>NC_000017.11:66935980-76935980 GCF_000001405.40 Homo sapiens
ACTTTTTTTCCCTCCCATGATATTTTTTTACACTTTAAAATAATGTGGTAAAATACACATAACATAAAGTTCACCATCTTAACCACTGTTAGGTATACAGTTCTGTGGCACTAAGTACATTTACATTGTTTCAAAACCATCACCACCATCCGTCTCCAGAAATTCTCTTCATCCTGTAAAATTGAAACTCTATACCCACAAATGATAACTGCCCATTCTCTCACCCCAGTCCCTGGCAACCACCATTCTACTTTTGTCTCTATGAATTTGACTATTCTGTCACATAAGTGGAATCACACAATAGTTATCCTTTTGCATTTGGCTTATTTCACTTAGCATAATGTCCTCAAGGGTCATCCATGTTGAGCCACGTGTCAGGATTTCATGCATTTTTTAGAGCAGATTAATATTCCATTGTATGTGTGTGCCACCGTGATATGGTTTAGCTGTGTCCCCACCCAAATCTCATCTTGAATTGTAGTTCCCATAATCCCCACATGTCATGGAAGGGACCCAGTGAGCAGTAATTTAATCATGGGGCAATTACCTTCATGCTGTTGTCATCCTAATGAGTGAGTGCTCACGAGATCTGATGGTTTTACAAGGGGCTTTTCCCCCTTTGCTCAACACTTCTCCTTGCTGCTGCCATGTGAAGAAGTACGTGTTTGGTCCCCCTTCCACCATGATTGTAAGTTTCCTGAGGCCTCCCCAGCCCTGAGTAACTGTCAGCCAATTAAACCTCTTTCCTTTATAAGTTATCTAGTTTCGGGTATGTATTTATTAGCACTGTAAGAACGGACTAATACACACAGTTTGTTCATCCGTTTATTCATCAGTGGACACTTGGGTTGCTTCCACCTGTTGGCTATCATGAATAATGCTGCTATGAACATGGGCATACATACATGGAATAATCCCCATGAACCTACGTGTTCAAGTCCTTCCTTTTAAATCTCTTGGGTGTATACCCAGAAGCGAGATTGCTGGATCACATGGTCATTCTATGTTTCATTTTTTAAGGAACTGCCATACTGTTTTCCTTAGTGGCTGCATCATTACATTCCCACCAACAGTGCACAGGGTTCCGATTTCTCCACTTTCTCACCAACCACGTTACTGTCTGTTGATTTCTATAGTAGCCATCCTAATGGGTGTGAGATGGTATCTCATTGTCACGTCTATGGTTTTCTCACAGACAAATCATTCCTGCTGCATTACTGAGTTGCCCCCAGGGAAAACACAGGACCAAGGACATCCCTGAGGGACATCAGGCTCAGTGGCCAGCTGTGGCCTTCTCTTCCCCAGTCCCTGTGAGGCTCAGCTTCTGGAAAGGATGTTGGAGGGGTGGCATGAGGACCTCACTGGCGGGCTGTGGGCCAGTGAGGGGTCAGGACTGAGGGCTTTTGGCTGCAGAACCCAGGGCACTGGGGGCCTTTAGTGACCACTGACTTTCATTAGGAAGGGTCAACCTTGCATCACCCAGACTGACCCAGGTGCTCCCGGCACCAAGGCAAGGACGGACCTAGCAGAAGGCAACTTTCTGTTAAAAGCTTCGCCCTCTCTCCCTGTCACCTATTGATTCTACTTCCTAAATATCTTGCCAATCCTCCTATTTCTCTCCATCTTCTTGCCACTGCCTTAGCCCAAACCATCTCCCTGTCTCCTTCGAGTTATGTCAACAGCCTCCAGATAGCACCTCCCCGCCTCCAGCTTTGCCCCATCAATCCCAACTCCACATGGTGCCCCAGAATGATCCCTCTCAGGTGAGAATGTGCTTAAAATATGTAAATGACTCCTACTGCTCACAGCATAAAATTGTATCAAGCCCTCCCTAACCTGGCCAGCCCTTTGTTCCCTCTGTCCCAACACTGAGAGCACAGCAGGTGTTCAATTGACTGTTGAATTAAACGTCCTCACCCCCCCTTCCTCTTGAAGTCCAGTTTCAGATCTTTGCTGGGTTTGTCAGGTGACCTATGCTCTCTGCCTGGATAGTTCTCTCTCCACCTCACTCACCTGGGCCTGCTAAACTGCAGGGGGTCCCCTAAACATCAGCCTCAAAGTCCCCCTGGCCCCCCACAAAGGATGCTTTCCTTGGGCTCCAGATCCTCTCCACTGCCTGATATGGTTTGACTCTGTGTCCCCAGCCAAATCTCACCTTGAATTGTAATAATCCCCATGTGTCAAGGGTGAGGCTAGGTGGAGATAATGGAATCATGGGGGTAGTTTCCCACACTGTTCTCACGGTAGTGAATAAGTCTCACGAGATCTGATGGTTTTATAAATGGGTGTTGCCCTGCACAAGCCTCTTGCCTGCCGCCATGTAGACGTTACTTTGCTCTTCCTTCATCTTCTGCCATGATAGTGAGCCCTCCCCAGCCATGTGGAACTGTGAGTCCATTAAACCTCTTTTTCTTTATAAATTACCCAGTCTCAGGTATGTCTTTATTAGCAACATGAAAACAGACTAATACACTTCCCCTCCATGTCGTTGCCTGTTTAAAGCCTGTCTGCCCTGCTCAGCACTAACAGACGCAATACCTGCCTTGTGCACTATCATGCCCCCTGTTGTCATCTCTCCCTAGATCTTGGAGGAGTGAAGAGCATGTGGGGAGATGACCGGAAAGCCCTTCTCCCACTCTCGGGGAGGGAGAAGCTCAGAGCACAAGCCGCTTGGCTCTGCCCCTCTGTCTTGGAAGGCACCGAACAAGCCATGTACAGATTAGCATGGACACTTAGAAAACAGTGAAACGCTCCTAGATGCGAAATCATGGGGTTCATTCCTCTCCCTGCTGACAGTGGGAGCTTCCTTCCTGTCCCCTGCAGCAGTGCGAGGCTGCCCTGCTGTTCCTGAGAAAGATGACGGCTTGCTCTGATGAGGGCTGCTGGCTGCTGGCTGCTGGGGCAAAGCGGGGAGGAGGCTCCGCTCTCACTGCTAGTGAGGTGGAACTAGCGGGACTGGGAGCCCCACAGGAGCCCGATTCAAGGCTGAGGACACTCCCTCTCCTTCTGGAAATGCCAAAGAGAAGAGGAGAGCACGTCTTGGCATTTGGGTGAGGCTTGCCCAGCTGAAGTTGGCAGAAAACAGAAAGGGAGTGAGCGCGGAGGGCAAGGTCTCCTTCTTTGGGGTGAGGGGGCTGTGAGAGGCCCAGCTGAGGCCTCCGTAGCTGGATGTGTAGGATTTGGTTAGGACCAGGTGGTTAGTAAGGCTTTGCCATTGAGCCTTCTCTGACCAGTGAGACTCACCCCAGTGGCATACCCTAGAGTGGGGACATACCCTCAGCTGGGGGAGCACAAGTTGGGGGGTGAAGTGCGCCCCCAGAAGGGAGCATCAGGGCCATTGCTTTGGCTAAGTCTCCCGAATTATCTTTCAATGGCTCTGAGAGGTACAGCTCTCTGGGCTCCCAGGCCTGGCCCTTGCTGGTGACAGGCAGGAACCCTTGACCATGGTGACGAAGGAAACCCCGTGACAGGCATCTGCTGCTTGAATTCCTTGGGTACCCAAGAGGTTTTCAAGGAACCATCTCCAAAACAAAAGTGGGGACCCCGCCAGACCCATAGAAAAAAGGAAGGGAAGAAATATACAAATGAGTCTGATCGGAACCTCGTGTACTCGATGGAGGGCTGTGGGCCGACCCTGCGCAGGACCCAGGAGCCCTGGGGTTCCAGTCTTCTCACTTATATTTGCCCCCAGGCAAACCGCAGGAGGGAGAGCACCCCTTGGCGGGGGGGAGGTCAGCTCAGATCTGGAAACAGAGTGCCTGGGTTCAGACATGGGTCCTGCTACTTCCAATCTGTGTGGGTCTGAGAAAGTTGCCCAGCACCTTCCTGACTCTGAGATGGGAACGCCAACCCTCCTGTTGGATTGTTGACTTGCCTGGGAGGCTCAGTAAAACGGCTGACTCACAGAGACCTCCCAGTGGCTGCCTGCCATTACGTCCACTCTCCAGACTTCAATTTACTCTTGGGTCTTAATTTGTTCAGCAACAGGATTAAAGGGTTGGAGCAAATGGCCCTTAAGTTGCCCTCCAGCTCTGGAATTAGTAACCCTGTGTACGTCAGTTAGGTTATTTTGGTTGCATGCAGTAGACTGGCAACTGTGTCTAAGCTGCATAGAAATAGCTTTGTATGATGGAGGTGGGCAGAGGAGGGCTCACAGAAGCAGAGAAAATGGGACAGAAACAGAGAGGTGGTCCAAGATCAGGGTGGTGGGTACCACTGGGCACCTTCTCTAGGGACCCAGTACCAGGAGGGATCCATATCTTTGCATTAACGTTGGTCAGCAGAGGGAAGGGCGCCTGGGTCAGCAGTCCCCTCGTGCTGCACCCAGGGGACAGGAGGACCTCCAGGGGGAGATGAGGTGCCATTGCCCTCAGAAAGGGGAATGGACGCCACCGGGGCAAAGCCAAAAGAAGCCCACCACCCTAGGTGGTGTGACAAAGGTCCAGAAACACAACTCTGATTCTACCAACAGGGATGAACACACTTAAGACAACTATGCCTAGTGCCGTTGAGAGCTTTGAGGTGCTGGCTCTTCCCACTGTCACTATCCATAGTCTGGGGCTTTCCTTCATCTTCAAAAAAAAAATCATCTCCATCTTGAAGGATTCCACTTCACTGTGAGTTACTCAAAAGTCAAGGCCAGCACCAGAGACGGCGTCCAGCACACAGTATGTCCAATACATGCCAATTGAATTGGGACGGTCAGGTAATTCCCCTGCAGGTGACATTTCCAGAAAAGTAATGGGGTGTGTGACCCTGTGCGCACTGAGGTCCATCCCCTCTGTTCCAGGTTGTCACAGATGCTCTGACATTTGCAGGGAAGGAGTGGACCTGCCACATGATCCAAAGCATGTGCAGGAGATTTGAGAGATCAGGACATCCGCCATCCATCAGCCTGTGGAAGGAGAGTGCAATAACATTCCCCAGGGAAAAATGCATGGCAAACACCAGGAAAGCCACTTTCTTGCCTCCCAGAGGTGACAAGGTTTCCCCTCTTGATTGATGCAGGGGGCAGCAGCATCTTGGAGAGAAGCACAGGCAAGGGAGAGGAGAGAAGCTCGGACCAGGTCTATGTGGGATCCAATGATTTCTAAGTCAAGATGTTCAGCTCCGGGAAATTTACTTAACTTTCTGAACCTAAGCGTCTTCCTTTGAATAATGGAGACACTTACAATACCTACTGCATCAAGGTTGTCATGAGATTTGATGAGTTAATAATTCATCTCACCAATATTTGTTGGACACCTAATATGTGTTGGTTGCTCTTCTAGGTGCCTGAGCTACATAAATGATCAAAATAGAGACACCTGCCTTCCTGGAGCTTTCATCACAGTGAACACAGGCAGAGCTGCTACCACAATGTAGGTGCCCTAACTATTACTAGAGTGTGAATGACTTTCCTTTCCAAGTGGCAGCAGCAGCAGTGTAGTTGGCTAAGTGCCAGACCACTTCAGTTGGGATGCATTCACCAGGTCTCTTTCCAAAGATTCCATGTCTCCTCCTTCTGAGCAATGAAGTTGGGGTGAACATGTGCCTTGCTTTGGCCAATGCAACATGAGCAGAAATGACAGTTGTCCTGGGTGGAAACTTTAAGAGCTAGCACACGGCACACCATGATTCCTCCCCGGAGCTGCAGTACTCAGGGACACGTGGGACCAGATAGGTGCCTGGGTGACTGAGAGCCACGGAGCCCCCGTGTGGAACTACAGTGGACATGTAGCCTGAGTGAGAAGTAGACTTTCATGGTATTAAAACCCTGAGATTTGGGGGTTGCTTGTTATTGTCGCATAACAGAGCATCTCCTGGTGGATAAAACTGACCTCCCCAACTTGAGCCTTGGCAGAGCTTTCCATGGTACAAGCCTTGTTGTTATATACTAACAGATCACCAGAAGCATAACTGTAGGTCACTAAGCAGAGAGTGCAAATGTAGGAGCCCTGTCCTGTTTCCTCACTCTTTGCACTAAGCACACTGGGCAGTTTCCACATCTTGAATTTGCTCTCTGTGTAAACAGTGGCCATCACCCCATCCCCGCCTGCTCCAGGATATCAGACGACTACAGGTTCCAGCCCAGGCTGGAAGCAGCCGGCCCGCATCCAGGATCCCCCTGTCCTCCCATCTACTGAAGTTTCCAACTGTGGATCCCTTCCGACCAGGCCTCCCGTCCCTGTCAACCTCAGGAAGCCAAGAAGCAGTCTTCCCTCTTCCCTCTCCTGCTTTCGGTTCGGCTTCTCTGATCCAGCACAGGCCTGCTGCCCTCTCTTTCTGTCTCTGTTTATTGGGACCTCCTGTGACCATTATTTCAGGAAACAAACTCCTTTAAACCTCCCCCCACCCCCAGCCTCTTCAAAGACAGGTGAAGCAGTTAGAGTCCAACCAGGAAAACAGAAGCCCTTCTGAGTATTTGAAACAGACAGAATCTAACCTAGGGAATTGATTACACAGGCAGTGGGGTGGGGTGGAGAGCTGAGAAGCCAAACTGCCATGGTAAGGCAGCCCAGACATGAGCAACAGCAGGAAGGAGCCATCAGCTCTTGTCTGGAGGGACAGAGGGAGGAGGGCCTGGGGTTAACCAGGGGAAGGTGGAACCGGAGCAGGCTGGAGCCACAGCCTGCAAAGAGACGCAGCCACTGAAGACAGGGGAGGAGGGGAATGCTTGAACTTCTCTCTTCCTGCTGCCCTCCACCTCCTCCCACCAGCTGAATGATCTGGGAGCGAAGGACGCAGTGCCCAAGCTTTCCCCATATATCACCTGCTGCCCCATAACCCTCGCCGGTAGAGGCTGCTCTTTCTCCCACATCCCACTTAGCCCAGGGCACAGGGCTATGCTGGCTTTTCCTCTGAGTTTTTCCATCTTGGTTGGTGACACTGCCAACTCAATAACCCATGCCCAATCCCTTTCTTCCTTACTTGCCTCCACTCTAGGTGCTGGAAAAGTTAAAAATTTAAAAACTAATTTTCCAAGTCTCCCTGTAACTAAGGTTGGCCAAAGTTTTTGTTTTCTTGATAAAAGGTAACAGACATGTGGCTGTGACCACCTCTCTCCCCTTCTTCTTGTCTTGAATGCTATGAAAATATCCGGCGCAGCAGCAGCCATCTTGCAACCATGAGGTAAAAAGCCAGTACATTAAGGATGGTAGGAGAGGCCAGTGCCTGTAATCCCAGCACTTTGGGAGGCTGAGGCAGGCAGATCACCTGAGGTCAGAAGTTCAAGACCAGCCTGGCCAACATGGTGAAACCCCATCTCTACTAAAAATACAAAATAATTAGACAGGCATGGTGCATAGTGGTGGGCATCTGTAATCCCAGCTACTGGGGAAGCTGAGGCAGGAGAATCCCTTGAACCCAGGAGGCAGAGGTTGCAGTGAGCTGAGATCACACCACTGCACTCCAGCCTGGGCGACGAGAGCAAAACTCTGCCTCAAAAAAAAAAAAAAAAAAAAAAAGAGTAGAAGAGCAGAAAAAATAAAAATCCTGGGTCTTTAATGACACTACTGAAATGTTAAGCTAGCCCTAAAAGGTTCACCTCCAGACTTCTCAATATGTGAAAATAATTAAATGCCTTTATTGCTTAGATATCTGTTAAGTTTCTCTTACAGCTGCAAGCGTTCCTAAAACAACATCATCTATGCAGCTTCCCAAGCCGGGATTTCAGGGGTAAAATTCAGCCCCCTGTTTGCTCTCACCCTTCACGTCCCATGACTCATGGAGCCCTGGAGATTTTTATCTCCTTGGTGTCTCCCCTCCTCCCCTCCTTGCCACCATGACTGACTACATCATAGGTCGGATTCTCATGCACCCCTATCCAATCTTCCCTTCCGAAGCTTCTCCCCATGCAGCCAGAGGGATCTTTCTAAGATGCGTACATTGCATGTTGGATAATGTTTCTTTTTGGCTTAAAAACTTGGGCCGGGCGCATGGGCTTACACCTATAATTCCAACACTTTGGGAGGCTGAGGCGGGGGGATCACTTGAGGCCAGGCGTTCGAGACCAGCCATGGCCAACATGCCGAAACCCCGTCTCTACTAAAAATACAAAAATTAGCCAGATGTGGTGGCGGATTTCTGTAATCCCAGCTACTTGAGAGGCAGAGGCACAAGAATTGCTTGAGCCCGGAGGCGGAGGATGCAGTGAGCCGAGATCGCACCATTGCACTCCAGCCTGCGCAACAGAGGGAGACTCTGTCTCACAAAAACAAACAAACAAAACAAAAACAAAACAAAACAAAATAGAATAAAACAGAACTTGTCCTGGTCCCAGCTCCCCGCTGCCTTCAGAACAAAACCTAAACTGCTTAGCTTGGCAGACACAGCCCTTGTGACTTAGCTCACCAAACCTCAGCCATTCCTCCTCTTGAACTTCCCACTCCAGCCATGTAAGCTGCTAACCATTCCCTAAAGTCGTTTTCTGGTTACAAGCCTTTGTATTCTCCACCCCACACTGCCTGAATGATCTAACGGCTCCCCAGCTCTGGGAGGCCTTCCCAGACCCCAGCTCACCCCGCCCTCCCCTGTAACTGCTTCTTTCCCTGCTTGCACCCAGCTCTGTAGCTCTTTCATTTGCTTGCTTTTTCCTTCCTCCCTTATCAGAAAGTCGGTTCCTTGACAACAGGGCCATGAGTGTTATTCATCTGTATATTCCCAGTGCCGGACACGCTGCAGGGACTTGATAAATGTGTGTGGAGTAAGAGGGTGAATGAGTGAGTGAGTGAATGAGGCTGTGCCTTCGGGAAGCTGTGAAGTCAGCTGCAGGGAGGAGCTGACTTTTTGTGGATTTTGCAGAGAGGACAGAACAGCAATGACCTGTCTTTCAAAACCTGCCGAATAACCTGGCTTTCTGGAACTTTGCCCAGCCAGCTTTAGGGAGGTGAACTCCTGCCCGTGTAGAGATGTAGCTATGTCCCTTCTCCTTAAATGAATTTTGTCTCAAGCCACCTGCCACCAGGGATCCACCTCAAAGCACGATTTTCCCAGAAACCTTCCATTTGTCTTGGAATGTCTGAGGAGAGGAGGCTGAGATTCCAGATTCGTCTCTGAAATTCCTTGGAGGCCTCCCGTTCCCTTCCTTGTCAGAGGGGAAGATGACTTTTCCCGCAGCTCGGAGATTGACACACCTGTCTCAGATGGGAAAAGAAGGGCTACAGGGGTAAGAATCGTGCATCCTCTTAATGACAACAAGGCACATTTGTCCTGCTGGTGAATAAATGATTATCGTGTGGATCACACAGCCCTCCTGTTACACAGCAGTTCAGCGCCAAAGCCCTCTAAGTCGTAAAGGAAGTCATGATAAAGAATTATGAGATCCGGTAAAATGAAAATTGGAATCAATTAGTTCCCTTCAGACGAGAGCTGCTCATAGAACATTCATTATCCTCACCCTGCTGTGTGGGGGGTGGGATGGGGGTGGAGGGGAAACCTGTTTTCCTACAAGTGGCCATTGTCACCCATTAAAGAGCCTCCAACACTGCTCCCTGATTTCTCCTGTGTTCATGCGTCCCCACGGGGAGAAGCAGAAGATGCCAGATCAAAGGGGCAGTTATTAACTCCACGCCAGTCCCTGCGATCTCAGCGCCACCTGGGATCGGGCTGATAGGGCTATTGCACTGTTGGAGTGAAGTCCTTCTCAGCTGCAGCTGTAGAGTCAATGCAATTTTAGGTTTCATTCAGGAAACAGCAGTTCCTTAGCTGATGTATTAAATCAATTAGACGCCAACGGCTGCAGAGGCCAAGACAGCTTCCTGGGCGAGCGCCCGTTACCAGGATCATGAATCACACAAGTGTCGGTAAGGTGCTGCTCACTCTATTCTGAGGGATGCATCCGTGAAAGCTCAAGATTGGCCATGGAAATACACATGGCCGGCCAGTTTTGAGAACCACGGGGATTGGGAAGGGGTCTAGGAGGCAAATGGCTGCTTTCTGTCTTCTGCTTCCTTTTTTAGTTTAGTTTTCCTGGAAATTTCTGCCTGATAAAAATGCCCAAAGCCATCTTCGAATAAGTGCAAATCTCTCCCTAACTCTCCCTGCCCACCGCCTCTGCCTTTGCCCAAGCCAGCACCTTCTCTTGCCCGAAGCCTCCTCTCTACAGCCCTCTGATCTGTGCTCCATGCTGGCACTGGATTCATCTTTCTGAAAGGAGGTTCGCTCTCGTTGCTTTGAAAGTCCTTCAACGGCCTGCCCTGGCTTTCAAGAAAAGATGCCACGCCATTGCTCCTTCCAGCCTCCCTCCAGCGGGCAGCTGCACATGCCTTGCCCCTGGCCCAAGAGCTCTTCTATGCTTTTCTCATCGTTTTGGGAGCTTCTGTAAATATCCCCTTCTCCAAGAAGTGTCCCCTGCCTCCCCAGACCAGGGAAAGAACCCTGATTCTCTGGAATCCTTCAGCCCCTGCACACTCGCCATGCAGAATTGTCACCTGTTTGCTTGGAACTTCCGGGAGGCAGATTTAGGCCTTTGACTCTATCTATAGCTCAGCACCCAGCAAATGGCAAATGCTTGATCAGCGTTTGTGGCAGGGCTGAATGAAGGAACGGGCTTCTGGAGAAGGAAAATTTGTATTTTCTGGGCCTGGTAGTAGAGGGTGCAGGTGAGAGAGGTGTGTGCCAGATGAGACAGGAGAGAAAGATCGGGGAAAGGAAGAGCTCTGGGAACCAGGAGAAATGCCAGTCCTTTCATCCTCATTTTGCTGTTCAATTTGGGAACCACGCAGTGGCATGTGAGGAAGCTCTGGTGGGGTGATGATCCAGCTCTGAAGGAAGCTAGGAAACGCTGCTTCTGAAAGTGGCCACGCCAAACCAGAAGTCTCTCCTCTTGGCTCAAGCAATCCCACCCCAGGACTTGTTTAATGAGGACTCTTGAGGACCATGGAGAAGAGGTTGGGACAGGCCATGGCCACAGAGGGAAGAGACTGGCTCAACTGGCCTGAGACCTGGGTTTGAATCCTGACTCTGCCATGCACTACAAGTTAGTGGGGGAAATGGCTTAAGCCCTTGTGCCTCAGGCTTCACATCTGTAAAATGGGAACAAAGTGAGGTTGTCAAGGGGATTAAATGAGACAATGTTTACAGAGCATGTAATATAGTATCTGGGGGCATGAAATAAAATGTTAGTGCCATCATGATCACCCAGGAACCCCCCAGAACTGGAAAAGAAGTGGCAAGGCAGGACCTAGTTAGCAGAGCTAGAAAGGATGGTGGAGGCTTGCTCATGAGGACTAGGACAGAAGTAGGGGGGTCCTTGAGCTCAGTCACAGGAGGAATGAACTTGGGCTCCTACTTGAAGACCACCTGCCTTGCTTGGCTACAAAGCCAAGAATGTGTGTGTTTGAAGGGGAGGGTCCCTTGGCTTGGGCTGAGGACAGGAGGTTTAGCTGAGTGTCTGGACTTGACTTCGACCTTCCAAAGCCCAGATTCTGGTCCTCTACTGATCTCCCACCTGCTCAGTCAGCCCAACTTGCCCAACCAGCTGTCATGCAGGTCCAGACATGAAGCCACAGCCATCCCGAGGGCTCAGCCGAGCCCCCAGGCAGCACCAAGAGACCTGACTTGTTGTTCCTGCTGCCCTCCACCACACCATGCGGCAGCCCAGGCCTCAGCCCACCAGGGAAGGGCTCTCTGCCCAGGGTGGCCCCCAGCTTGTGGTGGGGGGGTCAAGTGCCATGCAAAGCCAGCTGCAGCCTGGCAGGGCCCAATGCAGCCCCTGATTCCACAGGGATGGCGTTTTCAGCAAGCTCGTGAAATTAATTAAATTCTTCTCTTCATTCTGACTCTGTAATTTATCACAGCATATGTCCCTGCTTTTTTATATTAGAAAATAATGGAAATTATTCCTTAAATAATCAATTTTTACAGCTTACATTTAATTTATGAAAGAATGACAGGCCTAGCGCCCTGCCTGTGACCACAACTTCGTCCTCCATCTGCCTCTTTCCCTGGGTGTCCTTGCCCAGGAGCAAGAGAAAAGCACAAGGGAGGCGAGGGGAAGAGGGCCAGTCCGTGGGTCCTACCGATTTCTCTGCAGCAGGTCCAGCAATACCTAAGCAATCCAGACTTGGATGAGGAAGAGTGGAGGGGAAGGTCTGGGGGTGCTGCTCACCATGCTGTCCCCTGGGCAGGTTGCTCCCTCTCAGCCCAGGGCCCCACAAGCCTTTATTTTGATCCACATGGCTCTATTTTTGACACGCTCTGCTTCTGGCTGACTTCTGTGGTCAGGCTGATCAAAACCTGTCAGTTCTGCACTCAAAACCCTCCAGATGATCCCCTGTAGCTCTCAGGGTGAGATTCCAGCTGCCCAGTTCAGCTGTTGGGCCGGCCGGCTCTTGTTGCAGCCGCTGCATTTCCAGCCCCTCTGACCCTACCAGTGGCCCTACTGTCTGGGATGGCTTTCCCCAGGCCCTCTTTCACGGGACAACCCTTCAAGTCCATTCTTCAAAAGTCGGCTCTGGGAAGCCTTCCCCAAGCACAGCCCTCTGCCCCCACCACAGCCGCCCAGATCACCCCACACCTGCTTTCCACACCTCAGCTGCTGATTTGCCAACTGCCCTCTCTCGGCACTGAGGGCCTGGTGAGGGTGGGAACCACGTCTCATTTGACTTTGACCTCCCATAACCTGGTGCAGGACCTGGCACTTAGAGGATAAATCAGTGCCCCGGGGCCACCACAAATGACCACAAACGTTGTGGCTTACAACACACATCTAACAGGGGTAGAATCAGGAGTGCAAGTCTGGCTGGGCTAAAATCCAGCCTGGCAGGGATGTGTTCCTTCCTGGGGGCTCTCAGGAAACTCTGTTTCCTTGCTCTTTCCAGCTTTTAGAGGCTGCCTGCATGCCACAGTTCATGGCATCTTCCATCTTCAGAGCCAGCCACGGTGGGGTGCGTGCTTCCCACATGGTATCACTCTGACCTCCTCTTCTGCCTCTTCCTTCCACTTTTAAAGGCCCCTTCCGATTCCATTTAGGCCAAACCAGGATAATCTTATTCCAAAGTCAGCTGATTTGCTACCTTCATTCCCCCTGCAACCTCAATTCCCCTTTATCACTCAACATAACATATCCACAGGTTCCAGGGATAAGGAAGGGGGAAGCCTTGGGGGGCCATTATTCTGTCCACCACAGTAAGAATTCAATCCTTCATGTTGAGCAAAGATGAATGAATGAGATGAACCTACAAACTTCATGGACCACCAATTCTTTGCACCTTTTTGCCTCTATCGTAAGTGGTTACTGAACTGCCTAAAAGTGCTTCTTTGGAATCACACACTGGAAATCATCTGTTCAGAGAAAACCCGCCGAGGCTGGGCTGCCTCCTCACCGTGACCACCGCACTTCACGAAAAATCTATCCAGGCCGTGGTGTCTGCACACGACCCACCCTGGCCCAGACCCAGGGTCCTGTGTCTGCCCTTCTCCCCCATAAGTGGGTTGCCTTTCTTCACGAACCCCAAACATGCAATGGAGAATCACCCCTGCGAGTTCACTCCCCACTCTGGTACCTTCAGTGAACTCTCCTGGCACAAGTGGGTGGATGCCACTCTAGAAAACCATATATAGGTAAAAATCTGAATTTGCAAGGAGGGTCTGTTAGAAGTCGATTACTCATTACAGAAGGATACACCACGCGGTCTCTCTAAAGTGCAGGCTTCCAGGAGCACTTCAACACAGGAGCTGGTGTACGACTTTGAGAGTGACAAGAGGCATTGTCTGGCAGGCGTCACATACTCCACCACCCACAGGAGCCAGCCAGGAAGACAACGGAAATGATGAATCAAGCCCAGTAAGAGAGTCCATTGCCAGATCGAGGCAAGCATGCACAACGTCATTTTATGCTGGTAACGTGACACGGTTCACAATATTGTCCCATAATTCTATTTGGACAGCTCCTTCTCTTAAGCCTAGATCAGAGTTAGCTAGCATCCCCCTCCTCCCCTCCTCTTTCTGTGTTTTTATTCTGGGGGAGAACTAGAGCTGGTTGCTACAGCAACCAATTTATTTCTGCAAGTGCATTTTAACTTCCCTCAGATGTTCTATTTGATGGGAACTTTTCCCTTCTTGGGGTCTGACTTTTGCAGCATGCTTTCACTAAGCCTGCAAACCCTTCCTTTTCTGCTGCCTTAGGGTTAATACACACATTTACTTAACACAGGGGGGAAAAAAAAACACAAAACACCCAACTTTAAAAACAAGGCATTTGGAAGAGAGAGAAAAACAAAGTAATTACATTTCCAACTCTGCTGTCATATCAAACTTGTAGGATCTCGGGAGCTGCGGCGTTTACCATACAAGTGTTGGTTCTTCTTTACTCCTCTCCTCACCATATAGCTCAGAAAATATATTCATTTACTTTTTCACTCAACGAATAATTTATTGAGCATTTCTGTATGCCAGGCCCTATGCGTTAGGTGGTGGAGTTTCAGAATTGAACAAAACAGACCTGGGTCCCTCCTGGAGTTTGCCAGGTATGAGAAAGACAGGCTGACATGCAAAGACACACTGACATGCAAATCCTGATGTTGATTATGGGGGTGAGAGCTATGAAGAGAGGAGCACGCCATCCAGACTACTGGTCTGGAACAGCCTCTCTGAGAAGGTGATGTTTCAGCTGAGATTGAACTTGAGACTGAACTTGAACTTGAAACCAAGAATTGAGACCTGAGAGAAAGAAGAACTCTCTCTGAGCTGGAAAGGAGCTTGGTAGATTGGAGGGAGGGACAGTGGCCAGTGTGGCAGCCTCTCAGGGAAAAGGGAACCTGAGCTCAAGGTGCAGTTGCAGGTAAGGACCAGATCACATAGGACAGGCCAGGTGTGGGCATTCATATTGACCCTCAGTGCACGGGAAGACTCTCTGACATGGTTTTCAGCAGACAAGTGAAGTAATTGACATTTGCACAGATCCTCTGGCTGCCAAGGAGAGAACGCATTGAGGGAATGTAGGTGGCAATTGTGAAGGAGAAGGACAGTGTCGCTGGAGGAGGGTTTTCCAGGCATCCAGAGGAGAGAAGCAGGTGGCCTGGCCAGGAGGCGGCAGCAAGACAGGGAACAGTGGACAGGGTAGAAATGCATCTTGGACATAACACTGGCAGGATCTGGTGATGAGTTGCCTGTGGTCTGTGGCCTGAGCCACAGGCCAATGGTGGTGCTGTACTGAGATGGAGAAGCTGGAGAAGGAGTAGGTTTGGAAGGAGGAAATAGACTCCATGGCACCTGCCTCCTGCTCAGAAGCCTTGTCATGCAATTCCTCTTTATGCAATTCCCCTTTTGAGTCTGTCTCCCTCTCTGAATGGGAGGTTCCATGAAGGCTGGGGTCACACCTACACAGTTCACTGCTGTATTTTTTTTTTTTTTTTTTTTGAAACAGGGCCTTGCTCCATCACCCAGGCTGGAGTGCAGTGGTGCAATCTCAGCTTACTGCAGCCTGGAACTCCTGGGCTCAAGCCATCCTTTCACCTCGGCCACCCAAAGTGCTGGGACTACAGGCATGAGCCACAGTGCCCAGCCCACAGCTCCATTCTGAGTAGTGCTCACAGTGCCTGGCACCGGAAGGCCCTCGGATAGCCACTGTATTCATTTCCTAGGGTTGCAGTAACTAATTACCGGATGGCTTAAAAAAAAAAAAAGAAACATATTTTCTCACAGTTCTGGAAGTCAGAAGGCTGAAATCCAGGTGCAGATAGGGTTGGTTCCTTGAGGAAGCTCTAGGAAAAACCTGTTCCGCGACTCTCCCTCAGTTTGGGGGCTGTTGGTAGTCTGCGGTGCTCCTGGGCTTGCTGGCACCTTGCTCCAATCTCTGCTTTCTCCTCTGTGTGTCTTTTCCCCTTCTCTCCTAAGGACACTTGTCATTGGACCTAGGGCCTACCCTAATTGAGGATGATCTCATCTCAAGATCTTTAACTTGGTTACAGCTGCAAAAACGCTTTTTCCAAATAAGGCCACATTTGCAGGCTCTGGGCATTAGGACTCAGGCATACTTTTTGGGTGGTCACAATTCAACCCACTTCATCCACCAACTGAGAAAATGAATGAGTGAGTACCCGGCGATTTCTGGTTGATTGGAGAACCAAGTGTAACTCAAACGCTGGGTCAGAGAACAAAGCCCTGGCTTTTCAACCAGCCTTCTGTGGTAGCTGTTTGTATTCACCGCCAGTTTCTCTAAGTTGGTCATTTAGGGATGCGTCCATAACACAGCATGTCAGGTAGGTGACTCACAGTGAATAAACTGAAGAGAAGCTGAGTCATAGTTAAAAGCGGACTTAACATTCCAAAGGTGAACAGCAATCCAGCCTCGAGGCTGAAGCCATTCTTATGCCTCTGCCAGCCAAGGCAGAGACAGATAAATAAATACCATCACTGAGCCAGGCGGCACAGCGCGACCTCCAGGCCCGCACCCCTCTCAGGCATCCTGCCTGGCCGGTCTACCTCCTTCCAGAAGCAATGAATATTTCCAGCATGGAGCAGGAGGCAGGTCAACAAATGCTGCTCTAAACATCTTGGTCAAGCTTGCTATGACCTCCCATCCTGCCATACACACCTTAGGTCACAGGCAGCCTCCTCTCCACACTGCCACCCTGCAATGAGGGCCACCCCCTCTGGAAACTACAGGGGGTCAAAAAGTGGGAGGTTTGTCTGTGTGCCCCACAATCCAGGCAGAGAGGTCCAGGGCAGAGGGGACCTTTGAGGGGTACATGGCACCCTTCGAAGGCCTCAGAACACGTCTGCCTTTACAAGCTGACCACAGCCACCAACACTTAGTCTTAGGAACCCGACTTCTCTCTACCTATGAAGGTTTTCTGCAAGGTTTTGTCTCCTAGAGACCCTGCCCCATCCCAGGCCCTGCCCGGCTGACCATCCCCCCCTCCAGTATGAAGAGTCTGCCTGTCCTGATCCAAGACAGGCAAGGACCAGACCCTGGAGGAAGGCAAGTGACATTGCAGGGGGACAAGCAGAAAAGTGTCTGAGGAGCCCAAAGGCCAGGCTCTCCTGGGACTGAGAGCAGCAGCTCCGGCTCCAGGAACACACAGGGATGCACATGGCAGGAACTGGGGCTGTCACGAGCAAGGCCAAGTGCTCTCCCTGGGTGCTGAGTTTCTTTGATCACCAGACCTGAGAAGGGCCCTTTTCCACAGGGGCCTTGGGACTCCTGACTGCTGCCTCAGCATGAAAGTGTCCTGTCTCCCCAGCTGAGCCCCTCTCTGGGAGGCAGGTCCCCATCCCCTGGGCCTTCCTGCTGGGGTGTGCTGCTCTCCCCACATTGTGTGGGCACCAGCACTATCCACTTAGCACCTCAACCCCCCGGGGCCTCTTCACTCGTCTCCCAGGGGCTCCCCTAAAAGCTACTTGCTCCTGAGCTCCAATTGTAATCAAGTCCCAAAGCAGCTGGGTTTAAAGACACAATTATGCATTATGGATAAAGGGCAGGTCACCCTCCCCCGCCAGCCAGCTGGGCATCTGTGCTTGCCCCACGGCTCCCATCAGAGGCTCCAGCAGGCCTGTCCCTCCCCTGGGCACACAGAGCAAGCCAAGGCGCCCCTTGGTGCCCGCAGTCCCAGGAGCCGAGCACGGGGCTCCTGGCTGCAGCCGCAGAAAGGCCCTCTTGCTGGGATCCCACTACAAATTGATGAACGCTAATGACCTGCTTCCTCCATCTGGTACCACAATCATGAAGATGCTCCCAAACGCTGGGAGTTGGGGGGTATTCTTTTTTTCTTTTCCTTTTTGCCTTTTTTTCAAATATTTATGAAGAGATTTTCCATTTATCCTGACACGTCTTCTCCACCGTGGGTGTCAGCTAGGAGGGCTCAGACAACAAACTCCAGAAGGTATTTTCCCCAAAGCAGCATCTGGCTCCGTTGGCAAGTACAGCGGGTGGTTTGCTGGGAATTGGCCGAGGAAGAGGGAGGAGGAGCCACAGGCTGGCAGCCTCCGGTCCTGGCTCTGTGATGCTCCCAGGGATGGGGCTGGAGCATCCCAAGAGAGCAGCCAGGATACAGGACCTCACAGGCACCCCCACCAGCCTCTCTCTCACTCTCACCCTTCAAGTCTTCTGGTCTGATGCCAAAGCTCCCCAGCTCCCCAGGTAAACCACCTGGGTGGTGACCAGTTCTCCACGGCAGCCTCTAAGAGTCTTCTTCAGCGACAATTCCCAGTGGGACAAGTTGGTAAAGGAGAGGGTGCTGGCTTGGCCCCTGCATCTCAAGCTCTCCCCTCCCAGGAAGCCTTCTAAAGGCAGAGCCAGAGGCCTCCCTCATTCTCCCTGATGGGCATTTCCCACCTTTGGGGACAGTGTGACCCACACCGGGGACAGAGAGAGTTGGCTGGGCAGCAGGGCTAGAGGTAGCAATAAGAACCTTATGGAATCTCCCAGGTCACACCAGCTTAACTGCTGTCTTCTGTACTCACTGTGGCAGAGCCAGCCAAATGGATCCAGGAACCCCCAGCCCCACATTCCTTGATAGTTACCAGAGTCTGAGCCAGGCTGTATCTGCCAAAGATGAATTCTGGTGAAAATCAAACACTTTCCAGGAGATCTTGGGTCCAAAGGCATCATGGCTTTGTGCCCTTGATCTTGCCTGGGCTGCCCATCAGCAACCACTGGGGAGCTTCAAAAAATATCAATGCCCAGCCCCACTCCAGCATGGTCAGAATACCTGAGAGTGGGGCATATATTTCTAAAATCTCCCAAGTCATTGCCAAGGGCATCCGGGGTTGAAAACTATTGAGCTATGGGAAGACTATGTCCCCTGGACACAGGCAGTCCTAGACTGGAGTCCTTGCTCTTTCACTTACTTGCTGTGACCTGGAATCAGTTACTTGCCTTCCCAAAGCCTCAGTTGCACCATCTCTAAAATGGGGATAACAACATTTTTCTTGTCCTAGGGTGCCCAGCACATGTAACTGTTTAACAAAGTCAAGCTGCTATTAATCATCTTCCATCACGAACCCATCTTCCAGGACAAGAGACTGCTGGTGTTGAGTATGCAGAGCAGCCCAGCAAGGCAGCCGGCCAGGCAGCTGCTTCCAGCCATGCACAGAACTGGGACCTTGGAACTGTTACCTCCCTTACCTGCAGAACAGCCTCAAGGTCTCACCTCTGGGTACCAAGGCTGCAAGAGGGCAATTCAGTCCTTACCTCTGGGTACCAAGGCTGCAAGAGGGCAATTGAGTCATGGGCCATACCACTCCCCAGGTGATGACACTCCCAACAGATACAGCACCAGTCAAAGAATATCTCTCTGAGGCCGGGTGCGGTGGCTCACACCTGTAATCCCAGCACTTTGGGAGGCTAAGGTGGGCAGATCACCTGAGGTCAGGAATTCGAGACCAGCCTGGCCAACACGGTGAAACCCTGTCTCTACTAAAAATTCAAAAATTAACCGGGCATGGTGGTGCATGCCTGTAATCCCAGCTACCTGGGATGCAGAGGCAGGAGAATCACTTGAACCTGGGAGGCGGAGGTTTAAGTAAGCTGAGATTGCGCCACTGCACTCCAGCCTGGGTGACAGAGTTAGACTCCGTCTCAAAAAAAAAAAAGAATATCTCTCCTTGAATTTTATTTTGTTTCATTTTATTTTAATTTATTTTATTTTTGAGATGGAGTCTCGCTCTGTCGCCCAGGCTGGAGTGCAGTGATGCAATCTCAGCTCACTGCAAGCTCCGCCTCCCGGGTTCACGCCATTCTCCTGCCTCAGCCTCCCAAGTAGCTGGAGCTACAGGCGCCTGCCACCACGCCCGGCTAATTTTTTGTATTTTTAGTAGAGACGGGGTTTCACTGTGTTACCCAGGATGGTCTCGATCTCCTGACCTTGTGATCCGCCCTCCTCGGCCTCCCGAAGTGCTGGGATTACAGGCGTGAGCCACCGCGCCCTTCCTCTCCTTGAATTTTTAAAGGATCTAGAGCATTTAAAGTATCTCCTCTAGGAAGCCAATGTGTCTCCCATCCTGTTTATCTGGAAATGGTCTGCTATCAGATTCAGCTGAGAGTAGAGCCAGATGCGAGTGTTTGAAAACTCACTCTGCTTGGCACCGCCCTGGGTGGGCCAGGGTGGCATGGGGAAGCCCTGAGGCCCACCACAGTCATGCAGGGAGCAAGTGCTTCTGGGCAGACACCCCAGTGATCCTGCAGACCACTTGAAGAGGCCCCCAAGGCCCCAGAAGCATTGCTCACTCATGAGTAAATTCGATTTCTTATTTTGTGTTATGTACATCTCCTGGTGACATCTGCTGATGCCAGACCATCTTGCCTGGGTCAGCAGGGCACCAATGTCTTCTTCAAATCTCATGGCAGCTCTACCAAAGCAGGTGCCACTCTGCCAATGGATTGCTGGGATGAGTGGGCCTGGAAGAGTTGAGTTGCTTGCCATAGCCCTTTTTGTATACCACACTTTGCCGCCACTTCCTGGACAAGAAAAGAATTTGAAGAGAGTTTTGGCAACTGACAGCAACGATTTCTTTTCTTTTTTTTTTTTTTGAGATGGAGTTTCACTCTTGTTGCCCATGCTGGAGTGCAATGGTGCGATCTCCGCTCACTGCAACCTCTACCTCCCAGGTTCAAGCGACTCTCCTGCCTCAGCCACCCAAGTAGCTGAGACTACAGGTGCCTGCCACCACGCTGGGCTATTTTTTTTGTATTTTTTTTTTTTTTTTTGAGACGGAGTCTCGCTCTGTCGCCCAGGCCGGACTGCGGACTGCAGTGGCGCAATCTCGGCTCACTGCAAGCTCCGCTTCCCGGGTTCACGCCATTCTCCTGCCTCAGCCTCCCGAGTAGCTGGGACTACAGGCGCCTGCCACCGCGCCCGGCTAATTTTTTCTAATTTTTTGTATTTTTAGTAGACAGGGTTTCAGCGTGTTGGAATTATTTTATAATAATTCGAGGCTGGTCTCGAACTCCTGACCTCAGGTGATCCACCCGCCTCGGCCTCCCAAAGTGTTGGGATTACAGGCGTGAGCCACCGTGCCCAACCAGCAAAAATTTCAATAATGTCTTCATCCCCAAGAAGACCCACATAGGTTCCAAGGAGACAATATGAACCAATAGGGAGGGCTCTGCTAAAAGGGGAAAAAAAACAACAACAGTATTTCTGGATTAGATAAATTAATGGGTCTGTATTACGAAGGGTGCTGGAGTCCAGTGACATCAGTGGTTGTTGGCAGTTGAGGATAAGCAGTAGCTTCAACTTAGTTGTCAGGGAGTATTAACGAGCAACATAATAAAAGTTATTGTTTATTTAGTAAGTATTTAAATCAAAATTATAAGCACAGGTTCTGTATACAGATCGCAGAGGTTTAAAATCAGGCAACGCTTGGCAAGCAATTTACCTTCTCCATGCCTTCGTTACCTTTTGGTAAAATGAGGTCGATAACAGTATCTATCTCAAAGTATTTTGGAAAAAATCAAATAAGTTAATGTATGGCCAAGCACGTCGAATAGAGCATGATACACACAAAGAGCTCAGTAACCATCAGCTATTAGCATTTTTGTGTGAATGTTTTCCCTGGGCTTACTGACTCTGCATGATAACCAACGCAATGAGGCCAGTGTTTGGTTTCCCGTCTTACTGGGGCCCAGAGAGGTTCAGCCACTAGTCCTAGGCCACACAGCTGCAAATGACAACGCAGAAGTGGAAACGCAGGTCAGCCTGAATCTGATGACCTTTCCTTTCTACCTCATCAAAAGGCTTTGGAGATAAAAGCAACGAAGACCCAGCAGCTCTTCTGTGACAAGCAGGAATCACGGACATAGGAGGCAGAGGGCAGGGAGTCAATTGATAGCCTCAATCCAGAAAGATGTCTGCAGTATAGAGCAAGCCTTCCCACCCAGTAGCAAGCAGAGCTCCAGGAGGGCTGAGACCAACCCACCCCCGACCCCCTAGCAGCCAGGTGAGAGCCCAGGGAGGCTGGAGATGAAAAGGAAGGTGTGGTTCTGAAGGCGAAGGTACCTGAACCTCCATGGAACCAAACCTTTCATTCAGCAACCAAGCCCTTAGCAGAGTTGCACATAAAACGCGCCCTCTTCTTCCAGCCCCTGCACCAGGCTGTTATATTTTAGGAATTAAAAGCTCCGCTCTGGTAAAAGCACAAATGACACATGTTTGCTGAAGAATGTGCTGTCACTGACCATCCTCCCCGCCCCCTCCCGCACCTGTTTTCAAACGTTTCAGCCTCTGAGTGCAGACGATAGCCTCCTCGGGGTTCTTCTCAACCCTTTGAGAGTCTGCTCAGTTTCAGAGGCCAGCTGTGGACAAAGGAACCTCTCGGCCTGTTTGTCCTGTAGAGTGTTTTGAAAAGAATGTTCTCAGAATAACCAGCTGATGCTAAAGCGTGCTGGGCCGGAAGCTTTGGCCAAGCCAGGCCGTTAATATCAACATGCTCATCAACCGGGCTAGTTCCAGAACAGATTCTAGCAAGAGAGGCCGCCTGCAGGGCACAGTCCATACTGGGATCCGGTTTGCAAACACACAGGTCTGGCTAAGCCCACACGGACTTCACTCACAGTTCACTGTGTTGTTTACTGTTTAAGGGTACTGGGTTTTTCTGCCATCACAGTAAATGGAAAATGCCCAGGAGAGGGTAGCAGCCAGAGGCCAGAGGCATCTCAGAGGGGCCACTGGGTACCTGGGTCAGGGGCTGGCCCTCCGCCCTCCACTCTGGCCAGCATTAGGGCAGGTGCTGGGGGTAATAGCCAGGAGGGAGGAAGAGAAGGGTGGGCTCCCAAGGCTGGTAGCTTCTAGAACCTGCCTGCCATCAGCCCAGCTCACTCCTATCTGCCCAGGAAATGGGGAGCCTTCTCCAAACCCCAAACTCCAGACCCACTGCCAACAGCTTAAAAAGCACAGCTGTTTCCTAACCTCTCCACCCTCATGTGAATTTTATTATTATTATTATTATTTTTAGATGGAGTCCCGCTCTGTTGCCCAGGCTGGAGTGCAGTGGTGTGATCTCGGCTCACTGCAACCTCCACCTCCTGGGTTCAAGTGATTCTCCTGCCTCAGCCTCCTGAGTAGCTGGGATTACAGGCGCCTCCCTCCCCCTCACCTAACCATACCTGGTTAACTTTTTTGTATTTGTAGTAGATAGGGGGTTTCACCATGTTGGCCAAGCTGGTCTTGAACTCCTGACCTCAAGTAAGCCACCTACCTCGGCTTTCCAAAGTGCTGGGATTACAGGCGTGAGTCACCACACCTGGCCCCTCATGTGACTTTGATCATCATTTGAACTTGATTTCATCTGGATAAATATGTGAGGAGGAGCAGGGGAGGAAGAGACGGGCAAAGAGGCCTCTGTGCCCTTTAGGGAGTGGGGTGCAGTGTAGTAGCAGATGGAGCCCAGCTGTGCTCCAGGCAGAGCTGGGTTCAAATCCTGGTTCAGCCACTTGCTCTCTGTTTAGCTGCGAGTTCACCACTTACACAATGGGGATAAAAGTGTCCTCTTTATGTGGTTGTTGTGATGGATAACTGAAAGGAGAGACTCAATGACTGGCACCCAGAGGACACTCACGAAATGCTATCTCCCTTCTCTCTGCATTTCTAGGTCCTGGCCTGGCATGGAGATGGTGAGTGTGCCACTGTTTTATCGCAGCTGAGCTGGAAAAAAAAATGCTGTGTATCCAGCTTCCATCACCTTGAATAGGATATCCGTGATAAGCAAATGAAACGGAATAAACTTGAATACATAAAGCCATGTAGCATTTTCTGATCTCCCTCAAAGGAGTCTACTGAAATACTGAAGCAAAAAAAAAAAAAAAAAAAAGAAAGTCATCCTTGCAGCGTGCATAATCTGATGGAGGGGAGGCTGGTAGGACCCGGATTTCCAGGCATTCTTCTTAAAGGCTGAGCAGGCTGGATGGGTTGCAGATAAGCCTCCACACCGAGCCGAGCCCCGGAATCTTCTGAGCCTCATCCCCAAGCCTTGGCTATAGAAACTAGAAATCATGCTTTGTGTCAGTTCACCTGAGATCTCACCCAGGCTCCTCAAATCCCCTCACTAAGCCTTCTGAAATCACCAGAACCATCTGCTTTGGGTTCAGAAATGAGATACTACAAAAGTTGACACACAAAGGTCATTATTTCTGGAGGACAAAGGGGTAAAACAAAGCTTTTCCTAAAGGCTTTGGGAGCTACTGCAGAAAGCGACTGCGTTCCCCTGGCTGGTGGAGGGCCTCTCCCGTCTTCTCGCCCGGGCTGCAGATGGCAGCCAGCTTGGCCACTTGGACGTGCAGGTTATGCAATGTGAGCATCCTAATACCGTCTTCCCCTCCCACAGCCGCCACCCGGCTGCCTCACCCTGGAGC
The DNA here is from genome assembly GCF_000001405.40 of Homo sapiens. Classification (NCBI taxonomy): domain Eukaryota; kingdom Metazoa; phylum Chordata; class Mammalia; order Primates; family Hominidae; genus Homo; species Homo sapiens. The sequence continues at coordinate 66,960,252 of NC_000017.11, forward strand.
TGGGATTGTCCAGGGCTCTGGGCTCATTAAGACTCTGTCTTCACAGCCAAAGTAAAGTGAAGAATTGAGGTAATTACCTAAATGATTCAGTAAGGAGGAAAGACACCACCACGGGTGGAAAAAGATAGTTTGGGAGACTGGTCCAAGTGACTGGCAAATATCGCCACCTCCTCAGCTGGCAAGGGAGGTAATAATACACGTTTACTTGTTCACACCCCCAGCAGTAACATTTATATGGGCGGTGGGGGGCAGTTCATGGTGGGAGAGGATGCCAAGTGTCCAGTCTCTCCAGAACAAGACCAGTCCAGGACCTCCTCCTAGGCAAGAGGAGAGCACATCCCTCCCTTGATTCTGGAAGCGTCACATGGGAGAAACTCCAGGGTCCTCAGGCAGCAGTTAAATACTGTCATTTAGAGTTCTGTAATCTGGCTGAGCAGAAATTTCCAGATTTAAATTGTGCTCACCCAGGCATGATGAATGGTCTCAGCCAGTCTTGGGTTTGCTCCAGCTCCCTGTGCCGGCGGTCAAGTCCTTATGCGACTCCACAGTCTACACCCTCATCACCGCAGGACCAAGTGCAGCTGCCAGTGGGTGTCCGCAAACAGAAAGGCAAACTGCGGAGCTCCCGTTGGGGTCCCCCTGAATTAATAGGTAATAATAATGACACAGCCCAGCAGTACTTAACAATGGCAAAGAGGCTGTTTAGCGTCCTTGGAAAAACTCTGGCCTTGAAGTCACTGAGATTTGAGCTAAGATCTGACCCCACCATCCTCCAGGTGTGAAACCTGGGGCAAGTTACTCAGGTCTCTGCACCTCAGATTCCTCTGGTGTTGTCAGGGGGTGATAAGTGAGAATTAACAGTGAATGTAGGCCGGGCACGGTGGCTCACACCTGTAATCCCAGCACTTTGGGAGTCTGAGGCAGGTGGATCATTTGAGGCCAGGAGTTCGAAACCAGCCTGGACAGCATGGCAAAACCCCGTCTCTACTAAAAATACAAAAGTTAGCCCGGCATGGTGGCACACACCTGTGGTCCTGGCTACTCAAGAAGCTGAGGCAGGAGGATTGCTTGAACCCAGGAGGTACAGGTTGCAGTGAGCCAAAATCGTGCCACTGCACTCCAGCCTGGGTGACAGAGTGAGACTCCATCTCAAAAAAAAAAACCACAACAAATTTTTTAAAGTGGATGTAATATATGCTTCCTAGACAGTGTTGGGCTTACTGTCTCTAAAAAAAGGCAGAAAAGCCAGAATTTACTGCCCAGTCCACAAACGGTGGCTAAGCGTACACCACACGAAAAGGGGCTTTTTTTTTTTTTTTGAGACAGTCTCACTCTGTCGCCAGGCTGGAGTGCAGTGGCGTGATCTCGGCACACTGCAACCTCCACCTCCTGGGTTCAAGTGATTCTCCTGCCTCAGCCTGCGGAGTGGCTGGGAATACAGGCGTGTGCCACCACGCCCAGCTAATTTTTGTATTTTTAGTAGAGACAGGATTTCACCATGTTGGCCACAATGGTCTCGATCTCCTGACCTCGTGATCTGCCTGCCTCAGCCTCCCAAAGTGCTGGGATTACAGCCATGAACCACCACGCCCGGCCCAAGGTTGCTTTTTTTTGACCCTTGAAACAACTTTTTTTTTTTTTTTTTTGAGACAGAGTCTCACTCTATCACCCAGACTGGAGTGCAGTGGCATGACGTTGGCTCACTGAAACCTCCGCCTCCCGAGTTCAAGCAAATCTCCTGCCTCAGCCTCCCGAGTAGCTGGGATTACAAGTGAGCACCACCACGTCCAGCTAATTTTTTTTTTAGTAGAGACGGGGTTCCACCATGTTGGCCAGGCTGGTCTGGAACTCCTGACCTCAAGTGATCCCCCTGCCTTGGCCTCCCAAAGTGCTGGGATTACAGACGTGAGCCACCGTGCCCAACCAACCCTTGAAAAACTCGGCAAGTTGCACTAGAGAGGTATCCTTTTCCCAGGTGGTTTCGGCTCATCCAGATCACCTTGCTAATTAGTCCCGGAGCCAGCATGAGGTGGTGACTGACTTGGCTTCTGGTCCAGTGCATTCTCAACTCTCCCACACACTTTTCTGCAAGTGGAGGAGTGAGAGCTGGTCTACCAAGGTTCTGATGAAGGAAGATTTTGGTTTTGTCTCCCTTGGGATGAACATGAGGACTGCTTGCTTGGAGGAGGGACCCACCACCTGTCATCTCTGCCATCTAATAGGTGATTGGGGGAAGCTGCTGCTCTCCACCCCCGAAGATCAGGTTCATGCAACTTACATTCATTTGTTTCTCCCAAAGTCCCTGAGGAAGGCTGCAAGTAGGACAGGGTGGAGGGGGATGTTCCTGAGTAACCCAGTGGCTGGCTCAGGATATGGATTTTCACACCATGCTTTGTGGAACCCGGGGTCTAGAGAGGTGCTTTGGGGGCTGCAGTGCGTGTGTGGGTGGGTGAGTACCAGTGCCCTGGGCCCCTCATTCAACCAGAGCCATGCCAGCCCTTACCTACAAGGCTAATTGGTAGGAGACCTGGTTTGTTTACATTGCGCTTCCATTTATGATTTAATTTGAAACAATGATTTGTTAGAAGAGGAAGAAGAAGAAGAAGAGATGGAGGAAGATGAAGAGGAAGAGGAGGAGGAGGAGGGGAGGAGGAGGAGGAGGAGAGAAGAACTTGGGATTCATTTTCCTGGAGTTTCTGAGAACAGAACCTAGACTTAATCCTAGTGGCTGTTAGGGTTGGAGGTGGGTAACCCTGTTCTGGGTCAGAGCAAACCATCTCACACCTTCTGGTCCACTTAGACATACATTGGGCACCTGCTGGGTGCAGAACTCCAGATCCGGTGGCAGGTGGGTTAAAGTAAATTAGAGATGATGACCCTCGTCCTTTGTGACTTGGAAAGCAGAATAGACACCCCAAGGGCAGAAGGGGCCAACAATCACTGTCACAGCCAGCCTGGTCCTCAGGCTCTGTCACCTTGTGATGTTTGTTTTTTCCCTTTATGTATATGATCTATTCCTCCCAATCAGACTATAATTTTCCAAGTGGCAAGAAACAACTCTCACTCAGCAAACATTTGCTAAGCCCTTACCATGTATGCCAGTCACAGGAAAGGCTCACAATCTTGTGGGACAGAGAACAGTGATTTCAACACGGGGAGTGGGGACCAGGGAAGGTGCCACAAAGAAAGTTAAGCTTCGTCTTGCAAGAATAGCAGCACTCCCTATACCTTTTTCCATATCCTGGGGTCCAGTGCAGCCAGGGATGCCAACAACAGGACCACCTGGACATGTCAAAGGGTGCTGCACCTCCTGATGCTGGGCTCTGAGAACCTCCTGGAGGGAGGGGTTTGGAGCTGGGTCTGGAAGGAGGAGTCCGGACCGGCTCCCTGGAGAAGGGAGTGTGTCCAGGTTGGGATCACGGCCAGCAGCAAAGGCAATTAAGTGAAGCCAGCAGGGGTTGGGGTCAGAGGCTGACAATAAAGGCCAGGGGAGGGAAAGCCGGTTAAGCTCGAGCAGAGCAAAAGGCAAAACGAAATAAAGGCATTGCGAAAGGTTGGGAGAGAAAGGGAAAAGGCTGGCGGGTGGAGTGTTGGAATCTAACACAACTGGAGTGTCCCTGGACTCTAGCAGTAATAGACCCTCAGAAATGTGAGCACAGAGGAACGCCCCATCTTCAATCTCAGCCTTGCCACCACTCTAGAAAGCAGAGACCCTGTGTTCTCCCCAAAGGACTTCTCGCTGTCATCGCCCTTCTCCCTCAACCCCAAGTCAGGGTCCTTCCAGGCCCTGCAAGGGGATCTGGAGGAGCAGGAACCACCTGGGTTGGGGTGGGGCCTGGCCCGGGCCTGGCGTGGCTTGCAGGGTCTGGCAGCTGTGTCCCACATCTGGGGTTTCAGGAATTCTGACCTGAACACGCACTCCCACACTCACCTTCATCACCAGGTGAACAGGCACAGAGGGGAAAGGAGGGACACACCCACCCACGCCCTCCTCCACAAATTAAAGAATCCGCAGGGCCGTCGGAGGGGAGGCTGGATGTCCTGGGCGGGTAAGAGAGGTGGCTGGAGACGCGCTTTCCCTTCGGTCCTCCTGGGGAACACTTCCCTCGGCTTCCTTCACTCCAATAATGTGAATGAACTCTGGGAGAGAGAGAGAGCGCGCGCGGGCGCGGGGAGGGGAGGGGAAGGGAGGGGAGGGGAGGCGAGGGGAAGGGAGGCGAGGGGGAGAAAATCCTGGCTGGGGAGAGAGGGGAGCTCAGAGGAGCGCACAGCCGGGCGGGGGCCGAGGCTCGAGGGGCGGCGCCGAGAGAAACGGGGCGCGGACCCGGAGCGCGGCGGCGGCGGGGGAGGCGCGGAGGGCGCAGGGCGGAGGCGCGGGCCGAGGGGGGAGGGCGAGCGGAGAGGGAGGAGCCCCCGGCCGCCGCCGCCAGCCCGCCCGGCGGCCGCGCAGCCCGCACTCGTCGCCGCGCCTCGGAGTTTGAGCCCCAGCGCTGCCGGAGCGCAGGCACGCCCGGGGCGCGGGGTCGGAGCGCGCAGCGCGGCGCCGCCCCCCGGCCCTCGGCCCCCCAACCCCGGCGCCCCCGGAGCGGCGCGCGGAGGGAGGAGGGCGGGCGGGCGCGGCGGGCCGGGCCGGCGGGCGGCGGACTATGAGGCGCCCACCATGGTGCGATGCGACCGCGGGCTGCAGATGCTGCTGACCACGGCCGGAGCCTTCGCCGCCTTCTCGCTCATGGCCATCGCCATCGGCACCGACTACTGGCTGTACTCCAGCGCGCACATCTGCAACGGCACCAACCTGACCATGGACGACGGGCCCCCGCCCCGCCGCGCCCGCGGCGACCTCACCCACTCTGGTCTGTGGCGGGTGTGCTGCATCGAAGGTACGGCCAGCCCCGACCCCTCGCCGCCCCACACACACACACACACACACACACATATACACACGCGCGCGCGCGCGCGCGCACACACACACACGCGCACACACTGCCCGGCGCGCGGGCCGGGGAGAGGGTGGGCGCGGCGCTGGCTCCGCGCGAGACACAAAGGAGCCGGAGCTGGCGGGCGGGTCCCTTCGCGGCCAGCTGTACATCAGCTCTGGTCCCTCTCGGCTGGGGACCTCCCCAGCACACCGATCCCACAAACTCTCCACGCGCACACCCCCTCGCCCACAGACACAATGAAACACACCGAAACTCAAGCACGCGCGCGTAGCCCGGGACCCGAGCGATCCCCAGGGGCCGCGCCGGCACCCCCGGGGGAGGTGGAGGCTGGCGAGGGGGCGGGAGGAGGCTGGGGTTGGGGGGAGCGGACGGGAGGGGGGGAGGGGTTGCTTGGCAACCGGTGTCTGTGCTATTGCTATGGGAACTGGCCATCCTGGGGCGGGGCCGGCCGGGGGCGGGGCGCGTCGGTGCCGCTGGGCGCTTTCTACAGGCTCGGGCTGAGGGGTGGGGGCAGAAGTAGGGGCAGAAGTAGGGGCGGGGGCGCGGTCGGAGCCGGGGTAGGGGCTGAGTTCCTAGCGGATCTAGGGTAGCTGGGTAGGCCCAGCCCGACGCCCGCCTCGTCTCCCACGGAGTCACCGGCCCGCTCCTCGCTGTGCGGTGGGGTGGTAAGGGGAGCGACACCGAGTCTCCCCCAACGGAGACAGCGACCTCGGTCGCGGCCCCTCAGCAGGGAGGCTGCGGAGACCTCAGTAGGAAACTAGGGTGTGCAGGACCGATCTGCGGACCGGGAACAGACTGGGAGGGGCGTGGTCATCTCGTCGGAGCTGGGCGCTGCGACCCCCAAATGCGACTGGAGGCTGAGTAGTAGGTGTCATGAGGCTGGAATGCTAGGGGACCAGGATTTCAGCCCCGGGACCGTGGGGACAGCTCCCTACTGGGGAGGGGCCTGGATGCCTCCAACGCCAAAATGCGCTCGGCTTCGGCGCCTTCCGGGCGCCCTTCTGCCCGGCTGCGGAACTTGAACTAACAGGTGGCTGGGGAGGGGCCACCTGGTCCCAGCAAGGTTGGGCACAGGTTTGCTGCTTAAGCGTGGCGCTCAGATCGGGGACCGGGTGGAGGGAGTTGGTGGGGGCTTTCCTTTGATTTTTCAAAAACCCTTGGACAGAATTCCTTCTTTTTCGGTAACCTTTCCCCGCGTGTTAACTCCGCCCCTCGGTTGTTCGGGAAGTTCTCCCACACACCTAGCCTTCCTTACTGCAGTTCCAACCCCTGCACAGAGTTCAGCCGCGGTTGTTTCTTGGTGGAGGTTGGCAAGGAGCTCTTAAAACCATAGCCCTTTTCTGGCCGCATTTGAAGTCATCTGAAAAGAGGCTTTGTGAAGCTGGATCTGCTTAGTGAAGTCAACTTGGCCCCCTTTTCCCCTCCAGACCATGCTTGTTCTCATCTCATCGGGGATCCTGCCCACCTCTGTCTCCCACCCCCACTCCCAAAAGAGGCTGCTTTGCCCTTTGCAATTTGGAGCCTAATGGCAGGGCTGAGTGGAGTCTGCAGGTAACAGAAATGTGCAATCAGTAGTTCGAGAAACACAGCCACACAAAAGAGCCAGTGGGCTCATGATCACACCCTCCTCTTTTCTTTTGAAAAACATCATTTTTAGTGTGCAATTGCTCAGATCACGAACACCTACTCCTCTCCTCTGGAGAATGTACCCACGTCACTACCTGCCACAGCACCTGAGCTGGATACAGAGCAGGGGCTGCAATGCCCCATATTCCACCTCACAAGCAAGTTCCATCAGGTGCCAACTGCCTGGCACAGTAAGTCATAAGTCATGCTACTGGCACGACCCGAAGGCATGTGTGGACCCAGGGCCTTCCAGTTTCCCAGTGGAAATTCTGAAACTAACTCCTCCCCGCCAGCAAACCTGGCTTCCTTTATTAATTCCTCATGCTAATTAGGATTAATGCTGCACTTAGCATCTTGCCAGCTGCCTCGAGCCATTTGCACTTCGGTGTTCATCAAGAGAGCCCCAAGCTGATCTGGGCAGCTGGCTCCACTAGCAGAGGGAGCCATCTGGGGGACCTCACCGAAAGAACTGGGCTGCCTGTGTTATTCCCCAATGCTCAGTGGTTCTGAGGGCCAGAACATCCTTGTGGGACCCAGGGCTGGGAGAGTGGGTTCAAGATTCCTTGGCTAGAATCATTGTGACAGTCCCTCAACCTGGGTGGGAACTGACAGCTTTTCTCATAAAAAGCACATCCCTAGACCAACAGCTCTCAACCACCTGACACCTCACCTCCTACGATGCCTCCACCTGCCAGCAAGTAGCCAGAGCTGAGGCCTGGACAGCACCTTAACCCTAGGCCACTTTCTGGGGACACGGAGGGAGGGTTACCTCCGTGTTGGCTTTCATGTATAAGATGCATTGTTTCCACCTGTTCTCTAGAAAAGTATTCCAAAGCATTACCTCCAAAGCAAAATGAACAGAAGAAAATGAAAAAATCAAACCTCTGGGCTGAAACTAAAGAAACACTGCAGCAGGCAGCTAATAAGACTCCGAGGATAAAGGCAGAACTCTGAAGGGTTTGCTGGCAACTGGCAAACAACAGATTCAGTTGCATGTTCGTGTCTTATAAATGATGTTGCCGGGCCAGGAAGCCCAGCCCTCTGTGTGCTTAAGGTATCCATGCATTCTGGCAGGGCTACGTGCAAAAGACTGTTGCTCCCAGCTTCACAGGGCTGACCTTGTCTTAGCCTCTTTCTACCCCTCAAATCAAAGTCTCTCCCTTCTGCCTGCCCCTCTGCTGGAAAGTGTCCAAAATACTCAAGTGTGCAGAGCCTTGTGCACATTACCGCGTGGCCTGCCCATGACAGCCCTGGGAGGACGCTGTCTTCACCCCCATCTGCAGATGAGCCAGGGAGGTGCAGAGAGGTTCAGGGACTTGCCCAGAGGCGCCCAGGTAGGAGGCAGCCGGGCCAGATTGGAGCCTTTGTCTCACTACAAAGCTCTTCTCACCAGATCATCCTGCCTTTTCCCAAACAGCTTCTGGGTTGCCATTAAAAATAGACCAAGTACTTGACTACCCAGTGGAGCCCAGCTCTGAGGTTGGGCTGGCGGCAGCATGAAGGCATTAGAAGTGAGGATGCACAACGGATACATAAATTGCGTAACACACCTTTTCCCTTCTTTTCTCTTCCCTTCCCTTCTTTTCCCTTCTCCCTTTTTCTCCTCCTCTCCTCTCTTCTCCCCTCCTCCCCTCTCTTCTTCTTTCCCTCCCCTTCCCTCACCTTCCCTCCCCTCCTCCTCTCCCTCCTCTCCCCTACCCTCCTCCTCTGCCTCCTCTCCCCTCCCCTCCTCCTCTCCCTCCTCTCCCCTTCCCTCCTCCTCTCCCTCCTCTCCCCTCCCCTCCTCCTCTCCCTCCTCTCCCCTCCCCTCCTCCTCTCCCTCCTCTCCCCTCCCCTCCTCCTCTCCCTCCTCTCCCCTCCCCTCCTCCTCTCCCTCCTCTCCTCCCCTCACCTTCCCTCCTTCTCTCCTTCCTCTCCTCCCCTCCCCTTCCCTCCTCCTCCCTTCCCTTCCTCTCTTCTCCATTCCTCTCTTCTCTCCTTTTCTTTCCTCCCTTTTCCTCTTTCTCTTTCAGTCTTTGTCTATGTCTCTCTCCCAATCTGTTTCTCAGTCTCTCTGTGTCACTATCTCTATCTCTTTCTCTTTTTTCTCTCCTTCCACTGTGTGCTAGACTGGTCACCACAGTCAGTCATCTCCCTGCCTTCTGAGACACTCACCTCATTCTTTGTATCTTTGGTGACACCCAGCCAAGCCTGAGGACATAGGAAAGGGGTAGTAAACCTTTCTTCAAGGTTTATCAAAGGCATCACCAACCAACATTTGTTCAATCTCATGCATTCTGGAATTCAGTGGGTACAGAATGTAAGCAAACATCACGGAACATGTACTCTTGCCAGGGACAGAAGAGCCCGTGTAGACGTGGAAGGGAAGAGGAGACTCTGGGCCCAGAGGGCAGCAGCTTGTGCCACATGCCAAAGCCCTGCCACCCACACCAACTCTAGAGAACTCACTAGAGCCACCCAGTCCCCGTGCTGCCATCAGGAAAGCTCTCCACCCAAAGAGAAGGGTCCTGGCGCCTCAGCCGTGCCCCTCCCCCAACCTGATGGAGAAAGCTGCCTCCAGCATGCCCACAGCTCTGCCAGGGCCTTAATATAGCAGACTTGATGCCAGGGGTGGCCCCCGCACCTGTTTTGTGCCAGCTCTGTGCTGGGTACTAGTGGGGGAAGTTATGGAGAAGGTTCTGGAACCTGAGAGTGAAGGAGTTCTTTGCCCCAGTCATGTTCACGTGTCTCACCTGGGCAGCATCTTGCACACCAGTGTACCCAACCTTTCTTCCCACCATGGCACACTGAGGAAGAGGAAGCATTAGCCCTGCACCCTGGGGAGGGGATTGAGAAGACAGCCATGGATGTCTCCCAAGGGGCCCCAGCTGCCCCGAGCCCCGCCCAGGTGCCCACAGGTGGGAGGCTTTTTCCAAAGAGTTTCCTGAAACTCCTTCCTGGTGGGTCAGCTACATGGCTCTGTCTTAAACCACACTCCCTACATAGGACCATTCAGAGAGGTTTCATCAAATAATAGCCTTTCTCCACCCACTCCAGGCCTGGTGCTGGGCTTGAAACTTTTCTTATCTGTGTTTGCTTTCATTTTCTCTTGAAATAACCCAGAGGCAGCCTGTCCAGTCAGGCCCAGGTGAGTGACAGCGTCAGAACAGGCACCCCTTCCCTGACGCGCTAAGTACCACCGGCCAGAATCCTCACCCTGGACCCCCTTCGCCCTTGGGTGCTAATTATCACAGCCATCACTATGGAAGACCTTCATGCAGGACTCACATTCGTGCATGTAATTGCCAGCAACACCTCAAGGTAGATATTAATTATTTGCCTTTTATAGTTGTAGAAAATGAGGCTTAAGACGTGCACAGCTCCTGAGTATTGCATCTCACTCCCCGGATCACGGCCAAGGTGGAACATAGGAGCTCTTCTGTCCACTAGTCAGGGGAAATCCTTTATATTGGAACCATGCAGATTTGGAAGGGGCAGGTAAGGGGGTTGTTGGAGTCAGCTTGGGCTGACGTCATAAAATATGATAGACTGGGTGGTTTAGATCACAGATGTGAACTTCTCATAGTTCTGGAGGCTGGGAAGTCCAAGATTAAGGTGTCGCTGGACTCAGTTCCTGGTGAGGTCCCTCTTCCTGGCTTGCAGATGGCCGGCTTCTTCATGCAAGTTCCACAGGGCATAACTCAGGAGCACCAAGGGTTATGGGTGTAGCATCAGCTGCCCCTCACACCAGGGCAGGGTTTCTCAGCCTTTGCACTGCTGACATTGGGGCCAGATCATTCTATTAAAATGCTCACATGGTGGAGAGAGAGGGCACCAGTTTTTTGGTCCTTTCTTACAAGGGCATTGGTCTGATCATGACCCTCACAACCTCATCTAAACCTAATCACTTCCCAGAGGCCCTGTCTCCAAATAGCATTGTTTACACAGAGGATTATGTCTTCATCATATGTATTTTGGGGGCACACAGACATGTGTCCATCACAGACATGTTCTCGCCCTGTGTCTGCTTCACAGCTGGTGCTTACTCTCCAATCATTCAGGAAGAGGCCCTTCAAAAAGTCTCAGTAGGAAAATCAGCAGATCTTTAAAATAAATCCCCTGTGTCAGTCTCCACCAACAGCCCAGACTCTGAGGATTTCCAGGACATAGTGACAGAAGTGCCGAGTAGGAAGGGGCCTCAGGTCACCAGACCCTGAGTGTCAGAGGCGAGGAAGCCACAGCTAAACTGGAACAGCAATGTGCAGGGGAGGGGGCCTGGTGGGCCTCTGTCTCCTCATCTGAAAATGGGGCCTGACTGTTCTGGAACACTCCTCCCACCTCTCACTCTCTGTCATACAAACCCCGGAAAGCCTCTGCCCATAGCTTCCACGCTGACGGTGGGTCGGTGTGGCCTCATGGAGGGTCCTTGCTGGAGGAGGGGTTTCCAGCCAGAAGAGCCTTGAGGAGGGGTTTCCAGCCAGAAGAGCCTTGAGGAGGGGTTTCCAGCCAGAAGAGCCTTGTGGAGCTTACTTAGTTCAGTGACTTTTGACCCTTTTGCTGCTGAGACACACACACGGGCTACAAGTCACCCGCCTGCTGGGTGTGCTGCTGTTCCCTCATTCATTCTTCCAGCACAGGCTCACTGAACACCTGGTCTGTATTAGACATGCAGGGCTCAGGGTCACAGCTGCAGAAAGGACAGACAGGTCCCTGCTGTCCTGGAATTGATACTCCTATGTATGAGGCAGTTGGCACTTCTAGGTGCAGATTTATGTTACGGTGAAAACAGAGCAGGGGGCGTGTGGGGAGCGGCTGGAGGGGGCCGCTGTTGGCTGGTCAAGGGGACAGGAAATTGTCAGGGAAGGTCATGTTTAAGCCAAAACCTGAACCAGAAAAAGGACCTGGAGGGAAAACCTTCTAGGAGGAGGAAAGGGCGAGCCGAGGCCCCGAGCAGGAGGGAACCTGGTGAGGATGGAGGAGAGGGAGCAAGGAAGAGGTCAGGGGTTGGGCTGGGGAGGCTCTGAGGTCAGGGTCAGAAGCCTGCTTTATTTCACATGAGATCGGTGCTATTGCAGAACTTCGGGCAAGGAAGTACGGTGATCTGGTTTATGTTTTTAGCAGACCTTCTGACTGCATTTGGAGATGGAGATATCAGGAGGCAGGGGAGGCTACCAGGAGACCCATCTGGACATTGTGGCAGACTGGAGACCTGGGGCTACGTGGCAGCAGCAGAGATGGGAGAAGTGGAGGGATGGCCCGGAGAAGGGGATGAGGAATGAAGGGTGACCTCCCAGATTTGGGGCCACAGCAGCCGGCCAGGCGACAGCACCATGGCCAAGTAGGGAAAGACAGAAGAAGGAACAGTTGTGGGAAAGAAAGCTAAAGGTATGCCCATGGGGGTGCCAGATTCTGACACTACTGCCTGACACCCCACAGCCTAAAGTAGTGCTGGACAGTTCCATAGAGCATAACTCAGGAGCACCAGGGGTTATGGGTTCAGCATCGGCTGCCCCTCGGAGCAGGGCAGGGTTTCTCACCTGTAGCACTGCTGACACTGGGGCCGGATCCTCTGTCACAGGAGCTGTCCTCTGTGCTGTAGGTGTTTAGCAGCATACCTGGCCTCCCCGCACTGGAACCAGTAGCGCTCCTCCTTCTCCAGCTGTGACAACCAAAAATGGGCTCAGACTTTGCATATGTCCCTGGAGGACAAAACTGCCCCCATGGAGAACCTCTTGAATCTAGGGGAAGCATCGTTTAGGGTTGCAGGGACAAAGGGCAGAGGGGGAAGGCATGATTCTTTGTAGCTGGAATTCCAGTCACTTCACTTCCCTTCGAGAAAGCACATGGGGCCTGGCGCGGTGACTCACGCCTGTAATCCCAGCACTTTGGGAGGCCAAGGCAGGTGGATCACCTGAGGTCAGGAGTTCAAGACCAGCCTGGCCAACATGGTGAAACCCCGTCTCCGCTAAAAATACAAAAATTAGCCGGGCGTAGTGGTGCATGCTTGTCATTCCAGCTACTCGGGAGGCTGAGGCAGGAGAATTGCTTGAATGTGGGAGGCAGAGGTTGCAGTGAGCTGAGATCCCACCACCGCACTCCAGCCTGGGTGACAGAGTGAGACTCTGTCTCAAAAACAAAAACAAAAACAAACAAACAAAAAAAACAGAGGCCAGGTGCAGTGGCTCGCGCCTATAATCTTAGCACTTTGGGAGGCCAAGGCGGGTGGATCACCTGAGGTCAGGAGTTCGAGACCACCCTGACCAATATGGTGAAACCCCCAACTCTACTAAAAATACAAAAGTTAGCCAGAATGGTGGCAGGCACCTGTAGTCCCAGCTACTCCTGAGACAGGAGAATTGCTTAAACCTGGGAGGCGGAGGTTGCACTGAGCTGAGAGCTCGCCACTACACCCCAGCCTGGGCAATAGAGCAAGACTCCATTAAAAAAAAAAAAAAAGCGAAAGCACATGTAACATAAGTGGGGGAAGCGATCCTATCAATGGGATGACCTGGCATATGCTTTAGGGGCCAGCCCCAGTCCTTTATTAATAGTAATGCTTTCCCTACCCACAATGCCCAGAAGGCGTCCACCATGGAGCTGAGAACCACAATGCTGCCCAGTTCTTATGCTGTGCAAGCCAGGGAAGCTCAAGACAGGTGAGGCAGAGTGACTTACGCAAGGTGGCATGGCTCAGGAGCAGAAAGTGGCTGTGGGGCTGCCTGGCTGGGGCTCTGTCCCAGCATAACCTCCCCTTGGGTGCGTACCTGGGCAAAGGTTGGGCAACACACAGCCACCGTAGCGTGCGGCAGCAATAGGTGCAGAACAGCGATGGAAACTCCCTCCCGTGGTGTCTGTGCCTCGGGCCTCCATCGCGGTTAACCTGCATACAGTCTCAGAGAAGCGGCACTGCCCTCCATGACAGCCTCCCCTCAACAAGGATGCTCTCTCCAGCGGGTGCATGGGCTTGGTCTCCTGGGAAACAGCTTCAAAAAGGGAACAAACTGGTTCTAAGCTCCAGGGAGAGGCCAGGGAGGGCCTGCCTGGATCTGCCCCCAACGTCCCGTCCCCCAATTCTTGTTCTGTATCCCCATGAGACTCCGGGAAGTGCTGCGCGAGACTCTCTTTTCTGAACTGCGAGGCAGGACATGGTACCAGACAAAGGACTTTTTTTCTAGCATTATCAACTTCTTCCAATGAAAAACTTTTCAAAGCTGTGAAAATGACATCCCGTGATTTTACTGTTTGTTTACTTCTTCCCCCTTCAACCATAAAAGGAAGAAAGGGACAAGATAAATAAAGAGATGAGGGACTGGGGCGGATAGAAAAATCAAGTAGGAAAATGAGAGATGATGGCTGCGTCCAGCTAGTGTCCACAGTACCGACTGCAGAAGCCAGCTGGGGGCCGAGGCAGGCCACAGCTTTGTCGCTGAGCTTCCTGGAGGCCAGGACAAAGAAAGGAGTGTGGCCAGAGGTGTGTTCACAGGGGGCATACAATAAAAGGGGAATATTTCATAATAGAAGCCCAGCTCTTCCTGAAACAGAGGCCTAGAAAAAACGATGCCCCTTATTCGAGGGACATTCTGTTAAAATGGACTCTGTTGAAAAGGCAGCATGGGGTAGGGGAAAGAGGCCAGGCTTTGGGGTTGGACCTCTAGAGTTCAAAACCCCAGTTTCCAGGCAGCTGTGTAGCTTTGGGCAGGTTAGGTGACCTCTCTGAGTTCTTGTTGATGTCTGGAAAGTGGGATAATGAGGCAGTGAATGGAAAGGTGCCCAGCACATATCTATGGATGCCCCCCGCGCAGAGTGCTCGTTAGGGTACCTCTGGGTGGAATCAGTGGTCCCTGGTGTCTGCATTCTTCGAGGCTCCTGGGTGTGAGCCTATGAGGTGGAGACAATGACAGACTGAGCTGCCAACCCCGAATGTGCACAGGGGACCCTTCTGGTGAAGCACCACAGCCTTTACAAAGCAGCCACTTCCGCCCCCACAGGCCCCAGGCTCTCTGCAGGCTTTTCCCAGGGTCTATCTGGAGTTGGGCTTGAGTCAAACCCTTTCCTCCCCCATTAGTCCACGTGGAAGCCGCCGCATCAGATGGCTTTGCGGTGCATGGGCTTGCAAGGGCTTTGGACTTTAACTGGAGCTGCTCTTGCACCCCTCCCTCCCTCCCACCCTGACGCCGTGACTTGCCTCTGAGGACTGTAGACCCAGAGCAAGCTCTCCACGTCACCACATCCAACACGGCCTGCCTGCTACCATGGCAAGCCCACAGAGGTGGAGGTGTCGGGAAATGCTGTTTAACTGCCTCTCCTCCTTCCACCGCTATCACCCCATTTCTGAAGGAGAATGTGGAAAGGTAGAGGGCAGTTTCTTGACTCAAGCCCAGCTCCAGACAGAGCCTGGGAAAAACCAAATGAGTAAAAATCATCAGTCTCCCTGGCTCACCTGCCACTAGCATCTGTCACCTCCTGGGCCCAGGGACACAGGAAGGGGCTGGATCTTCATTCCAGCTCCCCCTTTCCTCCCCACCATGAGTCCACATGGAAGCAGCAGCATCAGACGGTCAGCATTGAAGCCACATGGCCCCGGGTTTGAGTCCAGACTCCCACTTGTCAGCTGTGTGTCTTCAGACAAATTGCCTAACCTCTCTGAACTTTGTTGTTCAGAGAGCAATTTTTCCTTCATTGTTAAGTTAGGAGCATCATAGAATCAACCCTGGGGTTGTGAAGTTATATGAGAAAAAACATGGAAAATACCCCTTCTCGTGCCTGGCACCTTATAGATATTCAAAACATATCATCGCTTTCTCTCTATTTCCATGTTTCCTGAACCATGGAATTTTTCCCAGAAGACATAAGTTGCCCAAATTTTGTAAGCTGCCCCAGGTCAGCTCACCAGCCTGCAGGGTCCAGGAATGGAAGAAGCTGAGCACCCCCCAGTGGAGGCCACGGTGTTATTTCCTCACCTCTCAGAGGCAGGGCGTTCTGAATGGCTCCTGTGAACTGCAAAATCAGAGACTGAGGCTCTCAGCTGGGAGCTGAAAGAGGGCCTAGCACCCAGGCTGTGGCTGGGCTGGGGATGGCAGCCACCCAGGTGTGTGTTCCCAACATCACATTTTCTGGCACAGTGACTTTGCCAAGTGCCCTAGCCTGGCCCCAAGGAGGCAGAGAGGAACTGGGGAACTTCCAGTAGCCTCAGGGGTGGGAACTGAGTGCCCAGATTGATACTCAGGAACAGAGACAGCGCTCGTGGGGGTTGTGACTGACCCTCGCATCTCCCTGTCACTTACCGACACCTGCCGAGAGCCCTGCCGCGTCAGGTGACCTCCCAGTGTCTCAGGGCCAGGGCCAGGGTAGAGGAGGACAAGGCACCGGAGTGAAAACCATCAGGATTGGAGTCAGGGGACCTGTGGCCTGGTCCTGACTCCGCCACTCACCATCTGGACAGTCTTTGGCTTGTCACTCAACCTCCTAGAGCCTCGGTTTGCTCGGCTGTCAAATTGGCAAATAAAACCTGTCCTCCCCTCCCTCCTCCCTCTGTCTTTCCTCTTTCCTCCTGTCGTCCTCCCCTCCCTTCTCCCTCCATCCTCCCCTCCCTCCAACTTCTTTCCATCCCTCCATCCTTCCCACCTCCATCCCTCTCTCTAACTTCCACCCTCCTCCCTCCAACTTCCCTCCCTCCTTCCAGCTTTCCTCTATCCTCTCCATCCTCCCTCTTTCCCTCCCTCCATCCTCCCTCCCTCCTTCCTCTCTTTATTCTTTCTTCCTGGTCCCTCCCTCCCTGCATCTTCCATTCCTCCTTTCTCCTCCCCATCGTCCCTCCTCCCTGCCTTCATCTTCTTTCTATCCCTGAGTCCTCCCTGCCCCGCCCCACCCCCAGGGTTCTGTGAACATCCAAGCCAAGGATGTTTGTGAAAGTGCTGTGAGAAGCACAGCGGCCGTGCTCCCACAGAGGCACCACACAGGACACAGTGACTTCAGGCTCCTTTTCTTGGAAACACTGTTGGCTGTGGCCTCTTTTCCCTCTGACACCTTGGCAAGGAGGAGCCTGCTGGTGGTAACCTCACACGTCGGCTGTGCTTCCCGCCAGTGTGGTCTCGCTTGGACAGCACCGCCCCCTCCGTCTCCAGCCCACTCAGTCACCAGTTCATCCATCCAGCAAATGCTGCCAAGAGCCTGCTCTGTGCCTAGCAGAGACAGAAGTCCCTCTCCTGCAGTATCCCTCGGGGTTCCTTTCACCCTCCCCAGGCCTATGGGCTCCACCTCCGACACACGCCCACTGCCTTCCTTCCCTCCACCTCTCTCCATCTCAGAGCACTCCCAGCTCTGTCATCTCTCGCCTGGATGCCCGCTGTAGAGTCCTGACTGGTCACTCTCCCTGCTCTCCACACACAGCCAGAAAGAGCTTGTAAAAATATCAACCAGATCACATCATTCCCCAGCTCAGTACCTTCTGGTGAGAACACATCCCTCTGTGATAAAGTCAGGCTCATTCCCTGATACCTGAAGCCCCATGGATCCAGCCCGCCCCACGGATCCAGCCCGCCCCACTTTCTGACTCTCCAGGAGCTTCGTGCGCAGAAGGGAGTCGAAGATGACATCTGAACTAAGTCTGTGTGATGGTCAATAGGACGGGGGTTGTGGGTGGGGGATCGATGAGACCTGCATTTGAATCCTGCTCTGCCCTGTGTTAGCTCTGTGACCTTGGACAGACTCCTTAGCTTCTCTGGGCCTCAGTTATTTTCTCATCTGTAAAATGGGGATATAATGATAGACCCTCCCCTCCCCCATCTCATCAGATGATCAGAACGATTAAATGAGATTGGACATGGGAAGCCCTGAGGGTGGCCCAGGCACCACGGGGCAGGGAGCAGAGCTGGGTGCAGAACCAGACCTCACCTCTCTCTTGTTTTTTTCTGAGAGCTACCACACGCACCTGCAGGGCCAGGGGCTGCCTTGGAGAGCAGAATTACTTAAAACTGTGTCGTCCTTAGGTGTTTGTGGGGCACCTGCTGAGTGCCTGGCTTCAGGCCGGGCATTGTGGGCACAGAAAGCCCCCAGGGTATTTACTCTCTGGTTCTGGAGACCCTGGGGCACCAGCAGTAGGACAGACACCATACAGGGCACGATGTGGAGAGGGCAACAGAACACGTCCTAGACGTTAGGGGCTCCTCCCGGACGCCCTAAGGAGGCCTATCCCATAGGGTTGTCAGGAGAATCAGATGGGAAATACGCACAGGGCTCCCCGCACATCTGTCTCACCATAGACCTGAAATAAACAGCAACTCTTTTGCTTGGCATCTTGGAGAGGAGGTAGGATATGGTGATAAAGGGCCCAGATCCCAGAGTGAGTCAGGGTTTGAATCCAGGATCTGCCTCCTACTAGCTGTGGGGCCTTAAGCCAGTCATTGCACCTCCTTTGAACCTCAGTTGCTTTCTCTGCAATATGGGGTTGTTAGCGATACCTGCTATGCAAGTTTGCTGGCAGGAGTCGCGATAAAGTATCTAAGTGCTTGCTTTGGAGCTGGCATAACATGTGTTCAATGCATGTAGTTATTCTCATCTGCTAACCCAAAAAATACGTGGTACATGGGGACAGGGGAGGGGACCCAGAGTGAAGATGGGTCTCAGAGGAAGGGGGGCTTCGGTTCTTAATTCCCAGGGTTCCTCCTGCCCACTTCACCCCTCCCCCACACACCAAAGCACAGGCAAGAAAAGGACACAGATCCCCAAAGACTCCCTGAGGACATTTCAGGACACCCAGGCTCCCTTCCAGGGGCCGGACAGTCCGGCCAAGGCCATGTCACCAGCTCATCATTAACATGCGATGGGGGAGGGATGCCCCGTACTCGCTTCCGGCCCTCAGCTCTGAAAAGCCTGATAACAAGTGCACATTGACGGCCCAGGTTCCCCAGGGCGAGCACGCTGTCCCTGCCTCGCATCTGAGCCTTCGCCCGAGACATTTTCTCGCTTCAGCAGTTTGGCATGTCATACAAAGGGGCTCTGATTTTTCCTGATATCCAACTCCTCTTGCATGAAAAATGGCTTTGGTTGTCTTTCTGCCTGCGGATTCCTGAGCGTGAGTGGAGGCCAGATGCCTGGTGGGCAGAGTGTCCTCACTTGCTCAACCGTTTGGAGGATCTCCCGTCTTCTACCTTGTGGCCTGCGGCCTTGAGGTTCAGTCTCTGGGGGAGTTCCCTGCTGGCTGCAGGCCTGCCCCGCACCCTCCTTCCAGCCAACCCCCTTCCCTCACCCTGGTGGTTTCTGATGTGTCTCCAGTCTTCTTTGTGCTGCTGCCATTCGCACAGTCCCAGTCACCACACCCACACGGCCAACCTGAGGTTCCTTTTTGTGTGAGCATCCTCTGCAACCCAAACCCATTTTCCCCATTCCCCAGTGCCGCCTTCTCTTCCTCTCGTCCCTCTTTCTCTCCTTTCTTTCTTCCTTGTATTTCTAATTAATTCTTCCCCTTTTCCCTTTGAGTCTGCCATCTTTGTAAACCACGCAAGCCCTCTCCTGCTTCCTGTTCAAGTCAGTCTTTTGAGAGTTCTTGAAGCATTTCCTAGATAAAAATGTATTATTTTAACTCTGTGATTATTAGGAGGGTTATTAAACATGAAGAGAATTCTATTAAATGGCAAATTGAGTGAGCCAAAAACCCACAGATGTGGAACCTTTGAAGATCATCTGGTACGAAACAGATGTGACTGTACCAGTGGCTGCTTTATCAAGCTGGGAACAAATATTGGAAGGAAATTCACCAAAATGTTAAACTGATGGTCATGGGAATGAGGAGTGACTTATCTGATCTCCTTCTTCTTTCGAACTTCTGTGATGCAGAGAGGAAAAAATATAAACCCGATATTTAGATGAAAAGCATCCCAAGCCCAGTCTCCAGACAGATGAATGGGTGTGTATGCCGATTTGACACGGCCGGTGTTTGTTCTTTTCATGCTTTTTTTTTTTTTTTTTTTTTTGAGATGGAGTCTCACTCTGTAGCCCAGGCTGGAGTGCAGTGGCGCAATCTCTGCTCACTGCAACCTCTACCTCCTGGGTCCTGGTTCAAGTAATTCTCCTGCCTCAGCCTCCCAAGTAGCTGGGATTACAGGCATGTGCCACCATGCCCAGCTAATTTTTGTATTTTTAGTAGAGATGGGGTTTCACCATGTTAGCCAGGCTGGTCTTGAACTCCTGACCTCGTGATCTGCCCACCTCGGCCTCCCAAAGTGCTGGGATTACAGGCATGAGCCACTGCACCCAGCCTGTTCTTTTTATTCTTAAATGCATCCAGGAACACGCTCCCAGGCACTATGCCCAGCGACTTCTTGCCAGCATTTTATTACAGGCCACTTCTGACTTATAACCAAATTGATTCCTGGATCAAAGCCTTTGCAAGCCAACCACAGTTGAATCTTTATTTCCTGTCAGCACAATTTCCACATTGGGCTTCCATCCCTAGAAATCCATCTCCTACAATAAAAGTGCTAAAACTGACCATGAAAGTAAGTGAGAAGGAAATAAAACCCAGATCTATGCTTTTACAAACCTTTATCACATGTGTAAACCTAAGTACTTAATCGGAAAGCTGTGTCGTGAGAGGCCCCTCAGGGAGAATTTTTCTGCCTGAGTCAGATGGCTCAAGATTTCTTAATATGTGACTCCGATGAGGTTTGAGCAGAAGACGCTTGCTTTTTTAAATTATTTCCCTAGGAAACTGTCCTGTGGCAAGCTTAAGCAGGCTTCATTGCACCAAAAATCTTCAAACTCTTTAAAATAAAAGATTCTTTTACCTCAAAAATTTTCCATTGACAATTCCCTTTGTGTAAATTCTTTTTTTTTTTTTTTTTTTTGAGACTGAGTTTCACTCTATTGCCCAGGTTGGAGTGCAGTGGCACAATCTCATCTCCCTGCAACCTTCACTGGGTTCAAGCAATTCTCCTGCCTCAGCCTCCTGAGTAGCTGGAATTACAGGCGTGCACCACCACACCTGGCTAATGTTTGTATTTTCAGTAGAGACAGGGTTTCACCATGTTGGCCAGGCTGGTCTCAAACTCCTGACCTCAGGCAATCCGCCTGCCTCAGCCTCCCAAAGTCCTGGGATTACAGGCGTGAGCCACCGCACCCGGCCTTGTTAGAAACATCTTTGCATTTCTTCCAGAGGTTCCTCTAAAAGAACAAAAAAAAGAAAAAGTAAATAAAAAGAAAAAAATCTTTGCATGGTGAATACTGGAGGAAAGGCAGTTTCCAATGTGACTCGTGCGACCCTGAAACAATCCCTCACTCTTTGTGGCAGTGAGTCAGTTGACCCTTCAAATGTCCATCAATGCAGAGACACAAGCTTCCCCTTGTGTCTTTGTTGCCAGGTGCTCAGAATGTTACCTTCTGTTCTTAGCAAGAGTTTCAGTTAAGGCAGAAGCGCGAGGGAATATGGAAGGAGATGCTGATCAAGTCCAGCATCCTCCAGCTGAGATTCCCAGTACTAGGACTACAAAATTATCCCTCAGTTCTAATCAAATTTGCTACCTTCAGTAGTAATGTCTGTTCCTTTCTTCTTGCTCAGTCTTTCCTATAGCTGAAAACAAAGCAATCATCTTCGACCCTTAATAGCCCTTCATATTCTTGCAAGCAGTTTTTTTGGGTTCTTCTTTGGTCTACCCATCTCTGGAGGAAAGGGAAGGAAATTTACCTGGTTTTTTGTTTTGAAACCTAGTTGCTTTCTCTAGACTGTGGCTTGAAACATACAAGCCTTTGTGCAAAGCACTGGGTCAGGGTTGGGGGTGCTGGGGCCGAGAGAACCACAGGAGACCCACTCTGTTTGTCACCAGTGGCCTCTTGAGCCGCCCGTGAGTAGGACGGTGCTCAGGCGAGCCCGGCAAGGTCCCCTCCGCCCTAGCTGCTTATCCATTCAACACCCTCCTGCTGGCTCCTCTGTTTAGAGTCCAGAATTATGAATAGTTTAAAAAATAAGAGCAAATGCCTGCTGAGCCCTTGCTATGCACCAAGCACATTAGGTATTATCTCAAGAACTTTCCATATGTTATCTCAACTTATCTTTGTAACAGCTATAATTTCACACTAGTTAATTACTTAACTATGATTTAATCAGATTTCAGGTATATTATTGCAGAAAGAGAGCTAACTCTTATAAAAAAAAATTTTTAGAGATACGGTCTCACTCTGTCACACAGGCTAGAGTGCAGTGGTGGGATCATAGTGTGTCCAGAGTTGATTCATTCTGATAGGTTTATGGGCTCGCTGACCTCAAGAATGAAGCCATGGACGTTTGCGGTGAGTGTTACAGCTCTTAAAGGTGGCACGGACCCAAAGAGTGAGCAGCAGCTAGATTTACTGTGAAGAGTGAAAGAACAAGCTTCCACGAGTGGGAGGAGACCCAAGCGGATTGCCGCTGCTGGCTAGGGTGGCCAGCTTTTATTCCTTTATTTGTCCCCGCCCATGTCCTGCTGATTGGTCCGTTTTACAGCATGCTGATTGGTCCATTTTACAGTGTTGATTGGTTCGTTTTACAGAGTGCTGATTGATCTATTTTACAGAGTGCTGACTGGTCCATTTTACAAACCTCTAGCTAGCCACAGAGTGCTGATTGGTGTGTTTTTACAGAGTACCAATTGGCGCATTTTACAAACCTGTAGCTAGCCACAGAGCGCTGATTGGTGCATTTTACAAACCTCTAGCTAGCTACAGGGCGTTGATTGGCGTGTTTTACAATCGTAGCTACAGAGTGCTGATTGGTGCATTTTACAATCCTCTTGTAAGACAGAAAAGTTCTCCAAGTCCCCACTCAACCCAGGAAGTCCAGCTGGCTTCACCTCTCAATAGCTCACTGTGGCTTTGAATTCCAGGGCTCAAGCAATCCTCCCACCTCAGCCTCTTGAGTATCTGGGACTGCAGACGTGCACCACCATGCCCATCTAATTTTAATTTGTTTATAGAGATGAGGTCTTGCTCTGTTGCCCAGGCTGGCTTCAAACTCCTGGGCTCAAGCGATCCTCCTGCTTCAGCCTCCCAAGTAGCTGGATTTACAGGCACAAGCCACCATGCTTGGCTATGAGAGCAAACTCTACTGTGGTTCCTATTAGGTGCCAGGGATTGCCCTGTGCACTTTATATAGATTAACTTGCTTAATCCTCCGCCAGCCTGTGAGGCAGGTGCTAGCACTACTTCCATGGTGTAGATGCAGAAACTGAGGCACGGGGAAGTTAAGCAGCTTGCCCAAGGCCCCGGAGCCAACAAGTGGTGAAGTCAGAATTGAAACCCAGGCTGTCTGGCTTCAGATTCCATTCTCTTCATTCGGCTATACCTCTTCCCAGTTGATAACAGTGGTAGCTATGACATGAAAATCTCTGCAGGCACTTTGCAGAGTTCACTTCCTCCTCACAATGCAGCATGGATGGCACTCCCCTTGTGGGAGACTCACCAGCCTGTGACACCCCCCAGCACCTGCACCCAGGTCTCCAGCCCCAAAGCCCCTGGCAAGATCTTTCTCAGCCCCATGCTAAAAACAGTCACATGCCTG
Organism: Homo sapiens; assembly: GCF_000001405.40. Lineage (NCBI taxonomy): Eukaryota > Metazoa > Chordata > Mammalia > Primates > Hominidae > Homo > Homo sapiens. The sequence goes on from NC_000017.11 coordinate 66,983,325, forward strand.
CTGCACGCTGGGGAAAAGGCGAGGTTGTGGGGTGGCTCAGTGTGCTGCGAATATCCAAAATAACCCATGGTGACCCCAGGAATCTGGGGCCACAGTGAAGGCTACCCAGGCTGGAGGAGGAGTTTAGATGGGAAGAGAGCAGGACCCGCCCCTCAGGTGTGTCCCCGTGGTTGCCAGATGCTGGCTGTGGGCTGGGCTGGCACAGCAGGCTTCTTGGAGGAGGTGGGCACAGCGTCGTGACCAGAACAACGCACGATGCCAGGCCCCAGGTCTGACTCATGCAGTCTAAAGAGAAAGGATTCTGCTGTCAGACTGAGGGCGGCTCTTCAGATGGGGCACTCTCCGCAAAGAAGGTGAAAATCATTCTGCTCGAGACAGATCCTTTAAGAAGACATTAACCATGCACTTCAAAGCCCTGGAACCCATGTTTTGCAGGGGCTGCCACCCACTGGCACACTTTCACACCCAGGTTCTGGTTGTTGGCATTCACGTGGTGACTCCCAGCTCGCACAAAGCAGATAGAAAAACAGGCTGATCATACTGTGTGTTTCCATTCATACCCTGTTCAAAAGCAGGCAAAACGAATGCAAGGCAGCGGAGCTCAGCACAGTGGCTCCCTTTGTGGGCTGTTGTCTGGGAGGGTGCAAGGTGTGTGAACAATGTTCTATATTTTGATCAGGGTGCTGGTTATACGGGTGTAGACACATGTTCATCTAACTGCACCCTTAGGATTACTCTCTGTAGATTATCTTCAGTAAAAATTAAAAATAGTAGCCAGCTGCAATGGCTTGAACCTGTAATCCTAGCACTTTGGGAAGCCAAGGCAGGAGGATCACTAGAGGCCAGGAGTTCAAGACCAGTTTGGCAACATAATGAGACCCCGTTTCTAACAACAACAAAAAATTAATTAGCTGGACATGGTGGTGCACACCTTTAGCCCTAGCTACACAGGAGGCTGAGGTGGGAGGATTGCCTGAGCCCTGGAGTTTGAGGCTGCAGTGAGCCACCACTGCACTCCAGCTCTGGGCAATAAGCAAGACCCTGTCTCAAAACAAAAACAAAAAACAAATATAGGTCTGGGATGACAAAGACTCACAGATGGCCTGCCACCAGCCTGCACCCGCCCCCATTCATCCCCAACTGCTGGCCTGTATTTTCTTCAGTCCTAGGTGATCCAGCAAATACTAGTCGAGAATGTGTGTGCCTAGCCCTGTGCTATGTTCTGGGGACTCGTTCATTCATTCATTCAGCACTTATTTTTGCACCCAGCCTCTTGGGAACAGGGTTTGACCTTCTGGAGGAGAAAGATACTCCTGTATCTGCAGATTCTGAGACTCGGAGCTGTTCAGAATGACATGACCTCCCACTTGTTCCTGCCTCGCCATCTGCTTGTGCTGTCTCTCATGGGATCCTCATAACCCCACAGGAAGGTGGGTTCTGTCACCCTGGATTCTTCACCCAGAAGGCGAAGCAGCAGGGGCAGAGTTTGACTTGAACCCGAGCCTGAGTTTAGCCTCGAGCCTGAGCCTGCCTCAGGGTCCCCAGGGTTACCAGGCTGGGAGTCTGTGCTGACAACAAGCCCAGTGTCATTCTGCTCACCTCGACCTCATCCTTGGGGAAATGCCCCACTGAGCTGAGCACACCAGCTCAACGAGACCAGACCAAAGGGTGGCAGGGGACTGACATGGTTGGGGTGAGGAGGGTCTGACCCAAGGGCAAAGAATGGCCTTGCTTCTCTGAGACCGTCCTCTCTCCCAGCCTGGGCAGCTGTGATCGGGAGATACTGCCTGGTACCCTGCTCTGGGGGGCTCCCACCACCCGCCCTCATCCTGCCTTATCTGTTTCCAACTCCCTACCTGCATTTTCTTAGTCTCTATTCAAATCCAGAAAATGCTCATTGAGGATTTGAAAACTAAATCCCAGGCTGAGTCCTGGGCACTCCCAGATTCATTCATTCATTCATTCAGCAAATATTAATATTGAGTGTCTGCTACTGCTCAAGCAGCATTCGAAGTGATAGGGAAAGTTTTCTTCATAGCAGAGAATAAAACAGACAGCAATTCAGTAATGAGTCTATTGTCCAAGAGAGACAAACAAAAAGCAAGAAAAGAAAGGAGTGTCAGGGTGAGGCTTGTGATGTTAGAGTGTCATTTGTCTTAGTGCACTCAATTCCAGGGAGGCTTGGCCTCTATCAGCCTGGGAAAGTCCCGGGGGGCTTCCCAGAGGAGGCAACATTACTCTTGTCTTGCAGAATGTGTAAGAGTTCCCCAGGCAGGGGAATATACAGAGGCACACGTCTTCCTTCCTGAATGCACACATGCAGTCTCCTATTCATTCTTTATTCATCCAGCAGACATTTTATGGAGCACCCAGATGAAAAGTAGAATCCTGTCCTGTTCCTCAAAGAAATCAGCGTCCAGTGGGAGAAGGGAGACAGAGGGACGGCCATCTGTTACGATTCTGTGTGGAAATGCGTTAAGTGCACGTCCAAGGAGTGGCAGTAGCACAGAGTGGGAAGAGGAAGGTCCTTGGAGGCAAGGGATGTGGTCAGGGAAGTTTCTAGATGGTAAGTCATGTGAGCCAGTTTAGGAAGATGAACACAAGTTTGTTTAAAAAAGGAAAAAAAAAAGAAGAAGAAGAAGAAGAAGAAGGTTCCAGACAGAACACAGGCAAAGTTCCAGAAACATCATGCCTGCTCCGGGGCATTCCATAGTTACCCAGTGCCTACCAGGGGCCCCCGGCCCTGAGCCAGCTCCTGGGATGCATGGGACAGAGGGATTGTTCCCGGATGCCTAAGAAATCTGGTACTATCGAAACAGAAAGCCTCTTATGAGAGGAGGCCAGAAGCTGGGGACAGGGAGGTAGGAGAACAGAAGCAAAAGGGCCCTTCGCTCCATCATACCTGCTTAGGAGCCTGCCTCTGGCCCTCCTGGCCCAGCCGTGTGGGTTGAGGGTCTCACCAAGGGGACATTCAGAGCTGATGTGTGTCTGGAGAGCTCATGTGGCTTCTCCTATGCAGGACGGAGCGGAGGGAGCAAGGCTAGGGCAGGGGCACTTGTTGGGGAAACACTGGAAAATTCCAGCCCGGGGGGATGAGTCCTGAATTAGGACAGTGGAATGGAGGAGATGGTGGATTTGAAGGAGATGGTGCCTTGGAAATAGACTGGATGCAAGAATGAGAGCCCATTATGGGGAAGGGTGATGTCACTGAGCAAGACAGGACACACAGGAAGAGCAGAAGACATATGAGTGAGGCGGATAAGTCCAGCTCCAGGGGGAGGGCACAGATCGCTTGGAGCAGATGGTACAAGGCTTGCGTCTTAACTAATGTCTTCACTCTTTAACTATCTCCAATTTACAGAGAGAATTTAGCTTCCAGTGGTTGCTGGCAATCTTTGGTGTCCCTTGGCTTTGTAGAAGCATCACCTTCGTCTCCGCCTTCTCTTCACATGGCGTTTTCCCTGGGTGCATGTGTCTCTGTCCAAATTTCTCTTTTTATAAGAACACCAGTCATACTGGATTAGGGTCTACCCTAATGACATCATCCTTAACTATACTACATCTGTAATGACTTTATTTCAAAATGAGGCCACATTCTGAGATACTGGGGGTTAGGACTTACATGAATGGATTTGGTGTGGGGAGGGGACACAGTCAATTCTTAACAGCCACATCTTGAGTGATTCCATTTATACGAAATATCCAGTGTATTTACAGAAAAAAGACAGCAGATTCGTGGTTGCCAGGGGCTGAGGGGAGAGGGGAATGGGATTGACTGCTTAATGAGTACAGGGTTTCCATTTGGGGTGATGAAAATTTTCTGAAACAAGGAAACAGGCTCAGAAAGATTAGGTAACTTGCCTGAGGTCACACAGCTGCTAAGTGGTTAAGATGGGATTTGTTCCAAAGTTTGTATTCTTTCTATTGCAATTGGGTTCAAGTGGAGGTTTCTTCTTGGACAAATTATTTAGATTCCCAGACCCTCATTTCCTTATCTACACAATAGAGTCAACATATCACCCTTATCCTCTACCCATGTGAGAATTCACAGAACTCACCTAGTGAGAGTCACTGGTACATTCTGAATGCTTACTAAATGGTCATTATCATTACTCTCTCAGTCAGGGTCCATCCAGGAAAACAGAAACCACTCTGTGTCTTTCAGACAGAGGAAATTTAATAGAGGGAGTTGATCACTCGGGTGATGGAAGAGCTGAGAAGCCAAACAGGAGAAGCATCAGGCACTGAGATGTGGGGCTGCAGGAAGCCCCTTTCAGAGAGAAAATGAGAGAGTGGTTTTACCGGAGGAGGTTGGGACCACAGAGGGAGGGGCTTTCCAGAAGTAACTAGACCCCCAGAGGAGATGCAGCAGCTGCAGAAACACTGTCCAAGGAAGAGGGGGCGAAATACCCTGACTTTCCCCTTTTGACGGCCCTCTTTTCCATCAGAGCCTCCTACTGACCAAACCTACCCAGAAGCCAAGGGCAAGGGAGCCTGGGAAGCATGGTTCCTGGGATAAAGAAGCGATCTCAGCGGTGCATTCAGCTGGTGAGCAGAGCTTACTGTTGGTCTCTGTGTGCCGGTTCATGCACGATGTTGGCATGCTCGAGACTGGGCATGGTCCCAGTGTGTGCATACTCTAGGTATGCACCCAGGAAAGGAGGCAGAGTGGGAGCCCTTGAGAGTGTGCTTTATGGCTATACATCCTTTTTGTGTGTGTGTGTGTGTGTATATATATATATACACACACACACACACATGCAACTGCACACAGTGTGGTCACAGAGCTACCACCCTGATAGCACCCAGCTTGGCTGCATGAATCCCCGTGTACTGCACCTGGGAGCATGTGAGGCCATCACACAGCGTCTGCAGTTCCATCTGCCTGGAGCTCATCCTGTCCTGTTGCCATGGCGGGAAGACCCAGGCTGGAGCACACGCATCAAGGCTCAGCGCTGTCTGCTCCAGGGTGTCCTGTGACTCGGCCAGTCCGGTCATCAGAACTATTGTGTGCATGTATCTCATCTCCAAACAGCCGCCGGCAAGCAGGAGAGGAAAAGGCCCTTGAATCTGCGGCACCAGCTTTTCTTTGAAGTGAGGAAGCAGAGTTTCTGTTTTTCTTGGAAATCCAGCTCCATCATGAGGGATGTTGCTGCATCTGCCTCTTGGCTCCGCGTGTCTGCCTGGCCTCCTGCAGGGCCTCCCCGCCCATCCCCATCACTTGCCCCCTCGCCTCGCCTCACCTCAGTAATGCATCCGGCCCTTGGATCTGTCACCAGTCGGTTGCAACAGAGCAGCTCATGGTCTCTGCTGCTCTCCAGAGGCTCTAAGGAGATATGGGACGTCAGAGGGGTCTCTTTGCCTCTCTTAGACCAGAATCTTCCTGAAATTTCTTGGTGGGGGCTTCCCATTTCTAGTTCTATCTTACGTAAGGCGTTGAAAAGGCAAAGGAGGCAGGGCGCGGTGGCTCACGCCTGTGATCTCTGCACTTTGAGAAGCCAAGGTGGGTGGATCACTTGAGGCCAGGAATTCAAGACCAGCCTGACCAACGTGGTGAAACCCTGTCTATACTAAAAATACAAAAAAATTAGCTAGTTGTGGTGGTAGGTGATTGTAATCCCAGCTACTCAGGAGGCTGAGGCAGGAGAATCACTTGAATCCAGTAGGTGGAGGTTGCAGTGAGCCAAGATCATGCCACTGTACTCCAGCCTGGGCAACAGAGCAAGACTCTGCCTCAAAAAAAAAAAAAAAAAAAAAGGCAAGAGAGTTAAATGAGAAGAGAAACAGAAGCTGCTAAGAGCTTTTTATTCCCGGCATCTTTAGCTTCAGGGAGAATTATGGATGGAACTGTGTCCCCTAAAAAGATATGTCAAAGCCCTGATGCCTGGAACCTGGGAATCTGACCTTATTTGGAAATAGAGTCTTTTTGGATGTCATCAAGTTAAGATGAGGTCATACTCCATTAGAATAGGCCTTCGTTTAATAGACTGGGTTCTTATAAAAAAAAAAGGAGAAGAGACAGACACAGACGGAGAAGGACACAGAAGATGGAGGCAGAGATTGCAGTGATGCAGCTACAAGCCAGGGAATGTTCGGGGTTGCCAGCAAACACCAGGAGCTAAGAGAAAAGCATGGGGCAGATCCTTCCTAGATCCTTCAGAGAGAGCATGGCCCCACTGACACTTTGATGTTGGACTTCTAGCCCCCAGAACCATTCGAGGATAAACTTCTGTTGTTTTAAGCCAGCTCGTTTGTGGTACATTGTCATGGCAGCCCCAGAAAACCAATACAAGGAGATTAATTCAGCCTTGCAAATAACTGCCGAATTAACCACGCTTCCGAAGTGTTTCCCATGCTGCTCTCCAAGAGGGGGTAGCCTCAAATAAAAGAAAGTTGATTTTGTTAGCAACGGTGTGTTGAGAACTCCCTTTGTAGGCTAAGAACATGTATGTGTCACCTCCCTGAACCGCCCACCAACCTCCCAATGTGGGTACTGTTCCTTTCCTGATTGACAGTGGAGGAAACTGAGTCTCGGATGAAACACTTTTGTCGAAGCAACATGAAAATTTTTTCTTTCTTTCTGGGTCAGTGACTATTTCCAAGGCTGGACTGGGGTCCTGAAGGCAAAATGAGCGACTTTGGGTGAAAAATACATTCATTTTCTTTGTGCTTCTTAACAAATTGACAAAACTTAGTGGCTGAAAACAACACAGATTTATTATCTCCCAGTCTCTGTGGACTGGGAGTCTGGACACACTTAGCCGCATCCGCTGCTTAAGTCTTCAAGGATGCAATTGAGATATTTGCCAGGCGGCTTCCCTTTCTTAGCTTGGGGACCTCTTGCATGCTCACTGGTTGTTGGCAGAATTGACCCGGTTGTGGTTATGAGACAAAGACTGCCATTCTCTTGCTAGCCATCAGCCAGGACTTCTCAGCTCCTGGGAACTACCCACAGTCCTTGCCACGTGGCCCCCTTGGCAGTTCACTGCATGGCTATTTGTTTTTTTCCAGGCCAACAGGAACATCTCTGATTTCTTCCCCTCCAATCTGCCACAACAGAGTCTTATATTACGTAATTGAATCATCATATTCACAGGTTCCTCCAACACTCAAGGGGAGGATGTTATACAGGGGCACACAGCAGCGGGTGGGTATCTTTCGGGCCATCTTAGAACTCTGCCTACCACAGATGGAAGGGGCTTTGGTGCAAAGGGTGGTCTCCGGTCAGATGAACTTGACTTTGATTTCTGGTTCTGTCCCTCACTAGGGGTGGAGAGTTGATCTTACGAAATTTTCTTCTGCACTCTTTAAATCTAAGTCTCCTTATTTTATTTTATTTTATTTTATTTTATTTTATTTTATTTATTTATTTTTGAGACGGAGTCTCGCTCTATCGCCCAGGCTGGAGTGCAGTGGTGTGATCTCAGTTCACTGCAAGCTCCGCCTCACGGATTCACACCATTCACCTGCCTCAGCCTCCTGAGTAGCTGGGACTACAGGCGCCCGCCACCATGCCCGGCTAATTTTTTGTATTTTTAGTAGAGACGGGGTTTCACCGTGTTAGTCAGGATGGTCTCGATCTCCTGACCTCGTGATCCGCCCGCCTCAGCCTCCCAAAGTGCTGGGATTACAGGAGTAAGCCACCGCGCCCGGCCTAAGTCTCCTTATTTTAAAAAGGGGTACATTAATACCAGACTCAAAGGGCTGATATGAGGATTAGATGAGTCAAACCGTAAAGCGCTGGCAGTTGCTAGGAGCTCGGTGAATGGCGCTCCCTCCCTCCCTTTTGCAAGCAAATCTCCAGCACAGAGGAAAACACAGGTGGGTGGTGCAGGTGGAAGGCACCTGGTCCTGGAGTCAGAAGCCTCCCTGGGCTCCAGCTTGATCTCGGCAGGTCCTACCCATCTCACCGTTTCCACTGCCCCTTCCCCTTCTCCCAAATGGTAAGAATCACAGCAGCTTTGCCTGGTGAAAGATGAAGATGAATTGCCATCCCCAAACAAACAAACAAACAAAAAAAAACACTTCCGAAAGACCTCTCCTTCCTGTACTGTGTGAGGCATGTTTCTCCTCTTCCCAGAAGCCAGATCCCATAAGAGGAGTGCCCCCTCTCCCCTCCTAGTGCTGAGCAAAGCAGTGGGGCAGGGGGCTATGCAGGTCGGTGGCAGATGTCTTTGCTCCTGGGTGGTCACTAATTGGTCCATTTAGCTGCTTGAGTCTGTTCTCCTGTTGGGTATTCAGTAGACTGGCAACACCTCCCTACTCACATGGGTAAGGATACGGGCCTGCGAGGATGTGTGTCAGTTGTTTTGCCCCCCATCCTGATGGGGAACCATCCAGACAGGATTCAGCCCCCAGATATTAACCCTGAGTAAGACCTGACAACTCCCAACCACATGTTCATGATTCTCTGATATGTGACCCACCAGGAAGGCGTGTCTCCAGCCAAAGGCCGGAAACCTTGTACATTTCAGGGCATCACCTGGCCCTGATGTTGAAGTGTACAGAAGCCAGAGGTGTGAAGGCAGGATCTGCAGGCCGACCTCTCTTCACCACTTCAAAGGAGAGTCCAACTTGAAATTTCACTGTCTGGTTTACACTTACTGCCTCTCTTACCACCATGCCTGCTGGAATGCGAGCTGCCTGCCCACCCAACTCACTCTGTCCATCCCTCAAGACTCACTCAAAGGTGACCTTCCCCACAAAGCCTTACTCATCTCCAGTTGGTGGTGACACCTCCCTTCTCTGGACTCTTGGAGCACGGGGTTTGTGCCCAGACTTTGGCTGAATGTGTTATGTCATGTCACGGGGTACCTGGTTGCTCCGCCAAGCTCCTGGGGGGGGGGGGCTGTGATGCCTCCTTTCTCACCCTTGAGTACCTAATTGCCCCACCAAGTCAGCACCCTCAGTGAATGTTTGCTACATGAATGAATAGGTCCCATAGATTGGGGAGGAGACGGGTGGGGACCCCATGTTGGATCAATCCAAGAATCTCTGTATGGGAAGTTTCAAAAAGTTGAGATCAGAAGAGCTTATTTAGGTCCTATCCCCACCTATCATTCATTCACCATTCATTCATTCATTCAACCTAGCACTGGTTCTCCCAGGCGCAGGGGATCCATCAAATAAGAAAGGCCTCCCAGCAGCACAAAACAAACCTGGCACTACCCACCAGCACACCCACCTTTCTAGAAGGGGGTTATGTCTAGAAAACAGCTGGAAGCAACCCTGCCATGGCTGGATAGAGGGAGGGTCAGGTGGGAGCTGCCCATGTGGGCCCCTTCGAGGCATCCCATGGCTCCCCAGAGCGTGGTTCAGAGCCCCTGGCCTGGTGGAGGCTTCCTGAGAAGGTAACAGAGCCGGAGAGGCTGTTGCGTTTGCACCGGTTTCTCTGTCCTAGGGCCGAGGGCCTTGGCTGGATGAGCCCAAAGCTGGACTTCCCAGACACTAAAGCATCATGGGCCCTTCCTGAGTGTCATTTCGCACTTGTGATTGTGTGTTATTTTTCTTTATGAGGGCCTGTCTGCTTACACAAACTTCAGGACCCAACAGAATCTGGATCTGCCCTCGTTTGGGCCATACATAAAACCCCAGGTAGAACCATCACCCAAGTGGGACTTCTCAGGAAGATCGGGCCCCTCTGTGTGGGTTTCCCAGAGGGAGCGCCCACCTTGCACCTAGCGTGCGCTGTGTCTACAGCAGCTGGCCCGGCTCATCCACTGGGTTGGGACAGGCTGTGAGAACCCTCAGGGTGGCACCTGTGGTGCTCAGCTGGCATCCACTGGGGCTCAGCCACCCCAATCCCCAGCCAGGGGACTCCAAGGCTGCCTGACGGTGGCTCGTGTGGGCCTGAGGCCTGTGGTGGGGGCCTCATGGCACCATTTCGGGGCTTGGCATTTGCTGAGAGGTTTTCCATCATTTATTAATGAGCGTTGGCAGCGGTCCTGTGAATTAAGGCTCAGTTGGAGACGAAGCTCTGAGTGGCTGGGTAGGCAGGGCCACTGGCTCGCAGGGCTGTGTCATCACTGGTGCTGGAAGAGGCTTTGCTCCTGCCACTGAGGCCATTCCCTATGGCCACACCCCAAAGAAGAGCTTCATCTTCCCAGAGGAGAGTTCATACATCTGGGGGCAGAAGACTGCTTCACCCTCTAGCTGGGGCCAGGCTTGGACAACTCACAATCTCCTCCATTGCCAGGTCACCAGGGCACTCCCACGCCTGTTCTTGCACACACAAGGGGGCTCACCCAGGGACAAAAGTGCTTAAAAAGTAACCATGTGAGATGATAGATTCTTTTTTTTGAGATGGAGTCTTGCTCTGTCACCCAAGCTGGAGTGCAGTGGCGCGATCTCGGCTCATTGCAACCTCTGCCTCCAGGGTTCAAGCGATTCTCCTGCCTCAGCCTCCCAAGTAGCTGGGACTACAGGCACCCGCCACCATGCCCGGCTAACTTTTGTATTTTCAGTAAAGACGGCGTTTCACCAGACGGCGTTTCATCATATTGGCCAGGCTGGTCTCAAACTCCTGACCTCGTGATCCACCCACCTCAGCCTCCCAAAGTGCTGGGATTACAGGCGTGAGCCATCACACCCGGCCAATGAGATTCTTTAACTTGCTTCAGGGTAGTAACTACTGTACTATCCATCTGTCTCTATATGTATCCCATAACATCATGTTGTAACCCTCAAATATACACATAAAAAAAAAAAAACATTTTTTTAAGAGACCAGAGGTGCGGTGGCTCACAGCTATAATTTCAGCACTTTGGGAGGCCGAGGTGAGAGCTTTACTTGAAGCCACAAGTTCAAGACCAGCCTGGGCAACATGGTGAAACCCTGTCTCTACTAAAAATAGAAAATTAGCCCAGTGTGGAGCATGCCTATAGTATTAGCTACTCAGGAGGCTGAGGTGAGAGGATTGCTTGAGCCCAGGAATTTGAGGCTGCAGTGAGGTATGATCAAGCCACTGCACTCCAGCCTGGGTGACAGAGCGAGACCCTATTTCCAAAAAAAAAAAAAAAAAACTGCGCCTCCGCTACTAGCAGACACGCATGGAAAAGGTGCCTCAGCACACCGTGTGTGTCAGGACCTCGCGTGTTTGCCTTGCCCTCACCCTGGGAGATAGATCTTGTCATTATCCTGGCTATTCAGAGCAGGAAGGTGCGGCACAGAGGGATTAAGCAAGCAGCCCATGCTGCTGTCAGCCAGAATGCCACCCTGGCCCCCCAGGGGCCCAGTCCTGGTGACCACGGAGCCTGGGAGCTGGGTGTCATGCAAGTAGAAAGCATGCCCTTTGGAACCAGATACAATGATGTTCAGGTCCCGGCTTTCTCCAGTTGGTCATCTCCCAGAACTGCCGTTTTCTCCTCTGTGAAATGGGAACAGCAGTCCCTATCTTCTGGATTTTCAGGAGGATTCACTGATGTAACAGCAACATCAATGTCATTGCACCTGTACAGAGTTAGCACTCAGCGCCTCCTCCATACGTTCTCAGAGGCCAGTGGTAGTGGAGGGGGAGGGAGTGAGAGGTCTTCCCAGGCAGGGTGGTGAAGGGGGGAATGGGGGCATTGGTAGGAGGAGGACTGGAGCCATTCGCCCCCTTGAATATCCGGAAATCTATGGCTGTGGGATGCAGCTGGAGAGAACTGCTTTGCAAATTACCTTGCAAAGAAAGATCCATCTCAGATCTTTCTTTTTCTTTAACAAGTTTCCCCCCGGGCCAATTTCAAATCAAGTTCAATCTGGTATCTAACAGTGAAAAGCTGGTTACTCAGAGTCATTAGATGTAGAATATTCAGGCCTCCGTGGAGGTGGCCCTGGCGCCCTCACGCCACTGCCCCGGGTCGTGGCACCGTGATAAACTTCATTTTCCAGCTGTTATTTGCACCTCTGGAAATGGGTGTCTCTGGCTTCTGTCCATTGAGAGGGGGTTTCTGCTGGAGAACTGAAGGATGTGCTATTCCTATGTCTGGATCCAGACCTCGACTGGGAGGGAAAATGGCTTAATGAATAATGAAAGCTTTGTGATCACACGGCAGCCTCTCATGAAGCCTGAGGAAGGTCGGGCTCTTCAGCCCCAGCTAAGCAAAAGGGAGGCACTGGAAGGGCAGAATGGAACCTTGCAGGGTTGGAGGCCTCATGAGTCCAGGCCTGGTTTGCCAGCATCTTCTCGGAGTAGGCCAGCATTTCTGAAATATCAGGACTACAGGAATTTATGACAGTGTGGGTTGTGTTAAAAATGGGATCTAGGCCGGGCGCAGGGGCTCACCCCTGTAATCTCAGCACTTTGGGAGGCCAAGGCAGGCAGATCATGAGGTCAGGAGTTCGAGACCAGCCTGACCAAGATGGTGAAACCCCGTCTCTACTAAAAATACAAAAATTAGCTGGGTGTGATGGTGGGCACCTGTAATCCTAGCTACTCGGGAGGCTGAGGCAGGAGAATTGCTTGAACCCAGGAGGCAGAGGTTGCAGTGAGCCAAGATCGTGCCACTGCACTCCGGCCTGGGTGACAGAGCAAGACTCCATCTTGAAAAAAAAATGGGATCTATAGAGACCTCTAGGTTTTTCCATTTTTCCTTATTGCCATCAGTTCAACCTATTTGTGAGGGGGTGATTTTTACTTTGATTTTGGAACTGAGTGACATGAAACCAGTCTGACATCTGGTTCCACTGAATCCCAAACCCTGGTTTTGAGTGTGGCCCGTTGGATTCGCCTCTAGGACATTAATATTTATCACATTACAATCAAGCCATGCTTCCAGGAGCGACTGGTTGACTTAGGAGGTTGATGACAAGCAGCTCATTCCAGTGGCATCTTGTGGATGGGGCACCGCATGCTCTGCCAATGCCTCTCTGCTCCGTGGTTGGGCATTCTGATGGCATTCCTGGGTATCTTACTCGCTAGTGGTAAAGAGGGCAGAAGGCAGAGTGGATTTTTTTTTCTGCCTTTTGCACGCAGACACAGAGCCAGGGAGCCAGGAGAGAGCAGTGCCTCCCCTGGCCTCCTAGATCCTGAGTCCCTCAGAGCCCTCTTTGGAGAAAGAACATCAGTCCGATTCTTTTTTTTTTTTTTTTTTTAGACAGGGTCTCGCTCTGTCACCCAGGCTGGAGTGCAGTGGTGTGATCTCGGCTCACTGCAACCTCCGCCTCCCAGGTTCAACCAATTCTCCCACCTCGGCCTCCCCAGTAGCTGGAACTACAGGGGCACGCCATGACGCTCAGCCAATTTTTGTATTTTTTGGTAGAGACAGGGTTTCACCATGTTGGCCAGGCTGGTCTCAAACTCCTGACCTCAGGTGATCTGCCTGCCTCGGCCTCCCAAAGTGCTGGGATTATGGGCATGAGCCAGCGTGCCCAGCCCATTAGTGCAATTCAACCAACATGAATCGAGCAGAGACTAAATAGAAGGTTTGGTTTAAAGACAAGTCAGTCTCAGATCCAGACCCCTGGCTCACGGGGAGACACAATTTAGAAATAATGCAGGAGGTTACAATGACAGGGATGTGTACAGACCATTACGAGAATGCAAAAGAGAAGAGGGGGACAGGTCCCTGAGGGCTTCTTAGAAGGGGCAGCGCCTGCCCTGATGACTTCTGAGAGTTTATAAGGGGACGAGGGCAGGACAAAGGGAACAGCCCAAGCTAGAAGATGGTTCGAAACAGCATGAGCTCCCTGCGGAGCTCAGGGTTATTGGAGGGTGGGGCCAGCAACAGGACTCAGGGTCAGCAGGAACCAGCTGTGATGGCTGGCATGACCAAACTCTATGCTGTGGGAGGTGGAAGGTCAGTGATGGTGCTGTGGTCAAAGTCCTATGTCACCAGATTGTCCTGGCAGGTGGTTTTGAGGGAAGCAGCAACAGGGATACCAGTAAAAAGGAAGAGTTATGCAAACCCAAACTAGGGCAGGGCAGTGTGGATGGATAAGAGGGGTGGATTTGAGGCATCAAGGATGTGGAATTCCAAGGTCGGCTGATGGATGAAATACAGGCCGGATGAGGAAGAGGGAAGAGTCAAGACGCCCTCCAGTGAGGACCCCCAGAGGGTGGGAGCAAGAAGGCAATGAGAGTAGATGGAGGGTTACAAAGGGCAGGATGACACCTTAGTTTGAGCCATGCTGAGCCCTGTGGCCCCTGTTGGACTTCTAGGTGGAGATGTCCCCGGGGATGGGATGCCTGAGTCTGAGGAATTGCAGTGCAAAGAGAATGGTTAAAACCAGGCAGGGTGTAGTGGCTCATACCTATAATCCCAGCACTTTTGGAGGCTGAGGCGGGCAGATCACTTGAGGTCAGGAGTTCGAGACCAGCCTGGCCAATGTGGGGAAACCCCATCTCTACTAAAAATACAAAAATTAGCTGGGCGTGGTAGCACACGGCTGTAATCCCAGCTATGCAGGAAGCTGAGGCAGGAGGATCGCTTGAGCCTGGGAGGTGGAGGTTGCAGTGAGCCAAGAGTACGCCACTGCCCTCCAGCCTGGGCAATGGGAGTGAGACCCTGTCAAAAACAAACAAACAAACAAACAAAAAACCCACACCTGTGCAGAGGTCACCAACAGGAGCATGAGAATGGAAATTGAGGACAGAGGAGAAGCTGCACACCCCTGAGAAGGAAGGGAAGGAGGAGGAGATCCTGAGAGAGACTGGAAAGGACCAGTCAGGGAGTGATTAGGAGGGCGTGAGAGAGAAAGGCCACAGGAACCAGGAAAGGGACCACATGTGAGAAGAACTGCAAAGCTCAAGGATGTTGGACTGTTTGCCTTGCAATGTCAGGGTTCAGGACACGTCAGGGCTGTTCTGGATAGAGTGGCATTGGAGGAAGACTCCATCTATGCCGCAAATGTTGAGGCCCCCAATCTGAAGCAGAGTTCCCCACAGTGAGGCCTCAGACATCCTGCAGACCACTGGAGATCTTTTTTATTTTTAAAGAGATGGAGTCTTGCTCTGTCCCCCAGGCTGAAGTGCAGTGGTGCAGTCATGGCTCACTGCAGCCTCCAACTCTGGGCTTAGGTGATCCTCCTGCCTTAGCCTCCTGAGTAGCTGAGACTACAGGTGCACACCACCATGCCTAATTTTTTAAATTTGCTTTTTGTAGAGATGGGGTCTCACTCAAACTCCTGAACTCAAGCAATCCTCCTGCCTCAACCTCCCAAAGTGCTGGAATTGCACCGCACCCATCCCTGGGATACTTATTTAACGTGAGCACTCCTGAGCCTCAGACTGAAAACTGCTAGTTGAGGGCGCTGGCCTGAAGCCAAGTTCCCCACCTTCAGGAGGTGCATCCACTGCCCTAAGTGTTCCCCGCTCACCCTCCCAAGCCCCCAGGCAGGCAGCTCCTTGTCAGTGCCTGGCTGAGCTCACCCAGGGCCAGACCCTGGGCCTTGGGCACGCTCTGGGGCTGCCCATTCATGCCCTGCCTCTTGCTCAGTTTCCAAGTCTGTTTCATTTGGGAACAATCTGCATGCCCTGCTTCCTCACCCCCACCCTGCCTTCTCACATGAGCCCCTTTCCAAACAGACACACCAGTTAACTGGAGCATGGGTGCCTAGCCTAGGACAGAAGCTGGTGAAGGGGAGATGCTCCTGAGATGGTCCGGGAGCTCAAAGAACATCCCACCATTTGGGCTAGGCCTCCCTCAGCTCCTGAATTGCCAGCTGGTGCCTGCTTGTATTTCTTCATGTAGTTTGAGAGGTGGTGGGGCAGAGTGGTTTAGGCTCTCAGGCTCTGAAGGATGATGGCTTGGGTTCTAGTCCCAGCCCTGCACTAGATGGGCAATCCTGGGCAACTCACTGAACCTCTCAGGACCTCAGTTTCTTCATCTGTAAAATGGAGTGGCTGACAATGGCAGCACCTGCATGAGAGGGTTGCAGTGAGGACTGAATGAGTTAGAATATGAAGTACATAGAACGGCGATGACCTCAACAAGTATTAGCTGCTATTACTGTAATAGTTGGCAGTAGAGTTGGTGGTGGTGGTGGTGGTGGTGGTCATTGTGGTAGTTAGCATGGGAATAGCTCCCTGACCCCAGGGCACCGCCCCCACAGACTTCGGTCCTGTGTTCTGTATCCATCTCAGAAGACTGGTGTATTAGTCCGTTTTTACACTGCTGTAAATAAATGCCTGAGACTGGGCAATTTATAAGGAAAGAGGCTTAATTAACTCATAGTTCCACATGGCTGAGGAGGCCTCAGGAAGCTTACAGTCACAGCGGAAGGCAAAGGGGAAGCAGGCACCTTCTTCACAAGGCGGCAGGAGACAGCGAGCGAAGAGGGAACTTCCAAGCACTTATAAAACCATCAGATCTCGTGAGAACTCACTCACTATCAGGAGAACACCACGGGGGGAAACTGCCCCCATGATCCAATCACCTCCCTCCTTCAACACATGGGGATTACAGGTCCCCCCATCAATACCTGGGGATTAC
The DNA here is from genome assembly GCF_000001405.40 of Homo sapiens. Classification (NCBI taxonomy): domain Eukaryota; kingdom Metazoa; phylum Chordata; class Mammalia; order Primates; family Hominidae; genus Homo; species Homo sapiens. The sequence goes on from NC_000017.11 coordinate 66,999,737, forward strand.
AGCTCCCTCCATTGACACGTGGGAATACAATCCGAGATGAGATTTGGGTGGGGACACAGGGTCAAACCATATCAACTGGCAAAAGCCAGAGCAACTGTGATCTATTAGGATAGATGAGGCTCCTTGTCCGGGCTGTCTGAGTGCGCGGCCTCCCGAGGGAAGGGCTTTATTTAGACGAATTAGAGAGAGAGCCAACGCCTCCTCCCCAACTGGCTTTCAGCTCGTCCCTGGCATGGGGATGGTGGGTAATAGATGAAGAAGCCACCCAGAGCATTTAGATGAAATTAGTGGTGTCCAAATCTCGATTGCCCTCCTAATCAGGTGATGAATGTGGCTCCCCACTGCCTATTTCCACCTGGCTTCCACGCAGCCTTCCCCAGGCTCTCTCTGCAAGCAGAATCGCTGCATTCAGGACTCTCCTCTCTTTCCTTGTGTCGTTTACAGCATTTCTCTTGCTTGATGGTGGGGAGCTGGAGTATAGCTTCCCATTAACTTTTATCCTTCCCATAAACAGCCTGCTTAACTCACGATGACTGTTGTTCCACTCTGTTCCCAGGGTTTGCTCCGTCTCCCTCCCAGCCAGCCTGTTCTCACTGTGTCCCAGCCCACCAAGCCCCACGCCTGGGCTGTCCTGTGCCTGTGGAAGGAGGGAAGCTGGATTTTACATTTTATTTACTGTTTTTTTTTTTTAAATGCAAGCAAAAGCCTCAAGCCTTAGCTCCAAAACTCCAGGAGGAAGCTGAGGCTGAGTGATCTGTGCCTGGGATTTCAGGAGCCTGGAGCCAGGAGAGGGGGCAAGGGTGCAGGGCGCCTGCTCTGGGACATGGATCCTGCCATGTGGGCATGGTCTCTGGGACTGACCGGAGGAGGGAGAGACACAGGAGGACAAGTGAGGGCCAGTGGCCAAGGTCCCTAGGCCCTGAGTGAAGTAGTGCAGGGAAGGCCACTTTGGGAGGGTGCTAGTGTCCCTAAGCCAGGACTGCTTTCGGGACGGGGGGAGGGATGTTTAGTCTGAAGATGGACAGCGATGGGGGCACAAGTTATCCTTGGGGATCCTCCCTTTCTGCTCCAAGTCAGCAGAAGACCTTGAGTAAGACTCTTTTCCCAGAGCCTGGATTCTGACTGGCCTCCCTGCCTCCACTCTGTCCTCCATCCTGGAGGAGAACAGACCTTCCTAAAAAGCAAATCTTGTATATCAGATGGTTAGCTTCACACCCTGATATGGTTTGGCTGTGTCCCCACCCAAATCTCATCTTGAATTGTAGCTCCTGTAATCCCCATGTGTCATGGGAGGGACCTGGGGGGAGGTAATTGAATCATGGGGGTGGGTTATTCCTGTTCTGGTCTCGTGGTAGTGAATAAGTCTCACGAGATCAATGGTTTTATAAAGGGCAGTTCCCCTGCACACACTCTCTTGCCTGCTGCCATGTAAGATGTGCCTTTGCTCCTCCTTCACCTTCTACCATGATTGTGAGGGCTCCCGGCCACTTGGAACTGTGAGTCCATTAAACCTCTTTTTCTTTATAAATTACCCAGTCTGGGGTATGCCTTTATTAGCAGCATGAGAACAGACTAATACACACCCCCACATGGCTCCCTCCAGCTCCCAGGCCCCTGAGGCCCTGCCACCCCTGTCCCCTCCCCCTGGTTCTCTAATTCAAGCCCCACCAGCCTCCTTTTGCCGCCTCAGACAGGCTCTGACCCCTCTGGGCCTCTGTCTGCCGTAGCCGCTGCATCTTACCTTGCTAATTTTTGCTCCTCCTTCAAGGCGCAGCTGTACTGTGGGTTCCTCTGAGTAGCCTCCCTGACCCGCTTACAGGCTATCCCAGGCCCCCTCATGCTACTCAAAGGCATGGACGGGATGACTCTGGCACCTTCACCACCATAGCCAGGGCCTAGCATGGTGCCTGGCACCCAGCAACCTCTTAATGTGTCAGCGCTGATTTGAATTCAGGGTTCTACTAGACGACCAAGTCTGCAGCTGCTCTTCCAGGACTTCAGGGGCCCTCATGGGGGAGACGAACTAGACATTTCTTTGTGATTCCATAAGGAATGGAAGGTACATGGTCCCAACATGGCAAAGCTCTTCCTGGAAAGCCACCAGTGGGCAGGACGCAGGCAGGATGTTGGGTGCCATGGGGCTTGGGATGCAGGGCCATGGACACCAGGTGTGACTGATTAGCCCAGGAGCTCTGAGGCCTTGCCTAAGCCCATGATCTGGCGGCTCCTCACCAAGTGACCAAGAAGCACTAGGGTGCTGGCAAGTGATGGAGAATTCTAACCTGGTGCTCCAGACCACAGGTATGGGAGTGTATTCATCCATTTTCATACTGCTATGAAGAAATACCTGAGACTTGGCAATGTATAGAGAAAAAGAGGTTTAATGGACTCACAGTTCCACGTGGCTGGAGAGGCCTCATGATCATAGCAGAAGGCAAAGGAGGAACAAAGGCACGTCTTACATGGCAGCAGGCAAGAGAGCGTGTGCAGGGGAATTGCTCTTTATAAAACCATCAGATCTAATAGACTTATTCACTATCACGAGAACAGCATGGGAAAGACCCGCCCCCATGATTCAATTACTTCCCACTGGGTCCCTCCCATGAGATGTGGGGATTATGGGAGCTACAATTCAAGATGAGATTTGCGTGGGGACATAGCCAAACCATATCAGGGAGGTGGTGAGAGGGATCTTAAAAACTGGGTTGGAACTTGGTATCTGGCTGCCCTGGAAGAACTGTTCTCAGCCCTGGAGGTACTCCAGAAATGCATGTGTGCTCCCTCATCCTGGCCTGGTTGCCAGAAAGCACTGGTGACCTGGCAGACCTGGCAGGTGTGTGCCCTCCCAGACACTGGCTCTCTCCACCTCTCATCTCTCTCTTTCTCTCTCTCTCTCTCTCTCTCTCTCTCCATCCTCAAATAGAATAGGGAGGCAGGGAATCATAGCAGTGACAGCACTAGTTGTAGGATCAGACAGAAGCAGGTGAGAGAATCCTGGCTGTGCTACCTTGGGCAAGTTACTTGCCCTCTCTGAACCTTGGCTTTCTCATCTGTAAAATGGGTGTATAGAAGCTCCCCCTTCATAAGTTGTTTTTGAAGCTTAATGAGTAAATGGAAAGAGCTTAGCACATGCTTTGCAGGGAATATAGTTTTCAACCAAAGCCAACACTTATTAGTCCATTAGTCATGAGGCTCAGGGAAAAACAGGGTTACTTTGCTGGGCCTTCTAAGAGTCAGGGGAGCTCTGCTTCTTTTGGAAGACACAGTATTATGGGTATATGTGGACAAGGAAGAGTCTGTGTCAGTCCTGATAGGGGGCAAACCTGGCCTGCTCACTTCTGACAATAAGACCAGCTGACTCTTTGTTATTAGAACAGGGCTGATTATAACAACAGCAAACATGTTTTAAGTACATACCATGGGACAGGCACAGTGACATTTAAAAAATGCATACAATTGTTTAATCCCCCAAATCACCCTCGGTTTATCCCCATTTGTGATCCCCATTTCACAGATGGGAAAAATGAGGCACAGAGAAGTGAATTAGGACCCCAGATCATACAGCTAATAGGTGGTAACAAAGCCAGAACTCAAACCCAAGCAGAATGACTTCAGAACGTACTGTCTCTATGCTATCCAGCCAAAGGATGATCGATAGGTATTTTATCAACTAGTAGCTCCTGAATGGAGCACTGTGTTGAGGATTCAGACTGTGATCAGGGGAGAAAAGTACTGTGATTGATTAGTAATGTCTGCCATGGGCTGAGAAGGGGAAGACTCAGTTCTGTGCAGGACATTTATTCATCACCAACCACTGCACTATTGACATTTGGAGCTAAATCATTATTTGTTGGGGCAGGGTAGGGAGTCATCCTGTGCATTGTAGAATGTTTAGCACATCCCTGGTCACGTGTTGCCAGTAGCACTTCGCCCTGCAACCCCAAGTTGTGACAATCACAACTGTCTCCAGCCTTTGTCAAATGTCACCTGGGAGGCAAAATCACCCCCTGTAGAGAACCTTGCACTAGAGCAGGCAATGGACAGGGGGTAACAGAGCTCTAAACTTGAAGTCAGGTGACCAACAGTCAAAGCTTGGCTATGCCACCAATCAGCTTATCACCATGGAAATGGCCCTTCACCTCTCCAGGCAGCAAATTCTTAATATGTGAAGTGAGTGGGGTGAAGTGGATGATCCCAAGGGTCCCTTCTAGAAGTTTATGATTATCTACTATGATGCTCCCTCTCTTGCCCAGCCCCTTCAATTAAAACTCTCAGGTTATTGGAGCATAACTTCCCAGAGATCTGCAGAGGCAAACCAACGGAAAAGCTGAAATCTGCAGAGAGCTGTTTCGCCCTTTACAGCTCCCTAGTTGTTCCTCATTAAAAAAGAAAGAAAGAAATGAAGAAAGAAACAACAACAACAACAACCCTTAGTACTGAGGTTTCATCCAAGCAGCAGTTATCCAGTAGATGCAAGGAGAAAAATCACAGAGACAATAACTGAATACCCATTCCCCTGTGTTAGGAGAGAAAAGGAGCGGTTGGTTGGGGAAATCTCTCCGGCTCCGTTTAATTATGAATCTCGGCAGGAAGCCTGGAAAATCCTGGCCCTCTCTGGAACAAAGTGTTGGAGGAGGCGTGAGGCTGGTGCTGTGGGTTCTTGAAGAACTCGCTGAGCCAGATGAGACCTCAGATGAGCACCAGCCACAAGCTTCCACGCAGCGTGGGGCTGGTGCTCAGCATCCTCATCCCCGATACAACATCCTTCCTTTCCCTGGAGCCCTGTGGTCTCCAGGGAACCCATGCTTATTTTCGTGTCTTAGAAAGTGTTGCAGACCTGCGCTGAGACATGGAGTAGAGCCTGGGCTTTGGAGCCCTGGAAAAACAGGTTGGAATCTCCCTCCCCCAGTGAAGGTACAGCTGGTTGGGGGTTAGAGTTCTGCCGGTTGCAAGCACATAAACCAACTTCTCTGACTTGATCCACAAAGAGGACTTTCTTTTTTTAAGACAGGGTCTCAGTCCTGTCACCTAGGCTGGAGTGCAGTGGTATGATCTCAGCTCACTACAGCCTCGACTTCCCAGGCTCAGTTGATTCTCCCACCTCAACCTCCCACATAGCTGGGACTATAAGCGTGCACCACCATGCCCAGCTAATTTGTGTACTTTTAGTAGAGACAAGGTCTTGCCGTGTTGTCCGAGCTGGTCTCAAACTCCTGGGCTCAAGCAATCCGCCCACTTCAGCCTCCCAAAGTGCTGGGATTACAGTTGTGAGGCACCCTGCCCCGTCCCAAAGAGGAATGTATCGGAAGGATGTGGAAGCGTCCCAAAGGATGGAAGGGAGAGCTTAACAGCCAAGATGAAGGAAGGAAAGAGGCAGGAGCCTCCATATCTGGCATCCTGGACCACTCAAGAACACCATTTTAAAAACTCCCAAAAGTCCCTTAGTCCATGGGTCTCCTCTGTCTCTGATCCAAAATATACACTTCCAAGAGAACCTCTGATTGGTCCAGCTTGGGCCAGAGGTCTGCCCAGGAGCCTTGGCTGGGGGCAGGGCCATGTCATGCAGGGCCATGGGGGAAGTTCTGTGTGAAGGACTCATTCCCAGAGAAAGGGGCTCCCCAGTGGTACACCCCTGAGGACCATCAGAACCTCAGTATGGGTGTAGTGCAAGGCAGACGGCCCACTCCCTCTCCACCCACCTTCTGCCCCTCTGAATCACTGCACAGGTGCTCACAACACAAGATTCTTAGAGTCTAGGACCCAGAGTGATGTCTCCGCTTACCACACGAGCTTTGATCTCCAGGTTCCAGGTTCACAGAGAGAATTTAGAGGTAGAAATGGATTCTCTCCAAGAATCCTGCTTCCTAAGGGAACCAGAATGGGCTGCAGACAGGCCTCGGTCCCCGAGTGGATTTTGTATCAGAGTCCAGTGCCGTCTCCCTTCTGCTGATCACAAAGGTGACCTCTCTCCCAAATCCTCCACTGGCCCCATTCCAGGCTGCTCCATTGAAAGGAAACACCTTTTCGGACCTTGTAGTTCCCTGGACTGCTAGACACAGGTGGGGTCTTGGGGACAGGGCTCCTGCCCCACTGCCTGGTTCTACAGATGAGCCGACAGAAGGAACAATGGGCCCGAGTCACTATGGAAGCCATTATCTTCTGTTGGGTCTGAAACAGTGCAGCTCACGGCCCAGCATTCCTCAGGATGGCTCTCTCCTTGTGGCTGGCAGAGGTGAGAGGTGAGGCAGGCTGAGTCCAAGGGGCCCGACATTATCCCATCAACCACCCCTCCCCACCTGGGAGCCTCTGGCAGCCTCAGGAAGCTGCCAACTTGAAGCCAGAATTGAAATGTGTCCCTTTTCACAAGGCACTCCACCATGAGGGGCAGTGAGGAGGAGAGAGCTTGTTCCTCGTGGGTGAGCAGGGGCTGCCGTGTCGAGGCAGCCAGGCTCCTCTGGGACTAAAAGAGGCCACCCAAGGGCCCCAGGGTGGGATCCAAAAGCCCTAACAGGCCAGATGATAGCAGCCAGGCTGGGGACAGAATGACAGACATTCAGAGCCTGGAGGGTCTAGAGCTCCGGGCATGAGCCATGAGTTTTCCAGCTTCAGGAAAGCTCCCAGGGCGCCTCGGCTGATGGCATGAAATCCAGTCTCCTTACAGGACGGTTCTGGCTCCCTCCAGGACTGCAGCCCCACCTGCTTACTCAGCCTCAGTACTGTCTCCGTCACCTCCCCAGGCAAGGTCCCTTCCAGAAGCTCATGCCAAACATGCCTCTGGGCTTCGTCTCGCCTGGGCCGCCATATGCCAAGTACTACTTACTCTGTGTGAACCCCAGCACCTCCCCAGGCTTCCCAGACACCCCATTCAGCACTTGTCCCTTATTCTTTGAAATTCCACAAACCTGCTCCTTGTCTCATAGTGTCACTGGCTCTCTTGTTCTAGTTACTGTGTTCGCTCACCTCCCCAGCTAGGTCATAAGCTCTCCCAGGCAGGATCCACGGGGCCTGGTGTCAATCAATGAATACCAAACTAAAAGAAAGAATGGGCAAAGGATTGAGTGGGTGAACCTTGTCCACCTCAAAAGAAAAACCCAAAACAGATTCTAGCGTGACCACAAGGCACCTCAATGACTTTAAGCTATCAAAGAAGAAATGAGGCTGGATGCAGTGGCTTACACCTGTAATTCCAGGACTTTGGGAGGTCAAGGCGGGTGGATCACTTGAGGTCAGGAGTTCGAGACCAGCCTGGCCAATGTAGTAAAACCCTGTCTCCACTAAAAATACAAAAATTAGCCAGGCATGGTGGCCGGTGCCTATAGTCCCAGCTACTCAGGAGGCTGAGGCATGAGAATCGCTTGAACCCAGGAGGCAGAGGTTGCAGTGAGCTGAGATTGCACCACTGCACTCTAGCCTGGGTGACAGAGCGAGACTCTATCTCAAAACAAACAAACAAAAAACAAACCCAAACAGATTCTAGAGGGACCACAAGGCACCTCAATGACTCTAAACTATCAAAAAAGTAATAAGCCTGTGTGAATCTTTTAGCAGTTGCCAGTGATAGTCGTCCTCATTTGCCCAAAGAAACTTCCCAGGATCTGAATGGCAAGCATTTATTATTTTTAGCCCCTCTCTTAACTCTAATTGGAACAGTCTAGTCTAAAGACATCTCCGAGAAATGAGGAGTTGAAAACCATATACTCACACTCATGACATCATCACGATTTAGCCTTCTCAAGGTTTCTTGACCAACATGGGTCTCATTGGGTCTCACTTGAGATATGAAAGGTTGTAAAAATATTTCCCCCATTTTCTGAATGAGGAGTGGCTTCCCTGACCTCTACTCTGCAGCCTGGGCCAGGCTTCTCGGTGATGTGCTGTCGGAAACTCAGGACTCTTTCTAAGCCCTTTCCTCAGTCGTCACTGAATACCTATGGAACCAGAAAGCTTCAGAAGGGCAGAGACCATGTCTGTCCTGTTCTCCTCTTGTATTATTGATTATTGCTCTAACAGAGATATGCCCAAATGTATAATGCCTTAAACATAGTAGGAGTTCATTTCCTGCTCATGTAACAGTCCAAATGGGTGGCCCTCTCAACGGACACCTGTGTTCCACAGAGTGATTCAGGGACCCAGGCTTCCTTCATCCCATGGCAGGTTGGGAGGGAGTGGAGATGGAGGGCCACCCCCACTGCTCTTGAGCCTTGTCCAGGAGTGGCTCACGTCACTTCAGTTCACATTCCATTGGACAACTGGGTCACAGGCCACCTCAAACTGCAAGGGAAGCTGGGAAATACAGTGTAGCCGTGTGCACCGTAAGAAAAGGAAACAGGTTCTAGCAAGCAGACACTCTGCTACATCTCTGAGTCCCCAGCACCTCACACACAGCAGGTGCTCAATAAATGTAAGTTCAATGAAGGAACTGAAGGTCACAGTGGCTTACGAGGGTCTCATGGAGAGCCACTAGCAGGCCAGGAAGCTAGGGCTCCCTGAGAAAGCCTGAACCAGCCCAGACTGCCTCTCCACGCCTGGAGTTTCGCTCAGGAACCCATGGAGAGGTTTCCCAACAGCCTGGCTTGCTGAAGCTGGAAAGAGGCCAGCCCGTAGGAGACCAGAGTGTGCCAATTAGGAAATCACAGTTATTAGGGGGTTTCTTTGGCACTCGGTGTGGAAGTGGAGGAATTAAGAAGGGGACCTCTAAGGGAGAATTGCGGGGAGCAGGGGGCAGGGCTGGGCAAAGAGCTGAGGCATGGGGAATCAAGGAGCCTCGAGTTTGTCAGCAGCAGCTTGGAGCACTGGCTGGTGGGCCTGACCGGTGCCTCTGCTCCAAATCCTGGGTTATGGGTTAAATTGCACCCTACCCCATCCCCACCGAAAATTCTTATGTTGAAGTCCTAACCCCAGTACTTCAGAATGTGACCTGATTTGGAGACAGGCTCTTTACAGAGGTAATCAAGTTCAAATGAGGCCTTTTGAGGCCGAGGTGGGTGGATCATTTGAGGTCAGGAGTTCGACACCAGCCTGGCCAACATGGTGAAACCCCATCTCTACTAAAAATAACAAAACTTAGCCAGGCATGGTGGCACATGCCTTTAATCCCAGCTACTCAGAAGGCTAAGGCAGGAGAATCACTTGAACCCTGGAGGTGGAAGTTGCAGTGAGCCGAGATCGCGCCACTTCACTCCAGCCTGGGTGACAGGGTGAGACCCTGTCTCAAAAAGAAAAAAATGAGGCCTTTAGAGTGGGGCCTAATCCAGTATGACTGGGGCCCTTATGAAAAGGGGAACTTTGGACATAGACACATGCACACAGAGAGAATATGATATGAAGAGAAGGCAGAGATGGGGTTGATGCTTCTACAAGCCAAGGAACGCCAGAGATCACCAGCAAACACCAGAAGCAAGGCAGAGTCATGGAAGAGCTTTCTCCCTCACAGCCCTCAGGAGGAACCAACCCCATCAACACCTTGATCTTGGGACTTCAAGCCTGCAGAACTGTAAGGCAATAACTTTCTGTCATGGAACCCCCCAGTGTATGATACTTCGTTAAAGTAACCCCAGAAAACTAATGCACCCTGCCTCTCAGTGCTGGAATGATCTTGGCCAAGTCACTTCCATCCTGGCCTCCAGTCCCTCTTCTGAAACCACGTCCAAGGATAGGAGCCAGTGTCTCCCCAAACCAAGAACATCGCTTATCATTGCTCTGGGCTGCATTTCTTGGTTTTACATCTCCTTGCTGCTCCTATCCCATGCAGCTTCCTTTAAGAAGGGTACCTCCCTGGGCCTTCCAACCTGAAGTCACGCCCTCCCTTAATCCATTCAGGCTGCTAACAAACTACAAAATATAGTGTATCTGTAGTATATAACAAAATACTATAAATTGGGTGGCTTACAATACAACAGAAATTTATTTCTCACAGTTCTGGAGGCTGCGAAGTCCAAGATCAAGGCGCCAGCAGATTTGGTGTCTGGTGAGGGTGGCTTCCTGGTTTATAGACGGTGCCTTCTTGCTGTGTTCTCATGTAGTTGAAGGGACAAACAAGCTCTCCAGAGTCTCTTTTAAAAGGACTCTAATCACATTTGTGAGAGCTCCACTAATCACCTCCTAACATCATCACCTCAGGGTTAGGAGTTCAGCATATGAATTTGGGGGTAGAGGACACAAATATTCAGACTACTGCATCCCCACCGTGGAGACTGTACAATAAACTCCCATGTCCTCTGCCCACCATGCAAGACCCCACCCCCATCCCAGCTCCTTCTTCCTCTACCTCCCCCATCACTGCTACCCAACCATGCCAGGACAGCTGTGGTTTGGGAACCTTCACACCTTTGCCCCGACTGCCCCCTTTGTTTGCACCAGACACAGTGGTGCCTTCTCTGCACACATCAGCCCTTCTCAAAAATCCTAACCTTGCTCCCCAGCCAAGCTCTGCCTTTGTCCCCATGCCTACCCTCCCTGACTACTCGCTGTCCCAGTGGTGTGGGGCCCTGGGTTGCCATCCCCGCTGCTTCAGCATCTCTGCCTGCTAGTGAAGGATTAACACAGCCTGAAGCATCAGCCAATACCCTCAGCCCCAGAGTCTAATCCTAAGGAGTGTTGGGGACATGTGCTTCCCCATCATGCTGAAGCCACACAGAACGTCTTGGAGCTCTGTGTTCTTCTGCCTCCTTGGTGTACGAAGTAGGGGCACAGACTCTGAAGCCAGGCAGCCTGGGTTCAGATCCCAGTTAGGGCACTTAGTAACAAAGGGTGTTAGCCTGTCTACCATATAGGGTTAGCATGAAGATTAAGTTAATAAATGTCAGGTGTTCAAAATAGTGCCTGATACATCATAGGTGCTAAGTACAGTAAATATTTGCTGTCACTCTTATCATGAGGACAGAGCTCTTTCATGCCCCCATCACCTATCAGCCCAGCTAAAGTCCTGTTACCCCTCAGTTCCCCACCTCCTCCATGAAGTCCCAGGCAGGTCATTTCCGGGATGGTCTGCAGCCTCCTGGAAACATAGAGCCCTCCAGTCTTTCTAGGCTGTTCCCTTCCTTCCTGTGGAAATGGGGTGGTGTGGGAGAGGGCCAGGTCCTGAGTAGTTCTGGGAAAACCTTGAGGAGAAGTAGTGATGGCAGATGATTGGCAGGAGGACAGAGAGACACAGGCATGCTCTGAGCTCCTGCAGTGTGCCCCTTTCTGAGACACAGACATGGTCCATTTGGCCCTTGGACCAGGGCTGTTACCTGAGTACAGCTACCCCCTTTCACAGCATACAGTCCAGGGAAACCTCTCCAATTTGGAGTAGTTGGGAGATGGCCACTTTAAATTATGGTAAAGTTCGCATTGCTGGCTCTCTAGAACAATACATGTTGTTTGATTATTTTGCAGTTCCTAAGTTAATTCAACCAAAATTGCCTGGACGCTTGGCCCAGATGTGGTCTTCACCCTCACCGCCTTCTCTGGTCTGTGTGGCCTCAGTAGGTGTTTCTTGCTGGTCCCTGGACTGAGTCTGGGGTTCTTTCCCTCTCCTCTTCTAGTGTTGCCTGGAGAGAGTGGGGATCATGGAGGATGGTCTGAAATCACGTATGTGAGCAGCCCCCGCAGGGGTGTGTGTTCCTGGAAGTGGACTCCACACCTTCATCATCTCAGCTTTGAGCTCAGCCACAATTTTAGGACAAGAGTCCACAGCCTAACACGCCTCAGACCCCTTCCCCTGTCTTCACTCATGGCGCCACCTAAAATGATGCTGATATTCATTTATTTTATCTTCTTGTGTCAACAGCCCGCCTTGCCCTGCTCCACCAGAATGAGAGCTCCGTGAGGGCCAGGACTCCGTCTTACTCAGACTGGCAGCCCCAGCACTTAGAACATTGCTATGGGCTCTGTAAAATGCTCTTGAGGAATGAATGAATGAATGAATGAATGAATGAGTGAGATGAGTAAACAGTGACAATACTGTCGAGCAATGAATGATTGAGTGATGAGCAAACGGTGAAAGTCTGTTGAGAATGAATGAGTGATGCATGAGTGAACAGGAAAGGTCCCACTCAGTATCATCTTCTACTTGCCCTCTTTCCTTCTCTTTCCTTTTTATGCACAGTCGTCCCCTCCTAGATCCTAAAGGGGAGTTGTGCTGCTGGGCCGCCTTCTCCCTGGCTTCCACAGCCCCAGCCAATCCGAGGCTGCCTTCTTTCCCAGGGCCTGGAGACTCCCAATACCCCGCTCTTCATCACCTGACAGCTGTTTCCTTGAAGCTAACCCAGTGCACCTGGTGGCTATCTGGTTTCTCTTCCTTTTCTGTCTTGGGGAGAAAAACCAGCTGGGCCTCACCTCCTGTAGAGCCCCAGCCCTGCTTCTATAGAGGATTCTTGGAAAGGCTGCATTGGGGCGGTGTGGGAGGAGCACTGGACAAGGAATCAAGAGGCTGGATTCCAGGGTGCCCTGTGCAGGGGACCAGGTGTTCCCTGAGCCTCACTTTCCTCTTCTGTCAAATGGAGCAGAGAAGACTTTGTTTTACATTAGGGTAGAATGCCTGATCGTTCTGCTGTGAGCCTTGTGGAAGCAGGTCTTTCAGCATCTCTAAGCCTCTTTCTCCATCTTCAAAGGAGCATTATTGCAGAGATGAAATGGGCTGAAGCATGCAACACGCCCAGCCTTCATCATAGCTTGAGCCCAGGGCTGGCATGCAGGGGGTGTATCTTGGGTGGCCATCCTAGGGACCAGGCATCGGGGAGGGGAGAGCCAATGCAAGGATGTCCTGGGCTGATGATCACCTGGCTTGGTCCTGCTGGGACCCACCCCTTCAGAAGCAGTGTAGAAAGGACTTCAGAACTGCCCACCAAGGGACAGCGTTTGGGGACCTTTATCCACCAGCTCCCATCCCGTCCTCCACTGTTCAAAGGTTTCCCCCAGGGTGGTTAATCCCTCAAACTTCCAGTTGCACGTGCGCGAGTGCAGAGTCGTTCCCTCAGGCAACCTACTCAGTGCTGTGGGCAGAAAGCAAGAAGTAACTGGTGCAGCTGAATTGAGGTGTCAGCAGGCTCCACCTGCACAGAGCTGGTCGCTCGCGGCAGCCATGTGTGGCTGGGGTAAAAGATAGGCCAAGAGGTACGAGGTGGACAGAAGGGTGACCATACACCCTCAGTAGGTGCCTGTGGCAGCTGTGAATGTGAGGATCAAATGAGGTCATGCTTTTGAAAATGCATTGCAAATGACAAAGGATTATATGAATGAGCACCATCAGCAAGTTGCCCTCTGACATGCTTTTCTCCAGGATTCCCTTAATGACGATGGCCTCAGGTGGCCCATATGGAGGCTTAGTGCCCCTGAAATGGCTCACAGGGTGACCAGCTCACCCCGTTTGCCTGGACTCTTCCAATGTTCCTATGTCCCTGGAACCCATCGGGTCCTGGGGGTTGGCCATTCAACTGTACTTGGGGATATGACCCCAAGGCATGACCTTCACGGAGGTCATGGAAGGAGAGGCTCAAATGCTGCCCACACACCCTCTGGCCCCCAGGGTTCACACCTCGCTTCCCAGCTCCCATGTCCAAGTGCATCTGCTGTCATTTCAGACACACCACCTCATTTTCACTCGGAGTCAAAGAATCTGGTCTCTTTTCTTAGTTTTATTGGTTCATTTTCAGATACTGTAGGAAATTCAGAAAACACAGAGGAATGTAAAGAAGAAAAATGTAACTTGCTCATTACTCTATCGCTCAGAAATAAAACACTGGACACATGTGGGGATATTTCTTTCCAGATGCTTCCTGTGCCCATAGAAATATACTTTTAATGAGGCCAGGTGTGATGGCTCACACCCGTAAACCCAGCACTTTGGGAGGCCGAGGCGGGTGGATCACCTGAGGTCAGGAATTCAAGACCAACCTGGCCAACATGATGAAACCCCATCTCTACCAAAAATACAAAAATTAGCCAGGCTTAGTGGCATGCACCTGTAGTCCCGGCTACTTGGGAGGCTGAGGCAGGAGAATTGGTTGAACCCGGGAGGTGGAGGTCGCAGTGAGCCGAGTCCATGCCATTGCGCTCCAACCTGGGTCACAGAGTGAGACTTGTCTCAAAAAAAAAAAAGAAATATTCTTTTAATGAAAGTGTCCCCTGATATGTGCAGATGAAGGGATATACACGTGTGCAGACGAGCCTGTACCTGCTCATGAAGGGGCATGCACACCTGTGCACACACCCCGTGCCTGTTATTTACAAAATAGTCATAGAATCTTCAAGCAGGACCGTCTCCCTCTGGTCCAATTCCTAGGTTTTCTAGATGAAGAAGTAACTTGCCTGAGGCCGAGTGACTAACAAAGTCTCCCGCTAGTGGTCTCCTGGCCCTCAGGAAGGTGAGGGCCACAGTGTCTCTGGGAGCACAGCCCAGCGACCCCTGTCTCCACCTCGCGACCTCAGCATTCCTGCAGCCCAGCCAGCCAGGATCTCACAATTAGCCACCCTAAATATCACTTAATAGATAGCACAGCAAATGGCCCATGTATGGAGAGCGAACACATGTGAAGTGGATTGAAAATGGCTTTCTTTCTTACTCCTTGCATCAGCTATTCATTTTCTCCTTACTAAATGCCCTAGGCCAGCGCTAACGAAATTAAATTTGACAGGGATAAATGTGAAGTCCTTAGCGCCAAGCATTCTACTCCACAAAAACAGATTCGGGGGAGGTGAGGCAACTTTTGTGAAAAAAAAATCCTAGGAGACCGAGTCAACAGCGATACCCAGTCCCATTAACAGAAGCATGGAGTCCAGAGAAGAGAAGAAAGTGCCAATGTGGTTTGAGCTGGTCAGACCCAGCCTGAACGTTGGGTTTGGTGGTGGAGCTGTGCCTCCAGGCACCAAGAGTTGGGAACAAGCCCAGAGGAGGGAGCCAGGGAGAAGGCACTTGAAACCGCCAGTAAAAAAATGGTAGCTGGGCACAGTGGCTCACACCTGTAATCCCAGCACTTTGGGAGGCCACGGTGGGTGGATTGCTTGAGGTCAGAAGTTCAAGACCAGCCTAACCAACATGGTGAAATCCAGTCTCTACTAAAAATACAAAAATTAGCCAGTGGTGGTGGTGCGTGCCTGTAGTCTCAGTTACTTGGGAGGCTGAGGCATGAGAATTGCTTGAACCCAGGAAGCAGAGGTTGCAGTGAGCCGAGATCGCACCACTGCACTCCAGCCTGGGCGACAGAGCGAGACTCCATCTCCAAAAACAAAAAAAAAAAAAAAAGAAAGAAAGAAAGAAATAGCTGAAGGTGTTGACTTAGGATGTTTAGGGGAAATATCCCAGATTCTTGGCTCTAGGGACAGAGAACAATCTCATTCACTCTCCACGGGGCTGAAGACAGCTTGTGCCCTTCTCCACCGCCTCGTTAGTAATAGCTGGAAACAACAGGTGTCCCTCCGTGGGTGAAAGATGAAACAAACAATGCAGCATCCATGCCGCAGAATTCCGCTCAGAAATAACACGGAGCAAACTACCGATACGCATGACAGCTTGGATGAATCCTTAGGGGGTTAGGCTGAGTGAGAACAGCCGGTCCCCAAAGCTTACATGCTGTATCATTCCATTTGTAGGAGAGTCTCAAAATGACAAAACTATTGACATGGAGAACATGTTCCTGGATGCCTTGGGTCAGGGAGGGGACGGGCAGGAGGGCTTGGGTGGGGCTGTGCGAGGGCAGCGTGGGGACTCCTTGCAGTGACCAAGTGTTCTGTATCCTGACTGTCAATGTCAGCGTCCTGGTTGTGATATTGCACTACAGTTTTGCACGATGTTGTCATGGGGAGAAGCTGAGTATAAAGGGTAGGTGTTCCAGTATTATTTCTTACAACTGCATGTGACTCTACAATTATTTCAAGACAAGTGTAATTTTTTTTAAGATGGGCAGAACCCCACGCGTATATACGTGGAAGGGTGTGCCCACGAAGGAGCATCTGAGAAGACACACGGTGGACTTAGCAGCCTGCCGCTGCAGAGCAAATCGGGAAAGAGGGACTCCTTTTTCTTTTTCAACCTCTTATTGCCACTGGTCCCACCATGCATGTGTGACTTGGTGATTTTGCTTAGACCTATGAAGTAGCCCAAAAAAAGGTGTGTGGGGAAGGGGAGGAACAGCAAAGAGCTTGGTCTCACCCACCCACAGCTGGCAAAATGCCTACTCCAGGTCTCCAGGAACATTCTGAGCCTGCCATGGGAGAGCCAGGAGTGAGAGGGGATGTAGCCGGCCCACTCTGGCCTTTGTGTCCCCACCCCACCACCCTGAGGCCAGCCTGTCTTGGAGTTCCTTCCTCTTGCTCACAAACCCTCATGGTTCTCCACCAATTCAGCCACTCATGAAGGAGCGAGGGTGGGTCATTTCTAGATCCAACAGCAGCAACCCCCCAACTCTGAGCCACCACCATGGGCCCGGAATCACCCTAAGTGCCTTTCAAGTATGACGTGGTGTAATTCTCCTAAGATCCCCAGGATATAAGGGCTGTGGCTCTGCCCATTCTACAGATGAGGAGACCGAGGAGTTAATAACTACGTTGTTCATGCTGGATCCTATGCAGAGGACACTCCTAGCATCACCTCTGAGACCCTCCCTCTGCCTCCCCACCATCCTGCCCCCCACCGCTGGCCCCCAGGGCCCATGGACCTTCAGGAATCAGGGTTGTCACTGAACACTCCAGCTCCTTGGAGGCAGCAGCTGAAGGGGCCCAATGGAGGAAAGAGCTTGGGGACGGCAGCTGGTAATCAGCTTCTTGGTGACCAGGTAGAAGGGCAGCGTGCTCCCAGCTCGCCAGGGACCTCTCCTGGTTGGAAGCATGAGAGGTGGACGTGCACCCGGACCCTGCCGCCAGGACTGTGCTCCTGACTGACTGAGGCAACAGGGGGCGCTTGCAGCCGCTGCAGGAAAGGAATTGGCCCCAGGTGGAAACTGCTCCTTTGGTGTCAAGATGAGCTTGTGGCTCCCAGGCTGCAGGAGCAGGGGGGCTGACCCGGGGGAAGGGGTTGTCTGACATGGATAGGACGTGGCGGCAACACCCTGTGCCCCTGGCAACCAATGTCCAGTTCTGTGGTGGCCATTCTCAGACTTCAGGGTAGCAGAGGACTAGGAGAGCAGGGCAGAAGATTCTGGAAGGGAGGATTGGCCTGTCCTACATTACGAAGCTACCCAGGGGTCTGGCCCCCCACCCCATGAGAGCCACTTCTCAGAGTAGGGAGGAAGAAACCAAGCAGATGATGGTCTCAGCCCTTCTGGAAGTTTCTCTTGCTCCATCCTCTCTTCCCTCAACCGCATTGAGTGAGGGGATTGGAATCTGCACCAGCTGTGTACCTGAGGAAGGAGTCACCATAACTGTGGTTTTTTGAGTTTTTTTGAGACAGGGTCTGGCTCTGTTGCCCAGGCTGGAGTGCAGTGATGTGGTCTCAGCTCACCGCAACCTCCACCTCCCAGGCTCAAGTGATCCTCCCACCTCAGCCTCCCGAGTAGCTGGGATTACAAGTGCACCCCACCACATTCAGCTAATTTTTGTACTTTTAGGAGAAATGGGGTTTCACCATATTGCCCAGGCTGGTCTCGAACTCCTGGGCTTAAGCGATCCGCCCTCCTCAGCCTCCCAAAGTGGTGGGATTACAGGCGTGAGCCACTGCATCCGGCCATAACTATGGTTTAAGAGAGGGAAAGACACAGACAGACAGACTTCAACCCCACCCTTGCCTTCACATGTCTTGCTTCTCTGCCTGGAAAGCCCCCTGTGCCCCATTCCCAGTGGGCAAATTCGTTGTTGTTGTTGTTGTTGTTGTTGTTTGTTGTTGTTTGAGACAGAGTCTTGCTCTGTCGCCAGGCTGGAGTGCAGTGGCGCGATCTTGGCTCACTGCAACCTCTGCCTCCCGGGTTCAAGCAATTCTTGTGCCTCAGCCTCCCGAGTAGCTGGGACTATAGGCATTCGCCACCACGGCCAGCTAATTTTTGTATTTTTAGTAGGGACGGGGTTTCACCATGTTGGCCAGGATGGTCTCGATCTTCTGACCTCCTGATCCACCCACCTCGGCCTCCTAAAATGCTGGGATTACAGGCATGAGCCACCGTGCCCAGCCTGTTTTTTATTTTTTTCAAGATGCGGCTAAGAGTCCCTTGGGTAGAGGGATCCGACCTCCTGCTTGCCCCGGGCAGCTCTGCATGGCACCTCTTGTCTCAATGGTTATTCATGCCGGGTCCCATTACTCTCACGTGCGTCCACCCTTGGACCATAACTAGGGTCACCTTTGGGGCATATCTCTCCCGGTGTAGCCATTCTCTGTGTGTCTCTCCCGTGCCCCCACCAGACTGGAACGCTGGAGCCTGCCTTTCTTCTCTGTCTGTCCCCAGGACCTGCACAGAGGCTCACACACATGGCAACCGTGTCTGGAGTGAACGGATGAGTGAACCCAGACAGCATTTACAGTGTTCTTTTCCTCTCGTTCCTTCCAGGGATCTATAAAGGGCACTGCTTCCGGATCAATCACTTCCCAGAGGACAATGACTACGACCACGACAGCTCGGAGTACCTCCTCCGTGAGTGTCAGGAGGCCTGGACTCTCTTTCTGTGGGGAGGCGGAAGGGTGGGGGAAGGCGGCCGGAGGAAAGAGAGACACTGGGCATGGAGAGGGTGATTGTCTTGGGATGGTCCACTCACTGTCTTACTTATTCAGACATTGTGAGTTTGGAGGATGGAGTTTTGCTCATCACTGCCATGACATACTGGGTATCTCAATGCGGTTATTTGGCTGAGAGGCCTGTACCCTGGGGAGATGGGCCTGTGCCCTGGGGAGAGAGACCTGAGCAGAAAGCCTGCTGGGCATGGCAGGCTTCAAAGTTACTGACTGGCTGGAGCTGGGGCTGGAGCAAGGAAGGTTAAAGATATAGGCTCTGCCCAGGCTGGGCCTCCCTGAGGGGTGTGGCTCTCTAAGCACAATGGGGCCTCCCCACCCTCTCCTGCATACTCTCTTCCATTCCAGTCTTGAAAAATCAGATACAGTCACACACCAAGACAGCCTCTTGGGGTGCTGGGAGACCCAGGGGAGAAGGCGAGGAAGGTGCCAGGGAGCAGCCTCTGATATATGGTCCTGAAGTCTTTTCAGCACCGCCTCTGCCCATGGGAGCCCCCACCTGCTCCTGGGTCCAGTGACTGCATGTGGCCCGCAGACTGAAGCCCGGAAGTCACAGCACAAGCTCAATCCCAAATGACAAACCCAGCCCCCACACTAAGTCCAGATCTCATCCCTGGGCCTGTGAATACCTCCCTGGCAGCAGCCAGGGAGGAGCCTGCAAATAGAAAAATTGCACCATTTTGGAGTCATTTTCCCCTTTCACATTAACCAAGACACACAAAGAGCAGCTCACAGCAGCACCCCTGGGGCTCAGACCCAGCCTTGTTGATGGAGAATCAATACCAGCATCCTCAGAGAGAGCACAATTCACTCTGCACCTGCTTATGGATCGTTTTTTCTAAGAGAAAGGATTTTGATTCTGAGTCATCTGGTGAAATAGAACAGCACGCGGTTCCCATAGAGCCTGGGGCAGTGTCAGGCTGCTGCGACCAGGCCCAGAACATGAACTAATTTGGCCACCGCTCTGCCTCCCATCCTTCCTCCCTCACCTCCTCCTCCTCCTGTCTATGCTCTCGTTCTGCTTACCGGGGGCCCACACTGAACCAAGCAAATGAGATTTCCACAGGGCCGCCAGAGATGGTTGTGCAGGTTGCACACTGCACAACTCAAGGGATGTCACCTGCATAAATTATGGTATGAACATCCTTCCAGTTGTACAGTGCACGTCTGCACAACCAGCCACAGAGGCCCTTGGTGCTCAGCCTAGCTGGGATGGCTCAGTTGAAAATCAGCCCCAACTCAGAATCTGCCTTTCTCTGCCCAATCCAGGGCAATCAGGTGGTTCTTAAAGCTCTGGGGGCAGATGTGCCCATGGCCCAACCCTGGGACTGTAAGGAAAGAGGCATTAGAGAAACAAACCGTTCCCTCTCCATTTCCCACTGGAGCTCCCCTGAGGTTATGGGCGTTGGTGCTGGTTGTTCTTTACTCGCCTGTCTCTGTCCCATTCATGGTCCCGGAGTGCTGGGGTCTCTTTATGGATTGGCTTCAAGATGCAGAAGCCCAGAGGTCACCCCACATGGCTTCCCAATCTCCCAGCAGGAAGTAGATGTTACAGTCAAACAGGATGAATGAAGGATGTTTACGGAAGGACTATTTACAAAGGTGCGGGTGAGGTTAAGGGAAACCCACAAGGGCTGGAGAGCACCCCGGGGCCAGCAATAGCCGGGAGCCCTTACCCTCCTCAGCCTGGATAGGTGAGGGGGGCAGGCATGGGAGCCTGGAGGAGGGAGCAGTAGGGACAGGGCTGCCTGGCAGGAGCTGCGGCTGTTGGGAAGCAATGCCACCCCTTCACCTGCAGCTGGGCAGAACTCCCTCGCCGAGACCCTTCTCCAAAAGCCAGAGGCGGAAGCCCGAGGATTTGGTCCACACAGTCAGCTTGGCCCAGGGCAGGATGGAGTGAGGATCTGGAAGAGCAAGAAAAACAAAAACGAGTGAGCTGTTCCAGCTCCTCTGGGGAGGGCGCAAGGCGGGGAGGGCTGCAGAGTGATTTTCCCAGATATAATGATGGTGACAGCACAACCGCAATTAGAGCTCATTGGGGAAGGCCATGTTCTCCTTAAGCGTACGCTGTGGGGAAAGCAGCCAGGTTCATTAACAAGCTCAGAGATGCACATGGAAGAGACAGCTTGACGGCTTTCGGGCCTGTGGTCTCTGCTGCTGGCAGAAGTCAGGGCGGGGTGGGGCTGAACTGACTTCCCAACAGGGAGGTGTTTTTCCACTCGGTGGCTGCAGAAACAGGGATATCTGGCCCTAAAACCAAGCTCTGCATGTGTCTTTGATCATCCTTTTATCTCCAGAGTGCAGGTGCCTGTGAGCTTGAAGCCGGAGGGGCTGAGCAACTTTCAGAGACAGGCCAAGGTCATGATCACCACAGACAACTGGCATGTGTTTCCAGGGCCACCCTGATTTCTAATATTTTGTCTTCTGGTCCCTGTCCAGACTATGGCTCCTCAAAATATGTAGAAGCACAGGAGGGAGGTCTCTGGCGGCTGATATTTGCAAGAAGTGAGGGTTCATGAGAGTTCGTTTATTCATTCATTTAACAAGTTATTGCAGCCAGATGCAGTGGTTCACTCCTGTAATCCCAGCACTTTGAGAGGCCAAGGCGTGAAGATCGCTTGAGGTTAGGAGTTCCAGCTTGGTCAACATAGTGAGACCTCATCTTTACAAAAAATAAAAATAAATTAGCCAGAAGTGATGGCACATGCCTCCAGTCCCAGCTATTCAGGAGGCTAAGGTGGGCGGATCATTTGAGCCGAGGAAGTTGAGGCTGCAGTGAGCCACGATCGTGCCACTGCACTCCAGCCTGCATGACAGAGCAAGACCCCATCTTAAAAAAAAAAAAAAAGTTATTGTGGGCCTGCTATGTACCAGGCACTGTATTAGACATGTGGAGTACAGCAGCAAAGAAAACAGGGCTCTGCCTCCGGGTGGAGAATGGGTGTTTTGGAGAAGGCAGCAGAAGCTTCCATGGTGGGGCTGCCTGCAGGATGCCTGTTTCAGGCCAGCTCATCTGCGTGGGCGTGGAGCACCAACCCTGGTAGATCCAAGGCTGCGCTGCTCCCACCCAGTCTTTGACAATTCAAGAAGGAACTCCGCCCCGAGCCATGCTTTCTGAAGCCTTCCACAGAAGCTGGGCTTGTGTTGTTTGTTGCAGAGCCCCCTGAAGGCCTCTGAGCTCTTACGATGTCACTGCTGATTTGCAGGTTCACAGCCCAAGATTTGAGGGGGTCACCACCCCACATCCTGCCTACCTTCTCTTCCACAGGCTCTGCTGGTCCCAGGGCTTCCTGCCCACCTTGCCCTGGGCCTGGTGCCCCTCTCCAAGTCTGCATTTCCAGTTAGGTGGATAACTTCTGTGCCAGGCCGCAGGGGGCTGGTGTCAGGGCTGCTGGGAGTCCACAGTGTGCCCGGGGGTGAGTTAGAAGGAAGTGTCTTGTCTCCTGGCAGATGCAGATCCTCTGCCAGGGCTTGATATGGCCAGCAGGGCACGGGCTGGACTTCAGCCTCACTCATCCCTCCACCCCTTAGCCACCTGCGCTGTGCCCGACCTGCACCACTGTCCGTGGCAATCCCAGCTGGCATCTGCACATCCACAGCTCAGGAATGAGTCTGTGTGGCAAGGCATAGGTGCTTGTGTGACTTATCTGGGCAGGATGGATGGCTCTGAGCCAAGCCTGGGCATCCAGTGATCTTAGAGCAACTGGGCTTTTTTTTTTTTTTTTTAAGACGGAGTCTCGCTCTGCTGCCTAGGCTGGAGTGCAGTGGCGCGATCTTGGCTCACTGTAACCTCTGCTCCCGGGTTCAGGCGATTCTTGTGCCTCAGCCTCCTGAATCGCTGGGATTACAGGCACTCGCCACTATACCCAGCTGATTTTTCTATTTTTAGTGGAGACTGGGTTTCACAATGTTGGCCAGGCTGGTCTCAAACTCCTGACCTCAAGTGATCCACTCACCTCGGGCTCCCAAAGTGCTGGATGGACTTCCTTCTTTCGGATTCCTCTGACCTGTCTGCAGAACGAGGGCATTGAGGGGATGACTGACCTCAACTTTTCTGGCCAGCACAGCTCAGAGGCACATTTCAGAAACACAGGAAACTTCATCCCAGAGCCCGCTGCTGCCAGAAGGCAGAGAGGAATCGGAGAGGAGGAGGCACCGGAGAGAAGAACTGCATTTAATGCCCCCAGACAATCTCCTCTCTGTGAAGCAGGGACACACACTGATGCGTTCACAAAAAAGGAGACAAACCCTGCCTTCAGAGGAGAGGCTGACAGCCCTGAAACCCGCTCAGCTGGCTGGGGAGGGTGGCGCCTGCCAGTGCGGCCCGACTCACTGTCCCCTGCGGGGGCCACCAAGGGTCCATGCAGCCGAGATTTCTACGGGGCTGGGAGACAGCAGGTGCTTGGGAAAGGCCGAGCTCTGGGCTTTCCTTTCCCAAGCCTTGCTTCCCTCCCTCTCGCCTTCCTCCCAGCCCAGATGCTAAGGGAGGGGCACCCTAAGCCCCTACTGGGTGCTTGACATTTTCTCACAGTAACCCTCCAATGGGGCATGTTCATCTCCCAAGGCCATTGTAACAAATGATCAAAACTGCGTGACCTGCAACAGAAATTCACTGTCATGGTGTGGAAGCCAGAAGCCCGAAGTCAAGGTGTTGGGGGACCCTGCTTTCTCTGAAGGCTCTAGGAGAGGACCATTCCTCTCCCAGCTTTGGAGGTGGTTGGCACTCCTTGGCCCATGGCAGCAGCATTGGGTCTCTGCCTCCGTCTTCACAGCCCCTTCTCCCCTGTGTCTTCTCCTAAGGTTCTTATAAGGATGCTCGTCGTTGGATCTAGGGCCCACCGGATTCATCCTGGATGATCTCAGCTTGAGATTCTTAACTGAGTCACATCTGCAAGACCTCTTCTTTTTTTTTTTTTTTTTTTTTTTGAGACAGAGTCTCGCTCTGTCACCCAGGCTGGAGTGCAGTGGCGCGATCTTGGCTCACTGCAAGCTCCGCCTCCCGGGTTCACGCCATTCTCCTGCCTCAGCCTCCCAAGTAGCTGGGACTACAGGCACTGGCTACAACGCCCGGCTAATTTTTTGTATTTTTCCTAGAGATAGGATTTCACCATGCTAGCCAGAATGGTCTCAATCTCCTGACCTCGTGATCCACCTGCCTCAGCCTCCCAAAGTGCTGGGATTACAGGCGTGAGCCACCGCGCCCAGCCCTTTTTTTTTTTTTAAGACAGAATGTCACTCTTGTCGCCCAGGCTGGAGTGCAATGGCGCAATCTCAGCTCACTGCAACCTCCACCTCTGGGGTTCGAGAGATTCTCCTGCCTCAGCTTCCCAAGTAGCTGGGATTACAGGAGCCCACCACCATGCCCGGCTAATTTTTTTTGTTTGTTTTTAGTAGATACGGGGTTTCACCATGTTGGCCAGGCTGGTCTCGAACTCCTGACCTCAGGTGATCTGCCTGCCTTGGCCTCCCAAAGTGCTGGGATTACAGGCATGAGCCACTGCGCCTGGCCAAGGCCCTTTTTCCAAATAAGATCAATTACAGGTCCTAAGGGTTAGGACACAGGTATATTCTAGGGAGGCTGCAATTCAACTCCCTACAGGTAGATGTTACTATTCCCAAGTTATAAAAGGGGACTGAGGTGGTCACCAAAGTCAGCTGTCCCCGGTCAGCTAATCAGTGGCAGAGCGAGGTTAGTCAGTGGCAGAGCCCTGGTGTCAGGGCTACAAAGTTGGTTCTGTGGACACTGTGGGTCACGAGCATCCCTCTCGGCCCAGCCACACCTCCCCTGCGACTTCAGGCCGGTTTTGAGGTCCCACATCCTTGTCTATCACCTAGGGGCTGATGATGATGATGATGATCAAGGTATAGAATGGCCAGGCCCAGTGCTATGCACCTTACATGTACAAAACCAAGCACATGTGTAGGACACTGGTGCTATGAGGAACCTCATTCCACAGATGGGAAGCTGAGTTTTGGAGAGGGAAAGTGACTTGGCCAAGGCTACACAGCCAGCATGCCACAGCAGGGCCCACGCCCAGACCCACCTAATGCCGATGCGTGTGCTCTCAACCACTGACCAGGGCCACCCTTTGTGGACACTGCTTCCCAGCCTTCCAGGGGCTTCACGGAGACTGCGTTCATGCAAGGGCTTAGGGGGCTGTGCAGTGCCACAAAAATGTGATGCGGTTTGTTGCTTTCATGGCTGTTACTCTGGTCTCCCTGGTGCCCACTCCCAGGGAGAGACTAAACAAGAGGTAGACAGATGTGACTCCAGGGTGAAGGGCAGGCCCGGAGCCCCCACTTGCATCTGATCCAATGGCCCTGAGCCTCCCCAGGCACTGGCCCACCTCGAGTCTCCAGGTCCTGATGGGAATCTCAAATCCTGGGGAAGGGCCTGGAGCTGCAAGGTTCCTGGGAGACATACGCAGCCATGCCCGGGAGGGCACCTGATCTCACTGCCCTCTGCTTTGTGCCCCCCACCTCCCCGGCCAGGCATCGTGCGAGCCTCCAGCGTCTTCCCCATCCTCAGCACCATCCTGCTCCTGCTGGGTGGCCTGTGCATCGGTGCTGGCAGGATCTACAGCCGCAAGAACAACATCGTCCTCAGTGCCGGCATCCTCTTCGTGGCTGCAGGTGAGCCGCCCGCCCGGGCTGGTGCTGGGCCGGGAGCTGGGGACACAGGAGTGCCTGTCTCGTGTGGTCCCCACTGCCAGGCAGTGTGCATCCTAGAGGGGAATGCAGACATAACATCGCCACATGCAACTGACTTGTAAAGTCCCAATGTTCAGGACTGGGGGTGGATGGAGAATGGGGAGCAGCTGCCAAACAGAGCTTCCTTTTGGGGTGACAGAAATGTTTTGGATGCTTGCACAACATTTTGAATGCGCCAAAAGCCACTGGATTGTGCCCTTCAAAAGGGTTACTTTTATCTTGCATGAATTTCACCTCAACCGGAAAATAAGTCCAGGTGTGCAAAGTGGTGGGTGGGGTTCAGCTGGCAGTTTTACAAGCCTGTGACAGGAGCCTGGCTGGGTCAGGCGGTCAGGGAGGTGCCCACGGGAATCATGCCAAAACTCGAAGGAGTTGGCCAGGTAAAGACAGGGCGAGGGCCCGGAATGGGCATGAGTGGCCGTCTTGCAGAGGAAGCAGAAGTCCAGGGTGCCCTGGGAAGAGTGAGCGGGGAAGCTCGGCAGAGCAGGCGGCCCCCGCCCATCCCGACTGCCCCAACCCTCCTGGCTACAAGAAGGCAGCAGCACCTCAGAGCCATGCCCGATGTCCCCGGAAAGTGCCATCGGGGAATAGCCACAGAGCTGTGGGTGACAGTGACATGCCACCTTGGCTGAAGATGGGCAGGCCTGGCGTGGTGCCGCACACGTGGGCCTCCCAGAGCACCCTTGTCCTGTCCTGCATTCCCTCGCCCTTTCTCCTGGAGAGGGTAGATGACTTCCGTTCACATCCTGGGACCCGCAGCCACTGCAGCCTTAGAGGGGCTGGCTCCAGCTCTGCAGCCGCCATTGGGGAGCCAAGGTGCCGGGCCCCGGTTCTACACCATTCCAGCATCTGTTTCCTTCCAGCGCAATAAATAGACGTGTGTGTGGAGTGCGTGCATCTGCGAGTGATCTGTGGGGCCTGTACATGTGTCAGGAGTGTGGTGTGTGTATGTGTTTGAGAACTGTGATTGTGTGTGTGGTGTATGTGTGTGTTTGAGGACTGTGGTGTGTTTGTGTGTGTGAAGAGTGTGGGATGTGTGTGTGTATTTGAGGACTGTGGTGTGTTTGTGTGTGTGAGGAGTGTGGTGTGTTTGTGTGTGAGGAGTGTGGTGTGTGTGTTTGAGGACTGTGGTGTGTTTGTGTGTGTGAAGAGTGTGGTGTGTATATTTGGGGACTATGGTGTTTGTGTGTGCGAGGAGTGTGGTGTGTTTGTGCGTGTTAAGAGTGTGGTGTGTGTGTGTATTTGAGGACTGGTGGGTTTGTGTGTGTGAGCATGGTGTGTGTGTATTTGAGGAATGTGGTGTGTGTGTGTATTTGAGGACTGGTGGGTTTGTGTGTGTGAGCATGGTGTGTGTGTATTTGAGGAATGTGGTGTATGTGTGTGTATTTGAGGACTGTGGGGTGTGTCTGTATTTGAGGAATGTGGTGTATGTGTGTGTATTTGAGGACTGTGGGGTGTGTATGTATTTGAGGACTGTGGTGTGTGTGTGAGGACTATGGTGTGTGTGTGTGTCTGAGGAGTGTGGTGTGTGTATTTGAGGACTGTGGTGTGTGTGTGTCTGAGACGTGTAGTGTGCGTGTGTGTATTTGAGGACTGTGGTGTGTGTGTGTGAGGACTATGGTATATGTGTGTCTGAGGAGTGTGTGTTGAGGACTGTGGTGTGTTTGTGTGTGTGAGGACTATGGTGTGTGTGAGGAGTGTGGTGTGTGTGTGCACATGTGTGTGTGTTGGGAAGAGGAGCCTGTGTTGAGGGTCTCCTGGGAGAAGCATGAACCTCCCTCCTGGACAGGTCCCCCCGCCCTTCCCTTCTTCCCCCCACCTCCTTTCTCTCTCTCCTGCCCCAGTGCCCGCCACCTGCTCCTTGAAGCAGTCATTTTTCAAAAGGTGTGAGCCGTTTAGGAGGTCCCGGCTGTGACCCCTCAACACTGCCCCAGAGCGTCCTCCCCACGGCAGGGAGAGAATACTCCAGTCACATCAGAAACCACAGTGGCCATGCCAGCGCTCTGTGAGCCCAACCCCACCATCCCTGCTCCTGCGGAGGAGGCACACAGGCGGTCCAGCAGCTCAGGTGGCTTCCTTGAAGTCACACGCACAGTGGCAAAGACATGCTGTGCCCAGGGCTGCCAGCCTCCAAAGCCCTTCGAGGTGCCCCCTGCAGCTGCCCGTGCCCCCAGGAGGAGCCGTTTCAAAGGCAGGCCCAGATGCTTGGTGCCACCAGAGGGACTTGGAGCCTGGACCCAGAGCCCTAGCCGAAGAAAATGAGTCCAGGCAGAGAAGGTGGCCGCGGCTGGCTGCAAGGAAGCAATGGGGAGGCCAGCAAGGGGACATTGGCTTATTCCCTGGCGCATGGGGCACTGATGGGGACTGAGCAGGGCAGCAGGCACTGAGTCATGTGTGGGGCCTGGCTTCAGGCCACCAGCCCTAGCAGGGAGGTCTGACAGGCTCTTAAAGAACTCGAGGTGGAAAATGGTAGGTGCCACAGGAGAGGGACAGTTTCCAAGGCTGGGAAAGTCAGAAGAAGACACAAGACTTCTCTGGGAAACTGGAATTCATGGAGTTGTTATTTAAGAAACCCTTTTCCAACTCGTGCTGAATACAGAGAGGGGAAGAAAACACAAAGCTAGGGAAGCAGCAAGAGAGAGATCAGAGGGGAGACAGGTGAACTAGCGGTGGCTCATGCCTGTAATCCCAGCATTTTGGGAGGCCGAGGCAGGCGGATCACTGGAGGTCAGGAGTTCGAGACCAGCCTGGCCAACATGGTGAAACCCTGTCTCTACCAAAAAATACAAAAATTAGCTGGGTTTGGTGGCAGGTGCCTGTAATCCCAGCTACTTGGGAGTCTGAGGCACGAGAATCACCTGAACCTGGGAGGCGGAGGTTGCAATGAGCTGAGATCACGCCACTGCACTCCAGCCTGGGCGACAGAGCAAGACTCTGTCTCAAAAAAAATAAATAAATAAAAAGCGAACTAGTAGGGTAAAAAAAAACCATGTTGGAAAGGGTTCTTACAGAACACAACAGAAGAGACAAGGAGTTGAAACCCAGGACTGGTGTGCTCAGGGCAGGACTGCTGGACCCCTTAGCAGAAGATATTCTAACCCTTCCACACAGGGTGGGTGCCACAGAGAATGGACAGAGGACGTGGACGGTGCAGAGACAAACACAACACAGCACTTTATGATAAAACGCAATGGGCCGGGCACGGTGGCTCACGCCTGTAATCCCAGCACTTTGGGAGGCTGAGGCGGGCGGATCACAAGCTCAGGAGATCGAGACCATTCTGGCTAACACGGTGAAACCCCGTCTCTACTAAAAATACAAAGAATTAGCTGGGCATGGTGGCGGGTGCCTGTAGTCCCAGCTACTCAGGAGGCTGAGGCAGGAGAATGGCGTGAACCCGGGAGGCGGAGCTTGCAGTGAGCCAAGATCGCGCCACTGCACTCCAGCCTGGGGGACAGAGCGAGACTCCGTCTCAAAAAAGAAAAACAAAAACAGAAAAAAAACGCAATGGATGGTAATTGAACTTACGTCAGGCGCCCTGTGTGCTGGGTGCTGTTGTGAGCACTTTGTATATATCAGCTCATTTAATCCTCACACCAGCCCAGTGAGGTGTGGACCACAGTTACTCCCACTTTACAGATGAGACTGACGCATAAGGAGTGGGAGTAATTTGCCAAAAGTCACACACTGGTATTTGGTAGAACCAGAACTCAAACCCCACCAGTGTGGCTCTGTTCAACCTCCCTTAGAATAAGAGAGAATTGGATAAACACAACAATGGCTATTTTTCACTTCCCATATTGGCAAAGAACCAGAAGTCTGATAATATTCATGATAGGCTGTTGGGACATTTGTACCCTTACAGAGGGCACTTAGTGACTAAATTTAAAACACTAAATGCAATGTAATATCCTGAATCCATCCAGGGACAGAGAAAGGACATTAGTACAAACCCAGTAAAATCCAAGTAAAGGCTGGGCGTGGTGGCTCACACCTATTATCCCAGCACTTTGGGAGGCTGAGGCAGGTGGATCACGTAAGGTCCCGAGTTTGAGACCAGCCTAGCCACATGGTGAAACCCTGTCTCTACTAAAAATACAAAAATTACCCAGGCATGGTGGTGCGTGCCTGTAATCTCAGCTACTCAAGAGGCTGAGGCAGGAGAATCGCTTGAACCCAGGAGGCGGAGGTTGCAGTGAGCGGAGATCGTGCCACTGCACTCAGCCTGGGCAGCAGACTGAGACTGAGCCTCTGTCTCAAAAAACAAACGAGGCCGGGTGTGGTGGCTCACGCCTGTAATCCCAGCCCTTTGGGAGGCCGAGGCAGGTGGATCATGAGGCCAGGGGTTCAAGACCAGCCTGACTAACGTGATAAAATCCCGTCTCTACTAAAAATACAAAAAAAAATTGGCTGGGTGTGGTGGCGGGCGCCTGTAATCCCAGCTACTCAGGAGGCTGAGGCGGGAGAATTGCTTGAACCCGGGAGGCGGAGGTTGCAGTGAGCCGAGATCGCGCCACTGCACTCCAACCTGGGCGACAGAGCGAGACTCTGGCTCCAAAAAACAAACAAACAAACAAACAAAAACAAACAAATCCATGTAAAGTCTGAAGTAATGTACCAGGTTGTTTTCTTTGTGGCGGCGAATGTTCCACATAACGTAAAATGTTAACATTAGGGAGAGCTGGATGAGGAGTATATGAAACTCTCTGGACCTGGCTACTGTGCGGTAAATCAAAAATTATTCCCAAACAAAAATGTATTTTAAGTGTTTCAATGCACATGGCCCAGCAGTTTCACTGCAAGGAATGCACCCCGTGGTTGTACCCATGTGCACATGTGAGGCTGTAGACACAAGGGTGTCCAAGGCAACCTTGTCACAGCAGAGGGCAGGGAGCACCCAGACATCTCCCGTAAAGGCCTGGTTAGGTGGGTCGTGAGACTTCTGTATGGCGGTGCCGCACGTAGTTAGAAAGACAGGGATGGCTCTCCATGTTCTGATTCAGAACCGTCTCTCAGATGTACTGTTAAGAGAAAAACTAAGCAGCCAGAGTACTGTGCAAAGGAAATAATAGGGGTGTGTGTGTGTGTGTGTGTGAAGAGAGAAATTTTTTTTCTGGAAGGACATACGAAAGAAGACAACAGTAGTTGCCTTAAAGAGGGGAACTGGGGGCTGAGAGTGTGTTTTATTGTATACCTCATTTGAACTTTGTACTCTATTACCCATTCAACATTAATTACTGAAAAGAAAAATTAGCAACCAGAATAAAGAAATACTCATCAGAGAGGGGAGTGTCCACCTGTTCCCTACACTGCCCGTCCCACTGTGGGTCTAACCTCTGCCTCTCTCCCTCCCTGGCCCCGCTCCCCGCTCCCCGCTTCCCTTTCAGGCCTCAGTAACATCATCGGTATCATCGTCTACATTTCCAGCAACACAGGTGACCCGAGTGACAAGCGGGACGAAGACAAAAAGAACCATTACAACTACGGCTGGTCTTTTTACTTTGGAGCTCTGTCTTTCATTGTGGCTGAGACCGTGGGCGTCCTGGCTGTAAACATTTACATTGAGAAAAATAAAGAGTTGAGGTTTAAGACCAAACGGGAATTCCTTAAGGCGTCTTCCTCTTCTCCTTATGCCAGGATGCCGAGCTACAGGTACCGGCGACGGCGCTCGAGGTCCAGCTCAAGGTCCACCGAGGCCTCGCCCTCCAGGGACGTGTCGCCCATGGGCCTGAAGATCACAGGGGCCATCCCCATGGGGGAGCTGTCCATGTACACGCTGTCCAGGGAGCCCCTCAAGGTGACCACCGCAGCCAGCTACAGCCCCGACCAGGAGGCCAGCTTCCTGCAGGTGCATGACTTTTTCCAGCAGGACCTGAAGGAAGGTTTCCACGTCAGCATGCTGAACCGACGGACGACCCCTGTGTGAGCCGCCTGCCCTTTCTCTCCGCTCCAGCCTCTCCCCAGAACGGCTCTTTTTGTCACACAGGATGGCATGTGATCCTCAAGACGACGAACAATGAACTAAAGCCAAATGCAGCCCTCCCTGGCCTCCAGAGGTGGCGTGGGCTGGCTTTGCACGAAGGTTGTGCTGGGAGACCGGACCCGGGGCTGCAGAAGAAGCTGAAGGCTGACTTTGTCCCCTCCCCGAAAAAGGGTGTTTTGATGCCTCAGGGTCTCTGAAATCTCCCGGGAAGCCCCAGAGCTTTCCTGAGGCTGCCTGGCCTTGATCAACTTGGGAAGACAAAATTGAGCCATTATCTCCTCTTGGAAACGAATCTTGCCAGAAAAACGGGATTTCAGGGCCTTCCCTCCCTGCCTGGGTGTCGGGCCACCAGAAGGCTCTGCCGGACGCCAAGAAGACGGTCTCTGGGCTCTTGTCAGCTGCTTTTGAACCTGAGGTTCCTGCGTCGTTGAGCCAGAAATCAGACCACCGAAGCTCACTCCCTTCCTCTCCATCTCTCCCTCTCTCCAAGACTCTGGCAGTGGCCTATGATCCTGAAGACAGCTCTGCAGCCAACTGGTGCTTTGGCCTTTGCGCTGTCCCGGGGCCAGCTTCCCTCGACCTGGGGAGGCCGTGGCCTGTGGAGGAGGCCCAGGTAAAGGCTGGGGGCTGTTGCTGGCTATCCTCTTTGCTTCTGGAAGTTTCTGCCTCACTCAGAATGGGCAGGACAGACCCACTGACTGGACTTCAGAGTCTGGAGGGTTCCATCGGTCAGGGGAATGGCGGCCACGTGACCTCTTGCCGTGCCCCTTGTCATAGACCCAAGGAGCAACTCTGTCCCCTGAGCGTTGGGGGTCCCGGGGGAGAGGTGGACAGACACCTCCCTCCAACTGGCATTTGGCAACAGGAGCCTGGACTTCTGTGCAAGAAAGGGAGACCTAAGGGTGAACAGTGGCCAATAAAAACCCTAGAGAACAAACATCCATTTCCTAGGTGGTTACAAATCATAACTTCCTGCAAATCAACGCCAGGAGAGCAACTTACCTTCATTTCTTTGTCTTAAAAAGTAGCAGCAACTGGCCCCACAACTCCTGTCATTGTAAGTTATTCTGCCACCACCTAACAGGACGGAGTGGAGTGAGTTTGGATAAACGGACCGAGCTGGGCTTCTCTTCCTCCCTACAGAGGGGAGATCTCAGCACTTTGTCCGGAGCTGAGGAAGTGGTTTCTGTGTTTTACAGTTTTTCCAGCCATTCTTTTCTTCCCCCTCCTGAAGCAAGCAAAGAGCGTGGAGGCGTGTGCAGGCTTGGAAGAAGAACTCTCCAGAACATGGAACTTAACCCTCTTTTGTATAAAACATGTGCTTTCTAAAGAAAAATTGTTTCTTATTTTTTGAGACTCCTTGATCCACCCTGGAACAGTCGCCTGTAGTCCTGGTAGCTGTTGTGCTTGGAAATAACGAGCGCATCCTTGCCTCAGCTACCTGCTCACAGCCCATGGGTGGACTCGGCCCCCTGGGGTTCAGACCCAGGTCCGTTCGGCCTAGTGATGATGTCATCGTCCATCCCATCTTCCTTTGCCCCCAGGAAAGGACGCATCCACCGGTAGCGGCCCCAGCTGACTGTCGCCGTGTGCTGGGGATCTGAAATGAGGCCTGCCAGGGCCCCTGTGTGCTGTGCTCCAGAGCCTTCGCTCCCATCAGGGTTGGCATCATCTGATGGCATGTCCAAGTGTGCCCAGCAGCGGATGCTGAAGCACCAGAGCTCAAGGCCTTCACCTGCTCTAGGCCAGCCCTGTCACCACCTCCACTGCCATGACCAGGCCGAAGGCAGGGAACGCCCTCCCCAGTCCCGCTGTCCAGCAAGGCCCCGAGACTTTTCTTCTGTGATTTCCAAAAGCAAGGCAGCCGTGCTGTTCTAGTTCCTCTCCATCCGCCACCTCCCCTCCCGCTGCCCCAGAAGTTTCTATCATTCCATGGAGAAAGCTGTGTTCCAATGAATCCTACCTCTTGCCCAGTCCCAGGCAGAGTAAGCAGGGCCCACCTAGGGACCAAGAAAGAGTAGGAAGAAGGGGACGAGCCGGGAGCAAAACCACCTCAGACACCCGGGCCTTCTCAGCCTTCTCCCCGCGGCCAGCTGGGTCTCCGGGGACCCTGGGCCCTGGGCCGCCCATTCCTGGCCCTCCCGCTGCATCTCAGACCTGACACCCAACGGGGGGATGTGGTGGCCTGTGCCCACCTTCTCTCCCTCCTCCCGACCCGCCCCCTCGCCCCCACCCCTGTGTGTTTCGCCAGTTAAGCACCTGTGACTCCAGTACCTACTACTGGTTTTGGGTTGGTTGTTCTGTCTTTTTTTTAATTAAATAAAAACATTTTTAAAATGTTCTCTTCTTGATGTGGGGAGGCAGGGGAAGAGCCCCCCATTAGTCTTTGTGGGCAGTTAGGGTAAATAGATGTCCCTGGGTCTGGGGTACGCTGTGCCCCTCCCCCGCAACCCCCCGCCGCCAGAAAAGAAGAAGGAGGCCCAGGGGGCAGGGAGGCCAGGCTCTGGCCAAGGCCGGGTTTTCTGGCTTTTATCTGGGTCACTGGCCACCTCCCCAGTACCAACGGCTGGTTTCAAACTTCTGGGTGGTGTCATTGAGGTGGCTTTTCACCAATGAGCCAGAAGATACACAGGCTCTTCTGGGTGGGGTGTGGGCCCCTGGGCAGCCAAGAGAGCAAGGCCTGTCCTCCCGCAGGGTGGAGGCCGGCCGGAGCCACAGCCGCCAAGGCCCTAAAGTTGCCCTCACCCAAGGACACTGCGTCCTCCCTGGTGAAAGCTGCCCGTTCTGTAGAGGTTCTCTGCCCAGGTTCCCAATATAGCACTCCCGGCAGCCCAGCCCCAGACTCAGTCCCAAGAGATACACAGATGGGAAGGGAGAAAGGATCTGAGGGACCTTAGACTCCAGGGACTGGCCGGGGCAGACACACCTGAGACAGGTATTTTTTAACTTGCAGCTTGCAACAAAACAGCTGGTGCAATCTCAGGAATAGAAGTCAACGATAACAGATGGTTATGAACTCATGTCCTTGCACTTGGAATTGCAGTCAAGGAGAGTTGGTGGTGGCGGTTGGGGGGATGCTGACACCTGCAAACCATCACTCCTCCACCCTCCTGGGGCAAAGTTTTCTCCTCTGAGGGTCTAAGTTGGCCATCCTGAGCCCTTTCTCAACCCCATCATCTCCCCAGCTCCTTCCTGGCCTCTCCCTGACTTTCATCAAAGACTTCACTTTGGCTAAAGCCTTCCTCTGTACCCCAAATACTGCCGCCATCACAACACATCGATGTCCATGGGGCCAACCACTCTGACTTCCTGACCACACAGTTCTCTGGTCTTCTCACCTCCATTGACTTTTATCTCCAACCTTGACCTTGTCATCACCCCTAACTGTCCCAGTGTAATCTTCAGGGCCATCATTCTCCTCTCTGACCACAGTCTCCAATGCTCCCGATTCCTCCATGCCCTCTCCACCGTGACACCCATTCTTCAACCTCATCAAGCCTCCAGGTCTTGACTCCTCCATTTTCTCCCAATCTATCAATGCTTCCTGGTTTCAGGGCCATCCTAACCAGTCCAGACCATGGTGAGGCATCATTTAACCTCGCCTTTGCCAACACCTCAGTTCCCTTGGGCTCTCTTCTAGTATTTGTCTCCTAGAAGATCCCCAACCCTCTTCCAATCTCACCTCTCAAATTTTCTCCATCTCTGCACCTGAGCCTCAGGGTAACACTAGAGAAAATCAAGTGATTTGTAAATTGGTGCCTGTGGGAGGCAGAATGGTTGTCCCCTGAGATGTCCACATCCTAATCCCTGGAACCTGTGAATATGTGGCCTTACATGACAAAAAGGACTTTGAGAGTGTGATTAAATTAAGAATCTTCAGATGCTCGGATTATCCTGGATTATCTGGGTGGCCCCAGACAGAAGGACAAAGGTCCCTCTAAGGGAAAGAGGGAGGCAGGAGTGTTGGAGGAGGGCTCTGACAGAGCAGCAGAGGTCAGAGTTCTGGGACTGCTGGCTTCAAAGAAGGAAGGGGCCACAAGCTGAGGACCACTGGCAGCCTCTAGAGGGTGAGAAATCTGAGGGGTCTCCCCTGGAGCTTCCAGAAGAAACACAGCCCTGCCAACACTTTCATTTTTAGTTCAGTAGGACTTAAAACCTCCAGAACTGATATGATAATAAATTTGTATTGTTTAAGCCACTAAGTTTGAGGTAATTTGTTCCAAAAGCAAGAGCCAATGAACACAATCCCATGTGTATGCACGGGGCTGGTACTATGCTGCACCCCAGCTATCATCCTCAATGCCCTTGATATGGTTTGGCTGTGTCCCCACTCAAATGTCATCTTGAATTGTAGCTCCCATAATTCCCATGTGTCGTGGGAGGGACCAGGTGGAGATAATTGAATCATGGGGGCAGTTTCTCCCATACTGTTCTCCTGGTAGTGAATAAGTCTCATGAGATCTGATGGTTTTATACATGGGAGTTCCCCTGCACAAGTTCTCTTGCCTGCCACCACGTAAGACGTCCCTTTTCTCTTCCTTGTCTTCCACCATGATTGTGAGGCTGCCCCAGCCGTGTGGAACTGTGAGTCCATTAAATCTCTTTCCTTTATAAATTACCCAGTCTCAGGTATGTCTTTATTAGCAGCATAAGAGCAGACTAAAACAGCCCTGTCAGTGGGCACCCCGATACTCACAACAGCTATTTCAGACTCTCACTACCTCCACGAAACCCTCCACACATCATTTCCATCTCCTATTCTCAGACATTGGCCCCACTTCTGAGGTCACCAAGAAAACAGAAGCCTTTAGATGGCAATCCCCTCACCTCCCCACCGCTCCACCACCTATAGACTGGTTTCCCTCATGACTCATCTCTTGCTCGGTCCTTTCCATCCCAGTGGGGGAGGTCACCTCCCTCTTTCTGTCCATCGCCAGCCCTTTCATTTGAGGTCTGGTCATTCCCATCTCCTCCCCTAGAATCTTGCATTTCTGTCTTAAAACAGCAAATACCAGGCCGGACGCGGTGGCTCACGCCTGTAATCCCAGCACTTTGGGAGGCCAAGGTGGGTGGATCTCGAGGTCAGGAGATCGAGACCATCCTGGCTAACAAGGTGAAAACCCGTCTCTAATAAAAATACAAAAATTAGCTGGGCGTTGTGGCGGGTGTCTGTAGTCGCACCTACTTGGGAGGCTGAGGCAGGAGAATGGCTTGAACCCAGGAGGTGGAGCTTGCAGTAAGCTGAGATTGCACCACTGTACTCCAGCCTGGGCAACAGAGCGAGACTCCATCTCAAAAAAAAAAAAAAAAAAAAAAAACCACGGCAAATGCCAAACTTCCCTCATGCCTCTCCTTCCCTTCTAAGCTAAGCACTTCACAAAAAGCTCTACACGTGTTGTCTACCCTTCCTCACCTCCCATTTCACTCCTCAATTTACTGCAGTCTGCCTTGATTTTTTACCTGCCAGTTGTCAAAACCAATGGACATGTTTCAATCCTGACCTCTGTAGTGCCAGAACTTATCAGCCACTCTTGCCTTCTAGGGATGTCCTCTGCTTCTGACCTCTAAGACCCTACCCTCTTGGTTTCCTCTATTTCTCTGCCTTCTCCTTCTCTTCTCCTTTGCTGGCTTGGTTTCCATTCTGTATCCTTATATCTTAGGCCACAGAACTCCCGGATTCCACTCTTGGAGCTCCTCTCCTCTTCACCTCATCACTTCCCTTGAGTAACCTCATTCCCTCTCACTATTACAACTACCACCAAGTCCATATGTCTAACTCAGATCCTTCCCCAAGCTCCAGATCTCCTCCTGGTGTGTCTGTGGTAGACTGCCCTTGTCTCCCAAAATCTGTTCTCCCCTCTTCCATGGTAATAGAGAGCTTTAGCTTGCTAAATGGCCACCCAGCTAATCTCCGGGGCCCTTGGAGATGGTCAGAGGTATAAGTTCTCAACAATTTAAGTGTTTTGTGCAACCAGTGTGTCCACTGCTTATAAGGAAATTGTTTGGTTTGAACTCCCACTCTTTCCCCCTTCTTGTGGTCTGGAGCTGCCATGTCAGTGACCCTGGCCTTGCACACAAGGACGATACCCCAGAGCATGGTGGAGCAACAAGACAGAAAGCAGCCATGTTCCGTTAATGACTGGATGGAGACAATTACCCTGCCAGCCACACTGCTTGAAAGAGAGGAATGCCATGCTTCTGCCCGGTTAAGCCACTGCCTTTGGGGGTCTCACTGTGATAGAAGCATGGCTTGTATCTAATGAATACAGTACCTGAGCCTGAACCCATCTCCTGAACACTCAGTCTTTTCTCCTCCAGCTCATCTCGTCTGTCAGTAGCGTCACTGTCCACCCAGGCCTCTGAGTCTGAAATCCCAACTCCTTCCTTCCATGTTTAGTCTCTCACCAAATCCCTTTGGGTCTCCCACCTGTGGGTCCTCCCAGTAGACCCCTTCCTGCTTTGGTTCCTACTGCCATCTCTATCTTCATTCAGGCTTTTGTTATTTCCATCTCAACCCCTTCTATTGCCTGCATTGCTGCTGGTCCAGAGTATTAGTCCATTTTCACACTGCTATAAAGATACTACCTGAGACGGGGTAATTTATAAAGGAAAGAGGTTTAATTGACTCACAATTCCACATGGCTGGGAAGGCCTCAGGAAACTTACAGTCATGGCAGAAGGCAAAGGAGAAGCAAGTACTCTCTTCACAAGGCAGCAGGAAAGAGAGAGAGAGGAGGAGGAAGCGCCAGACACTTATCAAACAACCAGATCCCATGAGAACTTCCTCACTATCACGAGAACAGCATGAGGGAAAACCATGATCCAATCACCTCCCACCATGTGAGGATTACATGTGGGGATTACAATTTGGATTAACATATGGGGATTACAATTTGGATTACAATTCAAGATGAGATTTGGGTGGGGACTCAGTCAAATCATATCATCCAGGTAGTTGTAGACATATCAATGCTCTGTTTAAAACCCCTCTGCACGCTGGTCACCGTGGCTCACGCTGTAATCCCAGCACTTTGGCAGGCCGAGGTGGGTGGATTGCTCAAGGCCAGGAGTTTGAGACCAGCCTGGCCAACATGGCAAAACCCCATCTCTACCAAAAAAAAAAAAACAAAAATTAGCTGGGCATGGTGGCAGGCACCCGTAGTCCTGGCTGAGATGGGAGAATTGCTTGAACTTGGGAGGCAGAGGTTGCAGTGAGTCAAGATCGCCTCCTGCACTTCAGACTGGGTGACAGAGTGAAACCCTGTCTCAAAAAACAAAAACAAAAACAAAAACAAAACAAAACAAAAAAACCCATTCTGCAGCTCCAGATACTCTTAGACAAAAGTACACTATTTTCTGACATGGTTTGTTGGGCTCTGCAAGGTCTGATCCCTACCCATCTCTCCAGCCCTGTCTCTCTGTCCCCCCCCTTGCCTCCCTTCACCTGCCCAGACCTAACCACTTATGCAGGTTAGAGTCTGGACCTCTCCTCCCCACAACCTCCACACCTGCTCTTTCCCTGCCAGCTGGTCCTTCCTTCCTCCGTCCTTACCCCACTCAGCCTCCATTTCACCCATGAGGTCTCCTGACTACCCCCTCCAGTGTCACTGTCCCTACCCTAGTGGGCCAGGGGTCCCCAAGGCTGCCCTCAAGTGGTCTTAATGATTCACTAGGAGGACTCACAGAACTCAGAAAAGCTGTTATACTCATGGTTACAGTTTACTGCAGAAAGAATCCAGATTAAAATCAGCACAAGAAAGGGGTGCAGAGGGCAGAGTTCAAGAGAGACCAGGCGTGAGCGTTCAGTCGTCTCCCCCAAGGGAGTGGAACAGACTTCATTCTCCCAGCAGTGCTGTGTGACAACATGCACAAAGTATCGCCAGCCAGGGAAGCTCATCTGAGGTGAGACTTGGTGTTCAGGTTTTTTATTGAGGGGCGGTGCCTATGTGACTGACCTTAGCTACTCAGTATTCAGTCCCCCATCCCAGAGGTCAAACTATCTGAGGTGGTCCAGGGCCCTTACCATCAATCACATTGTTAGCCTAAACTATCTGGTGCGGTCCAAGACTCCAGCTAGGTGAAAATACTCTTATCAGGTAGAGTATTCCAAGGGCATAGAGGTTATCTCCCAGGAGCCAGTTAAGGGCCAGTTCTTTCTTTGGAATGTGTAGGGTTTGGACAACCCAGGCCTGCTGAGTTAACCCTTCACTGAACACCAATGTTCCCAGCATGCCCTCTGCTATCCATCAGAGCAGACTCATGTTAGTTGATGCCTGACTCTCCCACCAGACTGTGGGCTCCTAGAGGGCAGACTCAATGTCTTATTCACATTCTAATAGCCCTACAGTGATGAGTAAGTGTTTAATGAATGAATGAATGACAACAACAGTCACAAAATAATATTTCCCTAGCTCCATCACTACCCATTCTGCAGGAACCACTGTCATCATCAGATTTCTCCAGAAGCATTCCCAGAGTGAGAGCAGTGAGGCGGACAGTCAATGGGGATTTGCATGTTCTCATCAAACTTCTATTCTCTTGGCTAGAAAATCATCATCATTATCTTTTGACTCTGACCTGCTCAATAAGATGTTTCCTGCTGCTGCCCAAGCCATGGGCACCAACACTGCAGGTGCCCAGCCCTCTCAGAGTCCCATGAAGCTTCTTGTGAAGTAACATACATCACAGTCTTCATGTGCGTGTTACATGTGCACACATGCATTACCGCATTTAATTCTCGCTATAACCCTACAAGGTAGTTATGATCCTCCCTTCTTTGTGAGCAAGAAACAGGCTCAGAAAGGTGACCCATCTCTCACAAGGCACACACACAGTCAACAGCAAAGCTGGGGCTCCAGGCTATGACTGTCACTTCCAGAAAGGATATGCGCTTTCCCTAACAGCTGCGTGCTCCACACAGCAGCCACCCCGGGACACTGGCATGATGCTTACCACATCCTAGGCACCACCTGTACAATTACTTGCTTCATCTTTTTCTTTAAATTGTCACTTTTAATTTGACCTTGGCCTAAAGAAATTATATTAATAATATAACTCAGATCCTCATGAAAAGAAATATGAAAATCTTTAGGCCAGGCATGGTGGCTCACACCTGTAATTGCAGCACTTTGGGAGGCCGAGGCGGATGGATCACTTGAGGTCAGGAATTTGAGACCAGCCTGGCCAACATGGTGACACCCTGTCTCTACTAAAAATACAGAAATTAGCTGGGCATGATAGCACATGCCTATAATTCCAGCTACTTGAGAAGCTGAGGCAGGAGAATTGCTTGAACCCTGGAGGCGGAGATTGCAGTGAGCTGCGATCACACCACTGCACTCCAGCCTGGGTGACAGAGGGAGACTGCATCTCAAAAAAAGAAACATAAAAGTCTTTAAATCACGGGCTGCCTGCTCTCCTCCTGCAGGGGTGTACAGGGCGCACTTTGAGAACCCCAGCTGCGGGCTCAAGTCTCCCGAGGGGCCCATGTCCTGCCTGGAGCTCCTATTCTCCACACCTCTCCACGTAGGCTGAGTTCTGTCCCAGGAGACCCCACAGCCCCTCCCAGTATGATCTCAGCTGCCCTAACAGTTTGTGGACTCCTCAAGGGGAGGGAGTGGGTCTTCTGCTTGGCAGGACAGAAATCCCAGCGTGGGCCTTATTGTGCCCCAACTTAACTATGGCCCAAGCCCTGGCTGGCCTGTATGTTCTGGAGTCCTCAGGAGGGTCCTGGATCAATGGGGAGGGAAATGGCCACCGTGGCAGGGCAGCCAGAAAAAGCTGCCAGAAGTGGAGGCTAGCAGAGGGGGGTTGCGAAACAAAGGGAGTTGGACTGGTGCAGATAGGATAAAAACATCTCAGGGGTACAAGTAAGCATCAACATCTGGAGAACAGAACAGGAAAGAGCCCCCCAAATTTCCCACAACACTGTGAGTACCAGGCATCC
The DNA here is from genome assembly GCF_000001405.40 of Homo sapiens. Lineage (NCBI taxonomy): Eukaryota > Metazoa > Chordata > Mammalia > Primates > Hominidae > Homo > Homo sapiens. The sequence goes on from NC_000017.11 coordinate 67,041,008, forward strand.
AGGGCGATTGATTTCTTACCATTACGTCCTTCGCTGAATCAAGTACTCAGTACTCTATTAAATGCATGACGGCCACTCTCTGGTCTCCTCTTATGAGAACACTGCTACAGTTGGGCTCTGTGTCCCCATCCAAATCTCACCTTGAATTGTAATAATTCTGTGTCATGGGAAGGACCCAGTAGGAGGTAATTGAATCATGAGGGTGAGTCTTTCCTCTGCTATTCTCACGATAGTGAATAAATCTCACAAGATCTGATGGTTTTATAAAGGGCAGTTCCCTGCACGTGCTCTCTTGCCTAACGCCATGTAAGACGTGCCTTTGCTCCTTCTTCACCTTCCGCCATGATTGTGAGGCCTCCCCAGCCATGTGGAACTGTGAGTCCATTCAACCTCTTTCCTTTATAAATTACCAGTCTTGGGCATGTCTTTATTAGCAGTGTGAGAACAGACTAATACAGACACTGCTCCCATCACAAGGGCCCCACTTCCATGAGCTCATTTCATTATCTCCCAAAGATCCCACCTCTACACACCATCACACTGGGGGTTAGGCTTCAACATATGAACTTGGGGGAAACATGATTCAGCCCATAGCGCCTACTATGGCTAAGCTGGTCCAACGCACTCCCTCCAGCCCTTCCACCTGCTCCGCAGCCAGGCCCGTTGCCTTCATTTTACAAGAGGCAGCTTAGAAAGGCTAATGACTTACTGGAACGTGCACAGCTGGAGCCAAGCAGTGCAGGGATTTGCTCGGGGCTGGCCAGCTCCATCACCCTCTAGCTTGGTCCCCCTCTCGCATGCTGCCTCCCTGAGATGCTCCTCTCCCTGTTGCCCTGGAAAGGGTGAGATCTTGGGGGAGGACATGGATGTTGCCCTGCCCAACTTTCAGCAAATGCCTGTGGCTACTGAAGTCCCTTCCTGGCCCTTCCAGGCCCCTGGGGAACCAGGCAGGCAGCGCGGCAGCACCTCTGTGAGCAGAAAAGGTGTATTTGAGGGAGCTTTCAGTAAACAGGGAAGAGAAAGTGGACCTGCCCGCAGTAGCTGCAGCTGCGGGTCTCCTGGTGCGACTTACACAAAGATGACTTCAAAAGGCAGAGGCCATCAATCTTTAATGCTTTCACTGCACTGGGGCGGAGGACTCTGGACCCCTGCATGGGGCACAAACCTGCCCCCCATGGAGGGAAAGAGCAGCAGAAGTTCCTGGTTGCTGTCCTCACCAAGGCCTGGCATCTTTGAAGGGCCTGCAATGTCATCATGGCTGGCGCTGGGTGCACCCTCTGGGCTGGGCCCTTTCAGGGTGCTTTCCAAGGCCGTCAGAGGCTCTTGGCACCGAAGAGCTTAGGGCATCCACCCCCACCACACCAGGAAATTCAAAAGACACTTTCATTTTTCCAATGACACTGTATTTACTTGTAATGCTAAAATTAAATAGCTTCTTTCTAGATTTTCTGTCTTAAAACACTGGAACCCTCTTCTGGCTCCCCAGCTACTGCTTTGCTGGGTGCCTGGCACTCAGTAGGTCTAATCAAGCTGTACAGCACCTCCTGAGATCCCCAGGTGCCAGGATCCTGAAGCTGGGCCCCCACAAACAACAAGAGAGGGCTCAGAGGCTGCAGCCATGTCCCAGCTTCTGGGAATTCCCCATGGAGATGGTCTACCCACCTGGTGACAGGCAGTTTCTCCACGAGCTGAAGCAGGGGCGGTGGCATATGTCAACAGTCAGTCAGTGATCAGTCAGTTGTGATGGATTAGCACCCACAGGGAACACAGAGGTGGGGGGACAGGGAGGAAGGGAAGCAGAGATGAGAACAGTGGGGAGATAAGCTCTCAGGAGATTGTAATATGTATGAGAGACTGATTTTAAAAATATGGAAGTTTGGATGGAACTGCAATAAGCACAAGCCAGTGGCTGGAGATGCGAGGGTTCAGCTCAGCCCTGGGGCTGTTCACCAGGTAGTCCTGGCTCCTCACATCTCCTCTCTGGGCTGCAGATTCCTAATCTGTCACAATAGATCATGAAGTTTCTTCCCAGTTCCAACCATTCGTTATGACTTTGGGCTCTGGGTCCTGAAACCTGGATTCCTCATTTTCTCGCTGTGTGACCTTGGACAAGTGACTTCATGTCTCTGAGCTTCCATGTCCTTGTCTGTGAAATGGCAGTAACCGTTGTAGTCCCCTTGTGGATTGGTGTGAAGAGTAACTGTGACAATGGATGAAGGCTTAGCAGGGTACCTGGTAGATAGTAAGCACTCACTGAAGATGAGCCACTGTTCTGATTATCATCATCATGAACTTTCTGTGATTCTAAGGCTGGAGGCCGAAACATTTCTGTCCACATGGGCAGAGTCTCTGTAAATCGTGTCAATCTGAGGCCAGGATTTTGAAGCTCAAGGCCCCACCCAGCTCAGGAGGCTATTCCTGGTCATGCGTCAGCCTCTCGGCTACACCCAAAAAGGGCCACCCTGTGAGCCGAGAAGGAAGAGATGACACAACCCAGGAGAGATGTAGAGGCTGGAGCCTCGGAGACCAGCCTGGGGGCCAGGCGGGTGCACAGGACCGTCGGAGGGTGGTCGATCCCGGGCTTTCTGTGTTCTCTGCACGCCCATGAGCTCCTAATGATCCCCTATAAATCAACCTATTCATTCTTTTTTACTCACACACTTATTTTTCAAATTCAAACATAACTGGAAAGTCGTTATCACCTGCTGTTAATAGAAGGCAAAACCAAACAGTGCCCTGAAAAACAGAATGACCAAGTCCAGCAGGATTCCTCGTCCTCTTCGGGCCGTTCTCGCTTTGTTTCAAAGGACACTTTACAGGCAATAATGACACTGACCTCGAACAGAGCTTTGCTCTGGACCCAGTTTTGGGGATGGAAAGAGAATTGAAAAGGAAGTAATGTTCTCGTGGAGGGATCAGAGTTGGGTAAGGCCAGACCTGGGAACCACCTAAAACCTTCCTATGGTTTGGGGGATGCCGTGGGGTTTGTGGCTAAAACGCTTGCCTAAGAGGTGGACTCCACAGGCCCTGGACTGGGTTCCCGGGATGTCATTAGACAGAATCCTAGCCCCTCAGATCCCAGGATGAGAACCTACTCACTGCCCTGCCGGTAACAGGCTTACCCCGTGGGAGCCCGGGACAGCCGTGCAGCCCGCAGCTCCTGGTCTCCTCCCCTGGCCTGGGCTGCCCTTTCCCATCAGCCCAGAGCAGGCAGATCCCCACCCCCGGGGCCCTGCTGCCCACCTCTCGCCCTCTCCCAACTCAGGCACCCTGAGCTGCTACTCACAGAGGCCTCAATCTACCATCCAGAGCCTTCTCTCCTTGCCACCCTGCCCCGCCGCACTGGGGTATTTCTGGCTCCCAGAGGGGCAGAAAACCCTGAAACCCGAGCAGAAGCTGTCCTCGGTGCCACGCCTGGAGATGGGCATTAATAGCAGCCTCCCTCAGGCCCCTGACGCGTCTGGGCAGCTGCTCAGCACGTCCCGCGTCCCTCGGCCCCAAGGCCAGCCCACTCTGGCTCAGCCAGGCACACTAAACTTAGTGGCCACTCCCAGCTCGACAACCACTGCCACCCCCCAAGCTCGGCTTGTCACCTGCCCTAGGAGACGCAGCCGCCGGACCCTGCCCAGGGCACCCACGCCTCGGCGACCACCATGTCCCAGACCAAAATGCTGAAGGTCCGCGTGACCCTCTTCTGCATCCTGGCAGGCATCGTGCTGGCCATGACAGCCGTGGTAACCGACCACTGGGCTGTGCTGAGCCCCCACATGGAGCACCACAACACTACCTGCGAGGCGGCCCACTTCGGCCTCTGGCGGATTTGTACCAAGCGCATCCCCATGGACGACAGCAAGACCTGCGGGCCCATCACCCTGCCCGGGGGTAACGTACCCACCCTCCGTCCCGATCCCCACCTCCTGCTCTTCCCCGTCATCCCCCTGGCAAAGTTGCCCTTGCGAAGGAAGGCAGGTTTCTCTGCCTAGAAATAGGGCAGCCGCCCAGCCTTTTCTGCCCAGGGAAGAAGATATGAATTGCATGTGTGGTGCTGGTGGCTGGGGCTGGGTTGTAAGACGAGGGCGTTTGTCCCAGCTATTTCTGTCTGGCTGGACCTTGGGGCTTTTTGCCCAGAGCAGAGAGCTGGGCAGGCTCAAGAAAGGAACTGCAGCTCTACCAGCCCAGGGACTTCTGGGCCCCACCTGCTCACTCTCTCCCTGCAAAGAAAAGCTAGGTGGCTCTGTGTCCTCAGGCTAGGGGGACCCATGGGGCTGGCAGGTTTGTTCCTGGCCTCAAGGCAGGAGAGGAGAGAGCATAGGCGATGGAATTTGCAGGGTCCTGTGCAGAATGAAAATGCAGGGTTCCTTGCTCCAAATTACCAAGGATTTCAAGGCAGTGACAGCAGCACATGAAACCACACATGGGCCCTTGTGGGCTCTGGGCCTGGAGCAGCTGCACAGGTTGAATGTCTGTGAAGCAGGACATGGCTGTAGGCTGTAGGTGAGCCACCTGCCCCCACCTTCTTTTTTTTTTTTTTTTTTTTTTTGAGACAACTTTGTCGCTCAGGCTGGAGTGCAGTGGCATGATCTTGGCTCCCTGCAACTTCTGCCTCCTGGACTCAAGCGATTCTCCTGCCTCAGCTTCCCCAGTAGCTGGGATTACAGGCATGCACCACCACACCCATCTAATTTTTGTACTTTCAGTAGAGACGGGGTTTCACCATGTTGGTCAGGCTGGTCTCGAACTCCTGACCTCAGGTGATCCACCTGCCTTGGCCTCCCAGAGTGCTGGGATTACAGACGTGAGCCACCATGCCCGACCTCCACCTGTCCTTTTGTCAGGACTTCAGTCCTCTATGCATCCTGTCTTAGCTCAGACCCTGTCAGAGTTACAAAGCATTTCCTCACCCTGTAATTTAAGCGTATTCCTCGATTTCCTACCGTGTGACCGAACCACACGTTGAAGGTAAGGTCCTTTTCAGGAGTACCTGGTAGTCGCGTGACTAGCCTCTATTCTGCAAATGCAGAGGCTTCTGGATTCTTAGCAAATACAGCACTTTAGAGGAAAGAGTGCTCATGGAGACCAGGCAGCCAGGGATCTAATCGCCATTGCCCACTACCCTCAAATGACCATCCAGGGAGGACAAAGCTCATCTCAGCCTCTGCTTCTTCCTCTATAAAATATGGGACTGACTCTCAGCAACGTGAGATCCCTTCCTCGGCTTACAGACGCCCATCCACAGTGGCAGTGGAGCAGAGTGATGTCAGTGTGATGTCCCACCTGGTTTTCAGGATTATTTCCTCTTTTATCAGACTAGGTGTTCCTTGAAACCTGTCCTTCAAGGACACTAGGGCTAAGTCCCCAAAGATCTTGCAGTCTGCTTGTGAGGCAAAGAGCACAGACCCCATCCTCCCTTGTCTCTGCTCCCTCTTCCTTCCCTCCTGCTTGCTCCAGAGATCCCCTCCCTTGTTCAGCCCCACTGGAGGCCCAGAAGACTCATAAGTGCCCAGCTGTTGTAGAAACACCAAGTCCCAGGGCTGAGAGTGACAGGTGTGGCCATGTGCTTGCAGGGTATCGCATAGCCCGGATGCCCATGCCCCTTGGCCACTGCTGAGCACACCCATAAACAGGAACAGCCTCCAGCCAACTCCCCTGGGCAGGGCAGGGCAGGGCAGGGCAGGGCAAGGCAGCTTCTTCAGGGACCACACATGGGGACGTGCTGTTACAGTCCTGTTCACCCGTCCTTGGAACCATCTGCCTTTTAAAGTCAGAGCAGAAGACTGGGCAGTGAGCAGAATCCACACAAGGAAGAGACAGGCTGGTGAGAGGTGACTGGACCAATTGCAGGGGGCCAACAGGCATTGCTTGGCCTTGAGCCTGACAGGATCTACCTCTTTGCCTTCTTAGCCTAACCAGCTATGAACCACACCTCCCACACTTGTGACACTGAGCACTACCTTTCCCCCAGTAATCTTCCAAAATATGTTCCTGCCTTTTTCCCTCTCTTTTCTCTGCAAATGGACATCTTTCTCCTTCCCCATCTGCCCTTCTTGTGCTCCCTGGGACCACTCTTCTCTGGAGGGAGGAAGTGGGTTCATATGTGGCCCGTCATCTATTATTAACAACAATAATAATAATGGCACATACATGTAGCCCTGTGTGCCAAATATTGTTGTAAACGCTTTACATATATTAACTTTGAAAGACATCAGGAAAAAAAATGATAGAAAAAGAACCTCCAAAAATAATCTTCTCCATAATAGTAATGAGAAGGCTGGCAGAAATGGTCAGAATCAACATTTTCAGAACTCTGGAAATTAACCAAAGTCTTGCAGCAATCCAGCAAGAAAAATGGGTGAATCTCAGGAGGACCAGTGAGTTCTGTGGTGTTTTAACTTGCCTTATTCCTGTTTCCCTTTCCCAGCTCTGTGGTAACCTTGCAAACCAACATTCCGTAATCACAGTGAAAATCAGCATCCCAGTAGCCTCTGGAGGGGAGAGAATGGGGTTGGATCAAAGGCCCATTCCCAGAGAGTTGTCATTATTTGACCTGTCTGGTGATTCCCTGAAAACCCCCACTTGAGAAGCTGTTTCTGTTTGACCTGACTCTGAGCTCATCCAGTGCAAATAGTCTTTCTCCCTGGGGATGTTTGTTGAAAATAATTAGAGATGATTGATTAACATCATGGCTGTCTGAGGCAGTAGATAACAGTTAGGGAAAACAACAGGCTAACCAAAAAACTGGAGACTGAAATGTCCATAAGTTGCTTTGAAAAGCTCCAACATATTCCTGGGAATCTAGGAGGCCACATGCATGCACAATGCTATATGCATGCTCAGGAAAGACCTGAGAAGGCCCTAAGCACTCTCTGCCTTATCTTGAGACTCTGTTCAAGCAGGAAGTGAAGGCTAAGGCAGAGATGTGGGTGGCTTAGCTGAGCATGAAAGTCATATGCACAGAGCCCCTCAGTAAAGACTGGGAGAGGCATTGTTGCCAAGCGTTTTAGGAAATTTATAATTGGTCACTAAGCTAATTGAACAGGGATCTCAGTGATCACACATGACAAAAAACACATACTTTACCATCTTAGTTCAAAAAAGTCACTAAACAAACAACGGGAACAAATCTTCAAGAAGGGGGAACAACTGATTTCCAGAGTTGCCACATTATATTGTTTAAAAAATACTGGCTGGGTGTGGTGGCTCACTCCTGTATTCCCAGCACTTTTGGAGGCCAAGTGAGAGGACTGCTTGAGGCCAGGGGTTTGAGATCAACCTGGGCAATATAGCAAGACCCTGTCCCTACCAAAAAAAAAAAAAAAAACAAAAAAAAAACCCCACAAAATATCCAGGAGTGGTGGCATGTGCCTGTAATTCTAGCTACTCCCAAGGCTTAGGTGAGGGAATTGTTTGATCCCAGGAGTTAGAGACTACAGTGAACTATGATCATGCCACTGCACTCCAGCCTGGGTGACAGAGCAAGACTCTGTCTCTAAATAAATAAATACATACATAAATAATACAAGACACACAAAGAACTAAAATGATAAGGGGCATACATGGGGCAGGGAGAAGTCAATAGATCTGTAAGGAAGCCAGATATTGGACTTACTAGACAAAAACTTTAAATCAGCTATAGTAAATATATCCAAAGAAAAAACAATCAAAACAATTAAAGATGAAAATGATGCCTCATGAAATAGAAACTATCAATTAAGACACAGAAATTATTTTTAAGGACAAAATAGAAATTCTGGAGTTGAAAAGTACAATAACTAAAATGAGAAATTCACTAGAGGGGCTCAATGGCATATCTGAGCAGGCAAAAGAATCAGTGACCTTTAAGATAAGTCAGTTGAGATTAGCCAGTCTGAGGAACAGACAGATAAAAAGAATAAAGAAAAATGACGAGAGCCTCGGAGACTTATGGGACACCATCAAGTTTATGTAAAGGGAGTCCCAGAAGGAGAGGGAAAGAGAGAAAGGAGCAAAAAAGGTATGTGAAAAATAATGTCCAAAAGCTTCCCAAATTGGATGAAAAACGTTAAAAATCGACAAATTTATGAAGCTTAATGAACTCCAGGTAGAATAAACTCTAAGGGATCCACATCTAGACACATGATAATCAAACTGTTGAAAGATAGAGACAGAGAATCTTAAAAACGGAAAGAAACAACTCACCACATATGAGGAATCCTTAATAAGATGAACAGCCAATTTTTCCCCAAATCTATGGAGGCCAGAAGGTGGTGGGATGACATACATATATTAGCTCACCTAATCCTCACAGAAACCTCCGTGAAGGCCATGCTATTATCATCATCCCAATCTTACAGATAAAGAAAATCAACCACTGAGAGTTGAGATATTTGACAAGGTAACACAGGTGATGAGCAGAGCAGCCAGGACTCACACTCAGACCCTAACATTCACCGTTTTAGTCAATACATTAACTACTTTACAACAACCCAGTGAGTGGGTTCTTATTCTACAGGTGGTTCTTATTCTACAGGTGGGTCTCATTCTACAGGTGGTTCTCATTCTACAGGTGGTTCCTATTCTACAGGTGGTTCTCATTCTACAGGTGGGTCTCATTCTACAGGTAGGAACAGGGAGGCTGAGCATAGCCTTCCCCAGGCTAACCAGCTAACAAATAGAGGTTCTCCACTCAAGTCTTGAATCCAGAGCCTCCTTTCCCTCCAGTTCCTTCTCACACCCTCTATTGTGCATGAAAACACAGCTCCTAAAAGCTCTGACCCAAGTGAACACAAGGAGTCCAGCTTTTGACATGGCATAGTTTGAGGGCAGCTGGACCAGAAGCTGGTGCAGTGGAGCAGACTTCTCAAGGTCCCACTTAGTCTTAAAATGTTGGAGGCTCAGTGGGCAAGAGTTGTCTAATTTTTCCAAATTAGACAGTCTTAGACTCCAAACAGTCTTAGAAGGACTTCCATGTACAAGATCAACATCCAAGACCAATTCCAATGCCTCCAGAATGAGAGTAGGAGCCTCTCCCAAAGGAGAGACTATGTGTTCTGAAAGTCCAAATGAACCCGCAAAGAGGCCATCCCCTGCCCTTGGGCTGGGTGAAGTGCTGCTTCTTTCAGACTCTGCCTCTTTAGGGCAAGGAGGCAGGTTGCCCCAGGGCCCACTTTGCCTAGTGCCCCATTTTCCCTACTGGTCCATCTTCTCTCAGTGCGGGAACTGGGATTGTATAAAAGAGCATGATACTACTGACCCCAGGAATTTCATGGGCTCACTTCACCACCCACAGAAGTCCATGCCAGAGGCCTAGGCCAAAGCCAGGCTTCTCCCATGGAAGAGCAGTGCTCTGAAGCTCTAGGGTCAGGTCTTGGAGATTTCCAGCCCATTTTATAAAATTCTTCAATCAGAGATGTGGAAGGAGACACAGCCCAGAGAAACCACTGTTGGGAGCTGATAGAACTTCTTTTACCAAAAGGCTAAAAACAACACTGACATCAATGCAAGTTAGAGGCTTCCTTGCACCCCTAAAGTACCAGTTTCTTTGGTTTTGGACAAATCCACAAAGTATCTTTGAATATATGAAAGTCTCCATGGACAGTCACTTGGCACACTGATACATTCTCAGTGATAACCCAAGGCATCCACTAATCCTGCCAGCTGTTCCAACTATCAAAGAAAGATCCCTATTAACTCAAGTTCAGCTTGGAGCTAAATGTGGCTTCTGCTCTAATTCTTTGAAACTGGCACACTACACATGGTTCTGCACAGTTACTGATGCCCTTAACCAGAACACTGGGTTAGCCAGACTATTCCATCCCCCAGTCAAGTCTGAGAGCTGAGTTCACCATATTTTTAATAAATAACCCATTTAATATTTTTAAACCGCTGAGTCTTACAGAAATAAGGAGATTAAAATCAGCATAAGCCATCTGCAGAGACAAAGGAGAATGGCACGACCTCAGAGTTCCTAACACCCCAGATCATCATCCTGGCATTGGAATCTTTGCTGACTTAGTCGGAAGCAAAGCTGCAATCCCTGAGCTTTGTGTAAGTGTGATGGAAGCCAGGGCAGCGGGGCAGAGAGGGGCATCCCAGAGGCAGAGGCAGGAAGACTGAGAGTCTGCACAGGACCGTCACGGTCCCTCTCCTCTTGACCCATGACTAAGATGGGTCCACCTCGGATGTCCTTCCTCTTTACGTTGCCCTGGATGCTCAGTTTCCCAAATAATATCCACCTAGACCCAGGAACAGGGCAGGGAGGGAAGGGGCTCATAGTAGGGTCTGTCCATCTGAACAGGACCCTGCACCCTCTTGAGTAACATGGGCAGATGCCTGGCCTGATTTGTCCTAAATGAGGCCTGGGTCTGACGTGCCCCCACCCCTACAGGGGCCATTAGAGACCATGAAAGGGTTTATGGTCTCCAATGGGCAGCCACATAGCCCAGGAGTGGATGTTTCTCTCAGGTTCAGGGCAGGAGACACCGGTCTTTTTCACATGCTAAGCCCAAGAAAGGGGAGAGGTCAGCCCATCAGTCCTCAGGCCCCCAGTTCAGCCATGTAAGAGTGAAGCTGAGGCTTCCTGTTACCCTGAGAAGGAATCCTACCCACTGGAGGCCCCCTCCCTCCATTTGAGGACACTTAATGGAGAAGAGGGAGGAGGAACACTGTACCTGGACCACCAAAAGAAAAGCATCCCCCCAGAAGCTCACAACCTGGCTCCTGCAGACACGTAGCCTACCCCTGTGTCTGAGTTAAGATCATTTCTATCCAAGCAGCCAGCAGCCAGGCGGAGCCTGGCGTTTATCTGGTGGGGATTTGGTGAGCCAAATGCTACCTGTGTGAGAGTCACCTCAGCAACCCACCAGGTGCAAACAGCTGTGCCCCCAGCAAGGCACTCCATGGCCCTCATCTCAGGGCCCTCCGCTGGGAAGGATTTTAACTTATGGCTTTTGAGCAGTCAGGGAGGCAGCTGACCATGAAATACACTTGAATTCAGTCAATTCTGACAACTGAAATTGGCCCTTCAAGAATGAAACAGAAACAGAAATGTTTCTTTGTCCAGAGGGAGACACATGGAGACTTATGACATAGCATGGGCCATTTTGAAGCAGTGATTCGAGAGATCTACAGCCAATAATCTAACAAATAGAAGAGATCTGCATTATGCTTTAAAATAGCACCGGATGCCCAGAGAGAATAGCAGAGCACCAATTCTGACATCACCACCAGCAGTCAGACACCCCAGGTAACGCGGTTCAAAAGGAAAGTGATTTAAATATAGAAGCACACAGAGAAGGCTGTTTATGCCAGGAATGGGTACTGCTGCTAAACCAGATCCCATCTCCAGGGGTCATTTGCTTCCTCAACCTCAGGAGAGGCAGCAGCCCTGGCTCTGGGGGGAAGGAGGGGCATGGTATGAGACCACAGGCTTAAGGTGCAAGAAGAATGATTTAGGTCCGGTTAAAGAAAGTCTTCATCCCAAAGAAAAGCCTTGGTATCACTGCAGGTACATTTCCAGAAAGAACTAGGCATCAACCGCCTTATGAGCATCTAAATGAAGCCTGGAAGTGAAGAAATGAATTGGCAAACTAGACACCATCTCAACTAGAGAAAGAGATGTTTTTCTATTTAAGGGTCACTGATCCACAGGAAAAGAAATCAATGAAGGGCCTCCACAAATAAAAAGCAAACTAATTTAGTTTTGGAAGGAAACATAATATAAAATAACCCATTCATCCACTTCCTAAATCAAGAGCAAAGAAGATAAACCGTATTTAGCAAGAAATAAGACTGTGCTTTTTTTTTTTTTGAGACAGAGTCCCACTCTGTCACCCAGGCTGGAGTGCAGTGACACGACCTCAGCTCACTGCAACCTCTGCCTCCTGGGTTGAAGCAATTCTCCTGCCTCAGCCTTCTAAAGTGCTGGGATTACAGGTGTGAGCCACCACGCCCGGCCTGTGCTTTGATTTTATAGTATACCTAGCTATGAGAGAGAGACTGAAAGAGAAAAATGGAAATGAAATTATATTTTAAATCAGCATGAATTTCCTTGTGCTGAGCCCCTCCCCTCTCCCTCATCAAATTCAGATTTGCGTTCCTACTGCCCACAGACTTTCCATAGCTTTTATGACAATTATCAGGTGGGCCAAGCGGCTTTGTGGGGGCAGGTCTCATCTGGGCTGTCTCGCAAAGACCAGGGACCCAGTGAAACCACATGATGGTCACATTCAGCCCTCGTAGGGGTTCCATCTGCATCCAGGCCATCCCAATGGCCACTCGGAAAAAGCCCTTTGCAGGGCATTTTAAGGGGCCTGGAGCAGGGTTCCCATCCTGGCTGCACATCAGGCTCTCCCAGAAAGCTTTTGAAAAACACTGTTTCCCAGGTCCCACCAATGAACCAGGGTGTGCCTGGATTCTGATGAGAAACACAGTCCCAGGTTTGGGGTTGATCCAGGGTTTCTCAACCTTGACACTCTTGATATTTTGGCCTGGATCATTCCATGTTGGGAGGACCTGTCCTGTGTGTCTTGGGATGTTCAGCAACGTCTGTGGCCTCTACCGGCTGGGTGCCAGGTGTACCCCTCTCACCACCACCATAACCCCAGGCATCGCCAAGTGTCCCCTGGGGGGGCAGAATCGGCCCCAACAGAGACTGCTGTTTGGTTCTTTGTTGATTGTGCACCCTGCACACCCTGAAAAATGGCTTGAGCCTGGGCCTCGGTTACCCTGTCTGCCTAATGGGGTGCAGAACCCACAGGCCGTCTGCCCTGCAGACTCATCCAGCCTCAGCTCCCTGAAGACCTCCCAGCCCTGCAGGCAACCTCATTATCCCACTGAGATGTTGTTCTAAGGGTCAAAGACAGATGTTTCAGCCCAGATTAAGGATCTGGGGAGAAGAGAGGCTGCCAGAGCCCCCTGCATGCCGAGCAGAATGACACCACGCTCTCTGCCAGGCCTCTGTCCTTGCTACGGGTTGCTCCCCTCAACTCACAGTCTGTCTCCTCCTTTGCAGAGAAGAACTGTTCCTACTTCAGGCATTTTAACCCCGGCGAGAGCTCGGAGATCTTCGAATTCACCACTCAGAAGGGTGAGCCTGGGTGGAAAGGGGTCTGGGGTGACAAGAGGGGACTTCTGTGTTGTGCACCACTGGGCCAGAAAGTCATTGGCAAAAGCACTGACTTCCTCACGCCTGATGAGAAGAAGCCTGTGGTGCATTTGAACAACAGCCTTGTCAGCTCCCCGCTCCGGAGGCCCCAGGCAGCCGCCTTCCATCTCCAGGGCCCGGAGCTTCCACACCTCGGGGCCAGGGAGCGTTTGCAGAAGCAGCACCTCCTGGTAGGCCCCTACACAAGGGCAGCTGTTGTGACGGGAGGTGTGGATGTGGAACAAATGCTCAGAAGCCCCGTGGTGGCTCTTGGTGGCATGTGATAGTTAGAGTCTGCAGGGACAGTCTGAGTCCCTCCCTGGCCTAGAAATCCCTCCCTGAGTACCAGGAGGGTGCGGTGGGCTCTGGGAGCTTTTCAGGATCCGCAGAGCTCAGACGCACACCCATTGTCGGGAGTACAGACCCGTGCCTGCCTGCGCCCAGACAGCTGCACACAGGGTGAGTGGGCAGACACACAGACACACACTGACACACACAGACACACACAACACAGATACACACACACGACACACACAAGACACAGACGCACAGAGACACTGACACACACGCATGATGACACACAAAATGACACACAGTGACACAGACACACACTGATACACATGCATGATGACACACAAAATGACACACAGTGACACACACAGACACACACTGACACACACGTACAATGACACAGACACAGAGACACACACTGACACACACGTACAATGACAGACACAGAGACACACACTGACACATATGCATGACACACAATGACACACACAGACACTGACACACACACAGATACACACATACAATGACACACACAAGACAGACACAGAGACACACACTTGACACACACACAATGACACACACAGACACTGACACACACACTGTGGTGCATGGTGTGGTCCCTAACGAGCCATGACAAGAGCTCCCATGCTGAGGCCGCATGCTGGGTGTCCCTTGTGTTTGCAGAGTACAGCATCTCGGCAGCCGCCATCGCCATCTTCAGCCTTGGCTTCATCATCCTGGGCAGCCTCTGTGTCCTCCTGTCCCTCGGGAAGAAGAGGGACTATCTGCTGCGACCCGCGTCCATGTTCTATGCCTTTGCAGGTAGACTGGGGGATCTGCCTGAGCGCCGGGGCCGGGGGACCATGTCGCGGGGGATTCTCCGCTCCACCCTCATGCCCACCGCGAGATTTGGGTGAGGGGCATTTCCCAGGCTCCATCCCCATCCAGGGGCAAACCTGGCCAGGCCATCAGCGACTCCAGGTGGGTTGGAGGGAGACAGAGCTTGGCGGTTTGTCCATTCCTCTCCACGACTCAACCCTCAAGGCCCCAAAGAAACTGCCCAGAGAATGATTAACAAAAGAAGGAAAGAAACGTGGTCACCTTTCTTTCTTTTTCTTGGGGGATGAGGAAGAGGGTCTCGCTCTGTCATCCAGGCTGGAGTGCAGTGGCACAATCACAGCTCACTGCAGCCTCGAACTCCTGGGTTCAAGGGTTCCTCCCGCCCCAGCCTCCTAGTAGCTGGGACTACAGACGTGCACCACCACACCTGGCTAATTTTTCATTGTATTTTAATTTTTTGTAGAGACGGAGGGCTCATCACTATGTTGCCAGGCTGGTCTCAAACTCCTGGCCTCAAGCGATCCTCCTGCCTCAGCCTCCCAAAGTGCTGGGATTACAGGTGTGAGCCACCACACCTGGCCACATGGTTGCCCTTCTGAGGGATGCAGGAATAGGGTGGTGGGTGGACAAATGGATCCTTCTGCAGGTTCCCATCTAGAACCTGCCTTGAGGCAGCTTTTCCCCCAAGGCAAGGTCACCGCCTCCTCCATGCACACAGGCTGGGATGGGGCTGGTGGCTACGGCAGACGCCCCTCGGTCCCTGAGCATGCCTGGCTCTGCCCCCAGGTCTCTGCATCCTCGTCTCGGTGGAGGTCATGCGGCAGTCGGTGAAGCGCATGATTGACAGTGAGGACACCGTCTGGATCGAGTACTATTACTCCTGGTCCTTTGCCTGCGCCTGTGCCGCCTTCATCCTCCTCTTTCTCGGCGGTCTCGCCCTCCTGCTGTTCTCCCTGCCTCGAATGCCCCGGAACCCATGGGAGTCCTGCATGGATGCTGAGCCCGAGCACTAACCCTCCTGCGGCCCTAGCGACCCTCAGGCTTCTTCCCCAGGAAGCGGGGTCTTGGCCTGGAACCTTCCAGAGAGGAGGCGGGAGCAATTTTAGCCCCACCCTGCTCCCATCTGCCCCCCTGCAACAGTCGCAGGCTGCTTCCTCTCTCTGAGTTCCTCTGGGCTGCCGCAGGCTCCCCTGGGAATAGAGCAAGACGTGAGTCCTAACCTGGCCACAGTTGGGGGAGGCAGAGCCAGCAGGTGGACAGGTGTTTGCAGGGGCCCAACTTCCCCTGGAGCTCAGAGGTGTCCCCACTGTACCAGCCTCTGATAAGCTGCCTCCAGTTGTCCTTTATGAACATTGCAGGGACAACCTGTGTTTGCCAGCTGGGTGTTCCGTGTAAATAGCCAGCCTGTCTCTTTCTCGGTGATAAAACACACCCTCTCTGGTGAGCCCAGCGTCCCCTCCTTGGCTTCCAGGAGCCCTGGGAAGCATTTTTAACTGGGTAGAATCTGACTGTGGCTTGAAATAAAAAGCTCTCAGAAAACTCATGCTTTCCTGGAGCCTTGCATAGAAATCGCTCGGATTCCCAGTCACATCAGGGGCTCCCCTGACGCCGAATGAGAAGGAAAGGCCGGTCACCCGGGTATGTTGAGGTCTTTTGTGGGGACAAGAGGGCAACGCACGTGGCTTAGAGGCTCTGAATTCCAACTCGTATCTCTAGGCCCTGAGATTGTTTTCGGGAGAAACTAGAAACCCTCTGATGAAGCAAGGGTGTTAAAAATAGGAGGGGTTATTTCTAGAGCCTGGCATGCAACGCACCTGGTGCCAACACAGCGCTAAAGCAGCCAGCCAGTGTCTGATTTCTGATGTTGGATTTTTCTTGTGAAGAACATCAGGAAGCAGGGCTTAGCAGTTAGACACTTAGGGCCACATGGAGAGCCATGATTTGCACTCTTCTGCCTTCCAAAACCCCGCAGTACTTGCCCAGGCTTCCAAAGTGGAGTTCAGACATGATCGGCAGATGGGATCCTTGCCTTGCACCCCGGAGAACCCACTGGAGTTCACGCTTCTAGGGCAGGGTTTGGCAAACTATGGCCCATAGGCCACACCTGGCCTGCCCCCTCTTGCTGTATGGCCCACAAGCAAAAGGTAGTTTTTACAGTTTTAAATTGTTAAAAAAATAAATAAAATTTTTTTTTTTTAAAAAAGGCCAAGCGTGGTGGCTCACGCCTGTAATCCCAACACTTTGGGAGGCCAACATAGGTGGATCACAAGGTCAGGAGTTCAAGACTAGCCTGGGCAAGATGATGAAACCCCATCTCTATTAAAAACACAAAAAATTAGCCGGGCATGGTGGCATGTGCCTGTAATCCCAGCTACTCGGCAGGCTGAGGCAGGAGAACTGCTTGAACCCGGGAGGCAGAGGTTGCAATGAGCCGAGATCACGCCATTGCACTCCAGCCTGGGCGACAGAGTGAGACTCCATCTCAAAAAACAAAACAAAACAAAAAAACCCCCAAAACAATCAAGGAACTGGGCATCACGGCTCACACCTGTAATTTCAGTAATTTGGAAGGCTGAGGCAAGAAGATTGTTTGAGGCCAGGAGTTTGAGACCACCCTGGGCAACACAGCAAGACTCCATCTCTATAAAAAATAAAAATAAAATAATTTACAGATAAAAAGAAGAAGAATATCTCATGACACATGAAAATGATAAGAAATTCACATCTCAATGTCTGTAAATAAAGTTAGATTAACACCAAGCCACGCCCATTCTATGGCTGCTTTCGTCACCATTGAGTAGTTTCAACAGAGATCTTCCATCCCGCAATGCTGAAAATATTTACTATCTGACCCTGTATGAAAAATGTGTGATTACGCCTGTTCTGGAGGAAAACTACAACCATCAGCCCCCATATCAACCTCTTACTGGTCCCATCTAAAAGCTGAGGGGAAGTTCATTATTTCAGTTCGCCTGCGGTATCTCGGGGGTGTGGGCTGGGCTAGGAGGGGTGTCAGAGGAGACTCACTCAAAGACGCAAAGATCCAGCCAGGAAACAAACTTGCTCCAGGTAAAGGAGAATCAGAAGATGACTGTCCTGGCCAGCCAGGGAGCTGGGGCCATGATTTATGAGTAAGAAGGAAGAGCGATAACTTCATCCCATTGATAACCATTTTGGAGGTTGATATTATTGGTGTTTTTCTTTTTTTCTTTTTTGAGACAGGGTCTCACGTTGGAGTACAGTGCCCAGGCTGGAGTACAGTGGCACAATCACAGCTCACTATAGCCTCGAGTTCCTGGGCTCAAGTGATCCTCCTACCTCAGCCTCCCAAGTAGTAGGGACTGCAAGCGTGCGCAGACCACACCCAGCTAATTTTTTTTTGTTTTTTGTTGAGACAGGGTTTTGATATGTTGCCCAGGCTGGTCTCTAACTCCTGGGCTCAAGCGATCCGCTAGCCTTGGCCTCCCAAATTGCTGGGATTACGGGCATGAGCCACCACACCCAGCCTTTTTTTTTTTTTTTTTTTAACAGATCGGAGTCTTGCTATGCTGCCCAGGCTGGCCTCAAACTTCTGGGCTCCAGATGTCCTCCTGCCTCAGTCTCTGGAGTAGCTGGGATTACAGGTGTGAGCCACCATGCCTGGCTCCAATATTATTCTTTTATTACTATTTTTACTTTTAGCAGAATCAGACTGGCATGCATTTTTTCTTTTCTTTTCTTTTTTCTTTTTTTTTTTTTTTCTTTAGATGGTGTCTTGCTCTGTCACCCAGGCTGGAGTGCAGTGGTGTGATCTCAGCTCACTGCAACCTCCGCCTCCCGGGTTCAAGCAATGCTCCTGCCTTAGCCTCCCGAGTAGCTGGGATTACAAGTGCCGGCCACCACACCCAGCTAATTTATTTTTGGTAGAGACGGGGTTTCACCATGTTGGCCAGGATGGTCTCGAACTCCTGACCTCAGGTGATCCACCTGCCTCAGCCTCCCAGAGTGCTGGGATTACAGGCGTGAGCCACCATGCCCGGGGCCTTGGCATGCATTTTCTACTTCCCCATGGATGCCTATGGGTCGGTCCCCCCAAAACACATCTGAATGGAATATCCACCAAACAGAATACATTCGGCTTCCCAGGCTTTTAACTCTTCCAAGATATACTTCAGCACAGCCAGAACTGCGATACAAACCAAAGGGTTGGAGGCTGGCCGCCAGAGAGCCACACATCCTGGCATCTGCCCCAGAAAGAGGCAACGCAGCAAAGCAAAATAAAGTTGACCAAACCAATGAGGGAAAACGTCTTACTCCCCACCCGCCAAATGCTGCTTGCCAGAAGGATGTCCACAGGGGAAAATGGTTGGCTTTGCCAGGGACTGAAGGCCTCACTTCAGGGTCCATGCAGGCCCTGCTCTGAAGGCCACCCAGAGCCCAACCACAGAACAAACAGTGCCATCTGCCCTGAAGCCTTGGTTGGCCTCAGAAGCTACTGGCTTCTCATTCCTTGCTGTGGGAACTGTGTGTTTTTTTGTTTTTTTTTTTTGAGACAGAGTCTTGCTCTGTTGCCCAGGCTGGAGTGCAGTGGCATGATCTCAGCTCACTGCAACCTCCGCCTCCCAGATTCAAGCGATTCTTCTGCCTCAGCCTCCTGAGTAGCTGGGACTACAGGCGCCCACCACCACACCTGGCTAATTTTTGTACTTTTAGTAGAGACGGGGTTTCGCCATGTTGGCCAGGCTGGTCTCGAACTCCTGACCTCGGGTGATCCGACCACCTCGCCTCCTGGAACTATGTGACTTTGACCCACAGCACACCTTGATGTCCTGTCACACTTGCAATTTCTCAGCGTTTTTTGTTTTTTTATTAATTTTATTATTATTATTATTGAGACAGAGTCTTACTTGCTGCCCAGGCTGGAGTGCAGTGGTGCGACTTCAGCTCACTGCAGCCTTGACCTCCTGGGCTCAAGCGATCCTCCTGTCTCAGCCTCCCGAGTGGCTGGGACCACAGGCACGTGCCACCACACCCGGCTAATTTCTGCAATTTTTTTTTAGAGACAGGGTTTCGCCATGTTGCCCAGGCTTTCTCAGCGTTTTTACATCCATCATCTTCCGTGAGGCAAAGAAGGCAGCAGAGGCAGGACCAGCAACTAGTTCATCAAGATCCAGACTTAAGTGTGATTTTTTAAGAACTGTGGTAAAATACACATAACGTAAAATTACCATCTTAATCACATTTTCGTGTAGAGTTCAATCACGTTAAATACACTCGCATTGTTGTGCAACTCTGAACACCGTGCATCTCCAGAACTCTTCGTCATCCCAAACTGAAACTCACAAGCACTAACTCTGCGTCCTCTCCTTCCCACAGCCACTCTTCCACTTTCTGTCTCTGGGAGTTTGACTCCTCTAGGTACCTCGGGATCAGCGGAATCATGGAGTATTGGTCCTTTTGTGACGGGCTCATTTCCCTCGACTGCTAATGCCTTTAAGGTTCATTTGCACGGTACCAGGTATCAGAACTCCCTTCCTTTTTCAGGCTCAGCAATATCCCACTCTACGTATTCCCATATTTTGTTTATCCACTCATCCACTGATGGACGCTGGGTTGTTTCCAACTCTTGGCTCTTGTGATTTACTGCTGCTATCAACACGGGTTCATGCTCTGCTTCAGGCCCTGCTTTTGGTTGTTTTGGATGCACTGACTGGGACATTTTTAAAAAATTAAAATTAATGCAAAATCTCCACAATTAACACCATATCAAAACTATTAAGTAGGTGCAAACGTAATTGCAGTTTTTGCCATTGAGAGGAATGGCAAAAACTGGGCAGATGTGGTGGCTCATGCCTGTAATCCCAGCACTTTGGGAGGCAGAGGCGGGTGGATCACTTGCGGTCTGGAGTTCAAGACCAGCCTGGCCAACATGGTGAAATCCTGTCTCTACTAAAAATACAAAAAAAAAAAAAAAAACAGCCAGGCGAGGTGGTGGGCACCTGTAATCCCAACTACTTCAGAGGCTGAGGCAGGAGACTCGCTGGAACCTGTGAGGCGGAGGTTGCAGTGGGCCAAGATCCTGCCACTGCACTCCAGCCTGGGTGATGGAGCAAGACTCCATCTCAAAAAAAAAAAAAAAAAGTAATGGCAAAAACTGCAATTATGTTTGCACCAACCTAAATTAGAACCAAGGCTGCTGTTTTCCCACCTGTCTGATGAGGGCCCTTACCAATCCTCACTTGGCCTCTGCCCAGGTTCCTGGGAGAACCAAGAGATGGCTCCCTCTCTCTCTGGCCAGCACACGGTAGGACCTGCTCCAGTGGCTTGGTGCTTAGTTCCTCCTTAAACTGAAAATTTCAAGGATCTCTGTGTACCTCTATTTTTTTTTTCTGGCTGTGCCGGTAAAGACGGATTTTAATCACAGCCTATCGCAATATTTCCCCTGCCAGTGTGACTTGTTCCATTTTGACCAAATATTTTATTTACAAATCCATTTCTAATTTATACCCTGCCCACTTTCAGAAATGATTAGAAGTGGAGACAAGGTATTAATAAACCTATGATGTGGAACATATCTATTAAACCAATGATTGGTATTCAGGCTGGGATGCAGCTGCCCCTGGCTTCCCCAAGCCTTCATTTCTCAGTCTCACTCAATTGCAACCACTGAGGCCATAAATTAATCCCCACACAAGGCATTGATCCTGCACATTGGAGAAAGTTAATTAAGGTCATTGCCATTACAAGCAGCGATACTTTCTATTCTTTTGGCTTTGCTTCTGACAAGAATTTTTGCCTAAATGTGAAAGCCTGGACTTTTTGGAAATTTTCGTCATTTAGGGGATATGACTTTCATACACAGCTAGCCCTACCTTACTGCTACATTATTATTATTATTATTATTATTATTATTATTATTATTAGAGACAGAGTCTTGTTCTGTCGCCCAGGCTGGAGTGCAATGGCGCAATCTCGGCTCATTGCAATCTCCGCCTCCTGGGCTCAAGCAATTCTGCCTCAGCCTCCCAAGTAGCTGTGACTACAGGCACGCACCACCACACCCGGCTAGTTTTTGTACTTTTTGTAGAGACGGGGTTTCACTATGTTAGCCAGGCTGGTCTGGAACTCCTGACCTCAAGTGATCCACCTCGGCCTCCCAAAGTGCTGGGATTATAGGTGTGAGCCACCGTGCCCAGCCTTGTACTTTTGACCTCTGCTTCCTTCAAAAAATTCTCCAAATTTTCCCCCGAATATTTCCGTTGTCCAATGTTTGTGCTTCTACCACCTGCCCTTTAAACTTTGGTGTTTTCTGCCAGGTCTCATCTCACATCACAATTTCTAGGAAATCCCATTCATCTCCAGGACATCGGTTACCTGTGACCATCATAAGCCCCTGCCAATCTCTCATTCAGGTATCAGACCCGGTGTGTTGCCTTGCTTTCTGCAGAAACTTTGTTCTCCGGAGGTTCCAGGCCACCCCACGTGCCTAAGTCCAAACCTAACCCATGGCTTTTTTTTTTTTTCTTTTTTTTGAGGCAGTTTCACTCATGTTGCTCAGGCTGGAGTGCAATGGCTCCGTCTCAGCTCATTGCAACCTCTGCCTCCTGGGTTCGTGATTCTCCTGCCTCAGCCTCCCAAGTAGCTAGGATTACAGGTGCCCGCCACCATGCCTGGCTGACTTTTTTTTTTTTTTTAAGTAGAGATGGGGTTTCAGCATGTTGGCCAGGCTGGTCTCGAACTCCTGACCTCAGGTGATCCACCCACCTCCGCCTCCCAAAGTGCTAGGATTATAGGCATGAGCCACTGAGCCTGGCCCCAACCCATGACTTTTCTTAACCAAACCGACTCTGCCTTTTTTGTTCCCTCACTTTGATGGGCACCCTATGTACCTATGCCCCCAAGCCAGAAGTTGCTGTCATTTCTTGGACTCCTATCGTGCTCACTAAGCCAAGTCTCGCAGATTCTGCTTCTGAAATGACTCCCAAATCCATCTCCTCATTTTCGTTCTTTCTGTCACTGCCTAAGGGCTCTCTGACCCTCTCGCTGTCACTGGTGAGCACTGACTGCTCTGGAGAACACTGTCTCTCAAACATTCCAAGCCAGCTGACATCCCTCCCACACAGGGCCTCCTTCACTTAAACAAACACATGCTTACTGAGTATATTCACTTTCCATGGATGCTGTAGCAAATAACGGAAATGTAGTGGCTTAAAATAACACAAACTTATTCTGCTAGTTCTGGAGATCAGAAGTCTGAAATGAGTCTTATGAGGCAAAAATCAAGGTGTCTGCGGGGATAGTTCCTTCTGGAAGCTTCAGGTGAGAATTGATCGCCTTGCTTTTCCTGTTTCTGGAGTTAGATGGCGCTCCTTGGTTTGTGGCTGCGTCACTCCAATCTCTGCTTCCATCATGGCGTCTCTGTCTCTTTACTTTGATTCTCCTGCCTACCTCTTAGAAGGGCCCCTGTGATTACTACACTGGGCCTGCTCAGAAGATCCAGGAGAATCTCTTCACCTCAAATCCTTCACTTAGGCCGGGCGCGGTGGCTCACACCTGTAATCCCAGCACTTTGGGAGGCTGAGGCGGGTGGATCACGAGGTCAGGAGATCGAGACCATCCTGGCCAACACGGTGAAACCCCATCTCTACTAAAAATACAAAAAAATTAGCCAGGCGTGGTGGCGGGCGCCTGTAGTCCCAGCTACTCGGGAGGCTGAGGCAGGAGAATGGCGTGAACCCGGGAGGCGGAGCTCGCAGTGAGCCAAAATCATGCCACTGCACTCCAGCCTGGGCGACAGAGCAAGACTCAGTCTCAAAAAAAAAAAAAACACAAATCCTTCACTTAAGCACACCTGCCAAGTCCCTTTTTCCATATAAAGAAGCAGGTCTCACAGGTTAGGAAGTGGACATCCACGCAGAGGTTCTGAGGATTCGGATGGGGACGTTTGGGGAGGACCACTGTTCTGTCTACCATGCTGATGATCAACATTGCGTGCCAGGCTAGGCACTGTGCTAAACTAGAATAAAACAAGGAATAAATTACAGTCCTGTCCTTCAGGAACTCAGAGTTCAATGGCAGATGATTTTAAAGTAAAGTGCTGGGTTACGTGAGGTGGCTCACTCCTGTAATCCCAGCACTTTGGAAGGCCAAGGCGGGTGGATCACCTGAGGTCAGGAGTTCGAGACCAGCCTGGCCAACATGCTGAAACCCCATCTCTACTAAAAATACAAAAAGTTAGCCAGGCGTGATGGCGGGTGCCTGTCAGCTACTCGGGAGGCTGAGGCAGGAGAATCGCTTGAACCCAGCAGGCAGAGGTTGCAGTGAGCCAAGATGGTGCCACTGTAGTCCAGCCTGGGCAACAAGAGCGAAAGTCCATCTCAAAAATTAAAATAAAAATAAAAAATAAAAAGTAAAGTCCTATGAGATTTGAGATGAGGACTAAGCTCTATTTTTCTATCTTGCTCAAATTCCTACCTAAGGGGTCTAAGGAGTCATGCCCTACAAATCATAATCCTCATCGGATGGGTTCTATTTGACCCTATATATTGTGACTTACTTTTCAATCTGACTGGCATAACATTATGAGACAAGGAAAAAAATATTTAACCCCAAAATGTATTTCCTTGCCATACCTCGAAATTACCCTGCAAAGTCTCTTGTGGGAAAAATCCACATTCTATAGAGAATCCATTTCCCCCTTTGTTTTCCTTCCTTTCTTTCCAGATCCAGGAGATAATCAACTAAGAGCCAGGCACCCTTTTAGGTCTGATAAGAAACATTTTAGACCAGCTGCAGTGGCTCACGCCTGTAATCCCAGCACTTTGGGAGGCGGAAGTGGGCGGATCACCTGAGGTCAGGAGTTTAAGACCAGCCTGGCCAACACGGTGAAACCCCATTTCTACTAAAAATACAAAAATTAGCCAGGTGTGGTGGCACACGTCAGTAATCCCAGCTACTCCGGAGGCTGAGGCACGAGAATTGCTTGAACCTGGGAGGCAGAGATTGCTGTGAGCCGAGATCATGCCACTGCACTCCAGCCTGGGTGACAGAGCAAGACTCCGTTTCAAAAAAAAAAAAAAGAAACATTTTACAATCTGCTCTCTCTCTGAAGTCTGTTATCCAAGAGATTCCTCTGCACAGTAAAACTTGGTCCCCACAATCCTTTATCTTAACCTGAAGATTCCTTTCCATTAATCCCAGGTCTTCAGATAAACTCAACCAATTGTCAACCAGAAAATATTTAAATTTACCTATAGCCTGGAAGCCCCCACTTTGAGTTGCCCTGCCTTTCTGAATTAAACAGATGTATATCTTAAATGTATTTGATTGATGTATCATGCCTCTGTAAAATATATAAAATCAAGCTGCACACCGACCACATTGGGTACCTGTTCTCAGGACCTCCTGAGGGCTGTGTCATGGGCCATGGTCACTCAAATTTGGCTCAGAATAAATCTCTTCAAATATTTTACAGAGTTTGACTCTTTTTGTCGACAGGGAGGGTTCCTTTTTGTTGTTGTTGTTGTTTTGGAGACGGAGTATCGCTCTATCGCCAGGCTGGAGTGCACTGATGCGATCTCGGCTCACTGCAACCTCCATCTCCCGGGTTCAAGCGATTCTCCTGCCTCAGCCTCCCGAGTAGCTGAGATTACAGGCACGTGCCACCACGCCTAGCTAATTTTTGTATTTTTAGTAGATACAGGGTTTCACCATGTTGGCCAGGCTGGTCTCGATCTCTTGACCTCGTGATCCTCCCGCCTTGGCCTCCCAAAGTGCTGGGATTACAGGGGTGAGCCACCGCGCCCAGCCTCAGGAGGGTTCCTTGGAAGCATAGAAGGGGCATGTGGCCTGGCACTCTCTACCCTACTTGTTCTGCAGGGCCCAGCTCAGACATTATAAGGTGAGATGTTCTCCATCTCCTCAGGGCAAAATTCATGCTTCTCTCCTATTTGACACTTTGTTCATATTTCTAATACTTACCTCATTGTAGTATAGCTCATTGGGCCACATGCTTTGTTGATTATAAATTCTTTGAAAGTAAGGCCTGTATTTTCTGCAGAATCATCCTGCCAGCTAGAATCACCCCCTCCCCACAATCCTTTTGCCAAATCCTCTGCACAGCAGCACACGGTGGCCTCAGGACATGCTAATGCAGTGAATAAGCTCATGAACTAAAGTGCTGTCAGAGAGGGAATGGGCAGGAGGGACGCATGCAATGATGCTACAAAAAAGAATCGGCGCTGGATGCATGGCTCACGCCTGTCATCCCAGCACTTTGGGAAGCCAAGGCAAGAGGATCACTTGATCCCAGGAGTTCAAGACTAGCCTGGGTAACATAGCAGGACTCCATCTCTACCAAAAACAACAACAACAAAAAAAATAGCCAGGCATGGTGGTACACACCTTTGGTCCCAGCTACTCAGGAGGCTGAGGTGGGAGGATTGCTTCAGCCCGGGAGGTGGAGGCTGCAGTGAGCTATAATTGCACCACTAAACTCTAGCCTGGATGACAGAGTGAGACCCTGTCTCAAAACAAAAACAAACAAACAAAAAATAAAAGGTCGTGGGGGAATCCACACCATAAGAATACTTCAAGAAGCAAGAAAAGAGTACACAAGAGCTCATTCACAATCCAGGTCCCTGACCTCAGGTGTTGGCAGCCAGAGTGGCTTGTCCCTGAGTTTTGCTTAAGTCAGATCAATGTGACTGAGCCAGCTGTATTTGGTACAGCAGAGCCCACAGCTGCACATCTCTGAGATGAGACGATTTTATGAGCTAGAACACATCAGCTGACAGCCTTTAAGAACAGAGAGATTTCAGGCAAGGTGCAGTGGCTCACATCTATAATCCTAGCACTTTGGGAGGCTGAGGCAGGCAGATTGCCTGAGCTCAGGAGTTCGAGACCAGCCTGGGCAACACGGTGAAACCCTGTCTCTACTAAAATACAAAAAATTAGCCAGGCGTGGCAGCGTGCACCTGCTGAGGCGCACTCGGAAGGCTGAGGCAGGAGAATTGCTTGAACCCAGGAGGCGGAGGTTGTAGTGAGCCGAGATCGTGCCACTGCACTCCAGCCTAGGCGACAGAGTAATACTCCATCTCCAAAAAAAAAATAAATAAATAATAAGATTTCTAGAAGTATAATTACACTAGATCACAGTTTATTTTTTTCCAAAAAAGTTGACCTTCCACTCTGTTAGCTGAGCCAGCCCAGCAGGAATTGTCTGTGGTCCTCGACAGCCACACTGAGACTTGATTCGTCAAGATGAAGCCTATTCCCTCACCCATCTCCCAATCATCTTCTGTTAATTTTGTCCCAAGTTATACAACTTGCTTTAAACCTGGTTCTAAGTCTAAGAGGATTGAATCTGCAAAACTTCGTCTAAGAAAAGGAGCCTAGAGCACCCACGTCTGTTTAGCTTTGGAAAATCACGCACATCCCTGAATTCTAAACAGATGGAAGACTTAACCAGCAGGTGGGTTTGGGGACCAGGCATGAAGACAAGGCCACCTACTGCTGTGACTTCCGGACCTTCCATTTAGGCTCCCGTGTATCTTTTGCCTATAAAGGAAACAAAACTCAGAAGACTAATTGGAACATTTCCGAGTTTCCTTTGCAAGGTCTCCAAAACTTTCAGGCACTCCCCTCCTACATCCAAAATGGCTTGTCATCAGTGTTTCTGTTCAATCTGGGAGCAAATGACATCAAAACTCCATCCTCCCACGGCTCCGTGTGCAGGGGAGCATAGCATGTGAGCCGAGTGTCCAGCTGGCCATGCCTACCTTCAGAGTCCTTCACTGGCTCCTCCAGATCACCTCGCCAGCACCACTTTGTTCTCAGGGAATTGCAGCACAATTTCCTGAAACAAAGGTTCAAATCAATTTGCAGAGCAGCAGTTTTAATGAGCTAAGAGTGGGATAATACCATAGGTTTTGCAAGCTGCAGCTTCTATTCAATTTAATTACCTTCCCTTGTGGATTTCAAATCAACCAGAGCTTCAGACAAAGGGGGAATTTCATCACATTCCCAGAACACTGCATGGCAGGTATATGCCTACAGACCAGAATGTGCTAAAGTAGGCAGCATCCATCAAAACTGACATAACCATGGTGAAGCTGTCAGGTGAAGGGTTCTAACAGTGATACCAGGCAAGACAGAAAATACTCATGAATGCTAACGCTTTGTCACTGCTCGGAGAACCATGTGGAATGGGCAGAGACAACACCGGACAAGACAGCTTACTCCTCCTTCATCCCAAGCCATCACTCTCCTGCCAAGTGTTGTCATAAGGCCACACTGTGTGGGCAAAGAATGTCAGGCAAATAATGTCAACGGGGAGGGGAGAGCATCTTTAAGCTCTTCTCTCGATCAAACCCCCAGATCCAGTTCAGCAAGCGTTCATCGAAAGCCTGCCATATAACAGGCACAGAGCTGGTGCTGGTGGTTTAGAGGTCTGAGGACATTATCTCTGCTTCCCAAGAGCTCTTAGACTCCCAACTATAACACAAAAATGGTGATAAGGGAGATATAAAGCTTAATTGCAAGCACAGAGACAAAAGGGCTAATTCCACCTGGGTAGTGTGGGAGGTGACATTGGGTCTCGACTAATCAGTATCCCTGAGGAGTGGGAGTCTGAGAGCTGATGGGCATGCTCCAAACAAAATTGAGAGGCCGGAAGATCAAGGGTTTGTTCAGAAAGTGACGGTGACTGATCTGCTACAACCTGGTATGTGCAATGCTCAGGAACATGCCTTGGGTGCCTCGAAATCCAGCTAAAAAATGTAGGATGTGATGGAGAGCCACTGAAGGCTTTTCAGCAAAAGAGTGGTACAGTCTATTTCAGAAAGGGAAATGGCTGCAGTTGGTAGCATGAACTGAAAGTGAGGCAATGCAATCAACACAGGGCTCTTCAAATCTTAAGAGGATTTCCACCCATTAGGGAATTGATTTGTTAGGACAATACTATGTAACTCGAGCAGCAGAGTCAATTTCAGACTAAGTGCTCTTTGGCTGTTCAGAGCTAACCACAGGAATATCTGGATGCTCCAGTTTAAAAACGGCTGGGATGCCAGCACTGCTTCTGCTAACCAGCTTTTGCTCTTCATACTTGACCTGCACTCCACATCGAATTTCCCATCTTGCAGTTTTGATGAAAGGAAGTGATTGTTTTATCAATTACATTTTCACACGAACTTTCATACCAATACCATTCTCAGAAAAATGCTTCAAATAGCATCAATATGGCATAGGGCTAACACCTGCGGCAGTCACATCTGCATTTTCCCAGTGACAGTGGAGCCTTGGGGTTATTTCATCTAGAGCAGGGAACAGCTCAAGGAGTCCCCCAAATCCATTTGATTTATATGGAGAGAAGTTTTTATTTCTTAAGTCCAGATTTGATTGTCATATCAAATCATCTCAAAGCGAGATACCTAGCTTAAAATGGATTCACCGCAATGAGTACAAATGGTACATTGTCCTTAGGAAAGGCTGACCGTCCCATCTACTTACATTTACAAACTTGAAGCACAGTACATTCAAGCTAGATTTATGGTGCCACATTAATAGGATGTTAAAAATAAAATAGCCAGGGCACACAAAGCCTTCTGTGACCTGCTAATGCTTCTCAAAATCACATCATGGCAGATGCAAAGAATTATTTCCCCAAGAAAAACAAGACCTTGACTCAGGGCAATTTTCTGCACAACCAGCATTTTTTTTTTTTTTTGGATTGTTGAATTAATGTTTGGCACGCATTACTGTGAAGTGCATGATTATACCTACATAATATATCACTACAAACTAGGTTTATGAGTTCTCAAATAAATTCTGGGCCGCATTAACAACTAAGTGACTTGTTAAGAGTAATTCAGGATAATTTTCTTAAATTTGTAAGATATTTGTTGAATGACTGTTTGAAAAGGGCTTATTTTCTCACTGACCACTGGAGATCTTTAAACTTTCAGGTAACACGTTTAAGTCTTAAAAGCATTACTGCTGAAGTTAGGGGATTTAAGCCAAGTCACAAATGTCTGGAAAGTAGAGTTAGAACTTTACAAATTCACACTGAGTTCTCAGTTACATTCGTTTTACCATTTACTATTAGGAATAAAATCAAAGGGCTGTGCTTAACTTCAGTCAGACCTTTGACCTTAAGGGCAGAAGGAAGCAGAGAATTATAGTTCACACATAATAAACACATCTCCAAATTATTAAAAAGGCATTTTATTATAAATACATTTTAGTTGTAGCAGTAAAATACATTTTGTTACCATGAATCTTTGAAAACAAAAGAACTTCACTGAGACAATGAGCACACTGTAGGAACTGTAGACCCCAAGTTGAAAACTTGTTCTATGGAACCAAAGTAGCTAACGTAATTCCAAAACTAAGTTAGAAAAGATAAAGACAAAGAAAGAAGAAAATAAAAACCCTAGAGAGTGGCTTTGGGGTTATTTTATGGTACAAAGTCACTTTTACTTTTAAGGATAAACTCTTTAGGTATTAGAGCCTCTTAGATGAGGTATCATTTACTGCAAAGAAAAAAAATTGTTATAATTTTGCCATAAGTTATGCCTATTTAGATGGCTGTATAACTGGTACTTTGAAGAGATGAACCTGACCACCTCAGTTTTGTACAGCTTCCCTCAGGAAGACTTCCCAAAATAAGACTCAGTATGAATTTGCTAAGTAACTGATCTATGAAGTTAGCTGAACAAGTTTAGATAAGAACTATATGTATGAAGCATTAAAAAAAAATCCTGTGTCACTAATAACAGGACCCTTTAATAAAATGCAAAACTCATTATCTTTATAATTTAGAAGAGAAGTATTTTAATCACCATATTTACCTAGGATACAACTACTACATATAGCCAGTACCTTTATGGGGTTTAAAGAATCAGGTCAGATGACTGGCACAGAAATCAGATACAGTACAATGTCATATACATGGATTTATAGGAAGCAGGCATGGTCTGGATTTATGAAAATCCAGGACCCTTCCTCTGTAAAGGGGGAGGCTGAGAAACATTCTCAGCTGCACTGACACTTTGGGACTTCAACCAGGACAAAGAGCCCTCTGACCTACTGAAAGATATAAAGAGGTCTTCGCATACAAGTTATCGTGCAAAGCAAAGTGTAAATAAACCGAAGCTCCCCTCTAAGTTGGGACTGCATAAAGGAACCCAGGCTGAAAATATAAACAATCCTCTCCAAAGGTGAGCAAGCCTTTTCAGTAGGAAGGACTGTGTCTTAAGAAAACTCCAAAGCTGTATATTCTACGATGGTCTTCACGTGTACTTTTACACCTAAGTCATTCTGTATTCTATTACCATAAAAATAGCTTTTTTTTGTCTTTCTAGTAGCTCAGTAAATTCAAAGGCAAACTAAAAACCAGAAGCAGAGCCCAGTACCCCCCAAGATGCAGTCCAGATAAAACAGCAACAACACACAAATTAAACAATACCCAAAGACCTGACAGGTTTATTATATTATAGGCAGTTTCTTTCTCAAAAATAACTTGCTCATACATGTGCACCTATGACTTATGAATAATTCATGCTGTGTAGGTGGTAGATCCCCCTAGGCTGTTTTGCAAACACATATAGATTTTTTTAAAGGTAGCAAAGTAATCAGAGACATTTATTTTCTGCCATATGTAACACTTCAGGCTCTCTCTAACACCTGCTGGCATGGCAGAGAATCTAAAATAACTTTGTTAACCTGAGAAACACATAATTTGAAAAACAAATCCTTTGCCCTCACCACCCTCCCCCACAAAAAAAAAAAATAATAATAACCATAAAAACTAAAACATTTGCCAGGCGCAGTGGCTCATGCCTGTAATCCCAACACTTTGGGAGCCCGAGGCGGGCAGATCATGAGGTCAAGAGATGGAGACCATCCTGGCCAACACGGTGAAACCCCGTCTCTACTAAAAAATACAAAAATTAGCTGGGCGTGGTGGCGCATGCCTGTAGTCCCAACTACTTGGGAGGCTGAGGCAGGAGAATCACTTGAAGCCGGGAGGCGGAGGTTGCAGTGAGCCGAGATCATGCCACTGTACTCCAGCCAGGGCAACAGAGCGAGACTCTGCCCCGAAGAAAAAAAAACAAAACTATTATTTTATTATTTAAGGATTATCTGTGGTTTTCGATGCTCCATGTCACTGCCATCTTAGGACAGGGACTCCTGCACTTAGTGCCTCGATACATGCTAGGTGCACTCTCATGGCATTCTGATGGCTTCTTTCCAGGATTCTCACTTCCATGCATGTGGATCAAGATTGACCCTAAGCACACCAAACAAATGCACAGCTTCCAGACTGATGTCCAGGCAGCAGCGTACACAAAAGCAAACTCACCCTAAAACCAAAGAGCTCCTTCACCCTACTGCGGAAGAGCAGTGCAGACCCCAGCAGGGGTGAGAGTGAGGAGGGGTGGTGGCCAATCCAAAGGGCCTGTCGCTCCATGGAGACCTTTCTCCACAAATGTTCCAGTCATGGCACCAGATTTATAAAAATGTCTCCAGAGATCAGTTTTTTACACTGAGTAAATAAATACATGGTTGAAAAGACGTTCAGACTCTGAAGGTCTCTGAGACTTTCAAACTGCGAGAATCAGACCCAGTGATTTTCAAAGTGTGGTTCCTGGACTGGCAGCATCAGCATCGCCTGGAAACTTGTTGGAAATGCAAATCATCAGGCTCCAGACCAAAATCAGAAATGCTGGGGGTGGGTCCAGCTATCTGAATTTTAACAAGACCTCGAGGCAATTCTGATACTGGCTGAAGTTTGAGAACCATTGCTCCATCCTGTTCACAATTCTCAAATCTTAAAACAGGACAGATCTGTAAATAGTACTATGTGACTTCTACTCTGTGTTGCAACCTATGTAATTTGCCACCCTTTCCCCTTTACTTCTCAAACATTAAAAAAGTATTAATGAAAACACTTCATAAAATCAAAAATTTCTTAAAAGGTAATATCGATTTCCCCTCCTCTACATAGTTCTAAGGCAGGCAATCACATGCTAGTATGCAAAGTAAAATACAGAAGAGACCTCATATATGAGGTAGAAACAGTTAAAAAGACTCCCCACGAACATAATGAAAATTTCATAATATTGTTTAATGAACTCATAGAATTATATAAAACTTACTATGCTTTATGCTTAATATCTGTATCAAAATAAAATCTCTCTGTTGAACAAATTGCAAATAAAGTCTGGTCTAATACTCTGATAACTGAAACTATATGAATGTCTCTGGGTTTTCTTAACACTCCAGTTTTAGACGCTTTAGACGACCACTGCGGAACTGGGTTTGGTATTTAACCACAGTTCACATTTCTAAGTCTAGATTCTTCTATTAGGTACCTCCCTCCAAAAAATTTTTAGAAACTCTGGTGACTGTTTCCTTAAACTTCACTCCAAAGTAGACATTCTCAATTGGTTCAAAAATTTTAAACGTTACATTAAAATTGTTTTTAAATCTCTTGAATCTCATATTCTAGTTTAAAGTAATAACAGGATGTGTTTAGTAAGATTCACTCCTTGCAACAATGGTCTTGACATTACTGATTAAAAAGGTATGAAAGTAGAAAGTGTGAATTTAGCAGCTTTAAAGTCTCAGCTAATAAATGTCCATCCTCAAGCAGATGGGAAATGTGAGGAGCATATCATAATGAGCATTTTCAAGACTAACATGCCAGTTACTCTTTCAAGATGGAGATGGTGTCTTTGTAAGTGATTGGCACCACTACGTGATATTTTGAACAAGAAATCGTAGATAGAACATTACCTATTCTTTCTAATTTCTAGGCGGTTTGAATGTGGATCAGATGGCAAAGAGTGGAGACAAATCAGATCCATTAAGACATTTATACCTTGAGATTCAGGAAGACATATAGCGCGGCAGTAGAAATTAAGGATTTTCATATGTTAAGGGGATGGTGAGCAAGAAATAATGTACGGTAAATCATAAAAGACAAATTACTACCATTGAGGAGCTGGAGGGAAAAAAAAAAACACAATGGCTAGCTTACATGACATTTGAAAGCACCAATTTGTATCTTTCAATACATTTAAAGTTTTAACCTTGTATTTTTATAGATTCTTTCTGGGATTCCCTTTTTAAAAATAACTCCACTATAAAACAATGCTATAGAAGGTGTCTGTTTTTAAATGAGTATTTCAGTAAGTCTAATTTTCTTAATAACAATGGTTGAAATACTAAAATTTATCTTGAAATTGTTCTTCACACCCTGACTCTTAACAAAGGTGGCTCGCTCTAGCTAAGGGGGCTAGAGAAACATCTTTTACGTCTGCAGCTTTGCTCTTGACATGAAAAATATTAAACACATAAAATCAACTACACTAGAGCAACACAATACTATATATTAATTATCCCAAAGTTGGGAAATTCATTAGCTTTCTCAGCAGCTCCAATGCCTCCATAAAAAAGGAGAGTATTTTCATAAATTGGTCTTAGATGTTGCTATGTTTAATTAGGTAATGCTTATTCAGTGGGAATTCTGCTTATTTTACTTATTCTGCAGTTCTCTGAACTGAAAAGACCAGTTGATGTTTACATTAAACCTAAACTTATTCTAAAATCTGATGATTTAAAAAAAAAAAAAATCTACACAAAGCAGTTTGTTATTTCACGTGTAAAAAATGACCTGGATAGAAAGCACATCTGTGTGAGGAAAGGAAAATTAAGGTCATGTTAGTTTAAATGGTCAATAATTAACTACTGATTAATCAAAAACAAAGTTCTGCTATAACAATTTGGCAAAGCATATGCCCAAATGACAACCAAAACCCCCTTTAAAGACACACAAGAAAATATCCATGTTACACGGAATGAGGTTCTTCAAATCGTAACAAAAGACCATTTTTAGATCATGAAAAGAATTTTTTCAGCATGAAGGCTCACTTTACAAACTCTATCATCCAAAATATCGTCTTTCAGGTTAAAAAAAAAGAAAATCTCAAGTAGCACTGAAATTAAAAAGTGAAACAAATATTCTGGCAAGAAAAAGAAAACTTCAGAGTGATACAAAGGACAAAGATGTAAAAAGACATTATGTGAACAATTAACCTCACTTAGAAAAAAATCTGCTCTGAAGAAATGGAAGCTGGTAATACTTGGTATTATCTGAGAGCTATCATCAAGTTTTCTGGAAAAAAATTTTATATACATATACTATACATATATATGCATATATAAGGGTTGAACCTAGCATATAAGTTATGTTTCATAAATCTGATTTATGGGTACTTGCTACTACTACTCAAGTAATACCCAAAGAACATCAGCTGTACTCAGAAGACACGCCTCATTTTGATGGAAACTTGCAATGATTCTTACACAAGACGTGTTCAAAATGTTATAAGATACTATGCGTAAAGAGCAGGTTCTTTAAAGCATGGTTGGAAAGATGGCATTATGTAATGCTGAGGAAGAGTAAGCTTGTTGTAAGTCAAAATAAGCATTTGATGCAGAATCTAAGAAGAGTATCAGATGGAAGCAGCGTTAGAATCCTTGACTGGCTATGGAAATAAGGAATGAGAAGTACTCATATACTCACAGCAGAGCGGTGGGCCAATAAGTAGCTATTATTTTTAGTTTTTAGAAATAACTGCTTAGAACAAGGATGTCATGACAACTTAATAGCTTCCTTATCCAAAGCTTCCATCATCAACATATTTATATAAGGTGATGGGGTGCATACACGACCCCATGACCCTTAACTAAATATAAATATAAATAATTTAAAAACTGATATTTTTTAAAGATTCAAGTATAGAAAACAGAAAATTAGGCAATAACCTCATGACAAGGGGTCAACTGAAAGCCCTGACTTGACAATTCTGTCTTCATATTATCAGATTGCTTTTGAACATTTATCTAGCTTGCGTTGTAGTCCTGTATATGGGGGCTGGGGGGTGGATAATCACTGATGGGAAAATTATTTTCCATAACATCCTCACATCAGAGAGATCTAATTTTCATTCGGATATGTCTTGAGTTTTGTCACAGACTTAAAAGCACATAGCTACGTGGCAAAACTTTTTCTTCTTTTCTTCCTACTAAAGAATGTTGAGTAAAATTTGACATTGCTAAATGTGGTGATCTGACATCATACAGAGAAAGAGTGGTGCTGTAACTTGCCGGCTCAGTTTTCCAGCTGTGATTTATGCTAACCATTAACACGTCTGCAGTTTACAAGTCTATGTCTGCCACCTTACACAGAGACCCACAGCCTGGAACGCAAAGCCACACACAAATGAACCGCACTCTTAGCAGAAAGGTAGAGCTGAATACAAGAGGCACGCAGCGCTTATCCTGGAGCTTGCTAACCATTAACCAAAGGCACTCTTTTATCCCAAACTGTCTGAGGATTAAAAGGGGTTGTAGCTGGCCAACATAAACTAAACTCCAATCATAGAAGAAATGTCAGTAATTTTTCTTTACCTTTGCCATTTTACAACCTGATTTTAAAAATGTACTTTGATTATAGGATTGCCTATCGAAAGTGGTCTTCCAAAAACCTGTTTTTGAATGGATCATCAGGAAGATTGGGTTCATTCGAAAGGTTCCCCAGCCTCATCTTATTTTTTTTTAAAAGTTTATATTGTAGTTTCGAGATACCTCTGAAATATAAAAGTAGTATTACAAGGTCAGGAAAATAAGGACATATATTGCTTTAAATGTGTGACAAGACCATAAGTTTCAAGAGGGTAAACATCTTCCTTTGGATTTTACCAAAATTCATTCAAAGCAATTTTTAGATGGTAGAATATTTAAGATGGCTATTTAAATTTTATATTGTGTACAAGTTCAATAAGGGGTATTTTAGAAGAATTGAAAGACATGAAAAACAAGGGTAGTTTTCTGCCCCAGATTCTGATGAATTTTGATACATTTTTGACAAACATTATATTTCTTCTTTAATGGTGTTCCTCAAACAAGACAGCTAGCAAAATATTTGAATTGCCACGTATAATGTCACATTTTAATGTAAACATCAAATAAGGTACCAAAATTTTTACTGGAGAGAAAAAAACCCAAACCTTAAAGCGGCACAATTCTTTATACCACTGGAGAAGAGGGAAGCCAGGTTACAAACATTTACACATGCATAGTGAGAAAAAAAGAATTTTACTAAATTCACGCATTTTTAAAATAGTTATCAAGTCTACTAAGCACCAACAATCCTAAAAATTTTTCAGCTTCTTGATTTGTTTAAAAAAAAAAACACACACTATCAAATTAACATTAAAAACAAGCTTGAAGTGTAGCTTGTCCAAAAAATAACTAAGTATGCCAACGTTTTTTTCACATTTCAAAAAACAGTGGCATACAAAATATGCCTGCAAAGAATGCCTTTAACTCTATCCTATGGTGGATGGAGATTACAACAACACATCATACATAGTCTAAAACTATAAAAGTTTTAGAATGCAGCATCGTGTCACCAAAAAAAAAAAAAAAGCTGATAAAACTTATTTAGAAGATGCTGCCCCTTTATTTTAAAAAAAATTTAAATGAATTTAAGCAAAAATAACATACATTTGTACATCAACTGGCCATTTCTGGTACAGAAACCCAGCATGTGGTAATATTATTGAATAAATGTAAATGCTACTTACAATTTTTTTTTCTTTTTAAATACATTTTAGACAAACTTTTCTTTTTTTTTTTTTTTTTATAGTTGCACAATTAACCTCTTGGCTGCTAGCTTGATGCAAACATATGTAACAATACACAAATTTAAAAATTTTTTTATTCTACATAAAAGCTGTCAAAGTTTTGACACATCAAAAATGCAAAATAATGGAATATACTTTAAAAAAATTAGTTGCAAGTCTAGCAGCAAAGCAATTAAGTGAGAACATATTTAATATTAAAACAAAGGGAACTGTGCATCTATAGATGAAGTCCAACTACCTTAATTCTACTGATACAAACAGAAATTAAAACATTCTCCCTTGAGGGAAAAAAAAAGTGATTATTTAAAATATGAGTAAAAGCCATTGCTGCCAGATGAGCTCCCTAGGCTCAGTTCCTGGAAGAGAGACAGAGGGTCGCTACTCTTCTTGGCCTGCTCAGGAGGGGGCCTGGGCTTTGGAGGGGCCCGCAGAGCGCTGGCATAGGACATGGCGGGCTTGCCCCCCGCAGAGCTCTGGGGGCTACTGCTATTGGCCGACTCCGCGATCTGCTTGTTAGGCATAAGGGGTGGAAACTGGCCAAGATGCTGCAGCACACTGTAGTTGAAGGAACTGGACACCTCGAGGTTCTCCGACTTCAGTTGATCCTCAGGGGGTTTGACAGTCTTGGGTGGCGCTAAAAGCAGAGAACAGTGACACAGATTTAAGGATGAGCCCAGCAATGTTCATGTGCCTCATTCACTCAGTGTGTCAGAACTGGCTCTCATCTCCAGGAACTCAAGGACAGTATAGCCACAAGGACAGACACCTTCTGCCATAGAATGCTGAAATCACAACACATCCAACCAAACGTCCCTATCTTATAGACACATAAAACAGCCATGAGAAGTGGAATAGCTAACATATAAAAACTAAAGTTCAAATCTGAAGGCTTGCTGAAAAATAAAAAACTAGTTTGTGTAACTGTACACTTTGATATTTATTCTAGTAACTGCTCATAGTTTGTAAACAGGCACATGCTCTCTCTTAAATAAAAAGGAGCTGCATATCCAGACTCTTGGTCAAAACAGCTTTTATTACTGAGCTAAGTAATAGTGCCATGGGATTCCATTTGTTTACAATGCTACCCTTCCTTGTATTATATACTGAGTAACATGGAATAAGGGGTGCGTGTGGAGACTGTAAATGACTTCACATTTCCTATAATGTGCCTGACTTTCAAGGTCCCTTAAAATTTGACTCCATCCTTCCTAACCAATTTTATTGCTCACTAAACCATAGCTTGCTTTCAAATAACTGCTTTTCTTTTCAATCTTTTAAAACTTTATGTAACATTGTACTGGATTATAAACATAATACAAATTCACTGAGGACAATTGGAAAATTTCAGAAAAGTCCAAAGAAGAAAGTCATTCATACTTCTAAATACCAGAGATAAGCCTTAAGTTGTTGTTTTATTTTTCCCTAAGTACTTGATTTAGAGTATTTCATAACTTACTTATGTAATGTCTCATTTTTAGAAATTTTCATTATCACCAATTTTTCTCTTCTCTAGACCGTGATGTTCCAGGTCAATATTTCTAAATATTCACGGCTCCTTCCTCAGGATAAGTGCCTAGGTGTACAATGGGATGTACGAGCCATACAAATTCATGTATTTCACAGCTATTTCCTCAGGATAAATCCCTAGGTGTACAAAGCTTCTGACAACTGTGGCCAAACCACTCTGCAGGAAGATGCTGCCCATGTGTACTCAGCCAGCCATATTTGCCCATTGCCTTACCCAATCACAGCACTGGCATGATAACTGTTTAAAAGCTTAGCCTATTTTATTAAGTAAATAATTATCTTGTTGTGGTTACAGTTTGCATTTCCTTGATAGCTGGTGTGTATGAACAGTTTTCCTTGTTTATTACCTATTTGCAGACTACCTCTGTCCATTATTCTATTGGACATACTATTCTATTGTTTTTTCCTATTATTTTGTAGGCACTTTTTACATATGAAGAATACTATTCTTTTGTCATATGTTGCAAATATTTTTACCTGTTTTGTGATTTCCCTTTTAATGTTATTTATAATGCTTCCACTTTGTCAGCAAATGTTTTAGATTTTACTAAGCAAATCCATGAACTAGTTTCTATGCGAAGTCAGATATTTACATCTTTTTGTGAATCTTTAAGGGTTTCCTGTTTTAAGTTAAAATTTTATAATCTATCTGCAATTTATTTTATTATGTGGCATAAGGTAAAGATATAACTGTTCATTTATTTTTCCCTTGAATGGTTAATTAATCATTTATTGAATAATCCATCCCTTCTATACTGATCATACTTTTATTATTACTAAATTCTTTTGTGCATTGAAATCTGTATCTGGGCTTTCTAGTCTTCCTGTTCCACTGAACCGTGTTTCTATTTCTGTATCAGTATTAAGTTTTTTGTGGCCCTATAATAAATTGTGTTCTCTGCTCTTTGAAGTCCTCCTTCTTTACTTTCCTCCTCTACCTCTTTTCAGATAAATTCTGGATATTCTCACAGACCTTCTATTTAATTAAACAGGCAGGTGAGCCATGCTCAGTCTGCTCTTCCTGCTTTCTCACAGGTTGCTTCTCATATCTGGAATTTGCCCATTTACCCATCCAAAACCTTAAACTGCCTTCTCAATCCAATAAATATTTATTGGGCACTTACTATGTATTCACTGCTGTGCTAGACCCATGAAAGTATACAGTTGGTTAGAGCAGCCCTTTGTAAACTTATCATTTTATTGTGGAAATAATATATAATATTCAGTCATGGCATGGCTAAATAACAATAGAAGTGGAACAATGAAGGCTGATATGTCCTAAGGGAGTTCTGGGAGAGCCAGGAGGGAATCTACATAGAGAAGATGAAACCTGGGATGAGTCCTGAAGGATTTAAACAGGTGGGGAAAGACTAGGAGGGCACAGGAGAGACTAGTAACAATCTCTCGGTTTCTGTGCTTTCCCTGCTTCCTTTTAGGTACAGAAACCCCACCCATCACACTAAGCTTAAATTGGACACGTAGTTGCTCAGCTAGTGACTACATTTCCCAGCTTCCCTTGTAGCTGAGTATGGCTAAGTAACTAAATTTGGCTTAATTAGATATGAGCAAAAGTGTGCATGCAATTTCTGTGTCATCTCTAGCTTGAAGATAAGCCACTTGCCTTGAAACACTGTCATGGCAGAAACCTAGCTTTGACTATGCAACAAAGACAATCCTTCAGAGGACAGTGGGACACAGTAGAAGGACCTTGGGCCCTTCAATGACTTTGTGAAGCAAAGCTACTCAGATAGTGTGAACTACCCAATTAGGTAAAAGAAAAATAAGTTTCTATCTTATTTAAGGCACTGTACTTTGGGGTCTCTTTGGGACAACAGCTTAGCCCTTACCCTAACTGATACAGGTAGAAGAGGACAAGAATGGGAAGCATTTCCTCATTAGTCTCCTCTGAACACGGTAAAAGGTTAATATTAGACAACAGAGGGCAATAACAACAGAGAGGTGAGTTAGTTCCTCTTGTACAAAGTTTTCTCCCAACTATTCCACCATCTTTAAGGGTACAGTGTCTAAACTGCACATTTAGCACTTGGTTTTATGTCCTTTAATATTGATTGTTATTGCTTTATGTATGTTAATCTTATTTCCCAAACTAGATAGCTCCTTGAGGGAGAGGACCATGCCATCTTTTTCACTGAGCTCTATGAGTATGGCACTCTGCTTCTTGATGGCCCTGTGGTTAGTGGGCCACAGAAACTGTCTCTTCCTTCCTTGTGTTCATGTCTAGAAGGAAGTGTCCCATTGGAACATACCTGATTTAGATTGGGCTGGATTTCTTTTCCCAGAAATTTCTGTATGTGTATGTGGGGCGGGGCAGGGGGGTGCAGGTACAGACAGAGAGGGAAAGTGAGACCTTTAGCTAGATTACTTTGGAAACCAAAAGACACTTAAAAATACATAGAAGAGCAGAGTGATCAGAAGACCAAGAGCAGAGTGATCAGAAGACCAATTTACAAGGAAAAGCAGGACGAAGGAGCAGGTACACAGAGGAAGCCATAGGCCCTGGAGGGAGATGCTGAGACCATCACATCTAGTGGCTATTTACCATGGGCCAGGCACTTTGTGCTATGCACCTTCCATGGATTAAACACAGTGACCAGAAAACTATCCGGCTCCCCTCATCAACCCAGCTGGCTCCCTGGATCTTATTTCCAGTAAAACTGTTTTTACCTGAGCTACTTTGGGTTGGTTTCTGTTTCTTGCAATCAGATGTAGCTTAAGACAATCATCAAATAGAATGAACTCAGACATTTGATCTTCAGATATTTAGTGAGGTAGCTCTATCCTTGAGTTCAAAATAAGTAAAAAACTGAAACCACAAGAAACCCCACTAATATTTCTTTTTAAAACCCAAACCACAATGGTTCATTTCCTCTAAAACACACTAGTGACACCTGATGGAAGCTACTTCACACTCCATATGACAAAGTTTCAAAACCATGTTAACATCAGCAATACAGCTGTCCAATATAACATAAAACTAGAATTCAGAAGGTGAAAATATTTCACGTTTTAGCTTTAGTATTTTATTTATTCAATATGCTAATTTTATAGTACTATTTAAAAATTTTAAAAATTCATAAAATTCTTCAAAATGATTTTAAAGCATTTAATATCTTTCTAGTATATTTATCACTTTTCCCTTTAAATGTCACTGATTTTGTGAATAAAACAATGGCTTTCAAGAACAATTAGTTTAACAAATATTTCAATATAAGTGTTTTTTGCTGTCTAAAATAATATATAAAATAAACATGGCTTTCATTGTTCAAGAACTTACTATTTTTATTTACTTTATTAAGACTTATTTAACCATGTTCTCAGTTTTATAGCAATGTAATTAGTTTTAACTGTTTTTTTTTTTTGTTTTTTTTTTTTTTGAGATGGAGTCTTGCTCTGTCGCCCAGGCTGGAGTGCAGTGGTGTGATCTCGGCTTACTGCCACCACCACCTCCTGGGTTCAAGTGATTCTCCTGCCTCAGCCTCCCAAGTAGCTGGGATTACAGGCATGCATCATCACAACTGGCTAATTTTTGTATTTTTAGCAAAGAAGGGGTTTCACCATGTTGGCCAAGCTGGTCTCAAACTCCTGACCTCAGGTGATCCACTCGCTTCGGCCTCCCAAAGTGCTGGGATTACAGGTGTGAGCCACCATGTCTGGCCCAGTTTTAAATGTTTTTAATTAAATAAATACTTAGAAAATAATAGTTTAGAGGCAGTTTAACCTAATGCCTACATCCTTGTCTAACCATGAATACAAGATTGCTACTAATTAATCATGTATATATTCCCAATAAGAGAAAACATTCTCTGAAACTATGAATTTCACTAGTCTTACAACTAATATTTTTCAAAATACATATCTCAGCCGGGCACAGTGGCTCACGCCTGTAATCCCAGCACTTTGGGAGGCTGAGGCGGACAGATCATGAGGTCAGGAGTTCTAGACCAGCCTGGCCAACATGGTGAAACCCTGTCTCTACTAAAAACACAAAAATTAGGCGGGCGCCTGTAATCCCAGCTACTCAGGAGGCTGAGGCAGGATAATTGCTTGATCCCAGGAGGCGGAGGCTGCAGTGAGCCAAGATGGTGCCATTGCACTCCAGTCTGGGTGTCAAGAGCAAGACTGTGTCTCAAAAACAAAACAAAACAAACAAACAAAAAACACATCTCTAATCTAAAATTTTCAACCCATGCATTAAAAGAAAATGTCTGCTAAAGTATGTCTTGTCACCAGGTAAGTGAACAGAAACCAAACATACCTGTGTTGGAGGAGGGATTCCCCACCCTCTGCAGTGCAACTGGGTCACCCCCTTAATTGCACAGAATCTAGTTTCATTATCTCCTTTCTCCACAAGCATTTACTAAGAGCCTAAAGTGTATTCAGTGTCAAAACGGGAAATTCAAAGTTTAAAAAGGCCAAAGATGGGGTTTCTATTTTAGGCTTACAGTTTAATTGTAAACTGATATCCATATCAAACACAATCATCTTTTTAAAATTTCAAACCAATATAATATAAACAGTTTTCTTCAAGCTCAAGAAATAAATCTCTAACTTCAGTAAGAAGTCTCTCATGTGATTATTTTATGTCTGATACCACTACTACAATTCTCTAAAAATAAAAAATTGATAAACAAGAAGTTGTGCTTCAGGACACTCGTGATTTGAATTAATTTTTTAATGCTAAACTAAGTGATACTTTCAATTTAAAAATACTACACTCTGTCTCCAAGCAATGAAGAAAATAATGACTTTATATTTGCAGAAAAGATACCACAAATGACATGAGCATTTGCTCAGGAACTTTCTACCTTATCAGCTTGGGTCAGCTTTTTATTAATTTCAGCAAAAAGCTATCCTAAAACTTAGGTTAAAAAAAAGAAAGAGGCCGGGCGCGGTGGCTCACGCCTGTAATCCCAGCACTTTGGGAGGCCGAGGCGGGCGGATCACAAGGTCAGGAGATCGAGACCATCCTGGCTAACACAGTGAAACCCCGTCTCTACTAAAAAACACAAAAAATTAGCCGGGCGTGGTGGCGGGCGCCTGTAGT
This sequence comes from Homo sapiens, assembly GCF_000001405.40. NCBI lineage: Eukaryota > Metazoa > Chordata > Mammalia > Primates > Hominidae > Homo > Homo sapiens. Next base: position 67,084,545 of record NC_000017.11, read on the forward strand.
CCCAGCTACGCGGGAGGCTGAGGCAGAAGAATGACGTGAACCCGGGAGGCGGAGCTTGCAGTGAGCCGAGATCGCGCCACTGCACTCCAGCCTGGGCGACAGAGCGAGACTCCGTCTCAAAAAAAAAAAAAAAGAAAGAAAAAGAAGAAGAGAAATGATGTTATCGTAAAAAAATTATAATAAACAAAACCACCAAAAAAGTAACAAATTATTATCACTGATTTGTAATGTAGATGTTTGCCAGGAAATTCAAATATGATAACATGAGTGAGTGTATTTATCCTAGACCCTGAAAGTGACAAGGCAGGCTCACACCTGTAATCTCAGAACTTTGGGAGGCCAAGGCGGATGGATCACTTGAGGTCAGCCTGGCCAACACGATGTAGCCCCGCCTCTACTAAAAATACACAAATTAGCTGGGCATGGTGGCAGATGCCTGTAATCTCAGCTACTCGGGAGGCTGAGGCAGGAGGAATCGCTTCAGCCCGGATGGCGGAGGTTGCAGTGAGCTGAGAATGCACCACTACACTCTAGCCACGGTGACAGAGCGAGACTCTGTCTCAAAAACAAACAAACAAAAAAGTGACAAAGCAGCCAGGCATGGTGGCTCATGCCTGTAATCCCAGCACTTTGGGAGGCTGAGGTGGGCAGATCGCTTGAGTCCAGGAGTTTGAGACCAGCCTGGGAAACATGGCGAAACCCCATTTCTACAAAAATAAACACGAAAATTAGCCAGGCATAGTGGCACATGCCTATAGTCCCAGCTACTTGGGAGGCTGAGGCAGGAGGATCATTTGAGCCTGGGGTGTGAAGGTTGCAGTGAGCCGAGATTGCACTACTGCACTCCAGTCTGGGTGACAGAGCAAGACCCTGTCTCAAAAACAACAACAAAAAGACAAAGCAACCCGAGGCAAAATACAGCGGTTTACTCCTAAAAGGTACCAAAGAATGTTTAAAGATTAAAATGACAATGTCTTTTGCCAGGAAATAAAAGCAAAAGCTTTTAAATGTTTTTTTTTAATTTTTTTTACCATGTCTATTGTTCTAAAAATATGCTAGCATGGCACATACTCAAAAATGGGCCAGTTACAGAAACAACAGATTCACATTCTAAAGATGAACAAAATTTGTTTCAAATAAAAAAGTTGATGTTACTGGGCAAAAATTCACCACACAAAGATCTCAGACTTGTTCACAAAGATCAACGTCTACAGCATACAAAGAGAAGGAATTAGAGAATTCAAGCAGTATAATTAGTTTCTTTACATTCAATATAAAAAAGAGAACAGAGGAAAGATCAAAGCGCATTCATCTTTAAGGCTAAAGAGGAAGACTCTAGATTTTCCATCATACAAGTTTAGAGTGTCTTATCCATTCCGATCCCTTTCTATGCCTTTTTTGTTTTTTAGCCATGAAGTTCTACAGTTTATTAGAATAAAGGAATAAACAAGGATTCTTAAATCTCAAAATGTCAGACTTTACTGGTCTCTCTCGTGGCCAAACTCTATTATATAGCAAATTGTCAACACTTTACTGACAACAAATCCTTGAAAACATTCATCTAACCAGCTCCCACTCACCCCCCTCAGCCCTGAAGGAAAAAAACCAAAAAGCAGAAAACAAACTTTTCCCAAACAAAGGTGATTCTATCTATTCAGAAACATGTTTTAAGCTCCATTTCTTCTTTCAATCACAGGTCAAAATGATCAGTTTCCAAATATGGATATATCTACTAACCTTCTGGACATAAAATATGGAACTGGCCAGGTGCGGTGGCTCACGCCTATAATCACATTTTGGGAGGTCGAGGCGGGTCGATCACCTGAGGTCAGGAGTTCGAAACCAGCCTAGCCAACACGGTGAAACCCCATCTCTAGATACAAAAAATTAGCCAGGCGTGGGTGTGTGTGCCTGTAACCCCAGCTACTTGGGGGGCTGAGGCAGGAGAATCACTTGAACCCAGGAGGTGGAGGTTGCAATGAGCCGAGATCACACCATTGTACTCTAGCCTGGGCGACAAGAGTGAAACTGCATCTCAAATATATATACATATATTAATATATATATATAAATAAATATAAATATAAATATATATATATATATATATATATATATATATAGAATCAATATAGTCCTAAATTGCACACCTATGAGCTATTAGCATCATTAAATATTGTTCAAAGATGATAATGCAAATTGGGGGCAGGTGGTATAGAAGAAAAACTCCACAGATATCCGGGAGCTGAGGAGTACAGATTAGTTTTAGCCACCAACTCTGTCTTACCTATCAACTCTCTGGGCTGAGCTGTCCTGCTGGATCCATTGCACGGAATGTTCTGATAAGGAGTAGATGAGGTGGTGTTTACCCAGGACTCCGGGGATGAAAAGTTGAAAGAAGATTGGTTACTGTGGTCCTGAAGCTCTTTACACTGAGCCAGACTGTCTTGAGGAGTGCTTACTTCTTCAGAACAAGGTTGAACTGAGCTAGATGAGATTCTTCTTTGGTACAAGGGCCGACCAGGTCCTCTGGGCTCATACTACACAAAGAAAAAGAACATTTCATAAATCAGTGCACCTTGTGCCATAGTCCTCTCTCTTTTCACTCCATAGCAATATCTCACTATATAAAGTAAAAATTGTCAAGAATATACTGTGACTGTGAAACCCTCCCTCCACCCTACTCCCACCAAAAAGAAAAAGGGCGGGGAAGGGTACAGGCTAGGCTCTGGACATGGTGTCAGAAGACCTGGGCTCAAAACTCAGTTGTGTTCCTCACTGCATAGTCCTGACAATATATGTCTGATTTCTGATTCTGTTTTCTTATCTGTAGAATATGGGAATTGAAGTAGTTGTTTTCAGTTCTAAAATTCTATTGACATTTTAGATAATAGTAGATTAAGAAAAAGCACGAAGGAGCAAATCCGCTCAAAATTAAATGGGTAAAGTATAGGCAGTTGAGTCATGGCCCTCTTGAGCAGAGTCAGCTATTCTACACTTATCTCTTGGGCCCTTCCTTCATAACATCATAATTTATTTTTCTTTAGACCTGATGGCAAGATGTGATTCCTCCTGTCCAACGTAAGTACTCTTGACTGGACTCCACTGCATTTCTTTTAGTCAAACGTCAAATGACACAGCATACTCATTCATTTAGTCAAAAAATATTTTATATGTTTGAAACCCAATTAACTTAGTATATTTTCTCCTCCCTAAACTCCCTGTATTTGCACAACCCAAATTCCTTTAACCCTTCCGACAAGATCTATGTGGCAGCCATGTCAAGATTTTTTTATAGTTACCCAAGTGCTGTTCAATTTGTTCTTGCCAGATACTTGTGATCAATATTCAGAGTCAATTCTAATGGCAAGGCAGTGTAGAGCAGTGGTTAGGTATCAGCCTCCATCTAAGGCTAGACTGTCTGGGTTAGACTTCAGGCTCTGACTTTTATTGGCAGTGTCACCTTGGGCAACTGATTTAACTTCTTTGTAACATGAATTACCCACAGTCCCCATATCTTGGGATTGTTGGGAGAATTAAATAAGGATGCATAGCATGTACAGCAGTTCTTGGCACACAGGAAGGGTTCATTGCTATATAATTATTTTAATGTAATATATAAAGATAAGATTCCACGTTCCGTCTCAAATGACAGAATGGGATTGGTGTTTCATTGCCCCTTTCTTTTTCCTCTTTTCTTTTTTGGATAGCAAATGATAAATCTGCTGTTCAGTCTGTGGTCAGTTATGACTCTCAGAAATTGTACTTTCACCACTGTTGTTAGCAATAATTGGAAATCAGGAACTGGAGGCTGGATTAAAAAGAAGGCAGAGAGATGAACTGGCATAACAATAACAGGATGGCTTCTGGAAATATAAAATAGCACAAGCAGACATTATCAAGCCAATTAAATGTGAAAATTGTGGGGGTAAGCACTGAGAGTATTAAGTTAAAGTAAATGGAACCACTAGGATGTAAACTAGGGAAGAAAATGGGTCTGGACTGGCTGCCCTTGTGCGGAGAGGCAGGAAAGCCGTGACGAGAGCAATTCTCTCGCTATTAAGTTTTGAGTGCCTCCATTTCCACAGTCTTAGCTATTGAATGGAGGAAGGCAAGAGGTAGTACTGCCATCTGGTTAATTTCTTTTTTCATATAATTTTATAGATCTGTTTCTAAGCACAGTATCTCAATTCATCTTTAATTTTACTCTGCTTTAAAGGCAATTGTTTTCAATGGTCAAATCATTATGAATTTGATTTGGTTTTCTAGAATGTTAACCATCCAAATTAATTTAGTGTCAACTAGGAATGTAATCAGCACAATTGAAATTTCTTTGTCTAAGGCATTCAATTACGGTAGTGAGTAGAATAAGTAACCTTTCTAAACTGCACTGTGTGCTCTATGCCTGACAACCCTGGATCACAATGGCTGCGCAGCGTGTCTTTTTTTTTAAATCAAGGTTTGTAATGAAGACAATTAGCTCTTAAAATTGAAATGTAGTATTTCTTTCTATGACTATCCCGAGTGTTTAGTCACAATCTTCAGGGGATTACATTCTAAAGTTTTCATATGTGAATACTAAAGTACAAAACTAACGTTGGGTATGGGCTCAGAAAGAGCAGATTATGATAACCATGTCTCCTGGTGATACAGAACACTAAATATACTCTCATGAATTTCAGGCGTTAACTTTATAAGCCCCTTTTCATTAAATAACGAACATACACAAACCAGTAGTATAAACGATAACCTTTTTACAATGAATAGACATATGAACCAGAAAGCTTAAAGGAAGAAAACGAAAACTCAGAAAGAAATGGAAGGCTGATATAAGAGAGAATATTCAATTAAACTTTACAGAAAATTTATATCATTTGTATCTTCCAAACTGAAATCCAAAATAATCACTCAGTTGACATGCACAGCAGGCTCCGGGGAAGTATTGTATAACCTATCTACAGCTATTGACAGAGATAAACATGTAGATAAAATATGAAATTCAATTTCAAATTATGTTATGAATATGATTAATTTTTTATGTCAGAAAAGCAAAACCGAAACTGGAAAATTTTTTAATGCTTTTAAAATTAGATCTATTGGAGATTTTATATATATATATATATATATAGAGAGAGAGAGAGAGAGAGAGAGAGAGAGAGACAGAGAGACAGAGAGAGAGACAGAGACAGAGAGATTGATTGATTTTTGTGTGTTGACCTTGTATCTTGTGACCTTGCTAAATTCACATTAGTTACAGGAATCTCCCAAGGAATTGGGAGATTCCTTGGGCTTTTTCTATACTGACAACCATGTCATCTGTGAATGGAGACAGCTTCATTTCTTCCCTCCCAATCCCTAATGCCATTTATTTTCTTGCCTTATTGCACTGGCTAAGACTTCCAGCACAGTGTTGAAGAGGAATGTTGAGAACAAATGTCTTGCCTTATTCCTAATCTTAGAAGCACTAAATCTCTCACCATTAAGTATGATGGTAGCTGCAGAATTGTTATAGATGCCCTTTAACAGGGTGAAGAAGTTCCTTTCCATTTCTAGTTTACCAAGAGTTTCATCCTGAGTGGACCATGCATTTTGTCAAATGCATGTGGTTTCTATGTCTATTGATATGATTGTGTGATTTTTCTCTTTAGATTGTTAGAATGGTGTATTACATTAATTTATTTTCAAATACCACACCAGCCTTGCATTCTAGAGATAAGCCCCCCATGATCATAGTATATTCTTTTCATATATTGCTAAATTCAAATGGCTAATGTCTTGCTGAGGATGCTTACATTGATATTCATGGAAGTGGATCTGTGATTTTCTCTGTTTGTATTGCCTTTATCTAGTTTTGGTATCAGAGTAATGCTGGCCATATACAATAAATTGAGAAGTGTTCTATTCTCTGGAAAAGATTGTGTAAGTTGGTGGTTTTCTTCTTCACATTTTTGGAGGAATTCCATGCTAAAACCATTTGGGCCTAGAGATGTCTTTTTTGGAAGGTTTTAATTACAAATTCAATTTCTTTAACAGTTATAAGACTGTCCATATGCCATCTATTTCATCTTTGGTGAGGTTTTAAGGAAGTGGTTCATTTTATCTATGTTGCTGAATGTATGTGCACAGAGTTGTTTGTAGTGCTCCCTTATTACCATCCTTTCAATGTCTACTGGGTCTGTAGTGACCCAGTCTCCTTCCTAATATAGGTAGTTTGTATCCTCTTTTTGTCTTTGTCAATCTTGCTAAAGGTTTATCAATTTTACTAATCTTTCCGAACAACTAACTGGGTTTTATTGATTTTCCTTTATTGCTTTTCTGTTTTGAATTGTATTGAATTCTGTTCTCATCTTTGAAATTCCCTTCCCTCTGCTTGATTTGAATTTATTTTGCTCTTCCTTTTCTAATTTCTTGGGGTATAAGTTTTGATTATTGATCTGAGATCTTACTTCTTTTCTAATAAAGCTTTTATTAAATTCTAATACAAGCTATAAATTTAAATTCTAATATAAGCTATAAATTTCCCTCTGACATGGCTTGAGCTGCATTACACAAATTAGGACAGGCTATATTTCCATTTTCACTCAATGTAAAACATTTCTAATATTTCTAATGAAGAACCTTCCATTGGTCAAAGATAGGGGACAAGGTGTGAAAATGTATAAGGACTACAATAAAGTAAAAATTCAAATACATAATGATATCAAATAATAATATTCAAAGTGAAAAAAGAAGGGGAAAAAAGCCTCAATGGTCATCCTGAGGCCTGCTAAGGCCTCAATTCATTACTCTGAAAATTGACTAATAAAGGGCAAGGATTAAACATTTATCCTTCCCTTTCTACATAGACTATATTTTAGGTAGTAATTAAATATTCAATGAGGAAAAGTTCTCCTTTATAAAAGAAAAATAAATACAAAAGAAATTCAAAGAAGTTTTAAATAATCATTTTGCCATTCTAATGAAACAATAGATCTAAGCAACAACCATCAACAGCTGCTAAAATCTGAAAGGTTGCTAGAAATTTTAACGTCAATAGATCAGAATGACATCATCTGATCACTGAAACATACTGATCAACTTAACATAGCTAAAGTGGGAAAACTGGATATTATGTACATCTTTAAACATATAATTTAAAATGAGACATTACATACTGCCTGGTAATTTTTCACTGAAATATCATAGGTATCTTTCCATGTCATGGACACTCTTATAATATCAGATTTAATAAGCTGCATTTTTTTTCTTCATTTACTTAAAACTAATCTATTTAATTTCCCCAAGATTTGAGGAAGAAATCCTTGATTATAGAACACTTAGGGTCTACTAACTTATTTCAATTTAGCTCCCCCTCAAATTATCATTTTCTGCTTAAAGCAAATACGCTACAGTTTGGTGGATCAGTACAGTTCCCTAGAGAGAAAAAACTAGATGGAGCAAGGAGAGGACTATCACTATAAGACTAAAAATAATCAATTTATTAACAAGCCAGATAACGTGTGATGAATAAACTGTAGTTTACAACAGTAATATCTGTGGGTTCATATCTATGGGTTCATGTGATGTAATCTATTGAAAAGCACTTGATAAATTACAAAATCATTTTTTAAAAGCATGATTCCCAGTTAATGGTGGCAACTGGCCCAAGACTCCACTAAAATAATAATAAATGAATATTATAGATATACAACAATCAAGACCATGAGCCTCGTCATCAATAGAGGACACATTTCCAGAATACATGGAGACTGGATGGAGGAATGGTGTCTGTGGAAGAAGAATGAAATTATAGCTACCCCCCAAGAAGGGAAACGATTCACCTAGCAGAATTCCACAGAGGCTTGCCAACTAATATAAAATGAAAGGAAGATGAAGGGATAAAATTAGGGGGGTTAAATGAAAGTCTATACAGGAAACAGCTGGACTCATACTCCTCCCCGCAACAACAGTGGGACACAGCCAGCCAGGTACCTACAATACAGACAAAAAGATAAGGAGACAGACAAGCAAAAATCCGGGAAAAACGAAGGGCTCCACATGGATTCAAGCACTAAAAAGTCCCCAGTGAAAGGCCTGCCAGGCAATACATCCTGTGATATACACAAAACTCCCAAGTTGCTTTTTAGTGAAAGATAATCAAGCGGCCAGGCGCAGTGGTTCACGCCTGTAATCCCAGCACTTTGGGAGGCCGAGGTGGGTGGATCACCTGAGGTCAGGAGTTTGAGACCGGCTGGCCAACATGGTGAAACCCCATCTCTACTAAAAATATAAGAATTAGCCGGGAGTGGTGGCGGGTGACTGTAATCCCAGCTACTTGAGAGGCTGAGGCAAGAGAACTGCTTGAAACCGGCGGGGGGGGGAAGTTGCAGTGAGCCAAGATTGTGCCACTGCACTCCCACCTGGGTGACAGAGCAAAACTCTGTCTCATAAAAAAAAAGATAATCAAGGATTACCAGACTTTTAAGGAAGGTCTCCAGCATAAAAGATAGTCCCAGATGAACAAGTTGAAAAAAGGGAGGCCCGGAAAGAAACAATAGTGATGTTTTAAAAATATTTTAGAACATTGTTTTAGTTCTTATTAAAAATCAAAAACAAAACAACAACAAACCCTCTAACTGGTGTTCTCAGAAAAGGCACTGCAGAAAACAAGATGTTATGAAAAAGGAAAAAGCTCAGAATAAAGAACTCTTGTGAGTTTAAAACCTGAGGGCTCAAATATTAAATGCAATAGTTCTTGCAGATAAAATCAAGGAAATCTTCCTGAAAGTAAGAAAAAGTACAAAGGTATCAAAGTATGACAGGAAATAAAGATTTGGAGAATCTAGGAGGCCCAACATCTTATCAAAAGAAGTTTCAGAAAGTGAGACATGGAGAAAAATAATGCTAGAAAATTATCAAAAAAGATTAATAATAATAGACAATTTCACACAGTTGAAGGATATGAGTCCTTCTCTAAAGCAATGCTGTCCAAAAACTATTTCCTGTGACGATGGGAATGTTCTGTGTCTGTACTGTTCCATAAGGCAGCGCCTTGCCATGGGAGCTCCTGGTCAGTCAAAATGAGCCTACTAGGACTGAGGAACTCAATTTTAAATCTTATTTCATTCCTAATCATAACCTATCCATCAAGAATTCCTCTAGGTTCTACCTGCAAAGTAGATCCTGAATTTATTTCTTACCATTTCCACTGCTACCCCACAGTCCAAGCCACAATCACCTCTTGCCTAGATAACTATGACATCCTTCACTATTTATATTATTTTTAAAACTCTAAACAAATAAATTGCATTATTTTCATACAATTTCTAAAGTAATTTTAATGTCATTTTAGCCTTATAAAACTCAATCATAATGACAGAAGCAAAAATTTATCTTAGTTCCCAAAACTATAGTAGATTTATTTCTAGGTTTTGTTGTTTCCCTTAAAAGATACAGACCAAACTCCCGCAACATGTAATTTACCCATATAACAAACCTGCACGCATACTCCACTGAACCTAAGATAAAAGCTGGAAACAGCATGTAGTCCCAGCACTTTTGGAGGCCGAGGTGGGCAGAGTGCTTAAGTTCAAGAGTTCAAGACCAGCTGGGTGACACAGGAAAACCCCATCTCCACCAAAAAATACAAAATTTAGCTGGGTGTGGTGGCATGCATCTGTAGTCCCAGCTACTTAGGGGGCTGAGGTGGGATGATCGCTTGAGCCTGGAAGGCAGAGGTTGCAGTGAGCTGAGATCATATACTGCACCTTGCGCCTGGGTGACAGAGGGAGACCTGGTCTTGAAAAAAAAAAAAGAGAGAGAGAGAGAGAGAGATACAGGCATACCTTGGAGATATTGCAGGTTTGGTGAGAGAGAGAGAGAGAGAGATACAGACATACCTTGGAGATATTGCAGGTTTGGTGAGAGAGACAGAGAGATACAGACACACCTTGGAGATATTGCAGGTTTGGTTCCAAACTACTGCAATACAGCTAATACTGCAATAATGTGAGTCACGTAAATTTTTTGGTTTTCCAGTGCATATAAAAATTATATTTATACTATACTATAATCTATTAAGTGTGCAATAGCATTGTATGTTTAAAAAAACACAATGTATAAAGGCAAGCATGGTGTCACATGCCTGTAGGCCCAGCTACTTGGGAGGCTGAAGAGGGAGGATCATTTGAGCCCATGAGTTTGAGGCTTAAGTGAGTTATGATCACACCCATGAATAGCCACTGCATTCCAGCCTGTGCAACATAGTGAGACACTCTTTAAGACATTTTTTAAAATGTATATGGCTTAATTTTAAAATAATGTATTGCTTGTGATTCTCTGGCTAAAAAACTTAATCACAAAAAATACATACTGTATTGCTAAAAAATGCTCACTGACCAGGGTGGTGGTTGCTGAAGGCTGAGGTGGCTGTGGCAATTTCTTAAAATAAGACAATAATAAAGTTTGCCGCATCAGTTGACTCTTCTTTTCACAAAAGATTTCCTTATAGCACACAAAGTTGTTTGATGGTATTTTACTCACAGAACTTCTTTCAAAATGGGAGTCAATCTTCTTAAGCCCTTCCAGTATTTTATCAACTAAATTTATGGAATATTCTAAATCCTTTGAACTCCTTTGTTGTCATTTCAACAATGTTCACAGCATCTTCCCAGGAGTAGATTCCATCACAAAAAAACACTTTCTTTGTTCACCCATAACAAGAAATTTCTCACTGGGCTCAGTGGTTCACGCCTGTAATCCCAAAACTTTGGGAGGCCAAGGTGGGAGGATCACTTGAGGCCAGGAGTTCAAGTCCAGCCTGGGTAACATAGTGAGATACAAACAAACAAACACCAAAAACAAAACAAAACAAAAAAATTAGCCAGGCATGGTGGTATGTGCCTGTAGCCCCAGATACTGAGGAGGCTGAGGTGGGAGGATTGCCAGGGTCCAGGAGGTCAAGGCTGCAGTGAGTCATGATTGCACCACTGCACTCCAACCTGGGTGACGAAGCAAGACCCTTCTCTTCAAAACAAAAGGGAAGAAATTCCTCATCTACCCAAGTTCAATCATAAGATTACAGCAAGTTAGTCATATCAGGCTCCACTTCTAATTCTAGTTCTCTTGCTATTTCCACCACATCTGCAAGTTACTTCCTCCACTGACTTCTTGAACCCCTCAAAGGCATCCATGGTGATGGAATCAACTTCTTCCAAACTCCCGTTCATATTGATATTTTGACCTCTTCCCAACAATCACAACAAGAAAGCGTTTTTTAGCAATACAGTATATATTTTTTGTTCTTAAATTTTTTAGCCAGAGAATCATTAATGGCATCTAGAATGGTGAATCCTTTCCAGAAGGTTTTTAATTTACTTTGTCCAGATCCATCAGAGGAATCACTGTCTGTGGCAGCTATAGCCTTACAAAATGTATTTCTTAAATAAGACTTGAAAGTCAGAATGACTCATTGATCCATGGGCTGCAGAATGGATGTGTTAGCAGGCATGAAAACAACATTCATGTCCTTGCACAGCTCCATCAGAGTTCTTGGATGACCAACTGCATTGTCAATGAGCAGTAATATTTTGAAAGGAATCTTTTTAAAAAATCCCACCCCCCCTCCCCCGCCCACCAGCAAAGCAGTAGGTCTCAATAGTGGGTTTAAAACATGGGTTAAACCATGCTGTAAATGGATATGCTGTCATCCAGGCTTTATTGTTCCATTTATAGAGCACAGGCAGCATGGATTCAGCATCATTCTTCAAAGCCTTAGGATTTTTGGAATGGTAAACAAGCACTGGTTTCAACTTAAAGTTCACCAGCTGCATTAGTTCCTAACAAGACAGTCAGCCTGTTCCTCGAAGCTTTGAAGCCAGGTATTGACTTCTTCCTCTCTACCTGAGAAAGTCCTAGACAGCATCTTCTTCCAATAAGAGGCTGTTTTGTCTACACAGAAAATCTGTAGTTTGGTGTAGCCATCTTCATCAATGATCTTAGCTAGATCTTCTGGGTAACTTGCTGCAGCTTCTATATTAGCACTTGCTGTTTCACCTTGCACTTTTATGTTATGGGGATGGCTTCTTTCCTTAAACCTCATGAACCAACCTCTGCTAGCTTCCAACTTTTCTTCTCCAGCTTCTTCATCTATCTCCAGCCTTCACAGAATTGAAGAGAGTGAGGGTCTTGCTCTGGATTACGCTTTGGCTTAAGGGAATGTTGTGGCTGGTTTGATCTTCTAACCAGATCACTCAAACTTTCTCCACATCACTCAAACTTTCTCCACATCAGCCATAAGGCTGTTTCATTACATTCTTATCATCTGTATATTCACTGAAGTAGCACTTTTAATTTCCTTCAAGAACTTTTCCTTTGCATTCCCAGCTTGGCTAACTGTTATAAGAGGCCTAGTTTTTGGCCAGTCTTAGCTTTTGACATGCCATTTTCACTAAGCTTAACCATTTCTAGTTTTTGATTTAAAGTGAGAGGCATGCAACTTGTCCTTTTACTTAAATAGAGGCCATGGTAGCATTGTTAACTGGCCTGATTTCAATACTGTTGTGTCTCAGGGAATAGGGAGACCCAAGGAGACTAAGTGATGGGGGAACAGCAAGTCAATGGAGCAGTCAGAATACACATAACACTGATTGCTCAAAAACAATCACAATAGCAACATCAAAGATTATTGATCACAACAGATAAAGAAATAATGAAAAAGTTTAAAATACTGTGAGAATTGTCAAAATGTGATACAGAGGCACAAAGTGAGCACGTGCTGTCAGAAAAATGGCGCTTATAGACTTGCTCAACATGGGGTTACCATAAACCTTCAATTTGTAAAAACTATAATATCTGTGAAATGCAATAAAGCAAAGTACAATAAAACAAGGCATGCCCATATACTGAAATAAATGTGACTTTGCAACACAGTGCATCAAAATCAATTTGGGTCTAAATTTTAAAAAATGCCATTTGAAGCATCTCAGAGGCAAGGGCACTTATAATTTACAAATAGTATTTTCCTACCAAGCAATATTATTTTCCTATACATCCATATACAAGGTCATAGAAGGGATACCAGAACGAATACAATATTACATCTCAGAGAAAAACGTCAGGTTCACTGCTGTGACATTTGGAGCTACCTTGAATCTATCTGACTCTTGTTTACTGTTCTTGAATATGAAACAGTGAATTAACAATTATAGAGCACAACAGCTCTTACAATGAGCAAATGTTGGGGTGGATAGGAAATAAAATAGTTTGCAGTAAAAGTTTACTCTTTGACCCACAACTATTTGAATTTTCTCTGAAGATTCATAATTATTAAAACTAAATAAATTTTCCAGCTTTTGGAAAAAATGTAATGCTGGAGAATGTGTTTTATTCTTAAAGAATGTGGAGAAATTAAGTACATTTCTGATATTTGAGATCTCTAAATTAATCATTTGAGCAGTCAAACATTTAGCAGCTACAACTGGATACAATTCAAGAAATCAAGAATTCTAAAATGAACTAGCTCCCTTTCTCCCCACCACCCAGAAAAAATAAAAGGCAAATTTTACACAACTGAAGATTGAATTCTTCACAAGAACATAATTTTGCTTTTCCCCCACATCTAGTTCTGTGTAATTGCAATCATTTCTCATTTTCTAAGAATAAACCTTACTCATGGAATAGAGATCTGAAGAGCAGTGTGATGCTTCAGAAACAGCATGGGACTGTCAGGAGTCTCCACTCCCTTGAGTTAATAACTGCTTAAGTTACAAGTCCTTTAATATCTTTGTGCCTCGGTTTCCTTTTAAAAGGGGGGAGTTAAATGATCTTTAAGGCCTGACTAGTTCCAAAGTTACAAGATTTAAAGTCTTTGATAAATCAAAGTCTTTTTCAATAAGAATATATTTTAACTTTTAATTAAAAATGTCCAAACAAAGCCAGGCGTGGTGGCTCACGCCTGTAATCCCAGCCCTTTGGGAAGCCAAGGTGGGCGGATCACCTCAGGTCAGGAGTTTGAGACCAGCCTGGCCAACGTGGTGAAATCCCGTCTCTACTAAAAAAAAAAAAAAAAGAAAAATTAGCTGGGCATGGTGGTGGGTGCCTGTAATCCCAGCTACTTGGGAGGCTGACACAGGAGAATTGCTTGAACCTGGCAGGCGGAGGTTGCAGTGAGCCGAGACTGCACCACTGCACTCCGGCCTGGGTGACAGAGCGAGACTCCATCTCAAAAAGTAAAAATAAAAATGTCCAAACAACATCTATCATCTTTAACAACCATCAACAATTTGATAGACTCGCTAAAATATTCCAAGTGTGATGACAAATCCAAGCCTATTTATGTGATTTAAATCCAGAAAACTATAGGACATGCTAACTGACTGCAATGAAATGGATTCTGGGCAACAAGTTTAAAATGTCCTTTTTTCCTCTGCCAGAGGGTACTTCCTATACAGTAAAGGCCCCCAAACCAAAATTTTAGAAAAACATCTGTAGCCTACAAAAGAAAAATATTTCTGACAGAGAAATCCCTTTACATCTCTATCAACACTGTAGCTTTGTGGGCCCCTAGGCTGTTTAAACATACTTTCCTTCCTTTCTGTTCTCATTTCTTATTTATTCTTGTTTCTATTCTTATCTTTTATTTTCTTTTCTTATTTCTTGACTTTGTTTCCTATTGCTTTCGCCCAGTTCTGTTTCGGGAAGTGAGTATTCCTTCTACATACATCTTCAGCCAATCAGATTGTTCCTTTATTTTCGGATGGCAACCCTACCAATGACTGATGCTCAGGTTTAATTTTAGAGTCCTCAGGTCTTAAATAATTTCATTAATGTTGTTTAAAGGCTCATTTACCCTGCCAGAGAGATTCTTAAAGAGATTCTGTGAAGTTCAGTATCAACTCCATATATGATTGTGTGTTTATAAATATGCTTCATGTTTTACTGTGAGATTATGGTACTACACATATAATCACGATTTTCAAATTCTGCTAATATTTCTTTCCAAATATTAAAATGTAATGCTAACATTTCAAAAGCCATTTAATACAGGAAATCTAAGAAAGAAGGAAAAAACTAAACTACAAAACTCATGTATAAATTTTTACTGTTAAAGATAGTTTTAGTTTGAGTAAAAACTCCTAATTTGCTTACCACTGTCTTATAAGATATACCTCTAATATATGACGTTATCAAGCCATTTCACCTGTGTGTATATAAATAGATAACTGGGGAAAGGTCAGCAACTTAATTAATAAGGGCTCTATTTATAATTATGCCATCAAAGCTAATCACCAAGTAAGAGCTAAATACACTAGTTGAAATTCTAAGTCTCATTAACGATGGTGCCAGAAATTTTAATTAAAATAGAACATCTCATTTAAATGATTAGCTTTGATAATTTAAGCATGAATAGAGGTCTAATTTATTAATTTGCTGATCACTGTTACATGCATTAGATGGTTTATTAGATATCATACATTAATGATCTCTTTGAGAAGCTATGTCAGAGAAGACAGCAATATTTCTACCTCGTTATACAACACAAGTCATAAGCTATCACCATCTATTCCTAAAGTGAGAATAGGCAATAATCAACCAAGATTATAATCTTCAAGATACATCTGTACAATACTTTCCTCTAAAAAAGAGAAATTGGGGGAGTCACGATGATTAGACAACAGTATGTTGAAATTAAAATTATCAACTAATTTAAAACAAGAGTTGTTTGAAAGAAAAAATGAAAATAGATGGCTCAAAGTGTCTCTGTTGAAAAACCAACACACAGAACAAGAAATAGTTCAAAGCAGACACATCACTGAAACATGTATGTCATCTCTAAGATGATGTAAGTAAATGTCGATTTACTGAAAGCTGATCAAAGTAAGTGACTTACTAGCATTCCATTTTTATCAGAAAGCCATTACAATATCACAACACAAAAATGAGCCATTTCACAAGCCAACTCCGAGACTTTTACAAAGATGCCTTCAAAAAGGATTTTCTATTTATTCCTTATGAGCACTTTTAATCAAACTACTCCATAGTGAAGCACATCTTAAATGGCAAAAGCTTTCCTTTGCACCAGTATCAACATTGCTACATAATCGTTTTGAGAATTTGTCCCTGAAGATAAAATGACTGAAAAGTATAATGGAAAAAAAAGGTCCCATTAATAACAAAAACAAAACAAAACACATCACTCTAAGAATATTGGAAATACTCAAGATTTAAATGAAGATGCTACAGATTTTTGAAGAGGAACATTCAAAAAATAAGAGAGAGAGAGAAAGAAAGAAGAGAGAGGCCAGGCATGGTGGCTCACACCTGTAATCCCAGCACTTTGGGAGGCTGAGGCAGGCGGATCACGAGGTCAGGAGATTGAGACCATCCTGGCTAACATGGTGAACCCCCGTCTCTACTAAAAATATTAAAAATATTAAAAAATTAGCTGGGCGCAGTGGTGGGTACCTGTAGTCCCAGCTACTCGGGAGGCTGAGGCAGGAGAATGGCATGAACCCGGGAGGCGGAGCTTGCAGTGAGCCCAGATAGCGCCACTGCACTGCAGCCTGGGTGACAGAGCGAGACTCCGTCTCAGAAAAAAAAAAAAAAAAGGAAAAATAGAAGAAGAGAGAAAAAGGGAGGGAGGAAAGAAGGAAATAAATTAAATGAGAAGTATTTGTAAAGATAAAATTTCCCTCAATTTAAGCTACAAGTTTAATGTATTTCAAATAAAAAGCCAAGAAGGGTGTGTAGAGGTGGGACAGAGGAGGAGGAAAGAGTTCATAAAGTTATTTTAAATTTTTTTTTAGTAGTAAAACCACAGAATGACCCTCCTCCCCCATCCACTCCATGCCCCACATATAGAAACTGGAAGGGAAAAAGTAATAAGGGAGACTTTAAACTACTGGGTTAGAATGCCACAAAATCTCAAAACTTAAAACAGTATAATTCTAGCACAGAAACTTATAGATGAAGAAAAACACAAAGTCCAGAAATAGATCACAATATGTAATGAAGAAATACATCTTACTCAGAGGTTAGAGTATTAAATTATCATGCAAAGTGAAAAATCCCACACAGATAAAAATTACCTTTGAAAAATCCTTAATCATGCCAAAATTACTAAAAACTGAACTTTTGGAAGCTCAGAGGTCAAGAATTAACTTCTGTTGTTTCTCTCTGCATTTCATTTTGCACTACCCCCACCCCTCGGAGCAAGTATGATACAGTGCTATTGCAAAGAATTTGGAAAGTGACATCTCTTTAGTGAGAATGTAATAATTCCAAAAAGACAGGAAGACAACTGGCTAAACGTCTAGAGAAAATGTAAACACTAATCCCAAGCTTACACTGGCATTTAAAATCAAATTGGAGCAATTTATCAATCTATTGGCAATTGGGGATGGTCTACTGCCTGGCTCAGGAGAAGATGGCACTTTGCCCTTTGTTGTCCTCCTCATCCCATCACACCTGTAAGGACCGGAAGTGGGAAAGGATGCAGGCAGTACTGCCAGACCACAATGTCCAGCCTTAGCCAAGCAGCCAAGGGCCATGGCTTTTGCTGCGTTTGAGGTGGGGAAGGAAAATCCATGGAGTTAAGCCTAATTATCTACATGAGAATAGTCTAAAAATTGAAAGTAGCAAAAAATGTTACAGAATGGGACCAAGATCCCATTCAGTGGTGATATAGGTGGGCATAGCAATTGGGGGAAGGGCAGAGAGAAATTGTTTCAAGTTTTCCCAACAAATAATCTCCCTCCATTAATGGATCATACATTCACATCTATAAATGCTAGGAAAGGCTAAATGTTATAGTAGGTATCTTTGTCTAGTTAAATTATAAATAATTTCTCTAACTTCTACATTTTCTGTGCTGGCCATGTATTTCATTTGTCACAAGAAAATCAAAATTACTATAAAAAGAAAAAACAAGTGAAACATAATGTAACCAACCATTTCCATTTAAATGAACTGTTACACTAACATCCAGATATCATCCCACAAGATTAATCTACTAAGTTTTCTGGGAATAAAAGGATCCATAGTGGGAGGGAAAAGCCTTTTCTTTGTTGTTAACGTTAAAGAAATTATTTTAAAAGGTTGGAAATAAACAGCAAGCACATCAATCATTCACTTTGTGAGATGATTCATGCAAAAGCATTTTGAACAGACTAAAGTTACCCTAATACACTGAAAATGTGAAAATCTGCAATGTGCTAAAAAAATATTATCTTTGTCAAATAAATTTTTCAGTGTTGTCAGTAAATCACTCATTTGTGAATCTCATGCAACAAAATAAAACTGACCAAATGTTTTTGCAAAAGTAAATTTCACTCTAAGAACCCACTGACAATGAAAGGTACTTATTCACACACAAACAAAGATAACAGAAATATCAGACATTAAGAGCACCAAGGTACAAAAAGCTTAAATTCCAAAATTAAGGCCCATTTAAAAAGATCAATGACTAAAGTAGATTATTCAATATGAAGTATTATTTAGTAAAGTACAAAACTTCATAAAACCTATAAAAACTTTGGCACACAGTTCCCCCTCATATCATGAACTCATTTGGCAGGTTAAATAAAAACATCATAAGTGATATCAGCAAAAATGGCAGAGTGAGAAACTCCAAAGTCCATCCCTCCATAAAAACAGAAAAAAATTGGCAAAAGCTGTCATAATCCATTTTTTGGGAACCTAGAAACCTAATTAAAAGCTTGTGGCAACCAGAAAAACAATCAAGAATTAAGCAAGAAAAAGAAATAAAAGGCATTCAGATTGGAAAGGAAGAATGAAACTATTTTTATTTGTAGATGACATTATCTTCCATATAAAAAAGCCTAAGATATCTACAAAAAAATCTGTTAATAGAGTTCAGCAAGATTGCAGATACACAATCAATATATCATCATGTGGTTAAACACTAGCAATGAACAATCAAAAAATGAAATTAAGAAAACAATTCCATTTATGATAGCATGAGAAAGAATAAAATGCTTAGGAATAAATTTAACAAAAGAAGTGCAAGACTTATACTTGGAAAATTACAAAATACTGTTGAAAGAAATGTTAAGCGTCCTGAACAAATAGAAAGATGTCCATGTTCAGGTACTCGAAGACTTAATATTGTTAAGGTTGCAATACTCCCCAAATTAATCTAGAGATTTAAAGCAATTCTTTTTTTAAATGTCAGCTGGCTTTTTTTCTGAAGAAATTAGTAAGCTGATCCTAAACCTCACATGAGAAAATTCAAGGAACCCAGAATAGCCAAAACAATCTTCCAAAAGAACAAAATATAAGGACTCATACTTCCAATTCCAAAACTTACTACAATACTACAGTGTACAATACAGTGTGGTACTGGCAGAAAGACAGACACACAGATAAATGAAATACAATGGAGAATCCACAAATAAACCCAGCATCTACAGTCAACTGATTTTTGACAATGTTGCCAAGACTATTCAATGGGGGAAAGGAGTCTTTTCAAAAGCGGTGCTGAGAAAACTGTATGGCCACATGCAAAAGAATGAATTTGATACCCACCTCACACAATATACAAAAATTAACTCAAAATGGACCAAAGAACTAAGAACCAAGTGTAAGAGGTAAAACTATAAAACTATAAAAAGGGGCCGGGTGCGGTGGCTCAAGCCTGTAATCCCAGCACTTTGGGAGGCCGAGGCGAGCAGATCACGAGGTCAGGAGATTGAGACTATCCTGGCTAACATGGTGAAACCCCGTATCTACTAAAAAAAATACAAAAAAAATTAGCCGGGTGTGGTGGTGGACACCTGTAGTTCCAGCTATTCCGGAGGGTGAGGCAGCAGAATGGCGTGAACCCGGGAGGCGGAGCTTGCAGTGAGCCGAGATGGCGCCACTGCACTCCAGCCTGTGCAACAGAGCGAGACGCCATTTCAAAAAAAAAAACAAACAACTATAAAAAGGAAATGTAAAAGTACATCTTTGCCATCTTGGATTAGGCCAGGGTTTCTTGGATATGACACCAAAAGCATAAGCAGCCAAAGAAAAAAATAGATAAATTGTAGTTTAGCATCAAAGGACACTATCAAGAAAGTGAAAAGACAACCCACACAGTGAGAGAAATAATTGCAAATCATATATGAGATTAAGAGTCTGTACCAGAATACATTAAAAAAAACCTCTTATAACTAAGTAACAAAAAAATAACCATTTTTTTAAATGGCTGAAGCATATGAATAGACATTTCTCCAAAAAAGATACAAATGACCAAGAAGCACATGCAAAGATGTCAACATCATCAGTAAATAGGGAAATGCAAATCAAAACTACAGTGAGGGCTGGGCGCGGTGGCTTACGCCTGTAATCCCAGCACTTTGGGAGGCTGGGGGCGGATCACCTGAGGTCAGGAGTTTGAGACCAGCCTGGCCAATATCGTGAAACCCCGTCTCTACTAAAAATACAACAACAACAACAACAAAATTAGCTGGGTGTGGTGGTGGGCGCCTGTAGTCCCAGCTACTCAGGAGCCTGAGGCAAGAGAATTGCTTGAACCTAGAAGGCAGAGGTTGCAGTGAGCCAAGATCATGCCACTGCGCTCCAGCCTGGGCGACTGAGTGCGACTCCGTGTCAAAAAACAAACAAACAACACTACAATGAGATCCTACTACACACCCATTAGGATGGTTATAATTTTTTTTACAAAGCGAGTATATAGAGAAATTGGAATCCTCATACATAGCTGTGGGAATATAAATGTGCAGAGAACACAGTTTGCAGTTCCTCAAAAAGTTAAACATAGACTTACTACATCACCCAAGAACTCCACTCCTAAGTTACAGTGTGGATGCACTTCAAAAGCCAGATATAAAAGGCCACATAATGTATGACTCAATTTTTATGAAATGTCTCCATAGACACAGAAAGTAGATTAGTGGTTACTAATCTGAGAGTGGGGAAATTGGGGTGTAATTGCTTAACAGTTATGGGGTTTCTTTTATGGGTGATGAAATGTTCTGGAATTAGACAGTAGTGATGACTGTATAACATTGTGAATACACTAAAATCCACCAAATTGTACAATTTAAAATGGCTAAAATGGTGACTTTTATGTGAATTTTATTATAAATAGCTAAAACATCACTTAACTGAAAATTACATTACTGATCAGTTGTAAAACTACTGTTCATTATAATCTGAAAGACTGTCAGATGTGTGCCAAATTTTTGTAAAGTATGGTTCCAAAATTCTAGATCCTCACAATACATATATGTAGATACCAATTCATCTTTATTGTGCTTCTAACTTACTTTAAGAGCCTAAAATCACAGTAAGTTGTTTTAATGACAGCTATACAGAATGAGCCAATCAATGAATACTGGGACAATTTGAACAGACTGCCTCTAAATCCCTACAAATAAGACATACAGCTTTCCCTATGAATCTTGACTTTTAATTAGCATCTATAGCAGGCAACTTGTAAAATGTGAATCAATTATTTCTAATGGCCTTTAGATATCATTCTGAAACTGCCAAAATGAAGCTAATATCAAAAAAGTATTTTTCATATATCAAAATTAGAAATCTTTATCCTGATTTAAGATGTCTCTGTCTGATATGACTACAACCGGCTTTACACATTTTTATCTTTAATCACTGCAAATTTAATGGGATCAGCTAGACATTTTTGTAGCCTACACCACATGGTACTGCTTTGGAAGTTTTATAACCTGGAATTACTAAGTTTTTCATAGGAAAAAAAAGTCCATAAAGATGCTCTTTAGAAATATCTAAGTATTTTACTTTATTTATTTATTTTTTTTTTTGAGACAGAGTCTTGCTCTGTCGCCCACGCTGGAGTGCAGTGGCATATCTTGGCTCACTGCAAGCTCAGCCTCCCGGGTTCACGCCATTCTCCTGCCTCAGCCTCCCGAGTAGCTGGGACTACAGGCGCCCGCCACCACGCCCAGCTAATTTTTTCTATTTTTAGTAGAGACGGGGTTTCACCGTGTTAGCCAGGATGGTCTCGATCTCCTGACCTCGTGATCTGCCCGCCTCGGCCTCCCCAAGTGCTGGGATTACAAGCGTGAGCCACTGCACCCGGCAGAAATATCTAAGTATTTTAAGATAAAATTCAGTTTAACTTAAAATGCTTAGTTTAGCACAGTCAATTTTATGTTAAAAATCTGCAAATTCTGATATTTGGGAATCAGAGTCCCTGGGTCTAACAAAGCACCAGGCTGAGTGGCAGGAGAAGGAGCACAGCACTTGGAGCTGGCACTGGCTGAAAAGCCAGCATCTTTGGAAAGTTCTCATTAACAAATTTATAATTAACACATGTAACTTAAAGCGAAAAGAAGAATCACTAAAAGCCATTTCCTCAGATTAAAAAAAGACAAAGCTCCTTGAATAGAGTCCTCAGATATTCAATATTTTCTTTAAACAGCAATAAAAGACTTTTAAGGGGCTTCATGTTTCAACAAAAGTGTCCACTTTACAAAACCTGAAATACAATAGGAGGGTGGCAATTAAAATAATTCCCAAGAAAGGATTATCTTTAATACGCTGTTAAATTCAATAAGATCTGTGCCTTCCTATTATCAAATCAATAAATACTGATATTTTTCACAATCAGCTAATAACAAAAGGAAAATAAGAAGACATTTACCTCTTCTAAGCTAGGGAGCGAAGAAGAAGATACTGTTCGAGATGACAATGGGTGAAATGGCTCTTGACCAATAGCATGTTGATGATTCTGTATTTGTACAAAAGGGTTCTGCGGTGGCCTGTGAGGCAATGGAGGTAGGCCATAGGGAAAACCTGGCCCCATTAGGTGATTCTGTTGCAAGTTAGCAAAAGTCCATGCTCCATCAGGTGCCAGGTATTTCAAGGGAGGAGGGGCAAGGTGTTCAGATGGCAACGAGAAAGGTGAGTTGAATATCTGGGGTGGGAGGCGCTGTGGAAATGCTGGGTTGCTGGCTACTTCAATGTCTCTGCTGTTATCATTAAAGTTAGAAAAGTGGCTACTGTGGTCTGTACTGGATGGGGGAGATGGGACTGCTGGTGGGCTTCTACTCTGTACTTGTCTATATTGCAAAAGTCTTGATTGAGGTGGTGGCATTTCAGCTAGTTCCCGTGTTTCACTTTGATCACGATGAGACAGTTCTCTGATTAAGTCTTGAAACCTACATGAAAACAATAAAATATGAGGAGAAAACAAAAGGCTCCATCACATTAAGGAAAGCTTAGTCAACTACACATGTATTTTCAACAAACAAAATCATAGTACTAATAACTAGAACTGGCATTAATTCATCTCAGATGTAAGCATTAACACTCAATAGATGCTGAGGTGAAGAAATTAAATATGCTCAATTACCTGATTTCTTTCTGTTCCCATTGTATTAAAAACATCTGTCCTTGTCTCTATACAGCTTTGACAACTGGAAGTTATAAAAGGTCACCATGATGGTGGACCTTATTCAGAAGGGATTAGGAAACACTTCAGAGCATTCATGTGACACTGGCCACAAAAACAAGCTTAGAGTTAGGACCAAATACTCATATGTAGCTGGAATTATAGGAATGTAGAATTCTGTGCCACCATAAAAATAATTAATGATATAATTTTTAGCTTTTAACCACGAATTTACTCCTGTCTTTATTCATTCTTTGCAAGTATTACTACTAAATAAAAAAAGCTGCTCACAGTGATGGTATGTTTCTCTCGCAGAAAAGACCACAAAGTAAGGGAACAAGTTAATTTCCAACCCATAGTAGATCATCCATGCCTAAATTTGTAGAAGAGTTACTTCTAAATGAGTTTTCTGTATTTTAGAGTCAACAAGAGAACTGTGTAGCGTGTGCTTGGAAGGCCAGCATCCAATTTCTCTGAGGCAATATTCCAGCTTGAAGCTAAAAGGACTACAGTCAAAAAAGAGAACAGTGAGGGGGTCGCATTCCAGGGGCTATTTTCAGTCCGCTGGAATACCTTGAGTATGTGGTCTCCACTTCATCTTCGGCACTGCTGGTGAGCTTCCAGTCTGCCCTCACTGGCGGCTGATGTAATCCCAGGGGCGGCTGAGGAAGATGCTGGAGGTGAGGATGGTGATGGTGTGGGTATGGAGCGCTGCCCTGACTGAGAAAGGCATGATGCTCGCTCCACTGCTGGAACCGTGCCTGCTGCTGCCTTAATGTTTCCAGAGCGACACTCCCATGTATACGATCTGCAAAAATATTTGTGAAAAATTTTTTATGAATTTGGGGTTTCAAGTTCATTATTTAAAGTTTTTTACTAACATATTTTCTCCACAAAGACAAAGGACGTAGCTACAAATTTGGTTTTGGTAAGAAGTAAATGTTTTCTAAATTTGCCAGAAATCAGTTATGGTGATGATGATGACAACTCTTCCTCACTTACATAATGATGATCCTGACATCCACTGGATACTATCATACAGCATTTAGAACTAGTTTCTGATTATCACACTAAATGGGGGGGTTTTGCTAGCATTATTTGAAGAAACAATTCAATCTTAACCCAAAATGATATTATACAGTCCAAGTCATGTTAAGTAATCTCTGAATTTTCACATCTGGCAGTAATAGAACTTACCTAAAGCCTCCCCTATAGGTAATCCCGAGGGGTTCTCATCAATGAAGCTATTCAGATGTGAAGGAAGAATGGGGCCGGGTTGTGCAATGGCTCTCAGAGGACTGTGGCCTTCTTGCAGCATGGGAGGGGGCTGCTGCTCCGGAATTACAGCTTCTGCAGGAGGAGACTGTGGCCGATGAGCAACTGCACTATTAAAAAAAGCATTGTTGGGTCCCGCCTGATATGCAGGAGAAAGCTGAGGAGGTGGCTGCTGAGGCTGCTGATTCAACTGACTTTGCTGCTGGACTACCTGATTTGGCTGAGGTGGTATCTGATTTGGTTGTTCAGGCAAATTATTCTGCTGCTGATTTAACAAGGTGTGCTGCTGTGGAATTGGAAAGGGTGGTCTTGGTAGCTGGGGAAGGGGATGAAAGTGGCGATTAGGGATTGCATACTGTGCGTGGGGAGCAGGAAGGGGAAGATTTATGTGTCTTGGGTTGAGATTATCTTTGCGAGGAAATTTGGTACTGGGATAAACAACACTAGGACGTGATTCAGGACTTCTGTTCTGTGGATTTGATTCCAAATCAACCTAGAAAAAAAGAAGAAGCCTTTTTTAACTGCAGAAGATTCAAATTCAGTTGCTCTCCACCTTTTCCCAACCCTAACACATCTAAAGGATATGATACATTGATATCTTCCAGCAGGAGAGCTGAGTGCTCAATTATTTACTTTCTCACAATCAAATAAAGGAAATTTTTTTTTAATTTAAAAAGATGACAGAAAAAAAACAGCATATTAAATGTGAGTCATAAGAAAAGATACTGCCATTTTATTAGCATATCTACTTTAATTCCTTTCAGGGCATTATTTTTAATTTCACACTTTCTTCCTTAGAAAGATGGCCATTTATTTCATTCTGATATAAATCATTAAAATGTGTTTTCCTTCTGATTTCAGGGTGGGTTTGGGTTTTGTTTTGTTTTTTTTTGAGACAGAGTCTAACTCTGTCTCCCAGGCTGCAGTGCAGTGGCACCATCTTGGCTCACTGCAATTTCTGCCTCCTGGATTCAAGCAATTCTCCTGCCTCAGTCTCCCAAGTAGCTGGGATTACAGGCATGCACCACCACGCCCAACTAATTTTTGTATTTTTAGTAGAGATGGAGTTTCACCATGTTGGCCAGGCCTGGTCTCAAACTCCTGACCTCAGGTGATCCGCCTGCCTCGGCCTCCCAAAGTGCTAGGATTACAGGTGTGAGCCATCACACCCAGCCTGATTTTATTGTTTTTATATATCTAATATATTTCCTCAAAAATATCTATGTTAATAAAAAGATGTATCTCAATTTAAACAACTTTGAAATGAACAAACAAGTACTATATCACCTTTGTATATAACTAGTTTGGTTGTCAATTTTTCCATTACATATTGACATTCTTTCTTTAACATTTATTGTGGCCAAACAATACACTGTGCCTGGTGTTGGAAATTAAACAGGCAATAAGAAGACTCAGCCTACACATCAAGAGCCTAGTGCAGGCGTCTATATACCATGCCCCCACTCCAATGCCATTTCCGGCTCACCAGGTTTTGTAAATAAGGTTTTCTTGGAACACAGTCACACTCATTTGTTTACATGTTGTCTGTAGCTGCTTGTGCACTATAATGATAGAGCAGAACAGCTCCAACAGAGACCATGTGGTCCCCAAGGCTAAGATTTACTATCTGGCTTTTTACAGAAGAAGGTTGCTGACCCCTGGCCTAGAGTTCAGTAGAAGATAACAATATGTAAACATATCACTAGAGGTACTGTAAGAGGATGCAACTGTAGTGCCTGAGAAAATTAAGGAAGGTTTCACAGAGGTCATGACATTCGAGTTGAATCTTACAAAAAGAGGTGGAATATTCCAAGGAGAGAAGGACATGCTAGGTAAAGGTAACAGTTTATGCAAAGGTTGAAGAAAGGAAAAGTATGGCAGATTCGGACAGCATGGGAAGTTTTGTGTACGCAGAGCTATAACTTCACTTGTTTATATATTAGTTTTCCCTTTTCAATATCAGAGGAAACTACAAGAGCCCAATCACATGAGACCCTGAATTATTCAATACTGAGTAATTGTTTTTAATTCCATAAACTGTGATAACTACAAAAAGTTTTTAAGCTGGGGAGTGTTGTCATCCTTCTGAAATGTAAATTTGATCATAAGTGATGACAATGTGAAAAATAAAATATAAGATGGAAAGAGGCAATTTTTCTTTTCCGGCTCTGTCAAAACACTCCATGCATTACTTGGAGTGTAAATAAATTTGGCACGTCAATCTCCTTACAAGTTTCACTGATGAGCTAGTGACTGAGGATTGCAGAGCACTTGCCTCACCCTAGGCTCTTAAATTAGCCATAGAACTGACCACTCCCCAAAAACAGAACAAGCAGCTTGTTCCTGAGTTGCAGCTGGGGTACACTTGGTGACCAACCTGTTGCAACAAATGGTTGTGATGCAAATTGTGTGCCAAGTGCATCCTCATCTCTAATCATCTAGCTCAAATGGATTGCCATTAAATTTGGCCAATTTTAGGCCCTTAAGATTACTGAGTATGTATAAATTATCTACAAAAAGAAGTGAGAAGCACGACAATTCTATCTCAGTTTTCCCAAGTATGCAATGCCTGCTCTTCAGATGTCTCAGAACCTGATTAAGGTTCTTCATAAACAAACATTTTCCTCCATAAATCTCCATCTTTTCAATGACTAAAATTATATTCAGCTGGGATATACTTTTTTCCAGAAGATATTGTTGATATGCATAGTTTGGTCACATGAAGGAGGTCATAATCAGGTGTCAAGGTTGTTTATGAATAAGTTGCTATCTTAATTGTCTCTATCACTTCTGACCCTGACATTGAAAGGAAGCTAGGTCTGCGTCACAGAAATTTAGATAAGGACTGTGCTATTCTACAATACTACAATTGGCTCCCTAAGCAAGGTAGAGAATGGTAAGAGCTGAAGAAGCCTGCATCTGCTACTATCAGAATCAGATTCTCCTCTATCATTTTCCTCTTAATACTGAGGAGGCACTGAGTCAAAAGAACCAGGACTAGTTCTTTTATTTTTCCTGGGCCCCAAGACAAAGCATCAGGGTGGGAGAGAAAACAAAACATGTCTTCAGGTTGCCTAGTTCTCTAACAGAGAAGAATCCTAACAGAAATTTTAAAACAAGGACATGAGAGACACTTAGATATCTTGGCTTCAGTTGCTCTGAGAGCACCTAAGACTCGTGCGATTGGTTTCGTCCCAAGCTGCCTCTGACTATATGTGCTGCTGGTGCAGGTGCACCATCCTGACATGCCACTCGTTCTCTCTCTGCACCACTTCCCAAACACGTACCACTTCAGCTTTCACTGCAGCCCCCACTTATCTATCAGGAGGTTCCCTTGGCTGCCTCATTTGTACTGCAGCCCCTCCAGTGGGTACTGAATCCTTCCATATATAGAAGCTGTGAGTAAGAGATGCTTATGTGATATAAGTAACTGAATAAAGAGAATAGCTGCTTAAATAAAACTAGGCTGAGGTTGGAGATACAGATTTGGAAGTCGGTATCATGAAGTGGATACTTAAAATTATGGATTGCACTGGTTTATAGTAAGAAACCATAGAATGCAAGACAGGTGGGACTAGGACAGAACTCTGAGAAATCCCAGCTTAAGGACTAGAGACAGATGCTTGGGGAGGCTGAGCAGGAACTTTTTAAAAAAGACGGAGGTCATGTTAGAGAGATTGTGAAAAGTAAAAATGTGTCAAAGAAAACGAAAGAAACAAGATGGTCAAAGACAGAAGTAGAAAACAGTGCCTAATACCAAGAAAAGTCAAGTAAGACTACATTTGAAGTATGTTCGTAAGAGCACAATAGTTTTAGTGAAATGTAGACTATGTGGATTAAAGAGCAAATAAGAGGTGAGGAAGAAAGGAGAAATGAGGCAGTAGCTATAAAGGAGATGAAGGTTAAAGAAATTATCTTTTTAAAAAAATATATCAAGCAATTTGCTTACTTTAGGCTAAAAGAGATCTAAATATGCTATAGGCTGACAGGGAAGAACGAACAGCTGGAAAGAATCCAAAGATAAATGAGGAGAAGGGACAAGGTCTATGTGGTAGTTGAAGAGGAGAGATTAATTTTTTTTTTTTAGACAGAGTCTCGCTCTGTCGCCCTGGTTGGAGTGCAGTGGCGTGATCTTGGCTCACTGCAAGCTCCGCCTCCTGGGTTCACGCCATTCTCCTGCCTCAGCCTCCCGAGTAGCTGGGACTACAGGCGCCCGCCACCACGCCCGGCTAATTTTTTTGTATTTTTAGTAGAGACGGGGTTTCACCGTGTTAGCCTGGATAGTCTCAATCTCCTGATCTCATGATCCACCCGCCTTGGCCTCTCAAAGTGCTGGGATTACAGGCGTGAGCAACCGCCAAGTAGAGATTAATCTTAACGGGAACTCTTCCTCTGAGACTGGTGATCAGGAAGTAAGGGTGCTCAGGGCTATGGTAAAAGTGCTAAATTTAAGGTTACAAATTAACAAGAGCAAATCCTGATGAGGTCAGTCTGAGGCAAGCCATCCAATAGGATAATAGAATGTGGAAGGTAATCAGGCTTGAGAAGAGTCACTGAGACAACTGGGCAAAGGAAGTGAGATACGTGTGAAAGAAATGCAGGGGAGCCCTGATGGTTCCATTCAAATTAGAAAACAAGAACTTCCAGTGGCACTAATTCAACCAGTGACTTGATTTTCTCTAAGTAGTTTATAAGCACAGAAGCAGAGAAAATAGATGAATGGACAGATAAAGAATTAAGGGCTTAGTGGGTATGATGAGAGAATAAGGTGAGGGACCTGAGTAAGTCTTCCCCTCTCTGAGGAAGAAGTTCTCCTTCTTCACGATAATGACACACTTGTAATGACACACCTGTAGCTCTGTCTTCATTTACTACCTTATCATAGAAAATCTCTAAATTCAATTTTATCACTGAATAACAGAATTTGAGAAAAGTATACTGATACATGAAATAGCACAGCCAAAGAAAAGATGAAGAAAGAGAAGGCAATATGGCTCACTATATCCCTGTGAAAAAATAAACATAAAGGATAAGTGTACAAAGGGAGGTATTTTTCTTTAAAACATCAAGATTCCAAGATGACCAATCAGACTAAATCCACTAGGACAACACAGTAACTAAGCAGCATACCTGTTTTGGTTCTGTTGGCTTTTTCTCTGGTGTTCGAATCTTATTAATTTCAGGTCCGGAATTATTTGTATCACTTTTACCTAAGAAAATATTTAAAAATCCTTATAAGTTTTCTCCAGTGGATATGACACTTCCAATGCTTATCCAATATTAGAGAAAGAGGCAGAATACTTTAAACACTTTTCACCCATTATGATCAGTGTATGACTACTTGGGTTTTGTTCTTAAATTTTCAGAGTTACAGTTTCTCTGCAAGAAAGAAAACTTACAAATGAAGCAAACTTCATTGACAAGGCAAAGCCTAATAAGGGAAAAACCTTAAAGCATCAAATAATCCCAAAGGAAACTACCCAATCTCCAGGAATTACAGCCTCATTTGCTTAAACTAGATGTGTTAAAGGCCTTCGCCTTCTTGCCTATTTATAAAGGCTCAATGCTTTGGTCACTTATAAATGCAATTAAGCAAAAATCTAAATAACGCCTCAATCTAATTTAGTAAAGGAATCTAAACATAATAAAGATATTCAGAAAGTAATGTAGTTATACTGCTTAAAAGTAATAGATATCAAACCGTGTATAAGTGGGTGATAAATAGTAGAGCAGGCAAAATTAAGGTTTTAAAAAAGCACAGTTATAATAGACAATTCATACATGGGAAAGGCTTTTAATCTACAAAAGAATTAACCACTGGATAGTTTAAGTTCCTTGAAGGAATCCTTGATTTAGGTTCTTGTTCCAAAACATTCTTTTTGGAATTCCACTGGAACTTTGTAAAATGAATTATCATGCCAGAATTACCTTACCATTAAGCTTCAAGAAATGAAAACTATAGTATCGGAGATGAAGAAAGCACTGAATGGAATTACCAGCAGAATAGACATTACAGAAGAAAAATCTGGCAAATTTGAAGGCACAGAAATAGAAACTACCCAAAATGAAACATGAAGAGAAAAAAGAATGTTAAAAAAATTAGCACCCATAAACTGTGCAAAAACTTTAAGCATCCTAATATATGGGTAATTAGAATCTCTGAAGAACAGTGGTAGGGGCAACACAGAAAAAAATATCTGAAAAGATATAAAGTTTAAAAATTTACATACTTGATAAAAATTATAAACTCAGAGATCTGAGCAACTCAACAAACCTCAAACACAAGAAACAGGAAGAAAACTACATCAAGGCATATCATAATCAAACTGATAAAACCAGTATAAAAAGAAAATCTATAATGCAGCCAGGGAGAAAAAGACTTGTTACATACAGAAAAACACAGATAAGGATGGCATCAGATTTCTCACTGGAAAAAACGCAAGTGAGAAAATGGTAGAACAACACCATTAAAGTATCAAATGATAAAAACTGCCAACCAAGAATTCTCCACCCTACAAAAATATCTTTTAAAAATGAAAGTGAAATAAAGACATTTTCAGGCACACAAAAGCTGAAAGAACTCATCACCAGGAGACCTGCAATACAACAAATATTTTTAAAAAGTCTTTCAGGCAAAAGAAAAATTGTATCAGCTGGAATCGTCAATATACAGAAAGAAAAATTACTAGAAATGGTAACACATGGGTAAATACTTAAGACTATTTTTCTTATAATTTAGAACTCTTTTACTTGGCTGTTTAAACAAAAATAACAATTATGTTTTGGGGATTTGTAACTTATGTAAAAGTAAAATACATGATAACAATAGCATACAGGCTAGGAGAGAAAAAATAGCATACTTTAAGCTTCCTTTACTGTAAATGAAGTGGTAAAATATAAATTGGAAAGTAGTCTGTGATAGGTTAAAGATTTATACTATAAACCCTAAAGCAACTAGCAAAATAATAAAACAAAGAGTTGTCACTGATAAGCCAATGGAGACAAAAAGGAGTCATTAAAAAAAAAAATACTCTACCAATCCAGAAGAGGGCAGAATAAAAGGAGAAGGCGGAAAAATCAATTGGACAAATTGAAAACAAATAGCAAGATGATAGAATCAAACTTAACTGTATCAACAATCACATTAAATGCAAATGGTCTAAACACCCCAATTAAAAGGCAGAGACTGTCACATTAGATTGAAAAATATCAAGAGCCACCTATATGTTATCTAAAATAAACAAACTTTAAATATAAAGACACAAATAGATTAAAAGTAAAAGGTAAAAATACACACACACACACACACACACACACACCATGCTATCACTTGATAAGAGAAAGCTGAAGAGGCTACACTGATATCACACAAAGTAGATCTCAAACCAGAGAATATTTTCAGGGACAAAGAAGGTCATTCCATAACGATAAACGAGTTAATTAATCAAGAGTATGCAATCCTAAACATTTATCTCCTAATAATAGAACTTCAAAATTCATCAAGAACTCACAGAACTTAGAAACCTGAACATTGAAAATTAGACAAATACCAATTATATTGGGAGATTTCAATACCCCTCCTCAGTAATTGATAGAAAGAGTAGAATCAGCAAGGATACAATAGACCTGAACAACTCTACCAACCAACTTGACCTAATTAACATTTGTTTTTCTTTTTTCAAACAGAGTTTCGCTCTTGTTGCCCAGGCTGGAGTGCAATGGCATGAATCTCGGCTCACTGCAATCTCCACCTCCCAGGTTCAAGCAATTCTTCTGCCTCAGCCTCCCGAGTAGCTGGGATTACAGGCGTGCACCACCACACCCGGCTAATCTTGTATTTTTAATAGAGATAGGTTTCACCATGTTAGCCAGGCTGGTCTCAAACTCCTGACCTCAGGTGATCCGCTCACCTCAGCCTCCCAAAGGGCTGGGATTACAGGCATGAGCCACCATGCCCGGCCCCTGATTAACATTTACAGAGCAATCTATTCTTCTCAAGTACACACAGAACATTTACCAAAATAAACCACATTCTGGGCTGTGAAACAAATCTCATTCAAAAGCATTCAAGTCATACAAAATATGTTCTCTTAACACAATGGAATTAAAGTACAAATCAGTAACAGAAAAATTTCTAGAAAATCACCAATAATCAGCAACTAAAGCACCTTTCTAAATAATCCATGGGTCTAATTTCAAGAGAAATTAGGAAGCATACTGAACTAAATGAAAATAAAAATACAACATACTGGTCTTTTTGGAATGTATTACTGAAGAGAAAAATTATAAATTAAATACTTATATTCATTTAAGCTTTCACTTTAACAAAATATGTGCAAAGACTGTATATACTGAAAACTTTTTTTTTTTTTTTGAGACAGAGTCTTGCTCTGTCACCCAGGCTGGAGTGCAGTGGTGTGATCTCGGCTCACTGCAACCTCTGCCTCCCAGGTTCAAGCGATTCTCCTGCCTCAGCCTCTCAAGTACCTGGGATTACAGGCATGTGCCACCATGCCCGGATCATTTTTATACTTTTAGTAGAGACAGGGTTTTTCCATGTTGGCCACGCCTGGTCTCGAACTCTTGACCTCAGGTAATCTGCCCACCTTGGCCTCCCAAAGTGCTGGAATTACAGGCATGAGCCACCGTGCTCGGCCTGAAAACTTTTTTTAATGCTGAAAAAAAAATAAAGACCTAATAGAAAAAAATGGAGAGATATATACTCCGTTCAAAGATCAAAAGAATCAGTATTGTTAAGATGTTAATTCTCCCCAAAGTGACCTAAAGATTAAACACAATGTCAATCCAAATCCCGGAAGGCTTTTTAGTAGGAATTGACAAGCTGATTCTAAAATACATAGAAATGCAAAAGACCTGGAATAGACACTTTTGAAAAAGAACAACGTTGGAGGACTTACACTACCTGACTTAAAGACTTTTACAAAGCTATAATAATCAAGACAGCATATTTGGTGTAAACATAAACATATGCATTAATAAAAAGTATCCACATATAGGATCAACTGATTTTCAACAAAGGTGCCAAGGCAGTTCAATGAAGGAAGGACAGAGTTTTCAACAAATAGTGCTGGAATCACTGAACATACATATACAAAACTAAAACAAAATAACAACAAAATCTCAGTCCTTACCCTTACACTATATATAAAATTTAACTCAAAATGGACCTAATTAATGTAAGAGCTAAAAACTATAAAACTTCTAGAAGAAAACATAAAAGAAGATCTTGGGTTAGATATATTTTTTTTAAGACACAACACCCAAAACATGATCCATAGAAGAAAAAATGGATAAAATGGACTTCAACAAAAATAAAAGCTGCTGCTCTTTGAAAGATACTGTTAAGAAAATGAAAGCTAGACACAGTGGCGTGTGCCTGTAGTCCCAGATACTCAGGAGGCTGAGGTGAGAGGATTGCTTGAGCCCAGGAGTTCAAGGTCAGACTGCCCAACACAGCAAGACTCTGTCTTTAAAAGGCAAAAAAAAAAAAAAAAAAAAAAAGGCAAGCCATATCCTGGGAGAAAATATTTTCTAAATATATATCTCATTAAAGATTAGTATCCAGAATGTATAAAGAACTCTTATAACTGAAGACAATCAACCCAATAAAAAAGTGGGCAATAGATATAAATAGAGGTTTCATCAAACAAGATACACACATGGCAAATAAGCACAATAAAAAGATACTCAACATCACTCATTATTAGGGACATGCAAACATGTAAATTAATACCACAATGAGATATGATTAGACATCCACTAACAAGAGTAAAATTTAAAAAAAGACTGAGCATACCAAGTGCAAATGGTAATCTGGAACAACTGGAAATCTCATACATTACTAGTAGAAATGAAAAATGGTTCAGCCACTTTTGAAAAATAATATGGCAGTTTCTTATAAAGTTAAATATATATTTATAATATGCCCAGCAATCTCACTCCCAGGTATTTACCCAAGGGAAATAAAAACATGTTCACATGTATGTTCACAGCAGCTCTATTCATAAGGGCCAAAAATTAGATACAACTAATAGGTGTATCAAATGATGGATGAATAAACATATTGCGGTACATCCATACAACTGAATACTAACGGTAAAAAGGAACAAACAACTGACACATATAATCTGGTGGAACAGCAAAAGCATTAAGCTAAGTGAACAAAGCTGGACACAAATAATTATAGAATTCCATTTTTATGACATACTAGAGAGTATGGGACAAAAGTCAGATCAGTGGTTGCTCAGGGCTGGGAGCTGGAGGATGGGATTGCAAAGGGTGGAAAGAAACTTTTTGTAAATATGTAAATATCTTGTATCTTGATTTTGGTGGAAGTTAACAACTCTGGATATTGTTAAAACTCATCAATGTACGTTTTAAAAGGGTGAATTTTACTGTATATAACTCATACCTCAATAAACTTGAATAAAAAATACAGTAATTTTTCCTTGTAATTCTAGCAGACTTGTAGTAAAAATAACCTTTATATCAACAATCCCACAAGATTAATGCTTAGTACACCACAAAAATATTTCGAGTTAACAAAAATGTTTAACAGGAGAGGACCTTCCATCTCAATTTTAAATGACTACCATTTTAAAGTACTCTAAATATTCAAATTTAATATTTTTTTCAGAAACTCAGTGACACCAATCATAAGTGGTAGGATTTAACCTAAAGGACCCTCTGAGGTTACATCTCAATTTTGTGTCTGTGTACATAATTTGTATCTTCTGGAGAGAGGATCCATAGTTTATATGTTAGATTCTCTCCCTTTTCTTTTTTTTTTTTTTTTTTTTTTTTTTTTGAGATGGAGTCTCACTCTATCGCCCAGGCTGGAGTACAGTGGCGTGATCTCAGCTCACTGCAAACTCCGCCTCCCAGGTTCATGCCATTCTCCTGCCTCAGCCTCCCAAGTAGCTGGGACTACAGGCACCCGCCACCATGCCCGGCTAATTTTTTTGTATTTTTAGTAGAGATGGGATTTCACCGTGTTAGCCAGGATGGTCTCGATCTCCTGACCTCATGATCTGCCCGCCTCGGCCTCCCAAAGTGCTGGTAGATTCTCTCTCAAAGAGGTCTATAATCCATGAAAAAGTTAACAATCATACTGTTAAAGGAACTTTCTATGTGGCTAAAACTTTACCTGTCATCAGTTTATGAACAGGAGAACAGCGAAGTACAACTTACCATTTCGATTTTGCTCATGTTGATCCTTCTCCTGATGCTGATTTTGTGGCTGGCCTATGGTGACAGGTGGGTGATGTCCAAGGCCATAAGGAATAGGAGATCCTCGTCCATGTGTCTGTAATAGGTTCATGTTATAGGCCATTGCTGCCTGATGTGTAATAATTCGAGGATCAACTGCAAACCTACCCTGGTATCCTGTCCATGGTACCTAGGTTATTAAAAAATAAAATACATGCATTAAGTATATTTTGGAAGGCAAACTGCTAGAGTGCTGCTGATTAGGGAAAAGCAAACATACAAAGACATACAAACACACACACACACAGATGTTAATTTTCTCAAAATAAATAACTACAAAGTTGATGCTAATACTAACAATTGTGTCTTAACTGGCTAAAAAACAGCTCCCTGCACCTTTAGTATGTAATGGAAAATAGATCATTTTTCAGATTAGGAAGAAACTGAGGGCTTAAAATTGGTAATTATTCCTTGAGGCATTAAATCATTTTATAGTATTTACTTGTTTCCCCTCCATATGAATGTATACATGTCAGATTACCATAAAAATAATCTTTTAAAGTCATAATTGCATAGAAACATAGTTTAATAGACAGGGGGAAAAGTTAAGGAAGAACTTAGCCTAAGGAGTCTCAACTCAAAAAACTGGTATTCCAACTTAATATGAGTAACCACATCATTTAATGTTCATTTATTATAGGTAAAATTCAAATAGGTCATCTGTGCTTTTAATTCAACTCCACCTTAAAATACAAAAACAGAAAACTTGTTTAAGTGTGTCTAGATATATAATCTCTGCATATTAACACAAAAGGAATAAATACAATGACATCTGAGCTACTGCTCCTATTATTTTATTATAACTGTTAAATGCAAACTCTCAGAAATCTTACAAAATAGAAGTCTCTTTGACCTAGTAAAGTGAAATAAAAATCCTAAGGGACTTACTATTTAAAGCAGATGATGTATAGTGTTGCCAAGCTGTCTGGAAGAAATAACTGCTAAAATCCAAAGTCTGAAGTCTATGGGGAGTGGGCATGAATTACGTATTTCTCATTTACAGTCATTCTCCTTGGCTGTCATGATTGTGAACTATCCTGACCAACGTGGCTGAGAAATGTTTGCAGCTAAGCATTTTCCCATTCTGGAGTGTGGGCAAGGTTGCCAAAAACCTTTGGCAATGATCATCTCAGCCTGAAATTACAGTGCTTGCCTTAAATGAAAGAAATTGTTTCCAAGGCTAAAACTCCTGAATTGAAAATACTCGTGTCAGCAAATTAACAAAATATTCAAAAATTCTAAAGAAAGAGAAAATGGGTTTATATACAAGACGGACGGCCTCTAAAAATCTATAGTCTTACAAAGGATAGAGTAATGTTTTTAAGTAGTAGTTAAGATTTCACAAGATGTGGAATTTCTCAAATCAATTTAGATCCAAGTGAACTAGACTAATCCAAGCCTGTGTCCTGTATTTCTTGGGAACAGTTTTTGACTTATACAAAAATAAAAAGATAAAATGAAAACATCACTTTACAAAATGAGACCAATTCATTAGCTCCGTTAACTTTTAGCTCAATTTTCCTCAATAAAATATTTTAAAAGATTACAAATTAAATATTTAGATTTACAAATTAAATTTTAAAGATTACAAATTACAAATTAAGATTACAATTAAATATTTTAAAAGATTACAAAGGTGGCCAGGCACAGTGGCTCATGCCTGTAATCCCAGTGCTTTGGGAGGCCAAGTCGGGTGGATCACCTGAGGTCAGGAGTTTGAGACCAGCCTGACCAACATGGGGAAACCCTGTCTCTACCAATACAAAAAATTAGCCGGGCATGGCCAGGTGCAGTGGCTCACACCTGTAATCCCAGCACTTTGGGAGGCCAAGACAGGCGGATCACAAGGTCAGGAGATCGAGACCATCCTGGCTAACATGGTGAAACCCCGCGTCTACTAAAAATACAAAAAAATTAGCCAGGCGTGGTGGCAGGCACCTGCAGTCCCAGCTACTAGGGAGGCTGAGTCAAGAGAATGGCGTGAACCTGGGAGGCGGAGCTTGCAGTGAGCCAAGATCACGCCACAGCACTCCAGCCGGGGCAACAGAGTGAGACCCCGTCTCAAAAAAAAAAAAATTAGCCGGACGTAGTGGTGCATGCCTGTAATCCCAGCTACTCGGGAGGCTGAGGCAGGAGAATCGCTTGAACCCAGGAGGCAAAGGTCACAGTGAGTCAAGATTACACCACTGCACTCCAGCCTAGGCAACAAGAGCAAAACTCTATCTCAAAAAAAAAACAAAACAAAATAGTACAAAGGTTTCTAAATTGAATTATAATTTCTTCACAGTCACTAGTAACCTAATAACAAATTGTAAGCAACAATTCGTAATTTCAAGGTTAGAGGTAACATTTGCTTTAAAAGAAGATTATCAGCACTGAAAATTTTTTTTAAAAAAGAAGTTGGTAGAATGCTATTTGGGATTAGAACCATTTTAGTGAAACCTATTTTACTTGATTCAATAGAAAGTATTTCGAATGTCCACTTACAGGTAAAGGCACCGACATAACTACATTCCCTCCATAGACAGCAGGTACATAAAGAATACTTGTCCCAGTGTGAGGATCTATTCTTTGAACAGGGCTTGGAGATTTTCCCAAATTTGGGTGAGGTCCAAGAGGGGGTGGAGGAGTATATGCTCTAATAGGATTGCCAATAAGTACAGAAGGATTGGGCTGAACTGAAAAATAAACAGAAAAAGGATGCACTCAACAGCTGTACATAGTCATCCAGAAAAAATAATTTAAATCATTCAACAGCAAAATATATTTCCCAGGTTTGCCTAAGATATCTTATCATCAAAGAATTATCAGTGTGGAAAAGTAAAGCATATTACAAAAAAAAAAAATTTTTATAATGCTCCCTAAAATTAACTTGAATTATACAAAGCATTCCTTTTATAAACTAGCATAATTTTAAATATTTTCTGAGGAACTCAGGATGTGTCTTTCAAGAGAGAAAGCTATGCACACACTCCTAGTAAACAGTCTTCTATCTAAAAAATTATACAACTCTTCAGAATAAAGTTTTGACTTACAACTGTAACAGAACCACATACAATATGAAAGTTAAGGAATTATTTTAAAAGCACGACTATGCAATATTTAAAATAATTTAAGTACATTTTTTATCTTGAAATATTTATGATCTGATATTTGTAGGACATAAATATTTTCTGAAAATTTATGTTGCATAAAAGGCTTAAATGTTTTTCCTCAAAACCTCTGGATATGTACATGAATACCTACAAAATTGCCCCTTTTCAGAAATAACATATCAATGCACTGATAAAACCCTAAGTGTTGAATAAAAAAATTGAGAGGTTCCAAAGTGACTGTGTGTGTGTGTGTGTGTGTGTGTGTGTGTCAGAGAGAAAGAGAGAGAGAAACCATCTCCCCACCCTCCTCTTTCTTGTGGTGAAATTTGGGGAAAATCTCTTACATCATAAAAGCAAGTTTTCATAGGGTAATTTTTCCACTTACCAATTCCATCATTCTGGAAGTGATCATTCTGGGTATGATGAAGACTTTTCCCCTTTAAAGAAAAACACAAATGTATAATAATTTAAGCATGTTTAGTATTAGAAAACAATAACCATTTTCCTAATCATATGTAAATTAATGTACACATCAATAATTAAAATCTAAAAACTGTGAGTCTATAATTAATAACCATTAGACTGCTTTGAGCCAATTTTCTTTTTAAACATTATGTCACAGCCATCTCA
The DNA here is from genome assembly GCF_000001405.40 of Homo sapiens. Classification (NCBI taxonomy): domain Eukaryota; kingdom Metazoa; phylum Chordata; class Mammalia; order Primates; family Hominidae; genus Homo; species Homo sapiens. Next base: position 67,124,208 of record NC_000017.11, read on the forward strand.
AATAATATTGCTGGGCCTCAAGTTTTCTCAGTTTCAAATTAAGGGTATCTAAAATTCCTTTTTTATGAATATTTTTCATTAAAATGAAATACGCAATCAACATGATTTAAATTTTATTCCTTTGCAGAAATAGAATTGCAGTTTCTCTATACATTTTCTAACAAATCACGAAACACAGAGGTTGTTTTTCAAAGTAAAAATGTTAATCTTCAAGATGAGAACCTTTAACGGAATAAAAAGAATGCAAATATGGCTTAGGATTTATGACGTTTTGAGTATAATTCATGCTGTGTTAAAGTATAAAATTTACTTTAAAAAAACAAAAACAGGAAAAGGGGAACTGTCATTATTTGCTTGTGAGATAATCTAGCTAACTGCTAGACAGCAATATGGCAATACATATCAACAGCATCAAAAATGTACATACGTTAACCCAGTAAGTGCACTTCCAGAAATTTATCCAAATGAAGTAATCATGCATTTGGGCACAGAGAGCATGGTTTATGTGTGTAATAAATGTTAACAATCTACATGCCCATCAGTGCAGGATTTATTAAATAAGCAATAGCAAATTCACATAATGGTATATTTAGTCTACCATTAAAAATGATGACATTTGGGCAGAAACAGTATTTGAAGAGACAATGGTTCTGAATTTCTGGATTAAAAAAAAAATTCTCTCTTCCCATGGGCTAAAAGTAACACGTATCAAGCCAATTGAGGAAAAGTAGCACATTGCGCAACTTACCTTTAGACACACACAAATTTGTAAATTTGTAAATTACATCTGAAAACTAAAGAGGGGATTATGTCTACAGCAGGAAAAAAAAATCATTCTTGACAAAAGCAAAAATACAATGATGTTTGATTTACCTACCTATCTAACTGTTGGAAAGAGCAAATATTCAGATCAGCAGTAAACACAGAAGGTTTAAGGTCAATTGGTTATGAGTGAGGAAGGGCAGCTGAAGTCAGAAAGTCATAAAAAAGCCTCATGAAGTCAGAAAAAGACCCCCTAAAAAATCATAGTTGGTCCATTAACCTCAAGAGAAAGCATGTTCACAGTGATTGGCACCAACTATATATATATATATATATATATATATATATATATATATATATATATATATATATATATACTTGTGAGGAATAGAGACGTGATAAGAAAAGCATACAGAAAAAAGGAGAAAAAGGCAAACATCAAGATGGCAAAAGTATAAGATGAGAAGCAGGAGCAATTAGAAGAGACAAGATCAGCCAGTAGCACACACACTGACAGAAGAAAGGAGAGCCAGTGACACAAACAGCAGATAAGACAGTTCCAAAACGGTGACAAACCATTTAGATTTCTTATCCTCCAGACCTATCACTAATTTGCTAATGACTCAACAACCAGGGACAACTGCTTAGCATGTGGAGGAAACACAGCAATTTAATCAGAGTGTGGCAGGCAGAATAGCCCCTGCAAAGAGGCCCACATCCTAATCCCTGGATCCTGTGAATATGTTATGTGGCAAAAGGGACTCTGTGAATATTAATTAAAGTTATAAATTTAAAACAGGGAGATTATCCTGGATTATGTGGGTGAGCCCAATCTAATCCCATGAGCCCTAAAAGCAGAGAAATTTCTCTGGCTGGAATAAGGGAGACGCAGCGGAAGAGGAAGTAAGAGAGATTCCCAGGGAAAGGAGGATTCAATGCACCACTGCTGGCTATGAGATGTAGGGGACACAGTTGAGAACTGGTAAAAAGCCTCTAGAAGTTAAGAATGATTCCCAGCTGACAGTCACCAAGGAAACAAGAACATCAGTCCTATAACCACAGGGAACTGGATTCTACCAACAACCTGCATGATCTTGGAAGCAGATTCTTTCCAGAGCTTCCAGGTAAGGGCCCAGAAAGCCAATATCTTGATGCTGGCCTTGAGAAGCCCAGAGCAAAGAAACCAACCAAGCCAATTCAGACATCTGACTCATATAATTGCCAGGTAATCCATTTGTGTTGTCACTATGTTTGTGCTTATTCATTACAGTAGCAATAGGAAACTAATAAATAGTAACCATAATCTAGGGTAATCCTACATTGTAAAGCTGGAAGAACGCTAGACAATATATATCAGCACTATGGGTACTGTGTAGTATACTAAATTAAAAAAGCAAATTCGGGCCTATGGAGTAAAAAGATAGTGGCATGTCTACAAGTATAACTCAGCATTCCACATGGTTCAATACAGGATACAATCCTCCAGTCACTGTATTTTGTATTTTGACTTAGCAAGAAACCATAGAACAGTAAATTTACTTAGTTTATATAAAATATACAGTGTTTGGTAGCTTATTAACAAAATAATAATGTAGCAGGCTGGACACAGTGGCTCAAGCCTGTAATCCCAGCACTTTGGGAGGTCAAGGCAGGCGGATCACTTGAGGTCAGGAGTTTGAGACCAGCCTGGCCAACGTGATGAAACCCTGTCCTGCTAAAACACACACACACACACACACAAAACTACTGGGCATGGTGGCGCTTGGCTATAGTCCCAGCTAGTTGGGAGGCTGAGGCAGAAGAATTGCCTAAACCCGGGAGGCGGAGGCTGCAGTAAAAGTCAGATTGCACCACTGCACTCCAGCCCGGGCAACAGAGCAAGACTGTCTCAAAAAATAATAATAGTAATAATAATGTAGCACTAAGCTAGAGCTAGCTATGTATGAAAGTCATGTCCCCTGTTCTCTTATACCGGGAGTCTTTTGTAAAAGCTCTCTTAAGCTTTACTCATTCATTTAAAAAATACTTCTAAGTACCTATTATGAGCCAGATTTTGCTCTAGGCACAGAGGTGAGAGCAACAAATAATACAGGCAAAAATCTCTGCCTTAAGTGAGCTTATCTTCCAGTTTTTGACATGTTTCCCCAATCTCCCACTACCTCCACCCACCCAATAAACTTCTGAACAAGATCTCCTTGGTAGAAATTGCCTTCAATTTACTTCCTCTTCCTCTCACTTCCTCTCACTTCTCCAACATGGCCACAGGCGGACTCGGGGGCTAATTTGCTACTGTGCTCCTTTAGCACCTACAATAACATCTGGCACATAGAAGTAACTTAACTGATAAATAAACAGCTAATACATTAATAGTATAAGCTTGAGAAATCTACAAGATTCATTTATGTACAATGTGTGATACCCTAAAAATGCCAAATCACAAGTATTATTGCACATTAGGTCCATTTTTATTAAACTAAGAATATACAACAGTATATTAACACAGAGAATAGTTCTCAGCTGAATACCTATTTAGCTAAAAGATTTTCAAAATATTAAACTCTTAATTACTGCTTACACATTAAGATTTACATTTTTTGGCCTGGTGCGGTGGCTCATGCCTTTAATCCCAGCACTTTGGGAAGCCAAGGCGTGCAGATCACCTGAGCCCCGGAGTTTGAGACCAGCCTGGGCAACATGCTAAACCTTGTCTCTACGAAAAATACAAAAGTTAGCCAGGCGTGGTGGATGCGCCTATAGTCCCAGCTACTCCAGAGGCTGAGGCAGGAGGATTGCTTGAGCCTAGGAGGCGGAGGTTGCAGTGAGCCCAGAATGTGCCACTGCACTCCAGCCTGGGTGACAGAGATCCCCTCTCAAAAAAAAAAAAAAGATTTACATTTTTTAAAGGAAGTGCAAAACTGACATACTCTTTTAATTCTTATTGGTAACTTTAATATGCTGATGATTATAAATATCAAAGAAAAAAAACAGAACAAATACTAAACATGCCAGTCTCAGAACCTTCTTTTCTAGATGGTAAGTGCAAGCATCTTTTTCAGGCACTCTAGCAAATAAGCCGGCTGTCTCTGTCCAAAATAACTATAGTTCAAAAGTGGAAATAGCCTTGACTCCCCTGCTCCACTCCCTCTGACTGGAATGCTTCTATACAAAAAATATGTGTCAAAATCAATTAAAGTCATCTTCAAGAAGTCAGCCAAATTTTTTTACTCTGTCAAATACCACCTCAAATAAATTGGTCATCAGTAAAGGTTCAGAATTATTTGCTTTATACAAATATCGTTATTATAACATTATTCCTTATAAAGAATATAAGGACATGTTTTAGTAAGTGTGATAATCTTTTAAACTTCTTTGTTTTATTCACATCTCACTAAAACAACTCTATCAGTAGAGAGGATTAGAAGGTTATTTTATATAAATGATACCAGAAGTTATCAGTATTAAAAATTGTTTGAGAATGATCATAACATTAAGCATGACTAAACACCATACTGTATTTTCACTTACATGTCCACACTAAACAAGCTCCTTGCAGAAACCGCTTGCCGCCAAATGTAACCTTCAATTCCAACACTTAAAGTAACTTGCATCCCAATAAACCTTTGGCACTTCTGCGAAGTTTTCTCCCTTTAACCTCTTCAATTTCATTAACAGAGGCTTTACCTTGGGTGGTGATTGCTGCTGTTTGTTGGTACTTCCTGAATGCTGCAGTCTTAGAGCCCGGGGGATAAATTCAGGTGCCAGCGGATTCAACACATATGTCTTCTTTAGTTCTAAAGCCTCTAACTGGGCTTTGATCTGTTCAAAAGTGATTCCATGTAGGCTACTGTTTTCATGACACAGGGCAATAAACCGTTCCCAAAATTTCCTACAGAAAAGATTTACAAGATCAGATTACAATTCAATGGATGAGATCACAGAAATGAATATAAATAACTAAAGATAATCTCAAATTCCACCCCCAACCTCAAATCCTTAAACCCAATAGTCATCTATGATTGAGATAAAATCTTTCTACCAGATCACAAGACTCCAGAAGTTTGATTTTGAAACTACAGTCATACCTTGTATTATAGTACATATAAAACAGGCTCTCCATTAATTCTGGCTCAACAATGCAAGTAATATGGTCAGTACTCACCTATCCACACTAATTCAAAATGATCTTTTTTATTACCCATATAATAAGTTTTCAAAACTGATGGCAACTCATTTCACACAAAATTTGTACTTCTAGGCATACTTACTACATACATATATATACTATGTATATAAAATTCAATATAATGAATATAAATCACATAATTCTAATTTATATACATACGCATATATACATATACACGCATGTATATGTGTATATATGCACATACATACACATATATACACATACACATATATACACACACATAGATACCACATGTATGTGTAATCTATGTGTGTGTGTATATATTTGAATTATAAGGCCAAAGTAGCCTAGTGTTAGATGACTAAGAAAAGCCAACTCAAGACATAAATTTGAGTCACAAAGTACATAATCCTCATGAGGATTCTTAAGAAATAACCAGCTACTCCGTATTTTTCTCTTAATTAACAGGTGCTTGTTACAAGCACAACTTATACCATTAACTAAGTTATAAGTGTTAAATGAATTATGAAAAATATGGGAAGTTGGAATGCTAATTTTAATGTTGATTATTCATTTCTTAATCAAATTCATAAGTACTAAAGGAGAACAGTACATTCAAAACTTGTTGCATTTACATACCGTTGTTTCTAGGTTTGAAAATTGATTTCTAAATATTAAAATTATTAAATACATATTACAAAAGACAACATATAAAGTTTTTAAATTTTAAATGACTATTATAAATATGCATACCTATGTTTAATATGAGAGGTTCAAATAATGTTTTATTATGCTATAAAAGATATGTGATATGGTTTCTTCCCAAGTTGGTATCCTTGTGTCCAGGTGGACAGCAGGTAATCAAGATGGCTTCAAGAAGCATAAATGAAAAGGTTTATATTATAAAAGTTAGTATATGAATGGGAATTGGGTTATTAATATATTCATAAAACTTTGCAGAGTTTAATTCCAAACCGTGCTTCTCTTACATATGCCTTATATCCATCTTTCCTAGTTTTTTGAAGATGAGTTTAAGAAATCAATTGAGATACTGGAGATTCAGAAGGTAGCGGGGTGGGAGAGGGGTAAGGAATGAAAAACTATCTGTTGGGTACAATGTACACTACTCAGGTGAGGGGTACACTAAAAGTCCAGACTTGATTACTATACAACTTATCCATGTAAACAAAAACCACTTGTACCCATAAAGCTGTCGAAAAAAGAATTTTAATAAAAAAAATTAAAAATTTTAAATGGAATGAATAAATAAAAAATAAGCAAATGGGTTCAGAAAAAATTTTAGACCTATATGTAAACAACAGAAAAAGTAAAAATGCTACAAAATATTAAATATGTACTTCTGACTATAAGACTAAGGCTAATAAGACAGTCATGCAGTTGCTGGAAATGTGTGTTGCCAGGAAATACATGCTGAAAAGCTGTCCTTTATTTTTATTTTTAAGAACACCAATGAAGGAATTGTGCTTTTTTTCTCATCATAACATGAGAAAATATAGGGAAGGACTATCTTATATAGCACTCAGGATCTAAAATCCATCCACTTTCCCACCCTTTTAATAAGAATAGCCACAATATTCAACTGCATATTTATCAATACAATTCTATTACATACTACATTCAAAAGAAAGGTCTTTTTAGTCTAATTGATAAAGTATCAGTTTCACAGAGTGGCATTTCAGGTTTGCGTTGGACTTCAAGACAAAGCAAAACGCTAAGGAAAGAATGGATTGACTTTTACTCTGTCTAGTTCAGTTATTTGTTTTTTCAGAGACAGGGTTGTGCTGTCACTCAGAGTGAAGGGCAGGAGGGCAGTGGCATGATCACAGCTCATTGTAACCTTGAACTCCTGGGCTCAAGCCTCTCGCCTCAGCCTCCAGAGTAGCTGGGACTGTAGTTGTGTGCCACCACACCTGGCTAAATTTTTAAATTTTTTTGTAGAGATGGGGTCTCGCTATGATGCCAGGGCTGGTTTCAAACTCCTGGCCTCAAGTAATCCTCCCACCTTGACCTCTCAAAGTGCTAGGATTATGGGCATGAGCTACTGTACGCAGCCTCTAGCTCAATTTTTAATATCAATTTCTTATTACATTTTTCATTTCCAGCTTTCACAGCCAAAATGCTAGAAGTTGCTCTATTTTTAAGCTACTTTTTAAAACTCCATACCCTGTTCCTATATCACCCTCACTGACCTTGACCGCAATGAACAGAATTTGAAGTAACATTAAGTCAAACAACCTCACACTTCACAAAAAGCTGGAGCTTGGTGACAGTCTTTGCCTACCAGAAGATTCTAGAGATTTCAAAGAAATAGCCTTCGAGTTAACGTGTACCAATTTAAAAGTAACATTAACTACTTACTATAAGTTAATCAAGTTAAACTGGCTCCAAAAGTGACCTGAAATTTGCATGTTAAATCTGACCTTTTTTTTTTTTGACACCATTGATATAGCAAAATGGTAAAGCACATGGATTCTAGAACTAGCCTGAAATCTTGACTCTACCATTCAGTAGCTGTGTGACTTCGTGCAGATTACTTAGCCTCTCTTTATATCTCAGTTTCCTCATGTGCAAAGTGGGGCGCCAGCACTACTATTATTATTATTCCTTACTATTGAAATGACATTTGTGTCTCACTTCTAAACTTTCAGGGAAATGCTTCTTTCCTTCAAAAATTCTTAGTTTTAAAGCTAAAATTTTTCCTTTTTTCTCTTTACACTGGCCCTTGAACTCCCCAATACCTTACCAAACTACTATGCATACAATTATGAAGCATTTCTGAATACAGATAATTGACAGATCACAATAGAATGAGGACAAGAATTCACCACTCTGGTTAAAGATTTCATCAATTCTCAGCCCCCTCCCTAAAACGTTAACATAATATTATGTTACCCATTTTTTTAGTACTATTGGTTTAAAAACCCAAGTGTGTATTACACTGTAATATAATTTTAGGCATTTCAAAGGATGTAACCTTATTTTTAATCACTGCCTGAACACAAAGTTTGATTTTCTTTCTCTGTTAACCTTACTTCTAGGATCACTGATAAAACACTAAAAAATCACTTGGTGTCCTTAGGTCACTGTGTGTGTGTGTGTGTGTGTGTGTGTGTACACAAATATACATATATCTCTACACATACATGAAATATGTTTATATTTTACAGAGTAAATAAAATGTGCTAAATGAAGAAATTCAGTTCAAGGGAAGACCTTCTCCAAACGCCTTGGTTTGAAAAAAGGTTATCACTCTCCTTTTAGCCTCCTGCCATTCCGTGCAGATTTATCTGAGCATATCCATCATTTCTGGGAAAGGCAGCATAACCAGAGAGAAGAATGTGGGTTTTGAAGTCAATCTGACACCTGTTTGAGTGAACCACATAATAGCTATGTGACCCTGGGCAATTTAATCTCTCTGAATCAGGCTGCCCATTTAAAATGCAAATAAAATACCCACATTATAGGGTTGTTAGGAGGAGTGAATGAGGCAATGTGTGCAAAGCACATAAACCAGCACCTGGCTCAAAGAAAGCTGTCAATAAACAGCAGCCACTATTAATACTTCTTAGCTTGGTGAGAGAGGGGGAGGATCTTCACTATATCCATTTTTGATTAACAGAAAAAAATCTGTTTAAAAATACAACAAAAAAGAATATGTAACTGATTGACTTCTGAACTGGTATAATATACACAGTAAGTATTCCTTAAAAACTTGATTGATATTTGGGAATATATTAGTTTTTTTGAAAATATTAAATGAAAAAAGCAGGAAAACAGTCCTAATGAACTCAAACTACAAAGAACTCACTCTTCCATTTTTACAGGACCCAAGAATCATATTATATTCTCTGAGCTTACTTGTACTGTGAGAGTAAATTAATATCTAATTAAATTAGTGAGATTAAAGCTTAAATATCCATATGCCCCAACTATCAATTCTTGGGCTACAGCCATGATTAAACTGTACAAATAAAGCAGACAATCAACATTGCCATGTAACTATGAAATGTATGTTTTTTTTTCACTCAACATAATATATTTACTTCCCTGAAAATATTCTGCTTAGCTTATCAATTAATGTATATACCTTGACACTTCCCAGCTGAGTAGTAAGAAACAGGCAACTGCAGACTCAGCTTTGAAGTTAAAAATTAGCCCTGGATAATTCTGAGAACATGGCCTCAGGAAGAATTATTCACCCATTTGCTCTAAGAAAGTAATGATTTCTGTCAAGACAATGGATGAAAAATGCTGATCTCATGCAATTCACAGTATAATATGATTCTTTAAGAAAGGGGTAATGGTTTCTTTAAAAATATTCAGGTTGGTAAATATATTTGGAGTTATTTATAAGGAGAGCCCAAAACTAATGTGGCTTGACACTATTCTTTTTTTTATTTTCTTTGAGACAGGGTCTTGCTCTGTCACCCAGGCTGGAGTACAGTGGCGTGATCACTAGAGCCTCAACCTCCTGGGCTCAAACGATCCTCCCACCTCAGCCTCCTGAGTAGCTGGGACCACAGGCACATGCCACCACACGCAGCTAAAGTTTGTATTTTTTGTAGAGACAAGGTTTTGCCATGTTGCCCAGGGTGATCTCAAACTCCTGAGCTCAAGCAATCCGCCCACCAGGGCCTCTCAGAGTGCTGGGATTACAGGTGTGAGCCACTGCGCCTGGCCGGAACACTATTCTTAAATCCATTTACTCCCCTAATAGTTTCTAGTTGTTTTCAACATGTGCTTTAATATATTACATTCTAATCAAATTGTATGTGCTGTCTCACTTATCAAATAATAAATACAAGCAAAAGTGGTAAAATACCACAAGCAACATTCTAAACGAAATATACTTACAATGACTAGTAAAGTAATATAAAGTAAAATTCTTAGGATGAAAGCAAAATTAGTAGACTTCTTGATATACCTGGTTCTTCTATTCATTTGTAACTCAGAATTAAGGTATTCTCGACTAGGCGCGGTGGCTCACGCCTGTAATCCTAGCAATTTGGGAAGCTGAGGCAGGCAGATTACCTGAGGTCCGGAGTTTGAGACCAGCCTGACCAACATGGAGAAATCCCATCTCTTCCTAAAACACAAAACATTAGCTGGGCGTGGTGGCGCATGCCTGTAATCCCAGCTACTCGGGAGGCTGAGGTAGGAGAATCACTTGAACCCAAGAGGCAGAGGTTGCGGTGAGCCGAGACTGCACCATTGCATTCCAGCCTGGGCAACAAGAGTGAAACTCTGTCTCAAAAAAAAAAAAAGATACTCTCCCCTCTCCAATTTGTCATTAGTGACTACAAATGCATGGCAATATATTTTTAAAGTATGAAATTAAAGATGTTACAACAGAATTGTTTACAGATAAATAAGTTACAGACCCTTCAAGCTTTGTTTTTTAAAAAAGAAATTTTTTTTTCATAAATTAAAACTCTACTTGATTCCTTTGATGATAGCTTTCCCCTATAAAGGATATTAACTTTTTGAGGGGTCTTAAATTCTAATATATGAAACTTATTCTTAAAGGTCCCAAATAGTCTCCCTTCCCAGAATTTTTCTTCCTGCTAGAACACAAAAATAGATAATAAAGTGCTGTCATTATCTATATTGTAAGAAAAAAAAACCTGATTTAAAGAGTGCCATGTCCTAATAGTTTTGTCTACTTTAATTCTAACATATCAAAAAGAAATAATTACCCAAGGCAGATTCAGGACTACCTACATCTCTTTTTACTATTCTGAACTTCCTATGACAGGTACTAGCACACTTATAAAATTTTAAGTAATCCCTAGTGTATTTCTTTCTTTTTCACAAAAGAATATTATAAATAACTGTTCGACTGCTTTTTTTTTTTTTAATGCTAGCACAGTTCTTCAACACTCAAAAGGCCAAATCTTCTATTACTGGCTTTGTACAGTTAAAATTCCAATTAACTGGTATAAGTCACAAGTGTATAAAGAAAGATTTTGGTGTGTAGGTTGATATTTTAACCATATTTAGTAGAAACTGTTCCTTAAAACTAAAGTCTAATGAATACTAATAATGCTACCGAAAGACAAGTAATGACCACGTCTAACCCCCTAATGTTAAGATCTTCTGGATTAACCAGATACAAAGAATTATCTACATTGAGAAGCCTTGAGAGAGCAAGACTACAGAAGGAAATTCATCAAAAATTAGAACAATTAAGTGAAAAAGTGAGGCACTAAGGGATATAAAAGTTAATATCCATCAAAGACAAACACATGCATGAAACCAGCTCAGGACCCCTGCTCTAGTTGTTGCTTCTTCCTGGAGCACTTTTAACCCAAATAGCTTCTCCCTCACTTCCAAGTCAGCTTCTCAGTGAGGTCTGCTCTCACCACGCTATTTACAATCACAAGCTAGTCTGCACCGTCCTCATCATTCCTAATTCCTCTTAATATTTTCCTTTCCATTCAACTTACCATGTAAAATACTATATAATATTCCTATTTAGTTTACGGTAATCTTCCTCTCCTTACCAGTAAAAAGTAAGCCCCACCAATAAAATGTAAGCCCCACAAGGGCAGAGATCTTTGTCTATTTTGTTCACTCATGTATCTTCAGAAGCTGGAAGAGTGCTTAGAACCTAGAAGTCACTCAGGAAATATCTCTTGAATAATGGCTCAATGAATACACAATTATGCATACAATAAATAGATCCAAAGTAATATGCTTTTGTGTTCCCACTGGATATCAGGCTACAATAAACCTGTTTTTAATTAGCCAGAAGGTCATATGAATAAATATACACATAGGGATACAAATCATGTCACATTTCCCCTTTAATGTCTCAACATTAACACATAATTACCTGCATCTTCCAATAGAGCACAGAGCAATGGGATCACCCACCACAGCAACCAGGGATTGTGCTCTTGTGATGGCAGTATTGAGAAGCTTGTAGTTAGATAAAAAACCATAATCTAAGTCCTCTGTGGAATCTTCCAGAAGTTGCTCTTTCTTTTTAATTGGTGTCTGTTTATGTTTACAAGTATGTCTTGTACGTACTGTGCTAAGAAACAAAACTCTGAATTGCTTTCCTACAAAGAAAATTTTTTAAGAAAAGACTTAAGATTGTCATTCTGAACCACTGATATAATAAAAGCATTGCATTTTTTAAAATGTTATTGCTAAATAACAAACATTGGCGAAGATGTGGAGAAACTGAAACCCTTATGCACTGCTGGTGAGAATGTCCAATGGTACAGCTGCTGTGGAAAACAGTGTGGCAGTTCTTCAAAAATTTAGGCAGAGAACTACCATATGATCCAGCAATTCCATGCTTACATACATACTCAAAAGAACTGAAAGGAGTGACTCAAACAGATATCTGTATATCCACGTTCATAGCAGCATTATTCACAATAGCCAAAAGGTGGAAGCAACACGAGTATCCCTGGACAGAGGAATGGATCAACAGAATGTGGCATATACATACAATAGATTATTCAGCCTTATAAAGGCATGAAATTCTGACACATCTTACAACATGGATGAACCTTGAAGGCATTATGCTAAGTGAAATAAACCAGTCAGGAAAGGACAAATACTATATAATTCCATTTATATGAGGTAGCTAGAACAGTCAAATTCATAGAGAAAGAATGTAGAAGGGTGACTGCCAGGAGGGAAGGAGGAATGGGGGCATTTAATGCATACAGAGTTTCAGTTTGGAAAGATCAAAAAAGTTCTGGAGATGAATGGTGATGACTGTTGCACAATAACGTAAATGAACTTAATGCCACAGAACTTATGTGCATAAAAATGGTTAAAATGGTCAATTTTACATCATACGCATTTTACCACCATAAAAAAATTTTTTTTAATGATACTATTGGAACCAACCTTAAAATTATCTAGTCCCAGGTTCCACCCAATACAAGGACCCTTTGTTGAAGCAGTCATCCAGTCTCTGGCCAACGAGGGCACGCACAGCTGATTTCATAAAGAAGTCTACAGAAAGTCTAGGTGTATATCATTTTTTCTTACGTGCTTCAAATAGTAACATATCTATTCCCTCACCCTATGACAAATCTCAATACAATGCTGATGTCAATCTTTAGTCTTCTCCTCTCCAGGCCAAACAATCCTAGTTTTCTCATGGCAGTGTCTTGATCATTCACTACCCTAAGTCTCCTCTGGGTGCTTTCTAATTTACTCCTAATGTTCTTTCTAAAATGCTCACCTAAATTCTGTATAATCTGGACAACACATGGTACAGTAGAACTATTTTTTGCCCATGCTCTTACTGCTGTATATTACTCTTACTGCTGGATATTACCATAAAACCTAACATTGTATTAGGCTTCAATTAGAGTTCACATCAGAGTGTTGCTTCATATATTTAAAAGCACAGATTTTATAGCAATTAATTAAATGAACATAATTTAAAAGAGTTGCTGTTAACTATAAACTTAGAAAAGTCTATACATAAAAATCTTTATGAAGAAATTCATCCTCAGATACCGTATAACAGCAGAATGTGTTATATACTATTATGACTGTAATTCACAGCATACATATACTATGTGGCATTGATATAATTATGGTCACAGAAAAGGTATATTTGTTAATACTTATTTTATTTGGATATAAAAACTTAATAAACATGTAAATGAATTCAACCTTTAATTGCCAAACCTGGCATTAAAGAACTTGATATGAAATGAACACATAACTTCAGAAAAGAGATCTTGAGTACTAAAAATCCAATGTGAACACACTTTAGATTTAAGCATTTGAATGACTGAATTCATTTCAATTGACACTTACCTTGAACATTTAGCACCCTTTCTACATTAACATCAGATAATCTCTTTTTTCGAAGTTCAGCACGTATTCTAAACACTTGATCAGCATATGGAGTCACCACACCAATACTGCCATCATCTAACTTCCCCCACGCTACTGGCCACTTCCTTCTTAACTCTTCTACACGTTCCACCACTTCAAACACCTTTAAAAACAAACACACACATACATATTAAAGTTATCACCAATGTTTGGAGAAAATAATATCGTAACTAAAACTGATTTATAAAGGATCCCATTTTAGCAGATGTCATTTAAAAAAAAAAAAAAACTACCCCTAAATGGGAGTAATGCTTTGCTGATGTGAACTGAATGAGAATATAAATTTTTCATTTACATTTTAAACAGTAAAATTCTCCAATAATACAACCAGTGAAAACATGAAAATCAGGGACAATGCTATTGGCCCCCAAGTTCCTGTGTAGGGAGGAACAAGCTCAAGTTCCTGTGTGGGAAAAAGACAGGCCATGATTCTAGGGAAGGCAAGTTCTCACAGCCCCAGTAATTCTCAGTCCACTCTCTCCAGATCAGGCCAATGAAACTAACCAACCAACTAGAAGCTTCCTGTCATCAGTGACATCACTAAGTCCCAGCAGTACAAGGTCTAACATTGTCCCCTTCCTCACTGATATAACTAAGCAGACCAGCCAACAGCCACCAATTGACAACAAACCACAGCTGGGACTAGGCCACATTTGGATCACAGAGAAAGACTTTCAGAATTCACTGCCTGCTAGTGGTACAAGTCCAGCCAAGCCATTTCATTAACCTTGCAATAAAGCAATGCCACAGTTTATGCAACTGAATTTTTCAGACCCCAATTACTGGATTATGATAGGGTTTTTAGGATAGTTTGTTCTATTTTAATTCAATGAATTGATCAAACAGTTTCAATGTCTGGCACAGTGGAGAAGGTACAAAAGTTAATAAAACATGTTCCTTGCCCGCTACTTACTGAGAAGAACTTATGGTTTATTTAGAAAAGAGAGTCATAATAAAAAAAATATATAAGGCAAGCACAAATAGAGGGTCAGTCAAGAGTCCAGGGGCATACAGAGGAAGGAGGTGTGTTTTCAAATGTCTTTAAGTACATCGTTTCTTTATTATTTACTAACAGTATCTATTTTAATTTATAATATTAAATATATTTAATAAAAATTGACAATTTTCATCCTTTGAAAAACTTGAGGTTACTGACTACGAAGCAGTTCCCATGTCCAGATACAAATTCAGTGAACTACAGAGGTAAGGACTACAGTCATCCTATCGTTATTATGATACAGCAGCAAGTGTATCACATACACAGACTACCCAGGGAAGGTGAAGAGCAAACTGGACTAAAGACATGGCATTCTCACTATCAGGAAACAGAGTAGACATACTCAGTCTACTGCAATAAGGAATAAGAAAAAGTTATCTTTACCCATGTGGTTAGATGTGGGGATAGATGAGTTGGGAGACACCTCTGCTGCGCCCTCCCACCCCACAGAGTTCCCACCTCTAAGCAACACACAACCATTTCTGCACTTTATCCTCCTGTCATGTAGTCAAAAAACAGACTTAGAATGATGATATGAGTCATTCTGGGAAACCTCTCTCCCAGAAAAACATCTTCTAAGCTGGTCAAAATTAGCAAAGACAATCATTCAAAGTCTCTAAAGACAGATCAAAGAGGTTACAAGAAATTGAGAAGCATCCATCTATTCAACAAAACCTGTAAAAACTCACTGAGAACAGTGGAAGGTTGAGGCCTACAAGCTATGGACTGCCCCCTTTCCCCCACAGCTCTTACAGAACTGTTTTAACGGCCAAGGGGCAATTCCCATCGCCCTAGCTCCCTCCTATTCCAGGTACTTTTGGCAGCTGGTAAACATTGGCAGATTTCATTTTTCACAGCTTTGTGCTGCAGAAGGCCTATGATAAGCAGTTGGTAGTAGTCAGGTGGTACCCAACCCCCATCTCCTGCTACATAGGGAGTGGGACAGTGGGTGGCAGTGCAGTCCCTCTTTCCCACATAGCTCTGCATTGCAGGAGAGCTGATCCAATGGCCTTGGCAGCCCATTGACAGTTTGCATTTTCTCTAGCTTCCTAGGACAGAAGACCTATGCTGGGTAGATTCAGCAGCCAATGAACATCAGCAGATCCCAACCTCCCCTGATGTGCACTGCAGAAGAGCCACACTTGGTAGCGGCACCAGCTGGATGGAAGCACCTGGATGGCAGCATGGATTACACACAAACATACAGCATACACAGAGCTCCTGCTCCACAGGATGGATGCAGGTTGGGAAAAGCAGTGAGGAGCAAGTTCCATGTCCTCCCCCAACAACTGCTCCATAAGTTCTGCCCAGGAGACGGTGAGCGGAAGGCTCACAAACTGGCAAAATTCTGCCTCCGCCAAGAGACCTACGGCAGCTGGATCACACCGTGGAGCAATTTATGCCCCCAGGAAGTGAAAAAGGAAAAACATTGAAATGAAAAATTTATTGCCAGGAGTCAATTGTAGATTTGAAATAACAGAAGCATGAATCAGCAAACGTGAAGATACATAGCGGTTATGCAATCTGAAGAACAGAGAGAAAAAGTAATGCAGAAAAAATAGCCTCAAAGAAGTGTGGAACACCAATTAAGCTCACCAACATGCATCTGATGGGAGAACAGGAGGAGCGCAAAGATGGAAAGGAGCAGAAAAAAGGTTCAAAGAAATAATGGCTAAAAATTTGTCATATTTGATGGAAAACACTAAGCTATACATCCAAGCTCAATGAACTTTGAGTAAGATAAACACAAGGAGACCCACACCCAGACAACCATATTAAAAACTAAAGTCAAAGACAAAAATAAAATCTTGAAAACAGCAGGAGAAAAACAACTCATCACTTACAAAGAAATTCCAGTAAGACTAACAGATTTCTCAACAGAAACAATAGAGGCCAGAAAGCAGTAAGAAAACATATTTCAATGTGCTAAAAGAAAAAATCCAACCAATTCAACCAATAATCTTATATTCTACTTTTCAAAAATGAGGGCAAAATAAAGACATGCCCAGATGAAACATAACCTAAGAGAATTCCTCACTTGCAGACTCCCCTTATAAGAAATACTAAAGGAAGTTCTTCAGGCTGAAAGCAAGTGATACCGGACAATAATTCAAATCCACACAAACAAAGAATCTTGGTAAAGGTAATTATGTGGGTAATTATAAAGACAGTATAATAACATATTTCTTCTTTCTCCTCTTAACTGGTTTAAAAAGCAACTGCAAAAACCCATATGTATATAATTGTATTGTTAGGCTATAATATATAACAACGTAATGTTTGACAGTAACGGCACAAAGGAGGTAGGTAAAAAATGACACCAGATGGTAATTCAAATCCACAAAGAGAAGTGAAGGTTAATACAGCAAACTCCATAAATATGTACTTGCCACCCTTCTCTTAGAATTTTTAAAAAACATAAAATTATATAAAGTAATAATTATAAAAATATATTGAGTTTGTTATATATAGGTATATTATATATAATAGCACAGGTTGATCTCCTGTGTCTTCTTTATTGCCTTCTTTCGTATTAAGTGCATATTTTCTAGTGTCTAGAAATATAACCTTTCTATTCCCTAGAAAGGAAGGGGGAATAGAGCTATGTAGGAGTATAGTTTCTATAGCCCATTGGAATTCATTTAATAAAAATTTGAAGTAGATTCTGATAAATTAAGATATATATTGTAAGCCCTAAAGAAACCACTAAGAAAATAACTCAAAAAATATAATTAAAAAATAATTAAAAGAAATGCCTGGGCATGGTGGTTCACACCTATAATCCCAACACTTTGGGAGGCCAAGGTGGGTGGATCACTTCAAGTAGGAGTTTGAGACCAGCCTGGCCAACATGGTGAAACCCTGCCTCTACTAAAAATATAAAAATTAGCCAGGTGTGGTGGCAGGCACTTGTAATTCCAGCTACTTGGGAGGCTGAGGCATGATAATCACTTGAACCTGGGAGGCGAAGGTTGCAGTGAGCCAAGAACGTACCACTGCACTCCAGCCTGGGCAACAGAGTGAGACTCTGTCTCAAAAAAAAGAAAAAATAATAATTAAAGGAATTAAAATGTGACACTAGAAAATATGCACTTAATACAAAAGAAGGCAATAAAGAAGACACAGGAGATCAAAAACTACATGAGACATAGAGAAAAAAAGGGCTGAGGTAAATCCAACCATATCAGTAACATTAAATGTGAATGGATTAAAAACCCCAATCAAAAGGCAAAGATGGCTGCAATTCCAGAACTTTGGGAGGCTGAGGGAGGTGGATCGCTTGAGCCCAGGAGTTCAAGACCAGCCTGGGCAACATGGCCAAACTCCATCTCTACAAAAAATACAAAAATTAGCTGGGCATTGTGGCATGCATCTGTAGTCCCAGCTACTTAGGAGGCTGAGGTGGGAAGATCACCTGAGCCCAGTGAGCTCACGGCTGCAGTGAGCCATAATCATGTCACTGCCTTCCAGCCTAGGTGACAGAGCAAGACCCTGTCTCAAAAACAAAACAAAACAAACAGGCAGAGATTTTCAAACTTTTTTTAAAAAATCAAGATCCAATAATATGCTGTCTATAGAATATGCACTTTAGATTCAAACATGTAAACAAGATGAAAGTAAAATAATAAAAAAAGATATACCATGCAAACAGCAACTATAAACAAGCTGAAATTGTTATACTAATGTCAGACAAATCAACTTTAAAACAAAAAGCTGTACTAAGATAAAGAGGGATATTTATTTATTTATTTTATTTTATTTTTTTGAGACAGGGTCTAGCTCTGTCACCCAGGCTACAGTGCGGTGGCACAATCTCAGCTCACTGCAACCTCCCCCTCCCAGGTTCAAGCCATCCTCCCACCTCAGCCTCCTGAGTAGCTGGTATTACAGGCACCTGCCACCATGCCCAGCTAATTTTTTTGTATTTTTTTTGTAGAGACGGGGTTTCACCATGTTGCCCAGGCTGGTCTCGAAGTCCTGAGCTCAAGCAATATATCGACCTCAGCCTCCTAATGTGCTGGGATTACAGGCATGAGTCACCGCACCCGGCCAAGGAGGGACATTTAAAAATGATAAAAAGAGGTCATCCTGTTAGGGAGATGTAACAATTATAAATATAGATAATTAATTGCAGATTCTCAAAACATATGAGGCAAAAACCACATTCTCCTCTATGCCTCAGGTCCCACCAAGCCCAATGAATTCATTTTGTATATCTGTACAACTCTGTCTACCTCTCAGATCACACCATCTTACGGTTATTATCCATAGCTCCTCCCTTCCAACTGAATTTTTCAAGGTTAAGAACTATACCTTGGCCCGGTGTGGCTGCTCACACCTCTAGTTTCAGCATTTTGGGAAGCCGAGGTGAGAGGATCGCTTGAGCCCAGGAGTTCAAGACTAGCTTGGGCAACATAGTAAGACCCCATCTCTACAAAATACATTTTTTAAAAAAAATTAACTAGGCGTGGTGGTGCGTACCCATAGTCCCAGTTATTTGGGAGGCTGAAGTTAAAGGATCACCTGACCCCAGGAGGTCAAGGCTGCAGTGATCACACTACTGCACTCCAGCCTGGATGACAAAGAGAGACTCTGTCTCAAAAAAACAAAGAAAAAAAAAAAACATATCTTTGGTGCTTAGTACTTAAATTGTACTTTTTTTTCACCTTGGCATTGAATTGAAACCATTTCATTACTGTGGGATATAAGTTCAGAATCAAGAAAAAAAAGAATGATCTTTCTCAGTCTCCTTCTACAATTTTAAGCATGTGAAAGAAGACACAATTTCAAATGATGTACAAAGCACAAGATACATAAAATAAAAAGCATGTTGTCTAAACAAAGGAGAATTACACACAGCACATATGCTATGAGTATTCCTTCAACTTGAGGTTCTTGAACTTATAATTCCAAACTTTTTTATTTAGGTTCATTTTGATTTTAACTCTATGTAAGACTATCTTATTTTCCTAATAGTGGAATGTAAACTCTTTTCAAATGCCCTCCTAAGTATTAGTCAGAATCTTTATAAAAGATATCATTTTCCCCTACGAATGTAACTGATGCCACTTGGTCTGCTTGTTCTATAACACAAAATAGATTTGAGTTTCACCTTTAAATTACATACCATCAAGAAAAGCCCAGAGCTTCTAAAATCATCTTACTGTCCAAATAAACCTATATTAGTATCCAAATATGCCTATACTGGTATTCAAAAATTCAAAACGCCTACACTGGTATTTAGCTGAGGTGAACAGGGTCAGTCCTTGCCCCTTGCAGGAAGAGTCCTGGAGCAATGTGTCTCAAAATTTTTGACTACAGTAACTTATGGGGCTGAAGACACTGTCTCAACAACCATGCTCTGGTGAAAGTCAAGGTGGTTTGAAATGTCTCTAAAGTTACATGTTTAATATTTAAAGGTCACACGACCTTTAAAGTGAGCTGTCTTTGTGATCTTTTAATACGAACAAATATTAAAAAAAAAAAAAAAACCTTTGAGTAAAACTGACAGTCCATGAACCGGCACCTTATTTATCCTATAGCTTATAGGTTTCCTGGGAAACACACCAGGTCACCGTGAATGAACAAGTAACCCAGGCTGAGAAACTGAGTCTCTGGCAAACATCAATCCCGCCTCAGGATCAAGGATCAGGGCTCAGCTCTGATCCCTGATGTCACCGCAGGGCCACCAAGGCTTCTGGACAGGCCCTGGTTGCCACTTCCTGTCATCCCTCCCACCCATACCATGGCTAATTTCTAGGCCAGTGGTTTCCAACTTGAGTGCAAAAACGATAAAGGAGACCCCTAAAGTTATTTTCAATATTTCAAATATTTAAAGAAAAGTTTACCTTTTCCTAAAATTAAATGGCACAGACTAACCAAAATGTCAAGTTTCTTTGCTTTTGGCTAGGATTTTATCAAGTGAGTACTGATGATTTTTTTGTACTGACTTCTAACTACAGGCCCATGAGCAATGTCTTAACGGAAAAATGAATTCCTACTACATAATAAAAGCCATTTCTTTGTAAATAATATGGGTAAAGCATGGAATTCAAGGGCAGTGTAGACTGGAGATCAAGAGCCATGCCGCCCCTAATGATATGCCATCCTCGGGCTTCCTGAAGTCCAGAACTCAACTCCCTCCTGACGGACAGAACCTTAACTCCAGGGTTTCTGGTTTGTTAGCCCCTGAAGACGTTGCCATTTTTTTGGTCTGCTGCCTGACCTGACCCTTCAAACTACTCACATGCTCTCTGAACCTAAAAAGTCAGAAATTGCAAGAGAATTATATAAGTTGGAGCACATCATGGAATTGCAACATCGCTGTCTGGGTCCCTGTGATCTCTTTGGAGCATAGAATTCTGCAATTCAAGTCTTATTCATTTAAAATGATACACCTCATTTGCATATGCACTATAAAACTTACTCAGAGTCTATTTTAGATACCTAACAATAATGATCTAATTGAGAACAATCTTGGTTTTTCTTTTGAATGAAATCATGTATTTTGTCTTACCATAAGACAAAATGTAAATCAAAGTTTTTGCTTCCCATAGGAGATTCATCTGAACAAATCAATGTTATACAAGAAAGAATAAACTTTACATACTATTTACATGTAAATGAAGTCAATATGCAATACAATGTCAACCCAAAACTTTAAATAAATGCTTAACAAAACTAGACGATGTGACTGAGAAAATGTTAACAATTTACAAAAAGAATTAAGGTACCTCTGCATTATTATAAAAAGCTGTGCTATTTTTTTCTTGTACATCTTCTCCTCGTGCTGTAAAGAAAGTTAGTGGGTAGAAATCTTTGTGTGCTGGCTGCTTCCCACTGGCCATCAGTTTGCCCTCATAGAAAAGCTCAGAGGTATAACTGCAGTAAAAGACAAAAAGAAAAAAGGGGGAAAATCTACATCAAAATTAATTTCACCCATAAGAAAAAAAAAATCAGTCGATTCTAATAATATTGCCTTATGTCCATGATTAATTTTACTCCAATCATCTAATACTTGTGATACCAAGAATTTCTCCATAAATAACAAGAGTAGGGTCCTGGCATAATATTGTTAAATGGAATGATTTTGGTAAGGTACGAAGCCAAAACAGGAAGAAATGATGACAGTTCAATACAAGATGAGACTTTATGAGGAAATTTGCTAGCCTGTATATTTCCTTGGTTAATTTTTTTTTATTTAAATGAGTCACATACAATCATGTACCACATAATGATGATTTAGTCAACAATAGACAGTACATATGATGATGGTCCCATAAGATCATAGTACTGTATTTTAACCATACTTTTTCCATGTTTAGATATACAAATACTTACCATTGTTTTACAATTATCTACAGTATTCAGTACAGTAGCATGCTTTGTACAGGTTTGTAACCTAGGAGCCAACAGGCCATTTACACCATATAACCTGTATGTG
Source organism: Homo sapiens (assembly GCF_000001405.40). NCBI lineage: Eukaryota > Metazoa > Chordata > Mammalia > Primates > Hominidae > Homo > Homo sapiens. The sequence goes on from NC_000017.11 coordinate 67,146,453, forward strand.
TAGTAGGCTATGCCATCTAGGTTAGTGTAAGTTCACTCTGTGATGTTCACACAACAACAAAATCACCTAATGACACATTTCTCAGAATGTGACCCATGATTGTACTAATACATGCAAACACAAAGACATACAGATGCTGGAACAATGTACACAACTGAAAGACAGTCAAGCCGTCAACTGTAAAATGAATTCGCTTTACTGATGAAGACACCATCTAGTACTTGACTCATCAGTGACTGTAGCAAATGACTGAAAATAATAAAAGAATCACATTTTGAGAGATACAATTATATCTATCCAATTGCTTTCAGGGAAACCTAAAAATGGTTTTCACATGGCTGACATAATCAATATTATTAAATTATACTAAACTTTTTTATAGTGTAAGTTTCTGGTCAGGGTAGTGACTGGAAAGGAGCACAAAGGGGCTTTTGGAGCACTGGTCATGTTCTGCTTCCTGATGTGGATTAGGGTTACATGCTGCACGCAGGTGGTGACAATCCACTGAGTTGTTGAGATATATACCTTTATAGATGCATACTATAGCTAACAGAAATACTTTAAAACTTATTAATAAGTTTCATGGTTTTGTCCCTCCCTTTCTTTCCTTTCTTCCTTTCTTTTAAAGCAGATTACTTGTACAACATAGCCAAAGACATAAGCAAACCATCATGCTGTTTGTCAATATATTTATTACAGCATGTAGCTTTTCATATAGATTATATATTTAGTCACAGAAAAACATATGCATAGCTAACAGAATCTAAAGTTTTGGTTTCCAGAATTGCCCCTGTGGTGTTATTTTATTTGTATGTGTAGATATATATAGATATAGATATAGACATAGATATATAGATAGATATATATTCATCCACAGTTCCTGGCTCATAACTACCACAGCTCTTGTTACAGTCTTTTGTTATAATTTGGGTATGTCAGGCCTCAAGAAACAGAATCTCTCTGGCCTTCTCCTGCCTTCCTTTCACCTGCCCCAAAGCAGGACTCTAATCTTCCCCTGCCTTTTTATTCTTATTTTTGTTTTTGAGACAGGGTCTTGCTCTGTCGCCCAGGCTGGAGTGCAACGGCATGATCATGGCTCACTGAAGCCTCAACCTCTTGGGTTCAAGAAACCCTCCCACCTCAGCCTCTCAAGTAGCTGGGACCACAGGTGCATGCCACCATGCCCTGCTAATTTTTTTTTTTTTTTTTGGTAGGAAGGGGGGGTCTTTCTATGTTGCTCAGGCTGGCCTCGAACTCCTGAACTCAAGCAAATCTCCTGCCTCGTCCTCCCAAAGTGATTGTGGGTCTTAAGACCCTCCACAGAGAGGGTTCCACCCTATACTCTGAGGGAAGGAATGCTGACATCACAAAGCTTCCATAAAAACCCAAAGAACTGGGTTCGAAAGCCTCTAGAAAGCTGAACACGTGGAGGTTCTGGATGGTGGCGCACCCAGGGAGGGCATGCCAGCTCTGCGCGCTTTCTCCCATACCATGCCCTAGGCACTCTTCATCTGTATCCTCTGTAATATCCTTGATAATAAACCAGTAAATGTAAATAACTGTTTCCATGCATTCTGTGAGCCACTCCAGCAAATTAAGTGAACCCAAAGACCCAAAAAGAGGGTCGCAGGACCCTCAACTTGAAGCCAGCCGGTCAGAAGTAAGGCTCAGGCTTGTGACTGCTGGGGGGCCGGGAGGGGGGCAGTCTTCTAAGCCCTCAACCTGTGGGATTGGACATTATTTCTGGATAGATGGTGTCAGAAGTGAAATGGAGGACACCCAGCTGGTGTCCCCTGCGGAACTGGTTGCTTATTTGTTGGTGGAAAGGAATTCCCTACATTCGATCATACAAGTCTTCTGTGTTAATTGTTGTGAGAGAGTAAAGGAAGAACATGATTTCAGAGTTTTTCCCAAAATAGCCCTATTCTGTGAAAAATTACAACTCTGACTTCTGAAGTTTTCTTTTAAAGACATAAAATTAAACATAATTTGCAAGACTAGGGACACTATGTAAGTGTGTTGGGAATCATCTGTCCCTAGCAGCAGTGCTGTTTTGAGTTCCCTCCTACTATCAGACCAACGAAAGTATGACACGGAGGGGGCAGTTCACACCTACTTGATGATAGCTTCATGGGAGCGGTAGTTCTCACACAGGAGAATCCTACATGGGAACTCAGCAGGGTAATGCTCATAGAGTCGGTCAAGTAATGAAACGTGAAGGTTTCTCTCCCTGGCAAACTCGCTGTAAACAAAAGGACTGAGCTGTAACAGACAAACATACAGAGAAAGTTTAACTGAACATACAAATAGTATTTTTTAACCTACTTATAAAAAATCCACTATGCTAAAACTTCTTATATACAAAACTTCAACATGCTAAATGCTGGGACAAGCACAATCAGTAATATTTTCTCTGAACCATTACCACTACTAAGAACTTGGCTAAAATTTCTAACTTCTCATTGCAGTTTACCAACACTAACCCAGAGTTTCTTTCTACACCTGACAAAGGGCTCCCCAGCATAATAATGAATAGCTACTACTTCAGTGATTCCAGGCATGCAACCCACTGTATCACTGTGGGAGTCAAACAGTTATTTCACTAAAATTGATTAATTATTTTAAATGATGAGCTGGTAGGACATACAGCCTACCACTAAAAAATCATTGTTAATAATTAACAAAACAACCCTCTTGATCTTATGAAGTATAAGGAGCCATTCATGGTTATGCCTTTTACTACTAAAGAACAAAATTAAACTACTTTAGGCAAAGAAATGAAAACAGAGCTTGTTCCTCTACATTTAACTCTCTCCTTGATGTCCCGACAGCTATATAGTATGATGTAGGTCCAATCTTAACTGCAGCAGGAGACAAAGAGCCCCAAACTGCAACCTTGTAAAACAGGTATCTTCACAGAAAAACTGTATTTCTCTTTCCTACATATAGATATTCAAATATATAAAATCACACTCTTTGACATTTTGGCTGTAATTTAAGCCCTCTATTTCCTAGTTTTCTATTACACCAAAAAAAATTACTCCTTCAGGTAAACAAATAATAGAGACAGGAGCTGGGGAATTACAATTCCCCAGGATCCTACAGGAATGATCATTTAAATTTCACTTCACAAAAAAAAGTAAGAATCAGATATTCATACTATAAAGAACAGAACTTAAATAAATAAACATGAAAATTATAACAGTGACAGACTATCCAAAAAAGAAAAAAGAGTAGCAGAATAGTAATTTTTCTTCAGAAATAACAGTATTTTTCACTATTAGTACAGAACTATTTGAAGTACTAAAGTTATAATGCATGGCATAATGTCATAGGATGTTTTAGAAATAGAATATTAAACATCAAAATATAATTAAAAGTTACTTTCAACACAGCAACTCAGAGGGCACTTACCTGCATGTGATCACCAGCCAAGACAATCCGAGTGTTTTGAGTTGCTAATGCTAGAGGCATAATGGTTTCACACTCCATGGCCTGGGCAGCTTCATCTAATAGAATGTGTGTAAAAAACCCTAGAAAATGCAGCATAAACACAGGATAGCACGCTAGAGCAGCAACAAAGGCAGAAGGACTATAGTTATTTTCTTTTCTGCTAAGTAAAGAGTTTAGTTTGCTAATCTAAGAGTATTGAGTACTTTTATTTATTTATTTTCTTTCTTTTTTTTTTTTTTTTTTTTTTTGAGACAGGGTGTCACTCTGTCTCCCAGGCTGGAGTGCAGTGCTATATGATCACAGCTCACTGTAGCCTCGGGCTCAGGTGATCCTCCAACCTCAGCCTCCCAAGTAGCTGAGACTACGGGCATATGCCATAAGGCCTGGCTAATTTTTGAACTTTTTTGTAGAGATAAGGTTTCACTGTATTTCCCAGTCTGGCTGAACTCCTGGCCTCAAGTGATCCGCCTGCCTCGGCCTCCCAAAGTGCTGGGATTACAAGCATAAGCCACCACGCCTGGCCCCAGATTTGTACTGCTTTTTGATGGTTAAGTTTTGCCATATTTATCAGAACAACTTCTTGACATCTTACATCTGTACTTCACATAACACTAGTTTGATTTTACATGGTTCCTGTACTCAAATATAACAATCTTAATAACATGCCATAATAAAACCTATCATAATTATCATCTCTACAGTATATAATGCAAAAGCATTTTATAACAAAAATCTGAGAAAAGTGTAAAAGAAAAGGAAAACACCAACACTCTCCAAATTGGAATTCTTCATATGATCAATAATAAACATCATCTGACCAACTAGAGAATAAATGGAATAGCAGTCACTAAAATGTCTGAACTAGAGGCTGGCAAATTTTTCTTCAGTAAAGAGCCAAACAGTATATATTTTAGATTTTGTGGACCATATAATGAATCTCTGCTGCAACAACTCAACTCAGCCACTGTAACACAAAAGCATCTATAGACAATAAATAGGTAAATAAATGAGCCAGTAAAACTTTATTTACAAAAACAGTCAGTGAGCCAGATTTGGCCCACACACTGTAGTTTGCCAATCCCAGTCTAAACTGAATTCATAAGCCCTAAACTTGTGAGACTGTGTCTTGAGTCAGCATACCAGGTTCAAGGTCCAACTGACAGAGGTACTGGGAAGTATTCAAGGTAACAACCACCACTCGATGTTTAAGAATATCTTCTTTCTGGGGCATCTGAAAGGTGGAATGTGCGCTTGAGATCAAACAGTACTGATGCACAACTGGGTGGACAGTCTTTACCCAGCGATTTCTGAAATATACCCTGGAAAAGAAGAAAATATTTCTGATTTACATTTACTAATTTCTTAACAGTATCTAGTTATTAAAACACTGACATTGTTATTTTAAGATGGTAATATCTGAAAAGTTACAAATGAATCTGGTAACCGTTAGCACTCTATTGAATTAGAATTTAACACACAATTGCCACTATAACCACTGTGACTCTCTACCAAAAAAATGACAGACATAGAAAGTATATGCAGTACCACAAAATAAACACCTAATTATTTTTAAGTGTTCAGAGTAATCTTGCAACAGAATGGCACATAAACGTAAGATTTATAAGCACTACAATTTTTTAAGTTCAAAACATTCCCATTCTGGAATTATCTTTTTCTAGAACGTTCTTACAAAAATACATTGACTCATATTTTAACTATTTATGCTAACAAAAAACAGTGAATTGCATACTTATAACAGGAATTCAAAGGTTATTTTCATTTTATTTTAGAATATATTCTTATACCTATACTTAAGTAGACCTCTGTCTGAGGTTCTGGAAATTTAAGAATAAATTTAAAGTTTGAACAACTGGAAAGTCTTAAGTACTTCCATTATTTGCAAAAGAAAAATATTAATAGGCCTCACGCAATGGATTATTAAAATGACACAGAAATGACTCATCCATCCATCTACTCATCCACCCACCCATCTCTAACCTACCCATGTAACAAAGATTCATTAGGTATCCACTATGCTCCAGCACACAGGCAGATCACATAGGGCTTGTGAGCAATCCTTGGGTTTACTCTGAGTTTGATGAAAAGCCAACAGAGAGTTCCAACAGGGCAGTGACATGACATGACTTATTTTGTTAAAGGACTATTCTGTTTCTCTGGGCAGAACATATATGGTGGGGGTGGATAGCGGTGTGCTGGTAAATATTTTAACACCCGGCTCCAGGGCTAGGAAGGGGAGAGGATTCCGGTTTGTAGTGTTTGCTGATTTTTGTGGTGTAAAACTGTCATGGTAATTTCAAGCTACCAGCATTTCACTGAACATGAACCTGAGAAGTCGTACACGTGATTAGCTCTAACAAACCAATACAAGTTGGCTCCAACACAACACTGAGCGGCACGGAGGAAGGAGCAGAGGGTAGAAGCAAGGAGACCAGTTACAAGGTTACTGTTAAGAGTGCAGACAAGAGCAGATGGTAGCTTGGATTAGGCCAACAATAGAGATATGAAAATGGTCAGATTCACTAGGCATTTCGAGAGTAACGCCAACAGAATTTACTGATGAACTAGAAGTGGAATTTGAGAGAAGGAATGATTCCACGCCTTTGAAACTGGATAAATGGTGATGGCGTTTGCAAAGGTGGTAAAAAAGAGGAACGGATTTGGGGTGGGAATTCAGAATTTCGTTTTGGGCATATTCAGTAGATATCCAAGTGGATATATCCAGTAAGCAAGGCAATACATAAGTTTGGAGTTCAGGAGAATGCCTGGGGCAAGATAGCTACAATTGGGATAATACTAAACCTTGAGACTAGATGAGATTACCTAGAAAATAAGAGTAGATTTAAAAAAAAAAAAAAAAAACAACTAGTGGAAGGAAGAATGACTGATGGACCTCTCCAACATTCAGAAGCTGGGAAAGGAGCCTGGGAAGGAGCAAAGAAATAGGAGAGAATTCAGGAGAGCATGGGGTATTGGAAGCAAAATGAAGCAAGTGTTTCAGATAGAAATAGGAGTAACTGTGTTAAATGCTGCTAAGAGGCTACGTAAAATGAAGACTGACCACAGGACTTAACAACAAGGAAACCAATATGATGAACCTCAATATGATGGTTTTAGTGTAAAATTACAGATGGAAATCTGATTAGCTTGAGCTCAAGAAAGAAAGAGAAGAGAGGAGGTAGTGCCAGGGAGTATATATAGACAACTGTCTGGATAAGTTTTGCTTAAAGGCTGATGCAGGTCGGGTGAAGGTGAGTTTTTGTTTTGTTTTTTTAAACAAGACACAATAGTATATTTTCATGCTGTACAAAGAAAAAAGTATGCAGGAAAGAAGAAGCTGTGTATCCAGGAAAGGATGAGAGCTCGTTCACAAGAGGAGAGGTTGGCCCCTAGAAAAGAACAGTTTAGAATGGGAGGGAAAGTAGTTACTAAGGAGATGCAAGTCAGATGCTCTATCAAAGGGAAGATGTGGGCATTCTCTTCTGATGGCTTCTACTCCGTCAGTAAAATTACAAAGATCATCAGATGATTGTTATTTTCATCACTATTATTCCTCTTCCCTAGTTAGGAAAACCAAAGCCCAAAGGGCTTACAGCCAGGATTTAAACCTGTTCTTCCCCTCTCTAAGCTTCATTTCTTATTTCCAAAATGAGTATAATAATTCAACTTCTTAAGGATTTGGGGAAATCAAATGAGATAACAGATGTATAATATGTAGCATAATGCCTGGCACCAACAAACAGAAGCCCCCCCACTTCCCTTCACCCACAGCAAAGCTGAAACTAAAATCAGCATTTCTAAACACTCAGTTAATATTCAATGTACACTGCACAAATGCAAAAAGGTAGCATCATGATATGAATATAGGCAATCAAAATAATTATTTAAAAGGTATGTTGTTTACTCCATCTAAAAGCACATATTGTGCAAAGTATTTTATTTAATAAGTCATCATATGGAACAAAAGGATAATTTCTACTCAGCTTCCAAAAAAGTTTAAGAGCAAAATCTGGTGCTTAATTGGCATGCCTTCAGTTAGTCTAAAATTTTGGTAATAATTTCCTTTTCTCAAAGAGCCACCATTTGTTACTAGGCTCTTGTCTCTTACTTTGTATTAATGTTTCTCAATTTTATGGCCTCTGCACATTTTACTAGAGCAAACTTAAATTATTTTTGGAAGCAAACCAAAAAGGTTTTTAAAAAGAGTAATTATTAATATTTTGGCCAGGCGTGATGGCTCACGCCTATAATCCAAGCACTTTGGAAGCCTGAAGTGGGTGGAACACTTGAGGCCAGGAGTTCAAGACCAGCCTGGCCAACATGGCAAAACCCCGTATCTACTAAAAATACAAAAATTAGCCTGGCATGGTGGCAATGCACCTGTAGTCCCAGCTACTTGGGAGGCTGAGGCACAAGAATCACTTGAACCCAGGAGATGGAGTCTGCAGTGAGCTGAAATCACACCACTGCACTCCAGCCTGGGTTACAGAGTGAGACTCTGTCTTAAAAAAAAATAATAATAATTTAAAAAGTAAAATAAAAGAGTAATTCTTTTTATTGTCTGATACTAATTACTAAGTAATTTTTTGTTTCTTTGTTTTTCTTAGACATTGGAATTCTATTATAGTAATAAATCTTGAAAATTGCTATTAAAAGTCAGCTTTAAATATTGATTTCTTAAATAAGAAAAATACAAGCCTGAAGTTGATAATCATTTTTTATTAAAAATCATATCAAAACATGTTTTTAAATTCTTCGAACCAAAATTGAGTTCATTTTTCCATTTTTCATTCAATTCAAGACCATGCTTGTAAGTGGTATTTGGTGAGGGGGAAATTTTACACAATGTAGATAATCTAGACTTGGCAGAAGAATTATAACCTCTATATCATAAGCTATGTATAATCATTTTCTTAAAAGGCAAGCACTGGCTCACATAAAAACATCTCTGGATGCATCAAAGTTAATCATGAAAAAAATCCTAATGATTTCTGATCCTGGCCTACCTGTCTAAATATCAACTTACTGGTAAGCAAATACTAAAGAAAAACTATGCAGTTATGAGCCACATTTTAAAACTAAAATTCCACCCATCCCCCAGATGAGCTATTAAATCTGATAGTAGAATAAAGGCATTTTCAGATATGCAAGAGCTAAAAAACATTACCTCTTACGAACTTTGTCAGAAGGGTTGAAAGCACTAGTTAAGTGTGTGTACAAAAGGATGTGCACCATCAAAACAAGGTAGAAAATCAAGAAAGAGGAAGACCTAAGATCCAGGAAATGGGATCTAATATAGGAGAGAAGAAAAAGAAATTCCAAAATAATGGCAAAGAGAAGTATCAGCATAACAAAGAACAACCAGTTCAGAAAGGAGGAGCAAGTGAAATCCAGAAGGGGAGTTTCCAGGAGAAAAAAACAGCACTGACAAATTATCTAAGAGCTGTAACAATGAAGACTTGTTGTGGCAGGTATTTACAGGGTTACTTAGGGTGTAAAGACCTGATTAGATGTTCAAAGAAAATAAAGCAAATGAAAAACAGTAAGTATTATTAATGCTAGAACAAATCCAAAAATGTATATGAAAGGAAATATGCATATTATTTGTTAGGAGCAAATAACTTACAGGATCATAATAATAAACACTAAAAATGAAGCTACCATACACTTTGGGAGGCCGAGGCGGGCAGATCACCTGAGGCCAGGAGTTCGAGGCCAGCCTGGCCAACATGGCAAAACCCTGTCTCTACTAAAAACACAAAAGTTAACTGGGCGTGGTGGCGTGTGCCTGTAATTCCAGCTACTTGGGAGGCTGAGGCAGGAGAATCGCTTGAACCTGGGAGGCAGAGGTTGCAGTGAGCCCAGATAGCCCCACTGCACTCTATTTTGGGCAACAAAGCAAGACTCTGTCTTAAAAAAGAAAAAAAAAAAAGAAGCTACAATAGAAAGTCAACAAATATCCAAAACCAAATTAAGACATAACAGTTGATATATGTATGTGTGTGTGTATATATTATACATATATACACATATAATTTTTATTTTTATGTATTATATATTCATAATTTGTTATATAATATATACACACATAATTTTTATATATTATATTTATAATTTAGAAAAATGGAAGTATCAAAAGAAACTGCTAAAAAAGTAAAAAATTCCCTTGGGAATGATATTTGGTGAACAATGGCTAGGTTAATTAAAAAAAACAAAACATTTTTTGCTACCAACTTTAAAATACAACATGACCTTTTGTAATAGTGTATGCATGTGATTTTTTAATAAATATAAATACTAATCTAAAACAAAAGCTAATTATTTGAGTCATTATGAGAAAAAAAATTACCAATATTTGAATTTAACCTGTCACTTACAGGTGGCTTTTTAAAATTAAAATTATCTAGTTTCTCCCATATAAAAAGAATATTTACTTAAATCCTCATATTCTCCCAGCCACTGCCCAACCTCTCCCCTCCTTTCACAGCCAGGCTTCTTAGAAGTATTATCCAGATTGTTCTCTCCAGTTACCAACCTCCTATTCACTCCTCTAAACATTCAACATGGCTTACCCTCCATCTAATCAAGGGACATAAACAACTTCTACATCACTAAATCACATCGATGTTTCCAGGCCCAGCGAGTTACCTGACTTGGCAGCATGCAAAGTTCCGCTGTTGCTCCCTCCCAGGAACTCTCCCCTCAGCTTCCATGACTCAAGCTTTCTCTGCTTCCCTTCTAACTCTCCAGCCCTCCTCTCCCCTAACAATCTCATCTATGCTCACGCTTCAATCACCACCAATACCCTAGTGACTCACACATTTTCTCTCTCCAGCCAAGACCTCACCTCTGAGCTCCAATTAATATTTCATTGTAAAATTGAAAAAAAAAAAGTGGTTTTTCAAATTACTCATTTATATAGTATGGATATTTGTTCCCATCAAAATCTCACGTTGAAATGTAATCCCCAGTGTTGGAGGTAGGGCCCAGTGGGAGGTGTCTGAATCATGGCGGCAGATCCCTCATGAAGGGCTTGGGCCATCCCCTTGATGATAAGTAAGCTTTTGCTCTGAAATCTGGTCTTAAAAGTGTGTGGCACCTCCCACACGTACACTCACTCTCACTTGCTCCTGATTTCACCATGTGACATCCTGCTCCCCCTTCGCCTTCCACCACGATTGTAGCTTCCTGAGGCCTCCCTAGAAGCTGAGCAGATGCCAGCACCATGCTTTCTATAAAGCCTGCAGAACCATGAGCCAATTAAACCTCTTTTCTTTATAAATTATCCAGTCTCAGGTATTTCTTTATAGCAATGCAAGAACGGCCTAATACACTCATCAACTAACTCCAAGCACCTGCTTCTTCCTCAAAGAGGGGGGAAAAAAAGAAAGAAACTGAAGTTCTAAGTCTCACTGCTGACGTTTTCACAATTACCTTGGAAAGCTACCTCAAGTTGAAGCTAGTAAGAATACAAAGCTTGATCGCTGAGCCAATTTTCTTGAAAGCATAATATTCTAGTCCCAACTTTTAAAAGATTTTAAAATATTCTCTGTACTTTCATTTTGTGCAACATTTAAGTTAGACACTGTCTAAAAGATTATTTAAAACACAGCCAACATTTTTTTAAAATTGGAGAATTGACGGTAACAAGACAGTTTCAAGTTCACAGTATAAAATATAAGTAATACCAATTAAGGAATTTACATATTTTCCAGAAAGAAACCAATCCACATATCCCACACGAATTATAAGAGAGAGTCTGGTAATATATAATTTTAATTCACTGAAATTTTATTCCTGTAGTAAATTTATATGCAACAAATAACCCCCAAAATGTTATTACTTAAAAGACTATGAATAAGAATGACCTGATCACAGAAGAATATGCTTCTTTGAAGATCAATATAAAACAACAATTACCTTCCATTTTCCCAGAAAGCAGGAAATACACCCCTCCATAGATGACCTCTATCTGCAAAGCCATAAATCTGCCAGAACCAGATACTGATCTTGAGAACCACACACAAAAATATTTTCCCCTCTATTCCATTTTAAAATCTTCTAGTTCTAGTGAAGAAGTAAAAACTGAAACTAAACATGATCTAAAATGGTTTCTAAAATCTCCATCTCCAAATATTTTAAGTTCAGCTCAACTCCTGGCAACTAAAAGAATTTTACAAATTTTAACCATGAAGTATGTATATTTAAGCACATTTACAACTGTATTCACTATGTAATGTTTTGACTATTTTCACACTATAGCACTTTCCAGGGCCTGTTCCAGCCTATATCATGAAGAGAGCAAACTCTTCATGAGCCTTGCTCCCTAGAGACACCCATCTTCATGGTCATGAGCAGACACTTAGTGCCCTCTTGTGTTCTTTCCTCTGCATCCTGGGACAATTCAGATAAAGCTAATCTTCCCAGAGCACTCAGTCATTCTAATCTTCTCTATTCCATTTCACATGCCTCCCATGTTTGTTGTCTATTAGAAAAATTATAAATTAATGAGTTAATGTAATAATAGTGCTAATAAATCTGAACTCAATGCATGAATATTCTTAAGAAATACATTTGCAAGTTAACACCTTTCCCAAAGAGAAAAACTATGGCAAAAATGCAGGACTACATAAAGAAAATATTTGGGAAGTCAGGCTTTTTCTTACTTTATTCCATTTACTAAATGAAATCACATGAAATTTGCATTTGAATATATTTATAAATGTTTTTCCATCTTGGGCTGAACCACTTTCGAGACTTACAGACAGGTGTAAGTCTCTCTGTAAGTTAAAGGGCGAGTCTCGATACTTGGGCCACAACAACTATACATGTACCCTACTGAACATAACTTCTTATTCTGCATATCTAGATGCACCACATGTTTGATTATAACCTCCAAAAAATAATTTTACATGGAAAAAGCTAAATATAAGCTAGTCGAGTGACGGATTTAGTGTTCATCAGCAACAGCTCTACAGCCCCAAGTGTCAAATGACCTATGCTAAGTCGACCGAGATTTGAGGGGGCTTTACTCCACTGTTTTCACACCAAGTACACCACGATAACTGAGAAGGTCACACTTCCTATGTAACACACACATGCTCACTCTACCAACAATATAAGTGAACAAAACAACTTATATCATTAAAGTAAGAACACCTATAGCAAAAATGCTAACTACTCAACTTTCACTTACAAGCTCAGAGATTAGATTCTGAAGCAAACTATTTATTGATGAATGCATCCTTCAATAAATACCATGTTTTCATTTACAGTGATAGTGATTGTATATATGTAATATTTTCTCATTAAATACAACCAGATTCTATTTAAAATAATTACTGCTTCTTAATCTTCCAAAGTAAAAATAAAATATGGCATAAAAACCCGTGTTAATGGGTCACACCACTTTTTTCCTCTTTTGTTTTTTTAATGGAACTCTAAGATCATTCAAACAGCTTTGGTTATGATTACTGAAGAATTAAATAACATAATTTCATTTTTCCATGCTTGAGCTCAAGTAGAAATAAAACGTTAGTGACTTATGATTCAAAAGTGCAGTTAGAAATTAATTTATAAACAATTGTATTCAAACAACCTAGGGCATGACATATTAGTTTGTAAAATGGCAAAACTAAACATTAATTCATATAACAATGAAAGCAAATGGTATAATAAATAACAATTTGATGATTCTTTATTGTTTTCTGAAGAAAAGGATTTTTATTCCCCCATATCCTATATTTAAGTACATTTCATGTCCATATATACTCAGAGGACCTTTCTATATCAACCTTAAATTTTCTTTGACACTTTGTCTCTTAAATGGTAGCAAAAGTTGTTAAATACCAGTCAAGTACATTTTGTTGCAGAAATCATTTCAGTATTTCATGTTTATCTAATGTGTAGCTTCTATGAAATTACCTGCATGATCACAGCCAAAATTTTATTTTCATAAAGAACTGTCCACTGCATGACTAATCTGCCATGCAAAATATGTTAGAATTTTTACTGAACTAGATTTAATTTAAGTTATCATATTTATATTATTTCATCATACTAGCTTTTAGAGGTACATATCAAAATCTACTCAGGTTGAAACAATACACACAAAACTTAAAAAAGGATGTCTTTCTCTTACTTAATGTTTAAGAAATGAATAGTCAAAGATTTTTACATTTTTCCTTAATTTAAACAGTTTCTTCAAAAGACATAACCTCTAAATGTCAATGCATAAAGACTTTGGTATTTCCAAAGTTACTAAAATCTTTACAGACACCTTTTCTTAAGAATAATAAAGTATGATACAGATACATAATAAGCCTTAAAAAAAATACCTGAGAGGTCTTGCCTGGGGATTGCCTGCTTCTACATATGGATGTAAATAATCCTTTATGTAGAGATCAGCAGCACTATTAGAATGGGTGCAAATGAGAATCCTGCTGAAATAAATGGTGCAAATAAAAAGAATGATAAAACACAAAACTATTCAAGCAGTATAATACCAAAAAAAAAAGCAGTGGCCATCCTAATATTATACAATTCCCTTACCCTACTCAGTAATCCCTAGCATTATTCAGTGATACCTTTAGGAAATTACACTACTCTTTAAGTTAAAAAGGAAGTACCCCAAAATTATTTTTAAGTCTATCATATAAAATATACACATATATTTAAACCCAAGTCTTCTGGCTCTAATAGATACCACAATTCCATAGCAAACTTGTTCTGATGGCTATTTAAAAACTATTTTAAAACTTACTGTCTATACTACCAATTCTAAAAACAGTATGTTTTAAGAGAATTCAAATTTTTAGTGCTCTGGGGTTTGGATTTACGGCTTTTCCTTTTCTCTTTTTTTCATGTTTAAGAGCTGCATGAAAACTGTCTTGCTAGCCCTCATTGTGTATTTAAAACAAGAACAGAGGTAGTATCCTACCAGGGAAATATGAGCACGCTTCCCACCCTCTCACCTAGTCTCCTGTTGCTGCAGAATATGTTTGACAGCCTGAGCTAGAGTGAACGTTTTGCCTGTCCCATAGGGTCCGATGATAAGCACAGGCGGCAGCTGGATTGCAAGTGGAGTGGTAATGGCCAGAACAGCCTCTTTCTGTTTTGCATTTAGTCGAGGATCCAACTGTTCATCCCATTGTCTATGGAAAATAAAAATTTATGTTAAACACATGCATCTCGTTAATAAATAGAACATAACACACGAGTATCGTGAATTTCAGTGAACCATTAAAACCACTGAAATAGCATAGCATCTATAAAAACAAATGCTTATTCTAAAGCTACTTTTTATAAAGTTACCCAACAGAGTCAGTGTAGAGTGTTTTAACGTGTAAATCAAAATTAATTTTATCTTGTCCTACACTACGTACAAAAAGATTTTGGTAACTAATCTAAGGAAATCACATACTTCGAATCTAGCTGCTGCCAGGTCTTTAAGTAGAAATGGCAATGTTTCAAAAATGTAATTTCCCTCTGTTACAAAAAAGCATCAGAAAACTTTTTACTGATATTAATTAAGTAGTAGGTTTTTTTGCATAACAAATGAAATGCAATAGGGAAACTATCTGAATTTCAAATTCTAATTATTTAAAAGATCTGTTGGTAAGGTTTAAAACAAGAGGAAAAGAACAAATCTGTATGTCCCTGGTTAAGAGATCCTAATTTTTACAAAGATCTTAATGTAGAAAATATTAAGTTTTTTAAAAAGGCATAAAAAGCCAAACAAAATAAAATGTTTTTTAATATTTTTGCACACACACACAAATAATACACATATTATATTGGTCAAAGTAGAGAACACCTGTCACAGTCGCACAGATGGCTACTGTAATGAGATCTATCTTACTAGTGTCCCTTCTATGACTTGGCTAAGTTTTGAAGATTTAAATGGACAGCAGATACTGAAACACATCAAACTGAGTGGAGAATCAACAGCATTCTTTCTCACAACTACCGTTAAAATACTATACGTCACAACAACTATGGTAAAAATGAGAGGGATGTGAATCAAAATAGTAAGGGTGTGTAAAGAAACTCTTAGAAAATTTAAAATAAAAGTGCCTGCAAAATAACCCTCAAATAGAGGACAGAGTTTAGACAGGAAAATTCTCTCTGTGAGGCTATATTGTACTTAAATCAGAAGGTGGTTATTTTTGAAAAATCTTAACGCTTTCAGTTTTCAAGAAATTATAACCTGGCCAGGCATGGTGGCTCATGCCTATAATCCCAGCATTTTGGGAGGCCAAGGTAGGAGCGTCATCTGAGACCAGCAGTTCAAGACCACCCTGAGCAACACAGCAAGACCCTATCTCTACAATATATATATAACTGTTATATTATGACATATAATCTCAAACCAACAAAATTCTCCTTAAAAAATGTAAAACCTTAGAAAACAAACTTTGACCATGTAATCATGCCAATATTTTTTCTGAAATTTGCCATTTGCTAAATCTCAAACATTTTATTTCAGAGTCCCTCAGCATTAACCGGCTTATTTATTCATAATTCTGCCAGTATCCAGCAATTTTCCATCTTCTATAAATGAAAAAACTGCTTCAGGTGATGGCTAAGTCCAGATCTAATGTATGTAGCATTAGATGAAATGGTTACCCTAAAACCATCCGAGGAGCCTTCTCCCCTGCCTTACTCTACTGTTGAGCCTAGCCAGCTCTAATGCTCCATCTCCCAGCCTCCTTTGCTACAGACCCAATTCTGATCAATTAGATGCAGGAAGAAGTCCTGAGAAGGACTTCTATACCCAATAAAATAAAAGCAAAGCCTTGCTTATTGTTAATTTTTTTTTTTTTTTTAACTAAAGAAAGGCCTTCTTGCTCTTCACTTCCTTCCACAGCTGACCAGGAAAAGTAAATAAACTACAGCAGCCATCTTATATTTTGCATGAGGCAAAACACATCAGGAAGAAAATGAACATGCCCTACATAGTAGAGGAGGGTGAGGTGTCTGTCCATGATGGCCCTGCAGAGCTCCTGCACAGCCCTGGACCACATATCTCTAGGCTGATAACTCCACCTTTTAAAGCCACAATCAGTTCAGTAAACTGCTACTTCAATCTATACCTGACCACTGTGATTCTATGATACCTGCCCCCAATGGTTCCTTTATCTGTGCATGAAGATAATGACATTTGCATCAGATGGTTATTTTAAAGATCAAGTGAGATAATACATGTAAAGCTGTTTAGAAAAATAATTGAGCAACAAAAGCTCAATTAAGGTTAGCTTGTTACTACAATATTTTATAGAGATTACAGAAAAATGAGATATTACTTGACTAGTACATGCTTTCAAAGCAAAAAGTTCTTAAAACATCCTTTCATCTTTCAAATCTGAGGACTTTAATGAACTTAAGAATGAGACAGATATCATGATAAACATTTATAGAAAGCCAATGAGTGGAACAACTTGTATTTATTTATCAAATTCTTAGAGACCCAACTTAGTATCTTTTTCTTTTTTGAGACAGAGTCTCGCTCTGTCGCCCAGGCTGGAGTGCAGTGGCGCGATCTCGGTTCACTGCAAGCTCTGCCTCCAGGGTTCACGCCATTCTCCTGCCTCAGCCTCCCGAGTAGCTGGGACTACAGGTGCCCACCACCACGCTCGGCTAATTTTTTTTTTGTATTTTTAGTAGAGATGGGGCTTCACCATGTTAGCCAGGATGGTCTCGATCTCCTGACCTCGTGATCCACCCACCTCGGCCTCCCAAAGTGCTGGGATTACAGGCGTGACCCACCGCACCCAACCTATTTATTTCTTTATGTATAGAGATGGGGTCTATGTTGCTGAGGCTGGACTCTAACTCCTGAACTTAAGCAATCCTCCCACCTCGGCCTCCCCAAGTGCTGGGATTACAGGTGTGAGCCCATTACCATTACAACTAATAGTTTCTCAGTATGTTCCTAGACCCAGATACCTTTTAATTGCTATTTAAATTACAGTGGTATAAAAATCTTTTCCTGCTTGAAAGTTTGCTTACTTTTGCAGTTAAAACTTACAGTCAGTAGTATTTAAATATACTACATCATATACAATGTAATTTTCAGAAGTGAGCATATCAAGAAAAATGCCTAAAAGCTTACTGGTATGGCCTTACAATTGAAACTTTTCTTCTTTAAACTCGAAATTCTTATGAACTTAAATGTGCCGAATATGAATAATATGTAAAACCCTGTTGGTATTCAAAGAAAAATAAGACGCAGTCTCTTCCTGTACAAAGCTCAGAGTTTACCCAGAAAAACTGTCTAGAAATGTTCACGAATTAATTGATAAACTGAGAGAAATTATGCTTGAAAACACAAAACTGAGCCTAGCGCATGTCAGGCACTCAATAAATAGTTGTTAAAATATTGACATGGAAGGGTCAGGTTCATCTGCTTGAGGAAGAGAGCATATGAGCTGGACTCAATCTTAAAGGATAGAGAGATCTTCAGTGAATTAACATTGGGCAAAGATTATATGAGAGACAGAAAATCACTTAAAGAGGAGGCAAGGCTGCAGGAAGGGGGAAATGAGTTGTCCGATGGGTGTATAGTATCAGTTCTGCAAGACGAAAAAGTTCTGGAGATTGCACAACAGTGTGACTATATTTAACACTATGGAATTGTACACTTAAAATGGTAAAGAGGGTACATTTATGTTATGTGGATTTTACCACAATTAAAAACTTTTTAAAAAGAATAACATAAAGATAAGGAGGCAAATAAGTACAGGGCAAATTAAACAAACTTCAAGGTAATTCAACATTGCTAAAACATGAGAGTTTAGAGGGAGAAAAGGAGTGTCAAGTAGAAAAAAGTAGAAGAAATCTGAAAGGATACTGCTGGAAAGCACAGTCAACGAGGCCATACACAGGCGCTTTGGCTTAGACTGCTCACCCTTTATCTACATATCAAGGAGAAGCCATCAGATTTGTGAGCAGTGAAATGACATGATTATTTTAGAAAACTAACTCTGGGAGAAATATTTGTGATGAGCCAGAAAACAGGGCCACAGACAACAGGACAAAAGGCCAACTAGAAAGCTACTGAAATAGTCCGGGTCTAAAAGCAGCACTGGCTCTGAGAATGAAAAGAAAAGGAAGCATGAAGAGGAGCTGAATCCGAAGAGAACTGGGAGATGTCACTGGATTTTTACAATCAGTAGATCACCAATCACTTTCAGGATAGTACACAAGAGGAAAACAGAGGTTACAGAGTGAATAAGAAAGAATACTGGAAACACGCAGACTATTCCCTCTCAAGAATTTTGGCACTAAAAAGAACAGAGGGGACTGCACAGTAAGAGTAAGCAAAACAAGGGAGAAATGACTGAGGTTTTGTGTTGTAACGCATATTTCGTGTTGTTCTGTTTTTAGGACCAGAAGAAATGGAATGTGAGGGGAAGTGATATATACCACTCCTAGGCCTGGCCCATAAAAGCTTCCCACGTGACCCTCCGTGCTCACTCTTCCCCTGTCGGCCAGCTGAACGTCAACACCCAGGGTGACCCTGGAAACCACTTACTAAAGATCCCAGAGGCTCCATTAGTCTTGGAAAGGGCCATCCTACCATGATTGAATTGACACAGTGATAAATAAACTTCTATTTTGTAGAGCCACTGAGATTAAAAAAGAAACAAAGGTGTTGTGAGTTGAGCATGGGCAGGTGCTAAGGGCATAAAACCCAGTGAAGAGATGAAAAGACAGATGCAGGCATACAGCTCTCACTGTCATCCATGCTTATAACAAAATGGAAGTACCTTCTTCATTACATGTAAAGACATCCCAAAAAAATTTAAGCAGAACAATATTTATACGACCATTAACTGGAGAGCAGTTTCTGAAGTAGTTTCTTCTATCGTACTTCATCCATTTTGATAATTTCTAAAAATCTCTCCTATCTTTAAAAATTATTTTAAATTAGGACATGTGTAGTAGCTCACATCCCAGAACTCTGGCAAGATAAGGCAGGAAGGTCTCTTGAGGCCAGGATTTCGAGACCAGCATGGACAAGACAGCAAGAACCTTGTCTACAAAAAAAAATTTTTTTTAATCAGCCAGACACAGTGGCATGTGTCTATAATCCTAGCTACTCAGAGGCTGAGGCAGGAGAGTTGCTTGAGCCCGGGAGTTCAAGGCTGTAATGAGCAATGATCATGCCACTACACTTCAGCCTGCATGACAGAGCAAGACCCCAACTCTAAATAAATAAATAAAAATTATTTTAAATTAACTACTGGAACCACTTTAGAAAGGCCCTAATTTCCCCATTCAACTTCTACTTGGAAATATTCCTAAATTGCTTGGCATCCTATCAAATTAAGGCTGTTGAGAAAAGCAGTAGAATTCATTTAGACTCTGAGAAAAAGTAATGATGAACCTCAAATGTTTCATTTTAAGTGTTCTTTTACTCTCCTTTCTAAACCAATATCTCCTGAAAAGCAAAGGCAAACTTTCTTATAAAAGTATGCTTGAGTTATTTGATACAGATATTCAATTTAATATTAACCTAACTTCCTTTAATAAGATATCGCCTTTTTGTACCTGTTAGGACTCCATGGTATGGTGGGAGTCATACTGATGTCTGGAAACAAAACCCCATTGTCCTTGATCCTGTCTAGTGCATAGTGCATTTCACAGAGGGGTAATCGATTTAATTGAAACTGAAGTTCAACCTGAAAGACAAAATGAATGTTTTAAAAACTGCATGAAAGCAAACATCAATGCTGGCAGCTCACTAGAATACTTTGGGAGGAATCTGTTTGGGACAGTAAGTTTAGAGATTCTTTTAAAGTATAATCATAGTCTAATCATAATTATGATGAATAATATTTGCTTTGTTCATTTATAACCAGGCACTGTAACAAGTACTTTACTATGGATTATCTCATTTAATAGTACCAATGATATATATATACTATTATTAACATCATTTTACATATTAAGAAATTGACATATTTGTAAGTTACCTAATCTCTAGTTAAAGGCTACTTTATTCTACCATTCCCATGAAAATACTTTTGCAAAAGATCAGAACATGTGAAGTATCCAGTCGTGAGAGATGATTAGCCCTGATACTCTATCAATTTACAATTAATAAATAATGTTCACCAAGTTTTATGTTTAAAAAGAGAAAAGATTAGTCTTCCAGTTAAATATGGCAGACTGAAGACATAATTCACCTAAAAACCCATAAAGATAGAACAGGAACAGATACAACTGCAGATGAGAGATGTCCCAGGAGGTAGCTTACATAGTTTCTTTTCATCTTTTCTTCCATTGCTGATTTAAAACTCTAATCAGAAAGCTCAACCTTGTATAACACTGGAACATTCTAAATGTTACTTATATTTAAAAGAATCACTTTTCTCTGGGAGTTACTACAGGTGCAATTTTCAACCCACCACTGTAGACTTCAAAGTCAGCTTTGCTTTTGTTTACGGCAGAAGAAAAACTAAACCAGAGGAAGACTACGAGCTGATAATGAGGCTACAGACCACTATGGTTAAGCTGCAACCTTCAAACATACCTGTGTGTCACAGTCAGGCCGAAGATTAAGTTCTTCACAGCATTCCCTAGATAGCCTTAAAAATATATATTCCTTTGTTTTTTCTTCAATAGTAGCTTCATAAACCTTCTCTTTGGTTCCCTGGGTCTGTACTAACTTCTGTTTAGGGACTGGTAATAAATAAACAGCATTGACTTTGGTCATCACCAGTCGTCCAGCCAAAGTATCTTCAGAAAGTGTTTCAGTAAGCTTAAAGCGACCAAAAAGTTGTCCATTCTGAGCATACTTTGCACCTCCAGAAACACCAGTGAGCATGAAGCTTGCCAGAATCTGCAATTGCACTTTAAGGTTGAACCTAAACCAGAAGTAGAAAACTAGTTTGAATATTTTACATCAAAAATATATAAAAACTAGAAGAGTGAAACAAAGTAAATCAAATATAAACATACCAAAAATTAAACCATTATATCAATTCCACTTCATTGAGCTAAAAACTGTATTTTTCTGCCTTTAATACAAGCTGGAAACAACAAAAAAAAATTTTTTTTTTTGTTTTTTTGAGACGGAGTCTCACTCTGTCGCCTAGGCTGGAGTACAGTGGCACGATCTTGGCTCACTGCTACCTCTGCCTCCCAGGTTCAAGAATTCTCCTGCCTCAGCCTCCCGAGTAGCTGGGATTACAGATGCCCACCACGCCCGGCTAATTTTTGTATTTTTAGTAGAGACAGAGTTTTGACATGTTGGCCAGGCTGGTCTCAAGCTCTTGATCTCAGGTGATCCACCCACCTCTGCCTCCCAAAGTGCTGCGATTACAGATGTGAGCCACCATGCCTGGTCAACAAAACTTTTTTTTAAGTGAATAAACTCCCATGTAAGTTACATAAAGATACAAGCTAAGTTGTGTTGAAGAATATGCACATTCAAAAAACACCTGAGTATTTAAAATGAAACTAAATGTTGTTTTTTAAGTAACATGAAATATTATATACTAATTAATATAAAAGTCTGAACACACCACTGGGACAATAAAGACTTTAAAATCACCTGGAACCAGAAGGAAACACATTGCATTGAAAATTACAATGGACTTTAAACCAATTACTTTCCAAGTAGATCTTACCAGCAGATTCTAGCCATAAAATATCTCTTTCAATAATGTTAATGAATAACATTTAAAATAAATTTTCATTCATGGCTACATGGAGGCAGGTCTCATGCAGGAATTATGGCAAGAGAAGTTAAGGCCTATCTTATCAGACAATGGTTGGTATACTCCCTCACACTTCCATGTGTGCACGTGAGTATGAGAGAGTATGTGTAAAGGCAGCACAGAGAATCAAGATTAATTTACACAGTCAAGAAATATGGAGCCGGACATGGTGGCTCACGCCTGTAATCCTAGCACTATGGGAGGCTAAGGCGGGCAGATCACCTGAGGGGGGCAGTTCAAGACCAGCCTGGCCAACATGGTGAAACCCTGCATCTACTAAAAATACAAAAATTAGCCAGGTGTGGTGGCAGGCACTTGTAATCCCAGCTACTCAGGAGGCTGAGGCAGGAAAATCACTTGAACCCAGGAGGTGGAGGTTGCAGTAAGCCAATTATCACATCACTGCACTCCAGCCTGGGCAACAGAGTGAGACTCTGTCCCCAAATTAAAAAAAAAGAAAGAGAAATATGAAGTGAAAGAAAGATGTAAACTAATTAACAGTTCTCCTTTGCTGTTCTGAAATGGTGCTGTAAGAGGTAAGACAACATGGTAAGAAATGGTGGCAACATTTTCTCCTTTTTCTTAGGTTTGTCTTAGTCTGTTTTGTGTTGCCGTAACAGAATACCTGAGACTGGATAATTTATAAAGAACAGAGATTTATTTCTTACAGCTCTGGAGAATAGAAAGTCTAAGATCAAGGGGCTGGCATATGGTGATGGTCTTCAGGCTGCATCATCCCATGGTGGAAGGCAGAAGGGCACGAAAGTGTGAGCAAAAGCAATGGCAAGAGAGGACTGAATTCACTCTTCTAACAGCCCACTCTCATGATAAGGAGCCCATTCCTGTATAATCACATTATCCACTCATGAGGGTGGAATCCTCATGGCCTAATCACCTTTTAAGAGTCCCACCTCTTAATACTGTCCCAATGGCAATTACATTTCAACATTAGTTTTGGAGGGGACATTCAAACTACAGCATTCTGCCCATAGCCTCCAAATGCATGTTCTTCTCACATACAGAATACATTCATTCCATCCCAATAGCCCCTAAAAGTTTTAACTCTTTCCAGGATCAACTCTAAAGTCCAAGTCCAGAGTGTGAACTAAATCAGATACGGATAAGACTCAAGGCACAATTCATCCTGATTCAAATTCCTCTCCAGTTGTGCCTGTGAAATTAACGAGTTACATGCTTCCAAAATACAATGGTGGGACAAGCACAGGATAAACATTCCCATTCCCAAAGGGAAAACTAGGCAAGAAGAAAGGAATAAGTGGTTCCAAGTAAGTCCAAAATCCAAAAGGGAAAACAACATTAAGTCTTAAAGCTGAAGAATAATCTCCTTTGCTTCCACATCCCACATCCTGACACACTGGAACAGCAGTTGGGCCCCCAAGGCCTCAGGCAGCCTGGCTTCTTTGGCTTTGCTGGGCTCAGTCCCCCAAGAAGCTCTCACAGATTGAAAGTCTTATATAGCTTTCCCAGACGAGAGCTGCATAATGCTGACCCTTCAGTTCTGGAGTCTCAGGATCTAGCCCACTCCCAGGGCTCCATTAAGCACTGTCCTAGTGGGGACTCTGCACAGTGGCTCTGCCTCTGCACCAAGTCTCCGCCTGGGCCCTCAGACTGTTCAATACATCCTTTGAAGTCTATGTGGAGTGACCATTCTGGCCAACCTGGTGAAACCCCGTCTCTACTAAAAATACAAAAATTAGCTGGGCGTGGTGGCACATGCCTGTAATCCCGGCTACTTGGGAGGCTGAGGCAAAAGAATTGCTTGAACCAGGAGGCGGAGGTTGCAGTGAGCTGAGATCGCGCCACTGCACTCCAGCCTGGGCAACAGAGCGAGATTCTGTCTCTAAACTAAATAAATAAATAAATAGAACAGGAGGCCAGGCATGGGGGCTCACACCTGTAATCCCAGCACTTTGGGAGGCCGAGGCGGGAAGATCACTTGAGGTCAGGAGTTCAAGACCAGCCTAGCCAACATGGTGAAACCCTGTCTCTACTAAAAACACAAAAATTACCTGGGCGTGATGGCCCGGCCTGTAGTCCATAGCTACAAGGGAGGCTGAGGAAGGAGAATCACTTAAACCCAGGAGGTAGAGGCTGCAATGACCTGAGATAGCGACACCGCACTCCAGCCTCAGTGACAGAGTGAGACTCCATCTCAAAAAAAAAAAAAAAGAGCAGGAACCCTTACTTATTTCATGCTTTCTCAAATGAAGTTAAAATTTTACTTTCCTTTTACTACCTATATAATATGCAGAGTTTAGGGGTCATTAAAACTTTCTCAGAGGGAGGAGATTACTTATAGTGCAAGAAATTCTTGATTCACAAAGAATCATAGCAAAAAGAATCTTTTTGCTAAGATGATGTACAGTTTTTTTTTTTTTTCACTATACAGTCAATGTCTTCTACCTTTGAACTCCCTCTTCCAAGGACTTCTGTATGGTAATACTCTCCTAGTTTTCTTCCTACCTCTCCTAGCTGCTCTCCATCTCCCATCTAAGCACCAACTATTTTCTATAAGCTCCAGCCTGCCTTCCTTCTACTCTGTAAGTTCTTGATAGGTCACCCTCTCCCAGATCTCCCAGCTCAGGGCTGTAAATCCAACTGTCAAATGGACACTTTTGATTACATGCCCTTTAAACTCAGTATATGCAAAACTGACTACCTGACCTCCCCAGTGTGACCCAACCCAATCTTCCCATGTATTAACAACTTAGAAAATGGCACTGTCATCCACGTAGGTATCCAAGCCAACCAAAAATCAAGTCATCCTTGACCCTGCCTCTCTTACCAACCTTCATTCACACATCACAGAATCACTGTGCCCTGTTACTTCCTCATAGCCCTGTTAGTTCCCCTCCTTCCTAATTCATCTGCATCCCAACATTTTTAACTTGGATTACTATAATAGACTTCTAACATGACTTCTTGTCTCAAATCTGTTCTCCACACCCCCATCAGAGGATCTCTGAAAAATGCAAATCTGGTAAGTAGCTTTCTATAGCTCTGAGGACAGAGTTTCTCTCTCATTTACCCTGTCCCCACCACACAAGCACCCTCCATTGCAACTATAATAATCAACTGGCAGCTCCCCAAAACTCTATGCTCTTATTCTCACATCCTGTTTCCTTTAACCAAATACTTTTGTCCTCCTTCTTTTGTTTTGTTTTGTTTTTTTTTTTGAGACGGAGTTTCACTCTTGATGCCCCAGCTGGAGTTCAATGGCCCCATCTTGGCTCACTGCTACCTCCACCTCCCGGGTTCAAGCGATTCTCCTGCTTCAGCCTCCCGAGTAGCTGGGATTACAGGTGCCCACCACCACACCAGGCTAATTTTTTGTATTTTTAGCAGAGACAGGGTTTCACCATGTTTGCCAGGCTGGTCTCGAACTCCTGAACTCAGGTGGTCCACCCACCTCGGCCTCCCAAAGTGCTGGGACTACAGGTGTGAGCCACCACACCCAGCCTTGTCTTACTTCTAAACCTGACAAATCTTACCTGTTTTTCAAAGTTCAACTTACATTCCATCTGCTTGAGAAAGCAGATGTGAGCCCCTCCTTGACTACCCTCCTTTTCTCCACTAAGATGAGAAAGTGCCTCTTCCATGGGGCCCTTGTGCATTCCTCCAGTGCAGTGCTGAGCACATTTTATTATAACCCTGTATTTATGAGTCTGCCTCCACTACTGGATTACAAACTTTTGGGGGACAAGGAAACATATTTTGCTTGCCTTAGAAATCAGCAGTGACTAGCATAGAACCTAACACCTTCAACATTCCATAAATTTTGTTCATTGAATTAATTTTATGTTTTTCTAATAATCTGATTTTTCCCAAGCACCATATTCCCACTTTAGCCACTTTATATTATTTCCTAACATATTCTTGAAATCCTGTCATATATTTCTCAACTATCTTGGGCCACATATATTTTTTAATAGTTTTTTGTTTTGTTTTGTTTTTTGAGACAGGGTCTCACTGTCACCCAGGCTGGAGTGCAGTAGCACAATCTTAGCTCACTGCAGCCTTGACCTCCTGAGCTCAAGCGATCCTCCCCTCAGCCTCCTGAGTAGCAGGGACCACAGGTGCACACCATCACGCCCAGCTAATTTTTGTATTTTTTGTAGAGATGGGGTCTCGCCATGTTGCCGAGGCTGGTCTCAAACTCCTGGGCTCAAAAGACCTGCCCACCTGGGCCTCCCGAAGTGCTAAGATTATAGGTGTGAGCCACTGCGCCCAGGCCTTAGGCCATATATTAAAGTTTCACTCATGTCTATTTGAGAATCACCATCCCAAAACACTTGATCACAATTTAGCAGGCATGAAAAGTTAATCTCACAGTTTAGAGCAACAAGAGAATCCTCTTGTGACATTGGTTGTGTCTTGCAACAAAATTCTTGAGGTAGAGGCACCAGAAGTGCTAAGAAATAAAATAAAATAAAAGTCCTAAGAAATGCAGCTTTTCCCACAGAAAATTCATCACATGTTCAAGATGCAGACATTATAGACTTTCTAGTAAAGGTTATAGCTATACTAATAATTAATTTGTATAAAAGATTAACAGGCTAAAACTAAAATTATGTTAGTAATCTTAAATATTAAAATATGTACTTTTTGAAATTTAGTAACTCAGAAATACCTAAACTAGAAAATATATCCTACAATTAAGAAAGATATTTCTTAATAAGAAGAAAAACCATCTTTCCATTGTTGCATGCTACATTTTAAAATCATCCTTAAAGTTTACATAATTCCCTAACCTTTTAGGGAATGACAGAATTACAGCCAACTGAACACTCAATAGACTGAAAAAGATACTTCCATGCTAATGAGAAATATGGCTCTATCAACCTTAGTAACAATTCCATCTCTTGAGTGCAACTTTCAAAAAATTTCAAACCTATATAGGGTTTTCATTTCATGTGATTTCTGACTATATGAACAATAAAAATCTAACAAAGTAATAAAACAATCCCTGAGTTTACTAAAGCAGAGCGACAGAACTGAGGTGTCACCAATAGAAGCAGCACCCATCTAATGATGAAATGTGCACCCCACACTAGACCTGTCACCAACAGAAGCAGCACCCATCTAACGATGAAATGTGCACCCCACACCCATCTAACGATGAAATGTGCACCCCACACTAGGCCTGTCACCAACAGAAGCAGCACCCATCTAACGATGAAATGTGCACCCCATACTAGGCCTGTCATGCCAGCTGTTAGCACTGAGAAGCCAGGCACAATGACCCAATGAGGCATGCACAGTTTAATGGACACAATAGCTTCAGCTAAAGCACATTTCCTTTGAAAATGTATCTCTTAAAATCAAACAGATTTCACTTCAAAGTAGAATCATTATTGAACACACACCAACATGTGACTGAGGATAAGAGAAGTAAAACAAATCTCAAAAGAAAAGCATTTTCTAAAACTTATATGAAATATAGTATTATCTTTATCACGTACACACATCTCACACTAAAACAACCTAAGAAGAAATTTCTGGACTGCTTTGAAAAAAATCATCCTTTAAAAAAAAAAAAAAAAAGATAGATTATTAAATCCAGTCTCAAACCAAAATGTATTTTATCTAATCTTGAGAGCCTTTTTTCAATCTACTTTCTAGGAAGAAATGCTAAAATGACCATGTAAAAGGCACAGTCTGATGGGATCTTGCTCTGTTGCCCAGGCTGGAACACAGTGGTGCAATCACAGCTCACTGCAGCCTCAAATTCATGGGTTCAAGTGATCCTCCTGCCTCAGTCTCTTGCAACCCTTACCATCAAAATGTAAGAAACTAGTATGAAGCCCCTTGATACTACTTTCGTGATTAGAAATATTCTGCTTTGGCCAGGCATGGTAGCTCGCGCCTGTAATCCCAGCACTTTGGTAGGCCGAGGCGGGCAGATCACCTGAGGTCAGGAGTTCAAGACCAGCCTGGCCAACATGGTGAAACCCCATCTCTACCAAAAATACAAAATTAGCTGGGCATGGTGACACTTGCCTGTAATCCCAGCTACTCAGAAGGCTGAGGCAGGAGAATCGCTTGAACCCAGGAGGCGGAGGTTCTGGTGAGCGAGACTGCACCATTGCACTCCAGCCTGGGCAACAAGAACGAAACTCCATTTAAAAGAAAAGAAAAGAAAAAAAGAAATATTCTGCTTAAACTGTCAAAGTTCACAGAGGACTCATACATTCTCGGGACCTTGGGAAATATCCTACTAATTGTGTGGCAGCAGATCTGACCACGATGTCACAAAGAGGCAAACTTCAATGTGTTCAGAACACACTTATTATTGTCAATACATGTCCAAGTCATTTAGAGAGATGAGTCTATATAAGCATACCATTGTCTCCTACCTTTAAATTGGGTCTCAAACCACAACAAAACATTCTTCATGATTCTAATGGTGATTTGGGTTTGCTCTGATGACTGGTATTGATTGAACAGACAAGCAAAATGGCCCAGTCACACACACTAGAGCACAGCCCAAAGATGTGCCCAAAGCCAACCTTCAAACTGTTTCCGTATAGCCCTTAACTGACAGTGGATTTTACAAAAACAAAAAAAGAAGAAGAAATGCAACCAGGCCTGTATGAAATTCTCAAAGCCTAAAATATTTATTATCTGACCCTTTACAGAAAAAGTTACTGAGCCCTGCACTACACCATAGCTTAGTAGCTGCATAGACACCTCCCCCAAAATTTTCAAAAATATATCTTAGTTATTTTATTTATAAAGAATTAACAATCAAATGTAAATTAAATTCAAGGCAACATTAAAATGCATATAAATATTAAGTTTAAAGAGTGAAGAAGAAAACAAAATACTCTTTTAAGCAACATATGAATGTCTGTCACAGACTTTTGAAAATCTTCACAATCTATGTTTACTTGCTTATAGATGCATTCTGAGAACTCTATCTAATTATTATAGGATCTGTTTCTTTGTATGTGTACCAATTCTGCACCACACTTCACTAACATTTATAGGCCTGCCAAATTCAGAAATTTAATTTACCAGCCTTCATATCCAGGGTTACCTTTAGGTGAGAGTATCACCAGAAATTCCAGAATTCTCTAGCACAGTAACTACTTGTCACATGTTAGGCAGGTCGCAATAAATTATCAGTTATATCTTGAAGATCCTTCAAAACTCTTGTGTAGTTGTGTACAGAACACATCAATACTGATCCAGCTGATTTACATTTTGTAAATATCCCTATTTGAGTCAATAAATATGATATAACTTTAAAGATTAAAAAAACAGAAAGCTCAGAAGTTCCTATAAAAACACTCTACACTATCTTACCACTGCCGTACCACAATCTCTTCTTTTCATACCTAAGGGCTTTTTTACACCATGAGCAGCAAGTGTTGCCACTAATGATGTACCAGTTTCCTTTAAATTTTTTTAATTATAGGAGGAATATATGGTCATTATGGAACATTTCAAAAGTAGAGAAAACTATTACAACATAAAAATCAGCTGTTAGTCTACCAACCAGAACATTTTGCTTTCATTCTTTCCAACATTTTTATACACAAATACATACACGTATGTGTATAGGCATCTATAAAAAATTAGAATGGCAATAAGGTATTATAACTAGCATATTTTCTTCCCTAATATTATATCATGAGCATCATCACTGCATTAAAAATTCTTCAAGAACATAATTTCAAGTTGTATAACATTCAATCATATAGCTATATCATAATTAACTTATTCTTCACTACTCTTTGCAAGACATGTGTCCAGACATCTTTGACTCTGATTATTGCTTATGATCCCCCATATGTGGAATTTCCACACCAAAAGATTCAAACTTAAGGTCCTGGATACAAACTGCCAAACAGCTCTCCAGATAGATCACACAAACTGGGCCAGGGGCGGTGGCTCATGCCTGTAATCCCAGCACCTTGGGAGGCCAGAGCGGGTGGATCACTTGAGCCCAGGAGTTCCAGATCTTCCCTGGGCAACATGGCAAAATCCCATCTCTACAAAAAATACAAAATGAAGCCGGTATGGTGATGCACACCTGCAGTCTCAGCCACTCAGCGTCTCCAGTTAGGCTGGAGATGATCACCCCAGCCCGGGAGGTTGAGGCTGCAGTGAGCCAAAACCATGCCACTGCATTCCAGCCTCAGTGACAGAGTGAGACCCTGTCTCAAAATAGTAATAATTTTTTTTAAAAAGATCACACCAACTTAGTTTGCCATCAGTGCTAATATTTTTAAGGCCCTCTCATACTGGCTTTGAAAGCCTTCGCAAGGTACTCATAGAGTGCACTTTCAACTATTCAGTTTCTCTTTTTTTTTTTTTTTGAAACAGGGTCTCTCTTTCTCTCACCCAAGCAGTGATGTAATCATAGCTCACTGAAGCCTAGACCTCCTGGGCTCAAGCGATTCTCCCACCTCAGACCTCAAACTGACCCACATCATGCCTGATTATTTAACTTTTTGTAGAGATGAGGTCTCACTATGTTGCCCAGGCTGGTCTCAAACTCTTGAGCACAAGCAATCCATCCACCTCAGCCTCCCAAAGTGCTACAATTACAGGTGTGAGCCACCACACCCAGCCTTAGTTACTTGATCAGTATTTAACCTCTACAATTTTGTAGGGTTTCTCCTTTTTTCCATCCAGACAAGTTTCCACTTTTAAAAGATTATTTTGAATATAATAATACTAAGCTTTTTAGGCTTCACATGCACATTCTAAAGTAATGGAATGATTTATCAACCTTAATAAAATATTAAACAAATAAAAGTTAATATATAATTTTTTCTGAATTCCTACTATGATACTCAAAAATAGTCTCCAGGATTCTGGTAAGCTTTTAAATTATATTTAATCCCAATATTTACGATTTATCATGGTGTTCTTTCCTAAGAAAAAGGAATCCATGATAATATAAATAATATAGATGATATAACCCACTGTCCTTCTTATTTAACAGCCTACAGACACAATTGATAAAAAAAAAAAGCCTTTTAAGACACCATCAATGGGCCAGGATTTAAAGTCTTAGAGTAATGAAAAATAGATTCCATCTGACTTTGTAAATTTTACATGTATTTAATTTGAAATTAGGTATTTTCAAAAGTTAGATCATAACTAATCTATAAATAGGGTGACCAAAATATCTATAAGTTTTCACTTTCTTTTCCTTTCTGAATATACTCTTAATGAGTGTTCAGTATTTATTAATAATACTAATGATAAGGAACCATAAGGCATCCTGGAGAAGAAAAATATGCTGGTTCAGCTGTATTTAAAAGTAAAACTACTTATAAAAATGTATTCAGGTCTCATAATTGTGGTTCAGTTTTTAAGGCTTGTCTCCAGTTTATCTAAAATATATTAATAGAAAGCTACTACCAAATACAACTATTTCACTAATCTTCCCTCACTCTAACTTTCTTTTCTGAGATTATTTTTCCTAAAATAATTCAAATAAGCTTTTGATTTAAGCACTTGGTCTTAACCTGTGGCATATGGATAAAATGTAAAATATGTTAACGTATTTATAAACTGCTATAAAGCTGTTTTATTAACCCGTTTTCCTGAAAATCTAAATAATTTCATTCCTAAAACAACTTTTCAAAATATGTGGTCTCTTTCGGTTGTTGTATATCTGTTCAACAAATACTCATTCAGTGCTTGCTATGACTACCATTGACTGAAAGCTTCTTAAGAGCAGGAACCACGGATTTATACTCCCGGCATCTGGCAAAGAGCTTGTCCCCTAATAGATGTTTAATAAGGTCTTATAGAAATGAACTATGTGCTAAATAACAGGGATACCATGGTGAGCATGAGACAGTTCTTGCCTTAAGAAGCTCATATTTCCTTTAAAGATAGAATACAGTTATTCAATAACAACCATTTACTACCTGTCTTCACTTAGGCACACTTTCATTTTAAAGATTAGAAATACCATCCAAAGGGGAGATTTTTTGTTTTAAAGTGTTTCTAAAGTAACTTACTTGCTGATTTCTTTATACTGGGCTATCTCCTCAATATAAAGAAGGTCATGTAACCGTGACTGATAGTTGCTCTTGGTCAATGATTTGTCTAAAACGGACTGAGTAAATAGCTGGTCAGCAGAGAGGGGAATTTGGTATCTGATAAGAAGGCTCTTCTCCAAATCAGTAGTTTCATTAGGTTCAAAATCTATAATAGTCTTAGAGGAAGAATCCCAACGTTTAGCTGTGGTTACTAGCTGCTGTTTTGCATGCATCAGGTATTCGAGATCTAAATGGAAACAAAAAACACATTTATAAAGAAACAGAACATTAAAATTTTTAAATAACATTAAAATTCTTAACTATATTACATATTTTTGTATGAGAATTGTATATGCTAGAGCTCAAATTCTTAAAAACAAAACAATGCAAATACCCATTGACTATTTCCCCCATATCAAAAAACAAAACAAAACAAAATAACATTAGTATAAATCCATGTTTAAAAAAAAAACTTTTTATCAGGCTAGGACATACTAGAAATTAACATTTTTAAAATACAGATTAACATTTAGAACTTAACTCTTCAGTCAAGAGAAATTTGAATCTGCGTGAAAAAGATATGATAAATTCTTCATAGGTTTTATCAGATGATAATCACTTTCTCTTCCTACTACCAATACCCATCCCATTATAGAAAGAGAAGATCAAAAACTGTAAAAGGTTAAATCTTTTCTTGTGTGATAAAGCACAATGAAACTACAGTA
Organism: Homo sapiens; assembly: GCF_000001405.40. Classification (NCBI taxonomy): domain Eukaryota; kingdom Metazoa; phylum Chordata; class Mammalia; order Primates; family Hominidae; genus Homo; species Homo sapiens. The sequence continues at coordinate 67,179,405 of NC_000017.11, forward strand.
TCTTTAAGTCAACTTACTATAAACAAAAATCTTTTCGAAAATATTAATGTAAAACACTGCTAAGTCCTTATTAAAATGCAGTACAATGCCATTCAAATGTCATTTCCAAAAAATCCAGGTTAGCCTTCGTTAAATTATACTGTAAGTAGGGCACAATGTCAAAACAAATGACTGTTCAAGTTCTGACATACCAGGGGAAAAAAAGTAGCACAATACCAGCACAAGATGAAATCCATAGTAACATAAACTCTGAGCACTGGGTTGGCTCACTCTATATGTAGTGCGTATTACTTTTCTATTGAGTGAAACATACATATACCTAAAAAAGAAAACTTAACCAAAAGAAAAAAAAAATGTAACCTTACTGATACATTACACCAAGACTTTGACATAACATAATTGGAAAAACGGTTTCACAACTCAGATTAAAATTTTAGGAAGAAATAATTAAAAGTTAGACAAAGATCAGTCTCCAAAGTACAAATTATCCTAAACTATCTTTGAAATGACAACATAATGCACAATTGCCATGTCTTTTTTAGTGAGAGATTTGGCAACATTTAAATGTTACATATATATTATAAACATGAGCCTAGTCATTCACCAAGATTAATGTCTCAATAGTGGCAAATAGCTTATCCAAATAATCTTAGTAATTTCTAACCTTTGCTCCTTGAAAAGCCATTTTCACATGCCAGTTTTATTTCTCAAAGGGCAACACAAATACCATTATAACCATCAAATGTAAAGATGGTCTGCTTATTAAAAACTTGCACTTTAAAAATACTCTGGATTGGGGCTGCGCACAGTAGCTCCCGCCTGTAACCCCATCACGTTGGGAGGTCAAGGCAGGAGGATCGCTTGAGGTCAGGAGTTCAAGACTAGATTGAACAACATAGTGAGACCCTGTCTCTAAAAAAATAAAATAAAAATATACGATAAAATTAACTATCATTAAAAAAAATACTCTGGATTGATGGTCTGTTTTTGCAATAGCCTCACAAGCAGAAGTTTCCTAATGTACACTAACCACATTTTCTTCCTAAATCACTTTGACAGCCAGGCACGGTGGCTCACGCCTATAATCCTGGTACTTTAGGAAGCTGAAGCGGGAGGATCACATGAGGTCAGGAGTTCCAGAACAGCATAGCCAACATGGAGAAATCCTGTCCCTACTGAAAATACAAAAATTGCGGGGCACAATGGCTCAAACCTGTAATCCTAGCAGTTTGGGAGGCTGAGGCAGGTGGATTGTCTGAGCTCAGGAGTTCAAGACCAGCCTGAGCAACACGGTGAAACCCAGTCTCTACTAAAATACAAGAAATTAGCTGGGCGTGGTGGCGGGTGCCTGTAGTCCCAGCTACTCGGGAGGCTGAGGCCGGAGAATGGCGTGAACCCGGAAGGCGGAGCTTGCAGTGAGCGGAGATCGCGCCACTGCACTCCAGCCTGGGCGACAGAGTGAGACTCCATCTCAAAAAAAAAAAAAAAAAAAAAAAATTTTAGCCAGGCATGATGGCATGCACGTGTAATCCCAGCTACTTAGGAGACTGAGGCAGGAGAATCACTTGAACCCAAGAGGCAGAGGATGCAGTGAGCCAAGATCGCGCCACTGCACTCCAGCCTGGCGACAGAGCCAGACTCTGTCTCAAAAAATAAATAAATAAATAAATACTAAACTCTACATAATAGTAAGGAATCTATTTAGTATGTAGCTTTTAAAGGAGGTCTAACTACTCTTTGGTGGTGGGGAGATTATATTTCATAATTTTATTTTACATTTCACTTTAAAAAAATTAATTCAGACTGTGCCTAGATTACTATTATGTTCATATACTTTAAAAAGTCACTAGTTATTCCTAACTGATGTTTAAGTAGCTGAGACAAGAACAAACCTAAAATGACAGAGCTTTCCCTGGAAAATGCTTTTTGATTCACCTACCTAATATACAAACAAAATGCAGAAAGCTTTTCTACTCTGGGTTAACAGTATTCAGGCTTTTGGGGAAAAGTGGCATGAGCAATAGCAGTATTTGTTTTTCTCATTATCTATATAGTACCCTGATTCCCACCTGGATTTTATGAAACTCTTAAATGCTTGTATCAAAATATCACACATACTTCATAAATGTATACAACTATTATGTATCCATAAAAATTAAAAATTAAATGTTAAGTGTCTTTAGCAGGTAGCACAGTAATTTCAAAACAATTCTCCAACAATGCTAAATTTTATTCCATTTACTTTTTTTAATGACTTTAAACACAGTGCAGGGGAAAGGAAAACTAGGGGAGCAAAAAGAATCTTGAAAAAAAAATCCACATATTCCAGCAACAAAAAGCCTACAAACTACTGATCTAAGTCTTTAACTCGGATGTCAAAAATGAACTATGGCCAGTGACTACTACTAAGGATACGGTATGCAAAACCCATTTCTCTTTCCCTACTTCATCTGAATTTGAGTCAAACTTCCAGCTCCATTCCTCTCACTTGTACAAAGAAACTTACTAAACTGATTTAATGACCCACCTAACTTACAGTGCTTAAAGGTCACCTCATAAATAGCAGAAGGATGTGGGTCCCTTATGGGGACACTGGGCATGACTCCTACTGGGGCTCTTTGTCATCTCCACCTACAGCACATGCGTACCTGCTAACACCTCAGCACTCAGGGCAGCCTGAGCCAGTGCATCCTTGGCATGCGTTTTCTTCAGCCTAGATTAGGCTAAAGTGAAAAACACTGGAAAATTGAGAAGTGGCCAGGCGCAGTGGCTCATGCCTGTAATCCCAGCATTTTGGGAGGCCAAGGAAGGCAGGTCACCTGAGGTCAGGAGTTCAAGACCAGCCTGGTCAACATGGCGAAACCCCATCTCTACTAAAAATACAAAAAAAAATAGCCGGGTATGATAGCTCGTGCCTGTAGTCCCAGCTACTCCAGAGGCTGAGGCAGGAGAATCGCTTGAACCCAGGAGGTGGAGGTTGCAGTGAGCCAACACTGCACCACTGTATTCTAGCCTGGGTGACAAAGCAAGACTCAGTATCAAAAAAAACAGAAAGATGAGAAGTGAGCAGGTTAGGATCAATATTCATAAAACCATTTAGGAATTTAACTTTAACAGTGACTTATTAACCAATTCTTACAATAATAAATCTCAAAGCAAACCTGACAGAAATTACAGACCTATGGAATGTGTTACCCTGAGATGTGCTAGGCAAAAACTATAAACAGATTTTAATAGAAATCCATAAGTTAAAGATAATTAGAATACACCTAATCTTTTGAAGATAACAGTCTTTTGAAGGGGTTCCGCTATCAAAAATAGAATTCAAGGTTGAAATAACTACTCTAACACAAGATACATTTCCCAACTTCCCTTGGCCTTCTGACCCTGAGAATAGCAGTGCTTGCATTTCAACCACATCTTTACTATTCTAATAAAGCATCCAAAGGGTGGGTTTGTTTCGTCTTGAAGTATATAGTATAGCAGACTTGAAAAATACCTTTAACAGGACCTGGAAGGTAGATAAGAAGAAAATAAGCGGTGGGGAAATCGAGTGTTCTAAGTACCCAGCACAAGGGTTGACATGTAAGAGGCAGGTAATAAATGGGTGTTAAATATGGAATTTATTAAAACCTGCTATATTTATCTAGGACTTAGAGAATGAGATGAAATGCTTCCTAATTCCAAAATCAGATACCACACTCTTCCTTAGAAAATATTTTGGTATGTGGCTTTACAAATCTTGACTGCCCAAATTAACAATAAAATAAAATCCCACAGTAATCCCAAACTACTGCTTCAGTGATCCATTTCTATATCCTTTCTTTCACCCAAACTGCCACATGGAAGCAAGGTGAATCTCTCTCAGCTTGCCTATGTTAACTGTCCCTATTTCTCTCTCTGAAAGAGGCTAACAAAAAGTTAAAACAGCAGAGTAAGAGCATTAAGAAATACCTCATGCTTTTTACATACTTCTATTCAGTTTCTTTTATTGACAAACTATTTAAGTCTATTTTTCTATTACTTTTCTGATCATGTAACAGTATGTAGATATATAATATGTTCTTAACTTACCAACAACTTTGGTAGTTGGGAATACTTTCTAAGATAGACTAAATTTTAATGCTAATGTTAACATAGATAGCTAGACTCAAACTAGAGAAATAAATGATATCAAGTTTCCATATTTAACTCCAAGAGTTCATTTTCAGCATGTTGCTTCCAGATATTCAAAACAGAATTCCAAATCAATTTTGCCAAACAAAAATTTTCCATTAATCAAGTTGTGGTATAAACCATAAGAATGCAGTCTGTTTTCTAAACAGGGGATAACTCACTAGCTTCCTTCCTTTGCAGATGCCTTTGCCACATATTTTTGAAAAGCCTATCCTTAGTCCAGAAGCTTTTTTAGTATATAGTGTCTTTTTCTGAACCCGAATCTCCCCAACAAGGGAAAAAAAAAACTACAAAAAGCAAAACTAAAGTCACTCATATTTCCTAAAGAGTTTTCAGGATTGCCAAAATGACTAGAGAAAAAAAATATTTGTTCATGGCCTACGAATAGAAAAGGTCTGGATGCTTTAGGTACAGTGACAGTAATATTTAAAAAAAAAAAGAAACCCAAAACCTATGTTTATTTTCCTCCAATTCAAATTTGAATTAACTAAAGTAGGATTTTTAGTTCAATACTTAACAATGAACTAGAGAAATATAAACATTTGCTATATAACTTGATTTTAAGTTTCAATGAGTAACACACTAACATAACTAAGTTACATGAACATATCAGTTTGACAGACACTGAGAGCCAATGATTAACTGAGCTACACTGTCTCTAAGAGGGAAATAATGCATGCTGCATTTCTAAACTTATTTGTACATGGCATTCTACACCTTCGGTGTTATTATTAATTTTAGTGGAACATAATTTAGAAAATGCTAAGCTAATAGCCTAGCATGGTCCAAATTTATAAACTTATGCAAGAGAAATACGGTTCCAGCATTCATTTAAGGACAAAAACTTGCTTAAAAACAATGAACACCCAATCAAGTGGAAGATGCAATAAATATTTCCCACTGAGAAGGAGTAATCTCTAAAAAAAAGAACATACTGGCCGGGCATGGTGGCTCATGCCTATAATCTCAGCACTCTGGGAGGCTGAGGTAGAAGGATCACTTGAGCCTAGGACTTCGAGACCAGCCTGAGCAACACAGAGAGACCTTGTCTCTACAAAAAAAGACTTTTTTAATTAACTTTTTTAATTAGCCAGGCATGGTGGTGTGCACTGATAGTCTCAACTGCTTAGGAGGCTGAGGTGGGAAGATCACTTGAGCCTAGGAGTTCAAGGCTGCAGTGAGCTATAATCACACCACTGCACTCCAGCCTGGGCAACAGAGCAAGACTCTGTCTCTAAACAAATAAATAAATAAATAAATAAATAAATAGAGATATTTCCCATTCAAATTCCAGTTTCACAGAATCACTAAGTTTCCTTGTGTATGCAAAAACCAAATTATATTATAATTTATAATATTTTCGAAACCATATGGAAATATGACAGATCCCAGACCTAATTGAATTCCCAATTGCATTTGGCCAACTTATACCTGGAATGACACTTTTCTCCTAATTCCAGGCCAAGGAAGATCCAATGATGAACTGGCTGAGGCTGAAGATCAAATTAGCCAGGCTGTCAGATTGTCACCAATTTAACAAAGCAGTTATCTTGCTCTCAATGTCTCTGAATGTTGTCCACACAAGTATTCCAGGAAAAGATACAAAATAGGACACTGCCATTTTACATTTTTATTGTCTCAGAACATTTTATAAAATTGTAATTTCACATAAACAAATTGTTTGCCCATAAACATATTTTCTGCTGACATGGACTCTCCCGTGATAATCAAAAACACTAACTGTAATAGTACTGAGATAAAAGCAAGAAACAAATATTACACTACTTATATTCTGCTTTTATTTCTTTACAATTCTGTTAGGACTCTCCACATAATCACAATGAAACAAAAGTAGTCACGCAATAAAAATTTCAAGAGTTAACAAAATGGTAAGATATTCAATGACATCAATTTTAAGGGTGGGGAAGTTATCAAAGAGCTAAAAATTAGCATAAGTCATTATGCTGATGACCAAAAAAAGTTAGCCCAATATCATCTAGCTTGCCTAAAACCTAGATCTAAGTTTTCCTTTCCCCAACTTTCAAAATCTTACATAAGAAAATGCATTTTGTAGATTTCATACTGTTTGTTATTTCTCCTTTGTCTTTAAACAAATTTCACTATGTGAAATCATTTTAATGTTTCCAAATTAGTCCAAGAAAATGCTTAAGTTTTTTCAATTATTTTCTATCACATAACTACTTAAAAGTAAAATCTTAAAGGAAAAAAGGCAAAGACATCAAACTACAAAGAAGTCACTAAAAAAAGGATATGGTATTATGAAAAAAGAGGAGGATATCCTTGTCTATATAAATCCTCTCTACCACATCTGAATGAAATGTAAAACTTAATTTTCAAACTAATATGTTAGAAATATCAGAAAGGAGATTCTTTGTTTCTTCCAGCTACCAGGCTCAAAACATCAATCATCTTGGAAAACTACGCTTTCAACTCCTACAATGTGTTCTCTTGCCAACATCTGCAGGCACTGTGGCCTCAAGGGCTCTCTGCTTTTTAAGTCCTCTGCTTGCACCCTAGTCCGAGTCCTCATTTTAAAAAACAAAAACAAAATAAAGAAACAAAAAAAAAACCCAACTCTTCTCTTTTCCTACTTTCTTCCTTTTGTGTATAAGCCAGAAATTATCCTAATCAAGGCTAATTATAAACATAATAGCTACTATTAACTAAACGTCTACTATGAGCCTGATGTCGTACGAGGCTTCAGGTTGTCACAATGATCTATGACAGGTATTACTAGCCCCATTTTACAGATGTTTCCCCGTGAAGCCCAGAGAAGTTAAGTACTCTGCCCAGGCTCACACAGGCAATAAGTCGAAAATCAGGATTCAAATCCTATTCTATTTGACTCTGATTTTTGTCCTCTGCTCTTCTCCAACAAGAAAAGTAACTCGTATCTGAGGCAGAAGTAGTCAAAGTACTTTTACTCTTCTCAAGCCTATGAAAGTACCCTGAGCTCCTTTTCATCACCACCTTTTCTAATTATCATGTTTTAATACTATCGTTCTTTTACATTTTACTGCAGACATTTAACATTTTATATTATTAATTAAATATTTTACTAACTAATAAGAATTCTTGACAGCACTTACAAACATTTCTATGGGTAAAGGAGTCTGAGTTATAAGCCACTAACCTACAAGCAAATTTCTAAAATACAACCCACATGTAAGCCAAGAACATCCTTTACAGTTATATTTGAGAGTAGGAAATGTATGTTGTTCTCTCTTTATGACTTAAATCTCTTTATGATTTAAAAAGGATGCTGCTTAGTGGTTCTCAAGGTCTGGTCTCTAAAAGCAACTTACTAGTTCAGGGGTAGGCAAACTACAACACGAAAGTCAAATGTAGCCATTGTTTTTGAAAATAAAGTTTTATTGGAACACAGTCACACCCATTTGCTTATGCATTGTCTATGGCTGCTTTCTCATTACGACGCAGAGCTGAGTAGTTGCAACAGAGATCACCTGCCCTGCAACACCTAAAATATTAACCGTCTGGCCCTCTGCAGAAAGAATTTGCCAAATACTATGCTAATATATATAAGCCAAATACTTTATTTTTATTTTATCAACTACCATATCTATTTAGCTATGGAAATTAATTTATTCTGATTCCAAAGAGTACTGAAAAGATGACAAAAATACATACTACAGAATAAAAACAAGTAAAAGGGATCAAAGTCAGTGGGAAATAAGGGTAAAGTGAAGTCTGGGTAATCTTAGCACACGTAGAAGAAGATGTCACCTAACTGTTAAATTTGGGCACCATCGTTGTTTCAACCTTACTAGCAGCTAAAGTAAAGAGGAAGACAGACCAATTTCACCTTTTCACTATGTGAAAAAAAATAAAATTCTAGCATTCGCTAATGAGAAAAACTACTTCTAGGTTCTCATGAATGGGACATTATGGTACATAGTAAAAAACGTCCTCCACAATATGGTTAGTTATAGTCAATACAAAAGCAAGTTTCACACAGCTCTGCTTTTTGAAGTGTTTGTTAAATAAAAAGTTTTTGTTAAATAGAATAGAACACCTATAAATCCAACCAAGAGCAAAGGAAATGTGGGCTAACATGTCCTTTCTTTGTCCTGTTGGATCTTGGCATAAAATTTAGATATAGGCAATAAATTGACAATGTACAAAGTAATTCCTTATGTCATGCTTACATGATGAAACCAGGGACCTCTTCCCAAAAACAAAGAGCAGATTTGATTAAAGGCACCCTTGGCCTCCTTAACACTAGTGGATGCACAAACTGATTTATGAAGGCTTATTATACTCAAGACTTTTCATTCAGAAACAATGTACTAACATCAGCAAAGTTAACTAGTCAATAGGACATGAAAATAAACATTGTAGGTATATACACAATTACCATTAAAATGATATTCTACCCAAACTAATATTGAAAGATATTACTGTGCTAAAACCATCTTACTGTGAAATGAAACTGGTAGACCAAAACAGGTCTGATCATCTACTCATACAAGTTTGGGGAACCTCAAAGTTCAAGCTTTACCTGGTGGCTCTGTGAAGAAATCAGGGCACAGTGTGAATCATTATAAGCCCATTACACAGTAAATGAGTCAATTAAGTTGGGATTTTTTTCTTTATTACTATTCTCTTCCTATCCATGGAATATATTCAGGGGCCAATACATATCTTTGAATGTTGCTTTTTAACACATTGTATCGGGGGAAAAAAGTCTAAATATTACCTTCTGTAGAAGCTGCATCAATCATTACTCTTTGCATGAGTACTGGTTCCAATCCAAAGTCGAAAACTATGGTTTGGCGAAAAGTTCCAAATATTTCTGTGTTAAATGCTATCCCGACTTTATACACGTAATGATCTAATCCATTTTGGGCCATCTTTCCTCCTATCCATTCTTGACAGTTTTCTGGGACTTCTTGTGATACCTGGGTAGTACTATCTCCGGCAGATATTGCAATGATACTAAAATGAGGACGATGAGCATCATAAAGCAATGCTACACGATACAGCATTCTTGCAGGCTACAAGGAAGTTAAAATAATTCATTGAGTACAAGGGGGTGAAAAATCCAATTGTAATTGGGCTCTTCAATGAAAATATTTCCATAAGGGACTTTTACTTCCCCAAGCTTCTAAGATACTATAGCCATTTAAGAAAAAAATCAGAATGGTTTTTTAAAATCAGTTGTTAAAATTATTTATTTATGCTATATCGCTAGCCTCCCTTCTCTTCCTGTGACATGTTCATTTTTCACTGTGGCAAAAGCTATCACCCTATATAACCATCAACCTTCAAACTTTCCATACTCTTCACCTACAGAAGTTTCATGTAGCCTCAAGTAGGAAGCCTTCGTAAGAGGGCAGTTACCTCTGAAAGCACTGGATTGGGTTCAAGGCTGAAGCTAACTGTTCTTAGATTTTTCATCTCCAGATACAGAAAGTACAGCAGAAGAAATGCCACAAAAAAGACAAAAACTTTTCCACTGAGCATACTCACAGAAACTTTTTACTTTGCTTCGATCTTAAACTTTGACTACTATAATTTAAGATGGGAAGCACTGCAGAAAATGCCCCATATTAAAAACCCATTATCACAGAATTTGTGACTTCATCATATCAAATATAAAAACAAGTTGTTATGGTTTAAAAATCTTAGAACTACTAGAATAAACAATTTTTAAGTAGTTAATTACAAGCCATGAACCCCATCCTATGTCCCAAGTTTAGAAGACAATATGTCAAAGATCTCTTTACCAAATAAATAAATATGAAAGCACCCTAAATATCTACAAAGATCTCATCTAAAAGTATTTTTAAAATTGTACTTTTAATGATCAAAGTACAGAAATATACTTTAGTACAATATAGAACCTATATATAATGTACTTAGATTAAAATATTTTCAATATTCTTTAACACAGAGATTCAAAGGTCAAAAAAACGTTCAGAAAATTAAACACAACTTTTATGCTTTAACTAGCACAAAATTCATACCTTACAAGTGAGAGCAAAGGTCCATGTCTGGTGGGATTTTTTGGTGCTGACAGTAACTGACAGGTCAGGATTGTGCTCTACCTTTACTCCTTCTATACATTCACTAAGCTGAAAACAGACAGCAATTTATGTTATGTTTTTATTGCTAAGGGCACAAACAAAATCTTTTAGCATGGAAAATAAATGTCAACAGTTAAGATGATGATGGAACTGTTTACAGACCAAAGTATTTTATACCTTCATTTTCAGTAATTTTGACAAGAACAAAATATAGTAAAGCTAAAATAAGAGAGAAAAGAAAATTAACCACCACCACAAAAATGGCACTCAAAAACTGCCTGAATGAAGGTAATTAATACAGTACAGGCAAATCTCCAAACAAGTGGTTTAGTTCTGCTCTTCATTTTAACAAATGGGTCTACTATAGCTACTAAAAACATCATTCTATCAGAATCAAGTTCTTTGCAAAGAAGATAAGGAAATAAACCAAAATAGAGCACACAATAAAGTCAAGACTCAAGTTCATTGTTTAAGACAAACAAAAAATAATGTAGCTTATTTTCCTCACCACTTTCTCAGGAGACAATGAATTCATCCACTTTTCTATCAAGGTTTCCATGTAACTGCCTGAGAGCTGTTTATTCTCATTTTGCTGTTTCAATTTTATCAGCCGTGAAGCATATCTTTTCTGCCATTCTGCTAGTTCTTCCTGGGAATGTGCTGAAGTACACTGGGCACCATACCTACAGATTCCTTGTTCTAAAAATCTAAGTAGAATAGGAAAGACTGTTTTATCATATACTTTGTTGAACCATTTAAAAATAAACTCCCAGCATTTGCCCTCTGATTCTTCAATAAAAACAAAACTTCATGTGCTGAAAGGCCATATTTATCGTACTGTCTTGTACAAAGGAGGGAGAAGAGGTTTAGAGAACATTTACAACAGTTAACCAAAACATCAGCTCCCCATATTATTCACTGACTTTCTCTGGAATTAGGGGATCCTAAGGCATAGGTATTCACGTCGGCCCTCCAAAAGAGGCACTGAAAAGTAGCTTCCTTGGTCATATAAGGACTCTTACTAGACAATTCCTCTTAGTGTAACTGGGTTTTGTTTTTGATTTTTTGTTTTTTGTTTTTGAGACGGAGTCTCACTCCGTTGCCCAGGCTGGAGTGCAGTGGCGTAATCTCGACTCACTGCAACCTCTGCCTCCTGGTTTCAAGCAATTCTCTGCCTCAGCCTCCCGGGTAGCTGGGATTACAGGCGCCCGCCACCACGCCTGGCTAGTTTTTGTATTTTTAGTAGAGACGGGGTTTCATCATCTTGGCCAGGCTGGTCTTGAACTCCTGACTTGGTGATCCACCCGCCTCGGCCTCCCAAAGTGCTGGGATTATAGGCGTGAGCCACCACGCCCAGCCAGAGTAGGATTTTTTTAAGCAATACTGACATCAAGTGGATTTGCTGCTCACACACAGGTATACCCTACTTCCCAAAATGATAAGGACCTTAAAAAAATTTTCTATATATGGGAATTTCATTCTGAAAAAACAGTTAACATATGACTAATTACCATTTTAAGGCTTTTACTTTTCACCTTTAAACATAGTGATTTTACTCTTTTCTACATTACTATTACCTATATTTCAGTGAAAATATATTAACTTGCTTGAAGCTTTAAATAAATTTAGAATCAAAGTTTTATATTACAGAGTCACAAATTTATTCAACAGTCATGTTAAATTCAAGGGAATAAATTATAAATGTTCATTTTAAAGGACAGAGAGTCAATGATTTCTCGACGTTTACAACTCGGAAAATTCAACTGACAATTCAGTGACCAAAAACAGATAAAAATAAAATACTTTGATAATTTTTTTTTTTGGAGATAGTCTCGCTCTGTTGCCCAGGCTAGAGCGCAGTGGCACGATCTCGGCTCACTGCAGCCTCTGCCTCCCGGGTTCAAGGGATGCTCCTGCCTCAGCCTTCAGAGTAGCTGGGATTACAGGTGCCTGCCACCACAATGCCCGGCTAGTTTTTGTATTTTTAGTAGAGATGGGGTTGCATGTTGGCCAGGCTGGTCTCGAACTCCTGACCTCAAGTGATCCACCTGCCTTGGCCTCCCAAAGAGCTGGGATTACAGGCATGAGTCACCATGCCCGGCCCTGATCATTAACTTTTTTTTTTTTTTTTTGAGATGGCATTAACTTTTTAAAAAAGTTTTAAATACCCTGCAAAATTATAGGCAAAGCCAGTTTTTAAATAAAAATAATAAAAACATTGATAAAAGATCTTCTGAGAAAAAATGAAAATTAAACTAGAAATATAATTAAATGGCCGGGCACAGTGGCTCACGCCTGTAATCCCAGCACTTTGGGAGGCCAAGGCAGGCGCATCACCTGAGGTCGGGAGTTCAAGACCAGCCTGACCAACATGCAGAAACCCTGTCTCTACTAAAAATAGAAAATTAGCCGGGGTGGTGGCACATGCCTATAATCCCAGCTACTTGGGAGGCTGAGGCAGGAGAATCGCTTGAACCCGGGAGGCGGAGGTTGCAGTAAGCCGAGATCATGCCATTGCACTCCAGCCTGGGCAACAAGAGCAAAACTCTGTCTCAAAAATAAAAAAAAATACATAATTAAATGTAAATATAATATAAAACTATAAATAGCAAAAGAGAGATGTTATATTACAGACCATTTTTCAATTGGAAAAAATATGGATAGTAAGAAATAAGAAATGAACCACAGCACAATATGAATTTTCAAATGGTTCACCGTATTTGAAAAAATGAGTATATTTAAAACTTTTCCTGATGGTACAACAAAGTACTTGAACTTAAAATTATACTATTTATTAAATTCTCTTACACTTTTGAAGACACATTTAAAATCATTTTATGTTTCTTTTCAATATGTCTTAATGGGCCAAATCTTTGTCTTTCTATTGCTTGGCTTTAAATTATTTCCCTAAAAAGTGAAAGTGTTATATTCTTATCTGTACTTCAAATCTTCTCATATTTCCTTTTCATAGGATTGTGTTCTGTCTCTTCTACAACATAACACCACTAGGATTTTCAATACTTACACATTAGTTTCCTGACTATTCAATAATCAAAACCATGTAGCAAATTTCCTTCGCTATCAAAAGTAATCTAAAGAGGCGGTGAGAATTTATATCTAAAAATCCCACTAGTTACAAGTTCTTACAAAAAGAACCGAAGAGTTTACCATTTTAACTGTAACTTTAATCATTCCTTCCACATTAATAAATAATTATTAAATTTTGAAAGGTTAGCCCTTCATTATGAATTATTCATAAATTCTACATAAGAATTACATGAAGATAATATTTTTCAGAAAGGTTAAAACAATTTAACATTTCTTTATCTATTTTATGCTCTACTTTTTACATAAAGTATTGTCAACTTCAATCACCACAACCTAAGTAAATTTCACATTAACAAATGGCCATGGCCAGGTGTGGTGGCTCACATCTGTAATCCCAGCATTTTGGGAGGCCAAGGCAGGAGGATTGCTTGAGCTCAGGAGTTCAAAACCAGCCTGAGCAACATGGTGAAACCCCATCTCTACAAAAAAAATACAAAAATCAGCCAGGCTTGGTGGCACACGCCTGTAGTCCCAGCTACTTGGGAGGCTGAGGTGAGAGGATCATTTGAGCCTGGGAGGCAGAGATTGCGGTGAGCTGTGATCAAGCCACTGCACTCCCAACTGGGCAACAGAATGAGACTCTGTCTCAAAAAAAAAAAAAAAAAAAGAAAAGAAAAACAAAAGGACAGAAATTAAGTTCAGCCATAATAATACAACTGGTATTATAAAAGACTACTGAGGCCAGGCACAGTGGCTCACGCCTCTAATCCCAGCACTTTGGGAGGCCAAAGTGGGCACATCACAAGATCAGGAGTTCAAGACCAGCCTGGCCAACATAGTGAAACCCTGTCTCTACTAAACATACAAAAAATTAGCCAGTGTGGTGGCACATGCCTGTAATCCCAGATACTCAGGAGGCTGAGGCAGGAGAATCACTTAAAGCCGGGAGGCAGAGGTTGCCGTGAGCCAAGATTGTGCCACTGCATTCTAGCCTGGGCAATAGGGCGAGACTCCATCTCAAAAAAAATAAATAGATAAAAAATAAAAGACTACTGAACAGTCTTAACAACCTGCATTTAGATCATTGCTGTTTAGAATTAAAGGAAGAGAACTCATCAATATGGTTTTGACTTTTATTACTTAATGATAATGACCTTTATGGCTTCTGTTTCAAATTGAAAATAAACCATTTTACTCCATTAGATAAGGAAAATTATCTGTCCTTTCAACAAGACATGTCATTGTTTAAAAACAAAAAAATTCACATTACCTTTTACACAAAGTATATTCCTCGCTGCTTGTGATTCCCCTAGGTGGTGGGCGGAAATGCCAACCATTACAAGACCCTAGGGAGTAATTAGGATATAGTCTTATCATTTGAGGCTAGCCAGTAATTCTGATATTTTAATGTGTAAGAGATACTACAATCCCTCCACATACATCATCCCATATGATGTAAAAAAGAACATGACATACTTGCCTCTACCAAAAAGTAATCTACCAATCAACTACATAAAACATAGGAATCACTGAAGAGGCAGTTTCCCAGCAGTTAGTTAAAATCAAGCTGGTGACTCTGACTCTGTCCTAGCAACTGGTGGACAGGTTTCCAGTGCAATCTCTTCCCTAACAACACAAGGCGGGTGGCTGGCATACTTGTCATTTCTTAGGCATGGGATGTTTGTCTATCAGGAATTCCTTCAGGGATGAAAAAAATCATTGTATCCTGGAAGGAAAGCTTACATAACAAATTCCACTACTGCACAGTGAGAAGAAGTTCCATGTTATCACATTATCACCCATGTTCCTTAAGATTTGTCTGACACGTCACTGTAGAATATAATCCTTTTTTAAAATTGAAATAAAGTTCAAAAAGTTTAATTCTGAGATAGGAGCTAAAAACACAGTATTTACTTACTTGTGAATACAATGAGCTTTGATTTGTTTGGATAGGAGTTTCCAAATAAACCAGGGAAAATAAGGATAATGAGAAAAAAAGGCTAGAACTTTATAGAGGTTGAGCAGCAACAAGTTTCAAGGAACTTATAGCCATTTTCTACTCCCTCACAAGTCACTATGCCCCCCAGAAAAGGAAAAGAAAGATATTCAGCCAGGTTGAGTTTAAAGCTGTGCTTCATCTCTATACTAGCTGTGTGACTTTAGGGCAACTCATAAACCTTAATGTCAGTTTCATCACCTGTCAAAAAGATGCAGAAGGACTCTAAGTCAGTACATGTTTTGTGAAAGCCAATGCCCATAGTACACAGCATTCAGCAGGCACTCAATGAATGTTCTTCTTTTCCCTTTCCTCTGGTGAGAGGAGAGGAGATCACAGAGTTTCATTAGGGCAGGAACAACTCAGCTCACAGATCAAAACTTCCAAAAAGTAATAACTGTACTAGCTTAGGACAGAGAGAGAAGAAAAGTCTTCCCTCTATAGATTGTTAAGAATGATGTTTAAATTTAGTCCTACACGGAGGCAAGAAAATAAACTAAATGACCTCTGAAGTTACCTCCTACCTCCATTACTCCATTATTCTATGAAAAGGTGCCAGGGAGAAAATTGCTTTCAACTACACCTACTTCTTAAAATTAAAATCTTATATTCTCTCCTACATCTCCACTTATATGTACTGTAACTCAGTAAATTTTCTCCCAATAATTAATAAAAGCAAAGCCCTTATTCACAGCTACCAGAAGTTACACAGCATTTGGCACTTACCCTCATCTAAGTCTTCCACGTGATATCCAGAGAGGGCGTTACTAGTTGCTGTCTGCAATTTTCCAAATGAAAGAATTTTTTAAACAAGAATAACGTTGATGCTGAACTAAACTTGAACATTTTCAATATTAAAACAAAGGTGAAGTTGGAATACTCAGAAATTTTTAATAACATTAATATGTTGCCAATGATTTTTGTTTTTTTCTACGTTAAACTATAATTAAATATGGAAAACATATTTGTGAGGCTCTCATTAAGGAAGCTGATAGAGGCCTCCTACATAGAAATTAGCTGGCAGCAGAAGAGAAGTCCAAGTCCCCAGTCTTGAACCTCACAGGCTAGCACCTTCCATCCATTTATTCACTTTACTCTCCTCTTCATAACACCTAGAAAATGTCTGATTACAGAGGTTTCTTTTCCTTTTTTTTTTTTTCTTTTTTTTTTTTTTTTTGGGACAAAGTCTTGCTCTTTTGCCCAGGCTGGAGTGAAGTGGCGCAAACTCAGCTCACTGCAACCTCCACCCCCCGGGTTCAAGTGATTCTCCTGCCTCAGCCTTCTGAGTAGCTGGAATTACAGATGCCCACCACCACGCCTGACTAATTTTTATATTTTTAGTAGAGATGGGGTTTCACCATGTTGGCCAGGCTGGTCTCCAACTCCTGACCTCAGGTGATCCGCCCGCCTCGGCCTCCTAAAGTGCTAGAATTATAGGCGTGAGCCACCACGCCCGGCTAGAGGTTCCTTTTTCTTGCAGCTAATGGCATGCTACCACTTTGGAGCCTGGGAGCACTTACTGCTAGGTACCCCACTCACTCTGAGATGAGCCCTTCTCCCACAGAGGAGTCCAAGGCTAGGGATCCATTCACTCTAACATCCTCAGATAAACCACCAATCAGCGCATTTGGCTCTAACTTTACCCTAAGCTCTACACTTCCAATTTCAACAAAGCGCCAACCATAGCACTTTTTCTAAACTATTCTGTAGTATTTTACATGCTAGATCGTTATCAGCGATATACACATCTGCTGTCAGCAGTCTGTAACTGCCTTTCTATATTCTTGCACCTCTCAAAGTATCTGGCACATAATAATGGGTGCTCAGTAAATGTTGGATGAGTGGGTGGGTGGATAAACAGATAGATGGTTGGTTAGTTGGATGGATGGATGGATGGATGGATGGATGGATGGGTGCATGGGTGGGTGGATGGGAACATGGGTGGGTGGATGGGAACATGGGTAGGTGGTTGGGTGGGTGGGTGGATGGATAAATGGATGATTCACCTAAGCACTTTAAATGCAATGGGCCCAAAGCAAAATTCATCAACTTTATCCTAAAGTTGATCCTTCTTCAGTGCTCCTTATCACAAGTTAATGGATTCTTCTTACCCAAAGAGAGCCAAGCTGAAATTTTCAAAGCCATCTTGAACTCCTCCCTCTTCTATCCTGCTCTGAATATTCTCCAAATCTTGTCCAAACAGGTCTAGAATGTCTCTCATCTCTCTTACATTCTCTCCTCCCACTGCCACTGTCCTAGGTAAAGCCCTCATTACCGCTTGTCTCATTTATCCCTGAACCAACTGACAGCTTGCCAATCTTGCCTTATATCAAGTCACCTGTGGGTCTTTACTAAGTGATATGGTTTGGCTGTGTTCCCACCCAAATCTCATCTTGAATTGTAGCTCCCATAATTCCCTTGTGTTGTGGGAGGGACCCAGTGGGAGATAACTGAATCATGGGGGCAATTTCCCCCATATCGTTCTTGTGGTAGTGAGTAAGTCTGATAACATCTAATGGTTTTATAAGGGGAAACCCCTTTCACTTGACTCTCATTCTTCTCTTGTCTGCCGCCATGTGAGATGTACCTTTCACCTTCTGCTGATTGTGAGCCCTCCCCAGCCACATGGAACTGTGAGTCCATTAAACCTCTCTTTTGTAAATTGCCCAGTCTCAAGTATGTCTTTATTAGCAGCGTGAAAACAGACTAATATACTTAGCTATCCCTATCCTTTAAACTCAGTTCTCACACTTCTGCCCCCCTGATTTCCCTGCAGAGTTTTCCCCTTTCCCTGCCTGTATTTTGTGATAGCACTTACTGACTGCAGGCTGCCCTGTGTGCACATTAGCTGTGTGCATCTCTGACTGACCTGCCAGATTGCTTTTCATGGACATCTCAGCTTTCCAGAGCCTTGAACAGCACAGGTGCTCAGTAAATGTTAAACTGAATCAGAAGGAGTAAACAGTATCCCAAGATGAAATCTGGAATATCTTGTACCATAGAAAGAACGTCAGAATGCTAACGGGTCATAACTGAAACAATACTATCACTATAATTTATATGTGGTTGATTAAATTGTACTTTTTAGGTTGGGCTTGAACTAAACTCTGTAATACTGTTTCCACAGGAAAATGCCTTCTGATTATCAGTAAAGCACTTACTAAGGAGTTTTTAAAAAGCAAGCCATTCTTTTTGTAAAACGAAGGGCTGAATATAAGAATACACAGATTAACAAATCAGGAGTAATTATTCATATTATTAGCATTCTACGCTGCAAAAAAAATTAAAAAAAAGCCATTAAAAGATCTCTTTAAATTCTTCAAGCAAGGTCTATGTGCCACTGTCACAAACTAGCCCTTCAAATGATTCTATTTACATAACATATATAAATAGATAGGCTAAAAATTAACTGCAAGTAGGAAAATTTTAAAGTATCTCCTTTTTAAAACCTATCAAAATAAATTTATCAAATGTGCAAGAAAAATAATGGGAATAAAAATGTTTGATAAACATTATTAAAATGTTTTGGTCATAAAATAAAGCCTAAAACACTTATAAATGTTGGAGAGAACACCACACAGTGCATTTCAGCAGTCAGCACCTGTAAGAATCAGTGACGACCCGCACGGGCCTGTGCTGACACTGAGCTCTAGGTCTCCTGGGGATCTGGGGAGCAGCACATGCTCAGCAGAGAACTGGTAAAGTAAGGCACTCAGCCTGGCTAAGTATTTAGCAGTCCTGGCTTTTAGGTTCCAAAGTGTTGTGTTTGTTTTTTAAACACTCTTTTTATGCACTTATACTCCAAAACAAAAAGGCAACAGTTTATCATCATTAGTCTTTACCGACACCTTCAGGAAAAATGGCCAAAGATTACACTGCTAGAACTATAAATTCAGAATCAAATCTATTAATCAGATATTTTAAATGTTACTAAAGAATATTTACTAAAGAATACTTGTTTTTGTTTTCATAAATCAGTCTTGAGTTCCAGGTCTTTATTCTCATCCATTAGCATTTACAAGTTAAATACCAGCTTAGCCCAATTTTTAAATAACAAATTGTTGCCATTTTTAAATGTGTCATGTGCAATAATAAATAAGGGTAGCACTGTTTGTTAGCTTTTCCTAAACGGTTATCTTTTAATAATATCAATTCACTAACCAAAAAGACTACTACTCTAGTTAGATAGAAAAAAATTACAAAAACTTAAGTCACTTCTTCCAAAAGTATAGTCACAAAATAAGAGTCAAGTGATATATGTGGCCTTACATGCAACAGGATTATAAACATTAAAAATAAAATAAATTGCATGTGATTATCAGATGTAAAGTTGGTAATTCAATTAAGGCAATAAAAGAAGAACAAAGCCAAAAATCTTAACAAAATGAAAGGTCATTTTATGCTGTCATTTTAAAAGTCTAAAACATCTACAACTGCCTTCTGTTACTTCTTAGAAATTAAAACGGCTACATATACACTATTAGGTTGGTGCAAAAGTAATTGCGATTTTGCCATTACTTTTTTTTTTTTTTTTTTTTGAGACAGAGTCTCACTCTGTCGCCCAGGCTGGAATACAGTGGTGCAATCTCAGCTCACTGCAACTTCCGCCTCCTGGGTTCAAGCCATTCTCCTGTCTCAGCCTCCTGAGTAGCTGGGATTACAGGCTCCTGCCACCATGCCTGACTAATTTTTGTATTTTTAGTAGACACAGGGTTTCAACATATTGGTCAGGCTGGTCTCAAACTCCCGACCTCAGGTGATCTGCCCGCCTTGGCCTCCCAAAGTGCTGGGATTATAGGCGTGAAGCACCGCACCGGGACTGTTTTGCCATTACTTTCAAAGGCAAAAACCCCAATTACTTTTGTACCAACCTAATACCTATATATACACATGGCTTTGAAGTTAGTGAGAGCTTACTGATTCTCGGTTGATTCACAATCAGGCAACATAAGACAAAGAAAATGAAATTTAGAAGAAAAAGCCTAATAGTAGCAAAACAGTTATTTTTTCCAGCTTGTATAATCCATGGTGACCACCTTCTTTGCTGTTTTTTGGTATGAACTGGGATACATTACTACATTTGGAATGGAAAGGAACCCACAGGAGTTCAAAGTTGACACCAGGGTCTCTGCACATCCCCTCTGTCTGTCTGAAGCGCCCTCCATCTCACTCTCCGTGAGACAAGCACCTTCTCAACTCTCAGCTCTTGGTTTAACTGTCTCAGTCCTTGGCCACCAAATCCAGTGATTTTTCCAGCAGAAGAGTTCATTCTTTTCCCTCATATCACCTACCTCTCTGTGAATTACACTTACAGTTGTTCAATTTATTTACTTGTTGTCTATCTCCTTCCTAAAACTTTAACCTCCAAGAGGACAAGAACCATGTTCAGTGCTGTATCCCCAGCAACAAGCATAGTACCTAGCACATAGGCAATTTTTGAATAAATAAGCCAATTAATCACTGTACATGGGCTTTTATGACAAAAGCTGACAAAATGGCTATTTTTTAAATAGGACATCTAAAAATAAAAATACTTTTATATGCCTATATGAAGAAGAAAAATTTGAGACTTACAAACCTCAGGGCCTTTTACATGCCACTGTTGTCCCTGACCTTCCATGTGTCCTCCAAGTCCTTCACTGGAGTACTTTTTTGTTCACTATTTATCCTCATACACATTATTTCCATCTCCTAAACACATTCCTTAAAGACAGTCCTTAAATCACAGACTTCCATCAGGTGCTTTAAAAAAGACAAAAAGAAGGCCTGGTGTGGTAGCTCATGCCTGTAATCCCAGCACTTTGGGAGGCAGAGGCAGACGGATCACTTGAGCCCAGGAGACCAGCCTGGGCAACATGGCAAAACTCCATCTCTACCAAAAATTAAAAATAAAAAAATTAGCCAGACGGTGGAGTGTGCCTGTAGTTCCAGCTACTCAGGAGGCTGAGGTGGGAGGATCACCTGAGCCAAGGGAGGTCGAGGTTGCAGTGAGCTGTGATCACACCACTGCACTCCAACCTGGGTAACAGAGCGAGACCCTGTCTCAAATAAACAAATAATAAATAAATAAGGCTTGAGGATATCTCATTTTTAATGATAGCATTTCATTTTCTAGTAGCCAGAAGTAGTTAAAAACTAAAATTTCCCAATCATCTTCCCATTTGTTGTCCAGAGACAGCTAATAAGATACCAGTTCTGTCCACTAGGGACAGAAGATAAGCCCTGGCACACAGAGGAGACATGTGGAGAAGCAGCATTCCCACGATGGGACTGTGGGTTATGGGGGTTACGAGGGAAGGCTGGCAGTCCCACTGCCCCACCTTCACAGCCTCGCCTTCTGGCTGATGCCACAATGGTTTTCCAAATTTTAATACATAATGCTTACTAGACAGATTGAGTCAAACTCTTCCAAACGGATCCACTGAAATGGCCTTACCTCTGTTTCTGAGAGAAGTGTTTTTAGTCTTGTCAAATCCTTTGTTACCATCCCATTCTGAAAGGGTGAATAAAAAAGAGAAGAACCAATTAGTATATTAATTCTTTACTATGGCAACTTAGCTCAATTCCTCTGTTGTTTCTGAGTTTATTTGTAAAAAACAATGTTATCCTCATCCCTCATCACTACTACCATTAACGATGACAATAAAGCAACACATCTATGAGGAAAATTTAAAAGGTTAACAGGAAAAACTATACAGAATGCCTTTTCTGGTAAGTAAAACCACTGTATTCACCTTACATTAATTAAAATTAACTCAAGAAAATATTAACAACAGGTACCACCACAGAACAAGACAGCATAAATGAAAAGGAAAACAACCTATTGCTGTTTTTAACCCTTTTCCTAAGATTAATAAGTTTGTATGTACAAAATGGTGAACCCAGCCATGATTCAGGAAGATTCATATAAGCTGATCACACCACTTTAAAAATGGCTCTTTAATAAAAGGAAAATATCACTCTTCTGAAATCTAAATTTCATTTGAGATTTAAAAGCAAATTACTCTTTACTCGTTTTAAATTTAAAAACAACAGGTAAAACTGTAATATACTTAACTTATACAGAAAAGCCCTTTAATGATAATCTTAATAACAAAGAAGAGATATATTCCTTTATTATCTACTTAGAACTAAATAGCTATATAATTTTTCTATGCTAATACATTTTAGCTTTTAAGTTCATTTATGAATCTGGTGAAATCAAAAGACACTGCTAAACTTAAACATAATTAAACAATTCACTGCACAATAATTCCTTAGAAAATAACTATCCCGAGATGGGCCAATACATTACACTCAACAATATACCAAGTACTTCCCTAACTTCTTTTTTTTTAACCAAATATAATTATTTAATATTTGGAGTAAAAGCACAAATCTGCCCCATAATTTTATCATCTATATCAATTCAGAAGAATAGGAAAGATACAGGGAATTCACACAGCAGAGCAAAGTATACATATACTTTCTTGCTTTCACTGTGTTTCATTATGATTCTTGAAAATTATCAACAAATTTCTTAAGTTACGAACTGGTTTAAAAAAAAAAAGGTTATAGCTCTTTTCTTCCACTTTCTATAGATTATCAAATCCAAAGTTTCAAAAAGTAGCCTTTCAATTATCTCAACCAAAAAAAGCCAAAAAATTAAATATACTTCTGAGCACAGTGGCACATGCCTATTGCCCTAGCTACTGAGGAGGTTGAAACAGGATCACTTGAGCCCAAGAGTTCAAAGCTGTAGCGCACTATGATAACCCCCTGTGAATAGCCACTGCACTCCAGCCTCAGCAATTCAGCAAGACTCCGTAACTTAAAAAAATCAAATGCTATATTTACAAAATTGATTGTAAAGTCTGAATAGAGTTAGCTAGTTCCATCAGAGTGGTTATGGATATTACTTACACACATACAAACAGAAACAGAAGCACTTATTAGTTTAGATAGATTTAAACATTTTATGAAATAAATTGTTGAATTTAAGAACCCTATGAGATCATATGTCCACATCAGCATTTTAAAACTCAGGCTCTGTTAAATCATATCTTCAAAGAAAATCACTTAGTTAACCTAAATTATTTTAAAGTATCTACAATTCTTATATATAATCACAAACTACAAGAATTAATAATTAAATATCATTTTGGTCTCGAAAAAAGAGCAGGGGCTCACACCTATAATCCCAGCACTTTGGGAGGCCAAGGAGGGAGGATTTTTTGAGCCCAGGAGTTCAAGACCAGCCTGGGCAACATAATGAGACCTCGTCTCTACAAAAAGTCAAAAATTAGCAGGGATGGTAGTGCGCATCTGTAGTCCCAGCTACTCAGGAGGCTGAGGCAGGAGGATCGCTTGAGCCCAGGAGGTTGAAGCTGCAGTGTGCAGTGATCACACCACTTTACTCAGCCTAGACAACAGACTGACACCTTGTCTCAAAAAAAAGAAAAAAACAAAAAAAGAAAAGAAAGAAAAGAAAAATGGGTACTATATCTCAGGATACTCATGAATTTTGCTTTCTAATAGAGGAAGAACTAAAAGAAAAAAAGATACACTTTTTTTTCCCCACAATATACCTAAGGAATCAAATAAAAATTTGTTTTCAGGCATACAAAATTAGAGCTTATCAACATACCAGGGACTCTCCTGTGAGTGACTTGGCAAGAATGGTGGATACAGGTTGGAGCTTCCCTTTCAGCTGCATGCAGCAAAGCACTGCCCGAAAGGCATCTTCTCCCTTGGCCAGTCCTTCTCCCAGCACTGCCATGAAAGAACAGCCATCATTAACCATATGACATTTAATGCACATTTTTCTTGATTATAGTATTAACACACTATCACAAGCGTGGCTTTTTATATGCTAAAAGAGTAACTTCAAATACTCTAGAGGGAAGCAGTGGTGTTTCTGTTCTGTCCAAAACAGGCATATAAGAACAAGAAAAAACATGCGGCAATAAACATACCGAACTTACAACCAGTTGAGATCAAAATCACAGGAAGAATCAATCCTTAAGCTCTCGAGGGAAAAATACTGTTCAACCTACGAATTCTGGGTAAATGAGGGCTTTTAAATTGCAGACTTAGCTGAATAAAGTTCTCATGTTTTTTACAGTGACATAAGACTGGGTGCCATTAAAATGAGTAAGAACAGAAACTACAAATCTCACCTAGATATTCCTAAGCAATTAAGAATTAGTCTTTATCAAATCCAACAAGATTTACTAAGAATCCAATTGCCCAGTGGCCACAGAAAATGCTACCCAAATTGTTTGCAAGGGTTTGCAGATTTAATCTAATACAATCATGAGGATCATGTTTCTAACAAAACAGAATATACTCATTTTTATGCCATGTCATTTGAGATGATTTCTCACAGCAACTGCTAATGGTTCAATTAGTAGAGCAATCTATATCCTCTGCATTGCTAAGTCCAAGGTTCTATTATTAGTTTGTACATACTTTAGCTTCCTTTGCAATAATTTGCTAAAATATTTTAGAAATTATTTTTAAAATTATTTCCAAGGAAATGTTTCTTTTTAGTATAACATACCATATATATAAAGTCCACTGGATCTGTTCATATTTTTGTTATGAATATATCTTCTCCTATTATTACACAAACATTATAAAACTAATAAAATTCTACATAAGAGTTCATCATAATCTCACTACTCAACGAAGTTTTCACTTACTCATTTTCTCCTCCAATTCTGATCAATGTTCACAACATTTTTACAATGATTGTAACTGATGCCAACATGACAGTTTGTATTCTTTTTTGCCCTCAGCACATTCAGTATTTTCCATGTGATCAGAGTGCTTATATTTATCTTATTATTGGCTATATAATGTTCTACCAAGTAGATACATCAACTTATTTAACCCTTCCCTTATAAGATAATAATTCCAATTATTAACTATTAAAAATAATGCCATAATAAAAATCTTTACATATACCTTTTATTGAATTTACTAAATTGAAAGTTGCAGTCTCTCTGTATTTGACAGGGTTTTATTCAATTATTTTTAGTTTGGACGAATCTATTGTTTCAATCCATCCATATTACAGATCACTCATCTATTCAACAGTCACTAGATAATTCTGTTATCTAGTGAAACTCCAATAAGGAGTTATCAAGTGAAAAACTCCAATAAGGTATCATTAAGAATGTCTTGAGTGTCTTATAAAGTTCCAAGGTAAGTATTCATCTCCCTCAGATCTTACTATTCCTAAAACTCTTCAAATCTGACCTTGGGCAAGTTACTTATCTCTCTGACCCTCAGTGTGGCCATCTGTAAAACAGAAACACGTATAAATTTGCCATTAAAGATTAAATGAAACAATACAAGTAAAATGCTCTCGCCAGGCATGGTGGCTCATGCCTGTAATCCCAGCATTTTGGGAGGCCGAGGCGGGCAGATCACCTGAGGTCAGGAGTTCAAGACAAGCCTGGCCAACATGGTGAAACCCCGTCTCTACTAAAAATACAAAAATTAGCGGGCATGGTGGCAGGCACCTGTAATCCCAGCTACTCGGGAGGCTGAGGCAGGAGAACCGCTTGAACCCAGGAGACAAAGGTTGCAGTGAGCCAAGATCGTACCACTGCACTCCAGCCTGGGGGACAAGAGCGAAACTGTCTCAAAAAAAAAAAAAAATTGCTCTGAAGAAAAATGACACTCCTACTAAGGTATGGATTAGTTACATCGCTAAGCCTATTTCCTCCCCTATCAAACGGAGGTGACAGTAGCTACTTCATAAGGTTGTGGTAAAGATTAATTATGCTAATTAGAAAAGTAACTAGCAGTCTCCTGCATAAGTAAGAATTCCCTACATATTACCTTCCCCTTCTAAAAATTTTACAGCAGTACTGAGCACTGCTGAGGAAATATCTTAGTTCATTTTTAGTAACTGGGATATTAAGAAACTAGTTGTCAAGAGCTGAAAAATGTTTGCAGGAATGAAAAAGTCTAAGAGTATTTCAACTTCATATGATGATGTCATACTTAAAGAGTATTAAATCACATAACATTTTACAAACAGGTTTCATAGATCTTTGGTTTTGTATGAGGTATTTGCTGAATTTCATTTTGCAAGTTTCTTCCACTACATTGCTGTATGAATATCTTAATATTTGTCAAATTTATGTTTCCCTTTTTTCCATCTCTTTTTCAGACAAGAAGCAGTACTGACATACTTTCTTCCTGTTCCCCTTAAATGAAATTCAATTTATGTATGGGAGGATCCCATATAAAAAACTATGGCATAGAAATAGTCAATAACTATAGATAAAAACCTCTCCTGCTACTGTATCGTATAACAAAATTAAATTGCAATGCTGCCAATCTAGTTCCTTATTACCTTGAAAAAGCTTGGGGGAAAAAAAGTATGGCCTACTGTATTATTAAACTTGTCTCGGCTATAAAAACTGAACTTGCCAAAAGACATGACATTAATAATACAATCTTGAACAATTATAAAAAAGTTACAGCTCCTTGCAGATAAATTCTCTTCCCATCAACTATGTGTGAGAGTGTACTGTGCGCACACAACTGTTCTCAAACTGAATTGTTCCTTTCTGTTCACTAGGAGTTACAAAGGAGGACTTCTGTCAGCTCGCTGTGTATCTTTTTTGTGATATTTTCTAACACTTGAAATATGTCTTACTTAGAATGTTTTGGATTAGAAACTGAGTAGACTTAAAGGAGTAATATTCATTCAACTGTTTTAGCAAAATACATCTTTGCTGGGGTTCCATAGCCTCTGGCTATCACAAGGCAAGGATTAACAATTAAAATGCAATTCCCTTTGCTTGTAAAGAATTACCTAATATAAGGAAAGTAATCTTAAAACAAGCTTATAGTAAATGTTGAGTACATATTCTCTACTGTTTTCAGTAATATGACCATATTAGGACTTTTTTTTTTTTTTTTTAAGACGGAGTTTCACTCTTGTTGCCCAGGCTGGAGTGGAATGGCGCGATCTTGGCTCACCACAACCTCTGCCGCCCAGGTTCAGGCAATTCTCCTGCCTCCAGCCTCCCGAGTAGCTGGGATTACAGGCATGCGCCACCATACTCGGCTAATTTTGTATTTTTAGTAGAGACGGGCTTTCTCCATGTTGGTCAGGCTGGTCTTGAACTCCCGACCTCAGGTGATCCACCCGCCTCAGCCTCCCAAAGAGCTGGGATTACAGGCGTGAGCCACTATGCCGGGTTTTTTTGTTTTTTGTTTTTTTGGGTTTTTTTTGAGACAGAGTTTCGCTCTTGTTGCCCAGGCTGGAGTGCAGTGGTATGATATCAGCGGACTGCAACCTCTGCCTCCCAGGTTCAAGCGACTATCCTACCTCAGCCTCCCAAGTAGCTGGGATTACAGGCATGCGCCACCACCCATGGTTAATTTTGTATTTTTAGTAGAGACGGCGGTTCTCCATGTTGGTCAGGTTGGTCTCGAACTCCTGACCTCAAGTGATCCGCCCGCCTCTGCCTCCCAAAGTGCTGGGATTACAGGCATGAGCCACCACGCCCGGCCTTTTTTTTTTTTTTTTTTTTTTTTTTTGAGATGGAGTCTCGCTTTGTTGCCCAGGCTGGAGTGCAGTGGCATGATTAGGCTCACTGCAACCACCGCCTCCTCAGTTCAAGCGACTCTCCTGCCTCAGCCTCACCAGTAGCTGGTATTACATGCACGTGCTACCACACCTGGCTGATTTTTGCATTTTTAGTAGAGACAGGTCTTCACCATGTTGGCTAGGCTGGTCTCGAACTCCTGACCTCAGGTGATCCACTCACCTCAGTCTCCCCAAGAGCTGGGATTACAGGTGTGAGCCACTACACCCAGCCTAGGTTATTTCTTTTATCAAATCCTTAGTTACTTCTGAAGTGTTTTATTAAAGAGCTTAGCCTAATGAAGGTATTTTTTCCAAAAACTTTCCTAAAAATTTTTTTCATTACCATACAAACTAAATCCTTTAGTCAGTAATGATATAAAATCACTCACTGCTTAGATATAATCATGCTCTCAGAACTAACAATTCAGAAACTGAATTTAAAATGAAAATAAAGGCCGAGCCTATAATCCCAGCACTTTGGGAGCCTGAGGCAGGTGGATCACCTGAGTCCAGGAGTTCGAGACCAGCCTGGCCAACATGGCAAAACCCCATCTCTACTAAAAATACAAAAATTAGCCAGGCATGGCGGCGCATACCCATAATACTAGCTTCTTGGGAGGCTGACTGCTTGTACCCAGGAGGCTGAAGTTGCAGTGAGCTGAGATCACTCCACTGCACTCCAGTCTGGGCGACAGAGCAAGACCCTGTCTCAAAACAAAAACAAAAAACAGCATGGATGGATCTCAAGAGGACCATGGTGAGTGGAAAAAAGCCATCTGAAAAGGTCATATGCTATATGATTCCATTTCTATAACACTCTCAAAGTGGCAAAATTAGGGAGATGAAGAACAGATTAGTGGTTGCCAAGGGTTAGAAAAGGTAGTAAGGAAGGGTGGTTGAGTGTGACTCTAAAGGAATAGTACATTTCCTGAGAAAGAAACAACAAAAAAAGAAGTTTTTCAAAAAAAATTGTAAAAAAAAATTGTAAAAGGTAGGAGGCAGCACAAGGGAGATCTTCACGATGATGGAGCAGTTCTGTATCTTAATTGTATTCGTGGTTAAATCAGTCTACACATGATCAAAATGACACAGAATACACACATTCCTTGTACTAATGTTAATTTCCTTGTTTTGATATGGTGCCAGAGTTATGTAAGACGTAATAACTGGGGGAAAGTAGGTGAAGGGTACGTGGGACCTCTCTGTATTATCTTTGCCACTTCCTGTTAACCTATAATTATTTCAGAATAAAGAGTTTAAAATAAATACATAAAGCTTATATATATATAAATTTTTTAAAAAATAGTTTGTAACTGGATCTAACAATGAATTAAGAAATGTTGTTAAGGCTGGGTGCAGCGGTTCACATATGTAATCCCAACACTTTGGGAGGCCAAGGTAGGAGGATTGCTTGAACCCAGTAGTTCAAGACCAGCCTGGGCAACATGGCAAGACACCATTTCTACAAAACAGAAAACAAAACAAAAAAACAGAAAAAAATTAGCCGGTTGTGGTGGCATGTGCCTATAGTCCCAGCTACTTGGGAGGCTGGGGTGGGAGGATCACCTGAGCCCCAGAAGGTCATCAAAGCTGAGGTGAGCTGTGATCACACCATGGCACTCCAGCCTGGATGACAGAGTGAAACTCTGTCTCAAAAAAAAAGAAAAGAAAAAAGAAAAGAGAAGAGAAGAGAAAAGAAGAGAGGCAGGAAGGCAAAAAGGAAGGAAGGAAGGAAGGAAGGGAGGAAGGGAGGGAGGGAGGGAGGGAGGGAAGGAAGGAAAGAAGGTAGGTTGGTTGTTGAACTGCGTCTCTATTTTAAAAGCCTGGGGAATTAAAAAAAAAAAAAAACAACACTGGCAAGGAGCTTAAATACTGAAATTCTTGTCTCCACCACACTAATATTATAATTATTTTAGTGATCCTGAGGCACAATCTTTTTCATTTCTAGAATAATACAGTTCTTTTTGTGCCTGTTTTCCAAGTTTGTTAGGCTAAAGGAGATAAAAACATCTGCAAAATGCTGAAGTAGGCCGGACGCGGTGGCTCACGCCTGTAATCCCAACACTTTGGGAGGCCGAGGTGGGTGGATCACCTGAGGTCAGGAGTTCAAGACCAGCCTGACCAGCATGGTGAAACCCCGTCACTACTAAAAATACAAAAATTAGCCGGGAATGGTGGTGGGCGCCTGTAATCCCAACTACTTGGGAAGCTGAGGCAGGAGAATCGCTTGAACCCAGAAGGCAGAGGTTGCAGTGAGCTAAGATCACACCATTGTATTCCAGCCTAGGCAACAGAGCGAGACTCTGTCTCAAAAACAAAACAAAACAAAACAAAGCTGAAGTATACACAAGTAGTAGTTGAGGATAAAGCAAAGCAACATGCCCTTTCAGATCAGAAAGACTTCAGTTCAAAACCACACTTCCACTCTGGACTGGCTCTGTGCTCTTAAGCAAGTAACTTAATCTCACAAAGTCTGTTTGCTCATCTGTAAAACTGCAATGATAATACAATTTGACTAAATAACATATTTCAGAGGGCCCAACCCTGTGACAATTTTAAATAAATACTGTTAACTCATTCACTAAATATTTTTTCCAAAAAAATTTTTAACTACCATAGAAACTATTTAATCAAAACTCTTCTGAGGGCCAGGTGCAGTAGCTCACACCTGTAATCTCAACACTTTGGGAGGATGAGGCAAGAGGATCACCTGAAGCCAGGATCACTCAAGACCAGCCTGGGCAACAAAGCAAAACCCCATCTCTACAAAAAATACAAAACAAAAATTAATCAACTATGCTGGCGCACACTTTGTTGTCCCAGCTACTGGGGAGGCTGAAGCAGGAGGATCACTTGAGCTCAGGATTTCAAGGCTGTAGTGAGCTATAATCACGCCACTCTACTTCCAGTCTGGGTGACACCATGACATGCCATCTCCAAATTAACAAACAAATTCTTCTCAGAAGAAAGGTAGTTACAGATATCACTTCCTCCCCCAGAGAGAGTACAGAAGTTTCAACCAATCGCCTATCAATTTGCCTTTTCTAAAAGTCAGCCTCTTTAACAGGGGTTGCTGATTACTGAATCATTTACTTCACAGGCCAAGTCTCACAACAACAAACATCAGTAGATGACCCAAGCCCCTTTGTTTGCAATGATGACTTCTTACATTAACAAAACTCTTAGCTAGGCTTTACAAATCTTACAGCCTCATAAAAAATTTTCATTGATGTTTATGATGGTTAAGTTTAACCTACATATTACAAGTGGTACAATACTCTTAGTTGATAAGATTACGTTCTTTTGATTTTACTTTCTCCATTTACCTCATTCATTTTTTTAGTGTAAAAAAATGGCCGGGCACAGTGACTCACACCTGTAATCCTAGCACCTTGGGAGGCCAAGGCAGGCAGATCACAAGGTCAAGAGATGGAGACCATCCTGGCCAACATGGTGAAACCCTGTCTCTACTAAAAATACAA
The DNA here is from genome assembly GCF_000001405.40 of Homo sapiens. Taxonomy (NCBI): domain Eukaryota; kingdom Metazoa; phylum Chordata; class Mammalia; order Primates; family Hominidae; genus Homo; species Homo sapiens. The sequence goes on from NC_000017.11 coordinate 67,210,770, forward strand.
AAATTAGCTGGGCGTGGTGGCGCATGCCTGTAGTCCCAGCTACTTGGGAGGCTGAGGCAGGAGAATCGCTTGAACCCAGGAGGCAGAGGTTGCAGTGAGCTGTGATCACGCCACTGCATTCTAGCCCAGCAACAGAACAAGACTCAAAAAAAAAAGTAAGTTTCCTATATAATGACTATTCGAAAGGCAAAAATAGAACCATTATTTCATCAAAGTTTTTGTGTTATGCCAAATACAACTGATGTTCAGACAATGAAAAGTGACTTAACTACCTCACTTATCCATTGGTCGCTGGCTTGGCAATCTTCACTATCCAGAATACAACAATGAACTTGGAACTGAAACCCAGGAACTTACAAAGGTGCCCTTGAGTCCTCACTCAGAGTATGTTTACTCTTATTGAAGCAGAATTCCAACTTTAAAATTTTATAACCTTTAATCAGTTCCTGGTTTAAACAAATCAGCTATTTAAAAAAAAAACTTTGGGGACAGAAAAACAGGTAAATTTGATTATGGACTGGACTTTAGATAGGTTAGGGAATTATTAGAGAATTATATCAATTCTATTATGCTAATAATAATATTGTGGTTATGCAGTCTTGATCTTATTTTTTAGAGAGGCATACTGAAGTATTTAGGGATAAATGTCATGATGTCTTTAATTATTCTTAAATATTTCAGAAAAAATGAAGTAAATATGGCAAAACATTAGTTGTTCAACCAAAGTTTTGAGAATATGAATGTTTATTATATCATTTACTCTACTTTCCTGTGTGTCTTACATTTTTCATATTAAAAAAGAAATAATGGGCTGGGCACGGTGGTTCACGCCTATAATCCCAGCACTTTGGGAGGCCAAGGCAGGTGGACCACTTGAGGTCAGGAGTTTGAGACCAGCCTGGCCAACATGGTGAAACCCCTTCTCTACTAAAAATACAAAAATTAGCTGGGCGTGGTAGCAGGCGCCTGTAATCCCAGTTACTCAGGGGGCTGAGACAGGAGAATTGCTTGAGCCCGTAAGGCAGAGGTTGCAGTGAGCCAAGATTACGCCACTGCACTCCAGCCTGAGCGACAGAACAAAACTGTCTCAAAAAAAGAAGAAAAGGGGAAGGGAAGGGGGAAGGTAAGGGAAGGGAAAGAAAAGACTGTTTTTTAATTCCATGATGAAGACTGCTGGTCTGATTTCGTAACCCACAGTAGGTCAGAAGCTGCAAGTGGAGAGGAGAGGAGCTGCAATGAGGCATGTTGAGAGTTGCAAGGAATGCAAATTAATAGCCTGACAGTAAGAGAACAGACATCAAGACTATGCTGTAAGGCCAAGGCGGGCAGATCACCTGAGATCAGGAGTTCAAGACCAGCCTGGCCAACATGGTGAAACCTCATCTCTACAAAAATATAAAAATTAGCTGGGCATGATGGCAGGTGCCTGCAATCCCAGCTACTGGGGAGGCAGGAGAATTGCTTGAACCCAGGAGGCACAGGTTGCAGTGAGCCGAGATCGCACCACTGCACTCCAACCTGGGCGACAGGGAGAGACACCATCTCAAAAAAAAAAAAAAAAAAAAAGGCTACACTGTATATAAAATGCAAACATAAGAAGTCCACGGTCTGGAGTGCTTAAACTATGAGCTATCCATGGCTATCCCTGGAAGCATCTTAGCATTACGAAACTATAATTAACAGAGACTGAGGTTCACATGTTTTTTATTACTGTCTAACCATAGTACTTCATCTTATACAAAAATAATGTTACTAAAAGTTGAAAAGAAAAAAATTACATGTAACAGCAGAACTCTACAACTACTAATATACATGTATAATCTTGGCCAATATTTCCAAATGTCTATTTCAAATAAACAACTCTGGATATACTGCTTTTGGATTTATTTAAAAAATGACCATTTTTCAAGCTCTTACTTATCACATAAAGGGGAACAAGGAATGTGTAGAATGTAATTAATGAACTCCTTCCTTATTGGAAGGTAACCTATTTTTCTCTTTTACACACAGCACTGCAATGAACACCACTCTGCATACAATTTTTTCTCTCTTTTGGATTACTGACTTAGGATAGTATCCCAGAAATGAGATTAGTGGGTCAAAGGGTATGAATATATTACCAAGCTGCATTCCATTCCATACTCCACCAATACCACAAAAGTATACTCATTTCATGACAACTTTATCTTAGGCATCGGTTAAACTTATATTTTAGTGATTCAAAAGTTGTGAAATAGCACCTAATTTTAAAATGCTAAGTAAAACAATTAACAGAATAATGCAACATTTGTCCATATGCTCCTTCAGCATTTACTTTTGTATGACTTTTCCTAAGTCACTGAACTTTCTAAGACTTTTGTTTGTACATCTCCAAAAAAACAAGACTGCATCAATTTCACTAGCACTCAGGGCAATGAAAACTGAAGAAAAAGGAACTATTTCTCACACATGAGATTGGCAAAATTTCAACACTGACAGGTTTCAGTGACAGATTACAGAGACTGGGCAGTCTCGTATATTGCTGTGGGTGTGTGCATCTGAAACTAATCTGACAGTGTCTATTAAAATTATAGGCCGGGCGCAGTGGCTCACGTCTGTAATCCCGGCACTTTGGGACGCCGAGGCAGGCAGGTCACGAGGTCAAGAGATCCAGACCATCCTGGCCAACATGGTGAAACCCTGTCTCTACTAAAAATACAAAAATTAGCCGGGCATGTTGGCGCATGCCTGCAGTCCCAGCTACTCAGGAGGCTGAGGCAGGAGAATCACTTGAACCTGGGAGACGGAGGTCACAGTGACCCGAGATCACGCCACTGCACTCCAGCCTGATGACAGAGCGAGACTCCATCTCAAAAAAAATAAATAAAATAAAATTGTAAGTGTACATACTCCTTAACCCAGAAATCCAACTTTTAAGACTATCCTATAAAAAAAAGGGCAACAATAAGAAAGAACATATGTTTATTACAGGATGGTTTATAATGACAAACCAGAAAACTAGAACCACCTAAATGCCCATCAATACGGGAATGGTTGAATAAATAGCAGCACATCCACGCCATGGAAAATTAAGCAGGAATTGGAGCCAGTGTATTAATTTAGAACAATATTCATGGTATACTGATATGTAAGAAAGCAAGGTGCTAGGTGATGATCACATTATGACTTTTTAATTTTTAAAGGAAAAACTCTACGTATTATAAGCACTTATGTTTGTCACTGTAAAGGCACAGAAGACCTTTCTCATACAGCAAACTAATAACAATAACTTCTTCAGATGGGGGAAGGATAAATTTTTCCTCTATATTATTTGACTTATTACTGTTTGCTCATTGTAATTTTAAAATTCCCATAGATAGCAGGGATTTTTTTAAAAGAAAATTCTACTAGATATCTCTTAATTTCTAGTTAACTCTCAAAGCACACAATTCTATGAAGTGAGGTGAACAAAGGTCACAGAATCTTTAATGAATGGTTAAATTAATATTTCTTTTTTTTTTTTTTTTTTTTTTTTGAGACAGAGTCTCACTCTGTCACCCAGGCTGGAGTGCAGTAGCACATTCTTGGCTCACTGCAGCCTCTGCCTCTCAGGTTCAAATGATTTGCCTGCCTCAGCCTCCCGAGTAGCTGGGATTACAGGCGTGCACCACCATGCCTGGCTAATTTCTGTATTTTTAGTAGAGATGGGGTTTCACCATATTGGCCAGGCTGGTTTCGAACTCCTGACCTCAAGTGATCCACCCACCTCGGCCTCCCCAAGTGCTGGGATTACAGGCGTGAGCCACCACGCCCGGCCTAATACTTTTTAAAATGTTAACACAAAGGAGTAAGCAGGGAAAAAAAAAAAATTAACTCATGTTAAATACCTCAGCACCACTACCCCCAAATTCTGGATGAACAAAACACTGTATTATTCAAACCACTGAGCTCTGCAAACAATTCCACCAAACGTGTGTGAGAATGTACAGTGAACTCTTCTCCCACTCACTCCTAGATTCATTCTAGTAAACAGCAACAACCACAAAGAAAAGGATTCCTATCAGTACTCGAAGAGCAAGAATCTTATTAATCTCAATTTCCAGCCTGAAACAGGAGACCAGGTGCGGTGGCTCATGCCTGTAATCCCAGCACTTTGGGAGGCCAAGGCAGGTGGATCCCTTGAGCCCAGGAGTAAGAGACCAGTCTGAGCAACATGGTAAAACCATCTCTACAAAAAATAAAAACATCAGCTGGGTGTGGTGGCACACATCTGTAATCCCAGCTACTTGCAAGGCTGAGGCAGGAGGACTGCTTGAGCCTGGAAGGTAGAGGCTGCAGTGAGCTGTGATCACCCCACCCCACTCCAGCCCAGGAGACAGAGCAAGACTCTGTCTCAGAGAGGGGAAAAAAAAAACACAGGAAAAATTACTAAAGAGCATTCTAGCTAGTCTCCTCTCTAAGAAAGATCTTCTGATCAAGAAGGAAAGACATTTTAGGAGGGACAGGCCCATCCTTTCAATTTATCTAGCTAAGCTTAACATTTTATTCAATGTGAGTTATGTTTCTTAAACTTTGGCCCTTGTGACTGGAGCTATTCAAACTTTTTTTTTTTTTTTTTGAGACGTAGTCTCACTCTGTCGCCCAAGCTGGAGTGCAGTGCTGTGATATCGGCTCACTGCAACCTCCGCCTCCCGGGTTCAAGCAATTCTCCTGCCCCAGCCTCCCAGGTAGCTGGGACTACAGGCATGCGCCGCCACGCCCAGCTAATTTTTGTAGTTTTAGTAGAGATGGGGTTTCACCATATTGGCCAGGCTGGTCTCAAACTCCAGATCTTGTGATCTGCCCGCCTCAGCCTCCCAAAGTGCTGGGATTACAGGTGTGAGCCACCACACCCGGCCTCACACAAACTTCAAAAGGACACATCATCAATGTTCCCAGGGGAGTGACAAGAACTTAAACATTCATGAGTAAGAGCAATGTTCACAGGTATGCCCAGCTCAGTGGGAATGTCATCATCCAAATCAGTCACTAGCCACCACAGTAAGGTGGGCTTTTCAAACATTATCATCATTTTTGAAATTAGCCAAAAAAAAAAATCAAACCTTAAACATTGTTCAATTCAATAATTCGAGTCTCATTTTTAAACATACCATGTCTACAATCTTCATCAGCTTGCACATAATTTTTCTGCAAAACAAAAATACAAGATAAAATTAAGTATTTCAAGAGCTGCTTTTAACAGAGATGTTGTCAAAGGGAAACTTGGCTTTGTTTCAAAGTTTAATCATTAATGTTGTAAACTTACTATTCACAGAGCAAAGCTAACACATGTGCCCTCTGAGGATTACAGGGCACTCTACAAATAAACGTCACAGTATACTTCCTAGTCCATGGACCCCCACTCCTACTTCTCACCTTCTCTAACCCTAACTCATCAGCACCTCCCTCCCCGCCAAAAGCTTTACTGAGAAAACTGAAGCCACAAGAAGAGAATTTTCATAGACTGTCACCACCACGTCTCCCCACTTCCCAGCATACACTCTGTCTTCCTTCTACCTGTTAACAGACATACTACCATGCTCCTTTCTAAAGTCAACCTACGCCTGTGCAGATCAACTCAGCCGCCTACGCAGGTATGGCACTCCAGCAAGCCTCCTCGACTTGTCCTACATCATTAATTTTTTGCTTTTGATTGGTTCATTTCTATACAGAAATACAGTTATTTCTCCCATCTAAAAAAATATTTCCCTTGACTTTATCTCTCCCACTAGCTACCATTCCTTTTTCTTTTTCCTTTTCCTTTCTCTTTTTTTTCTTTAGTGTCTCTTCATGGCAAAACTCCTCAAGAGTTGTCTATGTTGATGTATTTCAATTCCTTCCCCCAATTCTCTCCTAAGCCCTCTTTTTAAGCAGACTTTCACCCACTACTCCAAGGAAGCCACTCTCAAGAGATCACCAGTGACCTCCACTGCATCCATGTGGACCCACACGATTCACATGTGCCCACTCAGACACATTCTCATGGCTTTCTTGGCAGCTGCTGACACTACTCCTCATTTCCTCACTTGGACACACTTCCTTCCTTCACGCGGCTACCAGGACTCCTTCCTCTCACACTTTCCCCTTTCCTCAGGGTTGCTCTTTAGGTTGCTTTGCTGGTTGTTGCTCTGCTCCCCAACCTCTTGACACTGCAGCAGCCCAAGACTCGGCCCTCAGTCCTCGCCTCTTCTCTATGATGCTCATTTTCCCTTGGTGATTCTACGCTGGCTCAAGACATCATATAGCACTTCTATCCCACAGTCTTCAATGAATCTCTCTCCCAAATTCCATACGTGCATATCTGACTGCTTACTCAGCATCTTCAGCTGGGTATCTGAATGACATCTCAAACTCAGTACGTCCAAAACTGAACTCCCACCTTCCCCCACAAAACCTCCTCCCCAGCTGTAGCCTTCTAACCTCAGTTGAAGGAAACATCATTCTTCCAATTGCTCAGACAAAAAGTATCGAGGTAAGTAACTGCGACTGCTCCCCCTCATTCCCTGCATTCAATACATTAGGAAACCTGATTGCTTCTATTTTCAATGTATAAACCAAAACCTAGTTACTTCTCACTATCTCCACTGCTACCATTTTGATCTGAGCCACTCTGGCCTGGATTATTCTAATAGTCTCCAATCTAGTCTCCTTGCATCAACGCTTATCCCTTTACAGTTTATTCTCAGCACAAAAGTCAAACAATTTCTGTTAAATTAGATCACACCACTCCTCTGCCCAAAGCCCTGCAATAGCTCCCCAACTCACAGAGAATAAAAACCAAAGTCTTTATCACGAGCCAGCAGGCCCCACAGGCTTTGGTCCTCCCACCTCTCCACCGCGTGCACTCTACTCTGGCCACACTAACTCCTAGCTGCTACTCAAGCACAGCAGGCATGCTTCTGCTGCTGGGTCTGTTTCCATTGCCTGCAATGCTCTTCCTCCAGTTTTACACATGGCTCACCCCCTTGCCTCTGGTTATCACCTTCTCAATGAGGCCTGCCTTGACCACTCTATTTAAAATTGTAACCACATCTCTAACCCCAATATTCCCAATCTCCCCTGCCCTGTTCTCCTTTTTTCATGCGGTTACTACCTTTTAACAATCTATGGTGGGGTTTTTTTTTTGGTTTTTGTTTTTTGTTGTTTTTTTTTTTTTTAAGACGGAGTCTCGGAGTCTCGCCCTGTTGCCCAGGCTGGAGGGCAGTGGTGCAACCTCGGCTCCCTGCAACCTCTGCCTCCTGGGTTCAAGCGATCCTCCTGGCTCAGCCTCCTGAGTAGCTGGGATTATAGGCACGCGCTACCACGCCTGGCTAATTTTTGTATTTTTAGTAGAGACAGGGTTTCACCATGTTGGTTAGGCCAACTCAAACTCCTGACCTCATGATCCACCTGGCTTGGCCTCCCAAAGTGCTGGGATTACAGGTATGAGCCACCACGCCCAGCCGGTGTTTATTTTTTATAATGCTTATTGTTTATTTTCTGTTCCCCTACTAGAAAAAGTATCATAAAGAAGAGACTTTTCTTTCTCTTTCATCAATATATATAACAAGAACCTAGAACAGTGTCTAGTACACAGTACATACTCAATAAATACTTGTTGAGTGAGTGCATAATCCAAAATGCCCTAAAGTAGAACAGTTTTCAAGGTTCAAAAACGTAGTTACCTTGCCATCAAATATATTCAGCAATCACCAGCCACTTCACTCACATCTCTTTGGCCCAGAATTAGCTATTTGTATCGTCACCCCTCAATGAAAAAGGCCATTTTACATAGTTCAGCATTGGCTTATTGACAGTGTTTACTCACCAGTTGCAAAAATGAGGCAATTCTGTAGAGAAGACTCTCGATTTTGATGCGTTCTATTTCCAATGGACAAGGCCCTGTGAAGTCTGCCATGGAGTACTGGCCAAGAGAAAGAAGGGCCTCTGTGCAGTGCTTGAGGGCCATTTCATAGTCCTGCCTCTTAAGTGATTCACATGCTTGTTCACATGACTTTTCAGCTCTTCTGTCTTCCATGACTCAGGGACAAAAATCCTACAGACAGGGAGAAAGAACAAGAGAAGGTTTTTTAAACTTATTAATTATAAATTCTAGCCCCATTCCTATCTCAGCTGGCTTAATTATCTATCTGAATACTCTCAGCTAGCCTTTTGATCAAGGTCACAGCTAAGCAGCAGCTATTGATGCTACAAAATCTATACTTCTCTTTGATATTTTATGAAGTCTTTACTAAGATTCAAGCAAAATGTCAATCATAAGCCAGGATCATACCAACAATATAACAAATTTATAAATGAGGCAAATTTAGAAATGAAACATGACTGTGAATACCGCAAAGTATACAACAAACCATAAAGGATCCCCTTTCTTAACCAAAGGGACAGAAACGTTTCATATCCAAATCTCCAAATTTCAGTTTCCTAATTTCAGTCTCACAGTTCTGTGACCATGATTGCAAAAAACCAAAATCTATACCATGCAGGATTATTTCCCACCAATTAAAAAACTGGTTGGAACTGTATGAACTGTCCATTAATTCAATTCAACAAACATTTCTCGAGGGCCAGGCCCTGTGCTAGCAGCAATGAATGCAAAGACAGGGCATGTCATCTCTGCTTTCAAGAAACTCAGATTCTAGCAAGACAGGCAAAGCACAAATGAACAATTACAAAAAAGACTTATTCCATCTGCCTAAAGGCATGAGCTGATTGCAAAAGGTGAACAGGAGTTCACCATACAGATGACAGGGAGAGCAAATGTGAGCTTTTCAGAGAGACGAGTTCAAGTGAAATCACCAAGGGGAGAAAATACACAGCCTAAACTCAAGGTACATCAGAGGAGTAAGAGAAGCTATGAATGACCTCAAATGCCACAACAAGAAGCAAGGGTTTTATTCCACAGGCAATGGAACACGATGAAATTTTTTAAATACGGAAGGAATCTATCAAACATAAGTCCTACCAGTTCTATAAAGAACTGGTTAGAAATAGAAGAAATCACAGCTTGCCACAGGGGAAGAAATGGCAAACATTGCCATTAGTAAGAGATCACTAAAATAGTCCAAGTAAGAAATAGCAGGAGTTTACACGTTGTTTCTCCCTAGCTATAACACTCATGGCAGGGGTGGAAAACTTGGACACAGAAGACCGACATCCTTTGACCTGACATTCACAATACTGCTCCAAAGAGTCACTCTTGCTGACCATCTCTGTCAAACTTACAGATTGCTTTCCGTGCCTGCATCCACCTTCTCTCTCTCCTGCTCCTCCCTACCTTCCACCTTAACCGCTGGCCTTACGGTACTTCTTTGTCCCTTCCGCCTGCCTCCAGCCTACATATATGTTCTCTGCCAGCCTTCTCGGCTTTTATAATGACACATGGGCCCTGCCCTCTCCTCGCTGTGCTGTAACCATCTGCTGCCAATAAACTGCAGTGCAAGATGAGGGGAGAAAAGTCATTGATGGGCAGCTCATAGAGAGCAGCAGGAGGCAAGATGACAGACATCTGAAGAGGTCTAAGCCCCTTCAGCTTTTGAGATTCTTGGTCTACCAAAACAGTAGAAATAGCTAGGGAATGAGATAAGGGAGAGTTCAAAAAGGACTTCAACAGTATTTGTCAGCATTTGTTCAATATTGGGGATTTACACATGTGGTACAATATAACATTCCCTACTTTTCTCAGTTTGGAATTTTTAATTTTAACACTTTTTTTTGAGACAGGGTCTCACTCTGTTACCTAGGCTCGAGTAGAGTGGCACAATCACTGCTCACTGCAGCCTCGACTTGCCAGGCTCAAGCAATCCTTCTAACTCAGCATCTTGAGTAGCTGGGACTACAGGCATGCACCACCATGTCCCGCTAAATCGTTATTTTATTTTATTTTTGTATTGACAGGGTCTCCCTATGTTGCCCAGCCTGGTATCAAAACTCCTGGGCTCAAGCTGTCCTCCCGCTTCAGCCAACCAAAGTGCTAGGATTACAGGTGTGAGCCACTGCACCAAGCCTAAACTAACACTTTTAATATAAAAAAAGAAGAAATTTAATTGTGTTATTAAGATAACTCCCCCCCCCCCAAAAAAAAAGAGTACTGTATTCTTGGTCTTTTACATGGTTTCCCTTTAAACTTCCTCAGCTTTCCTTCAGGGAGGCTGTAATTCCCAGTTTAGTTTAAGGGTAAGGGGATTTAAATAAGACACAGTTGGTATGCATGCCTGTTACACAAACATACATTGATGTGGGTGAAATCAATTGTTCAATAAAAGTCAAAAATAATTTCTGTATCACTACAGCAATGTTGCCCATTAGACAAAGAGTGGCATTACAAAATTACTAACTCATGATATAGTCCAGATATAAAATATCAACACTATTAACATTTTGGGCTCAATAATTTTTTGCTGTGGGCCATTCTGTGCATTGTAGGTTATTGAGCAGTCATTATCCCTAGTCCTCACCAGCAGATGTCAGTAGCACGTCCCCTGACTTGTGACAACCAAATATGTCTCCAGTAAATGTCTGGAGAAGGCAAAATCAGCTCTAGTTGAGAACTACTAATATAGACAAGCATACACTGCTTGCCAGATAACAGCAACACAAGATTCATAAAGTCCATGGATACCAGAGGCCCTAGAATTAGCAAATCTTCCCTACAGAACTCCCAGCCCACATCCAGACCAATAATACAAAAAGAAGTCGTAAGAAAACAAAGCTAATAATGCACCAGCTAAAATCTTTCTTAGGAATGAGTATAGCACAGTGATCCAGAGCACAGACTGGGAACCAGAATTCACCAGCTGCACCACTCTCCAGCTGCATAGCCTGGGGCAAGTGGCTTTACATGGATTATTTCAACTTGCTCACCTCTAAACTGGGAAGACAACTAATACCTACCTCCTAGGGTTACTGCAAGGATTAAGTGAAATAATACCTATAAAGTACTTAAAAGAATGCCTGGGACATAAGTGCTCAATAAGTGTTAGCTATTATAATGTCTCTAAAATTCCTTATTTTCACTTTATATAAAGTTTTTTGTTGTTGTTGTTGCTGTTTTTTGTGTTTTTTTTTTTTTTTTTAAGAGACAGAGTCTCGCTGCGCAGCCCATGCTGGGAGTGTAGTCGTGCAATCATAGCTCCTGCTGCCACACACTTGGGAATCATCCTCCTTCCTTGGCCTCCCAAAAAGCTGGGACTACAAGTGCATGCCACCACAACCGGCTAATTTTTTTTTTATTTTTTTGTAGAGACAGGGTTTCAATGTGTGGCCTAGCCTAGTCTTAAACTCTTGGCCTCAAAAGATCATCCCAACTTGGCCTCCCAAATGCTGGGATTACAGGCGTGAGCCACTGTACCCAGCCTACATAAAGCTGAAATCACTTTACTGATCTCAACATACAATACGGTATAGACAATGAAGTATTATTCTATGTAATTACTTTACCTACTTGACAGAGGATTTTCACCTATTTTCTCCATCTCAATACACTGGTAATGATTATCCAAAGAATAGCCATTGGAGAAAAAAGTATATCTGCAAGTCACTGACAAGGACTAGCTAAACCGTAAATCTGGCTATGAGGGATGATCACAAAGATTAATATCAACAATGATTCCCAAACATATTAGCCAGGGAGAGCTCGGTAACATTAATATGTAAGTAGAGATTAAGCGCAGAACTATGAATTTCAGGAGCTTTGAGAGGAAATGACTCAATTTACGACCCTTCCTCAGAAGTGGATATCTACCCCAATTACCTTTGTTAATCAGGGCCTGATGACTAGTTTCCAAGATCTACCTGAATCACAGTAGGGTCACTTAGCTGTAGTGTGGAACTCAATACAACGCATGCTCCGTTCAGCTGTTTTGTCGAGCTTTTCAGAAAACAGCATGACCTTACTGCACCCACTCCTTCTGAAGAAGCTAAAGTGGTTTATCAAGCATAAAAGCAAAACTGTCTGTCAAAGTCAAAATGAGAAAACATCTCAGGCCATGCTAAAATGGACTATGGATAATACGCAGTGAGAGATCTAGAAGTACTTCTAAATGAGGCCAGCTCCCAGATACACTTCAAGAGTGTAGCTGACACCCCTGCCTAGGACACATCGATACATCTGTATCTATTGTATGTGATCCTGCTACCTGAACGTAACAGCCAGATCCAAGGGCAGATACTGACTAAGTGAGGCCGGGCACGGTGGCTCACGCCTGTAATCCCAGCACTTTGGGAGGCCGAGGCGAGTGGATCATGAGGTCAGGAGATCGAGCCCATCCTGGCTAACACGGTGAAACCCCATCTCTACTAAAAATACAAAAAAAAAAAAAAAAAAATTAGCCTGGCATGGTTGCGGGCGCCTGTAGTCCCAGCTACTCGGGAGGCTGAGGAAGGAGAATGGCATGAACCCGGGAGGCAGAGCTTGCAGTGAGCCGAGATCGCGCCACTGCACTCCAGCCTGGGCAACAGAGCGAGATTCCGTCTCAAAAAAGAAAAAAAGAAGATACTAAGTTGGGTCTCTAAGGATTTTTCCCACAGGGACAGAGTGGCCCAGGGAATGGAAGTCGCTGGAGCTGAGTCACATTAAGCACATTAAGCACACCAATGTAGGAAGAAGCATCACATTCGCCCATTGCTGAGGTCCGCCCCATCTGTCTTGACTCTTTCTCTTCCTGTTAAAAATTATCCAAACTTGGCCGGGCGTGGTGGCTCACGCCTGTAATCCCAGCACTTTGGGAGGCTGAGGCGGACAGATCACCTGAGCTCAGGAGTTTGAGACCATCCTGGCTAACAAAGTGAAACCCCGTCTCTATTAAAAATACAAAAAATTAGCCGGATGTGGTAGCACATGCCTGTAGTCCCAGCTACTCGGGAGGCTGAGGCAGGAGAATCACTTGAACCCAGGAGGCGAAGGTTGCAGTGAGCTGAGATTGCGCCATTGCACTCCAGCCTGGGCGACAGAGCAAGACTCCCTCTCAAAGAAAAAAAAAATATCCAAACTTTTATCAAAGGAACATAAAACACTAATTTCCTTTAAACTCCTATCCCTGTGAGAAACACTGACTTGGAGGATGTGACTTCACAAGCAAGAAAGCTGAAATCAGAAACCAGGACTCTAATCCAAATCCACTAACTCCTCTGATCTGTTGCTGACCTATAAAAAGAGACTAATACCATGCAATGAACGTTAGTTGTTCTGCCACCAAATACCCATTCCCTTCCCTGGTAATAAAAGCCCACGATTTCCCTTCGAGAATTCACCTCTCCCCATCTCTCAGACCATGTGGTTCCTGAAGAGCTAACTCCACCAGGGATGTGGGGTGGCATGTGACACTAACTGGCCAATCCGAGCCTCACAGCCCTGAACACAGGGATTGGCTCAGGGTAGGCCATATGACCCTGTAAGAGCCAATGAGACACCATGAGACTCGCTGAGGCTTCTGGGAAAGAAACTGAAGCTCCTTGCAGCTGAATCTAAATTCTGAGAAACTACAGGGGGTTGAATATACCGCAGCCATTTTTCTTACAGTGTCAGCAACTGAAGTCTATACAGGAAAAGGCAGAGCTGATTCACAGGGAGAAACTAAGTCCTGATGACATCACCTGACCCCTGAATCCAGCTCTGGCTAGCTGTGCCTGGACTTCGAAGTTAGGTAAGCCAAGAAACTTTTTTCCAGCTTAAGTCAGTTTAGGTTGATATTTCAGGCAGTTGGAACCAAGACAGTCTTAATTTAGATAATCTGATCAGTACCAAATGAGCTGATAATTGTCTTGTAAAATAGTGTATACACGATTATTAATAACAATGATCATGTTATTTATTACTAATAACAGTAAGTGTAAAGAGAAAAAATAAGTGAGCATGGGAGACAAATGGCTTAGTGTGATATATGATTCTTCTGTGTCTTAAAAATATAAGCCTAGGTTTCCATGCCCATAGTGCTCATGCAAACATGGTGAACGTTGCTAAAACCCGCCGGACTTTCTGTAAGAAGTGTGGCAAGCACCAACCCCACAAAACGACACAGTACAAGGGCAAGGATTCTCTGTATGCCCAGGGAAAGCAGCGTTATGACATGAAACAGAGTGGCTATGGTGGGCAAACTAAGCCGATCTTCCGGAAGAAGGCTAAAACTACAAAGACGACTGTGCTAAGACTTGAGTGCGTTGAGCCCAAACAGATCTAAGAGAATGCTGGCTATTAAAAAGATGCAAGCATTTTGAACTGGAAGGAGATAAGAGAAAGGGTCAAGTGATCCAGTTCTATGTGTCATCTTTTATTATGAAGACAATAAAATCTTGAGTTTATGTTTAAAAAATTACATATATATATAAGCCCAAAGCATTTGTTTTAACAACTTATAAAGTTACTTCAGTAATAACAAGAAGCTTTTACTGAAGGTTCATCGTGTGCCAGATGTTTAAAAGATTATATGTACGTAATCTAATTTAATCCTCACAATGACCCTATAAAGTAGATATTAGAATTGTTATTATCATTCCCATTCACAGATGAGGAAACTGAAGCACAGAGTTAACTTATCCAGTTACACTGTAAACGACAGAGGCAGGATTCAAATCCAGGCAGCCCGACAACTCCTACTTTTACCACGACACTGATTCTGAGCCCACAAGCAACTAAGGTTCTAATGCTATTCCAACAGAGTAAAAACTCAAAGTCCAGCACTCCCAAAAGCACCAAATGTGACAGTGAAATATCACCTTTTAATTCTGAAACAGGGTTAACATAGTTCTGCATTATAAAAAGTATGTCTGTGTTAGTAACCGCAATGTTAGTGATTACCATTTTAAAAAATGTAAAACACACACACACCCCTAAGCCAATTATCTCCTTGGTTAAGCAAAAATCCTAAGTGTCCCAAGACAAAGGAGTGTATTAATTAGCACCATCTTTCCATAAAATGGTAACATTTGCATCCTTCCACAAAAGTCAACTTTCAGACAGTATCCCATCCCTAACTTACTTTTTGCCACTTTTATAAAACAGAAACTTGTTCTAAAATTGATTCATCTTAGCACAATCTGACAAAAGAGCAAAATCGATAAATTTTATCAAAATTAAACATTTTTGTACCATGAAAAAGACACTGTTAAAAGAATAAAAGACAAGTTAGAGACTGGGAGAAATTTTGTGCAAATCACTTATTTGAAAAAGGATTCAGATCTGAAATATAAAGAACTCCCTGACGGGCGTGGTGGCTCACACCTGTAATCCCAGCACTTTGGGAGGCTGAGGCGAGTGAATCACAAGGTCAAGCGATCAAGACCATCCTGGCCAACATGGTGAAACCCCATCTTTCCTAAAAATACAAAAATTATCTGGGTGTGGTGGCGTGCACCTGTAGTCCCAGCTACTCGGGAGGCTGAGGCAGGAGATCGCTTGAACACAGGAGGCGGAGGTTGCAGTGAGCCGAGATCGCACCACTGCACTCCAGCCTAGCAACAGGGTGAGACTCCATCTCAAAAAAAAAAAAAAGAAAAAAGGAAAAAAAAAAAGAACTCCCAACAGTCAACAATAAGAAAACTAACCAAATAAAAACTGAGCAACAGATTTCAACAGATACTCCCAAACAGGATATAATGATAACAAATAAGCACATAAAAGATGTTCAGTGTTATTAGCCATTAGGGAAATGCAAACTAAAGCCATGATTAGATTCCACTACATACCTATTAGAATGGCTAAATTAAAAATATTGATAACACCAAGGGATGTACAGTAACTGGAACCCTCATACATGGCTAGTAGGAATATAAAATGATTTAGCCACTCTGGAAAAAGGGTTTGCAGCTTCTTATAAAATCAAATACACACACTACACTATATGACCCAGCAATCCCCTTCGCCCCTCAGATACCACAGAGAAATGAAAACTATGTTCACACAAAGATCTGAACACAAATGTTCATAACAGTTCTATTCATAATTGCTAAAAGTGGAAACAACTCAAACGTCCTTTAATGAGTGAATAAACAGACCTCTTTGTGATATAAAACTACTCAGCAACAAAAAGGAACAAGTATTCAATATATGCAATAACTTGAATTAATCTCAAAAACATTATGCCACATAAAAGACCCCAGTCTCAAAAGCTGACATACTGTATGATTCCATTTATACAATCTTATTCTCAAAAATATAAAACTATAAAAATGAAGAACAAGATCAGTGGTTGTGAGCAGGTATGGGGTGGGTAGGGGTAACTATAAAAGAATAGCATGAGGGAGTTTTTAGGGTGATGACACTGCCCTGTATCCTGATTGTGGTGATGGCTGCACAAACTAGACATGTGTTAAATTAGTAAAACTGTATAGCAAAAAACATCAATTTTACTATATGCTAATTTTTATAAAATTGTAAGAATTATTTTTAAAATATGACCTAAATGTCACATTTGACTTTTTTTTTTTTTTTAAGATGGAGTCTCACTCTGTCGCCCAGGTTGGAGTGCAGTGGCGTGACCTCAGCTCACTGCAACCTCCACCTCCCAGGTTCAAGCAATTTTCCTGCCTCAGCCTCCCCAGTAGCTGGGACTACAGGCACACACCACCACACCCAGCTAATTTTTGTATTTTCAGTAGACGGTTTCGCCATGTTGGCCAGGATGATCTTGATCTCTTGACCTCATGATCTGCCCACCTCGGCCTCCCAAAGTGCTGGGATTACAGGTGTGAGCCACCACACCCAACCGACATGATTTTTTAAAACTACAAAGAAGAAAATGCAGCAGGATAAGTGTGCTGTGAATAAACAGAAAACCCATGCACTTCCCTTCCTGCATATGTAGGTTTTAGAGACAAGAATGGAGCCTCAAAAAGAACCTCTCCAAATGGAACAATGATTGAGCTCTCTTGGCAAAAAATGTAGAATACTTTTGAAGAATTGCATCATAGCTAGATGGTTGGTCCAGGACCAAAAGTAAATGCTGGAAGAAAAACAAAATCAATCTTTCCACTCTGAACCTCTGTCTGTGACAGTATGAGAAGAACCACCAGACCACCTTGAAATCAAGTCATGAAATATGCTTTTATTTTAAAAATCAGCTATATTCCTCAAATTAACTTCTCTTGTTAATGTAGTTATGGTCTTCTTTGATCTCAAAAGACCAAATCCTTTGTTAACAGAGAGACTTTAAGCAAAAGTAAACTGATCAAATAGCAAGAGGCCACAGTAGTAACTAAAATTTCTTCTATCTAAATTCAAGATGATTTCTGCATCTCTGTCTTATACATTTGCCTATTAGAAAAAAAATATGTATCTACCACATAATTAACTTAGGTGCAATGAATCAGACTGCATTTCTAAAGGTTTTAGAAGACTGATGAGTTATGTTAACCATAATCACTATCTCCTTTGATAGAAATTACTAACATCCGTAATTGGTTCTTAATCAGACCCCAAGATATCTTTACTTACTAGGCTATATAAACAATAAAACTTAAAGGACAAATATAATAAAATGCACGTTTCATTATATAACAAAACAAAAATTTGTATCAGAAGAATTGCTAGAAAAAATTGGATATCCACATTTTTTAAGTTAGTTATTTGCCATTAATTCTTCTAATTGCTTTCCTTGTGGAAATTCGGTTACTAACCTGAAACTAGAAAGTAAATACACTTTGGGAGGCCCAGGCCAGCAGATTGCTGAGCTTAGGAGTTCGAGACCAGCCAGGGCAACATGGCGAAACCCCGCCTCTACCAAAAATACAAAAAATTAGCTGGGAGTGGTGGCACAAGCCTGTAGTCCCAGCTACTTGGAAGCTGAGACATGAGAATTGCTTGAACCCGGGAGGCAGAGGTTGCAGTGAGCAGAGATCACCCCACTGAACTCCAGCCAGGATGACAGAGGAGACTTTGTCTCAAAAAAAAAAAAAATTTATTGTGACGAAAGAAAAGCCAAATTGATACATTATTATTATTATTATTATTATTATTAGAGACAGAGTTTCACTCTTGTTGCCCAGGCTGGAGTGCAATAACGCAATCTCGGCTCACTGCAACCTCCACCTCCCAGGTTCAAGAGATTCCCCTGCCCGAGCCTCCCAAGTAGCTGGTATTACAGGCATACGCCACCACACCAGGCTAATTTTGTATTTTTAGTGGAGTCAGGGTGTCTCTGTGTTGGTGAGGCTGGTCTCAAACTCCCAACCTCAGGTGATCCGCCCGCCTCGGCCACCCAAAGTGCTGGGATTACAGGCATGAGCCACTGCACCCAGCTGATACATAATTAAAGTAACCCAAGTGAAGAGGAAGAAAGCCTATCAGAATGTGCCCCTTTCCCCACTGAGCAGCAAGGCCCTGGTAAGCCAGTGTGGCTAAAGTGTATCATGCTTCCTGAGGGAGAAAAAGTATACTTTAGAGATGGCACAATAACTCTGAAATGCCTATAAAATAATGTCAAAGCTCATTAACAGATATCCGGGCCACCACCAATCTGGCTACAACCTCACTTGCCCATCACCCCAACACAGGCCCCAAGTACACAGTCAGGCCTCTGAGACTCTGATAACATTGTTCCCTCTGCCCAGAACATCCTTTCCTCGCCTCTCTCTGGACCTAAATCCTACCCAGATTTTAACGAATGCTTCAACATCTACTTCTCTAAGATGCTCTCCTCCCAAAACTAAAATAGCATTACTTCCTATAGAATTAATTGGCCTCTGAATCATCTATTATCTTGAGTTAAATGCATCGTGTAAAATGCCTTATCTGCCCAACACAACTATCTTATAAATTAGAATCCATTTTATACCATCTTTATCCCCATGACAACCATTCAATTCACTAAAACCATTCCATAAATAATTAAATTTCCCAAAGATGACCTAAATGCCAAGCATACCAAGAACTGTCCTGTACCAAATTCAGTTCTCATTAGCATGTCAAGTCACAAAGAGGCATGTTTTATTACCTTTTAGTTCATCTGCATTTTTCCAAAACTGGAATCTATATAGTCCTATAGTATACACAGGCAAAATAGTCTGCAAAGTAGTTTTACTCATTGTACTGTACTTAATATTCAGCCAGACTTGCATTTTTCTCTAAAACATAAAATCACTGAGTATGCAAGAAGCATTAGAAGAGAGACTAAGCCTACAGAGAAGAAAACTAGAAACTAAGATCATCAACCGTGGTCTCTTTTGAATAATCATTTTCATAAAGAGGTAAATTCTCTTAAATTTTAGAATAAGTGGAATTTAGTAGAGTATAGAATGTTTTAAATACATAAAAGAAATATCCTGATGGGCCTTCTGCCATCTGTTTTAATGACTGAGATAAACTGAATTTTCTAAAAATTATATCAACAGCTAAAATTGAGATTTTTTTTCCATCTATTACTTTGATTTTTCCTGATCCATTTTTCAGGGTTTCCAGCAATTCTGGAGCTAGCCTTCTTAGTTTCAAGAATTCCAAATTGTTTCTTGAAGAGTTTGAGCCTCTTCCCAAATCACTTAACATGCTTATTAATTTAAAAGATATGAAGAAACAAAAAACCCATACTTAAGAAGCAAGCAAGGCTGGGCACAGTGGCTCATGCCTGTAATCCCAGCACTTTGGGAGGCCGAGGCAGGCGGATCACGAGGTCAAGAGATGGAGACCATCCTGGCCAACATGGTGAAACCCTGTCTCTACTAAAAACACAAAAAATTAGCTGGGGTTGGTGGTGCATTCCTGTAATCCCAGCTACTTGGGAAGCTGAGGCAGGAGAATCGCTTGAACCTGGGAGGCAGAGGTTGCAGTGAGCTAAGATCGCGGCATTGTACTCCAGCCTGGTGGCAGAGTGAGACTCCATCTCAAAAAAAAAAAAAAAAAAGCAAGCAAATTATACTAAAAGGCTGACTTCTAGAAAAGGTTACTGCTTGCCAAGAAAATTATATTACTATAAAACATTGTCTATTCTTTTTGTTTCTTGATTTTTGCTTCCAGATTATCTGTGTAGACACAGAATCACATTACTACTACCACCAGTACTATCACAGCCCCTTAAAAGCCATCTTCAATTTACCAACAGATTATGTTCTAATGCTGTATTTTCAAATCAGACTTTAAAACTGAGAACAGAGTTTTCTATACAGTGTTAACAATAAGGTTACTGGGAAGATTTAAAGTGACAAAAGCAAGTTACAAAATAATATATATGGTATAATCCCATTTTGTAAGTAAAAAACAGATTATAAATAATGGTCATCTCATTTTTGTGAAATATGTAAGTATTGAATATTTTGCATAAGAAAATCAGGAAGGATAAGACACAGTCTAATCATGAAGAAAATACCAGAGAAACCCAAATTGAGGACCATTCTATTAAATATCCAAATAGTACTCCTGAAAACTGTCATGAAAAACAAAGTCTGAGAGGCTATCACAGCCCAAAAAAGACTAAGAAGACAAAACTGCTACATTCATTGCAGGATTCTGGATAGATTCTGGAACAGAAAAAGGGTATTAGTGGGAAAACTGGTGAAATCCAAATAAAGTCTAAAAATTAGTTAATAGAAATGTACCAACAATGGCTGGGTGTGGTGGCTCACGCATGTAATCCCAGCACTTTGGGAGGCCAAGCCAAGTGGATCACAAGGTCAGGAGATCGAGACCATCCTGGCTAACATGGTGAAACCCCATCTCTACTAAAAATGGAAACAATTAGCCAGGCGTGGTGGCAGGCGCCTGTAGTCCTAGCTACTCGGGAGGTTGAGGAAGGAGAATGGCGTGAACCCGGGAGGCGGAGCTTGCAGTGAGCCGAGATCATGCCACTGAACTCCACCCTGGGTGACAGAGCCAGACTCTGTCGGAAAAAAAAAAAAAAAAAGAAATGTACCAACAATGGTTTCTTACATTTGACAAACGTGCCGTGGAAACCTAAGACATTAACAATGGGGAAAACTGGGTAAAGAGTTTATGAGAACTCTGACCTATACTTCTTAATTTTCTGTAAATCTAAAATTATTACAAAATGAAAAGTTTATTACAGGCCAGGTGCGGTGGCTCACACCTGTAATCCTAGCACTTTGGGAGGCGGAGATGGGTGGATCACCTGAGATCAGGAGTTCAAGACCAGCCTGGCCGATATGGTGAAACCCTGTCTCTACTAAAAATACAAAACTTAACCAGGCGTGGTGGCAGGCGCCTGTAATCCCAGCTACTCAGGAGGCTGAGGCAGGAGAATTGCTTGAACTCGGGAGGGGGAAGTTGCAGTGAGCCAAGATCACACCATTGTACTCTAGCCTGGGACAAAGAGCAAGACTCCATCTCAAAAAAAAAAAAAAAAAAAAAAAGTTTACTACAAAAATAAAACTGGGTATCTCCAGGTGATGCTATTACAGCTTTTTTATTCATCTGTATTTTATAATTTTTTTTTTTCGAGATAGAGCCTCGCTCTGTCACCCAGGCTAGAGTGCAGTGGCACAATCTCAGCTCACTGCAACCTCCGCCTCCCAGGTTCAAGCGATTCTCCTTCCTCAACCTCCTGAGTAGCTGAGATTACAGGCACACACCACCATAACCGGCTATGCCCGGCTAATTTTTGTATTTTTAGTAGAGACGGGGTTTCACCATGTCGGCCAGGCCGGTCTCCAACTCTTGACCTCATGATCCGCCCGCCTCAGCCTCCCAAAATGTTGGGATTACAGGCGTGAGCCCCTGTGTCTGGCATTGTATTTTAAAATTTTTAACAAGCAATAAGTTTTCATTGTCATGGAAAACAAGACTTAGTCCCAGAAGACTTAAGTTAATTCGCCCAAAGACACAAAATTGCGGCAGCATAGGAATTCTGGAATTAATTCTCTTTACTCTAGACCCCATGCAGAGACCTAAGAACATACCCTATTAAACTTTTTGACTCTTCTTACTTGCTAATACACAAAATTTAAGGTCACCAGATTACTTTTGCTTCACTATAATTGATGCAGAGGGAGGAAACAGATGAAACAATACTGAGAGCTGTTGAAGTTGGACAATGGGTACATGGGCATTGATTACACTCTTCTTTCTACTTTTGTATGTCTGAAAATGTCCATAATAAAAAACTTTTAATTAAAAAATAACCAGCCTGGGCTTGGCGCAGTGGCTCACGCCTGTAATCCCAGCACTTTGGGAGGCCAAGGTAGGTGGATCACTTGAGTTCAGGAGTTCGAGATCAGACTGGCCAACTGAGTGAAACCCTGTCTCTACTACAAATACAAAAATTAGCTGGGCATGGTGGCACATGACTGTAATCCCAGCTACTGGGAAGGCTGAGGCAGGAGAATTGCTCGAACCTGGGAGGCAGAGGTTGCAGTGAGTCGAGATCGAGCCATTGCACTCCAGCTTAGGCGAAGAAGCGAGACTCCGTCTCAAAAAAATAAAATAAACATAACCAGCCTGGCCAACATGGTGAAACCCCATATCCACTAAAAACACAAAAATTAGCCGGGTGTGATGGCATGCCCCTGTGATCCCAGCTACTTGGGAAGCTGAGGTGGGAGAATCGCTTAAACCTGGGATGCGGAGGCTGCAGTGAGCTGAGATCGCACCACTGCACTCCAGGCTGGGTGACAGAGCAAGACCCTGTCTCAAAAAATTTAAAAATAAAATTAAAAGATAGAAAATAAAGTCCTCACTCCCCAACATAACTATGGCACTTCCTACTCTCTATTGAGCACTGCTGCCTGGGTGAGGAGACACCACCGCTAAGAACCTTCAGCATTTCTCAGTGTGAAGCAGAGAGAAAAGTCATGGACTGGGAATCTTGAAGCTTCCATGTTGGTTCTACTTTAACTAATTGTGAGACCTCACTGAGTCCTCTTAACTTTTCAGGGCCCTAAACTTCCTTAGCTGTTGCCCCAATAATCTCTGAAGTTCCTTCTAGGATTAAAATTCTGATTTCAACTTTCTACAAGCTCCTTAAACTCAACACAATCAAAACCAAATTCATCTTCATTCTAAACTCCTAAGAGCCATTCTCCCTCCTGACTTCCCTATTCTTTTTTTTCTTTAATGTCCCATTCTTCCAGCCACCCAACCATAAAAACCACAGCCTCATCTCTGACTTGAGACATAGAACTCAAGTTCTGTATACATAGAAACCCCCACCCCCGTCTCTACTAAAAATACAAAAATTAGCCAGGTGTGGTGTCGGGCACCTGTAATCCCAGCTACTCGGGAGGCTGAGGCACGAGAATCGCTTGAACCCGGGAGGCAGAGGTTGCAGTGAGCTGAGATAGCACCATGGCACTCCAGCCTGGGCGACAGACAGACTCCATCTCAAAAAAAAAAAAAAAAAGAGAGAGAGAGAGAGAACTTTGGGAGGCCAAGGTAGGTGGATGGCTTGAGCTCAGGAGTTCAAGACCAGCTGGGCAACGTGGGAGACCCCCATCTCTACAAAAAATACAAAAATTAGGTGGGCGTGGTAGCTTGTGCCTCTAATCCCAGCTACTAGGGAGGCTGAAGCAGGAAAATTGCTTGAACCTAGGAGGCAGAGGTTACAAAGAGCCGAGATGGAGCCACTGTACTCCAAAAAAAAAAAAAAAAGAAAGAAAAAAGAAAAAAAAAAACACAGAGATACAGAATTAATTGTTCCCACCCTACCCCATCTAATTAGTCACCACATCTCTCCATTCAACCTCCAAGATAACTCTTGAATCCTTTCCATGGCCACCAACTCAATTCAGGTTCTCATCGCCCTCACTTAGACTACTATGAACCCAACTAAAGGCCCTGTCTCTCAGTTCTCTTCCCTACAATCCATCATACTCATCCTTACTCTAACATTCAAGAAATTCCAAGGCCAAGCGTGGTGGCTCAGGCCTGTAATCCCAGCACTTTGGGAGGCCAAGTGCTTCAGGCCAGGAGTTCAAGACAGCCTGGGGAACATAGCAAGACCCCTAACTTTATAAAAAATAAAAATAACAAAAAGTTAAATATTAAAAAAAAAACTCCCCAAAACCCAGTCCTGACCTATTGGCAGTCTTACCTTCCATTATATTCCTTTATGTATCCTAGGACCCAGGAAACTTGGATATGCAATTTCCTGACACCCACATTTCTGACATAACCCCCAGACTTCCCTCCAGAATGCCCTCTTCCCTTTGCTTCTCGGCTTCCTGGTGGTGTGATTTAAATGCCACCTCTTCAGTGGAAGTGTTCCCTGATATCCCCAAGAAGGCAGTATCGCTCCCTCCACTTAATCCCGAAGTACCTTGTATGGCCCCCTTCAATGGCACCTATGAAATTCCTATTAGTCCTTTCATTTTGGGGTGCCCCATTCTCTCTACAGATAATTAGTTCCTTGTCAACGGAACAATGTTTCCTTCATGTTTGGATCCCTCAGAACAGAGCTTCTCAAAGGGTGTGCCATGGCACACTGGTATGCCCTGAATGAGTTAAAGATGGCCTAGACAGTGGTGGTCTTCTCAGCAATCCAAGCAGCCACAAAGAGACAACAGAAGGCCGGGCGCGGTGGCTCACACCTGTAATCCCAGCACTTTGGGAGGCCAAGGCGGGTGGATCACGAGGTCAGAAGTTCAAGACCAGCCTGAACAACATGGTGAAACCCCGTCTCTACTAAAAATACAAAAATTAGCAGGGCATGGTAGTGCGCACCTGTAATCCCAGATACTCAGGAGGCTGAGGCAGGAAAATCACTTGAACCAGGGAGGCGGAGGCTGCAGTGAGTCGAGATCGTGTCACTGTACTCCAGCCTGGGCAACAGAGCGAGACTCCCTCACAAAAAAAAAAAAAAGAGAGAGACAACAGAAGCCAGAACCCACAAATGGTCAAGCCTCAAGCAGTGTCCTGCTTCAACCCAGCACATGCCATCACAAGAACTTGAGAACCACTCAGAGGAGCAGTGATACAAAGGGGCTCACAGCAGATGCCCAATAAATACTTGCTGAACTGAATCCTGGAATAATCCATCTGTTCCCCTTCAAACACTCTTCCCAAGATCATTTACCATTTTGACCACACACTCTTTTTTTTTTTTTTTTTTTTTTTTGAGACGGAGTCTCCCTCTTTTGCCCAGGCTGTACGCAGTGGTGCTATCTCTATCTCGGCTCACTGCAAGCTCCACCTCCCGGGTTCACACCATTCTCCTGCCTCAGACTCCCGAGTAGCTGGGACTACAGGCACCTGCCACCACGCCCGGCTAATTTTTTGTATTTTTAGAAGAGACGGGGTTTCATCGTGTTAGCCAGGATGGTCTCGATCTCCTGACCTCCTGATCCGCCCGCCTTGGCCTCCCAAAGTGCTGGGATTACAGGCGTGAGCCACTGCACCCAGCCTCGACCACACACTCTTGTGAACAATTTTTACTGACCATATTATACCAGCCTTACCATTCAAAGCCTACAATAGTTAATTGCATAATATAGCAACTGATATCAACAAACAGTTCACCATAAAGAGGCTCAAATAGTTAAATTCAACATTATATAACAAAGAAATGAAAGTGCCATTTTACACTATTAAATTCACAAAAACTTCTGAAGAAAAATGGTTTTCTCTACTACTTATGGTAAAACAGGTATATCCATATATCTGTTAGGAGCACAAACTGGTATAACACCCTTGAAAACAGTAGGACAATATATGTGAGGAGCCATAAAAACACTGATACCCCTTAACATAATAACACACTCCAAAATTTATCCTTAAGATATCATTAGAAAAAATGCAACAGTATCTACAATGATGTAGATTAAAGTGTTAACTGAAAACCACCCAGACAGCAGTATAAATACTTCACATAAAAAGACTTAGGTAAATTGTAGCATGACTTGATGAAATTATTTTTGCAGCCTTTCAATATATAAAGTTAAATTATAAAATCTATAAGATGTAAATGTTTCATGATATAGTAAGTTTTTAAAAATCAAACTATAATGTATCATAATTTAAAATGAATTTTAAAATGTATATTTTGAAATGAAATGCCAAAAAGAAAATCAATTGTCTTAGGATAATAACCCAACATTTAACAATTTATTTATTATCAATTTATTCAACATTAAATAATAAAGTTCTACCCTACCAAGGAAATGAAGGGGTTCCAGGACACAAGCTTGATAAAGTCTCAAAAGGACCACCCCTCCCTTCTACTGCTCACTTTGGCCTTGACTGAGTGTTTTCATACTCTCCTTGGTCATGATGACCTATACTAACCCAAACCCCAGTTTTTCAAGGACCAGCCAACTGCCTCAATTGGTCCTCTGATCATCCCTATGAACCCGTGGGAGACAAATCATGCAAAACAAGCGAACACTCAAGAAACAAAGAACCTGGCCGGGCGTAGTGGTTCACGCCTGTAATCCCAGCACTTTGGGAGGCCAAGGCGGGTGGATCACCTGAGGTCAGGAATTCGAGACCAGTCTGACCAACATGGCAAAGTCCCAAGCTACTAGGGAGGCTGAGGCAAGAGAATCGCTTGAACCCAGGAGGCAGAGGTTGCAGTGAGCCGAGATCCCACCAGTGTACTCCAGCCTGGGCGACAGAGTGAGACTCTGTCTCGAAAAAAAACAATTTTTTTGATTTATTTATTAGTTTAACATTTATTACTTTAACAATTTACTTATTTATTACTTTAACCAATCAGCAAGTAGTCAGCCCAAGTTTCACTGTAAACCCTAAAAATATACAATATTGCCACATTAAAGTCTCTGGGATTCTCAAGGCTAACTTGCTGACTTAGCAGTGGACTGTATCAGTTAAAAGGCAGTGTGGACTCAGACAATCAAAGAACCAGGGGCCAGGAGACCTGAGAACAATTAAAAGCAAAATGTAGATAGATTTTTTTTTTAACTACAAAAAACACAAAGCTAAAAAGTCCAGCTTAAACCAGATGAGTAAAAAAATAGCTGGAGATATTCTTTTAAGTCTTAGCCAGAGTGCAAAAGGGAGGATGGAAAGTCATTTTATTAAGAGCTGAAGCTAGCCCGGCACAGTGGCTCACACCTGTAATCCCAGCTCTTTGGGAGGCCAAGGCGGGTGGATCACTTGAGGTCAGGAGTTCGAGACCAGCCTGACCAACATGGTGAACCCCCATCTCCAGTAAAAATACAAAATTAGTCAGGCGTGGTAGCGCACACCTATAGTCCCAGCTACTTGGGAGGCTGAGGCAGGAGAATCACTTGAACCCAAGAGGCAGAGGTTACAGTGAGCTGAGATCGCCCCATTGCACTCCAGCCTGGGCAACAAAAGCAAGACTCCATCTCAAAAAAAAAAAAAAAAAGACCTGAAGCTTTTTGCGGATGAAGATATCTCACAAAAGACAAGTACTGAAAATTCATGGCCAGGCATGGTGGCTCACACCTGTAATTCCAGCACTTTGGGAGGCCAAGGCAGGTGGATCATGAGGTCAGGAGTTTGAGACCAGCCTGGCCAACATAATGAAACCCCGTCTTTACTAAAAATACAAAAAAATTAGCCAGGCATGGTGGCAGGCACCTATAATTCCAGCTACTTGGGAGGCTAAGGTAAGGAGAATCGCTTGAACCTGGGAGGCAGAGGTTGCAGTGAGCTGAGATTGCACCACTGCACTCCAGCCTGGGCGACACTGCCAAGACTCTGTCTCTCAAAAAAAAAAAAAAAAAAAAAGGAAGAAAATTAATTTAAAAATAATTTTAGGTCGGGTGCGGTGGCTCACGCCTGTAATCCTGACACTTTGGGAGGCCGAAGCGAGTGGATCACCTGAGGTCAGGGGTTTGAGGCCAGCCTGGCCAACATGGTAAAGCCCTGGCTCTACTAAAAATACAAAAAGTAGCTGGGCATGGTGGCGGGCGCCTGTAATCCCAGCTACTCAGGAGGCTGAGGCAGGAGAATTGCTTGAACCCAGGAGGCGGAGGTTGCAGTGAGCCGAGATCGTGCCATTCATTGCACTCCAGCCTAGGTGACAAAAGCGAAACTCCGTCTCAAAAAAATAATAATAATTTTAACTCTGATGCCTCATAAGGAAAGTATTAAAAGCCTTCTAATTTATTTCTGTAGTATTACCATTTTCTAAGTGTAATAATGAAAGACGAAGACACCATAGCTGACCAAGAAGATTAATTACTGTGAAATAATAAATACTCAAGACTAAACTGTTTTTAATTAACAGGTATTTCAGCAAAAAGTAAATAATCTGAAAGACTAATAGTATCAATAGAGGTAGTACAACCACTAGGAAAAAAAGTTCAACCTTTTGTTTCTATTGATATGTTCTCCATATTTAGATCCTCAAAACTGCAGATATATACAGTCATTCATGACACTATGTAAATAGCAGATAACAGGAAAAACAATTCAATACTTAACCAAGTTCACTGGAGCACAAAGTAATCGCCACTCAAGAATGCTGACACAAAAACTGAAGGACCTCTCAAGTTCCAATAGCACGCAGATAAGCTGAGCCCCTATGCAGTTACTCATCTGAACAGAAGTGGAAGATTAACCTACCCTCACTCATTTCACACACTAACCTGACAAGGCAGCAGGCAGTCTCTTCGGAGCTTGTTCATCATTCAGTCTGTTCCAGAAGTAACCGATTCCGTTAGGATCTGTGCCTTCAGGTTACCACTGTTTCACTACAGCCCTGTATCACTTCACCCTTGTCCCACCTTATTCTTTCAGGCATTATAAAATTCTTGTTTTCTAAATAAAGTTCTAAACCTTACTCACCTGCAGTTCACTGCACTGGGTATCACCCAAATAGCCCATCAGAGCTCTTTATAATTTCTGAAAGACAAAGAAGAAAGTTTTTTTAATACATAGTAGAAAACACCATTCACCAAGATATCAGTTCCAAAGCATTTGTATCCAATATTCCCAGCATATGGTCTTTTGGTCCACACTAGTTCAATAAAATGTAGCATGACCAGCACTAGACCAAGAGTCTTGAGATAAGCCTCCAAAGATTAAAAACAAGCTTGGTTTAATGTTGCTACTACTGAGCTGTGTGACCTTGAGCAACTCATTTAATTTCTTCAGGCCTATATTTCCTTATCTGGAAAATAAGTCACTTAGACTAGCTAGAGAAAGAAGAGCACAGGCTTTCCAGGAAGAACACCAGCTCCACTACTTTACTGGTCTCGTGACGTTACATTAGTTGAGTCACACTTAAGCCTGAATTTCTTCCTTTGTAAAATGGAAATAACTATCTCGTGAGTTGCTATGAGAATTAAAGGAGATGATGAGTTATAAAAAGCCTATAGTAAATATACTGTGCAGCTTATCCTAAAATTCAACAGATGGTAATTCATTACTACCATTAACCCCCACCAGCCCTAACATTACATGAATTCAATTCATGCATATTTCTTTTAAAAGATCAACAAATCAAAACTTTACCAACCTGACTAAAGAACTAACTGTTTTCATGTTTCACAATTCAAATTACAGTTATCTTAAGCTGATGGTAGTTTATCATTATTACTTATCACAGAAAATAAGAACAGAATAGTCCCTGCACAACATCCAAACTCTGGTTCAATGACCATGCCTTTTCTGACTTCTCACTCTACTTCCACACTGCCAGAATATCTCAGGAATAGAGAGGTCTTCCAAAAGCTAAATGACACCCAGCTGTTTGCCAGATTCAGCTCAAGGGAGCAGGACTAGAGACAGAAGAAGAACAGAGGCTTTTCTTTTTTTTAACCTTTTTTACTTTACATAAGTACTGCTCAAATTTGTTTACCATAAGCATACAGGAGTTTTGCATAAAAGTAAATAATTTTTTAAAACTGTATTAGTTAAACACGTTGCCTACTGACAGGAAGCTCGCATTATAGGACATTTTCATCACAACAAAGATAATTTCTGCAGAAGGAAGCAAAAAGGCAAATTCAGATGTGACAAGAACACCTAAAATATAGCACAGAAATGACAAAAATCACAAACATTCACACTTCAGAATAGTTCAGTCAACAAAGATGCCATGCATTCTTTGAAGAACCTGACGATGAATCAAGTTCTTTTTTGTTCAAAGACAAGATATATGTATACACTCTGCTTTACCAAACAACTTCCTGCTCTTACTTGGAGAAACTGACCCAGTACAATTCACAAAAGTAAACAAGTTGGTATGACTGTTGGTATTAGTTGAAAAACTTTCCATTTCTTTTGAATAATTAAAAGTTGACCAAAATAGTTATTACATGTATATATAAATAAAATTCTTCCTGTTACATCTACAGTGGTCTTTTAAAAAGAGGAATATTCACTTCTAACAGATTCAAGATTACTGAAAACTATTATCCCAGCCACCCTCAAAGCAATAAACCATCATGTTATATGCTGCTTCTAGCCAATGCTACAGAAGTAACCCTGACTGCACTCATCAACTGAAATGAATGGTAAGATAGTATGGCATACTCTCCACTTGTATCACTTTTCTTCTAGAAAACATTTCAAAACATTACTTAGAAATCCAATTACATCTGCATGTATATTCACCTAAGTTTATGAAAATTAAACCTAAAAATTTGCTTATAATTTTTTAAGTAGTTCCTCCCCATCTCTTGGATAACTGTTGTTGATACACCTGGCCCGAAATCTTCTATACATTTGAAACAACAGGCAAAGGTCCTTATTTCTTGTATGGGGCCTGTATTTGGATCTTAGGGTCTCTGACAGACAATTATAGACTAATCTACATTCAATATTAATGCCAAGCCTACTGCTTAAATAGAGAACACATGCATCTGTAAGATCTGGGCTACTTACTTGTAGGTCCCTCTGCACTATTCTTAGCCTTTCATGAATATGCTGTAGATTTTTTAATTACACGAGGCCCTTTGCAAGTAAAAATGACTTTTCCTGTTGTTTTGGCATCACTCCTCTTCCAGTGAAAACTGGACAGTCTATAAATATATACCAACTTTAAGACAATGCATTTTAATATCTATGGCATTAGAAAATAAAACTTCTTGTTAACAAATGCAATAATCAAGTTTACCAGCTAATAGAAAGGTACTTACTCCCAAAAACTACAGCCTTACCTAAAAATAGTGTCCTAGCTTCCCAGCCAAAAGGACAGACTAAAAAAGCTCTGTCTTTATTCAGCTCAGAGACACAGACTTCTACCTCACCACAACCTTCAATACTATGGCATTTCCCATTTTAGAATACTTTGTGTAACAAGTTGTTCAGTGGCCAACCACTAACTTCGCTTTGAAATGAATACTAACACTTCACAGAGTCTACATGTGTGAGAACTGTGGAAAATGTCTTGACACAATTCAGGTCAAACAACACTAGCCACACAAGATTACCTACTTCTAAGTATTCCATTTTAGACTACAAACAAACATCTCCACAGTCAAAAAGCAGACCACTGGCTCCTTTCCACAAAATTATCTGTAGGCTTCAAGAAAAAAGATAAGGCCAGGCATGGTGGCTCACGCTTGTAATCCCAGCACTTTGGGAGGCCAAGGCGGGCAGATCACCTGAGGTCAGGAGCTCGAGACCAGCCTGACCAACATGGTGAAACCCTCTCTCTACTAAAAATACAAAATTAGCCGGGTGTGGTGGCGTAAGCCTGTAATCCCTACTCGGGAAGCTGAGGCAGGAGAATTGCTTGAACCTGGAAGGTAGAGGTTGCAGTGAGCTGAGATCGCGTCATTGCACTCCAGCCTGGGCAACAAGAGTGAAACTCTGTCTCAAAAAAAAAAAAAAAGAAAAAAAATCTATCTATCTATATACATAGATACACACATATATACACATATATACATATATACACACATATCTATACACACATATATGTATATATACACACATATATGTATATATACACACATATATGTATATATACACACATATATGTATATATACACACATATATAAAGTTCAAATTGGGAGGTCTAAGGCAGGAATATGCCTCCATCTGCAAAATAAAAATAAATTTAAAAATCCATATTTGCTCTGCCAAAAATAAAAATTATATGAAATAAACATAAGCACTGCTGAGTTTCAAACACAAGAAAATGCAGTATGTGCACTTACAAAAGAATCTTGGTTTATGTCCACCTTCCTTTCCTAAGTTTTTATTTTTTTAAGGCAAAATGTCAATTACATGCCTCAATCTAGAAAAAAAAAAAAGGATAGCTTATTCTTCTTAAACAGATGTTGTGATAGACACGAAAAATTTGTGAGAGGATTTCAAAATCCAGAGGCCCAGATGTGTGGAGAAACAACAAAAAAAAAACTACAGTAACCAATCGACCACAATTACTTATTATTTTTCTAAAAAAAAACTTAGTAAAACATTTTAAGTTGAGAAAACTCGTGAAAAATGTAAAAGTAGCAAACTTCTCTTCCTCTCTATAGCACAGAAAACTATTCACTAACACTGTATCAATAATATCCTTTAAATCCAAAGCATTACAAATTAGATTAAATAAAGCACTTTGAATAAATTCACACACCGTGTGTGATCAGGACATAATGACAAACTAGTCTATTTCCTAATAAGCTAAACAGATCTCAACACTATCATCTTTATTTCAAAATAATTATTAAAGAGAAAAGTACTACTCCATTTTTCAGAAAATAAAAGCAGGAGTGATTGACCTGCCTAATTCTTTCTAACGGAAAGGGTATACTTTACGAGTCCCACAAACCAGGTACACACAAAATCCATATACATAATCACCGGGACTAAACGTACAGTAGGTGATAGACACCAAAACACAAATAAAATTAAGACATCCAAGTAAAGTTACGCAAGAAAATTTGAATAGGCAAACTATAATTATCCCTGGTGAAGATACTGATCAAGAATAGCTGCAAGTAACATTTGGCTCTTAGTTAAGTACCACTATGTTTGAGTATGTTGGAGCAACTGAAAAGATTGGTACATTCAACATATTTTTCCTTTCTAAATCTAGCCCTGCCCATAGACCCACTGACTGAGTGATACATTTGGAAAACAAAGATGGCCCCATCAAATTACTCAGTTTCAGCCTTACTCTTACCAGTTGATTAAAATAAAGAAGGAAAAAAAGGAAATCATTTTTAACTGCAGTCTCACCTTACACATCTCACCAGCACTGTAGTTCATTAGTGATCCATTACTTCATCCAAATCCTGAGGCAAATAGAAAAGATGTTTCCATACAACACCAGTAACAGACATTATCAGTAGCAAACATTTTATCAGCCTGAAGTGAAAGGGCATCTACATTTAAAATGGAAAAAGTTACAAAAATGGTACAGTGTGCAGCTTTGCAAATGAGTCTGGTTTTTGACCTTAAAACATTTCCTTTCAGTAAGGTAAAAGAATAGATTATACAATGCTCTTAAAACTCAAAAACATAATAAAATCATCTTTTTCAACACAGACTGACCTTACTTTCAAAAACATAAAGAAATGAAGGAGAGGAAATTTCATTAATATGAGTTTAAGAGAGAGCAAAATTAAGAACAAACTAGGCAAGACAGACAACTCCTCCCTCCTTCCCCCGCTCCAGGAATCCACTGTCTCTGAAGTTACACTTTTTATTATATTAATGATTTGCCTGAGAAGTGTTAAGTTGTGAGGGAGAAGGAATGACAATTTTTGAACTGCAAACAAAACCTGAGGATCCCGATCCAAGAACAATCAGAGGACCCTGGCTTCCAGCCCTGTCTGAAGATTTCTCAGCAAAGGCGAGGGTGCAGAAGGCTCCAATAATTTAGGGGAGAGGAATCGAAGTTCCCTAGGTAAGACTGCAGTCTGTGAGCCCTTGAAAAGGGTACTGGAGTACTCTCAAGGAATCTCCAGGAAAAGAGAGCCTATCTTTATTTTTGTTGATGTGCTTGTGGGCCAAAGAGCATTTCCGAGGAGGGGGCGGGGAAAGGGGGGAAGAAAGTGAATCTCGGGCCGAGAGCCCTCCGCGGGGGAGGGAGGGGGCGCACGCCTGACCCACTTTTCCCCACGCCCCCGCTCCAGCCCCCACCCCACCCGGTGGAAGTCCGAGGCCTGAGGGGGGGCATCGAGCGGGGCGTGGGAGGCCCGCACGCTCCCCACCCCCAGCCGCGACCCGGAGGAGGGGAACGTGCCGGGAGGCTCGAGTCCCCCTCCCAGAGTGCTCTGGGCCGGAGAAACCTCCCGC
Source organism: Homo sapiens (assembly GCF_000001405.40). Lineage (NCBI taxonomy): Eukaryota > Metazoa > Chordata > Mammalia > Primates > Hominidae > Homo > Homo sapiens. Next base: position 67,244,846 of record NC_000017.11, read on the forward strand.
AGGCTCCCGGGCCAGGCGTGCAAGGCCCCCTCTCCTGCCAGGGCCCAGGACGCTGCGGGCCCCAGCGGAGGGGAAGGGGACTAAGTAGGGGAAGAAGCTGTAAACAGCCCCAGCGTCCGGGCCTCGCCTCGAAGAGCCGCGCTTCCCAGGCCCAGCCGCGGGCCGCCCAGGCCCCCAGCCTGCCCCGGGGCCGCCGCGCCCGGGGTCCGGGACACCGGAGGGGAGTCGGGTCCCCTCCCCGGAGAGCTCCGGGAGCTCGCGGAGCGGCCCCAGGAGCAGAGAAGGGGGAAGTCAGGACTTACCTGTCATTACTTTCTACGCCATCTTGGATCCACTTGTCAACGTCCCCACAAAGCATTATGGGTAAGAAAGAGCCTTTAAAGTGACTCCCCCCGGCCCCCGACTCCCGCCTCCCGCCGCCGGCGCCGCCCCCTCCGGCCGCGCCTCCCGCCCGGAAAGTTGCCCCGGGTGGACTGCCGACCCCGGCGCCCGCAGCTGGCCCCTTCCCCTCCCCCGGGCTGACGGCATTGAAAATTCACCCGCATTTTTAAAACGTGGCTTTGGGGTTTTCTCCCTTTCTCCTGCCCCGGCCTCCCTGCCCCCACGCCCGGTCCTCTCGCCTCGCCGCGTTCCTGCCCGGGCAGACGCCCCGCGTCTGCATTGAATCAACCCGAGGTTTCCTTGCCGCCCGCGGCGCGGCGCGGAGCTGCTCGCGGATTTATTTGTGCGCGTGGATGTGAGCGTTTCTGCTCCTGCGGCCGCGCTTCCAGGAAGCCCGCGAGCGGCCGGGGTCGCCTTCAGAGGCCGCGCAGACCAGCTCCGCACCCGCCGCCCGGAGAGGTGCCTCTGCCCTGGGAAACCGCCCCGGGGCCGTTGGGCTCCGGGAACTGGGAGGACGCCGTGTCCCCGAGTCCACCAGCGTCGAAGCACGATTTAAAAAAAAAAATTGAGCCAAATGCAACTTTTTACCCCTTGTTTACTCTGTGTCCCGCGGTCTCCTCCTCCGGGCGGGTAACGTGATCCGCGACCCTCTAGGTGGGGACCCCTCCCCTAGGAATGTGGCTCCAGGCTCCGCGGAGCCACCCTGGGAGCGTCCGGGCTGCGGACTGTGACTCCGGGGCAGGTAATCCGGGGCGCCGGCTGCGGGCTCCGGGCGGGGCGGGGCGCGGAGGCAGCCAGGGCTCGGGGGAGGGTCCCGGGCGGAAAGCAGGGTGCGCCAGTCCGGGTCCACCTGGCGGGTCGGGGGAGAACCGCGGGCGCCGCTGCAGCTCGGGAGGCTGGAGGTGGGGACGCCCGGCGTCTCCGGGCTGCGACCCGCTGCGCTGGAAAGTGTGGGGCGCCTTGGCGCGGGCTGAGGTCTCTGACCCGGGCGAGTACCCCCAGCCCGCCGGCCACACTGCTGCCGGGCATCCTCTCCCCGCGACACCACGCCCGCTTTCGGCTGCGCGGGGCGAGCAGCGTACTGACCCCGGCGTCCAGCCGCCCAGGTCCCCCCAGCAACGGAGGCCCCTTGGTCAGCCTCCTCCCGCGCTCTCCGCAGAGCCTCTGGTCCCTGCTTTGCTGTCTTTGGAGGCCTGCTCCAGTTGCTTTTTTTTTTTTCCAAGCAAGTTTTTACAACAAGGAGATACCCAAAAGAAAATTCTCCAAGACAGGAATGCTTGCGAATTGTATTCGGTACAAAATGCTGTTGAACGGCTCTACCTTTAGAAGACCGCAGAAGCACTGGCATTAAAACCCTCTTTCGGTGCACGGGGAGGGCCTGGGGCCTTGGATCTACCCGAGGATTTTACGCTCCTCCAGACCCTATCAACAGCCTCACTAGGAACGTGAACGGTGGCAGACAGGAGCCCTGCCCCTGGGGAGCCAAAAACTCCACCAGGCAATTGTCCCGGTCTGATGAGAAGGTGTAGACACATTAAGGGATTGGCCCCGGGTCACTCGTGAAGGAGGGAACGAGGTAGTGAGTCATTCCCAGCCAAGAACGCAGCGTGCTGGGGAGCAACCTCCCCTGAGTCACCTGCTTCTCACCTCGGAATAAGTGGAGAAACTGGAGCCTGGAGCCAGGTTCTTAGACGGCCCAGCAAGGTAGCCACCAAGGGCATGGGCTAGGCTGGGGGGAGGCAGCGCCCCTCCTGCTGGAAAAGGGAATGCTTGGCCCGTCTGAAGAAGGCTCCAATGTCTCTTTCCAGGGTACCCCAGGTGCTTCTTTTCCAATTCCTCTTTTGCACTTATTTAGCCACTGGTATGCACTGGCTTAATGGTGGTTTTGTTTGCATGGCACCTTTAGGTATGTGGTCTGAGTTTATGCAAAAGTAATGACAAAAGCCGCAGTGACTTTTGCACCCACCTAATATAAGTAAACAGGAAATAAGTTGAGGGCAAGGACTGTGTCTCCCAAACACGTTTCTTTGATAAGCAGCCTTTCTTTGCCTTGTATAGGCATTGACCCAAATAAGTGTTCAGTTTGTGTGACTGCCCAACCCATTCACTGCCTCCAGTGTGTGCATCCAAGCCCAACCTTGTCAAATACACCGCCTGTTGCCTGAGCTGGGACGGCCTGCCGACTCTTCTCCCTGCCCCTCCTGGATACCTACAATGCATCCTCCACCTGACCAACCCTGTGATATTTTATGAATGTAAATCAGATCGAGACTTCTCTGCTGAAACCTTGGAATAAAACCCAGATTCCCAACCCTGGCCTACAAGCTCCTGTGTGAGGTGGTCCCACCTTCCCTCACCAGCAGTGGTCCAGGCTGGCCTTCTCTCTTTCCCTGCAGCGCCCCAAGCTTCCTTCCAGTGAGAACCCTATTCCCCCAGATCTTCTGATTATCTTTTCTTTGACAGAGTCTTGTTCTGTCGACCAGGCTAGAGTGCAGTAGCGCGATCTCAATTCACTGCAACCTCCGCCTTCTAGGTTCAAGCTGTTCTCTGCCTCAACCTCCTGAGTAGCTGGGATTACAGGCGTCCGCCACCGCGCCCGGCTCATTTTTGTATTTTTAGTAGAGACAGGGTTTCACCATCTTGGCCAGGGTGATCTTGAACTACTGACCTCGTGATCCATGCGCCTTGGCCTCCCAAAGTGCTGGGATTACAGGCGTGAGCCACCACGCCCGACCCATCATCTTTTCATCATATTTAGGTCCCCTCAAAGAGGACTTTTGTGATCCCCCTACCCAGACCAAGTCACTCTGAACACTTGACCTGTGTTAGAAGTTCTCTTGTTTAGGTCGGACGCTGTGGCTCATGCCTGTAATCCCAGCACTTTGGGAGGCCAAGGTGGGTGGATCACAAGGTCAGGAGTTCAAGACCAGCCTGGCCAAGATGGTGAAACCCTGTCTCTACTAAAGGTACAAAAATTACAGCGCGCCTGTAATCCCAGCTACTCGGGAGGCTGAGGCAGGAGAATTGCTTGAACCTGGGGGGCCAAGGTTGCAGTGAGCCAAGATCGTGCCACTGCCCTCCAGCCTGGGTGACAGAGTGAGAATTCCATCTCAAAAAAAAAGTTCTCTTGTTTGCCTGTTGTTAGTTGTTTCTTATCTGCCCCGCCCCCATTTGATCATATGCTCCCTCTGGGCACAGGCTCTGTCTGGCTTATTTGCCTCAGTGACTAGACCAGGGCCTGGCACATACATAGACGCTCACCAAGTATTAGTCGAGTACATGACCAAACTTCTCTCAGGGATGGGCGTGTTGATGAAAAGGAGTGCTAAAGTGTGAAGTGAGATGCTGAGGGCCCTGCCTCGCATCTCTTCAGACCACTGACCACACACAGCTAGAGGCAGGCAGAAAGGAACAGTGTTGAGGGAAAACAGGTCCCTTGGCCACCACTGATTTAGCTCAATTCTGATTCTGATCTCATGAACACACACAGCCCTAACTAACTGATCCCCCCGACATCACATCCCTCTTCCTTCCCACATTTTTTCTTTCTCCTCTGCTCCCACTGGCCGTGGCTTCTTTTCTTTTCTTTTTTTTTTTTTTTTTTGAAACAGTGTCTTTCTCTGTCACCCAGGCCGGAGTGCAGTGGCGCGATCTTGGCTCACTGCAACCTCCACCTCCTGGGTTCAAGCGATTCTCCTGCCTCAGCCTCCCGAATGCTGGCACCACAGGCACACACCACCACGCCCAGGTAATTTTTGTATTTTTAGTAGAGACAGGGTTTCACCATGTTAACTAGGCTGGTCTCGAACTCCTAGCCTGAAGTGACCCACCCGCCTCGGCTTCTCAAAGTGCTGGGATTACAGGTGTGAGCCACTGTGCCCGGCCGCAGTGCCTTCATTTTCTGCTTGGAGAGTCCCAAGTCTCAGTCCTTGGGTTTCTCTTCTACAACTACACTCCCTGGTCATTTGCCTTAGTACAAAAATTAGCTGGGCGTGGTGGTGGGCGCCTGTAATCCCAGCTACTCCAGAGGCCAGGGCAGGAGAAACGCTAGAACCTGGGAGGCAGAGGTTGCAGTGAGTTGAGATCGTGCCACTGCACTCTAGCCTGGGTGACAAGAGTGAGACTTCATCTCAAAAAAAAAAAGAGAAATAATTATAATGGACTGCCCACGGTGGCTCACGCCTGTAATCTCAGCACTTTGAGAGGCCGAGGCCAGGAGTTCGATCACTTGAGACCAGGAGTTCGGGACCATCCTGGCCAACATGGCAAACCCTATCTCTACAAAAAATACAAAATTTAGCTGTGCATGGTGGCTCATGCCTGTCATCTGATCCCAGCTACTCGGGAGGCTGAGGCAGGAGAATCAAGAATCGCTTGAACCTGAGGGGCGGAGGTTGCAGTGAGCTGAGATAGCGCCACTGCACTCCAGTCTGGGTGACAGAGTGAGACTGTCTCAAAAAAAAAAAAATTATAATGCCTTGAGGAATGTAAAGTACATCTAGAATTGAAATATTTGATAACAGTGAGTATAAATCTGAGAAGGGCGGTGGTTGCAGTTAGTGGAGTTAAAATGGTCCAAAGTAGGCCGGGCGCGGTGGCTCATGCCTGTAATCCCAGCACTTTGGGAGGCTGAGGAGGACGGATCACAAGGTCAGGAGATCAAGACCATCCTGGCTAACACAGTGAAACCCCATCTCTACTAAAAATACAAAATATCAGCTGGGTATGGTGGCGGGCGCCTATACTCGCAGCTACTTGGGAGGCTAAGGCAGGAGAATGGCGTTAACCTGGGAGGCGGAGCTTGCAGTGAGCAGAGATCCCGTCACTGCACTCCAGCCTAGGTGACAGACTGAGACTCCGTCTCAAAAAAGCAAAAAACAAACAAAAAAAAGGTCCAAAGTATTTACATTATCCAGCAATACGACTAAAGTACCAGTTAAGACTAGACATTGACAAAGGCAAAGATGCATGTTGTAACATCTAAGTTAATCACTAGACCTGTAAAAGAATGAATAATTTCCAAGCTAACATAGAGGGAAGACAATAATAAATTCAAAAGAAGGCAAATACTGATTAAAAAGACCACAAAAGGCCAGGCAGGGTGGCTCACGCCTGTAATCCCAACACTTAGGGAGGCTGAGGCGAGCGGATCACAAGGTCAAGAGATCGAGACCATCCTGGCCAACATGGTGAAACCCCGTCTCTACTAAAAATACAAAAATTAGCCGGGCGTGGTGGCGGGTGCTTGTAATCCCAGCTACTTGGGAGGCTGAGGCAGGAGAATCGCTTGAACCCGGGAGGCAGAGGTTGCAATGAGCTGAGATCGCACCACTGCACTCCAGCGTGGCAACAGAGTGAGACTCCATTTCAAAAAAAAAAAAAACAAAAAAAAAACACGCAAAGTAGGTGGGATTTAAACAAATTATATCAGTAATTACTTTAAATGTATTAATAAACTAATTGCTCTAGTTATAAAACTAATTATATGCTGTTATCAAGAAGTAAACCTAAAAGATATGGATTTTAAAAATTTAAAATAGTATAGGCTGGGCGCGGTGGCTCATTCCTGTAATCGCAGCACTTTGGGAGGCTGAGGCAGGTGGATCACTTGAGGTCAGGAGTTCAAGACCAGCCTGGCCAACATGGTGAAACTCCGTCTCTACTAAAAATACAAAAAATAGCTGGGCGTGGTGGCGCACACCTGTAATCTCAGCTAGTCAGAAGGCTACCGCAGGGGAATTGCTTGAACCTGGGAGGCGGAGGTTGCAGGGAGCCGAGACTGTGCCATTGCACTCCAGCCTGGGTGACAGAGTGAGACTCCGTCTCAAAAAAAAAAAAAAGAAGTAACCATATAGACAAAGACAAGCCATGCAAACAGAGTGAAAAGCAACCTACGGTGACTCACGCCTGTAATCCCAGCAGTTTGGGAGGCTGAGGAGGGTGGATCCCTTGAGGCCAGAAGTTCAAGACCAGCCTGGTCAACATGGCGAAAGCCTGTCTCTACTAAAAATACAAAAATTAGCTGGGTGTGATGGTGCACACCTGTAATCCCAGCTACTCAGCAGACTGAGAATCGCTTGAATCCAGGAGGCGGAGGTTACAGTGAGCCAGGATCACACCACTGCACTCCAGCCTGGGCAACAAAGTGAGAGTTACTGTCCCCAAAAAAACACACAAAATGAAAGGCAACCTACAGAATGAGAGAAATGGGAGAAAATATTTATAAATCATATATCTGGTAAGGGGTTAACATCCAGAATAGACAAAGAATGCCTACAAGTCAACAACGACCAAAAAAAAAAAAAAAAAAAACCCAATCTGATTTTAAAATGGGCAAAGAATACCACCTCACACCCATTAAGATGGTCACTATCAGGAAAAAAAAAAAAAAAGAACAGAAAATAACAAGTGTTGTCAAAGATGCACCCTTGCGCATTGCTAATGGGAATGTAAAATGGTACAGCTGCTAAAGAAAACAGTATAGCAGGCCCTCAAAAATTAAACGTAGAGGCCAGGTGCAGTGGCTCACGCCTGTAATCCCAGTGCTTTGGGAGGCTGAGGTGGGCGGATCACTTGAGGTCAGGAGTTCAAGGCCAGCCAGGCCAACATGGCAAAACCTCATTTCTACTAAAAATAACAAAAATTAGCCTGGTGTGGTGGCACATGCCTGTAATCTCAGCTATTCAGGAAGCTGAGGCACAAGAATCACTTGAACCTGGGAGGTGGAGGTTGCAGTGAGCTGAGACCATGCCATTGCACTCTAGCCTGGGCGACAAAGCAAGACTCCATCTCAAAATAATAATAATAATAATAATTAAACATAGAATCACCATGTAATCCAGCAGTTTTAATTCTGGGTATATGCCCAAAGGAATTGAAAGCAGGATCTCAAACAAATATTTGTACAGCCACATTCATAATATTATTCATCACAGCCAAAAGATGAAAACAACACAAGTGCCCACTGATGGACGAATGGATAAATACAATGTGGTACATACACACAGTGAAATACTAATTTTTGTTTTGAGACAGGGTCTCACTCTGTCGCCCAGGCTGGAGTACAGTGGCACGAACAAGGCTCACTGCAGCCTCAACCTCCTGTGCTCAAGCAATCCTACCACCTCAGCGTCCTGAGTAGGTGGCACACCTATAGGCACGTGCCACCATACCCAGCTAATTTTTTAATTTTTTTGTAGAGTTGGGGTCTCCCTATGTTGCCTCGGTTGGTCTCCTTCCACCTCTGCCTCCCAAAGTGCTGGATTACAGGTGTGAGCCATCATATCTGGCCTTAAGTCTTAAAAAGGAAGAAAATTCTGACACATGCTACCACAAGGATGAACCTTGAGGACATTAGGTTAGTAAAATAAAGCAGATAAGCAGACAGAAAAGTACACATACTGTATGACTCCACTTATATGAGGTTCCTACAGGAGTCAAATTTATACAGAGAGTAGAAGGGTGATTGCCAGGGGCTGGGGTAGGAGAGAATGGGAAGTTGTTATTTAATGGACATAGTTTTAATTTTGCAAGATGAAAAGAGTTCTAGAGATCAGCTGGCAAAATAGGTCAAATGTACTTTACTGACCTGTATACTTAAAAACTCTTAGATGGGAAATTTTCTATTACACATATTTTACCGCAGTTTACAAAATTAAAACATTTGAAGCTGGGTGCGGTGCCTCACGCCTGTAATCCCAGAACTTCGGGAGGCCAAGGTGGGCGGATCACCTGACATCAGGAGTTGAAGACCAGCCTGGCCAACATGGTGAAACCCCGTCTCTACTAAAAATACAAAAAAAAATTAGCCGTCATGGTGGCGCGTGCCTGTAATCCCAGCTATTTGGGAGGCTGAGGCAGGAGAATCACTTCAACCTGGGAGGCAGAGGTTGCAGTGAGCCGAGATCATGCCACTGTACTCCAGCCCGGGAGACATACTGAGACTCAGTCTCAAAAAAAAAAAAAAAAAAAATTTAAACACCAACCATGCAAAGACTGATCAAAATAAAGTAGGCTTTAGGGCAAGCAGCATTACTAGAAATAAGGAAAGACACTGGGTAACGTTAATATTCTCAATTCGCCAAGAAGATATAACAATTCTAAGTTTGTGTGTTGCTGATAAACATAGGCTCAAAATATATAAAGCAAAAAATAGTCCGAATTCCAAGGAGACAAATCTATGATTATAGCAGAAGTTATGTCTGTCAGTAACTGTTAAAAGAAGCATATGCAAAATTAGTAAGCAATAGATCTGAACCACTGGATAAGCAAACTTTAACCAAATGGACATATATAGAATAGTGCACCCACAACTGCAGATCCCAGATTCTTTTCAAGTATACATGGAATGTTTATGAAATGCTCGGCAATATAGCAAGTTCCAACAAATTTCAAGTGATGTAAATCATACAGAGTACATTCTCAGACAATGATGCAATTAAGCTGGAAAATAAGAATTTTAAAAATTAGGAAATATCTACATGTTCAGAAACTATACATATACTTGTAAATAACTCACATTTTTTAAAAAGATCACAATGGGAATTAGAAAATATTTTAAACTGATAGTTCATAAAAATATTACATCCTCAAAAATGAGATGCAGCTAAAGCCATACTTCAATGGAAGGTTTTTAATTAAAGTATTTTTAATGCCTGTATTAGAAAATAAGAGAGACTGAAATAAGAATAAACAAAGTACTCTTGTTGAGAAATTAGAAAAAACATCTAATTAAGCACAAAGAAATGAAAACATAGGCTAAAGTTAATTCTTTGAGAAGCCCAATAAAATTAAGCCCCTGGTAAGTCTATTTTTTTTTTCTTTATGGAGATGGAATCTCTCTGTGTCGCCCAGGCTGGGGTGCAGTGGCACAATCTTGGCTCCCTGCAACCTCTGCCTTCCAGGTTCAGGCGATTCTCCTGACTCAGCCTCCCGAGTAGCTGGGACTACAGGCACGTGCCAACACATCTGGCTAATTTTTTGTATTTTTAGTAGAGATGGGGTTTCTTTTTTTTCTCTCTTTTTTTTTTTTTTTTTTTTTTTGAGAAGGAGTCTCGCTGTGTCCCCCAGGTTGGAGTGTAGTGGCGCGATCTCAGCTCACTGCAAGCTCCACCTCCCGGGTTCACGCCATTCTCCTGCCTCAGCCTCCCAAGTAGCTGGGACTACAGGTGCCCGCCAACACGCCCGGCTAATTTTTTGTATTTTTAGTAGAAATGGGGTTTCACCGTGTTAGCCAGGATGGTCTCGATTTTCTGACCTCATGATCCGCCCATCTCGGCCTCCCAAAGTGCTGGGATTACAGGCGTGAGCCACCGCGCCCGGCTAGACGGGGTTTCACCATGTTAGCCAGGATGGTCTTGATCTCCTGACGTCGTGTTCCGCCCGCTTCGGCCTCTCAAAGTGCTGGTACTGGCGTGAGCCACCGTACCTGGCTTTTTTTTTTTTTTTTTTGACACAGTTTCACTGTGTTGCCCAGGCTGGAATGCAGTGGTGCGATCTTGGCTCACTGCAGCCTCCGCCTCCCAGGTTCAAGTGATTCTCATGCCTCAGCTTCCCAAGTAGCTGGGATTACAGGCGTGTGCCACTATGCCCAGCTAATTTTTGGTGAAATCCCGTCTCTGCTAAACATACAAAAAATTAGCTGGGCGTGGTGGTGCATGCCAGTGGTCCCAGCTACGGCGGAGGCTGAGGCACAAGAATTGCTTGAATCCGGGAGGCAGAGGTTGCATTAAGCAGAGATCACTCCCCTGCACTCCAGCCAGGGGCAAAAGAGTGAGACTTTGTCTCCAAAAAAAAGAAGAAAGACACCTAACCTCTACAAAGAAAAATTAATTCCAGGTGGGTTGTAGATTTAAATATGTAAGAAAAAAATATAAAGCTCCTAAAACAGTACAAATCAAGAGAAAATGAAAGTATTCTATGATCTGTGCTTTAATACAGGCAACTGAGGAATTTTTTAATTTTTTTTTAAAGACAGAGTCTTGCTCTGTTGCCAGGCTGGAGTGCAGTGGCGCAATCTCGGCTCACTGCGACCTCCACCACCCGGGTTCAAGCGATTCTCCTGCCTCAGCCTCCTGAGTAGCTGGGACTACAAGCACACGCCACCATGCCCAGCTAATTTTTGTGTTTTTAGTAGAGACGGGGTTTCACCATGTTGGCCAGGATGGTCTCGATCTCTTGACCTCGTGATCCGCCCCCCCCCCCCCATCCCCCTGCCATGGCCTCCCAAAGTGCTGGGATTACAGGCGTGCACCACTGCACCTGGCTTTTGTTTCATTTTAATTCATTTCTGTTTAAGTAGTCACAGATGGCCACCATATTGGGTACCACAGAACTAGGAGATAATATTAAAATATCTTTGTGACCTGAAGGTAGGAAAGAATTATTAAACAGGACACAAAAATCAATAACCAAAAAGAAGAAAAAAATTAAGAAGTTTGACTGCATTAAAATTAAGAAATTGTGTACACTACAAAACATTAAAAGAGTGCAATGTCATGTCACAAGTGGAAAAGGATATTTACAGCATGAATAACAAAGGACTGAGATCTAGAATATATAAAGGATTCTTACATATCAATAAGGAAAAAAAAGAACCCAAAAGAAAACCAGATAAAAGCCATTAACAGGCAATGCACCAGAAAAGATATCCAAATGACCGATAAAGGTGTTTGAAACTGCTCAACCTCACTCATAAGCAAATAAATACAAATTAAAATCGTGATGAGATAGCAGCACACACCCAGCAGAAGGGCTTAAATTAAAAAGGCTGACAATACAGAGAGATGGTTAGGATGTAGGGCAATGGAATCTCAAATACAGCTGGGTCAAGTTTGGATTGGTATAACCACTTTGGAAAACTGTTTGGCAGTATCTACTGACGTTGAACATCCTCTGTAACCCAGCAATTTCACTCCAGGAAATATATGAACTTGTACCTCAAAAGACATGAGTATTTGTATTAGAATATTCTATAAGTATTTGTAGCAGTATGAATCATAATAGCCAAAAGTTGGGGGCAGACCCAGATGTACCTCAGCAGTGGAATGAGCAAACTTCTACATTCATACTGTGAATTACCCCACAGCAGGCAAGGAATAGTGGCTCAGGCCTGTAATCCCAGCACTTTGGGAGGCCTAGATGGGCCAATCACTTGAGGCCAGGGGTTCAAGCCCAGCGTGGCCAACATGGCAAAACCCCATCTCTACACAAAAATTAGCCAGGCATGGTGGCGCACACCATGCTAATCCCAGCTACTCAGGAAGCTGACACAGCAGAATTGCTTGAACCCAGGAGGTGGAGGCTGCAATGATCTGAGATCACACCACTGCACTCCAGCCTGGACAACAGAGCAAGACCCCGTCTCAAAAAACAAAAGGCAAACAAAATTAAACTACAGCATTGACAGACACATGCTTAGCAAGGAGACAATTGCCATAAAATTTAGGACTGTGGTTGCCTCTAAAAGGAGGTGGGAAGCATGAGTGAGGGTTCGAGTTGCTCATGATGGTACATGTCTTGACCTGATGTTCTGTGACATGGCTCTTTGCTGTGTGATAAAACAATGAGCTATCTCTGTTTCATACACTTTTCTGTAGTGTGTTATATTTCACAATAAGAAAAGGCTAAAAGAAAACAGACTGGCACGGTGGCTCACACCTGTAATCCCAGCACTTTGGGAGGCCGAGGCAGATGGATCATGAGGTCAGGAGTTGAAGACCAGCCTGGCCAAGGTGATGAAACCCTGTCTCTACTAAAAATGCAAAAATTAGCCGGGCGTGTTGGCGGGCACCTGTAATCCCAGCTACCCGAGAGGCTGAGGCAGAGAATTGCTTGAACCCCGGAGGCAGAGGTTGCAGTGAGCCAAGATCTCACCACTGCACTCCAGCCTGGGTGACAGCGAGACTCCATCTCAATAAATAAATAAATAAATAAATAAATAAATAAATAAATATTCAGCTGGGCGCGGTGGTTCACGCCCGTAACCCCAGCACTTTGGGAGGCCAACGCGGGGTTGGCCAAGGTTAGGAGATCAAGAACATCCTGACTAACACCACTGAAACCCATCTCTACTAAAAATACAAAAAACTAGCTGGGCATGGTGGCACGTGCCTGTAGTCCCAGCTACTCGGGAGGCTGAGGCAGGAGAATAGCTTCAACCCAGGAGGCAGAGGTTGCAGTGAGCTGAGATCAAACAACTGCACTTCAGCCTAGGTGACAGAGCAAGACTCTGTCTCAAAAAAAAAAAAAAAAATAAAAATTTAAAACTCAGTGGATATGTTTGACAAAAAAGCAGCTCTGTATTTTTCTCCTTCCTAATGAAAGCAGGAACCTTTCTAAAAGGAAGTAGTAGAAGTTTGCAGCATTTCTGGCCTCCCAAACATATCCAGTGGCTGTTTCTGGCTTCTCAGTTCACTTTTGAATCCCCTACTTTTCCTTCTCTCTCCTAGTCAGATGTGTTCTGTGTGTGTGTGTGTGTGTGTGCATGAGTGTGTGAATGCATGAGTGTGTGAATGCATGTATGTGTGAACGTGTATTTGTGTGTGGATGAGTGTGTGTGAATGTTTACGTCTGTGTGTTTGCGTGTGTTTGTGAACATGTATGTGCTAACGTGCTTGTGTTTGTGAACATGAGAGTATGTGAGACTGTGTGTGTGTGTGTGAATGAGTGTGTATGTGTGTGTGCGCACAGGCGCCTGTGTGGCTCAGCCTTGGCCCTTGGCTCTCTGGCTTCTGCAGGCTCTCCCACGGAGCACCCTCTGCTGACTCTGCAGCCCCGCAGGCCTTCCTCGAACAGTCCATGACAGGAAGCCAGGCTTCCTGGGGTCCTGAGTCAGCAGAGCAGGAAGGAAACAAAGGCCTCAGAACCGCAGAAGAGAAAGAAGGCAGCCTGAAGACAGAAGGCGACCCTCTGAAGACAGGTCTAGAGACTTAACGTATGATGTTCCTGGAGTCCTGTTGCCTGTAAGGGAAGCACAAACCCTGAGTTGCACTGTGTCCTCTGACCTGTCTGATCCCAGGCAAGCTCCTCGGCCTCTCTCTGCTACAGTTTCTTTGCCTGTGAAACAGGGATAATAAAATAGCCTTTCCATGGGCTGAGCACGGTGGTTCACACCTGTAATCCCAGCACTTTGGGAGGCCAAGGCGGGTGGATCACGAGGTCAGGAGTTCAAGACCATCCTGGCCAACACAGTGAAACCCCGTCTGTATTAAAAATACAAAAACTAGCTGTGCATGGTGGTGCGTGCCTGTAGTGCCAGCTACTCAAGAGGCTGAGGCAGGAGAATTGCTTGAACCCGGGAGGTAGAGGTTGCAGTGAGCCGAGATCGCGCCACTGCACTCCAGCCTGAGCAACAGAGTGAGGCTTCGTCCCAAAAAAAAAAAAAAAAAAAAAAAAAACAATAGCCTTTCCAGGGACTGTGGGATTACAGGCTTCTCAAACCTCAGCTTGGATAGAGTAAGTCTACAGAAGATTAGCTCTTACTACTTCAACGGTTTTAAAACAGGGAATGTTAAATACCCACTTATTTTCTTCCTGCCTTTTAGCTCCCACGTTTCAATTGAAACTAATATCGAACAAGCAAACAAAACAAATCAGAAACCCCCTGGTAGCCAGGGTTTGGCATTTGTGATTAATCTACAGGAGATCAGTACTAAAATAGGATATTATGTCTGAGGACATTTTCATCCTAGGTCCTACTGCAACTCGAATGGCACTTAGGCTCCACAAGACCAACTTCCTATTTCTACATCAGTGAAGGTTCGGAGTGGAGCTTTTCATTCAGCAAAGACAGCAGGAAGCACAGGGTTCGGTGATGAATTCTCACGTGGTGAGCGTGGTCTCCAGAGGTGTTAAGATGTTGTGGGAAAGCAGAAAGCACCAGGTTTAGAGGTGACTTAGACCTTGGTCCACGAGACCTTTGGCTAACTACTGAATCTGGCCCTTCTTATCCATCAAAGGGAAACACTGGACTACATGGTCTAAATTTCCTTCACCTCAATAAGTAAGGGTTTCACTCTTCTAACAAAAGAAAGAAAGAGGGTCAGGTGCAGTGGCTCACACCTGCAATCCTAGCACTTTGGGAGGACGAGGCAGGCGATCACCTGAGGTCAGGAGTTCAAGACCAGCCTGGCCAACATGGTGAAACCCCATCTCTACTAAAAATACACAAATTAGCTGAGCGTGGTGGCGGGTGCCTGTAGTCACAGCTACTCGGGAGGCTGAAGCAGGAGAATGGCTTGAACCCAGGAGGCGAAGGTTGCAGTGAGCCAAGATCACACCACTGCACTCCAGCCTGGGTGACAGAGCAAGACTCCCTCTCAAAAAAAGAGAGAGGGAAGGAGGGGTAGAGGGAAGGAGGGGTAGAGGGAGGGAGGGAGGGAAAGAGAGAAAAAGAAGGAAAGAGAGAGGCCAGGCATGGTGGCGCACACCTGTAATCCCAGCACTTCGGGAGGCCGAGGCAGGTGGATCACAAGGTCAGGAGTTCGGGACCAGCATGGCCACTATGGTGAAACCCCATCTCTACTAAAAATACAAAAAAACAAATTAGCCGGGCGTGATGGCGCATGCCTGTAATCCCAACTACTCGGGAGGCTGAAGCAGGAGAATTGCTTGAACCCAGGAGGCAGAGGTTGCAGTGAGCCGAGATCGCGCCACTGCACTCCATCCTGAGGGACAGAGCGAGACTCTGTCTCAAAAAAAAAAAAAAGAAAAGAAAAGAAAAAAGGAGGAGGGAGAGAAGAAAGGAGAGCGAGTGATGAAGATTTTGGCTAAGAACCAGCTATGAAGAAAAAAAAAAAAGTATCCCCTAAAGTCTTTCTTCTTACAAAACAAAGTGTGTTTTAATTATAAGTCAAATTTCACTTTAAAGGAAGAAAATAACCCTTAGGCATTTTCTGTTCTAGTTAATTTAACTTTAATTTTTGTCTCCAGCAGGTACCTCTTCAGTAGAAAAATTCAATAAGGTTTCTGACACTTTCTACCTATGGGCCAGTTACATACAGAAGAGAAAACTGAAACTGAAAACTGGTTTGTCATTTTTACAGAAAGTCACTGCAAAGAAGGAGAATTCCAAGTGCAAATGACTTGAGTACGTAATTCTTTTGTGCCATTTCTGTTACTATAGGGTTAATCCAGTATGAAGAAAGTGACAAAGGGCAGCATTTATTTTTATGGATTCCACATTATAACCAAGTACTTGGCAACCTGCCCTCTCATATGTTGCGAAACAAAAATGTTGCTTTCAGTGTGTTTTTAATAGGCCAAGCAGTTTGTTTGATCACAGTGGTCGGGTATACACTCAGAGACGCCAGAACATTCTCATTGCGTTTTCACTGCTTTGGTTAACATCTTGGTCTCCTGTCCGCACTCTAAAGAACCATTTGAGGACTCAGGGGAGTCATGTCCTGGGAGTGACTATGGGTCCTAGGCCACAGCCCCCACTCTCTCAGCCTAAACCACTCAAAGGCACTCAGATCCGGATTTGCAAAATATTTTGCAAAACTTGCAAAAACCCCACCAGTTTTAGATTTTGAAATTGTTGGCACAGGCAACCGTCTACAATCATGAAATTCTCATGAGTGAGGTGGAACAGATTTCTGTAAACAAAGCAAACTCCAGTCTCTCCAGCCTGCTGTAGAAATATTTATACCCGGCCGGGTGCAGTGGCTCACACCTGTGATCTCAGCACTTTGGGAGGCCGAGGCGGGTGGATCACCTGAGGTCAGGCGTTCGAGACCAGCCTGGCCAACATGGTGAAACCCCACCAGTACTAAAAATACAAAAATTGGCCAGGCGCGGTGGCTCACGCCTGTAATCCCAGCACTTTGGGAGGCCAAGGCAGGTGGATCACCTGAGGTCAGGAGTTTGAGACCAGCCTGGCCAACATGGCAAAAACCCACCTCTACTAAAAATACAAAATTAGCTGAGCATGGTGACAGATGCCTGTAATCCCAGCTACTCGGGAGGCTGAGGCAGGAGAATTGCTTGAACCCGATAGACGGAGGTTTCAGTGAGCCGAGATCACGCCACTGCACTCCAGCCTGGGCGACAGTGAGACCCCATCTCAAAAAAAAAAAAAAAAAAAAAAAAAAAAAAAAAGTCAGGTGCGGTGGCTCATGCCTATAATCCCAGCACTTTGGGAGGCCAAGGTAGGTGGATAACCTGAGGTCGGGAGTTCAAGACCAGCCTGACCAACATGGAGAAACTCCATCTCTACTAAAACTACAAAATTAGCCAGGCATGGTGGCACATGCCTGTAATCCCAGCTACTCGGGAGGCTGAGGCAGGAAAATTGGTTGAACCTGGGAGGTGGAGGTTGCAGTGAGCTGAGATCGCACCATTGCACTCCAGCCTGGGCAAACAAGAGCGAAACTCTGTCTCTAAAAAAGAAAAGTACAAAAAGTAGTTGGGTGTGGTGGTGTGCACCTGTAATCTCAGCTATTTGGGAGACTGAGGCATGAGAATAGCTTGAACCCAGGAAGCAGAGGTTGCAGTGAGCCAAGATTGCACCAGTGCACTCCAGCCTGGGCGACAGAGCAAGGATCTGTCTCAAAAAAAAAAAAAAAAAAAACCAGAAAAGAAAAAGAAATATTTATACCCAAAGAAAAGGGTCCCTTCCAGCTCAAGGATGTGTTAATGTAATTTTTTTTTTAACTATAAATGAAGTGCTTTGAGCAAACCTCAGAACCTTCAGGTGCACATTTTACCCTAACTCATCTCTTTGCCCCATAGGCTTGACGGAAAGGTAAAAATATCCCTATGATTCTCTTCACAAGAAGGTAGCCAAGTATTTATTGGATGCAAGACAGTTTGTTTAAGGAGCCTAAAAAAGCAAAGATGCAGCGGTGAGAAAGAACAAGATCATGACCTTTGCAGGAACATGGATGGAGCTGGAGGCCATTATCCTTAGCAAACTAACACAGGAACAGAAAACCAAGTACCGCATGTTCTCACTTAAAAGTGGGAGCTACATGATGAGAACACACAGACACATAGAAGGGAACAGCACACACTGGGGACTTTCGGAGGGTGGAGGGTGGGAGGAAGGAGAGGATTGGGAAAAATAACTAATGGCTACTAGGCTTAAAACTTGGGGGACAAAATAATATGTACAACAAAACCCCATGACACAAGTTTACCTAGTAACAAACCTGCACTTGTACCCCAGAACTTAAAAGTTAAAAAAAAATCTATTGACTCAAAAGCCTGGTAAGCAGCTTTCACTGTTTTCACCAAACCTCATCAGACCCAAAACAATAGACCTTCCATTGTCTTGACCAAAGGTAAAGATCCGCCTCACAAGAAAGGAGCCAGCTGTTTATTGCACGTAAGGCAGTTTTTTAAAGAACTCCTTTAAAAAACAATCTGTTGACTCAAAAGCCTCGTGACCAGCTTTCACAGTATTCACCAGACCTCGTCAGAGCCACAATAAACTTTCCCATAATAGCTTCGGTGTCCCAGAAGACAGCAGCAAAGCTATGGGTTGATTTATCAGTCATTATTAACATACGTATCTGCACACAGTTGGATTTCTTTTAAATGGGGCCTAATTTTTTTTTCTGACCCTTGTACCATGTTTGCCCACCTGATTTTGTTATCTAAAGGCTTTATGTGAAGTCAGGAGAGTTTCCAACACTAAGATGATAGGAAGTGGATGATGGTTCTTTACACCAAATAAAGCTACCCTCACTGGAATTCTTACAAAGTGAGAGGCCACAGTTCCAGGGACCAAAGAGCCAGCATCAAGCAGGGCAGAGCAGGGCTGAAATTGAGCCTCCTGTTATTCCCATTCTATCCCTCACTGGGTCCTCTATTTCTTTCTTCCTGTTTTTTGTTTGTTTGTTTGTTTGTTTGTTTGTTTTTTGTGACAGTCTCCCTCTGTCGCCCAGGCTGCAGTGCATTAGTGTGATCTTGGCTCACTGCAACCTCCGCCTCCCAGGTTCAAGCAATTCTCCCACCTCAGCCTCCCAAGTAGCTGGGACTACAGGCGTGCACCACCATGCCCAGCTAATTTTTGTATTTTTAGTATAGATGGGGTTTCACCATGTTGTCCAGGCTGGTCTCAAACTCCTGACCTCAGGTGATCCGCCCACCTTGGCCTCCCAAAGTACTGGGACTACAGGCGTGAACCACCACGCCCGGCCACTTTCTTCCTTGTCTCTTACTTATCCTGTTTTCCTTCTCTTCCCTCTCTCCCTATTCAGCTACAGTTTTTTTTGTTTTTGTTTTTGTTTTTAATGAGACAGGGTCTAACTCTGTTGCCCAGGCTGGAGTGCAGTGGTGTGATGTCAGCTCACTGCACCTTCCACCTCCCAGTCTCAAGCAATCCTCCTGCCTCAGCTTCCTGAGTAGCTGGGACTAGGCGCATGCCACCACACCCAGTTGATTTTTGTATTTTTTGTAGAGACAGGGTTTTGCCATGTTGCCCAGGACGTTCTTGAACTCTGGGCTCAGGCGATCCTCCCGCCTCAGCCTCCCAAAGTACCTGGATTACAGGCATGAACCACCTCACCCAGCTCTTCTAAAGTCTTAATCACTTACTGAATTACAGCTCTTACCCAGAACTCTCACCTGTCTTTTGTTACTACCTTCCAGGGCATCTTTAGGGTTGTTCCCATTTTCTTCTCTTTGAAAACATCTCCTGTCTCTGATCACATGTCCTAGACCACCCACCTCCAAATCTCCTTTATGCCACCAGGTGATCTCAATACTGTCACTTCAGTCATAATTGCAAGATTTTTCTTACTGATTCCTTTTATCTTGCGTTGGAACACAGGTTTGTTACACACCCCAATATCCATTCTCTCCCTCCTTGATTTTCAGATGGAACATGGCTGCTCAGACTACAATTCACAGCCTCTCTTGCAGTTAGAAATTGTCCTGGAACAGGCTGGGCACAGTGGCTCACACCAGTAATCCTAGCACTTTGGGAGGCTGAGGCAGGCAGATCACCTGAGGTCAGGAGTTCAAGACCAGCCTGACCAACATGGAGAAATGCCATCTCTACTAAAAATACAAAATTAGCCTAGCGTGGTGGCACATGCCTGTAATCCCGGCTACTCCGGAGGCTGAGGCAGGATAATCGCTTGAACTTGGGAGGTGGAGGTTGCAGTGAGCCAAAGATCGCACCATTGCACTCCAGCCTGGGCAACAAGGAAGCAAAACTCTGTCTCAAAAACAAAGACAAAAGAAAAAGAAATTGTCCTGGAACAAAGAGTTGCAATCAAAATTATTGTGTGCATTGTCCAGAAAATGTCCTTTAAAAAGGGTTATAGGCACTCTTTTTTGCTCCATCCTATTTCCTGCTGGGTAGAATATGGATGTGCAGCCTGGAGCTTGAGCAACCAGCTTGGATCATGAGGCCGTGTGCTAAGCACATCAGAGCATTAAAACTAGAGGTGTCAGCTGGGTGTGGTGGCTCACGCCTGTAATCCCAGCACTTTGGGAGGCCAAGGTGGGTGGATCACCTGAGGTCAGGAGTTTGAGACCACCCTGGCCAACGTGGTGAAACGCTGTCTCTACTAAAAATACAAAAAATTAACTGGGCATGGTGGTACGCGCCTGTAGTCCCAGCTACTTGGGAGGCTGAGGCAGGAGAATCGCTTGAACCCGGGAGACAGAGGCTGCAGTGAGCTGAGATCGCACCATTGCACTCTAGCCTGGGCAACAAAAGCAAGACTCCTTCTCAAAAAAAAAAAACTAGAGGTGTCGGGGACAGTGGCTCACACCTATAATCCCAGCACTTTGGAAGGCTGAGGCAGGCAGGTCACTTGAGGCCAGGAGTTCAATACCAGCATGGCCAACATAGTGAAACCCCATCTCTACTAAAAAATAATAATAATACAAAATACAAAAATTAGCCAGGGGGGTTGGCACACACCTGTAATCCCAGCTAGTGGGGAGGCAAAGGTGGGAGGATCACTTGAGCCTGGGAGGTGGAGGTTGCAGTGAGCCAAGATCACGCTACTGCACTCCAGCCTTGGCAACAGAGCAAGACTCTGTCTCTAAAAACAAGAAGAAAATTAGAGGCGTCTTGAGTCTCTGATGATTAGGGGACCCCATACCAGCCCTGGAATGACCATCTGAATTCTGTTATTTGAGTGAGAAACTAAACTTCTATCACATTTAAGCCTTTTTTTTTTTTTTTTTTTTTTTTTGAGACAGAGTCTCACTCTTGCCCAGGCCGGAGTGCAGTGGCACGGTCTCAGCTCACTGCAATCTCTGTCTCCAGGGTTCAAGGGATTCTCCTGCCTCAGCCTCCCAGGTAGCTGGGATTACAGGCACCTGCCACCACGCCCAGCTAATTTTTTTTGTAATTTTAGTAGAGATGGGGTTTCACCATGTTGCCCAAGCTGGTCTCAAACTCCTTACCTCATGATCCACCCACCTTGGCCTCCCAAAGCACTAGGATTACAGTCATGAGTCACTGCACCCAGCCTCCGCACTATTATTTTTTTAAATGTATGTAGCCAGATATACATTCTAACATATGGAATTTATAAAGTCATGTTGCATATAAATCTAATTTACCTAGACCCATGCAAAAGTCATTAGGCCCAGGGTGGGCCTTGCAGAGAGAACAGATAAAGGGTAGGGAATTCTACTGACTCAAAACCCTTCTGACCGGCTTTCACGGGCTTACCAGATTCCCCTAGTGCCACAGAAAACATCTCATAATAGCTTTAGTGTCCAGAGGCAGAAGATATTATAATATTTTGTAACTTTTTTGCATAATTGTACTATTCTTGCAAGAACTTGCAAGAATAGTAGAGGGAGTTCCCATACAACCTTCACCCACATTCCCCAAATGTTAACATTTTATCACATTTGCTTTATCATTCTCACTATATCTATATTTTTTTCTGAAACATTTGAGAGTAAGCTGCAGAAACACTGCCCCTTTACCTCCAAACACTTTTTTTTTTCTTGAGATAGGGTCTTGCTCTGTTGCCCAGGCTTGAGTATAATGGTGTGATCATGGCTCACTGCAGCCTCAACCTCCTGGGCCCCCACAATTTTCCCACCTCAGCCTCCCAAGAAGCTGGGAGTACGGGTGTGTGCAACCACACCCAGGTAAGTTTTGTTTTTTGTGTGTTTTTTTTTGCATAGAAGAAGTCTCACTATATTGCCCTAGCTGGTCTCGAGCTCCCGAGCTCTCAAACTCCTGCCTTGACTTCCCAAAGCACTGGGATTATAGGCATGAGCCACCACACCCAGCCTCTAAACACTTTGCATGTGTTTCCTAAAAACAAGGAATTATGTGGGAACATAACCACAGTAAGACGATTAAAATCAGAAAATTCACCTTCATACAATACTATTAGCTAACCTCGCCCGGCCTAGCCTTGACATTTTTGAGGAGTCGGTTCTGCAGAATGTCCCTCAGTTTGGGAACATCTGTTGCTTTTCTCAGGACTAGATTCAGTTTGTGCATTTGTGGCAGGAATACCCCGGAAGTGATGCTGTGCTATTCTTAGTGCATCATAGCAGGAGACCTATGATGTCAGTGTGTTACTGGGGATGTTAATTTTGATCATTGGTTGAGATGGTGTCCACCAGCTGTCTTCACAGCAAAGTTAGTATTTTCTCTTTGTAAAATAAGTATTATGTAGCCGGGCACAGTGGCTTAGGCCTGTAATTCCAGCACTTTGGGAGGCCAAGGCGGGCAGATCACCTGAGGTCAGGAGTTGGAGACCACCTTGGCCAACATAGTGAAACCCCATCTCTACTAAAAAATACAAAAATTAGCATGGCGTGGTGGCTGGTGCCTGTAATCCCAGTGACTCAGGAGGCCGAGGTGGGAAACTCATTTGAACCCAGGAGGCAGAGGTTGCAGTGAGCAGAGATGGTGCCGTTGCATTCCAGCCGGGCGACAAGAGCGAAACTCCTTCTCAAAAAATAAAATATAATAAGTATTATGTGTGAAGCACTTTGAGACTGTGTCAATAACTGTGTAATCCTCCAACTTTCATTCAAACCTCTTAGCATTTATTGATGATTCTCTCTCTTTTTTTTTTTTTTTTTGTGGGGGGCTACTGAGTCTTGTTCTGTCGCCCAGGCTGGAGTGCAATGGCGGGATCTCCGCTCACTGCAAGCTCCGCCTCCTGGGTTCACACCATTCTCCTGCCTCAGCCTCCCGAGTAGCTGGGACCACAGGTGCCCGCCACCACGCCCGGCTAATTTTTTTGTATTTTTAGTAGAGACAGGGTTTCACCATGTTAGCCAGGATGGTCTCGATATCCTGACCTCGTGATCCGCCCGCCTTGGCCTCCCAAAGTGCTGGGATTACAGGCGTGAGCCACCGTGCCCGGCCTAATGATTCTTGCATAAATCAATTATTACTACGATGATTGGCCAATAGTGATATTGTAACACTTTTATTTTCTTTTCCAAGGAGGATTGTAAATTAGAATGACATGAAAACAAAAACCCAAGGACATGGTGCTTATCTCCATGAACAGTATATAAATAAAAATAATTTACCAATTAAGAAATCTCGTCTTGGCCTTGTGCAGTGGCTCACGCCTGTAATCCCAGCACTTTGGGAGGCCGAGGCGGGCGGATCACAAGGTCAGGAGTTCGAGACCAGCCTGGCCAATATGATGAAACCTCGTCTCTACTAAAAATACAAAAAATTAGCTGGGCGTGGTGGCAGGCGTCTGTATTCCCAGTTACTTGGGAAGCTGAGGCAGGAGAATCGCTTGAACCCAGGAGACGGAGCTTGCAGTGAGCTGAGATCGCACCACTGCACTCCAGCCTGGGCGACAGAGCAAGACTCTGTCTCAAAATAAATAAATAAATAAGAAAAGAAAAAAGAAATCTCTTTTTGAACACAGAGCATGTGTCTGGAGTTGTGCCAGACCTTAAGATTCAAAAGTAAATGAGTCCATGGGCCTACCACTGTGAACACGCCTGATCTCATCTGATCTCAGAAGTTAACCCGGGTCAGGCCTGGTTAGTACTTGGATGAGAGGCCAACAGGGAATACCACATGCTGTAACCTTAAAAAAAAAAAAAAAAAAAGAGAGTAAATGAGATATCCCAGTTCTCAGGGAGCACAGTTGTTTAATAGGGGACATGTGAATAAATACAACACAGTAAGTGCTACTTCTAGAACCAGGCTCCTTGTATGGTAGGGTCTAGGGCTCCTCTATGGAGTGGTGTAAGATGACACACTTTCTTTGTCATCCAGCTATTTGCATACACTGAGAAAGATGTTGCTTTCTGGGAGGCAAAAACTTCAACACTATCTATTATTGATGTATCTGAGGATCTTGGGTGCCCAGGCAAGAGCAAGATTGCCAGAAAGGACTATAGAAGCCTTAAGAAAGATCTCACTTTAAAGAAAGGAAGAATTGGCTGGGTGGGGCAGCTATCCTAGCCTATGACCTTCATAGTCCTGGCTTGTGGAAGTCTCACCTGATATCCTGTCAAACATGAAATATGCCCACATCTCATACTATATTAATCTATGTGTATATATATTAGTTTTATATGAGATGAGTTTGCTTGTTTTTTTGAGATGGAGTCTCACTCTGTTGCCCGGGTCTGGAGCAGTGGCTTGACCTTGGCTCACTGCAACCTCTGCCTCCTGGGTTCAGGCGATTCTCCTGCCTCAGCCTCCCGAGTAGCTGGGATTACAGTTGCCCACCACCACGCCCAGCTAATTTTTGTATTTTTATTAGAGACGGGGTTTCACCATGTTGGCCAGGCTGGTCTCAAACTCCTGACCTCAGGTGATCCACCTGCCTTGGCCTCCCAAAGTACTGGGATTACAGGCATGAGTCACCACACTCAGCCAAATTTTATATGAGATGAGTTTTATCAGTTGGTTGACATACCATTATAATTTGTTAGCATTTTATTAATTTTAATTGTTAAGTTTTTATAGTTTAAAACAAATACATATTGGCCAGGTGCAGTGGCTCATGCCTATAAAACCCGCACTTTGGGAGGCCGAGGCAGGAGATCACCTGAGGTCAGGAGTTCAAGACCAGCCTGGCCAACATGGTGAAACCTCATCTCTACTAAAAATACAAAAATTAGCCGGGCGTGGTGGCAGGTGCCTGTAATCCCAGCTACTCGGGAGGCTGAGGCAAGAGAATTGCTTGAACCAGCGAGGCGGAGGTAGCAGTCAGCTGAGATCGCCCCATTGTACTCCAGCCTGGGTGACAAGAACGAGACGACTTCTCAAAAACACAAACAAACAACAAAAAAAATACATTTTCTTAGGTCTCCAACCAGAAACCTTTTTGTAGGCTTTTACGTAGCTCATAGGCATTAGCAAGCATGCCTGACATGGCTAATAAGTTTTGTTAAGTTGAAAGAAGTTTCGTTTACTTTATCAAATATCCTTGAGCTAGTAAAATTTTATTATTTTTGTTTGTTTGTTTTTTGAGACGGAGCCCACTCTGTAGCCCAGGCTGGAGTGCAGTGGTGCGATCTCAGCTCACTGCAACCTTCTCCCTCCGGGTTCCAGAGATTCTCCTGCCTCAGCATCCTGAGTAGCTGGGACTATAGGCGTACACCACCACACTCGGCTAATTTTTTTTGTATTTTTGGTAGAGACGGGGTTTCACCATGTTGGCCGGGATGGTCTCAATCTCCTGACCTCATGATCCACCCACCTCGGCCTCCCAAAGTGCTGGGATTACAGGTGTGAGCCACCCCGCCTGGCCAGATTTAGTTCTTTTTTTTTTTTAAATAAATAAATAAATAAATAAATAAATAAATAAATAAATCCATCTTGTGTTTGTTTTTGTTTTTGAGACAGAGTCTTACTCTGTTGCCCAGGCTGGAGTAAAGTGGCATAATCATAGCTCACTGCAGCCTGAAGCTCCTGGCCTCAGATGATCCTCCTACCTCAGCCTCCCTAGTAGCTAGGTCTACAGGTGTGTGCCACCACGCCCAGCTAATTTTTTGTATTTTTTGTAGAGAGGAGGTTAGGAGGTTTCACCATGTTACCTAGGCTGGAACCCTTTTTTTTTTTTTTTTTTTGAGATGTAGTCTTGCTCTGTTGCCCAGGCTGGAGTGCAGTAGCATGATCCTGGCTCACTGCAACCTCCACCTTCTGGGTTCAAGCAATTCTTCTGCCTCAGCCTCCCGAGTAGCTGGGACTACAGGCTTGCGCTACCACACCCGGCTAATTTTTGTATTTTTAGCAGAGATGGAGGTTTCACCATTTTGGCCAGTCTGGTCTCGAACTCCTGACCTCGTGATCTGCCCACCTCAGCCTCCCAAAGTGATGGAATTACAGGCATGAGGCACCGTGCCCGGCCAGAACCCACCTTTTTATTGAGATATAATTTATATACCACAAGATTTTCCCATTTAAAGTGCACAACTGAATGGTCTTCAGTACAAAGAATTGTGCAACCATCACCACTATCTAATTTTAGAACATTTCATCGCTTCAGGAAGGAACTTTATGCCCATTTAAAGTCTCTCCCCATCCTTCCTCCAGCCCCTGACACCCACTAGTCTACTTTTTGTCTCTATGGATTAGCCTTTTATCGACATTTTATCTAAATGGAATCATACAATATGTGGTCTTTTGAGATTTCTTTCAACTTAGCCTAATGTTTTGAGGTTCATCCATGTTGTAGCATGTATCAGTGCTCCATTCTTTTTTTTGAGACAAGAGTTCCAGTCTGTTACCCAGGCTTGAGTGCAGTGGCAAGATTGACTCACTGCAACCTCCACCTCCTGGGCTCAGACGATTCTCCTGCCTCAGCCTCCCGAGTAGCTGGGATTACAGGCATGTGCCAACACGTCCAGCTAATGTTGTATTTTTAGTAGAGACGGGGTTTTACCATGTTGGCCAGGCTGGTATTGAACTCCTGGCCTCAAGTGATCCACCTGCCTCGGCCTCCCAAAGTGCTAGGATTACATGTGTGAGCCACTGCACCTAGCCAGAAGCTGGAATTTTAGATCAAAGATCATAGATAGGCCAGGTGAAGTGGCTCATGCCTGTAATCCCAACACTTTGGGAGGCCGTGGCAGGAGGATCACTTGAGGCCAGGAGTTCAAGACCAGCCTGGGCAACACAAGGAGACCCTGTCTCTACAAATTAGCTGAATATGGTGGCATATGGCTGTGGTTCCAGCTACTTGGGAGGCTGAGAGGTGGGAGGATCGCTTGAGCCTGGGAGGTCAAGGCTGCAGTGAGCCATTATCATGCCACTGCAATCCAGCCTGGGCAACAGAGCAAGACCCTGTTTCAAAAAAAAAAAAAAAAAAGATCTTGCACTGCATGGCATCTGCACCCAGCAGTTTACTCTTGCTAAGGTGTTCAAAGGTCAGTGCTATAGAAATTCAGTATCTGGCATCATTGGTTTTCTTGACTTTGTGCTTGTTAAACCTAGTATTTCTATTGATACAGTATTTGTATAGATTTCACAGAGTGCTTAGTTTGATATACTCTATAACAGTAAGCAATGCCTTTCTTCTTCCAGGGTGTTGAATTGAGAACCAGGCAGATCCACCACCTACAGTAAAGATGACCCTAAAGTGAATTGGTTGAAGAAATTAGATCCCAAAGATTCTTGGTGAATTTTCAAGTCTTCATCAGTATATCCATATTAAAAGGAGATGACAGAAGCCAAAATAAAAGAATTATGGGCTGACGGGACAACTGGATTAAAATAAGCATCAGTTTCGTTAAAAAGGGCTAACTTGAAGATAAATCTTTTGACTCCAGCTCTTTAGAGGATCTAAAGTGACCCTGATGGACAGTGGAAAAAATCACAACATGGAATCCCTTGGATAAAAATCTATTGACTTTGAATAATTTTGCCTAATGTTACATAATACACAATTAAAAAAAAAAAAAACCTTGGCCAGGCATGGTGGCTCACACCTGTAATCCCAGCACTTTGGGAGGCCGAGGTGGGCAGATCACAAAGTCAAGAGATCGAGACCATCCTGGCCAATATGGTGAAACCCTGTCTGTACTAAAAATAACTTACCTGGGCATGGTGGCACTCGCCTGTAGTCCCAGCTACTCGGGAGGCTGAGGCAGGAGAGTGGCGTGAACCCAGGAGGCGGAGGTTGCAGTGAGCCGAGATTGCACCACTGCACTCCAGCCTGGGCGAAAAGAGTGAGACTCCGTCTAAAAAAAAAAGATTATAGATAGGCCAAAGCCAAAACCAGGGGTGCAAAAGGGAAATAAATCAGGAGCCAAGTACCAAGTGTCAGGATCAGGATCCAGAAAGGCAGGATACAGCAGAGACACTAAAACCAGGACCATGGTAAAAGTGAGACACTGGAGAAAGAAACCAAAGAGAACACTGTAACCGGGAGCCTAGCTAATCTTGCAGTTGGATTGAGAGGCAAACTGGGTGATTTTTCCACTGGCTGACCTTTTAGAAGTTCCAGACATGTTCTCCCAAAGGCACTAAGTTCTGGGTCCCAGAGAAGTGGGCTCATGGCACGGCTGATCTCAGAGTTGGTGCTTGTGCAGCTCCTGACACAAGGTGCCCCTCTAAATGAAGAGCCAAGGAGCACACGTTTATCGAAGGTCTACTTTGCGCCCCTTGTGGCAACACTCATACTTGGAGGCAGAGGCTACCATCAGAATATAAATTTTATCCTCAGGAAGATGAGAAGACAACTGGCTTAGAAACTAGCTTAGAACATTTCCAAGTTTGACACAGGGCCAGGGGCTGTCAAGCCTCAACCACAATGCAATCAACCACCAGCTCTATTCCACAGGCGCATGTCCAGGTCGGCTAATAAATGGAAAAGCCAGGATTAAGATTCAAGTTTCGTCCGGTCACGGTGGCTCACTCCTGTAATCCCAGCACCTTGGGAGGCCAAGGCGGGCAGATCATGAGGTCAAGAAATCGAGATCATCCTGGCCAACATGGTGAAACCCCGTCTCTACTAAAAATATAAAAATTAGCTGGGCACAGTGGTGCACGCCTGTAATCCCAGCTACTTGGGAGGCAGAAGCAGGAGAATCGCTTGAACCTGGGAGGTGGAGGTTGCAGTGAGCCGAGATCTCGCCACTGCACTTCAGTCTGGGTGACAGAATGAGACTCCGTCTCAAAAAAAAAAAAAAAAAAGATTCAAGTTTCTTAGCCTGGGCAACAACGACGACAAAAAATTCGGAGCTTATGGTGGTGCAGGCCTGTAGTCCTAGCTACTCAGCAGGCTGTGGCAGGGGGTGTCACTTGGAGGCTGCAGTGAGCTATGATTGCACCACTGCACTCCAGCCTGGGCCACAGAGCAAGATTCCGTTTCAGAAAAAAAATAAATAAATTTGGGCCGGTCTCGGTGGCTCACGCCTGTAATCCCAGCACTTTGGGAGACTGAGGCCGGTGGATCACCTGAGATCGGGAGTTCGAGGCCAGTCTGACCAACATGGAGAAATCCCCGTCTCTACTAAAAATACAAAATTAGCTAGGTGTGGTGGCGTATGCCTGTAGTCCCAGCTACTCAAGAGGCTGAGGCTTGAACCCGGGAGGCAGAGGTTGCGGTGAGCCAAAATCGCGCCATTGCACTCCAGCCTGGGCAACAAGAGCGAAACTCCGTCTCAAAAAAATAAAATAAATAAAATAAATAAATTTTATCAATCATGGTGGTGTTTTTTGTTGTTGTTGTTGCTGTTTGACAGGGTCTTAAAAATAAATAATTTAAGTAAATAAAAATAAATAATTTCCTGATTTTCCAGCTTGCAGATAGCATATTGAGTAAGCCAGCTCCCCTAACAAACCTTCTATGGCTCTCTAAATATATCGTATTGGTTCTGTTTCTCTGGAGAACTCTGACTAAATACATCGGTCTAGAACCTAACTCTATTCTGCATATAAGCACTGAGTATTGTAGCACATTGTTTATTTTACTTTATTTTATTTTTATTTATTTATTTATTTATTTATTTATTTATTTATTTATTTATTTTTGAGATGGAGTGCAGTAGTGTGATCAGCAATCCTCCCAAGTAGTTGGGACCACTGGTACACACCACCACACCTGGCTAATTTTTTCTTGTATTTTTTGTAGAGATGGGGTTTTGCCATGTTGCTCCAGCTGGTCTGAAACTCCTGGGCTCAAGGGATCCACCTGCCTTGGCCTCCCAAAGTGCAGGGATTACAGGCAAAAGACATGGCACCGGGCCTCATGTAGGTGTTTATAATGATCTCGGTTGTGATGGTTAATTTTATGTGTCAGCTGGACTGGCTTGAGGGATGCCCAGATAGCTAGTAAAACAGTATTTCTGGGTGTCTCTGGGAGGTGTCTCTGGAAGAGATGAACATTTGACTCAGTAGACCAAGAAAAGAAGATCCAGCTTCAACGAACGTGGCGGTGTGTGGGGGCATTATCTAATATATACAGGGCCCTGAATAAAACAAAAGGGTCAAGGATGTGAGAATCCTCTCTTCTTCAACTAGGACATTCATCATTCTCCTGCCCTTGGACATCGTAGCTCCTGGTTCCTGGTTCTTAGACCTTTGGCCTTGGACTGGGACTGAATTACACCACGAGCTTTCCTGATTTTCCAGCTTGCAGATAGCATATTTAGTGAGCCAGCTCCCCTAATAAACCTTCTATGGCTCTCTAAATATATCCTATTGGTTCTGTTTCTCTGGAGAACTCTGACTAAATATATCAGTCTAGAACCTAACTCTACTCTGCATATAAGCATTGAGTATTGTAGCACATTTTTTATTTTACTTTATTTTTTATTTATTTATTTATTTTTGAGATGGAGTCTTGCTCTGTCACCCAGGCTGGAGTGCAGTGGCACGATATCAGCTTACTACAACCTCTGTCTCCTGGGTTCGAGCGATTCTCCTGCCTCAACTCCTGAGTAGCTGGGACTACAGGTGCACGCCACCACGCCCAGCTAATTTTTGTAATTTTAGTAGAGACAGAGTTTCACCATATTGGTCAGGCTGGTCTCGAACTCCTGACCTCAGGTGATCCACCCACCTTGGCCTCTCAAAGTGCTGGGATTACAGACATCAGCCACCACGCCCAGACTTATTTTATTTTATTTATGTATTTATTTGAGACAGGGTCTTGCTCTGTTGCCCAGGGTGGAGTGCAGTGGTGCACCTCGGCTCACTGCAACCTCCGCCTCCCAGGTTCAAGTGATTCTCCTGCCTCAGCCTCCAGAGTAACTGGGACTACAGGCGTGCTCCACCACACCAGGCTAAATTTTTATATTTTTAGTAGAGACGGGGTTTCACCATATTGGCCAGGTTGGTCTCCAACTCCTGACCTCGTGATCTGCCTGCCTGGGCCCCCCAAAGTGCTGGGATTACAGGTGTGAGCCACCGCACCCAGCCTTATTTTATTTTATTTATGTATTTATTTGAGACAGGGTTTCACTCTGTTACCCAGGCTGGAGTGCAGCGGTGCAATCATGGTTCACTGCAACCTCTAGCTTCCAAGCTCAAGTGATCCTCCCACCTCAGCCTCCTAAGTAGCTGGGACTGTAGGCATGTGCCACCACACCCAGCTAATTTTTTTTTTTTTGAGAGGGAGTCTTGCTCTGTTGCCCAGGCTGGAGTGCAGTGGCACAATCTCGGCTCATTGCAACCTCTGCCTCCCAGGTTCAAGCAATTCTCCTTCCTCAGCCTCCCAAACAGCTGGGATGACAAGGATGTGCCAACACGCCCAGCTAATTTCTGTATTTTTAGTAGAGACGGGGTTTCACCATGTTGGCCAGGCTGGTCTTGAACTCCTGACATCAGGTGATCTGCCCACCTCAGTCTCCGAAAGTGCTGAGATTACAGGCGTGTGCCAGTGCACCCAGCCAGACCCAGATAATTTTTGTATTATTTGTAGAGATGGAGTTTCTCTCTTTCTCTTTTTTTTTATTTTTACCTTTCACCTTTTTATTGGCCTCCTGCTCCTCAAAGTGTACCCTGTTTCTTCTGGCTTAATGTCTCAGAACTTTGGTGTCGTTGGTCTCACACACCTCTTTACCATCCACTATCTGGGGGGTGGTGGTCTTATGGATGGTTTGCATGGAGTTGCTGCTGTCCAGGGCATCACAAAGATTGAAGTCCTCGTCGTCGTCTAGCAGGTGGCGATAGGTGGCGATCTCAGCCTCCTGATTGACCTTGATGTTTAGCAAGGACCCGTTCTCCTGGTCCTGGCGCTGCCCCTCTGCCTGGGAGATGGAGTTTTACAATGTTGCCCAGGGTGATCTCGAAATCCTGATCTCAAGTGATCCACCTGCCTCAGCCTCCCAAAGTGTTGGGATTACAGGCGTGAGCCACCATGCCCAGCTGCACTTTTTTTTTTTTTTTTTTTTGAGATAGTTTCTCTCTTGTTGCCCAGGCTGGAGTGCAATGGCTCAATCTTGGTTCACTGCAGCCTCCATCTGCCCAGTTCAAGCGATTCTCCTGCCTCATCCTCCCAAGTAGCTGGAACTACAGGTGTGCGCCACCACGCCCAGCTAATTTTTGTATTTTTAGTAGAGACAGGTTTCACCATGTTGGCCAGGATGGTCTCGATCTCTTGACCTCGTGATCTGCCTGCCTTGGCCTCCCAAAGTGCTGGGATTACACGTGTGAGCCACCGCGCCTGGCCCCAGCTAATTTTTTGTATTTTTAGTAGAGACGGGGTTTTGCCATGTTGGCCAGGCTGGTCTCGAACTCCTGGCCTCAGGTGATCCACCCACCTTGGCCTCCCAAAGGGCTGGTATTACAGGCGTGAGCCACCACTCCCAGCCCCAGCCACCCATTTTAAATAATCGTGAAAGTTTTAGGGATTCGACTATCATATAAATTCTGTGCTTCGTTTTGTGCAGGGCCCTCCCAAAAGTTATTTCCTCTTTTGGAAAGGATGTCACTACTGGCCACAGTACCCCTGGTATTTAAGTCAATGATGTTGTCCACCCATCCCAGTCTGTCTTTGTAGTGTGCCAGTTGGGATGACTCCATAGCTACGCACAGGCATCTGGTTACTTCCTTATGTCTTCTAGTGTAGCCATGCCCAAGCATTTACATATTGAAATTTTGTATCTTATTTACCTTATTTTATTATAAATTAAATGCCATTTATTTCTCCTTTATATTAGGTCATTGTATTGTGGAGTTTCATTTTTGGAATTATGTGCATAAGTGGGTTATTTTCTATATTAATTTCTTTTTTTATCTTCAACTTTTAAGTTCTGGGGTGCATGTGCAGGATGTTTAGGTTTGTTACATAGGTAAACATGTGCTACGCTGGTTTGCTGCACAGATCATCCCATCGTCTGGGTATTAAGCCCAGCATCCATTAACTGTTCTTCCTGATGCTCTCCCTCCCCCCTCAACCTCCCCGCTCCCATGAATTTCATTTCAGGAGAACAGAGAGAGTATTACAAAATGTTTGGTTAAAAGGAGGGTAATGGGCACGATCCAGTTGAAAATGACTGAGCAGACAAGGATATGGCCCTAATCACCATCCCCTTCACATTTGGTGTGGCTTTGCATGAGATCTTAAACTCTTTAGGAAAGAGCTGCTTTTTTTTTTTTTTTTTTTTTGAGACGGAGTCTCGCTCTGTCGCCCAGGCTGGAGTGCAGTGGCGCCATCTCGGCTCACTGCAAGCTCCGCCTCTCGGGTTCACGCCATTCTCCCACCTCAGCCTCCCGAGTAGCTGGGACTACAGGCACCCGCCACCATGCCCAGCTAATTTTTTCTATTTTTAGTAGAGACCGGGTTTCACTGTGTTAGCCAGGATGGTCTCAATCTCCTGACCTCATGATCCGCCCGCCTCGGCCTCCCAAAGTGCTGGGATTACAGGCGTGAGCCACCGCGCCCGGCCGAAAGAGCTGCTTTTACACACTAGTTAGCATTCAGTGTGTATTTGGTTTAGAGAAAGGCCAGCAAAAAAATCATCCAGGAACCAGGCACGGTGGCTCACGCCTGTAATCCCAGCACTTTGGAAGGTCGAGGTGGGAGGATTGCTTGAGCCCAGGAATTCGAGACCAGCCTGGGCAACATGGTGAAACTCTTTCTCTACAAAATAAATACAAAAGCTAGCCGGGCATGGTGGTGCACTCCTGTAGTCCCAGCTGCTTAGGAGGCTGAGGTGGGAGGATGGTTTATGCCTGGGAGGTTGCATTGAGCCTGAGATCGTGCCAATGTACTCCAGCCTGGGTGACAGAGGGAGACCTGGTCTCAAAAAAAAAAAAAAAAAAAAAAAAAAGCAAAAACAGCAAAGGGATTATCCAGAGCAGGCAGAGGATAGCTCCTTTGTCCCAGATCCCTTGCGGGTATAAGCAACCTCCACTTCCTGGATCATAAGTAGCAAGGAACACCCAGCCACAAAAACCTGCCCAGTTACTCAGTGTGTCAGAGGCGTTTAAACCAGAGCGACTCCATCTTGAATAGGGGCTGGGTAAAAAGAGGCTGAGACCTACAGGGCTGCATTCCCAGGAGGTTAGGCATTCTAAGTCACAGGATGAGATGGGAGGTCTGCACAAGATACGGATCACAAAGACCTTGCTGATAGAACAGGTTGCGGTAAAGAAGCTGGCCAAATCCCACCATAACCAAGATGGCGACGAGAGCGACCTCTGGTCGTCCTCGCTGCTCATGATACGCTAATTATAATTCATTGGCATGCTAAAAGACACTCCCAGCGGCAGCATGACAATTTACAAATGCCATGGGAATGTCAGGAGGCTACCCTACATGGTCTAAAAGAGGGAAGAACCCTTGATTCCGAGACTTGCCCACCCCTTTCCCAGAAAACTCATGAATAATCCACCCCTTGTTTACCATATAATCAAGAAATAACTATAAGTATCCTTAGTCCAGCAGCCCAAGCTGCTGCTCTGCCTATGGAGTAGCCGTTCTTTATTCTTTTACTTTCTTAATAAACTTGCT
Source organism: Homo sapiens (assembly GCF_000001405.40). Lineage (NCBI taxonomy): Eukaryota > Metazoa > Chordata > Mammalia > Primates > Hominidae > Homo > Homo sapiens. The sequence goes on from NC_000017.11 coordinate 67,279,057, forward strand.
TTCACTTTATGGATTCGCCTCTAATTTTTTCTTGTGCAAGATCCAAGAACCCTCTCTTGAGGTCTCGATTGGGACCCCTTTCCGGTGTTAAAGCAAACTAAATATGGCCTGAGAAGGACTCCGTATTTCTATATTTGAATCCTTGTGGGTGAACCAAAACCTAGCTTAATAGGTAGACAATATTGAAAACCTAACCTAGAAGTATGCACCTGTAACAATAGCTAGGTCTTGGCCAATGCCTGTGGCCATACTTCAGCCATTCATACACTGCTGAGTGTTCAAAGTCTGTTCAAATAAGGGAAACAACGAGGTGTAACCAATCCAGCTGTTCTTTACCTTACTTCCAAATTCTGTACGTCATTTCCCATTTTTTGTCTATAAACCTTCTTCCACCACGTGGCTACGCTGGAATCTCTGAATCTGCTGTGATTCTGGGGGCTACCCAATTTGCAAATTGTCATTGCTTAATTAAACGCCATTAAATTTAATTCGGCTGAAGTTTTTCTTTTATCACCGGTAACAACTGCGCAGAGAACAGCTGCAGACACTAAATGGAACTGAAGAGCACAAGCCCTGCCTGGGAAGGTCCGGAGGGTGGGAGGATGCTGAGTGGGGAGGAGGGGGTGCAGGGGCGCGGGGGTGTCTCTGAATGCAAATAGACATTGCCAGGCTAGGTGCAGTGGTTCATGCCTGTAATCGCAACACTTTGGGAGGCCAAGGCGGGCGGATCATTTGAGGTCAGGAGTTCAAGACCAGCCTGGCCAATATGGTGAAACCCTGTCTCTACTAAAAAATACAAAAATTAGCCGGGCATGGTGGTGGGCGCCTGCAATCCCAGCTACTCAGGAAGCTAAGGCAGGAGAATCGCTTAAACCCGGGAGGGAGAGGTTGCAGTGAGCTGAGATCGTGCCATTGCACTCCAGCCTGGGTGACAGAGCAAGACTCCGTCTCAAAAAAAAAAAAAAAAATATATATATATATATAGCAAATAGACATTGCCCTCCCCCTTTTCCCTGGAAAGTATCTCAGAAGATTCATCTTTTCTGTTTGGCATTCATTATGGTTTTCCAAGGCCCACAGGAGGTCCTCCCTTCTTCAGTCCTATGATGATGAGGACTTCTCAACAGTCCTATCCATTCCACTCCATAAAAGTTCTTGCCTATGTAAATTTTCCTCTGGGGATCGTCAGGCCTCCCCTCTTCTTGCCAATTCAGGACTGCCAACCCACCCTTTCAAATCCTGGCTTTGGACTTGATGTTTCAAAGCTTTCCTTCCTTCTTTGTTTGCCCTTTCCCGAGACTCAATACCAGTTCGCCTTTGCACCATGACCCAGAGCACAGGCCTAACCCACCCTCACTGGAGAATCAATTTCGGTATTTTCCATTGCCTCATAACTGCTGACCGATCATGTCCTCTTTCAAGCCCAGACCTGACTCCCAAGCTCCTGGCCTGGGCTAGAATCCAAGGCCCTATTTGCCAAGGAGAAGAGGTTGGACAGTTTTTCCAGCTGCTGCCTTGCTGAAACCAGAGCCTCATACCCGGTACCCTGACCTCATCAGTCCCATAGTTTGCATTACTCGTCTCTCAGAGGTGAGGAAGGGCTTTCACCACCAATATAACATTTTTTTTTCACTTTTGGAAAAGAAATTAAGAGCATCCAGTGTCCAGTGTCTACCTCCAAGAGGAATAGCCCTGTTGGAAAACCTAAATTAGCCATTTGGGCAGCTCTCCTATGTATTCTGCAAAGTCCTATTCTTTAGGGCATTTCTTGGGTTTGTACTGACCCACTGAATTTAAATGCTAGTGATAGAATCCAAGATTATATTCGAGATATCACTCCTTCCTTACACCTCAAACACAAACCAACAAAAACCCAGACATTTGCTAGGTGTAAAAGTCCATTAGAATTCTGAATACAATTTGATTTTTTTTCTTTTGATTATTTAGAAAGTATCTAGAGTATTGTGTCATGCAGTGGATTTTCTGGCAAATAAGAAGTCCATTCTGACTTGCCTTTAAGCCGCCTTCTACTTTGGATTCCTTTCCTCCTCTTTCTTCCCCATTGGTCACCTTTCCCTACAAAAATGATCAAGCTCCAATTCCCATCCTTCTCCCTGTCTGTGTCTTGCAAATTTCACAAGCCTCTGGTGTCAAAAGCATGTTGATGGCCCAGTCACTGCTGCTCCTGCAAAGCAGTCAACTAGGTTCCTGGAGCTCCAGCCTTCCTGGCTTCCCCAGGGAGATGAGAGTAAGCTCTGGTTTCAACAATGTGGGGGATGTCTTAGGGTAGGGAGAGGCTCAACTTCGAGTTGCAGCTGGTTTGTCCTAGGGTATTTAAAATCAAACATATGTGGCTGGGCAAGGTGGCTCACGCCTGTAATCCCAGTACTTTTTAGGAGGCCGAAGCAGGTGGATTACCTGAGGTTGGGAGTTTGAGACGTGCCTGACCAACATGGAGAAACTCCGTCTCTACTAAAAATACAAAATTAGCGGGGCGTGGTGGCACATGCCTGTAATCCCAGCTACTCGGGAAGCTGAGGCAAGAGAATCCCTTGAACCCGGGAGGCAGAGGTTGCGGTGAGCTAAGATCGCACCATTGCACTCTAGCCTGGGCAACAAGAGTGAAACTCCATCTCAAAAAAAAAAATCAAACATATGTTGCCTTGATTAATTTTCTCCCAAAACCCTCTCCTGTCTGGACTGCATAGGAGATTCATATTCCTTCTATTAACACAGCGTTCATCCTGTTTCTTATAAACGAATCTGTTTTGCCCCGTGCTTAGCACGTGAGCCTGCCCATGTTCCTTGCTCACAGTTGCATGACAAAGCATCCTACCTCAACTGACAACCATTGCTGGCAGGCCCAAATTGCCGGGAGGTTTCTTGGCGCCTCAGGGGATGGGAGCAGGATGAAAATTCAGCTCACCCAGCCTCATTACAATTAGGATTATTACTCGTGTCTCCATGCCCAGCCTGTCAGGCTGGGAGTGCCCGAGGAAGTGAGATTTGCTAATTCTTTAAATATTGAGTCAGCAAGGTATGACCTAAATAGTAACTCTCTATTAAATAGAACTTTAATTACAAAACAACAGCAATAACAATAAGAGCAAATCTGTTTTTCCAGTCTAGATATTATTATCTAGGTCAGGCCAGATAACCAGATTTACTGTACAGACTTCATGGGGCTGCTTTTGGAATATGTACAGCACCATAACCACCCTGATGTTCCTGTTTCCAGGCCATCAAGTTCAAATCGAAATCTGAGAATTCCTATCAGGAAAGCTCATGACCGCCCTTTGAGAGATTTTGTAAAATTGAGCAAAGCACATCCTGACAGATATTTAGATATAGTGCTACAGGCCATTTTGACAAAAGCAGATCATGAAACTATATTTTAAAAATCAATTTTTTTTTGAGACAGAGTCTCATTCTGTCACTCAGGCTGGAGTGCAGTGCCACAATCTCAGCTCACCGCAACCTCTGCCTCCCAGGTTCAAGCGATTCTCCTGCCTCAGCCGCCCAAGTAGCTGGGACTACAGGCCTCTGCCACTATGCCCGGCTAATTTTGTATTTTCAGTAGAGATAGGGGTTTCACCATGTTGGCCAAGCTGGTCTGGAACTCCTGACTTCAAGTGATCTGCCTGCCTCAAAGTCAGGAGTTCAAGACCAGCCTGGCCAACATGATGAAACCCCATCTCTACCAAAAATACAAAAAATTAGCCAGGTGTGGTGGCCTGCACCTGTAGTTCCAGTTAATTGGGAGGCTGAGGCAGGAATTGCCTGAACTCAGGAGACAGAGGTTGCAGTGAGCTGAGATTGCGCCACTGCACTCCAGCCTGGGCGACAGAGCAAGACTCCATCTCAAACCCAAACAAACAAACAAACAAACAAACCAAAAGACCTTTGAAGGGAAAATGATAATATGATAATATGAAGGGCAAAATTGTGATCCATCTGGCTTGGTTTATTATGTTTTTTCCCCCAGAATCCAGTCCCAATCAAAGTGTGTAAACAGCACATAAGACTGTGTTACCTGGGTCGGGCACATTGGCTCACGCCTGTAATCCTAGCACTTTGGGAGGCTGAGGTGGGCAGATCACCTGAGGTCAGGAGTTCGAGACCAGCCTGGCTAATATGGTGAAACCCTGTCTCTACTAAAAATACAAAAATTAGCTGGGCATGATGGTGGGCGCCTGTAATCCCAGCTACTTGGGAGGCTGAGGCAGGAGAATCACTTGAACTCAGGAGGCGGAGGTTGCAGTGAGCCGAGATCGTACCACTGCACTCCAGCCTGGGCGACAGAGCAAGACTCCGTCAAAAAGAATAAATAAATAAAGACTGTGTTACCTGCACTTCTGCCATTCACCATTCCAAGGAACTGCCTGTTGGGCCCAGGCGTTTCCAGAAAAAAAGTGAAGTGCAGATGACTAGGTGAAGCTCAGGATTTTGGGGAGGGTGAAACTACTCTGTATGATATTATAATGCAGATACATGCACGTCATTTTACATTTGTCCAAGCCCATAACGTACGATACCAAGAGTGAACCTTAATATAAACTATGGGCTTTGAGTGATGATGTTGTACAGGCCCATTGATGGTAATGTTACTGGAAAGGGGTCCCAGTTCTGACCCCGACAGAGGGTTCTTGGATCTCGCACAAGAAAGAATTTGAAGCCAAGCCATAGAGGAAAGTGAAAGCAAGTTTATTAGGAAAGTAAAGGAATAAAGAATGGCTGTTCCATAGGCAGAACAGCCCCGAGGTCTGCTAGCTGGCAACTTTTATGGTCATTTCCTGATTATATGCTAAACCAGGGATGGATTATTCATGAGTTTTCTGGAAAGGAGTGGGCAATTCCTGGAACTGAGGGTTCCTTCCTTTTTTAGACCATATAGGGTAACTTCTGGACATTGCCATGGCATTTGTAAGCTGTCATGCCACTGATGGGAGTGTCTTTTAGCATGCTAATACATTATAATGAGCATGTAATGAGCAATGAGGATGACCAGAGATCACTTTCATCCCCATCTTGGTTTTGGTGGGATTTGACCAGCTTCTTTACCACATCATTTTATCAGCAAGGTCTTTGTGACCTGTATCTTGTGCCGACCTCCTATCTCATCCTGTGATTAAGAATGCCTTAACCTCCTGGGAATATAGCCAGTAGGTCTCAGCCAGCAGGTCTCAGCCTTATTTTACCCAGCTCCTGTTCAAGATGGAGTAGCTCTCGTTCAAATGCCTCTGACAGTAACAAAGGTACCACTCGGGCGGGGGATATTGATAATGGGGGAGGCTGTCCTATATGGGGGCAATAGGTATATGAGAAGTCTCTGTATCTTCCTCAGTTTTGATGCAAACTTAAAACTGTTCTAAATTATTAAAGTCTATTGGAATAAAGAAAAATGCAAAGTGCTGGTACTAGTGCCTTAATTATAAAATGCCTTACCTACATTTCTCATAGCCCCAAAGTACTATCTCTCCATTGAGGACGATCAGATAACCTTCTAATTAAAAGGTTGGGCCGGGCACGGTTGCTCATGCCTGTAATCCCAGCACTTTAGGAGGCTGAGGCGAGAGGATCACCTTAGGTCGGGAGTTCAAGATCAGCCTGGCCAACATAGCGAAACCCCGTCTCTACTAAAATACAAAAATTAGCCAGGCATGGTGCTGGGTGCCTGTAATCCCAGCTATTCAGGAGACAGAAGCTAAAGAATTGCCTGAACCCGGGAGGTGGAGGTTGCAGTGAGCCGAGATTGTGCCACTGCACTGCACTCCAGCCTGAACGACAGAGCAGGACTCTGTTCAAAAAACAAACAAACAAACAAACAAAAAAAGTTGCTGAAGAAACTAAAATACATCACAAAAAGCTCCCCCCACCTTTTTTTTTTTTTGAGATGAGGCCTTGCTCTGTCGCCCAGGCTGGAGTACAGTGGCATGACCTCGGCTCACTGTAGCCTCCACCTCCTGGGTTCAAATAATTCTCCTGCTTCAGCCTCCCAAGTAGCTGGGATTAAAGGTATCTGCCCAGCTAGTTTTTGTATTTTTAGTAGAGACAGTGTTTCTCCGTGTTGGCCAGGCTGGTCCTGAACTCCTGACCTCGGATGATCCGCCTGCCTCGGCCTTCCAAAGTGCTAGGATTACAGGCGTCAGCCACTGCACCCAGCCTGCCCCGCTAATTTTTGTATTTTTAGTAGAGACAGGGTTTCGCCATGTTGGTCTGGGGCCAGGCTGGTCTTGAACTCCTGGCCTCAAGTGATTCCCCCAAAGTGCTAGGAAAACAGGCATGAGCTACCATGCCCAGCCCAAATCACTTATTTTTCATATAAATTAGAGTGTATTCTAGATTATCTTTATATCATCACTCACATTCGTTGACTCATTCAACAAACATTTATGGAGTGCCCACACACATGAACAAAGCAAAGCACCTGCCCTTGGAAAGCTTATGCTCTTAAACAACAGACTGGTAAACAAATATATAACCTAGTGCAGGGTAGCAGTAAGTGCAAGGTAAGGAGACAGTTACCCAGGTGACCCAAGATAGTTTTACTAAGGAATGTAAATAGTACATTTTGGGTGGAGACTTTATGGAGTAAGAGGGAGTCATGCAAAAATCAGAAGGAAGGCCAGGTGTTGTGGCTCAAGCCTGTAATCCCAGAAGTTTGGGAGGCCAAGGCAAGTGGACCACTTGAGGCCAGGAGTTCGAGACCAGCCTGGCCAACACAGTGAAACCCCGTATCTACTTAACATACAAAATTTAGCTGGGCATGGTGGTGGGCAACTCTAATCCCAACTACTTGGGAGGCTGAGGCATGAGAATTACTTGAACCCGGGAGGTGGAGGGTGCTGTGAGCTGAGATCACGCCACTGCACTCCAGCCACAGCGACAGAGTGAGATCATCTTAAAACACAACAAACAAACAAAAAAATCTAAAGGAAGGGAACCAGCACACCAACCCTGAGGTGGTGTATGAGTTAGGAGGATTTTTGCCCTTGGCAGTACAATATCCACTGAAGGATGGCTTAGGCCATACATCCACCTACTAGGTACCACAAAAATAATAAATAAAATAAAATAAAATAAAGAATGGGTTAGGCCAGCAGTTCTCAAAATGTCATCTGGGGACCCCCTGGGAATATCCATGACCTCTTCTCAAAGCCTCCACCAGGTTAAAGTTTTTTTTGTTTGTTTTTTGAGATGGAGTTTCGCTCTTTCACCCAGGCAGGAGTGAAGTAGCACAATCTTGGCTCACTGCAACCTCCACCCCCGCAAAGTTCAAGCGATTTTCCTGCCTCAGCCTCCCAAGTAGCTGGGATTATAGGCCCGCACCACCACGCCTAGCTCATTTTTGTATTTTTAGTAGAGACAAGTTTTCACCATGTTGACCACGCTGGTCTCGAACTCCTGACCTCAGGTGATCCACCCAACTCGGCCTCCCATAGTGCTAGGATTACAGATGTGAGCCACTGCATCCAGCCAGTTAAAGTATTTTTATAATAATCCCAAGATCACAGTCATTCTTTTTTTTTTTTTTTTTTAAGATGGAGTCTCACTCTGTTGCCCAAGCTAGAGTGCAGTGGCATGATCTTGGCTAACTGCAACCTCAGCTTCCTGGGTTCAAGCAACAATTCTCTGCCTTAACCTCCCGAGTAGCTGGGATTACAGGGGCCTCCCACCACGCCTGGCTAATTTTTTTGTATTTTTAGCAGAGATGGGGTTTCACCGTCTTGGCCAGGCTGGTCTTGAACAACTGACCTCGTGATCCACCCGCCTCAGCCTCCCAAAGTGCTGGGATTATAGGCATGAGCCACTGCACTAGACCCACACTCATTCTTTTATACATGTAAACTGGAGTAGCTGTGTATCATGTGTGATACACAACAGATTGAATACAGAAACTACTATGAGGCCCTAGCTACCTAGAGTTATTTCAGACATTAAAGAGATTTGCAGGCCAGGTGTGGTGACTCACACCTGTAATCCCAACACTGGGAGGCCAAGGTGGGCGGATCAAGAGGTCAGGATTTTGAGACCAGCCTGGCTATCATAGTGAAACCCCATCTCCACTAAAAATAGAAAAATTAGCTGGGCATGGTGGCACATGCCTGTAATCCCAACTACTCAGGTGGCTGAGGCAAGAGAATCGCTTGAACCTGGGAGGCGGAGGTTGCAGTGAGCTGAGATTGCACCACTGCACTCCAGCCTGGGCGACAAAGCGAACTCCATCTCGAAAAAAAAAAAGAGATTTGCAAAAATGTAAAACGACTGCTCTTTTACTAATCTCTTTTTCTTTTGGAAAATATGATAATTTTTTATAAAAACATGTTGTTTATATTAACAAAAAGACAGCACTCATAAACAAAAGCTTCTTGGGGTCTTCAATAATTTTTAAGTGCTTAAAGAGGTCCTGAGACCGGAAGTTTGACAGCCGCTGGCTTAACCAGTAAGGATATGTATGACTTCACATAATCAGAGGTTCAAAGGCAGAGGCATGGGTTCCGGGTTAAACGCAGGGGCTCAACCATGCCACTGAAGACCGAGGTACTTTCCAGCTTTCCAACTGTCCATTTGGCCACACTCAGCATGTCAGCAGCATCCCTCGCTGTGGTCAAAAGATGGCTGAGCAGTTCCAGGCATCACAGATAAGCATGCAGCTAGCCAAGAAAGGCATTTCCTCCCATGAGTGTCCTTGCACTAGGGGAGCTAAAAATACAAAAATACAGGCCGGGCGTGGTGGCTCACGCCTGTAATCCCAGCACTTTGGGAGGCCGAGGTGGGCGGATCTCCTGAGGTCAGGAGTTCGAGACCAGCCTGGCCAACATGGCGAAACACTGTCTCTACTAAAAATACACACATACACACAAACACACACACACACAGACACACACACACACAAATTAGTTGGGCATGGTGGCGTGTGCCTGTAATCCCAGCTACCCAGGAGGCTGAGGCAGGAGAATCACTGGAACCTGGGAGGCAGAGGCTGCAGTGAGCCAAGATCACGCCACTGCACTCTATCCTGGGTGACAGAGCAAGACTCTATCTCAAAAAAGACAAAAAACAAACAAAAAAACCCAAAAATATCATCTCTACTAAAAACACAAAAAATTAGCCAGGCATGGTGACATGCGCCTGTAATCCCAGCTACTTGGGAGGCTGAGGCAGGAGAATTGCTTGAACCTGGCAGGCGGAAGTTGCAGTGAGCTGAGACCATGCCACTGCACTCCAGCCTTGGCAACAGAGTGAGACTCCGTCTCAAAAAAAAAAAAATGATTTGCCAGACAGTAGAATGGCAGTTGACAGGAGCTGAAAGGTGGGAGGAATGGGGAATTGCATGATGGGTACAGAGTTTCTGTTGGGGATGATAAAAAATGTTCTGGGGCTGGATGGAGATGATGGTCGCACGGCAATGTGAATGTATTTTGTGCTACAGCCTGTACACCTGGTACACCAGACTGTACACTGTACAAGTGGTTGAAATAGTACATTTTCTGTTATGTATGTTTTATCACAATAAAAAAATTAGTCATTTGCAAATGTGGGTACTTGAATCATTACAGGTAACAGATTACCTCTGATATAGCTCAAATGAGAGAGGCTTTTACATCTACTAAGACACTAAGTATTTTCGGGCAGGGCACAGTGGCTCACGCCTGTAATCCCAGCACTTTGGGAGGCTGCAGTGGGAAGATCGCTTGAGCCCAGGAGTTCGAAACCAGATGGGCAACATAGTGAAGCCTTATCTCTACAAAAAAAATGTACAAAAGAATTAGCTGGGGGTGGTGGTGTGTGCACAGAGGTGGGAGGATCCTGGGTAGAGCCTGGGTGGTAGAGGCTGCAGTGAGCCAAGATCATGCCACTGCACTCCAAGGCGAGACCTTATCTTAAAAAAAAAAAAAAAAAAAAAGATGGGAGCCGGCCTGTAATCCCAGCACTTTCGGAGGCCGAGGCAGGTGGATCACTTGAGGTTAGGAGTTCCAGACCAGCCTGGCCAACGTGACAAAACCCCGTGTCTATTAAAAACACAAAAATGAGCTGGGCATGGTAGTGGGTGCCTATAATCCCAGCTACTCAGGAGGCTGAGACGGGAGAATCGCTTGAACCTGGGAGGTGGAGGTTGCAGTGAGCCAAGATCACACCATTGCACTCCAGCTTGAGTGACAGAATGAAACTTTGTCTCAAACAAAAAAAAAAGACACTATTATTTTCATCATCAACAAAGCTCTGGTCCAGCTAATGGTCGAATTCATTTGCAAAAATTTTCATTCACAGTCACTTATTCTTTACAACTAAGTCAGCTAGGGAGGGACAGATCATCTATTTGCATGAAAGCAAGGGGGAAACCAGGGCAGTGCTATGTACTGAACTGTTTCACACTATCACAAATAAAATTGCAGGTTGAGCCTCACTTCACACACACACACACTCACACACACACACACACACACACACACGTGCGCACGCAGAGTATCAGGAAATAGCCTGTCCGTTTTGGCTGCAGACGCAGGGATTTTGGTTTCCTTGGCTTCTGAGCTGTTCTTGGAGCGGGGCCATCTAGGGAAACTGAGCAAGTACACGGGGCCATCAAACTTGGGCTGGATCCATCAGGCACACAAAAAACACTCTCCAGCTCTCTCCCCGAAGTGGAGCAGACAAAAGTGCTGTTGATGCTGAAGCTGCAGAAAGCTTCAGAAGGCCCCGTGGGAGGAAGCTTGGCACGAGAGGCGAGCAGCTCCAACTGACCCTGGAAGGGAGCAGCAGGCTGGGGTGAGATCCAGACTCCGCTCAGATCGGAATGCCTGCACCCTTTGCCTTGCCTCACTGTGAAGGAGAGAAACGGTCTGCCTGGTAGGTTTCCCCTGGTGTCTGAGAAATTTTCTCAAAAAAAAACACCTCCCACCACCCATGGAAAAAATGCTCATGATACAGTGTTGAATGAAAAAGTCAAGATTATATATATACATCTATCTATCTATCTTTTTTTTGGAGACAGTCTTACTCTGTCGCCCAGGCTGGAGTGCAGTGACACCATCTCGGCTCACTGCAACCTCTGCCTCTCTGGGTTCAAGTGATTCTCTTGCCTCAGTCTCCCGAGTAGCTGGGATTACAGGTGCACATCACCATATCCAGCTAATTTTTGTATTTTTTATAGAGATGGGGTTTCACCATGTTGCCCAGGCTGGTCTCAAACTCCTGAGCTCAGGTGATCTGCCCACCTTGGCCTCCCAAAGTGGTAGGATTGCAGGCATGAGCCATCGCGCCTGGCTCTATCTATCTAATACCACCTATGTTAAAAAAAAAATAATAATTTTGCCAGGCATGGTGGTATGTGCCTGTAGTCCCAGCTACTCTGGAGGCTAAGTAGGGAGGATCCCTTGAGCCCAGGAATTTGAGGCCAGCCTGGGCAACATAGCAAGACCCCGTTCCATTAAAAAAAAATTTTTTTAAAGCATGCATTGAAAAACAAGGCCAGAAGGAAATACAATACAATATTATCAGTGATGTTCTCTGGGTGGTTGGATAACAGGTCATTTTGTATTTCTTCTTGACATTTTTCTACAGCTTTTAAATTTTCCTCCAGCTAGGATGTGTTTTTTGATTATCATAAATAGACCTTATAATAATAATGGACACCACCCCAAACTCCACCAACCCAGTGGCCCCTCAGCCTGGGGGAAGGTGTGGGCTGTGGAAAAATGGGTGGGGAATGCTCTTCAGAAATATTTGGCAGTTGCAATATGCTTGCTGCTGAGGGAAAACGCCTGGAAGGCCAGAGCTAGAGTACACCCCCTGCCTCTTTGCCTTTGAGTTTCCCTCCGTGTTACTCCGGTTTCCCAGACTATTGGCTTATTTAGCAAGAAATACAGTAGCAGATATTTTTCCCAGGCAATTGCAGTCCAAACTTCTAGAGCAAAACCAGCTTCTTGCCCCTACTCCCCGCCCCGTATTCCTCACCTGATCTTCTGAAAGACTTTTCTGTTTACTTTCCACAACTTTCGCAGCTGCCTCAACCTGTCTGGCACCTCTGAGAGAGTGGCCCACACTCCTGGGGTCCCGGCTGCTTTCTGGCTCAAGGCTCCTGACACCCATAAGCCCTCCCTCCTGCCTCCCCTGCCATGCTGGGACCACGTGGCTAACACCAGCTGCACTGTGGATAATGACATAGCCAGAGTCTGTCCCTTGGAAACATTTAGCGTGTTCCGCGGAGGAAAAACTTAGCTCATCTCAAGAAAGAGAAGAGAGTTAGGGACAGTGGATTCTACAGGACTCTATTTTTTGGCTGGTTTTTTTTTTTTTTTTTTTTTTTTTTTTTTGAGACGGAGTCTCGCTGTCGCCCAGGCAGTGGTGTCGCCAGTGCAGTGGTGCGATCTCGGCTCACTGCAGGCTCCGCCCCCTGGGGTTCACGCCATTCTCTTGCCTCAGCCTCCCGAGTAGCTGGGACTACAGGCGCCCGCCACCTCGTCCGGCTAATTTTTTGTATTTTTAGTAGAGACGGGGTTTCACCGTGTTAGCCAGGATGGTCTCGATCTCCGACCTCGTGATCCGCCCGCCTCGGCCTCCCAAAGTGCTGGGATTACAGGCATGAGCCACTGCGCCCCGCCTTTTTTTTTTCAGACGGAGTTTCACTCCTGTTGCCCAGGCGGGAGTGCAGTGACACCATCTTGGCTCACCGCAACCTCCGCCTCCTGGGTTCAAGCAATTCTCCTGCTTCAGCCTCCCAAGTAGCTGGGGTTACAGGTGCCCGCCACCACATCCAGCTAATTTTTGTATGTTTTAGCAGAGATGGGGTTTCAATATGTTGGCCAGGCTGGTCTCAAGCTCCTGACCTCAGATGATCCACACATCTTGGCCCATGCTGGGGTTACAGATGTGAGCCACCGTGCCCAGTCCTTTTTTTGTTATTTTAAATATCATTAGATTTTTGCAGCCCTTAATTTCCCAAAGAATGAATTTTCTTCACATGAATGGTGAGGCTGTCTCACAGCCACCTCACAGAAGCAGCATCATGCCTCTTCATAGCTTGGCATTAGTCACTTTCTCTGAATTCTCACTTTGCGGTTGGGGTGGGCTGGATGGAGCCTTAGAATGTGCCTAAGAGGGTGCCCCGGAGCTTTGGGAGAGGGACTCATATTTAAGAATAGAGTGAGGGCCCGGTGCGGCGGCTCACGCCTGTAATCCCAGCACTTTGGGAGGCCAAGACAGGCAGATCACCTGAGGTCAAGAGTTTGAGAAGAGCCCAACTAACGTAGTGAAACCCCGACTCTACTAAAATTACAAAAATTAGCTAGGCATGGTGGCATGTGCCTGTAATCCCAGCTACTCGGGAGGCTGAGGCAGGAGGATCACTTGAACCTGGGAGGTGGAGGTTGCAGTGAGCAGAGATCGCGCCACTGCACTCCAACCTGGGTGACAGAGAGAGACTCTGTCTCAAAAATAAAAATATGGCCAGGCCCGCTGGCTCACATCTGTAATCCCAGCACTTTGGGAGGCTGAGGCAGGTGGATCACCTGAGGTCAGGAATTCGAGACCAGCCTGGCCAACATGGTGGACCCTGTTTCTACTAAAAACACAAAAGTTAGCTGGGTGTGGTGGCGGGCGCCTGTAATCCCAGCTACTCAGGAGGCTGAGGCAGGAGAATCGCTTGAACCTGGGAGGGGGAGGTTGCAGTGAGCCAAGATTGTGCCATTGTACTGCAGCCTGGGCGACAACAGCAAGACTCTGTCTTAAAAAAAAAAAAAAGTTTAAAAAAAAAACAAAAACAAAACAAAAGAATAGAGTGACGACATCTGGGAAGGCTGAGGCTGAGGGGCTGGAAACCTGGCTTGAGAGAAGGATGAGGTGATGAGAGCTAGAAAGTTTGCAGCTGTGGCCACCCTCGGGCACCTCTCCCACTCACACAGAGCAGCCTGCCTCAATGTCTGCCTCCCTCTCAGGTGGGTGGGCTGGGGGCTGTCTGTGGAGGTGGAGGCAGAGCTCCCTGCTGTCCATGAGAAGTTCAAGGCAATGAGGCATGCCCACTCTGAGTTCCTGGCTGGGAGGAGGGTCAGGAGAGGGCCAACCCTCAAGCCCTGTTCTTTGTCTCTTTTTTTTTTTTTTTTTTTTTTTTGTCATCACTCAGGCTGGAGTGCAGTGGCACCATCACAGCTCACTGCAGCCTCAACCATCTGGGCTGAAGCAATCTTCCCACCTCAGCCTCCCGAGTAGCTGGTACCACAGGTACACACCAACACACCTGGATAATTTTTGTATTTATTGTAGAGTAGGGGTTTTGCCATGTTGACCATGGGTGGTCTCGAACTCCTGGGCTCCAGCGATGTGCCCTCCTGGGCCTCCCACAGTGCTGGGATTGCAGGCGTGAGCCATGTGTCCAGCCTCCGCTGCTCTTGTCTTGGAGATGACGCCAACCTTGGGGGAGGAACGTCTATCGTTCTACTTCTTCTTCCCCTTCTCCAACTGGGCTCCTTCCATTGCCCTATCCTCCCGAGTCAGAAAGGAAAATTCCCTAGGGCTCACCCCCTCCCTCTCCTGCAGGCCTGCGTCCCTTCCTGGGGCTGAAGCTTCTGGGCCTGCCCCAGGGTCCTGAACGGCTGACAACACACGGATCAACTGGACCACTGGTGACCACAGAAAGGAGGCTGCAGCTGTTTCTTGCTACGCTTCGAGAGATCAAAGAGCGTGCGGAGCACTGGCCCGCTTCAAAGAACAAGACCCAGGAGAGGAAGGGCCTCGCAGACCTCCTGACTCAAGGCGACCTCCTCCTGATTCAGGGCACCCTCCTGACTTAGGGCACATTTAGGCTCCTGCAAAGGGAGCGCAGCCTGAGGCCGTGAACAGCGCCACCCCCTAGTGGCTTAGAAGGGCCATGCTAGTCTCTCCAGGAAGCCAGGTATCATTCGTTTCTTTAAAAATAAAACCAAACAGGCCGGGCGCGGTGGCTCATGCCAATAATCCCAGCACCTTGGGAGGTCGAGGTGGGCGGATCACCTGGGGTCAGGAGTTCAAGACCAGCCTGGCCAACACGGTGAAACCCTGTCTCTACTAAAAGTACAAAAATTAGTTAAGCGTGGTGGCACACGCCTGTAATCCCAGCTACTCTAGAGGCTGAGGCAGGAGTAATCGCTTGAACCCAGGAGGTGGAAGTTGCAGTGAGCCAAAATCGCACCATTGCACTCCAGCCTGGGCGACAAGAGTGAAGCTCTGTCTCAACAACAACAAAAAACCAAACAATAAAGTATATATATATATAAAGTATATTTTAAAATATATATAACATATAAATATATATTTTTTAATACATATAAATATATTTTATTTGAACTCCTGACCTCAAATGATCCACCCAGCTCAGCCTCCCAAAGTGCTAGGATTACAGGCGTGAGCCACAGCGCATGGCCTTTTTGTTTTATAAAACTTTTTTTTTTTTTCTGAGACAGAGTCTTGTTCTGTTCCCCAGGCTGGGGTGCAGTGGCGCCATCCTTGACTCACTGCATCCTCGACCCCCTGGGCTCAAGTGATCCTCCTGAGAGGTGACAGCGTGCTGGCAGCCCTGGCTCGCTCTCTGCGCCTCCTCTGCCTGGGTCCCACTTTGGCGGCACTTGAGGAGCCCTTCAGCCCGCCGCTGCACTGTGGGAGACCCGTCCTGGGCTGGCCAAGACCGGAGCCGGCTTCCTCAGCTTGCCGGGAGGTGTGGAGGGAGAGGCGCAGGCAGGAACCGGGGCTGCGTGCGGCGCTTGCGGGCCAGCGCGAGTTCCGGGTGTGCGTGGGCTCGGCGGGCCCCGCACTCGGAGCGGCCCCCCAGCCCACAAGCCCCAGGCATTGAGGGGCTTAGCACCTGGGCCAGCAGCTGCTGTGCTCGACTTCTCGCCAGGC
This sequence comes from Homo sapiens, assembly GCF_000001405.40. Lineage (NCBI taxonomy): Eukaryota > Metazoa > Chordata > Mammalia > Primates > Hominidae > Homo > Homo sapiens. The sequence goes on from NC_000017.11 coordinate 67,294,927, forward strand.
CTTAGCTGGCTCCCCGCGGGGCAGGGCTCGGGACCTGCAGCCCGCCATGCCTGAGCCTCCCCTCCCCGCCATGGATGGGTTCCTGCGCGGCTGGAGCCTTCCCAAGGATCGCCGCCCCCTGCTCCAGGGCGCCCAGTCCCATCGACCACCCAAGGGCTGAGGAGTGCGGCGGCACAGCACCGGACTGGTAGGCAGCTCCACCTGCGGCCTTGGTGCAGGATCCACTGGGTGAAGCCAGCTGGGCTCCTGAGTCTGGTGAGGACTTGGAGAACCTTTATGTTTAGCTAAGGGATTGTAAATACACCAGTCGGCACTCTGTATCTAGCTCAAGGTTTGTAAACACACCAATCAGCACCCTGTGTCTAGCTCAGGGTTTGTGAATGCACCAATCCACACTCTGTATGTGGCTTCTCTGGTGGGGACTTGGAGAACCTTTATGTCTAGCTAAGGGATTGTAAATACACCAATCGGCACTCTGTATCTAGCTCAAGGTTTGTAAACACACCAATCAGCACCCTGTGTCTAGCTCAGGGTTTGTGAATGCACCAATCAACACTCTGTATCTAGCTACTCTGGTGGGGACTTGGAGAACTTTTGTGTCCACACCCTGTATCTAGCTAATCTAGTGGGGATGTGGAGAACTTTTGTGTCTAGCTCAGGGATTGTAAACGCACCAATCAGCACCCTGTCAAAACGGACCAATCAGCTCTCTGTAAAATGGACCAATCAGCAGGATGTGGGTGGGGCCAGATAAGGGAATAAAACTGCTTAAAACTGCTTGCCCGAGCCAAAAGTGGCAACCCGCTGGGGTTCGTGTCCATGCTATGGAAGCCTTGTTCTTTCACTCTGCAATAAATATTACTGCTGCTCACTTTTTGGGTCCACTCTGCCTTTATGAGCTGTAACACTCACCGGGAAGATCTACAACTTCACTCCTTGAGCCAGGGAGACCACGAACCCCTCGGGGAAGGAACGAAGAATTCCAGACGCACCGTCTTAAGAGCTGTAACGCTCACCGCGAAGGTCTGCAGCTTCACTTCTGAGCCAGCGAGACCACGAGCCCACCAGATGGAAGAAACTCCAAACACATCCGAACATCAGAAGGAACAAACTCCGGACACACTGCCTTTAAGAACTATAACACTCACCGCGAGGGTCTGCGGCTTCATTCTTTAAGTCAGTGAGACCAAGAACCCACCAATTCTGGACACACTTCCACCTCAGTTTCCTGAGTAGTTGGGACCACAGGTGTGCACCACCACGTCTGGATAATTGTTATATTTGTTTTGCAGAGAAGGTTTCACCGCATTGCCCACGCTGGCTTCAAACTCCTGTGCTCAAGGAATCCACCCACCTCAGCCTCCCAAAGTGCTGAGATTACCATTGTAACCCAGTGCCTGGCCCTAGAAAAGTGTTTTGTAGCTGGGCAACATAGCAAAACCTCGTCTCTATAAAATAAACATTTTAAAACCAGCCACCATGGTGGGACATGCCTGCAATCACAGCTACTAAAGGGGCTCCAGGATCACTTGAGCCTAAGTGTTCGATGCTGCTGCAGCCTAGGTGACAGAGTGAGACCCTGTCTCCAAACCAAATATATATTTATATACATCTATATGTTATATAAAATTACATATTTTTATATATTTTATATATATATATATATATATTTTGAGATGGAGTCTCACCCTGCCGCCCAGGCTGGAGTGAAATGGTGCAATCTCAGCTCACTACAGCCTCCGCCTCCCAGGTTCAAGCAATTCGTCTGCCTCAGCCTCCCAAGTAACGGATTACATGCACCTGCCATCACGTCTGGCTAATTTTTTTTGTATTTTTAGTAGAGACGGGGTTTCACCATATTGGCCAGGCTGGTCTCAAACTCCTGACCTCATGATCCGCCCGCCTCAGCCTTCCAAAGTGCTGGGATTGTAGGCGTGAGCCACCGCACCCGGCCACCCATTCCAATGAACTCACCGCAAATTCAGTCCTTCATGTCTCAGATCCCTCCTGAGACATCGCCGTGACCACCTCCAGTGGCTTTGTAGTGGTTTATCCGTGAGCCTTGGACAAGCCCCTATACCTCCTGGAGCCTATGTCTATCTCATTTGTAAAAGGAGGAGATGGGACAAGGTGAGTCGCTCCTGAGGGCTCTGACACCCTCCAAGCCCATGAGACGCAGAGGGGAGACACAGATGATTTTTGTTTCTCACTATCAATAAGCTCTTTAGTGACCCTCACTCCCTGGGCAAAAGAATAAAAATCATACATGTAATGAAAAAAAGGCCAGAGAAACATTGCCCTATCCTCCGGGGTCACAAAGGAAAATTCCCTAGGGCTCGCCCCCTCCCTCTTCTGCAGGCCTGCGTCCCTTCCTGGGGCTGAAGCTTCTGGGCCTGCCCCAGGGTCCTGAACGGCTAACAACATACGGGTCAACTGGACCACTGGTGACCACAGAAAGGAGGCTGCAGCTGTTTCTTGCTACCCTTTGAGAGATCAAAGAGCGTGCCGAGCACTGGCCCGCTTCGGAGAACAAGACCCAGGAGAGGAAGGGCCTCGCAGACCTCCTGACTCAGGGCGCTTAATGAGCAGAAAAGCTGGGTTATCTCCAAAGATTGAAAACCATCCTCTGCCCCAAGTCATTTAATACAGCCCACTCAAGGGAAATAACTTACCCAGAATTCCACCACACACCATTCATCAACTCAACAGACATGTGCAATCGCACACCCAATACCAATGCTGCTGTTAATGACAGACCACGTATATTATATGGTAGTCCTGTAAGATTATAACGGGGCTGAAAAACTATCACCTAGTGACAGCGTAGACATGTCATAGCACAGACATTATTCACGTTTCTGGTGATGCTGGTATCATGTAAAAATCTAGCACATAGGCCGGGCGCAGTGGCTCATGCTTGTAATCCCAGCACTTTGAGAGGCCAAGGCGGGCAGATTACCTGAGGTCAGGAGTTCAAGACCAGCTTGGCCAACATGGTGAAACCCTGTCTCTACTCAAAATACAAAAATTAGCCTGGCATGATGGCAGGTGCATGTAATCCCAGCTACTTAGGAGGCTGAGGCGGGGGAATCGCCTGAAACCAGGAGGTGGAGGTTGCAGTGAGCTGAGATCCAGCCACTGCACTCCAGCCTGGCACATACAATTATGTAAAATATATAATACTTGATAATAAATGACTATGTTACTGGTTTATGACTATAGTATATTTTTTATTGTTATTTTAGAGTGTATTCTTTCTACTTTTTTTTTTTTTTTTTTGAGACGGAGTCTTGCTCTGTCGCCCAGGCTGGAGTGCAGTGGCGCGATCTCAGCTCACTGCAAGCTCCGCCTCCCAGGTTCATGTCATTCTCCTGTCTCAGCCTCCCAAGTAGCTGGGACTACAGGCGCCTGCCTGCGCCTGGCTAATTTTTTTTTTGTATTTTTAGTAGAGACGGGGTTTCACTGTGTCAGCCAGGATGGTCTTGATCTCTTGACCTCATGATTCGCACCTCGGCCTCCCAAAGTGCTGGGATCACAGGCGTGAGCCACTGCACCCAGCCTATTCTTTCTACTTATTGAAAAAAAGTTGGCCAGGTGCAGTGGCTCACACCCATAATCCCAGCACTTTGGGAGGCCGAGGTGGGTGGATTACTTTGAGGCCAGGAATTCGACACCAGCCTGGCCAACATGGTGAAACCCTCTCTTTACTAAAAATACAAAATCAGCCGGGCGTGGTGGCATGCGTCTGTAATCCCAGCTACTTGGTAGGCTGAAGCCGGAGGATGACTGGAACCCAGGAGTTCGAGGCTGCAGTGATCTGTGATTACCACTGCACTCCAGCCTGGGTGACAGAGTAAGACTCCATCTAAAAAAACAAAACAAAACAAAGGTAACTGTAAAACAGCCTCAGGCAGGTACTCAGGAGGCATTACAGAAGCAGTAATGGTTATCATAGGAGATGACAGCTCCATGCATGTTATTGCCCCTGAAGACCTTCCAGTGGGACAAGACTTGGAGGTGGAAGAGAGTGATGATGATGATCCTGACCCTATGTAGGCTGAGGCTATTTATGTACGGGTTTTTTGTTTGTCTGTTTTGACACAGGGTTTTACTCCTGTTGCCAGGACTAAGTGCAATGGCGTGATCTCTGCTCACTGCAGCCTCCACCTCCTAGGTTCAAGCAATTCTTCTGCCTCAGCCTCCCAAGTAGCTGAGACTACAGGCATGCGTCACCATACCTGGCTAATTTTTGTGTTTTTTGAAGAGACAGGGTTTTGCCATGTTGCCCAGGGTGGTCTCGAAATCCTGGCCTCAAGCGATCCTCTGACCTCGGCCTCCCAAAGTTCTAGGTGTGAGCGGCTGCACCCGACCCGAGTTATGTATGTTTTTAACAAAAAGTTTAAAAACTAAAAATAAAAAATTGTAAAAATAGAAAAAAGTGTATAGAATATGGATATAAAGGAAGATAACATTTTTGTAAGGTGTACAATGTGTTTATTTTTTGTCTTTATTTTTTTGAGACAGAGTGTTGCTCTGTCGCACAGGCTGGAGTGCAGTGGCACAGTCTCGGCTCACCGCAAGCTCTGCCTCCTGGGTTCACGCCATTCTCCTGCCTCAGCCTCCCGAGTAGCTGGGACTACAGGCGCGCACTGCCATGCTCAGCTAGTTTTTTTTGTATTTTTAGTAGTCACTGTGTTAGCCAGGATGGTCTCGATCTCTTGACCTCGTGATATGCCCTCCTCGGCCTCCCAAAGTGCTGGGATTACAGGCGTGAGCCACCACGCCCTGCAGTGTTAATGTTTTAAATGTTATTACTAGGGTCTAAAGGTTCAAAAATTAAATCTTACTAAATGAAAAAAGTTTATAGTAAACTAAGTTTAGTTTATTATTGAAGAAAGAAAAACATTTTAAAATAAATTTAGTGTACTAGGCCGGGCGCGGTGGCTCATGCCTGTAATCCCAGCACTTTGGAAGGCCAAGGTGGGTGGATCACGAGGTCAGGAGTTCAAGACCAGCCTGGCCACATGGTGAAACCCTGTCTCTATTAAAAATACAAAAATTAGCCAGGCATGGTGGCATGGGCCTGTAATCCCAGCTACTCAGGAGGCTGAGGCAGGAGAATCACTTGAATCCGGGAGGCAGAGTTTACAGTGAGCCGAGATCGAGCCACTGCACTCCAGGCTGGGTGACAGAGTGAGACTCTGTCTCAAATAAATAAATAAATAAATAAATGTAGTGTAGCCTAAGTGTCCAGTGTTGATAAAGTCTGCAGTAGAGTACAGTGATGCCCTAGGCCTTCACATTTATTCACCACCCACTCACTGGTTAACCCAGAGCAACTTCCAGTCCTGCAAGCTTTATTATTGTAAATGCTCTATATACCTATACCATTTTTAATCTTTTATTTTTACTGTACCTCTTCTCTTCTCTTCTTTTCTTTTCTTTTTTGAGACAGGGTCTCACCCTGTCACCCAGGTTGGAGTACAGTGGTGTGATCCTGGCTCACTGCAACCTCTGCTTCCCAGGCTCAAGTGATCTCCTCACCTCAGCCTCCAGAGTAGCTGGCACTACAGGCGTGCGCCACCATGCCTGGCTAATTTTTATATTTTTTTGGTAGAGACGGGGTTTCGCCATGTTGCCTAGGCTGGAAAGGGGGTGAGGGATAAAAGACTACAAATAGGGTGCAGTGTATACTGCTTGGGTGATGGGTGCACCAAAATCTCACAAATCACCACTAAAGAACTTACTTGTGTAACCAAACATCACCTGCACCCCAATAACCTATGGGGAAAAAAAAGACTGGGCAACACAGTGAGAGCCGATCTCCACAAAAACAAAAATAAGAATAAATTAGCCAAGCATGGTGGCATGTGCCCATAGTTGCAGCTACTTGGGAGGCTAAGGTGAGAGGATTGCTTGAGCCGGGGAGGTTGAGGCTACAGTGAGCCACGATTGCCCCGCTGCACTCCAGCCTGGGCAACAGAGCAAGATGCTGTCTCAAAATAAATAAATTAATTAATTAAATAAAGCCAGGGGCCCGAATGAGAAGATCTGGGGAGAGGCTGTGGACAAGAAAGAGAAGAGGCCGAGGAGAGTCCCTGGCACCCTGCAACAGCGACAGGTCTGGTGGTGGTGGTGGTGGAGCAGCCATTGCATACGGTGTGGTGGCAACTGGCACAGAAGCCTAGAGAGGAAAGTGTTTCAGGTGGGGCACAGTGGCTCCTGTAATCCCAGCACTTTGGGAGGCCAAGGTGGGTGTGGATCAGCTGAAGTCAGGAGTTTGAGACCAGCCTGGACAACACGGCGAAACCCCCACCTCTACTGAAAATACAAAAATTAGCCGGGCATGGTAGCACATGCCTGTAGTCCCAGCTACTCGGGAGGCTGAGGCAGGAGAATCCCTTGATCCCAGGAGGCAGAGGTTGTAGTGAGCTGAGATCGATCGTGCTATTGCACTCCAGCCTGGGCGACAAGAGTGAAACTCCGTCTCAAAAAAGAAAGAAAGAATTTCAGTAAGGCAGTGGTTAACCAAGACTAGGGCTGCTGAGAGATGGGAATAGGACACCCGGCCACTGGACGTGATTGGATGGAGGGTGTCAGTCCCCTTGAAAGAGTCATTTCAGGCCGGGCACGGTGGCTCACGCCTGTAATCCCAACACTTTGGGAGGCCGAGGCAGGCAGATCACGAGGTCAGGAGATTGAGACCATCCTGGCCAACATGGTGAAACCCCGTCTCTACTAAAAATACAAAAATTAGCTGGGGGTGGTGGTGCGCGACTGTAATCTCAGCTGCTAGGGAGGCTAAGGCAGGAGAATCTCTTGAACCCAGGAGTCAGAGGTTGCAGTGAGCCAAGATCGAGCCACTGCACTGTAGCCTGGTGACAGAGCAAGACTCCATCTCGAAAAAAAAAAAAAACAGTCATTTCATATGAATGGTAGACACCAAAGCTAGTTTGCTTTCTGCAATCTGAAGAGAGGAGGGAGCAGCAGATGTACACCCAGTGAATCTGCCTGTAGAAAATGTTTGTGGCAAAGCCACTGCTACTTCTTGGACTCCTTTATACTCGTATTTATTTATTTATTTATTTATTTATTTTTGAGACAAAGTCTGGCTCTGTCGCCTAGGCTGGAGTGCAGTGGCATGATCTTGGCTCACTGCAACCTCCACCTCCCAGATTCAAGCGATTCTCGTGCCTTAGCCTCCCGAGTAGCTGGGACTACAGGCACCCACCACCACGCCCAGCTGATTTTTGTATTTTTAGTGGAGATGCAGTTTTACCATGTTGGCCAGGCTGGTCTGGAACTCCTGGCCTCAAGCCACCCGCCCTCCTCAGTCTCCCAAAGCGCTGAGATTAGAGGCGTGAGTCACTGTGCCCGACCCACCTTTATACTCTTGATACATCTCTCATCCAGAGGAGTGGGGAGCAGGTCTGCATTTGCTACAATCGGTGTTTGACAATCCCAAGATCTCAGTATTCTATCGATCACTAGGAAGATGTACAGATGGCTTAATTTAAAGACAGTATAATCGTGTGGAAAATAGCAACTGTCTTAGCCTGGATTCTCCAGGAAGCACAGCCTGAGGCAAAAGCTTATGTGCTACTAATTTATTAGGGAGTGGAATTTCAGGGAGCAGGAGCAGGGGACCAAGGGAGAGGGGCCACAAAGGAGGGAGAGTCAACACTAGAAGGAAGGCAAGGCACATTATTATTATTATTATTATTATTATTATTATTATTATTATTTGAGATGGAGTCTCGCACTGTCACACAAGCTGGAGTGCAGTGGTGCCATCTCCACCCACTGCAACCTCCATCTCCTGGGTTCAAGCAATTCTCCTGCCTAAGCCTCCTGAGTAGCTGGGACTACAGGTGCACGCCACCATGCCTGGCTAATTTTTGCATTTTTAGTAGAGATGGGGTTTCACCAGGTTGGCCAGGCTGGTCTCAAACTCTTGACCTCAAGTGATCTGCCCACTTCGCCCTCCCAGAGTTCTGGGATTACAGACGTGAGCCACTGCGGCTGGAAGGTACGTTATTAAACTGGCTGCTACTAAATGTGGCTGACTGCTCAATCCTGGGGGACTGTCCTCCAACAAATCACCTAATCTGCATCTTAGGATAGTCATCTCACTCCAGAGTGAGAAACAGGAAAGAAGCCATCCCCAGCTCCCTTCCCCAATTGGCCAAGGCTTTGCCTCATGGTATGCTAACTCACCCCCCTGCAGTAGCACAGGCTTGCACAAGTGCCAGACTGGGGTCCTGCTCTGTCCTATGTCAACGGGGAAGCCCTAGAGTGGGACGGAAGTGATAATGCAGACCCACGGCAAGACACGGTGTGGCCGTGCAAGCTTTAAGTTGTTTGAAGTCTACGCGGAAGAGGTAGTTGGAAAAGTAACAGATGGGGCTGAAAAGGCCTGAGGTGGTGCATGAGAGGTATTGATGTATCATCTGAACAATAATTGGAACTGTCATTCTAAAGAATACAACAGCCAGAAATGTCAGTAAGACCTTGTGTCTTTCAGAGAACAACGGAACCATGATGTGTGTTCAGGGGTGTTTACAGCAGCACTGCTTGTAATAGGAAAAAAAAAATCACAATCAAGAACAATGGGAAAAAGCATTCAAACAATGGGGACTGGTTAATAAGTGATGGTATTTAATACACTAAAGAATCTAAGCCTTCAGTGAAAAGAAGGATGATGAGGGGTGGGGAGCAAAAAGGAGGGACGGGAAGAAGAGTTTACAAAGGGACACCAGGAAAGTTCTGGGGGTCACAGATATGTCCACTGTTGACATTGGTGAGAGTTTTATGGGTGTATACAGATGTAAAAACTCAAGAAGTGTACACTTTAAATAGTGAAGTTTATTATATGTTTATCATACCCCAAATAAAACTATTAAAATAATAAAAATAAAAATTTTAAAATGATAAAACCTGGAAACCACCATTCAATCAGTAGGGGATTGGTGAATAAATGGTGGTATTTAATACATGAAAAATTTAGGCCAGCCACGGTGGCTCATGCCTATAATCCCAGCACTTTGGGAGGCCGAGGCGGGCACATCACTTGAGGTCAGGAGTTCGAGACCAGCCTGGCCAACAGGAGAAACCCTGTCTCTACTAAAAATGCAAATATCAGCTGGGCGTGGCAATGCACACCTGTAGTCCCAGGTACTCGGGAGGCTGAGGGAGGAGAATCATTTGAGGTTGCAGTGAGCAAAGACCATGCCACTGCACTCCAGCCTTGGTGACAGAGCGAGACTTTGTCTCAAAAAAAAAAAAAAAGAAAAAAAAAGCATCCATTAAGAAGGAGGAAGACGGGTACAAGGAGATTTGGACACATCCCCCAAGACATATTAAATGAAAAAAGCAAAGTACAGAACGATGCATCTAAGATAGTCTCTTTTGTGTTCAGTTTTAGAGATTTACACATGTGGGCAGGCTAGAACATTTGGGGCTAGAACACAACAGAAAACGAGCCAGGCCTGTAATCCCAGCACTTTGGGAGGCCGAGGAGGGCAGATCATGAGGTCAGGAGATCAAGACCAGCCTGGCTAACACGGTGAAACCCCATCTCTACTAAAAATATAAAACATTAGCTGGGTGTGGTGGCAGATGCCTGTAATCCCAGCTACTCGGGAGGCTGAGGCAGGAGAATCGCTTGAACCCGGGAGGCGGAGTTTTCAGTGAGCCGAGATCACTCCATTGCACTCCATTGTTTGTTTGTTTGTTTGTTTGTTTTTGAGATGGAGTCTCGCTCTGCCGCCCAGGCTGGATGGCAGTGGTGTGATCTCGGCTCACTGCAAGCTCCGCCTCCCGGGTTCACGCCATTCTCCTGCCTCAGCCTCCCGAGTAGCTGGGACTACAGGCGCCCGCACCACGCCGGCTAATTTTTTGTATTTTTAGTAGAGGCGGGGTTTCACTGTGTTAGCCAGGATGTCTCGATCTGCTGACCTCATGATCCGCCCGCCTCTGCCTCCCAAAGTGCTGGGATTACAGGCGGGAGCCACCGCGCCCGGCCCATGCTTCCATATTTTTATGCAGCAAGAAGGAGTGAAAAGCTAGCTCCCCAATCATAGAACAGAAACCTTTCCTCTGGGTTTGATTGGACCAACATAGAGTCTAATCTAACTGAAGTCAAACCTGTGATTGAAGGTAGTGTAGCTGGACGAGCCACAGACAAAACTCCTCAGACACACGATTAAAGAAGGAAGAGGTTTATTCAGCCGGGAGCGTCAGCAGGCTTGCGTCTTAAGAGCCGAGCTCCCGGCCGGGCGCGGTGGCTCACGCCTGTAATCCTAGCACTTTGGGAGGCCGAGGCAGGTGGATCACCAGGTTAGGAGATCGCGACCATCCTGGCTAACACGGTGAAACCCCGTCTCTGCTAGAAACACAAAAAATTAGCCGGGCGTGGTGGCGGGCGCCTGTGGTCCCAGCTACTCGGGAGGCTGAGGCAGGAGAATGGCGTGAACCTGGGAGGCGGAGCTTGCAGTGAGCTGAGATGGTGCCACTGCACTCCAGCCTGGGCAACAGAGCGAGACTCTGCCTCAAAAAAAAACAGAGCCGAGCTCCCTGAAAAAGAAATTATTGGCCTTTTAAAAGGTTTATAACTCTAAGGGGTCCACGTGAAAGGGGTGTAATAAATTGAGCAAGCGTGGGGAACGTGACTGAGAGCTACAGGCATCAGCTAACAGAACAGAAAGTTTTGCAGTGCTTTTTCATACAATGTCTGGAATTTACAGATAACACAAGTAATTTAGGTCAGGGGTTGATATTATCATTATTACTTTTTTTAACTCCTAGGGCCGGGTCGTGGTGCAAGCTTGTCTGGCTATTTATCTTACTTCTGTTTCTTCCCAACTTTTTGCTTTCTCTCTTTCCTCCTGTCTTGTGAACTAGGCAAGGTGGGGGGAGGAGGGCAGCAGGAGTAGTAGTGGTCTCCTTCCTTAGTAGGATCCCACTACTTGTGAGAGGAAAAAGAATACCAGGTAGGCAATGAGCAGAATCTACTACTGGTACATTCCTAAAATTTTTTTGTAAAAGATATTTGAGAACTTGGCCAGGTGCAGTGACTCATGTCTATAATCCCAGCACTTTGGGAGGCTGAGCCGGGTGGATCACTTGAGCTCAGGAGTTGAAGATCAGCCTGGGCAACATGGCGAAACCTCATCTCTACAAAATATACAAAAATTAGTCAGGCACAGTGGTGCATGTCTGTGGTCCCAGCTACTTGGGAGGCTGAGGTGGGAGGATTACTTGAGCCTGGGAGGCAGAGGTTGCAGTGAGTACAGATGGCACCGCTGCACTCCAGCCTGGGTGACAGTGCCAGATCCTGTCTCAAAAAAAAAAAAAAAAGATATTTAAGAATTTGGCACTGTGTGCAGTGGCTCACACCTGTAATCCCAGCACTTTGGGAGGCTGAGGCAGGTGGATCACTTGAGGTCAGGAGTTTAAGACCAGCCTGGCCAACATGGTGAAACCCTGTCTCTACTAAAAATACAAAAATTAGCCAGGAGCGGTAGTGGGCGCCTGTAGTCCCAGCTACTCAGGAGGCTGAGGCAGGAGAATTGCTTGAACCCAGGAGGCAGAGGTTGCAGTGAGCCGAGATCACACCACTGCACTCCAGCCTGGGCAACAGAGTGAGACTCCATCTCAAAAAAAAAAAAAAGAAGAAGAACTTGTTAAAGGTGTTTTCCTTTGGGGAGAGGGTTTCAGGTTGAGGGTAATGGATGGAGACTTTATTTTATACAGTCCTGTATAATTCGATTTGTTTTACAGTTTTTTTTAAAATTCAGACTTAACTGTGTGGTAGAATTATAGGCCCTTTTAGTTTTCATTCTTTTATACCATCTGCATTAGAAAAAGAGAGAGAAAAAAATTCCTACAAAAAGAAAAATTGCGAATGGGATTAAAGAAAATGTTTGCAGGTAAGAATTGGTGTGCAGTTATATGAAGATTAGAATTAGAGCTATGTAATAAATGAGTTTATTCAGTAAGTTTAATATTTTAGTTAGTCTCTGCTGTTTAGCGAACTATCCCAACAACTTATTGTTTCAACAACAATTTCTTATTTCTCATTTGATGTGTTGACTGAGAAGTTCTTTTGCTGGTCTGGCCTGGGCTCACTCATGGTTACATTCAGCTGCAGGTCAGATTGGGACCAAGGTCAGGTGGGATGGCTAGACAGTGGGCCTGTCTCTCCGGGTGGCCTTTCCAGCAGGATGGCCTAGACAGCCTTCCAGGAGGACCAGCCCCATACAGAGGCTCTTGTCAAGTCTCTGCTGGCATTCCACTTGCTGTTGTCCCATGGGCCAAGCAAATCACATGGCCAAGCCCAGAGTCACCATGAGAGGGGATTATACCAGGGCATGGGTATTAAGAGGCATGATGCACTGGGGGACGTTATTATTATTATTACTATTACTATTATTACTATTTCTACAACTACAAACTACTTAAAGAACAATGTCTTTAAATAAAGGAGAAACTCAGTTTCGAGAGACATTTTCAACACCCCAAATTATGCACTCTGTGTTATGGATAGACAAATGCTCTGTTCAGACAACATAATTAAACCTGTGTGATAACCAAACACGTGGCATAATGAGGAACTGAAAGCAAATTTGCACAATAAACATCAAAAGAAAAAAAATTAATGTAAATATTAAAACAGGCTAGGCCTAGGCGACAGAGCGAGACTCCGTCTCAAAACAAAATGAAAAAAACAGGCTGGACATGGTGGCTCACGCCTGTAATCCCAGCACTTTGAGAGGCCGTTGTGGGGGGGTGATTTGAGTTCAGGAGTTCAAGACCAGCCTGGGCAACATGGTGAAACCTTGTTTCTACTAAAAATACAAAAATTAGCTGGGCGTGCTGGCATGTGCCTGTAATCCCAGCTACACAAGAAGCTGAGGTGGGAGAATTGCTTGAACCTGGGAGGTGGAGGTTGCAGTGAGACAAGATCGTACCATTGCACTCCAGCCTTGGCAACAAGAGCGTCTCGAATAAATAAGTAAATAAATAAATAGTAAAACAACACTAAATCCAGTGTTTCACAGATGAACAGCTATGACTTCATGATATTCCAGCCCAAAGTCCTACTTTCTCTTCTTTGCTGCTGCCAAGTTGATAGTTTCCTAGATGAACAGTGTGGGGAGTTGGACTGAACAGCTCATCAGAATTCACTCGATGTGAACAGCCAATCTGAATTAATCAGATCTAAACTCATCACTCCCTGTGTTTGATTCCCCTCCAAGAGCACAGTGAAGGAGAAAAAGTGAGTACTAAGTTATTCAGCTAATTCATTTTAAGAAGTGTGGGCAAACATATACATGATATATGTTGTCAGGAAACAAACGAGGCATATGACAGTCCTTTCCCTCAACAAGCGAACAGTCCAATGAGAGGAAATAGACTTAATGCTGGCCGGGCGCGGTGGCTGACGCCTGTAATCGCAACACTTTGGGAGGCCGAGGCAGGTGGATTATCTGAGGTCAGGAGTTCGAGACCAGCCTGGCCAACGTAGTGAAATTCTGTCTCTACTAAAATACAAAAATTAGCCAGGCAGGGTGGCACATGGCTGTAATCTCAGCTACTTGGGAGGCTGAGGCAAGAGACTTACTTGAGCCTGGGAGGCAGAGTTTGCAGTGAGCTGAGATCACACCACTGCACTCCAGGCTTCCAGCCTGAGCAACAGAACTAGACTTAATGCCAAGAGGCCAGGCACTGGTAGATACTGACATGGGGGAAAAGGGAGGGGAACAAGGAGGTGCTGTGGTTCACACCTGTAATCTTAGCACTTTGGGAGACCAGAGCAGGAAGATCACTTGAGGCCAGGAGTTCAAGACCAGACTGGACACCATAGCGAGACCCCATCTCTACAAAAAATTAAAAATAAAAAAATTAGCCAGGTATGATGGCGTGCACCTGTAGTCCCAGCTATTTAGGAAGTTGAGGCAGAAGGGTTGCTTGAGCCAAGGAGTTTGAAGTTGCAGTGAGCCGTGATGACACCACTGCACTCCAGCCTGGGCAACAAGAGTGAGACCCTAACTCTAAAAAAGAAGAGGTGAGGATAGACAGAGACTCCGAAGAGGCACAGGTAGGAAGGCCATGAGAAGACACAGGCAGAGACTAGAGCAATGCAGCCACAAGCCAAGGCGTGTTGGGGTCACCAGAAACTGGAAGAGACAAGGAAGGATCCTCCCCTGGAGGCTTCAGAGGGAGCATGGCACTGCTGACACCTTGATTTTGGACTCTGACCTATAGAACTGTAAGAGGATAAATTTCTGTTGTTTTTATTTATTTTTTTTAATTTTTTTGAGAAGGAGGCTAGCTCTGCCACCCAGGCTGGAGTGCAGTGGCACAATCTCAGCTCACTGCAACTCCTGCCTCCGGGTTCAAGCTATTCTCCTGCCTCACCCTCCTGAGTAGCTGGGATTACAGGCACCCGCCACCACACCTGGCTAGTTTTTTGTATTTTTAGTGGAGACGGGGTTTCACCATGTTGGCCAGGTTGGTTTTGAACTCCTGATCTCAAATGATCCACCCGCCACAGCTTCCCAAAGTGCTAGGATTACAGGTGTGAGCCACCGTGCCCAGCCTAATTTTTGTTGTTTTTAAGTCACCAAGTTTGTGGTAATTTGTTACGGCAGCCCTGGGAAATGAATTCAGTCTGCCTGTGCTGAAACCAGAATGTAGCCCTCTTTTCAATCAAGCTCTCTGACCACAAGAATACAGTTTACTGGGGTTCGAAGGCCTGGTCAAAAGAGTCTAAATGTGAATTAAGGGGTCACATAGCAGGTTTTTAAGTTTGAAAAAAGTACTGCCTTGATGACCCAGAAACTCCGGTTTAAAAAAAAAAATCAAGGCCAGGCGTGGTGGCTCACTCCTGTAATCCCAGCACTTTGGGAGGCTGAGGCAGGCGGATCACCTGAGGTTGGGAGTTTGAGACCAGCCTGACCAACATGCAGAAACCCCATCTCTACTAAAAATACAAAATTAGCCAGGAGTGGTGGCACATGCCTGTAATCCCAGCTACTCGGGAGGCTGAGGCAGGAGAATCGCTTGAACCCAGGAGGCGGTGGTTGTGGTGAGCCGAAATCTTGCCATTGCACTCCAGCCTGGGCAACAAGAGTGAAACTCCGTCTCAAAAAAGAAAAAAAAAAAAATCAAGGGTCCCCAATAATTTGGTAAGCTATTCAGAGAATTCTGAGTCTTAGAGCTAGGAAGGCAGAGATGACCTAGCACAGTCCTTGCCTAATACAGTAGATATAAATTCATTCTCCCATGCTTAGGTCAGAAATCATCCTACAATTTGATTTTTGTTCTAAATCAAATGACATCCCATTAGGCCTCCACTACTTTACAAAGTAAATGAGAAATTCCAAAACTGATTACTCCTGGGGATGCTTTCCCTCTTGTCTGGTTACTGTAAGAATTTAAGCTTGCTCAATTCAAAAACCAGGAAGGCCTCCCCAGCACTTTGGGAGGCCAAGGCGGGTGGATCACCTGAGGTCTGGAGCTCGAGACCAGCCTGACCCATGTGGCGAAACCCCTGTCGCTACTAAAAATGCGAAAATTAGCCTGGCATGGTGGTGCACGCCTGTAATCCCAGTTGCTCGGGAGGCTGAGGCAGGAGAATCCGGGAGACAGAAGCTACATTGAGCCGAGGTAGCACCACTGCACTCCAGCCTGGGCAACAGAGCAAGACTCAAAAAAACAAAAACCAGGAAGGGGCCTGGCCTTCAGGCTGCATGGGCACAGGCCAGCCCTTGGGTGTCTATTAGAAGTGGGTGGCCCCAGCCCCTCTATGCCAAACCTGGTCTGCTGCTTCGGAGGGGCATACATTGATCCCACCATATCTGAAGCTCTCTCACCCCCTTTCTGAACCTAGGGGCTGTGTGGGAGGGCGGCACACATCCCTGATGATGCAGAGTGTGCAGGCACTAACTCCTTCCCCAGGGTTGAGAGTAAGCAATTCCCTCCTTTGCAATGGAGCTCGGCCTCTTCTCTTTCCAGCCTCCCACAACATCTGCCTCCCTTAATAAACTGCTCATTTCACACAACTCCAGGGGTAGAAGACAGAGCCTCCCCATAACTTCACCTCTCTGCCCTTATCATGTACATAACTTCACCTCTCTGCCCATATCACATAGCTCTTTAAGAAAGGGCGATGGGGCACAGAAACATAAAGACTTCTTGGAATGAAAGAGGGAAAAATATGTTTGTTTTATTTCATTTATTTATTTTTTTGAGACGGAGTCTCGTTCTGTTGCCCAGGCTAGAGTGCAGTGGTGCAATCTTGGCTCACTGCAAGCTCCGCCTCCCGGGTTCAAGCGATTCTCCTGCCTCAGACTTTTGAGTAGCTGGGATTACAGGTGCGCACACCCGGCTAATTTTTGCACGTTTAGTAGAGATGGGGTTTCACTATGTTGGCCAGGCTGGTCTCAAACTCCTGATTTCGGGTGATCTGCCTGCCTCGGCCTCCCAAAATGCTGGGATTACAGGCATGAGCCATCGCACCCAGCCTAAAAAAATACCTGTTTGTTCATTTGTTTTTGAGCCATCCATAACAGTAGGAATACCAAACAAACAGCTCAATAAATCATGCTCCACATTATTCAGTGGAAGAGTCCTGAGGTCCTGGTTCTCTGTAGAGGTTCTTTCTTGGATGCATTGATACACAATGGCCTCATCTTGGTTCCGTTTGCCTGCGAGGTCTTTAGATATTTTCTTGCTCAAAGTAACTGGAAATACTCTAGGACTTAACTTTTGAAAACGACAGAATGGTTTGGTGTTTTCAGATGCATCTGGAAAAAGGAAGTGAAGATGGCTCCCAGCAGTTGTCTTCATTTAAATTCTCTTTGAGTAGCAGAGCTGAATGATTCTATTACAAACCCCAGGATTCCAAGGAAACAGCTTTGACAGTCAGTTCATCCCTTTACAGGCAAAACAGGTAGTTCATAAACATACACATTTCAGCATGATACCATCTCAGAATACGCAGTATCTAATGCACCTCCAGCAAATGCTGGTGTAACTACTATAACCGATAGAGGTTTCTGTTTTTATTTTGAGACAGGGTCTCACTCTGTCGCCCAGGTTGGAGTGCACTGGCGCAATCTCGGCTCACTGAAACCTCTCTGCTTCCCGAGTTCAAGCGATTCTCATGCCTCAGCCTCCTGAGTAACTGGGATTATAGGCGCATGCCACCTCCAGCTAATTTTTGTATTTTTAGTAGACACGGGGTTTCACTATTTTGGCCAGGCTGGTCTGGAACTCCTGACTTCAGGTGATCCATCCACCTCGGCCTCCCAAGGTGCTGAGATTACAGGAGTGAGCCACCACGCCCGGCCCCATTACAGCGTTTTAATCCAGATTGGAAATGCTTTCACAGAAGGAGCATTTGACTGTAATACTGGCCAGTGTTTTCCTCCACGCGAAACACTTGCCATAAACATTCACAAATAGCAGGGGAATTTAAAAACCAGGAAGGAAATGAGTGATAATGATCTCATGGGAAGGAACAGAACTTCCTCACAAAGACATAAATGTTCAGTACTCACTTGTATCCCATCCACCCTCTGCCTGGCAACTGAGTGTGCTTAGACTGGTGTCAAATAGTGAACAATTTGCCTGAATAGATCATCAAAGCTTCAGTAGTAACTGGAGTTTAGCAAACTTCTTTCAACGATACAGTGTATCTCAAAAACCAGAGAAGTATGTACATAATTAAACATTTTAGGTTCAAATTCTGAAAAAAAAATGGTCCAGGCCAAAAATGAAGTTAAATTCCAAATAAGAAAAGGGGCCGGGTATGGTGGCTCACGCCTGTAATTCCAAGTTTTGGGAGACCAAGGTGGGCAGATTACTTGAGACCAGGAGTTCAAAAACCAGCCGGGGTAACATGGTGAAACCCTGTCTCTACAAAAAGTACAAAAATTAGCCAAGTGTGGTGGCGCGCACCTGTGGTCCCAGCTACCTGAGAGGTTGAAGTGGGAGGATCACCTGAGCCCCGGAGGTCAAGGGTGCAGTGAGCCATGATCGTGCCACTGCAATCCATCCTGGGTAACAGAGAGAGACCCTGTCTCAAAAAATGGCTGGGCACGGCGGCTCACGCCTCTAATTCCAGAACTTGGGGATATCCCTGTTATGTCTTAAGGTTATCTGTTTTGCCACACAGGAATTATTTGCATCTCTAGTGGAGAAATATCTACAAATGAATCTCAGATTCTACAGAATTTTAAAAAAGCCCAGAGGTGAACAGATCACTTAAGGTCAGGAGTTCAAAACCAGCCTGGCCAACATGGTGAAACCCCGTCTCTAGTAAAAATACAAAAATTAGCTGGGCGCGGTGGTATGTGTCTGCAGTCCCAGCTACTGGGAAGGCTGAGGCAGGAGAATTGCTTAAACCCAGGAGGCAGAGGTTGCAGTGAGCCAAGATCGCACCACTGCATTCTAGCCTGGGTGACAAAGCGAGACTTTCTCAAAGAAAAAAAAAAAAGAAAAAGAAAAAAGAAAAGGACTCTCTTCTCTCTTGAAAACATTTATAATGTAGAGGTTATAATGCAGAGGAAAAGTCTTTGATTCAGGGAGGCCAAAAAACTGTCCATCAGGAAAGATTTTACCAGGTCACACTTGTTACCTTGCTGAATTTTCTAGAAAACAAGTCTGACCTCTGGCCTTATAGGCACAGAAACCCAGTGTTTCCAACTCATTAACAGCGTATCAGTCTTTCACAAATGGATATCCATTATCCATCCACTGGCGTATAAAACCAGAATGACAGCCTGGCATGGTGGCTCAACCCAGTAATCCCAGCACTTTGGGAGGCCAAGGCAGGTGAATCACCTGAGGTCAGGAGTTTGAGACCAGCCTGGCCAACATGTTGAAACCCCATCTCTACTAAAAATGCAAAAAAGATTAGCTGGGCATGGTCGCGTGCCCATGTAATCCCAGCTACTCAGGAGGCTGAGGTGGGAGAATTGCTTGAACCCAGGAAGCAGAGGTTGCAGTGAGCCAAGATCGTGCCACTGCACTCCAGCCTGGGCAACAGAGTGAGACCCCATCTCCAAAACAACAACAACAACAACAACAACAACAACAAACCGGAATGACCTCACACCTGTAATCACAGCATTTTGTGAGGCTGAGGCAGACAGATCACCTGAGGTCAGGAGTTCGAGACCAGCCTGGCCAACATGGAGAAACCCTGTCTCTACTAAAACCACAAAAATTAGCCAGGTGTGGTGTTGGGCATTTGTAATCCCAGCTACTCTGGAGGCTGAGGCTCGAGAATTGCTTGAACCCAGGAGGCGCAGGTTGCGGTAAGCTGAGATTGTGCCACTGCATTCCAGCCTTGGTGACCGAGCAACACTCTATCTCAATAAATAAATAAATAAATAAATAAAACCAGAATGACCATTTACTGATCACTAATAAGAAATCTAACAGTCATCCAGGAAAACATATGACCAACCCATCCTCTCCTGACAGACATGTAAGATGGCAAAAAAGTACCCAAAACTTGAAAATAGATAAAAGAGATTACTAGCCCGGATGTGGTGGCTCATGCCTGTAATCCCAGCACTTCGGGAGGCCGAGGTGGGCAGAACACCTGAGGTCAGGAGTTCAAGACCAGCCTGACCAACATGGAGAAGCCCCATCTCTACTAAAAATACAAAATTAGCCAGGCATGGTGGCACTCGCCTGTACTCCCAGCTACATGGGAGGCTGAGGCAGGAGAATCGCTTGAACCCAGGAGGCGGAGGTTGCGGTGAGCCGAGATGGTGCCATTGCACTCCAGCCTGGGCAACAAGAGTGAAACTCAGTCTCAAAAAAAAAAAAAAAGGAGGTTACTGGAGTTATTTTCAGTGTAATGCTGGGCTTGACTTTCTACTGTCTGGGCTATTTTAAAATTCTGTAGGATCGGATGGGCACCGTGGCTCACGCCTGTAATCCCAGCACTTTGGGAGGCCAAGGCGGGCGGATCACAAGGTCAAGAGATCGAGACCATCCTGGCTAACACGGTGAAACCCCGTCTCTACTAAAAATACAAAAAAATTAGCCGGGCATGGTGGCAGGCACCTGTAGTCCCAGCTACCCGGGAAGCTGAGGCAGGAGATTGGCGTGAACTCAGGAGGCAGAGCTTGCAGTGAGCTGAGATCGCATCACTGCACTCCAGCCTGGGAAACAGAGTGAGAGTCTGTCTCGAAAAAAAAAAAAAAATTCTGTAGGATCAGAGATTCATTTATAGATTTTTGTCCTCTAGACGTGCAAATAATTCTTATGTGGCAAAACAGATAACCTTAAGACGTAACAGCGTATGGCCCTGTTGGACTTTGATATTTTTATCTAACTAGCAATCTATCCTCATATAAATATCCTAGCTTCTCAAATACCCTTTGAACTAATTTTAACATCTTACTGGTTAATTCATTAATTAATAAGTTGAATAAAATATTTGATATGTATGTATTTTATACTTGCATCAGTCATGACATTATCTTTTAAAAAAAAATAAGGTGTGCTGGGCGCGGTGGCTCAGGCCTGTAATCCCAGCACTTTGGGAGGCCGAGGCAGGTGGATCACAAGGTCAGGAGTTCAAGACCAGCCTGGCCAAGATGGTGAAACCCCGTCTCTACTAAAAATACAAAAATTAGCTGGGCGTGGTGGTGGGCGCTTGTAATCCCAGCTACTCGGGAGGCTGAGGCAGAGAATTGCTTGAACCCAGGAGGCAGAGGTTGCAGTGAGCCGAGATCACACCACTGCACTCCAGCCTGGGCAACAGAGCGAGACTCTATCTCAAAAAACAAAAAAAAAATTTAGGTGAAATTCATGTTACAGAAAATTAACCATTTTAAAGTGAACAAATCAGCAGAATTTAGAACATCTACAGCGTTGTGCAACCACCATTTCTATCTAGTTCCAAAACACTTTCACTACCTCAAAAAAAAATCCTTTATCCATTAAGCAGAAGGAATTTCATTCCCTCCTCCCCCTAGCCCCTGGCAACTCCCAATCTGCTTTTTGATTCAGTGAATTTATCTATTCTGGATATTTTATACAAATGGAATCATACCATATGAGACCTCTTGTGTCTAACTTCTTTCACTTGCCATAATGTAGACACTTACTTTCCCCTTCCCCTTCCCCTTCCCCTTTCCCTTCCCTTCCTTTCCTTTCTTTTCCTTTTCTTTCCTTTTATTTCCTTTTTCTTACAGCATCTTGCTCTGTTGTCCATGCTGGAGTGCAGTGGCATGATCTTGGCTCACTGCAGCCTCCACCTCCCAGGCTTCAGTGATCCTCTGGCCTCAGCCTCCTGAGTAGCTGGGATTACAGATGCACACCACCATGCTCAGCTAATTATTTCACATTTTTTGTAGAGACGGGGTTTCGTCACATTGCCCAGGCTGGTTTTGAGCTCCTGGGCTCAAGCGATTCACCCACCTCAGCCTCCCAAAGTGTTGGGATTACGATCATGAGCTACCGCGCCCAGCCAGCATAATGTTTCAAGTTTCACTCTCCTTATAACATATATCAGTATTGCTGAGTAATATTCTATGACATGGATACACCAAATTTTTTTTTTTTTTTTTGAGACAGAGTCTCCTCTGTCGCCGAGGTTGGAGTACAGTGGCGCAATCTTGGCTGACTGCAACCTCCGCCTCCTGGGTTCAAGCGATTCTCCTGCCTCAGCCTCCCGAGTAGCTGGGACTACAACCACGAGCCACCATGCCCAGCTAATTGTTGTATTTTTAGTAGAGACGGGGTTTCACTACGTTGGCCAGGCTGGTCTCAAACTCCTGACCTCAAGTGATCCGCCCACCTCCATCCCCCAAAGTGCTGGGATTACAGGCGTGAGCCACCGCACCTGGCCCCATAATCTAAATTTTAGAGGAAGAATTTATTTCCACACTCTTACTGTAATCCCTAGGTATTGACAGCAGAAGAAAATCACATTATTCTTCTAAGATTTGCATTCCAAAAGGTGAAGGATATGTGGTCTTCTGTAGCAGGTCCATTAAGCGGGAATATTGAATGAAACAGCTGCACTGCACTCTATATACAATGGAAAGCAATGGGGCAGCACCAGGAAACCAGCTGTTTAGTATTCTGTAGTGAGGAGCTGTATTGTGCATTCAGTAGTAGCTGACATGATGTGCATTTTAAGAAGAATTTTATTCCTTTATTTATTTATTTTTGAGATGGAGTCTTGCTCTGTCGCCGAGGCTGGAGTGCAGTGGCTTGATCTCGGCTGATTGCGACCTCCACCTCCTGAGTTGAAGCGATTCTTCTGCCTCAGCCTCCCGAGTAGCTGGGATTACAGGCATACACCACCACGCCCCGGCTAGTTTTTGTATTTTCAGTAGAGATAGAGTTTCACCATGTTGGCCAGGATGGTCTCGAACTCCTGACCTCAGGTGATTTGCCCACCTCAGCCTCCCAAAGTGCTGGGATTACAGGCATGAGTCACCGTGCCTGGCCTGTTGCTTTTTCTTGAAGGTGAGTTAGCTCTTTTAAAGTTACTTAATTCTTAAAATCCTCAAAAATTCTAATTGAATCTAATGCTAAAAGCTCGATCAAATAAAATTAGTCTACATCATATTTCTTTAATCGTTTTTAGTTTCTGTACTTGCAAATGACATTTAAGCATTTAAAAAAGAAAATCATTATGAAACTAGAAAGTTTTCCCTCATAGTTCAAGAAAAATGTCCAAAGTTCAAGTTAAGGTATTAAATTGAACGGGGTACTAAATTTAGAGATATTAGATTTCTTTTTTTTTTTTTTTTTTTTTTGAGATGAAGTCTCGCTCTGTCACCCAGGCTGGAGTGCAGTGGCGCGATCTCGGCTCACTGCAAGCTCCGCCTCCCGGGTTCACGCCATTCTCCTGCCTCAGCCTCCCAAGTAGCTGGGACTACAGGTGCCCGCCACCATGCCCGGCTAATTTTTTTGTATTTTTAGTAGAGACGGGGTTTCACTGTGTTAGCCAGGATGGTCTCAATCTCCTGACCTCATGATTAGCCCGCCTCAGCCTCCCAAAGCTCTGGGATTACAGGCATCCCGAAGCACCGCTCCTCGCCACGATAATAGATTTCTTAAAGACAAAGATGATTTTTACCATAGAGTTGGTACTTGCCACACATTAAATAAGGCTGTATATATGGCAATACGAAAAAATTAAGAAAAGGTGCTTCTGTGTCAACTTTCTTCCTCCTAGTAGGTAAAGCTGTCCTTATTGAGAACATTGTTTCTTTTTTGAAATGGAGTCTCACTCCATCACCCAGGCTGGAGTGCAGTGGCACAATCTCGGCTCACCTCAACCTCTGCCTTCCGGGTTCAAGTGATTCTCCAGCCTCAGCCTCCCGAGTAGCTGGGATTACGGGTGCATGCCACCACGCCTGCTAATTCTTTGTTTTTTTAGCAGAGATGGGGTTTCACCATGTTGGTCAGGCTGGTCTCAAACTCCTGACCTCAGGTGATCCACCTGCGTCGGTCTCCCAAAGTGCTGGGATTACAGCGTGAGCCACTGTGCTGGGCCGAGAACATTATTTCTACACCCTAGTTTCCGAAGAAAAGTTGGCCCAGATGTGCTTTTCTGGATACGTAAATAATGTATGTTTATTTAGCTATTTTTATTATTCATACCGAATAATCCCTTTTTATTTGTACCCAGTGATGCCAAATGAGCTTTCAATTTTTTGGTTTTAAAATCCTAAAACGTCCTTAATGGGTTTTGGACCGAAGACCATCTATTGAGAAAATAGGAGCGCCAACTTTAATCATAATTGCTCAACTGGGACTCATGCACACGATACATACCCAATGTGGCTGAAATGACCCAATAGCGTTGGTCACGAGAAATGCCTCTTCTGTTGGCTCTTGCTCTCCTTGGCAATCGGTACAAAAAGATAGGAGTTTTTGAGGAATTGTCTTTACGTTTAGTGGGGTAAGATTTAAAACAGTAAGGCTGGGCACAGTGGCTCATGCCTGTAACCCCAGCTCTTTGGGAAGCCAAAACGGGAGGATTGCTTAAACCCAGGAGTTCAAGATCAGCCTGGGCAACATGACGAGATCCTGTCTCTACAAAAAGTTAAACAAACAAACAAAAAACACAGCCAGGCATGATGGCACATGGCTGTAGTCATAGCTACTCAGGAGGCTGAGGCAGGAGCATCACGTGAGCCCAGAAGTTCGAGGCTTCAGTGAGCAATGAGCTCTCCAGCCTGGGTGACAGAGCAAGAACCTGTCTCTAAAATAATAATAATCGGCTGGGCACGTTGGCTCACGCCTGTAATCCCAGCACTTTGGGAGGCTCAGAAGGGCAGGCTACCTGAGGTCAGGAGTTCGAGACCAGCCTGGCCAAAATGGTGAAACCCAGTTCCTACTAAAAATACAAAAATTAGCCGGGCATGGTGGCGTGTGCCTGTAGTCCCAGCTACTCGGGAGGCTAAGGCAGGAGAATCGCTTAAACCCAGGAGGCGGAGGTTGCAGTGAGCCAAGATTGTGCCACTGCACTCCAGCCTGGGCGACAAAGCAAGACTCCATCTCAAATAAAATAAAATAAAATAATAATTATCATAATAAAATAGTAACAGCTGAGGCCGGGCGCTGTGGCTCATGCCTGTAATCCCAGCACTTTGGGAGGCCGAGGCGGGTGGATCACGAGGTCAAGAGATCGAGACCATCCAGGCCAACATAGTGAAACCCCGTCTCTACTAAAAATACAAAAAAATAGCCGGGTGTGGTGGCAGGCGCCTGTAGTCCCAGCTACTCAGGAGGCTGAGGCAGGAGAATGGCATGAACCCAGGAGGCGGAGCTTGCAGTGAGCCGAGATCACGCCACTGCACTCCAGCCTGGGCAACAGAGTGAGACTCTGTCTCAAAAATAAATACATAAATAAATACATAAATAAATAAATTAAATTAAATTAAATAGTAACAGCTTTACCAGGAATTGTCCCTGCCTGGTCTACCACATCACTCCTTTGCACATACATATCCTTTTGGTTTTAAAATATGCATGCTGAATGAAAGGTACATGAAAGGTCTTTGCACTATCTGTGCAATTTCCTCTAACTATAATTATTTCCAAAAAAAGAAGCCAAAATGCAGATATACCCAAAATAATTGAAAACAGGACCTTAAGCAGATACCTGTATGTCCATATTCATAACGTCACTAGTCACAATAGCCCAAATAAAATGGCTGGGCATGGTGGCTCATGCCTGTAATCCCAGCACTTTGGGAGGCCGAGGTGGGCGGATCACCTGAGGCCAGGAGTTCGAGACCAGACTGGTCAACATGGTGAGACCCTGTCTCTACTAAAAATGCAAAAATTACCCAGGTGTGGTGGCATGCATCTGTAATCCCAGCTACTCGGGAGGCTGAGGCAGGAGAATTGCTTGAACCCAGGAGGCGAAGGTTGCAGTGAGCCGAGATTGCACCATTGCACTCCAGCCTGGGTGACAGAGCGAGACTCCCTCTCAAAAAACAAACAAACAAAAAAGCAAAAACCCAAAAAAGAAAACAACCCAGGTGACCATCAACAGATGAATGAACAGAAGTGGTACGTGCATATAATCGAATGCTCTTCAGCCTTTAAGAGGAAAGATGTCTGACACAGGTTACAAGGGATGAACCTTGAAAACATGATGCTAAGTGAAAGAAGCCAGACATGAAGAGGCACTTACTGTCTGATCCCATTTACACAAAATATCTAGAATAGGCAAATCCATAGAGACTGAAGGTAGAATAAAGATTGCCAGGGGCTGGGGAAAGGGGGAAATGGGCACTTACTGCTTAATGGTTACAGAGTTCCTGTTTGGGGTGTTGAAAAAAGTTTAGAAAATAGGGCCGGGCGCGGTGGCTCACGCCTGTAATCCCAGCACTTTGGGAGGCCGAGGCAGGTGGATCACCTGAGGTCAGGAGTTCCAGACCAGCCTCAACATGGAGAAACCCCGTCTCTACTAAAAATACAAAATTAGCTGGGCGTGGTGGTGCATGCCTGTAATCCCAGCTACTCAGGAGGCTGAGGCAGGAATTGCTTGAACCTGGGAGGTGGAGGTTGTGGTGAGCTGATGGTGCCATTGCACTCCAGCCTGGGCAGCAAGAGCAAAACTCCGTCTCAAAAAAAAAAAAAAAAAAAGTTTAGAAAATAGATAGTGGTGACGATTGCACATTTTGAATGCCATTAATGCCATTGAGTTGTGCACTTAAAAAGGGTTAAAGAAGGGTCTGGATGTGGTGGCTCACGCCAGTAATCCCAGCACTTTTGGAGGCCAAGCTGGGCGGATCACCTGAGGTTGGGAGTTCAAGAACAGCCTGACCAACATGGAGAAACCCTGTTTCTACTAAAAATACAAAAATTAGTCGGGCATGTTGGCAGGTGCCTGTAACCCCAGCTACTTGGGAGGCTGAGGCAGGAGAATCGCTTGAACCTGGGAGGCAGAGGTTGCGGTGAGTTGAGATCACGCCATTGCACTCCAGCCTGGGCAACAAGAGTGAAACTCCATCTCAAAAAAAGAAGAGAAAAAAAAGAGTTAAAGTGGCAAATTTTATATTTATTTATTTCACGGCAAGTTTGTAAAAAGTCAATATACAGAGAATTTTTGTTTTGAGACAGGGTCTTGTTCTGTCCCCCCAGGCTGGAGTGCAGTGGCATGATAACAGGTCACCACAGCCTCAACTTCCTGGCGATATAGGAGTTAAGAAGCAATTACTGGCCTGGTGCGGTGGCTCATGCCTGTAATCCTAGCACTTTGGGAGGCAGGCAGATCACTTGAGGTCAGGAGTTTGAGACCAGTCTGGCCAACGTGGTGAAACCCCGTCTCTACTACAAATACAAAAATTAGCCGGGCATGGTGGTGCACATCTATAATTCCGGCTACTCGGAAGGCTGAGGCGGGATAATCGCTTGAACCCGGGAGACGGAGGTTGCAGTGAGCCCAGATCGTGTCACTGCACTCCAGCCTGGGAGACAGAGCAAGACTCTGTCTCAAAAAAAAAAAGAAAAGAAAAGAAATTACTTAGGCAGATAGTGAGGGTACAGGAGTCCTTGGAAGGTTTTCCTTTTAGTAAAAAGCACCCCCAAAATCATTTTCTTTTCTAACAAAGAGCAGCCTGTAAAATCAAGCTGCAGACATAGATAAGCAAGCTGGAAGCTTGCACGGGTGAATGCCGGCAGTTATGCCAATAGGAAAAGGCTACCTGGGAACAAGCAGGCTCAAAATGGTGGCTTCATCTTCCCTTCTCTTTGCCAAACCATGAGTACAATAAGGAGAGGACAAAAGGGATCCCCGGCCAGGCAAAGATCCTATTTGCATAATAAGATTAGGGTGGGGCAACCAGCCTTCCCAGCACACTATGTAAATGTCACACCTGATGGAACCAATCTGTGGGTCCTATGTAAATCAGACACCACCTCCTCAAGCCTGCCTATAAAATATAGTGCAGTCCCTGGAGGGCATGGTTTTCCTTTTGGAAGCCCCTTTCTCTGGCAAGGGAGAAAGCTGTTCTCCTTTCTCTCTTTTTTTTTTTCTATTAAAGCTTCCCTCCTAAACTCACTTCTCATGTGTGTCCATGTCCTTAATCTTCTTGGTGTGAGATGACAAACCCTGGGTATTTACCCCAGACAATGACTCTGCTTCACTGGGCTCAGGTGATCCTCCCCTCCCTAGTAGCTGAGATTACAGGTACATACCACCATGCCTGGCTAATTTTAAATTTTTTTGTAGAGATGTAGACTCACCATGTTGCCCAGGCTGGTCTCAAACTCCTGGGCTCAAGCCATCTGCCAGCCTCAGCCTCCCAGGGTCCTAAGGTTATAGGCATGTGCCACTGCAACCCACCCAGTGTTTAATTTTCAAAAGGTGAGCAGCTCATAGGTGAATTTAAAACCTTAACTTAGTTGTTAACACAGGATGATGCTATCATCAAAGAAATGATAATGTGTCTTAAAAACATTGTATTGTAAAGTTTATTCATACATAATTAAAACAGAAAATTATCCGCATAGCTATCTTAACCCTCCTTTTACTATATTAATGCTGGACTGACCAAAATTATTTTTTCCATATAATGAAGACAACTTCTATTTCCAATTTAATGAGTGGGTGTATGAGGAAAAGAAGCAATTTGCTATAGCTCAGATTACAGTGCTTTTTAGTTCTTTATTATTATTATTATTATTATTTGAAACAGAGTCTTGCTCTGTCACCCAGGCTGGAGTACAGTGGTGCAGTCTCAGCTCACTGCAACCTCAATCTCCTGGGCTCAAGCAACTCTCATGCCTCAGCCTCCGGAATTGCTGGGATTACAGGCATGTGTCACCATACCCAGCTAATTTTTTCTATGTTTAGTAGAGATGGGGTTTCGCCATGCTGCCCAGGTTGGTCTCGAACTCCTGGCCTCAAGTGATCTGCCTGCCTCAGCCTCCCAAAGTGCTAGGATTACAGGTGTGGGCCACCGCGCCCAGCCTAAGTTCTTTAATTCCAACTTCTTAATATCTCTGGTGTGTATCCTTGTTTCTCCAAACTAACAGCCACTGCCTTTGTCCAGCCTAATACAGCTAATTTTGTAAAATCAAGTTTATTGACATATAATTCACATAGAATAACATTATTTTTAAGTGTACAGTTTCATGAGTTTTGACAAATGTAAAGAGTTGTAAAATCAAGGTTTACAAAATCTGCATTTGGTATCAGGGTGACGTCACCGAGTCCTTTCCTGGGGCAGCCTTCCATGGCTCTTGGTACATAGGTCAACACAGCATTCCCAGGTGTGAGATGTACTATCACCAGAACCGAAGGGGCATTGTGTTTCTTTTGTCATGGGGAAGTTGTGAGAAATAATATTTTGGGCTGGGTGCAGTGGCTCACACCTGTAACCCCAGCACTTTGGGAGGCTGAGGAGGTCAGGAGTTCAAGACCAGCCTGGCCAATGTGGTGAAACCCCGTCTCTACTAAAAATACAAAAATTAGCTGGGTGTGGTGGTGGGCACCTGTAGTCCAAGCTACTCAGGAGGCTGAGGCAGGAGAATTGCTTGAACCTGGGAGGTGGAGGTTGCAGTCAGCTGAGATCGCGCCATTACACTCCAGCCTGGGCCACAGAGTGAGACTCCGTCCCAAAAAAAAGAAAAAAAAGAAAGAAAGAAAAAGAAAATAAACAGTATTTTGATCTTTACTTTGTAAGGAATGTCCCAGCATGCTTCAGGCCAGGCCCTCTAAAACCTTCACTGATCTGCCAGGCCCTAGATCTTCACAGAGTTTCTCTCTGGCTCTTTGGAGCATGAGTCTTACCAAGTCCCTCTATATACTTGTCACCTCTTGTTCATTTTGTCTGATTCACCTCCTGTCATCAATATTGTGGCCTAGTGGGATGCTCTGCAGGATGTCCAGATGGTCCAGCTGCTTTTGGGATGTCTCCTGACAGAAGAGGAAGAGTTAACAGAGCCTGGAGAAAAGCTGTAATACTATTGTCCATCCTAAGTGGATGTCAACTGATTCTGATAAGGAGAGAAAAGAATGCATTTGTTAGGCCAGTAGCACCTATCACAGGCCTGGGGCCATGTCAGTCTCTTTTAGCAGAGACACCTTAAGTGGCATCACAGCTGCAATTGAGGCTACCACTTGGTGTGTGTTCAGCAGTTCACTGTCACTCTCTAGACCCTGTCTGGTTTTGGTAGGGGTTAGACTGGAAAACTGAAAGGACACAGAATGGGGATTGCCACCTGTGCATTCATTCTGTCTTTAAGGGTGCCGCTTATCTCTGCCCTTCCTCGCAGGATGTGATGGTGTTTTCAATTTTCTGTTTGGCCAGTAAAGAGTAAGAAGCCGGGGGGGAGGGATAGCATTGGGAGATATACCTAATGCTAGATGACACATTAGTGGGTGCAGCGCACCAGCATGGCACATGTATACATATGTAACTAACCTGCACAATGTGCACATGTACCCTAAAACTTAGAGTATAATAAAAAAAAAAAAAAAAAAAAAAAAAAAAAAAAAAAACAACCCCATACTCAGCCAGCAGAAAGAGGAGAAGCAGCTGGACGTTGAAGACTGCGTCTGGATGTCAGAGAGAAGTGGCTTGACTTCAGACGGACAGCTTGACAGGGTAATCTCAGAGAATAATCTGGCTGGAGATGGCCGGATTTCAGGGGAAGACTACCTTCCCGTCCCCTCCCCTTTTCACCTCCCCTTCCTGCTGAGAGCCACTTTCACTGGCAATAAAATCCCCCGCATTTACCGTCAAAAAAAAAAAAAAAAAAAAAAAAAAAAAGAGTAAGAAGCGGGTTAGAGGCTTCTCGATAGGCTTTCTCACTATGATATGTCACAGGTTAAGAGACTAATGTGGGGGTTCGCCAACTCCAAGTAGGTCCATCGAATGATATATTTGGGGGTTGAGAAATGACCATGGACCCCTGACACACTGTGAGCTGGTTGTGACTCAAGACTTCATTTCTTTCTGTCTTTTTTTTTTTTTTTTGAGACCGAGTCTCACTCTGTCGCCAGGCTGGAGTGCAGTGGCGCAATCTCAGCTCACTGCAACCTCCGTCTCCTGGGTTCAAGTGATTCTCCTGCCCCAGCCTCCCGAGTAGCTGGGACTACAGGCATGCGCCACCATGCCCAGCTAATTTTTGTATTTTTAGTAGAGACAGGGTTTCACCATGTTGGCCAGGATGGTCTCGATCTCTTGACCTTGCGATTCGCCCACCTCAGCCTCCCAAAGTTCTGGGATTACAGGCGTGAGCCACAGTACCCGACCAACTTCATTTATTTCTTGGTCTCCACATATTAACATCCTCTAATGGGCAGTTGGGGGAGGGGTAGTGATGACAATTTGGGTCCTAGGATATAGCAATGTGAACTCAGATGCTGTGTCCAACAGTCCTTGGAATGCTGGGGTGTAGCCCTTTGCCTGGCGGATGCTCACCCAAGTGAATGGTCATAGTCCTTTAAGGAGAAGGAATGGGGAATCATTACTACGCACACTTGCTGAAGGCTGCAGTTTCCTTCCTCCCAGGACCCAGTTTCTCCTCCAATCTGGGTATAAAAACTGGCTCCAGTTCAGAAACTGGCCAAGGCATCATGACAATCTATT
Organism: Homo sapiens; assembly: GCF_000001405.40. Lineage (NCBI taxonomy): Eukaryota > Metazoa > Chordata > Mammalia > Primates > Hominidae > Homo > Homo sapiens. The sequence continues at coordinate 67,326,030 of NC_000017.11, forward strand.
GGGGTGCTTTAATTTTTTCTGACTGTATCGATTAACACCTTACTGATTGTCCATTTATCTTGACTCTAGAGAAGCCATGTTTTGTTAACCATCTCCATAGTTCTGTGCACATCAGGCTCCCTTTGCCACCATTCTCACCTTGTCACTCATGACTTTTGTGCCCATCTTGTTATTCTTTACTTTTTTTTTTTTTTTTTTTAGATGGAGTCTCACTCTGTCACCCAGGCTGGAATGCAGTGGCGCGATCCTGGCTCACTGCAACCTCCGCCTCCCAGGTTCAAGCAATTCTACTGCCTCAGCCTCCTGAGTAGCTGGGATTATAGGCGCCCGCCACTACGCCTGGCTAATTTTTGTATTTTTAGTAAAGACCAGGTTTCACCATGTTGATTAGCCTGGTCTTGAACTCCTGACCTCAGGCGATCCGCTCATAGCCTCCCAAAGTGCTGGGATTACAAGCATGAGCCACCATGCCCGGCCCCATCTTGTTTCTGATGATTAAGTGTCCTGGCCTCTATTATACTAGAATCCTATCATTTCCATTTCTACCAGGGAGCTGAGTTCTGTGACTGCATCTCCTGCTGGAAGCCCTGACCTTTAGAGGACAGCCATCAGAGAGCTGCTGAATGATGTAAGGGTATTTGTCACCAGAGCTTTCCTCATTGCTTTGATCAATGGCATGTCTTCTGGGCCCTCTTGCAGAACAGTCATCTGATGGGTTTTCTGGCCTTATGTGGCACATCCACTCAGTATGCCCATTTCCCTGAGTCTTTTCATCTTTCTTCCACCCTTTGCCACAGCAGTTCTAGCATTTCTTACTGAAGGGGTGGGTTGCCCCTCCACACCTGTGGGTGTTTCTCGTTAGGTGGATTGAGAGACTTGGAAAAGAAAGAGACAGAGAGACAAAGTATAGAGAAAGCAGAAAGGGGGCCCAGGGGACCGGAGTTCAGCATACAGAGGATCCACACCGGCCTCTGAGTTCCCTTAGTATTTATTGATCATTATTGGGTGTTTCTCCGAGAGGGGGATGTGGCAGGATCATAGGATAATAGTGGAGAGAAGGTCAGCAGATAAACACGTGAACAAAGGTCTCTGCATCATAAACAAGGTAAAGAATTAAGTGCTGTGCTTTAGATAGGTATATACATAAACATCTCAATGCCTTAAAGAGCAATATTGCTGCCCGCATGTCCCACCTCCAGCCCTAAGGCGGTTTTCCCCTATCTCAGTAGATGGAACATACAATCGGGTTTTACACCGAGACATTCCATTGCCCAGGGACGGGCAGGAGACAGATGCCTTCCTCTTGTCTCAACTGCAAAGAGGCATTCCTTCCTCTTTTACTAATCCTCCTCAGCACAGACCCTTTACGGGTGTCGGGCTGGGGGACAGTCAGGTCTTTCCCTTCCCATGAGGCCATATTTCGGACTATCACATGGGGAGAAACCTTGGACAATACCTGGCATTCCTAGGCTGAGGTCCCTGAGGCCTTCCGCAGTGTTTTGTGTCCCTGGGTACTTGAGATTAGGGAGTGGTGATGACTCTTAAGGAGCATGCTGCCTTCAAGCATCTGTTTAAAAAATCACATCTTGCACAGCCCTTAATCCATTTAACCCTGAGTTGACACAGCACATGTCTCAGGGAGCACAGGGTTGGGGGTAAGGTTACAGATTAAAATGGGGTCCCTTATGTCTACTTTCTATACAGACACATTAACAATCTGATCTCTCTTTCTTTTCCCCACACTTACTTCACTTAGTGGGGCTTGCTGCTTCCTCCAGACTTCCAAAGGTCATCCTAACAGCATATTAGCACCTGCTCTCCAGGTCCTTGCTGGGGTCTTAAATCCTGTATCTCAGGAGAGTGCTTCCATATTGATAAGTTATTTCTTCTCCAACTGTATGTTTCCACCCCTGTTGTGGTTTAAATGTGTCCCCCCCCAAAGTTCATGTGTTGGAAACTTAATTGCCATTATAACAATATTAAGAGATGGGGCCTTTAAGAGGTAATTATGCCATGAGGGCTGTGCCCTCATGAATGGATTAATGCTGTTATTGTAGGAGGGGATTAGCTATTGTGGGAGTGGGCTCTCCATAAGAGGATGAGTTCACTTGATTTTCTCTCTTTCCCTTGCACCTGCTTGCCCTTCCACTTTTCTGACATATTATGAAGCAGTACACTTTGTATGCCAGAAGCTGCTGTTACGCCCTTGGACTTCCCAGCCTCCGGAGTCTTGAGCCAAATAATTTTTTATAAATTACCCAGTATGTGATATTCTGTTATAGCAACAGAAAATGGGCTAAGACAAACTTGTCAGGCCTCTGAGCCCAAGCCAAGCCATTGCATCCCCTGTGACTTGCACGTATACATCCAGATGGCCTGAAGTAACTGAAGATCCACAAAAGAAGTAAAAATAGCCTTAACTGATGACATTCCACCATTGTGATTTGTTTCTGCCTCACCCTAACTGATCAATGTACTTTGTAATCTCCCCCACCCTTAATAACGTACTTTCTAATCTCCCCCACCCTTGAGAAGGTTCTTTGTAATTCTCCCCACCCTTGAGAATGTACTTTGTGAGATCCACCCCTGCCCACAAAACATTGCTCTTAACTTCACTGCCTATCCCAAAACCTGTAAGAACTAATGATAATCCACCACCCTTTGCTGACTCTCTTTTCGGACTCAGCCCGCCTGCAGCCAGGTGAAATAAACAGCCATGTTGCTCACACAAAGCCTGTTTGGTAGTCTCTTCACATGGATGCGCATGAAACCTTTGTTCCAGCATCCTCAGGATCCAATCCCATATATACTTTTCTGGTTTTTGCTGGCTAGATCCTGTAGTTCCTTTAGAGTTTGGTCTATTTCCCAAGTGAATTTCCCTAGCCAATTATTTTGTAATTTTAACCCTAGTTATTGGTCTGGTGATTAGGAGGGGAGGTGGAGGTAGATCACGTTGTTCTACCTCCTCTTTTACTAATCCTTATTAGTTGTTCACGTTGTTCACGTTGCCTTATAAGGCAGACATCTCTGTAGAATCATCTTCAGGCAAGGTAAGGGTATTCTTTAACACTTCTATAAAATCTAAGGTTTCAGGGGGATCTTGACTTCAAGATTTTTTTTTTTTTTTTTTTTTTTTTTTTGAGACTGAATCCCAGGCTGGAGTGCAGTGGCGCGATCTCGGCTCACTGCAAGCTCCGCCTCCTGGGTTCATGCCATTCTCCTGCCTCAGCTTCCTAAGTAGCTGGGACTACAGGCACCTGCCATCATGCCTGGCTAATTTTTTGTATTTTTAGTAAAGACGGGATTTCGCCATGTTAGCCAGGATGTTCTTGATCTCCTGACCTCATGATCTATCTGCCTCGGTCTCCCAAAGTCCTGGGATTACAGGCGTTAGCCGCTGCACCCGGCCAACTTCAAGATTCTTAAGTACATGGATCCAGTTGTCTCCATCCCTTATCTCAGAGTCCCCCTCTTTTCCAATCCAGTTAGGGGCCTGACATTAGCATAACAGACCAGGTTATTGAGGTTGACTGTTCGACCTCCCCTGGAGCTCCGCTACTCTGGCAATTCCTAGGCCAGATCCTCAAAGCTACTGACACACTGTAGATGAGTCTCTTAATAAGGTGCCAAGGAGGCCCCTCTGGTTTTCACACTTAACCCCCAGTTGGTGATTCATCATTCTAAGCCTTTGTCCTTCTCCTAACTACTGAGCGCCCCAAGAAACAACCAACCATCCAAATTCATTATCTTTTGACTATTTCCACAATATTTCTTTTTTTTTTTTTTTTTTTTTTTCCTGAGACAGAATTTCACTCAGTTCCCCAGGCTGGAGTGCAGTGGCATGATCTTGGCTCACTGCAACCTCTGCCTCCTGGGTTCAAGCAATTCTCTTGCCTCAGCCTCTGGAGTAGCTGGGATTACAGGCACCCACCACCATGCCCAGCTAATTTTTTGTATTTTTAGTAGAGACGGAGTTTCACCATGTTGGCCAGGCTGGTCTTGAACTCCTGACCTTTGGTGATCCACCCCCCCCCGACCCCTTGGCCTCCCAAAGTGCTGGGATTACAAAGCGCTGTAAGTGTGAGCCACCGCACCGGGCCTATTTCCACAAAATTACTTAAAGGTCATTCATTCCCTTCTGATATGGTTTGGCTCTGTGTCCCCATCCAAATCTCATCTTGTAGCTCCTATAATTCCCATGTGTTGTGGGAGAATCCTGGTGAGAATCATGGGGGCAGGTCTTTCCCGTGCTGTTCTTGTGATAGTGAATAGGACTCACAATATCTGATGGTTTTAACAACAGGAGTCCCTCCCCACAAGCCCTCTCTTTGCCTGCCACCATCCACGTAAGATGCAACTTGCTCCTTCTTGCCTTCCACCATAATTGTGGGGCCTCCCCAGCCATGTGGAACTGTGAGTCCAATTAAACCTCTTACTTTCTTCTTTTTTTTTTTTGAGACAGGGTCTCACTCTGCTGTCCAGGCTGGAGTGCAGTGGCACAATCTCGGCTCACTGCAACCTCCACCTCCTGGGTTCAAGCAATTCTCCTGCCTTAGCCTCCTGAGTAGCTGGGATTACAGGTGCATGCCACCACACCCAGCTAATTTTTGTATTTTTAGTAGAGACAGAGTTTCACCAGGTTGGCCAGGCTCATCTCAAATTCCTGACCTCAAGCGATCAGCCTGCCTCGGCCTCCCAAAATACTGGGATTACAGGTGTGAGCCACCACACCCAGCCTAAACCTCTTTCTTTTGTAAATTTCGTAGTCTCAGGCATGTCTTTATCAGCAGCGTGAAAACAGAGTAATACAGCAAATTGGTACCAGTAGAGTCAGGTGCTGCTGAAAAGACACCCAAAAATGTGGAAGCGCCTTTGGAACTGGTAACAGGCAGAGGGTAAGGATATGTTTCTACCCCTGTTGTGGTTTATGTTTCACACAGTTTGGAGGGCTCAGAAGAAGACAGGAACATGTGGGAAAGTCTGGAACTTCCTAGAGACTTGTTGAATGGCTTTGACAAAAATGCTGATAGTGATATGAACAATAAGGTCCAGGCCGAGGTGGTCTCAGATGGAGATGGGGAACTGGATCAAAGGTGACTCTTGTTGTATTTTAACAAAGCGACTGGTGGCATTTTGCCCTTGCCCTAGAAATTTGTGGAACTTTGAGCTTGAGAGAGATGATTTAGGGCATCTGGTGGAAGAAATTTCTAAGCAGCAAAGCATTCAAGAGATGACTGTTAAAGGCGTTCAGTTTTAAAAGGGAAACACGGCATAAAAGTTTGGAAAATTCACAGCCTGATAATGCAAGAGAGAAGAAAATCCCATTTTCTGAAGAAATTCAAGCTGGCTGCAGAAATTTGCATGAGTAACAAGGAAGTGAGTGTTAAGAGCATGTCAGAGACCTTTGCAACAGCCCCTCCCATCACAGGCCCTGAGGCCTAGGAGTAAAAATGGTTTCGTGGGCCAGACCCAGGGTCCCTCTGCTGGGTGCAGTCTAGAAGCTTGGTGCCCTGCATCCCAGCTGCTCCAGCCATCATGAAAAGGGGCCAAGGTACAGCTAGGGCTGTTGCTTCAGACGCTGCAAGCCCCAAGCCTTGGTAGCTTCCATGTGGTGTTGAGCCTGTGGGTGCACAGAAGTCAAGAATTGAGGTTTGGGAATCTCTGCCTAGATTGCAGACGATGTATGTAAATGCCTGGGTATCCAGGCGGAAGTTTGCTGCAGGGGCAGGGCCCTCATGGAGAACTTCTGCTAGGGCAATGCAGCAGGAAAATGTGGGGTCAGAGTCCCCACACAGAGTCCCTACTGGGGCATGGCCTAGTGGGGCTGTGAGAAGTGGGCCACTGTCCTCCAGATCCCAGAATGGTAAATCCACTGACAGCTTGCACCGTGCACCTGGAAAAGCCACAGACAATGCCAGCCCATGAAAGCAGCCAGGAGGGGGGCTATACCCTGCAAAGCCGCAAGGGCAGAGCTTCCCAAGGCCATGGGAGGCCACCTCTTGCATCAGCGTGACCTGGATGTGAGAGATGGAGTCAAAGGAGATCATTCTGGAGCTTTAAGATTTGACCATCCCGTTGGATTTTGGACTTGCATGGGTCTGTAGCCCCTTTGTTGTGGCCAGTTTCTCCCATTTGGAATGGCTGTATTTATCCAATATCTGTACCCCCATTGTATCTAGGAAGTAACTGACTTGGTTTTGATTTTACAGGCTCATAGGTGGAAGGGACTTGCCTTGTCTCAGATGAGACTTTGGACCGTGGACTTTTGAGTTAATGATGAAATGAGCTGAGACTTTGGGGGACTGTTGGAAAGGCATGAATGGTTTTGAAATGTGAAGATATGAGATTTGGGAGGGGTCAGAGATGGAATGACATGGTTTGGCTCTGTGTCCCCACCCAAATCTCATCTTGTAGCTCCCATAATTCCCAAGTGTTGAGGGAGGAACCTGGTGGGAGATGACTGAATCATGGGGGTAGGTCTTTCTGGTGCTATTCTCGTGATAGTGAATGGGTCTCACGAGATCTGATGGTTTCAAAAATGGGAGTCTCGGCTGGGCGCGGTGGCTCATGCCTGTAATCCCAGCACTTTGGGAGGCCAAGGCGGGTGGATCATGAGGTCAGGAGTTTGAGACCAGTCTGACCAACATGTTGAAACCCAGTCTCTACTAAAAACACAAAAATTAGCTGGGCGTGGTGGAGCACGTCTGTAATGCCAGCTACTCAGGAGGCTGAGGCAGGAGAATTACTTGAACCTGGGAGGCAGAGGTTGCAGTGAGCTGAGATCGTGCCACTGCACTCCAGCCTGGGTGACAGAGTGAGACTCCATCTCAAAAAATAATAGTAATAATAATAATGGGAGTCTTTCTGCACAAGCCCTCTCTTTGCCTGCCACCGTTCACATAAGATGTGACTTGCTCCTCCTTGCCTTCCACCATGATTGTGAGGACTCCCTAGCCACATGCAACTGTGAGTCCAGTTAAACCTCTTTCTTTGGTAAATTGCCCAGTCTCAGATATGTCTTTATCAGCAGCGTGAAAATGGACTAATAATATACCTTTCATCAGTCATCCTAGTTCACCAGCAGTTTTAACAACTGCACCCCTACTATATGCTGGGGGCTGTACATGCTCCACCTATTACCAGTGATGGGGTTCTCACTGCCAGCTGGCCAGTTGGTAAGCTGGCTATGAAATCCAGTTTTTTGAGTCAGCTTTCTCAGACCACTTCCAGCACCAACTATCATAGGGACCTAGCTTCCATAGACCAGCTTCCCCCAAAAGCTGACTCTGAAATGGATATTTGCACAGAGAGCTTATTGAGGCTTGCTTGGGAGATCAGCTCCCATAAGCAAGTGAAGGAAGGAGGATTGGGAAGAGGGAGGAGTTGAACCACAATATGGTTGTAACAGAGGCCTCAGTCAATCTTGCGGGAATTCTCCAGAGCTAAAATGGCCCTTCAGAGTTGTCCCAAATTGTAGCAAGAGGACCAGGACTTCATATTCTTATATCAATTTGTCATTGGAAGGGAGGTAGCTCTCTTCAGCTGAAGGTGATCACGGGGAGTGGAGGAAGCGGGTGAGGACACACTCAGCTATGGGTCATTAACACTCTCAGGACTGTTTTTCAGTCTTGAAGGAGACTAGCTGGGTGGCAGACCACAGTGTTCACTAAATAAAATGAAAGAAATATGGGAAAGTGGTAGAATATCTCCTTCCAGTGAGTTAGAAGTATCTGAGGGGCGGAGAGTGGAAGAACTACAAAGGGAAGCTGAGTCCTATTTCTTAAACAGGGCATTTCAGACTGTTATTAAACTGTTCTTCATGTTGGAAAACTTGAAGAAACCAATGTAATCTTGGAAGCTACAATTTGGGAAATGTTTTAGAGACTTTGAGTGTTTACTTTCATTTAATTAAATTATTTTAAGAGACAGTCTTGCCCTGTTCTCCAGGCTGGAGTACAGTGGTGCGATTGTGGCAGGCCAGGTCTCACTAACGCAGGCCTCTGTAACAACTGTTTCAGCACTGACTGAGTGGTGAAGTTCAATATTAAAAGCTGAGAGAGCCAACGCCCTTCTACAAAGGCTGGAACATAATAAAAGCCCATCAAGAGTTTTGCCCAGGCCCTTCCTAGGCCTTAAAGCATGACAAGATAACGCAGAAATTCTTAACAGTACCCGTTTAGAATTAAACAAGCTTTATTCGGGGGGTGGGGGGGCGGGAGGGGGGCGCTGAAGAAACTCCCCAGACCTCCACAAACAAGTTTATTGGGGCATCTGAAGAAATTCCCCAAACCTCCGTGATTTAGCAGGAGACAAGATAAGGGTAGTCACCCCAGCACGTGGACCCATTTAGATTAAGTAAATTTACTGAGGCTCCAGAAGGTCTTCAGGACTTAGATCTTAGTTAATGATTAGAAGTTAATCACTTATGGCCAGGCGCAGTGGCTCACGCCTGTAATCCCAGCACTTTGGGAGGCCGAGGTGGGCGGATCATGAGGTCAGGAAATCAAGATCATCCTGGCTAACACCGTGAAACCCCGTCTGTAGTAAAAAAAAAAACAAAAAAACAAAAAAAACAAAAAAAAAACAAGAAATTAGCAGGGCATGGTGGCAGGTGCCTGTAGTCCCAGCTACTCGGGAGGCTGAGGCAGGAGAATGGCGTGAACCCGGAAGGCGGAGTTTGCAGTGAGCCGAAATCACGCCACTGCACTCCAGCCTAGAGTGAGACTCCGTCTCAAAAAAAAAAAAAAAAAAAAGTTAATCACTTATGTCTTTAGATGAATGCTACTTACACGTAGACACAGCTTAGAAGGTATATATAAGCTCTGGAAAACTCTGTAATTTTGAGTTGGTCTGGCGATATTTTCCAGACCTTTACCCTGTACCCTGTTACAGAAATAAACTGCCTTCTTTCCCAATTCATTTACATCTCGTTACTGGGCCGTGAGAATAAGCAGCCCCACCTGTGGTTTGGTCTGGGAACACAATCACAGCTCACTGTAGCCTCCACCTCCTGGGCTCAAGTGATTCTGCCACCTGGGCCTTTTGTGTAGCTAGGATCACAGGTACGTACCATTATGCTAGGCTAATCTGAGCTATAGCAAATTGTTTTTTCCCTCCCAGCCATTTTAAATTTTTTTGTAGAGATGGGGATCTCACTATCTTGGCAAGGCTCATCTTGAACTCTTGGCCTCAAGGGATCCTCCTGCTTTGGCCTCCCAAAGTGTTGAAATTACAGGTGTGAGCCACCATGCCCAGTCTATTTTTTACGGTGGATATACTCTTGGGAAAAAACTTTTCAGAGTAATGTAAGGTTGGACATGAAGATAGAAACAAAATTCCAGCAGGGTGTGATAATGAAGGGTTGAAAAAGATTAAGCAATTCAACAAGCACTTAAGTTTCTACTATGTAACAAATGATGGATTACAAAGATAAACATGGTCCCTAATTTAGTAAGAATAGCAAGATAATGAAACTTGGAAACTTCAAAGAAATGTCATTCAGTTCTTTCCATATACTAAATACTAAGCTCCAGGCTGTGTGCAGTGGTTCATGCCTGTAATACCAGCGCTTTGGGAGGCTGACGTGGGAGGATCCCTTGAGGCCAGGAGTTTGAGACCAGCCTAGGTAATATAGTGAGACCCTGTCTCTACACTCGCTCTGTCTCCCAGGCTGGAGTGCAGCGGCACAATCATGACTCACTGCAGCCTCAACCTCCCAGGTTCAAGCAATCCTCCTGACTCAGCCTCCCAAGTAGCTGGGATTACAGGTATGAACCACCACATTCAGCCTCTACAAAAAACTTAAAAAATTAGCCAGACATGGTGGCACACGCCTATACTCCCAGCTACTGGGGAGGCTGAGATGGGAGGATTACTTGAGCCCAGGAGTTCAAGGCTGCAGTAAGCACTCCAGCCTGGGTGAGAATGAGACCCTGTCTCAAAAGCAAAAAAAAAAAAAAAAAAAAAAAAAAGCCAGGCGTGGTGGCTCACGCCTGTAATCCCAGTACTTTGGGAGGCCGAGGTGGGTAGATCACTTGAGGTCAGGAGTTCAAGACCAGCTTGACCAACCTGGTGAAATCCCGTCTCTACTAAAAATACAAAATTAGCCGAGCATGGGGGCTCACACCTATAATCCCAGCTACTCAGGAGGCTGAGGCAGGAGAATCATTTGAACCCCGGAGGCAGAGGTTGCAGTGAGCCGAGATCGTGCCATTGCACCCCAGCCTGGGTGACGAGAGGAACTCCGTCTCAAAAAAAAAAAAAAAAAAAAAAAAGGGCCGGGCGCGGTGGCTCACGCCTGTAATCCCAGCACTTTGGGAGGCTGAGGCAGGTGGATCACGAGGTCAGGAGATGGAGGCCATTCTGACTAACACATGGTTAAACCCCGTCTCTACTAAAAATACAAAAAAATTAATCGGGCGTGGTGGCGGGCACCTGTGGTCCCAGCTACTCGGAAGGCTGAGGCAGGAGAATGGCGTGAACCTGGGAGGCGGAGCTTGCAGTGAGCCGAGGTTGCGCCACCGCACTCCAGCCTGGGCAACAGAGCGAGACTCCGTCTCAAAAAATAAAAACAATAAAAAATAAAAAAAAATAAAGCTCTAAGTTAGGAAAATTGTTTAATATCCTCTCAAAAATGCCAAGACCATTTCTCTGCATCACAGAAGGCAGTATGGAAGCAGACTTTCAAACCACTAAACTCCTAAAACAACGGGCTCCGGATGAGCATCTCGCTGTAGCTTTACCGCCACATGTACCTTAACTGATATCCATGTTTTTTTCCCCTAAACATCTAAAACACCAACACATTTCAGTTCTTTTCTAGTCCTTACTACCCATGTTGTCAAGAAGAGTGGTTCTCAAAGTGCGGTCCATGGACCAGTAGTTCGGGTACTGAGAACTTGTTAGAAATTAAAATTCGTGGGCCCCGCTCCATCCCGACTGAGTGTGAATCTGGGGGTGGAGCCCAGCATCTGTGTGTAACAAGCCCCGCGCATATTCTGATGGGCCTTGAGATGAAGAACCACTTGTCAGGTGCCCAATAAAGCACGGCCTAAGCCACCAACCCCAAATCGGGAGTTTAGGAGGGGCAAAGTCCGTCAGCTGGCTTTCGAAACATGTGCAAGGTGTTTTGTCACCGCTTAAAAGGCAGGTTCAGATTCATCCAAAGGATTTGAAAACTTGGTCCACACAAAAACCTGCACACAGATGTTTAGTTTTATTTGTAATTGCCAAAATGTATAAGCAAGGTGTCCCTCAGGAGCTGAATGGATAAACTGTGGTACAACCAGACAATGGAATATTACTCAGCACTAAAGAGAAATAAGCTATCAAGCCATGAAAAGATGTGGAGGAAATGGAAATGCGTATTACTAAGTGAAAGAAGCCGATCTAAAAAAAAAGGCTACCTACTGTGATTCCAACTATATGACATTCTGAAAAAGGGAAAAACTATGGAAACCGTAGACTCACAATTGTCAGGGGATTTGCAGGAAGATATGAACTGGCAGAGAACTGTGGGGCGGTGAAGTATTATGGTAGTATAATGGTGGATACATGCCATTATACATTTGTCCAAACACACAGAATGTACAAGAATGAACCGTAAACTACGGACTTTGGGTGATAATGGTGTCAAAACAGGTTCATTAGCTGTAAAAAATGTGCCACTCTGTGGGGGATGTTGACAATGAGGGAGGTGTGAGAGCAAGGAGGATATGGGAAATTTCTGTACCTTCCACTTACTTTTGCTGTGAATCTAAAATTGCTCTAAAAATATAATAAAGTCTTAAAAGACAAAACAAAAAAGTAGGTTTAGAGAGAGATGATTTGGGGTAAAAATGAAAATTATGGCTTTTTGTTTCAGACAATGAGAACTGAAAAGAGAAGTGATCTTTTAAAGTATGAGTTTATTCTCCAGGTTTTCTTAAATACCCACAAATTAGTGTTTTTATTGCTGCTATATCCAAGAGCTGAAAACAATTTAAAATATGTACTTTTATCACATTTAACACTTACAAGAGAGAAAATGGAACTGTTTGAATTTTAAAGATGTTTTTCAGATTCAGTAACATATGGAAATTGAGGATAATCATAGAAACAGCTATTGAACTCTAAAATAAAAAAATTATATGGAAATAAAAGGTATTTCATTTGAAAAATGGCTCATCACCTCTCCTGCTGGTTAATACACTAATGACAATGAAATGGAATCAAGTGTTATCTTCTCCACATTTAAAACAAAGTGCTTCTTCTCCTGATTGCCAGCTTTAGGTCTGAAATGTAAAACAGGATTAATTGAGGTTCCGAACAACTCAAATATTTCACTATTGTACTTTATGCTAATGAATTATTTTGTAATACTAAGAAAATAAATTGGTAAATACCTCATATATTTGCTGGATTAATGTTTGACAGGAAAAAACACGAAATGGATGAACAGCTGATCGAGTCGAGTGCAATTTGGTCACTGGGACACAGTTACAAATAGCACTGAATCATAATACACAAAGAGCCTAGTGTGTGTTAAAGAAAGACGAAAGAGGAGTTGGGTGCAGTGGCTCATGCCTGTAATCCCAGCACTTTGGGCAGCCAAGGCGGGTGGATCACCTGAGGTCAGGAGTTTGAGACCAGCCCGGCCAACATGATGAAACCATCTCTACTAAAAACACAAAAATTAGCTAGGTGTGGTGGCAGGCGCCTATAATCCCAGCTACTTGGGAGGTTGAGGCAGGAGAACTGCTTGAATATGGGAGGCAAAGGTTGCAGTGAGCCGAGATCGTGACACTGCAATCCAGCCTGGGCAACAAGAGTGAAACTCCGTCTCAAAAAATATGAAAAAAATAAAGAGGAGGAACACTTGCAATCTCTATAGCAACCTATTTGGCCAAATAGTCCAGGTTTGACAAGCCCACAGGTAATGAGTCTCTAGAAAGATGAAGTTATTGAGAAGCTAGTTTCAAATTAGCTCCAATTTTATTTACATGTTAACAATACACAATTTTATCTTCTATCCTTTTCATTCAAAGGAAAATTAAAACCATACTCTGTTAGTGTGAACTTCTGTTTCTGAACTTTCCAGTTTTGTTTTTTTTTTTTTGAGACGGAGTCTCACTCTGTCACCCAGGCTGGAGTGCAATGGTGTGATCTTGGCTCACTGCAACCTCCGCCTCCTGGCTTCAAGGAATTCTCCCACCTCAGCCTCCCAAGTAACTGGGACTACAGGCACACGCCACCACGCCCGGCAAATTTTTGTATTTTTTTTAGTAGAGACAGGGTTTTGCCATGTTGGCCAGGCTAGTCTCGAAATCCTGACCTTAGATGATCCACCCGCCTTGGCCTCCCAAAGTGCTGGGATCCACTGCACCCGGCCTTTTTTGGTTAGTTTTAAAAAGATAAGTGATAGCAGATGTTGATGTTATTAGTGTGACCAATGCATTGAATTTCCAAAGAATAAAATCAGATTACTTCAGTACTGTATGTCATTATTCACAATGACTCACAGGATAAATATGACAGATATCCCACAACTGTCTTCAGTCCTGGGATCATAAAATAGGACAATTGATAATCTTCCATTAAGTGGAAAATTAATTAGGAGAAATGCCATTTCTAGAATGCTGTTTTTCTTTTTCTCTTCATTTGAATTTTTTTAAAGTAGACCTCACACTTTCTTTATTTAAGTATCATTTTAAATAACCTTCTAACATTGTTTTTTCTATTTTCTCTGAAATAAATCAAATTAAACTTGCAAAATTCGTTCACACCAATTCATCTCAGGTGTTTCTTTGACAGCAAGCTACTTTTAATTCCGTGAAAATATTTTAATACTACACCACTTACTATGAGGGTGGCCTGACGTCTTTTTGCCATTTTTTTAAAGCATTAAAAAAAATTAGGTTATCCAGTGTTCATATAATGGAACTAAAAGTTCCTACAGAGATAATGAATTTGGAACAATAATGATGTAATCAGACTTACAAGTTAAAGCCACAAATAAGCCTTATAAAAACAACTTTATGTTAAATTTAAACCCATATAAAGAAAGGGGAGAGGAAGAAGAGCAAAAAAAAAAAAAAAAAAAAAGTAGTCACTATCCCTATAGAGCGGACTTAACACCCAATAAACTGTGTCAATTATGTCAGCTGATTCTGTTGAACAACTGATCAAGTGAGAGGATGAGGGCTGAAAGCAATCAAGCTACTGTGATTGGAACCAGCCGGACTCAAAAAAAAAAAAAAAAAAGTCTACAGTTTACCAGCATACACACTCAGTCTAGACTTTCCGCCACAATATCAAAGTACAAATTCTTCACAAATCACAACTCTATCCCAAATGTTCTTGTATGCTCTATGTTGCTTTTCTATTCTACTAAATGACTGATAGCTTTACAATGAGATTTGTTTTATTTAAAAAACACTTGCCAAATCACTACCCCACAAAATGTTGAGAATCAGAGGTAACTGTAGAAAGGAAATATGTATATACTGCTTTTATTATTGGAATATGTTTGTTAGTTGAATGAAAACAAACAGTAGCTAAAAAGGTTTCAAATGATAGAAAAACATATCTGGGTAAGTTATGACACAACTTTTTGTGTATTCAGACGACAGAAATCTGTATTTTTGCACCAATTGCAAATGCAAAGTTAACAATGAACTTGGGGAACTGAAAGGTCAAAGGGAGTCTCAAACATATTCACTATTTTAAAATTTAAGACAAAGAAGCTTAGAAAAAAAACCCCAACATATACACCATTATAACAGTCTTTTTTTAATGACTTCCAATTTTAACTTTTTTCTAAAGCACTAAGACCCTTATTGTAGATTATGTATCATCTCCTCTTTGGCTATGAGATGCGTAGTTTTGTTAACCAGAGACATTAATGAGTTCAGTTTCTGAGACCAGTCATTTAATAAATTATTTGGATCCTTGGGTCTCTGGAAGTTGATAATTCCTGCTAATCTGTCTACTTTAGCAAAGATGGTCTTGTTAACTACTAGATTTGAGAGAAAGGCTTCGGACTCCTGCAAGAGAGAAAGATAAATTGGATTAAGACAGGATAAATTACAGACAATAAACAAAACTTCAGAAAAGCATTTTCTGAACTCTTCATCCAAGAATATGCAGGGGAATTCATTCTTAAGAGTTAGTAACACTCAGCTGGGTGTGGTGGCTCACACCTGTAATCCCAGCACTTTGGGAGGCTGAATTGGGTGAATCACTTGAGGTCAGGAGTTCAAGACCAGCCTGAGCAACATGGTGAAACCCCATCTCTACTAAAAATACCAAAATTAGCCAGGCATGGTGGCACACGCCTGTAGTCCCAGCTACTCAGGAGGCTGAGGCAGGAGAATCGCCTGAACCCTGGGAGGTAGAGGTTGAAGTGAGCTGAGATCGCACCAATGCACTCCCACCTGGGCGACAAGGTGAGACTCTGCCTCAAAAAAAAAAAAAAAAAAAAAAAAAGAGTTAGCAACTGCTGACTTCCTATAATAAGTACTTATTTTACTGATAGTCTAGGGAATGAATAGAATCTGAGTAGACTCAGTCAGGGGTGAGTTTGAATCTGCCTCCTTGCAAGCTCAATACTGCTGGTATCCATGCCAACGGCAAGTTGGTCTACTCCCTTTTCTACAAAGTTTCCCCTTAAAAGGCAGTATGGTACAGTTAATTTGTTTCCAGAAATGCTGGGTTAGAATATATGCTCTGCTACTTGGCAAGTATGTACCACGGACAAGACACTTGACTTCTAAGGACTCTGGTACTCTCATTCATAAGTGACAAGAGCTGACAAGCTGATCAAGGAACAAACCTTCCAACTCTAATGTTCCATGAGTCTTACCACCTAAACTGTCACAGATCCTTCTGGGGACAGAAATGGCTTTCAGGCCATTACTACACACTTGGGTTAACTCCTCTTTGTGTGCTATGCATTTTGTCAACATAGAAACATGGACCTAAAGACAACACTGTTCCAACAAGACCTAGGATCACTTGATACTTAAGTTAGTTTTTGGTACTCAAGATTGCTTGGGAAACTATTACTCTATTACCTAAACATAAAATTAAATCATAACATTGATTTTCTTACTCAATTTTTACAAGTCAACATTCAAAAGGAATGCCTACAAATAACTCAAAGTTGATTACTACTTACATCAACAGATAGATCCAGAAGCTGTGCCATCCTTTTCATTGTTATCCGAGTATAATACTTGGCCATTATTCTAATATTCTGGGGAGAGGATAGAGAGCAGGGAGAACACGTAACATTTGTCAGTAAGTCTAAAAGTCCATTTATTTTCATATCCAAGTAAGTTTACTTAAAATGTTAGACTCAGAGCTTTTATTTTTCTACAGTCCATCACTGGAGCAAAGCTAGTTCTAAGTTTCAATAACAAAACTAAATACTTAGATATTTTGGTTTCTGTAGTTATTCTGAATTACTATGAATATTCTACACAGCTCTTTAAATATATAGTCAAAATATATGCCTGTCTTAACTAGTGGTTAAAAATTATAATTGTACTGAAATATTTTTGCTGAGTGCAAGAATCTAAAGTTAAGATTTTCTAATTATAACACAAATGTTTTAAAGGCTAAAATCTAAAAAATGATTGGAGATCGATCGGGTGCAGGGACTCACACCTGTAATCCCAGCACTTTGGGAGGCTGAGGCAAGAAGACTGTTTGAGGCCAGGAGACCAAGACCAGCCTGGGAACACAGCAAGACCCCATCCCCACAAAAAATTTAAAAATTAGCTGAATATGGTGGTGCATGCCTATAGTCCTAGCTACCTAGGAAGCTGAGGGGGGAGAATTCTTTGAACCCGAGAATTCAAGGTTACAGTGTGCTATGACTGTGCCACTGTACTCCAGTCTGGATGACAGAGCTACACTGACTCTCTTTCAAAAAAAAAAAAAAAAAGATTAGACATCATTTCAAATACTCATCACTTTACCATTATTCCAATGACTTAAAGATAGCTTCAAATTAAATTTCCTAATTTCAACTGGCGATGGTGCTGAAGTTAAGACACAGAGACTCCCCTTTACTGTTCTTATTGGTAGTATTATTAACAATAGCACTCAAAAAAAGGTGGGGGAACAGTGGGGAGAAAAATGAACTCAATCTTTGAAGAAGCTACATCTTCTCCCATCTCTATCAGGGCTGATGGCAACACCAACACATCAGAAAGCACGAGAAGCATTCTTCTCTGTGCTTTTATCCTTTAAATCTAACCTTTTCCTTCATGCTTTAAGTCTAATCAATGGCTGCATTCTATTGATTTCCTTCCTTAAAACAATCCCATTCCAAGCAGTCTTTAATCCGTTGGCTACTGCCTTATTTAAAATCCATGTATCTCTCACCTTACTAGTCTTCTCTAGTCTCCTATCTCTCCAAATGCATTCTCCACACTCACTCTCAGAGGGACTTGGTGCGCAGGCTGCCCTCCCTTGTTCCTGTCTGCCCGATAACCTCACACTCCTCTTACAAACCTCACCTCAATCATCGATTCATCCGACCTGATCATTTCTCCATGTAGAACTACCAAAGTTTCCCATAAGCCTCCCTCTGCTCTCTAGATACTTGTACTACAATATCTGATACTCTTTTTATTTATAAGTACGTCTTTCCCTATAATTTTTAATCTTATTAAAGGTAGAGTAATGGGTAATGTCTGTTTTTTTTGAGACGGCGTCTTGCTCTGTCACCCAGGCTGGAGTGCATTGGTGTGATCTCCGTTCACTGAAACCTCTGCCTCCTGGGTTCAAGCAGTTCTCCTGCCTCAGCTTCCTGAGTAGCTGGGATTACAGGTGTGCGCCACCACGCCCGGCTAATTTTTGTATTTTTAGTGGAGATGGGGTTTCACCATGTTGGCCAGGCTTGTCTCGAACTCCTGACCTCAGGTGATCTGCCCACCTCAGCCTCCCAAAGTGCTGGGATCACAGGTGTGAGCCACCACGCCCGGCCTAGGGAGGGTACTGTCTTATTCTCCTGTGTGCCCTGGTGCTTTGTAAAGTGTCTGGCACACAGAAGGCTCACAATAAAGTTTGTTACATGAAGGAGTGAATGGCAACATAATACAACATAACGGCAGTGATACTAAAAAGATCAAAGTTCAGGTTTAAGACATGTTACCTGCTTCCAAGACTAGTGAATATTAAGAGAGAAACACCCTCCTGCCCCCATTCTTCGGAAATTCTGTCTGGTTTATATACTATAAATTTTGGATTCTTAAGAGGTTCTCTCACAATGAAGCAAGCTAAAATATAGCTATCTTTTCTGAAAAGCCAAAAATAGGGAAAAAACCCAAGATGAGTGAGATACATTCCAATATGCTTTGGGAAATGCAGAGTAAACATCTGAACACCAAATGTGCATCACTACTACAGTGGGCATAGAAAAAAAATATCCTAAGTGAAGAATTAAACACATAACATCCTAAATGAACATTTGGTTATCAAATGTGACAAATGAAATAGTTTATGCTCAAAATTGCCAAAATTTAATTCTAAAAAGTAAATTCACTAAAGGTTAAAATAAAAATTGTCATCTCTATGACAGATTCTTACATGTTCAACAACTCTGTTCTTCAAGTCTTTCCACCTTTTTTCACCTTCCTCTGTAGAACCAAAAACATCCGTTGCAGGACTCTCAAGGGAACCTTTTCTTAATTCCATTCCATAGTCCTCAACAAGTGTGGACCAACGCATCAACTCCATTGTGGTAAAAAGCTTTAAAAGATCCCTGAAAATTGTATACATCTTAATATTCCAAATCTGTAAAAATTAAGTATTAACTAATATAATAGCAAA
Organism: Homo sapiens; assembly: GCF_000001405.40. Taxonomy (NCBI): domain Eukaryota; kingdom Metazoa; phylum Chordata; class Mammalia; order Primates; family Hominidae; genus Homo; species Homo sapiens. The sequence goes on from NC_000017.11 coordinate 67,344,849, forward strand.
GTTCAAAAAATTCAGCAAAGACTGTTTTCGTTAAATTTTATTTAGTAGAATGAGACACCATATGATTATTGTGTATTTTACCAACTTTATTACCATTTTTCCCACAGTAGTTCAGAATACAGCATTCTCCCACTTAACACTCTGCTCTCTTCTGCACTGTCAATTTCTGAAATAACTGAATGTAAATGTACTCATGAAACAAACAGAAATAAGAGCCTGTTGTGTTTATGATGAAGCAAGTCTATTTTATATAATAGATTTTCACAAGTATGTATTTCTGAAAATCACAAAGCTCTAAACTACTAATGATGAAACTCTATCAAATAATTAATCAAAAGCTGCAAATGTAGACCTGATATGAAACTTCCACTTGATAAGCAATTTAGAAGAAAGTATGTTATAATCTCATTTACTGCTGATGCAATGCTAAAAAAAAATTCCACCACGTTATCCTCTCTAGTTTTATTCTCTAGTATACGCTATCAGTAACCAATTAAGAAGTACACACTTAGGCCAGGCGCAGTGGCTCAAGCCTGTAATCCCAGCACTTTGGGTGGCCGAGGTGGGCGGATCACCTGGGGTCAGGAATTCGAGACCAGCCTGGCCAACATGGTGAAACCCTGTCTCTACTAAAAATACAAAAATTAGCTCGGCATGGTAGCGGGTGCCTGTAATCCCGGCTACTCGGAAGGTTGAGGCAGAAGAATCACTTGAACCCAGGAGGCAGAAGTTGCAGTGAGCTGAGATTACACCATTACACTCCAGTGTGGGCAACAATAGTAAAACTCCATCTCAAAAAAAGAAGTATACACAGAAGTATACACTTAGGTTAGCCAATTTTCTTTCAAAATGGTGTTTCGACTGAGATATATCATGCTAATTTCAAAAGTACTTACTTGTATTTGGGAATTTCTTCTAACTTCTTGTCACCACTTATTCGGTGAACCAAATCTGACTGTTCATTGTCAAAAGGAGCCAGGATAACATAGAGTACAACACTCTTCAGAGCCTAAAAGAGTTGTACAACAAGTTATATGCAAGACTGGACATAATGGAAACTTTGACAAAAACTGAACAATCATGGAATAACTATATATCCATTTCAAATTTTAAAGTCTTGGCCGGGCGCAGTGGCTCACGTCTGTAATCCCAGCACTTTGGGAGGCCAAGGTGGGCAGATCTCCTGAGGTCAGATCGAGGCTATCCTGGCTAACACAGTGAAACCCCATCTCTACTAAAAATACAAAAATAAAAAAAAATTAGGCCGGGCACGGTGGTTCACGCCTATAATCCCAGCACTTCGGGAGGCCCAGGCGGGCGGATCACCTGAGGTCAGGAGATCGAGACCATCCTGGCTAATACGGTGAAACCCTGTCTCTACTAAAAAATACAAAAAATTGGCCGGGCGTGGGGGCGGGTGCCTGTAGTCCCAGATACTCGGGAGGCTGAGGCAGGAGAATGGTGTGAACCTGGGAGGAGGAGCTTGCAGTGAGCCGAGATTGCGCCACTGCACTCCAGCCTGGGCAAGAGTGAGACTCTGTCTCAAAAAAAAAAAGAAAAAAAAAAATTAGCTGGGCATGGTGGCACATGCCTGTAGTCCCGGCTACTCAGGAGACTGAGGCAGGCGAGTCACTTGAATCCGGGAGGCGGAGGTTGCAGTGAGCCAAGACTGTGCCACTGCACTCCAGCCTGGGCGACAGAGCGAGACTCTGTCTCAAAAACAAACAAAAAACAAATAAACAAACAAAAAAAAGTCTTAAGGGGAAAAATATTGCAAGGCTGCCTTTTCATAGTGTCTTTCTATAGTATTTAGTTTTCACAAAACTATTATAATAAATCATTGCTAATCTGACTTACTCCCCTCAGCTGACATTTTTCTTGACATTCATTTTTGACAAATGTATAAAGAAAAAGTTCTTATAACAAGTTAGCAGTATAAATGTGGAATATATATATAAATAAGCCCCTTAAAACAGCTTTTGTAAAATAATTTTCCAAAGTAATGCCGGGTCTTTAACTGCAACCTTTATTAGGATATGACCCACTGTACACATTTTAAACAGGAATCCTACATTTCTCCAAAAGTGAGACATAATCTAAACTATGGCTGCAATTGGACTGAATCAGTAATATACTGAACAACACTGAATAGAAAGCAGCACCATACAATTGCATCTAACTATTGCAGTTAAAAAGATTTGAAAATAAAAAAAGCAAATTACTCTTCTGAATAAGAAGCCATGTCAATTACACGAATATATTCTTACCTGCTGCCATTTTTCACTTTCTGCCTGTATACAGGGAGTATCATATATTGCTCTGTAGTGCTTACAAATAGACAAATAGGATCCCTCATGTTGATCCAGCTGAATCATTAAATTATAGTACTTCAACTTTAATTTCTGCAAAAAAGTTGACAAAACAAATTGGGGTTTATGGGTTTTATTCATACTTTTAAAGTAAACATGTGGTCACAGATATGCTCACCTCTGTATTTTCTTCCTGGAAAAATTTGGTGTTAATTTTCTTGCTGATGATTTGTGTTCGAATGTAATCCTTCACAGCTAGGCAGAGCCTCATTTGCTCCAAAATAAATTCCACTCGCTCTTTCTTTTCCATTGACCCGTAGGTTTCCACCTAGCACAGTAATTCCCCAAATAAGTTTATAATACTTTGCAATTTTGTGAATTGCAATAAAATGAAATAGATATTAAAATATTCATCCTTGTTAAATAATAAGAACCTTCATGTATATAGGGAGAGTGTTGACAATTACATTAAAAGCTAGTTACCGCTAGAAAATTACAATTTATAATGGATTTTCCCCCTTTTGGTATAAAATTCTATGAATTTTAACTCATGTAGTGATTTGCATAACCATCATCACAATGAAGACACAGAACCCCAAAAATCTTCCTCATACTGTCCCTTTATAATCACACACTTCCCCCACTCATAAGCCCTCCTAAGACATCCAGTGATCTGTACTTCATCACTACAAATTTGTCTTTTCAAGAATGTCAAATATAGTATGTAACTCTTTGAGGCTGTCTTTATTCACTCTGTATAATGGCCTAAATTGTAAGATTCACTCAAGTTATACATCAATAGTTCATTTACTTTTATTGCTTAGTAGTATTCCATCGTACAGACATACCACAGTTTATTCACCTGTTGAAGGATATCTGAGCTGATTTTATCTTTTTACTATCACAAATAAAGCTATTCTGAACAGGTTTTGTAGACTGGGTTTACGTAAACATAAGTTTTCATTTCCCGTGGGTAAATACTCAAGAGTGGGATTGCTGGGTCATATGGTAAGCATATGTGTAACTTTATAAGAAACTGCCAAACTGTTTTCCAGACTGGCTGCACCACCTTGCATTCTCACCAGTAAGGTACAGGAGTTCCAGGTGCTTTGCATCCCCACCAGCAATGAGTATTTTATTGTTTAAACTGTAGGCATTTTAATAGGTATGTAGTGGTACCCCATTGTGGTTTTAATTTGCATCTTCTTAATGGCTAATGAGGAAATGACAATTTTCAGTATGAAAAAAGATGCCATTCACAGGCTTTCAATCAAAATCCAAAATAATTATTGGTCCCAAACATTTTGGATAAGGGATACTCAACCTATATTTCCATTAGAAAATGCTGCTGACAAAACAAAGTTTTACCAACTCTAAAATGCAATACCTTACCTGTAACTCCTGTAAAATGGAGGCTGCCTCTTTCACATCACCATTTTGTTCTTTTATAGTTGCTAATGTTTTAGTCAGTCGCGCACGCTCAATTTCAACATAAATCTACAAATGAGAAATTTACACAATCAAAATTCCATGGAAACGTGTTAAAATTTAAAAAGTAGGCTGGGTATGTTGGCTCACACCTGTAATCCTGACATTTTGGAAGGCTGAGGCAGGAGGATCGCTTGAGTCCAGGAGTTTGAGACCAGCCTGGGAAACATGTTGAGCCCGTCTCTACTAAAAATCAAAACATTAGCTGAGTGTGGTGGCATGCACCTTTAGTCCCAGCTACTTGGGAGGGTGCCACAGGAGGATCACTTGAGCCCCAGAGTTCAAGGCTACAGTGAGCCATGATCAGGCCACTGCACTCTAGCCTCAACAACAGAGTGAGACTGTCTCAAAAAAATAAAAGGTAGAACTGAACTACTTTTTTTTGTTTTTTGAGATGGAGTTTCGCTCTTGTTGCCCAGGCCAGAGTGCAGTGGCGTGATCTCGGCTCACCACAACCTCTACCTCCCGGGTTCAACTGATTTTCCCGCCTCAGCCTCCAGAGTAGCTGGGATTACAGGCATGCGCCACCACGCCCAGCTAATTTTGTATTTTTAGTAGAGAGGGTGTTTCTCCATGTTGGTCAAGCTGGTCTTGAACTCCAGACCTTAGATGATCCGCCCACCTCGGCCTCCCAAGGTGCTGGGATTACAGGCGTGAGCCACTGTGCCTGGCCAGAACCGAACTATTCTTTAACCCAGCTATAAGAATATTTTACAGCTCTTGTGCACTTTATCCGCCATGTACAAATACAGCTGTGAGACATTTTATATTTCACAAATATAGCCATAATTCTTAAGAAAATGTCTCTATAAAACCTTATCCATATTTTGTAACTCTGCTTTGAGAACCTAAATATGAAATTACTATGTTTAACAAATAATAGGACCACAAGCTACATAAACGGCACAGAAGATGCAAAATGCCTTGTGATTATTTGAAAAGTGTGTTATATGTAGTCCAATGTCTTCAATTAATACTCTAATTCTGACTTATCTTTAAATACAAGACTACCTTCTTTAAAAATATCTAATTTTGCTAGGTATTAAAGTTGTTAACATTTTTGTAGCTATAAGTAATGTTAGTAGATTTATAATTTCCAACAAATTAAACACCAAAAATATGACTACAGTATAACCTAAAGCACCTAGTGAATGAATTTTCATGCTTAGGCTTGCTTACCCTATTTTCAATAATATCAAACCAATTACAGCTTCCTACATCTATTATACATTTCTTACTTTGTTATCTTTGAATATTATTTCCTCTATGTCTAAAATGCTCTTCTCCCACACCCTGACCCTGTAGAATTTTTATTCATTTTTTTTAAAGTCACATTTAAATCCGTGATAAGATACCCAATTCCCAGAAAAATCTAGATATACCATGGCTGTCAGTATTTAAATAGATTCATTTGCAGAAAGGGATGTACAAAGACATTATTGGTTGAATTACAGTGATGACATTTTGTGTATTTCTTTAAAAAATAAACATAAAAATATACAAAATATCTACATACATTAAGTATCTCTGAATACAGAAAAAACAGTTCATATCATTTTGAGTTATGTCAACAGAAAATTTACCTTGCCTTCGGTAACCATTCGTAGAGTATCAATTAATCGAAGTTTGATAGGAAGGTCTGTGATTTCCTCAACATAAGTACAGCACTGTTGAACCATTTTGGCAACAGCCTAAAATATTAAAAACCATTCATAAGTAAAATACATTCCTCACAGAGCGAAAAAATGTATTTTATTGATCAAAGAGCAATGATCGAACTTGGTCTTCCCAAGTAACTCTAGACACCAAAATGTCATAAAGAACATCACATCGAAATCTCACTGATACCTAAAAAGTACCGAGTACCCCGTAACAAGTCAGTAAAGGTCAGGAAAACCTCAGATGCAGAGATGCAGCCAAGCAGGAAAACATGGAAGAAATGGCATCTGACTAGGGGAAGAGAAAGCAGAGGTCCACAGCGGCTTGAAGCCATGACCTGCAGACACTGTGACTGAGGAGGAAAAAGGCAGTGGCAGAGGCAAAAGGCGAAACGGTTCTACCACCCGGGTGGGAGGAAGAGCCACAGTCACCCAAATTCACCTCAATACCATGTGACACTGAGAGCCAGAGACCCTCATGCCTTCAGTTTCCTCACAGGTTATATCAAGGGGCTAGAATACACTCCCTTCAGCACTAACATTCTATGATCCAGGTCACAAATCAGCAAACATTTTCTGTAAATTTTTGCAAATGTTCATAAAGTAGTTATTTTAGACTTTGTGGGCCAGTCTCTGTGGCAACTATTCAACTCTGCCTCCTTAAAAACAAATGAGTGTGGCTGTGTCCCAATGACTTTATTTATAAAAATAGGAGGCGGGTGGGATTTGATTTGTGTCCCATCATTTGCCAATGTTTGATCTAGATTTTAAGCAATATATGATAATCACTAACAATCAGGACCATGGGTCAGGCGTGGTGGCTCACACCTGTAATCCCAGCACTCTGGGAGGCAGAGATGGGCGGGTCACAAGGTCAGGAGATCGAGACCAACCTGGCTAACATGGTGAAACCCCGTCTCTACTAAAAATACAAAAAAATTAACCAGGCGTGGTGGCGGATGCCTGTAGTTCCAGCTACTTGGAAGGCTGAGGCAGGAGAATGGTGTGAACCCGGGAGGCGGAGCTTGCAGTAAGCCAAGATCGCGCCACTGCACTTCAGCCTGGGAGACAGATCGAGACTTGTCTCAAAATAATAATAATAATAATAATAATAATAATAATAATAATTAGGACCATGAGTCATCAAGAAAATGTTAAATTACATTAAGTATATTTTGGTTAAGGCAGCAGAAAAGTGAATAGAATATCTTAGAAAGATTTCCACGAAAAACATTTAATGTTTAAGCAGCTCAGGCTAAATGTTTTTGTTGTGGAGGTGGTTTTATTTTATTTTAGATTCAGGGGGTACATGTGGAGGTTTGTTTCATGAATATATTGTATAGTGGTGAGGTATGGGCCTCTAGCGAACCTATCACCCAAACAGTGAACATTGCACCCAATAGGTAATTTTGGATACACAGGTAACCCTCACCTCCTTTCATCCTCCCTGCTTTTGGAGTCCTCAGCGTCTGTTATTTCCACCTTTTTTTTTTTTTAATTAAAAACATTTTTTTGGCTGGGTACGGTGGCTCATGCCCGTAATCCCAGACTTTGGGAGGCTGAGGCCGGCGGATCACGAGGTCAAGAGATCGAGACCATTCTGGCCAACATGGCAAAACCCAGTCTCTACTAAAAATACAAAAATTAGCCGGGTGTGGTGGTGCATGCCTGTAGTCCCAGCTACTCAGGAGTCTAAGACAGGAGAATTGCTTGAACCCAGTGAGCCAAGATCGCACCACTGCACTCCAGCCTGGCGACAAGAGCGAGAATCTCTCTCAAAAAAAAAAAAAAAAAAATTTTTTTTAAAGAGATGGGGCCTCATTTTGTCACCCAGGCTGGAGTGCACTGGCATGACCACAGCTCACTGCTACCTCAAATTCCTGGGCTCATGTGATCTTCCCACCTCAGCCTCTTGGGCAGCTGGGACTACAGGTATGTGCCACCACACTCAGCTAATATTTTTAAAGTTTTTTTGTAAAGACAGGGGTCTCACCATCTTCATGCCCATGTGCACCTACTGTTTAACTTCCATTTATCAATGAGAACAAGCAGTATTAAACTTTTAACTATCTGAAACACTGGCTATTTAGAGACCCAGGCATTCTGGAAAGCTATGGTTTTATTGTAAACTATAACTCTTTCAATAAGTTCAAGGCCCTAGGACATGTAGTGTCTCACAAAACATAGGATGCCTGTAAAGTTAATTATAATAATAATTTCTAGAAGAGCACACAACTTGATAATTCTAAAAGCTGTGCAAAAAATACATTAACAGAAATCAGATGGGGTTAAAAACAACAACTACAGTAGTCTCCACTTACGAAGGTTTTGCTTTCCAGTTTCAGTTAGCCATGGTCAACTGTGGTGTGAAAATATTAAATGGAAAACTCCATGTATAAACAATCTATAAGCTTTAAGCTGCACACCATTCTGAGTAGTGATGAAATCAAATGCAGTCCCTCAAATCACCCTTCGGTCCAGTGTCTCCACACTACCCACCCTAGTCACTCAGTAGCCATCTCAGTCTCATGTGATCCACTGTATCCAGGGCAGTGCTTGTGCTCAAGCAACCCTTATTATACTTCACAATGGCTTCAAAACCCAAGAGTGGTGATGCTGGCCATTTGTATATGCCAAAGCGAAGCCATAAAGTGCCTCCTTTAAATGAAAAGGTGAAAGTTCTCAACAAGGAAAAAGCATAGTGGATATATGGTTTTGTACTATCTGTGGTTTCTGGTCTCCAGAGAGGATTTTTGGACATATTCCTTATGGACAAAGGGGGACTACTGTACATTAATACGCTAACAATGCAATGGGGAAGCTATTAAAAAAATTCTAATAATAAGTGAACGTCTTGCTCCTCTCTGAAAAAAATGCAAGACATTCAGGAAGTTACAGTTGGAGTGACCCCTTGGGCTCGAGTGACAGACAATGAATATAAACCATTCATATTAAGCAATTTAGAAAAGGTTATTTCCTTCCTTCCTTTCCTTCCCTTCCTCCTTCCCCCCGCTCCCTCTCTCTTTCTTTTGAGACAGTCTCACTCTGTCGCCCAGGCTAGAGTGCGATCTTGGCTCACTGCAGCTTCCGCCTCCTGGGGTTCAAGCGATTCTCCTGCCTCAGACTTCTGAGTAGCTGGGACTATGTGCGCCACCATGCCTGGCTAATTGTTTTTGTATTTTTAGCAGGGACAGGGTTTCGCCATGTTGCCCAGGTTGGTCTTAAACTCCTGAGCTCAGGAAATCCGCCTGCCTCGACCTCCCAAAGTGCTAGGATTACAGGTGTGAGCCACCATGCCCAGCCAAAAAGTTTATTTTCTTAAAGCTACTTTCTAAGTCTGCTTAAGCAAAAAATAAATTTCGTAGGTAAAAAATAATTATGAGAAAAGAGGACTCTGTGGGCCACAGAGACATTTATGTTTCCTAAGAACTTTCCATAGCTATGAAGACATAATATGTTACAGGGAAAGGAGCATGCCTGGCTCCACTTCTGGCTGTCACTAGCCAGCGGTGAGAGAGACTCAAATTCCTCTCTCTCCAAGAAGCCTTCCCCAATAAATCTAACTCAACATATTTTCTTCCTTCTTTCACATTTCTTTGTACATCTATTACTCTTGTGTCACTTATACATTGCCTAATGTATGTGTAGCAATTAAAAAAAATCTTAAGACTACTTGTTAAAGATGTGCTATGATTACTTGTGACTTACATACGTTACTAACCAATAGGGTGCCAAGGGCAAGAACTATAGGCTGCATGTCTCTTCACATTCCAAGCACTTTACATAAAAATACGTTTCTCCATTTGGAAATTAACAGGGCCAGGGGCCAGGCACGGTGGCTCATGCCTGTAATCCCAGAACTTTGGCAGACAAGGCAAAGGCAGGAGGACTGCTTAAGCTCACGAATTAGAGGCCTGGTCAACATAGCAGGACTCCGTCTCTACAAAAAGTACAAAAATTAACTGGGTGTGATGGCTTGTGCCTGTAGCACCAGCTACTCGGGAGGCTGATGGGGAGGACTGCTTGAGCCTATGAGATTGAGGCTGCAGTGAGCTATGATTGCACCACTGCACTCTAGCCTGGGCGACAGAGACTGTTTCAAAAAAAAAAAAAGGGAAGAAAAAAGTAAGCGTTAAGCAACACCCCCTACTAGCTCTGAGTTTTTATGGCATGAGAAATTAAAGTTTAAGATGTGTGCTTTGAATTGTCCTAATACTACATAAAACATAAATTTTTGTTGATTTCAACCTAGGTTGCCCCAAGACTTCTAATTAAGGAGCCCTTTCAAAATTGTCCCATAGAGAGTAAGTTTCTTAGAAAATAGAGTAAGACGATGGTTTGTCTAATAATTGTCTCTCAAACCACTGAACTGGGCACCAAAAGGCACATTTAAGTAAATTTCATGGCTGGGTGTGGTGGCTCATGCCTGTAATCCCAGCACTTTGAGAAGCTGAGGTGGGTGGATCACTTGAGGTCAGGAGTTCGAGACCAACCTGGGCAACATGGTGAAACCCTGACTCTACTGAAAATACAAAAATTAGCTGGGTGTGGTGGCACATGCCTGTAATCTCAGCTACTTGGGAGGCTCAGGCAGAAGAAGTGCATAAACCCGAGGGGCGGAGGTTGCAGTGAGCAGAGATGGTGCCACTGCACTCCAGCCTGGGGGACAGAGCAAGACTGTCTCAAATAAATAAATACATACATAAATTTCACATTCACATATTTTAGGTTGTCTCAATTAAATTAAATCTATACTAATTCTTCACATCGGCTTGCATATTTTTGGTTTTTTTTTTTTTTTTTTTGGAGACAAGAGTCTCATCCTGTTGCCCAGGCTGCAAAGCAATGGCACAATCTCGGCTCACTGCAACCTCTGCCTCCCCAGTCAACTGATTCTCCTGCCACAGCCTCCCAAGTAGCTGGGATTACAGGCGCCTGCCACTACACTCAGCTAATTTTTGTATTTTTTGTATAGACAGGGTTTCACAGTATTGCCCAGACTGGTCTCGAACTCCTGGGCTCAAGCAATCCACCCACCTTGGCCTCCCAAAGTGCTGGTATTACAGGTGTGATCCACTGCACTGAGCCAACACTGTCTTTTATATGCATGTAAACTTACCTAAAGAAAAATAAACCAAAATCAATTACAGTAACTGACTTCTGCAAAAAATAATTTAACCCACTTTAATACTATCCTTACCCTAGAAGCAGTCTAATTAATAAAATCAGGAATTTGTCCAGTAACACTATATATCTATTTTTGGTTCCATTACATCCTCTTTTACAATGCCATTGTCTTTATTATTTAAAGCAAGAAATTAAAACCCAGAAACTACTCAGGAAACAGTATTTAAAAGATGAGATAAAAATGTAAAAAATGAGATCTACTTGTACAGGGGAACATTTAAATATATCTCAAGAAGAATAAGGAAACAGTAAAGAAAAATCCAACTTCACCAAAACACTAAAAGAGAACTTACATAATCTCTAAACAAAATGAGCAAAATAGTCTCTCTAAAAATGGCCTCAAAAATAAGTTGGAAGCCGGGTGCAGTGGCTCATGCCTGTAATCCCAGCACTTTGGGAGGCTGAGGTGGGAGGATCACTTAAGCCCAGGAGTTCAAGACCAGCCTGGGTAATGTAGTGAGACCCAAGCCCCCATTTCTACACACACACACACACACACACACACACACACACACACACGCACACACACACAAGATTAAATGTTTAACAGTACATTCTTTTGGCAGACTTCAGTTTTCTCAGGCAGGCACTCTAAGTGGGGGTTGGGTCATCCTGGAAATGCAGCCTTGAGCTGTTAGAAACAATCTTAGTATTTGTTTAAGTCTACACAGGACAAGGTTAAGGACTTGTCAAGAAGAGGGCTCAGAGAGTTTAGTCAAGGAGAGAAATCTTTATCAACATGCATAGTTTTTGAATGTCAGTAATACCTCAAAAAGCTGTTTTGCAAAAAAATCATATATTGGGATAATATAAGAAAATGAACTTTGGGAGGCCGAGGCGGGCGGATCACGAGGTCAGGAGATCGAGACCATCCTGGCTAACACGGTGAAACCCCGTCTCTACTAAAAATACAAAAAATTAGCCGGGCGTGGTAGCGGGCGCCTGTAGTCCCAGCTACTCGGGAGGCTGAGGCAGGAGAATGGCGTGAACCCGGGAGGCGGAGCTTGCAGTGAGCCGAGATCGCGCCACTGCACTCCAGCCTGGGCGACAGAGCGAGACTCCGTCTCAAAAAAAAAAAAAAAAAAAAAAAAAAAAAGAAAATGAAATATTTAGTTACTACTAAAAAAAAATTTTGAAACAGCATAAAAAGATGTGCTTAATAAAAGGGATATGACTAAATAAAATGAGAATATCAGCTTGATAAATTAAAACAAAACCATTTAAAATAATAAAAGTGGGGCTAGGCACAGGGACTCATGCCTGTAATTCTAGCATTTTGAGAGGCCAAGGCAGAGGGATCACTTGAGCCCAGGAGTTTGAGACCAGCCTGGGTAATATAGTGAGACCTCATCTCTACAAAAAATAAAAAAATTGGCCAGGTGTGGCGGCATGCGCTTACAGTCCCAGCTGCTTGGGGGCTGAGGTGGGAAGACTGCTTGAGCCCAGGAGGTTGAGGCTGCAGTCAGTTGTAATCATACCACTGCACTCCAGCCTGGGTGACAGAGTGAGACCCTGTCTCAAAATAAGTAAATAAATAAGGAAAAAATAAAAGTAGCAATACCAAAATAGAACAAAGCTGTATGAACACTCTAAGTACAACACAATTTTTAAAAATATGCAAACATATAAAGACTAGAAGAAAAAACAGAAAACAGTCATATCATTGTGAGAATGTAGACTGAATTTTAAAACACCCTCTAGGATGTTACAACGTTGACTTAACACATTTTAAACAGACTTATAGAAGAGCTTGTGAAAAGTTCTGAAATACAAATGCTTTTGTGTTTGGAGCAGACATGATCATGAACTCACTTGTTTTAACTGACTCCGCCTTTTGGACAAAAGCATAATATTTTCATTAAGTAAATCCCATTCTTTAGCCTCATAGCACATCTTCACTACTGCAACTAAGATACGGGATGTCGATACCATATCGGAAGCCTGTAAGGGTAAAAATATATTGAAAGTTAATGGAAGAATGTTCAATGAAATTAATGGTAACTGAGCTTTCCCCTGTAAACTACTCACAGTACGAGTCTGCTTTTCCAGAGAGAGAAGGGTTTCAATGACTTCTTGAAGTCTTCCTTCCTAAAACAAAAGATGAAAATGAACAATAAAAAAACACACAAAATGCAAATAACTAGTCTAAAATGAAATGGTTTTGACACAGAAAAGGAAAAATCAACAGCCTCTTCTAGAGGAAAAGGACTACCCATAACTAGTTTTGTTTCTCTCCTTTTCATGATAGTGCTTCCTTCTCTAGTGGGTTCCATCAGTCAGTGGTTCCCTACTTGAAGCCCATAAGCTATTTTTAATATTTTTAAATGCCTAAGAGAAACTGAACATATAACAATCATGTAACACCTAAGAAAACATCAAGTCTTTGTTTTGGATTCTAATTTATCAACTCAGTGTGGTAACACCTGTTTATCTTGTTCTTTTTTTTTTTGAGACAGAGTCTCACTCTTTCACCCAGGCTGAAGTGCAGTGGCACCATCTCGGCTCACTGCAACCTCCACCTCCCGGGTTCTAGCGATTCTCATGCCTCAGCCTCCGGAGCAGGTGGGACTACAGGAGTGCCCCACCACACCCGGCTAATTTTTGTTGTTTTTTGTAGAGATGGGCTTTCACCATGTTGGCCAGGCTGGTCTTGAACTCCTGACCTCAAGCGATCATCCCACCTCGGCCTCCCAAAGTGCTGGGATTACAGGCCTGAGCCACTGCATCTGGTGGATCCTGTTCTGATCAGAGACTCTAAGTGGTAGTCACATGTGTCTTTAAAGAATAAAAACAGAGGCCAGGTGCAGTGGCTCATGCCTGTAATGACAGCATTTTAGGAGACCGAAGGGGGCAGATATCTTGAACTCAGGAGTTCGAGACCAGGCTGGGCTACATGGCGAAACCTGTCTCTACAAAAAAATACAAAAATTAGCTGGGCATTGTGGTGCATACCTGTAGTCCCAGCTACTCTGGAGGCTGAAGTGGGAGGCTGGCTTGAGCCATGGAGGTGAAGGCTGCAGTAAGCCAAGATCGCACCACTGCACTCTAGCATGGGCGACAGAGTGAGAACCTGTCTCAAAAAAAAAAAAAAAAAAAGAAAAGAAAAAAAAGAAAAAAAAAGTAGGAAAATAAATGATTCCTTTATGAAGTTACCGTCACCCTAACAGATATTTTAAAATACAGAGTTCCAAGGAGAAATAAAAAGAATGCTTGGAGCTAAAAGACAGGAAACTATGGTTTAATTTTTCAATGACTTTAAGAATAAATTAGTAATCATGCTTACCGGAAATGAAGGCATCTGAGAACACCCACACATGCTATCCTTAAAGTCATGCTCTTGAGCAGATACTGATTCAACTGAAATACAGTTTCTGACAACTTACACTAACCTCTCCACATCTCTAACTCAGATGTAAAAATAAAACATTCTCCCTAGGCTATATATTTAGAGATTGGAACAATAAAACTCAAATAATATAAACATAAATGATAATACACCAGGAGTAAAACAAGTTATCCTATTAGGAACCACACATTTTGATAAAACCAAAACCAACATACAGCACAAAAACTGCACTCATTGGCCAGGCATGGTGTCTCACGCACTGTAATCCCAGCACTTTGGGAGGCTGAGGTGGGAGGACACTTGAGCCCAGGAATTCGAGACCAGCATGGAAAATAGGGGCAGATCCTGTCTCTACAAAAAATTTACAAATTAGCTGGGCAAGGTAGCCTGTGCCTGTGGTCCTAGCTACCCAGGAGGCTGAGGCGGAAGAATCACTTGAGTGCAAGAGTTTGAGGCTGCAGTGAGCTAGGAATGTACCACTGCACTCCAGCCTGGGTGACAGAGTGAGACCTGGTCTCTAGATAAAAAATTTTTAAAATGCATTTATTTAACATGCTAATATTAATAACTATCATGTAAATATCTCTGACAATAAATTGAAATGAGAAGAGTATTGTTTAAAAATTGTTTTTCTAACCAAAAATGAATTTTTTTTATCTTAATAACATTCATGGATGATACGTGAGTACTATCCTTTTCTACTGATGAAAGAAACTTATTAAATAGCTTCTGAATTATGGGCATAAATAATGTTTTGACTTTTTAAAATACTGCTGCCATATTTTTCCAAGATAGCTTTTAAACATGCATGAATCTTCCATGCGGCACAGCATATATACTGCATGGCCCGTCTGAACTTATTTTAATTAAATCTGAAATATGTGATTCTTAACATATTTTAACAACGTTTCCTGTTTGGAGAGCCCTAGTTCTCCTTTCTCTGAAAGTTCTATAGATTTATATATATAATAAATACTGGCTAAATGTTCATCAGAGGAAAAAAACAATGAACAAATCTATAAATTCTCCAAAGTTGAAGGCTAATAAATCCTAAAAGATGAAAGAATCTTAGAACTAGAAAGACGGCTAGGCATTATTTAATTCAATCATTTCATTTTAGAGATTAAAAAGACTGAGGACTAAACAGCTTAAAATGACTTGCTTAGCCACAAAAGGAAATGAGCAGCACTAGATCCGGGGCTCCTGCCTCAAGCTCCAAAGCTCTCTCCACTAGAGTGCAGCGCTTCCCCTACTGTACTAGTTTAAATCTCACCTTTCGCTTTGATCAAAGTCATCTCTATGGTTACTATCTGGCAACAAAATGAAGGGCAAAAATAGTTAAAATGCAAAATACTATTTAATGACAGTCACCCATCACATTTGCAATTACTATTAGTCACGTGACTGTGATCAATAAAGTGTGGTTTAATATATGGTATTCTAATTCAGAAGCATGGGTATTAAATTGCATCATACATGTGAGAGAATCACACATTGGCCTAAAGCCACAGTCTGGAGTATCAACAAAACATTAAACGTCATTTTCTTACAAAGGCATTTTTGGATAACACTCTCTAAAAATCAGTAGTCACTTAGTACCTCTTCCTTTCATACTCAACCATACTGACTCTACTCTGCAATTACCCCAAACTATATTCTATTTTGGTGTTTACTGTCTTTCCAATCTCAGTAGAATGCGAACTCTGTAAGAGCAGGGATGCCATGTCTATACTGTTCATCACTGCAGTTCAGTGAGCTGCATCACACCAAGCACATGCCACTGCTTCTGCAGACACTATGGTCCATCCTTCCATCCTTGTATCAGTTACTGATGCACATAGCTTACCTCCTAAGTGGTCTACAAGTTCCTTTAGGGCTGGATCCTCGTTTACTTGTCACTTCTCTTTGCACCAACCTCCATATAATACGTGTTGAATGGATTGGCACTCACCTGATCTGTATTCAGTTGATCTCAATGGCTTACGATTCCTGATTCTTACTGTCACAATAAGCAGGA
The DNA here is from genome assembly GCF_000001405.40 of Homo sapiens. NCBI lineage: Eukaryota > Metazoa > Chordata > Mammalia > Primates > Hominidae > Homo > Homo sapiens. The sequence continues at coordinate 67,360,854 of NC_000017.11, forward strand.
TGTGACAAACTATACCGTTGACAATTTAGTGCTATTTGAAGGACACTACCATCATTTCATTTAATACAATTTCCAATTTTCAAATCATCCCCCTTTTTTCTCCCAATCTTCCACATTCTACCCTATGGCTAAACATCCTCCTCTTTTTCCTGTCTATTCACTCAGGTCCTGAAATTCCAACTCCTTGATGCTGCCTTTCAACTCAGAGGAACAAATGGTTAGAAAGCTATCCAAAACCAACCTGTTAGAACATGTGACTTCAGTGACTCATTTTCCTCATTAAAATAATCCTTGTAAATGATGTAAGCGACTAATGAGTTTGTTCAACATCAATGTTGAGTATAAGTTCTGTTTGCACCTCCTTTAATTCCTGAATGAATCCAATCTTTCAATGATTTGTTACACAACCTAAATAAGAAAGAAAAAGGCTAATAAAAAGTCACCACAGCCAGGCATGGTGGCTCACGCCTGTAATCCCAACACTTTGGGAGGCCAAGACGGGCAGATCACTTGAGGTCAGGAGTTCAAGACCAGCCTGGTCAACGTGGTGAAACCCCATCTCTACTAAAAATACAAAATTTAGCCGGGCGTGGTGGTAAGCACCTGTAATCCCAACTACTTGGGAGGCTGAGGCACAAGAATCACTTGAACCCGGGAACGGGAGGTTGCAGTGAGCTGAGATCATGCCTCTGCACTCCAGCCTGGGTGAAAGAGCGAAACTCGGTCTAAAAAAAAAGTCACCACAAATAGTTGAAATTTAAAGCCAGTCCAATACTCCCCCTACATAGTCCAACTTTTAAAGTGACCTATTCCTTAAAGGGGTCTCTTTTGTTTAAGCTGTTAACAATGTAAACTGTTTTACATTTCACTTGCTCTTTTTGACATTAACCATAAGAGGCTGAAGGTGACCAAAAGAAATGAAAAGACATTAAGCCAGGTACAGTGTTGTGCACTACCAGCTACTCAGAAAGCTGAAGCAGGAAGATCTCTTAAGCTCAAGAGTTTGAGATCCCTGTATCTAAAAAAAAAAAAAAAAAAAAAAAAAAAAAAAAAAAAGGAAGGAAGGAAGGGAGGGAGGGAGGGAGAGAGAGAGGAAGACATTAACATTTAGGCCTAGTGTTCCATTACTGGAACGCTAAGCTTGTGGGAGTTATTTATATCCTACTGCTCAAGGTCATCGCCAAGATCTGATTTTTCACAAAAAAGATTTTGCAACCTGCAGCACAAATGGGTTAAGAGGAAGGAGAATCAAAGGATACATTCAATTTAAGAATGTAAGTAGTCCCCAAATAACCATGTGCCAAATACAACATAATCAAAAAGAGAGAATGAGAAACCCTCAGTATATTAAGAACTGCTAAATACCATATCTTTACAGTGCAGAAAAGGCCCTCCTTAATTTTTAACTCCTGAATACAAGGCAAAGAGATAACCATCATCAAGAACTAGTATCACTTTTACTAACACCCCATCATCCCGACACAGGGTGCTTACACACCAATCACAGAGGCGGTAGAATGGTTAATTTATACAGGCTCTGGCTGGGCGCGGTGGCTCACGCCTGTAATCCCAGCATTCTGGGAGGCTGAGGCGGGTGGATCACAACATCAAGAGTTTGAGACCAGCCTAGCTAGTATGGTGAAACCCTGTCTGTACTAAAAATACAGGCATGGTAGTGCACGCCTGTAGTCCCAGCTACTGGGGACGCCGAGGCAGGAGAATTCCTTGAACCCGGGAGATGGAGGTTGCAGTGAGCCGAGATCGCGCCACTGCACTCCAGCCTGGGCAACAGAGCAAGAGTCCATCTCAAAAAAAAAAAAACAAAAAAAACCCAAAAAAAAAACAAAAAAACAAAAAAAACCCACTACAGGCTCTGCAGCCAGACTGCTCAGGTCTAAATCCCAGCTGTACTACCATATTACCTTGAGTAAAACACAAGCTCTCTGACTCTCAATTTTCTCTTCAGCGAAGTGGGCACAATAATTGTACCAATCCACAGGGTTGGTGTAAGATTTAAATCAATACCTATAAAGGCATGCCTGGAACACAGTATGAGTACATATCATTATCATCATAGCAGCTGACATTTTAATAAAACGTATACAGCAATAAATATTAGTTATTATCATTTGCAACATGGGTGTTAGGACAGACATAAAACTGTACTAGGTGACAACTACAAGTGATTTAAAGGATCTACATTTGGCAATTTTACAAACCAACTCTAGGATTTGTCTGCCTTTCTAAGGCTTCTGCTAAATACAGTTTCCCATCTAATACATTATTAAGTCTCTATATACAACTTTTTTTTTTTAAGAGATAAGGTCTCACTCTGTTGCCCAGGGTTCAGTGCAGTGATGCGATCATAGCTCACTGCAACCTCGAACTACTGCGCTCAAGCGATCCTCCTGCCTCAGCCTCCAGAGTAGCTGGGACAACAGGTGCGTACCACAACACCTGGCTAATTTTAAAAATTTTTTTGTAGAGACAGCATCTCGTTAGGCTGGCCTCAAACTCCTGGCCTCAAGTGATCTTTCCACCTGGGCCTCCCAAAGTGCTATATACACAATTTTCATCTTCAAATGTCTTTCACATTTAAAATAAAAAATGCCTTAAGGAAATTAAGGACAGAATTGATAATCTCTTAAAGAGGTAGTAGCAAAAAGAACACTATTCTTTTTACCAGGAGATGTGAGTTTGATCTGCCTTGAATAAACCACTTAAGCTGCCTGAAGCTTAAATTTTCTCACAAGTGAAAATAACAAGACGTTCTTCATAGTTTGATGGGCTCAAAATAAAATCAAAAGAATGTATACTAACTGTTCCATACATTCCAATGTAGAAATGCAATGTTAATTTTTTTTTATGTTTGGCAGAATGGTTAGAAAATAATATGAAATGGAAAATAAAAAGCAGCTGGGCACGGTGGCTCATGCCTGTAATCCCAGCACTTTGGGAGGCAGAGACAGGTGGATCACCTGAGGCCAGGAGTTTGAGACCATCCTGACCAACATGGTAAAACCCCGTCTCTACTAAAAATACAAAATAAGCTGGACGTAGTGGTGCATGCCGGTAATCCCAGATACTCGGGAGGCTGAGGCACGAGAATCGCTTGAAACCGGGAGGTGGAGGTTGCAGTGAGCCAAGACCGCGCCACTGCACTCCAGCCTGGGCAACAAGAGCGAAACTCTGTCTCGAAACAAAAAATAAAAAAAATAAATAAAAAGCAAAACAGAAAAATATGTTTAAAAAAATTAACCAGGAGTGTAGGGTAACCATCTAATTTACAGTTGAAACTGGCTCGGTATCAAAAAACAAACAAAAAAAGTATACCCTCCCACAACATATACCTTGTTTTATTCAGCTGGCACACTGGCTTAAAAAAAAAAATCAAAATTCAAATGTATCTATCTTAACAGGCCCCAACATTCTTTTTTTTAAACACTTCTGTTACCCACTGGACACCTAAAAAGGCATATGGTATTGGAGTTTGCAAGTTTTTCAACAGCCTGGAGCATAACAACAATTATTTAGGAATAAATGCTACATAAGATCACCAGAACAACTGTAGCAGTGAAGTCTTTTTTCTTACTGATCTATAAGCTGTTCGAGGGCAAGAGCTTTGTCTAGTAATCTCTGTATTTCTCATAGTGTCTAACACTGACTAGGTCTTGCAAACAGTAGACTGGTATTAACAGAAATTCATAAAAGGAAGATTTGGTTGTCCTTCTCTAGAGCAAATTACTTGTTTCTTCCTTATGGACACTATCATTCTATTAATTCCAAAGTGGAGGTTCAGGGGCTGACCTTGGCCTGTATGTTTTGTTCTAGCTACATTGTATTGGCTCAAATAGTATTTTAATATGACAGATTAGTATCCAATTTCTAAATATTAAGGTATTTAATGAGAAATTCATCTTCCTGGTTTCTCCCTCAAATTAGCAGCATCGACAATACTCGGCCTTCATCCCCAATTGGCAAAGATTATCTGAAGGTGAAGATCTGCCGTCTCCTTTTCCTGGGCAGGTGCTCGAAAGTTCAGGTTTTTGGCCAGCCGCGGTGGCTCACGCCTGTAATCCCAGCACTTTGGCAGGCAGAGGTGGGTGGATCACTTTAGGTCAGGAGGTCGCGTGCGACCAGCCTGGCCAACGTAGTGAAACCCCGTCTCTACTAAAAGTACAAAAATTAGCCGGGCGTGGTGGCACCTGTAGTCCTAGCTACTCGGGAGGCGGAGGCAGGAGAATCGTTTGAACCCGGGAGGCGGGGGTTGCAGTCAGCCAAGATTGCGCCACTGCACTCCATCCTGGGTGAAAAAAGTGAAACTCCGTCTCAAAAAAAAAAAAAAAAAAAGTTCAGGTTTTCACTACAATAGGCTTCTAGGCAGGACAGCATGGTGTGTGAGGGCACCAGCTCCAGAATCTAGAATCGGTCTGCCTGGGTTTGCTTCTTGGCTTCACCACTTTACTAGCTGTATGATCTTGGGGCATGTGATTCAACTTTTTCTAGCCCAAGTTTTCTTACCTGTAAAATAAGGATAATAGTAATAGCCATCGCATAGGGCTGAGGTGAGGATCAAATGGCTTAGTGCATGTAAGCACGGTGCCTGACACTGCAGAAACTACTCAACAAATATCAGTTATTGTTATCTGTCTGGCATTGGAGGCGGCTGAGTTTTCCCACCCTTATGTAACTGATGTTTGTTGATGCTAGCTGCTAGAAAGCTCTTAATGAATTTGTGGCTCCCCCTCAGCAAGCATACTGAACCTAAGATATACATACGTACCAACTTTATCACCTTTCTCCATCCTTGTTTCTTGGAAAGCCCGTTAAACTCTTATAGTGCCTACTTGTCTTTACTTCTGTAGTTCCGTCTTCAGTAATGACTCCACCCCACCTCAATCTTACTAATTCCTCAAGACCCAATACAAACGTCAGCCTTCCTGTAAAACCTTCCCTTATGGCACCATTAAGAATGCATAGCTTCCTTCTCGGTGTTCCAGTAACACTTTCCCCTTGTATGGCCCTCACCACCATGCATGACTTGACTAATTCATCACGTACATCAACTCCTAAAGGACAGGGTCCTGTGTTAGTCATCTTCGTACTATCACTTTCCTGCCCCTTCTCCTGGCCAAAGACCAGGCACATAGCCATGATCCACAAACGATGTAACGACATAAATTGATTGAGCAACAGCAACAGAACGAAACTCTCTGATCTAGCCTTAATACTGAAGCGGCCTTAACCCCTGGGAAACTACTAAGGTAAATATCACTTAAACAGCATCCAAGAAACGGCAAAAAGTTAAACGGAGCCCTAAGTCCCACGGAGGGAAGTGACCATCTGTTTTGGGGAGGGTCTGGGAAGCTATAGGCGCTGGCGTACTCCGCAGCCCTGGCCGGGCCGACCTGGGGTCTCCCACTCGTGCAGGCCCAACTAGGGCTGGACAGGCATTGGGGGGTGCACGCTCCAGCCCGCAGGCCCCCTGAGGCCTAAGCAGGCTCCGCGCCGTGACTCAGCCCCTGGCGCCCGCCAACAGCCAGCCGGCCTCTCCTCACCTTGGCTAGCTTCGCACACTCGGGTAGGCGCTGATCCACCGTGGCGCTGTAGTCCACCTCCATCTTGACGATGCGCCCGTCAGCCCGCTCCGAGCCGCCGTCCGCCATGGTCCCCGCCTGAGCGTCCCTTGCTGTCCCCCTGCTTCGGCCACCACTCGTCACCCACACCGGAAGTTGCCCGCGCACCCGCTCAGGCAGCCCATCGGGAGCCCACGCAAAGGACCCCTCGAGGTCCCCGGCGCTGGTTGCCACTCAGGCACTGCCGCGGACAGCCTGGGGGTGGGGCTTGAGGCGCGCGGGGCGGGACTCGCCACTCCAGCCTGCAGCGTCAGGTTTTGTCTCTGGGAACATCAGACTTTTTACCTAAAATTTGCGATGAGAAAAGCGAGTGTAATAGAACAGACCATCTCATATATCCCTACACCCCTGCTTCGAAATATGATTTCTCAGGACCGTGGCCAGTCGCTTTTCTTGGATCTCGGTTTTCTCATCTCTACATCAGGAGGCTAAAATAAACCTTAAAATAGAAAATTCTAAGGTTTTATCTACTTGAGAATCTTGGTGGCTTACTCTGTGGGATCTCTGAAAGCTCCTAAGAGAAGATATGGCAGCAGCTCAGTCATTTAATAAGCAAAGTGGTTTTTCTCTTTGTTTTCATTTTCACTGTAATCCACTAAGTTGGTAAAAAGAAAAGTTAAAAAGACATATTTGTTATCCCTATAGGATTTTCGTGAGCATCAAACTAGATGACATGTGAGACAATTTCAATTCTTAAGGGCCTTACACGTTTTATGTGTTATCATTCATACCATGCTGGTCCCTAGAAAATAGCTTGAGATCTTAAAAAAGCTTAGGATCCTTGAAAATGGGAATGAGGCCGGGCGCGGTGGCTCACGCCTGTAATCCCAGCCCTTTGGGAGGCTGAGGCGGGCGGATCATGAGGTCAGGAGATCGAGACCATCGTGGCTAACACGGTGAAACCCCGTCTCTACTAAAAATACAAAAAATTAGCCGGGCGTGGTGGCGGGCACCTGTAGTCCCAACTACTCGGGAGGCTGAGGCAGGAGAATGGCGTGAACCCAGGAGGCGAAGCTTGCAGTGAGCCGGCGAGATTGCGCCACTGCACTCCAGCCTGGGCGACAGAGCAAGACTCCGTCTCAAAAAAAAAAAAAAAAAAGAAAAAGAAAAGTAAAGAAAATGGGAATGAGGTTGTGTTTGGTGTGGGCATATGGTCAACAGCAGCCTGGAAAGCAAACAGGAAAACGGGAAATCTTGGAGTGGTTTATCTATTATGTTAGTGGTTCTCAATTTAATTAGTGCCGACATCGCTTTATAGATGCTGAATAGATCTCTTTGTTTGTTTTAACTGCAATGAAAATCAGGGAAAATATAAACCATCTACAAGCAAAATAAGACAATATCTCAGCTATAATCTGTAATGTAGAGGAGAAACAAATTTTACCTTTTTTTTATTTTTGTAGAGATAGCAGCTATACTACGTAGCCCAGGCTGGTCTCAAACACCTGGCCTCAAGCAGTCCTCTCACCTTGGCCTCCTAAAGTGCTGAGATTACAGGTGTGAGCCACTGTGCCCAACCAAGAAACAAATTTTAAAATAGCAAAATAATATATATTTCAAGAGATAAGGGCTAAAACATGTCTACAGTGGAAAATACAAGGAAGTAGTTATTTACACCCATACACAATAACTATAAATGTAAAAGCTGCAACTGCAACAGGTGTGTTCTCTTGGTTCCTGAAGCATGGTAAGGGCCTATTGTTGGTGACATTTTCCAAAATGGTGAGCAACAAGCCACTTCTTGGTAAAGCTCTTATTGTTTTTTTTTTATTTTATAGTCCATCAGATGGGTCTTATGGCTCATGCCTATAATCCCAGCACTTCGGGATGCTGAGGTGGGTGGATCACTTGAGGCCAGTAGTTCAAGACCAGCCTGACCAACATGGCGAAACCCCGTCTGTACTAAAAATGCAAAAATTAGCCAGTCGTCATGGCACGCACCTGTAATCCCAGCTTCTCGGGAGGCTGAGGCAGGAGAATTGCTTGAACCCGGGAGGTGGAGGTTGCAGTAAGCCAAGATTGCGCCACTGCACTCCAACCTGGGTGACAGACGAGACCCTGTCTCAAAATAAATAAATAAATAAACAAAGAAACTTTATAATCCATGACACGCTGAAATAAAGTTCTGACTATATCAACATATAATCTTCCATTGTTTTTCTCATGGAAGAATTCTTAGAAATTTTAGTTGATGTTAAAAGTGAAAGAAAAGTAGCTTGTCGTAAGTAAAATTGACTTAGAGTCTAGGCCTCAGACACAGAAGAAAGTGTCTGGTAGGACATTCAAAAGTCTGATGGAATGTGGGACAATATTTTATTGTGTGGGCTTGTTGCCTGGCAGGCTGTTTAGCATTGCAATTACATGCTGGTGTCTCCCTCTTCCCTCTGTGATTGTCACAACCCAAATTCCCCTGCAGGCTTCTAAAACACACTCTAGAGGCTGGTACTGTTGAGACACACTAGGCTAAGATGCCTTTTCACTACATATTCTGTGTGACATTGGTTTGATGAGAGTAGACAACAGGATCTGGAAGTGTAAATTTGTTTTTTGTTAAAAAAAATCTTTTTGGAGACATAGTCTTGTTCTGTTGCCCAAGCTGGAGTGCAGTGGCAAGATCAGGGCTCACTGCAGCCCTGACGGCCTAAGCTCAGGTGATTCTTCTGCCTCAGCCTCCCAAGTAGCTGAGACTACTCAGCTATTGGTTTTTGTTTGTTTGTTTGTTTTTTGAGACGGAGTCACGCTCTGCCACCCAGGCTGGAGTACAGTGGTGTGATCTCGGCTCACTGCAACATTTGCCTCCTGGGTTCAAGTGATTCCCCTGCCTCAGCCTCCTAAGTAGCTGGGACTACAGGCGTGCACCACCACACCTAATCAATTTTTGTATTTTTAGTAGAGACTGGGTTTCACCATGTTGGCCAGGCTGGTCTCAAACTCCTGACCTCAAGTGATCCGCCTGCCTTGGCCTTCCAAAGTGCTGGGATTACAGGTCTGAGCCACTGTGCCCGGCCCTCAGCTATTGTTTTATTATTTATGTATTTATTTATTTATTTTTGGCAGAGATGGGGGAGGTCTCACTGTGTTGCCCAGGCGAGTCTTGAACTCCTGGCCTCAAGCGAGCCTCCTGCCTCTTCGAAAGTGCTGGGATTACAGGCATGAGCCACAGCGCCCAGCTGAAGGTCTAAATTTAGAGTGAAGAGTTTGAGAAGACAAAAAGTAACAAAGGTGTGATGGAGTAGACAGATTTATGATTTCCTGAACTCAAAAATAAAGGGAAGGGTCTAAGAAGGGGCAAATAGGAGGGGGAGAAAAGTAGTTGACTCCCAAACCAAACTGAAGCCCTTCCTTGCTGAGCTTAGAGGTAAAAGAAAATGAAAGCAAGTTGAGATCCTAAGAAAACAAGAGATTAAAGTTAAATAAATAAAGAGGAACTCAGAAGTCTGAGCAATAGTCAGAAAAAAATAGGTGAGAGTACTGTATTACAGACAGATACTTTATATGAATTCTTTATTTGGGTGAGTCTGAGATTAAATCTGTGGCTTTGCAAGAAAGAAGTTGATTTCAGAAGAGAAAAATTGGCAGTGTAGGAATATCTAAAAGGCAAGGGAGAAATGCTGATTGCGAAGAGGAGTTTATTCAGAAAGAACAGTAATATTATGATACTCATTATTAGAAATAATGTGCCCCTATATTAATTACTATGTTGGGTACTTTTTTTTATTTTTTTATTTTTTTGAGACAGTCTCGCTCTGTCGCTAATGCTGGAGTGCAGTGGCTTACTCGGCTCACTGCAAGCTCCGCCTCCCGGGTTCACACCATTCTCCTGCCTCAGCCTCCCGAGTAGCTCGGACTACAGGTGCCCCCCACCAGGCCCGGCTAATTTTTTTTTGGATTTTTAGTAAAGACAGGGTTTCACTGTGTTAGCCAGGATGGTCTCGATCTCCTGACCTCATGATCCGCCCGCCTCGGCCTCCCAAAGTGCTGGGATTACAGGCGTGAGCCACCGTGCCCTGCCTGGTATTTTTTTTATAGTTGGCATTCCTGGTACATCCATCTTATTAGTCGTGCACATAATTGTCCTAAAGATCCTGCCTTTGGGAAGTGAACATTCTTTTTCTTTTTTGAAAGAGTCTTGCTCTGTCGCCCAGACTGGAGTGCAGTGGCATGACCTCAGCTCACTGTAGCCACCACCTCCTGGGTTCAAGTGATTCTCCAGCCTCAGCCTCCCAAGTAGCTGGGACTATAGGTGTGTACCACCATGCTGGCTAATTTTTGTATTTTTTCAGTAGAGATGGGTTTCGCCATATTGGCCAGGCTGGTCTCAAACTCTTGACCTTAGGTGATCTGCCCACCTCGGCCTCCCAAAGTGCTGGGATTACAGGCCTGTGCCACCACGCCCAGCTATGGAAAGTCAATGTTCTATAATGGGGAGAAGACAGAAAATAAATATGTAAATATGCGTGTGGGTAGGGCAGGAGGTGTGATAAGCATTTGGGAAGTAGTCAGGGAGGGAATCACTAGTAAGCCAAGAACAGAAGGGAGCCAGGCTTGCAGGTATCTGGGGGATGAAGATTCAGGCAGAGGCTACCACGGGTGAGAGAACCCTGAGATGAGAGCAATCAGATCACATCTGGCCTGTTTGAAGAACAAGGAGGTCAGAGTGACAAGAGCAGAATGAGTGAGGGCGAATGTCCTAGGAAATGAGGTTTAGGGCAACTTGGCCATTATAGGGGTTGGTGTTTTCGGTTTCTACTTTTTTAGAGAAGGAGGCCTCGCTATGTTGCCCAGGCTGGTGTTGAACCCCTGGGCTGAGGCGATCCTTCTGCCTTCATCTCCCAAGTAGCTGGCCTCTTAAGTAGCTCAGATTACAGGCACGAGCTATAGGACTTGGGTTTTTGTTTTTTTGTTTTTGTTTTGAGATGGGGTCTCGCTCTGTCACACAGGCTGGAGTGCAGTGGCATAATCACAGCTCATTGCAGCCTCGACCTCCCAGGCTCAAGTGATCCTCCCACCTCAGCCTCCAGAGTAGCTGGGACTATAGGCGCATCCACGACACCTGGCTAATTTTTTTGTTTTTTGTAGAAACAGGGTCTCACTGTGTTGCCCAGGCTGGTCTTGAACTTCTGGACTCAAGTGATCCTCCCACCTAAGCCTCCCAAAGTGTTGGGATTACAAGCATAAGCCACCTCAACTGGCCAGGACTTGGCTTTTAATCCTAGTGAGATGAGAAGCTATTGGGGGTTTTGGGCAAGGAAGTGGCATGAGCTGACTTACATATTAAAAGAATCATTCTTGCTGCTGTGTGGTGACTAGATTGGGCAGAAGTTAGGAGACAGTTGAGAGGTTTTTGCAATAATCCAGAAGGAAAATGATGGTGATTTGAACTAAGATCAAGGTGGTAAACTGGGTGTGGTGGCTCATGCCTGTAATCCCAGAACTTTGGGAGGCTAAGCCAGGTGGATCACCTGAGGCCAGGAGTTCGAGACCAGCCTGGCAAACATGGCGAAACCACGTCTCTATTAAAAATACAAAAATTAGCCGGGCGCAGTGGCACGTGCCTGTAGTCCCAGCTACTCAGGAGGCTGAGGCAGGAGAATCGCTTGAACCTGAGAGGCAGAGGTTGCAGTGAGCCGAGATTGCACTACTGCACTCCATCCTGGACAACAGAGCAAGACTCCGTCTCAAAAATAAATAAATACATTAATTAATTAAAAAAAAAGAGAGAGAGGAGCTCAGTTTTGGATAAATTTGAGGTGACTGTCAGATATCCAAGTGACAAGAAGGCAAGTTGGTGTTCAAGTTTCAAGTTAAGAGGTGTCATTTGGGCCTAAGATTTGAATTTGGGTGAGGTGCAGTGGTTCACGCCTGTAATCCCAGCTAAGGCAGGAGGATCTCTTGAGGCCGGGAGTTCAAGACCAGCCTGGACAACATGTCAAGACCCTGTTTCTACAAAATATGTTAAAAATTAGCTGGGTGTGGTATGTCTGTTATCCTAGCTACTCAGGAGGCTGAGGTGGGAGGATCCTTTGAGCCCAGGAGTTTGAGGCTGCAGTGAGCTATGATCATGCCACTGTCCCCTGTGGCTAATTTTTGTATTTTTTCTAGTAGAGACGGTGTTTCACCGTGTTGACCAGGCTGGTCTCGAACTCCTGACCTCAAGTGATCTGCCTGCCTTGGCCTCCCAAAGTGCTGGGATTACAGGTGTGAGCCACCGCACTGGCCAATTTATTGCTATCTTACTTATTTAAAAAAGAAACTATACCTTTGGCCACAGAACCTCCAGTTTTTTTTCTATGTGAAGCAATTTGTAACACATCATTGTCAATTCACTTTTATTTTATGGGCATTTACTGCAAAAATACAAGCAATTCCACATCAAAGACATTGTCTATATTTAACAGAGGCCTGATAGATGGGTGGGTCTATACATAAGAATTGCCTTGGGACTTCCTCTGTGTCATTAAGAAAGAATTTAACATTAGCTTAGTAACCAAACAAGATCAAATATACAGGTATTTAAACACAAACACACACACAAACACTTAGCCTTTGTTGGAATTAAGCAAGTAATATTTAATAAAACAAAAATTAATTGTAGGCTGGGCACAGTGGTTCACACTATACCCAGCACTTTGGGAGGCCAAGGTAGTTGGATCGCTTGAGCTCAAAAGTTTCAGACCAGCCTGGATAACATGGCAGAATGCCATCTCTACAAAAGAAATACAAAAATTGCCTGGCATGGTGGCATGTGCCTGTAGTCCCGGCTACTTGGGAGGCTGAGGCCAGAAGATCACTTGAACCTGGGAGGTGGAGGTTGCAGTGAGCTGATATCATGCTGCTCCACAGAAGCCTGGGTGACAGAGTGAGACCCTGTCTCAAAAAAAAAAAAAAGAAAAAAAATGCAAGAATAACATTTGATTTTTAAAATGTTATAAAAAAGAGGCCATGTTGGCCGGGCACCGTGGGTCACGCCTGTAATCCCAGCACTCTGGGAGGCCGAGGCGGGTGGATCACCTGAGGTCAGGAGTTCGCGACCAGCTGGCCAACACGGTGAAACCCCGTCTCTACTAAAAATACAAATAATTAGCCGGGCGTGGTGGCGGATGCCTGTAATCCCAGCTACTTGGGAGGCTGAGGCAGGAGAATCGCATAAACCTGGGAGGCGTAGGTTGCAGTGAGCTGAGATCAAGCCATTGCACTCTAGCCTGGGTGACAGAGCAAGACTCCGGCTCAAAAAAAAAAAAACCAAAAAACAAAAAACAAAAAGAGGCCATGTCAAAAGCACATAGGAGCCAACCAGAAAGAGCTCCCAACAGCCAATGCTGGAACTGTCTGAGCAGCAAAATAAATAACATAATGTTGATTATAACTTGAAGTATAGAATAAATAAGCACAAATCCACACAGATATATATATATATATATATATATATATATATATATATATATTTGAATAAATATATATAGAGAAGGGACAAATCTTTTTTTTTTTTTTTTGAGATGGAGTCTTGTTCTGTCACCCAGGCTGGAGTGCAGTGGCATGATTTCGGCTCACTGCAACCTCCGCCTCCCAGATTCAAGCAATTCTCCTGCCTCAGCCTCCCAAGTAGCTGGGACTACAGGCGCGAGCCACCACGCCTAGCTACTTTTTGTATTTTTAGTAGAGACGGGGTTTCACCATATTGGCGAGGGTGGTCTCGAACTTCTGATCTCAAGTGATTCGCCCACTTCGGCCTCCCAAAGTGTTGGGATTACAGGCGTGAGCCACCATGCCCGGCCTTCATTTTTTAATCGTCAGAAATTCCTGTTAGTACACTTTTCTTTCAGAGGCTGTTTACAGAGGTGGGTCAAGACCTTATTAGTTTTTTCACACAGACATGGAGGATTAAAGAGATCATCAGAATGCCTCGAAGAGAATAGGTTGACAGTCTTCTTAGATTATCTTGGTGTGCCATACCCCCTCCTGCGTTTTGAGAACCCCTGCTTTCAGAGACTGTCACTTATCTGAGAACAGATGCTGTCACAGACATGCACAGCCTCATATTCTTTTCCTCTTTGTCTTATCATTCCTCTCTGGTAACTTTACTGTTTTGTTCCTCTTTTTGCCTTTTGTGTCCCACCCCCATTTAAAAAAATGTGATGATCAGCCACGGCAGATTGTACATTGTTAATGGAACATCATGACTGTCCATAATGATGATAGCAACAGCTTCAAGGCTCTTCGTAAGTAGATATTGCGACTTCATTGGTTGAGAAGAAACAAAGATACAATTCTTGCCAGACACTTGCTGAGGACAGGACTTAAAACCACAGTGCTTGGCCAGTAGATGGCGCGCCCCGCCCTCAGTGTGCATGACTTATGAATGAATATGCCCTCCCTATGCCCTGCACCAGCCCCTCCCGCCTCTGCTAGCCCCTCCAGCTCACTGCTATCAGAACCACTGTCTGAAGCGCAGATTGCCAAGGCCTGGCTTTAAAATGGTGTCATGGGGATTGAATTGGGGAGAGGGATTCTCTGTGAAGGCAACGGGTTGAACAGCAGAAGGGTTGAGCTAGAAAGGTGGCCGGGGAGGAGGGGCTTTTGCAGCCAACTGACTCGTCTCATTTGGCTGGAGTTGGGCTGGGAAGGGTAATGGACTAATGTGGGAAAGGTAGATCCAGAGCCTTGAACCTCCTACCAAAGCATTTTGACTTGCTCAGTAGGCCATAGAGAAGCCCTAAAAGGTTTTTATATATTTTTAAATTTTAGAGACAGGGTTTCAGCATGTTTCCCAGGCTGGTCTTGAACTCCTGGGCTCATGCGATCGGCCCACCTCCCCTCCCAAAGTGCTGGGATTACAGGGGTGAGCCACCGAGCCCAGCCAGGAATCACTAAAAGGTTTGAAGGTGGCAGGATGAGAGCTGTACTTGCACAAGATTAATATGACCAGGTTTGCGGATGCAATGAATGAAAAGAAAATGAGAATCCAATGGAGAAGTCACCTTACAACAGGAGGGGTGGGCTGGGCGCGGTGGCTCACACCTGTAATCCCAGCACTTTGGGAGGCCGAGGCCATCACCTGAGCTCAGGAGTTTGAGACCAGCCTGACCAACATGGTGAAACTCCATCTCTACTAAAAATACAAAATTAGCCAGGCGTGGTGGCCGGTGCCTGTAATCCCAGCTACTCCAGAGGCTGAGGCAGAAGACTTGCTTGAACCCGGGAGGTGGAGGTTGCAGTGAGCCGAGATCATGCCATTGCACTCCAGCCTGGGCAACAAGAGCGAAACTCCATCACAAACCAATAACAGCAACAAGACGGATGATGGAGGAAGCATATATGTGACAATTTACAGTTCGGGAAATTCAGAGAAGTAGCTCCTCAACAGTGTCACCCGTCAGTAGAATACTTCCTTCCAGAATCAGTGTCAGGAAATGTCCAGGAAGCCAGGAACTGAGCCTACACATCCCGATGTCCCAAGTGCATGCGCATGTGTGGCTAGCCAATCCCTTGCCTTCCTGCCTCTGGGAAGATTATTAGGTCTTCCATTTGTTTTCAAGTAAGAAGCAAAAAAAAAAAAAAAAAAAGGAAAAACAGCTTGAGTTTCTTTCCATATCACAGCCTTCCAATGTGTTATTATTCAACACTGCAGTGTCAGATTTAGATTTTCCACCTCGAGGAATTTGGTTTAGCTTTAATTAGTTGCTGTGAATATTTCTGAGCCAACTCTGGAAAGCATTTATCTGGAAAATAGTTTCCACTAAAATATAAGCTGGATATAGGGTATCATTTTCCTAGGAGGGTTTGTATCAGTTAACAGTTATAAATTCTCTCCAGCCCTCTGGATGACTTTTGCCACAAGCCCATCATCGTCATATTGGTTAATTACTTATTAATTAAACACAATTCAAAATACTGTATTGAGGCATCTGCATCGCCATCTAAGCTCTAGCTTCAGGACTTCAGAGCGTGAAGATTTTTCGGAGAAAAGATAACGCTTACAGGTTATTCTCATACAGGCAACTGATGCATTTTTCATCCGGCAACTTTTCATAAAAACAAGCTGAAAAATACCAGACAAATGAAAAACAGACTTCAGCAGTTCCATGCTGCTTCCTGAGTAACTGAAGAATGTGCTTCTTGTGGTTAAAATGAGAGATCTGTTTAATATGGATCAAATAGCAACACTCCAGGCATTTTCATTGACATTTCACTGTGACTTTTTGAACTTAGGAGTGCGGATACGAAAACCTACTCTTTCTTTCTGCTGCGCGGAGCCTGCACAATCTGCAGAAAGATTGCAGAGCCGGGCCAGGCGAGGTAACAGGCTACGTGGGGTTCATGTTCTCTCTGGTTGTTCCCTCCCCGTTTGTACTTCATTTCCATTCACACGGCTGCACTTCCCAGTTTTCCAGGATCTCTCCTCTGAAACCAGGCAAGGGTTTGTTCCCAAATCCCACCCATTGCCTCTCCAGCCCCAGACTTGCTTACTGGACCACACATAGGTGGTGGGCATTGGTGACTTGTCCCTAGGGTCAGGGGACCAGAAACTTCCCAGAGGGGCTGGATGGAGCACGGCAGCACTCAGGGCACAATGGAGAGCGGATTCAAAGGGCAAAGGAGCCGAGGAAAGCCCCTCTGCCCGAGCCTCCCCAGCGCCGGCCGGGCTCCGCTCCGGAGCAGCCCCGCCGTCTGGCAGAGACATGCTGTTTTGTTTAAATCCTCCACATTCTTTGCCATTTCCCCATTGGCCGGATGGGGCTACCCTCCCCGCCGCGGCCGCTGCTGATGTCAGCCTCGCTCGCGCTCGCTCCTCCCGCACCCACCTCCCGGCCCCAGGCACACTGCATCGGCGCGGACGCTCCGGCCCCGGCGAGGTGGCTGCAAACTCGCGGGCACGCACGGCGCCCGGGGAGCCGAGGGACTCGGGGGAGGGGACGCGCGCGGAAGGCGCCAGCTTCCTCCCGCCCGCCCCTGGCAGCCGCGAGCCGAGGTTGGAGGCGCCCGGGGCCCCAGCCGGGCAGAGCCGAGCGGCGGCGGCGGCGGCGGCTTCCCTTTTCTCCCCGAGCCGAGCCCCGGAGCGGCGCGGGGACCGGCCCTAAAAAGAGCAGGAAATCTTGTTTACCGCCCGCGGAGAGAAGCCGATCGAGCCTTTGTCTGGAAAGTCAGCATCTCCGGCTCCGGCTGCAATGTGTTCCTGGTGACATTAGCATCGGGCAGACCCGCCGGAGGAGGGGGGTCGCCAGGTTCCCGTCTGCTTTCGGAGGCGGATCGAGCGGGTGACTTTTGTGCATTCGTTTTAATTTTTGGAAATCTCTCTTTTTTCCTCCCTCGCTCGCTGCCGGGCATGTCCTGATCTGGCGGCCGCTCCTACCACCCTGGGCAGCCGAGCAGAGTCGTCCCCAGCGGGTCTCCCTCCCTGCCTCCCTGACTTTGCAACACCGCGTTCCGGGAGGACCGGCCTCGGCGAGGGAGGAGGCGGGGGAGCTGCGAACACCCAGACCCAAACCCTGACATGCTCTGGGGCGGAGAGGAGGAAGCCAGGAGCTGAGCGCGCCGCGGGGGCTGCTTCGCCCTCCGGCTCCGAGCGCCGGGCTCCGGGCGCCCTGCCCTGCGCCTGGGCAGCAGCCTTGCTGGTCTTGGGGGCGCCCCCCGCTTCCCGCCCCGGGGGTCCGCGGCCGGCAGGACCATGCTGCTGAAAGAGTACCGGATCTGCATGCCGCTCACCGTAGACGAGGTAAGCGCCGCGCCCGGCCCGGCCTCGCCCGCTCCGGGACCCCCGCCGCTACCGCCGCCTCCTGGCCGGCGAGCCCCGGGCGAGCGGCAGGAAACCCAGGTGGACGTTACCCCGCAAACCCGAAGCCTGGAGGAGAGGAGGGAGGGGATTTGCGGCTTCCACTTGTCACCCCAGCGGGGGAGGGCGGCGCTGGGTGGGGCGGCGGACTCCGGGTGGGCTTTTCGGGGGCGCCCAGAATCCAGACTGTTGGGGATCACTATGAGCCAAAGGGAGTGGGTGCGCCCCCTCCCTCCAAATAAGAAAATGAATAAACCAAACCCAAGAGCCCCCGGCGCGCGCTGTAGCTGGGGTTTGGGGGGCATCCCGTCCTGGCCGTGGGCCCAGCCTCCCCTCCCCGCCCTCTGCGGTCAGGTAGGGGTGCGAGGAGGAGCCCTGCGCCCTCGGGATCTGCACGCCCCGAGCCCCGCGGGAGGAACCTCTGAGCCCTTAGGGGAGGTCCCTGCGGGGCCCGACTTCTCGCCGTCGCCGCGGGCTTGGGCGCAGCTCCCGGCACGTCCGCCCTTCGAGGCTCGGGACCCGGCTGTGTCCTTTCGCAAACCGCCTGGCTCGGAAACTTTCTGCGTCTCTTGTTTCTTCCGCCGCGGGGAGCGGCGCGCGAGCCGGGAGCGGCGGGGGCTGCGACGCGGCCACAGGAGGGCGCTCCAGCACGTGGTGCCGGGGCCGCGGCTGCCGGCTGGGGGCGCCGGGCGCGGGGCGGGGGCTCGTCCTCCAAGCGCGGCTCTGCTGTCCTTCTCCCGATCCTGCGAAGCCGCGAGCTCCAGTATTCAGGAAGTGGTGACTCAGATAGGATTATTCCGGCCCCGGCTTCCCTTTCTTCCCCTTCTTCCTCCCCACCTTTGTGGTGATTCCACGACTGCTGAGCGTCTCTGTCCAGGGACAGCGAGGGAGCCCAAAGCCAAGCAAGGCAACGTGAAACTCACTAGTGTGGTTTGGTGTGGCAACACACATGAAATCAGCCACCCAGACCGTCTTTATATTTAAATCTGGTGCCTCGAAACTATCAGATATGTTTTTGAGCCACTACTTGGTGAGAGGGGCGATGTGCTTTGGGAGAGAAAAAGATGCATAACTGAGAACATGGCTGAGCTCACAGGGGCTGTCCGTATTTGCCATCTGGACCAAGGGTTAAGGTAAGACCCAAGTACAATCCAAGACAAGATCAAAGTAGCTGCAAGTTTACAAAACGCATCACGGGGACACAGGCTGCCAAGGAGGGAGAGATCAGCTTCCACCAGAATGAACAACCGAGTTTTGGAGTTCGTTGGCATTTGAGGAGGTAGCATTTAAGCAGGGTCTGGAAGGGTGGATGCCAGGTGGGTAGACAGAGATTCGAGTTGCATATGACCTTGTAAGTGGAGAAGCAGGACATAGCTTTGTGGAGAAAGAGAAGGGCAAATGAATGGGACTGGTTAATAGGAGTCTTTCCAGAAAAGGTGGAGATTGTCCCACCTTGTGGGCAGTTGAGCTAGAGTAATTCAGCTGGGAGGCATGGATCCCTCTACTCCATATCCTAATGACCTTGTTTTTTGATATGAGTTTGGATTCTAGGAGCAATGTTGGGACTGCATGAAATACACAGAAAATTGCAGGTGATAATCAAGAAAAGAACCAGTTCTAGAATCTTCTCTACTAACTACAAAATCTCTTTATCCTAGTTGGTTCCCTTTTCAGGCTTTCTGAAACACTCAGGCAGATGCTTTTCCCACTTTTGTTTTTGTACCGAAATACCCACAGGTATACCGTGGGGTAATTACATTTGAATGATATAGGTGGAGGCCCTTCCTTCCTTCCTTCCTTTTTTTTGTCTTTTCTTTTCTTTTTTTTTTTTTTGAGATGGAGCCTTGTTATGTTGCCCAGGGTGGGGCGCAATGGCGAGATCTCGGCTCACTGCAACCTCCGCCACCTGGATTCAAGCAATTCTCCTGCCTCAGCCTCCTGAGTAGCTGAGATTACAGGTGCCTGCCACCACGTCTGGCTAATTTTTGTATTTTTAGTAGAGACGGGGTTTCACCATGTTGGCCAGGCTGGTCTTGAATGCCTGACCTCAGGCAATCCGCCTGCCTCAGCCTCCCAAAGTGCTGGGATTACAGGCATGAGCCACTGCGCCCAGCCAGCCCTTCCTTTCTTAATTGGCCAACAAAATCAGACTCATCAGACTCCACCTGTAATATAATTATAAATTCTTTAATGTATAATTCATTTTGGCCAAAGTATGATTCAGTTTCTGTAAGGTTCATATTCTGAAGTCATTTTCGGCTTTGTCAGAGAAGCAGGAGGGCAATTTAGATTAATAGATGTTTCCAATTAGTAGGATTCAGATTAGCTAAATCTGATGATGGATGAAGAAATGAGGCCTAGTTTGCCAGATGTTAAACCCCTAGAGTCAGAACTGATAGTAAATTCCACAGTCTCCACCATCCCCTTTTCCACTGACCCTTTTTCCACATTGAAAATGAGGAAGCAACTTGAGTTTCTTTAAATAAGATGTTTAGGTAAACTTTGGAAGCCTAACTTTTTTTTTTTCTTTTTGAGACACGGTCTCGCTCTGTCATCCAGGCTGGAGTGCAGTGGCGTGATCCTAGTTCACTGCAGCCTCCATCTCCTGGGCTCAAGTGATCCTCCCATCTCAGCCTCCTGAGTAGCTGGGACAATAGGTGTGTGCTGCCAACCCGGCTAATTTTTTTACTTTTTGTAGAGACAGGGACTCGCTGTGTTGCCCAGGCTGGTCTTGAACTCCTGAGCTTGAGTGATCCTCCTGCCTCAGCCTTTTAAAGTGCTGGGATTGCCGGGTGCGGTGGCTCACGCCTGTAATCCCAGCACTTGGGGAGGCTGAGGTGGGCAGATCACGAGGTCAGGAGATCGAGACCATCCTGGCTAACACAGTGAAACCCCGTCTCTACTAAAAATACAAAAAAATTAAGCAGGCCTGGTGGCGGGCGCCTGTAGTCCTAGCTACTTGGGACGCTGAGGCAGTAGAATGGCGTGAACCTGGGAGGCGGAGCTTGCAGTGAGCTGAGATCACGCCACTGCACTCCAGCCTGGGCGACAGAACAAGACTCCACTCAAAAAAAAAAAAAAAAAAAAGGGCTGGGATTACAGGCATGAGCCACTGCGCCCGGCCTGGGAGCCTAACTTTTGCTTCCACTCTTGGTTGGCTCTGGGCCTGATTCAACCTACATGGAACTTCTGGAACTTGTTTCTCTCTCTTTTTTTTTTTTTTTTGAGACGGAATCTCCCTCTGTCTCCCAGGCTGGAGCGCAGTGGTGCAATCTCAGCTCACTGCAAGGTCCACCTCCCGGGTTCACGCGAGTCTCCTGCCTCAGCCTCCCGAGTAGCTGGGACTACAGGCGCCAGCCACCGCACCCTGCTAATTTTTTGTATTTTTAGTAGAGACGGGGTTTCACCGTGTTAGCCAGGATGGTCTCAATCTCCTGACCTCGCGATCCGCCCGCCTTGGCCTCCCAAAGGCGTGAGCCACCGCGCCCGGCCTACTTGTTTCTCTTTAATCACCAGAGTTCATTGGTAGCAGTGTCCATACTTTTGAAAATGAAGCAAATGCTCATGCTTTGAAGAATCAGTGAGAGAACCCACACTTTGCCTGCTTCTTGTGCCTGGCCTTATCCCTTCTCCCTCATTTAACACTCTGGTGGTGGCGGGCGGTGGAGCATTAGTGGCACTGGTGTGTTATTATCTATATTTTGCAGATGAATACATTGAGATTCAGAAGGGTTAGGTAATGTGCTCCAGGCCACACAACTAGTTAATAGCCAAGCCAGAAGGAGAGCATGGTGAAACCCATTATTTGTTTTTCCTTACTCTGCTTTTTGCCTGTCACTAGTGTTTAATCCAGCAAAAGGAAAAACATTTCTTGAAAACAGATAAAGTCAGCACTATCAAGTAAATGAAAAATCAGAGGCCTTTTGACTTGCTATAGACGGTACTGGCCTCTACTATTTCTCTAGCTTTATTTTAACACATAAAATGTTCTCTAGTTCCAGGAAAAAAGAACAGCTCTGGGCGATCAAGAAAATAAAGCTGAACTACTGTCTAGATTAGAGTGTTGGTGGGGTTTTTTGGTGTGTGTGTGTGTGTGTGTGTGTGTGTGTGTGTTTTAGACATTAATTTCAGAGTAAAGAATTAATAAAAGTAACATTCCATAGATTAATTTTAATTAAAACATTTCATTGGAATAGTCCCTCGTTTGTGTTAAATGTGGTGGTCTCTGAACTCAATATAAGCCTGTTGGAAAGGTATGAACAGGAAAAGTTCCTGAGAGCTGAGAGTTGCTATAGAGAGAAAGTTGTCATTATCTTCATTTGAAACATTTGGTAGACGTAGATGTAGATTCTAGAGTTTTTGTTTGTTTGTTTCTTTTTCTGAGCCACACTCTCTCGCTCTGTCGCCCAGGCTGGAGTGCAGTGGGATGATTTCGGCTCACTGCGACCTCCACCGCCCGGTTTCAAGCAAGTCTCCTGCCTCAGCCTCCCGAGTAGCTGGGATTACAGGCGCCCACCATCACGCCAGGCTAATTTTTTGTATTTTTAGTAGAGAAGGGGTTTCACCATGTTGGTCAGGCTTGTCTCGAACTCCTGACCTCAGGCGATCCGCCCACTTTGGGCTCCCAAAGTGCTGGGATTACAGGCATGAGCCACTGCCCCCGGATGATTCTAGAGTTTTAGACTTAGAAGGCGTATTGGAGATGATTTATAATTGAGCCATTTATTTATTTATTTATTTGTTTGTTTATTTTTGAGATGGAGTCTTGCTCTTTCACCCAGGCTGGAGTGCAGTGGCGCAATCTTGGCTCACTGAAACCTCTGCCTCCCGAGTTCAAGAGATTCTCCTGCCTCAGCCTCCAGAATAGCTGGGATTTACAGGCTTGTACCACCCCAGCCAGCTAATTTTTGTGTTTTTAGTAGAGATGGGGTTTCACCATGTTGGTCAGGCTGGTCTCGAACTCCTGAGAGTTCATGCCCGGTGAGCCATTTCATTTTATAATGAAGTCTAGACCTGTAGTAGGTGCAGTTAAGTTGTCTACCTCATTGACAAACTCTAGGCTAGAACCAGGTCTGATTTAAGGCTCAAGGCTGTTCTACTATATGGAATTCTCCCTCCTCTGAGATTCCTTGGTGGAAGAAAATATTCTCCTGAGGACCCATGTGTAAAGCAGGTACACTGGCTCTACTCTCTAGTTGAAGGTGGCTGGGGACTCCAACCTTGTGTCTGCTTAGCGGGACACATAGGGTAGCCCCATTGGAACCTATTGGAAGGGTGGCCCACCTCCTCCCGCAGCCACTCGGTCCCAGTGAGCGACCTGCTCACCAAGGAGGCTCCTTGGAGCACAGTCTGAAGATCACCCTGCACCTGCCACCCTCGCCACAGAGGTACTTGTTAGTAAAATGAGCGTCTCTCAAGAGACGCTAAGCACATCCTAATATTATCTAAGGCAGGAATCCTTTTGTTTTCATTGCTTTCTTTACTGTTTAACCGTTCTGGCCAGGCGCGGTGGCTCATGCCTGTAATCCCAGCACTTTGGGAGGCTGAGGCGGGTGGATCACCTGAGGTCGGGAGTTTGAGACCAGCCTGACTAACATGAGAAACCCCGTCTCTACTAAAAATACAAAATTAGCCAGGCGTGGTGGCGCATGCCTGTAATCCCAGGTACTTGGGAGGGTGAGGCAGGAGAATTACTTGAACCAGGGAGGTGGAGGTTGTGGTGAGCTGAGATCGCACCATCGCACTCCAGCCTGGGCAACAAGAGCAAAACTCTGTCTCAAAAAAACAAAAACAAACGAACAAACAAACCAAAAACCAGTTCTTGTTTAACAGTTCCTGTTCTGACTGCATTCACATAAATGTGTATACTTTTAGGGATTGATTTGTGGTCTCTAGGGATATGGTGCACAATGCAGAAAAATAGAAACACTCCCCTCCCCTCCGAGAAAAGAGAAGGAAAGGAAAGAAAAGAAAAACAACTTTTTCATACAGAATATTATTTTCTTTTTTGCCCTGGCAGGGAGCCAGTGCACTTCATCCAGGCACCCCCAGGGTCCCCAGAGAGTTTTCTTGCGCACATTTCTGAGAACGGATTTGGGATCAGGGTGGTGCTGCCTCTGGAATGACATGAATGGAAATGCCAAAATGCCCAACAGTGTTCCTTGTTCTCTTTTTTTTTTTTTTTGAGACGGAGTCTCGCTCTTTCGCCCAGGCCAGAGTGCAGTGGCGCGATCTCGGCTCACTGCAAGCTCCGCCTCCCGGGTTCACGCCATTCTCCTGCCTCAGCTTCCCGAGTATCTGGGATTACAGGCGCCCGCCACTGCGCCCAGCTGATTTTTTGTATTTTTAGTAGAGACGGGGTTTCACCCTTTTAACCAGGATGGTCTCGATCTCCTGACCTCGTGATCTGCCCGCCTCGGCCTCCCAAAGTGCTGGGATTACAGGCATGAGCCACTGCGCCGGGCCTTGTTCTCAGTTTTA
This sequence comes from Homo sapiens, assembly GCF_000001405.40. Taxonomy (NCBI): domain Eukaryota; kingdom Metazoa; phylum Chordata; class Mammalia; order Primates; family Hominidae; genus Homo; species Homo sapiens. Next base: position 67,384,740 of record NC_000017.11, read on the forward strand.
AACCATTTTCCTGAAATGCATCTGCAAACATATCAAGGCAGAAATTATTGAAAGGAAGAGATTTTAAGTTTGCTGCTGGCGTCAATACCTCTGAATATAAAGGATAAAGACTCCTTGGATTAATCTCACAGACTTTCCCCAAGGTTTCTTGTAAATGTAATTTGGAAAATGTTTTCCTTGTCTGGTATAAAAATTTTATTCTGAATAAGATAATTCTATAAAAAGTTTTCTCAAGAACGAGCACAATTTTGAGAGGTTGTTTTATTTTATTTTAAATTTTCTGTTGAGAAGGGACCAAGGTCAGGGTCATGCGTGTGATTTCTGTGTGATCCAGGTGGTTTCCTTGGTGGCTTGTTCTGGGAGGTGAAGCCAGTTGGACTTCTTGGTCCGGTGGGGACTTGGAGAACTTTTCTGTCTTACAAGAGGATTGTAAAATGCACCAATCAGCGCTCTGTAGCTAGCTAGAGATTTCTAAAATACGCTAATCAGCAGGCTGCAAAAACGCACCAATCAGGTCTCTGTGGCTAGCTAGCGGTTTCTAAAATGCGCTAATCAGCACTCTGCAAAAACGCACCAATCAGCTCTCTGTGGCTAGCTAGAGGTTTGTAAAATGGACCAATCAGTGCTCAGTAAAATGCACCAATCAGTGCTCTGTAAAATGGAGCAATCAGCACTCTGTAAAATGGACCAATCAGCAGGACATGGGCGGGGACAAATAAGGGAATAATGGCTGACCACCCCTCCCCCCTCCCCTCCCCCCAGGCACCTTCCAGGCTGTGGAAGCTTTGCTCTTTTGCTGTTCACTCTTTTGCTGTTCACACTAAATCTTCCTGCTGTCCGCTCTTTGGTCCGCACCACCTTTAAGAGCTGTAACACTCACCGTGAAGGTCCGCGGCTTCATTCTTGAAGTGAGCGAGACCAAGAACCCACCGGAAGGAACCATCTCCGGACACAGTTCCACAGCCAGGGGACAGTGGAGGTTTGGCTAGCTGTCTGGCAAAGCTCCGGTTTTTTTTTTTGTCATAACGGGCACAGGGAAAGGAGGGCGGGTAAATAGATTTGTGCAAACCTTTCAACACTAATGGAACAGACAAGGAGCAGATGCTGTCCTCCTGGCTGGTCAGTGAAATTGACTCTGTCCATGAAGGAAGCTGCATTTTCCCAGTGACTTGGGTGGAAGTACCTGGCGCAGGAGATAGATACAGGGATCAGGGAAGCAAACTGTTGTTAACAAAACCCTGGTTAAAAGTAGGTAGTAATTAACTTTTGCTTTTTCTTATTGTGATATGGAGGAAGTTCCTAAGGCTCTTGAAAGTCAATTTAGAAACCTTGTGTCTGATTGCGTGAGTGTGACTGATACTCCAAAGCAAAGCGAGTAATATTCATTTCAGTAAGGCTGTCGTTTCAGGCGAATGGAGAATATTATTTATTGTAGGCATTAAAAGAAATTAATATACTTTATTTATTTTGAGACGGAGTTTTGCTCTTGTCGCCCAGGCTGGAGTGCAGTGGCGCTATCGCGGCTCACTGCAACCTCCGCCTCCCAGGTTTCAAGGGGTTCTCCTGCCTCAGCCTCCCGACTAGCTGGGATTACAGGCGCCTGCCAGCATGTCCAGCTAATTTTTGTATTTTTAGTAGAGTCGGGGTTTCACCATGTTGTCCAGGCTGGTCTCGAACTCCTGACCTCAGGTGATCCACCCGCCTCGGCCTCTCAGAGTGCTGGGATTACAGGTGTGAGCCACTGCGCCCCGCCTAAACTAAATTAATATAGTTTAAACATTCAACCTCTTTAAGAGCTTCCCCTCTCCTAGGGATGTGTAGGTATGAGATGGGGAGTGGGGAATCACAACGTTTTGGGTTTTTAAAAATGTGAAAGTGTATGCACAAAGGCAGTAAATGTGTTTTTCAGAAGCAGTAATTACTGGAAAAGTACATCTAGGTTCATTGCTTTAGCGGCCTGAGTGAGATCGCAGCACCCTGGCTGGCTTGTGTGGGCTTTGGCCTGTTTTCTGTTGCCTGGAGGTCTGTAGTGTTAGGCAAGTCTGAAAACTAGGTAACACTTTTGCCCTGTATCAGAGAAACAGACTGAGTTCTAGAAATCAGCTAACTTGTACTGAGAAGGTTTTATGTATCTTTAACAAATTCAGCCCACCGGGAGAGGAAAAGGAGAATTTCAGACTAGAAATCAGGAATTTTGTATATTCCCAAGTGAAGATTTTTCTTGTAGGTTACAAGGAGGATGAGGCGCAAATATATTACAAATATTAAAACGGACAAACCAATCGTATCTGGAAAATGTAGAGTTGTCTGGAAAAATAATCTTGGAAACTTTACTTTTTGTACTATGCAACCTCTAATTTACAAATAACATCCAAATCATTCAAACGAACAGCGTCGCAGGGCTGCACACCGCCAGGGGGCGCCATTTACATGGGACCCAGTGGGAGTAGAGCAGTGTGATGGCCTGCAACTGACCAACCTGCCTTTTACTGCCCTTTCATGCTCCCAGCCCCTGCTGCTCTCCTGGGTTAGAAATTGAAAGTTTATACCAAACTCATGGGTTTACAAGTGGAAACATCACACCCTTAGCATCGTCTTTCCTGAACACTCCATCTACAATAGCTTTTTCCTCATCTAAATCTCTGGCCAGGCACAGCGGCTCACGCCTGTAATCCCAGCACTTTGGGGTGCCGAGGCAGACGGGTCACTTGAGGTCGGGAGTTTAAGATCAGCCTGGCCAACGTGATGAAACCCCATCTCTACTAAAAACACAAAAATTAGCTGGGCATGGTGGTGGGCGCCTGTAATCCCAGCTACTCGGGAGGCCAACGCAGGAGAATTGCTTGAACCCGGGAGGTGGAAGTTGCAGTGAGCTGAGATCGAGGCTGCACTCCAGCCTGGCTGACAGAGCGAAACTCTGTCTCAAAATAAAATATAAAATAAAATAATCTTTTCCTTAATATTCTCGCTATTTATATCCTCTATTATCTGCCTCTCCACGCCTGTTTATTCCTTCAGAGCATTTATCGCAATTTGTACTTATTTTGTTTAATTGTTTGTTGTCTATCGCCATCATTATCTTTTCAACATGTAATCCACATGAGAAAATACTGATACAATCTTTTCACTTATTTTTTTCACACTAAGTCTTTGAAATCAGGTGTGTATTTTCCGTGGACACGCATCTCAGTTTCACTGGCCGCTCTGCAGTGCTCAAGGACCATGTGTGGCTTGTGGCTGCCATACTGGACAGTGCAGGTCTGGTGCTTAAACTTAGGGTCCACACATAGTAAATACTTGCTGAATGAATGGATAGGAAGAAGCTGAGGAAAACAGGAACTTTTTAAGGAACCCTGATCCTCTATGTCCTCCTGTAAAAGGTTTAAAATTTTTTCACTTGTATACTGCCTGAAATTTTACCAATTAGAGATTCTTTTGTATTTAATACATCCTCATTAAAAAATTTCTTAGTGATACCCCTGAGAAGTTTGAAATCAGTCACATATATTTAGGAGTTATTGCCGTCAGACTGCTTTCCTCCCAATTCCCGGAGGAGTATGTATATTAGTTTTCGTTTCTTTTTTTCGTGTTTTTTTTTTTTTTTCCCTTGGAGTCTTGCTCTTGTTGCCCAGGCTGGAGTGCAGTTCTTTCAGCTCACTGCAACCTCTGCCTCCTGGTTTCAAGTGATTCTCCTGCCTCAGCCTCCCGAGTAGCTGGGATTACAGGTGCCCACCACCACGCCCGGCTAATTTTTGTATTTTTAGTAGAGACGAGGTTTCTCCATGTTGGCCAGGCTGGCCTTGAACTCCTGACCTAGTGATCCACCTGTCTTGGCCTCTCAAAGTGTTGGGATTACAGGCATGAGCCACTGCACCCGGCCTCTTTTGTTTTTTACTCTGAGACATAGTCTTGCTCTGTCACCCAGGCTGGAGTGCAGTGTGCATGATCTCGACTCACTGCAACCTCCACCTCTCGGGTTCAAGCAATCCTCCCGCCTCAGCTTTCTTAGTAGCTGAGACTACAGACTAGCACCACCACACCTGGCTGGTCTTGTATTTTTAGTAGAGACAGGGTTTCACCATGTAGGCCAGGCTGGTCTCGAACTCCTGACCTCCGGTGATCCACCCGCCTCGGCCTCCCAAAGTGAGCCACCGCGCCTGGCAGTATATTAGTTTTCTATTGCTGTGTTACAAATGATCACAAACTCAGTGGCTTACAATAACACCCATTTATTAGCACACAAATTCTGTGGGTCAGAAGTCTAGGTGCAGCATGGCTGGATTCTCTGCTCAGGGTCTCATAAAGCTGACATCAAGGCGTCAGTCAGGCTGCCTTTCTTTCTGGAGCTTGGAGTTGTCTTCAGGGTTCACATGGTTGTTGGCAGAATGCAGTTCCTTACTGCATCCATCAGTTAGAGGCTCGATCCCAGAGGCCACCTGCCGTGTCCTGCCATGTGGCCCTCTCCACAACATGGCAGTTTGCTCTTGCAAGGCTAGCAGGAGCTTCTACTGCAACTTCAGATCTCTCCGACTTGCTGTCTCTGACTTCTTGATTCTTTTCCAAAAGGGCTCACCAATCAGTGGGAATCTTGGGGGCCATTCTGCCTCTCCTAGGGAGATTAGCTGAATTAGAGAAGTAGTTATTTCTTGAATCTGGAAAACAGGGCTATGGAAGTTCCAGGCTGGCATCATGAAAACATCCATTCACAGATACTTTATTGAACTCCTGCTCTGTGCCGGGTGCTAGGCCTGCAGCGGCTGACAGGGCAGGTAGATCCCTGCCCTCCTGAAGCTCCTAGGCCAGAGGACACTGGAGAGGTTTTATTGCCATTTAAAAATAGATGATGGCCATAGTTGCACAAGTCTGTAAGTGTATTAAGAACCATTGAATTGGTATGTAAAGTACATCTCAGTAAAGCTGTTTTTTGTTTTGTTGTTGTTGTTGTTGTTGTTGTTTTTGAGATGGAGTCTCACTCTGTTGCCCAGGCTAGAGTGCTATGGCGCAATCTCGGCTCACTGCACCCTCCGCTTCCTGGGTTCAAGCAATTCTCCTGCCTCAGTCTCCCGAGTAGCTGGGACTACAGGCACGTGCCACCACGCCCGGCTAATTGTTTGTATTTTTAGTAGAGACGGGGTTTCACTGTGGTAGCCAGGATGGTCTCGAACTCCTGACCTCGTGATCCACCCACCTCGGCCTCCCAAAGTGCTGGGATTACAGACGCGAGCCACCGTGCCCGGCCAAAGCTGTTTTTTTAGAAATAGAAGTGCTTACAGATTTGTTTGAGCAGAATAGATACCCATGTTCAGAGAGAGAGAGAGAGAGCCATTGAGAGGCAGAGAGTGCCGAATGTGAATTCTGTGTAAATTGAAAAGTTACGGTCCCCGTCCATAAGGAGATGGCTCTGGTTGTCTTGAATTTAGACAGCTTTCCAGAGGAGGAGGTTCTCTCCTGCAGCAGTGTGGGAAAAAAATCTACCAGATTTGGACCAGAATGACTGCAATTTAGGTCAGAACATGATACTTAGAGGGAAAAAAGTAATCATGGCTTGAATAGCTGCCCTAAGGCCAGCTACAGGGCTGCAGGGGTCTGTGGAACCTTTCTTGTCAGAACTCAGGATCCTTAGGAGTCCCCACAAGGGCATGGAGGCTGTGGCCATCATGAGTGGAAGAACCAGCTTCCAAAGGAACCTAGGATTGTTCTGGCCCTGGCTCCAGGTGCATATCTCTGCTTTCCGTGAGCATTGAATGGGAAATCACGTGTTAGCAGAATAAATCCCAGAATACACATTCAGGAGGAGATGGTTCCACATGGCACGTAAGTCCTTTGCCTTATTGATGTTTGTCTGGCAGATGTCCTTAAGCCTTCCCATCAAGGGCTTTATTCTAAGGGTGGCTAACTGGCTATTTAAACCTCATCTCAATAGTGTCTGTCTAGGATGGCAAAATCACACCAGGTTCTGCTGGGCAAATCTCCCAGGTGGCGTATTGCTAGAGGAGAGCGCCACTGCAGAGGACACACTGTCTTGGCCACTGGCTTTGCAAACCATAGTGGAGGAGGGAGTCTGGGGTCACCAACCACTTCCTGGCTGACTGCCTGAGCCACATTATACAAGACTGTTTGTTGACTTAGTAATACTGAAGCCAGAGCTCACCAAGATTCTGACATCAAGCATGAAAGTGACTAATTCTTTCATTTCCCAGCACTTTGACAAAGGGGACTCTCTTAAAACTCCTCATCGGACGTTAGTGGAAGTCGACTCATGTATCTAAACATGTAGCCAGCGTAAGTTCTTGGTCAGATTGATCTAATGACTTTTTTAGCGTGTGTGTGTGTGTGTGTGTGTGTGTTTAATCTTTTTAAGTTTGGGTGAAGTTTGACCTTCTAGAATTCCTGTTTATTCCTGAGCAAAGAAAAAAAAATCAACCCTTTTTAATTCCTTTAGCATCATATCTGACCATCTTTAGGGTGTTGTTTCTTTCCTAGACTGAATCACTCAGAGAAATAAGATTGGCCAACAAATGTAATTTGATGATACCCTATAATAATGTTGTTTAAGTACCTAATCTAAGCCGCTAATCTCCAAAGACTGTTCCCCCGCCCCATGTCATCTTACACACACACACAGGCACAAAAACACACACATTCTGTTCTGATTATATTTGCTGTATTAAGGCCAAATCCAGGTGTTTCTGAGCACTAGTTTGTGTGTTTTTATGTTGAAAATAACTAGTTTATGTATTTATTTATTTATTTATTTTTGAGATGGAGTCTCACATTGTCATCCAGGCTGGAGTGCAGTGGTGTGATCTTGGCTCACTGCAACCTCCGCCTCCTGGGTTCAAGTGATTCTCCTGCCTCAGCATCCCAAGTAGCTGGGATTGCAGGTACCCACCGCCACGCCCGGCTAATTTTTATATTTTTAGTAGAGATGGGGTTTCACCAGGTTGGCCAGGCTGGTCTCGAACTCCTGACCTCAGGTGATCTGCTCACCTCGGCCTCTCAAAGTGTTGGGATTACAGGAGTGAGCCACCGCACCGGGCCAAAAAATCCAATTTCTTAGAGATTAAATAACCCTTCAGGATTATCAAAGGAAATAATTAGGGAAAGGTAGATGTTCTGTCCCAGTAAGAGAAGAAAGTGGTCCAGAAATTTTATCTCCCATCAAATGATCCATTTTACTTAAGTATTAAACCAAGTGACATTCTTCAGTTTAACTCTGATAAATGAATCATATTCCTCTTCGAAAATAACTTTTGTATTTCGTGCTCTAAAAAGAGAACCACCCCTACACTCTTGGAAATTATTCCTTTTAATGGCAGTAAAAACCTTTGGCTTTCATAGGCATCATCAGCAGAGATGTTAGTTCATGAGCACCTGTGAGTTTCTCAAAATTAGTATCTGAAAATGATGGGAACACACAAGCGATACCATCATGTCTTTGGCACATTTAGTTGAAAACTTAAAATTCTTCCGGTGGAGGTAAGCAAATTGGAAGGTATTAAAAATGATCAGAGTGTACTATTCAGAGTTATAGATTTACCCTTCCATCCAAGATGGCTGCGCCTTGGAAACCCCCAGCTCACTTTTACTAGCAGTGCCTCCAGATCCAGTTTCTAAATCACACAGGGAGATTAACATTATTCTTTTATAGTCACACTGCATGTGGACTAAAATAATTTTTTTTAAAGAGACCGGGGTCTCGCCATGTTGCCCAGGCTGGTCTCAAACTCCCGAGCTCAAGTGATCTACCAGCCTTGGCCTCCCAAAGTGCTGGGATTATAGGTGTGAGCCGCTGCGCTTGGCTAAAATAAATATTTTAAAATTTAACACGATTATTATTTTGAAATTGGAACTCTAAAAGACTTTTCAAAATTCAAAATGATCAGGAATGTTAAAAACAATGAAAAAAAGCACCCCTAAACCTGCCCTAGATTCCCCAGGGGAGAGTCAAAGATGTTTTGCTTTGTATCAGCACTATTGAAATAAACATATTGTCACCTAAAAGGAACTATTTGAAGAGGACTGCACTTCACTGGATGTGTATATCCTGGTGAGTTTTTTATTAATGTTTATTGTTTTTTAAAAAATGTGTTAAAATGGCTGGGTGCAGTGGCTTACACCTGTAATCCTAGCACTTCGGGAGGCCAAGGCAGGCGGATTACTTGAGGTCAGGAGTTGGAAACCATGGTCAGGAGTTGGCCAACATGGTGAAACCCCATCTCTACTAAAAATACAGAAAAGTTAGCCGGGCATGGTGGTGCACGCCTGTGACCCCAGCTACTCAGGAGGCTGAGGCAGGAGAATCGCTTGAACCTGGGAGGCAGAGGTTGTGGTGAGTCAAGATCGCACCACTGCACTCCAGCCTGGGCTACAGAGCAAGACTCCACCTCAAAAAAAAAAAAAAAGCAGAAAAATGTGTTAAAAATATACACATAACATTTGCCATCTTAAAACTTTTCGAGTGTACAGTTTCAGTAGAATTGGGTACACTTACATTGTTGTCCAGCCATCACCACCGCCCATCTTCAGAACAGTTTTCATCTTGCAGAATTGAAACTCTGTATCCATTTAACCCTAAATCCCTATTTCTCCCTACCCCAAAGCCCCTGGCAACCACCATCCTACTTTCTGTCTCTGTGAATTTGACTACTCTAGGTATCTGATCAGGTTTTTTTTTTTAATTGGTTATTACTTATCATTAAACTCATTCATCGTTTCTTGAAATAAACCCAATAAACTTTAATGGAAGCTCATAAGAATTTTTTTCTGAATTCTGCCCTCTGTCAAAGGAAGAAAATGACAACATGGACGCATATCTGTATTTGGGTGGCATTAATGACTCAGTGACCTTCACTTTTGCAGCCAGCGAAATACTTGGCAATTTTAATTTAGAAATATTACTGTATCATCATTTAACAGAAATACTTACTAAAGCAGAAATATACTGACTTTAGAAGCATTTCAAAGAAGCAGGGTTGGCACTGACCAGTGTTCTCTTAAGGTAGAAGACAGAATATTTGACTAAAGACAGTGCTGTAGCAGGTAGAAATAGACATTATTTAGACCCCTTTTCTGAGTAAGGAAGACCAGTTAAAATGTTAGCTTATTTTTTGGGATTTTAGAAATGTTTAACTCAAGAGAAAAATATAACTTAAGTCAGTGTAATGGCGTATGAATAAGTTAACCGTGTAACATTTTCTTTTTTCTTCTGCCTCAGCCTCGCGAGTAGCTGAAACTGAACAGGCACCCGCCACCACACCCGCCTAATTTTTGTATTTTTCACAGAGATGGGGCCTCACCACATTGACCAGGCTGTTCTCAAACTCCTGACCTCATGATCCACCCATCTCAGCTTCCCAAAGTGCTGAGATTACAAGCGTGAGCCACCATGCCCGACCCATCTTATTTTTTAAAGAGGGAGTTTAGTACTGATTCTTAGATCAAAAGCAGCCAAATCCCCAGTATCACAGAAGAGATGAGGGTCTGGTTATGTGGCCCAGGCTGGTCTCAAACTCCTAGGCTCAAGTGATCCTCCCGCCTTAACCTCCTAAAGTGCTGGGATTACAGGCATGAGCCACCAAGCCTGGCCTTCTTTAACCTTTGTGTTGTAAATGTGTAATGTTTTGGTAACAGTAAGGGTTAAATAAACACCTTTTCTCCCTAGTAGGAAAATGCTTCTCAGATTGGATTGAAACTCTGAAGACCAACATTTTTCTAGATACTTTCTTGGATAGTGTTCATGACAAACTGCTACTTGAAAGTGGCAGGACCATTGTACTATAAAATCTAATAAAGCCCAGGTCATTGGCTATAGGGAGTTGAAAGCTCTATTTGTAGACATCACTAGGAGAACTGACAAGAATGAAAATGTTACACAGTTAAGGCCGGGCACGGTGGCTCACGCCTGTAATCCCAGCACTTTGGGAGGCCGAGGCGGGTGGATCATGAGGTCAGGAGATCGAGACCATCCTGGCTAAACCCCGTCTCGACTAAAAATACAAAATATTAGCCAGGCGTGGTGGCGGGCGCCTGTAGTCCCAGCTACTTGGGGAGGCTGAGATAGAAGAATGGTGTGAACCCGGGAGGCGGAGCTTGCAGTGAGCCGAGATTGTGCCACTGCACTCTAGCCTGGGCAACAGAGTGAGACCCCGTCTCGAGGAAAAAAAAAAAAGGTTGCCAGGAGCAGTGGCTCATACCTATAATCTCAACACTTTGGGAGGATGAGGTAGGAGGATCACTGAGCCTAGAAGTTCAAGAACAGCCTGGCCAACATAGTGAGACCCCATATCTATTTATGTATATATTTTAAAAGTTATAGAAAACAACGCTCTTATTAAACTGGTAATTAGCAACTAAAGTAGAAAAACATCACTGGATAGATGGCTGAGAAAAGGGATCTGTAATCACCTGCTTATCTGGACAGGTTTTTTCTTTTTTTTTTTTTTAGAGATAGGGTCCCACTCTGTTGCCCAGGCACCATCATGACTCATTGTAGCCTCACACTTCTGGGCTCATGCTATCCTCCTGAGTAGCTAGGACAACGGGTCTGCACCACCATGTCTGGCTAATTTTTTTCTTTTTGTAGAGATGGGCGGGGAGGTGTCTTGTTACATTGCCCAGGCTGGTCTCGAACTCTTAGCCTCAAGCAATCCTCCTGTCTTGGCCTCCCAAAATGCTGGGATTACAGGTGAGAGCCACCACACCTGGCCTGGACAGGTAGTTTTGAAAACAGGGGTTATCACTAGAGAAGTCTGTGCTTGAGCTGAGGAGCATGTCTTCTGAAATGTGTAAATTTCCTATAGTTAGTTCCCTGGTGGCGTGGCCCTCCATCAAGAACATTTTGCTGAGTTTTCCCTGACTTAAAATAATAACAGTGATGCTGGTGCTGATGAAAAGACTGATGTGGCCCTTACATCCCACATGAATCATCATTCGGGATTATTGTAGCCTCCATAAAAGTGACGCAGTGGATGAAAGTGGTTTTTCTCAATACTTAAAAACACTGTGAAAATGAGATAGGTTTAAAGATATAAATGTGATTTTTTAAATCCTGCCCCCCCACCCAAGTGCCAGGAGTTTGGTAACTAGAATTGCATTTAGTCATCGGGGTACAGATTGTACTGTGCGGGCTGGAGACTCAAACCCTGGGCTATTGAAGGCCATGACAAATGCTCATTTTTTAATATTATGTTTTTGCTGCTCATGAAGAAGCATCATGTTCAAAATGAAAAATCTTTAGATTCAGGACTTAATAGTTCACCTCTTTTGGATTGCGTTTGACGGAAACTTGGACACAGCTGAGTGTAATTATGCTTTTCAGCAGCATGACTTATAGTACTGCAGATATGGGCATACTTTGAGATTTTTCTTTTTGCCAAAATTTGTCTGAAAAGGAGCTTGGTGGTGGTTGTGTGTGCTTGTGTGTTTTTAAGGTAATTAGGCTATTAGAGGTCCAAATGGAATAATCCCCTTAAGCCTTTTCAGGAAAAACACTTTGGAAAGGTTAAGTAAATTTAAAATTAGCCATTATTTACGTAGGTGCTCAGCCTTTTGACCATGTTCTCTAGGAGTTGTTTCTTTTACATTTAGGTTATGTTTGTCAGAAACCATCTTATTTTTTATTTTTATTTTTCTTTCTTTCTTTATTTTTGAGATGGAGTCTCATTCTGTTGCCCAGGCTGGAGTGCAGTGGCGTGATCTCAGCTCACTGCAACCTCTGCCCTCAGGTTCAAGCAATTCTCCTGCCTTAGCCTCCCAAGTAGCTGGGATTACAGGCACCGGCCACCACACCTGGCTAATTTTTGTATTTTAGTAGGGACGGGGTTTCATCATGTTGGCCAGGCTGGTCTTGAACTCCTGACCTCAGGTGATCCACCAGCCTCGGCCTCCCAAAGTGCTGTGATTACAGGCGTGAGCCACCACACCTGGCCTTATTTTTATTTTTTGAGATGGGGTCTCTCTGTTGCCCAGACTGGAGTGCAGTGGTGCAATCACTGCTCGCTGCAGCCTTCACCTCCCTGAGCTCAAGCCTCAGCCTCCTGAATAGCTGGGACCACAGGTGTGTGCCACTACACTGGGCTAATTAAAAAAAAAAGTTTAGAGACAGGGTCTTGCTATGTTGCCCAGGCTGTTTTTCAACTCCTGGGCTCAAGGAATCCTCCTGCCTCATCCTCCCAAAGTGCTGGGATTACAGGTATAAGCCATTTCACCTGGCAACCATCTTATTTTTTTAAATTTATTTTTATTTATTTATTTTTTGAGACGAAGTCTCACTCTTATCCCCTAGGCTGGAGTGCGATGGTGTGATCTCAGCTCACTGCAACCTCTGCCTCCCAGGTTCAAGCGATTCTCCTGCCTCAGCCTCCCAAGTAGCTGGGATTACAGGCGCCTGCCACCACGCCCGGCTAATTTTTGTATTTTTAGTATAGACGGGGTTTCTCCATGTTGGCCAGGCTGGTCTCGAACTCCTGACCTCAGGTAATCCACCCGCCTCGGCCTCTCAAAGTGCTGAGATTGCAGGCGTCAGCCACCACGCCTGGCCGTGACCATCTTATTTTTTTAAAGAGAGAGTTCAGTACTGGTTCTGAGATCAAAAGCAGCCAGATCCCTGGTATCACAGAAGCTTCATCACGGATTCATCTATTTTTCATCTCCAGAATGGCCACCTCAGTGCTGTCCTGGCCAAAAATCTGTTCTCTAGACCTGGAGAAGGAACTGCCCTGAGGGTCTTCCACACCTCTCTTTTTGAGAAAAGTTAAGAACAAAGTAAAAAGATGCAGTGGAGAAATGACGTCGGGGGTTAATGGATTGGGATTTTAGGGCTGGAGTCCAGGCTTATGTTGCTCTCTGCTGAGCTCAGGATCTGCACTGAACATCTCTCTAAATCATGGGCTGGGGTAAAACCTGCTTACACTGGCTCAGACCGGAGGACTTTGCAGCCACCTCAAGACACACGTTTGGGTGTGTCCCATCTCCAATCAGGATGTTCAACTTGCTTTCTTGGATCTTTTTGAATTGCGAATTTGGCCATAGCTGACCACTTGTTTTTGCATCAATACTTCAAAGGGTTCAAGGCCAGGTGCGGTGGCTCACGCCTGTAATCCCAGCACTTTGGGAGGCCGAGGCGGGCCGATCACGAGGTCAGGAAATCGAGACTATCCTGGCTCACATGGTGAAACCCTGTCTCGACTAAAAATACAAACAATTAGCCGGGCGTGGTGGCGGGCACCTGTAGTCCCAACTACTCGAGAGGCTGGGGCAGGAGAATGGTGTGAACCCGGGAGGCGGAGCTTGCAGTGAGCCGAGATCGCGCCACTGCACTCCAGCCTGGGCGACAGAGCGAGACTCCGTCTCCAAAAAAAAAAAAAAAAAAGTGTTCAAATTTTAAGTCCTGGTAATTTATCCCCTCCCATAGCAAGTATTGGCGCAAAAGTAATTGTGGTTTCAGACCATGAATTTTAAATCATTGTAACTAGGCCCAAATACATCTTTATTAATCAAAATAATCAACACATTTTTGCCAATGAGAAATAAGTTTGTTTTTTCCTTTAATGTAAAAATCTGTGCTTCGGGATTCAGCGAACTCTTGGAAAGCATTTTTTTCTTCATCCTGCTGGTTGTGGAAGCGTTTTTCTGTATAAAAAGTTGTCGAGATGCTTGAAGAAGTGGTAATCGGTTGGCAAGAGGTCAGGTGAATATGGCGGAGGAGGCAAAACTCTGTAGCCCAATTGGTTCAACTTTCTAGGCATTGGTTGTGCGACGTGCAGTTGGGTGTTGTGGAGAAGAATTGGGCCCTTCCTGTTGACCAGTGCCGGCTGCAGGAGTTGCAGTTTTTGGTGCATCTCATCGATTTGCTGAGCATACTTCTCAGCTGTAATGGTTTCCCCAGGATTCAGAAAGCCGTAATGGATCAGACCAGCAGCAGCGACCACCAGTGACCGGGATCTTTTTTTGGTGCAAGTTTGGCTTTTGGGAAGTGCTTTGGATTTTCTTCTCAATCCAACCACTGAGCTGATCATCACCAGTTGTCGTATAAAATCTATTTTTCATTGCACGTCACAATCCGATCGAGAAATGGTTCATTGTTGTGGCATAGAGTAAGGGAAGACAACACTTCAAAACGACAATGTTTTTGATTTTCGCTCAGCTCATGAGGCATGCACTTATGAAGCTTTCTCACCTTTCCAATTTGCTTCAAAGGCCGAGTAACCATAGAGTGGTTGACGCAGAGTTCTTCGGCAACTTCTCGTGTAGTTGTAAGAGGATCAGCTTTTTTTTTTTTTTTTTTTTTTTTGAGACGCAGTCGCGCTCTGTTTCCCAGGCTGGAGTGCAGTGGTGCGATCTCGGCTCACTGCAACTTCCGCCTCCTGGGTTCAAGCGATTCTCCTGCCTCAGCCTCCCGAGTAGCTGGGATTACAGGCACATGCCACCACGCCCGGCTAATTTTTGTATTTTTAGTAGAGACGGGGTTTCACTGTGTTAGCCAGGCTGGTCTCGAACTCCTGACCTTGTGATCTGCTCACCTCGGCCTCCCAAAGTGCTGGGATTACAGGCGTGAGCCACTGTGCCTGTCAGAGGGTAAACTTTGATGGTTGTTCTCAGTTGGTCGTTGTCAACTTTCAATGGCTGGGCACTAGCTTCATCTTCAAGGCTCTCGTCTCCTTTGAAAAACTTCTTGAACCACTACTGCACTGTGCATTCTTTAGCCATTCCTGGGGGCAAATGCGTTGTTGATGTTGAGAGTTGTCTCCGCTGCTTTACCACACATTTTGAACTCGAATAAGAAAATCGCTTGAATTTGCTTTTTGTCTAACATCATTTCCATAGTCTAAAATAAAATAAACAGCAAGTAATAAGTCATTAGCAAAAAAAGTGAAAGAATGTGCATTAAAATGATGTATAACATAACCACATTTATTTAAGAATGTATTCCAATATCAAATGGCAAATTCCAACAGTGCAAAAACTTACCCCTGAAAACAGGCATAGTCACTTTCAAACTTGATTTTTCTTTCATTTTACTCTACCTTTTCATTTGATGAAACACCTTTGCATTTTATCTCCCTGAGCCAAAGTACCTGTAAGTTGCCCGGAGTTGGGGTTGGTGCAATACTGTGGAAGAGTGTGGACACGGAAGACCTAGTCAGTCCTTGCTGTGTGATATCAATGATTTGATTGAGAAAGACTCATTTTCCTGGGCCTCACCTGTCAATTTTCTCAACTGTCAAATGCCCTCTTTTGGCCTGTATTAGGGGCTGATCTCATGCAATACGGAGCCTACTCTGCAAATACAAGGGGTCATGGTCATTGTCCATTTGTGGGGAGTGTGAAAACACCTGGTGATCATGATGGGCTAGGTACTGTTTCACACTTTAAAATGCCTTTATTTTAGGGGGACCCTCTAGTGCCATAGGTATTTTGGAGTCTCTGCTTTCCAAATGGCCTATGGGAAATCCTGAGATGTCCGTGGGATCTAACTTTGCCCAGTGGGAATGTTGTGTCATAGTCATAAAGGCTTAAGGATTAGTTTATTTCCAGCCCTGCAGGGGCTATAAATTGCTACTTTAAATTTCATTCCAGCACCCTGATGTTTATGTTGCTATGGTGGTGTGTCTCTTGCTCGGGTGACAAGATTGCCATTGGAAATAGGCCAAAATAACAGCCTAACAGGTGGCTGTGCTTTGGGAAGTCATTTGCAAAACTATTTTGCGAAGAAGTCTGGTGCAAATAAGTCACATGACTGTGCCCTTAACTGTAGTTTATAGTTTAGCATTTTTTTAAAACGCATTCCTCCCCCTTTCCGTTTTATATATAGACTTTTTTCCTCTTTCAAGTAGTGCCGTGCTGATTTCCTGTAGTAACACAAGGAAAGATTTCAGCTCATTTTATTTAGCAGTGGATGTCCTTTCCTTATTTTTTGTAACCAGAGCCCTCTTTCTAAAAATAACCCTTCTTTTCCTAATGTGATTCTTCTTATAGCTGATGTACTCTATTTAAATGAAAGGCCTCTTTTTAACATGCCCATTTTAATCGATATATATTTATTACATATAACTATATATAATAAAATACATATATAAATATATAATAAAAGTAGATTTCCCTGTAGGGTCTAATCCTTCGTGAATGTGGTAGCAGAAATTGTTCGTTACGCTTTCACCTGCCAATTATGATTGTTTTCTTTCTTTCTGTTTTTTTTTGGAGATGGTGTCTCACTCTGTCATGTCACCCAGGCTGGGGTGCGGTGGTGCCAACTCGGCTCACTGCATCACTGCAACCTCCACCTCCCGGGTTCAGGCAATTCTCCTGCCTCAGCCTCCCGAGTAGCTGGGATTACAAGCATGCACCACCACACCCAGCTAATTTTTGTATTTTTAGTAGAGACGGGGTTTCACCATATTGGCCAGGCTGGTCTCAAACTCCTGACCTCAAGTGATCCGCCCGCCCTGGTCTCCCAAAATGCTGGGATTACAGGCGTGAGCCACCGCGCCTGGCCAGTTTTCTTTCTTTTGAGATAAAATCACGGAAAGAACCTGAGTATTAAACCAGTTAAACTTCCTACCCACTTAAGAGTCCTTTCTATGATAATCTTGGATGGCAATCATCTTGCCTTTGGGCTTAATACCAGCCATCGCTTGGGTGTGGGCTCTTTTTGGTAATACAACCTCTATGATTTTCCACTTTGATTTGTTGGAAGATGCTTTCTCATGTTTAGTTGGTATCTGACTCCTTAGAGCTTTCAGGATCGTTTCTACCACTATAGTGACAAACACAAGCCCTTTCCACATGCTGACTCTTTAAACATTTAAAGAAATCTATAATGTTGGCTGGGTGCGGTGGCTCATGCCTGTAATCCCAGCATTTTGGGAGGCCGAGGCAGGTGGATCATGAGGTCAGGAGTTCAAGACCAGCCTGGCCAAGATGGTGAAACCCCATCTCCACTAAAAATACAAAAATTAGCCGGGCCTGGTGGTGGGCGCCTGTAATCCCAGATACTCAGGAGGCTGAGGCAGAGAATTGTTTGAACCCAGGAGGCGGAGGTTGCAGTTAGCCGGGATTGCGCCACTGCACTCAAGCCTAGAAGACAGAGTGAGACTCTACCTCAAAGAAAAAAAAAAAAGAAAAGAAAAGAAATCTAGATTGTTCTCCTTTGATCTTCTCTTCCACTGGCTTGCTACTCTCAATTCCTTCAGATTGAATTTATGAAATGCTTTTGTCTCCCTCACCATTCCTGTGGTTCCTCTTTCTTATTGCCCTTTAGAAAATATTGAACGCAATGCGTTACAGCAGAGGTCAACTAACTTTTTCTGCAAACCGCCAGATAGCAATATTTTAGACTTGCAAGCCGTAAGGTCTCTGTTGCAACTACTCAACTCTGACCTCGTAACATGAAAGCAGGCATAGGGCAACATGTAAATGAATAGGCGTGGCTGTGTTCCAGTAACATTTTATTTGTGGACACTGAAATTTGAATTTCATAAAATTTTCACATGCCACGAAATATTATGTGCCTTTTGCTTTTTCTTTTCCAACCATTTAAAAATGCAAAACCCATTTGTAGTTGGAGAGGCGTACAAAAACAGGCTATGGGCTGCATTTGGCCCATGGGCCGTTATTTACTGATCTTAGATATTGGAGGACCAGTGCTGAAACCACTGGAACTTCAGCTTTAACACTAGCACTGTCATTTTCAGAAGCCGCATCAAACTGCTGGCTGCTTCTGACAAGGTGGTCAGTTACACTTGGTCTTCTCCACCCCCCATCCCCCGCCCCTCCGCCATTTCCTGACAAAGCTGTCTCTCTAACCTGTGGGTATGTGTTCTGCCGAAAACAAGCAGCCATACCACAGCAGCCGTAACCATAGGACTTTGAAACAAATGCAATGAATGGCATCCACTAGTTTCAAGTTTGACCACATGTTTTTATTGTTTGTTTGTTTGTTTTTTGAGTTGGAGTCTCGCTTTGTCGCCCAGGCTGGAGTGCAGTGGCGCAATCGCTGTTCACTGCAATCTTCCCCTCCCTGGATCAAGTGATTCTCCTGCCTCAGCCTCCCAAGTAGCTGGGATTACAGGTGCCCACCACCATGCCCGGCTAATTTTTGTGTTTTTAGTAGAGACAGAGTTTCACCATGTTGGCCAGACTAGTCCGGAACGCCTGACCTCAAGTGATCTGCCCACCTTGGCCTCCCAAAGTGCTGGGATTACAGGCGTGAGCCACCGCGCCTAGCCTGACCACGTTTTTGATTCTTGCTTCTGTTATATCTGTATTAACCGTTCTTCTTAGCTTCGTGGCAGATGTGATAAGCATGCCTTTGTGTCTTTCTCTAAGTCACTGACTTTTCAGTAACATCTAAATCATAAAACATAGGTCTGGCCAGGTGAAGTGCTTGTGCCTGTAATCCCAAGGGGCCAAGGCGGGAGGATTGCTTTAGTCCAGGAGTTGGAGACTAGCCTGGGCAACACAGTGGACCTCATCTCTACAAAAAAAAAAAAAAAAAAAAAAAGTCATGACTGCTTTCCTTTGTTGCAGAAACCAGTAGGTATTTGGGTGTAGAAATGAAACCCTCAATTATATTCATAAGGCTAAAAATGAACTATTCCCTACTTCCTCATTTGTTTTGATTTTTAAAATAAGGTTCTCGTTAGATATTTTGAGAAACAGTTTAAGATTATAATTTTGTATGCAGAGGAGAAAATTTAGAAAATGGTGAAGCCAACTTTTTTAGTGTATAAACATTTAATCATAATTATATATGTGTCCGTGTGGACATTTATTTACCAAGGCTTTGCTTTAAGGGGAAGGGAGAACACAGAGGGCCAACATTTATGGAACATTCTAGTGGGCCAGGCCCAATGTGTTAATCATCTCATTTCAATTTTGCAGTTATCCTCCAAGGTGGATCCTATTATCTTCATTTAACAGACGTGGAAATTGAGGCTTAGAGGATTTGACAAAATTACCCCCATCATTAATGGCAGAGCTGGGTGTAAACCCTGGGCTTGGACTGGCGTTATGTCTCACGGCTGTAATCCTAGCATTTTGGGAGGCTGAGGTGGGTGGATCACCTGAGGTCAGGAGTTTGAGACCAGGCTGGCCAACATCCTGAAACCCTGTCTCCACTAAAAATACGAAAATTAGCCGTGTGTGGTGGCAGGTGCCTGTAATCCCAGCTACTTGGGAGGCTGAGGCAGGAGAATCCCTTGAACCTGGGAGGTGGAGGTTGCAGTGAGCCGAGATTGCGCCGCTGCTCTCCAGCCTGGGCGACTGAGCCAGGCTCCATCTCAAAACAAACAAACAAAATCCCTGGGCTTTTTGGCTACAAATTCCATTCCAACAACACCTTTGTTTTGCATAACCAAAGAGAAGTTGATGTTAATTCATTGTCAAGTTATTTGTACCGATATACTAAATATCCTAAAATGGGGATATGTTCCTCAATTATTTACTGGAATGGTAACATTTCTGGAGCATATATCTTCAAAACTGTAATGTAAATTAAGAATATGAACATTCTCAGTGGAAAATGACTGTTCAAGTTAACATTATTTGCATTTGCCATTCTTTTGTAAAGCCAGAAACGTAGATACAATTTTAGATTACCTTCAAGCTATTATAAATCTTGAGGGAAACCTTGATTGTTTTTTAGAAAAATATGTCTATCTAGACTGTGTCTTGCAAACAGGCACTTTAAGATGTCATTATATGAATATTCAGAAACTCAGATGTAATAGAACCTAGATGAGAATGTGTGATAATCTAAAGATATCATTTAAGTCAGGGCTTTAAAAATACATGACTTCAAGTGAAAAACTGAGCCTTGTAAAGAAGTTCTTTACAATTCACCAAGCATGCTCTAAACCTGCATCCATCCTGAGTTCTTTAAAAGCAGACTTATAAAAGGGAGATGAAAGATATTTTCAAAATATATTTTTGAAGCACAAAGTAAAACATATTTAATATTTTAATTGTTTGAAATGAGTTGCTTAAACTAGTAGCTGCTGCTGGGAATGACAAAAGCTTGGCTAAGATTATTCTATGGGGAAGCTGGTTTATGGCTTTCTGGAGCTGGTGGCCAGGCATGGTGTAGATTATGGGTTGCTTGTAGGATTATGTTTGTTATTGCCTCTTTTTTTAACTCCCTATAGGAGCTTTTATAGTGCTTTGCACATGGTGGTTGCTTCGTTGAGGATGACTACCAGTTTATGGTCATTTAAATTCAGATTTAGGGCCAGGCACCGTCACTCACGCCTATGATCCCAGCACTTTGGGAGGCCGAGGCAGGCAGATCACCTGAGGTCAGGAGTTCGAGGCTAGCCTGGCCAACATGGTGAAACCCTGTGTCTACTAAAAATACAAAAATTAGCCAGGCATGATGGCGCACACCTGTAATCCCAGCTACTTGGGAGGCTGAGGCATGAGAATCACTTGAACCCAGGAGTTGGAGGTTGTAGTGAGCCAAGATCGTGCCACTGCATTCCAGCCTGGGCAACAGAGTAAGACTCCGTTTAAAAAAAAAAAAATTCAGATTTAGGGACAGGCGCAGTGGCTCATGACTGTAATCCCATCTACTGGGGAGGCTGAGGTGGGAGGATCATTTGAGCCTGGGAGTTCAGGGCTGCAGTGAGCTGTGATTGTGCCACTGTACTCCAGTCTGGGTGATAGAGCAAGACCCTGTCTCAAAAAAAAAAAAATCAAATTTAATTTTGTGTTGATTGTGGCTTAAAAAACAAGAAAAATATATTGCTGTTCAAAAATTTTTATTTTTTATTGGATATTGCACGGGTATGAATCAATTTACCCATAAATCTATCGTCCGTTTAATAAGTAGAATGTTACGAGTTTACTCAACATTTTCTTTCTTTCTTTCTTTCTTTTTTTTTTTTTTGAGACAGGGTCTCGCTCTGTCGCCCAGGCTGGAGTGTAGTGTCGTGATCTCAGCTTACTGCAACTTCTGCCTCCTGGGTTCAAGCGATTCTCCTGCCTCAGCCTCCCGAGTAGCTGGGATTACAGGCATGCACCACCACGCTCAGCTAATTTTTTGTATTTTTAGTAGAGATGGGGTTTCGCCATGTTGCCCAGGCTGGTCTTGAACTCCTGAGCTCAGGTGATCCTCCCGCCTTGGCCTCCCAAAGTGCTGGGATTACAAGTGTGAGCCACCATGCCTGGCCCCTGTTCAACATTTTCTATATGTCTCTTCCTGATCCCAGACCTTCTGTACATATGACATTATAGATGATTTAGTCTTCAATAACTTGCTATTTTTTCCTAGTAACTTTTCAAAGAGATATCATTCACATGCCACAAAATTCATTCTTTTAAACAAATGTACAGATCCCTAGTTTTTAGTATATTCTTAAGGTTATGCACCCATCACCACTATTCAATTCTAGAATATTTTCTTTTCCCTTTTTGGAGAATGGGTCTTGCTATGTTGCCGGGCTGGAGTACAGTGGCTTTTCACAGGCGCGATCATCACGCACTACAGCCTTGAACTCCTGGGCTCAAACATTTCTCCTGCCTCAGCCTCCTGAGTAGCTGGATTTCAGGTGTGTGTCACCTTGCTTGGCCAATTCTAGAATATTTTCACTACTCCCAAAAGAAACCTCGTATCCATTGGCGGTCACTCCCCATTTCCCTGTTTCCCCAACCACTGGCAGCTACTAATCTATACTTTCTGTCCTTATGGATTTGCCTATTCTGGACATTTCATGTAAATGGAATCACACAATGTATGGCCTTCATGTTTGGCTTCTTTTGCTTAGCATAATGTTTAATGAAAGGTGTGTGTTGCAGCATGAAGCAGTAAGTACTTCATTCCTTTTCATGGCTTAATTATGTATATATTATATATAGTTTTTTTTTTTTTGAGATAAAGTCTCGCTCTGTCTAGCAGGCTGGAGTCCATTGGTGCGATCTCAGCCCACTGCAGCATCCGCCTCCCAGGTTCAAGCGATCCTCCTGCCTCAGCCTCCCGAGTAGCTGGGATTACAGATGTGTGCCACCATGCCCGGCTAATTTTTGTATTTTTAGTAGAGGCAGGGTTTCACCACGTTGGCAAGGTTGGTCTCAAGCTCCTGGCCTCAGGTGATCCATCCACCTCATCCTCCTAAAGTGCTGGGATTACAGGTGTGAGCCACCATGCCTGGCCTCATGGCTTAATAATATTTGATTGTATGGATATACATATATATTTCGGACATTTGGGTTGTTTCCAGTTTTTGGCTATTATGAACATTCACATACAAGCTTTTATTTAACCACTTGCTTTCAGTTCTTTGGGATATATACCTAGGGGTGGGATTGCTGGGTCATGTGTAATTTTATGTTTAGGTTTTTGAGGAGCTGCCAAACTGGTTTCCACAGTGCCTGCACCGTTTTACATTCCCACCTACAGTGTACGATGGTTCCAATTTCTCTACATCCTGGCCAGCACTGTACTTTCTGTCTTTTTGGTCCTAGCCATTCTAGTAGGTGTGAAGTGGTATCTCATTGTGATTTTGATTTGCATTTCCCTAATGACTAATCATGTTGGAAATCTTTTCATCTACTGGCAATTTGTATATCTTCTTTGAATAAATTTCTGTTCAAATCCTTTGTCTAGTTTTCAGTTGGGTTACATGTCTTCTTTTGTTGAGTTGTAAAACTTCCTTATATGTTCTCGATGCTAGACCCTCATCAAATATTTGATTTGCAAATATTTTCTTCCATTCTGTGGTTTGTCTTTTCACTTTTTCATAGTGACCTTTAAAACACAAAAGTTTTAAATTTAAAAATCTAAAATAAGGCCGACGTGGTGGCTCACGCCTGTAATCCCAGCACTTTGGGGGGCTGAGGTGGGCAGATCACCTGAGGTCAGGAGTTTGAGACCAGCCTGACCAACATGGAGAAACCCCGTCTCTACTAAAAATACAAGATTAGCTGGGTGCGTGTAATCCCAGCTACTTGGGAGGCTGAGGCATCAACCTGAATCGCTTGAACCCAGGAGGCAGAGGTTGCGGTGAGCCGAGATCACGCCATTGCACTCCAGCCTGGGCAACAAGAGCGAAACTCTGTCTCGGAAAAAAAAAAGAAAAACAAAAAAAACTAAAATAAATTATTTTTTTACATCAGATAGGCAATGTGCTGATGTCATAGTAAGGTTTGAGAGCGGCACATCTCAGACATGAGTGTGAAAACCCAATCGCTGTGCTTGTGAACCACAAAAGGATCATAAGTTTTATTTTATTTTATTTTTTGAGACAGAGTCTTGCTCTGTTGCCCAGGCTGGAGTGCAGTGGGGCAATCTCGATTGAACGCAACCTCCGCCTCCCCAGTTCAAGCTATTCTCCTGCCTCAGCCTCCCAGCAGCTGGGATTACAGGCATGCACCGCCACGCCCAGCTAATTTTTTGTATTTTTAGTAGACACAGTTTTACCATGTTGCCCAGGCTGGCCTGGAACTCCTGAGCTCAGGCAGTCCACCCACCTCAGCCTCCCAAAGTACTAGGATTACAAGTGTGAGCCACTGTGCCTGGCCTAGGATCAACATTTTTAAATTTTGATAAAGTTCAGGCCAGGCATGGTGACTCGCCTGAGGTCAGGAGTTTGAGACCAACCAGCCTGGCCAACATGGTGAAACCCCGTCTCTACTAAAAATACAAAAATTAGCCAGGTGTGGTGGTGCATGCCTGTAATCCCAGCTACTCTGGAGGCTGAGGCATGAGAATGACTTGAACCTGGGAGGCAGAGGTTGCAGTGAGCCAAGATCGTGCCACTACACTCCAGCCTGGACGACAGAGTGAGACTCCGTCTCAAAACAAACAAAAAAAAAGTTTTTTGATGAAGTTCAGTGTTTCCCTTCCCTTTCCCTTTCCCTTTTCCTTTCCCTCCCCTCCTCTCCCTTTCACTCTCATTTCCTTTCCTTTCCTTTTCCTCCCTCCCTCCTTGCTTGCTTTCTCTTTCTTCCTTCCTTCCTTCCTTCCTTCCTTCCTTCCTTCCTTCCTTCCTTCCTTCCTTTCTTTCTTTCTCTCTTTCTTTCTTTCTTTCCTTCTTTTTCTTTCTCTAGTCAAATGCAGTAGTAAGAAAGGGGGAAAGAATAGAACAAGTTCAATCTGTAACTCAATGTGAACAATCAATTGAGATAACTCACTACGTTTGGACCAGCCTTCTTTTTTTCTTTTAGTTCCTTGTGCCTTGGTTTAACATCTAAGAAAACATTCCTGAATGCAAGGTCACAAAGATTTATGCCTATGTTTTCTTCTAAGAGTTTTATAGTTTCAGCTCTTACATTTAGGTCTTTGGTCCATTTGGAGTTAATTTTTGCATATGGTGTGGGGTAGGGGTCCAAATTCATTCTTTTTTTTTTTTTTTTTTTTTTTTGAGACGGAGTCTCGCTCTGTCGCCCAGGCCGGACTGCGGACTGCAGTGGCGCAATCTCGGCTCACTGCAAGCTCCGCTTCCCGGGTTCACGCCATTCTCCTGCCTCAGCCTCCCGAGTAGCTGGGACTACAGGCGCCCGCCACCGCGCCCGGCTAATTTTTTGTATTTTTAGTAGAGACGGGGTTTCACCTTGTTAGCCAGGATGGTCTCGATCTCCTGACCTCATGATCCACCCGCCTCGGCCTCCCAAAGTGCTGGGATTACAGGCGTGAGCCACCGCGCCCGGCCCCAAATTCATTCTTATTCATATGGATATCCATTTGTCCCAGCACCATTTGTTGAAAATACATTTTTCCCCATTGTATTGTCTGAATCTTGTTCTTTTTCACTCAACATTTTGATCCTGAAATTGCTGCATATAACTACAAATCATTTCTTTTTTTTTTTTGGTGGTGGTGGCGGGGCGGAGTTTCACTCTTGTTGCCCAGGTTGGAGTGCAGTGGCGTGATCCCAACTCACTGCAACCTCCACCTCTTTGGTTCAAGCGATTCTCCTGTGTCAGCCTCCCAAGTAGCTGGGATTACAAGTGCACGCCACCACGCCCAGCTAATTTTGTATTTTTAGTAGAGGTGGGGTTTCATCATGTTGTCCAGGCTGGTCTCAAACTCCTGACCTCAAATGATCCACTCACCTTGGCCTCCCAAAGTGCTGGGATTACAGGCATGAGCCACTGTGCCTGGCCCACATCATTCATTTCTTTATGGCTAAAAAATAGTATCCTTTGTATAAATCTGCCATGATGTATTTATTTATTCTTTGTTCCATACAGATTGGGTTGTTTCCAGAAGTTGCTATTATGAACACTATTGCTCTGAACTCACTTGAACGTGCGTGCGTGAGTTTCTCTCCAGAGTATGTGCCTAGAAGTGTAGTGTGTGCATGTGTTCTCCAAAGCGATTGTCATACTTATGCTTCTATCAGCGATGTGTCAGAACTACGTTTCAGAAAACAGTTTTAAGCATTCTGTTTGTTCTGTCTCTCATTGAAAAAAGTCATTACTAAAAAGAAACAAGTGGTATTTGCAAGTGAAATTTGCCTTTTAGGCCTCTAATATTTTATTAGCAAGAATTAAATAAGCAAAAGGCCAATAGCTTGAGAACGTAGTATGCAATTAGTATCTCTTTGTTTGATTTATTTTATTTTTTCACAGTGAAGACTTAAGTATCTCTTTACATTTTAAAATATTAATGTGGACCTTAAACAGGTCTTTGGCTGGTTGAGGTAGTGGTTTGTTTGTTTTTGAGACAGGGTCTCACTCTGTCACCCAGGCGGGAGTGCGGTGCAGTGGCGCAATCACAGCTCACTGCAGCTGCGACCTCCCAATCCCGAGTGATCCTCCCACCTCAGCCTCCTGAGTAGCTGGGACCACGGGTGTGCACTGCCATGCCCAGCTAATTTTTTTGATTTTTTTGTAGCGATGAAGTCTCGCTATGTTGCCCAGGCTGGTCTTGAACTCCTGGGCTCAAGCGATCCTCCCACCTTGGCCTCCCAAAGCACTGAGATTGCAGGGGTGAGCCACCAACCGCACGGGCCTGGTGAAGGTTTTTGCTGTTAGTAGGTGAGTCTGCGTGTTAATTAAAGCAACATCACACCAGCCTACTATTGCTCTCTTAACTAGGGTGTGGAGCAAGTATAATAGAGCAGTTGGGCTGCGCTGGGTGGCTCACACCTGTAATCCCAGCACTTTGGGAGGCCGAGGCGGGTGGATCACAAGGTCAGGAGTTCAAGACCAGCCTGGCCAAGTTGGTGAAACCCCGTCTCTACTAAAAATACACAAATTAGCCGGGCGTGGTGTTGGGTGCCTGTAATCCCAGCTACTCGGGAGGCTGAGGCAGAGAACTACTTGAACTCGGGAGGCGGAGGTTGCAGTGAGCCGAGATTGCGCCACTGCACTCCAGCCTGGGTGACAGAGTGAGACTCCCATCTCAAAAAAAAAAAAAAAATAGAGCAGTTTACAGAATTGGGTATGAATGGGAGGTGGGAGTGCTTCCTTTTCTTGGTACCCACCTATTAGCATACAGTGGTTATGCTAAGACAGAATCCTGCCCATAATGATGAGACACCTGCCCTATTTCATGATCTCATTCAATAGTATCATGTGAAAGGGTTGAAGGATGCAGAATTGGGCCAGTAGTGCTCAGAACCTTGAAAGAGTTGGAAATTCTCTCTGGAGTGGGGCAAATCTACAGCTTATAAAGAAAGCGAGTTGTCCTGGAAAGCGCAGCACATAGGTCACCAGGGATGGCCAGCAGGAGGTAAAGAAAGTCTCCTAGAAGGTGGTTGGGCCGGGGAGGTGAGCAGCCTGCCTGGTAGAGAAGCATGTTGGAAAGTGCTCCACCTGGGAGCTGGGGCCCAGGGACAGAATGCCACTTATGAGGCATGAGTGAGGGCAGGAGAAAGGAGGAAGTGACAAGATGCCCCAGGCCTAGGGGAACCTGTGTCCTAGTAGGTCACCAGGCCCTATGTTAAAGAAACGGGAACCTGAAGACCAGAAGGCAACTTGGTGTCAGGAACAAGGTAACGTTATGATTGGTTATCATAACTGGGGCACGAGATCAGAGCTAGATGGACTTGCTCCTTATTCCTCTTACAGAGAGTAATAATGATTTTCATCCTGGGGGTACTTAATAAGGGCTAAGCACTTATGTATATTAATTTGTTTAATCTACACAACAATCCTGGGAAATAGATTCTGTTACTGTTCCTGTGTTACAGGAACTGGGAAACTGAGGCACAGAGAGGGGAGTGGCAGAGCCAGGATTTGAACCCAGATACTCTGGCTCCAGAGTGCAAGCTCCCTTCCCATGGTACTGCACTTCTTCTGGAAAAAGCATGGTTTAGGGAGTCAAACAGGCTTGGTTTCTAATCTTCATTTCAACCTCTTACTATCTTTCTTTTATGACCTTAGGCAAGTCAACGAAATTTTCTGTGACCCACAGTTTCCTTATTTATAAAATAAGAAGCATGAGATTCAGATCACACATGGAAGTGCCTCACCCCTTGCCTGGCCCTCGGTAGGGACTTAGTAAATAGCCATTAATACTACTCCTACAAATAAACCTTTCCAAACTGAGCACAGGACTTGGCCTGGAGCCCGGGGCAGGGTTTAATGTGTGCTGAGGATGGGGTAATTTATCTAGGAGGGATGAGAAACATGGGGGTCAAAATTCCAAGTAGATACTGACAAAACTAGGTGCTGATGGCACAAGCTCCAGGAGCCTTGGAATTAGCCAAGTTCTCCAACTCGACTGGAGACTAGGTTAAAATCTCAAAGACCTCATCCCTCATCCCTGTAATTAGCCTCTTGATTGCCTGTGACCTTACCTTAAATAAGCCCTGATTTAACCTAAAAGAGAAGAAATCAGAACATGACAAGATCTGCTGTTTCATCTTCTTACATATTTCTCTTTCATTTATTTATTTTTTTTGAGACGGAGTTTCGCTCTTGTTGTCCATGCTGGAGTGCAGTGGTGTGATCTCCGCTCACTGCAACCTCCACCTCCCGGGTTCAAGTGATTCTCCTGCCTCAGCCTCCCGAGAAGCTGGGATTACAGGCGCCCACCACCACGCCTGGCTAATTTAGTATTTTTATTAGAGGCGGGGTTTCTCCATGTTGTCCAAGCTGATCTTGAGCTCCTGAGCTCAGGTGATCCTCCCGCTTTGGCCTCCCAAAGTGTTGGGATTACAGGCGTGAGCCACCGCGCCCGGCCTTCATATTTCTCTTTATACTTAACTTCCTTTTTCCTTATCTTTCCCATTTGCAAGTTACTTTCTAGTTCTTATCGATCATTTCCTTATTACTGTTTTTTCCTCCTTAATGAGTTGGTTGCTAGATAATACCTTCGGTGTTTTTGAGAATCTGAGAATGATGGAGGAGAAATGGAAAGATAGGAATAGAAAGAGATTACATTAGGAATTAAATTTCTTGTTCCTCTTTTTCTGATATGAAACCAAATTGGAGGTTAGATCATCCAGAAAGAGAATTCAGTGTTTTCCAGTTTTCCAACCTGCTTGCTCATAAGAATGACTTGGAGTGGTAGATCTTGATTCAGTCGTTCTGAGGATAGCACAAAGAATTTGTATTTTTAGCAAACACTCTCCATGATTATAGTATTATATGGGAATTAAACTTAAACCTTCTTTAAATAAAGCCCCCAAGTTTGACCCATTAGCTCAGCTATAGAATTACTGAATATTTTTAGTATGGCAATACTGTCAAGAAAAAGCACTTTATAATGTGCTTAATTTTCTTTCTTTCTTTCTTTCTTTCTTTCTTTTTGGAAAAGTTTAAGGCTATATAAAAAATAGAGAGAATGGGGCTTCTCGCTATGCTCAGCCTGTGTGTCATCATTACTGTCATGCTGGCCATTGTTCTCTGCTGCTGTGCCCGGGCCCTGAGGCCTCCTTCACCTCTATCCCCACCACCACTATCCAGTCAGTTTGCTGCTGCTTCCGTGGTTCACATGAGGCAGATGAGGAGTTTGATGCATGCTGGGTGACATGCTTCAACAAGCCAGAGATAGATGCCTGGGAATTGCATAAAGAATTGAACACACTTGCTGGCTATGACCTGGTTCCAGAACCCCAAATCATTGATGTTGCTTCGCAGGCATGCAGACAGTTCGATGCTTTTCCTAGGGCAGTTTGCATCCTAGAGGTTGTTAAGGACAAGGCAGGACCTCATAAGAAAATGTCATCCAAGAACTCAGACCAACTTTAAATGAATTGGGAATCCCCACTCCAGAGGACCTAGGCTTAGACAAAGTGTGAACCCCAGGGACAAGCGTTCCAGGGATTTATTGGTATTGCTACTTGATTGTAAACACTCCCCTGGAAATGCTGATGATAACATGTTACCTTATTTGAACACCTTTTTCTTTATTGAATACCAAACCATGTTATGGTAACTTGGACTTTAATAAAAGGGAAATGAGTTTGAACTGAAAAAAAAAAAAATAGAGAGAATGGTGTGTTGGACTCCCATGTACCCTCAACCCAGCCTTATCAGTTTTCAAACCATGGCCAAGTAAGAGGCACTTTTGAAAGAGAACATAGGAGGAGTTACCAAACAGTAAAGGCAGAAATTAAAAGCAACTGTGCCTGCTTTGTTTAGAATACCCAAAACCTGGAAACAATCCAGATGCCCACCAATAGGTGAATGCATCAACCAATTGTGGTATATCTTTTCACTGGAATACTATTCAGCAGTGAAAAGGAAATGAACTATTTATACATACAACATGCAAGAAGTTAAAAATAATTATGCCGAATGAAAAAAGCCCCACCCCCCCATATATACTGTATGCATCTATGCATATAAAATTCTGGAAAACTATACATATGTAAAATTCTAAAGGTCTGCAACCTGCATTCCAAGGGCCAATTCCAGCCCATCACCTCTTCTTGTAAATAAGGTTTTATTGGAACACGGGCACACTCAAGGTATTGCCTATGGATGCTTTTGTGTTACAATGGCAGAGTTGAGTAGTGGCCATATGGTGTGCAAAGCCAAAAATATTTGTCAACCCGCAGGGGTTGAAACAGACAGTAAACAACACAAAATAAATACAAACAGATAGGAATAATGACAAATCACAGTCAATGCCATGTCAATAGAGAATATCTGGGGCAAAGGGGAAGGTCCAGTTGAATTGAAATACTCATCAGTTTCTGAGTGTGTTCTATAGAGTTTTTCTGTCTCTGTGTCTTTGCACATTCTCTCTTTTTTATTTTTATTTTTTGAGACAGGGTCTTGCTCTGTCACCCAGGCTATATAGTGCAGTGGTATGATCTTGGCTCACTGCAACCTCTGCCTCCTGGGTTCAAGCGATTCTCCATCTCAGCCTCCTGAGTAGCTGGAACTACAGGTGTGTGCCACGAGGCCTGGCTAATTTTTGTATTTTTTGTGGAGACAGGGTTTCATCATGTTCACCAGGCTGGTCTCGAACTCCTGAACTCAAGCCATCCACCCTCCTCAGCTTCTCAAAGTGCTGGGATTACAGGCATGAGCTATCATGCCTGACCTCTTTGCACATTCTCTTGATCTGTTATGCTGTTTGTTGCCATCTACTGTTGTCAAATTCTACCTACCCTTCAGGGTCCAACTGAAATGCCACATTACCAGGAAAGGTTTTTCTCATTGTCCCTGCCATACTTCATTTCTCTTCTGCCCTTCTGTAGCTCAGGACCCTCTTTAGGTGTCACTCCCATTAGATTGTAAGTTTCCTAACAAGACGCACGTCATCGTCTCCAAATCCTTTGGGTCAGCACAGCCTCTTTTATATTACCAGTCTAAGCCCCTTTGTGTGACATTTAAAGTCCGCCTGGACTGACTGTTCAGCCTCATCCTCTGCCCTTCCCTTGTGTCCTGGGCTCTGGCCAAATCAAACCACCGTTCCCCAAATGTACTATGTAGTTAACTTTTAATATTGCTTCTTTTTATTGCCTTGGTTCTCTCAAAAATCAGAATTAATGGAATGTTGGCTATTACAATTACGTGGACATGGTTATATAATGGCCTTGGCGATGCCCTTAATAAATGAAATCTAAAATGTTACATTTTTTTTGGAACCCAGAAACTCATTCTAATTTTATTCTGCCTGAGGCTTTATAGCATTTTCTGAAGATCATGTTGTACTCTTCTTTCGTCTAGATGATTTGGTCAACAGTGATAAAGTTCCAACTTAGACTTGATAAATATGCAAGAGTCATGAAATATGAATGAAAACAGTGACTTTTGAAAATCACGCTTACCTAAAAAAAAAAAAATCCTGAGTATGGTTTATATTTACTATGTGTGTAAAAATGTACTGCCATTCTTCATTCTTCTTTGTTCGTTAGGTTGAAGAACAATTGTAAAAATTGAAGGCATGGCACTACCGCCGTTATGTATAGATTAATGTGGAAAATAGCACGTGGCGGGTGGCTAATGACTGGAGTCTTACGGACCCAGGTACTTACTGAAAAATTCACTTAATTTTGGACATAAGACTTGGTCCTTTTTTTGTACATAAATTTAAATCTCCCTTTCCTTGTTTACATGTATTGCTTTTTTTTTTTTTTTTTTTTTTTTTAGACAGAGTCTCGCTCTGTTGTCCATGCTGGAGTGCAGTGGTGCAATCTCGGCTCACTGCAACCACAACCTCCACCTCCCAGGTTCAAGCCGTTCTCCTGCTTCAACCTCCTGAGTAGCTGGGATTATAGGTGCCAGCCACCACGCTTGGCTAATTTTTTTGTTTTTAGTAGAGATGGGATTCCACCATTTTGTCCAGGCTGGTCTCGAACACCTGACCTCAAATGATCCTCCCGCCTCAGCCTCCCAAAGTGCTAGGATTATAAGCGTGAGCCACCGTGTCCAGCCCATGTATTGCTATTTTATTTACAATGGAGCATTGTATATTTTACCCACTGTCAGATGGCAGATGCAGCGTATTTCTGCCTGCATCCCTTGGCCCCCACCTCTTATCCTGGTTCCCAGGTGCAGGGATGCTGTTGCACTGGCATAGGTTCCTGGCATATTTGAGAAGTACAATTTTTGCTGAACCACGTTCCTCTTTTATGCAACTTGGCACCTATGTCACCATTCAAGAACAACTTATATCAACAATCAGTGCCCTTAAAAGGAAATGCTCACAACATTCAGCATTCTCTCTGTCTCTCTTTTTTTCTTTTTTTGAGATGGAGTTTCTCTCTTGTTGCCCAGGCTGGAGTGCAATGGCACAATCTCGGCTCACCGCAACCTCTGCCTCCCAGGTTCAAGCAATTCTCCTGCCTCAGCCTCCCGAGTAGCTGGGATTACAGGCATGCACCACCATGCCCGGCTAATTTTGTATTTTTAGTAGAGACGGGGTTTCTCCATGTTGATCAGACTGGTCTCAAAAACTCCCGACCTCAGGTGATCCGACCGCCTCAGCCTCCCAAAGTGCTGGGATTACAAGTGTGAGCCACCACGCCCGGCCAACATTCAGCATTCTCTTAAAAAAAATTTTTTTTTGAGACATGGTTTTGCTCTTGTCACCCAGGCTGGAGTGCAGTGGCATGATCATAGCTCACTGAAGACTTGAACTCCTGGGCTTGAGTGATCCTCCTGCCTCAGCCTAGTAGCTAGGACTACAGGGACATGCCACCATGCTTGGCTAATTTTTTACATTGTTTTGTAGAGACAGGTCTTGCTATGTTTGCCCAGGCTGGTCTCGAACTCCTGGCCTCAAGCGATCCTCCTGCCTCGGCCTCCCAAAGTGCTGAGATTACAGGTGTGAGCAGCCACACCAGGTCCACATTCAGCACCCTCTTGATTCTTGAGCCCACCATGGTGTCAGCAAGGAAAGAGAGGCAGAGGTAATTTAACCTACATATAATTTCTTGGTTGCCAGCCTCCCTGAGTCTTCTCCATTGTCCTTCAGATCTGTAGTGTTTAAAGGCCTGAATTGAATCTCTTGTATTTTCTGTAAAATTCTGATATTCTCTGCTGTGCATCATATTTATATTTGCACAGCTCTTAAGTTATTTCTCAATCAGCTGCCTCCCAGTAGCACACCTTTGCAGCTGGCACCATTGAAAAGGTTTCCCTCAGACATGGGAGCTCTGACTGCTTGAAGTCAATGGGGGCTGGGTGCGGTGGCTCCTGTCTGTAATCCCAGCACTTTGGGAGGCTGAGGCAGGAGGTTCTCTTGAGCCCAGGAGTTTGAGACCAGCATGGACAACATGGTGAGACCCTGTCTCTACAAAAAATAAAAAAAATTAGCTGGGAGTGGTGGCACACATCTGTAGTCCCACCTACTTGGGAGGCTGAGATGGGAGGATCACTTGAGCCCAGGAGGTCCAGGCTGCAGTGGACGTCCAGCCACTGTACTCTAGCCTGGGTGACAGAGCAAGACCCTGTCTGGAAGAAAAAAAGTCAATGGAACAAGGCAGCGTATTGAAATATTCTTTCCTTGGGAAATGTATGTCATAAATCCTTTTACCAACAGATGATTTGGATCTTTAAGGCTCCCAGGCACATGACTTTATTCTCAGGAGATGGTTAGGCAGTAGATTAAGATCTGCTTATTGCCTTGAGACTATATAAAGCTCCCAATACCTATTTTTATTGGAGACCAAATTTCTAACTTGTTCAATTGGTCTGCTTATGGCAGTGCTGCTCTCCCAGTCATGGGAGAAGACAGTTTTACATTTAAATGGAATATTCTAACTTTGCTTAGTAAGTAAATACTGACCCAAAGATAAACAATGGGAGAAAATGGAATTTCAGTGTTTCATGCAAAAAGTTCCTATCACAAGGGAATCGCAGTTTTCATTCTTTGGGTAGGTAGGTAGATTTCTCCATGTTCTGTGAAACTGTGTTGTTGCGGGGAAGGAAGCAAAAGAACAAATCAATAGCTGAGGATGGGGGCATATTAGGAATTTTTTTTTTTCTTTTTGAGATGGAGTTTTGCTCTGTCACCCAGGCTGGAGTGCAGTGGTATGTCTTGTCTCGGCTCACTGCAACCTCCACCTCCTGGGTTCTAGCTATTCTCCTGCCTCAGCCTCCCGAGTAGCTGGAATTACAGGCCCCCACCATCACGCCAGGCTAATTTTTGTATTTTTAGTAGGGATGGGGTTTCACCATGTTGGCCAGGCTGGTCTCGAACTCCTGACCTCAGGTGATTCACCTGCCTCGGCCTCCCAAACTGCCGGGATTACAGGCGTGAGCCACTCTGCCTGGCCGTGAGCCACCCCACCGGGCCTGAATTTTGCTTAATAGAATCATGATGAAAATGAATGCGCTTGACCAGAGAAAATGGACACTTGTGATGACTTGGGTAGTGTTCAGAAATCACTCAGCCTGTGAGAACTTTGTGCTTCTTAGGTTTGGCTTGATATTACAAAGCTACCACTGGTTACTTTTATGAAAGCTCCCCAGGTAAGGGGCAGAGGACAGCAACCTGTTGGTCCAGATTAACATTCAGTGGTATTAAGCAGAGACTGTGGCTTTCAACTATAAGTAAAAGCATGCTTGGGGGAGAAGGAGGAAGGGAGAAAAAAAAAAATGAGAAAGCAGAAAGATGCAACAGGGGTTGGCAAAGAGTCAGGAGCAGGGAGTGAGGGGGAAAGTAGGTACATGTGGTGGAGAAATGGAAGCTCTCCCAATGGTTCCATCAGTTCCACCACACTGGCACAGATTCTAGAAGTTTCCTATTTCTGGAGTAGGACGCAGACATGATGCATTTCCTACTAAGACAGATTTCTATCCAGGAAACATCATTTCAAGTTGCAGTGCCAGGCTCGAGGATCCTTCTCCGTCATTGCTTCAAGTGTGGTGGGTTCAGTACCTCCTTTAATGTAAGAGCTGGCCCGTCTTCCCTACCTACTTGGGACACTTTCTAGTTTTGACCTTAAGTAGGGTATCAGGAAAATTCCGAGAAAGGGAAGACACTCTTTTTCCTGAATTACAGAATAGACCAACTCATTAGAAAAAATAAATTAAAGAGGCCAGGCGCAGTGGCTCAAGCGTATGATCCCAGCACTTTGGGAGGCCGACGCAGGCGGATAACTTGAGGTCAGGAGTTCGAGACCAGCTTGGCCAACATGGCGAAACCCCGTCTCTACTAAAAATACAAAAATTAGTCGGGTATGGTGGCAAGCACCTGTAATCCTAGCTACTCGGGAGGCTGAGGCAGAAGAATTGCTTAAACCCGGGAGGTGGAAGTTGCAGTGAGCCGAGACTGTGCCGCTGCACTCCAGCCTGAGTGAGGCTGGAGACCCAGAGCAAGACCCTGTCTCAAAAAAAAAAAGAGAGAGAGAGAGAAAACCAGAACCCCTTTGTTTCAAAACCATCCACATCTGTCTATCCATCCGTAAAGCACAAAGTTATCAGAGACAAATCATGGTCTCATTTTGCTTCATGCATTTTGGACCTGACATGAGTCCGTCTTTGATCCCTGAGGGGTGGTAGAAACAAGCAATGCTTTTCAGAGTGAAGCTAAAAAAGGCACTCTGTGGAAGAGAATATATTTTATAGATCAGTGATTAGTGAGTCTTTTCATGACAAGTTTTGTATTAATTATGATTTGAAAACCTCCAGTGCAGGGTTCTCAGGAATTACTAAGTGCCCCTGGGTACAGCAAGAAGCACTGGAATAAAGAATCTCAATGTGTGACCAAATTTCTAAATTCTTGGGGGTGTACAGAAATTAGCCACTTCTATTTTCTCTCTCTCTTTCTCTCTCTCCTTCCTTCCTTCCTCCCTCCCCTCCCTCCCTCCCTCCCTTCCTTCCTTCCTTCCTCTTCTCTTCTCTTTTCTTTTCTTTCTTTTTTTCTTTCTTGAGTCTTTCTCTGTTGCCAGGCTGGAGCTCGGTGGCGCTATCTCGGCTCACTGCAACCTCCACCTCCTTGGGTCAAGCGAGCCTCTCACTCACCCTCCTAAGCAGCTGGGATTACAGTCATCCACCACCACGCCTGGCTGATTTTTATATTTTTAGTAGAGACGGGGTTTTGCTATGTTGGCCAGGCTGGTCTTGAACTCCTGGCCTCAAGTAAACTGCCCGCCTCAGCCTCCCAAAGTGCTGGGATTACAGGCGTGAGCCACTGCGCCCGGCCTCACTTCTGTTTTCTACTTGTGTTTTTATTTCCATTGCATTTCCTGACTTGTGTATATTTTCTCGTTGTAGAAGCACTTAGTGTTTTGGCACTCAGACTTACTTTCCAGTGTTTCTTCTGATCAATCAATAGCCCTTTACTCATACTAACTATATGTGATGGAAGCAAAGTCAGGAATGTCTAATGTGGGGGCAGAATTCACTATGAAGCTACTTAGAATTTCACCAGCCATGAATGATACATTATCCATCATGTTAGCTAGAATATACTGGGCTCCAGTCTCTTTTGGGGGATCTTTAGGGTCCTTCTGGGTGCAGAAGGGAAGATGACATTTCAGGAGATCTCTGCGCATTCCACCCTGGCTTCCTTCCTTCCAGGTAGGCTGAGAGAAAGCTTTCTTCTTGATGGTGCTAGTGAGAACTTGGCAGGTGGAGCAGGAACTGTTAGTTTTTCACTCCCTGTTGGAGTCATTCACACATACAGCTCATATAGAAGACGGATGTCTTTTGTCTTGGTGCCAAAGACTTGAAAACAGAGAACGGTAACTTTTATTTATTTATTTATTTTTGAGATGGTGTTTCGCTCTTGTCACCCAGGCTGGAGTGCAATGGTGTGATCTCAGCTCACTGCAACCTCTGCCTCCTGGGTTCAAGCGATTCTCCTGCCTCAGCCTCCTGAGTAGCTGGGATTACAGGCACTCATCACCACGCCTGGCTAATTTGTGTATTTTTACTAGAGATGGGGTTTTACCATGTTGCCCAGGCTGGTCTTGAACTCCTGACCTCAGGTGATCCACCTGCCTCGGCCTCCCAAAGTGCTGGGATTGCAGGTGTGAGCCACTGTACCAGGCTAGAATGGTAACTTTTGAAACCCATTTTTGTTATTCTAAAGTCTTCACGGTGTGGTGTTGGGAAGGCTGGGTTGCTGTGTCAGATGGGTACCCTCACCCCAGTTATGGCTGTTCTCACATCCAATTCCAGGAAGCCTCATTCTTGTGTGGTCATAGAAAAGCAACCTTAATTTTCCTGTGTCTTAGTTTCCTTACCTCCTAGAAATGTGGCAAAGATGCAGAATCTGTTTATTTAGTAAATATTTATCAAGTTCTGGGAATACAGCGGCGAATAAGCCACCAAATCCTTCCTTGATGGGACTCACCCTCTAACACAGCCAAGGCAATGAGAGACCTTCCAGGAATAACATTGAGAGGCAAATTATGCATGTAGGTGACACATGAGGCCAACAGGAAATGACCTCGAATTGAAGTTGAAATTTACAGTGCGAGATGAGCCAAGAATCTGTGAACCCTTAGAACTCAGGCAAGGTGAGCTGGTGTGACTTGCAGGAAGTATGACTCAATTGTGACTGTACCCAAGAAGGCTTAAACCACATCATCTGAAAGAAGGATGTGCCAACATACGCTTCCAATGACTAAAAGGAGGGGCAGAGGGAAAAACAAAACAGCATGTTCCCAGGCCCATCCTAGGAGGAAGGAAGGCTATTAATACATTCC
The DNA here is from genome assembly GCF_000001405.40 of Homo sapiens. NCBI lineage: Eukaryota > Metazoa > Chordata > Mammalia > Primates > Hominidae > Homo > Homo sapiens. Next base: position 67,422,242 of record NC_000017.11, read on the forward strand.
TTTGACATTGTCTACTTACCATTGCATAGAGTTGGAGGTGAGTGGCATATGGAGAGACAGAGATTTGGAGACAGACTGAGTTTGAATCCCAATTTTGTCTTATTAGGCCGTGGACAAGTCATTTCAACTCTCTAAGCTTCAATTTCCTCATTATTTATTTTTTAAAATAGAGATGAGGTCTTGCTATGTTGCCTAGGCTGGTCTTGAGCTCCTGGGCTCAAGCCATCCTCTTGCCTTGGCCTCCTGAGTACATACAGGTGTGAGCCACCACACCCACCTGCCCAGCCCTAGCTTGCTCACTGTCTTTCTTTTTTTCTTTTTTTTGAGACAGAGTCTTGCTCTGTCACCCAGGCTGGAGCACGGTGGTGTGATCTCGGCTCACTGCAACCTCTACCTCCCAGGTTCAAGAGATTCTCCTGCCTCAGCCTCCTGCGTAGCTGGGATTAGACTACTACACTCGGCTAATTTTTGTATTTTTAGTAGGGATGGGTTTCACCATGTTGGCCAGGCTGGTCTCGAACTCCTGACCTCACGTGATCTGCCCACCTCAGCCTCCCAAAGTGCTGGGAATAAAAGTCGTGAGCTACCACGCCGGTCTAGCTTACTCAAACAATGTCTAGTTTGCAGGGTAGTGTATGTACGTGCCTCAGTGTCTTTGGTGTGATATACACTTAGTAAATGTTAGTTCAGCTCTAACAGACTCATCTGAGATTTTGATTCTGTAACTCCCAAGAGTTCAGTATGCTAGCATTTTTTTTTTTTTAACATGAGGAAGAGTTGGGTAAGGAAGAGCTGTGTTTTAATTGCATTACGGCTCAACTGCTAACTGTTTTGATATGTTGAACAAAGTCCATTGATTCTTCATGGAGGAGTGCTTGCTGGGGAGTGTGAGTCAGCACGTCTGCGTTATTAACTTGTTCGGAAGCTTTTTGTGGCAGATTGATTTTAAAAGCCCCCAAGGAAACAGAGGATTTTATTTAATAGAAATATTGTCAGAATGACATTGAGATTTGGGTTTAGCTTTCAAATCACTGGATACAAGTTGAATCAGGTCTTTTCTCTGACAGATATTGGAAACATGGTGTGTTGGAGAAATACTCTCCATTGCCTGGCAGGGCCCTTACCTTGGGAGAGGGGGATGATATTTGCCTGGAGCACCCCGGTGACCCCACCTAGCAGGCCTGACTTTCTAAAGGCAAGGATGTGGGCTTGGTACAGAGAGGTGGCGAAACCTGAATATTAGTATTTTCAAATCTGATTACTAGTATTTTCAACCGACCTGACTAGGCGCAAATCCATGCTCATTTAAATGAAAGTCTACCTGAAATCATGCCTCACTGCAACCATGCACTTCTGGGCTTAAGCGATCCTCCTGCCTCAGCCTCCCTGAAGGTCCACCTGCATTTGAATAAGGATGGATGTGCGCCCAGGTATGTCTTTGTGGGTTTCCATCCTATAGTTCTGGAGCAAAGGACAAATGGAAGAAAGTTGCTAAAGAAAAGAAGAGCGTTTCTGTGGCTCCTTCAAGAGCAGTTACAGATTTCTGTCCTGAAGCCAGGAGGGAATATGTGGCCCAGGTCCCACAGTGGAGAGTTGCAATGCTCCCTCTTGGGCATCTCTGTCCTCATTTGGATTCAGGGCTGAAACTTCGGGATCAGTTTCACAGAAGAGGTTTCAAGTAGATTTCTTGCAGTCCTGAAAGTCACACTTCTCTGAAATTGGTTTAACACCAATCCAAAACCTATTGGTGTTCCTGTTACATTTTACAACTCTTCATATGCCACTTAAGAAATGACCTCTCTAGAATTGTGACTCCAGCCTAGGCAACAGTGGGAGACTGTCTCAAAAAAAAAAAAAAAAAAAAAATAGAGTTGAGGATGAGGAGCTCAAGAATAAAAGTGAGATGGGATGGACAGAGAAAAAGCAGGAAAACTAGCGAATGGTATGGTAGAAGCCAATAGAGAAAGGACTTTCAAGGTGGAGGGAGAGAATTTAAGAGTTGGGACTTCTCTTCCAGCAAGAAGAGGAAGAATGGCATAAGAGGGACTGTGATGTAGGCACTATGTCACCATCGTATTTAATCCAAACTATAACTATGCAAGATTACCACTTGACCTTCAAGAAAACTGGGCTGGCTGGGCGCAGTGGCTCACTCCTGTAATCCCAGCACTTTGGGATGCCGAGGCAGGAAGATAACCTGAGGCCAGGAGTTCGAGACCAGCCTGGCCAACATGGTGAAACCTTGTCTCTTCTAAAAATTCAAGAATTAGCTGGGCGTGGTGGTGGGCGCCTGTAATCCCAGCTACTCAGGAGGCTGAGGCAGAGGAATCGCCTGAACCTGGGAGGCGAAGGTTGCAGTGATCCGGGATCGCACTACTGTGCTCCTGCTTGGGCGACAGAGGAAGACTCCGTCTCACAAAAACAAACAAACAAGCAAATATACAAAACTGAGCTGAGGAGACAATTCGACAATTCATGCAGTCAATAAGTAGGTTGCAGAGGTTGGAGTACAGTGGCGTGATCGGCTCGCTGCAACCTCCGCCTCCTAGGTTCAGGCGATTCTCTTGCCTCAGTGTCAGGCCTCTCAGCCCAAGCTAAGCATGTGACCTTCGTGTATACATCCAGATGGCCTGAAGCAACTGAAGATCCACAAAAGAAGTGAAAATAGCCTTAACTGATGACATTCCATCATTGTGATTTGTTTCTGCCCCACCCTAACTGATCAATGTACTTTGTAATCTTCCCCACCCTTAAGAAGTTTCTTTATAATTCTCCCCACCCTTAAGAATGTACTTTGTGAGATCCACCCCCTGCCTGCAAAACATTCCTCCAAATTCCACCGCCTATCCCAAAACCTGTAAGAACTAATGATAATCCACCACACTTCGCTGACTCTTTTCGGACTCAGCCCGCCTGCACCCAGGTGAAATAAACAGCCATGTTGTGCGCGCGCACGCACACGCACACACACACACACACACACACACACACACACACACACACACACACACACACACACACAGAGGGAGAGAGAGAGAGAAATGACCTCTCTAGAGAAAGAAGAATCACCATGGTATGGGAGAATGAACCCCTCAGAAATGGTCACAGCTTATTCAAGTCCTAAACCCTTGCTATGGGCAAGGGTTGACAAACTTTTTTTTTCTTTTCTTTCTTCTTCCTGTCTTCTTTCTTTTCCTCTCTCTTTCTCTCACTCTTTCTCTCCCTTCCCCTCCCTCCCTCCCTCCTTCCTTCCTTCTCTCTCATTCGCTATTTCTTTTCTTTCTTTCTTTTTTTTTTAGAGACAGGGTCTTGCTCTGTCACCCGGGCTGGAGTGCAGTGGCGCAATCATGCCTCATTGCAACTTTGCACTCCTGGGCTCAAGCGATCTTCCTGCCTCCACCTCCCAAGTAGCTGGGACCAGAGGCACACACCACCACGCTTGGCTAATTAAAAAAAAATTTTTTTTTTAAAGAGATGGGGTCTCACTGTGTTGCCCAGGCTGGTCTCAAACTCCTAGCCTTACGTGATCCTTTCACCTCAGCCTCCCAGAGTGCTGGGATTACAGGTGCAAGCCACCATGCCAGGCAGCAAAGTTTTTCTTAAAAGGCCAGAAAGTAAATATTTTTGCCTTTGCCGATCATAAGGTCTATGTCACAACCACTCAACTCTGCCATTGTAGCTCAAAAGCAACCATAGACAATAGGGTCAAGGAGTGAGTGTGACTGTGTTTCAATAAAACTTTATTTAACACATAGGCCTCCCTCCTGCAATCCCTTTTGCTGATCACTTCATAGACCATCATACACTTCCTGTGCTCTTTGGAGCTTGAAAATCATACTTTGGAGTAAGAAATTCTTTTGAATATAAATTACATATGTTTGGCTGTGGAGAAATAGGAATGCTTTTACACTGTTGGTGGGAAGGTAAATTCGTTCCACCATTGTGGAAGACAGTATGGGGATTCCTCAAGACTCTAGAACCAGAAATACCATTTGACCCAGCAATCCCATTACTGGGTATATGCCCTAAGAAATATAAATCATTCTACTATAAAGACACATGCACATGTATGTTTATTGTGGCACGATTTACAAGAGCAAACACATGGAATCAACCCAAATGCCCATCAACGATAGACTGGATAAAGAAAATGTGGTACATATACACCATGGAATACTATACAGCCATAAAAAGGAATGAGATCATGTCCTTTGCAGGAACATGGATGAAGCTGGAAGCCATCATCCTCAACAAACTAACAGAGGAACAGAAAACCAAACACCACGTGTTCTCACTCATAAGTGGGAGTTGAACAATGAGAACACATGGACACAGGGAGGGGAACAACACACACCGGGGCCTGTTGGAGGGTGGGGGGCGAGGGGAGGGATTTAGAGGATGGATCAATAGGTGCAGCAAACCACCATGGCACACATATACCTATGTAACAAAACTGCTCATTCTGCACATGTATCCCAGAACTTAAAATAAAAATAAAAAATAAATTACATATGTTTAGAGAAAGGAAGCTTCCATATTTATGTATCATCATGATTTTTTTAAAAACTTATTTAATTTGCATACAAATTTGTTCCACATTTGTTTCCTGTAAAATGGATTCCTCATAAATGCTTGGTAAGAGTATCCATGTTTGATGTGAAACAAACTGATGATGCTTGAATTCCTGTTTACTCTGAAGTTCTTTTCACATGCTGGTGAGTTCTGAGCACCATGCTTACATGCACCTCTCCTTTGCAGCAAACATAAGTTTTGAGGTCCCTGTGAGTCCTAATGGCACCGAGGTGCTGTCTCAGGTGACCTTCTCCTAATCCTGAAAAAGTCTCCATGATTGGCCCTGGAGGAGTTCTCCTGGTTGTCTGGAATGAGTTCATACTAATAGTCAGGGCTCTGGGCATTGTGAGACCCTGGCTACTTTCTTTCTTTCCCACAATGTATACTTTCTCACTATTTATTTATTTATTTTTTTGAGACAGAGTCTCGCTCTGCTGCCCAGGCTGGAGTGCAGTGGTGTGATCTTGGCTCACTGCAACCTCCACCTCCCAGGTTCAAGCAATTCTCCTGCTTCAGCCTCCCGAGTAGCTGGGACCACAGGCGCCCGCAACCACGCCCGGCTAATTTTTTTTGTATTTTTAGTAGAGATGGGGTTTCACTGTGTTAGCCAGGATGGTCTTGATCTCCTGACCTTGTGATCCTCCTGCCTCGGCCTCCCAAAGTGTTGGTATTACAGGCATGAGCCACTGCACCCAGCCATGCTTTCTCACTATGAAAACCTCCTCGGACTCCTCGGACTCCTCACAAGAGTGAGTGAGCTGGATTTGCTGTATTTTCAAAGTCATCCTTCATTACACATGAACATTGGCTGCACCCGAGCTTGGCTGTGAACTGATTATTCTCACCAGGGCCTGTTAACACAAATTCCATCACTCCTACAGCTAAAAATAAACCATATTTAACAAGTAGAAACAAAACTCCAGGCAAATACATCATCTGATTTGATGGAATCTTTGTTGAAAATGTTAATGGTGGAATCAGATGCTTACCTTTAAGATGGGAGATTGCATTCCTTCGTGAGCAAGGTGCCTAGAAATCAATTCCAACTCTTGATATGATCAGAGAGATTGATGGATACCTAAGTGTCTGAAATGATAATAGTTCATCTTGTCTAAGGGCATTCCCCCATTTGTGGCACATTGTCCTTGACGATCAGTCTTCTATTTATTTTATTATTTTATTTTTTACAGATGGGGTTCTCGATGTGTTGCCCACGCTAGAGTGCAGTGACTGTTCACAGGCAACATCATTGCACACTGCAGGCTTGAACTCCTGGGCTCAAGCAATCCTCCTGCCTCAGCTTCTTGAGTGGCTGGCACTACAGGCATCCACCACTGTGCCAGGCTCAGTCTTCTATTTAAATAATGCTGCTACTTTAGAGGGTTTAGGAATATTTAGTGTTTACAGCTAGTGTCTCTGTAATATGAAAACATACTGTGCCTTGGCTGGGTGTGGTGGCTCATGTCTGTAATCCCAGGAATTTGGGAGGCCGAGGTGAGAGGATCACTTGAGCCCAGGAGTTCGAGACCAACTTGGGCAACATAATGCCCATCTTTTTAAAAAATAAAAAACAAAAATTAGCAGGGCATCATGGTGCACACCTATAGTCCTAGCTAATCGAGAGGCTAAGGTGGGAGGATTCCTTGAGCCCAGGAGGATGAGGCTGCAGAAATCGCACTACTGCACTTCAGCCTGGGCAACAGAGTGAGACCCTATCTCAAAAAGAAAAAAAAAAAAAAGAAAGAAAGAAAACATACTGCGCCTAGCAATACAAATAGTGACCTGCGGGTAATGAGATTATAGATGATTTTAAACATTCTTCTTGATAATTTTCCTGTGTTTTACAAATATTTAATAATGAATATGTACTACTCTAAGAAAAACAGTACAAAGGTTTTCAAAGTTTTTTGACAGTCATTTACCTGCAGTAAGTACGTTATACATCCCAACCCCATATAAACTAGCATTTATGTATTTATAAACTTAAAACAAACATTAGTTAACCATTTTTTTCTACTTGTCTTGCTTTTTTTTTTTTTTTTTTTGAGACGGAGTCTCGCTCTGTCACCCAGGCTAAAGTGCAGTGGTGTGATCTCGGCTCACTGCAACCTCTGCCTCCCGGGTTCAAGCGATTCTCCTGCCTCAGCCTCCCGAGTAGCTGGGATTACAGGCATAGTGCCACCACGCCTGGCTAATTTTGTATTTTTAGTAGAGACGGGGTTTCTCCATGTTGGTCAGGCTGGTCTCGAACTCCCGACCTCAGGTGATCCACCTGCCTTGGCCTCCCAAAGTGCTGGGATTACAGGCATGAGCCACCACGCCCGGCTTTTTTACCTACTTGTCTTTACCTCCTGATGTTTTCTGTTTTTCTATTCTATTTTATCAAAGAAGGAAGAAAGAAAAAAAGAAAGAAGAATATTCATGTATTGACCAGGTAAAATGATTTCATGAACCACTGATGGGTAAATTGAAAGCTAGTGATTATAGGACAGTGGTTGCCAGTCTTGTATTTCATGGGTCAGTAAAATTTAAAAGAAATTTTGGGGATTGATGTAAGATCATCTGTTTTTCATGTTGCAAAGTAAGGATGTTTTAAAACAAGGTAGCTGGGCGCAGTGGCTCATACCCGTAACCCCAGCACTTTGGGAGGCCAAGGCAGGTGGATCATCTGAGGTCAGGAATTGAGACCAACCTGGCCATCATGGTGAAACCCCATCTCTACTAAAATTACAAAATTAGCTGGGCGTGGTGGCGATTGCCTATAATCGTAGCTACTCAGGAGGCTGAGGCAGGAGAATCACTTGAACCTGGGAGGCGGAGGTTGCAGTGAGCTGAGATCGTGCCACTGCACTCCAGCCTGGATGAAAGAGCAAAACTCTGTTTCAAAAAAAAAAAAACTTACAAAGTAATTATTTCTACCACCATTATTCTTTTATTCATTTGTCATTTAAAATCTTGTTTTTATGAATTTTATGATTTGAGAGAATTTTCATGTCAAAATATCCTTTCTTTTCTGAAAGAATATTTTAGCATTAAATATTAGAAGGAATACAATTTCAGTAGTTATGTGATGAATAAATTTAGCTTTCTGAAAACAGACCGCACTTGCTTTGTTTTTTCCATTTGGCAATGAACCTGTGCACTAGCATTTAGGAATCATTTAGGAATTATCAGTGTAGTGGAAACAGCCTTGCTTTGAAACAACACAATTTTACTTCCAGTTCTGAATCATTTAATTTTTCTGAACTTCTTTTTACCCATCTGCAAAAGAGGAATCTCAGAGGTATAGCAATAAGGTTTATAAAGGGTTTAAGACAGTTCTGAATGCGCAGGAGTTTATAGATGGTAACGTCTTTTCTCTGGATCATTAATTCTCCTTACTACTCTGTGATTTTAAAAACTTAGAATGTTGGCTAGTGTGGTGGCTCATGCCAGTAATCCCAGCACTTTGGGAGGCTGAGGTGGGAGGGTCACTTGAGGTCAGGAGTTCAAGACCAGCCTGGCCAACGTGGTGAATCCCTGTCTCTACTAAGACACAAAAAAATTAGTCTATAATCCCAGCTACTTGGGAGGCTGAGGCAGGAGGATCGCTTGAACTCGGGAGGTGGAGGTTGCAGTGAGCTGAGATCATGCCACTGCACTCGAGCCTCTGTGACAGAACAAGACTCTGTCTCAAAAACAAAAACAAAAACAAACTTAGAATGTTGGCCAGTGTGGTGGCTCATGCCTATAATCCCAGTGCTCTAGGAGGCAGAATGCTCTAGAGGGTGGAAGCGGGAGGATTGCTTGAGGTCAGGAGTTTGAAACCAGCCTAGGCAAGGTAGTGAGACCTCTGTCTCTAAACAACAACAACAAAACAGCTGGGCGTGGTGGTGCACACCTGTCGTCCCAGCTACTTGGGAGGCTGAGGTGGGAGGATCAGTTGAGGCCGGGAGTTCAAGATCAGCCTGGGCAACATAGTGAGACCCTGTCTCTACCAAAAAAAAAAAAATTAGACATATGCAGTGGCATGTGTCTGTAGTCCCAGCTGCTCAGGAGGCTGAGGTGGGAGGATCCCTTGGGCCCAGGAAGGTTGCAGTGAGAAATGATCACACCACTGCACTCCAGCCTGTGTGACAAAGCAAGACCCCATCTCTTAAAAACAAAACCAAACCACACAACAACTTGGAATGTTGAAAGAAGTTCATTATGTGTTTCCATTTTATGATGAACTATTTCTTTAATTTTTACTCTTTTTAGTTACTGTTTCTTTTTTTTTTTTTTGCGATGGAATATTGCTCTGTCGCCCAGGCCGGAGTGCAGTGGCGTGATCTTGGCTCACTGCAAGCTCCACCTCCCGGGTTCAAGCGATTCTCATGCTTCAGCCTCCCGAGTAGCTGGGACTATAGGCGCCCACCACCACACCCAGCTAATTTTTGTATTTTTAGTAGAGACGGGATTTCACCATGTTGACCAGGCTGGTCTCAAACTCCTGACCTTAAGTGATCCATCCGCCTCAGCATCCCAAAGTGCTGGGATTACAGAGTGAGCCACCGCACCTGGCCTCATGTCTTGTCTTACCTACGGCTTTCCCCCTCTTTCTGCGTTTTCTCCACCCTTTACCGCTGAGTCAGCCTCTGTATACCATTATTCATGATGGGAACTCAGCTTGTCTGACAGTTGGTTTTAAGGCACAATTAGAAAATATTCCTTGATAGTACAATGAGTTTGCAGTTTTTAAGTTGTGGTTTTGGCCAGAGATATTAATAAGGGTTTGGACGTTGAGTGGAATACTAAGAATAAGAAAGGGGATGTGCTTAAAATACATCTCATGTGCCTTCTGTTTAATTACACGGTAATTTGTAAAAGAGACTGGTTTCTGTGGCCTTGAATACTAATATAGACTTTCCCTCACCACAGCTTATCTTCGAGTCATAAACACAGAGGCATGCATAGTTCACACATCTCCATGTATTTTCTGTTTCCAAGGAAGATATGATCACTCTGAAGAACCAAAAGATGAGTCACTCTGAAAACTTTTCTTCCTTTGTCTTAATGTCATGACTGTCTTAACAATTGACTGTGTTTATTTCAGCAACATTTATCTTTAGTCTCTTCTCTTTGGCTCAGTCAGATGTTTTCAGTTTCACCCAGCACGGACCACAGCCATATTACCTCCTATATCCCAGTGGATAACTTCTGCAGGAAAACTTCAGCTACTTGACACTCTTGGGAAACGAGCTGGGTGTTCCTGATAAGAAAGGTTTACCAGAATCTTGTAAAGATGGTTTCTCTAATAATAGCTAACATATTTATAAGCGTGCTATGTTTTAGAACATGGGTGTCCAAACTTTTGGCTTCCTTGGGCCACATTGGAAGAATTGTCTTGGACCACATATAAAATACACTAACACTGGCCGGGTGCGGTGGCTCACGCCTGTAATCCCAGCACTTTGGGAGGCCAAGGCAGGTGGATCACGAGGTCAGGAGATGGAGACCATCCTGGCTAACACGGTGAAACCCCGTCTCTACTAAAAATACAAAAATTAGCCGGGCGTGGTGGTGGGCACCTGTAGTCCCAGCTACTCGGGAGGCTGAGGCAGGAGAATGGCGTGAACCTGGGAGGTGGAGCTTGCAGTGAGCCGAGCTTGCAGTGAGCCGAGATTGCACCACTGCACTCCAGCATGAGCGAGAGAGTGAGACTCCGTCTCAAAATAAATAAATACATAAATAAATAATAAAATAAAATAAAACTAATGATAACTGATGAGCTAAAATAAATAAATAAAGGTCCGTGTATAATTTTTGTGATATCTGCCACCACAGATAAGCCAAAAAGTCCTCTTATTCAAAGGGTTGGACATGGCTGTTTCAGTAACTTCATTACAGGCTTTGTGAACATTATCTCATGTAATCCTAAAACAAAACAAAACAGAACAAAATGACTTTCCCTGTCTCGATTTCCTGAGTGATCTTTGTAAACATCAGCTATTACAGTGTGCTCTTTTGTGTAGATTTCAGGTGTATGTGACTCTTGTAAGCATTCAGCTTACCACTGTTTATTGAGTGATTATTATGTGCCAGATACAGCTCTGGACACAGGTGTGACTAAAACAAACTCCCTGCCCTCAAGGTGCTTATATTCTGGAGGTGGGAGGAGGACCCTGACAACAGCATGGAAATATACAAATATAATATAATGTCAGGTAGCCACAAATATAGCAGGATATAGGGACAGCGAGTGGGGGTGGGGAGAGTGGTGGCGGAAGACCCTTGAGGAGGCGACAGTTGAGCAGAGACCTGGATGAATCGTGGGAGCAAGGCTTGTAGATATTTGGCAAAAGAGCCATTTGATTGTGACTTACGTGGTTCTCCCTCTTCTGCTTTCTATAGTTTTCCTGTCTCCTGGCAGTCAGTGCCAGGAAAGAATTTAGTTGGGCCAGACCAAGGGAAGCCAGACCTAGAAAGGAGGCAAAGCTACAGGTGCAGAGCAGAGATTGCTAAGGTCTTAGCCGCGGGCTGCGGGAGCGAGCCTGGGCGGGCGGGTAAGGCTGTGGAACCGGAGTCTGGAGAGTCTGCTGGCTGCGCACAAACACGGCTGTGCTTCTGGGCAGATGAATGGAGGGCAAGCCAGCCCCGGGCAGAAGATAGAACAGAGAGGAAGCTGGGGAGCCGGGTGCAGTAACTCGAAATCCCAGCACTTTAGGAGGCCGAGGAGGGCGGATCCCTTGAGGCTAGGAATTCCAGAGCAGCCTGGGCAACATAGGGAGAGTCTGGGTGTGGTGGCCTGCGCCTGTAAACCCAGCTACTCGGGAGGCTGAGGCAGAAGGATCGCTTGAGCATAGGAGTTTGAGGCTGCAGTGAGCTATGATTGTGCCACTGTGCTACAGCCTGGATAGTAGAGTGAGACTCCATCTCTAAAAAATAGAAATAAGAAAAAGAGGAAGCCAGGTGCAGGCTCAGGAGGCTGACGCAGGAGGATCACTTGAACCCAGGAGGCTGACGCAGGAGGATCACTGGAACCCAGCAGTCTGAGACTAGCGTGCAAGGATCACCCCTGTGAATAGCCACTGCACTCTAGCCTGGGTGACATAGCGAGACTCTGTCTCCTCCTCCCCATAATAATAATAATAATAATAAAGAGGAATCTGGTGCTGGCATAGAGGTACAGGCTGGATGGGAGGGTGGTCAGGATGGGGCAAGGGGCCGAGACCACAAATGGTCCTGCTCCTGGGGCTTAGAACGGGACCTGGTTCTCCAGGGAGGTGAAGAGGAGCAAGGCCAGAGCTCAGCAGCAGAAGCTGTGGTTTAAGAGAGAGGCTTGATTATAGATGTTAGGAAGTCAAGAGCCCAGTGCCTAGAACCTGGGCTGCAGACGGGGAATGAGGCTTATGGCTCCGTAATGGTGATGTAATGCTGACACCTCAGCTGTGGCACCACAGAGTCCTGTGTTACCCCTCCCTGTGCCCACACAAGATTACCAGAAACTACTTTGCATCCCATTGAATGCAATCTGCTCTGTGCCTCTTTTGTAAAATCTGCCCATTTACACATGGTGTTGCCACCCCAGCCTGGGAACTGAGCAGCAAGAGGAAGCCTCCCACCCGCCCCACTCCCAAGTAGCGTTTCCTTTTCCGGCTCCCACAGGCCCATTACATAACCTTTCTTAGGGCCCTCTGCACAGAGCTGTAATCTTTGGTAGAGGGGCAGGCTGTGCTTTAGAAGCCCGGAGCTCAGGCTGGGCGCGGTGGCTCACACCTGTAATCCCAGCACTTTGGGAGGCCGAGGCAGGTGGATCTCTTGAGGCCAGGAGTTCAAGACCAGCCTGGCCAACATGGCAAAACCCCGTCTGTACTAAAAATACAAAAAAATTTGCCAGGTGTGGTGGTGCATGCCTGTGATCCCAGCTACTCAGGAGGCTGAGGTGGGAGGATTGCTTGAGCCCAGGAGGTGGAGGTTGCAGTGAGCTGTTGCAACAGGGAACAACAGAGTGAGACTCTGCCTCAAAAAAAAAAAAAAAATAAAAAAATAAAAGGCCAGGCTAGGTGGCTCACGCCTGTAATCCCAACACTTTGGGAGGCTGAGGTGGGTGGATCGCCTGAGGTCAGGAGTTCGAGACCAGCCTGGCCAACATGGAGAAACCCCGTCTATACTAAAAATACAAAAATTAGCTGGGCATGGTGGCGGGCACCTGTAGTCCCAGCTACTCAGGAGGCTGAGGCAGGAGAATGACGTGAACCCGGGAGATGGAGCTTGCAGTGAGCTGAGATCACGCCACTGCACTCCAGCCTGGGTGACAGAGCGAGACTCCATCTCAAAAAAAAAAAAAAAAAAAAAAGAAGCCCAGAGCTCAAGATCTGGTCAGACTCCCTGGTTTGAACCTTGGCTCCTCTTGGGCAAATTACGCAACCTCAGTTACTTCATCTGTAAAACGGAAATTATAATAGTACTTACCTCTGCAGGATTCTTGTGAAGATAAAAGCCACAGAACAGTGGCTGGGCCCCAGAAGTGTTAGTGCTTTTGACGTTTCTGTAACCTTCACTAAACGTGACACCCTCCGGGGCCATTGTAGGCATTTTTGTACCCTCAGTGTCTAACATGTTACCCAGCAGGCACATGGATTCATTCAACAAGTATTTATTGAATGCCTTCTTCCAGGCCCTGGGATGCAGGGACATAGCCACCAATGAGACAAACTCCTGCCCCCATGGGGCTGACATTGTGCTGGGGGAGACAGACTGTAAGCAAGTGAACAAGGACACAAATAATACAGTTTCAGGCCAGGTGCGGTGGCCTACACCTGTAATCTCAGCACTTTGGTAGGCCAAGGTGGGCAGATCACGAGGTCAGGAGTTCGAGATCAGCTTGACCAACATGGTGAAACCCCATCTCTACTAAAAATACCAAAATTAGGCAGGTGTGGTGGTGCACATCTGTAATCCCAGCTACTCAGGAGGCTGAGGCAGGAGAATCGCTTGAACCTGGGAGGAGGAGGTTGCAGTGGGCCGAGATCATGCCACTGTACTCCAGCCTGGACAACAGAGCGGGACTTTGTCTACCACCGCACCCTCCCCGCCAAGAAGAACAATTTCAGCTAGTGATAAGTGGTATAAAAAAATAAGTTGGGGTCCTGTAATCGAGTGACCTAAGATGTGTGAGATACATGGTTGGTGGTTTTTTTGTTTGTTCCTTTGTTTTACTTTTTATTTTTTTGAGATACAATCTTGCTGCTCTGTTGCCCCAGGCTGCAGTGTTGTGGTGTGATCATAGCTCACTGCAGCCTCCAATTCCTGGGCTCAAGGGATCCTCCTGCTTCAGCCTCCCAAGTAGCTGGGACTACAGATGTGTGCCACCACACCCAGCCACCCAGCTAATTTTTAAATTTTTTGTAGAGACAGGGTCTCACTTTCTTGCCCAGGCTGGTCTTAAATTCCTGGCCTCAAAGGATCCTCCTGCCTCAGCTGCCTCCCAGAGTGTTGGGATTACAGGCCTGAGCCACCGTGTCTGGCTGGGGGTGCTATTTTAAAAAGAATGGACAGAAAATTTCTGCGAGGATTTGACGTTTGAACAATGGTCTTATCTAAGCGACAATCTGAGAGACAGCTGTCCAGACACAGGGAGCAGCAAGTACTAGCATGGCCTCTTTGTGTTTGAGCCAGGAGAGGAATAAAGGTGAGGGTGAGGGAGGCAAGAGGTAAGCAGAAGGTAGGGAGGCCAGGGAGGGGAAGGAGGGTGATGGAACGAACGTACCGGACAGGGCGTGGAAAGCGTTCGGGGCCTGGCTGGGAGTTTGGGATATGTCCTTTTTGCAATGGGAGCCACTGAGAGTTCTAAAACCAGAAGTGACATAATCTGATTCATGTTTCTTGGCTGTGTGCAGAGCTTTGCAAGAATGGCAACAGGGATAAAAGTCCTGAGACCAGGGAAAACCCAAGGGTCTTGGATTTGTGTGGATGGCTGAGGTAAAGGAGACTCATTCCATGGCCTTTTCTGGAAAGCTGGGTCATCTGTTACCAGTTTTATTGATTGTCTTCTGTAGCAGGTTGAATAGTGTCCCCTCAAAATCTGTGTCTGCCTGGAACCTCAGAATCTGATTGTATTTGAAAATAGGGGTGTTTTTTTTTTTTTTTTTTTTTTTTTTTTGAGACAGGATCTCACTCTGCTTGCCCAGGCTGGAGTACAGTGGTGCGATCACAGTTCACTGCAGCCTTGACTTCCCAGGCTCAGGTGATCCTCCCACCTCAGCCTCCCGAGTAACTAAGACTACAGGCTTGCACCACCATGGCTGGCTAATTTTTGCATTTTTAGTGGAGACAGGGTTTCGCCATGTTGCCCAGACTGGTCTCAAACTCCTAGACTCAAGTAATCCACCTGCCTCGGCCTCCTAAAGTGCTGGGATTACAGGTGTGAGCCACTGCACCTAGCCGGCAGTAGGGTTTTTGCAGATGTAATTAGTGAAGGGCCTCAAGATGAAATAATCCCGAAATTAGAGTGGGACCTGTATCCAATGACTGATGTCCTTATAGGAAGGGGAGCGGACATAGAGAGACACAGGGAGAAGATAGCCCCTTGAACATGGAGGCAGAAGTTGGGGTGTTGCAGCCACGAGCCAGGGAACGCCTGGGGCCACCAGAAGCTGGAAGAGGCAAGGACAGATTTCCTCCAGAGCATGGCCCTGCTGATACCTTGATTTTGGGCTTCTACCCTGCAGAACTGCGGGAGAACACATTTCTGTTGCTTTAGGCACTTGGTGATACTGTGTTTCTGCAGCCCTAGGAAACTAATGCACCTCCTAAGCATCACTGGTTTCTTAGGAATATTTGCATTGGGGTGCAGGCATGAGAGAGGCCTCATCAGGAAGACTGGCCATTCTATAGACCTTCCTTAAGCCCTGGAGAGGTGGGTGGTCTTACCAGGAACTCAAAGGAGCTCTAAGATCCCAGAGGAGGTCCCTGAGAACGAATGAACAAATGAATGAATGAAAGGGCCCAAGGCCGAGTGCGGAGGCTCGGGCCTGTAATCCCAGCACTTTGGGAGGCCGAGGCGGGCGGATCACTTGAGGTCAGGAGTTGGAGACCAGCCTGGCTAGCATGGCGAAACCCCATCTCTACTAAAAATTACAAAATTTAGCTGGGCGTGGTGGCACACATCTGTAATCCCAGCTGCTGGGGAGGCCAAGGCAGAGAATTGCCTGAACCTGGGAGGCGGAGGTTGCAGTGAGCGGAGATCTCGACACTGCACTCCATCCTGGGCGGCAGAGCGAGACTCTGTCTCAAAAAAAGAAAAAAAGAAAAAAAAAGAAGAGAAAAGAAAAAAGAAAAACAAAGATCCTAAGACAGGGCTGTGTCTGACCTTCAGGTCACTCAATAGCCCTAGCCATGAACGTTGTAATTGACCCTCTGCAGCACATAGACCTCTAGTCAGTGCAGCCACCATCATTCCGCTGTGTGCCTTCTAAGCTGTTCTGGGTTGTAAGATCTTTGTTAGAATTTGGATAAAGAGAACAGAGTTCTAAGTGACTTTTTTTTTTTTTTTTTTTCTGAGACAGAGTCTCGCTCTATCGCCCAGGCTGGAGTGCAGTGGTGTGATCTCCGCTACTGCAACCTCTGCCTCCTGGGTTCAAGAGATTCTCCTGCCTCAGCCTCCCCAGTAGCTGGGATTACAGGCACCTGTCACCATGCCTGGCTAATTTTTGTATTTTTAGTACAGACAGGGTTTCACCATGTTGGCCAAGCTGGTCTTGAACTCCTGGCCTCAAGTAATCTGCCTGCCTCGGCCTCCTAAAGTGTTGGGATTACAGGCGTGAGCCACCGTGCCCAGCTGGGCCTAAGTGACTTTCTAATGCACAGAATGTGTGAATTTTAGAATATGATCTTTTACCATCCAGTTTTCTGGACTCAGAAGTAACTTTTCCTTCCTCTCTTTTAAATGTTCATTAGGTCAAATTAGAACTGAAGAAGCAACCCTGAGGTATAATACTCTGCCCCAGCAACAAAAAGCAGTACTGCTGCTGACTTACGGCTACTATTCTGAGTTGAAAGTGCTGAAAAGAAAACTCCAGGCCATGCGCATTTAATTTGATTGTAATCCTGCCAGAGATCCACCTGCTTTGCTCCCATCCGTTTCCCTTGGCCTGTCCTGTAGAAAGGGACTGCAATTGAGCACTTTTTTAAATTAAAAAAATGACCTGCACTCTCCACAAAATACAGGTCCAAATGGCAGTAGCTTATTGGTCATCAGTTTCTCCTAGGAAACCTGGGCCACAAGTTTCTGGTTGGTTTCGGACACACAGTAGGTGCTGAATTAATTAAAGGTGTTTCTTTAATTCAGCCCAGAAGCATCTGATTTGCTTAGGAAATTGATTAGGCATATATTACCTGGATGATGTCAATTTCTATGTAACCATTTCTCTCCTGTGTAATTGATGAGCCTCCTAATGTTGATTTTATTTTATTTTACCAAGCACTGTATTTAGTTAATAAAAAATACAGAATAGGATTCAAAACAGCTGTGTTTGCTATTGGCATGGCCGTCACCCTCCTAATACCTGTGCATGTCATAATAGACTACATTTGCAGAAACAAAAGGTTAGGAATAAAAAGATGACTTTTGTCCCTCCAGCTGCCAGTGACAACCCACAGCCTCAGCTTATGGTATTTATTTAATCTTGTATCTGTGATAGGGCTCTGAGACACTTCTGTGAAGCAGATGTTTGAAGATCTGACAATTATGGAAGAAAATTTCTCATAGAAAAAGATATGTTCTCCAGCCTTGGGCGGGGGCCTGACATTACTCTTCCACATTTCACTCATTCATTTATTGAAAAATGAAAAATTATATATATTTATAATATACCAGGTGATATTTTGATATGTGAATACATTGTTGAATTATTATGTTAAGCTAATTAACATATCTCTCACCTTACATACTTATTTTTTGTTGATGAGATGGACATTTCTTTTTTAAGTATGCTTAAATGTGTTCACGGATTGTGTGAAATTTTTGGCATCCCGTTTCTTGATATACCACCTTTTGCCACATTTCTTGTTTATATAGTATGTATCTCAGCCGGTGATGAATCAAGGAAAAAGATAAAGAAAAACAAACAAACAAACAAAAAAGCAAACAAACAAGTTAAAACAAACCCAAAACCTTCTTTCCCAGTAGGCAGTAATTTGGGATGTAAAATGTATGAGGTAGGCAGGAGGAAGATGAAAAGTCTGTCTGAAATGAGAACTGTCTGTTGGCTTAATTCAGGTGATCACAGATTGTCTGTAGCCTTGAGCAAAGCCTAGAGAATAGTGAGGCTAGTAAAACACTAGCCCTTGGGCTCAAAATTTAAGATGGCACCAAAAAACTAAAAATCAGGGTAAATAATATTTTGATGCAATATTTTTAAAAAATAAAAATTAATGCACAATACTCTACAATGAACAAAATATCAAAATGCTAAAGACAGGCTCTAACCCCGCACTGGCAAACGCAACCTCACTTGTCTCCTTCTAATCCTGGCCTTGACCCCTAATAACAAAAAGTAAGATCATCTAGACCTCAAAAGGAAAAGTTGCTAGTCCCTCTAAGCCTTCGTTTGCTCTGGGTTTGAATCCAAACTCTGTTATGACCAACTTAGTGAAATCAGGCAAATTACTCAACCTCTGTAACTTCCTTTTGAAAAATGGAGATGTTTTCTCTTGCAAGACTTTTTATTTATTTATTTATTTATTTATTTATTTATTTATTTATTTATTTATTTGAGACAGGGTCTCACTCCATTGCCCAGGCTGGAGTGCAGTGGTGCCATCATGGCTCACTGCAGTCTCTACCTCTCCAAGCTTGGGTAATCCTCCCACCTTAGTCTCCCAAGTAGCTGGGACTACAGGCATGCACCGTCATGCCTGGCTGATTTTTTTTTTGAAAAAAAATTTTTTTTATAGGGATAGGGGTCTTGCCATGTTACCCAGGCTGGTCTCTTAACTCCTGGGCTCAAGAAATCTGCCCACCTCAGCCTCCCAAAGTGCTAGGATTACAGACGTGAGCCATCACGCCTAACCTCTTGCAGGACTTTTGGGGTGGTTTAAAAATTACGCCTGTGTAGCACTGGGAACATTATGACACCCAATAAATACCAAATAAACAACAGCTTTAAATATTATAATTCATAATGATTCACAGAGTATTAAGATCCCCAGGCGATGCAACCAGGTAGTACCTAAGTGTATCAGTCTTGGGTGCATCTGTCAGGGTTAACCTGGCTTTGTTTTTAACTTTACAGGACATATCAGAGTATAGCTATTGTGCCTGTGCTTTGAACACTCAAACATCCGCTCAACTGCTAAGTAACTGATTTCCTGTTTAGTCACAGCTCCTTGTCTGGGACCAGCCACTGGCAGCAAATTGTCATCTTCTGTATCTCCCTCTCAAAGCAACTCAGCCTTCTGAAGACGTGTAGAAGTTAGGTCTCGCAGGCTTGTATTTATTAAGCCCCCCCCCGCCACCCATCAGTCCCCAGTTATTTTGAGTGTCTCAAACGCATTTCCCACACCTGATGATTCATCTGAGGACGACTCACCCTTGTTGTCACTGACACTGTCCACAGCCCAGAGCTCAGCCTCTGATTTGCTCGGCAGAGATGGGGCTATGTACATATCGTGTGAGACGGAAGCTAACATAAGCAGAGGAGAAATCACGGAAGCAAAGTGAAGTGGGAATCCAGTTAATACTTGGAACAGAAAACTGGAAAGCAGCTCATTCATTCTCTCCGATTGTAAAAGGCGGATGGAAACAACACTTTTGTCAGCCTTTCTTCTAATCCGATCACAGCTGTAAAGACCATAAAGCCAAGCCCCGACGTCAATTATTCTTCTCCCTGTTCCTAAGAATGTGAAATTAGATGGGGAAAAGTGACAGAAGAGTGTCACTAAAATAACTTATTACACTTTGAGGGTCTTAGTCGTCATTAATAGTTGTTACTTTTTGAATATTCATCAGTGCGCCCTGCTGTTCGGCAAGAGAGGCTGTATGAAGTAGGAACTGCACACGCCTGGCTTCAGTCATGTATGCCTTGGATTTAAGCTCTTCTTTTCCACTTAATTAGTTAACAGGAACTTACTGAGCTGGGTGCAAAATGATACAGAAGAATAGGAGAATGGGATTGTAACCCCTGAAGCGTTTGTGATTTAGTTGAGTAGAATAAACTCTGCTGAGCCCAAGCTGAGCCTCAGCCTCATGCACCTGCTGTATTTCCACATTCTTTCATTTCTGCCCCAGAAATGTTGCTTGAATCTGGTTTCTCCTCTTTAACCATCTAAACTTTTACTATTGCTTTAGGACTGCCTCTCCTCATTTATTGCTATGTTGATTGCACTGCCCTGCCAAACCATATTGGAGCTGGATCAGGGGAAAATAAGCATATATATATATATATATATATATATATATATATATATATATATGCATGAAAATATCCTCCCATATTGTGGACCAAGTGGAAAAGTTAATGAAGCTCTACAATGAAAAAAAAAGTTGACTATGAGTAAAGTCTCATGTTGTCCAATCTGTAATCCTATTATTGTCAACCCTCGTAAGCCCGCCCAGTGGATGAGGTGGTGGGAGATGACGAGGGTGGGATGGGCATTCTGCAGCCAGTGGGGAAGAAGGCAGGGCCCTAAAACAAACAAGAACAAGCATATCTTTATTTAGAATTTGGATGTATTTTCATCGTGAATTTCCTTTGCATTCATTTTGATTAAAAAAAAATGCATTATGGCTGGGCGTGGTGGCTCACGCCTGTAATCCCAGCATATTGGGAGGCTGAGGCAAGTGGATCACTTGAGCCCAGGAGTTTGAGACCAGCCTGGCCAACGTGGCAAAACCCTGTCTCTACCAAAAATACAAAAATATATATATATATTAGCTAGGCATGGTGGTGTGCACCTGTAGTCCCAGCTACTTTGGAGGATGAGGCAGGAGAATTGCTTGAACCAGGAGACGAAGGGTTGCAGTGAGCTGGGATTGCATCACTGCACTACAGCCTGGGCAACAGAGCAAGACTCTGTCCCAGAAAAACTAAAAAAAATGCATTAAAATAATATTTATCTGTATTGCTGAGGTTTGAGGCACCCTCTTAAATTTTACACCTAGGCAATACCTCCAGCTCTCACACTAATCCAGGCTCTGGTCTATTACAAAAGTCCCCGCGGGCTCTGACCTACACAGCTGCCAGTTACCTTCCTAACAGACGACCAGTGATCATGTCACTTTCTTGTTAATCCAGACTGCTGGGAGCGAAAATTCAGCCCCCTCGGTTTGGCGTTGAAGCCCCTTTACAATCTGGCCCCCACCTAACCCACCAGGGCGCCTGCCCTGTCTGGCCCTGTTCCCACCTCTCTTGCCTCATCAAACTTCTGCCAGACTGCACCTTTGTCCATGCTCTGCTGTCTGCCTGAATTGTGCCCCTGTCTCCTGAATTGTGTCTCCAAGCCCCTTCACCTAAAATATTCCTGTTAGCTCTCAAGTTTCACCTCAGATATCCCTGACTGGCTGGGCAGACTTCTTAGACTCTCGCAAGCAGGCTTCTTTGTTCTGTTTTCCCATAGGAAATTGTTCGTTTCCACTCAATTCATATCTTGGTGGTTGCATTCATTTTTCGACTGTGATTTATCTGTTTACCGGTGTCCCTAGTTCCACTGCCAGCTCCTTGAGGCGAGCAACCGGGGCTTTTCATGTCTAATGAATAAATGAATACAATTTGACACAGTGAAAAAGGCAGGAACAGCAACCATAAAAAATCCATGAAAAACAAAAGCACAGAGGACAATAGGCAGAGAGGACACTGGTCTTTTTTTTTTTTTTTTTTGAGGGGGAATTCTCACTCTTTTGACCAGGCTGGAGTGAAGTGGTGTGATCTTGGCTCACTGCAACCTCTGCCCCCAGGGTTCAAGCGATTCTCCTGCCTCAGCCTCCTGAGTAGTTGGAATTACAGGCGTCTGCCACCACGCCTGGCTAATTTTTGTATTTCTAGTAGAGACGGGGTTTTGCCATGTTGGCCAGGCTGGTCTCGAACTCCTGACCTCAGGTGATCTGCCTGCCTCAGCCTCCCAAAGTGCTGGGATTACAGGCGTGAGTCACTGCGCCCGGCCGACACTGGTCTTAAAATCAGGAGAACCTGGATTTGGCTTTTGGTCTTGTCATTAGCCAGCTTTACAACTCTGTCATTATTTTCAGATTTTTTACTATGGAAACTTTAAAATTGTAGCAAAAATAGAACAGCCTGATGAACCCACATGTACCCATCATCCAACTAGAACAATGTGGGTTCATCAGGTTTCTTGTCATACTGCCCCGCTCTGCTACCCCCATCCCTGGATTGTTTGGAAGCAAATCCTAGACCTTACTGTCACTTCACATATAATTATTAAAGGAAGAACATGAACATTGTAATTGATTGCAAACTCACCATGAACCTGGTGGAAAGAAGAGATCACAATAGGCCGAGATCACGGGGAAGCTCTTGGAAGCAAGTTATGAAGGAGGAATACGGATTTTGGCAGAGAAAGTCTGTAAGTAGGAAGCTGTAAATCATGTGTCCAACATGTGGTGAGCAGATTGTTTTATCTGGAGTGGGGACTGGGTGGCGGAGGGGGGTGAGCAGAGGAAAATCTAGGCCTGGGACAGAGAGGCAGCCTTTGGGCAATGGGACAGACTGGAGACTCTTTTAGTTTTATGTAATGCAAGGGCTAAGGAAAAAACTTTGCCTTTGTCCCCTGAAGGTTTGCTGAAAAATCAACTGACAAAAAGCAGATTAATAGAAGAGAAGGCTGGCCAGGCGCGGTGGCCCACGCCTGTAATCCCAGCACTTTGGGAAGTTGAGGCAGGAGGATCGCCCAAGGTCAGGAGTTCGAGATCAGCCTGGCCAACATGGTGAAACCCTGTCTCTACTAAAAATACAAAAATTAGCCGAGCGTGGTGGCATGTGCCTGTAATCCCAGCTACTCGGGAGGCTGAGGCAGGAGAATCTCTTGAACCCAGGAGGCGGAGGTTGCAGTGAGCCAAGATCGCACCACTGCACTCCAGCCTGGGCGACAGAGCGAGACTCGGTCTCAAAAAAAAAGAAGGCAAGGTATATAAGTGTATTAGTGTGCGCTGTGGGAGGAGGGAGGAACACAGAGTGATTACCCATATCCTAGTGGGGTACAGATGTTTATATGTCTTGTTTTTTTTAGGGGAAAAGGAGATGGGGAAGTGTGGATGATTTTAGGGAGGTAACAGATGATTTTTAGGGGAATTCAATGAGCTTGAAGAACATACAATGGCTTGGGACAAAGTCTGTTTGGGCAGACAATGGTTTGTGACAAAAATCTTTCCAGGTGTGTTGACCGACTTCAGTGTTTTGCCCTGTGATATGGGTTCAGTTAATGAAAACTCAGGGAGGGAATGGATCAGAGGTGATTGTTTTCTTTTTTGCCAGGTCTAGACGTTAGGCAGATAAGGGAACTCCAGAGAATAACTTTTATTCTGTGTTTTGGGAGGACAGAAATGATGGGAAAGGGAGGAAGATCAGAGATACATTGAGGCTTCTTCCTCAATTCAGCATGTCAAAGCGCCATATTTTGGGATACCGCTTTCTGAGCCCCAACAGTAACTAGGTATTATTTTGAAGGGTTGCATTCACACTTGTGACATGGAGTAAAGGCCAGTGGTAATATTTCTGTAGAGCGCTTTAGTTCTGTCTCTCAATGTACTTTCCTTGTTAACTAATTTCTCCTTTAGTAGCAAAAGGAATTGTGACAGGTGCATTTAAAGAAACTGTTACCTGCACCAACTACCAGGCATTCGTTAGTTGGGGAGAAATGAGAACTCATGTTTTCCATACTCAGCCCTACCCCAAGATGACCTGGCAACTGTACATTTTATCCCACTGGGTTTAATCCTTATTATGAATAACAGAGCGAAACTTTGTTATTCATGGGAGTGGATTTCTCCTGCTGAGAGAATTAGCGGCAATCTCATTCAGGAAGCTGCCTTCTGATGCAATGAGGTCTTTTGAACTGTGCATAAATAGAGGCCATTCTTTAGGCATTTGGAGCATAGGGCTTAAATTGCTCCAGAAGTTCCAATCAGACTCTAGGTATCTTTGGCTGTTTTTTTTGTATTTTTTTTGGTTTTTTTTGAGACAGAATCTCACTCTGTCGCCCAGGCTGGAGTGCAGTGGCACAATCTCGGCTCACTGCAACCTCTGCCTCCCGGGTTCAGGCAATTCTCCTGCCTCAGCCTCCCAAGTAGCTGGGATTACAGGCGTGCGCCACCATGCCCAGCTAATTTTTGTATTTTTGGTACAGACGGGGTTTCACCATGTTGGCCAGGATGGTCTCGATCTCTTGACTTCATGATCCACCCGCCTCGGCCTCCCAAAGTGCTAGGATTACAGGCGTGAGCCACCACACCCAGCCTTCTTTGACTGATTCTTCTCTGTGTGCGCATGTCCTGAGGTCACAAGTGGTAGTGTGCTCCGTATTGGTTTCTTGACCTGCCTCTTCAGGACTTTCTAAAATTAAGGTACAACCGATTCTTTTGCTGCAGTCCTTTCTGCCTAAAGAAGGAAGAAATTCTTCTGTTTTCAGAAAAAAAAAAAGGAAAATAAAAGAATATGCCAGCTTCACCAGGATAACCCACAGACATTGAGCATTAGGAGTATGGTACAAAAATAATTTCTTTCCTCATTAAGGTTTTTTTTTTTTTAATTTATGCTACGAGAAATAGAACAGAGTGAGCCTATTGTTGTCTTGCCATCCCAGAATCTCTTAGGAGGACAAAGAGAGATACTTTAGTGTTTGTAAAGGGAGGGTTGACTATTTGTGCAGGTTTCAAAACTCCTGCACCCCAAGTCCCCAGCAGAATAAGCCTCTCTGGGTCCATTGAATGGTGGGTTTTTGAATGGTGGATCTGGGGCCTTGTATGGCAGATGCACCTGACAGCCATAACCGAAGCACATCCTAAGAATGACCCTAAGGTTGGCCAGGCGTGGTGGCTCACGCCTGTAATCCCAGCACTTTGGGAGGCCGAGGTGGGTGGATTACTTGAGGTCAGGACTTTGAGACCAGCTTGGGCAACATGGTGAAACCCCATCTCTACTAAAAATACAAAAATTAGCCAAGTATGGTGGCGGGCACCTGTAATCGCAGCTACTGGGGAGGCTGAGGCAGGAGAATCGCTTGAACCCAGGAGGTGGAGGTTGCAGTAAGCCAAGATTGTGCCACTGCACTCCAGCCTGGGCCATAGAGTGAGACTCTGTCTCAAAAAAAAAAAAAAAAAAAAAAAAAAAGAATGACCCTAGGATCTAAGAAGAATGTGTGTTTGGACTTCCAAGCTAAGGAATCGGAGAGTGGCCAACCTGGAGATTCACTCCTTATCTATGACAGACATCCGAACCCCTAGCTCGTTCCTTGGAATGCAGGCCACCTAGGGGATGGAGGCCCTTTGCTTTGGGTTAAATGGAGGTTGCTAGGTGGGAGGGTGCTAAGTGAAAAACACAATATAAACTGCATGCTTAGTACAAACAGCAGTGGTTCTCCTGTCCAGCCTGCTGCCCCTGGAATGCCCCTTATGTAAGTCCTCAATAAACCCTGTCTCCCTCACTAGCTCCGGGTCTCTCTCTCTTTTTTAATGGAGTCTCCCAGGCTGGAGTGCAGTGGTACAATTATAGCTGACTACAGGCATGTACCACCACGCCCAGATAATTTTAAAATTTTTTTGTAGAGGCAGGGGTCTCACCATCTTGCCCAGGCTGTTCTCAAACTCCTGGGCCCAAGTGATCCTCCCACCTCAGACTCCCAAAGTGCTGGGATTTCAGGCCTGAGCCACCACGCCCATCCTGGGTCTCTTTTTTGGTGCCTCGGACATGGTGCCATCCCTGCTTGGAGTCAGCAGAGGTCTTACGCGACAGTCCTTGGAATGGTGGAAGCCTGTTTTGTTGTCTTTGATACTATGAAGGGACAAACCCCTGCTTTGAAGGTGTTTATTTCCTGAAATTTTTACCTGGGATCCCAGCTATCTCTTTCTTTCTTTCTTTCTCTCTCTGTCTCTGGGATCCCAGCTATCTCTTTCTTTCTTTCTTTCTCTCTCTGTCTCTCTCTTTCTTTCTCCTTCCTTCCTTCCTTCTTTCTTTCTTTCAGATGGGGTCTTGCTCTGTCGCCCAGGCTGGAGTGCAGTGGTGCGATCTCAGCTTACTGCAACCTCCACCTCCCAGGTTCCAGCGATTCTCCTGCTTCAGCCTCCGGAGTAGCTGGGATTAAAGGCGCACACCACCACACCAGGCTAATGTTGGTATTTTTAGTAGAGACAGGGGTTTCTCCATGCTGGTCAGGCTGGTGTCGAACTTCTGACCTCAGGTGATCCGCCCGCCTTGGCCTCCCAAAGTGCTGGGATTACAGGCATGAGCCACTGCGCCCGGCTGCATGACTTTTCTATAAAGCCTTATTTTAAATGATTTTGGGGGCTTAATTTAGGTGTTTTCATTTGCTTTTGGTCACAGTCTTTATGTGTCACTGAGTGTGTGGATGTGGGGGTTCTTCTACCCAGAGGAAAGTGATTTGATCACCTGGAACCAGGTGCTCTGAGAACTGGGGCAGCTTCCCTGACTTGCAGGAGAGGGTGCAGAGACTTCTTCGCTGGCATGTAGCTGCAGCCTAGAAAACCGCTTGGTGGTCCTCGTTCATGAACCTGCCGTTGGGGGTGCTTCATGCTTTATCTTGGTCTCTACCTTGATTAATCTCACCTCCGTTTCTCCGCTCCACTGGACCATTCTCTAGAACCCCTCTAGAACCACTGGACCATTCTCTTCTGTCAGAGTCCAGTGCTTCCAGTCTTTCCTGTGGGCTCTTATCTTCTGGTGCAAAGTTCTTTCTCACCTTCCACAGTCAAAATCACCATACTTACCTAGGCCATACTTACTAGGCTGGAGAGGCAGGTACATCAATCTTTCTTGTTTATTTGTTTGTTTGTTTGAGATGGGGTCTTGCTCTGTCACCCAGGCTGGAGTGCAGTGGCACGATCTCCTCCGCCTCCCGGGTTCAAGTGGTTCTCCTGCCTCAGCCTCCCCAGTAGCTGGGATAACAGTTGCATGCAACCATGCCTGGCTAATTTTTGTATTTTTAATAGAGACGGGGTTTTGCCATGTTGGCCGAACTGCTCTCGAACTCCTGACCTCAGGCAATCCTCCCGCCTCGGCCTCCCAAAATGCTGGGATTATAGGCATGAGCCAGCATGCTCAGCCAGGTACATTGATCTTCTAAGTATTTATTGTTCTGCTCCTTATTCAGTGCTAACATTTTTATTTTCTTATTCTTTTTCCCTGTCACTTGAAGATCGTCACCCAAGCAATAAATCCATTTGGTTGTACTTATTTAATTTTCTCTGACTTTCTAAGGAGTGACACAGCAAAGTGCCTTATCTTGCATTTCTTTCCTTTTCCGTGTTCTAGTTGGAAAGGCTCAGAGTTTGGGAGAAGTTAAACGTGACTCAGAGAATTGCTTTTGATGGTGGTGCCGATACACACATCTTTTGAAGCTTAGATTGGGTATTGTCAATTTAATTTGGAGTCTATCAGCCTGTAGTGTTCTAATCACCTATTTTGAAGCCTTGCTGACGACCCGAGATTCCTTGTTAAACTGCCACTGGAATAAGCATAACACTTTTCATTAAAGGAAAAAGAAAATGTTACTTAAAGTAATAGGCACACCCTTTTATTTTCTTGACAGATAGCAAAGAAAAAAATCTTCTGTCTTTACCTTGACAAGACATGTACCATTGCTGGGAGGTTTTGCTTGTATGAGAACTTCAACGTTAGAATCTAGACATCTCGGAGAATTGAAACTCAACAAGTTTCTCTGTTTTGGGGTGGAGAAAAAGGACAAAAAGTTGTCATATACAGCTAGCTGTCCAAACAGTCAAATACGAAAGCTAATTTATCTTTTAAAAGGTTAATTCTTTGATGCCTCTATCACAGTTAGTGTTAAAATGAAAGCATTGGAAACAAACTCTTTTTCTGTTAGCTCAGATTTTAAAAAAATTCTTTTTGCAGAGATGGGGGTCTCACTATGTTGCTCAGGCTGGTCTTGAACTCTTGGCCTCAAGCGATCCTTCTGCCTTGGCCTCCCAAAATGTTGGAATTACAGGGGTGAGCCACTGAGCCAGATTTTGAATATTTTAATTACTTAACTGCTTGTCTGTCTGGCAATGAGATAAGCGCAGTAGCCAGTGATTACCAACAGTTAAACAGAAGAACAAGTCACATAAACAACACTTATACTTCCTGTAAACCCAATTAAAACCACATTTCAGGTTTGCTCTTATGATTTAGAAGTAAATTTAGAATCAGTTTCATGAATCTTGCAGTATTTTTCAAATTAATGTCTTTAGGCATTTGGACAATGGGCTGTGTGAATGCAAACTGCGTTTTCTTCAATTGCTATCAATTAGAGACAGTTAAGAACTCAACTGATGAAGAAATAGCCACCTGAAAGTGAGCCCACAGGCAAGTCACAGGCCCCTCTTCCTCCTGAAGGTGCACGGGAGACTTCGTTAAAAAAAAAAAAGCTGTAGTAAAATACGTATAAGATAAAAATTTACCATTTTAAGTTTCTTTTTTTTGAAGACGAAGCCTTGCTCTGTCACCCAGGCTGGAGTGCAGTGGTGTGATCACAATTCACTGCAGCCTCACCCTCTCCGGCTCAAGCGATCCTCCCACCTCAGCCTCTCGAGTAGCTGGGACTACAGGCGCACACCACCGTGCCCACTAATTTGTTGTAGTTTTAGTAGAGACGAGATTTTCGCTGTGTTGCCCAGGCTGGTCTCAAATTCCTGGGCTCAAGTGATCCACCCGCATCAGACTCCCAGAGTGCTGGGAAGGTGTGAGCCACCATGCTCGGCCCATTTTAAGCATTGTAAATTGTACAATTTAGTGGCATTAAGTATTTTCACAATGCTGGGCAACCATCATCACTGTTCACTTTCAGAACTTTTTCATCATTCCAAATAGAAATTCCACCCATTAAACACTAACTCCCCAATGTCCCCTTCCCCCACCCTCTGGTAACCTTTATCCTATGTTCTGCCTCTATGAATTGGCCTATTCTAGGTACCTCATAAAAGTAGAATCAATATTATGTGTTCTTCTGTATCTGGCGTCTTTTTCTTAGCATGTTTTCAAGGTTCAGCTGTAGCCCATATCAGAATCTAATTTCTTTTCCTTTTTTTGAGACAGAGTTTCACTCTTGTCACTCAGGCTGGAGTGCAGTGGCACGATCTTGGCTCACTGCAACTTCCGCCTCCTGGGTTCAAGCAATTCTCCTGCCTCAGCCTCCTGAGTAGCTGGGACTACACGCGCGCGCCATCACACCCAGCTAATATTTGTATTTTTAGTAGAGACGGGGTTTTGCCATGTTGACCAGGCTGGTCTCGATCTCCTGACCTCAGGTGATCCACCCACCTTGGCCTCCCAGACTGCTAAGATTACAGGTGTGAGCCACCGTGCCTGGCTAAAAATTCTTTTTTGCACATGATAAACTCACCTATCTTAAGTGTAAAATGAATAAGTTTCAGTAAAACAACAAAAGCTCTTAAGTTTTAGTAAATCCATACATCTGTGCAGCCATCACCGCAGTCCAGTTTTAGAACTTTCCATTCCCCCCTAAACATCCTCCTTGCCTGTTTGTGGTCAGTTCTTGCTCTTACCCTGATCCCCGGCAACTAGTGATGTGATTTACGTCTCTATAGTTTTGTCTTTTCTAGTAATTTCGTATAAAAATTATACAACATGTAGTCCTTTGAGACTGACCTTTTTTTTTTTTGTTTTGTTTTTTTTTGAGACAGAGTCTCGCTCTGTCGCCCAGGCTGGAGTGCAGTGGCGCGATCTCGGCTCACTGCAATCTCCGCCTCCCGGGTTCATGCCATTCTCCTGCCTCAGCCTCCAGGGTAGCGGGCACTACAGGTGCCCACATCACGCCTGGCTAATTTTTGTA
The DNA here is from genome assembly GCF_000001405.40 of Homo sapiens. NCBI lineage: Eukaryota > Metazoa > Chordata > Mammalia > Primates > Hominidae > Homo > Homo sapiens. The sequence continues at coordinate 67,451,813 of NC_000017.11, forward strand.
TTTTTAGTAGAGATGGAGTTTCACCATGCTAGCCAGGATGGTCTCAATCTCCTGACCTCGTGATCCGCACACCTCGGCCTCCCAAAGTGCTGGGATTACAGGCCTGAGCCACCACGCCTGGCCGAGACTGGCTTCTTTTACTCAACATAAAGTTTTTGAGTTCATTCGTGTTGTTGAATGCATCAGTGGTTGGGTTTTTTTTTTGTTGTTGTTTTTTGAGATAGGGTCTCACTGTGATCACCCAGGCTAGAGTGCAATCACAGTTCACTGCAGCCTCCACCTCCTGGGCTCAAGTGATCCTCCCAACGTCATCCTCCTGAGTAGCTGGGACTACAGGCACATGCCACCACACCTGGCTAATTTTTGTATTTTTGTTTTGTATAGACGGGGGTCTCACTATGTTTCCCAGGCTAGTCTCGAACTCCTGAGCTCAAGCAGTCTGCCTGCCTCAGCCTCCCAAAGTGCTGGGACTACAGGCGGGAGCCATCATGCCTGGCCAATAGCTGGTTCTTGTTTTACTGCTAATAGCATTCCATTATAGGGATGTACCACATTTTGTTTATTCATCACCAGTTGATAGAGATTTGTTTCTAATTCGGGGCTACTGTGAATATTGCTGCTGTGATCATTTGTATACAATTCTTGGATGGACATGTGCTTTCGTTCCTCTTGGGAAGATACTTTAAGGAGTGGAATTGCTGGGGTTTTTTTTTTTTTTTGAGATGGAGTCTCACTCTGTCGCCAGGCTGGAGTCACTGCAACCTCCTCCTCCTGGGTTCAAGTGATTCACCTGCCTCAGCCTCCCAAGTAGCTGGGACTACAGGCGTGCGCCACCACGCCCAGCTAATTTTTGTATTTTTAGTAGAGACAGGGTTTCACCATGTTGGCCAGGATGGTCACGAACTCCTCATGATCCACCCACCTCGGCCTCCCAAAGTGTTGTGATTACAGGCGTGAGCCACTGGGCCTGGCCACTGGGTCTTATATTAAACTTATGTTTAACTTATAAAGAAATTGCCAGGCTGTTTTCCAAAGTAGTTCTTGCATTTTTTTACTCTCACTAGCAACATATGAGCGTTTTGGGTTTGCCACATCCTTGTCAGTACTTGGTATTATCCGTCTTTTGTTTGTAGCGATTCTAATGAGTGTGTGGTGGTATCTCACTGTGGTTTTACTTTGCATTTCCTGTACTCTTTTAAAACTGCTTTCCATTATAGAACATGTTGTGTTGTGCTGTTATATATATAAAGCTTCTGCTCACCTGTGAGCTACTCTGTCTAGCTGATTGATCCAGTATTGTGTCCGGGGGCAGGGTACATGGAAAATGCTTAGGGTTTGTTGAGTGAATGAGCAAACTGATACTTTGTAGGAGTGGCCAATTTTCAAATATTTTAGGTAACAGAAAACAGTGGTGAATCAACTCAAAAGATGAGGTACCAGTCAAATCTCTTCCCTTTTGTCAGTTTCTAAGTAGTATTAAACTTGAGTGAACTAAGTTTTACTTTTTTTTCCTTTGCTTTGCTTACCCCTTGGTGAGAGGTAATGGAGAAAATATAGACAGAGCAGGAGGAGGAAAGAAACTCAATCTCGAAATGACTAAGAGCTTGTGGAGCAGCTTGGGAGAGAACCAGCTGGGTTATTGGCTACTCTGTAGTTCCAGGTGTGGGGAATTATTCTCATCAATACCGTGACCGCCTGCCACTCCCCTCTGCCCTCTTTCTTTGTGTTAATTAGAGCAGGGGTCTGCAAACATTTTCTGTAAAGAGAGTAAACAAATATGTCAGGCTTTGTGGGCCAAGAGAAAACATCAGCGACGTTGTGGAGGTGCTTACATAACGACAGACAAAACAAATTTCCATGAATTTTTATCGATGAAACTCCAAACATAGTAATGGGGTACGATTTTCTGTAACACAAGTCTGCTAATGAGAAGAATTGAATTATTTGAGGGAGGAAAACATTTTGCTTAATTGGAAGTTCAGAGTTAATGTTTCCTATCATCATGGTAGAAATGTGGCCTCATTCTTCTACAAAGCTTCTCTGATATGCAGTGGTCTTCCCTCCTGAGAATTCACCAGAATGTACTGGCTTGATTTGCCCTTGATTTGTTGGGGAACTTTTCACATGGGGGAAGCACATTAAGAGTACAGGCTCGGGCTGGGCGTGGTGGCTCACGTCGGTAATCGCCAGCATTTTGGGAGGCCAAGGCGGGCAGATCGCCTGAGGTCAGGAGTTGGAGACCACCCTGGCCAACATGGTGAAACCCCGTCTCTACTAAAAATACAAAAATTACCTGGGCCTGGTGGCGGGCACCTGTAATCCCAGCTACTTGGGAGGCTGAGGCAGGAGAATCGCTTGAACACGGGAGGCAGAGGTTGCAGTGAGCCAAGATTGTGCCACTGCACTATAGCCTGGGACACAGAGCAAGACTCCGTTCTCAAAAAAAAAAAAACAAAACCCAAAAGAGGACAGGCTCTAGGGTAAGACTCTGGGGTCTGAATTCCAGCTCAACAACTTATTAACTATGTGATCTTTCACTACTTACATAACCCATCTAAAAGCTTTGGTTTCCTGATCTATAAAATGAATAATAGTACCTATTTCACAGAGTTGCTGTATAGATTAAACACAAAGATTTAGAATGACATATTATACTTTTTATTCTTCTTTTGATTTTTTTTCAACCATTTAAAAATGTAAAACCATTCTTAAGTCATGGGCAGTATGAAAACGGGTGGCAGGGCCTGCAGGATATAGTTTGTGGACCCTGCATTGGAGTATGAACTTGAATTATTGCCGTTTACTTTAGAAACGATGATTGCTTTTTTCCTAATTGCAAAGCACCATATGTTCACTGCAGAAAACTTGGAAAACACAAAAAAGCACAATAAAACAAAAGCCATTCAGAATCTCCACCATCCAGAGACGTTTCATGAGTAGTATGTTGCCCCATAGCCTTCCAGACAATTGTGTACATAATACACATATTTCATTATTTTTTATTTTCCTTTTTTTTTTTTTTTTTGAGTCAGGGTCTCACTGTGTCACCCAGGCTGGAGTGCACTGGTGCAATCACAGCTCACTGCAGCCTCCACCTCCAGGGCTCAAGCAATCCTCCCACTTCAGCCCCCTGAGTAGCTGGGACTACAGCTGCATGCCACCAGGCCTGGCTAATTTTTATTATTTTTTGTAGAGATGGGGTCTTGCTATGTTGCCCAGGCTGGTCTTGAACTCCTGAGCTCAAGTGATCCTCCTGCTTTGGCTTTCCAAAGTGCTGGGTTAACAGGTGTGAGCCTCTGTACCCAGCCTACACATATTTCAAAGTAAAACCCAAGCCCATACTATGCATACTGCTTTGTATCTTTTTCACCTATTAATATGCAATGCTTGTCATTAATATTCTTCTATAACCTGAATTTTAATGGCCACATACTATTCTGTTATACTGTGTTAAAATTTACTAAAGCAATTTCCAACAACATTAATGCTGTTTTGAATTTTTCACCATTAGACTGAACTCAGCAATAACCTGGTACATACATGCTTATACACATCTCTTGATTCATTCCTTGGGATAAATTACAAAATTTAATCACTGGGTGACAGGGTATCTACATTTTTATTTATTTATTTATTTTGAGACAGACTCTCGCTCTGGAGTGCAGTGATGCAATCCCGGCTCACTGCAACTTCCGACTCCTGGGTTCAAGCGATTCTCCTGCCTCAGCGCCAGAGTAGCTGAGGTTACAGGTGCGCACCACCATGCCCAGCTAGTTTTTTTTGTTTTTTTTTGTTTTTTTTGTATTTTTAGTAGAGATGGGGTTTCACCATGTTGGCCAGACTGGTCTCGAACTGCTGACCTCAAGTGATCCACCTGCCTCGGCCTTCCAAAATGCTGGGATTACAGACGTGAGCCACCGCTCCCAGCTGGGTATCTACATTTTTAAAGCTTTGGTGTATCTTGCAAAGTTGTCTCCTAGGAAAGTTGTATAGTTAGTCATTCCCAGATGATGTATGGAGCACTGTTGTTTCAATGCCCCTCTTATATTTTTACTTGGTTACTGGGTTTGTGAACTTAAAAAATTAAAACATTCTTATTTTAAAAACAATTCAAATATATAAAACATGTACAGATAATAATGAAACGTACACTTATGTACCCAGCAGAAAGATTAAATCGGTGTTAACATTTTGCTGTATTTGCATTTGTTACTTTTAAAAAACACATTCCAGATTCAAAAACAAGTCTATTATTATCATCCCATTTTACAAGTGAGGAAACTGGCTCAAAAACTTTAAGTAACTTGTCTAATTCTTAAGAACCAGTAAGTGGGCTGTAAAGAACCAGTTGATCCTAATGATGCTTTTACCTTAGGCTTTTACTGATATTAATATAGCCCTTCCAGTCTTCTTCCCCTTTTTGGTCAGTTTCTGTCTGGTACATGTTTTCTAATGTCTCTACTTTTAAGTTTTGTATGTTGTTGTATTTTAGATGGGCCTCTTGTAAATAGCTTATAGCTAAATTAAGAAAAAAATCTCGAGTCTGGGTTTTTAAACCAGCTATTAATAACCTGTTTTTTAACCAGCTATTTCAGTCTGTTTGCATTTATAGCAATTGTTGATGTTTTTTGAATTATTTGTCTTATTTCATGCTTTCTATTTCCCATACTTTTTCTGTTTTTTCTCCATTTCCTGTCTCCTACTGAATTGAGTTTTACCAGGTTTTCTCTTTTTCTCTCTACTAGCTTTGTTATCCTAAAAATATTCAATGTGTATACTTAAATAGCAGTCAGAAATTACCCTATCACCTCCCCCACCCAGTTTTTTTCTTATTTAGTGTTTTAATTTCTCCTTTTTTGGTATTTTATTGTATTTTGTATTTTATTCACTGTTATTTTTGTTGTTTTGTGCAGCCCAAACTGTATATATTTTTATTTACTAGGGTCTTTACTCGTCTTTCTAAGTACTCTTTTATGTACACATTTTATTTTCTGAAAATATATACTTTAGTGCATTTTAGTAAGAGCCTGTGAATGTACTTAGTTCTTGTTTAAAAACAGCTTCTTTGTCCTCATCTTTCAATGACTCTCTTTTAGCTTAGTATAGAATCTCCCCTCAACCCTCTGAAGATAGTATTTCTTTGTCTTCTCAACTTTTCTTTTCCTCATTTGTTTTCTCAACTTCTCAACCCTCTTTTTTCTTATTTATTTGGAAATGGGGTCTCACTATGTTGGCCAGGCTGGAGTGCAGTGGCCACTACTGATCAGCACAGGAGTTTTGACTTGGGCTATCACTTCACCCCTCCTTAGGCAGCCTGGTGGTCCCCTGATCCTGGGAGATCACCATATTGATGCCAAACCTAGTGTGGATACCTGTTTGGAATAGTGCACTACAGCCCAGACCTCCTGAGCTGAAACGATCCTCCCTCCTCAGCCTCTGAAGTTGCTGGGACTATAGTCTCGTGCCGCCAAACCCTGCTCAGCTCTCATTTGTTACTGAGAAGTCTTCTGTCTGATTGCTCTTCCTTTGTAGGTAATCTGCCATATCTCTCTGGCTGTTTTTTGTTTTTTGTTTTTTGTTTTTTGTTTTTTGAGACGGAGTCTCGCTCATTCGGCCCATGCTGGAGTGCAGTGGTGCAATCTTGGCTCACTGCAAGCTCCGCCTCCCAGGTTCAAGCCATTCTTCTGCCTCAGCCTCCCGTGTAGCTGGGACTACAGGCGCCTGCCACCAGGCCCAGCTAATTTTTTTTGTATTTTTAGTAGAGACGGGGTTTCACCGTGTTAGCCAGGATGGTCTTGATCTCCTGACCTCATGATCCGCCCGCCTGGGCCTCCTAAAGTGCTGCGATTACAGGCAGGAGCCACCACGCTGGCTATCTGGCTGTTCTTTAGGCTTCCTCTTTGTCTTTGAAATTCTGGAGCCTCAGTCCTGTGTGCATGGATTCATTTTTATTTATTCTGCTTAGAACTTGGTATTCTTTACACGGAGAATTCATGACTTTTACAATTCTGGTAAGTCCTTAACTATTATCTTTTAAAATGTTGCTTCTCCTTCACTGGGGCAGCCATAAAATCATGCTGCTCGGTTGTCTTGCTGGAGGAAGCATAGTTGACTGAGCCCCAGAGGCCATGTCTCAGATTCACTCACGCTTCTCCTGGGCTGCTCCCAGCTGATGGCAGAATATGACAGGGGTACCAGTGCTGGCCCACTGCTGCAGGAGGTAGGATCCTTTCATGGATGACATTGGCTCCTGGACTCCCCATCAGTGTGACCAAACTTTCTTACATCTGCGTCTCACTCTGAGTCTCTTCCTACCCAGTACTCCTTTCTTCTCTCTCCATCATACCTACACCATGGTCTGAAGGCTCTCCCTGCCTCCTCCTGCTTCCTCCTCTTTTTCCTTCACAGGTGTTTTTCCCAACATCTCGTCTCAGCATCTGCTTCTTGGAGGACCCAAACTAACACCGTATCTCTGTTTTCATCATCTGAATCTTGTATTAGATGCATATGGACCTTCTCATTGTGCTCTCTATGCCCTTAGTTATTCTTTTATGCCTCATTGACCTCTCTAATGCTCTTTGGGTAATTTCCTCAGATCTGTCTTCCATTTTACTGAATTCTCTCTTCATTTCTGTCTAATCTACTATTTAATCTATCTATTGCATTTTAAAATTATAATATTTATTTCTAAAAGTACCATTTGGCTTGTTTTCACATCTGACTCTTACTTTTTTCCCAGTATATTCTTCTCAGGGTTTTAGTTTCTCATTTTTTGTCTTTAACAGTCTAAAGCACACTTACATTGTACTCCCTCTTTCAAATTGTAGTTTTATCATTCCAAGTTCCCTGGAGCTCTAATAATCTTGTTTGTTGTATTTGCTGTTTTCTGCTTATGGTGTATTCTAATTTTTAATTTTCCTCTAAACTAACCTTTAGTGGGGGTTATTTTTTTTCCGTGGGAATCTTACATGGTCTGATAGTGAGGCTCCTTCAGAACAATTAGCATTGCTCAGAACAATTTGCATTGCTTCTTCTAGAGATCTCAGGAGTGTCACTGCCTTGGGGCCAATATTTCTGTTAATTTCTTAGTTTAGAACGGCCTGGATCACCCCGCTTAAGGCTCAGGTTTGGGATATCCATTTTTCAGGGGAGAGGTTTTTTTCACTTAGAACCCAAGAACACAAAATTGTTCTCCTAGACCCCTGTACCAGGGGATGATTTTTCCCCCTAGTCTTTCTTTTCACTGGGAAGTATTTCTTTGAAGATCCTAACTCTCTTTGGGGCTTTTTTTTTTCTTTTTCTTTTTTTTTTTTTTTTTTTTTGAGACTGAGTTTTGCTCTTGTCGCCCAGGCTGGAGTGCAATGGCTTGATCTTGGCTCACTGCATCCTCCGCCTGCCAGGTTCAAGCGATTCTCCTGCCTCAGCCTCCCGAGTAGCTGGGATTACAGGTGTGGGCCACCACATCCAGCTAATTTTGTATTTTTAGTAGAGAAGGGGTTTCACCATGTTGGCCAGGCTGGTCTTGAACTCCTGACCTCAGGTGATCCGCCCCGCCTAGGCCTCCCAAAGTGTTGGGATTACAGGCGTGAGCCACCGTGCCCAGCCTCTTTGGGGTTTTAGTTCCAACTCTCTGCTTCATGGTGACTCATGGTTTCACCTCCTTTGTCCACTTGGGTTTTAAATTGTAAGTCTGGAAGTTACTAGAACAATCCCAGAATTAGCTCACACACTTTCACTCTGTTTTTCCCTTTCTTCCTGGGGTTATATTTTACCCAGCATTCCTAGGTGTTTGTGGTGGGAGATTCCGCCCCTACGTTATCTTAATTTGTTGCCATATTTCTGAACCAGGAATCCCATTTACCACATTGAGTTCTGGACATCAAGGTTCTCCGGGCATCACTTTCTATGCTGTGTCATCAGTGAAGCCCATAAACTTACCCGTTATCAGAAAAGCGAAGATTTCGAGATCTTGTTGAGACGGTAGGTATATAGTATGTCCTGAGGGGTTTAGAAAAAATAGCTACCTTTATTTCCAACCCATGGTAACTTCATTGGTAAATCCAGACAGACCTGTAAGATTTTTACAAATGGAACCAGCAGCTTAGAAAACAAAAAATAATAATTACTTTATCATCACAAGTATTCCTTTTACTGCCTCAGCCCAGTAACAGAGCTCTTCTATCTCTCTCGTTTCTTTCTCCCAGCTTTCCCACCATCCTTCTCAATTTGTCCTTTGTCAACAGGGCAGAAAAGGGGTTGAAGTGATGTATGGGTGTAATCCACTGTGCACTGCTGAAAAGATAAACTTAAATGAAGTGATTTATAACCTGTGGCAGGTATTCTGCACCCAGAATTGTTTGTCAAAGTGAGTGCTCATTGATTTTCCATGCCTTCCGTGTCAGCCCCTGGATTGCCATTGTTCCTTAGAGGTGGCTAAGCAGTTTAAGGCATCAGGGTGTTCTCCCAGCGCGGGCACTCACTCCGCTGCAGGGTTTAGCCTTCAACTGTGTTCCAGGGCTCGGAACTCCCTAGTTGACCCCTTGCTGCAGGAGGCAGGATTCTTTCGTGGATGGCATTAGCTCCCAGACTCCCCATCAGTGTGACCAAAATTTTCTTGTTTTTTTTTTTTGAAACAGAGTCTCACTCTGTCAGCCAGGCTGGAGAGCAGTGGCCCGATCTCAGGTCACTGCAACCTCTGTCTCTCGGGCTCAAGCAATTCTCCTGCCTCAGCCTCCCGAGTAGCTGGGATGTGCCACCACGCCTGGCTAATTTTTGTATTTTTAGTAGAGACAGGGTTTCACCATGTTGGCCAGGCTGGTGTCAAACTCCTGACCTCAGGTGATCCACTCACCTCGGCCTCCCAAAGTGTTGGGATTACAGGCATGAGCCACCGTGCCCGGCCCTTTCTTTTTTCTTTTTCTTTCTTTCTTTTTTTTTTTTTTTTTTTTTTGAGACGGAGCCTGGCTCTGTCACCCAGGCTGGAATGCAGCGGCGCGACGGTGGCTCACTGCAACCTCCACCTCTCAGATTCAAGTGATTCTCCTGCCTCAGCCTCAGTAGCTGGGATTATAGGCGCGCGCCACCATGCCTGGCTAATTTTTATATTTTTAGTAGAGATGAGGTTTCACCATGTTGGCCAGGCTGGTCTTGAACTCCTGACCTCAGGTGATCCACCTGCCTCAGCTCCCAGAGTGCTGGGATTGTACAGGCGTGAGCCACTGCGCCCGGCCAGTGTGACCAAAACTTTCTTACAGCTGTGTTGCACTCTGAGTCTCTTCCTACCCGGTACTCCTTTCTTTTCTCTCCATCATACCTAGGCCATGGTCTGAAGGTTCTCCCTGCCTCCTCCTGCTTCTTCTCTGCTACCATCCACACTCACTGTGTCCATGAAAAGACCAGATTCCACTGGTACTTCAGATTTCTCAAATGAGAAGTAAAACATATTCTATAAGTTTTGAAAATGCTTCTATAAAATGCTTCTGGAATCTTCCTACTGGAAGTCAAATAGATAATAGGTCCCCATAGAATAGCACGGGACAATAGTACAGCTTCGGGGGCGGTGCCCAGGGAAATCTGGGCTGAGTTAGATGAAGGATACTAAGCATCCTATGGGAACTCATGCAGCAGGGAGTCTCCTTCGCTTAAGGGGACCACATACATATCACACAGGATGTGTCTTTCTTGTTTTTCTCCAAACCCATCCCGTTGTGTTGGAGGGTGATGAAGTTTTTCCAGCAACCACAGTGCAGTCTGGTGAATCAGAATCAGTGTCATTGAGCCTCAGCAACACCCAGATATCCAAGAGATTGTCTTAAAGAATCTTAGAACTGTAGGCTGGGTGTGGTGGCTCACACCTGTAATTCCAAAACTTTGGGAGGCCAAGAGGATCGCTTGAGAGCAGGAGTTCAAGAGGATGGCTTGAGGGCAGAAGTCTGAGGCTGCAGTGAGCTGTGACTGCACCATTGCACTCCAGCCTGGGTGACTGAGGGAGACCCTGTCTCTAAACAAAAACAAAAACAAAAAACTTAGATTTTTGGACCTTAGATCATTTAATCTAGAGTTCTAACTCGATAGGCAAGGAATCTGAAGCCTGGACTATTTGATGACTTGCTCAGGGTCACAGAACTATGGAGCTCCACAGCCAGCATTACGACCTGGGTTTCTGGACTTCCTGCTCATCCCTGTTTCTGGAAGGGCTTCTGCTCCAGGTCTCTCTGGGTAATGTCCCATTTGCTTTCACAACATGCCTCTTGAATCTAAAGAAAGCAGTGCTGTTGGTGGTTGTCTTAGTTGCAGTTTATTTGCTTGGTCCTTTGAACAGGAAGAGAGTTATGTTTATTATGGGTTGGGAGGAATGAACTTGCCTACACCTTTTTTTTTTTCTTTTCTTTTCTTTTTCTCTTTCTTTCTTTCTTTTTTTTTTTTTTTTTTTTTTCTGAGACAGGGTCTTGCTCTGTCGTCCAGGCTGGAGTGCGGTGGTGGGATCTCAGCTCACTACAACCTCTGCCTCCTGGGTTCAAGCAATTCTCCTGCTTCAGCCTCCTGAGTAGCCAGGATTATAGGCGCCCACCACCATGTCCAGCTAATTGTTGTATTTTCATTAGAAATGGGGTTTCACTATGTTGGCCAGGCTGGTTTCAAACTCCTGACCTCAGGTGATCCATCCACCTCAGCCTCCCAAAGTGCTAGGAATACAGGCGTGAGCCACCGTGCCTGGCTGCACTTTTTCTTTTTTCTGTTGTGTGCCTAAGACATGGTTATCTAGACAAAAATACCACTTAGTAGGCACTTTACCAATACATATCATGCTAGAAAACAGATTGCTTTCATGCAAATGAGGTGGAGCTAGGAAAGTTATTTATGTAATGATTATTTCACAATTGGAATTTTTTTTTTTTTTTTTTTTTGAGATGGAGTTTCACTCTTGTTGCCCAGGCTGGAGTGCAATGGCGTGATATCGGCTCACCGCAACCTCCGCCTCCTGGGTTCAAGCGATTCTCCTGCCTCAGCCTCCCAAGTAGCTGGGATTACAGGCATGGGCCGCTACGCCCGGCTAATTTTGTATTTTTAGTAGAGGCGGGGTTTCTGCATGTTGGTTAGGTTGGTCTCGAACTCCCGACGTCAGTTGATCCACCCACTTCAGCCTCCCAAAGTGCTAGGATTACAGGCGTGAGCCGCCGCCCCCGGCAACAATTGGAAATTTTTTAAAAACAAAGACTATTTAGCTTGAGCTCAACTAAAGACTTTGGTTTGCATATTATAGACAAATACATAAATTGTGTTTATATAGACTGTGTACATATATAATTATATACTGATGAGATATAGCATTTGTATTTTTCAAACCACAAACATCCTGTAGTAATTCAGACTTATAAATACTTCTGCATAGCAAGTAACAATTTATAATAGCTAAACAGGAATGAATATGGATGGTGTTTCTTTGTGCCTCTGATTGGTGGGTAGGGGGGATTGAAAGCTTGATTTTGATCAGTTTTTTTTTAAACTTATGTGCATTATTGATTAATCACTTAATTGAATTGGTGGGATATATTTTCATACATGCAGTTGTGGCAATATTGATTGAGCTTTCTCTGAGCCCAAACTACCAATTCTTACAAGTGAAACAGGATGTCATCTCCGTGTTGTAATCATTTTATACTTCACATAGTACATTGGAAGTCTGAGGTAGCAAATTCGGCTTCCGGAAGTCCTTGACTTGGGGTCAAAGAGCATCGCTGATATCAGGAGAAGCTGCCTGAATGTGAATTCGGTAGTAAAAATGGAAAGATATTTTATGTGTTTGGCTAGGCGCAGTGCCTCACACCTGTAATCCCAGCACCTTGGGAGGCTGAGGTGGGCAGATAGCTTGAGCTCAGGAGTTTGAGACTGGCGCTGTGGGCAACATGGCAAAAACCTATCTCTACAAAAAAATACAAAAATTAGCTGGGCATGGTGGTGCACACCTGTGGTTCCGGCGGCTACTTGGGAGGCTGAGGTGGGAGGATCGTTTAAGCCCGAAAGGCAGAGCTTGCAGCACCACTGCACTCCAGTGTGAGTGACAGAGTGAGACCCCATTTCAAAAAAGAAAAAAAAAAGAGCCAGGTGTGGTGGCTCATGCCTGTAACCCCAGCACTTTGGGAGGCCAAGGTGGGCAGATCACTTGAGGTCAAGAGTTCGAGACCAGTCTGGCCAACACAGTGAAACCTCATCTGTACTAAAAATACAAAATTGGCCAGGTACAGTGGCTCGTGCCTGTAATCCCAGCTATTCTGGAGGCTGAGGCAGGAGAATCGCTTGAACCCGGGAGGCAGAGGTTGCAGTGAGCAGAGATCACGCCACTGCACTCCAGCCTGGGCGACAGAACGAGACTCCATCTCAATTAAAAAAAAAAAAATGATATTTTCTGTGTTCATCTAAGTAGAGAAATAAGTATAGACTGCCTTATGTTCATTTGCTTCCCAGTGTTCCTTGGTGGCTGGATTATTCATCTAAGTGAGATGTAAGATCTTTTGAGCATCTAACATAATAGTTATTCATAAAGACATTTAGGCTGATGGCTTTCTCAGAACGTCCTGCTGTTCATGATGGACTTCATCTATATTTCAATGAATTTCTAAATGGAGGAAACAGAACATTTTTCCTTTGATTAATTCATTGGTTTTCAGTCCTCAAGGACCCATAGGCTGGCGAACTCTAAGAGGAAGTCACAAAAGGAAGAATGGTAAATTGGAATTGGAACTGTGGAACTCACCCCGTAAAAATCTTTCAACACTGTCCTGAGTTCAACATCTGAAATACAGTGGACCAGGAGAAGATTGATGGAAGCTAATTTAAAAAGCTAATTTAAAATTGCACCAAAAAAAGCACAGCGTTATGAATTTAATAAAGTTCGTAGGGTGTTTTGGACCACGATTTTACAACTCTCTCACTTTTTTTTTTTTTGAGACAGAGTCTCACTCTGTCACCCAGGCTGGAGTGCAGTGGTGCAATCTCCTCTCACCGCAATGTCTGCCTCTCGGGTCCAAGCAATTCTCCTGTCTCAGCCTCCTGAGTAGCTGGGACTACAGGCATGCACCACCAGGCCTGATTGATTTTTGAATTTTATTAGAGATGGGGTTTCACTATGTTGGCCAGGCAGGTCTCAAACTCCTGACCTCAGGTGATCCACCCGCCTTGGTCTCCCAAAGTGCTGGGATTACAGGCGTGAGCCACCACACCCGGCCACAACTCTCACTTTTAATTGACTGTGCCCCAGAATCAAGCACTTTGGCTAGCAAATGATGGCTAGTTAGATCACAGAGGTGTGTGTTGCATTCTGTGTCTGTTCACTGTGAAATCGGGATTTTAAGAGTGTATGTTGTTGAACATACACCTGTCTTTGAGTGATCGGTCCCCAGAGGCCACCTCTAAGGTGAAGATTTGGGGAGGTAATTGTGGGAAGCCCCAGGAGGAGCAGAGGAAAATGAGAAAGGGGACGAAGGGAATGTAATAGAATGTGTGTTGGGAGAGGGTTTCCTTATGAGCCAGTGCAGAGGAAAGTCTTGAAATGCACTAAGGAAATACAGTCTGTGCCGTGATGGTAGCACCGATGTGGAATCCCATAAGCAGCTGCTTGAAAAAGACTTGGTGGCAGACATAACTCTTTTTGCCTTTTAAGTGCTCCGGGAGATTTCACATGCCAATGTTGAATTGTCCCCAACTTGGGTTCAGGGTGCCCAGGAACTAGCAAAATCAGCTTTTTTGTGGTAGGATCTTCATAGGATCCAGGAGCTGTCACCCACGAATGACAGAGCCCCTGCACTGGATAGCCTTTCTCCAATCTGTATAAGGTGGAATAGGGAAATGAGGCTCCTCTCTGATGTTCGGGGCTTTAGCTGGGCTGGGTTCTGAGTCCTCTGTGCCTAGTTCCCCTTGGGAAGCACTGGAGACCTTGAACTGGAAATTCTCTTCCTGGGATCAACCAAATACTCCCAAAACTTCGTGGAAGCTTAGCTCCTTGTGCCTTTTGTCAGGTTTCCCTAGAAGTCAAGGGATTCTCATGGAGATGATGTATGGGATGGGGGCTAGAGGGCTGGGAGGATGGTAGGGCGGGGGTAAATCTAAACTTCAGGTGTCTTGGGAGTCCATGACTTGCATCACAGAGCTGGTTTCCCCCCCGTCAGGCAAGGTCGGCCTTTATTTATTTATTTATTTATTTATTTTAGAGACAGAGTCTCCCTCTGTCACCCAGGCTAGAGTGCAGTGGTGCCATCATAGTTCACTGCAGCCTTGAACTTCTGGGCTCCAGCGATCCCCCTACCTTAGCCTCCTGAGTAGCTGGGACTACAGGCACACGCCCAAATGCATAACTAATTTTTAAAGTTTCTGTAGAGATGGTGGGGTGGGGGGGTGGGGGGGGGCGCGTCTCACGATGTTGTCCAGTCTGGTCTCAAACTCCTGGCCTCAATTGATCCTACTGTCTTGACCTCCCAAAGCACTGGAATTTACAGGTGTGAGCCACTGGGCTGGCCAAAGTCAGCCTTTTGTACCCCTCTCAATGTCAGCCATTGATTGGTTGTGGGCCTCCCACAGGTGGAGAGGTTCCCATTTGTTCAAACGCAATTTACAAACAAGGGGGCAGATGGGACCCATTAGTAGCTGAAACTCACAGCAACCAGTGCCTAGTAAAGGATTCATGCAGGGCCCTCCCACACGACCCAAAACAGCAAAGAGAAAGGGCCAGGTGTTGGCCTTTTTCTAACTCATCCCTTTTAACACAGTAAGTTCAGCAGTCCTCTAAGAGTCCCACTTCAAAGTACCCCTCTTGCCTTCCGAATTCAGTGTTGTTAGCCCTTTTGCTTGAAAAACCCCCACTCTTGGACACAGAGGAAATAGGAGTCAGATGTCTGCACCTTCTGCACCTGTGGTTTGAACAGGACCCTCTGGGAGTCGCAGGAGGAGTGCTTGGCCCTGGTGCTTGGCAGGAGGTTGGGCTGGGAGATGATGATTGCCTTGATCCTCTCTTTCAACTACTTCATTCCAACTGTTGGAATACCTCAGTAGTGAGTATTAATTTTCTTCCCCCCCAAATCCAGCAAGCAATCTAGCTCCTTAAGAGAAGACTATGTTCCTGCTATTAACAGGGCTTTGACTGTTTTTGCAAAATAATAACTGGGCATTCTTGTGTTAAGGACCATTTGTTTCCTTCACCTGCTTTTCTTCCCAATTTAGCTGAAAAGGGACCTGAGCCAGTTAGGAGATTTTTTTTTTTTTTTTTTTTTTTGAGATGAATCTTGCTCTGTCACCCAGGCTGGAGTGCAGTGACATGATCTCGGCTCACTCTCAGGTTCAAGTGATTCTCCTGCCTCAGCCTCCCAAGTAGCTGGGATTACAGGTGTGCACCACCATTCTTGGCTATTTTTTGTGTGTGTGTGTTTTTAGTAGAGATGGGGTTTCACCATGTTGGCCAGGCTGGTCTCGAACTCCTGACCTCAGGTGATCCACCCGCCTCAGCCTCCCAATGTGTTGGGATTACAGGCATGAGCCACTGTGCCCCGCTGGAGACTTTTTTTTTCTGAACTAAAATATCTTTTCAGATACAAGGTTCAGGGAGGGTGGTGTGGACCAGTGAGAGAAGTTTCATTTGCACCTTTTTCATTTTTATTCTGATCCAGAGTGACTGGAGTATTAATGGATGTTGTCATAGGCTTTTGAAGTGGCCTTGCTTGGTGATTGAGTGGCTCTCGCAAAATTCTGAATTTTGGAACCAGGTATTGCTTTCTAGCTATACTAACATGTCCCTTTAGGAGTCTAATGAGATCTGCTTTGCCTCTGCCCCAAACAGATTTGCTTTACAAGTTACTGTCACTCAGGGCAAGCTCCAAGCTCTGTATCTAAAAAGCAAAGCCACCTGCCAGCCACAACCAGGTGCATGTTGCCTTTGGGCCTTGTGTCAAAATATCTTCATCATCTAAGAATAAAACCCCCAAAGAGGTCAGCCTGATCTTGTAGAAAGCCGTCCCTGGGAAAATGATTAAATGTCAGTAAACAAGAGCATTTCAGAAACTGACATGGTCCCTAATGTTTGTGTTTAGAGACTCCTAATGTGTCAGAATTGAGTTGGAGACTTACGATGTAATTGCATGTCTTGTATTTCATGCCAGCCTCTCGGCTTGGTGCTGGGGCAGAGTGGGAAGCAGACCACAGAGCAGAGAGGGCCTCTGCCCTTTTATTGTCCTGTGAGAGAGATGGATATTCACAAATAATCCTGTCCCTAATTAATTGCAGCTGAGATAACCATTATAAAAGAAACTAGAGAGTGTGACAAGGGGTGACTATCTCTTGGTCTTGGTTGTCAGGCAATGCTATGGAAGGGTTATTTAGAGTCGTAGAAGTGTCTAGTACAACCACCAGCTGATGAAGATAGTACAGGAGGAAGCAGGCATGTTTGAGACATGGTGAGTTTCAGGCTCAATTAAGGAGCTGGAGATAGCTACCAGCTGTTAGCAACACTGGGGGCGTGCAGGAGCAGCATCAGGGACAGATTTGGGAGTCCCTTGGGGAAGCCGTGGTGAAGCCACAGGAATGAACAGGTGGCTTTCTTTCCTTTTTTTTTTTTTTTTTTTGAGATGGAGTCTCACTCTGCCGCCCAGGCTGGAGTGCAGTGGCATGATCTCGGCTCACTGCAAGCTCTGCCTCCCAGGTTCTGGCCATTCTCCTGCCTCAGCCTCCCGAGTAGCTGGGACTACTGGTGCCCACCACCACGCCCAGCTAAATTTTTTTGTAGTTTTAGTAGAGACGGGGTTTCACCGTGTTAGCCAGGAGGGTCTCGATCTCCTGACCTCGTGATCCGCCCACCTCAGCCTCCCAAAGTGCTGGGATTACAGGTGTGAACCACCGTGCCTGGCCGCTTTTTTTTTTGAGACGGAGTCTTGTTCTGTTGCCCAGGCTGGAGTGCAGTGGCACTATCTCGGCTCACTGCAACCTCTGCCTCCCAGGTTCAAGCGATTCTCCTGCCTCCACCTCCCAGGTTCAAGCGATTCTCCTGCCTCAGCCTCCCAAGTAGCTGGGATCACAGGCACCCACCACCACGCCTGGCTAATTTTTGTATTTTTAGTAGAGACGAGGTTTCGCCATGTTGGCCAGGCTGGTCTCAAACTCCTGACCTCAGGTGATTCGCCTGCCTCGGCCTCCCAAAGTGTTGCAATTACAGGAGTCAGCCACTGCGCCTGGCCCAGGTGACTTTCTTGAGAGAGTATGGAGAGGGATCTGGGAGAATGTCTGGATGAAACCTTCTTTAAGGGCCTGTCACCTACATGCAATAAAGACCATACTAATTGTAATAAGACCATTGTTTACTTTTTGTTCCCCAACTGGTGCAATTTTCCCAGTCCCTGTAGTAGCCCCAGGATGGCTCAGAAACTGTCTGGGTTCCTGCTGTAGACACTGTGAGAACTTCCTTTCCAAGTGTAGCCAAGCACCCGCCCCACTGCTGCAGCCTGTGCCATCCTCCCCCTTCTCTGCACACATTGCATATCCCTGTGGTCTCCGTTTTGAGCTCAGAGTGTGGGCCTCCAACCCTCAGCACCGTATCACTCCGTAGCTTATTAGAAATGCAGAATCTGCAGCCCCCGCCCAGCTTGCTGAATCAGCCTCTGTGTTTTAACAAGATCCCCGGGATCTGTCTGCCTGTTGACAAGGGAGAAGCCTGGTCTCGGTTACCTCCTCCTCAGCGTCCTGAGCCTGGCTGGATCGCCAGCACACTCAGACCAGCGGCCCCAGGCTCTTGTGACAGCAGCCGTCAGACCCGTGGGAGTTCAGGTGCGGGTCATCAGGGCCCTGCTGGCTACTCCACCTCTCTGGGTCCCTCAGCTCAGAGATTCCACTTGAGTGTAGAGAGAATTGTTCCCCTCTGCTCTGGTGCCCTCTTTGCACTAATGTTTAGGGACCTAGAAAGGGCATCAGGAAATAAGACAGAACAAAAGCCACCAAGAGGAAGAAGGAAATTCAAGTGCCATAGCTATAGAGAGGCTCAGGAGGATAAAAACAAAGCAATAGCAGGGGCTGAGAGATTTTTTAAAAATCAGCTTTACTGTGATATATAATATATATATGTGTGTGTATATGTATATATATAATTTTTTTTTGAGACAGAATCTTGTTTTGTCATCCAGGCTGGAGTGCAGTTGTGCAATCTCAGCTCACTGTAACCTCCGCCTCCTGGGTTCAAGCGATTCTCCTGCCTCAGCCTCCCAAGTAGCCAGGATTATAGGCACACACCACCACACTTGGCTAATTTATGTATTTTTAGTAGAGATGGGGTTTCACCATGTCGGCCAGGCTGTTTTCAAGCTCCTGACCTCGAGTGATCTGCCCACTTTGGCCTCCCAAAATGCTGGGATTACAGGCATGAGCCACCACACCTGGCCATATTGTGATATAGCTAACATAGAATAGAACTCACTTTAAGTGTACAGCTTGATGAGTTTTAACATATATATACACACACTGTAGTCATGTAACCACTGCCCCATCAAGATACAGAACATTTCATCACCCCTAGAACTTCCCTTGTGACTTTTAGCTGTCAATTACTTCTCTCTACCCCCCACATTCCCCACTCCTGTTCCTAACAAGCACTGATCTGCTTTTGCACTAAAGTCTTGCCTTTCTTAAAGTTTCCTATAGATGCAGTCATACAGATGTAGTCTCTTGTGTCTCACTTCTTTTGCTCAACACAATGTTTTTGAAATTCATCCATATTCCCCGTCCGGGAGGGAGGTGGGGGGGGTCAGCCCCCCTGCCCGGCCAGCCGCCCCGTCCGGGAGGTGAGGGGCACCTCTGCCCGGCCGCCCCTACTGGGAAGTGAGGAGCCCCTCTGCCCGGCCACCACCCCGTCTGGGAGGTGTACCCAACAGCTCATTGAGAACAGGCCAGGATGACAATGGCGGCTTTGTGGAATAGAAAGGCGGGAAAGGTGGGGAAAAGATTGAGAAATCGGATGGTTGCCGTGTCTGTGTAGAAAGAAGTAGACATGGGAGACTTTTCATTTTGTTCTGCACTAAGAAAAATTCCTCTGCCTTGGGATCCTGTTGATCTGTGACCTTACCCCCAACCCTGTGCTCTCTGAAACATGTGCTGTGTCCACTCAGGGTTAAATGGATTAAGGGCGGTGCAAGATGTGCTTTGTTAAACAGATGCTTGAAGGCAGCATGCTCGTTAAGAGTCATCACCAATCCCTAATCTCAAGTAATCAGGGACACAAACACTGCGGAAGGCCGCAGGGTCCTCTGCCTAGGAAAACCAGAGACCTTTGTTCACTTGTTTATCTGCTGACCTTCCCTCCACTATTGTCCCATGACCCTGCCAAATCCCCCTCTGTGAGAAACACCCAAGAATTATCAATAAAAAAATAAATTAAAAAAAAAATGTAAAAAAAAAAAATGTAAAAAAAAAAAAAAAAGAAATTCATCCATATTATTGGATGTATCAATAGTTTGTTCCTTTTTATTGCATAGTAGCATTCCCCTGAATGGATATACCACAGTCTGTTTATTCATTTACCAGTTGATGGACATTTGGGTTACTTCCAGTTTTGGATGATTTTGAGTAAAGTTGCAATGAACATTCACATACAAGTCCTTGTGTGGACCTACGTCTTCATTTGAGAGATTTTTTTCCTTTTAAACTTTTTATTTTATTAGGTTGGTGCAAAAGAAACTGTGGTTTTTGCCATTACTTTCAATGGCAAAAACCACAATTACTTTTGCACCAACCTAAATCTTCCCTCTCTCTGGATTTGCAATTATTCTGTAAATCTAAAGTTAACTTTAGCTAAATCAGGTTGACATCATATACCCCCTAAAGTTAACTTTAGATTTACAGAAGAGTTGCAAATCCAGAGAACCCCCCGTAGTCTTCATCCACCTTCCCCCAATGTTAATATCGTACTAATTATGATACATTTATCAAAACTCAAAAATTAACATGGGCACAGTTGTATTAACTAAACTCCCGACTTTCTTCAGATTTCACCAGTTTTTTCCACTAATGTCCTTTTTCTGTTCCAGGATTTAATCAGGATATAATGTTGCACTTAATTATTATATCATAATAGTCACTTTCAATCTATGTCAATTTCTCTGTCTCTCCTTGTTTTTTTATGACTTTGACATTTATGAAGTGGGCTGGTCAAGTATTTTGTAGGATGTCCCTCAATCTGGATTTGTCTGATGTTTTCTGATCATTAGACTGCAGTTGGGGTTTGGGGAAAGAATACCCCAGAGGTGAAATGGCCTTCTCATCACATAATATTAGGGGGCACATGATATCTACCTGATTGCTCACTGGTGAAGTTAACCTTGATCACTTGGTTAAGGCGTTGTCTACCAGAGTTACCCACCGTAAGCTGCTAATTTCCCTTTCCATACTCTGTTCCAGGGGTGTCCAATCTTTTGGCTGCCCTGGGACACATTGGAAGAAGAATTGTCTTGGGCAACACATAAAATACATCATTAACACTATGACAGCTGTTGAGCTAAAAAAAAAAAAAAAAAAAAAAAAAAAAAAAAGGACCGGGTGCGGTGGCTCACACCTGTAATCCCAACACTTTGGGAGGCCGAGGCGGGTGGGTCACGAGGTCAGGAGATCGAGACCATCCTGGCTAACACAGTGAAACCCCATCTCTACTAAAAATAGAAAAAATTAGCCGGGCGTGGTGGTGGGCGCCTGTAGTCCCAGCTACTCAGGAGGCTGAGGCAGGAGAATGGTGTGAATCCAGGAGGAGGAGTTTGCAGTAAGCCGAGATTGCACCACTGCACTCCAGCCTGGGTGACAGAGGGAAACTCTGTCTCAAAAGAAAAAAAAAAAAAAAGGTCTGTGCATAAATATCATAATGTTTTAAGAAAGTTTATGAATTTGTGTTGGGCCACATTCAAAGCTGTCCTGGGCCACGGGTTGGACAAGCTTACCGTCTATTCATTAGAAGTGAGTCACTCAGGGGAGGGAGATTAGGCCCTGCCTCCTACAGGGAGGGGTTTCAAAGAATTTGTGGACATATGCTAAAACCAGCACCATAATTAATGTGGTATTTTTTTTTTTTTGACGGAGTCTTGCTCTGTAGCCCAGGCTGGAGTGCAGTGGCCTGATCTCGGCTCACTGCAAGCTCTGCCTCTCAGGTTCATGCCATTCTCCTGCCTCAGCCTCCTGAGTAGCTGGGACTACAGGTGCGCACCACCATGCCCAACTAATTTTTTTGTATTTTTAGTAGAGAAGGGGTTTCACCATGTTAGCCAGGATGGTCGCGATCTCCTGACCTCGTGATCCACCCGCCTTGGCCTCCCAAAATGCTGGGAATACAGGTGTGAGCCACCGTGCCCGGCCAATTAATGTATTTTTATTATTTTAAAAGTTATTCTTATTTTTAGAGATAGAGTCTCACTATGTTGCCCATGCTGGTCTTGAACTCCTGGGCTCAAGCTGTCTACCCACCTCGGCCTCCTAAGTGCTGGGATTATAGGCGTGAGCCACTTTACCTGGCCTGCTTGTTTTTTTGAGACAGAGTCTCGCTCTGTCGCCCAGGCTGGAGTTCAGTGGCACAATCTCGGCTCACTGCAAGCTCCACCTCCTGGGTTCACGCCATTCTCCTGCCTCAGCCTCCCGAGTAGCTGGGACTACAGGCGCCCGCCACTACATCCGGCTAATTTTTTTGTATTTTTTTAGTAGAGACGGGGTTTCACCGACCTCGTGATCTGCACGCCTCAGCCTCCCAAAGTGCTGGGATTACAGGTGTGAGCCACCGCCCCCGGCCCTGGTGTGCTTTTTAATATTTTTTGGAGATGGGGTCTTGTTATGTTTCCCAGGCTGGCCTTGAACTCCTGAGCTCAAGTGATGCTCATGCCTCAGCCTTCAGAGTAGCAGGCATTACAGGTGCATGCCACCTCACCTGGCTAATAAATGTTTTTGGAGGGATGTGTTGAGCCTATGCAGGTATCCTGTTTCCCCTTAAAGTTTGCCCATGAACTTAACATTCCTCAGTGGACCCTGCCTGCAGCTATTATTACTGTAATGTTCTCCTGGTGATTTTCTATTCTCCCATGCCTTCTGCCTTTATTACATGGAATTCTTCTGTAAGGGAAATTTGTTTCTTCTCCAGGTATTTGTTTATCTATCCTCTCATTTATTTATATCAGTGTGGACTCACAAGTACTTATTTTATTCTCTGGGTGAGAGATGTTTTTAAGATGGGAAAATGGACTACTTTAAGTTAACCTAACTGTGAGCCAGGTAGCAGGAGGTGTGGGGAGGAGGAGCATAGATGCTGGGGGAGGAATGGGCGGTGGATGGAGCGAAGTTCCTAGGAAGGTCAGTGAGAAGGAGATCCGGAGGTGGGGGTCTTGGCAAAAACAAGGGACACCCTGTTCCCACAAATGGGTAAGAGGAAAGTTTGGGAGGGTCGATTTCCATGTCAGGAAGGAGAACTTGAAGGAGTTCCAACTAATTAGCTTTTGTCTTCTCCGTCAAGATGTTTTCTGTGACGACAATGGGAAGTTGACTTTTGGAATTTTAATTGTCTTGGCCAAAATTCCTGGCCTCTAGAGTAACGTTTCTCAACCTCAGCCCTGCCGACATTTGGAGCAGATAATTCATTGTTGTGGGAGCCGTCTTGTGCATTGCAGGCTGTGTCGCAGCATCCCTGGCCTCTACCCTCTAGATGCTTTAGTGCCCTCTCCTGTTTCCCCAGCAGTGACCACCAAAATGTCTCCAGGCAGTGTCAAATGTGCCCTGGGGAGCAAAATCGCCCCATGCTGAGAACCACAGATCTAAAATTAACACACACAATTCTGGCAATCCGTAGGATTCTTCTTCTCTTTATTTTTATTTTTTTGTCTCCCTCTGTTGCCAAGGCTGGAGTGCAGTGGCATGATCCATAGCTCATTGCAGCCTTGACCTCCCGGGCTCAAACAATCCTCCCACCTCAGCCTCCTGAGAAGCTAGGACTGCAGGTGCACACCACCATGCCCGGCGGCTTTTTTTTTTTTCTTGAAGAGGGGGACTCACTGTGTTGCTCAGGCTGGTCTCAAACTCTTGGGCTCAAGCAGTCCTCCTACCTCAGCCTCCCAAAGTGTTGGGATTATAGGCATGAGCCACTGCATCCAGCCCACGGGATTCTTGACCATTACTTTGAAAGACTAAGATGATGGCATTCACCTATTAATTTTCTGCAGAAAGAGCTAAGCTGCTCTAGTGTGAACACTCAACGTTGACGCTATGGATGAGGGAGGGCCCTGCTTTCTTGGGAATAGCGGATGGTCCTTTCAGCACACAGCACAGATGAATGAAGAGGAAATGAAGTTCTGGTTCGCAGAGGGTCTTTGGTTCTGAAAAGCGTTGCCGTGGTTCTAGCCTTCCTCGCGGTGGAGGGTGTTTTGCTTTCTGCGCGGTTTCTGTGTGGGCCGTGGGAAGCAACTTGATTGTTATCACAGTTGGGGACACAGCAGCTCTTCTCATAGGTTAATTTCTGAAAGCCCATTTGTTCTAAATCCAACGTGACGCCTACCGAGCTGGGTACAACATTGGTTTGTTTCATAAAACAGCCCGGGGTGTTTGGGACTCTTACTCCTTTACAACTCTCATTTGACTGTCCAAAGATGCTTGCACTGGGGCCTAATTTTCTGTCACCTTCCCTACGTTTTTAACAAGACACTGCCATTTCAAACATAGCGAACACGACAGATTGAGGAACAAGGCCAAGGCAGAGGCTGCGACGACCTCGTACAGCCGCTGATGCCATCTGTTGGTGGCTGGCAGAACTGATGCCCTTTGCTGCGAGGGAGCTTTGTTTATTGCACAGAAAGTTGAAAGTTGGCAGCAGAGAACCTTGTTACCACCTGGGAGGATAGGATTGGCAGGATTAGGGAGGACTGGAAGGGGAGGGAATGCGTGTTTGCTTTGTAGGTTGTGCATCAGTAAGCACAATCAGGATTCAGTGCCAGGAATCCATAGTTGAAACAATTTTAGGAGGATTTTTCAAGGTTCTGGCTGGGATGCCATGGGGACCTCCAATCCATTTCTCAGTCGACTGTCAGTTAAGGCATTGGGCTGTGGGAAGTTAACAGAGCAACAGAGCGGTCTCTAACGTAAAAAAACCCCAGTGTCTCCCATAGAGCTAGCATGCAGTCCTTATTTGTGGAATTTGATATTGAGGGACAGTATTAACTCCTCACTCTAATCAAAGAAGCTATGATAATATGATGCAAAACAACTATTATATTCTATCCCCTTCCAAAGTGCTTTCAAAGACTAAATTTGTCTTGATACCAATCCATTTATACCAACACATCCCCACATTTCTGATGATGAAACAGATTCCTAGAGACTAAATTTCTTTCTTTTCTTTTTTTTTTTTTTTGAGATGGAGTCTCGCTTTGTCACCCAGGCTGGAGTGCAGTGGCACGATCTTGGGTCACTGCAGCCTCTGTCCCCCCAGGTTCAAGTGATTGCCCTGCCTCAGCCTCCTGAGGAGCTGGGATTACAGGCATGCACCACCATGCCCGGCTAATTTTTGTATTTTTAGTGGAGACGGGGTTTCCCCATGTTGGCCAGGCTGGTCTTGAACTCCTGACCTCAGGTAATTCACCCGCCTTGGCCTCCCAAAGTGCTGGGATTAAGGTGTTACCCACCACGCCCGGCCTAGAGACTAAATTTCTTAGGTCCATATGTCTGCTTGATAGCAAGAGCTGGAATTAGTTCAGCCAGTGGGTTCTTAACTCTGGATGCATATAAGAATCACCTGGGAAACAAAAAAAAATCTTAGTGGTTGGCTTCACTCTCAGATATACAGATTTATTTTTTAATTTTTGTTTATTTTTTTGTAGAGATGGGGTCTCACTATGTTGCCCAGGCTGGTCTTGAATTCCTGGGCTCAAGCAATACTCCCACCTCCACCTCCCAAAGTTCTGGCATTACAGGTGTGAGCCACTGTGCCTGGCCAGATATATGGATTAACGGGGCCGGGCCAGGGCTGGGTCCTGGGCTGTGATTCTAACCTGCTGCCTGGGGTTGAAGCGCTTCTCCTCCAGGTGTGGTCCATGAACCAGTCGCATCAGCATCACCTGCGAGCTTGTTAGAAATGCAGAGTCTCAGGCCCCACCCCAGACCCTCTGAATCAGAACCTGCATTGCAACAAGGTTCTCAGATGATTCCTGTGCATGGCGAAGTTTGGAAACTCTGAGTGTTGCTTTTGAGATCAGACATACAGTGCTATCCATTGGTGTCTGTGGAGGATGTCTTATTTGTTTATTTATGAGACAGGTCTCTGTCACCAGGGCTGGAGTGCAATGGCATGATCGCAGCACACTGCAGCCTCTACCTTCTGGGCTCAAGGGACCCTCCTGCCTCAGCCCCCCAAGTACCTGAGACTACAGGTGTGTGCCAACACACCCAGCTCTTTTTTTTTTTTTTTTTTTTTTGAGATGGAGTTTCACTCTTATTGCCCAGGCTGGAGTGCAATGGCACAGTCTTCACTCACTGCAACCTCTGCCTCCCGGGTTCAAGCGATTCTCCTGCCTCAGCCTCCCAAGTAGCTGGGATTACAGGCATATGCCACTACACCAGCTGATTTTGTATTTTTAGTAGAGATGGGGTTTCACTATGTTGGTTAAACTGGTCTCGAACTCCTGACCTCAGCTGATCCACCCATCTTGGCCTCCCAAAATGCTGGGATTACAGACGTGAGCCACCGTGTCCAGCCTGCCCAGCTCATTTTTATTTATTTATTTATTTTTTGGTAGAGACAGGGTCTTGCTATGTTGCCCAGGCTGGTCTTGAACTCCTGGCCTTAAGTGATCCTCCACCTCAGCCCCCCAAAGTACTTGGATTACAGATTACAGGCATAAGCCACCGCATCAGGTCTGTTTAATTTTTACCATTCAGACAGCACTCAAGGCCTAGTGTGAGTGGCCTCCATCGAGGGCCCTGGGCTTCCCTCTACCCTGAGGGTTCCATGTGCCTCCCAGGTTGAAGCCATGAGAGAGTCCAGAACTACCCCCACCCCAAAAAAAGTCTTGCTCATGGCCAGCTGAGTGTTCCACAGCCCTTGATTTCTGGGTGTGTCATAATGTAGTCACCAAGTCAGGCCTGTGGGCTGCCTCTGGGTCCTTCCTGTTGAGAGTGATGGCATGTCACTGCTGGCTTCCCCGAGGATGAGAGGTTCAACTTGTTTGGTTCGGCCCCTAAGATTCTCTTACATTACCTCTAGCTCAGACACTCTGCTTGTATTGGAAAACTGGGAGGCAGTGCCTTTTCCTCTTTCTTCCTTTCTGAAATAGAAGGTACTCAGTAGATGTTGGATTTGGAATATTGGAATGAAATGAAGGCTGTGTGGGCCTCTGGGCAGCCTTTGGTGTTAGAAACAGGCTTCATCCCTGCTGGACTTGAGTTTCAGTTGAGGAGCTCCTATCTGGGCAGCACTCTTCACCAGCAAAGGCTGTCCGTGGTCTTTTGAAAAGAGATCTTTTTTAGTTCATTTCTTAAAATCCAGTGCTATATGAGAGCCAGTCTGATCTTTTCTAAATCTGTACTTTCATTTTGGGTAGCGCCTAAAAGAGACACAGCAGTCCCTGTTCAACCTCTTTTCGGGAAACCAAGAGCCTTGGCTGCTTATTCATCCCTTCTCTGCCGTTTTCAACAACAAACCCCCTTTGATGAAAGACCATTCTGAGACAGGCTAGAGCTGGTTCCCCTTTTATTTCTCCTCTTTTCCAAGCTCCCCTCTGCCACCTCCTGTATCTCTTCCAACCTTCCTCCCCCAAAGAAAAACAACAACAAACCAAACTTTGAAAAAACAAGGGAGGCTTGTCCCCATTGGTGAAATCCCTTGAAAGGATGTCACTGAGAAAGGGTCTCTGTGGCCCTCTTTTTCCGCAAGCGTTGGGAGGTCTCTGAGGATCTGACCTGGGGAGACTGGAGCGCTAATTATACGCACAGAAGCCATTCATTAGTTGCCACTAGCAAGAAGACTTGGCCAATGCTCACTCCTCTGAATTCAGAGGTTTTGAAAGAACCCCAAACTGAGCCTGCGACTTTCTTCAATCTTTTTTTTTTTTTAATATATATATATTTCTTTCTTCTCCAGCCTCTCTGTTCTCCTCTGTTGCCCACAGCAACCTCAGCAGTTGGTACCAGCACAGAGTGGAGAGGGCAGGCCAGGTTACCTCGGTGTCAAGCAATCATTACTGAGCAATTCACCAGAGCCTCACAAAGAAACAGATTTCTCTGAAAATCTCCCGATCCAAACCACCCCCAATATTTAACCAGCAACTCCCCAACCCTACCTTTCCTGAGAGGTCCGTGTTTTCTAGTACCTGAGCAGACAGTTATGAGCCACTGCCTCCCTGCCTTTTTGAGGCCTTTCTTTACCAACAATGCTTTGTTAACTCTTTAACACACTTTCCTGATGTTCACACTTTCTGCCTACCACACACACGTCCAGTAGAGACAGACAAGGGGGAGAATTAAATGATTAGCCAGCAGCTGCCCATGAGGAACAGGCAGTCAGGCCATAGGTTTTTCCCTTTTCCGCTTTACCATGAGACAGTGCTTTGTCAAAAGGAAGTGCCAAAGTTGTCATGGAAATAAATCATTAGCTAGATTGAGCTATCTTTAATTTGGGCGGGAGTCTGCCATTAATATGTCTAAATCTCAGTTTACAAATGAGCACTTGATGACTTGATTCCTGACACTTATTCTTGTGATTCTTTTGAATCTCAATTAGTAAGACTTTCTTTCTCATAGAATGCCATACGGCTTCTTGGAACAAAGGACAAACGGGTAGAATGCTTGAAACAGACCAAATCAAAGATTATGATTTTTTTTTCTGAAGGGAAGAAAAAAATAAAATTGGAAAAATAAAAATAAGGCTTATCATGATATCCTGCCGTCTGATTTCTAAAAGTACAGTTCCTTTAGGTTCTAAGGACTGGCATGTTCTTTGTGATATTTGTCAATGACATGTGAAATGTGCTCTGAGTAAAGGCATTTTCTTCTGCAATGTTCATTTCTATTTCAATGGTCTGCCTCAGTACTTTTCTTTAATTAATACTGTTTATGCTCACTGATGAATAATTCAGAGTTGTACAAGCAACAGATGTCAGCGGATTCAAAATGACTTTCCCTGAATTATTTATTATTTCCAAAAAAGTAACAGGTTTGTTGAACAAGTAATTGGCAACACAGATGTAGATCAAGGTTTGTCAGCAGGCAACAAGTTTCACTACTGTTTCCCCTTTTGTGCATGTTGATAACCAGGATGGCATTGTCTAGGAGCGGGGGTCTGCCTGATACCACTGCTTAGGGAGTCATTGACCCATCCTGTTGCTGACTTGGAGAGCTGGAACCTTAGTTGGTTTCCAGGTTGTCTAACGATGAAACATGAATGGAAATTCATCCAAAAATGTAATTAATGAATGTAGGCTTGTAAATATCTCGCAGACAGAATGACTTAATACAGGTGCCCAGAAAGAGGGAACATCTTTGTTTGCAGGGATATGTTAAGAATAGAGACCTAGAAGAAAAATAATTTGACAGATATGTAAAGGTTTATGTATAAGAATGTTCTCTGCAGTGCTGTTTATGACAGAATTTTTGCAAGGAGACAACTCAACGTCCAACAATGAAAGACTGGTTAGATAAATTCTGGTAGATCCAAGCAGTGAAATATTATATCACCACTGTAATGATATATATGTATTTTTGATCTGGAAAAATGTCAACATATTAAATAAAAGATGATATTAAGTGAGAGAGTCTATAAACCGATATGGCTTATTTCTGTAGGAAAATACATGTATGTATTTTTTTTTGTAGGCATAGGGAAAAGTCTAGAAGGAACTACCCCAAAATATTAATAGTGGTTATTTAGGGGTAGTAGGATCCAGCATGACTTTTCTTCTGTCTCACATATTTTGCCATCATTTTCACTGTAAGTATGCTTATGTTATGAATCTCAGTTAATACGACTTTCTTTCTCATAGAATGCCATACCTCTTCTTGGAACAAAGCACACATGGGTAGAAGGCTAAGCTGCTGTAACAAGAGATCCAACAACATTGTGACTTAAAGAAATAAATCTCAGGCTGGGTACTGTGGCTCATGCCTGTAATCCCAGCAATTTGGGAGGCTGAGGTGGGCGGAGCACCTGACATCAGGAGTTCGAGACCAGCCTGGCCAGCATGGCAAAACCCCATCTCTACAAAAAATACAAAAATTAGCTGGGCGCAGTGGTGCACGCCTGTAACCCCAGCTACTTAGGAGGCTGAGGCAGGAGAATCCCTTGAACCCAGGAGGCGGAGGTTGCAGTGCGCTGAGATCGTGCCACTGCACCTCCAGCCTAGGCGACAGAGCGAGACCTGGCCTGCCTTGTTATCTTCTAAAGAGCCAAGTCTGGGTGCTGTCGTGAGAAGGAAACATGGGTATGGAAGAGGCACAACTTGCCGTCTCAAGGCCCTGGTCCAAAAGTGGCCCATATCACTCCTGCTCCCAGCCCTTAGCAGGGACATAGGCACATGGCCATACTCCACTGCCAGCTGCAAAGCAGGCTGGGAACAAAATCCTTACAGGCATTTATGTGACCAGCAATAGCTCTGTGCTATGGAGAAAAGAGAAAAGGAATTTTGCTGGGACAGCTTTCGGTCTCTGCTAAATTTATTGATTGATTTTCAAATTTTTTTTAGATATGAGGTCTTGCTTTGTTGCCCAGGTAGGTCTTGAACTCCTGGGCTCAAGCGATTCCCCCACCTTGGCCTCCCAAAGTGGGATTACAGGCATGAGCTACCATGCCCAGCTGCTACTAAATTTATTACCCGTAAAATAAAAATAAAAATAAATTTAAAAAGGAAGTTGAGTTTTGATTCGATGTCTTCAGAGGGCATTTCCTTTTGGAATTAATCATACAGAAGATGTATACTCTGAAGCAATTTGAAGATTTAAAAAAAAAAAAAGGAAAGGTATAAAATGTGGACACTGCCTTCCAGGGATTTACAGTCTGATTGAGAAACCGGACCAATAACAATTCGAAGTAGTATATGCAAAAGGCCAGAGAGTGTTCAGATAAGTGCAGAGGAGCAAATTGGCTAGGGTCATGGAATAAGGCTTAGATAAATTGAAAGGCTTGCAATTCTGCTTTGTTGAGCTACCAGGATTACTTGTACTTTTGGAAGAAATAAAACTATTTGTGTTTTGTGACATTTTAGGGTAGCGTGACCTCCCCTTACAACACAGAGGAACTGAATCATATTTTCCTACTGACTGACTAACAGTAATTTAAGACTCTAATTGGTCTTCCGTTAGCTGTCATTTATTGTAATTCTTTGTGAAATGCACATGATCTTTAACATAAAATATCTTGGAAGAGCTACAACTTAAAGGAAACTTGACTTGATAATGTAAAAATTATCTTTTAAATAATTTTTTAAATATATGGTTTTAAAGCTTTTTAATATGGTTATCTTGAGTAGGGTATTTCTAGGCTTATTTGGAAGGCAAACCAAAAAGCATAGAGAGTTTTTTTTCCTCCCTTGGATAGAAATTTTTCTGTCTTTAATAGATTAATGGTAATCATATAACACATTACCTCCTTCACAATAAGATCAAATTTTGCAAATCTTTTGCCTTGAATCAGATTCTTCAACTCTGGAGTTTAGGTTAGTAGAACCCAAAAATATGTTGTTTTATGCACAAAGCCTCGCAAAGTCAAGTGGTAGATTTTGACCTCTTCTTTAACCTACCCTGAATGTAGTCCCTTAAAACATGATGGAATCCACATTTGGTATTTCCCTGCTATTTCATGAGATGCAACAAAATGTTTCAAGGGAGACAGTAGGAACCATTTGGTGCTTTGGTGATCTTTTCAGGAAAATCTGGTTTCGGAAGCCCCATAAGGCGAGAATTATTGCAAATAAGGCCCAGATTTGAAAATTGCTGTTTTGCAAATTGTGCTTATTCTAGGAATAATGATTTCTACAGCTGGGAAGAACTTTAAAAATTGGGTGAACCAGTTGCCTGCTTTGACAGATGAGGTACTGCAATGCAGAGAGGTCAAGCTAGTTGCTGGGGTCACCTAGCTCATTTGTGACAAAACTAGGAACCGTGGGTCTGACTCAGTCCTCTGCCCTGCCGCCCTGTACCACAGTAGGCCTCTCTATATTATGCCGCTTGGTAGTCACCCACCTTGCTTCCTACCATCAAAAGGAACTTCTGGTAGAAACTCCTTTCACAGCCTCCTGATCTGCAGGAGTGATGAATTTAGCCTGGGATGAACTGGGAGTGGCAGAGCCATCTTTAAACCCCAGGTCCTTTCTGGATGCTTTGTTTGCAGAAGAGCTGCAGAGATCATGAGGGACATTTCTTGATTCATATTAATCAGAAACTCATTTGGGGCAGAATTTGAACTTGTAGCCAATTTTATAAGGAAGTTTCACAGCTAAAACCTCTCTGTGTTGTAAAAGGAGGTCATACTACCCTAAAATGTCACAAAACATTTTACTTCTTCCAAAAGTACAAGTAATCCTGGTATCCAGATAAAGAAGTTTTAATTTGTTTTTATTGGTTTACCTTGCCTCAGAGTTCTGAGTGTTGGATTTTCACTGTGACAACAAAAATAAAATATTTCCTGCTTATTGTAAAGCGGTCAAAGAGCTGAAAAGCAATACCATCTTTTAGAATGCATTTCTTACCCTTCTTTGATCAACATTAAGATGCGTTGCCACTCTGGGGTATGATTCTGGTTTGATCGTTGCAGTGTTTTGGAAAATGTTTGATGGCCTATAGGTTTATTGATTTCAAAGACTGTAAATCCATCTGCCCATCTATCCATCATTCACCCTCCTATCTGAGAGCAGTGTGGGAAGCTTCTACTGAAGTACCAATAACTTGGATTGGTAGCCTTCAAGCCCTGGGGGGACTTGGTAATTCCACACTTAAGTTTTTCTACCTGAAAAACATATAGCTCTTAAATTTCAAAATACAGCTTCGTTTATGCCTGAAGAGGAGAAGTTTCATAACGCAGCCAGCACTGTTGGTTGTCATGCAATAACCATTCTCCCTTCACCCTTGCTAACGTTTTCTTTCTTTTTTTTTTTTTTTTTGAGGTGGAGTTTTGCTCTTGTTGCCCAGGCTGGAGTGCCGTGGCATGATCTTGGCTCACTGCAACCTCCACCTCCCAGGTTCAAGCGATTCTCCTGCCTCAGCCTCCCAAGTAGCTGGCATTACAGGCATGTACCACCATGCCTGGCTTATTTTGTATTTTTAGTAGAGACGGGGTTTCTCCATGTTGGTTAGGCTGGTCTCGAACTCCCCACCTCAGATGATCCGCCTGCCTTGGCCTCCCAAATTACTGGGATTACAGGGGCGAGCCTCCACACCCAGCCTGTTAATAACGCTTTTCTTCATTCCATTTTCTTGCCTGTGAGATGTGCATAAGACCCAGCTCAGAGAGTTGTTGTTGGTTCCTACTCTCTAACTTTGCCTAATTAGATTTCTGTTAAGCTTGAGATCATTTATAGCCAACTTTTTCCATATTAAAATCATAAGCCTCTGTTGAAAGGTTTTGTTAGTCCAAATTGGAACCGTCTTGACTTCGCATCAAATCATTCATCTCTAGCTCAGTCGCCACATAAGCTTGTATAATTCTCTCAGGGCTTCTGTCATTGTTAATTTACATCTGACCTTGTTCTGAAAACTATTTAAGGCAGTGGAGCCCTAACTTAGAACTTGCTGGCTTTTAACTTTGCCAGTTGGTCTGGACCTGTGAAAATATTTATCCAATCCCCTAAGAAATCAGAGTAAAGATTTTCATGAAAACTTCTAGCCGGGCACAGTGGCTCATGCCTGTAATCTCAGCACTTTGGGAGGCCGAGGTGGGCGGATCACTTGAGGTCAGGAGTTCGAGACCAGCCTGGTCAACATGGTGAAACCTAGACTCTACTAAAAATACAAAAATTAGCCAGGTGTGATGGTGTGTGCCTGTAATATCAGCTACTTTGGAGGCTGAGGTAGGGGAATCGCTTGAACCCGGGACATGGAGGTTGCAGTGAGCTGAGATCATGCTACTGCACTCCAGCCTGGGTGACAGAGCGAGACTCCATCTCAAAAAAAAAACTTCCAAAACCATTTTTACATATTGGTTTATTTTGACTCTTGATCGTTGTGCCAAGAAAGTTGATTATGACTAGCGTTTCCATCTTACAAATAGGGAAATGGAAAACTCAGAAAGGTCAAGTGACTTCCCTGAGGTTGGTAAGGAGTGGTAGAGCCAGGATTTGAACCTGGGCAGTGTAGCCACAGGGTCCTCACTCTTAACCACTTGGCTAAACTGTCTTCATATACGTATGTATGCATGTGTTTGGTTCCCGGTGGTGATGCCATGGGGAGCATTTACCATGAGCGCAGTGGGAAAAGCATGGAGCATGCTGGAAGGCATGGATGCTTACATTTTCATTCCGGATTTGTGGATTTTGCACTAGGGTATCTGCTAGGCCATGAACTAGAATTGTGTACTGAGAGTCATCATTAGTTGGGTGATTTTTTTTTTTTTTTTTTTTTGACATAGGCACTGCTCTGTCGCCCAGGCAGTGGTGTGATCTTGGCTCACAGCAACCTCCGCCTCCTGGATTCAGGCGATTCTCCTACCTCAGCCTCCTGAGTAGCTGGGATTACAGGCACTCACCACCACCCCTGGCTAATTTTTGTATTTTTAGTAGAGATGGGGTCTCACCATGTTGGCCAAGCTGGTCTCTATCCACCCACCTCAGCCTCCCAAAGTGCTGGGATTACTGGTCTCAGCCGCCGCACCCGGCCAATTAGTTAGATCTTTCTACGGAAGAACAACTGACTTGCCAATTTAGTCTGTAAGATCAGGAGTTGAGGGACATTGGAACTACAGAAAAACATTATTAAAGATGACTCTTAAGATGTCAAGAGGAAAGAAAAATGACTTCTTCGGTCAAAAAAAGAGCAAAAGCTATCACGCTGTATGAGCCACAAGCTGAAGGCTGTCTTCTGGGGGCGGCTTAAATGCATTAGATTAGTCTGCAATGTGGATTAAGGGACCGTGGGATTTAATAACTTGCGTATTAAAGAATGGCTCTGCAAATGTTACCCTAACATAAAAATGTAAGCATTCTAATTGAATTTAGAAGCAATAGTATTAAAATTTCTTCTGGTGATGCTCCTTAGACGCATTAAATAAAATATCAAAAGTCACAATTGATTAAACTGAAACTTTAGCATGAGAGTTATTAAGCATTAAATTCTGCTGCTAGAGGTTTTTATTTTATTTTTTCCTGACATGTACTCAGAAAATTCTCCCTTTACATAATTTATGGTCATTCTGCTGTTTAAATGTGCCAAAAAATGTTCTCGGAGTTTTGGCAGTGTTTTGAAATAGAGTATATTATCTTAGTCTTGGGCTATATATATATAATGAACACTCAATATATATTGATGGTGGTGTTTTCATGAGTTGAAGTCTCGCTGTGGGCAAAGGAAGGAATAGGCTATTCTATTACATCTGATGCTTAGCCTGCCTTTAATGAGTAATGTAGAAAAATAGACCTCTTCTTCCTCCTATGGCAAGTCTGTATGTAGTCTTGCTAAGCTTGTGTCTGCCCACAAATCCTAATGAGAAGATGGCATTGATCGGAGATGGTAGCAAAGTACAGCTGGGATACTGCTGTCCATATGTTCCATGGTTCCAGAATTCCAAGGACTACAGACAGCCTTGTAGAAATCACAAAGCATGAGTGATAGTTATAAGCAAAGAGGTCTTCTCCTTTTTATCCAAGGACAAGCAAATGGCAGGGAGGCAGAAAGGTGACGTTTTGAATCTGTAGACACATAACGAGGAATGTGGTTGACTGAAAAGTGTCTATGCATTTAGGGCGGTGAGAGCAGACAGTTAGGGGCATCCAGGAAACCTCCTCCTCTCTTGCCTTTCAGGGTGTCTCCTGGAGTCCCGAGTGTGGCATGTTCTGCATTCAAGAGTATTGTGGAGGCCAGACGTGGTGAAACCCCATCTCTACTAAAAATACAAAAATTAGCTGAGCGTGGTGGTGCATGTCTGTAATCCCAGCTACTTGGGAGGCTGAGGCAGGAGAATCACTTGAACCTGGGAGGCGGAGGTTGCAGTGAGCTGAGACTGCACCACCGCACTCCAGCCTGGGCAACAGAGCAAGACTCTGTCTAAAAAAAAAAGAGTACTGTGGAATTCATTCTTATGTAGCTGTATGAAAAAGAAAACCAACATCATAAAATATGAGTACTAGTTTGAAGTCCATTACAGACAAATCACACCATTTTTATGTTAGACCACCCCAACCACTTCCCTTTTTTGTTTTTGTTTATTTTGACAGGTTCTCGCTTTGTCACCCAGGCGGAAGTGTAGTGGCACGATCTCAGCTCACTGCAACCTCTGCCTCCCAGGTTCAAGCAATTCTCTTGCCACAGCCTCCTGATTAGCTGGGATTATAGGCACTCACCACCACACCAGGGTAATTTTTGTATTTTTAGTAGAGGTGGGGCTTCACCATGTTGACCAGGCTGATCTCGAACTCCTGGCCTCAAACGATCCACCCACCTCGGCCTCCCAAAGTGCTGGGATTACAGGCATGAGCCACCACACCCAGCCTCCTTTTTGTTATTGCTCAGATTTACAGAAATTTATTTTGCAAAATTTTACCTCGAAGAAACAAGCGAGTGTTTCTCTGTATCCATCTGAGCTCAGGAGGATGCCCAAGTGAAAGGTGTTTAATCCAACTTCTGTTGAATGATTGACTTCTCAGGGACTGTTAATTTGTAAACTCTAAGAAAGGGGGAAAGTTTAAGTTTTTCCGGCTGCCAAACTTTGGGCTTCATGGTGAATCATCAGGACAGGCTTTCTAGGCCAAGTGTAAGCGCTGTTCTGGGGGCCACTGGTCTGAGGGTGGGGGAGCAGGATGTGTTTATTTAGATGCACGGCCAGAGTTCACACACTTGGGGTTTGGGATCAGCCTCCAGGGCCTAAGTAATTTCTCCCAGGAGATGTCTTCGCATCTTATACCCTGTATAGGATCATCACGGACTGCTGATTGAAGAAAAGGGTTAGGACCACTGATCAGAGAGAAGCTACGATTTTTTCTTTTCTGTCTGTCACAGAGGTGTCAGTAAAGGAGAAAGCTTACTTGAAAGGTTTGGATTACCGAGCAGCTCAAAAGAGCTGTTGCTGGCGGGATTTTCTCCTTGCTGAAGTTTTTCTTTGCCCCTAGAATACTAAGCAAAAAGGAAAGAAAAGATGAAAGGTAAGTCCC
This sequence comes from Homo sapiens, assembly GCF_000001405.40. Taxonomy (NCBI): domain Eukaryota; kingdom Metazoa; phylum Chordata; class Mammalia; order Primates; family Hominidae; genus Homo; species Homo sapiens. The sequence goes on from NC_000017.11 coordinate 67,488,133, forward strand.
TCTTTAAAAATACATTGAGTCAACCCATCGCAGAAAAATACAGATTTCTCAACTGACAAATAAGCGGCATCACTGCATTTGGGAATCAGAAAAAGTCCCCACGATAAAGTTATTTGGGAATTAATCAACACTTGGCTCATCCTAGGCGTGGAGCGCTTCGGAATTCACCTCGTGTTGCTTGGAAGCTGGCAGCCCGGTTGTTATATAATGTGAACCCAGAGGCCTGCCAGACGGCCCTCCCTGTGCCCCGGGGGAGTTACAAGGCTCTGTAACTCTTGGAGTCAGTCAATCCTGCAGAACAGAGTCCAGGGGCCTGGTGTGTGCTGTGTTTTACAGATGACACATTAACCTTTGAAATTCTGTCCTCAGTCACCTTCATCAATGCCTGAGCGAACGAAGGAAGGGCCACATGTGGGCTCTTTTTTTGTTCACTTTTCCAAATGGAGATAAGACATGTAACAAAATTTACCATCTTAACCATTTTTAAATGTACAGTTCTGTGTTATTAAGTGCATTCCTATCGTTGTACCAGTATCACCACTATCCATCTGCAGAACTCTGCATCTTGAAACTCTGTGCCTGTTCAGTGGTAACTGCCTGTTCCCCTCCTGGCAGCCCCTGGCAGCCGCCCGTCTCTGAATTTCAGAGCCACTTTCTGTCCCTGAGTTTGACTACTCTAGGTACTCACATAAGTAGAATCACACTGTATTTGTCCTTGTGTATCTATCTGGCTTATTTCTCTTAGCGTAATATCCTCAAGGTGCATCTGTGTGGTAGTGTGTATCAGAATTTCCTTCCTTTTCAGGAGTGAATAATATTCCATTGTACGGATATACCATGTTTTGTTCATCCATCCATCCCTCCGTGGATGGACATGGGTTGTTTCCACCTTTTGACTATTGTGAATAGTACTGCCATGAACACAGTTATACAAATACCTGTTTGAGCCTCTGCTTTCTGTTCTTTGGGGTACTTTCCCAGAATTGGAATTGATGGGTCATACGGTAACAGACTCCTTTTTTAAAAAAGAAAAGTATCTTGAGAACTTGGGAGAGCCACCCTAGGAGTACTTACTGGGCTGGATTGTTTGCTCCGTCTCCTTTTGCCTCCAGGTACAGCCCATAGGCCTCTGTCCTCACAGATGTGGTATGGAAGAGTGGCCCTGTTCCAGGGTGAGATCACCAGTGTAGACCTTCTCAGTTTGACCCTACATCTGATGAACCCCCAAAAGCACAGAGAGGATCTCAGAATGAACTAAAGATCATGGGCTATAAATGACTCCTTCCTTCTCCTTTTCTTCCTTGGATGACAAAGATTGTGGTCACTATACAGTTATGGTGGCCTCAAGTCTGGTAAATCAATGATGTTTCATGTTAGCTGCTCACGGGATTCACCTTGTGGCTTATTGATGTCCAGACCCCGCCTCTGATCCCGCCTCTAGAGATTCTGATTTCATTGGTTTGAGTCCTGGCCTCAGCATGGGGACTTTTGAAAGCTTCCAGGCGAGTCTAATATGCAGCCAGGGTTCTGTAGCACCCAAGTGAATTACTGAACCCGAACCTTTTCTCAATCCCTTTCATGCTGTCTGTTGTCTTTTTGGTTATTTCTTTTTTCTTTTTCTTTTTTAATTTGAGATGGAGTCTCGCTCTGTCCCAGGCTAGAGTGCAGTGATAGGATCTTGGCTCACTGAAACCTCTTCCTGCCAGGTTCTAGCAATCCTCCCACCTTAGCCTCCCGAGTAGCTGGTATTACAGGTGTGCACCACCACGCCCGGCTAATTTTTGTATTTTTAGTAGAGACGGGGTTTCACCATGTTGGCCAGGCTGGTCTCGAACCTCAAGTGATCCATCCCCCTCGGTCTCCCAAAATGCTGGGATTGCAGGCGTGAGCCACCACACCCAGCCAGGTTATTTCTTTGGAGCATATCTTCAGATTTGTACATCTCAGCCCAAGGTTTAAAGATTTGGAAACAGGCTTTTCTGTGTGTGTGTGTGTGTGTGTGTGTGTGTGTGTGTGTGTGTGTGTGTGTTTTAATTAACGAGGATGCATTATGTAACTTTGGAGCTAAGAATGAGGAATGAGGATGCATTATGTAACTTTGGAGCTAAGAATGAGGAGACCTGGGTCATACTTGTGTGTGTGTGTGTGTTATTATCTAACCAGGGATAATGAATTATTTAACTTGGCAGGATCTCAGTTTGTTGTTGTTGGTTTTTTGTTTTTTGTTTTGTTTTTTTTTAAATCTTGGCTTTAAAATTAGGGCATAGATTGGCAAACCAGATAAAAGAATGAAATTAATGATTTTTTTAAAAATGTCCCCTCTAGCTCTGACATACCACGACTCTGAATGAACAGGTGGAATTGATGGGGAGTGAGGAGGCTTGGAGAGAGAGCCCCCGGGTGTGAACCCATCCTGTTCTAACAATAATGAGCTTTGGGATGAAGAGCCTCCCCGCAGGCAGGGGACTGCTGGGAGTTTCTGGTGTCCCAGAAGAAGCCTTCAGGGCAGCTCTGATCAGTAAATAAAAGGATACGAAATAAAAATCTCAAAGGATCCGTAATGAATAAGAAAGCAGGAATGTCGTCCCCAGGGAGAAATGAGTTGGGGGCTTTGTCAGTCACGAGAGAACATAGCACAGGACTCTGGGTCCAATGGAGCTGAACGTCAGCGCCTCTGTCCCCACGAAAATAGTAACTTCCCTGACACCATCCACCTGATGCCAAGAGCTGTTTATATCAACATTTCTTCTCGGGATTCTTTCAAACTTTATACTTACTTCTCTCCTCCTCTGATTCTATTCAAGGAATGTGAATGGCTGAGGTTTTGTTTTGTTTTGTTTTCCTCTCTAGATTAGCACAGCTAATACAGTGGAATTGTGATGCCAGGGTCTATTAGTGTAGAGAAACAAAGAATGCAGTCCTGCCCTGGGCACCAGGGTTTACTTCCATGGTGACTTCTTCTTAAGCCCATGGGAAAGTGAGAGGGAGGTGACCTCCTCACAGTCGGCTCAGCCTCTGGAGCCCGGAGCCGGAGCCAGCCCCATAGTGTGTGGCCATCAGGATGACGCAGAGAGGCGTGTGAACGCAGCCGGCCACTGCAGCTGGTGCACTTGACTCTGGGCAGCGCGTTCCCAGGAACCCGCAGGACACTGAGGACCGTGCGTGATGTAACCCAGATCTGCCAGATGTGGGAGCCAGCATGAGTCACAATGCCGGGCCGTTCATTAAGAAATGCTTTCTGGGTCATCTGGGTGCAGGGCACTGCTGCTTCCCTGCTGTCCAGGGTTGGAGGCATCAAGTCTGCCCACCAGGAATCCCCAAGTTCATGAACATCTGTCTAAAATTATAGCCTGGTTTTCTGAGCTGATGTGGCACAGAGCACACGCACGCTGATGGTCTCTGGCTTGTAATTTGTTAAAGGATCTCACCACTTTGGTTAGTGGTGGGAAATCAGATAATAAAAACATACGCCCAGGTGGGAGGGTCACTTGAGGCCAGGAGTCTAAGACCAGCTCCAGCAACATAGTAAGACTCCGTTTCTGCAAAAAGATAAAATTACCTGGGCATGGCATGCCTGTAGTCCTAGCTACTTGGGAGGTTGAGGTGGGAAGATGGCCTGAGCCCAGGAATTCAAGGCTGCGGTGAGCTGTGATCACACTACTGCCTCCAGCCTGGGTGACAGAGTGAGACCCTGCCTCAAAACAACGACAAAACCAAAAACCAAAAACCCCAAAAGTGTAAGTTGCTGTGAGGTTTCTGCACATTTTAGTAAGATCAGAAATGAGGTGGGGTGTTGGGAGAAGCCAAAAACTGTGCTGGCATTGTGCCAGTGAAATGCCAGCAATCACGAGCGGTCTTCCTTTTTTTTTCTTTTTTTTTTAAAAAAAAAAAGATGTGCAAGATGCCTTATGGTGAATAACAAGTATATTTCTGAGAAGTTGTAAACTAACTCCTTAAAAAAAATCCTTATGGATATAAGACATACAGTCAGAAAAGTTCATGCATGCATCCCTGGGTAAAATCTGACACCCAAGTAACTGTAGCAAGTTGAAGGGTGGCCCCTTAAATATCCCCCAGAGCCTGTGAATATGATCTTATTTGGAAGGAGACCTTTGCAGACATAATTCAATCAAGGATCTTGAGATGAGATCATTCTGGATTACCTAAGTGGACCCTAAATCCAATGACAAGTGTCCTTACAAGAGACAGAAGAGGAGAAGACACAGACACACAGGAAGGAAACATATGAAGCAGGAGGCAGGGATTAGAGCACTGGAGCTGCAAGGAACAGCTGAGCCACCAGAAACCAAAAGAGGCAACAAACGGGTGGTCCCCTCGTGCCTTTGGAGGGAGCCTGGCCCTGCTGACACCTTGATTTCTTTTTTCTGGCATCCAGAACTGTGAGCCAGTAAACTCTGTTGTGTGAAGCCACCAAGTTTGTGGTGATTTGATAAGGAAACTAATAAAATCATCACACCTAGATGAAGAAGCAGAATGTTTCCAAAACCCTGGAAACTCCCCCTCAAGCCTAGTTTCTGTTTTCACACCGCCCCAGGACAGCTACTGTCCTGATTTCTAACGCCGGGGATAGGTTTTATGCCATTTGAACATAATAAATGGAATCTTACGGTGCATCGTCTTCTGTGTCAGATTTCTTCCCCTCCACGCTTTGTGAGATGTGTTTATCCTGTTGTGTGTTTGATGATTCTCACTGCTGCTTAGTTGTAGTGTTCCACGGTGTGAATATACCACGATTTATTTACTCTTCTCCTGTTGGGGGCATTTGAGTTTGGGGCTACGACAAAGAGTGCTGTTACAAATTCTGTTTCGTTCCTTTCTGATGAATATACGTGGGCGCTTTTGTGAGTTACATTCTCAGGAGCTGAATTGTTGGGTCATAGGCTATCTGTGTGTTCAGCTTCAGTAGCTATTGCCAGTTTTCCTATTAATTTTTTAAACACCCCATCCGATTTGGAATCTCTGTGTGAAATGGAGAATCCAATGGTAGATTCAGTAACCACTCTTTAATGTGGCTATTTTATAAGGTCCAAATGTTGAACGCAGGGTTTTCTTGGAGCAAGTTCCTTCCTTAGATCACAATCAGGAATATTCCATGTCTCAGAAGAGCCCATTACAGGGCTGGGCAGGCGTGAAAGCACACCAGTTTCTGGGAATCGGAGAGGCTGGGCTACTGACTGTGAATTTTAAATATTCTTAACCCATCGCTGGAGTGATGAATAGCACAGCTGTCGTATCCTCCATCTCGAGACTCAGAAATAAATTTGCAGTCTTTTAGGAGCTCCAGTTTTAATTCTCCTTTCCAGCTTTTAAGCTCTATGCTCCATAACTTAGGATGCAACCAAATGATATGCAGCATTTCTAAATATTCTGCTTTGATAAGTGAGTGGAAATAGTGCTGGTACAGCGGATAAGACTAGATTAAAACCCAGGGTCCCCAGCTGTCTAAAGAAGATGTGCTGCTTTGGATTTGCCTGATGCCCCAAGATCTTTCTGGAAATGGGGGAGGGTGGCTTTGACCTTGGAAATACTGGAAAGGGGAGGAAAGTGTGGTGATGGTACCTCAGAGGACTGTTTTCCCTCCAGACGTGAGATGGGTGGGATGGTAGCAACCTAGCTATCATTATGACTGATAAGCCTTCTTTTTCCCAATACAAAAGCAATTTGTCTTCCTTGCAGAATGAGAAAAATTCAGGTCCACCAGAAAATAACCACAAACCTGACACCCACAGTTAACCACTGTTGAATATATTTGCATATATACATTTCATATACAAACCTTTCTTCCCATACAAACATTTTATTTCTGCAGTCAACGAGTATGTATTGAATGCCTGCCATGTGCCAGTCCCCAGGGATAGAGCATGAATAAAACAGACAAACCATCCCCTGTCCTTGCGGAGCTGACCTTCCAGTGGGAGCTTATTATACGATACATATGGTACTAAAATGAGATCTTATGGTACATGTTTCTTATCGGTTGCTTTTTTCCACTAACAATATGTGTAACCTCTTTCTTTCTTTCTTTCTTTCTTTTTCTTTCTTTCTTTCTTTCTTTCTTTCTTTTTGAGACGTAGTCTTGCTCTGTTACTCAGACTGGAGTGCAGTGGCGCAATCTTGACTCACTGCAACCTCTACCTCCTGGGTTCAAGCAATTCTCTGCCTCAGCCTCCCGAGTACCTGTGATTCCAGGCACCTGCTACCACGTCTGGCTAATTTTTGTTTTTTTAATAGAGACAGGGTTTCACCATCTTGGCCAGGCTGGTCTTGAACTCCTGTCCTCGTGATCCACCCGCCTCGGCCTCCCAAAGTGCTGGGATTACAGGCATGAGCCACCGTGCCCAGCCCTGTAACCTCTTTCAATGGCAACAGATATTCAGATATAACTTTTATAGATTTATCAATGAACTAAATCCCCAGTGGTTTTGCTTGCTGGTGGTGGCCAGCACATTCGGAGATGGTGACTGCTCTGATAGTACAGGTCCCAGAGTGCCAAAAGGACCAGGGTGCTGCCATTGACTTGCAGAAGCAAGAAGTAGGCTGGGTGCAGTGGCTCACGCCTGTAATCCCCAGGAATTTGGGAGGCTGAGGTGAGCAGATTGCTTGAGTCCAGGAGTTCAAGACCAGCCTGGGCAACATGGCAAAACACCATCTCTACAAAAAATACAAAAATTAGTCGGACGTGGTGCTGCATGCCCGTGGTCCCAGCTACTCAGGGAAGCTGAGGCAGGAGGATCATTTGAGCCCAGGGGGTCAAGGCTGCAGTGAGCTGTGACTGTGTCACTGAACTTCAGCCTGGGTGACGGGGAGACCTCGTCTCAAACTGGCAAAAAAAAACAGCAACAACAACAAGTAGAAGTAAACTTTGGCAATATTGAGCCATGGAGTTGTTTTTTTTTTTGTTTTTTTTTTTTTTTTTTTTTTGAGACGGAGTCTGGCTCTGTCGCCCAGGCTGGAGTGCAGTGGCGCTATCTCGGCTCACTGCAAGCTCCGCCTCCCGGGTTCACGCCATTCTCCTGCCTCAGCCTCCCGAGTAGCTGGGGCTACAGGCGCTCGCCACCAGGCCCGGCTAATTTTTTTGTATTTTTTAGTAGAGATGGGGTTTCATCATGTTAGCCAGGATGGTCTAGATCTCCTTACCTCATGATCCGTCCGCCTCAGCCTCCCAAAGCGTTGGGATTACAGGCATGAGCCACCGCGCCCGGCCTCTGAGCCACGGAGATCTTTTTTAAAAAAACTTTTATTTTAGGTTCAGGGGTACATGTGCAGGTTTGTTATACAGGTAAACTCATGTCATGGGGGTTTGTTGTACAGATTATTTCATCACCCACTTACTAGGCCTAGTAGCCAGTAGATACGTTTTCTGATCCTCTCCTTCCTCCCACTCTCCACCATCAAGCAGGCCCCCAATGTCTGTTGTTCCCCTCTTTGTGTCCGTGTGTTCTCATCATTTAGCTCCCACTTGTAAGTGAGAATATGCAGTATTTGGTTTTCTGTTCCTGCATTAGTTTGCTAAGGATAATGGCCTACAGCTCCATCCATGTTCTTGCAAAGGACGTGATCTCAATTCCTTTTTGTGGCTGTATAGTATTCCATGAGCTGTGGAGATGTTGAGGTTCTTTGTTACCAAGCATTAACTGGCCAGTCCTGACCAATACAGCTATGGTCATAACATATAAAGCACCTTAAGGGAAGAGGACGTTTAGCTAACTCTATGATGTTGTCACGCTGACATGAATAGAGAGGGTTTTGTTTTTTAAGCCAAAGACGTTAATCCATTAATTGGCATTTAAAAGGTAGAAATGCCATTGGATGTAGGAAAGTTCATCTGTATTTGACCATTTTTTATTTATTTTTGACTCTTTATGCTTATAATTTTGGAAATTCCAAAATACAAAGGAGTTTTTGGTGATGCTGGGAATTGAATTCTGAGGAGAAAATGTTGTTGGAATTATAGAGAGTGCTTTTGGAATACTACCAAGCATAGTACTTGACCTTAGAGGAAAAAATGCTGGGGAGCACAACTTAAGATGGGAAAAAAGAACAAGTTTTTAAAATATCATCCCTCTAACGAATGCTTCCGTGATGGAAACACTCCCCTTTCCCTGTTATCGTTCTTCATTTCCTCCTACTCTTTACTTTAACTACAAGTTCTTGTATGCGGTTATTCCCCCATGTAAATTACATGAAAAATAGTTTTAGTCTTCTAACTACATTATCCAATATGCAGCTTTTTAACTAGTTCCAAGAGGCATTTGAGGCCCATGCGTGGCTCCCTTTGAGTTGAGTCATCTAAAGGTTATTGCTCGTCTTAGTAAAACCTGTGCTGTGTTGAGTGCACCGGTGACGACAATGACCCCAGTCTTGAGTCCCAGCCTCCCCGTGTTTACTATGGAATTATCACAGTTCCACTCTTGAGAAATATGGAAAGCACTCACTGTTCACTCTGGTTTAACCCTCCTGAGAGCAGGAGGTATGATTAATCCTGGAAATAATGGGTTCACTCTGTGGGAGCGCTTCAGTGATTTTCAACCCCAGACTCATACATGGTGATTGAAAAGAACTAGTGTGATCACAGAAGGTTAGCAGAATTATTTCTACTTAGAATAGAAATGAGAAGGTTGAGGGTCGTAATTTCAAAAATGGAAAAGTAGGTTTTAAAAATTCAAATGTAATACATAAATATTCCAAATATATTTAGAGCGAGAAGCCTTCTTTCCGCCCTCCCAATTCTGCCCTTCTCTGCAGAGCTTACCATAGTTTAAAAAAAAAAAAAAGTGCTGTTTTATCCTTTTGGACCCTATACTGTGCATTTATAAATGTGAGAAAACCAGGCATGGTGGTGTGTGCCTGTGGTCCCAGCTACTCGGGAGGCTGAGGTGGGAGGATCGTTTGAACCCAGGAGTTCAAGGCTGTTTTTAGCTATGACTGTTCCGGTGAATAGCCACTGCACTCCAGCCTGGGCAACACAGTAAGAGCCTGACGTTAAAAATAATTAACATGAGAATAAAACTTATCTATGTTTTTTGTTTTTACATAAGTAGTCACACAAGACATATTATTATAAACCTCCTTTTTTTTTTTTTTGAGACGGCGTCTCATTCAGTCGCCCAGGCTGGAGTGCAATGGCGCAATCGTGGCTCACTGCAACCTCCGATTCCCCAGCCTCAGCCTCCCGAGTAGCTGGGATTAAAGCTTAATTTATAATGGAAGTCACCCTGTGCAGGCACACTTATAGGTACTGTATTCTTTGGAGCAGTAGCTCATTAAATTGATAAATAAAACTTTATTTTCTTAATGATGGACATTTAGGAAGTCGTCTTTTTTTTTTTCTATTACAAGTAAGATAAACCTGTGTCTCCATAAACTTGTTCGTGTCTTTTTTTTTTTTTTTTTTTTGAGATGGGGTCTCTGTTGCCCAAGCTGGAGTGCAGTGATGTCATCATGGCTCACTGCAGTCTCGACCTCCTAGGCTCAAGCGAACCTCCCATCTCATCCTCCTGAATAGGTGGGACCACACGTGTGAGCCACCACGCCCAGCTAATTTTTGTATTTTTTGTAGAGACATGGTTTCGCTATGTTTTCCAGGCTGGTCTTGAACTCCTGCACTCAAGCAGTCTGCCTGCCTCGGCCTCCCAAAGTGCTGGGATTACAAGCGTGAGCCACCATGCCCAGCCTGTTTAGGTTTTTGTGCACTTGTGTATTTTTCTTTCTTTTTTTTTTTTTTCAAGATGGAGTCTCACTCTGTTGCCCAGGCTGGAGTGCAGTGGTTCAATCTTGGCTCACTACAACCTTCATTTTCCAGGCTCAAGTGATCCTCCCACCTCAGCCTCCTGAGTAGCTGGGACCACAGGCATGCGCCACCAGGCCTGGCTAATTTTTTGTATTTTTGGAAGAGACGGGGTTTGGAGTTTTCACCATGTTAGCCAGGCTGGTCTTGAACTCCTGAGCTCAAGTGATCCACCCACCTGAGCCTCCCAAAGTGCTAGGATTACAGGCGTGGGCCACTGCGCTTGGCCTCTATCTTATGTTTATTATCCATGTGTATATCATCTTCAGAAACTGGCTCCCTCATATCTCTTGCTTATTATTTCCTTTTGGGTTATCTTTTTAATTAATTTAGGAACTCTTTATATATTAGCAATATTAATCTTTAATATTGGCCGGACATGGTGGCTCAGGCCTGTAATCCCAGCACTTTGGGAGGCCGAGGCGGGCAGATCATCTGCAGTCAGGAGTTCAAGAAAATACTCCATTGTATGTATATACCATATTTTCTGTATGCATTCACCTATTCATGAACATTTAGGTTGTCTCCAACCCTTGGCTCTTGTGAATAATGCTGCAATGAACTTGGGTGTGCAAATATCTCTTTGAGGTCTTGTTTTCAACTCTTTTGGGTATATAACCAGTAGTGGTATTGCTGGATCATGTGGTAGTTCCAGTTTTAATTTTGTTAGGAAGCTTCGTATTGTTCTCCATAGCGGCTGTGCTACTTGACAAGCTCATCAATGGTGTGCAATGATTCCAGTTTCTCTACGTCCTTGCCAACACTTGTTATTTTCTGTTATTTTGATAGTGGCCTTCCTAACGAGTGTGAGGTGATATCCCATTGTGGTTTTGATTTGCATTTCCTTGATGATTAGTGGTGTTGAATATCATTTCATATACTCATGTACTCACTAGTCACTTGTGTATCTTCTTTGTTTTTTTTTTTGTTTGTTTTTGTTTTTTTTTTTGAGATGGAGTCTTGCTCTGCTGCCCAGGCTGGAATGCAGTAGCACGATCACGGCTTATTGCAACCTCTGCCTCCCAGGTTCAAGCGATTCTGTTGCCTCAGCCTCCAGAGTAGCTGGGCTTACAGGCACCCGCCACCATGCCTGGCTAATTTTTTTGTATTTTTAACAGAGACAGAGTTTCACCATGTTAGCCAGGCTGGTCTCGAACTCCTGACCTCCAGTGATCTGCCTGCCTCAGCCTCTCAAAGTGCTGGGATTATGGGCATGAGCCACGTGCCCAGCCCGTATATCTTCTTTGAAGAAATATCTATTCAAGTCCTTTGCCCGTTTTTATTTATTTTGAGAAGCAGAGTCTCGCTCTGTTGCCCATGTTGGAGTGCAATGGTGTGATCTCAGCTCACTGCAACCTTCACCTCCTGGGCTCAAGTGATCCTGCCACCTTAGCCTCCTGAGTAGGTGGGACTACAGGCAAGTGCCACCATGCCCGTGTAATTTTTTTATTTTTTTGTAGAGACAGGGGTCTCACCATGTTGCCCAGGCTGGTCTTGAACTCCTGGGCTCAAGCAATCCACCCTCCTTGGCCTCCCAAAGTGCTGGGATTATAGGCATGAGCCACTGTGCCCGGCCAGCCTGAGGAATCTTAGGAAACAAAGTAAAGACCTTGGCCTGAATAGCTGGTCTGCTACCTCCCTACTTCCTACTGCCCAGAGGCAATTACAGTCATGCACCATATAACAATATTTCAGTCAAGGAAAGATCGCATATATGATGGTGGTCTTATGAGATTATAATGCTGTATTTTTACTGTACCTTTTCTGTGTTTAGATACACATACACTTATAGTTATGTTACAGTTGCCTACAGCATTCAGTACAATAGCATGCTTTTCAGGTTTGTAGTGTAGAAGCAACATAGGTGCGTAGTAGGCTACACCATCTAGGTTTGTGTAAGAACATTCTATGATGTTTGCACGACAGAATCATTTCACACATTTCTCAGAACATATCCCCATCGTTAAGCAATGCATGACTGTACATCTGTTCTTAGTTCTTCCATTGGTGAGCCTCCATCGTTTTAAATAAATGCATATACTGTATGCTCTTTCTCAATGTATCAGTTTTAGAATTATCCATCTTCTCCCCTTGAATATATAAGTAGGCTGCAGAGGATTTAGTTTGCTTGTACTGCTTCTCAGCTTATCTTCTTCTGATGGTTAATCATTTTAAACAATTAGTTTTAGTTCTCTTAGCTACCTCTAGTTATTGCATTTCTGTCTCTGTTTCTTGTTTTGTCAGTTTTCGGCAATATTCTCTTTCCTTTCTAAATAAAACATTAAGGCCTTACCCTTTCATTTTTCTCCCTTTTACGTTGTCCAAATTCTGGATAAATGAATATGGTATATCCATAAATGGGCTATTATCTGGTAATAAAAAGGTATGAAATTCTGATATATGCTACAACATGGATGGACCATGAAAACATCATACCCAAGTGAAAGAAGCCAGACACAACGAGCCACATATTACATGATTCCATTTATATGAAATATCCAGGATAGGCACAGAAAGTTGATGAGTCATTGCCAGGGGCCTCGAGGAATACCATTAACTGCTTATGGGCACCAGGTTTCTTTTTAGGATAAGGAAAATGTTCTGAAATTAGATAGTGGTAATGGTTGTAACAACCTCATGAATATACTAAAACCCACTGTATTCTACACTTTAAAAGGACAAATTTTATGGTTTGAATTATATCTCAATTTTTTTTTAAGATTTTTTTTTTTTTTTAATTGAGAGAAGGTCTCACTCTGTCAGCCAGGCTGGAGTACAGTGGCACAATCACGGATCATGGCCCATGGCTCACGGCTCACTGAAGCCTCAAACTCCTGGGCTCAAGTGATCCTCCCACCTCAGCCTCCCGAGTAGCTGGGACCGCAGGCGCGCACACCACCACACTTGACAAAATTTTTTTTTTTTTTAAGTGGAGACAGGGGTCTCTCTATATTGCCCAGGCTGGTCTCAAACTCCTGGGCTCAAGCAGTCCTCCCATCTCTGCCTCCCAAAGTGCTGGAATTAAAGACGTGAGCCACTGCACCTGGCCAAAAGAAAGATTCTTAACTGTTACATTCCATTTATTCCATTTTCTAATCTTAATATCTTTAGCTTATTTCTGAATGTTGGACACCAGTAAACAACATTTATTGTCGCTGTGTAAACATTGCCCACTGCAGGTCTAGGTGCTAATGTCATATTATTACTTTCTCTATAGGACCAATGCCACAATCCACAGGCCACCTAGAGGATAGCATTTCATGCATCGCAGTTCGAGTGAATTCTCTTTTCTTATTTACCATCGACTATTCCTTTTGTGTTATCCTGGAATTCCTTCTTGCTTTCTTTTTCATATAGACCCCAAAAATACACTTTCATCACCTAGTGCTGTAGATGCACTCCGGGTTATATGACATCTCCTTACTTCTCAGCCATCGTCATCTGGCTCCAATCTACCAGCCTGTCCTGTCTCCTTCGCTGCCTTGTCTCAACATTTTATTAAATTTATTTCTTCCTCTTTTTTGTTCCATTCCCTTATTTTGCAACCTTTTGGATGTTACCCTTTGGAAGTTACCCTCTTGTAACTTCCACATTAAAAGTTTGGGGGCTGGCTGGGTGCGGTGGCTCACGCCTGTAATTCCAGCAATTTGAGAGGCCAAGGCGGGCAGATTGCCTGAGGTCAGGAGTTCAAGACCAGCCTGGCCAACATGGTGAAATCCTGTCTCTACTAAAAATACAAAAATGAGCCGGGATGTGGTGGTGGGAGCCTGTAATCCCAGCTACTTGGGAGGCTGAAGCAGGAGAATTGCTCGAACGTGGGAGGTGGAGGTTGCAGTGAGCCAAGACTGTGCCATTGCACTCCAGCCTGGGCAACAAGAGCAAAACTCTGTCTCAAAAAAAAAAAAAAGTTTGAGGGAAGTAAGCTTTCTAAATTCTAGCATGCCTGAAATTCTCGTCATTTTGGTCTTCTGCTTTGTCGGTGCCTCAGTTTCCTCATCTGTACAAGGGAGGTGATCATAATTACACTGACCTATTAGTGAGTATTAAATTAACGAGGATTAAATGAGCTATTGTGCAGAAAGTCTTAAGACAACTTTTGGTACATCATAAATTTGTTTGGGAGGCGTTAACCATTCACGTTGTAGTTGAAGCACATTAGATGTGTCTTCGTGTTCTGCACTCTGAAGACATCGTGTGGACTAACAGCAAAGTAATAAGATGAAAGTTTGTGTGGTGAAGTAAACGATCCTATTACCATAGTTGAACCATAGCTTATGAATTATTCCTTAGTGCTCTTCTCTGCTTTCATAAAATCATAATCCGTGTTTTAAGATTTACTTGTACTTTTTTTTTTTTTAGGCCACTAGGCTGTTCTCAGCTCTCTAGATACTCAGCAAAGCACAGTCATTTCCAGGAAATGGATTGAAATTGTAATGCAGATTTGGTTTAGATGTATGCAAGTGGCTTTGGAGAGTAACAATGCAATCTACTTAAGGAGATTGGAAAATTTAGGATATTGAAGATTTAAGGAACGGGTTGGCCCAAGTAACAAAACCATTGCCCTAGTCAATCTATAGTGGCCACTTGGAACACTGGATGGAAGAGGATTGGGGGCAGCATTGGGGCTGTTGTCAGTAAGTGACATCTGCCATGGGGTAGAAGGGTTTGTCATTCCTGGCCTTACCTTGATCCTTTCTCATGAAGGAAGTACAAGATATTATTGAGAGGATCTGACAGGGAGAATTGGTCTAGTTTTGGGTACTTGAGGAAGTTTGTGTGAAGTAAGATTATTGCATTGCATTGCATTGTATTGTATTGTATTGTATTGTATTGTATTGTATTGTATTGTATTGTATTGTATTGTATTTTAGAGATGGAGTCTTGCTCTGTCACCCAGGCTGGAGTATAGTGGCGCGATCTTGGCTCCTCTGCAACCTCCGCCTCCTGGGTTCAAGCGATTCTCCTGCCTCAGCCTCCCGAGTAGCTGGGATTACAGGTGCATGCCACCACTACGCCCAGCTAATTTTTGTATTTCAGTAGAGACGGGGTCTCACCATGTTGGCCAGGCTGGTCTCGAACTCATGACCTCAGGTGATCCACCCACCTTGGCCTCCCAAAGTGCTGGGATTACAGGGGTGAGCCACCTCGCCCAGGCTCTATTTCTTTTTAAAGGAAGTGGAGATGTCAAAGAAAACATATTTGTTGTGTAGAGTTTTAGAAAATAAAGTTACCAAAAACTCAAAATAAAAGAAGTAGATTTATTGAGAAGTAAGTCTACAGGTTGTACTGGGGGTTGGGGTGGGAGTGCTCCAAGGATTATGGCTCCTGAATTTCCCATTGTAGGACTGGGTAAAAGGTGGTAGGAACTAGAAAAAAAATGATATCACTTAATGACCACTTTGTCTCATAAATGAGATGACTAAAGCTTAAAAGGTAAGGTGACTCACTCTGGGTCACAGAGCTGGCAATAGAATCCAGTGGCCTGGTTCCATCTTGACGGGGAGGGAGGGGGCATTGTTTGTTGCCCAGGTACCATGTCACACTCTGAGTAACTTCTCTGCAGCCCTTGTATTTTCTCTGTAGGGGACAAGGGAAAACTTACCCTTTGTTTCTTGAAACAAAGGCAAATTAATAGGGGAAAAGCCATACAAATGATTAGCGTGCATGGGAGGAAAATCACAAAGCGATTACCCAGTATCCTAATGGGGTACAGATGTTTATATATCTTATTTTTTAGAGGAAAGGGAGAGGGGAAGTGTGGATGATTTTAGGGAGGTAGTAGATGATTTTTAGGGAATTTGATGGGCCTGAAGAACATACAATGGATTGGGACAAAGTCTGTTGGGCAGACAATGGTTTGTGACAAAATTCTGTCCAGGTGTGTTGACTGAATTCAGGCTTTCTTTACGCGATATGAGTTCAGTTAATGAAAACACAGGGGAGTGACCAGAAGTGATTGTTTCCTTCTTTGGCATTTCTGTCTTCCTCTTTTTTTGTTCTATTCCCTTATTTTGCAACCTTTTGGATGTTACCCTTTGGAAGTTACCCTCTTGTAACTTCCACATTAAAAGTTTGGGGGCTGGCAGATAGAAGGAACTCCAGAGAACAACTTGATTCTGTGCTTTGGGAGAGACAGAGAAATGAGGGGTGTGGAGGAAGGTCAGAGAGACCCTGAGGCTTCTGCCTCACTTCAGCATGTCAAAGCACCCTATTTTGGGGTATTGCTTTCTGAGCCCCAACATCTCCAGCCTTCCAGGAGTCTGTGGCATATCCTTCCCCAAAGGAGTAGGATCACTTGACCACTCTACTGAACCTAAGTTGTTTTTCATTTTCTTTTGCATCTGCCTTGAAGTCTAGAGCAAATGAAAATACAACAACACTGTGTAAACAAAACACACAAAAAAGCTGCTCTGATCTTTCTGTTTTCTCAGGTGCAAAACAGGTCTTATCTAAAGCAACTGAAAAGGCATGGAGGTAGCAATTGCTTTGCTATTCCAGGAACTAGTAGCCACCACATGTGTAAAACTATTGAAGAACAAGTTTTCAACCTTCTGCTGTGAAAAGGTACACAGGAATGGCTAAAGTCTCTCTAGAACCCGTACCTTCCTGGAGCAAAGGGAAGACCTGGGAAACGTTTTGACAAAGCAATGCTTACGATATTTTTCAATATCAGGGGAATTCAGTCAGTCTTCTTTCTTTTTTGTTTGGCCAGTTTAGCTAAAGTTTTGTCAATTTTGTTGATCCTTTCAAAGAGCCAACTTTTGGTTTTGTTCAGTTTCTCTGTTATTTTTCTATTCTCTAGTTCATTAGTTAATTAATTTAGGTTAATTAATTAATTTAGGTTTGACTTGCTTTTTTTGTTCCGCTGTCTTCAGGTGGAAGGTTAAGTTATTGATGCGAAATCTTTTTCTTTTTTAATATATGCATTTACAGCTATACACTTCTCTTTAGGTAGCACAGCCTTAGCTGTGTCACTTAAGTTTTGGTATGTTGTATCTTCATTTCTAATCATCTCAAATTATTTTCTACTCTCCCTTGTGATTTCCTCTTAAACCCATTGGTTATTTGTGTGTGTTGTTTAATTTCCACATATTTATAAATTGCCTGAATTTCTAATTCTATTCCATTGTTGTCGGAGAACTTGCCTTGTATGAGTTCAGTCCTTTTAAATTTACTGAAGTTTGTTTTATGGTCTAGTATACGGTCTATCCTGGAGACTTCCACATGCACTGAAAAGAGAGTGTATTCTGCTGTGTTGAGTGATGTGTTCTGTTGATTTTTTAGGTCTAATTGGCTTATAATGTTCAAGTCTTCTGTTTCCATGTTGATCTTCTGCCTAGTTGTTCTATCCATTATTCAAAGTGGGGCACTAAGGTCTCCAACTATAGTTGTGATAGTTTAGTTTAATTGTGCATTTCTCTTACCAATTCTGTCAATTTTTGCTTTATGTATTTCAGGGCTCTGTTAGGCACATACCTGTTTATCATTGTATCTTCCTAAGGAATTACCCTTTGATCATTATAAAATGTCCCACTTTATCTCTGGTACCATTTTTTGTTTTAAAGTCTACTTTGTCTGATATTAGTACAGCCACTCCAGCTTTCTTATGGTTTACTGTTTACATGACATATTTTTCCTGTCCTTTAATTCCAGTCTATTTGTAACTTTGGATCTAAACTATCTCCTATAGACAGCATATAGTTGGGTCTTTTTTTTAGTAGAGATGGGGTTTTACCGTGTTAGCCAGGCTGGTCTCGATCTCCTGACCTCATGATCCACCCACCTTGGCCTCCCAAAGTGTTGGGATTACAGACGTGAGCCACCGCGCCCAGCCCAAGTTGTTTTTGAGAACACCTGTAGGGAGTGTTTCCTAGCCTTTGCATGTGTTACGCTTGCACACAGATGACAGATTGGCCATATGTAAAATTTTGGAGTAACTCTCTTTTCCCTCGCAATTCTTTTGATGGTGTTTCTTCGTATTTTTGGCCTCCCCCTCTACCTGGATTGCACTGGAGCCTGCTATCAAGCCTTGTGAGACGTGCCTTTTGTCCAGTTGTTGATCCTCCATTGTTACTCCACCCTTTCCTGCCCTCCTGGGCACTGGGCAAGCCTTAGTCCCACTCAGTCCCTTTCCCTTTTCTCTCCCTCCTCCCTCAAATCATCATGCTTGGGCTGGCGAGATATTACCTAGGGCTACTGAAAAGTCACTTTACTATGGGCAAGCATATAAATCATATTTGTAACTGGCTTTTACCTACTGAAAAAATTTCAATATATTTTAATGTGAAGAGACACTGCTGAAGAAAAGGAAATGAAGAAAAGGTGAAGTAAGATTTTACACACATTTTCAGATTAGATGATACTAATGTTCCTGAATATACAATCTCCCTTTAGATTTAAGATATTGTTTTTAGTTTAGTTTAGTTTTGCTTTGTTTTTCAAATCACTGCCCTAATCATGAATTTCAGTCTTTGGGAGAAGGAATGGCCCTCATGGGGTGGGGAAAGCAGTAGTTTTTTCAGGTGTAACTGACTTTTAATTGACACAAATTTACAAATTTATATTACACAAGCTGAAAACAATTTTTTTCTGTTTAAATAATGTATTTGCTATCTGAATGATCATGTAAATTCAGGACAGGATTTGCCTATTTTTATTTTATTATACTAATAATAAAACCCCAATTCAAATGACTTTTCAGTACTTACTATACGCGATGTACTGCGGGTAAACAAGAAAATTTCTTAAATTCTCATTCAATAATTGGAAATCGATTAAATTACACCTATACTAGGAGAGATTTTATGCAACCATTGATAATTTTTGAAGAATATTTAAAGATATGGGAAATGCTGATAATATATTCAGTTAGAAAAAGCACATTTCAAAGTAATATATTCAGTATAATTTTCATCGTATCTAAAAAAAATTCAAAACCAGAATTCAAAACTAGGAAGAATATGTACCCAAATGTTAACATTGTCTATTTCTGGATTTGTTTTTTTAAAAAAGTTTCCTTATTCTAATTTTTCTAGAATGAAAACAAATCGATGCTATAATCAGTTGATAGTATGGTGGTGGTGGTGGTTTCTTGTAATGACATAGACCCACTCGTTAGGATTGCCAGGAATGGACACATTCATCCCACTTCAACGAGTCACTGTGACCTCTTAGAAAAGGTGGGATAGAGGCAGGGCCTTGATGGAAGAGTAAAATATTCATAGATGAATACATAGAAAGAATGACTGAGTCACTGAGCAGAGAAGCCACGCTGAGAATGTGTGCAGAACAGAGCAGGCAAGCAGTCAGTAACCGGGGTGGATGATGCTGAGACTAGGGTGGGTATGAGTCAAGGCCGAGTCCGAGAGCTGCAAAAACTTGGGAGAGGAGTTCAGATGTTGCTGTGTACGTTGGAGAAAATCATTAAAGGTTTCAGATTTGCAGTGAGATTTAGATCTGTCTGGGCACGCATGGTGGCTCACACCTGTAATCCTAGCACTTTGGGAGGTAGAGGTAGGCGGATCACTTTAGGTCACAAGTTCGAGACCAGCCTGGTCAACATGGTGAAACCCCATCTCCACTAAAAATACAAAAATTAGCCAGGCGTGGTGGCATGCATTTATAATCCCAGCTACTCGGGAGGCTGAGGCAGGGGAATCACCTGAACCAGGAGATGGAGGTTTCAGTGCGCTGGGATCGTACTGCTGCACTCCAGCCTGGGTGACAGGGCAAGACTTGGTCTCAAAAAAAAAAAAAAAAAAAAAAAAAGAGTAGAACTGTGTTATTGAAGGCTGGGAGACCAGGGGCAGGAGAGCATTTAGGAGGTGTGCTCCTGGTTTGTTCTTTCTCTTACTGGTCCTTCTCAGTGTCCTTCCTGGGTTTTTCTTCCTTCCCCTACCCCTTCACTGTTGTTGCTCCTGGGTACTGTTTAGTGCCCATCGCTCCATGGCTTCACTGACCATCTGAGTGCTGTGGTCTTCTGACCCTGAGCTGCAACCTGGATCGCTTTCCTGGGCTGCAAACCAGGATGTGTTTAAACATGTCCAGGCCACCTAGTTGTCCCCGGAATCCTTAACCTCACAGGAAGTTATTTTTTCCAAAGCCTGCTCCTCCTCCTTCTATATTTAATTCCCAAGAGTAATCTCCGTTCTCCCATCCTACCAGTTACGCAGCCAGAAAATTGAATGTCCTCATGAAATTTGCAAAGCTGTTACCAGAAAGGGGCCCTGATCCAGACCCCAAGAGAGGGTTCTTGGATCTCAAGGAAGAAAGAATTCAGGTCGAGTCTACAAAGTGAAAGCAAGTTTATTAAGAAAGTAGAGAATAAAAGAATGGCTACTCCATAAACAGAGCAGCCTGGAGGGCTGCTGGTTGCCCAGTTTTACGGTTATTTCTTAATGATGTGCTAAACAAGGGGTGGGTTATTCATGCCTACTCTTTTACACCATATAGGGTAACTTCCTGATGTTGCCATGGCATTTGTAAACTGTCGTGGCTCTGGTGGGAGTGTAGCAGTGAGGACGACCAGAGGTCACTCCTGTCGCCATCTTGGTTTTGGTGGGTTTTACCTGGGTTCTCTACTGCAAACCTGTTTTTTTATGACCTGTATCTCACGCCGACCTTCTGTCTCATCCTGTGACTTAGAATGCCTTAACTCTCTGGGAATGCAGCCCAGTAGATCTCAGCCTCATTTTACTCAGCCCCTATTCAAGATGGAGTTGCTCTGGTTCAAATGCCTCTGACAAAAAGACAAATACTTAGCTGAGGTACCTTCAAGAGGCAAATTCATAGAGTCAGAAGGTAGAATGGTGGTTGCCAGGGGCCAGAGGGGAGGGAAACGGGGAGCTGTTGTTTAAAGAGTGTAGAGTTTCAGTTTGTGGTGACGGAACGTTCTAGTGATGGCTGCACAACATTGTGGTTGTACTTAATGCACCAAACTGAATACTTAAAAATGGTTAAAATGGTAAATTTCATGTTATGTATGTTTTACCATAATTTAAAAATAAAAACAGGCCGGGCTTGGTGGCTCACGTCTGTAATCCCAGCACTTTGGGAGGCCAAGGCGGGTGGATCACATGAGGTCAGGAGTTCGAGACCAGCCTGACCAACATGGTGAAACTCCGTCTCTACTAAAAATACAAAAATTAACCGGGTGTGGTGGTGCACGCCTGTAATCCCAGCTACTCAGGAGCCTGAGGCAGGAGAATCACTTGAACTGGGGAGATGGAGGTTGCAGTGAGCCAAGATCACGCCACTGCACTCCAGCCTGGGAGACAGAGTGAGATTCCGTCTCAAAATAAATAAATAAATAAAATAGGCCGGGCGTGGTGGCTCATGCCTGTGAGTACTTTGGAAGGCCAAGGCGGGCGGATCACGAGGTCAGGAGTTCAAGACTAGCCTGGCCAATATGGTGAAACCCCATCTCTACTAAAAATAAAATAAAATAAATAGCTGGGTGTGGTGGTGCACGCCTGTAATCCCAGCCACTTGGGAGGCTGAGGCAGAAGAATCGCTTGAACCCAGGAGGTGGAGGTTGCAGTGAGCCGAGATTGCACCACCACACTCCAGCCTGGGCAACAGAGTGAGGCTCCATCTCTAAATTAAATTAAATTGAATTAAAAATAAATAAATAAATAAATAAATAAATAAATAAATAAATAAAACGTGTTCAACCGGGTTTGACTTAGTTTTTCCTCAGACTTATTTGACTGTGGTCCCCTCTGATCAGAAGAAAAAAATGCTTTAAAGTGTGACATATATCACATCCTTTCCATGTTAGAAAAACACACTTTGGGGAACATTCCCACATACTTGGGGGTGGGGAGGAAGAATCAACTTCCTGAGTGTATTAACTCAGAGAAATATTATTAGAAATGGTGGCTGAGTTTTTATTTGGGGGAATTTTGGGTCAATTCGTCTTCTCTGAGCAAGCCTAATGACGTCATTTCTATGAATGGATTTGGAGCTTTGAAACACTTTAGCCTGAAAAGAAACGTCTAGAACACAGCCGGCTCAAATCGGAGACCAATTGACTTCAATGAGTCTTAAGTACACAATCTGCTGCCTTTATGCAGAGGTTTGGGAATTATTTTGGAAAGATAGGAGGTTCCTCCTATTGGGAGGCTTCCAGTCAGTATCTTAGATCTCTAAGTGCTGAAACACTTGAAGCTGAGCACAGGGCATTGGGTGAGTAAAGGGAAAGTGAAATAGACAGCCTTGGGCAACACATTTGTCCTTCCTTCCTCTGCCCCAGGTCCTAGACTAATCTGGGTCTAAAGCAGGAGTTGCTTAAGAGACTCAGCCCACACAGTGGCTTCACTGTCTTTCACTCTGTCTGCAGATCTGGGAATCAGAGCCCCCTCTGGCTTCTTTGGCCACCATGTGGCCCACTTTCAGGACACCCCGAACCTGCCTTGTCACTAATCCCTGCGTCCAGAGCTGATGTGCGCACCCCTTTCCTTCTCTCCAAGACCCCCATTCCTAACAGCATTCCTGCCCCTCTTTAGACCCCTGGGCTGGCTTTTGCTTTGGTTGCCTTTCTCAGTTCCTTCTTCAGAAGCCTCTCTAATGCCTCAAGCCCTTCACTACTCAAGAGGGCGCCCTTGACCGCCTCGGCCTCCCAAAGTGCTGGGATTACAGGCGTGAGCCACCGCGCCTGGCCATTTTTTTTCTTTTTGAGACAGAGTCTTGCTCTATCACTCAGGCTGGAGTGCAGTGGTGCGATCTCAGCTCACTGCAATCTCTGCCTCCGGGGTTCAAGTGATTCTCCTGCCTCAGCCTCCCTAGTAGCTGGGATTACAGGCACTCACCACCATGCCCAGCTAATTTTTGTATTTTTAGTAGAGCAACCTCTGTTACCGCCCTTGTGGATAAAGACTCCCGGGTCCCATCCTCATTCTCTCTTCCCCACTACTCAGGGATTGGAATGCTGCCTTGAAATTTCAGCATTAGGCCCCCTTTTCCATGCCAGCGTATTGTTTCTTCTACTTGAAAAGTACATGTTCCTTATAAAAACTTCAAACCTCATAGAAGTATCTTTCCCACAATTATCTCTTAGGTAATTGCCATTAACAATGGACAATATATTTTTTTAGATTTTTCTTTTTCTATTCATATATGAGTACACGCGTTTGCATTTTAGCAAAACTCCTGCTATACCTACTGTTTTGCAGCTTACTTTCCTTCCCCCACATAATTATGCAACTGGGGCATCTTTCCATCTTGGCAAGGAGAGCTCTATTTCATGATTTAATAGCTGTATTGTATTTCATTGTTTGGATGTACCATGATTTATCTAACGGATCCCATTGATGGACAACTGGAGTTTTTCCAGCTTTGTTATTGCATATAATGTAGACATGAATAATCTTAAGCACATAAATCTTTGCACAATTGCAAAAGGGTTTCTCTAGGATAAATTCCTAGGTAGAGTAGCTAGGTAAAATGGTAAGAACATCTTTAATTTTAATAGACGTTGCCAAATCATCTTCCTAAAGGACTTAACCATTTTGTTCTTCCACCACATTGTGGACCGAGGTCGGTTCCCTTCACCTCGTCAATACTGGCTAGCTGTTCTTTTTCTTTTTGAGACAGAGTCTTACTCTGTCACTCAGGCTGGAGTGCAGTGGTGCGATCTCAGCTCACTGCAACCTCTGCCTCCTGAGTTCAAGTGATTCTCCTGCTTCAGCCTCCCGAGTAGCTGGGATTACAGGCACTCACCACCACGCCCAGCTAATTTTTGTATTTTTAGTAGAGATGAGGTTTCAGCATGTTGGCCAAGCTGGTCTCGAACTCCTGACCTCAGATGATCCACCCACCTCAGCCTCCCAAAGTGCTGGGATTACAGGCATGAGCCATTGCACCCAGCCTGGCTAGCTTTTTAAATTTTTAATACTTTGATAGATGGGAAATGTTTTAGTTTACATTTTAAACATTTGTTTTGCAGGTCTTCCCATTGCAAAACTCTAGGGTGATACTGATTACTTGAGGTTGAACATTTTCATATGTTAATTGGCCATTTGTATTTCTTCTCTAAATTTCTGCCTGGTCTCCTGCTGATGATGCACTTGAATTTCGCATTGCTGTTCTCTGCCTGCCAGGATGGAAAATCTATTCCTTCTCTTCAGACCTGCCCTTCCCTGCCCCAAGGCTAGAGAGTGATGTCCAGCTCAGAACTTGGGGTGAGAAAGATCCACGTTGACTCCCAACTACTCCACTAGTATGTGACCTTAGACCTCTCTAGGTCCCAGTTTCTTCAAATGAAAACCGGATTTGGGGGCCGGGTGCAGTGGCTCACGCCTGTAATCCCAGCACTTTGGGAGGCCCAGGCGGGCGGATCATTTGAGGTCAGGAGTTTGAGGCCAGCCTGATCAAACAGGGTGAAACCCCGTCTCTACTAAAATACAAAAAAATTAGTCAGGCGTGATGATGGGTGCCTGTAATCCCAGCTACTCGGGAGGCTGAGGCAGGAGAATCGCTTGAACCTGGGAGGCGGAGGTTGCAGTGAGCCGAGATCGTGCCACTGCACTCTAGCCTGGGCGACAGAGTGAGACTGTGTCTCAAAAAAAAAAAAAAAAAAAAAAACAGCTGGACTTGGAGCCGGAAGATCAGAACTGTTAGGCTCTATCCTGTGTTCTCAGGTACCCTGAACTTGCTTTTAGAGTATTTATATTTTATTATCATTTTTTGTTTATATATCGATTTCTCTTATTAGACTCTAAACTCCTTGATCACAAGGACCGTATTATCCATCCTCACATCTTTGGTGTCCAGGATATAATGGTGTTCACTCAATATTTTCCAATACATTTAATTTTTGAGAATTTTATTGACTTTTTTTTTTTACCATAAGAAAAGCTGCGTTCTAGGTGCCATGAGAATACAAAAAATATTTAAAATGTAGTTCATATCTTAGTTGGGGAGATAAGCTCGATCACTCATTCATTGAGTTATTCAATATATCCGGAGTTATCTAAGCTCCAGCCAGCTTGGCAGTATCTGAAAAGATAAAGTCAAGTTGTGTACCCCACACTTAAGTGGCTTCCAGTCTAGTAGGGGAGACAGATATAAAATAAACACAACATAATGGGATGCACACAATCATATAGAAATCATATAATAATTATTAAAAATATATAGTAAGGCTGGGCACAGTGGCTCACGCCTATAATCCCAGCACTTAGGGAGGCCGAGGCAGATGGATCATCTGAGGTCAGGAGTTGGAGACCAGCCTGGTCAACAAGGCGAAACCCCATCTCTACTAAAAATACAAAAATTAGCCAGGCATGGCGGCGGGCGACTGTAATCCCAGCTACTCGGGAGGCTAAGGCAAGAGAGTAGCTTGAACCCAGGAGGCAAAAGCGAGCTGAGATCCCACCACTGCACTCCAGCCTGGGTGACACAGGAAGAGTCTGTATCTATATCTATATCTATATCTATATCTATATCTATATCTATATCTATATCTACATCTACATATGTGTGTATATATATGTATATACATATATGTATATATACATATACTATATTTTTACTATATGTGTGTGTGTGTATATATATATATATATATATATAGTAAAAAATAAATAAGTAAAAACAGTCACAGAAGAATTATCACAAAGCAGTGCATGACTTGGTAGTTGCCAAGTGGGAGTAAAGCTCACTTTGCACTTAATGTGTTCTAGGAGTCACTAAGGGCATAGGAAGAAGAGACGGCTGGAAGGGGGCTTCCCAGTGCAATCAATGAGTGGTCACGTGTGTGTCAGTACAGCAAAGACCAAGAAGGCTTGCAGGAAAAACTTGTTGAATTCTCTTTGACCTAATGTCACCCACATTCATTTAACTGTGAAGCTCTTTTCCTCCCACTGCTTAGCATCCTATGGATCTATCATTCTTTAAAATCGTTATGGGAAATTCTGGTGTAGATACCATTTGTAATTAGATAGTGTCTCTTAACCTCTTTGGAACATAGGCCTTTTGAGAAATGGATGGTCGGAGGGGATTGTGCACAATTCTGTGCTCTTCGAAGCCCACCGAAGACCCGCCTCCATGATCAGGGAAAGCAAAGAAGGGAAAAAAAAAAATCCCAGGTAGTGGGAGTATCTGTGTAGGTCGAGATAGAAGAGGGTAGAAGATACGGAGCTTGTTCACTGCCGGGCAGTTGACTGTGAGGGAGAGACTGTGTGGGGAGGGGGACACCAACTGTGGAAGACCTCAAATACTTGGACTACTTGGTGTAGAATTCACGGGTTTTTTGTTTTTGTTTTTGTTTTTGTTTTGAGATGGAGTCTCGCTCTGTCTTCGAGGCTGGATTGCAGTGGTGTGATCTTGGTTCACTGCAAACTCTGCCTCCCGGGTTCAAGCAGTTCTTCCAGCCTCAACCTCCGAGTAGCTGAGATTACCGGCACCCACCAGCACGCCCAGCTAATTTTTGTATTTTTTAGTAGAGATGGGGTTTTACCATGTTGGCCAGGCTGGTCTTGAACCCCTGACCTCAGGTGATCCGCCTGCCTCGGCCTCCCAAAGTGCTGTTACAGGCGTGAGCCATCATGCCTGGCCAAATTCACGGTTCTTGATAACTGATCAACTGTGAAAGTCAAGGGAAGCCGGGTGCGGTGGCTTATGCCTGTAATCCCAGCACTTTGGGAGGCTGAGGCAGACAGATCACCCGAGGTCCGGAGTTCAAGACCAGCCTGGCCAACATGGTGAAACCCCATCTCTACTAAAAAATACAAAAAATAGCCCAGCATGGTGGCATGTGCCTGTAGTCCCAGCTACTCTGGTGGCTGAGGCACGAGAATCGCTTGAACCTGGGAAGTGGAGGTTGCAGTGAGTCGAGATTGTGCCACTGCACTCCAGCCTGGGTGACAGAGCAAGACTCAGCTCAATTAAAAAAGAAAAAAAGTCAAGGGAGATGCCCCAGTCAAAGATAACTCTGCCAACAGACACTGGAGTCATAGTTAGGATTATTTACAGAAAGAAAATCATGGAGCTAAAACTTCAACACTTCAAAACCTATGTTATGATCATGTTGAAATGCCCCACGTTGCCTTTATTAACTAGTGCTCAGTCTCCCAACTGAAAACTCATTGTAAGAATTGAATTTGCCATCTAACCGGGCATCCTACCTTGAATGGTTAAAAATCAGATTTGTCTGATTTCTAATTTTAGAAGGAACCAGGCTGACCTTCATTCCGCTGTTGCTAACTGGAGCCCTGTTACCTGGGTGACTAGATTTACAATATGTCAGTATGCAAATACCATCTGCCCAAGAGGAGAAAGGAAGCAAGGCCTTCTTCCTCTAGGGGTTGTCAGCAGTTCTGGAAACGTCTTCCTCTGGGAATGGGGAGGAAGGCATGCCCAATAGAAGGAGAACAGGGAAGAAGATGTGCTGATTCGTTTCTGGAGCCTCTCCCTTGTTCTCTTCCCACAGAGGAGTTTGTGGTCTGCCTTGTGGACAGTCCTGAATGTATATCATTAGGATATAGACAGGAACTTAGATTGTACATTTCTCCTGGTAGAGTGAGCAAAAGAAGTAGTATATATCACTTCAGTGGATCACAAAACACTTAGATTCAGATAACTGGAATGGCTTAATGAAGACTATGAATATGCGATTCCTGCCTCCCCAAATGCCATTAGGAATCTAATTTCCAACTGATAAGAGAGTGTGGGCTGGGCGTGGAGCCGGCTGCCTTTACTGGACGAACTCTGAAGGAGGATGAAGAGAAGTGGATATTCCGGCTCATTTTCCTACACTTGAGGTTGACTGGGCAAGCGGAAGGGATTTTTCTCCCACAGAATATCTATATTCAGCACTTGTCCTGAGTATTGTTTCAGGCGAGGGCTTGGAATCACATTTGGAAACATTCAAATCCAAAGGCAGGGACGTTCTGCTTTCCTTTTCATGAAATAACTGTCACATCAGCTGTCAGCTGCAGGAATCTCTCCCACCCACGCATTTTGTGAGTCCAAATTAGGTGGACTAATTAATTGTAATTTTTACTTTCAAGTCTCAAGGACTTTGATGGGCGGCTGTGCTTCCTTTCATGGTTGTGTGCAGGAATTTATGTAGGAGGAAGACCTTCTAGGAGCAGGATTGAGGATCTCAGGCTCTTGGCTTCTGATTTTGTACCCCTGGGTTACTTCCCCTGTGACCTCTCCTCTCTTTGCTCTCCTTGGCTCTGCTCTCTCATCTCTTTGGTAAAAAAGAACTCTTCTTACCATCAACCTGAAACTGTCAGCAACATGCAGGAGTGAGCAGTCACTAAACTTAACTGTGACATTTTCATCCACCTAGCCTTTTTATCTGCATGTCAAACAAGTGGCCAAGGAGATTAATGCCTGAGTGCATGCTGCAGCTAGACGGGCTGGGTTCAAGTCCCAGCTCTACTACTTACTACCTGGGTGACATTGGGCAAGTGACTTAACCTCTGTGTATCAGTTTCCTCATTTGTCAAATAGGGATTTAAAACGCTACCTTCCTCATTGTGTTGTTGTGAGGATTAAATAGTATAAATATTTTAGAACTGTGCTGAACCTATAGAAGCCAGGGCTCTGTATGGCAGCTTTTAAGATGACTCTGTCATGCATCTGCAGGGGTCCTAGTGAGGTAGTGAAGTTTTGCTGTGAGCAAGTAGATTTCCAGAGCTTGCTTGCAGGCAGTGACCTCCCCGTTCTTTCTTGCCATGCTAGTTTCTTTTTTGAGATGGAGTCTAGCTCAGTCGCCCAGGCTGGAGTGCAGTAGCGCCATCTTCACTGCAATCACCTCCCAGGTTCAAGCGATTCTCCCGCCTCAGCCTCCCAAGTAGCTGAGATTACAGGCGCCCGCCACCACGCCTGGTTAATTTTTGTATTTTTAGTAGAGATGGGGTTTTTGCCATGTTGGCCAGGCTGGTCTCAAACTCCTGACCTCAGGTGATCTGTCTGCCAAAGCGCTGAGATTACAGGCATAAGCCACCACGCCCAGCCATGCTAGTTTCTATTCATGCACAGATCAAGCCTAATTTTCCATGTGGCACCCCCCACCAACAACAGTACCCCATGCTGCTCTGTTCCTACCCCTTGCACCCTTTCTGTCAATGCTGTGTAATTAGCACATTTGGACACGATGTCTTAGCTTCTCACTCTGATTGTAATGTGAAGTTCAGCTCTTCATTGTCCTTGAGGCATAATGAAAAGATGCCATGTGGCTGGAGAGCTGCCTGCGATCGTTGTTCAATGGATGATGTGGCCAAGTACATAAAACAGTGACTTGGACAACCACACTTGTCCTTTAGCTTACTCTTGAAGTCACTTATTGCTTTCTTATTGCTTATGGCTTTCTTGTTGCTTTCTTATTGCTTATGGCTTTCTTGTTGCTGTACATAACTTAAAACTATCAAAAGAAAATATGAGATGTTGCAGCTGCTATGGAGGAAAGTCTGACAGTTCCTCAAATGGTCAAACATGTTGTTACCATGTGACCCAGTAATTCCATATCCAAGGGAAATGAAAACATACGTCCTCAAAAGACTCACCCACAAATACTCATAGCAGCATTATTCATAATAGCCACAAGGTGGAAACCACCCAAATGTCCATCAACTGATGAAGGGATAAACAAAATGTGGTATATCCATACAATGGAATATTATTCAGTAATAAAAAGGAAGTACTGATGCATGCTAAACATGAATGAATCTTAAAAACATGTTAAATGAAAGGAGTCAGTGACAAAAGGCCATGTATTGTATGATTCCATTGATATGAATGTTCAGAATGGCCACATCCATAGAAACAGAAGGTAACTTAGTGGTTGCTGGGACTGGGAGGAGAAGAGAATCAGGGATGACTATTAGTGGGTATGGAGTTTCTTTTGGAGATGATGAAAATGTGGAATTGGATAGCGGTGATGATTTCACAACCTTGCAAATATACTAAAAGCCACCGAATTGCATATTTTTTTTAAAAAAGTATGGGAAACATCTATATGCTCAACTACAGAGCTTAAAGTCATCTTTAAGATTACTTTTTCCAGCGTAGCTGTCACCTAAAATAGAATAAAAAGTGACTTGATCTGCAAGGAAAACATGAAAAATGCAAATGGTCAAGAATGGCTTTTTCACCCCAAATTGTTGAATATAAATTATATACATGCAATTCGTAAGTAAACGCTGTAGGACTCGGCTGCCTTCTATGTTGTGATTCTGTAATTTGCTACATTCCTGGATGGGCCATCAAAATAATACTGAAAACAGCTTCTATAACAAATAGAAGTGCTGTTTCAGGTCATGCCTACCACCACTCCTGGGTTCCCTAAGGTACTAATTCATAGCTACCTCTTTGTGGTGCCCTTACAAAGAGTGATTTAACTGTTTGTAAAGGTGTCTGGACCTTTTTGACATTAAAGAGATTTACTGAATTAAACTTATGTTTGCAAACAGAATATTTCCAGGGGATGCCTTCCAGCCCCCTAAGAATTAACCATCTTAGTTTATCAGTGTTTAATCAGGACCCTACTGATTGACTCTTCTGGTTTAAATAAATAATGGGGTTGAAATCTCTACCAGGGCTGTTTCAGTACTTATTTGGAAGAAGGATGTGAAATACCCAAGCTCCACCTAAAATAGGCTTTGCAAGAATAAGTGATCCAAGAGAGAACCTACAGTTGACTTTAAAACATCCTGTAATCATGTCACACCTGTTAGGATGGTGGTTATCAAAAAAACAAACAAACAAACAAAAAAAGGAAAATGATGGGCCAGCCATGGTGGCTCACACCTGTAATCCCAATACTTTGGGAGGCTGAGGCAGGAGGATCAGTTGAGACTAGCCTGGGCAACATTGCAAGACCCATCTCTACAATTTTTTAAATTACCCAGGCATAGTGCCGTGTGCCTGTAGTCCCGGCTACTCCAGATGCTGAAGTGGGAGGATCACTTGAGCCCAGGAGTTTGAGGCTGCAGTGAGCTATTTCACACCACTGCACTGTAGCCTGGGTGACAGAGCAAGACCCTTTCCCTAAAAGTATTTTTAAATGTAAAACAAGTGTTGGTGGAGATGTGGAGAAATCAGAGCCCTCCTGCATTGCTGGTAGGGATGTAAAACTGTGGAAAACAGTTTGGTGGTTACTCAAAAAGTTCAACATAGAATTACCAAATGATTGAGCAATTCCACTTCTAGGTCTGTACTCAAAGTAATTAAAAGCAGAGACTCAGATTCTTGTATACTCATGTTCACAGCAGCATTCTGTTTTTTTTTTTTTTTTTTTTTTTGAGATGATGTCTTGCTCTGTTTCCCAGGCTGGAGTGCAGTGGCACGATCTCAGCTCGCTGCAACTTCCGCCTCCTGGGTTCAAGCAATTCTCCTCCTTCAGCCTCCCAAGTAGCTGGGACTACAGGCGTGCACCACCACACCTGGCTAATTTTTGTATTTTTAGTAGAGATGGGGTTTCACCATGTTGGCCAGGCTGTTCTCGAACTCCTGACCTCAAGTAATCCTCTTGCCTTGGCCTCCCAAAGTGCTGGGATTACAGATGTGAGACACCATGCCCAGGCAGAAGATAGATTTTTTTTAAATGTAGCAATTTCTGGAAATATACCAAACTTACTGTTTTCCCTGTCTTCACTGACGACCTCAGGAGAGCAGGAGTTGACACCCATTTGCTTTCCTCAATCTGCTATCTGCTTCTTTTTACCAAGGAGGAAACACTCTTAGGCCAACTATGGCCTAAGAATGAATGGTGCCTCCCTGCAACCAGCCATACACCCTCTCTGGCTACAAGTGCCATCCATGCCTCTGGAACCTGGAGCTTCTCCTAAGTAGGGTGAGCAAAGATGCTGGAACTTTCCAAGTCTCAATCTACATATACAATCCACATATATAACCCTCTCCCAGCCTTGCTAGGTAGTTACCAGAACCCCAAAACCACTTGCCAAGCCAGTCAGCATTTAGGTAAGCAAAGGAGTCCAGTGACCCTCAAATATCACTGAGATCTTGTTTGTCTAGGCATGAAGTGCCTTGAATAACTCTTTCAAGACATTAAGAACTCCCGCTGTTCAATTGTACCTGAAGCAGCAAGTGCTTCTCTTTGCATTTCCTTTACCCTCTGTTCTCAGAAGGTCTCAAAGATGCTGAAACTAATTGCTGTCATTCCTGAAAGATTTCTGCTTTTAAGTGGTACTGCGGCTTCCCTTGATGCTACCAGCCGTTTTCATTAAGGATTTCATGAAGGGTTGATGGGTGCATTAGGCTTCACAAACAACGGTTCTTTTCATCCTGGAAAGGCCTTGCTACCTTGGTAGTGGATGGACCTCTCTGCTGCGAACATCTCTGTTTATGGGGCTAAGGTTACAGAGATGACAAAGAGGTCACAAGCGGATGGCGCAGGATATGTGTCCTGGGAAAGCTCTATCTTGATTTTCCCTCTTTTTGGTCTTGTGATTGACTGTGGGTTTATGTTCTGTAGTAAACACAAGAGCCTTGATTGCTTACTAAAGGTCAGACTTGTCAGCAAACCTCTCCATTAACTTGAGTTGCGATCGGTTTCACATTTCCTGGCAAATCGTTTGAGAGCTCTGATGAATGCATCAGTTTCCTTCAGTCTTCTGTCTTCAAGGCAGAAACGCTCAAGAAATCCCCCTCTTTGCCAGACACCAAGTGTATCTTGTTTGCAGCTCTGCCTCTAGCATCTACAGGGCTTGGCATACACGTGAAATGCATGTTGAGTGATGAACGGGAGCGCACAGGACTCTTAAGAACCGAGACCGTCCCCACAGCCAACGTATGAAGAAATCCCATGTTCTGCTTCTAGAGCCAACTGCCCTTGTGGTTTCGAGTTGAGTTCTGGCAGTTCCTGTCTTTGCTCTCTTAATCATTCTTCATGGGCTCCCACTAATGGCTAATTTGCTCAGCTTGTCATTTATAAATACAAGGACATGACACCCACTGCCTTAGCCAGTGCTTATAAAGTAACCTGTAAGTGCTGCATGTTATCATCTCGGCTTTTCAATTTATGAGTCAAGTGAATTCTCGGGGCTAGAACATCACCCCTAAAAGCGAGTCAGTGTTGGAAGAAGCAGCAAAAATATACATGCACTCTTACTTGCATAGACTATGAAGACTATTGTTACTCTCCTGTACTCAGTCAAGTAGATTATGCTCCTCCATGGTCAAGTACCCTTGAGGCGATTTGCACAGTTTTGCAGCAACAGCAGGATAGAGGTTGTGCTGGTACCAGCAGGAAGCATAGCCTGAGCCCTTCCCTTGGATTTCAGTTGCTCTATTTCTATTCAGTTCAGTCCAGAACTTAGGACAGGTTAAGCATCAGCGTCCAATACAGTTTATATTAGTTTGTCACAAAAGGGGGATTTTTTGAATTAAATGTTGATAACCCAGCTTCTTAAATCTTTTTATCAGTTTTTTCATTCCCATACCCTGGCATAATGACACAGGTATTACGTAAACAAGACACCTCCGAGGGCTGCTTATAAAAACTCAAGAGAAAAGATAAATATGTGATGATGCACTGATATCCTGAAATATGAGCTGCAGGTTTGTATTTTCTTTGTGGGATCGGATATTGGTTTTCATGGTTTATTGACCAGGCTGAGAGACATCTGACAAAACACCCAAGAACTTTACACCTTTTTTTTTTGTTATTATTTTTTAACCTTCCTGTCTACATGGAGAAATCTACACATTGAATCACAGGGCCTGGAAGACTGGGGCTTAGCCAGTCATGTTCTTAGCTTGGGCAGAACCCAAATCAGATCCAGCTGTTGGAGGTAAAAATACACGCTGCTTTCCCAAGGAAAAAGCAATTGGAATTGGTCTCACTGTAGAGTTACTCTCGGGCAGAACTTCGGGATAAGGAGCAACTGGAGACGGTCGACTGTGAATGTGATGTTCATGTGACATTCATGTTCATTGAGGAATGTGTTCTCATTGAGACCGGATCAGAACTCATTTGGGTTCAGTTAATGACTCTTTCCTTTCTGCCGGGTCTTTGTCTGCAACATTGGGCACGCAGTCAGTACCTCGTTGTGTGGGAGCATCACCGACAGGAATCCTCCAGAATGGTCATATATTAAAGACCTCTCGGGCTGGGCATGGTGATTCATGCCTGTAATCCCAGTACTTTGGAAGGCCGAGGCAGGTGCATCACCTGAGGTCAGGAGTTCAAGACCAGCCTGGCCAACATGGTGAAACCCTGTCTCTACTAAAAATACAAAAATTAGCCGGGCGTGGTGGCACACGCTTGTAATTCCAGCTACTCAGGAGGTTGAAGCAGAGGAATTGCTTGAACCCAGGAGGTGGAGATTGCAGTGCGCCGAGATCACACCACTGCATTCCAGCCTGGGAGAGAGAGTGAAACTCCATCCCCCACCACCAAAAAAAAAAGACATCTAGGCTTAGGGCACGGCAAACAAAGAACTCCCCTGGCATGGCAGGAATCAGGGAATCTCATGTAACATTCATTGTTTCTCCGGGGAGTCTTTTCATATTTCTCCCGTCTTCTAGGCTCAATACCTTTCAGGAAGCTTCTAAACCAAAGGTTCATCAAATAGAAATAATTTTAAAAATTATTTCATAATAAACTTTAATAATTTTTTCATAATCATAAAGTAATTGTTAGATGGTTTCCTTGAGGCATGAGCCATACTCACTGAAAAATGACAAGTTCTGAGCCTTTTTAATTGTGATCAAATATACATATCATAAAATTTACCATTTTAATCTTTTTTTTTTTTTTGGAAAATGAGGTCTCACTTGCTTGCCCAGGCTGGAGCACAGTGGTATGATCATAGCTCACTGCATTGCACCCTGGACCTCCTGGGCTCAAGCGATCATCCCGCCTCAGCCTCCCGAGTAGCTGGGACTACAGGCGTGTGCCACCATGCCCAGCTGAGTTTTTATTTTTTTGTTTTTTGTAGAGACACCATCTCCCTATGTTGTCCAGGGTGGTCACCAACTCTTGGGCTCAAGCTGTCCTCCCACCTCAGCCTCCCAAAGCACTGGGATTACAGGCATAGACTACCATGCCTGGCCCACTGTAACCAATTTTAAGTGTATATTTCAGTGACATTCAGTACATTCACATTGTTGCAAAACCATCATCACCATCTACCTCCAGAAGCTTTTTTACCATCCTAAACTGAAACGCTGTACCCTAAACACTCCATTACCCACTCTTTCCAGTCCCTGGCAGCTACCATTCGACTTTCTGTCTCTACGAACTTGACACTTCTAGCTGCCTCGTCTAAGTGGAAATTCTCAAGCTTTTTATAATACTTATGGGAAGTAGTCAATCTGACTACCGTCTAATGAAATTTTTACATAAGGAAAAGATAGTTTTGAGCAGATGGTCAGATTTCCTTTGGTTTTGGCATTGTACAAGTATATGGCAGATGCCTCATTCTCTTATACTTTCTGGAACCCGCAGCATAACAGGGATATGAATGAAACAGATCTGCAAGTCACAGTCAGACATGTGGCCAACTAGAAGGAGCAGTGGTGAGGGCAGTTGGTGTACAGGTTTATTATACAATTTATGAAGCATTTTAATTTTTAAGTTTTTTTTTTTTTCTCACTTGATTCTCACCATGTCTTGCGAGGTATTCTATTAGTTCCATTTTAATGATAATAAACTGTGGCTCAGAGAAGTAAATCGTCTAAGGTTACAAAGCTAGTCAATGGTAGAATCAGGACGCTGGCTTCACATTTTCATTTTTAAAACCCCAGTGCTTTCCATCACAGCCCACTGTGAACAATTATCACGTCTCTGGAGGCCCAGGTAATAGCCAGTCCTCAGGAAGGGAGGGCCTCTCCAAATGCAACCCTAATTACTAGTGCTCCACCTCACCAGCTCAGAAATACATGGAAACCGTTTTTTTTTTTTTTTTTTTTTTTAATTGAGACAGAGTCTCTGTCACCAGGCTGGAGCACAGTGGTGCAATCTCTGCTCACTGCAACCTCCGCCTCCCGGGTTCAAGTGATTCTCCTGCCTCAGCCTCCTGAGTACCTGGGATTACAGGTGCCTGCCACCACGCCCGGCTAATTTTTGTATTTTTAGTAGAGATGGGGTTTCACCATCTTGGCCAGGCTAGTCTTGAACTCCTGACCTCGTGATCCACCCTCCTCGGCCTCCCAAAGTGCTGGGATTGCAGGCGTGAGCCACTGCGCCCAGCCTAAATTTTCTAATAGCCACATTTTAAAAAGTGTGTAGAAAGAAACACATAGGCTGGCTCATGGTAGCTTACACCTATAATCCCAAAACTTTGTGAGGCTGTGGCGGGAGGATGGCTTGAGGCTAGGAATTTGAGGCCAGCCTGGGCAACATAGCAAGATACCATCTCTACAGAAAAAATACAAAACTTAGCTGGACGTGGTGGTGCCTGCCTGTAGTCCCAGTGACTCAAGAGGCTGAGGTGGAAGGATCGCTTGAGCACTGGGGGTCAAGGCTGCAATGAGCTACGGTCATACCTCTGCACTCCAGCCTGGATGACAGAGCGAGACCCTGTCTCTAAAAAAATAAGAAAGAAAAGGAAAAAAAAAGGCAAGTGAAGTTAATTTTAAAAATATATTTTAGTTAACCCAGTATACAAAAATATCATTTCAATCAACATAAAAATTATTAATGAACTATTTTGCTTTTTTTTGTAGTAAGTCTTCCAAATCTAGTGTGCATTTTAGACTTAAACAGCACTCCCAAGTCAGACGCTAAATTTTCATTGGCAGTACTTGATCTTTATTTAGATTTCATAAAATTCCCAGTTGAAAAAGTAGATTCACATACCCAAAGTGTTTCAAACATATATGAAGGTTTTCTTTTTTTTTTTTTTTTTTTTTTTTTTTTTTTTGAGACGGAGTCTCGCTCTGTCGCCCAGGCCGGACTGCGGACTGCAGTGGCGCAATCTCGGCTCACTGCAAGCTCCGCTTCCCGGGTTCACGCCATTCTCCTGCCTCAGCCTCCCGAGTAGCTGGGACTACAGGCGCCCGCCACCGCGCCCGGCTAATTTTTTGTATTTTTAGTAGAGACGGGGTTTCACCTTGTTAGCCAGGATGGTCTCGATCTCCTGACCTCATGATCCACCCGCCTCGGCCTCCCAAAGTGCTGGGATTACAGGCATGAGCCACCGCGCCCGGCCGAAGGTTTTCTAATAACTGAATCAAGCACCAGTCTTAAATTTAAATGAATTAAAATGAAAGAAAATTTAAAATTCAATCCCTCTATTCCATGGGCCACACTTCAAAGGCTCAGTGGCCACACATAGCAAATAGCTTTGGTCCTGGGCAGAACAGATCTAGATGAACAGCTGAGGGTGGCCCAGACTGGACCCAGCCGTGGAATAGAACAACGGTCTGCAAACTTATTTCTATAAAGGGCCAGATAATAAATATTTTCAGCCTTGGGGGTTACACAGTCTCTCAAAGTATTCAACTCTGCCATTGTAAATGAAAGCAGCCATAGAATGAATGAGCATCGCTGTGTTCCAATAAAACTTTATTTACAAAGCAGGCATCAGCCTGCATGCTTTGCCAACCATTAGACTAGAACATTTGTCCTAGGGCCTTAGCTGTGCTGTGGGATTACCAGAAAAAGAGACAGCTCTCACCTCTAGCTTTCTGAGATGAGGTTGTCAAAATCTGGACTCACTGGATCTCCTTTCCTGTGTGTAATTAGAATTTTGACACCACTTGGCATGAAGCAACGGTGGGCCAGAGTTCTGCGTCATTTATCCTTCAGGTGCTCTCTGCAGTGGATGGTTTGTGCCTCCTGAAGCAATTGCTTCCCTGTGCTTTGAGGTCCAGCAGAGGTAACAGCGGAGAAAGCTGGAAGAAAGGCTTCAACAAAAGCATTAATGGTGATGTGAAGAATGCAGGAAACTCCCAAGAAAGCCAAATGATATCACTCTCTGCTTTTCCAACATAGCCAGTGTGAGGCAGGAATCACACACGTTTCACAGCTGGGTAAATATGTGATTTCACGTGAAATCAGAGGGACAGGTGTTTCTCTGTGCTTGTTAGGTGATATGGCGTCCGCCCATTTTGATGGTAAAGGCCAAAGTAAATATAAATTCTGTTTCCTGACCTGGGGCCTTGAGGTCCCCAGGCGGGGATTACCACCACCCAATTTGGGAATCTACGTTGCAAAGCCATGGTTCCCGCTGTTCACATTGTGACGTTTGGAAATGGTATTGGGACTAATGGAGGGAAAGAAAGAGGACAGGAAGGGAGGGCATAGAGATTGGTTGGTAGGAAGATGACCCCCACTAGGTGCTTTAGGGTAGGGGGTTATGGAGGCTGGCTTTGCAGAAACTCTGGGACGCAGCAGTTGGGGAAGGGTGAAGTGAAAATCAGTGATAGCTTAGAGCTCTGCTGACCCTAGAACTTTGGATCCAGTATTTCTTCAGGCATGGATGATGTTGAAGGTATTGTTGGCACTCATTTGATAATCCCTTACTGTACTCAGAAGTTTTGGCTTGGGGTTGCCTTTTTAATTCAAGGTTCAAGATTAAATGACTTGGCTGGGTGTGGTGGCTCATGCCTATAATCCCAGCACTTTGGGAGGCTGAGGCGGGAGGATCACCTGAGGTCAGGAGTTCGAGATCAGCCTGGCCAACCTGGTGAAACCCCGTTTCTACTAAAAAAATAACAAAACTTAGCCAGGCATGGTGGTGTGTGCCTGTAATCCCAGCTACTTGGGAGGCTGAGGCAGGAGAATTCCTTGAACCTGGGGGGCAGAGGTTGCAGTGAGCCAAGATTGCACCATTGCACTCCACCTGGGCGACAGAGAGCGAGACTCCATCTCAAAAAAAAAAAAAAAGTTAAATGACTGGATGGTGCCCCATGTAAGAGTTTGCAAAAGTTCAAACTAGTGAAACTGCTGAGCTTCTTCAGTACATTATGCAACTCTGCCTTGCCTCCAATTTTGCAGCTCTATCAAGTGTACAGCGTGGTGTGTGGGGAAAGATCTGCATCCCATGATGTTTTTGACTATGGAGGTAATTATTTGGAGTAGCTGTTCTGATGATAACTCACGGAGGTTCAGTCTGCAGCATGGAACTGTCTCTAGTCATGATTGCCTGTAATGATGATTACCCAAACTCTGGAATTATAACAATAGATTTTACAAAGTTAGAGCATAATTGCTCCACCATTCCTTACATGTGCACAGATTAAACAACTTTGATCTTTCAATCAGATTTTTGTTACTCATCTTCTGCAATAGCAAAGGTCAGAGGCAGTAGCTTTCTGCCACCTCCCTCCCCTCTTTTTAAATCATCACGAGGCCTAGATTTTTAAAGCATTTAACTTGGTAAAGAAATAAGGGCTGAAGTTGTGTGGACTAGAATGAGTACAGGCCTGTGGGGGGTCAGAATCCCAATTCTGACATCTAGAAACTCTGTAACATACAGTCTTCAACCTGTCTGCAACTCAGCTTCCTCGTCTGTCAATACTCACTTGTCTGAATCATTGAGAGATTAGAATGAACATAGGCGGCCGGGTGTAATGGCTCATGCCTGTAATCCCAGCACTTTGGGAGGCCGAGGCGGATGGATCATGAGGTCAGGAGTTCGAGACCAGCCTGGCCAACATGGCGAAACCCCGTCTCTACTAAAAATACAAAAATTAGCTGGGTGTGGTGGTGGGCGCCTGTAACCTCAGCTACTGAGGAGGCTGAGCAGAGAATTTCTTAAACCCAGGAGGTGGAGGTTGCAGTGAGCTGATATCTCGCCACTGCACTCCAGCCTGGGAGACAGAGCGAGACTCCATCTCAAAAACAAAAAAAAGGAATATAGGCTGGGTGCAGTGGCTCACGCCTGTAATCCCAGCACTTTAGGAGGCCAAAGTGGGAGAATTGCTTAAGGCCAGGAGTTGGAGACTAACATAATGAGACCATGTCTGTACAAAAGTAAAAAAATAAAAATTAACTGGGTGTGGTGGCACACTTCTGTAGTCCCAGCTACTCAAGGGGCTGAGGCAGGAGGATTGCTTGAGCCCAGGAAGTCGAGGCTGAGGTGAGCCATGATCATGCCACTGAACTCTAGCCTGGGTGACAGAGTAAGACCCTGCTGCTTTTAATTTTTTAAATTATTTATTTTATTTACTTAGTTTGTTTTTGTTTTTGTTTTTTTGAGACAAAGGCTCCCTCTGTAGCCCAGGCTGGAGTGCAGTGGCGTGATGTCGGCTCACTGCAACCTCCACTTCCTGGGTTCAAGTGATTCTCCTGTCTCTGCCTCCCGATTAGCTGGGATTACAGGCGTGCACCACCACATCCGGCTAATTTTTGTATTTTTAGTAGAGACGGGGTTTTGCCATGTTGGCCAGGCTGGTCTTGAACCCCTGACCTCAGGTGATCCGCCTGCCTCGGCCTCCCAAAGTGCTGGAATTACAGGCATGAGCCGCTGCGCCCAGCCAGACCCTGTCTCTTTTAAAAGAAAGGCAAAAGAAATATAAAGCACTTAATCAGTGCCTTGCACTAATGGGCAATCAATAAAGTGATGCTGTATCATCATCATCAATTCTACGATCAATTCTCAGGCTTTGGAGGCTTTAGAATCTTTCTATGTCTTTGGATGTTGTGGCCTTTATTCAACATACAAGTTTGTTTGGAGCTGGTGGTCAGGGATATGGTATTTTCACTAAGTTAGGGATGGAGCTTTGTAAGAAATCAGTATAAAGGAGGAAAAAAGAAACAAGCGTCCTAAAGACAGAACATTTACAGCTGAGCAAGTGCTGATGGCTGCCTTCACCACGTTCTGCTGCAGCGGTTCTCAGCATTTATGTGCATTTCTGAAAGATTCCCACTCTTTTCTCCCCAGAGTCTGAATGGAGAAGGTCTGGAACAACCTGAGATTCAGCATTTTTAGGAGTGTCTCTGGAGATTTTGAAACACGTGGTTCAAGGACTCTCTGTCTCTTCTCCCTCCCCCAAACGAGAAACTGCTGCTTGTGTCTGAGAGTCAATACGAGATTTAAAAACAGCAACAAAACCACTGCTCCTGGAATGGCCCAGTTCCCATGGCCACGACCAGCAAAGTGGGCCTGATTTCCTTAGGAGGGGAAGAAGTGACGGCTGCAGAGCCCTTGACCATCTCGGTGTCTGGGCTCGAGTGTCCCGCCACCCCCAGCGTCTGCAGGTCACCCCCACACTGACGCCGTCTCAGTGAGCTAATGCCAGTGTCTGCCCCGCGCCGGCTCATTCAGCAGCCACTGGAATGATCAATGAGGCCGGCCGCCCAGCCCTCCACCGGCTGTTGGTGAATCAGCTGCCTCGGCCATTCCCATCTCCACTGAGCAGGAAGCACTCGAGCTGAGCCCAGCCAGGGCTGACTGGCGTCTGGCTAATGGCTTTTCTGTGTCATGCACTGACCTTGATCCCATATGTTTTTCATACGTGAGTGGGTTGGAGTGCCTGAAGATGGTCCAGTGGTGGAAATAGCTCTTCTGCCAAGCCCCTTACCGAGGTCCTGGGCAGTACTTTGGTTTAGAGGTGTCTGCTTCTGAAGCAGGATCGGTGCTTTTGTTTAAATTGAGGTGAAATTCACATAACATAAAATCAACCAGGTTAAAGGGAACAATCAGTGGCATCTAGTGCATTCTCAACGTTGTGCAAAACCACCTCTATCCAAAAACACTTCCATCGCTCCAGAAGGAACCCCTGCACCTGTTGCATGAGTTGACTAGGGCTGCTGTAACAAAGTGCCACAAACTGGGTGGCTTCAACAACAGAAATTTGGGGCCAGGAGCAAGTGGCTCATGCCTGTAATCCCAGCACTTTGGGAGGCTGAGGTGGGTGGATCATTTGAGGTCAGGAGTTCAAGACCAGCCTGGCCAACATGGTGAAACCCCGTCTCTACTAAAAATATAAAAATTAGTCGGGTCGTAGCGGCGTGCGCCTGTAATCCCAGCTGCTTGGGAGGCTGAGGCAGGAGAATCACTTGAGCCTGGTAGGCGGAGGTTGTGGTGAGCCAAGATCGCACCACTGCACTCCAGTCTGGGCGACAGAATGATACCCTGTCTCAAAACAAACAAACAAACAGAAATTTACTGTCTCACAATTCTGGAGGCTAGAAGTTTGAAATCAAAGTGTCAGCAGGCTTGGTTCCTTCTGGAGGCTGTGGGGTGAGGGAAGGATCCGGTTCGGACCTCAACCCTTGGCTTTTTTTTTTTTTTTTTTTTTTTTGAGATGGGGTCTCGCTCTGTCATCCAGACTAGAGAGCAGTGGTGTGATCTCTGCTCACTGCAAGCTCCGCCTCCTGGGTTCACGCCATTCTCCTGCCTCAGACTTCCAAGTAGCTGGACCACAGGCACCCGCCACCACACCTGGCTAATTTTTTTGTATTTTCAGTAGAGGTGGGGATTCACCGTGATCGCCAGGATGGTCTCTATCTCCTGACCTTGTGATCTGCCCACCTCAGCCTCCCAAAGTGCTGGGATTGCAGGCGTGAGCCACTGTGCCTGACCAACCCTTGGCTTTATAGATGGCCATTTTTCTCTCCACATCATCTTCCTCTATGCCTGCCTGTGTCCCTGTCTAAGTTTCCCTTTATTATAAGGACACCAGGCATTTTGGATAAGGGCCTACCCTAATGACCTCATTGTAACATGATTACTTCTGTAAAGACCCTATCTCCAAATAAGGTCACATTCTGGGTTACTAGGGGTCAGGACTTCACAGTATGTATTTTGCGGGGACACAATTCAACCTTTAACAACATTAGGCAGTATCAGTACTTTGTTCCATTCTATGGCTGAATAATATCCCATTGCATGTAAACATTTATTTTTTGAGCCCCAAGTACAAAGCAACTGTCAGTGAAATCTCCACCCCCTGGGTAGTGTGTGCCCATCTGTATAAGGTGGCATATTGATCTCACAGGTAGAGCTCACAAATCTGCAATGTGTAAACTTTTTCTTATTGTCTTCCTCCTTGAAAGAGTGTTAGCCTTTACGAGCAAAAGTCAAAGCAGTACTGGACTAAGGGAAGAGAAGTCAAGCTTCTGATCCTAAAATTAATTTTAAAAATTGATTTCAGGCTGGGCACTGTGGCTCATGCCTGTAATCCCAGCACTTTGAGAGGCTGAAATGGGCAAATTGCTTGAGCCCAGGAGTTCAAGACCAGCCTGGGCAACATGGTGAGACCCTGTCTCTACAAAAAATACAAAAATTAGCTGGGCGTGCTGGTGCGCACCTGTAGTCCCAGCTGCTCAAGAGGCTGAAGTGGGAGGATTGCTTGAGCCTGGGAGGCGGAGGTTGCAATGATCTGAGATCACACCACTGTAGTCCCGCCCGTGTGACAGAGTGAGACCCTGTCTCAAACAAACAAAAAAAAGAGGATTTCATCTTTAAATTTTATTTTTCCTTTTCCTGGTCTTATCCCCAGTGCTGCCCACTTCCTGCAAGCACAGGTGCACACACACAGGTACGTGCACACATACGCTCACGTTAAAAGCGTTTTCATGTGACCGTTCTGGAGAGGGGCGTGGCACAGATAGGAGACACAGTCCTTCGAGAAGACCCAGACGGCAGCTTGCTTCCATTGTCATGGTTACTGGGCTCGGTCCCCAGGGCTGGCTGCAGACCAGAGCCTTTCAGAGCTTCTTCACACTCCCGTCCCTGCTCCTGCCTCAGAATGAAAGAGAAACCTTCGGGCACAT
Source organism: Homo sapiens (assembly GCF_000001405.40). Lineage (NCBI taxonomy): Eukaryota > Metazoa > Chordata > Mammalia > Primates > Hominidae > Homo > Homo sapiens. The sequence continues at coordinate 67,531,584 of NC_000017.11, forward strand.
GTGTCTTCTCAGCTGTGAAACTAACTGCACTGTTGACTTGTGCATTTCATCTGCCCCCTTAATTTAAAATCTATTTCTGTCTCTTATGCAGACAGACAGGGGACCCGCATCCCTGCAGATTGTTGGGGAATAACCCCGAGTCCTCATTAGTTTGTTGCAGACTCAGGCCCCACTCCCCCATCCCAGAGGCGTCGGTGGTAATGACCCAGGGTCTGTCTCTAGGAAGGATGGCAGCAGGGTCGCATCGTCCTGCGTCCTGACTCTGAGCAGGGTTGTACCTCATGCAAAAGTTGTTTAATTTCCTCCTTCCTCTCTCCCCCTCCCCTCTCTCTTTTCCATCAAATTCGTTTTGCCACTTCGAAAGTCCACTGGGGGAAGAAATGCCTGCTGGTCCCAGGGTTTTCAGAGAGGCAGGAAGGCAGATGGAACAGCTCATACATGAAAAAAGGACAGAAAATGTTCATATAGTATGTTGCTCCACATGATTATTTTAGGGTAAGACAGGTGACTTTTGGGTCCTTGGACTGGAAGGCTCCACACTCTTCATGGAATTGGATGAAAAGGAGTTAAAAGTACTGTAGGTGGTCCTCGGAGAGGAGCGGCCTTCAGGGGCTCAGATTATGAGCCTTGGCTCCACTCATGGGGGAGCCGGGGCCTCTGGAGCTTTGAAAAGCTTTCAGGTGATTCTAATATCCAGCCACCTTTGAGAACCATTGTTCTAGGGGACAGAGGCCTCCAGGAGAGTTGAGCATTTTGAGAGAGGGAGGATAGAAGAAATAGATGATATCTAATGCTCCCTGTTCAGCAATTTTGCTAATTAGGCAGAAAGCAGGGGCAGAAATCACACACCCTCGGCTGTCTTGGGCCAAACCAAGCAGGACTTTAGCTCCATTTAACCCTGTAGAATGCAAAGGGAGACTCCAGTGTCCCCCTTCCCAAGGTTTGGTCAGCTGCCAAAGCTTACAGACTGCCAGCCACCCGGCCGAGCATTTGCCAAGGTGATGTAAAATATTCACGGGAACACGCCGTCTCGATGTTCTACTCACAACTGGTTCTCTCCCTAGCTCCCGAGGAAAAGTAACATGAGGCCCATGTGGCTGCCTTCTCTTCTCAGCAGAAGGTGCTGATGTTATTAGTGGCTTGCCAAGCTATGGTTGGAGGGGGATGTCAGGGGCACGCTGTGGGGCTGACCTTTCTGTCTCTGACTCTGTTTTGTAGTACAAAATTGGACAGCTGTACATGATCAGCAAACACAGCCATGAACAGAGTGACCGGGGAGAAGGGGTGGAGGTCGTCCAGAATGAGCCCTTTGAGGACCCTCACCATGGCAATGGGCAGTTCACCGAGAAGCGGGTGTATCTCAACAGGTGAGTCATGGCAGCCTGCGTTCTGCACAGAAGCCCCCTCCCACCTGACCCCATGGTGTGACAGTGGAGGCAGTGGGTGTCTGGGATGAAAAGGTCACTTGGAAAGTAACTACGTCCACCGTCTACGACCACCAATCTCATTGTTTTTGAAAACAGAATCTGCCCGAGCGAGGTGGCTCATGCCTGTAATCCCAATGTTTTTAGGAGGCCAAGGTGGGAGGATGGCTTGAGGCCAGGAGTTTGAGGCTACAGTGAGCTATACTCACAGTACTGCACTCCAGCCTGGGGTGACAGAGCAAGACCCTGACTGTAAAAAATATTACTACATAAAATAAAATAAACGAAATGAATCTCCCCCTCCCCACCTTGCATTCTGCAAAATCGTCCTCAACTGCGTTTCCATTAAGAGGAGCTTTCGGCTCATCTTTCCCACGGCTTTGATGACGTGTTACAGCGAAATGTGATCTTAAGAATTCAAGAGCCTGGAAGGTGGAGGCTGCAGTGAGCCATGATCATGCCACTGCTCTCCAGCCTGGCCAACAGAGTGAGGCCCTTGAAAAAAAGAGAATTAAAGGACTTTGTCTCATCCCTTGGTTCAGTGTTAGCTGTAGGAAAGAGACGGTGCTGCCTATATGCTGTGGACAAGTAAGTGCTGGAGGTGGCAATGCACCTTTTGGTCTCAGTAAGATTTTCATTTACTACTGGTGACCACTTGGGTGTCCGAAAAGGGAATGACAAAACAAACAGTCACCTGTGACCAAAGTGGTTAAGATGGCTTCCACTTCTCAAGTGGACCCATCCTTCCCAAGGTGGAGGTTGTCACTCTCCTTTTGGAAGGGAAACACATCAAGGATGACAAAATAGCACTAGTCAAGCGTGCCGTTTCTGCTTTGCAAAATATATTCTTTAATCTCTTGCTTTTTTCTTTTTCTTTTCTTTTCTTTCTTTTTTTGTTTTTTTTAAAGACAGAGTCTCACTCTATTGCCCAGACGGGAGTGTAATGGCATGATCTCTGCTCACTGCAACCTCCGCCTCCTGGGTTCAAGTGATACTCCTGCTTCAGCCTCCCGAGTAGCTGGGATTACAGGTATCTACCACCACTCCTGGCTAATTTTTGTATTTTTAGTAGAGACGGGATTCCACCATGTTGGCCAGGCTGATCTTGAACTCCTGACCTCAAGTGATCTGCCTGCTTCAGCCTCTCAAAGTGCTGGGATTACGGGCATGAGCCACCACACCCGGCCTTTCTTGCTATTTTCTTACTATGAATGGCGTAATGGATTATTAGGGCTTGTCTGATCTTCTCCCCATCCTATACTCCTATCCAGCCCATTTCTTCCTTTCAGTTCCTTTCTGAAACCTTCGGAATATTTGTGGTTAGATGCCATATGAAATATATCTTATTGGCAAAGTGTGGTGGCTCACACCTATAATCCCAGCACTTTGGGAGGCTGAAGGTGGTAGATCACTTTAGGTCAGGAGTTCAAAACCAGCCTGGGTAACATGGCGAAACCCCATCTCTACTAAAAATGCAAAAATTAGCTGGGCATGGTGGTGCGCACCTACAGCCCCAGCTACTTGGAAGGCTGAGGTGGGAGGATCGCTTGAGCCTGGGAGGTTGAGGGCTGCAGTGAGCTGAGATCATGCCACTGTACTCCAGCTTGGGTGACACAGTGAGACCTTGTCTCAAAAAAAAAGAAAAGAAAAGAAAAGAAAAGAATAAAGAAAAAAAAGAAATATATTTTATTGAAATTAACTGTCCATTCCAGCAAACAAGTCTTACGTCAGCCATTTCATGAATACTTTTACCCCTACCTGTGGCCTCTCCGATTGGCCCATATGTGATTATCCAGAAAGTATTTCCAACACCCTAGCTGGGCAGTGCCCCAGTTTATTCACTGACACCAGTGACTGTCCATTCTCAGGGCCTCGGACGTGGTTAGACATCTCTGAGAGGAACCATATTTAGATTCCCATTCTCGCCTTGACCCCACTCCCCAGCAGCTTGAATTGGACTATTCCTTCTTGATGGGAGACTTTGCTTCCTGTCACTAGGGTGGATGGAATTCTCCCAGACCCGTGTCCTGACAGTGAAGGGCATGAGCTGATTAAACTGATGTTTTAATTTGCCCAGAGATGCAGTACCAGGGAATTCCTGAGTCATGATGAAATGCAAATGAGATTGATCCCATTCATCTATTAGTAGCTGTGAATTCCCAGGCTTTGGAACCAGTTCAGTGTCCAGCCAGCTGTTGATTTGCAGGGGCAGCTGAGCTCTGGGTCTGTCCTGAGCATGGCTTTTTTACAGAGACAGGTTTCTCAACATGCTGCTTTGGCATTCTTAGCGTGGAGGGTGTAAATCAAATACTGAGCAAGTTTCTCCTCGGGGATCACCTCTGCAGGGCAAAGAGAAGTGAGGAAGATGCCAGAAAATAGAAACCTATGGAAAATTCCATTTCTTGGCATACAATTGCATTCTCTCAAGTTATTACCTGGAGAATGTTCCTTATATATGAAAATCAGGAAGAATTTTAGGAACTTTGTAAGTTTTGCTGAAACACAATAAGAGGCATCCAGCTCTCCCTGTCATGTCTGTTTTGTCATATCATATTTATATCATATTTATTTAAAAGAAGAGTAATAAACATTAGTAAGAGGGAAATTTGTTATAAATAGATGTGGACTTCCAGTAATAGTAAGGAAAAAGATTAATGGGGACCCTCCACCACTTCCCATGACAAACACAGGATGAAATATAACTATGTAAAGAAGCTGAGCTCAAAACAAAGAAAGGGAAATCCTCCGAGGCTAGAAATAAACAGGCAAACTGAAACCAGAGTGGAAAGCAGACCCGTTAATGCTAAGGAAGGGCATCGGGGGGACATCAGAACAGAGTGTGGGTTCTGACATCTAGGGACTGGGCATGTCATGCCCATGGGGAACAGGAATTAGGGCCTCAGGCCCACATAAATGGAAAGTTGGAACTGAGAATAGGATATAAAAATAATTTTTGACAATCAAGGTCTGAGAGAGTTTACTAACTCTGAGACTCATATTGAAAGAACTACTAAAGGATGTGCTGTAAGAAAGAGGAAACTGAGCCCAGGAAGGAGAGGGAGTTCTAGAAGTAATAATAATGAAGAAATTGATAAACAACTAGGTAAATCTTTGAATGGATGTAGGATGTTTTAAAAACAGTAATAATAAGACAACAATCAATAACACAGAAGATGGGAGGGTAATAATTACAGTAAAAAGCACTTTAAGGTGCTAATATTGTTTAGGAATTAGAAAAAAATATTGATTAATTTTAGATTTTCTGTTTTTCTTTTTTTGAGACAGCCAGCTCCGTCACCCAGGCTGGAGTGCAGTGGTGCAATCTCGTGCCTTAGCCTCCCGAGTAGCTGGGACTACAAGTGTGCACCACCACAATGCCCGACTAATTTTTGTATTTTTAGTAGAGACAGAGTTTCACCATGTTGGCCAGGCTGGTCTTGAACTCCTGACCTCAAATGATCCACCAGCCTCGGCCTCCCAAAGTGCCGGGATTACAGGCATGAGCCACCGTGCCCAGCCTAATTTTAGATTTTCTAAGACAAGTATGCATATTCAAAATATAAAGGTAATCTCTGAAGAGGTGGTAAAACAATCCATAACCTCCAAGAGAAAACTTGATCAATCCACAGAGGGCCTGGGAACACAAAAGAGAAGCCTACAAAAAGCATGATAAATAGAAAACACAAATTTGGATGGTAAAATAAAATGAAATGTCAGATACTCACTTTTCTAGCCACCCTCGCAGCTAGAGATGGCCATGTGGACCTAGTTCTGGCCAATGAGACATGAGATTTTTCCTCCTTGATAAAAAGAGGGACGTTCAAGGAGCTATCTATGCTATTCAAAGAGAATCTGTTCTGATGTCTCCCCACTTCATGATTTGTGTGTAAGAAAGTGGGGAGGATGGGGGCTGACTGCTGGAAGGAACACTAATAGTGCCTACCAAGTGAACCTTGATAACAACACTGGATAATAACCATACCAAAAAGACACTTATAGGCCAATCTCAGTTGAGAACATAGACATGAAAATACTATATAAAACATTAGCGAATAAAATACCTCAGAGAAAAATGTATCATGACCTAATCAGATTTACCCCTGAAATTGATGAAATTAACATTTAATAAATCTGTGTACTTATTCAGAGTAAAGTCAGGAACACATTAAGGATGCTTGTTATTACCATGTCTATCCAACATTATGTAAAGGCCTAGCCAATGCAATAAAACAAGAGAGAAATAAAGAGGAAAGGAAGAAACAAAATGATCATTTGCAGATAATATGATTGTCTGATAGAAATTTCAGACATTTCTACAGCTGTTAACATCAATATGAGAATTCAGCAAGATTGTTGGGTACAATCCATATAGAAAAATCCACAGCATTATTATACAGCAGGAAAAATAATAGCGAAAATATAATTTAAAAAATTTTTTGTTTATAATAGAAAAAGAAACAAAGTTACCCAGTAATCAGTCTATAAGATATACAAAATCATTTTGGAGAAAAACATAAAACATTTGTGGAAGACGTTTTAAAAGCCCTAGACAAATAGTGAAACATACCATATTCATGGACGGGAAATGTTACAAAGTTGGCATCAAATCTCAAATCAATCTATAAATTTAATAAAAATCTAACTTAAAATGCCAACATGTTGTTTTTTAAAAAATAGAACTGGTGCTGGGTGCAGTGGCTCACCTCTATAATCCTAGTTCTTTGGGAGGTCGAGGTGGGCGATCATGAGGTCAGGAGATTGAGACCATCCTGGCTAATATGGTGGAACCCCGTCTCTACTAAAAATACAAAAAAATTAGCCAGGCATGGTGGCGGGTGCCTGTAATCCCAGCTACTCTGGAGGCTGAGGCAGGAGAATCACTTGAACCCGCTAGGTGGTGGTTGCAGTGACCCAAGATCGCGCCAGTGCACTCCAGCCTGGGCGACTGAGCGAGACTCCATCTCAAAAAGAAAAAAAAAAAAGAACTGGAGGAGATATTTGTAAAATTCATATGAACAATTTGGAAAGTTGAAGGAGGGGCTTGACCTACTAGATATCATTATAAAGCTAATTCAGTAATTACATAAGTAATTAAGGCAGTGGGGTACTAGAGCAGAGTTAAACTCATGGAACAAAGTAGCCCCCAGACAGATCCAAGCCATTATTAGTGCTTTGTATTTAATAGAGCTGGCATAAGAAATTATTGAGGGGAAGATGAACTCTTCGGTATATGATGTTGAGATGACTGGGCTTCTAATTGGAAGAATGACTAGAGCCCTCCTTCACACTACACACACAAATAAACTCCATGGCTGGGCGTGGTGGCTCATGCCTGTAATCCCAACAATTTGAGAGGCCAAGGAGGGAGGATCGATTGAGCCTAGGAGTTCAAGACCAGACTGGGCAACCTGACGAAACCGCATCTCCACAAAAAATACAAAAATTAGCCAGGTGTGGTGGCACACAGCTGTGGTCCCAGCTGTTCAGGAGGCTGAAGTGGGAGGATTGTTTGAGCCCTAGAGGTGGAGGTTGCAATGAGCCAAGATCGTGCCACTGCACTCCAGCCTGGGCAACAGAGCAAGACCCTGTCTCTAAATAAATAAATAAATAGATAGATAAATTCCAGATTGATTAAAAACCTAAATGTGAAAAAATCAGAAGAAAATATATGTAAATAGCTATATTATTTGGAGAGTAGACTAGAACTAATTAAATAAAAAATAAATAAATGGAATCATTAATATTACAACACTAAAATGAAGAGCCTTTGCATAGCAAAAGACACACACATAAAAAGTAAAAAACAAAAACAAAAAAAACCTTTGCATAGTGAAAGACACCAAAATTAAAAGAACCATCCCTGCCTGGAGGTAAGTATTTCAAAATGCACATATAGACCAAGACCAAGGACTAGTATTTAATTTAAAAAAAAAAGAAAAACTCTTATAGATCCTTTTTTTTTAATTTGAAAAAAAAGACAATAATCCAATCAAAAGATGGGCAAAGGATTGAACATGCAATTCAGAAAAGAGGAAATGAGAATGGCTAATATAAACATGAAAAAAATTCCCACCTTATTGGAAAACACAAAATAAAAAAGCAATAGCATCCTCTTTTACACACATCAGATAGACAAAAATTTTAAAAATCTGATAATGCCAGGTGTTCACAAAGATATGTGAAAATAACTCACTTCCAATGCTAGTAAGAGATATAAACTGATACCACCTCTTTAGAGAGCAATGGACAGCAACTGGAAAAGTTGAAAACATATATACATTCCACTTAACAATTATATTTCTAGGTAGAGCCCTAGAAAAATTCTTGCACTGTACACAAGGAGACATTTACCAGGAGATTAGTCCTAATGCTGTATGCAATAGAAAAGAAATGGAAGCGATTCAAGTATCTGTGAATGGGAATACATTATGGCACATTCACGTAATGGAAAATTCCACAGCAGTTCAACTTAATGAACTAGACATACTTTGATAAATTTCAAATGCACATCGTAACGTGCAATATATCAGCTGCAAAAAACAAAAACAAGTCCCGGCACGATGGCTCACGCCTGTAATCCCAGCACTTTGGGAGGCCGAGGCGGGTGGATCACGAGGTCAGGAGATCGAGACCATCCTGGCTAACACGGTGAAACCCCGTCTCTACTAAAAATATTAAAAATTGGCCGGGCGTGGTGGCGGGCACCTGGAGTCCCAGCTACTCGGGAGGCTGAGGCAGGAGAATGGCGTGAACCCGGGAGGTGGAGGTTGCCGTGAGCCGAGATCGCGCCACTGCACTCGAGCCTGGGTGACAGAACGAGACGCCGTCTCAAACAAACAAACAAACAAATGTATATATACACATATAGTATGATGCCATTTATATCTACTATTAAGATATACAATATGCATAATATTACTACATTTATATATATTGTTTACAGACAACCGCATATGTAATAAAAGCACCAAAACATGGAGAAACCACCCTCAGGTTGTGGTTACCTTTGAGGAGGGAGAGGAATGAGTTGGCATGAGAGGAAACTTTACCTGTATCTACTACATTTTATTTTATTTTATTTTATTTTATTTTATTTTATTTTATTTATTTTTTCGAGATGGAGTCTTGCTCTGTCACCCAGGCTGGAGTGCAGTGGCATGATCTTGGCTCATTGCAATCTCTGCCTTCCGGGCTCAAGAGATACTCGTGCCTCAGCCTCCTGAGTAGCTGGGATTACAGGCACATGCTCCCACGCCTGGCTAATTTGTGTATGTTTTAGTAGAGACGGTGTTTCACCATGTTGGGCAGGCTGGTTTCTAACTCCTTACCTCAAATGATCCTCCCACCTTGGCCTCCCAAAGTGCTGGGATTACAGGTGTGAGCCATCGCACCTGGCCTATTCCTTTTTTTAAAAGAAGAAAGTTCATCACAAATATGGGGAAATGTTAGTTTGTTAAATCTGAATGGTAATGTTAAAATTCAGAAGTGTACACCAACAATGGTCTATTTTACTGTAATTTAAAAATAAAATCGAAAATATAAATTCTGGGTGGCAGATACATGCATGTCTGTTACCTTTCTCTCGATTTTTTATATATTTTTTATGTAAGTGAAATTCTCCACAATTAAACATAATATTTTAAAAGTAAATTAGGTGGAGAAATGAAACCTGGTTACTGTCAAAACTGGATGGATTAGTGACTGATTGAATAACAAAAGGTACAGATGATGGATAGTGGCAACCAAGAGAGAAAATTCTATGTGTAACTTAAAAATAATGTGATTTAGTAATGTGACTCAGAAGTCTGAATTTGGTCCTATTGGATTTTTTAAGCCAACATCTGGCTAAATATCTAGAAGATATCCTTTCCATACCCTTGAGAAACCCACAGCCAGGAAGGATGATAACTCTAAAAGACTGAGTGAGGGCTGGACGCAATGGCTCACACCTGTAATTCGAGCACTTTGGGAGGCTGAGGCAGATGGATCACTTGAGGTCAGGAGTTCGAGACCAGCCTGGCCAACATGGTGAAACCCTGCCTGCTAAAAATGCAAAAATTCGCCAGGAGCGGTGTCAGACGCCTGTAATCCCAGCTACTCGGGAGGCTGAGCCGTGAAAATCACTTGAGCCTGGGAGGCAGATGTTGCAGAGAGCCAAGACTGCACCACTGCACTCCAGCCCGGGTGACGGAGTCAGACTCCATCTCAAAAAATAATAATAAAAATAAAAATAAATAAAATAAAAGACTGAGTGAGGATCCAGAAAAACTTCAGTAGTTTGGAATTACAGGCCATTTTCTATCAAGATGAAATTAAATAGGGGCAAGTATATGGTCTTATCTTTGGATCCCAAAATACAAATTATATAAGTATGGGATGAAACACTGATAACTTTGCAATGGCCTGTTTGAAAGAAATACAGTGGGTTTAGTTGACAATTCAATATGAAGCAATTATACATACACACACACACACACACACACAATAATTTAGTGTGTGTGTAATAGATTATACAGCTGCAAAAATTATTCTTCAACTGAATCAATAAAAGTAACGTAAAATATCTAAAACCATGTACTTGATAATCTTGCCCAATTTTCCACTAGTCAGAACATACTTGGAATATTTTTATCTGTTCCTAAATGGCACACTTTAAAATGGATATAGACAAACTATATCTAGAAACTCAAGTGATAGAAAGAATGACTGAAGAAACCAAGGATATTTAACCCGGAAAAGCTAGACTTGAGTGTATCATGGTGCCATTAGATGGAGAAGACTCAGAACTGTGTATGCCACAAGACCTCACTTAGCAGGACCAATGGGACCAAGACCAGTGGGTAGGAATGCCAGGAGAAAGACTTCGGCTCAGGTTAAGGAAGAAATTTCCAAGCACACAAACCATCTCAGAATGCCTTATAGTGGATTTTGCTATTGCTGGAGGTGTTTCAGCAAGAGTGAGACCCTGTTCATCAGGGTGTCCTGAAGCAGATTCAAATATCTAATAGGCGGTTGAACATATTGGGTGGCTGGTTAAGTTGGACAGCCTGGAAGATCCTTTTCAACCCTAACTTTCTACACTCAAACTATCTATCAGTCATTGATTGTCCTGATTCTCCTCCAGCATACATATGTAACCAATGAGGCACAAGAAAAGAAGTATTTTTAGTTATGCTTGCACCATTCTAAACCAGGTCCACCATTTCATAATTTTAAAAAGTTCTTGGGCGTATTTGGTAGAGTATGGATGCATATTTTGGAACCAGGGAGATTATGAGTTAGCAAGAGAGAAAGAAAAAAATTGACAGAATATGAATTAATTAGATAAATCCCCATCATCATAAAAGAAAACCAAATCCATTGTTTAATCATCACAACGTAGAGCCACCTCAAGGTGACTCAAGTCCTCCATGCATAAGTCATGTGACTGCCTTGTGGGTTGGGCTGCTTCAGAGTCATAATTCATTAAACGAGTATTTGCTGAAATGTACGACGTACAACACATTGTGCAGGCATTGGAGAGAATCCCTTAAGAAATAAGCCATGGTCATGGTTCTTGCCTCCTGATCAAGGTAGGGTCCAAGGCATTTTCATAAGTCCACAGGGCAGTGGGTCCTGATTGTTGGACCGGCCGTAACTAAGATGTTCCCAGTGCCCATTTAATAATGTACACAGACAATTATCATTGACCTATGGACCTGAACGCATGAGCCGGCATAGTGAGTGGATTCTCTTCCTTACATCAATCTGTATGGGAAGTCAAACCACATTCAGAAACTGCCTTATTGATTACCTAAAGTAATTATTAGAGGCACTGGAAATATTCAAAGCCTGTGTAATCACAGCCTACTCTCCAGTTAATGTGGAAATGAGAAAGTTGCTCAAAGGGGAGTTAGAGTCCACAATAATTATTATCACTAAGCAAAGATAGTGTAAACATCCATCTATCGACCACTGGTGTGCTTTGGCTGGTGGTTATGTTGTCTGTGGGGGATGAGTGGCAGACAGGCCAAAAAGGAGGCGTGAGGCTTTAGCAGTTAAGGTCCACAGTTGCCAGCAAGAGAAACTGAGTCTCTTGAGCAGAAAGGACATTTCATGGAAAGATGTTAGGAGCCCTCAGGATCATCTGGAGGCTTAAGAGTGGGCAGAAATCAACAGCCCCATGATGACAGCCATCTTTAAGTAGAGCCAGATGGCGTCATTCTGCCCTCATCACCCCCTACCTCTGCTGCCTGCAGCCATCAGCACCGCAGCTGCCCTGAGTAGATCTGAATTGTCCTGTTTTTCTTTCCACCACTTGTTCCAAAATCCCAAACACAAGTGTCCCATTGGGTTCCCAGACCAAGCCCTGGGCTACCAGTGAATGGGAGAAAGGAACTGCTAAACCGTTTTCCAAAGTGGCTGCACTGTTTTATATTCCCACCAGGAATGCAATAGGGCTCCAATTTCTCCACATAATCACTGACGCTTGCTATTGTTGTCTTTTTGATGATAGCCATCCTAGTGGGTGTGAAGTGGTATCTCGCTGTAGTTTTCATTTGCTTTTCTCTAGTGACTAATGTTGACCGTCTCTTCATGTGTTCATTGGCCATTTGTATATCTTCTTTGGAGAAATGTCTATTCCTTTGCCAATTTTTTAATTGGGTCCAATGTCCGTTGAAAATGCCATTTATCCTTTTAATACATGCCTCTCATTTCCCAGAGATTGTGGGGTTGCTTCATCTTCTGGCCCCCTCCTACAGCATCTGACATACTGTTGATATATAGTACATTATGATGGTTGCCTAATATATTTGGTATATGAGTACTAATGCATTAGTACATTTACATTAGTACTAATACAATAATACATTGGGTAATTAAGAGGGAATCTCGCTCTGTCACCCAGGCAGGAGTGCGGTGCTGTAATCTTGGCTCACTGCAACCTCCGCCTCCCAGGTTCAAGCGATTCTCCCGCCTCAGCCTCCTGAGTAGCTGGGATTATAGACACCTGCTACCACGCCGGGCTAATTTTTGTGTTTTTAGTAGAGACGGGGTTTTGCCATGTTGGCCAGGCTGGTCTCGAACTCCTGACCTCAGGTGATCCGCCCACCTTGGCCTCCCAAAGTGCTGGGATTACAGGCATGAGCCACCACACCCGGCGTGTGCTTGGGCTTTTGATCCAGTTCAGTTAACCAAGTAAGTAGTATGCCTTGACACGTCTTCAAAAATCCTGGTTACAACTGGCATCCAAGGAATGGGGGCATGATACTAATCAAATTCTAGAATAGTGATTCTAAATAAAACCTGTCACCCAGAAACATATGAAGGTGGACTTTTCTTTTGTCACCTTTTCTTTTCACTTCGTCGCTAGCATCTCTCGGATCCCTTCCCACTGAAGCCCAGGAGGGGAGGGAATGGGGGTGGGGGTGGAGGGGCACTGGAGAAAAGATGGAGGCTATTTTTAGGCTTGTTTTTCAACCATGAAGTGTCATGTTCTTCACCACCCTGGCTGCTGGATTAATTAGGCTGTGCTGGCAGCTGCCAGTCAGGGAGGGTTGCCAGCTTCTAACGGTGATTCCGCCTAATGCCTGAATTGATTTTCAGGGAGAGAACATTTTTCCCGCTACATGGCCCTTGCCTTCCACGGCAATGTCTCCTGGCCTCTGATGGCTTTGGGTAGGAGAGGATAAAGCTTTCATAAGTCATGAACTCTTTTTTAACTGATGGGCTTGCAAAGCTACCAGCTGGTCCTTTTACCTAACAGCTTGTTGATAGAACCTTGTGGTCATGGCTTGGGTCTCTCTTTCCCATTTCTGCTTCCTGTTCTCCCAGATCTTCCCCAAAATAAGCTCAGTGCCCAGAACTTGTGTGGCTTTGGGATATTCCACTGCCCGGGCAACAGGCAATAGAGACAGCATCAGAGACATAGACTCTGACCAAATAGCTCATTTTCATGCTATTTTTCCAAGAATCTCTATGGTGATTGTTAACTTCTAGATATACAAAGACAATATTTAGTCATTAAAAAAATACTTATTGAGGCCGGGTGTGGTGGTTCACGCCTGTAATCCCAGCACTTTGGGAGGCTGAGGCAGGAGGATCCCTTGAGGCCAGGAGTTCGAGACAAGCCTGGGCAACATAGTGGGACTCTGTCTCTACAAAAACTTTAAGATATAGGCAGGCGTGGTAGCACACTCTTGTAGTCCTAGCTACTCAGGAGGCTGAGGCAGGAGGACTGCTTGAGCCCAAGGGTTCAGGGTTGCAGTGAGCTATGATGGCACCGCTGCACTCCAGCCTGGGTGACAAAGTGAGACCCTGCTTCTAAAATATGGGTCTCCCAGCACTTTGGGAGGCCAAGCAGGCAGATCACTTGAGGTCAGGCGTTTGAGACCAGCCTGGCCAACAAGGTGAAACCCTAGCTCTACTAAAAATACAAAAATTAACCAGGTGTGGTGGCATGCCTGTAGTCCCAGCTACTCTGGAGGCTGAGGCATGAGAATTGCTTGAACCCAGGAGGTGGAGGTTGCAGCGAGCTGAGATTGCATCACTGCATTCCAGCCTGGGTGACAGAGCAAGACTCTGTCTCAAAATAAATAACATAAAATATGGGTCTCTCTATCCATTTATTCATTTATTTTTATTTTTTTACCAAAATATATAAGCTGCTGCCCATGCTATGTTTGAAAGATGGCTCCTTATCTAGTAATAGCTGGTCAAGTTACTTGACTATGTGAATATTAGACTGTATACATAGTCTATACATATATATATACACACACATACACAGACGGAGAGACAGAAACACCTGCTGGGCATCACACACCGTTCTAGGTGCTGGGGTTGCAATAGTGAACAGAGCAAACATCCCTGCCCTGGTGGGACTTGCATTCCACTCGGGAGTGACAGTGCACAATAGCCATAATAAAGAACAGTATATTGGCCAGGTGCGGTGGCTCACCCCTATAATCCCAGCACTTTGGGAGCCCGAGGTGGGTGGATCAAGACCATCCTGGCTAACATGATGAAACGCCATCTCTAGGAAAAATACAAAAAATTAACCGGGAGTGGTGTCCCGCGCCTGTAGTCCCAGCTACTCGGGAGGCTGAGGCAGGAGAATCACTTGAACCTGGGAGGTGGAGGTCATGCCACTGCACTCCAGCCTGGGTGACAAAGTGAGACTCCATCTCAAAAACAAAAACAAAAACAAAAACAAAAACAAAACAGTATATCGTCTAGAATATATACTTTTATATAGTCTGTATACTTATGTATATTACATATTATTTATATAGGGAGACTATATATGTATATATATATATATATATATTTAGAAGGTGATAAGTGTTATGGAAAATAATAGAGCACATGGGGTGCTTCCTTCCAACCTTTCAGTCCATGCTATCCTATTCTGTCCCCATCTGAGTACTTAAGGACTTGTGAGGGACTCTCATGCTACCGGGCCCCTCTTCCCTGTGCTCCTGTAGGAACTCATAGAAACAGAATGTTTAGGCCTGGTTGGGATCTCAGAGGTTTTCCAGGAGGCTTTCCACCTGGGTTCTGCCTCACTGCTGATGGATGATGGTGTGTCCTGTGTCGCCTTGCCAGGGGCTTCTCAGCACACTGTCCACATAACCCTGATGCTGTCCAAGCTGAGCCTTCCAGGAACCTGCAGGAGGCAGGCTCCTTTTCCCAGAATCCTGACACAAACTGTCTTGTTAAGCAGGGAGGTCGGGGGTGGGGCCCGTGAGTCCAAGTTCAAGGAACTTGGTTTCTGGCCAGTCCCTGCCGGGGAGGCCCCGGCAGCCTTGCCTCCCACAGCTGATAACTCTGGTCCCGAAACTGCTCACTTCCCTACTGCCATATAAACAATTACATTAAGAGCACAAGTAAAAGACCAGCCAGAACAATCACTTAGAAGAGTAACTAAATGAATCAGAGCAGCTGGAGAAGATATTTTAAGACCCCAGAAATCACTGCACATAGAACTGGATGGGGGCAATTGATTATGAATCAAACAGATGTCAATTGCCAGTTTTAGTACAAGAAGGAAACAAAAGGTCAGTATATTCCTCCTGGACTATCTTGTGAGAAATGAGGATATGAAGGTAGCAGAGTTCTATTTAAAATGAGCTGCAGTCATTTCAGCATAATCTCAGTGCAGAACATGGCAGGTTTTAGGTACGCTGTTGAGAAGAAAATTCCAGGACTGTCTTTTCTGCTGGGAATGTTCAAGTTCTGGTAAAGGCCAGGTGCACTGGCTCATGCCTGTAATCCCAGCATTTCAGGAGGCCGAGATGGGAGGATTGCTTGAGCCCAGGAGTTTGATTCCAGTCTGGGCAACATAGTGAGACCCCATCTCTACCAGAAAATTTAAAAATTAGCTGGGTGTGGTGGTGCATGCCTTTAGTCGCAACTACCAGGGAGGCCAAGGCAGGAGGATCACTTAAGCCCAGGAAGTCAAGGCTGCAGTGAGATACGATCATGCCACTGTACTCCAGCCTGGGCAACAGAGCGAGACCCTGTCTCAAAAGAGAAAAAGAACAAAATAAAATTTCTAGTTAAGACCACCGTAATTCTGACCCCTGTTGAGAAAATGAAATTAGACTCTATTTAGACACGTTTGGCCTAATGATGTTCAAAACCTCCTGGAGCCAAAGCCCAAGTGAGCATACATTGCAATGTGAGATCAGGTACCAGGGGGAGTTTTGAATTTTGTGATCATAGGGATCGTAAAGTACCAGAAGCTTCTAATGGAGGGATGATTTAGGTTCTGCTCCAGAAGCTCTTTATGAAGTAGGTAAACACCCATAACCTGAGACCAGTTCAGATTATGCCTGCCCCTGAACCTTCTTATTAAATCAGTTGTGATTTCGGGAACCTTGGGGAATTTATGACATGAGAGATGATCTGCCAGGGTTCAAAACCTTGTTGCTGCTGATGCTTTGGGCTGGATCTTTATTTGCTGTGGTGGTGGGGGGCGGCTATCCTGTGCATCATAGGAGGCTGAGCCGCACCCTGGGCCTCTCTCTGCTCAGTAGATGCCAGTAGCACTGCCCACCCCACCTCGCCTCTGTTGAGACAACCGAAAATGTCCAGACATTGCCAGGTGTCTCCTGCAGGAGGCAAAATCTCCCTCTAGTGAGAACTCCTGTTCTAGGGTGACCAACCATCCCAGTTTGCCTGGAACTGAGGGATTTTCTGGCAGGTGGGACTTTCAGTGTTAAAACCAGGGAAGTCCCAGGCAAACCAGATGAGTTGTCCACTTGGCTGTGTCATTGATATGTTCTATTTTATACCAACGTTTAAAAGTAAGAACCCGGGCTGGCCATGGTAGCTCATGCCTGTAATCCCAACACTTTGGGAGGCCAAGGCGGGTGGATCACTTGAGGTCAAGAGTTCGAGACCAGCCTGGCCAACATGGTGAAACTTTGTCTCTACTAAAAATACAAAAATAAGCCTGGCGTGGTGGCATGCACCTGTAATCCCAGCTACATGGTAGGCTGAGGCTGGAGAATCGCTTGGACCTGGGAGATGGAGGTTGCAGTGAGCCGAGATTGTGCCACTGCCCTCCAGCCTGGGCGACAGAGCAAGCCTCTGTCTCAAATAAATAAATAAAGTGAGTAAGAAACCAAAGCTTTTGAAAAGTCTGTCTTTGGGAGGCATTGACAAGGCATCTGGGGGAATATGATGCTGCTTGTGGTATCATTTTGCCCCTCTTTTTCCTCAATGTCTCTAAAGCCTGAGCCCTGGTGAGATGGGCCATTGGAGGTTTGATCCTAGCCCATAGACCAAGGAGACTCGATTCAAACTTGCTGCCTTTCTAATAGAGAGGCTCTTGTTTGACACTTAGAGTGAGCATGAGTGACAGACTTTTTCTTGGAATTGTAGGCTGTGTGACAGTATACATCATGAAAGTGACAGCAACAGTGGGGACTAATTTAATTCCATTTTCCTTTGCAGGCCCTGATAAATCATTGCTGCAGGGAAAAATAAATTTTACTTTCTCAGACAAATGATTGGAATAATGATGTGCTGTGAGGAAATCGGGGGCTGAGAGAAGATCTGTTGGTGGGCTTAAAAGTATTTAAATAGCGCATCATGGAACTTGTTGCAAATACCTCTCGCGTCTGGCCTGGAAAATACCAGAAGGAACCTCCTTTCCAGACTGATTAGAAGAGTTCAGGCCGGGCGCGGTGGTTCATGCCAGTAATCCCAGCACTTTAGGAGGCCGAGGCGGGCGGATCACCTGAGGTCAGGAGTTCAAGACCAGCCTGGTCAACATGGCGAAACCCTGTCTCTATAGCTTGAACCCAGGAGACGGAGGTTGCAGTGAGCCAAGATTGCGCCACTGCACTCTCGTGTGGGGATAGAGCGAGACGTCTCCCAAAAAAGGAAGAAGAGTTCCATAAAATATCAGCTATCTTGACTAAATGATCGTGGTTTTTTAGGCCATCTCAATGGAAAAGGTCATTGATTATCGTGCTGCATATCCTATATAAGTTGGTGGCTGAAACAGCTAAAATAGATTCTAGAATCTGGGGTCCTGAGGGACCATTTACAAATAGAAAAAGTCTCGACTTGGATGGAAAATTGCCAATAATTTTCACCTCCCTTCCAGAAAATGACTGTGGCTCAGGAGTATAGTTCTGCTGGGAGGCTTTTAAATTGCTATAGGAAATGAATTACGGGGCGAGGAGGTACTTGGGCCCCGGACTACTACTATGCATGAGGATTGGAGTGAATTTGAGGAGGGGTGCAATGTAGATGGAACCCCTGCCCACAAGAGGACAGTGGAGAAGGGGCTTTAATACCGTAGGGAGACATATGCGCTTTGTCTAAGCTAAACAATGCCTGGCTTACGTGAGGGAGATTCTCCAACCCTGAGTCAGTCCATTAAAAGCACAAGAAAATCACCTGCCTGCAACCAGAATCCACATCTTCCCACACTACCATTGGCATATTGCGCTAGGGTGTGGGGGCAAACAGGAAGGAACCAGGGGAAGTTTTGCTCATGACCATTTCCTGCACGCGAGCCAGTGTAATTTTCCCACTGTCAGCGTCACCTGAGTTGCACTCCAACTTCGGTGATGGATGGAATACATCATCAGCGAAAGCTATAAAAACCCCATCCTTTTGAGCAGCGTGAACGTAAGGGAAATGAGCAGTTACTGCAGAGAGGATTTTATAGGAGTGAAAAATTCTGCATCAGAGCAGCAAGAAGGATTGTTATGTGAATGATCAAACTGCTTCTGCTGACTCCTCAGAGCCCGCCTAAGAGCAGGGGCCTTCATCTGACACTCACTCCACTTCCGGGGAACTTTGCTTTCCTATTTGTTTTAACCCTGATTAACAGCGCAGAGCTATGGGTTAGGTCCGGCCAGCCACTGAGAGTCCATCTTTGTGTTTTCAAAAGCCAGGCCTGGTTACTGTCAGAAATAAGAGAAACAACTGGAAAAGACAGGCAAGGTACGCAGTATTTTACGGGCTCTGATTGTCATTTAGATTTCGCATCCAAGAGGGGTTTGAGACTTGGGGTTCTGTTAGCTCCATGTCCCTTCCAGCCTCCTGGTTCTATCAGCTTGGAATTCAAAACCGCTTCTTGATGTTTCTTATTTCCAACATGTAGCTAAGTTGCTGAGAGTATACGTCGTCTTCCTGGATCCGATCGACTGCTAGGCATGAGTGGCCCAGACACTTAGCTATAGGCCCCAGAGTAGAAAAGTAGCAAATGGTAGCCTCTGGAAGGACAGAAACACTTGGTTATCGGGCTGGAATAAAAATGAAATCATGGGCCGGGCGCAGTCGCTCACACCTGTAATCCCAGCACTTTTGGAGGCCGAGGCGGGTGGATCATGAGGTCAGGAGATCGAGACCATCCTGGCTAATACGGTGAAACCCCGTCTCTACTAAAAATACAAAAAATTAGCCGGGCGTGGTGGCTGGCGCCTGTAGTCCCAGCTACTCAGGAGGCTGAGGCAGGAGAATGGCGTGAACCTGGGAGGCGGAGCTTGCAGTGAGCCGAGACTGCACCAGTGCACTCCAGCCTGGGTGACAGAGCGAGACTCCGTGTCAAAACAAAACAAAACAAAACAAACAAAAAAGTGAAATCATGCAGATGTATCTTAAGGAATAGAAATATTACATATTTCAATATAATATTTAAGGAATTAGCTGGGGCTGCACTGTTCTCTAAGTTTTGCCTCTGAAGAAAAACAAAACATTGCTTTCTGGTTTGCAAAAGACCCTGGGACCTGTGCCTTTTGAGAATTTGTTTTCTGCAAATGACTGCTCCAGAGGAACAGCTGTGTCATTTTATTGGCTTTCTAATAACTTTCCGAAACAAATTGCTGCAAATTAGGTGGATTAAAACAACACAGATTTATCCTCTAGCAGTTCTGGGGGCCGGAAACCCAAAATCAAAGTGTTGTTTTCTTCTGGGGAAACTGAGAGAGAATCTGTCCCGGGCCTCTGTCCCAGCTTCTTGTGTTCTTTGGCTTGCAGCAACATCATTTCCATGTCTGCCTCTGTCCTTGCATGGCTGTCCCCTCGGTGTGTCTCTGAGTCTCAAATCTCTTTCTCCTTTCTCTTATAAGGATACCAGTCATTGGAGTTAGGGCTTACCCTAAATCCAGGATGATTTCATCTTGTGATCTTTAAATTAATTACATCTGCGAAGAGCCTATTTTCAAATCAGGTCATATTCACAGTTACTGGAGATTAAGATGTGGATCCATCTTTTGGGGCAGACACAATTCAACCCACTACAACTGTATTTTGTTGCTCTTCCTATCTCTAAGTTGCTGCTCTCTGTTGGTTTTGTCCATTTTCAAAATGTCACTTGTATGAGTTGCTTAGGCTGACATCTATCTCTAAGATTAGCTTCCTCTCCCTGCCAGTGTTTGGGCTTAAACATTCCGTGATACCACTCCTAGGAGGCAAAGGTCAGGCTGGCCAACCCTCCAAACATGGAACCCTTCAGGCCCTGAATTCTCATGTCTTTGCAAATCCAAAGAGGACAGGCTGACAGTCTGATGGAGTCCCCCACCAGGCTGTAGCCTTCTGTCTTTACACATTTTGAGAGCACTTGAATATGCACGGGAAAAAGTTAACTATGACAAAGACCGAAGAGATGGGGAAAGGGCAGCTGTGGAGAAAAGAGATGCCCCAGAATCCCCCTGATTTCTCCAGCATTTTATCCAGAAAGATGTGGTAGTGTGGTGAGACTCTGAACAGACTCCAATTGTCTTTTTTCTTTCTTTCCTCTTAGCAAACTGCCTAGTTGGGCTAGAGCTGTTGTCCCCAAAATATTTTATGTGACAGAGAAGGCTTGGAACTATTATCCCTACACAATTACAGGTAAGTCCTTAGTACAACCATATGGCACATGTAGTGAGTGCAAGGACATAGCATAGTTGAATTTCACTGATTTACAGTGGATTATCCAAGCAGGGCCTTGTGGGAGCCCCGTAGTATCCCTCTTTTTTTTTTTGGTTTCTTACTTGTAGGTTATCAACACTTCTAACACAGACACAGAGATGGCAGGTGACAGGGGGGTTAAGCTAAGCCATTCCATCTTCGTTCTTAGAGTTACAATAAATAGTTTACGGAGGGCCAGGCGCAGTGGCTCACTCCTGTAATCCCAGCACTTTGGGAGGCCGAGGCAGGTGGATTACGTGAGGTCAGGAGTTCGAGACCAGCCTGCCCAACATGGTGAAACCCCGTCTCTACTAAAAATACAAAACCAGGAGGTGGAGGTTGCAGTGAGCCAAGATTGTGCCACTGCACGCCAGCCTGGGCAACACAGCGAGACTCCGTCAAAAAAAAAAAAAAAAAAAGCTTATGGAGAAGGAAGGTGAAGATCTTTATAGAGACATTTCCAGAGGTTTTATGATTCTTATTTCCCTGTTTCCTCAATAATTCCCAAGTAATTTAGGGGTATAATTTGTCTGTAAACAAGTTGCTTATTATGACTTGTTTGTTTTTACCACTCCAAATTTTGACTATACTTTGTATAAAAGATTCTATTGGATCTCTCTTTGCCCCCAGATGACTTCCTTTGCTATTAGATAATATGAAAATATTTAAGGTCAGTCTCCCTCTCACTTGCAATGCGATGACAATAAACTCTTTGTACTGAATACTGTCCTAGAAACTTTGGCCAAAAAAACTCAGAAGGTTTGGTTCCTGCCCTCAAACACACCAAAATTTGAAATCCCACCTCAACGTCATCAATAACAAGCTCTTCTTATTGGTTACAAAAGCTGCTTTTCCACTTAAAAGATTTCCTTTGTGGTTAATGAAATACTCTACTGGAATTATTAGTCTTTCATTTGCTTTTATAATGCCAACTCTTTGGTTTTTAATTAGCCACAAGCCTATAGGCTAATTGAATCTTGTCTTACTGTTCTTATCTGCCCAACCACATAAGTATCATGAAAGAATTTCAGTGCAACACGGAGACATTCAGTATTTATGAAAGTTTCATTAGGACATCTTTTGTAATTATAGTTCGTCAGTATTTGTTAGTTCTGTGGTTTTTATATTGCATATAAGCATGATCTAAATCATCTTTTGTCTCTTTTTTCTTTCCTCTCTTCTTCAAATGAACATGTGGAAACAGAATACACAGTAAGTTCCATTTAATTATTTTTAAACATTCTGTCTATGATCAGTGGAGTAATTGGAATGTCTCTTGTATTACTTGTCTTATCAATGTAATAATTAAAAAGGGGAATAATTCCAAGTCAGAAATATTTAAATGTAGGCTATTGCATCGTTATATATAATGCAATAATTTGAATGTTCTCATTTGTTCAAGAATGTGAATCCTAATTGAAATCGCCTTGATAGTCACTTTACGTAATCAGCCTTTGCTTGTAATTTTTAAATAGCTTGACTGCTTTGTTGGTGATAGTTCACTATAATAAAAGAACAGTTTCTAGCAACGTGATATTAAAGAGATGATGGTAGTTATCGATGGAAGGTGGGGCTTTTACTCATGGACTGTGTCCTGATTCCTTGTTGGAGAAGCTTGAAAGTGAAGAGGCACATGTGCAAACTATTTTGCACAACAGAGATCTGGGTTGGGCAGTCGCTGTGGCTTGATAAAATTTCTTCTTCTCCTAAGAGCCTCTAGGGTTATTACTTAGACTGAAAGAAAAAAAGACAGAACCTATAATATCATTGTGTTGTGGTATTTTCATTTAGATCATTTTCCCAAGCAGCTAACAGGTCAACCTATCACAACAAGAAAATAGTTTATGATTTTTTTTTTTTTTTTTTTTTGAGATGGAGTCTCGCTCCATCACCCAGGTTGGAGTGCAGTGGCACAATCTTGGCTCAACAGAAACTTTCACCTACCGGGTTCAAGCAATTCTCCTGCCTCAGCCTCCCAAGTAGCTGGGATTACAGGTGTGCACCACCACGCCCGGCTAATTTTTTTATTTTTGGTAGAGATGGGGTTTCACCATGTTGGCCAGGCTGGTCTCGAACTCCTGACCTTAGGCGATCCGCCCACCTTGGCTTCCCAAAGTGTTGGGATTACAGGTGTGAGCCACCACACCTGGCTAATAGTTATGATTTTCTGAGCTGTGTTAAGAGTTGAGTTTTTGGGTTCAATCCAAATAGCCAAAGGATAGAGAGGTGGTGAGAGAAATGGAAGAAAATGATTTGTCATGCCCTGGGCAGGAGCATAGTACCCAACGCATCGTAGGTGCTCAATCAATAGTTATTGAATGACAGAATGAACACACAAATTCTAGATAGATAAATGGTCCCAGCACAGGCTTTGGCGTCAGAAAGGCTTGGCTGTCCTCTGGTTTTGCCACTCACTGCCAGAATTCCTAAGCGACTGGCTCCCAACTGCCAGTTCTTGAATTCACACTGGTCCTCGACTATGTTCTCACCAGTCCTCTGCAGAATGAAGAAAAAACAGGAATAGTATTCAGAGATTTTCATAACATTAAATTTATTTCATCCAAAGTACTGTTGGTAATTATATCCCATCATACTCGGATATTAAAATATCTTTTCTTTTTTGAAATGATAGGAATATATATAGTATTTCCCCCCGCAATGTCCCTAACTTTGAAAAAAGAGGCAATTTTATGGCAAAATGCAAATGTAAAATTTTAGAAGCAGGGGAACCTTTGCTCTAGAATGAACATCTTAACTTTTCTGAACCTGTTTCCTCTTTTCTGAAATTAGAATAATCCCTCCTTCCTAGAGATGTTAGCGGAAGGATTCAGTGGTCTACCCTTGGATTGGAAAACATTGTCTTTAGAGGGTCATATTGTAAATGTTTTCTGTTTTGTGAGTCATATAGTCTCTGACACTGCAAGAGCAGCCTTAGATAGTATGTAAACAAATTAGCATGGTCATATATGCCCAGGCAGCGGGTCAAATTTGTCCCCCAGGCTACTTTGCCAACGCTAAATATAAAGCTGTTAGCACACTGCCTGTATACAGCAGGTAATTAAATGATTCCCTACCACCAACACTACCCCCTAGTTCCATTGCTTCTGGCAACTGCATAATCATCAAGAGGTAGACTTTGGGCCGGGTGCAGTGGCTCACACCTGTAATCCCAGCACTTTGGGAGGCCGAGGCAGGTGGATCACTTGAAGTCAGGAGTTCCAGACCAGCCTGGCCAACATGGTGAAACCCTGTCTCTACTAAAAATACAAAAAAAAAAAAAAAAAAAAAGGTAGTTGGGTGTGGTGGCGGGCGCCTATAATCCCAGCTACTTGGGAGGCTGAGACAGGAGAATCATTTGAACCCAGGAGGCAGAGGTTGCAGTGAGCTGAGATCACACCACTGCACTCCAGCCTGGGCAACAGAGTGAGAGTCCATCTCAAAAATAAAAAATTAAAAAATTAAGTCAACGGTCATTTATTAGGCATCAGTGAGGTACAAAACATCATGCTAGATGGCATAACTGAGCAATTATCTCTGTCATTTGGGGTCACAATCTGGTTGGAAATAGCTGGACATTCCAGTCAAAGCCTGGCAGTCATCAGCAAGTGCTGGGCTTTTCTGGAGGCAAGAGGGGACTTAGCCAAGGAAACAAGCTGGCCTCAGACCTGTCCACTGGGCTGGATAAGCTCTGAACTGAGCTGCCAGCAGAGATTCAGACCTCAGCAGAGGGCAGAATCAATGACTCTGGGGAATCCAACCAGATAAAGCAGTTGCAATGTGAAAAGAAGGGTGCTGGCCTCTGCATTGGGGCCTTGAGTTTTGGGGACAGGGCTACAGTCCCCAATGTGGGAGACAGGAAGAAAAGTACACAGCACTCAAGGAGGTTACTCAGTATCATGGTGCTGGGGAGATAAGGTTGTCAACCTTAGTAAGTGAAAATACAGAATGTCCAGGTAACTTTGAATTTTCAGATAAACAGTAAATAATATTTAGTATAAGAGTGTCCCACATGTTGCATGGGACATAATTATGCCAAAAGATTGTTGTCTCATATTTTGTCTGGCAAATTTATGGGAGAGAGATGGTGGTGTGGAAGAACTGGTCTCAGAGACTCAAGTACAAAAATCAGTTATGAGAACAGGGCACACTGATGGGCCAAGGGAAGGGAGGGGTCCAGAAGTATGTAATGTGGGAACCCATCCTGCAATTGACATGCCATAGGAACTCTAAGGTCAGACCAGAGATTCAGCCATCTGGTCTGAATCTCTGCTGGCAGCTCAGCTCAGAGCTTGTCCAGCTCAATGGACAGGTCTGAGACTAACAGTCAAATGCACTGATGGGACCACTCCAAGAGCCTTCCTGCCTCAGTTAGGATTGGCTCAGGAGGTGGAATGGAAGGAGCTAGGCAGAGTTCGGGAAAATTAAGTGGTAGCAGATGAATACATAACTGTCAGCATTTTAAGGAAGAACTGTGTTGCATGTAAGTGTTAGAGCTGAAGTGCAGACAGAGGATTGTAGGAAGGAGAGAGGGATTCTGCCAGGGAGAAATATGAGGAGGTTTCTCAGAGAAGGTCGCATTTGGGCTGGACCTGAAGGGACAGTACAACTCCCCCTGCAGAGGCCTGTTCTGTGTTAGCTCATGTTGCTCTAATGAAACACCACAGACTTGGGGGCTTGAGCAGCAGACATTTATTTCTCACAGTTGCAGAAGCTGAAAGTGCGACTGGGTTCCTGGTGAGGGCTGTCTTCCTGGTAAGCACGTGGCCATCTTCTTGCTATGCCCTCACATGGCAGAGACAGAGCAAGTTCTCTGGTCTCATCTTTGAAGGGCACTAATCCCATCATGAGGGCCCCACCCTCGTGACCTCATCCCTACCTGATTAGTCCCAAAATCCCATCTCCAAACACCATTGCACTGGGGATTACAGCTTCAACATAGGAATTTGGGGGAGACACAGTTCGGCCCATAGTATGCTCCTTCCAGGACCAGTGGGCAAGTGATGGAGGTGGATCCTGGCCACCTGGACACATGGATGGAGGGCAGGTCGTGGTGTTTTCAATGTCAGGTCAAGGTCTAGATTTAATTCTCTGTGAGGAGGTCACATTGTTCCTGGCTAGTTCACTTTTATTTTCCATCCCAAATATAGGACAGCTTTTCTTTCCATCTCCCTGGTGACAAGGGGATCCGGATTTTTCTCTCTGGCTCTAGTGCAGTCCTCCGGGCCCACAGTGTGCGGTTTGAAGCTGCCACCTCTTGACTCAGATTCAGCCGTGTTCTCACGCTCTCTGTCCACGACAGCCCTGGTGGCAGAACCCACCCTTGACTCTGACTACAGAGTCTGCACCCAGGATTTATGACAGATGCTTTCAGTTGCCTTAGTCTTTTTTCCTGTTTTAAATGCTTTTGAATTGTGCTCTTTATCCCCTGATCCTTTAATCCTAAATACCTCTTCTTGCTGTCTTTCCCAAGCTCCATAGTTCCTGTTCGGTGCCTCAAAGCAAAACTTCCCCAAGGTCAGAGCCCCAGTTAGGATCACGGTGCCCTTCCTTTCCTCAGAGAGGCAGCCCGGAGGGCTCAGAAACCTCCAAACCAATGTCTCTTCTTGGAAAGCATTAGTCCAGAGCACGAGGATGTCTATACTAGGATCCCCTAGGTCTTATATCTGACTGTTTAGCCTATTACTCAGACCTCATGCTGCCCTCATTCGTGACAAAGCCCAGGCAAAGAAACCTATTTAGAGTCATCTAGGGCTTCAGCACTATCACAATTATCAAGACATAAGAGCTTTTTCATCACTGTGAGTGACTGCGTGTGTTTAGAATTATGTGGAAATGCCATTTGCCCAGGAAGTGGGAAAAACATCTTTAGCTTGCTTATGGGAAAAAAAAAACACTTAATTATACAGTAAACAACAACACAATGACAGTTTCACAGAGGACAGACCATTCAACCAGTTCTTCCAAACTGGTGGGTTCTTCTGAAGTTGGTAAAGTCTGCAAAGAAAGGTGCCTGAGGAGACTGGCTGCCTTCCAAAGGAGTTGATTTTGTTTTTCTAGAGCTAAAAAAAAAAAAAAGTCTGCGCTTTCAGATGAGCATAAATCAGCAGTATCAATTCAGCCTTGGTACTAATGAAGAACAAAGGATTTTCTTCTTGTTTGTAGGAATTTGAAAACTTAAGTTACAGGAAATGGATAGCAGGGACCTAGAGTAATACAGTTGGCGTATATATTTTGCGACCGTGATCACCCCTCTCCACCGGCATCTCTCTTAATAAGAATCCACAAAAGAGGAGAAATGGGATGCACCTTTGTGTTAGTTAGAATGACAGAAGCAAAGGCAGATGGGTTGTCAATGTTACCCAACATTTTAAATTATTTAGATGAGAGAGGTGGAAAAATAAAATTGCAACAGACCAGGGAGGATGAAATGACTCTTTCATGAGAACCTCAAATCGTATTGAGCCACTATGAGAGAGAGATTACTCAGGGCTGGTTTAGAAGAGCCAAGAAAGAGAGGAAAGGCTGCTCACAGCTGAGAGTCTGTCATCAGTCACCCCAGGTGAACCCGGGTTATCTGCCCAGGAGTGGCCATGGGGAGAATGAGGTATGTTTCTGAAAGCCACTAAACTATCTGGGATAGGAATTGCCCTCACAGTCTGGGCCTTATCAAGCTCCCCCAGTAATCCAAAGAGCTGATAGGTGCTGTGTTTAGAGACCAGTGACCCCCATTCCTCCCAAGCCCCGTCTCCTTTCTTAAGCCTTTCTTCCCCGCACCTTCCCCTGAGTCCCAGCCAAGGGGCAGTACAAACCACTGTATTTCATAACTAGGAACACAGGAACAAGTCCAGGGAAGATTATGTTTATTATACCAGACCTCTAGGATTGGGCTTGTTAGGAAATTAAAGAAAAAAAATCTGGCTATCTCATCTACGATGTAAGCTAAGAGGGTGAAAGTCCCTAAGAGTCCCTTCTTTGAGGCCATGGAGTCAGGAGTTAGCGGGTTAGGAAATAACTTTTATCTATGTATCACAATTAACCCTCGATATTTAGTGCAGTACATAATTTTTTTTAGACAAAGGGAAATATCCTTTTTTTAGGGACCAGGCCAAAGAAACAGTCCTCCAGTTGGGGGCACTGATGAGCAAGGCAGCAATTAGGCACGGGCCTGAAAAGCACCCTTGTGGAGAAGAGGACAGTAAGGCCAGGTGTGGTGGCTGATGCCAGTAATCCCAGCATTTCAGGAGGCTGAGATAGGCGGATCACTTGAGGTCAGGAGTTTGAGACCAGCCTGGCCAACATGGTGAAACCTTGTCTCGACTAAAAATACAAACATTAGCTGTGCATGGTGACGCATGCCTGTAATCCCAGCTCCTCGGGAGGCTGACCTTGAACCCAGGAAGTGGAGGTTGCAGTGAGCCGGGATCATGCCACTGCACTCCAGCCTGGGTGACAGAGCAAGACCCTGTCTCAAAAACAAAAAATAAACAAACAAAAAAACCCAAAAACAAAGAAGATTATGTGAGACCGGTGTCATCACAGAGCCAGAACGACCAAGCTCAAAAATCGTCACAGTTCTAGAGAATTTAGATGGAAGCAGTCTAGAACCATTTATAACTACCATTCAAGATGGTACACAGCCCATTAAGTAAGGGATGGGCTATACAGAGCTAAACAGATTTTATAATTATAGGACTTCTCAGAGCCTTTCTTATTCTAATGTACATTGTGAATCTCCAAAGGGAGCTGTGGCATGCAACGTTTCCCGAGCTGATTTGTCCAAGGGATCTTGGATTTTGCAAGGCCAATCTTTTAAGACTTAGAGGTGTTCCAGAAACTTCTCTTTAGGTCAGAGCCATTATGTGCCCACTAACTATGCCAGTGGATCAATTCTATTTCAGTAAATGTTATTTTTTTCTAAATTTCAGTGAGCTAATGTGTTGCCTGAAGATGACTATTACTCAGATACCAAAGTTTTTTGAAGAATGCCCAACAGTAATGGAAGTGTTTTATTTTTAGAATCAGGTGACACAGAACCCGTAAGTTCCTTTTCAAGCAAAGTCAGTTCTGTTCAACCACACAGCAAAGTCAGCAGTACGTTGGGATGGCAGTGGGTTTGTGCATTTGGATTTGTTTCCATTTAGAAAATGAACTGGTTGTATGGACGAGCCAGTTGCAAACCAGCCTATTCACAGATGTACCGCTGCCCTTGTGTGGGACCAGAGCTCGCCTCTACATCTCAGCACCCCAATTAGTGCCTGGTGAAGCAGGAGCTTTGGAACAGCCAGTTTTGTTTGTTCAGATTATCCCGTTTCCACTTGCTCTAGCTGTTCCCAAGCTCTTCTTTGGACTTCAGAGAAAATTAATTCAGCCATTTTGAGGGGAAAGAGCAGGTGATAGAACACGTGGCTCTACTGTAACAAAACATAACATTTTAAAATTGTTTGCATTTTTTTAACACCACTCGAAATGACTTTACAGAGGGCAATCAGCAGAGAATACAGAGTTGTTTAAGGGAATGTTTGGTAGAAGATTTTACTAAGAAATTCTCCTTTTCTTCTTTTTTGTTTATTTTCCACTTGCAGTACTGAAAAATTTGATTTCCCTTCTGCAGTTTACAAATGTCTGTGGAGTTGTGTTCAGCTCAGTTGTTGAGATCTGCAGAATACAACTGGAAAGATTTTGTGAGCAGATTTCTTTCTGTAAAAATAAAACAGTATGACTATGGGTATACCAACATAGTATATTTCAGGGATTAAAGTGAATGCAAAGGCCGGGTGTGGTGGCTCATGCCTGTAATCTCAACACTCTGGGAGGCCGAGGCAGGTGGATCACTTGAGGTCAGGAGTTCAAGGCAAGCCTGGCCAACATGGCGAAACCCCACCTCTACTAAAAATACAAAAATTAGCTGGGCGTGGTGGTGTGTGCCTGTAATCCCAGCTACTCAGGAGGCTAAGGCAGGAGAATCACTTGAACCTGGGATGCGGAGGTTGCAATGAGCCGATATCTCACCATTGCACTCCAGCCTGGGTGACAATGTAAGACTCTGTCTCAAAAAAAAAAAAAGGGAATGCAGAATTGCCCTGAGGTCTTTGATCTTTTTGATCAGTAAGATAATGTGAACTACACGATAGTGTGTATTTCTTTACTGTCTAGACAAGTGTTGATACATCTTTTCAGTTCAGAATTTTAAACATCGATTCTACTTTCTTAAGTGAGAATTTGCTAGGTTGGTGAAGGGGGATGATTCTTAACCCTTTTTAACTGAGAAGGCTTGCCGTCTGAAAGTTTCTTACCTGGCCATATGCTCACCTGTATTTGGGAAGTCACACTGATCCATTCCCATCTCTGTTATTATTATTTTTAATTATAAATTAGAGGCAGGTTTTCGCTATGTTGCCCAGGCTAATTTTGACCTCCTGGGCTCAAGCAATCCTCCTGCCTCAGCCTCCCAAAGTGCTGGGATTACAGGCGTGAGCCATCACGCCTGGCCCTATCTCTGTTATTTACATGCAATTCTTTTTATTTGATGTGGTCTCCCTGTCTCTTTAAATTCTTGTCTTGCCATTATAGTATGTAGATATCAGTATTCATGAGCATCCTCTGCTTATTTCTGCCTTGACAAGTCCAGCCCTAGATCGTATGAGCCTGAATTTCGTTTCCCTGCATGATTATCCTAGAAGTGCAAGTGAGTAGCAAACCATCCCCCATTCAGAAAACATGCTTTCATTCATGTCTTCGGCTCTGTCTCCCTTCTGGCCTTGCTTTCCTAGTGAGTTGCTATTACTCAGCATGTCAGAGGACGGGAAGAGGATCCATGAGTGAATGAACTAATGAATGAACAGAAGCCTCTGTGTAGGGTGCGGGCTGGTGAGGAGCAGCGGAGAGGCCCGCGTGCATTTCCATGCTGTAGCTGGAATACAAGCAGCTGTTTTCCGGCTGTGTTTCGGAGCTCTGCCTTCCACACAGTCCCTTCCTCTCACCCTCCTCCACATCTCTTTCAGGTCCCACCATTCCTCTTGGCCACATTTTTCTTCCTATGCAGCATATATTTAGGAAGTCACTCTGATTCATCCTCATCTCTATTATTTACATGCAATTCCTTTTCTTCCTTTCCTCTTTCCTTGAAAAGTCTACTTTTTTTTTCCCCACTTGAGTTCTTCTTCTCACTTTTGTGGAACTATCTTCTTTGCAATTTTTTTCTCCAACTACCCTGTCACCATAACCACCCACCTTATTTGTATCTAAAGTCATACGTAACCCTCACAAGGCAGAAGGGCGAAGGGAGCTCAAATATCTCCCCTTATTTCCTTTGCATCTTTGCCTGTATGATAACTAAGGTTCTGAGTAGAGGGTGACGGCCAGACATTTACCTTTTTGAAATTGATGTGTGTATTAAAGATCTTCTGTGCACAAAACAGAAATTTATATTTTGCCTTCCAAGCGTGGGGTAAAATTTCTATCAAAATGGGGAGATAAAAATTTTTTAATGAATAAAGGAAGCTGAAAGGTATTTTAAGATCTAGGTTCTACCAACTGTCTGTATACACATTTATCATCCACTTTCTTCTACTTTTCAAGCAACACAGGCTTTTCTCATTTATTTTCCAGTAGCTCCAGCCTCAGAGTCCTGGAAGATAATAAGCCCTAAACTCTATGCCTGCCCTCATTAGCACTGTGGAACATTCTGGATGTGAGTCTCCTGTTGGTGAACAGAGGAAACACTTGCAAATCTAGTTTTATTAATGATCCCATCTTAAGTTGCAATTCCCAGTGTGGCTTTGGAGCACAGTTAATATGACAATATAGAATACAGTACCAGAGAATCGATGTCATCTACAGGGGAACTCCATTAGAGAGAAAGTCAAGTCTGTATAGAGTTTCGTGCTTGTGGATAGCAGGGAACACGTTCTACATACTGTTGGAACAAGATGGCAAGAGAAGAATGCATTGAATTCCAGATAAAAGCTAAAAGGAAATTGTCTTTTAAAAGCCTATAAATACTTCATCAACCCCAAGCCAGCTCCTCAACTCTTCCATTTAACTTTCTTGATGTTAGGCCCGTTGTAAAGTGCTGCTCTCAGACATGGAAGAATTTGGGCTGGTAAACAAGAATAAAGCGTTGAGTTACTGGGCTGAGGGTTCTTCTCAATGAGTGGTTTTCAAACTGTCCTCCTTTAGGTCCAGGAGATTCCATGGACAGGTCTCAGTGGCCATTCTGTCCCTAATATTTTATTTAAAGAAAAACTCTGATGCCAGTTAAAATGGTTTGAAAACTACTGAACTGTAATATCTCTCAGCTCCTGCCCTACTCTAAAGACCATGAATAAGTGTGATGTATGTGGGACAGGAACCACTTGAAGCAGCAGTTCCCAAATTTAACAGATTTGCAACTCCTCTGTCTACTTAGTGGTGCTTATATTAGTCAAGGTTCTCCAGAGAGACAGAACCAATGGTGGGGGAGATGTGGGGAGAGAGAGAAATGGGTGGATGGATAGATAGATTAGATAGCTAGATTAGATATGTAGATTAGATAGATGGATGAATAGATAGATGATTGATAGATATTAATAGATAAGAGAGATGGATAGATAGATTAGCTAGATTAAGTAGATAGATAGATGATAGATATTAATAGATAGATTGATTAGATAGGTAGATTGGATGGATGGATGGATTGATAGATATTAACAGATAGATGGATAGATTAGATAGGTAGACAGATTAGATAAAAAGATAGATTAGATAGGTAGATTGGGTGGATGGATGGATGGATGGATGGATGGATGGATGGATGGATGAGAGGGGATTTGCTAGGGAAATTGGCTCACATGATTAGGGAAGCTGAGAAGTCCCACAACAGCCCACCTGCAAGTTGGAGACCCTGGGGTGCCAGTAGTGTGGCTGAGTCCAAGTCAGAAGGCTTAGAACCAGGGGAGCCGCGAGTGTAGGTCCTGGAGTCCAAAGGCTGAGGAGCCTGGAGTCGTTATCCAAGGACAGGAGGGGAGGAGTGTGTCCCCACTCCAGCAGATAGATCCATACATTTGCCTTTCCTCTGTATTGGTCCTCTCCAGCCCCTCAGCAGGTTGGATGGTGCCCACCCACATTGAGGATGGATCTTCCTCACCTAGTGCATACCAACTCACATGACAGTCTCTGGAAACACCCTCACAGACACACCTAAAATAAGGCTTTACTAGGCTTCTAGGTATTCCTTAATCTAGTCAAGTTGACGCCTAAAATTAACCATCATAGTGTTCTTTATAACATAATCCTCTTTAAGTTAAAGTAGATTAAATTATAAGAATTTTTGGAAAACCTTGTGACTTCCTGTAAGATAATATAGTTACTCTGGGATGCCATTGATGTATTCACTCATTTTTAAATTGGATTTAAATTTTTTCTGCTTACTAAAATAGTAGATATTTATTGTAACATCCAAGCATTATAAAAATCTATACCACAGAAAATAAAAGAACTTCATAATTTCCACTACTCTCCTCCATGAGAATATTTTCCCATGTTTTTCGGTGGGTATACTAGTTTTTCAATGTTTTTCAGTGTGTATACTCGTTTGCCATGTTTTTCAGTGGATATACTAGTTTTTCAATGTTTTTCAGTGTGTATACTC
The DNA here is from genome assembly GCF_000001405.40 of Homo sapiens. Taxonomy (NCBI): domain Eukaryota; kingdom Metazoa; phylum Chordata; class Mammalia; order Primates; family Hominidae; genus Homo; species Homo sapiens. The sequence continues at coordinate 67,565,034 of NC_000017.11, forward strand.
GTTTGCCATGTTTTTCAGTGGATATACTAGTTTTTCAATGTTTTTCAGTGTGTATACTTGTTTCCCATGTTTTTCAGTGTGTATACTAGTTTTTCCATATTTTTCAGTGTGTATACTCATTTGCCATGTTTTCCAGTGTGTATACTAGTTTTCCATGTTTTTCAGTGTGTGTACTAGTTTTCTGTGTTTTTCAGTGTGTATACTAATTTTCCATGGTTTTCGGTGTGTATACTCATTTTCCATGGTTTTTGATGTGTATATTAGTTTTCCATGTTTTTCAGTGTGTATACTAGTTTTTCCATGTTTTTTCAGTGTGTATACTTGTTTTCCATGTTTTCCAGTGTGTATACTAGTTTTCCATGTTTTTCAGTGTGTGTACTAGTAATTTTCCATGGTTTTCGGTGTGTATACTCATTTTCCATGGTTTTTGGTGTGTATATTAGTTTTCCATGTTTTTCGGTGTGTATGCTAGTTTTTCCATGTTTTTTGGTGTGTATACTTGTTTTCCATGTTTTTCGGTGTGTATGCTAGTTTTTCCATGTTTTTTCGGTGTGTATACTTGTTTCCCATGTTTTCCAGTGTGTATACTTGTTTTCCATGTTTTGCAGAGTGTGTACTAGTTTTCCGTGTTTTTCAGTGTGTATACTAGTTTTCCATGGTTTTCAGTGTGTATACTCATTTTCCATGTTTTTCAGTGTGTGTACTAGTTTTCTGTGTTTTTCAGTGTGTATACTAGTTTTCCATGGTTTTCAGTGTGTATACTCATTTTCCATGGTTTTTGGTGTGTATATTAGTTTTCCATGTTTTTCGGTGTGTATGCTAGTTTTTCCATGTTTTTTCGGTGTGTATACTTGTTTTCCATGTTTTTCAGTGTGTATACTCGTTTTCCATGTTTTTCGATGTGTATACTAGTTTTTCCATGTATTTCAGTGTGGATACTAGTCTACTTTCTTTTTGTTTTTACAAAAATGGGGCTATCCTGTTTTACACTTTGTTTTTTTAATGGTTTTAGAGTCGATCCCAATGTACTTAACCAGCCTTCTACTGGTGAACTTTGACTTGTTTCCAAGTTTTTTTATAGGACCAACAATACAGTTAATGAACATGTGTTTTTTTGTAATATTTTTTCACATCTCAGAATTCATGCTGGAGTTCTGGGCAGGGTTTTTTGTTTGTTTGTTGTTTTTTGATACAGGGGCTTGCTCTGTCACCCAGGCTGGAGTGCAGTGGCGCGATCTTGGCTCACTGCAACCTCTGCCTCCCAGGTTCAAGCGATTCTCCTGCCTCAGCTTCCCTAGTAGCTGGGATGACAGGCGTGCACCACCATGCCCAGCTAATTTTTGTATTTTTAGTAGAGACAGGGTTTTGCCATGTTGGCCAGGCTGGTCACAAACTCCTGGCCTCAAGTGATCCACCCGTGTCAGCCTCCCAAAGTGCTGGGATTACAGGCATGAGCCACCCACAGGGCCTGGACCTGTTTTTAAAAGCACTTTCATAATAAGAATTAACCTAAGCCATTATATTTCAATTCAGTTTTTGAAAATTATTGTGTTTTCAAGGTACTAGGGTAATTTGGCATCTAAAGGAATACCAATGAATTTCTGAAATGAATAATTATTTCCCTAATATATCTTTTGAGTAACTCCTGCTTTTCCTGATTTGGGTTTGTTTGAAGCAAGGCACGTCTATCATATGACAGATTCACACACACATATTTTCTCTGCTGTTAGTGGCCACAGCACATACTGAGAAGCAAAGCCTGTGCTTTCAACCTCTGCTTCCCTGGAAGCACTTCCATGATTTCCTGATACTTAAGAATCAGCATGAGATCACAAGCATGCATGTCAGAGCTAGACAGCCTGGCTTGAATCCCATCTCCTCTATGCATTTGTTGTGTGACTTACAGCACACTGTTGGACCTTTCCGTGCCTTTGTTTCTTCATCTGTAAAATGGGGATGTATGAGGGTTAATGAGTTAATAGATGAACTAATATATATCAAATACTCGGACCAGTGCCTGTTGACAGGAAGGACGGTATAACACTATTGTCATTATAACCTCTGTATTGGGTTGTGTCTGTCCCTCACTGGACATGTGGAATGTTGGCCAGGTCTCCTTTGGATTGTCATTTTGACCCAGAACCTCCCAGAGTTAAGAAATACCTGGACAGGCCAGGCGCGGTGGCTCACGCCTGTAATCCCAGCACTTTGGGAGGCCAAGGCAGGCGGATCATGAGGTCAGGAGATCGAGACCATCCTGGCTAACATGGTAAACCCCGTTTCTACTAAAAATACAAAAAATTAGCCAGGCGTGGTGGCAGGTGCCTATAGTCCCAGCTAGTCAGGAGGCTGAAGCAGGAGAATGGCATGAACCTGGGAGGCAGAGCGTGCAGTGAGCCAAAATTGCGCCACTGCAATCCAGCCTGGGCGACAGAGTGAGACTCCATCTCCAAAAAAAAAAGAAATACCTGGGCGACGAGACGTGCTATCAAGGAGGTGGGGAAGTTGGAACTCTCCTACACTGTTCATGGGAATGTACAAGGGTGCAGCCACTTTGGAATGGGGTAGCCGTCTGGAAGTTCCTCAGAAGGTTAAACATAGAGTTACAGTGTGATCAGCAATTCCACTCTAGGTATACACTCAAGAGAAATGAAAACATGGCCGGGCGCAGTGGCTCACACCTGTAATCCCAGCACTTTGGGAGGCCGAGGTGGGTGGATCACGAGGTCAGGAGTTTGAGACCAGCCTGGCCAACATGGTGAAACCCCATCTCTACCAAAAATACAAAAATTAGCTAGGTATGGTGGCAGGTGCCTGTAATCCCAGCTAGTCTGGAGGCTGAGGCAGGAGAATCGCTTGAACCCAGGGGGTGGAATTGCAATGAGCCAAGATCACACCACTGCACTCCAGCCTGGGCAACAGAGTGAGACTCCATTTCAAAAAGAAAGAAAGAAAGGAGAAGAGAAGAGAAAAGAAGAAAGAAGAAAGAAAGATAGAAATCCACACAAAAACTCGCACAAGAATAGCTGTGGCAGTATTGTTCATAGTAGCCAAAAAATAGAAACAAATGTTCATCAACTGATAAATGGAGAAATCAGATGTAGTATGTCCGTACAATGGACTATCATTCGGCCAGAAAAAGGAATGGAGTACCCATACATGCTAGAACATGGATGAGCCTTGAAAACATGCTAAGGGAAAGAAGCCAGGAACAAAAGACCACATATGATACACTTCCATTTGTAGGAAATGTATAGAATAGACAAATCTTAGAGTAGATTAGGAGTTGCGTACATTGTGGTGCTGCAGGTAGGCGGGAATGGGGACGTGACTGCTGATGGATACAGGGCTTCTTTGGGAGGTAATGGAAATGTTCTAAAATTAGATTGTCCTAATGGTTGTATAACTCTGAATATACTGAACACCATTAACTTGTATACTTGAAATGGGTGAATTATATGGTATGTGAATAAAGCTATTTTTTATTTATTTTATTTTATTTTTTTAGAGATGGGATCTTGCTTGCTCTGTCACCCAGGCTGGAATGCAGTAGTGTGATCATAGCTCACTGCAGCCTCAAACTCCTGGGCTCAAGTGATCCTCCTGCCTCTGCCTGCTGAATAGTAAAGCTATATTTTGGGGGGAAAAGGGGGAAACAGCTCCTGAGTTTGGGGGTGGGCTCCCAGAATATACCAGCTTACTGAAAGCGAGGCATCGGGAGAGAGGCCTGGAATCTGTTTTTAACAAGCCCAGCAAATGAGGCATCATTAAGTAGGTCTTAGAAATACACTGTCATAGAGAATACTTTTATTTTTCTTTTACATTGTAAAGTGGGATAGGGTAGGATTAATACATTTTAGCTTACGTTTTTGCCACAGGCTAGGTGCTGTGGAAATACAGTATCCTTTGATGACAATAATGACAGTCTTCAAAGTGAGCGGTGTACATTCTTCCAGAAGTTTCGCACTTCCTGCTTCTGAAGTGCAGTGCCCTAGAGAGCCTCAGACCCATCCCCAGGGCCCCCATTCACTGCAGCCACTATCGTCTCTCTCCCTATGCAGGTGCTGAGACAGAAATAAGGGCTGCCAGCACCACCCAGAAACTGACTATGAAATCCCCAATGTGTCTGACCCTTTCTCTTTAAGACTTTGGTTTGCTTACATTTCATTTTGTTCCTGTAAGTGTTTCTTATTGCCATAGCAACCCTAATCGATCACTGGACCAAAAATAGCTCTTTCATGTTTTCCAAAGCATGTCTGTAGTGAATTGGAAATTCAGTTCTGCCGTGCATTTTGCATATGCTGCTTTCATTTCCCGACACTGAACCTGGGAGGGCTTGTGTCTGGAAATTATTCTTGCAGAGACCCAGAAACCTCACTTGTCTTTCCTGGCGTTCTTCTTCCCCACTGCAGATCCACCCGTCACTTCCAAAAGCTACAAGTAGCTGCATTTAAATGTTCCACCATCACTTTTCTGCACATTGAGTTTTGGGTGCTGGAGGTTTTACAGGTACCAGAATATCACTTTTCAATAAGAGGTTCATCCTGGTGGATTCCGTTGGGTTTGGAAGGCCAATTATAGATGCTTAGACACCAGATAAAAGGAAGAGGGTCATGGCAGGGAGCAGATGGCAGCAACACCTATAAGATTCCTCTGGCTTACGTGGATCTAAGCTAGAAAATCAAAGATGAGATGACAGGAGAGCTCCTGCCTTGACTCCCTGACTTCTTCCTAACACTGCTACTGTTTTTAGGGGGTTGGGGCAAAATAAACACTGGATGTAATTAAGTGAATATTTTCTATGATGCTTTCTCTGCTTTATTCTCCCTGCCAAGCTGTGCCTTTAGTCAAGAAGAGGGAGAGAGAGATAAAAAAGAAAAGATTTTTCATGAGAAAGAGGATTCGAGACCTGGAGTGAGCCCAGAGGAGGAAGAAGAGGTGGAGAGGGACAGAAATGACTCACTGATTTCCCCCAGGCTCCAGGGACAGGCGTGCTTTTTTGCCTCCCCCTCTGCCTGTAAGCAGAGTCATCTCTGTGGCCTCAAGGGTTCCCAACTTCTGTTTTATGCTTCTGTTTCTTAACTTCTTTGAGCCTTGGTTTTGGCGATTGGGTTGAGTGAACCAGCGGACGTGCACCCTTTAGATCTAGGAAAGAAAAGAGTTCACGGAGATCCTGGTAGAGTTTTTGTTCCCTGCATGAAGTCAGCAGGGGGCCAAGGGAAAGCTCAGAGAAGAGGCCAGTGGAAGGGGCACCTGCCCAGAAGAAGGAGCTGCCAAGGATGGAGCCTGGGACACGTGGTGACATTTCCTCAGCAGCAGAGCAGGTCAGGGATTCAGAGTGAGTCTGGAAGAGCCCAGATCTGCTCTGTGGTTTGGCTGCCTTCCTTGCCATGGGAAGAAGCCATCAGGTGTCCTGTGGATGCCTTTCCGGAAGCCTCTGCATCCTTGCATCTTCATAGTGGAGGATCTGCCTTTGACCCCAGCTCAGCTTTCTCGTCCACATTGCCTAGGAGGGTACAATGGAGTGGACCAACATCTCTCCAGCATCTGCCAGGCGCTGCCTGGCCCTGGACATTCGTTATCTCTTTTCATTCTCACCCCACAGCTTTGAGGTTGCAATTGTCTCCATTTGATAGATGAGGAAACTGAAGCTCAGAGGGAATCGTGAATTTGCCCCAAGTCACACAGTTTGTTGGAAAAGAAGCTGCGGTTTGAACTGAAGTCTGTTTTACTCCAAAAATCTGTATTTTTTTTTTTTTTCCTACTAAATCATCATCCTCCCTCTCTGTGGGTTAGGTGCCTGCTGCTGCATCTGGACACCAGATAATGACAAGCTTGCTGACATCAGTTACTAGTAAATATCACCCTGGGCAATAAGCAGTGGCCATTGATTGACAAAGCAGGTGGCATCATAGGTGGAACTAATAAGTCAGAAAAAGCACCAATTCCCCCTTCCCTTGCACTTGCTTGAACCTCAGAGTCGGTGATGCTTTACTCAGATGAAAACCAGATGGGTGATTTGGAAGAAGGCAGCCAGCAGGCTGAGTGTTGTGTTGGTTTTCTCTTGCTGTGTAGCAAATCTCCCACAAATTTAGCAACTTAAAACAACACAAGTGGCTGGGTGCAATGGCTCATGCCTATAATACCAGCACTTTAGGAGGCTGAGGTTGGAGGATCGCTTGAGCTCAGGAGTTTGAGACCAACCTGGGCAACACAGTGAGAGCTCATCTCTACTAAAAGTAAAAAAAATTAGCTGGGTGTGGTGGTGCATGCCTGTGATCCCAGCTGTTCAGGAGGCTGAGGCGGGAGGATTGCTTAAGCCCAGGAGGTCAAGGCTGCGGCGAGCTGAGCTATACTGCATTCAAGCCTGGGCAACAGAATGAGGCTCTGTCTCAAAAAAGAAAAGAAAAGAGAAGAGAAGAAAAATAACACAAGTTTGTTATCTTGCAGTTTCCATGGGTCAGGAGTTGGAACCCAGGCTAGCTGGGTCCTTGGCTCAGGCAACTCACCAGGTAGAAATCAAGGCATCAACCAAGGTTCTAGTTTCACCAGAAATGCAGGGTCCTCTTCCACGCTCACTGGTGGTTGGCAGGATTCATTCCTTGTGGTTGAAGGACGAAGGTCGCGTTTTCTAGCTGGTTCTTCTCCGGCTGTCACTCTCAGTTCCCAGTAGACCTCTCTTGGGTCCTATCCACGTGGCTATCTCACAACTTCAAAGCCAACAAAAGAATCTCTGCTTTTTCTAAAGTGAAGTCTTGTATACACTCTCAGGAGTGACTGACTGTCTTGTCTTTTTGCTATCAATCAAAAGCTGTGCTCCCTCTGAAGGTTCTGGGGGGCAACCAGGGGAGTGACAGCCCATCATATCCCCAGGTTCTGCTCACACCCGAAGGGAAGGATTACACAGGATGTGTGCACCAGTGGCTGGGACTCTGGAGGCCATCTCAGAATTCTGTCTGCCGTGGGTTTTTCAGTCTTTCCTTCATATGCTGTGGGCCAAATGGGACTTTAGACATTCAGCATTTCCAAATGACTGTTCCTTAGAGAGCACGGGATGCTTCAGCAGCCCTTAGACATCTTTTTCTGTTTTAGCCAATGGCTGACGACCCTAGTGTCTCTCTTCTTGGAGCAAGTTCAGGTGTGGTTACATCAGGGTTCCCAACGTTTTTTCCACCCCCACACTCCTGACAGATCCCTCGGTGATATAGAATCCCTCCACCCAAGGACATTTATCAGGATCTTTAGGGAACAGCGCATATTTTGAGAAAAAGTCCAGGGTTGGAAAGTGGGGTTCCCGTCTCCCCATTGACATTGAGAATGACTAGGTTAGATGGTATATTCCTAGTGGAAGCAAAAGTCTTAGTTACAGAAAGCATTATTTGAGCAAACCTAAACTAAAGGAGATGCTTTAACACCTGAAGAAGCTGGGTAAAGCGGGGGGGGGGGGTAAAGAAGAAGGGGGGTGACTTTGATGACCACCATTCCTAGTGGTGCTGGTATTAGGGGGGCACCCTCCTGTTAGAGTGTGAGCTTACCACATGGTTGGTGAGCCTGGGACACAGATAGCTAATGGTAATGGTGACAAAGGAGATACGCGCTGTGATAAAGGGACAAACAGAATGCTGCCAGCATGCATGGGATAATCATTCCGAAGTGGTACTTGAGATGGTCTTTGAGTAAGATTTAGGAAAGAAATTTCGGGCTGAGAGTACCATGGCCAAAAAAAAAAAAAAAGACCTGACAGCAGGAAGTTTTCCAGGGAAGGGGGAGTGGACCTACCTAGATTTAGGGTGGGTCCAAATCCAATGACTTTTGTCCTTGTAAGAAGAGAAGAGAGCACAGAGACCCAGAGGGAAGAAGGGGATGTAAAGACGGAGGCAGAGACTGGAGTGATGCACCCACTCCCGGTGCCACCAACAGCTGGAAGAGACAAGGACAGATTCTCTCCCAGAGTCTTCAGAGGTAGTATGGCTCTGCCAACACCTTGGTTTCAGGCTTCTGGCCTCCAGAACTGTGAGAGAATAAATTGCTGCTGTTTTAAGCCACGCAGTTTGTGGAATTGGCTACGATAATTCTAGAGTACCAGTACAGTCAGGGAGAACATTCGCGTTCATTCTGGACCTTTCAAGTTTGATGAACCTGTAGGGTCTTTGTTGGGGATGGCCAGTGGGCACCTGGAAATGTGAGAGGAGTTGGAATTTGCGATGTTGATTTGGGAGGCATCTGCCAAAAAAGAAAAAAATCATGAAAAGTCAGAAGCAGATGAGATCACCAGGGGAGAGGGTTTGGATCAAGAAAAGAGGCTGTAGGTAGGGTAGGACCTGAGGGATCTCCTGTAGGGAAGGAGTGGAGGAGGGAGGAAAGGGTGAACTGCTGCTCAGGATGGAGGAGTTGCTCAGTCATATTGCAGTGTAGAGAGGTCTCCAGGGTGCAAATGGAAGAGTGATGCTGCTTTGGAAATCCTTTGATGATCAGGTGGGAGGTGGAAAAAGTAGAGACAGGAAGCACTGAAACTGAATACTCTTTTTTTTTTTTTTTTTTTTTTTTGAGATGGAGGCTTGCTCTGTCGCCCAGGCTGGAGTGCAGTGGCGCAACCTCAGCTCACTACAACCCCCGCCTCCCGGGTTCAAGCGATTCTTCCCGCTCAGCCTCCCGAGTAGCTGGGATTACAGGCATCTGCCATCATGCCCAGTTAATTCTTGTATTTTTGTAGAGATGGGGGTCTCACCATTGGCCAGCCTGGTCTTGAACTCCTGACCTCAGGTGATCCACACACCTCGGCCTCCCAAAGTGCTGGGATTACAGGCATGAGCCACCATGCCCGGCTACTGACTACTCTTTTAATAAGTTTTTTTATGAAGACAGAAAGAGATACGGAATTGATTATAGATGGGGGAAGAAATAGGATCAAGGGAACTTTGTGCTTATTTATTTTTTAAGACTGTGTCTCTTTTCATTATATTTTTAGGCTGTGGGAAGGAAGCAGGGAAAAGATGCAAATAATCAATGAAACAAGGTTCCAGAGAAGAGCTTACAAATAATTTGTACTGTGCACCTACTATGTGCCAGTCACTGTGCTGGGGTTTAGCTGTGTGATCTCATTGATCTTCTGAACACTCCTACAGAGCGGAAAAGGATTGTCCCCATTCTCCACCTGGGGCAACTGGGGCTGAGAACAGTAAAATAACTTGCCCAGGTTGATACATCTTGGATTTGAGCCCAAGTCAGCTGGCTCTGATGTCTCAGTGCTTTTCATTATATTATTTCTCCACTGAAAAAGAGGAGGATATATCTTTCTCGGATTCACAAAGAATAAGAAACGTAAAGAAATAAGCAGATTTGTAATGGAGGAAAGGGATGTGTCAGTGTTTCTATCATGCAGTTCATGTCCTCATTAAACTATGACTCAAAGTGATCAGCTGCAAGGGAGAGGGGAGAAAGGGTGAAGCCAGGCAAGGGACCTTGAGAGGGTAAGGGATGTAGGATAGATCAGTGGATGAGATATAACAGGGAGCCAATCAGGAAGAAATAAAAGACCTTGCTTTAAAGCTAAGCTTCCGCTAGGATTAGTGGGCTGGATTTTTGGAGAAACCAGCCTGCATGGGGGAGGCAGAAGGTTATCTTAACATGGACATCACCCCTGAGAGATTTCAGTGACGGCACTGAAGAAGCCCAGAGCCACAGATAATTCTGATTTTAACTCAAGACACCCGCACACCCCAGGACTCTGAGAACGAGTCATCAGACATCCCAAGGGGATTATCAGCCCCAACCACCTGCCGAAGGAGAAAGTACTGACCCGCTTGGAGTTACCAGGAGCTGTTCTCTGGCCACCCTGCTGAAGCCAGGTGCACTACTCCTAGCCTCGTGGCAAGGTTGCCATTCTGATATGAAAATAACCAAAGTCCCCACTCAAAAATAACAACATCTGCTAATTTGCATGGGAGTTTTGCATTTCATAATTGGGTTTAATACGCAAATGCTAAAATTCATGTGTTGGGCTAGCTAAGTGGTTTAGAGGTTCAGTGGGTAAAAACTCCTCACAGTGTTCCACTCTGGTGCACCGAGACCCACACCCACGCTCCACAACTCTGTACTCTCCCCACTCCTTGGTTTGACTCTCATATGAATTATGGGATAAAAAATACAAAATCGATTTACCTAAAGGCTTGTCGTGTCTAAGAGGGTCTCAGCCAGGGCATCCCCCCACGTTCTCATGTCTGCTTTGGGGCTCTGAGTCCTCCAGCGTCTTCATTTGAGATGAGCAGCTGCTCCTTGGTGCTACCTGAACCCGGATATAAGGGCAGCGGTTATGGAGTGAGAAGTTTGAGAGGAGACAGCAGAGAGGGTGTTAATGAATAATCGCAGGGCCTTGTTCTCCATAAAGGCAATTACTGGGATTGATTGTTTCCGTGTTTCCTTAGTCACGGTTCAGATCCCTTGTTTCACTCAGATTAAGACAGATGCGTGCTGAACGCGTCCTGGCATGTGATGTCAGGAGAATTATCGATGGCACGTCCCAGGCCTCTGTCTTCTCGTGCAGGTGCCACCAGGGGTCTCAGCTGGGCTGAAAGGGGAGCGTGGTCATTGTGCGGCTGAAGCATGTGTGTGCTATAGCCAGGTGGTTTTCCAGGTTGAGCATGCCTCAGCATACACTGGAGGGCTTGGTAAACAGATTGCTGAACCCCACCTCCAGAGTTTCTGATTTAGTTGGTCTGCTGAAGAATTTGCCTTTCTTTCTTTCTTTCTTTTCTTTCTTTCCTTCTTTCTTTCTTTCTTTCTTTCTTTCCTTCCTTCCTTCCTTCCTTCTTTCTTTCTTTCTTTCCTTCCTTCTTTCTTTCTTTCCTTTTTTTTTTTTTTTGAGACTGAGTCTCACTCTGTTGCCCAGACTGGAGTGCAATGGCATGATCTCAGCTCACTGCAACCTCCACGTCCCAGGTTCAAGCGATTCTCGTGCCTCAGCCTCCCAAGTAGCTGGAATTACAGGGGTACACCACTACACCTGGCTAATTCTTGTATTTTTAGTAAAGACGGGGTTTCGCCATGGTGGCCAGGCTGGTCTCAAACCCCTGACCTCAGGTGATATGCCTGCCTTGGTCTCCCAAAGTGCTGGGATTACAGGCATGAGCCACCGTGCCTGGCCAAGTATTTGCATTTCTAACAATTCTGGGCTGCTGGAGCTGGTCCAGAAACTCCTCTTTGAGAACCACTCAGTATGGTGAAGAGTATGGACACTGAGACCTGGCCACCTGGCTGCATGAGACTGTAGGCCATTTACTTACCCTCTCTGCACCTCCATCTCCTCATCTTTAAAGCAGGGGGGGATGGTAATAGTACCTCCTTCACGGGATTGTTGCCAGGAATAAATGAGTGAGAGCATCAGAGCATTTGTAGCAGTGTCTGGTATAGACAGTATGTGAGTACTGGAATCATGTATAAGGGATCCAGCCTCTTGGGACTGTGATGCTATCAGGCCAAGTCTGGTTTCCCCAACACCCACAGATCCCAATGCAGGTGCTGGGTCATTTTGCCCATTAGCCGTCAATCCCATCTCTGGTGGCCAAGAAAGTTAATGCCCAGCTTAGGGCTAGCTAGAGCGTGGTTACACCAACATCCATCAAAATTCTCTTCTTAAGCCACCTTAACCCTTCACATCTACTGAATGCATAGGACTTGACTCAGCGAGACTGGGGCTGTAGGGCTGGGTTGCATTTGGGGTTTCTGTCCCTCGTGTGGACAAAGACAAAGACAGGGGCTGCCTTTTCTGGTTCAGTTTCTACCCATGGATGCTGTCTGCTGAATGCATTCTTGCTGCCCAGTATTATACATTTTTAAAACATCATTTTATTAATATTTAACCCTCACAGTGTTGCTCTTAGGTAATAATTATTACTCCTGTTTTAACTCTGTTGGGGTTCAGAGAAGTTAAATGACTTATCCAAATTACATATTAAAAGCCAGGTCTCGCCCGGATGCAGTGGCTCATGGCTGTAATCCCAGCACTTTGGGAGGCCGAGGCGGGAGAATCGCATAAGGCCGGGAATTTGAGACCAGCCTGGGCAACAGAGAGAGACCCTTGCCTTTACCAAAAAAATTTTAAAAATCCGCCAGGCATGGTGTCACACACCTATAGCTGTAGTCCCAGCTACCTGGGAGGCTGAGGTGGGAGGATCGCTTGAGCCCATAGGTCAAGGTTACAGTGAGCTGTGACTGCACCACTGCACCCCAGCCTGGGTGACAAAGTAAGACTCTGTCTCAAAAATAAAAATAAAAAGAAGGCCGGGCGCCTGTAATCTGTAATCCCAGCACTATGGGAGGCCAAGGTGGGCAGATCTTTTGAGCTCAGGAGTTCGAGACCAGCCTGGCTAACATGGAGAAACCCTATCTCTACTAAAAATACAAAAATTAGCCGGGCTACACGGAAGGCTAAGGCATGAGAATCACTTGAACCTGGGAGGTGGAGGTTGCAGTGAGCCGAGACCACACCACTGCACTCCAGCCTGGGCGACAGAGCAAGACCCTGTCTCAAAACAATAAAAAATAATAAAATTTAAAAATTAAAAATAAAATTTAAAATTTAAAATAAATTTAAAAATTTTTTTTATTTTACTTTAAAAATAAATTTATGTTTTAAAAATTAAAAATAAATTTATGTTTTAAAAATTAAAAATAAAAGCCAGGTCTGTCTGACTTCAATAATCTATGACTTTAAAGTTCTACTATATCCCCTTGCTAATGTTATATGAGCATTTATATAAAGATTAAGGCTGGGTCCCCAGGAATCCAGCAATGGTAGCTGCTCCCCAAAAGTAAGCTCACCAGAACTGGAACTGGCGTGATTTAGGGGTTTGCTTTTCTAAAGCTTATGCTAGGAGTCACAGAACATATTCCTTTTGGAAATGTTCTCTTCAGGGACTTGCCCTCTACTGCTGGTTATTCTCTGTGGCCTGACCTCTGTCTGGATGAAACTGTGTTCATTGTCCTAAAGGCGGCTTTCCTTTGTCTGAATTTGGATATTGACTTAGTATCTTAACATTTCTGTTCCGGGACGGTGCTTGCAACCAAATGGCCAGGAAAGTATTCAGAAGCTCTGCTGAATATAGGAAGAGAGAAAAAATGTTATGCTAATGAAAATTTGCTTTTCTCCCACAGTGTTCCTTTCTGCCGAAATTCTCCATTCATATAGAAACCAAGTATGAGGACAACAAAGGAAGCAATGACACCGTGAGTAGCCCCTCCTTCCATGCTGCGCTCGCCTCGTGGGCTCTGAATATCACAGCACTTCTCACAGCCCCTCTGTGACCAGGGCCAGCAGTGGGACCTGTGCCTGGGACCTCAGAGATGTTCTGGCCTTTGGCTTCTGAGGGTTATTTCCCTGGGACTTTTCCCTGGAATTCTTTTGTTGTCTAGCTTTTCTTTCTTCTCATTTTTATGTACTTTCCCTGGGCCTCTGAGCAGAAGCCTCTGACCTGGGGTGATTGTCATGGAGGTGGAGAGGATGACAGGGCACTTGGAACTCCAAGATTTGGTTTTTGATCATTGGACAGAGTACACATCTTCTCAATGCCTATTAATATCTACTTCGGAAAGGGAATACAATCAAAGATATGTGTACACAGAAAAGGAAATACAGTCAGATGTATGTGTGAACAGAAAAGGAAATACAGGCCTGGTGCAGTGGCTCACGCCTGTAATCCCAGCACTCTGGGAGGCTGAGGCAGGCACATCACCTGAGATCAGGAGTTCAAGACCAGCCTGGCCAACATGGCGAAACCCTGTCTCGACTAAAAATACAAAAATTAGCTGGGCGTGGTGGTGCACACCAGTAATCCCAGCTACTTGGGAGGCTGAGGTAGGAGGATTGCTTGAACCTGGGAGGCAGAGGTTACAGTGAGCCGAGGTTGCACCACTGCACTTCAGCCTGGGCCACAGAGCGAGACTCCATCTCAAAAAAATAAAAAAAGAGAAAAGGAAATAGAATCAGATATGTGTGTGCATACTGCATGCATGCTTACTTACACACATGCGGTGTATGTATACACCCACACATCCTACCTTAAAATCAGGGGGTACCCCCACAAAATATTTACCTCCTGAGGCATTCTGACTTTTACTAAATTTCAGCCAAGTATTTTGCTTATTAGTGTTGGGTAAAACCCATCTTCTGACCTGGCTTTTACCCCCAGGCTCTTTCTGTTTGGGCAGTAAATTTCTAACTTCTCTTTTCTTTGGGGGTGACTGTTTTGACCTACCAAAAGCCTCACCTGGGATTAGGCTGTGGGTTCCCTCAGGACCCGTTGAAAGGAAGAACCTGGATCTAGAAGCTTCGGGGCTTCCCCAGAGTTCATGGAACTTCCCAGAGGAGAGAAAAATACAGCTGGCAGCAGTACTATCCTACCACTCTGTTCAGGAACCCCATCGTTAGTGTCTCCTTGAAGTGGCAGCCCAATGGGAAATGTTTAGGGCCATTTTCCTGTCACAGCCTGAAATCACAGGCGCGTTGCTGGCCAAATTCATCAAAACCACCATGCCTAAAACAGTGTCACACTGTGTTTCAACTTGAATCCTTGTAAAATAGTGATTTTTTTTTTTTTTTTTTTTTTTTTTTTCTGATTAGAAAGCAGCCTGGGCGCGGTAGCTCACGCCTGTAATCCTAGCATGTTGGGAGGCCAAGGTGGGCAGATTGTCTGAGCTCAGGGGTTCAAGACCAGCCTGGGTAACATGGCAAAACCCCATCTCTACTAAAAATACAAAAAATTAGCCGGGCGTGGTGGCGCATGCCTGTAATCCCAGCTACTCAGGAGGCTGAGGCAGGAGAATTACTTGAGCCTGGGAGGCAGAGGTTGCAGTGAGCGCAGATCGCGCCACTGCACTCCAGCCTGGCAACAGAGCGAGACTCTGTCTCAAAAAAAAAAAAAGTTAATACATGGCTATTCAAACTTGGAGAATGCAAAAAGAAAGTATTGAAAAAAGAAAGGAAAAACCAATAGCAATCCCACAATTTAGAGATGACTTCTGTTAGCAATTTGGTTCATGTTGCAGATTATGGACAAATTTATTTTTTAACCAATTCCTCCTGAATTGAATCATATAGTATGTTATTTTTAACATGCCCTGAAGTATGCTTCCCTATAATGATTTTTCCTGGCTGTACCACCTTCCATATTTCAGTGTACTTCTTTAAACAATTGCTGGTCACTGGATATTGAAGTAAGCTTGACTCTTTTCACGTAGCTGTGGACTCTCATGAAAAGGATAATAAAGTTCAGTTGCTTGAATTGCTTTTCCTGGCATAATATGAAAATATGGGGGAATTTTTTTTTTCTTTATAAGACAGGGTCTCGCTCTGTCACCCAGGCTGGAGTGCAGTAGCACGATCTCAGGTCACTGCAGCCTCCACCTCCTGGGCTCAAGCAATCCTCCCACCTCAGCCCCCCTACTGGGACTACGGCACACACAACCGTGCCCAGCTAATTTTTGTGTTTTTTTTAGAGACGTGGTTGTACCATGTTGCCTAGGCTGGTCTCAAACTCCTGGACTCAAGCAATCTGCCTGTCTTGGCCTCCCAAAGTGCTGGGATTACAAGCGTGAGCCACCATGCCTGGCTGGAAAAAAATTTTTTAAATATCTTTTAGTCTTTCCAAACAAATTTCCTTGCTTTCTCTCTTTTTCTCTATGCCTCTATCTCCATGAGTTTATTCAAAACAGCTCTCCATTTGAAGAGGTGTAGAGAGGCCAGGTGCTATGGCTCACACCTATAATCCCAGCACTCTGGTAGGCTGTGGTGGACGGATCACCTGATGTCAGGAGTTTGAGACCAGCCTAGGCAGCATGGTGAAACCCCATCTCTGCAAAATTAAAAAATTAGCCAGGCGTGGTGGCACACACACCTGTGGTTGCAGCTACCTGGGAGGCTGCAGTGGGAGAATCGCTTGAGCCCAAGAGGTCAAGCCTGCAGTGAACCATGTTTGCACCTCTACACTCCAGCTTGGGTGACAGAGTGCCACCTAAAAATAAAAAAGAGGTGCAGAGGGGACACGTGGCCTCACTGTGATCCCTATAGATTGGTGGGACCACTGTAATCTGGTTTATCCTCTGCCCAGTTCAAATCATCCCCAAAATTCATATGGTTATTGTGTATTATTATACATCCTTTTTTGGCAGGTGCTCAGGTTTTTTGACTACTCTCCTAGGAATTTAAAATAACAGGTTATCCACCTTACAATCAGGATCCAGGCCCATGCCAAGGGCCAGGCCCCTTTGAGACTTAGGCTGGGCTGCAAGAGAAGCACCTATCACCTATTCACTCTGTGCAGTCCTTGGACACAGTTTGCTTCCTCTAGGAGAAATCTCAGCTGTTGTAGCCTGGCTTGCCTCCCTCTCCCCAGAATGTGGACTCTGGAACTGCCCAGGGGACCTGCTGCTTGTCTGCCTGTCATGGCACCCAACTTGCCCAAGCCCCAGTCCTGCCATCTTGTTACACTAAAGAGGCCCTAAATGTGTTTTTGGCCCAGTTGCCACCCCCTGCCCCCCAGGCTCTGCTTGACCCTGCTCCACGGACCCCAGGTCTTGCTCCTGAGGCCATTGGACCACACGGCCCAGCCCCACTTCATTAGACTTCTTTGCCAATTTGCCCTCCTCTGTTTTACATATTCAGCGGCTGTTGGTTGTCCAGCAGATTCAAAGTTGGTCCCAGAAAGGCAGAAAAGGAGCGTTGCGCCGAGGCACGGTGGCTCACGCCTGTAATCCCAGCACTTTGGGAGGCTGAGGTGGGTGGATACCTGAGGTCAGGAGTTTGAGACCAGCCTGGCCAACATGGCGAAACCTCGTCTCTACTAAAAATAGAAAAATTAGCTGGGCATGGTGGCGTGCACCTGTAATCCCAGCTACTCAGGAGGCTGAGGTTGGAGAATTGCTTGAACCCGGGAGGCAGAGGTTGCCGTGAGCAGAGATTGCGCCACTGCACTCCAGCCTGGGTGACAAGAGTGAAACTCTGTCTCAAAAAAAAAGAAAAGAAAAGAAAAGGAGGGCTGCATCCGTTTCCATTCATACTTGTTAATACTTCAAAATCTGAACATAAGAAGTATATATTTATCTAACAATTCTTTAATTACTAAACGCTAGCTTTATCTAGCCAGGGATTCAAAACTGGTGTTTTAAGCCAAGGAGTGTGCTGGTGTGCTCTTTTTCTGTCCTGGGTTGAGTGTGGAGTTTTTGGTGGGAGGCAGAGTTGCTAAGGAAAGCAGTGCAGTAGTGGATAATTCTCTTGTCTCACCGCGTTTCCAAACTATTTAATAAACTCAGTTCATTTCTTTGCACTTTCTGGGTGTACACTCTTATCATTCAGCTACCATCCTTCATACTGCTATCTGCACTGTTTCCTCCCCTACCTGCCAAAAATTTAATGAAATTGATGACGATAAGAAGCAATAATTAAATTGAAAGAGGCTGCTGATAGTCATATTGATGATAGTGGTTGAATCGAGTACATGTTGTTATCCTATTATCAATTACCATATAAGTAATTTTTTGACGTGACCCAATATCTAGTAAAAAAAAAAAAAATAGTGGCAGTATGAGTAAATATCTTCCTTGTTAAAAATAAAACCAGTATACGTATGATTGTGAAAACCTGCAAACTGTGATTACATTAACCAGGATGCAATGGGGAAGTTGTCTTAAACTGAGGCCCATTTATTTTATGCACATACTTATGAGAATTACTTGGGCCTTCATTCGTGCTAGGGAGGACGGCACCGTGCCAAGGTAAGGTTCCGTTGTTTATCCAAGGCCATAAATCTAGGCCTGTGAGAGTCCGTGCTTAGCACTGCCTGGTTCAGCTGAATGAGAGGCTGCCCATGTGGTGACGGCTGCCAGGTTACTGGTGTTCAATGGGGTTAATGGGGGCAGCCTTGCTACTTTACTTCCTCTTCCAAACAAAGCAGGCACCATTTAAAGCAGTGGTTCCCAGCCTTGGCTGCACATTGGATTCACCTGAGAAGTTTTAACAACTCATGCCTGGGTCCCAGCCCCTGGGATTTTATTTAATGGGTCCTGGGCGCAGGCTGGTCTAAACCAGCCAATAAGCATGAAGGACAGAACACTCACTTCCAGAACACCAAATTCTCCAGCTGGCAGTGTGTGCAGTTTTAGAGTCTACCCTGAGGCTGAACCTGATATGTTCCCTCAGGAGACATTGGCTATGCTGTCCCCACCCCTGAGAGGGTCTAGACCAGCAGTTCTCAATCACAGCTGCCTATTAAAATCACCTGGGCCAGGCGGGGTGGCTCACACCTGTAATCCCAGCACTTTGGGAGGCCGAGGCGGGAGGATGGCTTGAGCTCAGGAGTTTGAGACCAGCCTGTCCAACATGGTGAAACCTCGTCTCTACTAAAAATACAAAAATTAGCTGGGTGTGGTGGTGCATGCCTGTAATCCCAGCTACTAGGGAGGCTGAGGCAGGAGAATTGTTTGAATCTGGGAGGCGGAGGTTGCAGGGAGCCGAGATCACACCACTGCACTCCAGCATGGGCAACAGAGCGAGACTCCTTCTCAAAAAAAAAAAAAAAAATCACCTGGGAAGATTTAGCCATCACTGATGCTGCTGTCCCAGCCCTGGGGATTCTGATTTCATTGGTCTGAGGTGGGGTTGAGGCATTGGGATTCTTTTTTTTTTTTTGAGATGGAGTCTCACTCTGTCACCCAGGCTGGAGTGCAGTGGCGCGATCTCAGCTCACTGCAAGCTCCGGCCTTCCAGGTTCACGCTATTCTCCTGCCTCAGCCTCCAGAGTAGCTGGGAGTACAGGCGCCCGCCACCACGCCTGGCTAATTTTGTGTGTGTGTGTGTGTGTGTGTGTGTGTGTTTGTGTGTGTGTGTGTTTGTGTTTAGTAGAGATGGAGTGTCACTGTGTTAGCCAGGATGGTCTCGATCTCCCGACCTCATGATCCGCCCGCCTCGGCTTCCCAAATTGCTGGGATTACAGGTGTGAGCCACCATGCCCGGCCGGCATTGGGATTTTTACAGTTCCCCCAGGTGAATCTAAGGGGCAACAAGACTGAGAACTATAGATTTAAAGAAATAGTAAGTGCTATTTAAAACCAACACTTAGGAAAACAAATGTTTTCACTCCTTTATACTCCTGGAAAATAGGACAGTTTACAAAAGGCATATGTAAACCCCACTCCATTCCACTCCCACTCACACAATAAAAAGACCTGGGTAACATATGTGTTCTCATTAGCCACATATCACCAAGGACATTATTTCTTGGCAAAGAAACTCCTCTGATAAAATGAAGAGAATGTCCAGTTTAGTTCCTGGAAACATGAAGCTCTGTCTTTCACAGGGGTCTCCTTGGAAGCTGCCTAAAAGAAGTGTCTGGAATGTATTTCATTTCTAGCTCCTCTGTGTGGTAATGAAAGAACACAAAGTTGTTCTTTGTGAAACAGAAAGATCAGTATTGAAGTTCCAGTTATCACCATAAGCCTAAGGCTTGGTTTCTTTATTTAAAAAAAAAATAGGATAAATAATGCTTCCATCAGGGTGTAGAGGATGCATAGAGGTTCATTTACATGGAAGCACTTCATAAACTGTGAAGTGCCATGCAAATAAGAGACATGATTACTGTGATGGCCACACCTCGGGATTAACTGCACTCATGATGATTTCCCAATGAGACTCTGATTTTGTCTCAAGTGTCAATGAACCATTTGCTGTTCAACAAGTTTTGAGCACCTACTATGTCCCAGGCATTAGGAGAAGGATCGGGGATACAGCATTAAGACAAACCAGCCCTCCAGGCCGGTTGCAGTGGCTCACGCCTGTAATCCCAGCACTTTGGGAGGCAGAAGCAGCCAGATCACCTGAGGTCGGGAGTTCGAGATCAGCCTGACCAACATAGAGAAACCCCATCTGTACTAAAAATACAAAAAATTAGCTGGGCATGGTGGCGCATGCCTGTAATTCCAGGTACTCAGCAGGCTGAGGCAGGAGAATCACTTGAACCTGGGAGGCAGAGATTGCAGTGAGCTGAGATCGTGCCATTGCACTCCAGACTGAGCAACAAGAGTGAAACTCCATCTCAGAAAAAAAAAAAAAAAAAACCAGACAAACCAGCCCTCCATTAATCATGGAGTAGGGGAAGCAGATAATAGGCAAGTAAACAAACAAAAGAATTGCAGCTGTGCTAAGTGCTAGGAAAGCTATAAACAGACTAGAGGGAGCTCAGCCTGAGGCCATGTGGTCAGAAAGGCCCCTCAGAAGACACAAGTCCACTTGAGGCTTGAGTATGGGAAGGAGCCAGCCCTATGAGATATATGTTCCCCCACCCCAGGTTCATACGTGGAAGCTTTAGAATGTGACTGTGCATGGAGACAGGACCTTTAAAGAGGGGATTAAGTTAAAATGAGGCCATTAGAGTGGGTCCTAATCCAGTCTGACTGGTGTTCAGATAAGAAGAGAACACTTGGGCACATAAAGAGACTCTAGGCTGGGTGTGGTGGCTCACAGCTGGAATCCCAGCACTTTGGGAGGCTGAGGCGGGCGGATCGCTTAAGCTCAAGAGTTCAAGACCAGCCTGAGCAACGTGGCAAAACCCCATCTGTACATAAGAAATGCAAAAACTAGCCAGATGTGGTGGCACACACCTGTAGTCCCAGCTACTCAGGAGGCTGAGATGGAAGGATCACTTGAACCCAGGAAGCAGAGGTTTCGGTGAGCCAAGATCGTGCCACTGCACTCCAGCCTGGGTGATAGAGAGAGACGCTGTCTCAAAAACAAACAAGCAGACTCTTTGGGTGCAACACGTGAAGACGTAGGGAGAAGGCAGCCATCCGCAAGTCAAGGAGGAGGTCTCTGAAGAAATCAACCCTGCAGGCACATTGATCTTGGACTTTCAGCCTCCAGAGCTGTGAGACAATTAATTAGATTTTGTTGTTTACACCACCCAATCTGTGGTGTTCTGTTATGGCTGACCCCACAAACTAATGCAGGGAGCAAAGGCCCTGGACCCTAACACAGCCTCACATATTCCAGGAACTGTTGGAAAACCACTGGCTAGAGCATTAGGAGTGAGAATAAGTAGACTGGCAGGAACTGAGGTTGAAAATGTAGTAAAAGCTAGATCACGCAAGAGCTATGGGGCCATGGCAGAGTGTGGATTTCAGTGCAGTGGGAACTTATTCAAGGATTTTAAACAAAGGAATAACAAGATACTGTTCGTGGAGTTTTTTAAAATTTTTTATTTGGGGATAATTTTAAATTTATACTAAAGTTGGCTGGGTACAGTGGCTTATTTTCCAGCACTTTGGGAGGCTGAAGCGGGCAGATTACCTGAGGTCAGGAGTTTGAGAAGACCAGCCTGGCCAACATGGTGAAACCCTGTTTCTACTTCAAAAAAAAAAAAAAAAAAAATTAGCTGGGCGTGGTGGTGCATGCCTGTAATCCCTGCTACTCAGGAGGCTGAGGCAGAAGAATCACTTGAACCTGGGAGACAGAGGTTGCAGTGAGCCGAAATTGTGCCACCGCACTCCAGCCGGGGTGACAAGAGCAAAACTCCATCTCAGGAAAAAAAAAAATGTATACTAAACTTGCGAAGATTGTGCACAGGGTTCTCAAATACCCTCTACCCAGTTTCCCCTTACCTAACCATGATTCCACTGCCAAAACTACAGACTTCATTCAGATTTCACCAGTTTTCCCAATAATGTACTTTTGCTTCTGTTCCAGAATCCAGATTAGGACACCCCATTACATTGGTTGATTTATGTTTTAAAATGTTTGCTCTGGCTGTTCTGTGGAGAATTAGTGAAAGGCAAGACTGGAAGCAGGGAGTCCAGTTGGTAGGCTATTGGAATGATCCAGACCAAGATGGTGGTTTGAGCTGGAAAGATGGCAGAGGATAAAGAGGGGAGGAAGGGATCTATTTTGAAAACAGAGTGACTTTCTGTTAGAATTGATGCGGGGCATGAGAGGGGAACAAAATAGGGATGATCTCAGGCTTTCTAGCTCTGCCTAGTGGGCCTGGGTAAGTGGTGGTGCCATTGCCATCATGGGAAACAGTGGAGGAGAAGCAGGTTCTGAGAAGAAAAGCAAGAGCGCCATTTAGTCATGATGACTTTCAGATACCAATGAGACTGCCAAGTGGAAATGAGGGGTAAGAAGTTGGATATTGGCCAGGTGTTGTGGCTCTCACCTGTAATCCCAGTGCTCTGGGAGGTCAAAGCAGGAGGATCGCTTGCACCCAAGAGTTCAAGGCCAGCCTGGGCAACATGTTGAGACCCCCATCTCTACAAAAAAAAAAAAAAATTTAATTAGCTGGACATGGTGGCACACACCTGTCATCCCAGCTACTCAGGAGGCTGAGGTGGGAGGATCGCTTGAGCCCAGGCAGTCAAGGCTGCAGTGAACCATGATCAAGCCACCATACTCCAGCCTGGGCAACAGAGCGAGACTCTGTCTCAAAAGAAGAAGAAGAAGAAGTTGCATATGCATATGAATCTGGCATTCAGAGAGGGATGTGGGTCATGATTTTTATCTAGGGAGAGGAGTGACAGAAAAGAGAAGTTTCTAGATGCTCCGAGATAGAGATTGCCCAGGTCCTAAGAAGGACCTTCTGATGGCTTCCAGGTCCAGCTTCTCGTTGTTATCTTTATTCCTTGGTTAAGACTAATTTTCAATCACTGGGCTGTGCTTGGTTTTAGGAAATAAACGATCTCATTAATTTAACCACAAAGATTTACTTAGAGAGATCTAATTTCTCCCCCTGGGTGCCTCCTTCGGGTAAATTGCATAAACATCTCAATGTCTTGACTGGGCTCAACTTGCATGGCTTTGGAGAGAAATGTTCTCTTCCTGACTACAAGTAGCTTCCCCTGGAAGTTACCAGCTGACAAAGAGGGAATTTTAGCATTTCAGGAGAGCTGTATTTATTGAGGCTTGCTATGACAATAGCCATCGTGAAGTTTGTTTTCTTTCTTTTTTATTTTTTGAAACGGAGTCTCACTTTGTCACCCAGGCTGGAGTGCAGTGGCGTGATCTCACCTCACTACAATCTCTACCTCTCAGGTTCAAACGATTCTATTGCCTC
Organism: Homo sapiens; assembly: GCF_000001405.40. NCBI lineage: Eukaryota > Metazoa > Chordata > Mammalia > Primates > Hominidae > Homo > Homo sapiens. The sequence goes on from NC_000017.11 coordinate 67,588,121, forward strand.
AGCCTCCAGAGTAGCTGGGACTACAGGTGCGCGCCACCACACCCAGCTAATGTTTATATTTTTAGTAGAGACGGGATTTCACCATGTTGGCCACGCTGATCTTGAACTCCTGACCTCAAGTGATCTGCCCACCTCGGCCTCCCAAAGTGCTGGGATTACAGGCGTGAGCCACCGTGCCCAGCCGTGAAGTCTGTTTTCTAATTAGCACAGTAGTCCCTGCTTCTCCGAGGTTTCACTTTCTGCAGTTTTAGTTCCCTGCAGTCAAATGCAGTCCAAAAATATTAAATGGAAAATTCCAGAAAAGAATAATTCCTAAGTTTTAAATTGCATGCTGTTTTGAGGAGCAACATGAAATCTCATACCGTCCTGCCCCACCCCACCCAGGGCACGAAGCCTCCCTTTGTCCGTCAACTCTGCTCTGTATATGCTACACGCCTGTTAGTTACTTAGTAGCTGTCTCGGTTATCACATCAAAAGAAAAAAAATAGAGCGTGTATAGAGTTTGGTACTATCTGAGGTCTCACACATCCAGTGGGAGTCTCAGAATATATCCCCCTCGGCCAAGGTCGGGGACAACTGCATTTGTATTTGTAACTCCAAGAGGACAACATAGATGGATGGATGTTAACACATTTCAAAATGTACTAAAATTAATTTGTAAAGCAGGAGTGCCAGTGGGAACTGCAGAATCCATATTTACAGGTCTCTGGAGCTGATTATCTCTTCCTTAAATGGCTTCTAATTGAGGATTACAGAAAGAAAAAAAGCATTTGCTTTATTTTTAGACGTGATCTCTGATGTCTTCAACTTTTATCGTTCTGTTTTTAACCTTAGATTATTATAACCAGCCACCTACAAAATCTGCAATTTTCTCTAATAAGTCAGCACCTGTTAAAAAGGAGGTTGCACAAAACACTCCCATTTGCAGTTTGGAAGGATTATTATCTGCTTTGGTCTGTGAAGTGGAAAGTCAATGTTCTTATTCAATCTGTGTCTAATGGTGTCATTTTGAGGACAATGGAAAACAGATCATGTTTGATTCCTTAAGATGTGGCCACTGCTATTTGTGGTACAATTTGTGATCTGAGAGCTGCATGTAAAAAACACATGAGCAAAAAGAATATCCAGCACACAAGGGCTGGCTTTCTGATTCTCAGAGGTATAGTGACAACACAGCTTACCTCTGCATTCAAAGAAGCTAGAACTTACCGCGGATAATCATTAGTAGAAGACAGCTTAAAGTAGTGTCTGCTTTCTGGCTAGGCCTGATTCACAGGTGCTGTGATAAATTCAAAAAGACCTGCCTCCTCTGATGTGCTAGTATCAAGGGTGAGGGAGACAGTTAACCAAACTGGTCAAAAGCATTGTCAGCAAAGACCTGGTGCTGAATCATGTTGGGAAACTGGAGTTTGGAGCTAGAGAGGCAATACCAAGTATCAAGGTCTGAATGTCCACTTTGTAACCACTGTAGTAATAATTGACTCAAAAAAAAAAAAAAAAGCCATCAATGGATGCTAAGACCGTTGAGCAAAACAAGTATTGGGTACAGGATATATCACCACCAATGCTGGGTGTGTTAGCTCACACCTATAATCTCAGTACTTTGGGAAGCCAAAGTAGGTGGATCATCTGAGTTCAGGAGTTCGAGACCAGCCTGGCCAACATGGTGAAACCCCATCTCTACTAAAAATATAAAAAATAGCCAGACGTCATGGCACATGCCTGTAATCCCAGCTACTCGGGAGGCTGAAGCAGGAGAATCTCTTGAACCCAGGAGGTGGAGGTTGCAGTGAGCTGAGATCATACCACTGCACTCCAGCCTGGGTGACAGAGTGAGACTCTGTCTCAAAAGGAAAGGAAAGGAAAGGAAGAACAGGAAAAAAAAGACATGCAGAGAGGACAAACCAGAAAATAATGAGATTGGCTACCTACAGTGGGGGTGTGTGGAAACGGGGTAGAGATGGTGAGAGAAGCACTACCTCTGGGAGTATACCTTTTTGAATCATTCAACTTTTGAAATCATGTTAATGTTTTCCCCACTCAAAAATAATGAAACCAAATCAACAGGGATTAGGCAGGGGGTTGGTGGGGTGGAAGATACTAAAATAGAATTAAAACGAAATAAATGAACCTAACTGTATTTTAAAAGAAATAAAATAGCCACACTGAAAAGGAGAGAAAAAGACCTTTCCCAAGGAATTCTCAATTACACAGCACTCTGACTATGTATCCTCAGTCGGAAGACAATAAGAATTGTAAACAAATACTGAATTCTAAGTAATAAGTTTGTTTCTTACTGTAGTATGGGCTAATACTACTGAAACTATTTTTTGTGTAATTTAAGTTTGAGCAAATACACAACCCTAGGGCCTACCTGTAGAAGAAAATCACCATTTGCAACTATCATAATAGTAATTGATTTAGTAGTAAACATCATTGAATGCTAAAACTAGTATGTGAAAAGTTTGATGAGGAACAGGATATTTACATGGACTAAGAGTATTTCTCTGCAAGTGACTTACTAATGGAAAATGGAAATAGAAATAATTTTACAATAGACAGCCAGGCACAGTGGCTCACACCTGTAATCCCAGCACTTTAGCAGGCCGAGGTGGGTGGATCACCTGAGGTCAGGAGTTGGAGACCACGGTGAAACCCCATCTCTACTAAAAATACAAAAAGATTAGCCGGGCGTGGTGGTGGGCACCTGTAATCCCAGCTACTGGGGAGGCTGAGGCAGGAGAATCACTTGAACCTGGGAGATGGAGGTTGCACTGAGCCAAGAATGTGCCATTGCACTCCAGCCTGGGCAACAAGAGCGAAACTCTGTCTCAAAAAAAAAAAAAGAAAGAAAGAAAGAAAGAATTTTACAATAGACATACCTGGTGTATACCACCTTAACCAAATGTCTGTAACGTTATCAATCCTGGAACAAACTAGCATCAGAAATGATATGATGTGCTGAAAAAGACGCATCACCTCTTTAGTGTTCTTGTCAAAAACAAACAAACAAACAAACAAACAAAAAACCCATAAGCTAAATCTAATCATAAGGAAACTTTACACAAACTCAGATTGATGGGATTCTATAAAATAGCTGGCCTGTACTCTCCAAAATTGTTGAGGTCATGAAAGACAAAGAAAGGCTGATGAATTATTTTAGATTAAAGAAGACTAAAGAGATGAGACTACTAAATGCAGTATGATCCTGGACTGGAACCTAAACTGGAGAAAAAGAGCCCAAAGGATATTACTGGGTAATCGGCAAAATTTAAGTAGGGACTGAGGATTAGATAATAGTATTATATCAATGTTAAACTTCCTAATTTTGATCGTTGTTTTGTAATCAGGTGAGAGACTGTCTTTATTCTTAGGAAATTCACCCTGAAATATCTAGAGGTCAAGGGACATATCTGCAATGTTTTCTCAAATGTGAAAGACAAAGCAAAAGAAGCAAATGTTAACGGCTGGAGAATCTGGGTAAAGGGTGTTCAGGGATTTTCTGATATTTCTTGATTTTTTTTATATTCTTGCAATTTTTTGACATGTTTGACATTATATTAAGATTTAAAGTCACAATTATTTATTGATTTAAAAATTTTTTTGGGAGACAGGGTCTTGCTGTGTCACCCAGGCTGGAGTGCAGTGGCACCATCACGGCGTACTGCAGCCTCAACCTCCTGGGCTGAAGCAATCCTCCCACCTCAGCCTTCTTAGTAGCTGGGACTACAGGAGCACATCACCATGCCCAGCTAATTTTTTTTTTTTTTTTGTAGAGATGGGCATCTCGCTGTGTTGCCCATGCTGGTCTTGAACTCCTGGGCTCGAATGATCCTCCCACCCCAGCCTCCCAAAGTGCTGGCATTATAGGAGTGAGTCACCACACCCAGCGCAATGATTTTTTAAAATTAAAATTGAAAGAGCAAAAAATGGTATAAGGAATGTAACTAAAGATAAAAGAATTTTGTTATAGGCAGACAGTGTGTCTAAACTGAAAACCTAAGAGAATTTACAAATTATCTTAAATAGAATACTAAATAGTTAAAATGATAGCAAAATGATTATGTTCAGAAGGGTTACTGGCTATCAGATCAACTTACAAATATCAATGATATTCCATATATGAGTAATAATTAGAAAATATTAATCCCATCATCAATAGCAACATAACATTAAGGTACCCAAGAACAAATCTAACTTTTCTAGACGAAATTATTATCAAAGGACCTAACAAAGACCTGAACAAATTATAAATACTCCATGTGCATGGAGCAAAAGACTAAATACTGTAAAGAAATAAGTGATTTCCTAAATCAGTCTCCAAATTAAATGTAATTCCAATCAACATCTCAACAGGATTGTCATAAATTGTAAAATCAGATGGAAAAATAAAAGTCAAAAGATAGCTGAGACAAATTTTGAACAAAGAACAAGGAGGCGAAGTTCATCATATCTGATAACAAAATCATATGAAAGAATGTGGTATTTGCACAAAGATAGAAATAAACGTAAGCTGATCATGTGAATTTGATACATAATAGATAATGTGTCTCCAATCAGTGGGAAGGAAAGATAACTTTCTCAGTAAATGACATTAAGTGAGTTGACATTTCATAGGGAAAACTAAAATAATAGGCTGGACACAGTGGCTCATGCCTGTAATCCCAGCACTTTGGGAGGCCAAGGCAAGAGGATCACTTGAGTCCAGGAGTTCAAGGCCAGCCTGGGCAACATAGCTAGACCCCATCTCTGCAAACAATAAAAATAATTAGCCAGGCATGGTGATGTAGGCCTGTAGCTCCAGCTACTTGTGAGACTGAGGCAGGAGGATCACTTGAGCCTGGGAGGTCAAAACTGCAGTGAGTCATGATGGCGCTACTACACTTCCATCTGGGCAACAGAGAAAGACCCTGTCTCAAGAAAAAAAGAAAGAAAAGAATGGATCCCTACCTCACTCCATATTCAAAAATAAATTCCAAAAGTGTTTACAAACCTGACCATGGAAACCATTAAAATCATTTAAGAATATCTTATTTATGGATGCAGATGCATTTATATGTTACATAAAATACAAAGTTTATTTTAAAATGTGGACTAAGTTCACAATAAATTTATGATAGCTGTCAGCCAGGTGTGGAAGAGGAAGGGATTTCAACTATAAGTGTGAAATTTTCTCTTTTTTTTTTTTTTAAGTAGGGACAGAATCGGAATCAAATATGACAAAATAATTACATATGTTTGACTGGTGGGTAGTGGCTGTTTTTTGGCTTTTTGATTTTTTGTTTTGTTTTCTTTTTTAGATGGAGTCACCCTTTGTCACCCAGGCTGGAGTGCAGTGGTGTGATCTTGGCTCACTGAACCTCTGCCTCCAGGGTTCAAGCGACTCTCCTGCCTCAGCCTCCCAAGTAGCTGGGATTATAGGTGCATGCCACCACACTATGCTAATTTTTACATTTTTAGTAGAGACGAGGTTTCACCGTGTTGGCCAGGCTGGTCTCAAACTCCTGGGCTCAAGCAATCTGCCCTCCTTGACCTTCTAAAGTGCTGAGATTACAGGCGTGAGCCATGTTTTTTATATGATTTTTTATATTCTTGATATTGATCTTTTGAGTTTTGAAAAAGAAAATATTCATCTGAGTCTTCTGTTCCATGAAACTCAAACCTCTTTAATTCTTTGTGATCCACTGTTAGCCTCAGTCACTGGCTCTGCAGTTGTTTCCCAAATGTTTGGCTCCTTTTCCCCCTCATAATTACTGTGGGAATACAGTGTACGTCACTTAAAAAAAATAAGGCACAGCTTTGCTGTTTATTTACCTAGAGCTTTGTGTTTATGTTTGTTGAGTCCAGTGGATGGTGCCTTGGTGGGTGGATTGCTCATGACAGAGGATGGACAGCAATCTTGGGTCGTGGAGCATTTTGGTGGAGAACACTTGAGGAATCTGCCAAAAGCTAGCAGCTGGTCAGGCCCAGTTAGTAGGATTCTGTACTAGAATCAGAGAAATCACCAGCCTTCGACCAAATAGGGTCCAAAGCAGGGCTCTGCAGCCAAGTGATAACGGGACTTCGCTGTTCTGAACTTCCCCAGCTGTGTAAAGGGGAAAATGGCACCCACTTCAGAGAGAATTGAGAGGATGCAGTGAGATGCTGCATGTCAAATGCTTCATAAACCATAGTTCTCTTTTCTCTTTCACTTCAGTTATACCTCATGGGAACCACTTCAGAGTGGACTCTTGGAGATCCACAAATGGGGAAGTCAGTGTAACTTGGGGAGTCCAAGTTCTCACGTTTCTGAAGTCTGCAGTCCCTATTCCTTTTTCACCACCCAGAGGCATCCTCAGACATGAGTTGATAAGTCACGTCTCCAGGGACTTTTGAGTTCACTTTTTCAAAGTGGAGAAAGGAGTGGTTACTGGTGCAAGCAGCAGACCCTCTGCCTTGTGGCCTCCTGCTTGGAGGTTGGGGATTCTGGTTTCAGACACAGTCCTTCCTTGGGTTTTACTCATCTGTAAGGGATCCTGCTTGGCACAGCTCTGTTCCAAGAGGTGAGAGCCATCTATGCTGTTGTTCCCAGTTAATCATCAACAGAACCGTGGCAGAATGGAGACAGGATGAAGACTGTAGGCACTAGAGTCAAACCAGGTGTCTTTGAATCCCAAGTCAACTCCTTAGCAGCTAGTTAAGTCATGTTACTTCACTTCCGTGTGCCCCTGTCAAATGAGTATCATGATAGTTCCCACTCATAGGGTACTTGTGAGGATTAAATGTGTTAAGCCTGAAAAGTGCACAGAATAGAGCTTTGTACACATTTTAGACATTCAGCATGTTTTAACACGGCCATTGTTTTTCATGTTTTAACAACTTTACAAATGAAACGCATATTAGAGTTGATGGCATGTTACAATTACAAGTGGCAGCATTTTTTCTTTTTCGGTGGTATAGTTGGTGGCATCTTAGAATCAATGAATTAATTCAGCATGATATCTCCTTTTGCATAGGATATTGAGATGTACATCATGAGTGCATTTCAGTACTGAATAGTGTTTGCATATCAAATGTGAACACTGAACTGAATTCTGCCAAAGTCAAGTCATTGAATAATAAGCTATTCAGTTGTTCAGGCCTGGAAGGTTGTTTGTTAACTTTTTCCAGGGCACTGGCTGGCTTCCTAATAATGCAAATGACTTGATAGAACTCTGAAAAGGGAACCATTGAATCTTCTTCCCCTTGGACATCCAGAGCCATCATCTTTATAAAATGGATTTCTTACTAAAAATCCCTGGATGCCATCTATCTGATACACCTTCAAGGACAAAGTCTCAGCTAGTATTTTAGTTTTTTTTTTTTTTTAATGTGGGGCAAGGGGATAATAGGAGCTGAGCTTACAGAAAAGAAGTTAATGATTTCCAATGGACATGATTTCAAAGCAATTTCTGCCTTTTGATGCGCTGAAATCATTGCTTCCATCTGCTCCCCTACTTGTACACAGGGCTCTGCTTTTTAACCATGCAGTGTGTCAGCTGTTGCCCACCAAATTCTGCACTTGATCTTCTGAGACTGATGGCGATTCTCTATGAATAATATTAAGCTATTAAATCACATTTAAATCCTATTTCTCCACTAATACCTATTGAAGGCCTGTTTATATTCCATCAGATTTTTATGGCCATTTGGTACATAAATTTGTTAAATATAAACTTCATGGAGCTTCATCTGAAAATGTTTCATCTTGTTCCCAGTCCTGTAAAGACATGGTCATAAATACCTTTGGACTATGCAAACCATTATCTAGAGTAATTTTAATTATCTTTAGCTATGCCGATCAGATGATAATAAATAGATGTTGAAAAGCATCAGCAAAATGCCATCATGGAAGAGATACTCAGGGGTAAAACCAAATAATTGACCATTTGGTGCTGAAACATTTTATTATCATTCCTACAAAGGTTCAGAAATCTATCATGAGATTGGGTTTGTTATGAACTCAACATCACCTTGGTTGGGATGTCAAAACTAGAGTAAATTATTGAAATGAAATATGAAACATATTAAGGAACGTCCTCGGGAATGAAGGACACTGGAAAGACTGAATTTTCTAGTAACTTAATTTCGATCTATGGGTGAAGCTTTGTTTTCAGCACCCAGCTATATTTGCTTGGAACCATCTGGGTCTCTTGGAATAGATAATGTTAAACCAGATACACTAGTTGTACACGTGGTATGTCTTTATTGGGGGCTTTTGGTAACAGTTTAAGATAGAAAAAAAAGTATTGCTTTAAAAAAAAAGTGATCCTTGGTACTCACGGGTAACAACATTCTGCTTTGGCTAAGAGTTTACGTAACTGCATACTGTTCCCTATTTCTTTGTTGTTGTTGTTGTTTTGTATTTTTGTTGTTATTGTTTTTCTTTTGAGATAGAGTCTCGCTCTGTCGTCCAGGCTGGAGTGCAGTGGCCCGATCTCGGCTCACTGCAACCTCTGCCTCCTAGGTTCAATCGATTCTCCTGCCTCGGCCTCCTGAGTAGCTGGGATTACAGGTGTGAGCCACCACGCCTGGCTTGAGAGATGGAAGATCAGACTCGATTTGCTCATGTTGTTCCTAACCTTTATTCTAAACTGATAAAAATGTAAAGTCATCTGATTTCAAGACTGATTGTTCCCTTGGGTGTTCCTTAATTCCCTAGAGGCCGAGTAAATTCTTATGGTTTAAAGGCTCTTCCCCCTTGCTTTTCTATACTCCCTTGGGTTTGTTTTTAAAATGATAGTGTTCTGAACCAATTTTTTTTTTTCTTTTTGAGACAGAGTCTTCCTCTATCACCCAGGCCGTAGAGCAGTGGCACAATTTCAGCTCACTGCAACCTCCACCTCCTGGGCTCAAGTGATCTTCTCACCTCAGCCTCCCAAGTAACTGGGACTATAGGCACTTGCCACCATGCTCGCCTAATTTTTTAATTTTTTGTAGAGATGAAGTCTTCCTATATTACCCAGGCTGATCTTGAACCCCTGGGCTCAAGTGATGCCCCCACCTTGGCCTCCCAAACTGCTGGGATTATAGGCATGAGCCACCATGCCTGGCCCCAAATAATTTATATAAGCCATTTATCATAGTTCCTGACATATCATAGATGTTCAGTAAATATCAATTATCTTCCTCAGGCTGAGCATGGTGGCTCACGCCTGTAATCCCCGCACTTTGGGAGGCCAAAGTGGGTATCTTACTTGAAGTCAGGAATTCGAGACCAGCCTGGCCAACATGGCAAAACCCCATCTCCACTAAAAATACAAAAATTAGCCAGGCGCGGTGGCACACACCTGTAATCACAGCTACTCAGGAGGCTGAGGCAGGAGAATCACTTGAATACGGGAGGTGGAGGTTGCAGTGAGCTGAGATCATGCTGCTGTACTCCAGCCTAGGCGACAGAGTGATTGAGACTCCATCTCAACAAAAAAAGGAAAGAAAAAAACAGTTATCTTCCTCAATCCCTTTGTGTTAAGTTCCTAGTGGAAATTTGAGAAGTCCTTTATTTTACATTTAAAAGATAGGATGCTTTTAATGGTGCCTTAATTCATCGTACAAGAAACATTTGTTAAACATCTATTCGGCACCAGGGGTTGTTAGGCTGGTGGAAGGGACAGGTACTCTCATTGCAAGGCAGTGGGGTAGGCTCTATGGAGAACACATGCTAGAGGGTGAGAATGGGTAGACAGGCAAGATCGTGATGCAGGGAGAGACTGGTAGAGAACACAGGAGATTTTTGCAGTAGATCAGATGATAGAGAATGCAGCCCGAGATTTAAAGCAGTGACAGTAGAAATAGAGAGGAGACGCTGGGTGCGGTGGCTCATGCCTGTAATCCCAGCACTTTGGGAGGCCGAGGCAGGCGGATCACGAGGTCAGGAGATCAAGACCATCCTGGCCAACGTGGTGAAACCCCGTCTCTACTAAAAATACAAAAATTAGCTGGGAGTAGTGGTGCGTGCCCGTAATTCCAGCTACTTGGGAGGCTGAGGCAGGAGAATCGCTTGAACCAGGGAGTCGGAGGTTGCAGTGAGCCAAGATCACGCCACTGCACTCCAGCCTGAGAGTGATCTCCAGCACTCCAGAGTGAGACTCCGTCTCAAAAAAAGAAAAGAAAAGAAAAGAAATATAGAGGAGAGAATTAGGAAGACAGAGAGAGATTGGTGCCTAGTTAGGATGGAGCAATTAGCTCAGTGGTCTGAGATAATTCAGGTTTTTGTAACGAATGGGTGTTCGTGCTACCAACTAAGGCGAGGAATTTTTTTTAAGTGGTTTAGGAGATGCCATGGTGCCCCTCACCCCCAAATTCCTATGTTAAAATCCTAATCACCGCAAGGTGATGGCATTAGGAGGTGAGGCCTTTGAAGGTGCTTAGGTCTTAAGGGCCCCAGAGAGACCCCTTAGGTTTTAAGGGCCCCAGATAGACCCCTTGTCCCTTCTACCATGTGAGGACACAACTAGAAGTTGCTATCTGCCCAGGCATGGTGGCTTATACCTGTAATCCTAGCACTTTGGGAGGCCAAGGCAGGCAGATCATCTGAGGTCAGGAGTTCATGACCAGCCTGGCCAACATGGTGAAACCCCGTCTCTACAAAAAAATACAAAAAAATTAGCTGGGCATGGTGGTGGGCACCTGTAATCCCAGCTACTTGGGAAGCTGAGGCAGGAGAATTGCTTGAACCTGAGAGGTGGAGGTTGCAGTGAGCCGAGATCACGCCATTGCACTCCAGCCTGGGTGACAAGAGTGAAACTCCATCTCAAAAAAACAGAAAGAAGGTGCTATCTATGATCCAGGAAGTGGGTCCTCACCTGATGCCAAATCTGCCTCGATCTTGGACTTCTCAGCCCCCAAAACTATAAGAAATACATATATATATATATATATATATATATATATATATTTTTTTTTTTTTTTTTTTTACCATGTTGGCCAGGCTGGTCTTGAACTCCTGACTTCAGGTGATCCATCCACCTTGGCCTCCCAGAGTGCTGGGATTACAGGCAAGAGCCACTGTGCCTGGCTAAGAAATAAATTTCTTTTGTTCACACACTACCCAGTTTATGGCATTTTTTAATAGCAGCCCAAACAGACTGAGACACGTGAGGTTGATGAATTCAGTTTTTGTCCAGTTGAGTTTGAAGTAGTCACGGAAAACTTAGTGAAATAACCGGTAGGGAATTTGGTATATAAATCCAAAGCCGAGACCTAGAGATACAGATTTGGAAGTCATAAACGTAGTTTTGAAAGCATGAGAACAGAGGATATTACCCAAAGGATACATGAGGGATAAAATGAAAAGAAGGGCAAGGATGGAACCTGGGGGAATATTGACGTTTAATGGGAGGGAAATGGAAGAGCATCTCATAGAGATGGATGAGAAAGGAGCACTCTGAGAGTTAGGAGAATCGGGATGCCTGGGAGTCACAAAGGCCCAGGAAAGTGAGAACACCAAGGAAGAAATTGTCACCAGTAACAGCAACAGAGTTCCGTGAACACAGAATTTAAAAGGTCCTGTGAGAATGAGCAATAAGGTCACTGGTGACCTTTATGAAAACGAGAGACATGGTGGAGTTAGAAGCCAGCTTGTAGTATCCTTTGATGCTTGGCTGTAGAAGGAAGGAAAAGAATTGGATCAGAAGGGGACTTAGAGTGGAAGGGAGAAGCCTTTGCAAGATTTCCCATCTCTGTGGAAAAGAAGTTCATGTTCGGGTGTATCTCCTCTGTTCCAAACGCATAGCAGTGACAGATAAAATACAAAGAGAGAAAGCCAAAGTGATATTGCTGGACTCGTGGATCAAAAACTCGGAAGGATGAGGGTAGCCTGGATTGACTGGAATCTGGGTCTTGGGGTCAGGCAGGTATTGATGTAGGTCTTTTATGGCAATAGGACTAAAAGTACTCAATGCAAGCTGGGCCACCAGAGCCAGGGTCACTGTTTGAAAAAAGAGGCTGGAGGTAGGCCTCCCCACCCTCTTTTCATTCTTTCAGGTGAAAGGAACCTGAAAAGAATCCCCTGTGTCTGATGCCTGGGCCATGGCTTACAGTAGTAGTTCTGCTCTTAGAAGGCAACTGTAAAACCTAGAGATTGGTGTGAGGAGTCAGGGAGTGGAGGTGGAGAAAAAAAAGCAGCAACAGTGACAATAACAACAAAGCCTCCCACTCAAAAACGACCCCGCAAATCTAACATTAATGAAGACAGCCAAGGTATCAACAGTCAGAATGTAAATCTACTGCCGAAGAAAATAACTTTGTAGACAGACCTGATTAAAATAGTATATTCGGGCTGCTCAGAGGGAAAAGTAAAGGAATAATGTTCATTTTAAAAGAATGAGAAATTAGGAACCAAAAAAGAAACAAGAACAGAGGATTTGAAAAAGAACCAGTTTGAAATTCAGGGACTGAATCATTGAAATGAAATCTAAGTGGATCAGATAAACTAGGCTAGATACAACTGAAGAGATAATTAGTGAATTGGAAGATATTAATAGTATTGAGAAATACAACCCATTTCATAGCACAGAAATACAAAGAATTTTTTAAATACATAGTTAAATTAGGGAGAAAGAATGAGAATTGCCATATAGCTAACTCATAGGAGCAGAAAAATATTAGGTTGGTGCAAAAGTAATTGCGATTTTTGCCATTAGTTTTAATGCAATTACTTTTGCACCAACCATACAATGGAGGAAATAACAGAAAAGCAATATTTGAAACAATAAAGGCTGAGAATTTTCTAGAATTGAAGAGAGACATAAATCCTTACATCAACGTATATTTGAGTAATAACAATAATGGTAAACACTTATTTAGCCCTTATGTTCCAGACCCTCTTCTATATGCTTTCTATGTATTAACTCATTAATCCTCTAATATCCCTTGGATAAGAGTAATTTACATGTGAGTAAACTGGAAAAGAGAGAATGTGTGTAGTTTGCCCAAGGTCACACAACTGGGTGGTGGGATTTCACCCCAAGCAGCCTGGATACCCTCTAATACTTCTCTAAATCCTAAAGGGATTAAAAATAAATCTATACCTGGACACATTGTCATGAAACTGCAGATTATCAAAGATTTTTTTTTAAGAGCTCCTCTAGAGGAAAGACAGATCACGTACAAAGGGACAATCCTCATCCTAATAGTGGACTTCTCATTAGCAACAGCTGGTCAATGAAGACAATGAAAGGAGAGATTCTAAAACCCAGGGCAAGGCATAGAACACAAGAAACAAATGTGGGCCTATCAAATGATACAATGTTATACATTAACTTAACTGTGAAATACTGAGGAAGGAGCTGGTAGGCCAGTGAGTTTGGAGTTACAAGAGGAAGAGCAGCTGGGCACCCCGTGGCTCATCCCTGTAATCTCAGCACTGTGGGAGGCTGGAGAAGGAGGATCACTTTATCCCAGGAACTCAAGACCAGCCTGGACAACATAGTGAGACCCCATCTCTACAAAAAAAAAATTAAAAAATTTGGCAAGCATGGTGGTGCGTGCCTATAGTCCCAGCTACTTGGGAGGCTGAGGTGGGAGGATCACTTGAGCCCAAGAGGTTGAGGCTGCAGTGAGCCATGATTGCGCCACTGCACTCTAGTCTGGGTGACAGAGCAAGACCCTGTCTCAAAAAGAAAAAGGAGGGAAAGAAAATAAGAGGAAGAGCCTGCCCCCGGGAAGCCAGAAAGTGAATGGTCTTCGTGAACCTCTGAAATAGAAGGAAAAGCAGGGCAGGCAAGGAGGGGGAGAAGGGGCAGAGAGTGACGAGCACACGCAGAAGGTCTCTAGTTTCCAGTAATATGGGAAGAAAGGTCATCTCCTGTAAAGGAAGGGGTCAGGAAAGAGGGGGCTGAAGGAGGGTAATAAAGGTCAAAGATAACCTTTATGGGAAATGGATGAGAAGCGTCAAAGGATTGCTTGAAAGTCTTGGCAGTGTGGTGATTTGGGAAATGTTGAATGAGTGGTACCATCAGCCTACATAATTGTGGCGTTTTCCCAGCTGTGCTTTGCAGCCTGCGTGTAGGAGCACAGGAAATGGTTGAATTGATTCAGGATTTGTCTTCAGGGTAGGTTCAGCAAAGTATGGAAAAATTGAGCAAGTGAAGGTCAAAATGAGCTTTGGAGTCCAGTGAAGACTCTTGGGAATTGGAGAGCTTGGTGAGGTCAAGGAGAAAGTGTCCTGGGAGTGAGAGTAAGAGAATACAGGTTGGGGTTGGAGCAAAAGTAACTAGAGCTTTCAGATTTCAGAAGTGGAATAATTCCAGGAGATTCAAGACCCCAGTGGAGCTTGAAGGGAAGTGGTTAGAGGTGGAATGGAGGTGAAGGTCGTTGGAGGAGAAGGAAAGGAAAAGGAATGAGGAGGCTGGGCCTATAGTGTTGATGGGCTGCCCATGTGGACACTGAAATCATAAAGATGTGGATATAAAGTAGGGTAAAGTGGAATCCTGGGCATGGTCCAGAGAGTTCATGAAGCCAGGGGTCAGGTGGTCTGTAAATAACAGCAGTCATCATCAATCACCAATGAGGCGTGTGGCTAGAAAGCAGGGGCCTGGAGGAGGAGGGCCCTGGAAAAGTGCCACTCATTCTACAAGTGACCACTAACCTTGGGAATTTTTTTTTGGTGGTTGGGGGGATGGATCTTGCTCTGTCGCCCAGGTTAGAGTGCAGTGGTACAACCTTGGTTCACTGCAACCTCGACCTCCTGGACTCAGGTGATCCTCCTACCTCAGTCTCCCAAGTAGCTGGAACTACAGGTGCATACCACCATGCCCAGCTAATTTTGATATTTTTTTTTTGTAGAGATGGGGTTTTGCCATGTTTCCCAGGCTGGTCTCCAACTCCTGGGCTCAAGTGATCCTCTTGCCTCACCCTCCCGTAGTGCTGGGATTACAAGCATGAGCTACCACACCAGGCCCCTGGGTCACCTCTTACACCAGAGCCAGTGGGTTCATTTGATCAATCTGAGCAGTACTCACAGGATTCAATTGTCTTCTCACACCTTTTCCCCAGGTTTCAAAGTCAGAGCCACTTGCTGACTTGAGTGATTATGGCAGGGCCCCATCTAATGGCCTTTTTGCAAAGTACAGCTGGAGCAAGCAGGCTCGCCTGTGCCCCTTTTCTCATCAAAAGCAAGGCAAAGAGGGTATAGATTAGACTAGCAGGCCCCGGCTAGGAAGTAACATCTTCAAGAGTAAGAAGTAATCATGATGGCAGCCATGTGGATATTGACTCATAATAATGGTGATGGTCAGACGGATATTGGCAGGAATATTTACATGAGCCCAGCATCTTGCCAACCTGTCTTTAGATAGCCACAGTCTCATGAAATCTTCACAGATATTAATATCCCCATTTTACAACTGACACTGAGGCTTAGTGAGAGCCAGCGGTCTGCACAGCCTCACAGCTAGCAAGTGTCAGATCTAGGACTCAATTCTAGGTTAGTTTAGCCTTGGAGCACGTGCTCTCATGTAACTAATCTGCTGTCTTTGGCTCTAAAAATGAAATAAGACTGTAGGTAGAGCCAGGCGCGGTGGCTCACACCTGTAATCCCAACACTTTGGGAGGCTGAGGCGGACGAATCATTTGAGGTCAGGAGTTTGAGACCAGCCTGGCCAACAAGGTGAAACCCTGTCTCTACTAAAAATACAAAAATTAGCTGGGCTTGGTGGTGCATGCTTGTAATCCCAGCTGCTTGGGAGGCTGAGGCAGGAGAATCACTTGAACCAGGGAGGCAGAGGCTGCAGTAAGCCAAGATCCAAGATGGTGCCACTGCTCCAACCTGGGCAACAGAACGAGACTCTGTCTCATAGATTTAAAAAAAAAAAAAAAACTGTACATGGAGTCAGCTGCTCTAAAGTCTGGTTGAAAGTTTAAATTTTCACAGTGAGGAAAGGGAAATAAGTCACTCCCATCTTAAAGAAGCATTGTCAAAGGAATATTTTTCTCCTTCCAAGTTTTACAGGGAGGCAAATATTCTGAAAGGAATTATCGTGGTAATAACATCCCTTACCTGATTTTTTTCAAAAACTTTTATTACTAGGAATTTTCTCAGATGTAATGCCATATAATGGGTGTTTATCAACTGGAATAGTGAGGGAAAATGGCTTTCCAGCCATGTGTCTAGTTTTTACACATCTTCAGACATGGATGGAAGGCAGAGCTGGGTTGCCTCAATTCTGGGTCAAGTCAGCTTCCCCTGGATTAGAAGGGGAGGCTGGTAGGCTAATAGCAGGATGCTGGTGACATATGAAGGAGGGGTTGTTTCTTATGAAAGCAGATTCTCAGAGAAAGAGGATCTGCGTAGGAACACCAGAGAGATTGGCCTCAAAGACCCAAAAGCAAAAGAAATAAGTTAAAAATAAAACAGTCCTAGGCCAGGCACGGTCACTCACGCCTGTAATCCCAACACTTTGGGAGGCCCAGGCGGGTGGATAGCTTGAGGTCAGGAGTTCGAGACCAGCCTTGCCAACATGGTGAAACCCCATTTTTACTGAAAATACAAAAATTAGCCAGGCGTGAAAGCATGTACCTGTAGTCCCAGCTACTTGGGAAGCTGAGGCACAAGAATCACTTGAACCCAGGAGGCGGAGGTTGCAGTGTGCTGAGAACTTGCCACTGCACTCCAGCCTGGACAACAGAGTGAGACTCCCTCTCCAAAAAAAATTAAAATATGACTGGGCATGGCTCACATCTGTAATCCCAGCACTTTGGGAGGCTGAGGCGGACGGATCACCTGAGGCCAGGAGTTTGAGACCAGCCTGGCCAACATCATGAAGCCCCATCTCTACTAAAAATAAAAAATTAGCTGGGTGCGTTGGGATGCGCCTGTAGTCCCAGTTACTCAGGAGGCTGAGGCAGGAGAATCGTTTGAAACCGGGAAGCAGAGGTTGCAGTGAGCCGAAATCGCGCCATTGCACTCCAGCCAGGGCAACAGGGTGAGATTCTGTCTCAAAATAAAATAAAATAAAACAAAACAATAAAATAAAATAAAACAAGGCTAATGATAAACCCAGGGGCTCCTTGGCAGGAGCAAAGCTGAACCGAGAGCTCTATTCCTAGAGCCCTATGTCTGAATAATTTATTTTTCCTATCTCATAGTCCCTATGTGCCTTCCTCAGCTGAGATCAAGTGCCAAAGGACATCTCAAAATACCCACAGCCAAAACTTCTCAGCATAGCTCCCTGCATGGAGAAGGAGACAGCTCTGCAAGTCTTTGTCCTGAACCGTTTACGGATTTTCCATGGTCTGCAAGACCTTGGACTCACGCCGCCTGCCAGCTGGCAGCCGCTGTCCAGCCTGGGAACAGAGCTTGCTCCGGCCTGTGGCGAGTCCTCCCGGGGCTTATCGTGAATTTCCCCGGTTTTGCATCTTCATCCTGAAAACCTCCCGACCTTTCCTTAATGAAGATTTTAGCTGGGGGAAATTGCATTAGTGGCTCGTGTTTTTCTGTCAACCTTCTAAATTATGTTAGTTGTAAGTAAAAAGAGTACAGTAAGTCCTTTTATCCGTTGTGGGCTGTTCCTGGGAATCATAATGGACAATAAAATAATAAGTAATGGACAGGAAGATGCTCTTAGAACCAGTTCGGAAAACTCTTCCAGTGCCAGACAGAAACCAGCCACCTGCGCCGTTATCAGGACATCAAGTGAAGCCAGTAAACACTTGTGGAGCTCCTTTTAAGTCCCAGCACCAAAGAATAATACCTAACACTTCTAGTTAAGAGAGCATCGTACTGAGTATTATCTCAGTTAATATTCATAACAGCACATAAGTTCAATGCTCAGTTTGCAGATGAGGGAACTGTGGTTGAGAGATGTTTTTAATACACTGCCCAAGGCCACACAATGAATAGCTGACAAAACTGAGATCTGGGGTCTTTTGATTGTGTGTCTTTCTCTCTCCACACTCCACCTCAGCTGCTCAGAAGCAGATCCTGGGGCCAGAATGGACCTCTGTAGGAAGCCTCAGAGATGGAAGCTTTCTGCCCTCAACTGGCTGACTGAATTGATGGAACAGTGGGTGATAAGCGAGGGAATTATTTCGTAGTTTGGTTGAAAAAAAGTCTTCAGCATGTAAATATGTCTTACATAAGTCATGAAAAATGGGACTGAAAGAAATGAGAGACAAGAGGGAAAAGACAGAAGTATTTTCTTTATCAAACCTTGGGGAAAAGCATCTTTTCCTCAAATACCCAATGCAGTATGTATGGTTTTTGTTGTTATTATTAAGACAAGGGACCCTTTTTTTACCCAGACCCAAATTCAACTGCCTTCAAAGAGATGGGACAATGTTCTTAGAGAGTGAAGTTTCGCACTGAAAACCAGCTTTTCCAAAGAGCTCCAAAGAGCACGTTTAAATTCGGCTAAGTCGGAGACGTTTGCAGATGCAGGCCTGAGACCCCTGGCCCACACTTGGATGACGAGGCGTAAAGTGAGGACCCTTTGCCTGTAAGGCTGTGTCTCCATCTCAGAAACCTATTTAAAGCCGAACTTTATAATGGAAACACAGCCACAACCTGCTATCAGCAACCACGATATTAAACAGGCATAGAGCCAATAGCAGTGGCGTGAAGCCAGCGAGGAAAGATTAGCATCACAAGTAAGAGATTTTAGGCTCAGGGCCAGAAGAGGGTTTTTTTTTTTCTTCTTCCCTTTTTATTAAAAAATAATAATAAAAAGGGAGAGAGAAAGAAATAAAAAGAGGTGGAAAGGTGCAAAAGAATTCCTGTTTAGCCACCCTCCCTGAGATTGTTCTCCTTGGTTATCCAGATAAGTACAGAAACAAACCACTGCCTGTCTGAAAACCTGGCAGTCGCTTGACCTTAAAATGGTCTCTGCAATAACCCTTCCAACCTGCTCCGCTCTCCTGTCCTTGGCTGGCCCATGTGCAGAATGGAGCGTGTGACCTCCAGCACGGGGAAAGTAATAATCAGTAAGGTTCATATTTTCCACTTGGAGTTAGAGGAAAGACCATGTGAGCACAACTTTGGGTTGCTATCTTTTTGCCCTGCGCTGCTGTAGGAAGAGACATGCAGTGGTTGGAAGTCTCCCTACTGGCAGAGCGTCGTTCCAGCACCCAGTTTGACTTTGTGCAAGATGGTGCTTTTCTGACTACCTCCTCCCTTTAAGCTGCAGCCTTCTGAAATCTCAGCTTTCAGGAAAGGATGCCAGCCCCAGGAGTTATAGGATGCAGCAGAGCAAAGGTGGCATTTTCCAGGTGAGCTTCGGGACTGCCCCCCTTGGGCTCTCCCATCCAGGCCATGCAGTGCTGACTGCCCATAGCTTGACCGCTGCAGATGGACAGGGGGTGCTCTGTTGTAAGCAACTCTCAGAGGCTAAGTGACGTGCTCAATCTTGCTGCTTGCTCCAAACCAGCACAAGATTTTTTGTAGCCTTCTTTTACACTTCTTATTTGGAAAATTTCAAACCTACAGAGAAGTTTGTAAGAAGAGTGCAGTGATTCTGGATTCACCAATTGTTAACATTTTTCTCCATTTGCTTTGTCTCTTCCTCTCCATACATATTTACATCATTTCCCCCAACCCCCCAGAACCCTTTGAGAGTCATATACAGACATCATGACTCCTTAACTTTTTTTTCTTTCTTTTTTTTTTTTTTGAGATGGAGTTTCACTCTTGTTGCTCAGGCTGGAGTGCAATGCTGTGACCTCGGCTCACTGCAACCTCTGCCTCCCGGGTTCAAGCGATTCTCCTGCCTCAGCTTCCCGAGTACCTGGGATTATAGGCGCCCGCCACCATGCCCAGCTAAATTTTTGTATTTTTAGTAGAGATGGGGTTTCACCCTGTTGGCCAGGCTAGTCTCAAACTCTTGACCTCAGGCGATTCACCCACCTCGGCCTCCCAAATTGCTGGGATTACAGGCATGAGCCACCGGCCCCGGCCTGACCCTTTACCCTTGAATACTTCATTGCGCCCTAAGAACAAGGGCTTTCCCTTACGTAACCATCGTGCAGTGCTTAGGTTCTGGAAGCTTAACATTGATACAATACTATTATCTGATAGAGAGGCATATTTACATCTTGCCGATTATCGCAAAATGTTTTTTCAATAGCAAATAAAAACTTTAAGAAATTACTAAATGTCAATTAAAAAAAAAAAACAAAAAAAAACAAAAAAAAAAAACCACTTCCTAACTTGCCTAGCTACTCAGGAGGCTGAGGCAGGAGAATGGCCTGAGCCCATGTGTTCAAGTCCAACCTGAGCAACATAGTGAGATTCTATCTCTTAAAAGTTAAATCAGTAAATAAATAAACATTCATGATTCATGTTCCAGTAGAGGCTCACACATTGCATTTAATTGTCACTTTCTTTAGTCTCCTCTTTAATCTGGAGCTGTTTCTCAGCTTTTTTTTTTTTTTTTGAGACAGAGTTTCACTCCTGTTGCCCAGTCTGGAGTGCAATGGTGCGATCTGAGCTCACTGCAACCTCCACCTCTTGAGCTCCAGCAATCCTCCCACCTCAGCCTCCCGAGCAGCTGGGACTACAGGCATGCACCGTCACACCTGTCTAGTTTTTCTAGTTTTTTTTTTTTTTTTTTGTAGAAATGAAGTCTTGCTATGTTGCCCAGGCTGGTCTCAAACTCCTGGGCTCAAGTGATGTGCCTTTCTCAGCCTCCCAAAGCGTTGGGAGGCATGAACCATCACGCCCGGCCTGTTTCTCAGCTTTTCTTTGTCTCTCGTGACACTGACATTTTGCAGAACACTGGCTGGTTTTGTGCATGTCCTTGTTGCTGGGTTTTCCCCATTGTGTTCTCATGATTAGATTCAGACTGTGCATCTTTGGCAGGAATTCTGTATTAGCAATACTGAGTCATTGTGGACTTTCAGAATATCCTTTCCCCAACATGCATGGCTTCCCTGTGATTTTATTTATTTATTTATTTATTTTTATTTTTTGTAGAGACAGGGTCTTCCTATGTTGCCCAGGCTGGTCTCGAACTCTTGGGCTCAAACTATCCTCCTGCCTCAGCCTCCCGAAGTGCTGGGAACACAGGCATGAGCCACTGTGCACAGCCTTCCCTGTATTTTATTTTCTGGCCTTTGAGAAGACTTTAGCCTCCCCTGGTTTCCCAAGCTGTGTTCATCACAGAGCTGGTGTCGGAGGCCTGGTGGGAGAGTTGGTCATGTTCTTCTTCTTCTTCCTTTTTTTTTTTTTTTTTTTGAGACAGAGTCTCACTCTTGTTGCCCAGGCCGGGTGCAATGGCGCAATCTCGGCTTACTGCAACCTCTGCCTCCCGGGTTCAAGTGATTCTCCTGCCTCAGCCTCCCAAGTAGCTGGGATTACAGGCATGCGCCACCATGCCCGGCTAACTTTTGTATTCTTAATAGAGACGGGATTTCACCATGTTGGCCAGGCTGGTCTCGAACTCATGACCTCAGGTAATCCGCCCACCTCAGACTCCCAAAGTCCTGGGTTTATAGGCGTGAACCACCGCACCCAGCCAGTCATGTTCTTCTAAGCACTGGAGAAAAAAGGACAGCTGCCT
Organism: Homo sapiens; assembly: GCF_000001405.40. Classification (NCBI taxonomy): domain Eukaryota; kingdom Metazoa; phylum Chordata; class Mammalia; order Primates; family Hominidae; genus Homo; species Homo sapiens. Next base: position 67,609,633 of record NC_000017.11, read on the forward strand.
GTGCTGAAAAGTCACCCCAAGAGAGAGCAGGAAGAATCCCAAAGCAGAGGCGACAGTGGACTCTTTCTATCCTGTGCTCTGAGTCCGGCAAACTGTTGATGAAGCCCTCACGGGGTCATTCACAGCAGAATTGGATCTGGTTAGATCCAATTCCAAAAAAAAAAAAAGCCACATCCCTTGGATCCAGGTTTGCTTTTTGTACCCAAGCTTGGGCATTCCATTTGGATGGTTTTACCTCTTAAATATTACATCCATCCTACTTCTCCATTCCGGCTACCATGGCCCTAGTTAAGGTGTTTATTTCTTTTCTAGAGCAATCTCACACTAAACCCATATCTCCCACAGAGCTATCTGCCCAGGGAATCCACGTAGACTTCAAATCTGATCATTTTCACAGTGACTGGCACCCAAGACCTTCTGTCGCCCGGCCACTACTTTCCTCTGTCGTTCCGCTATTCCATGCTCCCTGCCTCAAACATAATATGCCCAAAATATCAGGTCAGGATACGAGAGTGTTAAGTGCCAGCATTACCTGGGAGCTTGTTAGGATCTCAGGCCCCACCCTAGACCCACTGAATCGGAACCTGAATCTAAGCAAGCAAGATTTCCCAGGTGTTGTGTGCGCATGAAAGCACCGGAGGCACTATCTAGAACCTGCTGGAAGGGCCTGTTCTGTGCAAGGAACTTAAGCTGCCCCTCAGGCTCTGTGGTCCTTGGCACTGAGGCAAGATTCTCAAAATAATCTCTGATTCAAGGGATTCCGCTCCGAAAATTACATTGGAAATTGTTTTTCCTAATTTGCATAAATAAATAAACTTAGTAAATGGGCTTCATCTGATTTTTACTTTTTTCTCTTACAAATTCTTTTCTAAACTTTGGGCCAGGCGTGGTGCCGGCACACATCAGCATTTTGGGAGGCTGAAGCCAGCAGATCACCTTGAGGTCAGGAGTTAAAGACCAGCCTGGTCAACATGGCAAGACCCTGTCTCTACTAAAAATACAAACATTAGCCGGGCGTGGTGGCTCACGCCTGTAATCACAGCACTTTGGGAGGCCGAGGTGGGCAGATCACAAGGTCAAGAGATTGAGACCATCCTGGCCAACATGGTGAAACCCTATCTCTACCAAAAATACAAAAATTAGCTGGGCACTGGGGCATGCGCCTGTAGTCCCAGCTACTCGGGAGGCTGAGGCAGGAGAATCGTTTGAACCCGAGGGGCGGAGGTTGCAGTGAGCCGAGATTGCGCCACTGCACTCCAGCCTGGCGACAGGGTGAGACTCTGTCTCAAAAAAAAAAAAAAAAGAAAAAGAAAAGAAAAAAATATTATTTTCTAAACTTTGACATCTGCTGCTACTTGTTGGCTAACAAGATGTCATCTGCTGGCAAACAAAATGAGTAAACTACTAGGAAATAAATGGTAATGTTAAAATTCAACATACCTGGTGTTCAGTCTAACAGTTCAGTTCAACAACAGCAAAAAATAAAAATTAAAACTTTGAGTGTTAAGCTTCTATTAATGTATGAGATACTAGAAGAAGGTCTGAGGGATGCATAGATGAATGAGATATATTGTATAGCTTATTCCCCATGACTGTAAGGCCACATGTGCCTGTAGTACTGGGGCACTGAATGGTACTTCAGCAATGACCATCCTTTTATTAGAATCCTTGGGATGCTACTAGTCTGGATTTGCAGAATTCACCAAAATGAATGACTTTTGCTATTACCTGTCAAGTTGATTTCATCTTCTGTGTCCAGACAGCTATCCAAACCAATATAACCAGGAAATTTACTCTGGATTCCTCAGATCAATAGATGAATGGTTTTGTTGTTGTTTTGTTGTTGTTTGAGACGGAGTTTTGTTCTTGTTGCCCTGGTTGCCCAGGCTGGAGTGCAGTGGCGTGACCTCAGCTCACCGCAACCTCCGCCTCCTGGGTTCAAGCAATTCTCCTGCCTCAGCCTCCCGAGTAGCTGGGATTACAGGCATGTGCCACCACCACACCCAGCTAATTTTGTATTTTTAGTAGAGACGGGGTTTCTCCATGTTGATCAGGCTGGTCTTGAACCCCCGACCTCAGGTGTTCCACCCACCTCAGCCTTCCAAAGTGCTGGGATTACAGGCATGAGCCACCCGGCCAATGAATGGTTTTTAAAACAAAAATCACAATGAGCCTGTTGCCTTTTATTGGCTTTGGTTTTAGGAGGAGAAACTTTAAAAGCTTGGAGTTGAAGGATAATGGTTCAACCTTTCTTGGCGTGTAAGTGATTTATGACCTCCTAATTTAACGAAAGTAACAACAGCGAAGACAAGCCACTTATTAGCGTTTCCTGGCAATTCCATCAGGGAGATAGGGGTTGGGGCCTTGAGAGCCCAAGAATTAAACAACAGCTGAATGTTATTCAAAATCTAAATTCATTATACACATTGTTGCTTTACTAAAATCTTTACTAAAATGTGATCAAGAAAGCCTTGGCAGGGCACGGTCTTGAAAGATGAGTACCAACTCATCTTGGGCAGGCAGATATCTTGCCAGGCAGATAGGGTGGGGAGAGCCTTCAGGGCAAGGGAGGAGCAAGGGCAAGAGTCTTGAAGGCTGAAGAGTGAGCAGGATGTGGAGAGGAAGTTTCAGGCTCCACAGGGTCATGGGGGCAGGCCCAGAGCAAGGAAGAGAGAAAGGAGGGTGATCCAGGGAGGTGAGTTGATGAGAGGAGGCAGATGTACTAAGTCCATACATGAGTGCAGTATTTGACAGTTTGCAAAGCACCTTCATACCCACTATCTCACCAGGTCCTGCTAGCTCAGTGATGAGGTGGGACACCTAACGTCCTCACTTCCAGGTGATGAAATGGAGGCCTGGAGGAGTTTCTAAAGTCGTACAACTCCTAAGTGGTGGAGCCAGGATTAGAATGAGATATTTTGACCTCTGGACACTGCTCTTTCCACCATAAACTGATATGTTCCAGGAGCATTGAAGAAAGCTTCCTAGCATATTGGGAAGAAAACTCATGGTTGGGGTGTGGCTGGGTGGATGGATGGGCGGATGGATGGATGGATGGATGGATGGATGGATGGATGGATGGATGGATGGATGGATCAATGGGTGGATGTGGAGATCAGAGTCTCAAGAGAAAAAGAGTTAAGAGTCCAGCAGTTGTGCAGGTGAGATGGGGGATTCAAACGTCTATCAGGAAGGTGGATTTGTGAGATACAGAGGCAGTGGAGTGAATAGAACTTCATGTCTGACCACATGTGAGAATGAGAAAGAAATAAGAGTGTAATGGCCGGACACAGTGGTTCAGGCCTATAATCACAGCACTTCGGGAGGCTGAGGTGGGCAGATCACCTGAGGTCGGGAGTTTGAGACTAGCCTGACCAATGTGGAGAAACCCTGTCTCTACTAAAAATACAAAAAATTAGCTGGGAGTGGTGGCGCATGCCTGTAATCCCAGCTACTCAGGATGCTGAGGCAGGAGAATCACTTGAACCCAGGAGGCAGTGGTTGCGGTGAGCCGAGATCACGCCATTGCACTCCAGCCTGGGCAGCAAGAGCGATCAAAAAAAGAAATAAGAATGTAGGATAACACCCAAGTTTTGACCTTGGATGATTAAAGGACCACAAAGGAAAACAAACTTAAACCTTACAGCCAAAGTGGTAAAGGTAGAGATGATGAATGTTAACTTCGAATATGTCTAATAGTCAGTTGATATCAATGGATCTGGAATTCAGGAAAAGTGTCTGAGATATCCAGGAGATTCATTAGGTCATCAGCGATCAAAGGTTAGCATTTTATTATAGATGTTCACTGTGTTATTATAAATAACGTTAAAAAAGAGAAAAATAAAAAGGAAAGGTCTTAAACATGTAACAGTTGCAGATTGGCTCATTTATGTTACAGCCATATATTGAAATGCAATTCAGACCTTAAAAATGAGTGCTGGCTTTGGGAGGCCAAAGTGGGCAGATTACTTGAGGTCAAGAGTTTGAGGCCAGCCTGGTCAACATGGTGAAACCTCATCTCTACCAAAATACAAAAATTAACCAGGTGTAGTGGCATGTGTCTGTAATCCCAGCTGCTTAGGAGGCTGAGTGAGGCAGGAGAATTGCTTGAACCCAAGAGGCAGAGGTTGCAGTGAGCTGAGATGGTACCACTGCACTCCAGCCTGGGCAACAGAGTGAGACTCCGTCTCAAAAAAAAAAAAAAAGGAGTGCTGGTTTAGGAGGTCAATGCTGGAGGATCACTTGAGCCCAGGAGTTCGAAACCAGTCTGGGCAACATGGCAAAACCCTATCTCTACAAAAAAAAAAAAAAAAAAAAAAAAAAGTAGCCTATATTCCCAGCAACTCAGGAGACCGAGGTGGGAGGATCACCTGAGCCTAGGGAGGTTGAGGCTACAGTGACCCATGATCGCGCCACTGCACTCCAGCCTGAGCAACAGAACAAGACTCTGTCTCAAAAAAAAAGAAAAGAAAAGAAAAAGAAAAAAGAGCGCTAGGCTTGTGGGTGCTTTCCCTTCCTTGGTGATACTAACATCTGTCGCTGGCAGGGTACTTCCCAGCCCAGATCAAAATGAAGTGGGCTTTCCCTACTTTATGTCCTCAGATCTTCTCTACTACCCAGTGAGGGACGAACTGACACTTTATTACGGAATCACAGATGAGATTCCAGAATAAAGATTCTTTATTCTTTCCAAAATAAAGAAGTAGTATGATTGTGATAAGAAAAAAGGAGAAAAGAAAATGTTATTAAAAAAATTGGCCAGGCACGGTGGTTCACGCCTATAATCCCAGCACTTTGGGAGGCCAAGGTGGGGAGTTTTGCTTGAGCTCATGAGCTCGAGATCAGCCTGAGCAACATAGTGAAACCGCATCTCTACTAAGAATACAAAAATTAGCCAGGTGTGGTGGCACATGGCTGTAGTCCCAGCTACTCGGGAGGCTGAGGGAGGAGAATCGCTTGAACCTGGGAGGCAGAGGCTGGAGTGAGCTGAGATTGCCCCACTGCACTCCAGCCTGGGCAACAGAGTGAGACTCCGTCTCAAAAAAAAAAAAAATAAATATATAAAATAAATAAAAATAAATTAAAAATGACATCACAGCCCAGGCACAATGGCTCATACCTGTAATCCCAGGACTTTGGGAGGTTGAGGCAGGAGGACAGCTTGAGCCCCAGGAGTTTGAGAGCAGCCTGGGGAATATAGTGGGACCCCGTCTCTACTAAAAAAAAAAAAGTTTTTAATGACATCACAGACGCCAGAATTGATTCACGAGAGTATATGTGAGAGCTGGTCTATGAAGGCAAGAGTGGCGGGTTTCTCCCCATTGGGGAAAAATAGAAACAACAGGCCCACCCAGGGGCCTCATACCTAATTCTACCACAACCCTGGGAAGGGCTCTGGAAGCCAAACCCTCCCCACATGCTAGCCCCAGCCTGTCTTACCCGTGCCTGGAGGGTTCCTTCTGGAGTCTTCTGGGCAGCTGCCCTGGGGAGCAGGGGCCCGTGGAGCTCAGCCAGGAGGCCTTGCGTAGTTTGCCTTGGGAGGTTATTACAGCCAATCCACATAGATGCGAAAACCAAACCAAACACAGCCTACCAGGAACAAGTAACGATTTGTTCCTTTCTTTTGCTTTTTCTGACAGTAGATGCAATCTATCGTGATTCTTAAGTGTTTTTGGGCTAGTGCCCATTCCATTGTTTTTGCCCAGAGAGGCTCACCAGGAATGAGCTGGAAGGAGACACAAGCCCCTAAGTACCTCGGGACGCTTGCTTGGTGAACAAGAGGAGGAAACTCAGAGAGCAGGGCTGCCGGCCTCCTTGTCTTTCGATGCCTCGTGTGGCCACCCCACCGCACGAGCCATAGCCAGCCATCTGTCTCAGTATTTCATTCTCTTGAGGCTGAGCTAGTGTAGTGGCTGTGTCAGGAACCCTGCCTGTTTGTGCAAAGAATTCATTCTTCCAAGAAGGATGAGGATCAAATTCACCTCCACATGGCACACACCGAACACCGAGGCTGTGAAAGGCTGGCCCGTGAGTGTCTCCAGGTTCAATATCGATTTGTCAATTGTAGAGAAAACCAGCAGTTCTAGTTCCCAGAGACCACCCTGTGAATTGAAATAAGAAGGAACGGGGAGAAATTGGAGCTATTTTTAAGCTCAGCTTCTGAGGCTTATTTTAGGAGGCATTATTGATCATACTTCGGGGAAACCGTTCTGCGTCGCTGGTGCCAGTGTCTACATGTGCACATGTGAAGTGTTGGCCTAGACTCCTGAGACCATCTGTGTGCCCAAGGGAGGCTGCAGCCCAGAGGAGAATTCGGACTGAGGCTACTTTGCACCAAAATTAGGCCAAACTCATGAAAGGGCCATTGTTGCAGCTGCCCTGGGAACTGTAACTTAGAAGTGATTTTGTGCCCTTACAGCCTCTTTAGTAAATGAATTGAGTCATAGCATTTGTGATCCTTCCGCATGTACTTTGGTACTTTTCTGTACTTTTCTGTCCTCTTTTTTGTTTGTTTGTTTGTTTGTTGAGATGGAGTTTCATTCTTGTCGCCCAGGCTGGAGTGCAATGGCACGATCTCAGCTCACTGCAGCCTCAGCCTCCCGGGTTCAAGCAATTCTCCTGCCTCAGCCTCCCGGGTACCTGGGATTACAGGGGTGCACTACCACGCCCAGCAAATTTTTGTATTTTTAGTACAAAATGGGTTTTACCATGTTGGCTAGGCTGGTCTCGAACTCCTGACCTGAGGTGATCCACCAGCCTTGGCCTCCCAAAGTGCTGGGGTTACAGGCATGAGCCACCGTGCCCAGCCTCTGTCCTCTTAATGAGTTACCATGATCTAGGGCACCTGATTAGAACGTTGTTTTTCCAAACAGCATCTTTTTCTCATCGGTCACTGTATCACTCTGATCACTGCCCCTTGAATCTTCTTCCTCACCCTTTATTTCACCCAGATGAGCCAGGGTTTACCGTATGTGGGACTTCAGGTCATGGCACAAAATGGTTCTCAACCCTTTTGTTGAGCACCGGTTTGCTGGTGCTCTTTTTAGACACAAACCCTGGAATAAACGTGCCCTTTCCCTCAAAGGGACCCCACTGTGGATTCCTATCCACTTTGTTATCCTTTTTACTCTTAGATCTCTGCCTCACCACTTTCCCAGGCAGCCTCTGCTTTTTCATCTTACTGTTCTCATTTTCGCCTGGTGCGTTCGTCAGCGGCTTTTTATGTTAAACTTCGCAGATGAGCCACGCCTGAAGTTATTCCTGTCCTTCTTTCTCTCCGGTGTATTGTTGTTGACAGGTTTTTATCTGTTGTTTTGAATTTTCTGTGACCTTTGGGGTGGGCAGAGAAAAAAAAGGACAAATGTCCACCATCGGCCGGTCTGAACGCCACATTTAATGTGTTCTTTTTGAGTGTTCTAACCCTTCCTTCTTCCTGCACACATTTAATAACAGAGAACCAAAAAAAGCCTAGTTGCCTTCATTCATGAATATTTGGGACAGTGAGGCCTCAGGGAAGGCCAGCTTTTCTGGCTACAGGGACGGTCTTAATCTGGAGAATGGAAGAAAGAGGTCCTTTAAAAACCAGAGAGTTGGCTGGGCACAGTGGCTCATGCCTGTAATCCCAGCACTTCGGGAGGCCGAGGTGGGTGGATCACTTGAGGTCAGGAGTTTGAGACTAGCCTGGCCACCATAGTGAGAACCTGCCTCTAATAAAAATATAAAAATTAGCCAGGCATAGTGGTGCACACCTGTAACCCAGCTATTTGGGAGGCTGAGGCAGGAGAATCACTTGAACCCAGCTGCAGAGTTTGCAGTAAGCTGAGATTGCACCACTGCACTCCAGCCTGGGTGACAGAGCAAGACTCTGTCTCAAAACAAACAAACAAAATTAAACCCAGAGAGTTGTAATAGTTTCCCAGGGCCGCCAAAACAAATCATCACAAATTGGGTGGTTTGAGACAACAGAAATTGATTCTCTTGCAGTTCTGGAGGCCAGAAGTCCCAGGTCAAGGTCAGGCTCTTGGGGATGATCCCTCCTTGCCTCTTCCAGCCTCTGGTGGCTCCAGGCGTTTCTTGGCTCAGGGCTGCAACACTCTAATCTCTGCCTCTGTCTTTACATGACTTTCATCCCCCTGTGTGAACTGCCCTGTGCCTTAATCGTATCTGTGTCCTCTCCTCTTCACATAAGGATACCAGTCGTCAGATTTAGGAGCCACCCTAAATCCAGGATGACTTCATCTCAAGATCCTTAACTAATTACATCTGCAAAGACCCTATTTCCAAACAAGGTCACATTCTGAGGTTCCTGGGAGACATGAGATTCGGGGGGACACTCTTCAACTTACTATAGGAGTATTGATGCCTCTGCCTATAGAGGAGAATCAATATATACCATACAACCCAGCAGTCCTACTCCTGACTATTGACCCTATGAAAATGAAAACCAGGCCAGGTGCAGTGGCTCATGCTTATAATCCCAGCACTTTGGGAGACCAAGGCGGGGGGTGGATCACTTAAGGTCAGGAATTCGAGACCAGCCTGGCCAGCATGGTGAAACCCTATCTCTACCTAAAAATACAAAAATTAGCTGGGCGTGATGGTGCACACCTGTAATCCCAGCTACTAGGGAGGCTGAGGCACGAGAATCACTTGAGCCTGGGAGGCAGAGGTTGCAGTGAGCTGACATCGCGCCACTGCACTCCAGCCTGGGTGAGAGAGCGAGACTCCGTCTCAAAAAAAAAAAAAAAAAAAAAAGATATGTATAACTTTTATTGGTGGTTGCCAGTTTCTTCCTTGTATTTGACTGCATTTTTCGAATTAAAAACATCTTGTTCCTGGCTGGGCATAGTGGCTCACGCCTGTAATCCCAGTACTTTGGGAGGCTGAGGCAGGTGAATCACCTGAGGTCAGGAGTTAAAGACCAGCCTGGCCAACATGGTGAAACCCCGGCTCTACTAAAAATACAAAACTTAGCTGGGTGTGTTGGCCAGCCCCCCATAAACCCAGCTACTCAGGAGACTGAGGCAGGAGAATCACTTGAACCCAGGAGGTGGAGGTTGCAGTGAGCCAAGATCATGCCACTACACTCCAGCCTGGGTGACAGAACAAAACTCCGTCTCAGAAAAAAATAAAAATAAAAACACTGGCCGGGCGCGGTGGCTCATGCCTGTAATCCCAGCACTTTGGGAGGCCGAGACGGGCAGGATCACGAGGTTAGGAGATCGAGACCATCCTGGCTAACATAGTAAAACCCCATCTCTACTAAAAATACAAAAAAGTAGCCGGGCATGGTGGCAGGTGCTTGTAGTCCCAGCTACTCGGGAGGCTGAGGCCGAAGAATGGCGTGAACCCGGGAGGTGGATCTTGCAGTGAGCCGAGATTGCGCCACTGCACTCCAGCCTGGGCGACAGAGTGAGACTCTGTCTCAAAAAAATAAAAAATAAAAATAAAAAATAAAAACATCTAGTTCCTGAGAAACTTTTTAAAAAAGAAAGAAAAGCAACCAACCCTAGAGGATATGCTTTATGCCTTCTAACAGGCATGTCCATGAAGGGGCCAGATTGAACAGTTTAGGAGTCCACCACTTATTTCTGTGTGCTCAAACTGGGAATGACCATGATGCTGAATTTCCCTAAACTCCTATCTTGCCAGCCTTCTTGGCAAAGAGTTCTATCTGGAAGTTTAAGTAGTTTAATTTAATAGAGAGAAATATTATTCAGTGACTCGGAAAAGAATCAGGCAAGCCTCCCTTCCCGACACCATGAATACCCACGTTTTTTAATCGGCTCCCTCAAGGTGACCCAAGATCCAGGGGCTCTTTTCTACTTGTGCTTCTTGGCCCCCCAAGGACCCCCACAGGCATTCTCACTCTACTGCCAATCACTCCACCAGGGGCTCAACATCCCTCTCTGGAGCCCTAGCCAACTCTGTGTGTGCCAGCGTCCTCGCTTACTGCCGGGGATCCAAGGACAACATGCACAGTGCCCGCAGATGATGCTGAGGGCAGCCGCCTTACTCCACCCCACCTTCATCTCTGATCAAAGCTTTTCCACCATCAGGTGCTCCTCTGAGAGCTTTCTCCTCCCCTCCCCGCTCCCAGCTCACCCCCCACCCCCACCCAGTGCCATCTGCAGTGCCATCTGCCCCCAGTGCCATCTGCAGGCTTGTGGGTGTGTGTCAATATTTCACCCAGCTTGTCTGCAGCGGTGTGCCACTCTTAGCCTCAGAGGAGTCCTCACATCGCCAGCTCACACCCCTGAGAGCTTGACCATGTCCTCATGAACTCACCGTCCTTCCCAAAATCCCATAACTAAAACAGCCTGGAAGTGTCACCAAGGCCCAAAGACAGCCTTCTGAAGATTACTTCTCAGTCTCTTAGCCTCCCTTTTCCTCTCCTCTGCTTCAAGCCCTTTATTTATTTGTTTTTGTTGTTGTTTTTTGAGACAGGGTCTCACTCCGTCTTCCAGACTGGAGTGCAGTGGCTCTGTCACAGCTCACTGCAATCTTAACCTCCCAGACTCAAAAGGTCCTCCTGCCTCAGCCTCCCAAGTAGCTGGGATCATAGATGCTTGCCACCACACCTGACGAATTTTTAAAATTTTTGTAGAGACAGGGTCTCACTATGTTGCCCCGGCTGGTCTCGAACTGCTGCACGTAAGCAATCCTCCTGCCTCTGCCTCCCAAAGTCCTGGGATTACAGGCGTGAGCCACTGCACCTGGCCTTAGAACCCTTTAAAACTCACACCCAGTACACTGGAGGGTAACTGAGCTGTCACTGAAAGGACACAGGACAGTGTGAGGAAAACAGAAGGGCACAGCAAGCCAGTCTCGCGGAGATCTGCAGAGGTGTTCTCTGGAGCTCCCCTTCCAACCCCTCACCCTTCTCTATCCCTGCTGCATAGGCTTGTCGCCACCTCACTGGGGACAGAATTTTCTCAGACACTCTCAGGCCTGAAACCTTTGCCTTCAGTTTGCTTTACAACTCCCTGCTGGCTCTGGAAAAACAATTTTCCCCTCTGCGCCAAAGGCCTAATGATATTGTCCACCAGAAAGGGTTCTCCAGAGAAGCACTGAAGTTTACCCAGCAGCTAAGACGATCCGGCCTAACCCTGATGGATGAGTTTCCTTTACTCAGCCTTAATACCCCTGAAATCCTGTGGCAAGTGGAGCGTTTGATGGGGATTAAATAAAAGCAGTTTACCTCCCACTGTATTACCAAATGGGGTTTCAATTCCATTCTAAGACCAAGGTCAGTACGGGAGTGGATCTGGGGTCATCACTGCCCTAGAGCCCCGGCACCAGTAGGCAGTTCTCTGGGGCCCCCACATGGAAACCTCAGCAGCCCTGAGCTATATTCCTGGCCTGGCGTCTCTGGACCACACTGCAGGCACGATGTGGGGTTGGATTCTTTCTTCACGACACCAATTGGCCAGTCTCTTGTATCACCCCTGCTGGCCAAATAATCATCTTGGACCCCGACCATTATGGACCTATATTGAGTTCCCTCCTTGCTGAATTTGGACTACTAGAGTACTCTTGTCTGAAGCACATTTTATTTTATTTTATTTTATTTTATTTTATTTTATTTTATTTTAAGACAAAGTTTCACTCTGTCACCCAGGCTGGAGTGCAATGGCGCGATCTCAGGTCACTGTAACCTCTGCCTCCCAGGTTCAAGCGATTCTCCTGCCTCAACCTCCCTAGTAGCTGGTACTATAGGTGTGTGCTGCCACACCTGGCTAATTTTTGTATTTTTTGTAGAGACGGGGTTTCGCCATGTTGGCCAGGCTGGTCTCAAACTCCTGACCTCAAGTGATCCACGTGCCTTGGCCTCCCAAAGTGTTTGGATTACAGGTGTGAGCCACTGCAGCTGGCCTGAAACATATCTTTTAGTACTTTAGTAATATATGGATTATATGTCATATAATATCGATTAAATTGTGTATTAAATCTAGTCTCCACAAAATCATAGCCCCTTTGAGAGTGGACCTTCTCTTACACATTTTTCCAAGGCACAGTGTTGAACACACAGTAGGTGCTTAACCAATATTTGCCAATTCATTGAATGGTGGGCATTCGGCCTCTTCATCTCTAGAGTGCTGTCCTTAAGTACAGTAATTCTATCTTAAGAACAAATAACAGTTACCCAACTCTGTCTTCTGCAAAACAGAAAAAAGAATAGAGACCAAAAATGGTTCTGAGGCCAGGTGCAGTGGCTCACACCCGTAATCCTAACAACACTTTGGGAGGCCATGACAGGAGGATCACTTTAGCCAGGAGTTTGAGACGCACCTGGGCAATGTAGCAAGACCCTGTATCTATTTGCAAAAACTATGATTACTTTTGCACCAACCTAATATTTAAAAAAAGACTCACTCCTGTAATCCCAGCACTTTGGGAGGCCAAGGCAGGCGGATCACGAGGTCAGGAGATCGAGACCACGGTGAAACCCCGTCTCTACTAAAAATACAAAAAATTAGCTGGGCGCGGTGGTGGGCGCCTGTAGTCCCAGCTACTCGGGAAGCTGAGGCAGGAGAATGGCAGGAACCCGGGAGGCGGAGCTTGCAGTGAGCCGAGATTGCGCCACTGCACTCCAGCCTGGGTGACAGAGCGAGACTGCATCTCAAAAAAAAAAAAAAAAAGAAAAGATAGTGGTTTTGAAGAGACCCATAAAGAGTATCTTTTTTATTCCTATCTTAATGACCATGTAGAAGACAAGTTGAAATACTCTTGGGTTGGATTGTATATTCATATATATATATATATTCATAAATAGTCATGTATATATTTATGAAACAGTCACCACTGAATTGTGTAGCTGGGATAATGTTCTCAGTGAGATGACCCATAGAGATGGTTTTCATCATTGGTGGTAGCCTGGACTTTTTTTTTTTTTTTTTTTTACAGCCATTAGTGCTTTTCAGGCTCTCTCCAACTGAATATGCTGCTATTAGATAATAATCAATAAACCATGAACTGGCCAGGTGTGGTTAATTCCAGCCCTTTGAGAGGCTGAGGCAGTTGGATCACTTGAGGTCAGAAGTTCGAGACCAGGCCAACATGGTGAAACCCCATCTCTACTAAAAATACAAAAATTAGCCAGGTGTGGTGGCGCATGCCTGTAGTCCCAGCTACTTGGGAGGCTCAGGCAGGAGAATCACTTGAACCCAGGAGGCAGAGGTTGCAGTCACGCCAATGCATTCCAGCCTGGGTGACAGAGCAAGACTCTGTCTTTAAAAAAAAAATAGCGATAATAATAATAAACCATGAACCAACACTAGACCCATATGCTTAAAGTATTAACTAGCAGCCAGTATACCCTCCCTCCACCAAACCAGTAGCCACTTTGCCGGTGCAGAGCATGAGCGGGACAACATTGTTAAAACATGAATTCTGCTTCCAGTGTTCCTGCTGGCTGAACCTGTACTTTGTTGGCGTGTCTTCCTCAATTGCTTCCTCCAGCGAGCTCCCAAAAGCCAAAAAAAAAAAAAAAAAAAAAAAGTTATAGTAGAGAGGATCAGTGGTTTGGCTAGGCTTCTCTGTCTCTTTAATCGTATCTGAAGCATAAAACAAGATGACTGGTAGACTTTTCTCAAAATCCCTCCTAATCAGCCACCTCTACCTTGTATCCTCAGTAGCTTGTACAGATGGCAGGAAGATAAAAATCTACACAGCTACTAGGCTTGCACCTTCCCCACCACCTGCCCAGCCCTTCAATTTTTAGAGGATAATAGATTTTCTTTTCTTTTCTTTTCTTTTTTCTTCTGAGATGGAGTCTTGCTGTGTTGCCCTGGCTGTAGTACAATGGCGTGATCTTGGCTCACTGCAATCTCCACCTCCCGGGTTCAAACGATTCTCCTGCCTCACTGAGCCTTCCCGAGCAGCTGGGACTACAGGCATACGCCACCATGCCCAGCTAATTTCTGTATTTTTGTAGAGACGGGGTTTCATCATGTTGACCAGGCTGGTCTGGAACTCCTGACCTCAGGTGATCCACCTGCCTTGGCCTCCCAAAGTGCTGGGATTACAGGCATGAGCCACCTTGCCCACCTTAGATTTTATTTTCTAGAGCAGTTTAGGTTTACAGAAAAATTGTGCAGAAAGTACAGACATTTTTCATCTAAGCCTGGATCTTAAACCATCAAAGTTTCTGTTGTAGAGAAAAGAGCTGCAGAATTCATGATTCCCAAAATTGTGGATTTATGAAGAGCCACCCTACATCGTGATCTTGGTGGATTTTATCTAGAGAAATCACCAAATCTAGAAACAAATCTAGAAATGAAGCAAGAGCAATTGCAAAATTTAGAAAAACACTTCTGTTCAAAGAGAAATCTAGGCTGATAAGACACATTCCATGCTTATCAGTGTACCTGTCCCTACTCAATTATCACCACACAGCACGTAATAGTTCATGAAATGGATTTACCTTAATTTATTTGGCAATTCTCCCATAGTAGGATATTTAAACTGTTTTCTTCCTTTTTCAATCTTATTTTTCTTGACATTATAATAATGTTGCAATAAAAATATTTGTGCGTAAGTCTTTTCCTTTAAGATTATTTTCTTTTTCTTTCTTTCTTTTCTTTTTTTTTTTTTTTTCCTCAGGGTTTCACTCTGTCACCCAGGCTGGAATGCAGTGGCACACTCACGGCTCATTGCAGCCTCCACTGCCTAGGCTCAAGCAGTCCTCCCACCTCAGCCTCCTGAGTAGCTGAGACCACAGATCCATGCCACCACACCCAGCTCATTTTTAAATTATTTGTGGAGACAAGGTATCACTATGTTGTCCAGGCTAGTCTCAAACTCCTGGGCTTAAGCCATCCTCACAAAGTGCTGGGATTACGGGTGTGAGCCACTGTGCCTTGCCAAGATTCTTTTCTTTCTTTCTGTTTTGTTTTTTTGTTTGTTTTGTTTTGTTTTGTTTTTTATTTATACCGAGTCTTGCTCTGTCATGCAATCTTGGCTCAGTGCAACCTCTGCCTTCTGGATTTAAGTGATTCTCCTGCCTCAGCTCTTGAGTAGCTGGACTACAGGCACCCGCCAATATGCCCAGCTGATTTTTGTATTTTTTAATAGAGACTGGGTTTTGCCATGTTGCCTAGGCTGGTCTCAAACTCCTGACCTCAACTGATCCACCTGTCTTGGCCTTCCAAAAGTGCTGGGATTACAGGTGTGAGCCACCATGCCTGGCCACCAAGATTCTTTTCTTAAGATAAATTCTCAAAATGTAAGCTTACTAGGTCAAAGTATATCAAGATTTGTAAGACACTTGATACTTATTATTCTTAATACTTTACAAAAAAGAGAAAATTACTCCCTTTTAATTTTGGAATCTATAACATGGTAATTATTCAGATTTGCCTTCCCCATGTAGCATTTCTAGGTTCATATTTAAAGGAATTTTTCCTACTGAGCAGTTATTCACTCTCTAGTGTGTGTATGGCGGGGGTGGCCACGGGAGTCAACCAGATTGACACCAAAATCCACTGCAGATGATTTGTGGGTAGAAAGTAGAAGGGAAAGAGGATAAACACTTTTCCTTCTCCCTGTCTCTGATAAATAGCCAAAGACAGGAACATTATTACAGGTGATATAGGAAAAGTGCCTCCGTGACCTCCCACACCCAGGTCCCATCTCAGGAGACAAATTCAGCCCAAGGAGCAAACGAGACCATGAAGTTCACAGCACTCCAGTGTCAGGTGCCCCCCTGTAAAGCTTTGGCTTGATGCAACAACAAAAGGCATTCGCATCCTAACGTGACCTCAGCAGATCTCTTCCTCCACCTCCAAGAGCCGGGAGTTGTACCAGAGCTCTGGCAGCTGCACCTGCCACCACCGGGGAGCCCAAATGAATCATTGCTGTGGCTGAGTGTTTTCCTTTGGGGCCCGGTGAAGCCACTGCTTGTTTTTAATGGTGTTGGCTTAATTCTGGCTCCTGCCCTGAACTGAGTGTGACGATAAGAACATTTCACCTTGTCCCTGCTCTCCAATTACACCACATCAGGACCGCTGCCACTTCCCACTGCTCCGTGGCAGCCCCTCTATGTACCACCCAAGTTGGCTGACTGTGGGATGATAGGACAGAGAAGGAACAAGCCAAGGAGCAAGACAGAGGAGACTAACAGGACGCAGAGGCCACTCTTAACACCACAGGCTTTTTAACTGAAAGGAATGTTAATGGTCACCTGGGTCACTTGATCTCAGTCTCCTTAGGGCCACAGATCTCTGATGATCAGATGAAAGTGGTCGAACTCTCTTTCCAGAAAAATACGCCTTCTCAAATTTCAGGATGTCTCCCAGAATCCCTGAAACCCATTCATCTAGACTAAGTTGTGGTTTGTTTGTTGTTTTTTTTTTTGGTTTTGGTTTTTTTTGAGACAGGATCTCACTCTGTTGCCCAGGATGAAGTGTAGTGGCGTGATCTTGGCTCACTGCAACCTCTGCCTCTCGGCTCAAGAGATTCTCATGCCTCAGCCTCCTGAGTAGCTGGGACAACAGGTGCACATCACCACGCCCAACTAATTTTTGTAATTTTTATAGAGACAGGGTCTTGCTATGTTGCCCAGGCTGGTCTCAAACTCCTGGGCTTAAGCCATCCTTGCACTTTGACCTCCCAAAGTGCTGGGATTACAGGGATGAGCCGCTGTTCCCAGTTAGACTAAGATTTTAATTTACAAACAAGGACATGGAGGCCCAAAGAACATGCAGGAATTAGCCCAAGGTTACACAGAAAATTTACTGAATTTACTTATTTATTTGAGACAAAGTCTTGCCCTGTCGCACAGGCTGGAGTGCAGTGGTGTATCTCAGCTCACTGCAGCCTCCACCTCCTGGGTTCAAGCAATTCTCCTGCCTCAGCCTCCCTAGTAGCTGGGATTACAGGCACATGCCACCACACCCAGCTAATTTTTGTATTTTTAGTAGAGATGGGGTTTCACCATGTTGGCCAGGCTGGTCTTAAACTTCTGACCTCAGGTGATCTGCCCACCTGGCCTCTCAAAGTACTGGGATTACAGGTGTGAGCCACCATGCCCGGCCAGATAACTGAATTTAAACTCAGCTCTCCTGATTGCCAATGTAGGACCCATCAGCCCATAGTAGGAGGCTGTCACCCTGCACTGAGCCCTGTGGCAGCAATTGTGGGAAATTAGGGTGCTTACAACCAAGGAAACAGGATCTCAGACTCATGAAAAAAAAAAAAAAAACCTAAGATCAATGAGTAAGCAATATTCCTGCCATAGAGTCCTCTTTGGAAAGTAGATGCTAATGCCTTCTGTTAGTTCTCCAGGCACTTATTGAGCACCTATGAACATCTCTTAAGCTCTAATCACTGGGAGATTCATTATTTATTAGAAATTAAAACTCGCCTGTAATCCCAGCACTTTGGGAGGCCAAGATGGGTGGACCATCTGAGTTCTAGACCACCCTGGCCAATATGGTGGTAAAACCCCATCTCTACTAAAAATACAAAAATTAGCCGGGCGTGGTGACAGGCGCCTGTAATCCCAGCTACTCAGGGGGCTGAGGCAGGAGAATCGCTTGAACCCAGGTGGCAGAGGTTGCAGTGAGCCGAGATCGTGCCATCGCACTCCAGCCCGGGGGACAAGAGTGAGACTTCATCTCAAAAAGAAAAGAAATTAAAACTCATCATCTCAAGCCTGAAGAGGATGTTGGGTTCCTCAATGTGATTTTTTGTGATTTGTTCAGATGGTGGGTACCCCACCCTGAAATATTTACTACAAAGTTCAAGTAAAGGAGCTTCCTCGTGCTTGCTATTCCATGGACTTTGGCATGAGAATTAGGCACGCTGTTAATGAAGGAGACCAGTGGTTGGACTAAAGGATGCCTTGGTGGCTTCTACTGCAGCCTTAGCTATTCAACAGAGGAACAGAAGACTCCCATGTTGCTGGGAGGTTCTCAGTGACAGTTTCTCAGGACACACACTTTTTAAGTAGCAGGAGACTCAGATTCTGAATTTTTCTTTCTAGAAAGATGCAGGTAGCAGTTTTGATTGATGTTTATCTTAGCGGTTGGATGCTAAGAGGCGGTTTTGTTTTTGTTTGTTTGTTTTAATCATGGAAGGACCTGGTGAAGCCTACAGACTTGCCCTCCAGTCTGAGCTTCTCTGCTGACTGGCCATGTGACTTTGAGCAAGCCTCTTTACTTCTTTCAGCCTTGGTTTTCTCATCTGAAAAGCAGGAATAATATTAATATGGGCATAATGTTCTTAAAGCAACATTAATAGTTCCCTTCCCTAGTTTTACAGCCTATTCTTTTCTTTTTCTTCTTCTTCTTTTTTGTTTTTTTTTTTTTTGAGATGGCGTCTCACTGTGTCGCCCAGGCTGGAGTGCAGTGGCACAATCTCGGCTCACTGCAATCTCTGCCTCCCGAGTTCAAGCGATTCTCATGCCTCAGTCTCCTGAGTACCAGGGTTCACAGGCATGTGCCACCACACCCGGCTGGGGTTTCACCATGTGGACCAAGCTGGTCTCGAACTCCTGACCTCAAGCCATCCACCCGCCTTGGCCTCCCTAAGTGCTGGGATTACAGGTGTAAGCCACTGCGGCCAGCTGACAGCCTATTCTTTTCTTTCTTTTGCAGCACATACTCCATTCTGCCTTGTATTTTTGGTGATAGCTCCCCAGTCTGTCTCTCCTACTAGATGGTAACCTCTCAAGGGCTATCTTTGTAGTCCCTCAAGCCCAGGGCAGCACTTTGTATGCAATGGGTGTATCAGTCAGGGCCCAATCAGGAGATAGAAACCATGCAGTAATTTGAATAGGAGAAATGTAATAGAAGGAATTATTGATCTCTGATGGGAGCAACTATAAGGATGTAAAGGGAACTCCAAAGGATACCCTAAGGCTGAGAGAGAATACCCAGGAAGGACAAACTTGGCAGGGGCCTCTCTGCATGGCTGGGGTTCAGACTTCATTGGAGAAGCAGGATGGTGGGGAAGTTCACGAGGTTGACCTGAGCCAGGGCTGGTTCACAGTGGTTGAGCAGCAGAGCGCCCTCTGGGGTGCAGGCCAGAGGAGGTTGGTGGACAGGGGTGTGTGTGGAGAGAGAGTCGGGGCACGCTGCCAGTGCAAGGCCTGCAGCACGCAGTGCCTGCAGCAGGAGGGCCACCGTGAAGTGGTTACTGGGCCCAGGCTAGGGCTGCAAGGTCACTGAGCAACTATGCACTCCAGGCTTGCAGCTGGGGCAGAGCATGACCGAAAGTCCCCACAGGCACACTCTGCAGCCCAACAACATCCAAATCTGAAGAAATCCCCTTCCTCTTGCAGTGGCCCTTTAGGGCCCCCTACTGATGAGGCTCACTGTAAAGGAGAAATGCTTACAGGGTCCAGTCCATGATCTCAGAGCAGAGGCATAAGGGCGACTTTGGAGCTAAGGCAATACTATGAAAACTGCAATGGGTGCAATGAGGGATCAATAAAATGTTTGAATTAAATCGGAGAAAGCTACATAACCTGTCATGCCCCCCCTTCATCCGTGCTTAGTTCCCTTTCTTTGAGTCCTGTAGATTTTGCCACCAATAAATGTCAAACCTTTTTAACTACTTTTGTAATTTACTCTCTGGAAGCTCATTTCCCTCTGGGGTATTCTGTGTGTGTGTGTGTGTGTGTGTGTGTGGTTTTTGTTGTTGTTGTTGTTTTTGAGACAGAGTCTCACTCTGTCGACCAGGCTGGAGTGCAGTGGCACGATCTCGGCTCACTGCAATGTCCACCTCCCAGGTTCAAGTGATTCTCCTGCCTCAGGCTCCCAAGTAGCTGGGATTACAGGCACATGCCAACATGCCCAGTAGGGACGGGGTTTCTCCATCTCATCATGTTGGCCAGGCTGGTCTTGAACTCCCAGCCTCAAGTAATCCACCTCCCCCAACCCGCCCGACATCAGCCTCCCGAAGTGCTGGGCTTACAGGTGTGAGCCACTGTGCCTGGCCTCTGTGTGTCTTCTTAATGAGGCATGTGTCTCTCTTCTCTTAGCTCATACTTAAAAGAGATTTGCAGAAAGAAAGAAGGAGCGGGGGGGACTGGCTCTCGCAAACAGTGTGAGACCCAGTATTTTATTTCACAACTTATTTCTCCACTTGAACTTGAACTTGTTTCTCCACTGTCTGTTTCATTTCGAGGCAGTTCACTTGTCCCTCCCAAATGCTTTAGGAGTGTCCTGAAGCACTTGACTTCAAGTAGCAGTGGAAAGAATCAGAGCCAATCCAAGAACCAATCTTTCTCTGACTTGGAGAAGTCAGTGGCCACCTCGGGTCAGACTAGGGAGTTAATCTCCTTGGACAAATCTGAAGAGTCCAGTCTCCAAATATTTAGAAAAGAATAGGCAAGAAGAGAAGAACCACCAGCCGACTTGGAGGATAATTACAACACAAATATTATTCAGAAAGCATTTAGAAAGGACTAATCGTTTCAAGTAACTTGAGAATCCAACCGAGATGAGTTGAGCCTATAAAGAGCCCTTCAGATGCCCTCTTGTGGGAGACTGTGTTAATAGGCACCAAGTTTGGGTTAGGACAGTGTTCTTGGGTATCAACCACCCTGTTCTTCCAAAATATTGCATTCTCTCCCGAAGAGTCAGATGTAATTAGTGTTAACTGTTGATTCCCTCCAGGAATGAGCTAAACAGTGGGATGTGGCTACAGTTAAGACTTCCTCTAAGAATGAAGTGGTTGTCCAAACTTAAATCTGTTGGCCGGGCATGGTGGCTCACGCCTGTAATCCCAGCACTTTGGGAGGCCAAGGCGGATGGATCACTTGAGGTCAGGAGTTCAAGACCAGCCTGGCCACCATGGTGAAACCCCCATCTCTACTAAAAATACAAAAATTGGCCGGGCTTGGTGGTGGGCACCTGTAGTCCCAGCTACTCAGGAGGCTGGGGCAGAAGAATGGCTTGAACCCAGGAGGCGGAGATTGCAGTGAGCTCAGATCCCACCACTTCATTCCAGCCTTGAGACTCCGTCTCAAAAAAAGAAAGCTGTTTATCATCCTGCAGAAGGATGATTATCCCTTTAGACCAGAAAAATGACAGTGAGAAGAACTAGAAGAACTTAATTTTTCCACTGAAATTTAGACTTTTTTTTTTTTTTGAGACAGTCTCACTCTGTCACTCAGGCTGGAGTGCAGTGGCGCAATCTCGGCTCACTGCAACCTCTGCCTCCTGGGTTCAAGTGATTCTTCTGCCTCAGCCTCCCAAGTAGCTGGGATTACAGGTGTGCAGCATCACGCCCGGCTAATTTTTGTATTTTTGGTAGAGACAGGGTTTCACCATATTGGCCAAGCTGGTCTCAAACTCCTGACCTCAAGTGATCTGCCCACCTCGGCCTCCCAAAGCGCTGCGATTACAGGCATGAACCACTGAGCCCAGGCCGACATTTATATCTATATATTGCGGCTGTGTTGTTGTTGTTGTTATTATTATTATTATTATTATTATTATTATTATTATTATTATTTTGCAAGTGATGTGCATTCTGGGCCAGTGAAACCTAGAGCAGATTGGCAGGAAACCATCTCAGTGTCTTACCAAGCTTTACCTTGTTACCTTTATGTGTACAAAGGAAATTGTGCCCTTAAATGATCAAGAAAAACAGGTGTGTTTCCCCTGGATAATGAGATTGTGGTTTATTTTCTTATTTTTGCTTATCTATATTTTCTGCAATGAGCATGTTTTATTTGTGAAACTAAATATATATAAAAATATATGGCCGGGCGCGGTGGCTCACGCCTGTAATCCCAGCACTTTGGGAGGCTGAGGCGGGCGGATCACGAGGTCAGGAGATCGAGACCATCCTGGCTAACACGGTGAAACCCCGTCTCTACTAAAAATACAAAAAATTAGCCGGGCGTGGTGGTGGGCGCCTGTAATCCCAGCTACTCGGGAGGCTGAGGCAGGAGAATGGCATGAACCCAAGAGGCGGAGCTTGCAGTGAGCCGGGATAGCGCCACTGCAGTCCAGCTTGGGCGAAAGAGTGAGACTCCGTCTCAAAAACCAAAAAAAAAAAAAAAAAAAAAAATATATATATATATAAAATATATATTTTTAACATATATATAATTTTAATTTTAAAAAACACACACTTTTCTAACTCTTGGCCTATATCCCTGCTTTTTGACTCAAATTTAGCCAGACCCTTTCCAACCTCTTTACTCCTCCTGTTCAGGTGAACTGCCAAAAATCAGCAGACTTCAGTTTGGGAAGAGATTTTTTTTTTTTGGAAGAGATTAATTTCCTCACTCTTGAACTCCTAAAAACAGCCCAGTTTTTCTTCTACCTCTCACCAAGCAGTGATTGATGCTACACCTGCCTCTGATGTGACAAAACCAAAGCCATGAATCAAAGCCTTCTATGATTCTTGCGCATTCTGAGGCTGGTGAAAGCACTAGCCGGGGGCCCTGAGACGTGTGAAGATGCTCTGTGTGGGGGTTATTCTGCCTCGGGCACTTTGGAGGGTAACACCTGCTATCACTAACCTTTGATATGTTGCTCTGCTTTTTCAGATTTTCGACAATGAAGCCAAAGACGTGGAGAGAGAAGTTTGCTTTATTGATATTGCCTGCGATGAAATTCCAGAGCGCTACTACAAAGAATCTGAGGTAAGCAACAGTTGGGATGAGATGTGGAAGATTCATTCATTCATTCATTCCACAACTATTTCTTAAGTGCCTCCTAACTTGGGAGGATGCCATCTCTCGTCGTGTGGATTCAATTTGCTTTCGTATCTTGCTGGTTCTTTTTGCAAGTCTCAAAATTAAGTCTCTAACTCTTCAGGGACCATCATTGGCCCTGGCTGTTACTCAATCTCCACTTAGTTTTCCTGTCTCCCAACTCTGCCATCATTTTTGGCAACGTCAGTATCCATAGGGCTGGACCATCCAACACACTGGCCTTGCTGAAAAACAACAGTCTCCCCAATTACATGCGCTCTTTTTTTTTTTTTTTTCTTTTTTTTTTTTGAGATGGAGTCTCGCCCAGGCTGGAGTGTGGTGGTGTGATCTCACTGTGGCATCTGCCTCCCAGGTTCAAGCCATTCTCCTGCCTCAGCCTCCTGAGTATGTGGGATTACAGGCGCCCACCACCATACCTGGCTAATTTTTGTATTTTTAGTAGAGATGGGGTTTCACCCTGTTGGCCAGGCTGGTCTCCAACTTCTGATCTCAAATGATCAGCCCACCTTGGCCTCCCAAAGCACTGGGATTACAGGCATGAGCCACCTGTGTTTTATTTGTATCTGAATCAATCCTTGAAAACTTTGATAGCTCATTCCAGCACAGCTCCTTTCTCTCAAAACAGCAAGCACCTTAATGAGGACATCTCCTTTGTTCTTGGCTGAGAATAAATTTCAGAGAACTTCTTTCTGTCTGGTTTTCAACCTACCAGGATCCATCCTTTGCCTTAGTTCTACCTTCTTGTTATACGGTTTGTGCAAGTCACCATTTATATCCCATTAGTATTTTATTAATGGCTGCTGACGGAACTTGGGTGACCCACTTGTAAATAACATCCCAGCCCTGCAATGACAGCAGATGCAGGGCTATTTTTGTTGGTTAGCGACATGCCACCAATCCCAATATGTTTGGAATCAGGGCCCCAGACTCGTCCTTGAGCCGTAACACGTGGACCTTGAAACTCTTCTCCCAGAGTCATCAAGGCTGATGGGAGACACAATAAATAAACTTATTCAAAATGAATTCTGTCGTTACGCAAATAAACCAGGCTCCCGACGTGGTTCAGATTTCTTTTGCCTCCACATTTTGGGGTTCATTTCGGTATAAAAGTCTTACCTGATCTTAGCAAATGCTCGGCTGCTTAATTGCAGGCGCTTATGTTCAGCTGCTGTCCCTGAAAGGGCTGGGGAGAGGCTGATGTGGATCACTCTGTGTTGCTCATCTCCACCCAAAGGGTGAGCGTTTTAACATCATCAGCTTTCATTATGCTCTGTGGCCAACCACACCTATGCATTTTAAGATAAAGAAAGTTAAACGCTCCCTACGTAACTGTGGACCCGCCGAAGAGGGAAATAAACAGGGCCACTGACCTTCCCCTTGTCTCACTCCACAGAAATCCTATAGTTTCATGTCAAGTCCGCCAGTGCTTAATGGGGCTCTGATGATGCGCAGAGCATTGTGCAAAGCACTCCTGTGACGCCTCGGGCCCCCCCGGGCTGCTGTCCTACCTGGACCTCCCGGCCTCTTTGGGAGCTCTGGGCCTTCCAGGAAAGCAGGGTTGCCAGAAAACTCTGAACTAATTTCAGCTTTTCCTCCCAGTGTGCTTTGGCGTGGCTCTGCCTGGACTTCAGGGAGTTCCCTCCTGATTCAGTAGGAAGTCTTGATACAAATATAGAATATTAATGAAGAAATCAAGTCTCATTTCTAGTCAACGTGCCTGACTCATTTCCCTGTGCTCTGTGCCCCCAAAGAACCTCCACTAGAAAGCTTCCTTTCATTCACACAGACATTCGAGGAGCTTTTCCTTCATGCTTCACAGGGTCACTCATGGGCACGTCCGTACCTCCTTCCCTGGGTCCTAGAGTATTCTTCCCTGGATGCAGCTTGGCCAAGGAGATGAGTGGTAAAGAGTCCAGTAATTATTCATCCAATAAATATTTATGGAGTCCTCACTGAGTGTCACATACAATGTTAAGATGGGGATGTCTGGGCATGGTGCCTCACGCCTGTAATCCCAGCACTTTGGGAGGCCAAGGCAGGCGGCTCACTTGAGTTCAGGAGTTCGAGACCAGCCTGATCAACATGGCAAAAACTCTACTAAAAATACAAAAATTAGCCGGCAGGGTGGTCAGCTACTCGGGAGGCTGACGCATGAGAATCGCTTGAACCTGGGAAGTGGAGGCTGCAATGAGCTGAGATCACAACAGAGTGAGAAACTGTCTCAAAAAAAAACAGCAATGAGCCAAAGAGATGCTTAGGGTCCCTCCCTTCAGGACACTTCCAATCTAACAAATACCACGCAGAGAGTATTTGGCGAACAGTAGAGAAATAGTCACACAGATACATATGGAGTTCAGAGTCACACGTGCAGGAAGGCAGGTACGGGGAGAGACTGTGATAAGGAAACTGAATTTAAGAGGATAGGATCAGGAGACATGCTATGGAAAAAATGACATTTCAGGCCGGGCGCAGTGCCTCACGCCTGTAATCCCAGCATTTTGGGAGGCCGAGGCAGGCAGATCACCTGAGGTCAGGAGTTTGAGACCAGCCTGGCCAACAGAATGAAACCCCAACTCTACTAAAAATATAAAAATTGCCCGGGCATGGTGGCATGCGCCTTTAGTCCCGGCTACTCAGAAGACTGAGGCAGGAGAATCACTTGAAGTCCCAGCGACTCAGGAGGCTGAGGTTGAACCCAGGAGGCGGTGGTTACAGTGAGCCGAGATGGCACCACTGCAATCCAGCCTGGGCAACAGAGACTCGGTCTCAAAAAAAATAATAATAAATAATAAATGAAGCTGAGGTGTCATAGGATCTAAATTATGCTTTTAAAATATTGTTCTGGATGGAGAATGGACTGGAGAAGAACAGAGTCAGGAGACCACCAAGGTCACTATTGTGATTTATATTGTCGGTTACTTAGGTTCTGTCGTGGCTTGCGCTAGAGGGCTGGTGGCAGAGATGGACAGGAGCAGATGGTTTGGAGGTATATTTTGAAGATGAGTTGACAGGGATTGCTCATGGATTGGATGTGGGGATGAGGTTGAAGGAGGAATTGGGATGGCCTTAAGGATTCTGGCTTGGGCAACTGATAGATGGGGGTGCTGCTTACTGAAATGGGAAGGTGAGAAGAGAGGTATACGTTGGAGAAAGATGAGTGGATTTTGTGATGTCAGTGAGGCATCTAACACAGACAGAAATGAGTCTGGAGCTTAGGTGAGAGATCTGGGAGACCAATTTGAGAGTATTTGGCGAATAGGAGATTTAAAAATCCTGGGGATGGATGAGAGGAAGAAAGCATGAAATATAAATGGGAAAGGGGTTCAAGTCTGAGCCTTCAAGGATGGCAGCATATGGAGATCAGGTTGAATCTAAAAGAATCAGGAGTCTAAAAGAATTGGCCAGAAAGTTAGGAGGAAAACACAGAAATGCACCAAGGAATGCAAGTTTCAAGAGGAGGAGAGTGACCAGAGGTGCTGAATGCTGCCAAGAGATCGAGTAGGAAGAGAATGGAAAACTGTCCGCTGGAGCAGTTCTCAACTGGGGGTGATTATTGCCTCACGAGGATGCTTGGCAATGCCTATAGACATTCTTGGTTGTCAAAACATAGGAGGTGCTACTGGTATCTAGAGTGTAGAGGCCAGGGATACTGCTAAAATCCTCTACAGCACAGAAAGCCCCTCACAACAAAGAATTATCTGGCTCCAGCTGGGCGCGGTGGCTCACGCCTATAATCCCAGCACTTTGGGAGGCCGAGGCAGGTGAATCACAAGGTCAGGAGTTCAAGACCAGCCTGGCCAACATGGTGAAACCTCGTTTCTTCTAAAAATTCAAAAAATTAGCCGGCCATGGTGGTAGGTGCCTGTAATTCCATCTACTCGTGAGGCTGAGGCAGGAGAATCACTTGAACCCAGGAGGCCGAGATTGCGCTACTGCACTCCAGCCCAGGCGACAGTGCGAGACTCCGTTTCAAAAAAAAAAAAAAAAAAAAAAGCATTATCTGGCTCCAAATGTCCATAGTGCCAAGGCTGGGAAGCCTTGTTCTACAGGAAGAGGTGATTGAAGATGGATGGAACTCTGGATTCAGCTTTGACGCTCAGGGCCACCCCTGGCCCGCCCTGGAGTCTTACGGTTACTAAATGGATGCGGGAGAAGGGGCCCCATAGGGCTGAGCCCTGCACATTCATCATCCATTGTGTGACCTCCCAGGGGATCTGCTGGCATCTGGAACAGGTGGAATTCCTCCTCCGTGGACCTGGCAGCCGGACCACAAAGGGCTATAGGTACCACTGGGAGCCTGCAATAAAATCTTAGAAAAAGCATTCCCCCAGGGGCGACTCCCTCGTAACCCCAGCCCCATCACCTTCAACAGGCCAGAATACAGACTGCAGTCTGAACCCACCCAAAGGAAGAGGGGTGAGTTTCCTGGGCTGTTTTGGTGGTTGTGTCTACTGTAAACACACCAGGGACTGGGAATAAGAGGAACAACCGATTCAGAAGGCAAACCATTTCCAAACAAATGTCTAACTGGCACACTGTAGATAATTAACACCCTCCACCCCACCACAGGAGTTTCCTTCTAAAATGAAATCTGACCTTGTTCTTTGCTTGAAACCCCTCACTGGCCCTCCTTTAGAGTTCAGCTCACACAGGACTCCCCCTTTCTGAGTTTTCCTGGGCATGCCCCCACCACTGCTGGTCTGGAGGCAGCAAAGTTCTGGTCCGTGGCTTCTAGATCATGCTAGGTTATGCTAGCTCATCACTATGGCATGAGCTCTGCGAAGACAAGAGCTGGCTCTTTCCCAGCCGCTGCCACAGCACCAGTGCTTAGCAGGCGCTCACTCAATGGTTGCTGAATGAATGAGTGAAGGCAAGGGACTTTGCTTTTTTTCTTCCAGCAGTGACAATTTCAGAGCAACCGCTATCAAAGAAAATGAATTCGTTGCCATTAAGCAAGCAGTTGTGAATCAGAGTTCCTTTTTTTTTTTAATCGGAGGCATCCAGCTCCATGGGCCTTTTCTTCCCATCCATCTTTGTAAGTTGACGATGTCAGCGTCCTAAATAGAAACGCTCTTTATGTGAGGAAGCCGGATGCTGATGGGCCGAATCTGTTCCTGGATTTTTTTGATGCTGATGAACCCAGACCAGGGTTATCTGGGTTGCTCCTCTCCACTCAGCTACTGTTGCACACACACACGGCCATCCAGGCCAAAGGAGGGGATGAAAGCACTTTCCTTTCTTTTTCCATTTCTCCCTGGAAACCTTTGAGCCACACAATCAAGACTGCCTCTCTCATGAAGGTGACCAGAGCTTGGAGTTTTCCACTGGGTGCCCTCTGCCCGATGGCCCTCGTGCCATCGCCACTAACCGGGGACTCAGAAGCATGCTTTGGGGATTCAGGACCAGCTGATAGCCCAGCTCTGTGCTTTCCTTATTCTCATTTTTGCTGTGTTGCTGTTTCCTGTTAGGGCCTGAACTTCAGCTCTCAAAAACCTCTTAGCTTCAAGTTTGTTCTCATAGTCATTAATGGACTCTGCAGGGCAGTGCCGTATTGTGGGGTGGGGGTGGGGGAGGAATTAGTGTGATTTTTTTCAGGCAGAGAGAGCCCCTCCATTAGTCACACAGACCACTGAGACCCTGCCCGCCCATAAGAGTCATAAAGCTGTTTGCACCATGTCACATGTAAAATGACCATCATCAACACCAAAGCAGGAAAAGGGGTGAAGCCAAAAGCTGAGCAGGTTGGACTGGTTATGTGGCTGATACATAGTGTCTTGCCGCTGCCAAGATTTTCATCCCAGCTCCTTGATGCTCTGCCAAGATTTCAAGGTGAAGATCCCAGCGGAGGAATGAGGAACTCTGCACGATAAGTTGGAGCATGCCTGCAGAGGCCACAGGCAGTGCGGCCATACCCGCAAGGCTGAGTTGGCAGTTTTGGGGTGCAAGAACAAACCTCAACTTCTAGCCTGCAGGACTAGCCCAGGCTGGAGAATCTGAAAGCCATGCTGGGAGAGATCTAACCCAGAGGCCTTTGATATTGGCTTCTAGTCAAGTTCAAGTCCAGTACTTTCTCCTCCATTCACTGCAGTAGTTCCTGAGGTCTGGCTTCCATCATGAGATGGGGAGTGACCAAAGAAAATGGCATCTATACTGGCCTCCTGGGGGCTGCCACCTGCAGCAATCTCCCCTAGACACAAATGTGTAGGGCGCGTGCAGCTTCTCAATCTTCAGACATACCTCCAGGGCAAAGGAAGGGAAAGAAAAAGGAATGTCTTTCCTAGTCAAGGAAGTAGAAGTAGAGGGTTTTGTGTGTGTGTGCTTCCTTTTTTAAATCTTCATTGATTCATGTAATGAAAAGCAAAGGAGTCTCTAGCCCAGAGGTTCTCAACTACAGGCAAATTTGTCCCTCAGGGCCATCTGGCAATATCTGGAGACATTTTTGATTGATGAAAGTGGATACGGCATGTTATGAATCCAGTCGGTAGAGGTCAGGGAGGCTACTGAACATCCAAAATGGGCCAGGTGCAGTGGCTCACACCTGTAATCCCAGCACTTTGGGGGAGGCTGAGGCGGGAGGATCACTTGAGGCCAGGATTTCAAGAACAGCCGGAGCCACACAGCAAGACCCTATTTCTACAAAAAAAAAATAAAAATAAAAATAAATTCTCTGGGCATAGTAGCATGTGCCTATAGTCCTAGCTACTCAGGAAGCTGAGATGAGAGGATCACTTGAGCCCAGACGTTTGAGGCTGCAGTGAGCCATGATCATGCCACTGCACTCCAGCCTGGGAAACAGAGCGAGACCCTGTCTCTAAAAAAGAAAAGAAAAGAATCCAAACTGCACCACAACAGAGAATTATCCAGCTCCAAAATGTCAAGTATGCCAAGATCAATAAACCCTGACATGGACCAATCCAAGGAAAGAAAACTTAGTAAAACCTACTGGTATCAAGACTCATTAATGAATTCCTTTAGTTAGCATTTACTAAGCACCTACTGAGTGCCAGCTCCACACTAAGCATTGAGGGTACAAAAACAAGATTATGTCAGCCCTCAAAGGTCCTGTCTTCTACTGCCTTTTGAATTGATCATCTTGTTACAGATGAAGCAATTTCTCATCCCCTTTATTTTGGAGGATATAAAGGCCATCTTACTAGTGATAAATACAGCATAGTAAGTTGAATAGGGGAAATTTGCAATTGTTTGTACTCAGATAGCAACAAAGGAGAAAGAATAACATGAGGCTGTCCTAGAAGCATGGGCCCCTGACGTGGCATAATTAAATGTTTTTCAGACAGAATTTGATTTTGAACTTTCCCCTTAAGTTGGGTGACTAAGTCTCCAGGTCCCTGGGTCATAGCCTTCCTGGACCAAGAACTCCTTGGCAGCCAGTTCATTGGTCCCCACAGATCTAAATATCTGTTGAATTCTCTGTTAAGGGAGAGAGAACAGAACAAAAGGAGATACATCTAGCTTTTCCAATAACTGTCAAGGGTGAGAGATTAAATGTTGTTTGCTAAGGACCGGCCCTCAGAAAGGGAACAGAGAGATCAACTAAGTAAATATTGTCATATTTAGCTGTACCCTTCGGTACAAAGAGCTTCATCCAAATCACTCGGCTCCCTCAAATGAAAAATATTTTCATTCTGGTCTACATCTTGGCCTTTGAGGGTGGTAAAGATTTTCCGTTACCTCTAATGGCCAGATTTAACACAGCTGCCTCATGCCGGGGTACATCGTTAAGTTCACTTGGTTGTGCTGTTATTATCTTTTTTTTTTTCCCGTTTCCCTCAAGTCCATCTGTTTCTTTCTGAGAGTAACGCAGCTGTTTTGCAGTGGGTTCCAACTTACTGGGGCCTGCATGCTTCTTGGAAAATAAGAGGACTTGATGACATCACTGGGATGGGGAGAAGTCCCTGCTGCCAAAGGGGTCCCTGGTGGGAGCCTCTAAAACTGGAGGGAGAGGGAGGAAGCCTGCAAAGGAGACACAAGAGAAGGGTCCTCAGCAGCTGCCGCATCGCGGGCCCTGAGCCCTCTCCCCTTCCAGGGTCTGGATGATGCCAGTGCTGTTAGAAATTGAGAGAGAAGGCCAGGCACAGTGGTCCACACCTGTAATCCCAGCACTTTGGGAGGCCGAGGCAGGCGGATCACTTGAGGTCAGGAGTTCGAGACCAGCCTGGCCAACATGGTGAAACTCCATCTCTACTAAAAATACAAAAATTAGCCACGTATGGTGGCGGGCACCTGTAATCCCAGCTACTCAGGAGGCTGAGGCAGGAGAATCACTTGAACCCAGGAGGCGAAGCTTGCAGTGAGCCAAAGATGGTGCCACTGTACTCCAGCCTGGGTGACAGAGCGAGACTCTGTTGAAAAAGAAAAAAAAAAAAAAAAAAAAGAGGCCGGGCACAGTGGCTCACACCTGTAATCCTAGCACTTTGGGAGGCCGAGGCAGGCAGATTGCCTGAGCTCAGGAGTTCGAGACCAGCCAGGACAACATGGTGAAAACCCATCTCTACTAAAATACAAAAAATTAGCCGGGTGTGGTGGCACATGCCTGTAACCCCAGCTACTCCGGAGGCTGAGGCAGGAGAATCGTTTGAACCCGGAAGGCAAAGGTTGCAGTGAGCTGAGATCACACCATTGCAGTCCAGGCTGGGTGACAGGGCCAGACCCTGTCTCAAAAAAAAAAGAAACCCATGATCTGGTTGGGAGGATATGGTATAATGACACAAATGCTAAGTGACAGTACGGAGCAAGGCAGCAAGAGAAATACATTCACACAGTCATGTGTGATCTACTTTCCTCAAACTTGTACACATAGTCATCCTCAGAGGATTCCCAGGACTAGTCAGGGAAGACTTTACAGCAGAGATGGAATCTGAGCTGGGCCTTAAAAACATAATAGGTTTATGTTTATTTTTTGCTCATAAATTAATACATGATCCTTGTAAAAAAAATTCCGACATGATACAAACACAAAACAGAGCAAATCTCCTATGATCCCTCATCACAGACATCGCTGTTAAAGTTGGTGTTTATACTTAAACATAATGCATAAATAGTATTATTTTATAAAACTAAACTCACACTATGCACACCATCTCGCAACATGCATTATTTCACTAACCACATAAGCTTGCCATTTTTCTGTGCAGCACACGCCTGTCTAGTGAGTTTTAGGTGGCCGGATAATATGCCAGTGAAGGCCAGGTTCAGTGGCTCACGCCTGTAATCCCAGCACTTTGGGAGGCCAAGGCAGGCAGATCGCTTAAGGTCAGAAGTTCCAGACCCACCTAGGCAACATGGCAAAACCCCATCTCTATAAAAAATACAAAAATTAGCCGGGTGTGATGGCACATGCCTGGAGTACCAGCTACTCTGGAGACTGAGGGAAGAGGATCACTTGAGCCCAGGAGTCGGAGGCTGCTGCAGTGAGCTGAGATCCCGGGCAGCAGAGCAAGACCCTACCTCAAAATAATAATAATAATAATAATAATAATAATAATAATAATAAGCGAGTGTACGGTGGTGCCATGTGTACATCATTCTCCATTTGATGGACATTTAGGGTGTTTCCATTCTTATTATGGTACTGCAAGAAACAGCCATAGATATATTTTGAGAGTTGTTCTAACGTCTCTGTAGAATAAATCTAAAAGTGAAAGTGTTGAGTCAATGGACATATGGGTTGAGATTTTCCTAGATATAACAAAATTGCCCACACCCTGCGGCTACATTAAATTGCCCCTGACTCACACTTGGATGGGAGCAAACTCAGGTCTGAAGATGTGTGAGATGGAATGGACAGTGTAGTGAATGGCTGAAAATGAGGAGTCTCAGTGCATGGTCAAGGGTCAGTGAGGCACAAGGGAAAAACATTGAGTACCAAGTCAATGAATTTGGACTTTATTCTGCAGGTCGCAGAGAGTCTTCAAAGCAGGGGTCACCAAAAATAAAAAATTCCGTTGGCCAAGAAAAAAGAAAAAGCAGGGGTTATCAGCAACCGTGCAAGGGGACTCTACCTGTGACCTCACCAGAGGGGCTGACTGTCTTGTGGGGATGGTGAGGGCAAGCTCCTGGGTGCCCAGAGGTTTAGGACCCTTCAAATCCATCAACCTACATCCTTCCCTCTTCTGCTACCCCCTTTCATGAACAAATTGCCCTCAGCCATCTTGACAACAATAAGATTTTATTAATGAATAGGAACATTTGGAAATAAAAAGGTGTTAAACAGTAGTCCAGTTCTCAACAACCCTGGCTGCACCATTTTCAGACCAATAATTGGCATGGCAACTCACTTCCCAAGGAACAATGAGGTGTTCTTTTTCAGACCTCATTCCTTCCAAACCCGGGAAAGATAAGACGCCAAGTCTCGCTGAAGCACCGTGCCTAGTGCTGATTTTAAAAGCCACTGCTGTTCTCTTGGCCTAATAATGCGAAGCTACCTCAGCATTTGGATCAAACCCCATTTTTACTGGGATTACTACAAAAAATGATAGTGCCCAACTTCATCCTAGAGAAAGAGTTTTCATTTTTTTTTTTAATTTTTCAAGGGGAAAAAAACCATTTAAACTGCTGCAGTAATTGGCATGAATGATGTTCCCCAGAACTCAGTGTTCAGAGCAGCAGTTGCAAATCCTACCAATTGAATTTGGTAGTGAAATGCCAGACCAAGTAGGTCAAACAAAATCAAGGCATATGAATTCCTAAATGCCAGATCAAAAGCAGAGAATCTAAGTCTCTGCCAGGAGTGCAGTTGCTGATTGTGGCATTGTGGGTCATTGAATCAATAGAAAGAGCCCTTGGGGGCCAGGTGCAGTGGCTCACGCCTGTAATCCCAGCACTTTGGGACGCCAAGGCAGGCAGATCACTTGAGGTCAGGAGTTCGAGACCATGGCAAAACCCTGTCTACTAAAAATACGAAAATTAGCTGGGCATGGCGGCACGCACCTGTAGTCCTAGGTACTAGGGAGGCTGAGGCACGAGAATTGCTTGAATCCGGGAGGCGGAGGTGGCAGTGAGCTGAGATCGCGCCACTGCACTCCAGCCTGGACAACAGAGTGAGACTTTGTCTCAAAAAAGAAAGAAAGAAAGAACCCTTGGGGAAATCACCCTATCACCCTATATCCCAAAAGGAACAGACCAGGGAGGGAAGAATTCATCCAAGCAAAACATTCATGGAAGGGAGAAACAGTTGGGCTTTTCATAGAGGGATCTGTGCAAAAGATAACCCCTAGAACCTATGAATTGGGATTCCCAACTTGTGTGCTCTGTGTCTAGATGATTCAGCCCTAATGTGGTGAGGGCCCTGGCTCTGGGAGCCTCCCAGGCGGTCACAGCCACTGCATTTGATCATCATCAATTCTGTGTCTGAGTCCCTCCCTCCCTTCCAAAGAATGGACAGATGGACAGATGGGATGGAGAAGTGAGATGACGTCAAAGGCAAGGCATGGAAAGTGACCAGCACAGTCCCTGGCACACAGTAAGCATTTCATAAGTGTTCCCTTCTCTCTGCTTTGACCCTGGCTTCGAGCTCTGCAGATGGGTTGCAGGAATGGTGGCTCCGTGGAAACCATGTGTCTTTGGAAAGTGGCCACCGTGAGTGGCGTCACAGGAGTTTGTTTGCGTGTCGCTTTTCCCTTGTCGGTGTGAGTGGAGAACAGGAGCAGAGGTGTGATACCAATAGCTCCAGCTCTCAGGATCATGGGATCCTCCGCCGGCTCAGCAAGATCCTGCAGAAGTTACAGCCATTTGTGCTGCTGAGACTTTTCAAAAAAAATGTGTTATTGCCTCTGTTATGGTTTAACCTGAATTCCGGATGGCACGTGTCTCTGCTACTTCACCTCGAAGAAACCTTAGAAGTTACATTTGCTGTTTGTTTTGTGCCAAGTCTGGGCCATCTGTGGCACTGCAGTGCCGGGATGGTACCCAAGGCAGTATTGCCATGCTATCTCTGTCTGCCACGAGCCTTCTTACAGCTGTACTATAGAAAACTAACATTTAAGACTTTCAAAGAAGGAAGCAAGAGCTGAAGGGCCCAAGGCTCTCAGCCAGGAGTGAACAGATACAACAAGCTCTTCTTCAGTTCCATCTCATGGAGAACTTCCCTCTGTAATTTTTTTTTTTTTTTTTTTTTTTTTTTGAGACAGAGTCTCACTCTGTCACCCAGGCTGGAGGGCAGTGTCACAATTTCAGCTCACTGCAACCTCTGCCTCCTGGGTTCAAGCGATTCTCCTGCCTCAGCCTCCTGAGTAGCTGGGACTACAGGTGCACGCCACCACGCCCAGCTAATTTTTGTATTTTTAGTAGAGACAGGGTTTCACCACGTTGGTCAGGCTGCTCTCGAACTCCTGACTTCAGGTGATCCACTCGCCAAAGTGCTGGGATTACAGGCGTGAGCCAATGCACCTGGCCCTGCTCTGTTCTTTCAAGAAAACAGGCAATGAGTCCACACAAGTTGCTCATAACTGGGGCCAGCCACATCAGCCCCTGCTGTTTTTAGTCTTATTAAAGTAAAACACCAGAACTTCTTGGCCCTTAGAACAGAGTTCCCAAATCAGGTCAGCATCACCCAGGGAGGTTTTGAAAACTGGAGATATCCGGGTCCCACCTTAGACCAACCCAACCAGACTCAACTGGTCTGGGACCCAAGAATCAGTGTGTAAATGCACCAGGTTTGGGAAAATGGCCTCAGAGCAGAGCTTCCCATCTTTTTTCATGCCTTGACAGGTAGGAAGTGTTTCGTTTTGGCCAGGCGCGGTGGCTCATGCCTGTAATCCCAGCACTTTGGGAGGCCGAGGCAGGCGGATCACCTGAGGTCGGGAGTTTGAGACCAGCCTGACCAACACGGAGAAACCGCATCTCTACTAAAAATACAAAAATCAGCCAGGCATGGTGGCGGGCACCTATAATCCCAGCTACTCGGGAGCCTGAGGCAGGAGAATCACTTGAACCCTGAAGGCGGAGGTTGCGGTGAGCCAAGATCGCGCCATTGCATTCCAGCCTGGGCAACAAGAGCGAAACTCCATCTCAGAAAAAAAAAAAAAAAAAAAGAGAAAGTGATTTGTTTTGATTGACACATTGAGGAGGAGCTCCTGGTTAAGATGACCAACCCCTGAGCTCAGAAGGCCCAGTCTGTTACTCAAGGGCTGCGGGAGCAATATGCCTTATCACATCTACTATCCATTCACCATAGGGAAGCTTTGCCTAAGAGAGCTCAACTTACTGAGGTCAAGGTTTTAAACCACTTTATTGTTACTTAATTTGGGGGAGGAGGGATGCAGGGGGGTTAGCAATGTAAGCCTGTAAGCCTGCCCATTCCCCGATTGTGAGAGAGGTCAGTGCCTTTGAATTTTGTTCTGTCTGTTGGGAATCTGACGCCATCTGTAGAATCAGATCCAAAGTCTTCCTTGACAGCTACTAGCGTTAATTATAACATAAGTTTGTGCAGTTTTTTTCCTAAGTTGCTTCTGATTTGGGGGTGGCTTCAGATTGACATTATTGAAGTTTATTTCCTCCACCCAAAGACTCTAGGCCGGCTGTGATTGTTCACGCCTGTAATCCCAGCACTTTGGGAGGCCAAGGCGGGTGGATCACTTGAGGCCAAGAGTTCGAGACCAGCCTGGCCAACCTGGCAAAAGCCTGTCTCTACTAAAAATACAAAAATTAGACAGGCGTGGTGGCGGGTGCCTGTAGTCCCAGCTACTCTGGAAGCTGAGGCAGGAGAATCACTTGAACCTGGGAGGTGGATGTTGCAGTGAGCCGAGATCGTACCATTTGTACTCCAGCCTGGGCAACAAGTGAGACTCTGTCTGAAAACAAAGACAAAACAAAAAAAAGACTCTGGTAGCTGTCCACCAGGTCCTCTGGCTAAATCTTCTCCAAGCCCTTTCTTTGTTTAGCACTCTAAGAATCTGCAACAATGACTATGATGTTTGAGGTGGCATTTTTCTCCTTGAGAAATAAGACCTGACAGAGCGATTGTCTGCTCCACATCTAGTTATTCAGACTCCAAATACAACTGTTCAGCTTCTGTTCCAAAAATACCCAAGAAAGAATAAGTGTTATTAAGGTGCTTGTCTTCATCTTTTATTATTAAGAGGCCCAGAGAAAGACTTATAATTACTAGCTCATTAGCTTGGGCCTTAGAATTTTCAACGAAAATTTCTCACAAAATTGCTAAACCTGGTTTTAGAAGGTATGGAACTAACTTTTGAGAAAAATAAATTCCACCATTTAGAGTCTCACTGTCGCCCAAGCTGGAGTGCAGTGATGCAACCACGGCTCACCGCAACCTCCACCCCTCCAGGCTCAAGCGATCCTCCTACCACAGCCTCCTGACTACCAGCACATGCCACCACACCAGCTATTTGTGTGTGTGGGTGTGTGTGTGTGGGTGTGTCGTGATGGGGATCTTGCAGTGTTGCCTAGGCTGGTCTCAAACTCATGGGCTCAAGTGGTCCACCTGCCTCAGCCTCCCAAAGTGCTGGGATTACAAGTACGAGCCACCACTGCACCCAGCCAACATTGTCTCCATTTTATAGATAAGGAAACTGAGGCTTAGAGAGTCTAAGTAACTGGCTGGAAGTTTCAGGAAGCCTGGATTCAAACCCCAAAGTGTCCTACCCCAAAGATTATGCTTCCCCTACACCAAGTAAGATTCCTTCAGGTAAAGCTAGACGTACAAACAACTGTTGTCTTTGGAAATCACTCTAAGAAATAGTTCCCTTCTTAAATATATCTTCCCAACCCCGAGTCTCAGTGACTAAATGATCTTAGGGAAAGACTGGTATGTAGAAAAAGAAGGGCCTTTGAGACGGTTGGTTACCTGATGTGATAGAATTCCACTCCTCATCTTTGGGGAGAAGTTTCCTCTTTACAAACATTCCAGAACATAGTGGATTGGCCAAAAGCAGCTTGGGTCTGTAAAAAAAACCAAAAACTAAAAACTAGCCATCCTCCATTAGAGAATAGAAACCTTTTATTATTTTTTTTCTTTTACACAAGGTCTCACTTTGTTGCCCAGGCTGGAGTGCAGTGGCACCATCACGACCCACTGCTGTCTTGACCTCCTGGGTTTAAGCCATTCTCCTGCCTTGGCCCCCTAAGTAGCTGGGACTACAGGTGCACACCATCACACCCAGCTAATTTTGGGTTTTTTTTTTTTTTTTTTTTTTTTTTTTTGTAGAGACGGGGTTTCACCATGTTAGGTTTCCCAGGCTGGTCTCGAGCTCCTCAGCTCTAACCATCTGCCCGCCTCAGCCTCCCAAAGATGACAGGTGTGAGCCACCACACCCAGCCCAGGAAGCTATTTTTAAAAAGAAAAAAAAAAGCCATTAGTCACCAAAGAACCCATCTACAGACCCTAATTCAGAAATATTCCTTTTCTCACTTTAGCATCCACACGATAGTCTTAGAGTTAAATAACTTGCCCAGGTTCACACAGTAGTTACTGGAGCTGAAATTCAAACCTGGGGGCAGGGCATGTGTTCTCTCACTTCAAAGCCTCCTCAGTTCATCTCTCAGTTCTGCTCCACAGATCTGAGGACCCCACAAGGTGCTCCCGGGCATGGTAAACAGTGAAATACATTGTATCAAACAGTGAAGGGAGAAACAGCCTGAAGAATCCACTCATCACTTTTACCTGCTTTATATACTGGGATTCCAAAAGTGCATTTGGAGAAACAAAATGAGTTCTGAAGCTCAAATAAGTTTGAAATCTAAAAGTGGAAATATTTTATTGTCTTCAAATTACAGACTGATTGGCTTATTGAACATCTCTACCCTGGTTTCTGTTCGACAAGTTGGAGGCCTAAATTTCCCAAAATAATACAGTACACAAGGAGCAAGCTAGACTTAGGGACAGTTAATCTGGTGCTGATCACTGTTGGCATGCTGCAACTCATCGAGATATTTGTCAGCCTATTATCAGCTTTTGATTTAATAAACTTAAGCTATCTCTAGGCCAAATTGTAGATCCTCGGTAGGAATGCAGGCTGTTAATGCCTCCCCATAGCCTTCGTCTAAAGAGCACTGCTAAAATCAGAGTGGAGAACAGCCTCAAGTTCAAAGGCTGCAAACCGAGCCAGGTTCTAATAAGCTCCCTTTATGGGAGGAGCTGGGTTCTTGGCCTCTCACTGTCTCATGTATTAAGGTGGGGTCCTCTCCAGTGTGCCCTTGAATGACCTTATTGCTTTTGATTAGAGGTTACCTTGAACTATACTCATATTGCCAAACGGAACAGGTTAGTGTTCTGCAACAGGATGTTAGGGAGACAGCTCTTGTTGCTCTGGAACTGGGAACCAGGCCCAAAGCTGGGGACAAAGAGGAATTGGGACTCCACATTCACCAGGCAGCTGCTAATCACCAGTGGCCCAGATGACCCTCTTCCCACAGCTCTGGTTGCCCCTATCTTCCCCTTCCCTAGGCCCTATGTGGAGATGAAGGAGGGGAGTTTGTAGTCATTGGGAGTATACTTCTTGCCTCACCCCAATCCCATGTGACAGGAGTAGTATTCTGAGAGAATCAACTACAGTAGCTGGGGCATCTGCAAAAAAAAGCTGGCTATAGGCCCAGTGCAGTGGCTCTAATCCCAGCACTTTGGGAGGCCAAGGCGGGAGGATCACTTGAGGCCAGGAGTTTGAGACCAGCCCAGACAATATAGCAACAGCCCATCTACAAAATATTTTTAAAAATTAGCTGGGCCCAGTGGCACATGCCTGTGGTCTTAGCTACTCAGGAAGCTGAGGTGGGAGGATTGCTTGAGCCTAAGAGTTCAAGGCTGCAGTGAGCCATGATTGCACCACTGCACTCCAGCCTGGGTGACAGAGTGAGACCCTGACACACACACAAAAAATAGTTGACTGTTTGCTGAGCCGGGAACTTGCAGGCCCACCCTCAATGCTGCCATCCTGCAAGACTTGGGTGATACTAATAAGTGTCCCCAAAAGCTTGCAGAGGAACGTAGAGATTGCACCTGCTGCCCATCTGGAAATTTCTAAAGGAGTTTTTGAAGGAGCCCATGGCTAGGGCTGAGATGGAACCATGGGAGTGTGAGCTTGGGAATAGCACGGGGGCATCCCCTTGGGCATTATTGAAAATGCAGGTAATAGTGGGCTACTTTTAGTAGCTTGCTTATGAGAATTCTGGGGTGTTTTCTGTGTCTCCAACCAGTTCAATTCTCCAGCACCAGCTATGTGTCCAACAATTCAATTCAATTAGACACTGTCTATCTGGAGTTAGCATCAGATCCCAGTCCCACAAAGCTGCCCCACTTCTCACTGACAGGCTATAGGCCGGGCACAGTGGCTCATTCCTACAATCCCAGCACTTTGGGAGGCCAAGGCAGGTGGATCACTTGAGGCCAGGAGTTCGAGACTAGCCTGGCCAACAGAGTGAGACTCCATCTCTATTTTTTTTACTAAAAAAAATTTTTTTTTTAATCTGGGGTCTCCACGACTCCTTCCTCAGGCTCAATAATTTGCTAGAAAGGCTCACAGAACTCAGGAAAACATTTACTTAGATTTACCAGTTTATTATCAAGGATATGACTCAGCAGCAGGTAAATGGGAGAGAGGCATCAGGTGAGGTATTGGGGGGTGGGGACTTGGGGCTTCCGTGCCCCCTCTGGGTGTGCCATCCTCCCAGCAGGTCAGTGTGTTTAAGCGTTTATGGAGCTCAATCCCAGCACCCCCTCCCTCCCTAGAGGTCAGTGGATGGGGCTGAAAGTTCTAACCCCCTAATCACCTGGTGTTTCTGGTGACCAGAGCCATCTTGAGGCCATCTAGGGCCCCTCACCTGTGTATGTGATCTGAAGGAGCTTGTTATGCATCCCAAAAGTCACCCCCATCACTCAGGAAATTCCAGGAGTTTTTGGAGCATTGTCTTAGGAAGCAGTGACAAAAACCAAATCTATTTTGTATTACATCACAAGGATGAAATGAGAAAGCGAATCTGAAGTGCCTGACACAGACTCTGGTACGGAGCAAGCACTTGAAAACGTTAGCTCCTAGGGTGATTTTTCCCAGCTTCCTTCCTTGACTTTCCTCTGGCCACCTCTCTTGCAAGTTCTCATTTGCTTTCATCTTCTCCCCAGTTCCTAAAAGGCATCCTGGGGGCTAGAAACCATAGGCTTTTTTTTTTTTTTTTTTTTTTTTTGAGATGGAACCTTGCTCTGTCTCCCAGGCTGGAGTGCAGTGGTGCGATCTCAGCTCACTGCAACCTCTGCCTCTCGGGTTTAAGCGATTCTCCTGCCTCAGCCTCCTGAGTAGCTGGGACTACAGGCATGCGCCACCATGCCTGGCTAAATTTTTTGGATTTTTAGTAGAGACGGGGTTTCACCATGTTGGTCAGGCTGATCTCCAACTCCTGACCTCAAAAGATCCGCCCTCCTTGGCCTCCCAAAGTGTTGGGATTACAGGTGTGAGCCACGGCGCCTGGCCAAAACCATGGACTATTACATTGTTTTGTGTGATGTGCTCAAATTTCTCATTTGCCTCGTCCCTCTTCTTAAAGCAATGAGTTTCAAGTGTTTGTGGCACTGAACTATAACTGAGAAGGGTACAAAACAGAAACATTCCCCTTGCCACAGCTGCCTTTCAGTGCCTTTCTACACATCAGATGCACCTTATGAGTCAAACTCCTTTAAGAGAGTCATTTTGCAGAGAAAAAACACAAACCGCTCAGGGTTTGCGGTGCATTCTAGTGCCAAGAGCAAATGCTTTAAAAATAGCACTTTAGGTATTAACTGCTAACAAAGCAAGAATTGACTGCTTCTGGCATGATTTGCATTTAGGGTTTTGGTTTGTTTTTTTTTAAGTTGATGCATAGCAGTTGACCTTTTAAGTCAAGTTTTAGGTCAGTTCTCCAGCACATTCTGAAAGCTCCTTAGTTTTGTCTCTTTTTTAAAAAACAGCTTTATTGGCTGGGCACAATAGCTCACCACTGTAATCCCAGCACTTTTGGAGGCCAAGGCGGGTGGATCACCTGAGGTCAGGAGCTTGAGACCAGCCTGGCCAACATGGCGAAACCCCATCTCTACTAAAAATACAAAAATCAGCCGGGTGTGCTGGCACGTGCTTGTAATCCCAGCTACTTGGGAGGCTGAGACAGGAGAATTGCTGGAACTTGGGACGTGGTGGTTGCAGTGAGCCGAGATTGCACCATTGCTCTCTAGCCCAGGTGACAGAATGAGACTCCGTCTAAAAAAAAAACCCAAAAAAACAGCTTTATTGAGATATAGATCACATACCATACAATTCAGCCATTTTGAATGTATAGTTCAGTGGATTTTACTATAATCACATGTTTACCTCACCACAATCAAATGTAAAACATTTTCATCACCCCACAAAGAAACCTCATATGTTTTAGCTATCATCTCCCTACCCTCTCCCCTCACCCATCTCCCAAGCCTCAGCAACCACACTGATCTACTTTCTGTCTCCATAGATTTCCCTTTTCTGGGCATTTCATATGAATAGGGTCACTTAATAAGTGGTCTTTGGGGACTAGCTGCTTTGAAAGCTCCTTGGTTTTATGTGTATCCCTCTTAAGATTCAAGTTCAAGGAATCCTACATTAATTCAGGGCTAAACTTTACTTTCATTGGAGGGGAATGAGAATGAGATCTGCAACACCTTGGAGTCTTCAGGAGAAGTTCCAGGATGGAGAGAAAAAAATCTGACATGTGATATGTGTTGTTCATCCATCCCTATTTTAGGGCTGAGGGTTATAGTTACATAATGTAGCAATTCCTGGCTGGAGTTCCTGCTTAGCCTTTTTTCATTTAGCATTTATCAAAAACTTCTCATTTCAATTAACAGGGCAAGCCCCTGTTGGCTATTGCCCTTTGTGGTTCAAATTGAGAGTGTAATTAATCATGGAGACTTCATATCTCAGTGAACGTCAGCTAAT
This sequence comes from Homo sapiens, assembly GCF_000001405.40. NCBI lineage: Eukaryota > Metazoa > Chordata > Mammalia > Primates > Hominidae > Homo > Homo sapiens. Next base: position 67,652,224 of record NC_000017.11, read on the forward strand.
AAGATTGCCTCCAAGATGCAAGCTCAGCCCCAGCTGGACCAAGCTCTCCTGTGGGCTTCTCCTTGCACCTTCCAGGTGGGAGACTGATTCTATCCAAAACGAGGACGCAGTTTTACACGGGCTGCTCAAACAAGCCCTTTGCTCTGCCTTGTCCCAGTGCGAGATGGATGAGGCCTGCAGGTGTGGCTGATCCTATAGAGTGGACGCCTTCTAAAGATGTGCCGAAGTCCATCTGGCCCCAGGGAAACAGCCCTGGCACCAGCTCAACCCCCTCGATACAGATGGGCTTTAACTACAAGGGTCCAATTTGCCATCTGCCAAGCCTGGAGAGAATCGGTAGCATCCGGAGCCAGAGATCTCATTGTGGATGAATTTATAAAACCCTGGCTAGAAGAACTTGCAGCCCCACGCGTTCCCCACCAGCCAGCTGCCGGGCCGAGAGGAGCTGGGCAGGGCCCTTGAGGCAAGAGCATCGCTTGCAGAGAAGTTCCACATCCCCCAGCGGAGCCAGATGCCACTACTGGGGTTCGGTGCTCCGTGACCACATGAGTGAGCTGGAAGAGTGACCGCGGAACCTAGAAGACTTGCCTTGTAAAAACCTCTCTGACTCATGTTATGGGTTTGTGTCCCCCCAGAAAGCTAGGTTGACGTCCTAACCCCCAGAATGTGAACTTACTTGGGATAGGGTCTTTACAAAGGTAATCAAGTTGAAGTGAGATCATTAGGGGGACCCTAATCCAGTATGATGGGTGTCCTTATAAAAAGGAGAAATTTGGAGCTGAGTGCAGTGGCTCACGCCTATGGTCCCAGCACTTTGGGAGGTCAACGCAGGCGGATCTCTTGAGGTCAGGAGTTCAAGACCAGCCAGGCCAACATGGTGAAACCCCATCTCTACTAAAAATACAAAAATTAGCCAGGAGTGGTGGTGGGCGCCTGTAGTCCCAGCTACTCGGGAGGCTGAGGCAGGAGCATTGCTTGAACCCAGGAGGTGGAGGTTGGATGGCACCACTGCACTCCAGCCTGGGTGACACAGCAAGACTCTGTCTAAAAGAAAAAAAAGGTTGGGGGGAATTTGGACACACAGACAGACAAGCACAGAGGGAAGACGATATGAAGATGCAGTGAGAATGTGATGACTTCACTCCAGTGATGCTTCTACATGCCAAGGAACGCCCAGGGGAAAGGCATGAAACAGATTCCTCCTCACAGCCCTTGGAAGGACCAGTCCTGATGACACCTCGATTTGGGGCTTCTAGCCTCCAGTACTGTGAAACAATAAATTTCTGATGTTTAAGCCACCAGTGTGTGATTATCTTTTTGTTGTTGTTGTTGTTGTCTGTGATACTTGATACAGCAGGAAACGAATAGACTAGTGGAACCAACCCTCCACCCTAAATAGGTACGAATGAAAAACACATATCACATGTTAGATTTCTTTCTCTGCATTACGGAACTTTTCCTGAAGCCTCCAAGGTGTTGCAGATCTCATTTTCATTCCTCTCCCAATGAATGACCATTTCAACCAGGTAAAATTTAGCCCTGAGTTAATGTAGGATTTCTTGAACTTGAACCAGGGAGGAAGAGAGCCCTGCCCTGGCTTGGAAGATTACTGGAAGGAAAGGACAGCGTATGCCTCTGTATGCCTTTCAGCCCTTCACAAGGAGAGCTTGTAAGTCACCTTTAAGATGCGTGAAGGCTGCCGGACTTTGAGGCTCACCCATCCTGCCATTGGGAGGTGGCTGCCCAGTACATGCACCGTTCAAGGAGGGCCCCCTGCTTGGCTGGGACCACGAGGTTCCAGAGGCCCCCAGGTGAAATCGCCTAAGGGAGCGGCCCATGACAGGGACAATCTGCTCTGCTCTCTGCTTTCGTCCACTTGGAACAGAGTGTTCCTGCCTCTGAAACATAAGAGAAAGGGGGAAAGACATTGGTACTGAGCACTGAAGACTGTCGGTTCACCTGGACCCAGAACCCAGTCATAACATCCCACAGAACAAGAACCCTTCTCTCGCAATTCCTCCAACCACCATACTTACGGACACTGGCATGTGACAGCTTCCAGAAAATGGAAATGCCCACCCAGGCTTTCACTCACACAAGGAAACCTGCATGCTGTTGGGCAGTCATATTTTTTATTTGAGATGATCAGCATTTTTCTGTACATTTGACTACAGGATAACAATAAACTCATAGTAATCCTACAGCCCCTGGGACATTCCCACTGCCTTTCTTTGGAGGAGCTTAATAAGATTTGAACAAAGTGCACTACAGCATCTCTCAGGGCATCCTTGTATCATGTGCTTATCACTTTGGGATGTCTCCTGTGCATCACGCACCTTCTATGTGCCAGGCTGGGCTGGGGACTTTGCCTACCTTATCCAATTTAAGTCTTGCAACAACCCGCAAGGAAGTTTTTTGATTTTTTTTGAGATGGAATCTCCCTCTATTGCCCAGGCTGGAGTGCAGTGGTGCAATCTTGGCTCACTGCAACCTCCACCTCCTGGGTTCAAGTGATTCTCCTGCCTCGGTCTCCCGAGTAGCTGGGACAACAGGAGCGCGCCACCACGCCCAACTAGTTTTTTTGTATTTTTAGTAGAGACGGGGTTTCACCATATTGGCCAGGCTGGTCTCAAACTCCTGACCTCGTGATCTGCCCGCCTCATCCTCCCAAAGTGCTGGGATTACAGGCATGAGCCACCACGCCTGGCCAGGAGTTCTTAACACCATTCTACAGATGGGGAGATGGAAGCTCTCCTCTGATCAATTGTGCCAGAATTTCAGACAGAATGTCCTGTCCACATGGTGTAGGGGTGACGTGTTAAACCATTTGGGCTGCAATAACAGAATACCATAGACTGGGTAGCTTATAAACAATAAACATTGATTTTTTACAATTCCAGAGGCTGGCAAATCCAAGATCAAAGCATTGACAGATTCAGTGCCTGGAGATGGCTCGTTTCTTGGTTCATAGATGGCGCCCCTCTCACTGTGTCCTCACATGGCAGAAAGGGTGAAGGAGCTATCCAGAGTTTCTTTTATAAGAGCACTAATTGGGCCGGGCTCGCTGGCTCATGCCTGTAATCCCAGCACTTTGGGAGGCCAAGATGAGCGGATCACGAGGTCAGGAGATCAAGACCATCCTGGCTAACACGGTGAAACCCCATCTCTACTAAAAACACAAAAAAAATTAGCCAGGCGTGGTGGCAGGCGCCTGTGGTCCCAGCTACTCGGGAGGCTGAGGCAGAAGAATGGCATGAACCTGGGAGGCGAGGCTTGTAGTGAGCTGAGGTCGCACCACTGCACTCCAGCCTGGACAACAGAGAGAGACTCATCTCAAAAAAAAAAAAAAAAAAAAAAAAGCACTAATTGCCTCCCAAAGGTCCCCACCCCCTAATACCATCACACTGGTGATTAAGTTTCAACATATGGGTTGGGTTCGGTGGTTCACACCTATAATCCCAGCCCTTTGAGAGGCCAAGGCAGGAAGTGTGCTTGAGGCCAGAAATTTGTGACCAACATGGGCAACATAATGAGACCTCATTTCCACAAAACATTAAAAGAATTTTTTAATTAGCTGGGCATGGTGGTGCATGCCTGTAATCCCAGCTAGGTGAGAGGATCACTTGAGCCCAGGAGCTCAAGGCTGCAGTGAGCTGTGATGGCACCACTGCACTCCAGCCTGGGAGATAAGAGCAAGACCCTGTTGCAAAAAAACCCAAAAAGTTTCAACATGTGAATTGGGGGAGGGGCAACAAACGTTCAGACCAAACGTTCATGGGAGCCCGGGTCGGGGTGGACTGTGGCTGAGTTGCTGATTACTTCTCAGCTTCAGGTTCCTCATCAAGAGCATGGAGATAATATGTGTACTTCATAGCAGTGACTGGATCTTGACTGTACATTCAGGTCACCACCTGTTCAGACCCCACCCAGGACCAGTTAGGTCAGAGCATGGGGGTCTAACCTTGCTCTTCTGTCTGGACCTCATCCCGAGGTTTCAGTCACAGTTCTGGAGGCCGGAAGTCTGAAATCCAAGTGAGAGATTTCGAGGCTCTAGGGGACCATCCTTCCTTTCATCTTCCAGCGGCTCCAAAATTTCCTTGGTTTGTGACTCCTTAACTCCCATCTCTGCCTCTGTCCTCGCACAACCTTCTCCTCTGTGTCTTCTCCTCTTCTGTATCTTATAAGGACACTTGTCATTGGATTTAGGGCCCTCCCACTTAATCCAGCATGATCTCATCTCAAGACCCTTAACTTAATTACATCTGCAAGGACCTTTCCCAAATAAGATCACGTTCATAGATAGATACTAGGGGTTAAGACCTGGACATATTTTTGGGGAGGATTTATTTAACCCACAGCAGACATCTTGCACTCTGTTTTCTGATTGCACTGAGTTGGGACCCAGCAGGGGTTTCAAGACACGTAATCTCGGTCACACTAAAGTCCAGCCTTATGACGTTTTATAATTGGCCAGACCTTGAAACTTGCCTGTGGAAAGGCCCAGGGGATTTTTAACATCGGGGATGAAGGTTGAGGTTTATAAACCTCTTTTTAAAATAAGGAAACCTGGAAATGGAGGATTAAAATGTAAAATAATTCTGTTCTTTTATAAAGAATAAGTGCTATAACAAGAGTTTGAATCAGGCCCAAAACACTACAGACATTCTAGAAATACAAAACAGAAATATATACATATTTGGAAATGTTGTAAGAGAGGTCAACCGATGTGTGAAGGGGGCAATTTAGATACTGAATGTTCGTAAACCCAAGTGAGAAAATGAGAAAGAAAATGACTTCATAAAGAATGGGTCTTGGGAGGTGTTAAGGAGGACAGTGAGGAGGAGGGGGTAGAATGTGAAAAGAGAAGTTTGCAGCAACTGGACTATTTCAGATAAGACCAGATAATTTGGTTCCCTTCCCCTCCCCACCCCCGTTTTTTTTGTTTTGTTTTGTTTTGTTTTGTTTTGTTTTTGGCTCATCTTCATTCAAAAGCATTTACCTGGATGTTCATTTCTAATCTTGAGTTTTGATTAAAGGAGTCCTTTCCCTTACCTCCCTCTAGCTCTTTGAAAGTGAATCCTTAATTATAGGCCATGTTTGAGATTGACTAGATGAAATCAACAGCTGTAGATATGACACCAGACTGCAAAATATCGACACAATGTTGCCATAAAAAGCCCAATTGTTAATTGCTTATTTGGCACTGGGCTATAACAAAAACACCCTTTTTCTGTTTAATATTAAAAGTAAATGTAGTGGAAAGAACATCGAGCTAGAAGTAGGGTAGGCTGGGATTCTAGTCCCAGCCCTATTGCCGAGTGCCTGTGATTTGGGGGCAAAGCATTTTATTTTTCTCAGGCCCCGGTGTCCTTATCTATAAAACTGAGGGCATGAAACCAAATTACCACTTTCAGCTTAAAAATTATATTCTTAATCATGAAAATACAGCATACTTCTCATTTCTATCCTTTTTCCAAAACTTTATTTCACAATACCCAAATATAATTCTATACTTTTGTCACGCAATCAGGAACCACACATTGATTTAAGCATCTACATCGTTTTTGCTGTGCAAGCAATACTTTTCCAGTCTTATTCTGAACTGAAGTGAGCTGTCAGTCCCGACAATTCTCAACTGCTTTGGAAATGCAATCCACTGGTGTTCCATTTTTAATACCGTGAAGTCTTGTTTTATTCTTGAAGAATATGAATCTGAAATGTACATGAAGATGCTGGAATAGATACCATCTCAAACTCAGCTGTCATTGACTGAAGAAACAAGCCAAGGGCAGTCCATGAATCAGGGAGGGAGGGCAAGGTCGGGCACAGCCAACTGGTCCAGGTTCCTCTTGCTCAGTCAGACCCACTGTGCAGGACCTGAAGGGCAGGAAGGCAGCTCAGACTATGGCCCTGGTGACAGTGACAGGAGGGCAGCCAAATGCCTAGGCAGATAGGGGTGGGACCCCAGTGAAACCCCACTTCCAAGCCAAAGACAGTTTAAAGCCTGAAAGCCAAGCTACAGGTTAAATCCTCAGACCAGATTGAGAACTGGCCTTTCCTCTGATTGATCCCCACCCTTCACCTATTTTAAATATGCCTACTCTTTCCTAATTGGTTATCTACACTGTCGTGCCCACTTTTGAGTGGTATCTTCACTTTAACCTTTTTTGCATACTCACAAACCAATCAGCATGCGCTCCCTATTGTTAGCCCATAAAAGCCCCAGGCTCAGCCATATTAGGGGACTTTCCCACTTTGGGATAGGTAACCACCCCACCCCCAGTATCCTCTCTTTGCTGAGAGCTTGCCTTTCGCATAATAAATTATACTCCACTCACTCTCTGGTGTCTGCATGCCTAATTCTTCCTGGTTGTGAGACAAGAACTCGGACCTAGCTGAGCTAAGGAGCAGAAAAAATCCTGCATCACTGGTTTTTATTTTATTTCCCTGCCTCTGGTGCCTGCCCACCTTGCTTTGTTTGCTGGGTTGTCTCCTACATCTCTGGGTTACCAGGAGCTTGGACTCCTGCTTTCCTCTACTTGCCGTCTTTGTCCTATCCTTTACTTACTCAGTTGCTTACCCAAGCAGGAAGACCTCCACTTAGGTTCTCGAGGGTTTGCCTGTCCATATTCTGGTCAACTGCAGGGGGGAAGCCATGTCTTCTAAGCCTCAAGATAGTTGTTTACGTGCAACTATCAGAGGTAAACACCCATCATTTACCTCTGTTGGGAGGAAGTCAAAAGACAGATGGGGAAAGAAACCAAATTTCCCTGTTTAACTCCACCTCCTGTATTTTAACTCATGAGAGCTTCTTGAGAGGTATAAATTTCCTTGTTTTCAGCTTTCAGGCTTGTGGCTGATTGTGTGAACTTTTGGTGTGCTCTGGGAAAGAACAAAGCAGCATTCATTCTCTTCATCTTTGGTAATCCAGTTAATGCACCTGTTTTATAATATGCTTGATGGATGTGTTTTGTTACCTGTTGCTGAGCAACAGCCCCAAAATTTAGTGGCTTAAAACAATGAGAGTGCATTGTTTCTCACAATTCTGCACTCTTGACTGGGTTTAGCTGGCCAGATCTGCTCTTCATGATGTGAGCTTGGATTGAAATATCTCAGATGGCCCTTTCACTCAACGTGGTCTCAGCTGAGATGGCTGGAGCATCTGAGACCTGGTTGAGCATGTTGCCACATGGTCTCACCACATGGCTAGCTTGGGCCTCCTCATATCATGGTGCTCTAAGGTAATCAGCCTAGTCTTCTTACATTGTGGAGGGTTCCGGTTTCTGGCTTCCAGCTTCTCTTGAAAGGCTAAACTGACACAATGTCTCTTCTGGTACATTCTGTTGGTCAAAACAAATAACAGACCAGTCTAGATTCAAGGGGTGGGGAAATGGTGAGGGGAACAGCATGTCAGCACAGTGGGGGAAGGAATTGATGGTGGCCATCTTTGGAGATGTATGGTAGATAATCTCTCAATTTATTGGTCTTCTCTTTTCTTTTTATTTTTTTCCAAATTCAACATTATTTCTTATTTTATTTTTTAAACATACAAAAAGCTGTACACAGCTTTTTAATTAACACATACAGCTTGATGATTTTGGACATAAGTATACACCTGTGAAACCATCACCACAATCTATGCCATAAATCTTTTTTTGTTTTTTGTTTTTTTTAGAGACAGAGTCTTGCTCTGTCACCCAGGATGCAGTGCAGTGGCGCAATCTCAGGTCACTGCAACCTCCTCCCCCCAGGGTTCAAGCGATTCTTGTGCCTCAGCCTCCCAAGTAGCTGGGACTGCAGGCACACACCACCACACCCAACTAATTTTTTGTATTTATAGTAGAGACAGGGTTTTGCCATGTGGCCCAGGCTGGTCTTAAACTCCTGAGCTCAGGCAGTCCACCTGCCTAGACCTCGCAAAAGTGCTAGGATTACAGGCATGAGGCACTGGCTGCTATGCCATAAATCTATCCATCACCTCCAAAAGTTTCCTCCTGCCCTGTTTTATTATTTTATTATTATCTTTTTACTCTCAATGGCATGATATGGTATAGGAACACAGAGCAGGCAGGAACTAGTCCCATGGCCTCAAGCAGCAAATTTCCCAGCAATTCCGGGGTGCTATGGAAAAGCATGTTGTCTCTGCCCTGGACTATAGGATTGGATACATTACTTAAATGCTCCTTTGACTGCCTTGGGAAATGCAATAATGGCTAACATCAATTGAGCACTTGCTACGGGCCAGGCCCTATATTAGTCTTTTTCATGTATCATATATATTTTATTTTATTTTATTTTATTTATTTATTTATTTATTTGTTTATTTATTTATTTTTGAGATGGAGTCTCACTCACTTTGTCACCCAGGCTGGAGTGCAGTGGCATGATCTCAGCTCACGGCAGCCTCTGCCTCTTGGATTCAAGCGATTCTCCTGCCTCAGCCTCCCAAGTAGCTGGGATTACAGGCACATGCCACCACACCTGGCTAATTTTTGTAGTTTTAGTAGAGATGGAGTTTCAACATGTTGGCCAGGCTGGTCTCGAACTCCTGGCCTCAAGCAATCCACTCACCTTGGCCTCCCAAAGTGCTAGGATTACAGGCATGAGCCACCATGCCCAGCCTCATGAATCACATTCTCTTTTTTTTTTTTTTGAGATGGAGTCTCGCTCGGTCACCCAGGCTGGAGTGCAGTGATGCGATCTTGGCTTGCTGCAACATCCACCTCCCAGGTTCAAGCAATTCTCTTCCCTCAGCCTACCAAGTAGCTGGGACTACAGGCGCCCGCCACCACGCCCAGCTAATTTTTTTTTTTTTTTTTTGTATTTTTAGTAGAGATGGGGTTTTACTATGTTGGCCAGGCTGGTCTCAAACTCCTGGCCTCCCAAAGTGCTGGGATTACAGGTGTGAGCCACCACGCCCAGTCGAATCACATTCTTAAATTAGCATAGTCTTTCCAGGCCTATGCATATGATTTCGGTGGTGGTTTCCGGGTTGGTTTAGGCAATGGAAACACAACCTGGCAAAATTAATAGAGAAGATTCAGAAATGTCACCCACAGTCAAGGTCACGAGCCCCTCCCTTCAGACTCACTTACTCCCTTCAGATACTTATTATTCATTCTCTTTTCCTTCCCCCTTCCCAGAATCTCTTTTGTCAATATTGTTCTACTCCATTAGCAAAACAGACTTTATATCCTATTAATCAAATATTTGTCCCACTTGAGTCCCTTTCTCCCCTCACCCCCAGGCCCACTGTCTTCCTGCAACAGAGACCAAGAAGGAAGGACCCTGAAGGAAGCTCAGGGAACCCTGATCTTCAGTGTAGGGTTGCGTCTGTTCTGAGTGGAGGGAAGTGCTCTGTGACCACACATGCCCCTCCTACACCCCCAGGGCAAAGAAATGTGGTCAAGGTGGAAGGCAGTGCAGTACCTGGTTCTCATGGAGCACACTCAAGAAACGTGCTCAGGATCATGACTCTGATAATATGACTTTAGGCTGGGTGCAGTGGCTCACGCCTGTAATCCCAGCACTTTGGGAGGCCGAGGCAAGCGGATCACGAGGTCAGGAGTTCGAGACCAGCCTGGCCAACATGGTGAAACCCCATCTCTACTAAAAATACAAAAATTAGCCAGTGTGGTGGCACGCACCTGTCATCCAGTTACTTGGGAGGCTGAGGCGGAAGAATCGCTTGAACCCGGGAGGTGGAGGTTGCAGTGAGCCAAGATCACGCCACTGCACTCCAGCCTAGGCAACAAAGTGCGACTCCATCTCATAATAATAATAATAATAGTAATATGACTTTAGGTAGGACCATCAGCAAACCCAGAGCCAGTACATGCCCTGAAAAACCCACCGACGCAACATAGCATTTTTCAGATTGTATTTTTTAAATGTTTATAATATGTCATTTACATACCATAAAGCTCACCCATTGAAAGCGTACAACTTGGCCGGGTGCGGTAGCGTATGCCTGTAATCACAGAACTCTGGGAAGCCGAGGCAGGTGTATCACCTGAGGTCGGGAGTTCAAGAACAGCCTGGCCAACATGGTGAAATCTCATCTCTACTAAAAATACAAAAATTAGCCAGGTGTGGTGGTGCGTGCCTGTAATCCCAGCTACTTGGGAGGCTGAGGCAGAAGAATTGCTTGAACCCAGGAGGCGGAGGTTGCAGTGAGCTGAGATTGTGCCACTGCACTCTAAACAGAGTGAAACTCCATCTCAAAAAAAAGAAGAAAGTGGTGTATAATTCAACGTTTTTTTCATATACTTATCTAGTTGTGAGCCATCATTTTAATCTAATTTTAGAACATTTTAATCACCCCAAAAGGAAATTTTGTTTCTGTTTGCCGTCATTCTGCATACCACTCCCTTCCCCCAGCTTTAGGCAACCACTAATCTGCTTACTTTCTCCATAGATTTGCCTCCTCTGGACATTTCATATCCATGGAATTATACAGTGTGGCCTTTGGTGGTTGGCTTCTTCTACTTAGTAGCATGTTTTCTGAAGCTCATCTGTGTTGGTGCATGTATCAGTACTTCATTTCTTCTTTTTTTTAAATTTCAACTTTTAGATACAGGGGGTACATGTGCAGAATAGTTATATGGGAATATTGTGTAATGCTGAGGTTTGGAGTATGGATCCTGTCACCCTGTGGTGAGCATAGTACCCCATGGACATGATTTCATTCTTTTTTATGGCTGTGTAGTATTCCATGGGCACCTAGATTGATTTCATGTCTTTGCTTTTGTGAATAGCACAGTGATGAACATATGAGTGCATGTCTTTTTGGTAGAATGATTTCTTTTCTTTGGGCATATACCCAATAATGGGGTTGCTGGGTTGAATGGTAGCTCTGTTTCATATGTTTGTTGGCCACCTGTATGTCTTTGAGAAGACTTCATTTCTTCTTATGGCACAGTAATATTTCATTGTATGGATATAACACATGTTGTGTATCTGATACAGGCAAGCCCCTAAATGGGTGCTTAGCCCAGGAGGTTCTTGGCTTCACCCAGGAAAGAATTCAAGGGTGAGCCGGTGGTGTTAAAAGTTGAAGCAGTAGGCCGGGCGCGGTGGCTCCTGCCTGTAATCCCAGCACTTTGGGAGGCCGAGGCGGGTGGATCACGAGGTCAGGAGATCGAGACCATCCTGGCTAACACAGTGAAACCCCCGTCTCTCCTAAAGATACAAAAAATTAGCCGGGCATGGTGGCAGGTGCCTGTAATCCCAGCTACTCGGAAGGCTAAGGCAGGAGAATGGCGGGAACCTGGGAGGCGGAGCTTACAGTGAGCCGAGATCGCCACTACACTCCAGCCTGGGCAACACAGCGAGACTCCATCTCAAAAAAAAAGGACAAAAAAAAAAAAGTTGAAGCAGTAGCAGCAGAGGTGCTGCTCCTTGCAGAGCTTGACTGCCCCCTAAGCAGTGTGCCCAGAATAACAGCACAGAGGCAGTGCTCCACTCATTTTATAGTCACTTTTAATTATATGCAAATTAAGGGGTGGTTTATGCAGAAATTTCTAGGATGCGGGTGGTAACTTCCACGTTGTCAGGTCATTGCCATGGAAAGGGGCAGTAACTTCACAGTGTTGCCACAGTGATGGTAAATGACATGGCCGCTTCTTATGGAAACCTGCTTCCGCCCTAGACCTGTTTTAGCTAGCCCTCAATTTGGTCCAGTGACCGAGCGAGCTTCTAGAATCAAGTCTTCATTTCTCAGTGTTTGTTTTGTTTTGTTTTTTGTTTTTTTGTTTTGAGATGGAGTCTTGCTCTGTCGCCCATGCTGGAGTGCAGTGGCGTGATCTTGGCTCACTGCAACCTCCACCTCCTGGATTCAAGCAGTTCTCCTTTCCCAGCCTTCCCGAGTACCTGGGACTACAGGCAGATGCCACCACGCCCAGCTAAATTTTTGCATTTTTAGTAGAGACGGGGTTTCACCATATTGGTCAGGCTGGTCTCGAACTCCTGACCTCAGGTGATCCACCCACCTCGGCTTCCCAAAGTGCTGGGATTACAGGCGTGAGCCACTGCACCTGGCCTCATTTCTTCCTATGGCATAATAATATTTCACTGTATGGATATACCACCTATTCTGTATCCATTCATCAGTAATGCAGTTGCTGGGTAGCTCTGTTTTAAGTTCTTTGAGAAGTCTCCAGACTGCTTTCCACAGTGTGGACTAATTTACCCTCCCACCTACAGTGTATCAGCATTCCGTTTTCTCCACGGCCTCACCAGCATCTATTGTTTTTTGACTTTTTAATGATAGCCATTCTGGCTGGTGTGAGATGGTATCTAATTGTGGTTTTGATTTGCATTTCTCTGATGATTAGTAATGCTAAGCATTTTTTCATGTTTCTCGGCGACCTGTATATCTTCTTTTAAGAAGACTTCATGGTCAGGCATGGTGGCTTACGCCTGTAATGCCAGCACTTCGGGAGGTCGAGGCGGGCAGATCACTTGAGGTCAGGAGTTCGAGACCAGCCTGGCCAACATGGTGAAACCCCATCTCTACTAAAAATACAAAAAATTAGCTGGGCGTGGTGGCGCATGCCTGTAGTCCCAGCTACTCGGGAGTCTGAGGCAAAAGAATTGCTTGAACCCAGAAGGCGGAGATTGCAGTGAGCCGAGATCATGCCACTGTACTCCAGCCTGGGCGACAGAGCGAGACTCCATCTCAAAAAAAAAAAAAAAAGAAGAAGAAGACTTTGTTTCTTTGTATGCCAGAATAATATTTCATTGTGTGGATATACCATATATTGTGTATCCATCAATCAGTTCATGGAAATGTGTATTGTTTCCCTTTTTTGTGGCTATTATGAATTAGAACATCCATGTACATGTTTTGTTTTTTGGGGTTTTGTTTGTTTGTTTGTTTGTTTGTTGAGACAGGGTCTCACTCTGTCACTGAGGCTAGAGTGCAGTGGCATGTTTACAGCTTAATGCAGCCTCAATTTCCTGGGCTCGAGTGATCCTCCCACCTTAGCCTCTCAAGTAGCTGCGACTATAAGCATGTGCCACCACACCTGGCTAATTTTTGTATTTTTTGTAGAGAAGGGGTTTTGCCATGTTGCCCAGGCTGGTCTTAAACTCCTGGACTCAAGTGATCCACCTGCCTCAGCCTCCCAAAGTGCTAGGGTTACAGGCGTGAGCCACTGCACCCAGCCCATGTACATGTTTTTGTGTGGATATGTGTTTTCAAGTCTCTCGGGCAGATATCTAGGAGTGAAATTGCTAGGTTAAATGGTAACCCTATGTTTAATCTTTTGATGAGCTACTGAAATGTTTTCAAAGTGGCCACACTATTTATATTTCTGTCACAATGTATGAGGGTTCCAGTTTCTCCCTATCTTTGCCAATGCTTGTTATTGTGAACATAGAATTTAACTAGTCTTTCACTTAGGTATTTACCAAATTTTGGCTAAGATTCTGATGTCCCAGCCACATGTGTGTGATACGTCGAATAGGGTTGAAGCATTCACTCAACAAGCATGTATTCAACATCTGTGATGTACCCACCTGCCAGACCCATGACAGGGGAAGCTTCAGAAGCAGAAAGGAGGAGCCCTCATTCTGAGCCACCCAGGAAAGGGTCCTTGGAGGGGATGACACTGAAGTACTTTTTTTTTTTTTTTTTGAGACAGAGTCTCTGTCACCCAGGCTGGAGTGCAGTGGCACAATCTCGGCTCACTGCAACCTCCGTTTCCTGGATTCAAGCGCTTCTCTTGCCTCAGCCTCCCTAGTAGCTGGGATTACAGGCATGCATCACCATGCCCAGCTCATTTTTTTATATTTTTAGTAGAGACGGGCTTTTACCATGTTGCCCAGGCTGGTCTCAAACTCCTAACCTCAAATGATCCACCCACCTTGTCCTCCCAAAGTGCTGGGATTACAGGCCTGAGCCACCGTGCCTGGCCAAGTGTTTTTTTGTTTTGTTTTGTTTTGTTTTTAATACAGCTGGGATCTTGCTATGTTGGCCAGGCTGGCCTTGAACTTCTGGCCTCAAGCAATCCTCCTGCCTTGGCCTCACAAAGTATTGGGATTAAAGGCGTGAGCCACTGTGCCCGGCCCCTAAGTTAAGTCTTGAAGCAAGGAAAGGAGAATCAGGCAGAGTGCAGGACTTGGTGGGGGAGAAGGAACTTCAGGAAGGGGGACCAGTGCCTACCTAGGAGGTTCCAGACTCCTGGGGCTTTGGAGAATGAGGCCAGCAGAAGCTTCTTAAGGCTCACGAGAGAGGTGTGGCTTTGGGAGGCTGGTCCGGAAAAGATGCCAGAAAAATAAGTAATAACATCAAAGGCCTTGTACCTCCTTCCTGCCAGGGCATATTACTTTTATGCTACACTCATGGTGCCATGGACAGATTTTGAGGAGGGGAGTTTACATCTGGGAGGCCACCGTGGCAGCAGAGTGGGGAATGGTGGATGGAGAGATTGAGAAGAGGCAGGAGGGCAAGCATTCACCCGCTACTTTGATGAAGGCCTGGCGTCAGCTGGCATGGAAGTTGGCCCTGGGAGTGCACTGTGTTTTTTAGGGGAGCTACAGTTGTGGAAGTGGTCACCATAGCAAAAAGGTCCTAACAGAGGAGGCAGATCTGTAAGGGAAGTCAAGGGCAGCCTGAAAGCCCTCTTTAGAGGCCAGTGCCAGATGGCCTTGGCGGAGCCACGGCCAGATCTGAGAGAATAAACCTGTCTTTATTTGTAAGCAGCCTGCTTTTACCTCCCAAGCCCACCCCTGAGACACAGTCTGGTCTGCATTAAAAGGGCTGGGGCTGTCCCAGCCAATTTGATTTTGTGTCTCATCCTATCTACTTCTCAACACAGGACCCCTTGACTGCCAGGTTTCTCCTGGGAGGGGAGATGCCAATTTTCTGCTTCAGCCTGTAGACTCCGCTGTGTGCTGTGAGGTTCTTTCCCTTCCTGGGGTCCAACATCCCCGTGAACAGGACCAGGACTAGCCCCAAACCCACAGCTGGACAGCAGATCCTGGAGCAGCTGCACGTCTTCTTTATGATAATGAAAACTGGCTGGGCCCGGTGACCCACGCCTTTAATACCAGCACTCTGGGAGGCCGAGGTGGGCAGATCACTTAAGCCTAGGAGCTTGAGACTAGCCTGGGCAACATGGCAATACCCCATCTCTACAAAAAATACAAAAATTAGCCAGGCATGGTAGTGTGCACCTGTAGTCCCAGCTACTTGGGAGGCTGAGGCAGGAGGATTACTTGAGCCTGGGAGGTCAAGGCCGCAGTGAGCCATGATCCTTTCTCAAAAAAAAAAAAAAAAAAGTACTGAAAATTAGCTCATACATACATATTTAAGCATAATTACTGGGTTTTATATAGTTTACATGTTCTAAGGTATCTCTGAAAAAAATAATCTTCTAATGAAATAATCAGCAAATGATTGGCTAATGGCAATCATTAGACAAATATTGGATGATTAAACTTAAAAAAAAAAAAAAACCCTTGCTGGGCACAGTGGTTCATGCTTGTACTTTGGGAGGCCTAGCACTTTGGGAGGCCAAGGTGGGTGGATCACTCGCGTTCAGGAGTTCGAGACCAGCCTGGCCAACATGGCAAAACCCGGTCTCTATTAAAAATACAAAAATTAGCTGGGCATGGTGGCGGGTGCCTGTGATCCCAGCTACTTAGGAGGTTGAGGCAGGAGAATTGCTTGAACTCAGGAGGCAGAGGTTGGGGTGAGCCAAGATCAAACCACTGCACTCCAGCCTGGGTGACAGAGCAAGACTCCATCTCAAAAACAACAACAACAAAAAAACCCTTTTACCTGTTTTTTTCATTCTTGTAATTGAAGTATAATACAAATCTTAAGTGTAAAACTCAGTGAATGTGTACACGTTACATCCAGGTCAACATATAATCATCCCAGAAGTTTCCTTCATGTCCCTTTGCACCAAGCCCCCACCCCCAAAGAGATTACTGCTCATCTAACTTTTATCACCATACATAAAGTTTTGCTTGTTCTTGAACTTCAATTTGAATCATACAATGTATATGCTATTGCATTTGGCTACTTTTGCTTAACATAGCATCAGTGAGAGTTGTACACGTTTTTGCATGTATCAGCCATTTGTTCTTTTTCATTGCTGTGTAGTATTCCATTGTGCACCTAGACCACAATTTATCTGTCTAGTTTCTTGCTTATGAACATTTGGACTGTTTCCAGTTTTTGCCTCCTGTATTTAAAGCTGTCGTGAGGCCAGGTATGGTGGCTCACACCTGTAATCCCAGTACTTTGGGAGGCCAAGAAGGGAGGATCACTTGAGGTGAGAAGTTGGAGACCAGCCTGGGCAACATAGTGAGACCCATCTCTACAAAAGAAGAAAAGAAAAAATTGAGGCCAGGCACGGTGGCTCACACCTGTAATCCCAGCACTTTGGGAGGCCGAGGCGGGCAGATCACGAGGTCAGGAGATCGAGACCATCCTGGCTAACACAGTGAAACCCCGTCTCTACTAAAAACAAAAAAATTAGCCAGGCGTGGTGGCGGGCACCTGTAGTCCCAGCTACTCGGGAGGCTAAGACAGGAGAATGGCGTGAACCCGGGAGGTGGAGCTTGCAGTGAGCCGAGATCGCACCACTGCACTCCAGCCTGGGCGACAGAGCGAGACTCCATCTCAAAAAAAAGAAAGAAAGAAAAAAAGAGAAAAGAAAAAATTGAGACACAATATAATTCACCCTTTTAAATAAATGTGCAATTCAGTGGTTTTTCGCATATGCACAAGGTTGTGCAACTGTCACCACTGTCTAATACCAGAATGTTTTCATCACTCCAAGAGGAAATGTTATATCCATTCATAATCACTCTACATCCCTTCCTTTCCTCAATCCATGTCAACTACTAATCTACTTTCTGTCTCTATGTTTGTTTGTTTGTTTTTGAGATGGAGTTTCGCTCTTGTTACCTAGGCTAGAGTGCAATGGCGCAATCTTGGCTCACCACAACCTCTGCCTCTCGGGTTCAAGCAATTCTCCTGCCTTAGCCTCCCGAGTAGCTGGGATGATAGGCAGTAGGTGGGATTACCACCATGCCCAGCTAATTTTTGTATTTTTAGTAGAGATGGGGTTTCTCCATGTTGGTCAGGCTGGTCTTGAACTCCCGACCTCAGGTGATCCGCCCGCCTCAGCCTCCCAAAGTGCTGGGATTACAGGCGTGAGCCACCACACCCAGCCCTATTTCTATGTTATTTAATACTTATTCCTGACATTTAATAATGATGGTCAAACTTTTAATATATCAATTTCTTTGATTTTTTTTTTTCTAGGATCCTAAGCACTTCAAGTCAGAGAAGACAGGACGGGGACAGTTGAGGGAAGGCTGGAGAGATAGTCATCAGCCTATCATGTGCTCCTACAAGCTGGTGACTGTGAAGTTTGAGGTCTGGGGGCTTCAGACCAGAGTGGAACAATTTGTACACAAGGTAAGTGGTCCAACAGCAGTTCCTGGGCTGTGGACAAGGTAACTGTCTATATTGCCAAATTGGAGTCCATGATACACAACAGGTGCACAAATACATCAGGTCACTGCATCTCAAAAACACTTTTTGGGCCGGTTGGGGTGGCCAACACCTGTAATCCTAGCACTTTGGGAGGCCGAGGCGGGTAGATCACTTGAGGCCAAGAGTTCAAGACCGGCCTGGCCAACATGGTGAAACCCTGTCTCTACTAAAAATACAAAAACATTAGCTGGGCATGGTGGTGGGTGCCTGTAACCCAGCTACTCAGGAGGCTGAGGCAGGAGAATTACTTGAACCCGGGAGGCAGAGATTGCAGTGAACCAAGATCGTATTATTGCACTCCAGCCTGGGCAATAAGAGAGAAACTCTGTCTCAAAAAATAAGAAATAAAAATAAAAAATAAAAAAATAAAAAATACTTTTTGGATGAAAATGCATTTTATGCATAGGTTCAATTTTCTTCCACTAATAGATGTTTTATGCCCCATCTCTCATTCTGTGACCTCCATGTCTATTAGGCAAGCGTATTTGGGAAACACACTTCTCAGTTTGGTATTGGACTCATCTACTCCCAGACAGAGAAACTTGGGAAACAGCCAAAGGGCTTATCTGTGAGCACAGCCCCTAAGGTTAATTGCCACCCAAAAGATCTACAAATGTAAGCACCTAAGCAGAAGATGCCCAGAGGTAGAACAAGAAATCCCAATAGTCCCATTAGACAGTATACCCCAGCATTTCTGCTTCTTTAATAATTCTGTTACTAAAGTAGCCAGGTGTGGTGGCTCATGCCTGTAATACCAGCCCTTTGGGAGGCTGAGGCAGGTGGATCACTTGAGGTCAGGAGTTCGAGACCAGCCTGGCCAACCTGGTGAAACCCTGTCTCTGCTAAAAATACAAAAAAATTAGCCGGGTGTGGTGGCACGTGCCTATAATCCCAGCTACTCAGGAGGCTGAGGCAGGGAGAATTGCTTGAACCCAGGAGGCAGAGGTTGCAGTGAGCCAAGATCGTGCTGCTGCACTCCAGCCTGGGTGACAGAGCAAGACTCCATCTCAAAAAAAAAAAAAAAAAAAGGAAATAATAAGAATAATTCTGTTACCAAATAATTGTTAACAGCCTCGGGATGCAGATTTCAATTGTAAACCTACTTTGGCTAAACATGTTCATTTTGGTTTTTTGTTGTTGTTGCTGCTGCTGTTGTTTTGAGACGGAGTCTCACTCTGTCGCCAGGCTGGAGTACAGTGGCACAATCTCAGCTCACTGCAACCTCTGCCTCCCGGGTTCAAGTGATTATCCTGCCTCAGCCTCCCGAGTAGCTGGGACTACTGGGAGGTGCGCACGCCACCATGCCCAGCTAATTTTTGTATTTTTAGTAGAGATGGAGTTTCACCATGTTGGCAGGGATGGTCTCGATCTCTTGACCTCCTGATCTATCTGCCTCGGCCTCCCAAAGTGCTGGGATTACAGACATGACCCACCGTGCCCGGCCGGCATGTTCATTTTGTAGCAGAATCCCACTTGGTGAAGAGTCATATTTTCTCAGGGTTTCTAACATGACTCTGTCCCTCATGGGAGAAAAAAATGGGAAATGCAATGTTGAGCATTGCCCTTTGTAGCTGCTCTCATTTTCATAAGAATAAATACTACCCAAATTGTCTCTACATTCCAGATAGGCTGGTTATCTGTTTATTTTTCCACTTAAAAACTGATAAGAGTAGCTTGCCAAAATTATTTTGGAGTCACTGGAATTTAACCTTAATGCACTGAGCTTTTTGTTACTTAGATGGATTTGTCTATTGAGATTGGGGGCCAGTTAACAATAAAAAGTTTAATTCTGGAATTTAGGTCCAAGAACTAGACTGCCAGTCTCTTGAACCCTCATAACTCAGGCTCACGGTAATGGCAGACTCTGGCACAAACATGAGAGCCCTGGGTGTTTTCTTGAACAGAGAAGCATGCCACTCCTTTCCCGTGCTCCAGAACCCAGCCAGCCAGCCAGGAGCCAGAATGAAATGTGATACGTAGAAATCAAGCTCCAGGATCTCCTGTTTTCCTCCTGTGTCCTGATTATTGCACAGGAAAGCAATTGCAGCTCCCAAAGTAAATGTTTTCCAGCCTCAGCTTTGTGTCTATCTAAGGCAGTGTCTTCCTTGGTTTCCCACAGCATCCCTTTTTGTGTGTGGCTTTTTAAGGTAAAAAGACTTCCTCTTACTAGGGCCACTATCATAGTATTATTTTGTTTTGTTTTGTTTTTTTGAGATGGAGTCTCAATCTGTTGCCCAGGCTGGAGTGCAGTGACATGATCTCGGCTCACTGCAACCTCCACCTCCCAGGTTCAAGCAATTCTTGTGCCTGAGCCTCCTGAGTAGCTGAGGCACAGGTGCATGCCACCACACCAGGCTAACTTTTGTATTATTAGTAGAGACGGGGTTTCACCATGTTAGCCAGGCCAGTCTCGAACTCCTAACCTTAAGTGATTTGCCTGCCTCGGCCTCCCAAAGTACTGGGTTTACAGTCGTGAGCCACCATGCCCGGCTTCATAGTGTGTTTTCCACTCACAAAGCATATTTAATAAGGCAGAGTTGTCAGTTAAAAAGAGAATAATACAAAATAAAAATAAGGCTGGGCGTGGTTCACACCTGTAATCCCAGCACTTTGAGAGGCCGAGGCAGGCAGATCACTTGAGGTCAGGAGTAGTTCGAGACCAGCCTGGCCAACATGGTGAACTCTCATCTCTACTAAAAATACAAAAATTAGCTGGGCGTGGTGACAGGTGACTGTAGTCCCAGCTACTCCAGAGGCCGAGGCAGGAGAATCACTTGAACCCAGGAAGTAGAGGTTGCAGTGAGCCTAGGTCGCGCCACTGCACTACAGCCTGGGGGACAGAGCAAGACTCTGTCTCCAAAATAATAATAATAATAATAATAATAATAATTTAAAAGGCCATATTTATATTGCCCCAGGGTCCACTGTGTTTCTTTTCTCACAGATGACTCAGGCTAGTTTTGAGAATCTGTTTCCTGAAAATACCTGTAAGATTTATGCCTTGCCCTTTCCAAATATAAGGAAGTGTTATTGACACTCCAGAAACGCACCTGCTCTCGCACGTGAGTCGCTAATGAGTATCTGAGGCTAGCATTTGCATGGGTTGAAGGTGCCAGGGATGCCTTTCTCTGAACACCTTTGTTTTTTTAAGAATCTATTCACAGTTAAGGGGAAAAAAATGTTCGAAAGCGAGCCATGAGCACATTATTGAATTCTGGTTTCCAGCCGACAGCTGTGTTGTGCTTCGTGTAATAGGGTACATTTACTGATGCCTCGATGCTGTTCTTTTGATTTCCATGAATTTGAGACACTCAGCACTCAAGTGTGTATAGCTGTGTGTTGTTTCTTGTATTCATTATGTGTTTCCTACTTTCAAGTCATAAAAGCCTCACTAGATATCCAGAGGCCTGGAGTCATAAACACTTCATTATAAATGCTTTCCTTGTTTCTGCAAATTCACTGAATTAAAATCCTTCATTTATTGAAACATGCTTGAACCTTCCACGAGAGGTTTTTCACAATCACTGGATTTGTTTGGCAGGAAGAAAGGAATGTTACAGGGATACTGTGAGTATCCAAGAAATGTAAAAAGACATATTTACCCAGGATGGAAAAGAATACCATGAAATAAAAACACATGAACAGTATCTCACACACGCAGACACACACACACACACAAATGGTATATACTATTTTCCTTAGCCTTCTATTGCCATTATGTGTCACCATAAGAAACAATTTCATCCTTTTTGTGTCCAGTCAAGCTTGTCATTCCCATTACGTTCTATTCTAGTTCAGGTCTCTTTTTTCATCCTTTCAATGGTAAACGGCCTTTTTCCCCCTCTTCTATTACATGAAAGTCAAACCTAAAAGGATATTTACTTATCTTGTATCTCACACATTCATTTATGCTTGTTTAAAAATTGAGGCCAGGCGTGGTGGCTCATGCCTGTAATCCCAGCACTTTGGGAGGCCGAGGCAGGCAGATCACAAGATCAGGGGTTCGAGACCAGCCTGACCAACATGGTGAAACCCCGTCTCTACTAAAAAAATACAAAAATTAGCCGGGCATGGTGACAGGCACCTGTAATCCCAGCTACTCAGGAGGCTGAGGCAGGAGAATCACTTGAACCAGGGAAGCGGAGGTTACAGTGAGCCGAGATCGCAGTGAGCCGAGATGGCGCCACTGCACTCCAGCCTAGGGGACAGAGCGAGACTCCGTCTCAAAAAAAAAAAAAAAAAAAAAAAGATAAAAAGAAAAATTGAATCAATATTTATTTTTTAAATAATTTTTTGTGGGTACATAGTAGGTGTAAACATTTAGGGGGTACATGAGATGTTTTCATAAGGCCTGCAATGTGAAATAGGCACAATGTGAGGAATGGGGTATCCATCCCCTCCAGCATTTATCCTTTGTGTTACAAAGAATCCAATTACACTCTTAAGTTATTTTAAAATGTACAATTAAAAAATTGAATCAGGCTGGGTGAAGTGGCTCACACCTGTAATCCCAGCACTTTGGGAGGCCAAGACAGGTGAACTGCTCGAGGCCGGGAGTTTGAGACCAGCCTGGACAACATGGCGAAACCCTGTCTGTACTAAAAATACAAAAATTAGCCAGGCATGGTGGTGCGCACCTGTAGTCCCAGCTACTGAGGAGGCTAAGGCACAAGAATCGCTTAAACACAAGAGGCAGAGGTTATAGTGAGTTGAGATTGCACCACTGCACTTCAGCCTGGGGGACAGAGCAAGACTGTCTCAAAAAAAAAAAAAAATCAGTATTTAGGATATGTCATCAGAAAAGAGGGAATGTTAAGTGCTGTTCACTTTTTAGGATATGTCATCAGAAAAGAGGGAATGTTAAGTGCTGTTCACTTTTTAGGATATGTCATCAGAAAAGAGGGAATGTTAAGTGCTGTTCACTTTTTAGGATATGTCATCAGAAAAGAGGGAATGTTAAGTGCTGTTTGCTTAGAAGTGACTTGCTGTCGGCCAGGTGCGGTGGCTCACATCTGTGATCCCGGCAGTTTGGGAGGTCGAGGTGGGTGGATGACGAGGTCAAGAGATCGAGACCATCCTGGCAAACATGGTGAAACCCCATCTCTATTAAAAATACAAAAATTAGCCGGGCATGGTGGCCCACGCCTGTAGTCCCAGCTACTTGTGAGGCTGAGGCAGGAGAATTGCTTGAACCCTGGAGGCAGAGGTTGCTGTGAGCCAAGATCGCGCCACTGCACTCCAGCTTGGCGACAGAGTAAGACTCTGTCTCAAAAAAAAAAAAAAAAAAGTGACTTGCTGCCTAGAAAAGTGTTCTAGATTTCCAAAATTTATGACCTCCTGGCACCAGTGAGACACACCCTCCCACAGATGAAAAGTAGATGCTGTTTTAGTTAAAAATAAATGGAGAGAAAAACTTCAAGGTAATTAACCTAGATATTTATTTGTATCACTGCTGTGTGACTGTCAAGTATTTGTCATTAGTTTGTACACACACCCAGCCCTACTCTCAAATAAGACAAAGAGATGAATATACTGCAAGTGTGTGTACACCATGGGGAAGGGCTGGAGGTGTGTGAGCACTATAGGACCTATAGGCAGCCTGTAATTGTCATCACCTATGGACAGAGGGATTAAGAACTCTGTAATCACCAAGATCCCCAGAATTGTTAACAACTTGTCTTCCAGATAGTTTTCATCAAAGATGCTATTATTTCAGTCTCCTTCTTTTACTTTTTAGGTGGTCCGAGACATTCTGCTGATTGGACATAGACAGGCTTTTGCATGGGTTGATGAGTGGTATGGTAAGTCAATTTCTCCAAAATAACTTGTAGAACAACTTCATGTTGTCTCGGGCTTTCTGTCCATTTGGCTTCAACTGCTACCTAGAAGGACAACAACAAAGGCAAGGCCGCTGCTTCCTGTGTTGGAAATAGCACTGTCTGCCAAGCATAATGAAGATGTAATTATAGAAGCTTGGTCTAAAATAACCACAGAATTATTGACTAAGTAGGAACCTCAGGATGTTTGATGCTTACATAGTTGATACGCATGGCTCCATCATTCTCTGTTAGATGGGTTTCAAACCCATCCTAATTTATCCCAAACTTCAAGATCAAAGCTGTCTGAAGCATCCTGTCAAGTAAAAGCAGTCCTTTGATTCAGACAACATTTGAAACCACCCCTTGCCGGGCGCAGTGGCTCACGCCTGTAATCCCAGCACTTTGGGAGGCCGAGGCGGGCAGATCACGAGGTCAGGAGATCGAGACCATCCTGGCTAACACGGTGAAACCCCGTCTCTACTAAATAATACAAAAAATTAGCCGGGCATGGTGGCAGGCACCTGTAGTCCCAGCTACTCAGGAGGCTGAGGCAGGAGAATGGCATGAACCTGGGAGGCGGAGTTTGCAGTGAGCCGAGATCGCACCACTGCACTCCAGCCTGGGGGACAGAGCGAGACTCCGTCTCGGAAAAAAAAAAAAAAGAAAGAAAGAAACTACCCCTCAACAAATATATACAGGTTCTGCAAGAATTTAAGGGCAGACAGAGGCATAGGTGCCCCGTTCATCCTAATTGAAACTATTGTTCTGGCTTTTTTTTCATGATCTGGGAAGAGTTAAACAATTTCTACACATTTGCAGCAAATGAAAACAAGGTTAGCTTCATCCCATGATGGATGGACCATCCTTCCCAGGTCCTCAGCAGTCTTGTTTTGTCCACATGAATTTTCTGCACTCCCAGAATCAGTCATCAGATGGCTACCGTCCTTGGCTATAAATAGAAAGGAACACGCCCCACCGGTGACTTAGGTTAGATCTGATTTTCAGGTCGATTGTCTAATGAAATGCCCTTCTCCTTGGCCTTTTCCAAAGTCACATTAAATTTGTTCTGAGTATAACCTAGATTGCATTTTGGTCCTTTTCTGTCATTGTTTCACCAACTCCCTCCCTTTTCTGAGCAGAAGGTACCAAAGTAAAAGGACACGTTAGACGGAAGGGGCAAAGACAGTCATTATTATTAATATTGTTAGCTATTTCTGAGCCACATTTAAAAGGCATGGTTCTATAAGCTATGGGCTTTTCTTTTTTTTTTCTTTTTTTCTTACCTCCTTTTGCAGTTTTCCCAGATCTGCACCTTCTGAAGAGCAAATGCACCTTCCTGGGTTTGTCCAAATGCAGATCATTTATGCTCTCTTATCACACACCCACAGAATGCCGCTCTCATACCGCAAAAGCACTGGCTTGCCACATTGTCATGTAGTCTCCCAGAGACCTGTCTATTTCTAGTTGTGTTTTGTGAGGCAGGCAGGAGAGTCTCCTGTGATTACTTCCTCTGATCCTTAAATAAATCTTTCTGGTTGTTTTTTTCTGGGGCGCTTTTCTCCGATTCTCAGAGGGAGCACAGACCCCAAGAAAGGATAAGAACTTCTGGTCTCTCCCAGCTTGTGCTCCTCAGAGCTCATGGTTTCCTTGCTACCAACACCAAGGAAATATCAAAAGGATATTTAAAGAATCATAGGTGCAAACTGATTAGAAGTTTGGCAAAAAGAGAGGTACCTGAAGGGCCAAAAATCTGCCACTTTGAAAACCAACACACAGGGCACTTGGATAGGTTTCTCTCTGTTGCCAGAGTGCCAAAGAAGATTTTTCAGCTAAAAGAATAGCCGGGCTCTGATCAAGAGGACAGAATAATAAAAAGGGTTTGATTAGAGGCAGGATATAGGAAGAAAACCCAGTGTGGGTGGGTATCTAGTAAATGAAAGGCCAGGAAGGCGATGGGGCCTGACTTTTCCATCTCAGCTGAGCCTAGGGCAAGGAAGAGACTTAGGGACTTCTTTTTTTTTTTTTGAGACAGAGTCTCGCACTGTCGTACGGACTGGAGTGCAATGGCACAATCTCGGCTCACTGCAACCTCCGCCTCCCAGGTTCAAGCGATTCTCCTTGCCTCAGCCTCCCAAGTAGCTGGGATTACAGGCTCCCACCACCACGCCCTGCTAATTTTTTTTGTCTTTTTAGTAGAGATGGGGTTTTACTATGCTGGCCAGGTTGGTCTCAAACTCCTGACCTCGTGATCCGCCCACCTCAGCCTCCCAAAGTGCTGGGATTACAGGCATGAGCCACTGCGCCCGGCCTTAGGGACTTCTAATAAAAGACTTAGGGACTTCTAATAAAAATTGAAAGAAAAAAAAAAACTGCCAGGCACGGTAGTTCACACCTGTAATCCCAGCACTTTGGGAAGCCTAGGATGGAGGATCACTTGAGCCCAGGAATTCGAGACCAGCATGGGCGACATAGCAAGACATCATCTCTACAAAATAAATAAATAAAATTAGCCAGGCACAGTGGTGCATGTCCGTAGTCTTAGCTATTCAGGAGACCGAGGTGAAAGGATCACTTGAGCCCAGGAGCTGGAGGCTGCAGTGAGCTATGATCGCAGCACTGCACTCTAGCCTGGGTGACCGAACAAGACCTCGTCTCTTTAAAAAAAAAAAAAGAATTCTGGGATTACAACAGGAGCCCAAGGCTAGAATAATGTATCAAAGGAAACAGGAGATCTCCCCGAATCTGGAGACCTTCAAAAGAGAGCACTTATTTACTTAGGATGAGTGAAGTGGAGGCATTTAACAACTAAGGAGTCTATTGTGCAAAAAACCTTTTCCTTATCTGAGCACAAAACAACACTGTGGGCTTTAGTGAATGTGGATCATTAGGACACCTTGCACTCCCCAGAGTGGGTCTCCCCCTGCATACACTGACATAGCCCCAGCCAAAACAAGCAGCCTTTTCACTCAGCAGTGGTCTGAGAACTACACCGTTAATTTCATGTAAGCTTCTGCAACCATCAGTACCCACAGCTGAGCTGCTGACCAGGAAAACAGTGGCTCCTTCATCACACAGATGCAGACACTCAGTGAATCAAATGAATGGAAATGACTCCTGTCCACAGAGTGCCTTCTCAGTCCCATATTCAAAGTAATTCTGGGAACTGTGGGCCATATGTGCCACTGGTACCCAGGCTAAGCGCCCACCAGCATTACCCTTCCACTCCATTTTGGGGTACCTGAAGTGGCCTATTTTTATTTGTTCTGGACAGGCTCAGTGAGACTCTCATGGAAACATGGAAACATGGAAACATGGAAAAGATCCAAAATAAATCCTTGCCTATAGCTATAGCGTCTAGCACTGGTTCTCAAAGTAAGGTCCCTGGACCTGCAACGTCAGCATCCCTAGGGTACTTGTTAGAAATGCATATTCTCAGGCCCCACCCCAAACCTACTGACTCAGAAACTCTGAGGGTCTAGCCCAGCAATTGTTTTAACAAGCCCTCCAGATGGTTCTGTTGCTGGCTAAAGTTTAAGAACTACTGGCTTATAGCATGGGCTATAAACCAGACTGGGACATTGGGTTGTAAGGACCGTTTAATTGATTCAATCCAAATAGGTTAACTAGAGAATCATAGCTGTCTGCAGGGCCAACCACACTCCAGCCTGGGCGATAGAGCGAGCCTTTGTCTCTAAAAAACAAAAAATAAAATCAATTTTAAAATGATTGCAGGAACCCAAATTCTTACAACTCTGATTTCTTGTGAGAATTAGAAAAAAAAGCTTCCCTTTAGACAGATGAATTAGAAAAAGGTGCCCCTTCTGGGCAGACTCAGCAGGTGCTCTGGGCTTAGGGCTGAATTTGAGCCCCATTTGCCTCCTCTGCTGTGTGTTCATACAGTGCACAAACTGTACACACTGATGCATGGGTAGCTCTAGATGTCTTTCTCTCTAATTAGACACACCACCTCCAGTGCTTAATTAAGAGTCAAGAAAAAAGGACATTGTTGAGGGTAGTGATCATTTGTCAGCCAAGGATGAATTTTGTATCTCTTCTGAGTTTCAGCATTTGGCTGTCACGAAACTGTTTCCCTAAAGAGATTTTATTCTGTTCGTGTTCATTGTAAAGTGTAACCATTTCCATATTGGAGGAGTTGAGTGTGTCTTTCAAAGCCGTGATTGGTCTTTATCCATGAGCCTTGGGTCTCTCTGCACGACTAGAACGCTAATCAGAGAAATAACAACAACGTATTTCAGGAGATGGGGTGAGAGGGAAGGTGGATAAAAATAGGCAGCCCAGTTTCACAAAGGCTTGGTTTTGCTTTACAAATCTGACAGTGTTTTGAGAAAGGAACACAGAACATTGCCAGAAGGAGCCTATGATTGAGGTGAACCTCACGAATGTCTTTGAAAACCTGACTCTAACCAAAAAGTATGAGGGAGGGAGAGTTCTGGCTGCTGTAGACGACACTACCTCATGAAAGTGACTTAGAAATCAGCCTGGAGTCCCTAGAGCAGGTCTAACAATGAGGGAGGCAAGATTAAAATGGAGAAAGAAGCCTGCTAGGGGTTGCATGAGCTGGTTGAGTTCACCAAGCCAGATTTTCCAACGCAACATTTTATGTGTGTGTGCTTGTATTCGTTTATCTGGGGAGAGAATGAATAACTTTCCATCAGATTTTCAGAGGAACCTGTGAACCCTTCCCCTGCCTACTCCCTGCTCCCAATTAAAAACTACAGAAAAAAATCACAACTATAAGGCTGGCACGGTGGCTCACACCTGTAACCCCAGCACTTTGGGAGGCCAAGGCGGGCAGATCACCTGAGGTCAGGAGTTCGAGACCAGCCTGGCCAACATGGTGAAACTCCGTCTCTACTGAAAATACAAAAGTTAGCTAGGCGTGGTTGCGGGCACCTGTAATCCCAGCTACTCAGGAGGCTGAGGTAGGAGAATCGCTTGAACCCGGGAGGCAGAGGTTGCAGTGAGCTGAGATCGCACCATTGCACTCCAGCCTGGGCAACAAGAGTGAAACTCTGTCTCAAAAAAAAAAAAAAAAATCACAACTATAGATTACAGTTCTAGATCTTAGTGGTCTGAATTATGTGGAAAAGGTATACACCACACTTCGAGGACTGGCTACTTTCACTACAAAAAAATGGAGTCACCCTAAGCTTTTTGTAAGAAGCATGTATTGAATTTGTAATCATTGTAAAGGGTTTAAAAAATGGCATTTCTCAAAGGATGGCTACCATTTTGCTGGAGCCAAAGAAGTATCCATTCTTATTTATGATTTCTGGGGCCTCCCTGACCCAACTACTTGTTCAAGACTTTTATTTTGACTTAGAATGATGTAAAAATGACTTCTGTTTTGGTGAAGGAGGCTGAAAGTGAACGGAAATGTTTGTAGAGGGAAATAAAGTATAATGTGCCATTTCACAGATCATTGAATTAGAACAGAAGACTCCCCTTTTTAAAATGTTTGCTGCTGCAACTGTGTGGTACAATGAAGGAAAATTCACGCTTGCAGATGCTTTGTTCAAGGGCATTTGTAGTTTCCATGTGTGTTCAACTGACTTCTAAAGGCCTTTCAAACATATGATCTTGCCTCCACTTCCTGTGAAATTAACCTCCTTTCTTTAAAAATACAATGATTTAAAGAAAATTGCCACCATAAACAAAGCTAAAAGACTAGGGGAAAATATTTGCTGCATATGTAGTCAACAGGATTACCATCTATAATATATAAAGAGGTCCTATAAATTGAAAATTTGGCCAGGTGTGGTTGTTCATACCTGTAATCCCAGCACTTTGGGAGGCCAAGGCAGGAGAATCACTCGAGCTGAGGAGTTTGAGACCAGCCCTGGCAACACAGGGAGACCCCATCTCTACAAAAATTAAAAATTAGCTGGACATGATGGTGTGCCTGTAGTCCCAGCTGCTTGGGAGGCTGAGGTGGAAGGACCACTTGAGTCTGGGAGGTCAAGGCTGCAGGGAACTATGGTCACACCACTGCACTCCAGCCTAGGTGACAGAGCAAAACCCTATCTCAAAAAAAAAAAAAAAAAAAAAAAAAATCAGTCACTCAAGAAAATGGTAAAGGATATGAATAAGTAAATCATAGAAGAAGAAATACAAATAGCCAATAAACTTACTAGTAATCACAAGAACCGTAATGAGAAAAACAAGAAAATAGGACATTTGCCCATCTGATAGCAAAAATTTAAGAGTGATTATATCCAGTTTTCAATATAAAATGATAATCCAATTTAATAAAATATACCATAGAAATGATAAGCACAAACAACTTATGACCCAGCCAATCCACTTCCAGAATTTTATTCTGGAATACACATGAGGCCAGGTGCAGTGGTTCATGCCTGTAATCCCAACACTTTGGGAGACCGAGGCAGGCAGATCACCTTAGGTCAGGAGTTCAAGACCAGCCTGGACAACATGGTGAAACCCCGTCTCTACTAAAAATACAAAAATAGTTAGCTGAGTATGGTGACACGTGCCTGTAATCCCAGCTACTCAGGAGGCTGAGGCAGGAGAATCGCTTGAACCTGGGAGGCAGAGGTTACAGTGAGCCGAGATGGCGCCACTGCACTCCAGCCTGGGGACAGAGTGAGACTCTGTCTCAAAAAAGAAAAAAAGAAAAAGAAATACAAATTGCCCATGAATACATGTACAACAAGTACAAAGCTATTCTGTGTGGTGGTGTTCATATAAGCTAAAAATTAGTCTCAGTGTAAATGTTTACTAACAGGATTATCAATTAACAAATCCCCTGAGACCAGAGCCTCTTTGCCAAAGTGGAGCTGATGGTTGAGGAGGAGATTTTGGCCTCAGCCCAGTCACTGGCAGAGGAGAACGTTCTACTCAGGCCCCATGCAGTATGACCTCACGCCCTGAGATAAGAGTCTGGGATCTGATCTCTCCTCACCTGAAGGAGAGCAAGAAAGAGAAGAAAAGAAATGGCCTCTCCAGAGGGCAAGGAAAGGAAATATTGTCCCACTGAAGTACAGTGAGCAGGGCATGTGTGTTCCCAAAATACTTCCCAGGGCTGTTTAACCTCTGATAGCAGAGTCTCAAAGATATTAGGATGCACTTTCTTTATCAGAAGAAATACCGTACCAGTTGCAATATTCTCTTAAATTAGGCAATTATCCCCAGTATTGCTGGCTTAAGGAGTCTTTATGTAGGAAACCTTATTTAGGAAGAGTAAATTATGACCTTTCACAATCTATAAGTGAAGGGCTGACTGTTTACCAATGTATTTGCAAAGTAATTGACATGGGCTTCCTTTAATTAAGAGTTTGGGCCGGGTGTGGTGGCTCACGCCTGTAATCCCAGCACTTTGGGAGGCCGAGGCGGGTGAATCACAAGGTCAGGAGTTCGCGACCAGCCTGGCCAACATGGTGAAACCCCGTCACTACTAAAAATACAAAAATTAGCTGGGTGTGGTGGCGGGTGCCTGTAATCCCAGCTACTTGGGAGGCTAAGGCAGGAGAATCGCTTGAACCCGGAAGGCCGAGTTTGTGGTAAGCCAAGATATCACACCATTGCACTCCAGCCCGGGTGACAAGAGCGAAACTGAGTCTCAAAAAAAAAAAAAAAAAAAAAAAAAGAGTTGATACACATAAGCATTTGTTTGCTGGAAGCAAAGAAGTCTGAACCTAAATTGTTTGAAGTCACTCTGATCATTGAAAATCAATCAATAATAAAGATGAATCATCATTACTGTATAATCTGTCATTGGGCACATGTAACTGAATTTACTAAAATATTGATTTCTACAAAGATTTTGAGGTCATATATGTTGCAAAAGCTAGACAGTGCATTTTACCAGCTAACCTGAACAGGAGCATTTTCACTTGATTAGGATTTCCATAAATTTCTGAGAAATACTGAAAATATTTACATCATGTTCATACACATTTATAGTCTGTGAGGATATTTCAGGATTTAGACAAACATATTTTCCTTCACAGCAGGGACCATATTATCACCATCTTTTAGAGAACTACTCTACTAGGAATGTTCATTCCTATGTGGCAAAATTGGGAGATTTTCTTTTATAGAATTTTCTGAAATTTCATTTCTTAACTCTTTGTTTAAAAAAAATAATAGGGGATGGCTGGGCGTGGTGGCTCACACCTGTAATCCCAGCACTTTGGGAGGGCGAGGTGGGCGGATCACTTGAGGTCAGGAGTTCGAGACCAGCCTGACCAACATGGTGACACCCCATCTCTACTAAAAATACAAAAATCAGCCGGGCGTGGTGGCACACACCAGTAATCCCAGCTACTCGGGAGGCTGAGGCGGGAGAATCACTTGAACCCGGGAGGCAGAGGTTGCGGTGAGCTGAAATTGCACCAGTGCACTTCAGCCTGGGTGACAGAGTTAGACTCTGTCTCAAAAAAAAAAAAAAAAGAAAAGAAAAGAAACAGGGGATTATGTTTCTAGAGTGAACAGAAATTCTGGAAAAGTCTATCTTCTCCTTACCAATTCCAAATTGACGGTATCCATCTCATAATGATCCAAAATAACAAATTTTTTTTTTTTTTTTGAGACAGAGTCTTGCTCTGTCGCCCAGGCTGGAGTGCAGTGACATGATCTTGACTCACTGCAGCCTCCGTCTCCCAGGTTCAAGCGATTCTTGTACCTCAGCCTCCTGAGTAGCTGGGGGTTACGGGTGTGTGCCACCATACCTGGCTAATTTTTCTATTTTTAGTAGAGACAGGGTTTCACCATGTTGGCCGGGCTGGTCTCCAACTCCTGGCCTCAGGTGATCCGCCCATCTCGGCCTCCCAAAGTGCTGGGATTACAGGCATAAGCCACCCTGCCCAGCCCAACATAACAGATTCTTAAATAATGTTTTTTTTTTTCTTTTCCACAAGCAACGCATATTTGATGTAGAAAATTTCAAAAATGTAGATAAGCAAAAAGAAGGAAATTAAAATTACCTGTAATTCTAACTCTTCAAAATAATCACTGTTAACATTTTGAAATATATCCTTTCAGTGTTTTTTTAATGTAGATAATGGTTTTCTGACTAAATTGATTTCATATGCTATATACAGTTCTTTTTACCTATTTTTTATTTAACAATAGATTAAGGATATCTCTCTAGGATTAACTATTCTTCTACCTAATTTTTAACAATTGCATAGTGCTATCAGTCCCCTGGGTTGTTTTCAATTTTTCATTATTATGAACATTGCTGAACAAGGCAGCAATGAATATCTTTGTTGTTAAACCCTTTTTCACATCCATAAAATGGATACATCTTTGAAAGCCCATAGTCACAAAGTTTAAGCCCCTATCTTGACGTTGAGCTAATTCAAGATGAAGTATGATTTCTGTGGGGATTCAATAGAACAAAAAAACCTATAACTCCTTGGCTTTTGTTTTCCAAATTACTGTCATGCCTGTTGGGATGGTGGGGGGCACCCCCTAATGACATATGTGTAGAGAAACTTCTTTAAATTTTCAACTCCTAGCTAAAAGTGATCGTCTAGTATTATTTCAGATATATTTGTGTTTAAGAAATGTTGATAAGCAGCCATTGAAAGTGATTGTACTGAAAGAATGTGTTGTTATTATTAACTAAGATGCATTTGTTTTCATCATAAAGCAGCATCTCTTTATTGCTTTTTGGTTACCTCGATTTTCTAAAAGAAGAGCATGCTCCTTGCTTGGCCAAGCTGCTGCTTAGCATTCTTGATACTTACATTGCTTATGGACCGCATTTGCGATTGAGGATCTCCAGGTATACCTGGGAATGATCTTCTGCATAAAATAGACCAGGTCTGGATTTAGAGGCACACAGCATCTTGGTCCCAGACCACAGTGAATTAAATCATAAACTCCTGGCAAATCTGCCCTTTGGAAATGAAGAGGATCTCACATGACACATGGATTGATATAAAAAGACACCAAACCACATGATGCAGAAAATACCTAAGGAAAAATTCCAGCTGTGAATGCCCACTCTAAATCCCCACTAAGCCAATTAGTGGTCAGGGTGGCAGAGGAAGCACTTTGTTCGGCATACCATCATTGGTAAAGAGCATGAAGTTCCGCTCTGCCAAGAGAGTAACAGAGGAATGCCTACCTGGGAATATTGCTGATAAAATGTAAAATAACCAAGGAGCCGGGTAGGGGTGGGGGTAAAATGACAGAAGTATTTGAAGTGAGACTAATTGTTATTTATATGCATTTCACATACTGAAGGTGGATGGGTTCCTTATTTAAGTTTTTTTTGTTTGGTTGGTTGGTTTTTTTTGAGACAGGGTCTCACTCTGTCGCCCAGGCTGGAGTGCAGTGGTGTGATCTCAGCTCACTGCAACCTCTGCCTCCCGGGTTCAAGTGCTTCTCCTGTCTCAGCCTCCCATGTAGCTGGGATTACAGGCGCCCTCCACCATGCCCAGCTAATTTTTGTATTTTTAGTAGAGACGGTGTTTCACCATGTTGTCCAGGCTGGTCTTGAACTCCTGACCTCAATTGATCCACCCGCCTTGGCCTCCCAAAGTGCTGGGATTACAGGCATGAGCCACCATGCCTGGCCTGAACATTTTTATCAGTTGGATTAAGACAGGGTTTCTCAACTTTGGTACTATTGACATTTTGGACCAGATAATTTTTTGTTGGGGGCTGGGGGTCCTGTGCATTGTAGGATGCTCCATAGTGTCCCTGGAATCTGCACACTAGATGCCAGTAGCACCCCTTCCCTAGTTCTAACAACCAAAAATGTCACAAAATTGTCCCCCGTTGAGAACCACTAGATTAAGAGATCATTATCCTGAAATACTGAAAAACTGCAGACTTGGGCCAAAAATCATGTCATGTGCCATTTTATTTTTAGATCAGTGTGGGTGGAAGTAGTGCCAGCCATCTTCAAGCTGTTAGCCAAGACTTGAGGTTCAGTATAGACCTGCACTCTCTGACGCCATGCATTCTGTGCAAATTTACATCTGTGTGCAAGTTGCACCAAATCTCAATTGTACCAGTGAATATCATTGCTCTGCCTTCTACATCCTGCCTCCTATAACAGCAATGAAAGTGTCCTTTCTGTTGTTGAATGCATTGATTTAAACAACCTCTAAATCTATTTTGAAAGCTATGTGGAAGGTAAGTATTAAACCAAGCAAAACTGACCCTCTGTCCCCAATGGGATCTTCTAATGATGCTTTAGGAGATCTCAGGCTATGGTACTGCCCACATGCTAATACTTTCTACCCAAACCTAGCTCACTTTACAAGAATCACCCCTAAATAATTTCCACTCTTCTCTGTTCTAAGACTATTTTGACTTAACTTCCTTGCCCTCACTCCCCCTTTGGTTGGTTTAGCTAACTTTATGACTTACTCATCATAAAGTTAGACAAGTCTCTGCTTTTTTAAACCTCCTTGGCTACTGCTCAGCTACCATCTTTCCCTAAAGTGTCCCCATTGAAAGTTTGCATCTAATAACGGAAGTTGCCAACATCTTGACCTCTTTCAGATATGACAATGGATGATGTTCGGGAATACGAGAAAAACATGCATGAACAAACCAACATAAAAGTTTGCAATCAGCATTCCTCCCCTGTGGATGACATAGAGAGTCATGCCCAAACAAGTGTACGTAGAATTTTTAAAACATGTTGCCCACCCTTTCACAAATGCACATGTAAACTGATCTGGGAAATACTGCAGATGCCCGGTTCGCAACCTTCCATAGAAACATGTCGTCACCCAGACCCTGTTGCTGCAGAACCTGAGCTGGATCTAAATTGGGCAGTGTCACCTCTCTCTTCCAGACATTTCGATCCCTTAAAGTTGCTTGACGTGGAGGTTATTTCGGTCATAAAACCAAGAACATGGAGAGTGGAAACACTTTTGTGGGACTAGTAAAACGGCCTGCACCATAAAAGAGCAGAGGAGTGAAAATCGATGTCATATGTAAACTAGAATAACATGTCAGTAACTTTTAAAAACATAGCTAACACTCACTTATTCATTCAAGGGAGGGCTTCTGGCTCATCAGCTATTTTAGGTTTCTTTACATTTGCTTTGAAAAGCTTTCTGTGGCTCTTTATAGCTGTTTTACCCAATCAGTTCCTTTTTACTTAGGATAATCTCAAGATGGGCTGCAGTCTGTGCAGACACACAGGCTGAGCAGTGAAGGGGTGTGAGCTGGGGATGTGCTGAGCTGCCTAGCAGATCCCTGGGACTTAGGGTAAGCCTTAGAGAGCCTCAGTTATTTCGTTGCACACTGGAAATTGAGAGCTGACTGTATATTGTATGCCAGCATTTTAAGTATCGTAATCTCTCAATCATTCATGCTAATGAAGGGTAGCTAGAGATAACAAAGAAAAGTGTAATCACCAAATCATTTCTTTGCATCTTCAGCCAGAGCTGTGATCTCTTTGGGTTCCGCCTTGAGTCCTCATGTCCATTAGCCCAGTCTCCAGAATAATACATAGTAGGTGTTAAAAAAAAAAAAAAAAATCAGCTGGGCGCGGTGGCTCATGCCTGTAAGCCCAGCACTTTGGGAGGCCGAGGCAGGTGGATCACCTGAGGTCGGGGGTTCGAGACAAGCCTGACCAACATGGAGAAACCTCGTCTCTACTTAAAATACAAAATTAGCTGGGTGTGGTGGCGCATGCCTGTAATCCTAGCTACTCAGGAGGCTAAGGCAGGAGAATTGCTTGAACCTGGGAGGCAGAGGTTGCAGTGAGCCAAGATCGCGCCATTGCACTCCAGCCTGGGCAACAAGAGCAAAATTCTGTCTCAAAAAAAAAAAAATCAATGCTGTAGTTCTAGGAAATTTAGATGTGGCTGTTGTCATAAATGGATCCTTTAGAATTGTGAAGACCTTCTGATTGCACTTTGGAAATTTTTAGTTAAATTTTTGGAGCATGTCTTTGGAATGTGCCCTGCAAGTCTCATGTGCTGCAACTGGTTGCATGTGATTGCCCTTGAGGTTGCAAGGGCCCTAACTCTTCTCCCATTTTGCATGCAGTGATCTGATTTGCAGGAAACTGTTGGAGCAAGAGGCGTTTCCTCTCTATGCACAGACCAATTCCAGTAGGACTTCCCCCTAGAAGTGCTCTTTAAGGAAACTCTCCTTGAATTTCTATCACTTTCAATTACCTTTTCTTTTAGAAATGTTGGGCCCCAGTTCCCCCTCAGCCACTCTGAAAGCCATTCACTATAAATATGACCAGGCAAACAAAGGAAGAAGCCACAGGTAAAGAGGAGACACCAGATGGCTAAAAGATGCTAAGCTCAGTGATTTTCTCACAGCTTATAAGCCCCTTGGCTTGGCTTTCTTTCAGTTTTACTGTGATTATTACTTTATAATTAAAGTCCATGGCTGGGTGCGGTGGCTCACGCCTGTAATCCCAGCACTTTGGGATGCCAAGGCGGGCGTATCACCTGAGGTCGGGAGTTCAAGACCAGCCTGACCAACATGAAGAAACCCCGTCTCTACTAAAAATACAAAATTAGCTGGGCGTGGTGGCGCATGCCTGTAATCCCAGCTACTCGGGAGGCTGAGGCAGGAGAATCGTTTGAACCCAGGAGATGGAGGTTGCAGTGAGCAGAGATTGTGCCACTGCACTCCAGCCTGGGCAACAAGAGTGCAACTCCATCTCAAATAAATAAATAAATAAATAAAGTAAAATAAATAAATAAAGTAAAATAAAAAATAAAGTCCACTTACTATGTAGAAGGTGATAACGTAGAGTGGTTCTTCCCATGGAAAAGCCCACATAATCTCTGGCTGCCCCTCAGCGTTGTTCCCGTGACTTCAGGGTGAAAGATGCCTGCCACCGGAGAAGTTACACAAAGTGGTTATTTTGAATGCTTATGACATTTCCATTATCCTTTGGAATTCCGTGAAATTGGAGCACATTTATTTTTCCTTAGTCTTTCTCCTGTATCATAATGAAAAGCAGTGAAAATCAGGAGGTGGCTCTTTGTCACAAATAAAAACTGCATGGGTGCTAAATGAATTTTAGATCATCAACCCAAGCAGGGACAAATTAGATTGAAATTAGGCAAAATTAACATCCATGAACACAGCAGTGAGGAAATAAGTCTTTTCAATTGAGCAGGTTCAAAGCCTTCAAGGACGGGAACTTCTAAGAGCCTCTGGGAGTGGAAAATCAAAATTCTGTGCTTTAGATTATTTCTGCCCCCTGCTGGCTATGTGGAGTAGAACAATGTATTCAGCCACTTGATTAAGAAAGTCTGCTTTTTCAAAGATAATATCCATTTATCATAGCAAAAACATAACATACCCTGATACACTAAAATTTTTCTCAGTCTCAACTTTATTGTGAAATAAATGCCTCTTTTTATATAACCTTAATCTCACTTCTTAGCTCATTTAATAGTCTTCCATGTTTTTAAAAATTGGTAAGTTTATAGGTACAATTTTTCTTGATATATGCTGAATTTTATATCTTATCCACATAGTCATAATGACTTATATCCTTTGTAAAAACTTTCCCTTTCAGAAAATTTTAATAATTGTTCCCAGGAAATCCTCTTAAGGATTTCATTTTGTGAAAAATACTTCTGGTTTGCTCAGATGTTATAAAACCTAAAGATTAAGCTGGGCACGGTGGCTCATGCCTATAATCCCAGCACTTTGGGAGGCTGAGGTGGACGGATGACCTGAGGTCAGGAGTTCGAGACCAGCCTGGCCAACATGGTGAAACCCCATCTCTACTAATAACACAAAAATTAGCCGGGCGTGGTGGCAGACGCCTGTAATCCCAGCTACTCGGGAGGCTGAGGCAGGAGAATCGCTTGAACCCCGGAGGCGGAAGTTGCAGTGAGCCGAGATCTCGCCGTTGCACTCCAGCCTGGGAGACAAGAGCAAAACTCTGTCTCAAAAAAAAAAAAAAAGAAAAAGAAAAGTCCTAAGGATTAATACTGTGTTATGAATATTCATTACATACTCAGTATTTCCAAAGTGGCTATATTGTTTCCTGCTGGTTATTCCCTCCAATATTATCTAATGAAGTTTCAACTGCTAAGTACATGGCAGTGGACAAGAAACAATGAAAAATGGGTCTCTGGGGGGCCAAAACAGATACAGAAAATCCGCGGGCACTAAATTTTGCATTTTGCTCCAGGATAAGCCTTGGGCCTTGACTCAGTCTTTAATAAGCCCAGGTTCCTCTTTTCCCTGTTCCCAGCAAGTAAAAATGGCAAAGGATACCAGGGATAGCCAGGGTAACAATAATTAATAATAACAGTAATAAGGCTGGGCACGGTGGCTCAGGTCTGTAATCCCAGCACTTTGGGAGTCTGAGGCAGGTGGATCACGAGGTTAGGAGTTCGAGACCAGCCTGGCCAACATGGTGAAACCCTGTCTCTGCTAAAAGTACAAAAATTAGCAGGGCATGGTGGCACGTGCCTGTAGTCCCAGCTATTCAGGAGGCTGAGGCAGGAGAATTACTTGAACCCAGGAGGTGGAGGTTGCAGTGAGCCAAGATCACGCCATTGCACTCCGGCCTGTGCAACAGAGCAAGACTCTATCTCAAATAAATAAATAAATAAATAAATAAATAATAACAGTAATAATAGAGTTTCTGAGCATGAGAGAAGAGATATCAAGCCATAAAGAGCAAATAGACCCTGAGAAGGAACTAAGGAACTGTATTTTTGCACAGTGATATATCTTCAACATATTATGTCTCAAATGTAGGAAGTATGTATAATACATTAAACACATTAGGGAAAGATTTACATTTTTTAAATACTGTTTTTACTTTCTCACTTAAATAAGAACATTTCAGGTATTTGGAAAACCTACATTATCCAACAATGATTATTAACAGTGGTA
Organism: Homo sapiens; assembly: GCF_000001405.40. Taxonomy (NCBI): domain Eukaryota; kingdom Metazoa; phylum Chordata; class Mammalia; order Primates; family Hominidae; genus Homo; species Homo sapiens. Next base: position 67,691,407 of record NC_000017.11, read on the forward strand.
TCACTGTCTTATTTGTTGAATTCCAAGTCATGCTTTTTTTTCTTTTAAATAGAATCCTCACTATTAAATGATCCTCTCCTTTCATTCTCTATTCTTTTTAAGTTTCCTCAAGAAATGGTTTTATTTTCTTGGCTTTGGAATGATTAGCAGGGTGTGGTGAAATTGTTGATTTACGTGTTTTTGAAACTGAATTTATTAAAACACAATCTCTGAACCTTCTTAGGATCGACACACAGTCAGGAAACCAGAAACAACAGCATCTTTGTGGCCCCTCAGAATAAAAAAGTATATGTATTGATTAAGAAGATAGCATGTTGGCCTGAGTACAGTGGCTCACGCCTGTAATCCCAACACTTTGGGAGGCTTAGGCAGGCGGATCACTTGAGGTGAGGAATTCAAGACCAGCCTAGGCAACATAGCGAGACCCTGTCTCTACAGAAAATACAAAAAAATTAAACCAGGCATTATGGCATGCACCTGTGGTTTCAGCCTCACGGGGCCCTAATGCAGGAGGATCACTTGAGCCCAGGAGGTCGAGACTGCCGTGAGTCATGATCGCACCACTGCACTCCAGCCTGGGTGATGCAGTGAGATCCCGTCTCAGAAAGAAAAAAAAAAAAGAAGATAGTATGTTGAAAAATCCTGATGATTTACCTGTTTACCCTATAAAGGTATACTTTCATGATCTAAAGTTGACAATAATGACAATAATATGTGTCATTTCAGGGCCATTGATTGTTTTAATTACCTTCTCTTTATGAAAAATATGACCAGTTAATTATAGCTCCAAATACCCCACACCAGACCCACAACAACACAGATGCACACGGGTGCACACACATACACACACACAGGCACATATTTCCCCCGTCTAGTTCTGTATTCTACTGTTAAGTCCTTATTGAGAATACTTAAAATACTCACTGTGAAGAGTGCTTTGGAAAATCTTAAATGGATAATCATAAAGGGATATTGTTTTCAGGGTGTAGCTTCCAATAGAAAAAATTGGGGGTTTGGTATTTCAATGATACTTTGGGTGTATAATCGGGAGAGGCCCCTTTATGATAGGGTTCCCATAGTTCCTGTAAAAACAAGGGTAGTGATGAATCTATTTGCCTCTCTTATAAATAACTGCTCGTTTTTCTTTCTGTTTTTCTCCTTGAAGACATGACAATGGATGAAGTCCGAGAATTTGAACGAGCCACTCAGGAAGCCACCAACAAGAAAATCGGCATTTTCCCACCTGCAATTTCTATCTCCAGCATCCCCCTGCTGCCTTCTTCCGTCCGCAGTGCGCCTTCTAGTGCTCCATCCACCCCTCTCTCCACAGACGCACCCGAATTTCTGTCCGTTCCCAAAGATCGGCCCCGGAAAAAGTCTGCCCCAGAAACTCTCACACTTCCAGACCCTGAGAAAAAAGCCACCCTGAATTTACCCGGCATGCACTCTTCAGATAAGCCATGTCGGCCCAAATCTGAGTAACTTTATATAAATATCTCATGGGGTTTTATATTTTCATTTGTTGTTGTTGTTTTTTTTTAAGAATCTTCTGATAGAGAAAAAGACTGCTTTGTCACTCAAACATGTTCCTTCGACCTTTCAGTGTGCATGTGACTCAGTAACTTCACATAGAATATGATTCCCTAAGTATGCTACACAGCATCATATTAGATGTAAGATGTAAGACTTGCAAAGGACAGAAGGAATCTTCTGTAACCACATAGCTGTATGCCAGAGAGGAAGCCTTGTTATTGGGCATTTGATGAGGTTTGGCATGGACTTCAAGGATAAATGAATGAAAACTTTGCACCACTTTTGTTACAAGGTACGGTAGAAAATAGTGAAGTCAGTTTCCTCTCATCAAATCTAAAATTCTCCAAAATACTCTCAGGCATAACATACTTAGCTGTTAAATTTTGAACTGCTAATTACTAATACTTGAATACCAATAGTTACTGAGATTCCTATTTTGTGGTTAGTCTGACTCAGGATTTGGAGCCTAATTAACTCTAAACTTTTGAAAATTTTAATCATCAAGCTATAGAGGCTCCAAGTGCAATTAATAATAACTCATTTATACCTTCCACAGAATTTAATAAAGATTCTACTTGTTTCTGTCTTTTAATAACTTTCCCCTTTTGTGCCCTTGTGGCCTCAGAAATCCTTAAGAATTGCATGGATGAATGTGACCATAACTGATTTTGGAATGGTTCAGTTTAGGAACCAAGAGGCCCAGGTGAGGCAACATCTTTTTTCTCTACAGGTACCAACAAACCTTGACTTGTCAGCTTCCATCATCAATTAAGATTCTCAGAATTTGCAATTAATTGAATAGAATTCATTTACTATCTGCCCACTCAAAGAAGTACAAGGGTAGAGTAAGCTAACTGGGCTTTAACATGGTCAGAATGTCTGGTGCATGAACTATAAAAAAGAGAACTGTCTCCCATCCCCTTCCTTGTTTTACTCTTAGTAACATCCAGAATTCCCTGGAACAGATTGCCTACCACCAGACCTTAGAAAAGACTGTCATTCTCTTGCTCCTTACTTGAAATACAAATATTGGGAATGTCACAGACATCAAGCAACTACTGTCAAGTGGGAGGAGAGAATGAGCAGAATTGCTGACTCCTATTTGTAGAGTGAAAAGGAGGAGTGATAATAGATGCCCTTCTGTCTAGCTTTCCTTTCTTCAACTAGTGGTAATGCAAGATTAGAATCAAGGTTGACAGGAGGCAAGGTCACTCACTGAAGTGACAGAAAGACAATTCTCCTTTGCTCCAAAGAGAGAAATCTGTCACCTTTGCACCTCACTGCCTTTAAACACAGACGGGAGGGCAGGCCAAATCTCAGCATTGACTTTTGTCCTCCAAGAGAGGAAGAGAAGAAGTAATTGGGCAACTTGGAGGCCCACGCCCCAGCTAGCCTTCCTGATCGTAACCTCCAACCTCAGGAAAGGGACCTTCCCAAAACACAGATCCCAAAGGAAACAAAATAGACCAAGGAGCATAATCTGCTTCTCTCACACAGCCTCTCTGCCAGTGGACCCTGCCTGCTTCCCTCTCAGTGCTCAGCACTCTGTGTAGTGTCTTTCAGGTTGATACACTCTCCCAAGGTGCAGGCGCTGGCCCCATGAGCCCAGCACCAAAGTTTTCTAAGTCATAGGTCAGACTGTCAAGATCATTTCTTTATCTATAGGTTGATATTTAGCTTAAAAAAAAAGAATAAACCTAGAACTCAAAGGAAACCTGTTGCAAATAGCTTAGATCAACAGTGTATCTCTTCCCTAAGAATGATAGTATCTTAGTAAGACACCTTCTATGCATGGTATGGAAGCATGATTTTTGCTTGTGGGAAAACCTAATATTTTATCAGACCCCTCGGACTTCTCAATCCCTCCCTCTCCACACAGTAGTACTTAATGAAAATGTTTTGCTTTAGAGAGCAAAATGCTACTTTCAGAAGACACTGAAATAGTATATGTATTTGCTTACCATTTGCAAGCTAAAATCAAGGTGGGATGGGGTCATTATTTTCACATAGAATGTATTTATTTTGTGCAGGCTGTTAAACACATCTGGCACCTAGTTTTTCCATTAAGAGCATTGCTATTTTCCCTTTTTATAAAGTAGCTTCTGCTGTCAAGGTTAACAATTCTATATGCTTTAGGAAGCTAAGTTCTAATTTCCTTTTGTGAGTTTCATTTCTTTTATAACCAGTATGTTACCACAGACATCAGTTGCAAAGCTACGATGATAGTGTGATTCTTAGCCGAAAAAAAAGCGTGTGCTCTTAAAGTATGTTCAGTTTTTCTGTCTACATATGCTTTGTGTGAGTTAAAAAGGGGGTGGGTGGTGTAAATATTCCTTTAGCTGCTTTGCATATTTAACCCAGTCATCAAAAGGCATAAATGACTTCAATATTTTATATATCTTGGTTTTCAAGTATCATTTCACATTCTCTATACATGACTTTGTTATTGTGGAATACAAGCCTGCAATGGATGTATATATACAGAACATTAATAATTCTTAGAAGGATGGAAGCCAAATGGCTGCATGATGGAAATTAGAAGAAAAAAAAAGCAGAAACTTGAATTTGCTAAGCATGTTTGGGGGGAAATAGAATCCTTAACTCAGTGCCTCTGTCTGCGATATGGAAACCTTCAACTTTGTTCACCAAAATTGTATTATACCTGTGTATATATATATATATATATATATATAAATATAAATATAGTATAGTGAATCAGACACCATCAGTTTTAAGTCTCTGGTAGCCAAACTTAAATAAATAATCCATAGAATATCACATACGTTCACTCCATCTTCATCTCTGAAGTTAGTGGAGACCATCAAAATGACTGTACATTTCATAACTCTGGGAAGATTTCAAATGTGAAGTGCCCCTGTGCATTTTCTTGGCCATAGCACGGCATTCTTGCTTTAGCTGTGCTTTCCTGGGATGAGAAGATCTTGGTGTATTTAACACATAAGCTTTGTTAGAAATCACCTCTGAAGATCATTTCATTTTCTCACTTTGGGTTGTTGCAAGACAAAGCAAAGGAAAAGGAACACAATGAAGGAGGCCGTGACATTTTTAGTTGCCACCGTTGTAACTCAAACAATATGGGTTTGTTGGTGAACTGATTTATCAAGGCTTCTGTTACGGTTTTGCATCTGTGTGTGAGGAAAATTTTAATTTATTTGGAAGTATTTATTAGCCATGTTGTTGGTCCTGAAAATAAATCTCTAAGTAGCACAGTTGTGGGTATATTATGCAGACACTTACCACAATACCTGCAAAAGTAACTGTGGTTTTCTTTCAAGACACTGTAATAAACAGTGAACTAAGAGAATAGATTCTGATACATCTCGATAAATCATTCTCTGCAAAAGTTTCAGGGCTAATGTATTTATGTGTATTTTTAAATTCTACTTTCTTTGGCATCTCTTCATGGCTCAGCGACAACAAAGTAATAGGTCATTGGCTGGCTTACGTCGATAGGAATTTTACTCTTAAGAAGGGCCAGTGTATAGCTGACTCTACATATAATGTGTAATCAGATAATCCAATAGAGAGGAATTGTCCAAATAGTTTTAGTACCTTTCTGATCATCTGACTCAGTAGGCTAGGAGACAATCTGTCATCTGAGCCATAGTTCTTGAGATTTAAAAAGTCTGTCCAGTGACTGCAATCTGATTATGAATAAACTATTTTAACTATTCATTCTTGCTGAAACTGAAGTGTACACAATAGCACACTGTTGGCATGCTGAGGCAAAACATTGGGTTCTTTTGTGTTCTACCTTCAAAACAATCTGTTTGCATTTGAAATATAAGTGTTTAAGCTTTTTAGGAGTTAGTGTAATAAGAGAATGTGAATATGTTGGGAAATTTTCAGATGCCATTAATAATTGTAATTTTGTTGTTAAATTAACAAGGACTTTAGGATAAGCCTCTTGATGTTTTTTGCTTTAAATTGAAAGCATGTCTGTCAAATTGCAAGTCTCCCTTCAGTTTCTATATATCACCCAGGAGAGGGTCTCTGAGTTGGTGTTGTACCTGTACCACTCACATGTAGCTCAAGTGTAATTTGTAGTGTTTACATTCAAGCTGGGATCTTGATTGGTTAAATTAATCCACATACCACTGCCACTGCTGAAGGACCAGGTGTTGGAATACACAGCATTACAGACTATAAGCAAAGCAAACAAAAGTTGATCCTTACATATGCCATCCTTCTGTGTCATTTTGTGGCTGTTCTGTGTTTTTCTTCCTAGTTATTTATTATTGTTAATAACTTACTTTTTCTTACATTCTGTTGTAAATAAAATACAAAGCAATCTTCTTTGCAAGCGTAGCTTCCTCTCTCTCTCTCTCGCTCGCCCTCTCTCTCTCTCTCTCTCTCTCCTCTTTAGCTATTCTCGAGGGAATGTTAGTAATTGTTCACCTGTGGGTTGATGGGCTTGCTTCTTTTCCTCTATGGATTTTTTTACCCATCCCCATACCACTGCCACTGCTGAAGGACCAGGTGTTGGAATACACAGCATTACAGACTATAAGCAAAGCAAACAAAAGTTGATCCTCACAGATGCCATCCTTCTGTGTCATTGTGTGGCCTTGCCTGCTAGTAGGCATATGGCACCTTCAGGACCCTTGGTAGGAAAAGTCTGAGTGTCTGCACTAATTATCCAGCCAAAAATTACACAAGGTGGCCAGCCAGGCCAACATGGCGAAACACCATCTCTACTGAAAATACAAAAATTTCCCAGCCGTGGTGGCACACGCCTGTAGTCGCAGCTACTCAGGAGGCTGAGGAATGAGAATCACTTGAACCCTGGAGGTGGAGGCTTCAGTGAGCTAAGATCACGCCACTGCTGTCCACTCTGGGTGTGAAAGAGCAAGAGCCTGTCTCAAAAAGACAAAACAAAACAAAAAAACCCTGGCTGAGGCCGGGCGCAGTGGCTCACACCTGTAATCTCAGCACTTTGGGAAGCCGAGGCGGGCAGATCACGAGGTCAGGAGATCGAGACCATCCTGGCTAACACGGTGAAACCCCGTCTCTACTAAAAGTACAAAAAATTAGCCGGGCGCGGTGGCGGTCGCCTGTAGTCCTAGCTACTCGGGAGGCTGAGGCAGGAGAATGGCGTGAACCCGGGAGGCGGAGCTTGCAGTGAGCCGAGGTCACATCACTGCACTCCAGTGACAGAGCGAGACTCCGTCTCAAAAAAAAAAAAACCCGAGGTGAATCTGTAACCCAGTGGGATACTCATGCATCCGTCCACCAGGTGCTTGGTTCCCTCGCCTCGAATGTGAAGCTATCCACCCTGAGGGAATCTGTAGGAACACCATCCCAGTGGTGTTCCTAGATTCTCTCCACTGAAGGTTGGGCCAGTTTTTAAGGTGAGCTGAAATCACTCTGATGTGGTTTCTCCATCTCAGGTAGCTCCTGTACACAAAAGGGTTCTCTGCAGATGGGTAGTCTGAGGACAGAAACTTTTATTTCTTTGGGGTTTTTTTTCGAGTCTCACTCTGTTACCCAGGCTGGAGCGCAGTGGTGTGATCACAGCTCACTGCAGCCTCGACCTCCTGGACTCAAGTGATCCTCCTGCCTCAGCCTCCAGAGTAGCTGGGACTACAGGTACACACCACCACACCAAGCTAATTTTTTATTTTTTCTAGAGACTGGTTAAACTATGTTACCCAGGCTGGTCTTGAACTCCCGGACTCAAGTGATCATCTCGCCTCAGCCTCCCGAAGTGCTGGATAATTATAGGTGTGAGCCACCGCACCCAGCCAGAATTACTTTCTAGCCCCCTGCTCGTTAGTCTCCTGCTAAAACAGCATATACCTCTCACTCTGTTCTCTCCTCTTGAATCATCCACATCCTATGTTCTAATCTGTGACTGGATCAGGCACACAGCTTCATAGAATAGCACACCATCAGTCGGCTTTCTACACTGAAAATTTTCCCAAAATCATATTGCATCGTTCCAATGAACAAAAACATGCTTGCTTTTGTAGCTCCAACTTCACCATTACCACCCCCAACCTGCCTTTTACTTCTTTTTTCAAAACACACAAACTTTCCACACATTGTTGTTGGCTGACTTTCAGCCAGTGAACTTGGGTACAGCCAGGCTGGGTGTTTATTCCCGGGACCAAACTATATGGGTGGTTAAACATTTGGATGCCTAATGTTAAATATATATATATATATGTTTGTATCACCCCCAGCTTCCTACTACAGCTTTTCATCAAGGCATTATCTCATTTGAGCATTACTCTTTAGATTTCCAAACGCCCACATTCTTTTCTAAAATGTCCTTGTTTCGGCCGGGCGCGGTGGCTCACGCCTGTAATCCCAGCACTTTGGGAGGCCGAGGCAGGCAGATCACGAGGTCAGGAGATCAAGATCATCCTGGCCAACATGGTAAAACCCTGTCTCTACTAAAATACAAAAAATTAGCCAGGCATGGTGACGCGGCACTGGTAGTCCCAGCTACTCGGGGGGCTGAGAGGCAGGAGAATCACTTGAACCTGGGAGGCAAAGGTTGCGGTGAGCAGAGATCGCACCACTGCATTCCAGCCTGGGTGACAAAGCAAGACTCTGCCTCAAAAAAAAAAAAAAAAAAAAGTCCTTGTTTCCTTCATTACATTCTACTTGGGGTTTCTTGCCTCTGACCTCCAGCTGCATCTTGGCCTCTCAAGTTCAGGAAAATCATGCGACCATTCTCCAACCCTGTCGTGAAATATCCCTGTATGAAAATATCACCCTCAGCCGGGTTCAGTGGCTCACATACCTGTAATACCAACGCTTTGGGAAGCTGAGACAGGTTCTCTTGAGTCCAGAAGTTTGAGACCAGCCTGGGCAACATGGTGAAATCCCATGTCTTAAAAAAAAAAAATTAAAAAAAAAAAAAGAGAAGAACAAAAATGTCACCCTCAGTCCTGAAGCTTTGACGCCTTTGGAACAACAATCTTTGTGCATGTTCACATACAGTTGTGTGTGTGTTTAACTCAGTGCGGTTGATCCAGGCAAACCCTGTTTTCCAGCTGACAGACTGACTTTCTCTGCCTAATGTACCTGCCCCCTGACATTTCATCCTCCCATAAATCCTCCTTTTTCCATAGTATGCAACCTAGTAGGATATCCCACTCAAATCCAAATCTTCAAGTGCTTCCCTGCTCCTGGGAAAGTTGGAAGCAGGCTGGGACTTTGCCTTAATGCTTTTGCTCTGTTCCCAGCACTGAGGAATGGAGCTAGCCTGTGGCCAAAGAAACGACACAGCCTCAGAAACCTACTGAATCAGCCATTCAGTGAAGCAACATTAACGGGCTGAATTAAGCACCTGGGATTTAAGGGCTAATTATGTTTAACTGTAAGTACCAACTTTCCGCACTGTAAGCAGACACAAAAGACAGGGCCATCATTTCCCCTCCTTTAGCTTTTGTAGAAGGGAGTTTTGACCGCTTTGTCCCTGGAGCGTATTTGAGGGTGGCCAAATCTGGACTTCTGTGATTTTTTAAAAAAAAATCATTCCAAAATAACTTTCTTGCTCCCAAGAGATTCCACAGGCAAGATGCTGGCAGTTTACAGCTCATTAGCAACCCTTGAGAATCATTTTGTGCTCTTAAGCATACCAGTGATTATATTCAGAGTGTTCAGAGACAGCTTGCTGCTTTCTCTGTGCAGTCAGTCAACAGTACTGAATGCATATTTTGTCTTTTCTCAGAATACAACTTGAAAATTTACAAAGATTCTACAAGTTTAAATTTTCCCACTGTCATCTTACAGTTAACTGTATTTCTTTGCATTTTGCTAAAAATCTTATTATATAAATCCAAGAATGTGACTTTTCACCTTAAGTACTTTAGAATTTTTCTGTAGAGCATAATCCGTACATGCCTGTCTTTCTACAAAATGCTTTGAGGATATTGAATTGTTTTATAAACACCTTTACATTTGGTACATAGCATGTTTATCATTTTTCATAGCTATATAATATTCCATTGGGTTGAAAATCAGTAACTTACTTAAACATTCCTTTATTATTTAGCATTTAGGTTATGTTCCAGATTTTGTTATTATATACAGTGCCATTAGGAACATCTTTGCAACATAGCTTATGTCTTCTTTTTAATTATTTGTTCTGGATAAATTCCCAGAAATTGAATTACTGGGTCAAAGGATGTAAGTATTTTCCTGACTTTTGGGTCCTTACTGCCAACATCCCCTCCAAAGAAAATTATACCAATTTACAATTCCACTGACAATATGTGAGTGAGAACATGTGTCTCTTTAAACAAGTATTTGCCATTGTAAAAGTTCACCAGTCTCAACTTATTAAGCAATTGCCAGCATCCAATTTCCATACAAGTCTTTTGTTAAAGTATTAATAGGTCAAATATCCTTATTTTGGGTAGTCATGTGATGAAGGGAGAGCCCAGACACAAAGAAGCTCTCCGAATTATTTAAATGTTCAGTGCCTTCTCCAGCCTAGCTAGCAAACTGTAGAAACATTTGACTGGCTACTACAGAAACAAAAGCCTAACTTGAGCATAAGGAACTGCATTTAATTGAATAAACAAACATCAATTCTAAGTCATTTTGTTTTCACACTTTCAGGGATAACAAACATTGAATGCATCTTTTTATTTGAGGTTTTCCTGAAAACCACCATATACGTGCCAACAAGTTTTTGGGTTTTTGCTTTTTTTTTTTTTTTTACCAAGAAGGAATCAGTTAAAAAAAAAAAAAGAAAGAAAGAAAAAAGAAAAGAAAAAAAAACTCCAGCTCTCTTACTGTTATTTTAGAATCAGTGATTCCCAAATTCTAGCAGAACCTTGGTAAGGACAAAGCAGAGTCCCTCCTAAGTCTTTGATTTAACTTCTCGGGAAGCAACGTGATGACAGATCACACATGTGCTCCAAAAAAGAGAAGAAACAGTTGGTACATAGCACCCTTTTCAGCCACGCGCAAGCCATTCCTGAGGAATAGAGAATTCTCCACCAGGAGAGTACTATGCTCATTTCTCATACATAACGAGGACCAGGTATAAAATTTACACTCAAGTTAGTTTGGAATCTGACTGCAGTGTTTACTTTTTTTTTTTTTTTTTTTTTGAGATGGATTCTCGCTCTGTATCCCTGGCTGGAGTACAGTGACATGATCTCAGCACATAGTAACCTCCAACTCCCGAGTTCAAGTGATTCTCCTGCCTCAGCCTCTAAGTAGCTGGGATTACAGGTGCCTGCCACCACGCCCAGCTAATTTTTGTATTTTTTATTAGAGACAGGGATTCACCGTGTTAGCCAGGCTGGTCTCGAACTCCTGGCCTCAAGTGATCCACCTGCCTCGGCCCCCGCAAAATGCTGGGATTACAGGTGTGAGCCACCTCACCCGGCCCAGTGTTTACTGTTTTATTGTCAGTGTTGGGTGTTTATTTTAATTATTTTGAGATAATTATAGATTCACAGGAAGTTACAAAGAAGTATACAGGATGGCCTGTACACCCTTCACCCGGCCTCCCCTAATGATAACATCTTGTATAACTAGTAGTACACCAGCCGGGCCTGGTGGCTCATGCCTGTAATCTCAGCACTTTGGGAGGCCAAGGCGGGCAGATCACTTGAGGTCAGGAGTTCAAGACCAGACTGGCCAACATGGTGAAAACCCTGTCTTTACCAAAAATACAAAAAAATTAGCCAGGCATGGTGGCAGGTGCCTGTAATCCCAGCTACTTGGGAAGCTGAGGCAAGAGAATCGCTTGAATCCAGGAGGTGGAGGTTGCAGTGAGCTGAGATTGCACCACTGCACTCCAACCTGGGCGAAAGAGTGAGACTCTGTCTCAAAAAAAAAAAAAACCAATAGTACATCACAACCAGGGAGTTGACATTGGTACAATTCATAGAGCTTATGAAGATTTCACCATGGGCAGGCACGGTGGCTCACTGCTGTAATCCTAGCACTTTTGGAGGCCAAGGTAGGCGGATCACGAGCCCAGGAGTTCAAGACCAGCCTGGGCAACATGGTGAAACCCCGTCTCTACAAAAAGTACAAAAATATTGGCTAGGCGCGGTAGTGCGTGCCTGTAGTCACAGCTACGTGGGAGGCTGAGGTGGCAGAATCACTTAAGCCTGGGAGGCAGAGGTTGCAGTGAGCTGAGATTACACCACTGCACTCTAGCCTGGGCAACAGAGCAAGACCCTGTCTCAAAAAAAAAATTTCACCAAGTTACATGCAGTCATTTGTGTGTGTGTGTGTTTGTGTGTGTGTGTGTGTGTGTGTGTACGCATGTGTATGCATGTAGTTCTATGCAATTTCCTCATCAATATAGCCTCATGCAGCTATCACTACATTTAAGATACAGAACTGTTCCATCACTACAAGACTCTCTCATGCTGCCATCCCTTACCCCAATCTCCCAAAATCTTTACTTTCAAAAACGAAAAAATTTTCACAGAGGCAAACAGCCACCTCAATTTTTTTTCTGCTACTTTCTAACATATTCATCACAACTCTCAAACATTTTGGGGGGCATTTAAATTTAATTTTAAAATTAAATTTCAATTAAATATTTTTATTGTAAAATATACATAACATACAATTTATGTATATTTAAGTATACGCAATTTGTGTATATTATGTATTATAAATCTCTCATGAGACTTATTCACTATCATATTAGCGTTTTGAGACAGAGTCTCCCTCTGTTGCCCAGGCTGGCGTGCAATGGCGCGATCTTGGCTCACTGCAACCTCTGCCTCCAGGATGCAAGCAATTCTCCCGCCTCAGCCTCCCGAGTAGCTGGGATTACAGGCACACACCACCACGCTCGGCTAATTTTTGTATTTTGGTAGAGATGGGGTTTCACCATGTTGGCCAGGATGGTCTCGAACTCCTGACCTCAGGTGATCAACCCATCTTGGCCTCCCAAAGTGCTGGGATTACAGGTGTGAGCCACCACACCCGGCCGCATAGTAGCCATTTTTAAGTATATAATTCAGTGGCATTAACTACATTCACAATGTTGTGCAGCCATCACCATTATCTTTTTTTTTTTCTTTTTTTGAGACACAGTCTCACTCTGTCACCCAGGCTGGGGTGCAGTGGCACAATCAGCTCACTGCAACCTCCACCTCCAGGGTTCAAGCAATTCTTCTGCCTCAGCCTCCCAAGTAGCTGGGATTACAGATGTGCACCACCATACCCAACTAATTTTCTATAGAGACAGGGTTTCGCCATGTTGGCCAGGCTGGTCTCAAACTCCTGACCTCAAGTGATCCTCCCACCCCAGCCTCCCAAAGTGCTGGGATTACAGGTGTGTGCCACCATACCCAGCCACCACTATTCATTTTCAGAACTTTTTCATCATCTTAAACAGAAACTCTGTGCCCATTAAGTAATAAGTCCCCATCCTGCCCTCCTCCCAGCCCCCAAAAGCCTCTATTCTACTTTCTGTCTCTGCAATTTTGCCTATTCTGTACCTCATTGTATTAGTCTGTTCTCACACTGCTAATAAAGACATACCTGAGACTAGGTAATTTATAAAGGAAAGAGGTTTAATTGACTCACGGTTACACATGGCTGGGGAGGCCTCACAATCATGGTGGAAGGCAAAGAGGAGAAAGGCACATCTTACATGATGGCAGGCAAGAGAGCGGTGCAGGGGAACTCCCCCTTATAAAACCATTAGCTCTCCTGAGACTTATTCACTATTATGAGCACAGCACGGGAATAACCCACCCCCATGATTCGATTACCTCCCACCAGGTCCTTCCCACAACACGTGGGAATTATGGAAGCTACAATTCAAGATGAGATTTGGGTGGGGACACAGCCAAACCATATCACTCATGTAAGTGGAATCCTGTAATATGTGTCCTTTTGTGTCTGTCTTACTTCACTTAGCATAATGTTTTCAAGGTTCATCCATGTTATAGCATGCATCAAACATTTTAAAGTCTTATTTTATGGGAAGAGGGAAATCCTATAAGCCAGTAAACATACTGTACAGTTTGCTTATCTTAATCTATTTAGTGTTGCTATAAAGGACTACTGGAGACTGGGTAATTTATAAACCCACGGTTTATAAGCTCACGGTTCTGCAGGCTGTACAAAAAGCATGGCACCAGCATCTGCTTCTGGTGAGGCCTCAGGCTGCTTCCACTCACGGTGGAAAGTGAAGAGGAGCCAGCCTGTGCAGGTCACATGGTGAGAGAGGAAGCAAAAGAAGTGGGAGACTATGGACTCTTCAACAACCAGCTCTGGAAGGAAGTAATGGAAGGAGAACTCACTTGTGATCACAAGGATAGCGCCAAGCCAGAATTCATGTGGGATCCACCCCCATGACCCAAATACCTCCCATTAGGCCCCATTGCCAACACAGGGGATCAAATTTCAACATGAAGTCCTGGTGTGGTGGCTCACCCCTGTAATCCCAGCACTTTGGGAGGGCTTGGCGGGCAGATCACTTGAGGTCAGGAGTTCAAGACCAGCCTGGCCAACATGGTGAAACCCTGTCTCTACTAAAAATACAAAAATTAACCAGGTGCAGCAGCATATGCCTATAATCCCAGCTACTCGGGAGGCTGAGGCAGGAGAATCGATTGAACTTGGGAGGCAGAGGTTGCAGTGAGCTGAGATTGCGCCATTGCACTCCAGCCTAGGCAACAGAGCAAGACTCCATCTCAAAAAAAAAAAAAAAAATTCAACATGAGATTTGGAAGGAACAAACAAACCAAACTATAGGAGTGCAGCACTAGTAAGCAGAAGTTCTCTAATTATTAGAAAACAGATATTTCCTTGTTTTTATTTTTTTTCTTTTGAGACAGGGTCTCGCTCTGTCACCCAGGCTGGAGTGCAGTGGCACAAACATAGCTCACTGTGACCTCACCCTCCTGGGCTCAAGCTATTCTACCACGTCAGCCTCCTGAATAGCTGGGACCACAAGCAAGGGCCACCACACCTGGCTAATTTTTTTAATTTTTGTAGAGACTGGGTGTCACCATATTGCCTAGGCTGGTCTCGAATTCCTAGGCTCAAGTGATCCTCCCACCTTGGCTTCTCAAAGTGCTGATATTATAGGCATGAGCCAGCATACCCAACCAGACCTTTTCTAGTTATTAGACAACAGACATTTTTCTAATGCTGTGTGATGCTGGACAAGTGACTTCATCCCTCTGAGCCTTTGTTTCTTCAACTGTAGCAACACTACCATTAATAACAGGTGGCATATATTAAATCTGAATGACAAATATGTAAAAATAAGATTGTCAGTAGGTGATGGAAGCTGCGGCTGAAAAATCCTGAGAAAAATAGAATGCACAGGCAAATTTCAACAGTAGCTCTAGGCCGAGTGCAGTGGCTCATGCCTGTAATCCCAGCACTTTGGGGAGCCAAGGCAGGAGGATTACTTGAGCTCAGGAGTTTGAGAGCAGCCTGGGCAACATAGTGAGACCTCATCTCTACAAAAAGTTTAAAAATTAGCCAAACATGGTGGCATGCGCCTGTAGTCGCAGCTACTCAGGAGGCTAAGGTAAGAAGATCGCTTGAGCCCAGGAGTTCAAAGCTGCAGTGTACTATGATTGCACCACTGCACTCTAGCCTGGGACACACAGCAAGACCTTGTTTCTAAAAAATAAATAAATAAACAGAAGCTCTATGAGAAAGAGCAGGTGACCTTTCCTAGTGCTCCATCAGTACATGAAGCTCCTTTTTAAAATAAGAATAGGCTGGGCGCGGTGGCTCACGCTTGTAATCCCAGCACTTTGAAGGCCAAGATGGGCAGATCACGAGGTCAGGAGTTCAAGACCAGCCTGGTCATCATGGCGAAACCCCGTCTCTACTAAAAATACAAAAATTAGCCAGGTGTGGTGGCAGGTGCCTGTAATCCCAGCTACTTGGGAAGCTGAGTCAGGAGAATCGCTTGAGCCTGGGAGGCAGAGGTTGCAGTGAGCTGAGATCATGCCACTGCACTCCAGCATAGGCAACAGAGCAAGACTCCGTCTCAAAAAAATATAAATAAATAAAAAATTTAAAAAAAAACAAAAATAGTCCAGGCACGATGGCTCACGTCTGTAGTTCTAGCACTTTGGGATGCTGAGGCAGGCAGATCACCTGAGTCCGGGAGTTCGAGACCAGGCCAACATGGTGAAACCCATCTCTACTAAAAAATACAAACATTAGCTGGGTGTGGTGGCGCACTCCTAATCCCAGCTACTTGAGAGGCTCAGGCACAAGAATCACTTAACCCGGAAGGCAGAGGTTGCAGTGAGCTGAGATGGTGCCACTGCACTCCAGCCCGGGAGACAGAGCAAGACCCTGCTCAAAAATAAAAATAAAAAATAAAAAAAATAAGAATAAGGTAAAATATGTTTCTGTTTGAAAAGAACTGTACAAATGAAGTCAGACCTGCAAAACCTCCTTTGTTTTCATGCATGCAAGTTGTAAAAATAATTACGTTTTACTCCTTTAAAGACAACTAAATGAGGGTGCTTAGATCATTAAATACACACACACACACACAAAACTGGCTAATTTCAGATCATCTGGTGGGTCAATAGTGTTTTATACTCAGATTCTTTTAAGTAACATGACCTGTTATTGTCAGAATATAAAAATGTCAAAAGCTTCTCTTTTTTCTGATATACTAGATCTAATTTGCATCTAAATGCAAAAGCTTTTTAGCATATGACAAAACACCCTTGCCAAGCTGATGGACGACTTTTGAGACAGATCTGGTTAATACACAGAGGCCAACATTTTGTTAATTGGATTTGCTAAACAATATCTACCACAGCCTCACTGAAACTCTTTGGTAATTCCTTTTATATAAGATTAAACCAAACATACCCCGAGAAGCATACTTATCTTTGAAAGCAAGCATCTTCCATTCTGGATCCAAATATGAATCAATTATTTTCAGTGTTTTGGATAGACTCTTTTTCCCCTCCCCATGCACCTTTCTTGATGCTTTAAATGAAAACCAAGGAAAGATGGTTTAAAAAGTAAAATACCAGGCCTGGCGCAGTAGCTCACACCTGTAATCCCAGCACTTGGAGTCTGAGGCAGGAGGATCACTTGAGCTCAGGACTTTTGAGATCAGCCTGGGCAATATAGGGAGACATAGTCTCTACCAAAAATTTTTTTTTTTATTAGCTGGGCATGGTGGAGCACACCAGTAGTCCCAGCTACCCAGGAGGCTGAGATGGGAGGATTATTTGAGCCAGGGAGGTTGAGGCTGCAGTGAGCTGTGTCTGGGTCACTGCGCTCCAGCCTGGGTGACAGAGCAACACCCTGTGTCAAAAACAAACAAACAAACAAATAAACAAACAAAAAAACAGTAGAATAGCTCCAAGTTTCCTTAAGGGACAATCTGAGAGCCTTTCTTCTCAGAGGGAGCACTGACAGCCATCAAAGGGACCTCTAAGATTTCACATAATATTCTTCTCTTGCCTCCCAATTTTAGGCCTTTGCTTTTTTACTTTCCTCTAACAATAGGTGGTCTCCAACTCACTCATCTGAGTTATTAATGACCCATCCACACAATGGCTCCTTAACCATGATCTCAGCCACCATAATGCCTGACACTGGGTCTCCAACAATTACCCTCAAACTCACCTCTCCACTCCTGGCTTTTCTGTGGTTTCCTCGCCTCCAGGGGGACAGGCGGAGCCACCTCTCCTTATCTAGTTTCCAGCAGATAAAGATGTTTTCCTGATAACCCAAGTGGAAACTCTAAAAATGTGTTCCTGTTGAACCATGGCCACTGGGCTTTCCAATGCAAATGTGAAGGCGGTATTGATCAGCCTTTAGCTGCACTAGGCAGGTTTACTGGCTGAGCTGAGAGCCTAGTTTCCCTGCTCAGCACTGCCACCGAGAAAATACCATCTGAGTTCAAAACAACTAGTTTCAAACCACCTTCAGAAACACAGCTCTTTTATGAGTGTATCATTTTGTTTTGCTGAGACGGGTTCTCGCTCTGTCACCAATGATGCTAGAGTGTAGTGGTGCCTTCATAGCTCACTGTAACCTTGGACTCCTGGGCTCCAGTGATCCTCCTGCCTCAGCCTCCTGGGTATAGGACTATAGGCACACAGCACCTCACTCAGCTAATTTAAATTAAAAAATTTTTTGTAGAGATGGGGTCTTGATAACAAAACCCAGGCTGATTTTGAACTCCTGGCTTCAAGCAGTCCTCCCACTTCAGCCTCCCAAAGTGCTGGGATTATAGGCCTGAGCCACCAGTTTTTTGTTGTTGTTGTTTTGTTTTGTTCTGAGACGGAGTCTCGCTCTGTCGTCCAGGCTGGAGTGCAGTGGGCGATCTCGGCTCACTGCAACCTCTGCCTCCGGGGTTCAAGCAATTCTCCTGCCTCAGCCTCCTGAGTAGCTGGGATTACAGGTGCGTGCCAGCACGCCCGGCTACTTTTTTGTATTTTTAGTAGAGATGGGGTTTCACCATACTAGCTAGGATGGTCTCAATCTCCTGACCTCGTGACCCGCCTGCCTTGGCCTCCCAAAGTACTGGGATTACAGACGTGAGCCACGGCGCCCAGCCAAACCACCAGTTTTTAATAGCAGGTTTTTAATAGCATTGATAGCTACTAATTGGATATACTTCAGGAAAGAAGTCACCTTTTTTTGGAGACAATAAATTTAATTTTACTGGAATTGAATTAAATTTAATTCCAGAAAAAAAATTTCTTGACATGAAAATACTACATAAACTACAAAGCTTTATGAACATATGTAGCCATTCTTCTTATTTCCAAATATTAAAATTTACATTTAAAAAAAATCTAGATATAGCTAACATTTGCCATGAAGACAGCACCACCTCCAAAAAAATTTTAGCAGAGAATTGGAGATGTGTGTGTCAATGGCACCAAATGTCTCGCTACTTTTCTACTCCCTTGATTGCTAAGACAAAACTTAAGCAATTTATAAAAATACATTTATACAAAAAAAAAAGGTAGTCAACTAGACATTTAGGTGAAGAATAGGACCGATTTATTTGCAGGGCTGGTTGAGAAGGAGGGCTTTAGGTGCATCCGTTGTCTTCCATCCACATGCACCCTCCTGCTGGCTCCTGCTGGGGACATGAAGGTGAAGGATTCCCACAGAGTTGAACAGGAGCCGAGCCCAGACCCACCTGAGCTTTTCTTCAGGCAGCAGTTCCATAAACACACTCACCAGTGCCCACCCCCGTTTGCCACACCTAATAGAGTTTAGGGGTAGAAGGTATTTAAGCAAGGCCGGGCACGATGGCCCGTGCCTGTAATCCCAGCACTTTGGGAGGCCAAGGCAGGTGCGTCACTTGAGGTCAGGTGTTCGAGACCAGCCTGGCCAACATGGCGAAACCCCATCTCTACTAAAAGTACAAATAATAGCCAGGTGTGATGGCCGGCACCCATAATCCCAGCTTCTAGGGAGGCTGATGCTTGAATCCAGGAGGCGGAGGTTGCAGTGAGCCGAGATCGCACCTCTTCACTCCAGCCTGGGTGACACAGCGAGGCTCCATTTCAAAAAAAAAAAAAAAGAAGGTGTTTAGACAGCCTCAAACTTCTTCAGTCTCACCCCCAACATATCGGGACAAAATATCAAGTTACTCTCCTCCTAGGCTGAACTGGGGGCTTTACCTTCAGCCTGCATTCCCTCTGCGCCCTCCCTGTGAATTGGCTCTCAGGGCCAATTTCTGCTTTAATCCTCATTCCTCATTCTGGTCCTGATAGAACTTATTCTATAATCGGGTATTTTCATCTTTTACTTTTTTTTCTTTTCTCCCTTCCCTCTCTTCCTCCCTTCCTCGCTTCCTTCCTTCGACAGTGCCTAACATGTACCAGACACTAGGAGAATGGTACAAAAGTGATCAAAAATAAATCTAGGGCCTGGCACAGTGGCTCACACCTGTAATCCCAGCACTTTGGGAGGCCGAGGCGGGTAGATCACTTGAGGTCAGTGATCTCAGTGTTTGAGACCAGGCTGACCAATATGGTGAAACCCCATCTCTACTAAAAATACAAAAATTAGCCTGACGTGCACCTGTAATCCCAGCTACTTGGGAGGCTGAGGCAGGAGAATTGCTTAAACCCGGGAGGTGGAGGTTGCACTGAGCTGAGATCCTGCCATTGTACTCCGGCCTGGGCAACAAGAGTGAAACTCCGTATCAAAAAATAAAAAAATTAAAAATTAAAAAAATCTGACCTCAGAGTGTAGTAGAAATGATAAATAATAATTATATAGTCACACAAATGTGTAGTTGCAACTTCATACAGGTCAATGAAGGAATGTTACATCATGCTAGGACAGCATATACCATAAGAAAAGAGGGCTGTTCAGCAGAAGCTGTGATCTGAAAGACAAGTGGCAGCTAGATGAAGCAGGAAAGGAAATAGCATGGGCACAGAGGTGAGGGGGGTGGGCATAGCCTGTTCCAGGTTCTGAAGAATATGGCTTGAGAAAGAGGACAAGAGATGTCTGATGAGGGATGAGCCAGGAAAGAAGGGTAGGGGCTAGATCTTACAAAGCCCTTGTGGTTTAGCAAATAAAAATACAAGATGCCAGGTCAAATTTAATTTCAGATAAACAATGAATAATTGCATAGGACATACCTAAAAATAAAAAAGTACTCACTATCAGCTGAGTGTGGTGGCTCATGCCTGTAATCCCAGCACTTTGGAAGGCCGAGGTGGGTGGATCACTTGAGGTCAGGAGTTCGAAACCAGCCTGGCCAACATGGTGAAATCCTGTCTCTACTAAAAATACAAAAATTAGCCAGGTTGTGGTGGCAAGTGCCTATAATCCCAGCTACTTGGGAGGCTGAGGTGAGAGAATTGCTTGAGCCTGGGAGGCAGAGGTTGCAGTGAACCGAGATTGCACCACTGTACTCCAGCCTAGGTGACAAAGCGAGACTCTGTCTCAAAAAAATATATAAATAGATAGATAGATAGATAAATAAAATTTATTATCTGAAATTCAGATTAACTGGGCATCCCGTATTCTACTTGGCAACCCTATTTGTAGGTCAAGGTAAGGATTTGATTTTGCTCATATCCTGAGAATAAGGTATTAAAGGGTTTTAAGCAGGGAGTGGAATAATCGGATTTGAATTTTAATAGATCATACTGGCTACAGATTGGAAGAAGGCAACAAAGAAGCAGGGAGACCAGGAAGCAATTATTGCGGTCCAAGAAAGAGATGGGACTGGGAATGGGGGCGGGGCCAGTGGAGAAGGAGAGAGGTAGACAGGTTGAGCTATATTTAGAAGATAAAATCCACAGTACTTGGCAACCTACTCCAGTCCCACTGCTTTATATTCCTATCATGTGCCAATGATACCTCAATCTATATCACCCGCCTGGGCTCTGCCAGGAACTCCAGCATCATATGGGATACAGCTTATTTGGCATCTCACTTAACACAGCCAAAATAGAAATTTGGGTATGGCTTCTCCAAACAACCCTTGCAAATGTGCTACTCCCCTGCCTAGACTTCCCCATTTCAGTAGGGAACACCCCAATCCACCTGGTCACTCAAGGTAAATGTGCAGAACATGCCTTTGATTCCTCCCTCCCTCTCACCATCACACTCAACCCATCTGCCACCCTGTCAACTCTCCCTCCAAATCACATCCTGAATTGATCCACTTTTCCCTATCTCCGCTATCACCACCTACCACAAGCCACTATCTCTTGTATCCTCAAAATTGGTATTTCTGCTTCTGCTTTTTATCCCCTATGAGCTATTCTCTGCTTGAGAGCCAGCGTGATCCTTTCAAAACAGAAATCAGACCTTAGCTTAAAACTTTTTTTTTTTTTTTTTTTTTTTTTTTTTAGGCCAGGCGCAGTGGCTCACGCCTGTAATCCCATTACTTTGGGAGGCTGAGGCAGGGAGATCACGAGGTCAGGAGATCAAGACCATCCTGGCCAACATGGTCTTGATCTCCTGACCTCGTGCTCATGGTCTACTAAAAATGCAAAAATTAGCTGGGTGTGGTGGCAGATGCCTGTAATCCCAGCTCCTTGGGAGGCTGAGGCAGGAGACTCGCTTGAACCTGGGAGGCGGAGGTTGCAGTGAGCCGAGATCGCGCCACTGCGCTCCAGCCTGGGTGACGGAGCAAGGCTCCATCTCAAAAAAACCAAACAAACAAACATAAAATAACAATTGTTAGTGAGGATATGGAGAAACTGGAACCCTTGTGTACTTCTGACGGAAATGTAAAATTGTGCAGCTGCTGTGCAAAACAGCATGGTGTTTCCTCAAAAAATTAAAAACAGAATCACTGTGTGATCCAGCTATTCTACTTCTGGTTATATAGCAAAAAAAAACAAAGCACGATCTCAAGGGGATATTTGTATACCCATGTTCATAGCAGCGTTATTCACAATAGCCAAGA
Source organism: Homo sapiens (assembly GCF_000001405.40). NCBI lineage: Eukaryota > Metazoa > Chordata > Mammalia > Primates > Hominidae > Homo > Homo sapiens. The sequence goes on from NC_000017.11 coordinate 67,713,308, forward strand.
GGAAGCAATCCAACTGTCCATGAATGGAAGAATGGAGGAGCAAAATGTGGTATATCCATTCAACGGAATATTAGTCAGTCTTTAAAAGGAAGGAAATTCTGACACATGCTACAACAGGATGAACCTTGAAGATGTTGTGCTAAGTGAAATAAGCCAGACATAAAAGGACAAATATTTAATGATTCCATTTATCTGAGCTATGGTATTTAAATTCAGAGAGACAGAAAGTAGAATAGTGATTACCAGGGGCTGCAGAAGGGGGAATGGAGAGTTATTGTTTAATGGGTTCAGTCTGGGAAGATGAAAATGTTCCAGAGATGAATGGTGTGGTTGCAACACAGTGTGAATGTACTTCATGCCATAGAACTGCACACTTAAAAATGGTTAAAAGGCCGGGTCTGGTGACTCACGCCTGTAATCCCAGCACTTGGAGAGACCCAGGTGGGTGGATCACTTGAGGTCAGGGGTTCGAGACCATCCTGGCCAATATGGCAAAACCCTGTCTCTAGTAAAAATACAAAAATTAGCTGGACGTGGTGGCGGGCACCTGTAATCCCAGCTACTCGGGAGGCTGAGGCACAAGAATTGCTTGAACCTGGGAGGAGGAGGTTGCAGTGAGCCGAGATAGTGCCATTGCACTGCAGCCTGGGTGGCAGAGTGAGACTCAGTCTCAAAAAAAAAAAGAAGGTTAAGAGCCTGGTGCCGTGGCTCACGCTTGTAATCCCAGCTACTGGGAAGGCCAAGGCAGGAGGATCACTTGAGCCCAGGAGTTCAAGACCAGCCTGGACAACGTGGCAAGACCCTGTCTCTTTAAAAAAAAAAAAAACAAAAAAACAAACAAACAAAAAAAACAGGCCAGGTGCGGCGGCTCATGCCTGTAATCCCAGGTGTGGAAGTCTTTGGGAGGCCGAGGCGGGCGGATCACGAGGTCAGGAGATCGAGACTATCCTGGCCAACATGGTGAAACCCGTGTCTTTACTAAAAATACAAAAAACAAAACAAAACAAAAGTTGCTAAAAAGGTTAAAATGGCAATTTTATGTTACGTACATTTTAGCACAATAAAAAAATTTAAAATATACTCATTGGGTTTTGGCACCACCGGGAGGGCGCTAACATTAGGTTGAAATGTATGCCCCAAAGGATGACAAAGATCTTAGATTCTTCCTCTCTCTCTCTGATTTTTGCTGGGCAGAAAACTTCTTCAGGGGCATATGCCTAAATTCTGGTAATATTGTTCAATTATTTGCTATGGTCTGAACATTTACCGCAAAGGTTTTTTGAGTTTCTGAAACCGAAAAACATATCTTAGAGTATCTCAGATCTTATTTAAGAATCACCACAACTTTCAAATAATATAGAGATTTGGTGGCATACAAATATCTACCATTCACTTTCTTTGCTGAATGGTCCTTCTACGAATATTCCTTTGATGAAGCACTTACTGTACCCCATTCATGCAATGTACACGTCACCAGCTGTCAACCTTCCATGACAAATTTCTAATGGGTAACATCCTCCCTTTTGAATGTGAGCAGGCTTCCCTTCCTACCCATTATATATTTAGACTCATTCATTGTATATTTATCATCTGATTCTATTCTAGGAATTGAATGTGAGAGGCAATATCTTCCCCCAGTCTTCACAGCTAGGCAGCCAAGCAGCATAAACATGACAAACAATCCAGAGAGAACATCCACAACACACAGTAAAATGCACAGGGTCACAGCTGCCTTTGAAGACCAGCCTTAAATGTCTCTAACCAGTGAGGGATAGCCAGACCCTCTTCTTGCTCATTGACCTTGATGGATGCACATTGGAAGTGGAACGCCTCCTGACCCGTTCCTAGCTTAGGCTTGGTTGCAGAAGACTCCTAGTTCCCTTATTATAGCTGGTGTCCTTTCCAGAAAGGATTGTAATCTCCTTTAATAGTTTACCAAACTTAGACTCAAATTTACAGACGAATATGCAAGCACAGTTCCAGCTTTCTCAACCAGGAAGTCTTACTTTCCCTTAATGGATCAAGTCCACGTTCTATTTATTATCCTAGCTTGCAACGTTAAGTGTGACTTATTCAACAAACGTGTATTAAGCTCTTTGTATGGATCACAGACAATTGCTGGTGCCATGAATACGAAAATGTGAAGTGGCCGGGCGCGGTGGCTCAGGCCTGTAATCCCAGCACTTTGGGAGGCTGAGGCGGGTGGATCACCTGAGGTCAGGAGTTCGAGACCAACCTGGCCAACATGGTGAAACCCCGTCTCTACTAAAAATACAAAAATTAGCCAGGTGTGGGGTGGGTGCCTCTAATCCCAGCTACTCGGGAGGCTGAGACAGGAGAATCGCTTGAACCCGGGGGGCAGAGGTTGCAGGTTGCAGAGAGCCGAGATTGTGCCATTGCACTCCAGCCTTCGTGACAAGAGTGAACCTCTGTCTCAAAAAAGAAAAAAAAAGGCTGGGCGCAGTGGCTCACGCCTGTAATCCCAGCACTTTGGGAGGCCGAGGCGGGCGAATCACGAGGTCAGGGGATCGAGACCATCCTGGCTAACAAGGTGAAACCCTGTCTCTACTAAAAATACAAACAAGTCAGCCGGGCATGGTGGCGGGCGCCTGTAGTCCCAGCTCAGGAGGCTGAGGCAGGGGAATGGCGTGAACCCGGGGCGCAGAGCTTGCAGTGAGCCGAGATTGCGCCACTGCACTCCAGCCTGGGCTACAGTGCAAGACTCCGCCTCAAAAAAGAAAAAAGAAAGAAAGAAAGAAAAGCCTTGCTACTGATGGTGCCCTCATCACCTCTCACCTGGTAACTACAATAACTGCGATAGACTTCTAGGGAATCTCCCTGTTGGTGCCCCAGGCGCACTTGCTACTGAGAATGCTCTTAGTTAACTGCATGATCGCTCCCTCCCCTAGTTAACTGCATGATCGCTCCCTCCCCTCCTTCATGCCATCCTCAAAAGATACCCTTGGGCCAGGCACTGTGGCTCTGTAATCCCAGCACTCTAGGAGGCCAAGGGGGGAGGGTCATTTCAGCCCAGGAATTCAAGGTCAGCTTGGGCAATACGGTGAAACCCCATCTTTACAAAAAATACAAAAATTAGCCGGGCATGGTGGTGCATGTCTGTAGTCCCAGGTACTCGGGAGGCTGAGGTGGGAGGATAGCTTAAATCCGGGAAGCAGAGATTGCAGTGAGTTGAGACTGCGTCACTCCAGCCTGGGCGACAGAGCAAGACCCTGTCTCAAAAAAAAAAAAAAAAAAAAAAAGACATCCTCTCAAGGAGGCCTGTGGTCATCCTAGTGAAAATTTCACATACACAGACCACTCCTTCCTCCCCCACACACCCACGCTTTATCTCTCCCTTCTGAGTTTAATGTTTTTCTTCTTACCACCTATCACAAAGTAAGTTATGAAGCATAATAATAAACTATATCCTCTTGATCTCACAACCCAGCCTAAAAATTAAAAGATTATCAGAGTTCAAGATCACCTTGGGCAACAAAGCAAGACTCCATGTCTGCAAAAAATACAAAAATTAGCCGGGCGTGGTGATGGATGCCTGTAGTCCCAGTTATTCGGGAGGCTGAAGCAGGAGGATTGCTTTATTTAGCCCAAGAGTTAGAGGCTGCAGTGAGCCATGATAATGCCACTACTTTTGAACAACAAAAGACCTATTAGCATTATAAAAATAGACTGCATTTGATTCCTTCACAGTAGCTGGATATTCTCCTTTTGCCCATGTCGTCATGTTGGGGCAATGAGAAACAACACACATGGCGATCTGGTGGATGCTTAAATCTAAACTGAGGCACTTTGTCACACTGGGTACATTTGTTTAGTAATTGCCTATTAAATGGTTTCTCCCTAAGAACATCACAATTTATCTTTACTTATTTATTTAACATTATTGATTGAATCTGCCATGCTTATCTGAGAAACATACATTTCTCCCGGAAATAAAAACCTTGCCAAAAATCACACAGGGGACCTTCAACTTCACCTTCATCAAACTAGTCTGAATTTCCTGTAAGCTGAGGAGAGATTTTCCCCACTGGGGCTCAGAGAAGGGGAGTCAGAGAACTCAGAAGGCCTGAAAGACTGAAAAGACTGGAGATCTCTAGAGGGTTCCAAGAAACTTGGGGGGAATTAAGCATTTCACGTAGGAACAGCACGTTATTGGGAGTTTACCTACAGAGATAAATATTTTTTCTTTGGCAGATCGTTCCACAAGGCCATGGATGGAATTCCTAGGGAGTTCCCTTGCAATTAAAAAAAAAAAAATCTAGCTTATTTATATTCGACCACTCCCTAGACCCATCTACAGTCTCTCAAGTCCCCACCTAGAACAGCACGCAGCCGATTCAGGACCCAGTAAGCAGCACTTCCGCGCCTACCCTATCCCTTCCTGGAGCACATCCGGGACTCGGCGAGGCGTGGTCTCGGGAGGCGGAGTCTGACGCAAGCCGGCCCAGCCCACCTGGCTAAATTCACAGTCGCGCTCGCTCCTTCCGCCCGCCAGAGGTCGCAGGCTGCGAGAGCAGGTTCCTGGTTTGGCAAGCACTCGCCCCCTCAGGCCCGTTCATTCTCGCGAGAGAAAGCGCGAGGCCTGCCGGGAGTGAGCGCGGCCGTACTTAGGTTTGCTCAAAATGGCAGCGCTGGAGGAAGAATTCACGTTGTCTTCGGTAGTCCTGAGCGCCGGGCCTGAAGGACTCCTAGGCGTGGAGCAGAGCGACAAAACAGACCAGTTTCTAGTGACAGACAGCGGCAGGACAGTCATCCTCTATAAGGTGAAGGCAATAGGTTTGGGAGCGCCCCGACTGCCTTCTCGCCCCTTTCTGAGCGCGGAGCTCGAGCTCAAGTTTCTCACAGCTTCAGAAAGAGATCGTGGAGAAGGCTTAGCAGAGAGCCGGCTGGGCCTGTTGGGGACGCTGAGTGAGGTCTGGAATCTGGCTTGCTTGCCTTCCTGTAAAGGCATATTTCCGACTTGCAGGGGCAGAGCGTCTGAGTGCACGTGGGTTAGACTCGGAAAAGAAAGAAAACCTGTGCTTTTGCTTCGGAACTCGCGGAATTGGCCTTGCTAAGATTCCCTCCTAGGGTCTTTATTATCTTAGCCGCCCGCGGGAGGATGGAACGGAGATTGGTTGGGCGGGAGAGGATGACACTGACAGAGTGGGAATAGTGGTTTAGCCGTGTCTACACTTCACACCCCTCTCTTTGTAGGGGCGGGGACAATTTTAGAGAGTGAGGGACTTTCTTGATAGCTCGCTAAGAATCTTGCCTCCAAGTGAGTTGTCTGTTGGCATCTCTGATTCACGCTGGGAATCCTGGAGTTGAGTCCTGGGAAAATCTGCAAGCCCTGCCCCCATTTCAGCCTAAAGCCTGATAGAGAACACTTTCTAACCTTGCTTTTGGTGGTCGCATAGAAAGCAGTTACTTTTCTCTGGGCTGCTGAACATAGTTTTCCATGTTTTAAAGAAGTTAGGTATCTGCTTTGACGTTTTGAGAACAGGTTGCTAACAGCTCCCTGTGCCGTTTTGACTCTGCTAACTCTATTGGGTTTCACTTGGGATGTCAAGTAGATTTGCAGTTTTGCAGCTCCTGCATAGGAATACAATGGCAGATTGGAATTGGATAGACATGATCCCAGATGTCCCTACTTAATTTCCCATGCCGCTGTTCAGAGGCATAACTTCCCATGCAGAGGCATAATATAATCAATTTTTAAATGTACTATTGTTTTTTTAACAAAGGGTTGCTTATTTACTTATTTAGGAACTTAGTTATATTTTCATTTTAACTACCCTTTTAGAGGTTTGGCCGGACGCGGTGGTTCACGCCTGTAATCCCAGAACTTCGGGAGGCCCAGGTGGGTGGATCACTTGAGGTCAGGAGTTCGAGACCAGCCTGGCCAACATGGTGAAATCCTGTCTCTGCTAAAAATACAAAAATTAGCCGAACGTGGTGAGGTGCGCTTGTAATTCCAGAGGTTTGGGAGGCCGAGGTGGGTGGAGCGCAGTGGCACGATCTCGGCCCACTGCAACCTCCACCTCCCGAGTTAAAGCGATTCTGCTGCCTCAGCCTCCTGAGTAATTGGGGTTACAGGCGCACGCCACCACGCCCGGCTAATTTTTGTGTTTTTAGTAGAGACAGGGTTTCACCATGTTGGTCAAGCTGGTCTCGAACTCCTGACCTCGTGATTTGCCCACCTTGACCTCTCAAAATGCTGGGATTACAGGCGTGAGCCACTGCCCTCGGCCAGTAAATTTTTTAAATGCTGTCATTTTAATGGTTTCTTTTATTGATTATAAACTTAATTGCTTTTAATGTTTGAAGTTGACTTCTTGAATATTGTATTTATCTTAATTTCATTAGGTTTCTGATCAGAAACCCTTGGGGAGCTGGTCAGTGAAACAAGGTCAAATTATAACATGTCCAGCTGTGTGCAACTTTCAAACTGGAGAGTATGTTGTTGTACACGATAATAAGGTGAGTTTTAAAACTTTTGTATAATATATACAATATAAATGTTGATTATTAACTATTTGTATTTATTATATGTAAATGGAGAATAGGATAGTTTTTAACTAGTATGTTTTGATTTAAGGTTTTAAGAATATGGAATAATGAAGATGTAAACCTGGATAAAGTATTTAAAGCTACAGTAAGTCTTTGAATTTTCCAACATATTTGTTTAGCTTATTGGTGAATTAGAATCATTCATAATAAAGTATGTGTTATTTATTTTAATACCTCTGGGAAAATAAGCATAAGGTCCTAATCAGGTTTTCATTCTAATTATCTTACAATGTATCTTGGTAACATGTCTCCATGAGTTAAGGAGATGAGGATTTATATAATTGATGAATGAGAAATTTATACTTATTTCCATGAGTTTGGATGTTTGGAGTGTGTCTTTTGTGAGAGCAAAATGAACTTCTGTGCCCTTTCTTAGAATAGGTAGAATAGACCCTGCAAGTTTCGTGTATTGGTGTATTGTACTTTTTTTTTTTTTTTTTTGAGACGGAGTTTCGCTCTTGTCCCCCAGGCTGGAGTGGAATGGCTCGATCTCGACTCACTGCAACCTCCGCCTCCTGGGTTCAAGCGATTCTCCTGCCTCAGCCTCCCGAGTAGCTGGGATTACAGGCATGCACCACCATGTCCAGCTAATTTTGTATTTTTAATAGAGACAGGGTTTCACCATGTTGGCCAGGCTGGTCTTGAACTCCTGACCTCAGATGATCCACCCACCTCAGCCTCCCAAAGTGCTGGGATTACAGGCATGAGCCACTGCGCCTGGCCCATGTATTGTACATTTTGAAGAGTGGCACATAATACAGTAAAAAATAAAATAAAAACATGACTAGCTGTGCATGTTCTACTGATGACCTAGAGTGTGTTCATTTTTTCTTACTTATAAAATGAGGATCTTAAACTAGGTTAATCTTGAAAGTTCTTTCCAGTTCTAAATGTCTAAATATAATTGGCACATTTTAGAAGTGGCTCACAATAGGGTTAATTCAGATATAATGCAGTTGTTGCCTGGATCCTTGAAACTTCTAGCTAGCTAGCTGTGCTGTTCCCTGGCTCCATTCTTTTCATTTACCTTGAAATTCATAACACAATCCTGAATTTTAAACAGTGGGGGTTTTTTTGTTGTTTTCCTCACACACGGTGTTAACTTCTTTTTCTGGAATTGCAGGCTGTAGTTACAATTGTGGCATTAGTTTTTATCTAACACCAGAATTGCATGTACCTCTGCATGAATGGCTTATCTGTATCTTTCCCAGTTTTAAGAAACCCAGGTTTTAGCCTAACCTCTAGTAGTCACAACGGGTAAACCAAAAATGAATTTACAGATTAAAGCAGGGACTAGGTAGAGAGGATAAGAGAAAAAGTTAAGACTTCTAAATGTGTTTTGTGTTGTAGGTTAGATTTTGGAACCATACATAATTATAAAGCAAAATTAATTCAAAATGAAAATAAAGCAGTCACTTAAAAAGAAGCCTTCTCTAAATATCCTTATATTAGGTATAAATTGTTTTAGAATAAAAATTAAAATTTTTTATGTTCTTCCAGTTGTCAGCAGAAGTATATAGGATACTTTCAGTGCAAGGGACAGAACCCTTGGTGCTCTTCAAGGAAGGTGCTGTTCGTGGTTTAGAGGCCTTGCTTGCAGACCCCCAGCAGAAAATTGAAACTGTTATCTCTGATGAAGAAGTGATTAAGTAAGTTCCAGTACTTGTAAGTAAATTTATCAAAATAAAAATGCACTGAACATTTTTTTGCCTTGTTCAAAAGTATTTTGGTTATAAACATAATGAAAGTAACCTAATTAAAAATCACTTACAAAACACTGACTAAAACAACATCCTAAAAAGCCTCTGGGCATGAAGATTGAAGAAACCATAGAGTCATATGAAGTCTTGACAGAACTGGATACTTAGTTATTTGAGGATGAAATGTGTTATCCCAAAAGACCAAAATCTTTTTGTTCCTCTCATATTGCCCTGACTACCAAGCTCCCATCCTTGTCCCCTGGCTAAAAGTGCATCGTGTTAGTGAAATCATGATGCATTAAGACCTCTGCTTTCCCAGATTCTGAAATAAAACTGGAAAAATGACTCATCAAGGGATAGAAGGACACTTCATGATTCCACATCTTTCTGATACTCTTTATTTCATCACATTTCCTGTTCATTTTACTTGTTTTCTCCAGGTCCACCTGGTAGAAACTAATTTTCTAAAAGTCAGAGTGAAGACTGGTACTTACAACGTGGCCAATAACCAGTTATATATTAGACTGACCTGATGAATCCCTCTAAGGTGTGAGCAACTGTTGTGAGGGAAATCCTTGGAGGATTTGAGTTCTAGTTGCTGCTTTGCCACAAACTGTGCAGCCAGTAACTTCTCTATGCCTCAGCTTCCTCTATATTGAGATCTTAATGTTTTCCTCAGAACACGAGTCCCAAAAGTAACTCTGAAGAAAATGAGGTAGGGGAGTCAATTTAAGTTTGGGAAGCACTGCATCTCCCCTCTTAGAACTTTAAAATTCACATTATCATCTGGGGAGTTCAATAACCTGCATTTAATCCAGAGCTGCATTTGACAAATGCGTATTGCTTGTGGTATATGTTTCAAAACGCCCAATTAAGTGTTCTCTGATGTCTTTCTGGTTCTAAAAAATATTTAATGAAAACTTTGATTAAATTTTGATTGATATGTGTCTCCCAGCTGGTGATTTTTGCATCCTATAATTTTTCTTTTTTCTTTTTTTGTAGATGGACAAAGTTTTTCGTAGTATTCAGACATCCTGTTTTAATTTTTATTACTGAAAAAGTAAGTGATATCTTCAATTCCTGGCCCATTTTGTGAAATTTCTTTAAAAAAAAAAAATTTATTTAGAGACAGGGTGTTGCCCTGTCACCCAGGCTTGAGAGCAGTGGTGCCACGATGGTTCACTGCAGCCTCAACCTCCTGGCTCAAGCAGTCCTCCCACTTCAGCCTGCCGAGTTGCCTCGTAGCTGGGACTACAGGCATGCACTACCATCCTGGCTTATGTTTTATTTTTTGTAGAGACAGGGTCTCACTGTATTGCTCAGGCTGGTCTCGAACTCCTTGGGCTGAAGGGATCCTCCTGCCTTGGCCTTTCAAAGTCCTGGAATTACAGGTGTGAGCCACTGTGCCCAGCTGTGAAATTTCAAAACTTTTTTTTTTTTTTTTTTTTTTTTGAGATAGAGTTTCGTTCTTGTTGCCCAGCCTGGAGAGCAATGGTGCGATCTCAGCCCACCGCAGCCTCCTCCTCCCGGGTTCAAGTGATTCTCCTGCCTCAGCCTCCCGAGTAGCTGGGATTACAGGCATGCACCACCACGCCCAGCTAATTTTGTATTTTTAGTAGAGACGGGGTTTCTCCATGTTGGTCAGGCTGGTCTTGAACTCCCAACCTCAGGTGATCCACCCACCTCAGCCTCCCAAAGTGCTGGGATTACAGGCGTGAGCCACTGCGCCTGGCGCAAAACCATTATTTTTTAAACTAAAATGTGACTTCGTTATTCTCTCAGAAGATCTCTAATTTTTTTTTTTTTTTTTTTTTTTTTTTTTTTTTTTTTGAGACGATTCTCCCTCTGTCACCCAGGTTGGAGTACAGTGGCACAATCTCGGCTCACTGCAACCTCTGCCTCCTGGGTTCAAGCGATTCTCCTGTCTCAGCCTCCCAAGTAGCTGGGACTACAGGCGCCCACCACTACTCCTGGCTAATTTTTGTATTTTTAGTAGAGACAGGGTTTTGCCATATTGGTCAGGCTGGTCTCGAACTCCTGACCTTGTGATCCACCGACTGCGGCCTCCCAAAGTGCTGGTATTACAGGTGTGAACCACCAAGCCCAGCCTCTAACTTTTTTATGACCTTTTAAATTTAAGGCTGGGTGTGGTGACCTCATCTCTATTAAAAAAAAAAAAATAGTGTAGCATGGTAACACACACCTGTATTCCCAGATATTTGGGAGGCCGAGGTGGGAGGATTGCTTGAGCCTGGGAGGTGGAGGTTGCAATGAGCTGAGATCACACCACGGTAGCCCAGCCTGGGCCACAGAGCAAGACCCTGTCTCAAAACAAACAAATTTGATAGCATAAGATGTTTTTAAGTACTCATTGATGTAAGTAGAATGGGGTGACAACTTCTGGTTTTAACATATGTTAAAATACTTGGTTGAAATGGGAATATTTATAAAATAACCTTTTTTTTTTGCAGCATGGAAATTACTTTGCTTACGTGCAAATGTTTAACTCACGTATCTTAACCAAATATACACTCTTACTTGGACAAGACGAAAACTCTGTTATAAAGAGTTTTACTGCATCTGTAGATCGGAAATTCATCTCTTTGATGTCATTAAGTAAGTTTTCTTTCTTTAAACTTTCAGAGATTATAAATAGAGGATTGTTATAGGATAGTGTATGTTTTTGAATCGTAGACTTTGTGAAGCATTCAGTTACAGCCATTTCTGTGCTTCTTTACAGCGTTCATGCCTTCACTTTTTTTTTTTTTTTTTTTGAGACAGAGTCTCGCTCTGTCGCCCAGGCTGGAATGCAGTGGCACAACCTCTGCTCACTGCAACCTCTGCCTCCCAGAGTCAAACAATTCTCCTGCCTCAGCCTCCTGAGTAGCTGGGATTACAGGCGCCCACCCCCACATCTGGCTCATTTTTGTATTTTTAGTAGAGACGGTTTCGCCATGTTGGTCAGGCTGGTCTCCAACTCCTGACCTCAGGTAATCCACCCGCCTTGGCCTCCCAAAGCGCTGGGATTACAGGTGTGAGTCACCTCGTGCGGCCCATGCCTTTGCTTTTTGTACTTTGCATGTCTGGCCATGCATTAGATCAGTGATCCTGTGTTTTGAGGGCCTATTGAAGTACTTTAGATACAGCATCCTTTTCTAACATTGCTTCTTTATATTTTATGTCTTAAAATTTACCATAAGCTGGCCGGGCATTGTTCACGCCTGTAATCGCAGCACTTTGGGAGGCTGAGGTGGGCAGATCACAAGGTCAGGAGATCGAGACCATCCTGGCTAACATGGTGAAACCCCGTCTCTACTAAAAATACAAAAAATTAGCCAGGCATGGTGGCGGGTGCCTGTAATCCCAGCTACTCTGGAGGCTGAGGCAGGAGAATGGTGTGAACCCAGGAGGCGGAGCTTGCAGTGAGCTGAGATCGTGCCAGTACACTGCAGCCTGGGGGACAGAGCGAGACTCGAGACTCGTCTCAACAAAACAAAACAAAAAAATTTACCATAAGCAATAAGTAACAATGTTAATACCAGTGAAAAAGAGAAATCACTTTTTAGCTGATAAGGCCCAGGTTCTTTGAGTGTAATTAGTGAAACATAAACTGTCTATGCTTGGCATTGAATGGCCCCTCTGCTCCTTTTTTCCAACCATTAGATTTAGTATGCCCTTCCTTGAATAGCAACTGAGACAGATGGGCAAAAGGAGACTAACAGCAGCTTTGGCCCATGCCAGTTGCTTTTTATTATAGATTGTAATACCTTTATGAAATGGTCTAAAGTATAACCCCAGTCTTAGGCCTCTAGGGCGGGGAAGAAAAAAAAAAGTCTTTGTGGTACCCTCTCCCCTCCACCCTTCATGGCTGCTTTTGAAGTTGTTCTGAGAAGGTGAAGGAGAAGTAAACAAGAGCAATACATAGGAAACATTTCCATATTATCACAATTAAAAATCTTTGTGAAGTTTTTCAGTGTGCAAATGTTTGCGGTGGCTATTTTTTAAAAGGCTCCTATCATTTTCATATCTTGGGGGCTATTGGAATGTACTTAATGTTTAGCTTAATGAACTTTGAAGTGAGGAAGTGTGCACCAAAGGGTTATATAAATCTTTACGTAACAATTGCTAGAACCACATGAAACTGCCGAAATTCAGTTGGCCCACAAGAAAGAGCAATTTCATAAGGTTTTCAGGGTGATGAGGTAGGAAGAATTATAATAAACTAAGCACACTGGCTCACACCTGTAATCCCGGTACTTTGGGAGACCAAGGCAGGAGGATCATTTGAGCCCAGGAGTTGGAGACCAGCCTGGGCAACATAGCGAGACCCTATGTCTAAAAGAAAATTTTTTTTAATTAGCTGGGTGAGGTTTGTGCACCTGTAGTCCCCGCTATTTGGGAGGCTGAGGTGAAAGATAGATCACTTGAGCCCAGTAGGTTGAGGCTACAGTGAGCTGTGATCACACCACTGCACTGTAGTCTTGGGCCACAGAGTGAGACCCTGTCTCAAAAAAACAAACAAGAAAGAAAGGTAACGTATAGACCAGATGCTAATTACTTTCTAATGAGGGATATATCCTTTTAGGGACTAGATGATCTATATTCTTGGGAGTCCCCCTCAATATTTTAAGTTATTGCAGGTATTTACAGTTTGTATTTCTTGACTATTACATTTCTTACTGAGATTTTTATTAATAGTACTTCTTTCCCCAGTTTAAATTTGTGGTACTCTTTAAGAGAAAGCACAGTGATGGGATTGTTTATTTTTCTGGTTGGCTGTTTTATCAAATTGGTAAAATCTTATAAACAACCTAGTACATTTAACTGTAATAGATATAGAAGTATCCTTCAATAACCAACAACAAATGCTTGTTTCCAACAGGCTCTGATGGTTGTATATATGAAACCTTGATACCAATACGTCCAGCTGACCCAGAAAAAAATCAGAGCTTAGTTAAATCACTGCTGCTCAAGGCTGTTGTATCTGGTAACGCTCGAAATGGAGTTGCACTCACTGCCCTGGATCAGGATCACGTCGCAGTCCTAGGAAGTCCACTAGCAGCTTCTAAGGGTAACTGACATCCAATTCATTAAGAAGGCCTTTGTATGTTTCCTTCACGGTGTACCTTTTAGTCTTCCTTTTCTTTTTCATTTCGTTATTACCCAGACTAATTCATTCTCTTTATCAGCATACTCAATTTTTTTTGTGCCTTCCTAATTCTTCTTGAATTGGTTTTTATTTTTATTTTGCATTGATCTTTCAAAAACACTTCTTGCTATCACCACCATGCTCATAACTATGTCATAAAGAAATAAAAATGGCGAATATACTAGTCACCATCATACTAGCCTGCAGGTATTTGAAACATTAGTAAGCCTACATTTGAGGATTGGATTCTTGGCAACATTTCACATCATGGAAATCCACTGGACATGAACACCTTGAAATGTGGGAACTAATAGTGTACCTTTGGACTCCGTGACTTCTGAACAGGATTCTCATCGCCACCTTGCCTCCTTACCCACCAACTCCCCGCCAGACTTCCTAGTCAGTCATGAAGAACACGATTGCTCCTTGCCAGTGCAGGATAGCAGACCCCAGCCTTCACTAGAAAACTCAGACTCTGTCGTTTAGCATAAGTCCCTTCACAGCCTAGACCTGTCCACCTTTTCCAACCTTTTCTCCCAAATTCTGAGCAAGAACCCTCTGCTTTATTCAGGCAGTGCTCTCTATTGACCACACATTTGATATGCCCATCCTCACCTGTGTACTTTGTTCTGTGTTTCTCCTGCTTATTATTAACATAGGAGCAAGGCTCAATGCCTATAATCCCAGCACTTTGGGAGGCCTAGGCAGGCAGATCACCTGAGGGGAGCTCGAGCCAGCCTGACCAACATGGAGAAACCCCGTCTCTATTAAAAATACAAAATTAGCTGGGTGTGGTGGCGCATGCCTGTAATCCCAGCTACTCAGGGGGCTGAGGCAGGAGGATCGCTTGAACCTGGGAGGTGGAGGTCGCAGTGAGCCAAGATCACACCATTGCACTCCAGCCTGGGCAACAAGAGCGAAACTCCGTCTCAAAAAAAAAAAAGATAGGAGCTCCTGCCAGGCACAGTGGCTCACGCCTGTAATCCCAGCACCTGGGGAGGCTGAGACAGGCAGATTGCTTGAGGCCAGGAGTTCGAGACCAGCTTGGCCAACATGGTGAAACTCCATGTCTCTACCAAAAATACAAAAAATCACCTGGGCTTTTTGGCGCACAAACCCAGAAGGTGGAGGTTGCAGTGAGCCGAGATTGCACTATGCACTCAACCTGGTCAACAGAGTGAGACTTTGTCTCAAAAAAAAAAAAAAAAAAAAAAAAAGAGCTCCTGGTTATAGTATAACTATACCATGTGCGAGCCGGGCACAGTAGCTCATGCCTGTAATCCCAGCACTTTGGGAGGCCAAGACGGGCTGATCACAAGGTCAGCAGATCAAGACCATCCTGGCTAACATGGTGAAACCCCGTCTCCACTAAAAATACAAAAAATTAGCCGGGTGTGGTGGTGGGCACCTGCAGTCCCAGCTACTCGGGAGGCTGAGGCAGGAGAATGGCGTGAGCCTGGGAGGCAGAGCTTGCAGTGAGCTGAGATCACACCACTGCACTCCAGCCTGGGGGACAGAGCAAGACTCCGTCTCAGAAAATAAATAAATAAATAAATAAAATAACTACCATGTGCCTGGCACTTTACTAAGATTATCTCATTATTTGTATCATTTAGTCCTCTACCATTTAGGAGGAAATAAAGTTGTTACTATCCCCCTTTACAAAACAGGAAACTGAGGTATGAGGTAACTAAGTAGTGGAACTAGGATTCAACCCGAACAGGTGAACTCTGTTAAGCCATGTACCCTGCCGCTCTTAAGTCCTGGCTCTTGACCACTTCACTAAGCTGTGCTTCTCCTCTCTCTTCTCCCATCTTCCTCTCTTTCTTATTTCTGCTCTACCTCCCTGCCAAAAAAACCCGGTGGCTACTATAGAGTTTCCTGTGTCTCTTCCTATGGTTTTTTTTTGGTCCATATACAAGCAAATACTACTACTTAAGGGGTTTTTTCCCCTCCTCGTTTAACACAAATGGTAGCACACCATGCATACTGTTGTGTACCTTGTTTATTCACCTACCCAAGATCTCTCAGAGATCATTCCATATAATATTATTTGTTAATCTTCCTTGCTTTTTGAATAGCTGTGTAATATTTCACCGAAGGGTGGCCCCACAGTGTGCTTCATCATTCTCCCATTGCCAGACATGAACCATCTATTCTGTTTTTTTAAATTAAGATGAAATTCATATAACATAAAATTAATCGTTTTATTTTTTAAATTTTGTAATGCTCTTTTTAATTTTCATTTCTTTTTTCATTGTTTACTTTCATTTATCTTTAATTTTTGGTAGGCCCTTGTAGAAGAAATTAAAGTGAAGGAGTCACTGGTGTTCGTTGTGCATCTACTTCTGTCTAGTTTTTTTTGTTGTTGTTGTTTTTTTTTTTGAGACAGAGTTTTAGTCTTGTTGCCCAGGGTGGAGTGCAGTGGCGGGATCTCGGCTCACTGCAACCTCTGCCTCCCAGGTTCAAGCGATTCTCCTGCCTCAGGCTCCCAAGTAACTGGGATTACAGGCATGTGCCACCACACTTGGCTAATTTTTTTCCTTTTTCTTTTTGTATTTTTTGTATTTTTAGTAGAGACGGGGTTTCACCATGTTGGTCAGGCTAGTCTTGAACTCGTGACCTCAAGTGATCCACCCACCTTGGCCTCCCAAAGTGCTGGGATTACAGGCGTGAGCCACTGCACCTGGCCAACGTCTTGTTTTAAAACATTTTCATTATGTCAAAAGGAACCTGTGGACCCATTAGGCAGTTGCTCCTCATTCTCCTCTGCCCCCTACCCTTGGCAACCACCAATTTGCATTCTTCTATGGATTTACCTTTTTGGGATACTTTGTGTAAATGAAATCATACAATACTTTTTTTTTTTTGAGGCAGAGTCTTGCTCTGTCTCCCAGGCTGGAGTGCAGTTGCGCAATCTCGGCTCACTGCAAGCTCCGCCCCCCGGGTTCATGCCATTCCCCTGACTCAGCCTCCCGAGTAGCTGGGAATACAGGCGCCCACCACCACGCCTGGCTGATTTTTTTGTATTTTTAGTAGAGACGGGGTTTCACCTTGTTAGCCAGGATGGTCTCGATCCCCTGACCTCATGATCCGCCCACCTCGGCCTCCCAAAGTGCCGGGATTACAGGCGTGAGCCACCGCGCCCGGCCCATCATACAATACTTTTTGTGTCTGGCTTCTTTGACTTAGACTTAGCCTAATTTTTGTTTTTATATTTAGTTTTTAGTAGCTCTGAGGTCTTGCTACGAGCTCCTCCTGCCTCAGCCTCCCATAGTGTTGGGATTACAGACAAGAGCCACCACGCCTGGCTAGCCAAATGTTTTTGAGGTTCATCTACCTCGTTGCATGTATCAGTGTTTCATTCCTTTTCATGGTAGAGTAATATTCCATTGTATATATATAACAGTTTGTTATCTGTTCATCCATTCATGGATATTTTAGCTATTTCCACCTTTTGGTTATTGTGAATATCACTATGAACATTCGTGTGCATGTATTTGTGTACCAGTTTTTTTTGTTGTTTTTTGTTTGTTTGTTTGTTTTTTTGAGACAAGAGTCTCGCTCTGTCGCCCAGAGGCTAGAGTGCAGTGGTGCAATCTGGGCTCACTGCAAGCTCCGCCTCTCGGGTTCACACCATTCTTCTGTCTCAGCTTTCCAAGTAGCTGGGACTACAGGTGGGTGCCACCACACCCGGCTAATTTTTTGTATTTTTAGTAGAGATGGGGTTTCACCGTCTTAGCCAGGATGGTCTCAATCTCCTGACCTCATGATCCGCCCGCCTCAGCCTCCCGAAGTGCTGGGATTACAGGCGTGAGCCACTGCGCCCAGCTGTGTACCAGTTTTTAATTCTTTGGGATATACACCTAGCAGGGGAATTACTGGGTCATGCGTTAATTCCATATTTAGTTTTTCATTTTTTTAATTTTTATGGGTACATAACAGGTGTATGTATTTAAGGGGCACATGAGATATTTTGATACAGGCATGCAATGCATAATAATCACGTCAGGGTGAATGGGGTACCCATCACCTCAAGCATTTGTCATTCCTTTGCATTGCAAACATTTTAGTTATACTCTTTTCGTTGTTGATTGTGTTTAACTTTTTGAAGAACTGCCGAACTCCACAGTGGCCGAACCATTTTACATTCCCACCGGCATTGTACAGTGGTTCCAGTTTCCCTGCATTCTTGCTCACACGTGGCTATTTTCCATAATTTGGATTCTGGCCATTCTAGTGGGTGTGAAGTAGTACTTCATTTCGGTTTTGATTTGCATTTCCCTAATGACTAAGTGTGTTGAACATTTTTTCATATGCTCATTGTCTATTTATATGTCTTCTTTGGAGAATTGTCTATGCAAGTCCTTTGCCTATTTTTAAATAAGGTTGTCTTTTTTGTTGAATTGTAAGCATTCTTTATATATTCTAGATGCTACACCCTTATCAGACATATGATTTCCAAATATTTTCTCCCATTCTATAGGTTGTCTTCACTTGGATAATGTCCCTTCGTGCACAAAAGTTTTTTTTTTTTTTTTTTTTTTTTTTTTTTGAGACGGAGTCTCGTTCTGTCGCCCAGGCGGGACTGCTGTGGCGCGATCTCCGCTCACTGCAAGCTCCGCCTTCCGGGTTCACGCCATTCTCCTGCCTCAGCCTCCCGAGTAGCTGGGACTACAGGCGCCCGCCGCTGCGCCCGGCTAATTTTTTGTATTTTTAGTAGAGACGGGGTTTCACCGTGGTCTCGATCTCCTGACCTCGTGATCCGCCCGCCTCGGCCTCCCAAAGTCGTGCACAAAAGTTTTAATTTTCATGAAGTCCAATTTTTATTTTTCTTTCGTTGCTTGTGCTTTTGGTTCCACATCCAAGAACCCATGGCCAAATCCAAGGTCATAAAGACTTATCCCCACGTTTTCTTCAAAGAATGTTATGGTTTTAGCTCTTACATTTAGGTTGTTGATTTATTTTGAGTTATTTTTGTGTATGGTGT
Organism: Homo sapiens; assembly: GCF_000001405.40. Taxonomy (NCBI): domain Eukaryota; kingdom Metazoa; phylum Chordata; class Mammalia; order Primates; family Hominidae; genus Homo; species Homo sapiens. The sequence goes on from NC_000017.11 coordinate 67,731,717, forward strand.
AAAATAAGGGATTAACTTTGTTCCTTTGCCTGTGGCTCTCCAGTTGTCCCAGCACCACAGTGGTCCTGGCACCTTTGTTGAAAAATCAGTTGGCCCTAGATGACTCTCAATCTATTACACTGGGCCAGTACCACACTGTTTTGATTACTGTAACTTTATAATCAGTTTGGAAATCAGGAAGTATGAGCTCTCCAACTTTGTTCTTCTTTTTCAAGTTTGTTTTTGCTGTTTAGGCCCCTTACAATTATTCCATGTGATTTTGAAGACTGGCTTTTCCATTTCTGCAAAAAAGACCATTGGAATTTTGATTGAGATTGAACTGAGCCTGTAGGTTGCTTTGTGTGGTATTGCCATCTTAATATTAAGTCTTCCAATTGCTGAACACAGGATATCTCTATTTATTTATGTCTTCCTTAATTCCATTCAGCAATGTTTTATAACTTTTAGTGTACAATGCTTTCACTTGGTTAAATTTATTCCTAGGGACCGGGCGCAGTAATCACACCTATAATCCCAGCACTTTGGGAGGCCAAGGTGGCCGGATCACCCAAGGTCAGGAGTTTGAGACCAGCCTGACCAACATGGAGAAACCCTGTCTCTACTGAAAGAAAATACAGAATTAGCCGGGTGTGGTGGCACATGCCTATAATCCCAGCTACTTGGGGGAGCAGGGGTGAGGCAGGAGAATCACTTGAACCCGAGAGGTGGAGGTTGCGGTGAGCCAAGATCACACCACTGCACTCCAGCCTGGGCAATAAGAGCAAGACTCCGTCTCAAAAAAAAAAAAAAAAAATTATTCCTAGGTATTTTATTCTGTTGGATGCTAATATACATGGAATTATTTTTCTCTTTTTTTAAAAAAATGTTTTATTTTTGGAGATGGAGTCTTACTCTGTTGCAGGGCTGGAGTGCAGTGGCATGATCTTGGCTTACTGCAACCTCTGCCTCCCGCGTTCAAGCAGTTCTCCTGCCTCAACCTCCTGAGCAGCTGGGACTACAGGTGCATGCCATCATGCCTGGCTAATTTTTTATATTTTAGTAAAGACAGGGTTTCACTGTGTTGCCCCGGCTGGTCTCCAACTCCTGAGCTCAGGCAATATGTCTGTCTCGGCCTCCCAAAGTGCTAGGATTACAGGCATGAGCCACCATGCCCTGCCGGAATTTTTTTTCTTAATTTGCTTTTTGTTTTTAGTATATAGGAGCATCTGATTTTTGTATGTTGATCTTGTACCCTGCAACCTTGCTGAATTTGTTTATTAATGCTATTAATGCTAATCTTTTCCTGTGGATTCTTCGAGATCTCTATACAGGATCATGTCATCTGTGAGTAGAGTTAGTTTTACCTCCATTTAAATTTGGATTTTTGGCTGGGCGTGGTGGCTCATACCTGTAATCTCAGCACTTTGGGAGGCCGAGGTGAGTGGATCACCTGAGGTCAGGAGTTCGAGACCAGCCTGGCCATCATGGTGAAACCCCTGTCTCTACTAAAATTACAAAAATTAGCTGGGCGTGGTGGCATGCACCTGTAATCCCAGCTACTCGGGAGGCTGAGACAGGAGAATCACTTGAACCCAGGAGGCAGAGGTTGCAGTGAGCCAAGATCGTGCCACTGCACTCCAGCCTGGGCGACAGAGTAAGACTCTGTCTCAAAACAAACAAACAAAAATTGGATTTTTGTTTTTCTTCTTCTTGCCTGGCTAGAACTTGAATAGCAGTGGTGAAAATAAGCCTCCATGTCTTGTTTCTCATTTTAGGGGGACAGTTTTCAGTCTTTAACCTCTCAGTGTGATGATAGTTGCGTAGAATAGCAGTGGTGAAGAAGGCAGGGCAAGCACCTTTGTCTTTTTCCTTATCTTAGGGGGAAAGCTTTTAGTCTTTCACTGTTGAGTGATGGTAATTGTGGGTTTTTCATAGATGCCCTTTATCATGTTAAGGAAGCTCCTTCCTTTTTCCTAGCTCTCTGAGTTTTTTTTGTTGTTGTTTTTTAAGTCATGAAAGACTGTTGGAGTTTGCACAATGCTTTGTGTCAACCGAGGTGATCATATGGTTATTCCCTCTGTTCTGTTGATGTATGTGCTGCACTGATTGGTTTTCTTCTGTTAACTACCCTTTCATCCCTGGAGTCAATCCTTCTTGGTCATGGATCTTAATATTTCCCGTTGGATTTGGTTTGTTGGTATTTTGATTAGGATTTTTTTTTGCATCTATACTCATGGGGATATTGCTCTGTAGTTTTTTTGTGTGGTGTCTTTGTCCGGCTTTGGTATCAGAGCAACCAAAAGCCCAAATGAGTTTAGGAAGTATTTCCTGCTCTTTTATATTTTGAAAGAGTTTGGGAAGATTTGTGTTAAATTGTAAATTTGTAGAATTTACCAGTGAAGCCATCTGGTCTTGGGCTTTTCTTTGTTGGGTGTTTTTAATTGTTATTCCTGGTTCATAAAGCCCTCCCTTCCTCAGGGCTCACCTTTCCAGGCTTCTTCTTACCATGAGCTCTCATTTCTTCCAGTTCCTGTGGCAATCACTGTCTTCATAATTCATTTCTATACTAAAGCAAAGCATATATATTTAACTGTAACTCCCCCCTTCCCCAAAATATCATATATTTATACTTGGGACTTTTTTCTGAATTTATGTCTTATTTTATAGAATGCCTCTCTGTATGGAACATAAAATTTCAAACACTACAGACTTCAAAAGAGTTACCACAAGGGACCAGTGGTCAAGTAAGTTTTTTCACTTGAGTACTTTCTCTGATTTAGTTATTTTGTTGTGTTTTGTTTTGCTTTGTTTTGAGATGGGGCCTCACTCTGTTGCCCAGGCTGGTCTTTTACTCTTGGGCTCAAGTGATCCTCCTGCTTCAGAAATTTAGTTATTTTTCTGCCTAATAAATATGCTGTAAGGGAAGAGATCTCTTTGAACCTAAATATTTTGGCAGCTTTTCAAACCAGGTGTGGTGGTATGTGTCTGTAGTCCCTGCTACTGAGGAGGTTGAGGCAGGAATATCTTTTGAGCCCAGGAGTTCAAGGCTTCAGTGCTGTATGATTGTGCCTGTGAAGAGCTGCTGCAGTCCAGCCTGGACAACATAGTGTGATCTCATCTCTGTAAATAAATAAGTAAATAGCTTGGCAGTTATTGATCAAATTTAAGAATTATTTTTTACCTGAGGGATTATGTTTAGTTCAGTTATTGTTGAAATCACTTCCAAAATTCTAAATTTTTGCCAGAACAATTAGCTATTTAATAAAACAGCTTTTGTTTTTAGCTGCTCTTTGGTTTTGTCTTTTTACTTATGTATTTTGAACTATACCCTCAAGCTGTTACTTTTCCTAATAAATTAGTCTTTTAGATTATGTGTTAAATGTTAAATGTTACCATGAAATTACATAAAAATACTTAAAAGAATTAAAATTGAAGCTGAACAGACTGTGCACTTCCTGAGGCAGGGTTCCTTGTGAGTTTTTTTCTCCAGTGTATTTTCAGTGCTTAGCAAGGTGCACAGTAAGTTTTAGTTACTTAGTGAATGAATATTCATATACAAATAAATCAAGGCAATAGGATGTTTTGGTAATTTTAATTTGAGGATAAAGAGACAAGGTTTCTCAGCATACAATTTAATTATACTTTATATGTAAAAAAGTAATTTTAACTATTCACAATTTTTTATTGTGAATAAACTCACACTTTTTTATTACAACTTATTATTTTATTTGTTTTATCATTTTATTATTTATTATTACAAACTTTTTTTTATTTCCTTGTTCCCTCAGGCTTTTTTTTCCACATACCTGTCTTATTTTTACAATCATAAAATATAAAGTGTTAAATTCCGGTTTGTAAATTTAGTGCATTAGAAGTTTGCCCATGCTATAGTAGCCTTGGTAATTATTATGTTAATAGATGTATAATAGTGACCACATTAATTTTAAACAATTGAGTTTTTTAAAATGTATATGTTGATTAAATTTTTCTGAGTTGAAAATATTCTTTAAATTATGCTTCATTCAGACTTGGGCAAAAATAAGAGCCTATTTAATAAGCTCTGCATATAAAATTCTTCTTGAAAGTTGCTTACTTTGCCTCGTTTTTAATACTGAGCACTTATACAGTGAGTGATAAGGCTTTATTGAGTCATACCTTAGAAGAGAAAAAAATTTGCTTATGTTTTTGATAACTTTTTTTGTAGCTCTGGTATTATGGAGAACATTTGTTTATGCTACATGGAAAATCTCTAACTGTGATTCCATACAAGTGTGAAGTGTCATCATTAGCAGGTGCTCTTGGAAAACTCAAGCATAGTCAAGATCCAGGTAGAAACTTACTTCTGTTTGTTTTATTAATACAAACCGTTTTATTAACTTGTAGTTTCGTACAGATTCCCACAGCCTTCTATTTGTAAAGCTTTTTCTTAATTTTGAAATTTACCGCTGTTTATTGAAACTTGTGAACAGGCCAGGCACGGTGTCTCACCCCTGTAATCCCAGCACTTAAGGAGGCAGAGGCGGGAGGATAGCTTGAGCCCGGGAGTTCAAGACCAGCCTGGGCAACATAGTAAGACCCTGTACTCCACAGAAAATGGAAAACAAAAAAAAAAAAGTTTGAAACTTGTGAACAGTCCAAATTGCAGGTTCTGTGGCAAGCTGAAGAGCTACACTGTGTTTTGAATGCCAGTGTTCTGATTTTAGGGGCAATGGGAGAACCCCCAAACAAAATCAGTAATACCTCTGCCCTCCCTTGTTTACCGATGGCCTCATCTGTTAGCTTAACGTTGTTGGACATACAGCCTTTTCACTATATTATGATTTTCTTATCTGAGGTTATCAGAATTACATGGACTTCAAAGCCTCTCTTAAATTGTATGAGTGGTTTTTTTTAAATTGTTCTTTGATTGTTTAGTTGGGCAAAAAGTAAGTCAAAACATTCCAGAAATTGTGCATTTTGCATTTTCTTAGGAACTCATGTCGTGTCCCATTTTGTAAACTGGGAGACACCTCAAGGATGTGGACTTGGGTTCCAGAACTCAGAGCAGTCAAGAAGAATTGTAAGTTTCGTAGTTGAAATTGAAACATTAGTGCAAATGTTGAAAAACAGAAAAAGACTGAATTATTTTAATGAATCATATCCTTACAACTCTTAGAGCTTTGACTATAATGACAGGACAGTTTGCGGCTTGAACCCAGTAACCTCACATTCTTTATCCAGAAATGCCCCATGTTGTCTATTAGTTATATTTACTTTTAAAAGTTTTTGATGAGAGCAAAAGTGTGCTAATCTCTTTGGAGTGTTTCATATCCCTCTAAATGTGTATTGGATCTCTTATATTGTTTTGTGATCCTAATCAATTTACTTAATTCCAGTTAAGGAGACGAAAAATTGAAGTGAGTTTACAGCCAGAGGTTCCACCATCCAAACAACTTTTGTCAACCATAATGGTAAATAAATAATATTGAAATATGAAAAATCAAACTCAAGTGTTCCAAAGAAATCGCATCTACTCTTCGTTCTGTCTTATTTTTATGATCATCTTTATACCTATAGCTAACATCTTGTAGTATCTTAAGGGTGTCAGAGTTGATCCGATATTTTGGCTTCTTTGATGCTCGCTGTCACCTCATGAGATTGATATGGTGTTGGTCTTATCTCTTTCTCATTTAACTTTGCAGTGTCAGCTTCAGCTTTGCAGGAATGCATGATAACTGTTAGTCATTTGAGAAAATGTTGTGCTAGGAAACGTTAAGTTCAGAGTGACATTCGTTAATGTGCCAAACTGAATTCTTTAATTCTGCGCTTTCAGAAAGATTCAGAAAAACACATTGAAGTAGAAGTACGGAAATTTTTGGCTCTGAAGCAGACACCTGACTTTCATACTGTCATTGGGGACACAGTAACAGGACTTCTGGAAAGGTGTAAAGCAGAACCATCATTTTATCCCCGGAACTGTCTGATGCAGCTTATCCAAACGCATGTGCTTTCTTACAGGTAGCTGTTTGTGTGTACCACACTGTACGTGCATAATTCTTCTGACCTTGTTTTTTATAGTTCTAATCTTCTGAAACTCTCAAAAGGCTTATAAATGTTCTGCAGTTGAGAATTTTCTTAATATGTAATAGTGATTCAGATTTTTTTGTCTTAGTTTGTGCCCCGACTTAATGGAGATTGCCTTAAAAAAGAAAGATGTACAGTTGTTACAACTCTGTCTACAGCAGTTCCCTGACATTCCTGAATCAGTCACCTGTGCTTGCTTAAAAATTTTCTTGAGGTAAGTTAGACTCCAATGGTCCTTTTTCTTCACTACATTTATAATCTGTTACATTATTTGATTTCCAAAATTTTGATGCTTAGGAAATGAAATTTTTCCCAAAAGCTTGGTGATAAGGATTAACCTCTTGCTTTCAACTACCATCATAGCATTGGTGATGACAGTCTTCAAGAAACAGATGTTAATATGGAGTCAGTTTTTGACTATAGTATAAATTCTGTACATGATGAGAAAATGGAAGAGCAAACTGAAATTCTTCAAAATGGCTTCAATCCTGAAGAAGATAAATGCAATAACTGTGATCAAGAGTTAAATAAAAAGCCCCAGGACGAAACAAAGGAGAGCACTTCATGCCCTGTGGTACAAAAAAGAGCAGCTCTACTGTATCCTTTGACATAGAGCATCCCTCTGTTTCTCTTTATAGGATATAGTTATATGCCAAGCAGTAACCAAGGAGTAACTCAATAATTTAAGGTTTTTCTTTCCTTTTCCAATTGTTTTTTGTTTCTGTTTGAAAATAGATTATGTTCAATGCTACGTTAAGTAAGGTTTACTTAAACCTGTTTAATTTAACTAGGCTGGGCATGGGTGGCTCATGCCTGTAGTCCCAGCACTTTTTGAGGCCGAGGTGGGAGGATTGTCTGAGCCCAGGAGTCTGAGACCAGCCTGGGCAACATGGCGAGACCCCCATCTCTACATCAGATTTAAAAAAAAAAAAAAGAAGAAGCTATACTAACACAGAAGCTCTATCAATTCTGAAGATCAGTATTCTGAATAAATACCAATTAAAGTATTCCACATGATCTCCAATGATTAGGAGAGTGTTTGGTGATAGAGCTCTTTTAGAGATGTAAAACTTTTGTATAAATTTAGAAAACTAACATTGACAAAGGAAGTTACTCATAAGTTCAATAGAATAGCTTCTATTTGTTGAAGTACGATTTTCCTTTAGTCCTAAGTAATGCAATTCTTCATTCAGCATATAGCGAGACATTTCTTCTGCCTCATTTGAAAGACATCCCAGCACAGCATATCACGGTAAGTGTTCATACAAGTTGTATAGAATTTTACTTCTGGTTTAAATATTGCTATTTAACTCTAACCAGCTGTTAGGGCATTCTAAAGGTTATGAAATTCTTTCATGTGAATAAGAGGTTGCCCAGCTCTAATGGCAAAAAATTGTGCTGAGAAAACTAGAGCGATACTAGGGTGATAGACCATGGCATATTCCTTGTGCCAAACTTGAAGGCCAAGTTAAGCTTCCTAAGTTATAAATGAATAAACACTAAAAAGAATTGCAGACAGAAGGGTTCTCTCTACCTATTATTTACAAACAATGAGCTTATCACCACCACTACCCCCAAACCAGATGAGCTCCTCATTAATGGGAGGGACTGCATTTTATTCATTTTTATGTCTCCAGATGTCTGGCGTATTTGTTTGATGTATAAATTGAACATTTTTTTCAATCTTCGTGATGGGTTTATATAATAGAAATTTTTTCTATCAAAATGATAAACTATCCATTTTTTTTCCCACCCAGCTGTTTCTTAAGTATTTGTATTTCCTGTACCTGAAGTGTAGCGAAAATGCTACTATGACTCTTCCTGGAATACACCCACCTACCTTGAACCAGGTGAGATTATTTTTTTACTTTGATTTGGTGCTGGGAAAAATCTGTGAAAAAAAGTTGTATTCAAGGTCAGCACCTGCATTCAAGAGCTGACTTCTTGTTTCCTAGGCCGTAGGAATCCCTTCCTCATAAAACCAAACCACTGCAGCTAGAAATGGGGAGTCTCTCATTTAGTAGATTTCTAGATCCATAAATCTACACGACAGAATTTTAATTTATCTTAAATTCCTGATTCTTCATTATGACCCTTCCCTTTTCCAAGAATTTCCTCAGCCTTGATGGGAGACAACAGGAAGGGGCTGATAATATAGGTTGCCCCCTTAATCATCTCTTAAGAATAAGAGAACAGGCCAGGCATGGTGACTCACGCCTGTAATCCCAGCACTTTGGGAGGCCGAGGCGGGAGGATCACTTGAGGTCAGGAGTTTGAGACCAGCCCAGCCAACATGGTGAAACCCTGTCTCTACTAAAAACACAAAATCATCCAGGCATAGTGGTGCGTGCCTGTAATCCCAGATACATGGGAGGCTGAGGCAGGAGAACTGTTTGAACCCAGGAGGCGGACGTTGCAGTGAGCTGAGATCGCGCCACTGCACTCCAGTCTGGGCAACAAGCAAAACTCTGTCCCAAAAAAAAAAAGCGGGGGGAATAAGAGAATACAGATTAGTGAAAAAATATTCCCAGAGAATCCCATGGTAGTCCCTCTTTAAAAATAATACTTATGCTGGGTGCGGTGGCTCATGCCTGTAATCCCAACACTTTGAGAGGCTGAGGCGGGTGGATCACCTGAGGTCGGGAGTTCAAGACCAGCCTGACCAACATGGAGAAACCCCGTCTCTACTAAAAATACAAAATTAGCCAGGTGTGGTGGCATATGCCTGTAATCTCAGCTACCTGGGAGGCTGAGGCAGGAGAATCACTTGAACCCGGGAGTTGGAGGTTGCGGTGAGCCAAGATGGCACCATTGCACTCCAGCCTGGGCGACAAGAGTGATACTCCGTCTCAAAAAAAAAAAAAAACTTATTTAAAAAACAGTAAGAAACATTTAAAAATAATGTATTTACCCTCCTACAAAGGCATGTCTATAGTTCCTTGTCTTTGGACATGTAAGAATTGGAGGCAAAGAAATGTGGACTTGGAGAAATCTGGGGCCAGCTTGCTCTCCGCAGGCTCAAGATCAACCATCCCACATAGAAGCAGTAAAAACAATAAATTGTTTTGGTTTGGTAATATGTTATTCTAACGAAGGATTTTAAACACTTAAGTTGGCTATTCTTCATATAAAAAATAACTTCTTTTTTTTTTTCCTTTTCAAGAAGGCAAGGTCTCGCTCAACCACACTGGAGTGCAGTGGGAATCATAGTTTGGGGCAGACATGAATCCTGCCCTGAAGCAGTCCTCCCCACTTACCCTCCCAAGTAGCTGGGACTGCTGGTACATGCCACCACACCACATGAAAATACAATTTTTTTTTCCTTTTTTGAGACGGAGTCTCGCTCTGTCTCCCAGGCTAGAATGCAGTGGCACGATCTCGGCTCACTGCAACCTCCGCCTCCAGGGTTCAAGTGATTCTCCTGCCTCAGCCTCCTGAGTAGCTGGGACTACAGGCACAAGCCACCACACCTGGCTAATTTTTGTGTTTTTAGTAGAGATGGGGTTTTACCGTATTGACCAGGCTCATCTCAAACTCCTGACCTCAGGTGATCTACCCATCTCAGCCTCCCAAAGTGCTAGGATTACAGGTGTAAGCTACCGTGCCCGGGCAAACTACAATTTTTTTATTTTAATTTTTCTTGTAGAGACAGGGACTCCCTGTGTTACCCAGGCTGGTCTCAAACTGCTGGGCTTAAGTGATCTTCCTGTCTTGGCCTCCCAAAGCATGTGGATTACAGGCATGAGACACTTACCTAGCCTAAAAATAAGTTAAATTTTTCAGTGGTTATTTTTTATTTATTTATTTATTTATTTAATTTATTTTCTTTCTGAGACAGAGCCTTGCCCTGTCACCCAGGCTGGAGTGCAGTGGTGCGATCTTGGCTTACTGCAATCTCCACCTCCCAGGTTCAAGCAATTCTCCTGCCTCAGCCTCCTGAGTAGCTGGGATTATAGGCCCCCACCACCATGCCCCTGTGCTTTTAGTAGAGACAGGATTTCACCATGTTGTCCAGGCTGGTCTGGATCTCCTGACCTCAAGATGATCCACCCACCTCAGCCTCCTAAGGTGCTGGGATGACAGGCTTAAGCCACCGCACCCGGCCCACTCAGCACTGTTTTAGACATTTCCTGGACCAGTAGACATACATCTGCCTCATTCCTTTTAACCAATGCATACTATTTCATTTTACAAATATAAATTAATGTACCTATCAATCCTCTATTGATGGTCATTTGTTTACCATTTTTTGCTGTTGTAAATCTTCAGTGAGGATCTTTATACAGATATTCTTGTATATTTATGAGAATGCCTGTTGAATACATTCCCACAAGAGAAATTATTGGATGAAATAGTACATGCAATTTTTAGTTTTCAAAATGCCAGACTTTCTGAAGAGTTGTGACAACTACCACCAGCAAGGTCTGAGGCATTCTTTTTCACATTCTTACTGACATTCAGTTTTGTCAAACTTACTTTTTGCCAATCAGATGGGTAACAGGTGTTACCTCATTTTAATTTGCATTTCTTTGATAATGAGAGAAGGAAACCGTCTCTTCTTGTCCATTTATATTTGTTTTTGTGAATCTGCCTAGTCGGGTTCTTTGTCCATATGTATATTGCATTTCCTGTCTTTTGGTTTATAAAAAGTTCCTTTTATATTAAGGAAATTAGCCTTTTTCTATCAAATGCATTGTAAGTTATTTGTCTTTTTACTCTCTTTAGTATAATTTTTGACAGATACTTTTTCATGCTATTAAAATTAAAGTTTTCCTCTATAACTTCTTTATGGCTTATGTTATGTTTAAGGCCCTTCCCACTCTAAGATTATGAAAATAGTCACCAGCTTTCCCTACTACATGGTTTTATTTCTTGTGTTTAACTCTTTGATACATATAGAATTTAATCTGATATAAGGAGTTCCTTAGGGATCAGCTCCCCCTCCCAAATGGATAGCCAGTTTCCCGGTTGCTTTGATATTTGCATGTTAACTACACCACTGGAAGATGTAGGACTACATAAGAAACTTCTATAAATGCTTAGTAATAATTCTGGTTTATGGCAACTCATCTATAATACACAACACCTTGTCCTTGGGGAAAATTTATCTTGCAGAATAGAAGATGAGTGGTTATTTTTTTGTGTGTGTGACTGAAAATTATTGAAACTGAAAACTAAAATTTTTAAAAATAAAAAGACAACTACTGGCGCGGTGTCTCAAGCCTGTAGTCTTAGCACTTTGGGAGGCTGAGGTTGGAGGATTGCTTGAGGCCAGGAATTCAAGACCAGCTTGGCAATAAGGCGAAACCCCATCTCTACAAAAATTGCTAAAAAGTAGCTGGGTATGATGGTGCATCTGTAATCCCAGCAACTCTGGATGATTGCAGCTACTCTGGGAGGTTGAGGCAGGAGGATCACTTCAGCCCAGGTGTTTGGAGGCTCCAGTGAGCTATGAATTGTGCCATTGCATTCCTACTCCAGCCTGGGTGACATAGCAAGATCCCATCTCTAAAATTTTTTTTAATTAGAATAAATTTTTTAAAAGCCAGAAATGAGCCTTTTTATATTTCGTAGAAATTGCTCCATCTCTAAACAAAAATGTTCAGATTTTATTTATAAAGACTTATTTTTCTCATAACTGTTTATTTATGGACTTTGTAAAGTGAATTAACCTGAAGTTAAATTTAAAATCTTAACTTCCTTTTCCTATTCATCTTCAGATTATGGATTGGATATGTCTACTTCTGGATGCAAATTTTACTGTTGTTGTAATGATGCCAGAAGCAAAGAGGCTACTGATAAATCTTTACAAGCTTGTAAAATCTCAGGTTTGTGATTATTTGATATATACTGATTTTATTTGTACCCAAGTATCACCTGAATTACAATTATTCTTAAAATTTGTCCTTAAATAACTTACTCATGGAAGATTTGTTTCTATGTAGACATTATGGTAAAAGTTACTCTGAAACTCTTTTCTTTAGATATCTGTTTATTCTGAGCTCAACAAGATTGAAGTAAGTTTTCGGGAGCTACAGAAATTAAATCAAGAAAAGAATAATAGAGGATTATATTCAATTGAAGTGCTGGAGCTCTTCTGATATTATCAATTCTCCTTCATAGACATTTTATAAAGCTCTTTTATGTGAACTCTTGCTTCATCCAGGCAAGAACGGTGTTTTGTTTGCGACCATCTCAGTGTCAAGAGAAACGTGTCAGTGAGTACCTGGACCATCACTTAACTGATGCTCCGGGGTAGGACTGCAGGTTTCACATGAACCTGTTCTAGGCTGTGGACATTGGTGTGGAGAGGTTCTGCAATTTTTTAAAAATATGTAACTGGGTTGATTTTAAGTAAAATTATTTGTGTATTGATAAAAGTCTAATTTCTTATCATGTGTTTTGAATTTTTTCTTTTAATAAAAAATGACCATTGAAGCAGTGATTCTAGGAAGAATGTAATTTTATCAGAGTCAGAAGCTGCCCCTGCTCATTTGTTCCACAGCTCACCTTTATTTCACACATTTGCAGTGTGTCTTCTGCCACAAGCAGGGCAGAGAGGGGCCCTCACACAGGCACGTGATTGCCTCCTGCGGTCTCCCCTGTCCTTTAGGACAAATGAAAAGTTCAAGTGTGATTCTACAGCCCAGCTTTACAGAAAGAATCCTGATGGCTGAATTTACCTTGCAGTAGTGAAAAGCTGCGTTTTAGGTCAGGCACTGTATGTAAACTTTAGTCACACATGTGGCCGTTAATAAACAGGTTCTCCTCCATTGTTTTTAATCTCTCAGTAGGCCTTAATGAAAAGAAATCCCAAAGGAACAGGGTAAAGCCTCTATTAATGATGACATTCTCAGCTGGGCACGGTGACCCACGCCTGTAATCCAAGCACTTTGGGAGGCGGAAGCGGGCAGATTACTTCAGGTTAGGAGTTCAAGACCAGCTTGGACAACATGGTGAAACCCCATCTCTACCAAAAAATACAAAATTAGCTGGGCATGGTGGTGCGTTCCTATAGTCTCAGCTATTCAGGAGGTTGAGATGGGAGAATCACTTGAACCCAGGAGGCGGAGGTTGCGCTGAGCCAAGATAGCACCACTGCACTCCAGTCTGGATGACAGAGTAAGACCCTGTCTCGAAAAAAAAAAAAAATCGGCCGGGTGCGGTGGCTCACGCCTGTAATCCCAGTACTTTGGGAGGCTGAGGCGGGCAGATCACCTGAGGTCAGAAGTTCGAGACCAGCCTGACCAACATAGAGAAACCCCGTCTCTACTAAAATACAAAAAAATTAGCCAGGCATGGTGGCGCATCCCTATAATCCCAGCTACTCGGGGAGGCTAAGGCAGGAGAATCGCTTGAACCTGGGAGGTGAAGGTTGCTGTGAGCCAAGATCGCGCCATTGCACTCCAGCCTGGGCAACAAGAGTGAAACTCCTTAAAAAAAAAAAAAAAAACCATGTTCTCTTTATGTAATGGGACCTTTTGCTCAGCGGTAATACAGTACTTAGCAGAAATGAAAAATACGGTCTCCATGGTGCATATCCCCTTTTTATTTATTTCATTTATTTATTTATTTATTTATTTATTTATTTATTTATTTCTTTTTTGAGACGGAGTCTGCAAGCTCTGCTTCCCGGGTTCATGCCATTCTCCTGCCCCAGCCTCCTGGGTAGCTGGGACTAGAGGCACCTGCCACCAGGTCCGGCTAATTTGTTTTGTATTTTTAGTTGAGATGGGGCTTCACTGTGTTAGCCAGGATGGTCTTAATCTCTTGACCTCGTGATCCACCCACCTCGGCCTCCCAAAGTGCTGGGATTACAGGCATGAGCCACCGCACCCGGCCTATTTATCATTTTTTTCAGATGGAGTCTTGCTCTGCCTCCCAGGTTCAAGGAATTTTCCTGCCTCAGCCTCCCGAGTAGCTGGAATTACAGACATGCCTCACCACACCCAGCTAATTTTTGTATTTTTAGTAGAGACAGGGTTTCACCATGTTGGCCATGCTGGCCTGCAACTCCTGACCTCAGGTGATCTGCCCTTCTTGGCCTTCCAAAGTGCTGGGATTACAGGCGTGAGCCACCACGCCCGGCCCCACCTTTTTATCTTTTTTTGCTGAACCATTTAAGAATTATCTGCAGACATCCAGATAATATAAAATTATGAGTTCCTAAGCTTTTCTTTATAAGAATTTTGAGCTTTAGCGTAGTGGATTCTTATTTTATATCTAAGAACCCATAATTAAAGAGACAAGTCTCATTGATCTGTGAACTCTTAGCCAGTAAAAAGAAGATAAACAACTGAAATGCAGAGGCAGTCAGTTCATAGATTGACATTTTACTCTTCATGACTTTTGATTTAATTTTGTACTTAAAGACTGGCTTCTGCATTGAAAAATAACTTACATGGTAAGGAATCAGATACTTGACGAAATGTAACTACCACAAACAAGACTATAAACTGTATTATGGTTTTCAGAATTATATGCCATTTTAATTAGAGTAGAAAATTGTAACTGCCTTTATTTCATTTTGTTTTTGAGACAGAGCCTCACTCTCTCGCCCAGGCTGGAGTGCAGTGGTGCGATCTCAACTCACTGCAACCTCTGCTTCCCAGGTTTATGTGATTCTCATGCCTCAGCCTCCCAAGTAACTGAGATTACAGGCATATGCCACCATGCCCGGCTAATGTTTGTATTTTTAGTAGAGACAGTCTTTCCCCATGTTGGCCAAGCTGGTCTCGAACTCCTGGCCTAAAGTGAGTTAGGCCACCTGCCTCGGCCTCCCAAAGTGCTGGGATTACAGGTGTGAGCCACTGCACCCGGGCATAATTGCCTTTAAATAGTAGTTATAAATTATTTCTAGGTTACCTGCAATCTAAATTACTAAAAGTAAACTAGGATTTTAAAAAGATATGCAGACACTCTGATAGGCTGTTCTTCAAGGCAAGGACTAAGCCTAGGTCCACTGGGACATAACAGGTGTTATGGTTAGTGAATAAAGTCTTTGAATAATAGATTTTATCTAACTACAGAGTAAAATTCTGACGGTTTGCTATAGTTCCTTTTCTTGGAAAGTAAATTATCCATGTTCATCATATATAGGCAGTGTGTCTTCTTCCTCTAGGCCATATAACACTATATATCTCAGATTTATTTCTGATTATATAATATATACTACATCTATATAACAATAAAAGAATTGTTCTTTAAACTGAAGTTCCATCTAGAAAATGACTTTTGACCGGGCGCGGTGGCTCACGGCTGTAATCCCAGCACTTTGGGAGCCTGAGGTGGGCAGATCACTTGAGGTCAGGAGTTCGAGACCAGCTTGGCCAACATAGTGGAACCCTGTCTCTACTAAAAATCCAAAAATTATCCGGGCCTGTTGGCGTGCGCCTGTAATTGCAGCTACTTGGGAGGCTGAGGCGGGAGAATCATTTAACCCAGGAGGTGGAGGTTGCAGTGAGCCAAGATCGTGCCATTGTACTCCAGCCTGGGTGACAAGAGTGAAACTCTGTCTCAAAAATAAAAAAAGGAAATGACTTCCTCTTATGAACCTTATCTGTTTTCCGAAGGAAATGTGGGCTAACGGGTTATTACTACTTAACATGCGGCATTTATTTGCTTTTTGCCTCCTTAGCCTTCTTTGTAATTGTTGGTGACATCATTATGGTTGAGTTCATTCTGGATCATATATCCAGTTCTTTTTTGAACAGTTTAATCTTAAAAAAAAATTGCAAGCAAAAACAACACCCATATACCCTTCATCTAAATTTACCAATTGGTAACATTTTATCATGTTTGCTTTGCTAATCTCTGTATTTTTTCTTTCGTTCCTAAACCACTGGAGAGTTATTTGCAGACATCCAGACACTTCAGCTTAATCCCATAAATACTTCAGCTTAATCCTCTAAAACAAGGGCATCTTCTGCATGACCACAATACAACGATCAAATTCAGAAAATTTATATTAATGGAGTATTGTTCTCTAGAGTGATTACAGTCTATATTCTGATTTCCACAGTTGTCCCAGTAATGTCTTTCATAGCTGAAGGAAGGAGGAGGGGATCTTTCTGGTAGTTGCACATTGTTGCCAAAATGAAATTCTTTTTTCTTGGAAGTATCTTCCCTCTAATTCCATACTTGCCAAGCAACTGACACTGATTTACTCTCCCAGAAACACAAATACCAGGATGGGGAGGCTCTATATGAGAGGTAATTACAGTTTCCTAAATTGGCATAATCCCTGTAAATTGACAAATTGAAATTCTTGTCTAAATTTAATTTCATGTGAACCTAATTATCCTTGGCTACTTTTCATCTCTGGATGAATTCATATGCTTTGGGTTGTCAGTGCCAAATTTGTTATGCTTTGTTTAATACGTTCAGACCACAGAGCTGACAGCATCTATTTCTTCTGGTTTGTTTGGTTATACACCAGGTAAGGGATAGTTAATATACAGATGTTTTATATTACTTCAAAATGAATTTGGACCAACAGGGCACAGTGGCTCATGCCTGTAATCCAAGCACTTCGGGAGGCTGAGGCAGGGAGATCACTTAAGCTCAGGAAATGTAACTACCACAGTAGTCGGGTAACATGGGGAGACCCTGTCTCTACAAAAATTTAAAAATTAGCTGGTTGTGTTGGTACGTGCCTGTAGTCCCAGCTACTTGGGCTGACATGAGATGATCGTTTGAGCCCAGGAGGTTGAGGCTATAGTGAGCCATGTTTGTGCCACTGTACTCCAGCTTGGGTAACAAAGCAAGACCCTGTCTCAAAAAACAAAAAAAAAGGAAAGAAGTAAAATAAACTTGGGCTTGCGCAGTGGCTTACACCTGTAATCCCAGCCCTTGGGAAGGCCGAGGCAGGCAGATCACTTGAGGCCAGAAATTCGAGACCAGCCTGGCCAACATGGCGAAACTCCATCTCTACAAAAAATACAAAAATTAGCTGGGCGTGGTGGCACATGCCTGTAATCTCAGCTACTCAGGAGGCTGAGCCACAAGAATTGCTTGAACCCGGGAAGCAGAGTTTGCAGTGAGCCGAGATAGCACCACTACATTCCAGCCTGGGCAACAAAGTGAGACTATCTCAATAAAATAAGATTCACTTAGAGAACAATAAACTTGAAGAAAATGTTCTTGGATTTGCATAGACCACATGCACCATTTCTTTACTTTACATTACTGGGTTGGACAATAGCTTATAATATGCAACAGCATACTCTACAGAATTCAGTTTGCACTATTTTCAAGTTTAGTGCATGATTCCCTTAGGAAAATCAGGAAGTTTAAGTCTTCTATTAGCTTTGGTATAGGCTTTTTATTTATGCATTGCCTCTTTCACAAAGAGACATGTACAATAAAATAGTATAATAAACCTAGGAAAGGTGGACACAAACACAAAACTGCAAAAAGTCAACAAAATTTTAGCTCACAGAGACTGATTATGTATTTTAAACTTGTGTAGGTTCCTTCTTTTTCTTTTTATTATAGACAACTCCAAACATAAAAAAAAAAAGAGTTTAACAAATACCATACATATCGCCCAGCTTCAACAGTTATCTTTTTTTTTTTTTTTTAACCAGGTCTCGGTTTGTAACCCAGGCTAAGGGTACCGTGGCGTGATCTCGGCTTATTGCAACCTCCACCTTCTGGGTTCAAGTGATTCTCATTCCTCAGCCTCTCAAGTGGTGGGGATTTCAGGCATGCACCACCATGTCCAGCTCATTTTTGTATTTTTAGTAGAGATGGGGTTTTGTCATATTGGCCAGGCTGGTCTCGAACTCCTGACAAGGTAATCTGCCTGCCTTGGACTCCCAAAGTGCTGAGATTACAGGTGTGAACCCCCATGCCCAGCCTCAGTTTCAATTTCTTTTTTTTTTTTTTTTTTTTTGAGACAAGAGTCTCACTCTGTTGCCCAGGCTGGAGTGCAGTGGCACGATCTTGGCTCACCACAACCTCCGCCTCCCAGGTTCAAGTGATTCTCCCACCTCAGCCTCCTGAGTAGCTGGGACTACAGGCGTGTGTCACCATGCCTGGCTAATTTTTGTATTTTTAATAGAGATGGAGTTTCACTATGTTGGCCAGGCTGGTCTCGAACTCCTGACCTCATGATCCACTCGCTTCGGCCTCCCAAAGTGCTGGGATTACAGGCGTGAGCCACCATGCCTGGCTGGTTTCAATTTTTGAACAAAGGAGATTAGTTCAAGGGAAGGACTATTATGGCCTCTGCATAAAAATAAGCAAAAGCACCAGCCTGGCCAACTTGGTGAAACCTCATCTCTACTAAAAATACAAAAATTTGCCGGTGTGGTGGTGGGCACCTGTAATCTCAGCTGCTCAGGAGGCTGAGGCAGGAGATCGCTTGAACATGGGAGGCAGAGGTTGCAGTGAGCTGAGATTCCGCCACTGCACTCCAGACTGGGTGACAGAGCAAGACTCTGTCTCAAAAAGAAAAAAAAAAAAAATGGAATGACCAAAAGCAACTTAGTCTGGTAGAAGCAAGATGGAGTCAGTTATGTCAGACTTCCATTACTACTATAATTTCTGCAAAGGCAATTTCAAAATCTATGGTGATTATGGTTAATAGATTATATACACGAAAATTGCTAAGAGAATAAATGTTGAGTATTCTACCACAGGCAAAAATAAGTATGTGAGGTAATATTTATGTTAATTAGCTTGATTTAGCCATTCCACAAGGTATATATATATCAAAAGATTATGTTGTACACCAAAAACAAAAAGGAAAAATTATTTTACTGGAAAACACATTGTGAATATTTTTTTCCTTCCATTAAAGCAAAAGTTGGCCAGGCATGGTGGCTCAGGCCTGTAATCACAGTACTTTGGGATGCCAAGGTGATAGCAGCAGGAGGCAGACAAACCCTAGGCAGACAGGGGCAGATCCCCAGTGAAACCCAAACTTCAAGCCAAAGACAGTTTAAAGCCTAGCTACAAGTCCTGGGTAAGTCCACAGACTGGATTGGGAAACTGTCTTCCTGTTTGGCACACTTTCCTCTGATTGATCCCCACCCTGCACCTGTTTTACATGTATATACCCTTCCCTAATTGGTGTATTACACTGTCGTGCCCACCTTTGAGTGGTGCCTTTGTTTTAGCCTTTTTTTGCTTACCCACAAACCAATCAGCACTCCCTATTCTGAGCACATAAAAGCCCCAGACCCAGCCACACTGAGTGAGAGACCACCTGACTTTGAGTAGGGGACCACCCTCACATCCCGTCTCTACTGAGAGCTGTTTTGTCACTCACTAAAATTCTTCTCCACCCTCGTCACCCTTTATTGTCAGTATAACCTCATTCTTCTTGGACAGGGGATAAGAACTTGGGACCCACCAAGCACGGGTACAAAGAAGGCTGTACACCCTCCACCAGTGGAGAGCAGCTGCCTCATGTGATGGGAAGCAGCAGCAGGGCCAAGCCAGCCCTGGAGCCTTGGGCCAGAGCAGGGCAACAGGACTGATGGTGTTGTTAACATGGCATTGTCCATCAGGCTGCGGACAAAGGGACTAAAAGAGCTAATTTGCATGCCGTAACACCCCCTCTGGGGCTTCAGGGTCATGGGCACCCCTGCCTGGGTGCCACCGTGTTCCCCTCCTCTGGATGCCAGAGTCCACCATGGGAGTCACTTGTGACATGCCTGGTCCAGCTACAAGCCCCACATGGAGCCCATTCCCCTGCCAGCACTTGGAACGGCCAGCCAGACCCCACACTCCCTCACTCACACACCCCGTCCTGCCAGGGGCTAAGCACACAGTAGTGGCAGCTATGGGACCTGCACTGGAGTGCAAGCCAGGTGCAGCCCAGCAGGCTGAGTAGACAGGGTGTCTCCTGCAGCAAGCCCAGGCCTGAGCAAGGCCTGGGCAGGGGAGTTGCCAGCTGGAAATCTCCAGCTGGCAAAGTGACTAAGAAAAATCCTGCATCAAAGGTGGGAGGATCTCTTGAGCACAGGAGTTTGAGACCAGCCTGGGTAACCCCGTCTCTACAAAAAATAAAAAATTAGCTGGTCCCAGTGGTGCCTACCTGTAGTCCCAGCCACTTGGGAGGCTGAGGTGGGAAGATGGCATGAGCCCAGGAGTTCCAGGCTGCAGAGAGTGGCATGCCACCACACTCCAGCCTGTGTGACAGAGTGAGAGCCTGTCTCAAAAAAAATAAAAGAGTTTGATTTCTTTGATGTTAAGTGTCCTCAATGAACAGGAGCCTGACCCACTTTGTTGGTTTTCTTTTCTTTTCTTTTTTTTTTTTTTGAGACAGTCTCGCTCTGTCACCATGCCAGAGTGTAGTGGCGCAATCTTGGCTCACTGCAGCCTCTGCCTCCCAGGTTCAAGCGATTCTCCTGCCTCAGCCTCCCGAGTAGCCAGGACTACAGGTGCATGCCACCATGCCCAGCTAATTTTTGTATTTTTTAGTAGAGATGGGGTTTCACCATGTTGGCCAGGATGGTCTCAATCTCTTGACCTCGTGATCCGCCCACCTCAGCCTTCCAAAATGCTGGGATTACAGGCATAAGCCACTGTGCCCAGCCCTGGTTTCCTTATTGAAAGGCAAAATTTCTTTTACTTACACAATGGGTGAGTGTTACCTTGTTGTTGGGCTGATTAACTGTAGCAGCAATAGAAATGCAAAGAGGTGTGTGGAATGGGGCTATGGGCTCTGAATATAGTCCTCTGTGGATGTCTTTGTGAATGCTGATTACTCATTCAAATGCAGAATATTCTGCTTTTTGCTAGGAGCCGAGAAGTAATAGATTTACAGACCTCTTATTCTTGGTCACCCTTGAGGGTGGAAATAGCTTTATTATAATGCATATAATTCAATACATATTCTCCTGGATTTAAACTCAATCTTCTGGCTAGTGATCCTTAAATTTTTATCTCTAGCTCTGACTTCCCCACTAATTCCTAAATTTGAATTTCCACTGCCTGATTAACATTTTTGATTAGATATCTCAAGCTTAATGTACTCAAAATGGAATTCTGGATTTTCCCCCCACTTTTTTTTTTTTTTTTTTTTTTTGAGACATAGTTTCGCTCCTGTTGCCCAGGCTGGAGTGCAATGGCATGATCTTGGCTCACCACAACCTCCGCCTCCCGGGTTCAAGAGATTCTCCTGCCTCATTCTCCTGGGTAGCTGGGATTACAGGCATGCACCACCACACCCAGCTAATTTTTGTATTTTTGGTAGAGATGGAGTTTCAGTATGTTGGCCAGGCTGGTCTTGAACTTCCGACCTCAGGTGATCCACCCACCTTAGCCTCCCAAAGTGCTGGGATTACAGGCGTGCGCCCCTGCGTCCGGCCAATTTTCCCCCACTTCTGTTCCCCTCCTCAATCCCACCTTGGACTTCCTGGGTACTTGGCACCTCACTTCTCGAATCCCTCATCCATCAGCAATTCCTGTGCACCTTCCCTGTGAGATATTTCCCAGGTGCAGCATGTCTGGTCCAGCTGCAAGCCCCACATGGAGTCCACTCCGGTGCTGGTGCTTGGAACGGCTGGTGCCCCATTCCCTGCTCCATTTCCACTGTGGCCACCGACCCGTTCTCCAGCATCTCTCGCCCTCCCCACTGCAGCAGCCCCCAACTGACTGCCTGCTTTCCCTCTGGCTTCTCTCCTATTAGAATATTCTTCTCACAGCAGATGATCCTAAAACATAAATCGTATCAGTTCACATGCCCTTTAAAAAGTTTCCTCATACTACTCTTAGCGGTGCATAAAGAAAGAAAAACAAACAAAAATTGAAAAACAAAAAAGTTCTGGCGAGGCATGGTGGGTCATGTCTGTAATCACAGCACTTTGGGAGGCTAAAGCAGGAGGATCCCTTGAGGCCAGAAGTTTATGACCAGCACGGGCAACATAGGGAGACCCCATCTCTACAAAAAATAAAGAAAGAAAAACTAAGGCTCGGCACACTGGCTCATGCCTATAATCCCAGCACTTTGGGAGGCCAGGGTGGACAGATCACCTGAGGCCAGGAGTTTGAGACCAGCCTGGCCGACATGGTAAAACCCCATCTCTACTAAAAATACAAAAAATTAGCTGGGCGTGATGGCGCAAACCTGTAGTCCCAGCTGCTTGAGAGGATGAGGCATGAGACTCACTTGAACCCTGGAGGCGGAGGTTGCAGTGAGCCGAGATTGCACCACTGCACTCCAGCCTGGGTGACAGAGTGAGACTCTGTCTAAAAAAATAAATAAATAAATAAATAAAAATTAATTAATTCAATAAATAAAAAGTTTCCACGTACTGATCCATGCTATAACATGGATGAATCTAGAAAACATGACGCTGAATGAAAGAAGCCAGTTTAAAAAGGCTGTGTGTTGTATGACTCTAGTTGTATGAAATGTTCAGAAGAGGCAAATTCATAGAGACAGAAAGCAGGTTAGGGGTTGCCAGGGGCTGGGGCTGCAGCGGGCAGGCGGTGGGTCGGGGAAGGATGGGGAGTGACTGCTGAAAGGGTTTGGGGTTTTCCTTCTGGGGTGAGGAAAAGGTTCTGGAACTGGATAATGATGATAGTTGCACAACATTGAGTGTACTAAATATCACTGAATTGTACACATTAAAATGGCAACTTTTGTTTTGTGAATTTTACCATTTTTTTTTCTAAAAAAGGTTTAATGACTTCTTGTTGCGGTCTTAAAATAGAAGCCAGGGCCGGGAATGGTGGCTTATGCCCATAAGCTGTGCTTTGGGAGGCGGAGGTGGGTGGATTGCTTGAGGTCAGGAGTTCGAGACCAGCCTGGGCAACATGGCAAAACCCTGTCTCTACAAAAAATTAGCCAAGTGTGGTGGCATGCGCCCGTGGTCCCAGCTACTAGGGAGGCTGAGGTGGGAGGATCACTTGTACCCTGGAGGTGGAGGATGCAGTGAGCCGTGATTGCACCACTGCACTCCAGCCTGGGCAATAGAGCTAGACCTTGTCTAAAAAAAAAAAAAAACAAAAACTACAATCCAAATTCCTGACTAAGGCCCACAGAGCACTGCATGATCTCGCCACCCTACCTCCTCTCCTTCTTGTGCTCTGAGCCTTGCTCTACCTGCTCTAAGCTATGGGCTCAGGAAGTGATGCACTAAAGTATGGCGCTTTGGGCTGGGCGCGTAATCCCCACACTTTGGGAGGCCGAGGTGGGCTGATCACAAGGTCAGGAGTTTGAGACCAGCCTGGCTAACATGGTGAAACCCCGTCTCTACTAAAGACACAAAAAATTAGCCGGGCATGATGGCATGCACCTGTAATCTCAGCTACTTGGGAGGCTGAGGCAGCAGAATCACTTGAACCCAGGAGGCGGAGGTTGCAGTGAGCCGAGATTGTGCCATTGCACTCCAGCCTCCAGCCTGGGTGAAAGGGTGAGACTCCATCTCAAAAAAAAAAAAAAAAAAATATGGCACTTTGGCATGCTGAGTATTTTGAACTAATGGAGACTGGAGGCAACCTCAGAACCAAGGTCTCTCTGATCTCCTGCTCACAACCTCTTCCCTAAAACACAAGAAGGGGTCTCTCTGAATTTCCCTTGTCTGCCTAAAGACATGAAACTGCCTTTGCAAAAATTATGACAGTGAGATAAATCTGACATAGTGCCTTCATCTTGCTTCTAACCTCACAAGCTAACTTTTTGCTCATTCATGGGCCTAGGCCAAGCTAACTATGGAAGTTTAGTTTACAGTTTCACTTTAAAAGATGATTAACAGTTCCTTCCCAAAATGAATCCCCTATTTGCTGTGGGACCGAAACCACCTTTGTAAATCTAACAAATTGGCCACAAGGTTGGAATTACAGTTCAGGAGTCATGTTGCCAGAGGTGACCAGATTTGTAACCCACCCCCCAATTGCTCCTATAGATAACATCATTATGATAAAACCTAAGTGTGGTATTTGAGGTATTTTTCCTTTTTTTTTTTTTTTGAGATTGAGTCTCGCTGTGTCACCCAGGCTGGAGTGCAGTGGCGCAATCTCGGCTCACTGCAAGCTCCGCCTCCCGGGTTCATGCCATTCTCCTGCCTCAGCCTCCTGAGTAGCTGGGACTATAGGTGCCCACCACCACGCCCGGCTAATTTTTTGTTTTTTTAGTAGAGACGGGGTTTCACCATGTTAGCCAGGATGGTCTTGATCTCCTGACCTCCTGATCCACCCACCTCGGCCTCCCAAAGTGCTGGGATTACAGGCGTGAGCCACCGTGCCCAGCCTGAGGTATTTTTCAGACCTTGCATTCTGATGGACCAGCTAGCACCACCTGAACCAGTAACCTATACCAAGAAACTGACTCAACCAGTCCTGCCACCCCACTCTGGAACTGACTCAGGGCAAGAAGACACCTTCAACCCCCTGTGATTTCATTGCAGACCCAACCAGTCAGCATTACCTGTTCCCTAGCCCCCTGCTCGCCAAACAATTCTTGAAAAATCCCAGCCTCTGAATTCTCAGAGGAGTGGATTGAGAATTATCTGCTGTCCTTCCACTCGGCTGCCTTGCAATCATTAAATTCTTTCTCTGCTGTAACACTCCTGCTGTTCTCATTGTATTGGCTTTTCCAGGCAGCAGGCAGGAAGAACCCATTGGGCAATTACAGATAGACTTTCTAGAAGGAATAGAATTGTCATGAATCCCCTCCCTAGGAGTCTCATCAACAAGAGAAGATTAACTGTATCATAGGAGAGACTGAAGGTTGACCCCACACCTAGAGTTCATCACAGACTATCACCTGTTCTTCTGAGGGCTGCTGCAAGAGAACTTCTATTACCTGCGAGATCTTTTATCTGCATAACAAGACAACCTCTGCTCACCATGCATTTCCTCTCCTCACCCTCTCATAACTTGTCACCACTACTCCCCCAGAAGCCACAGGCCCCTCTATTGCTTTCAGTAGCTACAGTCTTATATTTTGGGACTCACCTGCACAAGAAGGTAATTAAAATGATTTTTCTCCTATTAATATATCCATTGTCAGTTTATTTCAGAGACTCAATTTTTTTTTTTTTTTTTTTTGAGATGAAGTCTTGCTCTGTTACCCAGGCTGGAGTGAAGTGATGCAATCTTGGCTCACTGCAATCTCCACCCCACTGGGTTCAAGCAATTCTTGTGCCTCAGCCTCCCAAGTAGTTGGCTTGTGCCTCAGCTCCCAAGTAGCACATGTGACAACACCCGGCTAATTTTTGTATTTCTAGTAGAGATGGCGGGTTTCGCCACTTTGGAAGGCCAAGGCAGGTGGATCACTTGACGTCAGGAGTTTGAGACCAGGCTGGCCAACATGGCGAAACCCTGTGTCTACTAAAAATACAAAAATTAGCCGAGTGTGGTGGCGCGTGCCTGTAATCCCAGCTACCCAGAAGGCTGAGGCAGGAGAATCTCCTGAACCCAGGAGGCGAAGGTTTCAGTAAGCTGAGATCACGCCTCTGCAGTCCAGCCTGGGCGGCGGAGGGCGACTCCGTCTCAAAATAAAATAAATAAATAAATATATCTGTGCATGTAGAATAAATGAAGTTTTAAAAATAAAAAATACAAAACACTTCCTTTGTACCTTTTTTTTTTTTTTTTTTTTTGAGATAGAGTCTCACTCTGTCATCCAGGCTAGAGTGCTGTGGTACAATCTCAGCTCACTGTAACCTCTGCCTCCCGGGTTCAAGCAATTCTTCTGCCTCGGCCACCTTAGTAGCTGGGATTACAGGTGTGCACCACCATACCTGGCTAATTTTTGTATTTTCAGTAGAGATGGCGTTTCATCATGTTGGCCAGGCTGGTCTCGACCTCCTGACTTCAAGTGATCCTCCTGCCTTGGCCTCCCACGGTGCTGGGATTACAGGTGTAAGCCACCTTGCCTGGCTCCTTTGTAAATGTTAATGGAGAAATATATATATATACTACCTATGTAAGAGATCTTAAATCTCTTAATGCAAGGCATTTTTTTGTATTTGGCCAGGAACTGGAGAAAGTGTGTTTGTCAACCAGACATTGGGCAAGAGACTAACCAGTGCTCAAGACCTGGCTTGAAGCTGCTGCTAATATATAGAAGTTAAAACTTGGCCTGCCTCTGAAGAAGGTGCAGCCTCTGCAGGAGCAAAAGTCTTTTAGCACAAGGGGTAATTCAGGAAAAGTACAAATGTTTACAGGCCTCATTTTTTTTTTTTTTGAGACGGAGTTTTGCTCTTGTCACCCAGGCTGGAGTACGGTGGCACAATCTCGGCTCACTGCAACCTCTGCCTCCTGGGTTCAAGAGATTCTCCTGCCTCAGCCTCCTGAGTAGCTGGGATTACAAGTGCCTGCCACCACTCCTGGCCAATTTTTGTATTTTTAGTAGAGATGGGGTTTCGCTATGCTGGCCAGGCTTGTCTCAAACTCCTGACCTCAGGTGATCCACCTGCCTTGGCCTCCCAAAGTGCTGTGATTACAGGAGTGAGCCACCACGCCTGGCCTACAGGCTTCATTTTTTATTCCTCAGTCAAAATGACATGAGCTTTATTGCATCTTATGAAAAGAGAAAGATACAGTGAGATGACCTACCTTCTTAACTAGAAGATTTCAGCAAAGAAATCATTACCCCTTGTTACCAAGAAAACATCTGGGTCTGTCCTGAGCAAGCAGCATTCTAAACTTCTTACCTTGTTTTTAGATAGTGCTTTAGTTCATCAAGTGACCTTCCATGCATTAGTTCATCTTGTCTTTGAATTCATTTCTGTGGGTAGGTATTACTTTTTTCTTTCTTTGAGACAGAGGCTTGCTCTGTCGCCCAGGCTAGAGTGCAACAGCGTGATCTCCTCTGCCTCCTGGGTCAAGTAATTCTCCTGCCTCAGCCTCCCAAGTAGCTAGGATTACAGGAACCCACCATCACACCCAGCTAATTTTTTGCCTTTTTAGTAGAAATGGGGTTTCACCATGTTGGCCAGGCTGGTCTTGAACTCCTGACTTCAGGTGATCCACCCACCTCAGCTTCCCAAAGTGCTGGGATTACAGGCGTGAGCCAGCACACCTGGCCAGTATTACTATTATTTAAAAAGTGCTTAGAGGCAGTGTCTTGCTCTATTGCCCCAACTGAATTGCAGTGATGTGATCGTAGCTCACTACAGCCTCAAAATCCTAGGCTCCAGTGATCCTCCCACCTCAGCCTCCCAAGTAGCTAGGACCACAGGTGCACACCACTACGCTCAGGTATAAATACATATATATATATATTTTTTAGAGATAGGGTCTCACTGTGTTGTCCAGGGTGGTCTTGAACTTTTGGCCTCAAGTCATCCTCCCACCTCGGCCTCCCAAGTTGCTAGGACCACAGGTACACACCACCACATCCAGGTTTTTGGTTTTTTTTTTTGGAAACAGGGTCTCACTATGTTGCCCAGGCTGGCATTGAACTTCTGTCCTCAAGTGGTCCTCCTACCTTGGCCTCCCAAAGTGCTGGGATTACAGGTGTCACTGTTATTCTCACTTTGCAGATGGGGAAACCGAGGCTCAGAGAGACCATATGATTTGCCTAGAATCACAGAGCAAATTAGCTATAGCACAAGGGCCGAATGTGTTCAAACTCAACTTTGAGCAAGTTGCTTGGCTTCACCAAGCCTCCCTTTCTTTGCTTCCCTCCAATCCTTTCCACGTACCTCAGAGATTACAAAGCAAAATGAAATGAAATAATGCGAGCAAAGTACCTGGCTCTGGTCATATATCTTGAATCTAGATTTGCTATTGTGATTTTTCCATTTAGTAAAACTGACACAGCCCTTCCGAGGTTGCGCATAATAGACTGAGAGAGGACTGGCAGCTCTTTCTCTTTTGTTCTGCATCTACGTTTCCTGAAAGGCCAGAGAACTGAGGGCTGGGATCTCAGGACCAGAACATCTGTAAATCTGGGTCTTCCCAGCTTCTTCCTGTGTGTTTTTCATACCACACACGTGCTCACACACACACACAGATGCTTGTGCAAAGGAATTTCCAACTTGGACAGAGCGAAAGGAATGTATATTGAGGCCCACGATAGCCAGAAAAATAATCTGGCCTGGCCCTATTCCCAGGGCCAGGCATCCCCGATGTCATCCACATGAGTCCACACCCAGTCACCCCCTGACCTACTGCCTGCCCAGCAGCTCCACGGCTCTCCCGGAGCCACCCTCTTTTGGGACAGGGTGTACATTGGCTAGACTCAAAGGGCAGGAGGTGACAGGCCCCAGAGAGGAGAGGAAGGAAGGGAGGCCCTCTCCCTAACACACTGCAGGCTAATCCCCTGGACCACAGCACTTCAGCCAAGAAGCTCTGCTCACCACACCCTTGCAATGGGTAGTGGGAAATTAAAGCTGTTCCAGAGATAAAGCAGCTCCCAAACCCTTGTTTACCTTGTAGGCAAATGAGGATTATCTCTGTTCTCTACTTTGCCTATATGACCATAGCAACCAGGTGTCTTTCAACTTTTCGGTTTCTCAAAGCCTCGAGCCTCTTAATAAGGAGCAGCTAATCTGGAGGCACTTTCTTGTTCTTATCCACACCGAACACTCTCTGCCCTGTGCCATGGCTGTTTCCCTCGACAGTAACTGTAGACCCCGCTCTTTCACATAAAATGAGCCCAGTGATTTCATTTTACCTTTTAGAAACTATCACTGAATGGCCAGGCATGGTGGCTCACGCCTGTAATCCCAGCACTTTGGGAGGCCGAGGCAGGCAGGTGACAAGGTCAAGAGTTCGAGACCAGCCTGGCCACCATGGTGAAACACTGTCTCTACTAAAAATACAAAAATTAGGCCAGGCGCGGTGGCTCACGCCTGTAATCCCAGCACTTTGGGAGGCTGAGGTGGGTGGATCACGAGGTCAGGAGATCGAGACCATCCTGGCTAACATGATGAAACCCCGTCTCTACTAACAAAAATACAAAAAATTAGCCGGGTGTGGTGGCGGGCGCCTGTAGTCCCAGCTACTTGGGAAGCTGAGGCAGGAGAATGGTGTGAACCCGGGAGGCGGAGCTTGCAGTGAGCCGAGATGGCGCCACTGCACCTCCAGCCTGGGTGGCAAAGCGAGACTCCGTCTCAAAATAAATAAATAAATACATACATACATAAAAATAAAAATACAAAAATTAGCTGGGCATGGTGGTGGGTGCCTGTAATATCAGTTACTCGGGAGCCTGAGGCAGGAGAATTGCTTGAACCCGGGAAGCAGAGGTTGCAGTGAGCCGAGATCGCGCCCCTGCACTCCAGCCTGGGCAACAGAGCAAGACTCCGTCTCAGGTAAAAAAAAAAAAAAGAAAAGAAAGAAAGAAAGAAAGAAACCATCACTGAGAGAACTCTATAGAGTTTAGGCCACTTAAACACTGGTTTATAAAATGAAAAAACTATTTTAAATAAGTATACCTGTGCATATGAATATTACAATGCAATATTCTCTTTCTATGGATTACTGCCTTGTGAATGAATCAGTGTTTCACTACAAAAGGGGGCTGGACAATATGCATGCCTGAACTTTCCTAACTGATATCATTTTGCTTTAAGGCCAACCTATCATCTCAAAATAATTTTAATTTAATGTTTAAAAAAAGAATTTAGCATAAGATGATAGAGACGGAGAACAAAAGAAAAAAATAATTTAGGTTTTCTACTACAAAGAAATCACAAGGGTATAATAGAGAGAGGGAAGGATAACCTATGCATTAGAAGAAACTTAAAAGCCATATCAGCCAGGCACTGTGGCTCATGTAACCCCAGATAGGGGTGCTAAGGTGGGAGGATCAATTGAGACCAGGAGTTCAAGATCAGCTTGAACAACATAGCAAGACTCCATCTCTAAAAAAAAATTAAAAATGCGGCAGGGCACAGTGGCTCACGCCTGTAATCCCAGCACTTTGGGAGGCTGAGGCGGACGGATCACGAGGTCAGGAGATCGAGACCATCCTGGCTAACATGGTGAAACCCCGTCTCTACTAAAAATACAAAAAAAAAAATTAGCCTGGCGTGGTGGCGGGCGCCTGTAGTCCCAGCTGGTCAGGAGGCTGAGGCAGGAGAATGGCGTGAACCCGGGAGGCGGAGCTTGTAGTGAGCCGAGATCGCGCCACTGCACTCCAGCCCGGGCAACAGAGCAAGACTCCGTCTCAAAAATAAATAAATAAATAAATAAATAAATAAAAACAAAAATGCTTTTTAATTAAAAAAAAGGACATAACCAATTGCAATATGGAAACTTTATTTGTATCTTAAACAACAAATCTTTAAAAATGTCTGACTTATGAAACAAACAGAAAGTTGATTTCCTTTTTTTTCTTTTCTTTGCTTTTTTACCCCCCGCCCCCAGAGTCTCACTCCATAGTCCAGGCTGGAGTGCAGTGGCGTGATCTTGGCTCACTGCAACCTCTGCCTCCCGGGTTCAAGTGATTCGCCTGCCTCAGCCTCCTGAGTAGCGGGGATTACAGGTGCGTGCCACGATGCCTGGCTAATTTTTGTATTTTTAGTAGAAACGGGATTTTGCCATGTTGACCAGGTTGGTCTCCAACTTCTGACCTCAGGTGATCCGCCTGCCTCGGCCTCCCAAAGTGCTATGATTACAGGTGTTAGCCACGGCACCCAGCCATCTTTTTTTTTTTTTTAAATAACTGTTTCAATGAGACAGTATCTTACTTCTGGAATCTTCACAGAGAAACAAAAGAGAGAGAGACGTATTTTGCTCTGTCACCTAGGCTAGAGTGTAGTGGTGTGATCACAGCTCACGGTAACCTTGAACTCCTTGGCTCAAGGGATCCTCCTGCCTCGGCCTCCACCCTTCTTAGCCTCCCCTGTGCCACCATGCCTGGCTTTTTTCTACATTTTGTAGAGACACGTTCTCCAAATGTTGCCCAGGCTGGTCTCAAACTCCTGGCCTCAAGTGATCCTCCTGCCTCCACTTCCCAAAGCACTGGGATTATGGGTGTGAGCCAACTCGCACAGCCAGAATGTGCATTTTTAACAAAATTCCCAGAGTATGAGAGACAGATTTCTTCAGGGAGGTCACATGCAACTTAGTGTTGGCATTTTCATACACTGTTGTTATATAGTCTTTCTGGAGGATGACTTATCAATATGCTTCAAAAACCTTACAGTGCAGCCAGGCGCAGTAGCTCATGCCTGTAATCCCAGCACTTTAGGATGCCAAGGTGGGTGGATCACCCAAGGTCAGGAGTTTGAGACCAGCCTGACCAACATGGTGAAACCCCCTCTCTACTAAAAATACAAAATTAGCTGAGCATGGTGGCGCGCACCTGTAGTCCCAGTTACTCAGAAGGCTGAGACAGGAGAACCGCTTGAACACGGGAAGCAGAGGTTGCAGTGAGCCAAGATCGCGCCATTGCACTCCAGCCTGGGTGATAGAGCGAGACTCCATCTCAAAAAAAAAAAAAAAAAATTAGCCAGGTGTGGTGGCATGTGTGTGCCTGTAGTCCCAGCTACTCAGAAGGCTAAGCAGGAGAATCACTTGAACTTGGGAGCCGGGGGTTGCAGTGGGCAAAGATCATGCCACTGCACTCCAGCCTCGGTAAAAGACCAAGACTCCATCTAAAAAAAAAAAAAAACCTTACAGTGCATATATGCTTTAATCCAACAATTGCATTTCAAGGAATTTATCAGAGATCTGTACAAAGATACATGTGACAAGGGTGTCCATCATGGTGTTCCTTATAGTAGCAAAAAGTGTAAGCTAAATAGCCAATAATAGGGGAGTAATTCAGTAATTTATATGAAGAAATTATATGCAATCTTTAAAACTTATGTTGTAAGGTTATTTATTAGCATGGGAAAATATACATCATATATTTAATGGAAATAAACAGGCTTTAAAACAGTTTATGGATTCTGATACTATTTACTAATGATACTATTTATACATGGAAAAATACTTTACATCCTGATTATTTTGATAGGTAGCATTATGGGTGATTTTCTTCTTCTTCTTTTTTTTTTTTTTTTGAGACGGAGTCTCACTCTGTCGCCCAGGCTGGAGTGCAATGGCGTGATCTTGGCTCACTGCAACCTCCGCCTCCTGGGTTCAAGCCATTCTCCTGCCTCAGCCTCCCGAGTAGCTGGGATTACAGGCGCCACCACCATGCCCGGCTAATTTTTTGTATTTTTAGTAGAGATGAGGGTTCACTATGTTGGCCAGGCTGGTCTCGAACTTCTGACTTCGTGATCTGCCCACCTCGGCCTCCCAAAGTGCTAGGATTACAGGTGTGAGCCACTGTGCCCGGCCTTATGGGTGATTTTCTTTGTGTTTTCTGTTCCCTAAATGTTAGACACAATAGTTATTTCCTATTGTAATTAAGAGAACAACTATTCTCTATGTTTTGTTTTTTTAAAAAAAGGTGTAAGGAAGCAGCGCAATTTACAACAAAAACTATTCTCTTAACACGGGAAACAAAAGAAAATGAGGAAATGTTCCCTTCGGATAATTTATCATTTCCCTTCCCTTAATTAATTAATTAATTAATTATTTTTGAAATGGAGTCTCACTCTGTTGCCCAGGCTGGAGTGCAGTTGTGCAATCTCAGCTCACTTCAACTTCTGCCTCCCAGGTTCAAGCAATTCTCTTTCCTCAGCCTCCTGAGTAGCTGGAATTACAGAATGTGTGCCACCACACCCGGCTAAATTTTTGTATTTTTAGTAGAGACAGGGTTTCGCCATATTGGCCAGGCTGGTCTTGATCTCCTAGCCTGAAGTGATCCACCTGCCTCGGCCTCTCAAAGTGCTGGGATTACAGGTGTGAGGCACCGCACCCGGCCAGGGAATCACTTGTTCTATGAAGCAGAAGAAAATCTCCTGAATCTGTGTCTTTATTTTATTGATAAGTCAGCCAAAGAGTTTTAACCTGATCTTCACAAAGACTGACTGGGAGACGTGGCCCAGGGTCCAGGTGGGCCTGATGGGCTTAATAAACTCTGGGCTTTGGAAGGACAAGTGGGTACATCTGAGGAAACCTGCAGAAAAAAGGGCCTTGGGAATGTCATCATTCCCAAGATAGTTTGCTGAGAAGCCCCTGTCTTCACACATTTGGACAGTGTTTAGCTAATGCTGGAGGACAGGCTGGCCACACTGCCATCTCAGCTTTCCTAAACCCACGGCAGCTCCCAGTGGCAACCCAAGGTTAGGGAAGCCCAAGAGGAATGAGGCAGGCATTGGAGAAAAGCCCTGAGCCCTGTGAGGGTCACCATCAGTAGCAAACATTTATGGGATGCCTGGTGTACAAGTAAGGCATGCAGAGCCAAGTTGGAGTTTCACCTTTGCCATTAGCTAGCAGCATGATTTGAATAAATGGCTCAAACGTTCCTTTGGTCCTGTTGTCCTCATCACCAGCAAGGCCAGGCGGCTGTCCTCCACAACCTCCAATCCATCTGCTCTTCTCCATCCATCCCCCTTGATATGGTTTGGCTGTGTCTCCACCCAAATCTCATCTTGAATTGTAGCTCCTATAATTTTCACGTGTTATGGGAGGGACCCAATGGGAGATAGTTGAATCATGGGGGCGGTTTCCCCCATACTGTTCTCGTGGTAGTGAAAAAGTCTCATGAGATCTCATGGTTTTATAAGTGGAAACCCCTTTCACTGTCTTCGTCTGGTGCCATGTAAGACGCACCTTGGTTCTTCCTTCGCCCTGATGATTGTGAGGCCTCCCCAGCTACGTGGAACTGTGAGCCCATTAAACCTCTTTTTCTTCATAAATTACCCAGTCTTGGGTATGTCTTTACTAGCAGCATGAAAATGGACTAATACAGCCCTCGTCACCACCTTAATCCAAGCCAACGTGACCTCTTCTAGACAACTGCAAAAGTATCCGTATCAGAATCAGCTTTAAGTATCAAAAAACCCGATTACAGCAGATGAAAGAAGCAAAGCATTACCTTACTCATGTGACAATGACCATGGAAAGAGGCACCCCAGGATAGTTCCGTCTTCCTGCCCCATCATCTGCAATGCTTCACAAGATAGCCACTCACCTCCAGGGATCACATCTGTAACCCAAACAAGAAGAAAAGAAAAGGCCAAAGGTCAAGGGCAAAAGCCTTCTCACTTGGTCTTTGTTCCTTCATTCGGGAAGGGAAACCCTCCCCCAGAGACCTGTGCCTGCATCTCATTGGCCAAAGCTGTGTCACATGACATGGCCATCCCCAGCTGCAAGGGAGCCTGGGAATGTGGGGTTTTGCTCTCCAGCCAGTATAGCAAGGGAAGGCAAAGGAGAAGAGGTTGGGTGAGCCATCCTACAGAATCTCCCACAGCATCCTTACTGCCTCCCTGGAGCCATCCTTTCTTCCCCCAGTGCATGAGCCACCAGTTTTTGTTGTTGTTGTTTTTGAGTGGGGAGGTCTTGCTCTGTTGCCTGGGCTAGAGTGCAGTGGCACAATCTCAGCTTACTGCAGCCTCAACCTCCCAAGCTCAAGTGATCCTTTCCCCTCAGCCTCCCAAGTAACAGGGACCACAGGCAAAACCCACAATGCCAGACTAACTTTCGGATTTTTTTCAGAGACAGGGTCTCCATATGTTGCCCAGACTGGTCTTGAACTCCTGAGCTCAAATGACCCTCTCGCCTCCACCTCCCAAAGTGCTGGGATTACAGATGTGAGCCACTGTGCCCGGCCTATACCACCAACTTTTTATTTATTTATTTATTTTGAAATGGAGCCTTGCTCTGTCGCCCAGGCTGGAGTGCAGTGGTACGATCTCAGCTCACTGCAACCTCCACGTCCCAGGTTCAAGCAATTCTTCTGCCTCAGCCTCCGGGGTAGCTGAGATTACAGGTGCCCATTACCACGCCCGGCTGATTTTTCTATTTTTAGTAGAGACAGGGTTTCTCCATGTTGGCCAGGCTGGTCTCGAACTCCTAAGCTCAAATGATCTGCCTGCGTCGGCCTCCCAGAGTGCTGGAGAAGTGCTACAGGCATGAGCCACCATGCCCGGCCATCACCAGCTTTTTAAAAGCTCAAATCAGAGTGCACTGACGATAACATAGGTGACCTGTAAGACTGGATGATCCACTTCTTTGCTGCTTCTCCAGCTCCCTGCCTCCCTCCTTTCATAACCCCACAGTGCTCCAGGCATACAGGTCTTCCTTCAGTCCTGTGACTATGTCGAGCTTTTTCCTACCACAGGTCCTTTGCACATGCAATCCCCTCAGCCACAGCATGGCTGACTGCTTATCTCTGAGGACTCAACTTGAATGTCACCTCCTCAGAGAAGCTTGCCCTGACCACTTTTTTTTTTCTTTTTTTTGAGACACAGTCACACTGTATCTCCAAGGCTGGAGTGCAGTGGTGTGATCTCAGCTCACTGCAACTTCTGCCTCCCGGGTTCAAGTGATTCTCCTGCCTCAGTCTCCCAAGTAACTGGGATTACAAGCATGTGCCACCAACGCTTGGCTAATTTCTGTATTTTTAGTAGAGACAAGGTTTTGCTGGGTTGGCCAGGCTGGTCTTGAACTTCTGACCTCAAGTGATCCGCCCACCTCGGCCTCCCAAAGTGCTTGGATTATAGGCGTGAGCCACCATGCCTGGCCTTTTTTTTTTTTTTTTTTTTTTTGAGATAGAGTCTTGCTCTGTCGCCCAGGCTGGAGTGCAGTGGCGTGATCTTGGCTCTCTGCAACCTCTGTCCCCTGGGTTCAAGTGATTCTCCTGCCTCAGCCTCCTGAGTACCTGGGATTACAAGCACCTGACACCACACCCGGCTAATTTTTGTATTTTTTTTTAGTAGAGACAGAGTTTCACCTATTGGCCTGGCTGGTCTCAAACTCCTGACCTCAGATGATCTGCCCTTCTTGGCCTCCGAAAGTGCTGGCATTACAGGTGTGAGCTACCATGCCCAGCCCTGACCCACTGTATCTTAGCAGAGTAGGTGGTTTACCCTCTCCTCTCCATGCCTTTTGCTTTTTTTTTTTTTTTAGATGGAGTCTCGCTCTGTCGCCCAGGCTGGCGTGCAGTGGCGTGATCTCGGCTCACTGCAACCTCCGTCTCCCGGGTTCAAGTAATTCTCCTGCCTCAGCCTCCTGAATAGCTGTGATTACAGGCGTGCACCACCACAGCCAGCTAATTTTTGTATTTTTAGTAGAGATGGGGTTTCACCATGTTGGCCAGGCTGGTGTCAAACTCCTGACCTCGTGATCCGACCGCCTCAGCCTCCCAAAGTGCTGGGATTACAAGCATGAGCCACCACGCCCTTCCCATACCTTATCTTTTATCACTTCAACCTCTTCAATTCCTTTTTACTATGAATTTCTATTTGTCATAATTTACTTGCTTCATCAGGCAGGGACAATGTCAGTACAAAAAAAAGCATTTCCAGTACCTAGCACAATGCTAAGTACTCAATAAATATTAGTCTTTTTTCAAGTTTTGCTCTTGTTGCCCAGGCTAGAGTGCAGTGGTGTGATCTCAGCTCACCGCAACCTCCACCTCCTGTGTTCAAGCGATTCTCCTGCCTCAGCCTCCTGAGTAGCTGGGATTACAGGCATGTGCCACCACGCCGGCTAATTTTGTATTTTTTAGTAGAGACAGCGTTTCTCCATGTTGGCCAGGCTGGTCTCGAACTCCTGACTTCCGGTGATCCGCCCACCTTGGCCTCCCAAAGTGCTGGGATTACAGGCGTGAGCCACTGTGCCCAGCCTTTTTGTTTGTTTGTTTTTTGAGATGGTGTCTTGCGCTGTCGCCCAGGCTGGAGTGCAGTGGCGCGGCGCGATCTCTGCTCACTGCAAGCTCCGCCTCCCAGGTTCACGCCATTCTCCTGCCTCGGCCTCCTGAATAGCTGGGATTATAGGTGTGCACCACCACGGCCGGCTAATTTTTGTATTTTTAGCAGAGACGGGGTTTCACTGTGTTAGCCAGGATGGTCTTGATCTCCTGACCTCATGATCCGCCCGCCTCAGCCTCCCAAAGTGCTGGGATTACAGGCGTGAGCCACCGCGTCCAGCCGTGTTTGTTTTTTGAGACAGAGTCTCGTTCTATTGCTCAGGCTGGAGTGCAGTGGTACGATCTCAGCTCACTGCAACCTGTGCCTCCCAGGTTCAAGCAATTCTTGTGCCTCAGTCTTCTGCGTAGCTGGAATTACAGGGGCATGTCACTACACCCAGCTAGTTTTTGTATTTTTAGCAGAGACAAGGTTTTGCCGTGTTGGTCAGGCTGGTCTCGAACTCCTGGCCGCAAGTGATCTGCCCGCCTCGGCCTCCCAAAGTGCTGGGATTACAGGTGTGAGCCACTGTGCCCGGCCAAAATTAGCCAAATTCTTGAAAGAATGAATGAGGAAAGGGAGCTATTGCATCCACAACCTCAGGGTTTCAAGAAACATCCTAATTATGTTCTTTAAATCAAATCAACTTAAATCCTACTTCAAGCCTTTATTTCACCAGACCAATAGGAAATCCAGTCTCAGTCATATTTGGGTTTCCCTCGTTGATATGGTTCCGATGTCCTGCCCAAATCTCATGTTGAAATGTAATCCCCAGTGTCAGAGGTGGGGCCTGGTGGGAGGTGATTGGATCATGGGGGTGGATTTCTCATGAATGGTTTAGCAGCAGCATCTTAGTACTATTCTCGCAATAGTGAGTGAGTTCTCATGGGATCTGGTCATTTAAAAGTGTGTAGCCCCTCTGCCCCTGCCTACTGCTCCTGCTCTGGCCATGTGACCTGTCTGCTCCCCCCACTTCTGCTTCTGCCATCATTGGAAGTTTCCTGAGGCCTCCCCAGAAGCAGATGCCGTTAT
This sequence comes from Homo sapiens, assembly GCF_000001405.40. Lineage (NCBI taxonomy): Eukaryota > Metazoa > Chordata > Mammalia > Primates > Hominidae > Homo > Homo sapiens. Next base: position 67,769,453 of record NC_000017.11, read on the forward strand.
GCTTCCTGTACAGCCTGACGAAGTGTGAGCCAATGAAACCTCTTTTTATAAATGACCCAGTCTCCGGTATTTCTTTACAGCAATGTGAGAACAGACTAATACACTCACCTTCTATAGCCACTAAGAGGCTTAAATGGTGCCAAGGACGTAGGAGAAGGACAGTCCATCATGGTCTTTGACTAAGCCCCTGAGGTTTCTTGTAGTCTGGCAGATCTCTGTTTCTGTGCAATGCCTGGGATCCAGGAATTTTTGCCAAGGTGAGGGTGGTACCCACCTTGAGTACCCCAGAGCCAAGAATCTAGTCTCCCTCAGTATTCCACTTGGCCACTCCCCACTGAGCACCAGCCATTTCCCTGGAGTGCTGCCAGTGTGTAAGTGTGGGGACCCTACTCTTAACCAAATGTTTTCTCCCCTTTTCTTTTTTTTCTTTTTTCTTTCCTTTTTTTTTTTGAGACAGTTTCACTCCTGTTGCCCAGGCTGGAGTGCAATGGTGTGATCTCGGCTCACTGCAACCTCTGCCTCCCAGGTTCACGCGATTCTCCTGCCTCAGCCTCCCGAGTAGCTGGGATTACAGGTGCCCACCACCATGCCCGGCTAATTTTTTGTATTTTTAGTAGAGATGGGTTTCACCATCATGGCCAGGCTGATCTTGAACTCCTAAGCTCGTGATCCACCCGCCTCGGCCTCCCAAAGTGCCGGGATTACAGGCATGAGCCACCGCACCCGGCCTCCTCCTTTTTATTTTTATGTAGTTATTTATTTTTTGATACATCGAGTCTTACTGTGTCACTCAGGCTGGAGTGCAGTGGTGAAATCTCAGCTCACTGCAACCTCTGCCTCCTGGGTTCAAGCAGTTCTCCTGCTTCAGCCTCACAAGTAGCTGGGACTATAGGCGCACATCACCACACCCAGCTAATTTTTGTACTTTTAGTAGAGATGAGGTGTCACCATGATGGCCAGGCTGGTGAGCTCCTGGCCACAAGTGATCCACCTGCCTCAGTGCTTCTTCTAAAGTGCTGGGGTTACAGGCATGAGCCACCTCACCTGGTCCTCTTCCTCCTTTTTAAACTGAAGTGGTCAAGGCAGCTTGCTTCTGCAGTGTTCAACATGGCCAGAGAAAAGCCTCTTCCATGTTCCATTACTTTATTCTCCAAGTTCTTCTTTTTTTTTTCTTATGGACAGAAAGAAAAGACTCAAACTCATTTGGCTTCATTAATAAACGTCTTCTAAACTGCACACACCATAGGGAGAGTGAAGGGGCTATTAGTCATTTCTGGAAGCAGAGTCTAAGACTGGGAAAAGTATTAAATTAGAAGTCACAAGATACTCATTTTAGCACCACCACTTAGTCAACAAACTTGGACAGTTCATTTCACCATCTTCTTTTTTTTTTTTTTTTTTTTTGAGATAGAGTCTTGTTCTGTCACCCAGGCTGGAGTACAGTGGTGCGATCTCGGCTCACTGCAACCTCTGCCTCCCAGGTTCAAGTAGCTGAAATTACATGCATGCGCCTCCACTCCCAGGTAATTTTTTGTGTTTTTAGTAGAGACAGGGTTTTGCTATGTTGGCCGGGCTGGCCTCAAACTCCTGAACTCAAGAGATCCACCTGCCTCGGCCTCCCAAAGTGCTGAGATAACAAGCGTGAGCCACCGCGCCCAGCCCACTTCACCATCTTCAAAATAAGGCTAACTAAACCATTCTTATGTAGCTCAGGGGACTGTTGTGATAATCAAAGGAGATGACTTGCTAGCAGTTGTTTTCTATGTGGTGTTAATTGCCATAAGTATACATCGATTTTTTAAATTATTTTTATTATACTTTAAGTTCTAGGGAAATGTGCACAACGTGCAGGTTTGTTACATAGATATACATGTGCCATGTTGGTTTGCTGCACCCATCAATTCATTTACATTAGGTATTTCTCCTAATGCTATCCCTCCCCCAGCCCCCCACCCCACGACAGGCCCTGGTGTGTGATGTTCCCCGCCCTGTGTCCAAGTGTTCTCATTGTTCAATTCCCATCTGTGAGTGAGAACATGCGGTGTCTGGTTTTCTGTCCTTGTGATAGTTTGCTGAGAATGATGGTTTCCAGCTTCATCCATGTCCCTGTAAAGGACATGAACTCATCCTTTTTTATAATGTTTTGTTTTTATATGGCTTACTGATTCATTTAATCAGATTACTTTCTTAACATAGCAAAGCATGTGTGGAGAAGACACTGCTGTGTGTAGCCAACATGACAAGTCTGCCAGGTACATAAGGAGTCTGGTACCAATTAGAGGAAGCCAACAGGTCACAGTGCTTTGGTGTACGGATGGGAGCGTGTGTCAGGAGATCCAAAGCAAACAGGGGAAGGAGTTGGGTAGCAAAGGTATAATGGGGCCATTCAATTTTGGAGCATGGGGAGATTGCCCCGGCCAGAAAGAGCAGGGCCATTTCTAGTAGAAACAAAGGAACTGGGCGTGGTGGCTCACGCCTGTAATCCTAGCACTTTGGGAGGCCGAGGCAAGTGGATCCCCTGAAGTCAGGAGTTCAAGACCAGCCTGGCCAACATGGTGACACCCTCATCTCTACTAAAAATACAAAAATTAGCCAGGCATTGTGGTGGCATGCGCCTGTAATCCCAGCTACTAGGGAGGCTGGGGCAGGAGAATGGCTTGAACCCAGGAGGCAGAGGTTGCAGTGAGCCAAGATCGTGCCATTGCATTCCAGCCTGGGCGACAAGAGTGAGACTGTGTCTCAAAAAAAATACAAAAAACAAAAAACAAAAAAAGGGACAAGCCTTGAAAAAGCAGAGGTCAGGTCTACAAGGTCTAGGTAACAAGAGTGGCAGAATCTTAGGCCCAGAGGAAATGGTTCATGAGAGCCAACCTCGAGCACAGGGTTGTGAATCTACAGCTGAGGATCCAGGTGGAAGGACTTGGCAGAGATCAAACGCCAGGCACAGAAGGACTGCTCAGAATAGGTAACCGGCCGGGTGAGGTGGCTCACTCCTGTAATCCCAGCACTTTGGGAGATCAAGGCAGATAGATCACCTGAGGTCAGGATTTCGAGACCAGCCTGGCCAACATGGTGAAACCCTGTTCTGTTAAAAATACAAAAAATTAGCTGGGCGTGGTGGTGCACGCCTGTAGTCCCAGCTACAGGGAGGCTGAGGAAGAACTGCTTGAACCTGGGAGGTGGAAGTTGCAGTGAGCCAAGATTCTGCCTGGGCAACAGAGTGAGACCCTTTCTCAAAAAACAAAAAAACAAAAAAACAGGCAACAACCACTATTTCTGTACTATGTTCCACACTTTCCACGCATAATCACATGTCTTTAAGGAAATTTTTTTGAGACAGGGTCTTGCTCTGTTGCCCAGGCTGGAGTGTAGTGGAGCGATCAAGGCTCACTGCAGCCTCAATCTACTGGGCTCAAGTGTTTCTTCTGCCTCAACCCACCTGAGTAGTGGAGACTACAGGCGTGCAGCACCACATCCAACTAATTGTTTTGATTTTTAATAGAGATGGGATCTCACAATGTTGCCCAGGCTGGTCTCAAACTCTGGAGCTCAAGCAGTCCTCTTGCCTCAGCCTCCTAAAGTTCTGGGATTACAGGCGTGAACCGCCGTTCCCGACCTCAGTATTGACGACGGCCCTGTGAAAAGGGGAAACCAAGAGGTGCAGAGATATTAAGTGATTTGCTTGTAGTCACTCTGCTGCGTGGCTGAGCTTGGTTTTGAATCCAGGACTGCTAACTTCAATACCAATGGAAATGGGTATCAGAAACGAGGAGGGAGGGTGAGCTGGGAGGTGCTGAGGGAAGAAGAAACTGGCAAAGTGGGGCTCAATCCTACCATCGTTTTTGAAAGGGGCTCATGGAGGGGACCCTTGTTCACACATGAGCAGGACTGAGTCTTGCAGGCAGGGATCCTGCGAAACCAGACAGTTCCGGACACAAGGGAACTATTGAGAACAAATCCCAATTCACATAATCATTTCGGCACCTTTCCAGCAATGCTTGAGAAGTCTGCTGCTGGGAAAACCTGGAAAATGCTAGTAAGGCTGAAAATATCTATAAGCAAAGACAATTTTGCAAGATGAGTAGGTAACAACATGGGAAAGTGCTTATGACATAATGTCAGGGAAGAAGGACAGATGATGGCTCTTTTGTACAAAACGCGTAGAGAGAAACGTAGGAAAAGGACCAGGGATTGTCAGGTTGTGGGACAGGATCTTTTTACAGTGATTTCCCAAAATTTCTATAATGTGTTACACTTTTAAAATTATAATCATGGAGACTGTAAAAACAGAAATAATGCTTTGTTTTTTTAAACTGATGTTTATTTTCCCTCAACCTTATTTCCATTTCCTGTTTAAAAGCCTGTGGAAGAACAGCTTAAGAGCACTTTTTTTTTTTTTGAGACGGAATCTCACTCTGTCGCCCAGGCTGAAGTGCAGTGGTACAATCTTGGCTCACTGTAACCTCTGTCTACTGGGTTCAAGTGATTCTCCTGCCTCAGCCTCCCAAGTAGCAGGGACTACAAGCGTGCACCACCATGTCCAGCTAATTTTTATATATATGCATATATATTTTTTGAGATGGAGTCTCGCTCTGTCGCCCAGGCTGAAGTGCAGTGGCACAATCTCGGCTCACTGCAAGCTCTGCCTCCTGGGTTCACGCCATTCTCCTGCCTCAGCCTCCCGAGTAGCTGGGACTACCTACAGGCTCCCGCCACCACGCCCGGCTAATTTTTTGTATTTTTAGTAGAGACAGCGTTTCACTGTGTTAGCCAGGATGGTCTCGATCTCCTGACCTCGTGATCCGCCCGCCTCTGCCTCCCAAAGTGCTGGGATTACAGGCGTGAGCCACCGCGCCTGGCCTAATTTTTGTATTTTTAGTAGAGATGGGGTTTCACCATTTTGGTCTTTTTTTTTCTTCTTTTTTTTGAGACAGGGTCTCGCTCTGTCACCCAGGCTGGAGTGCAGTAGTGAAATTATGCCTCACTGCAGCCTTGACCTCCTGGGCGCAAGTGATCCTCCCACCTCAGCCCCCCAAGTAGCTGGGACCACAGGCTGGCACCACCACACCCGGCTAATTTTTGTGTTTTTTGTAGAGATGGGGTTTTGCCAGGTTGCTCAGGCTGGTTTTGAACTCCTGGGTTCAAGCGACCTGTTCACCTCGACCTCCCAAAATAGTAGGATTACAGGCATGAGCCGCTGCACCTGGTCTAGACCCATCTTCAGTGGCAGTCTGAGTGCTGTGTTCTTCAGTAGGGACCTACTTAACAGGGACAGAGAGCACCTGCACACCTTCAGACAAGTCTGCAACCTCGGATGGCAGTTCATTTGCTCTTAAGGTCCTTCTTGGTCACTGCCTTTCAGCAGTGACCTGTTCTTTTTCAGTATTGTCAACCCAAAATATCTGAGACAGGTCTCAGTCAACTTAGAAAGTTTGTTTGTTTTTGTTTTTTTTTTTTTTTTTGAGACAGTCTCACTCTGTTGCTCAGGCTGGAGTGCAGTGGTGCAATCTTGTCTCACTGTAGACTCTGCCTCCAGGTTTCCAGCAATTCTCCTGCCTCAGCCTCCTGAGTAGCTGGGATTACAGGCGCCCACCAAAACGCCTGGCTAATTTTTGTATTTTTAGTAGAGACAGAGTTTCACCATTTTGGCCAGGCTGGTCTTGAACTCCTGACCTCAGGTGATCTGCCCACCTCGGCCTCCCAAAGCGCTAGCATTACAGGCGTGAGCCACCGTGCCTGGCCTAGAAAGTTTATTTTGCCAAAGTTAAGAACATGCTGTGACATAGCCTCAGGAGGTCCTGATGACATGTAGGTGGTCGGGGTACAGCTTGCTTTTATAAATTTTAGGGAGACATGAGACATCAATCAATACATGTAAGATTTACACTGGTTTGATCTGGAAGGGTAGGACAACGCAAAGGGTGGGACAACTCAAAGGGTGAGGGGTGCTTTCAGGTAATAAGTAGACTTAAAAATGTTCTGATTGGCAATTGGTTGAAAGTTATTATCAGTAGAAAGGAATGTCTGGGTTAGAATAAGAGGTTGTGGACCCCTGGACACCTAGGTTATTTCATACAGATGAAGCCTCCAAGTAGCAGGCTTTAGACAGAATACAGATATTTCTTATGAGACTTAAGGTCTGTGTTGGTGTTAATGCTGGAAGGGTATAAGGAGCCATGTCCAACCCCCCTCTTCCATCATGACCTGAACTGGATTTTCAGGTAACTCTGGAATGCCCATGGCCAAGAGGACGGGTCCATTCAGATGGTTGGGAGGCCTTAGAATTTTATTTTTGGTTTAAAATATCTTTTTTTTTTTTGAAGACCAAGTCTTGCTCTGTCACCCAGGCTGGAGGGTAGCGTCACCATCTCGGCTCACTGCAACCTCTGCCTCCTGTTTTCAAGGGATTCTCCCACCTCAGCCTCCCTAGTAGCTGGGACTACAAGTGCATGCCACCACACCTGGCTAATTTTTGTATTTTTGGTAGAGATGGGGTTTTGCCATGTTAGCCAGGCTAGTCTCGAACTCCTGACCTCAAGTGATCCACCCGCCTTGACCTCCCAAAGTGTTGGGATTACAGGCGTGAGCCACTGTGCCCAGCCTATAATATCTTTAGAATCTCTGCAGAAGTAGAGCTCAGGCATGAGATCCTATGGTGATCACAGGAGATGGTGTTACACATGTACAGAACTTCCCTGCCAGCACCCACCACAGCAGACCCACTCAGGAGCTCCTTTCTCGTTGCTTGGGATGGCAGTGTCCACGCAGTGTCAAGGAGAATCTTTGTGACCAAGAGCCATGGTAGGCCGGTTACCATGAAACACTTCTGTGACAGGCTGGTGGTCAGCCCCAGGATCAGTAACCATCAGAAGACGTGGCTCCCAGGCCGGGCGCGGTGGCTCACGCCTGTAATCCCAGCACTTTGGGAGGCCGAGATGGGTGGATCACGAGGTCAGGAGATCGAGACCAACCTGGCTAACATGGTGAAACCCCGTCTCTACTAAAAATACAAAAAATTAGCCAGGTGTGGTGGCGGGTGCCTGTAGTCCCACCTACTCGGGAGGCTGAGGCAGGAGAATGGCGTGAACCCGGGAGGTGGAGCTTGCAGTGAGCCGAGATCGCGCCCCTGCACTCCAGCCTGGGCAACCGAGCGAGACTCCATCTCAAAAAAAAAAAAAAAAGAAGACGTGGCTCCCAGAAGGCTGTCTGGATCTGGTTAGTGAAGGTTCCAAGAGTGAAGTGGCCAGCAGTGAGAGCGGCTTCAGTGGCAGCAGCAAACTTCAGCACAGCCCGCTGGCTAGTATTCCTGGAGGGTATGACACGGGAAACAGCTGGGTTTTCGAAGGCCACAGTGGCATGAGTGGCCGGCACAAGCTTCTCTCAGGTCATCTCCAGTTGTTTTTATTTGTTGTTTTGTTTTTCTTTTGTTGTTTTGAGATAGTCTTTCTCTGTCACCCAGGCAGGAGTACAGTGGTGCAAACATAGCTCTCTGCAACCTCAAACTCCTGAGCTCAAGTGATTCTCCCACCTCAGACTCCCAAGTAGCTAGGATGGATGAGTGCCACCATGGCTGGCTGATTTAAAAATCGTTTTTTGTAGAGATGGAGTCTTGCCATGTCACCCAGGTTGGTCTCAAACTCCTGGGCTCAAGCTATACTCCTGCCTCAGCCTCCCAAAGTGCTGGGATTACAGGCGTCAGCCACCTCGCCCAGCCCCCTTCAGATTTATAAGGTAGATGCCATCACTTTTCCTTTTGGAGATGTCCTGTTCCATTTGGAAGTCAAGATTGGTGCCACCTAAGTGGGTTTCTTCCACAAGGAATTTGACAATATCTTTCTTCTTCATTTGCAGGATATCAAGAGTACCAGACATTGTAAAAATTTCCCTTTATGTGACAAAAGAACTCAGGACAATGCTGTAGGGACCCCTCTCTAAATAGTGTAGAAAGCTGAAAAAATGTTTATGAGTCAGTTGTGAGTCTGCTCTTTCAAGAAGAGCATATAATAGACAAATATTTTAACTAAGAACATTGTGCAGGGCTGGGTGTGGTGGCTCAGGCCTGAAATCCCAGCACTTTGGGAGGCTGAGGCAGGAGGATCACTTAAAACCAGGAGTTCAAGACCAGCCTGGGCAAAATAGTGAGACCCCATCTCTACCAAAAAAAAAAAAACCAAAAACAAAAAAACACTGTGCACAGTGATGTATATTCAGTGACTGGTACATAGTAGATGTTCAATATCTAAATAAGGAAATAATAAGAGACTGGGCATGGTGCCTCATGCCTGTAATCCCAGCACTTTGGGAGGCCGAGGCGGGAGGATCACCTAAGGTCAGGAGTTCGAGACCAGCCTGGCCAACATGGTGAAAACCCATCTCTACTAAAAATACAAAAATTAGCTGGGTGTGGTGGTGGGCCCCTGTAATCCCAGCTACTCGGGAGGCTGAGGCAGGAGAATCACTTGAACCTGAGAGGTGGAGATTGCAGTGAGCTGAGATTGCACCATTGCACTCCAGCCTGGGCAATGAGGGTGGAACTCCATCTCAAAAAAAAAAAAAAAAAAAGAGTGATTGTGCAACCATTGTACTAAGGTGGTTGGGTTAGGATGAGATGTTTTCTTCATCCAAAATTAAATTTGCTGTAATGTTACACTGGCTTTCAAAACCATAAAGAAACCACAACACTTTACTAAAGGCCTATTTGCTAGGATTCTTTACGCATTAGACTGTGAAACAAAATTCTTAGCTGAGGCTGGGTGCAGTGGCTCATGCCTATAATCCCAGCACTTTGGGAGGTCAAGGGAGGTGGATCACTTGAGGTCTGGAGTTCAAGACCAGCCTGGCCAACATGGCGAAACCCCATCTCTACTAAAAATACAAAAGTGGCCGGGTGCGGTGGCTCATGCCTGTAATCCCAGCACTTTGGAAGGCCGAAGCGGGTGGATCACCTGAGGTCGGGAGTTCGAGACCAGCCTGACCAACATGGAGAAATCCCATCTCTACTAAAAATACAAAATTAGCTGAGCGTAGTGGCACATGCCTGTAATCCCAGCTACCCAGGAGGCTGAGGCAGGAGAATCGCTTGAACCCGGAAGGCAGAGGTTGCGGTGAGCCGAGATTGCACCATTGCACTCCAGCCTGGGCAACAAGAGCAAAACTCCGTCTCCAAAAAAAAACAAAATACAAAAATAGCCGGGTGTGGTGGGGCACACCTGTAATCCCAGCTACTTGGGAGGCTGAGGCAGGAGAAATGCTTGAACCCAGGAGGCAGAGGTTGCAGTGAGCCAAGATGGCGCTACTATACTCCAGCCTGGGCAGCAGAGTGAGACTCTGTCTTAAAAAAAAAAAAAAAAAGGGGGGGCCGGGTGCGGTGGCTCACGCCTGTAATCCCAGCACTTTGGGAGACCGAGGCGGGCAGATCACGAGGTCAGGAGATCGGGACCATCCCAGCTAAAACGGTGAAACCCCGTCTCTACTAAAAATACAAAAAATTAGCCGGGCGTAGTGGCGGGCGCCTGTAGTCCCAGCTACTTGGGAGGCTGAGGCAGGAGAATGGCGTGAACCCGGGAGGCGGAGCCTGCAGTGAGCCGAGATCCCGCCACTGCACTCCAGCCTGGGCGACAGAGCGAGACTCCGTCTCAAAAAAAATAAAATAAAATAAATGCTTTTCTGTGACTTTGCCACCTTTCCCTCTCCGGAAGAGCCATTAGCGCCCCCTGCTGCCTGAGCCGGCGCACTCCACTCTGCCCTAGTGGAGAGGGGCCGGGTGATGGGGGCGGCAATAATGGGAGCGGCCCCCTGGGCTAGAGCGGTGCCTCCAACCCCTGATCCTCCTCATCACAACCCATTTGTCAGGGCCAGGGCCAGGGACTCGGCCAGATACAGGGAGACAACCCCACAGGAACATCAGGGAAGGTGATGCAGTCGAGACTTGCTGGTGTCCTGTCCCAGACCATGATGACGTCCATCTGTGCTGCTGCCAAGTTAAACCAGAGTGTTCTGGTTAACCTGGATTTGACCTTGGAGTTCTGGCCTCTGATTTGCCTTCCCTAGGACTCCATGTGCTCACTCTGCGTACAGATATTCTTGATGCATTTGCTAGTCTGATTTTGGACTTCAAATGTCTTGGTGTTTTTTGTTTGCTTTTTTCTTTTTTCCAGACAGATTCTCATTCTGTCGCCCAGGCTGGAGTACAGAGGTGTGATCTTAGCTCACTGCAACCTCTGCCTCCCCGGTTCAAGCAATTATCCTGCCTCAGCCTCCCAAGTGCTGGGACCACAGGCACATGCCACCATAGCTGGCTAATTCTTTGTATTTTTTGTAGAGATGGGGTTTTGTCATGTTGCCCAGGTTGGTCTCGAACTCCTGAGCTCAAGCAATCTGCCTGCCTCAGCCTCCCAAAGTGTTGGGATTATAGGTGTGAGCCACCACACCTGGCCTTTATTTATATTTATTTAATTACATTTAAAAATTTTAAAGAATTGATGCTACAATTCACAAATTTCTTCTTCGTCAGGGAAACCTCAGTTCTGAAGACTTTTCTACTGGCTGAATGAGGTCCATCCAGATTATTATTTTTGGGGGAAAGGGAGTAGCACAGGGTCTCACTCTGTCACCCAGGCTGGAGTGCAGTGGCGCCATCTCAGCTCACTTCAACCTCTGCCTCCCAGGCTCAAGTGATTCTCCCACCTCAGCCTCCCAAGTAGCTGGGACTACAGGCACACACCACCACACCCGGCTAATTTTTGTATTTTTTTTTGGTAGAGATGGGAGTGTGCCATGTTGCCCAAGTTGGTCTCAAACTCCTGGGCTCAAGCGATCCTCCTGCCTTGGCCTCCCAAAGTGCTGGGATTATAGGTGTGACCCACCTCGCCCTGCCTCCACCCAGATTATTGAGGATAATTTCCTTTACTTAAACTCAATTGATAGTAGATGCTAATCACATCTACAAAATACCTTCTAGGCCAGACACAGTGGCTCACGCCTGTAATCCCAGCACTTTGGGAGGTGGGTGGATCACCTGAGGTCAGGAGTTCGAGACCAGCCTGGCCAACATAGTGAAACACCGTCTCTACTAAAAATAAAAAATTAGCTGGATGTGGTGGCATGCACCTGTAGTCTCAGCTACTCGGGAGACTGAGGCAGGAGAATCACTTGAACCCAGGAGGCAGAGGTTGCAGTGATCACACCACTGTACTCCAGCCTGGGCGACAGAGTGAGACTCTGTCTCAAAAAAAAAAAAAAAAAAAAAAAAAAAAAACAAACTTCTAGCAACACCTAGATTAGTTTTGACTGAATAATGAGGTACTATAGCATCGCCAACATGGCAGAGGGCACTGGGCACTACCCATGTTGATGAACAGAAGGCCAAAGCAGCACTCCATTCTCAGGCAAACTCAATGGGCTGAAGCCATGCTATCTTCCCTGGTGTGTTCTCATAGAAGCAGGAAGCAAGGCCACTCTCCCGACTTTACCAACATCCTTTTCCACATGGACAAAGTGAAAGGGAAAATCATTGCTTCTGGGCCTATATCTTATAAAGTTCAAATTGAAAACAGCTCTAGTCAAATGCAGTGGCTCACGCCTATAATCCCAGCACTTTGGGAGGCCAAGGCAGGAGGATTGCTTATGCCAGGAGTTTGAGACCAGCCTGGGCAACATATCAAGACCCTGTTTCTATAAAAAAATTCAAACATTAGTGAGGTGGGGTGGTGCAAGCCTGTAGTCCCAGCTATTTAGGGGGCTAAGGCAGGAGGATCACTTGACACCAGAAGGTGGAGGCTGCAGTGAGCTCCGATCATACCACTATACTGCAGCCTGGGCAACAGAGTGAGACCTGTCTCTAAAAAACGTTATATATGTAAAAAGAAGAAAGCTTTCTAGATTTTATTCATATTTAGCCTAGGGACTGAGACAGCTCAGGCCAGGGACATTGTGTTCCAGATGGCTGGGTTAGAAACTAGACCAGTAGGCCAGGCATGGTGGCTCACACCTGTAATCCCAGCACTTTGGGAGGCCAAGGTGGGTGGATCACTTCAGGTCAGGAGTTCGAGACTAGCCTGCCAACATGGTGAAACCCTGTCTCTACTAAAAATACAAAAATTAGCCAGCCATGGTGGCCAGCGCCTGTAATCCCAGCTATTCAGGAGGCTGAGGCAGGATAATTACTTGAACCCGGGAGGCAGAGGTTGCAGTGAGCCGAGATCGTGCTACTGCACTCCAGCCTGGGTAACAAAGCAAGACTCCATCTCAAAAAAAAAAGAAAAGAAAATGAAACGGCTGGGCGCGGTGGCTCACGCCTGTAATCCCAGCACTTTGGGAGGCTGAGGCCGGTGGATCACGAGGTCCGGAAATCGAGACCATCCTGGCTAACACGGTGAAACTCCATCTCTACTAAAAATACAAAAACTTAGCCGGGCGTGGCGGCGGGCGCCTGTGGTTCCAGCTACTCGGGAGGCTGAGGCAGGAGAACGGCGTGAACCCGGTAGGCGGAGCTTGCAGTGAGTCGCGATCACGCCACTGCACTCCAGCCTGGGCGACAGAGCCAGACTCCGTCTCAAAAAAAAAAAAAAAGAAAAAGAAACTAGACTGGTAAGAGGGACAGGCACCACCCCTATACTCCATCACCTGGGGCTTATTATTGTGCCAAATTTGTCTGCCTGAAGCCGTCTTCCCTTAGGATGCATTATTTCCCAGGGGCTTACACCCATAATCCTAGCACTTGGGGAGGATGAAGAGGGTGATCACTTGAGGCCAGGAGTTCGAGACCAGCCTGGGCAACACAGTGAGACGCCCCCCATCTCTACAAAAAAAATACAGAAAATTAGCTGGGCATGGTGGTGGTATACACCTATAGTCCCAGCTACTTGGAAGGCTGAAGTTGAAGGATAGGCTGAGCCTGGGAGATTGAGGCTGCCAGTGAGCTGTCATTGCACCTCTGCACTCCAACCTTGGCAACAGAGTGAGACCTTGGCTCAAAGTAAATAAATAAAGATGTATAATTAAGAGCTTGTGAACAGATACATCTCTCACATATAATTATTTGTTTTTCTGAAAGGAAGTCCAAGAAACTGTTTGCCTTTAAAAAAAGGGAAAGGTCGTATGGACAAAAGATTTTACTTTTCTTTTTTTTCTTTCTTTTTTTTGTTTTTAGACAGAGTCTTGCTCTGTCTCCAGGCTGGAATGCAGTGGCGCGATCTCAGCTCACTGCAACCTCCAGCTCTGTGATTCAAGCAATTCTCCTGCCTCAGCTTCCCAAGTAGCTGGGATTACAGGCATGCTCCACCATGCCCAGCTAATTTTTGTATTTTTAGTAGAGACGGGGTTTCACCATGTTGGCCAGGATGGTCTTGATCTCCTGACCTCGTGATCCGCCTGCCTCGACCTCCCAAAGTGCTGGGATTAAAGGCATGAGCCATCATGCCCGGCCAAGATTTTTTCACTTAGCTTTTATTTGTAATTTTGGATTTCCAAATCTATCTATCTATAAATATATATATATAAAAATATATATATAATTTTGTCGAGTATCAACCAAGATGCCCTAACACAATTTAACGTAGTTTAATTAATTTCACATATCTAACTCACTTTATTTTACTTATTTATCTGTTTCTGTGACTGTCCCTCTGTCATCCAGGCTGGAGTGCAGTGGCGTGATCTCGGCTCACTGCAACCTCCACCTCCTAGGTTCGAGCAATTCTCCTGCCTCAGACTTCCAGATAGCTGGGATTACAGGTACACCCCACCATGCCCGGCTAATTTTTTTTATTATTTTTGGTAGATACCAGGTTTCACCATGTTGGCCAAGCTGGTCTTAAGTGATCCATTCTCATTGGCCTCCCAAAGTGCTGGGATTACAGGCGTGAGCCACCATGTCCAGCCCACTTAACTCACTTTAATTTAGTACTTAACTATATTTGAAATGCTTGTGATAACTCTCCATGAAGGAAAAGTAAGATATGTAAGAATTGGGAGGAAAAAAGTACATATATCACTTTTGGCAGTCAATATATTTATATTCTGGAAAATCAAGCTAAAAATAACTTGAGTTTGCCATGGGATTAGCAAGATTTCAGGTTGTAAGAGTCAACTGAATTAATACAAACTAGACTGAGCATGGTGACTCATGCCTATAACCCCAGCACTTTGGGAAGCTGAGGCTTTTTTTTTTTTTTTTTTTTTGAGGCGGAGTCTCGCTCTATCACCCATGCTGGAGTGCAGTGGCGTGATCTCAGCTGACTACAACCTCTGCCTCCTGGGTTCAAGCAACTCTCCTGCCTCAGCCTCCTGAGTAGCTGGGATACAGATGCATGACACCATACCTGGCTAATTTTTTTTTTTTGAGTTGGAAATTCGCTCTTGTTGCCCAGGCTGGAGTGCAATGGCGTGATCTCGGCTCGCTGCAACCTCTGCCTCCCAGGTTCAAGTGATTCTCCTGCCTTGGCCTCCCAAGTAGCTGGGATTACAGGCATGCACCACTGCATCTGGCTAATTTTGTACTTTTAGTAGAGATGGGGTTTCTCCATGTTGGCCAGGCTGGTCTCCAACTCGACCTCGTAATCCACCCCCCTCGGCCTCCCAAAGTGCTGGGATTACAGGCATGAGCCACTGCACCTGGCCTATATATATATTTTACTACTATATGTATATGTATATATGTGTATATATAGCATATATATGTATATATGTGTATATATAGCATATATATGTATATATACTAGTAACAGTATATATATACACATTTTCACTACACTAGTCAAAGTATACACACACACACACTTAGCAGTATATATTATATATATATTCCAGTATATATATCTACATGTAAAAGATATATAGATATATATATAGATACATAAAATATATATGGATACATACACTGGAAAAGTCAGTGAGGAGAAAACGATTCATTGACAATACTAAATAAAAACCAAACCAACCAGGAAACATTTAGGAACTAGCTTCACTTTTGACATGTAACCAGAACAACACAGTAAAGGTTGTTGCCTGGGAATTAGAAGTGAAACACCACGCCCAAATGGCTCAAGCTGGTGGCCAGAGATAAGAACTTAAAGGCATCTCTCCCGCCTAGCAGACTGGGCCCCCTGGTTTCCCATCACTTCCTTTAAACAGACTACTCAGGCATTTGCCCACAAACTTAAAGGGGCTTTAAGTTCAACTTTAAGTGACACCCTATTTGTTGCAGGTGGTAAACGATTTTACCAAGACAGCTGTAGGTAAAGAAAGGCAGATTTAACCACTCTTCCTCTTTCCCTAAGCGGCCTGAGGTAATCTGTGAAAATGGTTCGCTATTCATTTGACCTAGAGAACCCCACAAAATCACGCAAATCAAGAGGTTCAAATCTTCGTGTTCACTTTAAGAACACTCATGAAACTGCAGGCCATCAAGCGTATGCATATACAAAAAGCCACAAAGTATCTGAAAGATGTCACTTTACAGAAACAGTGCGTACCATTCCAATGTTACAATGGTGGAGTTGGCAGGGGTGCCCAGGCCAAGCATTGGGGCTGGGCACAAGGTCGGTGGCCCAAAAAGAGTGCTGACTTTTTGCTGCACATGCTTAAAAATGCAGAATTTAAGGGTTTAGATATAGATTCTCTGGTCATTGAGCATATCCAAGTGAACAAAGCACCTAAGAAGGGCTGCTGGACCTACAGAGCTCATGGTTGGATTAACCCATGCATGAGCTCTCCCTGCCACACTGAGATTATCCTTACTGAAAAGGAACAGATTGTTCCTAAACCAGAAGACGAGGTTGCCCAGAAGAAAAAGATATCCCAGAAGAAACTGAAGAAACAAAAACTGATGACACAGGACTACATTCAGCATTAAAATAAATGCAATTAAAAGTTAAAAAAAAAAAAGGCAGATTTATTAGAGAAAGCGTGAAAATATGTTGCAAGGGTGCGATGGGCAGCACAGTAGAGAAGGGGCTGTCAGCCAAGGGGCAGGGGCTAGGGGGAGGTTTTATAGGGTCTTGCAGGAGGGGGGCTACATGCAGAACAAGGTTGTAATCCTGGCGCTACATGCCAAACAGGTCATTGTGCCCACAAGTTTGTGATTAGCACTTTCTCAGAACAAGTGTTCGTTTTTCTCCCCCACCTGAGACCCTGTCCTCATTTCGCTTACTTATCAGGACTCCACACTATTCTCTTATACGTACCACTAGTTGCTTCTCTCACTCTCTGCCTCTTAATTTCTGCCTTGCCTGACCTGAGGATGGAGGATGATACTCCTGACTCATGGCGCCTTCCCTGCCCAGGATCTGTAAGTAATAAACCTTTGATCATATTTCCTACTGTGGTGGATTGAATGGGTGCCTTTCATCTGAAGAACCAGGGGCTACCTAGGTTTTCCAGGGACACTGGGAAGAACACAAGGCTGGGCTCTCAGCATCAAAGCGATGGTTAGACAATCATAAACTGAACACAGACCAGACAACAGCCATGGGAGCGTCTGCCAGGATAAACACATTTCCCATGTGAAGGAGCCCCTGGGCACAGGTTGGGCAGCTAAGCATTAGACCTTCCACCACGTTAAAGAAGTACCCCATGAGAGACGCACTGTAGACACCTATGCCCAGCTCCCTTCATTTCCCATTAGGGCAGGGCTGCTAGCTGCTCTGGTACTGAAACCCCAGTTTAGCTAGGGGCTCTCAAAACAGACATATAAGAGCCATTCAATAAAAATAAATGTTTCTTGGCTGGGTGCAGAGACTCACGCCTGTAATATCAGCACTTTGAGAGGCCAAGATGGGCAGATCATGTGAGGCCAGGAGTTTGAGACCAGCCTGGCCAACATGGTGAAACCCTGTCTCTACTAAAAATCCAAAAATTAGCTGGGCGTGGTGGCGCATGCCTGTAATCTCAGCTACTCAGGAGACTGAGGCATGAGAATCGCTTGGACCCGGGGAGGCAGAGGTTGCAGTGAGCCAAGATGGCCCCACTGCACTCCAGCCTGGGCAACAGATCAAGACTCTGTCTCAATAAAAAAGAGAGAGAAGAAATGTTTCTCAAAAGAGGAATAACATAGCCATTCTAAAACAATACTGACTTGGAAGACTGGTGTGTGATTGAGACCTTAATTCTTGAAATAATATAGGGCCACATTGTTTTCATCCTTTTTAATTGATTGATTAATTAATTGTTTTTCTGAGACAGAGTGTCTGTCGCCAGGGCTAGAGTGCAGTGGCGCGATCTCAGCTCACTGCAACCTCCACCTGCTGGTTTCAAGCGATTCTCCTGCCTCAGTCTCCCGAGTAGCTGGGATTACAGGTGCCTGCCACTATGCCCAGCTAATTTTTTTGTATTTTTAGTAGAGACGGGGTTTCGCCATGTTGGCCAGGCTGGTCTCGAACTCCTGACCTCATGATTCACCTGCCTCAGCCTCCCAAAGTGCTGGGATTACAAATGTGAGCCACCATGCCTGCCGTTTTCACACCTTTCTTAAAGTGGCAGTAGCTTTCTTCATGTGAAGTTCTTTCTATTCAGAGGCTTTATATATAGGACAGATACTATTCTATATATAAAAAGTACAATTGCTTTTGCGCAAATTAAAAGAAAATGGTATATATACATAAACACATTTGTTGATATATGACAGGAAAGTTTCTGGAGGGATACATAAGCCATTGTTAGTTTTATTTTATACCTTTGTGTACTGTTTAAATTATTTTACCCTTAGTATGCCAGAAAAAGTCATCACTGTTGATCATCTGGGGCCAATAGAACCTTCAAATTTTAAAAATATTTCCTGTAAAGCAATTTACAATAGTAGGAATAAGGGATAGTGAAAAACAACTTTATTAGAAACTTTAACAAGAATGCTTTATCTCACTACTGGGTCAGTATATAAACATGGTGTTATTTTTCCTATGTTAAAACCTCTCTCTTGATCCATCCCACAAGCCCCTCCTATTTCTGCCCCCATTTCTCTGCTTTTATTTTTATTTATTTATTTATTTATTTTGTGAGAGGGGTTCTTGCTCTGTCACCCAGGCTGGAGTGCAGTGGTGTGATCATAGCTTGCTACAATCTCCATGTCCTCAGTTTAAGTGATCCTCCCACTTCAGCCTCCCAAATAGGTGGGACTACAAGTGCATGCCACCGCATGCTTGGGTAATTTAAAAAAAAAAAGTAGGCTGGGCACTCATCCCTGTAATCCCAGCACTTTGGGAGCCCAAGGCGGGCAGATCTCTTGAGTTCAGGAGTTCGAGAACAGGCTGGCCAACATGGTGAAACCCCACCTTTACTAAAAGTATAAAAATCAGCCAGGCATGGTGGGACACAACTGTAATCTCAGCTACTTGGGAGGCTGAGGCACGAGGCGGAGGTTGCAGTGAGCCCAGATTGCGCCACTGCACTCCAGCCTGGGCAACAGAGTGAGACTCCATCTAAAAAAAAAAAAAAAAATTATAGAGATAGGGTCTCACTATGTTTCCCAGGCTGGTCTGTTACTCCTGAACTCATGGGACCCTCCACCTTGTACTCTCAATCTCTGCTCCTCTTGAGAACAAAATCCCTTGAGAGAATTGTCAATACTCCCTCTTTCAATTTGTCTCCCTCATTCTCTCCTAAACCCCCTGTAATTAGGCTTTGTGTTCCCACCACTCTTCTGAAACTGCCCTTGTTCCAGTTGCCAAGGACTTTCATGTTGCTGATCCAATGGTCGTCTCAGTCTTTACTTGTCTTGAACTGTTGGTGGTATTTGACATGGTCGATCATTTTCTCCACCTATTTTCTTCATTTGGCTCCTCCAATTCTATTTCTTGCTAGTTTTCCTCCTACCTTGCTGGCCCCTCATTGTCAGTTTCTTTGGCTGGTTTCTCTTCATCTCCCAAACAGTGAATGTTGAAGAGTGCTGGGGTGTGGTCCTCGAACCTCTCCTCCATCTATAGTCACTTGCTTGTGATCTCATGCAGTTTCTTGGGTTTAAATATTATCTAGGTGGTAACTCTCAAACTTAATTTTCCAACCTGGATCATATCATCCCCACTGGATTCCAGGTTTGTATACCCAGCTGCCCTCTTGAACATCTTTTTTTTTTTTTTTTTTTTTTTTTTTTTTTTGAGATAAGGTCTGGCTCTGTCACTCAGGCTGGAGTACAGTGGTGCAATTACAGCTCACTGCAACCTCTGCCTCCTGGGCTCAACCTCCACCTCCCACCTCAGCCTCTTGAGTAGGTGGGATTACAAACATGTACCACTATGCCTGGATAATTTTTGTATTTTTTTGGTAGAGATGGGGGGTCTCACCTTATTGCCCAGGCTGCTTTTTAACTCCTGGGATCCAGTGATTTTTTTCACCTCAGTCTGCCAAAGTGCTGGGATTACAGGCATGAGCCACTGCACCTGTCCTGAATATCTACTAGGTGTCTCAAGCCTAACAAGTCTACAATTAAACTCTGATCTTCCCCAACTTGTTCCTCCCTTAGTCTTCCCTGCATCAGCTAATGACAATTCTCCTTCCAGTTGCTCAGGCTAAAACTCTGGAGTCATCCTTAATGACTCTTTTGCACATGCTCTGCATTTTGTCCGCCTGCAAATTCCATCATCTCTATCTTCAAAATATCCAGAATCTGACTCCATTTTGCTGCTTCCACTGCTAGCCTCCAGGCCCACGATGCTGGCCACTATTTTTCACTTGGAAAATTGCAGTAGCCTCTTTTATTCCCCCTTTTTTAAAAAACTTTTTATTTTTATTATTATTTTTTTGAGACAGAGTCTTGCTCTGTTACCCCAGGCTGTAGTACAATGGCATGATCTTGGCTTACTGTAACCTCCGCCTCCCAGGTTCAAGCAATTCTCATGCCTCAGCCACCCAAGTTGCTGGGATTACAGGTGCCTGCTACCATGCCTGGCCTAATTTTTATATTTTTAGTAGAGATGGGGTTTCACCATGTTGGCCGGGCCAGTCTTGAACTCCTGACCTCAAATGATCTGCCCGCCTTGGCCTCCCGAAGCTCCGGGATTACAGATGTTACTCACCACACCCAGCCTCTACGTACATTAGCTCCTTTAATCCTCATTTAAAAATTCTTGTGGTAGATATGAAGAGTCTTCAAAAAATTCACTAAAAACGCACATAATGAATGAAAATACTATGCATGGATTTCAAACATTTTTTGTACCAAAATAAACGCATACTAATTTGTCATAACCTTTCACATCAAGATCTGGTTTGAGGCACTAAGGATAAGACATTGTTTGAAAAGAGCCCCTGTCAGAGCAACATGAATTCTGCTAAAAAAAACACTTTTTTTTTTTTTTAAATAGGGCCTTACTCTGTTGCCCAGGCTGGAGTACAGTGGCATGATCACATCTCACTGCAGCCTTGACCTCCTCCGCTCAAGTAATCCTCCCACCTCAGCCTCCCAAGTAGCTGGGGCTACAGGCGTGCACCACCACACCTGACTAATTTTTTTGGGAGAAGGGGGGATGGAATTTCACTCTCATTGCCCAGGCTGGAGTGCGATGGCACGATCTCGGCGCACTGCAACCTCTGCCTCCCAGGTTCAAGTGATTCTCCTATTTCAGGCTCCTAAGTAGCTGGGATTACAGGTGCGTGACACCAGGCCTGGCTAATTTTTGTATTGTTAGTTGAGATGGGGTTTCACCATGTTGGTCAGGCTGGTTTCAAACTCCTGACCTCAGGTGATCCACCCACCTCAGCCTCCCAAAGTGCTGGGATTACAGGTGTGAGCCACCATGCCTGGCCAACACCACAGTTTCTTTATCCACTTGTTGACTGATGGATATTTGGGCTGGTTCCACATTTTTGCAGTTGTGAATTATGCTGCTATAAACATGCGTGTGCAAGCATCTTTTTCATATAACGACTTATTTTCCTCTGGGTAGATACCCAGTAGTGGGATTGTGGAATCAAATGGTAGATCTACTTTTAGTTCTTTAAAGAATTGCCACACTGTTTTCCATAGCAGTTGTACTAGCTTACATTCCCACCAGCAGTGTAGAAGTGTTCCCTTTTCACTGCATCCATGCCAACATCTATTATTTTTAAATTTTTTGATTATGGCCATTCTTGAGGAGTAAGGTGGTATCACATTCTGGTTTTGATTTGCATTCCCCTGATCATTAGTGATGTTGAGCATTTTTTCATATGTTCGTTGGCCATTTGTATATCTTCTTCTTCTTTTTTTTTTTTTTTTGTTTGAGACAGAGTCTCGCTCTGTCGCCCAGGCTGAAGTGTAATGGTACGATCTCCATTCACTGCAACCTCCGCCTCCCGGGTTCAAGCAATTCTCCTGCCTCAGCCTCCTGAGTAGCTGGGATTAGAGGCGCCCGCCACCACGCCTAGCTAATTTTTGTATTTTTAGTAGAGACGGGATTTCACCATGTTGGTCAGGCTGGTCTTGAACCCCTGACCTTGTGATCCACCCACCTCGGCCTCCCAAAGTGCTGGGATTACAGGCGTGAGCCACCGCGCCTGGCTGTATATCTTCTTTTCAGAATTGTCTATTCATGTCCTTAGCCCACTTTTGGATGATGGGATTGCTTTTTTGGCAACAGTTTTTGATGCTCAAGACATTTTGCTGTTGACTTTCTGGAGAGCCAAAGAACAATAACATCTGCTTATTAGGAGAGTGTTTTAAGGAAGTTAGTCGAAGCTTCTGCAGAAAAATGCCAGCAAAGTTTTACTGGAGAGTTCTTCTCCACCACAGCAATGCTTCTGCTCATTTCTCTCATCAGACAAAGGCAATTTTACAAGAATTTCAATGAGAAATCATTAGGAATGCACCTTTTTTATTGTTTTATTTTTTTTTTGAGATGGAGTCTCACTTTGTCACCCAGGCTGGAGTGCAGTGGTGCGATCTCGGCTCACTGCAATCTCCGTCTCCCAGGTTCAAGTGGTTCTCCTACCTCAGCCTCCCGAGTAGCTGGGATTACAGGCACCTGCCACCACGCCCAGCTAATTTTTTTTTTTTTTTTTTTTTTTTTTTTTGTATTTTCAGTAGAAACGGAGTTTCACCATGTTGGCCAGGCTGGTCCTGAACTCCTTACCTCAGGTGATCCGCCCGCCTCGGCCTCCCATAGTGTTGGGATTACAGGCATGAGCCACTGCGCCTGGCCTAGAATGCAACTTACAGTCCTGATTTGGCTCCTTCTGACTTCTTTTTTTTTTTTTTTTTTTTTTGAGATGGAGTCTCGCTCTGTCGCCCAGGCTGGAGTGCAGTGGCATGATTTTGGCTCACTGCAAGCTCTGCCTCCCGGGTTCAGGCCATTCTCCTGCCTCAGCCTCCCCAGTAGCTGGGACTACAGGTGCCCACCACCACGCCCGGCTAATTTTTTTGTATTTTTAGTAGAGACGGGGTTTCACTGTGTTAGCGAGGATGGTCTCGATCTCCTGACCTCGTGATCCTCCCGCCCCAGCCTCCCAAAGTGCTGGGATTACAGGCGTGAGCCACCAAGCCTGGCCATGCTCCTTCTAACTTCTTTTTGTTTCCTAATCTTTTTTTTTTTTTTGAGACAGAGTTTCGCTTTGTCACCCAGACTGGAGTGCAGTGGTGCGATCTCAGCTCACAGCAAACTCTGCCTCCCGGGCTCAAGATATTCTCCTACATCAGCCTCTCAAGTACCTGGGACTACAGGTGTGCACCACCACACCTGGCTAATTCTGTATTTTTAGTAGATACAGGGTTTCACCATATTGGCCAGGTTGGTTTCACACTCCTGACCTCAAGTGATCCACCTGCCTCGGCCTCCCAAAGTGTGGGGATTACAGGTGTGAGCCACCACGCCCAGCCTGTTTCCTAGTCTTAAAAAAAAATTTAAAGGGCATCCATTTTTCTTCAGCTAATAATGTAAAAAAGGCTGCATTGACTGCTGGTTGTGGTGGCTCGCGCCTGTAATTCCAGCACTTTGGGAGGCCAAGGCAGGTGGATCACCTGAGGTCAGGAGTTTGAAACGAACCTTGCCAACATGGTGAAACCCCATCTGTACTAAAAATACAAAAAATTAGCCGGGCATGGTGGTGCGTGCTTGTAATCCCAGCTACTTGAGAGGCTGAGGCAGAAGAATCGCTTGAGCCCAGGAGGCGGAGGTTGTAGTGAGCTGAGATCACACCGTTGCACTCCAGTCTGGGTGACAGAGTGAGACTCTGCCTCAAAAAAAAAAAAAAAAAAAAGACTACATTGACATGGTTAAATTCCCAGGCCTCTCAGTTCTTTAGGGATAGACTAAAGGGCTGGTATCATCACTTACAAAAGGGTCTTTTTTTTTTTTTTTTTTTTTGAGACGCAGTTTCTCTCTTGTTGCCCAGGCTGGAGTGCAGTGGCGTGATCTCGGCTCACTGCAACCTCTGCCTCCCAGGTTCAAGTGATTCTCCTGCCACAGGCTCCCGAGTAGCTGGGATTACAGGCGTCCGCCACCACGCCCAGCTAATTTTTTGTATTTTTAGTAGAGATGGGGTTTCATCATGTTGGCCAGGCTGGTCTTGAACTCCTGACCTCAGGTGATCCACCAACCTCGGCCTCCCAAAGTGCTAGGATTACAGGTGTGAGCCACCATGCCCACCCCTACAAAAGTGTCTTGAACTTGATGGGGATTATGTTGAAAAATAAGGTTTATGTTTTTTTTTAATTTTTAATTTTTAATTCCATTTCCCACAAACTTTTCAAAGTCTTCTCATATTATCTGCCTTTTGGAGATGAGAAACTAAGGCACAGGTGGTTAAGGATGTTGCTCAAGGTTACACAGCTAGTAAAATGCAGACCAGATTTTGGACCCAGGAAATCTGGCTTCAGAGCCTCTGTGCTCAACCTATGTGCTGTACTAACTCTTGTGATGAGAAGGAAATATCAGTTGGGCACGGTGTCTCATGCCCGTAATTCCAGCAGTTTGGGAGGCCGAGGTGGGAGGATCTCTTGAGCCCAGGAGTTCAAGACCAGCCTTAGCAATATAGTGAGACGCTGTCTCTACACAAAATCAAAAACTGAGGCAGGAGGATTGCTTGAGCCCAGGAGATAGAGGCTGCAATGAGCCATGATCATGCTACTGCACTCCCACCTCGGTGACAGGGCAAGACCTTGCTTCAAAAAAAAAAAAGAAGTAAATATCTGTTGAAAAAATAAAGACATTGCTGCTACAACCAACCATCAACACAGCCTTTGTGCACATTTCTATGTGATGAATTGTAGCCAATATCAGTTTACTCTTCAACATATATAAAGAATGGGAACAAATAAGACTACTTTTATCTAGACTAATAAAGTCAATATCCTTAACTAATGGTTAGAAAAGATAACCGACCCCAGTTGGCTGCGATGGCTCACGCCTGTAATCCCAGCACTTTGGGACGTTGAGGCGGCTGGATCGTGAGGTCAGGAGATCGAGACCATCCTGGCTAATACGGTGAAACCCCGTCTCTACTAAAAATACACAGAAAATTAGCTGGGCGTGGTGGCGGGCGCCTGTAGTCCCAATTACTCGGGAAGCTGAGGCAGGGGAATGGCGTGAACCTGGGAGGCGGAGCTTGCAGTGAGCCGACATCACACCACTGCACTCCAGCCTGGGCGACAGAGCAAGACTCTGTCTCAAAAAAAAGAAAAGATAACCGCCCCCCTCAAAACAAACAAACAAGCAAACAAATAAAAAACCAGAGTATAAACTGTCCATTCAAAAAAGACTCTAGAGGCCGAGATGGGCATTTCACCTGAGGCCAGGGGTTTGAGACCAGCCTGGCCACCATGGTGAAACCCGGGCTCTACTAAAAACATAAAAATTAGCCAGGCGTGGTGGCACACACCTGTAGTTCCAGCTACACAGAAGGTTGAGGCACAAGAATTGCTTGAACCCGAGAGGGGGAGGCTGCAGTGAGCTATGATTACACCACTGCACTCCAGCCTGGGTGACAGAACGAGACTCTGTATCAAAAACAAAAACAAAAACAAACAAACAAACAAAAAACCCAGCAATGTTAAGGTATTGTGCTTAAAAACATAAATTATAAAAACAAAAGCTGGGAAAATAAGTTGCCTTAAAAAATGGCTGTTATTTTAGAGAGCAGTTTAGAAATATGTTTCACAAAATATTAAATATTTTTATCTCTTGACTCATGTATTAGTCAGAACTCCTCTGGTTGCAAGTGACAGAAATCCAACATAGACTATGAAAAAAAAATTACCTTAAAGAATTAATTGATCCTGGGCTGGGTGCCATGGTTCATGTCTGTAATCCCAGCATTTTGGGAGGCTGAGGTGGGTGGATCATTTGAGGTCAAGAGTTCAAGACCAGACTGGCCAACATGGTGAAGCCCCGTCTCTACTAAAAATACCAAAAAAAATCAGCTGGGCGGGGTGGTGCACACCTGTAGTCCCAACTACTCGGGAGGCTGAGACAGGAGAATCGCTTAAGCTCCAAGGCGGAGGTTGCAGTGAGCTGAGATTGCGCCACTGCACAACTCCTCCTTACAGAGGGAGACTCTGTGTAAAAAAATAAAATGAATAAGAATTGATCCTGGATCCAGGAGCTCAAAGCATGTGCCCAAGAAACTGAGGTTCTTGGCTCTCCCTGCCTCTGACTTTGTTTCCAGCAGTCATCCTCCCTCTCTTTGCTGGGGAAGACGCCCTGCCAGCTCCATGGCAACAGGAGCTGCATAGCTCTAGTCCTCAGAAGTCTCCCCGAGTCCACAGCCATCCAACAATCCCCTCAAAAGACTCTGAATAGAGGCCAGGTGTGGTGGCGCATGCCTGTAATCCCAGCACTTTGGGAGGCCAAGCCGGGTGAATCACTTGAGGTCAGGAGTTCAAGATCAGCCTGACTAACATGGTGAAACCCCATCTCTACTAAAACTACAAAAATCATCCAGGCTTGGTGATGAGCACCTGTAATCCCAGCAACTCAGGAGGCTGAGGTAGGAGAATTGCTTGAACCTGGGAGGTGGAGGTTGCAGTGAGCCAAGATTGTGCTACTGCAATCCAGCCTGGGCGACATGAGACTCTGTCTCAAAAAAAAAAAAAAAAAAAAAAAAAAAAAGACTCTGATAGAGCTGCCTAGGTCCTATGCCCATTCCTGAGCAACCTCATGTTCAAGGATGAAGTACTCTAACTGGCAAAGACAATGCCATGTGTAGACCAGAGGGTTTCATTTCTTCCTGGCTCGGGAGAAACTACATTCCCCAGGCACTCTCACATCTGGTGGAAGCATGTGACTAGTTCTGAACAATGAATGTGGCACAAGAGAGGCTTACGGCTTCTGAGCTGGATCCTAAAATGCACCCCGTTTCCCCCATCTTCCATGCTCTCTCTTTGCTTGTTCATGGTGGATGCATTCTCAGGTCTAATCAAGGGCTCCTAGGAAGCCCTAAAGAACACTGGAAGCGATAAAAGGAAGGAGCTTGGATTTCTGCTTAAAGGAAAGTCTTCTCATGTCCTCCCCCAACAACCTCCCAAAAAAACCCTCATTGAGCTGTGATATAACCAAGAAATAAACTTATTATTCTATTGAGCCACTGAGATTTGTAGTTAGTGGTTATCAATCTACTGTGAATAGATTAGTTCACATGCTCACTCCTGAGATAGGAGAGATGGGACTTTTGCTTTAAAACAAGGCATACTGGACAGGTGCGGTGGTTCATGCCTGTAATCCCAGCACTTTGGGAGGCCAAGGCTGGTGGATCACTTGAGGCTAGGAGTTCGAGACTAGCCTGGCCAACGTGATGAAACCCCATCTCTGCTACAAATACAAAAAATTAGCTGAGCATGTTGGCATGCACCTGTAGTCCCAGCTACTCGGGAGGCCGAGGCAGGAGAATCCCTTGAGGCCAGGAGGTAGAGGCTGCAGAGAGCTGAGATTGTGCCACTGCACTCCAGCCTGGGCAACACAGCAAAACTCCGTCTCAAAAATAAAACAAAAAGGCTGGGCGCAGTGGCTCATGCCTGTAATCCCAGCACTTTGGGAGGCCGAGGCGGGCGGATCATGAGGTCAGGAGATCGAGACCATCCTGGCTAACAAAGTGAAACCCCATCTCTACTAAAAATACAAAAAAATTAGCTGGGCATGGCAGTGTGCGCCTGTAGTCCCAGCTGCTGGGGAGGCTGAGGCAGGAGAATGGGGTGAACCTGGGAGGCGGCGCTTGCAGTGAGCCGAGATCGTGCCACTGCACTCCAGCCTGGGTGACAGAGCAAGACTCTGTCTCAAAAAAAAACCAAAATAAATAAAAAATAAAAAATAAGGCACACCAGAGCCATAAAGTGTAGGAGGGGCTGTTCCCAATGGAAAGACATGTGGGTCAGACAATAAAAGAGCAGATAAACAACCCACTTATCTTGAGTTTAGGAATCAGTCCAAAGGAAATAATCCAAAAGGAAACTAAATTATTTTAAATAAAGATGTTCATCGCAGAGCTATTTATAATAGCAACAGATTGGAAATGTCCCAAAAGCTCAAAACGTGGATGTGATAAAGCAAAGCACAGTTGATCAGTATAATGCACCCATGGATACATGGAACTGTGTATCAGAAACCTTGCTGAGTGACAGATGCTAAGCACAAAAGGATTTAGTCCTCTCCTTACCCCTTACAAAGGCGCTGGGGGTTGGGCCTCCTCTGGCAGCTGAATTGAGGAGTGGAATCCTCAGAACTGGGGGCCTGAATCAGGGAGTTCTCATTAGATCTGGAGGAGGAAACTGAGCCAGAAGTTGTTCAGCAAACTGGGCTTCACATTCATAAGAGACCCAGGAAGAGACATGGGATCAGGGTTTGGAACCAGGGAGAGAAGAGAAAACTTTGATCAGGTGAGGATCAAATTGGGAGGCAGGGAGGGTGCTTGGGCTGTCAGATGATGCTCAGGGCTGGCTTTTGAGGGTGGCTGGGCTGGCTAAGCAAAGGACCAGAACTGGGGCAGGAACCAAACCCTTCTAAGTCCTCCTCTGGGCAGGGCAGGGCAGGGCATCCCTTCACTCACCTGGTGAAATGCCTTTTTGTTTGTTTGTATGCTTTTTGAGATGGTGTCTCGGTCTGTCATCCAGAGAGAGTGCAATGGTGAGATCTGGGCTCACTGCAACCTCTACCATCTGGGTTCAAGTGATTCTCCTGCCTCAGCCTCCAGAGTAGCTGGGATCACAGGCGCATGCCACCACACTCAGCTAATTTTTTTTTTTTTTTGAGACGGAGTTTTGCTCTTGTTGCCCAGGCTGGAGTGCAATGGCGCGATCTGCTCACTGCAACCTCCGCCTCCCGGGTTCAAGCAATTCTCCTGCCTCAGCCTTCCTGAATAGCTGGGATTAGAGGCATGTGCCACCGCACCAGAATAATTTTGTATTTTTAGTAGAGACGGGGTTTCTCCATGTTGGTCAGGCTGGTCTCGAACTCCCAGCCTCAGATGATCTGCCCGCCTTGGCCTCCCAAAGTGCTGAGATTACAGGAGTGAGCCACTGCGCCCAGCCAATTTTTGTATTTTTAATAGAGACAGGGTTTCACCATGTTTGCCAGGCTAGTCTCGAACTCCTGACCTGAGGTGAGCCATCTGCCTCACCCTCTCAAAGTGCTGGGATTACAGGCGTGTGCCACTGTGCCTGGCCTGAAATATCTGTTTTGAGACAGGATCTCACTTTGTCACCCAGGCTGGAGTGCAGTGATGCGATCTCGGCTCACTGCAACCTCCACCTCCCGGGTTCACATGATTCTCTTGCCTCAGCCTCCCGAGTAGCTGGGATTACAGGTGCATGCCATCTCACTAACTTTTTATTTTTTATTTTTGTAGAGACGGGGTTTCACCATGTTGGCCAGGCTGGTCTTGAACTCCTGATCTCAAGTGATCTGCCTGCTTCAGCCTCCCAAAGTGCTGGGATTACAGGTATGAGCCACCGCACCTGGCCTAAAAGCTTCTCAGATGATTCTGATCTGCATCCCTTAGGTGCAAGCACTTAAGGTCCTAGCCGTTTGCTTATACGGTGGTTGATGATTTAGAAGGTACAAGGAATGGAGGCCATGGCTGATGTGTCAGTGTGTTTTAGACACGGGAATGTAGTGAACTCTATGCAAATTTTGCAGAATAAAGGCGGGTGGTGTCCTGTGTTTCCCAGTGGTCAGGAAGCAGAGCGTTCTCTAGAACTTAATTGACGCATTTCACCAGGCACCAGGTGGAAAGGTCCAGTACGGGGGATGAAACGTGACATCTTAGGATACTCCCTCCTGTACCATGATGGTGTGATGGTCACAGGCATGGAGAGGGCCCAGAGAGGGTATAGTAGCCTTTAGGACCATTGCTGTCTATCCTTATCCAGTGTACCTATAACTCAAGAACTGATGAATTTGGGAGACAATCTCTAGACCACAGGGCCACCAAAAGTTCCATGGGCCCATGTTTAGGATTTTGAAGGACGCCCAGTGGCATACTGAGTAGTGTCCTCCCCAGTCCCAGCACTGATGCGCAGTTTCCTACTGCCAGGACATTGATGGCTATACTGGTGGAGGAGGAACCTGTGCATTTTTCTTATTTTTTTATTTTTTAGATGGAGTCTCACTCTGTTGCCAGGCTGGAGTGCAGTGGCGCGATCTTGGCTCACTGCAACCTCTGCCTCCCAGGTTCAAGCAATTCTCTTGCCTCAGCCTCCTGAGTAGCTGGGTCTACAGGTGCATGCCACCATGCCCAGCTAATTTTTGTATTTTTAGTAGGGACAGGGTTTCACCATGTTGGTCAGGCTGGTCTCGATCTCTTGACCTCGTGATCTGCCTGCCTTGGCCTCCCAAAGTGCTGGGATTACAGGTGTGAGCCACCGCACCCAGCCGATCCTGTGCATTTTTTTAGCTTTGAGCAGGCTTGGATCTCAGCCAACTGGATGATGGCCTTGCAGAACTGTTTAGACTCACAGCAACAGAGCCGGCATGCCTGCAGAGTTCCCAGGCCACGGTGCTTTGGATGCGGGACTTCTCTGCCATCCCCTGCCATTGTGGTCTTGCTGGCAGGATATCTACCAAACAGTTTAGGCTGCTCAGCTCACAAATACGGGAAGCAAACTCTTTGAAGACTGCGAGGAGGCATGAGCTGAACCAAGTGTGCTCCAAGCACTCCTAGCTGTCAGGTAATGGGGAATGCCCCCCTTGAAGGCCACTTAGATCACTAGCAATGCTGTCTTCTTCACCATGAGGTCACTGACGTTAATCATCCAGTTTTCTTGCTGTGGAGTCACAGGAGAGTAAGTCATTTAGGCTGAAGACTTTTTTGTGTGTCCTTCTCCTGCCAGCTTGAGAAAGCTAGGGACTTCTTTTTTGTTTTTTGAGGCGGACTCTCGCTCTGTCGCCCAGGCTGGAGTGCAGTGGCGTGATCTCAGCTCACTGCAAGCTCTGCCTCCCGGGTTCACGCCATTCTCCTGCCTCAGCCTCCCAAGTAGCTGGGACTACAGGCGCTCGCCACCACGCCCGGCTAATTTTTGTACTTTTAATAGAGACAGGGTTTCACCATGTTAGCCAGGATGGTCTCAATCTCCTGACCTCGTGATCCGCCCGCCTCTGCCTCCCAAAGTGCTGGGATTACAGGCGTGAGCCACTGCTCCCCGGCCAGGCTGGGGACTTCTTGATACAAGCTGGATGAGCTTGCCTTGAGGATATGAGGCTAGGCTGACTTTAGGGAAGTCAGTTTTTGGAAAGAGTTCTCAATCTCTGAAACAAAGCACACAGTGAAGCTGGTAGCAAAGAAATCCATTTTTGTTTGTTTTTTTTTTAGAGACATCGTCTCATTCTGTCACCCGGGCTGGAATACAGTGCTTGATCATAGCTCAGTATAACCCTGAAGTCCTGGGCTCAAGTGATCCTCCTCCTTCAGCCTCCCCAGTAGCTGGGACCACAGGTGTGCACCACCACGTCCAGCTAATTTTTTTATTTCTATAGAAACAGGGTCTCGCTGTGTTGCTCAGGCTGGCCTCAAACTCCTGGGCTCAAGTGATCCTCCCGCCTTGGCCTCCCAAAGTGCTGGGATTACAGGCATGCGCCATTGCACCCGGC
The DNA here is from genome assembly GCF_000001405.40 of Homo sapiens. Lineage (NCBI taxonomy): Eukaryota > Metazoa > Chordata > Mammalia > Primates > Hominidae > Homo > Homo sapiens. Next base: position 67,800,433 of record NC_000017.11, read on the forward strand.
GAATCCTAGATTCTAGAATTGCTTGGGGTAAGGGGTCTCCTAATCCAGGAACCCAGACCCTTTGCTCTGCTTGAGAACGCACTGTCTGAACTGAACATAACCCACGTCAGTCCGGCTCACAAAACTACACTTATGGGGATTGGCCTGGAGGTGGCGCCCCTGTTGTTGGTCTAGAAATGCTGGCCAGAGGCTCAGGCCAGTCTGGCAAATGGATAAGAACATCACCCAATGGAAGAGGATGTCACAGCTCAGAAGGCTGGGCTGCACGCTTTATCAGCCCCTGGAAGAGAGCAGGGGCACTGCCCAAGCCTGAAAACATTGCACTTCCTTAAACTGCTCAACACTTATCTTGACATCTGTGGGTTTTTTTGTTTGTTTGTTTTTTGTTTTTAGATATGTCTCACTCTGTCACCCAGGCTGGAATACAGTGGCACGATCTCTGTTCACTGCAACCTCCACCTCCTGGGTTCAATCGATTCTCCTGTCTTGGCCTCCCAAGTAGCTGGGATTACAGGCATCCACCACCATGCCCGGCTAATTTTTGTATTTTTAGTAGAGACGGGGTTTCACCATGTTGGCCAGGCTGGGCTCGAACTCCTGACCTCAAATGATCCACCTGCCTCGGCCTCCCAAAGTGCTGGGATTACAGGCGTGAGCCACCATGCCCAGCCTTGACATCTGTTTTTAACTTCCATTCCCAGGTCCAGAGTGATCTGGGTTTTAAATATTACACCTTGATGTCTTAATAAAACTTCCAAATCCAGCCTTCCCAAAAAATTATTCCATGACACAGCTTAAACACTCTTCTGATCAAAATGTACTGAGTGTTTTTTAGGGCAAAGATACATGTGACATCTTTGGTGGGTTGGTTTGTTTGAGGCAGGATCTCTGTTACCAAGGCTGGAGTGCAGTGGTGCAATCTAGGCTCACTGCAACCTCTGCCTCCTGGGCCCGAACCATCCTCCCACCTCAGCTTCCCAAGCAACTGGGACTACAGGTGCGTGCCTGGCTAATTTTTGTATTTTTTGTAGAGACGGGATTTTACCATATTGCCCAGGCTGGTCTCGACCTCCTGGTCTCAAGTGATCCACCCGCCTTGGCCTCCCAAAGAGTTGGGCTTACAGGCATGAGCCACCACGCCTGGCCACATCTGATATCTTTAATAAAAAGACTCCAAGCAGGGCGGGCCTGAGATGGAAGAATCGCTTGAACCCGGGAGACAGAGGTTGCTGTGAGCCGAGATCGCGCCATTGCAATCTAGCCTGGGTGACAAGAGCAAAACTCTGTCTCAAAAAAAAAAAAAAAAAAAGACTGCAAGCAGGCTAGATTGAAGGGCTGGTCATACTTTCATCACCCCATGTCCCGCAGCCTGGCCAGTTTCACCCCATAGTTATGTTGAGCACCTCCTAGCGGAGGGGTCAGGTAAGTCAGGTAGCTGCAGGTGGTCTGAGAGATTCCATTCATTCATTTCTGGGCCACTGATCTGGCCAAGGGATTCAATCTATGTAAACGGGTTGAGGCATGTCTGCAAGACTGCCTTCTGTTCCTTGCCTCTGTGATCTGGGTCTGCTTTTCTGAACACGAAGGAGTCAGACAATCAGCAAAGCAAGGCGCAGTCCTGGGGAGTGACTGCTATAAGACTACAGTAGCCCTGGCTGAGGTCAGAGCCTATAGAATTTGGTCCAGCCTGGCCATACCTGTTTGTAAGGGCAATCTACTGTATGTACGTGGATGTGTGTTTTCCCAGGACAAGGCAAAGAAGATCCATTCCTTCCAGCCTCAATCTGTATTAGTCAGGGTTCTCCAGGGAGACAGATTCAACAGGAGAGAAAGAGAGAAAGACGAAATGGAGTTTATTTATTAGGGAAATTGGCAAGAAGTCCCAAAACAGGTCGTCTGCAGACTGGAGACCCTGGGAGGCTGGTAGTATGGCTCAATTCAAGTCCCGAAGGCCTCAGAATCAGGGAATCTGATGGTGTAGCTCTCAGTTCAAGGCCAAAGGCCTGAGAAGCCAGGAAGGGTGGAGGAGAGGGGAGAAGTCCTGGAGTTTGAAGGCTGGGGAGCCTGGAGTTGTTGTCCAAGGACAGGAGAGGAAGAATGTGTCCCAGCTCCAGCAGATAGCTTGACATAGTTACCTCTCTGTTTTTGTTCTCTCCGGGACCCTAGGAGATTGGATAAATAATGCTTTACCAGGTTTCTAGATATTCTTTAATCCATTCAAGTTGACACCTAAAGTTAACCACCACACAATCCATAGATCCCAGCCAAGGCAAAAGAAGCTTTACCCCAGGCTGGGTGCATTTGCTTACGCCTATAATCCCAGCACTTTGAGGGGTTGAGGCAGGAGGATCGCTTGAGCCCAGGAGTTCCAGACCAGCCAGGGCACATAGTGAGACCCCGTCTCTATCCAAAAAAAAAAAAAAAATGCTTAGCATGGTGGCAAGTGCCTGTAGTCCCAGCTACCTGGAGGCTGAAGTGGGAGGATCACTTGAGCCCAGGAGGTCAAGGCTACTGTGAGCTGAGATCATGCCACTGCACTCCAGCCTAGGCAACAGAGCAGAGTGAGACCCTGTTTCAAAAAAAAAAAAAAAAAAGGCCAGGCAAGGTAGCTCACCCTAGCACTTTGGAGGCCAAGGCAGGCAGATCACTTGAGGTCAGGAGTTTGAGACCAGCCTGGCCAACATGGTAAAACCCCACCTCTACTAAAAATACAAAAATAGCCCTGCATGGTGGTGGGCAACTGTAATCCCAGCTACTCGGGAGGCAGAGGTTGCAGTGAGCTGAGACCATGCCACTGCATTCCAGCCTGGGCAACAGATCAAGACTCTGTGTCTCAGAAAAAAAAAAGAAAAAAAAAAGAAAAAGAAAAAGAAGCTTTTCCCCAGCCTCTTTTTTTTTAGGAAAAAGAAAATCCTATATGCCTTCAACATCAGCTGGCAAATGTAAACGTATGTTTTATTTACTGTCTTCCCTTCCTCTAACAACAAAAAAAAGGTCATTCATATTATGATCAAGCTACTATAAATTCAGTTTTGAGCAATGCAAATAAATGTTTAATCAAATTCTAAATCTCCTAAGACATCATCAGCTTTATAGCTTCCTGGCTGAGAAAGTGGTATTTGTGAGGGTGAGAAGATAATGAAATGGCTGAAATGACTCAAGGTAGCTTTAGTCAATCAGGAAATCAACATATTTTTGCCCCTATAGTGCTCAGTGAGAATGACCCATTAGGAAGACTAAATGGGGCTTTGAAAAACCAGTGCTTGCTTTACTTCCTACTAGCCAGGCCTGCTCAGGGAGCACCCAGAGCCAAAAGAAGTAACTCAAGTATGATGGAAGCCCAGTTCAGAAAAAAAGATTATGTGTAACTTCCCCCTGGAAACAAAATTTGTTTTCCACTGCCAGGCGAGCCGGGCTGCAAATTCTTGAATGGGATGCCTGCGCTGGGGAGGATCAGAGGAGACTCTGTTTGAGTGACTGTCCTGACAAGCTGGGAAAAAAATGACATGGGGCATGGTTAAAGGCTGGCAGCTGCGTGGTGGCTCACACCTGTAATCCCAGCACTTTGGGAGGCGGAGGCGGGCGGATCACGAGGTCAGGAGATCAAGACCATCCTGGCTAACACGGTGAAACCCCGTCTCTACTAAAAATACAAAAATTAGCTGGGCGTGGTGGCAGCGGCCTGTAATCCCAGCTACTCGGGAGGCTGAGGCGGAGAATGGTGTGAACCCGGGAGGCGGAGCTTGCAGGGAGCCAAGATAACGCCACTGCACTCCAGCCTGGGAAACAGAGGGAGACTCCATCTCAAAAAAAAAAAAAAAAAAAAAAGGAAGTAAAGGCTGGCAGCTGCTTTTGGGGGGGTGTTCCCAGGAGCTTCAGAGGAGTCAAGAATGAAGGAATAAAAATCACCTTAAATATTTGAAGGCATAAAGACTTTACTTTCAAACAAAGCAACACTAGCTTGAAATGTATGATATGCCTCTTCCCAGTTTGTTTTATTCTCCCCATTTTGGTTATTATGATTTTTAAAATCCTTTCATTCTTTTCACTCAGAATGAGGCAAGTAATTGATTTCCTTATGAAGAGGCCAGGCAGTCCATTTTTCATGGCGTTCAGCGTGCACAGCAAATCTAAAACCATTGTCTGGCAAATGCAGCTCGCAGCCGCAATTATTTTTTTCACCAGGTAAGCCGGCTGGCGTATGTTTTTAAAATTTTATTGTTAAGTATTGTCTTTTACTGGTTAAATCAATGATAACATTCTTTACTTTGTGGTTATGTTACTCAAAATGAGGATTTTAAACAATGATAAAAATAAAGCTTGTTAGATCATTTTTAATGGTAATAAATTGGTTCCTGAAGATTTGATTAAAAAGAAAACTAGGTCAATCTAAGCAGAGTCCAAATTAGGTAGAAAGTCCATAGAGAACGGGAAAAAAGGAAGTTGTGGAACCACAGACACAGTAAAAGGAAAAAAATTGGGCAGGTGCGATGGCTCACACCTGTAATCCCAGCACTTTGGGAGGCTGAGGTGGATGGATCGCTTGAGCCCAGGAGTTCCAGACCAGTCTGGGCAACATGACAAAACCCCCATCTCTACAAAAACTATACAAACAAAACACATTAGCCAGGCGTGGTCGTGGGCACCTGCAGTCCCTAGCTACTTCATAGGCTGAGGTAGGAGTTATCACTTGAGCCTGGGAGGTGGAGGTTACAGTGAGCTGAGATTGAGCCATTGCACTCCAACCTGGGTGACACGGTGACAGAGTGAGACCCTGTCAAAAAAAAAAAAAAGAAAAGAAATTTATTTAATTAATTTAGTTTTGTGACAAAGTCCCTTTCTGTCTCCCAAGCTGGAGTGCAATGGCATAATCATAGCTCACTGCAGCCTCAAACTCTGGGCTCAAGGCATCCTCCTGCCTTAGCCTCCCAAAGTGTTGGAATTACAGGCACGAGCCACTGCAAGGCTAGATTTTTTTTTTTTTTTTTTGAAACAAAGTTTGGCTCTGTCACCCAGGCTGGAGTGCAGTGGTGCAATCTTGGTTCACTGCAATCTCTGCCTCCCGGGCTCAAGCAATCCTCCTGCCTCAGTTTCTTAAGTAGCTGGAACTACAGGCACGTGCCACCATGCCTGGCTAATTTTTGTATTTTTTGTAGAAAAGGGGTCTCAATATGTTGCCCAGGCTGGTCTTGAATTCCTGGGTTCAAGTATCCACCCACCTCGGCCTCCCAAAGTGCTGGGATTACAGGTGCAAGCCACCACGCCCAGCCAAAAAAATGTTAAGTGTTAAATCAAAAAGAAAAATCACCAAGCCATTTTGCATATTTTTCTGGAGAGATATAGATACAGACACAGATATATATGTAGAGAGAGATAAAGATATACAGATAGATCTGGACTGGACACCTTATGATAATATAGTATCAGTTGGGTATAACTTTGTTCCGGAAAGGACAAAGGGAACTTATTAAAGAAGACTTAAGGCATATATATGTAATGTTTTCCCAATTCCTCATACCACTTCTTTTTATTAATTTTTATTGAGATATAATTAATTTATCTACCATAAATTCACCCTTTTAAATAAGTACACAATTTAGTGGGTTTTAATATAGTATTCACAAGGTTATACAACCATCACCACTATTTGATTCCAGAACATCTGGCTGGGCTCGGTAGCTCACACCTGTAATCCCAGCACTTTGGAAGGCTGAGGTGGGAGAATCACCTGAGGCCAGGAGTTTGAGACCAGTCTGGCCAACATGGTGAAACCCCGTCTCTACTAAAAAAAATATAAAAATTAGCCGGGTGTGGTGGTGCATGCCTATAATCCCAGCTACTTGGGAGGCTGAGGCAGGAGAATTGCTTGAACCAGGGAGGCGGAGGTTGCAGTGAGCCGAGATTGCACCACTGTACTCCAGCCTAGGTGACAGAGCGAGACTCTGTCCCAACAAATAAACAAACAAACAAACAAAAACAGAACATTTTCATCAACCCAGAAAGAAGCCCCCAAATCACTGGCCCTACTCCCCATTTCCTCTCCCATTTCCTGGCAAGTATTTATTTACTTCCTATGAATTTGCCCCTTCGGGACATTTTAAATAAATGAAATCATACAATATGTGATTTCACTAAATAAGACTTTTGTGTGTGGCTTCTTTCAAATAATTTTTAAAATTGTGGTAAAGTATGCATAACATAAAATTTACACTCTAACCACCACCCCCCTTTTTTTTGAGACAGGGTCTCCCACTCTGTCTTCCAGGCTGGAGTGCAGTGGTATGATCACGTCTCACTGCAGCCTCAAACTCCCCGGGCTCAGATGATCCTCCTACCTCCGTCTCACAAGTAACTGGGACCGCAGGAACACACCACCACACCTGGCTAATTTTTGCATTGTTTGTAGAGATGGGGTTTCACTGTTGCCCAGGCTGGTCTTGAACTCCTGGACTCTTGTGATCCACCCACCTCGGCCTCCCAAAGTGCTGGGATTACAGGCGTGAGCTACCACACCTGGTTGTCTCTAACCATTTTTAAGTGTATATTTGAGTAGTGTTAAGTATATTCACATTGTTGTACAACCAATCTCCAGAACTTTTTCATCTTCCCAAATTGAACCTCTGTACCTATTAAACACTAACTCCCCATTCTCTCCTTCTCCCGGCCCATGGTAACCACCCTTCTACTTTCTGTCCTTTTTTTTTTTGAGACAGAGTCTCGCTCTGTCACCCAGGCTGGAGTGCAATGTCGGGATCTCAGCTCACTGCAAGCTCCGCCTCCCGGATTCAAGTGATTCTCCTGCCTCAGCCTCCTGAGTAGCTGGGATTACAGGCGCCTGCCACCACACCCAGCTAATTTTTTTGTATCTTTAGTAGAGACAGGGTTTCACTATGTTGGCCAGGTTGGTCTTGAACTCCTGATGCCGTGATACGCCTGCCTCGGCCTCCCAAAGTGCTGGGATTACAGGTGTGAGCCACCATGCCCGGCCTACTTTCTGTCTTTATGAATTTGACCACTCTAGGTACCTCATATAAGTGGAATCACACAGTATTTGTCCTTTGGTGACTGGCTTATTTCGCTTAGCATAATGCCCTCAAGGGTTCTCCATGTTGTAATATGCGTCAGAATTTCCTTCCTTTCAAGGCTGAATAATATATCTGTTACATGGATCAATCACATTTGGGTTATCCATTCATCAGTTAATGCACATGTAGGCTGTTTCCACCCTTTGGTCATTGAGAATAATGCTGCTGTATACATATGTATGTATGTTTTTGCATGACCATTTGTTTGCAATTCTTTTGACTATATATGTATCAATAGAATTAGTGGGTCATATGGTAGCTCTAAGTTTAACTTTTTGAGTAACTGCCAAAGCATTTTCCACAGTGCTACATGGTTTCACATTCTCGCTAACAATATATAATGGTTCCAATTTCCCCAAATCCTCTCCAACACTTTTTATTTTTATTTTTTTAAAACAATTACAGTCATGCTAGTGAATGTGAAGTGGCATCTCATTGTGGTTTGGGTTTTAATTTTATAATATTTTAATTTTTAAAATCAAAAGAATATACTTTGGCCAGGTGTGGTGGCTCACACCTGTAATCCCAGCATTTTGAGGGGCCGAGGTGGGTGGATCATCTGAGTTTAGGAGTTCGAGACCAGCCTGGCCAAAATGGTGAAACCCCATCTCTACTGAAAATACAAAACTTAGCCGGGTATGGTGGCAGGCGCCTGTAATCCCAGCTATTCAGGAGGCTGAAGCAGGGGAATCACTTGACCCGGGAGGTGGAGGTTGCCATGAGTCGGAATCACGCCACTGCACTCCAGCCTGAGAGGAGACTCTATCTAAAAAAAATACATATATGTGTATCTATACACATATGTGTATATGCAAAGCACAAACATCTAAGGGCAGGGCGTGGTGGCTCATGCTTGTAATCCCAGCACTTTGGGAGGCTGAGGCAGGCAGATCACTTGAGGTCAGAAGTTGGAGACCAGCCTGGCCAACATGGTGAAACCTCATCTCTACTAAAAATACAAAAATTAGCTGGGTGTGGTGGCAGGTGCCTGTAATCCCAGCTACTTGGGAGGCTGAGGCAGGAGAATCGCTTGAACCCGGGAGGCGGAGGTTGCAGTGAGCCAAGATCATGCCACTGCACTCCAGCCTGGGCAACAGAGGGAGACTCAGTCTCAAAAACAACAACCAAAAAACACATCTAAGGTTATATTGGTACAAACAGGAGAATTATTCACATAACTAACAAAATGTTAAAGAGTAAGTCAGAGATGGGCTCTGGGTTGACATGAACTGATGGTATTCTTTCTAGGAGGATGAGAGGATTTAAAATCTCTTAGCCAGGCCAGGCATGGTGGCTCACGCCTGTAATCCCAGCACTTTGGGAGGCCAAGGCAGGTGAATCACTTGAGGTCAGGAGTTTGAGACCAGCCTGGCCAACATGGTGAAACCACATCTCTATTAAAAATACAAAAATTAGCTGGGTGTGGTGGTGCACACGTGTAATCCCAGCTACTCTGGAGGCTGAGGCAGGAGAATCGTTTGAACTGAGTGGCGGAGGTTGCAGTGGGCTGAGATCTTGCCATTGTACTCCAGCCTGGGTGACAGAGCGAGACTCCATCTCAATCAATCAATTAATAAAAATAAAATCTCTTAGCCAGGTGCGGTGGCTCACACCTGCAGGCCCAGCACTTTGTGAGGCTGAGGCAGGAGGATCACTTGAGTCCAGGGGTTCAAGATCAGCCTGGGCAATATAGTGAGACCCTCATCTCTACAATAAATAGATTATAAAAAATAAACAAAATAAATAAAATCCCTGCAAGCTTAAATGACAATTAAAAGATAAAAATTTTGAGAGTTTCCCATGTTATCAGGTCCCCAAGTTAAATATATTACGTGTATTATTTCATCGAATCCTTAAAATAATCCTATGCAATAAGGTCTTTTTTTTTTTTTTTTGAGACAGAGTCTTGCTCTGTCTCCCAGGCTGGAGTGCAGTGGCGCGATTTCGGCTCACTGCAAACTCTGCCTCCCGGGTTCACGCCATTCTCCTGCCTCAGCCTCCCAAGTAGCTGGGACTACAGGCGCCTGCCACCACGCCCGGCTAATTTTTTTGTATTTTTAGCAGAGACCGGGTTTCACTGTGTTAGCCAGCATGGTCTCGATCTCCTACCTCATGATCCGCCCGCCTCGGCCTCCCAAAAGTGCTGGGATTACAGGCGTGAGCCACCGCGCCCAACCTTTAATAAGTTCTATATTTACCTTCATTTAATAGCTGAAAAAACTAAGACTCAGAGAGGTTAAAAAAAAATACATATATATGTATATGTATATATATCTACATATGCAAATTATAACAGTATGCAGTATCCCTGGGACTAAATCCAGATCTGATTCCAGAGTATTTACATTGAACTATACCATGTGACTATCCATACATTCCTAAGTGTTCTATTAATAAAATAGTAAAGAATAAATTCATAATTTTTACTACCACTAACCTTTATTGTTTACTAGGTTTCAGGCACCACGCTAAGCTCTTTATATTCATTATTTCATTTAATGCTCATTTTATTAAACTCTATGAGGTGGGTGGGTACATTCCATTTTACAGATGAGAAGACCAAGGTCAAGAAACCTGCCCAGGCTGGATGTGGTGGCTCTTGCCTGTAATCCCAGCACTTTGGGAGGCTGAGGCAGGTAGATCACTTGAGGTCAGGAGTTCAAGACCAGCCTGGCCAACATGGTGAAACCTCATCTCTACTAAAAATACAAAAATTAGCCTGGTGTGGTGGTGTACACCTGTAATCTCAGCTATTCCATAGCCTGAGGGAGGAGAATCGCTTGAACCTGGGAGGTGGAGGTTGCAGTGAGCCGAGATTGCACCACTGCACTTCAGCCTGGGTGAGCAAGCAAGACTCTGTCTCAAAAGAGACCTGCCCAGGATCACAGAGCTGGCCCCCAAACATTTTGTCTTCCCATTGTTTCCCAAGCAAGCTGAATTCACTCTGTTCAGAATGTTCTTCTCCAGTTCTTCACATTGACCACTTCTTATATACTCAAGTTTGAGCTCAAATGTCACCTCCTTACAGAAGCCTTCCCCCTTGACCTCATCCAAAGTAGCATTCATTGTACACCTACCAGCATACAGTAGGCACTCAATAAATATTTGTTGAGTGAGTAAGGGAAGGCATTCCATGAAAATTCCTACTGCCCAAAATTGCTTCCTCCATTCTCAAAGTCCAGAACGCCTTGCCTACCTGACTCAGTTCCTGCCTGACTTCTGGTAATGCCACCTTCTTTGAATACCTATAAGACTGTCAACCCTCACTCATCCAGCAGTTCCAGTCTCCTCAATTCTGAAATAATCCTTCCCTTCACTCTCAACCACTGGAGTTCTCCTTTTGTTTATTTATTTTTATTTTAGTTATTTTTTTTTTTGAGACGGAGTCTCGCTCTGTCACCTGGGCTAGAGTGCAATGGCGAGATCTTGGCTCACTGCAACCTCCGCCTCCTGGGTTTAAGCGATTCTCCTATCTCAGTCTCCCCAGTAGCTGGGATTACAGGCACCCCACTACGCCCAGCTAATTTTTTGTATTTTTTTTTCTTTTTTTTGAGATGGAGTCTCGCTCTGTCGCCCAGGCTGGAGTGCAGTGGTGTGATCTTGGCTCATTGCAGACTCCACCTCCCTGGTTCAAGCGATTCTCCTGCCTCAGCCTCCCGAGTAGCTGGGACTACAGGCGCCCGCCACCATGCCTGGCTAATTTTTGTATTTTTATTAGAGACGGGGTTTCACCATATTGGCCAGGCTGTTCTCAAACTCCTGACCTCGTGATTCGCCTACCTCGGTCTCCCAAAGTGCTGGGATTACAGGCATGAGCCACCGTGCCCGGCCTATTTATTTATTTATTTATTTGAGATGGAGCCTCACTCTGTCACCCAGGCTGGAGTGCAGTGGCATGATCTCAGCTCACTGCAACCTCTGCCTCCTGGGTTCAAGCGATTCTCCTGCTTCAGCCTCCTGAGTAGCTGGGATTACAGGTGCATGCCACCATGCCTGGCTAATTTTTGTATTTTTAATAGAGACAGGGTTTCGCCACGTTGGCCAGGCTGGTCACGAACTCCTGACCTCAGGTGATCCACCTGCCTCGGCCTCCCAAAGTGCTGGGATTAGAGGCGTGAGCCACTGCGCCTGGCCTGGAGTTCTCCTTTTATATGTTCAACAACAAATTTCTCTTGAGTCTCTACTATATCTTGCTAGATGTGTTGGAAAAAGATGAATAAATGCAGTTCTACCCTCCACTTGTAGGTGGAGCGGAAGTGTAAACAAGCAACTTCAACACAGTGGGAGAGGTGCTAAAGAGAGACACGAGTGGTCACTGGGGCAGTGCACATAACCAAAAATAAAGAGAGACATATACAAGACTCAGTGGTGGCTCAGTAGAGCAAAGCCAGGCAAAAGATGACACAGCCGTAAACAAACCAAAATTCACCATCAACATATTTTGAAAGTAAGTGGTGGTGTTGATTTCAAATCTTGGCTTCATCATGCAGTAGCTGTGTGGCATTGGGAAAATTACATATCCTCTGAGCACTAGTGTCTACCCGGGGAAAATACTACCTACTCCAGAGGGTTATCTATGGTGAAATTTAAAGGAAATAATGCACATAAAGTGCTTAGCCCTGTCTCTGGCACATAATGGTACTTCCAAATTAGTACTGAAAAAAAATGTATATTTTTATTTATTTTATTTTTTATTTTTATTTTTTGGTGAGGTGGAGATTTACTCTTGTTGCCTAGGCTGGAGTGCAATGGCATGATCTCGGCTCACCGCATCCTCTGCCTCCCAGGTTCAAGCGATTCTCCTGCCTCAGCCTCCCGAGTAGCTGGGATTACAGGCACGTGCAGCTAATTTTGTATTTTTAGTAGAGACGGGGTTTCACCATATTGCCCAGGCTGATCTTGAACTCCTGACCTCAGGTGATCCGCCTGCCTCGGCCTCCCAAAGTGTTGGGATTACAGGAGTGAGCCACTGTGCCTGGCCGTATATTTTTATTTTTTAAGAGACAGGGTTTTGCTCTGTCACCCAGGCTGGGGTACGGTGATGCAATCATAGCTCATTCATTGCAACCTTGAACAGTTGGGCTGAAGTGATCTTCCCTCCTCAGCCTCCCAAGTAGCTGGAACTACAGGGGCATGCCACCATGTGTGGCTAAGTTTTTTTAAACATAGTTTTTAGAGACAGGGTCTCCCTATGTTGACCAGACTAGTTTCGAACTCCTGGCCTCAAGCAATCCTCCTGCCTTGGCCTCCCAAAATGCTGGGATTATAGGCATGAGCCACTGCATCTAGCCTGAAAAAAAATCTTAAATATAGGAAAAGAAAAAACTTTAAGCACAAAGATGTATTTATAATAGGAACATTTCTGGAACAAACTGAAAATCCTCTTCTTCTTCTTCTTTTTTTTTTTTTGAGACAGAGTCTCACTTTATCGCCCGGGCTGGAGTGCAATCTCAACTCACTGTAACCTCCACCTTATGGGTTCAAGCAATTCTTGTGCCACAGCCTCCCGAGTAGCTGGGACTATAGGCATGAGCCACCACATGTGGCTAATTTTTGTATTTTTAGTAGAGATGGGGTTTGTCATGTTGGCCAGCCTTGTCTCAAACTCCTGATCTCAAGTGATCTATCCGCCTCGGCCTCCCAAAAAGGCCAGGATTACAGGTGTGAGCCACCACGCCCAGTCTAAATATTCTCTTGATGGAGTATTATGTAGCTGTTAAACTGTAACAATGTCTGGCAGAGTCACAGATACAAAAAGTACTAGATAAAATGTGAATCTGGTGTGATCTTGGCTATGCAAATAGATACCCAAAGTCCCTGGGCCTCTCCAGCCTGCGGTTTTAAATGAGGTCACATTAGCCTTTTACCCAAATTTCACTGCCCCATTGCCCCCACCTGCTCTTCTGGACCTCTGCGAAGGCGCTGGGGGCCCTAGGGAATAGTTAAAAGTGTATGTCCCACCCACTCAAGTATTCATAAACTGTCTGTGTTTGATGGGCACAGCCACCCTTTGCCAAGCCTTCACCCTTGCCACGCCTCATAAAGAACACCTCCCTGTGGGGTTGACCAAACCACCCGGTTTGCCTGGGACTGAGAGGTTTCCTGGGATTTGGGACTTTTAGTACTAAAACTGGGAAACTCTTTGGCAAACTAGGAGAAGTTGGTCACCCTGACTCACTGTGCAAAGCTGCAATTTTTTTTTTTTGCACTTCCAAGCTGCAAAATTTTTAGATCACCGAATGGAGTTTTTTTTCTCAGCTAGAGCTCAGCTCCATTCTTCCCAAAACAGGGACTGGTGAACCTCCCAGAGGACTGGGTGAGGTGAATATTCATGTTTTAATTCAGGGGACTTTTATCCCAGGTACCAGGGAAGCAAAAAAACAAAAACAAAAACAAAACCAGTCAAAACGTTGCTTGAGAAACAGCTAATTAGAGCGTGGGTCTAGACAAGAGTTGCTGGTTTGGGAAACATGAGCATATTGGGTGGCAAGTATCATGAGACTGGACTGGGTGGTCCAAGAGACCTGTAAACAGGAGAGAAGCCTGAGGGTAATGACATTTGAGCCAATCTGCGGAGGTAAGTCAGTCCATTAAAGAAACTGAGGCCGGGCCTAGTGGCTTACACCTGTAATCCCAGCATTTGGGAGGCCGAGGCAGGCAGATCACTTGAGGCCAGGAGTTCGAGACCAGCCTGGCCAACATGGCAAAACCTGTCTCTATTAAAAATAAAAAAAGTAGCCAGGTGTGGTAGTGAGAGCCTGTAGTTCCAGCTACTCAGGAAGCTAAGGTGGGGGGATTGCTTGAACCCAGAAAGTTGAGATTGCAGTGAGCCATGATCACGCCACTGCACTCCAGCCAGGGCGACAGAGCAAGACCTTGTCTCAAGTAAATAAATAAATACAAATTACAGGCTCACACCTGTAATCCCAGCACATTGGGAGGCTGAGGCAGGCGGATCACCTGAGGTCAGGAGTTCAAGACCACCCTGGCCAACAAGGTGAAACCCCCGTCTCTACTAAAAATACAAAAATTAGCTGGGTGTGGGCCATGCGTGGTGGCTCACGCCTGTAATCACAGCACTTTGGGAGGCCGAGACGGGTGGATCACGAGGTCAGGAGATCGAGACCATCCCGGTTAACACAGTGAAACCCCATGTCTACTAAAAAAATACAAAAAAATTAGCCGGGCATGGTGGCGGGTGCCTGTAGTCCCAGCTACTTGAGAGGCTGAGGCAGGAGAATGGCGTGAACCCAGGAGGCGGAGCTTGCAGTGAGGAGAGATTGCACCATTGTGCTCCTGCCTGTGCAACAGAGCAAGACTCTGTCTAAAAAAAAGAAAAACAAAAAAGAAGCTGAGGACTAACGGGAGTGGCCAAAGAGATAGGAAGAAAACTAGGATTTGAGGTTTGTAAGTTTTGGTGCATAGTTTCTGAAATTTGTCCAGTTTCCAATTTGGCTATGCCTTCACCCTAAAGCTAGTAGTGATACTGATTGATCATGCTTCATATCATCAAGTAGACCACTCCTTCTCTCCTTCCAGCTCTGAAATGTAGGTGATTCCCCAGGGTATATATGAGGTGCTCTTAGTCTCTCTGCTTTCTCTTTTATAATAGTTTAGTCTGAGGCTGGGCACAATGGCTCATGCCTGTAATCCTAGTACTTTGGGAGGCCAAAGGGGGTGGATCCCTTGAGGTCAGGTGTTTGAGACCAGCCTGGCCAACATGGTGAAACCCCATCTCTACTAAAAATACAAAAATTAGCTGGGCATGGTGGCGCATGCCTGTAATCTCAGCCCCCTGGGGAGGCTGAGGCGGGAGAATTGCTTGAACCAGGGAGGCGGAGGTTGCAATGAGCCAAGATTGCGCCACTGTACTCCAGCCTGTGTGACAGAGTGAGACTCTGTCTCAAAATAAATAGATAAATAGTCTGCTGGCTGCAATTTTCATCTCAATGAGACTGGTTCCCAATTTATACCCCCAGCTTCAATCCTTCCAGAGCTTCAGTCTACATTTTTTTCTTTCTTTTTCCTTTTTTTTTTTTTTTTTTTTTTTTGAGACAGGGTCTTACTCTGTCACCTAGGCTGGAGTGCAAGCAGTGTGATTTTGGCTCACTGCAACTTCTGCCTCCTGGGTTCAGGTGATCCTCCCACCTCAGCCTCCTGAGTAGCTGGGACTACAGACACGTGCCACTACACCTGGCTCATTTTTATACTTTTTGTAGAGAGGGGGTCTCACCATTTTGCCCAGGCTGGTCTAGAACTCCTGACCTCAAGTGATCTTGCCGTCTTGGCCTCCCAAAGTACTGGGATTACAGGTGTGAGCCACTTCGTTCAGCCCAGTCTACATTTCAAACTGTCTCTTGGACATTTCCACCTCATTATCTTGTCAATAACCCAAATTCAGCGCACTTAAATAGGAGCAATAGCCAGATCATAATCATAGAGATCAGTATTGGAAGGAACCTTAGAGATGATCTAATCTAGACCTTCCTGATTGGAGAGCTATAGACTGATACACAGTGAATAGGATAAGAGGTGGGTGGGGATAGATATTCATCCTCCAAGCTCTCAGGGTGTACGCAGCCTCTGATCCACTTTGTTCATGACAACCTCATCCCCTGACGGGCTTAAGAGGGTGGGGTCTGATGGTGGGCAGGAGCCCACCATTGGCATTCAGTTGCATAGCACATTATTGCCTGCGTAGACAAGGGACCCACGAAGATGCTAGAAGAGTTTATCTCAGGAGCCCAAGAAGTATAAGGAACGATCCAATGTGCAGGAAGGTGTCAGAGTGTGTGTGTGTGTGTGTGTGTGTGTGTGTGTGTGTGTGTACGTGTGTGAGAGAGAGAGAGGAGAGAAAGAGATGAGGGCTGGGTGCGGTGGCTCATGCCTATAATCCCAGCACTTTGGGAGGCTGAGGCAGGCGGATCACTTGAGGTCAGAAATTCGAGATCAGCCTGGCCAACATGGTGAAACCTCGTCTCTACTAAAAATACAAAAATTAGCCGGGCGTGGTGGCTTGTGCCTGTAGTCCCAGCTACTCACGAGGCTGAGGCAGAAGAATCGCTTGAACCCAGGAGGCGGAGGTCGCAGTGAGCTGAGATCACGCCACTGCACTCCAGCCTGGGCAACAGAGCCAGACTTCATCTCTAAGAATAATAATAATAATTAATTAATTAATTAATTAAGAGATGGGGGTTGGGAATTCTGGGGCAGGCAGCTTAGAAACTCTGTCTTCACATACGTTTGTATTGGATAATTTTGGCCAATATACCACAAATGATGTCCAGGCTGTGAAGTGATTGTCCTAATAATGCATTTGTGTTCTGTCAACTGGAACCTCATCATGATTTTGAAATACTCGCTATGGCAAGTTTGATTAGATCTAAAATCCAGAAGGAATATTCTAAGTTCTTTTTTTTTTTTTTTTTTTTTTGAGACGGAGTTTCGCTCTTGTTGCCCAGGCTGGAGTGCAATGGCACGATCTCAGCTCACTGCAACCTCCGCCTCCCGGGTTCAAGCAATTCTCCTGCCTCAGCCTCCACAGTAACTGGAATTACAGGTATGCACCACCACGCCCGGCTAATTTTGTATTTTTAGTAGAGACGGGGTTTCTCCATGTTGAGGCTGGTCTCGAACTCTTGACCTCAGGTGATCCGCCCGCCTCGGCCTCCCAAAGTGCTGGGATTACAGGCGTGAGCCACTGCGCCCAGCCGGAATATTCTAAGTTCTAAGGACATTTGTCAATGAAAGAAACAAAAGAGCTTTAAATATAACTTAAATATCATTTCCACTGTTGTGAATGTTTGGTTATAAAAGATGGCTTAAATTATTTTAGCACATACAGTTGCAAATGGTTTCTTGTCATTTAAGGAGATCACGCACCAGGGGTGGTGGCTCAAGCCTACAATCCCTGCTACTTGGGAAGGTGAGGTGAGAGGATGCATTAAGCCCAGGAGTTTGAGGCTGCAGAGAGGTGTGACTGCATCACTCACTCCAGCCTGGGTGACAGAGTGAGATCCCATTTCCTATTTCTTTTTTTTTTTTTTGAGATGGAGTCTCGCTCTGTCACCCAGGCTGGAGTGCAATGGCGTGATCTCGGCTCACTGCAACCTCCGCCTCCTGGGGTCAAGCGAGTCGCCTGCCTCAGCCTCCCCAGCAGCTGGGATTACAGGAGTGCGCTACCACCACGCCTGGCTAATTTTTGTATTTTTTTTTTTTCAGTAGAGATGGGGTTTCACCATGTTGGCCAGGCTGGTCTTGAACTCCTGACCTTGTGATCCGCCCACCTTGGCCTCCCAAAGTGCTAGGACTGCAGGTGTGAACCACCGCGCTCGGCCATGAGATCCCATTTCTAAAAAAAAAAAAAAAGAAAGAAAGAAAGATAAAAAGAAACAGATCAGTTAAAGAGACTCAATCAGGACTTACCTTACATGAGCTATTTAGAGTGCAAAACAGAATAAAAAGTTAGGTATACGGATTTAAGTTCAAATTTCTCATTAAAAAAAAGAGGGCTTTTTTGGGGAAAGTGTTACAAATGCAATATTTAATATCTTCTCCATATATATTTTGTTTTTATTCCAATTGTATTCTTTAAAGAAATGTTTTAAACCACATTCCATATCCCCTGCTAATTTTCATTGGGTGCTATATATGTGGAAAGTATTGGAAAGTCTGGTTCTAACCCAGCCCCCTTAACTGATTTGTGAGCAAACTGGGGCTCGGTCAGGGTTGATTGACCCATCTGACGTCACAGAGCTAATCACTTCCTTCATAAATCAGTTCCTGTCCTCTGACTTTCTGAGCCTTAACTGCAGATGTGTGACACATTACCCAACTCATCTAAGTTTAAATCATATCAGGTTGGTTTCTCTCTGCGTGGCTGTTTTTTTTTGTTTGTTTTTCGTTTTTCGTTTTTTTTTTTTTTTTTTTTGAGACAAGGGCTTGCTTAGTTGCCCAGACTGCTGGAATGTAGAGGCACAATCATAGCTCACTGCAGCCTCAAACTCCTGGACTCAAGTGTTCTTCCCACCTCAGCCACTCAAAGTGCTGGGATTACAGGTGTGAGCCACCACACCTAGCCTGTCATATTCCATCCAATCTGAACTCCCTCCCAGGTTTAAGGAACCCTTCACATTATATGTAGCCTGTAACCCACTATGGGAACTAAGATGCCAGGCACTTGCCATCATGGTCCCTCCTGCTGCTAGACCCTGCACTCAGGCACACCCAGCGCAGCCTTTTAGCTGGAAGCCAGAACAGCTGTGAAGCAGTGGCCCTGGATTGATGCTTTACCAGGACAAGCTGGGCTTTCTGCCAGGCAGCTGCCATCATGCTGTCCTCACTGGTCCAATTCTATAGCCTGATTTTGGACACTTGTTGGCTGCAAAGTCTCAGAGCCTCATTCTTGGGCACTATCAGAGATTCTGTGAGCTTGAAGTAGGCAATGGTTCTGTTGCTTGCCATCAAGAACTCAACCGATAGGCCAGGCATGGTGGCTCACGTCTGTAATCTCAGCACTTTGGGAGGCCAAGGTGGGCAGGTCACCTGAGGTCAGGAGTTTGAGACCAGCCTGGCCAACATGGTGAAACCCCAACTCTATTAAAAATACAAAAATTAGCCGGGCATGATGGCATGTGCCTGTAATCCCAGCTACTCAGGAGGCTGAGGCAGGAGAATCACTTGAACCCGGGATGCAGAGGTTACAGTGAGCCGAGATCATGCCACTGCACTCTAGCCTGGGCATCAGAGCCAGACTCCATCTCAAAAAAAAAAAGACAAGTGCCATAAAAGGCTCACATTTGCCGGGCGCGGTGGCTCACGCCTGTAATCTCAACACTTTGGGAGGCTGAGGTGGGTGAATCACAAGGTCAGGAGTTTGAGACCAGCTTGGCTAACATGGTGATACCCCGTCTTTACTAAAAATACAAAAAAAATTAGCCGGGAGTGGTGACTTACACCTGTAGTCCTAGCTGCTTGGGAGGCTGACGCAGGAGAATCGCTTGAACCCAGGAGGTAGAGGTTGCAGTGAGCCAAGATCATGCCACTGCACTCCAGCCTGGGTGATAGAGCAAGACTCCGTCTCAAAAAAAAAAAAAAAAACCAATAAAGAAATTGGTACCAGAGTGGTGGTAGGCCGTAGATGCTCAGGGAAATGGAATGGGAGTGGTCT
This sequence comes from Homo sapiens, assembly GCF_000001405.40. NCBI lineage: Eukaryota > Metazoa > Chordata > Mammalia > Primates > Hominidae > Homo > Homo sapiens. The sequence goes on from NC_000017.11 coordinate 67,819,687, forward strand.
GTAACTCTCACTCTAGTCTTCTGCGGCCAATGGTAGAAAATATGTATCTAGTAATACAGAATGAGACTCTGACAGCCAATTTGACATTGTTTGGAGCACAGTGTTTGCAATCAATGGCAAAAGATTTTAACAAAATCACCCATGCCACCTGGACTTCAAGGCAAGTCTTGAAGACTGGCCATAGCTAAGGGACATATAACAGATGTAATGAAGTTCTCTGGAGGCTGAGGCAGGAGAATCGCTTGAACCCAGGAGGCGGAGGTTGCGGTGAGCTGAGATTGCGCCATTGCACTCCGGCCTGGGCAACAAGAGCAAAAGTCAATCTCAAAAAAAAAAAAAAAGAAGTCAAGGACTATGGATGGGGTGATTTCATTTGACAGTACTGGATGCTTGGTGGCTCTCTTTGGATTTAGAAGACTAGATATACAAGGCTGGGCATGGTGGCTCATGCCTGTAATCCCAGCTCTTTGGGAGGCTGAGGCAGGTGGATCACCTGAGGTCAGGAGTTTGAGACCAGCCTGGCCAACATGGTAAAACCCCGTCTCTACTAAAAATACAAAAATTAGCTGTGTGCCTCGAATCCCAGTTACTTAGGAGGCTGAGGCAGGAGAATCACTTGAACCCAGAAGGCAGAGGTTGCAGTGAGCCAAGGTTACGCCACTGCACTCTAGCCTACGTGACAGAGTGAGACTCCGTCTCAAAAAAAAAAAAAAAAAGAAGAAGAAGAAGACTATATATACCACGTTTGTTTGTGCTGCCTTAACCCATTTTCAGAGTGACCTGAGGCCTTGCTAACATTGAGCCACAAGGCAGAGCAAGAGAAGATTCTTCAGCAGGTCCAGGCTGTGGTGCAAGGACTTCTGCTAATTGGTCCTCATGACCCAATGTACCCAACAGCACTCTCTGGACAACCACATACTGGGGTGCTGTATGAAGGGCGCATGAAAACCCTGCAAAGGAGCATCCTATGGTTGTGCTTAGGGTTTTGGATCAAAGCCTTGCTCTCTTTGGCTAATAAATATTCTTTCTGGAAACTGGTCTTACTTTGCTCCTGGGCCCCAGCAAAGATTGAAAGCCAGGTGACCACATACCTGTGCAGCTTGTCAGGAACTGAGTATTTGTTCCACTTAGCCAAAAAATGTCCAGTAGCGCTCCCTTCCCCAAGAAGACATGTCGTAGGCTGGGCGCAGTGGCTCGTGCCTATAATCCTAGCACTTTGGGAGGCTGAGGCGGGCAGATCACTTGTGGTCAGGAGTTGAAGACCAGCCTGGCCAACATGGCGAAACCCTGTCTCTACTAAAAAAAAATACAAAATTAGCTGGGCAAGGTGGCAGCCACCTGCAGTCCCAGTTACTCAGGAGGCTGAGGTGGGTGGATGGCTTGAGCCCGGCAGGTGGAGGTTGCAGTGAGCCAAGATCGCGCCACTGCACTCCAGCCTGGGTGACAGAGCGAGACCATTTCTTGAAAAAAAAAAAAAAAAGTTATGCAAAACACCTCTCATTCCATCTATTGTACACTTTTTGTAAATAATTTTGCTTTACTATTCAATTATAAATTTTGAAGGGTATTCCCACTTCTAATATCTTTGTATTCCCTATAATACATAGCATACTTATTTAATTTTAGAGCTGGGGATCTCACTATGTTGCCTCAAACTACTGGGCTCAAGTGATCCTCTCACCTCAGCCTTCCAAAGTGCTGGGATTACAGGTATGAGCCACCGCACCTGGCAGTACATAGCATTTTACACACTATGTAGGATATACATTGCAAACTAGTAGACTCTGGGCTATATCCAAACTGCCTATTTTTTATTTATTTTTTCTTTTTTGAGATGGAGTCTTGCTGTGTCGTCCAGGCTAGAGTGCAGTGGCACGATCTCGGCTGACTGCAACCTCCACCTCCTGGGTTCAAGCAATTCTCCTGCCTCCCTAGTAGCTGGGATTGCAGGTGCACAGCGCCACGCCCAGCTAATTTTTGTACTTTTAGTGGAGACGGGGTTTCACCATGTTGGCCAGAATGGTCTCAAACTCCTGACCTCAGGTGATCAACCCACCCTAGACTCCCATAGTGTTGGGATTACAGGTGTGAGCCACCACACCGGGCCAAGACTGCTTATATTTTTATCAATCTGTAGTGTTTTGTTCTGAGACAGGGTCCTGCTCTGTCACACATGCTGGAGTGCAATATAAACATATATTAATATTTATTGAAATAAATGACTACCAAAAAGTAATTTAAAGAAAAATAGTTGTCTGGGCATGGTGGCTCACACCTTCAATCCCAGCCCTTTGAGAGACCGAGGCCAGAGAATAGCTTGAGGCCAGGAGTTCGAGACCAGCCCGCGCAACATAGTGGGACCTTGTCTCTAGAAAAAATTTGAAAATTAGCTGGGCATGGTGGTGCGCGCCTGTGGTCCCAGCTGCCCGGGAGGCTGAGGTGAGAGGATTGCTTGAGCCTGGGAGGTGGACGTTGCAGTGAGCTGCGATTGCATCACTTCACTCTAGCCTGGGTGACAGAGCAAAACCCCGTCTCAAAATTTAAAAAGAAAGAAAGAAAAGAAAGGAAACCTAACAGGATTCTGATTCTGTCCACCAAATGGCTTATTTCTTTTTTCTTTTTTTGAGACAGAGTCTCACTTTGTCGCCCAGGCTGGAGTACAGTGGTGCGATCTTGGCTCACTGCAACCTCCGTCTCCTGGGTTCAAGCGATTCTCCTGTCTCAGCCTCCAGAGTAGCTGGGATTACAGGCAAGTGCCACCACGTCCAGCTAATTTTTGTATTTTTAGTAGAGATGGGGTTGTACCATGTTGGTCAGGCTGATCTCGAACCCCTGACCTCAGGTGATCCGCCCGCCTCATCCTTCCAAAGTGCTGGGATTACAGGCATGAGCCACTGCGCCTGGTGGCTTATTTCAATCTAGATAGGAAAATATAACACATATGTGAAATGAAAAAATACAAGCACTAATTGCCAAATAAATGTATTCAATATAATTTGGTTGAGCACTATGGGTGACAAATCTGTATATGCCTCCAGGAACCAGGTAAGTAATGAAAGTCAACAAAGTAGGGGAAGATGAGGACTTGGCCAATGGAAGTGCCCCCCGCTTTTTTTTTTTTAGACAGACTTTCGCTCTGTTGCCCAGGCTGGAGTGCAGTGGTGTGATCTGCACTCACTACAACCTCCACCTCCCAGGTTAAGCGATTCTCCTGCCTCAGTCTTACAAATAGCTGGGACTACCGGTGCTCCATCACACCTGGCTAGTTTTTAGTAGAGACAGGGTTTCACCATGTTGACCAGGCTGGTCTCGAACTTCCGCCCTCAAGTGATCTGCCTGCCTTTGCCTCCCAAAGTGCTGGGATTACAGGCATGAGCCACCACGCCCGGCCCTGGCCCCGTATTTTGTTTAAAGAGGGTGGCTGGGCACAGTGGCTGTAGCTTGTAATCCCAGCACTTTGGGAGGGAGGCGGGTGGATTGCTTGAGCTTAGGAGTTTGCAGTGAACCAAGATCGCTGGGATATGCATATTTAAGGTTTCAATTTTTGTGTCTCCAAATAAAATTCTCAGTTCCTCACTACCTTTTTTTTTTTTTTGAGATAGAGTCTTGCTGTGTCACCCAGACTGGAGTCCAGTGGCACGATCTTGGCTCACTGCAGCCTCTGCCTCCTGGGTTTAAGCGATTCTCCTGTCCGCTTCCCAAGTAGTTGGGATTACACGCATGAGCCACCATGCCCAGCTAATTTTTGTATTTTTAGTAGACAGGATTTCACCATGTTGCCCAGGATAATCTCGAACTCCTGGGCTCAAGTGATCCGCCCACCTGGCCTCCTCAAGTGCTGGGATTACAGGCCTGAGCCACCGTGCCTGACCACCCTCTTCAAACAAAATATGGGCACCTCCATTGGCCTAGGTCTTCATCTTGCCTACTTTATTGACTTACATTACTTACCTGGTCCCTGGAGACATATACACATTTGTCACCCTTAGAGCTCGACCAAATTGTATTGAATGCATTTCTCTGGCAATTAGTGCTTGTATTTTAATTTTCATTTCACATATGTGTTCCATTTTCCTAACAAGACTGAAATAAGCCATTTGGTATGCAGAATTCTGTTAGATATTTTTATTTTTATTTTTTTGAGACGGAGTCTTGCTTTGTTGCCAGGCTGGAGTGCAGTGGTGCGATCTCGGCTCACTGCAACCTCCACCTCCCAGGCTCAAGCGATTCTTCTGCCTCAGCCTCTGGAGTAGCTGGGACTACAGGCACGCACCACCACGCCTGGCTAACTTTTGTATTTTTAGTACAGAACTTTTGCATTTTTAGTAGAGATGGGGTTTCACCATATTGGCCAGGCTGGTCTCAAACTCCTGCCCTGGTGATCCGCCCTCCTCAGCCTCCCAAAGTGCTGGGATTACAGGCGTGAGCCACCGCGCCCAGCATCTTTTTTAAAAAAAATTGAGACAGGGTCTTGCTCTGTCACCCAAGCTGGAGTGCAGTGGTGCAATCACGGCTCACTGCAACATCCACCTCCCAGGCTCAAGCAATCCTCCCACCTCAGCCTCTCGCTAGCTGGGACCACAGGTGCACACCACCATGCCCGGCTAATTTTTCAAATTTTTTCTAAAGACGAGGTCCTGCTATGTTGCCCAGGCTGGTCTTGAACTCTTGACCTCAAGCTATCATCCGGCCTTGGCCTCTCAAAGGACTGGGATTGCAGGTGTGAGCTACCACGCCCGGCCAACTATTTTTCTTTAAATTACTTTTCGGTTGTCACTTCTCTCAATAAATATTCATATGTTTATAACACCTTTCTCTTATCTAAAGAGCTGACCTCAACCACTCAGGGTTGAGTCGCTGTGATAAGGTTTGAGGGTGCCTGAAATGTCATCATGATTCGTCCTTTGGGCTAAGCTGAAACCTAGTGACTTGTCAGGTCAATAAATTAAGGTTATTTCCCGATAATACAAACATTTAACACCGTGAAGTAGGTTTTAGGCAGGATTCCCTCTTTTCCACTGCAAAGGAGAGGTAAGTTCTTGCTGAGGTGATCGAAGTCCTAGCTGGGGCACTGGGAAGGTGGCGGGACATTGGAACGTGCAGTAGTTGCGTTCTGGAGTTTACTGAGGCTTTCCCAGTGCGGATTCCACGCTACAGGTCTTAGGGCGCCCCTCCCTCCGGGCGTGGCAGCCCGGGGCGTGGCTCCTGGCACAGATCCGGAGCAGTTGTCATTGGAGTCATTTTCTGGACTCCAGCTCCATGCTTCAGAGTTTCCTAAGTTCAGGGGGCTTGTCTCTCTGTCCCCTCGACTAATTTCCCTCTGTCGCTGGCGCTGCCCGGTGCCCTCGGTCGCTTGGGCCGCCCCTCTCCGCGACTTTTTTTTTTCTTTCTCTCGCTGGCTCTTTCAGCATCAGTTTCCATAGGGGGAGGGAAGGGAATGATATTTGGGGGCTCCCTTGCCTTCCTCTCCGAGCCGCGAAAGGGGAGACGCGGGGAGGAGGTCCGGCCGGCTTTGGGCTCCAGCCAGCGGTCCGCGGAGACTTTGGTCTCCGAAGGCCTTTGACGCCGGGCATTTCGCGAGCTGCGCGCCCCTCTCAGCCGCGCCACCTGCGCCCGGAGTTTTGCCGCGCCACCCGCGCCCGGAGTCCAGCCGCACCGCGCTGTGCCGAGCCCAGGCGCCCAGGGCTCCCCGCCCCCGACTCGACGCTCCCGCGCTCCCCCTAGCGGCCGCCGCGCCGCTTCGCTCCGTCCCAGGCTCGTCGGCGGCGCAGCTCACGTGACCGCGCTCTGGGCCTGCGGCCGCTGTCGGTTCCCCCAGTCACCGAGCGAGAGGGAAGAAACAAGATGGCGGCTGAAGGCGATCCGGAGTGGGGCCCCAGCAATTCGGATTGAGCCTTCTCCCTCCACCCGCTTCCGTCGGCCGGGCCCCTCCCGCCCGGCCCCGCGGGCCTCCCCACCCGGCCCCGGCGCTCCCCACCGCCCCCCCTGCGCCCGCCCCTCCCCCTTCGCTTTCCTTCTCCCCCCGCCTCGGCTCCGACATGAGGGGCCGGCGGGGCAGGCCGCCCAAGCAGCCCGCGGCTCCCGCTGCGGAGCGCTGCGCCCCGGCCCCGCCGCCACCGCCGCCGCCGCCCACGTCCGGACCCATCGGGGGGCTCCGCTCGCGGCACCGCGGCAGCAGCCGGGGCAGGTGGGCCGCCGCCCAGGCTGAGGTGGCGCCCAAGACGCGGCTGAGCTCGCCCAGGGGGGGCAGCAGTAGCCGGAGGAAGCCGCCGCCGCCGCCGCCGGCCCCCCCCAGCACCAGCGCCCCGGGCCGGGGGGGGCGAGGAGGCGGGGGCGGCAGGACGGGGGGCGGGGGCGGCGGCGGCCACCTGGCCCGGACCACCGCGGCCCGGAGGGCCGTCAACAAAGTGGTGTACGATGACCACGAGAGCGAGGAGGAGGAGGAAGAGGAGGACATGGTCTCCGAGGAGGAGGAGGAGGAGGACGGCGACGCCGAGGAGACCCAGGATTCTGAGGACGACGAGGAGGATGAGATGGAAGAGGACGACGATGACTCCGATTATCCGGAGGAGATGGAAGACGACGACGACGACGCCAGTTACTGCACGGAAAGCAGCTTCAGGAGCCATAGTACCTACAGCAGCACTCCAGGTACCCACCCAGCCCAGTTGCTGCAGACTCCTTCCCCACCTCCTCTGCCCTCCCCCCTTGCTCACTCGTGTGCTGTGCATCCTGCTCCGATCTCCCCCCAACCCCGCCTCCCCCCCAAACAGAGGGGAAATGCGACGGCACATCAAGTGGCAAAAAACTAGATTTACAAGAGGAAAGAGGCGCATTGTTCAAAATGGAGATTGCATTGTTGCAGTTTGCAGGCCACACTCGCTCGCTCTCTCTCCCCCCCCCAACCCCCTTTTTTTCCTCTTCAAAATTTGTGCCAGTGCAGTGTCTCCACCGGGCAGGATTGAAACTTTGGCAAACACATATCCATTGCATTCATTTTTCTCCCCTTGTTTTGGTGTGGTTTTCTGGAATGAAAGAAGCCTCTTGTTTTGCAAACCTCTTTGCATTTCTAATGTGGTTTCTTTCGGATTTTTATTATATATCTGTTACTTAAAAGGGAATTAAGGATTTGGACAGATTGTGGTACACAAACACGCACAAAAAAATGCGTTTTCACACCCCTAGCTGTGGTTTTAAAATTGTGTTAAGGAAACGGATCATTTGGGTTAGTAGGGGAACCTTATCTGGTCCTGTGTGTTTGTTTTTATTCTTCGAGTGCTAATGGGCCCGTGCAACAGTTGCTGTTAAATGGCTGATTAAAAAGCAACGCAGAAAGCCAAACAAGACCCAACCAAATTTGGTTATTCATCCGATTCAGAATTATTTTGGTTAAATCAAAAATAAAAGTACAAAACTACAGGAACGCGCGTCTTAACTCATTTGATCGCTTTGCCTTGCTTGGGAAATGCAGTTTCGTGTCACCTGTTGCAGAAGATATGTAGTTGATCATCTAGACATAATTGCCGAAGATGAACTTCTGGAACAACTTCTAAGTCACACGGCATCAGTATCAGATTTATTACACAACGACTTTTTCTTTTCACTCTATTTCTGAGGAAAAAGCCCTCCCGAAATCCGTAATGAATTTCTCCATGGTAACCCCTCTTCTGTTTTCTCACAGAAAGTTTCTCTAGGCTGGTGCCGAGATGCATTTGGTGAAACACCCCCGGCCCCCCGCAAAAGGCTGCTTTGTACATAGTCACAATTTACTAAATTGTGAAATTAACATAACCAAAGCAACAACCGGCAAGACTTTTCCTTTATAATTTTGCAAATCTAGATTAATTAAATTAGAATCTGGTTTTAAAAGCCTTTAAAAAATAAAGTTTATGAGAAAATATTTGTGAGGAAAAAAGACCTTTTTTTTCGTTGAAGTAAGGTGTGTCATGTCTTTCTCAGAGAGACTAGGGTAGTAGAAGTGGTTAACTTGAAAAGTTTGATTTTAATAAATGCTTAAATACTTATTGGAGAAGTAGGGTAGTATTAAGCCAAATGTGAACCCACATAGGTTGTCCTAACATAACTGAAAAAAGGTAATTTCTTTTGCCCAGTGGTCAGAATCGTTGCCAGTCTTGTCCGGGGCAGGCTGTCTGGTGAATGAAGGGAATGAATCAAGTGTCAGGTATTTATGTCTTATATGTAGAAAGGACTACATGTAAATCCTTGCCAACTTAATTTTAGTACTTTTTTTTTTTTTTTTTTTGAGAGGGAGTCTTGCTCTGTCGTCTGGGCTGGAGTGCAGTGTCCTGATCTCGGCTCACTGCAACCTCCGTCTTCCAGACTCAAGCGATTCTCCTGCCTCAGCCTCCTGAGCAGCTGGGATTACAGGTGCCCACCAGCACACCCGGCTAATTTTTGTATTTTTAGTAGAGATGGGGTTTCACCATGTTGGCCAGGCTGGTCTCGAACTCTTGACCTCGTGATCCGCCTACCTCGGCCTCCCAAAATGCTGGGACTACAGGTGTGAGCCACCGCGCCCAGCCTAGTACGTTTTTTATAGTAATAATTTTTACCTTAAGAAATCACATGTTGGTCTTCTTTGCACCCAGAGCCGGTAATTGAAACACGGAGACTGAATTGCATACACCCCTGGAGGAAGTTTTTTCTGGTTAAAAAGAGCTGAGACATTTTGGCAGGACAGTTCAGCTAACTTTAAGTCCTATTCGAAGGCATAGCAAATAATATTTAAGATTGATGGGTGTGCATATGCTGACTTAAATTACAATTTGTAGCTAGGTGTCCTTTAAGAAAAATGTGTTTACTTTTGATACTTTTGTGACATTTTGTTTTTCTTTTTTTGAGAAGGAGTTTTGCTCTTGCTGCCCAGGCTGGAGTGCAATGGCACAATCTTGGCTCACTGCAACCTCCACCTCCTGGGTTCAAGCAATTCTCCTGCCTCAGCCTCCCAAGTAGCTGGGATTAAAGGCATGCAGCACCACGCCCAGCTAATTTTGTATTTTTAGTAATGACGGGGTTTCTCCGTGTTGGTCAGGCTGGTCTTGAACTCCCGACCTCAGTTGATCCACCTGCCTCAGCCTCCCAAAGTGCTGGGATTACAGGCATGAGCTACCGTGCCTGGTCTGACATTTTGTTTTTCTTAATGACACTTGTGTCTACTTGTCTTATCCTTATATGAAATTATTAACTCCTTAGAGATAAGTATTGAGCTTATTCCCCCTGCAGCTCCTGTAACAGAGTTTTGCACATAGCAGGTGCTCATCAAAGATTGGTTGGATAAATTATTGTTAGTAGATAAGAACTTGTAATAGATGAAGTTTTGATAACTCTACAGTGGGTGTCATAATCTCTAAATACTTTGGATTTAGGAAACTAAAAATTGGTCTAATTGTTTTTTGTTTTTGTTTTTTGTTGTTGTTGTTTTTTCTAATTGGTTTTTGATGGACAATTTGATCAGTGAATGTTTTTTTTTTTTTCTGTGAACGTTTTTCATTGCAAGAGTTACTTTGTTTTTGAGTTGCTATTTCATATTGCTTGCCAGGCATTTTCCTTTATTGGCTGTGATGTTAATTTGGATGCTTTACCTTTTGCAACACATTATTTTTAAAGATTATGGTAAAATAGATGTGACTTTTTTTTTTCCTTATCTCTTCTAAAAAAAAACGGGATACATGTGCAGAACGTGCAGGTTTGTTGCATAGGTATACGTGTGCCATGGTGGCTTGCTGCACTTACCGACCGGCCCTCTAAGTTCCCTCCCCTTGCCCCCCACCCCCCGGATGTGACATTTTGAGTTCTAAACTTTTAGAACATGCCCACTTGCCTGGAATGAGTAACAATGCATGACAGTGAGTTGATTAGGCTAAGTACCAGTTTCATTGGTTTTTTAGTCTGTACTTCCTGGAGGAAGGCTGTCAGGTAAATGTGTAGATAGAAGAAAAAAAGTTTTAGAACTGGTTTAAGATATCCGAATAACACATAAAGAAGTATGATTGATGAGTTTGAATCCTGTTGTACTGTGAAGGCTGAAAGAGGAATTTACCTTATTGGTAATTTAGAGTAATTTGATTAATTTTTATAGTTTACAGGGTTGGTTTAAGTACTGACGTGACATTCCTAACATAAGAAATAGCTCACTCCTAATACAAGAAATAACTCAGTATTTTGTAGGTAATGTAACAATGCAAAGACATTAGTTGACATTACTAAAGTCATGAAAGGTTTATTCATTGAAGATTGTTTTCCTTTTATGGAAAAAATGTAAGGATGCCAACTTTTTAGTATAAAATTGAAATCACCTAGTTTTGCTTAAGCTAAAGGCATATCGCTGAATAATGCTTTAATTCATTTTTACTTTTTAAATTTAGACTTACTTCAGCCTATAGGTTTTATGACATTGCCAATATACTGAGAAGGATTGTATAGGAAGTGTTTTCAATAGGCATTTGGTAAGGTTCTGACAGCACTTTGAAATTAAGCATTTGCTAATTTTAAGAAATTATATTTAAAACAGAATGGTTCTTGTGTTGCAGTCTCAGTCTTGTGTGAGACTTCTGAGAATACTTACCTGGAATTTTAAAACTTGGAACCTCTGATAACTTCATGAAACAAAAACCCTGGTGTTACCCTGGGAGAGTTAGTGATTTATGTCCTCTAAGGATTGTGACATTGGAGATCAGTGGCAGAGATGCCATGAATGAACCATAGATTCAAATTCAAGCAGAATTTGTCACTGGTTTGACAATATTATTCCTATCAGTGTCAATATCTTTTCAGTATAATTTCTGATTGCTGCATGCGAGGTACGCAGTGCAGTGGGCATTTTAAGGAGGGCGAGATAATATACCCCATTTAAGGGGATTGATGTGGGCATACACTTCCTGGATGGGCATGTGGAGAGTAAGGAAAGGCAGATTGAGGGAGGGAGGGAGGGAGAGGGAGCGGGAGCGGGAGGGAGCAGCAGGCACTGATAGTAAAGTGTGGGCAGTCTCAAGTAACTCGGTTTAGCAAGAGCCTGAGTGTGTGAATAGGAAATAAACCAAAGCTCCTTTGTATGCTGTGTTGGGCAGTACCTAGAGGATCAGGCTATAGCAACTGTACTTTCCCCCTTTTCTGTAGAATAGGGATTGGGCTGGATTGTGATCCTCAGCCCTTTTTCACTCCTGAACACCCAGAGGAGTTATGTTGTATTCCCAGCAGCACCATGCACAAACATGAAACAGAACCATATCAAATCACAGAGATGCTGTTGAACCACTGGTGTAGCTGTTTCTCCCAAATTGAGAGAATTACTGGGGAAATGGCCTGAAGCTCTCTCTCTTTCACATCTGTTTAATTTTGGGTATTGGGATGATCGGAAGATCTTGAAAGAGTGGGGTATGATTTCAGAGGGATGCCACGAAGTATAGCTTAGATTCTCTTCTGCAGGATGGATTGACAAGGACGAGATAGCTGGTGGGTTTTGTAGCCCTGGATGGAAGATCAGTCCAGGAGGCACTTTAGAGTTCTTCAGGCCTTGACACATAGATGTGTAGAGAGAGGAATGCATTACATATGCCTCCCTAAGAATGGTAGCACTTTCAGTAACAATGGGGAGGTCAAGATTATAAGGGAAATTAATGACATCTGTTTTCAGTTATCAGCACCTCAAGAGGTTAAACATGAGAATTAAACAAAATGAGAGCCAAAAGGGTTATGAAAAAGTTGGGCAATATGATTTGTGAGTAGTAGAGAGGTGTGTCCTAGGTATGCATTAATAAATAGTCTTGCACACAGTTCGTGCTTTTCTATTCTGCTCACCCACGGGCGTGTTTGGAAGTTTGTATTGAAACATGCGTATCACAGGACTGGGGATGTTAAGACCAGGAACTCTGGTCTCTTCTGTTAGGTCCTCCTTTCCTCTTTCCTCAAGACCCTGTGTCTTCCCTTTGACTAAAGACCCTTAATGGTGGAGACATGGGGGTGAGAGACTGGTAGTCATGGTGGGCAAGTAGTATTCTGGGTGACACAGGAGCAAATCCTAGCTGATGCCCTTTTCCCTTCCTGCTCCTTAGCCAGGCTGGAATCCCTCTTCCTGGGAGATCTTCCCTGAGTCCTGTTTTGCACCTTGGTCTTCCTTCTCTTTGAGTGCCTGCTTACGGTGGTTATGATCTCAGCACTAGCTTAATGCTGACACTGATTATTCTAATTTTATTTATTTATTTATGAGACAGAGTCTCACTCTGTCACCCAGGCTGGAGTGCAGTGGCATAATCTCGGTTCACTGCAACCTCCACCTCCTGGGTTCAAGCGATTCTCCTGCCTCAGCCTCCCGAGTAGGGGACTACAGGCGCCTGCCACCACGCCCGTCTAATTTTTGTATTTTTAGTAGAGACAGGGTTTCACCATATTGGCCAGGCTGGTCTCAAACTCCTGACCTTGTGATCCGCCTGCCTCAGCCTCCCAAAGTGCTGGGATTACAGGGGTGAGCTGCCGTACCCGGCCTCTAATTTTTTTCATGCTTTTGGTTTTTTAAAATGATAAGCCTCAGGAGGCAGCATGTTTCTTAATTTAAAAAAAAAAAACCACTTATACATTAAAATGCACTTTAAAAGATCGAAGGTGACCGTATAGAAATAATTAAAATGCACGTAAATATAATTATAATGTTTTAATTGTTTTGTCTGCTGGTATATATCTAAAATTTTTATGTTTTTCTAGATAGTAAGTTATATTCAACTATTATTTTGTGATTGTCACATTTTAAAAATAGTGACAGTAATAGCTAAATTTATTGGACATCTTCTGAATTGCTGAATGATTTTCAAGCAATATTTATGAAAATTCAGTTTTTAAAAGGTAACAGCTGTATGGAGATATAATTTATATACTGTAAAATGTACCCTTGTAAAGTATATAATTTAGTGGTTTTTTTAGTATATTGACAGAGTTGTGCAACCATTAACACTACCTAATTCCAGCACGTTTTTATACCCCCGCAAAAGAAGCCCGCACCGTCAGCATCACTCCCTGTTCTTCACCTCCCTCCTGCTCATCCCTGGCAGCCACTAATCTACTTTGATTCCCTGTTGATTCGCCTCTTTTTTTTTTTTTTTTTTTTTTGAGGCAGAGTCTCGCTCTGTCACCTGGGCTGGAGTGGAGTGGCGGGATCTCAGCTCACTGCAACCTCCACCTCCCGGGTTTAAGCGATTCTCCTGCCTCAGCCTCCCAAGTAGCTGGGATTACAGGCACCTGCCACTGTGCCTGGCTAATTTTTTGTATTTTTTTTTTTTTTTAGTAGAGACAGGGTTTTACTATGTTGGCCAGGCCGGTCTCGAACTCCTGATCTTGTAATCCACTCGCCTCAGCCTCCCAAAGTGCTGGGATTACAGGCGTGAGCCACTGCGCCCCGCCTGATTTGCCTCTTATGGACATTTCTTATAAAGTGGAATCATATAATATATGTCTTCCATCATTTAGCCTAATGTTTTCAAGCGTTATGCATATCTTAACATGTATCAGTACTATATTTGAATAACACTTCATTGTATGGCTATACAGCCTTTTTTTTTTTTTTATGGAGACAGGGTCTTGCAGTGTTGCCCAGGCTGACCTCAAACTCCTGGACTCAGGCAATCTTCCTGCCTCAGCCTTCCAGCCTCCAGAGTAGCTAGGATTACAGGCACACATCTCTGTGTCCAGAGACCATGTTTTGCTTATCCATTTCTTAAGTTCATGGACATCTGAACTGTTTCCACTTTTTGGCCATTAGGAATAATGCTGCTGAGCACATTCGTGTACATGTTTTTATCTGTACGTATGTTTTCATTTCTCTTGGGTATATAACTAGGATTATTTGCTGTATTATTGCAAATTCAGTTTTAATTTCTTTCTTTTTTTTTTTTTTGAGACAGAGTCTCTTGTCGCCCAGGCTGGAGTGCAGTGGCATGATCTTGGCTCACTGCAACCTCTGCCTTCTGGGTTCAAGTGATTCTCCTGTCTCAGCCTCCTGAGTAGCTGGGACTACAGGTGTGTGCCACCATGCCTGGCTAATTTTTGTATTTTTACTAGAAGAGGGTTTCACCATGTTGGCCTTGCTTGTCTTGAACTTCTGACCTCAAGTGATCCACCCGCCTTGGCCTCCCAAAGTGCTGGGATTACAGGTGTGAGCCACCGTGCCTGGAAGAAAGTAATTCAGGAGTTAGAATGAATCCTTAGTGATAGATTGGTTAGGCTGGGATGTGGTGAGTGGGAGAAAAGGATTCAAGGATGAACTGACTTCTGAATCTCCCTTATTTCTCTTTTCCTTATTCACTCCTTATTTCTTCTCTTCATCTCGAATGGATCTAGTAATACTGATTTCTTTGTAGTTCTCACACACCTAACTCCTAGTCATCCATCCATCACCTTCTCCAGCCTGCCTTCTCTGATCACCATTCCCTTTACCGCCAGGTGGGGCTAAGTTCCTGTGTTTCCCACCCGTATAACCTCCAGGACCATGTGCATTAAGTGTTTTAGTTTCCAAATATTTGGGAATTTTTTAGCTATCCTTCTGTTACTGATTTCTAATTTAATTTCATTTTGTTCAGAGAGTATACTTTGTATGACTTTAATTTTATAAAACATTTTTAGAGGTTTGTTTTGCACCCCAAAATTTTGTCAGTCTAAGTGAATGTTCCATATGTACTTGAAAAGAATTTTGTATTCTGCTCTTGTTGAGTGGAGTATTGCATAAATGTCAATTAGGTCAAGTTTGTTGATAATGTTACTAAGATCTGTCTGACTTTCTGCTTGTTCTGTTGATTACTGAGAGAAGTCTTGAAGTCTGCAGCTATTGTGAAGGATTTGTCTGTTTCTCCTTGAAGTTCTAGCAATCTTCATGTATTTTGAGGCTTTATATTCATGTATTTTGAGGCTCCTTCCTAAAGTCCATAAACCTTTAGGAAGGATTATTTTATCCTCTTAATTATTTAACCCCTTTATCTCTATCTTTATCTGTTAAGACATGGAGCTGAAATGGGCTTTTAATATCTGGCCCTTCTTTAATTACAACCTACTTTGGGCAGGGACAGTCTCATTCAGTCTCTGTAGTGCCTGGTTCAATCTCTTGAATGCAGTAGGCAGCACAAGTAATTGTGGAACTGAATGATGAGTCAAAGAAAGCCTGTGGATTCTTTTCACGCTCTATACTGTCCAGTATGGTAGCCACTAGCCACATGTGGAGAGTTAAATTAATTAAAACTAGGCAGGCCAAGCGTGGTGGCTCATACCTGTAGTCCCAATACTTTGGGAGGCTGAGGTGGGAAGATCACTTAAGGCAGCAGTTGAAGACTAGCCTGAGCAACATAGTAAGACACTGTCTTTACAAAAGAATTAAAATAGTTTGGCAGAGGTTGGCATGCCTGTAGTCCTACCTAATTGGGAGGCTGAGGTGGGAGGATTGCTTGAGCCCAGGAGTTAGAGGCCCTAGTCAGCTATGGACCATGCCACCACACTCCAGCCTGGGTGACAGAGTGAGAACCCATCTCTTAAAAAAAAAATTTAAGTAAAATGAAAAGTTAGTTTCTCCTGTGGCACTAGCTGTTATATGTTCATTTCAAGTGCTCTATAGCCACATGTATTGCACCACACAAATGTAGAGCATTTGGGGCATTTCATATCATTGCAGAAAGTTCTCCTGGACTCATTGTAGTCAGTCTGCCTCTGTTAGACCAGGGGGAATTTACCTAACATCTCTTTTTCTCTAGCCTTTTATTTGCCCTAAATCCTGCACAGCTTGGGTAGCCCCAGCACTCTGGCTGAGTGAAGTCCTCCTTTGTGGAGACTCTGGGCCCAGCATTATTTGTGTATGTGATGGTATTGCATTTCTGCAATAAGATTTGGGGTCATGTGTGAGATGACTTTCCATTATTTGTTGTCCTTGGTGGTAGGGTGAAGAGGAAGTTAACATGTGATTAGAAAATCTGCCACAGTCCTGGTAATTTTTTTTTTTTTTTTTTTTGAGACGGAGTCTCGCTCTGTCGCCCAGGCTGGAGTGCGGTGGCGCGATTTCGGCTCACTGTGAGCTCTGCCTCCCGGGTTCACGCCATTCTCTTGCCTCAGCCTCCCAAGTAGCTGGGACTACAGGCACCTGCCACCATGCCCGGCTAATTTTTTGTAATTTTAGTAGAGATGGGGTTTCACCATGGTAGCCAGGATGGTCTTGATTTCCTGACCTTGTGATCCGCCCACCTCAGCCTCCCAAAGTGCTGGGATTACAGGCGTGAGCCACCATGCCTGGCCCAGTCCTGGTAAAATTAAGCTAAAAGTTATATATATAGGCCAGAAGAGAAGGAAGGATTAGGATTCAGAGACTTTTGGTTGAGAAATTAAATTTGATAATTCAGAGAATTTCAGTGTTATAAAAGTGTAAAAGCTGATATGCAAACTGAATTGCGAGATGTTAGTATGTCCTAGTGTGTCTGGGTTCTCCTGTATAAAACGTCTTAGGAGTCACTGGCCAAATTATTTATCTATGGAACCCCCTGAGATTTGCTAAGAAAGTTATACTTAGACTTCTTTCTACTCATGGATATGTTCTGTAATTCACACGCTTGGGAAACGGCATGGCCATGTGATTCATACCAAATGGCAATGTTCAGTAGGTGCAGTTTATATATTTTACTAGAAATATGGCTTCTTGCTCGATTTCAGTATGTTCATAGTGCCTCTTTTGAGGTCTGTGTATAGTATATAGTATATTCTATTTATGGAAGTTAAGAAGTATTTCAGAAATGCATGTATTAATCTGTGTGGAATTTCTCTTGTCCTGTTCTAATTCTTGCATAGATACTTGTCTCAAGAGATGGTCCAACATTTAAAATAGTGAATGACATCTTAGCTCATCCTAAAACAATCCTTTCTAAAGGTTTATGAACTTATTCATAGAGCCTCAAAATACATGAGGACTGATAAAACTCCAAGGAGAAACAGACAAATCCTTAACAATATCGTAGACTTCAACACTCTTCTCACAGTAATCAAGAGAACAAGTAGGCAGAAAGAAAGTGCAGTTTTCTGTTTTTGTAGACAGCAAAATTATTTCACACACTTCTTAAAGTCTTATTCAGTAAGTTACTCATTTCTCCACCTTATGACTGTACTGTGCTTTCAAAGTGCTGTGCAAAGAGTAAAATGTTTTAAGGTGGTTTTACTGTAATTTCACATACATATTTGAACTTTTGAGTCTGAATTATCCAGGTGAAATGCATTGGATTTCTGATCCTCTGTAAACTTGGAAGATTACCTTCTTCCAGGTATATTGGTTTTCCTTAATTGCTTTAATAGCATGAGTTGTGAATCTTCTCTGTGTCTCAGAAGAAACCTAACAGTGGAGATTGTTTATGGCAAGGGTCACAAATTTACATGCTCAGGTTAGGACCCTCTTTAAGGTAAAGACATGAAGTGCCCCCCTTTTTATTAATACATAACTGCATTTGCTGATAATATTGATTTGCCTTAAAAAAACTAGTCCTATTGAGAATTCAGGCTCTTTTTGCGTTTACAGACAGTGCTGTCCTGAATGTGCTAGAGATGTACCTTTAGTCACTTAAGCTGGTGTTTCTGTAGGGTAGATTCCTAGGACTGGGATTGGATTGTTGCATTATAGTGTGTACCATTTAAAAGTCTGGACCAGATTATACTCTCAACATCTGTTTTTAAACCTTCCCTAGTCTGTGCTTATGTGTTTTGTTTTTTTTTTTTGAGATGGAGTCTTGCTCTGTCGCCCAGGCTGGAGTGCAGTGGCATGATCTCAGCTCACTGCAACCTCCACCTCCTTGGTCCAAGCAGTTCCCCTGCCTCAGCCTCCTGAGTAGCTGTGATTAAAGGCGGACGCCACCACGCCTGGCTAATTTTTTTGTATTTTTAGTAGTGACGGGGTTTCACCATGTTGGCCAGACTCATCTGGAATTGCTGACCTCAGGCAATCTGCCCACCTTGGCCTCTCAAAGTGCTGGGATTACAGGCGTGAGCCACCGTGCCCAGCCTATGTGGTTTTAAATTAACTTTTTCTAGAATCTACTAAGGTTTACTCAGACCTTTAGCAGGTGTTCTTGGATACTGACTAGGCCCAGAGTCCTCTTCTCATCAATTTATTGGCAAATACACTCACTTGCGATGTGATATGAGACCCTGAGTTTTACCTCCCAAATGGCAGGATGTCTGTTTTGAGAGTTTCCTGGCCAAGTGGTGGAAAGTACCATGGAAATGGAGTTCTTCATTGCTTCTTACTTAACTTGAGTTTGGACCATAGAGAAGTCATTCTTGTGTGGACCTCAGTTTACTCACCTGTACAGTATAGGATGGACTAGATGATCTAATGGTCAGGGGACTGGCAAACTTGTTCTTAGGTTACCAATTAGTAGATATTTCAGGTTTTGCAGGCCATCTGGCTCTGTCACAGCTGCTCAGCTCTGCCCTCATAGCAGGAAAGCAGCCATAGACAATAAGTAAACAAATGAGCATGGCTGCTTTCTAATAAAACTTTATTTACAAAAACAGGCTGTGGCTGGCCATAGTTTATTCACCCCATTTTTGAGCTCTTGACATTCATTAGTCTGTGATTTCGATAATTCGTTTAGGAAAAAGGCTTTGAGTTTTACAAATAATGCTTCTGAAAATCTAGTAAAACCTTTAAATTTTATTTTTGCTTCTTCTCTTTATCAGGAAAGTAATGTAGAACATTTAGAAAACCCAGAACATTAATATTTTGGTTCCTCTCATTAGTTAACCATCTTTGTGTAAACATGTGTATGTACATACTTTTTTTTTTGAGCTGGAGTATCGCTCTGTCACCCAAGCTGGAGTGCAGTGGCACAATCTTGGCTCACTGCAACCTCCACCTCTTAGGTTCAGGTGATTCTCTTGCCTCAGCCTCCAGAGTAGCTGGGACTACAGGTGCTCGCTGCCATGCCTGGCTAGTTTTTTATATTTTTTTAGTAGAGACGAGGTTTCACCAGCCCAGGCTGGTGTTGAACTCCTGAGCTCAGTCAGTCCTTCCTCCTTGGCTTCCCAAACTGTTGGGATTACAGGCGTGAGCCACCACACCCAGCACATGTGTGCATACATACTTTTTACAAAATTGGAAGAAGTATAATTCATTTGCTAAATATTTTCACTTATGCCATGAAATCAGATTTTATCTTTGTGTATAAAAATACCTGCTCTGCTGGGGCTTCTAGTTGAAAACTAATGAATTTTAAAAATTAATTTAGTATTTAGCCACCTATTCTTTTTTCTAATTGTTTCTTGTAGCTTTTGCTTTGATTGGAATAATTTTACTCTAGGAATAAAGTTGTGTCATCTGCAAAAATGAATCATATGTACACATCTGATTTTCTTACATTTGTATCTCCTTTTTCTCTTCAAATTACATTGCCCTCTACCATTGATGGGAACCTGGGTAATAAAAAAAAAAGAAAAAAAAGAAACAAATTGCATTGTGTACCACCTCCAAAGCAATGTTAAATGTTAGTTATAACGATAGGCATCTTAGTATGCTTTCCGAATTTAATGGAACTGATGCGAATATTTCATGGTTAACTGTGGGTTTGAGACCTTCAATGTGTTGAATGTATTCACCTGGTTCTCTTTTTTTTCCTAAGTTTTTTTTTAAAAAAAAATCAGCTATGGCTATTGTATTTTGTCACATGTCATCTTAGCATCTTTTAAGATGATCATATAGTTTTTCTCCTGCAAGCTACATATTAATTACTGTGGTGTATATTCATAGAATTATATTAGATCTTATAATATTGATCCACCCTTACATTCCTGCAGCAAACCTCTCTTGATCCTACTTTTTCATGTACTGTTTGACTTTTAAAAAGGTATTTTAATTTTTAAATAGTTTATACATGTACAGTGCATAATGTATTTGAGATTCATCTATGTTGTTGTGTGTATCAGTAGTTTCTTTATTGCTGAGTAGCAGTCCCTTATATGAGTGTATCACAGTGCATTTATCCATTCAATAGTTGGATATTTCAGTTATCTCTGGTTTTTGGCAACTATGAATAAAGTTGTCCTAAACGTTTCCATAATGGTTTTGTATGAACACAATACTTGTTTTTCTTGAGTAAATACCTAGGAGTATGATTTCTGGGTTGTATGTTTATGAGAAACTGCCAAAACTGTTTTCCAAAGTAGCTGTACCATTTTGCATTCTTACCTGCAAGTGTATGAAGAGTTCCGGTTGCCCTGTATCCTCCCTAGTACTTGATATTGTCAGTTTTTTTTTTAAAAGACACCTTAATAAGTATATAGTGATATCCCCTTCTGGTTTTAATTTGCTTGTCCCTAATGACAAATGGTTCTGAGCCTCCTTTTATGTGCATCTTTTTATTTGCCATCTGTATACCATTTTTTATGGAAAAATACTGATTTTTTTTTTTTTTTTTGAGATAGGGTCTTGCTTGTTGCCCAGGCTGGAGAGCAATGGCACAGTCACCACTCACTGCAGCTTCCACTTCCTAGCCTCAAGCCATCCTCCCACCTCTCAGCTTCCCCAGTAGCTGGGATTTCAAGTGCGCACCTCCACAGTTGGCTAATTTTTTATTTTTATTTGTAGAGATAGGGTTTCATTATGTTGCCCAGACTGATTTCAAACTCCTGGGCTCAAGCAATCCACCTGCCTCGGCCTCTCAAGGTGCTGAGATTACAGGCATGAGCTGCCATGCCTGGCCAAGATACCAAAATCTTTATTTAAGATGTTTAATTGGGTTGCTGCTGCTCCTCTTGTTGTTGTTGTTGCTGCTGCTGCTGCTCCTCCGCCTCCTCCTTCCCCTCCTCCCCCCTTCCCCCTTTTCCTCCTCTCCTTCTCCTCTTCCTCCTCCTCCTTTCTATTTTTTTAGACAGTTTCCTTCTTTCACCCATGCTGGAGTGCAGTGGCATGATCTTGGCTCACTGGAGCCCGTCATTCCCCGCCTACCCAAGGCTCAAGGTGATCCTCCCACTTCAGCCTCTGAAGTAGTTGGGACCACAGGCACATGCCACTATGCCTGGCTAATTTTTGTATTTTTAGTAGAGATGGGGTTTCACTATGTTGCCCAGGCTGGTCTTGAACTCCTGAGCTCAAGCAATCCGCCTGTCTCGGCCTCCCAAAGTGCTGGAATTACAGGCATGAGCCACCATGCCCAGCCAATTTCTTATTATTGAGTAGTAAGAGTTCTTTATATATTTTGGATATAAGTGCTTTGTTAGGCTGTGTGATGTACATATATTTTCTCCCTGTCAGTGCCTTGCGTTTCATTCTCTTAACAGTGTCTTTTTCCCAGAGCATAAGTTTTAAATTTTGATAAAGTCTAATTTACCACTTTTTTTCTTTTACACATCTGGGGTTCGTCTAACAACTCTCCCTAATCCAGAGCTTGCCAGATTTTTTTGGTAAAAGGTCAGATAGTAAGGCCAGGCATGGTGGCTCATGCCTGTAATCCCAGCACTTCGGGAGGCCAAGGCAGGCGGATCACCTGAGGTTGGGAGTTTGAGACTAGCCTGACCAACATGGCGAAACCCCGTCTCTACTAAAAATACAAAAAATTAGCCGGTCGTGGTGGCACATGCCTGTAATCCCAGCTACTCGGGAGGCTGAGGCAGGAGAATGGCTTGAACCCAGGAGGCGGAGGTTGCAGTGAGTCGAGATTGCGCCATTGCACTCCAGCCTAGGCAACAAGAGCGAAAATCTGTCTCAAATAAATAAATAAAAAATAAATACCACTATTTAATACTAATATAAAATTAGTATTTTATATTAGCAGTAATATAATACTTTTTTTGACTAGTGATAGAATGACATATCTTTTTCTACCCTTTTGCTTTTAATTTATATATCATGATATTCGTCTATTGTTTAATTTGTGAAAATAAAGATGGGGTTTTGCCATGTTGCCTAGGCTGGTCTTGAATTCCTGGGCTCAAGCAGTCCACCCACCTCACCCTCCCAAAATGCTGAGATTACAGGTGTGAGCCACCATACCTGGCCATATCATTATAATTTGAAATGGTTTCTTGTTTGTTTTTCTTTTAAATTTAATCTGACAGCCTCTTTTAATTAATGTGTTTTGGACCATTTACATTTAATATGATTGATAATGATTGGATTTAGGTTTCCTATTTTATTATTTGTTTTCTGATTATCTCTTTTTTGAGGGGTTTCTTCTGTTTCTTTTTTCTGCCTACTTTTGGATTAATTGAATATTTTTTAGTGTTTTATTAATTGGCTTTTGGTTATATCTGTGCTATGTTTTTGCTGTAGGAATTACAAAATATATACCTAAACTATCTACTTAGAGTTAGCATTTTACCTCTAAATAAAATGTAAAATAAAACGTAAAAGTATTGCAACCATACAGGTTTCTTTATTCTAGCGCCCCTCCCTTATGTTATAATTGTACATATGTGTATATATCTTTATACACTTTCAATATATGTAGATACATATAGATATGTATCTACATATGCTTTCAGTGTATATCTATATGCATACATTGTATATATACATAGACATATATCTACATACATTGACAGATATATATCTACATACATATACAATGCATGCATGATACCTTTGGCCACTACATCCTTCTTAAATTTCCTGTTGCAACTCATGACTCAATTTCCTTGACCAGTTACTCCTCCTTCAGACATCCCTCTTACATGTGATAGTCCTCAGCATTTAGTTTCCCCAACTTTCCCCTAATTATCAGTTGTCTGAGTTACCACCATAATATCAATGACTTCTAGATCCACTTTTCTTCTTAGACCTCTCCTCTAAACTCCAGTTATGTATTTCCAACTTTCTGTGCTGTCCCAGATAAACTCCACATTGTAGGAAATAAAAAGAAAGGAGTTATAAAAGTTTAGGTTCAAAGCAAAATTTAGAAACTCACAAACGAGACAAAGATTTTTTGATGACAAAGGCTGTGGTCCACAATGAAAATATAAAACATGTCTCTATAAAACATATATGTGATAGAGACTGTCCCCAACTTTAAGCCTTTCAGTAATTCATGTAACTGCAGAACATCTTTAAAGTACTGAGAGAAATGTCAATCCAGAATTCTGTATCCAGCAAAAATACCCTTCAACAATTAAGGCCAAAAAAAAAAAAAAAAAAAAAAGACATTTCAGATGAAGAAAATCTAAGAGAATGTGTTGCCAAAAGTTCTGCTGTAAAATAAATATAAAAGAAGGTCTTTAGGCCAAAGGAAATACTAGAACTTCAGAGATAAAGAGCAACAGAAATGGTATCTGGGAAAATGTAAAAACACAAACAGTTGTTTCTTAAGCTCTTTAAAATATGTATAGTGGTTTAAAGCAAAAGTTATAACACTGGTGAGACTTTCAATGTATGTAGATATATATGTAGATACATATATCTATATATATGTAGATGTATGTAGATATATACCTATATCTACATACATATAAATATATATCTACATATATAGATACATATAGATATCTACATACATCTACATACATGTAGATGTATGTAGATATATACCTATATATCTACATACATGTAAATATATATCTACATATATGGATACATATAGATATGTAGACATAGATACATATAGATATATATCTACATGAGATTGAGTCTAGCTTTATTGCCCAGGCTGGAGTGCAGTGGTGTGATGTCGGCTCATTTTTGTATTTTTAGTAGAGATGGGGTTTCACCATTTTGGTCACACTGGTCTTGAGCTCCTGACCTCAAGTGATCTGCCCTCCTCAGCCTCTCAAAGTGCTGGGATTATAGGCGTACCTGGCCTTACATGAGACTTTGAATGTATGTAGATATATATCTAGATATATATATAGTATAAATATCTGTATATATCTAGATATATATACAGAAGATATATATCTAGATATATATGTATAAATATCTGTATATATCTAGATATATATACAGAAAAGCTTAGTTAATGTCTCTGTAGCACCTTTACTATAGAGCAGTTCTATCACCTTTGGGTGTGAGGGTGGTCTTTTGTGATAATGAGATTTTTAAATTGTCTGGAGCAGTTGTCTTTTTTTTTTTTTTTTTTTTTTTTTTTTGAGATGGAGTTTTGCTCTTGTTGCCCAGGCTGGAATGCAATGGCGCAATCGTGGCTCACTGCAACCTCCGCCTCCTGGGTTCAAGTGATTCTCCTGCCTCAGCCTCCCGAGTAGCTGAGATTACAGGCATGTGCCACCATGGCCGGCTAATTTATTATTATTAGTAGAGATGGGGTTTCACCATGTTGGTCAGGCTGGTCTCAAACTCCTGACCTCAGGTGATCCACCCACCTCAGCCTCCCAAAGTGCTGGGATTACAGGTGTGAGCCACCGTGCCCGGCCCCCGCCTTTTTTTTTTTTTTTTTTTTTTTTTTTAAGATGGAGTCTCACTCTGTCACCCAGGCCGGAGTGCAGTGGCATGATCTCAGCTCACTGCAACCTCCGCCTCCCAGGTTCAAGTGAGTCTCGTGCCACAGCCTCCGGAGTAGCTAGCTGGGACTACAGGCATGCACCACCATGTCTGGCGAATTTTTTTTTTTTTTTGAGACGGAGTCTAGCTCTGTTGCCCAGGCTGGAGTGCAGTGGCGCAATCTCCGCTCACTGCAAGCTCTATCTCCTAGGTTCACGCCATTCTCCTGCCTCAGCCTCCCGAGTAGCTGGGACTACAGGCGCCCGCCACCACGCCTGGCTAATTTTTTGTATTTGTAGTAGAGATGGGGTTTCACCGTGTTAGCCAGTATGGTCTCGATCTCCTGACCTCGTGATCCGCCCGCCTTGGCCTCCCAAAGTGCTGGGATTACAGGCGTGAGCCACCACGCCCGGCTAATTTTTTTTTTCTTTTTTTTTTTTTGTATTTTTACTAGAGACAGAGTTTCACCATGTTGCCCAGGCTGGGCTCAAACTCCTGAGCTCAGGCAATCTGCCCATCTCGGCCTCCCAAAGTACTAGGATTGCAGGGGTGAACCACTGCGTCCAGTCTGTTGCCTTACAGTATGTCTCACCATTTGGATTTATCTGATTTTTTTATTTATTTTTTTTGAGACGGAGTTTCACTCTTGTTGCCCAGGCTGGAGTGCAATGGCATGATCTCGGCTCACCGCAACCTCTGCCTCCCAGGTTCAAGCAATTCTCTTGCCTCAGCCTCCCTAGGAGCTGGGATTATAGGCATGTGCCACCACGCCTGGCTAATTTTGTATTTTTAGTAGAGACAGCGTTTCTTCATGTTGGTCAGGCTGGTCACGAACTTCCAACCTCAAGTAATCCATCCGCCTCAGCCTCCCAAAGTGCTGGGATTACAGGCATGAGCCACTGCGCCCAGCCTGATTGTTTTTTACATGCATAGATTGAGTTTAGTATACTTGTGATAGGAATGCTGTATAAGTGCACGTCTCCTCCTCAGCACATCTCATCAGGAGGTGCACCATCAATTTGTTCCATTATTGATATAGATCACTTGGTAAAGGTGACATGTGCTAGAATCATCCCTGTAAAGGTATCTTTCACCTTTGAAAGTAGTATTTATCTGTAAGGTGATTCTTTGAGAATATCCTATTGCCCAACAACCTTTCACCCAGTAGTTTTAGGATCTGTTGATGGTTCTTGCTTGAATCAGTTACACCTCTGATTGCAAATGGTGACTTCTCTATTTCTATCATTTCTTTGTTAATTATCTGGCATTTGAAGACATCTCCCTTTCTTCCTCTCTCCCTTTGGAGTCTTACTGAAGAGTGGCCTCGAGTTCTTTTATTATTCATTGTGAAAAACAAGAGGGCAGGCATGGTGGTTCACGCTTGTAATCCTAGCACTTGGGGAGGCCCGAGGTGGGAGGATTGTGTGAGCCCAGGAGTTCAAGACCAGCCTGGGCAATGTAGGGAGACCCCATCTCGACAGAAAATTTAAAAATCAGTTGGGCATGGTGGTGCATGTCTTTTGTCCCAGCTACTCAGGAGGCTGAGGTGGGAGGATCTCTTGAGCCCAGGAGGTGAGGCTGCAGTGAGCTATGATAGCACCACTGCACTCTAGCCTGAGCGACAGCAAGATTCTGTCTCAAAAAATATATATATTTTATTTTATATATATTTATAACTATGTATTTATATAAATGTATATAATAAAAAAGAAAAACAGGGGATCTTTATGTTACAGTTTTTGAGCCCACATTTTAGGAATGTTTACCAAACTATCCTAGAGCCATACTTACTTGGGGAAAAAACTAAAGAGGTATATGAAAGCTATTTTTATCTTTCAAAGGCTAAAAGACATTAA
This sequence comes from Homo sapiens, assembly GCF_000001405.40. Classification (NCBI taxonomy): domain Eukaryota; kingdom Metazoa; phylum Chordata; class Mammalia; order Primates; family Hominidae; genus Homo; species Homo sapiens. Next base: position 67,845,988 of record NC_000017.11, read on the forward strand.
ATGAGTTCTTAAACTTTTTCGAAGCCAAAATTTTTCTTTATCCTGTTTTGCTACTGAAGCAAAATTTTTTCTTGAATATAGGGTAACATTCACTAGTGGTTGATGAACCATTGTATTTAGTGGCAATCTTCTGTAAATAAATCTTTCAAATATAAAAGAAGTTATCCCATTAAAATAATTATAAAATAGTCCAAACATTCAGAAAAGTTTTAAAAATATAGGCTGGGCATGGTGGCTCACACCTGTAATTCCCACACTTTGGGAGGTTGAGGTAGGAGGATCACTTGGGCCCAGCAGTTTTAGAGCAGCCTGGGCAGCATAGAGGATACTGAATGTATTTTAGCTTTGTGTTGACAACCCAGTGGGTTATTTGAACTTCACTTATTGTGTGGTAGTCCCTAGATGTATCTCTAGACCAGGGCTGTCCAATAGAACTTTTTGTGATGATGGAAATATTCTGTATGTGTACTGTCCTGTATGGTAGCCACGAGACACATGGCTATTAAGTAAGCACCTGAAATTTTTGTTCAGGTCTCATACTTTATAACATTGTCACTTCACTGATTTGTCTCCTTTATCTGTCATTTCTCCCACCTGCACAATAGGCACTTGTTATTTCTCAAATTCCCTTTCACTGAGAGGTCAAGTCAGGTGGTTTTTAACAATATGGGAGGAAGTCTAATATAGTAGTAAAGACCATAGCTTAGGACTTGTGTGGGTTTGTTTGTTTGTTTGGAGACAGGGTCCCTGTCGCCTAGGGTGGAGTGCGGTGGTACAGTCTGGGCTCACTGCAACCTCTGCCCTTTGGGTTCAAGCAATTCTAGTGCCTCAGCTTCTGGAGTAGCTGGGATTACAGGCACACGTCACCACACCCAGCTAATTTTTGTTATTTTAGTAGAGACAGGGTTTCGCCATGTTGGCCAGGCTGGTCCTAAACTCCGGACCTCAAGTGATCCACCCGCCTTGGCCTCCCAAAGTGCTGGAATTACAGGCATGAGCCACCAAGCCCAGCTGGACTTGTGGGTTTGTTGTTGTTTTTTTGTTTTATTTGGGACCTGTGTTGGTTGTAACTCTTAGTGGTACTGGCTGTGACCTTGGACAAGTCATTTAGCCTCTCTATAAACATCTTTGAAAGGAAGTAATAATGGTATCTATTTTATGGAGTTGATCTGAGGATAAAAATAAGATAATGCACTTTAAAATGCTTACTTAGCACAATGTCTGGCAAATAGAAAGCACTCTCTAGGCCAGGCGTGTTAGCTCACACCTGTAATCCCAGCACTTTGGGAAGCCGAGGTGGGTGGATCACCTGAGGTCAGGAGTTCGAGACCAGCCTGGCCAACATGGTGAAACCCCATCTCTACTAAAAATAATAAATTAGCCGGGCGTGGTGGCACATGCCTGTAATTCCAGCTACTCGGGAGGCTGAGGCAGAAGAATAGCGTGAACCGGGGAGGCAGAGCTTGCAGTGAGCAGAGGTCGCGCCACTGCACTCCAGCGTGGGTGACAGGGTGAGACTCCGTCTAAAAAAAAAAAAAAATTATCCGGGTGTGGTGGTGGGCACCTGTAATCCCAGTTGTTTGGGAGTGAGGCAGGAGAATGGCTTGAACCCAGGAGGCAGAGCTTGCAGTGAGCCTAGATTGCGCCACTGCACTCCAGCCTGGGCGACAGAGCCAGACTCCGTCTCAAAAAAAAAAAAAAAAAGAAAAAAGAAAGCACTCTATAAAAGCTAGCTGCTGATTTTTATATTATTACTGACACAGAAGATAGGGATTGGGGGCAAATGGAATGTACTGGAAGAGCATAACCTTGTTCAGTAATAACGTTAATGCTAGATTGGGACACTATTCCACATGAAAAGGTGAATCCTTGTTACATTTGACAACTAAGTTTCATAATTTTTAAAAGATTTCAATGCATCACAGGTTATTTCTTCTTGATGTGCCATTCATGGTTTATATATATGTAACAGTAGATTAAATAATTAGATTTTATTAGTTCTGGAGTATTAACTTCGGCTGGAAATGAACTTCCCCCTTCTCTATACCAATACCGAGTGAGGCCACTTTCTCTCAGATACCAATCAGAAATAAGGGGACAATGTTACATTTTTTCCTTCTAGAAACACACATTATATAGAGAGTTGCCTTTTGAGGTCTAGAAGTCTGAAAACACTGTAAATTCTTTTTTTTTTTTGAATTAGTACAATAAATGTAGGGGTCAACTCTAAAAAATCGACAGTGGTTTCTGGGATTTGATCTTGGCATGACTTTACCCCTGCATCTCTGCCCTCGGCAGGTAGTTTTGTTTATGGGTGTCATTGGTTGAACAAATATTTTTTTAGTTGCTACAATAACTAAAACATGATCTGTCCTCTAAAGGAGTCAACAAATGAGCCAGGGGGCATGAGTAATTGCCTGTAATATAATTGTGCTCACGCTGTCATGGAGGACCGTACAAAGTGTCAGAAGCACAGCACCTGGAGGCACAGCAAAGGGTAGTAGAGGTGACATTTGAGCCCGGCCTTGAAAACTGTCTAGGGTTTCTCAGAATTTCAGCAAAGTAAGGCAATTTCTGTCTAAAATATGTAGGCAAACTTTTTTTTAAAATTAAAAATATGAGAAATTAATTAACAGATTATGACTACAGTGCGTATTTAAAAACCAAGGCATGATGAGTGCTGTTGACCAGTTCATCCGAACAGTTCAGAGAAGAGAACATCCATGTAGATCCCTTTTGTGTTACAGAATACAAAGGAGCAGAAAATTTTGTCTCAATAACTGCCAGGTCATTCTAATTAGAATACCTATACATTGTAACATAATTACTCCGTCGAGGTAATAAGCTATCAGGTGGTCCAGAGTTTGCCATTCAGTCAGGAAATTCACTCCCTTAACCTAGACTGTGCTGGAAATTCATTGACAAATTTTGTTCTTTGATTCTCCATTTTTCTTCAGAATTCATGCAGACCACTTGACTTCCTTAGCAGTTTCTTTTGTGGGCGTACATTAATGTCTTTGGTTAAGCTTCAGCTTCCCTTTGCATCAATCCTGTTGTAATCGTGCCTCCTGAGGCATCTTTTTGCTTCCCTTGCATGAGTTTCCAAAACCCTTTCTGCTTGGTAAGGGGAGTATCCATTTTCTTTAAAGTAGTGGTTTTCAAACTTGCCGCACATCAGAATCATTTGGGGAGAAGGATAAAAATATAGATTACTGAGCTTCACCTGGGGTTCTGTGAATTTGGGTTGCATTTGAGATTACTTTTAACAATTTACCAGATGATTTTTGCTGCACCTCCATTTCAGGGCAGCTTTTCAAACTTCAGTGACCATATAAATCACCTGAAGATCGTGAGAAACTGCAGATCCTAATTTAGTAGGCCTGGGCTTGGGCCTGAGATTCTGAATTTCTCTCAAACATGATAATGCCAGTCACTTGTCGAGTAGCAAGTTTTTTGTTTTTTATTTTTTGTTTGTTTTTCCAGTATTTTCATGACATTCAATGAATAGCAAGGTTTGAAGGTAACTTCTGGAATTTCATCTAATGTGTATTAATTTTTACTTATCTGGATCTTAGGGAAAATAACCTATCAGGATATAGGGAGGTGTTTCTCAGAGTATGGTTCGCCAGAACAGCACAACCTGGGAATTGTTAGAAATGCAAGTTCTCGGCTGGGCGTGGTGGCTCACACCTGTAATCCCATAACTTTGGGAGGCTAAGGCGGGTGGATCACTTGAGGTGAGGGGTTTGAGACCAGCCTGGCCAACATGGGGAAACCCCTTCTATACTAAAAATACAAAAAAAATTAGCCGGGCATGGTGGTGGGCACCTGTAGTCCCAGCTACTCGGGAGGCTGAGGCAGGAGAATCACTTGAACCTAGGTGACAGACGTTGCAGTGAGCTGAGATCGTGCCACTGCACTCCAGCCTGGGCAACAGAGCAAGACTCCATCTCAGAAAAAAAAAAATTCAGGTTCTCAGACTCTATTCTAGGCCTATTGAATCAGTGACATATGCACTCTGAAGTTTGAGAACCACTGTTTTAAGGCTTCTCACTGTAGTCCTGTATTTACTTACGTAGAAATCAAAACACATTTCTAATGTTGTCAGATAATGCAAGGATATCATTTTCTTGTGTAAGTGCATGGGCTAGCACTTTCAAAACTACTAATTCTTGTAATAAATGTTTATTTAATAGCTTATTATATGCTAGCCACTACTTAACATTGGCAAACTTAAAAAATCCCTGTCGTTAAGGAGATTATATTCTAGTGGTGATATTAACTACTAGTTCATGTATGTATTCATCCGTAAGTAGTATATAAACTGTATTTCCATGGTTTTATATTGTAAAACTTAACTTTTCTTTTGCCTCATGGTGTTTTTGTTTGTTTGTTTGTTTTCTGAGACAGAGTCTCGCTCTGTTGCCTAGGCTGGCAGTAGCATGATCTCGGCTCACTGCAACCTCCGTCTCCTGGGTTCAAGCGGTTCTTCTGCCTCAGCCTCCCAAGTAGCTGGGAGTACAGGTGTGTGCCACCATGCCCAGCTAATTTTTGTATTTTTCTTAGAGACGGGGTTTCACCATATTGGCCAGGCTAGTCCGGAACTCCTGACCTCGTGATCTGCCCACCTTGGACTCCCAAAGTGCTAGGATTACGGGCATGAGCCACTGTACCTGGCCCTGTGTTTTTGTTTTTAAGATTGATCCATGTTGATATGCATAGCCCTAAATTACTCAAAATTGATCTACAGAATTCTATCCAATGAATAAGCCACAATTTGACTGTTTTCCTGTTGATGGACATTTTGGTTGTTTTCAGCTTGGTTGATTGTTTCTTTGCTTTTATAAACATATTAAATGCTCTGCATTGTTCTGTGTGGGAAACATGCTAGGGGAGAAGAAAAGACACACACACAATACCTTTAAGGGTAAACAAGCTTTATCCCATGTAAATGGCAATGCAGATATAATAAACAAATGATATAATAAGCAAATTGATACAATAAGCAAATTGTAATGGAAAGAGGAGAAGGGAAAAGAGGTATATATATTTACACTCACCAGACTATGGAGGATTCATCACCAGACTGGGAAGCAACAGCCTGGGCTCCAGAGTCGGCCACTTATCTGTGCACAGACAAGGAGAGGTCTCATGAAGCTTCGGCAGAGTCTGGGACCCTAGCTCTTTTTGTAACGAGTTGTTTGGCATGAGGTCCAGTCACAAGGGGCCTTCGTGACTGGGCTCAAGGAACACAAAAAGGTCAACTTGTTTTTGCGATTTTCTGCTTTTTTTTTTTTTTTTTTAATAACCACCATATAGGAATAGACTGAAATAGAGATTTCTCTGAAACAGTGCTGGATGAACGCCTCAAGGGGCTCACACAACCTTTTCCAAGACTTGGTGACCATTGTTTGTGTGCACGTTCAATTGAGTTCAGATTTAATATTTAACTTTTCCTCCACATGCGTATGCATAAGGATAGTTTCTCTAGAGAAGTGTTTTTCTAATTGTGAGCTGCAAGCAGCATGTTTTAAAAGTAGAAAGAGAATAGAATAGAAAATGTTGGTAGGAGAGAAGATATTAGTATAAGGCATGTAGTGAGAATAGTGTTTTATAGAGCTTTTGTTTTCAGGGGTATGTGTACTGGATAAGATGTAAAATATATTTCTTACTTTGGTTGTGGGCAAACAGGTGTGCAGGCTGTTCAGTTATAAGCAGAACCTTAAACTTGACAATCCTGAATTTCTCTCTGAAGTTGTGATACCAGTTTACAGTCCCAGTGGTGGTATACTGGTGTTTCCATTGTTTTGCATCCTTCCCAACAGTTTGTTTGGTTAAACTGTTAAATTTTTTTCCATTGAGGAGTCTGAGAACAGTTATCTCATTGTGGTTTTACTTTGCCTTTCCTTGCTAACTAGTGAGATTGGGGTCCTTTTTTTTTTTTAATGCAGGAAAATTAATATAATTCACCTGGTAGAGAGATACCAGATTAGTGTTGAAATTGATAATGAGTGTAATGCTCAGTGGCATATTCTAAATACACTTCTGTGAAGAAGTGAAATGACTTGACTTGCTAATACTAATGATTGACAGTTGAGGGGCTTAAGTGGTTTAATTTAATGTCGTTCTCTCTTTAAACACTGTAGTCTATGTTCAATTCTATAAACTTGAATCTTTGAATTTAGTATAATGACGTTGTATTTATACAAGACTATGAGTAGTCATTAGTGGCAGCATCATTTTATTGATTTGAGTATTAATATTTTTATATTTTTATAGATACCTGTCCAATTTTTTCTTTTAAAATTTTATAACGAAAATACATGTATGAATTATTTTTTAAAGTATAAAAAAGTAAAAAGAAATTAGTCTTCTTTTCCTGTCCCCCGACTCTCCCCAGAAGCAAGTACTATAAAAAGATTCTTATATGACCTCTTAGATATATATATACCTTATCACTATCCCCTTGCCCTCCTTTTTATTTTTAGTTTATTTATTCAAATGACATTCTATTCATTGTTCTGTAGCTGTTCATTCCTTCTGCTTAACACTGTATCTTAAAGATTGTTTCATTTTAACACATAGGAATTTTACCACTACTGAATTTGATTCCATTCTGTAGATGCATCATAATTCATTTGACTATTTATGTATATTTAGATTAAAAAGAAAACCCACATAAAAATTTCAGCTTTTGTAAACTATATTGAATTAAATATTTTGTACTTAAATGAATGTGTGACTACAGGATAAGTTCCAGGAGGTGGAATTACAGGGTCAAAGGGACATACATTCAGATAGATGTTTGCCAAATTACCTTCTAAAAATCCAACCAATTTATACTCTCCCAAAAATAGATCAGAATGGGCCGGGTGCGGTGGCTCACGCCTGTAATCCTGGCACTTTGGCAGGCCGAGGTGGGTGGACCACCTGAGGTCAGGAGTTCGAGACCAGCCTAGCCAATATGGTGAAACCCCATCTCTACTAAAAAATACAAAAATTAGCTGGGGTGGTGGCGCCTGCCTGTAGTCCCAGCTACTCAGGAGGCTGAGGCAGGAGACTCACTTGAACTTGAGAGGCGGAGGTCGCAGTGAGCCGAGGTCACGCCACCATACTCCAGCCTAGGCGACGGCTGTAGGTGATTAAATGAGATAGATACGTTTGTTAAAAACAAAACTCTCAGTTATTTATATTGATACATTTATATACTTACATATGTATATCTGGACATCACATCTCATAATTGGAGAACAGGTATCTAAAAAGTTGTTTAACTGACTGTTAAGAAATGTAGTCTGTTGTCTGTTTCCTAGGTAAGCCACTTTTCTTTTCCCCCAGCATTGGAATTCTTCTCTTTTCTCCTCCTCTGCACTTCCTTCCTTTCTGTCTTCACCTTGAGCCCATGCTTCGCTGTGGAACTCCACTTAGGAGGTACTTCTGACAAAAAAAGAGGTCTGCACTGGGAACTTCGTGTCTGGTTGTTGACAGGCATTTCTGTATTGCAGCTGACAGTGTGAGATCTATTGCCCCTACTTTGTGCTGTGTATCTTATGTGTAAATGTTTTTTCTCATTTATATTCTTGTCAAATCATTCACAAATGCAGTTATTTATTATTATTATTATTATTATTTCCTTAGAGATCCTTGTTCTGACACTGTTATTTTTTAATCATGATTACCTGTGAGCCTGTTAATCTCTCTAGGTAATTGAGAACTGATTATAATTTATAATTTTTTTACTTCTGGTTTATAATCTAATGGGAAAACTTTGCATTTAGATTTTCTATAGATTTAAAAATTAGAGCTGAATCATTGCTTCTTCGTATTATTTTAACTTGACAATTATTAAAGAAATGTACTTATGTATTTTAGGGGGGTATATGTTCAAATAGGAAATTTGTAGAAATGATGTAATGTATTGATTTGTAATGATGTCACGTCTTTATCTACAGGTAGGCGAAAACCAAGAGTACATCGGCCTCGTTCTCCTATATTGGAAGAAAAAGACATCCCGCCCCTTGAATTTCCCAAGTCCTCTGAGGATTTAATGGTGCCTAATGAGCATATAATGAATGTCATTGCCATTTACGAGGTACTGCGGAACTTTGGCACTGTTTTGAGATTATCTCCTTTTCGCTTTGAGGACTTTTGTGCAGCTCTGGTGAGCCAAGAGCAGTGCACACTCATGGCAGAGATGCATGTTGTGCTTTTGAAAGCAGTTCTGCGTGAAGAAGACACTTCCAATACTACCTTTGGACCTGCTGATCTGAAAGATAGCGTTAATTCCACACTGTATTTCATAGATGGGATGACGTGGCCAGAGGTGCTGCGGGTGTACTGTGAGAGTGATAAGGAGTACCATCACGTTCTTCCTTACCAAGAGGCAGAGGACTACCCATATGGACCAGTAGAGAACAAGATCAAAGTTCTACAGTTTCTAGTCGATCAGTTTCTTACAACAAATATTGCTCGAGAGGAATTGATGTCTGAAGGGGTGATACAGTATGATGACCATTGTAGGGTTTGTCACAAACTTGGGGATTTGCTTTGCTGTGAGACATGTTCAGCAGTATACCATTTGGAATGTGTGAAGCCACCTCTTGAGGAGGTGCCAGAGGACGAGTGGCAGTGTGAAGTCTGTGTAGCACACAAGGTGCCTGGTGTGACTGACTGTGTTGCTGAAATCCAAAAAAATAAACCATATATTCGACATGAACCTATTGGATATGATAGAAGTCGGAGGAAATACTGGTTCTTGAACCGAAGACTCATAATGTAAGTAAATCTGGTCTTAATTTTTTGTATGCATTTAAAATTAGACTAGTTTCCTTCGTGATTGATGTAGCAGAGCTATGCTGTTGATGTGGTATAAACCTTTGTAACTTAATAGTTATACAGTTAAATAATTTCTTAATTGAAGGAATATGTGCATTAAAATAGCTTTTAAGAAGGTAAAGGAAACATATATGAAAGAAGCAAAATTCCATTGTTTTTTGATGCCTAGGCTAGGAAATAGAATGTTTCTAGTTGGGACTGGGCACAGCAGCTCACGCCTGTAATCCCAGCACTTTGGGAGGCCAAGGTGGGTGGATCACCTGAGGTTGAGAGTTCGAGACCAGCCTGGCCAATATGGTGAAACCCCACCTCTACTGAAAATACAAAACTTAGCCAGGTGTGGTGGCGCACACCTGTAATCCCAGCTACTCAGGAGGCTGAGACAGGAGAATTGTTTGAACCTGGGAGGCAGGGGCTGCAGTGAGCTGAGATCACACCACTGCATTCCAGCCTGGGTGACAGAGACAGATTCTGTCTCAAAAATAAATAAATAAACAAAAAGTTTCTAGGTGGAATGCCACTGTGGGCCTGTTTTTGGTTATGTTCCTCTATAGCCTAGCTCAGCTCATCCACCCTTAACTTTGGTGTTAGGGTTGTTTTACTTCTTTTTTGGTTTTACCATATCTGTATGTAAAATGGAACAGCAAGAAAATACCTAGTTGTCTAAGGAAAGGTCAGTTCTGCCATTATTGGTTGGAATCCCCCAGGAGAAGATGATCCCAACAGACTGAGGGTCATAGTCTGGCCTCAGTGTTCCTGAGGGTTTCGAGAAGCTCTTCTGGGAAGCCTGTGGGCGAGGTCAGGAGACAGTCTCAGGGTTTACCTCAGTCAGGGCATCAGGCAGGGTTATAGTGTGGACTGAGTATCTGACATCCTGTAGATATATGGTCAGAGGGATGGGCTACTTTGTGTCTTCAGCTTCTGAAGTCTTCAAAGCCCTCTTCCAGTTCTTAGAATTAGGTCAAATGAAAAAATCTGGTAGGATGAAATGAATGTCAGAGCAGGGCATGGAAAGGAGAGTTGAAACTTTATCAGTGTGCTGTCGAGAGGTCTGAATCCACACCGATTCTTGATTCTTTGTGGCTGGAAGCTTACGGAATCTTCGCTGTCTATGGTGTTCTGCAGTTTTACAGTGATACGCCCTTGTGTGGGCTGCTTTCATCCACGAGGTATTTTTGGTGGGCATTTTCAATCTGGCAATTACGTTCTTTGATTCTGAGAACTTCTCTTGACAACTTCCTCTTTTCCCTCTTGTATTTATCTTGAGCTATGATTTTATTGAACGTTGGACTTCCTATTTTGGTCTTCTGACTTTCTTATCATTTCTCTCCAGTTTTCCTCTTTGTCTCTTTTTCTCTTTGGGGTATTTGTATGTGTTCAGTTTTTTAAGATTTCCTTATCTTGGTCGTCCAACCCTGTTATCCAGTTTTTCCTTTCTGCTACCATATTTTTATTATCTAAGAGCTCTTTTGTTTTTAGAATCTTCCTTTAAAAAAAATAGTAAAATCCTGTTTCTGTGTCTTGGATATAGTATTTTCTCTTACCTTTCTGAGGCTATTAATGACAGGTTTTTTTCTCTCCTCTGTGCATGGTCTGTTTCTTCTAAGTTGCTTTTTCCTATTCTTTGTTTTGGTTTTTCTATTTCATATTCAGATGTTTATTAATTCTTAATTTTCTGCTCCTCATTAACATTGTGGTACTATGTAGCCAGTTGGAAGCTCTGAGCAAGTGGGTGGGCCTTATCAATTTTGACTTAACCATTGGATGATTTTCATTGTCTTTTTTATTGGGGGAAATCCCTCTTGTCAGTATCTTGAGGTCTGTCCTCGAGAGTAAGCTCTAGAGGAGCAATGGCATGGAAGGGCCTTTTCCTGTGTCCTGCTTGAAGCATGAAGGTCTTGCTGGTGGTATTCTGGTGGCTGAGTGGTGGAAGAAAGCTTCATTTATTGTGCACACAGCATTTACTACTTGTATTGTCACTTAAATCCTCAGTTTTTTGTACAGTACCTTTGTTCACAACTGAGCGTGGTTTCTGCCAGTCCAGGGAACCTCAGTTTACCTCCTCTAGAGACTAGACCTTTGGCAGCTTGAAGGGGAGAATGGTGGTTTAGGAATCTGCTCCAGCCAGTTCCCTATTCTAGAGACACCCCTCCTTGTTATCATTGCGTTTTGAGGATTGTGTTCTCAACTTCACCTTCCTTTTTAGTTTGAGATCAGGCTTTCTTGGGTCTGCTGAATCAGTAATCACTTGTTCATCTACTTTAAAATCTTTTTTTGTTGTTACCATGTCTCCCCTACTTTATCCTTATGAGTTCGTCTTTAACAATTTTTTTTTTTTTTTTTTTTTTTTTGAGACAGAGTCTTGCTCTGTCGCCCAGGCTGGAGTGCGAGTGCAATGGCGTGATCTCGGCTTACTGCAAGCTCCGCCTCCCGGGTTCACACCATTCTCCTGCCTCAACCTCCGAGTAGCTGGGACTACAGGTGCCCGCCACCGTGCCCGGTTAATTTTTTGTATTTTTAGTAGAGACGGGGTTTCACCGTGTTAGCCAGGATGGTCTTGATCTCCTGACCTTGTGATCTGTCTGCCTCGGCCTCCCAAAGTGCTGGGATTACAGGTGTGAGCCACCGTGCCTGGACAGCAGATTTTTTTTTTTTTTTTGAAGACAAGATCTCCCTTTGTCACCCAGGCTCTGGAGTGCAGTGACACTATGTCGGCTAACTGCAGCCTCGACCTCCTGGGCTCAAGCAGTCCTCCTGCTTCAGCCCACCAAGTAGCTGGGACTACAGGTGTGTGCTACCATGCCCGGCTAATTTTTGCATTTTTTGTAGAGACAGGGTTTCACCATGTTACTCAGGCTGATCTCGAACTTGTGAGCTCGAGCCATCTGCCCTTCTCGGCCTCTCAAAGTGCTGGGATTATAGGCGTGAGCCACTGCGTCTAGACTAACAATATTTCTTTCTTTTTTTTTTTTTTTTTTTTTTGAGACAGCGTCTCACTCTGTTGCCCCGGCTAGAGTACAGTGGCGCGATCCTTGGCTCACTGCAACCTCCATCTCCCAGGTTCAAGCGATTCTCCTGCCTCAGCCTCCCAAGTAGCTGGGACTACAGGCATGCGCCACCACACCCAGCTAATTTTTGTATTTATAGTAGAGATGGGGTTTCACCATATTGGCCAGGCTGGTCTCGAACTCCTGACCTTGTGATCCGCCCACCTCAGCCTCCCAAAGTGCTGGGATTACAGGCGTGAGCCACCGTGCCCGGCTAACAATATTTCTTTAGCATGGTTTTAAGAAGGTTTCAGGAGGGAACAAAATGAAATCTGTCACCTTAACCCAGAAACTGCTGTGAGAAACAATACTTAAGGTTTTAAATGTATATTCTGTGTCTTTTGGTTTGGATCAGATATTTTAAGAAATATGTGTAAAATATGTGTAACTTTTTTCTTTTCTTGCTCCCTTACCTCCCAAACATCTGGTCATGGTATTCATTGTGCCATTTTTTGTTTTTGTCTTTGTTTTGACATTTTGCTGTTGAGGTGGTAACACGGAAACCTTTGTCAGCAAGGTCATTCCAAATGGTGAAATAACTGTAACCACATTTTTAAAGTTTAAAGTTTACTGCTCTCAGGAAGCTGAGGCACAGGAATCGCTTGAACCTAGGAGGCGGAGGTTGCAATGAGCCGAGATGGCGCCACTGTACTCCAGCCTGGGTGATGGAGTGAGACTCTGTCTCCAAAAAAAAAAAAAAAAAAAAAAAGTTTACTGCTGTGTTGTCATTGTAAGTGGAAATTCAGTGATGCTGCCTGTCAGGGAGCCCGGTGCTTGTACTCTGTATAGACATTCAGCAGTTAGCAGGTCACGTTCACGCAGTCTCAAGTGCCCTCCTGAAAGGAGCTCATAGTCATCAGGATGGCTGGGAACAAATTAGGAAGTAAGTGAAATTTAGTCCATGCTCCAATTCTCCCATTCCTGTGCCTTCCTTTCTGTGCTGCTTGTCCTTACCCTTTGGATATTCACTCTCACTGCCTCTTTCTTTCCCTGTGCTGCCCTTTTTGGCCAGATACAGACCAAAGGTGTCTTGTCCACATACAGAAAAACCTTGACATCTTTAAGGCTCATTACACAGTAATCAGTGGTATAGGTCTTAGTTTCAGAGACCTGTAAAATGAAGTAGTTGTGATAAGTTAGTAACAGCCAAGAGCAACATTTATTGAGCACTTCATGTGTGCCTCACAGTGTCCTAAGCATTTTATGTATTTTAAAATTAATCCTCCCAACAGCCCAATAATGTAGGTACTATATTTTTTAATTATTATTTTATTTTTAATTAATTAATTACTTTTGGAGACAGGGTCTCACTGTCGCCCAGGCTAGAGTGCAGTGGCATGATCATGGCTCACTGCAGCGTCAGTCTCCTAGGCTCAGGCCATCCTCTCACCTCAGCCCCCCTAGGAGCTGGGACTACAGGCATGTGCCACCGTGCCCAGCTAATTTTTTTATTTTTTATTTTGAAGAGGTCTCACTGTGTTGGCCAGGCTGGTCTCAAACTCCTGGGTTCAGGCAATCCTTTCACTTCAGCCTCCCAAAATCATAGGGTTACAGGCCTGAGCCACCATGCCCTGCCTTGCAGGCACTATTTTTGTCTGCATCTTATAGATAAAGAGACTAAATCTCAAAGAGGTTAAATAATTTGCCCTTGATTTGCCCAAGACCCTGTGGCTCTTAGGAGGTAGAACCTGGAATTTTTTTTAGAATGTGTTTTATAAGAATATTTTCAATACCTTATTTTATACTGTAGTCTAGTTTTCAAACCTTCTTGAGAAATCTGCAACTTGCATCGTTTTAGCTGTTAAAACCAATGCTTATAACTTGGGGAGAAAGATACTATAATGGTTTCTGTTATATCTGCAGTGAGTATTTATGAAATCTTTAAAGATTTGAAATAAAGGCGTTTTTAGAAAATCTAAACTAAGTGGCAATTTCAGAAAAGTTCTGTTTCCTAATATATCAGTATCAGTCTACGAAACAGCATTCAGGGAAGCAAAATATATACTATTCGATAATTACATAAATGCAGACCTTTGAAATCACGTGACTCAGATGACTTTTTAAGTACCTGTGGGTGATTTTTTGATACATTGTCGAGGAAATCAAATATTTTATTTTTCTTAGTGGAACAGTAAAATACTTATGTTTGTCAATAAAACTGTTCATTTAAGTTTATTTGCTTTAAAAGCTATGGTCGTCATTCAAATTGCCTTTTTTGATGCATAATAAACTGCACAGATTTTAAAGATGATTTCAGGCAAATAGGATTATCTTTTTCCATGCTGTGATATTTTGAGTATTTTTCTATGTAAAATCAAGTAGGAAACTTTAAACATAGTGATATGTGTCAACAATTTTGACAAATCTGAAAGATTTTACATCTTTTATGAAAATGAGATTAAAATAATTTCAGTTTAACTGTACTTTTGTGGTAGATTATATGTGGACTCCTCATGATAGTTTTAAAGCCATGTAGAATTTTCACGCAGTTTATAGTATGCAGAGGTTTTAATTGTAATGTTACCAATTTATAGAAATTAAGTTTTCTGTTATTGCTTTTATTTAATAAGTGCTTAAAAATATGTTATTTGTATAGATTAGTGAAGCTTATAATAAAAAAAGCTTCTTATACATGAATTTATAGTCCATCTGAGAAGCCAAGACATATTCAGCATATAACTCAGAGGCCAGTTTTCATTCATTATGTAAGTGGGCCAATCTTTCTTAACTATTGCTTTTATCCTGTCAATCCTTTGCTCTGAAATTAGGACCTACTAAAATAGAAATTACCAGATTAGATTAGCATGTTTTTCTGTCACTCTCCATTCTAAATATAATTACGTGAACACAGCATTATATTTCATTTTTTTGCAGAGACAGAGTCTCACTATGTTGCCAGGCTGGTCTCGAACTCCTGGGCTCAAGTGATCCTCCAGCCTTGGCCTCCCAAAGCGCTAGGATTACAACAGGCGTGGACCACCACACGCCTTTAAACAGCATTTTAAAAATCTGTATTCATTTTCCGAATCAACTAAACTATGCTTTTAAATCTATACAGCTTTCTACTCCCCATTCTAGGTACAAACCACATATTAACTTACTGACTTCCCGTGCCTGAATTCCTTCTGTCCACGTTCAGTTCTGTATGTCCAGCAGACTCCTGGACCTGTCCGCAAGGCAGGCACCTCAAACGTGTTTAAAACCAAACTCATCGTTTCCCCCCATTACCTACTCTTCATCCAGCGTTCTCATCTTAGTAAATGGAATTACTGTCCCACCAGCTGCTCAAGCTAGAAATATGAGAATAAACTTTTTCCTTTATTGTTTGCTATGCCTTTAAAATAAATATTGAATCAGTTTCTCTCCATTCCCACTGTCCCTCCGTGATACAAGCCAGTGTCATCTTCATTAGACTAGTCAGTCACCCCTAAAGTAGTGTAACCCCCTACCCCAACCTTCCAAGATTTTTTCTTTTTTTTTTTTTTTTGAGATGGAGTCTCACTCAGGCTGGACTGCAGTGGCCCAGTCTCAGCTCACTGCAACCCCCTGCCTCTTGGATTCAAGCGACTCCCGAGTGGGTGGGATTACGGGCGGCCGCCACCACACCTGGCTAATTTTGTATTTTTAGTAGAGACAGGGTTTCACCATGTTGGCCAGGCTGATATTGAACTCCTGACCTCAGGTGATCAGCCCACCTCAGCCTCCAAATGTGCTGGGATTACAGATGTGAGCCACCATGCCCAGCCATAGCTGGATGATTTTTAAAACAGCAATTTTGATCAAGTCTCCTTTTCCCCTAAGTTGAAAAACCTTTTAATTACAATTACTTCCATTTGCCCTTAACCAAAACTTCAGATTCTTTAGCACAGATCCCTAACTTTGTACATTTAATTATCTTGCTTTCTAACACTTAAGACAACATAAATAAAAAGCAAACCAAAGCACCTAAAAACCTGTTGGCTAACTAGCTCATTCTTGAGGTCTCAGCCTATTTATGCTACTTCCTAGGGATTTCTTTGCCTGCACCCCTTTCTTTCCCTGAACCCCTTTTTCTCTTGCATCGTGAAATACTACTTTTTAAAACACCCATCCTACCAATAGTTTTTTTGTTTTGTTTTGTTTTTTGATACAAGTCTCACTCTGTCGCCCAGGCTGGAGTGCAGTGGCACAACCTTGCTTCACTGCAACCTCCGCCTCCCAGGTTCAAGTGATTCTTCTGCCTCAGCCTCCCAAGTAGCTGGGATTACAGGTGCCTGCCACCACACCCGGCTAATTTTTGTATTTTTAGTAGAGATGGGGTTTCACCATGTTGGCCAGTCTGGTTTTGGACTCCCGACCTCAGGTAATCCACCTGCCTCGGACTCCGAAAGTGCTGGGATTACAGGCGTGAGCCATCGTGCCCGGCCTAGTTACTTGTTTTAAGGTAAATATTATACACTTCATAAGGTGAGGAAAATGATGACAACTATGTATATGATACCCATGAAGTGCTGGTACTACTCTAAACACTTTATATATTTTAATTAATTTAATTCTAACAACAGCATCTTCCAGGATATGTACCGTCACCCTATTTTTCAGATGGAGAGACTGAGGCATAGAGAGTTTTAAGTAATTTATCCAAGATCACACAACTACAAAGTGGTGGGATCGGGATTTGAACCTAGGCATTCTGGCTCCAGAATGTGTGCTCCTAAGCACTACTTGGGCTGCTTGACCAAGAGCTTAGGACCTAGCTTTTGTCTTTAATTGCTGAATTGCTAGTTTTATCAGTTTCCTGCAGCTGCTATAACAAAGTACTATACCAAAAAAAAGTACTATAAAACTGGGTAGTTTAAAACAGTAGAAATTGATTATTTAACAGTTTTGGAGAATAGAAGTCTAAACTCAAAGGTGTCAGCAGGGCCATGCTCCCTCTGCAGGCTCTAGGAAAAAAATCCTTGCTTTTTTTTTTTTTTTTGGCCTTTTCTAGCTTCTAGCACCCCAAGTGTCCTTGGCTTGCTGGCAGCATAATTCCAATCTCCCTGTCACTATCTTTTCAAGGCAGCTTAGGTTTTTTCTATCAAGCACCTAACAGTTCTTCAGCCTCTTCCCATTACCCAGTTCCAAAACCACTTTCACATTTTTGAGTATGTTAGCAGCAGCACCCCACTTCCCGTACCAAAAGTTGGGAGTTTTCCAGGGCCACCATAACAAAGTACCACAAATGGGGTGGCTTGAAAAAATATGAATTTATTGTCTCACAGTCCTGGAGGCCAGAAGTCTGAAATCATGGGTCAGCAGGGTTGGTTTTTCTGGAGACTTTCAAAGAGAATCTGTTCCATGCCTGTCTCCTAGCTTCTGGCAGTCCTTAGCATTTCTTGGTTTACAAACAGACACATCACTCCAGTTGCTGCCTCTATGCTACCTTCTTTTCTTTTTCTTTTCATTTTTTTGAGACACGGAGTCTCTGTTGCCCAGGCTGGAGTGCAGTGGCACGATCTCGGCTCACTGCAACCTCCACCTCCCAGGTTCAAGTGATTCTCCTGCCTCAGCCTCCCAAGTAGCTGGGACTACAGGCACATGCCACCATTCCTGGCCAATTTTTTGTATTTTTAGTAGAGATGGGGTTTCACCATGTTGGCCAGGATGGTCTCCATCTCCTGACCTTGTGATCTGCCCGCCTTGGCCTCTCAAAGTTCTAGAATTACAGGCGTGAGCCACCACGCCCGGCCCATTACCTTCTTTTCTATGTGTCACCTTGGGTCCTCTCCTTTTCTAAGGATACCAGTCATTTGACTTAGGGGCCACCCTAAATCCAGGATGATTTTTATCTCAAGATCCTTAACTTTACATCTGCAAAGACCCTATTTCCAAATAAGATCACATCCTGAGGTTGCAGGTGGACATGAACTTTGGGGACATTATTCAACTCATTTCACTAGTGTTCTTTACTCTTCATTTCTATGGGTTTGTTTAGAAACGAAAGTTGAAACTTACTGTGAGTCATTAACCTTCTACTTAGCTAGCCTAGGTAAAAGTCAAAGAAGCTTTAAAATGTAGACATATAATATGTATGTTTGCTCTTAATTATATTTTTAGCAAACCTTTTCTTGCCAGTCTGTCTTCTCTTTGCCACCCTATGAGTCCTTGAGAATGTGTGCCCAGTGGTAACTTCAGGGAAGCCTGGCCAGTTTGGGTGAGCCTGAGGAACATGGTAGGCCTTGTAAGAACCAGAGCTTCTACAGAACCACATTATAACTCCAAAACCAAATATACATACATAATGTATATTTATGTGGAAAGCTGTTGTCACTTTTACAATGAGGACAAATAATTTTGATTATATAAACTGTATATAGGCCAAGTAACTAAGTATAAAAAAACAACTTTTCAGCCCGGTGCGGTGGCTCGTGCCTGTAATCCCAGCACTTTGGGGAGGTTGAGGCGGGCGGATTGCTTGAGGCCAGACGTTCAAGACTAGCCTGGCCAACATGGCGAAACCCTGTCTCTACTAAAAATACAAAAATTAGCTGGGCGTGGTGGTGTGTGCCTGTAAATCCCAGCTTCTTCAGAGGCTGAGGCATGAGAAGTGCTTGAACCCAGGAGGCAGAGGTTGCAGTGAGCCAAGATTGCGCCACTGCACTCCAGCCTGGGCAACAGAGTGAGACTCCATCACAAAAAAAAAAAAAAAAAAGGAAAAGAAAAAAGTTAAACAAAACAAAACAGACCAAAAAAACCCCCAACTTTTCTTTGAATGGATTAGCAGGTATTCACTGTTTTGCTGCTTTATGCTTTAATGAATTTTTCTTTCTGTGGCTTCAAGAAGAAAAATGTTAGGTCAGTGAATACGGTATAGGTTGAGTATCCCTTATCTAAAATGCTGTGGATCAGAAGTATTATGGGCTTTGGAATATTTGCATTATACTTACCAGTTGATCATTCCTTATTTATTTATTTTTTTGTTTATTTTTGAGACAGAGTCTCGCTCTGTCACCCAGGCTAGAGTGAACTGGCGCGAACTCGGCTCACTCTAGGCTCCACCTCCTGGGTTCACACCATTCTCCTGCCTCAGGCTCCCGGGTAGCTGAGACGACAGGCGCCTGCCACCATGCCCGGCTAATTTTTTTTGTATTTTTAGTAGAGACCGGGTTTCACCGTGTTAACCGGGATGGTCTCGATCTCCTGACCTTGTGATCCGCCCGCCTCAGCCTCCCAAAGTGCTGGGATTACAGGTATGAGCCACTGTGCCCAGCCAGTTGATCATTCCTAATCTGAAAATCTGAAACGCTCCAATGAGCATTTCCTTTGAACGGCATGTTGGCACTCAAAAACTTTTGGATCTTGGAGCATTTTGGATTTCAGATTTTCGGATTAAGGGAACTCCACCCATATCCTTTTATTTATCTGTGATTTAATATAGGCCTTCTTTCTTCAGAATTACTGAATGACTTATTCCTGGAATGCTGCTAAATTTTTATTCATTTATTACCTTAGTAATAATATTTAACATTTATTGATCACTGGTGTGCCCAGGCACTGTGGTAGATGCCTTATCATTATACCTTTAAGTCTTATAGTGGCCTGCAGGCAGGTTTTATTATATCTTCATTTTACAAGTGAGGTAAATAGAATGGCTTAGAGACTCAGAGAGGCTGTGTCTTGTCCATGTCCACATATCTTACAAGCAAATGAGTGTATTTAAAGCCAGATCTCTCCTAAAGCCCAGTTCTTTCAGTTCCCTCAGTTTGCCATTGAGTAAACAGGAAAATCAGGCTCACTCTCATCGAGTGCCTCACACATACTCTTGAATTCCTTTTGAGTGGGGACAGAAATACCATTATATGTGTTCCTCTATGTCTAGTCCTAGACATTAATTTGCCTGTTTGTTTTAAGTTAGTGACCATCTCTGTTGAAGTCTTTAACTCCATTAAAAGTGAATGGAACCTTAGGAGAGTTTTAGGCAGGAGAGGAAGCTCCTCTTCTCTCCAGTTTGGGCTTCGATTGTCCAGAAGTAAAGAAGAGGGATGAGATATTATTTGAGATAACTCCTTCAAAAACCAGAACTTAGCAAAGCATTTACACCATTTTGTTAGAAATATTTCTAAACTATATTATAAAGTTAGCTGGGTATCGTGGCACATGTCTGTAAGTCCTAACTACTTGGGAGGCTGAGGCAGGAGAATTGCTTGAGCCTAGGAGTCTGAGTACGCAGTGAACCACGATGGTGCCACTGCACTCTAGCCCGGGCGACAGAGTGAGACCCTGTCTCTAAAATAAATTTATTTTATTCTAAAATAATTCTAAATACATTCTTCTCATCATATTGTTACATTGATGATCTTAAAGTTGGTTGAGATGTAGCTGAAACTGGCTTCCACAAAGTACTCTCACGTGGTTCTGAATTTTGAGGTTATTTTTCTTTGTGTCATGTTTTTTAGATATCATTTCTCAGAGTAAATCAAGTTTGAGTGAGACCTGCAGGGTTTTCTTGTGAGCGCCTATATTGAGTTTTAGTGCATAAGCTTTGTTTTAAGTTTTCACTGGGTAGATGAACTGTCAGATAAGTGGCATTATGTCTAACATATAAAGTATTTCCCCCCATTTTTAAACAGAGAAGAAGATACAGAAAATGAAAATGAAAAGAAAATTTGGTATTACAGCACAAAGGTCCAACTTGCAGAATTAATTGACTGTCTAGACAAAGATTATTGGGAAGCAGAACTCTGCAAAATTCTAGAAGAAATGCGTGAAGAAATCCACCGACACATGGACATAACTGAAGACCTGACCAATAAGGCTCGGGGCAGTAACAAATCCTTTCTGGCGGCAGCTAATGGTGAGAGGGGCATTTTCTCATTTTATTTTTGTTAAGTCTGAGCTAAACCGTTGGTATGAAATCACTGCAAAATTTGAAAATAGATTAAAATTTTCAAGTACAGTCGTGCATTGCTTAATGATGGGGATACATTCTGAAAAATGTGTCATTTGACAATGTCATCATTGTATGAACATCATAGAGTACACTTACACAAACCATACACCTAGGTTATACGGCATAGCCTGTTGCTGCTAGGCTGCAAACCTGTACGTCATGTGACTGTACTGAATCCCATAAGCAGTTGTAGCACAATGGCAGGTATTTGTGTATCTAACTATATCTAAACATTTAAAAAGGTAATACGTATAATCTTATGTGATCACCATCACGTATGTGGTTCCTGGTGGACCGAAACATTGTGCAGTGCATGACTGTGTGTATATTTTACTTTAGTTCTCCATATTTCATTTTCCCAAGAGAACCTTGTTCATTCCACTGTAAATTAGGGATGCTATACATTTTAGTGTTTTATTTCTGCCTTGGGTCATTACTGATATTCCCCAACATGTTAGTTTGTTTCTTTAATTCAAGTATCTTATTAAACTTTTTTGGCATTCCAGTTTTTAATTTTAAGAAATAATATTCTTTTTGAACTTTTTGCCTTTTTAAAAAAATAAAACTTTAAATTTTAGAGTATTTTTAGATTTATACAAAAGTTGCAAAGATAGTAGAGGGTTTCCATATATCCTGCACTTGGTTGCCCCTGTTATTAAAGTCTTAGATTAGTGTGAAATATTTGTTACAACTAATGGACCAGTATTGATACACTGTTACTAACTCAAGTCCATACTTCATTCCAATTTCCTTAGTTTTTACCTGATGTCCTTTTTCTGCCTCATGATCCTGTACCACTTGATATTTAGTCATCATGTTTTCCTCTGGGTTGTCGGTTTCTCAGACTTTCCTTGTTTTTGATGGCCTTGACAGTTGGGAGGAGTAGTGGTTAGGTATTTTGTAGAAAGCCCTCATTATGGGTTTTTCTCATGGTTAGCCTAGGTTTATGCATTTTGGGGAGGAAGACCACAGAAGTGAAGTGCAATTCTCATCTTCTTATCAAGAGTGCATGGTGTCCTCGTGACTTACCACTGATGATGTTAACCTTGGTCCCTGGGTGAGGCAGTGTTCGTCAGGTTTCTCCACATCCTCCCCCAACCCCTCAAACCCCCAATACTGTACTTTCTGGAAGCAAGTCACTATAAACAGCCACACTTAGCGGGTGAGGAGTTATGTTCTACCTTCTTGAAGGGGCAATATCTACATAAATTATTTGGAATTTTTCTGCACAGGAGATGTGTTTATTTTTTCAGGCATTTATTTCTATGAGTATACATTCATGGATATTTTATACTTACTGGGTTATAATATAATTGGATATTTATTAGGTTATAATTCAATGTCACCTTATTTATTTTGTTACTCAACTCTTTATTTTTTTAAGTTATAAATACATATATATCTCAAAAGTTTAAATAGTATAAAGGGTATGCTGTGAAAAATGAATCTCTCTCCTTCAAAATCTCCAATCTGACCTTCCTTTCTCCAGAGGCAATCATTATTGCTGTATGTTTTTTTGTCCTGCCAGATGTATTCTGTGCATGTTTAATAAATACCACCTGTGTTTTCTAATGTAGCCATCCCTCAGTATTCTCAGGGATTGCTTCCAGAGCCCTCTGCAGATAGCAAAATCCATGGATGCCCAAGTCCTGCAGTCAGCCCTGTGGAACCTGCTGATATGAAAAGTTGGCATTCCATATTCAAGGGTTCTGCATCCTGAGAATACTGTATTTTCAATTTGAGGGTGGTTGAATCCAAGGATGCAGAACCTTTGGCCACAGAGGGCTGACTATAGTGCCTTTTAAGTTTTAGCTTAGATAAAATTATTAGGTAAGATTCTGAAAGTACACTTTTAAGTGCCTGGTTCTGAGTTCTGCTCTTCTGCATACATTATCTGCTATACATATAATCCTATTAATTTTCCCCATTCTCCATTTGCTTAAAAATAGAATGTTTATATTTAATAAAGATACCCGGATAGCTGTATCCAACCTTGTTCTCACATATTCTACATCAATATTCCTGTGAATTCATGCGTATTTTTGGAGAATGATAGGCTCTCACATATAAATACTGTTGGGCACAAATATACTTTGTCTTCAGAAAAAAGCATTCTTAGTTACCATGAATTATATTTATTCATATCTGGTAGTTGGAAGTATTTCTCTATTAGATCTGTTTAGAAAAATGTGTAATTTTTTTATTAGAAAAGTTTTAGTGTTCAGAAGTCTTTGGGGGATAAGTAATTGCAGTAACACAATCTCCGTCTTACTCTCCCCCCATATAGATCAAATCATAGGAAATTTTATTAATTTCAGCCAGCTTACTTCCCCCCTTAATTTCCTTTTATGAATCATGGCATTAAAATAGACAAATCCCTTTTTGCTCTCCTGTGTTTTAGTACAACAACAGAGAACCATCTTTAGTCCTCTAAAAGGCAATGTGAGATAGGATTTTATAAAGTACATTGAATTAAAATATTTTTCAGAATAAAAAATAGAAAAAACAAAAAAATATTTTCTGTGTGTTAGATTATGTATACAGTATAATCATAATTAAAGAACAAAGTCAAAACAGGAATGGGTAATCAAGTGTTAAGTGTTGTGATTTGGGGGAATGTAAAAACCTAAAAATGTTAATATAGGGGAATTGATAAATTTCATTATGAATTATCATGTGATAGAACACTGCGTATTGGAGAATTAAGTAAAGTACCTTGCAAAAACTGTGTGAGATACTTAAATTCTTCTTCCTCTAAATAACCAACTGGATCAGGTTTTATCATTAAAAAATAACCAATTAGCATAGTAGAATTGTAGTTGGTTTCCTTCTCATATTTTTTGCATTTCCTACAATGAGCATGTTATATAGTTCAGTATGATTCAGCATGTAATGTACTTTTAAAAATTAGTTAAACCGGCAGGGCACAGTGGCTCACGCCTGTAATCCCAGCATTTTGGGAGGCTGAGGCGGGCGGATCACGAGGTCAGGAGATCGAGACCATCCTGGCTAACATGGTGAAACCCCGTCTCTACTAAAAATACAAAAAAAAAAAAAAAAAAAAAAAAATTAGCCAGGCGTGGTGGCAGGCACCTG
Organism: Homo sapiens; assembly: GCF_000001405.40. Classification (NCBI taxonomy): domain Eukaryota; kingdom Metazoa; phylum Chordata; class Mammalia; order Primates; family Hominidae; genus Homo; species Homo sapiens. The sequence continues at coordinate 67,869,880 of NC_000017.11, forward strand.
TAGTCCCAGCTACTCGGCAGCCTGAGGCAAGAGAATGGCGTGAACCCGGGAGGCAGAGCTTGCAGTGAGCCGAGTGAGCCACTGCACTCCAGCCTGGGCGACACAGAGCGAGACTCCGTCTCAAAAAAAAAAAAAAAAAAAAAAAAATTAGCAAAACCTTTTGTAGTAATGGGGAACAACAAAGAGAACATTGAGCTTTAGGCCACAATATGTTCTTAGAAAGTTAGATGACTAAAATTTGTGTGCTGTGAGATTGCCTTGCAACCTGCAGTTATCCTCTTAGTACTACATGGAGTACATGGAAATAAGGTGAGTTGTACCTTGGATTTAATGGTGAGATCTGGACCCCAAAAATGACATAAATATTTTTTTCTTTCTTTCCTTTTTTTTTTTTTTTCGGCTAAGGTACAACATCAACCTGGTACTGTAGGAGGAGGGATTCACAAGAATTGAAAATTGTTGGGGAAGAGAAGGGGACACGGACATTTTTGGGTGCCTCCTGTGGGCCAGGTGCTCAACTAGGTGTTTTACAATTCTTTAATCCTCTCAGCAACTTTTTAAGGAGTGTATTGGTAATGAATTGAGCATTCAAATAGAAGAATTCCCGATTAAAACACCAGTTCACCACTGTTACCTTTATTTGTTCTCTCTGGTAACTAAAATCTTGGCTGTGATAGTCAGTTTAGGACCACCCAGTCCAGGTAAATACCCAAAATAATATCTAATCATGTTCTTTAACTTGGGGTTTTATGAGATGAAAACAATGGAAACTACTGGGGTTCTGATAATAGCCAAGAATAATTTACAGCATAACAGGAATTTCAGAATTGTAGCCTGTCTGATGACTTTGACTTGATGTTAACCTCTCAAAGAAAATGCTTCATTTCTTTTTTTTTTTTTTTTTTTTTGAGACGGAGTCTCGCTCTGTCGCCCAGGCTGGAGTGCAGTGGCGGGATCTCGGCTCACTGCAAGCTCCGCCTCCCGGGTTCACGCCATTCTCCTGCCTCAGCCTCCCAAGTAGCTGGGACTACAGGCGCCCGCCACTACGCCCGGCTAATTTTTTGTATTTTTAGTAGAGACGGGGTTTCACCGTTTTTTAGCCAGGATGGTCTCGATCTCCTGACCTCGTGATCCGCCCGCCTCGGCCTCCCAAAGTGCTGGGATTACAGGCGTGAGCCACCGCGCCCGGCCGAAAATGCTTCATTTCTAATGTATAACTCTCTGGTTTTTATCTACACACACACGTGTCTACTTTAGGAGAGTTTAATTCTATTTTTGATAGTTAAATTTTTCTTCTCCATTTTTCCTCAATATTTTATTAAAAATTTCAAATGTACACAAAAGTTGAAAGAATTATACAGTTACCAGCCTGATCAACATGGCAAAACCTCGTCTTTACTAAAAATACAAAAATTAGCTGGGCTTGGTGGTGCACGCCTGCAATCCTAGCTACTCGGGAAGCTGAGGCAGGAGAATTGCTTGAACCCAGAGGCAGAGGTTGCAGTGAGCCGAGATCGTGCCACTGCCCTCCAGCCTGGGCAACAGAGTGAGACTTTGTCTCCAAAAAAAAAAAAAAAAAAAAATTATACAGTAAATACTCATATATTCATCGTATAGATCTGTACTTTATATTTGTAACTAAATATACAGCTTACTATATTTGCTTTATCCTATGCCTGTATGGTAATTATGAAATGCTTTATTTTGCTTATTTGAGGGAAGTTTATTTTTAGAAGAATTTTTTCTGAGTAGAGATGGCTTCTAAAACCTGGTAGGTTAATTCTTTGTTTAGTTTTGAAATGTTCATGCAAAGTATAGAATATACTTGTTGATAGAATATGCATATTTAGTATAGATCAGATACAATGTAATTTTCTTTCATCCTTTAATGTTTTTCTCTCTGCTGAACATTTTGGGTCTCTTTTTCTTTTTGTTGTTGTTGTTTGTTTTGTTTTTGTTTTTTTGAGACAGAGTCTCGCTCTGTCACCCAGGCTGGAGTGCAGTGGCATGATCTCGGCTCACTGCAACCTCTGTCTCCTAGGTTCAAGCAATTATCATGTCTCAGCCTCCCAGGTAGCTGGGATTACAGGCGTGTGCCACCACACCTGGCTAATTTTTGTATTTTAGGTAGAGACGGGGTTTCACCATGTTGGTCAGACTGGTCTCAAACTTCTAGCCTCAAGGGATTCACCTGCCTCGGCCTCCTGAAGTGCTGGGATTACAGGCGTGAGCCACTGCGCCCAGCCCTGTTTTTGGTCTGTTTTTCTTATGGCTATGATTGCCATAGTTTTTTGAACCTAAAACTTGTATGAATGTATATATGTATATGTGTATTTAACAATATAGACTATTTGAAATTAGAATCTTTATAGAAAGTCAGAGAACTATGGTCATGCAACCTGTGCTTTTCAACCAATTTAAATGGTCTAAACTTAGTAGGCAACTAAAACAATTTTTTTGGTTTTATTTTCATTAAATGGCACTGGGAAAGTAGGGAGGATGTACAATGATTTGGTTAAGAAAAGCTATAGGATGTAGTTGTGTTTGAAAATGGCCGGGCGTGGTGGCTCACACCTGTAATCCTAGCACTTTGAGACAGGTGGATCACCTGAGGTCAGGAGTTTGAGACCAGCATGGCCAACATAGTGAAACCCCATCTTTACTAAAAACATAAAAATTAGCCAGGTGTGGTGGTATGCGCCTATAGTCTCAGCTACTTGGGAGGCTGAGGTGTGAGAATCGCTTGAACCCAGGAGGCAGAGGTTGCAGTGAGTCGAGATCACGCCACTGCACTCCAGCCTGGGCAACAGAGTGAGATTCTGTCTCAAAAAAAAAGAAAGAAAGAAAAAAGGAAATCTGTGCCTCTAAGAAAAACAGATAATCGGTAACTACATTTTCTTTTTCCAAATAAAGTGTTCTTTAAAATATAGGAATTAAGGGCTGGGCACTGCTAACGCCTGTAACCCCAGTGCTTTGGTAGGCCAAGGCACGGGGGAGTTCAAGACCAGTCTGGGCAACATAGTGAGACTCCATCTCTATTTTAAAAAGGATTAAAAAATTAGCCAGGCGTGGTGACACATACCTATAGTTCCATCTACTCGGGAGGCTGAGGTGGGAGGATCACTTGAGTCTAGGAGTTCAAGGTTACAGTGAGCTGTGATCACACCAGTGTACTCCTGAGCAAGAGTGAGACTCTGTCTCTAAAAAAGTAAAAAATAAATTTATAAAAAAGGAAACACAAACCCAAAAATCCAAGAGGAGTACTGTGGATATACATGGTATTAAGTGTTTCTTATGGCCCGGTGCAGTGGCTCACGCCTGTAATCCCAACACTTTGTGAGGCTGAGGTGGGCGGATCACCTGAGGTCAGGAGTTCAAGACCAGCCGGGCCAACGTGGTGAAACCCCGTCTCTACTAAAAATACAAAAATTAGCCGGGTGTGGTGGCAGGCGCCTGTAATCCCAGCTACTTGGGAGGCTGGGGCAGGAGAATTGCTTGAACCTGGGAGGCAGAGGTTGCAGTGAGCCAGGAGTGCGCCATTACACTCCTGCCTGGGTGACAAGAGCAAAACTCCATCTCAAAAAAAAAAAAAAAGAAAAAGAAAAACCGTGTTTCTTCTTATTCACAAATAGCGTACTCTAGTTGATAAATTTATTTTTATGAGGAAACAGTTTAGCAATTCCGAAACTATTTTACTGTGTGTACTAGGAATGAACAAATAACTAGATATGTTATAGATAATGTGAGCCAGATTTCTCACTGTCAGAGAAGTTACAGATAAGCAAGTGGGCAATGGTAAATGAACCCTATACAGACACATAGGCATTCACTCATATACATATGTGCCCACACAAATAAATACAGAAATAATATAGATGTATATATTTATGACTACATTTTTTAGCTCTGTTGGCTGAGAGACTCTAGAATAGTAACACCCCAATAGTAACAAACACACCAACCACTTAGATTGTGACTTCTAACATCATTCTCCAATTTGTTCTTCAAAAAAGAACAAAGGCTCCTTGGAGAGATGGTGGATTGTAGGGCTGGGGCAGGGAAAATACAAGGTGAGCCCGGAGCATCTTGTAATAGTGGAAAGTAAGAAAATGCTGGATGGATGGATGGATGGATGGATGGATGGATGGATATGTGTCAAAAGGACACTGGACTCGGAAAAAGTCCCCAGTGGCCAAAGCTGAAACAATTTGTGCAACAAAATTAAAAGTGATAGTATTGCATGATAACCCAAAGAATATAATTAATATCCATGAGTGCGTACTGATATACCGTGTGTTCTGTACACTGTGGTCCTTCTGTATCCCGTGGTCTATAACATGCCATAGTATCACTCTGTCTAAGTTGAAAGAGGGTAGGTGTACTAAGAGACTTAGTGACTTTCAGAACAATTAAGGGACTTCAGAAAGAAAGTTGTTTCCAAAAGGGCCTCTGTTTTCTCTTTTTACAGTTGAGGAAATGATGGCCTGGAGAGGTTAGGTAGCTTGCCCAGAGTCACACAGCTAATCCAAGTCAGATTTGCAGTGGGTTTTGGGTTTCTAGGTTTTGATCACTGCAGTGTGCTGCCCAGACTGTGGGTCTATGTCAGCTTGCAGTTTTTGTCATCTGTCACAGATATCCGTGACAGATATCTATATCAAGGCTATATTTTAAAAAGATAGGCTCATTTTACTTTTTTTAAAAAGTAGAGCCCATAATTAGCATGTATTATCTAGAGGTGAAGGTACACCAAATTGATTGAATTCTGTAAACACAATTTTGTTTGTAATCTTGATTTTTATTTCATAGGTCTAATGCTTTAAAAATACTTAATTTTTCCTCTTTAATAGCTTGTATTGAAACTCGTAAGTGACATTTGTGGTACTGTTCTATTTGGTTATATATAGGAATAATTTTTTTGTTTGTTTTACACATTATAGAAGAAATTTTGGAATCCATAAGAGCCAAAAAGGGAGACATTGATAATGTTAAAAGCCCAGAAGAAACAGAAAAAGACAAGAATGAGACTGAGAATGACTCTAAAGATGCTGAGAAAAACAGAGAAGAATTTGAAGACCAGTCCCTTGAAAAAGACAGTGACGACAAAACACCAGATGATGACCCTGAGCAAGGAAAATCTGAGGGTAAAAAAATTACTTGATTAAAAAGAAATATTTCATTAGTGTTATTTATGAAATCTCCAGTTTTACTTGCAAAATGAAAGTGAAATATTGCAAGCAGCTACCTAATTTAATATTTCTAAAGAGATCAGGATACCGTCCCCTCTTATAACGTGTGTAACAATTGTAATGAGTTTTATGTATTAGTGAATTTGCTATAATGTTATATTCATGTCTCTATTTATACTTCCCATTAAGTTGCCATTTCCCTATGAAAAAGAACTATTCTTTAATATTATACCAGAGTATACACTTTTGTATGTGATAAAATGTTCATTTTTATATTAATTACTTAAGCATTCTTAATATATTATTAAATATTCTTAAATACTCTCTGAATTACCTATTGCAGCAATATCCGAGAATCTACTTGCTTTAAAATGGCCGTTCAATGGAAGCAGGTTTTTTGTGATTATTTAGTAGTTGACTGAATGTGGCCATTTGCCCTGAAGCAATTTTAAAGAATATCTTTGAAGTTTTGTTGTGCATTTTGCTGTAGAGCCAACAGAAGTTGGGGATAAAGGTAACTCTGTGTCAGCAAATCTTGGCGACAACACAACAAATGCAACTTCAGAAGAGACTAGTCCCTCTGAAGGGAGGAGCCCTGTGGGGTGTCTCTCAGAAACCCCCGATAGCAGCAACATGGCAGAGAAGAAGGTGGCATCTGAGCTCCCCCAGGATGTGCCAGGTACAGAGGGCAGCGTATCAATGCCTCTGTAATGGGGGGAATCCTTCCCTTTTGTAGTAAAAGCCGAATGTCACCTAAAACCTTAAACTATGTGTTCATTCATGCTGCTTGCTTACAGTGCCATCCCCATTTGCTAAATTGTCACCTAACATTTGGAGTTTGATAAATGTCCTCGCAGTTAGTGCTTGAAACTCATCATAATTTTCATGCTTCTTAAACTTCATTTAGCTGTTTTTGTTTAATAGATTTATTTTTATATTTTATCACCAGACCATAGTGGCAGATATTTTGGTTTTAATTACTTATGTACTAATGGCTCAATGTTGAATGATCTGACCTTTCCAGTTCTGTAGATACTAACAAATTAATTTTATGTTTGCATGTGCTCGTGTAATATTTATAGCATTTCAAACCGTAGTATTATGGTAGAAAATCATTATCACAGAACATTGTTGTCAGATGTATTTTGACATAAAAATGTAAGTTGACCAGTAATTCACATTTTCAGTTTTTAAAATTAAAGTTATACTCCAAGTAAGTTATAGCACACCAAGAGTGTCCTGTTGCATAACATGAAGGATTTTGACAACCTGCAGTTCTTATGGGGACGACTTCCATTTGAGTACTGGTCAGCAGTGAGCTGTGTTGCTGAAAACACCAGTTTAACAGGGCGCTACAGATAGGGATGTAAGTGTAAGCTCCAGAAGAACCACAGCAATCAGCAGTAAGTCCACCTTACTTTATACTGATGAGAGATTGATCATTAAGATCAAGAACAGGGCCAGGTGTGGTGGTTCATGCCTGTAATCCCAGCACTTTGGGAGGCCTAGGCGGGCAGATCACCTGAGGTCAGGAGTTCGAGACCAGCCTGACCAACATGTTGAAACCCCGTGTCTACTGAAAATGCAAAAATTAGCTGGACATGATATCATGCGCCTGTAATCCCAGCTACTTGGGTGGCTGAGGCAGGAGGATCACTTGAACCCACGAGGTAGAGGTTGCAGTGAGCTGAGATCGTATCACTGCACTCCAGCCTGGGCGACAGAGCAAGACTTCATCTTAAAAAAGTAAAAAAAGAGAAAAAGAAAATATATTTATATGAAAACATAAGCAAGAAGTTTCAAGGAAACTAGAATGGGAGCAAATATAGCAACTGTCAGTGGCCGGCATCAGAGGGGAATTTGGGTCATTAGCAGGGTGAGAGTGTTGGACAGCTGAAGATGCTGTACCTACAAATTCAAAACCTTCCCATTTAATAACTCATAGTTCTCTTCTTGAGTAGAGTAAAAAACAAAACAATGATCAAACATGAAAAGCATTTTAAAAGACTTTATTAAATATATCATACCAGATTTTAAAGAGGAGTTTGGTACTTTTGTAAAGTAGATAAACATTTTAATAGGTCCCTGACTTCAGAATATACTAACGGAGATGTATCAGTGACCAAAATAGATAAGGTCTGGGCCCTTGGTGACTTACATTCTAGTGGGCAGTAGACGGACTTAATAGAGTTCTGACCTTCACCTGCTTCCTTCTGTTTCTGTGGCTCTCTATGCAGTTATTTATTCAACAGCTATTTATTGAGTGCCCTACAATGTGCCTGGCTATGTGCTAGACACTTTGTGATGTCCCTGGACCAAACTCTGTTACCACTGTTTACTACCTATGGTCAGTGGATGAGATGCCTTGTTAGAAGAATTGGGGTGGGAGAATTGTTAAAGGCAGACTAAGAACAATAGCCGTGATAGAAGACATCTTACTTGGTTTTCTTTTCTAAACTTTCAGAATGTATTTAGGCACCTAATTTAATGATTAAAACTTATCGACAAAAGATAACTGTCAGATTGGAAAGCATTTTGGATGTTAAGATATTTTTGGTAAAGTTTTTTTTTGAGAGAGAGTCTCACTCTTTCACCCAGGCTGGAGTACAGTGACGTGATCATGGCTCACTGCAGGCTTGACCTCCCAGGGTCAAGTGATCCTCCCACCTCAGCCTTCCAAGTAGCTGAGACTACAGGTGTGCACCACCATGCCCAGCTTATTTATTTATTTATTTAGTAAACAAGTAAGTAGAGACAAGGTCTCACTGTGTTGCCCAGGCCAGTCTCGAACTCCTGGGCTCAAGCCATCCTCCCGCCTCTGCCTCTCAAAAGTGCTGGGATTACAGGCATGAGCTACTGCACCCAGCAACTTTAAAAAATTGAAATATAACCTGCAGTAAAGTTTATAAATATTAAGTGAATAACTTGATGGATGTTTACGAAGTTAACACATCTGTGTTACCATATCGTGCCCCCTTTTAGCTACCACTACACCTAGCCCAACAAAGGTACTGACTATTCTGACTTCTATCACCACTGATTGGTTTGCCTTTTTTAAAAAAATTACTGGAACCATACAGTATATACTCTTTGATGCCTGATAGCTTTTTTCCCACCTCAACAAAACATCAATGAGAGCCATCCAGATGTTGCTAGTAGTAGCAGCTTATTCTTTTTTATTGCAGTATGATATTCCATTATATAGATATGTCATGATTCTTGTTACATTTTGGTGGTTATTTTAATGATTTTTGGTTTGGGACCATTATGAATAATACTATTATGAATATTTTACATGTTTCTTGTGCACATACATGTGCATTTCTGGAGGTACAAGCCTAGTTGTGGATTTTCTAGGTCATGGAGCTGGTTTATGCTCATCTTTGGTAGATACTGCTAAACAGTTTTCCACAGGGGTTGTAGAAGTATTCAGTTCAACAGTGTATGAGAGTTCTAGCTCCTCTGCATCCTTGCTAACACTGGGTATCATCAGCATCACTCTTTGTCTTTTTGGAGGACTGAGGGGACATGCTAGTGGGCATGTAGGGATATTTTACTGTTCTTTGCACTTGCTAGCTCCCTTGTGACTAAGGATGTTGAGCGTCTTTATGTGTTCGTGTGTGTGTGTGTGTGTGTGTCAGTCGTTTAGATATCCTCTTTTGGGAGGTACCTGTCTGCTTCTTTGTTCATTTTCTATAAATGTTCTGTTTTTTGCTTTGTAGTTGTTTCATGGGAGAGGGTAAATCTGGTTCTTCCACTTTACCTTGACTAGAAGCAGAAGTATCTACACTGAATTTTGAATGTTAACCTAATCTCATGTTCCTGGGGGTAAATATAACTTGTTGTGATGTATTTTCCTTGTTATATATTATAGCATCCAGTTTATTAATATTTTGTTTAGGATTTTTGCATTTACTTTCATGAGTAAAATTGGCTTGCATTTTTCTTCTCTGATAATGTCAGTCTTTAGTATCAGGAATATTTTGTCAGTCTTTAGTATCAGGAATATTTTGGCCTCATATCATGAGTTGGTACTAGAAGAGTTTTTGTGGGGCTGTTGTTAATTATTTCTTTTTTTTTTTTTTTTTCTTTTTGAGATGGAGTTTCAGTCTTTCGCCCAGGCTGGAGTACAGTGGTGCGATCTCGGCTCACCACAACCTCTGCCTTCCTGTTTCAAGCGATTCTCCTGCCTCAGCCTCCCAAATAGCTGGGATTACAGGTGCCCACCACCACGTCTGGCTAATTTTTGTATTTTTAGTAGAGACGGGGTTTCACCATGTTGGCCAGGCTGGTCTTGAACTCCTGACCTCATGATCCACCCGCCTCAGCCTCCCAAAGTGCTGGGATTAGAGGCGTGAGCCACCGCGCCCGGCTAGGGCTGGTGTTATTTCTTAAATGTTTGCTGGAGTGATTTGGTTCTGGAGTTTTCACTGTGAGAAGGTTATTATAGATTTCATTCACTTCTTTAGTAGATAATGGCTATCTTAGTCCATTTGTGTTGCTGTAAAGGAGTATCTAAGGCTGGTGGTTTATTTAAAAAAAGAGATTTCTTTGGCTATGTGGTTTTGCAGACTGTACAAGAAGCATGGTACTGACATCTGCATCTGGTGAGGGCCTTATGATGCTTCCACTAATGACGGAAGGGGAAAGGGGAGCCAGTGTATATTGATACCTCATTGTGAGAGAGCAAATAGGGGAGGCGGGGGTGGCAGATGACAGGCTCTTTTTCTAACAGTCAGCTCTAGTGGGAACTAATAGTGTGAGAACTCACTCACCCCCAACACCCAACCCGAGAGCATTAATCTGCTCTTGAGGGATCCGTCCCCAGAATCCAAACACCTCCCATTAGGCCCCACCTCCAACATTGGGATCAAATTTCAACATGAGATTTTTGGCAGGACAAACATCTAAACTATCCAAACTACAGCAGTGGGCTATTCATATTTTCTGTTGTTTTCTTAGGTTCATTTTCTTTAATCGCCTTTTTTTAAGGAATCTGCTCATTTTGGCAAATTTTTACAATTTATTAGCATAATAACATCGTATCTTTTTTATATATATAGGGTCTATACTCGCTCTATTTTTCCAATCTGGAAATTCGTTACCTGCCCCCGTTAATCGTGTTGTGAGGCTGTTAGCAATTCCATTAGTCTTTTTTTAAAAAAACACAACTTTGTCTTTGTTGACCTTCTTTATTGTATGTTTTTCTCCAAATTAATTTCTGGTCTTAGTATTTTGTCCTTCCTTTTATTTTCTTTGTACTTTTATGGATTTTCTTTCCTAGCTTCTGAAGATGGTTGCTTTGATGGTTTGTAGTTTAGTTTTGTTTTTTTATGACGTCTACTATCAAGGCTATCAGCTTTCCTCTATGTCCTGCTATAGCTACATCCCACAAACTTATTTTATTTTTAAATGCATGACCAGAACACAACCACAAACTGTAATAGGTCATGTTCCCTTTATCATTTAGTTTAAAATATTGTCTAATTTCTGTTTTAATATGGTGTGTGATGAAGTATATTGCTTAATATTCAAACATTTGTAGGTTTTTGTTTTTGGTTTTTGGTTTTTGGTTTTTTGTGTGTGTGTAAGACAGGGTCTTGCTCTGTTACCCAGGCTGGATTGCCGTAAAGTGGCCATAACTCTCTGTAGCCTGGAACTCCTGAGCTCAAGTGATTATCCCACCTCAGCTTCCTAAGTAGCTGAAACTATAGGCTAATTATCTTTTTTTTTTCTAGTTGATTTCTAGTTTAACCCTCTATCAGAGAACATTCTATGCATGATTTATGTCCTTTAAATTTTATTGACTCTTGTTTTGTGGCCCAACATTTAATTAATGTTGATAAATGTTCCATGAACAATTGAAGAGGGTGTATGTATATTATATATATATACACACACACACACACACACACGTATATATATTACATATATATATTTCAGGCTTTACTTTGAAATAAAATCTTGTCAGAATACTGTCATTTTCATATAATTTGGTAGAAGTTATGTGAAGGAGAAAATGACAAAATTGTAGTATAAAAAATGATAGGAGTGAGAACATAAGAAAATTGGGCAGATTTCATGATACCCATTATATTGAGTATTATCAGTGATCAGAAACATTTTGTGTGGCTCAGATTAAAGATTAAACTGAAAAAGTTGGGCAATATTTGGGGAAAGATTGCTACTATCACTTTTAAAAGTTAAAAAGTTAATCTCTTAATACCTATTCAGTTTCAACTGTCTTTGGCAAGAATACTTTATAAAGAATGTGCTGGTTAATTGATATTGTATCCCATCAAAAGGCTCATGGTATATGGTTTTTGTACCTTCAGAGATGCCTAGATTGATCAACGAGTTTAGGTGGTGAGATTGCAAGATTCTCTGTTAACCTCTCACTCATTAATAATCTTTCCATAATCAAGGTTTTTTTTTTTTTTTTTTTTTTTTTTGAGAGACAGAGTCTCGCTCTGTCACCCAGGCTGGAGTGCAGTGGTGCGATCTTATGGCTTACTGCAACCTCCGCCTCCCAGGTTCAAGCGATTCTCCTGCCTTAGCCTCCCGAGTAGCCAGGACTATAGACGCGCGCCACCACATCTGGCTAATTTTTGTATTTATAGTAGAGATGGGGTTTCACATGTTGGCCAGGCTGGTCTTGAACTTCTGACCTTGTGATCTGCCCACCTCGGCCTCCCAAAGTGCTGAGACTGCAGGTGTGAGCCACCCACCTGGCCCAGAATCAGTTATTTATTTGGAGACTGTAATATGGAGTTTTGGGGATTTTGGGTTTTTGTTTTTTTTTTTTTTTTTTTTTTTTTTGAGACAGGGTCTTGCTCTGTCACCCAGGCTGGAGTGCAGTGGCACAATCTCAGCTCACTGCAACCTCCGCCTCCTGAGTAGCTGGGATTACAGGCGCCCACAACCACACCCAGCTAATTTTTGTATTTTTAGTAGAGACAGGATTTCGCCATGTTGGCCAGGCTGGTCTCGAACTCCTGACCTCAGGTGATCCGCCCACTTCAGCCTCCCAAAGTGGTAGAATTACAGGCGTGAGCTACCGTGCTGGCCGGACTTCTTGCTTTTTAGCAGAATAAAATGTTTGAGGCTTATGTTACACAGTACCTATCCTGACTTGGAATCATTTTTTTTTCCTCCAAGAAGTCCTGGTTCCTTTTAATGGGAAATGATATTTAGAGACCACAGTCTAGACTCAGGGATACTTTTTGTTGTTGGGCTCTCACTGTCCCTATGCTTTTTTGGTGGGTAGTGTTATGAAAGACATATTTTTGAAAAGAAAAAGATCATCAGTTTACATTGACATTTCAGATTCAGATTGCAGATAGCATACTTAGTTTCTTTGTTTACATTTGTATATCTGTTCCCTTACACTGAAAGCCTCAGTTCCAGCAACAGTAATTCAGCTATATGTTTGCTTTATCCCAATACAGGGTATTCCTATCCTAATGTGCATTAATAATAAGAGGAAGTGATTTATTTTAAATAGTAGTATTTTCATAATACCAGTATTATTGTTCACACTAAGACTACTGAATGGCATTTACGACTTTTTGCTGCTCTTTATTTCTCATTATACTACATTTCTAGTAAGGATGTACAGACAAAATATCATATTCCAAAGTCACTTAAAATAATCCCCTGGGCTGGGCGTGGTGGCTGACGCCTGTAATCCCAGCACTTTGGGAGGCCAAGATGGGCAGATTGCTTGAGCTCACAAGTTCAAGACCAGCCTGCCCAACATGGCAAAATTCCTTTTCTATAAAAATTAGCTGGGCGTGGTGGTGCTTGCCTGTAGTCCTAGCTACTCAGGAGGCTGAGGTGGGAAGATGGCTTGAGCCTAGGAGGTAGAAGTTTCAGTCAACTGAGATCACGCCACGCCACTGCACTCCAGCCTGGGTGATAGAGCCAGACGTTGTCTAAAAAAAAAAAAAAAAAAAGAAAAGAAAAAAGGGCTGGGCTTGGTGGCTCACGCCTATAATCCCAGCGCTTTGGGAGGCCCAGGTGGGCGGATCACAGATCAGGAGTTCGAGACCAGCCTGGCCATTATAGTGAAACCCTGTCTCTACTAAAAATACAAACAAAATTAGCCGGGCGTGATGATGGGCGCCTGTAGTCTCAGCTGCTCAGGAGGCTGAGGCAGGAGAATCGCTTGAACCCAGGAGGCAGAGGTTGCAGTGAGCTGAGATCACGCCACTGCACTTCAGCCTGGGCGACAGAGCGAGACTCCATCTAAAATAATAATAATAATAATAATCCTTTGTGTAGTTATGCACAACTTGATACACAGTTCATTTGTTTCAGTTTAATTTTTAGGGATTGTATTTCTATAATAACTTTTAATTTTTTGAAAATGTAGAGCATTTACATTATTATAAATTGAAAACTATGTAACGGGAGATATTCAGAGAATTTTGACTTTCATTCCTTCTCTCTCTAGGTAACCATGTCTTTCTTTTCTAAGTAGCCATTTTTATTGGTTTTTGGTTATTCTTGAATGTTGCTTGTTTGTTTTGTTTTGTTTGTGTGTGTTTTTTGAGACAGAGTATCACTCTGTTGCCCAGGCTGGAGTGCAGTGGCACGGTCTTGGCTCACAGCAACCTCCGCCCCCCTGGGTTCAAGCAGTTCTTCTGCCTCAGCCTCCCAGGTAGCTGGGATTACAGGCGCCTGCCGCTGTGCCCAGCTAATTTTTGTATTTTTAGTAGAGACGGGGTTTCACCATGTTGGCCAGGCTGGTCTCGAACTCCTGAGCTCATGTTCCACCTGCCTTGGCCTCCCAAAGTACTGCGATTACAGGCGTGAACCACCGCGCCCGGCTCGTTTTGTTTTTTATAAATAAAAGTAAAATCTGTTTATAAATTTGTATTTCCTCCTCTTCTCACACAAAAGTAAGCATATTATAAGTATTGTTCTACACCTTGCTTTTAACATTTAATCTTGGAGATCATTTTATGTGTGAACATAGTGATTATCCTCAGTTCTTGCTACAATGCATGGTATTTCATTGTGTATACCAGCTTTTATTCAACCAATGCCCTATTGATGGGCATTTTCTTTCTTTTTTTTTTTTTTTTTTTGAAACAATCTCGTGCTGTCACTCAGGCTGTAGTGCAGTGGCGCAATCTCAGCTCACTGCAACCTCAGCCTCCCAAGTAGCTGGGATTACAGGCATGCACCACCACACCTGGATAATTTTTGCATTTTTAGTAGAGACAGGGTTTCACCATGTTGGCCAGGCTGCTCTCGAATGCCTGACCTCAGGTGACCTCAGGTGATCCGCCCACCTCAGCCTTCCAAAGTGTTGGGATTACAGGCATGAGCCACTACCCCTGGCCCCTCCCTTTTTTTTTTTTCTGACAAGTTCTCACTTTGTTACCCAGGCTAGAGTGCAATGGCGCAATCACGGCTCACTGCAGCCTCTGGCTCTTGGGTTCAAATGATCTTCCTGCCTCAGCCCCTCAAGTACGTAGGACTAGAGGCATGCACTACTATGCCTGGCTAATTTTTGTATTTTTCGTAGTGATGGAGTTTCACCGTGTTGCCCAGGCTGGTCTCGAACCCCTGACCTCAAGTGATCTGCCTGCCTCAACCTCCCAAATTGCTGGGATTACAGGTGTGAGCCACTGCTCCCAGCCTTCATAGGCATTTTCTTTGTTTCTGGGTCTTTTGCCATTTTAAATACTCCAATGAATAGCTAGCTCTATAGATAAGTAATTTAGTATTTTTTTTTTTAGTGTATTTTGGGCTAGATTTCTAGACACAGGATTGCTGTGTTAAGTAAATGCATGTGTAATTTTCCCTTCGTGTATTGTGAGACTTGGATTTTTGCCAGTTGATAACTGAGAGTAGTTTCTTCATATAGTTTTATTTTACATTTCTCATAGTTTGAATTGGGCATATTTCCATATGCCTAAAGGCCATTTTCTTTTCTTTTATGACTGTTCACATATTTTCCCATATTTTATCAGGTTGTCAGGTTTTTTTCCTGAAACCCAAAATTATACATTAAAGATAGTTACTGCAATAGACTATCAACCAATTTTTAGGTGATTTGAAGAGTATCTTGTCAGTGGCAAAAACAAAGGCAGAGGGAGACTTTTAATTTCTGAACTACCATGGAAAGACAGGCTTTCTGTTCATGGTAGTGGTAATTTTTATATGCTTTTAAGAACTATACTCTTAGTGATACTATTAAATTGTCCTCAGAAGTTAGCAATCACAGCTGGGCACAGTGGCTCACGCCTGTAATCCCAGCCACTTTGGGAGGCCAAGGTGGGTGGATCACCTGAGGTCAGGAGTTCGAGCCCAGCCTGGCCAACATGGTGAAACCCTATCTCTACCAAAAATATAAAAGAATTATCCAGGTATGGTGGCGTGCACCTGACTGTAGTCCCAGCTACTCAGGAGGCTGAGGCGGGAGAATCTCTTGAACCTGGGAGGTGGAGGCTACAGTCAGCCGAGATTGTGCCACTGCACTCCAGCCTGCGCAACAGAGTGAGACTCCATCTTAAAAAGAAGTTAACAATCGCATTTAGGCATTACCTTTCAGTTAATTTGGGCATAGTATTCAGGCAGAAGACCATAGAGTTAAATAATCCTGCTTAATTCTGTTTCTAATACTATTTGAGTACTTTTGAAAAGTAAGACTATAAGCTTCAGATTTTGAATACTATCTCAGCAAACTACCTCTGCAATATCTGGCGCACTGTAAGTTTTGAGAGATAGTCATATCACTTGGTTATTCTCCAGCTCTGGGGTATCCAAAAAATTGTCTGCCTTGTACTGGAGACTAAGGTGATACGAGTCAGTGAGTTAGAGTTGGGTCCTCACCCCCCCAAAAAAAGTCAGTGAGTTAATAGCCTGGAAGACTTAAAAAAATAAGGTGTTGCCTACCACTTTCTTTTATACATTGCATTACTGATACATGAACAGATTTTCTTTTAAAAATACAGCTTCTTAATGAAATCCTAAAACAATTGTCTTTTCTGACAATTCGTCATTTTTCATGTGATTTCCAATTTAAAAATCAGATATTCTATTTTTCTAGAAGAACCTAACAAGACATGTGAGAGCAGTAACACTAGTGCTACCACTACCTCCATCCAGCCTAATCTGGAAAACAGTAACAGCAGCAGTGAACTAAATTCTTCCCAGAGTGAATCTGCTAAGGCAGCTGATGATCCTGAAAATGGAGAAAGAGAATCTCATACACCTGTCTCTATTCAGGAAGAGATAGGTAAGAATATACTTCATCCATTCCTTTAAAGGGAAGTTTTTTCTTTTTTTTCTTTTTTTTGTGTGTGTGTGTGTGGTTTTTTGCTTTTGTTTTTGTTTTTTAGTTTTTAATTTTTTAAATGAAAGTTTGGTGGGGGGTGGAATTTAGATGTTCTTTTCCTTTATTTTTCATTTTTTTTTTAAACACAGCACTTGCACTCAATGTTTTTGTTTTCAAAATCTACAAAAGCACACAGAGCAGGGAAGAAAGATCCTTTTCATACTCCCCTCCCCAAAGGTAACCACCATGCATCAACAGTTTGGTGTGTAACATTTTAGATCTTTCTGCAGTTACATTTATGTATGTATGTTTACAAAGGTTTTGGAGAGCTTTGGGCGATTTTTTAGTTTTGGGGTTTTTTGAAATATAAACAGGATCATTCTGCATGTATTGTTCTGCATCCTGCTTTTTTTACTCAGTGATACATGGAGAGAATCTTTTTGTGTTATGAATTGAATTCATTTTTTTTTAAAGCTGCTGCATGGTACTCCAGAGTATGGATGAACCATAATTCATCTACTATTTCTCTATTAATGGACATTTATGTTGTTAACAGTTTTTCATTATTACAAATAGTGGTGCTTTTGAACATCCTTAACGTATATCTTTGTGTACTTGTGCAGGTATTTCTGGCAGTATAGAAACAGTAAGTGGACTTGCTGGTCAAATGGTAGCTACATTTAAAAAACAGTGATGGCTACTGCTTAATTGTATATCAAAAGAGATTTATACCAGTAACTTTCATACATTTCTGTTTCCTTATTCTCTCACTTAAATTCAACAACATCATTCCTCTTAACATTTTTGCCAATGGTGAAAAGTATTTCGTATACAAATTTACATATTCTTACTCATGTGGTTAAGTTTCTTACATGTATTTGTTGAACTTCCTGTGAATTGCTTATTCATATCTTTTTCTCACTTTTTCCTAATGAGTTTTGTTATTTTTCTTTAATGAATTTTAGGAATGCTTTATGTATTGTTGCTATTAATCTTCAATTTTACGTATATTTGCATAGTAATTGCCTACTTTTAGCTCTTCGTTGTCATACAGACATTTTTACATTTTTATTTACTTAAATTTATCAATCTTTTTCTTTAGAGTTTCTCTGGATTTTGTGTTTTATTGAGGAGGGTTATCCCCATCCCAAGAATATATATATGTTTTATAGTAATTCTTTATAATACTTCTATAACTTTGTTTTCAACCTATCTGAAGTAATAATTTTCATTTGATATGAGTTGGAAATCTGTTTTAATTAGGACTTTTTCAATTGCAAGTGACCAAACCAACTTAAACTAGCTTAAGTGAAGAGGGAATTTAATTAGCTCATGTAGTTGGGAAGTCCGAGCCATCATCAGGTATAACTGGACCCTCAGGTATCAAACTCTTTGTTTTCCTCTCTCTCTCACCTTTTAGGTCTACATATATTTATGTGTGTTAACCTCATTCTCTCCCAGTACAGACAGGCTATTCCCATGTGGCAGGGAAGATGGCACCAGCAATTTGTATTTATATGTTTCCAAGGTCTGTGACCCAAAGGCAAGGCCCCTACTTCTGCTCCAAATCAGAAGCCCTTGAGGAAGGAATTTGAGTGGCTTATCTTGGATCATATTGTTTCTAACCCTATGGCCAGGGCAGGCAAGGTACTACGATTGATGCCTCCAGCAAAAGTTGGGTAGGAATGGTTTTCTAAGGAAACAGGGACGCTGCAAATATTATAGCATAGTAAATATCTACACTTCCATCCTTTGGTAGCTCAGCACGTGTGTGTACTCACATTTGTTCTCATACATACAATTCAAAAATGGTTCTGCCTAATATAATGCAAAGATTTCACCCACAACTTAAAACTTTTTCAAAAACCTCTTTCCCACAGTTACATCCTGTAATTGTATCTAGACCTAAATCTAGTATTTCTCTGTGTGTATATTAATTTCAGTAGATCTGGGCCGGGCTCGGTGGCTCACACCTGTAATCCCAGCACTTTGGGAGGCCAAGGCGGGCGGATCACGAGGTCAGGAGTTCGAGACCAGTCTGGCCAACATAGTGAAACCCTGTCTCTACTAAAAATACAAAAAATACTAGCCGGGCATGGTGGTGTGTGCCTGTAATCCCAGCTACTGGGGAGGCTGAGGCAGGAGAATTGCTTGAACCCAGGAGGCAGAGGTTGCAGTGAGCCGAGATCGTGCCACTGCACTCCAGTCTGGGTGACAGAACGAGACTCCGTCTCAAAAAAAAAAAAAAAAAAAAAAAATTAAATTCCAGTAGATCTCGAGGTGGCTTATCTTGATCTCACAATCCATGAGCCACATTATGAATTTAACTGCCTATGACACTCATAAACATAGTAGAGGGTGTTCTTTAATAAAACTGGATGCCATTGTTTTTCTGGGAGAATGGCTGTGTTTGAGAGGTGAGAAACATATAAGAAGATTCCCCTTCTGGAGGCCATTCTGTTTTACCTGCCTAGTTCCTGCTGTCTGTTACTGGGGTTGGGTTGCTGGGGACTTCTATAGGATTAAACAATCATATAACCCTATTTGGCAGGTTTGGGGTTTTTTCTGACAGTAGCACTCACTTGTAGATTCCTAGGTTCCCAGCTAGTACTTAATGCCCAGTAACTTGCTTTAGGATCCATGAAGGTGAACACCCTCCACTTCCTCAGTTTATCTGTTTAGTAGGCCAATAGTCCTAGTCCTCAGGTGAAGAGTTTGTGTAGGCTTCTGCCTGCTGGTATCATTAAACAGTGAGCTGCAGAGGCTGATGTAGATCTGTAGCCTGCTGCCAGGCTGCATCACAAGGATCCACTGCTTTATAATAGGAGGAATATGGCCTTTGGGCAGAGGGTGTTCAGTAAAGACCTCTACCCTCAGTTTAGTTCTTTTTCTCCATTCCTTTAAGTCTTACCCCTGTGGTAATTTTCTCCTCCTTTCCCTTATTTGCACTAAATTTAGCAAGTGATAAAGGATTGACTCTGAGCAGTATTGGATTGTTGGCTCTGAATTAGGAAGCTTTTTAAAAGCACTGTGTCATTCTCTTTCTCTTTTCGGGAAATCTGACCCAGACCAAATGATGTCTAAAAAGTATCTATTACAGGACTTTATAGATGGTCCCAAGAACTAACCACCATAGTTCAACATCTTGGCATAAAACTCCATGATCTGAAGGCCAGGCGCAGTGGCTCACGCCTGTAATCCCAGCACTTTGGGAGGCTGAGACGGGTGGATCACTGGAGGTCAGGGGTTCAAGACCAGCCTGACCAACATGGTGAAACCCCGTCTCTACTAAAAATACAAAAATTAGCTGGGCATGGTGGCGGGCGCCTGTAATCCCAGCTACTTGGGAGGCTGAGGCAGGAGAATCGCTTGAACCCAGGAGGCAGAGGTTGCAGTGAGCCGAGATCGCACCACTGCACTCCAGCCTGGGCGACAAGAGCGAAACTCCATCTCAAAAAAAAGAAAAAAAACCTCCATGATCTGAGACCCAAGAGAAAATTGATAGTCTGACCAACTGCTTTGCTACCACACATCCAAAGTGACTTGCTTTCCAGCCTGGGGTGGCAAGATGCTCAGTACCCTCTCTCCATTTTGACTTATTATTTAAGGAGGGCAAAGAGGTGTGTTCTTTCTGTTTAAAACAAAAATCTGTGGAATGTGAGATAATTTTAATTACCATACCTTAAAAATCGGGGCTGGAAATTTGTAGAAATTTCTAGACCTACTTTTGAATTGTATTTTCTTTATTTCCAAAACTGTAGTAGTGTGATATTTTGGAGTCAAAATCTTAAAATATTCTACCAGATTATTTAGAATTTACTGGTTTTGATAGAAATACATCAAACTTGCTTAAAAAGGGAATTTTATTGACATACACTATTGAGAAGTCCAGTGTTGGTGACAGCCTCAGGTGCATTGTTGGATCTAGGGAGCCAAATGAGGTTATCGAGGCTACTTCTGATTTTGCCGTTTCATATTTTTCTGTTTATTTCTTCTTTGTGATGGGCTTATTGTTTGCTGTTATCAACGGTTTTCTCCATGTTGTGGGAATAAAAGTGGCCAACTTCTGATTTACACCCTTCCTGCTCATTAGTACAAAAAGCAAAGACCCCTTCTCCATCTCTGGATTTTAAAAACTGGAAAAGGATGCTGAGAGGATTGAGCCAAAGAGCCAGTCCTGGGACAGTCACTGTGGCCAGCTAGTGGTGTGCTTTGTCTGGCCACGCTGGGTCCTGCTGCTCGCTCCAAAGGGGCAACATACTTGATTTGCAGCCCTGGCAGAATCATATGATTAAAGTGTGGGAGGGCGGTGGTGAGGGAAGTATCTCCCCAAAGGAAAGAAGGGGTATGGAACAGGTAAAATTAACAGATGTTTACAAAATTGTCTTAATTATTTTCCCCAAAATGCATAGCCAGTTTTCCCAATCCTAGTTTTTCTCTATTTACTTAAAATGCCATCTTTATTATATATCATATAGTAAATTATCTGTCTTTTCATTTGCCAGTGCCACAGTGTCTTCATTTTTTTAAAGCTTTAAATTAAAAAGGAAAAATCAGAGCTTATTCAACTATCTGGTCAATGGAAATTTAACAGTGATGCAGTAGTTTTAGAATGTATACAAATTTTTCCAGCCTGGGCAATATGGCGAAACCCCATCTCTGCAGAAAATACAAAAAATTAGTCAGGTGTGCTGGTGCATGCCTGTGGTTCCAGCTACTTGGAAGGCTGAGATGGGAGAATCACCTGAGCCTGGGGGTTGAGGCTGAGGTGAACTGAGATTGTGCCACTGCACTCCAGCCTGAGCAACAGAATGAGACCCTGTCTCAAAAAAAAGAAAAAAAAAATTCAGCCAAAGTGAGATTGATCAGTATGTAAAGCAGAAATTTGCTCCTGTGGAGTTTAGTGTGTCCTTAAAAATTTACTAGGAAAATGTTGAGAGGTCTTTATTAGGTTATAAAAAACTAATTTAGTTGATTGTTTTATATTGATAAGCCTACACAGATAATTATCTAAATTCCCTAGTGGAAAATTCATGACATTTATGTTTATAAGCTCAAAACTATTTGGTATTTAAACAGAATTTCAGTGGAAATCTTTCAAAAACTTAAACCTTTTTATACAGAAATCCATATTGAATATATAAGGCAACACTTTGTTAGTTTGCTTTTTGAGTTATTATTATGTTTGTTACTTGTAAGTTTGTAGCAGCTCTTCCTGTTTTCAAACAGATGAGTTTTTAAACAGATAACCCAGCATGTTTCAATTTTTTGTGGAATAATAGATGACTCACAGTAAAGTTACAACATATTTTCTTTTAAGTAAAAAACTTAAGGAATAATGATACTTGCTTTGCCATTCAAGGGCCTTTTTTTATCTGTTTACTTTGTGGATCTTACACATACACCAGATACGAGTTTTGGTGAAATAAGGTGGTTATAATTATTTACTTATTGTCAGCAATTGCTTTGTGGCCTATTCATTTGACAGTAGGTGATTTCAAATCGGAGAAGTCCAACGGGGAGCTAAGTGAATCTCCTGGAGCTGGAAAAGGAGCATCTGGCTCAACTCGAATCATCACCAGATTGCGGAATCCAGATAGCAAACTTAGTCAGCTGAAGAGCCAGCAGGTGGCAGCCGCTGCACATGAAGCAAATAAATTATTTAAGGAGGGCAAAGAGGTGTGTTCTTTCTGTTTAAAACAAAAATCTGTGGAATGTGAGATAATTTTAATTACCACACCTTAAAAATAGGGGCTGGAAATTTGTAGAAATTTGTAGACCTATTTTTGAATTATATTTTCTCTGTTTCCGAAACTGTAGTAGTTAACAAGACTGAAAGTATTAGGCTTTATAAGCATAGTTGCGTACCCAAATTTCAGTCAAGGCATAAAAATGCTATAAATGGCTGATACACTTTCTTACTACATGAACAGTTTTATTCTACATATAATTCTAAAGAATTAAAGCCTTCTTTACACATATGAGTAGGCTATTTTGGGTTTTATGGTTTATTAAAGAACTGTAGATGATTCACTGCTCAGTTCTAGCTATGATCACTTCAGGTGAACCTGCAGCTAATTAGAGGATGAGGCTTACCCACTGATAGCAGAGTACTGTGGATAGGACAGCATGGCATCCCAGCTCTGATCATGAACAATGGGATCAGAGCTAGGACTCGGTATCTCTGTGCTTCAGCTAGCCGTGGTGACAGGACATGGTCCCAACTTTGTCTCCCATATTCGAGAATTATTTGCAGGGTAGATATGCAAGAATAAAGGACATTCTTAACATTGCAGCAATTGCTTAAAAGCAATGGCTTTCATACTTCTTTTTGACTCTGACCCTCAGTCACATACACATTTTTTCATAGCAGCCCAGTACACATATTCAAAAGCTTTCTGAAATACTATTTTACTTTATGATGTGGGAAGCACTCTGATATTTTCTGTGCTAGCCTATTGCATTACATTTTATTTTTTAAAAAAGCTGAATAAGGCCACTGTTTATCTGATAGTCCACTAAGAGTTGGGATCAACTGTTTGAAAATACTATTTTGAAGTATCCATGGGGTCTTACACTGTAGCTGGAATGATAAAAGGACCCGAAAGGATGTTTTTAGGAATATATTTTTTGGGGGATAGTACATGCGATGCCCTTCTTTTTCCCTTAAGTATATGTTATAAACTTGAAAAAAATGATAGGTGAGTAATTTATATGTATGGTTTCATGGGTATATTTGAAGTATTAATACATGAAAGCAGTGAATAATAGTATCTGACATGTAATAGGTACTTAATATGTGTTAGTTTTCTTTCTGCAGGCATATCTTGGTTGTTTAATTGTAAACAATTAGCTTTACTTTTAACTTAGCTTTTAGACTTCAAAAGTTCTATCATAAGATTTATCTTAACTTACTTTGAATGATTAATTTTAATTATTGAAAGACAGTTGATTAGATGAAATTCACATCTTTGATTGACATAAATAATGCAGTCTTTTTATTTTTTTGGTCAGGTACTGGTAGTTAACTCTCAAGGAGAAATTTCACGGTTGAGCACCAAAAAGGAAGTGATCATGAAAGGAAATATCAACAATTATTTTAAATTGGGTCAAGAAGGGAAGTATCGCGTCTACCACAATCAATACTCCACCAATTCATTTGCTTTGAATAAGCACCAGCACAGAGAAGACCATGATAAGAGAAGGCATCTTGCACATAAGTTCTGTCTGACTCCAGCAGGAGAGTTCAAATGGAACGGTTCTGTCCATGGGTCCAAAGTTCTTACCATATCTACTCTGAGACTGACTATCACCCAATTAGAAAACAACATCCCTTCATCCTTTCTTCATCCCAACTGGGCATCACATAGGTAAAGGAAACTAAGGTTAATTTATTGCTGTAAATATACTAAATGTTTATAAAATGATTGTTGTAGTTGTGCATTTGAAAACGTCATTACCAATGAGTTGAATGAAGTCAATGTGGTCAGCAGACAGGACATTAGAGGCATGAGTGTACTTCTAACTTACTGAACCGACACCACTAACTATTTGGAGGATTTTTAGGAGTCATCGTCTTTATACCTGGAATCAGATGGAGGCCAAAGTTACAACTATTGTGCTTTTAATTTAAGGTCAACCTAGTGAAATAATTTCTCTCATTTCTTCTGAAATACAGGGCAAATTGGATCAAGGCAGTTCAGATGTGTAGCAAACCCAGAGAATTTGCATTGGCTTTAGCCATTTTGGAGTGTGCAGTTAAACCAGTTGTGATGCTACCAATATGGCGAGAATCTTTAGGACATACCAGGTAAATGAATTCTGAGCCTTGTAAATGATGAGTATTGGACTCCCTTTTGAAATACTAGCCTATTAATAATGAAAGTTAATATATTTAAGAGGCCATATTGAAGACTTTACTTTTGGCCTCATTTTCTTCCTATATAAGTTGTAAACATGAATGAATATTATTAGTTCTTTCTTTTTTTTTTGAGACAGAGTCTTGCACTGTTGCCCAGGCTAGCATGCAGTGGTGTAGTCTCGGCTTGCTGTAACCTCTGCCTCCCATATTCAAGCGATTCTCTTGTTTCAGCCTCCCAAGTAGCTAGGATTACAGGCACCCGCCACTGTGCCCAGCTAATTATTTGTATTTTTAGTAGAGACATGGTTTCACTGTGTTGGCTAGGCTGGTCTTGAACTCCTGACCTTGTGATCTGCCCTCCTCGGCCTCCCAAAGTGCCGGGATTACAGGTGTGAGCCACCGCACCCACCATGAATATTAGTTCTTATTTGCCATACAGGATTGTGATGAAGATCAAAAGAGATCTGGTATATGAAAATTTAAAATATTTTCTAAAGTAAATAGCATTTTTATTGACTAGAAAGAGCACTCACATTTTTTAGTATTCTGGAATCTTGTAGGCACTATGCTAGGAATCTGATTTACATCTGTTTTTAAAGTTCATTGTCCAACCAAAGATCATATAGCTCCTGAGTAGACCCAGGGCTGTGCAACTTCAACAGATGATTAAAAAGAAAGAAAATTTTGTGACTTGAATCTACTTTTTAGCCCTGATAGACTTGCTTTGTAACTTTAGTCTTTAAAAAGTTATTATTACAAAACTAAGGTTATGGTAAATAATAGAATATTTAAGGGCATAAAGCAAAAAGTAAGAACCATTTTATCTTCTCTGCCCCAATCTTTTCTACAGAGTCCACTCCAAAGGCATAGCCCTATAGTTTTTAAAATATAAATACAAGCCAGGCACATGGGCTCAACTTCTGTAATCCCAGCACCTAGGGAGACCGAGGTACTAAAAACACAAAAATTAGCTGGGTGTGGTGGCACATGCCTGTAGTCCCAGGTACTCGGGAGGCTGAGGCAGGAGAATCACTTTAACTCAGGAGGCGGAGGTTACAGTGAACCGAGATTGCACCACTGCACTCCAGCCTGGGTGACAGAGCAAGACTTCATCTCAAAAAAAAAAAAAAAAAAAAAAAAGGAATGTAATATATGTTTTTGAGAAAAGTACATTTATGCCTACTAAATGGTTTTCATTTGCTAAAGGTATGGCTCCCAGTTTTCTTTGGTGTTTCCACCACATACATTTTTTTTTTTTTTTTTTTGACACAGGATCTCACTGTCACCCAGGCTGGAGTACAGTGGCGCCATCACAGCTCACTGCAGCCTTGACCTCCCTGGGCTAAGGTTATCCTCTCACCTCAGCCTCCTGAGTAGTTGGGACTACAGACGCATTCCACTATGCCTGGCTAATTTTTGTATTTTTTATAGACACGGGGTCTCATTATGTTGCCCAGGCTGTTCTTGAACTCTGGGCTCAAGCAATCTGCCTGCCTCAGCCTACCGGAGTGCTGGGATTACAGTTGTGATACATTTCTGATAAGAGTGCAATTAGTACAGTGGTTGCTATAACCATTTTAGAGAATGGTTTGACAAAAACAAAGTTAAAAATGCAATTCGACTCCTTCCTAGTACAGTAGAGAGACTTTTACCCTGTGTACATGAGAAGACATTATAGCAGGGTGTTCCTTATAATATTATTTCATAATGGTGAAATTTGGAAACAATTCCTAAGTACTCAATCAGGCTTTTTTTTTTTTTTTTTGAGACGGAGTCTCGCTCTGTCACCCAGGCTGGAGTGCAGTGGCGTGATCTCGGCTCACTGCAGCTCCGCCTCCCGGGTTCACGCCATTCTCCTGCCTCAGCCTCCCGAGTAACTGGGACTATAGGCACCCACCACTATGCCCAGCTAATTTTTTGTATTTTTAGTAGAGATGGGGTTTCACCGTGTTAGCCAGGATGGTCTCCATCTCCTGACCTTGTGATCCGCCCGCCTTGGCCTCCCAAAGTGCTGGGATTACAGGCATGAGTGACTGCACCCAGCCAATATTGGGCATGTTTAAATTGTGTTATTTCATGATGGACTGTTACATAGCAGTGAAAAACACACTGGAGCAACAAGTGTCGAGATTGAATCTCGTAAGTTTACAATAGAAGGAAAACATTTGGAGAGGGTGGGAGGGGCACAAGGGTTGTAAAAATTACCTGTTGGGTACAGTGTTTACTCTACGGGTAATGAGTAACTAGAAACTGTCCCCCCAGTGCACATAGACCCCTTGAATCTAAAATAAAAATTTTTAAAAAGAAAAAACAGTTCCATCACTAAAAATACATCAGGATAAATCTATATACTACATACATTTATGGAGATTTTAAAAGCATGTGTGATAACACAATGTTACAGTATTGTTTAGGGATATAGACGTTTGTAAAATTTTAAAGGCAAGGGCTATATGCTTGAAAGGTAAGAAATACACTTCTAAATAAATAAATACTCAACTATAAATCATAAAACTAGAAGACATTTTGATCTGGATGTTCATGAAAGTACTACATACATTGAAATTTGTCACATGCAATTAAAGACTTCCTAGGAGAAGTTGCTAGCTTTTAGTGCTTATATTAGAAAAGAAAAACTGCAAATTAATTAGCTAGGGATACATCTCAAGGAACCAACCTAAAGAAATAAAATATTAAAGATGAGCAAATATGATGAAATAGAAAACAAATATACCTTAGATCCCATTATGTTTTATAAGTCTCTGATAAGATTATCAAGGGGGAGGAAATAATACAGCACAAATAACCAATATCAAGAATAAAAAAAGAGGCCGGGCATGGTGGCTCATGCCTGTAATCCCAGCACTTTGGGAGGCCAAGGTGGGCAGTCACCTGAGGTCGGGAATTCGAGACCAGCCTGACGAACATGGAGAAACCCTTTCTCTACTTAAAAAAAACAAAAACAAAAAACGAAATTAACCAGGCGTGGTGGCACATGCCTGTAATCCCAGCTACTCGGGAGGCTGAGGCATGAGAATCGCTTGAACCCGGGAGGCGGAGGTTGCGGTGAGCCGAGATCATGCCATTGCACTCCAGCCTAGGCAACAAGAGTGAAACTCTGTCTCAAAAAAAAAAAAAAAAAAAAAAAAAAAAAAGTAAAGAAAGAGACATACTAACCAATATTTCTGATTCTCTTTTATTAGAACTTGGAATTTTAAAGCCTTCACAGGGTCACTAACACAGTATTCAGGTTTCCTACATCCACAAAGAAAGGGGTCCACCTAGAAAGAGTGGACCAAGATGGTGGAATAAAAGTCCCCAACTCATCGTGCCCCACCTTCCATCCCCACTGCCACAGAAAGGGACCCACCGAGCTCCTTTTGGGTGGGGGGAAGGGTTGGGGAGGATGCCACAATGATCTCAGTCCTTAGTAGGGCAGAAGCCACACTCTTAGGCAGGAAAAGGATTTCTGGTTATCACTGCACCTGTCATTAAGGTGATCGCAGGACCAGATGATTTCATAAGGTATTTCTTAAATTTCGAGAACCAGATAGTTCTATTTAAACTTTTCTACCAGAATAGAAAAAGGAAATTTTATAATTATTGTTTCTGTTAGTGTGAAACTGTTAGGAAACTTGATAAATAGAAATAGACAAATAGAAAATTATGGCCCTGTCTTCTTTATTAATATTTATTAATAATTAATAGCAAATAGGTGTATCTATAAGAAATCTGAAAATATTGGTATGCAGATATATTCAGGAGTAAATTTAAAGAATAAGAAACCATGGCTGAATTGGCTTCACCTTAGACACCAATCTCCAATACTAGGAGATTACTAATACCATACTATTTTAAGAAGTCAAAGAAAGGCTGGATGCAGTGGCTGACACTTGTAATCCCAGCACTTTGGAAGGCCAAGGCGAGTGGATCACTTGAGCCCAGGAGTTTAAGACCAGCATGGCCAATGTGGTGAAACCCCATCTCTACTAAAAATTAGCCAGGCATGGTGTTGCATGCCTTTAGTCCCAGCTACTAGGAGGCTGAGGCAGGAGAACCACTTGAACCTGGGAGGCAGAGGTTGCAATGAGCTGAGATCGCACCAGTGCACTCCATCCTGAGCAACAGAGCAAGATGCTGTCTTAAAAAGAAAAAAGTTGAAGAAAGGAAACCTTTTGATCATCTCATTAGATGCCAAGAAGGTATTTTATCTAAGTTCATTATAATTTATTGGGTTTTTTTATTTTTAATTTTTTTACATTTTTAATTTTTTCGTAGAGATGGGGTCTCCCTATGTTACTCAGACTGATCTTGAATCTCTGACCTCAAGTTATCCTCCCACCTTGACCTCCCAAAGTGCTGGGATTACAGGTGTGAGCCGCTGCACTTGGCCTATTTATTCATTCTTTTTTTAAACTCTTAGATAAATACGAGTATATGAAGTCTTTTTTTTTTTTTTTGAAGATGTATTGCAAACCAAATTATTATGCCTTTTGGTGAAACCCTTGAAGCATTCCCAATAACATTCAGGTGGAACAAAAAAGATACCCACTATTGGCCAGGTGAGGTGGCTCTCCCACCTGTAATCCCAGCACTTTGGGCAACCACGTCAGGAGAATCACTTGAGGCCAGGAGCTGGAGGCTGCAGTGAGCCATAATTGCACCACTGCACTCCAGCATGGGCAACAGAGTGATACCCTGTCTCAAAAAAAAAAAAAAAAAAAAATTTCTAAAAGTACCAGGAAATGCAGTTTGCCAAGAGAAATAAAACTTATAAATATTGTCAAGATATAGACACAATTATTATATGCAGTTGATCTAATTAATTAACACATACAATTTTGTTCCACGCTGAACTCCACCAAAACTGTGGCCAAACTTTTGTAAAATTACAGACCCACAGGGACAAGAGGAACAACAGAAAATACACCACCTATAAAATTGCTGAAGCAATAATGCAGGTAGACAAATGGCAGCCTACCCACAAAGGCCAAATCCCAAGTCAGTGGGGGAAAACAGTCCTCAAAAGATCCAAAAGCAGGAAGTACAGAGCCAGCCGCTTTGGATGCTTGGCTGTAGTAGACCTGTTTTATGCTGCAGTCACGCCAGATACCTTGATTGTGGTGAGCCCTGTATCTTCCAGGGTTTGCTCATGATCTCACCCACTGATTTCACCAAAAGAGGTCTGTAAACTTTCCTGAAAGCTGAAGCCAGACTGTGACCCAGAGACAAGTTTATATTTTCCTGGGAACCTTCTTTGATAGTAACAATACTGCTCTATGCAGGTAGTTTTATACTTGATGCTGAGTTTTTTTTCTTTTTTTTTTTTTTTTGAGACAGAATCTTGTTTGTCGCTCAGGCTGGAGTGCAGTGGTGCAATCTCAGCTCACTGCAACCTCCACCTCCCGGGTTCGAGTGATTCTCCTGCCTCAGCCTCCTGAATAGCTGGTATTATAGGCGTGTGCCACCACGACCAGCTAATTTTTGTATTTTTAGTAGAGATGGGGTTTCACTGTGTTGGCCAGGCTGGTCTCCGACTCCCAACCTCATGATCTGCCCACCTCGGCTTCCCAAAGTGCTGGGATTACAAGCATGAGCCACCGCGCCCGGCCTATGCTGAGTTTTCAAAAGGCAAACTTATACAGTTTGGGATGCACACACATAGGTTCTAAAAGTATAAGGAAAAACAAGGGAATGTTTAGCACAAAAGTATTGATTGCCAGGGAGTTGGACACACAAGCATCTGATGTATTGGTTGTAGATAAAGTTCTGTTTCTTAACCTGGTTGCATTTTACATATTTTTGAAAATTTTAATGAAGCAGAAGATTCCAGGAACAACAACAACAAAAACCTCCAGCACCTAGGAATAATTGTGTGTGTGCGCATGTGTGTGTCTGTGTGTTTTGAGACAGAGTCTTGCTGTGTCGCCCAGGCTAGAGGGCAGTGGCGCCATCTCGGCTCACTGCAACCTCCACCTCCTGGTTTCAAGCAATTCTCCTGCCTCAGCCTGCTGAGTAGCTGGGATTACAGACAAGTACCACAATGCCCGGCTAATTTTCGTATTTTTAGTAGAGATGGGGTTTTGTCGTGTTGGCCAGGCTGGTCTCGAACTCCTGTGCTCAAGTGATCCACCCTCAATGGCTTCCCAAAGTGCTGGGATTACAGGCGTTAGCCACCGCGTTCAGCCAAATGTAACAAGAAATATTCAAGGCCTGTGTAAAGCAATCTTTAGGCCAGGTGTGGTGGCACATGCCTGTAATCCCAGCACTTTGGGAGGTGAAGCGGGAGGATTGCTTGAGCCCAGGAGTTCAAGACCAGCCTGGGCAACATAGGGAGACCCTGTCTCTACCAAAAATAATAATTAATTAATTAATTAAAAAGCTAAGCAATCTTTAAAGCTTAACTAAAGACATGAAGGATACTTTGGGAATAAGATTTTCCATCCTGGAGCAGGGGAGGTTTGACCAAAACGATACTAATATTTGATCTAGAAAAGTTAATGTGCAAGAATACTGCACACAGTAGCTCACGCCTGTAATCCCAACACTTTGAGAGGTTGAGGAGGGAGGATCACCTGAAGTGAGAAGTTTGAGACCATCCTGGGCAACATAGCAAGACTCTGTCTCTACAAAAAAATTAAAATTGGCCAGGCATGGTCTTGCTTGCCTGTAATGCCAGCTGCTTGGGAGACTGAGCCTAGAAGTTGGAGGAGGATTGCTTGAGCCCAGGAGTTTGAGGCTGCAGTGAGCTATGATTGCGCCACTGTACTGCATCCTGGGCAACAGAGTGACAACCTGTCTTTAAAAAAAAAGAAAAGAAAAAAAAGTTATTGTGTAAGAATAGCCAAAAGGGGAAAAAATAGATGTTAGTGAAAAAGGTACTAGATATTAAAGCACATTTTGAAGCTTCAATAATTTGTTCTACAGAAGAAGCAAATCAGTAGATAAAATACAGAATCCAAAAATAGACCTAAGCATGGGAATTTAGCTGTAGTAGCATTGCACATCACAAAGGGAAAGCATGTTTGGGAAGATATCACTTAGATCTCTGCCTTAGCAAAAAACATTTAGATTGATGAAGAATTGTTAAAAAAAAAAAAACCCAGAACCCTAAAAACAAAAGAAAACGTCAATAAGAAAGCATGAATTAATTTATGTTTTTGTTGTGATACTTTCTTTTTAAACAGATAAAAAATCCAGATGCCATAGAGGAAAAAAGTGGATACATATATTTAAAATTCTGAGTGGAAAAATGTTATTGTAATCAAAGTCAAAAGACAGATGACAAACCGAGGAAAAATATTTTTACCACAAATGGAAAATTTTCTTGATTGACAAAGACCTTTTATAAATGAAAACTACTAATAGTCTAATACAAACAAGACAAAGGATTTGAATAGGCATTTTGCAGAAAAATAAATATGAAAGGCCAGTAGACATAAAAAATGATTACTTCTCTCATAATTAAAAACAATGGGATAGTATTTTTTACCTCTGAGTTTGACTAACAGTTTAGAAGTTCAATACTAACTCAGCATGAGTGAAGGTGTAGGAACGCAGGGTGGCTTTATGATTGCACTGTTCTGAAGAGTAGTTTGACCCTATATCCGTCAGCATTTTCAGTGCAAGAACTTTTGGACCCAGCCATCCCACCACTGGAGGATATAGGGGGGTACTCCCCAGGTTTACCAAGAAAGACATAAAATATTGTTTGTTACAGCTATGGCTGTGATAGCAAAACACCACAAAACCCTGAGCACCAGTGGAGTTGAAGTTGAGTTCATTCTCTTGGTTGGACTTCGTTGGCCAAGAAGTAGAAAGAAAATCTGCCACTGGCACACCCACCAGCATGCTACTCTGGGATAGGTAGCATCAGAGATTAGCCATAAGACTGCCTAACTGGCCTTGCTTCCTCCACAAAGAGAAGCCTTTGTATTTGGTGATAAAAGGGACCTCTTTGCCTCATGGACACCAAGAACACAACTGAGCACCCTGCCCAGCTTTGAGCTCCTAGGGTGTCACTGCGCTGAAGTCCTTCAGACAGTGCTCCATTCCTGGCCTCTCTCAGTGAAAATGGCCCAGTTGCCATGCTGGACCTGGCCTTTCAGAGGTGTATAGAAGCCAAGCCCTCAAAATCTCCATGAGAAATCCTACACAGTCCTCCTGGCATAGTCACCCCGCCTTACTCCTGTAGCCTGAGACTGTCAGGTTATCCACCGTATTGTGCCTACAGAGCTAGTCCTTCTCCTTAGTTCCAAGCGTGTTGGCAGAGGGATGGAATTTGAGTACATTAGCTCCCAGTGAGGATCTGCTCCCTTTCCCCTCCTCCCATCAGCTTATGAGAGACTACGAAGAGCCTATGGAGAATGTTTGCTACACCAGTTGAGTGCAGTTAATAGGCATGAGCTGTCAGCCTGGGGGAGACTGTATTCTGGGAACCTACAATCACAGGGACACAAAGCCGTCGTAAAAGTTGGGAGGGAGAGAAGAAGCCGGGAGATTGATGGGGAGTTTTTTGTGGGGGGAAAGGAGATAAAAAGACTGAAATCCCCTCCCACATCTTTTCGGCATCACTACCCCAAGTTAACAAAAGGTCTCTATTCTTTCTGCAGAGCTGTGCATGAGAAATTGGCTGCATCTGGTTAGGGTGTGATAAAAGCAGTTCTTCTGCCACTAGCGCTCTTAGAGACAAGAGCTCCTTTCTTTGTAGGTTTTGCTTCGTGTCTCTCTGAGAAATATTCTGATTCATAAAAATCTAGTCTAATCCCCTAAATGTAGAGCCTCACCACAGTCTTTACTGGTAGGTGCAGTGATTTCCTTTCCTGCCTGAGAAGGAGTTGTGGCCGATGCCTGTGTCTCATGATTTAGGTCAATATGGGCCGACCTTCCTCATCCTTCCTCTCTTTCTCGAAAGATGGGGCCCCATGGGCCCCTTTCTCTGCGGATGTAAGAAACCTGATTTCTGTTAGTAGATCTGTGAGTGCTTTAAAATCCGCAGTGCTTGTGAGAATCAGAAATACTGGTTGATAAAATAAATGTTTTTGTATTCTTTGGTCTTCGTTTTTTGGAAGGAAAAAACTCTGGAAACAAAGTATTCTTTAACAGTGACCTGGTTTAATAAATTATGGCATATCCATGCAATGGAATATTTTTTAATTCCTTAAAAAAATCTGTATATTTTGATAAGGAAAGATCTTCTAGTGTAATTATCCATTGATTAAAAACTGTGGTTGTGTGTGCACTAAAAAGTACATATGTGTGAATATGTAATGGACTATGTAAAGAGATACATAAATGTTGGTATATACCATATATACATGAAATGTTTTAGAAATAAATCATAATTATTTCTTATGGAAAGGATATAGTATTTCTTGTTTTTGCCTTTTTGTACTCTTTATCTTTTCTTGTTAAGGAATTGTACAACTACAACTAAGTTTTGTCAGTTGGGGTTGTCTGGTTTGTAGGATTATAACAGTCTGCTTTGTTTTCCTAATTTTTCAGTATTGCATTTTTATCTTTTCTGTTTATTTTTCCAAGTTAACATTGTCTTTCTATGCATGAATTCTTAGGTTACACCGGATGACATCAATTGAAAGAGAAGAAAAGGAGAAAGTCAAAAAAAAAGAGAAGAAACAGGAAGAAGAAGAAACGATGCAGCAAGCGACATGGGTAAAATACACATTTCCAGTTAAGCATCAGGTAATTTTTACAACAACCCTTTAAAATAGTGTTAGCCATTTCTGAGACTTTTATTCTGAAACTTTGAATACTTACTAATTTTATTTTTGACATAGTCTTTGTATTTTATTTATTTATTTATTTATTTTGAGACAGAGTCTCGCTCTGTTGCCCAGATTGGAGTGCAGTGGCACAATCTTGGCTCACTACAGCCTCCGCCTCCTGGGTTCAAACGATTCTCCTGCCTCAGCCTCCCAAGTAGCTGGGATTATAGGCGTGCACCACCACGCCTGGCTAATTTTTGTATTTTTAGTAGAGATGGGGTTTCACCATGTTAGCCAGGTGAGTCTTGGAACTCCTGACCTCAGGTGATCCTCCTGACTTGGCCTCCCAAAGTGCTGGAATTACAGGCATGAGCCACTGCTCCTGGCCTACTTTTGACATAGTCTTTTAATTAATATGTTAGGGATAAAGTACATCTTCCTGGCAAATTTACAAAGCATTGGTTTATCTTAGAATATTGGAGGCTTACAAGGCCAATTTGTTGAAATTGTTATAAAACTGTAAAATTGTGTTACATTTTACATGCTAAAAAGGAGTATTAGTTCATTAATCTTTGATTCCCAGTGAAAACTAAATTGATTAGTAAATTTTTTTTGTCCCCACTTGGAAAAACCTGGGGATGATTAGTAAATTTCATTTGCCTGACTTTGAAACTTGTTTGGTAAAAATGCATAAAACCACATGTGGTTTATAAGCATTGTTATTCTTATTGTTTAATCAAAATGTTTTCATTTACACCAGGTTTGGAAACAAAAAGGTGAAGAGTACAGAGTGACAGGATATGGTGGTTGGAGCTGGATTAGTAAAACTCATGTTTATAGGTTTGTTCCTAAATTGCCAGGCAATACTAATGTGAATTACAGAAAGTCGTTAGAAGGAAGTAAGTAATTAAAATTACATGTCCTGCATAATCGTTTCTGCTTTATATTTCTTATAAATTTGTAGTATTTTGACTATATTTTAGATAAAAACATTTTTCTGAAATTTTTATTCGTACTGCAGAATTACTAGTTTAGTTTACTAAAACCCTAAAACTTTAAAAATTACCTTTATTCACAGGAATTTGATGTCTCAGATTTCCGTAAGATTGTAGAATGGAACTTGTTTTTTAGAAGACGCCTCAGCCGCCTGATTATCATTTTTCAAAATCTTAAATTTAGGCCAGGCAGCCAGGCGCGGTGGTTCACGCCTGTAATCCCAGCACTGTGGGAGGCTGAGGCAGGTGGATTACTTGAGGTCAGGAGTTCTAGACTACCTGGCTAACATGGTGAAACCCTGTCTCTACTAAAAATACAAAATTTGCTGGGTGTGCTGGTACACGCCTGTGATCCCAGCTACTGAGGAGGCTGAGGCAGGAGAATGGCTTAAACCCAGGAGGCAGAGGTTGCAGTGAACCAAGATTGCACCACTGCACTCCAGCCTAGGTGACAGAGCAAGACTCTGTCTCAAAAAAAAAAAAATTCAGGCCAGCCACAGTGGCTTACACCTATAATCCCAGTGCTTTGGGAGGCTGAGGCAGGAGGATCACTTGAGGCCAGGAGTTCAAGGCCAGCCTGGGCAACATAGCAAGACCCCATCTCTACAAAAACGTTTTAAAAATTAGCCAGGTGTAGTGCCACATGGCTGTGGTCCCAGCTACTTGGGGGTCTGAGGCAGGAGGATTGCTTGAGGCCAGGAGTTTGAGGCTGCAGTAAGCTATAATTGTGCTGTTGCACTCGAGCCTGGATGACAGAACCAGACTCAATCTCTTAAAAAAAAAAATCTTAATTCAGTACTAATTCACTGAGGAGTCATGTATCTAGTAACCTTAGCATTGTTGCAAGTAAGAGAAAACCAGAAAGAAAGTGATAGAGGCTTCCAAAACACTGTCACATAAATGAGGTTTTTCAGTGAGAACATTTGGACACAGGATGGGGAACATCACACACCGGGGCCTGTCGTGGGGTTGGGGGAGGTTGGGGGATAGCATTAGGAGATATACCTAATGTAAATGTAGAGTTAATGGGTGCAGCACACCAACATGGCACATGTATACATATGTCACAAACCTGCACGTTGTGCGCACGTACCCTAGAACTAAAGTATAATTTAAAAAAATAATGAGGTTTTTTTTGGGGGGAGGGGTTGTTTTTGTTTTTTTGAAATGGAGTCTTGCTCTGTCACCAGGCTGGAGTGCAGTGGCGTATCTGGCCTCACTGCAACCTCCGCCTCCTGGGTTCAAGCAGTTCTCCTGCCTCAGCCTCCCGAGTAGCTGGGACTAAAAGTGCACACCACCATGCCCAGCTAATTTTTGTATTTTTTATAGAGACAGGGTTTCACTATGTTGGCCAGGGTGGTCTCAATCTCTTGACTTTGTGATCTGCCCGCCTCGGCCTCCCAAAGTGCTGGGATTACAGGTGTGACCACTGCGCCTGGCCTATAAATAAGCTATTAATTGAGTTTTTACAACTGGCTAATGAGCTTTAGTATTTAGAATCACCGAACTCTATAGAGATGAACTGCTCTTTTAAAAGATCATGTGTTTTTAAACTCAAGTTCAATGAGCCGATTATTTCACGAGGGTGCCAGGTGACATAGTGAAGACCACATATGCACAGAGTGATAGAACGCTGGCAGGTCCCAAGCCCTTTTCTGTGATTCTTCTCTTACCTCACCACTATCCTGCTCTTGACAGGATTACGGTTTCTTTGCACTCTCTTCTCTTTCTTCAGCCAGACCTTTCTGGAAGAAATCATTCATTTAAATTAAAAATAGATATATTTTTTATATCTATTTTCTCACACCAGTATCTTGCTCGCGACAGAATTATGATTTCTTTGCACTCTCTTCCCTTCAGCCAGACCTTTCTGGAAGAAATCATTCATTTAAATAAAAAATGGATATACCTTGCTAGGTCCTTGGGATATTTAGGTTCAAGTGAAGAAGGTAAAGAATAGGAAAATGCCTTTAAGTCCAGGTGCCATGGCTCACACCTGTGATGGGATGCCAAGGCAGGGGAGGATCAGTTGAGCCCAGGAGTTCAAGAAACAGCCTGGGCAACATGGCAAATCCCCATCTCTACAAAAAATGCAAAAATTAGCCAGACATATTGGTACACACCTGTATTCCCAGTTACTCAGGAGGCTGATGAGGGAGGATCGTTTGAGCCCAGGAGTTCAAGGCTGCAGTGAGCTGAGATGAACCCACTGTGCTCCAGCCTGGGTGACAGAGCAAGACACTGTCTCCAAAAAAAAAAAAAAAACCTTTAAGTCCCAAGAATATTCATCTAGACAGTAGTTCTGTTTTGGGAGGCTTGATTTTTTTTTTTTTTTTGTAATTATTATGGGAAATTTAAAACTACACAAATACAAAGAGAATAATGAACTCATTCAGCTTCAACAATTATCAAAGTTTATCACTTTTTTTTTTTTTTTGAGATGGAGTTTTGCTCTGTCACCCAGGCTAGAGTGCAGTGGCATGGTCTCAGCTCACTGCAACCTCCACCTCCCGGGTTCAATCAATTCTCTTGCCTCAGCCTCCCAAATAGCTGGGATTACAAGTACCCGCCACCACGCCGAGCTAATTTTTGTATTTTTAATAGAGACGGGGTTTTGCCATGTTGGCCAGGCTGATCTCGAACTCCTGACTTCAAGTGATCTGCCTGCCTCGGCCTCCCAAAGTGCTGGGATTACAGGTGTGAGTCACTGCTCCCAGCCAAATTTTATCACTCTTTGTTTAGTTGTCACTGACCACTTTTTTTAATCCTGCAGTGTTTTAAAATAAATCCCAGAAATCATGTTTCACCAGAAGTTCAATATGTATCTCTACGTAGACATTTTTCCATAACCATCATGTCATTATCACACTCAACAAATTAACCGTAATTAACAAATTAATAATCTGATTCTCAGTCCATATTCCACTTGCCCTGGTTGTCTTAGAGATACCTTTTTACTGTAAGCAGTAAACAAGGCCACAGATTGCCTTTGATCCTTTTTTTCAGTCTTTTATTCTGTTATATAAACTTCAAGGAGTCCAAGAACCATTGAAATAGATTACAAAAGTTTATATACATACTTTTTTCCTTGGTAGAGGATCATAGCATTTATCCATTTCTAATAGGGTTCTGTGACACAAAGTATGTTAGAAACCACTGATATGGGCTTTCTGGAATGATCAAATAGATTGTGATAATCCTTCATACACGAGTTTTCTTTCATTTTATTTTTTTATGTGTGTGACAGAGTCTTGCTCTGTCAGCCAGGCTGGAGTGCAGTGGCACCATCTCAGCTCGCTGCAAACTCTGCCTCCCAGGTTGAAGCAATTCTCCTGCTTCAGTCTCCCAAGTAGCTGGGACTACAGGCTCGTACCACCATGACTGGCTAATTTTTGTATTTTTAGTAGAGATGGGGTTTCACCTTGTTGGGCTGGTGTTGAACTCCTGGCCTCAAGTGATCTGCCTGCCTCAGCCTCCCAAAGTGCTGGGATTACAGGCATGAGCCACCACACTCACCCAAATTTTATCACATTTGTTTCAGTTGTCACTGACCACTTTTTTTTTTTTTTTTTTTGAGATGGAGTCTCACTCTGTCACCCAGGCTGGAGTGCAGTGGTACGATCTCAGTTCACTGCAGCCTCCAACTCCCAGGTTCCAGCGATTCTCCTGCCTCAGCCTCCTGAGTAGGGATCACAGTTGCACGCCACCATGCCTGGCTAATTTTTGTATTTTTAATAGAGGCGGGGTTTCACCATGTTGGCTAGGCTGGTCTTGAACTCCTTGTCCTCAAGTGATCCGCCCACCTTGGCATCCCAAAGTGCTGGGATTACAGGCATAAGCCACTACACCCATCCAAATTTTATCACTCTTGTTTCAGTTGTCACTGACAATTTTTTTTTTTTTTTTTTTTTTTGTTGACACGGAGTCTCACTCTGTCGCCCAGGCTGGAGTGCAGTGGCGTGACCTCAGCTCACTGCGACCTCCGCCTCCTGGGTTCAAGCAATTCTCCTGCCTCAGCCTCCTGAGTAGCTGAGATCACAGGTGTGCACCACCACACCCAGATAATTTTTGTATTTTTAGTAGAGATCGGGTTTCACCATGTTAGCCAGGCTGGTCTCAAACTCCTGACCTCAGGTGATGCACCCACCTCGGCCCCTCAAAGTGCTGGGATTACAGGCATGAGCCACCGCACCAGCCTATAGTATTAATGTTTATCTTGTAGCTGACTATGTTACTGAATCACAGTTTTTTGTTTTTTTTTTAATTTTTGGACACAGAGCCTCACTCTGTCACCCAGGCTGGAGTGCAGTGGCATGAGCCACCGCACCAGGTCCCCCCCCCCCTTTTTTTTTTTATCCTGCAGTGTTTTAAAACAAATTTCCTAAATCATATTTCACCAAAAATGTTCACAAAGTTTTCTGAAATGTCTGAAGTTCAGGCATTCCTTCTGTGTTTTAGGTCAGCCAGGCATATAGGATTATATGGTACCTTATACTCAATAAGACCTTTGTCTTTTTTTTTTTTTTAAATGAAAAAATGAAACATAACTTGCTGGAAATTACTTGTTTATTTTCACTAAACTTGACATATTAAAGTGCTAATACTCTGGAAATAACGTAAATTATCGTTACATGGTTCTTTTTAGCCAAAAATAATATGGATGAAAATATGGATGAGTCAGATAAAAGAAAATGTTCACGAAGTCCAAAAAAAATAAAAATAGAGCCTGATTCTGAAAAAGATGAGGTAAAAGGTTCAGATGCTGCAAAAGGAGCAGACCAAAATGAAATGGATATCTCAAAGATTACTGAGAAGAAGGACCAAGGTAAGGAGAGTCAGCTGTGGAGGGCAGCCTGGGGGTGATAAGAATGCACTGGATCAGGGTCCCACCACAGGAAAGGTACTGCGTTGTGTTTTCTTGATAACAGCTTTATCAAAACATAATTGATATCCCATACAATTCACCCAATTAAAGTGTAAATTCAGTGGCTTTTAGTATATTCACAAAGTTCAACCATTATTACATCAATCTTAGAACATTTTCATAACCTTGAAAAGAAGCCTCATTCATACCCATTAGCAGTTACTTCCCAACCCCTCCCGAAAGTGCCACCAGCTTAGTGGTCTACTTTCTGTCTCTCTGGATTTGCCTATTTTGGACAGTCCATAGAAATGGAATCAGACAATATGTGGTCCTTTGTGGCTGGCTTCATCCACTTAGCATGGTTTTAAGGTTCATCCATGTTGTAGCATTTATCAGTACTTTCTTTTTGTTTCTGAATAATACTCTGTATGGATATGCCACATTTTGTTATCCATTCATCAGTTGATGGACATTGGGCTGTTTCCTCTTTTGGCTATACGAATAATGCTGCTATGAACATTCATGCAGAAGTTTTTTGTGGCCATGCGTTTTCACTTCTCTTGGCGATATACCTAGGAATGGAATTACTGGATCATATGGTAACTCTGTTTAACCTTTTGAGGAACTACATTGTCTTTTGTAACAAGTCATTTTTAAAAAAAAACTAGATAAGCTAGATAATGCATGTGGCTAGAGATACTTTAAAAAAATATTTTTGGCTGGGCGTGGTGGCTCATGCCTGTAATCTCAGCACTTTGGGAGGCTGAGGTGGGCGGATCACCTGAAGTCAGGAGTTCAAGACCAGCCTGGCCAACATTGCGAAACCCTGTCTCTACTGAAAATTCAAAAATAAGCCAGGCATGGTGGCACATGCCTATAATCCCAGCTACTTGGGAGGCTGAAGCATGAGAATTGCTTGAACCCAGGAGGCGGAGGTTGCAGTGAACTGAGATCATGCCACTGCACTCCAGCCTGGGCAACAGAGTGAGACTCCATCTCAAAAAAAAAAATATATATATATAAATTCCTCCTTTCAGAGTAAAAATTACATTTATATAAATGTCTTTGTTTCACAGATGTGAAGGAGCTCTTAGATTCTGACAGTGATAAACCCTGCAAGGAAGAACCAATGGAAGTAGACGATGACATGAAAACAGAGTCACATGTAAATTGTCAGGAGAGTTCTCAAGTAGATGTGGTCAATGTTAGTGAGGGTTTTCATCTAAGGACTAGTTACAAAAAGAAAACAAAATCATCCAAACTAGATGGACTTCTTGAAAGGAGAATTAAACAGTTTACACTGGAAGAAAAACAGCGACTCGAAAAAATCAAGTTGGAGGGTGGAATTAAGGGTATAGGAAAGACTTCTACAAATTCTTCAAAAAATCTCTCTGAATCACCAGTAATAACGAAAGCAAAAGAAGGGTGTCAGAGTGACTCGATGAGACAAGAACAGAGCCCAAATGCAAATAATGATCAACCTGAGGACTTGATTCAGGGATGTTCAGAAAGTGATTCCTCAGTTCTTAGAATGAGTGATCCTAGTCATACCACAAACAAACTTTATCCAAAAGATCGAGTGTTAGATGATGTCTCCATTCGGAGCCCAGAAACAAAATGTCCGAAACAAAATTCCATTGAAAATGACATAGAAGAAAAAGTCTCTGACCTTGCCAGTAGAGGCCAGGAACCCAGTAAGAGTAAAACAAAAGGAAATGATTTTTTCATCGATGACTCTAAACTAGCCAGTGCAGATGATATTGGTACTTTGATCTGTAAGAACAAAAAACCGCTCATACAGGAGGAAAGTGACACCATTGTTTCTTCTTCCAAGAGTGCTTTACATTCATCAGTGCCTAAAAGTACCAATGACAGAGATGCCACACCTCTGTCAAGAGCAATGGACTTTGAAGGAAAACTGGGATGTGACTCTGAATCTAATAGCACTTTGGAAAATAGTTCTGATACCGTGTCTATTCAGGATAGCAGTGAAGAAGATATGATTGTTCAGAATAGCAATGAAAGCATTTCTGAACAGTTCAGAACTCGAGAACAAGATGTTGAAGTCTTGGAGCCGTTAAAGTGTGAGTTGGTTTCTGGTGAGTCCACTGGAAACTGTGAGGACAGGCTGCCGGTCAAGGGGACTGAAGCAAATGGTAAAAAACCAAGTCAGCAGAAGAAATTAGAGGAGAGACCAGTTAATAAATGTAGTGATCAAATAAAGCTAAAAAATACCACTGACAAAAAGAATAATGAAAATCGAGAGTCTGAAAAGAAAGGACAGAGAACAAGTACATTTCAAATAAATGGAAAAGATAATAAACCCAAAATATATTTGAAAGGTGAATGCTTGAAAGAAATTTCTGAGAGTAGAGTAGTAAGTGGTAATGTTGAACCAAAGGTTAATAATATAAATAAAATAATCCCTGAGAATGATATTAAATCATTGACTGTTAAAGAATCTGCTATAAGGCCATTCATTAATGGTGATGTCATCATGGAAGATTTTAATGAAAGAAACAGCTCCGAAACAAAATCGCATTTGCTGAGTTCTTCAGATGCTGAAGGTAACTACCGAGATAGCCTTGAGACCCTGCCATCAACCAAAGAGTCTGACAGTACACAGACGACCACACCCTCAGCATCTTGTCCAGAAAGCAATTCAGTTAATCAGGTAGAAGATATGGAAATAGAAACCTCAGAAGTTAAGAAAGTTACTTCATCACCTATTACTTCTGAAGAGGAATCTAATCTCAGTAATGACTTTATTGATGAAAATGGTCTGCCCATCAACAAAAATGAAAATGTCAATGGAGAATCTAAAAGAAAAACCGTCATCACAGAAGTCACCACGATGACCTCCACAGTGGCCACAGAATCAAAAACTGTGATCAAGGTAGAAAAAGGCGATAAGCAAACTGTGGTTTCTTCCACAGAAAATTGTGCAAAATCCACTGTCACAACCACCACTACAACAGTGACCAAGCTTTCCACACCCTCCACAGGCGGCAGTGTGGACATCATCTCTGTAAAGGAGCAGAGCAAAACCGTGGTCACCACGACAGTGACAGACTCCCTGACCACCACGGGAGGCACACTGGTTACATCTATGACTGTGAGCAAAGAGTATTCCACACGAGACAAAGTGAAACTGATGAAATTTTCAAGACCAAAGAAGACTCGTTCAGGTACAGCTCTGCCATCCTATAGAAAATTTGTTACCAAGAGCAGCAAGAAGAGCATTTTTGTTTTGCCTAATGATGACTTAAAAAAGTTGGCCCGAAAAGGAGGAATCCGAGAGGTCCCTTATTTTAATTACAATGCAAAACCTGCTTTGGATATATGGCCATATCCTTCTCCTAGACCGACCTTTGGCATCACTTGGAGGTATGTACTTTAAAATGTATTTGGGGGAGGGAGAAAATTTTAAAAAGAATTATCTCACAAGAATATCTCATTTTTAAAAAATGAGATAATAGAGATAAGACAGGAAACATATTAATGGCCAAAGATAGTAATGGAAACAGGATACAGAAAGCTTCAAAATTGGCCAACTAATGTACTAAAGTTTTTGTAGGGAAAAATGTTTAAAGTCTTAAAATTTAAGGGACTATTTTAAAAATGAAATTCAGTTTTAACTTTCATAAGACAAAAGGAACATGTCAGATGTGATTGTTTTTGTGGTCTGATTTTCTGAGTTACTGCTCTGGGAACAAGATAACCACCAACTTTCTGGAATGTTTGTATTTTATTTTTATTAGGTAATTCATAAAAAATAAGACATAAACACGCCTGTAAATTTCATAAAGCTTATCATAATGTGAAAATCTTCCTAATGTAGCTTAGTTGCATGATAAACATTTGTTTTGGAGTTCTCTGTTATTTATGTATGAATAGGTAGTCTCTAAGATTCCTTAGAAATTTTTTTAAACCCAGAAATAGTCCTAATTTAAAATTTTCTGGGCACTTTAGGTTTAGGGGATGCGTCCTAAATAGATAGTGTTGGTAGTTGTAAAATCATGTAGTTTTATGTTGGGAAGGCACCTTAGAAATTCTTATCTTTTGTAAATGTACAGTAATTTGCCTGTGGCTACAGAGACACAGGAATAGTGCCCGGTTTTCCTAAATCCCAGTCTAGTACTTTATTTGCTGTATCACATTTCACTTATGTGTCCTTGCTTTCTCCTTTTTCATGTCCTTGTCTTTATCTTTTCACCCCTGTAATTGAGAAGGATGGAACATAAACACTGAAAACATGAGAGTTCTGGGAACATCTTTAGAAATCAGAATCAGTCATAGTTGCAGTTAGATTTTGCTAGGACCCTCAAATTATTTCAGCGAGTTACTGAGCCGTTTTCATTTCCCCTTAGGCTTCGTTTTTGTGTGTCTTTTAATATTTTTCCAATTTCTTTAAAAATCACACTTTTTTGGTTTCCTTTATATTAATTACAATCAGCTAGAAAAAAAAGTAAGTACTCTCTATAAAGGAATTCATTTATTAATACAACCAGTCATAGTTTGTTTGACCAAGTTTTTTATAACTCATCTTTTGATTTGAAATAAAATATCATCACTCCATTACACATTCAATAGAGACAGCTGAAA
Source organism: Homo sapiens (assembly GCF_000001405.40). Lineage (NCBI taxonomy): Eukaryota > Metazoa > Chordata > Mammalia > Primates > Hominidae > Homo > Homo sapiens. The sequence goes on from NC_000017.11 coordinate 67,914,406, forward strand.
AGTACAATTTCTCTGCAGGGCCTGCAATGAAGGATTTGCAGAATCCTGCAGGGAATCAAGGAACTCTTCATTACAATTCATGGATTTATAGGATTACTCTGCACTTTTCTGCTTTCTTCATTGAGAGCGGTCCCAAAATGTATCCTTGACTGTCCTGCAGGTAACTTCTTTCCCACTGGAAAAGTTACTATGTACAAATACTTTAATTAAAGTGACCTGGCAGTTGTGGAGGCCGACCTTTCTGCTCTTTGTATTCTAAAATGGAGGGTAGGCTCAACTGGGAAGCACTCTTCTCTGAACTCTCCAGGAGAGTTAGGCACTGGTCCCAATCAAGTGTTGCTCGGGGCCCTGTTCTGCACAGCTGAATTTCTGGAGCTGAATTTCATGTCTTAGTATGCACTATGGTACAGTTTATATTACTTGATTTCACATTTTTTAATGGGAGGAAATACCTTCCATTAAACATTCATTTTAAACTGATACAGCCTTCAAATGTATGCTAACGTCTTAATTTGCCAAAACATATTTGAGAGAAGCATAATCCTTTCTGTCTAATGGAGGCATGGGTAAATATGTAAATTGATCATGACTTTAGAATGCATTTTTTAAAAGCATATTGCTATAAAAAGCCATGCACGTGAAATGCATTTTTATACTAACACTAGAATAGAATACATCTGATGGTTAGGAGTTAAGAATGCCAAAGATGCATGTATGATCTTTGTTATTAATGTTAAGGCTGAGCAATATTGGAAAACTTGTCTCATACACTCAATAGGGCCTCTTTTTCCCTCCACACCATCCATTCCCTTATGCCCATCCTCCCAGGCCCTGATTCTGTGCTTCATTTTCACATTGAACTGATAGTTGTCCTCCACAGTGCTGCCAGAAAGATTCTCCTAAAATGCCCCTCTATCCTGTGAATAGTCTGACTGAGCTAAGGGACTTGGTAACTACTGCAGCAAGGAGCGGGGAAAGCATTTGTCACCTGTAGATCACATTCATGGAAAGTACTTCCCTTTACAACCCATCCAGTACTGGATAAATCTCAGAGGACTTAATATACATACCCTTTAATGCTCTTCTTTAATCTTTTATTTTGGTACAGCGCATTCTGGCTTCTGCCTTTTTCTCTCATGCCACCTTCATCTCTTTCTGTACCTCTACACCCCTTCCCTCCAGTCATAAAACACTGGATGTGGTTTCTGGGAAGAAATGTGTACTCCTGCACACTGTTCTGTTTAGCATATGTGTGCCCCTTGCCTTTGATCAGCAACCCCCATACTCTTAACTTGTCCTTTGAGACTCCAGCAAAGCTCTGATCCTCATTCCCGAGCCAACTCAGATGTCCCTCCCTTGTCCTTTCCTCTCTTACAGCTCCTTGAGAACACAGACAGATTCTAGTTTACCTCTGTGTCCCCAGCTCCTTTCACATAGTCTAACACATAGAAGATGCTCAAGTATTTTTTGAATGAATGCTTGAATGAGCAGACTTACCGTGCATGTGGTGTGTTCCTCCCTGGTGTTATTTCCATTTTAAAATAAGGATACTTTAAAGTCATTGTTTGACCACAGAGAATGAGGACAAACTTTTCCTTGCAAATAAATATTTATTTGCTTTCTCCTGTGACACTAAAGATCTCTAGGAATTACTATGGGGTATGGTCTGAAAGTGACAGACACTTTCCCCCTCTTGGGACATCCCTGCACTAGTTAACATTTCCCCTCTGATTTCCCCTTGACCTGCTCTGTCCAGGTCAGAGGATTCATAGTGCGATAACACAGTGGAGAAAGTAATGGTGTCACAAGTGGATATGGGAAGTTAAGAAGCTGCAGCAACTTTTTGGCTAGAGCTTTCTCTTTCACAGTGTTCATTTTTCCAACTGAATGCTGTCAATAGAAAGCATTGTCTTTCAGGTGGGCTCACGCCTCCCAGCACTTTGGGAGGCCGAGGCAGGTGGATCACCTGAGGTCAGGAGTTCGAGACCAGCCTGGCCAAAGTGGTGAAACCCCGTCTTTACTAAATATACAAAAATGAGCCCGGCGTGGTGGCGGGCGCCTGTAATCCCAGCTACTCAGGAGACTGAGGCAGGAGAATCACTTGAACCCGGGAGGCGGAGGTTGCAGTGAGCCGAGATCGCGCCATTGCACTCCAGCCTGAGCGACAAGAGCAAAACTCCGTCTCAAAAAAATAATAATAATATACAAAAATTAGCTGGATGTTTGGGCGGGCGCCTGTAATCCCGGCTACTCGGGAGGCTGAGGCAGAAGAATTGCTTGAACCTGGGAGGCGAAGGTTTCAGTGAGCCAAGATTGCTCCACTGCACTCCAGCCTGGGTGACAGAGCAATACTCTGTCTCAAAAAAAAAAAAAAAAAAAAGAAAGCATTGCCTTTTACATACAGAGTTGTTTGAGATTTACCTTCCACCTCTGTTAGAAGAGGAAATTATTTTTATTTTATAGCCTTTGTCTACACCATAATCAACCACTAAGTTCATTTAAGTAGAGTGAAAATGTCAACAAAGTATTCAGTTACACAAAGATATATAGTGAATTCCATTTTAGGACATGATATTTAATGCAGTTAAGTAAATTTATTTTGAAATACGTTTTTAGTATTTTTTAAGAATGTGTAAAACGTTTAGTACCTCCACACACAATGTTTAGAAACAAACATGAACACAGAGAGATTTGTCTGTTGATAAGTAACTAATATGGTATTGTCCTTTTTTTTTTTTTTTTTTTGAGATAGAGTCTCACACTGCCGCCCGAGGTGGAGTGCAGTGGAGCGATCTCGGCTCACTGCAACCTCTGCCCTCTGGGTTCGAGCTATTCTTCTTTCTCAGCCTCCCAACTAGCTGGGATTACAGGCGCCCGCCACCATACCCAGCTTAGTTTTAGTAGAGATGGGGTTTCACTATGTTGGCCAGGCTGGTCTCAAACTCCTGACCTCGTGATCCCCCCACCTTGGCCTCCCAAAGTGCTGGGATTACAGGTGTGAGCCACTGCGCCCAGCTGATATTGTCCTTTTTCTAATATTTTACTATTCATTGTAGAATTTGAAAACTACACTAATGCTGTTAAAGTTTTATTAGTATTAACTTTATTCATCATCCAGTTGTTCATGTTTTGAATAACCACCATTTGGATGCAGAATGTTTTTGTCCGTTTGGAAAGGTCTTACTAGATTTGTAAGATGTTTTTGGTTTAATTTAATTAATTAATTAATTAATTAATTAATTTAGAGACAGAGTTTCACTCTTGTCGCCCAGGCTAGAGTGCAATGGCATGATCTTGGCTCACTGCAGCCTCTGCCTCCTGGGTTCAATTGATTCTCCTGCCTTAGCCTCCCAAGTAGCTCGGATTACAGGCATGCACCACCATGCCCAACTAAGTTTTGTATTTTTTGTTTTGTTTTGTTTTTGAGACAGAGTCTCGCTCTGTCGCCTAGGCTGGAATGCAGTGGCCGGATCTTGGCTCACTGAAAGCTACACCTCCCAGGTTCACGCCGTTCTTCTGCCTCAGGCTCCCGAGTAGCTGGGACTACAGGCACCCACCACCGCGCCTGGCTAATTTTTTGTATTTTTAGTAGAGATGGGGTTTCACCGTGGTCTCAATCTCCTGACCTTGTGATCTGCCCACCTCGGCCTCCCAAAGTGCTGGGATTACAGGCATGAGCCACCATGCCCGGCCCTAAGTTTTGTATTTTTAATAGAGATGGGGTTTTGCCATATTGGTCAGGCTGGTGTCGAACTCCTGACCTCAGGTGATCTGCCCACCTCGGCCTCCCACAGTGCTGGGATTACAGGCGTGAGCCACCGCATCTGACCTCATTTTATTCTTTTAGAAAATTTAAACATTTTCAGGTTTCTTGTTTTTGCAAAAGTTAGGATTTTTCCTTCAAAACTCCTTTATCACATTTAATAACAATTATCTATTTCTCTATATTTGGTCCCCAAAATTTTCCTAACAGATATTTTGGAATTAGGTTAACTTTATAAAGTCTTCATGAATTTTTGCCTTATCAACCTTACAATGAAACATTCTCATTTTATAAACTTATATGGCATTTAAAATGAATATAGCCCCTTTTAAAAAAAAATGTTAGGTGCGTGTTATGCCTATGAATGAAGAAGTTTTTCTTTTAAAGGACATATAATACCAAAGTCTTACAAAACCATATTATAAATACTGGAGTCCTAATGAGGACAAGAAACACAGCCCTTCAGTTTAGTAGAGTGAATATGAATGTGTATGTGTATGTATATACATATAGATATATATGGATTTCTTTGGTTTTCCTTTCAGGTATAGACTTCAGACAGTAAAGTCCTTAGCTGGAGTGAGCCTGATGTTACGGTTACTGTGGGCAAGTTTGAGATGGGATGATATGGCGGCCAAGGCTCCTCCAGGAGGAGGGACTACACGGACAGGTAAGGGGGAAGGGAGTTATTTTCTAATTTAAGTTTAAAAGCTAAAATCACAGGCCAGGCGTGGGCGCTCATGCCTGTAATCCCAGCACTTTGGGAGGCTGAGGCAGGTGGATCATGAGGTCAGGAGATCCTGACCATCCTGGCTAACATGGTGAAACCCCGTCTCTACTAAAAATACAAAAAATTACCTGGGCGTGGTGGTGGGCTCCTGTAGTCCCAGCTACTCGGGAGGCTGAGGCAGGAGAATGGCGTGAACCTGGGAGGCGGAGCTTACAGTGAGCTGAGATTGTGCCACTGCACTCCAGCCAGTGCGACAGAGTGAGACTCTGTCTCAAAATAATAATAATAATAATAATAATAATAATAATAATAATAATAATAAAATATAATGCTTGTTTTTTAGAAATACAGTTTTGGCCATGTGTGGTGGCTCTCACCTGTAATCCTAGCACTTTGGGAGGCCAAGGCAGGAGGATCACTTGAGGCCAGGAGTTTGTGACCAGCCTGGACAACATAACGAGACCTTGTCTCTTCAAAACTCTAATTTAAAAAGAAAAAAATCAACTAGGCCTTGTGTTTGTAGTCCCTGCCACTTGGGAGGCTGGGGCCAGGAGGATTGCTTGAGCCAGGAGTTCAAGGTTGCAGTGACTGTGGTCCACTAATGTCTTCCAGTCTGGATAACAGAGCAAAACCCTGTCTCTTAAAAAAAATTTTTTTTTCACATACAGCTTTGTTGAAGTTTGGCACATGCTATAAAATCCCAGGGGCCAGAAGGGAAGGTTCAGATTATAAAGTGAGTCACTTATGTGTGAACCAGTCTACATTTTTTAAAAGATATTTATGATTGTTTAATTAAAAATTTAAACTAAGACTTCTGGAGGCCTGTGCTTGCTGCTTCTGTCCTAGGCTTTTTATTATTTTGATTGAGTATTGCCACCAGGAGCTCAGCTATACCCAGCAGCATTTTGTTTCGTTTAGGAATTTGCAGCGAGGAAGAAGCTCAGTATTGTTGCAGTCTAGCAGTGATCCTGCTAGATGTTAGTGATCCTGTTAATTAAGTCAGGTGTTTCCAAAAGTTTATTCCACGTGTGTCTCTTTTTGAAAGCACCAGATGTACCTTTTTAGTCTCTGAGTATTTCAGTTGGTTATTAATACTATTGAATTAAATCACCATAGAAACATCCGAAACTGAAATCACAACAACAGAAATAATTAAGAGGAGAGATGTTGGTCCTTATGGCATTCGATCTGAATATTGTATCAGGAAAATCATTTGTCCCATTGGAGTTCCAGAAACACCAAAAGGTAAGAAATAGAATTCTATTCTTTCATGATTAACCTGTTAACCATGTATTTTATGAATTGAAATTTGATATAATTTTTTCTTCTCTGTTCACCTTTTAAAAAAGACATATTTTACAACTACCAAATTTTGAAAATGATATTAAAGTAATAAACATATCAAGATTCTGGTAGACACACATCGATGCCTATAAGCCTTGTTCTAAGCACAGCAAAGGGCTATAATAATACCTCTTGTAATTAAGATGTGAGACATTGATTGACCCCAGACCAGCAGCTCCTGGAGAGCAGCCATCTCGTCTGTCTGGTTTATTGAAGTCACGGCAGCTAGTACCGAGTCTGATATGTAAGTGGGTCAATAAAGGTTTCTTAAGGATTAAAACTACTGTGAAATACTTCAGTGCTCAAGGTAGAGATAATCCAAGAGGCATAAAGAGTTACTCAAAAAATGTTTATAGAGCACCAGTACAATAGGCACTGGGTGGCAAATACATAGAAGAATGATATTTGGCCCCTAATCTCAAGGAAGCAAAGTAAAGCTTATAGTATTATAATATCAGTGTTATATGTGTTGCAGTAAGCTAAGAGAGTAATATTGGAAAAGAAGATTAACACTAATTTATAGATAATTATGAATGTCTACTTAGAAAATTCATGAGAATTAAAAGTATTAGCACTAATAGGAGTTCATTGTAGTATCCAGATTGAAAATATATAAATTCCATTTTATTTTATATAAACAATAAAAATATTTAGGAAAAAACCTAGTAAGAAATATATAAAAGGCCAGGTACAGTGGCTCACACCTGTAATTCCAGGACTTTGGGAGGCCGAGACAGGTGGATTACTTGAGTCCAGGAGTTCGAGCCCAGCCTAGACAATGTAGTGAAACCCTATCCCTACAAAACATACAAAAATTACAAAAATATTGGTAATGTGCATGCCTGTAATCCCAGCTACTCAGGAGGCTGAGGCCCGAGAATTGCTTGAGCCTGGGAAGTGGAGGTTGCAGTGAGCTGAGATCACACCACTGCACTCCAGTCTGGGTAACAGATTGAGAATCCGTGTCAAAAAAAAAAAAAAAAAAAAAAAAAAGAAATACAGGCCAGGCATGTGGCTCAAGCCTGTAGTCCCAGCACTTTGGGAGGCCGAGGCGGGCAGATCACTTGAGATCAGGAGTTTGAGACCAGCCTGGCCAACATAGCAAAACCCCATCTCTACTAAAAATACAAAAAATTAGCCAGGTGTGGTGGTACACACGTGTAGTCCCAGCTACTTGGGAGGGTGAGGCGGGAGAATCACTTATACCCAGGGGGCAGAAGTTGCAGTGAGCCAAGATTGTGCCACTGCATTCTAGCATGGGCAACAGAGTGAGACTCCATTTCCAAGTAAATAAATAAATAAATAAATAAATAAAAAGATAATGTCCTTAGATAGAAACGTAGTGTTTTTATAAAAGTTAGTTCTCCCCAAATGTATACAATTAATTTTTGAAACTTGATTAAATTAACTTGGGAGTTCTTCTTGGAGAATAACCTTTTTGAAAAGAGTACCAATGAAGTAATACCTGTTCCTAGTAGATGATAAATTTTAGCTTACTTAAAACAGCGGCCAGGTGCGGTGGCTTCCGCCTGTAATTCCAGCGCTTTGGGAGGCCAAGGCGGGTGGGTCATTTGAGGTCAGGAGTTCAAGACCAGCCTGGCCAACATGTTGAAACCCTGTCTCTTCTAAAAATACAGAAATTAGCGGGACATGGTATTACACACCTGTAGTCCCAGCTACTCGGGAGGCCGAGGCACGAGAATTGGTAAACCCAGGATGGGGGTGTTGCAGTGAGCCGAGATCACACCACTGTACTCCAGCCTGGGCAACAGAGCAAGACTCTGTCTCCAAAAAAAAAACAAAATCACAAGGTCGTCCTGGCACAGAAACAGCTCTGTTGATGGGCAGAGACACAGATGGGAGATGTACCTGGCAGGCCTTCAGTCTCCTTGACCCCACAGCCTTTGATGCAAACCACTGCAGTCCCCTAAAATCACTTCTCTTTGGCTTGTATCCCTTTGTACAATTCAGGTCCTGCTTTCATTTCTGTTTCCTTCTGCTGCTTCCTTGTGATTGAATATATGGGAAGGTTCAATGCTTGTCCCTCCCTGCTTTTTATTTTTTAAATCTTTTTATGAGGAGATTTTATCTATTCTTAGGTTTCACATCTCCACTTTATATTGGTAACTCTCAAATCCCCCTTCTCTGTGCGGTGATAGGGAAACACATGTTGTACACCCAAGTGTGAGAAGAACATGCTAGGCTTTTGTAGGAAGTTGAATTCATGTTGGGGTCCAGAGGATGAATTGACATTAGTCAGATGAGCGGTGGAGGCTTGGAATAGTGCTCCAGGTGGAAGAAACAGGTTGTATAAAGGCTCATAAGCCTTGTATTTTGGGGGTCAGCAAACCACAGCCCATGAGCCTTGGCCTACCCTGCTTTTATAAATGAAATTTGATTGGAACACAGCCACATTTACTCACTTACGTATTGTCTTTGGCTGCTTTCATGATACAAAGGCACAGCTGAGTAGCTGCAGCAGAGACCATCTGGCTATTTAAGAAGTTTGCCAACCACTTTTTCATGATAGAAGATGCCAGAAGTACTTTAATTTTAGAAGCAATATTGCTTAAAATATTCTGATTTCCTTTCCAAAGAAACGCCTACACCTCAGAGGAAAGGCCTTCGATCAAGTGCACTGCGGCCAAAGAGACCAGAAACGCCCAAGCAAACTGGCCCTGTTATTATTGAAACCTGGGTAGCAGAAGAAGAACTGGAATTGTGGGAGATCAGGGCATTTGCTGAGAGGTAAGGAAATGGTTAATACCTGGTCAGCTATTTGAAGATTTTATCACTTCAGAATCAATAAATTACTTTTTTTTTTTTTTTTTGAGACAGGATCTTGCTCTGTCACCCAGGCTGGAGTGCAGTGGCACAATCTTGGCTCACTGCAACCTCTGCCTCCCAGGCTCGAGTGATCCTCCCACCTCAGCCTCCCCGGTACCTAGGACTACAGGTGCATGCCACCACGCCCAGCTAATGTTTGTATTTTTTGTACAGAGATGGGGTTTTGCTATGTTGTTCAGGCTGATCTTGAACTCCTGGGCTCAAGCAATCCACCCAACTTGGCCTCCCAAAGTGCTGGGATTACAGGCATGAGCTACCCTGCCTGGGGTAAAAGAACACTTTAATCATTTATTCAGTGCAGTAAAGTCCTAGCTTGACTTTACTCCACCTTTGATTTTAAGTGCTAGCTGTAAATAGTTTAGTAAGGTCCTCTCTCTCTGTCTTTTTTTTTTTTTTTTTTTTTTTTTTTTTGAAGCAGAGTCTCGCTCTGTCAGCTAGGCTGGAGTGCAGTGGCATGATCTCGGCTCACTGCAACCTCTGCCTCCTGGGCTCAAGCAATTCTGCCTCAGCCTCCTGAGTAGCTGGGATTACGGGGGTGTGCCACCATGCCCGGCTGATTTTTGTATTTTTAGTAGAGACGGGGTTTCACCATGTTGGCCAGGCTGGTCTCGAACTCCTGACCTTGGGTAATCCACCTGCCTCAGCCTCCCAAAGTGCTGGGATTACAAGTGTGAGCCACCGCGCCCGGCCCTCTCTCTTATTTTTAATGTGTTGTCCATTTGTCGATTTCTAATGACCATAAATGTTTTATCTTTATTTTTTATTTTATTTTATTTTTGAGACAGTTTCACTCTGTCCCCCAGGCTGGAGTGCAGTGGCGCGATCTTGGCTTACTGCAACCTCCCAGATTCAAGCAATTCTCCTGCCTCAGCCTGCCAAGTAGCTGGGATTACAGGCATGTGCCACCACGCCTGGCTGTTTTTTTTTAAGACGGAGTCTCGCTCTGTCATCCAGGCTGGAGTGCAGTGGCACAATCTCGGCTCACTGCAAACTCCACCTCCCAGGTTCAAGCAGTTCTCCTGCCTCAGGCAGGTGGCCACCACCATGCCTGGCTAATTTTTTTGTATTTTTAGTAGAGATGGGTCGAACTCCTGATCTCAAGCAATCCACCTGCCTCGGCCTCCCAAAATGATGGGATTACAGGCATGAGCCACCGCACCCGGCCTGAGCCACTGTGCCCAGCTCCGACTAACTTTTGTATTTTTAGTAGAGACAGGGTTTCACCATGTTGGCCAGGCTGGTCTTGAACTCTTGACCTCAAGTGATCTGCCTGCCTTGGCCTCCCACAGTGCTGGGATTACAGGCATGAGCCACCTCGCACAACCAAATGTTTTATTTTTAAATTGAGATAATATCATACCTTTGTATGATGTGAAAATCAACCAGATTTCACTCTTATTAGATGCCAGATGCCTAACAGGCTAGTTTCTGATAAGTTTCTCCTTTTTTTCCTGCAGAGTGGAGAAAGAAAAGGCACAAGCAGTTGAGCAACAGGCTAAGGTTAGTGAACAGAAGAAGGCAGAGGACATCAAGGCCCAAATGGAGGCTCTTTCAAAACAAAAGCACTTGACCTCCCATCAGCAGGGGGAGTTGGTGCTGGTCCCACTTGACAACATACATACATTTTTTAGCCAAATTCATGCACACCCATGCACAGTAATGATACATTCTTGTGGGTTTTGGTGTTTATTTTTTTGAGACAGTGTCTTACTATCACCCAGGCTGGAGTAGATCACAGCTCACCGAGCCTCGACATCCCTGGTTCAAGCGGTCCTCAGCCTCCCTAGTAGTTGAGACTACAGGCACACACCACCATGCCCAGCTAATATTTGTATTTTTTGTAGTGATAGGGCTTCGCCGTGTTCCCCAGGCTGGTCTTAAACTCCTGGACTCAAGCGATCCACCTGCCTCAGCCTCCCAAAGTGCTGGGATTTTGGGTGTGAGCCATTGCACCCATCCAGGTTTTTTTTTTTTTTTTTTTTTTAAGTGTATCTCACGTCTATCTTATTGTCATTATTTGAAAACAGCTCTGTGGGTACACCAAGCTGTGGTTTTGTAAAAAGTATACATATTTGGAGGACATCTGAAATAAGATTTCTATTATTTATTATCTTTAGAGTTTCATAAGTAATTTCTGAAAATAATTTTTTCTTGTGAATTTCCAATCTGGAAAATTTCTGTAGTCTATGAAAAAGCAAAGTATGCTAAAACTCCATAAGAGTTTGTTGTAATTGATTATTATAAAGCTACTGATGGTTTCTTAGTGTTTTCATACTATAAATAATGTGCCATGGCCAGGCACAGTGGCTCATGCCTGTAGTCCCAGCATTTTGGAAGTCCAAGGCAGGAGGATCCCTTGAGTCCAGGGGTTTGAGACCAGCCTGGGCAACATAGGGAGACCCTGTCTCTAATAAAAGAAAAAAGCAAAATTTTAAAAATAAAAATACAATGTGCCATATGTGCCTAAACATTGAGGACCTGAATAAAAGATGATTACCACTTATTCCTATTGAGAAAATACTGTAAGAGTTTTTACCAACTTCAGTATATAAACATTGAGGATACAAGTGAGTAGATATATCTATATACAGTATTATTAACATAGTTATACATAACTATTTAAAAATCATATATAAACCAAATTATTTGTTTCAAACTAGTTTTCCCTTTCATTTTATAAAACATTTTTTCAAATTCTTGTGTATCTTTCAGTTTACTATAGGTCCTTATCTTCACTTACATCAAAGTTTGAGATGATAGCACTTTTGGATTCTATGTATGATGCTGTCTGTCACAGGAAACCAATCACTAAACCCAAATATCTATAACAACTGGCTAGTTGTATTGTTTTTTATTTTATTGGGTGTGTTTTCTCATCTCTGCAATGTAACCTAACATATTACTTTTTTTTTTTTTTTTTTTTTTTTTTTTTTGAGACAAGGTCTCACTCTCTTGCCCAGGCTGCTGGAGTGCAGTGGCACGATCATGGCTCACCACATTCTCAATCTCCTGGGCTCAAGCAATCTACCCACCTCAGCTTCCCAAGTAACTGGGACTACAGGCATGCACCACCGTGTCTGGCTGATTTTTGTGTTTTTTGTAGAGATAGGACTTTTGCCATATTGCCCAGGCTAGTCTTGAACTCCTGAGCTCAAGCGATCTGCCTACCAGGGCCTCCCAAAGTGCTGAGATAGCGAGCACCACTGCATTTGGCCCTAATATACTACTTTTTTTTTTTTTTTTTTTTTTTTTTGAGATGGAGTCTCACTCTGTCACCCAGGCTGGAGTGCAGTGGCGCGATCTCGGCTTACTGCAAGCTCCGCCTCCCGGGTTCACGCCATTCTCCTGCCTCAGCCTCCCGAGTAACTGTGACTATAGGCGCCCGCCACCACGCCTGGCTAATTTTTTGTATTTTTAGTAGAGACGGGGTTTCACTGTGTTAGCCAGGATGGTCTCGATCTCCTGACCTCGTGATCCGCCTGCCTTGGCCTCCCAAAGTGCTGGGATTACAGGCGTGAGCCACCGCACCCAGCCAGTATATTACTTTAAAAAATTTATTTAAGATGCTTATTTATGAATATAGCTAACACTTCAACTTTGAAGGCATATCCTCCTATAAATAAGTACTAATATATCTGTTCTATTTCTTTGCCTCCTTTTTTTTTAGAGATAGGGGCTTGCTCTGTTGCTGAGGCTGGAGTGTAGTGGTGAGATCATAGCTCATTGCAACTTTGAATTCCTGGCTTAAGGTGATCCTCCGGCCTCAGCCTCCTGAGTAGCTGGAGCTACAGAAACACTACCACACCCACCTTTGCCTCCCTCTTTTTTTTTTTCTTTCTTTTTTTAACTGATTTAATCAGATGATGTCTCTAAGAGTTGAAAACTAAGCTCTTTTTCTTCTGAGGAATGAGAAATTGTGTAAAGTACTTTATATTATATTCAGGTATATAGGATAGGTACAAAAGTAGTCCTAAAAAAATTGGACGTGATGTCATAGGTGAGCAGGAGGCTCACCTATGTCAAAGGCAGGAGATAGTGGTGCAGGATTGGAATTTGATTTTAGCAGACATCCCAACATCACCCTTAACTAGCTCTGTGGCCTTGGGCCAGTTACACAACCTCTCTAGTCTCCGTTTCCTCATCTTATAAGATAATGAAGGTAAAGCATCTGCCACCAGGTTTGAAATAAATTTCACCTGTTGTTTTACATGTGTGTGGTTATATTGTTACTTATCACACCACTGTTGATAAGCTGTTAGAAAAGTTTAGCAATCTATAATAAAAGATATACAGAATATCTTTAATACCTGTAGTTTTAAAGATTGTATTATACTACTCTGTATAGTATAAAGTATTTTTCTGTAAAAATATTTGAATGTATAATAGAAGAAGTCTAGAAAAACTTTTATAATTTTCAGCTTGCTTGATTGCAGGTTTGCCAACTTTAATAATAGTGTCATTAACTATTGACATGTTTTTATAGTTGGATAAATTAATATTACAGTGAAACAGAAACCTTTCACAGCTCCATTTGTTCTCAGCTCTGAATCTCACCGCTGAGCAGCATGGTGTTTCTGTCTCCAATAAGCTTACCCACATCTCTGTTGTTTTCAGTCTGAAACCTTGGATGTTTGTACAAGCCAGAAAAACTTGTTATAAAATTTTCTGCTATGAACAGCTTAGTACTTTTAATGTAATATATGTGGTATAGAGACATGAAAATACTGCCTTCATAGATAGGTACCTTGGAGGAATTAAAAATATATATATGGCCTTCATCAAGAAATTAAATTCAGGTAATTTTTTTTTTTTTAGAGATGGAGTCACTCTGTCACCCAGGCTGGAGTGCAGTGGCATGATCTCAGCTTACTGCAACCTCTGCCGCCTGGGTTCAAGCAATTCTTCTGCCTCAGCCTCCCGAGTAGTTAGAATTACAGGCATGAGCCAGAATGCTCAGCTCATTTTTGTATTTTTAGTAGAGGTGGGGTTTCACCATATTGGCCAGGCTGGTCTCGAACTCCTGACCTCAGGTGATCCACCCACCTCAGCCTCCCAGAGTGCTAGGATTACAGGTGTGAGCCACCGCAGCCAGCCATAAATACGGGTAAATTTATATGGACATATATTCTTTTTGGAAGTAAAATACTTCAGAAATGTAGTGGAATTTCTTAAGGTGAGAGAAATTGTGGACAGACTTCTTGTAGAATGGTATTGTTTTTATTTAGAACTATTTTGATTCATGTTTCCTCTCCTTCACTTTTTTAGAAACGACTGGAGCAGCAGAAGCCGACAGTGATTGCAACTTCCACTACTTCCCCAACAAGCAGTACAACCAGCACCATCTCTCCAGCACAGAAGGTTATGGTGGCCCCCATAAGTGGCTCAGTTACAACTGGAACCAAAATGGTACTAACTACTAAAGTTGGATCTCCAGCTACAGTAACATTCCAACAAAACAAGAACTTTCATCAAACCTTTGCTACATGGGTTAAGCAAGGCCAGTCAAATTCAGGTATGGAACTATCATTAAGTAAAAGATTACTTTGGTTCAGGAAAAAGAATTTTCAACCCTTTAGCTACTGAAATGAAACATTTTTTTAGAAGATTGTTTTTCTTTTGCAGCCAGTTGAGCAAACAAGCTGTAACGGTTGGTTTGTTACAAATAATGTTCATAATATTACATTAGCAAACTCCTCTCTTACATTATTTCACTTTCAACATTTACATAGTTCACTTTGAGTGGAGAGGAATGTTTTTATTAAAAATACAAAATGAGCCACATTTCATGCATTGGTGCCCTTTCCTAGAAGTCACTACGTTGCTGGTTATTTTAAATCTAAAGCTTATTAAATGTCTTATACCCCATTAGCCACCAGCACAGCTGCCACATCTGCTACAACCATTGCCAGCACAGGTCAGACGTTCCAAATTACAGGCAATCCAGTCACTATGGCAGGAAAAGTAATTACCAAACTGCCACTTCCTGCAAACAGCAAGATTGTCGCTGTAAATGTGCCAGCAACACAAGGAGGTAAGGGAAATGTGAAGTTTTAATTCACATTTGCCAGATCATACTGTTGCCATTATTTTTCATCTCCTTTTCACTGATTTCAGTCCTCGGATCTCACATTCTATGTAGCCCACTATAAAACCCTGCCACACGTAGTTTCTCCTCAGCAACCGAGCACCACGTAATGCTTTCCAATAAAGTGATAGTTTTTAATTATGGCTTCATCTTTTTTTAAGGCGTTGTTCAAGTACAGCAGAAAGTCCTGGGTATCATTCCATCAAGTACAGGTACCAGTCAGCAAACCTTTACTTCATTCCAGCCCAGGACAGCAACAGTCACAATTAGGCCCAATACCTCAGGCTCTGGAGGAACCACAAGCAATTCACAAGTAAGAATTCTTACAGACTTATTTGGTTTGATGTGTTGAGCACATCACATTATTTTTAGAATGACTTCTTCCAAGATTAATCCAACTCAGTTTCCTTTGCCTATTACTGAATCTGTGACAGAGTACTGATTTGGAAAAAAATCTGTTATATTTCTGATAAGTGAAAATGATACATGAAGTATTAATGTCTAACAGTTAATGACACATTAGTATGGTTTATGAAGAATAATAATTGCTTTCTAGGATTTTATAAAGAAAATTTCTTTATGTAAAACAGTGGACAGCACTAGACCACCCACGGAAGTGTGCTGTGCAGGCTCGCTAAGAAATCAAATTTAAAATGCTGGGCCAGGTGCGGCGGCTCACGCCTGTAATCCGAACACTTTGGGAGGCCAAGGCGGGTGGATCACTTGAGCTCAGGAGTACAGGGCCAGCCTGGGCAACATGGCAAAACCCCATCTCTACAAAAAATACAGAAATTAGCCAGGCGTGGTGGTGCTTACCTGTAGTCCCAGCACCTCAGGAGGCTGAGGTGGGAGGATGGCTTGAGCCTGGGAGGGGAAGGTTGCAGTGAGCTGAGATTGTGCCACCACACTCTAGCCTGGGCAATAGAGCCAGACCTTGTCTCAAAAAAAAAAAAAAAAAAATTAAAAAGTAATCTACAGTACTGTTAACTAGTTTGTTATCAGCTGATATGTGCACATATTAGATACATCATTTCTTTTTTTGAGACAGAGTTTCAATCTTGTTCCCCAGGCTGGAATGCAATGGCATGATCTCTGCTCACTGCAAACTCCACCTCCTGGGTTCAAGCGATTCTCCTGCCTCAGCCTCTCAAGTAGCTGGGATTACAGGCACCCACCACCATGCCTGGCTAATTTTTGTATTTTTAGTAGAGATGGGGTTTTACCATGTTGGTCAGGCTGGTCTCAAACTCCTGACCTCAGGTGATCCACCTGTCTCGGCCTCCCAAAGTGCTGGGATTACAGGCCTGAGCCACTGCACCTGGCCCAGATATGTAATTTCTTTGTTACTAGTATGGAAAAGGCTTAAAGTTTTGTAGACTAGCATTGTGGAAAAAGGTTTAAAGTTTTAAATTTTTGAAAATGTTCTGAACCTAACTATAAAACTGAAAATAAAATACTTTCTAGTTTCCCTTTTAAAACTATGAAAGGACCAGGGGCAGTAGCTCAAGCCTGTAATGCCAGCACTTTGGGAGGCTGAGGCGAGAGGATCACTTGAGGCCAGGAGTTCGAGAACCACCTAAACAAAATGGCAAAACCCCATCTCTACTAAAAATACAAAAAATTAGCTGGGCATGGTGGCATGTGCCTGTAGTCCCAGCTATTCCCAGCTGCTTGGGAGGGTAAGGGACGAGAATTGCTCGAACCCACAAGGCAGAGGCCACAGTGAGCTGAGATGGTGCCACTGCACTGCAGTCTAAGTGACAGAGTGAGACTCTGTCTCAAAAAAAAAAAAAAGTTCAAAGATTAGCTGGGCCGGATGCGGTGGCTCACACCTGTAATCCCAGCACTTTGGGAAGCCAAGGGGGGCGGATCACAAGGTCAAGAGATCGAAACCATCCTGGTCAATATGGTGAAACCCTGTCTCTGCTAAAAATACAAAAATTAGCTGGGTGTGGTGGCACACGCCTGTGATCCCAGCTACTTGGGAGGCTGAGGCAGGAGAATTGCTTGAACCCGGGAGGCGGAGGTTGTAGTGAGCCAAGATTGTGCCACTGTACTCCAGCCTGGGCGAAAGAGCGAGATTCTGTCTCTAAATAAATAAATAAGCAAGACTGTCTCTAAATAAGTAAATGAATGAATGAATGAATGATTAGCCGGACATGGTGCCATTCACCCATAGTCCTAGCTTCTTGGGAGGCTGAGGCAGGAGGATTGCTTAAGCCCAGGAGTGAGCCAGGCTACGATGAGCTGTGATTGCATCACTGCATTCCATCTTGGGCAACAGAGTGAGACCCTGTCTTTAAAATAAATAAATAAATAAATAAATAATTTTTAAAAAACTATGAAAGAACATTTGGTTTCTGATCTTCCTGTTATATTCTGTGGGTTACAGGTATGGTCTGGAGCTTACAGAAAGTGCGACTCCACATTTTCCTGTGAGCACTAGTTACAGAGCAGAGCCTCGCTGGCACATGCTCCTTCCTTTTATTCCATAGGCTATTTTGGTATCAGTGGCAGGGAATTTTGTATGATAGCATTTGAATTAAGTTTTCTTTCCTCAAAATTCCGTCTTTATTCTGATGTTTAATACAATTTAAAATGTAATGTTCAAGAGCCCCTGTCATTCCTGTAAACATTTTTATTAATATAGAATGTTTAAAGATCTTGTGTTCTAAGTCCATTATACTTTAATCTTTTTAAAGCATTTTAATTCATTGTTCTTTGTGTCATTTATAGGTAATCACAGGGCCTCAGATTCGCCCTGGTATGACCGTGATTAGAACACCACTCCAACAGTCAACACTAGGAAAGGCAATTATTCGAACACCTGTGATGGTACAGCCAGGTATTTATCCATCCAGCATTATCATTTTACATCTCAACAGCCAGTCTAGGAAATACGTAATTCTCTGCATTTGGCACTACATACGAGAAATATAATTTTAATTAGTACTTCAAAGCATACTAAATTTCTAATCCATTGTGAGCTCTATTCATTGATATTATTTCATTTTGACATTGACAGTAAAATAGGTTGAAGTATGCTTATTAAAAATGTAACAGAAATCACTAATAAATAAAATATATAATTGAAGTAAAGAAAACAGTCCGTATAGCAAAAGACAGAAAATCAAGGAGATAGCAAAGAAACATATAAAACAAAATTACAAATGCAGTGCCAGATGTTCATTTATTACTCTTAATGAGAATACATTAAAACTACCATTTTAAAAGTTGAAGACTGGCCAGGCTAGGTGACTCTCCCCTGTAATCCCACTTTGGAAGGCCAAGACAGGAGTATCACTTGAGCCCAGGAGTTCAAGACCAGCCTGGCCAACATGGCAAAATGCCATCTCTACTAAAAATATTAAAAAATTAGCTGGGCGTGGTGCCTCATGCACCTGTAATCCCAGCTACTTGGGAGGCCGAGGTGGAAGAATCGCTTGAAACCAGGAGGCAGAGGTTGCAGTGAGCCAAGATCATGCCACTGCACTCCAGCTTGGGCAACAGAGTGAGACCCTGTCTCAAAAAAGAAAAAAAAGTTGAAAATGTTAAAGATTTTTTTTTAAACCCTATACATTTATGAGAAATTTAGCTAAAATCAAATTACTACAAAAGCTACAAAAGATAAAAAAACTAGAGATGGACACAGGCACATGAAATAAAGGCCATAAAAAGAAAGAAAAGACAAGGATGGCCCTACTGATACTGGGCAGAATAAAATTCAATGTTTAATAAAAAGGAAAAATTTATGAAAAAGAGTCATTTTTTATTGGCTTAAAGGTAAAAAAGATCAGCCAGGCGCAGTTGCTCATGCCTGTAATCCCAGCACTTTGGGAAGCCAAGGCAGGCCAGATCACCTGAGGTCAGGAGTTTGAGACCATCCTGGCCAACATGGGGAAACCCTATCTCTACTAAAAATACAAAAATTAGCTGGGTGTGGAGGTGGGCGCCTGTAATCCCAGCTACTCTACTCGGGAGGCTGAGGCAGGAGAGTCGCTTGAACCCAGGAGGCGGAGGTTGCAGTGAGCCGAGATTGTGCCACTGTACTCCAGCCTGGGCAAAAAGAGTGAGACTCCGTCTGAAGGAAAAAAAAAAAAAGGTAAAGATCATGGCCAGGCACAGTAGCTAAAGCCTGTAATCCCAAAACTTTGGGAGGCTGAGGCAAGAGGATCACTTGAAGCCAGGAGTTGGAGACCAGTCTGGGCAACATAGGGAGACCCCATCTCTACAAAAAATAAAAATTTAGCCAGGCATCCTGGAGCACGCCTGTAGTCCCAGCTACTTGGTAGGCTGAGATGGGAGGATTGCTTGAGCCCAGACATTGGAGGCTGCAGTGAAGTATGCTCATGCTACTGCACTCCAGCCTGGGAGACGGAGCACGACCTGTTTAAAAAAAAAGAAAAAAAGAAAAAAAAGATTGCAGTTAAGGTATAATCTTGAATCTTTATGAATTAAGTAACATGTCATATTAAAGTGTAAAAAGCAAAACTATTTGAAATCAAGGAGAAATTAATAGGAGCATAGTAAGCCACAATTAAACTATGTATCAACTTTTGTGCCTTCTGAAATACACATTCATTTAAAATATTTGTAGGCTTAACCCAGGCGCAGTGGCTCATGCCTGTAATCCCAGCACTCCAGGAGGCCGAGATGGGCAGATCACCTGAAGTCAGGAGTTTGAGACCAGCCTGGCCAACATGGTGAAACCCCATCTCTACTAAAAATATAAAAATTAGCCAGGCCTGGTGGTGGGCACCTTGGGAGGCTGAGGCAAGAGAATTGCTCGAACTCAGGAGGTGGAGGTTGCCGTGAGCTGAGACCCTGCCATTGCACTCCAACGTGGGCAACAAGAGTGAAACTCCATCTCAGAAAAAAGAAAAAAAAAATAATAATTCATAGGCTTTTTGGTGGAAAAGTAGTTCTTGAGTCATAGATAAAACCTTGATAAATTCCAAAAAATAAAATGTGTATAGGCCACATTCTTTATAGTAAAGCTAGAAATTAATATTAAAATACTATATTATGCTGTAACAAGATGTGTTAGGAAATAAAAGACATGACCGGGCGCTGTGGCTCACGCCTATAATCCTAGCACTTTGGGAGGCCAAGATGGGCAGATCACCTGAGGTCAGGAGTTCGAGACTAGCCTGGCCAACATGGTGAAACCCCTTCTCTACTAAAAATACAAAAATCAGCTGGGTGTGATGGCGAGCACTTGTAATCCCAGCTACTTGGGAGGCTGAGGCAGGAGAATCACTGCAACCTTGGGAGGTGGGGGTTGCAGTGAGCGGAGATTGCACCACTGCACTGCAGCCTGGGCAACAAGAGTGAAACTCTGTCTCAAAAAAAAAAAGAAAAGAAAAAGATATTAGATATTATACTAATAATCTTAACTTGCTTAGAAGTATGTGAGTACAGCTGGGTGTGGTGGCTCACTCCTGTAATCCCAGCACATTGGGAGGCCGGCGGGTGGATCACAAGGTCAAGAGATCAAAACCATCCTAACCAACATGGTGAAACCCCGCCTGTACTAAAAATATAAAAATTAGCTGGGTGTGGTGGTGCACACCTGTAGTCCCAGCCACTTGGGAGGCTGAGGCAGGAGAATTGCTTGAACCCAGGAGGCAGAGGTCATGGTGAGCCAAGATGGTGCCATCGCACTCCAGCCTGAGCAATGAGCGAAACTCTGTCTCAAAAAAAAAAAAAAAAAAAGCATGTAAGTACATTCTAAGTAACTTTTAAGTTAAAGATACATCAAATATGTAATTACAAAACAATTCTCAAATAGCAGCCTTAAGCCTTGAAGCTGCAGTTAAACTTTGAGGTGATTCAGTTTATTCAATACATATTTGAACACCTACTCTAGGCAGTTGAAATAAATCAGTGAATAAAACAAACCAAAAATACCTCTATTCTTAATCAAAAGTTAGAAACATATATAAAACAAGTTTCGAAAGAAAACAAGACCTGATGCGGTGGCTCACACCTGTAATCCCAGCACTTTGGGAGACTAAGGCAGTCAGATCACTTGAACCTATTAGTTCTAGACATCCTGGGCAATGTAGTGAGACCCCCATCTCTACAAAAAATTTCTAAAAAATTAGCCAGGCGTGGTGGCACATGCCTGTGGTTTCAGCCACTTGGGAGGCTGAGGCAGGAGGATCACATGGGCCCAAGAGGTCAAGGCTGCAGTGAGCCACAATCTTGCCACTGCACCTCCAGCCTGGGTGACAGAGTGAAACCCTGTCTCAAAAAAAGAAAAAAGGAAAGAAAATGAGGGAGGAAATGAAAGCACAAGTAATAATAATTACAAAACAGAAAAGACCAAAAAAATTAGACCATTATTTTGCAAGTCTAATCTAGGGAAAAGGGAGGAATATGCTTGTTCACAGAATTAGGAATGAAAAAGTACAATAAAAATAAAGTGAGCTTTTTTAACTCAAAAGGAACTGTAGATCACCTGAGGTCAGGAGTTCAAGACCCGCCTGCCCAACGTGGTGAAACCCTGTCTCTACTAAAAATGCAAAAATTAACTGGGAATGTTGACAGATGCCTATAATCCCAGCTACTTGAGGTCAAGGCAGGGAGAATTGCTTGAACCCTAGAGGCAGAGGTTTCAGTGAGCCAAGATTGCGCCACTGCACTCCAGACTGGGCGACAGAGTGAAACTCACAAAACTGAAAAAAAGAATTTTGTATAGGTATCCTTGTAGTAAGACTTTCAGAAGTCTTACTATACATACTTAGGACGTAAATCTATTTGAATAGCAAGACATAATTAAATATTGTGCTTATAAATTGAATGTCTCAATGACATATCAACAGAAGAAATTTGAAAAGTTGCCATAATGTTACCTATAGCAAGGAATTACAGACTTCATGGTTTTACAGGTATAGTTCTTGGAAATGGGTAGGAAATAATTTTCTTACTATAAAACATGGTTCCAGGGCATAAGGGGAAAGATAGATAAAATCTTTCCCATTTTACTAATTTAGCACCAATTCTAATATGAAATATAGCAGGGTTTTTTGTTGTTGTTGTTTTGTTTTAAGGCAATCGTCTTGCCTAAGTAGCATTTACCTGAGAAAAGAAAGGAAGATGGATTATTTCAGTTAATGCTGCAGGAACAATTGATAAGATTTAATATCTATTATGTGAGACAGGTAGCTACTAGGAAAGAGAACTAATATAAAGGAGAAAGTGCAATTTATAGGTGATAAATGTTTTCTATATACTTAGAAAACTGACAGTTGTGGTAAATTGCCAGAGAAACTGTAAATGCTGGTATTACTATGGATACACAGAGCCTTTGTTGCATAATGCCCTATGTAGCTGTAAGTATGTGTTTGTCTGACATGCATAAGTGAATGTGTAGTTTCCAAACCACTCTCTTCTCCAGGGTTTTGCCACTTTTCTTCCCTGGAGTCTTGAATCCCCTGTGAGGATAGGGTTTGTATGATGAACTACCCAACCCTGCCGCCTGGCTGTGCAGTGCTCATTTAATGTACTTAAATGAAAGTCTGCCTTAAACGAATTAATTCTTAGTAGTAATACTCTAAAATAGCAACTGTCATATATTCATCATTGACTCTGTGCCAGGGTGTATGTGTTTTGTACATAAGCATTCATTTAATCTTCATATAAAGCATATAAAATACTATCCCCATTTTACCGATGAGAAAATTGAAATTTAGAATGTTGAGTAATTTCCCAAGCTATTAATCTGGGATTCAAACCAGATTTATCTGATTTCCAAGTCCAGATATTCATTTATTCATTCAACAATTATTCAGTACTACCTATGTGCCAGATGCTGTTCCAGGCCCAAATGGCCATGGTTATAAACTAATCAGACAAAATAATGCCCTCATGAAACTTATAGTCTAGTGGAAAAGGTAGATAATAATGAAGTAAATTAATTATACATATATTTAAATATACTGTATAATAATGTATGAATTTTACACATATATCATGTTAAATAATGAAAAGTACTGGCCGGGCGCGATAGCTCACGCCTAATATACCAGCACTTTGGGAGGCTGAGGCGGGTGGATCGCCTGAGGTCAGGAGTTCAAGACCAGCCTGGCCAACATGGTGAAACCCCATCTCTACTAAAAATACAAAAAATTAGCTGGGCATCATGGTTGGTGCCTGTAATCCCAGCTACTCGGGAGGCTGAGGCAGGAGAATCGGACTTTGTCAAAAAAAAAAAAGAAAGAAAAGTACTTAGAAAAACTGAGGGGAGGAACGATAATGTTTAGAGTTGGGATTTGGGAATGATTTGCAGGGAGGGTTGAAATTTTAGGAAGGATGGCCTGAGAAGGACTCACTAACAAGATGAAATTTGGATAAAGACCTGAAGGAAATGAGAGAGCTGTGGAGCTGTGCAGATATCTGAGGAAAGAGTCTTTTATGAAAAAGAAACAGCAAATGCAAGGGCCCTGAGGCAGGAGTGGACCTGGTGACATTGAAGGGATGGGTAGCCAGTGGATCTCAGGGGGACCCAAGGAGGACAAGAAGTGGGAGTCAAAGGAGTTATGGTCAGAGAGGTGGAGGGTGGGTGGGTATGGGTTGTGTCTTCAGGTGTGCACAGATCACACTGGAACTTATCCCTCTTCCTACGCCACACTAGCTTTTCCTAAGATGAGATCCGGCCGGGTACAGTGGCTCATGCCTGTAATCCCAGCCCTTAGGGAGGCCAAGGCGGGCGGATCACCTGTGGTCAGGAGTTCAAGACCAGCCTGGCCAACATGGCAAAACCCCATCTCTATTAAAATACAAAAAATAGCCGGGCATGGTGGCGCAGCCTGTAATCCCAGCTATTTGGGAGGCTGAGGCAGGAGAATCGCTTGAACCCAGGAGGCAGAAGTTGCAGTGAGCTGAGACCGCCCCTCAGCCTGGGCAATAGAGCGAGACTTCACAGACCCTCGGAGTACAGTCAGAAATTATTACATTTTTGAATTTCCATTTTGATCTAAAAATAAATTGATATATACCTATTGGAGATCATCTGGGTGGCTTATAAAAATGAATCAGTACCAATCCTTTTATCTGTCTCTGCTTATGATGGCAATGTATCTGTACCAGGTGATCTCTGGAAGTGATAACTTTTCATGTATTGTTTCTCAAACTGCAATGCAAGGACATAGCACTGGGATATAGGAGTTCTCAAATTAAAGACCTTGGCCACACTATGTTATGCTGTCTTTCAGTTCATCTTGAGTAAATGAATGAGAGTAACCAAGAAAAATTTAGAAGAAAGAGTAATAATGGAAAACTTGTACTACCAGTTGTTAAAGCTATTATAAAGCCACCAAAATTAGCATGATACCAAAGGAAGCAACACAAATAGTTACAGAGGCATTATATGTGGGAATTGGCTGCATGACAGTGGTGTCATTTTGCATCAGTAAATGATACTGGAATAATTGGCTTATAGTTTGGGGGGAAAATAGACTTCCGTGTTACAACATATACCAGGACTAAGAACATTCTTGGGAGGATGTATCTGATGAGAGAATACAAGAGAACTTTACAAGCAATAATTAAAGCCAAAATTTTTAAAAAGACTAGTCTGGCCGCATTTTTTAAAATTGCAAGTTTAGAAATAAAAACGTAGATGGCAAAGTGGAAAAAATAGTTTCTAAAAATATGTATTAAATAAGTAGGAAAAGAAATGGGCAGTGTGTGGAGAGTGAATTCACAAATGAAGAACAATGACTTAAAACAGTTTTTAATGCCAACCTGTGGTAATTGAGGAAATTTAGCACTGTGATACATGATACTATTTGCAGTTGCCTGAATATTTTACTTTACTGGTGATATCAAGGTTTGGCAGGGTTCAGTGAAATAGGCACACAGAGCTGGCAGTAGTGTGAATTGGAATAACCTTTCAAAACTTCAACTTAGTACTATATTCCTACTATGAACCCAGTAATATTTTTTGGAGGGTTACTTTAAAGAAATAATCAGAAGCACCCAAAAATGGATAAGCAGGAATTTTACCATGGCGTTAGTTTAACAACAACAACAAAAAGGTGTGGGGGAAGTATTCTGAATGTCAAAATAAGTTTCATTTTACATATGTGCAGTAATATGAAGTATCATTCAGCCATTAAGAGAAACACAAAGATATATATGTGTATCCACAGATGGAAAAAAGGCAGCGAGTAAATATTAAAAGCTTGAGAAATTTGATGTTATTCAGTAGTTAGTAATGAGTCTGTAAGTGTCAAATTAGCTACCAAAAAATTATTCTTAGCAACTGTTCTACATGGGGGAAAATTCCACTTGCCTATTCTAGTTTCAGCAAGTTAAACTAAAAAGAGGTTTATGGAAAACTGTAGAGCCATTCCAGTTCAACTTCATTCATTCAATAGACATTTATTGAACAATTACTATGAAAGCATTATTTGGGCCAGGTGAGGTTGCTCATGCCTGTAATCCCAGCACTTTGGGAGGCCAAGGCGGGTGGATCACGAGGTCAGGAGATCAAGACCATCCTGACTAACATGGTGAAACCCCATCTCTATTAAAACAAATACAAAAAATTAGTCGGGTGTGGTGGGACATGCCTGTAGTCCCAGCTACTCGGGAGGCTCAGGCAGGAGAATCGCTTGAACCCAGGAGGCAGAGGTTGCAGTGAGCCAAGATCACGCCACCGCACTCCAGCCTGGGCGACAGAGCGAGACTCCGTCTCAAAAAAAAGAAAAGCATTATTTGAGCACTCTGCCCTAGTATTGAGGATATAGTGGTCCTTGCCTTCATGGCTCTCCCAAGCTATCTGTCAAATAGCTGTAAGAGAAGCTTATTATAAATGCAGTTGGCCCAGAATATTCCAGATTCTTTATATTTTGTTTAAAATTCATATGAATTAATTTTTTATTAAATTAGCACTTATTTTTAATATTATATTCCTAAGAAAAGGCAGCCTTATAAATGGCATATTTTACACATTCTTTTTTGTCTTCCCTATTATCATTTTGGTTTTAGATTTATAGGAAGAATTTTAATTGGTTTTTTCCATTATCCTACAGACAGCAGAGACTGGATAACGGTTGGCAGTGAAAACAGACTCACTGCCAACCAGGCAGGACCTTTGGATGTGGGTATATGTCTGAATGTATCCTTAGGCTCTGAATATCCCAGTGTTTTTTTGAAGATGGAAAAGAATACGTTCATGTGAGGTGTTGAATTATTTCAATTCAAAATAATGCCAAGGGTGTATAAGCATTCATAATGTTTTGCTGTTTGGGTAGGTGCTCCTCAGCAAGTGATGACTCAAATCATCAGGGGGCAGCCTGTCTCCACTGCAGTCTCCGCCCCTAACACGGTTTCCTCAACACCTGGGCAGAAAAGCTTAACTTCAGCAACGTCCACTTCAAATATACAGTCTTCAGCCTCACAACCCCCTCGCCCCCAACAAGGACAAGTGAAGCTCACCATGGCTCAACTTACTCAGTTAACACAGGGCCACGTAAGTAACATAAGCTTTATTTTAACTTTAGAGGTGATCTTATTTATTCTTGCGGTAAGTTTAAAAACATGAACTTATTTTGATACGTTTTTAAATGTGCTGATTTGAAGAAATGGTTGCTTCCTGGAGTCAAGCAGAAATACCTCTTAGACAGGATATAATAAACCCCAACTACTAGAGTAATCTTTAGACAGTGAGCTAAAACAGTGAGACAGATAACCCTTTTAAACACCAAAATTTTATTAGTTGGCTAATCTCCATGAGACAAATAAAATTTGAGTACATTAAGCTGCTTCCTTGCAAGACTCGATATTGTTAGCAAGTCTTCTAATATTGATTAATAAATTGAATGCAGCTCCCATCAAAATCCCAAGAGGTTTTGTTTTTAGTGAAACTTCACAAGCTGATACTGAAAGTTTATATGGAGGTACAAAGTATTAAGAATATCTGTACCTTTGAAGAACAGGATTATTTGCCCTATATATGATAACTTGATATCAAAACTTAGTATAGGCTGGGCATGGTGGCTTGCGCCTGTAATCCCAGCACTTTGGGAGGCCAGGGCGGGTGGATTGCTTGAGGTCAGGAGTCTGAGACCAGCCTGACCAACATGGTGAAATTCCATCTCTGCTAAAAGTACAAACAAATTAGCTGGGCGTGGTGGCATGCGCTTGTAATCACAGCTACTCAGGAGGCTGAGGAAGGAGAATTGCTTGAACCTGGGAGGCGGAGGTTGTAGTGAGCTGAGATTGCACCACTGCATTCCAGCCTGGGTGACAAAGCAAGACTTCATCTAAAAAAAACCAAAAAACTTAGTATATAATACTTCACTAATTAATATAGTGAGGTACAGACATAAGGAGAGGCAGATAGACCAACAGAACAGTAGAGAGTGCAGAACATGAACCCCATGTATGTGGACACTTGTTATATGACAAAGGTGACATTGCAGATCATTGAGGAAGAGATGACTTTTCAGTAAATGGTGCCAGGACAATTGAATATACATGGGAAACTGTGAAATTGGACCATTATTACCTCACTCTACATAAACTCAATTCCAGGAGGATGAAAGTCCTAACTGTGAAAGGTAAAACTATAATACCTTTAGAAGATAGAAGAATATCTTCATAGCTTTCCTAAACAGATAGAAAATGCTAACCATAAATGAAAAGATTTATAAATTCAACTACTTTAAAAATAAGAGTAAGAACCTCTGTTCATCAAACTCACTACAGAGAGAGTGAAGAAAATGAGAAAAGAACCAACCAAGGACTATTACATATCCAGAATATATAAAGAATTACTACAAATCAAGAAAGAAAAAAATCCAGATAGATCAATAGGAAAAAAGACAAACAGGCAAGGTGCGGTGGCTCACACCTGTAATCCCAGCACTTTGGGGGGCCAAGGTTTTGGGAGGCCAAGCCAGGTGGATCACTTGAGGTCAGGAGTTTCAGACCAGCCTGGCCAACATGGGGAAACCCCGTTTCTACTAAAAATACAAAAATTAGTCAGGCGTGGTGGTGTACGCCTGTAATCCCAGCTGCTTGGGAGGCTGAGGCAGGAGAATTGCTTGAACCCAAGAAGCAGAGGTTGCAGCGAGCCAAGATATACCACTGCACTCCAACCTAGGCAACAGACTCCGTCTCAAAAAAAAGAAAAACAAAAAAAAAAGGACAAACCAACATTATGAGGAAAGAAGAAATCTAAATGTCCCAAATTCCAAAAAACTGCTGAACTTTATTAATAATGAGAGAAGTACATATTAAAACCATATGCTTAAGAGATTGGTACAAATTTAAATGTCCAACAAAACCAAGAGTTAGCAAAGACATAGAGCAGAAAGAATTCTCATGCACAGCTGGTGGGCCTATCAGTCGGTTCAGCCATTTTGGAAACTTCCTGGACATGGTCTGGTAAAGTCAAAGCTGTGTATGCCCAAGGTCCCAGTATACCTTCTAGGTATATCCCTAGAGAAGTTGTTGGCCATGTGAGCACCAGAATACATGGCATAAATATTGGTAGCAGCATTGTTCATAAGAATCAAAAACTAAGAACAACTCAGGTGTCTATCAAAATCAGTTAGCTAAGTAAATTGTAGTATATTCCTACAGCAATAAAAATGAATAGACTTCAGCCACACAGAACTATGCAGATGATTCTCACAAATATATAATGGTAAGCTAAAGAAGCAAGTAGCTGCCAAAAAAAATACATGTTATAATTTCATTTGTATAAGATTCAGAAATAGGCAAAACTAAGCTATTTTGTGTAGGGATACAGGGCTGCTGCATTGCCTGCCTGGAGGGGGCACTATTCCCATTGTATTCTTTGTGAATATTGCTCCTGAGTTTGTGAACCTCAGTGGCCTTATATATACCTAAGATACATACCGAAGTAGTAATGAAATACAGTGTTATCATCAAAGTGAGGATAGTGCTTACCTCTAGGGGAGAGGGAGGGAATTGAAATCCGGGTGAGTCATATGGGGACTTCTAGGACACTGGCAATGGTGACCACAGTGGCGGTTTTATAGATGTTTACTTTATAATTTTTAAATTATACTTGGTGTTTTGTGCATTTTGTGCATAAAAAATGTATTTTAGAAAAGCAAGAGTAAATAAGTTTTGAGGGATTCACATGTATATGGAGCTTACTTAGTACATGGACTTTGCGCCATCAGTTTTGGTCATTGGGAGTTTAGGGGATGGTTTTTACTTTTGCTTTCCAGTTCTCCAGCATGTTCCTGGTATTCAGGGTTTCTAGTTGAATTACAGTTCTGGACAGAAGAGAGAGCGCCTAGAGAATTTTAAATTTCTGGACCCCTTTTTGGTAACTGCTCAGACCTTAGTGATCCTCCTTACTTGGTGTTTGCATTACATATCTAAAACCCTAAGCTTTTTACAGTTTAGCACACACACACCCCATAGGTAATTTGGCACGTATTGAAAGACAAAATTCAGGAGATCTAGGTTCCTTCTTTTATCTCACCTTTAAGTTGGCCAGGGTACTTGACCTTTCTAACCTGAGTTTCTTAGTTGGGAATCAGAAGAATATTTTCTCTGCCTACCCCATAAAGTCACAAGTCCATTGTGAGAATCAAATGAGGCAGTATCTATGAAGATGCTTTTGAAATTGTAAAATATGAATATAAGATTATTTAAAATCAGAATTTTGTGGGGACTTTAGTTATTCAATACCTTTATTTTATAGATTGGGAAACTTGGATCTGGAGGAACAGTGTTGCTTGTGGACAGATAACTGGCTGACCATTGGGGGAGCTTGAACTGGAACTCTGGATTGTTGATGTTTTTCCTACTAAGCAACATAAATATTCTTACTTTAGCTTATCTAAATTCCTGCTGGTGACATTCAAATATGTATTTTCATTATATTAAAAGATAATTACACATAAAAATGATTTAATAAAAATGATATACATACAGATTGATGCTTTGAACACTGTTTACATGTTGTGTTTTTTCCACAGGGTGGCAATCAAGGTTTGACAGTAGTAATTCAAGGACAAGGTCAAACTACTGGACAGTTGCAGTTGATACCTCAAGGGGTGACTGTACTCCCAGGCCCAGGCCAGCAGCTAATGCAAGCTGCAATGCCAAATGGTACTGTTCAGCGATTCCTCTTTACCCCATTGGCAACAACAGCCACCACAGCCAGCACCACCACCACCACTGTTTCCACGACAGCAGCAGGTAGAGCTGTGGGTTTATCGGAAATGTCGGATGTTACTACTACACGTGGCTGGGCTAACAGAGGCCAACAGGAGAACCAGTATTTACCTTTGGAAGGATATGCCTCAAGCCAGTGACCTCAACAGTTGACATAGTCAGCCTCACAACGTCTCGAAGCTTTTGTACCCTATTCTTACAGACTCCCTGTTACCACCACCCTCTCCCTCCTATTAAAAAAGAGAGAGAGAGAAAGGGGGCAAAAATAATGGTTATCTTGGTAACTATGCCCACACTTACTCCTTGCTAAGCCTTGTAGGTGCTGATTCAGTCATGGAGGTGATCTCAGGGAGGGTGGGTAAATCCAGTTCATGACCTCAGATTGAGAGTGGGTCCAGAACCACTTTGTTGACCTTCTGCTGCAAGTCATTGTAACTAACTACCACCACATCATGGGAGAAAAGTGAAGCGTGGCAATTAGCCTGGGCCAGATGACCCAGCTGATTTCCAGAGGCTGCAACTTACTTTGGAAACCAGCCCTCTAGAGTTAGGAGAGTGTACAGGGGACAGCCAAGAAGCAGGGCCCAGGCTTCCCAGTTTCAGAGCGTCCTGCCCTAAGCGTGTCCAAATGGAGCATTTCAAAGGCATAGACCTTCTGTACCAAAATACAAAATTCTCAACTTTATTTACTTTATTTATTTTTTCGAGACAGGGTCTTGCTCTGTCGCCCAGGCTGAAGCGAAGTAGCACCATTACTGCTTACTGTAGCCTTGAACTCCTGGACGCAAGCAATCCTCCCACCTCAGCCTCCCACGTAGCTTGGACCATAGCCATGCTCCACTATGCTCAGATAATTTTTTATTTTTTTTGTTTTTGTGTAGAGACGGGGTCTCACTATGTTGCTCAAACGATCCTCCCACCTCAACGTCCCAAGGTGCACAGGTGTGAGCCACCACGCCTGGCCAGAATTCTCAACTTCAGAAGATTTCCTTCAGATTCTTCTTTAACCACAGTTTTATGTTCCAGAGTAATAGAAATGGTTCATCTTTCCTTTTTACAGGTACAGGTGAACAAAGGCAGAGTAAACTGTCACCCCAGATGCAGGTACATCAAGACAAAACCCTGCCACCAGCTCAGTCATCAAGTGTGGGTCCAGCAGAAGCCCAGCCACAGACTGCTCAGCCTTCAGCTCAGCCCCAGCCCCAAACCCAGCCCCAGTCCCCAGCTCAGCCTGAAGTTCAGACTCAGCCTGAAGTTCAGACCCAAACAACTGTTTCATCCCATGTCCCTTCTGAAGCACAACCCACCCACGCACAGTCATCCAAGCCCCAAGTTGCAGCACAGTCTCAGCCTCAAAGTAATGTCCAAGGACAGTCTCCTGTTCGTGTCCAAAGTCCATCACAGACTCGAATACGTCCATCAACTCCATCCCAACTGTCTCCTGGACAACAATCCCAGGTTCAGACTACAACCTCACAACCGATTCCAATTCAACCACATACATCTCTTCAGATACCTTCCCAAGGCCAGCCACAGTCACAACCCCAGGTACAGTCTTCAACTCAAACTCTTTCATCAGGACAAACTTTAAATCAAGTTACTGTTTCATCCCCATCCCGTCCTCAGCTACAAATACAGCAGCCACAGCCCCAAGTCATTGCTGTGCCTCAGCTGCAACAACAAGTCCAGGTTCTCTCTCAGATCCAGTCACAGGTTGTGGCTCAGATACAGGCTCAGCAAAGTGGTGTGCCCCAGCAAATCAAACTCCAGTTACCTATCCAAATTCAGCAAAGCAGTGCTGTGCAGACTCACCAGATTCAGAATGTGGTTACAGTGCAGGCAGCCAGTGTGCAAGAGCAGTTGCAAAGGGTTCAGCAACTCAGGGATCAGCAGCAAAAGAAGAAACAGCAACAGATAGAAATTAAGCGTGAACACACCCTCCAAGCTTCTAATCAAAGTGAAATCATTCAGAAACAGGTAAAGTTATTAAGTAAAAGCAGCATGTTCAGTAGCTTGAATTATTGTGCTGTGCAGTAGAATTAGTGTTTGGTTGTGTTAGGTTTCCTAAATGAGACAAAGTCATTAATGTTTAAATTTAGAAGAAACACTGAATTGACCAAAAAAAATACTGAATGACTACTGTGGTGTGGAACACTTCGTTAGATACATATAATATATAGTCAGTGCTTATTAGGAATGACCTGTATTTTGGGAGGACTAAGATGGGAAGAATGGAGTTATGAGCTTTAATCTTTAATATAAAACTTGAGGGTTTAACTAAGTTTTAAAGCCACTTCAGACATTATAGCAATTCCTTTAAAGTTATTGAAAGTTGTCATTCCTTAGTTTGCATGTAGACTATGCAAATTATAGACAGATTAAACTCATTTGCATTTCTAGCCACACCTTTGTAAAAAAGTTTTTGAAAACATATTATTTCATAGCTTAAGTAAAAAGTGGCATCATCCAGCAACATCTTGCAATGGCACATTAGTGAAATAAAGCAATTTAGATGAGTTAGAATTAGTCTACTAAAGTGAAGTCACACATATAACATCTGATAACATTACTGGCAGAAACCATCTTTTCATCTACCTATAGCTTGCTTCGCTCAGCACTAGGCAGGAGTTTGAATGTGGATTTTAAGTGTTACCAAGTTGTGAGACCTTCATTCAGTTCCTAGGTCTCCCATTCACAGTCCGTGAAACTCACTTATCCCTCCTTAGCTATAGCCTCTTAAAACCCTTCTCTTTCCAGCCACATGAGATTATTGCAATGATTAAATGAGGTCATAAATGTAGAAGCACTTTTTACACAGCGAAGTTATTTTAAAGATGTAGTATTCTTATGAAAATGACGGTCATATATATTATATTTAAATGTATTATTACCCAGCTTTACTGTGTATCTATAAACTGAGAATTACTACACTGTCTGTCTATCCGCTAATCTTTGTATAGGGGAGACGAGGGACAGTTCTTTAAAATTCATTCCTGGGAAGAAAGCATAATGTTAAAAATACGGCCTTTGGAGAAGGATAGCCAGGTTAAAATTTCAGCTGTATTACTTACTGTTTGTCAAACAAGGTGGTTAATTTCTTTATGTCTCAGTATCTTGTTTATAAAATTATTGCTATGGTTCAGTGTTGTTGTAAGGAATAAACGAGGTAATGTCAAGTGCTTAGCCTAGCACGGTACCCAGCAGGTGGTAAGCACCCAGGCCATCTGGTAGCTGCTAATTTTATTTATGTTACGATATAAAATTCTTACAGTTTCTTTAAAAAAACACATATGTGCTCAAATTTCTACTGTTGTTATCTGTGTACTAACCTGTGGTGATTATAAAATATGCGCTTTTGGATTTATTCTGTCCTGAAGGTGGTGATGAAGCATAATGCTGTAATAGAACATTTAAAACAGAAAAAGAGCATGACTCCAGCTGAAAGAGAAGAGAATCAAAGGTAGGGGAGACGCAGGGTCTTGTTGTCTGTCCGTCTCTTCTCTTTATCGTGCACACGCACAGAGTTCTGAGTTTATACTTGTTTATCTTGATTGAAGTTCATTAAATGAGAACACTTGGCACTAATAGTTACTCATAACTGGTTTGAACCACTCTTGACGTTTTCCAGTCACAGAAAGTTTTTGTCTCATCTGTAGAGGCATAGAAGAATGATGTCTTAAGCCTTTCAAAATGAAACGCCCAGCATTACATAGGTTGTGTATTTTTCTCTAGAATGATTGTCTGTAACCAGGTGATGAAGTATATTTTGGATAAGATAGATAAAGAAGAAAAACAGGCAGCAAAAAAACGGAAGCGTGAAGAGAGTGTGGAGCAGAAACGTAGCAAGCAGAATGCCACTAAGCTGTCAGCTCTGCTCTTCAAGCACAAAGAGCAGCTCAGAGCCGAGATCCTGAAGAAGAGAGCACTCCTGGACAAGGATCTGCAAATTGAAGTGCAGGTAAGAGGGCACATCCTTTTCTTCTGTGTCCAGTGTTTAACATCTGAGGTTCTGCTTTTTTCCCTTGCCTTTTTAATAAAGCTTAAAATTTCAGTATGTTTTCTAGAACTTACATTTGTGTACATAGAGTAAAAAGCAGTGCAGCGTGTGTGTCTTGCAAAACAAGTCAGAGCTTTTATAACTAAATGTGTAGTTATATTGTATTCTCCAGACTAGCAACTCTGAGAGGTGAGCTTGTTGATTGAATTGTTGAAAAACTCTGAGAAGAGCTTTTCATGTCTATGACATAGTCTAGCCAAAAGTAATTAGGAGCAGAGCTTCATGAGAAAGGTACAGAGACAGTGAAGTAACGTTGAAAGAATGAAAAATAACATGAGTCCATTAAATAAGACAAATTGCACCAGAATGAGGTGGCTCACTCCTATACTTCCAGCAGTTGGGGAGGCCAAGACAGGCAGATCACTTGAGCCCAGAAGTTCGAGACCATCCTGGCCAACATGGCGAGACCTCATCCCTACACAAAATGAAAAAGTTAGCCAGATGTGGTGGCACACAGCCCAGGTACTCGAGAGGCTGAGGCAGGAGGATCACTTGAGCCTGGCAGGTTGAAGCTGCAGTCAGCCCTGATGGCACCACTGCACTGCAGCCTGGGCAACAGAGCAAAACCTTGTCTCATAAACAAAACAAACAAATAAAAAATTTCTTCCTTGACTTGTAAACGATTCTGTAGGTATTGCTAACCTGCTTTCTAGAGGAATTTATTAAAAAATGAAAGTAGGCTGGCTGTGGTGGTTCATGCCCATAATCCCAACACTTTGGGAAGCCAAGGTAGGCAGATTGTTTGAGCCCAGGAGTTCAAGATCAGCCTAGGCAACATGGCAAAACCCTGTCTCTACAAAATACACAAAATTAGCCAAACATGGTGGCATACGCCTGTAGTCCCAGCTACTTGGGAGGCTAAGGCAGGATGATCACTTGAACCCGGAAAGCAGAGGTTGCAGTGAGCCTTGATCGCACCACTGCACTCCAGGAAGCCGAGGCGGGTGGATCACGAGGTCAGGAGTTCGAGACCAGCCAGACCAACATGGTGAAACCCTGTCTCTACTAAAAATACAAAAATTAGCTGGGCGTGGTGGCAGGCACCTGTAATCCCAGCTACTTGGGATGCTGAGGCAGGATAATCGTTTGAACCTGGGAGGCAGAGGTTGCAGTGAGCTGAGATCACACCACTACACTCTAGCCTGGACAACAGAGTGAGACTCCATCTCAAAAAAAAAAAAGTAGACATCTATTTATACATATATATACACACACACATATATACACATACGTACATATATATATATACACACAGACATATATATATATACACACAGACATACATATATATATACACACATGTATATATATAATTTACACATAATTACACAGCTTTTTTAAAGAGAAGTAGGTTATCTCAAGCATTTCAAGGCCAGACACGGTGTCTCACGCCTGTAATCCCAGCACTTTGGGTGGCCGAGGCAGGTGGATCACCTGAGGTCAGTTCAAGACCAGCCTGGCTAACGTGGTGAAACTCCGTCTCTACTAAAAACAAAAATTAGCCGGACATGGTGGCAGGTGCCTGTAATCCCAGCTAGTTAGGAGTCTGAGGTGGGGAGAATTGCTTGAACTAGGAAGGTGGAGGTTGCAGTGAGCCAAGATCGCACCACTGCACTCCAACCTGGGCAACAGAATGAGACTGTCTCAAAAAAAAAAAAAAAAAAAAACATTTCATAACATATCTTAAACATTTTAAGAAGGTGAGAAATAGACCAGGCACAGTGGCTCATGCCTGTAATCCCAGCACTTTGGAGAGGCCGAGGCGGGCAGATCACTTGAGCTCAGGTGAAGGTTGCAGTGATGCGAAATCATGCCATTGCCCTCCAACCTGGGCGACAGAGTGAGACTGTCCCCCCGCCCCCACCGCCAAAAAAAGAAGATGAGAAATAGTAAGATAATATTAACCAGACTAATAATACTACCTATCTGTGAAACATTAGAGATCTTCCAGTTAAAGTCAGAAACCAGAAACCCCAGTGATGCCAACAATCAACGTTATTATTTAGCATTTCTGGAAGTTCTGGCAAATATGTTAAGCCAAGCAAAAGAAACAAAGACAAAAAATTGAGGAAAGAAGACATTGTTTTTATGTGTGGTATGATTATTACATCAAAACCCCAAGAAAATAATTATTACAATTTATAATTCAAGGCTGGGCACGGTGGCCCACACCTGTAATCCCAGCACTTTGGGAGGCTGAGGCGAGCGGATCATTTGAGGTCAGGAGTTCGAGACCATCCTGATCAAGATGGTGAAACCCCATCTCTACTAAAAATACAAAAAAATTAGTCAGGCATGGTGGTGGGTGCCTGTAGTCCCAGCTACTTGGGAGGCTGAGGCAGGAGAATTGTTTGAACCCTAGAGCAGAGGTTGCAATGAACTAAGATCATGCCACTGCACTCCAGCCTGGGTGACAGAGTGAGACTAGGTCTCAAAAAAAAAAAAAAAATTCAGTAACGTAGTCAGTTACAAGATAAGCATTGAACCTGCCTCCCAGGTTTAAGTGATTCTTCTTCCTCAGCCTCCCGAGTTGCTGAGATTACAGGCATGTGCCACCATGCCTGGCTAATTTTTTGTATTTTAGTAGAGAGGGTGTTTCACCATTTTTTGTCAGGCTGGTCTCGAACTCCTGGCCTCAAGTAATCCACCCGCCTTAGTCTCCCAAAGTCCTGGGATTACAGGCATGAGCCACTGTGCCCAGCCTCAATTTGGGTTTTTATGGAAGCTTCATTACATAGTCATTAATGATTACATCATTGGCTGTTGGTGGTCAGCTTAACCTTCAGCCTCTCTCTCTCTCTCTTTTTCTCAGAGGTTGGGAGGTGGCACTGAAAGCCCTGAGAATCAGCCCCAATCCTGAGGCTCTCTAGGAGCCTCCAGCCATCAGTCAATCATTAGCATTAAAAAAAAATCTTATTTTGCAGATTCTGAGGGTTTTAGGAATTGTATGCTGGGAAACAGGGAGGAAGATCAAATATATATTTCACAGTATCACAGGACCACAAAGAGGAGATTGGTCATCAGTGTTTCTCAACAGAAGCACTTTGGCCTCTTGAACAAGCCAGTTTACACACTGTAGAAGTTTAGCATCATTTAAAGTGTGCCACACACTGTTTCCGTTCCACATTCTACACAGAGTGGGAAAATAGTTGTAGTTTATATCCTTTATGTATAAAAAAGTTGGTCAGTTGCCCTTCAAAGCCAACAAATGAAAATGATCTCTAAATCTAACCCCCAAAGACAATCATTTTTAAACAACTTTAGAATATATCTTGTATATATTACTTTAATGTATGTATTCATATATAAACCTGTTTTATACAGAAACAATCTAACGAGGAAGAAAAGTTATACTTTGAGAAAGGAGGAGCCAGGTGCAGTGGTTCATGCCTGTAATCCCAGCACCTTGGGAGGCCAAGGCAGGTAAATCACATGAGGCCAGGAGTTCGAGACCAGCCTGGCTGACACGGCGAAACCCCATCTCTACCAAAATACAAAAATTAGCTGGGCATGGTGGCGCACAACTGTAGTTCCAGCTACTCAGGAGGATCAGGCAGGAGAATCACTTGAACCCAGAAGGTGGAGGTTGCAGTGACCCGAGATCATGCCACTGCATTCCAGCCTGGGCGACAGAGTGAGACTCTGTCTCAAAAAAAAAAAAAAAAAAAAAAATTATTGCTAAGGTAATTTGCTTTGAGTTTGAGACCAGCCTGTCCAACATGGTGAATCCCCGTCTCTGCTAAAGCTTCAAATATGTATATGTACTGGCATATTTTAAAAATAAATTTTAATTTTATAAGATATGTGATTGCTTCCTTACATCTGCCTATTCTTATTTCTGCCTCTTTTTTTTAATAGGCTTTTTTTTTTTTTTTTGGAAATGGAGTCTTGCTCTGTTGTTCAGGCTGGAGCGTGTAGGGCCATCTCCGTTCACTGCAACCTCTGCCTGCTGGGTTCA
The DNA here is from genome assembly GCF_000001405.40 of Homo sapiens. Taxonomy (NCBI): domain Eukaryota; kingdom Metazoa; phylum Chordata; class Mammalia; order Primates; family Hominidae; genus Homo; species Homo sapiens. The sequence goes on from NC_000017.11 coordinate 67,952,364, forward strand.
AGCAATTGTCCTGCCTCAGCCTCCTGAGCATCTGGGATTACAGACACCTGCTACCACGCCCAGCTTTTTTTCTATTTTCAGTAGAGATGGGGTTTCACCATGTTAGCCAAGCTGGTCTTGAACTCCTGACCTCAAGTGATCCTCCCTCCTCGGCCTCCCAAAGTGCTGGGATTCCAGGCGTGAGCCACCACGCCCAGCCAATAGGCTTAATTTTTTAGAGCAGTTTTACGTGCAGAACGTACAGTTCCCATATTATTCCTCCCCCACCCACACACAATTTCCCCTATTAATGTTAGCATGGCACATTTGTTAGAATTAATGAGCCAATAGTGATTATTATTATTATTAACGAAAGTCCATAGTTTACATTAAGGTTCACTCCTCGTGATCTGTGGGCTTGGCAAATCCCTAATGTAACGTATTCATCATCACAGTATCATTCATAATAGTTACACTGCCCTAACAATCCCGTGTGCCACCTTCTTGTTCCTCCTCTTTCCCCCTGTGCTAGTCTTTTTGATAAAATAATTTGTTTTTTAATAAAGCTTATACCTTCATTACATCTTTGAATATATCAATAAAGTTTTTGTCAAATTGTTCTTTACTTTTTTTTTCGAGATAGAGTCTTGCTCTGTCGCCCAGGCTGGAGTGCAGTGGCACGATCTCGGCTCACTGCAAGCTCCGTCTCCCCGGGTTCACGCCAGTCTCCTGCCTCAGCTTCCCGAGTAGCTGGGACTACAGGCGCAGGCTGCAACGCCTGGCTAGTTTTTTGTATTTTTAGTAGAGACGGGGTTTCACCATGTTAGCCAGGATGGTCTCGATCTCCTGACCTTGTGGTCCACCCACTTTGGCCTCCCAAAGCGTTGGGATTACAGGCGTGAGCCACCGCGCCTGGCCTTTTTTTTTTTTTTGAGACGGAGTCTTACTCTGTCACCCAGGCTGGACTGCAATGGCGCGATCTCGGCTCCTGCAACCTCCTCCTCCCAGTTTCAAGCGATTCTCCTGCCTCAGCCTCCCAAGTAGCTGGGATTACAGGCGCCCACCACTGCACTCGGCTAATTTTTTTTTGTTTTTTGAAGAGATAGGGTTTTGCCATGTTGGCCAGCCTGATTTCAAACCCCTGACCTCAGGTGATCCACCCACTGCAGCCTCCCAAAGTGCTAGGATTACAGGCGTGAGCCACCATGCCCGGCCCGTCAAATTGTTCTATAATTTTTTTTTTTTTTTTGGAGAAAGAGTTTTGCTCTTATTGCCCAGGCTGGAGTGCAATAGCACGATCTCGGCTCACTGCAATCTCCACCTCCCAGGTTGAAGCAATTCTCCTGCCTCAGCCTCCCGAGTAGCTGGGATTACAGGCGTGCACCACCATGCCCAGCTAATTTTTTTGTGTATTATTCGGAGAGATGGGGTTTCATCATGTTTGCCAGGCTTGTCTCGAACTCCTGACCTCAGGTTATCCACCCACCTCAGCCTCCCAAAGTGCTGGGATTACAGCTGTGAGCCACTGTGCCTGGCTGTATAATTTCATTTGGAGTGAATTCAGATTAGACCATTGATTTTATTGGCTTTTTTATCTTTTTTCTTTTTCTTTTCTTTTCTTTTTTTTTTTTTTTTTTTTTTTTTTTTTTTTTTTTTTTTTGAGAAGCAGGGCCTTGTTCTGTTGCCCAGGCGGGAGTGCAGCGGTGCAATCACAGCACACCACAGCTTCCACCTACCCAGATCAGTCAGTCCTTCCGCCTCAGCCTCCCAAGCAGCTGGGACTACGGGTACGGGCGAATGCCATGCCACCCTGTCTGGCTAATTTTGGGGTGTTTTTTGTTGTTATTGTTGTTGTCGTTGTTTTTTTGTAGAGACAAGTTTTTGCCATGTTGCCCAGGCTGGTCTCAGAATCCTGGGCTCAAGCAAGTGATCCTCTTGCCTCGACCTCCCAAAGTGCTGGGATTACAGGCATGAGCCACCGTACTCGGCCCTGGTTGTCTTTTTTTCATATTACATGTTTTCCTTTTCAAACATTTAAGTTTTGCAAGCTTATTTTGAGTGAGAGGAGTTTTGTTTTTGTTTTCTCTCCCAAAGCCCAGTGGAGCCCAGTCAACCCTTAACTTCCAACAGGGAGCCGGCTCTTATCACTGCCTCACACACAGCATGTTAGTCTCCCTTACCCCCCAGAAACCCTAATGTTAGTGTTCGGCCACCTCTTCTTCCTTCTGAATCTGGAGCCTAGCAGGCCTGCAGTTTTAGTCCTGCTCACAGTTTTGTGTCTCTATTCCATTGAGATTGTTGTAACTTATTTAAGCATGACTATTTCTTCTCAGTTTCTCTTTTTTATATTTTATTTTCATTTGTATGTTTTTGAAGGGAGAGGGAAGATCAAAGTGTGTGCCCACTATACAATCTTGGTTTTCCCAAAATCCGTCCCATGATGTTATAAACATATGAACTAGGAGATGAAACTCAAGGTTTTCTTTCTAACCTAGGAAGAAGTTCAGTCTCTCTCTATAAATAGAGAAGGGCTGTTGAATAATTTGTCACCTGACTTCTCTTTTGACTTTGTAAGACCAGATAGTCTATAGACAGAAACAGATTCATTAAACCAGGGCCATTCAGGTTTATTTAGTAAAATATTTGTGATATGTTTAAAAGCTTTGGCCGGGTACGGTGGCTCATGCCTGTAATCCTAGCACTTTGGGAGGCCGAGGCGGGCGGATCACGAGGTCAGGAGATTGAGACTATCCTGGCTAACATGGTGAAACCTAGTCACTACTAAAAAAAATACAAAAATTAGCCAGGCATGGTGGTGGGCGCTACTTGGGAGGCTGAGGCAAGAGAATGGCATGAACCCGGGAGGCAGAGCTTGCAGTGAGCCCAGATAGCGCCACTGCACTCCAGCCTGGGCGACAGAGCCAGACTCTGTCTCAAAAAAAAAAAAAAAAAAAAAAAAAAAGCTTCCTGAGGTACTCATGTAATGATTGTTACTAGTGTAGTTGGTGCATAGGGATGGGTGACCCTGCAAAAAAGGGGCACAGCAAACTCTATTTCAGGTACAAATGGACCTTATCTTTAGGCAAATCCTTGAAATTTTGGCAGGGGGGAATCAGGTTTTCCTGTGAGTTTTTTGTTTTTGGCTTTTCATAGACATCTACATGAAGTCTCTGCTTTAGAATCTTAAAACTGTAGCTTCAGAGGCCGGGCACGGTGGCTCATGCCTGTAATCGCAGCACTTTGGGAGGCTAAGGCTGGAGGACCACTTGAGCTCAGGAGTTCGAGACCAGCCTGGCTAACAGGGCGAAATCCTGTCTCTACTAAAAATGCAAAAATTAGCCAGACATGGTGGCGGGCGCATGTAATCCCAGCTACTTGGGAGGCTGAGGGAGGAGAATCACTTGAATCCTGAAGGCAGAGATTGCAGTGAGCCGAGATGACACCACTGCATGACGGAATGAGACTCCATCTCGAAACAAAAAACTGTAGCTTCAGGGATTCACTTAAATTATCATTTATAGGCCAGGAGAGGTGTGGCTCATGGCCTGTAATCCAAGCACTCTAGAAGGCTGAGGCGGGTGGATCAGTTGAGGCCAGGATTTTGAGACCAGCCTGGGCAACATGGCAAAACCCTGTTTCTACAAAAAAGAATTCTCTGGGTGTTATGATACACGCCTGTAAAGACAGGGTCTCGGGCCAGGCGCAGTGGCTCACGCTTGTAATCCCAGCACTTTGGGAGGCCGAGGCGGGCGGATCACGAGGTCAGGAGATCGAGACCATCCTGGCTAACACGGTGAAACCCCGTCTCTACTAAAAATACAAAAAAATTAGCCGGGCGTGATGGCGGGCGCCTGTAGTCCCAGCTACTCGGGAGGCTGAGGCAGGAGAATGGCGTGAACCCGGGAGGCGGAGCTTGCAGTGAGCCGAGATTGCGCCACTGCATTCCAGCCTGGGAGACAGAGCGAGACTCCATCTCAAAAAAAAAAAAAAAAAAAGACAGGGTCTCACTTTGTCACCTATGTTGGAGCACAGTGGTGCCATCATAGCTCACTGAAGTCTTGACCTCCCAGGCTTAAGGGAGCCTCCCACCTCAGCCTTCCAAGTAGCTGGCACTATAGGCATGTGCCACCACACCTGGCTGATTTTTGTATTTTTAGTAGAGATGGTGTTTCGCCACGTTGGCCAGGCTCGTCTTGACCTCCTGGACTCAAGCGATCTTCCAGCTTCAGCCTCCCAGAGTGCTGGGATTACAGGTGTGAGCCACTGTCCTGGACCAATTTTTTTTAAAGAAGGAAAAATAAAATTAATTCAGTTCTACTTAAAAAAAAAAAAAAAAAACGGTCAGGCACAGTGGCTTACGCCTGTAATCACAGCACTTTGGGAGGCCGAGGCGGGCAGATCACGAGGTCAGGAGATCAAAACCATCCTGGCTAACATGGTGAAACCCCATCTCTACTAAAAATACAAAAAAATTAGCCGAGTGTGGTGGCGGGCGCATGTAGCCCCAGCTACTCAGTAGGCTGAGGCAGGAGAATGGCATGAACCCAGGAGGCGGAGCTTGCAGTGAGCTGAGATCGCACCACTGCACTCCAGCCTGGGAGATAGAGCGAGACTCCGTCTCAAAAAATAAACAAAAAAAAAGCTCTTTAAAGGAAACGTGCCCGGCACGGTGGCTCACGCCTGTAATCCTAGCACTTTGGGAGGCTGAGGCAGGTGGATCACCTGAGGTCCGGAGTTCGAGACCAGCCTGACCAACATGGAGAAACCCCGTCTCTACTAAAAATACAAAAATTAGCCGGGCGTGGTGGCACATGCCTGTAATCCCAGCTACTCAGGAGGCTGAGGCAGGTGAATCACTTGAACCCAGGAGGCAGAGGTTGCTGTGAGCCGAGATCGCGCCATTGCACTCCAGCCTGGGCAACAAGAGCGAAACTCCGTCTCAAAAAAATAAAAAAATAAAAAAAATAAAGGAAACGTGGGCTAATTTATTTTCCTGAGAGACTATAAATCATGATGAAATGTTTTGGGAATATTTTTGGTACTTTAAATTATTGTAGAAATTTATAAATGTGTCGGATTTTGGCCAAAGTGGCTCACACCTGTAATCCAAGCACTTTGGGAGGCCAAGGTGGGCAGATCACCTGAGGGTAGGAATTGAAGACCAGCCTAGCCTACATGGTGAAACCCTGTCTCTAAAAGAATTTTTAAAAAAATTTTTAAGTCAGATTTTAAGAAATATTCTTATGGCCGGGTGTAAGTGGCTCATACCTGTCATCCCAGCACTTAGGGAGGCCCAGGCAGGCAGATCACTTGAGCTTAGGAGTTCAGTTACCTGAACAACACAGCAAGACTCCATCTCCTCAAAAAAATTAGCTGGGCATGGTAGTGAGCACCTGTAGCTACTTGAAGGGGTTGAGGTGGGAGGATCACTTGAGCCTGGCAGGTCAAGGCTACAGCAAGCCGTGTTTATGTCACTGCAGTCCAGGCAGGGTGACAAAGTGAGACACTGTCTCCACATAAGAAATACTCTTGGTCATAGCTATGATTTCTTTACACCAAGTTTGTTTGTGGATGCCAATCACAATGGGTTTGTTCCTAGGGTAATAAGGTTTGCTTTGATCATTTCCAAGAGTAAGTTGTACCACTAGATAGCAGAAGAGGTGTGCTTAAAAAGTATGGCAAATGCATATTGAGGAAGTAGTATGTTGGCCAGACACAGAGGCTCACGCCTGTAATCCCAACACTTTGGAAGGCCGAGGCAGGTCACTTGAGGTCAGGAGTTCGAGACCAGCCTGGCCAACATGGTGAAACCCCATCTCTACCAAAAATACAAAAATTAGCTGAGTTTGGTGGCACGTGCCTGTGGTCCTAGCTAGGTACTTGGGAGGCTGAGGTGGGAGGATCACTTGAGCCTGGGAGGTGAAGGGTACAGTGAGCCAAGACTGTGCCACTGCACTCTAGCCTGGGTGACAGAGTGAGACCCACTCTCAAAAAGAAAAAACAGAGTACAGTAAAGAAGCTGGCCAAAACCAAGATGGCGATGAAAGTGACCTCTGGTTGTCCTCACTGCTCATTAAAACTTTTTAAAAAATATATGAAAAGGGGCCAGGCAGTGTGGCTCACACCTGTAATCCCAGGACTTTGGAAGTCTAAGGTGGGTGGATTGCCTGAGGTCAGGAGTTCAACACCAGCCTAGCCAACATAATGAAACTCTGTCCCTACTAAAAATACAAAAAATTAGCTGGGTATGGTGGTGGGTGCCTGTAATCCTAGCTAGTTGGGAGGCTGAGGCAGGAGAATCACTTGAACCCAGGAGGTGGGGAGGTTGGAGTGCGCTGAGATTGTGCCACTGCACTCCAGCCTAGGCAACAAAGCACTTTGGGAGGCCGAGGCGGGTGGATCACCTGAGGTCAGGAGTTTGCAACCAGCCTGGCCAACATGGCGAAACCCCGTTTCTACTAAAAATACAAAAAAATTAGCTGGGTGTGGTGTTGCACGCCTGTAATCCCAGCTACTTGGGAGGCTGAGGCAGGAGAATTGCCTGAACCCAGGAGACATAAGTTGCAGTGAGCTGAGATTGCACCATTGACAAGAGCGAAACTGCATCTCAAAAAATATATATATGAAAAGAAAGTTATCTTTTAAAAAAAGAAAATAGTGCGTTATGTTGCACTACTCTCCCTGCAGTCTGAAATTCTAGACATAGGAGCATCATAATAAATAAGGCAAATCTGCCTCTTTTCTGCTTTATGCTGGTCAGACCACATTTTGAGTCTCAAGGCCAGTTCATGTCCAGTCTCACTGTAAGGACAGAGAGCAAGAGCAACTAGAAGAAAGCAGCCAGTGAGAGAGGATGCTTGAAATCACCTTCTGAGCAACCACAGAAAGAGCCCAGATGGGACAGGGGCAAGCCAGGAGGGACGCTCTTCCTAGCCACTTGGCTCATCTTTCAGTCAGCTCTCCTTTGAAGATAACTAGCAGCTTTCTAGTTGTTCTTACCTAGTCTTCATTTTGTTTCTAGTTGTCTTAGTTGGGTTTAAGATATAAGAAAACTCTTGTTTGCAACTAACTAAAACTCTCACGTTAGGCTGAACTGTGGAGCTACTTTGACAAGAGTGGGTAGTGTACCATCTTCTGGCCAGATCACACATTTACATGACTCTAATGATAGTCTTGTATTGTCTTTAATTGATAACAGGAAGAGCTGAAGAGAGACCTGAAAATTAAGAAAGAAAAAGACCTGATGCAGTTGGCTCAGGCCACAGCAGTAGCTGCACCCTGCCCCCCAGTGACACCAGCTCCTCCAGCCCCTCCAGCCCCTCCACCTTCACCTCCCCCTCCACCTGCTGTGCAACACACAGGCCTTCTGTCCACGCCCACCTTACCTGCTGCTTCCCAGAAGAGGAAGCGGGAAGAGGAAAAAGACTCCAGCTCAAAGTCCAAGAAAAAGAAAATGATCTCTACTACCTCAAAGGAAACTAAGAAGGACACAAAGCTTTACTGTATCTGTAAAACGCCTTATGATGAATCTAAGTGAGTAGATCTTTTTGAGCTCTAGTTTTTTGTCTTGAAAGTTTAGCTATTAAATTGGATTTTGAAGAAAATGAATATTTTGGGAGTGATATAAATGAAAATATTAAATTTAAGAGTAATGTTTCATCCATGGTCTTGCATGTGATATTCTTACCATTGACGCTAGTAAAGTAAAATTTGCTATTTCACGTGTTTGTGATTGTCCTTTGTTATATTCTTTTCTGTCAAAAACAAGCTTTCTGTTGCTCCTTTGCTTTCTCTTCTTCCCTCTGAATTAACTCCAAATCAGTGAGTAATTGATGTCTGGAGAAGGAGGTGTATTACTGTTGCCCAAAATGGAGAGCATCCTTTCTGGGATCTGTTCAAAGCCCTGCGAATACATGAAATCCTGGAAACCAGTTGAACATGAATGGTCAGAGGTTTTGAATTTGAGTGGTTCGGTTTCTTAATTGTTTTATTTTAAGCAGTTGTTTTTTTTTGTATTAAAATACTGCAACTCATATTTTTGTCAAAGTTTCCACTTTCTTATCAGAGACAAAAGCCAGAAAAATACAAAAAGTGTTCCTTTCCCCCATTCCTCAAGCATAACGTCCAACAGTTTGGCAGCTGGAAGCTGTTTTTGACAGTTGTGACTTGTATTTGGTGATATAAACAAGATTATAGAGGCACTAAACCGTAAATGTAGTTTCATTTTTTTGGTCATTACTATCATTTTACAAAATATTTAACTTCTACTTTGAACATTAAAATGTAGTCCAGCTTTTTAAAGCCACAGTTAACCACCATACTTTTTACAGGACCAAAAAGTCTGATTGTGCTTTAAAAACTGATCATTTAGAATCAATTAATTAGAATTAGGAATGCTTAATGCCTACCTTAAGTGGATACCTAATTGATTCCTAAAATAAAATTGTGGTCCCTTTAATGATGTTCAAGTTGCAACATTGAAGCTGCTTTGGTGGTGCTATCTAAATGATAATCTGTTTGCAAATGCCAAATGAAAACTCTTTGTTGGCAGATTGAGCTGTGTGCTGAATTAAACAGAAATCAATTTAGGCATCTTCACTTTTCATTATCTTATCTCATTGGAAATTATACATAATGTAAACAGTAGAACGTGATTCACTGATTTTTTTTTACTTTAGTTTAATACAAGTGTGCCTCACTTTAAGCAAAATATACTAAATGATTTCTGAAACAGGAGTTTCCTTACTTTTTCAGTTAAAAAGATTTGTTTACAGAATTTCTTTAAATAACAAGGCTTCTTTGGCCTGTTTAGAGTATTCAGATCACAGAAATTGATTTCACACACAACTTCTTTGAAATACCTACATTGCATAAAATGAGGCACACAGATACATGTGCCCATTCCATCGAGATTGCCTCATTATTTTGTGTTATTTTATATTTTTCATTTTGTCATTATTAACACTTTAGTATACCAGGTTCATTCACTCCCTATTTTAGTTGAGATGAGTTAGTGTTTCTAAGGAGTGTTTCGTAATCTCTTGTCCCAAACTAGGCTGGTTTGGGAATCCAGTGAGAGTGACTGAAAACTGAAATTCAAGTCCTGAACATCCTTCCAGAACACAGCCTATCACCCTGTGGAGATAACACACAAACTATCTCAGAGGACCCCCACCTGTGGCAGTGAAAATCATGTGAGAGTCATAGTTCAAAAGAAAAAAGTGCTGGGCACCGTGGCTCATACCTGTAATCTCAGCACTTTGGGAGGCCGAAGTGGGAGGATCACTTGAGCCCAGGTGTTTGAGACCAGTCTGGGCAACATAGAGAGACCCCGTCTGTACAAAAAATTGGCCAGGCGTGGTGGCTAATGCCTGTAATCCCAACACTTTGGGAGGCCGAGGTGGACGGATCACCTGAGGTCAGGAGTTCGAGATCAGCCTGGCCAACATGGCAAAACCCTGTCTCTACTAAAAATGCAAAAATTAGCCAGATGTGGTGGCACACACCTGTAATCCCAGCTACTCGGGAGGCCGAGTCAGGAGAATCGCTTGAACCCGGGAGACTGAGGTTGCAGTGAGCCGAGATCATGCCACTGTACTCCAGCCTGGGAGACAGAGCAAAGCTCTGTCAAAAAAAAAAAAGAAAAGAAAAAAAGCCGGGCCTGGTGGCGCATGCCTATAGCCCCAGCTACTCGGGAGGCTGAGGTGGGAGGATCACATGAGCCTGGGAGGTCCAGGCTGCAGGGGGCCGTGATCCTGCCCCTGCTCTGCAGCCTGGGCTATACAGCGAGACAAAAGAAAAAAAGAAAAAAGTTAGTGGTAACAGGATAAACTACATAACCATATATTATTCCTTCACATTCATGAAGCAGGTCAATTTGAAGCTTGAGGACGACTTCCATTCCTCTAGGTGAATCTGCCAAGAAATGCCTTGGTAGAACTAAGAGTGCCAATGGTATCAGCAAGGCCAGTCTGGTTCCCTGTGATTCATGGTAATTCTCACTATGACTTTGACATGGTGTTCCTACACAGTGCCTATCAACACTTATAGACACACTGTGTAAGCGTTTGTTACATTTACTTTTCCTTTTGTCATTAGGTCTTTTGTTACAGAGGCCACTCTGCTCTCCACAATCACACATTTACACAGCTCCCCCTTGCCAAGCAGTGTAGACCCTCACAGGCTTTGGATAACTATCCTTGCATCATTCTCCACACCTTGTCCCCGGTGTTGAACTGAAGCATCTCCTTCCACGTTCCCTGCCCGTTAGTTAGCCAGGCCACTGCCCACATTGTCACAAACATTATATTAACAGGAAAACTGGCCCGTGCCATATTCCATTATGAGAGGTTATTTTTAATTCGATTAAATTCCAATGTTTATTCAGAAAACCTGGTAGAGATTGAATTACTCTATGTACTTTCTTAGTTTTCTTCTTCATATCATATTTTGACCATTTATCTTCTACACCTGGCTGACCTGCATGTTCCTTGTAGTGTAACTTCTACTTGGTGTTTGCGCTTTGCTTTGTTTTCAAATTTAAATTGTGAGATACATTTTCAAACCTATCTAAGAAATAGCCCTGATATTGAAATGGCTTCTGTGGAATAGGTTTGACAGATGTAAGTCTTTGATTCTTTGGCTTTGGTTTTTGTGCCTGTTACAGTTTTACACACATTCATTCAGAGGAAGACATTACCATCAATGTGTTGTTTCTTTTTTCAAATTCCAGTATGTTTTTAAAGACCCATATTTCACTAAGCAGTGTACTTGTTGAAACTGATGTGAGTGACTTTATGTTTCCACATGTGATAGAGCATCAGATACTGGAGTTTGCCAGGAGTAGAATGGTTGGATTCAGAAATGTTTAGCTGACTCATTGCAGGAAGTTACACTGTAAAAAAGTGAATCAAGGCAGGGAAGACAGATTTAAGTACCATGCAGCTCAAAATGACAATTACATTGTCATTTTCATTGTGAATACTTTTAGGTTCTATATTGGCTGTGATCTTTGTACTAACTGGTATCATGGAGAATGTGTTGGCATCACAGAAAAGGAGGCTAAGAAAATGGATGTGTACATCTGTAATGATTGTAAACGGGCACAAGAGGGCAGCAGTGAGGAATTGTACTGTATCTGCAGAACACCTTATGATGAGTCACAGTGAGTTCTGATAAGAGCATCATATTTAATAATTTAGGAAGCCAAATTGCTCTGACTGGTTACTTATTTATTTTAAAATAAAAAGCAGATTTTTTTCTACATTTATTATACACTTACATTACAAATTCCTTTTCATTTTTCTCTTTTTCCCTTTTTACCTACCCTTCAAAATTTATCTTGCTTCATAGTGAATGTTTGAGACACATTGGGGAAAATGTGGTTTAATGGTAGATTTGATTCTTCAATATGTAACATAGAAATTAATGAGATTAAAATAGCCTGACTTGTTTGGACTTTATCAGTGTTTGAAATGGTGCTTTATTGTAGGTTAGAAAAACACTAATTTGGGTACAAGCTCTGAGACTCTGTTATTAGCTTATAGGATTTTGAACACCCATATGGTACAGTACTAGTTGAAAGATTTTTGGCTTTGTTTTCAGCTTTAAAATCAATTGAATGTTTCATATTTATCTTTAAATTGGTTCTCCAGTATTACACAGTGTTCTTATAAATTTTTTTACTGCTTGTTCTTAACATCAAAAATACTAAATTAATGAACTGGAATGTCAATCTTGAAAGTATTAAAACCATAATACTAAAACTATTTTATATCCCAGGGTTTAGCAAATTTTCAGGTGCATGCTTTATTATAAGTAACATCATCCCATGTGTTTTGAACTCACATTTCCATTTCGGATCTTGCAGATTTTATATTGGCTGTGATCGGTGTCAGAATTGGTACCATGGGCGCTGCGTTGGCATCTTGCAAAGTGAGGCAGAGCTCATTGATGAGTATGTCTGTCCACAGTGCCAGTCAACAGAGGATGCCATGACAGTGCTCACGCCACTAACAGAGAAGGATTATGAGGGGTTGAAGAGGGTGCTCCGTTCCTTACAGGTGAGACCCCTCTGTGTGCAGCATTTCAAAATGAAATCAGCCAGCATAATTTTGGAAGCATTTCTAGGATTTCAAGTTTCCAATCTTAGAATGATTATTTACTGACTCCCAGCTAGTCTAGTGAAGTGCCTAACAAACTGCAGTCCTTCACGTACCAGTGCCATGAGCTTTACCATATCCCCACACCACGTCAGCTTATCTCACACTCACAAGAGTGTTAACATGACTCACTTCTTTATACATTTTATTTTTAAGGAGACTTCCTCTCACCCCCATGGATTGAGAAGCAGTATGATTAGATTATAGTTGTTCTTGGCCGGGCATGGTGGCTCATGCCTGTAATCCCAGCACTTTGGGAGGCCAAGGTGGGCGGATCACAAGGTCAGGAGATCAGACCATCCTGGCTAACACGGTGAAACCCCGTCTCTACTAAAAATACAAAAAATTAGCTGGGCGTGGTGGCGGGCGCCTGTAGTCCTAGCTACTCCGGAGGTTGAGGCAGGAGAATGGCATGAACCCGGGAGGCAGAGCTTGCAGTGAGCCGAGATGGCGCCACTGCACTCCAACCTGGGCGAGAGTGTGAGACTCCATCGCAAAAAAAAAAAAAAAAAAAAAAGATTATAGTTATTCTTTTCCTTATGAAAAACAAAAAGGGGACTGGGCGTGGTGGCTAACACCTGTAATCCCAGCACTTGGGGAGGCTGAGGCGGGTGGATCACAAGGTCAGGAGTTCGAGACCAGACTGGCCAAAAGGATGAAACCCCATCTCTCTACTAAAAATACAAAAAATTAGCCAGGTGCGGTGGGGCGCACCAGTAATCCCAACTACTAGGGAGGCTGAGGTAGGAGAATAGCTTGAACCCGGGAGGCGGAGGTTGCAGTGAGCCAAGATCGAGCCACGGCACTCTAGCCCAGGTGACAGTGTGAGACTCTGTCTCAGAAAAAAAAGAAAAACGGGATCGAGATGGTTTGCAGGATTAGCAAGTGATAGAGATATATTGAAGACATAGAAAGCCAGTGTGGTTGCTCACACCTATAATCCCAGCACTGTGGGAGGCCAAGGCAGGAGGATCACTTGAGTCAATGAGTTAGAGACCAACCTGGGCAGCAAAGTGAGACCCCATCTCTACAAAAAAATTTTTTAAAAATCAGCCAGGTACGGTGGTGCACACCTGTAATCCCAGCTACTAAGGAGGCTGAGGCAGGAGAATCTCTTGAACCCGGGAGGCAGAGGTTGCAGTGAGCCAAGATCGAGCCACGGCACTCTAGCCCAGGTGACAGTGTGAGACTCCATCTCAGAACAAAAAGAATAACAGGATAGGGATGGTTTGCAGGATTATCAAGTGATACAGATGTACTGAAGACACAGAAAGCCAGTGTGGTTGCTCACATCTATAATCCCAACACTTTGGGAGGCCAGGGCAGGAGGATCACTTGAGTTGACGAGTTAGAGACCAACCTGGGCAACAAAGTGAGACCCCCACCTCTACAAAACATTAAAAAAAAATGAGCTGCACATGTTGGCACGCACTTGTAATCCCAGCTACTTGGGAGGCTGAGGTGAGAGGATCACTTGAGCACAGGAGGTTACAGTGAGCTATGATCACGCCACTCGACACCAGCCTGAATGACAGAGCGAGACCCTGTCTCAAAAAAGTGGGGGGAAATAAAAGGATATAGTGCACTGGATTGAAACTTTCTCCTGTCGTTATCATAATCAGAAGAATTGAAGTAACTAAAAAGAGAATCATAGTCTCAATGTGTGCTTGAATGTTATCTAACATCACGTCTCTGCTACCTCATCATTAACCAGCTGTGGTAATGATTCCACACTTTGAACCCATCCCACCTGTTGACAGAAGCGATTGCAATGCCAGCATCACTCAGTGACGGCTCATCATGTAGGGCCCAGAATACTGATTTTGTGACTTCTAAGCTTGTGCTCCATTCCCAACACAAAGTCTTCTGACCAGCCTTTGAGTACCATTATTGTAGAGGAAGCTCATCTTAGGTAACTATTACTAGAGCAGAAATCACTTAATATAAAATATTTCATGTATCAAATTTAAAACTCACTTTTGGGTTCATTGATGTAGTAACTCAACCAGGAAACTTAAATGGAATTAGTGTTTTCACTGACAATAATGATGCTGCTTTTTCATTATAGGCCCATAAGATGGCCTGGCCTTTCCTTGAACCAGTAGACCCTAATGATGCACCAGATTATTATGGTGTTATTAAGGAACCTATGGGTAAGTACATGAGTTGAATATGAAGTTTTTCAGAAGTCTCAGTGGATGTTTTATTATCCATAAAATTAATATCTTAGAATATTTTTAGCAAGGCTGGTGGGGGTATAAATTGGTATGGTCACTTTGGAGGGTAAATTGTTAGTATCTATTAAAGTTTAATTGTGGCCGGGTGCGGTGGCTCACGCCTGTAATCCCAGCACTTTGGGAGGCCGAGACAGGCGGATCATGAGGTCAGGAGATCGAGACTATCCTGGCCAACATGGTGAAACCCCATCTCTACTAAAAATACAAAAATTAGCTGGGCATGGTGGTGCATGCCTGTATTCCCAGCTACTCAGGAGGCTGAGGCAGGAGAATCGCTTGAACCAGGGAGGCGGAGGTTGCAGTGAACAGAGATCGCGCCACTGCACTCTAACCTGGCAAGAAAATGAGACTGTCTCAAAAAAATAAATAAATAAATAAAATAAAGTTTAATTGTGCATACTTTTTTTTTCTTTTTTTAATGAGACGATGTCTTGCTTTGTCGCCAGGCTGGAGTGTACTAGCGCGATCTCACATCACTACAACCTCCGCCTCCCAGGTTCAAGCAATTCTCCTGCCTCAGCCTCCCGAGTAGCTGGGACTACAGGCATGCACCACCATACCCAGCTAATTTTTATATTTTTTGTAGAGACAGGGTTTCACCATGTTGGCCAGGATGGTCTCAATCTCCTGACCTTGTGATCCGCTCCCCCTCGGCCTCCCCAAAGTGCTGGGATTACAAGTGTGAGCCACCATACCCGGCCAATTGTGCATATTCTTGAACCCAGCAGTTTCATTTCTTAGGATTTACATGTGCACAAGTATGTTCATTGTGGCAGTGTTTATAATTACAAAAACATTGGAAATGGCGGGGTGGCTCACGCTGGAATCCCAGCACTTCCGGAGGCCAAGGTGGATGGATCACCTGAGGTCAGGAGTTCGAGACCAGCCTGGCCAACATGGCGAAATACGTCTCTACAAAAATAGAAAAATTAGCCAGTTGTGGTGGCAGGCATTTGTAATCCCAGCTGCTAAGGAGGCTGAGGCACAAGAATCACTTGAACCCGGGAGGCAGAGGTTGCAGTGAGCTGAGATCACGCCACTGCATTCCAGCCTGGACGACAGAGCGAGACTCTGTCAAAAAAAAAAAAAAGATTGGAAATGAAATAAGTAGCCATCAATAGAGGAGTAGCTATATCAGATGGTGTCTGAGTGGAGTATTATGCAGCTTTATAAAAGAATGAATGAAATTAATGAATGGGTTGGGGTCTCTTTGATCCTCTCATCCTTCTCCATTTACTTCTTCTTTTTCTGAAGGAGAGTAAATTTTATGAACTAGAGAGAATACCCTCATTTCCCAGAAAAAAAAATGGTAATAGGAGCCACGAGTAATCGTATCAACACGAATGGCTACAAATGATTTTACTAAAAAATAATTTATCTGCAAAAGAAATTAGAAAAATTAAAACATAGCTAAAACCTTCCAAAGGATCACTTACCACTAATGAAAGAATTATGTTCCAAAAGCCAGCTAAGCATTTTTTTTAATGAGAAGAGTTTGTGTTTCATGGCAGCATGAAAGAGGGGGAAACATGAAGTGGAAATAAATGAAAACTATCTCTGAAAAATAAACGTAATGAAGTAGTTATTATCTCTGTTCTCCTGATGTTGAAAATAGAAGGAGTTAATCATTGTACATATTTCAAATTTGGGTAGTCGCCTTTGAGAAAGTACCTGGGATGTTTACTAAAATAATAAGTTAATTATGCTGGTAATAGAAGTAATAATACAAGTTAATGGTAGAAAATTCATAAAATAAGGTCAGGTGCGGTGGCTCACGCCTGTAATACCAGCACTTTGGGAGGCTGAGGTGGGTGGATCACGAGGTCAGGAGATCGAGACCATCCTGGCTAACACGGTGAAACCCCGTGTTAGCCCGTCTCTACTAAAAATACAAAAAATTAGCCGGGTGTGGTGGCGGGCACCTGTAGTCCCAGCTACTCAGGAGGCTGAGGCAGGAGAATGACGTGAACCCGGGAGGTGGAGCTTGCAGTGAGCCAAGATTGTGCCACTGCGCTCTAGCCTGGCTGACAGAGCGAGACACGTCTCAAAAAAAAAAAAGAAAGAAAATTTAGAAAATAAATACTATACAAAATTAGCCCGGCGTGGTGGCACATGCCTATAATCCTAGCTGCTCGGGAGGCTGAGGCGGAGAATTGCTTGAACCTGGAAGGCAGAGGTTGCATTGAGCCGAGATCGCGCCATTGCACTCCAGCCTGGGTAACAAAAGCGAAACTCCATCTCAAAAAAATAAAAAATAAACAAAATAAATAAAGAAGATAGGCCAGGCACAGTGGCTCATGCCTGTAACCCCAGCACTTTCACAGGCCGAGACAAGCAGATGGCTTGAGCCCAGGAGTTCAAGACCAGCCTGGACAACATGGCAAAACCCTGTCTCTCCAAAAAAAATTTTTTTGAATCAGCCAAGGCCAGGCGCAGTGGCTCATGCCTATAATCCCAGCACTTTGGGAGGCTGAGGCAGGCAGATTGCTTGAGATCAGGAGTTCAAGACCAGCCTGGCCAACATGGTGAAACCTCATCTCTACTACAAAAAAAAAATACAAAAATTAGCTGGGTGTGGTGGCGGGTGCCTGTACCCAGCTACTAAGGAGGCTGAGGCACAAAAATCAGTTGAACCTGAGAGGCAGAGGTTGCTGTGAGACAAGATCGCGCCACTGCACTCCAGCCTGGGCAACAGAGAAAAACTCTGTCTCCAAAAAAAAAAAAAAAAAAAAAAAGAGATAGCCATTGCTTTTGGTGTGTTCTTGTATGCATGGGTGTTAAAATTCATATCATACAGTGAATACATTTTCCTATGTAAATCTTCTTCGAAAACCCATGATTTTAATGGGTTTTTATGGTCCATTAGTTGAATATACCTTAGCTTATTTAACCAAAATTATTTTCTTGAAGACCTGGTTTTCCTGTTTGTTTTTGTTTTTTTTAATACCAAGATAAGCCCCAAATGGTGGTTCCCCCAGCACTTTGGCCAAGGCAGGTGGATAGCTTGAGCCCAGGATTTTAATACCAGCCTGGGCAACATAGTGAGATCCTGTCTTTACAAAAAAACAAAAAATGCTCAGGAGGCTGAGGCAGGAGAATCGCTTGAACCCAGGAGGCAGAGGTTGTGGTAAGCCAAGATCGCACCATTGCACTCCAGCCTGTGGAACAAGAGTGAAACTCCGTGTCAAATAAATAAATAAAAACAAAAAATGGCTGGGCGCAGTGGCTCATGCCTGTAATCATAGCACTTTGGGAGGCCGAGGCAGGCAGATCACCTGAGGTTGGGAGTTCAAGACCAGCCTGACCAACATGGCGAAACCCTGTCTCTACTAAAAATACAAAAGTAGCCAGGCGTGGTGGCACATGCCTGTAATCCCAGCTACTTAGGAGGCTGAGACAGGAGAATTGCTTGAACCTGGGAGGTGGAGGTTGCGGTGAGCTGAGATCACGCCATTGCACTCCTCCAGCCTGGGCAGCAAGAGTGAAACTCCATCTCAAAAAAAAAAAAAAATTTAGCCAGGCATGGTGCCTCATGCCTGTGGTCCCAGCCCGAGAGACTGAGGCAGGACGATCACTTCAGCTGGGAGGTGGAGGCTGCAGCGAGCCATAATCGCACTACTGTACTCGAGCCTAGGCAACAAGCGAGACCTTGTCCCACAAACGTAATAATAAAATACATATATACATACATACTAAGTTAAACATAATCTCCTATATCTCCTAAGTAGGTACATAAAGATAATAATATAGATCTCTAAAACGTATTGTTGGGAAAAGAAGTGAAAGTTACAGAGCAGTACCCAGATTTTAAGCAGTAAACATTTATTTTCTAAGAGTACCTAAATGTGTTTAGAAATGCATAGAAAATGTCTGGAACAATATAGACTAAATTGAAAATAGTAATTTTCTTTGAGGATATAAGGGAACCAACAAAATCAGCAACTTTTATATTCTTAAATAGAAATAGGTTTAAATGAATTATGTTTGCTAATGTATTTTGTAAACTTAATACTTTTTCACATCAGCTGTTATAGACCTACATCATTTTAAATTATATGAAATTAAAATTAACAGCCCCCATCAATAGATTTTTTTATTGTGTGTAGTTTTTGCTAGTATAAACAACATGCCACTGGACATCTTTGTTTATACATCTGCCTGTACTTGTTTGTTCTAAGAAAACAGTCTCCAGGTGAAAGGGTCTAAGTACATTTTAGGCTTTGCTGTTGTTGTTCTGCCCAGGCTGGAGTGCAGTGGCGCCATCACCAGCTGACTGCATCCTCGTCCTCCCAGGTACAGCTGATTCTCCCACCTCAGCCTTCTGAGTAGCGGGGATGTAGTATACTTTTTTTGTTTGTTTGTTTTTTGAGATGGACCGCCCAGGCTGGAGTGCAGTGGCGCTATCTCGGCTCACTGCAACCTCAGCCTCCCGGGTTCAAGCAATTCTCCTGCCTCAGCCTTCTGAGTATCTGGGATTACAGGCATGCGCCACCACACCCAGCTAATTTTTGTATTTTTGGTAGAATCAGGGTTTCACCATGTTGGCCAGGCTGATCTCGAACTCCTGACCTCAAGGGATCCACCTGCCTTGCCCTCCCAAAGTGCTGGGATTATAGGCGTGAGCCACCGCACCTGGCCCATTTTAGGCTTTTTTTTAAAAACAATGTCCAGGCCAGGCAAGGTGGCTCATCACTGTGACACCTCCACACTTCAGCATGGGCTACAAAGTGAGACGCTGTCTTTAAAAAAAAAAAAAAAGAGTTATTTTTAAATTACACTTTAGGGCCGGGCACGGTGGCTCATGCCTGTAATCCCAGCCCTTTGGGAGGCTGAGGCAGGCGGATCATGAGTTCAAGAGTTCAAGACCAGCCTGGCCAACATGGCGAAACCCCGTCTCTACTAAAAATACCAAAATTAGTCGGGCATGGTGGTGTGTGCCTGTAATCCCAGCTACTCAGGAAGCTGAGTCAGGAGAATTGCTTGAACCCAAGAGGCAGAGGTTGCAGTGAGCCAAGATCGTTGCGTTGCAGTGATCTGAGATCATGCCACTGCACTTCAGCCTGGGCAATAGAGTGAGACTCCATCTCAAAAAAAAAAAAAAAAAGAGAAGAAAAAAATTACACGTTAGCAAATTGAACCAGCTTCCACTAATAGTGTATATCTATGGCATTCTGTCTGCGCTATTGGAAAACACTGAGTATTATCACTCTTTTGAGGGGTATATTTTTTGTCTTTGAGAATATTTATTTCAAAAGTAGTGTGTTTTATGGTGTACAAATGCAGATGTTACAGAGATGTAAAATGTAATATTTACCACTACTCCTATAGTGTCCCCTATAGTTAACCTCTGTTAATAGGCCAGTGTTACCATTTTTAATTTCTGCTAATTTGGCAAAGAAAGTGTTTTTATGTAAGAGTTTCCTATTCACATATTTCTTATATTTTTCTCTCGAGATATTTGGATTGTTATCAGTATTATTTAAGGGCTTTTATTTTATTATTTTATTTTTTTTGAGAAGGAATCTCACTCTGTCACCCAGGCTGGAGTGCAGTGTCGTGATCTTGAATCACTGCAACCTCTGCCACCCGGGTTCAACCGATTCTTCCACCTCAGCCTCCCAAGTAGCTGGGATTACAGGCGCCCACCACCATACCTACCCAGCTAATTTCTGTATTTTTAGTAGAGACGGGGTTTCACCATGTTGGTTGACCAGGCTGGTCTCGAACTCTTGACCTCAGGTAATCCGTCCGCCTCTGCCTTCCAAAGTGCTGGGATTACAGATGTGAGCCACTGCGTCTGGCTATTTAAGGGCTATTTATATACTAAAGACAAGTAAAAGTTTCATAGATTTTTTGGCATATGGTAGTTTTTAACATTTTTTGGAGTCATATCTATTAATCATTATAAACTCAGCCTTTGGTGTCATGCTTGGAGTCTTTTTCCTCCTCCATAATATATACTCACCTATGTGTTCTCCTAGTACCTTAAGGGATACCTAATTAACTTGGAACCATACAATGTCCAAGCATTATTCACATACTTTATTAAAATGAAAATTAGTCAAGCAGTAAGTAACCAGAACATAATATAAGTATGAACCAAGAATGTCCTAGTGTGATGTGTGCGTTCTTTCCTGAACACCTTACATGAACCTACAGCATCGATGTGCCAAGTCTTGGAATCCAACTCTGTGTGTTTTCACAGTTCTTCACATTTACACATTTTTTTTCTTTAACTGCATAAACTGGAGCTTTCAAAGAGTAGTGTGTCTGTGTGTGTACTAAAATATATATATTTATATATATATATATTTTATATATATATAAATATATATATAATATATATATATAAGGCCAGGCACGGTGGCTCACGCCTGTAATCCCAGCACTTTGGGAGGCCGAGGCAGGAGGATCACGAGGTCAGGAGATTGAGACCATCCTGGCTAACACGGTGAAACCCCGTCTCTACTAAAAATACAAAAAATTAGCAAGGCATGGTGGCAGATGCCTGTAGTCCTAGCTACTCCAGAGGCTGAGGCAGGAGAATGGCCTGAACCCGGGAGGTGGAGCTTGCAGTGAGCTAAGATCCCGCCACTGCACTCCAGCCTGGGCGACAGAGCGAGACTGTCTCAAGAAAAAAAAATAAAATATATATATAACAAAATTTGCCATTTTAATCATTTTAATAAACCCACAATTATCTTGGCATATAATGAGAGAGAATTTTTTTTTCCAGATTTGTAGGCAGTTGCCCCAAACCCTTTTTTTGTTTTTGTTTTTTGAGACATTGTCTGGCTCTGTTGCACAAGCAGTGGTGAGTGCAGTGGTGCGATCTTGGCTCACTGCAGCCTCCACCTCCTGGGTTCAAGGGATTCTCCCCTCAGCCTCCCTAGTAGCTGGGATTAAAGGCATGTGCCACCATGCCTGGCTTATTTTTGCATTTTTAGTAGAGACAGGGTTTCGCTGTGTTGGCCAGGGTGGTCTCGGAACTCATGACCTTGGATGATACGCCCACCTCGGCCTCCCAAACTGCTAGGATTACAGACGTGAGCCACCCCAGCCGCAACCTCATTTATGAATGAACTCCTTTCCCTACTGACTTGAAGGGACACCCTTAATATATGTGAAATTCTTATACTAGATACAGTTAAATCTGTTCCTGTTTTGAACTTGTCTGCGTTAGTGTTTGTGTTGTTCTGCATGCTGCCACACTTTTCATTACCACAGCTTTAGAATATTTTTTAATGTCTGACAGATAAGATTATCTCATTACTTTTCAGATATTTCTTAGGTATTCTAGTACTTTTATTTATTGGTTGAACTTCCAAATCACTTTCAAATTCTAAAATATTCACTAACCTTTAGTTTGAAATGTGTTGTCTGTCTACCCTAGATTGATTGGAGATTACTGGCCTTTCACTCTCTCAGATATTTATGTCAAATTGTATACAGAATTTTATTTCAAACACGTCGTTCTCCTAGGATCAATGTTGTTTCAGATAGATTTATTTCAGTCAGTACATTCCAAAGCAGTTGCCTGCTCTACAGCAAAAAAAAAAACAAACTTGTTTTCCTGTGCTCTCACGCTACGGTCAACGTGGGAGAATTCTGTTTGGCGGCCTCTGGTCAGCAAGAAGTGGGTGGGGATTTCTCCCCATGAACAACCAATCCAGCCTCAGACCCCACCTGAGTGTCTTCTAATTCAATTCAATTCAATTCTGACACTATCTACCTGAAGATAGGGTTAGATCCCACAGGTTGGGTACTCAGTCCCCAAGATTACCCCCTCTTCAGATGCCGGTCGCCAGCCCCAGGTGGTTTTACCTGCACGTCTGACCATCTGGCTATAAATCAGGGTTCCCACAAACCTCTCCTAAGGTTCAGTAATTTGCAGGAGCAGCTCACAGAACTCAGGGAAACACCTACTTAGGCTTACCGGTTTCTCAAGGACACTGCAAAGGATTCCGATGAACACCAGGTGGAGAAGATGCACGGGGCAATGCTGTGGGGAGGGGTGTGGAGTCTCCCATGCCCTCTCTGGGCACACCACCTGACAGTTGCCTCCACATGTTCAGCTGTATCAGGAAGCTCTCCGAACCCGGTCCTTCTGGGTTTTTAGGAAAGCTTCATTACGTAGGCATGAGTGATTACATCATTGGCCATTGGTGATCAGCTTAACCTTCAGCCCCTCTCCCCTTCCGGAGGTTGGGGGATGGGACTAAAAGTCCCAACCCTCCAATCCTGACTAGGTCTTTCCGGTGACCAGCCCCAATCCTGAAGCTATCTAGGGAATTCCAACCACCAGTCATTAACATATAAAAGAAACTCTTATCACTCCGGAGATTCCAACCGTGTTAGGAGCTAAGTGTCAGGAAATGGGGACAAAAACCAAATATATATTTCACAATATCACACCCATCTATCACCATAATGATTTTCTCCTTTCTGCATATTGCCTGTACTATTACATACTAATATTCGTATCAGCTGATATTTTTCCCTTACATTTAAGTGGACACTTATCAATCCAGTCATGAATGGTAAGACAGTATCACTTTGTCACAAATAAAAGGTAACAATAAAAATAAAGCAAAATGATGTTATTAAAGTCTAATACCAGGATCATAAAGCCACTAGTACAGAGATTTTGTTCTTAATTCTGGATTCCCATCTTTGTACATACACTAAATGGTTTGCATGTAAAAATGCATTATACTTAGATATGCATAGAGCATGTCGGTGTGTTTCCTTGATTTCAAACCATTTGAATGAAGAACGGTTCTGTGCAGTTACCTGAAAGTAAAAGAACCTTAACAGCAACCCGGATTTATATTTTAGAACCTCAATCAGAAACAAAATTGGAAAAGTACTCTTTTGTTCTTTATGAATTGCAAAATAACCTCCAGGGTGAACCAGCCTGGCTCCAGGACTGCTTGCACAGTAAACATATATACTTGTTAGAACTTCGGAGAATATTCACATTGGAAAAACCTTAAAGCTCTGAAAATGTTTTACATTTTGTGTTTTTAAGACCTTGCCACCATGGAAGAAAGAGTACAAAGACGATATTATGAAAAGCTGACGGAATTTGTGGCAGATATGACCAAAATTTTTGATAACTGTCGTTACTACAATCCAAGTGACTCCCCATTTTACCAGTGTGCAGAAGTTCTCGAATCATTCTTTGTACAGAAATTGAAAGGCTTCAAAGCTAGCAGGTGAGCAGATGGGTTCGGTATTCTGAATTAATTCAACTCTTCACACTCTTTATACTATTCTGTCTAACGATTCAACCAGTGCAGTTTATGGTAAATTTAACCTTAAATATCTTTAAAAAAAAAATAAATAAATCAAGACTCCAGGGTTATGATCTACTGCCAAGGAGAAGTGGACAAATTGCTGGGTTTGTTGTTGATCTACTTAAAGTCTTTTTTTGAAAATTCAAGAAGTGGCCGGGCATAGTGGCTCACGCCTGTAATCCCAACACTTTGGGAGGCCAAGGCAGGCAGATCACCTGAGGTCAGGAGTTCGAGCCCAGACTGGCCAACATGGGGAAACCCCGTCTCTACCAAAAATACAAAAATTAGCCAGGTGTGGTGACGCACGCATGTAATCTCAGCTACTTGGGAGGCCGAGGCACAAGAATCACTTGAACTTGGGAGGCGGAGGTTGCAGTGAGCCAAGATCACACCACTGCATTCCAGCCTGGGTGACAATGAGACTCTCACAGGAGGTGGGGGGAACATCCCAGCCTTGTCAACATAATGAGACCATGTCTCTACAAAAATTTAAAAAATTAACCAGGCATAGTGGCATGCACCTGTAGTCCTAGCTACTCAGGAGGCTGTGACAGGACGATCACTTGTGCCCAGGAGTTCAAGGCTGCCGTGAGCTGTGATTACACCACTGCTCTCCAACCTGAGTGACAGAGTGAGACCCTGTCTCAAAAAAAAAAAAAAAAAAAAAAAAAAAAAATAAGAATAAAAGAAGAATTTCCTGAGCTGATGATTGTCACAGGACTTTAAATTCTAGCAGAATAAATTCCTTCACTCAGCAAATAACTTTTGAGAACCTGATGTGTGCCTGATACTGGGAATTTAGCAGTGAATAAATTAAAGCCCCTGCACTCTATGAGGGGTGGGTGGAGCAAGGGGGACAGTTGATAAACATCATAAACCAGGTAGACAAATGGAAAAAGACTCACCCCTACATACATCGCTATAAAATTTCCAAATGCTAAGAATAAAAGAAACTCTTAGATAAAACCGACAATCTATAAAACAAGAATTAGATTGGTGTCAGATTTTTCTGCTGTGACATTTAGTGCTAGAAGATTATGGAAGAATAAATCTAAAAGTTTAAGAAAAAATGATTGTCAGCCTAGAAGTCTGTGCAGCCAGTCAAGTTTAGAGGCAGAATAAATATATTTTCAGTCATGTGAGGACTCAGGGCATCCTTTCTTGGCAGGTATTTTTAAAAAGTGTGTGCTATTGGCCAGGCATGGTGGCTCACGCCTGTAATCCCAGCACTTTGGGAGGCCAAGGTGGGTGGATCACTTGAGGTCAGCAGTTCAAGACCATCCAGACCAACATGGCAAAACCCCATCTCTCCTTAAAATACAAAAATTAGGCAGGCATAATGGTGCACGCCTGTAGTCTCAGCTACACAGGAGGCTGAGGCATGAGAATCGCTTGAACCCGGGAGGCACAGGCTGCAGTGAGCTGAGATTGCGCCACTGCATTCCAGCCTTGGTGTCAGAGTGAGACTCCATCTCAGAAGAAAAAAAAAAAGTGTGCTGTCAAAAATAAGGAAACAAATTTTTTCCTTTTAATAATGTATCTTCCTGTAATCCCAGCACTTTGGGAGGCCGAGGCGGGCGGATCACGAGGTCAGGAGATGGAGACCATCCTGGCTAACACGGTGAAACCCCGTCTCTACTAAAAATACAAAAAAATTAGCTGGGCGTGGTGGCACATGCCTGTAATCCCAGCTACTAGGGAGGCTGAGGCAAGAGAATCACTTGAATCTGGGAGGCGGAGCTTGCTGTGAGCCGAGAAGGCGCCACTGCACTCCAGCTTGGGCGACAGAGGGAGATTCCATCTCAAAAAAAAAAAGTATCTTTTTTTTTTTTGAGACGGAGTTTCACTCTTGTTGCCCAGGCTGGAGTGCAATGGCGCGATCTCGGCTCACCACAAGCCCCACCTCCCGGATTCAAGTGGTTCTCTTGCCTCAGCCTCCCTAGTAGCTGGGATTACAGGCATGTGCCACCACGCCCGGCTAATTTTGTATTTTTAGTAGAGACCTGGTTTCTCCATGTTGGTGAGGCTGGTCTCAAACTCCCGACCTCAGGTGTTCTGCCCACCTCGGCCTCCCAAAGTGCTGGGATTACGGGCGTGAGCCACCGCACCCGGCCATGATGTATCTTTTTATTTAGGGACAGGGTCTTGCTATGACCCAAGCTAATCTTGAACTCCTGAGCTCAAGCGATCCTCCCACCAGCCTTGGCCTCCCAAAGTGCTGGGGCTGTGAACCACTGTGCTGGGCCAGAAATATATATATATATATATATTTTTTTTGAGACAGAGTCTCACTCTGTTGCCCAGGCTGGAGTTCAGTGGCACAATCTCGGCTCGCTGCAACATCTGCCTCCTGGGTTCAAGCAATTCTGCTGCCTCAGCCTCCCAAGTAGCTGGGATTACAGGCAGCCACCACCATGCCCAGCTGATTTTTGTATTTTTAGTAGAGACGGGGTTTCACCATGTTGACCAAGCCGGTCTCAAACTGCAGACCTCGTGATCCGCCTGCCTCAGCCTCCCAAAGTGCTGGGATTACAGATGTGAGCCACCGTGCCCGGCCAGAAATTTTTGTTTATTTGAGTTCAGAAAACAAGTGGTTCAGGAAAGCAATGAGAATTACTCTGACCCAAGATGACATTTATACAGCAGGCTGTAAAATGTCAGCAGACCAAATCCTAGCAGGAGAATGGAGCACTCCCCAGAGGCTCAGTAGAGCAAGAAAATGACTCATACATTAGATAATTTGTTTAAGACAGAAAAACATAAGGCTATGATTAAGCCAAAGAACGTCAGGGATAAAAATGAAAGGCAATTAGAAACGCCACTAAAAACAGAAAGTTGTGTAAGTGTACCCTGTTAGCTGGGCACGGTGGCTCATGCCTGTAATCCCAACACATTGAGAGGCTGAGGCAAGAGGATGCTTGAGCCCAGGAATTCTAGACCAGCCTGGGCAACATGAGGAAACCCCATCTTTACAAAACACAAAAATTAGCCAGGCATGGTGATGTACACCTGTGGTCCCAGCTGCTTCAGAGGCTGAGGTGGGAGGATTGAGCCCATGAGGTAGACGCTGCAGTGAGCCATCTTCATGCCACTGCACTCCAGCCTGGAAGACACAACAAGACCCTGTCTCAAAAAAAAAAAAAAAAAAAAAGGCCCTGTTAGCAAAGGACTAGGTGCTACAGAGAAAAATATTTACATTTTCGTAGTAACGTAAATAATGACATTGGGCCGGGCACGGTGGTTTACATCTGTAATACCAACACTTTGGAAGGCCAAGGCACGTGGATCATCTGAGATCAGGAGTCGAGACCAGCCTGGCCAACATGATGAAACCCTGTCTCTACTAAAAGTACAAAAATTAGCCAGGTGTGGTTGCACATGCCTGTAATCCCAGCTACTCAGGAGGCTGAGACAGAATCACTTGAACCTGGGAGACGGAGGTTGCAGTGCACCAAGACCGCGCCACTGCACTCCAGCCTGGGCCACAAGAGCAAAACTCCGTCTCAAAGATAATAAAAATAATGACATTGGTTTTCGACTTTTAGAATCACCCTATAGACAAAGCATAGAATGATATAATTTTTAAATTATAGGGAAATAAAACTTGGACTCAAAAAAGGGAGGTTGGGAAATGGTTAAGTGAGCTTGGTTCTCCTTGCCATAGCAGGGCTTAAACAAAAGTTGATAAAACAAGAAATAGCAGTATAAGAAATTACCCTGGCCGGGCGCAGTGGCTCATGCCTGTAATCCCAGCCCTTTGGAAGGCCGAGGCGGGCGGATCACCTAAGGTCAGGAGTTCAAGACCAGCCTGGCCAACATCGTGAAACCCCGTCTACACTAAAATAAAAAAATTAGCTAGGTGTGGTGGTGCACGCTTATAAGTCTCAGCTACTTGGGAGGCTGAGACAGGAGAATCACTTGAACCTTGGAGGCGGAGGTTGCAGATCGCACCACTACACTCTAGCCTGGGCAACAAGAGTGAGACTCCGTCTGAAAACAAACAAACAAAAAAAAACCTACCCAGGCCGGGTGTGGTGGCTTATGCCTGTAATCCTAACACTGTGGGAGGCTGAGGTGGGTGAATCACTTGAGGTCAGGGGTTCAAGACCAGCCTGGCCAACATGGTAAAACCTCGTCTCTACTAAAAATACAAAAATTAGCTGGGCCTGGGGGCAGGCACCTGTAATCCCAGCTACTGGGGAGGCTGAGGCAGGAGAATCATTTGAACCTGGGAGGAGGAGGTTGCAGTGAGCTGAGATCCTGCCACTGCACTCCAGCCTGGGCAACACTGAGGCTCCATCTCAAAAAGAAAAATACATCTACCCAGAGAACTGAAAAGTCAAAGGGATTGATCATAGGGAGCCTGGATTTCAGATGGAGTTAAGGTAGGACAGAGGAGCACAACTTCTCATTATAAGCCCCTCTATGCTTTTTCATTTGTACATCGTGGTTATTCCTCTGGTTCAGTTTCTAAAATTGCTTTTTTAAATTGGGAAGGCCTTTGGTGGTAACTGTGAGGTAGAAGCCAAGGAGTGTGAATCCTACCCTGCTGCCAGCTTGCTGGCAGAGCCCACAGGATGACTGCTGGCAACTGCTGATGAAGGAGAGGAAATTGCCTGGAGGTCCTGGGGACTGTAGGCAAGACAAAGGGAATTGGTAAAGGAGAGATGGAGGCCTAGGCTGGGCCTGCACAGTGAAGGGGCCACTTAGGATGTCTTCTTGCCACGTGGTTATTTTATGTAGTTTTTAAATATACTCAAGTTGACATAATTTTCATTAAAGCACATGGGAGCTGAATTGAGAAGTTTGCTCAATTCTGCTTAAATAAACAAATTAGGCTGTGTGCAATGGTGCATGCCTGTGATACCAACACTTTGAGAAGCCAAAGCAGGCAGTTCGCTTGAGCCCAGGAGTTTGAGACCAGCCTGGGCAACATGGGGAAACCCCATCCCTACAGAAAATACAAAAAATTAGCCGGGCATGGTGGCATGTGCCTGTAGTCCCAGCTACCCAGGAGGCTGAGGTAGGAGGATCACCTGAGCCCTGGAGGTTGAGGCTGCAGTGAGCTGTGATTGCGCCACTGCACTCCAGACTGTGCTACAGAGTGAGACCTTGTTTCAAAACAAAACAAAACAAAACAAAATTACAATGTAAAGAGTTGTATAAGGGCAACTTGCTGTTGCCTTTTTAGGGAATTTCTATTGTTTTCCAGATTTAAGGCAGAATGAAACATAACTAGCCAGTTATTGAAAATTGATTTATTTATGGATTTTCAGAATTTCCTTTGCCATATTTTCCCATTTTATGATCTCCAGCATTGTTTGCACATTGTTTTCATTACTGCACTTTGTTATAATTCATCATTTATACCATCCATATTCTTTCTTTTCTTACAGATTGTGATATCTTTAGTCTGAATTTTTAACTGGAATCAGAACTGGATGTTGGGGTCACTCTTTGTTTTATTGTACCTCGTGATTACCTAATTCAAAATTGCCCCCCAAAAAGTCAGATTAGTTAATATAATTTTTTAATGTTAAAGATGTATCGTGGTAAAAAATTTACTCTAGCAGCCATGTTGAACAATGTATTTAAAAATTGTAAACTCTTGGAATACTGTATTTATCTGCTATTTCAATATAAAGTCCTTTGACTTAGTCCTGGTAACTGTACAGTAATTTGGTTTACTAATGAAAGTTGTGAATAAAACTGTGAAACTAGAAGGGAGACTTTCTGGACTTTAATAGAAAAATGTGATTTTAAGATTGCTTTTTCTTTTGTTTTAGCGTAATTTTTCCCTTTATATTCCCCTCATCAATGTAAATAAACACACACACACACACACACACACACACACACACACACCTTTCACCACAATGGTAATGCTTCTGTAAATGCCTCTATTTGTCCAGTTGGCTGAAAATGTTGTAATCTTTATTAGACAAATATATATATATATATATATATATATATATATATATATATTTAAATATTGGCTTTTTCCAGTGAGCTATTATGTTTAGTGTACAGTGAAAAGTTTTAATATTATAGGTTAAAATTTTCTTAATCGTTCTTTTCTATTCGCTTGCCAAGGGTGAATGAAAGAACATGGCTGCTTCTCCCAGACTGACTGACCTTGGCATCCGCATAAAGCATCATTGTTTTCAAAAATGAAGGGTGCTTAATTGTTCCCTTTTTTCTATATTCTGTAGGTCTCATAACAACAAACTGCAGTCTACAGCTTCTTAAAGTTCAGCGTGTTAACCTAACATAAAACACAGCAAGAATCTGGTTGTCTGAACTATTTTAAATTAAGGAGCCAGATGTTTTTAGTCAGGCTATCCTGACAAGACTTGACCTAAACTTCGTTTTTATTGGTCATAACAGTCCAATTATATTCTTGGCCAATTTTGTCCAACGGACAAGAAAAAAGCAAAGTCAACGACACCATTATCTTGTCAAGATCAGATGGTTTTACTATTGTGGCAGAAGCGAGAAAACTTTGTTTATTGAAAAAAAAAGAAAAAGAAAGCAAGAAAAAAAGATACTATGGGGTCAAGTGTAACTCCATGGAAATGCCACGTCTGCTCTTCAGTGAAGAAGCTGGTTTAGAGTCTCACAGAAAACTTTTGACTGTATTTATTTATTGTTGCAAAAAAGACGCTTTTTTATTGCTGCCCTCATTTGTCAGCTAATTATTTTTTCTTATAAAATCCAGCCCCGGTTACATATAATCATCTGTATCTTATCATGATTCCTGTAGGTAAAAGTACAAGACGACCTCTAGATGTCTTTTCTTTCTATGAAAGGAGCTGCTATGTACACATGTGCACACACACACAACTGGGAATCAACAATGAGTTTATTGTTCATGGTAGATTAAAATTAAGCTTGCATAAAGGTTGGGCTAAGTGGTCCTGGACTACAGACTCTGTTGCCTTGAATATAACAGTACAATTTGTCAATTACTCTGCACCAGGCTAAAATGAGTAAAATCTATTTGAAGGTATCTTGTTTGTAAACATTTGTCAGATTCTAATTTTTTTCTTTTGTATTAAAATTCAACTATGGATGTATATGAAACAAAATAAATGGAGATAATTTTTCTCCCACAGACAGAGGTGTCTTTGAATGTGCGCTAATGATTATCTGTAAGCCTTTGTGGGGAGGGAGGCCTGCAAGGTCATGAAAGGCAGAAGAGTCTAATTGTGCCTGGATTTCTCCAGGACAGCAGTGGCCCCTCGTTTTATCATTCCCAGTCCATTGTCATCACGTCAGAGAAAAATCTTCAGGGGTGCTAATCCTGTTGCATCAGTTGATCATACTAACGAGAACGGTAATGCGACAAGATACACATTGCCTTCATCTGTACATTCTGTGATACCAGGCAAATTACCAATTACACACAGCTACTTATATTTTATGAAGGGCATTTTTTAGATGACCTCATCCTCTGTGTTATTTGTTGATTGGGTTTGTTTTCTGTTTGTTGGTTTGTTTGTTTCTTCCACGTAAGGAAAAGTAGTGTAAACAGTAGCGAGAAAATGGAAACCACAGAGGAAGATGTATTTTGCATGTTTTTCCTTTCAGTGTTCTTACACGTTGTATCACTGCATTGTGGTAATAGCTTCTATAAAATCTGCCATAGTTGGATTATGCAGCTTTGCAAAAATTTTTACTAGATTTTGCACTAACTCATATTAGCTTTGTCCTACCAACTTCTGGAATTTATCTAATTATTGTTTTTCAAAGTTTCTTTCCTTTTAATGTTTCCCTGCTATGCAAAACCTTTCCCAGACCTCAGTTTCTTAAAAGAAAGATGTTGCTACAGTTCCCGATTCTTTCTTATTACAGGCTCAGGTGTACAGGTTATTCTGGGTTAATTTTATCTAATGAAGCCCATTCCTTTTTGTACATAAAGATGTCACTTAAACTTATGCTTACAAACTAAAGACTAATCGCTCAATATGAAAACATGAAAAAATTTTTGCTTAAAGTATTAAGATGGAAGTAGTTAAATATGGGTTATTTTGTCCTTTTACTTTTTTAAAAAATGTTACATATTGTATGCACTGTGCTGATGCAAGAATTCTACATTTTAATGAGTTATAAAATTATTCTGCATCTCATCACGTCACAGTATTTCTGTACTATTTATTCATATATATAAATATATATGGGCTTAATCATTTAAAATTTGTTGCAGCAAGAACTTTCCTACCTGTAGGCAATAGATTGCTATGTTTTTAACAAATTGTGGCAAATTCTAAACAGCAATTCTTTTGTACGTAATAGGACATTTCATCCTAGAAAAATAAAGTAATGTTTTTGACATTGGATTTGGTGCAGTTTCTAATGAAGCAATGGTTGGTTGGTTAATATGTTTTCTATAGCTGTTAGCCTTGCCAAATTGTACAAAAAGGATAAATTTTATGGAAATCTGAAACCAGGAAGATGTTAATTTCATATGTGTATTTAACGGTATAAAGTGTTGTATAGTTTCTATCACCATACAAATACATAGACATTTTATAGTTTCATCAACTACAGAGCTTTAGTCCTTCAGAAGTAATTTTTGAAAAACATACTTCTTTTTTTTTTTTTTTGAGATGGAGTTTCACTGTTGTTGCCCAGTCTGGAGTGCAATGATGCCATCTCGGCTCACCACAACCTCTGCCTCCCGGGTTCAAGCAATTCTCCTGCCTCAGCCTCCCAAGTAACTGGGATTACAGGCATGCGCCACCACGCCTGGCTAATTTTGTATTTTTAGTAGAGACAGGGTTTCTCCATGTTGGTCAGGCTGGTCTCGAACTCCCGATCCCAGGTGATCCGCCTGCCTCGGCCTCCCAAAGTGCTGGGATTATAGACATGAGCCACCACGCCTGGCCTGAAAACCATACATTCTTATAGAACATAATGAATTCCAAAAGCTGCTTTTCTGTGACAAGCAGAAATCTTTGACAAGCTTCTGCTATTCAGAAAGATCTACATAATACAGCTATTTTGCTTCCAATAATTCAGGCAGTAAACTGTACATTTGTGATATTCTTAGGATGTTTCTACCCCAGGCCTTGGGCTTATAAATACATTTAATTTGCATCAATAGATTTCCTTGGCTAAAAGTATTTTCAGTACCTGTTATACTTTACCTGCCAAGTTCACAATCCTTGAAACCATTTCATGAAAAGTATTTTCCTATTGGTAAAGCTTTTATTCTCCTATCCAAATTCTGCAGGAGGTTTAAATAAAATTGTGGCTGGGCATGGTGGCTCACGCCTATAATCCCAGCACTTTGGGAGACTGAAGCAAGTGGGTCACTTGAGGTCAGGAGTTGGAGAGACCTGCCTGGCCAACATGGTGAAACCCTGTCTCTACTAAAAATACAACAATTTAGCTGGACAAGAGGCACACGCCGGTAGTTCCAGCTACTCAGGAGGCTGAGGTGGGAGGACAGCTTGAACCCGGGAGGCAGAGGTTGCAGTGAGCTGAGATTGTGCCACTACGCTCCAGCCTGGGTGACAGAGCGAGACTCCGTCTCAAAAAAAGTGAGCTTTTGGAGATATTTTCTGAAGGAAAATAATTACCTTTTTATATTTCAAATGGCCTAGAGTGTTATTTAGAGACACTAAGATTTGCTGTTGTTTGTAATCTACCTTCCTAGGATCTGCAAATAAAAGTTACTTCCCTATTTCTGTTAATTCCTTTAGGCAAACTCTCTGCTGCTTTATGTTAAAGAGCCAACCTGGTGGCCTTTCAGATCTCTGCACACTTAGACAAAGCTACATGGTTATTACAGCTTTCGCTCTTCATGATTGAAGCTATTACCGTAGGTCTCAGACTTCTTGTCCTTAATGTGAGAATGGTGATATTTCATGGATAAAGTAATGAAGTACTTGAGGAGGTGGGGGTAAGAACCAGCTGAGAAGTATTTTTAATAATTTGAAACATTCTGAGGTACTTCTGGATACTTGGAGCGAGATACTAGAAGATTTTCTCAGAAGATCATACCGCTTGATCCAATTTGAACCAAATTCAACTAAAGAAATTAGCTATATTTTCAACTAAAATTAGCTATATTTTTAAAATGTTAATGTCCTGCTTTATCTAATTTATTTATTGCTTGCTCAAATATTTCCTGAAATTGAGGTGATGCATTATAGGTGGCAGGTCAGTTTTTATGAGTTTGTTTCTATGTGTGAATGGTCAGCCTTAAAAATGATTTTATCCGGGCGCGGTGGCTTATGCCTGTGATCCCAGCACTTTGGGAGGCCGAGGCGGGCGGATCACCTGAGGTCAGGAGTCCGAGACCAGCCTGGCCAACATGGTGAAAACCCGTCTCTACTAAAAATACAAAAATTAGCAGGCTGTGGTGGCACATGCCTGTAATCCCACTACTCGGGAGGCTGAGGCAGGAAAATTGCTTGAGCCCGGGAGGCGGAGGTTGCAGTGAGCCAAGATGGTGCCACCGCACTCCAGCCTGGCCGATAGAGCGAGATTCTGTCTAAAAAAAAAAAAAAAATTCAAGAGAAATACTAACAGTGCCAAATGATGCTTTCTTTACAAGGCAGTTGTGAAGAGCTATGGGTCGGGCGTGGTGGCTCACGCCTGTAATCCCAGCACTTTGAGAGGCCAAGGCAGGTGGCTCACAAGGTCGGGAGTTCGAGACCAGCCTGGCCAATGTGGCAAAACCCTGTGTCTACTAAAAATACAAAAAGTAGCCGGGCCTGGTGGTGGGTGCCTGTAATCCCAGCTACTTGGGAGGCTGAGGCAGGAGAATCGCTTAAACCCAGGAGGTGGAGGTTGCAGGGAGCCAAGATTGTGCCACTGCACTCCAGCCTGGGTGACAAGAGCAAGACTCAGTCTCACATAAATAAATAAACAAACAAACAGTGTATGTGTTTTATAGACGTTTTCCTACCCAAAGAAAAACAAGTGCTTGGCTGGGCGCGGTGGCTCACACCTGTAATCCCAGCACTTCGGGAGGCTGAGGCGGGCGGATTGTGAGGTCAGGAGATTGAGACCATCCTGGCTAACACGGTGAAACCCCGTCTCTACTAAGCATACAAAAAAAATTAGCCGGGCGTGATGGCGGGCGCCTGTAGTCCCAGCTACTCGGGAGGCTGAGGCAGGAGAATGGCGTGAACCCGGGAGGCGGAGCTTGCAGTGAGCTGAGATTGTGCCACTGCACTCCGCAGTGCGAGACTCCGTCTCAAAAAAAAAAAAGAAAAGAAAAAAAAGAAAAACAAGTACTTTTTTCCCTTGAATTGTAAAATAATAGCTTCATTTGAAGGAGGGATGCTATTGAATTACTACTGAAGGCAAGAGAGTATTCCATTTAGGGACTATTAATGTGTGCACATAGGCACAAACCCATTTGCTAAGAAAAATCTATCAATGGGACAAGATTATAAGAAACTATAGTGCATTTGCTCATTAAAATTTTCCATCAAATTGGCAGGGCGCAGTGGCTAATGCCTGTAATCCCAGCACTTTGGGAGGCTGAAGTGAGTGATTCACTTGGGGCCACAAGCTCAAGACCAACCTGGGCAACACGGCCAAACCCCGTCTCTACTAAAAGTACAAAAGGCCAGGCATGGTGGCTCTCAACTGTAATCCTAACACTTTGGGAGGCCGAGGCAGGTGAATCACTTGAGATCAGGAGTTCTAGACCAGCCTGGCCAACATGGTGAAACCCCATCTCTACTAAAAATACAAAAATTAACCGGGCGTGGTGATGGGCGCCTGTAATCCCATCTACTCGGTAGGCTGAGGCAGGAGAATCGCTTGAACCCGCGAGGCAGAGGTTGCAGTGAGCCGGGATCACGCCACTGCACTCCAGCCTGGGTGACAGAGTGAGATGCCATCTCAAAAAAAGGACAAAAGTTAGCCGGGCATTGAGGCCGGGCGCGGTGGCTCACGCATGTAATCCCAACACTTTGGGAGGCCGAGGTGGGCGGATCACGAGGTCAGGAGATCGAGACCATCTTGGCTAACACAGTGAAACCCCGTCTCTACTAAAAATACAAAAAAATTGGCCAGGCGTGGTCACCCAGGCTGGAGCGCAGTGGCGAGATCTTGGCTCACTGCAAGTTGCAAGCTCCGCCTCCCAGGTTCATGACATTCTCCTGCCTCAGCCTCCCGAGTAGCTGGGACTACAGGCGCCCGCCACCACGCCAGGCTAATTTTTTGTGTTTTTAGTAGAGACGGGGTTTCACCATGTTGGCCAGGATGGTCTCGATCTCCTGACCTAGTGATCTGCCCGCCTCGGCCTCCCAAAGTGCTGGGATTACAGGCGTGAGCCACTGCGCCCGACACAGACCTGGTTTTGAATGAAGACCTTAATGTTTAGCCAGGAAGTTTCTAAGAATCTGGCCTGCATGTGTTTGCCAAGGTGTGCATGTTAACTATGTGACCTCCAAGTATCACAGGTATCACAGCTCTGGCACTTTTTTTGTTTCCAGAATTACCCAGAAACGGACTATTATCAAACCAATCTAAGTCAAACCCTAAACTTAAGCTTCAGGATTATGTAAAAGTTATTTTTTTCCTTTTTCTTTATTATTATTATTTTTTTTTTTTGGAAACTGGGTCTTGCTCTGTTGCCCAGGCTGGAGTGCAGTGGCACAGCTCACAGCAGCCTTGACCTCCTGGGCACAAGCCATCCTCCTACTTCAGCCTCCCAAGTAGCTGGGACCAAAGGCACACGCTAGCACGCCTGGCTAATTTTTTTATTATTTGTAGCGATGAGGTCTTGCTATGTTGCCCAGTCTGGACTCAAACTTCTGGCCTCAAGTGATCCTGCCTCGGCCTCCCAAAGTGCTGGGATTACAGGCATGAGCCATTACACCTGGACCTTTTTTAAACTAGAGTTATTTCAGCAGGATACAGACTAAAATTAAAAAATCAGCCCAGCGCAGTGGTTCACGCCTGTGATTCCAACACACGCAGGCCGAGGGGGTTGGATCACTTGAGGTCAGTAGTTCAAGACCAGCCTGGCCACCATGGTGAAATGCTGTCTCTACTAAAAATACAAAAGTTAGCCAGGCATGGTGCTGGGCACCTGTAATCCCCAGCTACTAAGGAGTCTGAGGCAGAAGAATCTCTTAAACCTGGGAGGTGAAGGTTGCAGTGAGCTGAGATCACACACCACTGCACTTCAGCCTGGGTGACAGAGCAAGACTCCGTCTCGAAAAAATATTCCAGAACTATTTATAACTTTTCTCTTTGTTTTAACATCTGAGCATCCAACCAATAACTTATCTATTTGGTCATCTTTTTTTTTTTTTTTTTTTTTTTTGAGACGGAGTCTCGCTCTGTCGCCCAGGCTGGAGTGCAGTGGCGCGATCTCGGCTCACTGCAAGCTCCGCCTCCCGGGTTCACGCCATTCTCCTGCCTCAGCCTCCCGAGTAGCTGGGACTACAGGCGCCCGCTACCACGCCCGGCTAATTTTTTGTATTTTTAGTAGAGACGGGGTTTCACCGTGTTAGCCAGGATGGTCTCGATCTCCTGACCTCGTGATCCGCCCGCCTCGGCCTCCCAAAGTGCTGGGATTACAGGCGTGAGCCACCGCGCCCGGCCCTATTTGGTCATCTTGTAGTTGTCTCCACCACATTATTCGAGATAACCACTTAGCCTTTGTTTGTTTGTTTGTTTTTGAGATGAAGTCTTGCTCTGTTTCCCAGGCTGGAGTGCAATGGCACAATCGCGACTCACTGCTACCTCTGCCTCCCGGATTCAAGCGATGCTCCTGCCTCAGCCTCCCGAGGAGCTGGGATTACAGGCATCCGCCACCATGCCCAGCTAATTTTTCTATTTTTAGTAGAGATGTGGTTTCACCATGTTGTCCAGGCTGGTCTCGAACTCCTGACCTTGAGATCCACCCACCTCGGTCTCCCAAAGTGCTGGGATTACAGGAGTGAGCCACCGCGCCTGGCCTAGCCTTTAGACATTTAAAAATTCAACTTTGATTTGACTGGCCTGAGTTATGCCCGAGTTAGTTTTTTATCTTAAAGAAAACTAACTCAGGAAGTCTTCATTAGCTATGTACTCTATCACCAATAGTTCATGTAATAATGCTGCTGACTCCCAAAAAGCGATTCTAGTAAAATTTATAAGTTTGGACAAAACTCATTTTTGAAAAATACTTGAAAAATCCCTCAGTAGTGCTTTACCATGGAACACTCAGAACCTCTCAACCCTTTATTACCTGTATGCCCCATAATTGGAACAAATAATAGTATCAGATATTGTAATGTTGGGCTATTGCTTCTTGGCTCCTGTGATTCCCTAGCGTCCCATCCTGGATGTCCTTTAGGTGCACAGTGCTACTACTGTGTGCCATGGACAGTGTCAGGACACATTCTGAGCTTCCTGAGTGCATCACTGTGAGGCCAAATAGGCTGTTCTCTCTCCAGTGAAGATTCCTTTCTGTCTTTAGGCAGTCATCTTCATCTATGCATTAGTGGTGTCTCTGTTCACCATGCTTCATATAAACTAAAGTACAGCCTGATCTTCCGAAAAAATACTCTTTTGTGGACTCAAGTATAAAATCAATATTTAATTTAGCTAGTGATTAAACCATTTTTTTGTTGTTGTTGTTTGTTTTTTGAGATGGAGTTTCGCTTCTGTTGCCCAGGCTGGCATGCAGTGGTGTGATCTCGGCTCACTGCAACCTCCACCTCCCGGGTTCAAGCGATTCTCCTGTCTCAGCCTCCCAAGTAGCTGGGACTACAGGCACCCACCACCACGCCCGGCTAATTTTGTATTTTTAGTAGATACGGGGGTTTCTCCATGTTGGTCAGGCTGGTCTCGAACTCCCACCCTCAGGTGATCCGCTGGCCTCGGCCTCCCAAAGTGCTGGGATTACCAGCATGAGCCACCACACCCGGCCAATTAAACCTTTTTAAAACCAACTGAAAAATGTTTAAAATTCGCTTGCTTGTGAGCCGTCATTGGTGAATATTGGTTCCAAGGTTTGGGGAATGAATTTGAGAAAGCCTTTTTCTCAAACCTTTAGGGCTCAGTAAGGCTAAAACAAAAACAAACAGGTGCATCCAAGATCTGATTTCAAGTCAAGATTTATTGCTTTACAAACAAACATTATACTTGGTCTTAATAGAAAAATGACACCAGATACATCCAAAATACATTTCACATTGGGATAGCTGCCAGTTCAGCACAAAACATACATTACTAGGAGCAGGGAGGCATGAAAATAAACTATATCTTACTTTTTGGTACGTCAGGAACACTTTTGCCTGAAGTAAGCCCTTTAGTACTATTTTTTATTTTATTTATTTTTTTAATCCACCCATCTGCACACTGGCCCTTTAGTACTCTTTAAGTATAAAACTTTAATACTTGTCCTGGGCTTTGACCCTTGTGTTTGATCTAAATGACATTTCAAACATAAATGTCTTTTGACTAGTGCGCTTACTGTTATGTACAGAATTTAAAATGTGATCGTTTGAATATAAAATCTGGTTTGATACATGATATAAAAGTTGTATATTTAAATTCAAGAAAATGTTTTTGTGGACTATTTCTACTAAAGAATATTAAATTAAAATAATTTAAAAACTTATGAAGCAATGATCTGTTAACTGGACAGGTCAATTATCTGAGCTGTGTAAATCATTGTCTGGCACTACAGTTGAATCACCTTGACACTGAGCTCAGGAGCAGCCCATTTAAGAAGCATCTTGTAAATAACAAAGTGACACCTTCGAGATTACAGTTGCAGCTATGCAAGTCATTCACAGAGTAGCTGAGGGCTCTCTTCTGAAGGAGGACCCATTACATGAAGGTAGACCTTTCATGTCTTGTTGCCGACGTCCAAGTCTCTTGCGGTCCAGAAATGCCAGGATGGTTGTTTCAAATGCATTGGGTATGAATTGCACCTTGAATCTGCCCTTCCCTTTTTCGATTAAACCTTTTCACATAGCTGCTGCTGCTCCTTAGCAGTCCATCCCCTGGACGGAGGCGGCCTCTCAGGACCTGGAGCAGAGCTGTAGGGAGCTGCCGTCTCTTATGGTAGATGTGGCCCATCACAATATACCTGCTGCCTGGACAAAATAACCAGAACATTAATTCATAGTGTCTTTTAAATGCCATGAAACAGAAAATGTAAGGCCTTTAAGAAACGCCTAAGCTGCAATCTATTATCTTGCTGCACAAGTTGAAACTGATATTGAGTCTACAGGCATCTGGTGGAAACAGCCTAGCCACCTTTACAAGATAACCAACCAGGCCGGTGTGGTGGCTCACGCCTTTAATCCCAGCACTTTGGGAGGCCGAGGTGGGCAGCTCACTTGAGGTCAGGAGTTTGAGACCAGCCTGGCCAACATGGTGAAACCCCGTCTCTACTAAAAATACAAAAATTGGCAGGGCGTGGTGGCGCATGCCTGTAACCCCAGCTGCTTGGGAGGCTGAGGCAGGATAATCGCTTGAACCCGGCAGGTGGAGGGTGCAGTGAGCCGAGATCGAACCACTGCACTCCAGCCTGGGCGACAGGGCAAGACTCAATCTCAAAAAAAAAAAAAAAAAAAAAAAAAAAGCAGTATGTAACCGGACCACATTACAGAACAAAGGTCCTTATCACAATCTATCAGGATTTCCCAGAGCACATGTCTAGAAAGATGTGGGAGTGGGTATTCCCCGCTACCAACCCCACATACACACCCAAAAAAGCAGCTTTTCTAAACTCGGTTCTGTACAGTCCCTTCTGGCAATGGTGTTTGGTCGTCCACCCCATTTGTCAACATCTATTTATTGACAGCCCGCTTTGTGCCAACCCTTGCTGTTCTCACCCTTGAGGGTGGGGGCTGACAGGGCTTAAATCACAGAGTGGCCGGAATAATACCTGTCGTCTAAATCCCATTCATGTCATTGTTTCCCATCGCTCCCAAAAAAAGGCTGGGCGACCTACAGCCCGGGCTGTGGCACCCACGTTACAAACGGTGGTATAAAGTACATATGCAGCGTCATTCAGGTCAGTTTCAATACCAGGTTTAAACTCTGGACACGGCTTATTGCAGCTGGAGGAGTCCAGGGCTAACATGTGGACTCGGAAGAAGAAGCCGTCGGGGGTGAGGTACAGGCGGTTCATCTTGTACAGCCCGTCCCGATCCACCAGCAGGGTCACCAGCCGGATGCCCGCGCCCAGCACGTCCACATCGTGCACGATCCCGTTCACCGCTGCTTCCGAAAAACAGTTTGGAGAAGAGCATTACCCCGAGTTCCTCTCCCAGTCCCCCAGGAGGTGGTTTTTAGCAACCGCGAAACGGCCCGCACGGGTCAGGCGCCCTGGGATCTCGCGGGCGGATTCTCCGGGGCTCGGAAAGGCTCGCGGGGCGGCGGGGCGGCGGCGCGGCGGCCGGGCTCACCGAATTCGCTCTCGCAGAACGCCTCGCGTTCGTCCAGATCGGACCGGCAGGCGCGCGCGCAGGGCTCAGCGCCGGGCTCCGCGTCCCTCTGCGGCGGGCTGAGGCCGAAGCTGAGGCTGAAGCGCGGCGGCGGCGCGGGCGCGGGTCCCGGGGCCAGCGCGGCGGCGCGCGGCCGGTTGGGGTGGGCGTGGCCGGCGGAGCCCTCGGTGGCGAGCGCGGGCGGCCGGGCGGCGGGGAAGCGCAGGGCCCGTGAGCGCGCGCGTCGCGGGGCGTCCTCCGACGCGGGCTCGCGGCGCGGCGACGCGCGGTTCTCGGCTTGCGCCAGGCGCGGGCCCGGCGGGCCAGCGGGCGCGCGTGCGGCCTCCCGGAAGCTGGCCTGGTTGTCGGCCGGCGGTGGGGGCTTCCGGCGGCGCGGGTCAGGCCAGGCGCGGGCGGCGGGAGCGACCTCGGCCGCGCGCGGCCGCTGCGGGGCCTCAA
This sequence comes from Homo sapiens, assembly GCF_000001405.40. Taxonomy (NCBI): domain Eukaryota; kingdom Metazoa; phylum Chordata; class Mammalia; order Primates; family Hominidae; genus Homo; species Homo sapiens. The sequence continues at coordinate 67,993,901 of NC_000017.11, forward strand.
GGAGTGGCTGCGCGCGGGGCCCCGGTGTCTCCTCCGCGCTCGGGCAGCCGCGGGAGTCCGGCTTTCTGCTGTGCGGCGGCGAGGCTGTGGGGAGAGAAGAGGAGAGGCGGGAAGGCGGTGGGGGAGGAGAAGCAGTGAGGGGAGGCCGTCGGGGAAAGCCGAGGAAGCCGAGAAGGAAGAAGAGGGAAGGGGAGGCTGAGACGGGAGGCCGAGAGGGGAAGGGAAGCCAGGAGGGGAGGAGGCCGCTAGTGGGGCAGGGGCGCTGCAGAAGAAGGGCTCTGGGAGGGGGAGAGGAGATAGAGGACAAGGGAGGCTTCGCAGGCACCTGCAAGAGGAGAGATGGGAGGGAGGCCCGGAGGCCTGGAAGTGAAGCAGGGAGAACCCGGACGCAGCGTCGCGGCCAAGCGGGGCACGCGCTTCCCAGGCCCCAAAGGAAGAAGGATACGAGGGTCTTGACCTCTAAGATTATAGCTTTTAAAATTACAACCCCCTATTTACTCTAAGACTAAACATGTCTTACAACACTGGTTAGATAACAAACTTTTTTGCCCTTCCTTTAATATATACGTATATGTGTGTATGTGTGCGTGTGCGTGTGTGTGTGTGTGTGTGTGTGTATATATATATATATATATAAAACATATATAAACATCCGCCTCTTTGCTATTTACAGTTTGTTGAGAAAGTACCAAGAGCAAACCCCAGGGGGAAAGGTCTCATATTACAGGTTCTCCTAATTCTTTAAGCGCCCCTGACAACAGAACTATTTGGTTTTCCCATCCATGTTTACACTGTCATCCCGGTCTCTGCAGAATCGAGCATTTGTAAGTGGATTTTTATCTGGCTTCTTGGACACCACTTACTGGTAAACCACAGCTAAGGAAGGTTTTAAAAGCTTGGCTGGGAGGCAGAGAGGCCCCTGGTTAAGTATAAAAGCACACGTCGCTTACATTTTTTTCCCCATTAGATGATGGAGGAAAGACTCCTAAATGGTATGGCATGAAAACAAATTTTTAAAATTATTAATGATTTTCCCTAGTTCTGCAGACAGGTTGGTGAGTAAACCTCAGCCAGCTTGGGAGCTGGGCACCTTTCCATACCAGTTACACAATTTCACCTCCTTGCTTGCCTGGGTCCCAGTGCCCTCCAAACAGGCAAGAACTAGCCTTTATTTTTCTCTCCCCTTGCATTAAAGAGATGGATCTGCCCATTTGCAGCTCTGGCAACACTTCATTTAAAGTTGATCAGTCTTGCCAAATCGATAATCTGCTTTAAAATCAGCTTTCACCCAGCAATAATAGCTGGTTAGAGTTCATGTTTTTGCAAAGAGGTTGATTCTGACTCATTATGTTGTTAAACGGTTGTGCCATGCACAGCTGAATAAAGTTCTGGTGGATATCCAATTCCTGACTGTCAACTGTTGACCTCACAACTGCTTCCCCATTGATATAACCATCTGTTGTCATGGGAAAGATTGTCTGATATTTGGGTTAAATGCCACTGAAGTCATTCAATTTCCATGTGGAAAAATAACCCAGAGTAAATTGCCCTGTGAGGTACGGAAACTGTTTTTCCCAGAGATAGCGAAGCCGACAGAACATCCAAATAAAAGCAAAACAAAAACACGATCCCCCAGAGAACCCCTCATTTCTTCACGGGCTGAGTAACTTAATTTCATTTCGTGCATGAAGTATAAGAGTGTGTGCGTGTTAGTTAAACCCCGGCTCAGGTGTCCCAAGGTTGTGCGCTGGGGCTGCGGGGAGAGCAAAGTGCCCGGGGCTGCCGGATTTCGGCCCCGCTTCCCCCCAGCCCTCCACAGCGCCCCCCGCAGCCCCTGCTCACCCAGTCGAGGGGGGCGGACCCCGCGGCGTCCTGCGAGCCCGGCCCGGGCACGGCTCCCGAAAGGCGCGCCACGACCCCTTTTGACACTTTCCCTCCTCCGTGATGGAGCAACTACTTAACATGCAAAGTTTTCCCCAGCCTGCCCGGCTTGCTCGGGATCATTTCAGTAGCTAAATTGGCTTCTTTCCGAAAAGGCTGCCAAGAGACACGAAACCTTGGGGACACACTTTGCTCCTTTATAAGACGAACGCAGACCCGGGGTGTCCTCTCTTGCGAGCTCTGACCCCCCTCCTCGTCCCACGTTTCACTGAGCCTCCTTCCCAGCTCCCCCCCACAGATCCCCGCTCCGCTCCCAGGGCCCCGCACTACACCAATCTTACTTTTTCTCTCCGCCACCGGTGCTTCGGGGGATGATCCGACGATCAAACAGAGGAGCCAGAAAGCTCTAGCTGTCATTTTTGCAGACAGGGTTCCCAGGCTCTAAAAGTGAGCCTGGTCTTTTGCTTGCTTTCTCTCCCCCAACCCCTTCTCCACACCCCCACCCCCGTTCATGCTAATGAGGGGCAGCCTTTGGGGAAACGGGAATCACTCGCTGAGCAGACCATTGGAACAAAACCGAGCCGCAGGGATTTCTCCCTCTTCCTTCCTAAGGAGGACGAGCACATGGCCTTGCAAAGTTGTCCCCGGGAATGTCTGTCCTGTGATCTGCGGGCGAGGAGAGCATCACAGCCTAAACTTTAAACCTGTGTGCGTTTGCGCGCTGGGGTGGGGGCAGCAAAGGGTGGGGTGACAAGTGCAGAGAATAAGCGTGTTTCGGGACTGAGGGACTGGGTGGGGGAGAACGAGTGACGGGAGCTTTTTTCTAGATTAGGTCAACAACAAATAGGAAAATAGTGCTTAAGACAGCGTGGGTTTGTGGAAGGGAGATTCCAGATGACAGAGAATGTATCCTGGAATGTGTGTGTTAGGCAATTTCTAGAGAAACCAAGTCACTGCTTCCTTAGTAAAACTGTTTCATTATATATCACAGCTCATTGTAACCTCTGCCTCCCGGACTAAAGCGATTCTCGTGCCTCAGCCTCTCAAGTAGCTGGGATTACAGGCATATGCCACCATGCGAGGCTAATTTTTGTATTTTTAGCAGAGACGGGATTTCACCGTGTTGGCCAGGCTGGTCTCAAACTCCTGACCTCAAGTGATCCACCCACCTTGGCCTCCCAAAGTGCTGGGATTACAGCATGAGCCACCACGCCGGGCCCAGAGGTCTAATTATTAATCAGAATGTTGCCTGTTGAGGCCAGGCAGGGTGGTTCATGCCTGTAATCCCAGTACTTTGGGAGCCCGAGACAGGAGGATCTCTTGAGCTCAGGAGTTCAAGACCAGCCTGAGCAACATGGAGAGAACCTGTCTCTACAAAAAATACAAAAATTAGCCAGGCATGGTGGCTCGCATCTGTGGTCCCAGCCACTTGGGAGGCTGAGGTGGGAGGATCACTTGAGCCTAGGAGGTGGAGGTTGCAGTGAGCCGAGATTGTGCCACTGCACTCCAGCCTGGGTGACAGAGAGAGGCCCTGTCTCAAAAAAAAAAAAAAAAAAAAAAGAAGAAGAAGAAGAAGAAGAAAGAAAAGAAAGAGGAGGAGCCAGGCACAGTGGCTCACGCCTGTAATCCCAGCATTTTGGGAGGCCAAGGCAGGCGGATCACGAGGTCAGGAGTTCAAGACCAGCCTGGCCAAATTAGTGCAACCCTGTCTCTACTAAAATTACAAAAAAGTTAGCAGGGTGTGGTGGCACACACCTGTAGTCCCAGCTACTCAGGAGGCTGAGGCAGGAGAATCGCTTGAACCTGGGAGGCAAAGGTTGCAGTGAGCTGAGACTATGCCATTGCACTCCAGCCTGGGTGATAGAGTGAGACTTTTGTCTCAAAAAGAAAAAAAAAAAGAGGAGGAGGAGGAGAACGAAGAAGAAGAAGAAGGAGAGCAGGGCCAGGTGTGGTGGCTCACGCCTGTAATCCCAGCACTTTGGGAGGACAAGGTGGGTCGATCACGAGGCCAGGAGATCCAGACCATCCTGGCTGACACAGTGAAACCCCGTCTCTACTGAAAATACAAAAAATTAGCCGGGCGTGGTGGCGGGCGCCTGTAGTCCCAGCTACTCAGGAGGCTGAGGCAGGAGACTGGCGTGAACCTGGGAGGCGGAGCTTGCAGTGTGGCGCCACTGCCCTGCCCTCCAGCCTGGGTGACAGAGTGAGACTCTGTCTCAAAAAAAAAAAAAAAAAAAAAAAAGAAGGAGAGGAGGAAGAGGAGGAGGAGGAGGAAAGAAGTTTGCCTGTTGAGCATTAAATCAAAGAAAATAAATTTGCTGGCTGGGTGCGGTGGCTCAACCTGTAATCCCAACACTCTGGGAGGCCAAGGTGGGCAGATCACGAGGTCAGGAGTTCGAGACCAGCCTGGCCAACATAGTAAAACCCCATATCTACTAAAAATACAAAAATTAGCGAGTCATGGTGGCGGGCACCTGTAATCCCAGCTACTTGGGAGGCTGAGGGAGGAGAATCGCTTGAACCCAGGAGGCAGAAGTTGCAGTGAGCCAAGACTGCGCCACTACACTCCAGCCTGGGCAACAGCACAGGACTCTGTCTCAAAAAAAAAAAAAAAAAAAGAAAAAGAAAAAGAAAAAAAAGAAAAGAAATTTGCCTGTTGAGCATTAAATCAAATTGCAGCTAAGGAGATGAGCTAATCTTCCCTCATTCAGGTGTTAGAGGAGTGAATTATATTCTCCATCCAAAAGAGTAAACCTCTACAGCCCCTGCAAAGCTTGGGTATACCAGAGTCAGGGTCTCCAGACCCTAGACAAGACCAGATAAACACTAGTAAATTCATGCCCTTGGGGCCCTGTTTATAGATGTCCTCAGATCCCCTTCTTTCACGTGCTCTTTCTTTAAGTCAAGTGGAATAAAATTCACTAGGCTTAAGATTTCTCAGTTACAACCACATCTCTAACATACCTTCTTACCATTACATTCAAATCACCCAGAACCTATTGGGGGTGTTCCCGAAACTCTTCTGTTGCAGGAATGTTGTGAATGCCCTGAAACCCACACCCTGAAATGTAGAGGCAGGGAGCAGGCTGGATGGCTCCCAGGGGCTCCCAGAGGCTCCTGGGGTGGCACCAGCTGGAAGAACCTGCCAGAGTCCAGTCCTGGGTCTTGGGCAGTGTCTGGCTTGAGCCTTAGAAATCACACTAATGGGCCAGGCGCGGTGGCTCACGCCTGTAATCTCAGCCCTTTGGGAGGCTGAGGTGGGCGGATCACCTGAGGTCAGGAGTTTGAGACCAGCCTGACCAACATGGTGAAACCCTGTCTCTACTAAAAATACAAAAATAGCCAGGCATGGTGGCAGGTGCCTGTAATCCCAGCTACTTGGTAGGCTGAGGCAGGAGAATCGCTTGAACCCGGGAGGCGGAGGTTGCAGTGAGCCGAGATCGCACCATCGCACTCCAGCCTAGGGGACAAGAGCGAGACTTCGTCTCAAAAAAGAAGAAGAAGAAAAAAAAGAAACCACACTAATGGTGGAAGGTACAAAGAGTTCAAAGAGACTGATCTATGTAGCCAGAATGCCAGTTTATTAATTTACAATGAGAAATCAAATCAGAAATGCAAACTCATGTCAGCCTGGGTAGCATTCTCTTTCTATAAACAAGCCACAGAGGAAGCCAAGTTATCCTCAGGGTGCTTGGTAATATAAACCAGAGCCTGGGGAGTTTGTCACCTGATTGGAATGTTTAACAGTATTGGTTTCTGACAGCCTAAGTGTTTGTCTCTGCAATAGGTGTGTATACCTGTCAGGAGGAAGAACCCAAGAGACCAACTGGCATTCCCTTCCTTGATAATTTCTGGTATTTTGAGTGTGTGTTTCTGCTTAGCAGATATTTATTGAGCATCTACTCTGTGTTGTATAATAAAGAATTTGAAGTCCAGGCGCAGTGGCTCACACATGTAATCCTGGCACTTTGGAAGGTTGAGGCGGGCGGATCACTTGAGTTTAGGAATTCAAGACCAGCCTGGGCAACATGGTGAAACTGTCTCTACAAAATAAAAATAAAAATAAAATAGCCAGCTGAGGTGGTAATTCTAGAGAACTTGAATTCTCTAGAGTGACTCACAGAACTCAGGATAGCATTTTACTTACAATGAGTTGTATTATTATTTTGTTGGTTCGTTATTTTATGTTTCTTTTCTCTTATTTTAATAGAGATGGGGGTGGGGGCCAGGTGCAGTGGCTCACTCCTGTAATCCCAATACTTTGGGAGGCTGAGGAAGGCAGATCATTTGAGGTCAGGAGTCCAAGACCAGCCTGGCCAACATGGTGAAACCCCATCTCTTACTGAAAATACAAAAATTAGTTGGGTGTGGTGGTATGCACCTGTAATCCCAGCTATTCAAGAGGCTGAGGCAGGAGACTCACTTGAACCCGGGAGGCAGAGGTTGCAGTGGGCCGAGATCATGCCACTGCACTCCAGCCTGGGTGACAGAGCGAGACTCCGTCTCAGAAAAAAAAAAAAAAAAAAAATTATCTTCGTTTTAATGCACATTTCTTTAATGGCAGGTGAAATTTTACATTTTTTTCATAGATTTATTGGCCATTTGCATTTCTTCTTTTGTTAATTGCCTGTTCATATGGTTTGTCTATATATGTTCCAAATATTTCCTGTCAAAATTTTGTTTGTTAAAACCTTTTAGTGATTTTTGCCATAGAACTTTAAAATTATGTATCATAAAATCCATCAAAAATTTTTTTTTTTGAGGCGGATTTTCGCTCTTGTTGCCCAGGCTGGATGCAATGGCGCCATCTTGGCTGACTGCAACCTCTGCCTCCTGGGTTCAAGCAATTCTCCTGCCTCAGCCTCCCCAGTAGCTGGGATTACAGGCATGCTCCACCACGCCCGGCTAATTTTGTATTTTTAGTAGAGACGGGATTTCACCATGTTGGCCAGGCTGATCTTGAACTCCTGACCTTGTGATCCACCCTACTTAGCCTCCCAAAGTGCTGGGATTACAGGTGTGAGCCACTGCGCCTGGCCGAGAAAGACTTTCTTGAAATCAAAATTATATATATATATATATATATATATATATATATATATATATATATATATATATACACACACACACACACACATATATATACACACACGCGCATATATATATATATATATATATATATATATATAAAATCTCCGTATATTTTTATAATGCTTATAGTTAAATCTTGATTCCATCTGGAATTTATTTTGGTATTGTAGTCTGATGTAAGAATCTAATTTTAATTTTTTCTTGAGTAACAGAAAGTTGTCTAATCCAATTGACAGATAAATCCATCCCTTCCTAAATCTGAAATCTGAGCTATCATCTTTAACATAGACAGTATATTTTTTTATTTTTTTAATTTTTTTGAGATGGAGTCTGGCTCTGTAGCCCAGGCTGGAGTACAGTAGTGCGATCTTGGCTCACTGCAACCTTGGCTCACTGCAACCTCCACCTCCCAGGTTCAATCGACTCTCCTGTCTCAGCCTCCTGAGTAGCTGGGATCATAGGCACACACCACCATGCCTGGCTAATTTGTATATTTTTAGTAGAGACCCGGTTTCGACATGTTGGACAGGCTGCTCTCAAATTCCTGGCCTAAAGTGATCCCCCCGCCTTGGCCTCCCAAAATGCTGGTATTACAGGCGTGAGCCACCGTGCCCGGCTAGGGTATTATCATTTTCTTCGTCTAAGCTCTAAACATTTCTTCTTAGATTTAATTCCTGGGTATTTTATATTTTTGATGTAATGTGGATAGCATATTTTTTCTTTTATATTTTCTGACTGGTTTTAGTAGGTGTCTAGAAAAACTACTAAGCTCTTTTTCTTTTTTTTTTTTTTGAGACGGAGTCTCGCTCTGTCGCTCAGGCTGGAGTGCAGTGGCGCGATCTCGGCTCACTGCAAGCTCCGCCTCCCGGGTTCACGCCATTCTCCTGCCTCAGCCTCCCGACTAGCTGGGATTACAGGTGCCCGCCACCACGCCCGGCTAATTTATTTTGTATTTTTTTAGTAGAGACGGGGTTTCACCGTGTTAGCCAGGATGGTCTTGATGTCCTGACCTCGTGATCTGCCCGCCTCGGCCTCCCAAAGTGCTGGGATCACAGGCGTGAGCCACCGCGCCTGAACTTTTTTTTTTTTTTTTTTTGAGATAGAGTCTCGCTCTGTCGCCCAGGCTGGAGTGCAATGGCGCGGTCTCAGCTCACCGCAAGCTGGGCCTCCCGGGTTCATGCCATTCTCCTGCCTCAGCCTCCAGAGTAGCTGGGACTACAGGCGCCCGCCACCACGCCAGGCTAATTTTTTGTATTTTTGGAAGAGACGGGGTTTCACCGTGTTAGCCAGGATGGTCTCGCTCTCCTGACCTTGTGATCCGCCTGCCTCGGCCTACCAAAGTGCTGGGATTACAGGCGTGAGGCACCGCGCCAGCCTGTTTTTTTTTTTTTTTTTTTTTTTTTTTGAGACGGAGTTTCGTTCTGTCGCCCAGGCTGGAGTGCAATGACGCGATCTCAGCTAGCTGCAACCTCTGTCTCCTGGGTTCAAGGGGTTCTTCTGCCTCAGCCTCCAGAGTAGCTGGGACTACAGGTTCACGCCACCACGCCTGGCTAATTTTTTGTATTTTTTGTAGAGATGGGGGTTTCCCCATATTGGCCAGGCTGGTCTCGAACTCCTGACCTCGTGATCCACCTGCCTCGGCCTACCAAAGTGCTGGGATTACAGGCATGAGCCACTGCGCCCAGCTCAAATATTCATTTAGCTTTTTTATTGCATTAATAAGAGCTCTTTTTTTTTTTTTTTTTTAGACGGAGTTTCGCTCTTGTTGCTCAGGCTGGAGTGCAATGGCGCGATCTCGGCTTACCACAACCTCCACCTCCCAGGTTCCAGCAATTCTCCTGCCTCAGCCTCCGTAGTAGCTGGGACTGCAGACATCCACCACACCCAGCTAATTTTGTATTTTTAGTAGAGATGGGGTTTCTCCATGTTGGTCAGCCTGGTCTTGAACTCCCAACCTTAGGTGATCCGCCTGCCTCGGTCTCCCAAAGTGCTGGGATCACAGGTGTGAGCCACCACGCCCAGCCATGCATTAATAAGAGGTTTCTTTTTTCTTTTCTTTTTTTTTCTTTTAGACAGAGTTTTGCTCTGTTGCCCAGGCTGGAGTGCAGTGGCACGATCTCAGCTCACTGCAAGCTCCACCTCCCGGGTTCACGCCATTCTCCCGCCTCAGCCTCCTGAGTAGCTAGGACTACAGGTGCCCGCCACCACGCCTGGCTAATTTTTTTGTATTTTTAGTAGCGACGGGGTTTTACTGTGTTAGCCAGGATGTTCTCAATCTCCTGACCTCGTGATCCGCCTGCCCCGGCCTCCCAAAGTGTTGGGATTACAGGTGTGAGCCACTGCGCCCGGCCTTAATAAAAGCTTTCTAAGCTTTGTTAATAATACTAATCATAGCCATCATCTTTGTTTTATTAATATTCCTCATTTTTAGAGAGCATTTCAAATATTTTACTTTCAAGTAACTAAAAATTTGATTTTACACGGATTATATAGAGCTATTTTTTTTTTTTTTTTTTTGAGATGGAGTCTCGCTCTGTCCCCCAGGCTGGAGTGCGGTGGCACGATCTCGGCTCACTGCCAGCTCTGCCTCTTGGGTTCACGCCATTCTCCTGCCTCAGCCTCCCGCGTAGCTGGGACTACAGGCGCCTGCCACCACGCCCGGCTAATTTTTTTGTATTTTTTTTATAGTAGAGACAGGGTTTCACCGTGTTAGCCAGGATGGTCTCGATCTCCTGACCTCCTGATCCGCCCCCCCTCGGCCTCCCAAAGTGCTGGGATTACAGGCGTGAGCCACCGCGCCCGGCCTATATAGGGTTATTTTTATCCACACTCCTGGGCTGTTGTTTTTGCCTTAGGAATCTGACAAATATTCATATTTCCTTGTTATGTTATCAGTGTTGATATTCTACTTTCGGCCTTCCATTTTATCTTCTATCTCTACTATTATTTATTTGCTTGTTTATTTATTTATTTATTTATTTATTTATTTTTTGAGACAGGGTCTCACTGTTGCTTAGGCTGGAGTACAGTGGCAAAACTCGATCAAGGCTCACTGTGGCCTTGACCTCCCGGGGCTCAGGTGATTCTCCTACCTTCGCCTCCAGAGTAGCTGGGACTACAGGCACGCACCACCACACCCAGCTAATTTTTGTATTTTTTGTAGAGATGGGGTTTCATCATGTTGGCCAGGCTGTTCTCCAACTCCTGGGCTCAAGCTATCCAACCTCCTTGGCCTCCCAAAGTGCTGGGATTATAGGCATAACCTACCACACTCGGTTTTCCTCGTTATTCTAGGAGACATTCCGGAATTTGTACATTTGTTGCTGATTTCATTTTCAGGAGCATCAGTTCTGCCTTTTGCTCTTTCCAATAAGGATCTTCTTTCCTTTCTCCCCTCCCCTCCCTCCGCCCCCGCTTTTTTTTTTTTTTTTTCTTTATTAATAGAGATGGGATTTCACCCTGTTGCCCAGGCTGGTCTCAAACTCCTGGGCTCAAGCTATCTGCCCATCTGGGCCTCCCAAAGCCCAGGGATTAAGGGAGTAAGCCACTGCACCTGGCCCCAGTAAGGGGTTGAAAGCTCAGGAATTAATAGTCAGCTTCCTTTTTTGTTCATCCTGTTGTTTGTTCATTTCAGTCTATTGCCTTCTTATAATTTCCTTCTTTACAAGGACTATTTCTCCTTGTTTTGTTTTTGTTTTTTTTTGAGACGGAGTCTCACTCTGTCACCCAGGCTGGAGTGCAATGGCGTGATCTCGGCTCACTGCAACCTCTGCCTCCTGGGTTCAAGCGATTCTCTTGCGTTAGCTGCCCAAGTAGCTAGGATTACAAGTGCAAGCCACCACACCCAGCCAATTTTTTGTATTTTTAGTAGAGATGGGGTTTCACCATGTTGGCCAAAATGGTCTTGATCTCTTGACCTTGTGATCCGCCCTCCTCAGCCTCCTAAAGTGATGGGATTACAGGCGTGAGCCACCGCGCCCAGCCGAGAGTGCCTGTTTCTTAAAATTGTCTTGGCCAGGTACAGTGGCTCACACCGGTAATCCCAGCACTTTGAGAGGCCGAGGCAGGTGGATCACCTGAGGTCAGGAGTTTGAGACCAGCCTGGCCAACATGGTGAAATCCGTCTCTACTCAAAATACAAAAATCAGCCGGGCCTGATGATGGGCACCTGTAGTCCTAGCTACTCCGGGTGCTGAGGCATGAAAATCACTTGAGCCCACGAGGCAGAGGCTGCAGTGAGCCGAAATTGCACTACTGCACTCCAGCCTGGGCAACAGAGCAAGACGCTGTCTCAAAAAAAAAAAAAAAATATATATATATATATATATATATATGTATGTATGTATTTGGCCCGGCACAGTGGCTCACGCCTGTAATCCTAGCACTTTGGGAGGCCAAGGTGGGTGGATCGCTTGCGGCCAGGAGTTTGAGACCAGCTGGGCAACATGATGAAACTCTGTCTCTACTGAAAATACAAAAATTAGCCGGACATCATGGTGCTCGCCTGTAGTCCCAGCTGCTCAGGAGGCTGAGGCAGGAGAATTGCTTGAACTTGGGAGACAGAGGTTGCAGTGAGCTGAGATGGTGCCACTGCACTCCAGCCAGGGCAACAGAGTGAGACCCTGTCTCAAAAAAAAAAAAATAATTGTCTCTAGGATTATTTGTCAACATTATGTGAGGTATGCTCTGCACATTTTTAAGGAGAAAATATTTTTATTTTTATTATAAAACATTCAAAGTTATAGAGAATAGTGTAATCAACAGCTGCACAAATATAACCCAGTTTTATCAGATCTTAGTATTTTCCCATACTTGTTTCTTTCTTTTTTTTTTTTCCAGTGGTTAAAAAATTACAAATATAGTCGGGCGTGGTGGCTCAGGCCTGTAATCCCAGCACTTTGGGAGGCCAAGGCAGGGGGATCACTTGAGGTCAGGAGTTGTAGACCAGCCTGACCATCATGGAGAAACCCCGTCTCTACTAAAAATACAAAATTAGCCAGGCATGCTGGCGCATGCCTATAATCCCAGCTGCTTGGGAGGCTGAGGCAGGAGAATCACTTGAACCCAGGAGGTGGAGGTTGCAGTGAGCCGAGATCATGCCATTGCACTCCAGCCTGGGCGACAGAGCAAGACTCCATCTCGAGAAAAAAAAAATTACAAATATAGTTTGTAGTAACCATCCTCCAAGTAGCCAGCCCCCAGTGTGCCCACTTTTTGGTATTCACATCCCATATAGTCCCCACCTACCCTGTAGCAGGGTTGGTCTGGAAGACTGATAGGATAGGATAATATACACTTCCAAGATTAGATTACAGAAAGACTGAACTCTTTTTTTTTTTAATTTTTTATTTCCATAGGTTATTGAAGAACAGTTGGTGTTTGGTTACATGAGTCAGTTCTTTAGTGGTGATTTGTGAAATTGTGGTGCACCCATCACCCGAGCAGTATACACTGCACCTAATTAATAGCCTTTTATCTGTCAACCCCTTCCCACACTTTCCCTCTGAGTCCCCAAATTCCATTGTGTCATTCTTATGCCTTTGCATCCTCATAGCTTAGCTCCCACTTATGAGTGAGAACGTAGGATGTTTGGTTTTCCATTCCTGACTTACTTCACTTGGAATGATAAGTCTCCAATCCCATCCAGGTTGCTGCAAATGCCATTAATTCATTTCTTTTTATGGCTGAATAGTATTCCATTGTATGCATATATATATATTATATATATATATATATATACACACACACACACACACACACACACACCACGGTTTCTTTATCCACTCATTGATTGATGGGCATTTGGGCTGGTTCCACATTTTTGCAATTGTGAATTGTGCTGCTATAAACATGCATGTCCAAGTATCTTTTTCATATGACTTAGAAAGACTGAACTCTTATCTGGGGTGTGTGTGTTCTTGCTGTCTCTCTTTTAGCTCATTCACTCTGGCTATGTGGGGAGGACATTCAAGCAGTCTATGGAGATGTCCATGTAGCAAGCCAGTGATGTCTTCAGCCAACATTCAGTAAGAAACTGCAGCCTGCCAACAACCAATGAGCGACCTTGCATGCATATTTTCTGCCAGTTGAGTCTTCAGATAAGAGTGCAGCTCCAGGCCACTGCTTGACTGAAACATCCCGAGAGACCTGAGCAGAACCATCCAGCTAAGTCCCTCCCAGATTCCTGGCCCACAGAAAGTGTGATATAATAAATGGTTTTTGGCCGGGCGTGATGGCTCATGCCTGTAATCCCAGCACTTTGGGAAGCCAAGGCGGGCAGATCGCCTGAGGTCAAGGGTTGAAGACCAGCCTGGCCAACATGGTGAAACCCCATCTCTACTAAAAATACAAAAATTCGTGGTGGCAGGTGCCTGTAATCCCAGCTACTCGGGAGGCTGAGGCAGAAGAATCACTTGAACCTGGGAGGTGGAGGTTGCAGTGAGCCGAGATTGCACCATTTGCACTCCAACCTGGGGGACAAGAGCGAGACTTCATCTCAAATAATAATAATAATAAATATTTTTTGTTTTAAGCTGCTAAGTGTTGGGAATAGTTTTTTTTTTGAGATGGGTCTCACTGTGTCGCCCAGGCTGGAGTGCAGTGGTATGATCATGGTTTATTGCAGCCTCAACCTCCCAGGCTCATGGGATCCTCCCATCTCAGCCTCCCAAATAGCTGGGATCACAAGTGTGTACCACCACACCTGACTTTTTTTTTTTTTTTAAAGTAGAAACAAAGTCTTGCTGTTGCCCAGGCTGGTCTGGAATTCCTGGGCTCAAGTAATCCTCCCTCTTCAGCCTCCCAAAATGCTGGCATTACAGGCATGAGCTACCATGCCTGGCCCAAGTGTTAAAGGCTTTTTTAAATTTTATTTTTATTATCATGTTTTTCTTTTGTTCAAAGTGTTAAGTCTTTTTTTTTTTTTTGAGATGGAGTCTCGCTCTGTTGCCCAGGCTGGAGTGCAGTGGCACAATCTCAGCTCACTGCATCCTCCACCTCCCAGTTTCAAGTGATTCTCCTGCCTCAGCCTCCTGAGTAACTGGGATTATAAGCGCATGCCACCACACCTGGCTAATTTTTTGTATTTTTAGTAAAGACAGGGTTTTACCATGTTGGCCAGGCTGGTCTTGAACTCCTGACCTCAGGTGATCCACCGGCCTCGGGCTCCTAAAGTGCTGGGATTACAGGCGTGATCCACCATACCTGGCCTAGTATTAAATCTTTATAACAACATAATTACAAGCTTGAGACTTCTATTACCCTGTTTTACAGATGAGTAACTGGGGCACAGTAAGGTTGAGTAATTTGGCCAAGGTTATACAGCTAGTAATTACATGATACCAAAACTGATAGCTTCTGCCAGTGCTCTTAATATAAGGTTGAAAGAGGCCGGGCGCGGTGGCTCACACCTGTAATCCCAGCACTTTGGGAGGCCGAGGCGGGCAGATCACGAGGTCAGGAGATCGAGACCATCCTGGCTAACACGATGAAACCCCGTCTCTACTAAAAATACAAAAAATTAGCCGGGCTTGGTGGCGGGCGCCTGTAGTCCCAGCTACTCAGGAGGCTGAGGCAGGAGAATGACGTGAACCCGGGAGGCAGGGCTTGCAGTGAGCCGAGATGGCGCCACTGCACTCCAGCCTGGGCGACAGAGCGAAACTCTTGTCTCAGAAAAAAAAAAAAAATAATAATAATAATAATAAGAAGGTTGAAGGAAAAAAGAAAAGAGCCAATTAACATAAAACATAGCTGTTAGAAGCCTCCTTCTACAAATGGCCATGAAGTCTAAGTCGATAATTATATCTGCTTTCTTTTTTTTTTTTTTCCTTTTTTGAGACAGAGTCTTGCTCTGTCGCTCAGGCTGGGGTGCAGTGGCGTGATCTCGGCTCACTGCAACCTCCACCTCCCAGGTTTGAGCGATTCTGCTGCCTCAGCCTCCAGAGTAACTGGGACTATAAGCATGCACCACCATGCCTGGCTAATTTTTGTATTTTTAGTAGAGACAGGGTTTCACCATGTTAGTCAGGCTGGTCTCGAACTCCTAACCTCAGGTGATCCACTCGCCTCACCCTCCCAAAGTGCTGGGATTACAGGCGTAAACCACCACACCCAGCCAATAATCATAGCTGCCTTCTTCCACCACTTCTTCCAGTCCCCTTTTGAAGGATGCCTCACAGGGACACCCAATACTTTATTCCCATAAGACCTGACTTCTTGGTGGTCTTGTTTTTACTGGGTTGCTCTACTTTTCCATTAACCAGGTCTTAGGGTCAAGAGCCTGCTAAGATGTGTCCCCAGTGAATTTTTGGTTTCCAGACATAGTCTCCTTCCTCTTTTAAGTAACAGAGCCATTTTCCTCTTGCTAATCATATATACAGAGGCTAATTCAGTGATGGTTTTAGTCAGCTCAGGCTGCTATTACAAAATACCACATACTGGGTGGCTTAAACAACAGATAATGATTTCTCACAGTTCTGGTGGCTAGGAAGTCCAATATCAGGTAGATAGCATGATTGGGTGCTGGTGAGGGCTCTTTTCCTAGCTTGAAGACGGCTGCCTTCTTGCCTCACTTGGTGGACAAAGAGAAGAAAGGCTCTCTAGCATCTTCTTTTTTTTTTTTTTTTTTTTTTTTTTTGAGATGGAGAATCTCAGATGCTCTGCCTGTCCAGGCTGGAGGCTGGAGTGCAATGGCTTGATCTGGGCTCACTGCAACCTCTATCTGCTGGGTTCAAGCCATTCTCCTGCCTCACCTTCCCAAATAGCTGGGATTAGAGATGTGTGCCACCATGCCCAGCTAATTTTTGTATTTTTAGTAGAGACGGTGTTTCACCATGTAGCCCCGGCTGGTCTCAAACGTCTGTCTTCAAGTGATTCACCTGCCTTGGCCTCCCAATGTACTGAGATTACAGGCATGAGCCACTGTGCCCAGTCATCTGGTCTCTTCTTATAAAGACACTCATCCCATCGTGGAGCACTGTCTGCATGATCTCCTCTAAGCTTAATTACTTCCCAAAGGCCCCACCTTCTTCTTCTTTTTTTTTTTTTTTTTTTTTTTTTTGAGATGGAGTGTTGCTCTGTTGCCAGGCTGGAGTGTAGTGGTGCAGTCTTGGCTCACTGCAACCTCCCCCTCCTGGGTTCAAGCGATTCTCCTGCCTCTGGCTCCCAAGTAGCTGGGATTACAGGTACACGTCACCACACCCGGCTAACTTTTGTATTTTTAGTAGAGATGGGGTTTCACCATGTTGGCCAGGCTGGTCTTGAACTCCTGACCTCATGATCCACCCACCTCGGCCTCCCAAAGTGCTGGGATTAAAGGCGTGAACCACTGTGCCTGGCCAGGCCCCACCTTCTAATACCATCACGCTGGGGTTAGGGCTTCAACGTAAGAATCTGGGAGGGATGCAAACACTTAGCCCATAATAGTGGCCGCCTTCTCTCCTTATTGATTCAGCAGCATGAGGAACTTTAAATGGACAGCCTCAGCTGGGCAAGGTGGCTCATGCTTCTAATCCAAGCACATTGGGAGGCCGAGGAAAGACAATCAGTTGAGCCCAGAAGTTCCAAAGCAGCCTTGGGCAACATACTTGCCCATAGTTTAAAAATTAGCTGGACAGGGCTGGGCATGATGGCTCACACCTGTAATCCCCGCACTTTGAGACGCCAAGGTGGGCGGATCACCTGAGGTCAGGATCATGAGAACAGCCTGGCTGACACGGTGAAACCCTGTCTCTACTAAAAATACAAAAATTAGCTGGGTGTAGTGAAGCGTGCCTGTAATCCCAGCTACTCCGGAGGCTGAGGCAGGAGAATCGCTTGAACCCGGAGGCAGAGGTTGCAGTGAGCCATGATCATACCACTGTACTCCAGCCTGGGTGACAGAGCAAGACTCCGTCTAAAAAAAAAAGGCATGGTGGCATGTGCCTGTAGTCCCAGCTACTCAGGAGGCTAAGGTAGGAGGATCACTTAAGCCTCGGAGGTTGAGGCTGCAGTGAGCCATGATTGCACCATTGCATTCCAGCCTGGGAAACAGAGTGAGATTCTGTCTCTAAATAAATAAATAAACAAACAAACAATAAAATAAATGGCCAGCCTCGGCTTCCAGTTGAATAAAACCACAATAATGTTTCCTGATCTACACATTCCTTCCTTTGGCACTAGGACCTCTGGACCCACTCAGTCCCGGGTCCGTGGCAAGGAAAACAAAAATTCTTCATGTGAATTCTTAGGGGCCACAGTGGGAGGAGCCACTCCCACCTCCTCTCCTCGCTTCCTGGACTCATTCTAACATTGTCTAAGTCTAGGAACGGCAGTGCTAGCAGAAGCCCCGCAGGCAAGGGAGGAAAATCCACACCCAGAACACGGGTCTGTCGCTGTGAGAGGCACTGTCCGCACACCCCAGTCTGGTCACTACAAAAAAGGATGGCCTCTCACGGCGCGACCTTCACCTTGGAGCAGCGCCCTCTGCTGGTCACCCCTAAGATCTGTGGCCACGCGCGTCTCCCTTCCAATCCTCACCAACAGAGGTAGGGATTGGTGTTTTGTTGTTGTTGTTGTTGTTGTTTTGTTTGTTTGTTTGTTTGTTTTGAGACGGAGTCTCGCTCTGTCGCCCAAGCTGAAGTGCAGTAGCTCAATCTTCTCGCTGCAACCTCCGCCTCCGAGGTTCAAGCGATTCTCCTGCCTTAGCCTCCCAAGTAGCTGGGATTACAGGCACCCGCCACTATGCCCGGATAATTTTTGTATTTTTAGGAGAAACAGGGTTTCACAATGTGGGCCAGGCTGGTCTCGAACTCCTGACCTCAAGCAATCTGCCCGCGTCGGCCTCCCAAAGTGCTGGGATTACAGGCGTTGAGCCCCCGCGCCCAGCCTCTTCACTGTTTTTGTAGCCTTTTTCTCCTTTTATTTGAAGTTTCTGATATCCCCCAGTTTCACTGAAGCGGTCTTTGTGATTCTGATTCTCATCCCCCTTGTTGCTTTTGTGGGATTTCCTAGAAGAGTAGAAAAAAAATTGCATCTTCACTGTCATTTTAATGCTGGAACCTGGCAAATGTTAAAAGCATTATAGTATTATAATTTCAAATACTGTGTTAAGGGGCAGGCATGGTTGGCTCATGCCTGTAATCCCAGCACTTTGGGAGGCCGAGGCGTGCGGATCGTTTGAGCTCAGGAGTTCAAAACCAGCCTGGGAAACATGATGAAATTCCATCTCTACAAAAAAATACAAAAATTAGCTGGGCGTGGTGGCGCACACCTGTAGTACCAGCTACTTGAGAGGCTGAGATGGGAGGTAAGCCCAGGAGGTGGAGGTTGCAGTGAACTGAGATCACGCCACTGCACTCCAGTGTGGGCAACAGAGCAAGACCGTGTCTGGGGAAAAAAAAAAAGTCAACCCAATCAATGAATGGTGACCCTAGCAAACACCTGATACTTTATTTATCTGGCTCAATTAAAATAAAAAAGAGAATTTTATGCAAACATTTCAGACCACTGAATTTTGCCAAATGATTCCATTTCCTAAGGATTCCATCTTTGGTTCTAATGTAATGTATATTCCCTGTGGAGGAAATGGATTTCTCCAAATAACTGGATCCATAGTCATGTAATGCTAGTGGGGAAAATCGCCCCAGCTTAGATACTATCAAATGAATTCCAACATATTTGGGCTCTCCCATTATTTGTCTTCTCACCTGGCAGCCTGCCTCTCTTGGCAATGCTAGGGTTCCAGAATCAGGCCCTAAACTCAGCAAGGGCCTCCACGAGGGCCATATTACACCCTAAGATTCCCAGATGTCTATTTGGAACCACCTTTGACTTATGTCCTTACTTTGCCCCTGAAAGTGCATGGGGAGAAAGAAGAAATCGTTAAAACAGGGACAATCAATGTGGCCCTAAATGTTTTACTGTGGCCTATCAATAATTCATCATACCATCCCTGTTTCCAAGGCTTTACGGCAGTTTCTTCCCCTTGACACAGTTGACATTTTGGGCTGGATCATCTTTTTTTTTTTTTGAGACATTGTCTTGCTCTGTCACCTACGTTAGAGTGCAATGACACGATCTCGGCTCACTGCAACTTCTGCCTCCTGGGTTCAAGCGATCCTCCTGCCTCAGCCTCCCAAGTAGCTGGGATTACAAGCACCCACCACCACACCTGGCTACTTTTTGTATTTTTAGTAGAGACGGGGTTTCATCATGTTGCTCAGGCTGGTCTTGAACTCCTGATCTCAGGTGATCCATCCGCCTCGGCCTCCCAGAGTGCTGGGATTACAGGCGTGAGCCACCGCGCTCGGCCTGGATCATCATTTTTTTGTGGGGGACTGTCCTGTGTGGTTTAAGATGTTAAGCAGCATCCCCGACCTCTGCCCACTAGATGTTAATAGCAACCCCTTCCAGTTCCACTGTGACAATTGCAAATCTCCAGATATTGCCAAATGTTACTTGGGGAGCAAAATTGGCCCAGTTGAGAACCACGGGAATAAAGGAAGCAGAATTATCAGGATAAAACAGACAATTCACCTCTATCACAGCAGAGTTTTTTGTTTGTTTATTGTTTGTTTTCAGAGACAAGGTCTTGCTCTGTCACCCAGGCAGGAGTGTGGTGGTGTGATCCTCACTCAGGAGGTTGAGAAGCAGTGCCACTACAATTGTGCCACTACACTCCAGCCTTGGCAATGATCTTATCTCAAACAAGAAGAAGAGGAAGAGGAAGAAGAAGAGGAAGAAGAGGAAGGGGAGAGGGAGGGGGAAGGAGAGGGAGAAGGAGATGGAGACTCTGGGGCTCAAGGCATTCTCCTTCCTGAACCTCCCAAAGTACTGGGATTACAGGTGTGAGTCACTGAGTGTGTTAGGTTTCTCTAGAGGGACAGAACTATATATAGGAGTTTATTAAGTATTAAGTATATTAAGTATTATAGGAGTTTATTAAGTATTAACTCACATGATCACAAGGTCCTACAAAAGGCGGTCTGCAGGCTGAGGAGCAAGGAGAGGCAGTCCAAGTTCCAAAACTGAAGAACTTGGAGTCAGATATTCGAGGGCAGGAAGCATCCAGCATGGGAGAAAGTCGGCTGGGAGACTAGGCTAGTCTCTCTTTTCACATATTTCTGCTTGCTTATATTCTAGCTCTGCTGGCAGCTAATTAGCTTGTGTCCACTCAGGTTAAGGGTGGGTCTGCCTTTCCCAGCCCACTGACTCAAATGCTAATCTTCTTTGGCAACACCCTCACAGACACACCCAGGATCAACACTTTGTATCCTTCAATCCAATCAAGTTGACACTCAATATTAACCAACACACTGAGCCTGGCCAAAGCTGGACTAATTGTAAGATTTTTGTCTGGAACCTTGATTCAGGAGCAAGTGGCCCGAGGATGATGAAAACCATCAGACGTGGCCAGGCATGGTGGCTCATGCCTGTAATCCCAGCACTTTGGGAGGCTGAGATGGGTGGGCCATTTGAGGTCAGGAGTTTCAGACCAGCCTGGCCAACATGGTGAAACCCCATCTCTACTAAAAATACAAAAATTGGCCGGGCATGGTGGCTCACACCTGTAATCCCAGCACTTTGGGAGGCCAAGGCAAGTGGATCAGCTGAAGTCAGGAGTTCGAGACCAGCCTGACCAACATGGTAAAACCCCGTCTCTACTAAAAATATAAAAAATTAGTTGGGCATGGTGGCGAGAGCCTGTAGTCTCAGTTACTTAGGAGGCTGAGGC
The DNA here is from genome assembly GCF_000001405.40 of Homo sapiens. NCBI lineage: Eukaryota > Metazoa > Chordata > Mammalia > Primates > Hominidae > Homo > Homo sapiens. The sequence continues at coordinate 68,014,584 of NC_000017.11, forward strand.
AGGAGAATTGCTTGAACCAGGAGATGGAGGTTGCAGTGAGCCGAGATCCTGCCACTGCACTCCAGCCTGGGCAACAGAGCAAGAGTCCATCTCAAACAAACAAACAAACAAACAAACAATCAATCAGAGGCGCTGACTACAGTGACGGCCATCTGGCTCTGACATTTGTTGTGCTTCCAGCTTCTTGCTATTTCAGGGGCTCTGGTCTTGATTCTTGCAGGTTCCCAAACCTGGTCCTACAGCTCCCCACCTCCTGTCTCTTTAGTGGTTTAGTGGGCACCCCCTCCCCTCTATCTTTCCAGTGAGTTATAATGTGCTTTGTTTAGGTAGGGCTGGTTTGTTTCCATCATTGGCAACAAGAGGGAGTTGGTCAAGGAGTCTAAGGAGTTGTCTGGAGAACCAAGAAAAAGATTTCCTGGAAGCCTAGAAAAAGTGTGTTTCCAGAAGAAAGATTCGTTAGGAGTTTCAAATGTCAGGGCTAAGTTAAGCAAGACAAGGACTGAAAGGTGTTCCTTAAATTTGTCTATGAAGAGGCCACTGCTGGGGAGGAGTGTGTCAGGTGGCAGTGGAGGGAGGACAGCAAGTGAAGAGGAGACTCTGGACACGTAGACAACACTCATGATGCAGCCTGACTGCTCGGAGAGAGGGCAAACAGGACTTGTGAGAAGCGCCATAGGCCCGGGGCTGAGCTTGGAATGGGTGGAGAACCTGCAACCTGCAGAATGTTTTTCTTTTTTTGTTTTTTTTGTGTCGGAGTCTTGCTCTGTCACCCAGGCTGGAGTGCAATGGTGTGATCTCAGCTCACTGAAACCTCTGCCTCGTGGGTTCAAGCGATTCTCCTGCCTCAGCCTCCTGAGTGTCTGGGATTACAGGTATGTGTGACCACGCCTGGCTACTTTTTGTATTTTTAGTAGAGACAGGTTTCACCATGTTGGCCAGGCTGGTCTTGAACTCCTGACCTCAGGTGATCTGCCCACCTCGGCCTCACAAAACTCTGGGATTACAGGCTTGAGCCACTACGCCCAGCCTTGCAGAATGTTTTTGGACTCCGAGGCAAGAGCCAGCAGAGGGACAAAGTAAAGGCACTCAATCACTGTTTGCTGACTCCAGCTCAATGGACTATGGTGAGTGAGGCTAGAAACATCTTCCAGAGAGAAGGAGCTGGGCTCACAAGGAGGCTAAAGGAGGGGAAGGAGGTGGGAGAGGCAGATGAGCACCGTGGAGGACTGAGCCGCTGTCAGAAGCTCAAAGGGCAGAGAACCCAGGATGAGTTTGTTGTGCCCAGCCTTGGGGGCTGCACATTCCAATATCTGTGCATTTGAGGGACCAAGGATACATTGTCACTGTCTGTAATTTCCAGACGCTGCCTGCAGGTGGGGGACAGGAGACCATGCAGTTTAGTTTTTTTTTGTTTGTTTGTTTTGTTTTTTTTTTTGAGACAGAGTCTCACTCTGTCGCCCAGGCTGGAGTGCAGTGGCGCAATCTCTGCTCACTGTAACCTTCGCCTCCCGGGTTCAAGCGATTCTTTTGCCTCAGTCTCCTGAGTAGCTGGGACTACAGGACCGTGCCACTATGCCCGGCTAATTTTTGTATTATTATTAGACACGGGCTTTCACCATATTGACCAGGCTGGTCTCGAACTCCTTACCTTGTGATCTGCCTGCCTCGACCTCCCAAAGTGCTGGGATTACAGGCGTGAGCTACTGCATCTGGCCGTTTTGTTTGTTTTGAGATAGCGTCTCGCTCTGTTACTCAGGCTGGAGTGCAGTGGCATGAACACAGCTCACTGCAGCCTCAATCTCCTGGGCTAAAGGGATCCTCTGACCTCAGCATCCTGAGTAGCTGGGACCACAGGTGTGTGCTACTGCACACCAGGCTAATTTTTTTTTTTTAATTTTGTTGTTGAGATGGGGATTTCACCGTGTTTCCCAGGCTGGTCTTGAACTCCTGGGCTCAAGTGATCCTCTCGCCTCGGCTTCCCCAAGTGTTGGAATTACAGGCATGAGCCACTTCACCTGGCCTCAGTTCAGATTTTTTGAATACCTACTGCATCCAAGGACCTAATGTGGCCACCAATATTCAACTCTGAGATACCTACCAGAAATTGAACTGGAAATTATTCTTGGTCTTCTGTATTTATTAATGCTTTCTGGTTTAAACATTCAGCACTAAGTGCTCGGTCTCGATCTCTTGACCTCGTGATCTGCTCGCCTTGGCCTCTCAAAGTGCTGGGATTACAGGCGTGAGCCACCGCGCCTGGCCTAATTTCTAATCTTAAGGGACAAAGGTGTCCGTTAAAATTCTCCACTGGTTATTAGTAGTTGGGTTTTCTTTTAATACACTTTTTATTTTGGAATAAATTCAGATTTACAGAAAAGCTGCAAATGTAGGGCAGAGTTCTGGTGTATCCCTTAACCCTAATGTTAACATCTTACGTCACTATGTATATTTGTCAAAACTAAGAAATCAACACTGGTACATTACTAGTAATGAAATTCCACACTGTACAGTATTTGAGTCCACTGCTTTTTTTCCACTAATATCCTTTTCTGTTTCAGACTTCAACCCAGGATACCACACTGCATTTAGTGTTTAGTTGTTTTTAAAGAGTAGTGATGAACTCAGTGGATGTTCCTTTTGTACAAGTGTGCAAGAAGAGTTTAAACTGTCCAGGCTAGGCCAGGTGCAGTGGGTCATGCCTGTAATCTCAGCACTTTGGTAGATTGAGGCGGATGGATCACCTGACGTCAGGAGTGCAAGACCAGCCTGGGCAACATGGTGAAACCCCATCTCCACTAAAAATATAAAAATTAGCCAGGCGTCGTGGCGCATTCCTGTAATTCAGGCTACTCTGGAGGCTGAGGCATGAGAATCGCTTGAACCTGGGAGGTGGAGTTGAAGTGAGCCCCCATCATGGCACCGCACTCCATCCTAGGCAAAAGAGCAAGACTCTGTCTCAAAAATAAATAAATAAATAAAATTTTCAAGCTAGTCAACTGAACTGGTCTGAAAGGCTTAAACTCTGATTATTGTGTGTTTTTTTTATTTCACTAATTTGCAGATCTCTCACACACACACATATGCACAAACACACAAACTGTTCTAATTACAATTTGTTGTTCATAATATTTTGAAGACAGCAACAATAAATTATGTTTATCATAGTTGTATGGGGTAACTCCACAGTTACTCTGCTGTAAACTTTCCTTGGTACCGTCCTGGAAATCTGAGGCCAGCACAGTTGGACCTGCTCACACGTCCCTTGGGATAAGAATAGGGACAAAGTTTTGTAAGTGTGGCTGCCCATTGTTAATCTCAGCTTGAAAAAGTAGACAGAACTCAGAAGGCTGAGGCAGCAGAATCGCTTGAACCTGTGGGACAGAGGTTGCAGTGAGCCAAGATCGCGCCATTGCACTGCAGCCTGGGCTACAATATCGAGACTCCGTCTCACACACACAAAAAAAAGTAGACAGAAAAAGAGATGATGCCACATGTCTAGTCACCAGTTTGTGTTTGCTAAGGTCTTTTTCTTTTAAAAATCAGTATAAGTTAAGCAAGAATAAATGCTTCCTCAATGTGTGCAATTTTTATTTGTCAATTATATCTCAATAATGCTGGGGAAAAACACTTTTTAAAATTTTTATTTTTATTATTATTATTTTTTTAAGAGGGAGTCTGGCTCTGTCACCCAGGCTGGAGTGCAATGGCACCATCTCGGCTCTCGGCTCACTGCAACTTCCAGCTTCCGGGTTCAAGCGATTCTCCTGCCTCAGCTTCCAGAGTAGCTAGGATTAGAGGCATGCGCCACCACGCCCGGCTAATTTTTGTATTTTTAGTAGAGACAGGATTTCACCATGTTGGCCAGGTTGGTCTTGAACTCCTGACCTCAGGTGATCCGCCCGCCTTGGCCTCCCAAAGGGCTGGGATTGCAGTTGTGAGCCATCGCGGCCGGCCTAAAAGAATTTTTTTTTTGAGACGGAGTTTCGTTCTTGTTGCCCAGGCTGGAGCGCAATGGCGTGATCTCGGCTCACTGCAACCTCCGCCTCCCCGGTTCAAGCGATTCTCTTGCCTCAGCCTCCCGAGTAGCTGGAATTACAGGCGCGCACCACCACGCCTGGCTAATTTTTTGTGTTTTTAGTAAAGACGGGGTTTCACCATGGCCAGGCTGGTCTTGAACTTCTGACCTCGGGTGATCCGCCTGCCTCGGCCTTCCAGAGTGCTAGGATTACAGGTGTGAGCCACCGTGCCCAGCCAAGAATTTTTTTTTTTTAAGTAAATATTTCTTTTTAGGGGTCAGATTTCGTGTTCACTTGCAAGCTCTCAATGACAGTGTTTTTTGCCTCGGCCTCCGAAAGTGCTGGGATTACAGGCGTGAGCCACCGTGCCCGGCCATTTTGGTTTTTTAATTTTTTTTTTTTTTCTTTTTGAGACAGAGTTTCGCTCTTGTTGCCCAGGCTTGAGTGCAATGGCGCAATCTTGGCTCACTGCAACCTCCATCTCGCGGGTTCAAGCGATTCTCCTGCCTCAGCCTCCCAAGTAGTTGGGACTACAGGCATGCGCCACCACGCCCGGCTAATTTTTTCTATTTAGTATTTCAACAGTTGGTCAGTCTGTTCTCGAACTCCTGACCTCAGGTGACGCCTCGGCCTCCCGAAGTGCTGGGATTACAGGAATGAGCCATGGCCTGGTTTTTAAATTCTTTTTAAAGATTGATACTTCATATTGATTTTGAATTTTTTTGTTTTTGTTTTTTGAGACAGGGTCTCGCTCCGTTACCCAGGCTGGAGTGCAGTGGCCCAATCATATTATAACTTACTGCTAATTTTAAAATTTTTTTCTGGGGAGGTTGGGGTTGGGGGTGGTGTCGTCTCCTTATGTCGCCCAGGCTGGTCTCAAACTCCCGGACTCAAGTGATTCTCTCGCCTTGGCCTCCTAAAGAGCTGGAATTACAGGCGTGAGCCACCCCACCCCGAATAACAAGTGATATTGTGTTACATTCGTATAATGTGTAATGATCAAATCAGGGTAACTGGGATAGCTGTCACCTCAAACACTGATCATTTCTTTGTGTTAGGAGCATTTCAAATATTTTCTTCTAGCTACTTTGAAATATACAGTAAATTACCGTTAGCTATAATTACCCTACTGTGCTACCGAACACTAGGTCTGACCGTATTTTAGTACCCATTCGCTGACAGTGTTTTTAAAACTCTCAAAAGCACCTCTTTATTTGTGATAACGATAGCTGCCAAGAACCATCTCTTAATCAACTGTCCAATGATCGCCCTCTCTTCCACCAAAACTAATCTCACGCGACCCAGATGGGACTCGAACCCACAATCCCCAGCTCCGGAGGCTGATGCCTTATCCATTAGGCCACTGGGTCACCACAGGATCCGGCTTCTCACACCCTCTCCTTACGCGATGCCATCATCACGCTCCCGCCCCCGCGCATCGCGGTCTCGCGCCGAGAGGCAAGTGATTTGGCAGCCGCCCCCAGCGGCGGCGGCGCGCGCCTGCGCTTTTCTGCGTCCCTGTCGGCCGCCTGGACTTCCCGCGCGCTGCGCCATGGGCCCGGAGCGGCCGCAAGGGCCCCGGAGGGCCTGCGCGTGACCCTCCGAGCTCTCCTGCCCGGTAACTGCATGGCATCCACCCCGCCGGGTTTGGGTGCTATCCTTCCTGTCGGGTTCTTCAAGCGTTCTTAACTCCAGTTGTCCATTGGGCTCACCTGGGGAATTTTAAACAAGGTTCCAGTGCCTGCCCCATCCCATTCTAGTTCAGTTGACTGGGGCGGACCTGGGCGTCTTCATTTTACAAAGCTCCCCGGGACCCTCTGCAGGGCAGGCGGCGTTGGGAGCCACTGCAGATCGCGAAATCCTCCCGCAGCTTCCCTCTCCCGCCAACCTTCTTGTCCCTGTCTTCTCTTTCTTTCCCGCGTTTATTCAGCAGAGATTAATGTGATAACCTGTTATGTGCTGGGAACTGTTGGGCTCCTGGGTGAACAGGCTTTTCCACCCCACGAGAACTTCAAATCTGACCTTTGTCCCTACGGCCATTCACCTTCAGCCGTTTTCCTCCCCCTGACTCTTCTTTCCCTCTGGAGTAAAGGGAAAATGAACATAACAAAGTCCCTAAGTGCAAAATAGTACGGGTTTGGCTTCCCCCTTCCCTCAGCCAACATCCTGAAGTTAAGTTTTGAGTAAAGACTTGGAGACTTTCTGGTGCCATGCACACTATCTGTATGTTTGTTGCATGTAAAGATGCTGCATTTGTGATTTTTACAAATACACAATTTCGTTTTCTTCTTAGACACGTAACACTTGTTCTTCACAAGTCTGTTTAAAATATGGCTAAGCCGGCCGGGCGTGGTGGCTCCTGCCTGTAATCCCAGCACTTTGGGAGGCTGAGGCTGGCGGATCACTTGAGGTCAGGAGTTGGAGACCAGCCTGGCCAACGTGGTGAAACCCTGTCTCTACTAAAAATACAAAAAAATTAGCCAGGCGTTTGGTGGCGTGCGCCTGTAATTCCAGCTACCAGGGAAACTGAGGCAGGAGAATCGCTTGAACCTGGGAGGCGGAGGTTGCTGTAAACCGAGATTGTGCCACTGCACTCCAGCCTGGGCGACAGAGCAAGACGGTCTCAAAAAAAAAAAAAAAAAAAAAGATAAGCCAGGTAAAGAAAATCGAAATTGGGCCGGGCTCGGTGGCTCACGCCTGTAATCCCAGCATTTTGAGATGCCCAAACGGGCGGTTCCCTTTAGGTCAGAAGTTCGAGACCAGCCTGGCCAAAAAGGTGAACCCTAATCTCTACTAAAAATGCAAAAATTACCGGGGCGTGGTGGCGAGCGCCTGTAGTCCCAGCTGCTTCGGAGGGTGAGGCAGGAGAATCGCTTGAACCGGGGAGGCGGAGGCTGCAGTGAGCCGAGATCTCGCCATTGCACTGCAGCCTGGGTGATAGAGCAAGACTCTTTCAAAAAAAAAAAAAAAAAAAAAAGGGACCGTGCGCGGTGACTCACGCCTGTAATCCCAGCACTTTGGGAAGCCGAGGCGGGCGGATTATGAGGTCAAGAGTTCGAGACCAGCCCGGCCAACATGGTGAAACCCCGTCTCTACCAAGAATACAAAAATTAGTGGGCCGTGGTGGCGCGTGCCTGTAATCCCAGGTACTGGGGAGGCTGAGGCAGGAGAATCGCTTGAACCTGGGAGGCAGAGGTTGCAGCGAAGCGGGATTGCACTACTGCACTCCACTCTGGGCGATAGAGCAAGACTCTGTCTAGGGGGAAAAAAAAAGAAAATCGAAATTCTGTAAGTCGGAGTTAACCACTCCTACAAAATGTATTAACATTTTGGTGCATATCTTTCTAATTTAGTCTGCGTGTGATGTGTTATCCTTGTTATCCTTGGCCTGTGAACTCTGAGGCATTCAGGAAATGCTTTTCATGAAAACAGGTTATTTATTGCGTTGACATTTGCACCGATGGTGCAGAAGCAATAGCGGGTGAAATAGCAAATTTAAGGCATTTGAACTAAACTAATAAGAGTCATATTCTTTACCTTCGTGCACTGGCAGAGGGAAAAAGCCAGGTTTACTGAAGCATATCCTTGGTGACGCTGTAAGAATAATTAAGTGTATTAAGTTTCAACGCTTGAGTGCACAGCTTTTTAATATTTTCTTTGACAATGGGAAGTATGAATAAATCACCTCTACGCATACCAAAATACAATGGTTTTTGCTTGAGTAAAGCACTTGTGGGATGTTGGAGTTGCACTCCGAACTAGCTGCTTTTCAGTCGTACCGAATTTTCATTGAAGGAACAACTGACCGACAAACTAGATTATTCAGAGTTGGGCATTTTGCAGATATTTTTTAGAAAATGAACAAAGTGAGCATGTCGCTTCAAGGAAAACAATATGCACTGTTTGTGGCTAATGAAATAACCTACATTTTCAAGGGAAGGCCGGGTGCGGTGGCTCAGGCCTGTAATCCCAGCACTTTGGGAGGCCGAGGAGGGCAGATCACGAAGTCAAGAGATCAAGACCATCCTGGCCAACATGTTGAAACCCCATCTCTACTAAAAACACGAAAATTAGCTGGGCGTGGTGGCACGCGCCTGTAGTCTCAGCTATTCGGGAGGCTGAGGCAGGAGAACCGCTTGAACCTGGGAGGCGGGGGTTGTAATGAGCCTAGATGGCGCCAGTGCACTCCAGCCTGGCGACAGAGCGAGACTCCGTCTCAAAAAAACAAAAAACAAAAAAACAAAAAAACCGTCAAGGGAACATTTAAAAGCTTGAAACTTTGTATCCACCACTGTAAGCTTGATAGCTTTCAAATATTTAAAGACATTTCTGTTTAATGAGTGCAATGTTTTGATGTTGTACAATTCAATGTGTCAACACTTGGAAGATCTGCATACCTCTTAGTGTAACGTGTTTCAAATGACCAGTGCATAATGTTCGATATTCCTGCATGGGTAAAGGTAAAATATGCATCCAAGTGGAGTACAGACTAATGAGCCACCACCGCACGGCCAGACTAATGGATTTTAATGTAACAGAATGCAGAAAGTTTGGTGATATGCTCTAGTTTTCACATTGCAGCATATTTTCTTAATTAATTGACTTTATTATTTTTTATCAGTTTTAGGTTTGCAGAAATATTGAGTGGAAAGTACAGAGGGTACCTGTATATTCCTTCACTTTCCCTCACCAATTTCCCGTTATTAACAGCTTGCATTAGTATGGTATATTCATTACAATTGATAAACTAATACTGATACATTATAATTAACTTCATTAACAATATAATAATTAATATTAATAATAATATTTAATATACATTATTAGTAAAGTCCATAGTTGATACTTGCAGGGTTCACTCTTTGTATTGTGCATTCTATGGTTTTTGACAAAGGTATAATGTCATATATCCACAATTACAGTATCACACAGAATAGTTTCACTGCCTTTAAAATGCCTTATTCCACCTATTCATTCTCCCCTTCCTCCCCTGAAACCCTTTCCAACCACTAATCTTTTTTTTTGAAATGGAGTCTCGCTCTGTCACCCTTGCTAGAGTGCAGTGGCACAATCTCGGCTCACTGCAACCTCCGCCTTCCGGGTTCAAGCGATTCTCCTGCCTCAGCCTCCCAAGTAGCTGGGACTACAGGCACAAGCCACCATGGCCGGCTAATTTTTGTATTTTTTAGTAGAGACGGGGTTTTACCATATTGGCCAGGCTGGTCTCGAACTCCTGACCTCGTGATCCGCCCGCCTCAGTCTCCCAAAGCACTAGTATTACAGGTGTGAGCCACTGCACGTGGCCCCAACCACTAATCTTTTTTGTCTCCATAGTTTTATCTTTTCTAGAATGTCATTTACTGTAGTTGGAATCATACAATGTGTAGCCTTTTCAGACTGGCTTCCTTCATTTGGCAATATGCATTTAAGGTTTCTGCATGTTTTTCTCATGGATTGATAGCTCAATTTTTGCTTGCTTGTTTGTTTCTTTGTAAGTTTGTTTTTGAGATGGAGTCTTGCTGTGTTGTCCAGACTGGAGTTAAGTGGCACGATCTCAGCTCACTGCAACCTCCACCTTCTGGGTTCAAGCAATTCTGTCTCCTGCCTCAGACTCCCAAGTAGCAGGGACTATAGGTGTGTGCCACCATGCCTGGCTGAATTTTTTTTTTTTTTTTTTTGAGATGGAGTCTCACTCTGTCACCCAAGCTGGAGTGCAGTGGCTATGAGCTCGGCTCACTGCAACCTCCACTCCTGGGTTCAAGCAATTCTCCTGCCTCAACCTCTGGAGTAGCTGGGATTACAGGCACATGCCACCACACCTGGCTAATTTTTGTATTTTTAGTAGAGATGGGGTTTCTCCACGTTGGCCAGGCTGGTCTCAAACTCCTGACCTCAGGTGATCCACCCACCTCGGCCTCCCAAAGTGCTGGGATTACAGGTGTGAGCCACCGCACCCGGCCTATATTTTGTATTTTCAGTAGAGACGGGGTTTCACTGTTTTGGCCAGGCTGGTCTCAAACTCAAACTCCTGACCTCAAGTGATCTATCTGCCTCGGCCTCCCAAAGTGCTGGGATTACAGGTGTGAGCCACCATGCCCGATCTGCTTGTTTTTTTGAGACTGGTTCTCACTCTGTTGCCCAGGCTGGAGTGCAGTGATGCAATCACGTCTTACTGCAGCTTCCAACTCCCAGGCTCAAATGATCCTTCCGCCTCAGCCTCCCAAGTAGCTGGGATGACAGGCGTGCACCACCATGCCTGGCTAATTTTTATATTTTTTGTAGAGACCAGGTTTCACCATGTTGCCCAGGCTGGTCTCAAACTCCTGGACTCAAGCAATCTGCCCACCTCAGCCTCCCAGACTGCTGGGATTCTAGGCATGAGCCACCATGCCCAGCCTTCTTTTCTTTTCTTTCTTTCTTTTTTTTTTTTTTGAGACAGTCTTGCTCTATTACCCAGGCAGGAGTGCAGTGGCTCAATCTCAGCTCACTGCAACTTCTGCTTCCCAAGTTCAAGTGATTCTCCTGAATCACATCATGGCTAGCTAATTTTTGTATTTTTAGTAGAGACAGAGTTTTGCCATCTCTACTGGAGTTGGCCAGGCTGGTCTCGAACTCCTGACCTCAGGTGATCCACCGGCTTTGGCCTCCCAAAGCGCTGGGATGACAGGCACGACCCCCACGCCCGGTCTGGACTTTTGTTATTATTATTATTTTTTTTAGAGACAGGGTCTTGCTCAGTCACCCAGGCTGGAGTGCAGTGGCTCAATCATAGCTCACTGCAGCCCCAAACTCCTGGGTTCAAGCAATTGTCCTGCCACAGCATCCCAAGTACCTGATACTACAGGTGCACACCACCACACCTGGATAATTTTTTTTTTTTTTTGTAGAAAAAGGGGGTCTCCCTCTGTTGGTTACACAAACCCCTGGCTTCAAGTGATCCTCCTACCTCAACCTACCAAAGTGCAGGGATTACATGCATGAGCCACGGCACCCAGCCTTCTTATTTGAGGTGGCAAATTCCTTTACTCATAAGCCAACTTAGGATTGGGTCTTCTGCCTCTTGCAACCAAAAGAGTCATAAACAATACACTCAGGAATTTGTGAGAGGAAGATAGGATTGACAACAAAGGTGGTTTGGAGAAGGGGTAGATGTATGGATCTTTTGGAATGAACTTAGAAGGTGTGGATTTGAGTTATATGGATGTTCACCCAAAGGCCTCCACTGTGGAATAGGCTATTAATATTCAGGTGGCCATGATGGCCTGCTCTGTAGATGTCCATCATCCTCCTTCCCCTGCCAGGCTAGTGCTTGCTTAATGGGATCATGAACCACATGGCCAAGGCAGCAGAGACAGAGGCTATGCATACGCTCAGTATCATTCACTTCCTACTACTGAGTCTGGTCTGGCTACTATTTCTGCCGGGGGCCCAACCAGCCCTGATGTTGGCTTCACACCCTGAAGGGACCATTCAATTACCTGGTGATCATGACAATAACATTGGACCCTTTCCATAATAGATCAGGAGGAAGAGACATTTTATCTGGATTGGGCCATATTTACTTTCCAATGTGTCACTCTGCTGCCAGCACCACCATCCATTCACTTTCTTTTTTTTTTGAGACGGAGTCTTGCCCTGTCGCCCAGGCTGGCGTACAGTGGCATGATCTCGGCTCAGTGCAACCTGCGCCTTCCAGGTTCAAGCGATTCTCCTCCCCCAGCCTCCCGAGTAGCTGGGATTACAGTCGCGTGCCACTACGCCCAGCTAAATTTTTGTATCTTTAGTAGAAATGGGGCCACCATGTTGACCAGCCTGGTCTCAAACTCCTGATCTCATGATCCGCCCACCTCGGCCTCCCAAAGTGCTGGGATTACAGACATGAGCCACCGCGCCCGGCCCCTCCTTTCACTTTGCAAGTCTTTTATGCTGTCATGGATTCCCAAAGAGACAACACTGCTCCAACCAAGAAACTCACCTCACAGTGAAATTATGGAATTGCAAATCAAAATAATGAGATACCGCTACACATCTATTGTAATGGCTAAAATGCAAAACACTGACAACACCAAATTCTGGTGAGGATATGGAACAAGAGGAACTCTCATTCATTGCTAGTGGGAATGCAGAATGGTACAGCAACTTCAAAAGATAGTTTGGCAGTTTCTTACAAAGGTAAACATAGTCTTACCATACCATCCAGCAATCGCAATCCATGGTATTTATCCAAGTGAGTTGAAAACGTATGTCTACACAAAAATCTCCACCTGCACACAACTGTTTATAGCAGCTTTATTCGTAATTGCCAGAATTTGAACCAACCAAGATGTGCTTCCATAGGTGAATGGATAAACAAACTGTGGTACATCCATATAATGGAATTTCTTTTTCAGATTTTTTTTCTTTTCTTTCCTTTTTTTTTTTGAGACAGGGTCTTGCTTTGTTGCCCAGACTGGAGTGCAGTGGCGTGATCACTGCTAACCTCAAACTCCTGGGCTCCAGTGATCCTCTGCCTCAATCTCCCAGGTAGCTGTGTACAGGAATGCACCATCATGCCCAGCTAATATATTTTTTATTTTTTGTAGAGATGGCGTCTTGTCATTTTGCCCAGGCTAGTCTCGAAACTCCTGGGCTCAAGCGATCCTCCTACCTTGGTATACAAACATACAATGGAACATTATTCAATGATAAAAAAGAAGGCTGGGCCAGGCACGGTGGCTCACGCCTGTAATACCAGCACTTTGGGAGCCCGAGGCGGGCGGATCACCTGAGGTCAGGAGTTTAGGACCAGCCTAGTGAAACCCTGTCTCTACAAAAAAATACAAAAATTAGCCAGACGGGGTGGCATGCACCTGTAATCCCAGCTACTAGGGAGGCTGAGGCAGGAAAATCGCTTGAACCCAGGAAGTGGCGGTTGCAATGAGTCAAGATCACGCCACTGCACTCCAGCCTGGGGAGACGGAGTAAAACTCTGTCTCAAAAAAAAAAAAAAAAAAAAAAGTCCAGAGATAGGTCTGCCTTTCAGATGTGTCTTGATTAGGGGTTTAAAAGAAATCAGGGAGGCCGAGGCGGGCGGATCACGAGGTCAGGAGATCAAGACCATCCTGGCTAACATAGTGAAACCCCATCTCTACTAAAAATACAAAAAAAAAAAAAAAAATTAGCCGGGCGTGGTGGCGGGTGCCTGTAATCCCAGCTACTCGGGAGGCTGAGGCAGGAGAATGGCGTGAACCCGGGAGGCAGATCTTGTAGTGAGCCGAGATCGCACCACTGCACTCCAGCCTGAGCAACAGAGTGAGACTCTGTCTCAAAAATAAATAAATAAATAAATAAATAAATAAATAAATAAATAAATAAATACAATAAAAGAAATCAGAATCTGGTGTCTCTCTTGAACCTGTTCTACTTTGTTCTATTGTCACTCTATTTTCAGACAGGCTCCAGGCTCTTTCCTTACAGTGGTAAAATATTTACAACAGCTCCAGACTTTACATCCATTATCATAATTCCAAGTGTAGAGGAAGTACATCTCACCCCTATTAGTCAAAGTCCCAGGCCTGATTCTTACCAGTCCCTATTGAGTTATATGCTCTCCATGAAACCATACCTGTGACCTACGGGAAGGGTTTCCTCCTTGGCTTATGCCAGTTAGAGTCCACCCAGGGTAGGGAGTCAACCTCATCCAACCACATGGACTGGTGTGGGTGAGCGCTGGTTCCTGCAGGAAAGTTAGGAATTACTCTTTTAATAGAGGTGTGCATATCTGCTGGGCAACATAAATAAAATTAATGACCCTTATACCAACCAGCCAGCTAAGCTGGTTTTCACTGTTTGGGAATCAGTGTGGATCTCACCTCGGGATATCTGCTCTTTCAGAAAAATGTGTACCAGCTGCATGCTTCAAGGTTCTACCCACTAGGGAGTTTGACTGCTTACTTTCCTTCAGAGCTGTGTGTTAGTCCATTTTGTATTGTTATAAAGGAAGACCTGAGGCTAGGTAATTTATATTTTTTTAAAAAGGGGAGGTTTAGTGGCTCATGGTTCTGCAGGCTGTACAAGAAGTATGGTGCCAGTATCTGTTTCTGGTGAGGGCTTCAGGAAGCTTCGAGATGGAGTCTCACTCTGTCACCCAGGCTAGAGTGCAGTGGCACGATCTTGGCTCACTGCAACCTCTTCCTCCCAGGTTCAAGTGATTCTTCTGCCTCAGCCTCCTGAATAGCTGGGATTACAATCATACGCCACCATTCCCAGCTAATTTTTGTGTTTTTAGTAGAGGCGGGGTTTCACCGCGTTGGCCAGGCTGGTCTCTTAACTCCTGACCTCAAGTGATCCACCCACCTTGGCCTCCCAAAGTGTTGGGATTACAGGCATGAGTCACTATTCCTGGCCCAGGCTCTTTTTAACAATCAGACTTCAGCCAGGCACAGTGGCTCACACCTGTGAGCACTCTGGGAGGCCGAGGTGGGGAGATTGCTTGAGCCCAAGAGTATGAGACTAGCCTGGGCAACATAGTGAGACCCCGTCTCCATTTTAAAAAGAAAAAGAAAGGGCCGGGCGCGGTGGCTCACGCCTGTAATCCCAGCACTTTGGGAGGCGGAGGCGGGTGGATCACGAGGTCAGGAGATCGAGACCATCCTGGCTAACACGGTGAAATCCCGTCTCTACTAAAAATACAAAAAAAAATTAGCTGGGCGTGGTGGTGGGCGCCTGTAGTCCCAGCTGCTCGGGAGGCTGAGGCAGGAGAATGGCGTAAACTCAGGAGGCAGAGCTTGCATTGAGCGGAGATGGCGCCACTGCACTCCAGCCTGGGCGACAGAGCGAGACTCCATCTCAAAAAAAAAAAAAAAAAAAAGAAAGAAAAAGAAAAAGAAAGAAAAAGAGTCAGATCTCACAGTAACTGACAGTCAGAACTCCCTTGTTACCATGGGGAGGGCACCAGCCATTACTAAGAGATCTGTTCTCATGACCCAAACGCCTCCCACTAGGCCCCACCTCCAATACTGGGAGTCAAATTTCAACATGAGATTTGGAGGAAACAAATAGCCGAACTATATTAGGTTGCCTACATGTGAGGCCATCGGTCAGGAGCAATCCACTTCAGCTAATGTCAACATAGTATGCAGAGCACCTAGCTTGACCTTCATCTTGCTGGTCATTGATTGTCCCATGAGGCCACAGGTGTAATCTGCTGGCAGGAGTCAGCAGCTGGGAACATAAGTCACTTGTTCATGCAGTTTTCTTCTACCTTCTGGGTCCTTTTGGTCCAGGTCCCTCCCATCCCACTTCTACTTCGTTATGGAGTGCTGCTGTGCCCACCCAACTTCATGGGATCAGATAACCCCCAATTCGTCATGAGTAGCTCACATTACATTGGTTTTATTTTATTTGTTTTTGAGACAGGGTCTTGATCTGTTACCCAGGCTATGGCGCAGTGGCATGATCACATGGTTCACTGCAGCCTCGACCTCCTGGGCTCAGGTGATTCTCCCACTTTAGCCTCCTGAGTGTCTGGGACTACAGACACGTGCCACCAGGGCTGGCTACACACCAAGCCTGGTTAATTTTTTTTTTTTTTTTTTTGAGACAGGGTCTTGTTCTGTCACTTAGGCTGGAGTGTGGTGGTATGATCTCTGCTCACTGCAACCTCCACCTCCTGGGTTCAAGCGATCGTCCCGTCCCAGCCTCTTGAGTAGCTGGGACTACAGGTGCATGCCACCACGCCCAGCTATGTTTTGTAGAGATGGGGTTTTGCCATGTTCCCCAGGCTGGTCTTGAACTCTTGGGCTCAAGCAATCCACCCATCTCGGCCTCCCAAAGTACTGGGATTACAGGCATGAGCCACCCCACCTGGCAGGTTACATTTTTATTTGGAGTTCAGTAGGTGATCAAGAGCTCTTTCTCAAAACGAGGATAGTTCCTTACTGAAGAGCCTCCATATGTGGCACTAATCTCTGCAGTTTCCCCAAGGATGCAGTTTTGCTTCTGAGTTACTGTTTTTGTGGGGAAGGGAGCACCAATGGCTTTCATTTAGCCAAGCCTGCCACAGTAGCCCTGACGCAGAGGGTAAGAAAGCCAGCGTGGGGGTTCTGCCAGCAGCTGGGAACATCCATCCCACCCGCAGACTCAGGAACAGGCAAGTAAACCTAGGATGGGTTTGGAGACTCTTTGGCTGACACAGGGACCCAGGTTCCTTCCATGTTGCAGCTCTACCACCTTCCTCATAGGGCTCCCAGTGTGGCCAGGCTTGTCTGCTTCAAGCCAGGGAAAGGAGAGAGAGAGAGAGACACCATTTTGTAAGCGCTAACCCATTAGACAAATACATTACTTTCACTTGAACTAGACTTATGGCCTCACCTGGATCCAAGGAAACTGAAAAGTAGAGTCACTGGCTAGGCACCCATCCACCCATCTACCAGCAACAAGTAGACCAAATGGAAGGTGAAACATGAGTTTTGGTGGAGAATTAGGGATTGCTGCCACACTCAAATCAGAAAGGGCTGTATTTGGCTGAGCACGGTGGCTCACACCTGTAATCTCAGCACTTTGGGAGGCTGGGGTGGGCAGATCTCTTGAGCCCAGGAGTTCTAGACCAGCTTGGGCAACATGGCAAAATCCCATCTCTACAAAAAAAAACAAAAATTAGCTGGGCGTGGTAGCATATGCTTGTAGTCTCAGCTACTTGGGAGGCCGATGTACGAGAATCACTTCAGCCCAGGAGGTTGAGGCTGCAGGGAGCTCTGATCGTGCCACTGCACTCCAGCCTGGATGACAGAGCAAGACCCTGTCTCAAAAAGAAGAAAAAATTGAGAAAGTGGTGTGTTTGAGGGATGTTGTATAGTTCACAGAACTGAAACATGAGTTTACAAGACGGCCTAGAAAGACAGTAACTAAAGGGCCTCAGCCTCAGTAGCTGGTGGTCCTATGTCTTTCAGCCAGCTCAGCTCCAGGCCCCTTTCTTTCTTTCTTTGCATGTTTTAACTCAACATTCATATTTTGAAGGAAGATAATCTGAATGGATTTTTTTTTTTTTTTTTTTTTGAGACAGCATCTCACTCTGCCACCTAGGCTGGAATGCAGTGGTACAATCTCGGCTCAATGCAGCCTCCACCTCCCAGGCTCAAGCCATCCTCCCACCTCAGCCTCCCAAGTAGCGGGGACTACAGGCATATACCAACATGCTTGGCTAATTTTTTATTTTTATTTATTTATTTTTTTAGACAGAGTGTCACTCTGTTGCTCAAGCTGGAGTGCAGTGGCACAATCTCAGCTCACTGCAACCTCTGCCCCTGCGTTCGAGCGATTCTTGTGCCTCAGCCTCCCGAGTAGCTGGGACTACAGGCACGAGCCACCGCGCTTGGCTAATTTTTGTATTTTCAGTAGAGACAGGGTTTTACCATGTTGGCTGGGCTGGTCTTGAACTCCTGACCTCAAGTGACCCACCTGCCTCGGCCTCCCAAAGTGTTGGGATTACAGGCGTTAGCCACTGCTCCCAGCCTCTGCTAATTTTTTTTTTTTTTTTAATTTTTGTAGAGATGGTGGTTTGGAGGAGGGCATCTCGCTATGTTGCCCAGGCTGGTGAATGGATATTAAGAACTGAATGTTTGCATCCCCCTCAAAAATTCATATGTTGAAAACCTAACTCCCAGTATGATAGTATTTGGAAATGGGGCCTCTGGGAGGTTGAGATGAATTCATGAGGGTGGGGCCCTCATGATGAGATTAGTGTCCTTATAAAAAGAGCCATCAGGCCGGGCGCAGTGGCTCATGCCTGTAATCCAAGCACTTTGGGAGGCTGAGGTGGGTGGATCATGAGGTCAGGAGTTCAAGACCAGCCTGGCCAACATGGTGAAACCCCATCTCTACTAAAAATACAAAAATGAGCCAGGTGTGGTGGCATGCACTTGTAATCCCAGTTACTTGGGAGGCTGAGGCAGGAAAATCACTTGAAACCAGGAAGCAGAGGTTGCAGTGAGCTGAGATCGCGCCATTGCACTCCAGCCTGGGTGACAGGGCGAGACTCCATCTAAAAAAAAAAAAAAAAGAAGAGACACCAGAGAGCTTTCACTCTCCCTTCTCTGTGCTAAAATGAAGAGATCATGCTAGCACACAATTAGGCGATGGTCATCTGGACGCCAAAGAGGGGGGCCCTTCCTGGAAACTGACCACTCTGGCACCCTTATTTCAGATTTCGTGATCCAGAAATGTGAGAAAAATAAATGTTTGTTATCTAAGCCTCCCAGCCTGTAGTACTTTGTTATGGTAACCTAAGCGGACTATGCTAGTGGACTAACACATCAGCTAAAACTTGGTCATAAATGATAGGACTTTTTTTTTTTTTTTTGAGACGGCGTCTTGCATTGTCGCCTGGGCTGTAGTGCAGTGGCACCATCTCAGCTTACTGCAACCTCTACCTCCCAGGTGTAAGTGATGCTTGTATCTTAGCCTCCTGAGTAGCTGGGACCACAGGTGTGTGTTACCACACCTGCCTAATTTTTTATATTTTTTAGTAGAGACAGGGTTTTGCCATGTTGGACAGGCTAGTCTTTTTTTTTGAAATGGAGTTTCGCTCTTGTTGTCCAGGCTGGAGTGCAATGGTGTGATCTCGGCTCACTGCAACCTCTGCCTCCCAGATTCAAGCAATTCTCCTGCCTCAGCCTCCCAAGTAGCTGGGGTTACAGGTGCTTGCCACCACGCCCAGCTAATTTTTTGTATGTTTTAGTAGAGACAGGGTTTCCCTTTGTTGGCCAGGCTGGTCTTGAACTCCTGACCTCAGGTGGTCTGCCCACCTCAGCCTCCCAAAGTGCTAGGATTACAGGTGTGAGCCACTGTGCCCGACGATATCGTATCTTTCAAAGGCAATTTTGGGCATTATACTTCTGTTTCAGGTTGTTTTTAGGTGCAAGTACAGAATAGTGGTTCAGAACACAGATCCTGGAACCAGACTGCTTATGGCTGAATCCTGTCTTTGCCATTTACTGGCTGTGTGACCCTGGAACAAGTTACATAAACACTTGTGATTCAGTGCTCTCTTTTGTGAAATAGAGCAAATAACAGTACTACCTCACAGTTGTGAAGATCAAGTGTATTAATATATGGTAAACACTCAGAACACTTCTGGGCACATAGTAGTCAGTATTTTCAAGCAAAAGAAACTCAACTTGGCTTGGTATGGTGGTCAGGCCTATAATTCCAGCACTTTGGGAGGCTGAGGTGGGTGGATTGCTTGAGCTCAGGACTTCGAGACCAGCTTGGGCAAAATAGTGAAACCCTGTCTTTACAAAAAATGCAAAAATTAGCTGGACGTGGTGGTGTGTACCTATAGTCCCAGCTATTTGGGAGGCTGAGGTGGGAGGATGGCTTCAGCCCAGGAGGCAGAGGTCGCAGTGAGCTGAGATCGTGCCACTCCACTCCAGCCTGGGCGACAGAGCTAGACCCTGTCTCAAAGAAAAGAAAAAAAAGAAAAAAAAAAAGAGAAGAAACTCAACTTGACAATACAAAAGAAATGTGTATCGGATCTCCTACCTGCAAACCTTCAGAGATAGAGCAGGTCAGACCTCTCAAGGTTTCCCTACAGTTTTCTTATTCAGATTTCTAGGACTCACATCCCTTAGTTCAGAAGAACAGAGGCTGCTTTCCTACCTCCAACCAGTAAACAAAAGGCAGAGGCTGTCCAACTGGATGAATTTAGGTCATGTGCCTGCCCCTGAACCATTCTCAGTAGCTGAGAGAATGCCACACAGTGATTGGTTTAGGGGTGAATTCCTTCCACATTCTTGCATTTAGGGGGATGGGATTATGCTGATTAAGAGTAGGTCCAACCCTTTATGAACTCTGGCTTTACGATGAATGAGGCTGGCATTAATGCCTGCAAAAATGGACAAACTTGCTGTTTGAATTTATTTATAGTAAGAAATAAACCATGAAAACTTTTCTAAAATGTAATCTTTTAGAACACAAAAAAATTGCAGAAACAAAAATGGCCCAGAATCCTGATGCTCTGTTGACCATCTTTGTTTTGTTTGTTCGTTTGAGCATATGGCAAAAAATGCAAAATTCAGAAATGTGTAATGAGCATAGAATGTTACTATAACAATTGAAAAAACTTGAACACACACTACATACTAAACAACAGCATGAAATTTCAGTTTTTCTGAATTTGATGACTGCAGTGTGGTTATATAAGAGAATGTCTTTTCTTAGGAGAGACACCGTGAAACAGAGGAAAAAGGACATGATTCTGAAACTTTCTCTTAAAGTAACATATTAAAATCACACATATGTACACGCGTGCATATGTATACATATATATGTATAGAGAAAGCAATAGCAAATGTGGCAAAATGTTAAGATTTGGCAAATCTGGATAAAGATTTGCAATTCTGCTGCATTTGAAATTATTTAAAAATAAAAAACTTGAGTTTTTGGAGAAACAGGCATAAGAAACCTTTTGTTTCCATATTTGCGGCTTCTATACAGTCTTTTATGATGCAATTAAAAAAAAACTAAACTAAAAAATATAACACAAATCTTCCCTCCCATAGTAGCCAGAAACCCCCGCCGAGTACTTTGGGTGTCATAATAGGAAAAAAATGCAAAGCAATATGTTTTTCTATAAAGATTACTTATTTACTAATTAGAATTTTTTTATTTTCATGAAGATCAACAACAAAGTTTTTAAAATAATGACTTAGAGAATCATTTTGTGGTATTTGTTTAAGGCTGTCGCCCAGGAAAACGCCCAAGGACCATGCACGCTTCAACCCTATGGAAACACGAACGGCCCAGGGAACCGCCCCTTCGCGCTGCTTGACGGGATCTGGAGTCCTCCCGCTCCGCCCCGCCAGGCGCTCAGGGACCGCCCGGCCGCTCCCTCACCGCCCGGCCGCTCCCTCACCGCCCGGCCGCTCCCTCACCGCCCGGCCGCTCCCTCACCGCCCGGCCGCTCCCTCATCTCGCGATGCCATCCTCTTTTTTTTTTTTTCTTTCCCCCCTCCCACTCGCCCCCAAGCCCTATGACTCCCTCCCCTCCCAACGTGTTTTTCAAATCCACCAATGGGCACACAGCTTAGGCTCGAACCAGCCAATCGGAATGCGGAGTCACCGGGAAATTTAAATCGCGCCGGCCGGCTGCACGAGCCACACGGTCTTTGAGCTGAGTCGAGGTGGACCCTTTGAACGCAGTCGCCCTACAGCCGCTGATTCCCCCCGCATCGCCTCCCGTGGAAGCCCAGGCCCGCTTCGCAGGTACAGACTCAGGCGGCGGCCCGGCCCGAGCGCTAACGGCTTGCCCGTGGGCGGCGTTCGCCTTTTGGGTTGGGGGAGGGAGGCCCCGGGTCCACGCCGAGCCTGGCTCTGCCTCCCGCGTTGACTAGGCCTCGGGGGCGACGTTCATTGACCAGGCGGCTGAGTTTCGCGGGGTCTGCGGGTTTAGGGCGCCGACGCTCTGCAAACGGCAGCGGAGGCCTTAACGCGTCGCGGCCGGGAGAATCGGAGCGAGCCAGGCTTGAGGGCGAATGTCCCGGGAGGACTTGTGGCGGCCCTGGTTTCGCCTCCTCCTTTCTCGTTGCATCTTCCCCGGCGTGGGGGCAGGGGCTGGGGGTGGCAGTTGGGAGCACCGTCTCTGACACCTAGGCCCCGGGGGTGGCTCTGCCACCAAGTCGTAGGCGAGCGTAATGAAAGCAAAGATAGCAAATTGTAAGGAGGGCTTTGACTTTTGTCATCTTCTGAATGACGCACAGCTGATGTCATCCTAATTAAGCGCATTCACTCCTAGTCTCTGGAAATGCAAATCAAATATGCGAGATGCGGCACTGCATTTTTAATGTTGACCATAATGTAATGATGAAGCAAATTTTTATTTAATTTTCGAGTCTGCACCTATTTTGGCCAAGTAAAGACAGTAAAATAGGGAGAGCCTCCTGAGGATCTGAATTTATTGCCCTGGCACATAATTTTTAGCTGTAAGTTGACTTGGTTCCCCTACTTTGTCTTGAATTAACTATTAGGGACTCTGGAGTATCGAACTAGGCTGTCAGAAACGGTGGATACATGTGGCTAGTCCAAATTGAAATACGCTGTAAGCTTAAAGTACACAAAAGATTTCAAAGATGGAGTATGGAAAAAGAATGTAGAAGATGTCAGTTATTTTATATATTGATAACACGTTGAAATACTATTTGGATATGTTGGGTTAAGTAAAATACATTATTAAAATTAGTTTCACTTGTTTCTTTTCTCCTTTTTAAAAATATGGCTACTAGGAAGTTTCAATTTATATAGCTTGCATTCTATTTCTGATGGAGAGCCCTCTCCAGGAAGTCTCAGCCCTTTAGAGGGAAGGGGGACACTTCCCCTTTGGGTAAAGCTATTTCATAGTGCCGAAAACATGATGATCCCCCCTCTAGTATACAGGTGTGGATTCAGTAGATGCTTGATAATTCAGTTCTTATTTGGTACTATTATTGACAAAGGAAAATGATAAAGGAAATATTTTTCTCTTCCCCCATCTTTTAGCTTTCTCCCTTTGTCTCATAACCATGTCCACCAACGAGAATGCTAATACACCAGCTGCCCGTCTTCACAGATTCAAGAACAAGGGAAAAGACAGTACAGTGAGTACCTTCTGTTGCTTTCCTGTGGTGGTATTTAAATGGGAAGACATTTGGAAAGGGGTGAAAACTGAGGTATTTAAAAAAAAAATGCCCTCACTTAGCAACAAAAACTGGTGTGATAGGTGAAACGGCATGTTATCTTTTCTCAAGGAAATGAGGCGTCGCAGAATAGAGGTCAATGTGGAGCTGAGGAAAGCTAAGAAGGATGACCAGATGCTGAAGAGGAGAAATGTAAGCTCATTTCCTGATGATGCTACTTCTCCGCTGCAGGAAAACCGCAACAACCAGGTAAAAAATGTATTTTAGTTTATGAGTTACGTGAAATCCAGAAAATCAGTAGGGACTTTTCTTAGAAATTCAAGTAAACTTAACATTTCTAGTCTTAACGGTTTTAACTATCTGTGAACATCTTTTTCTCTGTTTGCAATTAGTAATTGTCTTCTTTCCTGCCTTCTGTAATCCACTGAAGCTGATTTAGGATCTTCCTTTAGCTCTGACCTTCCTTCAGACTTCCCTGCATTTCTAGCTACTAGCTGGGTACCTTGGCCTGACCAGTGTGTCCAGAGCCAGCCAGTTTCTGGTTTATTTCTTCTTTTTTTTTTTTTTCCCCCGAGATGGAGTCTTGCTCTGTTGCTCAGGCTGG
Organism: Homo sapiens; assembly: GCF_000001405.40. Taxonomy (NCBI): domain Eukaryota; kingdom Metazoa; phylum Chordata; class Mammalia; order Primates; family Hominidae; genus Homo; species Homo sapiens. The sequence goes on from NC_000017.11 coordinate 68,037,851, forward strand.
AGTGCAGCAGCACAATCGGCTCACTGCAACCTCTGCCTCATGGGTTCAAGCAATTCTCCTGCCACAGCCTCCTGAGTAGCTGGGATTATGGGTGCGCATCACCACGCTTGGCTAGTTTTTGTATTTTTTTGTTTTTGTTTCTTTGAGACAGAGTTTTGCTCTGTCGCCCAGGCTAGCGTGCAGTGGTGCGATCTCCGCTCACTGCAAGCTCCATCTCCCGGGTTCACGCCATTCTCCTGCCTCAGCCTCCTAAGTAGCTGGGACTACAGGCGCCCGCACCCTGTCTGGCTAATTTTTTGTATTTTTAGTAGAGACGGTGTTTCAACATGTTAGCCAGGATGGTCTCGATCTCCTGACCTCGTGATCCACCCGCCTCAGCCTCCCAAAGTGCTGGGATTACAGGCGTGAGCCACTGCCCGGCCTGTTTTTGTATTTTTAGTAGAGGCGGGGTTTCACCATGTTGGCCAGGCTAGTCTTGAACTCATGACCTCGTGATATGCCTGCCTTGGTCTCCAGAAGTGCTGGGATTACAAGCGTGAGCCACCAGGCCCTTCCCGTTTTTGGTTTATTTCTGCCTTTTTTGGTATTCTCTATGTTTTTGTATTTGTCACCAGCTTTGTTCAGGACTTTCCTTCTGAAATATTTACAGTAGCCTCCTAATTTATCATATCCTTCTTTATGCCATATACTATTTTCCTGAAATTTTTCCTGAAGTACTGCTTTAGACCTGTGTTTTCGCTCCTTAAAATCCATACTCCAAATTGCTTGAACCTGGGAGGTGGAGGTTGCAGTGAGCCAAGATCATGCCATTGCACTCCAGCCTGTGCAACAAGAGTGAAACTCCGTCTCAAGGAAAAAAATAAAAATAAAATAAATCCATACTCCAGCTGGGCATGGTGGTTCATGCCTGTAATTCCAACACTTTGGGAAGCTGAAATGGGAGGATCACTGGAGGCCAGGAGTTTGAGCCCAGCCTAGGCAACATAGGAAGACCTCGTCTCTATAAAAAGTAAAGTTAGCTGGGTGTGGTGGCGCCGGCCTTTAGTCCTAGGTATTCAGGGGGCTGAGACAGAAGAATCACTTGAGCCCGGGATTTTGAGGCTGCAGTGAGCTGTGATTGCACCACTGCACCCCATGCTGGGTGACAGTGAGACCCTGTCTCTAAGAAATCCCTACTCTATGAAGGCCTTCCATAAAGTAGACTTAACTTAGATTTTCAAATTTATCTTTCATCTGGGCCCTTTCCTACATGTTTTTCTCACAATATGCTTCCTTTTTTTTTTGTTTTGAGACAAAACCTTGGTTTGTTGCCCAGGCTGGAGTGCAGTGGTACGATCTTGGCTGACTGCAGCCTCCGTCTCCTGGGTTCAAGTGACTCTCCTGCCTCAGCCTCCCAAGTAGCTGGGATCACAGGGGATCACCACGATGTCTAGCTAATTTTTGCATTTTTAGTAGACACGGGGATTCACCGTGTTTCCCAGTCTGGTCTCGAACTCCTGACCTCAGGTGATCCACCCGCCTCGGCCTCCCAAAGTGCTGGGATTACAGGCGCGAGCCACTTCGCCCAGCCAAACATAAACCATTTATATTTGCAGCAACACTTAACCGTGGAAATATGTAGATTATAAAATTAGATATGAAAATCCTCGGCCGGGTGTGGTGGCTCACACCTGTAATCCCATTACTTTGGGAGGCCGAGGCAGGTGGATCACCTGAGGTCGGGAGTTTGAGACCAGCCTGACCAACATGGAGAAACTCCATCTCTACTAAAAATACAAAATTAGCTGGGCATCGTGGCGCATGCCTGTAATCCCAGCTACTCAGGAGGCTGTGGCAGGAGAATCGCTTGAACCCGGGAGGTGGAGGCGGTGGTGAGCCGAGATCACGCCATTGCACTCCAGCCTGGGCAAGAAGAGCAAAACTCTGTCTCCAAAAAAAAAAGTCGGGCATGGTAGCTCATGCCTGTAATTCCAGCACTTTGGGAGGCTGAGGCAGGTGGATCACCTGAGGTTGGCAGTTCGAGACCAGCCTGACCAACATGGAGAAACCCCGTCTCTACTAAAAATACAAAAAAAAAAAATTAGCCAGGCATGGTGGCGCATGCCTATAATCTCAGGTACTTGGGAGGCTGAGGCAGGAGAATCGCTTGAACCCAGGAGGCGGAGGTGGTGGTGAGCCAAGATCATGCCACTGCACTCCAGCCTGGGGATTGAGTGAAACTCCGTCTCAAAAAAAAAAAGAAAAGAAAATCCTCAGAACGTTGCCTATGACTTCATGTCTTTCTCCCTCAAAGTATATCTGAATGCAAGTGATTGAGACTAACGTAGAAATAATCTTCAGTCTGCTCTGATTCTTGATTTTTGAGACAAGGTCTTGTATGGCGACAGGCAAACACCACCATGCCTGGATATTTTTTTTTTTTTTTTTTTTTTGTTGGGAGGTCTCACTGTGTTGCTCAGGCTGGTCTCACCTGAGCTCAAGCCATCCTCCCTCCTGAGCCTCCCAAAGTGCTAGGCTTACAGGTGTGAGCCACCATGCCTGTCCTTCTCGTTCATTTTTTAAAATTGTTCAAAGCTGCCTTTTTTAGCGACAAAACACTTGGATACTCCATAACTTGAGACTCCAGTGAGTCCATGACAACAAGTTTGGAAACTGTTCTACATATAAAATAATGAATATTTAACAGGCAAAATTAAATGTAGGGCTAAATATTTAGTAGCTGGCTATAAGCCTAACGATGTTTACACTTGCCTTCACAAGTAAGTGTGGATTTTATTGTTTGTATTTAATCTTAATGATAATGTGCAAACTTTCACTTTTCTTCTAGGGCACTGTAAATTGGTCTGTTGATGACATTGTCAAAGGCATAAATAGCAGCAATGTGGAAAATCAGCTCCAAGCTACTCAAGCTGCCAGGTAAGTCTTGTCTGCGATAGCATGGGTAGCCTAAGAAATTTGTGTTTTTAGATTTTTTTTTGGGGGGTGGGGCAGGAAGGGACAGACAGATAGTACAAGGAAAGATTAGGCCAGCCAGCCATAAGCCAAATAGTATTTTTTATTTATTAATTTTTTTGAGAGGGGAGGCCTTGCTATTTTGCCCAGGCTGGCCTGGAATGCCTGGGTTCAAGCAGTCCTCTGACCTCAGCCTCCTGAAGTGCTGGGATCACAGGTGTGTGCCATTGCACCTGCCCATAAAGTTTTTACCAAAGTAATGTTTCAAGTCACTGGCAGGGGAAGGAAGAAATAAATAGTAAGTGGGATTGAGACATGCATTTAGAATGATAGATCCATTTAGGAGATAAGTATAATTTGACCTTTACCTCCCACTATACGTGGATATTTATGATATAATAGAAAGGATTAATAAGTTCTATAGCTTGACAGTGTGCAGAAGAAAAATTTCAATGGTAAATTATCATTAAAAAGTTCTAGGCTGGGTGCTGTGGCTCATTCCTGTAATCCCAGCACTTTGGGAGGCCAAGGGGTCGGTTACTTGAGCCCAGGAGTTTGAGACCAGCCTGGGCAACATGGTGAGAGCCAGTTTCTACAAAAGAAATTATTAGCTGGGTGTGGTGGCACATGCCTGTAATCTCACGTGTTTGGGAGGCTCAGGCACAATAATCACTTGAACCCAGCAGGCGGAGGTTGCAGTGAGCTGAGATCTTGCCACTGCATTCCAGCATGGCGACAGAGCAAGACTCTGTCTCAAAAAATAAATAAATAAAATAACTTGGGTGTGGCGGTGCACACTTGTCGTCCCAGCTACTAAGGAGGCTGAGGTGGGAGGATCACTTGAGCCCAGGAGGTCGAGGCTGCAGTGAGCTGTGATCGTGGCACTGCACTCTAGCCTGAGTGGAGTGAGATCCTATTTCAAAAAAACAAAATGTGCTTAACCACAACTATCAGAACAAATTCAGTGAGAGTATAACCCTGTCAGAATGTGAAAAGTTTTTTTAAAAAGTGACAAGATCTGGAGTAGATTTCTGCAGGGATGGAAAGGAGGGTAATCTACATTAATTTCTGGAAAAATGGTAGTTAATTATACCGCATACATAGCACCATACAAGTAATCTGTTCAGCTTCTCTTAGGTTCCAGAATGTCTCAGCATTTAGTGATTTACTTAAAAGGTTGTCTGAAGTTCTAAACTCTTGAATTGCATTTTATATTGGTTTTTACACAAACTCCTTTTGTTAATCACTGTCAACTTTTATTTCTCTTTTTGTTCCCCTTTAGGAAACTACTTTCCAGAGAAAAACAGCCCCCCATAGACAACATAATCCGGGCTGGTTTGATTCCGAAATTTGTGTCCTTCTTGGGCAGAACTGATTGTAGTCCCATTCAGTTTGAATCTGCTTGGGCACTCACTAACATTGCTTCTGGGACATCAGAACAAACCAAGGCTGTGGTAGATGGAGGTGCCATCCCAGCATTCATTTCTCTGTTGGCATCTCCCCATGCTCACATCAGTGAACAAGCTGTCTGGGCTCTAGGAAACATTGCAGGTACTTGGACTTGAAGTTCTTTTGACTGAATGTATCTAATCGTAATTAGTTGGAAGAAAGGCCTTGTTATAAGTAATAGTGACTTTGTCAAGTTTTGAGCTTGCTTTCAAGCCCTTATTAGGAATGAAAGTGTCGTCTTTACAAAGGCAGCAGAGGGCCATCTAAGTAAGTTTGGGAGTTTTTGCTGGTGCATTCAGTCACTGAAAATTGATGGTGTTGGACAAGGTAATAAAATTAATCTTGCCTCGGCCGGGCATGGTGGCTCACGCCTGTAATCCCAGCACTTTGGGAGGCAGAGGCGGGTGGATCATGAGGTCAGGAGATTGAGACCATCCTGGCTAACACAGTGAAACCCCACCTCTACTAAAAATACAAAAAATTAGCCGGGCGTGGCGGCGGGCGCCTGAGGCTGAGGCAGGAGAATGGCTTGAACCCAGGAGGCGGAGCTTGCAGTGAGCCGAGATCGCGCCACTGCACTCCAGCCTGGGCGACAGAGAGAAACTCCGTCTCAAAAAAAAAAAAAAAAAAATTAATCTTGCCTTTTTTTTCAGGTGATGGCTCAGTGTTCCGAGACTTGGTTATTAAGTACGGTGCAGTTGACCCACTGTTGGCTCTCCTTGCAGTTCCTGATATGTCATCTTTAGCAGTAAGTTACTAACATGAGTAAAGTTACTCACTTCTTCATTCTAATTTCCCCCATCTTCTCAAAAGACAGAACCTCTCATTGCCTATTTTTTTTCCCCCAGTGTGGCTACTTACGTAATCTTACCTGGACACTTTCTAATCTTTGCCGCAACAAGAATCCTGCACCCCCGATAGATGCTGTTGAGCAGATTCTTCCTACCTTAGTTCGGCTCCTGCATCATGATGATCCAGAAGTATTAGCAGATACCTGCTGGGCTATTTCCTACCTTACTGATGGTCCAAATGAACGAATTGGCATGGTGGTGAAAACAGGAGTTGTGCCCCAACTTGTGAAGCTTCTAGGAGCTTCTGAATTGCCAATTGTGGTAAGTTATTTACTTGTAGATTAGGACATAAGTATAAGAAGCATGATCAGGGCTGGGCGTGGTAGTGGTGGCTCACACCTGTGTAATCCCAGCACTTTGGGAGACCAAGGCAGGTGGATCACCTGAGGTCAGGAGTTCGAGACCAGCCTGGCCAACATTGTGAAAGCCCATCTCTACTAAAAATACAAAGAAATTATCTGGACATGGTGGCACGTGTCTGTAATCTCAACTACTCGGGAGGCTAAGGCAGGAGAATTGCTTGAATCTGGGAGGCAGAGGCTGCAGTGACCCGAAATCGTGCCATTATACTCCAGTCTCTCAAAAAAAAAAAAAAAAGCATAATCAGTTGATAGTAATATTGAAATATTGCCTATTTCAGGCCATGATGGGCCTCTTGTTAAAACTTTTAGGGTATAGAATTTCTAAAGTGCTGGGGAAAAAATAACCAGCATCAACATATTTTTTTTTTTTCAGACTCCTGCCCTAAGAGCCATAGGGAATATTGTCACTGGTACAGATGAACAGACTCAGGTTGTGATTGATGCAGGAGCACTCGCCGTCTTTCCCAGCCTGCTCACCAACCCCAAAACTAACATTCAGAAGGAAGCTACGTGGACAATGTCAAACATCACAGCCGGCCGCCAGGACCAGATACAGCAAGTTGTGAATCATGGATTAGTCCCATTCCTTGTCAGTGTTCTCTCTAAGGTAACGAAGTCTTAGGATTTAATCAAGTCATTTTTAGTATTTATAGAAAGCTGTGCTTGATAAGCTTCTTCACGTGCAAGAATCTTGGGTTCTACTAGGAGTCCTTTGCTGAACAATACCCAGTAACCCCTTTTACTTAAGGTTGGATAGAACCTTGGTACTTTCAGTCATTGTTTTTGTGAAAAAGTACTCTTGGAATCTTATTTGTGCAACTGTTCTGAAATAAAACCATTTCCTTATGTTTAATAGGCAGATTTTAAGACACAAAAGGAAGCTGTGTGGGCCGTGACCAACTATACCAGTGGTGGAACAGTTGAACAGATTGTGTACCTTGTTCACTGTGGCATAATAGAACCGTTGATGAACCTCTTAACTGCAAAAGATACCAAGATTATTCTGGTTATCCTGGATGCCATTTCAAATATCTTTCAGGTAAGTCCTATCAAGGTGGCTTTGTTTGAATTTGGACTTGATAATAATCAGTTTACTATTTAGACTTGGGGGAGGGCAGCTGTAAGTTTACTCACTAGTAAGCCACAGAATCAGAAAGCCTGTTTATGTGGCCACCCCTTTGATTAAAAATGAGGCAGGCATTATAAAAGATACAAAAGAGACGACAAGTGGATGGTGTGACCTGAATCGGAGTCAGGCGCTTATGTGGACTCATCACACCTGTTTACTTGGTTGATTTAATTTCCCAATTTCATACCGATTTTTGGTGACATTAAATTTGAATGACTTGGCCAGGCACGGTGGCTCATGCCTGTAATCACAGCACTTTGGAAGTCCGAGGTGGGTGGATCACCTGAGGTCAAGAGTTCGAGACCAGCCTGGCCAACATGGCGAAACCCTGTCTCTGCTAAAAATGCAAGAATTAGCCATGTGTGGTGGTGGGCGCCTATAATCCCAGCTACTCAGAAGGCTGAGGCAGGAGAATCGCTTGAACCCGGGAAGCGGAAGTTGCAGTGAGCCAAGTTTGTGTTATTGCACTCCAGCTTGGGCAAGAGTGAAACTGTCTTAAAAAAAAAAAAAAAAAAAGTTGAGCCTTCAATAATGGATGCTAGCGTATCTGTTACTGTGTATAAATAATTTGTCAGTATGTGGCCAGTATTTCTTCTTCCCCTCATCTAATCCCCTAAGTTATTTTGAAGCAAATCTGTTTTTTTCATCTATAGATATTTATGTATCTCTTTAAGGTTGAAAATTTAAAGGAAAACTAACCTACATACCATTCCATATGTCCAGTAAATCCTTAATACCAACACACATTCTGTTTGGGGACGTTTAGTTTAGCACTCCATAGGCCATCTTTGCCCTTAGACACCTTGACTACACCTTGTGATGACATAGGATGCTTTATGAAACAATACACCCCTGTTCCCATAGCAGACCAGTTGAACTGGAATGTAGTGTTGTTTTAAAAGTTGCCCGCATGATTTTGATACATAGAAAAGGTTGGGAGCTACTACTGATTGTAAGATCTTTGGCTCCAGTTGAAGTAGTGCTAAAAGCAGGTACAGATCCAATCACATTGAGTGTCAACAAAATATAAAATGGACATAAAACTATGATAGGCTTGATGAAGGAATTGTTAGGTGCTTATTTCTGCCTGACGTATCAATATTCAAATTATTGATGTTTTCTTCATTAAAATAAAACCAGAGTATATGCCAGTAAACTTGGATTTTTTTTTTTTTTAGGCTGCTGAGAAACTAGGTGAAACTGAGAAACTTAGTATAATGATTGAAGAATGTGGAGGCTTAGACAAAATTGAAGCTCTACAAAACCATGAAAATGAGTCTGTGTATAAGGCTTCGTTAAGCTTAATTGAGAAGTATTTCTCTGTAGAGGTGAGTAATGGATGGTAATATTAATAACAACTTGGAAACATAAAGTCAAGGCCATAAGCCTTTTTTTCCCTTTTAAAAATAAGTGTCATATCTTTGTTAAATATAGTAAAATATCAGTGTGCATGGGACATAATGTACTTATTTGCCCCTCTAGTTTGGCTTGATGGTAATAAAATCTTTTTAAACTGAGATTTTAAAAGCCACCAGATTAGTTTCAAATGAACAACCTTGAGAATCTTAGAATATCTTGAGGGTAAGTTAACGGGTGTCATTGTAGGAGGTGATAGAGAAGTAGGCCAAACTCATCACCATGCTCTGGGCCTAATACAGTCTTTTCCTATTGAAAAGTGACGGTTGGGGAAGAAAAAAATCTCGGCCTGTTTGTGTTACTGTAGTAGCTAGCATTTATGAATTGGCAAAGTTTCAGAGACCCTCCCTCCTCTATGTCAAATACTATAATATCATACAGGATTAAAGGTGTAATATGCAGATCAAGACCTAGAGATTAAATACAGACTTCAGGTAGGCTGCTGCTTGGAATACTTATATCATTTTTATACTTATTTTTTAATATATTTCCAGGAAGAGGAAGATCAAAACGTTGTACCAGAAACTACCTCTGAAGGCTACACTTTCCAAGTTCAGGATGGGGCTCCTGGGACCTTTAACTTTTAGATCATGTAGCTGAGACATAAATTTGTTGTGTACTACGTTTGGTATTTTGTCTTATTGTTTCTCTACTAAGAACTCTTTCTTAAATGTGGTTTGTTACTGTAGCACTTTTTACACTGAAACTATACTTGAACAGTTCCAACTGTACATACATACTGTATGAAGCTTGTCCTCTGACTAGGTTTCTAATTTCTATGTGGAATTTCCTATCTTGCAGCATCCTGTAAATAAACATTCAAGTCCACCCTTTTCTTGACTTCACCATGCCTATGTGTTGCTTTCTAATTTGGGGCCTTTAATGTTGCTAGTGAAAGGTAACCTGTCCAAACTGATGGGATTAACCAGAGGTAGTCCTGGCTGCAGTTTTTGCAGAAGAATGAATAACATTTTCTGGAAACCCTCAGCCAGTGTCTCCTTAAGTCTCCTTGGCCAGGGAGATGGGCTAAACACCGTAAATTTAATCATAAATCTCTGCTGGAGCTACAAATGGAATTCTTTCCTCCCAAACTTCAAGGCCGAATGGGGTTCCAAGGTAAATCACGGCTGCACATGGGCCTCATCTGGGAAAGTACCCAGTTCTGTTTCGTTGATGAGGGGCATGAGGGTCCACCATGTGTCTTTTTTAAAAATGTAATTCCCAAGGGCTCCTGTACAGTGTAGGTTGATAGCCACTACTCTTTGAGATGGTGTCTCGCTCTGTCACCCAGGCGAAACCCTGTCTCTAGTAAAAATACAAAAAATTAGCTGGGATTACAGGCATGGTGGTGGGAGCCTGTAATCCCAGCTACTCAGGAGGCTGAGGCAGGAGAATCGCTTGAACTCCGGAGGCGGAGGTTGCAGTGAGCTGAGATTGCGCCACTGCACTCCAGCCTTGGTGACAAGAGCGAGACTCTTGTCTAAAAAAAAATCCCCTTTGATAATATATCTTTACCTATAACTTTAATTTTTGTATTTGTTTTTGTTGTAAGCAAGGGAGGAAAGGTAATATTCCTAATACCATTTGGCAATTATAGTAAAAACTGCTGACACTTACTTTGCTTGTTGAAATAATCTGAAAAGAGTAACATTAAAAGATGTCAGTGTTAAACATTTCACAAAGTATTCTTTCATTGCTATATTGCATTTTGGCTAAAAATAATCAGGCTACTTGATTATTTTTAGAACAAAGGAAATCAACATTCTGTTTCCTAATGTTGATTTTTTTTTTCTCTCATCAATCTGGCTGCATCATCACTGAAGAAAAAACGGGGTAATTTTTCGTTACTGTAAATCCTTATTGTTAAGATTTTTTATTTCAGCATTTGGCTGCTTTAATTGCATAACAGCAGTAAGAGCAAAGTCAGTTTTGTTCATAGGAGCCATTGGAAACCTTGTCAGATACAGGACCCAAGTTCAGAAGGCCATTAAGGCCTGGCTGCTCCTTACCCCTCTCCACCCTTGCTGGAGCTTGCCAAAACCCAGTGGACTGATTTTGGAAAGCCCTTGAAACGTGTCATTTCACTAATGGTGCTTTCTTTTGGGATTGGGCTGTTGACCTAATTTGTGATGAACAAAACCCGGCCAAATCATGCAGCCTCCCTCTAACTCCCCATGGGAAAGTGTTAGAGAAAAGTGTTTTAGCAACATCACCCATTTAAGTTTCATAACCCCAGCTAATAAAAATGATAAGAAACACCCAAGCTATCAACTAGGGTTTTTTGAGGGCAGAAGTGCAATTTAATTTTGAGCACTTGCATGTTAAATGACATGTTGGCATAGTTTGAAAGCTAATTCTAGTGTCTGAACGCTCAGTTCCTCCTAAATATTTGGGACAGTTTCATAACACTGTGTAGGAGGTGTATGCATCGAACCCTCTTAAACTGATCAGTTCGTGCGTTCCAGGCTTTTCACAATCGTAAATGTCTTTTCCCATCCTAGTTGTGGGAGGTAGCATGGTGCAGTGAAGTGGACTAGTATTTAAGAGCCAGATCTGTCTGAATTCAAATCCTGCCTCTTTATTGTGTCAGTGAAAGACCTTTTGGTGGGGCAGCTAAGTGCTGGCATAAGAAAAGTATAGATACTAATTCCTACATAATAGAAATATCCTAGATGAGTATTACGGCTATTCCAAACTTTTTGTTTTTGGGAATAGCTGTAATAACTGAAGAAACAAAGTTTCGCTGTGTTGCCCAGGCTGGTCTCAAATTCCTGGCCTCAAGCTATCCTCCTGCCTCAGCTTCCCAAAGTGCTGGGATTTGCAGGAATGAGCCACTGCACCTGGCTGCCTCCAACCTTTTAACACCAAAGATTTCTGTTTGTTCTTACATAGACTCTTGTTTTGATATATTTTACCTTCTAGGCTAAGTTGATTATTACTCTTCTTTTTTTTTCCCCCTTATCAGTCAGATACACATAACATAAGATGACCATACTGGATTGTTCATATACTTAATGATGGGATTCTACCGAAAAGTCAGATGTTTTGTCAGCCTTTAGGTCTTTTAGGGGCTTGGCATAGCTTTCTGAACAGTGGAACTGGCTCAAGGAGGGCCCACTGTGACTAAGTTCCTAGACTGGCTGTTAGCCTTTGCAGTATCTCAGTGAGAGGTCCAGCTGTCTTCCTGTGCCCACTGGTTCCCTTTCTCTTAATTCTATTGGACGTAATAATTGGAGCACCTCCTCCCCTAACTTCTCATTGGCCATGAGAACAGGACTGAACCACCCAAGTCCAACTTGGTGATGGAAGCTTGTCAGTATCAATACCTGATAGGCCCCTAATACTAGTGTTAATGAAGTTTCTTTAATGAGCAAACACTTGACTGTTGAGACAGCCACCACAAAGCCATATTTTCTACTATGAAGAAACTCATGTTTAGAACTTGAACAAGTTTAGGCAGAAATATTGGAAGCTTATCCATAAAAACAAGGGAATATGAGGAAAGATTGGATGAATGAGAAAACTTTGAATCAATTCAAAATTAAAATTAATGGTCAAAGGATGATATCCAGAAGGCATCTCCCGATTGTGGCTGCAAAAATACATATTTTAAAAGCAAAACTGTTGAAATAGAGGAGAAATGTAGAAAAACATGTACGAATGAGATGGTCTTTTTCTTTTTTTTTGAGATGGAGTTTTGCTCTCGTTGCCCAGGCTAGAGTGCAATGGTGTGATCTCAGCTCACTGCAACCTCCGCCTCCCAGGTTCAGGAGATTCTCCCGACTCAGCTTCCCGAGTAGCCAGGATTACAGACATGCACCACCACACCAGGCTAATTTTGTATTTTTAGTAGAGATGGGGTTTCTCCATGTTGGTCAGGGTGGTCTCAAACTCCCGACCTCAGGTGATCCGCCTGCCTGGGCCTCCCAAAGTGCTGGGATTACAGACATGAGACACCACGCCTGGCCAAGATGGTCTCTTTCAACCCTTTGTCTTAGACTAAAGTTGTAGGTGACCAATGACTGTCACCCTACTCTGTTCTTGCCCATCCTTTCAACCAACATCTCAGCCACTCAGCAAAGATTAACTTGGGGAACACAAAACTAATTCATTTTCCTTACTTTCTCTCCCTTTCCCTTCCCTTTCCCATCCCTTTCCCTTCCCTTCCCTTTCTTTCTCCCTTCCTTCCTTCTTCTCTTTCTCTCTCTCACTCTTTCTTTTTCTCTCCCTCTCTCCCCTCCCTCCCTCCTTCCTTCTTCTCTTTCTCTCTTTCTTTTTGCTCTCCGTGTCTCCCCTCCCTCCCTCCTTCCTTCTCTTTCTCTCTTTCTTTTTGCTCTCCCTCTCTCCCCTCCCTCCCTCCTTCCTTCTTCTCTTTCTGTCACTCTTTCTTTTTTCTCTCCCTCTCTCCCCTCCCTCCCTCCTTCCTTCCTTCCTTCCTTCCTCTTTCTTTCTTCCTTTTCTTCCTGGTAACTCTTTAAAATGTATTTTCCTAGTTACAGAAATAATACTAATTTTAGAAAGTTTGAAAAACAGAATACCACAAAGATTAAAATAATAACCTAAAATTCTACCTTTGGATTGTATATTTTGGCATGAATAAGAATTCTTAACCTGTGTAACCTGAGATCCAAGATAGGTTATGGGGCTCCTGAACCTCTGAAACTGTATGCACAGTTTACTGTTAAATACATGTGGGTGCTTTTCAAAGAAAGGGGAATATAGCCTGGGGAAAATTAGGCCCTCAAAGGCAGAGCTACCTTCAAAATATTACAAGTTTCAGGTGTAGTTCCTTTCCATTTCTTTTCTTTTTTTGTTTCTTTTGAGATGAAGTCTCACTCTGTTGCCCAGGCTGGAGTGCAGTGGCAAAATCTCGGCTCACTACAACCTCCATCTCCCAGGTTCAAGCAATTCTCCCACCTCAGCCTCCCGAATAGCTGGGATTACAGGCGTGCGCCACCATGACCAGCTAATTTTTGTATTTTTAGTAGGAGACGGAGTTTCACCATGTTGGGCAGGCTGGTCTTGAACTCCTGACCTCAGGTGATCCACCTACCTCAGCCTCCCAAAGTGCTACAGATGTGAGCCAATGCGCCCGGCCTATTTCCTACACTTTTGTAAATGTGCTTTTTTTTTTTTTTTTTTTTTTTTTTTTTGGAGATGGAGTCTCGCTCTGTTGCCCAGGCTGGAGTGCAGTGGCGTGATCTCGGCTCACTGCAACCTCCGCCTCCCGGGTTCAAGCGATTCTCCTGCTTCAGCCTCCCGAGTAACTGGGACTACAGGCGCATGCTGCCATGCCCGGCTAATTTTTTGTATTTTAGTGGAGACGGGGTTTCACTGTTGTTGACCAGGCTGGTCTCAAACTCCTGAGCTCAGGCGATCCGCCGGCCTAGGCCTCTCAAAGTGCTAGGGTTACAGGCGTGAGCCACCGCGCCCGGCCTTTTTTTTTTTTTTTTTTTTTTGACGGAGTCTTGTTCTTGTTGTCCAGGCTGGAGTGCAATGGCGCGATCTCGGCTCATTGGAACCTCCACTTCCCAGGTTCAAGTGATTCTCCTGCCTCAGCCTCCTGAGTAGCTGGGATTACAGGCATGCACCTCTGTGTCCAGCTAATTTTTATATTTTTAGAGACGGGGTTTCACCATGTTGACCAGGCTGGTCTAGAACTCCTGACCTTGTGATCTGCCTGAGAGGTGACAGCGTGCTGGCAGTCCTCAGAGCTCTCGCTTGCTCTCGGCACCGCCTCTGCCTGGGCTCCCACTTTGGCGTCACTTGAGGAGCCCTTCAGCCCACCATTGCACTGTGGTAGCACCTTTCTGGGCTGGCCAAGGCCAGAGCCGGCTCCTTCAGCTGGCAGGGAGGTGTGGAGAGAGAGGCGCGAGCGGGAACCGGGGCTGTGCGCAGCGCTTGCGGGCCAGCTGGAGTTCCGGGTGGGCGTGGGCTTGGCGGGCCCGCACTCGGAGCGGCCGGCCGGCCCTGCCGGCCCAGGGCAGTGAGGGGCTTAGCACCCGGACCAGCGGCTGCGGAGGGTGTACTGGGTCCCCCAGCAGTGCCAGCCCACCGGTGCTGCGCTCGATTTCTCGCCGGGTTGTAGCTGCCTTCCCACGGGGCAGGCCTCGGGACTGCAGCCCGCCATGCCTGAGCCTTCCTCCGCCTCCGTGGGTTTCTGTGCAGCCCGAGCCTCCCCAACGAATGCCGCCCCTTGCTCCACGGCGCCCAGTCCCATCGACCGCCCAAGGGCTGAGGAGTGCTAGCGCATGGCACAGCACTGGCAGGCAGCTCCACCTGTGACCCCGCTGTGGGATCCACTGGGTGAAGCCAGCTGGGCTCCTGAGTCTGGTGGGGACGTGGAGAGTCTTTATGTCTAGCTCAGGGATTGTAAATACACCAATCAGCACCCTGTGTTTAGCTCAAGGTTTGTGAATGCACCAATGGACACTCTGTATCTAGCTGCTCCGGTGGGGCCTTGGAGAACCTGTGTGTCGAATCTCTGTATCTAACTAATCTGATGGGGATGTGGAGAACCTTTCTATCTAGCTCAGGGATTGTAAACGCACCAATCAGCGCCCTGACAAAACAGGCCACTCGGCTCTACCAATCAGCGGGATGTGGGTGGGGCCAGATAAGAGAATAAAAGCAGGCTGCCCGAGCCAGCATTGCCAACCTGCTGAGGTCCTCTTACGCGCCATGGAAGCTTTGTTCTTTTGCTTTTTGCCATAAATCTTACTACTGCTTAGTTTTTGTGTCTACGGTGTTTTTAAAAGCTGTAACACTCGCCGAGAAGGTCTGCAACTTTCACTCCTGAGCCCAGCGAGACCACAAGGCCGTCGGGAGGAATGAACAACTCCAGATGCGCTGCCGTAAGAACTGTTAACACTCACCGTGAAGGTCTGTAGCTTCACTTCTGAGCCAGCGTAGACCATGAACCCACCAGAAGGAAGAAACTCCCAACACATCTGAACATCAGACAGGACAGACTCCAGACACGCCTCTTTAAGAGCTGTAACACTCACAGCGAGGGTTTGCAGCTTCGTTCTTGAAGTCAGTGAGACCAGGAACCCACCAGTTCTGGACACGTGCCCACCGTGGCCTCAAAGTGCTGGGATTACAGGCATGAGCCACTGCACCCTGTCGCTTTTTTTTAAATGTCACTCCCTGATCCTAAGTAGTGTAAGACCTCAGATGAACGAATGTAACTGCCATTGACTAAAGAACTCTAGTTGGACAGGCGTTTTAGCTGTTGTCCTTAAAAGATGGCCTTTGGTTGACATTCGTTCCAAAAGCATGATGAAACACTGAAAACTTGTGTGGTTCCTTTGTCCCAGGAAAGGGAAGATGGCAAGGGCTTATATCTCGTTTGGCAAGGAGTTCACAGTTTCCCTGCAAGCCCCAGAAGGTGGGTGGTAACAATGGGATGTGTTTGGCTCCTCATCCTCCTGCTGACAGCCAGGTCTCAGAGAGGCAAGTCCCACACTTCCCAAGCTCTGGATCCGAGCTTCGCTGCCGCAGAAGGAAAGTCTAACTAGTTAGGAAGCACAGAACTTGCCTGGCCTTCACCAGCATAATCAGATCTGTCATTCTCTTCAGGAACTGGCTCTGCTCTAGGCCTTGTTCTTTGCTCTGGAGGTAACAATTGCCATTTTTCTTTGGTATTTCTGCTGTAGTGATCATACTTGCCCTTCTCATAGGAAATCATGGGAATCAGCCCCAGTCACAGCTGGCTCCCAGATGGCTCTTGATCCTGTGACCCCACCAACATTCCAATGCGATTTGCTTGGGAGGTTCAAACTTGGCTTGCTGGGGCACCATTCTTCTGGAACCCCACCCTGGGAGATTTATAGGCAGGCCTTGGAGAGAACAAATCTCTAGAGGTGGGATGGGGCCAAGCAGTTTCCTTGTGTTGCATGTTCTAGAATTCTGCCTAAAACAAAAGAGGCTGACCTCATTCTTGCCCCACCCGAAGATTGAGCGGGAATAACTAACTAGCAAGCTATTACTGACATTGCTAAATTACCTAACAAAGTTCTTTCTGTCTCTGTCTCTGTCTCTCTTGATATATACTAATATATGTGTATGTATACTATATATATAAGAGAATTCTTCATATATATGTGCATACATAAGAGGAATTCTCTTCCAGTGTGTGTTCTTGCAGTAGGATGCTAAGTTTGACATAAAAATGATCTAAGAAGATTGTATTCTCCAGGTCCCAGGCTGAGAGTATCCAACCTGTTCAGGTAGAAATGGCCAGTAGAGCTCAGATAGTTTCTCATTACAAAGAAATTCTTTGGTGTCCATTTCCTGGAGATACTGTGGAGGATGCTAGCAGGTTTCTAACATACTTCAGCTGTTCAGGAAATACTTTAAATAATTTCCTGCTGTAGAGAGTAGGAGGAGGGCCTGAAACTTGGAATGCATTACTCTCTTTATGGTCTCAAATGTGGTTCACAAGGACCCTTCGCTGTTCACACACACGCTCCGAGGCGTTCTTTTCTGCCTCTACCAGCCTTTTTATGTGGGAATGTTCGTTTTCTAAGTGTGGCGAGAATCCTACTAACTTGGACTTCCCATAGCATGCTGGCCTGAGCTTCCTAAGGAACTCTACAAACATGAGCTAATTAAGCTTGGAAAGCCCCATGCCAGTCCTCCCGGCTATTATTGAAATGAGGCCAGCTCTGAGGTGGACCAGCTGCAGTTTTTGCCCGGCAGCAACAATTCAAACAGTGGAGAGGAAGGGAAGCTGGCTGCCTAACGCAATTGAAACTGCAAGGGAGAAGCAAGTTAGGCAACACGTAATTCATTGCCTCCTTGGTTTGCTTCAGCGTAACAGTGGGGCTCAGATACTGGCATTTTAACTGGGTCAGTTAGGCCTTTGTCCAGGATTTCAGGCAATGGCCCAAAAATGGACAAGTCTAAGATTTTGCTTTTTTTTTTTTTTTTTAATTGAGGTGGAGTTTTGCCTTTGTTGCCCAGGCTGGGTGCAATGGCGCCATCTCAGCTCACTGCAACCTCCACCTCCCAGGTTCAAGTGATTCTCCTGCCTCAGCCTCCCAAGTAGCTGGGATTACAGGCACGTGCCACCACACCCAGCTAATTTTGTATTTTTAGTAGAGTCAGGGTTTCACCATGTTGGTCAGGCTGGTCTCGAACTCCTGACCTCAAATGATCCACCCACCTCGGCCTCCCAAAGTGCTGGGATTACAGGCGTGAGCCACCGAGCCTGGCCTAAGATTTTGCTTTTATCTAAAGCAGTGGTTCTCAGTCGAGGGAGATATTGCCCCCCAAGATGACAATTGACAAATTCTGTAGACTTTTTTTTTTTTTTTTTTTTTTTTTTGCGACGGAGTTTCGCTCTTGTTGCCCAGGCTGGAGTGCAATGGCATGGTCTCAGCTCGCTGCAACCTCCACCTCGTGGGTTCAAGCGATTCTCTTGCCTCAGCCTCCCGAGTAGCTGGGATTACAGGTGCCTGCCACCACATATGGATACTTTTTGTATTTTTAGTAGAGATGGGGTTTTGCCATGTTGGCCAGGCGGTCTTGAACTCCTTGGCCTCCCAAAGTGCTGGGATTACAGGCGTGAGCCACCACGCCCAGCCAACAATTTACTTTTAAAAGGTAAAAGTAAAGCTGGTGACAATGAAAAGGGCATGTCTTTGCCCTTTTCTGCCTAAGAGATTAAAACGTGGACAACATGCAATAGCCTTCAACTCTGGTCTCCCTGCCTTCTCTTCCTCTGTTGTACCACACCAGTCCTCACAACCACCACAGGGTGTGTGCGTGTGTGTTTTATGAACCTTGTTCACCCTTACAACAACTTATTCTCCTAGATTCCTCCCTTTCTATTGTCTTTATTATAATAAGGTACAACTTTTTAATTTAATTTTTTTTTGAGACGAGTCTTGTTCTGTCGACCACGTTGGAGTGCAGTGGTGCGATATCAGCACGCTGCAACTTCCACCTCCCAGGTTCAAGGGATTATCCTGCCTCAGCCTCCCAAGTAGCTGGGACTACAGGTGCCCGACACCATGCCTGACTAATTTTTGCATTTTTAGTAGAGACGGGATTTCACCATGTTGGCCAGGCTGGACTCGAACTTCTGACCTCAGGTGATCCGCCCATCTTGGCTTCCCAAAGTGTTGAGATTACAGGCGTGAGACACCACACCTGGCCTTATGTGCAATTTGTATTCAGTAATGAGTGTGAAGTGCTGTAATCTGAAGCGTGCCGCTCAATGCTTTTTTTTTTTTCCCAGACAAGGTCTCACTCTGTCATCCAGGCTGGAGTTCAGTGGTGCAATCTTGGCTCACTGCAACCTCTGCCTCCCGGCTTCAAGTGATTCTTGTGCCTCAGCCTCATGAGTATGTGGGATTACAGGCCCAAGTCACAATGCCCAGCTAATTTTTGTATTTTTAGTAGAGATTGGGTTTCGCCATATTGCTCAGGCTGGTCTTGAACTCCTGGACTCAAGTGACCCTCCTGCCTCAGTCTCCCAAAGTGCTGGGATTACAGGAGTGAGCCACTGTACCCAGCCACTCAATGCATTTTTACCTACATGGACACCCAGGTAACCACCATCCAGATAAAGACATGGAACATTTCAGCTGAGTGCGGTGGCTCACTCCTATAATCCCAGCACTTTGAGAGGCCAAAGCAGGAGGATTGCTTGAGTCCAGGAGTTCAAGACCAGCCTGGGCAACATGACAAAACCCCGTCTCTACAAAATACAAAAATTAGCCAGGCGTGGTGGTGTGCACCTGTAGTCCCAGCTACTTGGGAGGCTGAGGTGGGAGGATCGCTTGAGCCAGGGAGGTCAAGGCTGCAGTGAGCTGAGATTGCACCACTGGACTCCAGCCTGGGTGATACAGTGAGACTCTATCTCAAAAAAAGAAAAAGAAAACTAATGTGCCTCCTTTATCTAAAACACCAATATTAAGAACAACGATATTTCTAAAAATTCAGAGCTAGGTGTCAAAATGAATTCACCCCAGAGTGCACCAGGCATCGTCAGATTCTCTTCACTAGATTCAACCCCCAGGGCTCCTAAGTGGCTTCCAACCTGTGCTGTGGATGGACAGTGAGTGAATGCTTTTGGCTTTACATAGGAACGGTGAGGACCGGGTGCGGTGGCTCACGCCTGTAATCCCAGCACTTTGGAAGGCTGAGGTGGGCAGATCACCTGAGGTCAGGAGTTCGTGACCAGCCTGATCAACATGGCGAAACCCTATCTCTACTAAAAATACAAAAAGTAGCCAGACATGGTGGCAGGGGCCTGTAATCCCAGCTACTTGGGAGGCTGAGGCAGGAGAATCACTTGAACCTGCGAGGCGGAGGTTGCAGTGAGCTGAGACCATGCCATTACACTCCAGCCTGGGCAACAAGAGAGAAACTCCGTCTCAAAAAACAAACAAACGAACAAAAAATGGGAAGGGTGAGAACAAATGTTTTTCCTTCTAATAGTTTAGAAAGACAGAAAGTGGAAGTTATTGGTTCACACACACACACACATCAACAAAGTATTTGTTTTCTCATGGTGTGCCAAGATTTTATGCATGTCAAAAATATGAACACAGGGCATAGGGTTTGCTATGAAAAGCAACAGGGGGAGACTGAGTTCTGTGTGTTGTGGGCGAGGGAGGTATAGTATTTGTGAAAGCTGAAGACTCCCTCCTGACTGGAAAACCGCCACAGGGAGGCAGTAGAGCTTAGTGGCAAATAGCATTGGCTCTGGAATCAGATTTGAATTTCAATCCAGCTCTGACACCTAATAGCTGTGTGACGTCCAGCAAGTTGCTTAACTGCTCTGTGCCTCACTTTTCAACTCAGCAAAATGAGGATAAAACTAGTATCTAACTCCTACCAGTGCTTTAAAGGTGATTTGAATACGCAGCTCAACAAGTAAGCTCTCAGTCAGTGTTAGTTTACAAAGCAGGAGTTTAAGGGGGCAACTAATTTCATTTCAGATAGATAGATAGATAGATAGATGATAGATAGATAGATGGATCTTGGATAAATAGATTTTTTTTGAGAGCATAATATTTTTCAAGCTGTGCCAAATGGTTTAACCCAAAATCTAAACAGTTGCTCAAACAGCCTTTTTCCAGCCTCCACCTACAATCATGTCCCCTTCTGATCATAGAGCAGATTTCAACAGCTCCTTCAGAGAAACCAGGCCCTCCACAATGTTATTCTTCTACCTCTTTCTTGTCATGCAAAGGATGTATAATTTGTTCCATTTCACTCTCTCTCTCTTTCTTTTTCTTTCTTTTTTTTTTTTTTTTGAGACAGGGTCTCAGTTCGTTACCCAGACTGGAGTGCAGTGGAGCAATCATGGTTTAATACAGCCTCCACCTCCTGCCCTTAGCAATCCTCCCACCTCAGCCTACCGAGTAGCTGGGACTACAGGTGTGCACCACCATAGCTGGCTAATTTTTATATTTTTTTGTAGAGACAGGGTCTCATTATGTTGCCCAGGCTGGTCTTGGTCTTGAACTTCTGGCCTCAAGCAATCCTCCTGCCTCAGCCTCCCAAAGTGTTGGGATTACAGGCGTGAGCCACTGAGCCCAGCCCCATTTCACTCTTGAGTGTGGAAAACTTTCTTTTAGCCTTTGGGGTGACTATAGATAGACAGATGGAGATAGATAGATAGATGATGGAAATTTAGAATACATAATACCTATATATTCCAAATATATCTAATATATATGCATATGATAAATACATTATGATATATTATCATTACTTATACAATTTATTTTGGGTATTCTACTTGGAGTTTTACCTACAATTTCACCGAGATTAGGAGATCTGCTTTTTTCTGCTCTTTTTCATGTTCAAAGTTTCAAAGTAAGAGCTTAATGTGAAAGCTCCCAATGTTGCGTGTCCATTAATTACACTGAGTGTCTAAGCTTGGGAGAGGGGGAGTAGTAAGCTCTTGGCTGGTGGTTAAACAGGTTATTGGAGGCATGTAGGGGATTGATAACATTTCTGGAGGAGGAAGGGGTGAGTTGGATGTGTAGGGATCCCACTGATCAGATGGGAGGAATTTAGATTTAATCCCTGATTGGATTGTAGTTCACCAGCTGGGACTGCAGGCTGGTTTATAGCAGTGGATTCCATGTTGATGGAATATCAGACTCCTTGCTTCTGAAAGGAGTGAGAGAAACTGCATGAAGGGGCTGGGCGTGGTGGCTCATGCCTGTAATCCCAGCACTTTGGGAGGCTGAGACAGGCAGATCGCCTGAGGTCAGGAGTTTGAGACCAGCCTGACCAACACAGTAAAACCCATACAAAAAAGTATTCAGGCGTGGTGGCAGGCACCTGTAGTCCCAGCTACTTGGGAGGCTGAGGCAGGAGAATCGCTTGAACCTGGGAGGCAGAGGTTGCAGTGAGCCGAGATCGTGCCACTGCACTCCAGCCTGGGCAACAAGAGCAAAACTGCATCTCAAAACAAAAAAGTCATTTTTACAGATGAGAAAACTGAGGCACAATGAGGTCAAATGATTTGCCAAGGTGTAACCAGTTTGTCTAATTTCACCTTCTCCGAAGGACCAAGGCGGATGGTGTCCCGGGCTTTTGCTTTGTAGGGGCTCCTGGACAAGGGCTTTTTTTTTTTTTTTTGAGACAGAGTCTCTCTCTGTCTCCCAGGCTGGAGTGCAGTGGCACGATCTTGGCTCACTGTAACCTCCTGGGTTCAGGCAATTCTCCTGCCTCAGCCTCTCAAGTAGCTGGGACTACAGGCATGCACCACCACACGGGGCCAATTTTTGTATTTTTAGTAGACACGGGGTTTCACCATATTGGCCAGGCTGGTTTTGAGCCCCTGACCTTGTGATCCGCCCGCCTCGACCTCCCAAAGTGCTGGGATTAGAGGTGTGAGCCATCAAGCCCAGCCGGCCAAGGGCTTTTGACAGCGGACAAGTGGGCCCACGGAAGCGGACTCCCCAGGAACACCCTGGAGGGCGCTGGAGGAGAGCAAGCTGGTTGCATGTGGCAAAGGGGCAACGTCCTTTTCTGTAAGTTTGGGGACAGCAAGAGGTGAGTTCAGGGTAGGAAGCTGAGGTCTCTACAAGGTGCTGGCCAGGATGTGGGCCTCAGGGCTCTCTCCAGAATGAATCTGCTCGCTGCTGTCTGCTGCCGATTTATTTATTTATGAGGCAGAGTCTCGCTCTGTCGCCCAGGCTGGAGTGCAGTGGCACGATCATGGCTCACTGAAACCTCTGTCTCCTGGGCTCAAGTGATCCTCCTGCCTCAGCCTCCCAGATAGCTGGGACTACAGGTGTGTGCCACCATGCTCAGCTAATTAAAAATTTTTTTTTGTAGAGATTGGGTTTCACTATATTGTCCAGGCTGGTCTCAAACTCCTGGGCTCAAGTGATCCCCCTGCCTTGGCCTCCCAAAGTGCTGGGATAACAGGTGTGAGCTGTTGTGCCTGGCCATGGTGCCACTTACTGAAGAGGAAAGAACTAACGCTGAGCAGAGAAAGGGCTGTACCCAGGTGGTTTTGAAAGGTGCTTTCCTGGTGTGTTTCACCTCCACCCAACAACTATTCTTTGAGCCTTTAATATGGGCCTGGGAAGGAAAATAGTATTTACCACAAACCATACCCTTCTCTGATATGCATTACCCCTCCGAATTCTCACAAATACCTGAGAGGCAGGGCAAGAATTCTGCTTTTACAGAAGAAGGAGCTGAGGCTAAGAGAGGTTAAGGAAGCTATTTAGTGTCACACAGCCACCAAATAACAAAACTGGAAAGTCATCTGTGGTCTGCCTGCCACTTGCCTCGAATTGCCAGGGATAGTACTAATTGCTGGAATACAAATCCTAGAGGAAAGCCTTCTTTTCCTAAAACTTTTTTTTTAGACAGAGTCTTGCTCTGTCACCCAGGCTGGAGTGCAGTGGTGTGATCTTGGATCACTGTAACCTCCACCTCCCAGGTTCAAGTGATCCTCCTGCCTCAGCCTCCTAAGTAGCTGGGACTACAGGCACACACCACCATGCCCAATTAATTTTTGTATTTTTAGTACAGACAAAGTTTCACCATGTTGGCCAGGATGGTCTTGAACTCCTGACCTCAGGTGTTCCACCTGCCTTGGCCTCCCAAAGTGCTGGGATTATAGGTGTAAACCACTACGCCTGGCCTAGAGGAAAGTCTTTTTCTCCTAAAAATCTTTTTGAGACAAAATCTCGCTCTGTCACCTAGGCTGGAGTGCAGTGGCACGATCTTGACTCACTGCAACCTCTGCCTCCCGAGTTCAAGTGATCCTCCTACCTCAGCCTCCCAAGTAGCTGGGGCTACAGGCTAACTTTAAATACCCAATAGACGAGAGAAGGCTGGAGTCCAAATGACCGGTAGGAATGGTGGACGCTGATTGCGAGCTTTTTGGCACTGTGGCTGGGCCCGATACTCAGTAACTCTAGTAGGCCAACCATGACCCCTTAAGGAGGAACTGTTGTTTCCATTTTATAGCAGGGGAAACTGAGGCTCATAGAAGTTAAGAAAGTTGTTCCAGATCCTACAGCAAGCCATTGTCTCTTCCCAGCCAAGGGAGACATTACACGAAGCACAAACAAGCCCTGTGGGTGGACATGGTGACATTTGGCACGTGTGCAGTCTCAGTCTCGTTCAAGGGCCTGAAATGAGTCATCTACAAATCAAAGAACCAGCCTCTCCGGACACAGAATGAGGCTGGTTTGTACATTAGGAGGAGCTGGACCCAGATAATGTGGTTCCAAGCAGAGAAGATAGCCTTATTCCAATTGCGTCCCCTCTGCAAGCCCTTGGGAGCTGCCCAGGCCCAGTGACCCATGGAAGAGAGGATGCTGTGCCCTAGTGTCCAAGCAGCACGGCTTGGCTCAGTCCACTGGGCTTCTTCCAGCTCACGAACCTGTTTGTTTTTACCCTTCAATGTGAACCAGATGTGGGCACCTTGCTCTCCAGGAGGTCCCTCACCCGTACCCCCCCTACCAGGCATCATTGGCAGCCACAGCTGATGGACCAGCCTCCTCCCTGCTCTCCGGCCTCTCTCACCCCCATAGCCCCTCCCTCACTGCACCTCCTGCACCTTCCCTTCCCCCAGCACGATTTGAAACAGGAAATGACACTGGGCAGATCTCAAAAGTCCATATGTCCTGGACACTCTCTCTAGGAATTTCCTGGGCCTCCAGCTTGCTCTGTGTCATGTCCTTCCCACTCACAGTATCTGGGGGGAAAGAAGTGCTAAAGGAAAATGAGAGTGAGCATCCCTCGTCCCCAGTGCTATCTTATCCCATTGTGATCTTGGGCAAGTGATTTATCTATGTCTGCATGGACTCATGAATGCAATAGGTTATAATCCATGACTCTCACTATTCACTGTAATAATTAAATTATTCCCAGGCCGGGCACAGTGGCTCATGCATGTAATCCCAGCACTTTGGGAGGCTGAGGCGGGTGGATCACTTGAGGTCAGGAGTTTGAGACCAGCGTGGCCAACATGGTGAGACCCCGTCTCTACTAAAAATACAAAAATTAGCCAGGTGTGGTGGCACACACCTGTAGTCCCAGCTACTCTGGAGGCTGAGGCAGGAGAATCCATTGAACCTGGGAGGCAGAGGTTGCAGTGAGCTGAGATTGCACCACTGCACTCCAGCCTGGGCAACAGAGTGAGACTCCATCTCAAAAATAATAATAATAATAATAATAATAATAATTCCCAGTTTGGCCAGTGGGAACCCACTCAAGCTCGCAGCTGTGCCCTTTTTTGGTGACCCATCATTCTTTGAGCTTTTTAGTACAAGCTGTTATAGAAGCATCCGTATGTTTTTTGTCCTAGCCCTGGAATCAGTCTGTTCTCCAAAGATCCTGGTTCTCCTTTTTGAAAATGGTATTTAGAAGTCAAGATCTGGATGCTACATGTGCTCATTGCCACTAGGATGAGGCTGTTCCTTGTCCCTCTCAGTGGATACAGCTGGGGAATGTAGATGTGTACACACACATGCACACGCACATATACAATCAGTCACATCTGTGTTGATTTCTTTATTATTTTAAGAAATTGTGAGTTGGGTGCAGTGGCTCACACCTGTAATCCCAGCACTTTGGGAGGCCGAGTTGGGCAGATCACCTGAAGTCAGGAGTTCGAGACCAGCCTGGCCAACATGGTGAAACCCTGTCTCTACTAAAAATACAAAAATTAGCCGGGCATGATGGTGGGTGCCTGTAATCCCAGCCGCTCGGCAGGCTGAGGCAGGAGAATCGCTTGAACTTGGGAGATGGAGGTTGCAGTGAGCCAAGATTGCACCATTGCACTCCAGCCTGAGCAACAGAGCGAGACTCTGTCTTAAAAAAAAAAGAGAGAGAGAGAAAAGAAAGTGTGGTAAAATACATATAATATAAAATTTTAACTATTTTTATTTGGCAATCTTAACTGTTTTTATTTTTATTTAACTTTTATTTTTATTTTTTGAGACGGAGTCTCACTCTGTCACCCAGGCTGGAGTGCAGCGATGCGATCTCAGCTCATGGCAATCTCCACCTCCCAGGCTCAAGCAATCCTCCCACCTCAGCCTCCCAAGTAGCTGGGACTACAGGTGCACCCCACCATGCCTGGCTAGTTTTGCATTTTTTCACCGTGTTGGCCAAGCTGGTCTTGAACTCCTGACCTCAGGTGATCCACCTGCTTCAGCCTCCTAAAGTGCTGGGATTATGGGTGTCAGCCTCTGTACCCTGCCCCATCATTTTTATTTTATTATTTATTGTTTATTATTATTATTATTTTAAGATGGAGTCTCGCTCTTGTCGCCCAGGCTGGAGTGCAATGGCACAATCTCCACTCACTGTAACCTCTGCCTCCCTGGTTCAAGTTATTCTCTTGCCTCAGCCTCCCAAGTAGCTGGGATTACAGGCGCGTGCCACCATGCCTGGCTAATTTTTTGTATTTTTAGTAGAGATGAGGTTTCACCATGTTGGCCAGGCTGGTTTCAAACTCTCAGCCCTCAGTGATCTGCCCACCTCAGCCTTCCAAAGTGCTGGAATGACAGGGGTGAGCCACTGAGCCCGGCTGTTTTGTTTTTTGGTTTTTTTTTTTTGAGAAGGAGTCTCGCTTTGTCACCCAAGCTGGACTTCAGTGGCACGATCTCGGCTCATTGCAACCTCTGTTTCCCAGGTTCAAGTGATTCGCTTGCCTCAGCCTCCTGAGTAGTGGGATTACAGGTGCGTGCCACTAGGCCCAGCTAACTTTTGTATTTTTAGTAGAGGCGGGGTTTCACCATGTTGGCCAGGCTGGTCTCAAACTCCTGACCTCAAATGACCCACCCATCTTGGCCTCCCAGAGTGCTGGGATTACAGGTGTGAGCCACCTTGCCTGGCCTAGATCCATGATTTTTCAACTGGACTACACACTTTCTTCAGGTCTCAGCAGTTATCTTACTAATAATGGCCTCTTTCCCTTCCTGGACCTAATCCAGGACACCGTGGTGCGTTGAGTGTCCATGTCTCCTTAGTCTCTGCTGACTGGTGACAGTTTCTGGTCTTCTCATGATTAGACTGGGACTGCAGAATTTTGGGAAGAATACCTAAGAGATGAAGTGCCCTCATCCTATCACATCCGGGATGTGTGATATCAACATATATGAGTCATGTTGGAAAGATGGACAAATGGGGCTTCCAAAGCTGTTCATCACAGTCAGCGAATGGATTTGAACTGGGGCCATTCTGAGATGTGTGCTCGTTTCCTTAGTTTGAGAAAAAGAACTGTCTGGTGAGGAAAACAAGGAAAGACTTCCGGTACTGAAGCAACGGTGGGAGGTAGAAGTCTGCACCCAGATGAGGTCCTTCAGGTGGGGTGGATTTGCCACCTGTGGCCTCTTTCCCAGGACCTTGTCCAGTCTTGTCTTAGCTTCTCTCTGTCTGGTGCAAGTGGCACTATCTTTTATCCATTACATGGGATTGTCTGGTCTTTGTGCCACTAGTGCAAAGATGAAAATAATCTAATAATCCATCAAAAATGCATGTTTCATGAGAATTCAAGTTATACAAGAGTCTTATACTATGCCAACCAGCAGTCATAGGTCATTTGTACCCTCCTCCCTGCCCTCCCTGCAACCCTGCCTTCAGAGCTCTTACCAGTTCTTGGAGCCCCTCCCAGTGGGATGCCAGCAGAGGAGGCCATCCACATGGAATTGGCTTATGGCTGTTGGTGACACTGGCTTTCCTTTACCTGCTTGTGGACACCTTTGTCTCGTAGTCATCAGGAAAATCACTGTCACTGCATCAGAAACGCTGGAACATCCTGAAGTTTCAAAGCAGAAATTCCAAACCATGTCCTCTGGGCAGTATTCAACAAGCATATGTGTTTCATTTGGCCCTCACTTAATTTAAAAAGCTTAAAATTAGTCCACAACATGAAAAAATCAGGAGCTCATCATAAAAGACTGGCTTTTGGCTTCTTTTGAAAAATCAGATGTGGTAATAGATGGCCCACATTCCCACCTGGCAGCATGAGGGCAAGCGGAGTGGCAGCTGCCCCGGTGGCTCGGGCACATATCCCCACTCCACCCCTGTCCTCTCCACTCCCCACGAATCACCACCCCCAACCTCATTCATTGGTGGTGTCTGCCTGGCCTCTGAAAGTGTTTGAGCCCACAGCCCTTGCATGAGATTCTTGCAGTTCATTCATTCACTCAGCAAACGCTTACTGCGCTTCTACCCAGGCCAAGTTCTGTGAGAGGCTCCCGCATCAACAAATGATACATTGGTGATTCTAGAGCCACACACTAGGTCCTTGATTAAGGGAAATCCTGCTGATGTGGGAGTGTGGATGATGGGTCCGCAGCTCAGCCTGGAGGGAGTCAGGGGAGGCATCCCAGAGACACACACCCTTGGGAAGTTGGTTGCCATCTAAATTTTTTTTTTTTTTTCTTGAGACAGAGACTCACTCTGTCGCCCAGGTTGGGGTGCAATGGAGCGATCTTGGCTCACTGCAAACTCCGTCTCCCGGGTTCAAGGGATTCTCCTGCCTCAACCTCCTGAGTAGCTGGGACTACAGATGCGTGCCACCACATTTGGCTAGTTTTTTTGGTAGAGACGGGGTTTTGCCATATTGGCCAGGCTGGTCTCAAATTCCTAACCTCAGGTGATCCACCCGTCTTGGTTTCCTAAATTGCTGGGATTACAGGCGTGAGCCATCATACCCGGCCTGCCGTCTAAATTCAAGTGAGGTATAAAAAGGACCCTGACCTTGGGCTGAGCCATCTGTCTCTCTGGACTTGACCTGGAGTTTGCTCTCCAATGCCTCATCTCTGTGCTAATTTTGATGGCCTCTTCACAGAGCAGGACTTTCTGTGTTTGTCCAGGGAGTGCAGAAAACACAGTGCAGGACACTCAGCTGTGGTGCGAGGCAACATCAGGGCTAGAAAGATCTGTCATGGGCAGCATGGAGGCCCCATTCTTGGAGCTTGTGTGTATGTTAGCAGGCAACATGAGAAAGGGCCAAAGCCTTGGAGTCAGGTAGACTAGGTTTAGATCCGGTTTTGCCATTTATTGGCTATGTGACTGGGTGGTGATTACACTCTCAGTGTTTCCTTGACTATAAAGTTGGGGATATAGTGTTTATTCCTAAGGTGACTGTCTGGTTTGCTTTTGTTTTTATTTTTATTTTTTGAGACAGAATCTTACTCTGTTGCCCAGGCTAGAGTGCAGTGACTCAATGTTGGCTCACTGCAGCCTTGACCTCCCAGGCTCAAGCAATCCTCCCACCTCAGCTTCCTGAGTAGCTGGGACTACAGGCACACACCATATATATATATATATATTTTTTTTTTTTTTTCTGTAGAAACAAGGTCTCACTATGGCCCAGTTTGCTCTCGAACCCCTGTACTCAAGCGATCTGCTTGCCTTGGCCTCCCAAATTGCTTGGATTACAGGTGTGAGCCACCGCACTTGGCCAGTTACTGTCAATGTTGCGTGTAATATGTGTAAAGTCCCAAAAGCAGTGTTGGGAACGTAATAGATATATACCAAAGAGACACTCATCTTTTTCTTTTGGTATATAATTCTATGAAAAAAATTTTTTTGAGACAGCCTGGAGAGAAGTGGCACAATCATAGCTCACTATAACCTCAAACTCATGGTCTCAAGTGATCCTTTCACTTTGGCCTCTTAAAGTGCTGGGATTACAGGCCACTGAGCCTGGACAAGTTTTATGAAATTTTATCACATGCATAGATTCAAGTAACCATCCCCACAATAAGAATACAGAAGTATTCCATCACCACTAAGAAATTTCTTCCTGGGGCTGGGCATGGTGCCTCATGCCTGTAATCCTAGCACTTTGGGATGCCGAAGCAGGTGGATCACTGGAGCTCAGAAGTTTGAGACCAGCCTGGGCAACATGGTGAAACCTCATCTCTACAAAAAATACAAAAATTAGCTGAGCGTGCAGATGGCACACTCCTCCTGCAGTCCCAGCTATGAGGGAGGCTGGTGTGGGAGGACTGCTTGAGCCCAGGAGACAGAGGTCTCAGTGAGCTGAGATCGTGCCACTGCACTCCAGCCTGGGCGACAGAGCGAGACTCTGTCTCAAAAAAAAAAAAAAGAAGAAATTTATTCCTGTTACCCCTCAGTCACATTCTTCCTCCAACTGTAACCCCTGGAACTGCTGATCTATTCTCCAACTCTATAACTTTGTCACTTCAAGAATGTTATATAAGGCCAGGTACAGTGGCTCATGCCTGTAATCCCAGCACTTTGGGAGACCAAGGCAGGCAGATCACTTGAGGTCAAGAGTTCAAGACCAGCCTGGCTAACGTGTTGAAACCCTGTCTCTACTAAAAATACAAAAATTAGCCGGGCATGGTGGTGCACACCTGTAATACCAGCTACGCAGGAGGCCGGGGCCCTAGAATCACCTGAACCAGGGAGGCAGTGGTTGCAGTGAGCTGAGATGGTGCCGCTGTACTCCAGCCTGGGCTACAGAGCGAGACTCCATCTCAAAACATAACATAACAAAACAAAACAAAATGTTGGCTGGGCACATTGGCTCACGCCTGTAATACTAGCACTTTGGGAGGCTGAGGCAGGTGGATCACGAGGTCAAGAGATCGAGACCATCCTGGCCAACATGGTGAAACCCCGTCTCTATTAAAAATACAAAAATTAACTGGGCGTGGTGGTGGACGCCTGTAATCCCAGCTACTCGGGTGGCTGAGACAGGAGAATCGCTTGAACCCAGGAGATGGAGGTTGCAGTGAGCCGAGATCATGTCACTGCACTCCAGCCTGGGTGACAGAGCAAGAGTCCGTCTCAAAAAAAAAGAAAAAAAAAAAGAGTGTTATATAAATGGAATCAGACGGTGTGTGGCCTTTTGAGATTGGCTTTTTCCACTCAGCAAAAAGCCCTGAGACCCATCCACATTGTTGCATGGATCAATCGCTCATTACCTTTTATTGCTGAGTTACTTCACTGAATGGATAGACCATCATGTGTTTATCTGTTTACTTGTTGAGGGACATTTGGCTTGTTTCCAGTTTTTGGCTTGTGATGGTTAATTTTATGTGTCAACTTCACTGGGCTATGGGGTGCCCTGACAGTTGATCAAACAGTATTCTGGGTGTTTCTGTGAGGGTGATTTTGGGTGAGTTTAACATCTAAGTCAATAGACTGAATAAAGCCGACTGCCCTCCCTAAGGTGGGTGGGCCTCATCCAATCAGTTGAAGGCCTGAATAGAACAAATAGACTATCTTTCCTGAATAACAGAGAATTCCTCCTGCCTGACTGCTTTTGAGCTGAGACAACAGTTTTTTTCCTGCCTTTGGACTGGAACCGAAACATCTGTTCTTCCTGGGTATCCAGCCTGCTGGCCTTGGCACTGGAACAACACCATCGATCCTCCTTGGTCTTCAGCTTGGCTGACTGCACATCTTAGGATCTGTCAACCTCCATAATCACGTGAGCCAATTCTTTGTAGTAAATGTATATATTATATATATATGATTTATTATATACATATCATTTATTTATATAGATCAATATATATCATTTCTTATCCCTATGTCTTTTTTTTTTTTTTTTTGAGGCAGGTTCTTGCTCTGTCACCAAGGCTTGAGTACAATGGTGTGGTCATGGCCTCACTGCAGCCTCAACCTCCTGGGCTCAAGCAATGCTCCCACCTCAGTCTCCTGAGTAGCTGGGACCACAGGTGTGCGCCAGCACACCTGGACAATTTCTTTTTTTTGAGCTAGGGTCTCACTTTGCCACCCAGGCTGGAGTGCAGTGGCATGATCTTGGCTCACTGCAACATTCACCTCCCCGGTTCAAGAAATTCTCCAGCCTTAGCCTCCTGAGTAGCTGAGACCACAGGCATGTGGCACCGTGCCTGGCTAATTTTTGTGTTTTTTGTAGAGATGGAGTTTCACCATGTTGCCCAGGCTAGTCTTGATCTCCTGAGCTCAAAGCAATCTGCTACCTTGGCCACCCAAAGTGCTAGGATTACAGGCATGAGCCACCGTGCCTGGCTCAACCTGGCTAATTAAAAAAAAAATTTTTTTTTTTTGTAGAGACAGGGTCTCACTATGTTGCTCAGGTGGCCTCAAACTCCTGGGCTCAAGTGATCCTCCTGACTTGGCCTCCCAAAGTACTGGGTGAGCCACCATGCCTGGCAATGATTTATTATAGATAGATATATCCTATAGGTTCTATTTCTTTGGAGATCCCTGAGAGATAGTGTTGTAACCAAGCGAGTTATAGAGAAACGCCACACTTTGAGACAAATTATGGAGTCCTTTATTAGCCGGCGACTGAGAGACAGCTAGCACTCAAAATTCTCTCAGCCCCGAAGAAGGGGCTAGATTCTCTTTTATACTATGGTCTAAATAGGGGAGGGGGAGTTTAACTGAAGCAGTTTTACAGAAGCAGAACAGGCAAAAAGTTAAAAAATTAATTGGTTATAGAAGCAGTTGTAAAAGATAAACAGTTCCAGGTGCAGGGGCTTAAACTATCACTAAGAGATAAATGCAGGGGCTTTTAGATACCTTCCACCGAGCACATTCCCAGGAGCTGCTGGTACAGCCTGCCTCAATATCTTATCAGCAGGTGCATTACTGGATGTGCTTAGAGTCAGCTTGCACTAGTTATTCCCTTAAGGGGGATAAAGGGGGCTGTGAATGAAGAAACTAAAATGGAGTCTGTCTGGCTCTCTCTGCTAGGAGAGAGTCACTCAGGTTAAAACAAGGTAGGTTATCACAATATATGTATGTGTTTGTGTATATATATATAACTTCTTATATATATCATTTATATATATGATTTATTATGTATATATCTCTCTTCTATTGGTCCTGTTTCCTTGGAGAATCCTGATTGATACATGACTATTACAAATAAAGCTGTTATAATTATTTGTGTACAATATTTTATATGAACATAAATTTTCATTTCTCTGGGAGGGTGATTGCTGGGTCTTGTGGTAAGCGTACGTTTAACTTTATAAGAAACTGCCAACTGTTTTCTAGAATGGCAGTACCATTTTGCATCCACTCCTCATTTTAACTATTTTGTTCTATGAGTTAAATGTGTTAACTTCAGCATGGGCTGACATTCGAAGGCTGGTCATGCAGGGATCTTTGCTTACTTGAATTATAATCACCACTGCGACACACATCCTTGTTTTAACTTTCACATATGTAAGCCAAGCACAGAGGTCTGAAGGTTTAGAGATTTGAAATAACAAACCTGGCTGCCTCAGATTTTCTTGGCTGGCACCAGGCCTTGCCAGACCTTTGAATTGGCTGGGTGCAGGGAAGGGTCACCAGGAAACTCAGGCTGCCCGGACCGACAGGAAGCATGGGACGAAGCTTACTCCGGGTCTGGCTCGTGGTCAGCCTGGCTGGGGTCTGAGGCTTCCAGGCCGGAACAGTGTGCATGGTCAGGAAACAGCCTGGACTCTTGAAATCACCCCACCCCTGAAAAATGAATTCATGAACAGAGACGCTCCCAGCTCCTTTTTTTGAGAAATAGCATCTTTTAGCCTGGAATAAAATCAATTTGCAGAGCTGCTATGACTCCGTGTTCCTCGGGCTCTGCGCACCTCTGCATCAGTGGCAAGTGGCTTTGGGACTTATTTTCCTGGAGAAGGTGGCTGTGGAGTTTTCTTTTCTTTTAATTTTTAATTAACCTTTTGTTGTTGTTGTTTTAGAGACGGGAGAGTCTCACTATGTTGCCAAGGCTGGTCTTGAACTCCTGGCCTCAAGCGATCCTCCTGCCTCAGCCTTTCGAAAAGCTGGGATCACAGGAGTGAGTCACGGTGCCTGGCTCTAGAGTTGTTTACTGATGCTTTATATATATATAAAATATATATGATATATTATATATAAAATATATAATATATAATATACAAAATATATAATATATAATATATAAAATATATAATATATCATATACAAAATATATAATATACAAAATATATAATATATAAAATATATATTACATAATATATAAAATATACGTTACATAATATATAAAATATACGTTACATAATATATAAAATATACGTTACATAATATATAAAATATACGTTATATAATACATAAAATATATGTTATATAATACATAAAATATATATTATATAACATAAAATATATATTATATAATATATAAAATATATATTATATAATGTATAAAATATATATTATATATAGTATAAAATATATATTATATAATGTATAAAATATATATTATATATAGTATAAAATATATATTATATATAATATAAAATATATATTATATATAATATATAAAATATATATTATATATAATATAAAATATATATTATATAAAAATATATTATATAAAATATATATTATATATTGTATATAAAATATATATTATATATTGTATATAAAATATATATTATGTATTGTATATAAAATATACATAATATATATAAAATATATATAATAAATATATAATATATAATATATACAAAATATATATAATAAATATATATTACGTATTATATATAATATATATATAATATATATATTATATATAATTAATATATATTATATATATATAAAATATATAAATAT
This sequence comes from Homo sapiens, assembly GCF_000001405.40. Lineage (NCBI taxonomy): Eukaryota > Metazoa > Chordata > Mammalia > Primates > Hominidae > Homo > Homo sapiens. The sequence continues at coordinate 68,072,068 of NC_000017.11, forward strand.
ATATATATATAAATATATATATATATATATATATAATATATATATTATATATAATATAAAATATGTATAATAAATATATATTATATATAAAAGATATAATATATATATTATATATAATATATATAAAATATAAATATATAATATATATAAAATATAAATATATAATATATATAAAATATAAATATATAATATATAATATATAATAAATATATATTATATATAATAAATATATATTATATATTATATGTAATAAATATATATAACATATAATATATATAATATATATTATATATAATAAATTTATATATAATATATATTATATATAATAAATTTATATATAATATATATTATATATATTAAATATAAAATATATATATATAAATATATATATATTATATATAATATATATAAAAATATATAATAAATATATATTATATATAATATAAAATATGTATAATAAATATATATTATATATAAAATATATAATATATATATTATATATAATATATATAAAATATAAATATATAATATATATAAAATATAAATATATAATATATATAAAATATAAATATATAATATATAATATATAATAAATATATATTATATATAATAAATATATATTATATATATATATATAATATATATTAAATATTAATTATATAATATATATAAAATATAAAATTATATAATATATATAAAATATAAAATATATAATATATAATATATAATAAATATATATTATATATAATAAATATATATTATATATTATATGTAATAAATATATATAACATATAATATATATAATATATATTATATATAATAAATTTATATATAATATATATTATATATAATAAATTTATATATAATATATATTATATATATTAAATATAAAATATATATATATAAATATATATATATTTGAGACAGAGTCTTGCTCTGTTGCCCAGGCTGGAGTGCAGTGGTGCAATCTCGGCTCACTGCAAGCTATGCCTCCTGGGTTCACGCCATTCTCCTCCCTCAGCCTCCCAAGTAGCTGGGACCACAGGCGCCCGCCACCACGCCTGGCTAATTTTTTGTATTTTTAGTAGAGATGATATTTCACCATGTTAGCCAGGATGATCTCAATCTCCTGACCTTGTGATCTGCCCGCCTCAGCCTCCCAAAGTGCTGGGATTACAGGCATGAGCCACTGCGCCCGGCCTACTGATGCTTAATATTATGACTTTCTCCTTTCCACCCTCCCTGCACCCCTCACCCCACGTTAACAGGTACAAATATATGTATATATATAAAATATATATATCTTTATATTATATTTATATGTTTTTTTATAGAGATGGGGTCTTGCTATGTTGCCCAGGTTGTTCTCAAACTCCCAGCCTCAAGTGATCCTCCTGCCTTCGCCTCCCAAAATGCTAGGATAACAGTGGGAGCCACCACACCCAGCCCATATTTTTTATCTTGTTTATGGTTATTATTACCTAACAGTATAAGGTTTCTGAACATACTGCATTTGGGTACTGTTTTGATAAATAGATTCAATTAGACATCACAATGGTATGGACCTTTCTAGTTTTACATTATCTCACCTGAGGCAGGTGAACTGTTAACTCCATGTTATCCAGAATTTCCCAGGGCTAGAACCCATAGATTCAGAGCTTTTCTATTTTTTTTTTTTTTTGAGACAGGGTCTCACTCCCATCACCCAGACTGGAGTTCAGTGATGCAATCTTGGATCACTTCAGCCTTGACTTTTAGGGGTTCAATGATCCTCCCACCTCAGCCTCTGGGGTAGCTGGGACTGTAGGCGTGTGTCACCATGCCCGGATAATTTTTTTTTTTTTTTTTCAGTAGAGACAGGGTTTCGACCATGTTGCCCAGGCTGGTCTTGAATTCCTGGACTCAAGCGTCAAGCTGGCCGGGCGCGGTGGCTCACGCCTGTAATCCCAGCACTTTGTGAGGCTGAGGTGGGTGGATCATGAGGTCAAGTGATCGAGACCATTCTGGCCAACATGGTGAAACTCTGTCTCTACTAAAAATACAAAAATTAGCTGGGCGTGGTGGTGCGCACCTGTAGTCTCAGCTACTCAGGGGGAGGCTGAGGCAGGAGAATCCCTTGAACCTGGGAGGCGGAGGTTGCAGTGAGCCAAGATCGTGCCACTGCACTCCAGCCTGGCAACAGAGCGAGACTCTTGTCTAAAAAAAAAAAAAAAAAAAAAAAAAGCCTCAAGCTATCCATCCATCTTGGCGTCCCAAAGAGTTGGGATTACAGGTGTGAGCCATGACACCTAGCTTAGATTCATAACTATTAAGGCAGTCTCCAAAGCTCCCATGGCTACAAGTGGTTGATCAGGAGCTGGAAGCGGGGGGACTGTCTGGTTCTGTGCCTTACTGTCATTCTAGTGTGGAGCTGTCCGATGTGAAAGCCACTAGATGCATCTGGCAGGGGGCACGTGATATGGCTGGTCCATATTGAGATGTGTGGGAAGTGCAAAATCCACATGGTAAGACTTGGTATACAAAGGATAATGAATGTAGGGTATCTCATTAATATATTTTTATACAGATGTTCCTCAACTTATGATGAGGTTATATTCTGATAAATCCATTATTAAAGTCAAAAAAAATCCTTTAATGGAACCATGGTTAAATTGGGGACCATCTGTATTATTTACATGCTGAAATGATATTTTGGATTTGTTGGGTTAAATATTTTATAAAAATGAATAATCCCATCTGTCTTTTTTTTTTTTTTTTTTTTTTTTTGATTCAGAGTTTCACTCTTGTTGCCCAGGCTGGAGTGCAACGGCTTGATCTTGGCTCACTGCAACCTCTGCCTCCTGCGTTCAAGCGATTCTCCTGCCTCAGCCTCCTGAGTAGCTGGGATTACAGGCCCTGCCACCATGCCCGGGTAATTTTTGTATTTTTAGTAGAGATGGGGTTTCTCCATGTTGGCCAGGCTGGTCTTGAACTCCTGACCTCAGGTGATCCACCCACCTCGGCCTCCCAATGTGCTGGGATTACAGGTGTGAGCCACTTCGCCCAGTCCCCCATCTGCCTGCTTCCCTCCATCCCTCCCTCCCTTCCTTCCCTCCGTTTCTCTCTCTCTCTTTCTCAGGGTCTTACTCTGTTGCCTCGGTTGGAGTACACTGGCATGATAAGGGCTCACTGCAGCTTTGATTTCCCAGGCTCAAGTGATCCTCCCACCTCAGCCTCCCAAAGTGCAGGGATCACAGGTATGAGCCACTGCACCCGGCCTCATATTTTTATTTACAAATATTTTAGACATTTGAAATACTACAGCATTCAGATCTGCTTACAAAATGAATGAAAATGACTGCTTATCAAGAAACTACTATGACTTTGTGACATGACTATAGCAGTCTTATAAGTAAATTTGGAGTAGTTAAGCAGATCTAAAATATGGAGTAACACTTAGGCTGGCCGTGGTGGCTCACAACTGTAATCCCAGCACTTGCAGAGGCCAAGGTGAGTGGATCACTTGAGGCCAGGAGTTCAAGACCAGCCTGGCCAACATGGTGAAACCCTGTCTCTACTAAAAATACAAACAAAAAAATTAGGCAGGTGTGGTGGTACATGCCTGTAGTCCCAACTACTCAGGAGGCTGAGTCATGAGAATCGCTTGAGCCTGGGAGGCAGAAGCTGCAGTGAGCCGAGATCATGCCACTGCACTCCAGCCTGGGCGACAGAGCAAGACTCTGTCTCAAAAAATAAAATAAAATAAAATAAAATAATAAAATAAAATATGGAATAACATTTTAAACCATCATATGCCACTCCAAAGCTCACTTGTTTCCTACAATTAAACATTTGCTTGGCTATAGGAGACAGGGACAAACATTCTTGATGACCACACTGCAGCCTATAAAACTGGATTTCTGACACTGGGCTCCAGCTTCATTTCCTCAGGGTCTTTGTAGGAGGGCAAGCATTTGAACAGTGTCCAGCTCACACTCCCACTATACTGTCCTGAACCTTCTCCTAGGGGCAAATGGTGGAGGCGATATAGAAATGGGCAGAGCAGGCCACAAACTTCAACATAAGATTCTCAATGTGTGTGTGTGTGTTTTTAATTGAGGTATAATTGACATGCCATAAAATTAACCCTTGTAAAGTGTACAATTCAGTACTTTTACTGTATTCACAGAGTTATGCAACTATCACCACTATCTAATTTCAGAAGATTTCTTCATTCCCTAAAAGAAACTGAGCATCTATTAGCAGTCACTCCCCACTGATCCCTTCCTCCCCAGCCCTAGGCAACTGCTCATCTACTCTCTGTGTCTATGGACTTGCCTACTCTGCACATTTTATATACATGGAATCATACTCTCTGTTGTCCTTTGTGTCTGGCTTATTTCATTTAGTGTGTTTTCAAAGTTTATCCCTGTTGTAGCATGGATCAGTACTTCATTCCTTTTTATTGCCAAGCAACATTCCAATGTATGGAGATACCACATTTGTTTATCCATTTGTCAGTTGAAGAGCATTTGGGTTATATCCACTTTTTGGCTTTTATGAATAATGCTGCCATGAACATTTGTGTACAATTTTTTGTGTAAATGTATGTTTGCAGTTCTCTTAGATGAATAGCCAGAAGTGGAATTTCTGGGTCATAAGGTGATATAGGGCAACTCTGTGTTTAAGACTTTGAGAAAGCCATCAACATGGTGAACCCGTCTCCACCAAAAAAAAAAAAAAACAAAAAAACACCCAAAAAACAAACAAACAAACAAAAAAAACTTGGCCAGGCGTGGTGGCTTACGCTTGTAATCCCAACACTTTGGGAGGCCGAGGAGGGTGGATCACCTGAGGTCAGGAGTTTGAGACCAGCCTGACCAACCTGGATAAACCCCATCTCTACTAAAAATACAAAAATTAGCTGGGCGTGGTGGTGGGTGCCTGTAATCCCAGCTACTCAGGAGGCTGAGGCAGGAGAATTGCTTGAACCCAGGAGGTGGAGGTTGCGGTGAGCCAAGATTGCACCATTGCTCTTCAGCCTGGGCAACAAGAGTGAAATTCCATCTCCAAACAAAACAAAACAAAAAAACAAAACCCAAAAAAGTAGCAAGGTGTGGTGGTGCGTGCCTGTAGTCCCAGCTATGCAGGAGGCTGAGGTGGGAGGATTGCTTGTGCCTGGGAGGCAGAGATTGCAGAGAGCCGGGATCGTGCCACTGCACTCCAGCCTGGGTGACAGAGCGAGACTCAGTCTGAAAACAAAACAAAACAAAACAAAAACTTCAGCATGCTTTCAAATTTGTTTTTGAAATTTATCCATAGTGATATATGTGGCTCTCGTTCTTTTTTTTTCAACTGTATGCAACTTGTTTCTCTGGCCTTCTGTTGATGAATATTTGAGTTGTTTTGCAGTTTTTTACTAGTACAGACAGAGTTACAATGGGCATTGTTGTTTACTCCGTTTCGGGCAAGTGTGTGAGCTTATGGTGTATATCCGGAAGCAGAACTGGTGGACTGAAGGATTTGTTCACCACTGATTTTACTAGCTATGGCCAAATTGTTCTTCAAAGTGACTGTAGTAATTTACACTCTGGCCAGCAGTGTGTGTGAGTTCCCATTTTTGCGTGTCCTTGCCAACACTTGCCATTGTCAGTCCTTCAAGCTCTTGCCAAGCTGAGGGATACAAAGTGGTCTTTCCGGGTTGTTTTAAGTTTCATTTCCCTGTTAATGAGTTTGGAGGCTCTTTTCACATGCCCTTGACCATTCTGTGAGTTTCCTTTTAATATCCTTTGCCCATTTTCCACTTGGGTTGTTTGTTATTTTCTTCTTGATTTTATAGGAGTTTAAAACAAATTTTCTGAAAATGAATCTTAAAGTCTGTGGCTTTATTTTCACTGTTGTTATGGCTTTTAAATTCTCCTTCTTGTTTCCTTTATTTCTTTTGGTAAGAAGTTTCTAAAATAATTTTATAGTCTATCCTTTTTGTGTCTTATTTGAGAAACTCTTTTGTATTCTGCTATAAACAAAATCCCTTATATATTTTTTCTACCCATTTTGGAGTTTTGCCTCCACATTTAGGTCTTCAATTCACCTATAATTTGTTTTTGTGTATGCTATGAAGTAAGGATCAAACTATTTTCTCCCATTTGGGTAACTAATTAGGCCAGCACCACTATCTTCTTTTCACTGATCTGTAATGTCTTCTCTGCCATATATTATTTTCATATGGCATGGGTCATTTTCTGGTTATATTTTGTTCCACTGGGTTCTTTGTTTCTCCCTGCACAAATACTACACTTTTTTTTTTCTTTACACTGGATCTGGCTCTGTTGCCCAGGCTGGAGTGCAATGGCACCATCATGGCTCACTGCAGCCTCTGCGGACCTCCTGGCTTAAGGAGTCCTTCCACCTCAGCCTCAGCCTCAGCCTCCCAAGTAGCTGGGATTACAGGTGCACACCACCACGCCTGGCTAATTTTTTGGTTTAGTAGAGGTTTCATCATGTTGGCCAGGCTGGTCTCAAACTCCTGGCCTCAAGTGATTTGCCCGCCTCAGCCTCCCAAAGTGCTAGGATTACAGGCGTGAGCCACTGCACCCAGCTGGATTTATTCTTAAGCCTTTTATAACTTTTGTTGCTATTGTAAATGGGATTTTTTGTTTTTGTTTTTGTCTGAGATGGAGTCTTGCTCTGTTGCCCAGGCTGGTGTTCAGTGGTGCGATCTCAGCTCACTGCAACCTCTGCCTCCTGGGTTCAAGTGATTCTCCTGCCTCACCCTCCTGAGTAGCTGGGATTACAGGCGCCCGCCACCACGCCTGCCTAATTTTTGTATTTTTAGTAGAGACAGGGTTTCACCATGCTGGCCAGGCTAGTCTCGAACTCCTGACGTCAAGTGATCCACCTACCTTGGTCTCCCAAAGTGCTGGGATTACAGGCATGAGCCACCGCGCCCGGCCTGGCCCTCCAATGTTAAATAGAAATGGTGACAATGGGCTTTCATTCTTTGTTTCTGCTCTTAAAGAGAAGGCTTCTACATTTCCATTATTATTTCTCCTGCGTGTTTTGATAGAAAATGTTCATCATGTTAAGGAAGTTGGCAGCTAGTCTAGTTTCCTACGAATTTGTTATTACTGTTTGTTTGTTTGTTTGTTTGTTTGTTTGTTTTTGAGACGTAGTCTCCTCCCTCTGTCGCCGAGGCTGGAGTGCAGTGCTGCAATCTCAGCTCACTGCAACCTCCGCCTCCCGGGTTCAAGCGAGTCTCCTGCCTCAGCCTCCCGAGCAGCTGGGATTAAAGGCGCCTGCCACCATGCCTGGCTAACTTTTTGTATTTTAGTAGAGACGGGGTTTCACTGTGTTGGTCAGGCTGGTCTTGAACTCCTGACATCGTGATCTGCCCGCCTCGGCCTCCCAAAGTGCTGAGATTACAGGCGTGAGACACCGTGCCCAGCCACCCTTTTGTATTTTTAGTAAAGTCAGGGTTTCACCATATTGGCCAGGCTGGTTTCGAACTCCTGACCTTGTGATCCGCCCGCCTCGGTCTCCCAAAGTACTGAGATTACAGGCGTGAGCCAGCGCGCCCAGCCTGTTACTGTTATTTATGAATGTTGAATGTTATTGCATGCTTTTTCTGCTTTTATTAAGATGATCCTGCATCTTTCCTCCTTATTCATTTTCTTTATTATGGAATACTTCAAAAACAGAGAAATAGAGAACAGTACAACAGTTTCAATAAGAGTTGTCAGTCGCAGGCCATAGGAATCAACTTTAGCGGTAAAATGATTCATGAGGAGGAGAGTGGCATCTCTCTGAATTATGGGGAAGACTGGTTCTCTGAACTGTAGATGCTGTTGCTTCTCCTCCCACCTCTCCAGCACTGAATCCTTCAGACTGCCAGTAGCACTGCTGCCCCTGCTCCAGGAACTCTATCCTATGCCACTGCAGGTGGGGCAACTCATGTTCCATTCGAATTAGGGCTGAGTGTTTTTAGTTTTTATTTTTTCATTTTTGAGGCTGAGTCTTGCTCTATTGCCCAGGCTGGAGTGCAGTGGCGCCGTCTCGGCTCACTGCAACCTCTCCTCTCGGGTTCAAGCGATTCTCCTGCCTCAGCCTCCCAAAGTGCTGGAATTACAGGCGTGAGCCACCACTCCTGGCCAGCGGCTGAGTGTTTTTATAGGGCTGAGCCCAGGTCATCTGCTTGTACCCTAGAGATATAGGAAGAAGGTTCAGGTGTTGGGTGACCAAAAGGAAAGATATTTATTTGTCTTTCCTTCCGTGCCTGCTGGATCAATGACATAAGTATCTCCAGATGGCCTGAGGGAAGCCTTAGCTTCCAATTTATCAGACCCATGACCATGGTAGTACAATTCCCTGGTAGAAACAGTCCCCACCTTAGGCACTAGAATATTCAAACTCCCAAATCCAAGGTCATAGTGAGAGGTGACAGCATGCGGGCAGCCCTTGCAGCCCTCGCTCGCTCTCGGGGCCTCCTCGGCCTTGGCGCCCACTTCTGGCCACGCTTGAGGAACCCTTCAGCCCGCCGCTGCATTGTGGGAGCCCCTTCCTGGGCTGGCCAAGGCCGGAGCCGGCTCCCTCAGCTTGCGGGGAGGTGTAGAGGGAGAGACGCGGGCGGGAACCGGGGCTGCGCGCTGCGCTTGCCAGCCAGCGCGAGTTCCGGGTGGGCGTGGGCTCGGTGGGCCCCGCACTAGGAGCGGCCCCCGGCCCGCAAGCCCCGGGCAGCGAGGGGCTTAGCACCTGGGCCAGCAGCTGCTGTGTTCGACTTCTTGCCGGGCCTTAGCTGCCTCCCTGCGGGGCAGGGCTCAGGGACGTGCAGCCTGCCATGCCTGAACCTCCCCGCCACCGCAGTGAGCTTCTGTGCGGCCCCAGCCTCCCCGAGGAGCGCCGCCCCCTGTTCCACCACGCCTAGTCCCATGCACCACCCAAGGGATGAGGAGTGCGGGCGCACAGCGCGGGACTGGCAGGCAACTCCACATGCGGCCCCCATGTGGGATCCACTGGGTGAAGCCAGCTGGGCTCCTGAGTCTGGTGGGGACTTGGAGAATCTTTATGTCTAGCTAAAGGATTGTAAATACACCAAACAGCACTCTGTATCTAGCTCAAGGTTTGTAAACACAGCAATCAGCACCCTGTGTCTAGCTCAGGGTTTGTGAATGCACCAATGGGCACTCTGTATCTAGTTAGTCTGGTGGGGACTTGGAGAATCTTTATGTCTAGCTAAGGGATTGTAAATACACCAATCAGCACTCTGTATCTAGCTCAAGGTTTGTAAACACACCAATCAGCACCCTGTGTCTAGCTCAGGGTTTGTGAATGCACTAATCAGCACTCTGTATCTAGTTAGTCTGGTGGGGACTTGGAGAATCTTTCTTTATGTCTAGCTAAGGGATTGTGAATGCACCAATCAGCACTCTGTATCTAGCTCAAGGTTTGTAAACACACCAATCAGCACTCTGTGTCTAGCTCAGGGTTTGTAAATACACCAATAGACACTCTGTATCTAGCTAATCTAGTGGGGACATGGAGAACTTTTGTGTCTAGCTAAGGGATTGTAAATGCACCAATCAGCACCCTGTCAAAACGGACCAGTCAGCTCTTTGTAAAACAGACCAATTGGCTCTCTGTAAAATGGACCAATCAGCAGCATGTGGGTGGGGCCAGATAAGAGAATAAAAGCAGGCTGCACAAGCCAGCAGCGGGAATCTGCTTGTGTCCTGTTTGATAGTCTGGGAGGTTTGTTTTTTTTGCACTTTGCAGTAAGTCTTGTTATTGCTCACTGTTATGGTTTATGTTGCTTTTATGAGCTGTAACACAAAAGTTTGCAGCTTCACTCTTGAAGCCAGTGAGACCACGAACCCACCGTCAGGAGCGACCAACTTCAGTTGTGCAGCTTTAAGAGCTGTGACACTCACCGTGAAGGTTTGCAGCTTCATTTCTGAATCAGCGAGACCAGGGACCCACCAGAAGAAAAAAACTCCAAATGCATCTGAACATCAGAAGGAACAAACTACGGACAACTCCGCCTTTAAGAACTGTAACACTCACCGAGAGGGTCCGCGGCCTTATTCTTGAGGTCAGTGAGACCACAAACCCACCAATTCTGGACACAATAGGGATGGGCAGCAAGAGTTTAGGTGTAAGAGTGAGAGCAGCTACTTCTTCATCCTGTTTCCTAGATGTACGCTTTTTTTTTTTTTTTTTTTTTAATGAGACAGTCTTACTCTGTCACAGGCTAGAGTGTGGTGGTGCGATCTTGGCTCACTGCAACCTCTGCCTTTCAGGTTCAGGCGATTCTCCTGCCTCAGCCTCCCAAATAACCTGGGATTACAGGGGTCTGCCACCATGCCTGGCTAATTTTTGTATTTTTAGTAGAGATAGGGGTTCACCATTTTGGTCAGGCTGGTCTCAAACGCCTGACCACCTGATCCACCCCCCTCGGCCTCCCAAAGTGCTGGGATTACAGGCGTGAGCCACCGCGCCTGGCCTCTAGATGTACACTTTCTAGTTATGAAGGTGACAACTCCAAATGTTAGCATGTTTTAAAAGACATAACTATCCTGTAGGCCAACACTTGAAGCCCACGGGGTGTCGTCTTTAGGCTAACCCTGTAAATTAACTTTCAGCAGCTATTTCACCGCTTTCTAAGCCAGCTGCTTCTGGGTGGTGGAACTTCACGTCTCTATTAAGTCCAACTTAGCCATTGTAGATTATTCATGCCAACTCCAAAGCCCAAACCTGGGTGAGTGTATCAGTGAATTCAGCCCAATCAAGCCTTTTATTTTATTTTTGAGACAGAGTCTCACTCTTTCGCCCAGGCGGGAGTGCAGTGGCACGATCTGTGCTCACTGCAACTTCTGCCTCCTGGGTTCAAGGGATTCTCCTGCCGCAGCTTCCTGAGTAGCTGGGACTACAGGCATGCATCCACCACCACACCTGGCTAATTTTTTGTATTTTTAGTAGAAACAGGTTTCACCATGTTGGCCAGGATGGTCTCAAACTCCTGACCTGGTGATCTGCCCGCGTCAGCCTCCCAAAGTGCTGGGATTATAGGCGCAAGCCTCTGCGCCCAGCCAAGCCTTGTATTTACCATCTTTCGGCTAACAATGCTTAGAATCCACTCCCACACGTGCTCCCAAGAGCGTTGTGGATTTGAATTGGCAAGGTCTTGGAACTACCTTAGTGTATAAACATTCTCTTTCTAGAGCAGGCCTTGTACTGCCCAAGTGGGCTATGTTGGGATCTAACTCTCTTTTTGAAGCTGGAGGAATGAAGAGAAGATCTGGAGTCCCTTTTTAGTGAAGCAACTGTCCTAGGTGCAGTCACAGAAGGTCCCTTAGGCAGGGATAAGTTGGTTACCTCTACACGGGAGGACTTACCTGAACAGACAGGATTTGAGAATTCAAAAGTGCCAAAGTCTCAGCCTTGTCTGTGACCATTTAGATGCTCCTATTCTAAGTCTCAAGGTCCCACTACGTCCCCACTATGCCCTTTCCTAAGCATTTATTTGGAGCTCTTACATGCACAATGAGGCCCTGGACTGAGTCTTCCATCATATCCACCCTGAAAGTACAGGAGATGAAGTCTCCTTCTAAGATGCCACCAAACCTTTCTTGCTGTCTATTGCATTCTCAGTTCAACATTAACAGCTTTTTTTTCTTTTGAGATGGAGTTTCACTCCTGTTGCTCAGGCTGGAGTGCAATGGCATGATCTGGCCTCACCGCAACCCCCGCCTCCCGGGTTTAAGCGATTCTCCTGCCTCAGCCTTTCGAGTAGCTGGGATTATAGGCACATGCCACCATGCCTGGCTAATTTTGTATTTTTAGTAGAGACAGGGTTTCTCCATGTTGGTCAGGCTGGTCTCGAACTCCCAACCTCAGGTGATCGCCTGCTTTGGTCTCCCAAAGTGCTGGGATTACAGGCATGAGCCACCGTGCCCGGCCTTTTTTTTTTCCTTTTTTTTTGGAGACAGGATCTCACTCTATCACCCAGTAGAGTGCAGTGTTGAGATCTCGGCTCCCTGCAAGCCTCCACCTCCTGGGTTCAAGTGATTCTCCTGCCTCAGCCCCCCAAGTAGCTGGGACTACAGGCACGAGCCACCACATCCAGCTAATTTTTGTGTTTTTTTGTAGAGACTGGGTTTCGCCATGTTTCTCAGGCTGGTCTCGAACTCCTGATCTCAAGTGATCCACCCACCTCGGCCTCCTACAGTGCTAGGATTACAGGCATGAGCCACTGTGCCAGGCCCTCATTCATAGCTTTTGACTTTTCCTTTTCCCTGTGTAATCTCTCCAGTGCTGTTGAGAGAGGCCAAGTGACTCTATAATCTTTATACTGACCATCACTGTCACAGTGTCTAAGTGCCCAAGCCATTCCAAATCCCAGTGCCTTATCCTCTATACCTACCCTTCATCCCATGCCACTGCTGATAATTTGTGTGATTTTAATGCCACTGAATGCCATTGATTGCACTTGACCCATTCCATCCCCACTACACATTTTCCAGGATTCTATTTTGAGGGGATGTCCTTCGTTGTAGTAACCCCTGCTAATCTGAGATAAATCTTACTTGATCATTTTAATTTTTAAAAATTCCCTAATGAATTCACTTTATATAAATATATATAATATGTGTGTGTATATATATATATATATAGTGTGTGTGTATATATATATATATATATACTATTTAGGATTTTAAAATCTTTGTTCTTATTTATTTATTTATTTGAGATGGAGTTTCACTCTTGTCGCCCAGGCTGGAGTGCAGTGGTGCGATCTCGGCTCACTGCAACCTGCCCCTCCCGGGTTCAAGCAATTCTCCTGCCTTAGCCTCCCAAGTAGCTGTGATTACAGGCATGTGCCACCACATCCAGTTAATTTTTGCATTTCTTGGTAGAGATGGGGTTTCACCATGTTGGCCAGGCTGGTCTCAAACTCCTGACCTCAGGTGATCCACCTGCCTTGGCCTCCCAAAGTGCTGGGATTACAGGGGTGAGCCACTGCACCAGGCCTTTTTCTTATTTTCTCACCAATTTAAAGAAGGGTTTCCCCAAGTTGCAATTAATTTTGGCAGAAATGTCCCTGTATTGATGATTATCTTTTTGTGAAAGTTGATGGAGTTTGTCTTCACACTCTTGTCCTTTTTTTACTCTTTTTTTGAGACAGAATCTCACTCTGTCACCCAGGCTGGAGTGCAGTAGTGCTGGTGCAATCTTGGCTCCCTGTAGTCTTGACCTCCCAGGCTCCCTCTGCAACCACCTGAGTAACTGAGACAACAGGTGCATGCCACCACGCCCAGCTAATTTTTAAAAATATTTTTTGTAGAGACGGAGTTTTGCCATTTTGCCCAGGCTGGTCTCAAACTCCTGGGTTCAAGTGATCTGCCTGCCTCAGCCTCCCAAAATGCTGGGATTACAGATGTGAGCCACCATGCCTGACCATCACTCTTGTCCTTGATATCCATTTTTTCCCACCGACAACACCATGGGAATGTTTTCCTATTCTTTTTCCAGACTTCTAGGCCACCTAGTTTTAGTTTTCTAAGTCAGTGGAGCCCAATTTTTGCACAGGACGATACTCCTAGAGAAAGTCATTCCTTTGCATGGTGTGCTGGGGTAATGAACCTGCTCCCTGTGGCTAGAGACACCCATTATCTCAGGTCTGCCTGAAGGGCCGAGGGGAGCAACCTCTTAGGCTCACCTATAATCCATTTGCCCCCAGATGTGGCTCTTATGACTACATTCCAGTGTGTAAAGTGTGAGAAGAAATGATGTATTCAGCCACTGGGCTGTGCCCTTAGAGGAAATGCATGCCTTCCCCTCCCTTTTATTGCCTCTGCAGGCTGCAATGTGGCCACAGTGTGGGGAGTATTGAACTATACAAGCAACAAAATAGAGTCTGAATCCCCAGCAACTAAGAACTGCTAACAGAGAGATAGGAAGTTTGGGTGTGACACTGGAGTCAGGCAGCCTTGGGTTTAAATGCTGATTCTGCTAATCCCTAGCTGTGGGCCTCGGGTGAAGAATTTAACCTCATGGTCTTCAGTTTCCTTAGCTGTAAAATGCTGGGAGGATGCAAGGAGCTGTCATAACAAAATTGCCTAGCAGTGTTCATGGTCCAGAGCAGGGTTTTAACGAACAGAAGCTGGCACGTCACCACTCTCTGTCCCTAGCAGCGTTGCCTTTTGCCTCCCTTTTCTGCCTTGATCCGCGCCCCCACCCATCTCTCCTCCCGTTCTTTCTTCACTTTCACTTCCTGGTCTGCCTCTTTCTTAAGCTGGACTCTGTGACTGCAGGTGTGTTTAATGTTTGGCTGCCTTCAGGAGGCCAGCAAGGCTCCCTGGCCAACCTTTTACTTTTTTTTTTTTTTTGAGACGGAGTCTTACTCACTGTCACCCAGGCTGGAGTGCAGTGGCACGATCTCGGCTCATTGCAACCTCTGCTTCCTGGGTTCAAGTGATTCTCCTGCCTCAGCCTCCCAAGTAGCTGAGACTACAGGTGCTCACCACCATGCCCGGCTAATTTTTGTATTTTTAGTAGAGAAGGGATTTCACCTTGTTGGTCAGGCTGGTGTCAAACTCCTGGCCTCAAGTGATCGGCCCACCTTGGCCTCCCAAAGTGCTGGGAATACAGGCAGGAGCCACCATGCCCCACCATGGTTCCCTGGCCAACCTGTTACTCATTCCTCTTTCTTCTACAATGATGCTTCTCCACCACATCAAAAGGTCCTCTCCTTTCCTCTTCCACAGCCATTGGCTGCAGGGAAATCCCCAGGGGCAGAGCTGCAACTTGCCAGGCCAGCCCTGGAGGCAGCCCTGGGACCCTCTTGCTCCCTCAACCTTCTCCCTCTCCTTTCCCGGGAGGCCCAGGAAAGGGAGCTGGCACCCTGGGCCACTGAGCCAGCGGCGAGGCTCAGCCAGCAGGAGGAGAGCAGCGGATCAGGACTGCCTCAGACCTTTGATAAACCAGGTCTTGGAAGAAGGCCACTCACTCTTCTCTGTGTTTCTCTGTGTGCTGGTTCCTGAGATTTGCAGGACATGTTTAATATTTGCATGGAGAATCTATGAAAAGAAAAACAGAGAGGGAAGGAAACAGGAACCAAAATGCCACTTATCCCATGAGGGCATCGAGGCCCGGGCTCTGAGTCTCTCTGTTGCTGGCGGGGGCCAGGCTTCCTGTGGTGGGAGCGGCAGGCCTCGCTTCTCAGGCGTGGGTTCCACCACGGCTTGAAGGCCCCAGACCACCTCGCCCCTCCCTGGGAACTCAGCCTCTTGTGCAGCCACATAAAGGTAACCAGTGTCTGGTGGCTTGATAGGACAGACTTGTGAGGGACTTCCTGCCTTTTGATGCATGCCATTCCTGAGAGCTGGGCCGGGCCTCTGAAGAGGAGAGGTCCCTTTCAACTTCCTGAGTGTCTCAACGTTCAGACTCTTGGGGTTTGTGGTTAGAGACACTGGTATGAAAATTGTGTTCTATAAAGTATGCCCTCCGGGTCCCATAAAGCTAACAGGCAAAGCTCTGTGAAAACACCCCCTAACCAAATGGACCAAGAGGGTCTGAAAAGCCCTTGACCTTGGAGCTTTTTTTTTTTTTTTTGAGAGAGGGTCTCGCCCTGTCGCCTAGGCTGGAGTGCAGTGGCGCGATCTCAGTTCACTGCAACCTCTGCCTCCTGGGTTCAAGCAATTCTAATGCCTCAGCCTCTGGAGTAGCTGGGATTATAGGCGCACGCCACCACGCCTGGTTAATTTTTGTATTTTTTTTTTGTAGAGGCAGGGTTTTGCCATGTTGGCCAGGCTGGTTTTAAACTCCTGATCTCAAGCAATCCACCCACCTCAGCCTCCCAAAGTGCTGGGATTATAGGCGTGAACCATCTCGCCCTGGCCCCTTGCAGCTTTAGTGAAGAATGAGTGAAGGACTGGAAAGTCTGGCAGTATGAGGGGATCTGCCCGAGGGAAACTGTGTTAGCAGCAGGACCCTTCTGCAAAGCCACCCCTGACTCCACTCCAGTACTTTGGAGCTGCCTTCAAATAGAATATGATTCCAACAGCACTCACAGTTGCTAAGGGCCAGACAGACGTCACTGCATTCTTTTTCTTTTTTAATGTCATGTATTTTTTAAGACAAGGTCTCACTGTCACCCAAGCTGCAGTGCAGTGGCACCATCATAGCTTACTGCAGCCTCAACCTCCCAGGCTCAAGTAATCCTCCCCACTCAGCCTCCTAAGTAGCTGAGATTACAGGTGTGCACCACCACACCCAGCTAATTTTTAAATTTTTTGTAGAGATGGAGGTCTCTCTATGTTGCCCAGGCTGGTCTTGAACTCCTGGGCTCAAGCGATTCTCCTGCCTTGATCTCCCAAAGTACTGGGATCACAGGTTTGAACCACTGCACTCGGCCTCATCGCTGCATTCTAATCCTCTTCTCACAGATGGGGAAACAGACTCAATGAGGTTGAGTGACTGCCCCAAGAGCACACAGAGGTAGGATTGGAGCTCAGAGCTGGCTGACTCCAGATCCAAGATCTTTATGCTTCACCAGACTGTTCCCCACAAGACTATAGGGTGTCAGCAAGGTTGAAAAACACAGGACATACACGCTTGCTCTCTCCGCTATTAATTACCTGGCTGAAGTAGTGTTTGTCAGTTTCTCCACTGTAAAGTTACTCTTTTTTTCCCCATTTTCCATACCATCCTCTTTGGTCATTCACCATGTACAACCCATGTATAAAGAGTGGGAGTTAGGAGGTGGAGTATCTACCGAAATTATCTGGAACACTACATGGGAGATTTGTCTTTTGTCTCTATTTACTTATTTACATTTATTTTTAAAAGTGTATGCTACTGACATTTTCAAATATGCTCATTATGTTTTCAGGCAAAGTATCTTTTTTTTTTTTTTTTTTTGAGATGGAGTTTCATTCTGTCTCCCAGACTGGAGTGCAGTGACACAATCTTGGCTCACTGCAACCTCCGCCTCCTAGGTTCAAGCGATTCTCCTGCCTCAGCCTACTGAGTAGCCGGGATTACAGGCACCCATCACTATGCCTGGCTAATTGTTGTGTTTTTAGTAAAGACGGGGGTTTCACCATGTTGGTCAGGCTGGTCTTGATCTTCTGACCTCAGGTGATCCGCCTGCCTCAGCCTCCCAAAGTGCTGGGATTACAGGTGTGAGCCACTGTGCCTGGCCCTGGGCATCTTTTTAAACTGCAGGCACTGATTCAGTAGGTCTGAGCTGGGGGCTGAGACCTAGTACTTGTCTAATAGGCTTCCTCTGAAGCCAGGCTGCAATTCTGCACCACACTTTGAGGAGCAGGTTCAAGACCAGTGTATCTTCCGCCATTTCAAACTACTCAAAAATCCTTTCTCCTGTTTCAAGGTCTGTCTCAGTATAATTCCAACTGCAGCCCCACTACACTGGTCCTGGCTACTTCCTGTAGAACCACATGGAACAAATTTAATTGACCTGAACTTGATAGCTTACCAGGTAACATACCAGGTATGTTAAGGCAGGTAGCTGTTAGGGTCCCCTGAGTTTTCTTTTCTTTTTCTTTTTTATTTTTTTTGAGACAGGGTCTCACTCTGTCGCCCAGGCTGGATTGCAGTAGCACAATCTTGGCTCCCAAGTTCAAGTGATTCTCATGCCTCAGCCTCCCCAGTAGCTGGGATTACAGGCATGCGCCGCCACCTGGCTAATTTTTGTATTTTTTAGTAGATATGGGGTTTTGCTATGTTGGCCAGGGTGGTCTCAAACTCCCAGCCTCAAGCTATCTGCCCACCAAAGCCTCCCAAAGTGCTGGGATTACAGGCGTGAGCCACCGCGCCCCGCCCCCTGAGTTTTCTTTCTCAGCTTCTCCAAACATTCCTTGAGGTACGTGACTTGAAGTCCCTAAGCACTTTGATTCCTCTCCTCCTTGTCCCATTTACAGTAAAGCACCCAGAACTGAAAGTATTGCTTGTGGCGTGGGCTGCTGGGCTGCTGGCAGCAGGTCACCATCATGTCCCTCATCCTCAGTGCAATTCTTTGGCCAAGAGCCCATGTCACTAGGATGACTCATACCGAGCCCATTGTCAACTAAAAGCCTGAAGTTGTTTCTACAGAGGCTGTTCTTGACTCACACCTCCCTCAACTTCTACTTCAGCAATTGATTCTTTGGATCCAAGTAACCCTAGGAACCACTGTTAAGCTCCAGTTTTCTCACTTGAATTTGGCCTGGGGTTGTTCCTGACGACATCAGAGAGAGGTGCTCTGACCACAGGAACGGGGCAGTGTTGAGTTAGGGAACCCCTCTATCATTAGGACCAGTATGAAGGTGTCATTGCTACTTGCAAATCACATCTTTATCTGCTTCATTTAGGGATCCTGCTATTGACAATTACACATCTTTAAAAGAAAGACTCTATAGCAGTTGACGATAATGAGAAGTTATTAGTTTTAGTTTATTGAAGTGACCCTTCTAACTCTGTAACCACTTATCTTCCTCTTCCCATTCATCTACTATGAGGTGATATAATATGTGATATTACCAATATAATTCTAATCTATGCTTTTTGTGGAAAATTCAGAAAACATAGAAGTTAAAGATGAAAATTTGCCTGCCAAGGTGGCTCACCCCTGTAATTACGGCACTTTGGGAGGCCAAGGCAGGAGGATCACTTGAGGCCAGGAGTTTGAGACCAGCCTGGCCAACGTGGCAAAACCTTGTCTCTACTAAAAATACAAAACTTAGCCTGGCATGGGGGTACACACCTGTAGTCCCAGCTACTTGGGAGGCTGAGGCAGGAGACTAGCTTGAACCCAGGAGGCGGAGGTTGCAGTGAGCCGAGATTGTGCCACTATACTCTAGCCTGGGCAACAGAACAAGATTCCGTCTTAAAAAAAAAAAAAGTTGAAAATAAAAATCTCAGATGATGCCATCATCTAGTGACAACCACTGTTGACATTTGGTATATTTCTTTTATATTTGCATATTTTATCTTACTAATACTCAGTATCTTAACTGTTTTAACGATAGATGTTCATTATAGAAAAAAGTGGAAAATACAAATATGTCAAAGAAGAAATAGAAATCCCCATGGTCCCATTATCTAGAAACAACCCTAGTTACACTTGCATGTGTTTCCTTTAAGATGTTTAAATCGGCCAGGCGCAGTGGCTCACGCCTGTAATCCCAGCACTTTGGGAGGCTGAGGCAGGTGGATCACCTGAGGTCAGGAGCTCGATACCAGCCTGACCAATATGGTGAAACCCTGTCTCTACTAAAAATACATAAATTTGTTGGGCGTGGCGTGGGTGCCTGTATTCCCAGCTACTCGGGAGAGGCTGAGGCAGAAGAATTGCTTGAACCTGGGAGACAGAGGTTGCAGTGAGCCAAGATCACACCACTGGACTCCAGCCTAGGTGACAGAGTGAGACTCTGTCTCCAAAAAAAAAAAAAATAAAACTTTAAATCTGCCTATATGGTATATTTTTCTGTTAAGAGGTGAATTTATACAGTAATACTATATCATAAAGGTTTTTTCCACTTAACAGCATGTTGGAAGCATGTTTTAGAGAATATTTAGTGAACTGACTCTATGTTTTTACATTGTGAAGATTTACTCTGTAAGACTATTATTTCGCCTCTATTTAGAGAAAGTTGCTTGTTTTGGCAATTGCTCTTTTGTTATGAGAATTCACATGAGCCAAGTTCCACTTTCAGAAATGCTATGGGCAAAGCTTCATGATGTTTATGAATTCATACATAAAGACTATAAATTTCAGCCAGGGGCAATGGCTCATGCTGATAACAGCTACTCGGGAGGCTGAGGAAGGACAATCGTTTGAGGCTAGGAATTAGAGACCAGCCTGGGTAACACAGCTAGATTCCCCGCTGTCTTCCCCTCTAAAAATAAATACATAAATAAATTAGTGTGGTGGCATGCACCTGTAATCCTAGCTACTAGGAAGCCTGAGGCAGGGAGGATGGTTTGAACCCAGGAGATCGAGGCTGCAGTGAGCTATGATTATGCAATTGCACCCCAGCCTTGGCAATAGAGAAAGACCCCACTCTCTATTTTTTTAAAAAAAGGCTGTAAATTGGCCGGGCGTGGTGGCTCACGCCTGTAATCCCAGCACTTTGGGAGGCCGAGGTGGGCAGATCACAAGGTCAGGAGTTCAAGACCATCCTGGCTAACATGGTGAAACCCTGTCTCTATTAAAAATACAAAAAATTAGCCAGGTGTGGAGGCGGGCGCCTGTAGTCCCAGCTACTCGGGAGGCTGAGGCAGGAGAATGGTGAGAACCCAGGAGGCGGAGCTTGCAGTGAGCCGAGAGGGCGCCTGTGTACTCCAGCCTGGGCAAGAGTGAGTGAGACTCCATCTTAAAAAAAAAAAAAAAAAAAACTGTAAATTTCTGAATGAGTTCTTAAGATGAAATACATCTTACTTGTGCCCACTTCCTTTTCTTAGAAATTAACTCCAAAGGCCAGTCACGGTGGCTCATGCCTGTAATCCTAGCACTTTAGGAGGCCAAGGTGGGTGGATCACCTGAGGTCAAGAGAGTGAGACCAGCCTGGCCAACATAGTGAAACCCCATCTCTACTAAAAATACAAAAATTAGCCTGGCGTGGTGGTGTGTGCCTGTAATCCCAGCTACTCAGGAGGCTGAGGCAGGAGAATCACTTGAACCTGGGAAGCAGATCTTACAGTGAGCCGAGATCATGCCACTGCACTCCAGCCTGGGCAACCGAGCAAGACCCCATCTCAAGAAAAAAAAAAAAAAGAAAGAAATTAACTCCAAAATGTTTTCAATGCCTACATACAATATTTAAACTGTGTGCTTTTTAAATTTTGTTTTGATTTTTTGAGACAGGGTCTTACTCTTGGTGGTGTGATCTCAGCTTACTGAAGCCTCCATTGCTGAGCTCCAGTGATCTCCTACCTCCGCCTCCTGGAGTAGCTGGGACCACAGGTGTGCACCACCACACTCAGCTAATTTTTTGTTTTGTTTCATTTTGAGACAGAGTCTCGCTCTGTCGCCAGGCTGGAGTACAGTGGCGTGATTTCAGCTCACTGCAACCTCTGCCTCCTGGGTTCAAGCGATTATCCTGCCTCAGCCTCCCAAGTAGCTGGGACTACAGGCACCTGCTACCACATCCAGCTAATTTTTTTATTTTTATTAGATATGGGGTTTCACCATGTTGGCCACGATGGTCTCCATCTCTTGACCTCATGATCCGCCCGCCTTGGCCTCCCAAAGTACTGGGATTACAGGTGTGAGCCACCTTGCCTGGCCCACACTCGGCTAATTTTTTGAATTTTTTGTATTTTTTGTAGTGACGGGATTTTGCCATGTTGCCTTGGCCTCCCAAAGTGCTGGGATTACAGGCGTGAGCCACCACGCCCAGCCTTTAAACTGTCAGTGATAGCAGCGAATGAGTTCAAATGAATTCAGAAAAAAGACATATGGATTAGACCACAATGGTTTTTTTTATTTTGTTTTTTGTTTTTTTTTTTTTGAGACGGAGTCTCGCTTTGTTGCTCAGGCTGGAGTGCAGTGGCTGTGATCTTGGCTCACTGCAACCTCCACCTCCCAGGTTCAAGCAGTTCTCTGCCTCAGCCTCCCGAGTAGCTAGGATTACAGGCCCATGCTACCACACCCGGCTAATTTTTGTATTTTTACAGTCAGGGTTTCACCTTCTTGGCCAGGCTGGTCTCGAACTCCTGACCTCGTGATCTGCCTGCCTCGGCCTCCCAAAGTGCTGAGATTACAGGTGTGAGCCACTGTGTCCAGCCAGTGCCATATTTTCTACTATCCTGGTAAAGTAGATATTTGTACCAAACCCTATCAAACTTGAAATGAATGGAATGTTCTTAATTTTCAAGGTGCTATTTTTTTTTCTTTTTTTTTTGAGACAGAGTCTCACTTTGTCACCCAGGCTGGAGTGCAGTGGCACAATCTCGGCTCACTGCAACCTCCACCTCCTGGGTTCAAGCGATTCTTCTGCCTCAGCCTCCCGAGTAGCTGGAACTACAGGCACATGCCACCACGCCCGGCTGATTTTTTGTATTTTTAGTAGAGACGGGGTTTCACCATGTTAGCCAGGATGGTCTCGATCTCCTGACCTGGTGATCCGCCTGCCTTGGCCTCCCAAAGTGCTGGGATTACAGGCGTGAGCCACCGTGCCCGGCTACAAGGTGCTATCTTTAAAGATCTTCTCCAGAATGACTTGTGATATCTTTATAGGGGTAGGGGGTTTCCCCTCAGTATCAGAATTTCTTTACTTACAAGATTATAATCTTGTAAGTAATTATAGAATCTTGTAAGTAATTGTAAGATGATGATCTTGCAGGTAATTATAGAATCTTGTAAGTAATTGTAAGATTATAATCTTGTAAGTAATTATAGAATCTTGTAAGTAATTGTAAGATTATAATCTGTAATCCCAGCTACTCAGGAGGCTGAGGTATGAGAATCGCTTGAACCCAAGAGGCAGAGGTTGCAGTGAGCGGAGATCATGCCACTGCTCTCCAGCCTGGGCGACAGAGTAAGACTCTGTCTCAAAACAAAACAAAACAGGCCAGGCGCGGTGGCTCATGCCTGTTTCCCGTGAGGCATCCTCAGCTTTCAATCAAGTTGGGGAGTGAAGGTCAGTAAACCAGTGGCTGAGCAAACCTCCACCCGACCTTTCTCACAGGGCTGCAGATGAATGGGAGAGCCAGCCGAGAAATCTAAAGTGCCTCGCATCCCCAGCACTTTGCTAAAGGAGGTGGTGGGTGGACAGGTTAAGACACCCTCCCAGCTCCCTAGCCTCCTGCGGTATTCAGGGAGCCATTAGGCACCTTCTTCTGCAGCCACCAGTGGGGCAGTGTTGCCAAGAGGGTACCAGGAGGAGAATCCTGCAGCCTTGACCTGTGCAACTGATAACGAACTACAGATGGGATGGAGGGCATGTTACCTGATGCTGGCCAGTAGATCATGACATGGAGAACTCACCACTATTCCTGAGAAACTTGGACTTTGACTCAACAGAGAGGTAATCTTTGGATGGTGGAAGATCTCTCTAAGGAGTGAGTATTGATCAACAAAACCTGGAGAAGCAAAAGAAACCCACAAAGACTTCCTAGAGAATTTACATCTTCAAGGTCAAACTGCCTTAATATTTGGTGCAAGAATATTAGACTATGTTATCAATTTGTGCAAAGGTAAATTTGACTTCCTTGAACGGCTCTCAGACGATTTGCTCCTGAATATCATTTCTTATCTGGATCTTGAAGATATTGCTAGGCTTTGTCAAACATCACACAGATTTGCAAAGGAGGAAGTCAGGACACAGAGGGCCACAGCACAACAGGGCTGGCCAGGGCTGGTGCTGTTTGGGATAGGAGGACAACAGCCTTCAGCAGCATCCATGTTGCCGCAAGGACATGGTTTCATTCTTTTTTTATGGTGTGCAATGGCAAAAGTTAACAGAAGAATAGAATATCTTCTACATTCAAGACCAAGAAGTGCTCACACCTTGCAGGAATTGGAGAAGCTGTGCATGTCTGATAAACTGTGGGAACAGATAGTCCAGTCGATCTGCGACACCATCACTCCTGACGTGAGGTCCCTGGCGGAGGACACGGGCTGGAGACAGCTGTTCTTCACCAACAAGCTCCAGCTCCAGCGGCAGCTCCGCAAGAGGAAACAAAAATATGGAAGCTTGAGAGAAAAGCAACCTTAGGCACACATTTTCCTACCAGCAGGGAGCTGAGGCATGGCTGTGTTTCTCTTCGGTGTCCAAATCTCTTCCGTCTCCTTTTCTTAAGAACTAAGAGGTTTTGCTGGTGCATGGAGCCATTTGTAACTCATAGAGGATTTGCACACAAATGCAGCAGAATCTGGCTTCCCAGTGCCTTGCTAGAGTCACCATCATTCTGAGGTCAAATCATGGCCTGAGGACAAGGGCTGTAAGACAGGGAGCCCCATAGGCCATCATCGTCCTTATCCCACACTCATTAAAAAAGAGTGTTTTTAAATGATTGTTTTAATGTTTGTTTTAATTGTATATAAACAAACAATAAATGATTATTAGCAGGTTTTTATTAGACATCTATTTTATCTAGGCATTGGAAAGGGTAATGGGGCTTTTACTTTTTTTCCTGGCGTTGTGTCATCTGAGTCCAGCCATGAAGCTGGTGCCTGAGTGTCCCCACCAGGAACCGTGAAGGGCAGGTACCACAGGAGGCACAAGGGGTGAGTGCAGTTGCCTTCCCAACTTTGTTCTGCTAAGTCCATATTCAGGGCCCTGTCCTTGTGGGCCCAGGACGCCAGGCTCCATCCCCGCATGTGGACAGCTTCCGACCTGGCGCTGGGGCATGACTGGAGAAGTGCAGGAATACTGCTTGCGGACCTTGCTCAAAGTACAACTTCCCAGGACTACTTCACATTGTTAAATAAACCTATAAACATTTTAAAAAATAAATAAATAAATAATAATAAAAAATAAAGAATGGTCCTGTTTTCATGTCCAGTGGTATTTTCCTTTCCTCAAAGATTTTACACCTGAATGTATATAATTCATTTTACGTAAGATTCCCATCCCTTAATTTTCCGTCTTATCTTTCCCAAGTTCTGGCTATTAATTTGGTAATTCCCTACATGTTGTCATTATAATGTACATATATCCCCCTTTGGAGACATAAACATAAACCCAAGGGAAGAGAAACATAGAGACTTTTATTTTTTTTTTTTAAGGTTTCTAACCCAATCATCTCTGAAATCTGAGCCTGGACTAGTTGTGGCCACTCACTTAAGAGAGGCCTTCAAAATGACTTTCCTATTAGGAGTGTTCTGTTTTTGTGTGTGTTTGTTTTTTTGAGGTAGGGTCTTACTCTGTTGCCCAGGCTGGAGTGCAATGGCATAATCATGGCTCACTGCAGCCTCGACCTCCTGGGCTCCAGTGATCCTCCCACCTTGGTCTCCCAAAGTGTGGGGATTACAGGCATTAGCCACCATGCTCGGCCCCTATTCTGTTTTGTTTTTTCATTTATTTTACTTCATTTTAAATGTTTAGTTACTTTAAAAAAAAGGTTTCGGTCAATGTCAAATAATATTTAACATGGCAAGGAAAACAATAAAATGAACATCCATGTAACTACTTAAAAAAAATCATTACCAGTATATTGATTTTCTTTTTTTGTGTGTGATATTCTCAGTCTGCTGCCGAGGGTGGAATGCAGTGGCGCTGGAATGAGTGGCATGATCACGGCTCACTGCAACCTTGACCTCCACGGGCTCAGGTGATCCTCCTATCTCAGCCTTCTGAGTAGCTGGGCCTGTAGTTGCATGCCACCACTTCCGGCTAATTTTTTGTAGGTATGGGATTTTGCCACGTTGCCCAGGCTGGTTTCAAACTCCTGGGCTCAAGTGATTCCTCTGCCTCGGCCTCCCAAAGTGCTAGGATTACAGGCATGAGTCACCATGCCCAGCTCTTGAATGGTTTTAAAGTGTTATTGTTATCTGAATATTTGTTTTAAACAACAGGATTTAACCTTACAGGAAAGCCTAAATACAAACCTCTGCACGTTAACCCTATATACATTTTTCTATGCTGTTACTTACATATTTGAATGTACTGCTTTCAACTTCAAAACAAGCAGTCTCCCCCAAGTCTCCCATTACGTTCTGAAATCCTAACTTCTATTACCTAATACAAGACTACAAATTATGTTCATTGGATGGTTGGGAACAAAGTGTGTGCCATAAAAATAAGGTAAATGTGAATGTGTGAAACAGTTTGCTAAGCTTTTTGCCACCGTCTGACCTCTTAAATTGTGGTAGCAGCTATTGTTCACATTGATTTGTATATGTTTGTAGTACAAAGAAGCATTTCTAAAGGACCTTGTTCATTGCTTTGCACAAAATGGCCACTTAATATTTGTTGAATGAATTGCTGGCACTATCTCTGGTATTTTTATTTTTATTTATTTATTTATTTTTGATATGGAGTCTTGCTCTGTCACCCAGGCTGAAGTGCAGGGGTGTGATCTCGGTTCACTGTAACCTCCTGTGTTCAAGCGATTCTCGTGCCTCAGCCTCCCTAATTGCTGGGACTACCGGCATAAGCCATCACGCCTGGCTAATTTTTTTGTATTTTTTTTTTTTAGTACAGACGGGGTTTCACCATGTTGGCCAGGCTGGTCTCAAACTCCTGACCTCAAATGATCCGCCCGCCTCGGCCTCCCAAAGTGTTGGGTTTACAGGCGTAAGCCAGCGTGCCCAGCCTATCTGTGGTATTTTTAGTGTGATGTCTAGAACTTCATATACTTTTTTGGATTACTTTAATTGTAGGGCTGTATCCAAACTGATCAAATGCTCTCGGAGGTAACTATTTGGAGAAGTGACTTCACTGATTGATTAAAATAAATGACTGGCATGGAATAAGGATTAAAATATATTAATCTGAAACATTTAAAATTGCATTAATGTTATAACAGCCTAAAGCAAAACTAATGAATCACATAAAAAATCCCCCACGTGGCCGGGCACGGTGGCTCACGCCTGTAATCCCAGCACTTTGGGAGGCCAAGCCGGGCGGATCATGAGGTCAGGAGATTGGGACCATCCTGGCTAACACGATGAAACCCTGTCTCTACTAAAAATACAAAAAATTAGCCAGGCGTGGTGCCGGGCGCCTGTAGTCCCAGCTACTTGGGAGGCTGAGGCAGGAGAATGGTGTGAACCCGGCAGGTGGAGCTTGTAGTGAGCCGAGATGGCGCCACTGCACTCCAGCCTGGGCGACGGAACGAGACTCCGTCTCAAAAAAAAATCCCCCACGCTGTTGTCCTTACTAGTTTACTTTGTGCTAGACACTTTTGCATGTATATGCATACAACTTTTATTCTGTTTTTAAACTTTGCATTACATATACATTCTTCCATATTATATGATCTTCATTAAAATAGTTAAATGGCTGCATAAAAAACCATGTGGTTCCTGGACCATTATGCTGTTCCCTCATTCCCCTTTTGTTTTTAATGGAATAGAGCAAAGAACATCTTCTGTATTATTGTCAAGAATAGTGAGAGGTGACAGCGTGCTGGCAGTCCTCACAGCCCTCGCTTGCTCTCGGCGCCTCCTCTCCCTGGGCTCCCACTTTGGCGGCACTTGAGGAGCCCTTCAGCCCACCACTGCACTGTGGGAGCCCCTTTCTGGGCTGGCCAAGGCCGGAGCCCACTCCCTCAGCTTGCAGGGAGGTGTGGAGGGAGAGGCGTGAGCTGGAACTGGGGCTGCGTGCAGCGCTTGCGGGCCAGCTGGAGTTCCGGGTGGGCCAGGGCTTGGCGGCCCCGCACTCGGAGCAGCCGGCCGGCCCTGCCGGCCCCGGGCAATGAGGGACTTAGCACCCGGGCCAGCGGCTGCGGAAGGTGTACTAGGTCCCCCAGCAGTGCCAGCCCACCGGCGCTGCGCTCAATTTCTCGCCGAGCCGTAGCTGCCTTCCCGCCGGGCAGCCCTCGGGACTGCAGCCCGCCATGCCTGAGCCTTCCCCCGCCTCTGTGGGTTCCTGTGCAGCCCGAGCCTCCCCGACAAGCCCTGCCCCCTGCTCACGGCGCCCAGGCCCATCGACCACCCAAGGGCTGAGGAGTGCGAGCACATGGCACAGGACTGGCAGGCAGCTCCACCTGCAGCCCCGGTGGGGGATCCACTGGATGAAGCCAGCTGGGCTTCTGAGTCTGGTGGGGTCTTGGAAAACCTTTATGTCTAGCTCAGGGTTTGTGAGTGCACCAGTGGACACTCTATCTAGCTACTCTGGTGGGGCCTTGGAGAACCTTTATGTCTAGCTCAGGGATTGTAAATACACCAATCAGCACTCTGTATCTAGCTCAAGGTTTGTAAACACACCAATCAGCACCCTGTGTTTAGCTCAGGATTTGTGAATGCACCAATCAACACTCTGTATCTAGCTCAGGATTTGTGAATGCACCAATCGACACTCTGTATCTAGCTGCTCTGGTGGGGCCTTGGGGAACCTTTGTGTCCATACTCTGTATCTAACTAATCTGATGGTGACGTGGAGAACCTTTGTATCTAGCTCAGGGATTGTAAACACACCAATCAGCGCCCTGTCCAAACAGACCACTTGGCTCTACCAATCAGCAGGATGAGGGTGGGGCCAGATAAGAGAATAAAAGCAGGCTGCCAGAGCCTGCAGTGGTAACTCGTTCGCGTCTCTTTACACAGTGTGAAGTTTCAGTTTTTTGCTGTTTGGGTCCACACTGTTTTTATGAGCTGTAACACTCACCACGTAAGTCTCCAGTTTCTATCCTAAAGGCAGTAAGACAACAAGCTCACCGGGAAGGATGAACAGCGCCGGACACGTCGCCTTAAGAGCTATAACACTCACCACCAAGGCCTGCAGTTTCACTCCCGAGCTAGTGAGACCAAGAACCCACCTAAAGGAAAAAACTCCGAACACATCTTAAGGTCAAGAAGGAACGAACTCCTGACACGCCACCTTAAAAGCTGTAACACTCACCACCAGGGTCTGTGGCTTCATTCTTGAAGTCAGTGAGACCAAGAGCCCACCAATTCTGGACACAATAGGGCTGAGTGCGGTGGCTCAGGTCTGTAATCCCAGCACTTCGGGAGGCCAAGGCAGGCAGATCATTTGAGGTCAGGAGTTCGTGACCAACCTGGGCAACATAGAGAAACCTAAATGTCCCTCCTAAACGTGTCTTTACCAAAAATAAAAGAATTAGTGGGGTGTAGTGGTGCATACTGTGATCTCAGCTACTGCAGAGGCTCAGGTGGGAGGATCATCTGAGCCTGGGAAGTTGGGACTGCAGTGAGTCTGGGTGACAGGGAGACCCTGTCTTAAAAAAAAAAATTTTAGCAGTATAGTTACAAGGTCAAAGGATATGGTACATCTTTAGAAAGTTGTTATCTTTCTGCTCCTGAGATAAATACAGTAGTGTATGAACAACTCTTCATACGTTACTCCAAGGTTTATCTTGTTAATTCTTTAAGACGTATCATCTCCCTATCCTTGGCTGCACCTGAAAAGAGCGGGACTCTGCAGGTAACCCGATTTTCTCCACCAGGTGAGTCCCGGATGGAGGCGTCAACTACAAGACCAGGAACAGCACTCCTGGGGCTTTGCTGGAACCATCGGCGTGGGAATGCTGTCTCTTCCCTCGCCAGAAATACGACAAGTTCCCGGCGGGTAGCAGACTTGGTTCTAATTTTCCTCGCCCCAGCCTCTTGGAGCGCCCTGCATGCTGTGGGCGTCTAATAAATGCAGTCGGCCCTGCTTGGTCTAAAACTCTCCCTTGAGTGGACCGGACACTAAACCCCTCCAGGGGTCACAGCTGCCGCTCCCGCCGCCACTTTGCTCCTTGCCTGCTCCCTTCCCGCGTTCCGCCTGGGACCCTCGGCGGCAGCTCACACCTTCCCTCAGTGCCGGTGCCCGCTCCGGGCATCTGGCGCGCGCCCGCCGGCCCCGCCCCGCTGACCCCACCGGCCCCGCCTCCCATCTCCCCCTCGCCCCCCCGGAGCCGACAAATGGCCGCGGCGGCCTCAGGTCCGGCGTCACTCAGACAAGGGGGCGGGTGGAGGAGGAAGCGGCCAAGTCCACAGTCCTGCTCCCGTGCCGCCGAGCACCGCCCACCTCAGCTGACCAGCCCTGTCCGCTACTAGGCCTCGCCTAGAGGAGGGAAAGGCCGTGGCGTCCGCTCCCTCCGCGGCTCATGGCGACGACGCTTGGCACATCCGGGACCCTCAGGCCGCTGCAGTCGCGTCGCCGGCTGCTCGGGCCCCAGCCCCGGCCGCTGTGGTGACTCCGCCGCGCCTCGCCGTCGCCCCCGTCCCGCCCGCCGCCCCAGCCGCCAGGGACATGTCTAACCTCGGAGGCCGTAGGAACGGGCCTGTCGAAGTGCGCCTGACAGGTGAAGGGGGCGCGGCGGGCCGGGCTGGGCAGCCGCGAGGTGGGCGAGCTGGCAGGGGTGCTTGTGGCCTTGGGAAGGGCCAGGGTCGCGATCAGTGGTGAGTTGGGGGTCGGAGGTGTGGGAAGGCCTAGTTCAGAGAGAGCAATTGGAAAACCACTTGTTCCGGTTTGGACATTGTTTAAAAAGCCGAGGATGACTCGGGGCGGGGGGGTGGTGTTTTGTGGAGGGGAGGGTACACCAGTTCGCATCGCAGGCGGATTTCAGGTCGGAAAGTCTTGGTCAAGGAGCCCGACGCTGCCTCCCGGGGCTCGGGGAACAGCCCCTGGGCTACCGCCCAGGTGAGATCGTGAAGGGGATGAAGAGCTCCCGTGGCGAGGATTATTGAATTCGGTTGCTGACTGCGCGCAGTAAACACTCCTTAAAGATGGAGCGCTTAACGGGAGGGTGTGCGTCTGTGTTCCCGGGTTGTTACCTTGCACACACCCACTTATGCCCGCGTGAAAAACCTTTACTCCCCGCCGCCGGCCACCGCTGCCAGGGTCACACACCTTAAACTCACGTCTCTCTGAGGAGGGGAGACAGGTTGACTTCCGGTGTGCCTGTCTGATCCGACGGCTTGGGCTCATTGTACACTGTGTTTTGGAAGTGTCTGATTGTAGGGTGGCATGTTTGGGGGTTGTTCCTTATAGGCCGCAGAACTTGTGTCTCACTTCTAGCTCCAGACCTGCTTTAAAAACACACTTTTTTTTTTGGTGGGGGGGCGGAGAGGGTACAATTCTAAGTATGTCCTCATACAAATTTTCGAACAAACTTTCTGTTACTCTCCCCACCCTCCCCCTTCCTTTTTCGAAATGGAAAAGAGTGTCCAGAGGGGTTGCTAGATAGAAGACTACACTTACAAAGTGTTTATGATTCCAGGTGCATGAAATCTTTAACATTACAGGTACGTTTTGCTTACAGTGCCATTTTTGGTATTCTTACAGGGACATGCCACCCCCGTTTTAGGAGAACTTGTATTTGGTTTGAGAAGGAATTGGAATCACGGCGTTATCCTACCTTCACCATTTACCCCTGATAAATTGTCCACGTTTATATTTGGGTGAGTGGTGAGAAAGATAATTTTCCGTAGAGGATTTGTGTGTGCGTGCACATGTACTAATAAACTGTAATTATATTTGCCCACACTAGACTTTGAGATTTATTTGGACTAATTTTGCAGTTGAATGCTTGTGTGTCACATCCCAGTCCACTGGCTAAACTTGCTGGATGAAAACTTGCAGTGAATTTGGTATTTGAGAATTTAGCTTGAATGTGTATGTTGGCTGCAATTTAGATAATGTATTACCTTCATGACAGTTTTCCTTTCCCTAGGGAAAATTGCCAGGAATCATTAACTGAGTGGTTCTTAATGGAAAACCTGGATTGGAGGATACTTATATTCCCCCCCACCCCCCATTCAGTGTCCTTATATTGGGAGGAGTCAGTGGAAACCTTTGTAGGGGATCTTTGTTGCTTTGGAGTTTATCTGTTGCTGTTACTATCTGGAGTCAGTGATTGTGGAAAGAACATGTGATCCCAGGTGTGCAGAAAGCATCAGAAATAGGCTGTTTCCATTTACTTTCCTCTGGGCTATATAGAGAAAATGAGGAAAAAGTAGGGATTTTGATTTTCTGCAGATAAAATGAGTTGAAGTTTTTAGTATGACTCAATAGATCTTAAAGTGTTTATCTGCAGTTTCTGTACTGCCTAAGATACATTATAAAAATCTGTATGTAAAGTTTGTTAAGAGGAAAGATTATGCTTATCTTTTAGGGGAAGAGGGAATATTGAGCTACATTTATAGAGTGATTTTGTTTCAGGTTTTTCTGAGGAATTTTAAATACCCTGTGTCCTCTTAATAGTAAAAACAGTTTGAGGTACTCTAAGTTTCTTACAACTATTTGTCTCTGAATAGTTTTCTCTTAAAATTTGACAAATATTAAAAACATTGTCCTTCCTTCTTTGGTTACAGTGGAGTCTCTTCTGTTTTGCCAGGAAAGTTAACATATTGTTTTTTTCATTTTTGTTCATCATTTACAAATTAGATGGTATAGATTTTAGCAAATAGATCTCAAGAACTGGATTCAATTAGCAGCTTTTAAGGACATAAACATTAAAGGGTTAGATGGAAAAGATTGTTTTGACTGACTGGATAAATGACAGGGCTGTGTTTGATGTGTGTCCAGGAATTGGTCTGGAGCTGGTGCCCAACTTCTCAGTCCATCTTGAGAAGCCAAATAAAATACTTAACCTAGGCCTCATTTTGTTCAAAAAAAAAAAAAAAAAAAGTTGATTCTTTGTGAAGACCTTAAGAAATGTTTGGCATACCTTTAGACTAAGTGACAGTTCATTTAGATCTGGGTTCCCTAATAGAGGAAAAAAAATCACTTAAAAAAAGACAGATCCCACAGCGAATTTATATTTGGTTTACAATACACTTGGGCTATAAGATGTTTTAAAATTATTGTTCTTTGCTTTAAGTTAATAACATATTAGTATTTTAAATTTATAGAGTACCTTTGATTTCAAGATGCTGTATAAACTTCAGTTACTTGGTAATAACCTTATTGTGGAATTGCCCCTTTACTGAAAGGTATCAACATTTCTTGCGTGGTGACACACACACACACACACACACTCTCTCACACACTCATACACACTCTCTTTCTGAAGAAAAGGAAACATTTAAACCATGAGATCTCTGCCCACAATTGATATTAGACGTTTCCACATACTATTCTTAAAACCACTATCAGTGAACTGTTTGGTGTTTGTCAACGCTAACAAGGTGGGGCTAATTTAATAATTTAATCCCAAATTTTAGATTCCTCAGGCAATTGGGGGTTAGAATCCGATTTCATCCATCAAGCTACTTCTGTTCTTTATGACACATTAACATATGATCATTAAAATGGGCTGTGTGGTAACACTATTAACTTCAACTAATATTTCTATAACAAATTGATGACAAAATGTATAATTTCTATATCATTATGTTTATATGACTGTCTTATACAGGCTTTTCTTCCAATGGGTTGGATAGAAAAATATTCTTTTTTTTTTTTTTTTTTTTTTTTGAGTTGGAGTCTTCCTCTGTCGCTCAGGCTGGAGTGCAGTGGTGCAATCTCTCGGCTCACTGCAAGTTCCGCCTCCCAGGTTCACGCCATTCTCCTGCCTCAGCCTCCCGAGTAGCTGGTACTACAGGCACCCGCCACCACGCCCGGCTAACTTTGTTTTTGTATTTTAAGTAGAGACGGGGTTTCACCGTGTTAGCCAGGATGGTCTCAATCTCCTGACCTCATGATCCTCCCACCTTGGCCTCCCAAAGTGCTGGGATTACAGGCATGAGCCACGGTGCCCGGCCTAGAAAAATATTCTTTACAGTAAAAACTTTGGGATAATTTTTTAGACCATTATTGTTTCTGAAAACCAAAGGCTGGAAAAAGCAGCTTAGTGTAATTTCTAATATTTTAAATTCTTAGGTATGGAGAAGTAGAATAAGATTACTCCTCCAGAACATTTATTTCAGACATTTTTATACATTTAATGTTTTTGTATGCTGTTTCTCATGTTATTAATTTCAAAGCCCTTGGCAATAAGGAGGTTAAACTTGTCTATAGTGTAAGGAAATTTAACTTTAAAAATTTTCCTTTAGATATGCTAGCATCTTAATCTTGGTACACTACATATTTTATCGAGTCAAGGCTTTAAAAATTATAGCTTCATTCTGTTTGACAGGTTTTTAAGTATGCCTATACACCATAATGATTTTATTTATTTTTTAAGATGGAATTTTGTTCTTGGCTGAAGTGTAATGGCCCAATCTTGGCCCACTGCAACCTCCGCCTCCCAGGTTCAAGCGATTCTCCTGCCTCAGCCTCCCGAGTAGCTGGGATTACAGGCACCCGCCACCATGCCTGGCTAATTTTTTTTGTATTTTTAGTAGAGATGGGGTTTCCCCATGTTGGCCAGGCTGGTCTTGAACTCCTGACCTCAGGTGATCTGCCTGCCTTGGCCTCTCAAAGTGCTGGGATTACAGGCGTGAGCCACTGCACCGAGCCCATAATGACTTTTATATACTATAGGTGTTAGTGATTTGAATGTCCCCAGTTCATTTTATTTTTCTTGGTTTCTGAGAAGGAAGACAATGTAGCTGAGCTCTTTCCTTTTCTCTTAAATCCTGTCTACTAGTCTAACCCTCTTCAGGCAGGCAGTAGAACATGTCAAGGTCCTTGATGTAGTTTGGTATTCATAGTAAAGTCTGTGTATTTTAGTCATCACTTTTACTTTTTTCTTGTTGGTTGAGCTGTTACTATCACAGCATACTAACATCTCATTTAGCATAACTCAGTTTTCAAGATAAATGAAGGGTCACACTTAGGCATACAAGATTTTATTTTAGCCTTTTTTATTTTTTTGGCAGAGTCTCATTCTATTGCCCATGCTGGAGTGCAGTGGCAACAGCGTGCAGTGAGTGATCCCGGCTCTCTGCAGCTTTGACCTCCTGGCTCAAGTGCTTTTCCCACCTTGGCTTCCCAAGTAGCTGGGACTACAGGTACGCGCCACTGTGATTGGCTAATTTTTTTTACTTTTTTTTTTTCCTCTCCAGTAGATATGGGGTTTCTCCAGGTTGCCCAGGCTGGTCTTGAACTTCTCCACTTAGGAGATCCTCCTGCCTCAGCCTTCCAAAGTGCTGGGATTACAGGTGTGAGCCACCATGCCTGGCCTATTTTAGTCTTTCTTGGTGAGAGTCTTAAAGATGTAGTATGTCCTCCTCTTTTCAAATAGATCATACTTAGTAGAACTTAATGTTTTACTTATGATTCAATATAATTATGAATATAAATTATTGTTTTGTTGCATATGCAATGTGAGGATCTCATTAGGGCCTGTAGAGAGAAGTATTTCACCCTGGCTAAATGGTGATAGGTCATTTAACTTGTTCTTACTAGTTTTTCTCTTTGCCTTCATTTTTGTTTACTGATACTTTCTTTGTCTAAGAATGCTGAACCCTTGAAATACGCCGTTGTAATCAGCATTGTTACGTGTTTCTGTATGATTGACATGTATTGAAAGTTTAAGTGCCAGATGCTATGTTAAGTTCGTATCTATTATCACTTTTAATTTTCATAGTAGCTCTAAGTGATAGGAGAAACTGAAAGTTGGAGAAGTACATGTCACAACCAAAGTTGTCTAGAAAGCTTATTACAAGTTTATTAGAATTTGTGTGGAAAAATAAAATTGACATATTCTGTTCACTTGGAATTGCACTCGCCCCTAGCAATACTTGCCCATCTTTTAAGGCTCAAGTCAAGGATTACTGTTAGCCCTAGAACTTTCCCTGACCTGAGTTGAACTGTCCTCTGTGACTCTAGGAAACTCTTCTTTTAGTATCAGACCTAACCCGCTGATAGGCATCTATTGTTCCTATGCTTTAAGTTCCATGAAGTCAGGATCCTTGTGTGAGCATGGATTAAGACCTTTTTGGCATTTTATTTAATGAATGCTGGAGAGCTATAAATAGTTCCGAATAGTTCTGCGTGTGTTCTTTATGGCTAACGCACTGGGTATGAGTGGCAAGAGGTGAGGCTCTTGGACAGGGACCAACCTAGTTTAGGACCTTATTATAGTGTGCCAAGAGGTTCATTTTTTTTAAGGTGGTGGGAGCCATTGCAGGATTTTAAGCATTGATATATTTGTTGTTTAGACACAATCTGGGAGCAATATGGAGGATGGACTGGAATGGGAGCCATGAAGACTGGTTTTAGGATAACTGGTTAAGAAGATTCAACAGCAGCCATCGTTCAGATTTTTTTTCTTGTTTGAACATTTATTTCCAAATTTTTTATTACAAATAATTGCTGTAAGCATCTTGGTGTAGGTAACTTTGATTTTTTTAAAAGGATTTTTTTTTTTTTTAGGATGCTTCCATAAAAATAGTGTTACTGAGTTCAAGTGTGTGGATATTTTTAAGGTTTTGTGATTAATTTTTCCTTTAGGCTCTTTCTTAAAAGAGTTGGGCCTGTTTAGAGCAGCAGTAAATAAAGATGTCCCTTTTTACTATTCTGTTGTAAGCATTAGCTAATTGCATTTTAAATATTTTGCTAATTTCATGGCATGTGCCATTTAAACATTCGTGAAGCAGAATATTTTCCTGTCTGTTTACTAATCATATTTATTTTCATTGATTTGTTTGGCCTTGTCCTAGTTATGTTAAAGCCTTAGTGTTTTTCTTATTGATCTACCTGATACTTACAAATATATTAATCTGTTGTCATATTTGCTACAAACATTTCCATGGTGAATTATTTGTCTTTTAATATTGGTCATTGTTTGGACATGTAGAAATGTGTTATCTTAGGAGTCAAAATCTGTCCAACTCTTGTTTTGTTTTTCCTGTTCTATACTTGGAAAACCTTTTTCTTCAAGGAGTTTGATGAATAAGTACGTTATATTTAGTGTTTTTTAAAAATGCTTTAATAAACTATTCCCCCTTCAATTCCTATTTAGCCGTCTCATCATTATTTATTAACCAGTTCTTCCTTTCCACAGTGATGTAGTATCTTTTCAGTTAATTATAATAGAGTCAGATATATCTCTTGTTCAGTGCCATACTGTTTTCAATATTGTAGCTTTATAATTTAGTTTAATATTCTCACTAGGCCAGTTTTTTTAAGAGATGGAGTCTCACTCTGCCACCCAGGGAGTACAGTGGCGTGATCTTGGCTCACTGCAGCCTCTAACCCCTGGGTTCAAGTGATTCTCCTGCCTCAACCTCCCTAGTAGCTGGAATTACAGGTGCATGCCACGACTCCCAGCTAATTTTTTTGGGGTGGAGATGGGGTTATATTGGTCAGGTTGGTCTCGAACTCCTGACCTCAAGTGATCTGCCTGCGTTGGCCTCCCAATTTTTTTTTTTTTTTTTTGCTATTCTTATTTTTTGTTTCCGCATAAATATTAAACTTGTTAAGTTTAATAAGAAATTTCACTGGGGCCGGGCGTGGTGGCTCACGCCTGTAATCCCAGGACTTTGGGGAGGCTGAGGAGGGTGGATCTTCTGAGGTCAGGAGTTTGACACCAGCCTGGCCGACATGGTGAAACCCTGTCTCTACTAATAATACAAAATTAGTTGGGCGTGGTGGCACACTGGGGAGGCTGCGTCACGAGAATCACTTGAACCCAGGAGGCAGAGGTTGTAGTGAGCCGAGATCATGCCACTGCACTCAGCCTCAGCCTGCCTGGGTGACAGAGTGAAACTGTGTCTCAAAAAAAAAAAAAAAAAAAAAAAAGACATTTAATTGGGATTATTATTAGAATTTCCTTACTTTGGGAAAAAGAGGCATCTAAGTTTATTTAGTTTTCTTACCCAGGAGCATGCTAAGTTTTTACATTTATTTAAGCTTTGGCTCATATTGCTCAGGATAGCTTTATAATTTTCTTCCTATGTTTGAATTTAATTTCAGATAATTTATATTTGTCTGATTTACATTGTGTTTTCTAATCCTAGTTATTGCTTGTATTTAGGAATGCAGTTATATGTATTTTTGCTTGATTAGAACAATTTTGGCTGGGCGTGGTGGCTCATGCCTGTTATCCCAGCACTTTGGGAGGCCAAGGTGGGAGGATCACTTGAGCCCAGGAGTTTGAGACCAGCCTGGGCAACATAGTGAGACCCCATCTATATATTTATTTATTTATTTATTTATTTATTTGTTATTTTTTTTTGAGACTGAGTTTCGCTCTTGTCGCCCAGGCTGGAGTGCAATGGCGCCATCTTGGCTCACTGCAACCTCTGCCTCCTGGGTTCAAGCGATTCTCCGGCCTCAGCCTCCCGAGTAGCTGGGATTACAGGCATGCTAATTTTGTATTTTTAGTAGAGACGGGGTTTCTCCATGTTGGTCAGGCTGGTCTCGAACTCCTGACCTTAGGTGATCCGCCTGCCTTGGCCTCCCAAAGTGCTGGGATTACAGGCATGAACCACTGTGCCCAGCTGATGTTAGTTTTCTAGGTATCAAGTGTTTGGTACTTGTTACAGTTGAATGTTAACACTTAAAATTTTTCTTTTCTCTTGGATTCCTCCCCAACATATAAGTAGTTGAACAAAGTGAGAAATTTTGTTTATTTTATTAAAATTTTTTTAAATACGAGCAGTCTCCTGAACAAGAATAGTTTCAGACAGACTCTCTGTTTTAGAATAGCTTCTGATGGCATTGGCTACCTTTTTTAAAAACCACCTTTGATATTGTATTAAAAAGTATCAAAACCTAATCTTAAGTTTGATTGGCAGTTTGGTTTGGTTTTATACAAAAATTGATAGCAGACATAAAGTTTAAATTATTTATTTATTTTGAGACAGTTTTGCTCTTGTTGCCCAGGCTGGAGTGCAGTGGCGCCATCTCTGCTCACCACAACCTCCGCCTCCCGGGTTCAAGTGATTCTCCGGCCTCAGCCTCCCGAGTAGCTGGGATTACAGGCATGCGCCACCATGCCAGTCTAATTTTTTTTTGTATTTTTCATAGAGACGTGGTTTTTCCATGTTGACCAGGCTGGTCTCGAACTTCCAACCTCAGGTGATCCGCCTGCCTTGGCCTCCCAAAGTGCTGGGATTACAGGTGTGAGCCACTGTGCCTGGCCTAAATTTTAAATTTTTAAATAAACTGTGATGATTAATTTTTAGGGAGGAATTACCACATAGATGATTGCAATCATGCAATGCTCTTCCCATTTCTTCCCAAAAAGTTTCCTCTTACCTCTTCATAGCCAGTTGTCTTCTTTAATACCCAGAACTTGTCAACTACTGATCTGTTTTCTATCACTATAATTTTGCCTTTTCTAGGATTTTGTGTAAATGGAATCATACCGTCTGCAGTCTTTTGGGTGAGGCTTCTTTTAACATAATGCTTTTGAGATTCATCCATGCTGGGTATCAGTACTTTGTTCCTTTTCATTCCTGAGGAATATTGCATTGTACATCAATTTGTTTATCTGTTTGTAAATATCCACAGACATTTGTTGTTTCCAGTTTTTGGCCATTACGAATAAATATTTGAGTACATGGCTCTTTGTGAACATGTTTTTCTTGCCCTTGGGTAAATGAGTGGGATTGTTGCACCATACAAAAAGTATGCATTTTAACTTTTTAAAAATCTGCTGGGCAGATTGCTTGAGCCCAGGAGTTTGAGACCAGCCTGGGCAACATGGCAAAGCTCCGTCTCTACAAAAAATACAAAAATTGGTCAGGTGTGGTGGCCTATGCCTGTAGTACCAGCTACCCAAGAAGCTAATAGAGGATTGACTGGGCCTGGGAAGTTAAGGCTGCAGTGAGCTATGCTCACACCACTGCATTCTAGCATGGGTGACCCTGTCTCAAAAAAATAATAATAATTTTTTTTTCAAAGTTGTACCATTTTGCATTTCTACCAGCATTGTATGAGTTTCAGTAGTTCCTCATCCTAGTCAGCACTTGATATTGTCTTTGATTTTAGCCATTCTAATTGGTAGGTATAGATATTTCTTTATACTTTAATTTTTACTTCATTAATAACCTACAGTTTTAAGCATATTTTAATGCACTTATTTATTGTCCATATAATCTTTGGTGAATATCTAAGTCTTTTGTTCATGTTTTAAAATTGGATTGTTTTCTTATTAAGTTTGAGAATTCTTTATGTATTTTGGATATAAGCCTTTTATGAGATAAATACTTTGCAAATATTTCCTCCTGGAGTGTAGCTCCCACCCGGCCCCCAAAAGATGTCCCAAAGAGAAGAAGTTTTGAATGCTGATGAAACCTGTTTATCAATTTTTTTTCTTTCGTGGTTCATGTTTTTTGAGTCCTAACTAAGTCTTTTTTTTTTTTTTTTTTGTGAGATGGAGTCTCATTCTTGTCACCCAGGCAGGAGTGCAGTGGCGCGATCTTGGCTCACTACAAGGTCCACCTCCCGGGTTCAAGCGATTCTCGTTACTCAGCCTCCCAAGTAGCTGGGATTACAGGCGCCCGCGACCACGCCTAGCTGATTTTTTTTTTTTTATTTATTTTCAGTAGAGATGGGGTTTCCCCATGTTGGCCAGGCTGGTCTTGAACTCCCTACCTCAGGTGATCCACCCGCCTCAGCCTCCCAAAGTGCTGGGATTACAGGTGTGAGCCACCGTGCCCGGCCCTAACTCTTTTTCTAACCCAGAGTTCTAAAGATTCTCTCTGTGTTTTCTTCAGCATTATTTATAATTTTAACTCATCCGTTTAAACTTATTTTCAAGTTAATTTTTTAATATGCTGTGAGAAGTAAGAGTCATGGTTTTTTTTTCATATGGATATTCCATTTTTGTAGCACTATTTGTTGAAAATACTTTTGTTTCCTCCATTGAATTGTCGTGGCACCTTGGTAGAAAATCAGTTGACAAGCCAGGTGTGGTGGCTCATGCCTGTTCTTTGGGAGGCCAAGGCAGGCAGATCACTTGAGGTCAGGAGTTCGAGACCAGCCTGGCCAACATGGCGAAACCCCGTCTCTACTAAAAATACAAAAGTTAGCTGGGCATGCTGGCGGGCGCCTGTAATCCCAGCTACTCAGGAGGCTGAGGCAAGAGAATCCCTTGAATCCAGGAGGCGGAAGTTGGAGTGAGCCCAGATGGTGCCACTGCACTCCAGCCTGGGTGACAGAATGAGACTCTGTCTCAAAACAAACAAAAAAATCAGTTGACAATATACATATAATTCTATTTCTGGACTGTCTTCTGTTTTCTTTATCTATGATTCTACCCCTTTAAGTTTATTCTTTTTAACACCGTGCTGTCTTGATTACTATAGCTTTAAAATAAAGCAGCTTTCAAACAAATTGAGTCTTTGATTTAGAATCTTGTAATGCTTTGGAGCCATTGTTTAATTTGTTCAGCCAATAAGTATTTATCATTTTTGATATGTGACAGATATTATTTTTATTATGTGGTACCATGAATGGAGATATAAGAAATCAGAAAAAGCCTAGATGGGGTCCTGTAGTTTTCCTTTCAGAATTTCTATTATGAACCTTACATTTTTAAATTAATTAATCTTTTTCATCTCTTACTATGTGATGAAAGAGGATTATGACAACCAGGACTTAACAAAGTTTGCTTGTTTACCAGCTGTCAGTCCCCTCAAATCATTTTTGGAAAAAGGTGGGATATAAAGAATAAACATATCTAAAATGTGACCATAGAAAAGAAAGGAGGTGATTGGTGTGTTAAGTATGGGTTGGATTATGAGTATTTATCGTTTTTGCTTGTATTATTTTTGTGACAGGGTCTCTGTCACCCAGGCTGCAGTGCAATGGCACAATCAGAGCTCACTGTGATCTTGAACTGGGCTCAAGTGATCCTCCCACCTCAGCCTTCTGAATAGCTGGGTCTACAAACATGCACTACCATGCTCAGCTAATTTTTAAATTTTTTTTATTTTTCGTAGAGATGGGGCCTCACTGTGTTGCCCAGGCTGGTCTCGAACTCCTGGCCTCAAGTGATCCCCTGCCTTGGCCTTCCATAGTGCTGGGATTATAGGCCTGAGACATTGCTGTGCCTGGCTTGCTTTTGCTTGCCTTATTTTATGTGTATATTTTTTCTAAAAGGCAAAAGAAAGGAAGAAACTTAATTTTATTAGAATGTAAGCATATATATATTCAAAAAATATATACACATATATACAAATATATGTGTATACACATACATATTTGTATACACATATACAAATATGTATGTGTATATATTTTTTGAGATAGAGCCTTGCTCTGTTGCCCAGGCTGGAGTGCAGTGGCGTGATCTCAGCTCACTGCAACCTCCGTCTCCTGGGTTCAAGCGATTCTCCTGCCTCACCCTCCTGAGTAGGTGGGATTACAGGCACCCACTACTACGCCCAGCTAATTTTTGTATTTTTAGTATACATGGGGTTTTACCATGTCTGCCAGGATGGTCTCGATCTCTTGACCTCGTGATCCACCCGCCTCGGCCTCCCAAAGTGCTGGGATTACAGGTGTGAGCCACTGCACCTGGCCTCTTTATTTTTTTAAAAGAGACAAGGTCTTGCTCTGTCACTCAGGCTGGAGTGCAGTGGCATGATCATAGCTCACTGTAGCCTTGAACTCTTGGGCTCAAGTAGTCCTCCCACACCTTAGCCTACCAAGTAGCTAGGACTATAGGCGCCTGCCACCATGCCCAGCTATTTAAGAAAAAACTTTTTTGCACAGATAGAGTTTCACCGTGTTGCCCAGGCTGGTCTAGAATTCCTGGCCTCAGGTGATCCTCCCACCTGAGGATTACAGGTGTGATCTACTGCACCTGGCCAAATTTCACCTTATTTTGACTTGAGTTTTTTGAGCGGATTGGCAGGGAGCAATTAAGTAATAGGCTAACAGGACCTAATAGTAATAGTGTGTTAAAAATTATTTTTTTCAGGAATCATATTGACAGGTCATGAAAATGAGACCAAAAGATCTCTGGAAGCGATTAATGATAAAATTTCATGGAGAAGAAGGCCTTGACTACGGAGGGGTTGCCAGGTAAGGACTTGCTTGCCAGCTTATGACATACGCATCTTTGTACTTACCAATTTAAGATATTTCCTGCGGTATAACTTTCTCATCGACATTTATTTTTTGGGTATTCTATTCCCTAATGTTTGTATTACTGAGGATATCCTAATAGATATATTCATAATGAGGTTAGGATAGTACTGCTACTGGACAAGTATTTTAGAACTCCCCAATAGATCATCTGAGTCCAATGAGACTGCAGGCCCTGTGTTTTCTCCATCTCTCCTTCAGCATGTTATTGCCTCTGCTTTACATTGTCAGGAACAGTTTTGAGATTTAAACGATATATGACGAACTGAATACTGGTTCTCTTTGCTTCCATTTGTTATGCCTTTTTTCCTTGTTAAATGAATGTGTATGCATGCATGTGTGTATACACATGTACATATCATGATGGTCCTCAGAATGTTTCAGTACAGAAGGTATAATGCTTCTGCTACATTTGTAACTCACAGGTCAAGTCAAATTGATTTCTTTTTCTTTTCTTTTTTTTTGGAGACAGGGTCTCCCTCTGTCACCCAGGCTGGAGTGTAGTGGCGCGATCTCGGGTCACTGCAACCTCCCCAAGCTGGGCTCAAGAGATCCTCCCACCTCAGCCTCCTGAGCAGCTGGGACTACAGGTACAAGCCACCACAGCCAGCTAATTTTTGTAATTTTTTTGTAGAGATGGGGTTTCGCCATGTTGCCTAGGCTGATCTCGAACTCCTGAGCTCAAGTAGTCTGCCTGCCCCGGCCTCCCAAAGTGCTGGGATTACAGGTGTGAGCCACCGCACCCAGCCAGTGATTTATTTCTGATATTATATTTACTATAAGAATTCTTTTCTAAATATGAAAATTAGTTTTATATAAATGTAGGATAAACACTGTAGCTCTCTACTGAAATGTTTTAAGGATCATTGTAATTCTGCTTTCCCTAATCTTAAATCCAACCAAAATTAAATTATGTTTTCAATAATTCCCATTAATTATTATTTAGCATTACATGTGTGTACTTGTAGACTTATTTTCATTCTGTTATCTTTTAAACCTATAGATGGGTGGTTTCTTTAGCATGGTTTTTTTTTTTTTTTTAGTATTTATTGATCATTCTTGGGTGTTTTTTGGAGAGGGGGATTTGGCAGGGTCATAGGACAATAGTGGAGGGAAGGTCAGCAGATAAACAAGTGAACAAGGGTCTCTGGTTTTCCTAGGCAGAGGACCCTGCGGCCTTCCGCAGTGTTTGTGTCCCTGGGTACTTGAGATTAGGGAGTGGTGATGACTCTTAACGAGCATGCTGCCTTCAAGTATCTGTTTAACAAAGCACATCTTGCACTGCCCTTAATCCATTTAACCCTTAGTGGACACAGCACATGTTTCAGAGAGCGCAGGGTTGGGGGTAAGGTTATAGATTAACAGCATCCCAAGGCAGAAGAATTTTTCTTAGTACAGAACAAAATGGAGTCTCCTATGTCTACTTCTTTCTACACAGACACAGTAACAATCTGATTTCTCTTTCTTTTCCCCACATTTCCCCCTTTTCTATTTGACAAAACCGCCATCCTCATCATGGCCCGTTCTCAATGGGCTGTTGGGTACACCTCCCAGACGGGGTGGCAGCCGGGCAGAGGGGCTCCTCACTTCCCAGACGGGGCGGCCGGGCAGAGGCACCCCCCACCTCTCAGATGGGGTGGCTGGCCGGGCGGGGGCTGCCCCCCACCTCCCGGACGGGGCGGCTGCTGGGCGGAGACGCCCCTCACTTCCCAGACTGGGCGGCTGCCGGGCGAAGGGTCTCCTCACTTCCCAGACGGGGCGGCTGCCGGGCGGAGGGGCTCCTCACTTCTCAGATGGGGCGGCTGGGCAGAGACGCTCCTCACCTCCCAGATGGGGCGGCGGGGAAGAGGCGCTCCCCACATCTCAGACGATGGGTGGCCGGGAAGAGGCGCTCCTCACTTCCCAGACTGGGCGGCCGGGCAGAGGGGCTCCTCGCATCCCAGACGATGGGCGGCCAGGCAGAGACGCTCCTCACTTCCCAGACGGGGTGGCCGCCGGGCAGAGGCTGCAATCTCGGCACTTTGGGAGGCCAAAGCAGGCGGCTGGGAGGTGGAGGTTGTAGCGAGCCGAGATCACCCCACTGCACTCCAGCCTGGGCAACATTGAGCACTGAGTGAGCGAGACTCCGTCTGCAATCCCGGCACCTCCGGAGGCCAAGGCTGGCAGATCACTCGCGGTTAGGAGCTGGAGACCAGCCAGGCCAACACAGCGAAACCCCGTCTCCACCAAAAAAATACGAAAACCAGTCAGGCGTGGCGGCGCGCACTTGCAATCCCAGGCACTCAGCAGGCTGAGGCAGGAGAATCAGGCAGGGAGGTTGCAGTGAGCCAAGATGGCGGCAGTACAGTCCAG
This sequence comes from Homo sapiens, assembly GCF_000001405.40. Lineage (NCBI taxonomy): Eukaryota > Metazoa > Chordata > Mammalia > Primates > Hominidae > Homo > Homo sapiens. The sequence goes on from NC_000017.11 coordinate 68,116,941, forward strand.
CTTCGGCTCGGCATCAGAGGGAGACCGTGGAGAGGGAGGGAGAGGGAGAGGGAGAGCTAGCGTGGATTTTTAAAAATAATCTCTTGCACATCATACTTAGGACTTGATAGTTTTTGTGGAATTTGTGTTATTTACTTATAACTAGAGTTTGAATGTTTATTGGGAAAACTTAATCATGATCATCTGCTGGTGGCATCTAAGTACTATAATTATATGTATAGGTCAAATAAGTAGTTTAATTAATTAATTTCTTAGGGACAGGGTCTCTCTCTGTCACCCAGGCTCAATGGAGTGCAGTGGTGTGATCATGGCTCACTGCAGCCTCAAACTCCTAGGTACAAGTGATCTTCTTGCCTCAGCCTCCTAAAGAGCTAGGACTATAGGCACATGCTTCTATGCCTATTAAATTTTTTTTTGGCCAGACACGGTGGCTCATGCCTGTAATCCTAGCACTTTGGGAGGCCGAGGCGGGCAGATCACGAGGTCAAGAGATTGAGACTATCCTAGCCAACATGATGAAACCCCGTTTCTACTAAAAATACACACAAAAATTAGCTGGGCATGGTGGCATGTGCCTGTAGTCCCAGCTATTCGGGAGGCTGAGACGGGAGAATCGCTTGAACCTGGGAGGTGGAGGTTGCAGTGAGCCAAGATCGTGCCACTGCACTCCAGCCCGGGTGACAGAGTGAGACACTGTCTCAAAAAAAAAAAAAAAAAAAAAATTAGAATAATTAGTGTCAGCATTAAGCTAGTGCTGAGACCATAACCACTGTAAACAGGCACTCAAAGAGAAGGAAGACTAAGAGTCTTCCTTCTTGAATAGTTCTTGAACTTCCAAGAGATTCTTGACATGCCAATCGTAAGTTTATTTTGTTCCCCCATCCTAGCTATAAGGCTGTTTGGAATGGTTCTTTTTCTTGGTATCTCCAGCAAGTGCCTGGCCCAGAATCATACAAGATGAGGGAATAAATTATGACCATCCCAATGTCTTTAACATAAAATAACAAAGGTAGGTGAAGGGAACTGGAAGGAAGGAGACAAATGTGAATTTTAAGATTTTTATGGAGCAGAGATGCTACCCTGTCCCATCAAGCTTTGAGGCCCTGGCAAGACAGGATGCCTGAGCCTGCAAAGCAGAAGCTAGACCTTGGGCAGGAGTGAACTCAACATGGTCAGTGCCACTCTGTGGAGCCCTGTGGGGTGCCCAGCCTGCATCCCCAGCAGACGTCACTCTGCCTCCAGCTCGAGGCAGGGGCTGCAGAGCTTTCCTCTTCAACCTTCAGCTTGAGTTGGCAGGTGCACAGTCAAAACCTTCAGGGTCCTAGAGCATTCATTTTCAGGAAGTAAATCTTCAGGATGTACTGAAGCATCTTCAGAATAGCAAATATGAAGAGGCTGACCCACACTGACAGTTCTGTGATTTACATGATCATATTCAAGAAACAGAGCGAGGCCAATCACATACCCATATGGAAAAATATGAGCTTTGACTTCTAACTCACACCACACACAAAAATTAATCCCAGAAAGATCATAAACCTAATTGTGAAAGATAAATCACTAAAGCTTCTAGAAGATAATATAGGCAAATACCTTCAGATCCTTGGGGGAGATGAATATCTCTTAAATGGGACAAAAACCAAGCAAGCCATAAACAAAAAGACTGATAAACTGCACATCATTAAAAGAATCTCTGTTCAATAAAAATACCATTAGGACATTTAAAAGTCAAGCCCTATAGACTAGAAAAAGATACTTGATATATATACTATTTTTGTCCAGTAAAAGACTCATATCTATAATATACAAAGAGCTCCTTCAAATCAATACATACACATACAACTCAATTTAAGACTGGGATGAAAACTTGGACAGACATTCTATAAAAGAGGATTGACTGGCCAATAAGTAAATGAAAAAGTATCATCTTTAGTCATCAAGGAAATGAAAATTAAAACCACTACACATCTACTAGAGTGGCTAAAATGAAAAAGATTGGTAACACCATTGGCCAGGATAAAGAGCAACTAGAATGCTCATTTGTTGCCAATATGAGTATAAATTAGCACAAATAGTTCAGAAAACTGTTTGGTGGTGGTATCTATTAAAGCTAAACATGCCAGGCACAGTGGCTTACGCCTGTAATCCCAGCACTTTGGGAGGCTGAGGCGGGCGGATCATGAGGTCAGGAGGTCGAGACCATCCTGGCTAACACAGTGAAACCCCATCTCTACTAAAAATACAAAAAATTAGCTGGGTGTGGTGGCACGTGCCTGTAGTCCCAGCTACTCAGGAGGGTGAGGCAGGAGAATTGCTTGAACCGGGGCGGTAGAGGTTGCAGTGAGCCGAGATCACACCACTGCACTCCAGCCTGGGCGTCAGAGAGAGACTCCGTCTCAGGAAAAAAAAGTAAATCTATCCAAGAACCTAGCAATTCCTTTCCCAGGTATATACCCACAGAAATAAGCACTGAGGTTCTCCAAAAGCACGTACAAGATGTTCACTACAGCTTTCTTCATAATAGTCAAAACCTGGAAACAGCTGGGCGTGGTGGCTCACACCTGTAATCCCGGAACTTTGGGAGGCTGAGGCGGGCGGATCACAAGGTCAGGAGTTCGAGACCAGCCTGGCCAATATAGTGAAACCCTGTGTCTACTAAAAATAAAAAAATTAGCTGTGTGCGGTGGCACGTGCCTGTAATCCCAGCTACGTGGGAGGCTGAGGCAGGAGAATCACCTGAACCTGAGAGGCAGAGGTTGTAGTGAGCCAAGATCATGCCACTTCACGCCAGCCTGGGCAGCACAGTGAGATTCCGTCTCAAACAAATCTGGAAACAACCCAAATGTCCATTAACGAGAATGGGTGATAGGCTGTGATATATTTTTACAATGGAGTATTACAGAACAATGGAAAAGAATGAACTACAGTCTTATGCTGTATGTACAGCTGAAGCTCACAGATGTAGTGTTCAGTGAAAGAAACCAGATACAAAAGAGTACATACTGTGTGATTCCATTTATAGGCGTGAGGTTCAACAACAGGAAAAACTAACGCACGGCTCTAGAAGTCAGAATGGTGGTTTTCAAGGGGCACAATGACTGGGAGAAGGTACACAGGAGCCTCTGGTGGGCTAGACATGTTCTAGATCTTGATCTAGGTGGTGGTCACAGGGTGCACATCATAGGTAAATACTCACCAAGGTGGAGGACACTGAAGATCTGGTACTTTAGATACATCATTCCTCAAAAAGTTTTTAACGGAGAAAGTGGGGCAATTCAATGGGGGAAAGGACGGCCTTTTTAACAAATGGTGCTGGTTCTACTGGGTATCTGCATCCTTGATACACAGAAGTTAACTCAAGATGGACCACAGACTCACATGTAAGAGCTAAAATAACATTCTTAGAAGAAATCATGGAAGTAAATCTTCGTGACCTTGGATTAGGTAATGGGTACTTAGATACCACACCAAAAGCACAAGTGACAAAAACTAGATATATTGAACTACATCAAAATTAGAAGCTTTTATGCTGCCAACAATACCATCAAAAGAGTGAACAGAATGGGAGAAAATATTTGTAAATCATGTATCTGGTAAGGTTCTAGTATCCAGAATATATACGATTTAAAGAACTAGCCTGGGCAACATGGTGAAACCTCGTCTCTATAAAAAATATAAAAAAAATTAGCTGGTCTTGGTGGTGTGAGCCTGTAGTCCCAGCTACTCAGGAGGCTAAGGTGGGAGGAGCACCTGAGCCTGGAAAGTTGAGGCTGCAGTGAGCTGAGATCATGCCACTGCACTCCAGCCTGGGTGACAGAGCAAGGCTCTGTCTCAAAAATAAATAAAAAAGAAGAGAAAAAAAGTACTATTATAATCCAACAACAACAACAACAAAACATAGTTTTAAAATGGGCAAAGGTAGGCTGAATGTGGTGGCTAACACTTGTAATCCTGGCACTTTTAGAGGTTGAAGCGGGAGGATCACTTGAGCCCAGGAATTTGAGACCATCCTGGCAACATCACAAAGCCCCATCTCTACAAAAAATTAGCTGGTCATGGTGCCGCATGCCTATAATCCCAGCTACGTGGGAGGCTGAGGTGGGAGAATCACTTGAGGTCGGGAGGTTGAGGCTGCAGTGAGCTGTGATCATGCCACTGCACTCCAGTCTGTACAACACAGTGAGATCCTGTCTCAAAAAAAAAAAAAAAAAAAAAAAAAAGCCAAAGGTTTGGAATAGACATTTCTCCAAAGAAGATACACAAATGGCCAATACACACATGGAAAGATGTTCAACTTCATTAACTGTCAGGGAAACATAGATCAGAACCACGATGAGCTCCCACTTCTTACCCACAGTGATGGCTATCATAATTTTTTAAAAAACTAGACAGTAGGCCAGGCACAGTGGCTCACGGCTGTAATCCCAGCACTTCCGGAGGCTGAGCCAGGTGGATCACGGGGTCAGGAGTTCGAGACCAGCCTGACCAACATGGTGAAACCCCGTCTACTAAAAATACAAAAATTAGCCGGACGAGGTGGCATATACCTATAATCCCATCTACTCAGGAGGGTGAGGCAGGAGAATCACTTGAACCCTTGAACCTGCAGCCAAGATCGTGCCACTGCACTCCAGCCTGGGTGAAAGAGCAAGACTCTGTCTCAAAAAAAAAAAAAAAAAAGTATACTGACAAACCTTGGGAGGCTGAGGCAGGAGAATTGCTTGAAACAGTTCAGTTGTGAACTGCTGGGATGTATGTCACAGCTGATCAACATGTGAAGATACTGGTACTTGATAGCCTGTTAAGGAAAATTTGCTTCCAAATTTTAAGCTGGAAAGTCACTGGAATAACTTTAAAAAAGAATTACAATACCTGGCTTTTTAGATTTTCTTTACGTGTGTTAAGAATTGTGTACAAATTGAAATGTCTGTACTGATCCTCAACTAATAAAATCTCAATTATGAATGAAAAAATAAGTAGTTTTGCAGGAGGCCTGATGTGGGCTGGAGTCACTCTGTGTTCTCCTCCTACAGCAGGGCCTCACTCTCCTCCCCCTCAGCAGCCGACTCTCCAGTTGGGGTCTTCTCTGTTGGGGATTCAGTGTCCCTGGGATAAGAATAACAGTGCCAAGGTTTTGATTCTTGAAAGGAGCAATTTAGCTTCTCACCCCCTCCTCATTTTAGATGGGAACCGTGAGGGCCCTGTCGTCTACCTGGTGTCCCTGTTGAAGATCTCATCCTCATTGGAAGACTCCTTGTCATGCAGCTTCATGGTTTCTTGTTTTTGTTTGTTTTTTTGAGACAGAGTTTTGTTCTTGTTGCCCAGGCTGGAGTGCAATGGTGCGATCTTGGCTCACTGCAACCTCCGCCTCCTGGGTTCAAGCAATTCTCCTGCCTCAGCCTCCCAGGTAGCTGGGATTATAGGCCTGCACCACCACACCTAGCTAATTTTGTATTTTTAGTAGAGACGGGGTTTCGCCATGTTGGTCAGGCTGGTCTTGAACTCCCAACTGTTACGTATGTCCATGTGAGGAGAGTCCACCAACAGGCTTTGTGTGAGCAACAAGGTTGTTTATTTCACTTGGGTGCAAGTGGACTGAGTCCACAAAGAGAGTCAGCAAAGGGAGATGGGGTGGAGCAGCTTTATAGGATTTGGGTAGGTGGTGGAAAATTACAGTTAAAGGTAGTTATCTCTTGCAGACAGGGCAGGGGTCACAAGGTGCAGGATGGGGAGATCATGAGACTCATTGTCCAGGGGAGGAATGTCACAAGGCCAGTTGATTAGTTGGGGTGGGGCAGGAACAAATCACCATGGTGGAATGTCATCAGTGAAGGCAGGAACTGGCTGTTTCATTTTTTTGGTGGTTCTTCAGTTGCTCCAGGCCACCTGGACGAATACCTGCAGATCACAGGGGTTAACGATGGCTTAGCTTGGGCTCAGCGGCCTGACATTGAGGATCCTTCTTTATCTTTTTCTGATGCCCTTCTATGAGAATGAATATGTTTTGGAAGAAAATGCAATTAAGATTATCCATCACAACAACCACTATCTCCAAATCTGTATTCATTGCTTCTATTCATTATTCATTATAAGTCTCATCTACCTGATGAAATAACTTTTTTGAAGATAGGAATTGTATGCTGTTTAACAGTGCTTTGATTCTTCCACAGTTCAGTCATCCTTGATATCTTGCAGGGGATTGGTTCTAGGATACCGCTGCCACGCCATACCAGAATCTGTGGATGCTCAGTCCCTTACATATAATGGTGCAGTATTTGCGTATAACCAACACACATCCCCCCATATACTTTATTGACTTAGAGACAAGATCACCCTCTGTTGCTCAGCCGGAGTGCAGTGTCACAATCACAGCTCACTGCAGCCTCAACCTCCTGGGTTCCAGTGATCCGCCCACCTCAGCCTCTTGAGTAGCTGGGACTACAGGTGCATACCACCACACCTGGCTAATTTTAAAAAAATTTTTATTTTTAGTAAAGACAAGTTCTCACTATACTGCCCAGGTTGGCCTCCCAAAGTATTGGGATTACAAGGGTGAGCCACGGTACCTGGCCCCATGTACTTTAAGTCATCACTAATAAAATGTATAGATATTGTACAATGGTGACAGTTGTTATGCTGTCTTTTCTATTTGTATTTTTATTGTTTCTTTTTTCAAATATTCAGCCTCATCTAGTTGAATCTGAAGATGTGGACCTGATGATGAAGAGGGCTGACTGTATCTAACTTAGGGTCTTGCATGCAGCTGGCACTTAATACATTTTATTGACTATTTTAGCTAACATTCAACAGACAATTCCTAATAAAAAACTCTTAAAAGTAGGAAAAAAAGTCCTTCCTCTAAAGTGGCAGGAAAATCAGCCTAGGCAACATAGCGAGACCTTGTCTCTACAAAAAAAATTTTTTTTAATTAGCTGCCTGCTTGTAGTCCCAGCCACTCAGGAAGCTGAGGCAGGAGGATCCCTTAAGCCCAGGAGCTTGAGGTTACAATGAGCTAGATCACACCATTGCTCTCCAGCCTGGGTGACAACAAGGCCCTGAGAAAGAAGAAAAAAAAAGAAAAAGGAAAGGAAGGAAAGAATATAAGTATTGAAAAGGAAGAGACAAAACTGATTATTTGCATATGAAATGATAAATGTGAGACAGCCAAGGAAGCCTAAGAGAATCAACTAAGTTTGTCTTACTGGAAGTAATATGAGAATTCAATACAGTGGCTATATAAAAATCAAGACAGCAGCACACAGACCTCAACTACTTTTCCCATGTACCACCAATAACTAATTAGAAAATGGAAGGAAGATCCCATTTACAATAGCAATACAAATGTATGGAGTATTTAGGAACAAAAATGCAAAGATCTTTTATCTAACAAAAAATATATAAAATCTATATGATGAAAACCCTAAAACTCTTCTGAAAGACATTAAAAAGAAATGAGTACATGAGGCAGCACATTTCTAGAATGTTGTACAGATGTCAATTCTCAAATTAGTCTACAAATTTAATGTAATCCTATTCAAATCCTCAGATAGTTTTTGGTGGTGGCTGTTTTTGAGACAGGGCCTCGCTCTGTTGCCCAGGCTAGAGTGCAGTGGTATGACTACAGATCACTGCATCCTCGACCTCCCAGGCTCAAGCAATCCTCCCACTTCAGCCTCTGAAGTCTCTCATATGGTGTCCGAGAAATGGGGACAAATCTCACAAAGGGACTAGGCTCAGGAGGGCTGGAATATTCAGGGAAGGTTTCAAGCAGAAAGATGAACTTGAGTTGGCTTTTGAGAGATTCATAGGATTCCCACAGGCAGAGTGAAATAAGGGAATTTTAGATGAACAAACGCACAGACAAAAGCAGAAATGCAGATGGTGTGACTGGGGGATGGTGAGGGGCTGCTCTGGCTGGAATGGAGGGCTGGCTGCCACAATAGTGGAAATGGTAAATGAGGCAAATAAGGTTGGATTGGTAGGATAGCATCAAGGTTGCCAGCTTATTAAATCACTCTTCCAATATGCTAGCACTGGCCTATTGGGAAAAGTAATGCATCATGTAATCAAACAAAAGGCAAACAGAGGCAAGCTCCAGGAATGGGCACTGTAAACAGGACTCACCCTAGAGTGGCCAGATGTAGACTTTAGATATGTTAATGCAGGTTGAGCATCTCTAATCCGAGGGGGAATGTCTCATATGGTGTCCAAGAAATGGGCACATCTCACAGAGGGCCTAGACTCAGGAGGGCTACAGTATGAGACATTTCCCCTCCCTTGTGAACTTAAAAATGTGGCCAACAATTTTTTTAAAAGATGGTTACCCTGCAGTGCTTTAACTGGACCTATTTAGACAACGCCTTACACACTGGAGAAGGATGATACTTTGTGACTCTAATAAATCTACCAGACAATACTTCTCTCTTTTGGCTGTCTCCTTCCTCTCCAGGGTGATGACAACTCCGTGAGGGTGGAGATTATACATCTCTCATCATTTCAGCAACAAGGAAATAAATTAGTGGCAGAGTAAGGGTGACTTGGTGAGTACATCCAATTGTTGACATAGTTTTGGGTGGGAGAAATTTTGCTATTATATCAACTTCTTAAAATGGTCTAGTGGGATTAACTTTGTTTCAATTCACAGAGATCTCTTGGAAGCGAGGATCCTTTAAAAATCCTGGAATATACACTGCAGTAAAAGAACAAAGCATACCTCAGCCTTAAACGACTGAAGAAGAATGTCAAGTGGGGAAGTGGCTTTGGTTTTCAGTTTGTGGGTTCTGAATCCACACAAAGACAGGATTGCTTTCTGAAAACCTGAATTAATTATTGTCCTTACCTCAATAAGACAAAAAATTAGAATCAAAATCGTTAGTATTACAGTCACAGATATCACCAAGATTAGTTTGTTGTTATAGCCATATCCTGGAACTTCTTTCGTGAGCTAAAAAAAAAAAAAAAGAAAAAAGGAAAGAACAATTAAAAAAAGAGTGAAAGCTAACTTTTCAAAACCCCAGTATTCTAGTTGAGTAGCTTACAGGTTCTTTTTTTTTTTTTTTTGAGACAGGGTCTCACTCTGTCACCCAGGCTGGAGTACAGTGGTGTGATCACAGTTCACTGCAGACTCGACCTCCCTGGGCTCAGGTGATCCTCCCACCTCAGCCTCTAGAGTAGCTGGAATTATAGGCACAAGTCACCACACCCAACTAATTTTTGTATTTTTTGTGAAGATAGGGTTTCACTATATTGGTCAAGCTGGTCTCAAACTCCTCTGACTTCAAGTGATCTACCCACCTCGGCCTCCCAAAGTGCTGGGTTTACAGGCGTGAGCTACCATGCCCAGCCTACAGTTCATCCTGTGCACTAATCTGTTTCACTCTCTAAATGAACAAAGTGGGAGATCACTGTCATGGCCAAAGTTACATGGCCAAGACAAACTATGGCCTGGGAGTCCCAGGTTCTCCTGTGTGGGCACTTTCCTGGCATATGCTAAATGATGGGAAAGTCTGGGTCTCATGTTTCTGTGTGGTCCTCACCTCACTCGACTTCTGCTCTTTCTGTTCACTCTGGGCTTCTGTGCTTTCATTAATATAGTTCTTAGTTTTCCACTGGTCTGTATCCCATTCTGCCTTGGACGCCTTTACTTCCTGCTGCTCACTGAGAAGCCTCATCAGGAGGCCTGTCCTGGAGATGAGCTTGGCACAGGTCACTTGCACATAGGTCTCGGAGCAGTCCGTCTTCAAGGTCCAGATAACATGAGAAATGAAGCTTCTCACATCGTTGTTGGGGATGACGGACTGTAGTTGATGGGTTAGCGGAATTTCAAACTGATCACCTGGGGATGAGAGCAATGGGTAACTGAAGCTTTTGGGCTCGGGGGACAGGTCAGTGCCCACGTTGTTGTATTCCCATTTTGTCTCAGTTTGTTTAACAGTTGGCTCTAAGTTGAATGCAGTCCTAGTGGGAATCTGCCTCAGGAAGATGATTGTAGTTTGTGTTTTCAGAGATGGTGCCTTCTGGCATAGTAGTGTTTTCCATAAAAACGTTTTCTTCAGAGGCATTTCTTGCAGTTGTGTTTTTTACAGTAGTGTTTTCTATAAAACATTCTGAAGGAGCAAATACTTCTGGAAAAGGGTTTTCTTGAGGACTCAGGTCTCCTGAGGATGAAAAAGCCCCTTGTGAAGGGGAATTTATGAGGCTCTTCACTGCAGAGAACGGCGGCCTCTTTGCGAGCATCAGTCTATTGAGATAACTTTTCTTTCTCAATTTTCTAATCTTTTTGGCCTTGGGTGTTCTGTGGGCCACACGGGAGTGAGTTTTATGAAAGTGGTATTTTTTTCTGGAATGTACTACTCGTTTAGCAGCCTTCATATTTTTTAACTCTAGCCTTTGCATTTTCTAAAATTAAAATGGTGTAGGCTAAGTCTTTCAATCTGTCTATGACCTGAGGTAGGGCTTTTGCAGTTGTGGAAGGCAGAAGGCATGCCCATGGAGAAGGGTTTCAGCAAAGAGGAGACTGTTGGCTTCTGCTCTTGGGTGAATGAAGGCTTGGTGTAGACGGCGTTTCCCGCTACGTTCTCGGGCCCCTGCACTATGTGAGGCTATTCCAGCTCCCTTGGGGCTGGACTCCCGAGCCTTTTTTCTTTGGCAGCATTCTCCCCAAATGCCTGGGCACCCTGTTCCCTCCTGATACTCTGCTTTCCCACCGCTTTGAAGGGCCTTTTCTGGATGCTCCTTGGGCCCATGAGGACTCTGTTCACTCTCTGCAGGTTTTTGCCTACACTTTGAACCTTTGCCAGGCTGTTTTCCTGTGGTTGGACAGTTTCTAATTTCTTTTCAAATATTTGGCATTTAAATTTGTTACCTAGAAGGCTGGACTGCATAAGCATGGCAGTTTTTTCTTCCCTTTTAACTTCATCGATTTTTTTCTTGTATTTCTGCATCTAACATCTTTTCTAGCAAATACACCTTTCTCAATTTATTTTCATAAGTTGAATTGTTGGATGCAGGTTGAAACAAGGGGCTCTTTGTATTGTTTTTCAAAACAGGAGCTTATCTCCATCTTGCACATTTGAAAAAAGCAGTTTAATGAATGGTAACAACATTGATTCCGCATCTAGATTTCCTGCTGAGAAATAAGGCAAGATGTAATTTAGCGCAGTGATAACATCACTCTTATCATAAGTGTCTAGCTGCTCACTCCCAAAGACTGACAAGTTGATGCCACTGCTGTCTGAGGCTGCCTCCGGCTCAGTAGTCAGCTCAATGCTCATGTGCTTCTTCTGGGCTTGTAACACCTTCATGAACACTCTTTCTGGATTCCCTACAGATGCTTCTTCACCTGTCAAAAAAAAGAGACTGCTTTGATCATGAAAGATAATGGAACGGCATGCATCAGTCCACAGCTGTATGCCCCAGTCACACAAAGTAGGAGTCAGCAAACATTAGAGTGCCATTCAGAGAGGAGAAACACACACCCAAGCCTAAATCTATGAAATGGCAACAACAAAAGGAGGAAAAGACATCTTTTGAAAATATGGCTACTTACTTGGAACATTCCTAGTGTGACATAGAGTAACTCTGCTTAGGATTATTTCGTTGATCCCCAGGGGCCAATTGCCCAGTGCTCAGTCAAAGCCCAAGGTGGAAGACAAGTGCTTCCCTGATGAGCTGTCCTCTCTGCAGACTGCTCCGTACCCTGTGCTGTCCTGCCTCAGATGCAGAGAGAGCACAAGCCTCCCTCCTCATCCTCAGTGTGCCTGTGTTCTTACTACCATCACAGCTGAATGCAATGAAAGGCTATCCTCTGAGAGGAGCAGGGTGGAGATGCTAAAGTGGAGGCCCCCTCCCATTGCTGATAGATCCTCATCTGGCATGCACTCCACCCACCCACCCCATTCTCTGCTACCACATATCGTAGCCCCATTAAAGAAGAAGTGACATGGAAAAAACACTGTGCCCACCCTAGTCCTTTTCTTAAATTTGGGCAGAGATCCAGGGTATAGGTTAAGAGATTTTTAATTTGCCAGATGGTATGCCTATGTTGTTAAATATACAATGAATCTATGGTATGATAGCAGTTTCTGGATAAACATTACTTGAGGTCCTAAAATGCAGAAGGGAAAAAGCAGCTTTTGTCAGATGCTTACTTTGCTTTCATTTCATCTCTAATATTTTGGATGGGGAACCATCCAAAGCTTCTGGCCGCATGAAGGTCAAGTGTGCCAGTGTGCAGCTGGGTTTCTTTTCCAGAATTAAAAGTATTTTGGGTGGTGCTGAGGGTCAGAGGAAGAAGTAAAAATTGTGAGAAAGGAGAAACATGGGCTTGGGGAGAACCCAGAATTGGGGACAGAAGACCTGGCACTAAGCTATAGCACTTAGCACCTCTGATCTTGTTTTTCCTCGTCCGTAAAAGGAGATTAACAATGCTTTTCTGCCCACCTCTTGGGGAGAAGGGAATAATTTAGTTGGTAAAAAAAAAACTTTTGAATAATAAGCAACTCTGTCTTTATATAAGTAGCCAAGCATTATTAATTATCCACCCCATATCACTGGTAGATACCTGTATTCAAGCTATGTGGACATAAAAGCAGTCACATTTTAGAAGTCATGAAGTTGGTGCTAATAAACCTAATCTACAGAAAAACTCTTGAAAGCACTTGAGCATTTGTTCTGTGAATAGAAAGGTTTGAGATTCAGAGCAAGTTCAGAGTTGGATGGTCTAAGAATGGAAAAGCCCTCCATTCCATTAGAAGAGCCAGGGAGCAATTTCTGGTTATGGAACCAGAAGCTCTCAGGCTTCAAATAAAACAGCATCACTTGTACTCTTATAAAATTGTAAAAACAAAAACAAAACTGGATCTACATTTGTCCTAAAAGGCAGAGAGTACTTGAGACCTCATGCATATAAAACCAGCTTACAAACTACATCGCACTATATGAAGAAATTATCACTGGGGGCAAATCACCAAGTAGGGAGCACAATACACAGGGTGTGGATGTTAATGTCATTCCCTAGCCTTCTCATTCCCTTCTCTTGGTCCTTTATGCATATGGAACAGTTCCATTATTAAATTTTGTAATAATAACTGAGAACCTGACTCCCAGCAAGGGAGTAGTTCAGAAGTTGAGGGAGTTTAAATCTGAATGAGTAAATAAAGCAATTATATCATTAGCTTAAAATTTTATCATCAATTAAAAATAAATTTAAAAACAAATACTTAAAATAATGTAACAATTTATCACCAGGCAATTTGGACTCACGACAATGTGTGGTGTTTGTCAGACATGCACTGTTGCAATGCAGCTTGACTGTCTTGCAGACAGCCTCAATGCTATTTTTAAATTGGCAGAGGCAGCAGGCCATATGGCTAGGTAAGATCCTATAAGATGAAAACACAAAACAATAAATAGTGGTAAAGCAGTTACTTGAGTAGGCAAAGGAGGCAGGCCAACGCTACCACAGGGCTGGGCAGAAAGGTGTTACTGAGGCCTGTGGACTGGACAGTTGGGTAGGAACCAGAAGGGCAATGGGAAGGAGGACAAAGGTGCCCAACTGAAGGGTAAGCATGGCAGTGAGTATGGTATGCCTAGAATAAAAGTGGTTGGGATTAGAATTGGGTGACACTGATCAGTAGTTTAATTCAGAAGTATCTCTTCCCAACTCAAAAGTCTCACTTTGGGCTGAAAGTACACAGGAAGAAAGTAGACTTCTAAGAAGAGTCTGAATAAGCCCCCAACTTCTGGAGTCCCTTTCTCAATTTCTGTTGGCAGTGGGAAATATTAGAAATTACTCTGGGCATTAAAAATAGCTCAGTTTAACCTGGATTGTGGGGTTAAAAAAATAACAGATTGCATTGGCCAAATCTCGACAATTTGAGCATTCAAAAGAGTAACAATAAGCTACAACATAATTAATATATAAAAAAGAATCCATGAAGAATGATATTTAAAAAGAGAGGGAGTTGTTCTTTAATGAAATAATGCCAGCTAATGAATGTAGAAGGAATGACAGAATTTTAAAAAGTGTTACTTTGCAACCACCAATGTAATAAAAATTGATTCAGACAAGGATTGTCATTGATGGACACAGCTGGGTGAGAAGACATTTGAGAACAGGATCTTTACTGATCTCAAAGTACCACCACACAGATATTTTATTAATTACCAAAGGGAAAAATTATTTTTTATTTTTTTATGAGACAAAGTCTCACTCTGTCACCCAGGCTGAAATACAGTGGCAAAATCGTAGCTCACAACAGCCTCGACCCCCACCCTGGGCTCAAGTGAGTCTCCAAATTCAGCCCCCCAAGTATATGGGACTATAGTCTTGTACCACCACACCCAGCTAATTTTTTTTTTTTTTTTTTTTTTTTTTTGTATTTTTAGTAGAGACAGGGTTTCACCTTGTTGCTCAGGCTGGTCTAAAACTCCTGGACTCAAGCGATCTGCCCGTCTCGGCCTTCCAAAGTGCTGGGATTATAAGCATGAGCCACCACACCCAGCAAAATAACTACAATGGAGAGATCTGGAAGATCACCTTAAACAAGTGATCAAACTTAGCATTATGAGCCACCTGCAATCACGAGGCAGGAAGGATATATCACCTATGCAGTATTTTTCCCAAAAATGCTTACCTTGAATCTCATCATGTGGAAACAGACAAATCCAGATTATGGGACAATTTACAAAACAACTATCTTTGACTCTTAAAAAATGCCATGTCATGAAAGATCAAAAAAAGTAGAGGAATGTTTTAGATTAAAGGAAATGAAGACATGACATGCAGTGCCTAATCTTTGATTGGATTCTGTGCTATTCTTTCATCTTTCTGGTATGTTTGAATTTTTTTTGAAATATAAACTTGGGCAAAAGAGATAACCAAGATAATTGATTAATTTATTGTTATGGCTCATTGGGGGCAGTTTCAGAGAAATAAAAACAATCTTTGTAACTGGAGTAAATTCTCAAGGTTAATCTTAAGCAATATAGCATGGTCATTAAGAATACAGATTCCACAGCCAGACTAGGCTTAAATCCCAGCTCTGTGAATAATGTGAATTTGGGCACATTGATTAATCTCTGTTCCTTGGCCTTGTCATTATAATAGTACCTACCTCTAATGAGTTTTGAGGATTAGATGAATCAGTACCTGAAAAATGCCTGACACACAGTGAGTGCTCAATAAATGTTAACTACTGTAATTATTACATTACAGAGGTTGTGGGGGGGCCTTTTCTGAGTCCTCCAAAAGGATGACTTTATTAGGGCCACATTAAGACTGTGGAAACAGAAGAGTATTCAACAGATAAATGAAGTCTATGAGTTGGGGGTACAATTTATGGAGTTTTAGATTAAAACTGCATCCAATAAGTTGGTCTGACACATCTTTCAAACCTATAGAGGAATAATCACAAGTGACTAGTATTCCTTTGGGTCCAATAGAGGTCTCTGATCTTCATACAGATTGAATGTACCCAGAACCGTAACCTAGCATTTTACTTATATAGCAACCTTAACTCTGACACAAAAGTGTTTCTTTTGTTTTGAGGCCAAGTCTCACTCTGTTACACAGGCTGAGTGCAGTGGTGCAATCTCACTTCACTGCAGCCTCTGCCTCCTGGGCTCAAATGATCCTCCCACCTCAGCCTCCTGAGTAGCTAGAACTACAGGTGAGTGCCACCATGCCTGGCTCATTTTTGTATTTTTTGTAGAGATGGGGTTTCACCATGTTGCCCAGGCTGGTCTCAAACTCCTGAGCTCAAGCAACCCTCTCTCCTTGGCCTCCCAAAGTGCTGGGATTACAGGCATGAGCCTGAAGTTTAATTGTTATTCTTTTCCTGCCCCCGACTTTTGATTTTAAACATTTTCTTTTTTTCCTTTAAGCCTTAGGATGGCTAGGAAGCATTTTCAGATGGTATAATGAACACCTGTATAACTTTCATCTGGAATCAACAGTTGCTAATACTTTGCCACATTTGCTTTCCATGTGTGTATGTCTATACATTTTCTGGACAAACCATTTGAGAGTCAGTTGCAGACAAAATGACCCTTTGCCATTAAAGACTTCAGTGTGCAGCCCCTAAGAAGCAAGGCATTCTCCTGCATAACCAGAGGACTATCATCACCCAATGGAACTTCATATTATCATTGTCTACTATGCAGCCCATATACACATTTTCACAATTGTCCCAATCATAACATGGCTTAAAAAATTCAGAATCCAATCCAACATCAGACATTGCATTTAGCGTTCATGATTTTTTTTTTTTTTTTTGTAGAAAGACCTTTAATACTTCTGTTTACAAAATTCAGGCATACATTTCAGTTTGCCCTGAACCGTGCCCAAGGCTGTGTGCTCATCTCTGCCAGGATGTCTGTGCCCTCATGTACTGCTGACGTGGAGGGTGCAGAGCAGAGCCTGGGGTCTGGAGGCTTCGCTGGGCCTCAGGGGGAGGGGAATGTGAATGTGGCCCGGCCCAGAGGACCCTCCATTTCATCAGTTTTGGATTGGGCAACAGAGGAAGCAGATGTCTGGGCTGCAGACCTGCTGGTCTGGGCAGGGGTTTGGGAACCCCGGGGTTGCCTGCCATGGTCTAGAGGAGATGGCTGCGGCTACTTCCCACAGGGTGGGGTGGCCACTAGGGGCTTGAAGATTTGCTCACTGGAGCCTTTGTGCTTGGCCCTCAGCAGCACAGCTGGGGCTGTGGTCCCGTGCAAGGTGTGCTGAGGGTTGTGTAGGTGGCTGGTGGTGGCAGCTTGTGCCAGAGTGACACAGGCTTCTGTGGGCCTGGCTGGGGGCAGTTAAAAAGCCGAAAAGGTACTTGGCTTTGTGAGGGCAAGGCTTGGGAGGCGGGGCCCTGCAGGACGTCATGTTCTCTGTCCTGGTTAGGAGGGGGGAGGTGTTGGGGGGGGGAAGGTGGGGCAGATCCCAACTGGCCCCTGTCCCTGGGCTGCAAGCTGACAGCAGGCCAGGGAAGCAGTGAGGCCTTCTGCCCTGGCCTTGGGGAGAAGGAGTGCATGTGTGAGGCTGGGATACAGTGGCCCTGGAGTGGGGCTAGGGCTCATCGCCAGCACCAGGCGCGGGGAGGATTTAAAACCAGAGTCCTGTCTCTGAGCCACCCCACAGGGACGCTTGATCCAAGCCTGTTAAGGCCGTGGAACTCGAGGGTAGGCAGTGGGCTGGGCCACCGTGGGTTCAGGATGGAGGTGTGGGGGCTGCCCTGGAGGAACGTTAGTGTTTCTGAGAGCACCTTAGTGTTGCTCTGCCTCAGCCAGCTGGGCAAGGAGTTGGGGAGCGGGGAGGAGGCCGGCGCCATGGAGTGGGGAAGGGAGCCGTCACTGTTGGGGATCAGCCGCTAGTGTAAACGAGCATCTCCACCCACCCAGATAAGCCCCCCACCCAAGTGTGGAGCCCTGCTCAGGGAGTACCTCAAGGGCCCCGGCCTGGGTGGCGCCAGCAGGCTTGGACACTGCCCTGGCAGCAGGGGCCCCGTGGAAGGCAGGATACCCAGCAGGGGGTGCCACCCAGTGTGGATGGAGGGGCAGGGCGGGGGCGCCCCTGAGTCACTGGGCAGAGGCACGAGCACGTCCACATAGCTGAGCAGGAAGAAGCCCGACTGGCCGTCCAGCATGCCCTCGTATCAGTTCTCGTTCATCTGGTTGATCAGCATGAAGACATCGCCCTCATGGAAGCCCAGCTCCCTATCTTTCTCCGGCTCCAAGTCATACAGCCCTTGCAGCTCGGCTGGTCTAGGGGCGGCATGCTCCTGCTAGGAGTCCAGATGGACTTGTCGTAAGATCGGAAAGAGGACGAAGCTGCGATCTTGGGGACTGTGGTGCAGGGGAAGCCCCGGTTGGACTGCTCAGGCTTTCCGAGGTCAAAGCACTCCCGGGGCTTGGGCTTATACTCCCGCCTGGGTCGTGAGGAAGCTTCCCGGATCCTGCACTTGAACTTCTGGGCCAGCTGGTCCAGGATCTGCACGGCCTGCCGGTGGTAGTCCAGCTGCGCCTCTGCCAAGGCCGGGAGTTGACTCACCTACTGGATGTCGGTCTCCAGGAGGTTGTGCATGCTGGTTTCTGCCACCTCCTTGGACTCCTCAAACTTCTCCAGCGCCTGGTGCAGCTCCTCTTCGGGGATCTTGCCCTGCCGCTTCTTTTAGTCAAAGTCCAGGCGGCGGCCCTCCAGCTTCTGCAGGTGGTGCTGGATCTCCTTCAGGTCTTTCTCACATAGGTTCTGGAGGGGGTCAATGAAGTTATGCTTGACCTCTATGTCCAGGGAGTCCTTCACCTCTGCCAGGTGCTTCATGGGCTCGCCGGCATCCAGCAGTGCATCGCTGAAGTTGGACTCGTCGCGCAGCTCCTTCCCATGGCGGATCAGGCACTCGCCCAGGAGCCCCCCTGACTGCAGGTAGCCGGGGTTCTTCACCTGGCCCCGGATCTTGCACGCGGTGTTGAGCATGGTCAGTTTAGCCTGCGAGGCTGGGTTGGGCTGCGGGTACTCGATGGTCCTGGACAGTACTTACGTCACCGCCTTGCTGATGACATCCACCTTCTCCATCTCTTCGAAGTCATCATCCAGCTTGGTCCCCTCAGCCCCTCCGACCTTCTCACTGACCAGTTGGCTCGCCTTGTAGAACTGCTTCTTCAGCCCGGCAACCGACATGCTGCCTCCTGCCGCGGAACCTTCCGCCCAGACCCCCCTGCCCAGACCCCGCCAGCGACAGGCTCCCGGGCACCACCAACCCTCTGCGCGCCTCAGCGGCCCCCATCAGCACCGCCTCCACCACCCGCTTGCCAGCTCGGCGCCCGCCCCGGCGCCGCCTCGAGTTCATGATTCTTTAGTCTCCTTCAATCTAGATCTGTTCCCAGGATTGTTTAAAAGCATACTGACAAACCTTTGAGACTGTAAATGACCTGAGGTATACATTATCTTTACTTGAGAATAGTAATTTTTCAATATGCATTAAAGATCATTACACATGAGCTAAGACAAATGAGCTGGTCTACTTACTTTGTATATAAATGTGTAAACTCCTGAAGACTTCCAATAATGAACTCCAATAAGGCAATTAGTTCAATGTCTTTATGGCCTTGGCGACAAATGGTTACAGACAATGAGAGCATTTTTCCTATACACTAATGGTCAAGAAAAAAGCAGACAGATCCTCACTATCTTAGAGAACTAAGTGAGAAAGCTGGTCAGTGAAGAGGACTTCATCCAGAGAGGAAGGGATCTAGCTGACAGAAAGATGCTGCAGGAGGCTGAGGAAAGTGAGCCTAGAGCAGTAAAACAGATCTAACAACGTGGTGAAGGTAAGAAAGTGACCTGACAAAAATGAATGGAGCAGAGTACTAAATGAAGGGCTAATCTTGTATAATGCCCTCAACCAGCCTTAGCATAACTGAGTTTCTATTTAGCTTGCATATTGTGGGGGGATGGGGGTGGTGGTGGCACAATTTAAGTTGCAGTAAGTTGTGTAACAAACTCCCAATAGGGCCCTGGAGAAATACATATATATATATATATATATTTTTTTTTTAGACAGGGTCTTGCTCTGTCACCCAGGCTGGAGTGCAGTGGTGCCATCTTGGCTCACTGCAACCTCTACCTCTTGGATTCAAGCAATCCTCCTGCCTCATTCTCCCAGAGTGCTGGGACTACAGGCATGTGCCACCACACTTGGCGAAGATATAGATATATATATATATATAGATACATATATATCTATAGCTACATCTACAAAGAAGCAGGCATGGTGCCTCATGCCTGTAATCCCAGCACTCTGGGAGAATGAGGCAGGGGGATCACTTGAAGCCAGGAGTTTGAAACCAGCCTGGGCAACACAGTGAGACCTCGTTTCTCCAAAAAATAAAATTGAAAAAAAAAAAAACTCACACCATATAAATTAACTCAAAATGGATCATAGACCTAAATGATGTAACTATACAATTTCTGGGAGAAGACATAGAGAGTAAATCTTTTCTACTTTGGATTAAACAACAGGTTCTTAAAGATTTCTTTAGGTAAGAAACAAAAAAGCACAAGCCATATAAGAAAAAATTGCTAACTTAAAGCTGATCAAAATTAAAAACGTCTGCTCTTCAGAAAACATTTATTTATTTATTTATTGAGACAGAGTCTCACTGTGTCACCCAGGCTGGAGTGCAGTGGTGCAGTCACATCTCAGTGCAACCTCCACCTCCCAGGTTCAAGCACTTCTTGTGCCTCAGCCTCTGGAGTAGCTGGGATTACAGGCGTGGGCCACCACACCTGGCTAACTTGTGTATTTTTAGTAGAGATGGGGGTTTTGCCACGTTGGCCAGGCTGATCTCGAACTCCTTACTTCAAGTGATCCACCTGCCTTGGCCTCCCAAAGTGCTGGGATTAGAGGTGTGAGTCACTGTGTCCAGCCAGAAAACACTTTTAACAGAATGAAAAGACAAACCACAACCAGAGAGAAGATATTTACCAAACACATATCTATAAGGCCTTGTTTTTTGTTTTTATTTATTTACGTATTTAATTTTTGAGATAGCATCTCACTCTGTGACCCAGGCTGGACTGCAGTGGTGATCATAGCTCACTGCA
Organism: Homo sapiens; assembly: GCF_000001405.40. Taxonomy (NCBI): domain Eukaryota; kingdom Metazoa; phylum Chordata; class Mammalia; order Primates; family Hominidae; genus Homo; species Homo sapiens. The sequence goes on from NC_000017.11 coordinate 68,137,531, forward strand.
GCCTCGACCTCCCAGGCTCAAGCAATCCTCCCACCTCAGTTTCCCAAGTAGCTGGGACCACAGGTGAGCACCACCACACCTGGCTAATTTTTATATTTTTGGTAGAGACAAGGTTTTACCATATTGCCCAGGTGGTCTAAAACTCCTGGCCTCAAGCAGTCCTCCTGCCTCAGCCTCCCAATGTGCTGGGATTATAGGCATGAGCTACTGTACCTAGTCCCTGAAAAGACTTGTATCTAGAATCTATAAAGCAGTCTTTTTTTTTTTTTTTTTTTTTTAGACGGAGTCTCACTCTGTCGCCCAGGCTGGAGTGCAGTGGCGTGATCTCTGCTCACTGCAAGCTCCGCCCCCTCGGTTCACGCCATTCTCCTACCTCAGCCTCCCGAGTAGCTGGGACTATAGGTGCCCGCCACTATGCCCGGCTAATTTTTTTTTTTTTTTTTTTTTATTTACTGGAGACGTGGTTTCACCATGTCAGCCAGGATGGTCTTGATCTCCTGACCTCGTGATCCACCCGCCTTGGCCTCCCAAAGTGCTAGGATTACAGGCATGAGCCACCACGCCTGGCCTAAAGCACTCTTAAAACTCAATAATGACGAATGTCTCACGGGATTACAGGGAAAAAAACCTCAATAAAAATATTAATATCCAATTAAAATATGCGAATAGATTTGAACAATTTAGTAAAGATATTTGCACATGAATATTGTATATCACTAGCTATTAAAGAAATGCAAATTAAAACCAGAATGAGATTCCACTACACATCTAGCAGTAGAAAGGTGAATATTTCTTTAAAAACTCAAATATAAGAATCTGCTGGGCTGGGCCAGGCATGGTGGCTCACGCCTGTAATCCCAGCACTTTGGGAGGCTAAGGCGGGTGGATCAAGTGAGGCCAGGAGTTCGAGACCAGCCTAGCCAACAAGATGAAACCCCATCTCTACTAAAAATACAAAAATTAGCTGGGCGTGGTGGTGCGCAGCTATAATCCCAGTTACTCAGGAGGCTGAGGGAGGAGAATCGCTTGAACCTGGTAGGCAGAGGTTGCTGTCAGCTGAGATCTTGCTGCTGCACTCCAGCAATGACTCTGTCTCAGAAAAAAAAAAAAAAAAGAAAAATCTGCTGGGCCAGGCATGGTGGCTCACGCCTATAATTCCAGCACTTTGGGAGGCTAGGCAGGTGGATCAAATGAAGTCAGGAGTTCAAGACCAGCCTGGCGAACATGGTGAAAGCCCGTCTCTACTAAAAATACAAAAATTAGCTGGGTGTGGTGGCAGGTGCCTATAGCTATTTGGGAGGCTGAGGCAGGAGAACTGTTTGAACTCAGGAGGTAGAGGTTGCAGTGAGCCAAGATGGCACCACTGCACTCCAGCCTGGGGACAGAGCAAGACTGTGTCGCCAAAAAAAAAAAAAAAAAAAAAAAAAAAAAATGCTGAGGATGTGGAATAACTGTGACTCTCATACAATGCTGGTGGAAATGTAAAATGGCACAGCCACTTTAGGAAACAGTTTAGCAGTTTCTTAAAAAGTTAAATATACACTAAGCATGTGAACCATCCAACTCCTGGTATTTACCCAAAGAAATGAAAACATAGGTTCACACAAAGACCTGTATATGAGTGTTTTTAGAAGTTTTATTCAAAATTGCCAAAAACTGGAAGCTACCCAAATGTCCATACATTGATGAATGGATAAACACATTGATACGTCCACACAACTGAAATACTACTGAGCAATAAAAAGGAGTGAACAGTTGTCCTTCGGTGTCTGCAGGGGATTGGCTCCAGGACCCCCTGCGGATACCAAAGTCCACAGATGCTGAAGTCTTTTATATGAAATGACATAATACTTGATATAATAAATGACATAAGCCTCGGGTATACTTTAAATACCTAATACAGTGTAAATGGTATGTAAATAATTATACCATAAATTTTCTATTGTTTTTATTGTTGTATTATTATTTTACATATTTTTATTTTTTCCCAAATATTCTCCATCCATTGTTAGTTGAATCCATGGATGAGGAACCTGCAGATATGGAGGTGCAACAACATGGATGGTAGCATAATCTCAAAAAAATTATGCTAAGTGAGGCTGGGTAAGGTGGCTCACACCTGTAATCCTAACACTTTGGGAGGCCGAGGTGGGCGGATCACTTGAGGTCAGGAGTTCGAAACCAGTCTGGCCAACATGGTGAAACTTCGTCTCCACTAAAAGTACAAAAATTTGCTGGGCGTGGTGGCACACGCCTGTAATCCCAGCTACTTGGGAGGCTGAGGCAGGAGAATTGCTTGAACCTGGGAGGTGGAGGTTGCAGTGAGCTGAGGTCACGCCGCTGCACTGCAGCCTGGGTGACAGTGAGACTCCATCTTATAAAAAAAAAAAAAAAAAAAAAAAAAGCAGTACTAAGTGAAAGAAGCCAAACACAAGAGGCTACATGCTACATGATTTCATTTATAAGACATTCTGAAAAACGCAAAACTATAGGAACAGAAATCAGATTAGTAGCTAACAGGGGCTGATGGTGGGAGGAGGGGATTGCCTACAAAGGGACACGAGGGGCCTTTTTGAGGTGACAGAAATGCTTTATATTGGGAATGTGGTGGTGGTTATGTAACTATACATTTGTCAAAACTCATCAAAGTAGCGCCGGGCGTGGTGGCTCATGCCTGTAATCCCAGCACTTTGGGAGGCTGAGGCGGGCAGATCACGAGGTCAGGAGATCGAGACCATCCTGGCTAACACGGTGAAACCCCGTCTCCACTAAAAATACAAAAAATTAGCCGGGTGTGGTGGTGGACACCTGTAGACCCAGCTACTCGGGAGGCTGAGGCAAGAGAATGGCGTGAACCCAGGAGGCGGAGCTTGCAGTGAGCCAAGATTGCGCCACTGCACTCCAGCCTGGGTGACAGAGTGAGACGCCATCTCAAAAAAACCCAAACAAAAACACTAATCAAACTATACACTTATAAAGGGTGAATGTTATGTGAAAATTATATCTCAATAAACCTGACTTAAGAAAATAATAAAACAAACCTAAAAAACCAACTAAGTAAAAATAAATCTAAGAAAAAAATAACTTACAGTTTTTCCAATTCAACAGTCATCCTGAGAATGTTCTTAATTGTTGTAAGTGGGACTTGTGTTGTTCCCATGTATCTGAAGAAGAAAGCCGAAACATTCATGATATGAAGCCCAATACCAAAATTCTGTCCTTAAAAAGATATTTCAAGGACATGTGACTACTTCAATTTTGGCTTCTCTATAAAACAAGCCAGTTCAACAGTTTATTTGCTGTAAAATTCCAGAGAGCTCTTATTAAAGAAATTTAAGTTGATCTGCATCATCAAATTTAATGATACTTAAGAGTAGAACTTACACTTATTTTTTACCATTATCTTCTCATTTCATATTGCATTCACCCATTTTGATTATTTACTCTTTTCTTCCTTTTTAGAATAATGAACACCTATTCCTCTTTGCTTTCTTGGTTAAGTAGTATTCCTCCATATGTCTACATGTTCCAAATCTATACAGGTTTTTCAACACGGTTCTCTTCCTCTGCTGCTGCTGGCTGTCTTGACCATTACACATCTTTTCTTAATCCTTTTCTTTGCCAATAACTTTTTTCAATAACTCAGTTAAAATTTATGACTTTTTAGCCTAAATGCAAAATACTTAATCTTTGATGACAAATTTAAAAGAGCATAAGTCATCTCATGACTCATGAGAGTACTATAGTACTTACAGATATATTAATGCCGGCAGTTCCAAGAGCTACGGATCTTCAACAGCTGTCAGAGGATTGTGATTGAGAATTCTGATAAAAATGCAATGAAATTAAAATTACCTGCATTTTCAATGTGTGAAACTGCATCAAAAGCTTATATTCATTTTTTGTTATGGAACTTTTAGGTTAAAAAAATCATTTTCTGTTTTTACCTAATAAATCACCATTAGAATCTGTAAAGCACTATTCCTTTGGGAACTACCTAGGTCTCTAGAAGATAGAGGAGAGAAAGAGGGGAAGAAATAGAAAAAAAAAAAACAAGCGGATAGCAAAGAAAAAATATGCTGCAGAACTTTTCAGGTCAAAAACCCTAGAAGTGACTATGTTGGTAGGAAGCCCTGACTCTGCAGGAAACACTATATCTAGTGTCCTCCATAATTCAAGTTGCTCGGGTTTTTTTTGTTTTTGTTTTTTGAGATGGAGTCTTGCTCTGTCGCCCAGGCTGGAGAGCAATGGCTCTATCTCGGCTCACTGCAACCTCCACCTCCTGGGTTCAAGCGATTCTCCTGCCTCAGCCTCCTGAGTAGCTGGGATTACAGGTGCCTGCCACCACGCCCAGCTAATTTTTGTATTTTTAGTACAGACGGGGTTTTGTCATGTTGGACAGGCTGGTCTCAAACTCCTAACCTCAGGTGATCCATCCCCCTTGGCCTACCAAAGTGTTAAGATTACAGGCGTGAGCCACTGCACCTGACTGCTTGCCTTTTATCTTCATAAAGTTTTTAAATTTTATGGTTTAATTTGCACAGTTAAGGAAAAAAAAAATAGGACCAATTCTTTTGCTTTATAGCCAAAGTAAAAGGGATAAATCTAAGAGGAGGAACTGGTCAAAACCATACTCCTATCACATACTCTCACTTGTCTTCTTGTATGACATCACAGCCTTTGTTACATTGCATATAATCATCTGTCTACTTGTCAGTCTCCTGGGCTATCAGCTCCTTGAGGGCAGAGACCACATCTTATCGTCATTGTCATCCCTGTGACTGGCATCATGTCTGAAATTTACTAGGGATTTAATAAATGTTTATTGAATAAACAAATGACATTTTGTTTATATGTCAATAAATGAATAAATTCATTTTGATGTGAATTTTTATTCCAAAATGCTGGAATCTATTTTCTTTTTAATTCTTTAAAGTGAATGAGAAAAAGAAAAGAAACAGGAAGAAATAAAAGAAAACCACCCTTTAGGTTAACCCAAGAATCACTGTACTTTTGCAGAAATTATAAAAATAATAATTATTACAGTGAGTTTCTATTGGGCTGCTAGGTATTTGTGATCAGCATTTCACATTTAATCCTCACAATAACCTTATGTGGTAGATATTATTGCCCTATTTTATAAATGAGGAAACTGAGGCACAGAGAGGTAACATAACTTGTCCTAGGTCACCAAGCTATTAAGAAACAAAGCTGTAATCTGAACTCATGTGCTTAATCTGTATGAAGAAAAAGGGTTTACTTTAACCTTATGGTTTTTTAAATTTTTCTTTTCTTTCTCTTTCTTTCATTTCCCTTCCTCCCTCTTTCTTTCCCTTCCCTTCCTTCCCTCCCTCCTTGTCCTCCCTCCCTCCCTCCCTTCCTCCCTTCCTTCTTTTAAGTTAAAGTTTCCGTTTATTGGCTGGGCCTGGTGGCTAAGGCCTATAATCCCAGCACTTTGGGAAGCTCAGGTGGGTGGATCATCTGAGGTCAGGAGTTCCAGACCAGCCTGAGGTCAGGCTGAGCCAGACCCCATCTCCGTCGGAATCTTGCTCTGTCACCCAGGCTTGAGTGCAATGGCATGACCTTGGCTCACTGCAACCTCTGCCTCCTGGGTTCAAGTGATTCTCCTGCCTCAGCCTCCTGAGTAGCTAGGATTACATGTGCCCGCCACCACGCCCAGCTAATTTTTGTATTTTTAGTAGAGACGGGGTTTCACCATGTTAGTCAGGCTGGTCTTGAACTCCTGACTTCATGTGATCCGCTCACCTCAGCCTTCAGAAGTGCTGGAATTACAGGCATGAGCCACTGCTCCTGGCTGCCAGATTCTTTTGAGGGACTCCCGGTGTATAAAGTGTTTAGTAAAGGTGGTGAATTTAAGACATTTGTATTGATGCTACCTAAACCTCTTGATGGAGGGACCTAATGAGCCTGTTCTCTGGTGTGAGAGCAAATGAAAAACAGACCCTCAGTGCCCCTTCCCTAAGTTAAGCATCAGCAAATTAATGAGGACAGAGAGGAGCATCTGCAGAAACTGCTGCTCTAGTCCAGACACATCCTGAACGCCTCCCTCTACCTCAAAATGAACTGTGTGAAACTAGATTTCTGAACCACAAGAGAAGTGGAAAGTCTTTTCTAAAGTCAGATGTGGAGGAGAATCTTCACCTTGAGTCTAAACTCCCCTTCAGGCGATTGAATATACCCACTCTGATTTGCTGGGTATGTTATACAGAGAAATCATAGAATTCTTGCACTTATGGTAGAAGAGTAGTCAGGAATGTATATGGAATTAAAATAGAGCGATGTATTTTCTTCACAAAATTTTTTCTTTTTTTTGGCACAATTGCTTAATATAAACACTATCTTGGCCAGGCATGGTGGCTCACACCTGTAACTCCAGCACTTTGGGAGGCTGAGATGGGTGGATCACCTGAGGTCACAGGAGTTCGAGACCAGCCTGGAGGGAAGGTTGGAGTGCAGTGGCACAATCTTGGCTCACTGCAACTTCCACCTCCCGGGTTCAAGCCATTCTTGTGCCTCAGCCTTTCAATAGCTGGGATCACAGGCACCTGCCACCACGACCTGCTAATTTTTGTATCTTTAGTAGAGACGGGATTTCACCATGTTGGCCAGGCTGGTCTCAAACTCCTGACCTCAAGTGATCCTCCCATCTTGGCCTCCCAAGGTGCTGGGATTACAGGCGTGAGCCACCACGCCTGGCCCTACACTTTGGATTTAACTTTGATTCCTGCTCATATGCAGAGTTTATAACTGCTTAAATGTCTGCAACATTTAGCTGCAAGGAAGAAAGCTTAACACAAAGTCCCCCAGGGAGCAAAAAACTGCACCGCCACAACCAGCTAATTTTTTTGCATTTTTAGTAGGGACAGGGTTTCACTATGTTGGCCAGGCTGGTGTTGAACTCCTGACCTCAGGTGATCCACCCGCCTCGGCTCCCAAAGTTCTGTGATTACAGGCCTGAGCCACCCCACCCAGGAATAAGACTAATTTGGGGGTCACTTGTTTGATGCCTTTTCTTGCCCATGCCATAGGTCAGAACTAGGACAAGCAGAGCAGGTCATATATAAGCTATGTAAGTCTCTTGGCCTCTTTGTACCTTAGTTTCCCCATTTGAAAAAAACAAATGGATCTTAAGACATACTTTTCAGAGTTCATAATGGGCTTATACCCAGCTAACCAATAATTGTATGAGTTTTTATACATAAATAGATGTTTACACTTATTCATCTTCTATTTCACTTACAACTTGTGTAAAAACTGCATTCTGTGCCAGGCCTGAGATGTTCCAAAGCTCAGTTCTGTTAGTAAATTGCAACCAAGATTTCTACAAAAAAAAAAAAAACATAAGCCAAAGGAAAAAAAAATTATTTCAGAGCATTTATCATTTGCTGTGAGTCTAATTTATATAGGATGGAACGTAACGTCAATCCTTTCTCTAAGCACTAAAGAAATCTCCCTGTGGAAGATACTGGCTTATGATTTATAATTTAACATTGCATATGTGGTGCATTAGATACAAAACAGTGAATGCTCAGTAAATATCTGTGCTAAGTGATCTTTATTTCTCTAGAACAGGATTTCACAACTTCAGTGCCATCAACATTTTGGACTCTATAATTCTTTGCCATGGAGGTTTGTCTTATACCTTGGAGGATGTTTAGCAGCATCTCTGGCCTCTGCCCACCAGATGCCAGGAGCACACCCACAGTTTTATCAACCAGAACTGTCTCTGGACATTACCAAATGTCACCTGAGTACAAAATCACATCAGTTGAGAACCACTGCTCTCTGATGATTCACTATGATCTGTGTAATAATTCTCACACTAATCCTTGCTAGAGACAAAAACAGTTTGCTATATAATTTTAGTTCCTTTCTACTGGTCAAATTTTAATCATTTCAAAATGAATAGCAAAGAGGTTTATAATTAAGTTTTATAAAAATTCCAAATGCAATAAAGTTATATTTGTAACTTACATAAACTGCAAAAATGGTAGGGGTTCAAATGTATGTCTTTCAATAGACTGTATTTTATTGCAGGATAAATCTCTAGGAAAAGGAAAATATTGCCTTGATAAGTTATTAGATGTCGATTAGTATGAATAATAGAGTTTAGAATAATATTGAATACACATTTTTCAACTCTAAACGTTTGGACTTGTATTTGAACTTTCCAGAGCCCTAACCCTGCCCATACCTCTCCTAGAGTCTTACCTTCATAGTTTTAATAAATAAAATATACAACTTAATAGACTTTGGAATTAATTTTTCCTGAGAGCAGTAGACTTGATTAGATGCCCTTTTGTAGTCTCATCAAATCCTAGATTATGAGCTCAAAGTTTTGATCTCTATATATAGTTTCTAATATTAAAACAAATAGCCTCACATTTATACACCTTCCTAGTTCAGGTCTGTTTTCCTAAGCCAGTTCAGGATCAGAAGAAATAAAAGACATCCTTTCACAGCATTTGAAAGGAAGTTGCCCCTTTACCTAATACATAACTTTGAACTAATTCAAATCATATTAATATAATTAATTTATATCATATTAATATAAATTCATTTTTGGTTTTATATTGCTTTAATATTTCATGAAAGCGATTTCTTCAGTTATACAGTGATGGGGCTTGTTGTCCCTCCCTCTTTACCTGGATGGTGTTACGTTGTCTGGCTGGTGTCTCCATCTCTAGTCTCTCCCTTCCTAAACTATCCTGCACACAGTCATCATATAAACTCTCCAGAAGTGTCTTCTTTGGGGGCAATTAAAATTTTATATCTACATAGTCTACATAGTCTTCACCCCAATAATTCCATTTCTAGATATCTATTCCACAGGAATACTTGCCCATATTCACAAAGAAGCATGTACGGGGATTTCATTGCAGCAACGCATGTAACAAGAAAACTAAGCCTAATCTAACAATTCATCAATGGGGGAATTATTAAATAAACTACAGTGCATCCATACCGTGGATTATGCAGGAGTTTAAATGAATGGGGTGACCCTCTAAGTACTGGGAAGGAAATAAATCATGAAGTGAAAGAATATCATGTCATACAATAAGTGATACTGTATATGATATCATATAGGTGATACACTTGTCAAATTAGATATATAACCATGAAGTAAAAGAATCAAGTTGCAAGAAGTTACCATTTAGGTAAAGAAAAAAGATTTTAAAAACCACACAACAAATCTATTTTGCCTTATGTAAATATGTATGTAGGCAAATGGGAAAAAGTCTGGAAGCATGTATACTAAATGCAGAGCAGCATTACCTCAGGGATGAGGGAGTAGGACACAAGGAGGGTTTTTGTTATACCTGTTTTTGCATTTTTATACATTAAAAATAGAATCATGGCCTGGGGGTGGTGGCTCATGCCTGTAATATGAGCACTTCAGGAGGCCAAGGTGGGAGGATCACTTGAGCTCAGGAGTTCAGGACCAGCCTAAATGGCATAGGAAGACCCTGTCTCTACAAAAAATACAAAATGAGGTGGGCGTGGTGGCATGCACCTGTGGTCCCAGCTACTTGGGAGGCTGAGGTGGGAGGATCACTTGTGCCTGGGAGGTGAAGGCTGCAGTGAGCTGTGATTGTGCCACTGCACTCCAGCCTGGGGGACAAAGTAAGACCCTGTCTCTTAAAAAACAAAAGAGAGAAAAAAGAGAATATAACCACGTATTATTTCTGTGATAAAAAATAAATTTAAATTGCCTCTTATTTTAAAGAGAGCCTACCAAATTTAATTTTAAAATAACCATAGGATCGCAATCAACAGAGGTTGATTTGGGATATGGAGGAGAAATATCTTTTCTCAGAGGTACCGACCTCAAAATTCTGGACCAAGAAGGATCTTACAATGCAGTTAGTTTTTTGTCACATTTGGAGAGAATATACTCACAGTTTCTTGGTCCAACTGTATGCTTTCCATACATTTCCATCAATGTAGGAAATATAGTTTCCTTGGTAACTTCTGTGAAGAAACACAGTTTATATCCTTGAATAGGTAGGAAAAGAATGAACAGGATAAGTAAAAGAATCATGGCAACCTTGTCGGGGATATTCAGAAACAGAAAATAACACCTGCTTTCTCACTTCCAGAGCTATTAGCTTCCCAGTTTGCACAGTTCATCAAGAAGTAATGCCGGGCCACTGGCACAAATGATGAGGCATCTCCTGGAAGCTTAACTTCCTATCCATCCCATCTCTTGGACAGACGATGCCAGTTAATTACTTTGAATGTAAGGCCTTTATCCAAAAGCACTTATGTGTCTAAACTAACTCCTTCTACACATAAAAAATGGTAAATACTTCAACAGAAAAATGGGCAAAAGCTTATCATTATCAATAAATAAGTAGAAAGAAACCCTATGCCAGGTGACACCAAAGCTTTGCCCTCTGTTGAAACATCCTAGGCTTTTTCTTTCCATTCTTATTACAACTGATCTGATTTAGCCCCTTCACACCTTACTCCTACATTTTGCTATTCCTTTCTATTTTGTCTCCCTGAAATAAGATTTTCCCTTTGAGCACTCTACATATGGATTCTAAAATAATCCTTTGCATGTTTACACTTGAACATAAAGCAAAAACAAAACAAAATGAAAGAATCCTTTTGTTTTAATCATTTAATCTCTCTTGCTTGGAAACTTTCAATGGCTTTCCATACCCCATTTTGTAGCTTTCAAACTCCTATAGCTGATAGTCAAGATTTTACATAATCATATCTTCATTGCTCCCTCACCTAATTCTTTGCAGCCAGATTGGTCTACTAAATTCCAACCATACCTGTAGCCATGCCTTTGCCTAGACTGTACTCCCATTTTTTTTTCTATTTAACAAATTATAACTACTCTTTAAGACCCCAGTAAAGTTTTAGCTTATCCATGTAGCTTTCCCTGGTCTCCACACCTCAGGGATCACAGATTCTGGTAAATTATAGCACCAATGGTCTGCATTATCTTTTAGTAATTAATTATATATACCTCCCTTTTTATGCCTATTCTCTTTCTTCCCTCCTATCATTTTCGTGTTCTGGAGACAGTAGCATACTTGGCCCTAGGTGTGACACAAAATGAGTGCTACATATAGAAAGCCAGGGACAAAGATGAGTTCTGGACATAACTAAAGGACTGAGTAATCATGTTAACAGTCAACACATCCTACATATGCTAGGCACTGATGAAGTGTTTCATATATTCACTCACCTAAATTTCACAACAATCCTATGAAATGGTAACTAGCATAATCCTCAGTTTAAAGGTGAGGAAATTGAGTCACAGAGCAGAATAACTTGCTCTGGGTCACCAAGCTAATAAATGACAGACCTGGGTTCAAACCCAGGCAGCCTGGCGCCAGAATAAACTCTTAACCACTTACAGCATCATCACTGACATGCGGAGAGGGACAGGCTGCTGTAAAGGGAGTGAAGGGAAAATGGGAGGAGAGCAGCGGTTAAGCAATGATGTGATGGGGCTAAATAAAAATGAATAAGACATGAGTAAAAGACTGGAGTAAAAGGAAAAGACTGGAGAAAGGGCCTAACAGTAAAGGAAAATGAAGAGAAGGGAGAGTTGACAAGCAAAGGTGAAAGCAGAAAGTCAGTTGTCAATATGGCTTAGGGAGATAAAGAAGGCCCAGGAAGGCCTCCAGGAAAAGGCTGCCATGTCAGGCAGGACACAGAGGACAGTTGAGGAAATGTGATTCTTACAAGATGGGGAAGGTGCCATTGTGGGTGTTGGGCTGTGGCACAGGCACTTGGCGGAACCTCTGCTTTGGACTGAGATCAATACAAGGCAGCGTCTCATATCTGCAGGTACAGAGCTTACATATGTTGGTGCTTGTGGAGGCCTTCTGTTCCTCTGGTGCAGTTAAAGCCTTATTTTGGGGTAACTTTCAGACTGCACCAATGAATCCTGAGCAGGTTCTAGTTCAGTAGGTGGACCTGTGACTTCAGTCAGGCTTCGATGCAGAGTCTGAACCTGGTCTGGATGAGGAGCTGTAGTCTTCTCCAGGGCGGTAGATGTCCAGTCTCTGTAGTGGGTTCTGGAGTGATGGAAGCCCCAGGTCTGGAGGCTGAGTTGATGTCTCCTCCATGGTTGAAGATGGTTTAACCCCTGTAGTAAGTTGTGTAGTTATGGTAAGCTCCAGGTCCAGAGGTTGGACTGTGACTTGAGTCAGGTTTGAATGCTGAACCTGACCCTTGTCTGAAGGTGGAAGTGTCACCTCAGAGTGTTTTGGAGGAGGAGTTGTAGTCAGGGCTGTAGAAGGTTCAAACTCTGTCGTGGATTCTGGAGTGATGGTAAGTCCCAGGTCCAAAGGTTGAACTGTGGCTTGAGTCAGGTGTGAATGCTGAGCCTGAACCTGGTCTGGATGTGGAAGTGTCACCTTAGGGTGCTTTGGCAGAACTATAGTCTTCTTCAGGGGTGTAGAATGTTCAACCTCCATAGTGGGTTCTGGAGTGATGGTAAGTCCCAGGTCCACAGGTTGAACTATGACACTGGGTGATATTTGATGCTGAGCTTGATCCTGACCTGGTGTTGGAATTGTTACCTCTTGATATACTGGAAGTTGGGGTACAACTTTCTTAGGAGGCTGAGTTGGGGTCTCCTGCGTGGTTGGAGAAAGTTCAACCTCCGTAGTGGATTCTGGAGTGATGGTAAGCCCCAGGTCCACAGGTTGAACTGTGGCTTGAGTCAGGTGTAAATGCTGAATCTGAACCTGGTCTGGATGTGGAAGTGTCACCTTAGGGTGCTTTGGAGGAACTATAGCCTTCTTCAGGGCTGTAGAATGTTCAACCTCCTTAGTGGGTTCTGGAGTAATGGTAAGTCCCAGGTCCAAAGGTTGAACTGTGACACTGGGCAATGTCCAATGCTGAGCTTGATCCTGACCTGGTGTTGGAACTGTCACCTCATAATGAGCTGGAGGTTGAGCTGCAACCTCCTTAGGTGGCTCTGGAAGCTGAGCTGGGACCATCTGCTGGCTTGAAGATTCTACCTCCTTAGGGGGCTCTGGAGCCTGAACTGTGGCCTCCTGCTGGGTCGGAGAAGGTTCTGCCTCCATAGAGGGCTCTGGAATCTGAGCTGGAACCTCTTGCTGAGTTAGAGATGGTTCCACCTACTGAGGGAACTCTGGAGGCAAAGATGGGGCCATCTGCTGGGTCAGAGAGGGTTCTATCACCCTAGGGGGCTCTGAAGACTGAGCAGGGACTGCCTGCTGGACTGGAGAGGATTCTACCTCTTTAGGTGGCTCTAAAAGCTGAGTTGGGGCCTGCTGTAGGACTGGAGATGGTTTGACCTTCTCAGGTGGCTCTGATGGCTGAGCTGGTATCTCCCCTGTGGTGGAGGACTGACCTCTTCAGTGGACTTCAGAGGATGACTTGAGGCTTCCTGCTGGGTTGCAGATGGTTCAGCCTCCTTAGGGGGCTCTGGTGGCTCAGCTGGGAACTCTTGCTGGACTGGAGAAGGTTCTGCCTCCCTAGGGGGATCTGGAGTCTGAGCTGTGGCCTCTTGCTGGACTGGAGATTCAGTCTTTTCCGGAGAACACAGAGGTGGGGAAGGGAGATCAGGCTGGGCTAGAGAAAAGTCAGCCTGCTCAGTGGGAATAGGAGGGTTGTCCTGCTGGGCTGGAGAAGATTCAACCTCCCCAGAAGACTCAGAAGGCTGAGCTGGCTGCTTCTGCTCACTGGGGGAAAGTTCAGGCTCTATAGGAGGACCTGGAGGCTCAGTTGGAGCCTCATCTTGGATTGCAGAAGGTTCCATCTCTTCTAGAGGCTGAGCTGGGCTCTCCTGCTGGGTCTGAGAAGATTCAACCTCCCTAGAAGACTCAGAAGGCTGAGCTGGCTGCTTCTGCTCACTGGGGGAAAGTTAAGCCTCCATAGGAGGAATGGGAGGCACAGTTGGGGCCTCCTGTTGGGTTGCAGAAGGTTCCACCTCCTCTGGAGGCTGAATTGGGGTCTCCTGCTAGGCTTGGGAAGATTCTGTCTCATTGGTAGGCTCTGAAGTTATGGTAACATCCACATCTGCAGGTTTAAATTGTAATGTTGGGCAAGTTATAATGAGCTTGATCCTCACCCGGAGGTTGAACTGTCACCTCATGATTTGGTGGAGTTTGAGCTAGACTCTCCATAGAGGACTCTGGAGGCAGCCCTAGAGGCTCATCAGAGTTCACCGGAGTTCTGGAGGCAGGCTGCTGGGATACAGTATATCCACACTTGAATATTCATCCAGCAAAGTTTGTTTCTGACACCGAGGTTTGGATAATTGCTCAGCAAGGCTCCAGTGCTGAGCTAGATCTCTCTTCAGCTTCTTGGGCGAAACAATAAATTTGGTTGGTTTTTGAAACCTTACTGTCTAGTGGAACAAGTATTTCATCTGCCTGATGATCTGCAGCCTGATCTAGGTCTGCAGTTTGAACCTTACTTTTGAGGTGAGGAAGCTGAACTAGGGTCTAGTTCTGATCCCAGTCCAGCATTGGAACCACCTCTGGTGCCTTTTCTTCGGAGTCAGCTTGTCATTTAGATCCTGGTGTGCAGCCGAGAACTGCTCTGGACCCCGGGGGGCAGCTCTCCAGCTGAATCCGTGTCCAGGAACAGAACCAAATTTTCAGTCGATTCCTGGGGCGGGGCTGACATCTGGGAGGAAGCAGACGACGCGACGCCACGTAATCAAAGCCCTCCAGGTCAGCAGAGGGAGTAGACGCATGGGGAGATTCCCATGGGAGATGGGAGGAGCAGGAAGACTAGGGCTCAGTAGGCCCCGGGGGTTAGAGGTCAGCTGGAGCGGGTCTTTGACCCACTCCAGAGGCTGAGCCTCCTGGACTAGTAGCCACAATAGTTGCCACGTGAGGAAGGGCCTTGGGCCCCAGAGACACAGCTGGGACATGACACACGCTGGCGCTGTGCAGTGAGTGGGAGCCATTCTAACAGCCTGGAGAGGCTCGCACCCGCGATAAGCGTGCGCCCCGCCCAGTCTTTATGACATCTTTATGCCACCTTTATTAGGCTTGGGTCCAGATCTGCTCCATGTCTCCATGGCAATCTTATGTCACAATCCCGCCCAAGCTCCCCTTTCCCCCCTCCCCTCTCCTCCCCTTAGCGAGGTAGGATTTGGGCCGCAGACCCGGGTGGTCCCAGGACTCCTGGGGCCTGTTGTGGTGGGGTGGGGTGGGGGCACGGCAGAGCTTCCCAAGGAAGTCACGGGACCCCGCCTCAGGATATTCAGAAGCTCTAGTCCAGTTCTGGCAGCCTGAACTCTTCCTCCTCCAAGGTGAAATCCAAGAATACACTTCCTTCCAAGGACAGCAACTGACCTGCAAAATGGGCGCCAGTTAGGGTGGCAGGGAGGACGCACATTACAGTCATTTATTCCAAAATTTGCCATTTTCGCCAAACTTTCGGTATCTTTTGTTGCATGTTTGATAATTCACCACCCTATTAGGTAGGGGCTGTCAGGGAGTAAGCCCGGATTCCAAATTTTCTGTAGGAGGGGCATTGGGGGTAGGCAATTCAGTCTGGGAGAGTGAAGAATCCTTTGCACTAGCCTGGGAGGAGGCTGAACTGTCATCCTGCCTTGACTTAACACAGCCATTACCCTAGAAGTTACAGCACCACCCTTCAGAGATCTACCCTGGGTGTACACATGGAGAAGAGGCTTAGGTTGTTAAAGTCAGCATGTCAAATAATTTCCTGAAATGCGACTGTAACTAGAACCCAGCTGACTTCCCCCACAGCCATTCTTACCTATTGTATTACTGTCTGGCACAATTACCAGCATGTAAACTCCAAGAAGGTGCTTCATCTTCTTCCAGTGCCTGGCATAGGCATAGCGTGCACAGTGATGGTTTTAAAATTGAAGGGGGGCCAGGTGCAGTGGCTCACACCCATAATCCCAGAACTTTGGGAGGCTGAGGTAGGCGGATCACCGAGGTCAGAAGTTCAAGAACAGCCTGACCAACATGGTGAAACTCTGTCTCTACTAAAAATACAAAATTAGCCGGGTGTGGTAGCGCATGCCTATAATCCCAGCTGCTCGGGAGGCTGAGGCAGGAGGATCACTTGAACCTGGGAGGTGGAGGTTGCAGTGAGCCGAGATCGCGACATTGCACTCCAGCCTGGGCAACAAGAGTGAAACTCTGCCTCAATAAAATAAAATAAAATAAAATAAAATTGAAGGGATTCCAAGATTCGCCTCATTTAGGGATAGATCTATTGTTATAATCAGATTTCTGAAATCAGTGCTGACTTCCTCTCACATTTCACGGGAAGCTAGACTTCTTAAAGCTTGAAGTTTTCTTGGTGGGTTTTATTTAAATTGAATTAAAATAATTATTTTACAGGGAAAAACTTCAAAACACTTTGCAACTTTGGTGTAAAAGTTAAATAAAACACTCTAGCCCCAAATGAAGTTCTCACTGAAATGAAACTTTTGCCCCTTTTTTTTTTTAAATTCCATATATAGTAAATAATGACTGTTTTGAGATTTAGAAACTTAATCCCTATTTAAGAGCTTTCATATACAGTCATGAGTTGCTTGCCATCATAGCGTATACTTACACAAACTTAGGTGGTATAGCCTACAGCACACCTAAGCTATTTTTAGTAGAGACAGGGTTTCACCACGTTGGCCAGGCTAGTCTTGAACTCCTGACCTCGTGATCCACCCGTCTTGGCCTCCCAAAGTGCTGGGATTACAGGCGTGAGCCATGGCATCTGGCCTGTTTGTTTGTTTTTTGAGATGGAGTTTCGCTCTTGTTGGCCAGGATTCAGTGCAATGGCATGATGTTGGCTCACAGCAACCTTCGCCTCCCAGTTCAAGTGATTCTCTTGCCTCAGCCTCCCGAGTAGCGGGGATTACAGGCATGCGCCACCATTTCTCCATGTTGGTCAGGCTGGTCTTGAACTCCTGACCTCAGGTGATCCGCCGGCCTCGGCCTCCCAAAGCACTGGCATTACAGGTGTGAGCCACCACGCCTGGCTCTGTTACCCTTGAGTTTTTATCTCCACATACTTGAATTAAGCCGTGTAGTTCTTCTTCCCATCTGACATCTACAATCTCTTCACTGGGTCTGTACTCCACAGCTATTTTACCACTTTCTGAAATAAAGTTAGCAAGGAGCAATTCAGAATCTTTTTCATTCTAAAACTTCCTGCATATAATGGTAGCACCCCACAGTGAGACATTCTTTTGGTTTCTAAAAGCAGAAAATAAGAGCATTTTCCTGGAAGTTTCCTCATCTCATCACATACTTCCCTGTCCCTTTCCCTTTCCCCCTTCCTTCCCCTCCCTTCCCCTCCCCTCCCCTCCCTCCCTTTCTTCTTTTTCAGGGTCTCACTCTGTCACCCAGGCTGGAGTACAGTGGCACTGTCATAGCTCACTGCAGCCTGGAATTCCTGGGCTCAAGTGATCTTCCTGCCTCAGCCTCCAGAGTAGCAGGGACTACACCACTGTGCCCGGCTAATTCTCTTTTTTAGAGACATGGTCCTGCTTTGTTATTTCAGGCTGTCTCGAACTCCTGACTTGAAGTGTCCTTCTGTCTTGGCCTCCCAAAGTGCTGAGATTTGAGGTGTGAGTCACCATGTCCGGTCTCACACCTCAGTTTTTAACATATGTATGAAATATCAACTGTGTTTGGTTCAAAGGACTTTATGATCTTACAGATAGGAACTAAGGAATAATAACATAAGAAATAAAAAATTTGGAAACAAAAATGTTCAATCACAATATTAAATAGTAAGGCATCAGGTGGGGGGGTCGAAGTTCAAATCCAAAATGGAGACCACTGGGCTAGTAGACACTTCACATTAGAAGCACGGCTAGGTGTCTACTCCCTGAGAACCAAAATTCCACCAGATACAATGAGCAAAGCTTCAGAGAGAGAGAACACTTGAACATTTTATTGGCAGAAAATATCCCGCATACTCTATAGACAATACAACTTCCTTCAAGGCAAATTAGAGATATAAGGCTTTTGGTCTAAGAAGTTTTGAGTGTGTGCAAGGGATACCTTTGTATACTAGGGAGAGGTAAACAACCCACACATTTAGCTTGGTTATTAAAGGTTGTTACTCAGACTTGACAGTTGATGACCAAGGAAGTAAGACTTTCACTAGAAGGGCGGCCCAGGTTGGAAAGCCGAGAGCAATCAGGGCCACCTCTTACAAGCAAATAAGGTCTGTGGTAACTTAATTAGGATCTCTGTCTCTAAGTCTTCAGGGCTGTGAAGCAGAAGAGCAACTCTGTTCAGGGACTCTTTGCTAAACATCGGGCTTCCTCTGGGCACAGCCTATAACATTTGCACCACTGTAGAACTGAACAGGGAATACAAGCAATGGCATTCAATAGCATGACCACTTCCAAGGCTCACAGCAAAGCAACTGATTATTGCATAAGAATCCTATTTGGCCAATATGTCAGTGCCAGAAATGAAAGCTGGAACTGAATTCTCGATTCGGGAAACATAATCTAGTAAACTCTTCGGCAGAGAGTTTATTCAGAGAGAAAACAACAATAATAGCATATTTTGTCGCTTACCTTGTAAGTATAGTTCTGAGTTTTTACATTTGTCATCTCATTTTCTCAAACAATATCCCCCATAAGGTTGATTGGATTACTAACCCCAGTTTGCAGATAAAGAGATTGCAGCTTAGAGATATTAAATATCTTCAAATCTCTCTGGCTATAAGACTTAAAATTGAATAAAAAAAAATCTAAGAGACAGAGTTAGGACTCAAGTCCATGTGTCCAAAGCTTATAATCACTATTCTGTATGATAGGCATGCAATTAAAGAAGACCTGCCTCAAACATTTTCCGTGTGAACTGAGGCAAGTCCTTTTACAACTATAAACTAGGGACAATAGTTGCTGCCATTTTTTCTACAAATGTCACAAATAACAAATTTGAGCCTGTTGCTGTGAAAGAATTTAGCAAATGAAAGCATACTATGGAGTGTTTTAGATATCGATATTTTTATCCAATTAACTTTTCAAAATGAGTTTATTTGCTCATTGAAACTGAAGTTAAAATTAAGAAAGTTTTACCTAGAACCACAATCAACAGTTTCTGGAATGCATCTGACAAAACCTTCTGAATAGCAAGCTTCTGGGCTGTCTTCCCTTTCATAAGGAACAATAACGGTCTTAAATCCAACCAAAACAAATGGATTTAAGATACCTATCTGAGTGATAATTGCTACACGTTTAAAAAATAAAAATGCATCCATGATTCTTAGCTCATAATCTTCATGATTAAGGGTAGACAGCACAAGGGTATGGTTGAATGGCTCTGTTATAGGTACATCCTGGCAGGGCCCATTTTTACTGCCTCCATCTAGTTGGGAAGTTCCGGAAGTACTAGAAGGGAGATACAAGCCAAGAACCTGGCACATGCTCACATCACCCAGAGATTTCAAATTCATCAGTTAAGGCTACACTCCTACAGACCCTACCCTCCTATGCATCAAGGGCTGAAATCACTCACCGAAAAAGGTTTGGTTGGCTGGACATGGTGGCCCATGCCTGTAATCCCAGCACTTTGGAAGGCCAAGGTGGGTGGAGGCCGGGAGTTCAAGAACAGCCAGGCCAACATGGTAAAACCTCATCTTTACTAAAAATACAAAAATTAGAGAAGTGTGGTGGCATGTGTCTGTAATCCCAGCTACTTGGGAGTCTGAGGCACAAGAATAGCTTGAACTGGGAGGTGGAGGTTCCAGTGAGCCGAGATCATACCACTGCACTCTAGCCTGGGCGACAGAGTGAGACTATTCTTAAAAAAAAAAAAAAAAAAAAAAGAGACCAGGCGCAGTGGCTCACACCTGTAATCCCAGTACTTTGGGAGACCAAGATGGGCAGATCATTTAGATCACCTGAGGTCAGGAGTTTGAGACCAGCCTCGGCAACATGGTGAAACCCTGTCTCTATTAAAAATACAAAAAAAAAAAAAAAAAATTAGCTGGGTGTGGTGGTGGGCAGGAGGCAGCAGAATTGCTTGAACCTGGGAGGTGGAGGTTGCAGTGAGCCGAGATCACACCAGTGCACTCCAGCCTGGGTGACAGAGCGAGACTCCATCTCAAAAAAAAAAAGGACTGAATGTTAACACAAAAGTTTTTGTAAATCTTTAGATGATGACCTGGCATGGTGGGTGGCTCATGCCTATAACCCCAGCATCTTGAGATCCTGAGGCAAGAGGATCACTTGAGGCCAGGAGCTTGAGACCAGGCAGGACAACACAGCGAGATCCCCCATCTCTAGAAAAAATAATTAGCCACATGTGGTGGTGCATGCCTATAGTCCTGGCTACTCAGGAGGCTGAGGTAAGAGAATCCCTTGAGCCCAGGAGTTCGAGGTTACAGTGAGCTATGATCATGCTACTGCACTCTAGCCTGGGCAACAGAGTGAGACCCTGTCTCTAAAAAAATAATAATAATAAAAAGATAAATAAATAAATCTAGATGATTTGCTGGGATAACTGAAGGCTACAAGAGATACGTATGTGAAGGACTATTTTAGTACAAAACAAGTTCTTAACCCAAAACTGGAAAAACATTACTTCGTTCTTCCTCCTAAGCTTCCTGGCAGGAAATTGACTTTACAATTTTAAATTTAAAGGTTTTGTCAGGTATTGCCTAAGGTGAAAACCTATATTGTAAGACACAAAAACTCTGCCTAGGACTTCAGTAGCTCAGAGAGGGAAGGACTTAATATGTGTCTGAAAAGATGAGTTTTAGAAATTAAGAAAAAAGAGATCATTCCCACTTCAACTCCTTACTCTACTCTACCCCCATTGAAAACAGACCTTCCTCCGCCTTACCCACAGGTTCCTCCACCAAGCCAATGCCAGACTCCTGCAATCATAGGATGGCAGCACCACCTCTAAAGCACAGAACTTCAGGCTTTGCTTCGGAAGTGGCACCATGTCTCTTCATTTTCCCTTTCTTCAAGGGAAAATCCTTGAAGAAATTTCCTTCAGAAAACTCCTGAAGCTGTTAGAATTTTTAGTGTGAGTTCCTTCCAAGGATATTAATTAGGCTTCAAACTGTTTTGTTCTGAGAAATAAAAACTAAACTCCAGTCATTCAAGCTAAGAGTTGAGGCATTCTATGGCTTCAAAATCAAGTAAGATTTGCAAAGGAATTGCTAGATACAACCGTTTTTTATTATATGCCACACAAACAGTGGAGAAAATTATGGATACCACCATCCAAGTGATTGAGATTATTAATTTAGGTAGCAGGCCAATTCAGACATGTCCACTTATCAATGGCAGGAGGCCTCTCACATCTCCTCCCTATAACCCATTTCAATACTTCTGTCTACGGTCTAGAATTTCAATGTTGAAAGGAGAGTGTGGTTATTGAAAGAAATCTACAAAGTTTACCCTGATGATCCTTTTTGACATCTACTGAAATCAAAGTAGTAATTCGGCAGTTCTTGGCATCAGGAGCTGTTTAGGGCAAGAGCTTGTTGTGGAACTGCCTTATGTCTGGTGCCAAGACGAACCTAAAGTCACAAGAGATAGACCCATAAATATCACAACCTGCCAGAGATTTGAAAGAAAAAGAAAAGGACACTTAAACTAGATGGCAGTGGTGGTCAGGTGGTAACCCAAGGCTCTGAGTTCAGTAAGTAAATCTAATATGAATGCCCTCTCCTTTCACCTATCTATTGACTTGTAGAACATTTCCTTCATTACTGCATCAGCGATGAGCTTTATTCTGTGAAATTCTCAAAACCTAAAGCTTATGAAGTGGTCTCAATGTCCAAAGCGCACTACAAACTCATTACGTACAAAATGATGCCAACTAACTGTTTCATCATCTTTACCGTACCTTTACAATATTTGAGTGGCTATGTGAAATGGTCACAGGTTAGAAACAGATCATAGTCCAAAAGTTAAATAATATATTACAGGTAATCATTTCAGTCACAGGAAGTGGGACCAGGATTGAAGAGGGTGTTGAACAAGCTACAGAAGTGGGTATAGAATACCCGGAGTCATTACTAAGCAGAGTTCTCAGATTCGATCAAGGTTAATTCGATGAGGAATGGAATATAGACAAGAATAGGCAGCAAGATTAGCAGGAAGCAGTCAGATCAAGTAGCCAATCAGGCATTGAAATGGTCCTTGAAAAAGGAAAGGTGATTGAGTCGAGGCATACAATGAAATATCATTCTGTGGTTCTGGGAAAGTAAAATTGGTTGGCATGTTAGCATGGAATAGGGTTTCTACAAGGCCGCTTAAAGAATGTTCCCACTCTGAGAACTGAGGGGAGTTCCAAATAAGCAGTTTGTGAGTGATGATGAACATGATGATGATGATAAAGTCTCCTTATGTAAGAGCTGGCAGAAGAGTTGGTCACACCTACATGTTTTAAATTCACATAAAAGTAAATATATGGCCGGGTGTGGTGGCTCACACCTGTAGTCTCAGCACTTTGGAGGGGCTGAGGCAGGCGGATCACTTGAGGTCAGGAGTTGGAGACCAGCCTGGCCAACATGGTGAAACTCCATCTCTACTAAAATACAAAAATTAGCCAGGCGTGGTGGTGTGTGCCTATAATCCAAGCTACTCAGGAGGCTGAGGCAGAAGAATTGCTGGAACCCGGGAGGCGGAGGTTGCAGTGAGCCAAGATTGCGCCACTGCACTCCAGCCTGGGCGAGAGAGACTCCATCTCAAAAAAAAAAAGGTAAATATAGCTAGGCATGGTGGCTTGTACCTAGCTACTTAAGAGGCTGAGGCAGGAGGATTGCTTGAGGTCAGGACTTAGAGACCAGCCTGGGCAACACAGTGATACTGTGTCTCTAAAATATTTTAAAAAGTAAATATAAGCAGAACTCTTCTGGTGAAAATTTCATTCATTCATTCATTTTTTAGAGATAGGGTTTCACTCTGTTGCCCAGGCTGGAGTGCAGTGATGCAATCATAGCTCACTGCAGCCTCAAACTCCTGGGCCCAAGCAATCCTCCCATCTCAACCTCCCAAATAGCTGGGACTACAGGTGCATGCCACTACAACTGGCTGATTTAAATTCTTTTTCTCTCTCTCACTCTCTCTCTGTGTCTCTGTCTCCGTCTGTCTGTCTGTCTTTTTCTTTCGTCTGACTCCGTTGTCCAGGCTGGAGTGCAGTGGCACAATCTCACCTCACTGAAACCTCCACCTCCTGAGCTCAAGCAATTCTCCTGCCTCAGCTTCCCGAGTAGCTGGGATTGCAGGCACCGTCCACCACACCTGGCTAATTTTTGTACTTTTAGTAGAGATGGGATTTCACCATGTTGGCCAGACTGGTCTCAAACTCCTGATCTCACCCACCTTGGCCTCCCAAAGTGCTGGGATTACAGGCATGAGCCACTGTACCTGGCCTGAAAAAAATAATACTTTTGATAAATCTGAAAATCTGGGGCTATTTCTGTCACTGAGAGAAGGTGTGTCTTTCCCCTTAAACTAGGTTCATGTTGCTGAGGAGGCAGAGGGCTGAGTTCTTCCATCCATCGCCTTCAAGTGTCAGGCGGCTTCCGGTTGGACAAGATGGCTACCCCAGTGGGCTTGTTTCCTCTCTGGTCTCTTTTTCTGTCTAAGACTCACTCCATACCAGCCTGAGCTTGGGACCATTGTTTTGCTCCTCTCATCCTCCTACCCCCAGAGCTGACAGATTTAGCAAATAAAATTTACAAGATCCTGTTAAATTAGAATTTCGGACAAACAACAAACTACCCCACACTGTCTCAGGAGGGTCCCTCAGAGATAAGTGTCACTGAGCCTCGGGAAGGAGGAAGCTCCATCCCTGCCCATCAAGCCCCCTCTTGGGGTCCCCTCAAGGAAGACAGTGGTTCCAGAAGGTGTGTTCCCACCCCCTTTCACAGCCTACCTCTCTCCCATCCCTCTCTGACCCCAGGTTCCAGCTGGCCTGGGGATTTCTGGGAGGATCCGAAGAACAAGGCCATCTGCAGTAGGAGCCTCCTGTTCCTCGCCACCTACGCTTCAGCCCTGCCCAACTAACAGCTCTCCATGTTCTAAAGAAGGCAGGAGTGCTGGACCACCCCAGCCTTCTGGAACCCCAGTTCTGTGACATTATCCATCTCCTGGAAATATGCTGGTTTTAACCATGCAAATTAGTTAAGCATCAGGCAGAAATAGCAGCTGGGCCTGGAAGCACAGGTGACGTCTGTGAGGAAAATGGCTGGGTGGGACAGGGTGGAGAGCACGGGCTGTTCCCTTCCTTTCTGGGAACAGCACCACCTTTGGGGTAACTCCTTCTCTCATGGGGTTTTAGGCGGGGGCTGCCAGTGCCAGTGCCCGGTCCCCTGTCACCCCCCATAGTCATAGGAACGCTTCTGCGCCAGTCACTACATTTATAAGGGGAAGCTGGTGGAGCTGCTCAGCTTCCAACAGGAAGCCCATGTGTGCAGGGCCAGAGGACACAGCCCATCTGAGGTGCTAAGCTTCTGTGAAGAGGGAGTGGAGTCTGGACCGGATTCCAGTCCCACGGTCCACCCTTTCTGGGACCCAAACACACCCTTCCCCTTCCTTCAATTCTGAGAAGCAGTAAATGTCCCTACTTGCGAACAAGTTTGAGTTGGGTTTCTGTCACTTGCAGCCAAAAGAAACCTGCCAGCTACTGTCAGCATCGGTCAACCATCTGTGAAACTGTGAGCTGACAACCTGTCCCCTCCCTGTGAAGGCCACAACATCCCAACACCATTAGTCACCAAGGAAGTCTGGGAGAAATTTCTACCAGAAAGGGGCAAGGGAGGAAACATTTTGTTACTGCTGGCCCACTCTACCCTCTGAAACAGGGCGGCAGGATCTGGCAGAAAGAAAGTTTACAAGGGGCTTCTAAGCAGGCAGTGCTGCCCCATG
Organism: Homo sapiens; assembly: GCF_000001405.40. Lineage (NCBI taxonomy): Eukaryota > Metazoa > Chordata > Mammalia > Primates > Hominidae > Homo > Homo sapiens. The sequence goes on from NC_000017.11 coordinate 68,162,402, forward strand.
CCCCCCGGGCTTCTCCTCCCAGCAGGGCAGCAGCATATGGCACCCTGGGATAGGAGGTCTGCAGGGGCGGGGGCGGGGAGGCTGAACATCCTGGGGGCACCACTTTATGAGGAACCATTTATGGCCAGAACTCTACAGGGGCTTCAGGGACCTGAATGAACTCATCTCTGTAGAGTGAGAGTCCTGGGCAGGAGGAGAGGTTTCCATAGCCCAGGACCACATGCTGGAAATTTGGTCTCTGCAGCTTAAAATCTGAGAGAAGATGGTGTCTGCAGCATTCAAAGGGGGACCAGAGGGACCCTCCACCCCTGGCCCCCCCAGCTATTACAAACATGAGCCCTGGGAAGATTCCTATCAAAAACCCAAGCTGGGGCCCATGAGTCAAGTCTGGACGTGCAGTTTGGGGCAAGAGGACAGATGGACGCCACAGGCCATCTGTCTAAATATTTCCAAATTATAAATTAAACTAACAGGGTGTTAAATAAAGTATGTTCTAACCTCATCCCCTGACAAATATTCCTTTAAAATGATAAAATTTAAAAATGTGTATGAAGCTATGATTTGTACATGACAGAAAGTTAGCAAAATATCAAAGATCATAAAATTTTTTTGCTTTTTTTTTTTTTTTTTTTTGGAGACGGAGTCTCACTCTGTTGCCCAGGCTGGAGTGCAGTGACGCGATCTCGGTTCACTACAGCCCCTGCCTCCCGGGTTCAAGCAATTCTTAATATTGAGATGCGTAATAAAATAAAGATATGTGTAATTTATAAATTACTGAAACTATTCCATGAAATTTATTTTTATTCCTTTCAGCAAAATCAATTATTATTGTCAAGATTTAAAAATACATGTAAGAAGGCTGGGCGCGGTGGCTCATGCCTATAATCCCAGTATTTTGGGAGGCCACGGCAGGCGGATCACGAGGTCAGGTGATCCAGACCATCCTGGCTAACAAGGTGAAACCCCGTCTCTACTAAAAATACAAAAATTAGCTGGGCGTGGTGGCGGGTGCCTGTAGTCCCAACTACTCCGGAGGCTGAGGCAGGAGAATGACGTGAACCTGAGAGGCGGAGCTTGCAGTGAGCCAAGATGGCGCCACTGCACTCCAGCCTGGGCAACAGAGTGAGACTCCATCTCAAAAAAAAAAAAAAAAAATACATGTAAGGATTAAAACAGTCATATTCACAGTACAAGTATCTTAACATTTTCATCAAAATAAGTTTATGTAAAAAATTTAATTTTGTCAGAAATGTTTTCCCAAACAATATTCTTTTCAAATATTGAAAAGTATCTATTGCTGGGCCCAGTAGCTCACGCCTATAATCCCAGCACTTTGGGAGGCTGAGGCAGGCAGATCATGAGGTCAGGAGTTTGAGACCAGCCTGGCCAATATGGTGAAACCCCCATCTCTACTAAAAATACAAAAAATATTAGCCAGGTGTGGTGGCGCACCTGTAGTCCCAGCTACTTGGGAGGCTGAGGCAGAAGAATTGCTTGAACCCGGGAGGCAGAGGCTTCAGTGAGCCGAGGTCGTGCCACTGCACTCCAGCCTGAGCGACAGAGCGAGACTCCATCTCAAAAAAAAAAAGAAAGAAAAGTACCTATTAAACCAAAAGGCAACATACAAATTAGAATTAATCAAATTTGTAAATCAAAATGATTGAAATCCATTTTATTTTGATTTTTGAAAACTTAATTAAATTACATTAAATTAAAATTCATAATTCTAGCATTCAATGACCACCTCATTGCCAATGTAAAGAAAAGGTGGCCGGGTGCAGTGGCTTGCGCCTGTAATCCCAGCACTTTGGGAGGCCAAGGCGGGCAGATCACGAGGTCAGGAGATCGAGCCCATCCTGGCTAACATGGTGAAACCCCGTCTCTACTAAAAATACAAACAAAACAAAACAAAAAGCCAGGCATGGTGGTGGGCGCCTGTAGTACCAGCTACTTGGGAGGCTGAGGCAGGAGAATCACTTGAACCCGGCAGGTGGAGCTTGCAGTGAGCTGAGATCGCGCCACTGCACTCTAGCCTGGGCGACAGAGCAAGACTCCATCTCAAAAAAAAAAAAAAAAAAAATTAGTAAGCATCACAGTTTGTCTGAGGGCTAGACACAGATACAAATTTAAGAATAATGTGTAATGTGATTTACTTCATCCTTTTCTCGTTTGCCCAGAGAAGACTCACCGGTGGCACCTGCAGCTGCAGCATCTTCCCGAAGATAACTTTGCCATGAAATATCTCACTTTATTATTATTTTCGCATCACTCTAGTATATCCACTTTGGAAACAAAAGGCATCATTCTATTTATAGCATTGTGTTTTTAGTAGCGGGATTTCCATTTACAAAATACAGTAATTGTCCATGGCTGAAAATATCAAATCCTAGAAAACATAGCATTCCTACACATGATACTAACATCATTCTCCAACAGTTGTTGGCCAAAGATTCATTTGATGAATCTGATTTTTCCAGAATAGACTATTCTGATGATTCAGATGATTCTGATGTTAGTTCTGTTTATAAATAATTCCAAGAACAGTTTTTATATTTTATTTTCAAACTGAAAATCATTCAGATTTGTGGCCAGGCATGGTGGCTCATGCCTGCAATCCCAGCACTTTGGGAGGCAGAGGCAGATGGATCACCTGAGGTCAGGAGTTCCAGACCAGCCTGGCCAACATGGTGAAACCCCGACTCTACTAAAAAATAGAAAAATTAGCCAGCTGTGGTGGCAGGCACCTGTAATCCCAGCTACTCGGGAGGCTGAGGCAGGAGAATTTCTTGAACCTAGGAGGCAGTGGTTGTGGTGAGCTGAGATCACACCACTGCACTCCAGCCTGGGTGACAGAGCAAGACTCTGTCGAAAGAAAGAAAGAGAGAGAGGGAGTGAGGGAGGAAGGAAGGAAGGAAGAAGTCAGATTTGCTTCAGCATCAAAGAGCATGTTTCTGTAAAAGGAAGGAAAGGAAGGGAAGGGGAGGGAGGAGGGAGGCGGGGAAGGAAGGAAATCCGTGATATTTGCTTCAGCCTCAAAGAGCATGTTTCTGTAAAATTAAATGAGCACTGGCAGTGAGCTGCCCCTTTTTTCCTAAACGGGAAAAGGGTTAATATTGCAAACTTTTCCTCAGCTTCTATGCAACTGAGACAAATACTGTGCTAACTCATGAGGACCTCTGGAACCATGATATGTTAACTTGTCTTTCTCTTATCTAAGTCCTTTTCTGCCCACAGCTTCTCTGTACATCAAAATAGTGCCTACCAGAGGCCCCATTCAACCTTTAGATTTAGTTATAATTTTTCCCATGGACAGAGGATAAGATGTAGAGAAGCATCCCTCTGGGGCCTGAAAATTGTCAGTCAAGAGAGGATGCATGGGGTTAGGTGGTGCTGCACCAACGCCAGGCACCAGATCCAGACTAGCAGAGGCATCCTGTGGGCCTTAATGTTTTTTGTTTTTTTGTTTTTTTGTTTTTGTTTGTTTTTGAGACAGCCTTGCTCTGTCACCCAGGCTGGAGCGCAGTGGTGCAATCTCAGCTCACTGCAACCTCTGCCTCCCAGGTTCAAATGATTCTCATGCCTCAGCCTCTCTAGTAGCCGGGATTACAGGCATGTGCCACCGCGCCCGGCTAATTTTCGTATTTTTACTAGAGACGGGGTTTTGTCATGTTGTCCAGGATGGTCTCGAACTCCTGGCCTCAGGTGAACTGCCCACCTTGAGCTCCCAAAGTGCTGGGATTACAGACATGAGCCACCACACCCAGCCTTGTAGTCCTTAATTAATTTAGTTTTTTTGTATGTAGAGTTCTCTAAATTGCAGGGCCCAGTCAGGGGCTCCTCTTGTCAGCTCTAAGGACAGGACTGGGAAAATATACTTCTGGAAATAAATTGCTGTAGAAAACAGAGGATTTTTTTTCCCCCCGAGATGGAGTCTTGCTCTGTTGCCCAGAGCTGGAGTGCAATGGCGCAATCTTGGCTCACTGCAACCTCCCCCTTCCGGGTTCAAGCAATTCTCCTGCCTCAGCCTCCCGAGTAGCTGGGATTACAGGTGCCTGCCATCACACCTGGCTAATTTTTGTATTTTTAGTAGAGACGGGGTTTCACCATGTTGGCCAGGCTGGTCTCAAACTCCTGACCTTGTGATCTGCCCACCTAGACCTCTCAAAGTGTTGTGATTACAGGCGTGAGCCACAGCGCCCACCCTACAGAGAGGAAATTTTAAGGAAATGTCTGCTTTGAATACTCAATAAAATATAAGACAAAACCAAAAATGATACAGTGTGCTGAAATTCTGACAGCAATGATAAAAGAATTTTCAAGGAACTGAAATCCAGTGACAAAAATGAAATCGATCAAGGCTGTAGTTGCACACCTGAGACATTCCTCGAGAAGGCAGAGGAGAAAGGTGTGAAAAACAGTGAACCAGAGAAGGATGGCCAGGGACAACAAAGATTGGAGCTCGGAAGTTGAATGACAGATATTCTGGAGAAACACACCAGAGATGACAAAAGGTGGGTCTGTGGAGCTGACAGGTGTACTTTGTTCCAAAAAAAAAAAAAAAAAAAGACCGTCACTGCTTAGACATATTTCAAATCATATGATTAATAAGACTGAATTTTTGGCTTTATTATCAGGCTTGTCTTTACTCCACAGAAGGTATACCTTCTCAGATATTTCAGGAATAAGTACACAAATTGATATAAACTGGGTTACAAAAAATACCTCAAGCTTTCCAAGGAGAAATTATATAGATAAATATTCTGACTACAATTAAAATCCCACAGAGACCAGCCTGGCCAACATGGTGAAACCCTGTCTTAACTGCTTTTGTTCCAATAAAACAAAATAGAGAGCAGGATCCTCAGGCTTCGATGCTATTTGCTTAATCCAGGTGGTCTGTGGAGATGCCTGGGACAGAAAGCAGCAGCCGGACTCCAGAATCCCCCATGTTAATAGCTATTCTATGCTATGTCCCCGTCTTATTGCTGGCAACTCACCTCTCAGCTCAAGCATTGTGACATTACAGCAAGAAGTATTAATATAAATGACACAAAAGAAAAAAGAAACCATGGGGTTTTGTTTTATTAAGTAGGTAGGCATTGTACATGTGCAGGGTGGGAAATGATCAGGAGACAGGTATCCAATGAGCATCTGCCATGTATCAGGCACTGCGCAATGTTCCTTACATACCACGATCCCATTTAATCTTCAAAAAACACTGCAGAGGGCTACCACTGCCTTCCTTTTACACACGAAAAAACTGAGACTTAACAGTTGCTCATGGGAAGTTGAACCAAGAGTCAAAACAAAAGACTTTCAGGCCCCAAAGGCTGCACTGTTTCCACTGCACAAAGTTGTCTGCACTGTGAGCAACAGAGGAGAGGAAAGGGGACTAAAAACAAAAACCAAAAATCCCATAAATAAAATAAATGAACTGAGCCTTCAACCCAAAAAGTTATAAGGAGCAGAAGGAAAACATTTCCAAGGAAATCAGGAAGAAGCAAGCTTAAGAATAAAAGCATGACATGTGTATTTAATTGGATCCAGGGGAAACTATTGGGGTGAGATGTTAAAAACGGAGTTAGGAAATGACTGGAGAACTTGTGTATTACACTCCACTTCCTATGGACCTTGGGTCCTTCTCTGTAACACTAATGTTTGACTAAATTCTTCAAAGTTTCCTTGCAAGGAGACGGCCACTCTGAAGCCAAGGAGTTACCACCAACAGACTCCTTTAATAACAACACAATAGGTAAATTACCCCTGAAGGCAAATATAACTGATTATCTTATAGTAGCAGGTTTTAAAACCTTGTCTCAAAAGCATTGCTATGGGCCAGGCACAGTGGCTGACACCTATAATCTCAGCACTTTGGGAGGCTGAAGTGAGAGGATTGCTTGAGCACAGGAGTTCAAGACCAGCCTGGGCAATATAGTGAGATACTGTCTCTACAAAAAATAAAGTGAGGTAAATTAGTGGGGCATAGTGCTGTATGTCTATAGTTCCAGCTATCTGGAAGGCTGAGGTGGGAGGATCTCTTGAGCACAGAAGGTCAAGGCTGCAGTGAGCTATGATTGTGTGTCTGGAATTGGTGGGTTCTTGGTCTCACTGACTTCAAGAATGAAGCCACAGACCTTTGTGGTGAGTGTTATAGTTCTTAAGGTGGCACATCTGGAGTTTGTTCCTTCTGATGTTCAGATGTGTTTGGAGTTTCTTCTTTCTGGTGGGTTCGCGGTCTTGCTAGCTCAAGAGCGAAGCTGCAGTTCTTCACAGTGAGTGTTACAGCCATAAAAGCAGTGTGGACCTAAAGAGTGAGCAGTAGCAAGATCTATTGCAAACAACAAAACAACAAAGCCTCCACAGTGTTGAACAAGACGCGATGCAGGTTGCCACTGCTGGTTCAGGCAGCCTGCTTTTATTCTCTTATCTGGCCCCACCCACGTCCTGCTGATTGGTAGAGCTGAGTGGTCTGTTTTGACAGGACACTGATTGGTGTGTTTACAATCCTTGAGCTAGATATAAAGGTTCTCCACGTTCTTATCAGATTAGTTAGATACAGTTTTGACACACAGGGTCTCCAAGGCCTCACCAGAGCAGCTAGATACAGAGTGTCGATTGGTGCACTCACAAACCTTGAGCTAGACACAGGGTGCTGATTGGTGTGTTTACAAACCTTGCGCTAGATACAGAGTGCTGATTGGTGTATTTACAATCCTTGAGCTAGACATAAAGGTTCTCCAAGGCCCCACCAGAGCAGCTAGATACAGAGTGTCGATTGGTGCACTCATAAACCCTGAGCTAGACACAGGATGCTGATTGGTGTGTTTACAGTCTCTGAGCTAGACATAAAGACTCTCCACGTCCTTACCAGACTTAGAAGCCTAGCTGGCTTCACCTAGTGGATCCTGCACCGGGGTTGCAGGTGGAGCTGCCTGCCAGTCCTGCGCCATGCGCTCGCATTGCTCAGCCCTCGGGCGGTAGATGGGACTGGGCGCCGTGGAGCAGGGGGCGGCGCTCCTCGGGGAGGCTCCAGCTGCACAGGAACTTACGGAGGCGGGGGAAGGCTCAGGCATGGCGGGCTGCAGTCCTGAGGCTTGCCTTGAGGGAAGGCAGCTAAGGCCCGGCGAGAAATTGAGCGCAGCGCCGGTGGGCTGGCACTGCTGGGGAACCTAGTACGCCTTCCGCAGCCGCTGGCCCGGGTGCTAAGTCCTTCATTGCCCAGTGCCGGCAGGGCCGGCCGGCTGCTCTGAGTGCGGGGCTGCCAAGCCTACGCCTACCCGGAACTCCAGCTGGCCCGCAAGCGCGGCACGCAGCCCCGGTTCCCGCTCGCGCCTCTCTCTCCACACCTCTTTGCAAGCTGAGAGAGTGGGCTCCGGCCTTGGCCAGCCCAGAAAGGGGCTCCTACGGTGCAGCGGTAGGCTGAAGGGCTCCTCAAGTGCCGCCAAAGTAGGATCCCAGGCAGAGGAGGCGCCGAGAGCGAGCGAGGGCTGTGAGGACTGCCAGCATGCTGTTACCTCTCAATTGCACCACTGCACTCCCCACCCTGGGTGACAGAACGAGATCCTGTCTCAAGAAAGCATTGCTAAACACTTTCTTCCATAAAATTATATTTTGCCCTGAGGGAGGCCCCCAGCCAGACTGTGAAGTGCCACCTCCTGCTGCTGGCCCCTGAGGGTAGCGGGCAAGGAAGGAGCATGTCTCTGCTGTGGGAAGTGCCAGGGAAAAGCCCCTGGATTGGGTCACCATGAAACGCAAAGTGGGTGAAATACAAACATACCTTTGAAAGACAAATACGGACCTTAGTGAATGAGTCTGGGTCATGGCTGGACCGGAGAAATCCCAGGGTGAGCCAGCCCAAACACACCATCCATGGAATAAAAAAAGGAACTGCTACTCCAATGGTCAGCCCTGTGAGAAACGCATCCTTCCATCCAGCTAAAATCTGCCTGTGTCCATCTTGTCTGCTCAACACCAGTCCCCATGCTTTGGGACACAGAGCACTGTACCCTCCTGCATGGAATGGCCAGCCACTGGGCTTCAGAGCCAAACAAACCTGGGCTCAAAGGCCAGCCCTGACTCTCTGTTGTGTGATGTCCGGCATAATGGTGCTAGTAGTTGATGTGCCCATCTGCCCCACCTCTGCCTGGCTGTACTTGTAGCTAGTACATGTATACTATATATGTGCCCGACTGTTTCATTGTATGTTCCAGGATGGTCATGCCTGAGTTTTTTTTTTTTTTTTTTTTGGTGGGGGGAATCTCACTCTATTGCCCAGGCTGGAGTGCGGTAGCACGATCACGGCTCACTGAAGCCTCAAATCCCTAGCCTTAAGTGATCTACCTATCTCAGCCTCCTGAGTAGCTGGGACTACCGACCTGCACCACCAAGCCTGGCTAATTTTTTAAAATTTTTGTAGAGGTTGAGGAGGGAGGGGCTCTGTTGCCCAGGCTAGTCTCGAACTCCTGGACTCAAGTGATCCACCTGCCTCGGCACTGGGATTACAAGTGTGAGCCATCACACCCAGCTTCCCTGAGCCTTTATACAGAACTCGCCTTTGAGTTAGGTTCTGTTGTATATTCTAGTTAGGGCATTATATTGATTTTTTAAATTACTATCATTCTGAATTAATAACAAATTGTGGTACATTCATACAGTGGAATAGAACTCAGCAATAAAAAGTAATGAGGGGAGGTGGGGATGGTTAATGGGTACCAAAAAAAAAAAAAAAACCTGATTGAGTAAGTCCTAGTATTTGAGAGCACAATAGGGTGGCTATAATCAATAATAATTTAATTATATATTTAAAAATAACTAATGGCTGGGCATGCTGGCTTACGCCTGTAATGCCAGCACTTTGGGAGACAGAGGCAGGTGGATCACCTGATGTCAGGAATTCGAGACTAGTCTGACCAACATGGTGAAACCCTGTCTCTACTAAAAATACAAAATTAGCTGGGCCTAGTGGCACGTGCCTGTAATCTCAGCTATTTGGGAGGCCGAGGCAGAAGAAATGCTTGAACCCAGGAGGCAGAGGTTGCAGTGAGCCAAGATAGCACCACTGCACTCCAGCCTGGGCAACAAGAGTGAAACTCCATCTCAAAAATAAATAAATAAATGAAAATAAAAATAAGAGTATATAATTGGATTGTTTGTAACACAAAGGATAAATGCTTGAGGGTCTGGAAACCCCATTTTCCATGATGTGATTATTATGCACTGCATTCCTGTATCAAAACATCTCAGGTATCCCAGAAATACATACGCTTACAATGTACCCACAAAAACTATAATTAAAAATTTAAAAAGTAATGAACTGTTGGCACACAAAACAACATGGATAAATCTCAAAATAATTATGGTGAGTGAAAGAAGCCTGACAAAAAAAAGTACACACTGTATGATTCCATGTCTAGAAAGCACTAGAAAATATAAACTAACCTATGATGACAGAAAGCAGATCAGGGTCAGGCATGGTGGCTCACACCTGTAATCCCAGTGCTTTGGGAGGCGGATCACATGAGGTCAGGAATTCGAGACCAGCCTGGCCAAAGTGGTGAAACCCAGTCTCTACTAAAAATACAAAAATTAGCCAGGCATGGTGTCGGGCACCTGTAGTCCCAGCTATTTGGGAGGCTGAGGCAGGAGAATTGTTTGAACCTGGGAGGCAGAGTTTGCAGTGAGCCAAGATCGCGCCACTGCACTCCGGCCTGGGTGACAGAGCGAGACTCCGTCTCAAAAAAAAAAGGAAAAAAGAAAAAGAAAGCAGATCAGTAGTTGTTTGGGGGTGATGGGGAAGTAGAAAGGGCAGAAAGCAGGATCACCGGGGGTAATGAGGAAACTTTTTGAGAGGATGGATATCTTCACTATCTTGAATGTGATGATTTGAGCTGTATACCAAGGGTCAGATACCAAATTGTAATCTCGGTATATGCACAGTTTATTATATGTCAGTACCTCAGTAAATCTGCCTAAAATGTTTAAAAATTACTGTAATTATACAAAATACATTTTATGAAAAGGAAGTCATGAATGGAGCATGGTTGAGAACCCCAGCATCAGGTAGATTCAGAAGGAAGTCATGAGTGGAGCATGGTTGAGAACCCCAGCATCAGGTAGATTCAGAAGTGGGGAAAAGCATCTCCCACTTCCCCTTCTTCAGGCCAGCGTGCTGTGCAATTTATCCAGTGGCCACTAGAGGACAGCAGCGACTCATGTACAGGAAGTCGGCGTTTCAGGGTTTCAATACTAAGAATTCCCTGCTCTGTGCTCCCTATCCTGGGAGGTGGGCGTTAATACCCCCATAATACTCAGTTAGAGCTGAGACTTGGGACTCGGTTTCTGGCTCCTGATTCCATCTTGTTGGTCCCCCAACACCAGGAGCACAGGGAGGTCGCCCAGACTATAGCGCAGTTGGCACTATCTCAGCTCACTGCAACCTCTGCCTCCCAGGTTCGAGCAGTTCTCCTGTCTCAGCCTCCTGAGTAGCTGGGATTACAGGCGAGTGCCAACACGCCCGGCTAATTTTTCCATTTTTAGTAGCGATGGGGTTTCACCATGTTGGCCAGGCTAGTTTCAAACTCCTGACCTCAAGTGATCTGCCTGCCTCAGCCTCCCAAAGTGCTGGGATTACAGGCATGAGCCACCGTGCCTGGCTGACAACACTCTTACTAAATTAACTGCAGAGAGGTTTAAGAAACGCCTAAAGAATCTGGTGTGGTGGCTTACGCCTGTAATCCCAACACTTTGGGAGGCCAAGGTGGGCGGATCACTTGAGCCCAGGAGTTCAAGACCAGCCTGGGCAACATGGCAAGACCCCTTCTCTACAAAAAAAATTACAAAAATTAGCCGGGCATGGTGGTGCGTGCCTGTAGTCCCAGCTACTCAGGAGCTTGAGGGAGGAGGATCCCTTGAGCCTGGGAGTTCAAGGCTGCCGTGAGCTATGATGGCACCACAGCCTGGGTGTGAGAGTGACACCCAGTCTCAAAAAAAATAATTGTGGACACACATTGAACCCTCCCAGTGGGTGAGGCATGATGCCAAACACTGTATGAAGGGAATCATCTCATCTTCACAGCATTGTTACTAAATAAGCTGCAGAAAGGTTAAGAAACACCCAAAGTCATAGAGCTGGTAGGAGGCAGTGCAAGGATTTGCATCCAGATTTGACACTAACACGTGGGCCTCGCTACTGCTCTGTAGTACCCACTTAAACGGAAGTGTCCTTCTCGATTATTTAGTTCATGTGTTACACTCGTTGGTGTTGGTAGCAGATGGTTGGTATTGTAGTTCAGCTTTCTGGAGAAAGCTTGTCAGGCTTCAAGAGAATGTTTAGCATCTGTGATGGTCCATGAGGGAGGTTCCCCTCTCCACCCCTTCACCACTTTACATGGAGCATTTACAGTGTGTGAGTTTCCATGCTAAGGATGATACTTTCATGATGACAGTGTCTGAAGGGCAGGTGGGCAGAGGCCAGCAACATGGAACTGAGGGGTCAGTGATGCAGGAATCCAGTGACATTGTTTATTTGCACTCACTTAAAAGGGTTTGTCAAACACAGCCCAACTCAACTGGAGTCCTGAGAAGGTGACCAGACCAGGATGGAGGCCCAGGGAACTCACCAGAAGTCCCCATGCATCAGAACAAGGTCGAAGCATCCTGGTGAGTAGATAACACGTGCCCATGCTTTGTGGGAGGAAGTCCTCCAGCAGTTTCTCTCCTTCCCCTTGGCTTTGACTCAGCCTACCTGGGATTATGCAGTTGGTTCTCCACTCCAGATGCCTCAGGGAGGTGACCCTTCCTGTTCTGGGTTCTGCAGAAACCAACAGCTCTGGGCTTGTGCCCATCAAGCACTCTTCTGCCCATTTTATACTCTTGTGGACGCATGGTGGTGTTGATACAAGCCCCGAATTAAAGGATCCATGGCTGCCCGTGACAAGACAAAGCAAAAGCAGGCCAGAGTTAAACAGGCCCCTTGGGTCCCTTCCTTCATTTCATAAATGGGAAAATCAAGGTCTGGGCAGGGAAAGGGACTCAGCCAAGGCCACATACACAGCACACTGATGGCCGAGCCGGGGTTAGGACTCCCAGCATACCCTGTAGACTTCTCTAATAATAGATAGGCTGCTTGGTTTTTCTTTATTAAGGGTTGGTTACACATTATCTCTCTCTGTCTTTCTTAAAACAATTATTCTTTAATATCTTTATATATTCAGTAAGTGTTCAAATTTCCAACTATTTTATGTCAAAAAGCATTTTCTAACATTTTTATTAAATCAAGATCCAAACAAGATGCACACAATATGATTAGTTGATGTCTCTTAAATCTCTTTTAATCCATGGATTCCTCTTTAATCTTTCTCTTTTTCCCTTTATTCTTTTTTATTTGCTTATTTTTTTCAGACGGAGTCTCGCTCTTGTTGCCCAGGCTGGAGCGCAATGGCGCGACCTCGGCTCACTGCAACCTCCGCCTCCTGGGTTCAAGTGATTCTTCTGCCTCAGCCTCCCCAGTAGCTGGGATTCTAGGTGTTCGCCACCAAGCCCAGATATATTTTTTTGTATTTTTAGTAGAGTTGGGGTTTTGCCATGTAGGCCAGTCTGCTCTCGAACTCCTGACCTCAAGTGATCTGCCTGCCTTGGCCTCCTAAAGTCCTGGGATTACAGGTGTGAGCCACTGCGCCTGGCACAGAAATGGTAATATTCTATCATCCTGTCTTCATTTATTAGCTGGATTACTTCTAAAGAGAAACTCCTCCTTGTTAACTATTCCATTACCTGGAGTCTTATCTCATCAATTCTGGGAAGATTCTGGGTACGTGGGATTATCCCCACTTCCATGTTAGGCCAGAGGTCAGAGGGGCTGAAGGAACTGTCACCAGCAGAAGAATTGGCTGGCCCAGCCAACCGACAAAATCATAATAAATAATTAAAAAGTGAAGGCTGGGTGTGGTGGCTCATACCTGTCATCCCAGCGCTTTGGGAGGCCTGAGCGGGAGGCTTGCTTGAGGCCAGGAGTTTGAGGCTGCAGTGACCTATGGTCACACCACTGCACTCCAGCCTGGGCAACAGAGTGAGACCCTGTCTCTAAAGAAATTAATAATCAAGTGGTTGTTTTAAGGCCCTAAATCCATCAGCAGCCCATGCATGGCAAAACCAGGCCTAGGGGCCCCTGGGCCCTTTCCTTCCTTCACAGGAGGTCAGACCTGCACAGAGTCATCAAGAGCATGCAGTTCAGCCTCGCCATGTGCAGATGGGGTGGCTGAGGACTGGGAGGTATAGTGACTCATCCAGGCCTGCGCACATCACCCAGGTCATGGGCATATCCTTAAAAGAAACTCCTGAAAATTCCTTGTGATGGGTTTCAGTGTCTTTGCTGGCTGGGCCTGATGTTCTCACTCTAAAGCCTGTGCCTGTAAGCACTTGCACTAGGCCCACCATTCGACCTGATCTTATTTCCTGTGGTGTTCTCAATGCTGATAACAAATGCTTGGTAAATATCTGTTGAAATGAATCAATGAATGAAGGAGGTGTTGTTTCTGTATGTCAGGAATGGGCTGCTCCTGGACCTCTCCACTGGGGAAGATACTGGAGGCATTGGGATGTCCACAGAGCAGCCATCCTGGTGGGCCCAGCGAAGGAGCCAAGGGCACAGGGATGAGTGGGAAGCAGAGAGTGGGAGGCAGGCAAGAGAGCTCACTCCAGGAAAGCAAGCAGAGTGGGAGACCTGCCCTCCACCCTGGCAAGGGTCCAGCCGAGGAACAGAATCCTGCTGGGTGGGGAGGCAGCATAGATGGGGTTCCAGCAGGTAGCAGGGACCAGCCACTGAGCTGGGGTGAGGGCAGAACTCCAGTTGCAGGATGGAGCAGGCCGGGCCCCCATCCTTACACTGGGCAAGTGACCAAGGTGAGAACTCAGGCCCAAGGAGCAAGTCAGAAGCCCTGTGTATCAGGTAGGATTCAGTTGGGTTGAGAAGAATGAAAACCCTCAAATATCATTGTCTCAAACAAGTTCAAAGCTCAGTTTCTCTCTCATGTTTAGCTGTCCTGAGGGAATCAATCCAGAGCCAACAGAGTGCTCCATGATGCAAAGGCTCCTGTCTTATTGCTCTGCCATCCACAAACATGACTTCTACCCCATGATACAATATGGCTGCTGGAGCTCAGCCTTTCCATGCTATATTCCAGGTATCAGGAAGGAGTATGGGAAGGAGAAGAGTACTCTCCTTTTTTTTTTTTAACAGCAATTCCCAGAACTGCACAGATGGTTTTCTTTACATTCTTTTGGCCAGAACTGAGTCACATGGCCATGTCTAGCTGCAAAGGAGGGTTGGAAATGTTGTCTTCTTTTCACGTATTCATGAGCCTAGCTAAAAATCAGAACCTGTAACTGAAGAAAAGAGAACATAACTCCAGTGACTCAAATTATGACACAAGCCAGAGGTCAACCAGGGAACTCACAGTTCAGGCCCAGGGTGCTGGGCTGTAGCCATTTACACCCCTGCTGCCCTAGGTCCTGGGGCTTAGGCAGGCTGGTGTCATATGACTCCCACTGTGGGAGGGAGGGGCCGTGGAGCTTAACCACAGTGCTTGGCTGTCCAAGTACCTGCAACCACAGCAACGGTGGGTATTGTTTGGGGGAGTGGGGGGATAGTCTCACTCTGTCGCCCAGACTAGAGTGTAGTGGCTTAATCTCTGCTCACTGCAACCTCTACCTCCCAGACTCAAGCAATTTTCCCACCTCAGCCTCCTCAGTAGCTGGGACCATAGGCGCACACCAACATGCCTGGCTAATTTTTTGTATTTTTAGTGGAGTCGAGGTTTCACCATGTTGCCCAGGCTGGTCTCAAACTCTTTGATTCAAGCAATCCACCCACCTTGGCCTCCCAAAGTGCTGCTGGGATTACAGGAATGAGCCACTGCACCTGGCCTTTTTTTTTTTTTTTTTTTTTTGTAGCTAACCCAGCATTAGCCCAGGAAGAAGCCTCAACGGCAAGAAAGTAGGGTTAGTCTGCTCATTGGCAGGGACAGGCACAGACTCAGAGGCCAACAGCTGCTTGATGCTGAGAAAAGTATCCTCAAAATATGGGTCAAGGCCAGGGACTGCCTTTTCCCAGGAGGCAGTGATGTGGCTGATGACAGCTTCTTTTATTCTTTAAAATTTTACTATAGAATAGCATCCATGTAGAAAAGTACATAAATCATAAATGTACAGCTCAATGATTTTCACAAAATGAACACACCCAAGTAGCTAGCACCCAGATCAAGAAATAGAACATTATCTAGAACTTTAGAAGCCGCCCCCATCCCCTTCTTCCTGTCCTCTTCCCACCCTCCCCAGTCTTCAACCACCAACCCCCACCGGCATTTTTTTTTGAGACGGAATTTCACTGTTGTTGCCTAGACTGGAATGCAATGGCGTGATCTCAGCTCACTGCAAACTTCGCCTCCTGGGTTCAAACGATTCTCCTGCCTCAGCCTCCCAAGTAGCTGGGATTACAGGCGCGTGCCACCACACTTGGCTAGTTTTGTATATTTTTAGTAGAGGCGGGTTTTCACCATGTTGGCCAGGGTGGTCTCAAACTCCTGACCTCAGGTGATCCACCCGCCTCGGCCTCCCAAAGTGCTGGGATTACAGGTGTGACCTGCCGCGCCCGGCCCCCACCAGCGTTTTTGTAAATCAGTGTAGGTGATTCCACAGTATAGTCAATGTTGAGAACCACTACTTTCATAACAATGCTTCTCAAACCTGGCTGCAAGTTAGAATCCACTGGGGAATGTCTGTCTTTTGAAGTAGAAGATGGAACCAAGATAGCTAAGAAGGCAGAGTGGCACTTGCCATGGACCAGCTGTGTGACCTTCAAGGAGTTCTTTCATCTCTGTCAGCCTCATCTGGGAAATGGGAACACGATCACATTCCTGCAGAGTTGGGGCTGAGAGATAGAGGATGTCAGCCCAGGCACATGTAGGGGCTCCTGATACGTGGCAGCCACTATTGTTCTTATTAAAAGTGAGCAGCCCCAGCCGGGCACGGTGGCTCATGCCTGTAATCCCAGCACTTTGGGAGGCTGAGGCGGGCGGATCACAAGGTCAGGAGTTTGAGACCATCCTGGCTAACACGGTGAAACCCCGTGTCTACTAAAAATACAAAAAATTAGCCAGGTGTGGTGGTGGGCGCCTGTAGTCCCAGCTACTCGGGAGGCTGAGGCAGGAGAACCCCGGAGGTGGAGCTTGCAGTGAGCTGAGATCACGCTATTGCACTCTAGCCTGGGAGACAGAGCAAAACTCTGTCCAAAAAAATTTAAAAAAAAAATAGATTAAATAAATAAATAAAAGTGAGCAGCCCCAGGAAGATGTAAAGCCCTCACTTCCTTTACGCAGATGGAACCCATTCTGGGGATAGGGGACACAGGTTTTGTTGATGAGAGGTCACGGTCCTTCTAGGGAACACAGAAAAATTCCAAGAGCAGCAGAGATTCCAAGCCGAGGTGGACGGTATCAGAGACCAGTGGCTGCGGATGCACTTGGGCAGGCCCAGCTTTGGCAAAGCCAATCTTCCTTTGGCAAGAACAGTGACTGGCTGCAGGCTGTGACGCTAAAAGCTGCTTATGGAGAAAGAAGCAACCTTTGTTGAGCACATACTACGTGCCAGACACTGCCTGCATGCCTTAAATTGTGGGAGCAGTCAGACTGATCCCTTTTTAACAGTTGAGGAGCCTGAGGCTTGGAGGCTGCAGTGCCTGACTTCCTCACCGAGGAAAACCTGGTGTCCCCATGAGCCTGGGATCTGCCTCTGTTGGGATGCATGCCTGAGGGCATGCTGCATACAGAGTGACCTGGGGATGTGTTGTTTGATTAGATGCTCATCTTTGTAGTTTTGCCTAAAACAAAAAGTACATGGCTTTTTAAGCCATTGACAACTTTATTCTTTGCACCTATTATATCACATGTTCATTGTAGAACATCTAAAAAATACAGATAAGCGAAAAGAAAAAAAATCAAAATCTGTCCTAGTCCCAGCCTACACAGATGGCCACTGTCAATGTGTGAGCATATATTTTCATACATGTGAGTCTGTTTGCATGTGTGTGTAGAAACTTAACAGAAAGGAGTCACATGCTACACATTGTCAAAATCTTCGTCTTCAGTTAATAATATATAGTGGCCATCTTTCTGTGCCATTAATTATTTATTATTATTTTTGAGATGGAGTTTCACTCTTGTTGCCCAGGCTGGAGTGCAACGGCACAGTCTTGGCTCACTGCCATCTCCGCCTCCTGGTGAGAGGTGACAGCATGCTGGCAGCCCTGGCTCACTCTTGGCGCCTCCTCGGCCTCGTCGCCCACTCTGGCTGTGCTTGAGGAGCCCTTCAGCCCGCCGCTGCACTGTGGGAGCCCCTTCCTGGGATGGCTGAGGCCGGAGCCGGCTCCCTCAGCCTGCGGGGAGGTGTGGAGGGAGAGGCACGGGCGGGAACCGAGGCTGCGCGCCACGCTTGCGGGCCAGCTAGAGTTCCAGGTGGGCGTGGGCCTGGCGGGCCCCGCACTCAGAGCGGCTGGCCGGCCCTGCCGGCCCCGGGCAGTGAGGGGCTTAGCACCCAGGCCAGCAGCTACCGAGGGTGCGCCGGGTCCCCCAGCAGTGCTGGCCCACGGGTGCTGCGCTCGATTTCTGGCCGGGCCTTAGCTGCCTCCCCACGGGGCAGGGCTCAGGACTTCCAGCCCGCCATGCCTGAGTCTGCCCCGCCCCGCCGCCGTGGGCTCCTGCGCCGCCTGAGCCTCCTTGAGGAGCACGGCCCCCTGCTCCACGGCGCCCGGTCCCATCCATCGCCCAAGGGCTGAGAAGTGCGGGGGCAGGCCGCGGGACTGGCGGGCAGCTCCACCTGTGGCCCCCGTGCGAGACCCACTGGGTGAGGCCAGCTGGGTTCCTGAGTCTGGTGGGGACTTGGAGAACCTTTATGTCTAGCTAAGGGATTGTAAATACACCACTCAGCACTCTGTATCTAGCTCAAGGTTTGTAAACACACCAATCAACACCCTGTGTCTAGCTCAGAGTTTGTGAATGCACCAGTCAGCACCCTGTGTCTAGCTCAAGGTTTGTAAATGCACCAATCGACACTCTGTAGCTAATCTAATGGGGACGTGGAGAACTTTCGTGTCTAGCTCAGGGATTGTAAACACACCAATCAGTGCCCTGTCAAAACGGACCAATCAGCTCTCTGTAAAATAGACCAATCGGCTCTCTGTAAAATGGACCAATCAGCAGGATGTGGGTGGGGCCAGATAAGAATAAAAGCAGGCTGCTGGAGCCACCCGTAACAACCCGCTCTGATTCTCTTCCAAATAATGGGAAGGTTTTTCCCCCCGTTTTTACAGTAAGTTTTGCTGCTAATCACTTTGGATTTTCACTGCATTTATGAGCTGTGACATTCACTGTGAAGGTTTAAGGTTTTGCTGTTGAAGCTGGCAAAACCACAAAACCACCAAGAGAAACTAACAGTTCCACAGGCACTGTCTTAAGAGCTGTAACACCCACCATGAAGGTCTGCAGTTTCACTCCTGAGCCAGCGAGACCATGAACCCAGCGCAAGGAAAAAAGTGCAAGTACATCCGAACTTCAGAACATCAGAAAGAAGAAACTCTGGACAGGCCCCCTTTAAGAACTGTGACACCACCTGCGAGGGTCTGCGGCTTCATTCTTGAAGTCAGCCCAAGAACCCACCGATTTTAGACACACTGGGTTCAAGCGATTTTCCTGCCTCAGCCTTCCAAGTAGCTGGGATTACAGGTGTCCACCACCACGCCGGGGTAAGTTTTGTATTTTTATTAGAGACAAGGGTTTTACAACATTGGCCAGGCTCATCCCAAACTCCTAACTACAGGTGCTTCTGCCACCTCAGCTTCCGAAAGTGGTGGGATAAGAGGCATGAGCCACTGTATCTGGCCTCATTAAATATTCTACAACAGTGGCACTGCATTAGAATCCCTGGGGAAGCTTTAAAAATGTCAATGCCTGGGTTCCACACCTACAGTCAAATTTAATTCATCTGAGGTGGCCTGAGGTTTGGAATTAAAAAAAAAAAAAAAAACTCCCCAAGTAGTTTAAATATGCAGCCAAACCTAAGAGCTGCTAAACTGCAACTTTTTTTTTTTTTTTTTTTTAGGTGGAGGAGTGCTCTGTTTACCAGGCTGGAGAACAGTGGTGCAGTCTTGGCTCACTACAACCTCCATCTCCCAGGTTCAAGTTATTCTCCTGCCTCAGCCTCCTGAGTAGCTGGGATTGCAGGTGTGTACGACTACACACGGCTAATTTTTGCATTTTTTTTTTTTTTTTTTTTTTTTTTTTTAGTAAAGTCGGGGTTTTGCCATGTTGGCCAAGCTGGTCTCAAAACTCCTGACCTCAGGTAATCCACCTGCCTCAGCCTCCCAAAGTGCTGGGATTACAGGCATGAGCCACCGTGCCCGGCCAGCATTTTTCAACAAGGGCTTTGCATTCCATTTGCTGAAGGGGGTGCGCTGTAATTTGATCAATCCCCTTTTCTTGGACATTTAGGTTGGTTCCAATTTTTATATCATCATAAACCAGCAATTAGCATGCTTTTTCTGTAAAGAGCTAGGTGGTATTTGTTCTGGCCTTTGCAGATCACAAGTTCTCTCTTAGAACTACTGAGCTCTGCCATTACGGCAAAAAACCAGCCACAGACAATGCATATATGAATGCACATGGCTGTGTTTCAATCAGACTTTATTTAGAAAAACAGGTGGTGGCCAGATCTGGCCTGTGAGCCATGGCATGGTTCACTGAACCAACTCTATAAACATTGTGTGGTACATCTTTTTGAAGCCAAACTTTCCTAGTATGAAATGATCATTTTCTTGTGACAATGATTTTATACTGTTTCTTTTTAGAAGTAGGACCCTTCTTTGAATGAAACTTAGTAAGATTCATATAAGTAACAGGTAAGAAGTCATTCTGTTAGCATAAATATATTTTATAAATTCAAATGTGCAGTATTTAGAAGGCCAGTTAGGGGTTGCAGATGATTGCCTTTTTTTTTTTTTTTTTTTTTTTTTTTTTTTGAGGTGGAGTCTCGCTCTGTCGCCCAGGCTGGAGTGCAGTGGCGCGATCTCAGCTCGCTGCAAGCTCTGCCTCCCGGGTTCCCGCCATTCTCCTGCCTCAGCCTCCTGAGTAGCTGGGACTACAGGCGCCCGCCACCACGCCTGACTAATTTTTTGTACTTTTAGTAGATACGGGGTTTCACCGTGTTAGCCAGGATGGTTTCGATCTCCTGACCTTGTGATCCGCCCACCTCGGCCTCCCAAAGTGCTGGGATTACTGGCATGAGCCACCGTGCCTGGCCAGATGCCTGCAGTTTTAAATCAGACTCGGCACCAGTGACATTCAAATCAAAGTTTTGCAGAACTAGCAAAGCAACTCTATGGAACCCCAGGATTCCACTGGGAACACAGTTTGAAAATCATTGCAATAGGATAAATTCTTGGAAGTGGAATTGCTGGAGCAAAGGGCCTGAACCTTTTAAAAGCAGTTTGTGGCCAGGCACGGTGGCTCACACCTGTAATCCCAGCACTCCCCTCTGTGCCGTGACTCAGGAACCAGGTAATGTGCTGAGTCAGGCCCCAGGCACAGGAAGCCACAGATCAGACACAGCTCAACAACAGGCTTCCCTGAGCCCCCTTGGCTCACACCAGCAGCAACGCCGGGTTCCATGTGCAGATAAGTGATCCATCTCAGTCTCTCCCAGCTGACAGGGAGTTGAAGGTTCTACTCTTGGCCCTGATCCTAATACCAGTGCCAATAATCGAGCACCTACTATTTGCAAAACATTGGGCCAGGAACTTGACCACATCCTCCCTTCATCCTCAGAACAACCCGTTAGGGAGGGCCTCCCTGTCCCCATTTTCTAGATGAGGAAATGGAGGCTTTAGAGCAGCTAACGTGGCTTATACAACCTGCCTGCAGAACCTTCCAGGTCTGAGCTGAGGTGTCATCTCTGAACACCAGGCTGCTGCACTAACCAGAAGACCCCTCCCCACCTGCAGTGGCCTCGCTGCATCGTAAGGATGGAGGAGCTGTTGTCTCCACAGCTGACAGGTGCTTAGTGGTTAGAAGTCTGGTTTTCGCGCGGCTTAGATCTTTAACATCTGAACTAGTCCTGTCAACATATTTTGTTATATTTCTGGTGGCTTTGTCTTTGATGCTATTATAAATGATTATCTTTTAAAATAATACTTTGATGATATATAGAAATGAAATTGATTTATTTGACTGTATCCAGCAACCTTTTCAAATTCTAATAAATTGTGTAGGGAAAAAAAAGTCTGGCTTCGGAGTCAGAACGGAATTGAATCCTGCCTCCACCACTTCCTACCTATATGACCTGGTGAAACTTATCCCTCTCTGTGACTCAGTTTCCTCATCTGTAAAATGGGAAAATTGAAAGCAACTAACAGGTTTGGGGCCGTTTTGCTTGCTGCTGCTGTGGCTTCAGTGCTGAGGCCTGGCACTCAGCGGGATGTCAGCCCAGGACTGGAGCTTCTTTCTCATGGTATTATTTTGAATTTAGATGAAAAGAGGTATTCCAGGAGAGCTCCTGGCACAGGGCCTGGCAGGTGGCACATCCTCAGTAAATGTGAGCTGCTGTCAGCTGCTGTGTGAGTGCCTGGTGTGGCCCTGTTGTCCCCTTGAGGGTTGGGGGACAAAACAGGCCCTCAGGAAGCCTGCCTGTGTATTCGGGGGCTGGGGAGATCTCTGACCTCCTGTCTCCTAGCTCCACCAGCATCTCTCACCTCCCCCAGCAATGTACAACCCCTTCTTTTCCCATAGCTTAGGCCCCTGAGGTACCAGCCCCCCAGCCTAGGGACAGCCCAGTGGCAAACTCCTGGTGACCTGGGTCAAGCTGCTGTTCTCCAATCCCAACTCGGCTCTTCCCGTGACTTGGCCCCCAGGCCTTGGGTGAGGCTCCGATGAAATAACACACAGGAATGTGCGCTGAACACTGCCAAGCACTGCAGGTGGGCAGGGGCTTTGTGCTCCCCAGCGACTGTTCCTATCCTGCGGGAATGGAGGAGACCGACAAAGAAGCCCCACTCCTGGGCTGACATCCTGCCAGTGCCAGCCGGGCCTCAGCACCAGTGGGTCAGCCAGAACAGCAACGACGAACAATGAGGCCCCAAACCCGTGGGCCCCCCACTTTCTATCTTGAATTTCTCTGTCTTTCCTAGGCCAGCAATGTTTGAGAGGGAGAGCGAGCTGAAGATTTCCTGATTTCAGATAGGCCTAGAGAAGGATTGTAATTTTCTAGTGTGAAAAGGAAGTGGCACAAAGATGAGGGCAATGAAGAAGATGGTTCAATGGAAGTACCAGGGTCCTGTAAATAGGGAACGTGTTTTATGATCAAACCGTTCTTTGCATTTTTGGTGATTTTGAGGTTTAATTTCCTCTATGTAGTTAGTTAACTATTTAACACTGAGAGCAGGGGTAGGGATAAGGCAAACAACAAAAAAGCCAAAATGAAACCAACTTCTGTGGGGTTTCCCCACCCCAGGGAGGTGGAGGCTGAGGTAGAACTGACTGAGAGAATCACCCTCCCTGCACTGTGATGAAGACACATCCACACATCAGGACTACACAGCTGGCAGGTGCTGGCTGTCCAGAGGAGCAAACAGCTTCTTCCTTGTGTTTCTGTGTCTCTTAGTAGAAATCTGTGCCCTTGGGAGAAAACTGAATTTGCACCCCTTGAGGCAAACACTTGACCAAATGAATTAGGCAGATGGGTGGATGGGTGGGTGAATGGGCAGGAGGTGTGACAGGCAGGAGGCGTGACAGGGAAAGAACACTGTTCTGACAGGCACACACTGCCACATCTGCCCTCCCAACAACCCCGATACAGACACTGTTGTTAACCCTCCTTTTACAGATGAGGAAACTGAAGTTAATTTGCTCGTGGTAACACAGCTAGGCAAGTGGCTACGTTCAGCTGGAGAAAAGGAAAATTCTGAAAGACTTTAGGATACATCTTATTCAAAAGCATTTGGTGAACATAAATATGTACCCAAGGTATAATATTAAGTGAACCAAGCTTGTTATAAAGCAGTATGAGTCCTGTCTGATTCCAACTTTATAAAAAATAGATGCATATGTCAATAAATGCACAGAAAAGGGTATACCCTAAAATGTTAATAATGGTGATCTCTGGGTTATGACACAAAATATTGATTGGTCTTTGGGCTTTTCTTTAATTTTAAAATGTTAATAGACATGTATTATCTTAATAATGGGAGGAGCCACAGAAAAAGTGCTTTTCAAAAACATGAAATCAATAAGCCCATGCAGGACCTGCAGGGGGCTGCAGTCACCTGGGCCTCATAGGCTTGGCAAAGGCTTTAGTTATGCCCTGATTGGAGGCCACTGGCATGGAGAAGCTGTAGGTCAGCTAACTGGAACTAGGACATCCAATGTGATTGGTTATGTGTGCATATTTGTCTTTCTTCATTGGGTCCTAAGTTGCAAGCAGGCGCAAAAATTAAGGAAGCTGTGAGTCAATGAAGTCCTGGCTGTTTTTCAGCTGGTTGCTATAGGGTTGTTTTTTGACTTTCTAGACTGGTTGCTGTAGAGGTGGGTCAGAGTTTTACTTTCATCTATGGTCTGGCCATTGTATTTGTATATTCAGTCTCTTAGTCACCCCTTTTGGTCATTCGCTTACTTTCAAGAGGTTGGCCAATTCAAGGAAAGCTGGAAATCTAGCTCTTTATCACTCAGAGATTATTCAGTAAACTCCATATAAAACTGTATTGCAAAATATTCCTGACCTTTTTGTTTTTGTATCATCATGGTGATTTTGACTAGAGAGCAGATGTGCAGAAGCTTTTAAGAATCTAGATAGCACGCAGCATCATGTCCACTCTTACAAAGCCAGAATAATTAATAGTTCCTATAAGGTGATTTGGAACCAGGAACCTCAATTGCCAAATCAAGGCCAAAATAACAAATTTGATAGATTATGGGATCAACCTTAGCCAAATAGCTTATACCATGAAACAATATATAATAGTTCCAACTTGCTTGTTTCTTTGATCCAAGGACAAGAAGTATGAGCAACGGCACAGACACCAGGATGACTAAAAGAAAAAAAAAAAAAAAACCTAGGGTAATGTTATTGTCTATCACTGCCCATGCCAATGAGTTGAGATTGTTCTGTATTTGTATCTAGGACAAAGGCAATATCATCAATAACTTCTGCCAGAGTGAGTATCTTAGTCCATTCAGGCTGCTGTACTAAAATACCATAATTTGGGTGGCTTATAAAGAATAGAAATGTATTTCTTTCAGTTCTAGAAACTGAGAAAATCAAGATAAAGACGCCAGCAGACTCGAGGCCAGGTGTGATAGCTCATGCCTGTAATCCCAGAACTTTGGGAGGCTGAGGTGGGTGGATCACCTGAGGTCTGGAGTTCAAGACCAGCTTGACCAACATGGAGAAACCCCGTCTCTACTAAAAATACAAAATTAGCCAGGTGTGGTGGTGGGCAACTGTAATCCCAGCTACTCAGGAGGCGGAGACGGAAGAATTCCTTGAACCGGGAGGCGGAGGTTGTAGTGAGCTGAGATCGCGCCACTGCTCCCCAGCCTGGGCCGGAGCCAGACTGTGTCTCAAAAACAAACAACAAAATAAAACAAGAAAAGATTTAATGGAAGACCTCAATAAGCCATTGTAGGCTGTAAAATTCACCTAGTCCAATCTTTCAGAGTCGTTTTGGACTTGATAGTAGCTCAGTACCAAGATCATTACAGAAGTTAATACCAATAATAGCCATTGAATATATTGTCTCTATAATGTGGATCAAATTCTCATTTGACTGTACTGACATTGGTGATAGAAGGTGCAACCTGATTTACGCTGGGGTATATCAGGTGATTAAAGTTAAGGCAGGCTAGAGAAAAAGTGAAAGCACTCAAATTGCTGATTTGGAGTGAATGATAAAGCAATTTAATACACCGTCTCTAAAGCATCCGTTTTCGCCTGTCCGAAGAGTTTTAAAGGATATTTGGCCAGAAAATTTCTACCATGTGTCAGAATATTAATTTGCATGTATGCATTCATAGTTCATGGGATATTATTTTAGTGGTTTTATTATAACTGCATAGAATGGTTTGCTTCTTACTGAAGATCTTTCTTTTTTTCTTTCGTTCTTTCTCTTTCTTACAGCCATAGGTGCTTTAAGTCATTAAACTTTGAGCACTGTAAAAATATCTAAAGAGTGCTTATTTTTATAACATTAATACTCCATTTGCAACTTTAATTATAGTTACTTCATTTTTAAAATCTCAGAAGATAATGAAATATGTAGAATTGCCAAAACAATTGAGAAAGCTCACTGCATTCGTTTGGTAGAGCTGTCGTAACAAAGTGCCATGGACTGGATGGCTTAAACAGAAACTTACTTTCTCACAGTTTTAGATGCCAAAAGTCCAAGATTAAAGGTATTGGTAGGTTTGGTTTCTTCTGAGACCTATTCAATTGGTCCATAGACTGCTATCGTCTCCCCGTGTCTTTACATCGTCATTTCTCTGTATGTGTCTGTGTGTAAATGTTCTCCTCTTAGAAGCACGCCAGTCACATTGGATTAGGACGCACCCTACTGACCTTATTTAACCTTAATTGTGTACTTCTCTAAAGACCTTGTCTCCAAGTATAGATACTCCGTGATATTGAGGGTTAGGACTTCAACACATGAATTTGGCGGGGGTGGGTGGGCACAATTTAGCTCATAAAACTCACTAAGGTTTAATTAGGGCATGGACTGTAGAGCATTCTACTGTTAATTTAGTTTTTGTGTTTGGAAAGCATTTTGAAACATAATGATTTTTATTTACAATTTCATTATTTATATTTTCATTATGTTTAGGGTTGCTTGGAGGTAAATGAAGAAAGAAGAGTTCCGCATTAGTGAGGCAGGGATGTCAGTATATAAGGAATTGGAAAGACATCAGTGATAATGGCAAAAGCTGCTTATAAATTAAATTAAGAGCTTAATTAAACTGAGGAAAAAAGCATATTGCCAAATTACATGCAGTTGTTTTGTAACAGCATTTGTCCACTTGCTGTGCCCTGAGATTTCCAAGGCACATTCCTCTACTAAGCGTATTATAAGATGATTAAATATGCATAGTACAAGTATGTTATGGAAGGCTGTGTTAACTGATATAGTGGGACCACAATAGTATGTGTAAGTGAGATTTGGAAAATTTGATATGCCAGCAAGGACAAAGAAGTGTTGAATTTGCAAGTTTATGCACATAATTCTGAGAATCCAGGCAGCTATTTCTCCTTTTGAATTGTTCTCTTGGCTAGGGGATAAGGGTGAGACACAATACACATTTGAATGTGTCACTGTGTAAGTTACCACTGCAATATCTTCTGTATGTTGAAAAACTGGTACTTATATGTACTAATACTATCTACCATGAAAAAAACAATTAAAAATTTAAAATATCATGTAAATTAAATAAAGTTCAAATACCACTAGCCAGAAAAAAATATTTTATATTATAGTCTGGGGTCAGAAGAGGAAAACCTTATGTAAAGTATCAAAATTAATTTTTATTTCAATTTAAATGCACCATCATATAACATAGTTTCATAACTGAAATTACATTTGTCAGAATTTGATCTTTTCATTATTAAAGAATTGAGGGAAAATTGATGGTTATAATATTGATATGCCATGTAAATAAACTTTTTTTGATTGTTATAGGAATGAATTGCTCAACTAATTGGCCAATGTCAACCACATATCTGTTTCCATGGAAACTGCAGCAATATTACTTCAAATAGTTTCATTTGTGAATGTGATAAACAATTTTCAGATAAAAAATGTATACATACATATACCATTTGTCCTGGATTTTTTTTTTTTTTTTTTTTTTTTTTTGTGAGACGGAGTCTAGCTCTATCACCCAGGCTGGAGTGCAGCGGCGCGATCCCGGCTCACTGCAAGCTCCACCTCCCGGGTTCCCGCCATTCTCCTGCCTGAGCCTCCCGGGTCGCTGGGATTACAAGTGCCCGCCGCTACACCCGGCTAATTTTTTATATTTTTAGTAGAGATGGGGTTTCACCTGTGTTAGCCAGGATGATCTCGATCTCCTGACCTCGTGGTCCACCCGCCTCGGCCTCCCAAAGTTCTGGGATTACAGACGTGAGCCACCGCGCCCGGCCTTGTCCTGGATTTTTTAACCAAGCACTATTATTTATAGTTGCGTTAAAATAAATAGGGATGGGTTTGATAAGTCACCACTTGGTGCTTTAAATTCTGCCATCATCTTTTCTAGGAGTGTAAGATATAGAGATACACATAAGCAGAAAATTTTTTTTAACATGAGGATAATATGATAATGTAACCAGTGATAACCTACCTCTCTTTTTCAATGCTTTCCAGATGCAAATTGTATTGTATCAATCATTCAAGGACAGCTTGTAGGACTTTGAAGACCCAAGCAGCCAAAAAATAGCTAATTCCTCCTTATTTCAGTTGGTATGAAGAGAAGGTTACTAATAATGCTGCTCTTCCAGCACAAGTCTTCTGGGCTGTCAGTGAGCTTGGTCAGTGGGAACCACAGGAAATTATGAGTTATGTTTGTTATATATGAGAGGAAAATTGAGGCTACCAGTCTTGTCACAGGGTTTATAGATAATTGCCTTGTGTGCCACCATGCCTGGATAATTTTTGTATTTTTAGTAGACAGGGGATTTCACCATGTTGGCCAGGCTGGTCTCAAGCTCCTGACCTCAGGTGATCTGCCTGCCTTGGCCTCCCAAAGTGCTGGGATTACAGGCGTGAGCCACCGCGCCCAGCACCCCATTAAATCTTATCACAAAGCCTCTTCAAACTTGGCTCCAATGGAGGGAATTGATACTTCAGCAATATTCTGTCTTCTACTCCATGAGCATAAACTGATGCTATCCTGAGCAAACTAGAATGATTACCCTATGAAGGTTCAGTAACTATAATAGGGGTATTTTTGGCATTAGTTTGAGACCTACAGCCTGTGCCAAAAGTGAACAGGAAGCATCACATTTAAAAGATGTATAAAATATGTCTATATCTATCCATTTGATATGGCTTGACTGTGTCACCACCCAAATCTTATTTGGAATTCCCACATGTTGTAGGAGGGAACCGGTAGGAGGTAATTGAATCATGGGGGCAAGTCTCCCGTGCTATTTTCATGATAGTGAATAAGTCTCACGATATCTGATGGTTTTAAAAAAAGGAGTTCCCCTGCACAAGCTCTCTGTGTTTGCCTACTGCCATCCATGTAAGACGTGACTTGCTCCTCCTTGCCTTCTAATACATCATCTATCTGGTTATTTCATACATATTTTCTAGCATTTTATTATTGGTTTCTTCAAAACTCTTCAGAAACTAATATATGTATATTTTCCACCATGATCAACTGTGCATATTAATATATATTATTTGGTATATGAATGTGGATTCATAATTGAGATTATGTTCCAATGAGTCATAGTAAAAGTACAGAAAATTAATATTTCTAATGCCTTATCAACCGATGATTATTATAAAATTAGCCTTTATGTCAAGTTCTCATTGCTCTTGAATTTCATTCCAAACAGAATTTTGGAATTCATATTATTTGGAATAGTATAGCTGTCATACCTAAATTAGTTTAATAACCCACATCTAATGCAAATTTACATTAAGATTTTACATAAATAATTATGGTGTAGAGTATGACAATCCTATTTCAAAACCACAGAGCCCTTAGAAAAACAAATTCTTGATTTTTCAGATATCTCAAATACTGTAAAATACAGTATAACTAAGAATAATTAGCCATGAGGTCAAACTTCAATTTCAAACATTATAAAAGTAAAATTAAGAGTTAAAATCTAAAACCACATGAAAATTTATTCTTCATTATAATCTCAAATTTGAAAACGTTATATAAGATTTATGCATTCATTAGAAAGTGATTTATTGTAATTTTATAAGATTTGCCAATTTTTAAAGGTGTATTTTTGATCAATGCAATTAAATGTTAAAATTATTATGCTATACATTATTAGTTCATGACACATTTTCAAATATGAATGTGATGTAGAAACAGGTGATTATCAGAAAATAAACTCTGTTTTTAGTTTAAGACTAAATTAAAGCTACCAAAAAGAAATTTAGTTTCAAGATAGGAAAGTTTATTTGTAAGGATGCTGGGATGTTTGAACCCAAGATGAGTGATGTTTAAAAGGTTTTGCAATGGCATTCAATGAATAAAAAATGTTTAGAGTTCAGTAACTTCAGTTACCATTTTGGACAGATAACAAGAGATCCAATCTGACTAGCAGAGAATAGTGTAAGACATTTAGAATAGTTAGCAGTTTAAATCAGAGGGTAGACAGATTATTTTCCAATGTAGAGTACATATTTCTCCATTTGCATAATCCTCACCAGTGGGTAGAATTTATGAAGAATAGAATTTGGTTCATGGAAAGAAAAGCAGGCAGGAACTAAATCAGATATAACTTTCTTCATATTTAATAACTGAAGTTTACTCCTATTTTGAGACTCAATTCTGATAGAAGTTGGAAAATTAATCTGTCAGTTTAACCCTATCTCTAACCCCCTGCCATGTAGAGAATTGAACTAGCCTTCGCTCTCATAAGTGGAATTTTAAAAAATAATGAGTTACATGAGCTGATAAGCACACATGCATAGTCAATGTTAAGGCTTAGCATTTATAAAATTTGGGATGATAATTTATGGCAAATGTTTAACACATTTAATAAGATAAATAGTTTTTAAGGCATTGAATAGGTAGGAGTTCATATGAGTTTACTCTGGGTTGCTATTACTTTTACATAGTCAAACTTTATTTTGTAGTATTTTTCTTCTTGATTCTCTAGTCACTATGATAATTATTAGTATGGATGGTGACTTTTATTTCCAAGCACAGCATAATCCACAATAACATAACATTTAAAAGCAAAGGCTCTGTATCGATTATTAACATGAACAATTTCCTTTGCTACCATACTCCATCCAGATAAAGAACTGAATGTTCCTCTGAACCTTCCAATTAATTTCCTCCATTGTGATGAATCCTCCATAGATTTATTGGCAAAACATTATTTCTAAGTGTTCTCCACCCTACTATAAATTGTCTCAAAATAGTTTGTGTCTACCAACAAGGTAGTATAGACTATAAACTTAATAAATAGTAATTATTGATAATTATGAGATACCAGGATGCTAATGAAACTTTATTGCTTGTATTGAGAAATGAGAGTATAAATTGAGTATAAAATGAAAAGACTTGAATGCTTAGTAAAGCATATAATGTAGCTAAAGTTATTAAACAGATATATGTATATGCCAATTTGAATGTCTTTTTATCGTTGTTCAATGTATAGAATACTTATTTTTTCCTTTTTTTAGTTGACACAGTAATTATACTTACAGGATACAGAGTGATATTTTGATATATCTATACAATATGTAAGGATCAAATCAGAGTAATTAACATATCCATCACTTTATCATTTCTTTGTGTTGTGAACATTCAGAATCCTCTCTTCTAGCTTTTTGAAAATATATAATAAATTACAGTTAACCATATTCACCTTGCAGTGTTGTAGAACACCATAAAACATTCCATCTAGCTATAATTTTGTATCCATTAACCAAACTGTCCCCATCCTCCTTTTCCCTACCCTTCCCAGCATCTTAATACTCACAATCCTACTCCCTACTTTCATGAGCTTAAATTTTACTTAGGTCTCACATTTGAGTGAGAACATACAGTATTTATCTTTCTGTGCCTGATCTTTTTCGCCTAATATAATGTCCTACAGGTTTATCCATGTTGCCAGGAAGGACAGAATTCCATTGTTTTTATGACCGAATAGTATTCCATTGTGTATATAGACCACATTTTCTTTATCCAAGCATCTCTTCATGGACATATAGGTTGATTCCATATCTTGACTATTAGGAATAATGCTATATAATAAGTATGGGGGTGTGGCTATCCCTTTGGTATACTAATTTCATGTCCTTTGGTTATTTTTAAATACTATTTAATATGCACCTTTCTTTTTATCAGAAAATACATGAAGTAGTAAATAAAATAATCTCATCTCTATTTTGGCTTTTGAGGAAGTGGCAAAAATATAGTTATAATTTGGAATTATTTGACTCCAATTATTTTGATCTTAAACTAATAAGTTGCTTTTCTGGTTTATTCATGAAAATGTCAATGAAATATTTAATAATGTGTATCTGTGTATTTATATAAGGCTCGTAATATCCTATAGCCCTTGAAAGCCAATATGGCTCACTTACTTTGCCATTTTTAAGTTGTCTTTTTATTAATGATTTGTAGAAAAACTATATGTCCTGGATAGAAGTCACTTGTCAGGTATGCATATAGTACAAATAATTTTTTTCTGTCTCTGGCTTTTTATTTTTTTGATATTTATTTACTTATTTAGAGACTTCGCTCTGTTGCCAGGCTGGAGAGCAGTGGCACCATCTCGGCTCACTGCAAGCTCTGCCTCCCATGTTGAAGCGATTCTCCTGCCTCAGCCTCCCGAGTAGCTGAGACTACAGGCATCTGCCACCATGCCCAGCTAATGTTTTTTGTTTTTGTTTTTGTATTTTTTGTATTTTTAGTAGAGACAGGGTTTCGCCATGTTGGCCAGGATGGTCTCAATCTCCTGACTTCATGATCTGCCCACCTCGGCCTCCCAAAGTGCTGGAATTACAGGCGTCAGCCACCGCGCCCGGCCACCTTTTTATTTTTTCCACGTATTTTGATGAGCAAAAGTTTACAATGTTAATACAATCAATTTATCATTCTAAAACACATTTTGTAGGTGTTGTGCCTTCTTTAGGAAACATTTGCATATTCCAAAGTCAGAAGTAATTTCTCCAATGCGTTCTTCTAGAAGACATACAGTTATTTAGCCCTCTGTTTAGGCTTATTATCCACTCAGTTAATTTTTGCATTTCATGGAAGGTTGGTTTATTTTTTTAATATATGGAAATATAGTTCGGCACCATGTGGCAACTCTTTCTTTTACCCATAGATTTGCTTGGCATCTTATCAAAAGTAAATTAAACATATATGTGTGTATGTCTAGTTCGGTAATCTCTATTCTATGCTATTGGTCTATTTTTCTTTCCTTAGCCAATACTAGTGTCTCCTGATAGTGTATATTTATATTAAAACTTGAGGTTCTGTAAAACAAATCCTCCAGTTTCTTAGTCTTTATGAAAATTGTCCTGACTATTCTAGATCCTTTGCGTATACATATAAATCTTAGAATTCACCTGTCAATTTATTTTAAAAATTCTACCAGAATTTTAATTCAGCCTCTTTTGATATTTGCCAAATATTTGCCAAGGAGTTACTTGCCAAAATATCTCTTTCCTTTCCTTTTACAGTTACACGTATGGTAGACTCAGAATTCTCCTACTGGTCACTGAGGCTCTGTTCATTTTAGTTCAACCATTTGTTAAACTTTTAAACCATTTTTTTAACTTATAAAGCAAAGAAATCATTTAATTTTCAAGTCAAGTTTCCTTGATTTGAGCTCAAATAATAGCTCAAATCAAATAGCTGATGGCGGGTGCCTGTAATCCCAGCTACTCAGGAAGCTGAGGCAGGAGAATCACTTGAACCCAGAGGTGGAGGTTGCAGTGAGCTGAGATTGTGCCACCGCACTCCAGCCTGGGCAACAGAGCGAGACTCCGTCTCAAAAAAAAAAAAAAAAAAAAAAAAGGCTGATATATGGTGTGCGCTAGGCATGTGGTAAGCACTGCTTAGTGGACCTCATTTAATCTTCCCAATAATCCAGTGAGGTGGGTGTTACTATCCCGTTGATAGGAAAGAAAGCTGAGCTGCAGAGATAAGGCAGAACTCCCAAGGCCTACCAGGCAGCAGAGTGGGGCATCATACATGCCTGACCCCACGCAAAGACCATCACTACTGCCAGCCGCTGCCTGGCTGTGTGCAGGTGGGGAGAGACCTAAAAGGTAGGGAGGGAGAGAAGATTCCTCCAGTCACTATTTTCTAAGCAGGTCAATGCTTAGACCAATGCTGAGTTCTGCTGTGTGCCCACCCTGGAGGGTCCCAAGGTGCCACCAGGTCTCAGACACACTGAGATTCTCAGAGTAAGTGTGGATTCAACGGGTGGGCAACGCCTAGCGGGGGCAAACATATAGAGATAAGGGAGTTCCAGAACGAGTGTGGCCAGATTCAGCTTCCCACCCAACCTTGGACCCCCAGGAGGTGGTGTCAAGAGGGGCCATGGCCTGGGGTGCGGGCGTCTCTTCCTCCCAGAACACTAGCCTGAATCAGCCAGCTCTGCGCACACACAGCCAGGTCCACAGGCACAACAATTTCCTGGGGCCCCTGAGGGCAGGGGGTCTGCTGGGGCTGGGGCTTGTGATGTGTGGAGTGAGCGCAGGCTCAGATCAGGGCAAGGCAGCTTGTCCAGAGAGGCAGATAATTCCCAAACAGAAGACCTCCAAGGCAGAGGGCCCTGGGGCTGGACTCCTGGCCTCCAGGAGGTTGTTCTGAGCTTACCCTGTGGACGGATTGGAGGGTGGCCCTCTTTCCCCACAAGGATCAAGAGGGACTGGGGGATGGTGGGAAGGCAATCTGGCCAGGAGAAGCTGCGGGGGAGACTCCCGCCATCCCCAGTCCCACCATCTCAGCCCCGCGGCCTCTTCCTCCCTGGAGACAGCCAGGTGTGGCCCAGGATCCCGGGAAGTGCAGCAGGGGAGGGGGTGGCGTCTTCGCTCCTCAGGCGCTGGCCCGGCGCCAGGAAGCCAGTGCGCCGGGGATTGTCTCTGTCAACTGCAGCCCAGACCCAGTCCGGGAAGTTCTGCCAGGCGCTCTCCGCCGGTGCCTCCCTGGTTATACTGTTATACAGGAAACCTGGCAGCGCGGGAGCCGCGCGGTCGAGGAGGGAGCGCGGAACGCCGAGCCCACGCGCGCCTGCCGGGGCAAGTGGAGGCGAGGCCGGCGAGCGGACGCCCCGAGCTGCCCGGGCAGGCAGGGTCGGGAGTGAGGCGCCGAGCGGGGGTTGAGGTGGGAAGTGGGGTTAGGGGTGGGGGTAGGGGGTGGGGAAGGGGACAGGGTGGGGGAGGAAAGGGTGCGGCAGGTGGCTGGTCCGCACCTGGGAGCTCCGCGCGCCTGCTCCCCTTAGTTCCGCGCTGGGGCAGGATCTGCGCGGGCCGCATCCCACGCGAAGGAGAAGGTAGGCGAAGGGCTGCCCTCCATTGGGCTGGAGGGCAGCAGGGAGGCCCCCAACGCCCACCCAGGCGTTGACGCCTCTGTATCTTGCGTCGCCTGGGCGGTGGACGCAGGAGACCTCCTGGCGACTGGTGCGCTCCTGCGCTCCAGGGATCCTCCCGGCACCCCGCCCCCCCCACCAATCTCTCTCCTTCTCTGTGTGCCCCCAGGTCGGGGAAGGAGCCGTGGCCGGGTCCCCTTCTTATCCAGCCCGAGACACCGCGCCTGGTGGGCGTCCCTGCGCTGGGAATCCCGCTCGGAGTTTTTCCAAGCCCGGCCGGGCTGTGCGGGGAAAGGCCCTGGTGAGGGAGGCGGGCCCGGAGCTGGCGGTCTGCAGTCCGGTTGGAAGTGCTCGCAGTGGGGGATTCAGGGTGCAAATGATCTCCCCGCGAGCGGGAACGCCCGGACAAGACAACCAGCCCCAGCCCAGCATTCCCAGAGCCGCGTGCGGGAGGGACGCAGGGACGCAGGGACAGCAAATCCCCAGGTGAGGGGAGAAGGGGGAAGGCCGGGCAGGGGCGGCCCCACCCTCCTTGGGTTCTGCTAGCGATCAGCCAGCACCCCTTCAGACGCAGCCCTCCCGGCTCCAGGCCCCGGCCTTCTGCTTCGGGCCTTGTCTTCCCCATGCCCCCAAGGTCCCCAGCAGAGGCCTTCTGGCCCCTCCTCGCCCCGCCCAGACACAGCTGCTTTGGGTATCGGTGACAGCACTCCTGAGTGTCCCTGTCCCTCTTAGCTCCCGTTGCCAGCTCCGGTTCCGTGCAGCCTCTCCGGCTTCGCCCCTGGAAGCCACGCCCAGGGCGATGGTCGGGGCCTAACCTGCCGGCTCGGCCCCCCCCGGCCCTTGGGCTCCCTGAGGCCCGCCCAGCCGACGTGAGTGCGCTGCGGGGTCCATGGGGAAGGGGCGCCGGGGCAGTGTCCTCCTTGGGGTTTGTTGGTCCAGCTCTGGGCAGCTCGATGACCCCGCCTCCGGGACCCAGTGTGCTTAGTGACTCAGTTTACACTTTTTCCTCGTCGAGGAACGCTTGAGAAAGTGGCGAAGGAGCCCTACGGGGGGCCTGGTTGGACCCTGCTCCTTCAGTCCCTCAGCCTCGGCAAGCGGCGGTCTCCTGGCCCCTGGTCCGGGTCACCTTAGGAGGCAGGAGGAGATGTGGTCAGTGTGGGAGCTTGGAGGGGCCATGCACTTCCGGAGAAGACCACCGACTCGTGGCTTTGGTGGAGGGGTGCAGGCAGATTTAGTTAGGCTCTCCCCCATCCCTGACACACTGGAGCCGGGGCGGGAGCGGGGCTTGTGACCACTCCGGAGAGCTTTGGGGGCCCCTGCTCTGGGACTCCGCACGGATAGTCACTGTCTCAGAGTGCATTCTCCAGGGGCCACTCTCGTGGAGGCATCCGGGGGGTCCCAGGGCAGGTGGGCAGCCTTTTTCGGGGGGGGTGCGGTGTGAGAGCCGGAGAGCAGGGGGCGGGGCGGGCCCGGCTGGGGCTCACGTCTGCGTTGAAGCCTCTGGGGAAGGAGAGAGAAACCAAGAGAACCGGTTCCCCCGCCTTGACAGCGGAGGCCCTCACACCGAGGCCCTTGGACTAAACCGGGCAGGGACAGCCCGCAGGTAAAGCTGTTCTCCGGGGCGTCTGCAGAGCCCGCATCCCAACCCTGACCCAGGGGCCGGGGCGCAGGCTCCTGGAGGGAGGCGGTGCTACGGGACTCTGCGGATTCTCTGCGGGCGGGAGGCGTCCAGGCGGGACAGGGCCCGGGGAGCGGCTGGCAATGGGCTGCTCTTCCCACTTGACTGATGGAAAACTAAGGCTCAGTCACCTGAGTAAGCGTGGTGTCGACCTCAGAGCGGGCAATCACCCCTCGTTTTAAAACCAAAGTTTCCCTCGCAGTCGATTTGGACCAAGACTACCCACAATCTCCCCACCGCAGGACTGAAGCGAGGCTGAAATCTTAGAATCAACCCCACGGAATGAAGAGGTTGTCGTAATTCCAGCACTGAGTGTAAGAATGGAAGCCTTACATGTGATTTTATTCAAGTCCCCATTTTAGAAATGGAAAAACTCAGGCCCGAAGGCGAACGGCGAATGCAGCATCGGGACTCGAACCCAAGTCTGTCCCCGAGTGCGGGGCTATTCCAGGCTCGGTGGTCTTGACCTCCACGGCCCTCCTCCTTGTTGCCTGCAGAAAAACGCCGCGGCCACGATGCCGGCGTATGTGGAGGGGGATGTCTACCTGGTGGTGGAGCACCCCTTCGAGTATACCCGCAAGGACTGGCGCCGCGTGGCCATCTGGCCCAATGAGCGCTACTGGCTGCTGCGGCGCAGCACGGAGCACTGGTGGCACGTGCGGCGCGAGCCTGGCGGCCACCCCTTCTACCTGCCCGCGCAGTACGTGCGCGAGCTGCCTGCGCTGGGCAAATGACCTCCCCGCGAACGGGAACGCCCGGACGAGACAACCTGCCACTGCCGCGCCGCCAGGTCCCCCCAACAGTCCCCTCGGCCCCCGAGCCGCTCACCTACGACTACCGGCTTGTGAGCGCGGCGGCGGCAGCGGGCCCCGACAGCACCCCCGCGGAGCCCCGAGGCCGCGCCAGCTCCCTGTGCGGCCCTTCGCAACGCGGCGCCGCGACCCAGCGCAGCAGCCTGGCGCCCGGCCTGCCCGCCTGCCTGTACTTGCGGCCTGCGCAGTCCCTGGACTACCTGGCGCGCGCCGCCGTCTCGCCTCCCGCCGGCCACCTCGGAAGGAGCGGCAGCTTCAAGGCTGCAGTGTGGCGGGTTCCTGGATGTGCCCGCGGCCCCTGGCGCGCAGCGACTCAGAGACCGTCTACGAGGCCATCCAGGATGTGCACGGCCCGCCGCGGGAGGAGAGCGGGGAACAGGGGTGGCGCGCTGGGGACCGCGCCCGCACGGAGCCGGGGCGCGAGGAGACCTGCTCCGCTCAGCGTCGGGCACGATGCCCACCTCTGTCTGAAGACTTGGAATGAGCTCCCTCTCCCCAACCGCGAAACGGGAGCGGTGCAAGCCCCTAGTCCCTCATCTGCGATTCCCAAGCTCCAAAGCTGCCTGGAAGCCCAGAAGTTTTTCGTAATCCAATTGGTGGCAAAATTGCGCTTGAACTGATGTGAGGCTGTTGATGGTCTTTATTTGTCAAACTTGTGTGAATATTCATGTTTTGCTGCAGAAATGCAAATGAGCTCGATGACCGGCTGCTGCCCCAAGCCCTGCTGGGAGGTTATGTGACCTACAGCAGGTGTGTGCCCCATAGTCTCTTTCCAAGTCCCAGCTGTTCTGTATTCCGAAGCGCATCTGGGCACGGAACGGGGGATTGCGGGCTTGCCGCCGGCTCAACAGCCTTGCCAGTCTCCCAGGAGCCTGGGGTCAGATGAGAGGGTGGATGTGAAACTCAGGCGTCTGCTTCCCTTTGAGGGTGCTTCCAACATTTCAGATGGGTTTGTTTGGGTGCTTCCAACATTGATGGGTTTGTTTCAGAAAGGCGTCCGGTTATGGTGAGGTTGTTTTTTTTCTCTCTTCAGAATCCGGTTGTGTTAATCAGGGAAATCGAAAATAAAGCACGTTTTAAAAACACGCTTACATCCTCAGAACACTCTGGGCGACCCTGACATTTTGAACTTTAGGAACTTTTCAAGGAGGGGCAGCCCGAGTGGGAAAAAGAGATGCTCAGAACCGTTCTTTCATCTGCCACCAGCTGTGTGATGATCTAGGGGCAGTTCCCTTCCTCTCTCAGGGTCTCGGTTTGTTCTTTAGCCCAAAGGGAGGGGATGGACAGATGACCGCTGAACCTTGGGAGCCTCTGATTTCTTTCGCTGTGCCTGATGTCATTACCATGAACACTGATGCCCACCATGTGCCAGGACTGAGTCCGGGATGCCCAAACGAAGAGACACGCCTCCGTAGGCCCGCTGCTGGATGTTCCCTCCGCTCGACTCGTTACAATGCAGAGCTCAGGTTTCGAGACTAGGGAAAGGGCAACTGGACTCTGCTGGGTCACCTGCCAGTTGCTGACAGCCACTTAACTTACACGCGAGGACGCTCCCCCAGGCCCAGCGTCCTCTGGTGTAAGCACAATACCTAAGGATTAGGGTTGTGAGCCCTAAACGAGGTAAGGCTTCTAAGCACTTGGCAGCAGCAGGGGGTCCACCCAGACTGTCCGGGTCGTCCTGGTTTGGCTTCCTTAGGACTGTGCCGCTTTCACTCGAGCTCCTGCAGCGGCAGCCCGCCGCCTTGTGGCCAGGGTGGAAAACGGCACCCGGCGGACAGGGCAGGAGACCACGGCTGTTTCCTGTTTCGCGCCCCTGCCAGCCAGCAGGCAGCTTCTCTGGGATGGATGGCTGGATGCCAGCGCTCTTCCCCCGCAGCGCCCCTCCGTTTCCTGCCCAGGCTCCCGGTGGCGCACTTCCCGGCCTCTCCACATTCTCTGTCCTGTAGGAGGGTTCCTGCCCGTCTGAGCGGAGCCCCTGGAGGTGGGGGAATGGCCTTATTCTTTGAACCTCGCATCCGGCCCAGGGTCTGGCTCAGACAGAGTGCACAGAGTGTGTGCTGAGGAGGGCGCAGGTGCGGCAGCCCCTTACCTATGAGCCAGGCCTCTGTAGGTCTGCCCAAGGGCCACCACCAGGCCCCAGGACCAAAGAGGAAGGAGACTGCCCAGGTCCTGACATCTCCTGAGAAGACAGATGACCCTGGCTGCCAGGGCGCCTGCCAGGTGGCCCCTCTGCCCATCCTTCCTCCAGCTCCCAGCAGGTTCCCAGTTGCAGTGGCATATGGGGGGAGGGGCACAGGTGATGAGGGCAGGGGACTTACCCGGGGGGAACTAGGACATTGGCCAGAGACAGGCTGCTCCTTGGCCCCACTTGTGGCCCTAATTCACTGTGTGACCTCCACAAGTCACTTTGCATCTCTGGTCCTGTTTCCTACCCTGTGCAATGTGCTGTTGCACTCCAGCCTGGATGACAGAGCAAGATTCTCTCTCTTAAAAAAAAAATCTTAATTCAGTTCTAATTCACTTCTCGAGGAGAGTCATGTATCTGGTAACCTTGGCATTGTTGCATGTAAGAGAAAACCAGAAAGGAAGTGATAGAGGCTTCCAAAACACTGTCACATAAATGAGCTATTAATTGAATTTTTACAACTGGCTAATGAGCTTTAGTATTTAGAATCACCGAATTCTATAGAGATGAACTGCTCTTTTAAAAGATCATGTGTTTTTAAACTCATGTTCAATGAGCCGATTATTTCATGAGGGTGCCAGGTGACATAGTGAAGACCACATATGCACAGAGTGATAGAACGCTGGCAGGTCCCAAGCCCTTTTCTGTGATTCTTCTCTTACCTCACCACTATCCTGCTCTTGACAGGATTATGGTTTCTTTGCACTCTCTTCCCTTTCTTCAGCCAGACCTTTCTGGAAGAAATCATTCATTTAAATTAAAAATAGATATATTTTTTATATCTATTTTCTCTCACCAGTATCCTGCTCTTGAAAGGCTTATGGTTTCTTTGCACTCTCTTCCCTTCAGCCAGATCTTTCTGGAAGAAATCATTCATTTAAATAAAAAATAGATATACCTTGCTAGGTCCTTCGGATATTTAGGTTCAAGTGAAAAAGAAGGTAAAGAATAGGAAAATGCCTTTAAGGCCAGGTGCTGTGGCTCACACCTGTGATGGGATGCCAAGGCAGGCGAGGATCAATTGAGCCCAGGAGTTCAAGAAACAGCCTGGGCAACATGGCAAATCCCCATCTCTACAAAAAATGCAAAAATTAGCCAGACAGATTGGTACACACCTGTATTCCCAGTTACTCAGGAGGCTGATGAGGGAGGATCGCTTGAGCCCAGGAGTTCAAGGCTGCAGTGAGCTGAGATCAACCCACTGTGCTCCAGCCTGGGTGACAGAGCAAGACCCTGTCTCAAAAAAACAAACAAACAAAAAAGCCTTTAAGGCCCAAGAAAATTCATCTAGACAGTAGTTCTGTTTTGGGAGGCTTGATTTTTTTTAATTACTATGGGAAATTTAAAACTACACAAATACGAAGAGAATAATGAACTCCCAAGCAACCATCATTCAGCTGTGACAATTATCAAAGTTTATCACTTTTTTTTTTTTGAGATGGACTTTTGCTCTGTCACCCAGGCTAGAGTGCAGTGGCATGGTCTCAGCTGACTGCAACCTCCACCTTTTGGGTTCAAGCAAGTCTCCTGCCTCAGCCTCCCAAATAGCTGGGATTACAAGTACCTGCCACCACGCCCAGCTAATTTTTGTATTTTTAATAGACACAGGGTTTCGCCATGTTGGCCAGGCTGGTCTCGAACTCCTGACCTCAAGTGATCTGCCTGCCTTGGCCTCCCAAAGTGCTGGGATTACAGGCGTTGAGTCACTGCTCCCAGCCAAATTTATCACTCTTGGTTCAGTTGTCACTGACCACTTTTTGAAATCCTATAGTGTTTTAAAACAAATCCCAGAAATCACGTTTCACCAGAAGTTCAGTATGTATCTCTATGTAGACATTTTTTCCATAACCATCATGTCATTATCACACTCAATAAATTAACTGTAATTAACAAATTAATCATCTGATTCTCAGTCCATATTCCACTTGCCCTAGTTTTCTTAGAGATACCTTTTTACTGTTAGCAGTAAACCAGGTCCAAACAAGGCCACACATTGCACTTCATTATTTTTCTTCAGTCTTTTTATTCTGTTATATAAACTTCAAGGAGTCCAAGAACCATTGAAATAGATTACAAAAGTTTATATACATACTTTTTTCCTTGGTAGAGGATCACAGTATTTATCCATTTCTAATAGGGTTTTGTGACACAAAGTATGTTAGAAGCCACTGATGTGGACTTTCTGGAATCATCAAATTGTGATAATTCTTCATACATGAAGTTTTATTATTTTTTGTATGTGTGTGAGACTGGCTGGAGTGCAGTGGCACGATCTCAGCTCCCTGAAACCTCTGCCTCCCAGGTTCAGGCAATTCTCCTGCCTCAGCCTCCCAAGCAGCTGGGACTACAGGCTCGTGCCACCATGCCCAGCTAATTTTTGTATTTTTAGTAGACAGGATTTCACCATGTTGTCTAGGCTAATCTCAAACTCCTGGGCTCAAGTGATCTGCCCACCTGGCCTCCTAAAGTGCTGGGATTACAGGCCTGAGCCACCGTGCCTGGCTATCCTCTTCAAACAAAATATGGGCATTTCCATTGGCCTAGGTCTTCATCTTGCCTACTTTATTGACTTACATTACTTACCTGGTCCTTGGAGACATATACACATTTGTCACCCTTAGTGCTCAACCAAATTGTATTGAATGCATTTATTTGGCAATTAGTTCTTGTATTTTAATTTTCATTTCACATATGTGTTCCATTTTCCTAACTAGATTGAAATAAGCCATTTGATATACAGAATCCTGTTAGGCATTTTTCTTTCTTTTCTTAAAATTTTGAAACAGGGTCTTGCTCTGTTACCCAGGCTGGAGTTCAGTGGTGCAATCACAGTTCACTGCAACATCCACCTCCCAGGTTCAAGCAGTCCTCCCACCTCAGCCTCTCGGGTAGCTGGGACCACAGGTGCACACCACCATGCCCAGCTAATTTTTTCAAAATTTTTCTAGAGACGAGGTCCTGCTATGTTGCTCAGGCTGGTCTTGAACTCCTGACCTCAAGCTATCATCCGGCCTTGGCCTCTCAAAGGACTGGGATTGCAGGTGTGAGCTACCACGCCCAGCCAACTATTTTTCTTTAAATTACTTTTCGGTTGTCACTTCTCTCAATAAATATTAATATGTACCTTTCTTTTATCTGAAGAGCTGACCTCAACCACTCAGGGTTGAGTCGCTGTGATAAGGTTTGAGGGTGCCTGAAATGTCATCATGATTCGTCCTTTGGGCTAAGCTGAAACCTAGTGACTTGTCAGGTCAATAAATTAAGGTTATTTCCCAATAATACAAACATTTAACACCGTGAAGTAGGTTTTAGGCAGGATTCCCTCTTTTCCACTGCAAAGGAGAGGTAAGTTCTTGCTGAGGTGGTCAAAGTCCCACCTGGGGCACTGGGAAGGTGGCGGGACATTGGAACGTGCAGTAGTTGCGTTCTGGAGTTTACTGAGGCTTTCCAAGTGGGCATTCCACGCAACAGGTCTTAGGGCGCCCCTCCCTCCGGGCGTGGCAGCCCGGGGCGTGGCTCCTGGCAAGGATCCGGAGCAGCTGTCATCGGAGTCAATTTCAGGACTCCAGCTCCAAGCTTTGGGGTTTCCAAAATTCTGGGGGCTTGTCTCCCTGTCCCCCCCCCGCCCCAAGTTTCCCTCCGTCGCTGGCGCTGTCCGGTGCCTTCGGTCGCTCGGGCCGCCCCCCTCAGCGACTTTTTTTTTTCTTTCTCTCGCTGGCTCTTTCAGCATCAGTTTCCCTAGGGGGCGGGAGGGGAATGATATTTGGGGGCTCCCCTGCCTTCCTCTCCGAGCCGCGGAAGGGGAGACGCGGGGAGGAGGTCTGGCCGGCTTTGGGCTCCAGCCAGGGGTCCGCGGAGACTGGTCTCCGAAGGCCTTTGACGCCGGGCATTTCGCGAGCTACGCGCCCCTCTCAGCCGCGCCATCCGCGCCCCGAGTCCAGGCGCACCGCGCTGCGCCGAGCCCAGGCGCTCCGGGCTCCGCGCTCCCGACTCGACGCCCCCGCGCTCCCCCTAGCGGCTGCCGCGCCGCCTCACTCGGTCTCAGGCTCTTCTGTGGCGCATCTCACGTGACCGCGCTGCGGGAGAGGGATGAAACAAGAGGGCGGCTGAAGCCGATCCTGAGTGGGGCCCCAGCAATTCGGAATGAGCCTTTTCCCTCCACCCGCTTCTGCCGACCGGGGCCCTCCCGCGCGGCCTCGCAGGCCTCCCCACCCGCGCCCGTCCCTCCTCCTCCGCTTTCCCTTCTCCCCCGTCCTCGGCTCCGACATTAGGGGCAGGCGGGGCAGGCAGCCCAAGCAGCCTGCGGCTTCCGCTGCGGAGCGCTGCGCCCCGGCCCCTGCCCCGGCCCCTGCCCCGGCCCCGCCGCCGCCGCCGCCCAAGTCCGGACCCATCGGGGGGCTCAGCTCGCGGCACCGCGAGCAGCAGGGGCAGGTGGGCCGCCGCCGCCGCCTAGGTTGAGGCAGCCTCCAAGCCGTGGCTGAGCTCGCCCAGGGGGGAGCAGCAGTAGCCGGAGGAAGCCGCCGCTGGTCCCCCAAGCACCAGCGCCCGGGTGGAAGGGGCGAGGAGGCGGGGGCGGCGGCGGCGGCGGCGGCCACCTGGCCCGGACCACCGCGGCCCGGAGGGCCGTGAACAAAGTGGTGTACGATGACCACGGGAGCTAGGAGGAAGAGGACGGCGACGTCGAGGAGACCCAGGAGTCTGAGGACAACGAGGAGCATGAGATGGAGGAGGACGAGGCTGATTCCGATTATCTGGAGGAGCTGGAAGACGACGACGACGCCAGTTACTGCACAGAAAGCAGCTTCAGGAGCCATAGTACCTACAGCAGCACTCCAGGTACCCACCCAGCCCAGTTGCTGCAGACTCCTTCCCCACCTCCTCTGCCCTCCCCCCTTGCTCACTCGTGTGCTGTGCATCCTGCTCCGATCTCCCCCCAACCCCGCCTCCCCCCCAAACAGAGGGGAAATGCGAGGGCACATCAAGTGGCAAAAAACTAGATTTACAAGAGGAAAGAGGCGCATTGTTAAAAATGGAGATTGCATTGTTGCAGTTTGCAGGCTACACTCGCTCGCTCTCTCTCTCCCCCCCAACCTCCTCTTTTTCCTCTTCAAAATTTGTGCCAGTGCAGTGTCTCCACCGGGCAGGATTGAAACTTTGGCAAACACGTATCCATTGCATTCATTTCTTTCCCCTTGTTTTGGTCTGGTTTTCTGGAATGAAAGAAGCCTCTTGTTTTACAAACCTCTTTGCATTTCTAATGTGGTTTCTTTCAGATTTTTATTAGATATGTTACTTAAAAGGGAATTAAGGGTTTGGACAGATTGTGGCACACAAACACACACAAAAACATGTCTGTTTTCACATCCCTAGCTGTGGTTTTAAAATTGTGTTAAGGAAATGGATCATTTGGGTTAGTAGGGGAATTTTATCTGGTCCTGTATGTTTGCTTTTATTCTTCGAGTGCTAATGGGCCTGTGCAACAGTTGCTGGTAAATGGCTGATTAAAAAGCAAAGCAGAAAGCCAAACAA
Source organism: Homo sapiens (assembly GCF_000001405.40). Lineage (NCBI taxonomy): Eukaryota > Metazoa > Chordata > Mammalia > Primates > Hominidae > Homo > Homo sapiens. The sequence continues at coordinate 68,206,932 of NC_000017.11, forward strand.
GACCCACCCAACTTTGGTTATTCATTCGATTCAAAATTGTTTTTGGTTAAATCAAAAATGAAAGTACAAAACCGCAGGAACGCGCATCTTAGCTCATTTGATCGCTTTGCCTTGCTTGGGAAATGCAGTTTCGTGTCACCTGTTGCAGAAGATATGTAGTTGATCATCTAGACATAATTGCTGAAGATAAACTTTTGGACCAACTTCTAAGTCACACAGCATCATTATCAGATTTATTACACAACGACTTTTTTGTTTTCACTCTATTTCTGAGGAAAAAGCCTTCCCGAAATCCGTAATGAATTTCTCCATGGTAACCCCTCTTCTGTTTTCACACAGAAAAGTTTCTCTAGACTGTTGCTAAGATGCATTTTGTTAAATACCCCCCCCCCACAAAGGCTGCTTTGTATTAAATACGTAGTTGGAATTTACTAAATTGTGAAATTAACGTAACCGAAGCAACAACCGGCAAGACTTTTCCTTTATAATTTTGCAAATCTAGATTAATTAAATTAGAATCTGTTTTTAAAAGCATTAAAAAAATAAAGTTTATGAGAAAATACTTGTGAGGAAAAAGGACCCTTTTTTCCTTGAAGTAAGGTGTGTCATGTCTTTCTCAGAGAGACTGCTGTAGTAGAAGTGGTTAACTTGAAAAGTTTCTGATTTTTCATAAATGCTTACTTACTGGAGAAGTAGAGTAGTATTATCTTGAGCCAAATATAAACCTACGTAGGTTGTCCTAATGAGAGGTGACACCGTGCTGGCAGCCCTCATAGCCCTCCCTGGCTGTCGGCGCCTCCTCGGCCTTGGCGCCCACTCTGGGCGCGCTTGAGGAGCCCTTCAGCCCGCCACTGTACTGTGGGAGCCCCTTTCTGGGCTGGCCAAGGCTGGAGCCGGCTCCCTCAGCTTGCGGGGGAGGTGTGGAGGGAGAGGCGCAGGCGGGAACCGGGGCTGCGAGCGGTGCTTGCGGGCCAGCGTGAGTTCCCAGTGGGTGTGGGCTCGGTGGGCACGCACTTGGAGCAGCCGGCAGGCCCCGCCGGCCATGGGCAGTGAGAGGCTTAGCACCTGGGCCAGCAGCTGCTGTGCTCAATTTCTCGCAGGGCCTTAGCTGCCTTCCCACGGGGCAGCACTTGGGACCTGCAGCCCGCCATGCCTGAGCCTCCCCTGCCCCCGTGGGCTCCTGTGTGGCCTGAGCCTCCCTGACGAGCACCGCCCCCTGCCCCACGGCGCCCAGTCCCATCGACCACCCTAGGGCTGAGAAGTGCGGGCACAGGGCGCGGGACTGGCAGGCAGCTCCACCTGCGGCCCCAGTGCGGGATCCACTGGGTGAAGCCAGCTGGGCTCCTGACTCTGGTGGGGGACTTGAAGAACCTTTATGTCTATCTAAGGGATTGTAAATACACCAATCGGCACTCTGTATCTAGCTCAAGGTTTATAAATGCACCAATCAGCACCCTGTGTGTAGCTCAGGGTTTGTGAATGCACCAATCGACAATCTGTATCTAGCTAATCTAGTGGGGAGGTGGAGAACCTTTGTGTTTAGCTCAGGGATTGTAAAGGCACCAGTCAGCGCCCTGTCAAAAGAGACCACTCGGCTCTCTGTAAAATGGACCAATCAGCAGGATTTTGAGTGGGGCCTGATAAGAATAAAAGCAGGCTGCCCCAGCCAGCAGTGGCAACCCATTCAGGTCCCATTCCACATTGTGGAAGCTTTGTTCTTTCGCTCTTTGTGGTGAATTTTGCTGCTGCTCACTCTTTGGGTCCACACTGCCTTTACGAGCTGTAATACTCACCGCGACGGTCTGCAGCTTCACTCCTAAAGCCAGCGAGACCACGAACCAACCAGGAGGAACAAACAACTCCAGACACGTCGCCTTAAGAGCGGTAACACTCACCTGGAAGGTCAAGGTCTGCAGCTTCACTCCTGAAGCCAGCGAGACCACGAACCCACCAGAAGGAAGAAACTCCAAACACATCCGAGCACCAGAAGGAACAAACTCCGGACACGCCGCCTTTAAGAACTGTGACACTCAGCGCGAGGGTCTGCGGCTTCATTCTTGAAGTTAGTGAGACCAGGAACCCACCAATGCTGGACACTAACATAAACTGGAAAAAGGTAATTTGTTTTGCCGGATGGTCAGAATCGTTGCCAGACTTGTCCGGGGAGGCTGTATGGAGAATAAAAGGAATGAATTCAGTGTCAGATATTTATGTCTTATATGTAGAAAGGACTACATGTAAATTTTTGCCAACTTAATTTTAGTACTTTTTTTTTTTTTTTTGATGGAGTCTTGCTCTGTCGCCTAGGCTGGAGTGCAATGGCGCGATCTTGGCTCACTGCAACCTCCACCTCCTGTGCTTAAGCGATTCTCCTGCCTCAGCCTCCCCAGCAGCTGGGATTACAGGCGCCCATCAGCATGCCCGGCTAATTTTTGTGTTTTTAGTAGAGATGGGGTTTCACTATGTTGGCCAGGCTGGTCTCAAATTGCTGACCTCAAGTGATCCGCCTGCCTCTGCCTCCCAAAGTGTTGGGATTACAGGCGTGAGCCACTATGCCCGGCCTTTAGATGTGTCTTGTATTTTGCATGCAAGCGTGTGTTAGTGATGGACTTCTTTTGTAAAATAATATTATAGAAGAAAATAATTGTGGGTGTGTGTGTGTGTGTGTGTGTGTATATGTATATATATATATATATATATATTTTTTTTTTTTTTTATACAGAGTCTCCTCTCAGGCTGGAGTGCAGTGACGTGATTCTGACTCATGGCAACCTCCACCTCCCGGATCAAGTGATTCTCCTGTTTCAGCCTCCTGAGAAGCTGGGATTACAGGTGCCTGCCACCATACCCGGCTAAGTTTTGTATGTTTAGTAGAGATGAGGTTTCACCATGTTGGCCAGGCTGGTCTTGAACTCATAAACTCAGGTGATCCACCCCCTTTGGCCCCCCAAAATGCTGGGATTACAGGCTTGAGCCACCACCCCAGCCCCAGTATATTCTTTTGATTTTAAAAATTAAAATATTATAAAATTAAAACCCAAACCACAATGAGATACCACTTCACATTCACTAGCAGGGCTGTAATGTTTAAAAAAAATAAAAATAAAAAGTGTTGGGGAGGATTTGGGGAAATTGGAACCATTATGTATTGTTAGAGAGAATGTAAAACCATGTAACACTGGAAAATGCTTTGGCAGTTACTCAAAAAGTTAAACTTAGAGCTACTATATGACCCGGTAATTCTATTCATACATATATAGTCAAAAAAGAATTGCAAACAAATGGTCATGCAAAAACGTATACACATATGTATACAGCAGCATTATTCTCAATGACCAAAAGGTGGAAACAGCCTACATGTGCATTAACTGATGAATGGATAACCCAAATGTGATTGATCCATATAACAGATACATTATTCAGCCTTGGAAGGAAATTCCGACATGTTACAACATGGAGAACCCTTGAGGGCATTATGCTAAGCGAAATAAGCCAGTCACCAAAGGACAAATACTGTGTGATTCCACTCATGAGGTACTTAGAGTGTTCAAATTGGTAAAGACAGAAAGTAGAAGGGTGATTACTGTAGGCTGGGAGAAGGAGAGAATGGGGAGTTAGTGCTTAATAGGTACGAGTTTCCATTTGGGAAGATGAAAAAGTTCTGGAGATTGGTTGTACAACAATGTGAATATACTTAACTCTACTGAATTGTACACTTAAAAATGGTTAGAGACAACCAGGTGTGGTAGCTCATGCCTGTAATTCCAGCACTTTGGGGGGCCACGGTGGGAGGATCACTTGAGTCCAGGAGTTCAAGATCAGCCTGGGCAACATAGAGAAATCCTGTCTCTACAAACAATGCAAAAATTAGCCAGGTGTGGTGGTGTGTGCCTGTGGTCCTAGTTACTTGTGAGACTGAGGTAGGAGGATCACCTGAGCCCAAGGAGGTTGAGGCTGCACTGAGCTGTGTTTACACCATTGCACTCCAGCCTGAAAGACAGAGTGAGACCCTGTCTCAAAAAAAAAGGGGGGGGGGGAGGTGGTTAGAGTGTAAATTTTATGTTATGCATACTTTACCACAATTTTCAAAAATTATTTGAAAGAAGCCACACACAAAAATCTTGTTTAGTGAAATCACGTATTGTATGATTTCGTTTATATGGAATGTCCCAAATGGGCAAATTCACAGGAAGTAAGTAAATACTTGCCAGGAAATGGGAGGGGAAATGGTTGAGTAGGGCCAGTGATTCTGGGGCTTCTTTCTGGGGTGATGAAAATGTTCTGGAATTGGCCGGGCACGGTGGCTCACGCCTGTAATCCCAGCGCTTTGGGAGGCCGATGCGGTAGGATCATGAGGTCAGGAGATCGAGACCATCCTGGCTAACACAGTGAAACCCCGTTTCTACTAAAAATGCAAAAAAATTAGCTGGGCGTGGTGGCGGGCATCTGTAGTCCCAGCAACTCGGGAGGCTGAGGCAGGAGAATGGTGTGAACCTGGGAGGTGGAGATTGCAGTGAGCCAAGATTACACCACTGCACTCCAGCCTGGGCAACAAAGCAAGATTCCGTCTTAAAAAAAAAAAAAAGAAAAAATGTTTTGGAATTAAATAGTGGTGATGGTTTTACAACCTTGTGAATACTATACTAAAACCCACTAAATTGTGCACTTATTTAAAAGGGTGAATTTATGGTGTATAAATTAATTATATCTCAATAAAAATAAAAAGTGGTATGAAGAATTGGGAAAACATATGTATATGTATATATATGTATATATGTATATGTATATATATGTATATGTATATATGTGTATATGTATATATGTATATGTATATATGTGTATATGTATATATGTATATGTATATATGTGTATATGTATATATGTATGTGTATGTATATGTATATATGTACATGTATATATATGTATATGTATATATGTGTGTGTATGTATATATATATGCCTTGAGTCTTTTTTAATCAGTTCCCTTTGTCCTTTTAAGTTATACCCAACTGATACTATATTATCATAAGGTTTCCAGTCCAGATCTATCTGTATATCTTTATCTCTATCTATATATATCTGTATTTATATATCTCCAGAAAAATATGCAAAATGGCTTGCTGATTTTCTTTTGATTTTAAAACTTAACATGTTTTTGGCCAGGTGTGGTGACCCACACCTGTAATCCCAGCACTTTGGGAGGCCAAGGTGGGTGGATCACTTTAACCCAGTAATTCAAGACCAGCCTGGGCAACATATCGACACCCCCTTTTCTACAAAAAATACAAAAATTAGCTAGGCATGGTGGCACGTGCCTGTAGTTCCAGCTACTTGAGAAGCTGAGGCAAGAGGATTGCTTGAGCCCAGGAGGCAGAGGTTGCAGTGAGCCAAGAATATACCACTGCACTCCAGCCTGGGTGACAGAACCAAATCTTGTTTCAAAGAAGAAAAAAAAATCTACCCTTGAAGTGGCTTATGCCTGTGATCCCAACACTTTGGGAGGCTAAGGCAGGAGGATGCCTTGAGCCCAGGAGTTTGAGGCTGCAGTGAGCTATGATTATGCCATTGCACTCCAGCTTGGGAGACAGAAAGAGACCTTGTCACAAAAATAAATAATTTAATTAAATAATTTTTTTTCTTTTCTTTCTTTTTTCAGGGTCTCTTTCACCCTGTCATCCAGGTTGGGGTGCAACGGCTCAATCTCAGCTAACTGCCACCTCCACCTCCTAGGTTCAAGCGATACTCCCACCTCAGCCTACCAAGTAGCTAGGATTATACAGGTGCACACCACCACACCTGGCTAATGTCTTTTGTTTGTGTATTTTTTGTAGAGATGGGGGTTTTGTCATGTTGCCTAAACTCCTGGGTTCAAGCAATCCACCGACCTCAGCCTCCCAAAGTGCTGGGATTACAGGAGTGAGCCATCGCACCTGGCCAATTTTTTCCTTTTACTGTGTCTGTGGTTCCACAACTTCCTTTTTTCCTGTTCTCTATGGACTTTCTACCTCATTTGGACTCTGCTTAGATTGGCCTAGTTCTCTTTAATCAAATCTTCAGGAACCAATTCATTACCATTAAAAATGATCTAACAAGCTTTATTTTTTATCATTGTTAAAAATCCTCGTTTTGAGTAACACAACCACAAAGTAAAGAATGTTATCATTGATTTAACCAGTAAAAGACAATACTTAACAATAAAATTTTAAAAACATACGCCAGCCGGCTTACCTGGTGAAAAAAATGATTGCGGCTGCAAGCTGCATTTGCCAGACAATGGTTTTAGATTTGCTGTGCACGCTGAACGCCATGAAAAATGGACTGCCTGGCCTCTTCATAAGGAAATCAATTACTTGCCTCTTTCTGAGTGAAAAGAATGAAAGGATTTAAAAAATCATAATAACCAAAATGGGGAGAATAAAACAAACTGGGCAGAGGGATGGGCTACTTTGCGTCTTCAGCTTCTGAAGTCTTCAAAGCCCTCTTCCAGTTCTTAGAATTAGGTCACATGAAAAAATCTGGTAGGATGAAATGAGTGTCAGAGCAGGGAATGGAAAGGAGAGTAGAAACTTTATCAATGTGCTGTCGAGAGGTCTGAATCCACACTGATTCTTGATTCTTTGTGGCTGGAAGCTTACGGAATCTTCGCTGTCTATGGTGTTCTGCAGTTTTACAGTGATACGCCCTTGTGTGGGCCACTTTCATCCACGAGGTATTTTTGGTGGGCGTTTTCAATCTGGCAATTGTGTTTGATTCTGAGAACTTCTCCTGACAACTTCCTCTTTTCCCTCTTGTATTTATCTTGAGCTATGATTTTATTGAACGTTGGACTTCCTATTTTGGTCTTCTGACATTCTTATCATTTCTCTCCAGTTTTCCTCTTTGTCTCTTTTTCTTTTTGGGGTATTTGTATGTGTTCAGGTTTTTAAGATTTCCTTATCTTGGTCGTCCAACCCTACTATCCAGTTTTTCCTTTCTGCTACCATATTTTTATTATCTAAGAGCTCTTTTGTTTTTAGAATCTTCCTTTAAAAAAATTAGTAAAATCCTGTTTCTGTGTCCTGGATATAGTATTTTCTCTTACTTTTCTGAGGCTATTAATGACAGGTTTTTTTTTTTCTCCTCTGTGCATGGTCTGTTTCTTCTAAGTTGCTGCTTCCTATTCTTTTTTTTTTTTATTTCTTCCTCAGATGTTTATTAATTCTTAATTTTCTGCTTCTCATTAACATCGTGGTACTCTGTAGCCAGTTGGAAGCTCTGAGCAAGTGGGTGGGCCTTATCAATTTTGACTTAACCATTGGATGATTTTCATTGTCTCTTTTATTGGGGGAAATCCCTCTTGTCAGTATCTTGAGGTCTGTCCTCGAGAGTAAGCTCTAGAGGAGCGATGGCATGGAAAGGCCTTTTCCTGTGTCCTGCTTGAAGCATGGAGGTCTTGCTGGTGGTATTCTGGTGGCTGAGTGGTGGAAGAAAGCTTCATTTATTGTGCACACAGCATTTACTATGTATATCGTCACTTAAATCCTCAGTTTTCTGTACAGTACCTTTCTTCACAACTGAGCGTGGTTTCTCCCAGTCCAGGGAACCTCAGTTTACCTCCTCTAGAGACTAGACCTTTGGCAGCTTGAAGGGGAGAGAGATGGTTTAGGAATCTGCTCCAGCCAGTTCCCTATTCTAGAGACACCCCTCCTTGTTATCATTGCGTTTTGAGGATTGTGTTCTCAACTTCACCTTCCTTTTTAGTTGGAGATCAGACTTTCTTGAGTCTGCTGAGGCAGTAATCACTTGTTCATCTACTTTCAGAATTTTTTTTTTAATTGTGTGTCTCCTACTTTATCCTTATGAGTTAGTCTTTAACAATTTTTTTTTTTTTGACAGGGTCTCACTTTGTCACCCAAGCTCTGAACTGCAGTGGCGCTATCTTGGCTAACTGTAGCTTCGACCTCCTGGGCTCAAGCAGTCCTCCTGCTTCAGTCCCGCAAATAGCTGGGACTACAGGTGTGTGACACCACGCCCGGCTAATTTTTGCATTTTTTGTAGAGACAGGGTTTCACCATGTTACTCAGGCTGGTCTCGAACTTGTGAGCTCAAGCCATCTGCCCTCCTCGGCCTCTCAAAGTGCTGGGATTATAGGCGTGAGCCACTGCGTCCAGACTAACAATATTTCTTTAGTATGGTTTTAAGAAGGTTTCAGGAGGGAGCAAAATGAAATCTGTCACCTTAACCCAGAAACTGCTAAGAGAAACAATACATAAGGTTTTAAATGTATATTCTATGTCTTTTGGTTTGGATCAGATATTTTAAGAAATATGTGTAAAATATGTGTAACTTTTTTCTTTTCTTGCTCCCTTACCTCCCAAACATCTGGTCATGGTATTCATTGTGCCATTTTTTGCTTTTGTCTTTGTTTTAACATTTCACTGTTGAGGTGGTAACATGGAAACCTTTGTCAGCAAGGTCATTCCAAATGGTGAAATAACTGTAACCACATTTTTAAAGTTTAAAGTTTACTGCTCTCAGGAAGCTGAGGCACAGGAATCGCTTGAACCTAGGAGGCGGAGGTTGCAATGAGCCGAGATGGAGCCACTGTACTCCAGCCTGGGTGATGGAGTGAGACTCTGTCTGTCTCCAAAAAAAAAAGTTTACTGCTGTGTTGTCATTGTAAGTGGAAATTCAGTGATGGCTGCCTGTCAGGGAGCCCGGTGCTTGTACTCTGTATAGACATTCAGCAGTTATAGCAGGTCACATTCACGCAATCTCAAGTGCCCTCTTGAAAGGAGCTCATAGTCATCAGGATGGCTGGGAACAAATTAGGAAGTAAGTGAAATTTAGTCCATGCTCCAATTCTCCCATTCCTGTGCCTTCCTTTCTGTGCTGCTTGTCCTTACCCTTTGGATATTCACTCTCACTGCCTCTTTCTTTCCCTGTGCTGCCCTTTTTGGCCAGATACAGACCAAAGGTGTCTTGTCCACATACAGAAAAACCTTGACATCTGTAAGGCTCATTACACAGTAATCAGTGGTATAGGTCTTAGTTTCAGAGACCTGTAAAAAGAAGTAGTTGTGATAAGTTAGTAACAGCCAAGAGCAACATTTAGTGAGCACTTCATGCATGCCTCACAGTGTCCTAAGCATTTTATGTATTTTAAAATTAAACCTCCCAACAGCCCAATAACGCAGGTACTATATTTTTAAATTTTATTTTACTTTTAATTAATCACTTTTGGAGACAGGGTCTCACTGTCGCCCAGGCTAGAGTGCAGTGGCATGATCATGGCTCACTGCAGCCTCAATCTCCCAGGCTCAGGCTGTCCTCTCACCTCAGCCCCCCTAGGAGCTGGGACTACAGGCATGTGCCACCACGCCCAGCTGATTTTTTTATTTTTTATTTTGTAGAGGTCTCACTGTGTTGGCCAGGCTGGTCTCGAACTCCTGGGTTCAAGCAATCCTCCCACCGCAGCCTCCCAAAGTGATAGGATTACAGGCCTGGGTCACCATGCCCTGCCTTGCAGGCACTATTTTTGTCTGCATTTTATAGATGAAGAGACTAAATCTCAAAGAGGTTAAATAATTTGCCCTTGATTTGCCCAAGATCCTATGGCTCTTAGGAGGTAGAACCTGGAATTTTTTTCAGAACGTATTTTATGAGAGTATTTTCAATACCTTATTTTATACTGTAGTCTATAGAGTTTTCAAACCATCTTCTTGAGAAATCTGCAACTTGCATTGTTTTAGCTGTTAAAACCAATGCTTATAACTCGAGGAGAAAGATACTGTAATGGTTTTTGTTATATCTGCAGTGAGTATTTATGAAATCTTTAGGCCGGGCACGGTGGCTCACGCCTGTAATCCCAGCACTTCGGGAGGCTGAGGCGGGCAGATCACAAGGTCAGGAGTTTGAGACCATCCTGCCTAACATGGTGAAATCCCATCTCTACTAAAAACACACAAAAAAATTAGCCAGGCGTGGTGGCACGTGCCTGTAGTTCCAGCTACTCGGGAGGCTGAAGCAGGAGAATGGTGTGAACCCGGGAGGTGGAGCTTGCAGTGAGCCGAGTTTGCGCCCCTGCACTCCAGCCTGGGCGACAGAGCGAGACTCCGTCTCAAAAAAAAAAAAAAAAAAGTCTTTAAAATTTTGAAATAAAGGCGTTTTAAGAAAATCTCAACTAAGTGGCCTTTCAGAAAAGTTCTGTTTCCTGATATATCAGTATCAATATATGAAACAGCATTCAGGGAAGCAAAATATATACTATTTGATAGTTACATAAATGCAAACCTTTGAAATCACATGACTCAGATGACAAATACCTGTGGGTGAATTTTTGATACATTGTCGAGGAAATCAAATATTCTGTTTTTCTTAGTGGAACAGTAAAATTCTTTACTCAAGTTATATTTGTCAATAAAACTGTTCATTTAAGTTTATTTGCTTTAAAAGCTATAGTCGTCATTCAAATTGCCTTTTTTGATGCATAATAAAGTGCACAGATTTTAAAGATGATTTCAGGCAAATAGGATTATCTTTTTCCATGCTGTGATATCTTGAGTATTTTTCTATGTAAAGTCAAGTAGGAAACTTTAAACATAGTGATAATTAAGTGTTCTGTGTCAACAATTTTGACAAATCTGAAAGATTTTACATCTTTTATGAAAATGAGATTAAAGTAATTTCAGTTTAACTGTACTTTTGTGGTAGATTACATGTGGACTCCTCATGATAGTTTTAAAGCCATGTAAAATTTTCACACAGTTTATAGTATGCAGAGGTTTTAATTGTAATGTTAGCAATTTATAGAAATTAAGTTTTCCATTATTGCTTTTATTTAATAAGTGCTTAAAAATATGTTATTTGTATAGGTTAGTGAAGCATATAATAAAAAAGATTTTTTTTTTTTTTTTTTTTGAGATGGAGGCTGGCTCTGTCGCCCAGGCTGGAGTACAGTGACGTGATCTCAGCTCACTGCAAGCTCCACCTCCCGGGTTCACGCCATTCTCCTGCCTCAGCCTCCTGAGTAGCTGGGACTACAGGCGCCCGCCATCACGCCCACCTAATTTTGTGTATTTTTAGTAGAGATGGGATTTCACCATGTTAGCCAGGATGGTCTCGATCTCCTGACCTCGTGATCTGCCTGCCTCTGCCTCCCAAAGTGCTGGGATTACAGGCATGAGCCACCGTGTCCGGCCAAAAAAAAGGTTCTTATACATGAATTTATGGTCCACCTGAGGAACCAAGACATATTCAGCATATAACTTAGAGGTCAGTTTTCATTCATTATGTAAGTGGGCCAATCTTTGTTAACTATTGCTTTTATCCTGTCAATCTTTGCTCTGAAATTAGGACCTACTAAAATAGAAATGGGCAGATAAGATTAGCATGTTTTTCTGTCACTGTCCATTCTAAATAAAACTACGTGAACACAGCATTATGTTTTATTTTTTTTTTGTAGAGACAGAGTCTCACTATGTTGCCAGGCTGGTCTCGAACTCCTGGGCTCAAGCGATCCTCCAGCCTTGGCCTCCCGAAGTGCTAGGATTACAACAGGTGTGAACCACCACACGCATTTAAGCAGCATTTAAAATCAATCTATATTCTTTTCATTTTCCAAATGAACTAAACTATACTTTTAAATCTATACAGCTTTCTACTCCCCTTTCTAGCTACAAGCCACATGTGAGCTTATTGACTTTAGTTGCCATCAGACCTGTGTCTGAATTCCTTCTGTCCACATTCAGTTCTGTATGTCCAGCAGACTCCTGGACATGTCTGCAAAGCAGGCACCTCAAATGTGTTTAAAACTGAACTCATAATTTCCCCCCATTACCTACTCTTCATCTAGTGTTCTCATCTTAGTAAATGGGATTACTGTCCCACCAGCTGCTCAAGCTAGAAATATGAGAATAAACTTTTTCCTTTATTGTTTGCTATGCCTTTAAAATAAATATTGAATCAGTTTCTCTCCATTCCCACTGTCCCTCCGTGATACAAGCCAGTGTCATCTCGATTAGACTAGTCGGTCACCCCTAAAGTGGTCTATATGTAACCCCCTACCTCAACCCTCCAAGATTTATTTTTTATTTTTTGAGATGGAGTCTCACCCAGGCTGGAGTGCAGTGGCCCAATCTCGGCTCACTGCAACCCCCAAAAATTCAAGCAATTCTCTTACCTTAGCCTCCCAGGTAGCTGGGATTACAGGTGCACCTGGCTAATTTTGTATTTTTAGTAGAGACAGGGTTTCACCATGTTGGCCAGGCTGGTCTTGAACGCCTGACCTTGTAATCCGCCCGCCTCAGCCTCCCAAAGTGCTGAGATGACAGGTGTGAGCCACCGTGCCCAGCTGCATCAGCCTTTTTCTAACCGGCCTTCCCTTCCAGCTTCCTCCACTCTAGCTAAACTAGATGGCTTCTTTGCCCCACACCTCTCACCTCTTCTGTCTGGTTCTGTTTGCCACATGGCAAATCCTACTCATCCTTCAAGACCCAGTTCAAGGGAGGATATCCCAATTGCTATGCATCCTGGGCTAGAAGCAGTTCTTTCTCTGAGTACTTATCCCATGTTACTGCTTTTTCAGGGAACTTAAATCATTCCACATTACTGCTATTATTATTATTACTATTATTTATTGAGATAGGGTCTCACTCTGCCACCCAGGCTGGAGTGCAGTGGCACAGTCATAGGCCACTTTCGCTTTGACTTCCCAGGTTTAAGTGATCCTCCCACCTCAGCCTCTCAAGTAGCTGGGACCACAGTTACGCACCACCACATCTGGCAAATTTTTTTTTTTTTTTTGTAGAGATGAGGTCTCGCTATATTGCCCAGGCTGGTCTCTAACTCCTGAGCTCAAACAATCTGCCCACCTCAGTCTCCCGAAGTGCTGGGATTGTAGGCATGAGCCACCTCGCCTGACCTCTGTACCTTATTTTGAAGCTATTATTGTTCATAGATTCTTAGCTCCTCCACTCCACTGTGCTGTGAACTCGACATTGCTACACAGATGCTCCTGTTAAGCTCTTTGAGTGCCCATCAGATTCAATCTAATTCAAATCTCAATCAAATTGTGATGAGAATCTGACTGTGGAGGAGTGGAGAGAATGCCACCCTGCCAGTATGGAGACTGGCTCTCCAGTTTTATAGCATATGAATTATATCTCAATAAGGCTGTTCAAAGAATCTGAGACTTCAGTCACTCCACAAAGTTAGCAAAGAGATTAAAAGTAAATATGGCAAAATGTTAGCTTTTCTGAGTGATGGGAATCACAAAATATTTTGTCTTCTTTATACTTCTCTGTTTTCTAAATTTTCTACAAAGAGCATTGGTTACTTTTATATGAAGAAAAAACTTAATAAACATTTAGAGGCAGAAGATCAGCCCTGCATTTGACCTGCAAAGACTATGCCTCCCCTTGCTTTACAAGAGTTCACCTACTGCATTGATCTCGGTCATCACATGTGTAACTATTTGTCTTCCAGTCTGACTTCTAGATTAGACTGTAAGCTCCCGGAAGTCAGAGATCACTGTATTTGTCTCATTTGCCTCTGAATCCTCAGTCTAGTAGCTTGATGGGTATATACCCATCAAGTATAAGTGCTCAAAAAATGTTTGTAGAATTTAACTGAATTTGTTAAATGTCTACTATGTCACCCATGTGCTGGACACTTTGGGTGATAAGAAAATGATCCACTTATGGAGTTGAATTTAAGATGCTTCCAGTCCAGCAGGGGAGAAGACACAGGTGCATAAGTACTTAAGCCAAGATACCATTCGAGGGGACTAGATAAAATGCTCCAACCCTTCAGAGAAAGGCAATTCCTTCCATCTACGTGCAATCAGGGACACTTTTTTTCTTTTTCTTTCTCTTTTTTTTTTTTTTTTGAGACAGGGTCTCAATCTGTCTCGCCCAGGCTGGGGTGCAGTGGTGCGATCTCGGCTCACTACAACCTCCGCCTCCTGGGTTCAAGCGATTCCCCTGCCTCAGCCTCTGGGGTAGCTGGGATTACAGGTGCATGCCTCCACGCCCGGCTAATTTTTGTATTCTTTAGTAGAGACAAGGTTTCTCCATGTTGGCCAGGCTGGTCTTGAACTCCTGACTTCAGGTGATCCACCCGCCTCGGCCCCGCAAAGTGCTAGGATTACAGGCGTGAGCCACTGTGCCCAGCTGTTTCTTTTTCTTTTTTGAGGCAGAGTCTCGCTCTGTCACCCAGGGTGGAGTGCAGAAGTGGGATCACAGTTCACTGCAGCCTTGACCTCCTGGGTCAAGTGATCTTCCTGCCTCAGCCCTCAGCTCCCCCCCCCGCCCCCCCGGTAGCTAGGACCCCAAGTGCATGCCACCGTGCCCAACTATTTATTTATTTATTTAGTAGAGTCAGGGTCTCACTGTGTTGCCCAGGCTGGCAGGGATACTTTTGTGGAAGAGAAGGCATTTGGGCTGGGGCTTTAAAGATGTCTTTAATTTACCTAGACCTAAGATGCAGGAAAGGGTGCATGCCAGATGGTGGAACATTGCGTCAGTAAGAAAGCCAGAGGCAGGGCACGGTGGCTCACGCCTGTAATCCCAGCACTTTGGGAGGCCGAGGCAGGCGGACCACGAGGTCAGGAGATTGAGACCATCCTGGCTAACAGTGAAACCCCATCTCTACTAAAAATACAAAAAATTAGCCGGGTGTGGTGGCGGGTGCCTGTAGTCCCAGCTACTCCGGAGGCTGAGGTGAACAGAATCGCTTGAACCTGAGAGGCAGAGGTTGCAGTGAGCCGAGATCACACCACTGCACTCCAGCCTGGGCGACAGAGCAAGACTCTGTCTTAAAAAAAAGAAAAAAAAAAATTAGCCGGGCATGGCACATGCCTGTAATCCCAGCTACTCAGGTGGCTGAGGCAGGAGAATCATTTGAACCTGGGAGGTGGTTGCCATGAGCTGAGTTCGCACCACTGCACTCCAGACTGGATGACAGAGTGAGACTCCATCTCAAAGAAAAAGAAAAACAAGAAGCAGAATGACACGACCTCAGCGGTATTACAGTAATCCCAGTGAGGGTGACAAATGGCCAGAGGCTAGAAGTAAAGTTAGGGCTGCTGAGGTACAGGAAAAGCAAGATAGCTGAGCTTATACATTAGCAATGGAATTAGAAGGAGGTGAATGAAAAGGATACTTCAGGCAGAAAACTGGACGGAGCACTTGGAAGCAGCAGGTGGAGGGAAGAGGGTGAAACCCAGCAGGCTCCCCAGGTTTCTGGTGGAGCAACTGGATGGAGCCATTCCTGAAATAGGACGTCTAGGGGGAGAAACAGACTTGGGTGGGCCAGGTGGGCTCTGAGGGACATGCTCAGTCTGAGGTCCCTCTGGGGTATCTAACTGCAGCTGGATCTACAGGTCTCAAGCTCAGTGGAGAGGTCTGATAAATAAAAGCACAGAATGTAAGCTACACGCACAGTGGCTGAAGCCGTGGGTTGTAGGGAGATTGTTCTAGGGCAGTGGTCCCCAACCTTTTTGGCACCAGGGACTGGTTTTGTGGAAGACAATTTTTCCACGGACCGGGTGGGGATAGTGGATTTGGGATGATTAAAGCATATTACATTTATTTCTGTTATTATTACATTGTAATATATAATGAAATATATAATGAAATAATTTTACAACTCACCATAATGTAGAATCAGTGGGAGCAGTGAGCTTGTTTTCCTGCAACTAGACGGTCCCATCTGGGCTTGATGGGAGACAGCGATAGATCATCGAGCATTAGATTCTAATATGGAGTGCTCAATCTAGATCCCTCAAATGCGCAGTTCACAATAGGGTTTGCACTCCTAAGAAAATCTAATGCCACCGCTGATCTGACAGGAGGCGGAGCTCATGGTAATGCGAGCAATAAGGAGTGGCTGTAAATTCAGAGGAAGCTTTCCTCATTCACCCACTGCTCACCTCCTGCTGTGTGGCCCAGTTCCTAACAAACTATGGACCAATACGGGTCTGTGGCCCAGAGGTTGGGGATCCCTGTCCTAGGGAACTGACTTCCTAGAGTCAGGAGAGAAGTGGGCTTGCAGGAAACCTTGCCTTCAAGAGGAGGACAGAGAACTGTCCAAGTAGGAGCAGCAGAGAGGCGTGTGCTCTCGGAGGGAGGGGTATCAAGGAAGCCAAGGAGGAAATTGAGGAAGAGAGAGAGACAGAGACAGAGAAATAAAGCAAGTGGTAAGATATTAATTGTCCGTTATTCTAAGGTGTTCATGATTCTCTTCTTTCAAATTTTGTGTATGTTTGAAACTTTCCATCATAAAAAGTCAGAAAGAATAAGGAGATCATGCCCTCATTGGGGAAAGGTTGTAAACATAGTCAGTTTCGAAGACTGGGCTTGAGTAGAGTCCACACCAGAAGGCATGAAGGACTGAGTTATGCTGGATCCATGACATCAAGATCTTTCATCTCAGCCAGAAGCCCCTCGTGGCCTCATTATAATGAAGCCCTGCGGGGCAGCGCTTTCTTGCCAGCCTTACTGTGCTCCATTTCTTTAATGGCCTTTTTGCTCAACAGTACAAGAGATCCAAACTGCTGATTCCAGCATAAGACATAACTCACTACATTTTTTTCACTCAAGCCTTCAATTCTAACTAATGGATTTTCTTTTCTTTTTTTCTTTTTTGAGATGGAGTTTCTCTCTTGTTGCCCAGGCTGGAGTGCAGTGGCACGATCTCAGCTCAATGCAACCTCTGCCTCTCGGGTTCAAGTGATTCTCCTGCCTTGGCCTCCCAAGTAGCTGGGATTACAGGTGCCTGCCACCATGCCTGGCTAATTTTTTTGTTGTTTGTTTGTTTGTTTTGAGACGGAGTCACGCTCTGTCACCCAGGCTGGAGTGCAGTGGTGTGATCTTCGCTCACTGCAACTTCTGCCTCCTGGTTTCAAGTGATTCTCCTGCCTTGGCCTCCTGAGTAGCTGGGATTACAGGCGTGCACCACCACACCCAGCTAATTTATATATATATATATTTTTTTTTGAAACGGAGTCTCGCTCTGTCGCCCAGGCTGGAGTGCAGTGGCACCATCTCAGCTCACTGCAAGCTCTGCCTCCCGGGTTCACGCCATTCTCCTGCCTCAGCCTCCCGAGTAGCTGGGACTACAGGCGCCCGCCACCACACCCGGCTAATTTTTTGTATTTTTAGTAGAGATGGGGTTTCACTATGTTGGCCAGGCTGGTAATTTCTCTATTTTTAGTAGAGACGGGGTTTTGCCATGTTGGCCAGGCCGGTCTCGAACTCCTGACCTCAGGTGATCTGCCAGCCTCAGCCTCCCAAAATGCTGGGATTACAGGCGTGAGCCACTGTGCCCGCTAATGGATTTTCTAGAGAATTGCTGTGCTGCATTTTTCTTTTATTTTGTAAGATTCTTTAAGGAATGAGAGTAGGGTGCTTCTGTGATCGGTAAACAAGAACATGGGCTTTACCATAAGAGGGACTTGGATTCAAATCCAGGCTTCTGTGTTTACTGAGCTGTGTGGCCTTAGGCAAATGCCAGCCTCTCTGCGTGTTGCTTGCCTTACCTATAACACCTATGCGGCAGTTTCAGTTTATTGTTAAACATCAAATGCAGAAACTGCTGCAGTGCCAGGCATGGGATAGGAATTGGGGGTAGCTTTTTTTTTTTTTTTTCCCTAGAGACAGGGTCTCACTCTGTTGCCCAGGCTGGTGTACACTGGTGCAGTCATAGCTCACTGCAGCCTGCTGGGCTCAAGTAATCTTCCAGTCTCAGCCTCCCCAGGAGTTAGGACTACAGAGGCGTGCGACAACATCTGGTTAATTTTTTTAAATTTTCTTAGAGTTGGGGTCTTCCTATGTTGCCCGGGCTGAGGGGCAGCTATTTTTATTTTTATCTGCTTCTTTTTCACTCCCTTTTTTTTGCCTGCCTTCTTTCCTCTCTATCTATCATCCTCTTTGTTTCATTTGGGTTTTTGCTTTGGCAGTTTCCCCCCAAAGAAACTGGAAACCAGGCTGGGCGTGGTGGCTCACACCTGTAATCCCAGCATTTTGGGAGGCGGAGGCGGGTGGATCACCTGAGGTCGGGAGTTCGAGACCAGCCTGGCTACCATGGTGAAACCCCGTTTCTACTAAAAAAAAAAACACACACACACAAAAATTAGCTGGGCATGCTGGCGTGCACCTGTAATCCCAGCTACTCAGGAGGCTGAGGCAGGAGAATTGCTTGAACTTGGGAGGTGGAGGTTGCAGTGAGCCAGGATGGAACCACTGCACTCCAGCTTGGGTGAAAGGTGACACTCTGTCTTAAAAAAACAAAAACAAAACTGGAAACCAGTGTGTGAAATTGACGGGCTGTAGCATCACCTTTGCCACCCTGCAGTGATAGAGGAGCTAAAAGTCCCCTGAGAGAGCAGTCGTGTTGATGGTGGTTGAAGTGGGAGGGTGGAAATGGAGAAGTTCAGCCTTATATTAATAGGATCTGTAAGTAAAATTCACAAGCACCCCACCCGTGTGGTTGGCTGAGCACCACAGGTGTAAATTATTATTAACTCCATACCCAACAGAATTCAGCTCTCCTCTATTTTTACTATAGGAAAACACACAATAGCTGTGTATTTTGATTTTTAATTTTTTTCTTTTTCCCTCTGTGACTCAAGCCGAAGAGCAATAGCTATTTTTTAAAGTTAGCATTGTGTTCAGGCACATAGTAAACATTCCTCAATGGTGAGAATTTTAATATTCTTTTCTTTTCTTTTTTTTATTTTTTGAGATAGAGTCTCACTCTGTTGCCCAGGCTGGAGTGCAGTGGTGTAATCTCGGCTCACCATAACCTCCGCCTCCCAGGTCCAAGCCTCAGCCTCCCAAGTAGCTGGGATTACAGGTGCCCACCACCATGCCCAGCTCATTTTTATATTTTTTAGTAAAGATGAAATTTCACCATGTTGTCCAGGCCGGTCTCGAACTCCTGGCCTCAAGTGATCCACCCACCTTGGCCTCCCAAAGTGCTGGGATTATAGCATGAGCCACTGCACCCAGCCTTAATGTTCATTTTTCAGCATGTAATTAAGGCAAGATTAATAGAAAATGGGGTCCCAGATTGCCTCGCCCCAACCCCATCTTCTTTTGGCTTTTGGAGTATGAAAAGGGGGACGTGCTGTGGTCTCTGCCTGAAGCTGGCTCGCCCGGGAGCCCTGCCGGACCCGTAAGGAGGAGAACAAACCCTGGCAAATCCGACTGGCCCGAAGTGGATTTGCTAGAGTGACAGGCAGCAAAATTAATTCAGTAAGGCATTCGTAAGTGTATCACTTCACAAAGGAGTCAAAACTGCAGGAATCTGAACGAAAAGATGCCAAGCAAAAGGACTGGGAGAAGACCTGCCTACTATGTACATTTGACTCTGTTTTGTGCCTTAAGAGTTACGTGAGAGGCTGACTCTAACGTGGTTAGAATGGAGAACCCAGGGAGGCTTCCTTCAGGACGAAGAGTGAGGAGGGAAAGCTGCCAGGATGCAAGGCTGCTCTGGCAACAGGTTCTTCTCTCCTGCCCCCCAGCCCCTGCGTCTCTTTCTCTGTTGTCCAGTCCTCTACAAATTGTCCAGCCCACTGCAGGGAGCCAGTCTGATGGATTCAATAGTTTGCCCCATTGGAGGGAGTCCTCATGGGCCACCTGTCAGCCAATGGACCTATTCTGGTCAAGTGTCCTCCCCTGATCTCCAGTGACTTAGGTGGCACCCAGTCTGGCTTGCCTGGCCACCTCCCACCTCTGGTGGAGGGCAGGCATCATGCATGTGTTTGGAAAATACATTTGATTTTAGAGTTTAATTCTGGACAGTGGTCTTGGGACTGTCTTCAATAGCAAGGATCATGTGACCAAGTCCCCATTTCTTTTCACATTTCAGCTGCCTAATTTACTCCTAAAATGTACTCTGTGTGCTGGGTGGGGAAATTCTGAACTGGCTTCTGATTCTGGCTCTAACATCAGGGGACCAGCCTTAAGACTTGGAGCAAGCTGCCACTTCCTAGGGTCCCAGTTTGCTGCCCTGTGGCACAGCAGGGTTAGGAGGGAGGAGCACAAGCTAACCTGCCATCACCCCGTGGCTGAGTTGGGATTTTGAACTGCTGTTGTTATACATAATAACTTCTATGGCTTCGGGCACCGAGAGAGGGAGGCCCTAATTCCTTTACCAGAACTGGAACCCTTGTGTACATAATAACATTTTTAGGAATCTATGTTCATAGCTGGGGACAGAGTGGCAGAATGGTGAAATGTTCCCACTGGTGTCACACCCATCTCAGCGAGAGTCAGCCTTTGTCACAGACCTGCTCCGTGACCTCGGGAAGATGATCTGACCTCTCGACACCTGGTTTTCCTCCTCTGGGAAGTGGGGATACTAATAGGTCCTCCCCCCTGGCTTATTGGAGGAGTAAGAGGCAACACATGCAAAGCAGTTAACCAGGAGCCTGGGTAGGGACCTGGCTGTGAGTTCAGAGCCTGGGATTTGTGGGATGGCCAGTGTATGCACTTCCAGTGACTGCTGGCATTACCACAAACCCTTGGTAGATTAAGACAACAGAAATCTACTCTCTCACAGTTCTAGAGGCCAGAAGTCTAAACTCCTTACTGCTCAGTTGTGCACTGGCTGCGGGCTCCAGGGGAGAATCTGTTCCTGGTCTCTTCCAGCTTCTGGTGGCCAGCCGCATTCCTTGGCTCGTGGCTGCATCGCTCCAGTCTTCAAGGTCAGCATCTTCAAATCTCTCTCTGCTCCATCTTCACACGGCCTTCTCCTCGGTGTGTCTGATATCCCTCTGTCTCCCTCTTACAGAGATACCTGCATTGGCCAGATGCAGTGGCTCACACCTGTAATCCCAGTGCTTTGGGAGGCTGAGGTGGGAGGATCACTTGGGGCCAGGAATTGAAGATTATGCTGGGCAACATAGTAAGACCCCGTCTCTACAAAATAAACAGAAAAGAACTGTATTTAGGGCCCACCCATGTAATCCAGGATAATCTCCTTCCATGTCAAGACCCTTACTTAATCACATCTGCAAAGACCCTTGTATTCACAGGTTCTGGGGATCAGGGTGTGGATATATTTTGGGGAGGGAGACATTTCCAGCCTGTCACACCCAGCTGCGGGGGACATGTTCAAGTTGGCTGTCCTTTTTGCCTCCACTGCCCGTTTGCTGTGGAGTTGTGCCCTTGTCTCCTTCAAGCTCCCCTAGCCGCCCACACATCATCTTTCCTGCCCGAGCTCAGCTCCCCATCCTGAGACTTCCTATTTCTGCCCACAGCCACATCATTTTCTCCACCATCCTCCTCAGAACTATCTTTGACCCCTGGTGCTCCTACCCTTTCCTGATGCCACTCCACCTACGCCTTACATCAGTCACCAAATCTCAGCATCACAGTCTGACCAAAAGGGAAACTTCTCATCTGACTCCTCTGATGCACAGAGATGGAGCTGAGCCCTAGAGATAGGGAGTGACTTGCTGGGGTCACATGGTGATTTCATGGCGAGACTGGACCACAGCCCAGGCCCCTGGGATCCACTCCTACCCTGACTGCCCATCGGCAAAATGCTTCCTGAGGACAAGGCTCTCTCCATCCTTCTGTCCCTTCCTGAGCCCTGCCCTTGCCTCCCCTCCTTGGGAGGCTGCGGAAGCCTCGTGGGCCTTCTCCAGCCAGCCACTCTGGCCACTCCAGCATTCCTTTCGCTGCTTTCATTTGGGTCACCCCTGTGGAGATAGCTTCAGTGTTTCCCAGTGACCTAGAAGCAAAGTCCATCTGTTGGCAAGCATTTATTGAGCATCTATTATTATGTGCTAGGGGCTGGGGAGCCCAAGATGAACCAGGCATAGGCCCAGCCTTCAATCAGCCTGGCCCATATGCTGCCTTGGCCTGGCATTCACATTTCCACCTGCTCCTCCTGCCTGCTACACCGACCCACCACTGCCTCAAGCAGCCTACATCCACAGCGGGATGCCTGCACTGCTGCTTCCGCGTGTGCTGGCCTGTTGGCCCTGTGTGTGTAGTATCCTGGCCCCGTCAAGAGCTTGTGCTGTCTTCAGTGCCCTGAAGTCAGCCCCTCTGCATGCACGCCCTTCTGCAGCCCTCTGGCCTCCGTGGCCAGGTGGCGAGTCCTGTTTCTGTCCTGGGTTAACTGAAGCCTTGGCAGCTGCCCTTGCTGCCTCATGGGGTGTTTTTTGGCCTCTATCCCTCTCTCCCTCCACTCCACCCTCCCTTTTTGCTACCGCCTGTCTCTTCTGGTTTTTGCTATTGCCTGGAAGGTAGGGGACGTCACGGTGCTTTGTGCAGTAGAGGTAGCCCTGATTCCATGGCACTGACACCCCCACCTCAAACGCAGCCCCCCATGATGTTTCCTCTCTGGGGAAGCACAGCCGTGGCTGAACAGACACAGGCGAGCCCCTCAGCCCGGGTGCCTGTCCCCACACCCACCCAGGATCCAGAAACCTGGGGCCCTCACAGGGAGTTCCTGCTCAGTCCCCAACAGGAAGTGTTCCTGCCTGTGCTAGAACTGGGCATGTCCTTGCTTTCGACCCTGAGAAACCTGTCTGGCTGGAAGGCACAGATGCCTAACATTTTGAGGGACATTTTACTTTTCCTGAGAGTTTGAGATTTTATTACCTATGGCTACATAACAGACTACCCAAAAGCGAGGTACCTTAAAAACAACCAAAATGCTATTTGCCCACAAATCTGTGGGTCTGGAATTTAAACAGGGGATACTGGGTGCTGTTCCCTGTCTGGGGAGCATCACCTTTACCTAGACATTGGTTGCTTTGCTTAAACATTCCTGATCTTTTGCATACCCAAGAATGAGTTCCATGTTAACTTGCATCTTGCACACCCAGGAATGAGTTGGAGATGTGGCTTCACCACCCCCATGTCAGGGGTCCGGGCTGGTGTAGCTCCGGAGTCCGGAGGATGGCTGGGTCAGCTTGAACATGTGCACGTGTTTGGCTGAGCTTCTCGTTCTCCTCCATATAGTCTCAGGGGCCTCTCACTCTCCACGTGGCCTCTCTAACAGGAAAGTAAGGCCCGTTACCTGGTGGCTCAGGGCTCCCAGGACTACAAATGTGGAATCCACCAAGATATCCTAAGGCGTAGCCCTAGAGCTTTGCAGTCTTCAAAGCCCAGCATCTGTCCCTGTCCTGTTTTTTTTGTTTTGTTTTGTTTTGTTTTTTGGGATGGAGTCTCCCTCTTGTCGTCCAGGTTGGAGTGCAGTGGCGTGATCTCGGCTCACTGCAACCTCCACCTCCCAGGTTTAAGCAGTTCTCCTGCCTCAGCCTCCTGAATAGCTGGGATTACAGGTGCCCACCACCATACCTGGCTAATATTTGTATTTTTAGTAGAGATGGGAGTTTCACCATGTTGGCCAGGCTGGTCTCGAACTCCTGACCCCAGGTGATCCACTCGCCTCGGCCTCCCACAGTGCTGGGATTACAGGCATGAGCTTCTGTGTCCGGCCTCCTGCCCTGTTCTTCATCCAGCACCCTGAAGTGAGCCCCTCCATGCGTGCCCCTTGGCACAGCTGGCACAGTGTCATCTCTGTCACCTTCTGTTGTTTCAGGCAGCCCAGATTCAGTGGAGTGATCTATAGAGGGCATGAATACCAGGAGGTGCATTTCACTGGGGGCTACCACTGTAACAGATGACTACACATGTCCTATCTTTCCAGGTGGAGTCTAACTCTTCAAGGGATGCAGGGATGTGTTCTATCCCACAGCCCCTTTCAGAATGGCTCACACCTAGGAGTTGCTTGATCTATATTCATTTTATTAAGAAGGGAACAGGGAGATCACAGATGCCATGGGGGCATCTTGGAGGGCCTCTCATGCTGCTTACCCCTTCCTCACCAAGCACTTCCCCTGGCATTGGCTGGAGGGAAAGGTAGCCATTTGGGCTACGTTTGATAAATGAGAAAGCTGAGTCTCAGTGAAGTTTTTAGTTTATACACTTGCCAAGGACCAAATGATAAATTGGCAGATTGAGGTTGAAAGCCTAGTTATGCTCATTTTTTATTGAAAACTAGGGAAATAAATTTACTTTTCAGAAATTCATTTTCAGGTAAATTTCTCTGAATGCATCTAACCTGTAGGGCAAGACATATATGTATTTTTTACATTTTAATTTTATTATTTTTTTATTTTAATTTTTAATTTCTTTTTTTTTTCCCAAGACCGGGTCTCCCTTTGTCGTCCAGGCTGGAGTGCAGTGGTGTGACCATGGCTCACTGCAGCCTGGACCTCCTGGGCTCAAGTGATCCTCCTACCTCAGCCTCCCGAGTAGCTGGTACTACAGGAATGTGCCACCACGCTCGGCTAATTTTCTTGTATTTTTTTTTTAGTAGAGAGGGTTTTCTCCCATATGGTCCAGGTTGGTCTTGAATTCCTGGGCTTACATGATCCACCTGCCTCAGCCTCTCAAAGTACTGGGATAACAGGCGTGAGCCACTGTGCCCAGGGGCTTGTGTTTGACCAGACATCACTCTCTGTGAGTCATCCAGCACTAGTTAAGTTGGAATGAACAAAACTAGCCATGAAATTGTGGCTTCTTGTATCCTAAAGGTCAAAAAAGAAGTCCTGCTTCAACATTACTAAGAGGTAATATAATTTTTTTCCATCAAATATAAACTTAAAGAGAATTTTTCTGCAAGTCTTCTCCCATTATATGCCCTCATGTGTGTTAGGCAGTGCATGGTGGGAAACACATAAGTAGTAGTACGAGTTTTCCTTGCATGGGGACATACTTGCTATTTGTGTGGTATGTGTCTTTTTAGCATACAGAATTACCTTTCTTTTCTTCTTGAAACTGTGGATAGGTTACATGAGCAATCATGAGGTCACCACCACCTCCACCAATTTGGAAATTAGGGAACTAGGATTTCCCTTGGAGAGAGGGTGGTCAGGTTTTACAAATAAAAATACAGGGTGCTTAGTTAAACAGAATTTCAAATGAACAACAAATCACTTTTAATGTAGGTATATCCCATGAAATTTATGGGACATGCTTATACTAAAAAATCACTCATTGTTCATCTGAAATTCTGATGTGACTGAGAATCCTGTATTTTTTTGGCAATTACAAAACTAAAACTGTAGAACCAATGCATATGGATTAGAAGAAATATAAAGTTCTAATGTAAAGAAATGTAAGGTTACCTTAAGAGATCAGAATGTGTTCTTTAGCAAGACTTGATTACAACTGAAGTTTGTAAAAAAAAAAAAAAAAAAAAAAGGTATATTTACAAAAACACTTCTAACCTCTTGTAAGGTACCTTAAGAACGTGCCAATCAGAAAGGGGGTTAGGGCTGGACGTGATGTCTCACGTCTATAATCCCAGTGCTTTGAGAGGCCAAGGTTGGAGGATCACTGGAGCCCAGGAGTATGAGAGCAGCCTGGGCAACATAATGAGACCCCATCTCTACAAAAAAATAAAAATTTTCTGGGTGTGGTGGCCTGCATCTCTAGTCCCAGCTACTCAGGAGGCTAAAGCAGGAGGATTGCTTGAGTCTGGGAGTCTGAGGCTACAATAAACCGTGATCACACTGCTGCACTCGAGCCTGGGTGACAGAACAAGACCCTATCTCAAAAAAAAAAAAAAAAAGAGATTGATCAACAATAGAAAATGAAAGGTCAAAGGAAAACCTTTGGGCTGGGTGTGGTTTTGGATCATGCCTATAATCCCAGCACTTTGGGAGGACAAGTGGGTGGTTCGCTTGAAGTCAGGAGTTCGAGACCAGCCTGGCCAACATGGCGAAACCCCATCTCTACTAAAAACACAAAAATCAGCTGGGTGTGGTGCTGCATGCCTGTAATCCCAGCTACTTGGGAGGCTGAGGCACGATAAATTGTTTGAACCTAGGGGGTGGAGGTTTCAGTGAGCTGAGATTGCACCACTGCACTCCAGCCAGAGCAAGACTCTGTCTCAAAAAAAAGAGAGACAAACTTTGTTCATTCTCCTCAACACCATCTGGAAGCATCAACTTCCAGGCTGAGATGGCTTGGATCTTATTGTGGAGATGCACTTGCCAAGTGTCTTAGTCAGCTTGGGCTGCTACCACAGAGTATCACAGGTTGGGTGGATTACACAACAAGCATTCATCACTCACAGCAGAGGCTAAGAAGTCCAAAGTCAAGTGTCAGCATGGTTGGGTTCTGGGGAGGGCTCTCTTCCTGGTCCCCAGATGGCCAGCTACATGTTGTGTCCTCACATGGCTGGGACAAAGAGGATGCACCAAACTTTGAGGGGTAGGGACCATTAGGGTCATCAACTAATTACCCATGTTTACCAAGAAAGCTTGTTATAAATTGGCTTCCTGGCTGGGCGTGGTGGCTCACGCCTGTAATCCCAGCACTTTGGGAGGCTGAGGCAAGTGAATCACCTGAGGTCAGGAGGTCGAGACCAGCCTAGCCAACAAGGAGAAAGCCCGTCTCTACTAAAAACGTAAAAATTAGCTGGGCGTGGTCGTGGGCATTTGTAATCCCAGCTACTCGGGAGGCTGAGGCAGGAGAATCACTCGAACCTGGGAGGCGGAGGTTGCAGTGAGCCGATACCGCACCACTGCACTCTAACCTGCCGACAAGAGCGAAACTATGTCTCAAAAAAAAAAAAAAAAAAAAGAGAGAAATTGTCTTCCCCTGCCTCCTGGGAGTGAAGGTGCTGATCTATGAACCTATGTCCCCAGCCCTCTGAGGGTGATGATTCAATACAAAGCCATTGGGGTTTTTCTACATCATTCTCTCTATGAGCTTGGATGTTACAAGGGTGGTCCATTCTTTTATTTATTTTTTATTTTTAATTTATTTTTATTATTTTTATTTATTTTTTTTTGGGACAGGGTCTTGCTCTGTTGCCCAGGCTGGAGTGCAGTGGCATGATCTTGGCTTACTGCAGCCTCAACCTCCTGAGCCCAGGCGATCCTCCCACCTCAGCCTCCTGAGTAGCTAGGACCACAGGTGCACGCCACCACACCTGCTTAAGCTGATCCATTCTTGCTGTGCTGGGTCACCCCCAGGTGACACTCAATGTCAATAAGTCGTGTTTTATTCCAACAACTACGCTTTGTTTTTCTGGATTGCTACTACAGCAAATCGTAGATTCCATTTCTTCAGCATATAAATGTGTAACAAGAACAAGTAGCATTCGGGCTCGGTGGCTCACACCTGTAATCCCAGCACTTTGTGAGGCTGAGGCAGGCAGATCACCTGAGGTCAGGAGTTCGAGACCAGCCTGACCAACATGGAGAACCCCTGTTTCTACTTAAAATACAAAATTAGCTGGGTGTGGTGGCACACTTTGGGAGGCTGAGGCGGGTGGATCACTGGAGTCCAGGAGCTCAAGACCAGCCTGGGCAACATAGCAAGACTCCATCTCTAAAAAAAAAATTAAGATTAACCAGGTGTGGTGGCACATACCTGTAGTCCCAGCTACATGGAGGCTGGGGTGAAAGGATCGCCTGAGCCCAGGAGGTCAAGGCTGCAGTGAGTGCACAGCCTGGGCAACGGAATGTGACCTTGTCTCAAAAAAAAAAAAATCACTGCATTATTTTAATAAAAACATGTATCTTATTGGCTGGGTGCAGTGGCTCATGCCTGTAATCCCAGCACTTTGGGAGGCCGAGGTGGGAGGATTGCTTGAGCTCAGGAATTCAAGGCCAGCCTGGTTAATATAGTGAGACATCTATACTACAATTCAAAACAACAATAAAAAAATTAGCTGGGCATGGTGGCACACACCTATAGTCTTAGCTACTCAGAGGGCTGAGGCGGAAGGAATGCTTGAGCCCAGAAGGTCAAGGCTAAAGTGAGCCCTGATGGTGCCATTGCACTTCACAGAGTGAAGAGTGGGTGACAGAGTGAGACCCTGTCTCAAAAAAAAGAAAAAAAAAAAAAAGATAGCTAGGAGACCAGCCCGGCCAACAACATGGTGAAACCCTGTCTCTAGGAAAATACAAAAATTAGCCGGGCATTGCGGCGGGTGCCTGTAATCCCAGCTACTCCGGAGGCTGAGGCAGGAGAATCGCTTGAACCGAGGAGAGGGAGGTTGTGGTGAGCCGAGATTGTGCCATTGCACTCCAGCCTGGGCAACAAAAGCAAAACTCCAATCTTAAAAAAAAGAAAAAAGATAGGTAGATAGATGTATCTGCAAATGATTCCTAGGAGCAGCCCAGGCCTAGAGAGTGAAACCACTCATAGTGACTCACATCAACAGGCCCTTTTGTCAGCGGGCATTTCCGTAATTAGAACTTGTGACCAACACATCCAACCACGAGGATATATCACAAGTACTTGTCTCCAGCGCTGGTTTCTTAGCAAAAAAACAACTTGTTAAATGTCAGGGCTTTGTGTTTTTGCCTTTGGGCTTTTGCCATGCCTGGTTATTGGGCACCTTCTGGTAATAAACAGTTGAAAGGAGCTGTTCCCATGTCTTATTTAATTCTCTCATTAAGCCTGTGGGCCAGAGGTTCTTATTGTTCATACCCCTGGATAAACACACTGAGTCCCAGGGAGGTAAAGTGCCTTGGCTGAGGGCCACCCAGGAGCTGGTGGTGCCTCAGCTGAACCCAAGTCCACAGACCGTGGAGTTCGCGCCCTCTCACTGTGGCACACGGGCCTGAGCCTCAGGAACACTGCAAAGTAGGTTGGCTTCCCCCTTACGGAGCCCCTATCCGGGACAGCCTCAATCCCTCAGGGCCCCTCTCGGTGCCTGCTTGGCTGACTGGGCAGCCCAGAGAGAACAGTGACCCAGAAAAGCAAGAGGAGAGTTTCCAGGAGGACAGAACACTGGTGCTATCAGGTGCCAGGAGCAGCGTGTGCCACGTGTGACCCTGCTCTGCTGTGGCTTTTTGGTACGTGCTGTGCCCTCAGCCTGGGCTGCCGTGGACTGGCCGTCCCTACCCCTCCAAGACTTAGCCCAAAATCTTACTTTTTTTTTTTTTCGAGATAGTTTCTCACTTGGTCCACCAGGCTGGAATGCAGTGGCACAATCTTGGCTCACTGCAACCTCCATCTCCCGGGCTCAAGCGATTCTCCTGCCTCAGGCTCCCAAGTAGCTGGGATTATAGGTGCCCGCCAGCATGCCTGGCTAATTTTTGTATTTTTAGTACAGATGGGGTTTTGTTACGTTGGCCAGGCTGGTCTCGAACTCCTAACCTCAGGTGATCCACCCGCCTCGGCCTCCCAAAGTGCTGGGATTACAGGAATGAGCCACTGCATCTGGTTTCCAAAATATTACTCTTTTCCCCAGAATGGAAATACAATTATTATTCAAAATATAAGAGTAATCTTAAAAAAATGTTTTAAAACGTTTTATATATACATGTAAAATTTATATGCACATTATATATATCAAATGTGTGAATATGTATTTTTGTGTTTATAAACACTTAAACTATGTAAATTTATATATAAAACTATAACATATGAACATGATATTATACTATGTATATGTTTGGTAACCCTCATTTTCACTCACTACAAAATAAATGTATTTTATATAGTAAGTATAGATTTACATAATTTTTTCAAGGTAAATAGTTAAAAAAAATAAAGCTAGTAAATGCTCATTGCAAAATAAATATTGCTAAAAAATATCAAGAAGAAAGTAAAACAGCACAAAAAGCCCTCCTTCTAACATTATTAACATTTGGCAAACATCCTTTTTTTTTTTTTTTTTTTTTTTGAGACGGATTCTCACTTTGTTGCCCAGGCTGGAGCGCACTGGGGAGATCTCAACTCACTGCAACCTCTGTCTCCCAGGCTCAGGTGATTCTCCTGCCTCAGCCTCCCCAGTAGCTGGGATTACAGGCACCCACCACCACATCCCAGCTAATTTTTTTTTTATATATATTTTAGTAGAGACGGGTTTCACCATGTTGGCCAGGCTGGTCTCCAACTCCTGACCTCAAATGATCCACCCACCTTGGCCTCCCAAAGTGTTGGGATTACAGGCGTGAGCCACCATGCCCGGCCCAAACATCCTTTTTTACACACATATACACCCATATTTTTATATAAATAGCTTCAAATTATATATACACTGCTTGGGACTTTTTAAAACATTTCAGCAAGATCTTGGGGACATCCTTCCATGATAATACGCATAGCATGAGATTGTTCTTTTTAATGACTACATAATATTTTATTGTGAGAGCATAACTTTATTGAACTTATGTATAAACACTAGTGGTGAGCATCCATCTTTCAGCTTTTCAGAATTAAAAACAACACTGTGATGAGCCATCCTTATACATGGATTCTTTCTGGAATAAGAAATAAATGGACTGAAAAATTAGAATGTACAATTCTAGAGGTCCCACGTTGTCAAATTATGTTGAAAAATGTGCACCACGAAAAAGTCTAAAAGTTCAGCCAAGATTCACATGGGTCATTTCTGGGCAAAAGGACCAGGCATGGTTTTGTTGTTCTTCCTATTCTTCTGTCCTCCTCAGCTTTTCTATTCTAAGTGTGTCCTTCGTTACGCTGATGCAAGTTGGCATTTTTACATTGCACAAGAATATATGGTTTTAATCCACGCAAGTGTCATCTCTGACGACGCTCTCTTTTCAGTTCCTCCTGCACCACACTTGCTCTCATCATCTGCTACAGGGGAGGGACCTGCTAGCCCCGTGCCTAAGTTAGCACCAGCAGGAACCCACAGGTGTTCAGTGGGGAGTTGCTGACTGCCTTGGAGAAGTGTATTTGAGACAAGCTGTTAATGGCTCACGGTCCTAGGGTAACCCCCTCGGCTGGCACCTGCATTTAGCACAGCAGTGAGCCAAGCAGTTTCCAGCTTTTGGGAAAAAAGCCTTGAGGGGTCCCTAAGGGCAAGAAGGCCTTTCCTGGCTCAGTCCAATCAGACACCTGCTGCGGCTGTGCTTCTTCTGGCCACAGGTCCCTGTCTTTGTTGGTTCCCTGCACTGACCTGGCCAAAAGGAAGCTG
This sequence comes from Homo sapiens, assembly GCF_000001405.40. NCBI lineage: Eukaryota > Metazoa > Chordata > Mammalia > Primates > Hominidae > Homo > Homo sapiens. The sequence goes on from NC_000017.11 coordinate 68,237,850, forward strand.
CTTGCTTCTGGGCAGCGGCTGTTCCCTCCCCCAGAAAGTCTAAAAGGACACAGAGGACGTCTTCAGTATTTCTGTATAGGTCACAAGTGAAGTGGGTCGCTGTCGCTGTTTTACGTTTGGTTGGTGCTGAGACACTTCCTCTTTCATATTTGTCTTATTCAGACCATCTCCTCCATCCCCCTTGGAGTCTGAAAAAGGCGAAATTGAAAGAAAAACTGAAAATTTCAAACCGAGCTACAGTGCAGGAGACCATGCTGTCATCCTGAAGCAGAGGCTGGGGACATCACCAAGAGGATCACAGCATCCTCCAGGGTTCAACTGAGGCCACTGACCCAGCCTTTTTCTTTTATTTTCTTTCTTTCTTCTTCTTTTTTTAAATAGAAATCAGAGTCTTGCTAGGTTGCCCAGGCTGATCTCAAACTCCTGAGCTCAAACAATCCTCCCACCTCAGCCTTCTAAAGTGCTAGGATTACAGGCTTGAGTCACTATACCCAGCCTGACCAGGGACTTTCTTCCTCCCCTCATTCGAACTTTCTTAGCTCCCACTCAAGTCTTCCTAAATGCTATGTGGTATTCTTGGGACTCCTAATTCCTAATTTTTCAGGAAGTGAAATGATATTCTTAAGGTAAAAACCAAAATCTGCTTTTGCTCAATTCTTTGACTTTACTGTATTTATATGCCATATGTATATATATATAGAGAGAAAGAGTGCATATAGATATACACACACATATGTACACACACACACACACAATCAGATTGTGGTAGCTTTTGGAAACTCTCTGAGGCACAGAAAATAAGTTGCCTGACAAGACATCAAAGAATTGCAAAAGAGACCACAGCCCCAAAGGCCTTACTGACTGCTTTGCGATTTGTAGCATGACTGCTGATAAGCATCTATTTGCTTCAGTAAATAGAGATGAAGTAGAATCATAACATTTGTTCCGGGAAAGAGTAACTAAAGTGGGAAATCATAAACAACAAAGCATAAAAAAATCTTAACCTAGTGGACTAAAAGATTTCTTGCTTTTTTCATTTCTGCTAATGGCCTCTCTCCCTTGGCACTGCCAGAACTGGTCCATTAAAGGTGAATCGAGCCTCAGTTTGCAGGCAGGACGTGGTCCAAAAGATCATTTGTAAGTTGGTTGTTTGGACCAAAGAATGTGTTTCCCCCTAGAAACCATTTTTCTCAGGGTGACTGGGTTCTCAGTTTTGCTTGTACAGTGCCGTTCAACTTCCACTGAAGCTGAGCTCTGGGTCTTTGAGGGCAGGTTCTCTGCAGTGCAGGAGGGAGAAAACAGGTCACCTGCTGCTGCTTTGCATAGAGCCCTGGCTCTGAGCACAATTTAAGCATAAATTGTTTTCTTTTCTACTTTCCCAACTCCCTTTTGGCATCCAGGTCCAGGGCCCTAGTCCCTGGATTGCAGCATCCTTTCCTAATGTGCTTTACCCACCTCTGGGCTGCTTGCCTGCTGAGGGGGGTCTGTGACCCCAAATTACCCACTTACTCCTGCTTCCTGACCAATCAGACTTCCATTTCCTCAGGGCAGTTGATATCAGCTAAGGGCCAGGGGAAAAGCAAAAGGAGCAGATATGAATTCACACTAGTAGGTGAATCATGGAGAACCTCTTAACCCTCTTAATGTCTTCTCGTGTTAAAACGAATTGGTTGTGAGACTTGAGAGTCCTTGTGGCAGTATGGGTTAGGGATGAACACGGTGGCTAAGGATTCAGAATTCACACACACATTAGTGGGACTCTTAGGCTCTTCACTGCACCTGCTTCCAGAACACTGGCAGTCAGTTAGGAAACGATCCTACTCTGGAAAAAAATGGGATGGTCACAGAGAAGAAACTTTCAGGTTCAGACACTGGGAGACTCCCCTCAGTGAATAAGCTGATTATCTGCCAGATCGCCTCTGAGAATAAGCCACATTCATGCACACAGAACCCCCCACCAGTTTTTTGTGCATCATAATGAAATCTTAACAGCCAAAGATTACCAGATGTTGATGGAAAGTTCTAACATGAAACAAAAAGACCAAACAGAGGAAACAACAGAACAAATCTTCAAAAGTAGTATAGTTACTATCTATAGAGAAATACGAAAAGACATTTTATCCATGAAATGAGAGGGTGTATTTTAGACTGTTTGGGATGCTATAAGAAAATATGATAAACTGGATGGTTTACAAACAACAGAAATTTATTTCCCACGGTTCTAGGAACTGGAATCCAAGATCAAGGTGCTGATCTGGTGTCTGGGGAGGGCCTGCTTTCTGGTTCAGAGATAGTGTCTTCTTGCAGTGGCCTCACATGGCAGAAGGGGTGAGCTGACTCCCTTGGGTCTCTTTCATAAAGGCACTAATACTATTCATAAGAGTTCCACTCTCATGACCTGATCACCTCTCAAAAGTTCCCATCTACAAATACTATCACATTGGGGGTAAGGTCTCAACATATAAATTTTGTGGGGACACAGACATTCAAACCATAGCAGGGTGCAAAATAAAATAATCATAACAAGAAAGGGATTTTGGCTATGAAAAAGCAGAATAGTTGAAAGTAAGTATTCAAAAGAAAAGATAGAAAATAATTGATGACCATAGTACAAAAAGATGGAAAAATGTGAGAGAGAGGAAAATCTGAGGATTCATTCTGAAAGTCCAACATCCAGCAAGAATGGAGGGCAGGAAATTATCAAAGAAATAATACCAGAAAATTTCTCAGAATGAAAGGATAAGAGTCTCAGTATCGAAGCGCCTGCTAAGTGAGCCACAAAATGAATGGGAAGAAAGGTTCAGGCTAAGGCACATCTTTATAACCCTTCAGAACTCTAAGGATAAAAAGGAGATACTAAAATCTTCCTAAAAATAACAGATAACATACAAAGGACTAGGAATCAAAATGGCATTGAACATCTCAGTAGCAACATTGGAAGTCAGAAGAAACTGGAGCAAACTGTTTATAATACTGAGGGGAAATGATTTGCAATCTAGAATTCCACACCAACCCAGATAAATTCTCAATCAAGTATGAGGGCAGAATAAAAACATTTTCAGATGTCAAAGATCTCACAATATTTATCTCTATGTACCTTTATTCCAGAAGGTTCTGGGGATGTGCTGCTGAAACCAAACGAGTCAGCCAGGAAAGAGGAAGACACAGAATTTAATAATTTAAGAAACAGGGGATCCAACAGAGCAAAGTGTAGTTGTAGTCCTAGGAACAGCTATGCAGTAGGCCCATGGACAACCAGTATAGATATGAATGGGGAGATGAAGTTACCCAGAAAAAAAATGTAACCAGTGTGCATGGGCCATGTAGAGAAGCATTAAAAAACAAAGAATCAGAGAATCATAAAAAATGAGGCACATGCATATTATATAATTTTTTAAGAAAATAAATAATAGAAATCAAGTGATGATTAACTCTAGGCAAAAATAAAGAGGTTCTACAAGAACGAAAGCATGGTCATGTACACTACTTGGCTCTGTAGTGCACAATGTTTGCATAATTATCATAATGTAAACACTGACCACCAGATTCAACCAAAATTTATGATAGAATCACAAGAGGAATGATAGGTGGAAAGTATGATGTATGAGAGTTAAGTCCTCATTTCTCATGGCAGTAAACTAACAGATGCTACCTAAAATTAAAAGATCAAGAAATCTCATTATACACACATTGTTGAGAAACATGGAGATAAATACCAGAAAAAACAGCTAAAGAGTTGAGAACAGTAGCCTCTAGGAAGATGGCCTATGGGGTGGGGACTATTACTTTTCATTACAATGCTTTTAGTACTTCTTAGCTTTTAAAAATGTGTACTTGGAATATTTTCATACATATAGTAATTTTATTATTATTATTACTATTATTATTATTATTGAGATGGAGTCTTGCTCTGTCACCCAGGCTGAAGTGCAGTGGCATGATCTCAGAACCTGCAACCTCTGCGTCCCAGGTTCAAGCGATTCTCCTGCCTCAGCCTCCAAGTAGCTGGGATTACAGGTGTGCACCACCACACCTGGCTAATTTTCTTTTTTCTTTTTCTTTTTTTTTTTTTTGTAGCAGAGACGAGGGTTCGCCATGTTGGCCAGGCTGGTCTCAAACTCCTGACCTAAGTGATCCGCCTGCCTCAGGCTCCCAAAGTGCTGGGATTACAGGCGTGAGCCATTGCACCCGGTCCATATAGTAATTTTAAAATAAAGTCAACAAATTAGGAAGACAAAGGATGGCTTGGTTGTTAATCTAAATGAATCTCTAGTTAGTGGTATGTTGGTGTAAGTAAAATTCAGAGACCATAGAAAAATAGATTGAGGAGCAGCTGAAAGGGTAGGCGGAAAGACAGAGGCAGGGAACCACCTAGAAAGCATGGAGAAGCTGTTATGCCTCAGGGTCATTTGTATATTTAGGAATGCCTAAATATTAATACATTACTGACTTGTTAAATTGTTTTCTGACTGTAAAAGTAATAATACTTATTGTAGAAAGTTTGGAAAATGCAAATTAATAACTAAAGAGGGACAGAGAAAAATCAAAACCACCAAATATCTCATTATTCATAGATTATTATTTATCAGCACTTTTTTTTTGACACAGAGCGAGGGCAGTGGCGCGATCTCGGCTCACTGCAACCTCCACCTCCCAGGTTCAAGTGATTCTCATGCCTCAGCCTCCCGAGTAGCTGGGATTACAGGCGTGTGCTACCATGCCCAGCTAATTTCTGTATTTTTTAGTAGAGATGGGGTTTCACCTTGTTGGCCAGGCAGGACTCAAACCCCTGACCTCAGATGATCTGCCTGCCTCAGCTTCCCAAAGTTCTGGGATTACAGGCATGAGCCACCGTGCCCAACCAAGCACATATTTTTAAAACAAAAATAAGATTACAATGTATAGGCCAGGCAGGGTGGCTCATGCCTATAATCCCAGCACTTTGGAAGGTGGAGGCATGCAGATGTCTTGAGCCCAGGAGTTCAAAACCAAAACAAGCCTGGGCAACATGGTGAAACCCCCTCTCTACAAAAAAACACAAAACATTAGCCAGGTGTGATGGTGCATACCTGTAATCCAAGCTACCTGGGAGACTGAGGTGGGAGGATCACCTGATCCCAAGAGGTCCAGGCTGCAGTGAGCCGTGATCACACTACTGTACTCCAGCCTGGGTGAAAGAGTGAGGCTCTGTCTCAAAAAAAAAAAAAAAAAAATTACAATGTGTAAACATTTCTGTGTCACACTTTATTTCCCCTTAGCATTTCTGTAGGTCACTATTGTCTTTGAGAAATGATTTTTTTTTTTTGAGACAATCTTGCTCTGTCACCCAGGCTGGAGTGTAGTGGTGGGACCACAGCTCACTGCAACCTCCGTCTCCCGGGTTCAAGCAATTCTCCTGCCTCAGCCTCCTAAGTAGCTGGAACTACAAGCATGTGCCACCATGCCTGGCTAATTGTTGTATTTTTAGTAGAGATGAGGTTTCACCATGTTGGCCAGGCTGGTCTCAAACTCCTGACCTCAGGTAATCAGCCTGCCTTGGCCTCCCAAAGTGCTGGGATTACAGGCATGAGCCACTGTGCCCAGCTGAGAAATGATTTTAAATAGATGCTTAGTATTCTAACATATGAACATACATGTAATTTATGGTCTATGATTAATAATTTATGCTTTTCCAGTCTCCAATAGCTGGATACTTTGATTGTTTCTAATTTTCATAATTATAAATAATATTTTGGTGACTATCCTTAACCATAAGTCTGTGAGATCTCTTATTGGGTCAATAGGTATGAACATTTTAAAAGCTATTAATACTCCATGTCAGGTTGTTCACCAGAAAGATTCGACCTGTTTATACACCGTTCTGCCAGGACAATCTACCATCATTGGACATTATCATCAAAGACAACTTTTTAGTAACCATGTTAATATATCACACATTCAAAAAAAGATCAAGGTTGGGGGGAAATTCGTAAAATGGAATGCAAACAAAAATAAATGAACCTAACTATATTTCATGTTAATAACAATACTACAGTGAAGGGCAGAATTGGGAGGGGGAAGAACTAACCCAGGTAGGTAACTGGGTTTTAATATATATCTTCTGGCTATAAAGAACCTTAAATAAATACTAATTGGTAGAATTGTTTTCCTGCAGTGCTATGGATTAGGAATTCTGAAATTATTTTTAGTACATATTCTAGTACAGAGCAAATAAATAAATTGTGAATAACAGGAGCCAGGTTTCTCTCTACTGGCAAAGGACATCATACATATGGAAAAATGGAAGGCTAGAATGAATGAACTCTGTGGTGTCAGGCTGGACTGGTATTGAAAATGTCAGTATGGACTCATGTTTTAGTTGTACTGTGGCTACTTATGAACTGTGCTTGATTTTTGGGAATATACTCTGAGATATTTTGGAGTGCAGGGCATCATGTCTACAATTTACTTTTTTTTGGAGACAGTCTTGCTCTGTTGCCCAGGCTGGAGTGCAGTGATGTCATCTCAGCTCACTGCAACCTCCGCCTCCTGGGTTCAAGCAATTCTCCTGCCTCAGCCTCCCAAGTAGCTGGGATTACAGGCATGCAACACCATGACCCACTAATTTTTGTATATTTAGTAGAGACGGGGTTTCACCGTTTTGGCCTGGCTGGTCTCAAACTCCTGACCTCAAGTGATCAACCCACCTCAGCCTCCCAAAGTGCTGGGATTACAGGCATGAGCCACCTCGCCCAGCCTGTAATTTACTCTCAAATGGTTCAGGAAAACAATGTATATTTTCATATAGAGACAGAGATAAAGACACAAAAAGGATGAGAATGATAAAGAAATGAGGTAAAATGTTAAGTACTGGGGAATCTGGGTGAAGAGAATGCAGGGATTCTTTATACTACTTTTGCCACTTTTCTTTTAGCTAGAAATTATTTCAAAACAAACAGCTTGGCCAAATTAGCAGGTAAGAAAAAATTATTAGTGTTTTTTATTTTATTTCATTCATGTGTTCAGTAAAGTTGAACACATGGATGTTAATGGACCATTCGGGTTATATGGTTCATATTTTTTGCTCATTTTTATGTCATGGTGTTTATCTTTTCTGTGCTGATTTGTAAAAGCTATTTTAAAACCCTTCATCTGCCATATATGTTACATTTCTTTCCTGCTTTCTGCCACCTTCCAATTTGTTACCAACTTTCTTCTCCAACCTTGGGCCACTGGCATATACACTCATTTTAAATATCAGAACTTGTAGTGCTCTTTGAAATGCAGACAGACTATGGTTCATTCTGCAACTGCATATTAGTTAACAGGCAAAAATACCTTAGTAAGAGAAAGTGTCTTTTCCTTCTAATGTAAAAAAAAAAAAAAACCTAACCCCCCCGAAGCACTAAGGTGTTTATTTGTTTATTTTTTTGAACAGGGTCTCACTCTGTTGCCCAGGCTGAAGTGCTGTGAATCACAGCTGACTGCAGCCTCGATCTCCTAGGCTCAACCCATCCTCCCACCTCTGCCTCCCAAGTAGCTGAGACTACAGGCATGTGTCACTACACCTGGCTTTTTTTTTTTCTTTTTTCTTTTTTTTTAGAGATGGGGTCTCCCTATGTTGACCAGGCTGGTCTGGAAGTCCTAGGCTCAAGTGATTCTCCTTTCTCCTGTCTCAGCCTCCCAAAGTGCTGGGATCATAGGCATGAGACACCATGCCTGGTCAGTTATTTAAGAAAATAAATATTAGACCATGCAGAAATAATGCTATCCTAAAATTTGTGAGCAAGTACAAAGTTCATGATTTAGAAATTTAAACAGTTTAAACGCAAAATGAAGTTCTTTTTAATGAATACCAAAAAACTGACTGAAAATCTAGTGAATACCTTTTATGCTTCAGACACCTCGTATAGAGAGTCTTTACCCTCAAGCATCTCGCAGTTGAGTAAGGGTGACATGTAAGAAATAGGTTACAATCATTGTGACAAGGACAACTGCAGTATTATTATGTACACACAAGGCAATGAACAGGCAGAAGTAAAGTTTTGTCATGAGGCAGGATGAGGCTATAGAAGAGGTGACAACTAAGCTAAAGAAGCCACTCAGGATGTCAGAAGACAGCTGTTCAGTCAAAAACAGGCACAGTATCCAAAGGAACTCATTTGATCCCTAAAATTCTGTTAAGATGTGCTGTAGGTGGGGCGCGGTGGCTCACGCCTGTAATCCCTGCACTTTGGGAGGCCGAAGTAGGTGGATCACCTGAGGTCAGGAGTTCAAGACCAGCCTGGCCAACATGGTGAAACCCCGTCTCTACTAAAAATACAAAAATTGGCTAACATGACGAAACCCTGTCTCTACTAAAAATACAAAAAAAAAAAAAAAAAAAAAAATTAGCCGGGCGTGGTGGTGTGTGCCTGTAGTCCCAGCTACTCTGTAGACTGAGGCACGAGAATCGCTTGAACCCAGGAAGCATAAGTTGCAGTGAGCCGAGATCGCACCACTGCACTCCAGTCTGGATGACAGAGCGAGACTTCGTGTCAAGTAATAATAATAAAAAAAGATGTGCTGTAATTGTCTCCGTTTTACAAAAGAGGTCAAGTAGTTGACACAGGTCCCACGCTAGTGAGGGTTTTGGGATTCAAGCACAGACCACCTTCGCCCCTATGCTACACCACCTCAGGCTGTCGGGAGATAGGCGCCCAGTCAAAAGGCACATGGAAGAAAGCCCACGACTTCTCAAGCATTGAAGCAGGAGTGGCGCATCGGTATTCTCAACTTCAAACTTTGAGAACAGTCATGGTAGGAATGCATTTTATTCAAGAATGGGTTCAGGTGAGGGTGGATATGGGCACTGGGTTCAAAGGACAAATTTGGAGAATTCATGATCCAGGAGAGTGAACAAATAAGGAAGGGCTAAAGAGATCCTCGAAGTTGAAAGGTTCAGAGTTAATGTCCTCTAAGGAGAGCCAACAAGGGGTTACAAATGCTGAAGTCATCAAGAAAATGTGCCTGTCTTTCCTTGAGACTGGGAAGGAGAATTAGGATGACGAAAATCCAGAGGATGGTAAAATAGCTTGACTTCAAAATAACAGGCCGGGCGCCGTGGCTCACGCCTGTAATTCCAGCACTGTGGGAGACCGGGGTGCGGGGGGGTGGATCACCTGAGCGCAGGAGTTCGAGACCAGCCTGGGTAACAGGGTGAAAACCCGTATTAAAAAAAAAAAAGCCGGGCGCGGTGGCCCACGCCTGTAATCCCAGCACTTTGGGAGGCCAAGGCGGGCGGATCACTTGAGGTCAGGAGTTCGAGACCAGCCTGGCCAACATGGTGAAACCCCATCTCTACTAAAAATAACAAAAATTAGCCGGACGTGATAGCGGGCACCTGTAGTTCCAGCTACTGGGGAGGCTGAGGCGGGAAAATCGCTTGAACCCAGGAGGCAAAGGTTGCACTGAGCCCAGACTGTCCCACTGCACTCCAGCCTGGGCAACAGAGCAAGACTCCGTCTCCAAAAAAAAAAAAAAAAAAAAAAAAGCAAGAAAAAGAAAGAGAATGGCGAGGCCCAGAGAGACCGAAAGTCCCACCAGAGGGTACAGAGCTAGCTCAGCCCTAATGCCGGCCCCGCGGTGCCTTTCCGAGCTCACGGCCTCCCCTCAGCATCCGGGTTTCGGCCTCGGAGCGCCAGGGACGCCACGAGGACGCGCCCCACACTTGCGCTTCTGGGTTCCAGCCCCCGCGGCCCCCAACAAATAAAGAAGGGAAAGTGCTGAGGGTGACGGCCCCGGGGAGCGCTGCGGCTCTACGTCAACCTGCGGCGGCCGCCGACTCATTTGGGGCCACGCTGGTTGCATTCGTCACGCCGGCGATGCCTCTCAAACCCGCGGCCTGCCGAGGACGTTCCCACACGGGAGACCCCAGCGACGCGGGCGCATCTGTGGCTCTCGAGAACCGGGCCGCGGAGCCGCCGCGAGCGCAAGCGAGGAATCGGCGACTGCGGGGGTGGACAGCTGGGGCTTGTAGTCCCCTCGCTACCCTCTATTCTGGAAGAGGCGGGTCGCGGCCGCTGAACTCCAGCTCTGCGCCTGCCCAGGCGGCCGCACGCTCAGGGGCGTGGCATGGGTGGGTCGTGAGTTGGGCGGGGCCCACAGGGCGTGCGCGACGCAGCGGCGCGGCGCGTGGCGTAAGGGGCGTGGCGCCAGTGGGCGTGGCGTGGCGCAGTGCGAAGGGACGCGGTGCGCATGCGCGTGAGGGCTGCCGCGGGTGGGTGGTATCGAGGCCTGTCGGGTCAGGGCGGTTCGCGGGTGCTGTCAGAGCTGGGCCGGGGCCCCTAGGCAGGGTAGCCGGGTCGTAGAGGCGGGGGCCGGTCGCGGTCGGTGGAGCGGGATGAGGATGTAGGAGGGGCGGACGTGGCGGAAGCCGCGGGGTCCGCGGGGTCGGTGCCTCTAGGGAGCCAGGGAGGCCTTTCCCGAGGCTCCTGGGGAAGAAGAGGCGAAGCGAGAGTCCCTGGGGAACCCCCACTCCACTCCCAGCTGGAGACTGGGTTGTGTCTGCATGGACCAGAGCCCACAGTGCGAGTTGCTATAGGCAACCAGCCAGGGTGGCCAGCTCCTTCCCGTTTGCCCGTGATGTTCTGGTTTTGGGACCAAAGCATCCTAGGCCTCCAGCCCACTGCAGTGACCGAATTCTGCGCCCCCTGCCCATCTTCTCCCGCAGCTTCCCTAGATTAGGCTTGGGAGGCAAGAGGAGGCCTCCTGACCTTTCACACTGCCTTTTTAATATTAAGATGAAGTCACACTCCACAACTTTCTTCCAGCCAGGCCCAGACATGTCCGTCCTTGTAAGTTAAAAGCTTCCATGGGAGCCTTCCTTCCTAATCAAGGTAGGTAGACTACAGGAAGGTACATCTTGTTTTATATTTTGTCCTGTAGAAGTCAGATTTCAGCCCAGTTGTGTAGGAGTGAGGATGAGCCTATGCTTATATCAGAGCTTTGAGTACAGAGACATTTGGTCTGGAATTTTAGTCAGCCTCTTCAACCCCAGAATTTATAGGTTCAATCAGAACAGACATTAGCTTAAGTTTTCCCATCAATCGTCTATCATTAAACTGGCAAAATCTAAATAATTAGAAAATATGACAAAGATGATCCAGACAGAGATGTTCAACTTTTTCCTTAATTCAAAAAGCCTCGTGGTGGAACATCGGACCCATTCAAGAGGAAGGATGAAAGCTCTATATAGGAACACGATGTGAATGGAAGAAACCTGTCATTGTGAGGCTGGCTTTTGATTAGTCATCTGATGTCTTCCCTAATGTGACATGACTTTGAGGCCATAAACTTCAGTGGCTAAGCTGTAGTTTCTCAGCCTGCAGTTAAATTGCAGAAATGATAGGGCTTACATTAGTTTTGTTTTTATTTGATGTTGAAGATCTTTGAGTCACATTAGAAACGATGAGTATTTTTCATGTGGCACTGATGAGTTAATTCATATTATTATTTTTTGAGACAGAGTCTCTATTGCCCAGGCTGGACTGCAGTGGCACGATCACGGCCCACTGCAGCCTCGACCTCCTGGGCTCAGATGATCCTCCCATCTTAGCCTGCCAAGTAGCTGGGACTACAAGTGCACATCACCACATCCGGCTAATTTTTTTGTAGATATGGGGTTTTGCCATGATGTCGAAGCTGATTTCAGACTCCTAGGCTCAAGTAATCCTTCTGCCTTGGCCTCCCAAAGTGCTGGGATTATAAGCGTGAGCCACTGTGCCAGGCCAATATTATTCCCCAAAAGAAGGAAGTTGGGTGTGAGGTCCTGCTCCTGTGGTCACCGTGAGGTTTTTTTTTTTTGTTTTGGACTCTTGCCCAGGCTGGAGTGCAGTGGCACAGTCATGGCTCACTGCAGCCTCAAGCTCCTGGGCTCAAGTGATTCTCCTGTCTCAGCCTCCCTGGTAGCTAGGACCACAGATGTGCACAACTATGCCCAGGGAATTTTTAAATTTTTTGTAGAGACAGGGTCTCACCATGTTGCCTGAGCTGTTCTCAAACTCCTGGCCTCAAGCAATCCTCCTATCCCAAAGTGCTGAAATTACAGGCATGAGCCACCACACCTGGCCACCACTAGTTTTTGTAATGGGAGCAGGTTCCATATGAGATGGAGGAATGGATTTCATGATTGTCTTTTTAATTTCTTAGATCTCCAAGAAATTGGACATGAGGAAACCACTCTAAGTGTGACCACTCTAAAGCATTAGCAATCAGTCATTTCACTCTAGGGAGAAATCAGAGCTGAAATATAGAGGATAGGTAAAGTCCCCAATGTAGATATGTATTTTTATATTTGATTACTTGCTTTTTTTTGTTAGATGCAAATAATACGGCACTCCGAACAGACACTAAAAACAGCTCTCATCTCAAAGAACCCAGTGCTTGTATCACAGTATGAGAAATTAAATGCTGGGGAACAACGTTTAATGAATGAAGCCTTCCAGCCAGCCAGTGATCTCTTTGGACCCATTACCTTGCATTCTCCATCAGATTGGATCACCTCCCACCCTGAGGCTCCCCAAGACTTTGAACAGTTCTTCAGTGATCCTTACAGAAAGACACCCTCTCCAAACAAACGCAGCATTTATATACAGTCCATTGGTAAATACTGGTAATGTGCTGGTTTTGGTTCAGTTTTGCAGTGGCGCTCTTGTCAGGAATAGTCCAGGCTATGGGTCTGATTCAGATGGGCCGTTTTAGGATCGTTTTTGATATTCATTGCGGCGGTACAAGTTTTGTAGCCAAACTGACTTAAAAGATAACATTTTGTTTCTTTTTGTTTCATAGCAACACCAATGAATGATAAAGGTTATTGAAAATTTAGAGTTGGTTTTGTTTCTAATTTGAATCTTCTTACTCATAGACTGGGTAAACACTGAATAATCATCTTAAAGTCTGTTTTTAAATGTTCTTCCATATTGTAGGCTCTCTAGGAAACACCAGAATTATCAGTGAAGAATATATTAAATGGCTCACGGGCTACTGTAAAGCATATTTCTATGGCTTGAGAGTAAAACTCCTAGAACCAGTTCCTGTTTCTGTAACAAGATGTTCCTTTAGAGTCAATGAGAACACACACAACCTACAAATTCATGCAGGTGAATTACACGACTTTGCAATTCGAACTGAGTATATGTATATAATATACACTCATACATTTATGTATTTCTTTTTAAATAGGGGACATCCTGAAGTTCTTGAAAAAGAAGAAACCTGAAGATGCCTTCTGTGTTGTGGGAATAACAATGATTGATCTTTACCCAAGAGACTCGTGGAATTTTGTCTTTGGACAGGCCTCTTTGACAGATGGTATTCCGTTTTTGGCATTGTTGTTAGAAGCTTCTTCAGCTTGAGAATATTTGAAGATGTTAGAAGAGGGAAAAAATTCCAACCAAGAATCATATTGATATTTAAAATATTTTCAGTTGAGACATTATGCCATAATGGGAAGTGTGCTGTTGGTAGATTGTGATAATCTAGGTTCTGGTTGGCCACTCACTACCTACAGGACCTTAAAGGTAACAATACCCACATCATGGAGTCATTTGGAGATAATTTACATAAAAGTGCCTGTACATAAAAAGTGTGGATAAGCCTGGACAACATAGACCACATGTCTACAAAAAAATAAAAATTTAAAAAACTAAATTAGCTGGGCATGGTGGCACATACCTGTAGTCCTAGCTACGCAGGAGGCTGAGGTGAGAGGATTGCTTGAGCCCAGGAGGTTGAGGCTGCAGTGAGCCATGATCGAGCCACTGCACTCCAGCCTGGGCAATAAAGTGAGACCGTGTCTCAAAAAAAAAATGTATATATAGGCCTGGCATATATATAGGCATACAGCATAACAGCTAGTAAATGTCAGTAATTCAGTAGCAAGGTGAATTAAACCAATTACAGTTTGAGCTATCAATGGATGTGAAAATCTTGCTAATTATTTTTCAATTCTTTTCATAGTCATCTTGCACAGTTAGAATAGCCATAGACTAAGTGTATGCTTCTTTCTCATCATACGACATTTGTTTTTTAATTTAAAGAGTCAAAACGTCCATCTTTGATTTGAGATATGTAATAAACCTTGACTCATTAGGAACTCTGTATGGTAATATTAGGGATGGGAAAGGTTCTGCAAACCGGTCATATTTTTAACCTTTTTTTTTTTTTGTCATCTCTCTACTTCTCCCCTCCCCTTAATTATTGTTCTTATTTCTCTAACTTCATCCCTAAGAATCCAACACAGACTTGAAAGGGAAAAGGCCCCCTAAGGGGAGTGGTTCATTAGTGTTCTGGGGATGGGGAGTAAGTACAGGGACTATCCTGAGAGTTTATGGTCTGTCTGGATGTTACATTAGCCTTAGGATTTGTGTGGGGTGGTAAGCTTTTTGGGACAAATGTTTCTACTAGAGGTGGGGGCTGTAGGGTTATAGAGCCTCTTCCCACTTACTCCTTTATTCTTTATTCTCCATTTATGTGAGGTTTCTTGTGGCCCCCATGGCCCTACCAGCATGCACTCTTGGAGACGTGGGTCACTACTTTCTTACTGATTTTGGTGGTGTGAGGTAGCTTTTTATCATAAGTTTTCTCTTTTATTATTAACCTGATAGAGATGGAAACATTGAAAAATAATTCTATCTACCTTTTATTTTTCTTTTGAGACAGAGTCTCCCTCTGTCACCCAGGCTGGAGTGCAGTGGTGTGATCATGGCTCACTGCAACCTCAACCTCCTGGGCTAAAGGGATCATCCTGCCTCAGCCTCCCGAGTAGCTGGGACCACAGGACCACCACACCCGGCTATTTTATTTTATTTTATTTTTGGCCAGATGGGATTTTTTTTGGCCAGATGGGATCTCCCTGTGTTGGTCAAGCTCATCTTGAAGTCCTGGGCTCAAGCGAGCCTCCCATCTCAGCCTCCCAAAGTGCTTTGATTACAGGTGTGAGTCACCACACCCAGCTAAAAAAATAATTTTAAAACCATATGTTCGTTTATCTAGATATTGCTAGCTAACTTATCTTATGTGTTTGAGGAGGTCAGGAAACATTTCCCCAAACTGTATTTACTTTAATTCTTTTTTTGGTAAGTTTCTTAAATATTACATGACATAAAAGATTTACATAGGAAAGTAGCAGGATTAGACAGTGACAATATCTTAACACAGTGGTCTTGTTTTCTCCGAGTTTACAAAGATTGATATTTTTAAAGTGAGACGCATTGACTACGAAAAAAATAGTCTATTTGTAGGATTATTGGAAGAAGGAAATGTCCTTGCTGAAAGTAGTGAAATATGCTCACACTTGATTGGCCAGAGGGGGTTACTTGTGATAAAGGAATAGATTTAGTGTGCTCTTAATTTCCAGAATGCTATCTTTGCTTAATTTTCAAATATCAGTCTACATTTTCTGGGTAAAGGGAGGTGAGGAAGTTTGTTTTTGAATCAAATTAGATTGGACAAATCTACTATGGGTTTATTACTTTAAAAACTGAACGAGAGACATAAATAAAAGTGATCATGTAAACAAGTCGAATTATGAAGCAGTACCCTGTAGGGTGAGTTATGTAGCAAACCGTGTTCTCTGTGCTTGCAGAGATGGTTGATATAACTCTAAATGTAACACAGGAAGTCAGTTACAAGGGTATTTATTCTGGTCACCAGACACTAGTGACAGAATAGAGTTGAGCTGTTCTTTGAAAAGGGGGTAGGGTTGGGGAAGGGGACGAGGTTATTCTGTCAAAAGCCGTGGTTTAAAGCATGGGCTTCAAGACATCAGGGGCAGTTGTCCTCAGTCAGTGCTGCGTGAGGGAAGGCCAGCAACCCCTCCAGACACACGTGTAACAGATCTGTTTAGTGTGTCCTTAAATAGTGAAATCATGACTTCCTATTGTTCATGTGATTTTTTTTTTTTTGAGACTGAGTATCACTCTATCGTCAGGCTGGAGTGCAATGGTGCGATCTTGGCTCACTGCAACTCCGCCTCATGGGTTCAAGCCATTCTCCCGCCTCAGCCTCCCTAGTAGCTGGGATTACAGGCACCTACCATCATGCCTGGCTAATTTTTTTTAGAGACAGGGTTTCACCATGTTAGCCAGGCTGGTCTTGAGCTTCTGACATCAGGTGATCCACCTGCCTCGGCCTCCCAAAGTCCTAGGATTACAATCGTGAGCCACCACGCCCAACCCATGTGGTTATTTTTTATGATTCCTTTTTGAGTACTTGATTTGGAGTACTTGCTACTTTCAGAAAAAGACTTCTTTTGTGGGAAAAGACTCTCTGAAACTTCAGTTTCTCAAGCATTTGACCTCAAGTCCATTAAGTTTTACAAGGCAAGGCAAAGTGGATAGCAGCAAAAGATTTTGATAGGGAAATCTGGGGCAAAAGTCTTCCTTTTTGGTGGCAAACCATAAGTGTATCAGATGGTGTGGACACAGTGACACAGAGATGCACTCACTGGCCAGATGGGCCAGCAGTCTCTTCTTTCTTTGGTCTTTCTTCAGGGACCTTACTCTCATTCTGTCACTGTTTGTCCTTTTTTTGTAGGTGTGGGGATATTCAGCTTTGCCAGGTATGGCAGTGATTTTTATAGCATGCACTATAAAGGCAAAGTGAAGAAGCTCAAGAAAACATCTTCAAGTGACTATTCAATTTTCGACAACTATTATATTCCAGAAATAACTAGTGTTTTACTACTTCGATCCTGTAAGGTAAGTTATTACAAAAATCTGACAGGACAGTTCTTTAAAAGAGATCTTAGTTCCGTAAACTGTATATTGTCAGTCCGTAAGGTAATATTATAAATGAGTTTGTATCATTTGTATAATTTTGGTGCATAGTGCTTGACTGAAATGATCAGTAAAACAATTTAAATGGATACCTTCATATTGAAATTTACAATATCAGTGCCAGTTTTTCTGTACTACTAGTTACAGCCTTGGCTGTACCCATGTGCTATTAGTGTAATTCTGAATTCTGGTATGAGTGGGTAACCTACTTTTTCAAGCTACTGTGGTCATTGGGCAAAGCTGCTTTCCCCAGGCCTTTGGAGAACCTCTGCTCTGGCCTCTCTGGGAGCCTGGGCCTTCCTGCCCTGGGCTCCAGGTTACCCTCGACTGTAGTTGTCCTGGCAGTTCCTGATATCCCCAACTCGGTTTTGTGGAAAGCCTATCTCCCCTTTCTCCATAGCCAGAGAGATGGGCTTTTCCTTCAGCTAGAGAAATTCTGCTTTTACCTGTACTATTTGTTGGGGTTTGACAGCTACACCTCTGAGAACTACATTCTCACAGTGTGTTTCATGGGCCCCCTGTGTCATTGCCACCTGATGTTCTCATTAGCATGCAGATCAAGCCCCCTTTCTCCCAGACCTACTGAAATCAGCATCTCTAGGGGAAGAGCCCCAGAATCAGAATTACAACAAGTACCCTAGTGTAGATCAAGGGTTCTCAGCCAGGGGTGATTTTGCCATCCAGGGAATATTAGCAACGTCTGGAGACATTTTTGATTTTCACAATCAGGGAGGGAGTTCTGTTGGCCTCTAGTGGGTAGAGCCAGGGATGCTGCAAAGCATCGCACAGTGCACAGGACAGCCTCCCACAACCTGGTATTATCGGTCCAACATGTCAGCGATGTTGAGGTTGAGGAAGTCTATAGCAAGAAAGGCAGTAAGACATTTGGGGAAATGAGGGATTATTAAGTCTTTGAAGGTCTGGACAGGGTGAAGTTTTGGTGGTAATGGTAAGGGAGTTGATTCCTATGTTTCTTGGAAAAGCAAGAAAAAGAAGAGACGTGTAGCCTAATGTGATGGTGGTCTTATAAAGCCTCAACATGATTGTCTTGCAGACTTTAACCCATGAGATCGGACACATATTTGGACTGCGACACTGCCAGTGGCTTGCATGCCTCATGCAAGGCTCCAACCACTTGGAAGAAGCTGACCGGCGCCCTCTAAACCTTTGCCCTATCTGTTTGCACAAGTTGCAGTGTGCTGTTGGCTTCAGCATTGTAGAAAGATACAAAGTAAGTTGGGGGGTGGACAGTCTAAAGAGGGGGAAGTGGTTATCTGAGTAGCAAACCCATGTTTCTATTATATCCTTCTCTGGAGTTATAATTTATCAGAGGAAATTAGTGTAAAGATAAGCAGGAAGCTGCGGTTTAAAAATGTGAAGAAATGCTCTTCTTAAAAACTTCAGCTTGCCTTTGAGTGATTTATGCTTACAGTTCAATGAGAAATAGTGGAAGAAGTTTCTTTGCTTCTCTTCCATTTAGGGCAAGAGAGCTTGACTTTGCAGAACAGAATAAATATTGATATGTGTGGCAGAGTTCATTTTTTAAACCCTATAAGTGTGTGGACAGGATTTACCTTTCCAAATATGGGACAGAGGTATGATGTTCATTAGGAGGAAAAAAATGATTTTCTTTAAAAAGGAAGAAGGAAAGTACCTAATCTCAGTATGTGTGTGTGTGTGCCCACACTTGCCCACAAACATCAATATACATTCATGTGTCTACTCATGGGTATGACTGCATTCAGGTGACTGCACAGAAATGTCTACACATGTGTTTTCACATACATATGTCTACCCATGCCTGTGTGGACACTTATATATGTATATACGTACATGTCAAAGTAATATAATGCCTTGTGGAATATTTAGCAAGTTGAGAAAAAATAACATCCTATTATGCTAGAAACAAAGTGTAAGAATGAGTGTATTTCTTTTTCATCTTTTTTCAGTGCGTACTTTTGACATCATTTGTAATTCTGTGTGTATTTGGTACGTGCCATTTCACTCAGTATATCATTAGCATTATTTCATATTCACACCATCATTATCAAATGCAGCGTCTTCATGGGGTAATATGTCACCCTATGATCTAGAAGCCAATGCTTCTCTCTTGCCTGATGGTATTTTGCTGTGGTTTGTTGAAGTGCGCATCTTTCATGTTTTTCCAGGCACTGGTGAGGTGGATTGATGATGAATCTTCTGACACACCTGGAGCAACTCCAGAACACAGTCACGAGGATAATGGGAATTTACCGAAACCCGTGGAAGCCTTTAAGGAATGGAAAGAGTGGATAATAAAATGCCTGGCTGTTCTCCAAAAATGAGGACCTTCAAATAGGAGTGATTGAAATAAATAACTACTTGCATGTTATGCTTTCATTTGGGTGGAATACTTCATTGGAATAAACTACTGATCTTGTGCTGTGTCAAAGTAACAGACTAGAACCTTCTTTCAAGTACCTGAATTGAAATGAAACTCATTTTGAATAATAAAAACTCTAGAAACTCTTTATCTTCTCATCTTACTGGCCTGGTCTGTGGCAGCAAGCACATTATTTCCATTCCCCAAATATGTTTAGGTCTCCCAAGAAAGCTGGGACTGGCGGTAACGAGCAAGTAAATAACTTGAAAAAGAACCGTTCAATGCCCCAAGGAACCAACCAACATAATTTCCAGGGGGTGATTTTGTTTTTAGAAGAGCCGCTCCCCTCTTTTAGGCCCAGCCAAGTCACATTTTTGGACGTCCGTGGGCTCTGATCACCACAGCCCTCCTTTTCCGAGAGCCTACCTTACTGTCTCAAGTGCATTACCTTGTTTTTTTCTCTTGCTGGTTGTCACCTTATCCCTGAAAGAATGAACAGCTTGTATCAGTTTTTAGCAGCTTAAAATATGACCTATCAGGAATATTTGCAAGTGAAAATAACAATGGTCCTTACACTACCACAACATTTGGTGGTGGGAGTTCCGCTGCAGGTCTCAGCTATAACATAGTCATTTATGAGGGATCTTACAAATAGTGTGTAATGGTATTTATATTTGTGAGTGTTGCACTTTTTCTATAGATTTAGAGCGGCTTTCAGGTTTATTTCAGTAATAATGTCCTCCTCACATTACATTGTGAAGTGTTTACCTGAGTCAGGGAGAGAGTTTAATGGGGTTATCTGTCGGGGTGCCATGAATGCTGATGATGGTCTGCAGGGTGTGAACATCAGCCCCATTGCTACGGGGGTGGACAGGTGGAAAAGCTCAGACTTGACAAACCACCTCTGCTAGATAGATGTATCTTGGAAATCCAGAAATTACAGTGAATATTTTATGGAATATCAGTGAGCAGACAGCATTTCCCACTTTCCTATCTTACCTTGAGGGTAAGACTTAAAGGTATATATGTATTTGTAATTTGAAACCTGGATTCTTCATTGTTTGATGTATGCAGTATGATGTAACAAAGTATAGAAATGATCCCTGAAAGTATAGTCTTTGATGTATGGAGTATGATGTAAGGCACATTTCATATCTGAGTCAGTGGTTTCCCTTGGAGTCATTCTACTTGATTGAACCCATTTAAGTCATTTTAGAAAATGGTGGTTTGCTATTAAAATTAATTGGAGAGAATACTTGGTCATTCTATTAGGAAAAAGAGACTGATGGAGCATGGTGTTTTATGGATTCTGTTACAGGGCTTATTCCTCCTTGAATAATGTATTTAAAAAATTATTGTCCATTCGATTACATTTTTTTTTATTTTCCTACAAGGCAAGCACGGTTTTAGTCCTGTAGGTCAGCCTTTGTCACAAACTCTTTTGAACTAAGATTTGCCTAGTTGAATAAATAAGGTCCATTTGTGTCTACACTGCACTATGAGACTAGGAGAAAAATCATCTAAGAAGTCATTCACTCTTGCTAAAAATTGAACTAAACATAAATTTTATATGATTCATTTGTTCAGCAATCATAAGTGCTGTGTATAACTATATATTTTTGGATAATTTCTTAGGGTTCAGCTTAAAAATATAATTTGCTTACTGCAACTAAATTTTATGTACTATGGTTAAATCTTTGTGGTTTTAAAAGATAATTTTCACTAAATAAATCCACGCAGATTTTGCTCTGCAAATGCTGGCTGAACAAAGTATTGAGCTAATAAAGAGAATTAATAATTTTCTACTATCTAAATACTCTTAAAAATCAGTGAATTTGGAATGTTTTTCATTTATGTCATAGATCCTGATCCTGGGCACCTGTGGAGTTAGTATCTCTCCGGTCAAGAGATTTTTCAGGCCTCAGACTTCTAATGGTGAGGGTTAAGTAGAAGAATTTGTCGAGGATTACCCGTCGGTTCTTGTCCAGCTTGCTTTTTGAAGCACACATTCCCCTGATATGAATAATTTACATTTCAAGCCCTACGAGGGACAGAGGGCCGCGTTGCTCCCTCTTGGGAGCAGCAGTGCTAAAATCGAAGCAGGCAGCTGCGGGACCGCTATAGCCGGCCCTGCGCTCGGGCCCTTCCCGGGCAGGAAACGCGTCGCTGTCCCCGGCTGCGCCCAGGCCGGCGGGCCCAGCAGCTGCGAACCGCCGGCGCACCACCTGTTTCCGCGCCCGGGGACTTCCCCGGCGGGGCTCAGAAGTGTGGGATCGGTCGCTTGGCTTCCCCTGGCGTCAGCGACCCAGGGTAACCTCCTCCACTGCTGCGTGCCGTGCAGGCCTGCCTGTGTGAGAGCCACGTGTGCCGCGCTCTGGGCACAGCCTTGGAAAGTCAGGACCGCGACGGCAGCAGAGCAGTGAGTGGAATTAATTCTCAAGTAGAGCATTTAAAAAGTGCTTCATTGAAGAGTTTGAATCTCAGTCACTTTGTAGATTCTGATATCTAGAGTGGCACCGTCCAACAAAAATATAATACAAGCCACATATGTAAGCTTGATGTTTCTAGTAGTCGTATTAGCAAATGCATAAAGAAGCAGGTGGAGTTAATTTTAATAGTATATTCTGTTTAATCCAATGCATCCAAAATATTATTTCAATCAATATCAATGCTGAATGTTTTATGTCCTTTTTTTGTACCATCTTCAAATTCCCGTGTGTTTGTTACACTTGCAGTACATCTTACTTCCAACTGGCCACATTTTCAAGTGCTCAACAGCCCCATGTGGCTTGTGTCTATTGTATTGGACAGTGCAGCTCTAGACCAGTACCCAACTCTAGTGTACCTGGAAAAATGTACCCGTGGTATTGAGTTACTAGGAGAGGAAGGCTTATTTCAGGAAAAGGTCATGTAAATCTTCTGTCAGTACAGCCGGTGTTGACATTCAAGCTGAAAGGGTGTATGTAGACACCGTTTAATGTCTACATTAAAGGCCTCTGGCTTCGGTGTTAACTTGTTTCTTTAAAAGCTTGATACTGTTCTCTGTTGCAGCTTGTTTTTTACCCTCCCGTCTTCATTTTCAAGGGCCTGGTATTGTCTTCAAATGCATTTCCATTTTTGGAAAGCAGAGTCGTAAAGCATTAATAATGTGGAGATTATTTAGTCCATTTCATGCATGAGGACACAAGCCTGCAGCAGCCGAGTAAACTTGCTTGTTGTTTAACCAATGGCAAAAATGGGATCAGATCCCAAGTCTCCCTAATGTTGAGTTATTCGTTGTTTTCACTGTGCTGCATGACCTCATTGAAGTAAAATATCACCAACCAGAACCTAACCATTTTTCCCCCGGGTTGTTTACAAGGGATTATACACGATTAAACTGTCAATTTCTTTTCTGTTCAAGTAGAGTCATCTGGGGTTGCTCAAAGTTGGAGAAATCAGTCTATATACTTCTGCCTTAGTACCAAAAAAAGAGAGGTGCAATATTTATTTATTTTTGAAATAGGGTCTTGCTCTGTTGCCCAGGCTGGAGTGCAGTGGCATGATCACGGCTCACTGGAGCCTCCACCTCCCGTGGTCAAGTGGTCCTCCCACCTCAGCCTCCCAAGTAGCTGGTATTACAGGTGTGCACCACCATGCCCCGTGTATTTTTTTTATTTTTATTTTTTAGAGATGGGGTTTTTTCCACATTGTCCAGGCTGGTCTGGATTCCTGAGCTCAAGCAATCTGCCTGCCTTGGCCTCCCAAAGTGCTGGGATTACTGATGTGAGCCACCATGGCCGGCCAAGAGTTGCAATATTTAGTAAAGCTCTTCCGACTAGTTGAGGCATTAAAAGAAAGCATTATGGAAAAAAAAAGTCTACTGGAAAATAGTTGAAACAAAATCTATTGAGGCAGTATGTTAAAACCCACAGACCTCCATACTTAACCCAGTATTGATTTCATCCCACTGTTTTCTTTAGTGTCTGCTCATGGATCAGTTTTTTCTTCTTTACAACTGACCCACCCATATAGTACACTACTGCTGGGCACTCTGAGACCCATCCATCCTCAGATGCTGAGCCGGTGGGTTCTCAGCACAGTGCTTTCAGTGTCCTATGGTTATCCAGCTGTTTCGTAGCAGCACAGACTCTCTTGAACTGTAACTGTCAATAGATAACATTTTTTTTCTCTTGTGTAACTAAAGGGAAAAAAGTCTATAACTCATTCATTCATTCATGTATTTTTTCATTCAACAATATTCATGGAGCACCGCCTACTGGGTGCCAGGCCCTGCTCAAAGCCTTGGGAATACAGCAGTGAACAAAGAACTCCTACCCTAATACACTAGTGGATGAGACAGAGAGTCAAGGAGTAAACAGATGCTTTATTTTATTTTATTTATTTTTTTGAGACAGAGTCTTGTCCTGTCACCCAGGCTAGAGTGCAGTGGTGTGATCTTGGCTCACTATATCTTCTGCCTCCTGGGCTCAAGTGGTCCTCCCGCCTCAGCTTCCCACGTAGCTGGGAGTACAGGCATGTGCCACCATGCCTGGCTAATTTTTGTAGTTTTTGTAGAGAGGGGTTTTACCATGTTGACCAGGCTAGTCTCAAACTCCCAGGCTCAAGCAATCTGCCCACCTTAGCCTCCCAAAGTGGATGCTGTTATAACCTAATAACAGCAAAGTAAATGGATAGAAACAAGTACCATTTTGAATAGGATAGACAGGAATGCCTCCCTAGGGAGGTGGCATTTGGAAGTGATCAAATTGAAGGGTCACACTGCATACACATCTCAGGGAAGGGAGTACCAAGCAAAGGAAACCACAAATGCTAAGGCCTGAAGCTTGCAACAGTAAGAACAATTCCAGAAACAGTAAGAGAGGCTGGGCGTGGTGGCTCACACCTGTAATCCCAGCACTTTGGGAGGCTGAAGCAGGTAGATCACCTAGGTCAGGAGTTCGAGACCAGCCTGGCCAACATGACGAAACCCCATCTCTACTAAAAATACAAAAAAAAAATGAGCTGGGTGTGGTGGCGGGTGCCTGTAATCTCAGCTACTCAGGAGGCTCAGGCAGGAGAATTGCTTGAACCTGGAGGCGGAGGTTGCAGTGAGGCGAGATTGTGCCATTGCACTCCAGCGTGGGTGACAAGAGCAAAACTCCATCTCAAACGAAAACAAACAAAAAAAAAAAAAAGAAAGGGCCGGGCGTAGTGGCTCACGCCTGAATTCCCAGCACTTTGGGAGGCTGAGGTCGGCGGATCACGATGTCAGGAGATCGAGACCATCCTGGCTAACACGGTGAAACTCCGTGTCTACTAAAAATACAAAAAATTAGCCAGGTGTGGTGGCGGGCGCCTGTAGTCCCAGCTACTCGGGAGGCTGAGGCAGGAGAATTGCTTGAGCCTGGGAGGCGGAGGTTGCAGTGAGCCAAGATTGCACCACTGCACTCCAACCTGGGCGACAGAGCGAGACTGCCCCCCCAACCCCCCCAGAAAAAGAGCCAGTGAGGCTAGTGTAGCAGGAGCAGAGGGAAAAGTAATAGTATCCATCAGGCAGTTCATGCAGGGCCCATTGCTAAGGATTTAGTTCAGACTTGTGCTGTAAGAGGATTACTGTGGCTGCTGTATGGAAAATTAAGGTGGGGGTGGCGTGTTCCAAGAGTGGAAGCAGGCAGGCCAGCTAGAAGACTACTGTAATAATCCAGCTAAGATGATATTGGCTTGGATCAAGGGTCCTGGTGCAGTTGGCAGAAGCAGTCAGCTCCTGGATATATTTAGAAAGGAGAGCCGATTGGATGTGTGGAGGAGTGGGTTTGAGGAGGATGATCCAGAGTTCTGCTGAGGACACTTTAAGTAGAAGATGCCTAGTTTTATATCCATGCCCTGCCATGCGGGCAGATATAAATCAGGAGCTCAGGGACAAAGTTGGGACTAAGAATGGGAGGTGCCAGTGCAGAGAGGGTGCTTAAAGTTTTGGTTGAATTCTAGGGTGTATAAGTTGTTAGGGAAGTTAGCGTGCTTGTTCTTGAGTTGCTGGAAAGGCATATAAATGACACAAATACATGGCCACAATCTGTATTTTCTCAATAATATTTGGTGAAATGTTCTGGGCATCAGGTTTCCCGTCTAATTTTCCATGTAGGAAATGGATAGTCATTGAAGTAGTTTTGATTTGGGTGAGTTGTTACATGGAAAGGGAAGTTGTAAGTTCTCTTGCCACTTTTCTTGTTCTGCACCTTTAGAGAGTCATTAACGAGAACTGAACACTAGGGGGACCCAGTTTCCTTACTTATGCAACGGCGGCTGGCCCAGCTGTACGCTACGATCGCCCTCACTTAGGACACATGCAATATAAACACAAATCTGAAAACAAGGGCAGCTTCTCTTTTATCAATGCAATGTATACTTATAGCAGTGATCATTTTTGCGTGTAACATGTCTGAATTCCTTAAATAGGTCATTTTAAGTAATGTGCATAACCATTACTATTTTTCTTTTATGAGACAGGGTCTCACTCTTTGCCAAGGCTGTGTGCAGTGATGCCATCTGGACTCACTGCAACCTCTGCCTTCTGGGCTCAAGTGCTCTTTCTACCTCAGCCTCCTGAGTAGCTGGGACCACAGGCATGAGCCACCACACCTGGCTAATTTTGGTTTCGCCATGTGGCCCAGGCTGGTCTTGAACTCCTGGGCTCAAGCAATTCACTCACCGTGGCTTCCTGAAGTGCTGGGATTACAGGGATGAGCCACAACACCTGGCCACGGTTTAAAGAATTAAAGACAATGGCTTCTAAACTCTAGTTCCCTATTGGTGAGCCCCATATTTGCAAACTTGTGAAACTAAGGATCATGATTTCTTTTTTATTTTTTCTTAATTTTTATTTTTTGAGATGGAATCTTGCTCTGTCGCCCAGGCTAGGGTGCAGTGGCGTGATCTCGACTCACTGCAACCTCCACCTCCCAGGTTCAAGTGCTTCTCCTGCCTCAGCCCCCCGAGTAGCTGGGATTACAGGCACGCACCAACATGTCCGGCTAATTTTTGTATTTTTAGTAGAGACAGGATTTCACCATGTTGGCTAGGCTGGTCTCGAACTCCTGACCTCAAGTGAGCCACCCGCCTCGGCTTCTCAAAGTGCTGGGTGGGATTACAGGTGTGCGCCACCACGCCCAGCTGAAGGATCATGATGATTTCTGATTTACAATAGTTGAATTGGAGTATGGAAATCTAAATGTAATAAATACCACCTGGTGATTTGAATCTGCGCCACAAGAATGCTGACATAGAATCCATTTTCTGTTTTATCACCAGATATTAAGCAAAGGGAAAGGCAAATAAATGCTGAAAAGCTACATTACATATTATTGGAGTATAAAATGTATAACTTTGTTAAAAGGTTTGGACACATTTTGTATTAGTTACGGATACATAGGTCTTAAAAGAGTACATGGTCTCAACTCTTTTTTTTTTGAGTTGGAGTTTCGCTCTTGTTGCCCAGGCTGGGGTACAATGGCGCAATCTTGGCTCACCACAACCTCCATCTCCTGGATTCAAGTGATTCTCCTGTCAGCCTCCCGAGTAGCTGGAATTATAGGCATGCAGCACCATGCCTGTCTAATTTTGTATTTTTAGTAGAGATGGGGTTTTTCCATGTTGGTCAGGCTGGTCTCGAACTCCCAACCTCAGGTGATCCACCCGCCTTGGCCTCCCAAAGAGCTGGGATTACAGGCGTGAGCCACTGCACCTGGCCCAACTCATTTTTATAAGTAGAATAATTTTACTTTTGGGTAGAGAAAGTCTACATAAGGTTTATACTGAAACCTCTTGAAGTCAACAAGCTTAAAGCAGAATCTTTTTAATCAGGGGAAATGAAAACATAATTAGCGGCCTGGTGTGGTGGCTCACGCCTGTAATCCCAACACTTTGGGAGGCCGAGGTGGGTGGATCACCTGAGATCAGGAGTTTGAGACCAGCCTGGCCAAGATGGCGAAACCCTGTCTCTACTAAAAATACAAAAATTAGCTGGGCGTGGTGGCACATGCCTGTAATCCCAGCTACTTTGGAGGCTGAGGAAGGAGAATCACTTGAACCCAGGAGGTGGAGGTTGCAGTGAGCGGAGATCACGCCACTGCACTCCAGCCTGGGCAACAAGGGTGAAACTCCATCTCAGAAAAAAAAAAAAAAAAGAAAAAAGAAAACGTAATTAACAAATGTGTTAGCTATAATGTCGGGCACGGTGACTCATGCCTGTAATCCCAGCACTTTGGAAGGCCATAGTGGGCAGATCACTTGAGGTCAGGAGTTCGAGACCAGCCTGGCCAACATGGCAAAATCCTGTCTCCACTAAAAATACAAAAACTAGCTGGGTGTGGTGGTGCACGCCTGTAATCCCAGCTACTTGGGAGGCTGACGCAGGAGAATTGCTTGAACTCTGGAGGTGGAGGTTGCAGTGAGCCAAGGTTGTGCCACTGCACTCCAGTCTGGGCGACAGAGCAAGACTCTGTCTCAAAACAACAACAACAATGAAAAAGTGTTAGCTGCTTGATCTTTCCTATTTTGGGGCAGTTATGATCTAAGAATTACTTTGACCACAATGAATCCTTTCCCATGGGTCAGGATGTTAGTTCTCAGAGCTTTGCTTCTGGCGGTACTGACCTGTGCCGGTGTTACAGATGTGTGGTGAAGGGGCTGGAAACTGTGGTCCACAGGCCAAATCCAGTCCACTGTTTTTTTTTTTTTTCAGCCTGAGAGCTAATAGTGTGTGTTGTTTTTTTTTTTTTAACATTTTTATGTGATTGAAAAAAAATATATTTCCTGTGTGAAAATCTTGTGAAATTCACATTTCAGTATCCGTAAATAAAATTCCATTGAAACATGGCCACGTTCATTCATTTATATATTGTCTGTGGCTGCTTTTGACCCTCAATGGCAGAGTTGACTAGACAGAGGCCTCATGGCCTGCAAAGCTTTAAATATTTACTATCTGGACCTTTACAGAAAAAGTTTGCCAACCCCTGGCATGTAGAGTCTGTGCTGTTTACTTACAGGTTGCAACAGTTCTTGGAATGACTCTGTAACTGGTTGTGGTCTTTAACTATTTGCCTTTATGACTTTTGATAGGCTTACTCTGGCTACCATGATATCATTTCATTCATGTATTTTTGATTAATAATTAAATTCCATTGATGCTTTCATTCTTATTTCAATTCTTAGATGAAAATATGCTTCTTCATTTGATTATATTGTTTAATTTTTATTTCCCTCTTCTGTTATTCATTACTTAATACTTCCCTTGAATTATTTAGTCTTTTTCTAAGGTGCTTTAAAATAGTTCGTATGAAACTCAACATAAAATAAAATCGTCCTGTTTTCAATGATCAAAGTATATATATGTATATATATGTATATATATACTTTTTTGTATAAAAAGTATATATATGTATATATATACTTTTTTTTGTATAAAAAGTATATATATGTATATATATACTTTTTTTTTGTATAAAAAGTATACAAAAAAAAAAAGACATAAAAAAGTTTAGGCTGCACATGATGGCTCACACCTGTAATCCCAGCACTTTGAGAGGCCGAAGCAGGTGGATCACCTGAGGTCAGGAGTTTGAAGCCAACCTGGCCAACATGGTGAAACCCAATCTCTAGTAAAAATACACAAAATTAGCCAGGCATGGTGGCGGGCACCTGTAATCCTAGCTACATGGGAGGGTGAGACAGGAGAATCACTTGAACCTGGGAGGCGGAGGTTGCAGTGAGCTGAGATTGTGCCATTGCACTCCAGCCTGGGCAACAAGAGCGAAACTCCATCTCAAAAAATAATAATAATAAATATAAGTAAATAAAAAGTTCAGTAGAAACTTCTTGGGAAACTTTATGTGTCTCTAGTAGAGTTAAAAGGTTTTGCAGAAGATAAACGTTAAAAAATTATTTATTTGGAGTGAATCTTTGGTGAGTTTTTATAACTTTAATTGCCTCAAACACTGAATGCTGTGAGAGTCAATAAAAAATCTTAGAAGAGAATCGGTCTCTTTAAATAAAAAATCCATAAATTTATTGCAAATCTAGAAGTACCAGAATGTCACTAATACAGAACAGATCAGCAATCTTGTTTGTATTTTCTTCCAAACATTTAAAACCTTGATTATTGACATACTGAAATTGGCATACATTTTGTTTTCATGCAGATAACAGAATAGACATGGAGCAGATCCCTCAGAAATCAGTTATAAATATTAAATTGTATTGAACATTCATAGTAAAAAATATGTCGTAAAGTGCTGAAGTCATGTAAGTCTGCAAAACTGCCACAAGCTCAAAGTTCTCAAGCAGTGACAGAGATTTGCTACATCCACCTTGTTTTAGATTATGCCTGTTTTTGACAGACACTTTGTCATTTCCTCCCCCACCCTCCCCAAAGTTTTATAGATTGTCCTATTTCTATGGCTGATAAGATGCTCTACAAAATGTAGCAGGTGGTGATGAACTATGCCACTTTCATTTCAGTGCAGAGAAATATTCAAGCTTGTGTGTACCTGTAACCAAACTAGGCTTGTTATGTTTTTCCCCCTGAGTTGTCATAAATTAACATTAACGATGAATAAAGATGGAGCAGCAAGCATTGACCATCACCTGCAGGGTGAGATTGTGGTAAAATAGGTGAGTAAAAAGTCCACCTATTATCCTGACACTTGCCCTCCTTACAGAAAACTGCTAACGTGAGCAATACTATACATGTAGTGTGACTCCAAAAAAAAAGGAAGAATAAAACAAACAAAACAAAACAATGACCAGTTACCCGATACCTCTGGCAACTTAGACCAATCAAGTCATGTGTTATAGAAGATGTAAATTGCAACTTGTAACTCGCTATAACATAATTGTCTCTGTTACCCCCATGTGAAATACAGAAATGCTTCAATAATTAGATGGTTTTTTCTTTAAATCAGAAATGCTTTAACAATTCTCTGAAATATAATTCTGATCAAAGAAGTTCCTCAAGTATTCTTAAATGATAAAACAAATTAGTTTTGAAAGCTAAGGCGATTTGCAATCCATTATTTTTTCCCCTTTAATAGCACACGTTGCCCCTAATCAAATGGAAGAATCATGACAACTTGGCCTTTTATGAAAGTATTTTTACAAGATAAGACGTATTCTGTGAGGCATTTAAAGGATTGCAGAAAGGAGGTAAAAATGCTGCTTATGTCTCAGATTTTATTTCTTTTGATTACTTTAATCATCCTAGAATAACTTAATAATAAATAGCGGTTTAAATTAAAGACACTACAGTCACATATTTCTGTATAACTAAAAGCAACAGGAAACACATTTTTAAATGCCATTTTGTATATTCTGTACTGAAACACTTCTGATAAGGACTGGCCATAAAAAGAAGTGGTAATCTTCACATTTATGAAGTTCAAGTTATATATATATATATATACTTAAAATTTGTTTATTAGTAAAATGTTTGGTCTTAAACTATATTTCATTTCCAGCAAGCAGAGGCCGTAATTTGTTAACGGGAACCTTGGTATTTTACAAAGGGTTTAACAAAAACTATTTATTCATATTTCTGAAAATTAGGAATTTTAAAAATGATTGAAGTCTTTTTTTTTTTGACTGGCCAATTTCATTTCAATGACCTGGGTTGGATGTTGTTTTATTCAGGAGAGTAGTTTATTCAGACAAGACCATAGGAAGAAAGAAAAGAAAAAAAGAAAATCATTTATCCCACGTGAAAGCTTTTAAAACCACTTTGCCAGTTCATGTCACTATTTTAATATCGGAATGTGAACCAAAGAGTCTTTCTACATATCTCTTGTATTGCTACTGAATACAGCCAGATTTATATATGGAAGAGTGCTTGGTTGTTTTTTGTTTTGGCTTTAAAAACAAGCAAAAAAAAAAAGCTTAAAACAAAACAAAACAAAACAAAAGCGATGTTGGTAGTGCTCTTCACATACACATTCCCTTTAAAATGTAGTTTTGAAAGTGGAGTAGAGGGGTTAGCTCCTCTGCCTCCTTGTGTCCCCGTTGGGCCCACCCCATCCCTCTCCAGCCAACACAGTGGCTGTTGTTGTAAGAAAGTGTGTCATACCGGCTCCATTTGCACGTGAACTCTGTGCTCATTTTTTGCAAGATCCATTTCCAGAAAGTCTTCAGGTATGTCCTGTAAAGTCTTCCCACGATGGCTCACTACCTTTGTTTCACCTGAGTGATGATGCTGGCACAGTCCCATCTTACACGGTCTCACCAGGGCGAGGCACACAGCAGCCAGGGCCATGCCAGCTGCGCAGGAGTAGAAGGCCCTGCTGTAGATCTTACTTTGGTCCACCAACAAACCTGGAAGAGAGCATGGCGTCCGTTAACAGCATCCTTCCTAGACATAAGCCCCTCACCCAGGCGACCATCCCATTCAGAAGCCTCTCAGTTTCACTGCCTTCCTTGTTTTCTTTTGTGTTTCTAAAGAAAAATGGGTGTTAAGGGCAGAAATCTTTACTAGACTGGAGAGGAGAAAGAGACAAACACCCAATATACTTGTTCTTCTTGGGCTAAGCCTGTCCTAGCAGAGGACCTAAAACCTGGGACATTTCGATGCATACTTCTTTGAAAAGGTAATATTCTTCGGTAGGAAGGAACTGTATTATTTTCACTTGAGTTCACTTTAGGTTTTTTTTTTTTTTTTTTAGACAGAGTTTTATTCTTGTTGCCCCAGGTGGAGTGCGATGGTGCAATCTCAGGTCACTGCAACCTCTGCCTCCCAGGTTCAAGCGATTCTCCTGCCTCAGCCTCCCGAATAGCTGGGATTAGAGGTGTCTGCCACCATGCCCAGCTACTTTTGTATTTTTAGTAGAGATGGGGTTTTGCCATGTTGGCCAGGCTGGTCTGGAACTCCTGACCTCAAATGATCCGCCCGCCTCATCCTCCCAAAGTGTTGGGATTAGAGGCATGAGCCACTGCGCCCGGCCCGTTTTAGGTATCTTTTGACAGGGGGTACGATTTCTAATCACAAACACTTTAAAGACCCATTTGGGATCTAAGATATGAAACATACCTATGTCCCTCCTACAAGGAAATATTCTGTACAAATCAGTTAGGTATTTACAGAGTGCTGCTATCCATTCCCAAATACCTTTCCTAAGAAAGGAAGATGACTTACAGAAGTCCATTAGTTCTATCATTCCAAAAGTCAGGTGGGCTCTGAAGGTGATAAATCCATGAGTTCTTGCCTAGCATGAGAGAAGGCAAGGTGACAGAAAAAGCCTGGGTTGGCGGGTGCGGTGGCTCACACCTGTAATCCTAGTACTTTGGGAGGCCAAGGCAGGCGGATCACGAGGTCAAGAGATTGAGACCATCCTGGCCAACATGGTGAAACCCCATCTCTACTAAAAATACAAAAATTAGCCAGGCGTGGTGGTGGGTGCCTGTAGTCCCAGCTACTCAGGAGGCTGAGGCAGGAGAATCACTTGAATCTGGGAGGTGGAGGTTGCAGTGAGCTGAGACTGCGCCACTGCACTCCAGCCTGGGTGATAGAGCGAGACTCCATCTCAAAAAAAAAAAAAAAAGGCCAGGGTCAATCTGGACTACAGACACAGCTTCCAGTCCTGAATCGACCACTAATTTACCATCTGACCTTTAGCTTCAATTCTTTGGCCTTCAGTTTCCTCATATTTAAATCAAGAGGGCTGGCTCAGGTAATCTCTAATCCCTGGCAGCTCTAAAATTCAATGGAAATATAAAACGGCAGTAAGTTTTTTTTATGGCTTGAACAGGAAGCTAGCACAATTCACAAGGGAAAGTAGACAAGTGTTTGTATTTTGTGTATTTAAATTACCTGCAAGGGGCGGTCCAGCCAGTCCTGCTATGCTCTGAATGAAGATGTAGACCCCAGCTGCAGAAGACATCTTCTCAATGCCCACGACATCATCCTCAGCAAGCAGTGGAATGTGAGTCCCTCCTATTGTTCCAACCATAAACCCAAAAAATATGCTGCATGACATTAGACCCCAGAATTCAGTAGCAAAAGTAAAGGCAAACAGAGACACAGTCAATAAGATGACGCAGATGAGCTCAATGTAAATCTTACGAATGGGCTCCCTGTTGAGGACAAAACCAGCTCCGATCCTTCCGAAAACTTCTGCAATGGCCATCGTAGATAATAAAAAAGCAGCGCGGTCCTGGTCAATGCCCAGACTAATGCCCAGAGGAATGATGTACAAGGAAGGTGCAAAGAATCCCAGTGTTGCAAAGAGACCAAATAATGCATAACAAATAAAACTTTTCTCTTTCAAAATGGAGAAGTCTAATAGCGGGGCTTTCTTTTCGCTTGGCCTGGGGCTGGTCTTCACCAGGACCTGCTGCATGTCGGCCTTCGGCTCCAGTTCCAGGTTAGTGTGAGTAGGCACATTTTTAGGTGAGGTAGTTAGTTCTACTCCTGAGTCAATGGAGTCTATTGAGGTTCGTGTTTTCTCATTTTCAAGCATATACTGCGCTTCTTTCCGATTTTCCTGGATGACTATTTTCGGTGACGCTGGTCCTCTGATAAAGATGGGTCTGAGCAGTGCTCCGAAGATGACAATGTTTAACTGTAGTAGGCCCACGAAGAGGAGGCTGTATCTCCAGCCAATGCGCTCCTTCAGAGCCATGATTGCTTGAATAGGCAGGAGTGAAGAAGAAATAATATAAGGTCAATAATGGACTCAAGACCCAGGAGAAGCCATCAAGAAGAAATATGGATCCAGATTTTGTTATAAGTTCTGTGGAAATTTATTATACTCAGCAGTATGAATGTACTCAATCTTTATTTATTTACTTTTTGAGACAGAGTCTCACTCTGTCACCAGGCTGGAGTGCAGTGGCCTGATCTCAGCTCACCGCAACCTCCACCTCCCGGGTTCAAGCGATTCTCCTGCCTCAGCCTCCTGAGTAGCTGGGACTATAGGCGTGCGCCACCACGACCAGCCAATTTTTGTATTTTTAGTAGAGACAGGGTTTCACTGTGTTGGCCAGGATGGTCTCGATCTCCTGACCTCCTGATCTGCCTGCCTCGGCCTCTCAAAGTACTGGGATTACAGGCATGAGCCACTGCACCTGGCCTTTTTTTGTGTGTTTTAAGTAGAGACAGGTTTTTGCCATGTTGGCCAGGCTGGTCTCGATCACCTGACCTCAGGTGATCCGCCCACCTCAGCCTCCCAAAGTGCTGGGATTACAGGTGTAAGCCACCGTGCTCAGTTACAGATTTTGTTTTGAGATGATCTACACACAGATAAGAATGCTGTGTTTATTAGCATAATCTAAATCCACATTGAATGTAGCTCTTTTGAAAAACGAGAGGACATAACAGGTGAATAATTGCAAATTACTAGATTATTCTGGAATGCATGTGTCAAGAAAGCCCTACCACTGCATATGTGCCCAGTTAGGAATTGAAACCTATTATTAAGGTGGTCTGAATACCTAAAGTGGGGGTTAGGGAGGACAGATCCTAAAAATGAGCTGGAGAAGAGACGTAAATAACGTCTCATTACACATACACTGAAAGTCATCCATACTGTTGGCAAAAGTTAGCGTAGCAAGAATACCTGAGTGACGTCTCTCATCCACATTCATACTTAGGCTGTTGTAGTCCACCTACCTGGTGCGAAAGCAAACACAGCGAAACATTCTCCTGTGGAAGCAACTGCAGTGACTATGGAACGTCTTTTGCCAAAATATTGTGATAGGATGGTTACAGTTGGGAGAAAACTAAAGCAGTATCCCAGACCTGTGAAAGAAAAGTCAAAAAAGCCAATGAGACCCACATACTGCTTGAGACTGGAAGGATGCATTAAAAGATCTGGGATTTTTGGTTTTGCTTTTTGAATCTTAAGTTCTAGGAGCCAAGTAATTCATTCTGGACAAAGGTGATGTTGCAAAGAAAAATGGGTTTCATTAACGGTCTGGATAAACTTCAGTGGTTGTTTGGGATACTAAAAATATAACTTTTTTTTTTTTTATCTTTGCAACACTTTTTTTCAAATTTATATAATTCACAATGGATGAAACTATTATTGCATGAAATTTTATATAAGATTTGTATCTAGAAAGAAATAAGTCATTTCATATGTGCAGAAATACAGGAAAAATTTAAAGTCTGCAAATCTTAACAACTGTGTGTGTATCTATCATCTATGAGGAATATATGGCCTCCTTTTATTGTTCATTTCATTTTTTTTTTTTTAAACAGACAGGGTCTCACTCTGTTGCCCAGGCTGGAGTGCAGTGGTGTGATCACAGCTCACTGGAGCCTTGACCTCCCAGGCTCAAGTGATCCTCCCACCTCAGCCTCCAAAGTGATAGGATGGTTACAGCTGGGACCACAGGCACGCACCACCACGCTTGGCTAGTTTTTATTTTTTGTAGAGATGGAGTCTCCCTATGTTGCCCCAGTTGGTCTCAAACTGCTGGGCTCACGTGATCCTCCTGTCTCAGCCTCCCGAAGTGCTGGGATTACAGGCATGAGCCACCATGCTGGCTACTCCTTTTGAATGGAAAAAGGTTTTCTTAGGCCCCCAAGAATAAGTCTGGCATGTTGCACTTCCCCTACAGCCCTGGATCCTCAGACACTGATGTGAGAAATACTGGCTACAGAAATTCGTCTTACTTTGTAAAAATGCTATCTTTTGGCTGCAAATACAGCAAAAGAGAAATTATCATCATCTTTGGTGAAGATCAAACAAAAACCCTTGGGCACTTGAGAACAGATTCCCAGGTCCCCTGAAGTCCATATAGCTCAGTTCAAAACTACTGATCTGAGACACTGTTAATGTTAAAGAAAAAAAGAAAGAGAAAGAAATATAGTTTGGCTTTAATTTCCTCCTTCCCCTTCCTTGTTCTTCAAACTAAGTGTCTAGACAACTTCTGAGCCAAAGAGGAACACTTACCAGAGATGATGCCGATGGCGACGTACATATGAGAAACCTCTTGTGAGAAGGAGGCGGCCACCATCCCGGTGCTGACAAGTAGCCCCCCCAACATCACTACCAGACGGTGTCCGAAACGATTGCTCAGGACTGTGGCGAGGGGAGCTGCCGGGAAAGAACAAAACGATATTTTAACTCACAGAGGCTTCAGGGTTAGCTGCCATAAGACTCCTTCCTCCACGTCTTGCACATGGAGAGATGATGTCGAATATAAATATGGCCGAGCGCAGTGGCTCATGCCTGTAATCCCAGCACTTTGGGAGGTTGAGGACGGAGGATCGCTTGAGCCCAGGAGTTCAAGACTAGCCCGGGCAACATGGTGAAACCCCGTCTCTACAAAAAATACAAAAATTAGCCAGGCATGGTGGTGTGCACCTGTAGTCCCAGCTACTTGGCAGGCAGAGATGGGAGGATTGTTTGAGCCTGGGAGGCAGACGATGCAGTGAGCCAAGATTGCACCACTGCACTCCATACTGGGTGACAGAGTGAGACCCTGTCTCAAGAAAAAACAAAACCAAACCATAACACATTTCATGCAAAGTCAGTGCAGGAATTATTTTACTATTTGTTCAAATTCAACACGATTTGTCAGACTCCTGAAAGAGAAAGCCAGAATAACAGTATAAAACTTTTATCTATATTTTTAGATGACTCTGACTCACCATGAGCACCTATAAAATTAGATATGTATTGAATTTATGTTATTCTATAATAAAAATTGGTTTTCCTATGATTGCTTGAATTATTTTTTCTCTACTCACTACTTTGGATTCTTTTTAAAAAGCTCCATTTGGGGTCAGATTCTAGTTAGTTTCTTTCTTTTTTTTTTTTTGAGATGGAGTTTTGCTCTTGTTTTCTAGGCTGGAGTGCAGTGGTGTGATCTCGGCTCACTGCAACCTCCACCTCCTGGGTTCAACTGATTCTCCTGCCTCAGCCTCCCAAGTAGCTGGGATTACAGGCATGTGCCACCATGCCCGGCTGATTGTGTATTTTTAGTAGAGATGGGGTTTCTCCATGTTGGTCAGGCTGGTCTCGAACTACTGACCTCAGGTGATCCGCCCACCTCGGCCTCCCAAAGTGTTGGGATTACAGGCGTGAGCCACCGCGCCCAGCCTAGTTAGTTTCTTGACAGGATGAAAGAATGTGAATTCTAAGTTATGCACTCCTGAAGGAGAGTTGCTATGGGATAGATAATTGAAAGTGAATCATCATTTGCTTAGCTTCTATAAGCTGTATCCCCTAGGACATTTAAATCTGGCAAATTAGTTTCCTAGTTATAGGTTACTTAATATTAACTTGACAACAGTGACGTAAGTGAGCCATTGAGAGTTGGGTCAAGGAACAACAACATGCTAGAAAAGGAAGTGGGAAAAAAAGGATTCCATTTTTTTGGGTTAGTCTATATGTATCTACTATGTTAACTATTAGAATACAAAGTAATCTTGGATGTAGCTCATAATAAAACCACTCTCATCATTTTGAGCCAGGATGTTGGCTCAAAGCATTAACAACTAGAATAATAGCATTTGGAAGAATTATCTTCTGGTATAATAGTATTAAGTGGAAATTTCTTGTTGACTACATTTTTATTTTTAGTTATAAAAGACCTAAAACTTAAGCTTTGGGATTTTCTTTTTATTTAGATTACCAAATGTAACATTTTAGTCCTAATTCATTTGTTATCTTTCTAAGAAGGTAATTAAGCATTCCACAATTTAAAAATGAAGTTATCTTGGCTGGGTGCGGTGGCTTACACCTGTAAATCCAGCACTTTGGGAGGCCGAAGCAGGTGGATCACGAGTTCAGGAGTTAGAGACTAGCCTGGCCAACATAGCAAAACCCCGTCTCTACTATAAAAATACAAAAAATTAGCCAGGCGTGGTGGCAGGTGCCTGTAATCCCAGCTACTCGGGAGGCTAAGGCAGGAGAATCACTTGAACCTGGGAGGCGGAGGTTGCAGTGAGCTGAGACCGCACCACTGCACTCCAGCCTAGGCAACAAAGCGAGACTCCGTCTCAAAAAAAAAAAAAATTAAGTTATCTTGATACTCACTTAAAATAGAACCAGGAATGACTTCATGAAACTTGTAAGGGATAGTATGAGAACTAACAAGATAAATTTCTCTCTCTCTCTTTTTTTATTTTTTGAGACAGAGTCTTGCTCTGTCTCCCAGGCTGGAGTGCAGTGGCACAATCTCAGCTCACTGCAACCTCTGCCTCCCAGGATCAAGTGATTCTCCTGCCTCAGCCTTCCGAGTAGCTGGGATTACAGGTGCCCACCACCACACCCGGCTAACGAGAAATTTCTACCTTACCCAAAGGGTAAAAACATGTAGAACTGCCTTGTAAAGACATTCTATGGCTAAAAATGGACTACATTTAAAGAAGGGCTTTAATTTCAGCAATAACTTCAGAGATAACAGTTCCATGACAGTGTGTAAGTGTAAACTTAGGGAAGTTTAAGGTCAGCCTGGTTAACTTTCTTTATTTTTTTTATTTTTTGAGATGGGGTCTTGCTCTGTTGCCCAGGCTGGAATGCAATGGCATGATCATGGCTCACTGCAGCCTTGACCTCCCAGGCTCAAGCAATTCTCGCTCTGCAGCCTCCTGAGTAGCTGGGATCACAGGTGTGTACCACCATGCCCGGCCAATTTTTTATTTTAATTTTTTGTAGAGATGGAGTCTTGCTATGTTGCCCAGGCTAGTCTCAAACTCTAGGGCTCAAGCAATCCTTTCATCTTGGCCTCCCAGAGTGCTGGGATTACAGGCGTGAGCCACCATGCCCAGCTTGGTTAACTTTCTGAGGTGAGTTCAACAGCCCTTTTCTCTTAGAAAACCCTTGGCAATTATTTCTGACAGACCAATGAACTCATGAGACCTGGCATGTATATTCAATAGCCCTTTATAGGACCAAGTGAAGATTAGTATGTTAAAAATGATACTGAAGCCCCATTTTATTTTATGCGATTGGGTCTGGGAGTATATTATGTAATGATGAATCAGTGAAGTCCTTTAGGGAAACAGGTGCTTGGAATTCAGAAGGTCTCCTCAGAACAATATTTGTAATTTCACCTTATCTCCTTGTACACATCTCATTTTGCTTCATGCATCCACATTTACATGTTTCCACTTGGAATTATGAGATTGGGGCCTGGTATGTCAGCAATTATTATTATTATTATTTTGAGATGGAGTCTCACACTGTCGCCCAGGCTGGAGTGCAATGGCATGATCTGGGCTTACTGCAACCTCCACCTCCCAGGTTCACACGATTCTCCTACCTCAGCCTCCTGAGTGCTGGGATTACAGGCACATACCACCATGCCCAGTTAATTTTTTGTATTTTTAGTAGAGAGGGGGTTTCACTATGTTGGTCAGGCTGGTCTCGAATTCCTGACCTCGTGATCCACCTGCCTCGGCTTTCCAAAGTGCTGGGATTACAGGCGTGAGCCACCGCGCCCGGCCGCAACTTTTTTCTTTTTTGAGATGGTGTCTCGCTCTGTTGCCCAGGCTGGAGTGCAGTGGTGTGATCTCAGCTCACTGCAACCTCCGCCTCCTGGGTTCAAGCAATTCTCGTGCCTCAGCCTCCCAAGTACTGAGGATTACAAGTGCAAAACACTGTGCCTGGCTAATTTTTCTATTTTCAGTAGAGATGGGGTTTCGCCATGTTGGCCAGCCTGGTCTTGAACTCCTGACCTCAACTGATCCACCCACCTTGACCTCTCAAAGTGCTTACAGGTGTGAGCCACTGTGCCCGGCCATCAGCAACTTTTTGATGTTGCTTCTTAGACAGTGACTATATCCTCACATCCTCACAAAAGGAGGTTGACTGCACTCCTTAAGGGAATCTACAGAATCCTAAGAGTGTGCAGACAGCAGATGTTTAATACATGTGTGTTAAACTGAAGGCTGTCATGGCTGGCAAATAAGGCTTTTTTTCTTCAGTGCCTTTTGTTTCTTGCCAATCCTCAATGCTCTGAAAACCCTGTTAGTCAGGGCTAGGAAGGACCAACAGGCGTATAAGGGAATGAAAGCATCACAAACACATCGACTACCATTACCAAGGTAGCCAAATTAAAAGGGCCCTATACTTACGTCATGGTTAGGCCGAAAGATGTACTAACCTGAAAATGTTAAGACAAACACACAGATTGAGATTATCCATGAGATCCTGCTATTGGATTCATTAAAACTGTCCATTAAGTCATTAAAGAAGACACCAAATGTCTTGATGATGCCGTAGGTGAAGACTTCAACGAAGAAAAATGAAACAGCTACCGCCCAGCCCCATCCTCCATCAGGCACTTCAGTATACACATTGGCTTTGGAACAAAGCTTTAATTTATTTTGGGTCATTCTTAATCTGAAAGAAAAAGTTAAAAGCAATTCAGATCAGCAATAGCATGAGGATCGATGATTCTCATACTCTTAAGCAAACAACAGATAAGAACTACTTACCCCATTTCTTAAGTTGTTGAATATTTATTTATTTATTTATTTATTGAGATGGAGTCTTGCTCTGTCATCCAGGCTAGAGTGCAGTGGCATGATCTCAGCTCACTGCAACCTCTGCAATTCTCCTACGTCAGCCTCCCAAGTAGCTGGGACTACAGGCATGTGCCACCACAGCCAGCTAATGTTTTTTCTTTTTCCTTTTTTTTTTTTTTTTTTTTGAGACAGAGTCTCACTCTGTTGCCCAGGCTGCAGTGTAGTTGTGTGATCTTGGCTCACTGAAATCTCGGCCTCCCGGGTTCAAGTGATTCTCCTGCCTCAGCCTCCCGAGTAGCTGGGATTACAGATGCCCACCATCACACCCGGCTAATTTTTGTATTTTTAGTAGAGATGGGGTTTTGCCATGTTGGCCAGGCTGGGCTCAAACTCCTGACCTCAAGGGATCCACCCGCCTTGACCTCCCAAAATGCTGGGATTATAGGCATGAGCCACCACACCCAGCTGATTGTTGAATATTTAAATCATGTACAAGCAGTATAAAGTATTTGGATACTTTTATGCATATATATGTATATACAAATCTTGGTATTGTACATGGGGCCTCCCAAAAAGAAAGTTAAATGGGAAAAACAGACATGAAGAACCAGAGCAGAATATTTAGAAGCATATTGAAGGACACCAAATGGCCACCAGACCAAGTATTAATGCTGACCTTGAAGGACTCAACTTAGGCAAAAAAAGACTGAATTGACCATAAGGAATGTTGATCAGAAATGAAGCCTAGAAAACGGAGGCTGAAAAGCAAACATTGGCGGTGCATCCAGCACCTTCCACCGAGTAAGTGTTTGAGATACCATAAGCGTCTCTGCTTGATGTCCCTGGCCACCGCGATCACCTAGTCAACTCTTCTTCCCCGCCATTTTCTACTCAGTAAGCAATATTCTGATTATGATTTGGTGTTCCATGTGGATGTACCTACACAGACACAATGTCACTATAAATCAAAATGAGGGCATTCTGTCTTCTGGGAGTTTGTTAAGCAGGAGTAATTTCCTCAAAGTTGACCACCACTTAGTATATTAGCAATTGAATTTCCAAGTACATGATGATACTCTAGAATATGGTGTCTAAATAAGGTACTATTATACAAGCCTGTAGGGCCCCATCTGGACACCAGTTAACTGAGTTACCCCTAACCTCACTGTGCCTCTCCATTCAAACTGCAATAAACATCAGAACAAGCCAACCTGTCTTAACACTTCTAAGGAGACATTGACATTGACATTGGTTTAACTTAAGTCTTCTGGATTGGGCTCTAGCACATGAATACTGTCTTTTTCAAAGCCTCTGTAATTACATATACTTTGAAACAGTCATGTGTATTTTTAGCCTAACTAAAAATTAATGATATCTATAATAATCAATGAGTCCATGGTCTTCAAGCTCTTAATGGCAACCAACTTCAAGTTTAAGAATTCTTTATGGCTGGGCGCGGTGGCTCACACCTGTAATCCCAGCACTTTGGGAGGCCAAAGCGGGTGGATCACCTGAGGTCAGGAGTTCGAGACCAGCCTGGCCAACATGGCAAAACCCCGTCTCTACTAAAACTACAAAAATTAGCTGGGCATGGTGGCAGGCACCTGTAATCCCAGCTACTCAGGAAGCTGAGGCAGGAGAATTGCTTGAACCTGGGAGGAGGAGGTTGCAGTGAGCTGAGACTGCACCACTGCACTCCAGCCTGGGCAATAGAGCAACTCTGTCTCAAAAAAAAAAAAAAAAAAAAAGAATTATTTATATATGACCCAAAGCAATCTACAGAGTGGATTCCTATCAAAATACCAATGACATTCTTCACAGAAATAGAAGAAAAAAATCCTAAAATTTGTATGGAACCACAAAAGATCATGAATAGCCAAAGCCATCCTGAAAAAAAGAACAAAGCTGGAGGCATCACACTAACAGACCTCAAAATATATGACAACACAACAGTAATCAAAACAGCATGGTACTGGCATAAAAACAGACACACTGACCAATGGAACAGAAGAGAGAACCCTGAAATTAATCCACATGTCTACACCCAACTGATTTTTGGCAAAGGTGCCAAAGACATTCATTGGAGAAAGTTCAGTCTCTTCAATAAATGGCACTTTGAAAACTGGATATCAATACAAACAATGAAACTAAATCCCCACCTTTCACCCTATACAACAATCAACTAAAAATGGATCAAAGACTTAAATGTAAGACCTAAAACTATAAAACTACTAGAAGAAAACATAGGGGAAACACTTTAGGACATTTGTCTGAGGAAAGATTTTTATGGATAAGACTGGAAGAGCACACACAACAAAAGCAGAAATAAACATGGGATTATATTAAGCTAAACAGATTCTGCGCAGCAAAGGAAACATATCAACAGAGTGAGGCCAGATGTAGTGTGTCACGCTATAATCCCAGCACTTCGGGATGCCAAGGTGGGTGGATTACCTGAGCTAAGGCGTTTGAGACCAGCCTGGGCAACATGGTGAGATGCCATCCTTACTGAAAATACGAAAAATTAACTGGGCCTGGTGGCACACACCTGTAGTCCCAGCTGCTTGGGAGGCTGAGGGACGAGGATTGCTTGAATCCAGGAGGTGGAGGTTGCAGTGAGCTGAGATCATGCCACTTCACTCTAGCCTGGGTGACAGAAGGAGACTCTGCCTCCAAAAAAAAAAAAAAAGAATGAAAAGACAACCCACAGAAGGGTAGACAATATTTGCAAACTATTCATCTGACAGGGGATTAATAGCCAGAATATACAAGGAACTCAAACATCTTAACAGCAAAAAAACTCCCCAACAATCTGGCTTAAAAATGGGTGAACAGGCTGGTGGCGGTGGCTCACGCCTGTAATCCCAGCACTTTGGGAGCCTGAGGCAGGTGGATCATGAGGTCAAGAGATCGAGACCATCCTGGCCAACATAGTGAAATCCCGTCTCTACTAAAAATACAAAAATTAGCTGGGCGTGGTGGCATGCACCTCTACACCTGTAGTCCCAGCTACTCGCGAGGCTGAGGCAGGAGACTCACTTGAACCTGGGAGGTGGAGGTTGCAGTGAGCCGAGATCGTGCCACTGTACTCCAGCCTGGTGACACAGCGAGACTCTGTCTCAAATAAATAAATAAATAAATAAAATGGGTGAATAATCTGAGCAGACATTTCTCAAAAGACATACATATGGCCAACAAATATATGAAAAAATGCTCAACATCACAAATCATTACGGAAATCCAAATCAAAACCACAGTGAGGTATCATCTTACCTCATTTGGGATGGCTATGATCAGAAGACAAAAAAATAACAAATGCTGGCAAGGATGCGGAGAAAAGAACTCTTATACACTGTCGGTGGGAATGTAAACTAGTACGGCCAATAAGGAGAACAGTATGGAGCTTCCTCAAAAAACTACAAATATAGGAACACTTTT
Source organism: Homo sapiens (assembly GCF_000001405.40). Taxonomy (NCBI): domain Eukaryota; kingdom Metazoa; phylum Chordata; class Mammalia; order Primates; family Hominidae; genus Homo; species Homo sapiens. The sequence goes on from NC_000017.11 coordinate 68,281,891, forward strand.
ACACTGCTGGTGGGACTGTAAACTAGTTCAACCATGGTGGAAGACAGTGTGGCAATTCCTCAAGGATCTAGAACTGGAAATACCATTTGACCCAGCCATCCCATTACTGGGTATATACCCAAAGGATTATAAATCATGCTGCTATAAAGACACATGCACACGTATGTTTATTGCGGCACTATTCACAACAGCAAAGACTTGGAACCAATCCAAATGTCCATCAATGATAGACTGGATTAAGAAAATGTGGCACATATATACCATGGAATACTATGCAGCCATAAAAAAGGATGAGTTCATGTCCTTGGTAGGGACATGGATGAAGCTGGAAACCATCATTCTCAGCAAACTATCGCAAGGACAAAAAAAACAAACACCACACGTTCTCACTCATAGGTGGGAATTGAACAATGAGAACACTTGGACACAGGAAGGGGAACATCACACACCGGGGCCTGTCGTGGGGTTGGGGGAAGGGGGAGGGATAGCATTAGGAGATATACCTAATGTTAAATGACGAGTTAATGGGTGCAGCACACCAACATGGCACATCTATACATATGTAACAAATCTGCACGTTGTGCACATGTACCCTAGAACTTAAAAAAAAAAAAAACTACACATAGGACCAGGCGCAGTGGCTCACGCCTGTAATCCCAGCACTTTGGGAAACTGAGGCTGGAGGATTGCTTGAGCCCTGCAGTTTGAGAACAGCCTGGGTAATATAGGGAGACGCTGTCTCTACAAAAAAGTATAAGAAGAAATTAGCAGTGCCGGGCATGGTGGCTCATGCCTGTAATCCCAGAACTTTGGGAGGCCGAGATGGGTGGATCATGAGGTCAGGAGTTTGAGAGCAGTCTGGCCAACATAGTGAAACCCCATCTCTACTAAAAAAAAAAAAAAAAAAAAAGGCCAGGTGTGCTGGTGGGTGCCTGTAACCCCAGCTACTTGGGAGGCTGAGGCAGGAGAATTGCTTGAACCCCGGAGGTGGAGGTTGCAGTGAGCTGAGATTGTGCCACTGCACTCCAGCCCGGGTGACAGTGCAAGACTCTGTCTCAAAAAAAAAAAAAAAAGAAAGAAAATTAGCGGGGTGTGGTGACACATACCTGTAGTCCCAGCCACTTGGGTGGCTGAGGTGGGAGGATTGCTTGAGTTGAGGCTGGAAGCTTGAGGCGGCAGTAAGAAGTGATCACACTACTGCACTCTTGCCTGAATGACAGAGCAAGACCCTGTCTAAAAAAAATTTTTTTTTAAGTTGGCTGGCGTGGTGGCTCACACCCATAATCCTATCACTTTAGGAGGTCGAGGTGGATGGGTCACTTGAGGTCAGGAATTCAAGACCAGACTGGGCCGGGCGCAGTGGCTCACGCCTGTAATCCTAACACTTTGGGAGGCCGAGGCAGGCGAATCACGAGGTCAGGAGATCAAGACCATTCTGGCAAACACGATGAAACCCCGTCTCTACTAAAAATACAAAAAAATTAGCCAGGCGTGGTGGCGGGCGCCTGTAGTCCCAGCTACTCCGGAGGCTGAGGCAGGAGAATGGCGTGAACCCGGGAGGCGGAGCTTGCATTGAGCCGAGATCGCGCCACTGCACTCCAGCCTGGGCGACAGAGTGAGACTCCGTATCAGAAAAAAAAAAAAAAGGCTGGGCACGGCGGCTCACGCCTGTAATCCCAGCACACTTTGGGAAGCTGAGGCGGGTGGATCACCTGAGGTTGGGAGTTTGAAACCAGCCTGACCAACATGGAGAAACGCTGTCTCTACTAACAAACTACAGAAATGATCCCTGAAAGTATAGTCTTGAAACCCTGTCTCTACTAAAAAAAAATACAAAATTAGCCGGGTGTGGTGGCGCACGCCTGTAATCCCAGCTACACGGGAGGCTGAGGCAGGAGAATCACTTGAACCTGGAAGGCAGAGGTTGTGGTGAGCCGAGATCGTGCTATTGCACTCCAGCCTGGGCAAAAAGAGCAAAACTCCGTCTCAAAAAAAAAAAAAAAAAAAGACCAGCCTGGCCAACATAGCAAAACACTGTCTCTACTAAAAATACAAAAATTAGTAGTAGCACGAGCCTGTTATCCCAGCTACCCAGGAGGCTGAGGCACGAGAATCACTTGAACCTAGGAGTCGGAGGTTGCAGTGAGCCGAGGTCACACCACTGCACTCCAGCCTAGAGTGAGCAATAGAGCAATAGAGTGAGACTCTGTCTCAAAAAAAAAAAAAAAAAAAAAAGCTGGGCGCAGTGGCTCATGCCTGTAATCCTTTGGGAGGCCAAGGTAGGTGGATCACTTGAGGTCAGGAGTTTGAGACCAGCCTAGCCAACATGGTGAAACCCGGTGTCTGCTAAAAATGCAAAAACTAGCCAGGTGTGGTGGCACGTGCCTGTAGTCCCAGCTGCTCAGGAGGCTGAGGTTCACTTGAACCCGGGAGGCAGAGGTTGCAATGAGCCAAGATCGTGCCACTGCACTCCAGTCTGGGTGACAGAGCAAGACTCTGTCTAAAATAAATAAATAAAATAATAAATAAAATGTAAAAAGAAAATTCTTTACAATTATACAATTGTATACAGGTGAATTTTCAGGGTCAGGGTGCATTATATCCTTTATATCCTTTTCCTAGCCATAAGTTGTTGGGTCAAAGTTACTAAGGCAAAGGTTTTATTGAAAGTAGAAGGCAACTGAAAAATAACAGGACACAACCTCATCTATCCAACAGACTTGCTGGTTTTCTATTTTTAAAATCTAATGTTCTGAATTTACTCTACAAATCTTAAAAAGCAGCAAATCTGATCTAACTTAGTATCATTCATCCTACTGATAGCGCCATTCCCACTGTAGCCTAGTACTTGGGAAGGACTATATATTCACTTTATACACTATTACGGCTAAATATTTGGTTGATTAAAATAAGGCATAAGATGCTGTAAGATGAGTATGCTCTTTGCAGCAAAGGCCTTTGCATTTTGATGTGTGTTGATATGTCATAAATTATATGCTCACAAAATCTGAGGTCTATTTCTCTTTGTACAACCCCATGTCCCCGGACCCTGCCTGTACCTTGTACACAGCTTGTATTTATTTTTGCAACAAAATACCTATCAGGTGCCAGGTCCTCGCTTTCACTATAGGGGCACTACAGTGAAAAGACCAAGAGATGGTCTCTGCCTCCATGGACTAAAATATTTGCTGATGATGATGCTAAGGAAAATGAATGCATCTGAAATGCATCCTATGTAAATGATTCAACCACATCTTGCCAGAGTTCAGCACATTTCTGACAAGCAGTCAGGACTCAGTAGCTACTAAGACCAAGGTCAAATTGGCACAGTTGTTCTAACCCAGAAATGTGCCCAGAAGGTCTTAAGAGTTTTAATGGAGGGCTCAGGACCACCTTGAAACAAAACATATAGTGATAAAATTTGATAAAGACCCTAGAGAGACGTGGAGTGCAGTGGCACGATCATAGCTCACTGCAGCCTCAAAACTCCTGGGCTCGTGCAGGGCACGGTGGCTCACACCTGTAATCCCAGCACTTTGGGAGGCCGAGGTGGGTGGATTGCCTTAGGTCAGGTTTCGAGATCAGCCTGGCCAACATGGTGAAACCCCGTCTCTACTAAAATTACAAAAATTAGCCTGGTGTGGTGGTGCGCACCTGTGCTTCCAGCTACTCGGGAGGCTGCGGTGGGAGAACTGCTTGAACCCAGGAGGCAGAGGTTGCAGTGAGCTGAGATTGTGCCGCTGCGCTCCAGCCTGCGTGACAAGAACGAGACTCCGTCTCAAAAAACAAAAACAAAAAAACTCCTGGGCTCAAGTGACCCTACTCAGCCTCTCAAGTGGCTAGGACTATAGGTATGTGCTACCATGCCCAGCCAATTTTTTTTTTTTTTAATTTATGTTTTGAGATGGAGTCCAGGCTGGAATGCAGTGGCATGATTTCGGCTCACTGCCACCTCCATCCCCCAGGTTCAAGCAATTCTTTGCGTCAGCCTCCCAAGTAGCTGGGATTACAGACGCCCGCCACCATGCCCAGCTAATTTGTTGTATTTTTAGTAGAGACAGGGTTTCACCATGTTGGCCAGGCCGGTCTGGAACTCCTGACCTCGTGATCCACCCACCTCGGCCTCCCAAAGTGCTGGGATTACAGATGTGAGCCACCGCGCCTGGCATAATTTTTATTTTTTGTAGAGACAGGGTCTCACCATGTGGACCGGGCTGTGGGTTGCATTTAGATGAGTGGGACCAGATTGCAGTTTTTGTATGAGCTGAGATTACCTGCCATCATGAGAAGGCTCTGTCTGGCCAGCACTGAAGTTCTGGTGCCAGCTGCCCCTTTCCTCTCTTCCCTTGCCTGTATCATCAGATGTTTACACTTGCAAAAGGGATGGGGCTAGGATGAATCTGTAACCCCTGAATAGAGTTAGAATTATTGAATGTTAAAGCTGAAGGGGAAAATTGAGGTTATCTTTTTCAATTCCTTTTTGTAAAATCTTACTCATTTTGTAAAATCGGGAAACTGATCCCCAAGAGGTGAAGGGACTTGACTGAAATAGCCCAATACTGAATCTCCTGCCTTCCAGGGCTCCTGCTGTACAAGCCTACAGGAGAGCATTTTATTGTATTTAATTTTTTTGAGATGGAGTCTTGCTATGTCACCTAGGCTGAAGTGCAGTGGCACGATCTTGGCTCACTGCAACCTTAGCCTCCCGGGTTCAAGCGATTCTTCTGCCTCAGCCTCCCGAGTAGCTGGGATTACAGGCACCCACCATCATGCCCGGTTGATTTTTGTATTTTTAGTAGAGATGAGGTTTCAGTATGTTAGCTAGGCTGGTCTCGAACTCCTGACCTCAAGTGATCTGCCCGCCTTGGCCTCCCAAAGTGTGGGATTACAGGTGTGAGAAACAGCTGATACTTTTGAATTTAGTACTGAATTCTATTAATCAACTGATGGCTTAAGCGAAGCCTGGTGGCCCAAGGAAACTGAGCTCGGAGAAAGTGTAAATGCTAGATGGTTCTTGCAAACATGGGTGTAAAGTAGCTAGCTGGTCATTGCTTAGATCTATTCTATGACAGCTGTTTAGAAGATGGTGGACTTTTTGTTTTTGTTTTTGGAGATGGAGTTTCGCTCTTGTTGCCTAGGCTGGAGTGCCATGGCACAATCTCAGCTCACTGCAACCTCCACCTCCCGGGTTCAAGTGATTCTCCTGCCTTAGCCTCCCAAGAAGCTGGGATTACAGGCATGCGCCACCATGCCCGGCTAATTTTGTTTTAGTAGAGATGGAGTTTCACCATGTTGGTCAGGCTGGTCTTGAACTCCTAACCTCAGGTGATCTGCCTGCTTTGGCCTCCCAAAGTGATAGTATTAAACGTTAGATAGTATCTAAACGATAGTGCTGGGATTACACGCGTGAGCCAGCATGCCCAGCCTTCTTCTTCTTCTTTTTTTTTTTAATAGAGACAGGGTCTCCCTATGTTGCCTAGGCTGGTCTGGAACTCCCGGACTCAAGCGATCCTCCCACCTCGGCCTCCCAAAGTGATAGTATTAAACGTGTGAGCCACCTCACCTAGCCAGATGGTGGACTATTCATTTCTATTTCCTTTCTGAGCCACTGCTGGGAAGTTAATTCCTTAGTTTTTTTAAAAAACTCTGCTTTATGTCTGAGCTATTCTACTCTAGCTAGAGCCACATATAACTTTCACCTGCATTCTTGGGTTTTTGGACAGAAGCTTTCTTTTCTTTTTATAACTGAGATCTCCATCAAGGAAAGATGACACCCTGAACCCCGTCCTACCCCCAAGGTTTATGCCTTTATCATCCTAAAGCATCCTATGTCCTATTAAATTTAGCTTTGAAGATAAGACCACAATATAAAGTAATAACAGGATAACCTGGTTTCTGAACCTTCCTGGGTGATAATGCCTGTATTTAAGTAAAGTCATGCACAGGTCTTTCCTTAAAAAACCGAGTCATAAGGGGAGAAAGTGCTTGGTTGCAGAATAAAACCCTTCCTGGACTCTTCTCCCTTTTTTCTTTTCTCTTCTCTTCTTCTCTTCTCTCTCTCTTTCTCTCTCTCTCTCTCTCCCCCTCCCTCCCTCCTTTCTTTTTTTTTTTTTTTTGGGGGTTGGGGATGGAGTCTCAGTCTGTCTCCCAGGCTGGAGCACAGTGGTGCGATCTCAGCCCACTGCAAGCTCTGCCTCCCGGGTTCAAGCGACTCTCCTGCCTCAGCCTCCTGAGTAGTTGGGATTAAAGGCGCATGCCACCACGCCCGGCTGATTTTTTTTTTGTATTTTTAGTAGAGACAGGGTTTCACCATGTTGGTCAGACTGGTCTCAAACTCCTGACCTTGTGATCCGCCCGCCTCAGCCTCCCAAAGTGCTGGGATTACAGGCGTGAGCCACTGTGCCCGGCCTTCTCCTTTTCTTTTTTTCCATTCCTTCAGCAGAAGGCCAAACCTTCTGTCTCTGCAAACAAAGCAACTGAGGCCTGAATTTTGAACTCATTTATGCAGAAGCCTCTGTAAGTTCCAGAATATAAAAGTTTATCTGTCCACTTTGGTCTGTGGCCATGTGAATTTATCTGACGGGTAGGGATATTTTTCAGCTGTGTAGGGATCTAACTGGTGAGGCGAGCTGAGTCATCCTGCCCATCAACCCCTGCTTTACGGATGATGGAATTTAGGCAAATCACTTCACTTCCCCATTTTCAATGTCAATGTAAAATCAAGGTAAATGTAAAAAAGGGAGTTGAACTAGACTCTGATGAGCTTAGATCTCTTCCTGCCCTAATAGTCTATACTTCTATGACAGCCTTTGACCGTCACTTGCTTTAATCCTTCTAAGCCCTTTGAAGGCAAGGCCGAAGAGTTGGTCTTCTTAAAGCTCTTAGGCCATATTTGTTAATTTCTGTGTACCATTAACTGGCTGCACAGTTATGGAAACCACAGAATCCTGAACTTCTAGAACTTCTATCATCTGTAAAGCATGGGTTGTCAGGGGAGTCTCTCAAGCCTTTTCCAACTTACAAAACTCGACAATTCTGAATGGGGGTTCCCGGCAGCCATCTTCCCTTCACCCTAGTGTTCTTCTGGAGGAAGTACAATGACACAATCCACGGGCAGTTTGGAGGATTTCCTAGTAGCATGTGGTTAAGTGTCCCCTTAAATAAATGAGTATTGGCCGGGTGCGGTAGCTCATGCCTATAATCCCAGCAATTAGGGAGGCCGAAGCAGGCAGATTACTTGAGCCCAGGAGTTTGAGACCAACCCGGGCAACATAGTGAGGCTGTGTCTCTACAAAAAAATTAAAAAATGAGGTGGGAGGATCGCTTGAGCCCGGGAGGTCGAGGCTGCAATGAGCAGAGATGACGCTACTGCACTCCCATGATGGGAGTGAGACCCTGCCTCTAAACAAATAAATAAGTAGGTATCTTGCCAAAGGCTTGGAAATCCGCTATCCTTGGGAGTTTCACTGTGATTTAATTTGTCGAGAGAAGATTTGGCCCGAGGGCATGAAAAAAATTGTATTATTGTAGACCATCAGAGTGTTATTCCAGGGTCAGCTAAGAGCAAGTTTCAAAACGCAGGCTCTGGATGGAAATGGGGTGGCTACTGTTGTAGGCAGACCTCGAGCAAAAGCACTGCGGATTTCTCTTCTTCTTAAAGGCGTAGCCCGGAGAACAGCTTTGACAAGTTGTTTCTGGCCCAAGTTGTCAAAACCAGTCTGTATTTGGCTAAAGTTCATCTGCATTCTCTATTTAAAAAAAATTTCCAAACCTAACCTGGATAGCTGCCTCACGATGTTGAATCACTGGCTACAACCGAGTCACCATTTTACAAGACTATGGTGTTGAAACCTGAGCCCCTAATTTAAGTGTCCTCCTCAGGAGTTCCACTGAGGAAAGTCCTTTTTCGGAAACCACAGAAGGAAAACTCAGGGTTAGTGGTACTCATTACACTGGAAGGAGCTTTTCCACTTGGCTGCATTGTTTATTTACACACTGTAAGTTCCTATTTTGGACACTCTTCCCTTAATTATGAGAAGAGGGGTTTCTATTATATCATCTGGCCGGATGTATTGTTGACCCCAAAAATGCCACATAACGGTGCTTGGGACATGGGGAGATGCATGGTTTAGAGATTTCAGCATAAGCACTTGGCATCTTTTTTACAAGCAAGACACCTATCTTACCATGATTTGCAAAAACAATCAGATCACTGAGAAATCTCATTCCCGGGGTAGAAACCATCTCCTGCGAGAAGGAGCTGGCACGGAGTGTCTAACCGTGCAAACAAAACCGGCTTCCAGGTTGACAAGTTGTAATTGCTCTTCCCCAGTTGGCTCCGGGGAGCTTTTTCTAAGACTGACGCCCCCCATGTTTGGTGACATTTTATATACGCCACCTAACAAACTTCTATGACCTGTCTTGCTAGGGTGGGGGGAATAAAAAGAAAAGACGACAACAACCTAGAAGGAAATAACCCATTTCCTCTGCAAAACCATCTTCCCTTGCTACGGAACTGCTTGGCGACACCAGCGCTTTCCTGCGGTTGGCAGCCCGGGAACCTTGAAGTTGCGCGGGACCGGCCGTCAGCCGCTGACAGTTCTGACAGTCCAGGTGGAGGACCCGCGCTCTGCCGGGAAATCCCCGGCTTCCCGCTGGGGACAAACGGTGGCCGCCGCAGGGAGTGCTGTGTTTGGGGGTCGGGGGAGGCAGGGAGCCCCACTTTCCCTCGCGCTGCCTCAGTGCCCGGCCTGCGTGCGCGCGCCAGCCTGGGGTAGGAAGGTACCTCTGACATTTCGCTCCTGCGACGCGCAGGCAACTTCATGCGGAAAATCCGCGGAGGGGCTGAGCCTGGAGCCCCCGACTCTTCCGACGTCCCGGAGCCCCCAACCCGGGGCAGGGGGCACTCAAAGGCCAGGCGTGCCTTTAGGTATCTTCCGGGACCCAACTGTACCAGGGTCACGGACATTCAACTCTCAGCTACCCACACCGGCGCGAGCGCGTCATCCCGGTGGCCCTGGGCATTCCTAACTGTCAGAGCGAATATTTTTGGGAATAACCTCTCCAAAATGTGAAGATGTTCAGTGGTCTCCTCCGCCTCCCATCACAAAAAAAGGCCCCAACACATATTTTTTAAAAAACAACCCACATCCCACAATCAAACTTTTAAACATGTAAAATAATAAACCAACTCACCAAGTTAGAAGGGAAGAGAATAAACCCCCAAAGGCTCCCAATAAGGCGGAGGCTTGGCCTCCCCCTCCTTATAAGCCGCTCGGTAACATGAGAAAAGGATTAACCCCTTAGGGGGCGGGCCCGACTCTAGCGCAAGTTGGCTCGGGCTGGTGAGGCCCGAGCGCCCGGGCCCTCCACCCACTCCCGCGACTCGGGCACCCGAGCCACACCCTCCCCCCGCCCCCCACCCCGGCCGCCTGCGACCCGGGCCGTGCGTGCTGCCGCCCGCGCCCCGGCCCCGCGTCGCTGCCTAGCTCTTATCCTATACCGGCTGCAGCCGGTCTCCGCCGGCCTCGGGGGCGCGCCGCCGCCGACCATGTGCTGCGAGCGCTGAGCGCAGCCAAGGAGGGGGCCTGCCTGGCGCGCGCGCGCCGTCCCACGTGGACCTGAGCCGCGCCGGTCGCGCGCCCGCCAGCCTGCCGCCTGGGCTGGGGGTCACGAAAGGTAACCGCGTCGCGGTCCGGGGCCGGGCCGCCCCCGCCAGCGCCGCCGGGGTCCTTGGCACAACGCCCCGATCTCCCAACCCGGGTGCGCCTCTGCGCGCGTGACCCGCCCAGACCCCGGAGCTTTGCTGCAACGCTAGTAGGAGCGCGAGCGTGCAGGGTGTTGGGGGTGCCTGCATCCTGTCTCGGAGCACCTCGGCCAGGCGCGAGCGCGCGGGTCCCCGTCCCCACCCCCGGGCGCCTTCCCGGCGCGCCCACCGCCCAGTCCCGCCCGCGCCCTGAGGATTTAGGGATTTAGCGGCGAGGGGGAACACGCGCGCGCCGGGGCTGATCCCGCGCGGCGCTCGCGGCTGCGGCGGCTTCGCGCCCGCCCCGGGCAGAACAGGTTCCTTCCAGTTTGGGTGTGAGCTGCGCGCGCGGCGCCTGAGTTCCTCCTGCAGCGCCCACTTCCCCCAGTTTCGTCAACTCGCGCACCCCCACAGTTCCCCTTCCGGCAGTGGGGAGGGAGTGTCGCAGTGGGCCCCAGGGAGCGAGCGGCCGGGCCGCTGCGGGTGCCTTGCTTCCCCCACTTTGCTGCACCGGCAGCAGCGGCAGCAACAGCATCCGCGTTGCGCGAAAGGAATGTGAGCAGCCGGGCTGAGTCAGCATCCCCGGCCCGGGGCGCGCGCGCACCCTCCAGGCAGTGGCGGCGTCGGCACAGGTGCATGGCTCCCATACCCGCGGGGAGCCCTCTGTAAGGGACCTGGAGGTTTAGACAGTCCGTGCCCCTCATCCCGTAGTCCCCGACCCCAAGGTCACCGTGAACTAAGCGGATGATGCACGCGAAATCTCAGGAGCTCCTCATGGGGACAAAGCATGTGTCAGATCCTAGACATTTCAGAGCCTGCGGGGGCGCAAACTTAGCTTCTTGGTCTCTACCTCACATCCCGAGGGCAAATTTGGAAACTGCTCGGAAGCAAAGGCCATGTTATTTGCATTCGTATGCAGACTTTGGCGCCGGCTGCTGCCTTCATTGGGGTTCGGAGAATGTGGTTCTGATGTCAGAAACTCAAGAGAGCCTAGTTTGGGAGTGCATGCACGGAGGGTCGCCACCGGGAGGAGTCGGCGATCTGAATTTTAATAAAAATCCTTCCTTGCTCGCTGAGTTCTCTCACCATTTTGGGATAGGCTCTCCTGAGTTAAATGCCATCCTTTGCCGTTGACAAGTTCTGGTTGTGTAAGTGGGGAGAAGATTCGTTGGTACAGGGTGCCTTGTATGGCCAGTAGTGTACAGCCAAGGGGCCGCTGAGCAGCTTTGCAACCTTGTAGGCGTAATTTAACCTCGTAGAGCGTTAATTTCTCCAGATCTGTAAAATGGGGATGGAGGTGGTATTCCCAGAATTGGAGGGTTTAATTTATGGTACTTGTAAAGTGCGGATCGCAGTGACTGGCATTTGGTAAGGCCTCAGTACCCATTAGCTCTTGCTGCTGTTACGATTTATGCTTTACCAAGGCCAATTAATTGCTGACTCCAACACACTCCCTGTGAGAGAGAGCCCTTTTTTGAGTTGTTCTTCAAAGGATCCATATATAATGATATTTAGAAACTGATTTGAACACTTCATGCTAATGCAGGGCTGCCTGTAAGATAATCTTTGATATTTAGGATCTTACACTTTAATACTTAGGACCTGTTACTGTACTCTATATGGAAATATCATGTGCAATATGACAGCATATTCTGTATGTCTTAGGAACCTAAAGGTGCAGCCAGCCATTTATACCTGAGTGACTCGAAGCAAGTCACATAAAATCTCTGTACTTCAGTCTCTTGATTTAAAAAATGACTCAAATTATACCTAAATCCTCAGGAGTGAATGAATGATTGGAAAAATCACATCTGAATGTTTGAGCAAGTGAAACCTGGCTTTTGGGGAGCATGATTCTAATAATAATAATAATAATAATAATAGATTTTTGTTACTAATGTGTTACTATTCTTATATTTTATTAATATTAATCTTTTTTAAATGTTTGCTTTGTCCTCAACACTGCATTAAGTGCCATACATGTAATGCAATGTTAACCGCATCAGTAACCTTCTGTAGTTGACACTCATTATTCCCATTTTACAGATGAGGAAAGTGGAGGCACTGAGCACTGGAGGGATTGACCTAAGGTTACACCATGTTTATAGATACACACTAGCACTTTTTACCACTAGAGCTCATCCAAAGATGACATTTGCCATCTGTGTTTGAATAATGGAGAGGTAGCTGGAAACCCAACCTACGCACAGCCTTGCTAGTCACAAAAAAGTCACGCAACATGACTTTTGCCCACCCTAGTTAGAGGCTGGCTTCACCTTGTTCCCTCAATCCTAGTGAGACCAAGCGTGAAAACCCCTGCTTTTTTAACTTCTCCAGAGAAAGCACTGCATTGCCATGCTAATCAACGCCCCCTTGCCCCCAAACAAAACTAACTCTGTTTAGTTCTAAATAAGAACAAAAGAACCTTTGGAGTCTGGAGTACAGGACCAGAAAAATCAGGAAATCAAGTGAAGGGCTCAGCTCCCCTCTTAGCCTCTCCTGTTGTGTCTGCCTGATCCCAAGTGGCAGGCAGAGCCCCCTCTCGGCTTTCCTTTACAGTGGGCAAGACCATCATGATGCCCTTAAGAAGACCCCCAACATCTTCTTGGGGAAAAAGTTGGCTCTTCAGAGCTGTCCCCAAGGCTCCCTCTTTTAGCCCTCTTGCATAGGGTCATTTGCATGAGAACAGATTCCTTTGTGTAAAGTTGGCCTGCCTGTTCTCTGTCCACGTTTATAGTCCTTCAAGTCTTCGTGTTGGGTTGCTAGGCAGATATGACCCTGGCTTGCAAATAAGCTCACTGCATTTACCAGCCTGTGAGAACTTCAACTTGGGTAAGTAGACTGAAAGGAATCTGGTCTGGACCTCTGGGAAGAGGGTCCCGCAAGCCTGCTTTTGGGGGCTGACTCTTCAGGGCAGCCATCAAAGGGGGAGAATATGTGAAGGGGGCTTCCATGGGAGGCTTCGATGGCCCACCCACCCTTCCATTCTTCCTCTTCCAGTCTCTGTTCCACCCACCATGCTCCCACCCAGGGGCTTGTGTTCTGGGCAAGTGACTTGTATGCCACTGAAGCAATTTCTTGCTTTAAAACTTTAATATCTGCTTCTCCAATTGGCCAGGAACTTCACACACTCTGCCATCTAGCAACAGTGAACCGATGGTACAGGTAGTTCTGCTAGGTTTATTTTGTGATTTGGGTTCCTCCCCCGCAGCACCCCGCCAAATTTCACAGTTTGTAGGAAGGCAGGGCCCTTCAAACTGGGAAACACACACTTCTGGGAGAATTTAAAGATTTGCCAAGGGGTTCTGAGGCACAGATAGTGATGACGATGATAATAATAATACTACAGAGTTGTGTGCATGGCTTAGTACAGTTGCTAAGTTAACTGAATTAACACGTGCAAGGGGCTTAGCACTGGGATTGGCTCATGGTCAGGTTCCCTAACTCTTGGCTGCGACTCTTTCAACCTGTGAGTCCTGGGGGATTGAGGAGGATGGCGATCAGGGAAGCCTTCAACTGGCAGAGAGGACCTTGGGAGAACTGGCAAGGGGTGCTGAGCCAAGGGAGAGGTGAACAGCATGAGAAGAAGGTAGGAGGTAGGTGAGGCCATTCTGTATTTGGGGACAGTGAGGTCACCTTCCCACTCGTGTGTGTGGGCGGCCGATGATTGATTTCTGTCATACCTGTTACCATTTGGTGCAGTATCGATGTATCGTTGGTGTCTGTCATTAACTCTGAAGTAACTTTTACTTGATCAGTACTGAATTTCATTCCTAGGCTTCTCAGTCTTCATAGTTGACTGCTCCTGTAGTTTTGCCATTTATTACTGCTTAAAAATTAAAAAAAAAAATAGAGAACATAGCCTCCGGGAGGCTTCTATAAATTATCTCAAGCCTGTTGCAAAAGTCCTAGAAAACAAACCCAGGCTGAGTGTGATAATCCTAGTGCTTTTGGCATGAAGGCAGGAGGATTGCTTGAAGACCAAACGTTTGAGACCAGCCTGGGCAACACGGCAAGACACCACATCTAAGACAAATTTTTTTTTTTTTTTTTTTTTTTTTTGAGATGGAGTCTTCCTCTGTTGCCCAGGCTGGAGTGCAGTGGCGCGATCTTGGCTCACTGCAACCTCTGCCTCCCGGGTTCAAGCAATTCTCCTGCCTCAGCCTCCCAAGTAGCTGGGACTACAGGTGTGTGCCACCATGCCTGGCTAATTTTTGTACTTTTAGTAGAGACAGGGTTTTACCATGTTGGCCAGGCTGGTCTCGAACTCCTGGCCTCAGGTGATCCACCCACCTCAGCCTCCCACAGTGCTGGGATTATAGGCATGAGCCACTGCTCCGGCCTAAAAAATATATATTTTTAAAAAATTAGCTGGGTGTGGTGGTGCTGTCACACCACTGCACTTCAGCCTGGGCAACAGAGTAAGACCCTGTCTCAAACCAACCAACCAACTCCAAATCTCAGAACAAAATTATTTAAATCACATTACATTTAGGAGTGAATGCACGTCACATTAAACTGTGTGACACAGTTGTGGGTCGTGGGATCTCATTGGCAATATTGGGAAGGGCTGTGTGTGGGACCAGTGGATTTTGCCCCGATCGAGTCACGCTTTCTTCAGATAGTTGTTGAAGTTGTTCCACCTGCCCTGTTCCTCAAGGCCCAATGAATAAAAACCTGCTCTCCTGCTGTGTTTCTTGCCTAAAGGGAGATGCTGACTTTCCCTATCTTGTCTAAACAGGTACCTCCTGTCCTGTGTTTCTAGATTCCCAGGAACAATAGGCAATGTTAAGCTTCCATTTTAACCCTTTAGGAGCAGTGCCTCCGTGAGTTTCCAGATGGCTAGGGGACGATGCGAAGAAACTACAAGGATGCTGCAGGATTGTGTTGTGGGCAAATGGTGAGGAGGGGCCCCGCCCTGCTGTGATCGGTGGGGGCCTGTGGAGTTAGGTGAGCTTTGTAGGGATACACAGCAGGACTGGGTCCAGGGAGCATCCATCCCTCCATCCTTCCCTCCCATGCCCATCGTTCATCCGTCCATCCACCCAAGCGGCCTCTGCTCATCCATAGCCCACTCGTGAGCACTGACAACTGCTGTTGTCTCCCAGGCCACAAAACCACACCTCAGAGGATGTGGTTCCTTCTCTCATAGTGTGTATAGTTTAGTTCAGAAGACAGGACACATGCGATTGTTACGTAAAACAGCATTTCAACAAGTACAATTTTACAAGTGAGAATTACAAGTGAATGTCTTCTAAGAAAGAACTTAGAAAAGTCATCTAAGTTGAGGGGAATGATGAGATGAAGCTGGCAGGGCGAGGCAGAGCAGGCTGGGCTGTTGATGTTCATGTTACATGCACTCATCCAGCAAATATTGACTGAATACCTTCTGGGCCGGGTGCCGGAATTATGCAGTGCATAAACTATACAGAATGTCCCTGCCTTTACAGAGTTTCCGCCCTGGAGTTGTAGATCTTTCTTGCTTGAGCACCTAGCTAGCCAAGCATCCTGGACAAAGAGTTCTTTTGAAATGTTTCTGATATGGAAATGTAACTTCCATTTTCAATTAACATCAACAAAGGGGAGATTCCCCTCACACGCATCCTACATCTTGACCTCATATTGTTAAATTGTCCGAAACCAGATTTGCTGGAAGGCAGCATACTCCAAGGATGCCAGCTATTATTAGAGTCTGCTTGGCTGAAGGGACCTGGCTCAGGTTTAGCCAAGATGGCACAGATAGTCATGGGATTGTGTAACAAGGAACCATAGTTTGGAACGTTGAAAATGTAAACTGAAATCAGTCTTTATTTCCTCTTTGCCTTGTTTGTGACTATGGTGGCGTGTTTGTAGCTTCTGTCTTCTCTAGGTTCAGAAACCAGCATCAGAGCTTGCTTAACAAACAATTCTGGCAGATTCAGCCAGTAGCTGCAGGGAGTCTGGATTTTGCCATCTATACTCAGAATAGTTATGTTTTTATCTTTTTTTAAAATTAAAAAAATTTTTTTTCTAATAGAGATGGGGTCTTGCTATGTTGCCCAGGTTGGTCTGGAACTCCTGGGGTCAGGTGATCCTCCTGTCTCGGCATCCCAGAGTGTTGGGATTACAGGCGTGAGCCGCTGTGCCCAGCCATTATGTTTTATTTTAATGTTAGTAACGCTTTGGCTTGCATAGCACATTTTTAGTGTGTTCTCATATTTATTATCCCTTTATCCTCAAAACAATCAAGAGATGGACTAACAGTAGCCAATATTTCTTAGCACTTACTGAGAACTTGGGTTGGATTATTTCATTCTCACATTGTGTTTGGGGTTGAGAAAGTTTACTGTGACTCTTTTTTTTTTTTTTTTTTCCCCTGATATCTAATTCCAGGCCAAAACTCCATTTTTCAGGTAAGGGAGGAAACTGAGACACAAAGAGATTCTGTAACATATCCATGGTCACACAGCTGGCAAATCACTGCTGAATCCCGGATACATACTCCTCTGGAAATAACACATCTCAAAAGTCAATTCCCCAAAAGGCAAATTTGCTAAGTAACTGCTTCACTAAATTGTTTTTTTCCTAAATTTGGGTCTTACCCCTATTTCTGCCCCTACCTGAGCCTTGGCTTCAGAGATTCCTAAAACTTTAGGGGAATCTGTCTTGGGGTGCTCAGGATGCCATAATAAAATACCATGGACTAGGCTGGGCTTGGTGCCCCACATCTGTAATCCCAGCAATTTGGGAGGGTGAGGTGGGTGGATCACTTTGAGATCAGGAGTTCAAGACCAGTCTGGTGAAACCCTGTCTCTACTAAAAATATAAAAATTAGCTGGGCATGGTGGTGTGCATCTGTAGTCCCAGCTACTTGTGAGGCTGAGGCACGAGAATCACTTGAACCCAGGAGGTGGAGGTTGCAGTGAGCTGAGATTGCTCTACTGCCCTCCAGCCTGGGTGACAGAGCGGGATCCTGTCTCAAAAAAAAAAAAAAAAAAAAAAGAGAAGAACACTACTGTAGACTAACAACAGAAATTTACAAAAATACAGCCCAAACAACAGAAATTTATTGTTTACAGTTCTGGAGGCTGGCCAGTTTGGTTCCTGGTGAGGGCTCTCTTCCTGGCCTGCAGACAGCCACCTTCTTGCTGTGTCCTCACATGGCAGAGAGAGTGAGCAAGCAAGTTCTCTGATGTTTCTTCTTGTAAAGGCACTAATCCCATTATCTCATGACCTCATCTAAGCCTTATCACCCCTCCAAAGGCCTATCTTCAAATATCATCACACTGAGAGTTAGGGCTTCAACATACAAATTTTGGGGGCACACAAACTTTTAGTTTATAAAAACATATTTCATTGAGAAAGTAGAATGGATCCAGGGCAAGGATAAATCTACAAAAATAGAAAAGATAGTACAAAGCACTGTTTTTCTTAAGAGAAAGTTTCCTATTCTCATGCAAAAATGACAAAGGGAAAAAAATTGAACTTTTTTTTTTTTTTTTTTTTTTGAGACAGAGTCTCACTCTGTTGCCCAGGCTGGAGTGCAGTGGCACTGTGTTGGCTCACTGCAACCTCCGTCTCCTGGGTTCAAGCAATTCTCCTGCCTCAGCCTCCTGAGTAGCCAGGATTACAGGCGCCCACCACCACGCCCGGCTAATTTTTATATTTTTAGTAGAGATGGGGTTTCACCATGTTGACCAGGCTGGTCTCGAACTCCTGACGTCAGGTGATCTGCCCACCTCGGCCTCCCAAAGTGCTGGGATTACAGGCATGAGCCACCGCGCCTAGCTGAAAAAATGGAACGTTGACACGTAAACCACTGATCAGGCTGAACATGACAAGGGGAAAGATATGATGCATAAGGTGGGCCTGCCAAAAAAAAAATCGAACCTGGATCGGATCTCATCCTAGATCTACAAGCCAGTTTACCAGGAAAACGGGTCCAGGGAACATTTCAATAGAGGATACAATCAGCTAAATCCAAAATTTGAGAAATGTTACAGGGCAAACACCGTAATTTATTTACAAATCTATGCAGAGAAAGGAAGAGGGGAGCCATAAATGAAAAGAAAAGAGACACGTGAACCAAGTGCAGTGTGTTGTGAACCTTGTCTGGATACTGATTAGAACAAACCAACTGTTAAAAAAATACTGATGAGATAATGGAGGACATTTGAACTCTGATTGGATTTTTGATGATACTAACCAATTGTTAATTTTTAAAAGGAGGGTGTTATGGAATTGTAGTTATATAGTAAGAATTAACTTTTAGAGAATTGTACCAAAATACTTCTGGATAAAATTATATGATATTTGGTATTGCTTTTTTTTTTTTTTTTTAAGAGACAGGGTCTTGCTCTGTTGCCCAGGCTGGAGTGCAGTGACATGATCACAGCTCACTTGCAGCCTTGAACTCCTGAGCTCCAGCCATCTTCCCACTTCAGCCTCCCTAGCAGCTGGGACTACAGGCACATGCCACCATATCCAGTTATTTTGTTGTTGTTGTTGTTGCAGAGAGATGGGGTCTCGCTTTGTTGCCAAGGCTGGCCTCTAACCCCTGGCCGCAGGTGATCCTCCTGCCTCAGCCTCCCAAAGCGCTGGGATTACACGTGTGGCCCACCACGCCTGGCCTGGGGCTTATTTCAAAATAATCCAGCATATGTGGAGAGGGAGGCTAAGGGAAATTGAAGGAGAGAGCCAGCCTGACCATGTGTTGATAATTGTTGAATTGAAATGTTGGGTAAGTACATGTGAGTTTCTCAACTTTTGTGTGTTTGACAACTTCCATAATAAAATGTTTAATAAGTGATAAGTAAATACAGCTTTGTAAAAGGTTCTTAAAAATGTGGCAAACAGGCTTCCAGTGAGCGAATTTCAGACATTGACCTGGAGCTTTCTTCTTGATCATACCCCTCAGGATTTTTCTTCTCAAGTGGAGGATAGACTTTTAGAGGAAAGACGTTATTCAGAGGTCCATCTCCTCTCTCTGATCTGTGAGCGAGGACACAGATATAATTTCCGCAGGGCTACTGGGTTTTTAGATGCATGGCGTGATGCCACCTAGGCTCTCTCAAACTGGCTCCTGCAACATGGCTTTCTTCTGTGACAGTCTCAACAGGTGGTTCGAGCCTAAAACTAGGCAGGATGTCATATGCCCCCTGTGGATGGGTTTCCTGGCATCGTTGGGTTCACAGAAATGATATTGCCCGAAACAGTGTCTGGTGTGAGGTCTCCAAGCTTTAAAAAAAAAAAAAGCCACTTTGGGAGGCCAAGGTGGGTAGATCACGAAGTCAGGAGATCGAGACCATCCTGGCTAACATGGTGAAACCCCGTCTCTACTAAAAATACAAAAAATTAGCCGGGCGTGGTGGCGGGCGCCTGTAGTCCCAGCTACTCGGGAGGCTGAGGCAGGAGAATGGTGTGAACCTGGAAGGCGGAGCTTGCAGTGAGCCGAGATCGCACCACTGCACTCCAGCCTGGGTGACAGAGTGAGACTCCGTCTCAAAAAAAAAAAAAAAGCATTTTAATTACGTAAGTGAAATTGCTCTCCCAGGCTGGATAGAGGCATTCAAAGATGTCTTGTGCATCTTCTGTTGAGCTTAGACTACTACATCTTGGCCCCTACACTCTAAGAAAGCAGTCTTTCCAAGTTGGGCTAGCCTCAAAATTACATATTGGGGTCTATGGGCAAAAGCCTGGGACACAAGGATGTTTATTACATGTAGATAATAAATAACCCTTTGTCCTGGCTATCGTGGTAACTGGGTTTTCCTTTTCACCTGGATGGACTAGGGTGAGGCAACATGTAAGGAAGTGCTCACTGCCCAGGTGGTGCGAGTACAGGGTGGCTACCCGAGCAGAAGGGCCACCTCCTGACGTTTTGTGCCCTAGGCATTTTGCTTGTCTCGCTCTAGCACTGTCTCTCACCTGGACTCACCTGGACCCATGCAAGAGACTCCTAACTCAGCTGCTTCTTTCATCTGCTGCCCTGCGGGGCATTTGTGTATTCTCAACAGGGCAGGGATTCTGTTACAATGTAAACCAGAGCCTGCTGCTCTTGCTGAATCCCTCTGGCTTCCCATCTCTCGCAGCAAAAGCCTTTCTTTCCTCTCTGACTCTAATCCCTGCCCTTCCTTTCTCCATTGCTTCTGCAGTGGCTTCTTTGCCGCTCCTTGCTTGTGCCAGACCTCAGCCTTTCCCAGTTTCTCTGCCTTTCCTGCTTGGCTTCCTGATGGCTGCGTAGCTTCCTCCCTGACCTCACACAGATCCTTATCCAAATTGTGTTTTCTCGATGAGATTGTCCCAGACCACCCCCTTTAACTTTGCAGCCTCCATCCCATGCCTGAGCTCCTTCTTTGATGTTCTTCACGCTATTTACATTTTATTGATTTCATTTCTCCCCTCACTGTCAAAAAAGTAAGTGGTGTGAGGGCAGGGACTTTTGTCTGTTTCATTTACGGCTGTATGCACTATGCCTGGTTTAAAATCTGTCAGTCAGTACAAATTTGGTGGACAGATGACAGAATGCGTTGGGGAGTTGCTTCCGACAACACGTGAGCAGCTGATGCCCAAGGCCCCTTCTGACAGCCCCTGATGGCTCGTGGCCGCCAGCCAGCACACAGACCATGTTCTGATCTGGGGAGTAAAACAACAGCAGTCCACATCCCAGAGACCTGCTCCCCCCTGCTCTTTTGTCTTTTTTGGCCTCGGCTCATCAGATGCTTTTGTCTCTGGAAAACCAACAGAACCCTCTGCCAGAAAGGTCTGCCCGACCTTCTTGTTATTTCAGCTGTTTTCAAGGTTCTCTAGGAGGATGCTTGGCCACAGGGAGGCCCATGGGAAACGAGGGTCAGGTGATGAAGTGAGTGGCTCAGGAAGCCCAAGGACTTCAGCTCTGTGTTTTCAGACACTGCTCAGCAGATCTTCAGGTTGCTGCATTCCATTCGCTTCTCAGTGCTTCTGGCCCACAGCCTGCCTGTGGGTCATTTGGCTGTTTATCAGTACCTTTACCCCTAAGCAAGCCTGGAAACTGAAGGGAGGTCAAACTTGAGCACACTTAGCAGCCCTGCTTTAAAATGGGGGTCGTGGAGAAGAATAGGAATCATGGGTAAAGCTGATTGTCAACTAAAGTTCACTCTGCTCCTGCTTGGGGAGCATGAGACATGGGAAATTGTTTATGCTTGTGCTCAACAAGGATCTTTCACAGTCAGTTGTGCTCTGATGGAGCAGATGGGCCTTCGTTGTGGGATTTGTTGACTGACGTGGCCGAGTACCTTCTGCCCCAGTGGAAGGAGGGGTGAATGCTGTATTTGCCAAAGACTCTGCCTTTCTTTATAGCCAGGAGTGCTCCTTCCCTGTGTCTACTCTCCTTTCTGAGAGTGATGGAGAAAGAAAAAGCTGGCAAAATAACATCAGATAAGATCTGAGGGTAGCAAGTAAGGCCATTTTCTTTTCTTCCTTTGTTCTAGGGGCTAGATGCAATCAAATGCTTGGCTTATATAGCTGTATGTTTGGAGGTATTGTTTTCAGAGACAGGATCTTGCTCTGTTGCCCAGGCTGGAGTACAGTGGCACCATCATAGCTCGCCACAGCCTTGAACTCCTGGGCTCCAGTGGTCCTTCCACCTCAGTTTCCCAAGTATCTGGGATTGTAGATGTACACCACCATGCGTGGCTAATTTTTTAATTTTTTTGTAGAGATCAGGTCTCGCCATCTTGCCCAGGCTGGTCTCCAACTCTCAGGCTCAAGCAGTCCTCCCACCTTGCCTCCCAAAGTGCTGGGATTACAGGCATGAGCCACTGAGTCTGGCTATGGAACCATTTTCCTTATATTTTTGTTTCGTTTTATTTTTTGAGATGGAGTCTCACTCTGTCACCCAGGTTGGAGTGCAGTGGCGCAATCTCAGCTCACTGCAACCCCCGCCTCCCAGGTTCAAGCGATTCTCCTGCCTCAGCCTCCCAAGCAGCTGGGACTACAGGTGCACGCCACTATGCCTGGCTAATTTTTTGTATTTTTAGTAGAGATGGGGCTTCACCATGTTGACCAGGCTGGTCTTGAACTCCTGACCTCAGGTGATCTGCCTGCCTTGGCTTCCCAAAGTGCTGAGATTACAGGCATGAGCCACCGCACCCAGCCCCATTTTCCTTATAGCACTTGAGCTCAACGTTTGAGCTTAGATCTTAATCAAAGTCTGTACCTGGGCATCCATTCTTTGAGTGTCTGGTCTGCCTTTTCCATTTAGTTAACAAAAATGGGGAAAGGATTAAATGTTTCCCTGGAGGTGTGGGTGTGAAGAATAATGCAGTGGTCTGCTGGCTAGATTCGCTTATTTCCATTCTATGAACATTTTAAGTAATGATTCTCTTTGAAAATCCTCAATGGAATGTTTCATCATGGAACACTGAAGAAACACAATCTGTTTATTTATATTCCCACCTAAATTTTAGCTTCTTTCTTAAGTGAATTTTTTTTCCCTGAAGTCTTGTACATGGGATCCATTCTGAAATGGATTATTGACCAGGCATGAGGCCACTCTAGTGTTCCAAGCTAAGAAGCTTTAAGAGGAAAAGTCTCCTGTGTCTGTTGCACATGGTCAGAAGCCAGTAGAATGATCTCGGAATCAAGCAGCAGGTCCACAGGTGTTTGTTAACCACCCTCCTTGTGCTGAGGCTCTTTCTCCTGAAAAGGGAGATGCCTTTGGAGTCTTAAGATCAACAAATACCAGTTGAGTCTAATTGAGTTTGAGATAATACATCTCCTTTTGGGAAACAGAAGAATTTGCATTTCTGAACAATTGATTCATTGGCCTCCAGATGACATGACTGTTTACTTGGATTTCCTTTTAGTTTGATTAAGTACATATTTGCCCATTCTTTTGGTTTTTATCCCGGTCTTCCAAAATTTACATACCTCTAACCACCCCCATCCATGTGGATTGATCAATTGGGTTGGCTTGCAAGGATGTACAACTGGAAAAAGTGTCTGTCATAATCCCAGGCCTATCTTTTTTACACAGTGGTTCTCCTTTAATCTGCTCCATACACTGGATGTTCAACTGAAGCTTTGTTGTTGTTGTTGTTAATTTTAGATTTAAAAAATACAGATAAGGTCTCACTATGTTGGACAGGCTGATCTTGAACCGCTAGCCTCAAGTAATCCTTCCGCCTCGGCCTCCCAAAGTGTTGGGATTACAGGAATGAACCACAATGCCCAGCCAACTGAAATTTTTGTTTGGTCCACAATTTCAACTCTGTTCCTCCTTATTAAACTTGCAAATTGGCTGGATGTGGTGACTCATGCATGTAATCCCAGCACTTTGAGAGGTTGAGGTGGGAGGATCACTTGAACCCAGGAGTTCCAGACTGGCCTGGGCAATATAGTGAGATCCAGTCTGTACAAAAAGTAAAAAAATTAGCTGGGCGTGGTGGCATACACTTGTAATTCTAGCTACCCGGGAGGCTGAGGCAGAAGGATCGTTTGAACCCAGGAGTTTGAGATTGCAGTGAGCTGGGATCTGTCTCTTTAAAAATAAATACATAAATAAAATAAACTTGCAAATTTAGGGCTTTTAAGTGAACTAGAGCTAATCTAGTTTTATCCTTGGCTCCATTTGCAACCTGCAGCTTAAAGTATAACCTTCAATTCCCGTCTTTCAAAACTCAAGTCTGATTTGTCGTTTTTATTTGTCCACTGAAGTTGAGTCATCAGTTAGATTAAGCAGTTTCCTTTTTCTTCTTGCACTAGCCTCATGATGTTTTTGTTTTCCAGCAACTTTGCTGCTTAAAGTGTGATCCAAAGACGAGCAGTACAGGCCTCACATGGGCTTGTTAGAAATACAGATCCCAGGCCCAGCCTTACCTACTGAATCTGCGGTTTAATCAACATAAAATCCACAGCAGATTCATATGTACCTCCATGTGTAAGATGCACCACTGGTTGAACATGTCTTTAGATTTTCTTATTAAAATTACATGGCTAGGATGCAAAGGGACACATTTCCATGAAAAAAATTTTTTGAAATTTTTTCTAACATTTTATTATGAAAATTACAAACATACAGCAAAATTAAAAGAGTTCTTTAGTAAGCACCCATATATCTGCTACCTAGATTCTATTATTAACTTTTTAAAACCATTTCCTTTTCCCCCAGATTAACTTCTGTCAAGAATTTTGGCTGGGCCTGGGTGTGGTGGCTCACACCTGTAATCCCAGCACTTAAGGAGGCCAAGGCGGGCAGATCACTTGAGAGGTCAGGAGTTCGAGACCAGCCTGGCCAACATGGTGAAACCCCGTTTCTACCAAAAATACAAAAATTAGCTGGGGTGTGTTGGTGGGCACCTGTAATCCCAGCTACTAGGAGGCTGAGGCATGAGAATTTCTTTTTTCTTTTTCTTCTTTTTTTTTTTGAGATGGAGTTTTGTTCTTGTTGCCCAGGCTGGAGTGCAGTGGTGCGATCTCAGCTCGCCGCAATCTCTGCCTCCTGGGTTCAAGCGATTCTCTTGCCTCAGCCTCCCAAGTAGCTGGGATTGCAGGCATACGCCACCATGCCCGGCTCATTTTGTATTTTTAGTAGAACTGGGGTTTCTCCATGTTGGTCAGGCTGGTCTCAAACTCCCAACCTCAGGTGATCCGCCCGCCTTGACCTCCCAAAGTGCTGGGATTACAGGTGTGAACCACCGCTCCCTGCGAGAATTTCTTGAACCCGGGAGGCGGAGGTTTCAGTGAGCCGAGATTGTGCCATTGCACTCCAGCCTGGGTGACAGAGTGAGACTCAGTCTCAAAAAAAAAAGAATTTTAGCTGGTCATAGTGGCACATGCCTGTAATCCCAGCTATGTGGGAGGTTGAGGCAAGAGGATGACTTGAGCCAGGAGTTCAAGACTGGCCTAGGCAACGTAGCAGGACCCTATCTCCAAAAATTTTTTTAAATGTAGAAACATTAGGTTATAGCTTGACTGTTACAAATAACCATGTCTTGGTAATAAGGGTCTCACCTCTCCTTCTGGAATTCTCAGTGGCACACTGGGATTTAGCAGCATTGGGGGCTGGTCCTGGTCCCACCCAGAACACTGGGCCTCAATATCCTCATCTCTACAGTGAGTGGGTTGGCAGAGATCATCTCTAATGTTACTTCCAACCCTGTCGCTATAGGTCCATTGCGAATATTATTATCATCACTATTTTTCAGGTGGAGAAACTGATGAACCAGTTAAATATTTGAATAAAAACATCTGTTGGCATGGAAAAGTGATTATTTCCTAAGCTACTGAGTAAAACACAGCTGCACTGGCAGTTTTAACTCTGTTTTCTTGTCAATTTTTGTTCTTTCAGGAAACCTTACAGAAACATGAAGCCCTCAACCATCTGCTACTCAGTTATTCGGGGCTGACGGCGGCTTCTAGAACATCCAGGTGTTCTGCAGATGCGAGAACTCATCCTGTAGTCACCAGATGGAGTCCCAAACAGCCAAGCAGATGTAAGGCCTGTGCTGTGGCTCTGAGGCCCTGAATACAGAAGGGTCACTTTCTTAGTGGCCAAAGAGCAGTTGTTGACATTGATGTCTAATTATTGAACACGACCAGTCATTTTACTGAGCTGCGGTGAGGAAACACTGACCATAGAAGATCAAGCCAAATGAGGGATTGCAAATTTCCTGATTCTTTTGAATTAGGATTCCAGATGGGGGCCTCATTTCTACAGCCCCCAACATTCCTATAGCCGTTATCACTGCCATCACCACTGCCACCAGCATCTTCTTGCAGATTCCACCCCTGCTCCCCAGAGACTTCCTGCTTTGAAAGTGAGCAGAAAGGAAGCTCTCAGAAAAATCTCTAGTGGTGGCTGCCGTCGCTCCAGACAATCGGAATCCTGCCTTCACCACCATGGGCTGGCTTTTTCTAAAGGTTTTGTTGGCGGGAGTGAGTTTCTCAGGATTTCTTTATCCTCTTGTGGATTTTTGCATCAGTGGGAAAACAAGAGGACAGAAGCCAAACTTTGTGATTATTTTGGCCGATGACATGGGGTGGGGTGACCTGGGAGCAAACTGGGCAGAAACAAAGGACACTGCCAACCTTGATAAGATGGCTTCGGAGGGAATGAGGTGAGTCTTGAGATGCCAGGCCAGCCTTTCTTTGGATGTCTTACTCCCGTTCTTGAGAGGGGAAGGGGCCGTGCAAAGCACTTAAAGAGTCATTGATGGACCCATGCTGATTTAGTTAATTTATTAATTAATTTGGTTTGAAGCCAGCATAGCATCGTGAAGAAATCCAGCCATCTAGCACCCATCCATCTATCTAGTAACATTCATTATGTGTTAGGAGCTAGGAATACAGAGGTGAACAAGATAAAACATTTTTGCCCTCAAGTTATTCATTGTCTGGTAGAGAAGACAGGTTAAAAGGAAAGTAAGGGGCTAGGTACAGTGGCTCATGGCTGTAATCCCAATGCTTTGGGAGACTCAGGTGGGAGGTTCACCTGAGCCCATGATTTTGGGACCAGCTTGGGCAACCTGGCAAGATCCCACTTCTACAAAAAATAAAAGCAAATTAGCTAGCGGTGGTGGCACGCTCCTGTGGTCTCAGCTACTCGGGAGGCTGAAGTGGGAGTGTGTCTGGAATTGGTGGGTTCTTGGTCTCACTGACTTCAAGAATGAAGCTGCAAACCCTCGCGGTGAGTGTTACAGCTCTTAAGGTGGCACGTCTGGAGTTTGTTCCTTCTGATGTTCAGATGTGTTCGGAGTTTCTTCCTTCTGGTGGGTTCATGGTCTCACTGGCTCAGGAGTGAAGCTGCAGACCTTCACGGTGAGTGTTACAGTTCTTAAGGCGGTGCGTCTGGAGTTGTTCGTTCCTCCCGGTGGGCTCGTGGTCTCGCTGGCTTCAGGAGTGAAGCTGCAGACCTTCATGGTGAGTGTTACAGCTCATAAAAGCAGTGTGGACCCAAAGAGTGAGCAGTAGCAAGATTTATTGCAGAGAGCGAAAGAACAAAGCTTCCACAGTGTGGAAAGGGACCTGAGCGGGTTGCCACTGCTGGCTCGGGCAGCCTGCTTTTATTCTCTTATCTGGCCCCACCCACATCCTGCTGATTGGTAGAGCTGAGTGGCCTGTTTTGACAGGGTGCTGATTGGTGTGTTTACAAACCTTGAGCTAGATACAGAGTGCCGATTGGTGTATTTACAATCCCTGAGCTAGACATAAAGGTTCTCCAAGGCCCCACCAGACTCAGGAGCCCAGCTGGCTTCACCCAGTGGATCCCGCACCGGCGCTGCAGGTGGAGCTGCCTGCCAGTCCCGCGCCCTGCGCCTGCACTCCTCAGCCTTTGGGTGGTCGATGGGACTGGGCGCTGTGGAGCAGGGGGTGGTGCTCGAGGAGGCTCGGGCCGCACAGGAGCCCACGGAGGGGGTGGGAGGCTCAGGCATGGCGGGCTGCAGGTCCCGAGCCCTGCCCCACAGGAAGGCAGCTAAGGCTCGGTGAGAAATCGAGTGCAGTGCTGGTGGGCTGGCCCTGCTGAGGGACCTAGTACACCCTCCGCAGCTGCTGGCCCGGGTTCTAAGCCCCTCATTGCCCGGGGCCCGCAGGGCCAGCTGGCTGCTCCGAGTGCGGGGCCCGCCAAGCCCACGCCCACCCGGAACTCCAGCTGGCCCACAAGCGCAGCACGCAGCCCCAGTTCCCGCTCGCGCCTCTCCCTCCACACCTCCCTGCAAGCCGAGGGAGCCGGCTCTCGCCTTGGCCAGCCTAGAAAGGGGATCCTACAGTGCAGCGGTGGGCTGAAGGGCTCAAGTGCCACCAAAGTGGGAGCCCAGGCAGAGGAGGCGCCGAGAGCGAGCGAGGGCTGTGAGGACTGCCAGCACGCTGTCACCTCTCAGGAGGATCACTGGAGCCCAGGAGTTCAAGGTTGCAGTGAGCTATGATTGTGCCACTGCACTCCAGTGTGGGTCACAGAGCGAGACTCTGTCTCTTAAAAAATAAGTAAATAGGCTGGGTGCAGTGGCTCACGCCTGTAGCACTTTGGGAGGCTGAGGCAGGTGGATCACCTGAGGTCAAGAGTTCGAGACTAGCCTGGCCAACCTGCCGAAACCCTCTCTCTACTAAAAATACAAAATGTAGCCGGGCGCAGTGGCAGGCACCTGTGACCCCAGCTACTCGGGAGGCTGAGGCAGGAGAATCACTTGAACCTGGGAGGCAGAGGTTGCAGTGAGCTGAGATCGCACCACTGCACTCCAGCCTGGGCAATAAGAGTGAGACTCTGTCTAAAAAAAAATAAATAAAATAAAAAAGTAAATAAATAAAGAAAGAAAGGGAAATAAGAATTATAAGCAAATAGCTTCTGAGCCCACATCCAGAGTTTTTTGTTTGTTTGTTTGTTTTGTTGTGTTTTTTTTTTGAGATGGAGTTCCGCTCTTGTTGCCCAGGTTGGCGTGCAGTGGCACGATCTCAGCTCACTGCAACCTCCATCTCCCGGGTTCAAGCGATTCTCCTGCCTCAGCCTCCCGAGTAGCTGGGATTACAGGTGTGTGCCACCTGGGGAGAAACCCCAGAGATCGGGTTTCTCCATGTTGGTTAGTCTGGTCTCAAACTCCCAACCTCAGGTGATCCGCCCGTCTCGGCCTCCCAAAATGCTGGGATTACAAGCGTGAGCCACCACACCCAGCCCCAACATCCAGAGTTTTTGGAGAACAGAAGCGAGGGTGTGGAACCCAACCTGGGGTTTCAAGGGAGGAGATGGCCTTTGAAGAGCAAAAGAGAGTCTGTGAGGCGTGGGAGATGTGACTCACTTATTTATGAAAGGCGTGGCTTACACTTAAGGCATACTGAACTCTAAGGGACCACAAAAGAGGAGCCTATGCATCTGATGAGTTGAAGTGTTTAGAAAACAGCTATTGCAGATTTTTGTTAAAACACCCAGCTCCTTTCCCTTCTTAGATGGAGAACAAGCGTTAGAGCTTTCAGACTTCAGGATTTTCTTCTTGGGCTAACATTGGTCTGATTGTCCAGCTCGGATTCTGTCTGCACTGGGCGAAACTCCTCCATGTGGTTCGGGGGGAATCATTTCAGCTCACCGCTTAGGATGACGCATAGGGCATCTCCACAGAGTTTTGGCCACTTGCATCCTAGAGCTTGATGCTTTTCCTGAGATACGCGCCCTTGGTGGGTGGTAGTTTCTGCATCTGGTCTCACCCACTCCAGTTCTTCCTCACCTCCATCAAGGTGAACTTTGTAGAAACACTCTTCTGCTTCCAGTCCTTCAAAGACATTTTTTAGCCCTAAGGATAAAACCCATACCCCATACCACAGCTAACAAACTGGAGTTTGGCTGGGTGTGGTGGCTCACGCCTGTAATTCCAGCACTTTAGGAGGCCAAGGTGGGCACATCACTTGACAGGAGTTCAAGACCAGCCTGGCCAACATGGCGAAATCCCATCTCTACTGAAAATGCAAAAATTAGCCAGATGTGGCGGTGCACGGGAGAACCTGGGAGACAGAGGTTGCAGTGATCTGAGATTGCACTGCTGCACTCCAGCCCGGGCAACAGACTGAGACTCTGTCTCAAAACAAACAAACAAAACCAACAAAACCCCAAACTGATTTCTTCTCCACTCTTCTCTCTTGCAGTGGTCTTTGGATGAGCCCTCCCTTCATCTGTGTGATGGGTTCATCCTGGTGCACTCTCCACTTCCTCTGTTTAATTAGTTTCTACTCACTACTTAGGTCTCAGTTGTACACGAGGGCCTCAGGAAAGCTTTCGTGGATGCCTCGGGTGTTCTGTGATGGTCCTTGCTGCTTTCTGTGGTGGCTGTTCAATCATCTGACCACTACATTGGGTTGAATAGCATCCTCCCTAAATTCATGTCCATCTAGAACCTCAGAATGTGACCATATTTGGAAACAGGGTCTTTGCAAATGTTATTAATTAAGGCTCTCGATGATCTCAGAATCGATTTAGGGTGGGTCCTAAATCCAGTGACATTTCCTTATAAGAAGAGGAGAAGACACAGGGACACACAGAGAGAGATGGTGACGTGAAGATGGAGGCAGAGATTGGAGCCATGCCTCTACAAGCCAGGAACACCAAGGACCGCTGGCAACCAGCAGAACAAGGAGAGAGGCATGGAACAGATTCTCCCTCAGAGCCTCCAGAAGGTACCAGCCCGGCCGACATCTTGATTTCAGACTTTTAGCCTCCTGTACTGTACTTTTTTTTTTTTTTTTTTTTGACGGAGTCTTGCTCTGTCGCCCAGGTTGGAGTGCAGTAGTGCGATCTTGGCTCACTGCAACCTCCACCTCCCAGGTTCAAGCGATTCTCCAGCCTCAGCCTCCCAAGTAGCTGGGATTACAAGCATCTGCTGCCATGCCTGGCTAATTTTTGTATTTTTGTAGAGATGGGGTTTCACCATGTTGGCTAGGCTACTCTCGAACCCCTGACCTCAAGTGATCCACTCGCCTTGGCCTCCCAAAGTGCTGCGATTACAGGTCTGAGCCACCACGCCTGGCCTGTACTGTTGTTTTAAGCCACACAGCTTGTGGTAATTTGTTATGGCAGCCACAGAAAACTTACACACCTCCCTCCTAGCTCTGGACTTCAGGAAGAAAAATGCCTCATCTGTTCTTTCCCGCTTATATTCCTAGCATGTAACACAGTGCTTGGTACGTAGTGGGCAATTAATAAATATTTGTTCATCAATAAATGGGCTCTAGGAGCTCAAGATGCCCTGGAATGTCACCCCAAATTTTGCATGTAGGAATACTTTTCTGGGGAGAGAGTTCATCCATTCATGAACATTTACCAGATTCTCCAAAGGGCGTGGGTTGCCAAATGCTTAGGAACTTCCGCTTTCAGTGTTTAGCAGGTTAGCGGGGAAATATTAGTCCCATTATTTAAGCTGAGATTTGCGAGGCCTACACGTTTTTTTTTTCTCATGTGCTGTCTCTACTGTCACACTCTCATCCTGAGCAGAAAGGAGGACTCAGGGGTCAGATGCCAAATGTGGTTCGTTGGGCTCTCCTTCTCCCCACCCCCTTATGAAAGTGTTTCTTTCCATCTGAGCCTTGTGACAGTGGCCAGGTGGCTAGCCCTCTGGCCTGAGGTCGACGGCTTTTCATTCTTCTTTGTTGACAGGAAAGCCGGGCTTCCTGTGAGGCCATGAACTGATTCATCGCTGGTTTCTCCCACTGCCTACTCACGGCCAGTGGGGAACCATGACTTTCAGACACGAACTCTTATTGCCCAACAGGGTCTGGGGTGACTAGCTGGGACTGCACGCTCAAGCCACCACGCCCGGTTCTGTTGCCTCCTTTTTATTTGTGCATGAATTTTCTAGGACTGCTGGAACAAATTACTCCAAACTGGACAGCTTAAAATGTTACTTTGTTCTGGCCAGGCACAGTGGCTCACACCTGTAATCCCAGCACTTTGGGAGGCCGAGGCGGGCAGATCACGAGGTCAGGAGATCAAGACCATCCTGGCTAACGTGGTGAAACGCTGTCACTACTAAAAATACAAAAAATTAGCCGGGCATGGTGGCAGGTGCCTGTAGTCCCAGCTACTCAGGAGGCTGAGGCAGGAGAATGGCGTGAACCCGGGAGGCAGAGATTGCAGTGAGCCGAGATTGCGCCACTGCACTCCAGCCTGGGTGACAGAGTGAGACTCCATCTCAAAAAAAACAAAAATAAAAACAAAAAAACATTACTTTGTCCTTTCACAGTTCGGAGAGCCAGAAGTCCAAAATCAAGGTTATGACTGAAGGCTCTGACAGAGAATCCATTCCTTGCCTCTCTCCTGGATTCTGGTGCCTGCTGGAATCCTTGGCATTCTGGGCTTCTAGACTCCTATCTCCGCCTCAGTTGTTATGAGGCGTTCTTTCATGCCAGTGTCCAGACTCCCCTCCTCTAATAAAAATACCAGTCTTTGGATTGAAGGCCCACCCTACTCCAGTATGACCTCATCTTAACTTAATGACATCTGCGAAGACGCTATCTCCAAATAAGGTCACGTCACAGGTTCTGGATTGATATGAAATTGAGGGGAACGCTGTTCAGTCTGGTGCAATTAGCTGTATTACGTATCTCTCTCTCTCTCTTTTTTTTTTTTTTGAGACACAGTTTCACTCTGTTGCCCAGGCTGGAGTGCAGTGGTGCAATCTTGGCTCACTGCAACCTCCGCCTCCGGGTTCAAGCGATTCTCCTGCCTCGGCCTTCTGAGTAGCTGGAATTACAGGCACCTGCCACTACGCACGGCTGATTTTTGTATTTTTAGTAGAGACGGAGTTTTGCCATGTTGGCCAGGCTGGTCTTGAACTCCTGACCTCAAGTGATTCACCTGCCTTGGCCTCCCAAAGTGCTGGGATTACAAGCGTGAGCCACCATGCCTGGCCTACATATCTCTTTTTACTCCGCTTCTAACGCAGTCTATAATGTAGTAGGTGGTCAGTCAGTATCTGTCGCATTAAAGACTAAATGTCATGCTTAAGAGGGCAGGAGCCAGACAGTTTGAGCTCAAATCCCAGCTCTGCCACTTCCTATCTGTGGCCCCGGGCAAACTGCATCATCCCCTGGAGTTTTGCTTTCCTCTTCTGTAAGTGGGGACAATGATAGCACCTCTACCTCACAGGATGTTGTGAGGGTTAAATTAAGTAATCTGGGCCGGGCACAGTGGCTCACACCTGTAATCCCAGCACTTTGGGAGGCCGAGGCAGATGGATCACCTGAGGTCAGGAGTTTGAGACCAGCCTGACCAACAAGAAGAAACCCCATCTCTACTAAAAATACAAAAGTAGCCAGGCGTGGCGGCACATGCTTGTAATCCCAGCTACTCGGGAGGCTGAGGCGGGAGAATCATTTGAACCCGGGAGGCGGAAGTTGCAGTGAGCTGAGATTGCGCCATTGTACTCCAGCCTGGGCAACAGAGCAAGACTCCATCTCAAAAAAAAAAAAAAAAAAAATTAAGTAATCTGTAAACCAGGTGTGGTGTTGCACATCTGTGGTCCCAGCTACTCCAGAGGCTGAAGCACACGGATCCCTTAATGCCAGGAGTTCAAGGCTGCAGTGAGCTATGATCATGCCATTGTACTCCAGCCTGGACAACAGAGTGTCTCATAAAAAAAATAAAAAATAAAAAATTAAGTAATCTGTGTAATCAGTTAGCATAGAGCCTAGCATACAATAGATAGGGTTCTATGTTAGCTATGGTTATTTTTGTTATTGTTACTAGAAATGTCCAAATGGAATGTCAGTGTGAATTGGCTAATCTGCATGATAAAAGGTCCAGTGACAAAACTTGGAAGGATGAGGTGGAGTTCCAGTGACAAATTCCTGTTAATCCCTATGCTGGCTGTGCATTGGGGCCAACACCTTTATTTGAATCAACACAACAGCTGCAACAATCACTAACCCTTACCAAGCTCTTGCAAGGTGCCAGGCTCTAGGCATTACCCTGGCTAATTCTTGGTACCACCCTACTTTTCTCTTATATCTCAGATGAGGAAATTGAGGTTAAGTAACACGCCCAGAGTTGGTGAGTGGCCAAGCCAATATTCAAACTCAGATTTCCTCATTCTAGAGCCTTATTCTTTCAGGGCTGGGCAGAACTGGGGAATCAGCAAAGAGAATCCATCAAGATTTGGCCAGCTTTCCCATATGGCTGTCAAAGAGCAGGAGGCCAGGCGTGGTGGTTCACATCTGTAATTCCAGTACTTTGGGAGATCGAGGCGGAAGGATTGCTTGAGCTCAGGAGTTTGAGAGCAGCCTGGGCAACATAGCAAGACTTCATCTCTACAAAAAAATCAATAAATTAGCTGGGCGTGGTCCTACCTACTCCGGAGGCGGAGTCAGGAGGATTGCTTGAGCCCAGGAGGTTGAGGCCACAGTGAGCTATGATCGTGTCACTGCACTCCAGCCTGGGTGATGGAGTGAAATCCTGTCTCAAAAAAAAAAGGAGATTGGAATCTCATCATTTTTTTTCTCCCTTTGGTGCTAATGAAGGATTTTTGTGCTGTCCAAGCATAAGAGGCAACCTGAGAAATGGGATTGTATTTAGTTATTTATTTTAAGATGAAGTCTTGCTCTATCGCCTAGGCTGGAGTGCAGTGGCGCGATCTTGGCTCACTATAACCTCTGCCTCCCAGGTTCAAGTGATTCTCCTGCCTTAACCTCTCGAGTAGCTGGGACTACAAGTGTGTGCCACCATACCTGGCTAATTTTTGTATTTTTAGTAGAGACAGCATTTCACCATGTTGGCCAGGCTGATCTTGAACTCGACCTCAGGTGATCCACCTGCCTCGGCCTCCCAAAGTGCTGGGATTACAAAGTGCGTGGGTGGCACCCAGGCAGAAATGGGATTTAGATGTCAGTCATCAAAATGGTTGATGCAACCATCGTTCAGGAGGCTCACCCAGCCAGGGATGTGTGATGGCTGCAGTTTCAGGTGCCTGCAATCTTATCCTGCCTACTCCAGCTTCATCTCCAACCCTCTCCTCATGTTCCTCACATTGCACATGTTTCTGTTCCTTGAACATATGCTTTTCCCTGCCTCAGGGCCTTTGCACTGGCTGTTGCCTCTTATTGGCGAGGTCTCTCCTCAGGCTTCAAGCAGCTGATCGCTTCTCATCCTTCTGGCCTCCACTCAAATACCATGTCCTCAGAGAGGCCTTTCCTGACCGTGCTCTCCAACATTGCCTTCCTACCCCATGCACATCTCCTACCCATTCTCCTGTTCTGTTTCCATGACCTGTATCACTGTTGAAATGATCTTCTTTGTTTACTTCTTTGTTGCCTGTCTCTCCCACTGGAATATTGCCTCCTTACAGCAGCCTCCTTATCTGTCTTATTTATGTCTTCAGTGGCTAAAACAATGCCTGGCACATGGTAGGTGCTCAAACAATAATTGTTCACGTACTTGGATTCCTGGATCTAAACTTCTAGGTGTGCACACATGGGTTGACCCGAGCATGAGAGCTGGAACTAGACTGCCTTGGTCTGTTACTTGCTAGCTCTGGGACACTGTGCTAGTTATTAAACCTTGCTGGACCTTAGTATGCTTATCTCTGCAATGGGAAAATAATGGCACCTACATCACAGGGCTATGGTGAGGAGGAAATAAGTTAGGTCATATAAGGCAGCAAAAGGGTCCCTGGCATGTATTGGTGCTTGATGGGTGCTAGCTCTTATGATTCCCTATGACACCGGCCCTGCTCCCCTGTTCGTCACAATTCCCTCCTCTGGCTGGAGGGTGAGGCCTGTTTTCTCAGCGTCTGTTCCAAAAGCACCTTGCTCTATCTATTCCCAGACTCTCACCCTTCCCCAGGTTGAGCTGTAGGACTCATCTGGCTTCTTAGAATCTGCTTGTTTCTTCTCATTCCTAGACCAAATCCCCAAGTCAACACCTAAAGGTCTCAGTAACATTTCCCTTTTAGTTTGTGGCCAGCGCACACGATTCGTTTTTTGTTTGTTTTTAACCTGGTTGCAGGAGATGTGATTTGCCCATTTTTGCACAGAAAGGGCACCATCCGTACCACAATTATGATGTCGTTATTTGTTAAAGGAAGAAAGGAATCTGGGGGAAGAAAAGCAGAATCTTTCGGTGACTTCATATTTTGGTATCCCTTTTCAGACTTCTAAACTCTATTTACATGGAGATAAAATAGGGATTATGGCCTAAAATCCCACAGCCTTAAGCCCATTTACAGTAGCCCAGGTCAAAGAGCATTCATGTCACCATATCCCTTTGGGAGAAACTGAGGCCGAGAGAGACGAAGTGTTTTTACTGTTATAATCAGCTCTCTGCCATGTGGGGGTCGATTATGTGGTTTGTGGGTTTGCTAGCTCAAAGATTGACTACATGAAAAATAATGATGAACTGTTTTGTTTTTTTTTTTTTGTATGTGAAAAACCCAAAGCTACTGCAAATCAGCAAACATCTCTTTATCAGAGGGCGTTGTCGTTTAGGGCCCCCAGTGTTGAGAGATTGCTCATGTATGCACCGCAAGGCCCCAAGTCCCCTCGCACATGTCAGTAGGTTAAGCAGCCAACCTATTTTGCCGTTGACCTTGTGGGATGTCATTTTGCCAATGTCCTTTGTAGATCTGAGCTGGGCTGTGCTGTTGAACACTTATCAGTTTAAAAATGATAAGATAGCCAGAAGATAATTGAAATGAAATTTAAATGAAAATGTCAGGGACTTAGTAATCAACTAAAACTTAAAAATGTTAAGCAATTGGCCAGGCGCAGCAGCTCATGCCTGTAATCCCAGCACTTTGGGAGGCCAAGGCCGGTGGATCACCTGAGGTCAGGAGTTCAAGACCAGCCTGGCCAATGTGGTGAAACCCCGTCTCTACTAAAAATACAAAAATTAGCCGGGCGTGGTGGCGGGTGCCTGTAATCCCAGCTACTCGGGAGGCTGAGGCAGGAGAATCTCTTGAACCCGGGAGGTGGAGGTTGCAGTGAGCTGAGATTGTGCCTTTGCACTCCAGACTGGGCGACAAGAGCGAGACTCTGTCTTGGAAAAAAAAAAAAAAATCAAGTAAAACAGGAGATGAAAGCAACTTGCATTACAATAGGGGACAGAGGATGAATTGCTCATGATTTAAAAAAGAGAAGAGGACCAATGCATTCTGTTGGCATCATTTCCAGCTCTTCATGCAGTCTGAAATTAGTTAAGATAACTCTGAGAGCTCGGTGAATAACCCTGATGATACAACACTAGTTTGGTTCTTGCTGGCAGCACATCTCAGACCCAGGGAAAGCCAGTGCTGGTTTCACCTGTGATAAACAAGTGACATTATTTCTTGAAAATTCTCAGGCTGGGAAGTGCCTTGCATATGACTCCTGGCTGGGTGGCTGGATTCAGGCAATGGCCTAGGATTTCTGAATGGGGATTTGAGCTCCTGGGCAGTAATGACTCACAGGTCTCTTGGGAGAGAGACAGAGAATGCCCA
Source organism: Homo sapiens (assembly GCF_000001405.40). Lineage (NCBI taxonomy): Eukaryota > Metazoa > Chordata > Mammalia > Primates > Hominidae > Homo > Homo sapiens. The sequence continues at coordinate 68,318,536 of NC_000017.11, forward strand.
GTGATCGTGAGAGAGAGGTGGCCACAGGCAGCGAAGCCCAGATACTTCCCATTTGCTTGAACTGTCTGCCAGGCTGACTCAGAGGTGCAGGTGACAGCACACTGTAATCATGTTTACTTATGTACGTTGATTTGCAATATGTTAACTTTGCGCCTTGATCTCATTTCTTCTCTGCTTTCCCCCTTCTCTACCCCTGGTTTAATTTTGAGTCAAGTCAATGCTGCTGCTGCTAGGAGTTACGGGCAGTGGCTTAGCTCGGAATCAAAGATCAATATTTGCCACAGGAAGGTCAGGGGCTCCCAGGGACTTGAGGCTGTTTCTAAAACGGGCCTCAGTGAGCAATGAATTGAGCTGTCAATTTAGTTGAACACTTGGCTTGATTTGTGTTCTCAGAATTGGCTTTTTGCAAGAGTTCATGCACCCTGTTACCTCTCAGACCTCTTTTTCTCAGCCACCCTGCTGCCTTGGGGATTTGGCAGTAACCTAATGGAAGATGCGAACCAGGTTGGCAGTCACACTGCAGGGGATTGTGATGAGGTCTTGATATCTGGTGGACAGTATGGGGACGAGGGCAGAAAGGACAGTCTAAACAAGACCAATATTAGGGAGAGCAGGCCGCTTCCTCTTTCATGTAATTCCTTTTCAGCTGTATTCCTAACCCTGACAGTAACTCAGATTCAGGGTTGGGAGGACCCTCACTGGAGAGAAATCCTCTTGTCCTCTGACCTTCACCATTATCCCCTAGAGGCCAGCTTTGGGAGGTCCCATCCTGACTTCTCTTTGTAAGCTCTCGGCATGGTGGGACAGGCGACTTTATGTTTTTGCACTTGAGTAAATAGGTCAAATAGAATCAAAATCATGTCATGCCCACCTTTCAACTGGGGCCAGGTAAGTGCTGAACAAAAGGGACTTCAGGTTTTTACCTCATGGCTCTGTTTGATAGATGGGGACAGGCAGGAACACAATGACCTAGATGGTAGCCAATCTTAGAGAAAAGAAAAGGAACTGAAATATTAACCAGTGGGGCCTTGGTGCCAGCCTGCTTAACCAACTGCAAGCTCAAAGTAGCCTGTCCAATTGCTATTAATAGTTCCTCTTTTAAGCCTCCCAAATACAGTCATTCAACAGTGAATCTCTACGAAGAGGAGGACGTGAGACAACTGCTGGGAGACCCTAGCCAGCTCTGCCCTTAAGGGACCGATGGCCTGATGGCAAATAAAGACAAGAAAACCAGCCTTTAGAATGCAGGAGGGTAGTGTGCTGTGAGAGTGGAGACTCCTGCCATATCTCCTACTCCTTTTGCTTTTATAACCTGAGGTAGATGTATCTGAATTGACAGCTTAGGGGATAGAACTAGCATATCACTTATAGATTGGTCTCAGTCAAGAAAGAGAAAGGCCCCTTGCTGGGCTTCTCACCTTTTAGGTGATAAAGCTTGCAGTGAGGAATCCTGTTAAAGATAGTGCCGTGGCTGGGTGCGGTGGCTGACGCCTGTAATCCAAACACTTTGGGAGGCCAAGGTGGGCAGACTACCTGAGCCCAGGAGTTCGAGACCAGCCTGGGCAACACGGTGAAATCCCATCTCTACTAAAATGCAAAAGAAATTAGTCGGGCGTGATGGCGTGCGCCTGTAGTCCTAGCTACTCAGGAGGCTGAGACAGGCGAATCGCTTAGAACCTGGGAGTTGGAGGTTGCAGTGAGCCGAGATCGTGCCACTGCACTCTGGCCTAGGTGACAGAGCAAGACTCCGTCTTAAAAAAAAAAAAAAGATAGTGCCGTGGGGCTACAGGAAGAGAAAAGTCATTTCTCTAGAGCAAAGTCAAGAGGTCATGAGTAAAGATTATCTGTTAAGACTTGAATGCTGAGACTTAAAATGAAGGGAGAGGAGAGTGTTGTAGGCAGAAGGGAAGGCAAGAGAAAAGACCCAGACCTGATTCCTAGGATCTCCCTCGGGGCACTGTCCCAGGTGCTGGGAACACAGCTGTGATCCAGACAACCAAAAGCCCTCACTCTCCGGGGGGTGTTGCATTCTAGCAGTTGAGTATGGCAGGGCTGGGAGTGTGAGACTGGATGGAGGGACTGGGCATCTGGTACAGTGTGTCATATACATGTTTACAGGATTGGACATGATCCTGCAAGCTGTGGGGATCCTGAATGACTGAAGTCATCCACCTACATTTGAGAATTTGAGATGGGATTTTCCAGCTTACCAGGATGGCCCACCTGGGTGGCTGGAAGGGCGGGGGTCACGTTGCAGTGATCTCCAGGATGGCTTGACTCAGAATTGTGGCAATGGAGAGAGATGTCAGATTCAGGAGGCTTATAGATGCCTATGTGTATGTCGCATTGTCGTATACCTTGTGTGTGTGCTTCCTTGAATGTGAATGTGCATATATATATGAGACTGTGAAAAGGAAAGGAGAAATTTGCCAAGGACCATAACCAAGCTCAGCTGCCAGGAATCCTTTCTGGAAAAGAACAAGAGGCTGGATGTGGTGACGTGCGGTGGCTACTTAGGAGGCCACCCAGGAGGCTGAGACAGGAGGATCGCTTGAGCCCAGGAATTTGAGGCTGCAGTGCACTATCCTTGCTCCTGTAAATAGTCACTGCACTCCAGCCTGGACAACATAGCAAGACCCCATCTCAAAAAAAGGAGAAAGAAACAAAAAGAAAAAGAGTATAAATGGATTAATGAATGAATGAGTAGACGAAAGGCACCAAGTTCACTATTTGCTGCCACATTTGCTTGTAGCTTACAAAGGGCCTGCGTATCCATGATCTCAATGATCTCACTTGACAACCTTCTGAGGAATAAGTCAGCTGTGTTCCCATTTAACAGAAGGCAATGTGGAGGCTGGGCTGAGCTGGTTCTCTGAGTTTTATTTCAGCTACTTTCCAGTTCCCATCTCCCAACCCTGTCCCTTTACACACAAAGGCCGCAGCAAAAGATTTTAAAAACCTATTTTCACGTCCATGCCTTTAAATTATGAATGGAACAAGGACAGTTTTTATTCCAGTCAGAGTTGCCACAGAACACCCCATCATCTATTTTAAATTCCTTGTAAATGAAGGCTGGACACGCTTAACTTTGCAACGTTATGTCTCTCCGGGGCTTTTGTGGCAGCCTTTCCAGTGCTAGCCTTCCCTGATTCTAATACACATAATTTATGCAATGGCAAGTTGCTTTGGTTTCTGTCTGGCTGTGTCTTAATTTGCGTTGATTTTCTTGTTAACAGGCTGCTGTAATGTCTGGCTCTGTATTTCCAGCTTTGCTTTACAATGTATTTTCAGACTTTAATTAGGACCCCTGATGATGAACTGGCCTGAGCCTGCCCAGATAGACTTGGGAGGAAAGAAAGCTTTCCAAATAACAAGGTCATTTTATTGCTTATTAATTAGTCCAACTAAATGGAGACAGTGGCCAGGAGGGGGAAAAAAGGTGACGTGCAGGCCAGTTCATAAAGCTGCATTTTTGGGGGTGGGTACAGCGTCTCCAAAGAATTGCAAATAAAGGAAACGAGATTGTTTCTGAGAGTTAAGCTATGAACTTTAACACACTGTGGGGAAGGAATTGAGCCCTGAAAGCATCCGCTTAAGTGATTACATGAAGAATGAACTGACATGTTTTTTCCAATCAAACCACCTGAGTTTCTCTAAGTTTTGTTTGTTCACCAGATATTGCTGGGGCAGCCCTGCCCCACCAAGGTGCTGTGCTTGGGGCTGGAGTTGCAACTCTAAGCCCCATCTCATGAAACCTACACCCGGCAAAGGAACTCAAAACTGCATCCCGCTGTAGAAATGTACGATAGCTGGCCGGGCGCGGTGGCTCATGCCTATAATCCCAGCACTCTGGGAGGCTGAGGCAGGCGGATCACAAGGTCAAGAGATCGAGACCATCCTGGCCAACCCCATCTCTACTAAAAATACAAAAATTAGCTGGGCATGGTGTTGCGTGCCTGTAGTCCCAGCTACTCAGGAGGCTGAGGCAGGAGAATTGCTTGAACCTGGGAGGCGGAGGTTGCAGTGCGCCAAGATTGTGCCACTGCACTCCAGCCTGGCGATAGAGTGAGACTCCGTCTCAAAAAAATAAAATAAAAAAAAATTAAAAAAAAAAGAAATTAAGATAGCTGTTCCCAAGATGAGGACGTTAACAAGCCCACGGGGAGATTACATTTAGGGCCACTGTTAAAATTGGGCAAGCAGGGATAACATTCAGGCAGTGTGTTTTTGGCACTGACCAGCCATATTAGTCAGCTTGGGTTGCTGTAACAAATACAACAGACTGTATGGCTTAAACAATAAATGTTTATTTCTCACAGTTCTGGAGGCTAAAGTCCAACATCAGGGTACTAGCATGGTCAGGTTTTGGTGAGGGCTCTTTCCTGGCTTGCAGACGGCCCCCTTCTTGCTGTATTCTCACAAGGAGAATACAGTTCAAGACCAGCCTGGTCAACATAGCAAGACCCCATCTCTACAATAATAATAAATTAATAAGAGAGGGCTCTCTCTCTCTCTCTCTCTGATGTTATCATCCTAATTATTGGAAGACATGGAGGGTCTGGGAGGAGAACTGGTTATTTTTTTTTTGGAGTGAACAGATTTCGAATTAACATCTAGTTGGTGCCATATCCTATCAGTGTGACTTATAAATTCTCTCATTTGATCCTTGCAGGGATTTTATAAGATTAGCATTATTATCCTCACTTACATATGAGTAAAATGAAGTTCAGATAGTTTGAGTCACTGCAGACTCTAATTTATAAATTCTAGGTCTGAGAAGTCAATGAAAACTAGGAAAAGGACTCAAATTAACTTGACTTTACCCCAAAGCCATAGACATACTTAATGAGAGAGAGAGAAAGAACCCTCTTATTAATTAATTAATCATTATTATTGTAAAGATGGGCTCTTGCTATGTTGCCGAGGCTGATTTTGAACTCCTGGGCTCAAGCAGTCCTTCCACTTCACCTTCCCAAAATGCTGGGATTATAGGTATGAGGCACCACTCCCAGCCAAGTCCTCTTTTCACAAATGCACTTATCTCATCATGGAAGCTGATGGAACCCTCATAACCTTATCTAAATCTAATTACCACCTAAAGGGCCCATGTCCACATATGGACACACTGGGGATTCGGGTTTCCACATATGAATTTCGGAGGGACACAAACATTCAGTCCATGGAACCAGGCAAGAGGAAATGGTGGCTCAACAGCCTTTGAGTATCCCAGACCCACTGTCAAAGATCAATCCACAGGCTGGGTGCTGTAGCTCATGCCTGTAATCCCAACACTTTGGGAGGCCGAAGCGGGTGGATCACCTGAGGTCAGGAGTTCGAGACCAGCCTGGCCAACATGGCGAAACCCCATCTCTAGTAAAAATACAAAAATTAGCCAGGTGTGGTGGCGGGTGCCTGTAATCCCAGCTATTTGGGAGGCTGAGGCAGGAGAATTGCTTGAAACTGGGAAGTGGAGGTTGCAGTGAGCTGAGATCATGCCACTGCACTCCAGCCTGGTTAACAGAGCAAAACTCCATCAAAAAAAAAAAAAAAAAAAAAGTTAATCTACAGTAGAGAAAAGGCCCTCAAGCTTCACAAAGTAAAGGACTTTTTTGATGCTCCATTTGAATTCTCTTAGCATTAACGAAGTCCACACTCACTAAGGCAAACTTCAGATTCTGATTTCCTGTGTAGCTTGTGCACAGGAAGAAAACATGTTGACCACGCTGACATTCTGGTTCCTGTACCCATCCTTGGAAGTCAGATGGGTCGTGGGCATTCCTGCCTCTTTCTTGGGCTCACATGGTTTGTGTGGATGTGAGTCAGGCTCTCGGGGCTGGCACCACCAAGCATGACTCTCAGGACCTTCCCAGCCAAAGACTGGCTCCTGTAACACGATGACCTAGTTAATACGATACCTCCTGCGGACCGGCCCAGCTCCAGACAACCTTCCCTCGCGTGGCTGTAGTGGAAAGGGCATAGGAATTTGGGTTGGAAAGGCCTGGGTTCAAATTCTGGCTTTGCCATTTCCTCCCTGTAGGGGTCTGCAGTCTTCAATATGGCACCGTGATGAGACAGGCCTTGGCATAAGATGCACTGAGCTCATACCAGCTATGTAGTCTTGGAAAGCTATTTAAACTCTCTCTGCCTCAGCTTCCTTCTCTGTAGAATGGGAATTTGGATGCCTGTTTTACAGAGTGTTTTAAAAGTTAGAAATATGTGTAACATGAGTAGAGTAGTAGCCACTTGGTACGTGTTAGATATTTTTGTTACTATAAGACAACGCTAATGCCTATTTATACCTTAGGTCTCAGCTTACACTTAACTTCTTTTGGGAAATGCTTTCCCAACACACAGGTATACACACTTGGTGCCCTTTGAGAACATCCTGTGCTTCATGTTTCCCAAATCCTCTTACATAATGAAATTATCCACCTCCCTCACTGACCAGTGAGCAGCTTGAGGGCAGGGATTTGTCTTGTTCATTGATATATCCTGGATCACCTACAGCAGGGGTTCTCAACCCCCAGGCCACTGTACCAGTCCATGACTTGTTAGGAGCTGGGCCCTACAGCAGGAGGTGAGCGGCATGTGAGTGAAGCTTCATCTGTATTTACAGCCACTCCTCATCGCTTGCATTACCGCCTGAGCTCCGCCTCCTGTCAGATCAACAGCGGCATTAGATTCTCACAGGAGTGCGAGCCCTATTGTGAACTGCCCATGTGAGGGATCTAGGTTGCATGTTCCTTATAAGAATCTAATGCCTGATGATCTGTCAGTGGCTCCCATCACCCCCAGATGGGACCATCTAGTTGCAGGAAAACAAGCTCAGGGCTCCCACTTGTTCTACATTATGGTGAGTTGTGTAATTATTTCATTATATATTACAATATAATAATAATAGAAATAAAGTGCACAATAAATGTAATGCATTTGAATCATCTCGAAACCATCCCTCCCAACCCCTGTCTGTGGAAAAACTGTCTTCCATGAAACTGGTCCCTGGTACCAGGAAGGTGGGGGATAGCTGACCTACAGTATAATAGCCAGGACTCTCTGGTTGTAAGTGACGGAAACCCAACTCAATCAACCTAAACACAAAAGAGGCACAGGTGGGGCTCTTGAACTAAGCCCCTGAGAGCCTCCATTTTTTCCTCTGTGCTTCTGAGCCAGTTGGCCCATTCTTTCAAGTTCCTCCATGTGATAGTCAAGGAAGCCCTTACCCTTCTGGGGTTGCCTGCTTATAGCTTGATATTCCAGAGGGGGAGAAAAGAGCTATTTCTCATTCTCTGGTTCAGAAAATTCCAAGTTTAAATTCACAATAGCCCTGCTTGGCTCATGGGTCATGGGCCAGTTCACCAAGGACAGAAGCTTGTGCTAGTTTGATTAGCATGCAGTGGAGTCCCACACTGCATTAGTATCCAGGTGGGACATTACATGGGAAACTATCATTAGGTCTCACCAGGTAGAGTGCAGGACCCGAGCTGCTGTTGGTGGAGAAACAGCGTTCCTGAGGTCTGGAATTATACCCTAGGGCAGTGACAAGACTAGGCAGACATACCTCTGCTCTTGTGGAACTCTAACCTAGATAAGGGAGCCAGCAGCAGCAAGAAGACAAATCCCTGAACAAGATAAAGTCAGATATGATAAGGGTTAGGGACAAACTCGAACAGTGCTGCTGCAGGTGTAGCCGGGTCAGGGAGATCTCCCCAGGAGGCGAAATGAGAGCTGAAGCCCAGCTGACCAGGAGGGGCCAGCCCTGTGGAGACCAGAGCAGAGTGATCAGGACAGAGGGAACACAAAAAGGGCCTGAGGCCAGAGCCAGCTGGAAGTGTTCTAGAAAAAACAACTCAGCCTGGCGCGGTGGCTCACACCTGTAATTCCAGCACTTTTGGAGGCCCAGGTGGATGGATCTTGAGGTCAGGAGTTTGAGACCAGCCTGGCCAAGATGGTGAAACTCCGTCTCTACTCTAAATACAAAAATTAGCCAGGCGTGGTGGCCCATGCCTATAGTCCCAGCTACTTGGGAGGCTGAGGCAGAAGAATCTCTTGAACCTGGGAGGCGGAGGTTGTGGTCAGCCGAGATCGTGCCATTGCACTCCAGCCTGGGTGACAAGAGCGAAACTCCGTCTAAAAAACAAACAAACAAAAAAAGCAGAAAGTAAAAGCAACTCACCTTGTCTGGCTGGAGGGGAGAGAGCTTGGGGAGGAGGGGAGTTGATGCCAAACGGGGTCCAGATCACTGAGGTGGCAAGTTCCCACCTTTCCCGTGTTGTGTCACACCTGGAAACTAATACTTCTTGTGGTGGGTTGGGGTGGGTGGTTGTGCATCAAGCAACAGTCGTCAGCAGCCCCATGAGTCATGTGGAAGGAGTGGCCAGAGAAAGAGTGGATGCTCTACAGCAAAACACAACTGATGGTAGCAATAGTCAGTGCTCAGACAACAGGCAGATGTCTACATTAGACATGAAAAGGCTGCAAGACAGTTTCACGTGCTTCCGAAGTCAAAGTCAGGGCTTATCCTCCTGGAGGGTAAGGAAAGACTTTGTGATAATAGTAGGTTCTGAAGGACAAGTAGGAGTTTGGAAGGGCAAGAAGAGGGTAATGCATTATTTAGCAGAGATACAACAGAGTTAACATGTTGAGCTGGAGAGTTGAGTGGGGCGTGGGGGAGGGAGGGATTCCAGATGTTCCAGGAAAAAGAATACTGTTGAGCTGGACCCTGGAGACACGCAGGGAGGTGTACTCGTTTTGAGGCCTGCTGTAACACAGTACCACAAATTGAGTAGCTTACAACCACCAAAATATATTATCTTACAATGCTGGAGTCTAGAAGTTCAAGATCAAGGTGTTGGCAGAGCCACACTCCCTCCACAGCGCTAGGAGAAGTTCCTTCCTTTCCTCTTCCAGCTTTTGGTAGCTCCAGGCATTCCTTGGCTTGTGCTGGCATCATTTTCATCTCTGCCTCTTCTTCACATGGCCATCTTCCCTCTGTGTGTCTCTGTGTCTTCGCAGCATTCTCTTCTCTGTGTCTCTCTGCTCTTCTAAAATAAGGACAACAGTTACATTGCATCAAGACCCACTCTACTTCGGTATAATCTCATCTTAACTTAAAATTACCTCTGCAATCACCCTTTTTCTAATTACATTCACATTCTAAGGTAGAGGGCTCAGGACTTCAACATATCTTTTGGGGGGACGCAGCCCAACCCACAGCAAGCAGCCATGGCTCAGAGGCTGATAGGTAGGTTGAGCCAGAGCATGACGGGTTATGGTGGCTGAGACTTGGGGCTACAAAATGGCATGACCAATCAGCGTGCTACCATGGGTTAGAGAGAGTGCTTCGGGTGAGGGACAACCATCATTTTGATCCTGGGTGGCGTCATTGGGAATGAGGAGGATCTGAAGGATGCAGGAAGTGGCAGAGAGACTTGAAGATAATGCCTTGGTCTCTACTGCCTCAGTGCCACTGCTTGACCAGGAGGGGGTGGTCACAGCTTTTGGAGGGAGAATGCTGAGCTTGGTTCAGTGCATGTTGAGTCTGAGTTGACATGTGACATACGTGTGGCAGTGTACATGATACCAGGATAGCAGCAGCAGCATCGAAATGCCACTCACCCCCAGAGTTCCATCCACTCACATCCCGCTCACTTATTGCCCCTCCACACACTGAAATGTTCTCTTTCTCCCATTTAGCTGGTGATGGCAGTCATCATGTTGCCTGCCATGAATTTTAAAAACCTACTCTGTGCTGGATGCTTTGCTAATTACTTTATGTACATCACCTTATGGAATTCTTCAAATAACTTGATGAGATAGGTCTGATTATGCCCATTTTGCAGAAGAAGATAACTGAGGCTTAGATTGAGTTACCTGTCTAGTCTCACACTAGACAGAGTTGGGGTCGTATTTGGACCCAGGCTTGTCTTTCCGTGCCTTTAATTTTCTTATCACTCTGCCTCCCATAGCATTTTCTTTGTATTTCTCAGATAGGGCTCATCTTATTTTCTCTTATTATCCACATATGACAGTTCTGCTAGAGTATAAACTCGTTGATGGAAAGGGCTGTAGCTCCCCAGCTAGCTCTGTCGTGGTTGGTTGAACTAGACCAGGAGCTTGTAGGTGAAAGGTTTGAGATGGCAGGTGATACGCATGTGTCTGTTTGGAGGCAGAGAGATGAACAAAGGGAGGGATGTCCAGTGGTGTCTTCAGGTCTACATGCCTAGATGCTGGAGGGATGAAGTCATGGGACCTGCAGAGAACCCAGCTGAGGAAGCCAGTGTCGATGCAGGCTATGGCTTTCCCACCAGACTGGAAGAAACAGGTCTTACGAGGTAGAGTGCAGGACCTGAGCTGCTGATGGTGGAAAAACAGCATTCTTGAGGTCTGGAATTACACCCCAGGGCAGTGATGAGACTAGGCAGACATACCTCTGCTCTTGTGGAACTCTAATCTGGATAAGGGAGCCAGCAGCAGCAAAAAGACAAATCCCTGAACAAGATAAAGTCAGATATGATAAGGGTTAGGGACAAACTCGAACAGTGCTGCTGCGGGTGTAGCCGGGTCAGGGAGACCTCCCCAGGAGGTGAAATGAGAGCTGAAGTCCAGCTGACCAAGAGGGGCCAGCCATGTGGAGACCAGAGCAGAGTGATTAGGACAGAGGGAACAAGAAAAGGGCCTGAGGCCAGAACCAGCTGGGGGTGTTCTAGAAAAAGCAACTCACCTTGTCTGGCTGGACGGGAGAGAGCTTGGGGAGGAGGGGTTTGATGCCACACAGGGTCCAGATCACTGGGGTGGTGAGTTCCCACCTTTCCCGTGTCATGTCACATCTGGAAATTAGTGATATTTGTGCCCCTTTCCAAGGACCTCCACTGAGGCTGGCAGTGGAGGGCTGTCTCCACATTGTGCTGTAAGGGGACTGCTTTCCGTGGAGCTGGGCGGGTAACAGACAGAGCCCACATTGGACAGCTCTGGTGCCTCGAGTTGCCCCAGGCCCCACTGGCTGCCCCAGGGGCTGAGATGAGCACAGTCTAAGAAAACTTTTGGTTCATTTGGGCCTAACTGTGCTCCAGCTCCCCTGCTGGGAGGCTGTGATGGAGGGCCTGTAGACCGTGCTGACTTCGAATTTGCTTTGACTGCAATAAGAACCCATGAAAGGGTTTCCAGCCAGGGACTAATCGCAGGGGTGTCTAATCTTTTGGCTTCCCTGGGCCATGTTGGAAGAAGAATTGTCTTGGGCCACATATAAAATACTCTAACATTAACGATAACTGATAAGCTAAAAAAAATCACAAAAAAATCAATGTTTTAAGAAAGTTTATGAATTTGTGTTGGGCCGCATTCAAGCTATCCTGGGCTGTATGTACTCATGCTAGGTGATAATCATTTTCAAAGACGCTGGGTGTGGTGGCTCACTCCTGAAATCCCAGCACTTTGGGAAGCCAAGACGGGTGGATCACCTGAGGTTGGGGGTTCGAGACCAGCCTGGCTAACATGGTGAAACCCTGTCTCTATTAAAAATACAAAAATTAGCTGGGTGTGGTGGCATGTGCCTGTAATCCCAGCTACTTGGGAGGCTGAGGCAGGAGAACCACTTGAACCCTGGAAGTGGAGGTTGTAGTGAGCTGAGATCGAGCCACTGCACTCCAGCCTGGGTGGCAGAGTGAGGCTCCATCTCAAAAAAAAAAAGAAAAAGAAAAAGTTTAAAGATGACTTTGGATGCACCATGGAAAATGAGGGGAGGGGGAATTGGAGACAGGAATTGGAAGTGGGGAGTAAGTAGGGCTGCCACTTATAGCTGGGGAGACTGTATATTGCTCACCTCTGGACTGTGGTGTGAATGGTGGCCCTTGGGTTGTTTGACATGATGGCCCTAGGATCTGGGTACAAGGTGGTGGTAGCTTGGACCAGGACATGAGCAGATAGATGGAGAGAAATGGATAGATTCTGGATATATTTGGAAGTTGAGTTGATAGGACATGCTAATAATTTAGCTGTGGAGAGGCAGGAGGGAATGAGAGAAACCTCAGATGACTGTGACTTGAGTGACAGGGTGGGGGGTGCTATTTACTGAGAGGGAAGATTGGTATAGGAATAGCTGGTATGTAGGGAAAAATCTAAAGAAAGCCCAGATAAACTTGCAGAAACTGGCAAAGGAAGCAACCACATGCCACATGGGAGCGCTGTCTGGGGCCCTGAGACCAACAAGCAGTTTTCTCCTGGCCTGGGAAGCCCATTGGGCTGAGAGATTTAAGACAAGGCTGATGGCATTGTGGAGGGCTAGCTTTAGGGGCACTGTGGCCTGGGCAGTTGCACACTTAGACCCTGTGCTTGGTTGCAGGCTTTGCTGTCTCTGTCTTAAAATTTTTAGTGATTCTTGAACCAGGGACGCTGCATTTTCTTTACCTTTTTCTTTTCTTTACTTTTCTTTATTTCTTTTTTTTTGCGGGGGGGGGGGGAGGTGGTGGGCGGGGACAGAGTGTTACTCTGTCACCCAGGCTGGAGTGCAGTGGCATGATCTCAGCTCACTGCAACATCTGCCTCCTGGGTTCAAGCAATTCTCGTGTCTCAGCCTCCCGAGTAGCTGGGACTATAGGCGCCCACCACCACATCCAGCTAATTTTTTGTATTTTAGCAAAGACAGGGTTTCTTTCTTTCTTTCTTTCTTTCTTTCTTTCTTTCTTTCTTTCTTTCTTTCTTTGTTTCTTTCTTTCTTTCTTTCTTTCTTTCTTTTTTTGAGACAGAGTCTTGCTCTGTCACCCAGACTGGAGTGTAGTGGCACAATCTCGGCTCACTGAAAGCTCCTGGGTTCATGCCATTCTCCTGCCTCAGCCTCTGGAGTAGCTGGGACTACAGGCGCCCACCAGCTTGCCTGGCTAATTTTTCGTATTTTTAGTAGAGACGGGGTTTCACCGTGTTAGCCAGGATGGTCTTGATCTCCTGACCTCATGATCTGCCCGCCTTGGCCTCCCAAAGTGCTGGGATTACAGGCGTGAGCCACTGCGCCTGGTGCAAAGGCAAGGTTTCACTGTGTTGCTCAGGCTGGTCTTGAACTCCTGAGCTCAGACAATCCGCCTACCTCGGCTTCCCAAAGTGCTAGGATTACAGGCATGAGCCACTGTGCCTGGCCTGACTATTGGGGGAAACTCAGCCCCTGATATTTCACGTGCGTCCTTTTCTATTTTCCCTAAGTGTCAGCCAGTCTGAGAAATAAAGGGAAAGAGTACAAAACAGAGAAATTTTAAAGCTGGGTGTCCGGGGGAGACATCACATGTTGGCAGGTTCCGTGATGCCCCCAAGCCACAAAACCAGCAAGCTTGGGGAGGGAGTGTACGAATAGGGTGTGGGTCACAGAGATCACATGCTTCACGAGGTAATAGAATATTACAAGGCAAATGGAGGCAGGGCGAGATCACAGGACCGAGGCAAAATTAGAATTGCTAATGAAGTTTCCGACATGCATTGTCATTGATAACATCTTATTAGGAGACAGGGTTTGAGAGCAGACAACCGGTCTGACCAAAATTTATTAGGTGGGAATTTCCTCGTCCTAATAAGCCTGGGAGCACTACGGGCGACCGGGGATTATTTCATCCTTTATGTACAACCGTGAAAGACAGACATTCCCAAAGTGGCCATTTTAGAGACCTCCCCTTGGGAACGCATTCTGCTTCTCAGGGATGTTCCTTGCTGAGAAAAAGAATTCAGCGATATTTCTCCTATTTGCTTTTGAAAGAAGAGAAATATAGCTCTGTTCCGCCCAGCCCACAGGCAGCCAGACTTTAAGGTTATCTCCTTTGTTCCCTGAACATCGCTGTTACCCTGTTTTTTTCAAGATGCCCAGATTTCATATTGTTTAAACAATTTGTGCAGTTAATGCAATCATCACAGGGTCCTGAGGCGACATTCATCCTCAGCTTACAAAGATGACAGGATTAAGAGATTAAAGGCAGGCATAGGAAATCACAAGAGTATTGATTGGGGAAGTGATAAGTGTCCATGAAATCTTCACAATTGATGTTAAGAGATTGCAGTAAAGACAGGCATAAGAAATTATAAAAGTATAATTTTGGGGAACTAATAAATGTCCATGAAATCATCACAATTTATGTTCAGAGATTGCAGTAAAGACAGACATAAGAAATTATAAAAGTATTAATTTGGAGAACTTAATAAATGTCCATGAAATCTTCACAATTTATGTTCTTCTGCCATGGCTTCAGCCAGTCCCTCCGTTCGGGGTCCCTGACTTCCTGCAACACCTGACCCTGCATTTTCATATTTTACTGGGTTCCATGAATTTTGAAGCTGGTTATGCTGTGGTGGATAAAGAGACAACACCAGTAAGCTTGGGCCAGCTTGTACAGAGCTACAAATTCTGACCAAAATGAAGCCAGGGGCAACAGAAGCTTATGACTTAATGTATGTGAAGTGCTTGGAAAAGTGCCTGGATTATAGTAAGTGTTGCATAAATGTCAGCTATAAGAGTAATAAGAGGGCTGGGCCCAGTGGCTCACGCCTGTAATCCCAGCATTTTGGGAGGCTGAGGTGGGTGGATCATGAGGTCAGGAGATTGAGACCATCCTGGCTAACATGGTGAAACCCCGTCTCTACTAAAAATACAACAACAACAACAAAAAATTAGCCAGGCATGGGGGCAGACACCTGTAGTCCCAGCTACTCGAGAGGCTGAGGTAGGAGAATGGCGTGAACGTGGGAGGCAGAGCTTGCAGCGAAGGGAGATCGCGCCACTGCACTCCAGCCTGGGCGACAGAGCGAGACTCCGTCTCAAAAAAAATAAAAGAGTAATAAGAGGCCGGGCGTGGTGGCTCACGCCTGTAATCCTAGCACTTTGGGAGGCCAAGGCGGGCGGATCACCTGAGGTCAGGAGTTCGAGACCAGCCTGGCCAACAGTGGCAAAACCCCATCTCTACTAAAAATACAAAATTAGCCGAGCATGGTGGTGTACGCCTGTAATCCCAGCTACTTGGGAGGCTGAGGCAGGAGAATCGCTTGAACTCGGGAGGTGGAGGTTGCAGTGAGCCGAGATCGTGCCATTGCACTCCAGCCTGGGCAACAAGGGCAAAACTCTGTCTCAAAAATAATAATAATAATAATAATAATAATAATAATAATAATAATAAAAGAGTAATAAGAGTTGTTATAAGGAATGTTTAGGAGTGTGAGCCAAGAGGATCCTTGTGCTTCAGTCTCAGGAGGAAGGGAACAGAAAAAGCTGGGTAGAGATGAATATTTGGGGAGCAAAGTTGTGAGCAATAGCTAGAACTCGATTTGGACATCAAAGGGTAGCAGTTACTAGCTACCAGCCACATCCACATCCTGGGCTCAGAAGTTGGGTCCTGGTGGTCCCAATACGTGTGGCTGCCAGGGACGCTTTGAAAGAAACCTGTGCCTAGGGAATTTTACCCAAGGCCCCCAGTGATGGAGGGAAGAAAGCCTGCAGTGTTTCTTCTAGCCTCCAGGAGACTGATGGTTCAGGAAGGAAGAGCTGGCCGGGGTGGCGCCAGGAGCTCCCTGAGGTTCTGGAGGGAGGACCTCACCCAACCTGTCAGTGCATATGTTGGCGCACACACCTTCCCTTCCCTCATTCTGGCAGAAAGAGGGATCAATGGCCTGCTTCTAAGATTTGGTTTCAAGGCCAGGCCAGGCTTCCAGATGGACAGGACTGGGATCTCACAGTGCAATTTCACTGCTCTCTGATGATGTCCATTGCTGTTTGTCACCTTGAAAAACAGCATCAGGGAATGAACCCATCTTCTGGGACTGAGGCCCAGGTCTCTTTAGCAAGCCTTGTTATGTGGTACGAAAGCAAAGAGGACAGTGGCGTCACCCAATCAGCACACATTTGGTAGCACCCCATTTATTCTTTGCTGTGCTGGAGACTTCATAGTGAACCAAACCTTATCTTATGAGAGACACAGACATTCTTCTGGCTGTGTATTGCTGAGTAACAAGCCAGCCCTAACCTTAGGTTCAAGCAACAACCATTTTCTTAGAGCCCATGATCTTTGCGGTGAGGAATTCAGGCACTCCTTGGTTGGGCAATTCTTTAGTACTGGGCGTTGACTAAGGTCGCCTCGTGGAGTGTAGCAAGCAGATGGTCAGGCTGGGAGGTCTGAGATGGCCTTGCTCCTATGGCGGACATCTCCACGGGGAAGGTCTGAGCTGGAGTCACCGGCCAGAGGACCTACAGACGGCCTCTGCAACGTGATGGTCTCTGGGTGGTTCAGCTTCTTATATGGCGGCTCACAGAGTGTTTCCAGACAGGAGGTAGAAGCTGCCAGTCTTGTAAGGCCTGAGCCCAGAAACTGGCATGTAGGGTCACTCACTGCCACATTATTCTGTTGGTCACTGCAGTCACAGAACCCATGCAGATTCAAGGGGAGGGGACATAGACCCCACCTCTCAATGGGAGGCATGTCAAAGCATTAGTGGCCTTTATTATTTATTTATTTATTTGTTGAGACAGGGTCTCACTCTGTCACCCAGGTTGGAGTGCAGTGGTGCGATCATGATTCACTGCAGCCTCTAACTCCTGGGCTTAAGCCATCCTCCCGCCTCAGCCCCCCAAGTAGCTGGGACTACAGGTATGTATCACCACACCTGGCTAATTTTTAAATATTTTGTAGAGACGGGAGTCTCCCTATATTGCCCAGGCTGGGTCTCGAACTCCTGGACTCAAGCAATTATCACTGTTGTAGTTGAGTGTTATAAGAGATATGTCGGCCAGGTGGCTCATGCCTGTAATCCCAGCACTTTGGGAGGCCGAGACGGGTGGATCGCAAGGTCCGGAGATTGAGACCATCCTGGCTAACACGGAGAAACCTCGTCTCTACTAAAAATACAAAAAAATTAGCCGGGCGTAGTGGCGGGCGCCTGTAGTCCCAGCTACTCGGGAGGCTGAGACAGGAGAATGGCGTGAACCCAGGAGGCGGAGCTTGCAGTGAGCCGAGATCATGCCACTGCCCTCCAGCCTGGGCAACAGAGCGAGACTCCATCTCAAAAAAAAAAAAAAAAAGATATATGTCAAATGGTATATAATTACATGGAGAAGGGAGACCCCGCTTCTGTGCGGGTATTGGGGCGTGGCAGATAGGTTGCAGGAGGAGAGATCAGGGAGGATGTCATCGAGGTGCTAACATTGGAACATTTGAACTAGGCCTTGAAGACAGCTGGGATTTGCCAATGAATGGAAGGTAGGATAGTGGGGAGAGACATTCCCAGTGGGGAGAACAGCGTGTGCGAAGGCACAGATGCATGGGAGTAATGTGGTGTGTTGGAAGCAAAGGAGGTGCAGGCATCGGGGCAGCAGATAAGCCCAGAGAAGCAAGAAGAGCAATATCGTGTTTTTCTTTTCTGTTTTTGAGATGGAGTCTCACTCTGCCACCCAGGCTGGAGTGCAGTGGTGCTATCTGAGCTCACTGCAACCTCTGCCTCCCAGTTTCAAGCGATTCTTCTGCCTCAGCCTCCCAAGTAGCTGGGACTACAGACACCCACCACCACACCTGGCTAATTTTTGTATTTTTAGTAGAGACGGGGTTTCACTACGTTGGCCAGGATGGTCTTGATCTCCTGACCTCAGGTGATCTGCCTGCCTCGGCCTCCCAAAGTGCTGGGATTACAGGTGTCAGCCACCGTGCCTGGTCTTCTTTCTTTTCTTTTCTTTCTTTTTTTTTAGACAGACTCTCACTCTGTCGCCCAGGCTGCAGTGCAGTGGCACGATCTCAGCTCACTGCAACCTCCTTCTCCCAGATTCAAGCGGTTCTCCTGCCTCAGTCTCCTGAGTAGCTGGGACTACAGACACCCGCCACCACACCTGGCTCATTTTTGTATTTTTAGTAGGGACAGGGTTTCACTATGTTGGCCAGGCTGGTCTTGAACTCCTGACCTAAAGTGATCCACCCACCTTGGCCTCCCAAAATGCTGGGATTACAGGCGTGAACCACCACACCTGGCCAAGATCATGTTTTTCAGTAAGGGATTAGTGTGATCAAATTCGCATTATGGAAAAACATTTGGGTTGGGCACAGTGGCTCATGCCTGTAATCCCAGCACTTTGGGAGGCCAGGGCGGGAGGATCACTTGAGGCCAGGAATTTGAGACCAGCCTTGCCAACATGGCAAAATCCCGTTTCTATTAAAAGTATAAAAATTAGCTGAGCATGGTGGCGTGCATCTATAATCTTAGGTACTCAGGAGGCTGAGGTAGGATAATCACTTGAACCCAGGAGGTGGAGGTTGCAGTGAGCTGAGATTGCAACATCACTGCACTCTAGCCTGGGCAACAGAATGAGACTCTGTCTCAAATAAATAAATAAATAAACAAATAAATAAGAAAAAGAAAGAAAAATATTTGTACTAGTGTGGAGGGTGACCTGAGGTGACAGGAAGATCAGGCTCCTGTAATAACCTTGACTCTAGCTCCTAAGGACCTCTATGGAGGCCGTGATAGTGGGTGGAAGAGAGGGAGGACAGATCTGGGAGACTTGATAGAACTTGGTGACCACCTGACATGGAGAATGAGCGGGAGTGAAGCGTCTAGGCAGCCCTGATGGGTTCTCTGCTGGGATGTGGGGTGGATGGTGGTGGCACTGCTCCCCAGATGGCAGATGGGAGCAATTTTGGAGGGGAAACACTGAGGGCAGCCCTGGATTATTGCGTTTAAGGTGCCAAGAAGAGATGTTCGGGAGGGGAGGGGAGCGAAGGTGGTCCCCACATGAAGTCTGAACTGGAAATACGGATTTGGAGATCATCAGCTTTTAGGCATTAGTTTAGAGAGTGGGGCTGTCTGAGACTTCCCAGAGTGTGTGAGTGGACTAGAAGTAAAAAGAGGGCTGGGGAGGGAGCCTGGGCACATTCCAACATCTTAGATGTGGACAAAAGAAGACAGGCCCACAGTGGAGGGAGAACAGCAGCCATCAGGGAGGCCAAAGGAGGATGAAGACAGGTCTCCTGGAAGGCGAAGGAGGAAGGTTTCCAGAAACAAGGTGCTGTCTGGATGATCATGACCCTGAACAGGCACCTGGAGATTAGGAAGCTAAGCAGAAACGCTTCTATTTATTTATTTATTTATTTATTGTTTTGAGGTGGAGTTTCGCTCTTGTTGCCCAGGCTGGAGGGCAATGGCACGGTCTCAGCTCACCGCGACCTCTGTCCCCTGGATTCCAGTGATTCTCCTGCCTCAGCCTCCCGAGTAGCTGAGACTACAGGCATGTGCCACCACGCCCGGCTAATTTTGTATTTTTAGTAGAGACGGGGTTTCTCCATGTTGGTCAGGCTGGTCTCGAACTCCCAACCTCAGGTGATCCGCCTGCCTTGGCCTCCCAAAGTGCTGGGATTACAGGTGTGAGCCACTGCGCCCGGCCAGCAGAAACTCTTCTTTCCAAAAGCATACATTCCTAGAATCCCAGCACCGCTCGCTCCAGGAAACTTCTGTTTCAGGCAGGTCTCCGAGGAAAACCCCCCAGGCATTCAGGTGCCTGGTTTTTCTCTAGATGGTTTTTAGGGTATAAAAACCTTGAAAAACTGGCTTCCCTGAATAGATCATTCCAGTGTTGTGTCATCTGATTTCAAGAGGCCTTCCCCAGGCCCAGTTAGTACTTTCCTCCGTTCACATTGAGCTGTATTTGAAGATGTGTGTGTGTGTGTGCATGCATGTGTGTTTTTAGTGTGTGTGTGCGCGTGTGGGTGTCCCACACCTGTCTTTGGATGGTTAAGCCTCAAGGTCTCTTCTCATGCCCAAACCAAATTCATTTTTCTGTCCTCCCTTACATTAGGCCAGGGGGACTGGGCACATTTTCCTCTCCGCTTTAAAACTTCACTTTATCTCAGTTTCCTCCTTCCAAGACTGGCTGTGGAGTGGGCGAGTCTCCCCTGCCCCTTCCCTTCAACTTTCAAGACAAGCTTCTGGAGTTCTTAGTAGAGGCAGCATGGTTTAATGGCACCTGCATAGGATTTGGAATCAGACACGCCTGAGTCCCAGGGTGTGCCCTTGGATACCTGACTGCATAGTGCCACGGCCAGGAGCATGGACTGGATTTGCCTGGATACAAATTGTGGCTCTACCCCTTCCAGCAGTGTGAGGCAAGGTCTTTAACCTCCCCCTGCCTCAGTTTCTTCATCTATATATGGGAATCCTTATATGAGCCCATCCTAGGGCTCTCCCAGGAGGGGCATTTAATGCCATTAAATGACTTAGCACATGTAAAGCGCCCTGTTCGTAGTTCAAGCTAAAAAATGGTTATAACTATTCGTTGTAAAATGGAAACGACCTCCTTGGACTTTCGTTTGAAAATGAAACTGGAAGGTCATTGAGTATAGGGACTGTTTCTTTGCTTCCTTAACATGGATTACAGGGTCTGCCCCAGTAGCTGTTGCTGCTCAGTAAATATTTTTGGAATGAGTGAAATGATAAATGAATCCCTTTGTTATAAATCAGTAGCTTTCTCTCCTGAAGACCTCCTGACAGCCAGCTTAAGGGGCCAAGGCCCCTGCCTAAGAGATTCTCTTTGAGCATTCTCCACTCAGTTTGTAGGATTTTTTTTTTTTAAATGAAGTGATATATACATAAGATAAAATTAGCCACTTTGTAGCCGGGCGTGGTGGCGCGTGCCTGTAGTCCCAGCTACAGCTCTCAGTTGGGAGGCTGAGGCAGAAGAATCGCTTGAACCTGGGAGGTGGAGGTTGCAGTGAGCCGAGATCGCACCACTGCACTCCAGCCTGGGCGACAGAGCGAGACTGTATCTCAAAAAGAGAAAAATAAATAAAAATTAAAATTAAAAAAATAAAAAAGAGGAATATTATTCTTCCATATGCCTATAATACTGTTATTATACTCAGAAAATGAACAAAAATTCCCTGATGTCTTACATTGGGTCTGTATTAAAATTCCCTTAATTATCCTCAAACGTATTGCTAGTTTATGTGAACTGCAGGCCAATCAAGGATCACATGTTACATTTGGTTTTGTCTCTTTAATGGCTTTAATGTAGGTTACTACCCACCCCAATCCCATTTTATCCCATGATACTGACTTTTTGAAGAGACTAGACCAGTTTTCTTGTAGAATATCAAAATACTGGTTTGTTAAATTACTTCCTTGTGGTGTCATTTAATTTGTTTTTCTATGAGCTGTATTTCCTGTAACCTGGAAATTAGATCTAGAGGTTTGATTAGATTCAGGGTAAACGCTTTTGGCAAGAATCCTTGATTTTATAAACTTCATCTTGCATCCCATCAGGAGATGTACGAGGTCAGGGTACCCGTTGTGCATGACACTAAACTTAATCATTTTATAAGGTGGGGATCGCCAGCTCTGTCCAATTTATGATGCTCCGCGGTTGACACTCTGAACAACCACTCCCAACACATCCACTGATCATCAGCTATTAGCTGGGGGATGGGTTGATTTGGCTGCACCAAAGAAAAAAGAAAATAGATGAGGGTTGGGTGAGGTGGAGGTGGGGTTGCAAAAATGGTGATTTCCTGAGCCTGCCATCCCTTCCTTGCATCTGACTGCCTGGCATCCTTCTGAAAAGGAGTGCTTTCTCTCATCACCTAGTGATGACTGTGGTCCTTCTAAAGTGTCAAGATGAATGTTTAATTACGAATTTTTAGGGTGTGGAGTTGGCATAACATTCTTTTCTAATGGTGGTAAATGAATTTTTCTGAGTGTCAGTATGGACTAATGGATTTTTATTTATTCATGGCTTACAATCAAATACACTAATTGTTCTTTTTGTGTGTGTGTGTGTGACTGAGTCTTGCTTTGTCTCCCAAGCTGGAGTACAGTGGTGCGATCTCGGCTCACTGCAACCTCTGCCTCCCAGGTTCAAGCAGTTCTCATGCTTCAGCCTCCTGAGTAGCTGGAATCACAGGCGTGTGCCACCATGTCCGGCTATTTTTTTGTATTTTTAGTAGAGACGGAGTTTCGCCATGTTAGCCAGGCTGGTCTCGAACTCCTGGCCTCAAGTGATCCACCTGCCTCAGCCTCCCAAAGTGCTGGGATGACAGGTGTGAGCCACCACGCCAGGCCTAATTGTTTTTTGATGCCCACATTGTCCCAAGTTTGGCCAGGAGGAGCCCCTCGAAGTTGACTCTTGGGTCTTTCTTTGCTTCCTGGCACAAGCAGATGTCCCAGACTCCCCTGGTACTTCTCCTTCCTCAAATCTGCAATTAACTATTTCTCAAAGGAGAGCCAATTCCTTTTATTGCAGGATGGGGTTTAAAACAAAGATAGAGGTGTAGTATCCTCATTGCCACAGGCGTGTCAATGATTCTAGGCCCTTTCAGCAGATAGTAGCTGGGAGATCTGTATTTTTAAAAAGCATGAGTTCATAATGACTTCTATATTAATTTTAACATTATAGGTTTTTTATTATCTTCTTTTATTTTATATCTTTACCTTTTACCCTGGAAATCTCGGTTCCTGATTAGGAACATTAATATAATTACTTGTTTGCTTTACTCTACCATATCACATAAAATCGTTTCAAAATCCTGAACCCAATATTGCCACCAGTGGAACAGCTACTGAGTGAAGTTTAAGCTTTTTTTGTGGTTCTCTTTGTCCTTAGATTATATCCCATTAATATTGTACAGCCAGAACACTGGGTGCTGATATTACTTGAAATGATTCTTTCCTCTGTGTGGTCATATTACTGTTTATTATATGATTGGATTTATTTGTTTCAGCGTTTTTTGTTTTTTGTTTTTTAATTATAGGGTCTGCTTGTTTTCCCCTTGTGGTTTAATTCTACTTTTTGGCCATGTCAAACGTTTACAAGGTACGAAAGTCAAACTGTATAACAACATAGTCCAGAGATACTTGCTTTCCCCCTCCACATACTGTTTCTCCCTCCCCTTGTGGGAAACCATTCTTTTATTAGCTTCTGGTGTATCCTTTCAGTGTTTCCTTGTGCTTTTTGAAGTGTTCATAACAGTCCCATCTTTTAGATTGATTCCAACCTCTGTGCCACTTCCTCTATGGAGATTTCTCTAAACCTTGGACCGTCATCCAGTTCTTTCTCCGTATCTCAATCCTAGAGCATTCTTTATCTCCATGTCCTGTGGCTCTATTCATCTATTTGGGGTCTTAATTACATGCCATTGTGCATTGTTGTGACTTACATTTGCTCACGTCTTGTCACTCAATGTCTTGTTTCTGCATGTTCCTTGAGGATAGGATAATGGCTAGAATTCTTTTGTATTTCTCAACAATGTCTAAAAAAGGACTGGGCATACAGTAATAGGTAATAGATTCAGTCAATTCTTTTTTTTAATTTTTTGATACAGACTCTTGCTCTGTCGTCCAGACTGGAGTGCAGTGACGCGATCTTGGCTCACTGCAACCTCCAACCCCTCGGTTCAAGCGATTCTCCTGCCTCAGCCTCCCAAGTAGCTGGGGTTACAGGCATGCACCACCATGCCTGGCTGATTTTTGTATTTTTTGTGGAGATGGGGTTTCGCCATGTTGGCCAGGCTGGTCTCCAACTCCTGACCTCAGTTGATCCACCTGCCTCAGCCTCCCAAAGTGCTGGGATTAAAGGAGTGAACCACTACGCCCGACCTCAGTCAATTCTTGTTATTGATAATAGTTATGTTCTATCAAGCCACCGTGAGTACTGAATTGGGGAATACTGACTCTTTTGCTCCCAGGGAAAATATGGAGTTAGCTTCCTATGGGCATCTGTTCACAATATTTTCATTCACTAGTTAAATTAATATATAACTGTATTTTATGAATGCTGCTGTGTAAAGATACCTTATTTTATGTACATATATATATATACATATATATATGTATGTGTTTTTTTTTTTTTGAGTTGGAGTCTTGCTCTGTCACCCAGGCTGGAGTGCAGTGGTGTGATCTCGGCTCACTGCAACTTCCACCTCCTGGGTTGAAGCGATTCTCCTGCCTTGGCCTCCCAAGTAGCTGGGGTTACAGGCACCTGCCACCACACCCAGCTAATTTTTTAAAAAATATTATTGGTAGAGACAGGGTTTCACCATGTTGACCAGGCTGGTCTTGAACTCCTGACCTCAAGTGATCCACCTGCCTCGGCCTCCCAAAGTGTTGGGATTACAGGCGTGAGCCACCGCACCTGGTCCTAACACATACATTTTCTTTATAAGGCACATCAAAGCCTTTGAGTGCTTAGGAACACTACACAGCACTTAGGCACTACATCTGGGGGCCATTTTCCACAGTGAAACCACCAACACAAAACACAAAAATGCAAAAGCCATGGCTCTAAATACACTGTGAGGACATTTGTTTACAGTGCGATATGAGAGCTGAAACCAGAAGGGAGAGGGTCACCTCCTTCAGCCTCCACTGAGAATGTGTGCGCCAAAGCTACTCAAACTTTGCAGGTCTGCCTATATCCGCAAATGACCCTAAATCACCTCAAGTATTGATTTTGGGATTAAAAACATACAACGTTAGTAAGTAGGCACATTTGAAATGTGGAATCTTCGAATAAATAAGATTGAATTTGTTGGATTAAATCCATTTGAATGAGTTGTGGAAACTTGGACTACTTGTGTTGCCTCTCTGGGTTTCTTTTTCCTGAAACCCAGAAATCCTATTTCCTTTTTTTGTTTTGTTTTGTTTTCTTTTTTGAGATGGAGTCTCGCTCCTGTCACCCAGGCTGGAGTGCGGTGGCGTGCTCTTGGCTCTCCGCAACCTCCGCCTCCCAGGTTCAAGCAATTCTCCTGTCTCAGCCTCCTGAGTAGCCGGGACTACAGGCGCACGCCACTGCACCAAGCTAATTTTTATATTTTTAGTAGAGACGGGGTTTCACCATGTTGGCCAGGCTGGTCTTGAACTCCTGACCTCAGGTGATCCTCCCACCTCGGCCTCTCAAAGTGTTGGGATTACAGGGGTGAGCCACCGCGCCTGGCCAGAAATCCCATTTCCTGACTTGTTCCATGACTGGGTGATCTTTGATCTTTGAGCACTGAAATTGCAGGAACTGAGTGGGCACTGCCTTTTCTTTTACTCTGGCTTCCTGTGGTTGGTGCGGTCCTGACCACTGTCCTTTCCCTGCAGGTTTGTGGATTTCCATGCAGCTGCCTCCACCTGCTCACCCTCCCGGGCTTCCTTGCTCACCGGCCGGCTTGGCCTTCGCAATGGAGTCACACGCAACTTTGCAGTCACTTCTGTGGGAGGCCTTCCGCTCAACGAGACCACCTTGGCAGAGGTGCTGCAGCAGGCGGGTTACGTCACTGGGATAATAGGTAACTCTGGGCCCCGTCTGCCTGTTGCATTTACTGCAGTGGCAGCCGCCTTGTGTTTGCAAATTCCCAACATACTCCCTGTCTGCTTTCCTGTTCATGTCTTGCTGTGTGAGTTAGGGATGCTCTCAGCTATAAGGAACTGAAAAGACCTAACAGTGAATTAAAACATACATGGAGCTATTTTCCTCCCATTATAGCAAGTTTTGTGGTAACTGGTTGCTTTCATTAATTCAGCTGCTCAAAGATGCTGCCGGGAGCCAGGTGCTCTCACTCGATCTTTCTGCTCTGCCATCCTTAGCATGTTGGTGTTTGGTGTTTGTCCTCATGCTCACTGCCTCATGACTGCCATCCAGCGACTTTAGGCCCCTGAACCACGATTTGGCTCAAGGAAGGAAGAAGAGAAGGGAGATGGCTCAGCTCTGCCTGCACCCCAAGAATTGCACTTATATCTTATTGGCCAGAGCTGGGTCTTTTGGCCACGCCTCACTGCTGCACTCCCAGATTGAGAAACTGGGGACAGCATTGTAGTGACTGACTTGAACTTGGGCATGGTAATCTTCCTCCCTTTGAACAAAACCACAGTTCTATTAGCAGGATACATGGGGACATGGGCATTGCTGGGAGACCAGCAACGTCTGCCACATTGTCCAATGACTCCCTCTCCTTTAAAACATTTTTTTAGGCATCTCTTACTCAGCATTTATTATGTGCTAGGCACTGGGCTGTTTATTGGCATGAAGATGATTATTGTATTGGCAAGAGAACTGAGTTTCAGGCCGGTGAAGAGAAGCTGCCTAACCTGGAGGGGTGGAGGCCAGGTCTAGGCAGGTATATCTGTTCCCAGCCTTGCCCTGAGGCTCTGCCTCACTGCCCTTCTCCCCTCCAGGAGCCAAGACAGCCCAGTATTCCCAGAAGTATCCTCAGCTCCCTGTGTTTGTTAGTCTAACTCTCAAAGAGCTGGACCCCTTGGGATCCCTGCCTCCTCCACTATACAGGAAATTGCAAGGGAGGGAGGGTGCAACCACAAGCGGGTGGCCCTGTGGGCATGCCTTGGGTGTCTGAACCGTGTGAACCTGTGGGAGGTTGTTCTACCCAGACCCAGGGCTGGTGCCTCTGCTATTGGCCCTTTTATCCCACTCTGGGTTAAAGAGCCTGATATCCTTTTACGGAAGCTCAACCTGGAGTGCGGCATTCTTTGTCCCAGAAGGGGTAAGTCCCAGGCTGTAGGAGAGACCAATTAAGGTCACACACTTCTCTTTTTCCAATCCCTTTCTTCCCATACCCCAAGGAGTCATTATGTTAACAACATCAACACCAAGACACCATTTGTGAAACTGCCACTGTGGGCTGACTCTCCTTACTAGGCCAGTTACATGCGTCCATGTAAACCTCACAGCCAGCTGAACGAAGTGGCTCACGCCTGTAATCCCAGCACTATGGAAGGCCGAGGTGGGAGGATCCCTCGAGCCCAGGAGATCGAGACCAGCCTGGGCACCATAGTGAGACTCTGTATCTACAAATAAGTAAATAAATAATAAAACTCATAGCCAGGAAGAGTTAGGTCCCAGGGCTGTCCCAGACTCAGCCCCTATGCTGCAGAAGTGGGGCTGGCTTCTTCTGGAGCTGAATTTGACCTCACTGGCCCCTCCGTCTTCATGCCTTTAAACTCCCAGTAAGCAACTGTTTGCAGCTTGACTGTTTAGCTGCATTCCTCACCCCCTCACCACTCACGACACCTTTTGCACATCCTGGGCAGGATATTTAAGCATATCCAGCTGTTGCAATTATGAACTAAAGTACACTTTTAGGAAAAATTAAAGACCCACCAAAGGAATATCAGATCCTTTTACAACACTCACACTTTGCTTCTAATCTTGGTCCATGTTTATGTGTTGCCTAGCTGTGCGAATACCACTGGGCTCCACTTTTCCCCCTTTCACATTATTCTATGTTTCCATGTCATATAATTTTACATAGTATAATTTTTATGATTAAACAATACTTTTCATAATTTTAATATAATGTCATGTTCTCATGTAATGTTTAATCCAAATATTTCACATAATGCTTAATACATTTCTCTCAATCTTTTTTATTTATTTGGGACAAAGTCTTACTCTGTCACCCAGGCTGGAGTACAGTGGCTCAATCTCTGCCCACTGCAACCCCCACCTCCCGGGTTCAAGTGATTCTCCTGCCTCAGCCTCCCGAGTAGTTGGGATTACAGGCGTGCACCACCACACCCAGCTAATTTTTGTATTTTTAGTAGAGATAAGGTTTTGCCACGTTGCCCAGGCTAGTCTCAAACTCCTGGCCTCATGTGATCCGCCTGCCTCGGCCTCCCAAAGTGCTGGGATTACAGACATGAGCCACTCAATTGAGAGAAATTGAGAGCCCATTTCTCTCAATTTTTTATTAATCTTTTTTTTCAATCCCATAGAGCAGTTGCAGGGAGGGAATAATGGACTCCTAGAGGCCCTTCATCCAGTTTCACCGATTCTTAATTTTTGCTACATGCAGTTGTCTTGAAAAAATAGATCGATAGTTCCTTATTGAGGCCACATCAAATAATGTACTTAGACATACTCCTGTGGTTGCCCGTTAATCTCTCGTTTGAGCGGTTTAATGCTGCCAGCGTCTCAATCTTTGTACCACATTCTTTTCTTTGCCCCCTCACCATGGGGGTGGCGTCCCTGGGGTCTACTCCTCAGAGCGGAAGAGCAGATCAGAGAGTTCTGACACTGTCAGAGCTCTTGCCACACATTGCCCGATTATTCCCCCAGACTGAGCGCATTTGCAGACCGAGGAGCAGCAGGGTGTCTGAGTTTCCTCATTTGCTGCCCCGTAGGTGTCTCGGTGCTTGAACTGCGGGCTGCTGATGTTGGCCAGAGAGGAAGATGATGAAACCAGGCAGGAAGCGGGCATTTCTGAGACGATGTGGGGCGGTGCACCTGCACCCTGGGCCTCCTGGTGCCTTTGCAGGGCCCCAGCGCGGGAGGGCAAAGTGAAGGAGCCCATGTGGGGTTGCTGTGTCTGTGGAGCCCTCTTTGAGGGGCAGAGGCTCAGGCTTCTCCGGGCTCCTGGTGATGGGCTGTCTTCCCCTTTCACTGTGGTTTCCCGTGTGAGTCTGGGGTCATCCTTTATGTGTCCCTGTGGACACCGTCTCGGCCCCAGAGAGCAAAGCCTGGCTTGTACACCACATTGCAGCTTCTTTTGGCTTGTCCACAGTGCGAGGCGAAGCTAATGGAGAGCTGAGTGTGTGATCAGCTCCTCAGGGGGCTGTGGTACCCCTATGGGGATTCCTCTGAAAATCTCTCTTATGTTTTTCTACAGGCAAATGGCATCTTGGACACCACGGCTCTTATCACCCCAACTTCCGTGGTAAGAATTCTTTTGGGGATTTGTTACCTGGGAAACAGAAAATAAAGGTCTCTGTGTAAGACTCCATGAACAGCTAAGCCATCCTGTCTCTGGGGGCAACCCTAAGTTAGGACATCTTTGTTCACGAGGTCATTTGAGTGCATTTGGGGTGCCAGGGCTCTCCGGGACCTTACATCCCACTTGCTGGCATCTTCCTTGACTGTCCTTCCTTGGTGCCTGTTTGCCCTTCCAACTGCCCCATCACAGGCCCATCAGCTTTTTTGCCATCTCTCGGTTCTTTACACCTCAGGGAACATTCTGCCCCATGAGGTCCAGACATGGCTAATCTGGGAAGAAGTAAAAATTGACTGATGGGTTCACCGAAGCAGGAAACCTGGCCATAGACCCAAACAGGAGATGCTGCCTCTTGGCCTCTTCCTGCAGCCTTTGCTTCCTCACCCTCTGGCCTTGGGGAAGTAGGCCAAGATCAAGCTACCAAAGCTGGTTCTCTGAAAATCACTTTGCTGAAGGGCGGATTCTCCAAACGTCCAATTCACTGAATTACTGATGGTTTTTCAAAGTTGCAGTTCGTGCCACTGACCTTTTCCATTTCCTATAGGAAGCCGTGGACTTTCTCTTAAAGGCATTTACCATGATCTCAGCTTTGGTGGCTTCTCCTGTCCCTGGCCCCTTCCTCTTCTGCCATTTTATAAGCAAATGTGATTCTCTGACTATTTTGCAGACTTCTCCCCTCCCCTGCCCCAGTATCTCTCCCTATCTCTATGGAAAACGGCTGAATTGTTCTGTCCTAGACCTGGCGGAAGGTTTGCATTGGAAGATTTTTGCATTTGGAGAATGACTTTCAGAGGGTTGGCCTGGAGCCAGCCTTCAGCAGGGACCCACTGGTCAGTAACCCCATTGGCTGACGTCTTCTTCAACTCTTACCTCCCCTTTGATGCTCATTCCTCTCCCTCTCCTCCCTTGAGCCCCTTTTCCCAGGTGGGCATTCGTGGCATCATCCACACATGCTTTAAAAAAAATGACAGATGGGAGAAGTGAAGACCTGGCTTTTGCACTCACTAAAAATTACTCCAGAACTTGTTTCCTCCTTGGTCTTCAGTTTTCTCACTTGACAGTTGAGGGGTTGGACCAGATCAGGTGTTGGCACCTTGAGGGCATATTCCTGTGGTGAGGGGATACTGAGACCAGCTCCTATGCAGCAGGAAGTGGTACCATGATGGATCTGGTGTCTCCTGTGGGTGTGGGAAGTGGGAAGAAAGAGTACCTCCTACCTATTTGCTCTTTGGACCAGACAATTCCAAAAAGCCTTCTGGCATGGACACTCTGAGGTTTCTTCATGCTTATGTCCAAGTTCACTCCTTTTCCCTCCTGCCTCTTACATCCTCTCTGCGGTGCACTGTCCTGGTTCCCCGTCTCACTCTGTCTCCCAGGCTAGAGTGCAGTGGCATGATCTCGGCTCACTGCAACCTCCGCCTCCCAGGTTCAAGTGATTCTCATGCCTCAGCCTCCCAAGTAGCTGGGACTACAGGTGCCCGCCACCATGCCTGGTTAATCTTTTGATTAAAAGCTTGGGTTGGAGAAGAGATAGAATGAAGGAGGAAGTCGGAAAAAAACTTCACATGCCCTGGGTTATGCCAAGCACACTTACACATTCCTTCTAAGCACCCACGCTCCTCTTGCTGCCCTGGGCTGTTCCTCAGGTCAGGGCTCCTGCAAACACAACGAGGTCTTTCTAACACTGGGGTATGAGGATGCCTATGATTTAGATCAGTGGTTGGCATAGACCTGTGGTCCAAATCCAGTATGCTAGCTGTTTTTGTAAATAAAATTTTATTAGAAAACAGCAAGGCCAAGCATGGTGGCTCACGCCTGTAATCCCAGCACTTTGGGAGGCTGAGGTGGGTGGATCACCTGAGGTCAGGAGTTTGAGATCAGCCAACATGGTGAACCCCTGTCTCTACTAAAAAAATAAAAAATTAGCTCAGCACAGTGGTGCATGCCTGTAACCCCAGCTATTTGGGAGGCTGAGGCAGGGGAACCGCTTGAACCCAGGAGGTGGAGGTTGCAGTGAGTTGAGATTGCACCACTCCAGCCTAGGCGACAAAACTGAAACTCCATCTCAAGAAAAAAAAAGAAAAAAAGAAAACAGCCAATATGTACAGTCATTTGTGTACATATTGTCTGTGGGTGTGTTTGCGCTACAATGGCAGAGTTGAGTGGCCTTAACAGAGATCATCTGACCCACAAAACCTAAAATGTTTACTATTTGGCTCTTTCCGGCAGAAGTTTGCTCTCCTTGGTGGAGAGTCATCCTGATACCAGATGCAGTAGCATTTCAGGGCTATGTTGTGTACCTAGGGGGTAGCTAAATCCATTTGTGCAAACCAAGTTAGCATGAAGATATCAATTTTTTAAAAATACAACAAACAGGCTGGGCATGGTGGCTCATGCCTATAGTCCCAGCACTTTGGGAGGCCGAGGCAGGTGGATTACTTGAGGTCAGCAGTTTGCAACCAGCCTGGCCAACATGCTGAAATCCCATCTCTACAAAAATACAAAGATTAGCTGGGCGTGGTGACAGGTGCCTGTAGTCCCAGCTACTCGGGAGGCTGAAGCACGAGAATCGCTTGAACCCAGGAGGTGGAGGTTGCATGAGCTGAGATCGTGCCACTGCACTCCAGCCTGGGAGACAGACTGAGACTCCGTCTCAAAAAGAAAAAAAAATACGACAAGCATCTACTAGTTATTCTACATACACCACATATTGGGTTGGCAAAGATCTAATGTCTAACTCGAGGAGTGCATCACTAATGGGGAAGACGGTATTACCCAGATGATAAAAAGTCTGTAGGCTACACTAGGAGAATGGGTTGAGTGCAGGGCTGTGGCAGGCGGGATGCAGTGAAGAGCAGGGAAATTCTGTAGGAAACTTCACACTCAAACTGGGCTGGGAAGTGCTAATGCAGTTTCACCTGTGAGAGACACAGAGCAGATAATTCCAGGCAAAGCCACCGAGGCCCCAAAGCATGAGGCTCACAGGGAACTGAAGAGAGCTTGCTTCTTTTAGGAAGGGTGCTTATAGAGAGGGCCAAAAACGATTTGGAGGGGCAGGAGTTGAAGCTGAAAACACAGCTCTCCCTACTCCTGGGCCTGGAATTTGAGGCTAATGAGAAATAGCAATTCTTTGTGAGATTCGAGTTCTATCTACCTCTAGGAAATAAAGAGAGCTGAAGCAGTTACCTGGGTAATTGGGGAAGGTTTCCTTTTTCTGGAGAATTTTTGCATTCTAGCTGCATATGCAGCTATAGCCTTTGATTAAAAGCTTGGGCTGGGCCGGGCGCGGTGGCTCACACCTGTAATCCCAGCACTTTGGGAGGCTGAGGTGGGTGTATCACGAGGTCAGGAGATTGAGACCATCCTGGCTAACACGGTGAAAACCCATCTCTACTAAAAATACAAAAAATTAGCCGGGCGTGGTGGCACGTGCCTGTAGTCCCAGCTACTCAGGAGGCTGAGGCAGGAGAATGGCATGAACCTGGGAGGCGGAGCTTGCATTGAGCCGAGATTTCCCCACTGCACTCCAGCCTGGGTGACAGAGCGAGACTCCGTCTCAAAAAATAAAATAAAATAAAATAAAATAAATAAATACATAAATAAAGCTTGGGCTGGAGAAGAGATAGAAGGAAGGAGGAACTCAGAAGAAAACTTCAACACAAAGGCTTTGGGTTTCAATGCTCACACCCTTCCATCCCTCACCTTCACTCCACCACTCCAAGCCCAAATTCTGTCAGCCTTTTGAGTCCCAGCTGAAAGGCAGTATCTTTCAAGGCGCATTTTGAGATTCCTGCCCCATCCCCATCCCACCATCTCTATCGGGGGTAACTTCCTGTGATCACTCTTGTTGGCTCACCTATTCATCTCTTATTTCTTAATCTTTATATCTTATTTTCTCCTCACATGAAAAGTCTCTTGAAGGCAGAATTTATTCTTTCTAAAAAATTTTTTATAATTTTTTTTTTCTCTGTGGTTGTGGCAGCTAAGAACAACTGTTTTTTTTTTATCCCTTAAAGTGTCATGTATATAGTAGGTTTTCACCAAATACTGAGTATGTCCATAATTTCGTTGAAGATGTTAGGCATTCAATAATTCTCTCCACTTCCTCCCAAACTGGGTTAATTCTAATCACAAGATGTTTTGCAAATCTAATCTAACAGCCAGAACCCAGCAAAGTGATTTTCTATGCATACTACAAAGGGATATTAATCAAATCCTCTTATAATTACATACTCTATAGCACTGCAGTATTAAATCATAGGAAATTACATTTTTGTCGTGGGTGTACAAAGGCAAGCACATGGAGTCGCAGCCACGTGGGGGTGCTAACCGGTTGCTTCTATTCCAGGTTTTGATTACTACTTTGGAATCCCATATAGCCATGATATGGGCTGTACTGATACTCCAGGCTACAACCACCCTCCTTGTCCAGCGTGTCCACAGGGTGATGGACCATCAAGGTAATGCTGTCTGACACATTTGCGATAGGCTCCAGGACAAGGCAAAGTTCCAAGACTGTGGTCCATCAGCAATAAATTAAAGATGCAGACAGGAAACAGTTAAGACGGCAAATAAGATACACGGTACATTCTGTGCAAATTTAAATGTGTTATTTGCAGGGAGTGCAAGAAACCTTTCAACGATGAGGTCCACAAAATTCTTCTATTGAAATTTTTACAGGTTCCTCAGACTATTGAGCTCAGCTAGGGAGAGGCTTGTGCTGCTAGGGTCTCACACATGTGGGGCCTCCCTCCTCCTCTGCCTGCTGTCTTTGCTTCTAGCCCAGACACTGGACATAAGGAGGGAGGGAGGGAGAGAGCAGAGGAGAGAGACAGAGGAGAGAGAGAGAGAGAGAGACAGAGGAGAGAGAGAGAGAGAGAGAGAGAGACAGAGGAGAGAGAGAGAGAGAGACAGAGGAGAGAGAGAGAGAGAGAGACAGAGAGAGAGAGAGAGAGAGACAGAGACAGAGAGAGAGAGAACAGGATTCCTTTTGAGCTTCTCCCCGCATGGACAACTAAGCCAGCATTCTGATGTTGGAATGCCAAACAGGCACCAAATAGGATGTTTTGAAAAAACATTTAATGAAATGGGAAAATGCTTATGATATAATAGTAAGTGAAAAAAAAAAAAAAGCAGGAAGCAAGTCATCAACGGTAAGATCCTAATGAGCTCTGTAACCCTATCTTTGTAGTCCTATCAACGGAGACTCAAAGGAGATATGCCATAATGTTATCAAGGAATCTCTCTGGTCGTGGGACTCAGGGTTTTCATTTTCTTTTTTCTTTCTTTTTTTTTTTTTTTGAGATGGAGTGTTGCTCTCTTACCCAGGCTAGAGCGCAGTGGCGCGATCTCGGCTCACTGCAACCTCTGCCTCCCTGGTTCAAGAGATTCTCTTGCCTCAGCCTCTTGAGTAGCTAGGATTACAGGTACCCACTACCACACCAGGCTAATTTTTGTATTTTTAGAAGAGACGGGGTTTCGCCATGTTGGCCAGGCTGGTCTTGAACTCCTGACCTCAGGTGATCTGCCCACTTCGGCCTCCCAAAGTGCTGGGATTTCAGGCGTGAGTCACCGCACCCAGCGGTGACTCTTTCTCCACTTTCTCTTTATTTTCCTCTTTGTCATTGTATTTCCTAAGTATCCTGAGATGCATTTATGATCACAAAAAAAAGATGATAAGCCTCACTCAGGTAATAAAGCAGCACAAAACACGTGTTCCCTTGTTCGGACAGAGCACTGTGGTTATTTCTAAGGCTACAGTTGTCTGAGCCACTTGGGAAAGGTGAGTCTCAGCTCGTCTATCTATAAAACAATAGTTAATATAATAGTGGGTATTTATTGAGAAATTGTTACATTCTAAGCACTGTCTATATTTATCTGTAATCCACGTGACCACTGTGTGAGGTAGGTATTTCTTAGGTTGGTGCAAAAGTAATTGCGGTTTTTGCTGTTGAAAGTAAAACCACAATTACTTTTGCACCAACCTGATACCTGATTTTACAGATAAGGAAGCTTATGTTGCCCAGGTTACACCGGAGCTGGAAAGAGGTAGGAATGGAGATTCCAATCCAGGTCTCTCTGAGTCCAGAGCCCATATGCCCTTCCTATCTTTGCTACTCATAGCATAGTCATTGAACCAGCATGGTGGATATCACTTACATGCTTGGTAGAAGTGCACAGATTCACATCCTACCCCCAGGTCTGCTTTTTAACAAGACTTATGCATGCAGTGAGCTATGATTGCATCACTGCACTTCACCCTGGGTGACAGAGTAAGATCCCGTCTCAAAAAACAAAAACAAAAACAAAAACCAGCCCAGGGATTCTGCACATTATGGCATGAAAAGCGAGGCTATAGAGCATCCTGCTGCCCTTCTTACCCACCGTGGCCTGCTGGGCATACCTGTAATCACACCTGGCCATATGAAGGTATGACATATGTCAGCCAATCTCTTTTTAAAATTTTAAAATTTTAATTAATTTATTTTTTGGAAGGATGGAGTCTCGTTCTGTTGCCCAGGCTGGAGTGCAGTAGCACAATCTCTGATCATTACAATTTCCGCCTCCCAGGTTCAAGTGATTTTCCTGCCTCAGTCACCTGAGTAGCTGGGATTACAGGCTTGTGTTACCATGCCTGGCTGAGTTTTGTATTTTTAGTAGAGATGGGGTTTCACCGTGTTGGCCAAGCTGGTCTTGAACTCCTGACCTCAAGTGATCTGCCTACCTCGGCTTCCCGAAATGCTGGGATTACAGGCATGAGCCACTGCACCTGGCCTTCTTTTTCTTCTTCTTGTTCTTTTTTTTTTTTTTTTTATTTCAATCCTGTTCCTTCTGTATTTTTTTATTTTTATTTTTTAATTTTTAATCTATGTTAAAAATCTCTTTTTAATCTATGTTAAAAATCCAGTAGAAAGCCAGGTGCAGTGGGTCACTCCTGTAATCCCAGCACTTTGGGAGGCTGAGGTGGGTGGACCTTGTGAACCCAGGAGTTTGAGATCAGCTTGGTCAACACAACAAAACCCCATCTCTACAGAAAATACAAAAATTAGCTGGGTGTGGTGGCCCATGCCTGTAGTCCCAGCTACACAGGAGGCTGAGGTGGGAGGATGGCTTGAGGAGGAGGTTGCAGTGAGCTGAGATTATGCCACTGCACTTCAGCCTGGGTGACAGAGCCAGATCCTGTCTCAAAAAAAAAAAAAAAGAAAAAAAGAAAAAAAAATCAAACAGAGAAATAATGGGTGGCTTAGGAGAGAGAGAAAAACAGGAAAGAATGTAAATGACTCATGGAGTTGCAATGGTATAATAAAAAGCTGAAAAATTCAACATAAATATGCGATTAGTGTTCTAATGCCCAGCATGGTGATAATTCTTTTTCTCTTTTAAAAAATTTGGGATGCCTGTAATCCCAGCACTTTGGGAGGCCGAGGTGGGTGGATTGCTTGAGCTCAGGAGTTTGAGACCAGCCTGGGCAACATGGTGAAACCCGTTCTTTACAAAAAATACAAAAATTAGCCAGGTGTGGTGGCACACACCTATAGTCTCAGCTGCTCAGGGACTAAGATGGGAGTTTGAGGCTGCAATGAGCTGAGATTGTGCCACTGCACTTCAGCCTGGGCGACAGAGTGAGACCCTGTGTCAAAAAAACAAAACAAAACAAAAATTGTGGTTTTTGACAATTATCCACACAGTCTGACCATATCTCCTATATTTCTGTAATGGGGTGTGTGTGCATGTAGGTGTGATGGCAAGTTTTGATTTCTTCACAAATCCTTCCCAGCACTATTAGGATGACGTATTTGCCTGAGAGAACTCCATTCATTACCACCTCTGTCTGCATTGCTCTCAGCTTCTCTCTTGGTTCTCTTTGGTGACCAGGACTGAGAGCTTGAGATTTTTCAGAATTCCTAATACACTGAAGATGTGTGCAATGCACTAACCATTTGTTATCTCCCTTAGACCACCAGCACCCCTGTAAGGATGGCACAGGCCCTCCAATGCTACGGATAAGGAGATAACTCTGGGAGCTTAAGTAACTTGCCAGAGATCATGACCAGAGTCAGACCATGACTCAGCCACATTGATGGGCAGCTATGGGTCAGATTCATTTCAATCTGTAAGACCAAAACTTGAGCTTGTGTTGTTTTGTTTTGAGATGGAGTTTTGCTCTTGTCGCCCAGGCTGTAGTACAATGGCGCAATCTCAGCTCACTGCAACCTCCGCCTCCTAGGTTCAAGCAATTCTCCTGCCTCAGCCTCCTGAGTAGCTGAGACTACAGGCGTGCAGCACCACGGCTAATTTTTGTATTTTTAGTAGAGATGGGGTTTCACCATGTTGGCCAGGCTGGTCTTGAACTCCTGACCTTAGGTGATCCACCCGCCTTGGCCTCCCAAAGTTCTGGGATTACACGCATGAGCCACTGTGCCTGGCCTGGTCTTGAACTTCTGACCTCAGGTGATCTGCCTGCCTCAGCCTCCCAAAGTATTGGGATTACAGGCGTGAGCCACGGCGTCTGGCCATGAGCTTGTTTTTTTTTTTTTTCCAGGAGATGTTATTAGTTTGACTCTTATTTTTTTTCCAACTGCTGAAGTTTCTCCAAATTCTGCAAACATGGCTTAAAATTAAAATTGTCCCAACCCATCTTATGTATTCCTTTTTATGTATTTATTTATTTTTGAGATGGAGTCTCACTCTGTCACCCAGGGTAGAGTGCAGTGGGATGATCTCAGTTCACTGCAACCTCCGCCTCCCGGGTTCAAATGATTCTCCTGCCTCAGCCTCCTGAGTAGCTGGGATTACAGATGTGCACTGCCATGCCCAGCTAATTTTTGTATTTTTAGTAGAGACAGGGTTTCACCCTGCTGGCCAGGCTGGTCTCGAACTCCTGACCTCAAGTGATCTGCTGGCCTCGGTCTCCCAAAGTGCTGGGATCACAGGCATGAGCCACTGCACCTGGCCCATCTTATATATTCTGTCCTATTGACAGACCTGCTATT
Source organism: Homo sapiens (assembly GCF_000001405.40). Taxonomy (NCBI): domain Eukaryota; kingdom Metazoa; phylum Chordata; class Mammalia; order Primates; family Hominidae; genus Homo; species Homo sapiens. The sequence continues at coordinate 68,356,220 of NC_000017.11, forward strand.
ACATGAAGTCCCAATTGTTGACTTCGGAAAACGCTGAGTTGCACGCCATACACAGAGGCTGGGATTGAAGTGAGACAGCAGAGAAAGCCAGCAATGGGGCTACTGATTGGTGGTGGGACTCTGCTTGACATCATTTAGGTTCTTTAGACCTCAGTTTCTCTCCCCGCAAAATGCAAGTAATAAAAAATAATGTCCCTAGCTCACGAGAGTCTTTGCAAGCTTTACAGAGTGGTCAGCTCGTCCATGGAACATAAATATCTATTCAAAGGGAATGGAAGAAAGCATTATGCATAGACTTTTACACTTGGAGGAAATGGCCAACCAGAAAAATCATTTGGGGCCAGAGTGTTGTATTTATGTGCATATGCATTGTTGCATTAAAGCATTTAGTTCTGCTCCGTGAGTACGTAGGAAATGAATACTCTATGGTCTGTGGTTTCCACACAGGAACCTTCAAAGAGACTGTTACACTGACGTGGCCCTCCCTCTTTATGAAAACCTCAACATTGTGGAGCAGCCGGTGAACTTGAGCAGCCTTGCCCAGAAGTATGCTGAGAAAGCAACCCAGTTCATCCAGCGTGCAAGGTGAGGAGTCTCCCTCCCTCCGCAGGGCCTCCCCCTGCCTCCACCTACCCGTGCACACACACCATGTCCCTTGGCCTCAGCACGCTTGAGGCCATGGCAGAGTTTTGCTGCTCAGCAGAGATGGATGCATACATGTCTCCTATAAGTAAAGCTGGAAAACAGCCCCTTCTGGAAATCTGCGGTCCTGGATTAGAGATTCCTCAGGTATGTTCCTAGAGTCCCTGGGGCTTATCCCTCTGTTGCTTTGATCACGTTCCACTGCCATGATCATTTTGTCCTCTCCTTCTAGGGTACGAGCTCCTCAAGGGTAGGGCCTGCCCACTGCACTCTGGGCACTCAAGGCATTTGTTGAGCTCACTAGCTGGCAGGATGTATTACTTTTCCATTGCTGCTGTAACAACCAACCACTAATTTAGTAGCTAAAACAACAGTAACTTACCCTGCTACAGATCTGGAGGCCAGATGTCTGAAATGAGTCTTAGGGGGCTAAAATCAAGGCATCAGCAGGACTGTTTTCTTGGGGAGTCTCTAGGGAGGATTCCTTCCTTGCCTTTTCCAGCTTCTGGCATTTCTGAGCTATGGCCATATCATTCTCAACTCTAATTCTGTTGTTCACTTGCATCTTCAGTCAAATCTCCCCTCTGGCTCCCACTTACGATAGCACTTGTGATGGCGTTTAGGGTCCACCAGGAGAATCCAAGGTGATCCCCCTACCTCAAGACCCTTAACATAATTCCACCTGAAAACTCTCTTTTGCCATATACCGTAACATTCACAGATTCCAGGAATTAGACCCTGCTTATCTTTGGGAGCTATCCTTCATTCTACCAGACAGAAGTTACAAATTCCCGCATCTAGAAGGCACAGATAGGTAACCTTAAAGAGGGAAGCAGGATGAACGTAAGGCATTAGGGAGTGGTGGGGTCTACAGTGAACCTGTAAGCACATGCCCCATCTGAAGGGGGCAGCTACTACCTAGCTCCAGCTGCTTGGTGCTTCTTTGTGAAAATGTGAACCTGGAATATCACATCTTTTCATTTTACAACAGAGATAGGATACCTGGCTTTTATGTGAAATCTCCTGATCTTGAAATATTAGAAACTACTAATTAACAAAAGGCTGGGGGTGGTAGCTCATGCCTATAATCCCAGCACTTTGGGAGGCCAAGATGGGCAGATTGTTTGAGTCTAGGAGTTCAAGACTAGCTGGGCAACATGGTGAAACTCTGTCGCTACAAGCAATACAAAAATTAGCTGGGCGTGGTGATCTGCACATGTTGTTCCAGCTACTTGGTAGGCTGAGGATGGAGGATCACTTGAGCCTGGGAGGCATAGGTTGCAGTGAGCCAAGATTGTGTCACTGCATTCCAGCCTGGGTGACAGAGCGAGACCCTGTCTCAAAAAAAATATAAAATGAAAAATAAAATAAAATAAAGGTAAATAAGAAAAACAAAGAAGTGGGCTGTGTGCGGTGGCTCCTACCTGTAATCCCAGTGCTTTGGGATTACACTGGGTAATCCTCCAGGATCGCTCGAGGCCAGGAATTCCAGACTAGCCTGGACAACCTGGTGAGACCTTGTCTTTACAAAAAATTATAAAAAGTGGCTGGGCGCGGTGGCTCACGTCTGTAATCCCAGCACTTTGGGAGGCCAAGGCAGGCAGATCACCTGAATTCAGGAGTTCGAAACCAGCCTGACCAACACGGTGAAACCCTGTGTCTACTAAAAATACAAAAATTAGCTGGGAGTGGTGGCACCCATCTGTAGTCCCAACTATTTTGGAGGCTGAGGTAGGAGAATCACTTGAGCCCGGGAGGTGGAGGTTGCAGTGAGCCCAGATTGTGCCACCGCACTCCAGCCTGGGCGACAGAGCAAGACTCTGTCTCAAAAAAAAAAATTAATACAAGTTATTAAATAGCTGAGCATAGTTGTGTGAATCTGTAGTGCCAGCTAACTCGGGTGGCTGAACTGGGAGAATCACTTGAGTCCAGGAGTTCAAGGCTGCAGTGAGCCATAATGGTGCCACCGTACTCCAGCCTGACACATGGAGAGCCTGTCTCTTAAAAAACCCCCAAAACCGGCTGGGCGTGGTGGCTCACGCCTGTAATCCCAGCACTTTGGGAGGCTGAGGCAGGTGGATCACGAGGTCAGGAGATCGAGACCATCCTGGCTAACACGATGAAACCCCGTCTCTACTAAAAATACAAAAAATTAGCCAGGCGTGGTGGCGGACGCCTGTAGTCCCAGCTACTCGGGAGGCTGAGGCAGGAGAATGGCGTGAACCCGGGAGGTGGAGCTTGCAGTGAGCCGAGATCAGGCCACTGCACTCCAGCCTGGGCGACAGTGTGAGACTCCATCTCAAAACGACAACAACAACAACAACAACAAAACTACCCCAAAACCCAAAAAACAAAAAAGCAAAAACAAAACCATACCACAGTCTATCTCTAATAAATCATATACGTGTGAGGTGTCAGGGCAAAGAATGGACATTGTGAAATAATGGACAACTCCAAAATTGTGCACACTTATTTGGAATGCACACCCATAGACTGTGGGGTGCAAGTGCACACACACACGTGTACCTGCACACATGCACACACAGTCACCCTCCCCGCCCCCTTCATAACTGCCTTCTGCTGCCCTCTAATGACCCCATATATGTTCATCTTATCTTCCTCCTAGGAGATTCCACTCCTCAAGGGCAATGGACTCCAAGAAACTTGGTGTTTTCTACAGCCTTAGCCTAAGTGGTCAAGAAAGCACGTGCTGCACGGCTGTCCACTTGGGCAGAATTAAAAAGGGACTCTACCTGTGGCTAAGTGATCACAGCAGCCCCTTGAATATGCAGGAATCCCCCACCCCTCGCTCAGCCACATTGGACGTTTTTAGAAGCTCAGCAGGGAGGGTTGAGGCAGCAATGCAGGAGATCCAGGCATCCTGTTTTCTTGGTAATAAAACCTATTTAAGGATTGAATCTCAAAAGCAGCTCCTAAGGGCTTCAGAAATTGCATCTTAAGGGTTTATCAGGACTTTCTGAGAACACTGTTGTTTTATTTCAGATTGTCAATAGTAGAAAGGGCAGAGCCTCTTCTGCCATCTGGAGGGTTGAGCGTCTCCCAGCTCCCTGGAACTTTGGGATGGTTTCGGGCCCCTGTGCCCCATGGCACGTGGATGCTTCAAGGCTAGTGGGGACAGTCTCTTCTGCTTTTGTGGTGACTCAAACGACACTGTGTTCTTAGGGGAAGGAATGGGGACTCGGGGCCGTTTAATGCCCCCTCCGAAGTGGGCATAGGGCCTGGACATCCACCCGTTAATTAATCCATTAAAGGGCAAATCAACCGACAGCCTCCTTATTATACAAAAAAGGGGAACAGTTTTGTTAATTCATTAGCTGGTTATTAAGTGAAAAGTCCCGAGTCCTGTTGGCATTTAACATCACAGAAGGAAATCCCCAGAAATGCTGATTTCTTTGGGATTTCCACATGCCAAATGATTTTCTGAGCATCAGCAGAAAAGGCCCTCAGGTCCATGCCCTTCCTCCTCCATGACTCTGGCCCCTGCCTCAAGCCCCTCCCCCACCTTGGACCTGTTTTTCAAAACCACCAGCTGTCCCTAGAGTGTGGCTTCCCGCTCTTCCTTGACAAGGGGGCCCACCCTGGGACTTAGGGAGTTTTTACTTGGGTCTTTAGTTGGCTTTAGTGTTTCACCCAAGACCCTCGACGTAGTACTTGGTTATCACTGCTGGTCATTCAGTTTACTTGACTTTAGACCCTTCATCTGGTAGCAATGCTGAATGCTAATGCTTGATTGGAGTTTTTTAAGCAGCAGGCAAATCTCTGAATGGGAAAAGGAGCCGGTAGAAGGCATGACTCCTGGGTCACAGAGCTAGCTGGGCCTCTGTTCCTTTTGAGGTCTGGGACCGTGCATTGCACCTACGCGGGCAATACAGGGCTTGATAAGCAGGAGTGTATCGGGCATCAGGATGAGCAGCGGCCCAGCATGTTTGAAATCAGACATTTCTTAGTTTTCTTTTTTTGAGACTGAGTCTCGCTCTTGTCACCCAGACTGGAGTGCAGTGTTGCAATCTTGGCGCACTGCAACCTCTGCCTCCTGGGTTCAAGCGATTCTCCTGCCTCAGCCTCCCGAGTAGCTGGGATTACAGGCGCCCGCCACCACACCCAGCTAATTTTTGTATTTTTAGTAGAGACGGCGTTTCACCATGTTGGCCAAGCTTGTCTCGAACTCCCAACCTCAGGTGATCTACCTGCCTCGGCCTCCCAAAGTGCTGGGATTACGGGTGTGAGCTACCGTGCCCGGCCTGAAATCAGACCTTTCAAACAAATCAATCTTCCATGGTGTCATGTACTACACATTGAAATCCTAACCCTTAATGGGGTGGTATTAGGAGGTGGGGCCATTAGGAGGAAATTAGGTTTAGATAAGATCATGAGAGTGAAGCCCCCATGTTGGGATTAGTGTTTGTATTAAAAGAAGAGAAAGAGACTCTGGTGTGCTCTCTCCTGGCCATGTGAGGATACAGTGGGAAGACACTTGTCTGTTAATAAGCCAAGAATCAGCCCCTTACCAGACAGTGGACTTCCCAGCCTCTAGAACTGGGAGACGTAAAGTCAGGCGTGGTGGCTCATGCCTGTAATCCCAACACTTTGGGAGGCCAAGGGTAGGAGATTGCTTGAGCTCAGGCGTTCAAGACCAGTCTGCACAACATAGTGAGACCACCCCCATCTCTACAAAAAACACAACAAAACAAACAAACAAACAAACAAATAGGTCCTTCTGCAGTCTAGAACCTGGAAAAAGAAAAAAAAGGCCAGGCACGGTGGCTCACGCCTGTAATCCCAGCACTTTGGGAGGCCGAGGTGGGTAGATCACATGCAGTCAGAAGAAGTTCGAGATCAGCCTGGCCAACATGGTGAAACCCCATCTCTATTAAAGATACAAAAATTAGCCGGTCATGGTGGCACATGCCTGTAATCCCAGCTACTTGAGAGGCTGAGGTAGGAGAATGCTTGAACCCAGGAGACGGAGGTTGCAGTGAGCCGAGATCATGCCATTACACTCCAGCCTGGGCAACAAGAGCGAAACTCTCAGAAAGAACCATGACAACAACAAACAAACAAAAACAACAACAACAACAAAACCCAAAAAACAGAATTGGGAGAAGTCGATGGTTGTATACTAAGCCACCCCAGGGAGTGGTATTTTGTTATAGCGTCCCTAGCAGGCTAAGACACAGGACACGCATCTTTTGGAACTAGGTCCTCAGGATGCAGAGATGAAAGACATGTTCCAGCCTTCATGAGCTCATGCCTGGGATCTGCAGAATTCTCCGTTTTCCTTGACTCACTATCCGTCTTCATTGCTGGCCCCCATGCTTGCCTAAGTGCCCCTGCTGTGGTGCTGCCCCCTCCTCATCTTGCCTCTCACCCGGCTCCCACCCGACACCAACCTATGTCAGGGATCCAGGTTCAGATCCAAAGACCATACTCACCCCCAACCCCTCTTTCTCCTTTCTCCTGTTTGAATGCAGAGACGGATCTCTAGTGAGTGAGAGAATAAACTAATGACTAGCGAGGCAATCATATCGAACGTCTCCCCCAGGGCTATGTTCTCTGCCTTGTGTGGTCACCACACACCGTCCTCCAGGTCCCACTGTCTCAGGGATCTTTCCCTCCCCTCCACACCCCAAACCCCATTTGGTTCCCCTGTTACACCTTCCACAGCAACTTGTATTTCTCTTCCATCTCTCCTACGGGCTGAGTATTCCGTATCTGGAATGCTTGGGACCAGAAGTATTTCAGATTTTGGATTTTTAAAGAGTTTGGACTATTTGCATTATACTTAACCGGCTGAGCATCCCTAATCCTCCCATGAGTATTTCCTTTGAGTGTCAGGTCAGTGCTCAAACAGTTTCGGAGTTTGGAGTATTTTGGATTTTCAGATTTGGGATGCGCTGCCTATACTAACTTTTTAAATAATCATCTTATTTATATTTTAGTTGCCTTTTTCTCTTTCCTGGTCTCAATTAGATGTTAAACTCCAAGAGGGTGGAAATCATATCTATTGTGCTCATTCCTCTGTCCCCAGTGCCCAGTTAGAGCTTAATAAATATTTAATGAATGAATGAATGAATGAGTGAGTTACTTATCCAGCTCCAGTGATGTGCTGGTGCTGTGCCAGGGATTCAAACGTGAATTAGACATGTCCAGTCTCTGAGTGATTCCCAAGCTAGTGGGGAAACAGATATGTAAAAACATGGCTTTAATGCAGGTTGTTTGTATCTTATTAATACCGCAAGAAGCAGGGAAAAGGGCTATGGCAGGGATGGGGGCAGAGAGGAGGCAGCCAACCATGACCTGGGAGCAAAGGAGGAGGACTATTGGTGGCTTTGGAATTGGATCTTAAGAACTGATTAAGTGTTTTGGGGCAAGATAACAGGGAGAATACTGCTGAGAGAGGAATAACATAGATGAGGCACAGGAAGTAGGTGAGGTGCTTGGGACACTGGCATATAGAAAGAGTCTTTGACAGGGAAGGAAGGTCAGGCTGGAAGGGACGGAGATAGGGAAAGCTGCAAAGACTGGGTGAGGAGTTTGGATTGACCCTGCAGGCTGCAATGAGCCCTAGTACGTTTCTTTTGTTTCTTTCTTCTTTCTTTTTTGAGATGGAGTTTTGCTCTCGTTGCCCAGGCTGGAGTGCAATGGCGCGATCTCGGCTCACCGCAACCTCTGCCTCCCAGGTTCAAGCAATTCTCCTGCCTCAGCCTCCCGAGTAGCTGGGATTACAGGCATGCACCACCATGCCCAGCTAATTTTGTATTTTTAGTAGAGATGGGGTTTCTTCATGTTGGTCAGGCTGGTCTCGAACTCCTGACCTTAGGTGATCCAACTGCCTCGGCCTCCCAAAGTGCTGGGATTACAGGCGTGAGCCATCGTGCCTGGCCGAGCCCTAGTACGTTTCTAAATAGAGATCTGCCAGATCAAGTCTGGGTTAGAGAAGGTTGTCTGTGATGCCAGGGTCTAGTGGAAGATGGCAAAATGGTGGGGCGGGGGACAAGTGGTTATTGCAGCAGTCCATTTCAGAGAGACCCCTTGCCCATCCATCCCCAGGGAGCCACCACCAGAGAGGCCAGTGGGCTGAGAGCTGCAGGTGTTCATTTCCCCCTGCATGAGGGAAGCCCTGCCTTCACCTCCAGGCCTGCCTCCCTCCACCCAGGCACCATCTGGGGACACTTCTTGAGAGATGGGTGCCTCTCACCTGCCCTCTTCCATTTCGGATCAGATGATTTTCCCCAGCCTTAACGGTCCCTGCACCATAATCTTCTCCACACCCTGTCTCCACACCCTGCCCCATCCTCTTGCTCTCCTGGAATGTCCCCTCTGTCATCTTACTTGTTTTTTTCCTTCTCTACTCACCATTCCACTTGTTTTCCCACAAAAATAGCATGTGTTCCCTTTAGTAATCTCGGAAAACTGAGACAAGCAAACAAAAAAAAATCACCCTGAATTCCATCCCAGAGATAACCTGTTTTTTGTTGTTGTTGTTGTTGTTTTGTTTTTTGTTTATTTGAGACAGAGTCTTGCTCTGTTGCCTAGGCTGGAGTGCAGTGGCACAATCTGGGCTCACTGCAACCTCCGCCTCCTGGGTTCAAGCCATTCTCTTGCTGGCTGGGATTACAGGCACGCGTCACCATGCCTGGCTAATTTTTGTATTTTTAGTAGAGACAGGGTTTCACCATGTTGGCCAGGCTGGTCTTGAACTCCTGACCTCAGGTGATCCACCCACCTCGGCCTTCCAAAAGTTCTGGGATTACAAGTGTGAGGATAACCTGTTTTAATACCTCCGAGTATGTTCTTCTAGCCTCATTCTATGCTGGTGCATAAACATATGTTTCCCTGGTTTTATTAAGGTATAGTTGAAATGAATGTGTTTTAGAAAACAAAAGTGGAGTCACACTGTGATATAATCAGTATTTTTTTAAAGCATCAGGTGTCCCCCCACTCTATTTTCCATTCAGCACAGGTGCATAATGAAGAGGTGGCTTGCGGGACAGATGCCCCCAAGGGACTAGTCTGTGTGGGCTCTGCCTGATGCCATGTTTTGGAATCTAGCCTGGCATCAGGATGCAGGGAGAGAGGTACATCCTTGGGCATCATTTATGCTTACTACTGCTGGCATGTATTCAACATTCTTAACAAGGAAGCGGTCGGGCGCAGTGGCTCATGCCTGTAACCCCAGCACTTTGGGAGGCTAAGGCAGGCAGATCACTTGAAGTCAGGAGTTCGAGACCAGCCTGGCCAACATGGCAAAACCTCATCTCTACTAAAAATACAAAAATTAGCCAGGTGTGGTGGCGTGCATGCCTGTAGTCCCAGCTACTCGGGAGGCTGAGGCAGGAGAATTGCTTGAACCTGGGAGGCGGAGGTTGTAGTGAGCCAAGATCGCGCCACTGCACTCCAGCTTGGGAGACAGAGCGAGACTCCGTCTCAGAAACAAAAAACAACAACAAAATAAGCTACCATTTATTAGATGCTTAGTGTGGGAAGTTACACAACTTTGTTGGGGAGGTCTGATTGTCCCCATTTTATAGATGACAGAGGTTAAGTTAATTGTCCAGGGCTACACAGTCATGAAATAACAAATCTGGAGGTTTGGATGCAGGATTCTCAAGCCTGTGCTCTTCATCAGCCTGTGCTCTGCCATCTCTCATAACTGCCTGTCTCTGTAAGCCTCTGGCTCAGGGTGCTAATGTGACTTTGATAATGGGTGAGAGTTTGGAAGATGATGATGGATGATGAAGGGTGGACAGCAGGACCACCCCTCGCCCATACACATGGTGAGCTGATTTCTAAGAAAACAGCTGCAGTCTGTAGCATTTGCCAATTCCTGAGGTGTAAATACTCAATCTCACCATGGCTGATTTCCAGCTATGGAGATGTCACCGAATATGGCATTGAAAAATGATGGGCAGTAGCAAGCCATTGTGTGTTATTTCCACCACACAGATACAATAGATGTAAATAACCCCATGAGCCTACATCATAGCAGAATGTAGTAGTTGGGAAGTGATAAATGGTGAGAATGTACTACTTTCAAAAAATATTATTGATTTATTTAATTTATTTTTTTTTTGAGACAGAGTCTCGCTCTGTCGCCCAGGCTGGAGTGCAGTGCACAATCTTGGCTCACTGCAACCTCTGCCTCCTGGTTTCAAGTGGTTCTCCCTGCCTCAGCCTCCCGAGTAGCTGGGATTACAGGCACCTGCCACCACGCCTGGCTAATTTTTGTATTTGTTAGTAGAGGCAGGGTTTTGCCATCTTGGCCCAGCTGGTCTCAAACTCCTGACCTCAAATGATCCGCCTGCCTCGGCCTCCCAAAGTGCTGGGATTACAGGTGTGAGCCACTACGCCTGGCAAAAAAATAAAATAAAATAAAATTTATTTAATTGTGGACTTTTATAATTGAATTTTTAGCAATGGCCATGTTTAACAACTGGTTTGCAAAATACTTGAAATTTGAGCCAGATCTAGGCACCACTGCAATATGGAATCTACCTGAAAATTAAAAAAAGCCACCCCCACTGGCCAGGCACTGCCCTGTGCAGGGTAACCAGCCAGTAGATTGTAAGCTGGAAATAAGGACCCATTCACTCAGCAGGATGTCCTGATGCAGGCCACAACCTGCACAACTGTACATGACCATCCCTGGGAGAGTTGGCATCAGGCACTGCAAATCATTGCTGTACGAAAAAACTAGGCAAGAATGGAGATGTTTTCTATCTGCACTGTCCAAGCTGCTAGCCTCTAGCCACCTGCTGCTGCTGAGCATTTGAAATGTGGCTAGGAATTTATGTATGTGTGTGTGTGTGTGTGTGTGTGTGTGTATTTTATTGTGGGTATGTATATATACAGATATATATAATCATAAAATGTTACCATCTTAACCATTTTAAATGTAAAGTTCTGTCGCATTAAACATTCACTTTGTTTTGCAACAATTACCACTATCCATCTTCAGAACTGTTTCATTTTTTCTAACTGAAACTGTACCCATGAAACATAAACTGCCCAGTTTTTCTTCCCCGCAGTGCCCCGCCACTCACCATCCTACCTTCTCTCTATGAATTTGACTATTATGGGTACCTCACACAAGTGGAATCATACAATTATTTGTTTCTTGGTGACTGGATTATTTCACTTAGCATAATATTTTCCGGGTCCACCCATGTGCTAGCGTGTGGGCCATGGAACTTTTAATATGATTTAATTTTCATTAATTTAAATCTAAATAGGTACATGTGACTTGTGGCTGCTGCCCTGAACAACACAACTCTAGCAATGTTGCAGAGAAAGTGTGGATTAAAATGGGGAAGGCAGACGCCCCTGTCTTGGGACTTGTGTCCAGGGTTTTATGCATAGCAAAGAGAACTGAGTGCAAGCACAGTCCCAGGCGGCAGACCCTGGGAGCCAGGGTGCAGGGGGGATTTGAGGGCACAGTTGGCTATAGAGCAAGGCTGTAAGGTGGTGTAAACCAGGGTGAGCTAAGGAGAACCCTGGGGCCAACTGAATCTCTGCGTGAACTAGTATGAAAGGGCCATGCATCTACCCCCACCAGAATGTTGTTGACTCTGTACTCTCCCAATACCCTTGTTTGGTGTCCTCTGAAAGACCCCCCATGGATGGATCTGTGGGAGAGGGGCCCCCTGAAGGTCCCTGCCACCGTTGTGATTCTGCAGCTGCTCTTGGCTGGGAGTAGGACTGGGACCTTTGCTTGGAAGCCACGCCAGCTCCCTCCAAGCCTTTCATTCTGCACTTTCCAGGGAAATCAGGATGAGTACAGAGGCAGCCGAACAACAAGGCCTCTGACAGATCCCTGATCTAGATGTTACCTGGTGGTCATATGTGTCCTTGAAATTCCTGTGATCAACTTGAGACAACCATTTATCTCTTAGAAAGGAACAAGGCTGGCCAGGCACAGTGGCTCACGCCTGTAATCCCAGCACTTTGGGAGGCCGAGGAGGGCAGCTCACCCGAGGTCAGGAGTTTGAGGCCAACCTAGCCAACGTAGCAAAACCCCATCTCTACTAAAAATACAAAATTAGACGGGCATGGGGGTGGGCACCTGTAATTCCAGCTACTCAGGAGGCTGAGGCGGGAGTATCGCTTGAACCCAGGAGGCGGAAGTTGCAGTGTGACAATATCGCGCCACTGCACTCCAGCCTGGGCGACAAGAGTGCGACTCTGTCTCCAAAAAAAAGAAAGAAAGGAATGAGAGGCTGAGAATGGACAGGATAGTCTGGATGCTGCAAAATAAAATTTAAAGGTGTGTGTGTGTGCCTTAGACTTTACAGTGTGGCAGTTAAGAGCAAGATTCGGACATGTAACTAATTGCATATCCTGGGCAAGTCCTTTAATCTCTAAGCTTCTGATTCTTCATCTGAAAAACGGGGCTATGATGAGGACGAACCTAGACAATGTGATTCCCATATAATAAGCTCTCAGTAAATGATAAGGGATAGTAACTGTTATTACAATTCTCATTTTTAATTGGCTAACCAGATTGCTTTCACATTTCCTTGGAAGATTCTGGATAAATGTGTCCTTCTTGAGCCCGTGGGGCAGAAGGAGCTTTGGGGATTTTCCTGGAGGAGAGGGAGGATCCCTGAGGCACCAGATGAGCCAGGAGAGCCTTCTGCAGAGTCACCTCTTGGTTCTCCTGTTTCAGCACCAGCGGGAGGCCCTTCCTGCTCTATGTGGCTCTGGCCCACATGCACGTGCCCTTACCTGTGACTCAGCTACCAGCAGCGCCACGGGGCAGAAGCCTGTATGGTGCAGGGCTCTGGGAGATGGACAGTCTGGTGGGCCAGATCAAGGACAAAGTTGACCACACAGTGAAGGAAAACACATTCCTCTGGTTTACAGGTAAAGTAGTAAAAGCCAGCCAGCCTAACTGCCATTTAATAGACAACCTTGCACATTACCTGTGAAGAGCAGAGTCTGGCCCCGTGATCCCCTTTCATAGGTCAGGAGGCTTGCTTTGAACTTGTGGCCCAGATAAGGCTTGCTGGCCTGAATGCTGAGCACCTGTCCATTGGGGCCTCCAAGGCCAAGTCCCTGGAAAGGTTTGCACACACAGAGCAGCCACCTTGCTGGCCCGTTGTGTGTCGATTCAGGCTATCTGGGTATTGCTCTTAATTGCCATTGAATGACATTGACATTGTGAGCCTGTGTTGTCCCTGTGCAGTTCTAAGATTTCCCTCTTCTCCATCTTCCCTGGTCCCAAAGATTCTACTTGCTGCCACTCCCCGTGTCACGTCTTTTGGCTGAGTGGCCTTAGCGAGCTGAACTAGTGGCCTCTTTAAAGGCCTCACACATGCATTGTGTATTTTAGGTTTCTGTCTGGAGCGACTGCAGAGGTTATAAGCACTGCTTTTGGCCAGGTTGACTCACACCTATAATCTAATAACAGCACTTTGGGAGGCTGAGGCAGGCGGATCACCTGAGGTCAGGAGTTCGAGACCAGCCTGGCCAACATGGCAAAACCCTGTCTCCACTAAAAGTACAAAAATTATCTGGGCATATTGGCACACGCCTGTAGTCCCAGCTACTCTGGAGGCTGAGGCAGGAGAATCGCTTAAACCTGGGAGGCGGAGGTTGCAGTGAGCTGAGATCGTGTCACTGCACTCCAGCCTGGGAGACAGAGCAAGACTCTGTCTCAAAAAAAAAAAAGCACTGCTTTCGGGTCAAGTAGAGACTTATACTCTCTACCGTGCAGTGAAGGTGTTATAAACTCCTACAGGGTTTGAATCTATACTCTACTATTGGGGGAATTCCCTTAATCTCTCAGTCTCCTTTTCCTCATCTGCAAAATTAAGCTAATAACCGAATCTACTCCATAGCATGTTGGAGGATTATGAGATGATGTATGTGAAACACTGGGTGCATAATAGATGCTCAATAAACAGTTGCTGGGCTGAAGCTGATGACGGTGGCAATGAGATTGCTGAAACCTTACAAAAAGGCAAGAGAGGAAAGAGGAAGGAAGAGGAGGAAAGGCAAGGAAGGCAAGAGGCTCACGATGGGACTGGGTTGGGGCAGGAAAAGGCCACCTGTCTCTGAAAGCCCAGTAGAGACACATCTCATATCAAGGGTTGTTCTTCACGGATGGGAATCATATTTGTCTTTATTTATTTATATTTATTTATTTTTTTAGATGGAGTCTTGCTCCGTCACCCAGGCTGGAGTGCAGTGGCAGGATCTCGCGTCACTGCAACCTCCGCCTCCTGGGTTCAAGCGTTTTTTGCACCTCAGCCTACAGAGTAGCTGGGATTATAGGTGCCCACCACCATGCCCGGCTAATTTTTGTATTTTTAGTAGAGAAGGGGTTTCACCATGTCGGCCAGGCTGGTCTGGAACTCCTGACCTCAAGTGATCTGCTTGCCTCCGCCTCCCAAAGTGCTGGATTACAAGCGTGAGCCACTGCACTAGGCCCATGTTTGTCTTTATAAGTCCTTTTTCTATCTAGTTCCTGCTCTGCGCAAGGGATATAGGGCCAGAGTGGGAGGGTCAGCGAAAGTGTCCAACCAGCCTGGTGACCATTAATGCTTTTTCTGGTTTCTAGGAGACAATGGCCCGTGGGCTCAGAAGTGTGAGCTAGCGGGCAGTGTGGGTCCCTTCACTGGATTTTGGCAAACTCGTCAAGGTAAGGGGCTCAGCTGGGGTTGGTGGATCCCATTGCAATGCTGAGCCCAGGCTGGGGTGTGGGATTCTGCCTCCGGGTGGGGGACAACTTATATCTGGGCCTTAGGGTCATCATTGTGAAACAGGGACACATTTGCTCACCAGCCACCAGCACCCAGACAAGAAGGAACAAGTAGTGGTGGAGAAAACGACTGCTCAGTTTGGACCATCCCTGTCTCTCCTTTCCTCCTAGAACTTCCCAAAGGCGACCAGCCCTCCACCCAACGAGCCAGTCTACCTACAAACATTCCAACAAATGAGCTTTGTCTTTACTTTCATCCTGTTCCCTTGCTCTTCCTCCTTCCTTTTTAAAACTTCATCCCTCCATCCATCTAACCATTAATTTATTTCATCCATTCAAAAAATATTTAGTGTACAACTGTACAAGGTTTTTAATGTACATTGTCTCCAGTTCTTACAAGAGTGAGAGGGTGGCAGTCATAGCTCCATTTACAGATGAAGAAAAAGAGAGGCTAGGCCGGGCGCGGTGGCTCACGCCTGTAATCCCAGCACTTTGGGAAGCCCAGGCCGGCGGATCACGAGGTCAGGAGATGGAGACCATCCTGGCTAACACGGTGAAACCCCATCTCTACTAAAAATACAAAAAATTAGCCGGGCGTGGTGGCGGGCGCCTGTAGTCCCAGCTACTCAGGAGGCTGAGGCAGGAGAATGGCGTGAACCTGGGAGGCGGAGCTTGCAGAGACAGAGCTGAGATCTGCACTCCAGCCTGGGCGAGAGTGTGAGACTCCGTCTCAAAAAAAAAAAAAAAAAAAAGAAGGAGAGAGGCTCAGAGAGGGTAAGTAATTTGCCCATGTCACACAGTTTGTGAGGAGGGAGCCAGGTTTTCCACTGAAGTTAAAGTTGGTGCTCGCCCTGTTGTACCATAATGCTTCTCACAGCTGCCTCTGTCTCTATTTCAACATCTTCCAACTTCCAACTCAGCTCCCATCTGCTCTGGGAGAGCTTTGCCACAAGGACCTCACTTTCTGAGACTGCAGCCATGTTGGGGACAATTTGACATATGGACCAAATGCTTGAAAAATACGCATATCATTTGATGCATCAATTCCTCCTGTAAGAATTTGTCTTAAGGAAATAATTAGGCACATGCTCAATGACATACGAAAAAGGATGCTCATTGCAGTGAATTTTTTTCATAGTTGGACATAACCCAAGTGTCTAGTAAGAAGATAGTGCTTAAAGAAATTATTATACCTCCATTAAAAGGAATAACAAAGAACCACTAAAATAATTCATATTTATTGACTTGGAAACATTTACATGAAATATTTTTAAATGAATAAAGCAGGTTCCAGTATGGAACAATATGTAAAGTATGATTTTATTATATAAAAATAATCACATGTAGACTCAAAAAAATCTTGAAAGAGTCAATAAAGGGTAACAAAACATTAGCAATAATTACCTCTGGGCAGCGGAGGGAGAGTTGAAGGGGTGAATTTCCCCCCACAATAAACTGGTATTGTTTGTTTCATATAAATTAAATGTTTAGGAGGTATTTGTGTCCAAGAGGTTCAGAGGTGGACCTGGCAAGTTTACCCTCATTGAGGGATGTGTGGGGCAGAATTTTAGATCTGGGACTGTGTATTAGTCCACAGACTAATACACACAATCGCACCATTCTTGAATTAGAGGGAACCAAAAAGGTCTATCTGTCTGTCTGTCTGCCAGTTCTATCTAACTGTCATCTATCTATCTATCTATCAATTGATCGATCGATCGATCGAAACACCAATACTCCAAGAGATAAAATAAACTCACATTGCTATAAAGAACTACCTGAGACAGGGTAATTTATAAAGAAAAGAGGTTTAATTGACTCACAGTTCTGTAGGCTGTACAGGAAGCATGGCTAGGGAGGCCTCAGGAAACTTACAATCATGGCAGAAGGCGAAGGGGAAGCGTGTATGTCCTACATGTTTGGAGCAGGAGGAAGAGAGTGAAGGGGAAGGCGCCACACACTTTTAAACAGCCAAGGCTAATGAGAATTCACTCACCATCATGAGAACAGCAAAGGGAAAATCCGCTCTCATGACCCAGTCGCCTTCCACCAGGCCCCTCCTCCAACACTGGGGATTACAATTCGTCATGAGATTTGGGTGGGGACACAGAGCCAAACCGTATCAGGCTGTTTTCCCTGCTGTCAAACTCAATCCTGACCTATGACCCTCAGCTGTCTCCAGGAGGTCTCCACTAGCACTCCCGTCATCGTATTAGTCTGGCAGGATAATTGTAGTTACCTAGAAACTGAAGCATTGTGCGCCTCAATTCTGGTGCAGAGAAGGAAATGCTGATTTTTTTTTTTTTTTTTTTTTTTTTTTTTTTTGAGACAGAGTCCCACTCTGTCACCCAGGCTGGAGTGCAGTGGCACGATCTTGGCTCACTGCAGCCTCCACTTCCTGGGCTCAAGCGATTCTCCTACCTCAGTCTCCCAAGTAGCTGGGATTACAGGTGTGTGCCACCACGCTCAGCTAATTTTTTGTTTGTTTTTTTTTGTTTTTGTATTTTTAGTAGAGACGGGGTTTCACCATGTTGGCCAGGTTGGTTTTGAATTCCTGACCTCAAGTGATCCACCTGCCTCGGCCTCCCAAAGTGCTGGGATTACAGGCATGAGCCACCGTGCCCGGCCATGATCATTTTTATTTTTCAATTTTTTTTTTTTTGAGATGGAGTTTCACTCTTGTTCCCTGGGCTGGAGTGCAATGGCATGATCTCGGCTCACTGCAACCTCCGCCTCCTGGGTTCAAGTGATTCTCCTGCCTCAGCCTTCCTAGTAGCTGTGATTACAGGCACCCACCACCACACCTGGCTGATTTTGTATTTTTAGTTGAGATGGGGTTTCTCCATGTTGGCCAGGCTGGTCTTGAACTCCTGACCTCAGGTGATCCACCCATCTTGGCCTTCCAAAGTGCTGGGATTACAGGCGTGAGCCACCATGCCTGGCCTACTTTTCAATTTTAACCTATTGTCCCTTGGATCAGATATCTTGAGAACTTTAGGAGCAAGTGGCTGCAGGACTGTGGCCATATCTTGTGTCTGGAAATTTGAGTCGGGGTCAGGAGAGCTGAGTACCACCTCCCACTAACCTTTTCAGTGACCAGATTATTTTATCTCTTGGAGTATTGGTGTTTCTCACTCTCACTCTCTCTCTCTCTATATATATGTATAGATCTTTTTGGTCCTCTTCAGTTCAAAAATGCTGTGATTTAGTTGTGATTTCTGGAGAGTTGGGTCAAAAGAAGATGCTAAGGAGGACTGGAGGTGGATGGGGGTGTGTCAAGAAACAGGAGCCAGCCAGGCGCGGTGGCTCACACCTGTAATCCCAGCACTTTGGGAGGCCGAGGCGGGCGGATCATGAGGTCAGGAGATCGAGACCATCCTGACTAACACGGTGAAACCCCGTCTCTACTAAAAATACAAAAAATTAGCCGGGCATGGTGGCGGGCACCTGTAGTCCCAGCTACTCGGGAGGCTGAGGCAGGAGAATGGTGTGAACCAGGGAGGCGGAGCTTGCAGTGAGCTGAGATCGCACCACTGGACTCCAGCCTGGGTGACAGAGCGAGACTCTGTCTCCAAAAAAAAAAAAAAAAAAGAAACAAGAGCCTAGAGAAATACAGCATAAATGGGAGTGGTTTGTTGCATTAGCTGATTACAATTCCTCCTTTCTGTACCTGGGACACTCTTGGGCCAGGCTGTCATCTTCAGTGTTCAGTTAGAAAGCCTGGAATAGCCTGGTGTCAGAAGCCCCAAGGCTAAAAGTCCAGAAGGTGCAGAAGGTGTGGAGACCATGGATGCAGGGGGAAGGATCTGTAAGTAAGTGGCTTCTCCGTGGGGAGAAGAATTTACCTACTGATCTCCTATCTGAGGACTTGCCTTATTGATCTCTTCTCTCTTTATGAGGCAGTTTTGAAATAGTGAGTCAGGCTTAAGGATGTGGACTGGGACCCCATTCTTCGAGGGAATGATGAGAAATACATTTACTAGCTGGCCAGGTGCAGTGGCTCATGCCTGTAGTCCTAGCACTTTGGGAGGCTGAGGCAAGAAGATAGCTTGAGGTCAGGAGTTCAAGACCAGTCTGGCCAACATGGTGAAACCCCGTCTCTATTAAAAATACAAAAATTAACCAGGTATGGTGGCGGGCACCTGTAATCCCAGCTACTCGGGAGGCTGAGGCAGGAGAATCACTTGAACCTGGGAGGTGGAGGAGGTTGCAGTGAGCTGAGATTGCACCACTGCACTCCAGCCTGGGCAACAGAGTGAGACTCAGAAAAAAAAAAAAAAGAAAAGAGAAAGAAAACAGAAAAATAAAAATAAATTTACTAGCTGGGCAACCACCATCTCTCCTTTCCTTCCTTCCTCCTGTAAGCATTCGTTGAGTGCCTACTGTTTTCTATTCCTCCTATTTGTTGAGCACCTACTGTGTGCCAGGAACTATGCTTAGTGCTGGTGCCACAAAGATCAACAAAGCCCCAGCCGCAAGGAATAATAGTCTAGAATAGTGTTTCTTTGATTTTAATATGCAGACAGTCCCCTGGGGATCTTGCTAACCTACAGTTCTGACCCAAGAGGGCTGGGTTGCTGATGGGAGTTTTGCATTTCTAAGGTTCTCCTAGGTGACGCTGATGTGGTTGGTCCAGGGACCAAACTTTGAGAACCACCAGTCCAGAACATCTACATCTAGACCATGAGTCTAGAATCATCTGAGTGTAGAACTTTCAACTTTAGACCAATGGTTATCAAAGTGTGGTCCCTAACCAGCATCATTAGCACCACCTGAGAAATTGTTAACAGTACAAATTTTAGGGCTTCACCCCGGGCCAAAAGAATCAGAAGCACTCAGGATGGGTCCCAGGAATCTGTGTTTAAACAAGTCCTTTGGGCGATAATGCAGGTTAAAATTTGAGAACTACCTGTCTAGAGCTACACAGTCTGGTATGTCAGGCACTAGCTACATATAGCTATTTAAATTAAAATTAATACAATTTAATTAAAATTCAATTCCTTGGTCACACCAGCCACACTTCCAGGGCTCAGTAGCCATATGTGGCTAGTGGCTACCATATTGGGTAGCAAATAGGCTTCCCTGGGGGTGATTTGTGTTTTGAAGAATGAGTAGGAGACAGCCAGGAATTGGCAGGAGAAGAGGCTCTGGGCGAGGGCAGCAGCCCGGGCAGGGGTGGGAACATCGGGGAGTAGGAGCCGCTCCCTAGAGCTGCCCCTGTGTCTGTGAGTCTGGAGTTTGTGGCGACCAAGGAGAATAGCGAGAGATGGGGCCAGCGTTCAACGATCTTTTCAGTTTGGCTTTTATTTTAAGGAAATGTGGAACCATGGGAAGATTTTAAGAGTGGGAGGGACATTATTTAATGTTAAATATGGAGGTGAAATTTACATCACATAAAATTAACATTTTAAGTTGTTCAGTTAAGTAGCACTTAGCACCTTCCCAATGTTGTGCAACGACCACATCTGTCTAGTTCCAAAACACTTTTATCACCTCAAAAGAAAACCCTATATCCTTTAATTAATTAATTAATTAATATTTTAGAGATACAGTCTTGCTCTGTCCCCCAGGCTGGAGTGCAATGGCGCGATCATAGCTCATTGCAGCCTCAAACTCCTGAGCTCAAGGGATTCCCCCCACCTCATTCTCCTGAGTACCTTGGACTACAGGAGTGTGCCACTGCGCCCCCTGCATTTTTTTTTTTTTTTCTGAGATAGGGTCTTGCTCTGTTGCCCAGGCTGGAGTGCAGTGGCATCATTACAGCTCACTGCAGCCTCAACCTCCTGGATTCAAGCAATCCTCCCACCTCAGCCTCCCAAGTAGCTGGGACCACAGGCATGCACCACCATACCCAACTAATTTTTCTTTACCTTTTAAAATTTTTTTTGTAGAGACGGGGTCTTGCTATGTTGCCCAGGCTGGTCTGAAACTCCTGGGCTCAAGCAATCTTCCCACCTTAGCCTCCCAAAATGTTGGGATTACAGGTGTGAGCCACTGCACCTGTCCTATGCCTAGCTTTTAAAATATATATATTTATTTTATTTAACCCCATATCCTTTAAACAGTTGCTCACCATTTCCCACTCCCCCTCCAGCATACTATTCAATTTTTTTTTAAAAGATCCCTCTTATATCAGGGGAGCTGAGAACAAGGAGAAGGGCAAGTACCAGCCTCATTTCCACTGATCCAAAATGACCAATGAGAGAAGCCAGTGACAAAATCTCCAGGAATATCCCCAAGTTCAAAGAACGCCAAAGTTGGAAAAGACCTCAGTCATCTTTTTTTTTTTTTTTGAGACAAAGTCTTGCTCTGTCGCCCAGGCTGGAGTGCAGAGGTGCGATCTCAGCTCACTGCAAACTCCACCTTCCAGGTTCAAGCGATTCTCCTGCTTCAGCCTCCTGAGTAGCTGGGATTACAGACGTGCACCACCACACCCGCCACCATGTCTGGTATTTTTAGTAGAGACGGGGTTTCACCATGTCGGCCAGGCTGGCCTTGAACTCCTGACCTCCAGTGATCTGCCCTCCTCAGCCTCCCAAAGTGCTGGGATTACAGGCGTGAGCCACCGTGCTTGGCCGACCTCAGCGATCTTTATTCCAACCACCTTATTGGACAAATGAGGAAACTGAGGCCAAGGAGAATGGAAGGCATCCCCGAGGCCAGCCAGCAATGGAGGGGTCCACATCCTCTGACCATCACTGGCTCATTCTCCAAGTCACGTGACTGCTCTCACGCACACCTTGTTATACTCGACTCCTCAGCCACCTGGAAAATCCTATCTTGCTCTTTGAACCTAGCAATTGTCAAGGAAAAGTCTTTAGCCCTTGCAACAGTCTGAATCTTTCTACATCGGTGGGAGGCAGAGAGGGTTTGGAGGCTCAGGCTGGGCTTGAATCTTGACTCAGCTCAGGGCTCAGCATCCTCTTCTCATTAGGTGGGGTTGTGGACCATTCTCCATGGACTGTTGGGAGAATCAGTGGGGGTACTGCCCAGGAGGCTCCCAGCCTTGCACCTGGCCTCTAATGATAACCCCCATTAGACTAAATTTCTTCATTCCTGGCTGAAACAACCTGGCGGAACCCCACCCATAGAAGCATTAGAAGGGGATTGGCAAACACCCTGAAAAAGATTCCCCCACAAAAGGATCAGGCAACTTAAATCGCATACAGATAACTTTAAAAGTGTTCAGGAACTCTTGGGAAACTTTGTTCTGAAGCTGAATTTCAGGCACCTCAAGATAACATTCTTTTTTGGGGCAAGGCCTTCCCAGTAACTCTGATGTGGGATCGGTGGGTGACAGCACTTGAATTCATGATCGGGCTGGGGCTGGATGCCATTGCCCTCTTTTCTTGGGAGTCTGAAAGTGAACTTTGCCTGAAAGGCTGCTGCCTGGGGGTAAATACTTCTTCTTCCTCAGTCTCCAAAGCGGCTTCCTGTCAACTAACTATTCCACAGCCTCCTTCTTCCTCTCTGCCTGGAATGCTGCTGGAGCTCTGGGAAGCCAGGCAGCGCCCTGCTCAGCAGGTGGCCATGTCCTGTGAGTCAAGGGGGCTGGGGTCCCTCTGGTCACCTGCTCCTCTTCACCCAGTTCCCCATCAGTGGGACATCTGCACGGCTCACTGTACAGGGGCCAGACTCAAGAGCAGATGAAAGAGAGAAGGCGGTCAATGTTTTCGCAACGGAGTAGGACAAACAGTACCCGGAGTCGTGCAACTTTCTCCCTGAAGCCAGGCTGCTGCGTCAGGCCACGTGCTGTCTTCCCCTGTTCTCAGGGCCCCCAGGCCCCCCTGCTTGTCTTCCCTTTCCTTTCCTGGCCGAGCCGCCCAGCTCAGCTGATGGGATGAGGCAGCGTCTCCTGGAGTCATCTTTTCACCCCGTGCGTGTGGACTGAGAATGCTCCACTTGGCTTGTGCCCTGCAGGGGTGAGGAGAAACGGAACTGGGGCGGGGGCAGAGCAAAGCAGCCCTGCCTTCTCCCGAAGAAGAAGGGCACGAGTCAGACACCCCTGCTGTCTCTGAGTCCACAGCCTGGTCCAGGAGGCCTGGCTCTCCCAGCAGCCGCCTTCCCTTCTCCATGCCAGATCTGTTTCCTACCCAGGACAGAACCAACACCTTGTTTTTCCCCTAACTGACTGCTCCTCTGTCTGGAAAATCTTTTCTCGTTTTATTTGAAGAGCAGAACTGTTCCTTCCTCCCCCTTGGTGATGAGGAAACATTCTGTTGAATTTGGCATCCAGGCTCCTAGGAGACCTTGGTTGTTTGTAATTTGATGCTATCAGGTTGTTGCATAACCTTTCCCGCTGGGAAGCAGTCTCTGCATCCTGGGCCTTCTGTCCAGTTTGGGGTCGGGGGTGGGGCGGGGAAAAGTCAGAGGTGCTGTGAGGTGACAGAGCAAGGGATAAGGGACTCTGGCTGTTGGCCCTGGCTGGGGACAGGGCCTGCTGATAGGGACCTAGAGGAAGTCAAACTGCGTCTCTTTCTGGGCCTTTGGCCACCAGGCTTGGTGGAATGTCCTCATCCCATACTCAGGGCCACCCCAGGCCAGCCGGAGTCCTGGGTCTGAATAGAGGCCAGGCCGCCCTGTGTTTCTAGAAAACGAGTACACTGTAGGCATCCTTGGCAAGGGGACATACTACACTTAGAAACAAAGCCTGCTTCTTTATTTTATTTTTGTAGAGACAGGGTCTCACTCTGTTGCCCTGGCTGCAGTGCAGTGGTCTGATCATGGCTCACTGCAGCCTTGACCTCCGGGGCTCAAGCAATCCTCCTGCTTCAGCCTCCCTAGTAGCTTAGTAGCTGGGACTGCAGGTGTGTGCCACCATGCCTGGAACACTACAATTTTTTTTTTTTTTTTTTTTTTTTTTTTTACAGAGATGGAGCAGAGGGGTCTTGCTTGTTGCCCAGGCTGGTTTCGAACTCCTGGCTTCAAGTGATCTTCCTTGCATCGGCCTCCCAGAGTGCTGGTGTTACAAGTGCGAGCCACTGCACTGGGCTGAAAGCCTGCTTCTTTAGAAGGTTATTAGAATGTGCACTCCTCAGAACAGGCACTCTACCCAGTCACAAATGCTAATGCCTTTGTGGGCCAGGCAGGTGATATAAAGGAACACATGTTTGTTTTTGTCAGTTATGGGCAGTGTTAGGAATTCAATATGCTGGAGAGAGGACCCTGTCGAATGACATTCAGCATTAGTTAAATGAAAAACACTAGGCATGCCCAACCAAACTGTCGGAGGTTGTGATCTCTGCTATTTTCTCCCTACAGGTAATTTGGTTGGCACTTCTCTGGCAGGCATTATGCAAAAGTACCTTGCTTGAAGCTTTATGTACACTGTCTTATATAACTGTTCCCACAGCCCTGTGAGATACGTACAACTGACCTTTGAGCGACACGGATTTGAACTGCATGGGTCCACGTAATACATGAATTTTCTTCTGCCACTGCCACCCCTGAGACAGCAAGACCAACCTCTCCTCTTCCTCCTCCTCTTCTTCCTTAGCCTACTCAACGTGAAGACAACGAGGATGAAGCCCTTTATGATGATCCACTTCCACTTAATGAATAGAAAATATATTTTGTCTTTCTTCCAATTTTCTTTTTCCTTCCTTCCTTCCTTCTACCTTCCTTCCTCCTTCCTTCCTTCCTTTCTCTCTTTCTTTCTTTCTTTACTCTTTTTTTTTTGGACAGTCTTGCTGTGTTGCCCAGGCTAGAGGGCAGTGATCTAATCAGAGCTCACTGCTGCCTCAACCTCCTGGGCTCAAGCGATCATCCCACCTCAGCCTCCCAAGTAACTTGGACTACCAGCTAGGACTCCCAAGTAGCTGGGACTACCACACTTAGCTAATTATTTATTTATTTATTTATTTAGTAGAGACACGGGTCTCACTATGTTGCCCAGTCTGGTCTCGGACTCCTGGGCACAAGCCATCCTCCTGTCTTGGCCTCCCAAAGTGGTGGGATTACAGGTTTGAGCTACTGTGCCTGGCCAGGATTTTCTTACTAACATTTTCTTTTCTCTAGCTCATTTTATTGTAAGTCTACAGTATATAATACATGTAACATACTAAATGTGTCTTAATTAAATGTTTATGTTATTGGTACGGCTTCCTGGTCAACATAAGGCTATTAGTAGTTAAGTTTTGGGAGAGTCAGAGGTTATGCCCAGATTTTCAACTGCTTGGGAGTCAGTGCCCTAACTCTTGTGTTATTCAAGGGTCAACTGTACAATCGTTTCCCTGCTTCCTGGCTGAGATGATTGAGACTGAGGGAGGTTATGAATTCTGCCCAAGACCACTTGGTTGGCAGGGGTGGCACTGGAGACCTGCCTGCCCCCAAAGGCATCATCCTAATTATTCCTTGAATACTTCTTCAACTCTAGTTTTCAAACCACTGACATCAGAATTACCTAGAATCAGAGCCCCACCCCAGACTTATTAAATTAGAATTCCTGGGAATAGGACCCAGAAATCCATGTCTTAGATGAGATCTCATCTGGTGATTCTCTTGTATGGAGAAATTTGCGAATTTCCTTGTTTGCTGCATTGCCTTTCTGACTCAGTGAAACATGGCCCTTGGGTCCCAGCCAAGAAAGACCACTGTTCCTCCGCGTGGGCAGTGGTGAGTCTTCCCCGGCCTGCCCCTGTCTTCATGCATCATAAAATGCCACTTCACTTCCGTAACCAGAGAAGCACAAATAAGCAAATTCATGAATCATGGTTTTGTTGATATTTTGGTTGCTGTGGCTAAATATTTATTGCTTTAAGAGGTTCTGCTTTAATTAGAGTCACAAGTAACCACAAGTGCGTAGAAATGCATTCTCATGGCCATAAGACACGCATTTCTCGACAGAAAGCCGAAGGCAACTAACAGTTTTAATGTGCCAGTGCCTGATCAAAGTATGGAGGCTTATCTAAATGAATAGTGTTTGAAATTGAAAAGTGATTAGAAGTTTCATTTATGGATTGTCTATTGTTCTTACTATGACTTATAAGGTCATATTTATGATGCTATGGCATAGAGGTATAAAGTCGTGGGCAACAGAAAGCCTGCAGTGACGATGACTATTAGCTACATTTAACTTTGAAACGTGCTGTGTTCTCTTCCCGATCTTGCCCCTTGCCCTCCTTCCCTGGGAATGAGTGCTCTCCCCACTAAATCCCCAGGAGGGTTTTAGAAGATATTGATGTCAGAGCTTCACTGCAGGTCGATTAAATCACAGTCTCTGGGAAAGAGACTTTGGCATGCGTATTTTTTAAAAGCTCTCCAGTGATTCTAATACATATTCAAAATGGAACCACCTCCCTAGGTTTAGTGAGTGAGGGTGCTGGCTGTGTAGTCAGACCGGCGTTCACATCTTGGCTCTATCATTTTCTTTCTTTCCTTTTTTTTTTTTTGACAGAGTCTCTGTCGTGCAGGCTGGAGTGAAGTGGCTCAATTTTGGCTCACTGCAACCTCCGCCTCCCGGGTTCAAGTGATTCTCCTGCCTCAGCCTCCTGAGTAGCTGGGATTACAGGCATGCGCCACCACGCCTGGCTAATTTTTGTATTTTTAGTAGAGATGGGGTTTCACCATGTTAGGCTGGTCTCGAACTCCTGACCTCATGATCTGCCCACCTCAGCCTCCCAAAGTGCTGGGATTACAGGCGTGAGCCACTGCACCCGGCCGGCTCTATCATTTTCTAGCTATGTGACTTGGGGGCAAATTACTTAGCCTCTCTGAGCTTTGGTTTCCCCATCTGAAAGATGGGGACAATAGTGGCTAACTTGAGAGGTTGTCATAAGGATTCAATGAGATAATGCCAGGAAGCATGTATCATGCTGAGGAGCACTTAACTTGGTACTTAGTAAGGGCTCAATAAATACGAGATGTTATTGTTGTTGTTATTACTATTATGTTTAACTTAGAATAACTATCCATTAGTGGGAGCAGGTATTACTGAAGAATATTGGGGGATCAGGAGTAGCTATCCTAGAATTTAGCCTTTGCTGGTGCAGATAAAACACAACACGCCTGTTTGATATAAGCATATGCATCTCATAATTAGAGTACACAATCCTAGGGGCCGATAGAATGCCAGTCAGATCTTTGTAAGTTTTGTCCACTCCTAGCAGTACCAGTGAGAAGCTGAGATTTATAGCAAGACAGTATCTGCGCTGTTGGTGACACATAAATATTTTACAATTGCCTGTTCACACTCTAGACCCTTTTAAGATAAATCCCTTTAGAATACAAGGTCTGTGGACCTGTGATCATTTGGGTGGCTGGCATATATAATTGTGTCTTCCTGTTAGAGCCAGAACCCAGGATGTAGCCTGCACTAACCAACTAGTCTGTACAACAAAAAGAGGGGATTGCTCCTTAAGTGGCCACACTGAGAGGCTTCTCTCAGCCAATCTTTTTCTTTCTCCTAATTCCTGAATCTTTTGCAAGGAGATTGTCTGCTTTGTTGACTACACCTGTTTTATAACTAGCTGGATTCCTCCAAACCCCTCCAGCTTTCAGTCCTTTGCTGAAATAAGACAAGCACATTGAAACGTTTTTCTCTGAAGAGCGTATTAGGAAAGTCAGTCACCTACAAGAGAGCAACACAAAAGGTTGTGGCAAACGAGAAGAATCCCTAATTCTTGAAGGGATCCCTAATTGGTGAAGACCAATTAGCAAATTTATTAATTAGACCAATCCCTAATTGGTGAAGACCAATTAGCAAATTTATTAACTAAAGGTCAGTTTACCCTTCTGGAAACATCCTGGAGGCAGAGACCAAATCCTGTGTTCAACCCTGGTGCCATTGCCCACCCCAGTGCCTTCTGGTTGACCGATAGAGCTAATGGCTTGTTTCCTGGAACCACAGCCGTGATCTTTCCTTAGCATCTGGCCTCAAAGGTTAAGCAAGACTATTTGAATAGTGTACACCATGGACATGCAGATAAACAGGCTCCCCGTTTTCACCCACCCATACCCCAAGCTTCCACAAAGATGCCCCCACGGGGGTGGAAGTATCTACAAA
The DNA here is from genome assembly GCF_000001405.40 of Homo sapiens. NCBI lineage: Eukaryota > Metazoa > Chordata > Mammalia > Primates > Hominidae > Homo > Homo sapiens. The sequence continues at coordinate 68,383,588 of NC_000017.11, forward strand.
GCCCTGGCACATGCCTTTGAGCGGATGCTTCCTCCCTGCCCTTTGGCCCTAAGCTGACGCATAAGTCATACATTCCAAAGCCACGTGGAAATGCGTTTTATGCTTGCTGGAGTTCTGGATTCTTTGTTCCAAGTGCGTGAATAAATTGGAGGGAGCTATATGTATTTATGGGAGACGTGGCCCTCGATAGGAAGGATGTATTAGAGAAATGCTGGGCTAGATCAAAGAGCGTCTCATTCAGCCTGCAGAGACTCCAGTTAGATTTTTCAACCCCACACCCTTAAACATAAACAGTCCATAGGACATAAGTTATTTTGTGTTTTGTTTCTTACTTCAAAACTTGAGGGACTCCAAAGCTGATTATGAAAGAGTCCTAAGAATGCTGAGCATTTCCCGTGTGGTGTGCTGGGCCAGGGACATCAAAGGTTCCGTTTGCAACAGTGCTAGTACAGGGCGACAGAAGCCTTCATCTTCTTCCTCCCCACGCTTCTCCCCACATAATTGCTTTCATTATTCACACCAGCCAAACAAAGGGAAATTGCATGACCACAGTGTGTGTGAGCCACACACAGCACTTGCCTTGGAAAGGCTGTGCACACGCTAACTTTGTGGGATCCTTGGCCCTTGGCTCAACCAGGATGAGGGTGGGGTGTGTGTGGGGGTGGTGGGATGGCCGTGGTTAATGCAACCCAACATGTATTCAGGATGTTTCCATCAAGCATGACCTCATGTCTTCCAGCCCGCTAGCTATCATTATACTGGTGGTCACTTTTGACTTAATGGTTACAAAAATAATTCCTTTAATAACCAAGGTGGAAATTCATAGATTGCACGTAGTTGTTTCTTACCTCCCCCAGGAGGCAAGAGGTTGGAACTATTACTGACACTGTCTCCATAACATCAGAACAACTCATGAATTCAAGGAAAAACAAAGCAAAGCAAAACAAAATAAAGCCATAAAATCCATGCCAGATCGGTTCTTGGATGTTGAGCAGATCAAATAGCTGCAGAAGTTTCCTTCTTTCTCTCTTCTTTAATAGTTGTATTTCTTCATCCTAAACAGACAGTCACATTATGATCACCAGGAAGAGAAATTCACTTACTCAACAAAGATTTGCTAAGCCCCACTATGTCTTAGGTGCATGAGACTGATGAAGTCTCATGGTGTTGAGACACAAAACAAGCAAATCAATAAATGAAAAAATAATTTACAGTGGGGAAGGTCTCATGAAGAAAATAAAATGAGGTGATTCAGTAGAGTGAGGCAACTTTTTACATCTGAAGTCCAGTAAAATAAAAAGCATATTTTGAAAGATACTAGCTAGTTGAGGGAAATAGCTGGTTACCAAAAAAGTCATTCCTTTGTTGGGGTTATTGGAAACTCAGAGAGGGGTTCTCCCAGAGACTAGCTCTTAGCTGAAAAGAAGTCTCGAGTTATCACCATGGATGAACCAGCTGCCTCCCCTCCTCTCACAGGGGGAAGTCCAGCCAAGCAGACGACCTGGGAAGGAGGGCACCGGGTCCCAGCACTGGCTTACTGGCCTGGCAGAGTTCCAGTTAATGTCACCAGCACTGCCTTGTTAAGGTATGAGACCAAAACTACCTTGAGATGTTGGGGCCCAGAGCAAGAAAAGTCATGGAGGCATGGGTGGCTAGATGGAGGCATGGGTGGCTAGATGGAGGCATGGGTGGCTAGAGGCCTCAGGAAGGTCATTCACCACTTGCCTTTGCCGGGTGTTCCCAGACACTTCCAAGACTCTGACTGTAGAAGTGATGAAAGTAATAGTGAAGTGGGGCCACGTGTGGAGGCTCGCTTCTGTAATCCTAGCACTTTGGGAGGCTGAGGCAGGAGGATTGCTGAGGTCAGGAGTTTGAGACTATCCTGGTCAACATAGCAAGACCCTATCTCTAAAAAGAAGGGAAGGGAAGAGAAGGGAGGGGAGGGGAGGGAAGGGAAGGAGAGGGGAGGCGAGGGGAGGGGAGGGGAGAGGAGGGGAGGGGAGGGAGAAACAGTGAAGTGGGACTCGAGCCATCTTCTGGGAATAACACCTGAGTGAAGAAGGGATTGGTTGGTTTCACATACATCAGCATTGGGTCCTGGCTGTGTCTGCTGGAGAGAGTGCAGAAAAGGCGGCAGCAGCAGCATCTCCCTCTCAGCCTGTGCCAAGCTGACCGAGGCAATAGATCCTTTGAGACCTAATTGTTCCATCCTTGGGGTTAAGGCAGGTGTCTTAGGGGTGGCTGTGAGAAGCCGGCTAGTCTCTAGCAATCCGATGGCCCCAAGAAAGGAGTCCAGATGTCCACTTTCCCTGGAGGAGGGTGGAGAAGAAAGGTGGCCCCTCCAGGCCATTAGGGAAATAATGAATCCTTAGGTGAAGACATTCCTCCTGCCTCTGGCCATGATGCTTCTTAATGAGCTGAGTGTCTGCATAGCTCACTGCAGACCCATCACATCAGGTAAATGTGATGTCTCACCATTATTCTTATTGCCGCCTTAAGGCAGATCCAGGAGGCCATCTCCATGGCAAAGAACTTGGCTGTGCAGCGTCTATGTGAAAACAACATCTTCCCAGCTATGGAACCATGACTTATCCTGGGGACTTTTCACTAATTCAGACAGGACCTTCCTCTCTGTGTTCTGCCCTGTGTTCACTAACAAGGGGAACCCTCCGTAGAACCCTGTGCTCATTCATGTGCTCAGAAAACTGCTGGTTAAAGACCGATTTCCTAATTCCAAAGGTTCTTTGCCATTAGCCTAATGAGTTCTGGCGTAAAGAACACAGCTGAGTAGAGGCAGGCAAGCTTCATTGGCACCCTCTGACTTCCCTAGATCCAATGGGGAGGAGGGGAGAGACTCAAAGTCCAGGGGAAAAGGGTAAACAGCTTTCAGGGCCAAAGTATGGGGTGGGTGGGCATCACCCCTGGCAGCCTGTGGGGCCCCCAGAAATTCCGGGTCAGCCCTGTACAGTCAGGAGGGGGCAGCGTGCTGTCAGCGGGTACCAGCAGGTGTGACAACAACAGCAGAGCCTGGAATCTGTGATGTCAGGCTGCCTGGGAAAAGGGCCAGGCAGGCTGCTTTTATAGGGCTGACTTGGTGTAGTCAAAGTGCTTATCAAGAGGGGCCAAGTGTTCACGGGCCAGGCTGCACATGGACAAGTAACTCAGCCGTCTCTCAAGTTGCTTCACAGAAAGCCAACCAGTGGCTTCTCATCAGAGAATGGTGTTTGCACCTACAGTCAACCATAATAAAACTGCCTCATCTCATTCATAATGTAGGGCCTTAGAGGAGACAACTGACTGAGAGGATGGTTTGGTGACCCAAGGCAGTGTCTGCCTGAGGGCCCCAGAATTGTACCAGGATAATACCAACACACCGTATCGGTACCTCCTAGGAGATACATTAGGTTGGTGCAAAAGTTGTTGCGGTTTTTGCCATTACTTTTAGTAGCAAAAACTGCAATGACTTTCGCACCAACCTAATATATAGTGTATCACACACACACACACACACACACACACACACACACACACATACCTTTTATTTTATTTATTTTGTTAAGAGACAGGGCATCACTCTGTTGCCCAGACTGTAGTGCAGTGCCAAGATCATAGCTCACTGCAGCCTTGAACTCCTGGGTTTGTGTAATCCTCCCATCTCAGCCTCCCAAGTAGCTGGGACTACAGGCATGCACCACTATGCCTGGCTAATTTTTTAATTTTTTGTAGGCATGGGGACTCTTAATGTTGCCCAGGCTGGTGTTGAACTCCTGGTCCCAAGCACTCTTCCCTCCTGGGCCTCCCAAAGCACTGGGATTACAGGCATGAGCCATCACACACAGCCAAGGCTAGTTTTTGGTGTTAAATTAGGCTGGATTTCAGCCAGCCAGTTTTACCTCTATAGATTTACCTTCTTGCTGTTTCCCATATGAATCCATGTTAAGCAAATTTGGGCGGAGTTTCCTACTGCCTGGACAGGCTGTGTGTGTGTGTTTCTCTTTCCCTTGACACCTCAGGGTCAGCTTGACAGAGAATGGTACTATGATCCAAATTCAAGACATTGATGCTAATGCTTCATGTTGTTGGGAGCCCAGCCCGGCACCCTCCGCCCAGACTGCATATCACCTACTCTTGTTTCATTGCTTGAGGAATATAGATCTTCCAGATCAGAGATAACTCCCTTAAGCCACTAAGAGCTAAAGCCAGAGTCCCTTAAACCTATATCCTTGAGGCCCTGAGGAATTATGAGCATCAGAGAGTGGTCAAGTTGATATAAATATGAATACAGAAAAGTGAAAGAGAATGTGTGGGAGAGGGGGCGGGGGATCCATTCACATGGATCCCATTGGTTTTAGAGATAACCAGTGTTAATATCGGTGTGTACCTGGGTGATGTCATAAGATGAAAGAAGGGTCTTGCACGTGACCTGCCTCCACAGACACAAGTACAGGATGGGGAAAATGCATTTATTCCACAGATATTTATTGCCATGTCCAACTATGGGTCAATCATTACTCCAGGGACTGGGGAGATGGCAGTCATGAGCAGACCAAACAGAAAGCTCTTTGTTTAGGGGCTACCTTACCTTCAGGAGGCCAGGGCTTTGGCAGCACATGGGAAAAGGTTTCAGTAGTTTTAACTTAAAACTGTGCTGCAGGCTTTCCCAACCGTGGCGTGGTCGGCATTTTGGGCTGGATCACTCTTCGTTTTGGAGGACTGTCCTGTGCGCTTTATAGGATGTTTAGCAGCAGCTCTGGCTTCTACCCATTAGATGCCAATCGTGTCCCCACCCCACCCCCTAAGTTGTACAATTAAAACGTTTCCAGACAGTGCCAAATGTCCCCGGGGAGAATGAACTCACTCTGGCTGAGAACTACGGCTTTAGCGGAAGCTCTCTTAGCCATATACAAGAAGGGGAAGGGCCTGCTCTGCCTCTGAGCTGGGAGACCCCTACCTCTGCTCCGAATGAGGATCGATCCTTCAGAGATGAACTGGGGCAATTATGAGGTGACCAGAATGGCAAAAAGGACTTGAAACAATCTTATTTGAAAAACAGCTAAGGCCGGACGCAGTGGCTCACGCCTGTAATCCCAGCACTTTGGGAGGCCGAGGCGGGCGGATCATGAGGTCAGGAGTTCGAGACCAGCCTGACCAACATGGTGAAACCCCGTCTCTACTAAAAATACAAAAATTAGCCGGGCGTGGTGGCGCGTGCCTGTAATCCCAGCTATTCAGGAGCCTGAGGCAGGAGAATTGCTTGAACCCAAGAGGCGGAGGTTGCTGTGAGCCGAGATCGCACCACTGCATTCCAGCCTGGGCGACAGTGAGACTCTGTCTCAAAAAAAAAAAAAAAAAAAAAAAGAAAAACAGCTAAAGCTGCTGTGTAGCCAGAAGAGGTAACTCCCTGGGCTACCTCGTGGCTCTGAAAGACAGTCAGGTGTGTGGAAGAGGGATTCAGCTGGTTCTGGCCTGTCCGAAGGCACCGGTCTTGGAAGTAAAAGCTACGAGGAGGCTGTGCTCACATCAGTGTCTTGTGGTTTAGCTGTCACCTACAGGCAGGGCCTAACCACATGTCGCCTTTCCAAGTCCTCTCCTCCTCCCTGGATCTGGCAGTGGGTAGTGGTGGTTGGTGGAGGTGGTCTCACCCCCACCCCCACTCTTGGCAGCTCTCTTTACTCTGTAAGAAGCGCTTGGTTTGCTGGGGGGCATCCCCTGATGCTCTGGGACCCCTGCAACCCCGGTTCTCCCTGAAATCAATGTGGCTGGGGCTATGCTGGCTTCTAAGAGGGACTCGTGTGTGGATGAGGGTGCCAGGGAAGCTGCCCATCAAATGTGAGCATAGGCTTGCCCCTCATGTCTCCACGGCTGAGACCAGGAAGGCGTGGGCACCTCACTTTTCTCGGGGATAATGACAGGGAAGAACAATGCAGGAAAAAAGTTAAAACTAAATGCAGAAAGAAATTTACAACTCAGTGCTAAGAAAGTACTGCTCCCACGGCCTAGGGATGATCCCTACTGTTCCCTGTCCCTTCCTCTTCTTCAGAGGAAGTTCTCTTCTTGCCTTCATTCGGGAGAGATGAACACAAAGCCTCTGTCTCTGTCCAGGTCCAAGCGCCTCCAATCCATCCCCAAGCAAACCTCTCCTGCCTCTCGCTTCCTGTCCTTAGATCAGATCCACCTTTTTTCCAGATAAAACGTTCTCAGCTTCTCTGTCCCCTGCCTTCATCCTGGGATGCCTTCCACCCCAGGGCTGCCCAGCACAGCACCTCAGTTCCCATACTATGCATCCTGAAGTCCATGTGGTTCCTTCTGGAACGAGCCCCCTGTTGGCCTTCCACTCCCCTTTACCTACCCCCCACCTGCACACCTTGGGGTCCAGCAGGCCAGGCCTTTCTTTCTTTCTTTCTTTCTTTCTTTTTTTAGATGGAGTTTCACTCTTGTCACCCAGGCTGGAGTGCAATGATGTGATCTCGGCTCACTGCAACCTCTGCTTCCCGGGTTCAAGTGATTCTCCTGCCTCAGTCTCCCCAGTAGCTGGGACTACAGGCATGCGCCACCATGCCCGGCTAATTTTTGTCTTTTTAGTAGAGACAGGGTTTTATCATGTTGGCCAGGCTGGTCTCGAACTCCTGACCTCAGATGATCTGCCTGGCAGGTCAGGCCTTTCTGCATCCTCCTCGCCACCACTGCCCCATCTCCACTCCTAGGATCCTTCAGCAGCCCCTTGGATAAGAACACAAATATGCACCCTTCCTACGAACAACCTTCAGAGCCTGGGGTGACCAGAGCCACAGGAAAGAAAAAGCACATATTTTCATAAGGGCAATGCAACCTGCAAAGATGTCACCCTGCCCACTCTGAGGACAGCCTTTTGTGCCATTGTGCAGAGCAATCTCAGCCTTCTCCTGTTATCACGAGTGGGTTCATGGCTGCCCTTGTCACAACCAAAAAGCCCACTGAAGTGGGGTTTCATCCCATCAGAGGCTGGGAACCACTTCTCCATCAGACCCATGAGGCATAGTGCCAGAGTCCATGGAATTTTGGAATTTTTTTTTTAAGATGGAATTTCCCTCTTGTCACTCAGGCTGGAGTGCAATGGCACGATCTCAGATCACTGCAACCTCCACCTCCTGGGTTCAAGTGATTCTCCTGCCTCAGCCTCCCGGGTAGCTGGGATTACAGGTGCCTGCCACCATGCCTGGCTAATTTGTTTTGTATTTTTAGTAGAGACAGGGATTCACCATGTTGGCCGGGCTGGTCTGGAACTCCTGACCTCAGGTGATTCACCCTCCTCAGCCTCCCAAAGTGCTGAGATTACAACTGTGAGCCACTGTGCCCGGTCCTTTTTTTTTTTTTTAATGAAGGAAGAGACCCACGAAGGCAGAAGTGCCCAGGTCCCATGAAAGCTGCAGTGTGGCTCTGCCAAAAGCCGGGCACCGAAACGAACAGGGGAAGCTTTGAAGTATAGGTTTGTATTTATTTTGTCTCTTTCTCCGAGGTTTTAAAGACTCCCAGGCCCAATTTCTTTGGTGGGGTTTGAGGTTTGGAGTAGCTGGGGTGCCCTTGGTAGCCTTAGTAGGGTGGATGCTTTCTTCAAGTTCTCATGTAGGCTGGGGGCCCAGGCCTGGGATGACTTTGGGCTGCATGTGCCAGGGACCGTCTCCCTCTTCCAGGGCTAAGCTCTTGGGCTTGGCTTTTTCTGTTACTTAAGGAAGGACTATTTGACAGCCCAAGCTTGCCAAATCGGGATGGGGCTGCCTCGAGTGGCCTGAGTCACTGGACATGTTGAAGCTTTTCTCATGGGCGAGAGGCTTTCTTTGTGCTCCAGGTGGACTAGGTACCTCTGAAGTTCTTGCCAAAGTCTGAGACATTAGGATTCCGTGAACATTAGACTTAGTGCTCTATAATTGGGATGCTAAACCTCAGGAGAGAGTAGTGGGGGGAAATCAGATGGAAAAAGAAAGTACACAATACTTTCCAAAATCGAACGCAGATCCTGTTTCTCTTGCTGACTGATTTGACCCATCTGTGACGCTGATCTCTCTTAGGGGCACAATTTAGAGAAAACTCGAGCAAACAGCTCCAAACCACCGCGGCCTTTTCAGACTGCTTTGTGGTCCTCTTTGCTTTCCGGTATGTGGCAGGAACCTTGGACTCTGGACAGGTTTCTGGACTGTTCCGTGCTCTGCGAGTGCTGACTCTGCATTCTTGACTTTGCATCAGAGTGGGGTGCCAGGTCCTGGAGCTTGTTTCTTAAGAGATAAGCCACCAGCTCCATGGACTGTGGGAGCCAAAGGCAAACAGAAACATTCTGCACTGTAGTCAATGGAGAGATTCTGCCTGGGGTTGTAGGTAGAGCCCTGGAGAGGAGAAGGAGATGGCCAACAGGAGACGGAGCCTCAGAGCAGGTCCTTTCTGCAGCCCCCTTAGAGGGCGGATATCCCCCCAGCCCCTCAGATATCAGATTGGGGAAAGTGGGGATTTGTGGCCCTGGAGGCTTCCTGATGAATGGTGCATGCGAAAGCCTGAACTCTGCTGCTGCGCCCAGCCTCAGGGCTACCAGGGCCTCTTTCTTGGGAAAGTCCAGCTTCGCATTAGCTCAGCCCTCCTGGCTCCAGTAAGCCCCGCTGACTTCCAGTTGGCCTGGCCATCATATAAACGGCTCTGTTGAAGGGGCAGCCTCTCTGTTCTTGCGGAAGACTTTTTTCCCCCAACATGAGCACAACAGGCTGGAGGAAGATGTGCCATAGGTAGAGTAACCTTGCACCATATGACTTAAAAAAAAGTCACATGAACAAAATCCACTAAAATATGAACAATGGCTGCCTTTGGGTGATGGACTAAGTGTGTGTTGTTCTCTCTTTTATATTTCCGGATGCTCTCATTTTTTCAACCATAAACATTCGCTATTTTTATTTATTTATTTATTTTTGGAGACAGAGTCTTGCTCTTTCACCCAGGCTGGAGTGCAGTGGTGCAATCTCGGCTCACTGCAACCTCCACCTCCCAGGTTCAAGCCATTCACCTGCCTCAGCCTCCCAAGTAGCTGGGATTACAGGCGTGTGCCACCACACCCAGCTAATTTTTATATTTTTAGTAGAGACAGGGTTTCGCCATGTTGGCCAGGCTGGTCTCAAACTTCTGACCTCAGGTGATCCACCCACCTCAGCCTTCCAAAGTGTTGGGATTACAGGCGTGAGGCACCGCACCTGGCCGCATTCACTACTTTGTAATGGACTAAAAGAGCTAAAATAAAGCCGGTGGAATGTTCCACATATCATGGCATTTTGAACAAAAACTAGATCTTTTATAACACAGAGACCCGCCTAATGGAAAAGGCAGTGAATATTCTCTTGTGGACACCTGTCCCACACTGTTTCCTCTAAGCCAATGGCTGTCACCAAGCTGGTGACAGGTAGAACGCCTCAGTTCTTAGGTGGGCTCACAGGGATTACCCTTGTGAATCATTAAGACACAAACATCCAGTGAGGACTTTCTGAGTGCCAGGTCTTCTTCTCTGTGCCTTACATGTGTGTTTCATGCACACAACCACCTGTGAGCTGGCACCAATACAGCAGTCCTCCTTTATCCACGGTTTCACTTTCTGCAGTTTTAGTTACCTGTGATCAACCATGGTCTATAAATATTAAATGAAAAATTACAGAAATGAATCTAAGTTTTAAATTGTGCACATTCTGAGGAGTGTGGTGAAGTCTGGCACCATCCCACCCACCCTGTAACGCCCTGGACGAGTCCGCCCTTTGTCCGGTGGATCCACGCTGTATACGCTACCTGCCTGGTAGTCACTTAGTAGCCATCTCAGTTATCAGATTGATTGTCGAGATATAGCAGTGCTTGTGTTCCAGTCACACTTATTTTTACTTACTAATGGCCCCAACGTGCAAGAGCAGTGATGTGGGTAATTCGAATATGCCAAAGAGAAGCCGAAATGTGCTTCCTTTAAGTGAAAGGTGAAGTTCTTGACTTAATAAGGAAAGAAGGCTGAGTGCAGTGGCTCCTGCCTGTAATCTCAGCACTTTGGGAGGCCGAGGCAGGTGGATCACTTGAGGTCAGGAGTTTGAGACCAACCTGGCCAACACGGCGAAACCCCATCTCTACTAAAAATACAAAAATTAGCTGGGTGTGTTGGCATGCACCTGTAGACCCAACTACTTAGGAGGCTGATGCAGGAGAATCGCTTGAACCCTGGAGGCAGAGGCTGCAGTGAGCCAAGGTTGCAACACTGCACCTCCAGCCTGGGCAACAGAACAAGACTCCATCTCAAAAAAAAAAAAAAGGGAAAGAAAAAGAAATTATATGCTGAGGTTGTTAAGATCTATGGTGAGAATGAATCTTCTATTTTTTTGTTTTTTCTTTTTGTTTTTTTTGGTAGAGATGGGATTTTGCCCTATTGCCCAGGCTGGTCTCAAACCGGCCATTGTTCACATGGCCATTGTTCAGCCTTTATTCACATTTTGGTGGATTTTGTTCATGTCAGAACAAAATCAACTGATCCACCCACCTTGACCTCCCAAAGTGCTGAGATTACAGGCATAAGCCACCAAGAATGAATTTCCTATCCATGAAATTGTAAAGAAGGAAAAAGAAATTTGTGCTAATTTTGCTGTTGCACCTCAAACTGCAAAAGTTATGGCCACAGTTCATGGTAAGTACTTAGTTAAGATGGAAAAGTCATTACATTTGTGAGTGGAAGACATGAACAGAAACGTGTTCTGATCGGGCGCAGTGGCTCATGTCTGCAATCCCAACACTTTGGGAGGCTGAGGCAGGAGAATCACCTGAAGCCAGGAGTTTGAAACCAGCCTAGGCAACATCGCAAGACCTTGTCTCTACAAAAAAATAAATAAATAAATAAATAAAAATCAATAAAACAACAAAGAAATCTTGTAGGTGTGGTGGTACATGCTTGTAGTCCCAGCTACTCTTGGAGTCAGACGAGTATTACTTCAGCCCAGGAGTTCAAGGTTACAGTGAGTTATGATCACACACTGCACTCCAGCCTGGATGACAGAGCAAGACTCTGTCTCTAAAAAAATTAAGAATAAACATGTTTGATTTATGGCAATCAGGTTTGGTACAATCCAAGGTTCCAGGCATTCACTGAGGCCCTTAGAATGTGTCTCTCTCTGATAAGGGGGGACTACTATATTATTAAAATATCATACCCATCTTAGAGAATTGAAAACTGAGGCATTGAGAAGCTAGATATGTGGCAGAGCTGGGATTTGAGCCCAGGCAACAGCTGGCTGCAGAGCCTGGGTGCTGAACCGCTGCACCATTCTGCCTCTTGTAGGAGCAGAAATCCAGGTGGAACTGAAAGGAAAAACAAGCAGGTAGAGAAGTTAAGCCAGCCCATAGGAGAGGCTGTGGGTGCTTGCTCTGGGCTGGTTCAGGTGGGGGTTGACACGGCAGGGTCAGGGAGCGAGTCAGAAGAGCTGGGGACAACTCAGTCTTGTTATTTCCGCAGCGTGCTGGACATTTTTCCAACTGTGGTAGCCCTGGCCCAGGCCAGCTTACCTCAAGGACGGCGCTTTGATGGTGTGGACGTCTCCGAGGTGCTCTTTGGCCGGTCACAGCCTGGGCACAGGGTAAGTGGAGGAGGTACTTGCCCACATGTAGGCTCTTTAGGAGGCTGGTCTGCTGCCTCTCACCTCTGTGCAGACAGAACCATCATCAGAAGATGGTCAAGAACAGGCTGCAGGTCGGATACAGTGGCTCACGCCTGTAATCCCAGCACTTTAGGAGACCAAGGCGGGCTGATCACTTGAGGTCAGGAGTTCGAGACCAGCCTGACCAAGATGGTGAAACCTCACCTATACTAAAGATACAAAAATTAGCTGAGCATGGTGGCATGGGCCTGTAGTCCCAGCTACTTGGGAGGCTGAGGCAGCAGAATCGCTTGAACCCGGGAGGCAGAGGTTGCCGCCAGCAAGTGGCTGGTTCAGACCCCAAAAGGTGAAGCATTTGAGATGAGCCTCTTTCTACCCCCAACCCCCAGTCCAGATTTATATTTAACAGTTTGGCTTAGGGTGGGTGTATATAGGTTCTCATTCCCTATAATGGGCAATTTCTTTTCCTGCATGTATTTAATTTAATAACATAGCTACCCAGTATTTTTGTTAGATGAGATGACTGACTAGTGTCTGCAACTTGTTTATTGTGAGCCTCACCCTCTAGAATGGAAGCTTCTTGAGGGCAAGAATCTGAGCTGTTGAGTTGAGCTCCGAGTTCTCACTGCCTGCAGTCAGCCAGCATTTCAGTCCATGCAAACTGGATGAACCAATGAAGGAACAAATGAACAAATGAGTGAAAGACCCTTTGGACAGCAGGTCCAGCAAGGGCCTTACATCCAACATTCTCCCAGCTCCAGAGGGCTCAGCACACTCTTGGCAGCCTGTTTTTTTTTTTTGTTTTTTTTTTTGAGATGGAGTCTTGCTCTGTCACCCAGGCTGGAGTGCAGTGGTGTGATCTCAGCTCACTGCAACCTCCGCCTCCTGGGTTCAAGCGATTCTGCTGCCTCACCCTCCCGAGTACCTGGGACTACACCCTCCCGAGCCCATGCCACCATGCTCAGCTAATTTTTGTATCTTTAGTATAGGTGAGGTTTCACCATCTTGACCAGGCTGGTCTTGAACTCCTGACCTCAAGTGATCAGCCCGCCTTGGTCTCCCAAAGTGCTGGGATTACAGGTGTGAGCCACTGTATCCGACCTGCAGCCTGTTCTTGACCAAGCAGACCTTGGCAATGGCTCTGGGCTTCCACTTCCCAGCATCACCTCCTCAATGTCCCCTGTTTGCACTCTGAAGCACTCATTGGCAGTGACAGCCAGGAAATGTCAGGCCTCATGGCCTTTCCTTGTCTTTTCCCTGTGTTTTCCTTTCACCAAAAGGAAGAGGAAGCAGGAGGAGGCAAGGAGGCGGAAGGAGCACAGAGTCCCCTCTGCAACGCCCTACAAATGCATGGCTTCTTGGTGAGGGACCCACACATCAAAGGGTCTATTTGTGTCTTTGCTAAGGGTCACATGGAAGTGACTCAAATGTACAGAAGTGTCCTGTGGCTGGTAGTTACCAAAGCTGCCCTTCCCACCCAGCCTCCCCCAGCAAACCAGAACATGGGTCTTCTATGGGCCATCGGTTCTTCTGTGCACATTAATGCAGTTTTTAGGGGTTGTTGGATGAAGCCTGAGAGGTGTTCTGAAGTCCTGCTTCTCCCCAGAATATCTGCCCCCTAGAGCTGCAGACCCTTCCAGGCCTAGCCCTTCTCCCTAAGCAGGAGCAGCCAGGCAGGAAGATGGTTTCCGCCTTGAGGTTGGAAGTTAGCAGTATGTGACCCTGGAGGGTTGTCACAGACGTCATTGGAGAGGTGCTCCGGAGTGTTTATTACCATGGCTGCTAGGAATAATTGGGGTCATCAGGAAGTGCTTCAAGGACTGTGCTCTCCTTGACGTTGTCGGTACTGCCTGTGGGAGCCAGCTCCTTCATGTACTAACTTCCTTTCTCAGACGGGAGAGCTCTGCTCTTGCTCTAACTGGAGTTTTGCGCAGGCTCGTAGAGACCCCATCCTAACTAGTGCCCAGCAGGGTTAGGCCCAGGAACCAGATTGGAAAACCAGATACAAGTCACAGCATCGTCACGGGGAGGTATGATGGCGTGGTTAATGCAGCTGGAGTCAGGACTGATTTGCTCCCTAACCACACCCCATGGCCCAGAAAGAAACAGCCATGCTTACTGCTTGTGGGAAGCAGCTGATGGTATCTTCAAGGTTAAGAGCACACGGGGCTGGCACCTGTGGGTCACACTCAGTCTCCCAGAGCATGCCTGCAGTGTCAGTGAAGACACTTGAGATAAGATTCTGAAGTTTGAGGACAACATGGGTAGTTGCTGGACCTGAATTTGGGTTTGGTCTTCTCTAGTCAGTCCTCTCTATCAAAGCAAAGTCATAGACCTAAGGAAATAAGAGTAAATTGTCTCAAATTTGGAATAGCTATGGGGGAGGCTTGAAGGTAAGAATATGAGGAATTATATATATATACACACACACACAATATTCTATACATACTTACATGTATGCATATGTGTGCATACGTCTATACATGTGTGTTATACGTGTGCATGCATATTCTAGACGTGTATGCATATGCATGTTTTGTTTTAATTTAATTTAATTTTATTTTATTTTTTGAGAGGAGTCTCACTCTGTCGCCCAGGCTGGAGTGCAGCGGCACAATCTTGGCTCACTGCAACCTCCACCTCCTGGGTTCAAGCGATTCTCCTGCCTCAGCCTCCCAAGTAGCTGGTATTACAGGCGTTCACCACCACGCCTAGATAATTTTTGTATTTTTAGTAGAGACAGGGTTTCACTGTGTTGGCCAGGCTGGTGTCAAACTCCTGACCTCAGGAGATCTGCCTGCCTCGGTCTCCCAAAGTGCTGGGATTACAGGCGTGAGCCACTGTGCCTGGGCTGCATATGCATGTTTATGTACCATGTATGTATATTCATGTATGCATATCCACATCTGTATACATACATGCATACATATGTATGCATATGCATGCTTATACCACACATGCATACACATGTTCGCATATGCATGTGTCTATATAAACATACATATGCATGCTTATGTTTATACACTATACATGTGTACATATGTATGCCTATGCATGTCTATGCACATATATGTATACACATGCATGCACACACATACATGTATACATATGCATATGTCCAGGCACATAAATAGAGATATACACACATATTTATATGCAGGTGTATGCACATGTATACATACGTGTATATATATGCATATATCAATATACACATACATATGTGTACACAGATGCATATGTCTGTAACATATGCATACATGTGTACATATGTATTTTAAAATAAGCACAATTTGTGTTCACCCTCAGATACATCCTGGGCTTACAAGGATTCCAATATGAGTTGGTTTAGAAACACTTTCAGTTCTAGAAGCTCAAAGTAACTCCTGGATATTCAACTGGGAACAATATGCCAATGCTTCTCAGCAATCCAGTCCTTCCCTATTGCAAACCAAGTAACCAAGAGTTAAGGAGAGGAGCAAGAGAGTTGAGAGGTGTCATGTGCACAATGAGCTCCAGTTCCACACTGGATGGTCTTCTCACAACCCACTCCAGCAACCTCTAGGGACGTTGTCTCTGTGATGTTCGAAACCACATCAGCTGACACCATGCTGCATATTCTTGCATCAGCTCAACCTCCTGCTTCTGATCTTGATGGGTCTGTGTCTAGGCAGTGAGGGGCACCAGGAGAGAGATGAGGGCTGGGAAGGGGAGGGCTGCACAGCCTAGAACCAAAGGTCCCACTTTGTGCTTTCCTGGCTCCCAGATGGAAGCTGAAGGTGGTAACATCATCACTGGTCAGGTCGTGTCTTAGCCCCAGGTTGTCATGATCAGGTCCAGAAATTGTCAACGAAGGAACGTTTCCCCTAACAGCTCTGCATCTGCCCAGCCTCACACAGTCTGGGGCTGCTGTGGGTCATCAAATGCTTGACACGCCCCTGGAGGCCATACATCGAGGAAACAAGCTGAGTTTTAATGTCCAGAAAGAACGCTGATCACTTCTCTTAGGGAGGCCCCTAGTGGCGAGAGATGTCATCTGGCGTGGCTGGCAAACTGACCACCCCCATCCACCCCCTTTGGAGGCTGTAGCTGTGCATCCCCACCTGAATGGAGAAGAAGCCCACCTTCAGGGGATGCTATATCAGCACCCTGTGGGACTTAAGGTAAAGGAATGCTCTCGTGCTTAAAAAACAAAACAAGATAAAATAGAGCAAGAAAGGCCACCAGGAAGGCAAAACAAGTTTGCAGAAGATAAAGTCATCTTTGAAATTTGAACCAGGCATCTGGAGAGCTGTGATTCATGTGTACTTTTGACAGCTTCCTTCCTATATTGATATAAACAAGAAAGCCATAATGGGTCTTCTCAAACAAACAAAAAAAATGCATAGACAAGTTCTCCAAAGTCCATCTATGTTTCTGAGAATGAGCCATCCCACAGTTTTGCTTCCTCGTGGATTTTGGAAGTTGCCTCTGGTAACGCCACATAAATAGTGGGAATATAGCAGCCCACCCTCATGGAATTTCTGTGACTGAGACGCAAGTACTGTGACTGATCTGAAGCAGCAACTTCACTCCCATCTTCTGCATGTCCGCGTGCATCGTATATCAGTTGACAATAGATTTTCCAAGTCTCCCACTTCCTGCTGTCTCAAGAAGGAAACAAAACAGTCTCCTGTGGTGAAGAGGCTTGGCTTTCTGCAGGGATGGAAGAAGTGAGGGTTTTCAGTTACGACTTCTTTTCCTGTTTGGAAGGAACCTGCTATCATCATGCGCGCCCTGGGTTTGTGCAGGGATTGTCACGAGAACCTGGAAGCCGCAGGTGTGGGGAGGAGCCCCACCTTGGCGGCATCCTCTCAGAGCTGTGAAACTCCGGGGGACAGCTGTTTACTGCTCCAACAGATGTTTCTCATTTTTTTCTTAAGTCTCGTGTGGAAACTTTGAATCATGTAAGTGCCTTTCCAGCCCTATATACGGTTGTGATTCATACCAAGGCAGTCTCATGCTTTTAGCCCAGACCCACCAACCTACCAAGGACACTGGCCTTTTGTTTTCTTTCACATCCTTCCCTCGAGAACCCTGATTTAGGTGTTTCCATTCTGTACGGTAATTCTTTTATTTGTGACCTGATGAGGAAAGATTTCCTCAGTCCAAATATAGTCGGATTGAGTCATAGCTGTGGGCGTCTGTGACCAGAGTCTGGGCTGTGCCCGATTCTGCGGAAATCAAGGATGCCTTCTTTTGTACCATCCTTGCTCAAGGGAGAGTTGGAACATTGACTTGATGCTGAAGAAGCCTTTCTTCAAAGACAGCTGAGGGTCACCTGCATCAGAACCCTTGGAAATACTTGTAAAACAAGTAAGTCCCCAGGGCCCATCCTGACCCTGAGGGGTTGGAACTCAGGCAGGGTGGCCTTGTGGGCCTGTGACCGGTGCCCCCCACACACAGAGCCCTGCACTTGGAGGGACCCTGTGCTTGGTTTAAAGCTCTGCCGTGGTCATCATGAAATTTTAAGTTTGTGAACAAGGTATCCCTGATTTGCATTTTGTTGTGGACTTTGCAAATTACATAGCAGGTTTCAGGCCTAGAAATCTGACCTACCTAGTGAGACCTTTTGCCTACTCTTCCAGAGTTGTAACCCACTCCCATCAATTAACCAGCAAAATAACAACTTCACAGGCTCCCTGGAGTTGACTGGTGTGGACTCCAGGCTTGTATCTGTCAGTGTGTGTTTGGGCACAGGGATAGGGAGACCAGACCCTGAAAAAGACAGTAATATGTTCCAGGGAGCATCTAGCATCATCTAGCATGTTTTATTTTCTTTTGCTGTTTCGAGACAGGATCTTGCTCTATCACCCAGGCTGGAGTGCAGTGGTATGATCATAGCTCACTGCAGCGTTGACCTCCCAGGCTCAAACAATCCTCTCACCTCAGCTTCCAAGTAGCTAGGACCACAGGTGTGCACCACCATGCCTGGTTAACTTTTGTATTTTTTTGTAGGGAGGGGTCTTGCTGTGTTGCCCAGGCTGGTTTCAAACTCCTGGGCTCAAGTGATCCTCCTGCCTCGACCTCCCAAGGTATTGGGATTACAGGCATGAGTCACCGAGTTCTGCCAATTTTTCTATTAGTAAGCTCTGCCACCCTTTCTCAGGTGCTGTTCCACCCCAACAGCGGGGCAGCTGGAGAGTTTGGAGCCCTGCAGACTGTCCGCCTGGAGCGTTACAAGGCCTTCTACATTACCGGTGAGTGAGGGGCCACTTAGCCCTGCCTCCCACAGTCACAGCTGCACGGGGACCCCATGGACTCTCACCCAGGCCTCTGGGAATGAGTGTGAGTCCCTCCTTTGTGGGGGGTTCTCAGCACCTCTTGACAAGCGTCTCCTCCAAACCCAGGGTCCCTGCACAGGCTCTCTGGATCCCTCATATGCAAATAAGATCTTTGTGCTGTTCACCTGAATTTCTAGTGAGCTGGGAGCTCTCAGCACGTTTATTCAGCTCCTTTTCACATAGAGAGCATTTCCTATTGTCGTGCTTTAAATGCCAGTTTGGATGAACATTAAATGGAAGCCTAGAGATATTTTAAAGTATAATTTACTTGACAATAGACCGTTTCAGAAAATAGATTTTAGAGGACTAGTTAGCAAACCGACAGAAGTCTCTCTGCTTCTTGGTTCACTGTGACTATCTGTCTCTTAGATGTATACTTTAGAAATGTCATACTGTATCAGGATGGTCCTCAGGGTCTTCCAATGGCTTCTTGCTGCCAATTGAATTCAGACTCTCAATCCCGAGTCCTACTGTCTTTCCACCCTTAGTTTTCCAAGAACAAGTCTCCTCTTCCTTGGTCTCCATATTAAAATCCTTTTAAGCCTTTATGGCCCAAGTCAAATGCCACTTTCATAAAACTCTCTTATCTTCCCAGCTGGGTAGGAATTCTGGAGAACTCTGTTATCTCTCACTTTCTGCCATGCATGCCCGTCATTTAGGTACACGTCTTATTTCCTGTACTAGTTTTTTTTGTTGTTTGTTGTTGTTGTTGTTTGTTTGTTTGTTTTGAGACAGAGTCTCGCTCTGTCGCCCAGGATGGAGTGCAGTGGCGTCATCTTGGCTCACTGCAACCTCCGCCTCTTGGGTTCAAGCGATTCTCCTGCCTCAGCCTTCTGAGTAGCTGGGACTACAGGTGTGCACCACCATTCCCGGCTAATTTTTTAATTTTTAGTAGAGACTGTATTTCGTCATATTGGTCAGGCTGGTCTTGAACTCCTGACCTCGTGATCCGCCCGCCTTTCAGCCTCCCAATCCTGTACTAGTTTTTTGTTTTTGTTTTTGTTTTTTGAGATGGAGTCTCGCTCTGTCACCCAGGCTGGAGTGCAGTGGCGTGATCTTGGCTCACTGCAAGCTCTGCCTCCCTGGTTCACGCCATTCTCCTGCCTCAGCCTCCCGAGTAGCTGGGACTACAGGTGCCCGCCACCTCGCCCGCCTTATTTTTTTGTATTTTTAGTAGAGACAGGGTTTCACCGTGTTAGCCAGGATGGTCTTGATCTCCTGACCTCGTGATCCACCCGCCTCGGCCTCCCAAAGTGCTGGGATTACAGGCATGAGCCACCTTGCCCAGCCTGATCCTGTACTAGTTTTAAGCTTTCTAAATTTGGAACTCTTTCAGCACTTTAATCTTTGTTGTCTTGAAGTGCTTAGCACACTTAGTAGGAACGCTACAATTTTTAAGTAAATGAAAAACAAAAAATAAAAAAAGGAAAACCTGTGACCTAATGCAGATTCCAACTTGATTCAGTTATTTAATGTTGGAGCTTTTCAAATTATATGATAAAAAAATTATTTTCCCTGAGTGTAAATAAGTGATCCTGAAGAAAATGTGGCATAAAAACAAAACATGACTTGAGGGGTATTAAAAATGTCACAAAAATCTTTGATTCTCTAAAACCTAAAACTCAGTCAGATATTTGTTGTTTTCGGTTGAAAAGTTTCTAGATTAGAGTCCTTATATTACATTATCTAAGAGGTATGGGACCTCCAGGCTGAGTTAATTTCACAAGTAAAAGTCCTGCCAGAAAGCCCTTGGCACCACAATGTTGGAATCAGACATGTTACTATGAAGTAATAGGGCTATTTAAATGATCACAATCAGATAGGAACTATAACACCCAGGGGAGGTCTGCTCTTCTAAGGAGTCACCAAACTCCCAAGAGAGTCTGGGTAGGGAGCACTGAACTTTTAATCCATCAGTGAAAACTGGGAATAGGATGAAACAGGGGCATGTTCTGATTCCCTCTTCCTCTTGCTTCTAATATTTGCATTCCAGTTACTTACAACTGCTTTTGGATAAGCTAGATGAATTGACATCTACTACATTAGATTAGAGAAAGATGTGTTCGTCTATGATGAGGATATGATGTTATGGTCACGCACTGGGAGTGGTCTTGAAAAGACAACCAGTCTGTTTTGGTATGTGGCCTAGAATTAAGGTGTACCTTATTGTTTTTCTTTTTTTTTATTATTATACTTTAAGTTCTAGGGTACATGTGCACAACGTGCAGGTTTGTTACCTATGTATACATGTGCCATGTTGGTGTGCTGCACCCATTAACTCGTCATTTACATTGGTTATATCTCCTAATGCTTTCCCTCCCCCCTCACCCCACCCCACGACAGGCCCCGGTGTGTGATGTTCCCCTTCCTGTGTCCATGTGTTCTCATTGTTCAATTCCCACCTATGAGTGAGAACATGTGGTGTTTGTTTTTTTGTTCTTGTGATAGTTTGCTGAGAATGATGGTTTCCAGGTTCATCCATGTCCCTACCAAGGACGTGAACTCATCCTTTTTTATGGCTGCATAGTATTCCATGGTGTATATGTGCCACATTTTCTTAATCCAGTCTATCATTGATGGACATTTGGGTTGGGTCCAAGTCTTTGCTATTGTGAATAGTGCCGCAATAAACATACGTGTGCATGTGTCTTTATAGCAGCATGATTTATAATCCTTTGGGTGTATACCCAGTAATGGGATGGCTGGGTCAAATGGTATTTCTAGTTCGAGATCCTTGAGGAATCGCCACACTGTCTTCCTCAATGGTTGAACTAGTTTACAGTCCCACCAACAGTGTAAAAGTGTTCCTATTTGTCCAGTTAAGGCAACCTGTACACAAAGTGAAAGGCCCAGATCTATAATGTATAATTTGGTGAGGTTTTATAAATGTAGATACCGTGTATGTACCCTTTTAATGGTGTGAATTCCATTGATTCTTTTTCTTTTTCCATTGATTGATTTTCAAGTGTTAAGCCAACTTTACATTCCTCAATAAATCCCATTTAGTAATGATGTATCATACTTTTTATATCTTGCTGATTTTGATTTGCTAAGATTTTGTCTATAATTTTCCTTTCTTGTCTATGTCAAGGTTTGGTATCAGGATTTTGCTGGCCTTATAAAATGAGTTGAGAAATATTCCCTTCTCTATTTTCTGAAAGGGTTTGTGGAAGATCAGTATTATTTCTTTCATGTTTGATTGAATTCATCTGTGAAATGATTTGCCAAATTCATTGTTGTGAAGATTTTGTCATATTTTTAAAAAGAGTGTTAGTATTTTAGGTCTTATATTTAGATCTCTGATCCATTTCCAGTTAATTTTTGTATGTGGCATAAGTAAGGGTCCAACTTCATTGTTTTACATGTTGACATCCAGTTTTCCCAGCATCATTTATTGAAAACACTGTCCTTTCCCCATTGAATGGTCTTGGCACCCTTGTTAAAAATCATTTGATCATACATGTGAGGGATAATTTCCACTGTCTATTCTATTTCATTAGTTATATGTCTATGTTTATGCCAGTACCACACTGTTTTAATTACTGTAGACTTGTTGCAGTTTTGAAATCAGGAGTGTGAGTCCTACAGCTTTGGGCTTTTTTTTTTTTTTTTTTTTTAGACTGTTTTGACTATTTCTGGGTCCTCTGAGATTCCATGTGAATTTTAGGATGGCTTTTTCTATTTCTGCAAAAAACATCATCAGGATTTTGATAAGGATTGTACTGAACCTGTAGACCACTTGGGGTAGTATTGACATTTTAACAATATTAAGTCTTCCAATCCATGAACATGGGATGTAACCATTTGTTTATGTCTTCTTTAATGTCTTTCAGCTATATTTTATGGTTTTCATTATGCAAGTCTTTCACTTTTTTGTGTTAATTCCTATTTTACTCTTTTTGATGCCATTGTAAATGAAGTTGTTTTCACAATTTCGTTTTCAGATTGTTCACTGTTAGTGTATAGAAATATAACTGGCTTTGTGTTCTGAATTTCAATCCTGCCATTTTGCTGAATTCCTTTATTAGTTCTGTTTTTATGTGGAATATTTAGGTTTTCTACATATAAGATTATATCATATCTGAAGGAGGTCATTTTACTTCCTCCATTCCAATTTGGATGCTTTTTATTTCTTTTTCTTGCCGAATTGCTCTGGCTGGAATGTCCAGTACTATGTGGAACAGAAATGGCAAAAATGGCATTGAAACTTTTATTAATATATTATGTCCTTCTCTTTGTCTCTTATAACCCTTTTTAAAATTTAAAGTCTATTTTGTATGATATTAGTACAACCACTCTTGCTATCTTTTGGTTACTATTTGCATGGAAAATCTTTTCCTACCATTTCACTTTATTTATTTTTTATTTTTCCATGGGTTATTGGGATACACGTGGTGTTTGGTTACATGAGTAAGTTCTTTAGCGGTGATTTGTGAAATTTTGGTGCACCCATCACCCAAGCAGTATACACTGCACCCTATTTGTAGTCTTTCATCCCTTGCCCCCTCCCACTTTACCCCCAAGTCCCCAAAGTCCACTGTGTCATTCTTATGCTTTTATGTCCTCCTCATAACTTAGCTCCCACATATCAGTGAGAACATACGATGTTTGGTTTTTCATTTCTGAGTTACTTCACTTAGAATAATAGCCTCCAGTCTCACCCAGGTTGCTGCAAATGCTGTTGATTCATTCCTTTTTATGGCTGAGCAGTATTCCATTATATATATATCACAGTTTCTTTATCCACTCATTGATTGATGGACATTTGGGCTGGTTCCACATTTTTGCAATTGCAAATTGTGCTGCTATAAATATGTGTGTGCAAGTATCTTTTTCGTACAATGACTTCTTGTCCTCTGGGTAGATACCCAGTAGTGGGATTGCTGGATCAAATGGTAGTTCAGCTTTTAGTTCTTTAAGGAATCTGTTTTCCATAGCGGCTATACTAGTTTACATTCCCATCAGCAGTGTAGAAGTGTTCCCTGTTCACCGTATCCATGCCAACATCTACTGTTTTTTGATTTTTTGATTATGGCTATTCTTGCAGGAATGAGGTGGTATCATATTGTGGTTTTGATTTGCATTTCTCTGATCATTAGTGACATTAAGCATTTTTTCATGTTTGTTGGCCATTTGTATACTTTTGAGGCTTGTCTATTCATGTGCTTAGCTCACTTTTTGATGGTATTGTTTCTTTCTTGCTGATTTGTTTGAGTTCCTTGTAGGTTCTGGATATTAGTCCTTTGTCAGATGTATAGATTGTGAAGATTTTCTCCCACTGTGTGGGCTGTTTACTCTGCTGACTGTTCCTTTTGCTGTGCAAAAGATCTTTAGTTTAATTATGTCCTAGCTATTTATATTTGTTCTTATTGCATTTGCTTTTGGGTTCTTGTTCATGAAATCCTTGCCTAAGCCAATGTCTAGAAGGGCTTTTCCAATGTTATCTTCTAGAATTTTTATAGTTTCAGGTCTTAGATTTAAGTTCTTAATCCATGTTGAGTTGATTTTTGTATAAGGTGAGAGATGAGGATCCAGTTTCATTCTCCTACATGTGGCTAGCCAATTATCCCAGCACCGTTTGTTGAAAAGGGTGTCCTTTCCCCACTTTATGTTTGTGTTGGCTTTGTCGAAGATCAGCTGGCTGTAATTATTTGGGTTTATTTCTGGGTTCTCTATTCTGTTCCATTGGTCTATGTGCCTATTTTTATACCAGTACTATGCTGTTTTGGTGATTATGGCTTTATAGTATAGTTTGAAATCAGGTAGTGTGATGCCTCCAGATTTGTTCTTTTTGCTTAGTCTTGCTTTGGCTATGCAAGCTCTTTTTTGTTTTTGTATGAATTTTTCTAATTCTGTGAAGAATGATGGTGGTATTTTGATGGGGATTGTGTTGGATTTGTAGATTGTTTTTAGCAGTATGGTCATTTTCACAATATTGATTCTACCCATCCATGAGCATGAGATGTGTTTCCATTTGTTTGTGTCATCTATGATTTCTTTCAGCAGTGTTTTGTAGTTTTCCTTGCAGAGGTCTTTCACCTCCTTGGTTAGGTATATTCCTAAGTTTTTTTTTTTTTCAGCTATTGTAAAAGGGGTTGACTTCTTGATTTGACTCTCCGCTTGGTTGCTGTTGGTGTATAGAAGAGCTACTGATTTGTGTACATTAATCTTGTTTCTAGAAACTTAGCTGAATTCTGTTATCAGTTCTAGGAGCTTTCTGGAGGAGTCTTTAGGGTTTTCGAGGTAAACAATCATATTGTCAGCAAACAGTGAGAGTTTGACTTCCTCTTTACTGATTTGAATGCCCTTTTACTGATTTGAATGCCCTTTACTTCTTTCTCTTGTCTTGCTCTGGCTAGGACTTCCAGTAGTATGTTGAAGAGGAGTGGTGACAGTGGGCATCCTTTTCTTGTTTCAGTTCTCAGAGGGAGTGATATCAGCTTTTCCCCATTCAGTATTATGTTGGCTGTGGGTTTCTTTTTTTTTTTTTTATTGGTGCAAATTACTGTTTATTAAGCATTATTTATTCCTTATGCAAAACAAATGTGCACTAGCCTTTGGCATTAACTAAACACTCTCTACATATTTCTTTTTTTATTATTATTATACTTTAAGTTTTAGGGTACATGCGCACAATGTGCAGGTTAGTTACATATGTATACATGTGCCATGCTGGTGTGCTGCACCCATTAACTCGTCATCTAGCATTAGGCATATCTCCCAATGCTATCCCTCCCCCCTCCCCCCACCCCACAACAGTCCCCAGAGTGTGATGTTCCCCTTCCTGTGTCCATGTGTTCTCATTGTTCAATTCCCACCTATGAGTGAGAAGATGTGGTGTTTGGTTTTTTGTTCTTGCAATAGTTTACTGAGAATGATGATTTCCAATTTCATCCATGTCCCTACAAAGGACATGAACTCATCATTTTTTATGGCTGCATAGTATTCCATGGTGTATATGGGCCACATTTTCTTAATCCAGTCTATCATTGTTGGACATTTGGGTTGGTTCCAAGTCTTTGCTATTGTGAATAATGCTGCAATAAACATACGTGTGCATGTGTCTTTAAAGCAGCATGATTTATAGTCCTTTGGGTATATACGCAGTAATGGGATGGCTGGGTGAAATGGTATTTCTAGTTCTAGATCCCTGAGGAATCGCCACACTGACTTCCACAATGGTTGAACTAGTTTACAGTCCCACCAACAGTGTAAAAGTGTTCCTATTTCTCCACATCCTCTCCAGCACTTGTTGTTTCCTGACTTTTTAATGATTGCCATTCTAACTGGTGTGAGATGGTATCTCACTGTGGTTTTGATTTGCATTTCTCTGATGGCCAGTGATGGTGAGCATTTTTTCATGTGTTTTTTGGCTGCATAAATGTCTTCTTTTGAGAAGTGTCTGTTCATGTCCTTCGCCCACTTTTTGATGGGGTTGTTTTTTTCTTGTAAATTTGTTTGAGTTCATTGTAGATTCTGGATATTAGCCCTTTGTCAGATGAGTAGGTTGTGAAAATTTTCTCCCATTTTGTAGGTTGCCTGTTCACTCTGATGGTAGTTTCTTTTGCTGTGCAGAAGCTCTTTAGTTTAATTAGATCCCATTTGTCAATTTTGGCTTTTGTTGCCATTGCTTTTGGTGTTTTAGACATGAAGTCCTTGCCCATGCCTATGTCCTGAATGGTAATGCCTAGGTTTTCTTCTAGGGTTTTTATGGTTTTAGGTCTAACGTTTAAGTCTTTAATCCATCTTGAATTGATTTTTGTATAAGGTGTAAGGAAGGGATCCAGTTTCAGCTTTCTACATATGGCTAGCCAGTTTTCTCAGCACCATTTATTAAATAGGGAATCCTTTCCCCATTGCTTGTTTTTCTCAGGTTTGTCAAAGATCAGATAGTTGTAGATATGCGGCGTTATTCCTGAGGGCTCTGTTCTGTTCCATTGATCTATATCTCTGTTTTGGTACCAGTACCATGCTGTTTTGGTTACTGTAGCCTTGTAGTATAGTTTGAAGTCAGGTAGTGTGATGCCTCCGGCTTTGTTCTTTTGGCTGAGGATTGACTTGGCGATGCGGGCTCTTTTTTGGTTCCATATGAACTTTAAAGTAGTTTTTTCCAATTCTGTGAAGAAAGTCATTGGTAGCTTGATGGGGATGGCATTGAATCTGTAAATTACCTTGGGCAGTATGGCCATTTTCACGATATTGATTCTTCCTACCCATGAGCATGGAATATTCTTCCATTTGTTCGTATCCTCTTTTATTTCCTTGAGCAGCAGTTTGTAGTTCTCCTTGAAGAGGTCCTTCACATCCCTTGTAAGTTGGATTCCTAGGTATTTTATTCTCTTTGAAGCAATTGTGAATGGGAGTTCACTCATGATTTGGCTCTCTGTTTGTCTGTTGTTGGTGTATAAGAATGCTTGTAATTTTTGTACATTGATTTTGTATCCTGAGACTTTGCTGAAGTTGCTTATCAGCTTAAGGAGATTTTGGGCTGAGACAATGGGGTTTTCTAGATATACAATGATGTCGTCTGCAAACAGGGACAATTTGACTTCCTCTTTTCCTAATTGAATACCCTTTATTTCCTTCTCCTGCCTAATTGCCCTGGCCAGAACTTCCAACACTATGTTGAATAGGAGTGGTGAGAGAGGGCATCCCTGTCTTGTGCCAGTTTTCAAAGGGAATGCTTCCAGTTTTTGCCCATTCAGTATGATATTGGCTGTGGGTTTGTCATAGATAGCTCTTATTATTTTGAAATATGTCCCATCAATACCTAATTTATTGAGAGTTTTTAGCATGAAGGGTTGTTGAATTTTGTCAAAGGCCTTTTCTGCATCTATTGAGATAATCATGTGGTTTTTGTCTTTGGTTCTGTTTATATGCTGGATTACATTTATTGATTTGCGTATATTGAACCAGCCTTGCATCCCAGGGATGAAGCCCACTTGATCATGGTGGATAAGCTTTTTGATGTTCTGCTGGATTCGGTTTGCCAGTATTTTATTGAGGATTTTTGCATCAATGTTCATCAAGGATATTGGTCTAAAATTCTCTTTTTTGGTTGTGTCTCTGCCTGGCTTTGGTATCAGGATGATGCTGGCCTCAAAAAATAAGTTAGGGAGGATTCCCTCTTTTTCTATTGATTGGAATAGTTTCAGAAGGAATGGTACCAGTTCCTCCTTCTACCTCTGGTAGAATTCAGCTGCGAATCCATCTGGTCCTGGACTCTTTTTGGTTGGTAAACTATTGATTATTGCCACAATTTCAGATCCTGTTATTGGTCTATTCAGAGATTCAGCTTCTTCCTGGTTTAGTCTTGGGAGAGTGTATGTGTCGAGGAATTTATCCATTTCTTCTAGATTTTCTAGTTTATTTGCATAGAGGTGTTTGTAGTATTCTCTGATGGTAGTTTGTATTTCTGTGGGATCAGTGGTGATATTCCCTTTATCATTTTTTATTGCATCTATTTGATTCTTCTCTCTTTTTTTCTTTATTTGTCTTGCTAGCGGTCTATCAATTTTGTTGATCCTTTCAAAAAACCAGCTCCTGGATTCACTGATTTTTTGAAGGGTTTCTTGTGTCTCTATTTCCTTCAGTTCTGCTCTGATTTTAGTTATTTCTTGCCTTCTGCTAGCTTTTGAATGTGTTTGCTCTTGCTTTTCTGGTTCTTTTAATTGTGATGTTAGGGTGTCAATTTTAGATCTTTTCTGCTTTCTCTTGTGGGCATTTAGTGCTATAAATTTCCCTCTACACACTGCTTTGAATGCATCCCAGAGATTCTGGTATGTTGTGTCTTTGTTCTTGTTGGTTTCAAAGAACATCTTTATTTCTGCCTTCATTTCATTATGTACCCAGTAGTCATTCAGGAGCAGGTTATTCAGTTTCCATGTAGTTGAGCGGTTTTGAGTGAGATTCTTAATCCTGGGTTCTAGTTTGATTGCACTGTGGTCTGAGAGATAGTTTGTTATAATTTCTGTTCTTTTACATTTGCTGAGGAGAGCTTTACTTCCAAGTATGTGGTCTATTTTGGAATAGGTGTGGTGTGGTGCTGAAAAAAATGTATATTCTGTTGATTTGGGGTGGAGAGTTCTGTAGATGTCTGTTAGGTCCGCTTGGTGCAGAGCTGAGTTCAATTCCTGGGTATCCTTGTTGACTTTCTGTCTTGTTGATCTGTCTAATGTTGACAGTGGGGTGTTAAAGTCTCCCATTATTAATGTGTGGGAGTCTAAGTCTCTTTGTAGGTCACTCAGGACTTGCTTTATGAATCTGGGTGCTCCTGTATTGGGTGCATATATATTTAGGATAGTTAGCTCTTCTTGTTGAATTGATCCCTTTACCATTATGTAATGGCCTTGTCTCTTTTGATCTTTGTTGGTTTAAAGTCTGTTTTATCAGAGACTAGGATTGCAACCCCTGCCTTTTTTTGTTTTCCATTTGCTTGGTAGATCTTCCTCCATCCTTTTATTTTGAGCCTATGTGTGTCTCTGCAGGTGAGATAGGTTTCCTGAATACAGCACACTGATGGGTCTTGACTCTTTATCCAATTTGCCAGTCTGTGTCTTTTAATTGGAGCATTTAGTCCATTTACATTTAAAGTTAATATTGTTACATGTGAATTTGATCCTGTCATTATGATGTTAGCTGGTTATTTTGCTCGTTAGTTGATGCAGTTTCTTCCTAGTCTCGATGGCCTTTACATTTTGGCATGATTTTGCAGTGGCTGGTACCGGTTGTTCCTTTCCATGTTTAGTGCTTCCTTCAGGAGCTCTTTTAGGGCAGGCCTGGTGGTGACAAAATCTCTCAGCATTTGCTTGTCTGTAAAGTATTTTATTTCTCCTTCACTTATGAAGCTTAGTTTGGCTGGATATGAAATTCTGGGTTGAAAATTCTTTTCTTTGAGAATGTTGAATATTGGCCCCCACTCTCTTCTGGCTTGTAGAGTTTCTGCCGAAAGATCCACTGTTAGTCTGATGGGCTTCCCTTTGAGGGTAACCTGACCTTTCTCTCTGGCTGCCCTTAACATTTTTTCCTTCATTTCAACTTTGGTGAATCTGACAATTATGTGTCTTGGAGTTGCTCTTCTTGAGGAATATCTTTGTGGCGTTCTCTGTATTTCCTGAATCTGAATGTTGGCCTGCCTTGCTAGATTGGGGAAGTTCTCCTGGATAATATCCTGCAGAGTGTTTTCCAACTTGGTTCCATTCTCCCCGTCACTTTCAGGTACACCAATCAGACGTAGATTTGGTTTTTTCACATAGTCCCATATTTCTTGGAGGCTTTGCTCATTTCTTTTTATTCTTTTTTCTCTAAACTTCCCTTCTCGCTTCATTTCATTCATTTCATCTTCCATCGCTGATACCCTTTCTTCCAGTTGATCGCACCGGCTCCTGAGGCTTCTGCATTCTTCACGTAGTTCTCAAGCCTTGGTTTTCAGCTCCATCAGCTCCTTTAAGCACTTCTCTGTATTGGTTATTCTAGTTATACATTCTTCTAAATTTTTTTCAAAGTTTTCAACTTCTTTGCCTTTGGTTTGAATGTCCTCCCATAGCTCAGAGTAATTTGATCGTCTGAAGCCTTCTTCTCTCAGCTCGTCAAAGTTATTCTCTGTCCAGCTTTGTTCCGTTGCTGGTGAGGAACTGCGTTCCTTTGGAGGAGGAGAGGCGCTCTGCTTTTTAGAGTTTCCAGTTTTTCTGCTCTGTTTTTTCCCCATCTTTGTGGTTTTATCTACGTTTGGTCTTTGATGATGGTGATGTACAGATGGGTTTTTGGTGTGGATGTCCTTTCTGTTTGTTAGTTTTCCTTGTAACAGACAGGACCCTCAGCTGCAGGTCTGTTGGAGTACTGGGCCCTGTGAGGTGTCAGTCTGCCCCTGCTGGGGGGTGCCTCCCAGTTAGGCTGCTCGGGGGTCAGGGACCCACTTGAGGAGGCAGTCTGCCCGTTCTCAGATCTCCAGCTGCGTGCTGGGAGAACCACTGCTCTCTTCAAAGCTGTCAGACAGGGACATTTAAGTCTGCAGAGGTTACTGCTGTCTTTTTGTTTGTCTGTGCCCTGCCCCCAGAGGTGGAGCCTACAGAGGCAGGCAGGCCTCCTTGAGCTGTGGTGGGCTCCACCCAGTTCGAGCTTCCCGGCTGCTTTGGTTACCTAATCAAGCCTGGGCAATGGCAGGCGCCCCTCCCCCAGCCTCGCTGCCGCCTTGCAGTTTGATCTCAGACTGCTGTGCTAGCAATCAGCGAGACTCCGTGGGCGTAGGACCCTCCGAGCCAGGTAAGGGATGTAATCTCCTGGTGCGCCGTTTTTTAAGCCTGTCGGAAAAGCGCAGTATTCGGGTGGGAGTGACCCGATTTTCCAGGTGCCGTCTGTCACCCCTTTCTTTGACTAGGAAAGGGAACTCCCTGACCCCTTGAG
Organism: Homo sapiens; assembly: GCF_000001405.40. Classification (NCBI taxonomy): domain Eukaryota; kingdom Metazoa; phylum Chordata; class Mammalia; order Primates; family Hominidae; genus Homo; species Homo sapiens. The sequence goes on from NC_000017.11 coordinate 68,413,937, forward strand.
CTTCCCGAGTGAGGCAATGCCTCGTCCTGCTTCGGCTCGCGCACGGTGCGCGCACCCACTGACCTGCGCCCACTGTCTGGCACTCCCTAGTGAGATGAACCCGGTACCTCAGATGGAAATGCAGAAATCACCCGTCTTCTGCGTCGCTCAACGCTGGGAGCTGTAGACCGGAGCTGTTCCTATTCGGCTATCTTGGCTCCTCCCCCTGGCTGTGGGTTTCTTATAGATGGCTTTTATTACATTGAGGTATGTCCCTTGTATGCCGATTTTGCTGAGTTTTAATCATAAAGCGATGCTGGATTTTGTCAAATGCTTTTACTGCATCTATTGAGATGACCATGTGATTTTTGTTTTTAATTCTGTTTATGTGGTGTATCACATTTATTGACATATCACATTTATTGGTATATGTTAAACTATCCTTGCATCCCTGGTATGAAACCCCCTTGATTATGGTGAATTATCTTTTTGATATGTTGTTGGATTCAGTTAGCTAGTATTTTGTTAAGGATTTTAGCATCTATGTTCATGAGGGATATCAGTCTGTAGTTTTCTTTTTTGGTTATGTCCTTTCCTGGTTGTAGTATTAGGGTGATTCTGGCTTCATAGAATGAATTAGGGAGGGTTCCCTCTTTGTCATGTGGAATAGTGTCAAAAGGGTTGGTACCAATTCTTCTTTGAATGTCTGGTGGAATTCTGCTGTGGATCCATCTGGTCCTAGACTTTTGTTGTTGTTGTTGTTGGTAATTTAAAAATTACCATTTTAATCTCGCTGCTTGTTATTGGTTTGTTCAGGGTATCTAATTCTTCCTGATTTAAGCTAGGAGGGTTGTATTTTTCCAGGAATTTATCCATCTCTTCTAGGTTTTTTAGTTTAAATGCAAAGGTGTTCATAGTAGCCTTGAATGATCTTTTGTATTTTTGTGATGTCTGTTGTAATATCTCCTGTTTTGTTTCTTATTGAGTTTATTTGGATTTTCTCTCTTCTTTTCTTGGTTAATCTTGCTAACAGCATATCAATTTTATTCATATTTTCAAAGAACCAGCTTTGTGTTTCATTTATCTTTTTTATTTTTTTGTTTCAATTTCATTTAGTTCTGCTCTGATCTTGGTTATTTCCTTTTGTCTGCTGGGTTTTGTTTGTTCTTGTTTCTCTAGTTCCTTGAGGTATGACCTTAGAATGTCAGTTTGTGCTCTTTCAGTCTTTTTGATGTAGGCATTTAAGGCTATGAACTTTCCCCTTAGCCCCTCCTTTGCTGTATCCCAGAGGTTTTGATAGGTTGTGTCACTATTATTCAGTTTGAAGAACTTTTAAATTTCCATCTTGATTTCATTTTTGACTCAATGATCATTTAGGAGCAGGTTATATAATTTCCATGTATTTGCATGGTTCTGAAGGTTCCTTTGGAATGGATTTCCAGTTTTATTCCACTGTGGTCTGAGAGAGTGCTTGATATAATTTCAATTTTCTTAAATTTATTGAGGCTCATTTTGTGGCCTATTGTATGGTCTGTCTTGGAGAAAGTTCCATGCACTACTGAATAGAATGTGTATTCTGCAGTTGTTGGTTGGAATGTTCTGTATATATCTGTTAAGTCCATTTGTTACAAGGTATAGTTTAAATCCATTGTTTCTTTGTTGACTTTCTTTCTTGATGACCTGTCTAGTGCTGTCAGTGGAGTATTGAAGTCCCCCACTATTATTGTGTTGCCGTCTATCTCATTTCTTACGTTATTAGTAATTATTTTATAAATTTGGGAGCTCCAGTGTTAGGAGCATATATGTTTAGGATTGTGATGTTTTCCTGTTGGACACGGCCTTTTACCATTGTATAATGTCTCTGTCTTTTTTAACTGCCGTTGCTTTAAAGTTGGTTTTGTCTGATATAAGATAGCTACCCCTGCTTACTTTTGGTGTTCATTTGCATGAAATATCTTTTTCTACCCCTTTACTTTAAATGTATGCGAGTCCTTATATGTTAGATGAGTCTCCCGAAGGCAGCAGATGGTTGGTTGGTGATCTTATCCATTCTGCTGTTTTGTATTTTTTTAAGTGGAGCATTTAGACCATTTACATTCAGTGTTAATATTGAGATGTGAAGTACCATTCCATTCCTCATGCTATTTGTTGCCCATGTGCCTTGGTTTTTTTGTTTTTGCTTTTCAAATTGTATTTTTGTTTTATAGGTCCTGTGAGCTTTATGCTTTAAAGAGGTTCCATTTTGATGTGTTTCCAGGATTTGATTCAAGATTTAGAGCTCCTTTTAGCAGTTCTTGTAGTGGTGACTTGGTAGTGGTGAATTTTCTCAGCATTTGTTTGTATCCTTCTTTCATATATGACGCTTATTTTTGCTGGATACAGAATTCTTGGCTGATAATTGTTTTGATGGAGGAGGCTGAAGATATGGCCCCAGTCCTTTCTAGCTTGTAGGGTATCTGCTGTTAATCCTGATAGGTTTTCCTTTATAGGATACCTGGTATTTTTGTCTCATGTTTTTCTTTATAGGTTACCTGGTGATGTTTTTGCAATGAATTTCCCAGGTGTTCTTTGAGCTTCTTGTATTTGGATGTCTAGGTTTCTAGCAAGGCCAGGGAAGTTTTCCTTGATTATTCCCCCAAATATGTTTTCCAAACTTTTAGATTTCTCTTCTTCCTCAGGAACACCAATTATTCTTAGATTTGGTCGTTTAACATAATCCCAGCCTTCTTGGAGGCTTTGTTCATATTTTCTTATTCTTTTTCCTTTGTCTTTGTTGGATTGGGTTAAGTCAAAGACCTTGTCTTCGAGCTCTGAATTTCTTTCTTCTACTTGTTCAATTCTATTGCTGAGACTTTCCAGAGCATTTTGCATTACTAGAAGTATGTCCAATGTTTCCTGATGTTTTAACTGTTTTTTCTTTATTCTATCTATTTCCTTGAATATTTCTCCCTTCACTTCTTGTATTGATTTTTGGATTTCCTTGCATTGGGCTTCACCTTTCTCTGGTGCCTCCCTAATTAGCTTAATAACTAACCTCCTGAATTCTTTTTCAGGTTAATCAGGGATTTTTTTCTTGGTTTGGATCCATTGCTGGTGAGCTAGTGTGATTTTTTGGGGAGTGTCAAAGAGCCTTGTTTTGTCATATTAATTACCAGAGTTGGTTTTCTGGTTCCTTCTCATTTGGGTAGGTTATTATTAAGTCTTAGTAGTTTTGGTGAGCCTGGGCCCTTGGACTGTGAACTTCACAAGTGCTTCTTAGTCTATCCCTTCCCTCCCCTTAGGTGGAACAGCTAGAGTGGCTAGAGCTGGGTATCCCCCTACCCTTAGGTCAGTTAGGCTGTGAGAAAAACCTAAGTAATTTAAGCTCTGGTAAATTAGTTTCTCCTGAGGGCAGGCCTTGTTAAGAAAACTAGAATGTTTTGGTATATTTAAAAATTACTTTTCTCCTACCCCTTTTGGAAGGATGAAGAGATTTTTCTCCAGTATTTACTGTAAGAACTTGGTTGAGCTCCTGGAGGTAAAACTCACAAAAGTGTGTTGTGTTTTGGGTGCCGCGGTGGGGGGTGGCGCTTGATAACTGGGCCCCACTGGAGTTTTTCATCTCTCAGACTTGTCCACACTGAGCCTCCAGCAATTTGTCAATTACAGTTCAGGGCTTCCCTACTCCTGGCACTGGTTCTTGCAGAGGTTTCTGCTTGTGGGTTTCTGCTCTGTTAAGTTGTGATTGTTTCTATTTGCTTGTCTGTCTCTCTAATTTTGGGGGCAGTAGTTTGCCCTGTGACTTCACTTCTCCAAAAGACCTAATAAGAGTTGCTGAATTTTTTTTTTTTTTTTTTTTTTTTTTTTTTTTGAGATGGAGTCTCACATTGTTGCCTGGGCTGGAGTGCAGTGGCACGATCTCGGCTCCCAGGTTCACGTGGTTCTCCTGCCTCAGCCTCCCAGGTAGCCGGGATTACAGGTGCCCACCACCATGCCCAGATAATTTTTTATATTTTTAGTAGAGACGGGGTTTTACCATGTTGGCCAGACTGGTCTCAAACTCCTGACCTCATGATCCGCCTGCCTCAACCTCCCAAACTGCTGGGATTACAGGCGTGAGCCACCACACCCGGCTGAGTTGTTGATTTTTTAGTTTGTTCAGCTTTTTACTTGTTAGAATGAAGTGATGACTGCCGACCTCCTTATGTGCCAGACTAGAAACTGGGAGTCTCCTATTTAGTCGTCCTTAAAAATTGTAAGCTGGACATTGTTGGTGATGCATTGTAGCAATTCTGATTTCTGTTACCTGAGAGTGTTGATTTTTGTTTTCACTGGCAGCTAATCAGTAGTCAGTTCCCTTGAACTTATAAAGCCTTAGTTTTACACTTTGTTAGGACGAGTCTTTCAGATTTTTCCCTTGATCTTAGGCAGATCCCTCAGTCCTGGGACACAGTCTCTACTCCTAGCATGAACTGTTTGTCAAAGCTCATGTCACTGCCCTGTACTGGCAATGAAGAATAATCAAATTCTATTCCAAACTGTAGGCAAAGACAACAACTATTAATCTCTACTGATCAACTTGACTCTCAGCCACAGGTGGAAAACCAGTAATAAAAAAGGGTTGTCTAAAGGCTTTGAGATCTACCCATTCTCCTAAATATTTCAAATTTTATTTCTGGCCAGATTGGACCAGAAGGCTGAATCCTTAGGTGGTATGGCTTTGCCCCTATAGACTTCCTTGTATTGAGTTGCATGTTGGCATCTGCCCTCATCATATAGTAAAGGATGTGATAAGAAGTCGTCAGTGGAACCATCCTAATCTCAGTTTTATTTTTCATAAGAATGCCAGTGAGCATTCCATCCTACAGGGTCCCCTGTAGGAGAAGGAGCCACTGGAAGAATTTCTCTCAGATTTTAGTGCCAGAAAAAGCTCTGCTTCTCCTGAGCAACTGATAAGTTTCTATCTCATTAATGTTTGGCTGCTGCTAAGCTCAGAAGCAAAGTCAGTGTTTAGGAACTCTTGTAATTTTGAGGGCTATCTTTTGCTTTAATTCCCTTTGTTTATTTAATTATGTCATATTTATTTCCATCAGACCCTTAACTGCTTTTTCTATAGCAAAGCCAAAAAAAAAAAAAAAAAGTCATCGGAATCATAAAGAGCCAAGGAAGCTGCTATCATTCCAAACATTTTTGTCCTTCCTCTTCTGGATGGCTTTCACAGCCAGATTCGAATCCACGTAAGACTGTCATCTTCAACCCAAAGTGAAATGACTCACCTGCCTTTCTACTTGATTCACCAATTGGTAGTCAAGAAATCGATTTTCAAAAAAATCAAATTTACTCCTAAAGGGCAGAGGTTAAAGATACTTTAAAAAATTATATCCTGGCTGGTGTGGTGGCTCACGCCTGTAATCCCAGCACTTTGGGAGGCCGAAGTGGGCAGATCATGAGGTTAGGAGTTCGAGACCAGCCTGGCCAACAGACCAGCCTGGCCAATATGGTGAAACGCCATCTCTACTAAAAATACAAAAATTAGCCGAGCGTGGTGGCAGGTGCCTGTGATCCCAGCTACTCAGGAGGCTGAGGCAGGAGAATTGCTTGAACCTGGGAGGCAGAGGTTGCAGTGAGCTGAAGATTGTGCCATTGCACTCCAGCCTGGGTGACAGAGCGAGACTCCAACTTGAAAAAATAATTATATCCTGATTTTGTGTCAATAAAGATACTTGAATGAATGTTCTACTGGCCCTGAAGGCGAGTTCAAGGAGAACTTCCAAATCATTTTAGTGTGGCTGCAGTGGTTCCTGCTGATAATCCCAGCATTTTGGGAGGCTGGGACAGGAGGATTGCTTGAGGCCAGGAGTTTGAGACCAGCTTGAGGAACATAGCGGGACCCTGTCTCTGGAAAAAAAAAAAAAAAGTTGGGCGTGGTGGTGCATGCCTGTAGCCCCATCTACTTGGGAGGCTGAAGTGGGAGGATCACTTGAGCCCAAAAAGGCTGAAGCTGCAGTGAGCTAGGATCACGCTACTGCATTCCAGCCTGGGCAACGAAGCCAGACCCTGCCTCAAAAAACAAAAACAGAAATGAAAAAAGCAAAACATTTTGGACCACAGGATCATCACTGGAAGGAGCAAATAGATTCTCAAGGTAATATTTCTTTGACAGAGAGAGCCATCATTGGAACATTTGGTTATCTGGTATGTTTGAATTAATGTAGAATCACTCGCAGCTCTCGTCTTTACAACACAGGGCAACTGTCAGGGTTAGCGAGGCATTTGTTGTCATTCCCTCTCTAGGTGGAGCCAGGGCGTGTGATGGGAGCACGGGGCCTGAGCTGCAGCATAAGTTTCCTCTGATTTTCAACCTGGAAGACGATACCGCAGAAGCTGTGCCCCTAGAAAGAGGTGGTGCGGAGTACCAGGCTGTGCTGCCCGAGGTCAGAAAGGTTCTTGCAGACGTCCTCCAAGACATTGCCAACGACAACATCTCCAGCGCAGATTACACTCAGGACCCTTCAGTAACTCCCTGCTGTAATCCCTACCAAATTGCCTGCCGCTGTCAAGCCGCATAACAGACCAATTTTTATTCCACGAGGAGGAGTACCTGGAAATTAGGCAAGTTTGCTTCCAAATTTCATTTTTACCCTCTTTACAAACACACGCTTTAGTTTAGTCTTGGAGTTTAGTTTTGGAGTTAGCCTTGCATATCCCTTCTGTATCCTGTCCCTCCTCCACGCCGACCCGAGAGCAGCTGAGCTGCGCTGGCTCTGGGCAGGGAGTGTGCCTTAATGGGAAGCACACGGGCTTTGGAGTCAGGCACAGGTGCCAGCTCCAGCTTTTGAACTTGGGCAATTGTTTAACCTAACCTGCAAGTTGATTTTGAGGGTTAAATAAAGGCATACATGAAAATGCCTGGCAAATTACCTGACACAGAGCAGACATTCAATACATTTTAGTTTCCTTGTTTCTCTGGTTCCCAGTTTCTCTGGTCATTTTGGTGTAAATCCATTCTAATTAGTATTTAGGGCAGAGCTTCTCTCTCTTTTCTCTTTTTTTCCTTCCACAAACCAGTGTACTCACTGGTCTCCATCTTTAATATGCAAACAAATCACCTGGGATCTTGTGAGAATCCGGATTCCGTCTCAGTAGGGCTCGAGTAGATCCTGAAATCCTACATTTCTATCAAACAATGCCTTGAGGAGCACAGATTTAGACCAAAGTTAGGTCGTTTTCCAGATCTCAGAGCAGACGAGTCCATGGATAAGTCTGTGGCCCAATCCCCTTCCTCTCCTTTTAAGGGTGAAATGACTGCATTTAAAAGAAGTTAAAGAGTTCCTCCTGTCCCCTATAACCACAAGGAAACAAAAAAATATATAAAAACCTCAAAAATGCATTGCCATGATTTTATTATTAGTGTCCAAAATGGGACTCCCAAGTAATAAATGATTTATTCCAGCCACAGCCAAAAAAGACTTTGCCTGGCTAAAAGAGTCTCTCTCTAAGTATGTAATATACAAGAAATACAATTCAAAGAGATGTTCCTATAAGTACATTTTTTACACGGCATATATTTAAAAAGGAGGCCCCTTTTAATATAAAATTCCGGTTATATACCAATATGGTTAATTAGCATTTACACTATAGTTTGAACGTATTTTAAATAGCATGATGTGTATACAATGTCTCCCGCGCCCATTGGCAACCAGGGTCGTGGGAAGCTTGGTGAGGAGTTAACCAGGTCCTGTGGTTTAAGCAGTGGAGCACCCGGGATTCCTGCCCCCCTTTCTGCTCACACAATTGCACTCCATTCTTCCGCCTTCCTTGTTTTCTCCAAAACCACCTGATAGGGGGGATGTCCTGATTTCTGAGGTGTGCTTCTCATCATGACTGCTTCGTTTTGCCCTTCTGATTTCCACGGCACAAGATTATCTACCAAAATCAAAACAGAATGGCCTTACTCTTCTCAGGAAGAGGCTGGTAGGCAGGTGCATTATCAACAGGTCTGTGCCCATGCAGAGTGAGCAGGGAGAGGCTGGGCACTGTGGAATTTTTCTGTCTGAACTCGCTCATGGCCACAGAATGGTCACCCAGCTTATTTAGGTGTAGACAAGTATGACACAGTTCTAGAAAATACTGACTATAAAAATGTCTCTGTGTGTGTGTGTATGTATTTATATGTATATGTATATATTTTTAAAAGGCTCATCTTACTTGTAAACATGGACTGCTCAATCACTATTAAAAAGTCAGTTTAGGCTGGGCGCGGTGGCTCACGCCTGTAATCCCAGAACTTTGGGAGGCTGAGGTGGGTGGATCACTAGGTCAGGAGTTTGAGACCAGCCTGGCCAACATGGTGAAACCCCATCGCTACTAAAAAATACAAAAATTAGCCGGGCATGGTGGCGCTCACCTGTAATCCCAGCTACTCGGGAGGCTGAGGCAGGAGAGAATCGCTTGAACCGGGGAGGTGGAGGCTGCAGTGAGCCGAGATCGCACCACTGCACTCCAGCCTGGGCGATGGAGCAAGACTCCATCTCAAAAAAAAAAAAGTCAGTTTAGGCTGGGCGCAGTGGCTCACACCTGTAATCCCAGCACTTTAGGAGGCTGAGGGGGGTGATCACCTGAGGTCAGGAGTTTGAGACCAGCCTGGCCAACATGGTGAAATCCTGTCTCTACTAAAAATACAAAATTTAGCTGGGCATGGTAGCATGCCTGAAACCCCAGCTACTTGGGAGGCTGAGGCACTAGAATCACTTGAACCTAGGAGGTGGAGGTTGCAGTGAGTGGAGATCACGCCAACACATTCTAGCCTGAGGGACAGAGTGAGACTCTATCATCTCAAAAAAAAAAAAAAAAAAAAAAAAGGGAAGGTCAGTTTATACCCTTGGGCCTGATTTCCTGACTCTTGCTCACAAGATTGGGACTAGTCTCACAAAATACAGAGACTTGTACAGGTTGGCTTGTTCCTGAAACAAAAGCTTCTCATCCTCCCGAATGTAGCAGCTTTCTAAGGCACCAGAAATGATCAAGTCTCTTTTCTTTCACTGCTCTCAGAGCAAAAGTAAATCCCAAGGAGGCAAGCGTGATCCTACGCAGGGAAGTGTCAGTATGTGTTCTGAAAAGATCACTAGTGATGACCCGCGTTCTTAAGGCAGCGGCTCACAGAGCTCCTGTAGCAGACTACTCAGGCAAGCCTATGTTTGTTCGTCACTACAAGAGAGGCGATTTTAACCAAGCTGAGACTCCAAGAGCCTTTTGTGGTCCTAGAAGATTTTAAGGAATGTGAGTAAAGATGTGAATTCTGCACAGAGATTTGCAATAGGCATGACAATTCAGAATAAGGAGACAGAGAGGAAGTTCCCTAGCATCCCTCGCTGAACATTTCTGCCAATTCAGGCATGACTGAGATGGGCCATATTGATAGAGCATCCCAGGAGCATGCATGCCTCTGGTCCTTACATGGTGAGATGGAGAAGCCTGCCTGCTACTGAGACAGTGCCTTAGTGGGAGCACTGCCCCTCATCACCATCTACCTGCAGGCTGGAGGGCAGACTGAGAGGTTGGTGGCTGCCACGACACAGCCCTGCACACAGGGGCTGCTTGACACTCACAAGGGTCTAACACCTGTTCTAGGGACCTTGTTCAGTGACCACTCTCACTGGCAGGAAGTATTTCTTGCGTATAAATAAGAATTCCTGATGCAATTTCAACCAACTTTCACTCATTTGGTCCTTAGGAGGGAGAAGAAACAACTGGCTCATGCCCAGCTTCCTGGCACTGAATGGGCACACAGGCCTCAGGACAAACTTTCTTACTGGTTCTTCAATTAAGCACCTCCCCTTTTCCTTTTTACCCCAAATAAATGATCTGCACAAGGTACCTATTATTTTATACAGGTTCTTTGGCAAGGAACTACCTCCTAGATACTAATATCCACATTACCCCAATTCTGTAACTATAAGAGGTTGCAAGGCTTACTGCGATTACAATTAAGAATCTAATAATATTTTATAGTAGTTACAGACTTTTACCAAAATTAGTGAAACGGAACCTAGTGAGTGTCTGGATGTGGTAAACCCTGACAGAGTAGAATGGTCACATTTGTCCCCACGGTGTCTGACCTAGAGTGCTCTGGATCCTGGAAGCCTCGACTTCAGGTAAATAACCACCGCCTCTTGAGGGTGCAGAAGAACGCCCTTTAAGGCCAGTTGGGGCCATGAGAACCCAAAGGTAAAACAACTGGTTTATAGTTAGGCAGCATGCCAACAGAGGTTTTGAAGTTTATAATTAGTATTTTTAAGAACAACTGCTCTCCGCCACTGAGATATAAACTTCACTTGCCAGCCACGTCTCTGACAACCTGCCTATTGAAAGCCAGAAATGTAAAAGCTCACGCTGCGACCGACCCGCAGAGCCGATGTGGGAAATCACAAAACAACAGCCCCAGCCCTGCATGCAGGGCCCCACCGCAGCTTTGTTTTCTAAGCCAAATGTGCTCACTAGAGGGTTCCACGGATCTGCGGGAGAAAGAAGCCAGACCTGCACTCCATCCTTTTACAATTGGAAGCTCAATGGACACAAAACAATGATCAGGAGAAGTTTCCATAACAAAGCCTAATGGACATTGTTTCAGTGCCCAAGTGGCAGCTCCTCTCTGGCTCTAGGAGCTGATGCTCCAAGTCTTGGCCCAAACACTACTTCCGGCCGGGTGCGGCGGTTCACGCCTGTAATCCTAGCACTTTGGGAGGCCGAGACGAGTGGATCACTTGAGGTCAGGAGTTTGAGACCAGCGTGACCAACATGGTGAAACCCCGTCTCTACTAAAAATACAAAATATTAGTTGGGCATGGTGGCGCACATCTGTAATTGCAGCTACTCGGGAGGCTGAGGCAGGAGAATTGCTTGAACCCAGGAGGCAGAGGCTGCAGCGAGCCGAGATCACACCACTGCACTCCAGCCTGGGTGACAGAGCAAGACTCCGTCTCAAAAACAAAACAAAACAAATCAGTACTTCCATCTCGAAATGATTTCAGGTTGACTATCTGGGATGTTTTGACTGAAGCTCACAAGAGCGGTCTATATGTTACTCCAGATGGGAGCCTGAAGAATCAGCAGTTAAGGAAGCCCCAGCAGGCTCTCAGGAGGGAATCTTGTCTTCAGTTCCAGGTGATGGAAGAAGCCACGCCCAGCACTCAGCCAGCCCCGAGGGCCCTAGCTGTGGGAACAGGCTGAGCAGGTTGCTGGGAAACCCAGCTAAAGGTGCTCGGGCAAGCTCCTGCCCTGCACCTGCTGCCCTCCACAGAGCACACAATTGCTTTTCTTTTCTTTTTGAGATAGAGTCTCACTCTTTCACCTAGGCTGGAGTGCAGTGGCACAATCAGAGCTCACTGCAGCCTCGACCTCCCAGGCTCAGGTGATCCTCCCATCTCAGCGTCCCGAATAGCTGGGACTACAGGCACGTGACACCACACCCGGCTAATTTTTTCTTTTCTTTTTTTTTTTTTTTTTTGGTGGAGATGGGGTTTTGCTGTGTTGCCCAGGCTGGTCTCTAACTCCTGGGCTCAAGCAATCCTCCAGCCTCGGCCTCCCAAAGTGCTGGGATTACAGGTGTGAGCCACCGCACCCGGCCACTTGTTTCTTAATGAGTGTCTGCAACTGCTGGGGAGGTGCGGGTCTGCCGGCCAGAGCTGCAGGTAAGTGAGGGTCAAGCTGGTTCACAGAGTGCAGCAACTCAGCTCAGAGTCCTGAACACACAGCCCAGCCCTCTGAAACCATCCCCTCCAGCACAAGGAAGGCAGCATTCTGCAAACGCATCCATGGGAGCCTCAGGAAAATAAGTTTTAGACAAGTCACGTGTTCCTACCTTCCAGGCAGCAAAGTCAGTGCTACAGAAGCAAAGTAAGGGATCGCAGGCCTCTGGCTGGAGGGAGGCCACCAAGACTCCCTGGATTAGTATTCGGTGACTCTAATGCCATCAGGGTTTAGCTCGACACCTAAAGCCTACTCTGTAGGATTCGAAGCACACAGTACAACAAATATCCTATGGCTTTCCAAATACTAGAGCAGAGAATTAGTTGTTATAGATTAGAAAACAGGGAAAGGGACTCTGCCTCTCGTATGAGGCGAAGGTTTCCTTCTAAGCACACAGACTGAGCCGCCCAGTTACGGGTTCCTAATGCTCACAGGAGGAAACTCATTCTCATCATCAAGACACACTGGTCCCGTCGCAAACTCATGTTCAGGAATAACTTCTCCTCGCAGCGCCCCGCCGTCCTCAGAATAACCTGGAAACCAAGAAAGAGACATGAAACAAGCACTGGGGATCTGCTTTTATGCCATGACCTGGCGGGTGGGGAGCGGGGGCTCAAATAAAGGGCAAAGGAAGCAAAGGGGCTGTCTGTCTTCCCCCTGGAGGTACTGTGCCTAGGACAAGTCATAATCCTCACCATCTGCCATCTTTAAGCCTGACCTGCCTTTCCACTTCAGATGCCTGAGGCATCCTACCTCTTTGAATTTTTCTTTGTTGAGGTAGGGTCTCAGTATGTTGCCCAGGCTGGTCTCGAACTCCTGAGCCTAAGGGATCCTTCTGCCTCAATTTAACTTCCTGAGTGGCTAGGACTACAGGCTCTTTGGAAATTTTAGTTTAGTTTTTATTTTTTGAAACAGAGTCTCACTCTTTCACCCAGGCTGGAGTGCAGTGGTATGATCTCAGCTCACTGCAATCTCCGCCTCTCTGGTTCAAGCAATTCTCCTGCCTCAGCCTCCGGAGTAGCTGGGATTGCAAGTGTGTGCCAACATGCCCAGCTAATTTTTCTATTTTTTAAGTAGAGATGGGGTTTCACCATGTTGGCTAGGCTGGTCTCAAACCCCTGGCCTCCAGTGATCCGCTGGCCTCAGCCTCCCAAAGTGCTGGGATTACAGGTGTGAGCCAATGTGCCTGGCCTCATTGGAATTTTTGAAGAGGCAAAGGGTTAACACCACTTGTTAGGAAAAAGACCGTATCGTGTGATGCCTTGCCAGGTTGAGGGTCCCAGGTTTAAAGGCTATTACCATGGCCTCACCTGTGAGAAAATAAAAAATTCAAGGAGAGCACTCCACCCCCAGGTAACAGTGAAGGGGGAAGGGGAGGGAGGGCACTCCACCCCCAGGTAACAGTGAAGGGGGAAGGGGAGGGAGCGTGCAGGGAGAAGGGGAGGGAGGTCACTGTTGGAGATGCTCCCCTGTTGGCCCCGTGTCCACCCACCTGGCACCGTGGAGGCTGAAGATGCACTTGGTCTGGCTACGGTCGCTGCATAAGACTGAGGTAAGGAAGGTCTGAGGTCATTTTCTTTATTCTCTTCTGTTGTTCCTGAGCCAAGCAAGCTACTTGTGACAATCAAGAGGAGGTGAAAGAAAAAAGAAATCATCATATATCTAGGACACCTTCCAAAGGAAAAGCATGAAGAAGCCTGTGCTCAGCTCTGTGGGTTATTTATTTATTTTTGAGGCAGGGTCTTGCTCTATTGCCCAGGCTGGAGTGCAGTGGCGCAATCTCGGCTCACTGCAACCTCCGCCTCCTGGGTTCAAGCGATTCTCCTGCCTCAGCCTCCCGAGTAGCTGCGACTACAGGCACCCACCACAGCGCCTGGCTAATTTTTGTATTTTTAGTAGAGACTGGGTTTCACCATGTTGGCCAGGCTGGTCTCGAACTCCTGACCTCAGGTGATCCGCCCGCCAACTCTGTGGGTTTAAATTGTAGACCTACCCACACGCTGCTGGGCCAGGATGAGCTGAAGTGACCTGCAACTGCCAGGGGCAGTCACACACCGTCAAAATGGCCTCTTTCTCTTACATTGGCTAGACAAAGATTAGTCCTCTGCTCTTCCCAGTACACACAGGTGAGGACATGCTAGCAAGGAGAGCAGCCATCGGTGGGGGGCGGTGGCAGCTCTGGTGCCCTGGCCACAGCAGGAGAGCTCAGTCTGTGCCTGTTCACAGAAGGCATGAGTGCTTTTCTTTTGTTTTCTTTTCTTTTTTGAGACAGGGTCTCACTCTGTTGCCCAGGCTGCAGTGCAGTGGTGTGACCACAGCTTACTGCAGTCTTGACCTTCCTGGGCTCAGGTGATCCCCCCACCTCTGCCTCCCAAGTAGCTGGGACTACAAGGCATGTACCACCATGCCTGGCTAATTTTTATATTTTTTCTTTTTGTAAGGATGGGGTTTCACCATGTTTCTCAGGCTGGTCTCAAACTCCTGAGCTCAAGCCATCCGCCCTCCTTGGCCTCCCAAAGTATTGGGATTACAGGCGTGAGTCAACATGACTGGTAGAGCACTTTTCAATTCCATGCAGGGAATAGGTTTTTTTTTTTTTTTATTTTGAGACAGGGTCTCACTCTGTTGTCCAGGCTGGAGTGCAATGGTGTGATCATGGCTCACTGCCTCAACCTCTCCAGGCTCAGGTGATTCTCCCACCTCAGCCTCCTGAGTAGCTGGGACTACAGGTGTGTGCCACCACAACCGGCTAATTTTTGTATTTGTTTTTGGTATAGATGGGGTTTCACCATGTTGCCCAGGCTGGTCTTGAACACCTGGACTCAAGCCATCCACCCGCTTCGGCCTCCCAAAGTGCCGGGATTACAGGTGTGAGCCGCCACACCTGGTGGCAGGGAATATTTTTGAACACCCACTGTGAGCTCAGGGCTGTGTTAGGAGCATAGGCTGAGGGGGAGACCATCTTGTGTGTTATTAATCCTGGCACTTTTCCAGATGATTACCACATGCTGAGGGCACCTGACACAGAGCCCGGTGCAGAGCACTTGCCCACTAGAGGTTTGCCACTGAGACTGCCAGTGAAGAACAAATCAATGCAAGGGCACTGAAGCTTGTCGTTCTTGGCGAAGGGACAACTCTACACGACCAGCTCTCGAAAGGCTGTCTTTTGAAAAGCAGTCTCTTCACCTGTGGGTTTTGATTAAGACACACTCTCCTCCATCCTGAGGATCCAAATTGTACATATAAAGGTGTCCACTGGATGACGCAACTAGCAGCCGTGGCAACTTCTGGATCCTAAGGGCCAAGGAAAACATAAACCGTGATGACAACGAAGATGGGCGATGGATTCGCTTCCAATGACAAAGCCCCCCTCACCCTAGCTGTCACCAGATTCTGCCTTTGACAAACCCTTAGCCCACTGATCTGGTCTGGGCTTCTGGCTATTCCTTTGCATTCTGGCCTTGGGATCTACTTTCAGGATTATTTCTTGTCTTTGAACGTGACAGTGTGGATGAGGCAAGTGAGTGTAGATGCTGCGACCCTGCGAGAAGCAATAGCTAGTGAACACATTAGCTCCCTACATGGGACGCAGTCTCCCTCTGACATGTGTCTCTGCCCTTAACCAAGACAGAAAGGGGGTAAATGGAGGATTGGCTTACTGTCTTTGCTGGTTAGTTTTGTGAAATTTTAAAAATGTTCAACTTTTGAATAAACTCCTTTAAACTTCTTAAAACATCTGTCAGCCCCATAGGAGTCCGAACCTAGAAAACAGATCTGGAGGCTTTTTACATAATTACATAAAAATAAGAATTGTTTTTAAGACAGTGTCATTATAACCAGAAGGCTAAAATTCCCATGCCAACTTCTGGCTGCCCCCTGAGAATCCGTATTGAAGTCAGATAGGAAAAGCAGGGGTTTGATTCCGCTCACCCTTCCTTTGGGGCAAGTTTTCTTTTTCTTTTTTGAGATGGAGTCTTGCTCTGTCGCCCAGGCTGGAGTGCAGTGGCATGATCTCGGCTCACTGCAACCTCCGCCTCCTGGGTTCAAGCGATTCTCCTGCCCCAACCTCCCAAGTAGCTGGGACTACAGGCACGCACCACCATACCCGGCTAATTTTTGTATTTTTAGTAGAGACGGGATTTCACCACGTTGGCCAGGCTGGTCTCAAACTCCTGACCTCAGATGATCTGCCTGCCTTGGCCTCCCAAGGTTCCGGGATTACAGATGTAAGCCACCGTGCCCAGCCTGGGGCAAGTTTTCTTTTTTTCTTTTCAGGTTTGGGGATTTTTGTGCTTTGGAAAAATACATTGACGAAAGTGTGGTCTTGTTCAGAGTGGGTGTCATTGTACGTACGTTGAGAGGGTACAGATGTTCCTCTGTCCGGAGAAGTTCAAGCGTGCAGTGGCAAAAGCCCTGTCCTGATGCATCATGTCTGACACCTGGGTAGGGAGGTAGTTGGTAGCAGCCATAAACATCTTTCCCATGTAGCCACTCCAGGTCGAAGGCTCTTCTGGTCGACTAGGGAGTAATGCACAGGCAACGATGGGACTGGGCTGCAGGCCCCACACGCACCCAGGAATCTCCACACCCAAGCGTCATTAGCCACACTCCCCGCAGCAGGGAGAGACTGTGCCTTAGCATAATGTTCTGCCCACTGAGAACAATCCAGGACGTATTATTCTGGCAATAACTAAAGAGCATCAAGGGCTTGTTTGTTCTTCAGAAGAGCCATTGTAAAGCTGTTAAAAGGTTCCCAATGCTACTGCTTTCCCCTATTAAAGAAGGCTTATCTGATGACTAGTCTGATTCCTAGATTTCCAGAAGAGAGTTAGGGTAGAGAGTGAGATGGACTTGATATCCAGGTACCATTAAATAAGCTTGGGACTGTGCCGGGCTCATGGAAGAACAGACAGATCTCAACGTGAAGGCCTCCTGAGCCAGACTGAGTGGGTAGCAAACCTCCGGGCAAGACACTTTGGGTGGTGTTTGATTGTAGATAACCCTGGAGTCACCCAGGTACCCAGCATGTGTAATGATGGAGATCATGCAAAGGGACCTGGGATGTCGCCTACAGTCATGGAACTTCATCCCAAGGCCTCTGCCAGACAAAGGGGGTGACTGTTCTGTTGGTGAGAGACAACCCCCAGCTCTGCCCCACACAGAGGGTGGCACATTGAGAACCAAGGTTGCCATATGAGTTCCCAGGAGCAGGCAACTGCTGAGAGGCTGCTTGTCTGCAGGATTAGGTCCTGGTGGGAAGCTCGCCCTGCAGCTCAGAGCTCTGGGAGGTATTCTTTACTATGCTACCAATGGGCTAGGGGGTCTTTGGACAAACCTCTCTGGGCCTTCATGTTCTCATCTGAAAGTGACTATGCTAGGTGCACTGCTAGGGTTCTGTGATCCGAAGCATCCTGAGACATCCTTGTACTGTCTGTCCCACAGCCCTGTGCTCCGGGCTGGGGTTTACAAAGAGGTGTACGATCCAGACCCTGCATTCCAGATTGAGAGAGCACGGGTGTATACAAAGAAAAACCACGTGAGCAGTTAATATGCGGTGCTGCACAGATGGTCCAGGCAGGAGCTAGTCCAGGACCACAGAGGAAGGGAGAGGCGGATGAGGTTCCTTAACGTTTCCGTGTCCAGATTTCCTCATTTGGGAAACAGGAATCATCATCACAACCTCCCTGACAGGGTTGCTGGGAGAACTAAGGATGCTGGGGACTGAGCATGGAGCCCGGCACGTGGCGCATACTGTTTTATGGGATGGTGTCTCTGTGGCTGGAGGAAATGAGGAGGTTCTGGGGGTGGTGGCTGCTGGGCTCTGCAGCAGGTCTGACTCAGGGGGACGGGAGGAGCTGGGACTTCATTCCCAAGGTCAAAGGGGAATAAAGGTGTCTGAGGAGGAGGTGTCATGTTCAAAGGGACATTTTCAGAAGATTAATCAGCAAGATGATATAGGATGGACTGGTATTGGTTGAAAGAGACTGGAAAGTCAGACCAAATGTAAGAGTAACGGCTGGACCAGCACGAGGTGCTAAAGACACGTTCAAGGGCCCTGGCCAGCGAAGCAGGGCTGAAGAGGCACGTGTGAGCCGTAACCGCCGGGGACATATGAACACCCGTGGACAGGTTGAGCGGAGAACCCAGAACAGCTTGGAGGTTCTGCTCCTGGTCACCTGTGCTCACAGACAGAAACGGGAGAGCCTGGAGTGGAAAATCAATCTCTGATAATAATCCCCAGTGGAGGCGGGGCTGCAGCAGCAATTGCGATCACTCACTCGTGGAACCTTGGGGTTGAACGGCATCTTAACAGCTCAGCCGCCCTCTAGTGCTCAAACCCATGACAACAGATGATGAATTAAGGCTCCAAAAAAGATCAGGGCTTAAGAAGCTGTCTGAAAAGTGAAAGAAAATCCTAAAAAGTGGATATAATCTCCAGGGAAAGAGTAAAAAGAACCTCAGGACAAACAATGAGCTTTGGGTTACACCTGTGCAGATTGGGGGTTGGAAAGTTCTGGAAAGATGAAGGAGCGAGAAGGGAGCCGCCCCCAGTGTTTCATACACCACTGGGGGTGGGGGGAGACAAGGATTCTAGAGATGAGGGGACGTCAGTCCCATGGCTGTGATATGTGACATGGCTCAGGTGACCTCAGGCAGCGTGGGCTTGCTTTAATCACACATGCCTTTAAAAATAGCTTTCTCCAACTGGTGGCAGAAAAAGATGGCAGAAGGGCAAGTCAGAGAAATCTTGGCACCTCTCTTTCAGCCTTGTGTCATGCTGAGAAGAAGACCCAGTCCTGCCATTCTGGGCTGCAGAACTGTGAAATCATAAATGTGGCTGTTTGCCTATAGTCCCAGCACTTTGGGAGGTTGAGGCGGGTGGATCATGAGGTCCGCATGTGTCAGCATTGATAAGGTGCCCGGCCTCTGTCATGTATGTGTTAGCATGTATCAGCGTGATAAGGTGCCCGGCCTCTGTTACGTATGTGTTAGCATGTATCAGCGTGATATGGTGCCCAGCCTCTACACCTTCCTCTTCTGAAACTCCATCCAAGGGTACCAGCAACCAACTCCCCAGATACAGTAGGCTTTCTGTCCTGATCCTGCCTTT
Organism: Homo sapiens; assembly: GCF_000001405.40. Taxonomy (NCBI): domain Eukaryota; kingdom Metazoa; phylum Chordata; class Mammalia; order Primates; family Hominidae; genus Homo; species Homo sapiens. The sequence continues at coordinate 68,432,754 of NC_000017.11, forward strand.
CTCTGCAGGTTGGGGTAACGTTTTCAAAGCGCTCTTTCTCTAGAATCCTTGCCCCCCACCGTGGGGTATGAAACACTGGGGGCTGCTCCTTTCTCACTCCTCCATCTTTCCAGAATTTTCCAACCCCCATTCTGCACAGGTGTAACTCAAAGCTCATTGTCTGCCCTGAAGTTCTTTTTACTCTTTCCCTAGAGATTTTATCCATTTTTTAGGCTTTTCTTTCACTTTTCAGACAGCTTCTTAAGCCCTGAGAAATTGCAGGTGCTTCCCAAGCGCTCAGTGGTGCTGCTGGCAACAATGATAAATAAATATATTGTTATATTTACAGCTATATCAGCTAACACTTCTTAGTGCTTCCTATGTGCCAGGCACGATGCTGAACACTTTAGATCTGCAGACTCATTTAATACTACTGTTATGTTCATTTTGCAGATGAGGAAACTGAAGGACACAGATCTAAATTATCTTCCCGGGATCTCTGGGCTCCTAAGAGGCAGAGCCAGGACGTGAACTCACGTGGGTGGCTCCCAGTTTTTTGCTTTTGTGCATCATGCCTCCAAAGTTTTGCTAACACACACTCCATCACTTAGGTGAAGTCCCAAGTGAAGCCAAGATTGGGTGTTCAGAAAGAAAAGAGATCATTCATGCCAGTAGAAGAGCCTAGGCCTGACTCCTTTCGTTTAATGAGCATTTGGTGCCCCGCGGAGTACTTGCCTGTTGGTGACCTGTTCCAGCTTGAAGATGTGTACCGTCTCGGTGTTACTGGAGGCGCAGAGGAATTGTGAATCCATACTGAACACTAGAGAGCTGATTGTCACATACCTACAAGCACAGCAACACATGGGTCAGTGAGCAAGAGAAATGGGAGTTATGGCCTTATAACTCAGAGATCAGCTTTATAAGAAAATCAGATGTATCCTGAAGAGCCTAGGTAGACCCAGATCCCTTAAACACTGTGGTGCTCATATTTAGAAATTAATGTCAGAAAGATTCACAAAGGGTCATAGTTTTTTTTTTTTTTTTTTTTTTTTTTTTTTTTTTTTTTGAGACAGAGTCTCTCGCTCTGTTGCCCAGGCTGGAGTACGGTGGCTTGATCTCAACTCACTGCAACCTCTACCTCCTGGGTTCAAGCGATTCTCCTGCCTCAGCCTCCCAAGTAGCTGGGATTACAGGCACACACCACCACACCCAGCTAATTTTTGTATTTTTAGTAGAGACGGTGTTTCACCATGTTGGCCAGGCTGGTCCTCAGGTGATCTGCCTGCCTTGGCCTCCCAGAGTGCTGGGATTACAGACGTGAGCCACCGCGCCCGGCCCATAGTCTTATTTATGTGAGAAGAAACAAGGTATAGCCCTGCCTCTGTCAGCAGAAGGGAGGAACTGTGCCTTCCTGGCATCTTGGAATCTTCCAGTTGCTCTGTGCACTGATCTGGCTGCAAACCTACATCCGATAAGATCCCAAACAGTCACACTTTACATCGTCCTTTATTTCCATGGAAGGAAATCAGAAATTATTTTTGGATTGTGACTCCCTGGCTCTCTCATTTCTCCTGTGCCGGCCGCCCACACACACATCAAAAAGGGACTCTCACGGCTGAACTGTGTTAAAACAGCATCTCGGCTTTCAGTTTTGCTGAGCCCTAAGTAAAGCCTGGGAGTCAATTACCTGGGAGAGTAGTTACACTTCCTCCAGGTGAGTGGAGGGCACAGAGCCACTCTCTGTCCTCTCCCTAGACAGCTGCCAGCGGTCCCTGCGGGACTTCTGCGGGGACTTTAAAATGGGTTTGACATTGAACACAGACCTTTTCATCCCTCTCCGGAACTCATAGAGCTTTTGCCCATCAGGGACAGAGAACACCCGGATGACTGTGCCCTGGAAAAGAAAGCAGGTGGACATTTCATAACCATTAGTGGCTTTACACAGAGATGTCCCTTTAGAGAGGAGTTTGTTTTATTGGTTTTGAACATCTGTCTCTGAGGAGGAAGAACACCACGTTGAGCATAGAGGCATGTTTATTTATGTGCCATATCAACAATTCTTGGAAAATGTTATAAACACCCTCTGTCTACCTTTTCCCTTCCACCTGTGCCCAAGGCTCTGCGTGTATGTGTGTGTGCATGTGTGTGTTCACCCAACTGCTCTGGTTTCTTAGAATTTCAATTTGAGGCCGGGTGTGGTGGCTCACGCCTGTAATCCTAGCACTTTGGGAGGCCAAGGCGGGTGGATTGCCTGAGCTCAGGAATTCAAGACCAGCCTGGGCAACACAGTGAAGTGAAACCCCGTCTCCACTAAAATACAAAAAATTAGCCAGGCGTGGCAGCATGTGCCTGTAATCTCAGCTACTCGGGAGGCTGAGGCAGGAGAATCACTTAAACCTGGGAGGCGGAGGTTGCAGTGAGCCGAGATTGCGCCATTGCACTCCAGCCTGGGCGACAGAGCTAGACTCCACCTCAAAAAAAAAAAAAAAATTCAATTGGATCACTTTCTCTGATTATTCCAGGCAGAAGACATCAATTTCTCTAAATAGCAAAGTAAAGCATTTGGTTTGCACTGTACTGTGTTTATAAGGTGTAGCATTTGTCCGTCTCTACGGCTGATGTACACGTACATTTCTTCATAAGACCACGAGTTTTCATGCAAAGTGTCTTGTATCTTGCATATTGCAGGCCCCTGGCCTATTGAATTAACAAATGCATGAATATACCACACATGCAGAGGCCAGAAATTCTCCCTCTGAAACAAATTCTGAGTGGGCCCAGAGACCAGTCAGTCTTCATGTCACCAGGTTTGTTCAATCCCATCCCTGCGCACGGCAGGAGCCATCCAGCGAAACCCAGACAGAGGTGTTGGTGGGAGTGGACTCACTTTTTCAGACGCACTTGCTAGTTTGGAGCCTGAGGCATTGAAGGTGATGGCAGCTAGTGTTCCCTCATGGGCAGCAATAGTGCAGACTGTTTTCTGTTGGTGAAAAGGAAAAATGGATACAGATGCTGCGGAGGAGGGAAGATGGATTTCACCTCCCTCCCCTTCCTCTTTTCTCCTTTCTCCCTCCTTTGTCCAGCTCCCTGTCTCTTCCTCTGTCCCCCAGGCCATCTGCATGTAAGCTGTGTGTCATTTTCTGGTGAATCAAGATTTGGCTTCAAGGGCCACTCCATTTCCATCCCTTTTCCTGCCCTTGGGAAGGTGGCCACGAACGGAGCACCTGATGCAGTGTGATGCCGTCGCAGGCGCGCCCTGCACGCATCTTTAGGCAACTTCCCACAGCAATCTTGTCCCGCTCAGGGATGCCTCAGAGACCAGAGGGCAGGGAATATGAAACACCTGCACACTGTCTCAGGCTGTGGCATGGGACAGGGTGACACATTCAGGGAGACAACTGGCCCCCTGCTGGCAAGTGGTTTTCATTATGCTGCAGATGTCTAACTTGGCCTGGCCAGCTGGCTTATGGTGAGGTTGACTCACAGCAAGCCCGAGGGGAAATAGTATCACCTTCTCTTGAACAACTCCCCAGTATTGCTTACTCCCACCGCCTCCAGCCCCCGACGGCAGGGCGTCCTTATCTATCTCCTTCCATGACCACACAGCCAAGGCAGGTGGGTTGGCTCAGCCAGGTCACCGTCAACTTACCAGGGAGTTTCCATCATAAAGCACAATCTCCCCTGAAGTCAGGCTTCCAGGATAGGCCAGGTAAGAATTGGAATGGTTGATAGAGAGAGCACATAGACCTGGCAAAGAAGAAACAGAACATGAGAAGCCTGGGGCCAAGGGAGAGATTGCACGGCTGGAGAGGGCATCTGAAAACAGTACAGCTACAGTGCCACCTACTGGCAAGGGGAGGAATGGCTTTGCAGACAACTGCTTTCCGCTGATGATTCTTCTGATTAAGGCTTCCAATAAAGCAACTTCACAGGGGAAGACCTCCTGATTTAACACTGGCTGCGTCCTTGCTACAGTGAAACAATGAGACTTGCCGGGCACAGTGGCTCATGCCTGTAATTCCAGCACTTTGAGGCGGGCGGATCACTTGAGGTCAGGAGTTCCAGACAAGCCTGGCCAACATGGTGAAACCCCATCTCTACTAAAAATACAAATAGCTGGGCATGGTGGTGCGTGCCTATAGTCCCAGCTACTTGGGAGGCTGAGGCAGGAGAATCGCTTGAACCCAGGAGGCAAAGGTTGCAGTGAGTGGAGATCGTGCCACTGCACTCCAGCCTGGGCTACAGAGTGAGACCCCGTCTCAAAAAAAAAAAAATATATATATATGTGTGTGTGTGTGTGTGTGTATATATTGCTCATTTTTACATTTTACCCCAGGACTCTGAAACAGCATCTACTTTTCTTCCAATTCCATTATCCTCTAGGGTTACAAGAGATTTCCTCAAAACTGAAATAAATCTTCCTATAGTGAAAAGTCAGTACATATTGGTCTTTCTGCAGATGATTATATACTGTTGGCCAGTAACTTCAAGTTGGAGAAGAGGAGCTGCCAAGAACCTATTTAGAAACTGAGAAATTTCAGGCCAGGCAAGGTGGCCCACACCTGTGATCCCAGCACTTTGGCAGGCCGAGGCAGGTGGGTCACCTGAGGTCAGGAGTTCGAGATCGGGCTGGCCAACATAGTGAAACCCTGTCTCTATTAAAAATACAAAAATTAGTCAGGTGTGGTTGCATGTGCCTGTAGTCCCAGCTACTCGGGAGGCTGAGGCAGGAGAATTGCTTAAACCTGGAGGTGGAGGCTGCAGTGAGTGAAGATAGTGCCACTGCACTCCAGCCTGGGTGAGAGTGAGGTTCTGTCTTAAGAAAAAAAAAAAAAGAAACCGAGCAATTTCTGAGCCAAATGCCCTGCCTTGATAAGGGAAATGGGTACCTCCCGAGGAGGAAGTTTATTTGAGGTCTGCGTCTGCAGTCAAGATGGTGTGCCTAGACATTGAGACAAACTAAATAAAGAGGACATTTTGGATTTAAGATGCTTCAATAATATTCCGGAAGAGTAAACAGCCCATCAAACCACTGAACCAACATAAGCTGTTTTTATTTATAAGGGGATTCAAGAAGGGAGCATTTAAGTAAAGGATTTTCAAAACAATGGTTTAGATGAATAGAGGTGCACATGATAGCAGTGAATTCCAGCAATTCCATAGAAACCAAAGTGTTACCAGAAACTTTGAGATCACGCAAGAGAGACATCTCTCTTAAAAAAAAAAAAAAAAAAAAAAAAAGTGACTGGCGTCTATTACAAGTTAGTATATTAAGTGGGTTTCTTCTAAAAGTATAAGAAAAAACTTTAGGTCAGGCTGAAACATACCTCAACTAATCTGCTGAGGAAGGAGAGCAAAGGAAAAAGAAAGTAAACATTTAGAGTTGGAACCTAGGTCTCATTTCCTGCTCTGGCTTTGCTGAGTCCACAGCAGGGCTGTCCTCTTATCACTTGCCATGCATAGCTACGGGAGGAAGTGGCTGAGCCCCGGAACCTTTAACTGCACGTTCTGGCAGCCCTGCCACCCCTTTGGCGATACAAGGTCATTCCTGGCCCCAGCCTTAGAAGAGGCCACTCGTCCATTTCCAGTTTTGCTCTGGAAACCCCAATTCCTCACCCCTTCTGAATTCTTTGCTATCCAAATGAAATTTCAAGAACAGCTAGGCAGGCAGAAGGGATTCTAGTCTTGTGAAACTGGGGAGGGAAGGCAGTCAGGAGATCTGGTTGTCTTGTGTGCTGGGTTCCCAAAGAGGCGGCTGGCAGAAAAGATGTGAAGACTGTGGAAATCTTACAAGGACTAGCGTACCAAACTAAAGAGTTAAGACCTTACAAATGCAGTGTGTAACTGCTGAAGGTTTCTCAGCACATATGTTTTGCTTTGTTTTTTGAGATGGAGTCTTACTCTGTTGCCCAAGCTGCAGTGCAGTGGTGCGATCTTGGCTCACTGCAACCTCCGCCTCTTTGGTTCAAGCGATTCTCCTGTCTCAGCCTGCCAAGTAGCTGGGATTACAGGCGTGTGCCACCACGCCCAGCTAATTTTTGTATTTTCAGTAGAGACAGGGTTTCACCATGTTGGCCAGGCTGTCTCGAACTCGTGACCTCAGGTGATCCATCTGCCTCGGCCTCCCAAAGTGCTGGGATTACAGGCGTGAGCCATCGTGCCTGGCCTAGCACATATGTTTTTAAAAAGGCTGTGTTAAAAACACGATGAGATACCACTGTACAACCACTAGGATGACTATAGTGAAAAAGACAGATAAATGTTGGTGAGGATATGGAGAAACTGGGATCTTATGCACCGCTGGTGGGAATGTAAAATGGGGCAGTGCTCTGGAACGTTTAGCAGTTCTTCAAAAGCTAAACATAAAGTTCTCATATGACCTAGAAATTCCACTCCTACATATACACCCAAGAGAAATTTAACATATGTCCACACAAAAACTTGTATATGAATGTTCATGGCAGCATTATTCATAAGTCAAAAAGTGGAAATAACCCAAATGTTATCAACTGATAAATGGATAAAGAAAATGTGATATATTTTTATAATAGAATATTATCCAGCAAGAAAAATAAAGTATTGATACATGCTACAACACAGAAGAACCTTGGAAACATTAGGCTATGTGAAAGAAGTCAGTCACAAAGGAACCGATATTGTATGAGTCTCCTGATATAAAATGTCCAGAATAGAGAAATCCATAATCTAATAGAGACAGAAAGTAGATTAGGGGTTGCCTATGGCTGGGGGCATAGGGAGTGATGGCTTAGAGGTACAAGGTTTGGGGCGATGAAAATGCTCTAAAATTAATTGTGGTGATGGTTACACAATTCCGTGAATATACCAAAAGCTATTGAACCATGCATTTTAAACGGGTGAATTGTATAGGATGTGAATTTTATCTCAAAAAAGATTTTCAAATTTTATTTTAAGGCATGTTTCAGGAATATTTATCTGGTTAGAGATAGGCTGAGGACATGAGTTCAAGACTGAGGTCTGCTATGTACTGTGAAACTCTGGCCGAGTTATTTGCTGCTCTTTCAGGCCTGTTTCCTGTCTGTGAAATGAAGGCTACCGTGATATAGAGGTCTTTCCAGATTTAACACTTCAAGATGCCAAGCCTTCGTTTCTTACTTCTTCCCTCTGAAAATACTGGGCGTGTCTTTGTGGCAGAGAGAGCTAAGCAGTCTTGGAGCAGAAGCCTTGGACGCATACCTCCAGCTGTGCTTCAGAGTCTTATGTTAAAACATAAATATTCCCAGAAGGGAAGAAACGTTTAAACTTTCTAAGCTAATATTGAACTTTCTGCAATACCTATTATAGAACTGGTTGACACTAGATGCTAACAAGAAAGGGACAAAGGATAAGAGTGAGGGCAGGCATACTCTGACACATACCACTTATTTGACAGTTTTGCCTCCAGGCTCGCACCTCTACCAATCCATCTGAATTTAGACAAGGAATCCTGCCTTCCTACCCTTACAGACTTAATGAAGGTCCCCAGAAAAGCCTACTGTGACTTCCCTATGGCCCAAGTGTCAGAAAAATCCAACGAGCCACACGAATGTATCTTCGTATCTTGGGAACCACCCAAGGCAAGCAAGAAGAGTTTTCCTTAGCTTGGCTATTGCCATTCTGCCAGTCTCCTCTTTCTGTTACAGGTGTTACACAAAGCCTTTTTAAGGAAGGATATGGGCTTTAAAAATATTATTGTATAATATAAAAGTGATGGTGTAGAACATTTGCAAAGCCTAGAAAATATAAGGAGAAAAAAAATCACCCACAATTCTAAAACCCAGAGGCTTTTCACTGTTCTGAACATCTGAGCATATTTTCTTCCAGTCTTTTTTCTACCTAGGAATGAGGTTCTGATGGGGCTTTTGGATGTGTTATAGCTTGACACATATTTTCATAAGTCACTGGCAGCTATAATTCCACTGTAATTGTTTGGCTGTAATTCTTCTACAGCTGGAAAAGAAGTGCCTGCTCTCAACTCAAGAACCAATGGCATCATCAGTGGAATTCAAAGGAAGTCCCATGATTCTAAATGATTCTCATCTTGGTATTTAAAGTATTGCATGTCAAACTTTAGGTAAGTTAACAGTGATTTATAAAATGCAGTTCCCTCTGAGTTGATTAATGTCTCAGGTTACGCTTTCCGATTTTCAAAAATAGAAAGACATCTTCTTTGTACAGCAAATGCCCTATGCTCCTACAAAAGGGAAGCATTTATACCACTTTTATTAGCATTTTCAAACAAGAAAGAGGTCTTGCTGGGGAAGAAACCATGAACTGTTCAATGATCTGCATTGCTGTGTGGTATGGAACGCTCCCTCAATATCCCATAAAAGGTGGTCAGCTCTGTGACCACCTCCTCCATACTGGGAGGTCTGCAGTTGGCAGGACTTTCATGGAGATTTCCACCCTTGACTGCTCAGAGCAGACTGCTGTGCTAGCAGGAAATTAACTTCGAGCCCCTGTCTGGCCAAGCTCTTTAAAGGAAACAGCCTGCAATCTCTGACACAACAGGAACGGGCATGACACAAACAGACAGAAAGAAGGAAATTTACAGCTGCGTTAGATACCAAGTGTGAGGCAACAGGCGAACTCTGTATAGCTAATTTACTTGTAGTTTATGAAGTCAAAATGCATTCAGGATTTGTGTGCTGAAGACAATTAGACGAGTGATTGTGTCTTCCTTCTGTACCCAGCAAGGATTTATAAAATCAACAGTCACAGTTTCCATCTTATTTCTTTGTTCAGAAAATAAACTAGAGGATGAGAACAGATAAGGCGACTCCTGGCCTCTGGGGAATGTATAATTGGCAGGGCGGAGTCCTCTGAAGGTTCCCGAGTGAGGACCTGGTCATGTCACTGAAGCGCAGCTCTGACCTGTGCAAGGCTGTCCTATGGGACAGAGAGGGCTGCGGAGTGAGTCTGACTGCCCGCATGGACAGGGCGGACCCACCTTTGCCCACCCAGGCCACAACCTCAGGTAACGCTCTCCGTGGCAACTCTGGGGGCTAAAAATGATCATCTCCATTTTACTGCAGTAGAAAGGGAGCTCAGGAGAAGTTGAGGTGATAATTATAAACGTGAGCATTTAAAACACCTTGGGCTATATCTCCAAAGAACATCAGAGGTCTAAAAAGACACAGTTTGCTCCTGGTCTTTCAGAAGAAATACTCAACCTATCCCTGGATCCTTTCATAAGGAGGCATTCTTTTATCTGAGACAGAGGAAGTCTCTGCTATTGTTTCTCATTTTTCTTGAGATAAAATCGATTCCCTTTACAAACAATATACACTGTCTCTAACAGGGAACACAAATAGCCCTGCACTTTTAAACCTTATTTTCTCTCTGTTTAAGCTGCAGAAAGTAAGGCAACCAGTGAGTTTTCTGAACTACAGAAAAACAACTATATTTGCTAAAAAATAAGAGTAAATGGTGGCTAAGTATGCTGACTCATGCCTATAATTCCAGCACTTTGGGAGGCCAAGGCGGGCGGATCACTTGAGGACAGGAGTTCAAGACCAGCCTGGCCAACATGGTGAAATCCTATCTCTACTAAAAATACAAAAAATTAGCTGGGTGTGGTGGTAGGCACCTGTAGTCCCAGCTACTCAGGAGGCTGAGGAATGAGAATCACTTGAATCCGGGAGGCGAAGGTTGCAGTGAGCTGAGATTGCACCACCTCACTCCAGCCTGGGCAACAGAGTGAGACTGTGTCTCAAAAAAAAAAAAAAAAAAAGGAGAAACATCTGTTTGCAAGGGAGGGTGCTCAGTCCTGAAGCAACCCTGTCCTCTGGGGGTCAAGTGTGCAACAGGTGTGAGGAGTAAGTGGCATTTACTGTCCACTCCCCTCTCTTCAGAGAAACTGAGAGCCACAGGCAGCTTCTAGCTTTCTGCATGCCCGATGTCCCTCCCCAAATCCCTGAAGGCCCAGCTCAGGCCCTGCCAGCCTCAAGCTCTATGCAGATTCAGGGGCCTCTCATTCCTGATCAGAAGAGCACATGCTCCCTTCAACTGTGTCCGCACCCCAGAGTTAAACATGGTTCCACCCCTGCCAAAGGCTGCTGGCGCACCTGTCTCAGACCACCTCAGACAGACTGTTGAAGGGAACTCGTGACAACTAGATTTTGGGCTCCTGGTATGAGGTTGCCTAATGGTGCCTACTATGGTGCCAAGCACAAAGAATGTCTGCAATAGATACTTGTCCAGATGATTTCAGCCTCTCATTTCTAAGGGAAAAACTTACCACCCACAGCTTCTTCACGTACCGTCTTCCATTTCAGAAAATGTGCTTCAAAGTCATTATCTCACAGAACTCCCTAACAGCCTCAATGGCTTTGTTCTTTTATTTATTTATTTATTTTTAATTTATTCATTGTTTTTTGAGACAGAGTCTCGATCTGTTGCCCAGGCTGGAGTGCAGTGGTGCGATCTCAGCTCACTGAAGCCTCCGCCTCCTGGGTTCAAGTAATTTTCCTGTCTCAACCTCCCAAGTAGCTGGGATTACAGGCACTCGCCACCATGCTCAGCTAATTTTTGTATTTTTTTGGTAGAGACAGGGTTTCTTCATGTTGGTCAGGCTGGTCTTGAACTCCTAACCTCAGGTGATCCACCCGCCTCGGCCTCCCAATGTGCTGCGATTATAGGTGTGAGCCACCGCACCCGGCTAGCTTTGTTCTTTTAAAATATCCTTTTGCCATAGCTGAAATGTGAAAGCACTGAAATCAACAGCCAAGGGCCATTTATAGAATTGGAATGAAGAGAAGGCATCAGAAGTATTTCATGCATGGCAGTTCCTGTGCTGGTCACTTTCACAAACATTACCTTGTTTAATTCTCAGCCAACCCTGGGAGATGGGTATTATTCATAAGGGAACCAAGGTTCAAAAAGTCTAGGTGACTTGGATGGCACCCAGATAGATCTTGAAATTCAGTGAAAGCCAAATAACTCAGAAACAGCAAATAGAAGCAGTTGTTCAATGATACTAAACTGAAATATAATAGAAGCAGTTGTTCAATGATACCAAACTGAAATATAATCTGCAAATATTAATCTGGAGTCATTAAATGTACAAGTTGTTCCAGTGTGCTGACTCCTCACCCCACCACACAATGAAGGAATTCTTTCTTGTTTACTCCTAGCTTGATGAATTCATATAATGTCATCTGCTATTTCAATATAACAAATCCAAACCATTCCTCTTCTTATACACCAGGAATGTATTAAATAGTGTTAAATCCCGAGAATTCAGTAAGGTTTAATATCCTAGCATATCGTCGAAGTAGAGAGATTTCTTTGTCATGTAATAAAACATATTCTTTATGGTTCAGATTGTCTTTTTGCTGGCCATGCAGACACGCCAAGTTGAAACCTGCTTCTAATTATCACGCCTACTCTGTACTGAACGAACCACAAAAAACAATTAGGGGTAAACACTTTTCAACAGCAGATGCTTGAAATCTTTTACATGTCTACCTTACGTGCCTTGACACATTTGCTGATATGGGTCCCAGACAAAGGGTGTTGTTATTCTTGGACTGCAATGAAGGGCACACAGCCCCCCTGCAGGACACACAGCCTGACATAATTTGAATCTGCCGCCATTAAGACAAAGCTTCGAGATAAACCTCACTAAGACTCAAAAAGCAAACACTGCTTCACGTTCGCAATTTGGAGGAAAATAAAGCTTGGGAAAGAAGCACCAGGACATGAAATTTCAGGGACATTTGTTCCATTTTTGGAGCTCACCTGTTGGGTTTGCAGGAATATCCAGGAGGGTCTTCAACAGCTTCATGTCTTTAATGTTGTGAATATAAATGGACTCTTCTAGGCAAACCAGCAGCCTCTGTAATCACACAGACTTATCAGTCTACCGAACCGTTCCTTACAAAGACCCTGACCAAATCCAAATCATTCATCTTTCATATGAGTCCTAACTTGATTCTAAGCCTAAAGCAGAATTTTGATGATGCATTTTGAAGATTGTGTTTATGGATGTACACACATACACATGTAATCATCCACCTGAACACAAGCATAAAATGCAAGATCTTAAGAAATTTTATTAGAAATTAAGATTGTTTTTACTTCTCTCCTTCCTTCTTCCCTCCCTCCATTCCTCCCTCCCTCTCTTCCTTCTCCTTCTTTCCTTAGAACAGGGATCCTGAACACTTTTTTTTTTTTTTTTTTTTTTTGAGAAGGAGTCTCACTCTGTCACCCAGACTGGAGTGCAGTGGCGCAATCTCAGCTCACTGCAACCTCTGCCTCCAGGGTTCAAACAATTCTCCTGCATCAGCCTCCTGAGTAGCTGGGATTACATGCATGCACCACCACACCTGGCTAATTTTGTATTTTTAGTAGAGACGGGGTTTCACCATGTTGATCAGGCTGGTCTCGAACTCCCGACCTCAGGTGATCTGCCCGCCTCGGCCTCCCAAAGTGCTGGGATGATAGGCCTGAGCCACCGCGTTCAACAGGACTTCTGAACACTTTCTGATCAGACCCCCTGTGCCATGTAAGACAATTTCATGTGCCTTCTGTAGTTTCCACTGCCATCTAACAGGCTGCCTTTCAGTGTTTATAGCACAGGTCTCCCTCCTATATAAAAATGGGTTTCTTTGCTTTCTCTCCATCACCAAATCTTAGGTTTTACCCCTCTCTGAATAATTACCAGCTCTAACTTATTTCTACTCAGACTCTCCTCCAGGCCTGCTTTTGGGCCGCTGTCTGAGCCCTGGCAAAGGGAAAAGGAGAAGGGCTTCGGCCCCATTTGAACACCCCAGTGCCCCACGTCCCCACTGTTCCTTCCTGGGCTCCTCTCTCTGGTGCTTGCTCTCCCCACTGCTGCCAGACCCTTCTCTTCCTCTCCACATGAAAGCTTGTCAGGTTCAGAGCCTCTTCCCAATGGCTGTGCTCTCAGCTAAGTGAAAACAGGCCACAGGGTTGATGTATCGGGTGTTTAAAGGAATATAACGCATAGCCCAGTACAAGGGCAGACATCGGTGCTGGTGAGGAGGTGTCAGGAAGGCATTTCTGGTTGGGCAGCTCCTCGCACATCTGAGCAGCTGCCGACCACCCCTGCACATGCCTGACTTGGCTCCCCTCAGGCCAGTGTTTCTTAGACCTGGATGCCCAAGGAGCTGCCCAAGGAGCAAGCCCTGGGCTCTCCCCGGAGATTCTGGTTTGGGAAGTTTTTAGACGAATACCAGGTGATTGCGATGCACACTGAGGCTCAAGAACCACTGGTCTCAGCCAGCTCCTTTTATTCCAGGGAACATCAGCTAGAAGGGAAGGTACCAAAAAATACCACACAAAAGAGGCAGGCTCTGCTCCTGGGAAAAGCCTGCCCTGCTATTCCCCAAGGAAGACTATCCATGGCTCAGAATGATGAAGGTCATCAGTGTTAACCAAGCAGAAAAATAAAATTTAAACACATTTCTCAATTTTTTTTTTTTCAGACAGGGTCTCGTTCTGTCACCCAGGCTGCAGTGCAGTGGCAGGATTACAGATCACTGTAGCCTCAACCTCTGGGGCTCAGTCCATTTTCCCACCCCAGCCTCTCGGGTGGCAGGGACTACAGGTGTGCGCCACCATGCCTGGCTAATTTTTTGGTATTTTTTGTAGAGACCCGGGTTTCACTATGTTGTCCAGGTTAGTCTACCTCCTGAGCTCAAGAGCTCCTCCTGCCTCGGCCTCCCAAAGTGCTGGGATTACAAGCATGAGCTACTGTGCCCAGCCCTTTCTCAGTTTTACCTAAGGCTCTGTCGTAGGTCTGAGACTGGGGACTGAGGGTTAAAAAAATTCTAACAGGTTCTCAAAATTGATGATAAATATGAGTGTTCCTCTGTGAAATATTCTCTGACTTATCCAATCACTGTGCCTTTTGCCAGCACATGCCGTGGTTAGAACTACGTGGTTCTATGCTTCCTTCTGTTCAGAGGTTTCTGATATCCTCTTGTGTCCCCTCCCAGCCCCACACCCAATCCCTGGGATAGCGGGGCCTTGACATATGCCTCTCCTAGAAACAGCATCTACATCTAGCCCATCTGATCTGATCTGCATTTTTTTCCCAAGAGCTCTGATGGCACCATCTGCTCTGCGGCTCACTCAGCTGAATTTCAGGTCACCCTCATGCTGGCTGCAGATAAGACTAAACGCAGAGGGAAACAGAGAGAAAACACTGGGAGGGAACGAGGATGCACTCTTAGTTCGTGTGAGAGCATGCTTCTGGGGTGGGCACGATGCTGCTGATTGCTTTTTTAACTATCAGTTTTCAGCCCCCGCAGAACCATGGTCTTGCCTTCAACTCAGCTCCTTGTCTGTTGCTTTGAATTTCATCTACTTTTCTAGGTTTTATAAGCAATAACTCCTTTTATCAATTACAAAATATTTATAGCATCTGCCCTAGAACACCACAGATTTGGCCTCAGAGGCTTCGAGCCAATCAGCCTCCATCTGGATAGCAAGGGCCCCTGGGAGGAGACTGCAAAAGAACTGTAAAAGTATGCAAATCTAAATACATCATACAGCTGTCTTGATTCCATAAAATATATTTCCTCAGTTCAATACAAGAGAAATAACATTAACTAAAAATGAAACATATGACAATTCCTAAGTGTTCTTCTTTTTTAAATTTTTAAATTTTTATTTTTTATAGAGACAGGGTCTTGCTGTGTCACCTAGGCTGGAATGCAGCAGCGTGATCATAGCTCACTGCAGCCTTCAACTCTTGGGCTTAAACGATCCTCCTGCCTCAGCCTCCCAAGTAGCTAGGCCTACGGGCAAGTGCCACCATGCCCAGCTAATTTATTTTTATAGTAAAGACCTAGTAAAGACTAGGTCTCGTTACATTGCCCAAGCTGGACTCAAACTCCTGGGCTCAAGCGATCCTCCTGCCTCGGCCTCCTGAAGTGCTGGGACCACACTTGGCCCTTTCCTTCCTATATACTTAGAAAAAAGGGATTTGGGGCCAGGTGCGGTGGCTCACACCTGTAATCCCTGCACTTTGGGAGGCCGAGGTGGGTGGATCACGAGGTCAGGAGATCGAGAACATCCTGGCTAACATGGTGAAACCCCATCTCTACTAAAAATACAAAAACATTAGCCGGGCGTGGTGGCAGGTGCTTGTAGTCCCAGCTACTTGGGAGGGTGAGGCAGGAGAATTGCTTGAACACGGGAGGTAGAGGTTGTGGTGAGCTGAGACTGCACTCCAGCCTGGGCAACAGAGTGAGACTCTATCTCAAAAAAAAAAAAAAAAAAAAAAGATAAAAGGGATTTTGGATCCTTATAACACCTTATCCAAATCTTTAACTTTTTCCTGTTTTTCAAAAAAGAAACTGTGCTGTCTGAAGGCCTGAGGAAGTAGCAGACTGAGTGCTACAGAATAGAACAGGACACACTCCCCTTGGGCCTTTATCATTTCCCCAGAGTGGGCAGTCCTCCCGGACACCACAGAATCCCTACCTGGCAAGAGAGGCTGCAGCAGCTGAGTTGCTTAAACCAAAATTTAAGTCCCAAACCTGAAAGTTTTAAGAAAAGCAAACCCCCAATACTTCCCAGACCTGTTTCAAATCATTCTTGTCGGAGAAGAAATGTAAAGGAAGGGAGAACTCTTAGATATTGGTTCCAATGAACCGATGCTCATCTTGGTTCCGACGTTAGATCTTGGTTCCGAGAACTGTTAGATCTTGGTTCGTGGCTTTGCCATGAATTGCTGACAGTTCCTGGTGCATCAGTGTTCTTTAGAAGGTGGGGGAGGAGAACCTCACAGTTAATGAGTATTATATTAAGGGGAGGCTGGCACCTAAAGGTTAACAGACTCGGACACTCAAATAGGCCTTCCTTGTCCCATTTGCTAATGAATATACCAGACAGAAAGAGAGAAATCATACAAGCAAATACAATAGACGCTATTTGAGGGTTCCGGTCTTTACAGATCATTTGCCTAAACAATCTTAAAAAGATCATCAGGTGCCAAAAACAGACATTTAACCTTGTATACGGATTACTACTATATGCAAGGATAAAAAGTTTAGCAGCGAAACTTAATCTGCTACCAACAGATTTCAGTGAAAACACCTGAGTCAAGAATTTCATCTAAAAGCCTTCAATCAGAAAACTCTCAAACTGCCTTTCCCTCCCTTGCCAAGAATGCAGGTTTCTTTTCTTTCTTACTCCTGCTACTCCCTACTTAAAAGGTCCCACTTCTCTTTCTCCAGCTATTTTTCACCGCACTGCTTTAGGTGGACTTAAGTGGATTTTCATTTGAAAGAGTTGATCAATTCAAAGAAACAATCCCTTCCTTCTCATAAATTTAAAAAGCATTTATTTGTCTCATTTGTTAAAAAAAATTAATTAGTACTTAAGAGTTTAGACAAAGACAGAAGAAAACATTGTCCTCAATGAATGCAGCAACCGCTCTGGGAATACTTAATTGAATAGATAAATCTGCATGGTCACATAAAGAATCTCTTTGTTTATTTACTTATTTAACAGTCAGTCAGGAAACAGATATTTATGAGCACGTATCTACCAAGCACTGCCTTTTCTACCAGGTCGTATAATGGTGAACACACCAGCACAGTGCCTGCCTTCACAGTAATTTGGCCAAGCGTGGTGGCTCATGCCTGTAATTCCAGCACTCTGCGAGGCCAAGGAGGATCCTTGAGCCCAGGAGTTTGAGACCAGACTGGGCAACATGGGGAAACACTGTAATATGATTCAGATCAGTGTCCCTCCCCAAATCTCATGTCGAATTGTAATCTTCAGTGTTGGAGGAAGGTGGCAGAGTTCTTATGAATGGTTTAGTACCATCCCCCACCATAGAGTGAGTGAGTTCTCACGAGACCTGGTTGTTTAATAGTGGGTAGTACCCCCCACCCGTCTCTTGGTCCTGCTCCTGCCACGTAAGACGCCTGCTCCCGCTTTGCCTTCCGCCATGAATCAAAGCTCCCTGAGCCCTCCCCAGAAGCAGATGCTGCCGTGCTTCCTGTACAGCCTGCAGAACCTTGACCCAGTGAAACCTATTTTCTTTATAAATTACCCAATCTCCGGTAGTTCTTTAGAGTAATGTGAGAATAGACGAATACACTCTGGCAATATAAAAAAATACAGAAAAATTAGCTGGGCGTGGTGGTGCCCACCTGTAGTCCCAGCTACTCAGGAGGTTGAGGTGGGAGGATTGTTTGAGCCTGGGAGATGGAGGCTGCAGTGAGCCAAGATTGTGCCACTGCATTCCAGCCTGGGCAATAGGGCAAGACCCTGTCTCAAAAACAGAAACAACAACCCAAAATGAAAACCCAGCAATTCAAAAGGAAATCTGCTAACACCCCCAATACTTACTGAATAAGAATTTATATTTTAAAAGAGAACATATTGCCTATTTGAGATCAGAATAATCCTTCAACAAAGAAAATGCTACAAAAAAAACAAAAAGTCTTCAAGGGTTAGCTGGGAAAAAGAAAAATGAGAACCCAAGGCTGAATAGCAGACCTTCCAGGAGAGCTGAGGACGTGGTGGGAGAAGGGCAGCTTTCCTGACCCAGGGAGCCCCCACTTCACTCTCAGGCATCTCCTGCTCAGTGGTATTGCCCCAACATCTGCAATGAATGACACTATCTAGGGCAAAACCAGAAGAGTCGCTCCTCTGATTTAAGGTGCTCTTGCGGTGGCTCATGGGACTGTCCAAGCCAGAGCTCTGACCCATCCCTGCGGTGCCCAATCTGTACCCTAGGGAGAGGGTGCAGCCTACCAGTCAGGGACCAACGTTCTGGAAACATGAGCCAGAGGTCTAGGGAAAACAACGTTACAACCAGCACCTGGAGTAGACTCTGTTTACAATACCCCCGGGACACGGGGCCTGAGTGTTAACATTCTCATTAGAATTGGAAGCTTGTTTTACAGACATTGATCTTGAAAGATGTCCATCTTTTTGTTTGGCTCCCGTTAGCAGAAGCTTTGAAACCCTGAGGGATTTCCCCACTTACTTGCCGGTTCAGCCTTATGGACAAGATGTTGCTGGAGTAGCTGTAATTACAGATCTCTGTGCCTTTCTTGAAGTGATACACGTTCATCTGCCGTGGTTTTGTGTGACTGACTACCACCACCAGGCTGCTGGAGAAGAGGCGCTCCACGATGTAGACGTCCGGGATTTCATCTGGGAGGAAAAGCAGCCGGGAGGTTACATGGATTGATCACTTCCAAGAAGGATTCCAGCCTCCATGACACTGGGCCCGGCGCAGGCCAGGTTCCAAAGGTTCTCCGGGTCTTGCCGGCCAGGCGCCCTCTCTGAGCTTGCATTGACAGTGATCCACCATGCCCCCCACCCTGCCAGGTGGCTTTTTACCCTCTCCCAGGGAGCACTTTCAGAGTCCTTTCCAAATATCTAAAGTAAAGAAAACACTAGTGGCCTGGCATGGCGGCTCACGCCTAGTAATCCCAGCACTTTGGGAGGCTGAGGCAGGAGAATCACTTGAGGCCAGGAGTTCAAGACCAGCCTGGCCAACATGGCGAAACCCCATCTCTACTAAAAATATTTTAAAAATTAGCCAGGTATGGTGGTGCACACCTGTAATCTCAGCTACTCGGGAGGCTGAGGCATGAGAATCACCTGAACCCAGGAGGAAGAGATTGCAGTGAGCCGAGATCACAACACTGCACTCCAGCCTGGGCGACAAGCAAGACTCCGTCTCAAGAAAAGAAAAAGAAAACACTAGTGACTAGACTGCAAGTCAGAGCAAAGGCAGACAGCTGCCTCTGATGCTGTCTGAGTGGCAGAATCTCCCCTCCAGACCCTAGGGCTCCACTGTTTGCTCTGTCAAACATGTTTGGAATATTTGAACAATTTTCATCTACCCTTTCCCTGAGAGATTTCAAAGGCGTGACTTCTCAGTTGGGAACTTCTGCTTCAGAATTCTTCTTGTCCTGCTAGAGGGGTGCCAATATGGGAGGGGACAGTAACACAGTTAAATCTGTACTCCCCCCACCCCCTATCTTGCTGTGCTCCCTGGATCTCTTTCCTGCTGAAAACCATCTGGACATCAGTATTATGACGAGGAAAGTACTTCTGTACTCAGGAAGAAGTTAGTTAATGACCCTCCTGAGCACAAAGGTTACGGCTTTGGTATCTTTCTGAGCACATTCTTTTCATATGTGTGCCTTTCTTCCACTTGGAAAAGGCCCACAGGGAACAATGTGGGACAGACATAGAGCAAAAAATTCACAAAAATGGTGTAATAACAATAACATCTTACAAATAAAGTAGGAGCCCAAAATATTATTTACTGAACCACTTTTTTTCCAGGAAACTGAAAGGTTGTATATTGTTCGCTATTATGATGGCATAAACCATCACCCTGACAAAATAAGGAAGTCACATTTCTAGTGAATTATTTACAGTGTTCACTAGACATGCTTCAACATCATTGACATGGGCTATGTAAATAGGATACCGTTGCCTTCTTCAAACAAATACTTCCAAAACTGAATCAATGTTATCAGTATCTTATGGTGCCAATATAATGGCAAAAATAAGTCACAGGTGGCTGGGTGAGGTGGCTCACGCCTGTAATCTCAGGACTTTGGGAGGCCAAAATGGGCAGATAACTCAAAGTCAGGAGTTGGAGACCAGCCTGGCCAACGTGGTGAAACCCCGTCTCTACTAAAAATACAAAAATTAGCTGGGTTTGGTGGCATGTGCCTGTAATCTCATCTACTTGGGAGGCTGAGGCAGGAGAATCACTTGAACCCAGGAGGTGGAGGTTGCAGTGAGCCAAGATCGTGCCACTGCACTCCAGCCTGGGTGATAGAGCAAGACTCCATCTCAAAAAAAGAAAGAAAGAAAATGTCACAAGTGTCCTTTAGGTTTGACAGTTATAAAAATTAATGACTGTGCATATAAGCATGTGAAAAAGTCTCAATAATATGATTTCACACAAATAATTTCTTCTATAAAAAGAAAATGTTACTTAAACTGTTGCCAGATCTAAGTGCTTGTGGTTTAAAGCAAGTAGTGGCAACGATTTATATTTAAATCTAAAAATCTTGACTCCCTAAGTTTGATGGCTAAGGAAGGGAAAAATAGGCAGCTTGGTAGCACCGCAGATTAAAGCCTAGAAGGAGGCTCTGGTTCTCCTGCAGATCCCTGAGGTCTCTCTCACACACACTTACTGCTTCCGTGGACTTGATCCAGCTGCTCCACAGAACTCAGAGAAAACAGCTTATACCCGGCTTTAGTTCCAGTTGCTAGGGATCTGTGGAGGATAATGACAGCATGGGAATAACGACAGGTATTCTAACAACAGATCTGTCTGCAAATAGATGCCTTTTGCCCCCTAGCCTCAGGGGTACAGTAAACAAGCATCTGCAGGAGCTTAGATCCTTGGTAACTTCCTAAATGGTGACGCATGTCTTGACAGGCAGGAAGAGCAAAAGAAAAGAAGAAAAAGTCAAAGGCAACTTAAAAAAAAAAGTGAAATGATCAAGGGGCATGAAACTGCATGAGCTCTGTCATCCAACAAAATGTCAAATCTAGCAGACATGTTTTTCCCACTGGGCAGATAACAGGAAAAATTGAATGTTTAAGAATATTCATAATAGCTGAAAGCTCTACCTCCAACACAACGAGGGGGCCTTCTTGTTGTCTGAGAGGCACTTTACCAGATAAATCAGTTTTTCTTTCCTTCATAACTTTATTTGTTTGTTGCTTATAAGAAGAAACATGCTTTGCTTTTCTTTTCCTTTTTTTTTTTTTTTTTGAGAGGGAGTCTCGCTCTGTCACCCGGGCTGGAGTGCAGTGGTGCCATCACAGCTCACTCCAACCTCCGCCTCCTGGGTTCAAGCAATTCTCCTGCCTCAGCCTCCCGAGCAGTGAGGATTACAGGCATGCACCACCACGCCAGGCTAATTTTTGTATTTTTAGTAGAGACAGGGTTTCACCATGTTGACTAGGCTGGTCTTGAACTCCTGGCCTCAAGTAATCCACCTGCCTCGGCCTCCCAAAGTGCTTAGGCATCAGCCACCATGCCTGGTCTAAGAAATACACTTTCAAAGTAGGCATAGTAGGTCATTAGTAGGTAAAATTTAATAGATGCTTCCTTTCATCAGTTTCCAGAAAAATGTCCTGATACTTCATACTAGTAGCTCTCACACCTGGATGTATATTAAACTCAGCTGGGAAGTTTAATTGGATTTGAAGTTCAAGTATTCTAATGAGCAGCCCAAGTTGGAGAACTCTGCTTTCTACTATATCCTACAAAGCAATCATCACAACCAACAAACAAAATACAAACTAAACATTTATCTAGGACAATCAAAGTGCCTCTTAAAAAAAATCTGGTTCTCTTAATTTTTCATTTTTCAATGAGGAGATAAAGACAGGACGTGAATCCAGATTTTCTTGGCCTTGTGTTGAAAGTAAACATCAAAGTCAACTTTGTTCAGCAGCTGGGAATCCTCACCCAGCTCTTTCCAGCTGTGCCCTCCGCACCTAAGTGATGAACAGAATCTGACCCGGAGCACACTCACAGAAGTGTGCTTCTCTGGAAGGCAAGGTGAAATTCACTCTTTACAGGGAAGCATATACTAAAATAAGCAACTTACTATTACAAGCCTGGATGGCCAAGGCTCTTGTTTCACTAGCCTAAAAAAGAGAAGGTCACATGATTTTCCCTGGAATTTTTTTTCCCTACCCAGACATTTGTTCTTCCCTGGGACACAGGGATAGGGCAACTACAGTAAACTTTTAATCCACAAGGTAGCTGGTGACGTCTCGCAGCCCTCCAACCTGCTAAGTAGCTAAACTGGTGGGTTAGACATTTGCAGCTGTGCACTTAGAACTGGCATTTAGTACCTAGACTGAGGTATTCATGATGACAAACAGCAACTGGAAAAGTAAGCCCAGAGCATCTTAAAACTTCAAAATGTATTTTGTAGTGTTATTGTTTTTAAACTTTCTTCACATAAACTTTTTCACATAAATATAGATGTGTTTGGCTGCGAAATGAGGTTTGTAAAGTTTGCAAGTAAGGAAAGAAATACTGTAACTAGAGTCTTATAACATTAATGCAAAGTGACAGCAATTTAAAGTAATTTTCAAACATAAGCCCTGCTCCTGGACCAGAAGAATTCTACATATGAGAAAATCACAGAGTGATGTTTTATGTGATGTTTTACGTGATTGATCAATGGCCACAAAAGACTCTGAATCAAGGAATTTAGACTTAGACCTTATTTCATCCATAAAGTCTTTCTGTAGAAACAAAATTCTAATCACCACTCATGGAAACAGAGCTTGGGACAAATATTTATCATTAATCAAATTTAAAATGTACCCAAAGTAGGCTGGGCATAGTGTGTCACATCTGTAATCCCAGCATTTTGGGAGGCTGAGGTGGGTGGATCACTTGAGGTCAGGAGTTCAAGACCAAGCTGGGCAATGTGGCAAAACCCCGTCTCTACTAAAAATACAAAAAATTAGCTGAGTGTGGTGGTACACGTTTGTAATCCTAGCTACTTGAGAGGCTGAGACAGGAGAATCGCTTGAACCCTGGGAGGCAGAGGCTGCACTGAGCCAAGACCACACCACTGCACTCCAGCCTGGGTGACAGAGCAAGACTGTCTCAAAAAAAAAAAAAAAAAAAGTACCCAAAGTGTATAGCACAAGTACCAATCACGAAGTATGAGCGTAGGGGACTGGTAAGGGTTTGCTGTTTTCACCTACCTTCTTTGGAAATACTGGATCCCAAATTCAGCCTACATTTATAGAAAAAGACATGGCAATACACCTAAATGTATTCAGTAAGGGGCTTGACTTATTTTAAAATCCAATGTCATACCCTCTGTGGCTCAAAGCAACTGACTGTGACAAGAACTTTTATTTATAGGCAAGGCAAAGCTGCCCAGCAGAGCTTCCATCCAAGAAAATAAAACTAACAGTAGGGAGTAAGGAAATTAACTTTCAAAGCACCCTACCGTTTTGAAAATAACATTCTTATTCAATTTCTGTAGAAAGCTGGGACTTTGCGTTATTTAATGGCTAGAGTATAAATTAACACCCTTTTTTGTCAAATCTAATGATGTTACAAAGCAGAATTTAGAACATTTACTACTTACAAGCAAACTAACCCCCTTTCTTAACTTGTGTTCAATTGGGAAGGAAAACATCACCCAGGCATTTCAACAGCCATGCCCTCTTGCAAAATGTTTCTTACAGAACATCAGGATTTTATCTATACCAGCATTTTTATAAACTGCAGGTCTCAACTCATGAGTGGATCCTAAAACGCAATTCAGTGAGTCACAAGCAGCTTAGAAAAAAAGGACACAGAAAATTGCACATGATATTTTGTGAATAGTGTATGTGTTATGGGTATTGGGTGATGTTGCAATACATATTTCGTATTGTGGATTGTGGTCAAGAAAAACTTGAAAGTCACTCAAATAACCAAGCTGTAGAGCTACTCGATTACATGATTACACATATGGGTTTTTCAAACAAAGGCATATTGTTCAGCACCGGGTGTTTTTAAACAGAAACATAAAGGGAATGGAAGCCAGGGTGGCTAATGGTACATAATGGCCTTAATTACACCACTGAAGGATCAATATTAGCGTAGCTCAGTCACCAGCAGCCAAGGCACAGAAACTGGTACAGCAGGAAGTGGGAAACTGGGAATCGGTCATCCCCGCCTGATGCTCAGGGTGCACATTCCAAAAAGATGATTCCATATGGTCCCCAGGGCTCGCTTCCATGAAAATAGGGAAAGAAACAGGCGTTTGCCTGTAAGTCACAGAATCCTGCAGATGCCTGAAACACACTTCAGCCCAGCTCCCTCTCAAAGCCCAAATGTGAACATCGAAGTAAAACATTAAAAATCCACTCAAAAACAACAGGGTGGAGCTCCTGTTTCCTGGAGAGAAAGCAGTCTGCGCCCGGGAAAAGAGTCTTGGACTCCGAGAAGGAGATCCTGCCTGGCTGGGTGGGCGATGTGAAAACAGCCAAAGAAATCCAAAGGTTTCTTCCATCCAGAGCGGGCAGGCACGATGCCCTGCGTCGGGGATGGGACAGGGGCTGGCCTGGCCGCAGGGATAGGCTGCCTCTTTGTCCGAGGCCCTGCCCAGATGCCACGTTGAGATGCTCAAGGACAAATGGGAAAGTTTTTCCTGTACTCTCATCTTCCTGGGCCCCAACTACAGAGTCCTGGGTCAACTTGCAACTTCCTCTCCTTTCTCATCTCTTTCTTTTGGCCACTGTCTCTCTTCCCCAGACACCCACTTTGGTCACTGGCTTTCCCACCGCCCTGCTCCCCCCATATTCCGTGGCCCCCGCAGCCCCACCACTCCCTTTGCGAACTCCCTGCTTTCACCCTTGGCCCAACCTTGTCGCTCTGGGAGGACACTGGGAGTGGGGTGGGGTGGGGGGTGCGGCAAACCCCACTGAAGGGGTACGGGGATAACAAGATCCCAATGCGTCCGAAGCAGACACCGGCCCTCCCGCCGAGGCCGCCTCGAGGCGGAAGCCACAAGCTGCTCTCAGGACGACACCCCTGGGTCCTGACACTCTGTCCCCCACCTCCCTGGCAGGGGCCGAGTCGCAGCTTACGTGCAGTCCTGGTTGAAAGAGAAGCAGCTGAGCGCCGACTCAACCCCGCCCGGGGGAGCGTCCGCGGCCTCGGCCTCCATCGGGGGCTCGGCCCGGGAAGCCGCAGCTCGGAGCCGGCGACAGCCACCTCAGCAGCCCGCCCGCGCCGGCTCCACGGGCCGGGTCGCCGGTCCTGCCCCGCCCCTACCCCGCCCCGTCCCCACCCCGCCCCTACCCCGCCCCGTCCCCACCCCGCCCCTACCCCGCCCCGTCCCCGCCGCGTCCCCGGCTTCGCCCCGCCCCTTCTCGCCCCTCCAGCTGGTCCCGAGGACCAGAGCACCTGATAGGGCGGGGCCCCTGCCTCCGGCCACCATTGGCCACGAGCCCAAGCCACGGCTGGCGGGCACCGCCCCCCTTGGCCAATCCGTGGCAGCTGTGGGCGGACCCGCCCGGCTGGCGACCCGCCCCTGGCTTCGTAACGCGGCTCTCCATTGGACAAAGGCGCGTGACGCAAAGGCAGCAGGCCCACGTGGCGGTGTTTTCATTGCCGGAGCCGCCCAGCTGGGAGGGAGAGGGAAGAAGGAATGCGGCTGGGGCCAGATCTGCTGGTTTCAGTCCGGCAACTGCGTCGGGGCCGCCGCAAGGGTGACAGGAGGACGCGCTAGTTCCCACCCCGCCCAGACCCCTTGCCATGTGTAACTCTGCCTATTAAACTTACAGAGTTTAGCAGAGAGCGTTAGACTCCAAAGCCCCACCCTTTTGTCGAGTCCTCAAGCCGCATTGAGAGAAGCTCCTGAAATGGGGCTGCCTCAGCCAGAGAGATAGCAAGTTATCTTATCCATTGCCGAGCGGTTGAGAACCCTCACTACTTGCCAAGCGCGCCGTACTATGTATGTCATCTTGAATTCTTATAAAACTTGTGTGGAAAATACGATTGTGCTCAATATACAGAAGAGGCAACTGAAGCTCCAAAGCTAAACAATTTGTCTAAAGTAACAGTAAATGGTAGAATGTCTGCATGTCTGCTTTCAAGACCTGTGCACTAAATAACTGCTAAACAGTAATTTGCAAAAACAACGTAGCACCTAGCATGCGAGATTCTAGGTTTTCTAACCAGGACAGAAATGACTGCAGCATTTGACGGAGCTGGAAGGTGGGGGGAAGCACCTTTGATCTGAAAAGTTACAAAAATGGCACAAAGTATCTAAACAAGACCTATCCGATCCGCAGCTGAAAAAAATGAAAGTGTGTGTAGGGCAGTGTAGTTTATGAAAGGGGTAACGTCTTGAAGATATAGCACAATTCAAAACTCACGTAATTCGAGATAAACCTTAACAAAGAATCTCTTTTTAAAAGCTGAGTACTGTACATGTTCCCATGCGGAATTACTGTCAATACGGTTTATGAAGCAGGAGCTCTGCCAGCTTTGGATTGTATAACTGCTGATGGATTTTTAATTCATTTTTTCAAATTTTGAGATGATATTTTAGTTATTGTTATATGACAGTCTCTCAAATCAGCATAATTCAAATTTATTAGGTTGGTGCAAAAGTAATTGCGGTTTTCCCCATTTCCCACTTTTAATACCCAGTTTATGACAAAGCTACTTTTATGTATGTGTATATATATATATATTTAACCTTGGACCTACAATAGATGAACAAAGGGCACTATTTCACCTAAACCTTTCTGGTTGGATTTCCGGTTTGTGTTTTCTGAGATGCAAATGTAACAGTTTCTTTTCTCAACTTTATTATTTTTTTCTCTCCACTGATGTAAAAAATAGTTCAGCTCATAGATTCACAGATGTTATTGCTCTTTGGCTGATTGTGAGGTGTTGTATAAACTATCAGAAGTGAATGGAACTGCTGTTTAGATACTTTGTGCCATTTTTGTAACCTTTCAGATCAAAGGTGCTTCCCCCCACCTTCCAGCTCTGTCAAATGCTGCAGTCATTTCTGTCCTGGTTAGAAAACCTAGAATCTGGCATGCTAGGTGCTACGTTGTTTGGAGAATTACATGAAGTGTACCATAAAGTTTTTAAAGTGTAAGCTGTTATTATCAGTTTGTTATTAAGAGTTTGGACTTTATGGGATAGACCTGGGAGCTGGTGTTAGTTTTTGAGCAGGAGTGTTTCATGATAAAAAAGCAGTGTCTTTGTCAGATAAACTTGGCCAGGGTGTGCAGAACAAATTAGAAGTGGGAAAAGATCTAGAAGTCTTTAGGGGACTAATGTGAAATTCTGGAAGTAAAGGGACAGGAGAGACTAGGCTAAAGTGATGAAAACAAGGCCAGAAAATTAGACCAAATCATAGAGTTGTTTTCAGGCATTGCTGTCCAGTAGATAAAATGAGCCCCAAATGTGAACTCCACATTGTAAATTTCAGTTTTCTAGAAGATACATTTAAAAAGGTAGAAATAGGCAAATTAATTGGAATAATATCATTTATTTAATCCAATGTGTCAAAAATATCATTTCAATATAAAGATAATCAATATAAAGTTACTAATCAGTTAATTCAGGTTTTAATTTTTTTTTTTTTTGAGACAGAGTCTTGCTCTGTCACCAGGCTCACTGCAACCTCTCCATCCCGGGTTCAAGCGATTCTCCTGCCTCAGCCTCCCAAGCAGCTGGGACTTCAGGCCCCCGCCACCATGCCCAGCTAATTTTTGTATTTTTAATACAGACGGGATTTCACCATGTTGGTCAGGCTGGTCTCACACTCCTGACCTCATGATCCACCTGCCTCAGCCTCCCAAAGTGCTGGGATTACAGGCGTGAGCCACCACGCCTGGCCTCAGATTTTAATTTTTTTTTAGAACTAAATATTGAATATCCGGTGTGTATTTTTCACTTACACCATATCTCAGTTCACATGAGCCACATTTTAAGTGTTCATGTAGCTGGTGGCTACTTTATTCTCAGTAGAGTCTTGAGGGACTAAATGACAGGCATGGCAACTGATGGGGAAGGGGGAGGGGCAGGGAAGAAGAGGGAAGAGTCAAAGCTGATTTCATGGTTGGGAAGGGGAAGCCCATTGGGTTGCTTTTAGAAACTAGATCTTCAGTCAGGTATTCAGGAAGTTGTATTTCATTTCAGACACTTTAAATCAGCAGCAGAACTGCATGCTTACTGGAATCAAGGTTTGGATCTAGAGCTATGGCCACGGGAGAAAAATGGTCACCTTCCCAGCCTCAGCCTTTCCTGTGAATGGTCCCCCTTATATGTTTCTTTCCAGGCTAATGGTCCATTATGGCACCAGCCATGTGGAAATAACATCTCAGGGCTGCCTCATCTGATTTCATTTTTCCCAAGACAATATGTAAGTCTGTATTTTTATATAAATCTGTGCCTATTTTATTAAAAACCTGTATTTGTAGGTAAATTTAAAAAATGATGAAAACTAATTCTTATTTTCAAAAAGTACCTCATAAGCTAAACTAAATACATCAGCTAGCTGGATGTGGTTTGTGGAGGGCTGGTTTGTGATTTCTGTTAGAGGTGTAAGCAGCCACTTTGAAGAGCTCCACCCTCAAAAAATTTCCCAGAAGTCCATTCATATAAAAAGCCAAGGGCAAGGTTATAAATAACTTAAGAGGTGCTGAATCCATTTAATGTCAGGCTGGTTTTTCTTTTTTAACATTCTAGTTCTGGGTTCTGTGGGAGAGGACACTCTTGATTTGAATGTTGGGCTTATGGGCAACCTAAGTCTTACAAGTTCTTGCAACAGCAATTTCACTACTAAATAACATCAGCAAAAGATAATGGGGTAGGTGGGGCAGGGGACAATGCTTTGTTCCAGTGGGAATAAGATTTTGGCCTTTCTCTTTCTTTCAACTGAAATTCCTAAATGTCTATCTTTTCCCTGAAAAACAAAACAAACAAACAAACAAAAAACTCCATTATTTCTAGGAAAACTTACTCGTAAGTAACTAGTAAGTTACTTACCAGTCAGCAAAATCTGGGAAAATAAAGCTGGGCTCTGGGAATTAAAAACATGTTTGGTAATACAAAATTGCAGGCCACAGTTCATCTAATGGAGAGACTTCTTATTTGTATAACAATCAGGTTGTAATTTTAAAATGCTGATTAGGGCATGCACAGGGCATTCACAGGGGAAGGTGGAAATGAGACATCCTGTCTGATGCAACACTCCTGTCACCCCATATGGTCATTCATGGCACCCAACCATCTACAATTAAAGTAACTACTAGGTGAACAAACACCACTCCTGTCCTATTCTTCTTTTTATAAAGTCCATTCTATTTTTATAAAATCAAGTTACAGGAAATAATCTCCTTTCTCTTTTCTGCTATGGGGCAACACTCAGAACATGAACTGAGAACGAGTTGAACTCTAATGGACCAGTGTATGGTAGCCCTTTGAGAAAGGGTAAAGGAGGAAGGGCCCTGGGACAATGGAGCCAAGAGGGAGAGGGAGGGAAGGGCGATGTGTCAGTACGTGGAGGAAGCTCAAGGAGTCAGCCCTATGGTGCCAGGGTAGAAGAGGAGGGGTTGGGCTGTGGGGTGATTTCTGGGAAAGGAGATGATCGAACTGATTGGCAAGCAGGAAGCCCCAGCCAGAAGTCTGGCCGAGCAGCAGGTGCAACTGGGTTTTCTGTTTCTAATTATAGACAGTGTGTGTGAGATAGCATGGCTGCAGTGAATGAAGAGGCCCTATCATGTGCCCTTGTCCCCCAAATGGAACCATTATTTCTGGATTTATTGATTAAAAGGGGAGAGACAGGGAGCAAAAACTAACAACACTTCTAATATTCCTTGACTTATATATTCCTTCCCAAGAGTCAGGAAAAATGTTATTTCATGAAAGAGTGAATTGATGTCTTAATCTTCATTCTCTCCCCTCACCTGTCTTATTTTTGCCTCCAGAATAGCCTTCCTAAAACACCAAGGTGAATTACAGGTTCTCAATAAATGCTTGCTGATTGGCTGATGATCACGAAGACAGTTGCTTTCTACAAGTGCTTTTGCTAATGTCCTTGGAGCTGAGAGTCTGTTACCCATGCCAGTGCAGAGAGGTTCAATCAAGGTGTTTTTGTTCACCGAGGCATCTTCGCACTGGTCAAGAACACAGAGACGGGTTCAGCAGGTCAGCCAATCACCCTGCCTTAAATTTTAGAATATAATTATAGGCGATACTTGAAAATAGAAGACCAAGCTTTATAGAAAGCTTGGTTTGGAGCGTCATAGATCTTCTCATGTGACGCTAACCACATCTATCTGGTCTAGGAATGTTTATCCCCATCAGGCAGCTGCATATGCCAAAGTGGAGACTGTCGAGTAAGTTGCCAAAGGCCCTAGGACAGTTTTTGATGCAGGTGTAGTTTGTATTCTGTCCCTTCCACTGGGTGCCCAGGTTGCCTGTCACGCTGTCTCTTGGACTGCTTTGGCTCAAGGCTGGAAATAGAATTGGCATCTTAACCTGTGCTTCATCCTATGAAGGGACAGAGGAGCAAGGGGTGAAGAGATAGAGGCAGAATTGTGCCAAGAGGGCCACGGGCCAAGTACAAGGGGGAGAGTGTGGAGTCCTGCAGCTCTTCAAAGGGCACCAGCACTTTGCCTACATTTACCAAGGGTACATCTAGAAATATTCAAAAACGTCCTTTGCTCCCAAGCAGAGAGTTAGCCTGTGCTCCTGGCTGGGCATGGCTTGTTGGAACGTGCTGTACGACTTTAGGTTTCTTTCTAGTCTAGCGGTGGTGCAGGGAGTGGTAATCATTCTCTAGAATCAGTCACCCCTGGGAAGAAGGTGGATTCAAAGGCTTTGGGCTTAGGGTGAGAGGGGCGTGGCTAAGAATCCCGAGATTCTTGGTGAACAGTGCCATCTAGTGGTCTGTATGATTTAGTTCTAGGATGGTTGGGGGGACACCTCAGGAAAAACTGGCTTGAGTGATAAGATATGGGTAGCCAGTCCTAAAGCCCCAAAAGAAAGTCTCTGAGGCTCCCTTGTGTATTTTTCCAAAACCTCTTTACTGTCTATAAATGGAAAACACAGAAGCCTCCCTCACCACTTCCTCTGAAGGAGGAGAAGTTTGGAAGGAGTTTGTATATTCATTCATTCATCCATTCATTCATTTGACCAATTTTTATCATGTGCCTGTTGTGTGCCGGTCATGGCTCCAGGTTCTAGGGATATGACGCTGTCCAAAATAAATAAAAACCCCTGCCCACCTGGGCAGAGAGACCATTAACAAGAAAAATGAGATGTATAGTATCTTAGATGGTGATAAGTGCTAAGAAATGTATAGCAGTGAAAGTGTGTTTGGGAGTGTGGGGTGTAGGGAGGAGAAATTTTGCATAGGGTGGGCAGGGAAGGCCCCACTGAAAATTTCCATTTGAACAAGACCTCAGGAAGAAAAGGGAGCAGGTTATGCAGTCATATGGGAAAAAGCTCAAAGAGCAGCGAGGAGGCAGGGCCGCTGGAGTGGGGAGAAGAGTGGGGAGAACTACAGGCAAAGAGGTCAGAGTGACCTGAGAAATCACTGGAAGTTCTGACTTACACTGGAATTCGACACAGACAGCTGTGTTGAAAAGAAATTGAAGGTGTCTTGGGAGATTCACAATTCACTTTAGCACGTTCAAGTCTCCAGAAAGCCCAGCATTATGTTTATTTAACATTGTTTCCCAAGTACTTTCCAAGCTTATTTAAAGATAGATTCCCTTTCTTCCAGGAACACCCACTACTTCATGTGGGAACCTGAGAAAATGGAAATCAGCTCAGATGAGCAGACTGGAATGTTCCCAACAGTCATAAACAAGGCCAGCACAAGGCCAGGTGAAAACTGTGTTTAACCCAAGGCCACACTGTAGCTGCAAAATTACTGACATTGGCATATCTAATCCTTTCTTATCAAAGCCTCTCCCAGACCCACTCGATTTCTCCACTTGCTGAACAAAAATTTCTGAGATATCCGATGATGAAACCACCTGCTTCACAACACATCCATTCCTGACCTGATTCCTGTTTCTTCTACCTTTCCCTTCCTAGCATAACTTAACACAAACCTGGCAAAAAGCCCTTTCCCACAGCCTCTTACTGAGATGCCTCATGGTTCACTTGATGTGCACACCCTCTTGCTGCAGGAAGTTAATAAAACTGACATTGCCGAGGCGGATGGATCGTGAGGTCAGGAGTTCGAGACCAGCCTGGCCAACACGGTGAAACCCCGTCTCTACTAAAAATACAAAAATTAGCTGGGTGTGGTGGCACGTGCCTGTAGTCCCAGTTACTTGGGAGGCTGAGGCAGGAGAATCGCTTGAACCCGGGAGGTGGAGGTTGCAGTGAGCCGAGATCGTGCCGCCGCACACTGTACTCCTGCCTGGGCGACAAAGCGAGACTCTGTCTCAAAAAAAAAAACAAAAAAAACAAAAAAAACACCTAACATTGAAAAGGTTTATTCCTCTTATACTTTACCTGTAGGTGTTATCAGAGCCCAGCGTTTCATAGAACGAGGTGTAAGAACAGCTGGACAAAATGATCACTTCCTATTATGAAATTCTGAGTCTAAAGACATTGCATCCCCCCAAAACTGTCTTGTATACCAATCAAAAACAGCATTTTAAGAATGAAAAGGGTGAGGAAGTGTGGGTTTTTTTTTTTTTTAGACGGAGTCTTGCTCTGTTGCCCAGGCTGGAGTGCAGTGGCGTGATCTCCGCTCACTGCAAGCTCCACCTCCCAGGTTCACACCATTCTCCTGCCTCAGCTTCCTGAGTAGCTGGGACTACAGGCGCCCGCCACCACGCCCGGCTAATTTTTTTTTTTTTGTATTTTCAGTAGATACGGGGTTTCACTGTGTTAGCCAGGATGGTCTCCATCACCTGACCTCGTGATCTGCCCGCCTCGGCCTTCCAAAGTACTGGGATTACAGGCGTGAGCCACCGCGCCCGGCCCCGGCCGGGTTATTTTTATAAGTTACTCCTTGTCTATCTGGTCCCTTCTGCTGCTAACATTTTTGGCTGAACATTTGTACTATGGGATCTCTTGGCTTGATGAGGGTTTAATACGCTTCCCTTCTGCTGGGAGCCTCCTTGGACTTTCTTGGGCAATGCACAGATGTCTGGAGACAGACCAGATTGTTTCTGGGCAAAACAAAGCACATTGTCTCAGCTTTCTATTATTATTATTATTTTTTAGATGGAGTCTCACTCTGTTGCCCAGGCTGGAGAGCAGTGGTGTGACCTCAGCTCACTGCAACCTCCGCCTCCGGGGTTCAAGCAATTCTCTTGCCTCAACCTCTGGAGTAGTTGGGATTACAGACGTGCGGTGCGCGACCACGCCCAGCAATTTTTTTTTTTTTTTTTTTTTTTTGTAGAGACGGGGTTTCACCATGTTGGCCAGGCTGGTCTCGAACTCCTGACCTCAGGTGATCCACCCGCCTGGGCCTCTCAAAGTGCTGGGATTACAGGCATGAGCCATCGCGCCCGGCCTGTCTCAGCTTTCTTGAGCTGTGATGAGTGTATAGGCAATGGTGATTCACAAAAGCAGACTTGCATCTTAGAAAGCTCCCTACAGCAGCAGTAGAGGATGTCGGAGAGGGGCGAGTGATGGGGGCAGAGACCAGGTGAGAGGCTGGTATGTCAATTCAAGTCAGACACTGGAACTTAGGTGCTTGCTGTGGGTGGAGGTAGAATGTATAGGACTCAGTGGCCTATTACATGAGGGAACTGGGAGAGGCAGGTCAGCATGGAGATTGGTTGTCAGTGTAACTTGGGTTTCCCCTGACCTTACTGACTTCTGCGTGCAAATGGGCCTGTCGTGCAAATGGGCCTGTGTTATCACTTACCCAAATTTCACCGGCTTCTTCCTCTACCTTTTATAGAACATACAGCTCCCTCCAAAGCCTTTCCTATTAATTACTGGGAGTCCCCGGAAATGCCTCGCACGTGCGGGGACCTGCCCTTTTAGGCTTTGCCCATAGGGATTTTTGTTTCTGCTGATGAAGGCCCTTGTGATTGATGCCTAATTGCTGCCACCTGCTGGAGTCCACTGTAACAACACTGAAGTGTTTCTTCCCACCAGTACACACCCTTTCTGCTTGTATTGAAATGTTATTTATGTTTTCTCTCTCTTTTTTTTTTTTTTTTTTTTGAGACAGAGTCTCACTCTGTCACCCAGGCTGGAGTGCAGTGGTGCGATCTCGGCTCCCTGCAATTTCTGCCTCCCAGGTTCAAGCGATTCTAGTGCCTCGGCCTCCCGAGTAGCTGGGACTACAGACACCTGCCACCACACCTGGCTCATTTCTATATTTTTAGTAGAGACAGGGTTTTGCCATGTTGACCAGGCTTCTCTCTATCTCCTGGCCTCAAGTGATCCACCCCCCTTGGCCTCCCAAAGTGCTGAGATTACAATCGTGAGTCACCGTGCCCAACCATGTTTTCTCCTATCTTATGTTAATGTGGAGAATTATATTGAGTAATTTTTTATTGAAGTGAAATTTACATACAGTTAACCATTTTTAAGTGAACAACGCGGTGACATCTAGTGCGTTCACAAGGTTGTGCATCCACCTCCGTTATCTGGTTCCAAAACATTTCCATCACTCCGAAAGAAAACCCTGTACCCCTTAAACAGCTACTACCCATCCCTCCTCCCCAAGCCCTTGGCAATGACCAGTCAGCTTTCTGTTTCTATGGATTTATCTATTCTGGATATCTCATATAAATGGAATCACACAATACGTGGCCCTTTGTGTCTGGCTTTCACTTAGCAGAATGTTTTCAAGGTTCATCCACGTTGTAGCATGTGTCGGTATTTCATTTCTTTTTATGGCTGAATAGTATTCCTTTGAATACGCATATCACAATTTTATACATTTATCAGCTGAGGGACATTTGGGTTGTTCCCATCTTTTGGCTATTGTGAATATCATGAACATGTGCATACATGTACTTATTTGGTACGTGTTTTCAATTCTCTTGAGAACACTCTGAACTCCTAGGAGTGGAATTGCTGGGTCACCTGGTAATTCTATGTTTAACTTTTTGAGGAACTGCAAAACTGTTTTTCATAGCAGCTGAACCATTTTACATTCCTATAGCAGCATACAGGGACTCCAGTTTCTCCATATCCTTGCCAACACTTGTTATTTTCTGTTTTTTTGTTTTTGTTTTCCGAATTACTATAGCCATCCTTGTGGGTGTCATGAACACTAAAGTTTTATGAGATGCCTGCAAACTGCAAACCCTTGGGACATCTAACCAGTGCTCGATGCCCCAGCATTCTCACTGAGTCAAAGCCCTACTGTACTCTCAAGATCCCTGTGCTCATTCTGGGTCACACTCTTGACACCTGGACAATAAGTTTCAACACAGAGCTCTCTCTTTATGAAGCTCAAATGGGAGTTCAAGAACTCGATATCTGAAGCAGATCCCAGGCTTTCCTTCCTGGCCTGTTCTTTCCAATCTTATCTTTCATTCTCCTAGCTAAAATCTCTTGATATACCACCAGCTCTTTAGGTACACTGGGATATGATTGCTTCCAAACTTAGCTGCTTAGCTTCGGCCGGGGATCTCTATTATGCAGGGGTTGTTGTTGTTGTTGTTTGTTTGTTTTTGTTTGTTCATTTGTTTTGGAGACACGATCTTGCTCTGTCACCCAGGCTGGAGTGCAGTGGTGCCATCATGGCTCACTGCAGCATTGACTTCCCAGGCTCAACTGACCCTCCCACCTCAGCCTCCACAAGTAGCTGGGACCACAGGCACATACTACCATGCCCAACTAATTTATAGATATACATTTTTTTTAGAGAGATGATGTTTTGCCATGTCACCCAGGCTGTGATGGAGGTCCTTGTTAGGATGGAGAGTGGGGCCAATCATGCAGATGATACAGAAAAATAAACACTGAGGACCAGAAACTTTGGTCCCTTTGGCTGTAAGGAAAACCCTGTGTGACATCAAAGAGGGCATGTCTAGGAGGTATTTGATATCTGCATCTGGGGCTAAGGGTAGATATGTGAGATTGGGAGAGAGATCTAGGAGTCATTGGGGGAAGATGTAGTAGCTGAAGCTGTGAGAGGAGGCAGGCTGTAATGGAAAATGTGTCAGTTGGTAAAGAACTGGAACGAAATGTCCTGGTTTGACGTTTTGAGTATTCCTTTAATTTTAGGAACACTATCAGAAAAGAGGCTAGCTTGTGAGCTGAGTCGGCTGCAGCAGCTCTAAACCACACATTGCTGATGAGTGAGAACCTCTGTTATAAATGGAAATGTGAACTGGCAAATGCTCATTGGCTAAAGCTGAATGCACCAGTTTATTTTGGTACCTATTATGTCCATGATCTCCTATTTTCCTTATTGATTGCAAATACGCACGAGGAATAAAAAGCTGGCTTGCTTTCCAAAAACATGACTGAATGTTTTCACTGCTGAATATCTAAAGAGGGTACAGATTGGACCTTTCATTATTTCTCTGAGGTTAGAAATGTCCTTTGGTGGGTTTCTAATTTTTCATGAAAGGTCAGTTCCAGAGACTATTTACATGCTGTTAGGAAAAACATCAAGCAGACAAGACATATCTCAAAATATTTAAAGTGGCCCATTCCTAGGCTCTCAGCTCTTCTCTCTCCACTTCCTCTCCAGGGATCTGTTCCACAGATGGGGGCTTAAGTCAGCCTCTATCTATAGGTGACCCTTGTCTGACCTTATACTCTGGAATGCTCCATATGCCTCTGACTTTCATCCCAGGGAACATCAACACCCACTTCCGCTGGCATTCCTGATGGGATCTCTTTCTCCTGAGCAGTTGAAAGAGTCCTGCTTCAGTGACTCCCAGGGAAAATTGAGAGAGTCATTTTTTTAAAAAAAGAGATTTATCCCACACCAAAACAGGAATCACTCATTTTGCACCATTTTAGGCACTGTCTATTTTCAAGGTAGGCTGCTTTTTTTTTTCTCTCCTGTTCTTCCAATCCATGAACATAGTATAGATTGTTAAGTCCTTTTGAAGTGTAAAATTTCCCACAACCACATAGCTCAATTTCTTCTACCCCCAGGAGCTTTTTTTTCTTTTAATCACATTAGCCTGTGTATTTCTCCCAAAACAGTTATCAAAACTGAAATTATCTTGTTGATTTCTTGGTTTACATGTTTACTATCTGCCTCCTCCATCTAAAACAAAGTTCCATGAGGATGGGGTCTCCTGTCTTCTCCTAGCACCTAGAGCAATGCCCCCATGTATAGGTGCTCATGAAATGTTTGTTGGCTGACTGACTTACAGAATCAGTTGCTTAAATATCATACAAAACTTTCCATCATGAATGTCCTTTTTTTTTTTCCCTCTCTTGAGTAAGGATGTTGTCCTGATTTAACTAGCATTATTGACAAATGCCAATTAACTGTATTAGTGGCTCTCAAGCTTTTGGATGCTCTTTACACTCTTAAAAATTATTAAGGACCCCAAAGAGCTTTTGTTTGTATGGATTATATCTATCATTACTTAGTGAAATAGAAATTAAAACTGAGAATTTAAAATATTTATTAATGCATTAAAGTAATAATAAACCCATTATATGTTAACATTAATATTATTTTTTATACCCCCAAACATACAAAACACAGGGAGAACAGAGGCATCGTTTTTTGTTTTTGCATATCTCTTTCATGTCTGGTATAATAGAAGACAGCTGAATTCTTATATCTGCTTCTGTATTCAACGTATCATATCACAACATCATGTAGCCTTTGAAAAACCCCTCTGTGCACTTGTGAGAGAATGTGAGTAAAAAAGGCGAATAACATCTTAGATTTTTTTTTTTTTTTTGAGACAGAGTCTCACTCTGTCACTCAGGCTGGAGTGCAGTTGCGTGACCTCGGCTCACTGCAACCTCCATCTCCCAGGTTCAAGTGATTCTCCTGCTTCAGCCTCCTAATAGCTGGGATTACAGGAGCGTGCCACCGCACCTGACTAATTTTTGTATTTTTAGTAGAGGCAGGGTTTCACCACATTGGTCAGGCTGGTCTGAAACTCCTGACTGCGTGATCCACCCGCCTTGGCCTCCCAAAGTGCTGGGATTACAAGCATGAGCCACCGTGCCCGGCCCATCTTAGATTATTTTGTAAATAGTTTTGACTTCATAGATGCCCCAAGAGAGTCTTGGGTAAACCCAGGGATTGCTGAAGCACATTGAGAACCAAAGATTGATATTAGTGGAGAGGAATATTTTTCTTTGTCTTTGAACTACATTATCTTTAAACACTACTTTTCTCTTCGATATCCTTTGCTTAGCTTAATATTAAAATACATTTGCATTCCTCAAATCTGCCAAAGGTGGCCAAGATACATAGTGAGGAAGGGGTGATGGAAAAACAAACCAAAGGTTAATAATTCGTTGCTTTTATACAGACACATCCACATACAAACAAAAAAACAATAAAAACATGTGCCTTTGTGAAGCATGCACTGTGTGCTCTATATTTTCCAAAGATTATCTCTATTATTATATCAACATTTCCAGGCAGGAATTATCAGCTTCATTTCATAGACAAAGAAATGGAGGCTCAGAAAACCAAAATAATGTATGAAAGATTGCCAAGCTAATAAGTAATAGAGAGGTGACTGCCACCCCCAAATCTCTTTTCTTCCAAAAGCATGGCCTTTTTGACCATCAAATTCTAGATTACCACAAAATGGGAGGGAAAAACTCAGAAACAATGAAGAGTTCACTGTACACATTAGCCTTATTGTTTTGTATAAATGAATAAAAAAACTAACTCCTTTTTTTCTTCTAGTGATGTGTAAATTTAAAAATTCAATGCATTTTTTCCCCCAGATTTGAAAAGTAATACACCCACAGCAGAAAACTGAAAGACAACTAAATGTCCATCAGTAGGGGACAGGGTGGTTGCATTAATTGCGACACACTTGTGGATGCAATACTATGCAGTCATTAAAAAGAACAAAGCAGCTCTATTGGTACTGAAATAGAACTATCTCTAAGATGGGAAAAAATAAGGTGGCTCAAGTTCTACAGTATGCTGTCATTTGTATTTAAAATGTATATATGAATATGCACTGGTAACTGGTTGCTTTTGTGAATTCAGTAGAGGGACAAGCAGGAGGCAGCTTATTTTTCTGTAACCATAATCTCCTCCTCCCCCAGACATAGACCTTGATGTGTGGTATGGACAGAAACCCTAACTTTTCAGAGAGCAGAACCATCCAGCCATGTGTAACATCAAAACATCACTCTCACAGCCAATTCAAAATGGCTAAGCCCCTCTATTCTTTTCCCACCTCCTCCTTTCCGTTCCGTCTCTCTCTCTGCCTGAGTTGGGGCCATGAGAGGGGATTACTGGGAGAGGGGGGAGGTCTTCGCCAGGGATGTCCCTGTAGTACTTTCTTGCCTAATGCTTTTCTACTAGGGGAGCTCTCCAAATGTCTGCAAATGCCTGACTGTCTCAGAGGCCCCCCACTTGTGGGGTTATTCAGAGGACTCCCGTGAGACCTTCTGAATGGCCTAGTTTCTTTTCTTTTTTTTTTAGACAGAGTCTTGCTTTGTTGCCCAGGCTGGAGTGCAGTGGCGCGATCTCGGCTCACTGCAAACTCTGCCTCCCAGGTTCAAGCCATTCTCCTGCCTCAGCCTCCCGAGTAGCTGGGATTACAGGCACCCGCCACCACGCCTGGCTAATGTTTTTGTATTTTTAGTAGAGACGGGGGTTTTACCATGTTGGCCAGACTGGTCTTGAACTCCTGGCCTCAAGCAATCCGCCCGCCTGGGCCTCCCAATGTGCTGGTATGACAGGCCTGAGCCACCGCGCCCAGCCTGCACTGCCTAGTTTCTAATAGGAGTGAGGAGGTGTGGTTCAGCTGTCTTCTTGTGCTCAGCTCCTTCCCCAGTGCCCCACCCACACAACCCCTTTCTTCTGTGGCCCAGGCAGGTGGCAAGTAAGGCCATTCAGGATGGCTCCAGCCTTGCTAACTCCCCCAGCCTCTATGACTCTCGAAGCTCTCAGACCCTCACCTTGCCATGGGTGGAGAAGTCCTCCCCACACTACCATTTCCTCACCCCTCCATGTTCTGGGGGACACAGGTGGAACTCCCAGGAACTTTCCTGCTCCGGGCGTGTGAGTCTTCACTGCACTACCAAGTTTCCAATCAGGGCCAGTGACTTAACTTGCAGACCCCAGTGCAAAATGGAAACGTAGGGTTTCCTGTCCAAAAAACAGGAGAAACTGCTGTTAAAGACACTAAAACATAAAGCTTTTCTTTAAAAATATTTTATTTCTAAATAAAATGTAATAGGGAAAAGAGTGATGCGTGAGCATCACACTTAACTTACAAGTTGCAAAAAAGTTAACATTTTCGTGTCATCATTTTATGTAATGGCTGGGTGCAGTAGCTCATGCCTGTAATCCCAGCACTTTGGGAGGCCGAGGTGGGCAGATCCCTTGAGGCCAGGAGTTTGAGACCAGCCTGGCCAACATAGTGAAATCCTGTCTGTACTAAAAATACAAAAATTAGCTGGGCGTGGTGGCATGCCACTGTAATTCCAGTTACCCAGAGGCTGAGGCACGAGAATCACTTCAACCCGGGAGGCGGAGGTTGCAGTGAGCCAAGATCATGCCACTGTACAACAGCCTGGGTGACAGAGTGATACTCTGTCTCAAAAAAAAAAGTAATAAATAATAAATTGTTAATGTGGTATTTGATTGATCATTAGATTTTTCTGCTCACTTTTCTGCAAATTCATTCACTAGGTCATCGACATACTTTCAGCAACTTCATTTTTAATTGATATAATTGAAAGTGATATCAGCCTCTCTTGGCAAATGCTGGATCACAAATAATTTTTAATAATGAGAAAAATTATTCTGTAGATGCAACTTTTGGCTCTTGCTACAGCCTCCACAAGTTACAGGAGGTGACAGAGGAAATATTAGAATGTCATTGTACACACTTACATTTAAACTAAAATTAAGTCTGGGCACAATGGCTCTTCACACCTGTAATCCCAACACTATGGGAGGTTGAGTGGGAGGATCAGTTGAGCCCAGGAGTTGGAGACCAGCCTGTGCAACATAGTGAGACCTCAACGCTCCAGAAATTAAATAAATAAATAAATACACTTAAATTCAGACTCACATAGAACTGATTAGTGTGAAAAGATAAAACTACTGATCTAGCTACAGATCTATCTGAAAACAGTTGATTTGGTAAATCAATTGACCTATTTTATTATTTATTTATTTATTTATTTATTTGAGACAGAGTCTCACTCTGTCGCCCAGGCTGGAGTGCAGTGGCACGATCTCAGCTCACTGCAACCTCTGCCTCCCGGGTTCAAGCAATTCTCCTGCTTCAGCCTCCCAAGTAGCTCGGACTACAGGCGTGCGCCACCATGCCTGGCTATTTTTTGTACTTTTACTAGAGACGGGGTTTAACCATATTGGCCAGGCTGGTCTCGAATTCCTGACTTTGTGATCCGCCCACCTCGGCCTCCCAAAGTGCTGGGATTACAGGCGTGAACCACCGCATCTGGCCAACCTATCTATTTTATATGGATTGTTGATTTCTGGAAAGATGGAGAGAAACTGGAAACGGTGATTTCCAAGTCTCTTCTCATTCCCTAAAACCTTGGAAACTGGGAGAATGGGATGGGAGAGAACTTATTCTTTATTGGTATAATTTGCCATTGTTTGGCTTTTTAAACATGTGCATGTATTCGTTTTTTGATTTAAAAACTTGTTAACAAGAAAAGGAACTCTTGAAGAAAAAAATGCATGTTAACATAAGATCTTCATACTCAGTTGATCATTGATACTGTTTTCATTCTTGCTAATCTTTCTAAAAACCACCAAATATATTTCTATATTCATGTGTATTATACATAGCTATATATAGTTTAGGTATCTTCAATTCAGCTGAAAAATGTTAAGCCTAAACATTTCCAAATTTAGAGCATTTAGTCACATCAACTCTGCTTTTCCCTGGGGCTAAGTTTTTGGAAAGGTAGGGAGTCAGCTGTCATTTCTGCTGTTTTTAAAAAGGTGAAGTGTGCTTCCTAACAAATAAAAAGGATGCTGACAGAAGGTTACTTTCTGCGTTGGACTCCCCAGGCGTGTACAGGAGGTGTTTGAGGCTTGAGTGACTTGTACAGCAGTGCCCCGGGGGCCCGCTTGATCTCCGGTTGTCTGATGTCACACATAGTGAGAAGTCTGGCAACAGGAAGGCAGCGCGGCCTTGGGCTGATCCCGTGACGAGTGGTCAGCAGTGCACCGTGTCAGGCGGCTCTCTACAAGGATTTCTCAATCAGCTTATCAAAAATAAATAAATAGGGCGGGAGCAGTGGCTCACACCTGTAATCCCAACACTTTGGGAGGCCGAGGCGGGCGGATAACGAGGTCAGGAGATCGAGACCATCCTGGTAAACACGGTGAAACTCCGTGCCTACTAAAAATACAAAAAATTAGCTGGGCGTGGTGGCGGGCGCCTGTAGTCCCAGCTACTCATGAAAATCGCTTGAACCCAGGAGTGGAGGTTGCAGTGAGCCGAGATCGCGCCACTGCACTCCAGCCTGGCAACACAGCAAGATCTATCTCAAAAAAATAAATAAAGATAAATAAATCACAATCAAAATGCCCAAGTTTTCCTATTTGCTAACTTAAGTAAATTTTAAAAAAAATGTAATGTCTTTTTAAGTTCTAAAATCTAAGTTGGATTTATTTTTGTAATGAAAGAATAGCTCAACATCTGAAAATCAATGAATACATTTAATGCACTTTTAGCATATAAATCGATAAAGAGGGAAAATATAACCCTCTCAACAGATCTCTTAGTGGATTGATATGTTTCAAATCCATTCCTGATAAAAATTCTCAGCCAGCTGGGAATAAAAGGGAACTTCCTTAACCTAATAAAAAAAATCTACCAAAAACTTCTAGCGAATATTATACTTGTTGTGGAAACATGGAAAGAATTTCCTTGGCATCAGGCAGGACACCTGTGCCCTTGTTTCTACATTGTAGTTAAATGGGTGAATTAAATCTTCATATGTCAATACAACCCCTTGTGTAAAGCATAATACTGAACAAAGAAAGCAAGCAACAGCAGGATGAGTATAACATGAAACAATTCCTCTCTAAGTCCTGCTGTATAGCTTCATCCTAGCCATTTTATTTTGTTTTTATTCATTATTATTTTTTGAGACAGAGTCTTGTTCTGTTGCCCAGGTTGGAGTGCAGTGGCACAATTTCATCTCACTGCAACCTCCACCTTCTGGGTTCAAGCGATTCTCGTGCCTCAGCCTCCTGAGTAGCTGGGACTACAGGCGTGTGCCACCACGCCTGGCTAATTTTTGTATTTTTAGTAGAGACGGGGTTTTGCCACGTTGGCCAGGCTGGTCTCAAACTCCTGACCTTTAGGCAATCTGCCCCACGCGGGGCAGTGTTGGGATTACAGTTGTGAGCCACCGCGCCCAGCCCATCCTAGCCATTTTGATACACAGACTTTTCGTTGTATCTCAGGTCTAAACATTTTCTGATTTTCATTATAGCCACTTCTTTGATACATATATTTTTATGCATATATATGTAGAATATTTTAAAATTTCTAAAATATTAAGTTTTTTGTTATTGTTGTTCTCTTTAAAGTTGATTTCAAATTTTGCAGAGAATATGGCAATGTGATGTTGATTTTTTGGGGGGGTTATTATGTTTTGTTGATGCCTTCTGTGTAGTTTAATATGTTTTGATGCCTATGGCCTGGTCAATTTTGGCAATTGCCCTATAGTGTTTACAAATAATGTTAATGCACTAATTGTTGAGTGCCTAGCTCTGTCTACTATAATATAATATTTATAATCTACTATAATATTTATAATCTACTATAATCTACTAGGTCAAGCTTTTACATTATATTGTTCAAAGCTTTTACCACCTTGCTTATGTTTGGGTTGTGTGATTGAACCAATACTAGGAGATGGTATGTTAAAAACTCTCACTATGGCTAGAAGTTGTCATATTCTATTTGCCTTTACCAGGTATTTGAAGGCAGAAGGATCTCAGGTTATCTAGCCTGTCATGTTGCAGGAAGTGGAGGTCTCCATTTTCCCCCTTTCTTTATTAAAAGAGATATTTTTAGAAATAGATAATATATGCACATTGTTCAAAATTTACAAGTACTGAAAGGCATGTAGTGAAAAGTGTTTGACCCCTTCTCTGGGCTGTGGCCACTCAGCTTTCCTCCCGGGGCAACCACTGTTACCAGCTTCTTACCAGTCCTTCTGGAATTTGTCTGTCCGTCTCTCTCATTTTCTCTCCTTTTCTTCTTCTCCTTCCTTCCCTCCATCCTTCCCTCTCTCCCTCCCTCCATCCCTCCCTCTCTCTCTCTCTTTCTCTCTTTCTTTCTTTCTTAGATGGAGTCTCGCTCTGTCACCTAGGCTGGAGGCAATCTCGGCTCACTGCAACCTCTGCCTCCTGGGTTCAAGCGATTCTCCTGCCTCAGCCTCCTGAGTAGCTGGGACTACAGGTGTGTGCCACCATGCCCAGCTAATTTTTGTATTTTTAGTAGGGATGGGGTTTCACCATGTTGGCAGGGTGGTCTCGATCTCTTGATCTTGTGATCCGCTCACCTCGGCCTCCCAAAGTGTTGGGATTACAGGCGTGAGCCACCGTGCTCGGCCGAGATTTCTACTTTTAATGTCTGTTTTGTTCTCCCAAATTCTGAATTCTGCAGTATATCAAAATAATATGGCTTTTGCTATTTATTCATTTACAAATTTTTAGACAAGGACTTTCATTGTCTTGGTACAATAGAGAAGTCCCAAACACTCTCTTCTTCAGTCATATAGTAATTTTATAAATCCACAACAATCATCTTTGCATATGACAGTAATGATCATAAACCTTTATTCCTTTATTCGTCATGCATCAAATCTGGTTGACAATGAGAGGATATCAGAACACTCATCCTTCCCTCCATCACTTCTAATTCATTTAATTCTTTTCTTTTCTCTGCTGTATCTCTGCTTTTACATTTTCTGCCATTAATTCATCATTATCATGTAAATTTTATTCACTTCAGAGCCAAGACTCACTATGAGACTGCAGTTGCACCAGTAAATATTCAGTTTTACAATCTTAATGTCATAGTCTGGAGAATGTTTCAAGTGTTGGGTTCAAGTGAATTCTCCAGTTTAATGCTACTCCAGATCTTTTTCCAAACTCTTATCAGCCCAGCAAGTTGACAGAG
Source organism: Homo sapiens (assembly GCF_000001405.40). Taxonomy (NCBI): domain Eukaryota; kingdom Metazoa; phylum Chordata; class Mammalia; order Primates; family Hominidae; genus Homo; species Homo sapiens. The sequence goes on from NC_000017.11 coordinate 68,477,529, forward strand.
TTGACAGATATCTTTTTTCCCCGTGTGTACTTATTTCCATATTATTCAACCCATCTGGTCAAATTCAGATTCAGTGCTTTCTGGTTTTCTACGCAGATGATTTTCAGTTACTTCCCTTCATTTTTTCTCCTATGTTCGATCTAATGCTTCAAATACAATTTTATTCTTGTTTTTTTTTTTGGTATATCTTCCATTTTTATTTATGTTATTTGAGATGGAGTTTCACTTTTGTCGACTAGGCTGGAGTGCAGTGGTGCCATCTCGGCTCACTGCAACCTCCACCTCCCGGGTTCAAGCGATTCTCCCACCTCAGCCTCCCAAGTAGCTGGACTTACAGGAACACGCCACTACACCCAGCTAATTTCTGTATTTTTAGGAGAGACGGGGTTTCACCATGTTGGCCGAGCTGGTCGCAAACTCCTGAACTCAGGTGATCCGCCTGCCTCAGCCTCCCAAAGTGCTGGGATTACAGAGGATGGCCGCTGTGCCTGGCCTGGATTATATTTTCAAGTAAGCTTTAACAAACTGTACTTGAGACACAACTTTATGAGTCCTTTAATGCCCCAAAATATCTATTATGTTTTCACATGTTCTTTGATATTTTGGCTTGGAATGTAATATTTTGTTTAAAAACATTTTTCTTGGCCGGGTGTGGTGGCTCATGCCTGTATTCCCAGCACTTTGGGGGGCCGAGGGGGGTGGATCATGAGGTCAGGAGATCGAGACTATCCTGGCCAACATGGTGAAACCTTGTCTCTACTAAAATACAAAAAATTAGCTGGGCATGGTGGCGTGCGCCTGTAGTCCCAGCTACTCGAGAGGCTCAGACAGGGGAATCACTTGAACCTGAGAGGCGGAGGTTGCAGTGAGCTGAGATCACACCACTGCACTTCAGCCTGGCGACAGAGTGAGACTTCGTCTCAAAAACAACAACAACAACAACAAAAAACAAACCAAAAAACCCATTTTTCTCTCAACACATCGAAGGCAATATCAGATTGCATTCTAACATCCACTGTGTTGATGAAAGTTTGTATTGCGATCTGATTATTGTTCTTTTGTTATGACCATTTAGAAATATGTGTGTGTGTGTGTGTGTATCTGAATGTGTCTATATTTTATATTCAATGTTCAGAACTTTCATAATACTAGGCCTAGGTGTGTTAAACCCTATGGTTTTAGTATGTATATGTTGGACAGTTTTGTTTTTTTTTTTTGAGACAGACTCTCGCTCTGTAGCCCAGGCTAGAGCACAGTGGCACGATCTCGGCTCACTGCAACCTCCGCCTCCCGGATTCAAGCAATTCTTCTGCCTCAGCCTCCCGAGTAGCTGGGATTACAGGCACACGCCACCATGTCTGGCTAATTTTTGTATTTTTAGTAGAGACGGGGTTTCACCATGTTGGTCAGGCTGGTCTCGAACTCCCAACCTCAGGCCATCCGCCCACCTTGGCCTCCCAAAGTGCTGGGATTACAGGCATAAGCCACCGCGCCCAGCCTAGGCAGTCTTAATCCATTTCTCCATGTAGATTTACTGTAGGGAAAAAACTTAGAATGCTTTAACTATAGTTATCCACATTCTCTTTTTGTCCAGTATTTTAGTTTCTACATTGTTCTTATACTTTTCACATTGGTAATTACAGCTATTATTTTTATCCAGTAAAAACTTGTTTAGGTTTATTCACAGTCTTAATATTTTCTTTTGTTTTTATTTCTTGTGTTTTATTCCTTCATCTTCGTACTGTGAGGTCAGCTGTGGATTGAATTGCTGTTCCATTTTAGGTACAGATGACATAATCTCTTTTTCCTCTTGTTGCTTTCTACATTTTCTTTTTGTATTTGGTGATTTTGCAATTTTGCTTTGCTATTTTTTGGGTTTGGATTTATGTATTCTGAATGGGAACTGGCATGTTTTCCGATGCTCACATCTATAGTTTTCATCAGTTTTGGATGCTATCAGCCATCATGTTTCAGATACTTCTTCCTCATCATCTCTGGGGTTTTCATTGAGAATATGTTATTTTTAAAAATGTACTTCATCCTCTATGACTCTTAACTTTCCTATTTTCCAGTTTTTATTTTTCTGTGCTGTATTCCATGTAATTTTATCAGTCTTTTCTTCAAATTTACACATTTTCTATTTTTCTGCATTTAACATCCTGTTTAACTAGTCTACTGAGATTTTAATTTCAGTGATTCCTATATTAGTCCATTCTCACACTGTTATGAAGAAATACCCAAGACTGGGTAATTTATAAAGCAAAGAAGTTTAATTTACCCACAGTTCCACATGGCTGGGAAGGCCTCAGGAAACTTTCAATCATGGTAGAAGGGGAAGAAAACACGTCCTTCTTCACATGGCAGCAGGAGAGAGAATTGCTGAGCAGAGGGGGAAATGCCCCTTATAAAAGCACCAGGTCTTGTGAGAACTCACTCACTATCATGAGAACAGCATAAGGGTGACCACCCCCAGGATTCAATTACCTCCCACCAGGTCCCTCCCACAGCATGTGGGGAATATGGAAACTACAACTCAAGATGAGATTTGGGTGAGGACACAGCCAAAGCTTATCAATCTCATGTTTCATTTCTAGAAGTTATTTGATCCTTGAAAAAAATATAGCAGTTCTTTTAAATCCTAGGGTTTTCCCCTTAGATTCTTTCTTTAATGTCTTCGATTATGTAAACATACTTGATTGAAAGTATTTTTGGACTGTTTTATAATTTAAAGTTTTGAGCATTAATATTCTATTGCGAACTCATCTTCTGGGTAGTGCTATTTATGAGAATCCCTGTGGCCTGAGTTATGGGAAGGACCTTCCAGGGAGGTTTTTGTTTCTTCTGTTAGGTGCCCCAGGGATATCATTATCCCGGGACATTTTTAAACATTAATTTATCAGTTCAGGGGTTCCCAGACAACCCTGCTACTATATATTTCAGATCCAAACCCACTGGAAATGCAGGCTAGGGGGTTTAGTTTCTCAGGGGAAAACTATTTTACCCAGACTCAGATGACACAAGCTTTTTTACTTTTTTTGAAACAGTGTCTCATTCTGTTGCCCAGACTGGAGTGCAGTGGTGCAATCATGGCTCACTGCAGCCTCAACCTCCTGGGCTCAAGTGATCCTCCTGCCTCAGCCTCCTGAGTAGCTGGGACTACAGGCATGTGCCGTGAGGCTTGGCTGATTTTTGTAATTTTTTTGTAGAGATGGGGATTCATTATGTTCCCCAGGCTGGTCTCGAACTTCTGGACTCAAGCAATCTGTGTGCCTTGGCCTCCCAAAATGCTAGGTGCAAGCCACCGTGCCCAGCCAACACAAGGATTTTTATCTTCCTGAGCTACTGGATAATTTTCTACGTTTTTACTTGGTAGTAGACCTTGAAAGTCCTCAGTTTTATTCAGGAATCTTAGATTCAATTCTCTACCTCATGCAGGTCCACAGCTTCATCTCTATGTCTACATAGGTAAGAAAATATAAGCCTGTAGCTTATCGGTCTAACAGTCAGGTGTCTCCCTACCCAGTTATAGCAACAGCTCACCCTCTTGTGGGTGGTTGTATTTTCAGTGCCATTTTTGTTTGTGCTTTTTATTTTGCCTGTTTGCCTGTGGCATGTTTTTGGCCCTTGAGGTTTCCCTTTCCTCTTTGAAAGCTTAGTTACGCATTAAAACCGCAGTCCCCAACCTTTTTGGCACCAGGGACTGGTTTTGTGGAAGACAATTTTTCCATCAACCAAGGTAAAGTGGGATGGTTTTGGGATGATTCAAGCTCATTACATTTATTGGGCACTTTATTTCTACTATTATTACATGTAATATAGAATGAAATAATTATACAACTTACCATAATGTAAAATCAGTGGGAGCCCTAAGCTTGTTTTCCTGCAACTAGACGGTCCCATCTGGGGATGATGGGAGATAGTGACAGATCATCAGGCATTAGATTCTTATAAGAAGCACACAGCCTAGATCCCTCACATGCACAGTTCACAATAGGGTTCTTGCTGCTATAATAATCTAATGCCCATGCTGATCTGAGAGGAGCAGAGCTCACAGTACTGGTCTGTAGCCCAGGGTTGGGTACCCCTGCATTAAAACATTATATTAATTGATCTAGAATTTCCAGGTAGCCAGACATTTTTCTCTTTATCATAGTCTTCCATCTTTCTGGAACCCTGGGATAGTTATTCATACAGCCATTCATTCATTTTTTTCGTGTGATATTATTTAGGCACCCATTGTATGCTGGTCAGTGGGGATATACACAGTTGAATAGACCATGTCAAAGCCAGTGGAAGCTTGAGTTGACAAGGAACACTTCTCGGATGGATGGAACTTAAACCGAGATTTGTTGATTACGGAAAAGGAGACATATGTGTGTCGAGTGCTTGCTTGGTACGTGCTAGGCAATGCGCTAGGTGCCAGGGCACAAAGTGGAAGAAATGCCCTACCTTTAAGGAGTTTATAATCCAGTGGGTGGAACCAGAGACAGACTAGGAGATGGGTCCTGACTGTGTGGCAAGTGCTGTGTGTTCCAGTGGGGGATGTAAAAGCCACCAGGGGAGCAAGAAGACAGGGCAGGTCAGAGACGATGTCTCCAAGGAGATGTTGGAGTTGAATTTTGAAAGATGAGTGGCGGTGAGTAGGATGAAGCGACAGGGAAAAAGACAGACGGATTTGACTGCATGTAATTTAAAACTTATGTCGTCTTTATTGGCAATTTACTATATGCCTGGCATAGTGGTGCATGTTTGCACACATTCTCATTTTAGCTTCACAAAAACCTTACGAAGATGTTATTACTCTTTGACAGACAAGGAAACTGAGGCTCAGTTGTTTGCCCAATGACACACAACTGTTGGGAGGTAAAACTGGAATTCAAATACAGTTTCATCTCATTTATATGCTATAATATAGAAACAAGGATTATTGGGACTTTTTTTACGGTGCTGTAATAAGGAAGCAATCACTAGCTTTTCAAGAGGAAAAAAATAAATATTTTAAATGGCAAAGACATTTAGGATTTTAAAATTCCTCTTTGTTTTCAAGTTTTGTACTTCCTTCACTCTGGGGCAATAACCCTAGACACCGGGTGAAGGTTAAATAGCTCATTAAGCTTAGCGTTATCAAACCAAATATTGCCCGTACAATAAAGGTAAAAAGAATGGGCAGAAAAGGAGGCTTTGTGTGTCTATCCATTGGCTCCCTTATCTGTTTTTACTAAGGTCAATCGGTGGACAAAGGAAGGGCCAGATGTCCTCAAATTGCCTTCAGCATATAAACTATTTGCTCTCAGCAAATATATCAACCATTCCCACACTGGGGTGACAGACCACCTGGAGCAAGCTATGAGTTTTCCAGGCAGAAAGTATTTCTTTATGATTCCAGCTTGATGTCTGATCATATCTGGATGTGGCTAATTGTTTGTCCTTAGTTTTGAGGAAGTCCAATTTATCAGTTTTTTTGAACAAATCATGCTGTGGTGTCAAACATAGGAAATCATTGGCTAACTTAAAGTCAGAAAAGAATTTCTTATGTTGTCTTCTACATATTCGTTAGTTTAGCTCTACATTGTGATCCATGATCTAGTTTGAGTTTTTTTTTTTGTCTATGATGTGCATGGACCCAAGTTCATATTGGTTCATACAAATCATCAAATTGCTCCAGCACCGGGCCAGGCGCAGTGGCTCACACCTGTAATCCCAGTACTTTGGGAGGCAGAGGTGGGTGAATCACCTGAGGTCAGGTGTTCAAGACCACCCTGGCCATTATGGTGAAACCCCATCTCTACTAAAAATACAAAAATAAGCTGGGCATGGTGGCCAGCCCCTGTAATCCCAGTTACTCAGGAGGCTGAGGCAGGAGAATCACTTGAACTCGGGAGACAGAGTTTGCAGTGAGCTGAGATGACGCCACTGCACTCCAGTCTGGGAAATAGAGCAAGACTCCGTCTTAAAACAAAACAAAACAAAAAAAGCTTCAGCACCATTTGTTGAGGAGGTGGTCCTTTTTCACTGCATTGCCTTCACATCCTTGTTAAAAATCAATTGTCAGGCCAGGTGCGGTGGCTCATGCCTGTAATCCCAGCACTTTGGGAGGCCAAGGCATGTGGATCACCTGAGGTCAGGAGTTCAAGACCAGCCTGACCAACATGGAGAAACCCTATCTCTACTAAAAATACAAAATTAGTTGGGTGTGGTGGCGCATGCCTGTAATCCCAGCTACTTGGGAGGCTGAGGCAGGAGAATTGCTTGAACCTGGGAGGTGGAGGTTGCGGTGAGCTGAATTCATGCCATTGCACTCCAGCCTGGGTAACAAGAGCAAAACTCCGTCTCAAAAAAAAAAAAAGAAAGAAAAGAAAAAAAATCAATTGTCCATATATGTGTGTGTTTGTTTCTAGACTCTGTTCAGTTCATTGATCTATTTGTTAATATTTATGCCAATACCATGTTGTTTTATTACTGGGGCTTTATAATGACTTTTGAAATTAGGTACCATTAGCCCTCCAACTTTGTTTTTGTTATTCTAGGTATTTGTGCCTTTCCTTATGAATTTTGGAATCAGCTTGTCAATGTCTACAAAAAATCCACAAACAACTGCAGGCATTTTTATTGGGATTGCCCTGAAACTATAGAGTAATATGGGGGAGAACTGACATCTTGGCAATACTGACTGTTTTGGCACACAAACAAATTAAATCTATCCATTTATTTAGGTCTTTAAAAATTCATCTCTGTAATGTGTTGTGGTGTCCAGTGTACTGCTCTTGCACATCGGTCAGATTTATCTTTAAATGTTTTGTATTTTTGATAGTATTAGAAATGGGAGTTTTAAATTTAAAATTTTTCATTGTTAGTAGATAGAAATTCAATTAATTTTTTTATTTTGACTTTGTATCCTACAACCTTGCTAAACTCACTTATCGTGGTATCTTTTTTTTTTTTTGTATTCCATCGGGTTTTCTACAATTTTACTTCTTCCTTTCTGATATGGATGCCTTTTATTTCTTGCTTTTGCCTTGTTGAACTGACTAGATCTTCCATTATAATGTTAAATAAGAGTGATGAGAGTGGATGACCTTGACTTGATCCTGATCTTAGATAGAAAGCATTCAGTCTTTCATCATTGAGTAAAATGTTCCAGGTTTTTCACAGATGTCCTTTAACAGGTTGAAAAAGCTCCATTTGGGTCAGTTTTGGAATCTCATCAAATGTAGCAAGAAAGGCTGACAAACAAAGTAGTGTTTTCCATCCCGACAGAGAAAGCAAGTGAGGGTGAAGTCTCAGATTCTGGAGACAATCCAAACTAACAAAATGTCCCTAAATTTGTCATGAAAATAAAAGTGGGGAGTCAAAGGATATTGTTCACTTTCATAGTTCAAGGCAAAGTTAAATGTGCTATGTTCACTTTAAAATGAATGTGTTTTCTGCCACAATGGCAAAGAATTAACAAATTAGCAATTTAGTTTGTAAGAGATCCACGGAATATATTAAGACATTGCAGATGTTATCTGTTTTACCAAGGACTCAAAGAACAACTTGAACTTCTATGATTTGCTGGATTCAAGGGCATACTGTGGGCTGCCTTTCTGCTAATTAGATTATTTTACCCACCAAACTATCATGGAAAAATGATCAAACAAGCAGTAGTTTACGCACATAGAACAATTTGCCTAGAATTGAAGGTAAGCTCAAGACAGATGGAGAGTGGGAAACAAAGATCAACTTCGCTTCCACAAATAGCTGAGTGCTGAGTGACCCCTAAAATGAGCTAATATTGGGCAAGGATATTGTCCTAGACCTCAGAGTTCCCCTTTATCCTTGGATTGTGTTGTATAATGCAGCAGTGGGTTTGCTTGGTAAAAGAGAAAGAGCAAAGTAAAAAAGGGGAAGACATCTGTTACTTCTATTGAGTTAAGCCTTCTAAAAATATTTCCCTTTTAGTGACCACTTGTTATTTTGACCCTTTGATCTTTTGCTTTGGAAATAGGACCTTTGAAACTCTTCTGCTTTCCTCCCTGTGTTTGTAAAATGATGATAATGCCCGCACCACAGAAGAAGAGACTCCGTTTTACATCCAAAGCTTTTGGAGATAAGGGGTTGAAGTGGCTGAAGGAGAAAACACTCCAATTATTCTTGCGAGGCATAAAGAATTACAGTTTTTCATCTAAAACTTTACTTAGAATCATTCCACTGATCCTAAAGAAACATACTTTAAGTTTCTTTATTTTGAGACAGAGTCTCACTCTGTTGCCCAGGCTGGAGTGCAGTGGCGTGATCTCAGCTCACTGCAGCCTCCACCCCCTGGGTTAAAGCGATTCTCCTGACTCAGTCTCCCAAGTAGCGGGGATTACAGATGCGTGCCACCATGCCTGGCTAATTTTTGTATTTTTAGTAGAGATGGGGTTCTACCATGTTGATCAGGCTGGTCTCCAAGTCCTGACCTCAAGTGATCTGCCCGCCTCAGCCTCCTAAAGTGCTGAGATTACAGGCGTGAGCCATCGTGCCCAGCCTAAGTTTCAGTGATCGAGCCCCACAATCCATAACATGTTTAGTGATTCAGTGAACTGTTGATTCATCAAAGGGAAAGAAGACATTCTCCCAGCAATCAGCCACTTTGCAATCAGTTTCACCTCAGTCACACTGGTGCCTGGACTAAGAGAAGAGCTCATGAGGTTTTTTTTTTTAATGTCCGCATAATTAAGGAGTCTTGGACATATACATGGCTTTGCAGGAAACTGTTCTATGAAGTGATTGGGCTGAAGTCTGTCACAGCATCAGGAGGCACAAGCTCCTTATCTTGGGGCTGCCTCTTCCTCCTTCTTCTCATCCCCCTCTTCCTCTTATTCTTTCTTTCTTTCTCTTTCTTTCTTTCTTTCTTTCTTTCTTTCCTTCCTTCTTTCTTTTCCTTCCTTCCTTCCTTCCCTCTTTCTTTCTTTCTTTCTCTCCTTCCTTCCTTCCTTCCTTCCTTCCTTCCTTCCTTCTTTCTTTCTTTCTTTCTTTCTTTCTTTCTTTCTTTCTTTCTTTCTTTCTTTCTTTCTTTCTTCTTTCCTTCCTTCCTTCCTTCTTCTGCTTTCCTTCTTTTCTCTCCTTCCTCCTTCTCCTTCTCCTAATTAGCTTTCTCTTCCCTCTTCCTATTATAAAAATAAATTATGCTCATTGTAGAAAGTGAAAATATAGTGTGACTGTGTACTTTTGCTCTGGAATGAAACTTGAGCTGAAAATCTGGTTCCATTGCTAACCAGCTGCATTACCTTACAGAAGTCACTCATCTAATATGCCTGTGCCTCAGGTACCCAAGTGTTAATGGGTATACTAATGCTAGTTACCTCCCAAAGTCGATGTTGTGCGGATTTTTTTTTTTCTCAGATGATGTCTTGCTCTGTCACCTCAGCTGGAGTGCAGTGGCATGATCTCGGCTCACTGCAACCTCCGCCTCCCAGGTTCAAGCAATTCTCCCAACTCGGCCTCCCCAGTAGCTGGGATTACAGGTTTCTGCCACCGCACCCGGCTAATTTTTGTATTTTTAGTAGAGATGGGATTTCACCATGTTAGCCAGGCTGGTCTCGAACTCCTGACCTCGTGATCCGCCCGCCTCGGCCTCCCAAAGTGCAGGGATTACAGGCGTGAGCCACTGCGCCCGGCCTGTTATGTGAATTTAATAAGACATTCATGTACACACATTGCACAGTGCCTGGCACATAGGGAAATCTCAAAGTATGGTTTTGTTAATAAAAATCAGAAAAATGTAGATAACCAACATTATAATTCAACTGCTGGGAAATAAACTTTACCTCCAGGTACATTTTTACATTCTAGTGTTTTCAAATGAAGGCTACCAAGTTAATTAATCAATACTTACTTAGCCTAACACTATGGTATATATTGAGAGGCATATAGTTATAACTTAAGCCAACGTTTCCTGACTTTCTCCTGTGCTAATAATTTTTCTGTATTCATTCATTCATTATTGACTTATTGGAAAAGTGGTTTGGGGTCGGGCGCGGTGGTTCACCTATAATCCCTGCACTTTGGGGGGCCAAGGCGGGTGGATTGCTTGAGGTCTGGAGTTCAAGACCAGCCTGACCGACATCGTGAAACCCCATCTTTACTAAAAACACAAAAATTAGCCGGGACTGGTGGTGGGCACCTGTAATCCCAGCTATTCAGGAGGCTGAGGCAGGAGAATGGCTTGAAGCAGGAGGCGGAGGTTGCAGTGAGCTGAGATCACGCCACTGCACTCCAGCCTGGGCGACAGAGTAAGACCTCATCTCAGACAAAAAAAAAAAAGAAAAAAGAAAAAGGAAAGAAAAGTGGTTTTGTGGTTATTTTGCATTTTCTTTGTGCCAGATAGTGTTCTGGGTATCAGAGGCATAACAGTGAACAACAATAATAATGAAAAAAAACTCAAAAATAAATAAAAAAAATGCACTCATGAAGCTTACGTTTGTATGAAAGAGAGAGAGAGGGAATAAACAGACTAGAGAAATTCATGTAATACGTCAGATCGTGATAAATATGAAGCACAGGGGAGTAGGGGGGTGGCATGGGGAGAGTTGCAATTTGAAGATGGCCAGGTGGCTTTTGAGCACAGACCCAAGGAAGTGGGGCAGTGAGCCCTGAGGCTGTTTGGGGAGGTCTATGTTTCAGGTGGAGGGAACAGCCTGCCCTGAGATCGAGGTGGGCCTGGCTTATTTGAGCAACAGCCAGGATGTCTGTGGCTGGAGAAAGGTGGGAGCAGGAGAGAAGAGCTGAGGTCTGAGTCTGACAGTGGCCAGATCTAAGGAGCTTGCACGCCATTGCAAGGCTTCTCTGTCCCATATATACAACCTGATTGGCTTCTGGCCTGCTTTGACCTATGAAATGAGAGAGGAAGTGGCAAGTGTCCCTCTCAGGAAGAAGCTTTAAGAGCCAGCATGGGGCTGGGTGCAGTGGCTCATGCCTGTCATCGCAGCACTTTGGGAGGCCGAGGTGGGAGGATCACTTGAGGTCAGGAGTTCCAGACCAGCCTGACCAACATGGCAAAACCCCATCTCTACTAAAAATACAAAAAAAATTATCTGGATGATGTGGCTCAAGCTTGTAATCCCAGCTACTTGGGAGGCTGAGGCAGGAGAATTGCTTGAACTGGGAGGCAGAGGTTGCAGTGAGCTGAGATCATGCCACTGCACTCCAGCCAGGGCAACAGAGTGAGACTCCATCTCAAAACAAAAAAAAAAAAAAAAAAAAAGAGCCAGCGTGGGCTTCTCCATCATTCCTTTCCCTCTGCCACATGGTTCTATAAAGAGGTCACCTTTTAGACCTGAGCTCTGGAGTGAAGAAACTATGGAACTGGATGTCAGGCTCCCTGGTGGATATGGTGTGAGAAATAAGCTTTCAGAGGGCTCTTTCTCTATCCTGTGTCTGAATTGGGCTTGTCTTGAAGCTGTGTGTGTAAAGCACTTTACACAATTTTTAAAATATTTATTTTTTATTTTTTAAAAATTTGAAAAAAAATGCTCAGATTTTTCCTAAGGCTTGTCTGAATAAGTTTGGGCTATTTCTAAACCCCAGAGGTGGGGCTGACCAGATTGAAGTTATCGGTTAAAGATTTAGGTAGCTTTCCTAGGAGAAATAGGATAGAGGTTGGGTAAATACTAAGTGAGCACCCATCTTGGAAAGTATATATATATATATATATATATATATATATATATATATATATGGAAAGTATATATATATATATATATATATATGGAAAGTATATATATATATATATATATATGGAAAGTATATATATATATATGGAAAGTATATATATATATATATGGAAAGTATATATATATATATATATGGAAAGTATATATATATATGGAAAGTATATATATATATGGAAAGTATATATATATATATGGAAAGTATATATATATGGAAAGTATATATATATATAAATGGAAAAAATATATATATATGGAAAGTATATCTATATATATAGATAGTATATATATATGGAAAGTGTATATATATATATGTATATATGGAAAGTATATATATACACACATACTTCTCTTTTTGAGAAAGAGTCACCCATGCTGGAGTGCAGTGGTGCAATCTCAGCTCACTGCAACCTCTGCCTCCCAGGTTCAAGTGATTCTCATGCCTCAGCCTCCCAAGTAGCTGGGATTACAGGTGCGTGTCATCACACCCGGCAAATTTTTTTTTTTTCTTTTTAGTAGAGACGGGGTTTCGCCACGTTGGCCAGCCCGGTCTCGAACTCCTGACCTCAAGTGATCCACCCACCTTGGCCTCCCAAAATTCTGGGATTATAGGCGTGAGGCACCACGCCTGGCTGGAGAGTATATTTTTGCTCCAAAGAGGTGTGGGGTATTTAGATATTACCAGGGACTGGTGGGAGAATGGTAATTGGTCCCTTAAGTAATATAAAGGGGTGTGAATCTTTTCTTTTAGAGAGAGGGAATGCCATTTGCCCTGATTACTCAACAGGATTTGGAGGAGAGTTGTTTAGAAAAGGAGATGAGCACAGAATAGGCAGCTTTTGAACCCAAAAGGGAAATGTGTCATTTTACTTGCCTCCCTTGGCTTGTCTTGTTGATGACGATGTCTGGTTTGGAAGCCAGCCGGCCTGAGCAGACAGCCCTTCAGCTCCAGGCTAACAGGGGTTGGGATTCTGTCCCAGGGTCCCTTTGGCCCTCTGGGCAGTCCCATTTCACTGGCTGAGCTTGTGGCAGAGGGGGCAAGCGTGCGGGGCCTTTCCCCATTTATCCCATTGGGGCCCTTTGTTTTCCAGTGTCCTGGCTTTTTGTACCTTTGGCAGTTACCTGGAGGAGTATCCTTAGGGCAACATGGAGAGTGCTGGAGAGCTTGTAAAGCAGCCAGTTGTTGAGGTTGCCTCTTGTCCCGCATTTCTCCTTTTTCTTAGCCCTGTCCTCCTATTCTGATCTGGGTTATAAAAGACAGAGGAGGCTAATCTGAGGACCTCCTGCACAGGGAGTGTTGGGTTCCATGGCTGAGTTTTGTAATTTCCTTCCAGTTCATTTTTAGGCCAAGCAGTATCACAAAGGAAAACTTTTTTTTTTCTTAAGGTTTGGGGTAATAAAACTTTTCCCAGTTTTGGGGATGCATCTGAGGGGCGTGTCCTGTGGTATGGAGATGCGATTACCCATCTGTGAAGAGAGAATAGAGGAGAAAAAGGAAAAAAGAAAGCACTCCCTCTACTTTCCTATTATCCTGAATGGGGCATCCCTCATCATCCTTTGGGTTCCAGAATGAAGCAGTCTTATCGTGTACCCTTGGCCCCATCTCGTCACATTACCCGCTTGAGAACAGAGGAGATACTGGAGTGAAGAGTGGGTCCCATGTTTATCCTTGAGGTTCTAGAGTGAACTGTCTTACTGTATACCTCTAACCTTGCCTTCATCTCTGTTCTAATGGTAATCTGTTAGCCTGGGATCAGCCTTCATCTCTGTCCTATGGGTCTCCTGTGCCTGTGGCCTTGGACCAGCCTGTATCCTTGTCTCCAAGACTCTCACTCAGAGCATTTTAGCAAAAAAATGATTATTTCTTTCTTTCTTTTTTTTTTTTTTTGAGACAGAGTCTGGCTCTGTCACCCAGGCTGGAGTGCAATGGCATGATCTCAGCTCACTGCAACGTCTGCCTTCTGGGTTCAAGTGATTTGCCTGCCTCAGCTTCCCAAGTAGCTTGGATTACAGGCATGTGCCACCATGCCCAGCTAATTTTTGTATTTTTATTAGAGATGGGATTTCACCAAGTTGGCCAGGCTGGTCTTGAACTCCTGAGCTTAGGTGATCTGCCCGCTTCAACCTCCCAAAGTGCTGGGATTACAGGCGTGAGCCACCGCGCCCAGCCAAAATGATTATTTCCTTTGTCAGATGCCTAGTTCCCATGTTCTTCAAGTAGACAAGAAGCCTGTTTTTCAGCTCACTGCTGCAAAGGGGCTGGACTTCCCTCCCTGCAAGATTTGAATATGACCTTGCAGGACTTGATGCTTGTTGAGAAGGGCGTGGAAGTAATTAGAGAAGTGGAGGCTCCAGGAGGAAGTGGGAGGAAGTGGGAGGAAGTGAGAGGAACACTTGTGGAAAGCCTTCATATGCTTGCAAAAAGAGCAGACCTCGGATTCAAGAGGGCAATATTCATTTGCCCTCTTGACATAAAGTAGCAACCTCTGGAGGACTTGGGGCTTGGAGTAAGAACTCACAAATAGCAAAAGCAGAATTTCCCCTCCTCCCAAGTGGTGCTAACGCACAAAAAAAAAAAGAAAAAAGTAGGTGGGATCCTTAAAGGGCCAGAAGAAGGCCCTATGGAGGTGGACAAACTGCTTCAAAAGCCACCAGAAAACTTGGTCCTGTGGCATAACAGGAACAAAAAGCATATGGTAAGTCATAAGGAGCTGGCAGAGCCAGAGTTCCAGTTAGTGTCTGTCCTGGCCATGGGCCAGCAGACAGGGGAAGGGTTGGAGGTCATCCAAGCTGTTAGGTTAAAACCAAGTATAAATCTCAGGAGATATCCGCAAGGAAGCCTGTGTCTTTTCTGCCATGCAAAAGCCGCAGGCACATGAATAACAGGGAGCGTGTGTTTAAGAAGTCATGTGGCATTCGAAGTGAAAGCCAAGTGGCTGACTTGCTCCTGAGGCCGATGGTTCATTCGGCAGGTGCTCAAGGCCGCTTTTCAGGAGACACAGGAAAACAGAAGAACAGGCAGTGCGGGTTCTTGGGAAAGAGCCGATCTTATTTGAAAAAGCAGAGGACACCCCAGATATTGCACGGTTTGAGGCTTTAGCTTTACCACCCTCATGAGCCTCTTGTCCAGGAGGGTCATTAGTGCCTTAGTTCTACTTGGTGCAGACCCCAAGGTTCTTCCCACCCCTGCGAGCCAGCCGTCAGGGTGAGCAGAAAATCAGCCATGGGAGCAGAGCCACTGTGACTGAGAGGAATTGTTTTGGGCGTTGGTTAGTGAGCAGGAGAGCGAAAGGGAGAAGAAAACTGTACAGGGGTTGAATGCCTGCAGCTGAAGAAGGTGTAGAGATCTCTAACCACTAGGGAACATATGTGAGCTATGCAGCGCCAAAGTGTGTTAGCGCTTGGGAACGTATCCAAGTCACACAGCACCCAAGTATGCTACTGGCGGTGAATCTGTATCAGTATGAGTCTGCAGCAACCTCAATTCTTGCCTCCTCAGAAGAAAGAATTTGACTGAGGGGCATAAGGCAGAAGGAGAGACCAAGGCAAGTTTTAGAGCAGGAGTGCAAGTTTATTAAAAACTTTAGACTCCATCCAGGTCCCTACAAAGGACATGATCTCATTCCTTTTTTATGGCTGCATAATATTCCATGATGTATATGTATCACATTTTCTTTATCCAGTCTGTCATTGATGGACATTTAGGTTGATTCCATGTCTTTGTTACTGTGCATAGTGCTGCAATGAACATATGTGTGCATGTATCTTTATGACAGAATGATTTATATTCCTTTGGGTATATACCCAGTGATGGGATTGCTGGTCAAATGCTATTTCTGCCTCTAGGTCTTTGAGGAATTGCCACATAGACATGTGGTGGGGGGGAATAACACACATTGGGGCCTGTCAGAGGGGTGGGGGTTGTGGGGAGGGAGAGCATCAGGAAGAATAGCTAATGGATGCTGGGCTTGATACCCAGGCAATGGGTTGATCTGTTCAGCAAACCACCATGGCACACGTTTACCTATGGAACAAACCTACACATCCTGCCCATGTACCCCTGAACTTAAAAGTTGAAGGGAAAAGAAAGCTTTAGAGCAGGAACAAAAGGAAGGAAAATACACTTGGAAGAGGGCCAAGCAGGCAACTTGAAAGGCAAGTGCTGTGTAATATTTTTTAAAAGTTAAGTTGTCCATATAAAAAAATTAAATAGGGAGAAGCTCATGGAATAGCTGATTCCCCCCGCACGTGTTCTTACTTTTTTGCAGCCAAGCCTCGGAGTGGCCACTCCCGGCGCTGTAGCAATCGCTTCCCACTTTGTCTCCTTGCCAAACTATTCTTTGCACTGATGCCAAAGATATTTTTCAACTTGCAATTTTTTTTTTTTTTTGAGACAGAGTCTTGCTCTGTTACCCAGGCTGGAGTGCAGTGGCGTGATCTCGGCTCACTGCAACCTCCGCCTCCTGGGTTCAAGCGATTCTCCTGCTTCAGCCTCCCAAGAAGCTGGGATTACAGGTGCGTGCCACCATGCCCAGGTAATTTTTGTATTTTTAGTAGAGATGCGGTTTCGCCATGTTGGCCAGGCTGGTCTTGAACTCCTGACCTCATGATCTGCCTGCCTTGGCCTCCCAAAGTGCTGGGATTACAGGTGTGAGCCACGGCACCTGGCCCAACACGCAAATTTAATAGTATCTATTTCCTACTTAAAGCCCTTGAGTGGAAAAGCATGAAGATAAATGGAGAATGTGGCAACATCGTCCATCAAAAATTTTGAAAGAAAATTCTTCACAACGTTGTGAATAGTTTCTAGGTGGGAGGATTATGGATGATTTTAATTTTCTTTTTTGTATTTTTCTATATTGAAAATGTTTAAAAATATATAATCAAAAATGCCATTTACTGGCTCCCTGTTCTAGTTGCGGCACATTAAAGACAGCCAAAGAGCTTTAACACTCTTTCCGTTGACGGACTGGGTTTAATTCCCTTCCCCTTGAATCTAGGCTGGCCTAAGTAATTTGTTTGAGTAAGAAAATATGGGCCGAGTGTGGTGGCTCATGCCTGTAATCCCAGCACTTTGGGAGGCTGAGGTGGGTGGATCATTTCAGGTCAGGAGTTCGAGACCAGCCTGGCCAGCATAGAGAAACCTCATCTCTACTACAAAAATACAAAAATTAGCCAGGCATGGTGGTGGGAGCCTGTAATTCCCGCTACTTGGGAGGCTGAGGCATGAGAATCGCTTGAACCCAGGAGTTAGAGGTTGCAATGAGCAAGATGGCACTACTGTACTCCAGCCTGGGAGATAGAGGGAGACTTTGTCTCAAAAAATAAATAAAATAAAATAAAATAGCAGGAGTGCTGTGCTGGGACTTCAAGGGTAAGTTATAAAAAGCCATGCAGCTTTTGCCTGCCTCTCATGGAACATTCTGTCTGGTAGCCCTGACCACTGTGGAAAAGTTGGATACCCTGAGACTTCTGTAATGTAAGTGCCCGGCAAACGGTCTCAGCTGGGCCTGGTATATCAATCCTCCCCACCAAGCAGAAGCCACTTGGTATCCTTCAGACCAGCCCATCCTCCAGGTGAATGCCACCCCTGACCTCAGTCGACACCACATGGAACAGAAGAATCCCCCTAGCTGGGCCTGCCAAATGTCCTGCTCCACAAATGAGATATAATTATTGTTTTAAGCCTTATGTTAACTTGTTAGATAGCCGTAGATAATTGGAATTCTATTAAACAAAGAAAGTCTTCTTAGCAGGGCTAAGATCCTCCTAGATCTGGCCTCTGTCTACCTTCCCTTCCTACTGTACTCTTCTTTATATCTCAGGCTCTTTTTTTTGAGACTGGGTCTTGCTCTGTTTCCCAGACTCGAGTGTAGAATATTTTAGCCTTGAACTCCTGAGCCCAAGAGGTCCTCCCGCTTCAGCCTCCCGAGTAGCTAAGACTACAGATGTGTGCCACCATGCCCTGCTAATTTTTTTAAAAGTTTCTTTTGTAGAAATGGGGTCTCACTATATTTTCCAGGCTGGTTTCAAACTCCTGGCCTCAAGTGATCCTCCCACCTTGGCCTCCCAAAGTGCTGGGGTTACAGGTGAAAGCCATCATACCTGGCCCCAGGCTTCTTCTAGGTTCCTGAACCAACTATAGTCTTTACCTTGGTGCCATTGTCTATACCAGCCTCCTTTTCTTATTTATTCCATTTGCCTGGACTGACGTTCCCATCCTTACTCCATTCCTCTGTCCTCACCTGTCTATCACACCACCAGCTCCTCCATCTCCCTGGTAAATTCTTGTTGAGCTTTCAAAATTTACCTCTGATGGTGCTTCTGGAAAGACTTACTTCTTCCCATACAGGGTTCTATATCTTCTCTGTGCTAATGTTTGTATTGCACGTGCTTCTCTTATTATACTCATTTACTCATCACATACATTGTAGCACATTTGTTCTCATGTCTATTTCTTCTACTTATCTGTGTATTAGTTTCTTTTGATGCTATAACAAATTACAGAAAACTTAGTGCCTTAAAACCATACAAATTTATTATCTGGAATTCTGAACCTTAGAAATCCTAAATGGGTCTCAATAGGCTGAAAGCAAGATGTTGGCAGGGCTGCATCCTTTTCTGAAGGCTCTGGGGGAGAATCTGTTTTCTTGCCTTTTATAGCTTCTAGAGGCAGGCCACATTTCTTGGCTCCTGGTCCCTCTCTGCGTTTCCTTTCCTTTCCTTTCCTTTCCTCTCCTCTCTCCTCTCCTCTCTCCTCTCCTCTCCTCTCCTCTCCTCCCCTCCCCTCCCCTGCGCTCCCCTCCTCTCCCCTCCTCTCCTCTCCTCTCCTTTCTTTCTGATGGAGTCTCACTCTGTCACCCAGGCTGGAGTGCAGTGGCGCTATCTCGGCTCACTGCAACCTCCGCCTCCCGGGGTCAAGCAATTCTCCTGCCTCAGACTCCTGGGTAGCTGGAATTACAGGCGTGTACCACCACGCCTGGCTAATTTTTGTATTTTTTGTACAGATGTGTTTTCATCATGTTGGCCAGGCTGGTCTTGAACTCCTGACCTCAAATGATCCACCTCCCTTGGCCTCCCAAAGTGCTGGGATTACAGGCATGAGCCACTGCGCCCGGCCCTCTCTGCATTTTCAAAGCCAGCAATGGCCAGATGAGTCTTCCTAATGCTGCATCACTCTGATACTAGCTTTCTATCTTCCTCTTCCACATGGAAGGACCCTTGTGATTACACCGGCCACGTCCAGATAATCCAGGACAATCTCTGTATTTTAAGATCATCTGATTAGTAACCTTAAATTCATCTACAATATTAATTCCCATTTGCCATGTACTGTAACACTTCAACATGTTTTTGGGCAGTAGGACGTGGACGTTCTTGCAGGGGTCATCATTTGGCTGACTGCAGTCTGTGAGCTCCTATGGTAAAAAGGCTGTGAACTATGTATCACTCTCCTCGAATGTAGAACAGAAGTCTGCTATGTAGTATATGAGGAAGACATGATATTTGTTCAAATGGAGTTTATATTCTAAAAGAAGGGGTCAACAAATTTGGATCTATCACCTGTTTTTGTACAGCTCTTAAGCTTAGTTTTTACTTTTTTTTTTTTTTTTTTTTTTTTTGAGACAGGGTCTCACTTTGTCACCCAGGCTAGAGTGCAGTGGTGCAAACACAGCTTACTGCACTTGACCTCCTGGGCCCAAGTGATCCTCCTGCCTCAGCCCCACAAATAGCTGGGACTATAGGCACACACCACCATGTCTGGCCCATTTTTGTATTTTTTGTGGAGACAGGGTTTTGCCATGCTGCTCAGGCTGGTCTCGAACTCCTGAGCTCAAGTGATCTGCCTGCCCAGGCCTCCCAAATTTCTGGGATTACAGGCGTGAGCCACTGTGCCTGGCTGTATATTTTTCAGTGGCTAAACAAGCTCGAATGGAGAATGATATTTTGTGACATAAAAATTAGATGAAATTTACTTTAAAGTGTCCATAAGTCAACTTTTATTGGAACACAGCCATGCCCATTCATTTATTTGTTGTCTATGCTGCTTTCACACTATAGTGGTGAAGGTGAGTGGTTGCAACAAAGACCTTATGGCCACAAAGTCTAAAATAATTACCTATTTGACCGTTGACAGAAAAAAAATTGCTAGTCCCCGTTCTAGAGGGAACTTTAGAACTTTCTGTGATTGTGGGAATATGCTGTATCTGGGCTGTCCAATATGGTAGTCACTAGCTACAGCTGGCACTTGAAATGAGGCTAGTACCCCTAAGGAAAAGACTTTTAAGCTTTATTTGATTATAATTAATTTAGATTTGAAGAGCTCCCTGTGGCTAGTGGCTACTGTACTGACAGCCCTAGGAGATGAGATGATAATTATGAAGATGCTGATAAAAATGTGATAATTTACCATGTGCCAAGTGCCGTGCTAAGAGAACAAGGATGATGCTCTTATGATTCTCATTTTACAGATGAAAAAAAACTGAAGCTTAGATGGATCAAGTATGTTGCCCAAGGTTACACAGCCAGAGAGGGGCAAGCTAGAACCCAGGGAGGTTGACTCCTGAGCTGTTGCTCTAACCATTAGGCTATGCTGCCTCACGAAAGACAAGACACATAGACATTGAATTGTAACATGTGAGAGAATATAATGAGTGCTATGAAAGAAGCAACAACAAGGCAGAGAAATAATTAAGGGGAAAAACTTCTGACCAGGGAGGGAAAAGACACCTTCTTCATGGGTGCCAAACTACTTAAGATGGGCTCTAAAATTTGGGCAGGATTTTGATTGACACTTACATGCTTGTAAGCTAGATGGATGCAACCACCTAAACACAGGTGTGATGGGGGAAGTAAAGGGGGGGTTAAGGGATTGGAAAGCAGTCCACTTTGAAAATTCATGCCACACCTTTGCTAGCAAAGGGCCACAAGTTTTCTTGGCAGCTGGTGCACTTCCTCTTTTCTCTCCGTAACGACCATGTAAATGACCTTGCCTTCGTTTTCACTTTGACTGGAAGTTTAGCTTCAAACTTGAGCTTAACTTGAGCAAGAGCAAGGAACCACACAGCTTGAATATTTGAGTTTCTTCTCCTTTCCTCCCCAAAAGCTCAATTTCTGCTCTGATGAGTGTTTTCTCTGGTCTTAATATTTGTTTTTATCCATATTTTAACATCATTTCATTACGTATTTATTTCTTGCAATGCCCCTGGGTCGTTTTGTGAATACGTGTGGGTATAAATGACAGAATAGGTTCTGGTTGTGGGAGGATGTGAACCCAGGGAGATAAATTGGAAAAGATAAGTTGGTGTCAGGCACTGGGTACAGTCAGGGTCAAGGAAGCTGGTGGGTGCTCCTGCCTTTGAGAAATAGCCTGAGCCAGTTAGGTGCCATCCCCATGCCCTTATCTCCTGCAGCCTTGGCTGCAATCCTGGCAGCTCCCCACTCAGTTCTTGGAAACCTGGCAATTGGCCCTAGTTCCATCCCACGCCACTGCCCGCTTGCTTCCTGTGCTGGCTCTGATGTCTGTTGACATCTTCTTCGAGTGTTAACTCCCAAACATCCTCAGTTTCAGTCTTGTTATTGGCATCAGGGGACACACTGGCATCCTACAATCTCTCTAAAGTACAGGCCAATCAGATCCCTCTCCTCTTTAAAGGTCTTCTGTAGCTCTCAGGTGGAAGTCCAAGTTCAGTAGCTTTGCTTAGGGTCCTCGTTCACACCCCAGCTCTGCCTCTTCCTCACTACATGACTTGGGCAAGTTGTGTAACTTCTGTATGCCGGAGTTTCCTTATCTGTAAAATAGGAACAACAATAGTACGTACCTCAAAAGGTGCTGTGAGGGTAGGGTGTGGGAATCTATGTGAAACCTCACAACGGTTCCAGGCACAGAAGATCTCTCCATGTGTTATTGTCACTGTCATGAGCTCTTCAGACTCACCTCTTGCCAATGCCCTTCACACAGTTTCTGGCTTCACATCCAGTGGAATTACTTGTAGTTTCCTAAATGTCCTCCAGCCTGAATTTGCTCATCTTTGGGTGTTCTGCACATTTCCTCTGCTGGAAAGTGTTCCTTCTCCCTCTTAACCTATTCTTCCTCATTCTTCTTATATCAGAGAGCAGGGATGTCATGGAAGTAGAAGGGAGGAAAAGAGAGAGAGAGAGAGAGAGAGAGAGAGAGAGAGAGAGGAGGGATATAAGTAAGCAAGACAAACTCAGCAACAAGGGATGAGAAAATATTCAGAAATTGGGTGCTGATTTGCATTCCAGAATCCAAATCTAGGAGCAGGCAGGGCTGGGACAGCAAGCCAGGCTTCCGACCAGATGGGCTATCCATCAGGGTTGCTTACTACAGCTCACTAATGACCATTATTAAGACCATTGCATGTAAAATGTTTATTTCAAGGTGGAAAATGCACGTTGGGTTTCTCAGAATAGGTGTTGGAATTTCTACTACAATTTTCTTCAGTATACAGAGGAGAATTGCTTGTGTTGGTCCTCTAGAGTTAAGATTGCCACCGTGCTATAGAGTAATGAGTTGTAAGTGGTGGCCACTGATCACAGCTCTTTGCTGTGGGCTGCCACCCCAGCCAGTGGTGTAGGTGAATCAGCGTTGGTCAAAGTATGGCCAGCCAGCCCAGGCTCGCCATGCAGTTACGACTTTTGACTAACTGACCACAGTCACTCTTTCATGGCCTTCCCTTCTTGGATGACATGAAGACCATACATTAACTAACAGGTCACTTCCTAATCATCCAAACAGGAACCTAGAGATTTTTATACCCAGGACAGGATATGGGACATATATCAGCCAGAGTTCTTATTTGCAAACAAAGAAACATAACCTAGGTGATCTAAGTAGAATCAGAATTTATTGATTATATACTGGATGACTCACAGACTTCTGAGAAGGTTTGAGAACAAGGCTTGAGGGCTGTACCAATTGGAAACAGTTCTCAAAATCACACTGATATGGTTTGGCTGTGTCCCCACCCAAATCTCATCTTGAATTGTAGCTCCCATAATTCCCACGTGTGTGGGAGGGACCAGGTGGGAGATAATTGAATCATGGGGGCGGTTCCCCCATACTATTCTTGAGGTAGTGAATAAGTCTCACGAGATCTGATGGTTTTATAAGGGGAAACCCCTTTCACTTTGTTCTCATTTTCTCTCTTGTCTGCCTCCATGTAAGACATGCCTTTTGCCTTCCGCCATGATTGTGAGGCCTCCCAGCCACATGGAACTGTGAGTCCATTAAACTTCTCTTCCTTTGTAAATCACCCAGTCTCGAGTATTTTTTTTTTTTTTTTGAGATGGAGTTATTTTGCTCTTGTTGCCCAGGCTGGAGTGCAATGGCGCGATTTTGGCTCACTGCAACGTACACCACCTGGGTTCAAGTGATTCTCCTGCCTCAGCCTCCTGAGTAGCTGGGATTACAGGTGCCCACCACCACGCCCGGCTAATTTTTTTTCTATTTTTAGTAGAGATGGGGTTTTACCATGTTGGTTAGGCTGGTCTTGAACTCCTGACCTCAGCTTATCCACCCTCCTTGGCCTCCCAAAGTGCTGAGATTACAGGCATGAGCCACGGCGCCCGGCCTCAGGTATAACTTTATCAGCAGCATGAAAATGGACAAATATACACACCGTGAAAGTGCTCAGGTAAGGACACTATTGAGGATTTGTTCCCTGAGATGTGAGTAGAAAAGCAGTTAATGGAAACAACGCAGTTTTCACATTCTGTATATTTTCCCTGTGCCTTTTGATACAAGTTCCAAAGGAACATTTAACAGCATGACAGCTTCCTGTTTATTTATTCTCTCATCTCTTACTGGTTGGTCAATGCACATAAGTCCATGTGGAGAGAGCTCGGAGCATACTCCTCCTTGACGGTGGATCAGAAGTGTCATCTTGGTTTCCAGTATCCTGCCTGAGCTGTGAATTGCCCTGACTCTTCATTTCTCACTCTGACTCTCTGCAGCATCTGTCTGCTTCTCAGAACACTTGCTTCCCTTGGCTTCTGTGACCTCCTTCCTCTCCAGGTTTGCCACCTGCTTTCTAAATGTTCCTTCTGGGCTCCCTTCCTCCCTTTAACCTCTCACTGTTAGCCTTACTCATGGTTCTATATTCAGCTGCCTTTCTTCTTCCCACTTCTCTCTCAATAGCCTGTCCCAGGAGGTGCTGCATTCACTCCTATGGCGTTATAATCAATAAGCTGATGATTTCAAAACCCTCAGCATTCTCTCTCTCTCTTTTTGAGACACGGTCTTGCTATATTGCCCAGGCTGGAGTGCAGTGGTATAATCATGGCTCACTGCAGCCTTGAACTCCTGGGCTCAAGCCATCCTCCCACCTCAGCTTCCTGTGTAGCTAGGACTACACATGTGCATAACCATGCCTGGCTAATTTTTAAATTTTTTTGTAGAGAGGGACATCTCACTATCTTGCCTAGGCTGGTCTCAAACTCCTGGCCTCAAGTGATCCTCCCTCCTCAGCTTCCTAAAGTGCTGGGATTACAGGCATGAGCCACCATGCCCAGAACTCAGCTCTCTTAAACTTCCGACCAGCAAGGAAGCAACTAGACGGCTCTTTGTGGATGTCCAGCAGCCCTTCAAACTGAACACATTCCAAAATGGAACCCTTGCTGCTTCTTCCTGTGTTCTCTGATTCAGTGAATAGCAGCAGAATCACTGAGTTAGAAATCTAGGTATCATCTTTGAGTCCTTCCTGTCTCCTCCTTATCCTTCACATCAATCCCTAGGTTCTCTCGCTCTTATTTTCTTAATATCTCTCAAATCTGCCCAGCTTCATTCACCTGCATCAAAATCTTTTAGTTTTAGCTATCATCATCCCTTACTTGGATCATTGCAACAGACTCCTGAGAAGTGTTCAGGCTCCAGACTCCAGAGAGCCCTTGCAGTCCCTACTCATGTCCTTGCTTCATTAGAACCCAAAAGATAAAGTGTGCACTTGGTCACATCTCTTCCCTGCATGAGGCCATTCAGTAAATCCCCACAGCTATAAGACAATTTAAACTTCTAAGGCAGGGGTTGGTAAGCTATGGCTCATGGGTTGAATCACCTGTTTTCATGCAGCATAAATGCTAAGAAATTTTTTACATTTTAAAATTATTGAAAAAAAAAGTCAAAGAATGTGACACATGAAAATTATATGGACCTTATCCAAAATATACAAAGAACTCTTAAGCTCAACAAGAGAACAAACAACTCAATTAAAAAATGGCTAAAATGGGGCCAGGCACAGTGGCTCACGCCTGTAATCCCAGCACTTTTGGAGGCTGAGGCAAGTGGATCACCTGTGGTCAGGAGTTCAAGACCAGACTGACCAACATGGTGAAACCCCCGTCTCTACTAAAAATACAAAAATTAGCCAAGGTTGGTGGTGGGCGTCTGTAATCCCAGCTATTTAGGAGGCTGAGGCAGGAGAATCGCTTGAACCTGGGAGGTGGAGGTTGCAGTGAGCTGAGATTGCACCATTGAACTCCAGCCTGGGCAACAAGAGCGAAACTTCATCTCAGGAAAAAAAAAAAAAAAAAAAAAAAAGATATTTTGAATCTGGTTCTGAGCTAAAGTTGAGTAAATTCTTAGCTAAGAAAAAATTGGAAATCCATCATCTATATTAGCAACAGATTCTCAGAGTAAATTGTTAACTTCTATGATTTCTGATAATCGAGCTGGACTTGATCATACAAGTTAGTCTAATAATGTATTCAACCAAAATATAGACTTTATTGGTCTGATTCAGAAGCATTCATGCTCACAAGCTTTGGGAAAGTGAAAAATAATAAAATCATTTTGGATTAAAAAAGAAATGGCCAAAGACCTAAACAGACACCACCTCAGAGAAGACTCACAGATGGCAAATAAGCACAAAAAAAGATGCTTACCAGCATATGCCATTAGGGAACTATAAATTAAAACAAGGAGGAACCACTACACATTTAACAGGATGCCTAAAATCCAAAGCACTGACAAATGCTGGCAAGGATGTAGAGCAACAGGAGCTCTCATTCATTGCTGGTGGGAATGCAAGATGGTACAGGGTACACCTACTTTAGAATCCAGTTTGGCAATTTTTTTTTACAAAGCAAAAGGTACTTTTGCCATGTGATCCAGAAATTGAACTTCTTGCTATTTACTCAGAGAAGTTGCACATGGATGTTTATAGCAGCTTTATTCATAATTGCCAACACTTGGAAGCAAACGAGATGTCCTTTAGTAAATATGGATAAATTGTGGTACATCTATACAGTGGAATATTATTCAGTAATAAAAAGAAATGAGCTATCCAGTCACAAAAAGACAAGGAGGAATCTTAATTGCATGTTACTAAGTGAAGCAGTCAGTCTAAAAAGGCTACATAGTGTATGCTTCCAACTATGTGGCATTCTGCAAAAAGCAAACATATGGAGACAGAATATACAGAATATATAAGGAGCTTGAACAACTATATAGGAAAAAATCTAATAATCCAATTTAAATATGGGCAAAAGATCTGAATAGACATTTCTCAAAAGAAGACATGCAAATGGCAAACAGGCATATGACAAGATGTTCAACATCACTGATCATCAGAGAAACGCAGATCAAAACTACAATGAGGTATCATAGCACCCCAGTTAAAATGGCTTTTATCCAAAAGACAGGCCATAACAAATGCTGGCAAGGATGTGCAGAAAAGGGAAACTTTGTACTCTGTTGGTGGGAATGTCAATTAGTACAACCACTAGGAAGAACAGTTTGGAGGTTCCTCAGAAAGCTAATAATAAAGCTACCATATTATCCAGCAATCCCACTGCTAGGTACATACCCCAAAGAAAGGAAATCAGTATATCAAAGAGATATCTGCACTCCCATATTTACTGTAGCATTATTCACAATAGCCATGATTTGGAAGCAACCCAAATGTCTGTCAATAGATGAGTGGATACAGAAATGTGGTACAAGGCTGGGCATGGTGACTCACACCTGTAATCCCAGCACTTTGGGAGGCCAAGGCAGGAAGATCATTTGAGGTCAGGAGTTTGAGACCAGCCTGACCAACATGATGAAACCCCATCTCTACTAAAAAAAAAAAAAATTTAGCCAGGCATGGTGGTGCACACCTGTAATCTCAGCTACTTGGGAGGCTGAGGCATGAGAATCACTTGAACCCAGGAGGCGGAGGTTGCAGTGACCTGAGATCGTGCCACTGCACTCCAGCCTGGCGACAGAGTGAGGTTCTGTCTCAAAAAAAGACATGTGGTACAAATACATAATGGAGTACTATTCAGCCATAAAAAAGAATGAGATGTATTTGCAACAACATGGAAACAACTGGAGTTCATTTTGTTAAGTGAAGTAGGCCAAGCACAGAAAAACTTCACATATTCTCACTTATTTGTGGGAGCTAAAAATTAGAACAACTGGACTGATGGAGATAGAGAGCAGAAGGATGGTTACCAGTGGCTGGGAAGTGTAGCGGTGGAGGGTGGAGGGGATGTAAGGATGGTTAATGGGTAAAAACTAGTTAGAAAGGATGAATAAGACATAGTATTTGATAGCACAATAGTAAAAAATAATTTAATTGTACATTTAAAAATAATTAAAAGAGTATAATTGTAAAGGATAAATGCTTTGAGGTGATGGATACCCCAGTTACCCTGATGTGATTATTACCCATTGTATGCCTGTATCAAAATATCCCATATACCCCATAAATACATACACCTTCTATGTACCCACACAAATAAAAAATAGAGAGAAAAACATAGGGAGAAAGTATAGAAATTCAGTGGTTGGACAGGCGTGGTGGCTCACATCTGTAATCCCAGTAATTTGGGAGGCCAAGGCAGGCCTTCTTGAGCCCAGAAGTTCAAGACTAGCCTGGGCAATGTGGCAAAACCCTGTTTCTACCCCCCAAAATACAAAAACTAGCTGAGCATGGTGGTGTGCACCTGTAGTCCCAGCTACTTGGGAGGCTGAGGTGGGAGGATGGCTTGAGCCCGGAGGTTGCAGTGAGCTAAGATCATGCCACTGCACTCCAGCTTAGGTGGCAGAGCCAGACTCTGTCTCAAAAAATATATATGTAGATAATAAAATAAAACGAAAATCAGTGGTTATCAGGGCCTTAGGGGAAGGAGAGAGGGATAAACAGTGGACCACAGGGGATATTTGTGGCAGTGAATCTCTTCCACAGGATGCTGTAATGGTAGATGTAAATGTAATTACACATTTATCAAAACTCATAGAATATACAACAGAAAGAGTGAACTCTAATGTAAACTATGGACTTCAGTTAATAATAATGTATCAGGCCAGGTGAGGTGGCTCAGGCTTGTAATCCTAGCACTTTGGGAGGCCCAAGTGGATGGACTGCTTGAGCTCAGGAGTTTGAGACCAGCCTGGGCAACATAGTGAGACCCTGACTCTACAAAAAATACAAAAATTAGCTGGGCGTGGTGGTGTATGCCGGTAGTCTCAGCTACTCAGGAAGCTGGGATAGGAGACTGGCTTGAGCCCAGGAGATGGGAGGTTGCAGTGAGCTGAGATTGAGATTGTGCCACTGCACTCCAGCCTGGGTAACAGAGCCAGATCCTGTTTCACACACACAGAAGTATCAACATTGGCTCTTCAAGTATAACAAATGTACCACACGAATGCAAGATGTCAATATAAGGGAAAACCATGTATGGAGGGTTGATGAGGTGGTATCTGGGAACTCTCTGTATTTTCTGCCAATTTTTTTGTAAACCTAGAATTGCTAAAACCAAAAGTCTATTAATTAGGATAATTACATCAATTTCAAATTCAGTGTTCATAAATTTTTATCAGAAGACATCCACGCCCATTCATTTACATATTGCCTATGGCCACTTTTGTGATACAATAACCAAACTGAGAAGTTGCCACAGTGCCCAGATGGCTTACAACATCTAAAGCATTTACTATCTGCCCCTCCCCCCTACCACAGGCCACTGATCACTCTTCCAGCCTCACACCATCTTCCATCTTATCCTTAGGCCATCTTGAAAAATATTTTCCTTAGAAATCCATGCTCTCTTGCCCATTAGTTCCTCTACCTGAAATACCAGGCAGGACTAACTGGGTACCATTATATCCCAGACACCTTTTTTTGGCTGGCTTTTTCTGATCACTGATGCCTGAGTTAGATGCCCTTTCAATGTACCCCCCCAATCCCACCCCCATAATTTGGCCATTTTATTGAAAGAACTCATGTTATTGCTGGCCCCTTCAGACTGTGAAATTTTTTTTTTCTTTTTTTTGAGACAGAGTGTCGCTCTATCACCCAGGCTGGAGTGTAGTGGCCCGATTTCGGCTCACTGCAACCTCCGCCTCCCTGGTTCAAGCAATTCTTCTGCCTCAGCCTTCTGAGTAGCTGGGACTACAGGCGTGCACCACCACACCCGGCTAATTTTTGTATTTTTAGTAGAGACGGGGTTTCACCATATTGGCCAGGCTGGTCTCAAACTCCTGACCTCGTGATCTGCCCACCTCAGCCTCCCAAAGTGCTGAGATTACAGGTGTGAGCCACCGCACCTGGCCCAGACTGTGAACTTTTAAGTTTGAGGTCATGGCTTATTTATCTCTGCATGCCTGTTACCTAGTACCTGCTAGTATCCACTAGTGTGGATGATCAGGAATCATTTTATAAGGGATTCTAAACTTGGAGTCCATACATGGATGGGCTTCAGGATCTGTGACCACCTTGAAATGGGATGAAAAAGGCTGTGTGTGTATGTTTGTTTGGGCTTATTTCCTGGGGAGAAAGCCCATTGTTTTCATGAGCTTCTCAAAGGGAACCATGACCAGCCTCCAGCAAAGAAAAAAATGAAGAATTCCTGGAAGAGTATAGGTACATGATCAGTACAGTGCCAACCTGGATACATTAACAAGATTTGTTGACTTTGTCAGATTGACAAAAACAAAGAAAGTTACTGATCCTAGTCAACGATCATACCATCCATGACACAAAGATCTGTGTGACAATAGCAAAGACATAGAATCAACCCAAATGCCCATCAATGATAGACTGGATAAAGAAAATGTGGTACATATACACTGTGGAATGCTATGCAGCCATAAAAAGGAATGAGATCGTGTCCTTTGCAGGGATGTGGATGGAGCTGGAAGCTATTATCTTCAGCAAACTAACACAGGAACAGAAAACCAAACACCTTATGTTCTCACTTACAAGTGGGAGCTGAACAATGAGAACACATGGACACAGGGAGCAGAACAACACACACTGGGGCCTGTTGGGGAGGCAGGGAGGGGGAGAATCAGCTAATGCGTGTGGGTCTTAATACCTAGGTGATGAGCTGATAGGTGCAGCAAACCACCATGGCACACGTTTATCTATGTACAAACCTGCACGTTCTTCTGCACATGTATCCCGAACTTAAATTAAATTAAAAAACAAACAAACATACATACATCTGAAAAACAGGAAACCACTATCTTTTCACATTAAAAAAAAAAGATCTGTGTGGGTGACTGACTCATCCCTATTTTTTAAAGCCTCAAATCCATGACAAAAGGTCAGCCTTGTTTAAAAACAGCTTAGGCCTAGGAGATTAGTATTCAAAGGAAGAACATTTTAGAAGAGATTCATACAAATATCTGGACTTCACTGAATACATGCTTGTGATAATTAATTTTGTGTCAACTTGGGTAGGCCATGCTACCCAGTTATTGGTCAAACACAAGTCTAGATGTTGCTGTGAATGTATTTTTTTTTTGTACATGCGATTATCATTTAAGTCAATAGACATTGAGTAAAGCAGATTACTCTCTTTAATGTTTGTGGGCCTCACTCAGTTGAAGGCCTTAAGAG
This sequence comes from Homo sapiens, assembly GCF_000001405.40. Taxonomy (NCBI): domain Eukaryota; kingdom Metazoa; phylum Chordata; class Mammalia; order Primates; family Hominidae; genus Homo; species Homo sapiens. Next base: position 68,508,073 of record NC_000017.11, read on the forward strand.
AAAAGACTGAGGTTCCCTGAGGAAGAAGGAGTTCTGCCTTGGACTTGAGACTGCAGCATCAACTCTTCCTTGGGTCTAGGCTGCTGACCTGCCCTGCAGATTTTGGACTGTATATACCCAAAGAAATACAAATCATTGTATCATAAAGACACATGCATGCTTATGTTCATTGTAGCACTATTCACAATAGCAAAGACATGGAATCAACCTAAATGCCCATCAGTGGTAGTCTGGATAAAGAAAATGTGGTACATATACACCATGGAATACTATTCAGTGATAAAAAGAATCAAATCATGTCTTTCGCAGCAACATAGATACAGCTGGAGGCCATTCTCCTACGCATATTAACACAGGAATAGAAAACTACCGCATGTTCTCACTTATAAGTGGGAGCTAAACATTGATTACTCAAGGACATAAAGATGGCAGCAATAGATACCTGGAACTACTAGAAGGGGGAGTCGGGGAGCAAGGATTTAAAAACTATTGGGTACTATGCTCACTACCTGGGTGATGGGATCACTTGTACCCAAATCCTTAGCATCACACAATATACCCAGGTAACAAACCTGCACCTGTACCCCTGAATCTAAAATAAAAGTTGAATGAATAAGTAAATATGCTATTTTTGATGAAGATATGTTTTAGATTAAGATATTTTTACTTGGAACGCTTTAGTGTTAGATCCAAGTTTGCCACCCTTCTGGTTTCTTGGTTAATATTTTCAATTAATGCTCAAGATAAACACCCCTCCTTAGTTTAAATGAGCATTTGCCAGTGAGAAAAGTAGGAAGACATTTTGGCATTCGGGTGTTTGCTGGAATTAGTTATGTCTGAAACCACAACTTTGGGTCTCCTAGGAAGTATAAGTACTCAGTACCATTGTACACCATAAGTAGGTGGTGATGGACTTTGAAATTGGAAATACGTGGATCTGTGTTTAGCCAATGGAAACTTTAGGTGCAAGAACCACCAAGAAATGGACCACCAAAGTATTCCTTCCTTTCACGTTTTAGCTTTCTTAATTCTATTTCTGCTTATCACTCATGTTTATTTTGCTTTTATGGTTTTTGGTATTGTTTCACAAGCATTGTAACAGCAATTATGCAATTTCTTTTTCGTTTTTTGAGTGGGAAGGTCTTGCTGTGTGGCCAGGGCTGCAGTGCAGTGGTGCGATCATGGCTCACTGCAGCCTTGACCTCCTGGGCTAAAGCAATCCTCCCAGTACATGCGTGGGTCACCACATCTGGCTAATTTTTAAAATTTTTTTGTAGAGACGGCGGTCTCACTGTGTTGCCCAGGCTGGTCTTGAACTCCTGGGCCCAAGGAAGCCTCCAGCCTGGGCCTCCTAGAGTGATGGGATTACAGATGTTAGCCACCAGTTAAACAGGAAAATTTACTTATAATCCCACTACTCTAGAAACATATTTTTAAACTGAGTTTCTCAAGGACACAGTCCAAAGGAAAGGCTAACAGACCTTTGAATCAAGGGCAGAAGGCCTCTGGAGAAGGGAAACCATACAGAAACTACAGTGGAACAAATGTCATTTCTGAAACATAATTTACGAATACCAACAAGTTGGTATTCTCACAGTGGCACAGTGGCACTGAAAGAACATTTGCACCATTTGGAAAGCACTGAGGCTATTTAGTTTTTCAGAACAGCTGTCTCACTGAACTTTCCCCGGGCTCAACTGTCTACTGCCCATTTCCCTTTATGTCTCCTAAAGCCCCAGCATATGAGGATTTGGCACCTAGAACAAGGTTGAGTGTGACTGACACAGGAAATGGCCCGTGGCTGGACTGGCGCCTGCATGCAGCTGAATGGGGACACACAGCCAGGACTCAGCAAGGAAGCAGCTGTCACTCAAAGTGCTCAGCTCAATGTCAGCAGCTTGCTTGTTTCCTTATTCTTAGTGTCTTAACTGCACTTGGAAGGTAACACTAATGGTGGGACATAGTGTCACTCTGACTTAACCTTGTAGTTTGGGTAGCTCTGCAGGAAGAGGGAGAAATGGGAAGTAAATTAACATTCATTTAATATATCCCCCACTGTACTGAACACCATATATATATATGTAGACAGAGAGAGAGAGAGAGAGAGAGAGAGAGAGAGAGAGATCTATCTATTCTGCAATGGAGAGTGATTAAGATCACTGCCTGGGTTTAAGCCATGTTAGCTGTGTGGCCATGGGCAAGTCACTTAACTTCTCCATGTCTCATGTTTTTTTCTGTAACAATAACAATATTACCTATGTTAAGAGTTACTATGAGGATTAAATTAATTATGTGTAAAGCCCTTAGATCAGTGCTTGGAACACAGTAAGTGCTATACGTGTGTTTGCTGTTATACCCTTAGTAGTTAACTTCAACAAAGTCCTGTTCATCCTTTTATGACCGAGGAAACGGACACCCATGGAGATTAAGTCAATTACCGGACATGGCAGAGCCTGAAACCAAACTCAGATTTACCTGACTGCAATATTTTCTTCCCATAACATGACCGGGCCTGCTCAATGCTATCAAATTCCCTCTGCTGCTTGCCAGCGTAGGGTTCAGTTTATCAACCCTTCTTTGTACTGTCAAGAGTGAAATCCTATCTGACTGAGGCTCTTTTATCCCCATTTCTGATCAACCCTGGAGAAGGGCCAATGGTCAACATTTGGGGAGTCAGTGAAAGGAGAAACTTCCCTTTTCCATTCCCCCCTGTAAGCCTGATTGCCCTTTTGATATCGCCTATGTATCCCTATCAGAAGGCAGTGAATAACATAACTAAATAAATCATCTGATGGACAGTACCCTTAGAGCCTGGTGGATTTGGGGGAGCAGTCGGCCTCCGAGGGCAGCGCTGCCCAATAGGAATATAATGGGAGCCATCTGTGTAACTTTAAACTTTTTAATAGCTACACTAAGAATTAAAAAACAAAAGTGAAATTAACTTTAATATTTTACCTAATATATCAAAAATATTATCATTTCAATCTGGAATCAATATAAACACTATTGAGCTACTTTTTTGTATTGTGTTGAGTTCATGATTTACTTTAAACATACAGCCCTTGAAGTATATACAATGTTACTACAACAGCTCCTGGACACTTGCATATGTGTGTATTTTGCTTTTTTGTATTGTGTTGAATCCATTATGAATTTTAAGCACACGGCCCTAGAAATATATACAATGCTACTAAAGCAGCCCCTAGCCAGACACTTGGACATGTTTCCTTGATGGGCCTTCTTTATTGAGTTACAGACTTGATGTGTCTAAAATTGTACCGTCTCCCTTTTCTTCCTCCTTAGACAGATACTCTGATGGAAAAAAAAAATGGCTGAAAGAGTAAAGTCGCTTTTCCTCCGAATTTTCCCCATTAGTGCAGCTTGTCTGGACAGCTGCGATTTCTTGTTGGGTCACAGGGCATTTTTGACAATCTGCACGCTCTGCACTTCTCCCTCTGTGAGGTCAGGAGTGATGGGGGGGCACTTCAGGTTCTAGAAGGACTCAGGCCTCCTCTTGGACCCTGACAAAGTCCTTTCCCGTGCCTGGTTTCCACAGGGACGGTGTTGCCTGCACAGACGACAGCACCCCCGGCGGGGGAGAGCGGCCCCAGCGGAGACTCGGCAGGGCTCAGGTTTCCTGGACCGGATGACTGACCTGAGCCCGGGGCCCGGGCGGCGCTGGCCGGGCACAGGATGCGCGGCCCGGAGAGCGCATCCCGGCCATCCGCCCGCGCTCGGCCCCGCAGCGCAGCTGCTGCAGATCCGCGGGGGCCGCCACCTCCTCCGGGGGCTGGCAGCGACAGGACTCTCCCCGCCCCGGCCCGGGGCCCTCCCTTGCAGGGGCTGCGGGGAGGAGTCGCCCACCTGTCATCTGAGACGCCCCACGTGGGTCGGCCAGGGAGGGGGTGGAAAGGAGGGAGAAAAGGCAGAGGCGTCAAGGGAGGCCGGAGGGAGAGTGGGGTGGACAGAGGAGCGGAGGGACGAGAGGGAAGCGCACGATAGCTGCGCGGAGAGAGAGCGAAGAGCAGGCGGAGGAACAAAGGCGACCCAAGACACCCAGAGAGGGACAGGTAAGGAGGGGCAGGTGAGCAGGAAGGAGGAGAGAACCGGGCTAGGGAGACTGCGGAAAGGAGAAGTGGCGGGCGTGAGGAAACTGCTGTGGATAAGGGACGAGTAAGATGGAAAGAATGGCGGAAGACGAACGACCGCAGAGTGAGGGTCCTTCCAAGAGCGACCAGGGGGGAGGAACTGGGGCTGTTGCGCCCTTAAGGTTGCTAAGGCGACGGTTCTGGCCAGAGCGAGGCGCATTGACGTCAGTAGCCGAACGCTGATTGGCTGCGGCCAGGCCGTTTCCGGTGGAGCTGTCGCCTAGCCGCTATCGCAGAGTGGAGCGGGGCTGGGAGCAAAGCGCTGAGGGAGCTCGGTACGCCGCCGCCTCGCACCCGCAGCCTCGCGCCCGCCGCCGCCCGTCCCCAGGTGAGTGGGGTCGGCCGGGGGCTCAGGCGAGGTGAGCTTCGTCGCTTCGCAGCCGGTTTGCGGGAGCTGGACCGATCCAAGATGGCGTCACGGGGAGCGACCTGCAGGGGGACGGCCGCACCCCCTGCCCCTCCCCGGCCCGGCGGGCGCCTCCCCGCAGGCCTCACGCCCCCGGCTCCGAGTCTGCATCCTCAAGGCCGTCTGGGCGTTGGCTTTGGTGCGGGGCTCCCCAGCCGCCCCGCTCGCGCTCGCTGCCCCCACCCCACGGCTCCTGGGGCCCTGGGCCCTCCGCGGCCCTCCCCGGCCGCCTTCGCCCCCGCGCGCCGCGGCCTCTTCGCTCACCCTCCCCCATTTCCTGAAGGACAACGGCTCTATTTTACTGGGGTCCGCCATCGTCTCGTCCGCCGGTCCTGGCTCTTCTTGTAAGCCGGTAGTTTTCCTCTCCACTTTTGACGACTCGTCATTGCTAGCAGTAGCCTTTCCTCTTCATAGCGGAGTGATCTTTCCCCCAACACGACGGTCTTAGTCGGGCTCCTGAATTTCCTCTTGTCCCCTTTCACCTCTCTCCCTTTCCCAATTTTGCCCCCCTGAGGCCTCCTCGCCACCACTGTGGCCTTCCGACTGGCGTAGCTTGAAGTCTCGGCTTCCCTTCATTTTGTGGTCATGACCGTGGCCTACGTGAAGTGAAGGGCATTTTCCTGCCCTTCTTCTAGAAAATACACGGTACCTATTAACCTCTTCAGCTCAGAGCCTGTGGTGACGACCGTCCTACTCCTTGAGAGATTCCCAAGAGATCCGTCTTTTTAGCAGAGCGAGGAAAGCAAACACTTACTCAAGATGACCCTAGGGGAGCCGTAACTTGGCTGGTCTAAGGGGGTGCGGTCTGAATCAGGAACAGTTTCTCAAAGTGTTTTTATTTATTTCCCAGAATGTAATCCTTTCGAAACAATTTTGTCACAACTGAATTTTCAAAAGAATGAATCTGAGTGTTTTGTTTTACATAGAGACAATGCAGCGAAAGTTTTAAAGCAGTTAAATAATTGTGTGTGGGGAGGGAAGGCTAGGTTGTTGGGCTTTACAAATAAGTACACATAGAGAATCCGGGTAACTCGATTAAAAATATTAAGACTGTGAAGTCTGGTTATTCAGGGATTTACATGGTGACTGCATTAATTTTGGTACATTTCTGTTCGTATACTGTCCTATTACCGGTGGCTATCTTTTTGGTTTTCGTAATACATTAGTTGTTTCAAACAAAAACACAGTTTCACTCCTTAGGCCCAGTTCTCTCATCTCTACCAGCCAAAGACCTGATCTTAGAATGATTGATCATTTGAATGTTCTTAAAATATGACAATGCTTTGAAGCATGAAAGATCTGATTTATGATTGTTCTTGGTGGCCTTTAAGTATTATTTGAAATGCAGACAATTCTACTGAAGTGGATCTTCAGTTCATATGATTGCCTGACCTGGAGAAGTGGCTTGTATAAATCTATCCTAAAGTAAATGCGCGTTTTTGTTTTTGTTTTGCCTGTTTAAAGTAGCAGCATGATTATTTTTCCATGGCTTCTAATTTATGTGCTTGTCTTGGAGCCACGAACTTTCTAATGGTCTGTTAATTAGTCTACTTGTTGTTGACCTTTATGGTGAAAGTTGTCAAAACAAAATGAGTAACAGTGTAGCACTTTAGAATAGCTCTTTACTCTGTTAATTCTTTCTATAAGTTCTTTTAAATTTACAGTTTCATCTCAATAGTTTACAATGCATTATAATTGGAAAAGTCTGATTAGTATTGAATTCAGTTGCTGAGTGGAGGGGACCACACTCTTGTCTTCTACTCTTAAGTGCTTAGTAATTAGGAGTTGGAAGGAAAACAGTATATGACCCTGTTGTTAAATTAGTAAACTTTTAATTCTAGGGTAAGGTTAGCTGCTCATCATTATCTCTGTTTGCTTTACTTTACATAAAGGTACCATAATTCGAATCCTCTAAAATCCATTAAATGCAATTTATCCATTAAATGTAATCCATTAAATGCAATTTATCTATTGAATCTTCATGCAAGTTTGAAACTTAAGTGTTTTAACATTCTCCTGTCAAGATGAAGAAAATATTTTGACAATTTTCTGTCCAAATGTTTTACAGTTTATGTGGTAAGAATTCTCCCCTCCCCCAACTAAGGATTTTCCTTCTTTTACCACTAGTGTATTATCATTTAGGGGTGGAATCTGGCAAACGAGTCTGGAATAAAGGTTGCTTTTAAAACTCATCTAATTTTCTTGTGTGTTTTTAAAAATTTTGATTATGCTAGTAGTTGGCTAATCAGATCCTCACTCCAGTGGTTTGCTCTGTGACGTTAGGATACTCCCATGGGATAGAAGTTACGTATAGGGAATGTCAGATATTCTTCATTGTGCTGACTTGCTTTCGCTTACAGTTGACTTTTGTGCCCTGGTAATTCTGTATCCTGTTTACCGTTTACCTACTTCCCACGTCATCATGATTTCTTTTGAGGGAGAACTGAATGAAATTCCCTTAAGGGCCTGACTTCAGCACCCGTCTCTGCAGAGGTTAGTGGCTCATACTTCCTCCCAGGAGCTGAGGTTATCGACTCTCACTGTTGCCTACAGAGCACAGATCCTGAACTAAATGAAACATTTACTTGGAATAATGCTAATTCTGTACATATTTTATTCCCTAGTCCCCACTTCCCTGTTTAAAAACAAAATCTACTTAGAAAAAAATCCCTGTGAATCAGTTGTCTAATGAATTTAGCAAGTTAAATGCCAGATTGACATTTTGCTTTATAGTTTATACAAGCATGTGTGTGTTTTTTTCTCGCAGAGAACCATGGAGTCTGGCAGTACCGCCGCCAGTGAGGAGGCACGCAGCCTTCGAGAATGTGAGCTCTACGTCCAGAAGCATAACATTCAAGCGCTGCTCAAAGATTCTATTGTGCAGTTGTGCACTGCTCGACCTGAGAGACCCATGGCATTCCTCAGGGAATACTTTGAGAGGTTGGAGAAGGTAAAAATAAATGTGGGGAGATGATGAGGTGATTGTGACAGTTGTTACATTTAATAACTGGAATGTTACTAATTTGTATTTTTTGGAAGAAAAGGAATCTGACTAAATAAAAAGTCTAAAACAATTTCAAATAAGAAATACAGTTAAGGCATTTGTAGTAATTTAAAAATTCTTAATTAGTAGAATTTATCAGAAAAATGAACCTGTATGCTAACTGTACTTGGCTAATAAAGGGTTTCCAAACAATTCTTTGTAACTTTTTAAATTAGTGCGTAGAACTATAACAGATAAAACTGATCAGAACTAGTATAGCAGTTCTATGAATAAGAAATTCTATAGTTCTTAAAGGCAGTTAATGCTCCTCCCGTTTTGAACAAAGCAAGTAAGCGTAGTAAATCTTATCCCACTTTTAAAACTAGTGTAATGAAACATGAATCTAGCTTGTGACTGATATATCAGAAATTTTCAATTAGATTCGGTCTATTTTAGTATAGAGTATATCTGATAAATTACTGTAGAGATATTGATATTGATGTTCCTCAAAAATTTTACTCCATTTTATTGGTCAGGACTTGTTGCGCCTTGAAAAAAATTAATCCAATTTTTATTCTTTTTTGCTCTTCCTCCTTGCTTGTATGTCATTGTGACCTACGTATATGGCATATGTTTTTCTAAGCAAAGTGATAATTTTACATCAGGGATAATTGAAGCAAATGAATGCTTCAATTCATCTCCCTCAAGAAACGATGAATGAAAAAGTCTGGGTTACCAAATATTTTGAATAGTTTATGTGATTCGCTTCTGTAAATCAGTGAGAGAAACTTACTGATTTTCTTGTGCATGTGGAAGTTATGAGGTGGTTCATAATGATTATGAATTAATTGAAATGAATCATATACCAAAAGAAATGATTCATATACCAAAAGAAATGAATCATTTCTTTTGGTATATGATTATCTAATTGTATAATAGAAATAATTTGCTTTATTTTCCATTGGTTTTTATAGTTTCTTATAATCAGTATAGTTTATTAGTAAAAGAATCTGTACTAAGCTTTAAAAAGTATTTGGGTAGCTCATTGATCAGGTATTTTCTATTTTCTTTAAAAACTGATTGTTAAAATTTGTATTTAGTACCATGATCAGAATAATTAAAAAAAAAACAAAAACAACTAGTCACTGTGAATGTTGCTTTGCTGTCTTGGAATTATAGTAGATATTCTGGCTTTCTCTTATTTATGCAATTTCCAAATCATGGAAGTATTGTAGAGCCAGGTCATAGATGTAGCTTGTTTTGAAGTCAAGTGCATTCCTGGAGATCCGGTTTTGAAATGGGTCACTGTAAGGTGATCCCTCTTCTTTGGACATCAATAGAAACCATCAAATGAGAGGATTAAGTTGGTGAGACATTAAGTGTGTATCTTTTTATAGGGAGTGTTGAATGTGTGATGCTAGTTTCAAAGCTTGTAGTTGCCACAGTACTGTTTAAAGACTAACAAAGGTGGAAAGCAATAAATAATTATTAAAATGGTTTCTTTGCAGATGGAATTTTTAGATTTAATGTGTTTCAGCTTCTTTAACTTTTAATAATTAAAGTCACAGTTCAACATGGTTTTTGCTGTAATTCAAGGGTCTTTGTTCACATGTATACATTCCTTCCAGGGTTGAATATAGATACCTGGACCTTTAAGTAATTAGATTTTCAACTTGTTAGTGGGTCATAGTTCTGTGTATTAGGTGTTAATTTGTATGTTAGTCTATTAGTCCGTTGTCATGCTGCTAATAAAGACATACCGAGGCTGGGTAATTCATAAAGGAAAGAGGTTTAATTGACTCACAATTCAGCATGGCTGGGGAGGCCTCAGGAAACTTACAATCATGGCAGAAGGAGAAGCAAACCCATCCTCTTCACATGGCAGCAGCAAGGAGAAGTACAGAGCAAAATGGGAAAAGTCCCTTATGAAACCGTCAGCTATCGTGAGGACTCACTCACTATCATGATAACAGCATGAGGGTAACCCCCCTGCCATGATTAAGTTACCTCCCACCAGGTCCCTCTCAGGGCACATAGGGATTATGGGAACTGCAATTCAAGATGAGATTTGGGTGTGGACACAGCCAAACCATATCATTCCACCTCTGGCCCCTCCCAGATCTCATGTTTTCACATTTTGAAACACAGTCATGCCTTTCCAACAGTCCCTCAGAGTCTTAACTCATTCCAGCATTAACTCAAAAGTTCAAGTCCAAAGTCTCATCTGAGGCAAGGCAAGTCCCTTCCACCTATGAGCCTGTAAAATCAGAAGCAAGTTAGTTACTTCCTGGGGTCATTGGGTAGATAACACCCATTCCAAATGGGAGAACTTGGTCAAAACAAGGGGAGTATAGACCCCGTGCAAATCCGAAATCCAACGAGGCAGTAATTAAATCTTAAAGTTGCAAAAGGATCTCCTTTGACTCCATGTCTCACATTCAGGGCACACTGATGCAAGAGGTGGGCTCCCGTGGCCTTGGGCAGCTCCGCCCCTGTGGCTTTGCAGGGTACAGCCCCCCTCCTGGCTGCTTCCATGGGCAGGCATTGAGAGTCTGTTGCTTTTCCAGGTGCATGGTGCAATCTGTTGGTGGATCTACCATTCTGGAGTCTGGAGGATAGTGGCCCTCTTCTCGTAGTTCCATTAGGCAGTGCTGCAGTGGGGACTCGGTGTGGGGGCTCCAAACGACCCCACATTTCCCTTCCGCACTGCCCTAGCAGAGGTTCTCCAGGAGGGCCACGCCCCTGCAGCAAACTTCTGTCTGGGCATCCAGGCATTTCTGTACATCTTCTGAAATCTAGGGGGAGGTTCCCAAACCTCAGTTCTTGACTTCTGTGCACCCACAGGCCCAGCACCACTTGTAAGCCACCAGGGCTTGGGGCTTGCACTCTCTGAAGTAATGGCCAGAGCTGTACCTTTTAGCCAAGACTGGAGCTGAAGCAGCTGGAACGCAGGGTACCATGTCCTGAGGCTGCATAGTACAGGAGCCCCAGGGCATGGCCTAGGAAACCATTTTCCCCTCCTAGGCCTCTGGGCCTATGATGGGAGGGGCTGTCCTGAAGGTCTGTGACATGCCCTGGAGACATTTTCCCCATTGTCTTGGTGATTAACATTTGGCTCCTTGTTACTTATGTGAATTTCTGCGGCAGGCTTGAATTTCTCCCCAGAAAATGGGATTTTCTTTTCTATTGCTTTGTCAGGCTGCAAATTTTTCAAGCTCTGCTTCCTCTTGAATGCTTTCCTGCTTAGAAATTTCTTCCACCGGATACCCTAAATCATTTCTCTCAAGTTCAAAGTTCCACAGATTTCTAGGGCAGGGCCAAAATACTGCCAGTCTCTTTGCATAGCGAGAGTCACCTTTACTCCAGTTCTCAAGTTCCTCATCTCCATCTGAGACCACCTTAGCCTGGACTTCATTGTCCATATTACTATCAGCATTTTGGTCAAAGCCGTACAAGAAATCTCTAGGAAGTTCCAAACTTTCCCACATTTTCCTGTCTTCTTCTGAGCCCTCCAGACTGTTCCACCCTCTTCCTGTTACCCAGTTCCAAAGTTGCTTCTGCATTTTTGGGTATCCTTGTAACAGCACCCCACGCTCTGTGTACCATTTTACTGTATTAGTCTGTTCTCATGCTGCTAATAAAAGACATACCCAAGACTGGGTAATTTATAAAGGAAAGTGGTTTGACTCACAGTTCCTCATGGCTGGGCAGGCCTCGGGAAGCTACAATCATGGCAGAAGGGGAAGCAAACACATTCTTCTTCACATGGCAGCAGCAAGGAGAAGGGTCAAGCAAAAGGGGGAAAAGCCCCTCAAAACTGTCAGATGTCATGAGAGCTCACTATCACCAGAACAGCATGGAGGTAACCACCCCTGTGATTAAATTACCTCCCACCAGGTCCCTCCCACAATATGTGGGGATTATGGGAACTATAATTCAAGATGAGATTTGGGTGGGGACACAGCCAAACCATATCAGTCTGAAAATACAGTCATATTCTCATCACCTTCTTCGTCATTACTGGGGGGTTGTGTTTCTGTTACCTTCAACTACTCCATAAGAAATGTACCAAAAACTCTTGACAGTTGGTCTTTTGAAAGCTTCTGCATTTTAATTCAGTCATCTGGAATTTGAGTCTTCTTTTACTCTTGTATTTATTAGACCCTTAGGTAAGAGGAATTAAAATAACAGTGACCTTGTGTCTGCTGTGTCAGGTACTGTGTGAAGCACTTTATATACATAAATACTCGTTATTTCAAATGTACGAGGTATGTGATTTTCAGCATTTTATAGACATAGCAGTAAAACTGAGAGAAATTAAGTAATGTGGCTGTGGTTATAGACTGTAGTCGTCAGCTTTTGCTGGAGCAACATACAACCCCCAAATTTCAGTGGTTACTACAACAGACCAGTCATGTGCAGTTCTTCTGGTATCAGCCTGTCTTATGTTCTTGACACCACATATCTTGTTCTGGGGCTGAGCAGAAGGAGCAGCCCTATATAGGGCATGCTGTTCTCAAAGCAGAGGGAGGGCAGAAGCTCAAGGTGGACAGAGCCAAACCACACAGGCAACCATGGTATGGCATGTCCACTTACATTCCATGGCCAGAGCAAGTCCTGTAGCCAAGCCTTAAGTCAGTGGGGTGGGAAGTATACTTTACCCACAGGGAAGAGTGACAGAAGCAGGGAGGGAACAAATAATCGGGAAAACATAGTAGTGGGGACAGAATTTGAACCTAAGAGTCAAGAAGATAGTGCAGAATTTAATGCAAAACCGAATGCAGAATTTGAACCTCAGAGTCAAGAACATAATTAACCACTGAGTAGACTGGGAGGTTTTTTCTAATTTTTAATTTTTTATTGATATATAACATTTGTATGTTTTTATGGAGTACATGTGATATTTTACAGGCATAGAATGTGTAATGATCACGTCAAGGTATTTAGGTTATTCATCACCTCACTTAAAGAGCTGAGGAGGAAGGAGACTGACAGAAGGATGACAACAGCAAGAGAAAGGATATAAAAATATATCATAGTATATACTAGAAAACTCATGATCTGAGTAATGGCTCTGAGTTGTCAGATTAGGTTATATTCAGATTGCTGTTTTTAAAAGACTCACTAGAATCCATGAGACACTGCTAAAATCAGAATGCTTTTGTTACTTCAAAATTAATCTTAAAAATTCAGTGAAGTAGAATGTAGTCCCAAGTGAAATGTTATTTGTGAAATTTTTCCTGAAATTTTTGTGAAATGTCAGTGACAAATTTGGGGGTGGGAGAATTTGTGTTTTCATTTATACTCTTAAACTGTGTGTGTGTTTTATTTTATTTTTATTATTATTTTTTTGAGACAGTCTTGCTCTGTCACCCAGGCTGGACTGCAGTGGTGCAATCTCGGCTCACTGCAACCTCTGCCTCCTGGGTTCAGGCGATTCTCCTGCCTCTGCCTCCTGAGTAGCTGGGGCTACAGGTGCCTGCCACCACACCTGGCTAATTTTTGTATTTTTAGTAGAGATGGGGTTTCACCATAATGGCCAGTCTGGTCTTGAACTCCTGACCTTGTGGTCTGCCCACCTTGGCCTCCCGAAGTGTTGGGATTACAGGTGTGAGCCACCATGCCTGGCCTATTTTTTGAGACAGGATCTCACTCTGTTGCCCAGGCCTGAGTGCAGTGGTGCGATCATGGCTCACTGCAGTCTCTACCTTCCAGGCTCAGGTGATCCTCCTGCCTCAGCTTCCCAAGTAGCTGGGACTACAGGTGTGTGCCACCACGCCCAACTAATTTTTATGTGTTTTTGTAGAGATGAGGTTTTACAATGTTGCCTAGGCGGGTCTCGAACTCCTGGACTCAAGTGATCTGCCACCTTCGGCCTCCCAAAGGGTTGTGATTATAGGCGTAAGCCACTGTACCCAGTCATGTATTCTTAAACTTTAAACTTGGGAGAGACTTGAGTTTTATACCTGTGTTAATATGAAATGAGAAAACCTTACTGGTTATTGGAACAACCAGAATTAACATGAAATGAGTTTTCTAAAAACCATATTTTAAAAAGTAGGTTACATATTCACATATTTCAAAGTTGTGCAGGTACAAAGGGGCATAATAATGAAAGGTCTCCCTCCCACGCCATTGCTTTTCTTGAATGCTGCCAATGTTCTGGAGATTAATATATGGGCACTTACAAATTTATATATAGAAAAGAAATAACGGGTCAAATGAATGAGAAAGTAGAAGATAACACATTTTTATTTTTTCCCTTTTACTTCAGGCACAACAACTAATTCTTTAGATCTGAGAGGAATTTGTTTTTAAGGCTCTAGATGTGAAAAAAGGAATGTTTAATAGTTTATCTTAGGTTTTATTTGAATTGGTCCAATAAGTAGTTTTTAAAAGCAAGTAAACTCTTTTTGTCTTTTAACTTCAAGTTTAAACCTTGATTACAAAGAGTGATCCTAGCTCTGCTGGGAGAAGTATTATAGATACGATCTCGTTTAAATTCGTGGTTACCATCACATCATTTCATTATTTGTTTTTATCTGGGATCAAACTGGAATGTGAATTCCACAGGCTCAGGACCCTCTCCTATTTGTTTTTAATTTCCTGTTGCCTAGCATAGGTCTTGGCCTGGCAGATCCAGAAAATGGCTTATTGAGTTAATGAAATAACTCAGTAATCTAGACATTCTTGGATCACTATGTTGGGCTTGAATTGTTTTTCCTGATAACATTTCTTTTGGCAGGAGGGTCTCTTGCTATCTGCAGTAGCATCCAAAAAAACCCAATTTTCAGGATTTTGTCTTGCAGTGTGTTACTGTTGTGTGCATCACAGATAATTGTTGTCAAGACATTAATGAATATCTGATTTGTTACTCACATGTTATGTGAGTACTAATGGCTTGTACTAATGACTTTTGCCCATTAATAAAGGATAGCATCTGTTATCATCTGAGGTACATTCTGTTGAGAGTGTTTCAAGTGTTACTCTCTTTTTTTCCCCTTTGGAATTGGTGTTTTCCTCTTAACTTACATTGTTAATGGAAGAAGAGATTGGAAGTGACTGAGATAGACTATCATTGGAACATGAGAGTGCCAGCTTTACATGCCGAAGGATCTCATTTTGCAAACTCGTAATTTCTTTCAGGAGGAGGCAAAACAGATTCAGAATCTGCAGAAAGCAGGCACTCGTACAGACTCAAGGGAGGATGAGATTTCTCCTCCTCCACCCAACCCAGTGGTTAAAGGTAGGAGGCGACGAGGTGCTATCAGCGCTGAGGTCTACACGGAGGAAGATGCGGCATCCTATGTTAGAAAGGTAGTTTTGATATTTGAATATCGGGGGGATGCTTTTGGGACCCACTTGGTGGTCATCTAGTCTCCTTTGATGAATGAATCATAAAATACAAAACAGGGTGGAACTTCATCCATCCTGTACAATTCTTGGGTACTGGAAAACAGGTTTCTGTAATAGCATGCTGTCAGAGGAAATAACTAATAGTGATTATGAACTAGTGAATAATTGCATTTTGGGGTTTGTTATTTCCTTGCAGTTGTTTTGCAGTAGAAGGAGGTGGGCGGTATTGCTTTTTCTCTTGAATCGTGATGTCCTTTTTTTGCTATCCTATTAAATGTTGTGGCTTTTAACCTTTTATTCTACGAGCCTCATTTGTCCTGTGTTCTCCTCTTCCTCAGAGCCAGGCTATTTTGAGTTATGCTGTTAGCCTTAAAGGGGAACAGAATTGTCCTGGCACTTGAGGCTTGTGAAGCTAACAGATCACAGATTTTTAAAATGACTAATTATTATAAAATACTTAGTTTTGCCTCAGAATAATGACCTTGGTCCAGGTGTTTTGATTTGTTTCTTTAGTTGTTAACTGGGAACCAAGTACCAGACTTTATATTTAGGCCTGGCTGTAGGCAAGGGGATTAATTAGTCAATACTTGTTGAGTAGTTTATGGATCAAAGATAGTACAAGTGTGTTGTAGTGAAACACTACAAAGCAGTCTTGTTTAAATACCATAATGTGGCTTGACATTTAATTGAAGCGCAGGTTGCAAACGTGAAATGTTTTTGGTTTATGGAATTGTCATTTGACCTTCAGTTCTTTTCTAGGTTATACCAAAAGATTACAAGACAATGGCCGCTTTAGCCAAAGCCATTGAAAAGAATGTGCTGTTTTCACATCTTGATGATAATGAGAGAAGGTAGGAACAGGCTCTTTCTTAACACTATTTTTCAAGTAAGGGTGTGATCCCAAATTGTTTTCAACACTTGTTGCAAGTTTTAGAGCTCTTAGTAATTGTTCACCAGATGACAGTCTGGGGTCTTTAATTCTAAGCTTAATGTTTGAAATTCACGGAAGAGACATGTGAAATGTAACACGAGGCCTTCTCTCTTTTGCAGTGATATTTTTGATGCCATGTTTTCGGTCTCCTTTATCGCAGGAGAGACTGTGATTCAGCAAGGTAAGGGCCTCTGGAGCATGCAATATTGTTACGGGAGAGGAGGCGAGACTAGAGGATTTTTTTGGTTTTGTTTTATTGAAGTTTGTTTTCCTCTTTGATCCTACCACTTTTTTTTTTCTGTTATACTATTGGATTTTTCTATTTCTTTTAAATTAAGATTTTCTGAGATGGACAGAACACTTTGTATTGGGAACTAATATTTTTGATACAGTTTTGTTTATAATTTAAAGGAAATGCCTACATTGTCTTACCTTGAATGTCATATAGAATTGCAGAATCATATATATCTCTCATGTTCTTTATATTGTTAATCACTTTTAAAGTAAGAAATAAATGAAACACCTACATTCTTCATTGTATAGCCCTGTCTATTAAAAAGGTTCTAGGACTTCTATAGATTCTTACTTTGCCTATATAGACTAACATGGATCTAACTTTTTGACTATCTTCCTCTTTTTATTTTCTTATTTATTCTTGACATTTTATGAGTGGGTATATATTTTCATTTTGTGGCAGCCTGATAATTTGTTATTAACTATTTGAGTTGTTTCTAATGTCCTTGTTATAAATGCCATAGCAGTTAATAACTACACATATGTAGCTTTTAAAAATTTTTTTCAGAGGTATTCTTCACCATGAGATGACTAAAAAAATTTTGATTAATTCTATGACTTTTAAAATATGTTGCTTGATTTTCTTTCCCCTGAAAGATTGTGTTAGTTTGTAACACACTCTCACAGTACCACTGTAAAATAAGTTTATTGTTTTGTAATAATTTTGATAATTTCTTTCTTTAATTTGGAATATGCTTCTAACTTTTTTACCCTCTTTTAGGTGATGAAGGGGATAACTTCTATGTGATTGATCAAGGAGAGACGGATGTAAGATTTACCAATATCAAAAATATGTTGATCTTAAAAGCCAATGTATTGATCGCTTCCGAGCAATAAGAATAGTGATTTTGAAGGGTCATTACATCCCTTGTATGTCAGATTTTATTAATACCTTTTGCCAAGTATTTTTATGACACAGAGAAACTCTTTAAAGGTAATTTTCTGTTCAGAACTTTGCTGGAGTGGTGGTGAAGAAGTGTGTGTAGCTGGGTGCAGTGGCCGATGCCTATAATCCCAGCACTTTGGGAGATGGAGGCAAGAGGGTTGCTTGAGCCCAGGAGTTCAAGACCAGCCTGGGCAACAAAGTGAAACCTCATCTCTTAAAAAAAAAAAAAAAAAAAGATTCTAGACCCAGCCATTAGCTAGCAAAATTAATATACCTTTCTTATTCACAAATGAAATGGGGACAATAATAGCATTGATCTTTTAGGATTATTAGAAGATTCAGTGACCTAATGCAAGTAAAATGTTTAGCATAGTGCTCAGCACGGTTCTCTAAGTATCTGTGACTGGTATTAGTGCTTAGCTGACCTTTTTCCCTTACATCCTTACAGAGTGCTTTTTTCTTATCAGATAATTAAATCAGGTAAATTATAGACACTCTTAACTCATTTAACTCGTCAGAAATCACCTATTCTTCTCTGTTGTGTACTGCAAACATAATATATTCTGTTTTTTAAAACAAAGTTCAGGATTGTGACCTTTTAAAAAGGTTTGAGGGTTTTTAACATTTAAGTGTTTGTATCTAGAAAATAAACTTTTTTGATGTCACTTGCACTTTAGGTCTATGTTAACAATGAATGGGCAACCAGTGTTGGGGAAGGAGGGAGCTTTGGAGAACTTGCTTTGATTTATGGAACACCGAGAGCAGCCACTGTCAAAGCAAAGACAAATGTGAAATTGTGGGGCATCGACCGAGACAGCTATAGAAGAATCCTCATGGTAAGAGACCATGGTGTTTGAGAGTGTGATTTAGAATTCTCATCTACGTAACTAATGTTTGAATATTACCAAATTAAAAAGAGAATATTTCTTTTAATGAGCAAATATTTCTTTCTTTTAATAAGCGAATATTTTTCTTTTAATGAGCAAATACTTTGCATTAAGCCCAGCTTAGCATTATTCATTATGCCATTTTAGGCAGTGATATTTTAGAACAAAACCTTGGGAAACAAGATCTGGTATATATGTGCTGGTCATCTCATGTTTGGAAATCTATCCATTTGCTGGTAGGCACATCTTAATTTACCTAGTTATACCCATTACAGCATGATAGGTGCTGCTTTTAAGTGCTTAAAGTTATTTGGGGCCATTCAGAAATAATCAGCTTCCCTAACCTGTGAAAGTGGGTTATCAGTAATGTATATGTATGTCATGTCCCCTCTCGTTAAAGGAATAAACAAAATACTAAAACCATTGGAACTTTCTGGTGATAGTCAGATTTTTTGAGAACGTTGTGATAAATTTATAGGATAGCTTTGGATGTTTAAGTCTCAGCCAATGCATTGGTCATTTTTAATGGTTTTCTTAAATTTGTGCAGTGTCCATCTGACCATTTGAAAATGTACAGCCTGATGTACTTTGAAATTTTTCTGCATTTGGGATATATAGATAGATTAGATTAGATAGATAGTCTTGTCCTTCGCAGCAACATAGATAGAGCTGGAGGCCATTTTTCTAAGCAAAATAACACAGGAACAGAAAACCAAACCACATGTTCTCACTTACAGTTGGGAGCTAAGCAATGAGAACACGTGGATACTAGAAGGGGAACAACAAACACTGGGGCCTACTTGAGGGTGGAGGGTGGGAAGAGGGAGAGGATCAGGAAAAATACCTGTGGTGTACTTTACTTATTACCTGGGCAACAAAATTACCTGAACACCAAACCCCTGTGACACCCAGTTTACCTATATAACCTGCACATGTACCCCTGAACCTTAAACCCACACACACAAAAAAACGCTTATGGCAAAGATAAGTCTAAATTTTAGAAAGATTGGTTTTGAAGTGATGTGACAGTCTACTGGAGAAGAAACTGACCATACAGTTAGTTCTGCATTTCCTCTACAGGAATACTATTAGTAAAAGGAAACATAGAATGTTTACAGCTTTATCTCATTGTCAAAGAAGGAAGAGGTAGGACCTGGAACTATTGGTTTGAAATAAAATATTTTACTTTCTCATAGTGGGCCTGAAAGGAAATTAGGGCCTCACAATGCTTTGGCTTTGTGGACAGGAATTAGGAACTGTAGATATGGGGTGAAATATCTATATAGCTGGGTAGGGGAGGATATGGTCCTTTTTTTATAGAATAAAGACATGTCAATTGTATAGGTGAGAAGCCAGAACTAATGGAGGAATCTGCATTTAAATACCAGCGTTGAACAGGAAGAACACTAGGATTATTGGGTTGTAAATGACCTAGATTACTTTTGTGAGAAAATATTTTCAGAGATAAATTGGGTTGGCAGTGGCACAAAATCAGTTTGAGAGTAAACATGGAAATTGGACATTGGTTTAAAGTGTGTGGAAAAATATCTTGAGTGATAGGCTCAGGTATAAACCGGTATTTCGACTGTATTTGGAAGTTGGGAAATGCTTTGTGAAATATGTCAACATACTGGTTGCAAATGCTAGGAATTGGGCATAATATTGGCGGAAAATAAAAATCACAAGAATGTCATATCATTCATTACCTGTAAAATAAAAATGAATTAGTTAAAATTAAACTTTCCTCATTAAAAGCAACAAGCTTTGACTTTCTGGTTTTAAAATTTATTTGAAACTTAATATTTATTATTCCATAGCATTATGTGGTGATAATTACACGTCTTGGGGATATCACTTTTGTTATTTTTATTTTTAGGGAAGCACACTGAGAAAGCGGAAGATGTATGAGGAATTCCTTAGTAAAGTCTCTATTTTAGGTGAGTTGTAAAGTGTGTTAACTTTGCTAGTATGTGAGATACCCCTGAATTAGAATTGGATGGACTTGGGAAAAGCCTTCTGAAAGTATAATTGCTACTCATTCCCCCTGAAAAGACAGAAGGGCTGAAAGTCCTTCTGACTGTGGACATTCACAGTTATTTCCTCTGTGACTTCCCGTCTCTCTTGTTCCATCATTGAGTTGATTGGTTCAGAAAAGTGAGTACTTCCAACAATACATTTCCTCTGTGGAAAGATTAGGTATCATTTGCTGGCATCCTCTGAAAACATGCCAGAAGTTTGTTGAAATTTAGAGTAAAGCAGATTAATTGAAGATATTCTTTTGTGCATTTTGTTATGTGGACTTGGAGATGTTAGAACTTGTTCTTCATGAAAGGGGAATGGGGATTTTTATAAGGTAACAGGCTTCTGCCATTGTTTATTACAGTGAATTTTTCACCTCTTCTTTGTCTTTTCTTTGAATTGGTTACATATGCTTTGTGTTTTGGATAGTAGTTTGGCCTTTGGGAATAAAAGTTATTTTCTAGTTCTTTTTCATAAAGTAAACCAAGAATTTAAATAGATTAAATTATTTCTATGAAACTTTGGAACGATATGGATGGGGAAACTATGACTTTTGAGTATTGTAGTTGTAGGTTTGATTTGCATTGATGGCAATCTTCAGGAATACTTAAGGATTACATTTTCTTATTCCCTTGCCATTTGGTACAGTTGGTATAAATTAACCTAGCCACTGGGCTACCGAAGTAAGGATCTAAGGGCTATCTGCAGGCAGTATGAGAATCCTGCTCAGACTAGAGGTAATTGAAGACAGGTACCACTTTTAATCTGAGACACTACTAGAATGTTGAATGGGCATGGCTATTTGGTTGAATCTCTTTATACTTTCTTTTTACCTTTATAACAGCACCAAATAATACAGAGCAGTTATTTTGATTCTTGTCTTTCAGAGTCTCTGGACAAGTGGGAACGTCTTACGGTAGCTGATGCATTGGAACCAGTGCAGTTTGAAGATGGGCAGAAGATTGTGGTGCAGGGAGAACCAGGGGATGAGTTCTTCATTATTTTAGAGGTAAAGAACTCAGAATTTAATACTTGAATTTTAGAGGTAAAGAACTCAGAATTTAATACTTTAAAAAGTTGTACGCTCTAAGAGGGAAAGAGTGGGCTAATTCTGAACTATAGCTTTAGTTTTTAAGAATACCTGACCATTTTATTTTAAAATTATCTTTTACTTTGAAATGCTGTTGTTTGGTTTTCTGCCAGGTCACTATATTTTTAAATGAGTTTGAGTCAGAATTCTTGAAGGGCCCTAGACATGAAAAGCCAAATTCTAAAAACCATTTAACATAACAAACTGTGATGATTCTGCACTATTCTTGTTAAAATGCAAGTGTTTGGGCTATTTGGCAAATAAGGATTAAAGGTAATTATTTAAATTTGAAAAATTACTGTGTTTGTATATCTCCACATTCCATGGAAATGTATAGCAGATACTCTTGCTAAGCGGATCCAAGTGGCAGATTTCTATGAATGTGGCTCCATAGTTGCTAATTGATTTTATTTAAATCAGGGGTCAGGAGACTGTAAAGGGCCAGGTGGTAAGTAAGTTAAGCTTTGTGGACCATAGGGTTTCATTCGCAAAGTCTCAACTCTTGTCATAGTGCAAAAGCAGCCACAAATAATATGTAAATGAATGTATGTGGTATTTCAGTAAAGTTTGATTTGCGAAAGAGACAGTGAGCTTGGATTTAGCCCTTCATCTACAGTTTGCTAACCCAAGTGTGCACCCTTTAAGCACCTTAGCTTGATACGAAGAACCTCGCTAGCAGGAGATGCTGGTAAAATAGAAATTGAAGCTCATGTGGTGACTAACTTTAAAGTCATTTTTTATCATATGCACACATTTGCAAGGTAGTTAAAATTGCATAGGATGTTTAAGGTGCCACCCTGGGTTTGAGAGTGTGTGTTTGTTTAGCTTTTTGGTGATTTTATTATAGGGGTCAGCTGCTGTGCTACAACGTCGGTCAGAAAATGAAGAGTTTGTTGAAGTGGGAAGATTGGGGCCTTCTGATTATTTTGGTATGTATGAATTCCCTCACAATAAATACATGGTTTCTTTAAGTCACCTCTCAGTGAGATATTGTAGTCTTCCATAATTTTGTCTTCTCCTGAATTTTATTTTCTAACTGCAGTCTTTTTTGGCTCTGAGAGGGAAGGTGTGAGATTTTGATCTTTACTCATTTAATGAAATTACTGATTGTCTCATATCTATTGTCTTCTTTCTCAGAAGTGCACTGCTTTAAGGAAATGTTTTTCATAGAAGTTAGCCTGTTACCCATCTTTGCTTTCTCCAGGTGAAATTGCACTACTGATGAATCGTCCTCGTGCTGCCACAGTTGTTGCTCGTGGCCCCTTGAAGTGCGTTAAGCTGGACCGACCTAGATTTGAACGTGTTCTTGGCCCATGCTCAGACATCCTCAAACGAAACATCCAGCAGTACAACAGTTTTGTGTCACTGTCTGTCTGAAATCTGCCTCCTGTGCCTCCCTTTTCTCCTCTCCCCAATCCATGCTTCACTCATGCAAACTGCTTTATTTTCCCTACTTGCAGCGCCAAGTGGCCACTGGCATCGCAGCTTCCTGTCTGTTTATATATTGAAAGTTGCTTTTATTGCACCATTTTCAATTTGGAGCATTAACTAAATGCTCATACACAGTTAAATAAATAGAAAGAGTTCTATGGAGACTTTGCTGTTACTGCTTCTCTTTGTGCAGTGTTAGTATTCACCCTGGGCAGTGAGTGCCATGCTTTTTGGTGAGGGCAGATCCCAGCACCTATTGAATTACCATAGAGTAATGATGTAACAGTGCAAGATTTTTTTTTTAAGTGACATAATTGTCCAGTTATAAGCGTATTTAGACTGTGGCCATATATGCTGTATTTCTTTGTAGAATAAATGGTTTCTCATTAAACTCTAAAGATTAGGGAAAATGGATATAGAAAATCTTAGTATAGTAGAAAGACATCTGCCTGTAATTAAACTAGTTTAAGGGTGGAAAAATGCCCATTTTTGCTAATTATCAATGGGATATGATTGGTTCAGTTTTTTTTTTTCCAGAGTTGTTGTTTGCCAAGCTAATCTGCCTGGTTTTATTTATATCTTGTTATTAATGTTTCTTCTCCAATTCTGAAATACTTTTGAGTATGGCTATCTATACCTGCCTTTTAAGTTTGAAACTAACTCATAGATTGCAAATATTGGTTAGTATTTAACTACATCTGCCTCGGCTCACAAATTCCGATTAGACCTTTATCCAGCTAGTGCCAAATAATTGATCAGATGCTGAATTGAGAATAAGAATTTGAGGTCTACATTCTTGGTTGTTAATTTAGAGCGTTTGGTTAAAGTATGTCCTTCAGCTGACTCCAGTATAATCTCCTCTGCTCATTAAACTGATTCCAGGAGATTGGATTTGCTGTGACTAGATACAGATGGAGCAAATGTCCTAACAGAGAAATAGAGGTGATGCTGCTAAAGGGAGAAATGCCAGGCGGACAAAGTTCAGTGTCGGGAATTTTCCCCGTGACATTCACTGGGGCATGAGATTTTGGAAGAAGTTTTTTACTTTGGTTTAGTCTTTTTTTCCTTCCTTTTTATTCAGCTAGAATTTCTGGTGGGTTGATGGTAGGGTATAATGTGTCTGTGTTGCTTCAAATTGGTCTGAAAGGCTATCCTGCTGAAAGTCCTGCTTTCCTATCTAGCATTTATTTCTCTGGCAAACTTTTCTTTCTTTTCTTTTTTAAAGTAAACTTGTGTATTGAGTCTTAACTGTATTTCAGTATTTTCCAGCCTTATGTGTTACATTATTCCAATGATACCCAACAGTTTATTTTTATTATTTTTTTAAACAAAATTTCACAGTTCTGTAATGTAGGCACTTTTATTTTCATTGTGATTTATATATAAGGTAATGTAGGGTTATATTTGGGAGTGACTGCAAGCATTTTTCCATCTGTGTGCAACTAACTGACTCTGTTATTGATCCCTTCTCCTGCCCTTTCCCAGGTAATTTAAATTGGTCATGGTAGATTTTTTTCATAGATTTGAAAAACTTTTAGGTTGTTACCAAGTATGAAGTATAAATCTGGGGAAGAGGTTTTATTTACATTTTAGGGTGGGTAAGAAAGCCACCTTGTTACAAATTTTTTAATTTCCAAAATAATCTATATTAAATGAGGGTTTCTGATCTGTACTTTGTGTTTAGCTACCTTTTTATATTTAAAAAATTAAAAATGAAAATTACGTTCTTACAAGCTTAAAGCTTGATTTGATCTTTGTTTAAATGCCAAAATGTACTTAAATGAGTTACTTAGAATGCCATAAAATTGCAGTTTCATGTATGTATATAATCATGCTCATGTATATTTAGTTACGTATAATGCTTTCTGAGTGAGTTTTACTCTTAAATCATTTGGTTAAATCATTTGGCTTGCTGTTTACTCCCTTCTGTAGTTTTTAATTAAAAACTTTAAAGATAAGTCTACATTAAACAATGATCACATCTAAAGCTTTATCTTTGTGTAATCTAAGTATATGTGAGAAATCAGAATTGGCATAATTTGTCTTAGTTGATATTCAAGGCTTTAAAAGTCATTATTCCTGGGCTTGGTAAGTGAATTTATGAGATTTACTGCTCTAGAAAGTATAGATGGCCAAAGGACCGTTTTGTATTGCTTCCTGATTACCAGTCTGATTATACCATGTGTGCTAATATACTTTTTTTGTTATAGATTGTCTTAATGGTAGGTCAAGTAATAAAAAGAGATGAAATAATTTAAATTCTTAAATGAATCAGTTTTTCTTCCCTTTCTCCTTTCCGTCTTTCCTCTCTCTGTCCTTCCCCGAAAGTCTACTCGGGTGGGCAAAAATGAAAAGGGGGAAAGTGAATTATGGGATCGGTGTTTTGAAAGAGCAATGTTTATTTTCAGTGCTTTTCAGTTTGTCAAAGAGTGGATCTCAAAATCTTGCTTAAAGGGTAATTGAGATGTAGCAGATTTATTTACTTAGTCATGGAAAGAAAAAAATTCAGTCAAAAGCTAAAGATTTCCTTTTGATTGAAGACAGATTGGTTCTGTGGCCTTGGAACTTTCCCAGACTTAATGGGGAAACATCATTTCTAGATTAGCATACTCTTTGGTTTAAATTTAATATATACATTTAATGTTACTTAGGGATACTTTTATATTTTGCATATATAAAGCCTCATATATAAAGCCTTATTTCTGATGCTCTTAGATTTCTGAGGAGTGAGATGATTAAGTTGTATTCATTAGTGTATTGGTATTTCTTCACATCCAGTGAAATTGGAGATATGTTGTATGTTAGAAGAGCATTCTTTAAATTGTGTTGCTTTGAACATGTGTACCTTTTCTAGATTCAGTAATCCCTTCCCCCCGTCCTCTGGAGTATGAAACCTTTAGAGTCACAATAAAATGTAACTAAAGAAAATTTCTCTGGGTTGACAGTCCTGGTTATAGTTGAATTCTCTCTAAACAGTGGCCCAAGTAGACTCTTTTTTTTGTTTCTTTTATTTTTTAATGATTTAAATATTGACATTTAAAAATTGAAGTAGCATGTCAGTTTTCTTCATACTACTTTATCTCTAACCACAAATAATAGCTGAACCTTTTGTACTTATGTTAGGCCCTGGCAGTGTATGTTTAGATGGGCTAAGACAACATCAAGAAGCAATGGCTAGATAACCATTTAATTTGTCCCCAAAGGTACGTTTTTATCTGTCTATTTGTCTATTTATCGATCTGTCTATCTAAGATGGTCTCACTCTGTCACCCAGGCTAGAGTGAAGTGGCATGATCACTGCAGCCTCTCTGCTTCCCAGATTCAAGTGATTCTTGTACCTCAGCCTCTGGAATAGCTGGGACTACAGATGTGTGCCATCACACCCAGCTAGTTTTTTGTATTTTTAGTAGAGGTGGGGTTTTGCCATGTAGCCTAGGCTGGTCTCGAACTCCTAAGCTCAGTTTGCCCACCTTAGCCTCCCAAAGTGCTAGCATTACAGGTGTGAGCCAGCGTGCCCGTCTCCCAAAGGTATTATTATAATAGCTATCAGTAAACGCTGTAGCTATGTGAATTTCTTAAATCTCTTCCTTCCTATGCTATGTGATTTTTACATAGAAAGCAGCATTGTTATGTACATGTACCGCTAACATTTGTTTCTTGACATAAGTTCAGAGCTGTGACTTCATCTGGACTACACCTAAAACCAAAACCACTGAGTAAGATTTTTTCATTTTGTGAAAGTTCTGCCAATTTTGCTTAAGTAGCTGTGTGATTTTAAAGGTTGCCACTAGATGGTGGGCTTTTTTTAATCTTCGTTAATCTCAAATGAGTTAACTGTTGATCCTTATCATTCATGGATTCTGTATTTGTAATTTACCTACTTGCTAAACTTTATTTGTAACCCCAAAATCAATAGTCACAGGGCTTTTGCAGACATGAGCTGGGAAGTGAAAAGTTTGAGCCTCCCAACACACATGTTCCCAACTGAGGTGGAACAAAGGGATGCTCATCTTTCATACTGTGAATAAGTGTCCTTTTCTTGGGTCTTTTTAGTGCCTTTTTTTTTTTTTTTTTTGCATTTTTGTATTTTTTTTGTTGTTGGTGATTTCACTATTAAAAGCCCCTAAGTGTAGTGATGAAGTGCTGACTAGTGTTCCTAAGTGAAAGAAGGCTGTGTTGTGCCATATGTAGAAAATATGTATATTGGATGTTTCTTTTAGGTCTGGGTTACAGTGCTGTTTGCCATGAGTACAATGTTAATGAATCAGTATATATTAAATAAAGTGTCTTAAACATGCGTTAACATAAAACACGCACACAGCAAGATTATGTATTGATCGGTCAATAAAAATGTAACTAGAGACTCCCAGCAACCTAACCCTGTATTTCCCCTAGGAGCAATGTTCAGTATTTGCCAATGCAGTGTTTGTGGTGACTTTATGGAACATAAAACTAACTCGTAAGAGAATGACTAATTTTTTTGTAATATTCAAACTCATATTGTCTTCCTGGCTTTTGAGAAGGCTAAAACGAATTCTTCCAAATGCCTCTTTCCATCAGTACAGTTCCCGTTCATTTTTTAGTTTGCTGTCAGTAGTAACTTGAAAAGTTCTCAGAGTCAAGAGACTTTTTATTTCATGGGAGGTAAACAGTTCAAAATGAACATGCTGGAAGAACTCGAGTAAGAATGAAACGGTTGGTTTTCTGATATTTTTGAGAAATGAGTCTTAATTTTGTTACTAATCAAAAAGTAATGGAAGGTTGAAAGATAAGTGAATAATAAGGTAGGTGTACCACATATCATGGTGAAATTCAAGCCTATTGCTTTCTGTTTGTAGAGTGCAGCAAAATGTGTATATAGGCCATTGGAAAACCAGTCCTTCGTTATAGGAGGTGGCGGGTTTTGAGGTAGAGCTGTAGCCTGCTTTCCTGAGAGTCTTATTTGGAAGTCCCAAACCATTTTGTGCTATTCTTTGAATGTTTTTACCCAGATATTTTCCCATTTCTGTGTGTGATCTCCTGGTTCTTCATCCACAGGGAAGAAACATCTTGAAGCAGGAGAGACAGTGAATGAAGTGGGGAGCCCTATGCTGCAGTAGGGCCACAACAGTTAAGGAAATCTTTGGGATTAAGGTTTCTCTGTTAAAGAGTTGATTTAAAAAAAAATTTTTTTTTTTTTGTATTTTTTTGTAGAGACAGGGTTTTGTCATGTTACCCAGGCTGGTCTCGAGCTCCTGAGACCAAGCGATCTGCCTGTTTAGGCCCAAAGTGCTGGGATTACAGGTGTGAGCCCATGCCCAGCTGATTTTTTTTTTAAGCAAACAAATTTGACTTCATAAATTGGGTGGGATACTGTTGGGTTTTGTGTTACAGTGAAAAGAAGACTTTGGAATAGGTCTAAACCACTAAATTGTGTGATTTTGCTTACTCTCTCTGAGATTTAAAGTTCTTCCATGCACATTGGAGGATGGGGGTTGTATCTGTGTTTGAGAGGATTGGAAACCTGTGTGTTGCTTCTGTAGCGTTGGTGAGTGCCTCACCTGGTCAGATCTCAGTGAATGGTAGTGATTTTAGAGAGACACAAAGTCCAGGGGCAGCATACCAGTCATGTGGGGGTACCACGGGGTCAGAAGTGTTATTTGTCCAGTCGAGGCTATCTTTGCTCACACTGCAGAAAGCTTGGAGACATTTCTGGTTCTTGACCTTGTACTCTCTTTAGTGACAGCTCCATTCTATTCTCATGCTTACAGTATTTGAACTCTGGCCTTTACTGGAAAAGTTGATTTGATGAAATGAGGCATTTTTACTTTTGTTGACTGACTAGTCACTCCATGGAATGAAGACCTTACTGTCCTTTGTGTTTTCGGTCATTAATTATGGAATAAGAAACAAAGCCTCCTATTAAAAGGAGTTTCAGATATCAACAAGTCAGGGAGAAGGTAGAGGAGACAAGGAATCCCTACTACACTTTCTTCTAAGGGAGGCTTCAATAAAAAACCTGACTTAGTCTTTTTTGAGCCAGCCGTCACAGGGAGGGGCATCTAGAGGGCCTCACCTTTCCACATAGCCCCTTTCTTCTTTTGGGGATGGGCCGGGGACAATCCTGGGGTCTTAGGGAAGAAGATTGTGGTTGGTGGGCTGTAGTCAGCCTTGGCTCTTTTCCTGCCTTACTCCAGGCTTGTGTCCCTGCTAGGCCTGTTCCCATGCCATCCTGACCTTGGAGGACTTTCCTTTTTTTTTCCTTCGTTGTAATTATTTATTCTGTTACTGGCTGCTTAGTGTGACATATTTGATGTTATTTCAATTGTAATACTCTTCAAATTGGAACACTCCTTTTCTGATATTCTTAGCAAATCCCTCTTTTATTTTTGCCACTTGTTATAATATCTCTAAGAAGTTACTCCAGGACCGGGCAGTAGGGATTACTGATTCAGATGGGTCCAGTGACTAGAATATGAGTAGAAAGTGTGAGGTCTAATTTGAACCTGTCAGAGTTACTGTTGCCTGCGCTGGCCCAAAGTGCAGATTTTTAGTCAGCTTGTGATAGGCCAGGTGTTTTGTCTGGACCAGGAGTTATCTTTGACTTGTAGCTAGAATAAGGATCCTGAGAAGTCAGGTATCCACTTGATGTCCTTTTATTTGACTTGTTACCATTAGTACTCTCCTGGGATCAAGGCTGCCAAGCCTGACCTATACCCAGATTTCCCAGTGCACTCAGGAGATCGTCGGTGGCCTTGATGAAGCCAGTGCTTTTTGGGAAAAACGGAGCAAGGCAACGCACGACAGAAGCGGTGCACCAAGGAGTAAAGATTCAGTTCCATGGGCCCCACTTGCTGTTTGAGAAAATGTCCTGCTTCCTTCCTAGCTGACTTGACTCCCAGCAGTAACAGGTGGGAGTGAGGACGCAGGGTCGGCACTCGAGTCGACTGCTCTGGCTCCAGGCGTATTTTCTGAAACTGGACTCTGCCAGCCCTTAGCTTGTCAAGTTAGCCTGGCCAGAGTCTGGGGCCAACTGTTCCACTGGGCCGTCGACTATGACACTCTGCTGTCCATGGGCCACTATGCACCCCTCCACTGTCCTTAGGATGGTTTGGAGCCTTCGATCCAGGGCAAGGAGGTGGGGTTCAGTGAGGACAGGGCTGAGCTGGTCTTCCAGCAGTGATTCTCGCATCACATCGCTGAGTCTGTAGTCAGCTTGGGCCAGCAGCTGCAGGTGCAAAAGTGTTTTCTTTTTTATCCTGAAAAGACAAAGTTACAGGAACCAAATAAGCAAATGTAAAGAAAATAACTTGCCTGAACTTCTTTCCCCACAAACAGCTGTTGTAGCTGATACTCTTGGCGCCTCTCCTTGTGTCTTCTCAGGCACATTTTAATGGAAACCAGGTAAAAAGGGAACAAATGAAAGGCAAAATCCAGTATCCTGCAGTCCTTTGCCCAATTGCGATTTGGTCAAGAGCCTGCATAGCCATTTGTGCTCTAATAATGGTGATGCTGGGCTATATGCATTTTCTCTGACAACGCTAAGGGAATCAAAACCAAAGTGATACTTAGGATTTTTCAAGGAGATTTAAAGCTAATGGGAGAAGTTTCTAGTAGGTGAATTGATGAGCTATTTGCTGTCTCAAAATCCCCCAGTACTGCCAGCCTTTAAGTTGTTTCTTGCTAACTTTATTTCTGTTTGTCAGATTTTAAAATCACAGAGATGAAAATGTGGTAGGACCCATCTTTAGGATTTCAGTTTCTTTTTATGTGGGAATCTGACTTGGACTCTGATGTGTAAGCAGCTTAATTGACTTTTGTCAAAAACAGGTACTGCTCATCCAGTCCTGCTCTGGAGGCAGGGAAGGGAGGCCAGAGGGAAGCATGTTTAAATTAACCTAAGACATAGATGAGGAATACTCATGCTCTACTCCGAGTTTTCCAGCTGGAAACAAATGAGATGTTTTTGCTAGGTGTGAATATCATATTTATAATTAGCTCTGCATACTGCAGCTGAGCAGGTGGTCAATTTTACAAGCCTGGCTGAAACACTGGAGAAGTGTGGAAGTAAGTTAGACATTCTCTAGAGAAATGGTGGCCAAGCAAGGGCCTTCGTGCCTTCTTCCAGTCTGCACAGGTTTACAGGACTTTAATCAGGGTTTTGCTTAGATGGTGATCAAGTAGTAATATTTATGAGCCGATATGAATGCTGGGCAAAGCAGAGGTCTGATTAGTAATATCAAAACCCAGCAGACTGCAAAAATAGGTGATTATCTGAGTGGGTCAACGATTAAAGTTGGCAATTGAAAGGTTTAAAGGATTAAATCCTAATTCATCCTATGTGGAAGGATGAAAAAGACAAAACGTTGTGGGGGAAATTTTGATAGTTGTAGTACAGTCATGAATCGCTTAGTGATGGGGATATGTTCTGAGAAATGTATCCTTAAGCGCAGGTTTTGTCACGGTGTGAACATCAGAGAGTGTACTCACACAAACCTAGATGGTGTAGCCTCCTGCACTCTTAGGCTATATGATAACTGCTTGTAGGCTACAAAACCTTTACAACACAGTGGTGGATAGCTGTGTATATAAACATAGAAAAGATAGTAAAACTGTAAAATGCAGTAAAAATACCATATTATTAATCTTATGAGACCACCGTCATATATGCAGTCTGTCATTGGCTGAGATGTCATGCAGTGCACAAATGTGTAGGAAATAAGGTGATTCATGTCATTCTACCCACTTACGTCCTGGACCAGTGAAAACTGGAAGCCCTTCAGACCTTGGCTGCAAGCAGCATGAAGGGTCACAACTGTTACTTGCCCGTATTATCTGCTGCAGGAAAACTTACATGCAGCACTGGGAGAGAGGCGAGAGGATGGAGATTTCATCATGGGAGTGTCGTCCGAACCTAGGAGGAGAAACAGGCTTTTATGGGTGGCCGGCAGCATCCTTTGCATTCCCCTGAGGCTTCCTCTCTCCTCTCAGCATTTTGTGAATCAGAGATTGGGGTAAAATGCCAGGGATCATGGCAGCTGCCTCTCCAGCCCCTCTCCCCAGTCAGATCACAAAAGCATCTGTACAGAGATGTTAGAGCTAAGCAATCCTTCATTCATTCACTAGCTGCAGAGGGCCAGCCACTGAGGATGCACCTTGCTCTCGAAAACCTCACCCTATTTCACTAGAGGGCACACGAGTGCTCTCAGGCTGGAGGAGGATCAAGTGGTTCTTGCAAAGGTAAAGAGAAAGAAGGAAATGGAAGAAGCCGGGCTCGAAGGAGACAAGGCACGTGGTGGTGGAGGCCCTCATTTGCAGGGCGTCTGTTTCCCCCGAGCAGCTGGCTGCACAGAGCAGCACATCTGGGAGAGGGGATTGTTGAACACACGTGGGGAAGCTCACCCTCTGGCGTTGTCAAGGTGAATAAGGAACCCATCATCCCCGAACTTGGTGAACATCTCATAATGGTGCCGGTCCATATTCCCTGTGAAGGAGGGGAGGACTTAGCTGGAACCAGCAGGCCAGGGGGACAGGTGCTCCTGACCTGAGTTCTCTCCAGGGAACGGAGGCCTGTCATCACTTGAGAGACAGGGGTGTGAACGAAGCTGGGCCTCACACTGTCATTTCCTCAGGGCCATCAGTGAAGCAGCCGCAGGAGGGAGAAGGAAGCGAAACAAGCAAACCCTAAATGGACTGGCTTCAAGTCTAAGGCTTTCACCCCTGCCCCTGCCCCTACTCCAGCCTTTGGCCAGAGATTTGAATGTGCAGAAAGTCATCTTTTCACCTCGTGTATGTATTGACATTGGCTTTCCTCAGCCCAGAGATCCTCAGCTGATCCTGGTTATAGTAAACAGACACAGCTAAACTTCCTGAAAGGCACGATGATGAGCCAGCTGTCTGACTTGCTTCCGACCTAAGCTCCTGTATGACGGCCACCTTCATAAGTGTCTCGTCTCCCTAGAAGTCCCTGTGGGCCTGGAAGGTGGAATTACTAGTCTTGTGTGTCCGTGGCCTCGCCTGAGGCCCTCCCTGCTACATATTTGTGTACTTTCTTCCCTTCCTACCTGGTTTCCCCTCACTTGGTGAAGTGAACATACAGCTTCCAATCTGACGCCCACTCAGGCCCGTGGCAGGGTGAGATGCCTGCCTTATGAGTGACGACCCCTTGAGCTTCTTCCAGTTCTTTGAAGAGAGGGGAGCCTGTTACCTTCTGTCCTCTGGGACCTCCGCCACTTCTGAGGCTGTGGGAGGTGCAGAGTTACTCAGTCCTCATGAACCAGGTTGTAAGTTTGTGCTCAAGGTCACGGGGAACCCTAGCCACATAGCAGAGCCCACTTCTGCTGGGGGCCTGCGTGTGGGGACCTACCTATCAAGAAGTCGAAGATGGCCATG
This sequence comes from Homo sapiens, assembly GCF_000001405.40. NCBI lineage: Eukaryota > Metazoa > Chordata > Mammalia > Primates > Hominidae > Homo > Homo sapiens. The sequence continues at coordinate 68,540,875 of NC_000017.11, forward strand.
TCGATGACATTGAGGAGCCGCTGGCTGTTGTTGTACGGGTAGATCTGTTTCACTGTGTCACAGTAAAGGGGATTGACCTCCCACCTGAGGGGGAGAAGAAGTCCTGGGGCTGGAAAAGCCAAGATGGCAGGGTGTCGGGGGTCTCCCCACACCTCCCCCTGCCCCCCCAATCCCTGCCTCCCTGATCCTGCCCTGGGCTGGTGGCAGCTTCTAAAATTCAGAAAGGCCCTGGGCAAGGACGCGTAAGGCTGCATATTCCGTGTGGTGAGAAGGTCCTGGGTCCTTTAAGTCTGGTGGACACTAAACCCATGGTTGGGATACTGTGTGCCAGAGGGGAGAGGCCGGGGCAGGCAGGAAAGGAGGAGGTAGTGACCCTCACCTGCTTCCTCGTCCCTCCACAGTCCCTCTCACCAAGCCTCTTGGACCCTGCGCCACTCATAGCACCTCCATGGGCTGTTCCTGCCCTTTCTCTCTCACACATGGTTTTCTGCCTACAATGCTCCGATGCCCATTTTCATCCGAGGGCTCTTCTCAGCCTTCACAGAGTCCCTTAGGATCTGTCATGTCCTCCAGAAATTCTGCCTGGTTACTTCTTTTCCCACGATGATCATGACGGCTTGACTGATGGATCGATTCACTCAGTCAGCTAGTGTGGAGTACCTGCTATGTGCCAGGGAGGGTGCTAGGTCCTGGGGATACAGCAGTGAGGTCCTTGGTCTCCCAGGGCTTGCTCGGGAACCAGGTGTCCCTCCCATGGGATTCTCGTGTGCTCCCTGGTTATAGCAAGTGCTGTGCTGTGTTTTCGTGATCTGGCTACATGTCTGTTCTCCCCACTAGACCAAGGAGCTTCTCAAGGAGAGAGTCTGAGTCTTCCATTTCTGTATCCCATAACACCTAGTGTTGGGTATATGGAAGGTTCTTTAGAACTGAATAAATGAACTAAAGGGGAGAACAGACCCAGGCCTGCTGATCCCAGGATCAATATGAAATGGGGCAAAGGAGTATTGAGGCAGCTTTTCAGATTCAAAAGCCAAGCTAGCAACAAGTCCCTGGTACAGGGTCTGTGGCTACTGTCAAGGACTGGGCTGTGTGGCCTGGGGACCAACTCACTCCTCTTTTCCTGCCAGTGTGTAGGAGCGGATCCAGGGGTTGGGCACAGACAGCCTGGGGGCCAGGTTGAGGGACGGCAGGAAGGCAGAGAGGGAACCCTCCAGCAGGTGTGGGTTGCCACAGACAGCATACTCCGTCTTGCACATGTATGGACACTTGGCGAAGAAGCACACGTTGCTCGCTGGAGGATGGGGAGGAGAGAGGAGGAGTAAGTGGAGGGCTCTGGAGGCATGACATCTTCCTGGCCTAGGAAATCCACTGGGAGGGAAGGGAAACCCTGAACTCACAGCTCGGGAAGAGAAAGAAGAAGAAGGAAACATTGACTTTTCCAGAAGTGAGGGTGTGAATGCTACTAAGCTGAACCTCCTGGGAACCTGCTTTCAAATGTCCCAACCTTACTGCATTCTATCCTTATGAGTAGAACACTCTTTATTACCCTGGGTGGATAACCTCTGGTTCCGGGGAGGCCAGCATTGTAGGGTCAATGCCCACACAGACTAGGTAGCATCTCAAACACAACCTTTCCCATCCAGTTCATCTTGTGTTATGGTCAGGCAGACCATGGTGGGAGTGTCTTACAACTTCATACGCCCATCCCAGTAATGGATAGTGCTAGCAGCAGGGTGTCAGGCCACTGATGAATGGAGGGGTGGACACTCTGGCTTACGATCTACTCAGACCCGGAATATCACTCGGGCCAGTACTCTACCTGGAGAGACAAAGAAAACACTCTGCAGGATTTCATTCTTGGTGACCTCTAGGATTTCCTTGGTGACATTTACTATCCTCCCCACTGTTGGCGGCACCCGTCGGAAGTCCAGAATCCTGCAAGAGAGGAAGCTCTGTTCCATCTGAGGGATGATCAGGGAGTGAGGAGGAGGGGTTTTGTCCCCCGGCCAGTGCACATTAGGAATTGGCTGGTGTACCCAGGAGGGTGGCCGGTGAGGCGTGACTCTGCACTGTTGAGCTGGTAGTGCCCAGGTCAACACTGGGCCTTTAAACCTAGGTCTAAAGGAGTGGAGATGGAGTTGAAAATGAATCCTTATTCCGTCAAGCCTCCTGGGCAAACCTTCCCACCATCCCAACTCTGTTCTTGGTCAGTGCTTCTCATATTTTAATGTTCCTGTGAGTCACCTGGCAATCTTGTTCAAATACAGGGTCTGATTGAGTGGTTCTAGGGTGGGGCTGAGATTTCTTATTTCTAAAAAGCTTCTTGGAAGTGCCCATGACGCTACAGACCACACTTTGGGTAGCAATGACTGAGCAAATAGAGGGAGTGGAATGTTTAGGAATGTGCTTTCACCTAATATCATAACAGTGAGACTCCTTGGATAAATAGGAGTGGGTGCATTCTCCTCGCTCTCAGATCAGGAAACTAGAGCAACTGCCCCAAGCAGCATGGCGGGAAGCGTGTTCTTTGTAAATTGTTCTTTTCGTTACATTCGTTAAAAGGCCTTGTGTTTTTCAATCTGGGGGGTTGCATGGGACATTTTGAGTTCAAAGACACCACGATGAGGCACGAAGAAGATAGAAAGCCAGAAGGAAGAAATGCCAGGGAGTTCCCACCTTGAGGGTCTGTCTAGCCACCCCTCCCAGAGGATTGGTCCTTATAGGCAATGCCATCTCCATGGGGCCAGACCCTACCTGTCCAGATGGAAAGCTGCGATCTCAGCATTGTGTCTCTGAAAGTCAATGAAGTAGAAGAAGTCCACTGGTGTCTCCTCATCTCGCTGCTGTCTGGAAGGAAGGAAGGAATCACGCCCTGGACTCAGACTTCAGCTGGGAGCCTGAGAAGAGAGCTGATGAGCATGACCAGCGAGAAAGGAAAACGGGCTTTTATGCTTTTCATGTACACACAGGCGATGGCACGGCAAGTCAGGAATGGCCTGTGGCTCCCTTCGCCAGGAGAAGACAAGCAAAGTGGGAGGAGACAGGCTTCTTGCAAGACACTGTCCTGCAGGCACCACCAATACCAAGTTTCCTGCTTAAGAAGCTTTGGTGACAGTGGCTGATTATTTTCAAAACCCAGCAGTTGAGAGGGAAGAAATAGACATTCTTCTGCAGGTATAAACAGAAGAGAGGGGAATGGTTAGCAGAACCAGAGGTAGTGCAGATCCAGATGTCCAAGGATGAAGAAAGGTGGGGTATGAGCCAGGAATTGGTAATGGAAAAGTGGCCCAGAAATGCAACTTAGTATGCTGGGGTTGAAGAACAGAAAAGTTCTGGGTCTTAGGGGGATGTGGGGGAAATACGTGGACCATCATCCCCTCAGAGAAACACAGCCGGATCATGAGGGCTGGGGGCAGCTGGTGCAGAGGATATTGATTTATATACATTAAATCTCTAATGAATTCCTGAAAAGCGCCAGGCTGCCTGAGAGTGGTGGGGCCTGCTGGGTGTGTACATTCATGAAAGTGCTTTTTAATCCTTAAGGGCCTTGTGGTGTGAGTTCTGGCCTCTAGGCTGACTTTGCCTCGAGGCTAATAAACATGGAAGAATGATGATCTTCGAATAATTTTATAATCCACTGTGTGGGACTGTTGAAACGACTGCAAGGCGATTTAGATGTAAATAAACGTGATGTTGCAGAAATCTATAAATAAGAAGCACTGGCAATTTAAACCGTGTTGTGCATTTTGCCAAAAAACACGAGTGAGTCCTGGAAACCACAGTGAGGTGCTGCCAAAAGTAGAGATTCTATTTTAAAAGGTGCAGCCACCGTTACAGCACAACCCTCCGTGCTCAGGCCTGGCCAGCTTATCATCATCACTGGATGTCCAGGCTAGCAAGGACAATCCCTCTTCCCAGTCTCATTTTAATTCCTGAGTCCCATCTGTAGGAACATATCATCTTTCAGACACCTTTTAGGTTCTTCTAAAACATTTTCTCATTTTTGTATGATGTAAGATAAGAAGTAATTTTAAATTCAAAGGTTGTTTTTACTTTAGATCAGTGCTTCTCATACTTTGAGAAGCACTAATGCACGTCTCATTGCACATTATATTGTATACATTACATTTTAAAAATATAAATCTTTATGTTCCTAATGTATATTTTCCAAAGTTAAAGTTCTACATTCTCTCTTTAATCAGAAAAAAATGGTGTTCGCCTTAAATTACTTACAGAAAAATACAAAGCGCATAATTTTTCAAGAGATACATTTTAAAATGATAGTATTTTAGATTTGGGACTGAATTTTATAAAAATGTAGATTACACTGTGTTATGGTATGAAAATAGATAAAATTGGTCCTGTCACTGAATGTTGGAGGGTTTTGCATTGTATTTCGGAAAAAAGCTGGCTAGTTGGAACAATTTTTGTATAGACACACTTCGGAGATATTGCAGGTTTGCTTCTAGACCACCACAATGAAGCAAATATGGCAATAAAGTCATTCATGCACATTTTTTGGTTCCCCACCCAAGGCATATAAAAGTTACGTTTCATTATACTGGAGTCCAATAAATATGCAATAGCATTATGTCTGAAAAATGTATACATCTTAATGGAAAAAGCACTTTATTGCTAAAAAATGCTAACACTCTTCTGAGCCTTCAGCAAGTCATAATCTTTTTGCTGACTGACTGGGGTGGTGGTTGCTGAAGGTTGGTGAGGCTGTGGCAACTTTTAAAAATAAGACAATAATGAAGTTTGCTGCATCGATTCACAAAAGATGTATCTGTAGCACGCAATGCTGTTTGATAGCATTTTACCCAAAGTAGAACTTCTGTCAAAATTGAAGTCAGTCCTCTCAAACCCTGCTGCTGCTTTATCAACTAAGTTTGCATAATATTCTAAATCCTCTGTGGCCATCTCAACAATGTTCACAGCGTCTTCACCAGAAGTAGATTCTATCTCAAGAAACCACTTTCTTTGCTTATCCATAAGAAGCCACTCCTTATTGGTCGGGTGCGGTGGCTCATGCCTGTAATCCAAGCACTTTGGGAGGCTGAGGCAGGTGGATCACGAGGTCAGGTGATTGAGACCATCCTGGCTAACACGGTGAAACCCTGTCTCTACTAAAAATACAAAAAATTAGCCAGGCATGGTGGCGCATGCCTGTAGTCCCAGCTACTTGGGAGGCTGAGGCAGGAGAATTGTTTGAACCCAGGAGGCAGAGGTTGCAGTGAGCCGAGATTGTGCCACTGCACTACAGCCTGAGCAACAGAGCGAGACTCCATCTCAAAAAAAAAAAAAAAAAAAAAAAAAAAGCAGCAACTCTATCTGTTCAAGTTTGATCATGCAGTTGCAACAATTCAGTCACATTTTCAGACTCCACTTCTAATTCTAGTTCTCTTTTATTTCCACATCTGCAGTTACCTTCTCCACTGAAGTCTTGAACCCCTCAAAGTCATCCATGGGGATTGAGATCAATCTTCTTTTAAACTCCTGTTAATGTTGATATTTTTACCTCCTTCCACGCATCACAAATTTTCTTAATGGCATCTAGAATGGAGACTCCTTTCCAGAAAGTTTTCAAATGACCTTGCCCAGGTTCATCAGAGGAATCACTAACTGTGGCAGCTATAGCCTTATGAAATGTATTTCTTAAATTGTAAGACTTGGCTGGGCGTGGTGGCTCGCGCCTATAATCCCAGCACTTTGGGAGGCCGAGGCGGGCGGATCACGAGGTCAGGAGATCAAGACCATCCTGGCTAACACGGTGAAACCCTGTCTCTACTAAAAATACAAAAAATTATCCGGGCATGGTGGCCGGCGCCTGTAGTCCCAGCCACTCGGGAGGCTGAGGCAGGAGAATGGCGTGAACCCGGGAGGTGGAGCTTGCAGTGAGCTGAGATTGAGCCACTGGACTCCAGCCTGGGCGAGAGTGCGAGACTACGGCTCAAAAAAAAAAAAAAAAAAAAGGTAAGACTTGAAAGTTAGAATGACTCCTTGATCTGTGGGCTGCAGAATGGATGTTGTGTTAGCAGGCATGAAAACAACATTAGTCTCCTCGGACATCTCCAGCAGAGCTCTTGAGTGACTAGGTGTATTACCAATGAGCAGTAATATTTTGAAAGGAATCTTTTTTTTTTTCTTTTTCCCCTGAGCAGTAAGGTCTCAACAGTGGGCTTAAAATATTCAGTAAACCATGCTGTTAACAGATGTGTGGTCATCCAGGCTTTGAGGCTCCATTTAGAGCACAGGCAGAGTAAAATTTAGCATCACTCTTGAGGGCCTGAGGATGTTTTGAATGGTAATTGAGCATTGGCTTCAACTTAAGTTCCCAGCGACATTATCACCTAACAAGAGAGTCAGCCTGTCCTTTGAATCTTTATCATTATTATTATTATTTTTTTATTATACTTTAAGTTCTAGGGTACATGTGCACAACATGCAGGTTTGTTACATATGTATACATGTGTGTTCTTTGAATCTTTGAAGTCAGGCATTGACTTTTCTTCTCTAGCTATGGGGAAAGTCCCAGATGGTATCTTCTTCCAATAGAAGGCTGTTTCATCTACACTGAAAACCTATTGTTAGTGTAGCTACGTTCATCAATGATCTTAGCTAGATCTTCTGGATAACCTGCTGCAGCTTCTCCATCAGCACTTACTGCTTCACCTTGTACTTTTATGTTATGGAGATGGCTTTTTTCCTTAAGCCTGGTGAACTAACCTCTGCTATCTTCCAAGTTTTCTTCTGCAGCTTTCTCACCTGTCTCAGCCTTCATTGAGGAGAGTTAGAACCCTGCTCTGGATTAAGCTTTGGCTTAAGGGAATGCTGTGGCTGGTTTAATATTCTATCCAGATAACTTAAACTTGCTCCGTATCAGCAGTGAGGCTGTTTTGCTTTCTTATCATTCGTGTTTAGTGGAGCAGCGCTTTTAGCTTCCTTCAAGAACTTTTCCTTTGCATTCACAACTTGCCTGACTGGCACAAAAAGCTTAGCTTTTGGCTTATTGGCTTTCAACGTGCCTTCCTTACTAGCCTCCTGAATAATTTCTCGCTTCCCATTTAAAGTGAGAGATATGACACTCCTCCTTTCATGTGAACACTTAGAGGCCCTTGTTGGGTTACTAACTGGCCTCATTTCAATATTGTTGTGTCTTAGGGAATAGGGAGGCCTGAGGACTGGGAGAGATTGGGGGAACAGCAAGTTGTTGGAGCAGTCAGAACACACATTTAGGCCAGGTGCAGTGGCTCACACCTGTAATCCTAGCACTTTGGAAGGCCAAGGTTGGCAATCACTTGAGGCCAGGAGATCGAGACCAGCCTGGCCAACACAGTGAAACCCCGTCTCTACTAAAAATAGAAAAAATTAGCTGGGCATGGTGGCACACGCCTATAATCCCAGCACTTTGGGAGGCTGAGGTGGGCGGATCACCTGAGGTCGAGAGTTCGAGACCAGCCTGGCCAACACGGTGAAACCCCGTCTCTACTAAAAATGCAAAAATTAGCCAGGTGTGGTGGGCAGCGCCTTTAGTCCCAGCTATTTGGAAGGCTGAGGCAAGAGAATCGCTTGAACCCAGGAGGCAGAGGTTGCAGCGAGCTGAGATTGAACCATTGCACTCCAGCCTGGGCAACAGAGTGAGACTCTGTCTCAAAAAAAAAAAGTTTGAAATATTGTGAGAATTACCAAATGTGACACAGAGACACAAAGTGGGCACATGCTGTTGGGAAAATGACACCGATAGACTTGCTTGATGCAGGGTTGCCACAAGCCTTCACTTTGTAAAAAACCTAGTATCTGCAAAGTACAATAAAGTGAAACGCAGATACAGCGAGCTATGCCTGTATATTTTTTTTTTTTTTTTTTTTTTTTTGAGACAGAATCTCCCTCTGTCGCCTGGGCTGGAGTGCAGTGGCTCGATCTTGGCTCACTGCAAGCTCCGCCTCCCGGGTTCACGCCATTCTCCTGCCTCAGCCTCCCGAGCAGCTGGGACTACCGGCACCCACCACCACGCCCGGCTAATTTTTTGTATTTTTAGTAGAGACGGGGTTTCACCGTGTTAGCCAGGATGGTCTTGATCTCCTGACCTCGTGATCTGCCCGCCTCAGCCTCCCAAAGTGCTGGGATTACAGGCGTGAGCCACCGTGCCCAGCCTGCCTGTATTTGTTTTAACTGACCAGGCAGAGATGTATTAGGCTGTGAGTTATGTTAATTTATTTTCCTGCAAAGGAAATGCTACAGGTTCTAGCAGTTTTTCCTCCCTGATACAAAAGAACTGAGAGTGGAGCTCATCCATTGCATATTAGCTTCCAGTTTTAAAAAATGAAAGGCATCCGGCCAGGTGCATTGGCTCACGCCTGGAATCCCAGCACATTGGGAGGCCAAGACAGGGGAATCGCCTGAGGTCAGGAGTTCAAGACCAGCCTGGCCAACGTGGTGAAACCCTGTCTCTACTAAATATACAAAGTTAGCCAGGTGTGGTGGTACACATCTATAATCCCAGCTACTTGGGAGGCTGAGGCAGGATAATTGCTTGAACCTGGGAGGCCGAGGTTGCAGTGAGCCGAGATAGCGCCACTGCACTCCAGCCTGGGCAACAAATGCAAAACTCCATCTCAAAAAAAAAAAAAAAGTTAGAGACATCCTATTGTGCCACATAAAAATTTTGCTCGGAGAACAGAATCTATGGACCTGGTGATTTGTGGTGCGTTTGCAGATTTATCATTACTTTTATGCTTCTCATTAACATCTCCTGTTTCTCTATCAGTATTCCTTAGGTTGCCTCTCTCTAACTGGGGCTGTCTTTTGAGTATATATTATATGTGCTCGACTAACTGTAACAATAATTTAAACTCTATGACAACCAGAACCTCACTGGTGACTCTTGTGTTCAGCTGAGCATTGTGCCAAAGAGTCACATGTCTACTTGTGGAACCTCTGCTAATTGCCATGTGTATTTGCTGTTATAGCTCTCATTTCAAAGGAACACAATGTATTTATTTACATATTTTAGTACCCTATATGTCTGAATACAAGATGAGGTCTCTCCTGAAATTGTCCCTTGGAAAGGAGTCTCTATATTCAGTCCTGGCATAGTTAGCCAACCACTTTGTTTTGTTTGGGACAGATACATTAACCTGGAATGACTTGACTTTGCGCTGGTTTTACTGCCTAGTGTAACCGGTTACAACGGGTTGATGGTGGTGATGGGGGAGGGGAGTGGGGAAATAAGTTAATATTGATTTGACATTCACCCCCAACTTGACTCTAAGTGATGATGACAACCAATTCCCCAAATTTTTGACAAGTAAAATCTACAGTGGGAGAACAAAAGCAATATTTCTAAATCTATATACTGTTTTATATGATGGGATTTTAAAATCAATATAAATATAAGCAGACATTCAATTGTCTCATGTACATTTCTGGAGAATTTTAAGTTGATCTAACAACTAGGATTTTGGATCTTTCACATAGGAAAAATGGGGGAACTTTTTTTTTTTTTTTTTTTTTTTTTTTAAGATAGAGAGTCTCCCTCTGTTGCCCAGGCTGGAGTGCAGTGGTGCGATCTCAGCTCACCGCAACCTCCTCCTCCTGGGTTCAGGAGATTCTTCTGCCTCAGCCTCTCGAGTAGCTGGGACTGCATACACGCACCACCATACCTGGATAATTTTTGTATTTTTGGTAGAGATGGGGTTTCACCATGATGGCCAGGCTGGTCTCGAACTCCTGACCTCAGGTGATCCACCCGCCTTGGCCTACCAAAGTACTGGGATTACAGGTGTGAGCCATCGTGCCCAGCAGAGGAACTCTTTATACGGCAGTGGTTCTCAAGGTTGCCTGGGCCTTGGGATCACGGGGAGAGCCCCCAGAGCTAGTCCACTGGACTCCCTGAGGGTGGGACTCAGGCATAAGGATTTTTAAAGCCTCCTTAAGTGAATCTAACATGCAGCTGATCCACTCCAACCCCTTCTTTAAGGAGGTGCTTTCGCCAAAGCAGTTGGGACTGAAACTCTTTATTCGGTGCTTATTCAAGTAGGCCCTGCCCTTAGAACCATCTACTGGGGCTCTCAATGGGCCTCCCCTTGAATGGCTGAAGGTTTGGAATCTGCCAGTCTAATTGTATTCCACTGGAAGAAGCACATTCTGGAGGAAAGCATGACTTGGGTAACGTGGCCCCTCTTGGGGCGATTTTCTTTTCTGCAGGTCACCTCATCATCTCAAGGAGGAGCATTCCCCTGGGCTAAGGCACTGGGGCCGAACTCTAGGAGACCCTAACCTGTGGGCTGCAGATCCTTTGGGGGCCAGAAACCCAAACTCACACCAAGCTCTGTCTAAGGACTCAATACATATTATTTCACTCATCTCTATGTTTCACAAAATTTTCAAGGCATGTAGTTGCTGTTGTTATGAATAAAATATAAATTAATGTAAACATGTAATTGACTTCCTAGTAGCCTTTCTTGATTGTCTAGTTTTTCAGTTGAAACAAGTATTGTGGTATACAAGTCCGTAAACTTTTTGATGTCAAAAAGAGAGTGCTTTCCCTGGAAAAAAGTATGGATCAATTAAAGTGGTGGAGTGTGAACTTAGCAACCCAGATGCCTGGGTTTGAATCCTGGGTCTGCTGTTTGCAGCTGGAAGATTGGGATGAGATGGTCTCTTTCAGCCTCAGTATCTTTATTTGTAAAGTGGACATTGTAAGAGTATCTGGCTCATAAGCTTGCCCGTGAACCAAGGACACAACTTAGGTCATTGTGTGGCATAGATGATAGTAAGGGCCTGAAAAAGACAAGCTCTTAGTATTTTCAATTATTATTATTATTATTATTATTATTATTATTATTATCACCCCAAACAGTTCTGTGCTTGGGCAGATTAGAGAATCTCTGAATAACTGGCAGAAAGACTTTAGGTCACTTTTATTAGTTTTTGGTCCAAATCTTCCCAGGGCCACCCCAACTGGGTGTGGAAAGGAGGAAGGCAGTCACTTACCTCATGGGTTTGAACATGGCCTTCCCGAAATCCGAGAACCTCAGCACCAGCTTGAGGTGGACCCCACTGGGTTTCACAACTGTGAAAGGCAGAAGGGTGAGTTAACCATGCTTCCGGGCCTCAGCCAAGGCTTGTGACTCTGTTCCTTCAATAAGCCCAGCTGACTTCGCTTTCCTCTTATGTAATGAGACCCTAAAGACTAGGATGTGCTCTCCATAGCCTGCAGGGTAAACGCCATGGTGTCAGGCCGTAGTGACGGTGTCCAGGGGCTCAAGACAGTACTTTTTACTTTGGGAGGTGAAGGCGGGAGGATCGCTTGAGCCCAGGAGTTTGAAACCAGCCTGGGCAACATAGTGAGACCTCCATTTTGAAAAAAAAAAAGTACATTTTCTGCTGGTATGGGAAAAGAGCAAAAAATACAATGAAGACATTTACTGAAAACCCTGAAGAATGTTTTCCTAAGAAGAATGAACCCTTTCCTCTTTGTGTTTCAACTACATCTTTGTAGATTCTAATTATGCCTTCTGTTATATTAGACTAGTTTGTTTATGCCTCTTTCTACTTAAGACTGTACACCTGGGCTGGGACCAGGGCTTGGCAAGTGAGTGCTTCTTAGGTGCAGGGAGTGCTACTTCCTTAAATTTTGCATCCTGGGCACCTCACTTCTCTTACCCTCTCCCTGGTTCTGGAGGGTCAGGACAATACCTCACTCACCTTGTGTTCTATAAAATGGTCAAGGCAGGTGCTTAACTGAAGAAAAGGGAAGCCTGGAGCCCTGTAAACCTTTATTTTCCTTTTTTTTTTTTTTTTTTTTTTTTTTGAGACGGAGTCTCGCTCTGTCGCCCAGGCCGGACTGCGGACTGCAGTGGCGCAATCTCGGCTCACTGCAAGCTCCGCTTCCCGGGTTCACGCCATTCTCCTGCCTCAGCCTCCCGAGTAGCTGGGACTACAGGCGCCCGCCACCGCGCCCGGCTAATTTTTTGTATTTTTAGTAGAGACGGGGTTTCACCCTGTTAGCCAGGATGGTCTCGATCTCCTGACCTCATGATCCACCCGCCTCGGCCTCCCAAAGTGCTGGGATTACAGGCGTGAGCCACCGTGCCCGGCCTAAACCTTTATTTTCAAACCTTAGTGATATGGTTAGGCTTTGTGTCCCCACCCAAATCTCATCTCAAATTGTAATCCCCTTGTCTCAAATCTCATCTCAAATTGCTGAGGGAGGGATGCTGTGAGAGGTGGTTGGATCATGGGGCAGCTTCCCCTGTGCCGTTCTTGTGATAGTGAGTTCTCACGAGATCTCATGGTTTTATAAGGGGCTCTTCCCCCTTTGCATCCTCTCTCTCCTGCCACCATGTGAGATGTGCCTTGCTTCCCCTCCCCCTTCTGCCATGATTGTAAGTTTCCGGAGGCCTCCTAGCCATGCTTCCTGTTAAGCCTGCAGAACTGTGAGTCAATTAAACCTCTTTCCTTTATAAATTATCCAGTCTCAGGCATTTCTTAAGAGCAGTGTAAAAATGGACTAATACATTTTGACACACACCATCAGATGTAGTCACATGTAGACATTTCTGATGTGTGTTCCACATATTGAAGTAAAGGGATGGGGCCACTCATGGCTGGTGATGACTGGCCTGAGGGCTTTAGGGTCCAGACCCACCTATAACCAGGTCACAGCACTCCTGGAGGGGAGCTCTGCCACTCTCAGTCCTAGCTTTTTGATGCCATTAATCACTTATCCTAGTGAGTCTCAACTCTGGCTATATTAGAATCACCTGGGCCTCACCGTCTGAACTTGAATCAAAACCCCTGGGGGTGGAGGCTAGGCAGGAGCACTTTTTAAAGCTCCCCCAGTGATTCTAATACATATATATACACATATATATACATATATATACATATATACATATATACATGTATACACATACATATATACATATATACACACATTTATGCATATATACATAGACACACATTTATGCATATATACATATATACACACATGCATATATACCTATATACACATATATGCATATATACATATATACACACATATATGCATATATACATATATACACACATATATGCATATATACATATATACACACATGCATATATACATATACACACATATATGCATATATACATATATACATATATACACACATGCATATATACACATATACACATATACACACATATACACACATATATACATATATACACACATATATATACACATATATGTATACACACACATATATATATATATATATTTTTAGCTGGAGTCTCACTGTGTTGCCTAGGCTGGAGTGCAGTGGCACGATCTCAGTTCACTGCAAACTCCACCTCCCAGGTTCAAGTGAATCTCTTGCCTCAGCCTCCCACGCTCGTCTAACTTTTTATATTTTTTGGAAGAGACGGGTTTTCACTGTTGGCCAGGCTGGTCTCGAACTCCTGACATCAAGTGATCCACCCGCCTCGGACTCCCAGAGTGCTGGGATTACAGGTGTGAGCCACTGAGCCCGGCTGATTCTAATATTTTGTCAATAGTGGGCACCATTTGCTTCTTGAATTTGAAAGCGTGCTCCAATCACTTGAGGATTTTCTTAAGATTCAGATTCTGATTCAGAAAGAGAGTGAGGCTCTGCATTTCTGATGAGCTCCTCAGTGATGTTGATGATGCTTTTCCTGGGCCACGCATTGCCCAGCGGGGCCTATACAACCCTTCCCCTTAAGTGCCTTTTCTTGTTGTGGGTGGATGGGGAGAAACGTTGAGTTCTCAGAGGTTAGGCAGAGAGCCATGCTCCTTCCACTCTTGCCCAAGGTCGCCACTGGAGTGGGTTTTGGGGTTTGCACAGCTGTGAGGGTGAAGAGGCTGGGTGGGGGTGGGGCTAGGTCACTTACTCTGGGTGCAGTCACATGCCCCCAGCAAGGCTTTCTCATCTTGACTGTAATCTGCAAAGGAGGAGAAGGGCAATGAGAACTTCCAGTCTTGTTCCTGGGAGAGCCTACAACATGGAGGTCCCTTGACTCTGGTTCAGATCACCAGAGGGGAGACTGTGATGTAGCCTGGGGCCCTTGACCACTCCGTGGGAGGTCTCTTGGAGCCCAGGAGACTGTAGCCTCCTTCCCTGCTGTGTCCCAGACCCCTGCTCTCTAGCCCTTCAGTGGGCACTCCAGCAATACCTGGCTGGGAGACTGAGTCTGCTTTTGTCTCTGCTAATAATTTGCTGTGTCACTTAGATTGTCTTAGTGCTTGACAGCACAGACTTGGTATCAGCAGGCCTGTGTTTGAATTCCAGCTCCACCCCCTAGGTCCTTGGCCAAGTTACTTAACCTTTCTGTGTCTCAGTTTCCCTGTCTGTAAAATGGCAATGGTAATATCCATGCCATAAGGTCTTTGGTTGAAAGAGAATGTCGCCTGCTTCAAAAGCAACACTCAATAAATGGTAGCGATCACCTTCCTTTAGGTGTACCAAACAACAGCATACCTCCTTATGGGGTCAGGATGAGATTATCGCTATAGGATCTCTTCCAGAGGGAAAAAGATCAATGCATATGTTCCTCTTCTCTCAGGTGTCCATGTCAAGCCTCTAATGTTCCACTCTGGAGCCTAGCCTGGGATGCTTTACCCAGACTCTCTGGGAGAAAGTCAGTCCCCCCTTGCTTGATCCCATGAACCTTACCAGCACTGATGGTGGGAAAGTGCCTCATGTCTTGCAGAAGTTTGCTGACAACAGGGCTGGACCGGGAGTAGAGCCCATGGCGGTTAATACCCAGGTGGAACTGGACCCAGCTGGCCTCGAGTCGGAGCTGCAGTGGGGGGTCCAGGGAGGTAAGGTTCATCTGCTCTCTGTACATCTTGTGTCGCCTGAAAGAGCCAGATAGTTGTTCATTAGAGGAACAAGAATGCAAAGACCCACCAAGATACCTTGTCTGCAGTTTTTTATTCATCCTTTCATTTATTCCACAAGTGTATTAAGCATCTAATGAGGGCTAGGCTTTAAGCTGTGCTTAGGATATCTTGGGGAGCAAAACACCTGTGGGGTCCTTTCTTACCCTCAGAGGGCTTACACTCTAGTGAGCAAAACACACACATAGTTATACAATATCATACACAAATACTTAATTACAAACCAGGACAAATCCTGGGAAGGAAAAAAGGCAGATTGCTAAGAATAAAACTAGGGCCTCATATAATCTGGGATCTCAGGGTGAGACTGTGGGCCTCTTTATGCACTTTCTCATTAAAACTCCCTATCTTACATTTCCCAGTATTTTATGTTCCAAAGAATCAGAAGATAGAGGAGTGAAGGCAATTGGTGAGAATAAAAAGAAGAGAGGGTGCAGATCTTTAAGTGGGGCTGGAAGCTGAGTTAGATTATAAACGAAAAGAAGAATTAATGAGCCATTTACTGTTTGTTCTGCTTGGGTAGCCTTTTCTCCCAGGAAAAAAAGAGAAAAATAAAAAAGATGGTTCTACCATTTAGAGATGTAGACTGTAATTTAGGAGACAAGTTGTATGTTTATGAAATAACCAGAGCAAAATACAAAGCTGTTATAAATCAACTGCTAAACATGTGGCTCAGATGGAAAAGCCTTAACATTTTGGAGAAGGGAAAAGATGAATCTATGATGAAGTAGCCTGAGGACAACCACAGTGAAGAAGGCAGACTTCAGCTGGATCCTAAAGAACGGGGCAGGGAGGGGGGGTGGTTTGGCTTGAAGGGGACAGGGAGGGTACTCCTGCATTAAGGACAACATGAGCACTTTGAGAGGTAGGCAAGAAACGGATGTATCTGGGGATGAGAGAGGCAGGTTGAATAAATGCACTGTTGAATGAGAAGACGGAGGCCTCTGGGTTGGAAGGGAAGGCAAATTAGTATGATGTCATCTGGCTGGGAAAAGCTGATTGGGAGAGGTAGGTGGGATTATAGGGGCAGGGTTTTGCAGTTCCTATATATCCCTGTTTCTCAAACTGTGATAGTATACCTTGGGTCTGGGGTGGGGTGAAAAACAAAACAAACATGGCAGATTTGGGCGTGTCCAATTTTCTCATTGGTGGAGAGTTTTAAAAATTACCACTTTGGGAGGCTGAGGCAGATCACCTGAGGTCAGGAGTTTGAGACCATCCTGGACAACAATGATAAAGCCCCGTCTCTACTAAAAATACAAAAATTAGCCAGGCATGATGGTGCACACCTGTAATCCCAGCTACTTGAGAGGCTGAGGCAGGAGAATCACTTGAACCCAGGAGGTGGAGGTTGCAGCAAGCCGAGATCACGCCACTGCACTCCAGCCTGGGCGACAGAGCGAGACTCTGACTTTAAAAAAAAAAAAATTACTTTTCTATCAAAATAAAAATAGATGTATTATGGGGAAGGAAATAAAATATACCACAGGGATTTGAATCCATTTGTGATCTTAGTGATTGCAATGGACTGAATGTTTATGTTTCCTTCAAATTCATATGTTGAAATTTTAACTTCCAAGGTGATGGTATTGGAGATGGGGCCTCTGGGGAGTGATTAGGTTATGAGGGGGTAGCCCTCATGAATGGGATTAATGCCTTCATAAAAGAGACCCCAGAGAAACCCCTCACCCCTTCTGCCATGTCAGGTTATAGCAAGAAGACAGCATCTGTGAACCGGGAAAAGAGGCCTCACCAGAAATGGAATCTGCCAGCGCCCTGGTATTGGACTTCTTAGCCTCCAGAACTGTGAGAAATACATTTCTGTTGTTTACAAGTCACCCAGTTTATAGTATCGGTTACGGCACCCCAAACAGACTAAGGCAGTTTTGCTTCACCATTTCTCTCCTATTTCTGACACCCAGAATTAAGTGTAATATCCCCAGACGTGATTGCCCAGTGCAGAGGAGAATACGGTAATCACCACCCCCATTCATGGCGTTTTCCTTGTATGAACGTAACCCAAGACTGAAAATCTTTGGGAAATCATGTCACGTATCTCTAAGAAAACATGATTTTATGGTAAGCAGGATTCTAAAACTGGCCTCTAAGATTCCATGCCCTCATTTCCAGAACCTGTGACTATGAAGCACTCTCACTCCATGATTATGCTGCGTTGATGGCATTGTTGAATTTAGGGAGGTTGTCAAGGTGGGCCTGATTGAATCGCATGAGCCCTTGAAAGTAAAGTTTTTTTTCTGGCTGTTTTCAGAAGTCCAAAAGATCCAGGGCATCAGAAGCATTTGACACACTATTGTTGGCTTTGAAGACCCACTATTGTTGGGTCAAGTGGAAGGACCAGAAAGCCACCATGAGGAGCTGAGAATGCTTCCCGGCTGAAGCCAGCAAGGAAATGGGGGCAAGGAACTGAATTCTACCAACAACGAGAATGAGCTTGAAGGAGGACCCCTGAGCTGCTGACGAAAATGCAGCCAACCAACACCTTGATTTTAATCTTGTGAGATCCTAGCAGAAAATGAGTCATACCATCAGATATGGTTTGGATGTTTGTCCCCTCCAAATCTCATGTTGAAATGTAGTCCCCAGTGTTGAAGGTGGGGCCTGGTGGGAGGTAATTGTAACATAGGGGTGGGTCCCTCATGAATGGCTTAGCACCGTCTCCTTGGTGATGAATGAGGTCTTGCTCAGAGTTCATGTGAGATCTGGATGTTTAAAGGCATATGGCACCTCCCCGCTCACTCTCTTGTGCTCCTGCTCTTGCCAATGTGATGTGCCTGTTCTCTACCACCTTCTGCCATGAGTAAGTTTTCTGAGGCCCTCACCAGAAGCAGCATGCTTCCTGTACAGCCTGCAGAACCATGAGCCAATTACATCTTTTTTTAAAAAATAAATTACCCAGCTTCAGGTATTTCTTTTTTCCTTCCCTTCCTTCCTCCCTCCCTCCTTTCTCTTTCCTTCCTTCCTTCCTTCTTTCGACGAAGTTTTGCTCTTGTTGCCTAGGCTAGAGTGCAATGGCACAATCTTGGCTCACTGCAACCTCTACCTCCCAGGTTCAAGCGATTCTCCTGCCTCAGCCTTCTGAGTAGCTGGGATTACAGGTGCATGCCACCATGCCTGGCTAATTTTGTATTTTTAGTAGAGATGGGGTTTTACCATCTTGGCCAGGGTGGTCTTGAACTCCTGACCTCAGGTGATCCGCCCGCCTTGACCACCCAAAGAGCTGGAATTACAGGCGTGAGCCACCACACCTCGCCAGATATTTCTTTATAGCAACGCAAAACGGCCTGAAACATTATCCCAGACTTCTGACCTATAGGACAAATGGGGTGTTGTTCTAAGTGTCTAAGTTTGTGGCAATTTGTACTCAAAAATAAAAAACGAATACGTACTTTGTTCACAGAAAGGCTCAAAAGCTAAATGCTCTTATTTTAAGCATATGCTTTCATTTCTTTTAAAAATAACCCTAAGTAATATTTTTTATTAGATCTAGAAAACTATTCATACTCTGCAATAAAACTTTTATTTTCCCTCAAAAGCCATGCCATAGTATTGCCTTCTATTTGTGTTGGACAGTGAGGCCATTGCCTGGTAACACTGGCCTTCCTTTTAAGGAAAGAGAAAAAGTATATATCACAAAAATAAAGCACAAAGTCTTCATGGCTGTTGCTTTCATCAACAAAAATAAAACCTTAGTTACAAATCACATGATCTTCAGGGGAGAAGTAGAAATCACTTTGCTCCTGACTCTGCAATACTGGAATTTTCCTTGGAAATAGTTTCCTAAAAAGAAGAGTATTTCTTTCAGAAAAAAAGAGCATTTTAAAACGTTTGATTTTACTTATTTTTTAAGTAGCAAATGCATTTACATGGCTCAAAATGTTAAATGTCAAGACTCTTCCATCCTGTCCCTGAGTTAACCCGCTTCCCATCTCCAGAGGCAACTAATGTTGCTGGTGTTTTTCCCCATTGTTTTTTTCCACTTTTATTTTTATAGGTATGATAATATAAAATCCGCACTGTTCTGAAACTTGCTTTATTTTCCTGTCAATAGGTTCTGGTGATTTTTCCAATTCAGTACACAGAAAGCTCCTCATTCTTTGTTAAGTTCATCACATCATATTCCAGTGTATGAAAATCACATCATTAACCTGCTATGGTCTGAATGTTTGTGTTACCCCTAAATTCATATGTTGAAACCTAATCCCCAGTATGATAGTATTAGGAAGTGGGGCCTTTGGGAGGTGATTGGGCCATGAGGGCAGAGCCCTCATGGGTGGGATTAGTGCCCTTCTAAAAAATATCCTGTATTTTTAGTAGAGATGGGTTTCACCATGTTGGCCAGATGGTCTCAATCTCTTGACCTCATGATCCACCCGCCTCGGCCTGCCAAAGTGCTGGGGTTATGGTGACATGCACCTGCAGTCCCAGCTACTTGGAAGGCTGAGGCAGGAGAATCGCTTGAACCTGGGAGGTGGAGGTTGCAGTGAGCTGAGATCACGCCACTGCACTCTGGCCTGGCGACAGAGCGAAACTCCATCTCAAAAAAAAAAAAAAAAAGAGATTTCGGAATGCTATCTCATCTCTCCCACTATGTGAAGAGAGAAGGCTTCATCTATGAACCGGAAAGCAGGTCCTCACACTAGACACTGAATCTGCTGGTGGCTTAATCTTGGACTTCCCAGCCTCTAGTACTGCAAGAAATAAATTTCTTTTGTTTATAAGCCAATCAGTTTATGTTACTTTGTTATAGCAGTCTGAATAGATGAAGACATCATCTACTTGCAAACTTCTAGGTTGTTTGTAATGTTTTGTTATGCCGAGCGATGCTGGGACATTCTACCTATAAATATGACGTTCTGCATGTGTGAGAGTGTATCGGTATGATAAATTCTTATAAGTGTTGTTGATGGGTCAGAGGGTAGGTGCATTTATAATTGTTACTGATATTGCCAAAGTACCCTCTGCCAAGGCAAGATACTGCTAATCCCTCTCCCTCAGCATTGTATGAGACTATATTCAAGAAGCTTTGCCAACAGTGTAGTGACACTTCTTGATCCTTGTCAATCTAATAGGTGAAAAATGGTATCACAGTGCATTTTGAGTTTGCATCTCTATCTTGTTATGAGGGAAGCAGAACATCTTTTCCTCTGTTCAAGAGTCATTTGCATTACATTTGCCTATGTTTGTATTGAGTTGTTAGTCTTTTTCCTATTGAGTTTATACACTCAGAAAATTACATTTTTTCTCATATGATTTGCATTTTTCTCCCAGTTTGTTGTCAATCTTTTGACTTCACTTATGGTGATTTTTTAAAATGCAGAAATGTTGATTTTTTATAAGGTTGAAATGACCAACCCACTTATTCATGGCTCCAACTTGTGTGAAATTCTTAGGCCAGTCTCACGTTGAAATTACAAGAATAAGAAACCAAACCAAAGCATGGTTTCCTCTAGTATTTTGTGGTTTCATTTTTTTCCATTTAAATATCTGAGAGGTCTAGAATTTATTTAGATAAAATGTGTTAGGTATGGGTTCACCTTTCTTCCGCCCTCCAGGATGACTAGCTAGTTCTTTAACAATCATTTATTAAACAAATTCATTTTTTAGTTCACTGATTTGAAATGTCATCTTTGTCAGACAAAACATTTCCATTTGTATTTGGGTCTATTTCTGGAAGCTCCATTCTGTTTCATGCTCTGTCTGGCCATATTCCAAGGCAATGCTGTTGAACTTTTTTAACTTGATAAAACACTTTAACAGCTGGTGGGGCTAGTCTTTTTGATTGCTCTTTTTTTTTTTTTTTTTTTAAAGAGTTTTCCTATATAGTCCAACTTGTATACTTATCCACATGAATTTTACAATTATATAAACGCTTTCAAAATGGAAACCTTAAAAAGTTTTAAACAGGCTTATCAAGTAACCTTATTATAATGTCTTCTTGAATTATTGATGAGCGTGTAGTTGGCACATCGTTCTAGAGGGTAACTTCCCAGTACATTTCTTTCTTTCTTTTTTCTTTCTTTCTGTTTTATTTTTTGAGACAGAGTCTCCCTCTGTCACCCAGGCTGGAGTGCAGTGGTATGATCTTGGCTCACTGCAACCCCTGCCTCCCAGATTCAAGCAATTCTCCTGCCTCAGCCTCCCGAGTAGCTGGGATTTACAGGCGCATGCCACCACACCTGGCTAAGTTTTGTTTTTTCAGTAGAGACGGGGTTTCGCCATGTTGGCCAGGATGGTCTTGAACTCCTCATCTCAGGTGATCCACCCGCCTTGGCCTCTCAAAATGCTGGGATTACAGGCATAAGCCACCACGCCCGGCCCCCAGTACCTTTCAAAACGTGTAATGAGTGTACCCTTTGACTTAGCAATTTCACTTCTGCAACTTATCCTGTAGAATGATTTGCACAACTGTGCAAGAAAATATGTTCAAAGATGTTCATTATTGTTTGTAACTGTAAAAACTGGAGAAAAGAGAAATATCTAGGACAGGGGTATTTAAGAGATATCTCTATATGTAGTGACGTAGAAGGATGTCTAATTTCAGAACAGTGTAGAGTGGGTCTTTTTCTTTTTGCTAAAAATATCATATACAGGTGCTTATATAGACATAGACACTTTCATTTAGTGTGCATGAAAAGAGCACATACCAAACTCAATGATGGTGCTCCTTGGGGGTATGCATGAGTAGCTTCATTTTTACTTTATATATTTCTGTAATTGTACAATTAAACAAATTACACTGCAAGTTGTTTTTGCATACCTCTTTCTCATTCCTCCATGTGTCTCCCCATCTAGCATCCTTTTCCATCCCCCCCCCTTTTTATTTTAAGCATTGCATCTTCTCATTTGAATTGCATTTCCCAGACCTGGCAAAAAAAATATTTCCTCTTGTACTTGCATGATCTGTGACCCACAATTTCAGATCACAATGCCCCATCTCCTTGAGTCCCTGTGGTTAATTCAGGCATGTGCAAATGACCCAAGCTGTGTCAATCTGAGGATTCTTAAAGATTTTTCAAAGGCTAGCAGAGAAGAGCTGTTTTCATTTTCTGGGATTCTCAGCTATGAGAAGACTGTACATGAAGAGCTGCCAATGACCAGAAAGCCTGCCTGGTATTGCCACCACTGAGGAAAACTGAACAGTGAAGTAAGCAACAGAGGGCAAGAGGTTGCTCAAAGGCATCGTTTGAGTGCCTGGATGCAGCCATCATACTTGGACTTAGTTATCTGAACGGAATGGATCCCTTTCCTCCAGCTGGTTAGGACTAAGTTTTTAAGCTGCCCTTTGAAACATGCAAACAGCCGGGCGCAGTGGCTCACACCTGGAATCCCAGCACTTTGGGAGGCTGAGGCGGGCAGATCACCTGAGATCAGGAGTTCAAGACCAGCCTAGCCAACATGGTGAAATCCTGTCTCTACTAAAAATACAAAAATTAGCCGGGTGTGGTGGCAGGCGCCTGTAATCCCAGCTACTTGGGAGGCTGAGGCAGGAGAATTGCTTGAACTCGGGAGGCGGGGGTTGTAGTGAGCTGAGATCGTGACACTGCACTCCAGCCGAGGCAACAAGAGTGAGACTCCGTCTCAAAAAAAAAAAAAAAAAAAGAAAGATGCAAACCCCTTCCTGATGTGCCATGCACTTGCACTGGCTCTGGGAGATGGTGTCAGCTTCCACTTTTCACAGCCCACACCCTGGAAGGACAGAATCTCGTCTGCCCCATGATGTCCATGCAAGACTCTGAAATTTGTTCCCCATGTCCGCAGTTTTTAGGGGCTTTTTTTTTTCTTAAACAAACAAAACCACTTCCCTAAGATGATCTTATAGGTGGGTCAACATGATAGGCATCTTTCTCAATAACCTTCATCATCACGCAGTGCCCTTGTTTCATCTCCAGACTAATTTAGAGTTACTGTTGTTGTTTTAACCTCTTTAAATCTCCCTAAATCTTTCTCTTGAGATGGTTCCAAGATGTCAGTCCACTTCAATATCAGTCTTCACCTACAGAAGTCCTTCAAGGACCACCTCAGATGTCTCCATCTCTAGCATTAACCTTTCTTTGACTGTCCCAAATAAAGGATAAACAGCACAAAGGCCAAACACAGGGCTCTGTTTTGGTGTCACTGGTTGGTGACAATGATGACAATGCCATAGTTCGACCCCTGCTGTAATGAAGTGAGAGGGTCACAGAATGCACAGCAAGTCGAACAAGAACTAATCGGTAGTGCAGTAACAGAAAGGGATGCAGAGTCTGTGTCACAAGGACCTGGTTCTGCCTCTTACCAGTGGAGCATCAAAAATCAATGCTAGTGTCGTTGCTATGAACACGATGTCTCATGTGATCCTGCAGCCCCCCACGAGATACATATTCCTATCCACAGTTTGCAAATGAGAAGACTGAAGATAGGGTACAGGCTTAAAAAGTAGTTTAAGCCCTCTGAGCTTCAGTTTAGCTGTTGTGGGAAATGGGGAATGCTGATACTACCTCCTATACCATCAGAATTAAGTGCAGTAATATTCAACCATAGAGCAGGCATCCAAGAATGGTGGCTATTTTTAATCATGATTTTTACCACTTATAAAGATGAGAGACCAGGTGGATGATGATTTTTTTCAAAAACACTGTTCTACTGGCTAACCAGAAACAACCAGCTTTGCAAGCCACTGCAAAATCCCTTGGAACATCCCATAAGCAAGGGAATGGCATGTATGTCATACTTGCATTAGACACCACCACAATTTGCATGCCTTGGCATGTGTGTGAGACTGCAGATCAT
Organism: Homo sapiens; assembly: GCF_000001405.40. Classification (NCBI taxonomy): domain Eukaryota; kingdom Metazoa; phylum Chordata; class Mammalia; order Primates; family Hominidae; genus Homo; species Homo sapiens. The sequence goes on from NC_000017.11 coordinate 68,564,576, forward strand.
CCAAGGGACCTTGGAATCCTGCTGTAGCTTTTCTGTGGTCTCTTGGTGTGCAGACTAAGCAATAGGCAGGTTATCAAGGCATTAGAGGGAGAACCAAGGCAGGTCTGGGCTTGGGCCTTAGGAGGTGGGTGTCTGCAGGCATGGGGATGGCAGGAAGCCTGGAAATGGAGCTTCGGTGGCCTAAACGGGAGCCTGGAGTCCCATTTGCTTCCTGGGATATGGGAGCTGAGGGCGTGAGGAGGGTGCCAATCTGCACCCTGTTTTCTTCTGGGACCCTGAGGGCAGAGCCACTGGGGTGCTGCGAGTGCTCCAGACAGGGAGGGGAGACGGCTGTGACTCACAGGGTTCAGGGAGGATTTGGAAGGTTCTCAGAAGACTGGGCGGCTCCCCATGCTCCTAGTCACTAACCACACGGCTTCAGGTCTGAAAATCTTCCCCAGTGCCTAAATTTCCTTGTTTTGAGGAAATAGAAGGAATAGGTTTGGATCCCCCGCCTCCAAAGGTTTTAGAGCAAAGGTTTATGGCTGCTATATTCAACAGTTCTTTGGGGATTGAGGTCAGGCCCCTTTGGAGTAATTTTGATACCTGACCATGCAAATATAGACACAGCAATCCTCTCCAATGGGTGTTACAGTGGAGAAGTGGGGCAGTATCAGAAGGGGAAGCTGAGACCCCCATTTGTTCCCCTCCAAAACTATATAGCTAGCTGTTCATTCCTAAGGTCTCCCAGCTAAAAAGCACAGACATCTTTGGTTCCTGCCTCTTCCCAATCATTTTTAAATCCTGGAGTTTAACCTCCATTACCTCCTTTTTTTTTTTTTTTTTTTTTTTTTTTTGAGATGGAGTCTTGCTCTGTCACCCAGGCTGGAGTGCAGTGGCCCGGTCTTGGTTCACTGCAACCTCCGCTTCCTGGGTTCAGGCAATTCTCCTGCATTAGCCTCCCAAGTAGCTGGGATTACAGGTGTGTGCCACCAAGCATAGCTAACTTTTGTATTTTTAGTAGAGATGGGGTTTCACCACGTTGGTCAGGCTGGTTTTGAACTCCTGACCTCAGGTGATCTGCCTGCCTCTGCCTCCCAAAGTGCTGGGATTACAGGCATGAGCCATCATGCCCAGCCATCCATTACCTCTTAATTTTCCCCTTTTTTTCTGTTGCCTGTGCCTTAACCCTCTTATCTGGATCCTGGAATAGTCTCTTTACTGATATTCACGACCTCAGTCTTCTTCCCTTCTCCACTCCAGGCCTCCATCACTGCCAAATTCACTGTCCAGGGCACAGCTGCAAGCACTTATTTCCCTCCTATGAAATCCTTCAATAGGTCCTTGTTGTCCGTGGACTCTCATCCAAATTCCTACTTTAGCATTTCCCCAAGTGTTTTACTTCTTTAAATCTTCCTCCCCACCCATTGCCCTCCTACCTAAGTTCTATGTTTAGTGTTCCTGTACTTTCCTCCCACCTCATGCTGTTCCATCACCTTGGAATGCCTTCTTCTACACTTTCATCTCCAGAAATTCCTCCCAGCCAAACTCCCATGGAACTTCCTCCTTGAATCTTTTCCAGTCCTACAACCAACCAGATGTGAGCTTTCTTTCTCACTCCCCCAAATTTTCATAAAACTCCAATTTCTTTTATTGTTCTTGCCATATTTTGAGTAATAGTGATTTAGGCATATTTCTCATTTCTTCTAACTGAGGGTGGGCAGAGGCAATGTCTTACTCAACTTTGTGCCTCGTCCAAAACTTAGCACAGCACCTTGTGCACAGAAGGTACTTAACACTGATTATGGAAAGAAGTTGGAAGCTCTCCACTAGTACTGACATATGCAGCTACTATGGCCTGAGTATATTTTTGGTATTAGTGGGTTACAAAATATTTTAGGGGTTTGATGGTTTATAATCCAAGACAAATATGGTCTTTTTCAGAGTATTTCGCTCCAAGTTGTGTACAAAGAAAACTTTCTAAATAAAGGAACTCCCCAGGAGTTAGGCAATGCTACAGCAGGGTCAAAGAGGGAAAACAGCAAAAGCGTTAGTCAGGATTAGACACTTCTCTATGAGTTTGAACATCACTGGGTAGTTCAGAGCTAAGGGTTTGCATAGGTATACAATGTATCTCTCTGTTTTTAGTTGCATTGGGACAAACTAACTCCAAAATAATTTAATTCAAAATCATTTTGATTGCACTGGAGAAAACACATTTCTTTTGATGGGTAGTTTTAAATGCTGACTCTCCAGGAGAAAATAAAAGCTTTCAGTGTCTTCAGATATGAAAATAAACGGTCAACATGAAAGATGTTATTCTGATCTTTCAAAATTTAAGGAACTTCCTTGGATTTACTTCTGCATCTTCGGTCACTTAGTCCGTGTCTCCTTTTCAGTCTACCTTGGTCTGTCATTAAATACAACAATTCTGAAAGCTTCTGTTCTGGCTTTTTTCTTTCTCCCTCTAGCCTTGCTTTGGATGTGATTGCATCCACCGCCCTAGCTTCAATGATCACTTGTGTGCAAAGGACTCATAAATTTTTTCTTCCAGCTCTCTCAGCAGTAGACTCATAAATTCCACTGCTCATATCTGTAAAGGACAAGATAGCAAATATTTTAGCCTTGGTGGACCCTATGGTCTCTGTCTCAACTGCCCAAACCTGCTGTTATTGCACGAAAGGGGCCTTAGGCAATCTGTAAACGAACAGGCAAAGCTGTGTTCTAATGCTGCTTTTTTTGTTTGTTTTTACAAAATCAAGTGGTCATGGGCCAGATTTTGTCTGCAGGCCACAGTTTGCCAACCCCTGCCTTAAAAACATCTACATTCAACATGTTTAAAACTAAACTCTTGATTGTCTCTCTAAGCCTGGGCCTCAGTTGTGGCTTCTGTTCTGCCCAGTGAAGGCCACCTGTCATAGGTCAGGTTCTCCCTGAAGCTGGCCCTGGGCTTTGGGTTTAGGAGCAGGTGATTCATTATGAAGGTGCTCCCTGGAGAAACCAGTAAGAAAGTGAGGACAGGGGAGGAAGAAGCCAGACAAAGAAGTCCTAGTCTTGGTCTAATCCTTTGGGGAGCTGTTAGGCTTGGTATACCTGAAAGTTTGTCCTGCATTGAAGCAAAGGAGCTGAGCCTTTGTACTCTGATATGGTTTGGTTCTGTGTCCCCACCCAAATCTCATCTCGAATTGTAATCCCCACGTGTCAACGAAGGGACCAGGTCAAGGTGACTGGATCACGGGGGTGGTTTCCCACATGCTGTTCTCATGATAGTGAGTGAGTTCTCAAGAGAGCTGATGGTTTTAGTGTGGCACTTCCTTGTTCTTGCACTCGCTCCCTCCTGCCACCTTGTGAAGAAGGTACCTGCTTCTCCTTCACCTCCCGCCATGATTATAAGTTTCCTGAGGCTCCCCCGCCATGCGGAACTGTGAGTCAGTTAAACCTCTTTTCTTCTACATTACTCAGCCTTGGGTATTTCTTTATAGCTGTGCAAAAACGGACTAATACATACTCTTACTCTGGTCAGTCATTGGCTATGACTGTTCTTGGGGAAAGAGAGAATAGGGGGAGTGTCTGAGTTTACTAAGGCTGCCATAACACATGACCTCAAACTTGATCATTTAAAATAAAAGAAACGGCTGGGCGCAGTGGCTCACGCCTGTAATCCCAGTACTTTGGGAGGCCGAGGCAGGCGGATCACGAGGTCAGGAGATCAAGACCATCCTGGCTAACACGGTGAAACCCCGTCTCTACTAAAAATACAAAAATTAGCTAGGCGTGGTGGTGGGCGCCTGTAGTCCCAGCTACTCGGGAGGCTGAGGCAGGAGAATGACATGAACCCGGGAGGTGGAGCTTGCAGTGAGCGGAGATCGCGTCACTGCACTCCAGCCTGGGTGACAGAGCGAGACTCCATCTCTAAAATAAATAAATAAATAAATAAATAAAAATTTTAAAAATAAATAAAAGAAACTTACTGTGTCATACTTCAGGAGGCCAGAAGTGCACAATCAAGGTATTTTCAAGACTTTATGCTTTCTGGAGACTCTAGGGGAGTTTCACTCTCTAGGGGAGAATCCATTGCTTGTTTCTCTTAGCTTATGGTGGTTCCAGGCATCCCTGGTCTTGTGGCCACATCATGCTAATCTCTGCCTCTGTGGTTACCTTGTTTCTTCCTCTTCTCTTAATTCTTTCCTCTCCTATAAGGATTCTTGTGCAAGCATTGAGATACCCAGATAATCCAGGTTTATCTCTTCATCTCAAGATTCTTAACTTAATCATATGGGCAAAGGCCCTTTTTCCATATAAGGTAACATTCAAAGGTTCCAGGGATTTGACGTGGATATATTTTGGGTAGGGGTGGGAGCAGGGGTGGGGAGTTTCTAACAGAATAAAATTCCTAGGCACTGCCCGATCTTTCTAAGGGTGAGGTAAGTGTCTTAGCCACTAGCCACAAAGCATACAGAAGCTCCCTCCTTTTCAGTCTACCTTGGTCCATCATTAAACACTACAATTCTGAAAGCTTCTGTTCTGGCTCTTTTTCTTTCTCCCTCTAGCCTTGCTTTGGATGAGATTGCATCCACACCCCCCAGCTTCAATGATCGCTTTTGTGCAAAGGACTCATAAATTCCAGGAGTTATCCTGGAGTCAGAATTCCAGGAGTTATCCTTGAAATTTCTCTCTCCCTTCCCAAAATGTCCCCTGCATCACCGAATTGTGTAGATGTTACCTCCTTTAACAGCTCCTGAATCTGTCCACCCCTCTTCTCTACCACCATCACCCTAGCCTGTCACCTGGACTTTTCCAATAGCCTCCTAACTGGAAGTTCCACTGGGACTCTCTTTGATCAGCACTCCTAACTGTAACCAGAATGATTGCTTTTTCAAAATGCAAATCTAAACCTTTAGCTTCCTGCTCAGAAGCACTCAATGTCTCTTTATTGATGTTAAATGAAAACAAGCTTCCTTAGGCCTGCACTGGCCAATATGCAATAGCTACTAGCCACATGTGACTAATTACATTTAAACTAATAAAAATTAAAGTCACACCAGCCACACCCACCACATTTTAATTGCTAAGTAGCCACATGTAACTAGTGGCTACCCTTTTGCACAGCACAGATGATAAAACATTTTCATCATTGTGAAAAGTTCTATTGGACTCAGTGGTCTAGGTTCATGTTCTTCTATCCCAGCTACAAAGGCAATGATCTATCCACCATGGGTGCTTGGAACAGCCATATCCTTGGCCTGGGGCACACTTTCCTCATCTTTGCCTCCTCGTTTGTCTCATTTGTCTACCAGCTCAGGCCTTCATTCCTTGGAAGTCTGCATTGGCCTCCGGAGAGGTCCCATGTCTCTGTTTCTGTGTTGCGTTGCACAGTGTCTCTCTCCTTTATCCATGCTGCACTTACAGTTTCACATTTGCTTGTGTTCATCCACCCCAGACACCACAAAGGTAGAGTCTATTTCTGTTTCTGCTTAACCCTTGAATCCTTAGCATCCTGAGCACATAACAGATGTTCAATAAATATATATATATTTCTGAGACTGAGTCTTGCTTTGTCGCCCAGGCTGGAGTGCAGTGGCATGATCTCAGCTCACTGCAACCACCACCTCCCAGGTTCAGGTGATTCTCCTGCCTCAGCCTCCTGAGTAGCTGGGATTATGGGCACCTGCCACCACACCTGGCTAATTTTTGTATTTTTAGTAGAGACAGGGTTTCACCATTTGTCAGGCTGGTCTTGAACTCCTGACCTCAAGAGACCTGCCTGCCTCAGCCTCCCAAAGTGCTGGGATCACAGGTGTGAGCCACTACACCTGGCCAACAGATGCTCAATAAATATTTGTTGAATGAATTAATGTGCTCCTTATCTCACACCTAGTGGATGATAGCTTCAGGAGAACGACTTTCTGTATTTTTCTGGAAAGACAGCTAATGGGAACCATAAGCTTACTCAAGCCCAGTATAGGAGAAGTTGATTTGCATGCTCTCTGGATAGGATATGTTTGCTATAATGTTAAAATTTCCAGAAATCCTGCCTCCCATTCTTCCTTCTTTCCAACTTTGTCACATCTTAAATTTCCTGGGGCTTTCCTGAGTTAGGATGAACCGAAATGATAATGAGAAATAACTTCTGTCCTTTCTGCTGAAATAACTAGTCTCCCTTTGGCATCTGGCCACACATTCTCCTCCAAAAGTAGTGATGCCAAGTCCTCTCAAGTATAGCTATTTAAATTGCATGCCACAGAATTTATATTTTGCTAAATTCACTGGTTACTAAGCTATTATGAGAAATGGCACTCTTTCTGTTTTGAGAGCTCATACTGAGGTCTCCTGGGGAGGAATTTGGTGATAATCCATTAAGTATTTTCTAATTATTTGAACCCCTGTACATTTCCTGGAGCTGTTCATTCCAGAGCAATTCTAGGAGGCACTGTGTCAGATGGAGAGGTATGATGGGGTCCGCCCAGTCCCATCACCTGGGTTAGGATGGTTGACCTGCAGAGGTTCATGAAGCTCTGGTCATCAGTGCCTGGGATCCCAAATAGTGAGAGGAAAATGAGAAAGGGGCTGTCAGCACTCAGGAAAAATCTCTTCGTTGGAAACTGAATTTACTGCTCATTGTGCTATACCATCAGAAGAGAAATGGAACAGCAATGAAAGAGCTGGAGCCATGTGCTTTCTTCCCAGTTAAACTCTAAGTTTCCTGAGGGCAAGGATCTACCCTGGATTTCTTTTGCATCCTCCTCAGTATTTGAAGGAGCACTCAGGAGTGCTATGCACACAGTAAATATTCTATAAATAACCGATTATTAGATGCTTGAACACGTTTCCTGCTGCCAAAGCTCCATCATACTCCAAAACACTAGTATCAAAACTTGAGGAAGAAAATCCCTTGGACACAGGAATTGCACTTGAATTCTATCCATGGAGTTCATAAGGTTGGTCTCACTCATTTAATACATTTCCAAGAGCACTCTGTCACACAGACAATTAGAAAAGCATTATAGTGAACTTCTATAGCACTCGGCTTTTAAATTAAATCTTGCATCTGTTTGATCCATATGTCTCTTTCAGTGTTCTTATCCTTGACGTGGGTCCTAGAAAGAACATTTTCTCAAGGTTGTTTTTCTTTTTTTTCCCCATGGCTGTGATGAATTTGGAAGAATCCTCCTTCATACTGTTCTATTTCTCCTGTGACACGGAAGGATTCAGGTTTTGTGAGACCTGAAGCTAATACAATTTGGAGGACCATCTTTAAGCAAAAGAGTACAAAATTACGAATACAAAACCAGGTATGAGAGTAAAGGTTTATTTAGAATGAAAAAGAATCAATAAATTACTGGTGACTTGAAGGCTTTTTTCTGAGATATCAAACTTATGTAGAAATATATATATGTGTGTGTGTGTATATATATGTGTGTGTATATACATACATATATATATATATATATATATATATATATATATATATATATATATATATATATGTAGCAGGGAATATAGGTGCATTCCACTACAACTGGCTATTATTTTTATTTTTATTTCTTTGTAGAGACAGGGTTTTTCCATGTTGCCCAGGCTGGTCTTGGACTCCTGGGCTCAAGCCATTCACCTGCCTTGACTTCCCAAAGTACTGGGATTACAGGTGTAAGCCACAGTGCCCAGCTGTATGTAGAAATATTTCTTGATCATAACCTGGCTCCCTTCTCAACTCCACAGCATTCAGCACCCACAGGGGAAGTGAGGGGAAGTGGGCTGAGGCTTCATCAGCTTCATGGTAAATCTGCCTCTGACAGGCAATTGTGCAATTCACAATCCAGGCGTATTTGTTGAGCACTTTCAGAGACATTAAGTCTGGGTCCTTATCCAATGGACTTTCTTGATTCTTCTAACCAGTTTCTGAGTATGAGACCATCAGAGCAGTAACACTGAGTAGTAGTAACTGGGCCAAGAAGGGCATGGGCTTTTGGAAATGGCTTTTTGGTGTTCACTGTTGGAATGGGCTTCATTTCTGAAACCTCAGCACTGCGTTTGTGCCGGCTGCCTGTGTTCATGATAGAATTATGCAGAACGATCAACTCTCCCCAAAATGCATCTTCAGCAGAACGAGCTGACTCATCATCAGAATTCTATGGGTTGTCATAAGCAGGCTGAAGAATTGTTTCTGTTTTCTTTTTAATTTTATTTATTTATTTATTTATTTTTGTTTTAAGAATTGTTGACTGACTTCTTCCCACCGCTCCATCTCATGGGCTCAAAAAACATATTTCTCATTGCTTCCCTTTCTGTTCATCTGCCTCCTCGCCCATTTATCTCTGTGTCCTAGAGGCCAAGGGAAGTCCAAACAAAGCTCTGAGGCAATGTGAGTGGGCCGGAGCTGCAGTGATCTGCTAGACCCCAAAGTGAGCTCCCAATTCCTTCTCATGTCACCTCCCCAAAGAGAAATGCACCCCCGCTTTGGAGGCTGTCCTTCCAGCCCTGAAAGATTATCTGCTTCAGCTAGCTCATGAATCAAAGCTTGATTTTAAGGAGCAGGTGATAGGTGGTAAATGCTGCTGTATCTGTAAATCAGAGTCACCATTAGTGATGGGTTTGTGAATCTAGAAAGGGGAAAGGGTGGGAGAGGCAGATCCCTCATCCCGAGTCCTGGCTCTGCCACTCACAGCTGTGTGACCTAGGGCAAGTTATCTAACCTCTCTGCGCCTCACCTCATGTGAAAAGTCAGGATAATAAATGTACCCACCTTATAGAATTTTAGTGAGGATTAAATGAATTAAAGTTTATGTTTCTTAGCCTGTTTTTTGTTGCTTTATAACAAAATACTTGAAACTGGGCAATTTATAAGAAATAACACTTCTCCCTTTCCCTTTCTTTCCTTTCTCTTTCTTTCTTTCTTTCTTTCTTCTTTCTTTCTTTCTTTCTCTTTCTTTCTTTCCTTTCTTTCTCTCTCTTTCTCTTTTCCTTCTTTCCTTCCTTCCTTCCTTTCTTTCCTTTCTTTCCCTCTCTTTCTCTTTTCCTTCTTTCCTTCCTTTCTTTCCTTTCTTTCTCTCTCTTTTCTTCCTTCCTTCCCTCCCTCCTTCCCTCCTTTCTTTCTTCCTTTCTTCCTTTCTTTTCTTTCTTTCTTTTCTCTTTTTTTTTCTTTCAACAGAGTTAAGCTCTTGTCGCCCAAGCTGGAGTGCAGTGGTGTGATCTTGGCTCACTGCAACCTCTGCCTCCTGGGTTGAAGTGATTCAGCCTCCCAAGTAGCTGGGAATACAGGTGCCAGCCACCATGCCCAGCCCAGCTAATTTTTTTGGTATTTTTAGTAGACACAGAGTTTCACCATGTTGGCCAGGCTGGTCTTGAACTTCTGACCTCAGGTGATCCGCCTGCCTCAGCCTCCCAAAGTGCTAGGATTACAGGTGTGAGCCACCACACCTGACCACATTTATTTCTTACAGTTTTAGAGGCTGGGAAGTCCAAGGTTGAGGGGCATATCTGATGAGACCCTTCTTGGTGGTGGGAACTCTCTCTAGAGTTCTTTTTTTTGAGACAGGGTCTCACTCTGTCACTCAGGCTGTACTGCAGTGGAGCTATCATGGCTCATTGCAGCCTCAACCTTCTAGGCCCAAGTGATCCTCCCACCTCAGCCTCCCAAGTAACTGGGACCACAGGCGTGTGCCACCATGCCCGGCTAATTTTGTTTATTTTTATAGAGACAGGATCTCCCTATGTTGCCCAGGCTGGTCTCAAACTCCTAGGCCTAAGCGATCCTCTGCAGAGTTCTGAGGTGGTGCAGGGCATCACATGGCGAGGGGGCTGAGTGTGCTAGCTCCGGTTTCCTTTCCTCTTCTTATAGCACCATGAGACCCACTCCCACGATAACCCGTTAATCTGTTAATCCATGGATCCATAAATGAGTTAATCCATTCATGACAGTAGAGCCCTCATAACTCAATCACCTCTTAAGGACCCCACTTCTCAACATTGCCACATTGGAGATTAAGTTTTAACATGAATTTTGGAGAAGACAAGCATTCAAACCGTAACATCATGTGAGTTATTGTTACTGTGACTTCTGGGACTCAGTACTGGTAACTTTATCCTTTACAAAGGGGAAGGAATACTGTGAAGAATTATTTCCAACTTCTGCTTAATTTCCCAGTTACCTGAGTTCTGCTTACCAAGGTGAAGTCAAGAGCTCTATTTGGCATTCCCTAGGATGGTCCCTGGGGTAGGCTGAATAATGGTGCCCCCAAAGAGATCTGCGTCTTAATCTCTGGGCTTGTACATACCCTATGTGTCCAGATGGGCTGGCAGATATGATTAAAGTAAGAATCTTGAGATGGAGAGATGATCCTGGGTTATTTGGGTGGGCCCTACATGTAATTACAAGAACCCTTATAAAACAGACACATAGACAAGAAGACAGAGAAAAGAGGATGAGGCAATGTGACCACAGAGGCAGAGACTGGCATGAGGTGGCCACTAGTCGATAGGTACAACTATTATGTATCAATATTTTTTTAAAAAAGAAATTCCTGGAGTCACCAGAAGCTGAAAGAGATAAGAAATGGATTCTCGCCTAGAGCCTCAGGAGGGGACACAGCCTTGCATACATCTTGAGCTTGGACTTCTGGCCTCCAGAAATGTAAGACAATAAATTTATGTTGTTTTAGGCCAGTCAGTTTGTAATAATGTGTTCTGGTGGCTTTTACAAATATACAAGCAGGCCAGGCACAGTGGCTCATGCCTGTAATCTTAGCACTTTGAGAGTCCAAGGCAGGAGGATTGCCTGAGGCCAAGAGTTCAAGACCAACCTGGCCAACACAGGTTCACTTTACTTTACATATATATATATATTTTATATATATATGTCTTCACTTTATATATATTATATATTTTATATATTATATATTTTATATATTATATATAATATATTTTATATATTATATATTATAGATATTAGATATTATATATTTTATATATTATATAATATATATTTTATATATTATATAATATATATTTTATATATTATATAATATATTCTATATTTTATACATTATATATAATATATTCTATATTATATATAAAATATAATATAGAATATTATATTTTATATATATTTTATATTTATATATTATATTTTTATATTTTATATTATATATATTATATATTATATATTTTATATTTTATATATTATATATTTTATATATTATATATATTTTATATTTTATATATTGTATATTTTATATTATACACACACACACACACACACACACACACACACACACACACATAATCAGCCATTGGCAGTTACAGCTGCCACCGGGCAGGGCGTGATGTTTAGGCACTGCTGTTTCTGAGAACCAAGTCCAAAGGGCGCCCCCTAAGAATGGCCTTTCCCTTGCCCAGGAGCTAACCCTGGGGAAGTGGATGGTGTTAGGCTGGAGAGAGGTTCTTGCTTCTTCATCTCATCCCGAATTCTGAAACTTGGCTGCATGCTGAGCCCTTTAAATGGGTCTGGCCAGCCAATGGAACAAGCTCCCATAAGAGTACAAAAGCCCAGTGCTCAGCCAGCTCCAAATTCGTAGTGCCATGGTCCTCTCTGGCTCTCTAGACCCTGCCCCCATACCTGCCTCAAGCACTCTTTGCTTCAATCCCCCACACCTCACATGTAATAATTGTCACCATTTCTGGAGCCATGGCTCTCTGCCAGCACCTTTTATGAAGACTTCACATGTGCTGGCTCATGACTCTTCACAACAGCCCCATAAGACAGGTCCATTGTTAGCCCATTTTATAGATGAGGAGACTGACTTGAGCTAGCTCAAGGTCACCTGCCTGGTGAGTGGCAGGCACAGTGCAGTGATTTGGACCTGGCCGACTGGCTTCCTAGGCCAAGCTCTTCATCATGACCCTACGTGCTGACTGCATCATGGTCCATCTGGCACCTCCTGGCTCCTCATGCTGCAGCCCTGAGCCCAAGGCTCCCTTCTGACTGTCCCAGCCTCCTCCCCAGGGAGAGAGACCTGTAAGTCCATAAATGCTGTGAGGGTGCTCAGTCTGGGCAGGGAGATCCTCGCTGTAGACACCTTTCAGACACTTAGTGGTGGGTACTACAGAAAACGTTAGTTACATGTAGTTGGGGACCTAGGGACAAAACGACTTGCTTAACTGATGAGCAAATCTGAGAAAAAATTAGGAATCAAAATATGATTGTTTTAAATGGTTTTATCAAAGTGGCTAGACTTGCCCTGTTGATTTTGCTCAGCCCTGTTCATTTTGAATAGCCTAACAGCTCTGAGTCAAAATGGCCCCAGGCTGAGCTAGTTGCCTAGGGCAGGCCAGGAGGGACATTCTAGGAGCTGGGACTCTGTCTATAGTAAAAAGTCTGCTTATCTACCCTCACAACAACTTTCAGACACCCTGGAGAAGAATGAAAGAATGATCCCTCATCTAAGAGTCCCCAGAGTCCAGTCAGGGAACTAGCAGATGCCTTCTATCCGGGCCAAGTTTCCCAGATTCTTGTTTTGGCTATAGAGCTAAGATCCAAAACATCTAGCTCCACACAAATAAACTTAGAAAGAGCTGCCAACGGTGACCACTCTGAGGGGAGTGACCATGTGCAGAAAGACAGTCAAGGCTTGCAGAAGTCCTGCCATGACGGCTCCTGCTCAGAGGACATCTCTTAAACCATTTCCTTACGTAGCACACACCAATTCCCCTCTATTCTGCATGGTACATGACACATTTTGGGAAACATGAAATATTAAAGCTGGACTGCGGAGCTCCTCAACCTAATTGTGATGTGATGATTCACGCAGCACAGGGGCCTTGCAGCTGCAGAATCTCCCTTTCTGCAGAACTGTTGCCTCCCTGCTGTAGACCAGTGGTTCGCCACTGGGGGCGATTTTACCCCTCAGGGGACATTTGGCAATGTTTGGAGACATATTTGGTTGTCATAGTTGGTGGGGAGAGTGCTGAGGGCTGTTGTAAACATTCTCCAATGCAAAGGACAGCTCTGCACAAGAGAAAATGATCTGGCCCCAAATGTCAGTAATGCTGAGTTAGAAATCCTGGGCTAGAGCCATAGAATAATGAGCAAATAAAGCACTTAATCCTCTGATGATGGCCTGAAAATTGCTCTGATGGATTTTGCACTCGGTGTAATTTAATATTTTCCATAGACGCGTAAAAGCCTTCCTCAGAGCCTCTCCACTCCTTCTATAGCTTCTGCACAGCCAAAAATTAAAAATGTTACTTAATTGTTTAAAAAAAGAAAACCAATTTGAGTCAGCAAGCATTTAGTTGTCAGACTTCTACCAACCTAACAAGCATATTGATAAAACACTAACACACGTGTTAGTTGCAAAAGATGCAATATTGATTTATTTAAATGTCATCATTGTGGTGCTTTTCAATCTTCCAACTGTGTAATCCTAAAATAAATAAATATATATTTCACACACCACACACACACACACACACGCACACTATTAGCAAGTGACATTGGATAGACAGGTGTCCTCTCTTTCCTCTACCATTTTCCTGAATGCAAAAAGAAGAAACGTGGTGTAAAGGCAATACTCTGAGAGAACCAAGACAAAGCAGGAGCTTTAAAAATCCACCCCCTGGGTCCTCTAATAATCAAAGGTTTACCAGAATATATTTATTTTCAAAAGTGTCTGAATTCTGCCTTACTGCCTATCATACAGGCATGGGCATTTGAAAGAGAGATGGATTTGAATGTTGGGGAATCTGCATGTAGGTGGGTACAATACGGGGTTAGGCTGGGGCACATATTTTCATGGTTCATAAGCAAATTTCCTTGTGGCTCACTCAGATTAAATTCTTTCAAGTCCTTGGCCTGTGAGCTAGTGCTAATTTGCGTGGTATTATTTTTCCACCTGATTTGCAAACCAAGAGAATGATAGCAAATGTTGGCCTCCTTTCCTCCTCAGCATGACCAGTCACCCATGTGGTAGGATAATTTATTGAGATATTAATGTGTTTTTTGTTCTTCCGGAATTTTACCCACCCCTGTTCTCAGAAGATAGCTGGGCCTTTGTGTTCCTTGCCTCAGAGTGTTTTTAGGATCCAGGACCAAGGGGAAGTTTAGACAGGTAGCCAGGCTTCTCTCACTCCTTCCTTGGATTTTTAAAAATGTCTAGGCTCGGCCAGGTGCAGTGGCTCATGCCTGTAATCCCAGCACTTTGGGAGGCCGAGGCAGGCGGATCACAAGGTCAAGAGATCGAGACCATCCTGGTGAACATGGTGAAACCCTGTCTCTACTAAAAATACCAAAAAAAAAAAAAAAAAAAAAAAAAAAATTACTGGGCGTGGTGGCAGGTGCCTGTAGTCCCAGCTATTCAGGAGGCTGAGGTAGAAGAATTGTTTGAACCCGGGAGGCAGAGGTTGCAATGAGCAGAGATCGCGCCACTGCACTCCAGCCTGGTGACAGAGCGAGACTCTGTTTCAAAAAAAAAAAAAAAACATGTCTAGGCTCAGTGAAGGCATTTGCTAGGCAGGGGGATTTAACAGAGAATGTGAAAGTGCATAAAGAAGCACAGAATTTTGGGGAAGCATGAAGAGACTCCAAGGTTAGGAAAGGAGAGTTGACTGGGGTCTGTGTCTGGCCTGTTTCTTGGAGGTGATCCAATGTGCTGGGGAACGGTTAGGTGTGTGCAGAGAAAGACTCATTTTAGGCACCAGAAACCGAGTCTCAGCCAATAATCCTGTGCTTGAACTTGATGCAGAACCAACAGTGCCACCCACCTGCACGAGACCAGGTGATGGAACATGGACTATGGGTCCTCCTCAAATGTGCTCCCAGACACCCTAAGGACATTGACCCAACATGAGGGGCTTGGGGTAAGGAGCTCCAGTGATGACTCAGACTAAATTTCTAGCCAACCAAACAGAAAAGAGGGCCTAGAGTCCAAAGTGATTGGACTTTTGAAAAATAAACCAATGCTATGTTACTTTGATTTTTGAGTTTGTAGAGCAAAATCCATCTGAATTCATTTACCTATTGAGTGAGAGTAGGGTAGGTTCTGTTAGAGCAACAGCTTAATCCTGAAATCGGAGTGGCTTTTCAAAACAAGAGCTTATTTCTCACTCATGCTACTTGTCTCGTGAAGGTCAGTAGGGATTCTGCTCCACACACTGACTCAGGGACCCAGCTTGATGAACACACCAAGATCCCAACAAATGGTCTTCACAGTCATCAGGGCAAGAAAAGAGAGGAACTGGAAGATGAAGTGCTGGCTCTTCAATGCTTTGGGAAGCGACGCAGATCACATCAACTGATAACCCATTGTCCAGGACTAGTCACATGACCCCAACTAACTGCTGGGGGCTGGAACACACGGGAGAACAAGTGGACTTTGGTGAGCAGAAAATGCCTCTGCCACAGCCTCTTGGTACTTATTGAACATAGGATGTGTCTTTTGATTTAATACTATTAATAGTTTGCATTTGCATAAATCTCATTATAAAGGCATTTTAGGTTATTTCCATTTATTGTCTTATTCTCCTCTCCTCAAGCTCTTAAAGAAACTAAGGTCCACAAAGTGGAAGTAACAACATAATAAGTGGAAAGGAGGAATAAAAGCCAGGGTTGTGACCTGAGCTTTTTCTGCTCTTCCACAGTGGCTGCAGAGAAACGAATGCTTTGTCAAGAATTTAATTTGAATTTCCTTGGAGCCTTCTTAAAGATCATGGTGGTGGTGGGTGGGGGGAGACACAGAACCTGATTAACTGTTTGCTGTTGAGAAAGCAATGACTGTACCAAGATTTTACTGAGATTTTTGCGAAATGGGCTGGTTTCCCGAAATGGGCTGGTTTCCCGACAAAAACTCATTCCTTTCTCGTTAAAATACAATTGCTTCCTCTTCTGGGAGCTGGTTTTATGCTATGTTGCAATGCACCTCTTGTTTCCACTCCAGCTAACTGTGTCCTTAACCTTATCCTGACCTCATAGAACCACAGCCCTGGCTCAGCACTTAAGTAAAACCCGCCCAGAGAGGGGCATGGGGCTTCTGAGCTGGAGTGGCCCCGAACTGGAAGGGACTTGAATGAGAAGGGGCATATCATGGATTGTCCCAGGGTGGAAACCACCTGGACTTCTGCCTTGGTGAGCAAAAATCAGACTCAAGAGGAACCAGTGTCCCAAAATGGGCCTACAGTGTGAATGAGGAAAATAGCTAACTACCTCTTATGTGGCACTCACATGGGGCCAGGCAGTTTTAAGCACTTTGCTCTTTTAACTCATTTCACCCCCACAGAAACTCCTCATAAGGTCAGTATTATTATTATTACCACCATTGTAAACATATGGGAACCAGATATAGGCAGCAAAAATGACACCTCCAAGGTGGCACTGCTAGTACAAGGCAGCGTTGCGATGACACCCGAGTATGACATCTGAATATGTGTAAGATACTCCACCAATAATGATTTTTCCCCCTGATTAG
Organism: Homo sapiens; assembly: GCF_000001405.40. Taxonomy (NCBI): domain Eukaryota; kingdom Metazoa; phylum Chordata; class Mammalia; order Primates; family Hominidae; genus Homo; species Homo sapiens. Next base: position 68,581,012 of record NC_000017.11, read on the forward strand.
GAAGACCAAAAAACTTTTGTATAAAAATAAAAAACTATGGTGCATAAGGAGGGATGAGTTGGATAACTTTTAAAACGTCTGATGCTTATTGCCAACTTGCCCTCCAGAAAGAGAAAGCAACCTATACTTCCAGAGCAGGGTACTGGGAGTAATTCTGCCTCGATAATCTCTGGGCCCTGATGCAAAGGGGTGTACTGTGACAGCATGGCTCACTAAGCCTCCTGGACACAAATCTCTTCTCAAATTGGTTTCCAGGACTCAGGCTCAGACATGAAATAAAGTTAAACTCAGTGTTGAGTTTCGGCTCTGGAGTTGAAAAGGTATCTCCGAAATGCAGTTTTTCTTTCTTTCTTTCTTTCTTTCTTTCTTTCTTTCTTTCTTTCTTTCTTTCTTTCTTTCTTTCTTTTTCTCTTTTCTTTCTTTCTTTTCTTTTTTTCTTTTCTTTCTTTCCTTTCTTTCTTTCTTTCTTTCTTTCTTTTTCTTTCTTTCTTCTTTCTCTTTCTCTCCTTTCTTTCTCTTTCTTTCTTTTCTTTTCTTTCTTTCTTTCCTCTCTCTCTCTTTCTTTTTTCCTTTTTTTTTTTTTTGACAGAGTCTCACTCTGTTGCCCAGGCTGGAGTTCAGTGGTGTGATCTCTGCTCACTGCAGCCTCCGCCTCCCGGGTTTAAGCGATTGTCTTGCCTCAGCCTCCTGAGTAGCTGGGACTACAGGTGTGCACCACCATGCCCGGCTAATTTTTGTATTTTTAGTAGAGACAGGGTTTCACCATGTTGGCCAGGATGGTCTCGATCTCCTGGCCTCGTGATCTGCCTGCTTTGGCCTCCCAAAGTGCTGGGATTACAGGTGGGAGCCACTGTGCCCAGCCAAAATCCAGTTTCTTGTGTAACATACTCTGTCTGAGCCACTTTCTTCATCTGAAAATGAGGATAAGGACTGTACCTGCTTATGGGGTTGTTGCAGGGAGTAAATGTGTGGTGGGTGAAGTGGTCAGCACTGTGCTTAACATAGAGTAAGTGCCGCACAAGTGTCACCTGCCATCAAAGTGTCACCGACTCACCAGAGGCACGGTTTGAAGGGAAGGTCTCCAGGGAGCAGAGATTAGCCTGTTTAACCAGTTTAATAAATGCTTTAGTAAAAGAAAAAGAGTTGTTCCTAGAATCAGCAGAATTCCTGTCACTTCAAGGAAAGTCATTGAGAAACATGGGCTCAGCAGTTTGCACTGAGAAGGGTATGTGCATGTAGGAGGGGAAGGGGGGCAGAGTTTCCAAAATAAGTAGATTGATTGCGTTCTGTGTTTTCTCCCCATTTGCAAGCATTAGGTAATTGACGTCGAAGTGATGGAGGAGAGATCAATATGTGTGTTTTCTCTCTCGCTAGAAGCATGAGAGGCAGCTAAGTCAAGTGAGGGCGATGGCTGGGCTGGAAGCACTGGTGCCTTTCCCTGACAACAGGAGGCCACAAAAGCCATTTCATCATCATCATCCACCCAAACATCAAACATAAATGGATAAGGCTGCATATCGATAAGTATCAAATAACCTGTAAGGAATATTAAAGCATAATCAACTAGCAGTGGTCCTTTATCTGCTTGAGGATCAGTGCTGTAGGAAACCAGGCACCCTGCTCAGTGTGTTCTGTACATGATCTGACTCCATCTTCCCAGCCACCTCTTGGGGTCCAGATTACATCCCACTTTATAGACCAGGAAACTGAGGCTTGGAGGAAATGAGCCTTGGCCCTGCATAGCGCTTATGTGGAAGAGCCAGGATTAATTTTTTTTTTTTTTTTTTTTTTTTTTTGAGACAGAGTCTCGCTCTGTAGCCCAGGCTGGATGGAGTGTAGTGGCATGATCTAGGCTCACTGCAACCTCCGTCTCCCAGGTTCTGGTTCAAGCAATTCTCCTACCTTAGCCTCCCGAGTAGCTGGGATTACAGGCACACACCACCAGGCCCAGCTGATTTTTTTTTTTTTGTATTTTTAGTAGAGACAGGGTTTCACCATGTTGGCCAGGCTGGTCTTGAACTCCTGACCTCGTGATCCGCCCACCTCGGCCTCCGAAAGTGCTGAGATTAGTGCCAGGATTTAAACCCAGAGTTGCCTGACTGCCAAGTTTCTCTTAACCATTCATTTACCAAATATTTGTTGAGTGCCTACTATATACAAACAGCATTTTAGATACCTGGGTTACAATGATGAAGACACAAAGAAGCCTCCATCTTTCTATTAGTTTTCTGTTGGGGCCCTAACAAACTACCACAAACTTAGTGGCGTAAATAACAAAAAATTCCTTCTCTCAGTTCTGGAGTCTGAGAGTTTGAAATCAAGGTAGCAATAGGACTGTGCTCCTTCTGGGGACTCTAGGAGAAAGCCCCTTCTTTGCTGTTTCTGTCTTCTGGTGGCTATTGGTGTTCCTCAACCTGTGACCACCTCACTCTACTCTCGGCCTTTGTGGTCACGTTGTCTTCTCCTCTTCCGTCTGTGTCTAATCTCCTTCTGCATTCCTCATATAAGGACACTTGACATGGAACTTAGGGGTCACTGGATAAGTCAGAATGATCTCCTCATCTCAAGAGTCTTAATTATATCTGTAAAGACCTGTTTTTTTTAACCACATAAGATGATAGTTGGCTGGTTGCGGTGGCTCATGCCTGTAATTGCAGCACTTTGGGAGGCCAAGGCGGGCAGATCATGAGGTCAGGAGATCGAGACACAGTGAAACCCTGTCTCTACTAAAAACAGAAAAAGTTAGCCGGGCGTGGTGGTGCGTGCCTGTAGTCCCAGCTACTTGGGAGGCTGAGGCAGGAGAATGGCGTGAACCAGGAGGTGGAGATCGTGCCACCGCACACCAGCCTGGGTGACAGAGTGAGACTCCATCTCAAAAAAAAGATGATAGTCACAGGTTCTGGGGATTAGAACATGAATATCATTTGGGGAGCCATTATTCGGCCTACCTCAAGGGCCATCCTAGGGAATGCAAAATAGAGCCACCACTCAAACCAATTCAACCCTTGAAGAGTTTAAGATCTGGCTGGGTGTGGTGGCTCACGCCTGTATTCTCAGCACTTTGGGAGGACGAGGCAGGTGGATCACTTGAGGCCAGGAGTTTGAGACTAGCGTGACCAACACGGTGAAACCCTGCCTCTACTAAAAATACAAAAATTAGCCAGGTGTGGTGGCACACGCCTGTAATCCCAGCTACTTGGGAGGCTGAGGCAGGAGAATCACTTGAATCCAGGAGGTGGAGGTTGCAGTGAGCTGAGATGGTGCCACTGTATTCCAGCCTGGGTGGCAGAGTGAGACTCCATCTCAAAAACAAAACAAAACAAAACAAAACAAAACAAAAAAAAAACCCAAACACAAAAAGCTTAAGATCTAATGAGGCTATACACTAAGCAAATCAATACACAAAAAGGCATTAAGTGGTGTTAAGAGCCCAGCTGAAAATAAAACAGGGCTTGGTAAGGACAACATCTGGGACCCCTGTGGGTCAGCAGGACAGGAAAGTTCTCTCTGAGTGGGCAGTTTTGAAAGTAGACGCAAAGGACAAGAAGCAGCCTGCTGATCATCTTCACATCTTCAGTAGAGCCTGACCATTCTGGTTCATCAGCTTAATTTATGCCTTAATGAGTAAATAATACTTCTGGATGAGTTGGGCATAGCATCTCCTGCCAGGAGAGGGAGGAAGAAGCATTTTCTTATATGCAAATAAAATGGCTTTAATATCATAAACTGCAAGCAGCCTTAACAGACCACTGTCTTCACAACTGCCAAAAAGAGCTGCTGCGGACCAACTGCTATAAATCCTAGCTCATCATATTTGGCTGACTTCCCCTGCCTTTTAATGATTTTATAGCTAATAACAGAACAGAATGTCGTCTCATTCAGTTACTTGGGGTGTACATTTTGCAGTGAGTTAAACCCAGAGAGGCCACTGGTGAGTTACGCTGATAAAGTTAGGCATTCAATGGTTGCTTTATTGATGTTTTTTAATACCTAAGGTAGGTGTTTGGTTACAGTCTCTTGGAGTATTTTTCCAGCCAAACATTTTGCAGCCACATTCCATGGCATGTGGCTTTGAGGTATTGATTACCCGCTGGCTCGCCTGTCACAGCAGATTCAAAGGTATTGTCTGAAGGGAATCTAGGCTGGCCCTTAGACCTGTGGCTTCCCTGTAGACAGAGGTCAGTGGCTTTGAGTTCACTTGCCTATCCTGTTTGACTCCATGACTTCAGAAAGAGCCTTTTGTTCCTACCTCTAAGTTCAGTTAATTGGTAAATCTATTTCTTTTTTTTTTCAAATAACAAACACTATGTTTATTAATATCCCTCTATTCAACCCCTCTGCCTCCCACACTTCCGAGTCTTCATTGTGTATTATTGCACTCTCTTCATCCGTGCAAACACATTCTTTTTTGTTTTTCCACCAATACCATGGCTTTATTTATTTTTTTTTTAGGTTTTATGTAAATTTTTCTTTTTTTAAATTATACTTTAAGTTCTAGGGTACATGGGCAAAACGTGTTATTTTTCTGTACTGAATGACAACCCTGAAAAACTGCACTCAAAGTGTTTCTGAAAGTTTTATCCTAAATGCACTGCCACTCAATGTCAGTGAAAAGCCCTGCTGAAAAAATCCAGGTTCATGGAGGGCTGCCCAAAGAATGTGCCTGCTGCCCTTTCCTCTGGAGCCTCAGCAATTTAAATTCTCTCCTGAGATGAGACAAGAAAGCAGGCTTGATCACCACGATCGCGAATGGGTGGGGTGGTGCCTGGGACATGACTTTGGAATTTGCTGTGGGGCACAGTGCTAGCAGAGAGACTCACTGAGAGCCATTGCTGGGTAATTCCCCTATGGATGTGATGGAAAATGCTAGTCCTGACACCATACAGTGTCCTCTCTTGGAGGAGGTGAGGCGAGAAGGACAAGGAAGGTATTCATCTGCCTAGTCACTACCAGGAATTACCAGTGAATTACCTAGTCACTACCAGTGCCCTTCCTGGGTCACTGGCTGCTTTTTACCTTATAGACATGGTTGGTGGCTCCTCCCCACCAAGCAGGGCTGACTCTGTGGTGGGAAGGTTCTCATGGCAAGTGTTCTGAGAAGTTCCTCACTCTTGGCTCCACTGGTCTTGTGTATCCTTCTTTTTCCTTTGGCACATTTTTCTCAACCATTTTATATTGTGATATATCAGAATTATTTTGTGATTTACCTAAAAGATTAACTCTTGGATAAAGATATAGGTATAGATAATCTACTAGATAATCTTTTATCTAAAAGATTAAATTTTTTTTACAAGAGTGAAGATAAATGGTAACTGCATGGCCTTTGTATTTGTCATGGAACATGATTCAAGTGGACTGAATGGTCCCCCAAAAGATAATCCCTGGAACCTGTGAATGTGACTTTATTTGGAAGAAGGCTTTCGCAGATTTAACTAAATTAAGGATCTTGAGATGAGATCATCTTGAATCATTTAGGTGGACCTGATAGCCAATGACAAGTGTCCTTATAGGAGAAAGACCCACATAGAGGAGGAGAAGACACAGACAGACAAAGACAGAAGAGGAGGAGGCAATGTGATCATGGAGGCAGAGATTGGAGTGATGCAGCCAGAAGCCAGTGAAAGCTGGCAGCCACAAGAACAGATTCTCCTCTCAAGCCTCTGGATGGCGTGCTGCCCTTCTGGCACCTTCATTTCAGATTTCTATCCTTTAGAACTGTAAATAATACATTTTTGTTGTTTTAGGCCACCCACAGTGGCTTAAACAGTGACAATTTGTTACAGCAGCCCTAGGGAACAAATATAGTTACCAAATTCCCTTTCAGACCTTGCTCAGGCAATGCTAAGAGATCTGATGGTTCAAGACTTGACTTCCAACTTTCTTTTTTTTTTTCCTTTTGAGACAGAGTCTCATTCTGTCATCCAGGCTGGAATGCAGTGGTGTGATGTCGTTCACTGCAACCTCCGCCTCTCAGATTCAAGCAATTCTCCTGCCTCAGCCTCCCGAGTAGCTGGGACTACAGGTGCCCACTACCATGCCCAGCTATTTTTTATTTTGTATTTTTAGTAGCGATGGGGTTTCTCCATGTTGGCCAGGATGGTCTGAAACTCTTGACACTTCAGGTGATACACCTGCTTTGGCCTCCCAAAGTGCCGGGATTATAGGCATGAGCCACCGCGCCTGACTGACCTCCAATGTTTTGGGAGTGTGACACTTCGGGCATTCACCCTTGGCTGTACAGCTCACAGAGAGTTCTCTGCCACAGGGTCTAGGCTAGTGCAGCAAAGTGTGTAGCAGAAAATCCATCCTTGATGATATATCTAATTTTCTGACAGCAAATTATACCAGAAGATCCAGTCTCAGTTTCTCACCATTACATTAAAGTAACATAATGATTATCATTATAATACCTATGGAGCACAAAATTTTTACCTGTGTTGCTTTGATATCATTAAGTTGCACTGAGGGCATTTTTATCCATTTCAGTGGAGAGTGGAGAGCTCTCCAAGAGGTTCAGCCTCTAGGAGGTGTCACTGCAAGGGCAGCACCTATGTTTCCTGCCGAATGTTTTCACCAGAGGCCCTACATGGAATCCACTGTGGACAACTAAAGCCCAGTTAGTCTGGGGCAATGGGCAAGCTGCTTCATAATAAAACATCAATTGGCTGGATGCCTTTCCATGGAGATTTTCAGGCCAGAGTCTTACGAATTATAAAGACCAATATTTTGCTGTGGTGATCTAATGACATACAATTTAAAAGAGCTTCAAGAAGTGGAAAGGACTCTACATGTTCATGGTGTTAATAATCTTAACAACTATTATCACAAGTGCCCTGTAGATAAATGAACAGATAATGGTCTTGGAAATACACATAAAATATAGGCTGTCAACAGAACTGATGAAGAAAAACAAACCTTCACTTTTGTTTCTACGTATTATGTTGGTTAATATGAAAGGAAGTGCTTATGAGTTTACAAAGCAAGCTTTAAAACCTTTGTGAGATGATACTGTATGCTTGATTCATCCAACCACAGCATCTGCAGCCTTGGTAGGAGTAGAACAATTACAGGAGGAATGCCAAGAGAGACAAAGAGCCAGTTTTCAGCTTTTGACGTAAAAAAAAAAAGGGGGCCCAGAAGAAGGGGAGCTCAAAGCCCATCCATAAACAAATAGATTAAAAAGATAATAAATGATGAACTAGATATTTTGCTTTAAGGAGAGGATCCAGGCTCCAGACTGTCTCATCTGGGAGGCAGAGAGGCTGGGGTCACTTCTTTAAGGAAGGAAAGGCCAAGAGGCCTCTTGAGGCTGTAAGAACCATATGGGAGGAAAAAGAAAATTTCAGATATGGCTTTGCCCCTGCCCCAGGGAACTGAGATGGAGACAGGCCTAAGCCAGCAGATTGTCCTTGGCCATTCCAGGTGAGTTAGCCTCTGTTTTAGTTTTCTAGGGATGCCATAACAAAATACCACAGACTAGGTGGCTTAAACAACAGAAATGTATTTTCCCACAGTTCTGGAGGCTGGAAGTCCAAGTTCGTGGTGTCAGCAGGGTTGATTTCATTCTGATGCCTCTCTCTTTGGCTAGCAGATGGCTGCCTTCTCTCTGTGTCTTCACATGGTCTTCTATGTGCATGAGTTCCTTGTATCTCTCTTCTTATGAGGACACCAATCATATTGGATCAAGACCTACCCACAGGACCTCATTTAACCTTAATTATCTCTTAAAAGGCCCTGTCACCAAACACAGTCACATTCTGAGGTGTACTGGAGTTTAGAACTTCAGCATGTGAATTTGAAGAGACACAATTCAGTCTATACCAGCCTCATTAGGTTTTTGAAGGGTTGTATTCAATTTCTTTCACTTTAACATATGGCACGGGGTCTTACCACTATCAGCTGTCTGCCCACTGCTGGACAACTCACCAGCAGAAGGGATTTCCCTTGAGCTTTTGCTCAGTAGAAGAGAACTAAGTTGTGTAGACCACTTTCTCTTCAATGGCCAGGATTCCTGAATCTCCCCAGATAGCCTTTGATTTATGTTGGCCAACATAGTATGGCAGAAATGACATTTAACAGGTTCTGGCCTGTACTTCAAGAGGCTGTGGAGGCTTCTACCCTCTTTTGCAACCCTGTTGCCACTATATGAACAAGTCTGCATTAGCCTCCTGGAGAATGAGAGGTGGAGGCCACGTGGAGCCAAGATCACCATTCCAGCCCAGAACCCAGACATGGGAGGCAGTACAGCCAAGATCAGCGGAACCAATGCAGTAGCTGACTACAGACACCTGAGTAAGTCCAGTAGAGACCAGAAGAACCATTCAGCTGAACCCAGCCAGAAGTGCTGACCTGCAGAATCGGGGGCTAAATAAGTGGCTTTTGTTTTAAGTCACTAAGTATTGGAATAGTTTGTTATACAGCAAAAGCTAACAGTACACAGGGCCTAAAAGATACTCTCTTAGGCTCAAGTGGTAGAAGCATTGTCAAAGTCATGGAAAGGAGTTATCAGAGACCAATACCATGTTCTTACTAGTGATAATAGTTTGGAGTTGGGGGCAAGGGGAGCAGAAGTCTTGGGTTTGGGCACATCAATTTTGGAGAAAGGAAGGAAGTTTACTCTATTTTCAAATATTGCAAATCAGTGGTTTAAAAAAAATTTCTAGAAGTGGCAGCTTCTTTTCAAAAGAAATATTATACAGAAACTTCAATGTATGAAATAGACACAATTTGTAATTTATTGATATAAATCTAACATATGGTCAAATATATAAAATTGTTTAAAAAGTTAATCAATGAAAACAAGAAGGATAATACGATTATTAATGCAAACATTCAAAATTGGATGTAAGGGGAGACAGGAATAATCTTATTTTAGCACCCAATCAATTTCTATATATTATTTTGGTAGCAGAGTATTGAAAATCCTGATAAACATCTGTAAGTAGTTGCAGCAGGAAACAGCTTTTAACAGCTCACTTTGCAATCTCAGAATACTCCTCAATTAAACAAAGATGAGAGGAGAAGCCATCTGTCAGCACAGTTACTGGAGGCAGGATCATAATGGTGCATAACACAATTGGGTGTAGGTTTTCTTAAATTATATAAAAATTACCTTAAAGTATATTTTTTCAAAGTGAAAATTCAATCAATCATTTGCAGAAACTGTGAAGCACCTCCCAGAAGTTCATGAAGCACACTTGGAAAATTGTCTGATATTTCATTAGGGTAGACTTTGAAGAAGAAATTCGGAAGATGTGCAAAGCTTGGAAAACAGAGTTGCAAGGAGGCCTCAGGGGTCACAGACTCCCCCTCTTCCTTTCAAAAGCAGGAACTGAGGCCTGGGGAAGAAAACACTTTTCTCAGGACTTACACACAGGTATCTTCGCTCCCAGTTGAGACCTCTTTTTTCAGGAGAAAGAGACGTGAACCCGTGGGAGAAAGAGACATGAACCCGTGGGAGAAAGAGACATGAACCCGTGAAGGAGCTGGGTCCCCATCAGTTTCTTTTTTATGCTCTCACAAAAAGACCAAAGTCGCTTTAAAAGAATGCCCAAATAAAGATTCCTATTTCCTTGGGAGGATTTTAATAGTTGGTATAAAAAGTCTGCACATGTGAATTTATGATTGAATTTGCTTTCTAAAATTCTTAAAACCTTAGAGCAGCAGCCATAGGAGTCAGTGACTGTAGCAGACACAAGTTGAGAAACTTTCTGGTACCATGTTAGTCACTAAAGCCCCTCCACCACCCTGTCAGTCTGCATTTCCATCTTGGTTCGGGGGAACTGCTCTTCCCCACTCTGAGCCACGTGCTTCTAATGACTCCGCCTCCCTGGCATCAGTGATTGGTTGGACGGTGGGAATCAGCCTCCATCTGGGCCAACTGTAGCCCTCTGAAGCCTGGCTGTATTCCCAGACCTGGCCCAATGAGCATCTTTGCCCAGGATCTTTCTTTTTGGAAATCAGAGAAACCTTCTCTGTCTAGTCCCAAGGCTTTGGGTACATGGGCCACAGGAAGGGATGAAGATAAGCAGATGAACTATGGAAAGAGGGAATAGAGACAAAGACACAGAGTCCAAGGACTCTGTTTTGTTTTGTTTTGTTTTGTTTTGTTTTGAGAGGGAGTCTCACTCTGTGGCCCAGGCTGGAGTGCAGTGGCGCGATCTCGGCTAACTGCAAGCTCCACCTCCTGGGTTCACGCCATTCTCCTGCCTCAGCCTCCCGAGTAGCTGGGCGCCCGCCGCCACGCCCGGTTAATTTTTTTGTATTTTTAGTAGAGACGGGGTTTCACCGTGTTAGCCAGGATGGTCTCAATCTCTTGACCTCGTGATCCGCCCGCCTCGGCCTCCCAAAGTGTTGGGATTACAGGCGTGAGCCACCGCACCCGGCCCCAAGGACTCTTTTTAATGCTGTGAGGGCAGTTCCTTCTGCCCTTACTGAGGTTTGGTTACTGAGTCTAAAACTTCCTTTTCTTCCTACAGTGAGTTTGAATTGGGTTTCTGTCACATGAAACCGCAGAATCCTGATGAATGTGGGGAATACTTAAAAAATATAATGACTTATTTGCTAGTGATAGAGACAGGAGACAGCTAAGGGTCCCTGGCGAAACCCCACCTTCAAGCCTAAAACAGCCTGAAGGCTGAACAACCGGACTGCTGGTCCCAGATGAAGCCCTCCCTTTCCCAGCTGATCCTTTCTTAATCACGCCGACCTGCGCCTGCGCACTGGGAGGATGGGGGTGGAGCCTCGGGAAGGTCACCCCGTTTGCGTGGGGAGGAGCCTGGCCTCTCCTGTTCCTGTGTGGTGACCTGGGATTCAGTCTGTGAGGCGGGAAATTTGCTAGCAGGACTCTCTCTTGCTCTGCTGAGAGGTATCTTTCTTTTTTCCTTTTTGCCCAGTAAATTCCGTTTTCCTCACCCTTCTATGTGTCCGTGAACCTAATCTTTCCTGGTGGTGTGAAAAGAGCCCAGTTTTAGCTGAACTAAGGAGAAAGTTCTGCAACAGTAAGAAAATGAACATATGCACTGGATGCAGATTTTGCATGAAACTTAAGGGAAAAATGGACCTCACCAACTGGACTCAGTGGGATCCAATGACCCCAATTACAAAACTTCTGCAATGAAACTCTGGTTAACAAGGGGCTGGATTTGATTATGGAATTGAGGTTGGTCAATCTAACTTTTCTCCTATCTGAGTGCTCAGGGCTGCATGGAATGTGAAAATAAGCAGCTACTGGTTGTGCATAATTCTGAGCTATGAGTTAACTATGAATGGGGTTAAAAAAAAGTACGTGAGCCAGCTGTGGAGGCAGATAGACATACTTTCCCTATGGGATTTATGAGTATTCAGCCACTGAAGAAAATCAGAATTATAAAAAAATTCCGTTTCAACTGGTGAAACTGAGACCCTGTAAGGACACTTGAATTGGCCAGGAGAGACAATCTGTCCCTCCGTATATATTCCATTTTGGTTGGTATCATCAAAAAGATTTACCTACAACCTGTGGAGCTCAACCTAGGTGTTGACGATTGAAGGTAAATTTGCAATCTGAGAGCTGCGCTTCACTTGCCAGGGCTGAACAGCGCTGTTTTTCTTCAGTGGACATCTTTCCTATCCCATCAACCTCTCCCAAGCTTTTAAAAATCTCATCTCTTTCCACACCACCTTGTTTTTCATGATCCAGCTTCTCAGTCCATGTACCCTGTGCCAACACTTCTTAAATTTCTTTTTTACTTTCCGTATTTTGCTGAATTTTATTACAGGCTCTTGGCTTCTTAGGAACAGTACTCCTCTACTATGCTGTGTTCCCTGGGGCCTCTTAAATTTATTATCTGGCTTATTGCTAGTGAATTCAATAAAACAGGCTTTTCCCTGGGACTTGACTTTGCCTCTTGCTCAAGCCCGAGTCTACTGGCTGCCCCCAGTGCTTGGTCTCCAAAGCCAGGCTACAGGGATTGAAAGTCAGGGATGCTGCCATCTCCATAGCACTTCAAACTCAGTTCTGTCCTGATTTCACATTTCAACTATAGGATGTTCTGCCAAGTGACAGGGCACAAAAAGAGCTAAGCCTCTTTTCTGTACTGTGGTTTTCATTAAGTGCATATGTGTGTGCCTGCCTATAATAACAGGTAAGAACTTATGTCTAGTAACTTCTGTTCTGCTACAGCTGCAGCTGGTTAGAATGTTATCCCTACTTGGCTTTTGGCCATATGCAAGCCTACTTCAGCAGAATCCGCAGGCTCTCATCAGCCTCTAGCTTAATGAATAATTACAAAAAATACAGGTCAGCACCTGCCAAGGGGGCAGAGCAGGGATAGCTTTGGCTAAATCAAGGTCTCTGTATTTCCCATTTTTCTTTAATGCAAGACTTCTTGGCTGCTCTTCCTCAGAAAGCACAGGAAGCTGAAGAAATTCCCTCTTTTCTTGGCAAATGATGCTTTCTCAACTTTCCTTCATGGCTTTTTTTGACATTGATTTTATTTAGGCTACTGCAATAAGAAGAGCACTCCACATCCAAATTTCAGAATGTCTCAGCAGGGTGGTTTTGCTCTAGACTTCTACAGGGAGGAGTAGACAAGTGGGATGATTTTACAGTTGGAATTGTTTTTGTTCAAGGCTATTTTCAAAGAAGATAACAGGCCATTGACTAACAGCCCCCAAATCCTGGTGTCATCTGTTTCCAATGATTTGTTCCACAGATATTTACTCTGGCTCTGCAACAGCTATATTAGAGCGACCAGGGCAAGCTGGGGGCTTTTCATGCCAAGGGCAAGTGACCATTCCTTCTCACATGAAGCTCCAGACAGCTTCCATGAAGTTACAGCTGGACATAGTGGAAAATCAAAAAATTATATGGTACATATGGAGAGGATGTATATAGTCAGGGAGGGACCACAGTGGGGAGAGGTATTCAGAAAAGCCTTCCCAAAGGAGGAAAAGCTGGGACATCTGGGCATCAAAGGACATAGGGTGGTGGAGCTGGTGGTTAAGAGCATGGATTCTGAAGCCAGACCCTTTGGGTATAAACCCTGCCTGTGGTTTTCTAGCTGCCTGACTTTGGGCAGGTTATATAACTTTCTCGTTTCCAGTTTCCTCTATAAAATGAAGTAAAGAGCAGTACTGGCCGGGCGCGGTGGCTCACGCCTGTAATCCCAGCACTTTGGGAGGCCGAGGCGGGCGGATCACGAGGTCAGGAGATCGAGACCATGGTGAAACGCCGTCTCTACTAAAAATACAAAAAGTTAGCTGGGCGTAGTGGCGGGCGCCTGTAGTCCCAGCTACTCGGGAGGCTGAGGCAGGAGAATGGCGTGAACCCGGGAGGCGGAGCTTGCAGTGAGCCGAGATCGCGCCACTGCACTCCAGCCTGGGCGACAGAGCGAGACTCCGTCTCAAAAAAAAAAAAACAAAACAGTATTGTATTTGTCTTCTATTGCTGTATAACAGAGTACCACAAACCTAGTAACTTAAAACAACACTCATTAATTAGCTCACAGTTTTGTAGGTCAGATGTCCAGCTTGGTGTGGCTGTATGCTTTGCACAGGGACTTAGCTGAATTTAAGGTGGTGTCTAGGTTGATTTCTCATCTGGAGGTTCTGGGGAAAAAAATCTGCTTCCAAGCTCATTCTTGGTGGTGGCAGAATTCTTTTCCTTGTGGCAGTAGGACTGTAGTCCCTGTTTCCTTGCTGGCTGTCAGCTGGGGCTAATCTTAGCCTAAAGATTGCTCCTATCCCTTGCCACATGGCCCCTCCATCTTCAATCAGCAATGGCTCATCAAATCCTTATTCTGCTTTGAATCTCACTTCCTCTCCTGTGATCAGCCCAAGAAAACTCTCTGCTTTAAATCATTCATGGATTAGGTCACGCTAACCAGATAATCTCCATATCCCAAGGGTAACTGGTACGGGGCCTTAATTACATCTGTAAAATCCCTTTATAGCAGTACCCATATTAGCAGTGGGCTGAACAACTAGGAGAGGTGTGTATGCCAGGGCTGGAAATCTTGGAAGGCTGTCTTGGAATTCCATCTACCACATGCACCTATTTCTACAGAGGTTATGAGGCTTAAAATAAGTGTATGTAATGTGCCTGGCACATAACAAGCATGTTTTAGGTAGGAGCATTTGCATGCAAAAAATTAGCCACTTGGGTTCTCAGGATTGATGAGAACTTGGTTGTGGTGAAAGAAGAGTGTTGTTAGGAACAATGGAACAGCCTCTGGTTCTCAGCTGAAGGGCTTCATTTTGATCTATTTGGAAGCAGGAAGTGCCTGTCTTTCTTGGATGAATGACACTGATGCTCTCCCTGATTTAGGTTTTTGCTGTGGCAACAGCAGTGAGGACAGGCTTTGGAATGAGGGAGAAAAAACCTGATAATGGCCGTCTGGACCAGCCCTCTCAGAAACCATCTGCTTGAAGCTTTTGATTCTGAGAGGAGTGGAGAGGTTTCCTCCAACTACAAGTTCAGGGATTTGGAAACCACTAAAATAATATCTTTTCCAAAACTAGTCCAGCAAGGCTCTAATTGGGAGAAATGGGAAATGGAAGTCAGGCTCCCCACTCTCTCTGCTAACCACACACGGGCCGTGGTTGAGGTCCATTTCCAAATCACAGGAGGCCACTTCCTGTCTTAGCTTAGCATTGTTGGCGGGAGAATCTAACAAGGGGCCAAGGCCCTGTTGACTCTGGGAGAGAAGCAAATGGCCACCATCCATGAGTAAGAACCTGGACTTTCATCCAGCCTGCGGGTTGAATTGCCTGCTCACAAGAAATCTAGGTTCAGAGCGTTCTAGGGCAGGCACAAAATAAGCAGGACAGAGATAAAAAGATGGGAGTGAGAATGGAGAGATTGTATTTTTCCTTCCACAGATGCCATGGGGGAGCTGGGGCAGGGAGGAGCTTATCTTCCCCAAGCTCCTAGACGAGGCAATTCTTATTTCTAGCTGAATTCCTTTTCATCTCTCCTGACTTCTTCTCCACCCTTCTCCTCTATCTGCCTTGGCTTCTGGATCTTCTCAAAGCATCCCCCAGAAAAACTTCAGCCAACTTACTCCCTTTGACCAACTGTCATTTTTGAAAAGCTGCCCAGTCTCTTTGCGGTGATTTTCAAAGAGAGACCCAGGACTAGGTTTTCTTTCAGTGACAGCAATAGGTAGGAGGAGGGGTGAAGAAGACAGGAGTTTCTGATGTGGGAAACCACACACACACACACACACACCCCTAAGAAATGCTGAATCTGTAATTGCAAGACAATATAACCTTCCTGACATCTGAGGAAGATGTCAAGAAAGAAAAGCAAAAACTCATATTTGTGTTATAGCTGCTGGGGTTTCTACATTAGGGAGAGCTGACCCTGTTTGACCTTGCCTGTCGAGACCAGAGGGTTACAGAGAGACTGACCAAAGATATGTGGCCAAAAGGCCAATCATATGTGGGCAAAACTGGCCAAGCTGATCAGTTTGACACGTCAAAAGACAGATGTTGTCTGACTTGGGCAGCTTGTGGGCCAGAGAAGAAATCCAAAGCTCAGTATCTAAGAATGCAAAGGCGAGCAACAGTGTGAACCATCACCTGTGCTCCAGGTAAAGCCTGCCTGCCCTGCGTCATCACTTATTCAAGCAAAGGACTAAGAGCAGCACAATTCTGGCTTGTTAGTGTATGGCCTGAAAGTGAAGACTTCATTTCCCTTCTTCCCTGTGCACTTTCCTCGTCACTGTTCAATACAGGTGCCAAATGTGTCATCATGCTTGATGGAGCCTGGCGTTGGCTGGCTGGCTGTGATCAGCAGCTGACCACCTGACAGAAACACTTTCCCTAATTACATTTTTAACTTGGATTGTGCCACACTTAGTTACATTTTTGGGGGGAAAAGAAAGGAAGGGAGGGAAGAACAGTGAGTGAAGGAGGTTTGCAGAAAGCTTCAGGGCCAGATAGCACACAGACAGCCCACCTTAAAAATCAACACATCTTCCCATTTGTAACTTAACTACATGTCTAAATGTTGACATCCAGTGAACAAATATTAATTAAAAACCCAAGACATTCAAAACTGCACAAATGTCATCTTCCATTGTGTGAAATCAAAAAGGAACGTGTGGGTGAGTGGGGAGGTGGGGAGACACACCATAACCTACCTCTTATTGGTAATGAGCTTGAATTGTGGAAGGATACTTTCTGACTTCATACCATTTCTTATTAGTATGATGGTCAAAATTACAAAAAAAAAAAAAAATCACTCAGACTAATGGTCTCTTGTGGGCAAGTGGCGAAGAACACTGATTTGGCTTATTTTATTCTCTGTACTTCTCCTGGTGTGGTGGACAGTTTGCTGATACAATTATTTTGGATAGGACTTCATGTTAGGTATTGGCATGGAGGCATCCACATTTTTTTTTTTTGAGATGGAATCTCACTGTGTTGCCCAGGCTGGAGTAGAGTGGCACGATCTCTGCTGACTGCAACTTCCACCTCCTGGGTTCAAGTGATTCTTCTGCCGCAGCCTCCTGAGTAGCTGGGATTACAGGTGCCCACCACCATGCCCAACTAATTTTTGTATTTTTAATAGAGATGGGATTTCACCATGTTGACCAGTTTGGTCTTGAACGCCTGACCTCAGGTGATCTGCCTGCCTCAGCCTCCCAAAGTGCTGGGATTACCAGTGTGAGCCACTGTGCCTGGCCCTCATATGTTTATAAATCACTAGATTTTAAATATTGGCAGGGCTACAAACAAGGAGAGCTTGTCTGTGAAGAGAAAAACAATTAGCAAGGTCCTTCATTGTTTCTTCCTCTGCTGTCCATTCTATTTATTTGTCTGCTGCTAGGATCTAGGGGTGTCCTCGACCCTGCACATAATGGCAGGCCCCCTGTCTTCATCAGCACTGCTACATCCTCATATTTGGCAGGGAGCACTCTCATTTAAGGTAATGAGTGACTCCCTTTCACAATAGAACTCTGAGTGTGGCTCAAATTCACCCTGGCTAATGAATCTTCTGTATGGTTTTTTTTTTTTTTTTTTCTGAGGCAAGGTTTCACTGTCACCTAAGCTGGAGTGCAGTGGCACAGTCATGGCTCACTGCAGCCTCAACCTTCTGGGCTCAAGCAATCCTTCTGTCTCAGTCCCTCAAGTGACTAGGACTACAGGTATGTGTCACCACTGGCTATTTTTTTTGTTTGTTTTTTGAGACGACATCTTACTATGTTGCCCAAGCTCATCTTGAACTCCTGGGCTCAAGTGATCCTCCCTCTGCCTCTGCCTCCCAAAATGTTGCGATTACAGGTGTGAGCCACCCTGCCCGGCCTTGTGTTTCATTTTTAACCCTGATATAAGTAACAACACATCTGCTTATTAATATGTTCATGTTAACATTTACTATCCAGTTTGGGTGGAAGGAGAGTGTTCTCTGCCTCTGAGGTCCAGTTTTAACATTTATAAGTGCAGCGGGTCCTCCTGTTGTGGCCCACAAACCTTACTTGGGAAAATGTCACATTTGAGCAACCACACAAAACTACTCTGTGATCTCTGAATATAGTAAGGTCACCAGCCCCCACTTGATCTTCTGTTAAATGACCAAGATCATTTCTGGTCAGAAAGTATGTGTGTTTTTGCGAGTTTTTTTTGTCTTTGTTGACACATAATGGTGTAGAAATCAAGCTTAAAACTGATTGTAGAACAGTTTGGTGAGAAAGATTTTTGCTTTTCTGCCATAATATTCCCCTGGACTTTGCTTCGGGTCCAAAGTAACACCGGGAAGTTTAAGACCACAGAAATGTGACTAAATGAATGCTGATCACATTTACAAAAGCAAGTGACTTTGTCCAAAGTCTCTCATTCTCAGATCCATAGTAGACATATAGATACTTTTTCTAAGGGCAAAATTTCCTGGTTCACTAAGCCAGACTTCCATGTTATTGACGAAATAAAGATAATATTGAAAATGACAGTGTCTGAGAAGCAATCTCAAACTGCCTTTTATTACTGCACACAGTTAACGTGGAATTGAGAATCACTTTCTTTCTAACATAAAATGTGAGCCGTAGAGTTACTACTGAAATTCACCACAGTGATTCAGCCAACAACTCAACTTATTCCTTTGCAAAAATTTCTGAAGGTTTTTTTTTCTCCCTTCAATCTCAGCATTACAAAATAATGAGCAAACAGTTAAATTGGCCCAGCTCTGAGTTTCAAGAGAGATTTATGGTCTGCTCATCCTCTGGAGGGACCATAAAACCACCGATGACATCTTACTTTGAAATCTCTTGTATTAAGTAAAGAGATGGGTGTGGTGCGATAGTGAACTCTGCATGTGAGTGGTATTTAGACAAGTTCTGTACTTCAAAACAGAGTCCTTAACTCATACGAAGGCTTCCTGCCACTAGCAAGGGATCTCAGTAATGAGCGTGCTGCCTTCCCTAACACCCCCATCCTTTTCCAGAAAGATTCTTAATTTTATCCTAAATATATTTGATATTTTTTCCTCTGTATTTTGCTTTGGGTTTAAAAAATTCCCTGAAAGATTTTTTTCTCGTCTGTGGAAGCATCAAGCCGCAGATCCAAGTCAGTCCAAATCACCAGGATCATACAAGACGATAAAAGTGCCTTCAAGTTCTAATACTTGCTGGATGGGCCCAAGCCGCGTTTTAAATGTGAACAATGGGGTGGCTGCGGCAGAGAACTGACCATTTACTTCCTGCCTCAGATGACCCCCTTGTGATCTCTGAAACTGGGCAGAGGAATAAGGAAAGGGAAAGAACTGGGTTTTGGGGAGAAACATGCTTTCTGGAAGGCGCCCAGGTTTACCCAAAGAGCACAGTTAAGTGCTGAATTTCAACTAGCTCTGGAGTCACCCTGTTTGGGGCCTCATTCTGGAAACCCGAAGTCCAGCGGCAGCTTTCCTCCACATCAGGACAGAGAGTGGGGTTTGGGAGCGGACGAGGGAGCGGGAGTGGACGAGGGAGCAGGAGTGGGGCTCAACGACGACCCAGGCGCTCAAGGGGAAGGGGCTGAGAGCGTTTCTTCGCTGTGCGGCTGCAATAGAAACTTTTTCCTCGTACTATCTGACTCCGGGACTGGACTGTGAGGTCTGCAACAGCTGGTGGGGTTCGGGTGGGGAACACACTCTAAGCCCAGCGCCAGGGCTGGAGCCGTGGGTGGAGCCGCTGCAGCCCTGGGCCGGGGGCGTCAGGAAACTCGAGACTGGGGCGCGGGGAGGCCCCGGCCAGAGCGCCCGCTCTCCCGCGTCCCGGGCGGGGTCCTCACCTGTTCCAGCGGGCCACCTTCCTCCGGTAATACCGCAGCGCCTCCTGGCTGGCCAGGAGCGAGTCCTCGGCTCCCAGGAGAGGCGGCTCCTCCGGGACGTTGTACAGCGGGTGGGCGAAGAGGGCCTGCAACTTGGAGCTCGACCCGCTGTGGCTGCCGCCAGCCGGTTCAGTCCGGGGCTCGGTTCGGGAAAAGTTGTGCACGATCGTGCCGGGGTCCGAGGCAGCTGCGGCCGAGTCCCGCGCCAGGGAGGAGGCGCGGCCGGTGCACGGGCACCCCCGCGGGCGCTCCCGAGGCCGCAGCTGGCGCTGTACTTGGGGCCAGAGGTGGAAGTAGAGGTCGGCGGAGAGCAGCGCGCCCAGCAGCAGCAGAGTCAGTAGGCGGTCCCGGCGCAGCCCCGGCATGGCGTGCTGGCCAAGGGGGACGCCGGGGGCAGGCCGGCTGTCTCCGGGGTCCCGGGAGGGGTCGCGGGGTGCGGGCAGAAGAGGTGCCTGGAGTCCCGCGGGTGGGCCGGGGTCAGTGAGACCGGAATGCTCCCCGCGCGGGCTAGTCCCCTGTGGAGGGGTGTCGCTCCTCAACTTGGGGACCAGGTGCACGGAGCACCGGGGCTCTCGGAGTCAGCGGGCGTCGCTTCTCCGCGCCGAGTGAGCCGAGGGAATGGGGTTCCCGGGGTGCCCGCTTCTTGCGCCTTTTCTCCCGTGCGCCCGCCCGCCCGGACGCTCGCGGCAGGTGAAGGGCCCCGGGGCGCCGGCGCCGGCTGCCACCGCGGGCGGACGGGCGACGGGGCGGGGGGCGACCGCGGAGGGCGGACGGAGGCCGCCGGCTGCAAAGCCCGGGGCGTCTCTCCTGAGGATGCTGTCGCTCGGCGGCGGCTGCTAGTGCTCCCGCGACTCCTCCTGCGGGCGGCGGAGACGCCAGTGCCGGCGGCTGGCACGGGCGGCGCGAGTGGGGAGTTGGCGAAGCAGGAGCGGCTCCGGGGAGCTTGTCTGTGCGCCTGGACTCCTAGAGGCAGAGGTAGCGCGGGGCCTCCCCGAGCCTGGCCTGGCGCCGGCACCCCCACCCACTCTCCGCTGGCACCTGCCTCTGGCGCAGCTGACGGCCAACTCCCGATCCGAAGCCGGCGCTGCCCTTGCACCTTGTCACCCACCCACTGCCTGCGCCCTCCCCCTCGCTCGGGCCTCCCACTTTCCCTGCCCAGGTCTCAATCCAGTCACTTTAAGGGACTCACGCGAGGGGTCCGAAGCCTCTTTTTACCATTTCTATTATTTTTAGGGAAAAAAAAACCACCACAAGCCCCCTAAAACCCTTTTTTTCCTGTAAGCTTTGCCAAATGAGTGTGTGGGGGGGGGTGGGGGGAGGCGGGGGTGGCAGTGTTGGTATCTGTTCTTTCTTTGTGTTCCCTTCCACCTCCGCCCCCCTGCAGAGCGCAGGGCACATCAAGATTCATAACAACTACCTACCACATGCCTGGCACATAGTAGGTGCTCAGGAAACACGCTCTTGGTGAAGGAAAGAGCTTGACCTTTAAAAGTAAGGTATCAGTTTTACCTAGAATCTTGCTGATTTCCTGTTTGGAAGGAGTTTGATTCCAACTCTGCCTGTACTTTAAAAAGAGGAAATGTTTCTTGCACTCAGGGAGGGAGGGGCCCTGATGACCCCACTCCGAACTTTTGAGTTTAGCTTGGTGTGAAAGTAGTCCACCCAAATGAATCACTGGAGGACACATTTAGGCTTTCTCCAATATTCTGTGAGGTAATGTACCCTCCCCACACCCAGTTTTCCTTTTGAAGAAGAGGGAGGGAGTCCTGAACTCCTGGCTCCTCTATTTAATGACCCCATAGTATAGTAAAGTGAAGTCTGATTGGAGAGGCGGCCCCACCCTGCTGAATTTCAGGAAATCCACCAGAAGCTGCTTGCCCAGGCAGCAAAGCTTCCCATGTAAGTTAGTTCTACTCTTTAACCCCCTCCCTTCCCTTGCTGGAATTGAGAACCCTCAGACATACTTTGACTTGTGGGTTCAGACCAGAGTTCTTTTCCCCGTGGTTCAGTGTAAGATTTCTTCGGGACTTTGCAGTCTCCTCAAATGTAAATGAAGATAATGATGGAACCTACCTCCTAAGGTTATTATGAGACTTAAATGAATTGAAGTACAATTATGTGTCACGTCTGAGAAATGCATCCTTAGGCAATTTTCCTGTGTGTGTGAACATCAGGGTGTACTTACACAAACCTAGATGGTTCAGCCTACTACACACGGAGGCTACATGGCATAGCCTGTTGATCCTAGGTACAAACCTGTACAGCATGCGACTACTGAATGCTGTAGGGAGTTGTAACACAGTGGTGAGTACTTGTGTGTCTAAACATAGGAAACATACAGTAAAAATACAGTATTGTAATCTTATGGGACCACTGTTGCATTGACTAAAATGTTATGTGGCACTTGACTATGTATAAATTACTTAGAAGAGCTCCTAACTCATCCTAAATAAGTGTGAAATATGTGTTTGCTATCATTATGATTACTTATTAGTTCCTGTAGTACACTAGGCTTGGTTAGAGACTGCTCATCGCTAGGACAAAAATAGAAAAGGATGGAAAAGGAAGATAGCAGGAAGGAACCTGCTTTCAGGGGCATAACATTGTGGCCTGAGTGCCCAGTCCAAGTGAAAAAGCCCAAGACGGTACTATTCCCAGCTACTCCACTCCTCTGGGTATGATGGTGGGCATTTTGAGGGGTTCTAGAACCTCCTCCTTTTTATCTGGAATTAAATTTTAACTGATTTCCAATTTCTGAGAGACGTTGCAACTTCTAATGTGTTTAATTAGATGTCATGGCAAGCGAATGAAGAAGTCAGGCATTGAATGGTGGTGATGTAACTGCAGTAACTGTGTGGCAAACTGATGCGCATTTTTCTCGGCTGGCAAAGGACGTGGATGTGGTGACACTGCAGGTCTTGTGACTTCAATTCTCCTCAACCCATGGGGTCATACTCGCTTAGTAGACTCTTTTTTTTCTGGCCCCAATTTAGGGAACAATAGTGTAACTTGCTTGGAAATTATGTAAACATATTTTCCATGCCCTTTAAAGGTCACAGTCAAGTGCAGAACTGCATGTGGGAGTTAGATATTAAGTGTGAATGAAGCTGGATAGGAGAGTGGAAATCCTACCAGTAGGATTGGCCAATAGGATGTTGGCTTCCTCAGGTTTGCCTCTAATCTACCTTTACCCCTCCTAGAAATGAGCCTT
This sequence comes from Homo sapiens, assembly GCF_000001405.40. Classification (NCBI taxonomy): domain Eukaryota; kingdom Metazoa; phylum Chordata; class Mammalia; order Primates; family Hominidae; genus Homo; species Homo sapiens. The sequence goes on from NC_000017.11 coordinate 68,603,513, forward strand.
CTCCTGCTCCTCCGATCTTCCATGTCTTGGGCCCTGGCTTACTTGCCAGCCTCACATACATCCTCTCCGTTCACACTGAAGGTATCCTAAATTGCTGTTTGCTGGGACCCATCATTCTGTTTAAAATCTTTCATTGGAAGCCCCTCCCTCCTTTTCCATCTCTACTGATCTTGATGTATCTAGAGCCTCATAATCTCTTGCTCATACTTGCAAATAGGCTTCTAACTGGTCCCTCTGCTTCCATGGTACCTTAGTTCAGTGCCCACACACACTCTTGCCAGAGTGAGACTTCTAGTATGCAGAGGCAACCAGGATATTCTCCTCCTGAAAACCCCCTGAGCTTCTCCTTGTTGCTGGATTAGGTCACTCATTGTGACACAGCTCTTCGTGGTCTGGCTTCTACCTCCTTTCTTCTTTATATGCCCCCTCTTTCGTCTTCACCCCACAAGACTTTCTGCAATTCCCAAGTGCTCCAACCTTGTAGGGGTGGGTTGCCCCTCCACACCTGTGGGTGTTTCTCATAAGGTGGAACGAGAGACTTAGGAAAGAAAAAGACACAGAGACAAAGTATAGAGAAAGAAATAAGGGGACCCGGGGAACCAGCATTCAGCATATGGAGGATCCCCCCAGCCTCTGAGTTCCCTTAGTATTTATTGATCATTTGTGGGTGTTTCTCGAAGAGGGGGATGTGTCAGGGTCACAAGACAATTGTGGGGAGAGGGTCAGCAGACAAACACGTTAACAAAGGTCTTTGCATCATAGACAATGTAAAGGATTAAGTGCTGTGCTTTTAGATATGCATACACATAAACATCTCAATGCTTTACAAAGCAGTATTGCTGCCTGCAGGTCCCACCTCCAGCCCTAAGGCGGTTTTTCCCTATCTCAGTAGATGGAGCATACAATCGGGTTTTATACCGAGACATTCCATTGCCCAGGGACAGGCAGGAGACAGATGCCTTCCTCTTGTCTCAACTGCAAGAGACATTCCTTCCTCTTTTACTAATCCTCCTCAGCACAGACCCTTTACGGGTGTCGGGCTGGGGGACGGTCAGGTCTTTCCCTTCCCACGAGGCCATATTTCAGACTCTCACATGGGGAGAAACCTTGGACAATACCTGGCTTTCCTAGGCAGAGGTCCCTGCGGCCTTCCGCAGTTTTTGTGTCCCTGGGTACTTGAGATTAGGAAGTGGTGATGACTCTTAAGGAGCATGCTGCCTTCAAGCATCTGTTTAACAAACCACATCTTGCACCGCCCTTAATCCATTCAACTCTGAGTTGACACAGCACATGTTTCAGAGAGCACGGGGTTGGGGGTAAGGTCACAGAATCTCAAGGCAGAAGAATTTTTCTTAGTACATAACAAAATGGAGTCTCCTATGTCTACTTCTTTCTACACAGACACAGTAACAATCTGATCTCTCTTGCTTTTCCCCACACAACCTCTCACAGATGTGTCTTTAACCGAAAGCTCTTTCTCCTTTCCCCACCTGGAAAACACCCATTAGTCCACCCAAGCTTTGGCCACTTGTCCAATTTTTCTCTGATGCTTGTCTTCATACCCATTAAACTCAGTGCCTTGTGCTCTCATGTGCCCCCACAGCTCCTCATATGTTCCCCTATTACAACGTTGGCCATGTTGGGTTTCCTTTTTAGTATGTGTTATGGGTTGACTATATCCTGCTCTCAAATTCACTTGTTGAAATCCTAACCTCCAATACTTCAGGACGTTACCTTATTTGGAAATAGGGTTGTTGTAGAAATAATTAGTTAAGCTGATAGCGTACTAGTGTAGAGTGGACCCTTAATGCAATATGACTTGTGTCCTTATAAAAAGGAGAAATTGGGACACAGAGACATGCATACAGGGAGAATGCCCTATGAAGATAAAAGACAGATTGGGCAATTCTTCTATAAGCCAAGGAATACCAAAGACTGCCAGCAAACACAAGAAGCTAGGTAAGAGGCATGGAACAAATTTGTCCCTCACAGCCCTCAGAAGAGTCCAACTCTACTGACACCTTGACCTTGGATTTATAATTCTAGAACTGTGAGACAATAAATTTCTGTTGCTTAAGCCACCCAGCTTGTGGCACTTTGTTACAGCAGCCATTGCAAATTTACACAGTACACATGTCTGCCATCTTCACTGGAGCACTACTCCTGAGTGTAGAGGGAGAATGCTACTTATATATGTACACAGAGCTCTGAGGATGGGGCCTATCATTTGAGAAATGCTCAAGAAATGTTTGCTGAGTGAAGGCAGAGATATTGGCCATCTCTACAACTGTAGAATCTCGCATATGGCCTAGTATACAGTAGGGGCTAAATTATTGTTTACAATAAGATGACATAGCTTTGGACCCTGTAGGAGACATAAAGAAATATATGACACAATTCCTTCCTGCCTTCAAGAGTCTTGTGATCATCAGAGAGTCCAGCTATACCTGTACTCACAAGCCAATGGGAAAAAAGTATGAGGTAGTACACAGAGCAGATTAGCAATCTGTGCCATTGCATGCATTAAGAGGAGCAAATGCAAAGGGCAGTTGTGTTTCCTTTCAGTCTAGCTAAATATCAAGCTCTCTACTTGCAGGAGTTAAATCATGAAAACAATAGAGTCAACATTTAAACACCAAGTTCCTCTATCTGTGAAGGTTAGACTCTATTTTTATCTTGCCCATGTTCCCGTGTTGCTTAGAACTTGACTAGTTGTTTTTTGTTTGTGTAGGCAGTTTTCTATACTAGACTATAACTCCATGAGTTCAAGGGTAACATGTTTTCTTTTTTATTTTCCTGTCTTCATAGGATCTTAGACACAGCAAGGCATGCAAATGAGAATTAACAAATTCCTGCAGAATAAATGATGTTTGTGGGTTTATGTGTGTTCATACATGGAGGTGGGAAGTGGTTTGGAAAAGAGCACTTAAAATAAGAACATAAATGTATATAATCTAGCTCAAGATAAGTGTTAAGTTAGAACATCTACATAAGTGTTAAGTTAAACATCCGTTATGGTTTTTTTTTTCTTTAGACAGGGTTTTTCTCTGTCATCCAGGCTGGTGTGCAGGGTGGCAGAGTGTGATCTGGCTCATGGCAGCCTTGAACTCCTGACCTCAAGTGATCCTCCCACCTGTCAGCCTCCTGAGTAGCTGGGACTACAGGCTCATGCCATCAGGCCTGGCTAATTTTTTTTTTTTTGGTAGAGATGGGATTTCACCATGTTGCTCAGGCTGGTTTCCAACTCCTGAGCTCAAGCTATCTGCCTGTTTCAGCCTCCCAAAGTGTTGGGATTACAGACATGAGCCACTGTGCCTGGCCCCAGTAGATGTTTACTTAGAACATCAATGGAAATTGCCTTGATCCTATTGAAAAACCAATAAGTAAGAGACACATAAAGAAATAACTAAATGTAGACATCTATGTCCCTCACAGTTTTTATTATAGTATAGATGCATGTGAGGAATGTTACCTTTACCTGCTAGCTGTCTCAGTAATCAGCAAGAGATGCAATTGAAATTACTATAAATGGAAGACCTAGAATGGAGTGAACTTAAGAAACTGAAACTGATTTAGTATTGCACTCAACACCTTATTCTGAGGTAGAAAGTCCAAAATTTTCTAATCGTGACCAACACATAATGCCTCAGCATAAGCCAGAGATTTCTCAAAGTGCAGCCTGTGGATCAGAAGTACCTGATGTGCTTATAAAAATGCAAATTCCAGGGCCACACCATAGTTCTAGTATTTTTTGGAGGTGGGGCCAGGAATGTACATTTTCAATAAGCTGATTCTTACCAGCTTATAAGATTCTGACACACATTGAAGTTTGGGAATCACTGGTTGAAAGGACAGTGCTAATGAGAGCAAAGTCACAGATTTGATTCCAAATAGGCTAGGTAGGATCCATTGTCTAACATTGGCCATCCAACTTGTGTCATAAGGTTCTAAGGCGCTAAAGAGAGAGAGACAGAGAGTACGTGTTTCCCCATCATTGCTACTGGGGAACACAAATAAACAAATAAGTGCCTGTTCTTTACAAATGATGGGTATGTAGTGTGATCTTGCTATAAAAAGTCATGGCTGTACTTATTGGTAAATTTCCCCTGGGAAACTGAACTACCTTCCCTGGATCTCAGTTGCCTCATTTGAAACATGAAACGCTGAAGTGAATGATCTTTAATGTCCTTTTCAGCTCTAAAGAATGAGAATTTTACTTTTTTTTCTACTAAGCATATATTAATCTAGACCTTTTCACACAACTTTATTTCCAGTATAAACCAAATACTTGAGAAAGCAAACCAAGGCATTTTGTAGGAAGAGTAAGAGCACTGGATTGGGAGTTAGGGAGCTTACACTGTAATCTTGGCTCAGTCATTAACTAGTTTGGTGGCATGGGACAAATTAATTAATGTCTCTGGGCTTCCTTTGCCTCACGTGTAAATAACTATTTTGTGGTAGACAATTTCAAAGTTCTCTTCCAGCATTGAGTTCCTTCAGGAGTGAAAATGAGGTAAAGACATTCTTAGATGAAAGAAAACTAAAAGAAACAATCACCAGCAGACCTGCTCTAACAAAAATGCTAAAGAAAGATTTCAGATGGAAGGCAACTGCCACCAGAGGGAAACCTGGAACATCAGGAATGAAGGAAGGGCAACAGAAATGGTGAAAATATTGGTAGATATAACAGATTATTTTTTCTCATCTTAAGTTTTACAAAATATACCTAATAATTGAAGACAAAAATTATAGCATTATCTGATAGAGATTCAGTATACAGAGACGTAATACGTATGACCACTACAATACGAAGGGAAGAGGGTAAAGGGACTTGTTTGTTGGTAAGAACTCTGCATTCCACTTGAAGTGGTAAAATATTAATTCCAAATAGCTGAGAAACATTAAGTATATATGTTATAATTCCTAGATTATAATACTATACTGTACTAAGAGATATAATAAAATTAAAAACTATACTGAGAGACATAATAAAAATAATAAATATATTAAAATGAAACACTAAAATTACCCAAATCATACAAAAGAAAGCAGAAAAGGGGAAAGAAGAACAAAAATATAGGAAATAAACAGAAAACAAATTATAAAATGGTAGCCCTAAATGCAAACATACTGATAATTATATTAAATATAAATGGCCTAGACACACCAATTAAAAGACAGAGATTTTCAGAATGAATTAAAAAACAACTCAATGTTATGCTGCCTACAAGAAACCCGGTGTATATATGACCACTGGTAACTTAAAAGGATAGAAAATGACATATCAGGCAAACACTAATTAAAAAGAATCTGGCATAATTATATTAGTATTACTCAAAGTAGCAATCAAAAAGACAATATACCAAGAAGTCATAATAATTCTAAATGTGTATGCCTCTAACAATACAGCTTCAAAGTACATGAAGTAAAACTGATAAAACTGAAAGGATAAATGGGAAAATTCAACAGTTATAGCTAAAGACTTTAGTGTTTCTTTTTCTGCCACTCACAGAGCAAGTAGACAGAATATCAGCAAGGATATAGAAGAACTGAAAAATACTATTGGCCAACTAAATCTAATTTAACATTCATAGGACACTTCACTCAAAAGCAGCCTAATACACATTATTTTTAAGTGTACATGACATTTACCAAGATGGACTATATCCTCCATTATAAAACAAGCATTTAAATTTAATATAATCAAATCTTACAAACTGTGCTCTCTGCTCATAATAGAAATAGACTGGAAATAAATGACAGAGAGATATCTGGTAAATCTCCAAACATCTGAAAACATAAACATGTACTTACCACATGACCCAGTAATCCACTGCTAGGTATTTACTCAAATGAATTGAAAACTTATGTGTGCATAAAAACCTACTTATGAAAGTTTTATAGCAGCTTTATTAATAATTGCCAACATTAAGTAGTGCATATGTCCTTCAGTGGGCAAATAGATAAACTGTTGTACATCATACAATGGAATACTACTTAGAAACAACAAAGAACAAAATATGGGTATACATGACAGCATTGATGCATCTCAAAGGCATTATGCTGAGTGATAGAATCCAGTCTCAAAAGGTTACATATTGTATGATTACATTTATATGATAGCCTAGAAATGGAAAAGCTATGGTGACAGAGAATAGATCATTGGCTGCCAGGCATTAGGGACCGTGATGAAGGTATGACTACAAAGGTACAGCATTAGGAAGTTGTTTTGGGTGATGGAACTATTCTATATCCTTATCATGATGGTGGTCATGTGAATCCATCCATGTGTTAAAACTGACAGAACTGTACATTAAAAAAAGGGCAACTTTATTGGCCCTATTGTTCAATTATGTTAAAACAAAATAAAATAAAATAAAAAACAAAGGTTGCATACCTCCATCCAAAAGAATTTTGCCTGTAGCCTGGCTCATAATAGCAAATAATTGCACAAAAAAGTAAACATCCATCTATAGGGAAATATGTTAATAAATTGTGGTATTATTATGTAATGAGCAGTTAAAATGAAGGAAGTACAACTGTATTTTCTCAGCAAAGATACATCTTTAAGTTGTAAGAAAACATGAATATGGGGTGTGTGTGTGTGTGTGTGTGTGTAGCAGTATGATACTATTTAGATAACCTTCAAAACTGGCAAACTAGGCCAGGCACAGTGGCTTACACCTATTACTCCAGCACTATGGGAGGCCAAGGAGAGAGGATCACTTGAGGCCAGGAGTTTGAGACCAGCCTGGGCAACATAATAGGACCCCTCTCTACAAAAAATTTTAAAAATTAGTCAGGTGCAATGGTGTTCATCTGTAGTCCTAGCTACATGGGAGGTTGAGGCAGGAGGATATCTTGAGCCCAGGAGTTTGAAGTTATAGTGAGCTATGATCATGCAACTGCACTCCAGTGCCTGGAGACCCTGTCTCTGAAAAAGAAACAAACAAAAAATTGGTAAAATTATAAAAACATGCATGAGAATAATGAATACTGTCTTAGTCAGTCTGCTGCTATAACAAATATACCATAGATTGGGTGGCTTAAATAAAAGAAATTTATTTTTCACAGTACTGGAGACTGGTAATTCCAACATCAAGGTGCTGGCAGATCCAGTGTCTGATGGGGACACTCTTCCTGGTTTGCAGATAGCCCTTTTTTCATTGTATCCTCACACACTGAAGAAAGAGTGAGCATTGGTCCTTTCATCCCCTAATAAGGGCACTAATCCCATTTATGAGGGCCCCATCCTCATACTCTAATTACCCCTTGATATGATTTGGATGTTTGACCCCTCCAAATCTTGTGTTGAAATTTTATCCCCATTGTTGGAAGTGGGGCCTAATGGGAGGTGTTTGTGTAATGGGAGCATATCCTTCATGAATATATTAATGTCTGGGAGGGTAAGGAAGACTGTTCTCATTCTATTAGTTTCCGGGAGAGCTGGTTGTTAAAAAAGAGCCTGGCATCTCCCTCCCCTCTCTCTTTTGCTTCCTCTCTATGGCCATGTAATCTCTGTACACACTGGCTCCTTTTCACCTTCTGCCATGAGTGGAAGCAACCTGAAGCCCTCACCAGAAGCAGATGTTGGTGCCATACTTCTTGTATAGTCTGCAGAACTGTGAGCCAAATAAACTTCTTTTCTTTATAAACCACCCAGCCTCAAGTATTTCTTTATAGCAACACTAAAATACTGAGACACCTCCCAAAGACCCCACCCCTTAATACCATCAAATTGGGGATTTAACATATGAATTTGAGGAGAACACAGATATTCAGTTCTTAGCAAACACCAAATTCAGCACAGTGATTACATATGGAATTAAAGTGAGAAAAAAGTGCTTGTTGAAGATTATACATGGGGCTTCAGCAGTAACTGAAATGATTTCTTAGAAAAAAGATCTGAAGCATATATTACAAAATGTTAAAATTTGACAAAGTTGGGTAGTGCTATATGGATGTTGGTCACATTATTCTCTATCACGTTATGACTCATTCTCTTTACTTTTCATATTTACAATATTTATTAAAAATCTGACTTGATTCATTTTGTGACCTCATATCCTGGACTATTCTAGGTTTTTAAAGAGACCATTGAAAGAAAGCGTTGGGCTTTGACATTAAGGTGAAGCAGGTTAATAAGCAGCAGCAGTCAAAGAAATTTGCTCTATTTTATTTTAAAGGAAATACATGGTAGAGGGCAAGGAATATGTGTAAGAGCAATTTCAACTTAAATTAACTGAGTTTATATTTTAAAAGGGGAAGAAATTCACAGATTTTATGCGTGGCTGCTTTCAGACTGTGCAATTCATCTGAACAGAACTCTTGCATATATTATGTGAGCTTTACATGCCAGACTGAACAACAACAGATGTGTTTTCCCTGTTTCAGTTTTTACTACCTTGACAGTACAGCTATTCTTAGAAGGTGGGAAGCTGGGACTTCTTGGGTCTTTAGAATGTCATGTCTTAAAGTATCATAACTGTTTTCTAGCAACTCCTAATCCACTGTATGAATTCACAGCTAGTGGGTGAGACAAACATTAAACAAATGTAACACAAATAAATATCTTGGTCTGGCTCAAAGTTCAGTGTCAGAACGTCAATACAGCTAAAATAAATAGAAATGACTCCAAAAAGCTTTGAAAATTAACATAGGTCTTCACTCAGTAATTTTTGAGGGAATGGAAAAGGAGAATTACATTATGGAGGTATACAATTGTTAGTATTCCTTTCTAAACATCCACAATACATGTCTCTCTCCACAAAGTTCAGGCTTTGTAATCTCCTTTTCCTTTTTACCCTCTCACCCCAATTCCCATAAACTCCTCCCCACCTATGCCTGTTCTCTTCTCTTTATTTCATCCCACTTCAGTCCTTTCATACATAGGGCAATAGTCTCCATTCTTAATGGCTTCTGTCTCCCTCTCCATTCCCAATGCAGTTCAGCCTGATGGAGGTCTATTAGCTGGCTGCGTAATTAAAGGACTCTTCTGTCTTGGAAGGAGAATTTCAAATATTTATATTTTTATGATATTTTAGTTCTGACAAATGAAGAATCATAAAATTATAAGTTACAGTGGGGACAGATACAATGACATCATCTTAACTCTCTTCGTGCTGCTTTTGTTTTTTAAATTTGGAAGCAAGGATGAAAGGTGTAAAAGATGATTAATCATTTTGGAAATAGATGCATGACTACAGCCTAAGTCTGTGGTGAACCAATCATGCTCTCTTCCTTTCTCTGCGTTAGACTAAGTCCTACATTTCACAACCTTCCACAGTGTTCACTTGATAACTAGGAAAAGGCAAATGGACCCCATGGCTTCTACACTCTCCCTCTGTTCTTTCACAGATGTATGCTGGCCATATTTTATGAACTGGAAATCTGGACTTAGGGTCAAACTCATGAAACAGGGTATTAAAAATCATAAGTCATCTATCCCAGAAGAGTCAGGAACTATAGTTGCCATAACTAGGCACATATGCTAAGCCCTCACTTCCCTTTGATGTTCTAGATGCAGCCTTAGAGGGAGAAGTCAGTGGACACAACTGGAGCCCATGGTATCAGGTCTGGACAAACCAGTTTCAAAGCTGAGTGCTCAGTTTTGCAAAGGAAGGCAGTAACTCTGACTAGCAGCAGTAGAATCTAGGCAGACAGAGGACTCAGTAGCACCATATCTTCATGATGTATTTATTTTTAATTCTACAAATAATATATGAATATTCTCTCTTTTTAAAATATTTGGACAATAGACAAAATTTTATAGTAATAAGTGAAAGTCTCCCTTCCTTCTTCCTCTTCCCTATCTGATTTTCTTCCCCACAGGTAACCATTGTTGGTTTGATATGACTCCTTCCAATGCTACATATACTCAGGTAGCTTTGCCTCTACCTTAATAGTAATCAGATAAATGCAAATTAAAACAATTGACAATAGATCATTTGTTTCTTATCACATTTTCATTGCAAAAAAAAAAAAAAACAACAACAAAATATCCAGAATTGACTAGGACTTGGGGAAGGAATTGTAAATTGAAGAAACTGTTCTGGAGGTTAATTTGGTAATGTAAATGCCTACAGACTTTATATCAGTCAGGATCCAGTTAGGAGATGAAAAGCATACCAATTATTTGAAAAGGAAAAATTTAATAAAAAGAATTATTAACTAGTAAAAGTGATAAGACACCTACCTGTAAAAGGGATCTAGAAGTAGCAGCTGCAAAAATTAAAAAAAGAAGCTGCTACATCTAAGCTGAGGAAAAGTGGATCTAAGGACTAGGAGGGTTCCCCTACCCTTAAGCCAAGGCTGAAGTTTAGACCTCGTTATAGAGAGCATGTTTACCACTGGAAAAAAACAGCCACTGTTGGTGAAGAAACTTTCTGGATAGCAGGCCATGTTGATCTGTCAAAGAGCCCATGGGAGGGGCTACCGATGCCTGAGGCCATGGTCAGAGCTACTGTGGAAACAACCACAGAGTGGTGGTGGTGGGGAGTGCGACTTGATAGTGTGGTTGGAGCTAGTTGGTGAAGGCTGCAGGGCTCCCATGCTGAAGTAAAATTGAGGACTGGGACCCAGAGAAGTGTCTTCCTGCCACTACTGCCTTGCAGAGTTCCTCCAGCGCCCTCTATTGACAAAGCCTATTATTGTGACAACTGGTAAAGGAGGAATGTCTAGAGGGTCCAGCTCCAGTTTCATAAAGCCCAACAGAGAAAGGTAGGTTTGGAACTGAGAGGCAACAAATTCGTAACTGGTACAGACTTTGACTTCTGAATTCCATTTATAAAAATTTGAGGAAATCATTAAAGTTGTATGTAAATATTTAGATAAAAAATGGTTATTACAGTATAGAAAAAAATGGAAATAAGTGTAATGTTTGAAAATTGAAAACTGAGCAAAATAATGGTTTATCTATAAGATTAAGCTGTATTTATTTATTTTCATAAAAAGATGTTTATATCACTAGATGGAAAAGGTGTGTTAATAACAATCATATCATTACCCATTAAAAACATACTTATATATATATTTCTATGTATGCATAGATTAAAACTTTGAGAAGTTTGGTGTCTTTCTTTTTTTTTTTTTTTTTTGAGATGGAGTCTCACTCTGTTGTTCAGGCTGGAGTGCAATGGTGTGATCTCGGTTCACTGCAAGCTCCGCCTCCCAGGTTCATGCCATTCTCCTGCCTCAGACTCCCGAGTAGCTGGGACTACAGGCGCCTGCCACCATGCTTAGCTTTTTTTTTTTTTTTTTTTTTAGTAGCAATGGGTTTTCACCATGTTAGCCAGGATGGTCACAATCTCCTGACCTTGTGATTCACATGCCTCAGCCTTCCAAAGTGCTGGGATTACAGGTGTGAGCCACCACGCCCAGCCTGTTTGGTGTGTTATACACCAGCTCCTTGGTATAATATCTGAGTTACAATCGTTCAATAAATATTTACTGAATAAATATATTAGCTTCCTCAGGCTACTGTAACAAATTGCTATAAAGTTGCCACAAGCAACAGACACGTGCTCTTCCGTAATTCTGGATGCCAGGAGTCTGAAATCAGAACACTTGCCATTACATATAGGGCCTACAAGATAATCCAGACTTGTCTCATTTTGAGATCCTTAACATAATTACATTTGTCTTTGCAAAGACCCTTTTCCCAAATAAGGTTACATTTACAAGTTTTGGGTGGATGTATCTTTTGGAAGGTGAGGTGAGGGATGAGTACCACTCAACCCATTGCATGCATAAATAAATATATAGCAACATTTTACATTGGTTTCTTTGGGTGGTGGGATTTATGAATAATCTGAATTTTCTTTTTCCTTTTTTTTACTTACTAGTATTTTATGATTTTTATGCAAAGATCTTTACACTACTTTAGAAATAAAAGGAAAGTAAAAATGTACTTGGCATATGAAAACTGAGAGACTACATTCAAAAATGCTGATTTGATCATCTTGAAGTTATGATTGAACCCATGGTTCACAAACTCCAAGTAGTTGTGTGCACTACAGAGAAGGAAACAGTAAGAGAAAATAAAGAGCCTCAGGAGGAGGGCAAAGTCATCACACAGAAACCTAAGTTAATTTATGTTCTATGGGTAAGCTACAGACCTCCCAGCCGAAAGCTGACACACGGAAGCTGATAACCAGAAATCCACGCTTAGCCTTCTGGGCATCTCTGAATTGAGCAAACTTGTGGTCTGCATAACACTTGCCATTTAGGACAGCAGTTTGGAATCTTCCTGCACTCCGGACCTCCTCTTCCCCTTCCTTTTTGTGTTACGATTCATTGATGAATTCTTAGAAGGTGCTGCTCCATTAAAATAGGAAGGTCTGTGACGTCAAAAGATCTGAGGATAAAAGGCATTTTAAAAGGCTGTCATCTTTCTTTTATTTAGAGAGGCAATCTTTTCAAAAGGAAAGACAGAAAAACATTGGAATTAGGGCATACTCATCTTTTTATTTCTCTTAAAGCAGTAGATATTTTATTTCCAGTCTCTTCTGGGGACTAGCTTTTTTTAAAATTTATTTATTTATTTATTTATTTATTCCAAAACCTGAAGTTTAAACCTCTATCTTAAAACATGGCCGAATATCAAGTGTTGGAGTCAAGATTCTAATGTCATCCGAGAAAAAACACAAATGTCATCTGGGCAGAAGATAATTTAAAAAATAGATTAATTAAAAATAATAACCACCTATTAATCAAAGAAAAAGGTCATGTATTATGATCTTTAAAAAGAGTTATCTGATTTCAGATTGACATCTGTTAACTCTGAGGTTAACATGTTAAAATGTCAGTGAAATGAGTGGATAAATACCTGAAATATAAAAGTACATGATAATTTTTAAACTAGAACAGGGGTTGGCAAATCTTTTCTGTTAGGGGGCAGATAGTAAATATTCTAGGTTTTGTAGGCCAAATGGTTTCTGTTGCAGTGACTCAACTCTGCTCTTGTACTACAAAAGCAGCCATAGAGAGTATTTAAACTAATGGGCAGGAATGTGTGCCAATAAAACTTTATTTAAAAAACAGATGAGAGGTCAGATTTAGCTTATGGGTGGTAGTTTGCTGACCTCCAAAGAGAACATCAGAGGTTTTCAATAGTACACCAATAATAGTGGCTCTCTGAAATTGAGGAAAGCAGATTTTTATCTGCTTTGTTGCTTTTCTTATAAGAAGGAAATGCCAACATATTTGCAGGTATTCATACTTTGTTTGGGAGATTAATTTGTGCTAAGTGATGATTGACATAAAAGGAAGGAAGAGAAAATGAACCTTTGTGAAATAAATGGTTGGATTCTCAGAAACAAGGACCTTTTCAATGAATTCTATTGACAATACTCTTGGCCATTATGTTCTGGGAACATATTTAATACCTGCCTTAGAAATTAATCTTGTTATATTGAGCTTTTACCATATGGAGTTATGTGTTGAATGATTGTGATTTATACCATAATATAGCTGAATCTGGACAGTATTCGGTAATGATGCACGCAAAGGGCCTCGAATGCATTCCTTTACTTGTGATGTTATTAATTCATTCTTACTCATTTTTCCTACATATTTGATTGCAAGATAAAACTTAAATGGAAAGTAAGACAACAGAAATGGACATTTTGGAAGGACTGTTGATGGAATATGGTTTTATTCTGGGTTAAGAGAGATAAAAAACCAGAGAGGACTGAGCACATGAATTGGAAAGTGAACTGCTTTGAGTAAGAACATCTGTGTTTGGCAGTTTTGGTAAGTTGAAGAAATCATTAACCTACCTCTTCACTTTGAAAGTAAATGATTTTATACATATTTAATCAAATCAAATAATACATGTTAACTTGTACAGCCTCTTAATATCCAGCTGGGTTTTCTGGCAAGGAGATGCTGAAACAGAGTTAGGTCGTCAAAAGATTAGTTGGGCAGAAGGAACTAAGATCAGATAGATGGTGATGCAGGTCTGATGGTGTCTATCAGCCCAATAGAGAGCTCTGGAACAAAGAGGGCCTGTTAGAGAAGTCCTGTTATGGGTAGAAGTTTTGTGTCATGCATTGTTCAATCATTGGCAGAGCTGCACTGAGAAGTGATCTTCACTTACTGTGTTACTCAGTGATTGGCCAGGAGCTAGCCCAAGAAGAGTATGACCTTAAAATGGAGGTAGACCGTGATGGAGCTGTTAACCAATCCCACTCCTTTCAGCTAGGCAGTGAGTCCTTTCTCACCTCACACTTCTTGTAGCTAGGAATCTGAGCAGGCCATCTCTAGGTCTGACACATCGTTTTAACTTTCTCTCTCTTCCTTCCAAGTCTCATTGGCTGACTTCTCTCCCTCTGCTTTTTGCATTGAGGTTCTCTAGAAATCAGTGCTTATTTTCCTCCCCATCGTATAGATTATTTCTGGAAGATCTCTTCCACTTCCATGGCTCTAACGTGACCTCTCATCCTCTGTGGGGATTACCTATAAACTGATAGTGATTTAATGTATCATTTAGGATTGTACTTTGGGGGATAAAACATAAAACCGAAATGTAAAACAAGTCTGGGGGTGCTCAGTCCAGGGTTGGTACGGAGGCTCCACAGTAATTAGGAATCAAGGGTCCTCTTATCTTTCTGCTCTATTTTCCTGCTATATGGCTTCCATCTTCAAGGTCACATCATGGCCAAAATGGCTGCTGGAGCTCCAGCTATCACATTCTTGACCTCAGCAGAAGAAAAAAGGAAGAATGAGAGGGCAAAAAGTCTACCTCCCATTTGAGTTACACTAGTTAAAGTAGTTTTCTTAAAAGTCCCACACAGCATTCCTACTTAACATTAATGAACAGAACATAGTCACATGGCTACATCTAGTTACTAGGGAAACTGAGAAACGTATTTTTTTTTTTTTTTTTTAACATTGTAGCCTCTGCAGGAGAGGAAATCATGCAAGAAGGGGTTTGGGATGGGTATTGAGCATGTACATCCCAGTATCTTTCACACTCCCAAACCTGGGTTTCCAAATCTTTCTTCTGAGTTTTGGAAACATGTATTTCCCTGGCTACTAGATATTTCCACCTGTATGTTACATGGGCAACTAATTTGAACATGTGCTAAACTGAACTCCAGTATATTGACCCACAATAATTACAGTCTTCCCTTTTATACAATTATGCCGTTAACTACTTGGTCAACCTACGTTCTCATTTTTATACTTTTCTGTTTCCCTCAATTTCCATACTCAATCTTATGAATTCTCTCCTAATTATTTTTCGAATATATCCTTTCCCCTCCATTGCCACTTTCAGAGTCTTTGTTCAGGACCTCATGATTTTCTGACTAGAGAATTTTTATTTTGCTTTACTAATCTCAGTCTTGAACATTCTGATCCATCCTTCATAATGTTGCTGAAGCTATTTTTGCAAAACACAAATCTGATCATCCTGTTCCACAGCTGAGAGTCTTACACCATCTACACTATTAAGGCCAAGCTCTTTCAGAAGGCATCTTTCATGATCTGACAACTGCTTCTACTTTGGCTTTATCATTGGCCATGTCTTACCATGTACTCTGTGTCTCATCCATGCCATGGTGAAATGGCCAGAACACCCAGGCAGAGCTAAGCCATGTTAAGACAAATCTGAAATTCTGTCTGTCTCACCTATCTGTACTATACCCCCTACTTTGGAGCTCTTGGAACTCATGTCCTTCTAACAAAGCTCAGCGGAGTTCTTCATCCTAATGAAAATGACAAAAGGCTTCTTGATGTTAGGCGAAAACTGATGAGTTGGATTTGCATATGTTGCATTAAGCTGATGGTATGAAATCCAGGTGGAAACATCTGGTGCCCTGAGAGTCTAGGGGGTGGGGAAGTTTGCAAATAAAGATTTTCATAAGGTCAGCATAGACCTCACAATATATTCTGTGAAAATGGATGAGGCAGAAAGTTTCAGAGGAATGCTTCAATGTATTTGGTTGCAAATAATACAAACATAGCCAATAGTTCCCTACTTATATCTATACCTGTTGCCATTCCAGTATGTGTGTAGTTGTAATATTGACTTGGCAGTTCCAGATGTCAGGACACAGCACTGGCTTCTGTATTCTTCTTGACCTTTTCTCATGGTGGCAGGATGATGCAGCTCAATGCTTTATGTTTTTAATGTGGGAATATCCCAAGAAGAAAGGGAAGGGAAGGAAGAAATGTTTTTTCTCATTATGTGCCTTTTATAGGGAGTCAAATATTTCCCAAGACCCTCTTGGAGGTCTTCCTTTTACCATTGATCAGAAATGGGCCATGTGCCTGCCCTTACATCAATCGCTGCCAAAGGGGGAGAGTTTCCCATGATTGGGGCTGATCAGTTGTTGATAGATGGTGAGAATGGCAACTGAAAGTGCCTGCCACAGAGTTCACCAAGACTTAGGATTGAACCACAGTTTTAAAAGAAAGAACATGAGGCTAAGGTCAGAATGTGATCAACAATGTCACATGTAGCAAAGATGTCAAGACAAATGAGGACTGAAGAAAGACTGAGAAGTGACAATGAAGAAATTGTTCTTGAACTCTAACAGCAATTATTTCAGTTGAGTGATTAGGCTGAAAGCAGAAGGTCAGGGAGCTATGGAGCAATCCAACAGTGTGGAAACACAGGTAGAACATATGGGGCGATGTTTTTAGTTTTCTGAGAGTGAAAAGAAGGTGAGTGAAAGGGTAAGATAGCTAGAGGTGGGAGGGGACTGCAAATAAAGTGAGAAATGAGAGTTTTTTTTTCAAAGCAGGGAAACCTGGTGATATGATTTGGCTGTGTCCCCACCCAAATTTCATCTTGAATTGTAGTTCCCATAATCCCCACATGTTGTGGGAGGGACTAGGTGGAGATAATTGAATCATGGGGGCGGTTACCTCCATGCTGTTCTTGTGATAGTGAGTTGTCATGAGATCTGAAGTTTTTATAAGGGGATTTTCCCCCTTTTGCTTGGCCATGTGAAGAAGGATGTGTTTGCTTCCCCTTCCGCCATGATTGTAAGTTTCCTGAGGGCTCCCCAGCCATACTGAATTGTGAGCCAATTAAACCTTTTTCAATCTCAGGTATGTCCTTAAAGCAACATGATAATGGACTCATACATTTGGCTATGTTTAAAGGTAGGGGGTAAGGAATCAGTGGAGAAAAAGAGATAGAAAGGATGTAAGAGGAATGGAGAAAAGTGGATATGCTAGGTACTATGGGGGATAGAAAAGAGGAAGACAGGCATATAATTCAAGGCTGGAGGGAAGGATGGAAAAAGGTAGGTTTGCCTGTATTTTGAGAGGATGACAAAAGAAATACAAAGGCTTAAAATAGCATTTAGAGAATCAGGAGGCCTGGTCATCTATGGAATTTATTAAGAAGTAAAAGAGGAGAGGAGAGGTAGAAGAAAAGAATAGGTTAGAAAAGTGACAGATTAAAATGAGAGGAGAAGATCTATAAAATCAAAAATGGGGAAAATTCTCCAAGTTTAGAACAGGAACTAGAAAAAGTAAACAAACCCCAAACAAAAACACAAGTCCTGGGAAATTAAATTTAATGACCAAAGAGAAAGGAAGCCAGAAACCTATAAATTTCCGTGAGAAGGGAAGGGTTACAGATGAAGAGAAATTTGACATGGAAAATCCATTTTTGGCTTTTCCCAACCTCATGCTGTTTGTGAAATAAATGATGTTTCTCAAGCCTTAAATGTTTCAATTTCCTGAGTTGAAAGATGCCATGTTACTGTTATACTATTTATAAAGTTATAAAGTAAGGCTTTGTTTGCTCAATCTTACTCAGGATGAGAAAATGGAAAATATGCCTCTGGGATAGAATTCAAGTCAGTTAAATTGAGACACCTATAGCATATGCGTAATATGTATGAGATGTTAGGTTTGAGATGACCTAAAAAACAGCATCCTCCCAACCTGCCTCAATTGGAATGTGTTGAAAAATAGACATAAGAATCAAACAGATGTAGATAAAAATATCCCTTTTGTTACTCATAAAGCTCTATATCATAGGGCATAGCTTAGATCTAGCCAAGAGGCTTGCATGCACTACCCTGAGTCAAATTTATATCAGTCCCCCAAACTGGAGGCCTTTCATGCAGGAATAATCCTGTCCCAATTAGGGACATCTCAGTATATCCTCATTTGTTCTTTCTGGATGGCCAAGAACAAATGAGGATATACTGAGAAAGCAGGTTTCCTATAGGTGGCTGGATTTTCAAAGAGAGATTGGGGGGGGTGCTAAGTTAAGCAAACTCAAATCCTTTCGCCAAACTCATGAATCAGATAAGTCACCTCTTCTTCTCTGGGCAGAGTCATTGAGGAAGGCAGGGAGAGTCCTGCAGTCTAGCTCTAACTGACGTCCTTCCCATGGCTTGCAGGCAGATGAAGTTTCCTCCACAAAATAAGGAATTGTATTAGGGACAAGGGCACAGGATATATAAAGATAAAGAACATGGCCAGGCACGGTGGCTCATGTCTGTAATCCTAGCACTTTGGGAGGCTGAGACAGGAGGATCACCTGAGGTCAGGAGTTTGAGACCAGCCTGGCCAGCATGGTGAAATCCCGTCTCTACTAAAAATATGAAAATTAGCCAGGCATGGTGGTGGGCGCCTGTAATCCCAGCTACTTGGGAGGCTGAGGCAGAAGAATTGCTTGAACCCAGGAGGCAGAGGTTGCAGTGAGTGAGATGACATCACTGCACTCTAGCCTGGGCCACAAAATGAGATTCTGTCAAAAGAAAAAAAAAAAAAAAAAAAAAAGAACATGCCCATGCCTGAAGAGCCAAGGAACTTATAAGCTAGCATGAAAGAGAGGAAATGGCATGAATAGCAATACAGACATACAAACATTAGGGCAGGTGGTAGTCAGTGAAGGGTGAGGGAAATTGAAGAAACTGAAGTTGTAAGGGACTGGAACGTGAAGACCTTCACAAGATTTACCAGGGAATTTGGTCTTTATTAGACAAGCAATAGGAAACCATGGGAGGTTTCTGAGCAGGGGAGTGAGAAACTGAGTATCAGAAAGCAGTGTGTAGGATGGGTTAGAATGGAGGAAGGGCTTGAGGCAAGAGGAAATGAAGACCTGAATAAGGCAGTATTCAAGAGAAATGTTGGAGATGGAAACCATGGAAGATTGGATATGAGATATCAAAGGACATGGGAGAGTTAAAGGACATTCCAAGACAATGAGTTTGTTTTAGGATATATGGAGTTTGGTAGGTTGGAAATATCTGTGCCTTTTTTTTTTTTTTTTTTTTTTTTCAAGACTGTTAGAAGCAAACAAAGAAACCCACATAGACAAGAACAAATACATAAGCATTTACTATGGGGTGAGCCCTGTCCTAGGGTATAGAGATAGCAGCAAAGAGGTCCAACCTGGTCCTGGTCCTCATACAGCTTACAAGTGATCCAAACTGTTCTCATTTGTGAGTGGCAGGGCCTCAACTCTCATCCATGCAGTGTCCTAGATACTTAGGAAATATCTCCAAGGGGATGGGCCCAGAAACAAATCTCTCTCCTGCATTCACCACATTGCATATGTTCCACCCATACTCTCTGCCTCCAGCTTCCCTTTGTTCTATTCCCATTGCCCGAAAAACCAGTGCTCACGAGATGATCAATGTCACATGCAAGGGTGCGACTCAGGTTAGGGCTTCCTGTATACTTTGTGTTATGCCTTGTCTCCTGCACTCATCAAGTTTCTCTTCTATTGTCCAGAGTTTCACAGCAGCTGTCATGGCTTGTCTCTAATGTCTTCACTCCATATTCTGGAGCTTCAAGGGATCTGGTGAAGTGGATGGTGCACAGACATTATTTCATTCCCATTCATGTGTCCTTTATCACTTCTTTCAGTCCATTCCCTAATTGTGTGTGTGTGTGTGTGTGTGTGTGTGTGTGTGTGTGAGAGAGAGAGAGAGAGAGAGAAAGAAAGAGAGAGGTGTGATCTACACTAGCAGCTGACAGCTCCAAACACTTTGTTACTTAAGCAACTGCAACAAAGTACAATGATTGTTTAGTGAGGGAAGGTAAAGAGCATTACAAGGGTAGATTGTACTGGTGATAAGAGTCTAGAGCAGAGATTCTAAACTTTTGGGGTTCACAGAGGCCTTCGTGTTTTAGCAATTCTTTTAGAGTGCCCCATGGCAAAATAAATACCTAAGAGTTCCATTTATTAAGTAGTTAAGTCCTGATATTTTAATAAATTTTCATGTCCTAACAACTTAGTAGCTGCTTAAAAAGATACACAGGGCATACTGTAGAATGAAAACATATTTTATTCTTAAAGACCATGGTTACTTCCTAGTAACACGTGCATGCCTGTTGGGCGCTGCACAGCTTCTCGAACCTTGGAAGCAGATTGGACGTTGCCACCCTCGTTTCTTTTTTCACGTTGAATTCATGTGGTACTTGCTTCTTAGATCACATCTGCCACCCCAAAGCCAACTTCACCAAAATATGACACCATCAAAGGGAATGTAGTGACTTCATGTGGAAACTGTTAAGTACCTCTGACTAGGAATTCTCCCAGTGTTCAGCAGATGCCAGCCATCGTTGTGTTTCCCTTGAAAATTTAAAATATCCCAGAATGCTCCATGTGAGTTTAAAACAATGCCCTGGGGCACCTTAATATGTTGGGATGGGTGGTCAAGGAAGGCCTTTGGAGTGAAAGAATATTTGAATCAAGATGTTACCAATGAGAAAGGATAGTTCAGGCAAAAGAGTGCCTGTAAGAGCCTTCTTAACAGGGCAATAGCATTTATGAAGAAGTCTTCTTTGTGAAGGAATGTGGTGAGTTTGAACAGTGTATC
The DNA here is from genome assembly GCF_000001405.40 of Homo sapiens. Lineage (NCBI taxonomy): Eukaryota > Metazoa > Chordata > Mammalia > Primates > Hominidae > Homo > Homo sapiens. The sequence goes on from NC_000017.11 coordinate 68,624,314, forward strand.
TGCATTTCTAGAGCACTTATCACTATCTGATTTTATATTTCTATATATCTAGAAATCTATATCAATATGTACCATATATACATTTATGAATATTACAAACAACATATACTATATATTCTATGTGTCTGTATTATAAATTAATCTATTCACCTATCATTCTATTATCTATCTGTCTATCTATCTATCTACCTATCTACCTACCTATCTATGAAGACACACACATGCAATCATTTCCTTGCTGTTGCAGGGGATAAGAAAGGGAGTTCACTGGGCATGAGTCACATGGTGTCTTGCCCAGGCTGTGAAGCCTGGATTTGTAGCAGAATGAATGAGCATGGTTTTAGAATTTCCTCCAGCAATGTTTGACAATCCAGGAGCAGAAACAAAGAAAATGGATGGTTGGCTTGATTCGGGGTCAGGAATTGGCAAAATAGATGTGGCAGAAAATCAAGAGGTTTGAAGCTGTGAAGATTTGGAATGTTCATTGCCTTCACCTCCAAGCATGATTTACACGATGGCTTGGGGGAGCTGTTATTGGCAGGGAGGCCTTTGTGGCTCGCCAGTTGCCTGTCTTCCCCATGGCTGCCCAAGGTCACCTACAGATCCGAGGTTGCAACTGCTCCTTCTGACTTTATGTCAGCGTGGGAAGTGTGGCCTCACTCTGGACAAAGACTTCCAGGTCCCTGGGATTTATCTCACTCCTTCAAAGGATCACACTAGCAGATTTGTCTGAAAGCAACAGCATGAAAAATAAGCTTTTCCTTGACTTGCCAGTTTTGGTTTAAAGCACCAACAACTTGACAAAGCTTACTTCCAAATGCTTTATTTTTTTGTCCATATACATATATTTTTACATATTATGGTAAGCAGCTTCTAAAAGGGCTCTCAGTGGCCTCTGCCTCCTGGTTTTCATGCCCTCATGGAATAAAAGTGTGAGCTGAACCTAGTGACTTATATCTAATGAATAGAATAACGGCAAAAGTAATGGTGTGTCACTTCAGAGATTAAGTTACAAAAAACTGTGACTTTTCTCTTATTTGCCCTCTCTTGCTCCCTCACTTACTCATTTACATAAAGCCATCTGCTGTGTGTGACCTGCCCTCTGCAGAAGGCCATGGAGCAAAGAAACAATGGTCACTTCTGGCCAACAGCCAGTGAGGAACTGAAGCTGTCAATCCAACAAACCAGAAAGAACTGAATCCTGCCAACAACCAGTGAGCTGGGAAATAGACTCTTCCCCAGTCAAGTCTTGGGATGACCCCCAGCCCCAAGTAACACCTCCATAGCAGCGTGTGACTGATTCTAGGGCAGAGTCTAAGTTGTGCCTGAATTCTTGACCAACAAACAATGTAAATAATTAATGGTGTTTTAATCCTTTAAGTCGTGGGATAATTTGTTACATAGCAATAGATAATGAATACACAAACGTCACAAACTGTAAGATGCCATTAATGGTAAGATACCTTTTATTTTATGTTCCCCAAATAAGAAACACTCCTGCCAATATGATCTGCCAATATGATCTGTCATAAGATGGATAGCGCACTGTTGATTTTAATACATAGCATAATTTCAGAGATGTGTGAACAAAATGTGCATCTTACAATCAGTGACACTATGGTAGTTGTAATCATCACATACACAAATTTTATATAATGTATTTTTTCCTAATTTTTTTTTTTTTGAGACAGGGTCTCACTCTGTCACCAGGTTGGAGTTCAGTGGCTTAATTATGGCTCACTGCAACCTCTGCCTCCCACGCTCAAGTCATTCTCCCATCTCAGCCTTCTGAGTAGCTGGGACTACAGGTGCTCACCACCATGCCTGGCTAATTTTTGTATTTTTTTGCAGAGACAGGGTTTCACCATGTTGCCCAGGCTGGTTTTGAACTCCTGAGCTGAAGCGATCCACCCGCCTCGGCCTTCCAAGGTGCTAGTATAACAGGCATGAGCCACCGCGCCAGGCTCCTGGATGTTTTATCGTGGACATAGTCCAAGGTTGTATGCCATCTTTATCCCATCCATTTTTCTGTGTGTGTGATTTTTTTTTTTTTTTTAGTAGAGACGGGGTTTCACCATGTTAGCCAGGATGGTCTCAATCTCCTGACCTCGTGATCTGCCCGCCTCAGCCTCCCAAAGTGCTGGGATTACAGGCGTGAGCCACCGCGCCTGGCCCCCAATCCATGACAAAAAACTTCGAATAGTACATGTCCATGTATTATTTCTACCAGTTTTTATATACTTCCGGGAATAGTCTGCGCACACTCAAGCATCTCTCTTCCCTTGTTTTCTCTTCTCTTTGTTTTTTCTCTTTTAACACACTTGGTAGCACACTAAGTGCATTGTTCTGCACCTTGCGCTTTTCAGTGAGCAATGTGTCTTGGTAATAGTTTCATAATACTTTGTAAAGATCCTCTTCAATATTGAGGCTGAGAAGTCTGACTTTAGCATTTCCTCCACCATTTTTTCCCTCTAAATTATTATTATTATTTTTTTTTTGCGACAGAGTCTTGCTCTGTCGCCCAGGCTGGAGTTCCGTGGCGCAATCTTGGCTCACTGCAACCTCCACCTCCTGGATTCAAGCAATTCTCTTGCCTCAGCCTCCTGAGTAGCTGGGATTACAGGCATGTGCCATCACACCTGGCTAATTTTTGTATTTTTAGTAGAGACGGGGTTTCACCATGTTGGTCAGGTTGGTCTCAAACTCCTGACCTCGTGATCCACCCACCTCAGCCTCCCAAAGTGCTGGGATTACAGGCATGAGCCACCACGCTTGGCCTCTAAGATCTTTTTAAGATCTTTTATTTATTCATGATTTGTAAAGTTCTGTGATAATTTAGCTCTATTTTTCCTTCTGATGCTGGCTTCCTTGTATATTCTTTCAGTCTACAGGCTGCTAGCTTTTACTCCTGTATGTATGTGTATAAATGTGTGTGTGTGTGTGTGTGTGTGTGTGTGTGTATTTTTCTTTACCTGTTTTCTGTTTGTCTGGAACGGAAACTTCTATTCCTGTTATTTGACTGTTAGGTTTTCTGGGTTAATCCTTTCTCTCATGTCTTGCTTTTGCCCATAATTTTTATTTCCTGATCTCTATTTGCTATCTTTGTGGGAAGGAAACTGGGATGAACTTTATATTCATGGAAAGATAAAGTTCCATAGAAATTTTTACTTTGCGTGCTCTAGCTTTATTTATTAAGAGCTCTTCTTTCCTCACTGATTAATAAATTCTTGTTTTATGGATACATTATCTTCTCATATCTTTCCAAGGATGTTATGTTAAGGTTGTTTTATGGATGCATTATCTTCTCATATCTCTCCAAGGATGACATTTAGCACAAATCCCTTCCTTTCCTTTCCCTTTCTCTTTCTCTTTCTCTCTCTTTCTTTCTTTCTTTTCTCCCTTTCTGGCTCTGTCTTTCTCTTTCTTCCTCCCTTTGTCTCTCCTTTTTAAAAAATTAACCCAAACTTTGGCATATTGAGAAATAATGTGGGAAAAGAGGTAAGGCAGATGAAAGACCAAGAAACCACTTTTATTAAACAATTGAAGAGTCAGGTAGAGGATGCAGTTTAGTCTAAGAGTCCAGTGGGCCTGCAAACTCAACCCCAGAACTGGGAAACTTAGGCAGCCAATCACGGGCAATGCTGAACTGGGACAGGACTCCTCCCATGGTACGACTGTTCTCACTGAGGGGTAGAAAAAAACATGCTCTGTCTTGGAAAGACTCACTCCCAGGAGGAAAGGGTGGAGCTGAACTAAGTCTGACCGGTTCTTTCTCCCAGACTCACCTTTACTGCCCTGTGGGAGAGGCTAGTGGGAGGGTGGGCAAGGCCAGAGCGTGTCCTGCCTCCATGTGGAGGGAGATACGGGAAGCTGGTAAGTCTCCCTGCCAACCTCTCCTTGGGGTGGAGGGTCAGTTCCTGGTTTCTGGCACTCTGTGTGTGGGAGTAGGTGAAGGTGCTGACTGTTATAAATACTGAATTCCATCTTAGCCTCCAGGGTTGCTCTTGTGTCCCCCTCCTACACTCTGTGATATCAGATGTCCCCAGCTTATGAGTTTCTCTGACTCTCTGTGGTGGGGAGAGGCAGGTCTATTCTCAGCCCTCTGCTTTTATTCACAGCTTTCTCTGCCCTGCTAAAGAAGTTACTCCCTCTGCCCTGTTTCTCCTTCCTCAAAACTGTTTATCTTTCCCATTCAGGACATCTCTTGTCCTGATGTCTCTGTTTGTGAGAATTTATGTATTTTTTTCTCCTTTACTGTGGAAAGAGATGCATTAAAGCACAAGCTTTAGATTCTTACACTTGCTTTGCCGCATACTAACTATGTGACTTTGGACAAGTTATTTAACCTCTCTTTGCCTTAGATTCTTCAATTGTAAAATGGATTGTTATAAGGTTGGAAAGTGACAACACATGTAAAGTGCCCAGATTAACGTCTGGCACCCAGAGAACATTCAATAAATATTAGTCATCATCATTACCATCTCAGCATCTTCTTAGTGGAGTTTTGGGAAGGGTAGGATGTAAATATGAGTGTTCTATTAATATCGCCATCTTTCTACATCAACTTGTCCAACCTGCAGCCCACAGGCCACATGTGGCCCAGGATGGCTTTGAATGCAGCCCAACACAAAATTCATAAACATTCTTAAAACATTACGAGATTTGTGCATGGACTTTTTTTTTTTTTTCAGTAGCTCATCAAGTAATGTTAGTGTTAGTGTAGTTTATGTGTAGTCCAAGACAATTCTTCTTCTTCCAATGTGGCCCAGGGAAGCCAAAAGATTGAACATCCCTGTATCTACATGGTCTTCGTAGCTTTTGTTTTTATTGGTACTTTCTCCACACTGTAATTTCCATGGAGGAAAGGTCTATCTTTTTTTTTATTCTGTATTATATCTATAGCACTTGGCAAACACATGACCTATGGTATGTACTCAGACAATATTTGTGGGGTGAATCAATGAAAACAAATTCGCTCATAACATTTCTTGTAGGAGACAATATTGTATGGTAATCAAAAACATGGGCTTTTAAATGACACTGTTTGGGTTTGAACTATGGCTGGGTCATTCACTGATAGTGCAACCTTGAACACTTTCTTAATTTCTCTACCCTTCAATGTCCCCACCTGTAAACTGAGGATAAAAATTGTACCTACCTCATAAGGGTAATATGAGGACTAACAGCAATAAACTGTGAAGCATTTAACATCATGACTGGCACATAGTAATTGCTCAATGAACATTAGCTTCGATCATTGGTGGTGCTTTTGTAATTGTTTATTGCCTATATGCCAGTCACTGGGTTAGGCACAAGTATATACATCACTTACTGAGGCCCTATGATTTGCTGTATACTGTATTTAATAGCGTACACAGTAGTACTTCCTTTTCTTTTCTTGTTTTTTGAGACAGAGTCTCGCTCTATTACCCAGGTGGGAGTGCAGTGGTGTGATCTCTGCTCACTGCAATCCCTCCCTGCCTCCTGGGCTTAAGCTGTCCTCCTATGTCAGCCCTCTGGGTAGCTGAGACCACAGGCACACATCACTATGCCTGGCTAGTTTTTGTATTTTTTTGTAGAGACAGGGTTTCATCATGTTGCCCAGGCTGATCTCGAACTCCTGAGCGTATGTGATCCACCCGCTTCGGCCTCCTAAAGTGCCGGGATTACAGGCATGAGCCACAGCGCCCGGCTTGTAGTAGTTTCTATAGTCAGATACTGCGTGTGGTTTCTATAGTCAGTGGATTTGAATTCAACCCTGCTATTCAGACCTCAGCTGAATAACTTAGAACAAATTAGTTAATCTTATTGAGCCTCACTATTAATATTTGTAGAATAGGGTAATGATAAACCTACCTATAGGGTAGTTATGAGGCAAACCATGTAAAGCCCTTAGCACAGAGCTTAGCACATAGTACATGCTCAGTAAATATTAGCTATGATGATGATGATGTTGACAACAACAATTATGGTGGCAGTGACAATGATAAAACCATGGTAATTATAGTGGTGACAGGAATGATAGTGGTGACAACAGCGATGGTTGTGTCTGTGACAATGTTGATAAGGGTGTCAGTGATGCCGGCAATGAGGATAACCATACTGACCTGAGAGGCAGGAACATGCAGGAGTTATGTGCTTTGGTTGTAGAGTCAGAGGAACCTGGAGCCAAGTATCTGTTCTGTCTTAACTAGATGTGTGACTTTAAGGAAGCAATTTTATCTAATTAAATTTTGGCATCCTCTTCTGTAAAAACAATCATTGTTTCGCAGGGCTGTTGGGAAGTTTAAAAAAATGTTATATATCATTCCTTAAAGATGCCTATTTTTCATATTTTAACATCTCTGAAATTAGAAATGCATCTTGCAGTTACTGTCAGCCAGGCAGAACTAAATTTGTTTTAATTTTTAATTTTTGTGGGTACATGGTAGGCATCTATATTTGTGGGATGCATGAGATACTTTGATATAGGCATGCAATGTGAACATTCAGACTGAATTTTTCTTTCTCTTATATTCTCTTTCTCATGAAGACACAAGAGTAATTCTATGACAGTCACTAAATATAAGTACAAAAGTCTTCTCAATAAGTAGAAAATAAAACCTCAAACTGATAAACTGTGTTATAACTTAACTGACAGTGTTTTATTTACTTTTTAAAGGTACAAAAAATAACAGTTTGTCCTTCAGGTGATAGAATTTTAGTTTTGATGAAAAATAGTAACACGTTTTGAACACCACACAGTGTAATAGTTACCTCTTTCATCTGGTTTTGTCCCATTTTGCTGTAATAAGATTTACACAAACTAAGAAAAATATATACCTATAGTAGCCAGTCTTCAGAGGGTCCCTTGTGATCTCTGCCTTCTGGTTCTCACACCCTTGTGTAATCCCCTTCCACTCTGAGCAGGGATGATTTGTGTCTGGTATTGCAGAGAAGACAGAGTGTGACTTCTGAGGCCTGGCATCCAAACATTGCTGCATCCCTTTTACTCTTTTTTTTTTTTTTGAGATGGAGTTTCACTCTTGTTGCCCAGGTTGGAATGCATTGGCATGATCTCGGCTCATGGCAACCTCTGCCTCCTGGGTTCAAGCGATTCTCCTGCCTCGGCCTCCCGAGTAGCTGCGATTACAGGCATGCGCCACCACACCCGCTAATTTTGTATTTTTAGTAGAGATTGGTTTCTCTATGTTGGTCAGGCTGGTCTCGAACTCAGGTGATCCACCCGCCTCAGCCTCCCAAAGTGATGGGATTACAGGCGTGAGCCACCGCGCCTGGCCTCTCTTACTCTTTAAATCCCTCACTCTGGGAAAACCAGCCACTGTGTCATGAAGACACTCAAGCAGTCCCAAGCAGGAGGTACACATGGTGAGGAATTGAGTCCTCTTGCCAACAGCCAGTGAGGATGTAAGGCGTCCTGCCGACAGCCATGGGAGTGAGCCGCCTTAGAAGTGGGCATTCCGGTCCCTGCCTCCCCACCCTCCACTGACATCCTGGTTGTAATTTTATGAGAGACACTGCTTCCGAGCCATTCTAGCTGTCACCAAACCCTGACTCGCTAATCACACATTCTATGCATGTAACAAAATATCACACGTACCCCATAAATCCATAAAATATTGTATATCAGTAAAAAAGTATTGTTAACATGAAACTGTGGTTACTTCTCCAAGATGAATACATGCTTCACCAAATGAGATTTTATTTTTTAAGTGAAGGAATCCAGTTAAAAGCAAAAAGAGGTTAAGAAAAACAAGATAGGCCAGGTGCTGTGGCTCACTCCTGTAATCCCAGCACTTTGGGAGGCTGAGGTGGGTGGATCCCAAGATCAGGAGTTCAAGACCAGCCTGGCCAACATGGTTAAACCCTGTCTCTACTAAAAATACAAAAAAAATTAACCAGGCGTAATGGCGTGTGCCTGTAGTCTCAGCTACTTGGGAGGTTGAGGCAGGAGAATCGCTTGAACCCGGGAGGCAGAGGTTGCAGTGAGCTGAGATTCACTGAACTCCAGCCTGGGTGACAGAGTGAGACTCCATCTCAAAAAAAAAGAAAAAAAAAAAATAAATCCAGAGGTCTGATGAATACCCAAAAGTCGGCTGTGGAGGTCCCTCTGCATACGAAGGGTAGGACCCCAATGGTTGTGTTTCACTCTGTGTGTGTGTGTGTGTGTGTGTGTGTGTGTGTTTTCAAAGTTGGCAATTATGGAGTCTTTCCACTGATTCAAACTAATAAATCACCATCTCTCAGTACAAACTTGATTTGGAGTTAAAAGTCATGTCAATCATGTATATCGTATTAAAATGTAATAAAAGTGAACACTGAAATTTTTACAAATAACACCATGAAGGAAAATTCGGCTGAAGACATTATAGCTAATTTGTAAAAGGATAATTAGGAATATTCAAGAAACATAGGGATGTGAATGTTCAAAATTATTAGTATCTGGAAGTAATAAATTGTAACTTTTTTTTCACCCACCAGATTAGTTAAGAACAAAAGAAATGTGATGTGTCAAAGTGAGGAGAGAGACTGTGGATGGGAATGTAAATACATGGTTCAATTTTTCTTTTACAAAAGACTTGTAATCAAAGTTATACATGTACAGAGCTTTTAAAAAGTCCAGTGGTACCATGAGGAATAATATAAAAGATAGTAATCTCCTGCCCCACCCCTTCTCACACTAGATCCTGTTCCCTGGAGCCAACTGTTGTCCACTCTTTTAGCAAGTTCTTTCGCTATTTGCTTTTTTTTTTTTTTTTGAGACGGCATTTTGCTCTTGTTGCCCAGGCTGGAGTGCAGTGGAGTGATCTTGGCTCACTGTGACTTCTACCTCCTGGGTTCTAGCGATTCTCCTGCCTCAGCTTCCCAAGTAGCTGGGATTACAGGCATGTGCCACCACGCCCAGCTAATTTTGATTTTTAGTAGAGACAGGGTTTCACCATGTTGGCCAGGCTGGTCTTGAACTCCTGACCTCAGGTGATCCACCCGCTCAACCTCCCAAAGTGCTGGGATTACAGGCGTGAGCCACCACGCCCGGCCTGCTTTCATATCTTAAAATAATATGCTTAAGGAACTCTTTCTCGATTTTTGGTTTTATGTATTACTATTGACATCTTACTAGAAAACAAGAGGCTCTACCTCTGTCTTAGTTTTTGTTCCCCACAATAGTCGAGTTGCCAATAAAATGTAGGATGCTCATTTAAATTTGAATTTCAGTTGAACAACAAATCATTTTTTATACAAGTATGTCCCAAGTATAGCATGGGCAAACTTGTATGAAAACATGATTTGTCATTTATCTGAAATTCAAATTTAGTGGGGCGTTTTGTATTTTTATTTGCTAAATCTGGCAACCTTGCGTGAAGGAGACACAGAGATAAAGACAGTACATGATATGGTTTGGCTATGTCCCTACCCAAATCTCATCTTGAATTATAGCTCCCATAATTCCCATGTGTTGTGGGAGGGACTCAGTGAGAGACAATTGAATCATGGGGTGGTTTCCCTCATACTGTTCTCATGGTAGTGAGTAAGTCTCATGAGATCTGATGGTTTTATAAGCAGAAACCCCTTTCGCTTGGGCCTCATTCTCTCTTGCCATATAAGAAGTGCCTTTTGCCTTCCACCATGATCGTGAGGCCTCCACAGCCATGTGGAACTGTGAAAAAGAACTCTTTTTCTTTTTTTTTGGAGACAGAGTTTCACTCTTGTCACCCAGGCTGCAGTGCAATGGTGTAATCTCAGCTCACTGCAACCTCCAACTCCTGGGTTCAGGCGATTCTCCTGCTCCAGTTTCCCGAGTAGCTGGGATTACAGGCACACACCACCACACCCAGCTGATTTTTGTAATTTTAGTAGAGACGGGGGTTTCACCATGTTGGCCAGCCTGGTCTCGAACTCCTGACTTCAGGTGATCTTCCCGTCTCGGCCTCCCAAAGTTGTGGGACTACTGGCCTGAGCTACCGTGCCCACCCACCTCTTTTTCTTTATAGATTACCCAGTCTCGGATATGTCTTTATCAGCAGCGTGAAGATGGACTAATACAGTACACAATTTAATCAAAAGGCACTCCGAGGAAGCACAAGCAAGAATGAAGGGAGAACGAGAGAATGAAGAGAGAATAGTCAACGAAGGGTCCATTTAGTGAGTGGATTGTCACTGTGGACGATCTGAGCTCAGTCATGCTGGGAGCCCTTTGAGAGACTATGGAGCATACCTCAGAATTGTCCCGCTAGAGGGCAGGAGGGTGGAGATACCAGTGCACTGGCTGCAGTCCCTCCTTGGTTAAGGGTGGTCCTCACATGTCTGGGTTGCCCTCGTGCTGTAGCCACGCATTTTTATTTCTCCCACCTCCCATTCTTGGGTAAATCAACATCGTATATTTACACTACAATGATTATATAGCTGTGATTCACCACTGAGCTGCAATTGCGTGTCTCACACAACTTTTTGTATTCTTGGGCTTAATAATTGCTTCCTCCATTATTCGCTTTAGGTTTCCATTGCATCCATTACTAATTCAATCCTTAACTTTCTAAGTGAATGGATAATCTGAGAATACATTTGACAGCTCAGGTACTCCCTCAATTTCATCATCTTTTCTTGACACCCTCTCACTCTGATCCTTGTTCTGCTTTTCTCATCTGGTCTGGTTGCTTTCTAGGCCTACAGGTCTTAAGATGTCTCTTTACTGCCATTCCTGAAAAATCCTGTAACTCCTGTTCTGGGTTGGATCTCTGTTTCTCAAATCACAAGCCCTTACTTTCTGGGTGTACTTTCTTATTTTGATGGAGAATATTCTCCAAGAACCTCCTGATATGGTTAGGCTTTGTGTCCCCACCTAAGTCTCATCTTGAGTTGTAATCTGCATAATCCCCACGTGTTAAGGGAGAGACCAGGTGGAAGTAATTGAATCATGGCGGGGGCGGGGAGGGGGAAGGGGGATTGGGGGAGGTGGGGGAGAAGGGCGGTTTCCCCCATGCTGTTCTCATGATAGTGAGTGAGGTCTTATGAGATCTAATGGTTTTATAAGGGGCTCTTCCCTCTTTGCTCGGCACTTCTCCTTTCTGTCACCTTGTGAAGAAGGTGCCTTGCTTCCTCTTTGCCTTCTGCCATGATTGTAAGTTTCCTGAGGCCTCCCCAGCCATGCCTGAACTGTGAGTCAATTAAACCTCTTTCCTTTGTAAATTACCCAGTTTCAGGCAGTTCTTTTAAGCAGTATGAAAACAGACTAATACACCTCCCAAGAAAGAATTCATGAGAAGTAAATTTTTGTATTCTTGCATGTCTGCAAATATCTTTATTCAAATAAAGAACATCGTGGCTGAATATCAAATTACATTGGGCATTATTTTCTCCAGAATTTTGAAGGTTCTGCTCATTGTTCAATTCCAATAGCATTCTGAAGCCTTGTTCATTCCATTTGATCTGCTCTTTTCTCTTTGTTCTGAACTTTGTTGTTGTTGTTGTTGAATTTCATCGTTATGTGCCTTGTGGGTCTTTTCCCCGCTATTTATTGTGCTGAACACTTGATGAAAACTTCCAGTCTGGAAAATCACGGCCTTCACTCCTTGTGTTATTTCTTTGCAAATTTCTTCCCTTCTGTTTTCCATGTACTCTTTTTCTTGTAACATTTCTTCTTTTCTTCCTTCTTTTTTCCCTTTTTTTGGATGTAGAATTTCTTGAATAGACCCTTTAGTTTTTCTATCTTTTTTCTCTTATTTTCCTTATTTTATCTTTGAGTTTTACTTGTTGGTAGATTTTTTCAACTCTATTTCATTTCAAACATTCTATCAAATTAAAAATTTCTACAATTATTCTTTTAATTTCCAAGAGCTGTTTCTTATTCTCTTATTATCTCTTTTTATAGACCATCATTGTATAATAATATAACTATTTCTCTGAGGATATTTATTATAGTTAAAAAAGTCATTTTGCCATCTGCATTGTCTTTATTTCCATGAAATTTTTTCTCTTAGTTTGTTTCCCACCCTGCCCCCTGACCCTCAACGTTTTTTTTTTTTTTTTTGACATTCAAAGCTTGGAAGAGAGCTGGGACCCAACTTTGTAACATACCAATTCAAAGCAATGCAAAACTACGTAAAAGCTGACGTCAATGTCTAACTCTTCTAGGCTGTTCATTTATACTTACCAGAGAGACACTAAAATGCAAACTCTACACTGGTGGGTAATTGACAAAAGCCTGTCAATTTGGAACTTCACTGTCAAGTGATCAAGTAGTAACCTGGCATTTCACTGGGAGACTTTCAGATATCAGTGTCTGTAGGATTTTTCTCCTGGACTAATCAGTTTCCTTAAAAAGGAATCCTATAAGACCCTTCCTGTGGTCTAAGTCTAGCTGCTAATGTTCTTGAAGCCAAGTGGAGATAGGGCTGGTACCCCCAAAACTGGATTTAGACTTCAAGTAAAAGAATGTTTTGCCTCCCAGGCTGGAGTGCAGTGGTGCAGTCTTGGCTCACTGCAGCCTGGACTTCCCAGGCTTAACTGATCCTCCTGCTTCAGCCTCCCGAGTAGCCGGGACCACCACCACCATTTGTAGAGATGGGGGTTTTGCTGTATTGCTCAGGCTGGTCATGAACTCCTGGGCTCATGTGATCTTTCTCCCCAGCTCCACAAAGTGCCAGGATTACAGGTGTGAGCCACCATGCCTGGCCTAATACACTCTTTAATACAATAATACCTTGTAGATCTCTTTCCATTTCCAATAAATATAGATCATCATTGGGAATGAATACAAAGTATTCTTCTATATAGATCTGCCTTATTTTGCTTATTAATCTCATATTAATGGACTTTCAAGTGATTTCTAGTTTTTCTCTATTGTACAGCACGCAGTAATGAACATCCTTGTGTAATTCCTAGAATTGTGACTGCTTGTGGAAAGGTATGCTTATTTACATGTTGATACCTGTTGCCAACCATCCTCTAGAGGTCTTGCCCACCAGTGTTTCATTTTTAGATAGTAAAATCCATTTCTCTTGACTATTTGATTTCTTTGATTACTTCAAGCCTTAGGAATTTTTTTTTTAAACCTAGCATAGCTTTATGTCATTTTTCTATAATTTGATTAAAAAGACAAAAACTATAATCCAAGTGAAGCACAGAGGCTTTCGACTTCCTGATTTTATTAGAAATCAAGTGACAAATCTTTTCTTTAGGGCTGAAGAGATCTTTTCTTCCTTTCTTTAGGTGAGGAAGGGTTGATTTTTATAAATATTTGTTTATTTATTATTCTTATTTCTATGAGTCATTCAGGACTTATTCTTGTGCAAAATGTGAAAGAAAGCACACAGAAAACAATAAATAAAATAGTGCATCTGCCAATTCAACCACCTCTCTGTTGTCAAATTCATCCTTATCCCCAAGGGTAGTCTGAGTTTATCACTTTTGTGGGTAACCTTCCATTGACTTTCTTTTGCATTTACATATAGAGCATGCACAAACAGAAATACATAGATCTGTTGTGTGTGTTTTTTAATCTAAAAGTGATCATGCACACATATTCTGCAGAGTGCTTTTTCCAACCCATAATATGACTTTGTATTAGTCCATTTTCACTCTGCTGATAAAGACATACCTGAGACTGGGTAATGTATAAAGAAAAAGAGGTTTAATGGACTCATAGTTCCACAAGGCTGAGGAAGCCTCACAATCATGGTAGAAAGCGAAAGGCACATCTTACATGGTGGCAGACAAGAAATAATGAGAGAGCCAAGCAAAAGGGGAAATCCCTTATAAAATCATCAGATCTCGTGAGACTTATTCACTACCATGAGACTAGTATAGGGGAAACTGCCCCCATAATTCAATTATCTTCCACTGGGTCCCTCTCACAAATGTGAGAATTATGGGAGCTATAATTCGAGATGAGATTTGGGTGGGGACGCAGCCCAACTGTATCAGGCTTGGAGGCCTCTCTCTCCATGTCAGTTTCCCTAAGCTTACCTCATTCCTTTTACTTATTTATTTATTTTTGAGATGGAGTCTGGCTCTGTCACCCAGGTTGGAGTGCAGTGGCACGATCTCGGCTCACTGCAACCTCTGCCTCCTGGGTTCAAGCGATTCTCCTTCCTCAGCCTCCCAAGTAGTTGGGATTACAGGTCTGTGCCATCACACCTGGCTAATTTTTGTATTTTTAGTAGAGACCAGGTTTCATCATGTTGGCCAGGCTGGTCTTGAACTCCTGACTTCAAGTGATCCGCCCACCTCAGCCTCCCAAAGTGCTGGGATTACAGGCATGCATAATATAGATGCACTATAGTTTATTGAACTATTTCCAAATGATGGACATTTAGGTTGTTTTCCCTGTTAAAAATGATGATATAGTCAGCAACAAATGACTTTGTTTCTTCCAGGGACTCTTTCTCTGAGACAAATAATGGAAGTGGAATTGTCAGAGGCATGTGAACCATAGCAACTCCATCTTAAATAGGAGCTGGGTAAAATGAGGCTGAAACCTACTGGGCTGCATTCCCAGACAGTTAAGGCATTCTAAGTCACAGGATGAGATAGGAGGTCAGTGCAAAATACAGGTCATAAAAACTTTGCTGATAACACAGGTTGCAGTAAAGAAGCTGGCCAAAACTCACCAAAACCAAAATGGTGACAAGAGTGACCTCTGGTCATCCTCACTACTACATGCCCACCAGTCCTATGACAGTTTACACATGCCATGGCAACATCAGGAAGTTACCCTATATGGTCTAAAAAGGGGAGGCATGAATAATCCACCCCTTGTTTAGCATCTCATCAAGAAATAACCACAAAAATGGGCAACCAGCAGCCCTTGGGGCTGCTCTGTCTATGGAGTAGCCATTCTTTTATTCCTTTACTTTCTTAATAAACTTGCTTTCACTTTGCACTGCAGACTTGCTCTGAATTCTTTCTTGCGGGAGATCCAAGAACCCTCTCTTGGGGTCTGGATCGGGACCCCTTTCCTGTAACGGAACTGCTGGGTCAAAGGAGGAGTATATTTGAATTATCGTTGCATTTAGAGCAGTGTTTCTCAACCGTTTTTTCTGTTATTATCCTCCCCCCAGAAAAAATTAAATTGAAATTATTAAATTAAAGTAAAATGACAAGCTAATTTAATTGTAAATTAAGTTAATTAAATTACATTAAATTTCTCCCTGATACGAGAAATTAAATACTAAAGAATAAGATTTTGTTGAGTAGGGTTGTAATATTGCCCCCTTTGAGAATGCATGATTCGGATAAACACAAGTTGAAAACTTTTTGTTTGGCGAGTCTATGGAATAGACACATCCCTCTGTTGTAAGGGTTGTAAGATCCAACTCTTGAAACCTGTGCAGCCTCTAGTAATTGTAGCTTGTCTGGAGCCCTTCAAAAATATTTACTAAATGGAACTGAATGTTGATAACACAACGTCTTAGAACATTATCATACCCGCCATAAAGCAGAGCAGATAGACTGGGTTAATTTATTCTCCTTCCTTTTACATTAATTAACATTGTCAAGAATCACTAGAATGTCACTTGATAATTCACAGAGAAAAAACATGGAGAAGAAATAATTGGGCCGGAGGCTGTCACTCGTGAGAGCTTGCTTAGGCATTCCTTTTGCAGAAGCTGTGCATCATTGAGGAGCAGGGAACCTGGCCCATGAGGCTCATTGTTTGACATATGCTCTGTGAAAAGTAGGGTGGCAGGAAAACCTAAGCTGTTGCATTTGCTATGTGAGAAAAAACTTGATGGCCCCGAAAGAAACTGGCCCCCCTGATGTGGGAAAACTGCAAAAGGAAAGGCATGACATTTAGAAATCATTTCTTTAGCTCTGTCGTATGAATCCAGTGATCATATTAGATGTGAAAGGAAGGGGACTTTCAATCATTACAGGAACAAGACAAAAGTCACCAAGCAGAGAGAATAGGAATAGGGGCACAGACACAGCTGTTGTCTCAGTGCTGTTGGGAGAATAAGGATGCTTTTGCCGTCTCTACTGCAGAAAAGCTGTGGTCTAATCTTTCTGCCTTGCACTGGCTGTGTTGCTTGGACAAATTGCTTGGTGGCTCTGGTCCTCAGCTGGGCTGCATGAGCTGGAAGCAAAGGTTTTGCTCAAATCACTTGAGTGGAGAGATTTGATGTCAAAACATTTGGAATTACAGCTGAGAGCTAATAAAATGCTAATGTAGGAATGAAAAGACTTCCTGGAGTTCTAAGTAACATTTTTATGTATGTGTGAACATTTTAATTTTCATATTTATGGTTTCACTTTAAAGTGAATTAGAAAAAAATCACATTAAACTACTGACTTCATAGATAATATTTATTGCTTTGGATGTGTCTCTTAAGAAACAAAATTCATTGTAAATTGACTTAAATAAAAATAACACATAAGGGTTGTATATGGATATGGTTAAAAAAAGACTGAAGGAGTTTTGGAATGAATACGGTTTGGGAAACAGTGACTATGCCATTTTTTTTTCCCCCTAGAATTGGCTCCATGCCCCACCACTTAGCATAGACTGGTCAGAAGCAGTTAAAATCATTCCTTGTGTTTTCTGTAGCTGAGAAGGAAGAACATGGAAGAACTCTCCAAGATGGTTTCAGCACTTTTGTTAGGAATCCAAAACATAAGACATTTTCTCTTAAAAATACTAATAGCTAACTTTTATTGAGGGCTCCTTGTGCCAGGCACTATTCTAAATATTTTATGTATTTTCTTTCATCTAATCCTCATGACAACCCTGGGAACTAAATTCCAGTATTACCCTTTTTTTTTTTTTTTTTTTTTGAGATAGGGTCTCATTCTGTCACCCAGGCTGGAGTGCAGTGCCGCAATTTTGGCTCACTGCAACCTCTACCTCCCAGGTTCAAGCGATTCTCCTGTCTCAGCCTTCTGAGTAGCTGGGACTATAGGTGCACGCCACCACGCCCAGCTAATTTTTGTATTTTTAGTAGAGATGGGGTTTTACCATGTTGGCCAGGCTGGTCTTGAACTCCTGACCTCGAGCGATCCTCCCACCTTGGCCTCCCAAAGTGCTGAGATTACAGGCGTGAGCCACCACACCTGGCTAGTATTATCATTTTTGTCTCCATTTCACAGATTAGGAAATTGAGGTCCAGAGAGCCTGTTGCTTAAGGCTCCAGAGCTGATAAAGTAGCTAGGCTTTGAACTCAGGCAGACTAATTCCAGGGCCTGTCATTTTCTCCATGCCATTCTTATGATTGCAAGACCTCCCAGAATGAGGAATCCTTCCTGCTGGAACAGCTAGGAGTCTCGATTTTTCCGGAAGCTTGAGGCTGGCTTCCTAGACAAGTGCTTCTCACACTTTAATGAGCTTTCCAAATCACCAAGGGATCTTGTGTGAAAACCAGGATTAAGGAGATGTGGGTTGGGACCAGAGATCCAGCATTTCTAACAAGCTCCCAGGCAATGCTGCTCCTGATGATCCCTGGAGTGTGCTTTGAATAGAAAGGTCAAGAGCCTCTTATTTTTATGGAATGCACCTCTCTTGCTTTTTATTCCCCTGCCCTGTCTCCAAGGCATCAACTGAGTTCAGGGTGCACATGAAGTTGGATACAAACCCACGTTGTTGAGACCGGACATTTGGCGATTAGATTCAGCACAGATGTGTCCTCAGATTTCTCCCTTTCTTTGTTGGCTACAAAGGGAGCATATCTAACTCCTCTCAAAGAGAAAAGCAACCAATGGCATCATGTCCATAGGGCAAAGGCTTAGCTCTCCCTTTTTAGGGAAACAAGATTCCTAATACATTGAGAGAGCGTTCAGTGTTAGTCTTGAGCCTTGGGCTGCAAACCTGTTTTTTTAACTTTATGTAACATCTTGGCTCTTTTTCCAAAAAGAAGTGTTTCAAAATTGTTTGACGTCCCTGCTCTGGGATGTCTACAAAGAGACAAATTGTCCTTTCATATGAGTTGACCTGGCAATGAAGCATGGCCTGTCCCTTTTGCTGTCCAGAAATCTCCCAAACTTGTGGCCGGTAACCTCTTCCTTTCTATCCTTTCCGAAGATTCCCTTTGGATGGAAGTCAGCTGTGAATGCTCTCCTGATTTGCATTCAATTGTATAAATTGTCATAGGTACGACTCTTTGTTCAGAAGCTTGAGTGTATGAGAAAAACAACTTATAATGTATTTTTGAAATTCAATCTAATTTATATTTCAATCTCCTATTTCTCTAGGGCGGAAAAATGTAATCTCAGTTAATTTGAGGTTTCTTCCTGCCCTGGCATTGTATTTAAATTCAGGGGAACTGGATGTCTCATGGGTTTTTCTACTTTTTAATATAATCTGGTTATATGGGCATTGGGTAAGATATCTGCCGCCTGATTTGATCCTTCCTCATTGGCCCAAGCATGTCACCACGGAGACTTCCTTGTTCGTGTCTATATGGTTCATACATGGCCTTCCCCTTAATTAAAGATGTCTTCCGAGGAACATTTTGTCTAAGGTAAGAATCCTTTCCAGACTCCTAACATCATAGGCTTTTAAAACATTGGAGCCAGGAAAAATATTGTTTGTTTCTCTGCTTCCTTCTTTAAGCTCAACCTTATGCCCTAACCAATAAACATAAATTAGCTTTGCTGTTAAAAATGGAGAAAAGGCCAAAAAAGAGATACCATAGATACATATTTAAAAAATATCACTTTGCTACAAAATCTAATGTCCCAGATGAATTGCCATGCAATTTGTGCAGATCTATGTACGTTTCTATTCTTTTTCCATGCTGCACCTGTTTAAATGATAGATCATTCTCCTAAATGCTCTTCCTTGTACTTGTCCTTCTCTGCTATGGTTCACTCAGCCTCTGGCAAAGAAGTATGGAACTGGGAGAGGTGGAAGATTCGGAGCTAGAGGAGAAGGAAGGAGGATAATGAAGCACACCTGAGAACTTTGCTGCATCGTGGTTTTGAAAGTGTGGCTTTTACTGTTGCCCATCATATGCAACTGAGTTCAGAGGGCACATAAAGTTGGATACAAACCACTTTGGTGAACCAGACATTTGGCGATTAGATCCAGCGCAGATGCATCTATATGCAAGTTTTTAGTGAGATGAGACATAGTAATGGTGATTAACTCGATTGTTGATATAATACTGGTGGTAAGCTCATTTTAATGTGTAGTTTATTGGAGTTGTTAAGGACATTATTTTCAGAGTAAGAAAGCCACATTTGATTCCTGGCTTTGGCACTTCCACATAGTTGACTTGGGCAAGCTACTAAACCTTCCCAATTATTGCAATGGGAATAACAGTGGTGTCTATATGGTAGGATTGCTGTAAGATTTGAATAAGGTGATGTAATGCACACTAAGAGCTAAGTATAATGAGTGCCTGGCTCATGGCAAGCAGAATGAATGTTAACTTATAATAACAATCATATAAAAAGAGTCAATTTTCTGAAAATTTCCTCATTTTAGTTATCTTTAAGTAGGTCTTTTCTTTGTCCTTATTTCTGAGCATGGAAAAAACCCCAGAGGCAAAGACCATTAGTCAACTGATCTTAAGGACCAGCAGACAAAGCTTCTGATGTAAATTTGCCATCATTCCCTTCACCTCAGAAGTTATGTCTCTAACATATCTTATGTTGAGTGTGCTGACTTAGCAAACCTGATGCCCTAGTTTTAATACACAAGACTTGCAGCATGACCACCAGGAAAATGTTTCCAAATGCTTGTTGTGGAAAGAGTAGTTAGTCTGCACCTGTCAACATCGCAACTGGATTCGTCTCAAAATGCAAGACACATGGTTCGGAAGCTGGCAAAGGAAAGGATATTTTCACCCTAAAAACACAGCTCATTTCCATTAATTGAGTCTGAATAGTCACAAGTTGCAAAGCTCCAGACAGGTTTTCACAAGCCCAAGAGCAGGGACTGACAATATTTACAGCGCTCTAAGCTGAATCGTATTACTAGGAAGTTCATAAACATGGAGGATGCCTGCTCTGCTGTCACTTGTGTGATATCTGGGCTTCTGCTATGATTTTCTGGGCTCCTTTAATCCAGGACCTATGGTTGGGAATGACAAACATCTACCAGTTTCTGAGTTCCAACTCATGTTGGTTGCTATTATGCCACCCAGGTCACTCTCTTGGGAGGTCTCCATGGAGCTCCTCTTTCCATCTCTAGACACTCTCTCAATCCTTGCATGTTTCTCTCATCCTTTCTCTCAGCTTTGCTTTTTTCCCATCTAGTTTCCTCTTCAACAAAACAAAATAAACATCACAGAAATGAACCGATGTCATCCAGTTTGGCAGAAGTTTTGTCTTTATGGGGTATTATAATATTTACCTCTTTCCAAACTTCTTGATATTGAAGTTTCCTCTGACTTCTGTAGGTTCCTCTCTTAGGACTCTATAGAGTCGGGAATTTTAGTCGTTCTTCCACTTACGTCACCAGAGGATGAACATATCTGTTTTTATATGTTGCACAAGGATAGCATAAGAGACAAATGAAGTGTTGTTTCACTTCATGAACAACAAAAGAAAGATAAATAAAGTAGGAACTTTTGTTTTTAGGCAATGATGTGAATGAATTTAAATTCATATTGATTATATAAGCAATAATAATAACACATCGTGGGATTTAAAATATATTTAGATTTAAAATGTAGGCTAATTTAAACATAAATAAGAATGGGGCTGAATGGAGTTAAAGGGTTCCAAGGTCTTTGTCTGGAGAGTAGGTAAAGACACCAATTAATGTTCTGCTTTGATAAGCCAAGGATGCATGTTATAATTTCCAGGTAGCACTAAAAGAATGGTTAATGCACGTACAACTTTCATGCTAATAGAGAAAAGATGTAATAATAAAGAAATCAATTCGAAACAAGATGAGAAAAGACAAAAAAGGAACAAAGAACAGATGGAACAAATAGAAAACACATGATAGATGGTATTTTATCTGCTTGATGACATACTTACTACTGAATTATGTCCCCTTCTCTTCCCCAAATTCATATATTGAAATTCTAACCTCCAATACCTAAGAATGTGACCGTTATTTGGAAATAGTGCCTTTATAGAAGTAATCAAGGTTAAATGTGATCATTAAGGTAAATGTGATCCAAAATGACTGGTCTCTCTATAAGAAGAGAATATTAGGATACAGAGACACAGAGCAGAGATCATGTGCAGACAGAGGGAAAAGATAGCCATTTACAAGTCAGGGAGAGATGCCTCAGAAGAAGCCAGCCCAGCTGATGCCTTGATTTGGACTTCTAGCCTCCAGAACTATGAGAAAACAAGTATGTATTGTTTAAGCTGTCAGGTCTGTGGTATTTTGTTGTGGCAGCCCTAGCAAACTAATACAGCTTCCTAGACATATCAGTATTTATGTCAAATGCAAATGGACTATATGGTCAAATTAAAAGGCTCAAATTGCAATGAAAGAAGACCCTTGTTGGTTACAAGAGACATATCAAGAACACAAGAATGTGGAAAGATTAGAATAAAAAGGTGAAAAAAAAAGATAACACTATGAAAACTCTAACCAAAAGAAATTTGATGTAGCTATGTTAAGATTAAAAATGCTGTTTTTAATGCAAAAAGACTGGTAGAGATAAAGAGGAATTTCATAATGCCAGAAGGATCAATTTACCAAGAAGGTATAAAAATTCTCAATTTGTATAGATCCAGTAATATGGAATCAAAAAGGCAGAAATGAATAGAGTCACAGTCATACTGACAGATTTTTATCACACTTGTCAGTGGCTGATAAAATAAGTAGATATAAAACAGCAATAATACACAAAACTTGAATAATGCAATCAACAAATTTTACCTAAGGACATGTAGAGAATATTGCAGCCAACAACTGGAGAATACTTACTAATTTCAAGCACAATAAAAATTGGCTATATGCTGAAACGTAAAGGAAGTCTCACCAGATTTCATGATGCAAATTATATAGTGTTTGATTTCTAAACACATTTAATAAAGTTGAAAATCAGTAACAACAAATGGTCCTGGAGTAACTAGGCATCTATATGCAAAAAGTGAACTTCAACCTGTACGTTGTACATAAGAATGAACTCAAAATAGATTTTAGATCTAAATGAAAAAGCTAACATTATAAAAAAATTAGAAAAAAAAACAGAGGAGAAAAGTCTTCATGTCTTCATGGCCTTTGGAGAAGAAAAGATTTCTTACACAGATCACAAAAAGGCACTAATCATAAAAATTAGTCATAATAATTGGACTTCATTGAATTTAAAACTTTGCTTTTCGAAAGACACTGTTAAGAATCAAAGAAGCAAGCCACAGACTCAGATGAAATATTTGCAATACTCATATATGACAAATGATTTGTGTCCAGAATGTATAAGTAACTCTTGCAGCTGAATGGTAAGAGGATAACAAAAACTCAATAAAAAATGAGCAAAAGATTTGAATGCATACTTCACAAAAGATATCTTAATGGCCAAGAAGCACATGGAATGATGCCGAACATTATTAGTCATAAGATAAATACAAATTACAACCACTAAGATGGTCAAAATGTAAAAGGTTAGCAGTAGCCTGTGTTAGTGAAGATGCAGAAAAACTATAACCAGGCTGAGAGTGCTGGCTCACACCTGTAATCCCAGCACTTTGGGAGGCTGAGGTGTATGGATCACCTGAGGTCAGCAGTTGGAGACCAGCCTGTGTATGGATCACCTGAGGTCAGCAGTTGGAGACCAGCCTGACCAACATGGTGAAACCCTGTCTCTACTAAGTACAAAAAACTGGCCCAGCATGGTGGCACATGCCTGTAATCCCAGGTACTTGAGGCTGTGGCAGTGCTCATCACACAGTTTCCCACACGGGGCACCAACTGTGGCAGTGCACCTCTTATGGGGGCGCCAGCTGCGGGGAGGGGTCTGTCCGTTGCAGACCCCTGACCCGGTGACGGATGAATAACGTACACTGACACACAGATATTCTGCTTTGCCTGTCCAGCTGAGTGTGTCTCAGCCGCTTACAGACTCCCTGCTGAGTCCTGTAAACAGTCGTGACTTGGCCCTGATCAGCTAGCGAGACTCACATTTATTTGGTAAGATTAATTAATAAAGGCTTGAGCTAACACCATTAAAGGGTAATTGACATTGTGGACTTCCTGAGTAAAAAGCACTTAAGTACCTGTGGTACAATAAAGGTTAGTCTTAAGATCATATGAGTAAACAAGCTAGCTAGGTAAACTACTCTGCCTTCCTTTGTTACTACTTTAATTTTGTTTAACTAAAGATAAAGGGACCAGGCCACCTTCAGCCAGATCTATTATAGAAGTTATGCAAACTTCTCGGCCTTCCAAGAAGATTTGTGTCTATCTCTACACTATCTCTAATATTTTTCCCACCAGCCTGATTGAACCCCAACCAGAGGCTGAGGCAGGAGAATCACTTGAACCCAAGAGGCAGAGGTTGCAGTGAGCCGAGATTGCACCATTGCACTCCAGCCTGGGCAACAAGAGCAAAACTCCATCTCAAAAAAAAAAAGAAAAGAAAAACTAGAACCTCATTTATTACTACTGAGAACTGTAGAACTGCAAAGTGGTTCTAAAGTTGTAGAACCACTTTAGAAAAAATTGGGCGATTTCTTGTAAAGTTAACACATTCACTGTATGATTCAGAAATTTCATTACTATGTTGTATGTAAGAAATGAAAACACATGTCTACAAAAGAATTATATATAAATGTTTATTGTAGTTTTATTTGTAATAACAAAAAGCTGGAGACAATTCAGATATTCATCAAACAGTGAATGGATAAACAAATCGTGATATATTCATTCAATGGAACACTTCTTCAGCAATAAAAAGCAAAAAGCTACTGATACATGCAACATCATGGCTATGTCTCAAAATCATTACGATGATGAAAGAGGGTAGAGTAAATAATATGTGATTCTATCTATACAAAATTGTACAGCAAACAAAACTAGTTTGCAATGACAGAAAGCAGTTTAGTGGTTGTGGTTAAAGGTAGAGTTGGAGAACTTTTTTTGGAGTGAAAATGTATGTTCAATATATTAATTGTGGTCATGGTTACACTAATGTTTATGTTTTTCAAAACTCACAAAACTGTATTATGTATAAATGCATATAATATATTGTATGTAAATTTGAACCTAAATTAAATTGATTTAAAAAGAAAAAATCAATAAAAATATTAAGAAATACACTTCTAAATAAACCGTGAGGCACAGAGTCAATTATAATGGAAACAAAAAAAATTTGAATTGAATGATATTAAAAATATTAGATGTCAAAACTTCCTGTTAAACAAGTACTTAGTGGGAAATGCCTTAAGTACATATATTGAAAAAGAAAAAAAAGTGTTGAAAATTAATTACCAAAGTGATACGGTTTGGCTCTGTGTCCCCACCCAAATCTCATCTTGAATTGTAATCCCCACATGTCTAGGGAGGGACCTGGTTGGAGGTGACTGGAACATGTGTGTGGTTTCCCCCATGCTGTCCTCATGATAGTGAGTGAGTTCTCATGAGATCTGGTTGTTTGATAAGTGTCTAGCACTTCCCCCTTCTTTTTCTCTCTCTCTTGCCACCATGTAAGACATGCCTTGCTTCCCCTTCTTCCATGATTGTAAGTTTCCTGAGACCTCCTCAGCCACGTGGAATGTGAATCAGTTAAATCCCTTTTGTTTATAAATTACCCAGTCTTGGATAGTTCTTTATAGCAGTGTGAAAATGAATTAATACACCCAGCATCCACTCCAATAAGTTAGGAAGAAAATGGCCAAGTAAACTTCAAGGAGGCAGAAGAAAAGAAATAAATATTACAACAGACAATAATGAAGTAGAAAGCAAACATCAAAGCTAAAATTTGGCCATTTGAAAATACTAACATAATTGATAAACTTCTCATAAGATTAATTTTTTAAAAAATAAAGAATACACAGAAGACTAATGTTTGAAATAAAAATAGAGACACCACCACAGACCTTTCAGACATTAAAAAGATGACAAAATGATTTTAAAAGAAGACAAAGAAAGAAAGTAGGCACAAATGGTTACCTAAAATGAAAAGGAAGATAGCAACACTAATCCTACAGACATTAAAAAGATAAGAGGATTTTATAAATGCTGTTATGAAGTGAATTGTATTCCCTACCCCCAAATTTGCGTGTTGAGGTCCTAACCTCGAATGTGACCATATTTGGATATATGACCTTTTAAGAGGTAATTAAGGCTAAATGAGCTTGTAGGGATGGGGCCCTAATCCGATGTGACTGGTGTCCTTATGAGAGGAGAAAGAGCAACTAAGAATGTGTGCATAGAGACCAGGATGTGAAGACATAATAAGAAGGCAGTGTGGCTGGGTGCAGTGGTTCATATCTGTAATCCCAGCACTCTGGGAGGCCAAGGCAGGTGGATCATTTGAGGTCAGGAGTTCAAGACTATCCTGACCAACATGGTGAAACCCTGTCTGTACTAAAAATACAAAAATTAGCCAGGCATGGTGGCGGGTGCCTGTAATCCCAGCTACTTGGGAGGCTGAGGCAGGAGAATCCCTTGAACCTGAGAGGCGGAGATTGCAGTGAGCTGAGATCGCACCACTGCATTCCAGCCTGGGCAATAGAGTGAGACTCAGTCTCGAGAAAAAAAAAAAAAAAAAAAGGCAGCCCTCTGCAAGTCAAAGAGAGAGACCTCAGGAGAAATGAAACCTGCCAACCCCTTGATCTTGGACTTCCAGGCTCCAGAACCTGAAGAGGCAAGCCACAGACTCAGAGAAAATTTCTGTTGTTTAAGCCACCTAGTCTGTGGTATTTTGTTACAGTACCCTAGCAAACTGATACAAGCTCAAATAAATTTCATTGTTTAGATAAAAAAATAAAATCTCTTGATAAAGCAACTTACTCAAACTAACACAAGAAAAAATAGACAACCTGAATGCTCTTAGTGAAGACATTGATCCATAATTAAAAATCTTCATTCTAAGGAAGCTCTAGGCCAACGTGGCTTCACTAGCAAATTATACCAAAAAATTTAAGAAAAAAATGCTACTCTTCCACAAACTCCTCCAGAGAATGATGAAAGGTGGATCATTCTCCCAATGCATTCCCATCATAACTTTATACCAAAATAAGAATACATAAAAACCTTATTGAAATAAATGGAAAAAAGCCAGGTAGATTAGTTGAAAAATGAACATGATCTGAAGATGCACTTCAAAAGGAGGATATACAGATGGCCAATAAACTTATGAAAAGGCTCAACTTCATTACCCTGCAGGGAAACGAATGTTAAAAACACGGTGAGGTAACCGTACACACCCACCAGAATGGCTAACATTAAAATCAAGCAGTGAGGAGGAACTTGGGTAACTGGAACTCTTACACACTGCTGGCTACAGGATAAATTGGTTACAGTCACTTTGGAAAATGGTTTGGTAGTTTTTACTGAAGCTGAAGATTCATATACACTGTGACCCAGGAATTTCTCTCCTAGATATATAGCTAATATAAATAAGTGCATGCAGTTATATACAATAATTTCAAAGCAGTATCATTCATGATAACACTAAAGAGAAAACAATACAAATACCCATCAACCACAGCATGGATAAATGCATTGCAATATAGCATGCAATAAAAGTATCTATTGCAATAAAAATTAATAAATTATAGCTACATAAAAAATGGGGATCAGCTGGGTGTGGTGGCTCTCACCTGTAAATTCCAGCACTTTGGGAGGCTAAGACAGAATTGCTTGAGCCCAGAAATTTGAGACCGGCCTGGTAAACAGAGTGAGATTCTGTCTCTACAAACAAATTTTAAAAATTAGCTGGATGTGGTGGTACATGTCTGTAGTCCCAGGTACTTAGGAGGCTGAGGCAGGAGGATCACTTGAGCCCAGGAGGTGGAGGTTGCAGTGAGCTGTGATCATGCCACTGTACTTCAGCCTGGGTGATAGAATGAGACCCTGTTTCAAAAAAATGTGGATGAATCTCACAAATATGAAGTGGAGTGAAGTAAGCTATTCACAAGGATGATGACATACTCTAGGATTCCACTTATGTAAAGAACAGTATAGACTGAATAAAACTATAGATTTTAAGGATGAACAAATAGTAGGTAAAAATGACATAAAAAGGCAAGTAAGTTATTACCATAAAAGGTGGATGGTACCTTGTGGGGGAAGGATGGGGTTGTGATTAGGAAGAGGTAAGCAAAGAGGTGCTAGAGTCTTGGAAAGTTTTGTTTCTTGAACTTGATGGTTGTTATATGGGTGTATGCTTTATGGTGGCTGTGAATTTCTTTTTCACTTTTCCCTCTGTGCTTTATGTTTCACAATAAAAAAAGTTAAGATTAAATGAGAAAAGTGAGCACCCCAAATTCTTTAGAATTAAAATGTAAGTTTCATGAAAGGTATTGCTATTAGTTCTAGCCTTTGTAATCTTACATCCATTCACCTATTCATCCATCTGCCTACCACCCAACCATCCATCCATCCATCCATCCATCCATCCCTCCATTCATCTATTCTTCTATTCATCTATTCTTCTATTCATATTTCCTTTTACCATTTATTCATTCACCCACACCTGAGGCAGTTCGGTTCTCCCTAGAAAATTATAGAGATTGACAGTTTGAATAATAATGACTAGACCTTGAGATGAATGATTGAACCATTTCTGAGCTGCCTAGTTTTCCTCTCTTGGAAGCCAACATGTTCCTCACTAAGAACTGGGCATGGGTTTGGTTTTCTATTGATGTGAAGCCTTACACAGTTGTAAGATCTGTAGATCTGGGCTAGGGTACAGAGAAATTGACTGTCCACTTTCTTTTAATTTGCATTCATTGATAAGATCATTATGAACCTGTGCTGACACAGCTATAATCTCAGGGAGAGGCACACACAGTCCCATGTTGCATAACAATGTTTTTGTCAATGAAGGATCACATATATGACAGCGGTCCCATTAGATTATAATACTGTAATTTTACTGTACCTTTTCTATGTTTAGATACACAAATACTTAGCATTGTGTTACAATTGCCTACAGTATTCAGTACAGTAACATGCTGTACAGGTTTGTAGCCTAGGAGCAATTGGCCATATCATGTAGTTTAGGTGTGCAGTAGGTTATACCATCTAGGTTTGTATAAGTGCACTCTTGGATGTTCACACAGTAACAAAATCACCTAATGATGCATTTTTTGAATGTATCTCTGTCATTAAGTGATGCATGACAAATAAATGCCCATATACCTGGAATCAGAAATTCCATTCCTAAGAATCTATTCTCAGAAAATACTAGTGCTGGTACTATAAAGATGCAAGTACAAAAAGTGTTTATTTCTGAGTTGTTTGTAATGGCAAAAACAATGTAGAAATATCTTAAATTTCCATCATTAATGGACTGATGAAAGAAATTATGGAAAAGTCATATGATGAAGCATAACTTCACCTTTTATAAATGAGATTTATGATGACCTAGAAAGTTCTCCAAGTTATATTATTAAATGTAAAAGGCAAATTACAGAATAATACATTTGATAATAAGATATCACTTGAATAGAAATGGTAGTTCTCAATATATATGTGCAGGTACTTGCATATGGAGTCCAAAAGGATATACATACACTCCAATTTTAATGGGTGATTTATGGGGAAAGAAATGAGATTGGGGGAAAGGAAACTGAAAAGGGACTTTAAGATTACCGTACTTTATAATTCTAAATTTTAGAATTGTTACAAGAACACATTCATGCATTACTTGTGTGTTTTAAAAGTAATTTTTAAACCTTTAGTTAGAAAATTAAAAAGTAATGCCTGATCATTTTTTAAAAATTAGAAAATATATAAAATAATGAAGAAAACATTTAAAAATCTGTATTTTCCTTATCCAGACCCCTTCAAGTCTTATTTTAATAATTATAATACTGTATTTTTACTGTGCCTTTTCAAGCCTAGTTTGTGCTTGACAGTCATAGAATGAACCAATCTTTCCAAGCCTTGCTTCAAGCACCAAATTCTACTGAAATAAAAGACCTTGCCTTGTACAATGAAGATGACGTTGAGCTAGGGATTAGATGATTTAATTTAAATTGCATCCGTAACCCAGGTCACCTTGAACAAGTTATTTAACCTCTCTGAGCTCAGTGAACAGGTTTGCAAAATGAGGATAATAACGTCGGTCTTTCTGCAGGACTACTGTGAGGATTAACGAAGTAATCTGTGACATTGTGCTTTGCCTCTACGTGGACCTAGTATATTATCAAGACTGTCATAGATGGCTCTTATTATTTTGAGATACGTCCCATCAATACCTAATTTATTGAGAGTTTTTAGCATGAAGCGTTGTTGAATTTTGTCAAAGGCCTTTTCTGCATCTATTGAGATAATCATGTGGTTTTTGTCTTTGGTTCTGTTTATATGCTGGATTACATTTATTGATTTGCGTATATTGAACCAGCCTTGCATCCCAGGGATGAAGCCCACTTGATCATGGTGGATAAGCTTTTTGATGTTCTGCTGGATTCGGTTTGCCAGTATTTTATTGAGGATTTTTGCATCAATGTTCATCAAGGATATTGGTCTGAAATTCTCTTTTTTGGTTGTGTCTCTGCCCGGCTTTGGTATCAGGATGATGCTGGCCTCATAAAATGAGTTAGGGAGGATTCCCTTTTTCTATTGATTGGAATAGTTTCAGAAGGAATGGTACCAGTTCCTCCTTGTACCTCTGGTAGAATTTGGCTGTGAATCCATCTGGTCCTGGACTCTTTTTGGTTGGTAAGCTATTGATTATTGCCACAATTTCAGCTCCTGTTATTGGTCTGTTCAGAGATTCAACTTCTTCCTGGTTTAGTCTTGGGAGAGTGTATGTGTCGACGCATTTATCCATTTCTTCTAGATTTTCTAGTTTATTTGCGTAGAGGTGTTTGTAGTATTCTCTGATGGTAGTTTGTATTTCTAAGAGCTATCTATGACAAACCCACAGCCAATATCATACTGAATGGGCAAAAACTGGAAGCATTCCCTTTGAAAACTGGCACAAGACAGGGATGCCCTCTCTCACCACTCCTATTCAACATAGTGTTGGAAGTTCTGGCCAGGGCAATTAGGCAGGAGAAGGAAATAAAGGGTATTCAATTAGGAAAAGAGGAAGTCAAATTGTCCCTGTTTGTAGATGACATGATTGTATATCTAGAAAACCCCATTGTCTCAGCCCAAAATCTCCTTAAGCTGATAAGCAACTTCAGCAAAGTCTCAGGATACAAAATCAATGTACGAAAATCACAAGCGTTCTTATACACCAACAACAGACAAACAGAGAGCCAAATCATGAGTGAACTCCCATTCACAATTGCTTCAAAGAGAATAAAATACCTAGGAATCCAACTTACAAGGGATGTGAAGGACCTCTTCAAGGATAACTACAAACCACTGCTCAAGGAAATAAAAGAGGATACAAACAAATGGAAGAACATTCCATGCTCATGGGTAGGAAGAATCAATATCGTGAAAATGGCCATACTGCCCAAGGTAATTTACAGATTCAATGCCATCTCCATCAAGCTACCAATGACTTTCTTCACAGAATTGGAAAAAACTACTTTAAAGTTCATATGGAACCAAAAAAGAGCCCGCATTGCCAAGTCAATCCTAAGCCAAAAGAACAAAGCTGGAGGCATCACACTACCTGACTTCAAACTATACTACAAGGCTACAGTAACCAAAACAGCACGGTACTGGTACCAAAACAGAGATATAGATCAATGGAACAGAACAGAGCCCTCAGAAATAACGCCGCATATCTACAACTATCTGATCTTTGACAAACATGAGAAAAACAAGCAATGGGGAAAGGATTCCCTATTTAATAAATGGTGCTGGTAAAACTGGCTAGCCATATGTAGAAAGCTGAAACTGGATCCCTTCCTTACACCTTATACAAAAATCAATTCAAGATGGATTAAAGACTTAAACGTTAGACCTAAAACCATAAAAACCCTGGAAGAAAACCTAGGCATTACCATTCAGGACATAGGCATGGGCAAGGACTTCATGTCTAAAACACCAAAAGCAATGGCAACCAAAGCCAAAATTGACAAATGGGATCTAATTAAACTCAAGAGCTTCTGCACAGCAAAAGAAACTACCATCAGAGTGAACAGGCAACCTACAACATGGGAGAAACTTTTCGCAACCTACTCATCTGACAAAGGGCTAATATCCAGAATCTACAATGAACTCAAACAAATTTACAAGAAAAAAATAAACAACCCCATCAAAAAGTGGCGAAGGACATGAACAGACACTTCTCAAAAGAAGACATTTATGCAGCCAAAAAACACATGAAAAAATGCTCATCATCACTGGCCATCAGAGAAATGCAAGTCAAAACCACAATGAGATACCATCTCACACCAGTTAGAATGGCAATCATTAAAAAGTCAGGAAACAACAGGTGCTGGAGAGGATGTGGAGAAATAGGAACACTTTTACACTGTTGGTGGCACTGTAAACTAGTTCAACCATTGTGGAAGTCAGTGTGGCAATTCCTCAGGGATCTAGAACTAGAAATACCATTTGACCCAGCCATCCCATTACTGGGTATATACCCAAAGGACTATAAATCATGCTGCTATAAAGACACATGCACACGTATGTTTATTGCGGCATTATTCACAATAGCAAAGACTTGGAACCAAGCCAAATGTCCAACAATGATAGACTGGATTAAGAAAATGTGGCACATATACACCATGGAATACTATGCAGCCATAAAAAATGATGAGTTCATGTCCTTTGTAGGGACATGGATGAAATTGGAAATCATCATTCTTAGTAAACTATCGCAAGAACAAAAAACCAAACACCGCATATTCTCACTCATAGGTGGGAATTGAACAATGAGAACACATGGACATAGGAAGGGGAACATCACACTCTGGGGACTGTTGTGGGGTGGGGGGAGGGGGGAGGGATAGCATTGGGAGATATACCTAATGCTAGATGACGAGTTAGTGGGTGCAGCACATGAGCATGGCACATGTATATGTATGTAACTAACCTGCACATTGTGCACATGTACCCTAAAACTTAAAGTATAATAATAAATAAATAAATAAATAAATAAATAAATAAAAAAGAGGAACAACAACAACAAAAAAGACTGAGATTTTTCTTGCAACCAAAAGATAAATGAAAGATACTTGTGAGAGTTAATCACCTCCTTCAGGAAACAGGTTCTTCAGATTATTGGAAACATTTATCAATTTACCATGTCTCTGGCACAGACATCAGCAGAGCCAAGAGTAACCGGAATGGGTACCTCAATCTGAGCAACGAGGAAACAGAGTTATGCTTCAGGAAAGGAAATAGACACTTGTTTTGCTTTTGTCTTGAACAAAATGCTTGGATTTTAACATACAAGTAGTGTTTGCATCACCTCTTGAGATTGTGTAGTGGGTATTTTTTGAGGTATAGCCCCAGCATCCCATGATCCTGTCTTTGTGCCCTTATCAAGAATAGTGGACCCCTGGAAGCCATTTTGTATGATGTGACCTCACCCCTGGTCACCGATGATTGGCTTAAAAAGGGGCAGCTTGCTCAAGCCGGCCCAATCAGAGTATCTCTTCCAGGAGCGAGCTTGGAAAATGCCAGCCTCTCTATTGACCGAAGCTGTATCAGTTAACCCTTTGATGGCATAATAACCTTCTTCTTTACATTTATTAAAAGTGAGATTTTTGTATTCCATTGATTTTTGTCCTAACTCAGAGGATAGAATTTGTCAGTAGTGGTAAGACTAAAATTATACCTGTTGTGGTTTTCTGGCTCTTCTATCTGTCACGCTTTCTTTCTCGCTTTCTCCCCTTAACCCTCCTACCCTCACTCCCTGCCCCCGTCCTTTTTCTAATCATGCACATAAACAAAGGGATAGACATATTCACAAAACAGTAGTACTTGTCACGAACATTTTTTTTCCCACTGCTGTGAAAGTTTAAAAAAACCAACGAAATAATAATAGGCTTTCCCATCCACAACCCCCATTCCTTACCAGCTGTTGTATTTTATAAGCCAACAAAACAAACTTGTGGCTGGACAAAGCAGCTTCCAGAAGAGGCAGGCAAATTCATTTCTAGGCCAGCAGTTTAATTGGATGCAACAAAGAACATGGTGTGGCTTTTCTGGGCACTTGAAGTAGAGGCAGGCTTTTCGTTCCAGCAAACACAGGCTGCAGAAGCTGTATGATTTGTAGTAATTCATTCGACATGAGCAACAATTGTGAAGAAGCTTTGTGTCATCAATATGAGTCCCCAAACAAGTATTTTAAAATAATGACCTTCACAGCCAAATTTATAACGGTATCCTCTCTACCACCCACTGCCCCCCATGAGTAGCTGAGAAGCCAGTCTGGGGGTGTGGGAAGGTAGGATCCTCCCAAGAGGAATGAAAACACTGGAGAGAGAGAGAAGAAGAAAAGAATAAGGAGAAATCATTCTTCCTGGTCTCCTGATGGCTTTCCTGTTCCTGATTCCTGTTCTTCAGTTCCATGAGACACTCCAGCTGCCTTATAATAAATCACCCTTTATTTATTTATTTATTTATTTTTTTGCTAAAGTTGGCTTGAGTGAAGTTCTGATACTTACAACAAAAGAAATCTAAATAATACTAAGAGATATAACTACCCTCCTTTTCCAATGAGGAAACCGAGAGTCAATGGGGTGAAGTAACTTGCCCAAGGTCAAATGGCTTTCCTCCCCAGGTTTATTTCACTCCCAAGACCAGGACCTTTCCACAGAGCTGATGAGGACAAGAAATGTCTAAGCTGACAGCAGCCTGAATTATGAGGGCACGCTGCCTTGCTGATCTTCTCTCTCTGCAAGAAGTCATCTAATAAGAATCTCATTCCTCATTTATTTGTTTTTCCTGTGCTTTCTTATAATTCGTCTTCCCATTTTTCTGGTCAGGAGGAAAACCCTGCCTCCAGCCACAGCCCTGAAAATCTCTGAGTTATGGTGGGTTGATGAGAGAGGGATTTGGAAACGAGATTTTGATTCTCCTCCTCTCCGATCTGAGGCCAGGCAGCATGCTTGCTGTTTAACCGCTGTTAATTAATTGTGTACTATGAGATTAAATATATCTATTAGGCTACTAGCCTTTACCATCATCATTACAAGTCCATGAATGTTAAAATGTACAGGAGGAATTGTGAAGATTTACTGACATCAAAAGTTCTTCTGGAAACAAACTTTGTAAAAAAAAAAAAAGATGTATTAAATTATTTTAATTGTGGGAAAAAAAAAGCAAGTGGCAAATTTTAGTCTTGTCAGTCTTCCAAAGATCAACACACTCTAGCTTCCCTTCCACCTTGTCTCATACACAGGCATTTCTGAGATGAAAGAAGTGGGCCCTGCCATTGAACAGAATTTATGCATTTAAATATTCATCATTTCTGTGAAAAAGAGAAGAAAGTAAGTATCACCCATAAACCTATAATCTTAGTGCCATCCGTGTTTGAAATTTGGTACATTTTTTTCCCCATCCTTTTTCTTATGCATCAGTTTCATTCAGAGGTGTTGTCAAATGTCTATTTAATTTCTAACATGCTTTTAAAAAACTTAACATGACAGTATTAGCATTTTCCACACTGCTGCCTGTTTTTTTACACCCATAAATGTAAGGACAGGCAAAATTTAAGATTGTAGTGTAATTATGGTGGACATTCGCATGCTGTATGTAGCCTTCCTCTCTCCAAAGGCCAATACGCTTATTATTAGGAGATGAGCCAAATATTCCTTCTCCCCACTCCACAGAAGCCAGGACAGGGGAACAGGATGTAAGTTCAGCCACATAATGCTTTAAGCCTAGTGAGAGGAGTGCAAAGGTACAGGAAGATGAAAAATGATTCCGTGTAGAGGTGGCACTGAGGGTGTGTCAATGGCTGCTGGGTGTGAACTGGTGGATCCAGCGGCAGCATATAACATCATTCCTGGGGCGTGACCCTGTCTCTCTTCCCACTTCTCAGTCTCTCTTGGTTCCTGCCATTCCCAATCCAGGTTCTTCCTCCTCCTCATAGACTTAGAACTCTCTGTTACCTTTTTAATAATTTCCTTTCTGCCTACATTAGCCAGAGGCATATCATAGCCAGAAACTCTATCCCTGGAACTAGGTCTTCACAGCTTGGACAGCTGAGTTCATTCATTCTGTTCAGTTAAAAACTATTTATTAAACCTCTACCATGTATCTTGTGCTGCTCTAGGAAGTAGAAATACGGTAATAAGAATCAGTTTTAAAAAAATCATCACTCAGCTGGGTGTGGTGACTCATGCCTGTAATTTCAGGACTCTGGCAGGTTGAGGCAGGTGGATCACTTGAGTCCAGGAGTTTGAGACCAGCTTGGGCAACATGGCGAAACCCTGTATCTACAAAAAATACAAAAATAAGCCAGGCATGGTGGCGAGTGCCTGTAGTCCCAGCTATATAGGAGGCTGAGGTGGGAGGATACTGAGCCCAGGAGGTCAAAGCTGCTGTGAGCCATTGTCATGCTACTGCAGTCCAGCCTGGGTGAGAGAGTGAGACTCTGTCAAAAAAAAAAAAAAAAAATCACCACTCACATGGAACTTACTTTCTAGTGGAATTCTGGTATGTTTTAATGGAAGATAAGGTTGTATCTGAATTACTATTGGTAAAGGTGAGCAAAATTTAGAGTGATGTAAACAGTTAAGGAGAGGTGCTTATAAGGTTCCAAATGGTTAAACTGTATATAAACCCTAGTTCAGAATGGAAAGCCTGCATGACCTCTACTTGCTTTAAGTTATGTAGTCATGTGTCGCTTAACAAAGGAGGCACGTTCTGAAAAATGTGTTGTTAGGAGATTTTGTCATTGTATAAACATTATAGAGTACGCTTACACCAACCTAGATGGTATAACCTCCTACACACCTAGGCTATATGGGGTAGCAAATTACTCCCAGGCTACAAACCTGTACAGCATGTTACTGTACTGCATGCTGTAGGCAATTGTAACACAATGGTAAGTATCTGTATTTCTAAACATATCTAAATATTGAAAAGGTAGAATAAAAATAAGGTATTATAATCTTATGGGATCACCTTCATGTATGCAGTCTGTCATTGAACAAAACATCATTACGTAGCATATGACTGTATTTATGTGTTTCCAAACATATCAGCAGTGTGTGAAAGTGCTCCTTATCCTGCCTTATTGCTGACATGGGATATTATCAGTAGTTGTTAAATATTTGCTAGACATCAGGAAGAATAGCT
This sequence comes from Homo sapiens, assembly GCF_000001405.40. Lineage (NCBI taxonomy): Eukaryota > Metazoa > Chordata > Mammalia > Primates > Hominidae > Homo > Homo sapiens. The sequence goes on from NC_000017.11 coordinate 68,660,552, forward strand.
AATGGATGCTGTCCTTGATAGCTGGGTGATGGGTTGGTCTTTCAGCAAATCATCATGGCACGCGTTTATCTATGTAACAAACCTGCACATCCTGCACATGTACCCCAGAACTTAAAGTAAAAGTTGAAGGAAAAGAAAAATATTTGCTACAATGATTTTTGTCTCTTTAGAGTTTAAAAAAAGGTGAGCATATTTTCATGTTTGCTCATGGTTTGTTTCTTTTTGGGTAATTTGTTTTCTTTACCTCATTTTGTTTTCTGTTGAGATGTTTGCCCATTTCTTGTTGATTGGCAATAACTCTATAGTCTAGATATTATTTCTTTATCTATCATATTTGCTGCAAATATTTCTCCCAGCCTATTATTGGTTTGTTTTAACTTTGTGGTATCTTTTGTAGTGCAGATTTTTTTTATTTTTGTGTAGCCAAATCTGTCAAATCTTCTCATTTTTACCTTCTCAGTTTTATGTCTTGCCCAGAAAGGCTTAGCTTTAGAATTATAAAAACATTTTCTAATGCTTTTATAGTCTTGTGCTTTATCTTTAGGTATTTAATACATCTAGAATTCATTTTTGTAAGTGGTATGAAGGAGGAATCTAACCTCTTTTTTTAAATGGAAAGCCCCAACACAGTTTAGTAAATACTGATTCTTTTTGTCCTCCCCTTCAAAAATGCTACACGTACGCTATATGCCCTCATATTCATGCTTCTGTTTCTGGGATGAAAAGAATGAATTCTAACATGCAACTAACTCCAAATCAATATTTCTTATGGAGATATGCAATTTCCCAATATGAAAACCAAACTAACTCACCCAACTCAGATTATTCTTTTGATTTCATACCTTCAGCATTGTGGCTGGTTTTCTTTCTCACATGCATGTTACCCGGGGTTGCTCCTGAAACAGTTTACCATATAAATAGACTTCATTTCCCCAGCAAACGAGGGCAGGTCTGGTAGTTTTTTCTGTTTCACATATTCCCCAACCCTATAGGGTTTTACATGGAGCTACAAATTAGCCAATTTCAACAGACTTTGCTTTTGGAATATTCTTTATGCCTTGTTCTCATTTGCTTCCAGGAGAAATCATAATATTAAGGATTCTTGGGAGTGAGAAGGAGACATAATATATTCTAATAATATTAGAGTCACACGCACATAGGAATCACATAGATTCCTTGGTTTCATCCCTAAAGTTTCTGATTTATTGGTGTAAGATTTAGCCCTAGAATTTGCACTTAAAAAAAATCAGGCCTTTGCTCTTCCTGCAGCCTACTCTGTTATTTGTAAATAAGACAGCAATTGGGCAACCAGAGCTGTGAGAAAAAAAAAACTGGTATAGCAAGTGATTCTTTAGGGCCACTGTTGCTATTTTAATAACAAAGGATGCTACAAATAAACCCTTCAGTCCTGTCATTTCCAAGGCCATTTTGACATTTATTTCAATAAATAACAACAAATTATTTCAATAAATAACAACAATAATAAATAGCAACAAGCTGGAGGTGTCTTTCTAACTAAATGAATCAGCAAGGCCTCCCCCCAAAAAGAAAAAGGAAAATCCAAAAGCACCAGATTATAAACATCACTGTTGAGTGTCTTTCAGAGTGAATGGAGATTATGCCATTACACCCACACACTTCTCTCTCTTCTAAAGGCACCATCCGCGGAAAGATTCTGATGCTAACATCAGTCAGTTGTTGTGGAAGATGACCTAGAATGAACCATTGCTTCTTTTTCTACCGTCTATTCTGGAAATTATTAACAGATAGATTCCCGAGCCAGAAGTTGAGAAAACACTGGGAGGTTGTTTATTCTGATCTGGATTTTTAGAGATGCAAATGCAGCAAAGGAGTTATGAACATAATGAAGGGAATCACAGTATTTTAACCAGCCATCTGTACATCAAGGCCTCATTGTGTCTTCCTGAAAAAAGGTAAATGGGTGCTCTATTTGTCAAGAGAGGAGAAGTGACTTCTGGAATCTTTACTTCTGATAACTCAAGTCCAGACCCAGCAAATTAGTTCATTTATAAAGCATCTCATTTCTCAGTGCCAATGCATATGCCCATAACCACCCTTGTCTCAGCACAAATATACATGCAAATGCATGCACATAAGTTGTGCTGCTTTTGTTTTCACAGTTGCAAAATGATTGCTGTACCCAAAATTGCATTCCTATTTAAGGCAGGAAGAAGGGGGGAGGGCAAAAGGATAAAAACTCAAGCCAGTTGGGTCCATTCTTAACAAGAGCTCTTCCGGAAGCCTGTCTAGCAACTTCCATTTGCATCTCCACTGTTGAGTCCAGCAGCACGGATAGCTAGGGATAATGACTATTGCAGTAGGGAATATTCTATCTTGAATATTGAATATGAAGATGGGGATGCGGTGGGTAGGTAAAAAGGGGAGAATGAATACCGATAGTTAAGTAGCAGTGTCTGCCTTGGTTTACCCCAAGTATTTCTCAAACCTATCCAATTTTCTCCTTCCCTACCGCCAACATCCCAGTGAAACCACAATCCACTCTCAGCTGGACATTCTTCTAGCTGGTCTTCCTGCACAGCAAAAGGATGTTTATCTTTTAAAACTTACATCTATTATGCTGCTCTGCTGGTTAAAACTTATAATGTCTTCCTATATTAGTTAGAATAAAATCTGCACATGTTTTTATGACTTAAAATGCCCACATGACTTGATATCTCCCACTTATTTTTTTCCCTTCTTTCCTCCTGGTTTGTGACAGTCCAGGCACGTTGGCCTCCCTGCAGTGCTTTAAGCATGTCATGCTCTTTCCTATCTTAGGGCCTATGTACTTGTTTCTCCCTCTGCCTGCCTTCTCTCATTCTTCAACTTTTTGTTCAATGTCACTTTTTTTTTTGACCATCCCATCTGGAACACTGTGATGGTTTTTTTGATGTGTCAACTTGGCTAAACTACAGTCTCCAGTTCACAAACAAACAAACAAACACGAGCTTAGGCTTTGCTGTGAAGATCTTTTGTAGATGTGATTAAAGTCCATAATCAGTTGACTTGAAAAAAGGATGATTATCCTAGATCATCTCAGTGGGCCTGTTTCAATCAGTTGAAGGGACTTAAAAGCAGAACCAAGGCTTCCCTGAAGAAGAAATTCCACCTGTGAACAGCAGCTTCAATCCATTCCTAAAGTGCCAGCCTGCCCTGTGGATTTCGAAGCTACCTAGGCAGGTCCCACAACTGAGTAAATCGATTCCATGCAATAAATCTCTTAATATACATCTCCTACTGGTTCTGCTTTCCGGGTTAAACCCTGATCGATAACAATCCTCCTCCTCCCACCTACTAGTTGATCTTTATCAAACTGCCCCATTTATTTATTCAAAAGCACTGCTCTTCTGAAAAATTCTCTTGCTCATTTATACATTTTCTGTTCTGTTTTTTTGTCTTCCCTACTCGGATGTCTGCTCCATGAAGGCAGAATCAGTGCCTACCACATTCAACACTGTAGAACAATACATAGCCCATAGTCCATGGTCACTAAATATTTGCGGAAAGAAAGAATGAATGGGAATCTAGTAATAAAATCTGGCCCAACAATTCACTCCCAGGTTACATTAAATTACACTTCTTGGCCGGGCACAGTGGCTCACGCCTGTAACCTCAGCACTTTGGGAGGCCAAGGCGGGCAGATCTTCTGAGGTCAGGAGTTCGAGACCAGCCTGGCCAATATGGTGAAACCCCATCTCTACTAAAAATACAAAAAAATTATCTGGGCGAGGTGGCAAGTGCCTGTAATCCCACCTACTGGGAGGCTGAGGCAGGAGAATTGCTTGAACCTGGGAGGCGGAGGTTGCAGTGAGCCGAGACCGCGCCATTGCGCTCTAGCCTGGGCAACAAGAATGAAACTCTGTCTCAAAATAAATAAATAAATAACACTTCTCAGTTATAACTGCAGAAATTATTTGACAAGACTGCAAGGAAAAATATTTGAGGATATTGATTATATTGGGAACTAACATAAATATTCACTGATAGGACATCTGTTAAATGCATTGTGGTACATTCATTCACTGAAATGCTATACAACTACTGAAAATGAAAAGGTAGCTCTATATGTGTGGATAAGAAAATAATTTCAACAAATGCTACTAAGTGAAGAAAGGAGGCTGTTAGACCACATGTATGGTAATTAATCTTCACAAGTATTTAAAAGAAAAAGATAACATGAGAAACCACATTTTCAAATGGCTGCTTCATGATATATACTTGTGACTAACAAAAACCCTAAGATAGCTTAAAGTATGAAAGATGGTGAAATCTGCTGTCTAAGTCATTGAGAAGAATTATAAAATGTAATGTTTAAGGAAAGTTCAGACAGATGGAGTAACTGTTTCTTTTCCTTTTTCCTAGGGCTCTGTGTTTGTTATGTGATGGCTGGGGTGGTAGGTTGTATAAACATCATGCTTTCCTTCTCCTCTCTTCTCAAAATATCACAGGGATGTAATCGATGACTTTTCTGGCTACAGTGTATTACTTATTTGGAATATTCACATCTGGATCAATTGTCAGCACGTTTCTTGGTTGTTGCTTTATTCATTCATGTATTCAACTAATATGTTGAACTAAGCACCCTGGTTGGGCATCGAGCTTAGGAAAGTACCTTCATGAGATAGTTTCTCTCTTCAAGGAGTGTTATAATTTACTCCCAAGCATCACTCACATTGTGAAACCCACATATTACTCCAAACAATTGTTAGAAGATGATAGGGCAGATTCTGTTACATTCAGAAAACCCCAAGAGGCTCAATGACTTATCTGGGAGAACCTGGAATTGTCTCTTAACTGGCATTCAGTGCTCATTGAAAGCCAGCTCACAGGCCCTTTCTTTCATCCCAGAAAGTGATTCCAGGTTTTTCCTTTGGCTCTTTTATAGAAGGGTGCCTCTTATGGGTTTAACTATGTCTCTGCAAAAATTCATTTGTTGAAATCCTAGCTCCCATCATCTCAGAATGTGACCTTATTTAGAAACAGGGTGGTTGCAGATGTAATTAGTTGAGATGATGTCATACTGGAGTAGAGTGGGTCCCTAATCCAATATGACAGGTGTCCTAATGAAAAAGAGAAAGGCTGGGTGTGGTGGCTCCCCTCTGTCATCCCAGCACTCTGGGAGGCCAAGGCGGAAGGATCACTTGAGGTGGAAGGATAGCTTGAGGCCAGGAGTTTGAGACCAGAAGTTTGAAACCAGGAGTTTGAGACCAGCATGGGCAACGTAGTGAAATCCCATCTCTACAAAAAAATTAAAAAATTAGCTGGGCATTGTGGCAGGTACCTGTAGTTCCAGCTACTTGGGAGGCAGAGGCAGGCGGATTGCTTGAGACTGGGAGGGGGGATGCAGTGAGGTGTGCTTGTGCCACTGCACTCCAGCCTGGGCAACAGAGTGAGATCCTGTCTCAGAAAAAGCGGGGGAGAAATTTGGACACGGACACTCAGGCACACAGGGAGAGCACCGTGTGAAGGTAAAGGCAGGATAGGGGTAACGCAGTAGAAGCCAATGTGCACCCAAGACTGCCAGCAAGCTGCCAGAAGCGAGGGGAGAGGCAGGGAACACTTCCTCCCTCACAGCCTCAGAAGGAACCAAGCCTGCCGACACCTTGATCTAGACTTCTGGCCTCCAGAACTGGGAGACAATACCGTTCTTTTTACCTTTACTTTATTGAAAAAGTGTTTTAATTTTTTTTAACTTTTATTTTAGGTTTGGAGATACATTTGAAGGTTTGTCACAAAGGTAAACTCTTGTCATGGAAATTTGTTGTCCAGATTATTTCACCATCCAGGTATTAAGCCCAATACCCAATAGTTATCTTTTCTGCTCCTCTCCCTCCTCCCATCCTCCCCGCTCAAGCCCAATACCCAATAGTTACCTTTTCTGCTCCTCTCTCCTCCCACCCTCCCCCCTCAAGTAGACCCCAGCGTCTGTTGTTCCCTTCTTGGTGTTCGTAAGTTCTTATCATTTAGCTCCCACTTATAAGTGAGAATGTGTGGTATTTGGTTTTCCATTCCTGCGTGAGTCTGATAAGGATAATAGCCTCCAGCTCCATCCATGTTCCTGCAAAAGCCATGATCTCATTCTTTTTTACGGCTGCATAGTATCCCATGGTGTTTGTGTACCACATTTTCTTTATCCAGTCTGCCATTGATGGGCATTTAAGTTGATTCCATGTCTTTGTTATTGTGAATAATGCTGCAGTGAACATTCACGTGCATGTGTCTTTATGACAGAATGATTTATATTCCTCTGTGTATATACCTGGTAATGGGATTGCTGGGTCGAATGGTAGTTCTGCGTTTAGCTCTTTGAGGAATCACGATACTGCTTTCCACAACGGTTTAACTAATTTACACTCCCACCAACAGTGTGTAAGTGTTCTTTTTCGCTGCAACCTTGCCAGCATTTACTTTTTGACATTTTAATCATTGCCATTCTGACTGGTGTGAGATGGTATCTCCTTGTGGTTTTGATTTGCGTTTCTCTAATGATCAGTGATATTGAGCCTTTCTTCATATGCTTCTTGGCCACATGCGTGTCTTCTTTTGAGAAATGTCTGTTCATATCCTTTGCCCACTTTTTAAGGTTTTTTTTTTCTTGTAAATTTGTTTAAGTTCCTTATAGATGCTGGATATTAGACCTTTGAGATAATAGACTTCTGTTGTTCTAAGTCACCCAGGTTTTGGTACTTTGCATGGCAGCCCTAGGAAACTAAAACTATAACAAATCTTATTTCTTAGAAAATATATGATTTTTCACTATTGCTGACTGAACCAAAAAAAACAGTTTTGAGGCTAGATCATTTGGAGACTAGTCATTAACATTGATTTAATATTTGATTCAATGAAAAGCAATTTTTTTCTTTTGTTTCTATTTTTTCAATTTATGGTTGACACATAGTAGTTGTATATAATTATGGGGTAGAATGTGATGTTTCAATAGGTGTATACATTGTGTTAATTGAATCAGGGTAATTAACATATCTATCACCTTAAACAGTTATCATTTCTTTGTGATGAGAACATTCAAAATTCTCTTTGCTAGCTATTTTGAAATATACAATGCATTATTATTAACTGTAGTCATCCTACTATGCTACTATGCAATAGAACACCAGAACTTATTTCTGCTTTGTAACTGAAGTTTTGTACCCATTGACCAATCTCTCTCCATCACCCCCCACTCCCTATTATCTGTTAATCACTGTTATACCCTCTACTTCTATGAGAACAACGTTTTAGAGTCTACATGAGTGAGATCATGAGGTATTTGTTTTTCTGTGCTTGGCTTATTTTACTTAACATATTGTCTTCCGGGTTCATCCATGTTGTCTCAGATGACAGGATTTCATTCTGCTTTATGGCTGTATATAATATTCCATTGTGTATATATGCCACAGTTTCTACATCCATTCATCCACTGATGGAAATTTAGGTTGATTCCATATCTTGGCTATTGTGAATAATGCTGCAATAAACATGAGGTACAAATATCTCTTCTATATATTGATTTCATTTCCCTTGGATTTTTTTTGGATAAAACCTCAAAAATATGGGCAACAAAAGCAAATATATACAAATGGAATTAAATCAAACTAAGAAGCTTCTGCACAGGAAGGAAAACAATCAACAGAGCAAAGAGACAACCTACGGAATGGGAGAATATATTTGCAAACTATACATCTGATGAAGGGTTAATATCCAAGGCTGGGTGTGGTGGCTCATGTTTGTAATCCCAGCACTCTGGCAGTCTGAGGTGGAATGATCGCTTGAAGCCAGGAGTTTGAGACCAGCGAACAAAGTGAGACCCTATCTCTACAAAAAATTTAAAGATTAGCCAAGTGAAGTGGCATGCACCTGTGGTTCCAGTTATTTGGGAGGCTGAGGCGGAAGAATCAGTTGAACCCAGGAGTTGGAGGCTACAGTGAGCTATGATGGTGCCACTGCACTCTAGCCTGGGTGACAGAGCAAGATCCCATTTCAGAGAAAAAACATAAAATAAAGACTCAAACAACTCAACAACAAAAAACCAAATAAGCCAATTAAAAAAATGGACAAAATACCTGAATAGATATTTCTCAAAAGAAGACATACAAATGGCCAACAGGTGTATGAAAAAATGATCAACATTGCTAATTATCAGGGAAATGCACATCAAAATTACAGTGAGCTATCACCTTAGTCAGAATTGCTACTATCAAAGACATGAAAAGATGACAGGTATTGGTGAGGATGTGGAGAAAAAGGAACCTTTATATACTGCTGGTGGGAATGCAAATTAGTATAGCCATTATGGAAAACAGTATGGTGTTAAATTAAAATTTAAAAATTAAAACCAAAACTGTTCTGTGATCCAGCAATCCCATGGTTGGGTCTACACCTGGCAGCAAACTTCCTCAACACCTCCTCAATCAAGCGCTGTGTGCTAACTGTTTAAGGGCTCTAACTGTATGATACTTCTTAGTTGTCTGTAAGGAATAGCTAGTCTAAGGAGGAATAGGAAGAGATAAGAAAAGCAGACACATTCACATAAGACACTACTGTAATAGAAGTTCAGATGTTACTGGATTTAAGCAACAAGCAAATTAATTCTGTGTCATCTAGGCTTTAAACACTGGTGAGATTCTGACAGGTCTAAATTGTTGGGAGAAGGAGGGAGGACATTTAAGGGAGAAAATTTCAAAGTGGTTTCATTTTACGTGAGCCTGAGTTAGAGGAATTTGAAAATATGATGCATAGGTATATTAATGGAGTTTCATTTACTGTACAAATGTGGAATTATTCTCATTTCTCAAATAAAAAAAGCCAATTTATTCTATAACTTCCAAGCTGGAGGGCTGAGTGAATAATAAAATGTGTTTGAATTTTTGTGAAACGTTGATGCATCTTTTCCTGGTTAAGCAAAATACTCACTATTCCACATCACTATTATTTAGTCCAGATACCAATCTGTTGTTTATGGGTATTGAAAATTCTGATCGTGGTGATTGCTGTGTTGCCATTTTAATATTTACAGTTATTATAATTTTTAAATCTTTTATATAGTGTGAAATAATATTATCTAGACTTTTATTTTGTGCAGGTGCTAAGCCTGATACAAAAAATGTGCCTAAAAATGTCAATAACTTTGGAAAGCTAGATGTATTAAAATGCCTGAAGGAGACCAAGCAGTGGTTATGATAACTGTAATAGTAATTTAGAAGAATGCATTAGAGCTAATGTTGAGAAAAAATAAAACAGAGTATGGTAGGTACACCTTAGGTTCACAAAATTCTGTAATTGGACAAAATTATGGTGAAAATGAGGAAACTGATGGCTACATATCTGTAAGAATAATTTTGCTTTTAACTGTATATACTCCAAACATTATATATGTTCCTGCAGGACAATTGGTCCTAAGATATGTTAATTGAAGAAAGAAATTTCTGGCATAAAATGTGACTATCTCTAGCTTGGAAGTCAACTTAAAGTGGGAAGTAGTAGAGGTAAGAAGAGCACAGAGGAGTGGAAGCTAAGAATAGGAAAGGGTGCAAGAAGCACAGCTGGGCACGGTGGCTCACGCCTGTAATCCCAGCACTTTGGGGGGCCGAGGCGGGTGGATCACCTGAGATCAGGATTTCGAGACCAGCCTGGCCAACATGGTGAAACCCCATCTCTACTAAAAAATACAAAAATACAAAAATTAGCTGGGCGAGGTGGCACGCCTCTGTAATCCCAGCTACTTGGGAGGCTGAGGCATGAGAATCTCTTGCACCTGGGAGGCGGAGGTTTCAATGAGCCGAGATCGCACCACTGCACTCCAGCCTGGGCGACAGAGCAAGACTCTGTCTCAAAAAAAAAAAAAAAAAAAAGAAAGGGTGCTAGGAGTACGTGTGTTGTGGAGGGTCTCCAATTCTCAGGTGAGGCACTGATGCTTAGCTTAGTTTACCAGGCAACAGGGGAACCTCTGAAAGGGTTAGAGCAGGCCAGTGACACTGTGCCTGAGATGGTAGATGCTCAGTGAAGTTGAGTGTTGAGTGAATGATTGGTCAGAACCACCCTGGAGAAAATTGTTAGTACCTTTACAGGGAAGATAATAGGTAAGATGTACCGAGGGTCCTGAGATCCAACAGGAGTGAGCTCATGAAATTCCTCTTCGGCCAAAGTAAAGTGCCCCCCAGGCTTCCACTGCTTTCAAAGAAACAGCAGTGACTGGCTCTTGCTCTTGATTCCTGGAATCTCAGAATTCTGGGAAATTGGGAAAATCAGGAAATGTGAAATACATTTGGTTCATATAAATTGCAACTCTTTTTTTTTCTTCTAATAAGTGTTTGTTGCTGGTAGAATCACACAGCTGTTTCCTAAATCAAAGATCAATTTGTTATATTATTTTTACTAGTGGCTTAGGGGTAATTGTTTCTGGAAAACATCTGTTCTATAATTAGAAAACAAAGATTTATTTTCCCTGACTGGGTGTAATTACTTTTGGGGACCGAGGGAAAGCTTTAGAATTGCCATGTCAATTCAAAGAGGATTGTTTGCAGTGAAATATGTCCTTTTAATTTTTCTTAAGTAGCTCGGAGGCTGGAAGAAAATGCATGTTTATTAGCATTGTATAGGCTGTAATAGAATAAAGCAAAATTCCCAGATGTGTATGGGCTTGTTAATACAAATAACTCCAGTGATTTCAACTCAGTCAATTACAAAGAATTCCATTTTTGAAAAGAAATGAATGGATATCAGAGTGTTAAGGGCCTTTCCTGGCAAGTCCATAGATAGTTCTAATTCTAATTCTCTAATTAGAATTAGATTGATTGCCCCTTTGGCAAGCAAAGACTCTTACAGATGCCAGGGACTTACTCTGATTTGCTTTTTGTGGTGACGTAGGGTGGATTTGAGCTCACATGATTCCGTGCACCCTAAGAGAGTCCTGCTCTGAGGCTTGATTTTCAGCCCTGTCTTCTGCTTGCGAACGTGTCGCCCTCCACCCCATCCCTGCCACCCCTCACCACTGTACCCTGAGCTCTCACTCATTTCTGCAGTTCTCCTGATATTACATCCAAGCCCTGATTACATGCTGTTCATTGAGTCACTTGACCTTCCCAGTCTCAATTGTACCCTGATGTCACCAGTTTCCTATTGACATATGTGACAACATAAATGAATCTCAAAATAAACTATGTTGAGTGAAAGAAGCAAGGTGAAAGAGTACATGCTATTTTGTGGCATTTATACAAAACTCTAGAAAATATAAACTCATCTGTAGTGACGGAAAGATCTGTGCTTGCTTGGGGCTGGGACTGGAGAAGACCAGGAAGGAGAAATTCCAAAAGGAAACTTTTGAGGGGGATGGATGTGTTTGCAATCTTCATTGTGGTGACGGTTTCATGAGTTGTGTACATGTGTCAAAACTTATCAACTCGTATACTTCATCTTAAAGTCTGTTTAGTCTGATGTTAGTATGCCATGCCAGCTCTCTTATGGTTGAAATTGTATACTTTAAATATGTTCAATTGATTGTATGGTGATTATACCTTAATAAGGCATTTTTCTTTTTCTTTTAGAATAACCCAGTGGAAATCTCTCACATAAGAAGTGATAGAACTACACATCTGAGTGTAGGACGATCTGATTCTAAAGTCCGTGCCCTTGACTACTTAGTAATTATTGCTTCTTCTGTAATGCAAATAGCCACTTTGTGTATTTGGTATGGCTGAACTTCTTTAATATTGGAAGGTTTGGGAACAGGGAATAAGGTTCTTTCCCATACCTCTGATGGGGGGGGAATATTAGAGTTTCTGCAGAGTAATTTGGTGATGTCTTGAAAGCTTTATGAATGCACATATGCTTTCATTTATCAATTCCATATATAGGAACCCATCTTAAGGAAGTAAGAATAAATTTCTGCAAAAACTTATTTACAGGCATAATAAGCACAATTTGTTTCATAAAAATGAAAACTTGGAAAATTAATCTGTACCATGCAGCCATTGACATTATTTTAGTAGAAGAATATTTCCTAACATAGAAAAACATTCAGAGTATATGATTATGCAAATAGATCCATTTTAATAAAATGTATAAGTTATCTGTGTGAAGAAAAAAGTCTGGAAGTAGGTTTTAAATGGTAATATGGTAGTTACTTCTGAGAGAGGAGTACAGATAATGGGCGATTTTAATTCTATCCTTTGTGCTTTTTTTATATTTTCCACATTTTTCACAAATGGCTATGCAGTGATTTCATTTATCAGATAAAACCATAAGTAGGTACCACTTAAAGAGAAGGTATACCTGTGTGTAAGTTTGCTTTCTTGGGTGCTCTTAAACTTCTGGATATTTCCTTGGATGTAGTCATCCATTAGGATAGATGGAGGAACATCCCGGGTGTGGGTGCATATTTATAATGACACTGAGTATACAAGTGTGGTTTTTAGGATTAGAAAACCCAATCGTTCAAAGAAGGAGTGTTCCTACCTGAGTCAGGTAGAAACCAGGTAACTGGACCAGCAAGGTAATTGTGGCAGAGAACTCGTGATTGGGAAAGAGATCACATCTTATCCTGATGGAGCTCCCTTGCCCAGATCAAGGGCAGGGCCTGTATAAATAGGGCTTTTGGATAAATTGCTGCCCCTATACACTAGCCCGCCATTGAGTGTGCAAACTCACCCCTTCACTGCCATGAAGTTGCTTTACCTCCTAGCTCTTTTGAGACCTTGAGATGCGGTCGTCATACCATGTCTCACTTTACCATCAGCCTTGGTCTCTGCCATGTGGCTGCAGATGCTCTGCTACCTTCCTACACATACTGTTCCTCTCACTTGGCTCTTCCTTTCTTTCTCTCCCACTCAGCCTTACCCTGTGTCCTCTGGAATTTCTGTGCTTGACCTTCAAATTCCCCTACATTCTCTATCTTTTTACACACTGCTTCTCTTTGGCATTAAAACTTATGTTTATCCAATCAGAAAAAAATGTCTCCTTCTACATATCCAAATATCCATTGGACTCTAACATTTCCATATTCCATAGAAAACACATATAGTTCCTTCCTGCAGCCTGGAAGGAATATTGTGAGAGAATAGATACATTCTTCACCAGCTACCATTATCTACAAATAGAACTTGTGAGTTGGGCATAACCTTTAGGCCAATTCTCTATACATGTAAAAACAATAGACCACTTTATTCACCAAAGTATGAATAAAACATATAAAACAGAACACTTCATCTTTCCCCTTAAATATGTCCTTTCTTCATATTATTTTACTTTTTGAAATGTGAAGTAAAATTTACCTACATACTTTTCATCCAGTTGGTTAATACCTTAACTTAACCAGTCCCCATAACTAGCCATAGCCCTCTAATATCAAGGATGTCACTGGATTAAGATTTTTAAAAAATGTGCAGAGCACAAAGCCAATGTTTCAATTTGACGTCTTGTGACTAGCTGCTGTTTTATCCTTCCATGTTTTCTCCCTCCTCAAATAATACGTTTACATGTCTTTGCCTCCACAACATTATAAATTCATCATGTATTTTCTTCATCTGCACACACTTGATATAGGAAGCATCCAGCATTGCACATGAAATAATATGTAAGGCAGAATACTCAAGGAGTTAGGATTGACTTGATTTGGGCTGTGACTTAGAAGCTGAGTTATAAGGAGTCATTGCAATGTTCTCCTTTAAAGTATTTTAACATAGACTATGCAAAATTATGCATGGGCAGTTAGTTTAAGCTTTAACTTTATATCCATCCAGTCACCCAAAATGAGAATTCACATTGGAAAGGGTGGTAGATGGAGATGGGAGTGTGGATATCTAGTTAGCTATGTCAGAGGTACCATACCCAATGCGGTTACTATCAGTGCTCTGTTACCCAGATTTTGGTCAACATCCGAGGCTTTGCTAGATAGCATAGTGATGATGCAGGATCTTTTTCTCCTTAGCTCAGCTAGGTCCGGGTTCTTCTCTCACAACCAGGAAAAATTAGTCATGCGAACACTCGAAGAGTGAGTGAAGTAGAACTTATTAAGCAAAAGGAAAGCTCTCAGCAAAGAGAAAAGTCCTGAAAGCAGGTTCCTGGTTGTCCCCTTCACAGTTGAATACAAGGGCTTTTACATACGTGCTGATGGGGCTGGATTCCCTAGTTGTATAAGGTGCGAATTCCTTGTGGCTCTGCCGCATTCCTTCAGTGCACATGCAGGCCCTTAGTCCACTGCGGGCATGTTGCGCAGGGCAAGCCCCCTGTGCAAGTTCCCTTATCTGCACAAAACACGGGTCGGAGTTTCTCCGGGAACCCTTCACTTACTGTCTGCCTAAAGCAAGCTGGCTAACTCCTTTGAGTGATATTAGAAATACTCTTATTGGTGAAGATGATAGCTTGTTAATTAGCACAACGATTATTAGAAATGCATTCTCATTGGAGAAATCAAAGCATTCAGGTTTTGTGTGTTGGCTAAAATATTTTAGAGACACCCACTACCTTCCATTACCAGGGCATGAACATCTTACAAGATTGTCACACGTACCCTTAGACCATGAACCTGAGGCTGGGTCACTGACCTTGGCTTAATTCTCTGACTTGGGAGCATTTCTAGTCTTGCGAGGATAACTGAGAGTAACTGAATCCTGCCTCTGGTATGTTTTTGTGTCTGTCTTGACAAAATTTGTCCTATAAATGTGATGTTTATAGTTCCCAAAAGAGAGCTGGAAGTTCATTTGAGTCTATGGAAACGATTGCGTGAACTGTGTTGAGCCTGCTTGCCAATAATTATTTATTGAATAAATGTCCATGCGATAGGACAAATTTGGTTTGAGACTTGCTTTTCTTACAGCCTGGAAGGAACATTGTGAGAGAATAGATACATTCTTCACCAACTACCATTGTCTACAAATAGAACTTGTGAGTTGGCCGTACCTTTAGGCCAGTTCTCTATACATGTAAAAATAATAGACCACTTTATTCATCAAAGTATGAATGAAAAGATTAGACTTCAAATAGGCAAGTACAAAGCCCTGTATCTGGACAATAGAGTTGTTGCTTTAAAGGAAAAATTTCTTTTAAGCCTCAGGAACTATCTAGGGAAGGGTGGAAGAGGAGGATTTCGAAGATTAGCTGATGGCCACATTAAAGGCCAGAGGGCAGGGACTGGAATGCCCACTCTGGGGAGACAGCCATGGTGGAGAATGTGGAGATGGAGTCGTTTTGAATCCAGTGGCAATGAAGAAAAGACTTTGGTTAGGAAAAACGAGTCCCATTGCAATTATCTTTGCCCATAAGGAATTGTGACTTATTTCCTTCCCTTAAATCAATACCAGACCAGACCCAAATGCCAGCAAGCACATAACAGCAGTGACCCAGCAAGCAGTAGGACAGTGCATTTAAGGACAGCTCCGTCTGGCCTGAGGAAGCAGCAGTTAAGGTTCAAGTCCTGTCTTATCATCGTTTTCCCGTTCCTCATTTCCTTTTGTTTGAGACTGGAGGTCAGTATCTAGGGGACTAAGGCAAATGACACACAAGAGATTTTGTTCCTGGGTGAACACCTCCTTGACTAACCAAATATTTAACTGTCTATTTTCATCTCTGGACAGCATAGTGGTAAGAATGGGAGGTGGTTAAATAAGGAAGGATCTGTCCTCTGCTCGTTCTTCCCTGTTACAAAAATGATCCCACATTGACTTCCCTTCGCTCCAAATTAAACTGCTCTATTTCTCATTCAGGCATCATAACCCATTGATTGTTTTAGTCTGCCAAGGGTACTGTAACAAAGTACCATAGACTGAGTGTCTTATAAACAACAGAAATGTGTTTCTCATAGTTCTGGAGGCTGGAAGTCGGAGATCAGCGTGCCGGCGTGGTTGGGTTCTGGTAAGGGCCTCTCCCGGGTTACAGATGGTCAACTTCTCATTGTGTTTTCATGTGGCAGGAAGATGGTAGAGAGCTCTCTGGAGTCTCTTTTTATAAGGGCGCTAATCCTGTTCATGAGCACTCCTTATGACCTGATTGCTTCCCAAAGGCCTCACTTCCCAAAACCATCCTACTGGGGATTAGGGTTTCAACATGTGAATTTGGGGAGGACACAAACATTCAGTTCATTGCACTAATCTATCACTTCGCTTCTGAATATATGTTGTTTGCAGTTTCAGGAGGGAAGGTGAGAAAGACTGGCCAGCCCCGAAGGGAGGGAGATAGGGGTGGTATGATTTTAACAAATTGAAAAGAATGATGAACTTCCCTGCAGGCCCTGGCTGTTCACTTTCCAGATGCGAAACTCTCCACCTTAAAGTGGAGCCCAGAGCAGTAAGACAGGTCATTGGATCCGGATTGGAGGCAAATCAGCTGAATGATGTGGGAATATACGATGATGCATGTTTGACACTTTTTTCCAACTTCTGTGGCAGATGAGCCTGCATGGCATAGTGAGTCTGCAACTGTGAACTCGGGAAATCCTGTACCTTCCCGTGCAGTCGCTCCCCAGCCATGCAGGTATTTCCAGAGCCTGGAGATCCCAGACTACCTTTCAAAAGAATGAATTCCAGACCCAGAGAGTCCCCTGGAGGAGATTCATGGCAAGCAGCCGTACGAAATAACAGAAGCCCCAGAGAGGGGAAGCAATTTCCTGCCTAAGTCGTCCATCTGTCAGTGGCAAAGCTAGGACTGGAACTCAGGATTCTCCATCCCTCTTCCCAAACCTGGCACTATCTTCCTGGCTTTCTGGGTCTGGAGTCCCATGTTAGAGGCCCTCTGTTTTCAGAGCAGGACTCATTGAATATGTGTGCTCTTTCTACTCAAGTGCTTCAAGGATCCTTCCTGGAAAAGTAAGAAAGGGGTGGTGATCCTCCATAGATATGGATTGTCAATTATCTCTGAAGACTAGATAAGGAATGGGGGTGGGGAGGTGTTCTAAAAGAAATGGGGTCTGGGTTGAGAGAGTCAAAGCACACAAGTTGGCACTGCTAATTTGCTCATACCTCTGAGGAACAAAGTTGCTCCTGTTTTCTATCTAAGAGGGTCCCCTGTCTCTTCCCATTGTGTGTTCCCAGGCCTCGGTTCCGGACCAGTGCTGTCATGGCCTCACCATGTCATAGAATTCCCATCATTTCACTTGTGACTCCCTTCTTCCTAGGACCCGGGCATAAATTCTTGAAGAGTTGATCTGAGTGACAGACTCCCACGCTATGCCAAAAACGGCCTCTTATTTCCCAATGATTGAGACCTTTTATTTGATCAATCTCATGTGCTCACTGGACCCCAGTGATACCTTCACATACCTGACACCTCAGGGAAACACAGCTTCCGTTCAAGTCAAGATCCTTGCTATACTGCAAACTCTTATGAAACGTCTAGGAGAATTTTCAGGCTCCTTTGTATATGGAAAAAGGTCAGAATGAAGCTCCAAATTCTTCAGCATGTGTAAAAACTTAAGACAACCATATTTTATTTTTGTTTTATTTTTTATTTTTTTCATTGTTTTTTTTTTTGAGACAGCCTTGCTCTGTTGCCTAGGCTGGAGTGCAGTGGCGCGATCTCGGCTCATTGCAACTTCCACCTCCTGGGTTCAAGCGATTCTTGTGCCTCAGCCTCCCAAGTAGCTGGAATTACAGGCATGCACCACCATTCACAGCTAATTTTTGTATTTTTAGTAGAGATGGGGTTTCACCATGTTGGCCAGGCTGGTCTCGACCTCCTGACCTCAGGTGATCCAGTCGTCTTGGCCTCCCAAAGTGCTGGGATTACAGGCATGAGCCCCTGTGCCCAGCCAACAACTACATTTTAAAGCAACTTTATTCTCAACTGAATGACATTTTAATCACTTTCTTGCCCATGTGGATATGGATAAGGATATTTTGCCAATATTCTTGTTTGTGTTTGACTGTGATGCTATTGTTATACAAAGAATGGGCAGGTGGAGCTAAGCAGAAAGAGACAGTCGGGTACCTGTACCATGGAAAATGGAAGAGAGCCAAGCAGACTGCATCCTTAGGGGGCAGGGAGGTCAGTGCAAGTTGGGACAAAGCCTAGCTGAGTCGGTGAGCACTTCATGGCAGACTAGTCAAATTATATCTCTTGGACTAAGATCTTCATTAAAGGCCTGCACCTCAGAGACATTTCAGCCTACCAAGGTGCATCATTATGGAAGACTGGGCATGATAATAGTAATTTAAATGAAGTTAAAAGAGCAGTCTAAATTAGAACAGGTATTCACATTCCAATTTCTCTTGAGAAGAGCCTCTGTTGGATAAAGAAAACTCGCTGAGCAAAATAAATCGATTGGAGGTAAACTTTACCAGCCCTGGAGTGCAAGGTTTAGAAACATGCACACATCCCACGGTGTTAAGGGTCCTGCTGTTTTCTTCCATGTCATTTCATCACAGAACAATTTTCTACAGCAACCTGATCTACCTTGTGGCCCAGTAAGGCATGTTTTGTTTTGAGATGGAGTCTCACTCTGTCGCCCAGGCTGTAGTGCAGTGGCGTGATCTCCGCTCACTGCAAGCACTGCCTCCCGGGTTCACGCCATTCTCCTGCCTCAGCCTCCCAAGTAGCTGGGACTACAGGCGCCCGCCACCATGCCCGGCTAATTTTCTGTATTTTTATTAGAGACGGGGTTTCACCATGTTAGCCAGGATGGTCTCGATCTCCTGACCTCTGGGATCTGCCCGTTTCGGCCTCCCAAAGTGCTGGGATTACAGGTGTGAGCCACCGCTCCCAGCCAAGCATGTGAGAGTTTTAAATCAAATGTTACCTTGTCCCTATTAGCCTTACCACTGCTAAATATCTACACGGTTCCCTGTTAAGGAGAGTTTCTAAATGACTCTCTTGAGAAATCCTGGATAAATGGAGAATGGAGCATTTTTCCTGCCTCTAAGCTTTGCTCCACTGCAATCTTTCACATGCTGTGTATCCAGAGGGTGACTGCCAGATAGCTTCTTGAAGAAAGGGAGGAGGAAACGGTCATTTTCTTGCTGCGCTTTCTAACACCCAACAGAGGAAATGCACAGCATAGGTGTGTGGGAGTTTGGCTGACTTATGGTAAAAAATAAACATGGTTTCCTGTTTGTCTCTTGTTTCCATTCCTTCCTTCCTTCATTTCATTCTTATTTTCATTCAAGCGGTGAGGAGTGACTGGTACTTCCTGCCAGGAATAACATTTTATGAGGGCAAAGAAGGTGTCATTTGGGGACCAAAAAATATCAGTCCTTCTTGCAGGCTTCCAAAAATTCTCACCTTTCACTCATCAATCAGTATCATTCCTTAAACTAATGTTGAGTATTTTAACTTGTGCTAAATCATCCTGTTATTTGGAATGCTGAAAGACTGGCATCTTGATGCATTATAATTTTCTCATATATCTGATTAGCTTGGAGCAATTCCAAGTGCACAGCATATTCCATTACCCATTTGTCCATCCACCTACACACCCACCCACCTTTCCATCCATGCATCCATCCATCCATGCATCCATCCAGCCAGCCATCCATCCATCCATTCATCCATCTACCTACCCACCCACCCACCTTTCCATCCATCCATCCATGCATCCATGCATCCATCCATCCATCCATCCATGCATCCGCCCATCCATCCATCCATCCATCCAAAGAAGGAAATGAGTTGAGTGTTCTGTGTTGAAGAGACAGACAGTGCAAAGGCACTGAGGAATAACAAGCTTGGTGTGTTTTGTTTGTTTGTTTCTTTTAGATACAGATTCTTCCCATGTCACCCAGGCTGGGGTACAGTGGCATGATCATAGCTCACTCTAGCCTAGAACTTCTGGGCTCAAGAGATCCTCCTGCATCACCCTCTCAAGTAGGTAGGACTGCAGGCACATGCTATCACATCCAGCTAATTTTTAAATATTTTTTGTAGAGATGAGGTCTCACTGTGTTGCTCAGGCTGGTCTTGAACTCCTGGCCTCAAGTGGCTTTCCAAAGTGCTAGGATTATAGGCGTGAACCACTGTGCCCGGCCAAGCTTGGTGTAGATTACTGAGCTGAAGCATAGTGAAGTGTGGAGAGAAGAGGTAGAGAAAAGGTGGGAGGGGGAAGGGGAGATGGAAGGAAAGGGGAGAAATTGGGGGCCATACCAAGGAGAGCCCTGTAGACCATTGTTGAAGACTTCTGGTCACTTTATTCTCAATGCAATGGGAGCCCACTGCAGGGGGCTTTAATCAAAGGGATGACATAATGTAATTTACATTTCAGAAGCATCACTTTGGCTGCTATGTGGAGAATAGACTTTAGGATGGCAAGGATAGAAGTTAAAGGTCCAGGCCGGGCTTGGTGGCTCACACCTGTAATCCCAGCACTTTGGGAGGCCGAGGCGGGCGGATCACGAGGTCAGGAGATCGAGACCGTCTTGGCTAACACGGTGAAACCCCGTCTCTACTAAAAATACAAAAAAAAAATTAGCTGGGTGCGGTGGCGGGCGCCTGTAATCCCAGCTACTCAGGAGGCTGAGGCAGGAGAATGGCGTGAACCTGGGAGGCGGAGCTTGCAGTGAGCCGAGATAGCGCCACTGCAGTCCAGCCTGGGCGAAAGAGCGAGACTCTGTCTCAAAAAAAAAAAAGAAGTTAAAGGTCCAAGAGAAAGGTAGCGGTGCTGATGGAGACAAAGGGACAGATTGAGGATGTGGAGCTCATAGGGTTTGCTGGTGGAATGGACATAGAGTGAGAGGGAAAGAAATTAACCAACGATGGCTTCCAGGTGCAGGGTTTGAGCAATCGGTTGAACACTGACATCCTGGCTGGGACAACAAACACTGAGGGGTAGTCAGACGTGGGGAGCAGGGAACAACTAACAGCTTTGTTTTAGATACTGAAGTTTGCAGCATCTATGAACCCTGTGACAGAAGGTGCCTAGTAGGCAGGAGCATATATAAGAGGAGTCCAGGAGAGGTCAGGCAGGAGATAGACATTTGGAAGTCATCAGCACATGGAAGATATTTAACACTGTGAGACTACAAAAAATAACCTAGAAAAGAGTGTTGATAGAGAAGGAATGCTGGAGAACTCCAGCATTTAGAGATTAGTAAGAAGAGGAGGAGCCAGCAAAGAGGAGGTTGAAGTCATTATCAGATCAGTTTGTAGCTTGTGAGCATAGGGATCATGCCCCACAAACAGGAGTTTTTACTGAGGCTTGGAAAAGTCTGATCTTCCATATCAGAAATCAACATTTTGCAGGTACATTGGCTATTAGGGCTTTTCAGCTGAATCAGTTACTCTGCATAATATATATCCTGCATGGAGTAACTTAAAAGTTTTGGGAAGCAGGAAAAAGATATGATTTCTATGGTCCTTAGAAACATTGCCTAGTGATCTAGGGACCTGGAGAAATTCCACATTATTGAAGTCAAGATGTTCCATATCTATTCTCTGTTTATCTAGTTAGGTCAGTGCAGTGGTAAGAAGAAGTCGAGAGCCTGGATTCTGGTCTTGTCCTCATCATCTACTAGCTGGGTGACTTCGAGCAAGGTGATTAACTTCTTTGAGCTTTCCTTCCATTAATATACCATATTGAGTTGTTAGCAATACTCGTAGGATTTTGTGTGTGTGTGTGTGTGTGTGTGTGTGTGTGCATGTGTATACGTATGTGAAGAATGCTGGAGATAGCGCATGAAAAGTACTTAGCACATGGTTAGAGCTCTGTAAATGGCCATTTTTATAGTGATAGTTATTGTATCCATCTTCTTCCCTTCAGACTCTGTTCTGCTCCACATTGTGCTCATTTCTTACTTTTATCAAGATTTTCCTCCATTTTGCAATGTTTTTTCTCCTCCTTTCTGCCTTTCCACTTCCTACCAGTCTCCTCTTCCATGTCTTTTATTCAAACATTTTTAAGCTTGGCCTGTGTGTTAAGTTCTGTGCCTGGAAATGAACACCATAAACTCTTCCCTAATTATCTCAGCTTACCATCTATCTTCCACCCATTCAGCCACCCACCCCCCCGTCCACTCACCCATCCATCCGTCCATTCAATCACCCACCCATTTATCCATCCATCCATCCATCTATCCATCCACCCATCCATCTGTCTGTCCGTCCATCCATCTGTCCACGTGTCCATCCATCCATCCATCCATCCATCTGTCCGTCCATCCATCCATCCATCCATCCAACCATCCATCCATCCATCCATCCATCCCCTAGGTATTTTTTTACTTCCAAGTGATTTTGCACAATCTAACATTGATCTTACCTAGCCTTGTGACTTCTGATAATTCCAGGTGTATATATTAGCTTTCTCAGTGAGACTGTAATTTCCTGAATGGGAGGAGAACATCTAACACTTAAAAAAAAAAGCCTCATTAGAGCATA
This sequence comes from Homo sapiens, assembly GCF_000001405.40. Taxonomy (NCBI): domain Eukaryota; kingdom Metazoa; phylum Chordata; class Mammalia; order Primates; family Hominidae; genus Homo; species Homo sapiens. The sequence goes on from NC_000017.11 coordinate 68,682,863, forward strand.
GAGCAAAAGGCCAGATACCGAATGGGCATGTAATATATTCATGTTAAAATAAAATGAGAACTGGAAAATGATTTGCCCAGCCTGGCTGGGAAAGTCCTTCATACAAAGTCCTCCTCGGTTTCCCTGCCAGACTGCTGTCATGTGGCTGTTTTCAGACTGTGATTTACGAGATGGGCAGAACTGCGTCAATTATGCAAATCACACAGAGCTCCCTAAGGAAAATGCCTGCCAATTTCAGGGGAGTCTGCCCATATTCATTTATGCTTGTTGAAGCTTTTTAAACATCCCATTGGCCCTCTGTCACACGCACATTCACCTCTGAGTCACCTTGTGCTGTCTCTAGTGTCTTCTCTGCTCGCTGATAATAGCTGCTGTATTAGTGCAAAACCACACCCAATTTCTAAAGCTTGGGTGCCATGTTTTTTTTCATCCACTTCTTTACCAGACACTTAATGAGATGCTGTTGAGGACTAGGCATGTACTGGGCATGGGGGAATATAGTGGTGAATAATACATAATCACCACTCTAGGAAATCAGAGCTCTCAAGGCAGACAACAGACAACTACCATTCATTGTGATAAACATTATAAAAGTGGAGCAAAATAGAGAGGAACTAATTCTGCCTGTGAGTTGGAAGGAAGCTTCCCAGAGAAGATGAAAGATAAGTAGGCATTCCCTAAGAGATAAGAAAAGAAGAAAGAATCAAGACAGAGGGAATATTATATGCAAAGGCACAGAGGAATATAAGAGAGCAAGACATTCAATGGCCAAGAGATGGTTGGTGTGAAGGGAAGGGATGAATGTGAGAGGGGGGATTTGAAGGAAGTGGGTGAGGAGAAGCAGGAGATGAAGCTGAAACCGATGAAGAACGACCCCGTGTAAGATGATCAGGATTGTGGCTCTCATTGTGTAGAGGCAATGGGGAGCCATTTAAGGAGTGAGGACATGGTTTCATTTGTGTTCAGAAAAATCTCTCTGGCAGGGGGAAGAGTTATTGGGCTATGGTAAGTGCAGAGCAGAGATGATGAGGGCTAAAACTAATGTAGTGGAAGATGGATGGGGATGAAGAACATAATTAATTTGAAGGATGCTTAGAAGGTAGGAGCTATAGATGGCAACACCAAAAGTGAGAGGCATGAAGATTGATCCCAAGATTTCTAGTACCAATAGCTTGGTAGATGGCAGCTTTATTGAATGAGTTGGGGAAGATGGGAAGGAATCAAACTTTGGAGGGAACGTGATGGTTTGTGTTTGTGACATGTTGAACTTGGAGATATCCAGTCAAATCTAGAACTCGGGAATAGTATGAAACTACCAGTGCTGTTGTTTCTGGGCCTTAGAACATCTCTGTCCTTTACTTTGCTTATGGATCAACAACTTTAGAGTAAAATGGGAATCTTTATCATCTTGAGTTTCAGCATTAGACTAGTTTAAGTTCAAATTTTGTCACTCTAATTTACCAATATCCTGCCTTTTTTTTTTTTTTTTTTTTTGGTGACAGAGTCTTGCTCTGTCACCCAAGCTTGATTGCAGTGGCACGATCTCAGCTCACTGTGACCTCCATCTCCCGATTCAAGCGATTATCCTGCCTCAGCCTCCCGAGTAGCTGGGATTACAGGCATGTGCCACCACATCCGGCTAATTTTTTGTATTTTTATTAGAGACAGGGTTTCACCACGTTGGCCAGGTTGGTTTTGAACTCCTGACTTCAGGTGATCTGCCCGCCTCGGCCTCCCAAAGTGCTGGGATTAGAGGTGTGAGCCACCACACCTGGCCCCAACATCCTGACTTTATACAGGTTAACCCACAGCTACCAGCCAGCTTTCACAACAGAAAAATGGGGCCTGTTAATATCAGTCTACAGGGTTTGTGATAATTCACTGAGATGTGGAGACACTATAAGCAATAATCAGGCAGTGAAGAGTTCTAAAAAGATAATTCTAAGCACTCAAAAAGGCTCTGCACAGATTTAGCTATTCCCAAGTTTCTCCACTTAAAAAAAAAGTCCAAAAGATTATTTTGGGAAATGGACTTAGGCCTGGAAATGCATTTGGCTTACTAAGGCCCTGTTTCTTCACCTTAATTATTTTTGGAGGAAGGCTGCAGATTCCAAAGGACACTGGGCCATGAGACTCAACACACATGTTCTCTTTCCTGGCATTTGAGAAAAAAATTTTTGGAAAAATCCCCAAAACCTACTGTCCACACAGCAGCCCTCAGTGATCACTGCAATTGCTCAATTGTATGGTTATTCACGAGGCGCAGATTATAGGGTTACTTAGCTGAAGTCTCTGTGACTCCACCAGATAAAACTAAATTAAAAAAAAAAAACATGCAAACGCTGGATATTTTCTGAGCATATGGCAGCATTTAGTTTTAGTCAGCAAGAAATAGGAACAAAACAAAACAAAGCCAAACTGTGAGCAATATTTTTTGTTCTCTTTTTCTGTTTTGTTTTGCTTTTCAAGGATGTGGATATCTGAGACCCAGGCTTGGTTATACAGAACAAGCCTCTTTTGAAAACACCTGATATTAATAAAATGATAAAAGAACAGGCTATTCGCAATTTTTATGGAGGCCTTGCTTCAAAAGTTTGTTGCTAGATCTGTATTTTGAAACTTGGAATTCAGGTTTGCATAGAGATGGTAATTTATAGGTCTCCAGGCCAGCCTGGGCAAATAATCCTGTTCTAGCAAACACCATCATCCTCCATCCTGTTGTTCAAGCTAGAAACCAAGAAGCTATTTTGAAAAGCATCTGCTCCCACCTGTTACGTCCACTCAAACCACACATTTTGTCCACCCCAAACTCATCATCTCCTCTGCCTCCACCTTGGTCCAAGGCTTCATATCTCTTGCCTGAACCATGACATTAGTGTCCCAACTAGAGTCTCTTATCTCTGATACTCTGATACTCCCTCCACGTGATGGGTAGATATGTCTTTTTTTTTTTTTTTTGAGATGGAGTTTCACTCTTCTTGCCTGGGCTGGAGTGCAATGGCACGATCTCGGCTCACTGCAACCTCCGCCTCCCGGGTTCAAATGATTCTCCTGCCTCAGCCTCCCGAGTAGCTGGGATTACAGGCATGTGCCACCACGCCTGGTTAATTTTGTATTTTTAGTAGAGGTGGGACCATGTTGATCAGGCTGATCTCAGACTCCCGACCTCAGGTGATCGCCTTGGCCTCCCAAAGTACTGGGATTACAGGTGTGAGCCACCGCGCCTGGCCAAATATGTCCTTTCAATAGGCACTCCCATGTTAAAAACCCTTCATTGGGTTCCCATTGCCTATGGGGTAAGGCCTGAAGTCTTTGGCATGGCTTCTGAGGTCCTCTGCAGCAGGGCCTGGTGCCTCTTCCCCTCACCTGGTGCCTCTTCCCCGTTCATCGTCTCCTATTCTAGCCACATAGGCCCCCTTTCAGTTTCTTGAAAGCATTGTGCTGACTCACCATTGAGACGTCACTAATACTGTTTTCCATGTCTGGTAGATGCCTGCTCTATGATTGACTCATGTCTATCTCAGTATAAATGTCACTTCCTCAGGGAAGCCTTCCCTGATTCTCCAGGTAAAGCTGTTTTCCTGTGGAGATTGTTCATGAATCTGTTCTTCCCACTAAACCTCTAGGCTTGAAGGATAGTGTAGGTGGGTAAAGTCCATATCTGTCTTGCTCCCTGTGATATCCCTCATACCTGTACCATGCCTGGAACATGACAGACACTCACTCAAATATTTGCCAAATGAATGAGTGTGTCCGAGGTGCAGGCACTTGTGACTGTACATGACGTTATGTCCATGCGAGAGGTGCTCAGAGTGCCACTGCCCCCAATGGCCACAGGGCTTTCCCCTCCCCACAGCCACCCCACTGGGTGAACAGTCAGGATAGAGATGGCATCAGGCCAAGCCATGGTGGTGGCTGCCACGGTCTGTAACCGGCATCCCAGCGGGGCAGGGGGTGGGAGGGAGCCATGACCTGAGGACCACAGAGCAGGGCGACAAGGGCTCAGGTAATGGGCTGAGAACAGGTAGCAGGGAGGGTAGACAGAGGACTCCTTGCAAGCAAGGACACTGTCATGCTTGGTGTTTTAAGCCCAGAGCCTGGTCCAGGCCCAGAGAGTGGGAGATGCACAGGAAATGACTGCTGACTACAGACGGAGATGAATGCAGAGTCTGAGGTTGGGGGGGCCCCTTCTTGCTTTTCCTTTTTCCCAATCCCTCCCTGCCTCACTCCCTTACCTGTTACCCCTAGGACCCAGAGTCCCCTGCAGATGTAGGACAGGGGCAGGAAACCACAGATGGAGGCTCATGTCAGAGCATCTCTCCTTCTGGCTCAGGCCCAGCCCAGTTTAACCAGGATCACTAATTTCTACCTTGAAGCATTTTGGGAGGGTTTTTGAGGGCTGTTACGAGGCGTGGGCCACATCCATCTTTATCCAGTGACCTTATTGGAGGTCACAGTGCAAAGCAGATGGGGAAGTTTAATTAACGTACAATAAGAAAGTCATAATTTCTAGAATTCCAAATAAAAGGTATCCCTGATCCCCACAAAAATGGAGCTGAGCCCATTCCTGTGGGCTTTAGTCTTGCTTCCTCCTTGCAAATGGCAAACTGCAGGCTCTTGATTTTACCCTTAACAGTGGCCCTTGCCTAGCAGCTGTGTCTCTCTGTCTATCCTCAGGCCTGGCTCTGGGCACCTATCAAAGGGCAGTGCTTTTCTGGTCTGGGCTGTAGGGAAGGGTGAGGGCCCTGCTCTTCATAGTAGGAATAGCGGCATGGGACATCTTCACTGGAAGGGAGAAGAGTAAGTCATCAGAGAGACAGGCACGGTTGCCAGGTTGGTGTGAGGGAATGATTCTAGAATAAGAGGCTGCTTTGTTGGATTTCACAGCCCCAGTCATGTCTCTCACCTCTCTACCTGAATTCATTACATATACATGTACACACACACATACTTATACATGCACACCAGGGTCATAAGTGGCAGAGCTTCAGCCTGAACCCATCTTCCAGCTTTTGACCATACAGGACTAACTTTAGCTTGCTCCCCTCCTTTCCTCTGATTTTTCCCCTCCTATGGAACTTGCCCAACTTCCAAAGCTCTAGCATCTTCGTTACAGGGCTCTTACCATGGAACCTGCCTGCCCCACTCAGCTGCCATGAGGTTAATGTGCTCACTTTTATGTCTTAGCTCTGGAAGGCAGCAGTCAAAATTGGAAGAACAAAGAAAGAGATAGAAATAAAATGAATTTGTATACATGTATCAGCATGTATTAATTATTCAACAAATGTATTGGATTTTATTATAAAAAAAGAAGAAACAGTGGCAGACGAATCCATTAGCGTTTATTGTAGGTGCACAGGCTGTTTTACCAAGAGAACTGAGAAAAGAACACAGAACAAATAAACTTCAGGGAGGGTGGGGTAAGAATGTGTGTGGTGGTTGGGCACAAATGTGCAGGATTAGTTTTTGCTGATCAGGTAGAGAGAGGGAGGTAGGTATATGGGAGCACTGTTAAAATATCTTGAAACTTCCGTTTTTTCATGGTTAATAATACTGGATTATTATAGTGGAACAATAGTGTGGATTAAAAGAGGTGAATCCGCAAAAGCTTTTAACATACGCATGGAGCAAAGTAATTACTCAGAATATTTTGGCTGATACAAATATTACTAATTTTCACTTCTGAGTTCTTACTTTCCTGAGTCCTCTGAGTAGAAGATACACTTTTTTTAAAATGTAGATCTTGCTTTGTGTAATTAATGGGCTCCTGCAAAGCTGTATTTACCTTGGGTCTACTGTCACTTGTGAAACTAAATTGACAGTTCTTCTTTTTAATGCTTGGGCATGTGATCTAAGTGTTGGAAATCTCCTCTGTGGGTCTCAAGCACTTGTTGGTCTCCATTGAACTTTGCTGGGGTTCTGGAAGGCTATTCCTTGTCTAAAAGAAAACATGTAGGTAGGGGAACACTGATGTTAAGCCCTCATTGGCACCTGTATGGGGCCAACTGTATGGAACCTTCCCTCCCTCCACAGATGGAATAGAGCAGCTCATGGCTAGAACAATAGGAGAGACAGAAGTTATACACAAACTGCCAGGTCGTGCACAAGGTATGCAGGCTGGTTTCTGAATACAGATGATAAATTAGCCTGTGGGCAGGTAGAGCCGTGATGGGGATGACACTAGGCAGATGCCAACTATAGGTCCTTCTAGGAAGGTGTCTTAGTTCATTTTCTGTTGCTTATAACAGAATACTTGAAACCTGGTAATTTATAAAGAAAAGAAATTTATTTTTCACAGTTATGGAGGCTGAGAAGTTCAAGATCAAGGAGCCACATCTGGTGAGGGCCTTCTTGCTGGTGGGGACTCTGTAGAGTCCTGAGTGACTGGCATAGGGCATCACATGGCTAGGGAACTGAGCATGCTCATCATGTCCTCTTTTCTTCTTATAAAACTACCAGTCCCACCCCCTAGATAACCCATCATTCCCATTAATCCAATTAATCCATTCAGGAGGGCAGACCCCATCAACTCTTAAAGGCCTCACTTCTTAATACTGCCATATTTGGAAGTACATTTCAGCATGAGTTTTGGAGGGGACAAACATTTAAACAAAAGTAGAAGGAAACTAGATAAGTCTTTGACTTTCTTTGCTGGCAAATTAATCTTCGAGAAGGTAAAGAAAACCACACGGAGATCTTCTATCTGGAACTTAAACCAGTAAGGAAAAACTGATTGGGAGCACAAAGGTGAGGGAAGCTTTGGGAGAAAATAACCTCACTGGGCAGGCAGATAGCACAGTGGTAAGGGCATAGGCACTGAGATCATGCCCCATGGTCCAAATGCTGGCCCTGCTACTTATCAGCGACATTCCTTTACCTTATCGTGTCTCTGTTTTCTCCTCTGAAAAATGGGGATGATAGTAGTACCTACGTCATGTCATGGTTGCAAAAATCAAATCAGTCCATTTAGTACAGGGCAAATATTCAATAAACATTAGCTGTTAGTATGATCGTTACTTGAATTCATACTTGTGAGGGAAAGTTTAGATGGAGAGTCATGGGCCCTAGACTTTAGGGAAATCTAAAAAATAACTTTTAAATTAAAATTTAACTAAAACTTTAATTTTTTAACTAAAAAAGTCAAAGATAAATGAAGTAGAAAACATAGAGGGGATTTTGGCCTAAGACAGTTCAGCAAGCTTTTTCTGTAAAGGGCCAGGTAGTAAATATTTTTGGCGTTGTGGGCCATACGCTTTCTATGGCAACTAGTCAGCTCTGCCATTGTAGCACAAATGCAGCCGCAGACAATGTGTAAACAATTGAGCATGACTGTGTTCCTATAAAACTTTATTTATAAAAACAGGTTTGTATAGTTTGTGGACCCTTGGCTGATGAGGAATGGGAAACAGGAAAATACAAAATTCTGCCTGTGTCATTGTAAATGATGACAGCAAATTGAAAACTAACAAGGCAATTATTAAATGAGCCAACATAGCTTCAGTGGGAACTGTTTACCTCAGACTGAAAGACGACACGTGCCAAAAAGTAGGGAAATTGTGGTGTCTTCCGCGTATCATGTAGTTCAGAAATAAATATGATGATGTTAAAAAAAGAAAAAGGCTAAGCTTTCCATGAATCTAGTAAAAAGGTTAATGATTTTCTTAAAAAAGAATGAATAGGTTTTATTTTTGTTTTGGGGGGTTGTTTAGTCTGTGCAGAAGTTTGTAGCAAGGGGAGGATGGGCACTCGCCTGGGTACAGTGTTGTAATGCAAATGGATGCCATAGCCTCTGTAACCGTAGCCTCCTGGAAGGGGACCCAGAAGTGGACCACAGGACCTGGAAGTGGACCACAGGACCCAGAAGTGGACTGGATGATCCTTTGAGAGTTATGGGGCAATGGTTCCAAGAAGACTCCCTAATAAAAACTATGGAAAAGAGTTCTCAGCCCAAAGACAACCTCAACACTATAAATAGGGACAAGAGATTGAAAAAAAGGTCTGAAAGTTCTCAGATGCAAACACAACTTATTTCTAAATGGTAAGATTTTGGGTAATTATTTTCTTGTTATACCTTTCAGCAATTTTTATTATTGGCATGTATTACTTTTAAATGTCAAAGGAAAATAAAAACTATTTAGGGTGGAGCCACCTTCTCAGAGGTGTAGTGTTGGGACTGATGCTTAGAAATTATAAAAAGGCAGATTTTCACTCAGCATAAATAAAAATTTCTCATTGTAATGATCTGACATGCAAACTACTGAATCTCCCACTGGGGGCAGATATTAATCGCTTTTCCATCAGCCATTTTCTTGCTTTCTTTTCCTGATGGTAGAACTAGCCTCCCAGTATATGCCCAGTACTTGTTTTTCCAGCTTCCTTTGTAGTTAGGGAATAGGCGAGCCACCCTATCCTGGCCAAGAATTGCTGGGAAATCTTCTGAGTGGTTCCTGGGAGATGTTCTCCTTCTTTGTGTGTGTGTGTGTGTGTGTGTGTGTGTGTGTGTGTGCATGTGCAACATGAGGAAAAGCATCAACCTTCCAGTGTTTGATGTACCCTTTGAGCATGTGGTTTTTGGTGCAGTGGCAGCCATCTTATGACCATGAAGAGCAAAACCTGAGGTTACCATCCAGTACTCTGAGGATGGTAGAACAGAAAAATGCAAAGAGTGGGGTCCTTGATTCATCAAAATATAACCATCTCCTCAGCCCATATTCACACTTCTGAGGAAAGTGTTTTTATTGAGGATTCAGTTCCAATTGTATTGCAGGTCCTAATTTATTTCACCTTCTCCGAAATGTTCACACAGAGGCATGATGCTGGTGTTCCTCCAGTTATCTAAATGTTGTCAAGTTTGAAAGTGTCTCAGCATTCTTGGGGCCATGGGCTCTAATTGTTTTAATGAAAAACCTTGCAGCAAGGGGTCAGAATGCAGTTTTGCAGTGTTTATTTCATGTCATTAGATTTTGTTGCTTTAACTGTTGCAGGGAATAAAGGCGTTTTAATGTGGCTCACTGATTTCTTTTTCCTGTGGTTGCTGTCATCCTTTCACAAATCCAGCTCTGTGGAAGACAAGGGTCAGTCCTGGAGGTTCACATCAGTGAGGCATGAAGTGTCCATTCTCTGCATGTGGTGACTAGTGGGCAGGTCTCAGGGAAGCACCAATCTTTGCATGTCCTATGAGGCACAGAATAATAGCAATAAAATAGAGCGTGGGGATTGGAAGCACCTGTTCCACAATACCAGGTTCAAATCCTGGTTCTGCCAGTGACTAATAAGAATTCGGGGCAAATTACTTAACATGTCTCTGACTTTGTTTTCTCATTATAAAATGTGTATGATGGTAATATGGTGGAGGTCATGAGGATGAAGTATGTGTGAAGTCTTTAGCGTTATACCTAATATGTAGTAAGAACTCTATACATGGGTACTACTACTCACAATACATGGGACAACTGCTGTTTCCAAGTGTCACTGTGACTGGGAGAAAATGTCTCTATCGGGATAATTTGTTCTTTAGCAAGACCTTCTGGAGTTGGATTTAGCAGATGGCAGCTCAAATTTGGATAACCCTCTTCTTGTGGGTCTGGCAACTCATGGAGCTCTTTCTCTCATTCACATTTAATTGTATTTGTGTTTGTAGCATGATTTTGGCATGTGACTCAGTTTCCCTAGCAGATGAGAAGCTCCTTGAGGGAAGAGTTGGGATTTCCATTCTTGGGTTCTCAAGAATGCAGAGCTCTGGGCTGCGCACATGCACATGTGCAAGGAATGTTGGCCAGGGATTGGGTAGATGGGCAGCAACTACCTGTGATATGAAGAATTGGGGCTAGTTTCTAGAAAGTTCAGAGAGCAGTGGTTCTCACACTTGGCTATACCTTGGAGTCACTGTGGATAGGGTGACCAACCATCGTTTGCCCAGTTTCCAAGGACCTGGGACTTTCAGTTTTAAAACCAGGACTTTCAGTGCTAAAAGTTGGAAAGTCCTGGGAAAGGTGTGAAAGTAAGTCCTGGGAAACTGGGATGAGTGGTCACCCTACCAGTGGAACTTTAAAACATGTTGATGTGATGGCTGGGACTCAGCCCCAGAGCTTAAGATATAAGCTGTGGTCTAGGGTGAGGCCTGGACATTAGTGTGTCTAATAACCCAGGTGATTTTGATGTTCAGAAAAGGATGAGAAGTGCTGATGAGCAGGAGCTCCTGACAGGGTTGCAGTGCACATCGTTGAGCTGTGGATGGGTTACAGGGGGCTAACAAACTGGCTCCCTTCAGACTCAAGGGCACTGGTTGTCTAGCCCCATTAGCAACCTTCTCATTTCACTCCAGTGTGCCTTCCAAAATGTGCCATTTTCTGTGTGTGCTATGACATGCACAAGGTTGGGAAGCACTGACTGAGTAATAATGCATAAAGGTGGTGAATAGAGAGTTATTAAAAAAGGGAATTTAAAGGCCCCACTCAAGACCATCCAAAGTGGAATGACTACAAGCCTGGGAATCTGCATTTGAATCAGGCTTTCCAAGTGATTCACATGCATGCTCAAATTTTAGAATCACAAGAATGTATATATAGAAAGTATAGCAAAAACATAATAGTAATAGTCTTAAAGAAATGAACTTCAGAATAGCCCTGCCTGAATTGACTTGGGTACAGAAAATCACAGGTGAGACAGAGGAATGGGAACCAGAACCATTTTCCTTTATATCACAAAAACCTCCCTTTTCCCCAGATCTCCTCCTCTCCTTGAAATGATTGTGTCTCTGAACAACACAGCTGCAGCTGTCTGCTCTCAGATTTTTCCCTAAACCTCAGGTCACTGACCTTCAGTGGGCTAGATTTAGTCTCCTGTGGCAGATGAGATTATTGTTCTCAGCTCTTGACTTTCTTCTGCTCTGTGAGCTTGCAGTGAACAGAAGTGGAAGAGAATGCTTCTCACCTTCTTATGACTGAGAAGCATTGATATTTGCTATTGCAAGCCACTCAGTTTTAGGGTCGTATGTTTCTCAGCATGATTGCAGCCAGAACTAATTCACTTCTCAAAAGATAAAGAATTTGGGTTGCCACTGGTCCCACCAAAAGACTTCAAAACATATTACAAAAGAAGGGCTCACCATGGTGGTGAGGGCTTGGAAAGGGGTGAAGACCAGCCAAGACTGATAGTACTTGTGCACGTCAATGTCTCCTTAGAGACTGCGGCGCTCCTTCCAGCCGGCTAGTCTCTTCTCCACCTCTTGTTCATGAAGCGCTGGAAAGGGCCCTGCTGGGGCAGACCTGCAGTGCCTGCAGAGGAGCCAGATAGCATGTGGTTACCAAGTACCACGTGCCCACTCCAAGGCAAGGTGTACTTTCTAAAGCAGGCGGTTCTTGTTCATGCCTCTCGTTTATTAGTGGACTTCCATTTATCTTTCTTAGTCTTCTGTAGGCTTGGGGAGGCAGACCAAAGTTTTCTGTAGGCTTGGGGAGGCAGACACAAAGTTTTCTGTAGGCTTGGGGAGGCAGACACAAGAGCCATCCCCTTATTTGCTGCTGGGAACCTGGGACTGAGCTCTAGCTCTAACTGTGCCACTCACTACGAGACCTTGCCTCGTCACTCATCTCTGCAGTGCATTATTGATTAAGATCTTTTTATAGCCATGAGATTGCATGATTTACGTTAAAAAAAGGCATGACGAGAATGTCATGGGTTGAGAGTCATTCTTCCCAGAGTCAGGAGGTAGGATCTGATGTGTGATGAGGGGTCCTGTCTTGCAATTCTCATCTTGCCTCTATTAGAAACCGAGAAGCAAAGGAACCCCATTTGCCTTCCACTAGGAAAGACACCAACATAGGGTGCCCAGTGAATTCTGCCAACCAGGAAGTCTTCCTTAACAATAGCCTCCTGCCCAGGACAGGTCTACAGGTTGGTTTATCAACAGCAACTCCTGTGCTTGGGGCCACAGCTCCAGCAGCACCAGACTTTGGCTTCCAATTGCTTTGACCCCAGATCTCCGCTGGTTTTCCTAGTTCCTGACTATCTCACTCTCAACTGGTTTCTCTCTTCTGGTCTAGCTCATTTGGACTGACAACAGAGGCCCAAATTTGGCTTGTACATCAGTTTCTCCCTTGGAGCTCATACCTGCTCTTGTTCTGTCCACGTGTGGTCACTGGGAGAATGATGCCCAGCCTAGATTCTTGACCAGAAAACCTTCCTCAGCCATGCTTGACCATCCGCCTTGTGTTCAGAGGAGGCTCAGCAAATGCTACCTCTACCCACATCTTGACTTATTTTATACTCCACACAGCCAGGGGTGTGGTTGGCAACTGGTGGTTGTGGTGAATGGATTCCAGCTTCTGATGGCCGAGCGTGCCCTCCTTTCTGGCTGAGACACCTGGGAGGGTGGGGGTGTGCTAAGGAGTGGGCAGCTGGACACACCACAAGAACCTCATGGCAATTAGGGAGTTAGGCCATTTCCTGCCTCCCACACAGCAGGAAACAAAGATGTGTGTTGTTTTATTTCTTCCAGCATTGACCATAAAGATGCCAGACAGGAACTGAGATAGAAGCTCTGGAGGCAGGCAGGAGACAGAGGAGCTGGCAAAAATCAGAGGTCATCGGGGACTTCAGAGATCAAATATCCTCCTTCTCAGATGAGGAAACTTAGACCCAGCAAAGTGAAAGCAAGCATTTTCCCAAGGGCTGTCACTCTCTTGCATCAAGTTTAAATTAATTTAGGCAGCGTCAGGTTGGAGACTGGGTTCCAAAAAAGGTAGTTTCCAGAGTTCACCTTGAAGAGCAGCAGCTTGATGCCAGTGGACCTCAAAGGGGCCAGCCCAACTGGTCATTCTGATTGGTTCAGAGCTGACCTAGTGCAGAGCTGTGCCTGCAGTGAAACATGAGAGAGGCCTCCATCCCTGGACTTCTCTGGCTCTTCTCTTTCTCCTGATTTGTCATCTTGCCTTTCTTCAGAAGAGTCACCATCGTCATCACCACCATCATCACCATCATCACAACTATCATCACCATCACCATCGTCATCATCATCACTACCATCACCATTATAATTATCATCACCCTCAACATCACCATCACCATCACCATCATCACCACTACCACCATCATCACCATTATCATTACATTTTTACTATAGGAGCTGAAGCTTGCATGTATCTCTTCTTCTGGCTGTATCACCCACTGCCCTCCACCCATTGCTCTCCTGCCTCCTCCTGCCTAACTCCTATTCATCTTTCAGGACCCTAATCTGGGCTTCCAATGAAGTGTCACCTCTACTGCAGGCCTTTCTGGCCCCCAAATCAGAATTAGCTCCTCCTCCTCCGGGCTTCCACACCATTTACTTCAAGGGTCTGTGTCCCCGAGTTGATTTATTGCTTGTGTAAGTGATCAAGTAGAGATACTTAATAATGTCCCACTCAGACTCCAAGGTCCCTGAGAACGATGCCTGCGTTTTATCTTTCTACATGAATTACATGTCATGTAGGAAGTGCTCACCAGGAGTTTGTCACATTAAACGACTAAGTTTTGAAGGAGGACGTTTCTGGATTTTAACATAATAGGAAGAAAGTTAGGATAATACCAAACTTTTCCAAAATGCCTCTTTCACACAAAGCAAAATGAGCCTAGTAACTACAGGATAAGGTATCAGGGGATGAGACTCATAACAGCGTATGTAGTCAACATGGAGCAGAAATTTAGGGTATGGAAGAGGAACAGGGGTGCCCAGGGGGTTGGAAAAAATCATTAGGAATATCAGAAAACCGTTCGATTTTAAGAATTTCTTATTTTTTTTTCTCTTTTTGAGGATTGCTGGAGAGGTTTATTGTGCATTATGACTGACTTCAAGGGCTTTGTTTCTCTCCCCGAGCTGCCCTTACACGGAGGCAGAGAGGTGACGGGGGTGGGTGGGGGTGGTGAGAGTGGGGATGGTGGTGAACAGAAACCCCTTACTCCTGCTTTTTTGGTCTTGGTCTATCACAACACCTTGTTTACTCAGCCCACCCCTGTATAGGGTACATTGTCACTTCTCAGTCTGCAAAGGATAAGAGATAAAAAGGGATCCTTGAAAGACTTACGTCACGCATTAGGAAGCTCTTTGCTATTGGAGAAGACAATTCCCAGCTTCATCCCACAGGTTTGTTGGTGGTCAGACTTGAAGAGATTAATGGTGGATAAACAGGTCCCAGGGAAAGTGGCAGCATCCAATCTGTTGCCAGGAAGCAGGGAGAGAAATGCCACACCGTAGGATTCCATATATGGCACTCACTTCTTCCATGGCTAGATTAGGGGTGCCTGACCTTACAGCATAACAAGAAAGAGGCTTGTGCAGCTGAGAAGGAAGCAGACCCCCAACCCATAGCCAAGAATGAAAACTCTGGTTAGGAGATAAACAGAATCTACCTGATATTCTGATATGCTTTTCTAGAAGTTCTGAGAATGTGATGAACATGGTGGAAAAGTCTCTTTGCCAGGTGCATTATTGGTAAGTTGCTCTGCTAATGCCACATGAGTTGATTCTCATTGTGGGGGTTTTACTGAGTGGAGAAGATAATTAGGAGCTACAATAGGATTGTTTAATTAGATAATTAAAGAATAAATTATGTGACCCTCTCATTTTTCTGTATGTGTACAGGCTTATTATTATTATTATTTTTTACTTTAGTGCAAGGGTCAATCAACTTCCTCTTAAAGGACCAGGTATCAAATATTGTAGGCATTGTGGGCCATGTGGTCTCTGTTGCAATTATACAACACAGCTGTTGGAACACAAAAGTAACAATATGTGAATGAGTAGGCATGGCTGTGTTTCAATAAAACTTTACATATGAACACTAACATTTGACTTCCATATAATTTCCATGTGTCAAAAAAAAACTGTTCATTTGATTTATTTGTCAACCATCTAAAAATGGAAAACCATTCTTCACTCACAAACCATACAAAGTGGTAGAACAAATTTGGCCTGTGGGCTGTAGTTTGCTGACTCCTGTCTTAGGGGATGCCTCAGTGCACCTCCTGTTGTAAGGAGATTGGAGCTAGTTTCCAAGATAGAAATGAGTAATTTTGAAGTTTCCCCAGCAATTTCAAAATCCATTTTCAGGCTAGATAACTGGTCCATGATAAGTCTGAAAAGAAACAAGCCTGGACTTGCCTGCCTAACTCCATTATGAAATCTGTGGCTTCCAGGGACCTTGAAGTCTTCCAGGTCATATTCTAGACTTTATGACCACATTTAAACCAACTTAGGGATACACAGCCCCTGTCTGTTAGAGGAAAACATACCTTAACTCCTAGAGTAAACAATTTCATCCTCATGTCCCTTAAGCACTCATTTTCACACTGGCCAGCTTTCAGGGGTGTGATGCAATCTGACTTCCTAATGTTGTGGATGAGTAGTGTAATGTAATGTAATGTAATGATGTAATGTAATGGAGAGAGTTGTTTATTCCCCTACACATATGCACCAAAGGGGTAAATAATGGCGACTCTCCATTTCTGGGTTTTATTTGACATTTTCCTCTACTGGGCCAGCTATGACCTTAGGTGTGGATCATTTCCTTTTCCCTAGATGGAAGGAGCTGATGTTATGGAGAACGGGGGTGGTGTTTGCTGATGTGGTTCCTGAATGTTTCCAGCAGCCCAGAGTGAAGCACCACTATAACAGAATTTAAAAATAGAGAATAAAGTAAGCTTAATGTAGCAGTTTTCTCAAGACACCAGAGTAGGCATTTAAAAAATAACTCAGGATGATTCTTTCTGGAGTCTGCCAAGGCGCTGAATTCTGAGACCATGGTGGGATTCTGATATTTAAAAAAATGTTCGTTGGTGGGGGTGGGGAGGTGATGGACTGGCATAGTTTAGTGCAGTATCTTGTATCTAGTAGGCTCTCCATAAAGGTTTACTATACAAATGAAGGGGGTGAGGGTTTAGGAGAGCATTTTGTCTGAACAGGAATTCTGGTTTCCTTCCAGCTGAACTGCCTCTTGGGTTGCCTCTCAGGTCTTTGTAGAAACATATGACATTCTGAGGAGTGGAGAGAAGTTCCCCTTTGGATCCCAGGCAATTGGCACGTCAAATCCAGTCTTACTTTTATGACACCAGAGTCCACACGGCTTCCTGTTTCTAACAGCTGCTACTGGCTCAGCATTATCTCAAAAGAGGAATCCAGCTTCCTTGGTTTTTGCCAAAGCCCAAATCAATAAGCATCTGCTTTCTGCTGCATTTGCAATTGGCCCTACTGGCAGCAGGGAATGTTGAGCACGTAGAAGCCATGAGCCCCCACCTAGCTCAGGACTTGTTCTGGATTGTAGAGACTGTTCCTTTGTAGGGGAGAAGGAACTGGGGGTTCGGAGGGGTGGGAGAAGTGGAGGCTGGGGCTCTGTGTTGCCCTGTTTCCTTGTGAGATAACTAGGAAGTCTGGGCAATTTTTAAGTTCCCATCATTAATTACAATTTTGTTTTTTTTGCTGGGGGGAGTGGGCGGAGAAGGAGGGGAAGTTGGAAAGGGGTTGCTCTCTGGAAGTTATGAGACCCTGGAAAGAGAGAAGACATATTCAAAGAAAATTGAGACAAATTTTTTTTTTTTTTTTTTTTTTTGAGGCGGAGTCTCGCTCTGTCCCCTGGGCTGGAGTGCAGTGGCACCATCTTGGCTCACTGCAAGCTCTGCCTCCCAGGTTCACACCATTCTCCTGCCTCAGCTTCCTGAGTAGCTGGGACTACAGGTGCCTGCCACCACACCCGGCTAATTTTTTGTATTTTTAGTAGAGATGGGGTTTCACCATGTTAGCCAGGATGGTCTCGATCTTCTGACCTCGTGATCCGCCCACCTCAGCCTCCCAAAGTACTGGGATTACAGGCATGAGCCACTGCGCCTAGCCAAATTGAGACAAATTCTAAAGATTGTTTATAACCTCAAAATTAGTTCCATGCCCTTGATGCCAGAAGCATTTCTCCTCTGGTACAGAAAAGGCAAGTTTGCATGTTGACATTAGACTCTAGTCTCTTTAAGGTAAAATTCAGGTTCTACTGATCTTTGAAGCCTTGGCATCCAGCATGAAGCATGACATAGAGTAGGTGCTTAATACTTGTAGGTGACAGAGTGAACATCAGATGAGCAAGCAGAATACATGCTGAGCACCATCAGCTTTTCTGGATATGTGGGAAATTTAATCTTTTCTCAATACGATCCCAGCCTTTCTCTACCCAGAGACAAGCTGTTATCTGCAAAAAGTAGCAGAATTACATTCAACATCCAGACCTGCGATAGTGGCTTGAAAAGGTGTGCGACGTGTTGAATTTCAATCCCTTTGCTGAAAATAAATGGAAAAATGTGTTATCGCTGCTCGTGTCTCTTTGGCTTATCATGTCTTTAACAGTTTTGTTAAAAAGGGAATTCAGTCTTCAGACCACTGGGAAACTATCAAGCTTTGGCTAGAGCAGGAATTTTCAACCCTGGTGGTATGCTGGAGCCTCCTGAGGGGTTTAAAAGAATCCCAACACACAGGTGCACTCTACACCAATTGCATCTGAGTTTTGGCAAGTGGGATCCTGGACAAGCTCTCCAGGTAACTCAGATGTGGGCAGCCTAGGCTGAGACACCCCTGAGTTGGCATTTACCCATGCTGGAGCACTAGCGCCAAATAGCTGCTCCTCCGATTGCAAAATAGCAGTCAAACCAGGGGGCTCTGGAGAGTGGAAATAATAATCCTGTGGATTACAGTATTTGATTACAGTCAGCACTTTTTATTTTTGGCAGTGGTTCCAACAAGTCAAGCAAACCCTGAATCTTTATATAAAAAAGTCATTTAGTTGGATTAAAGCTTTATTGCTTTTTGCCAACTTTTGAATTGGGTGGAAACTATTAGTGCTAGAGAAATGTCATGATTTCTTTCAGAGCAAGGTTTGTGTTACAGTTTTCCGAATCCCCAGCTCCTAGAATGAGGCCTGCCATGTGGTAGCTAGTCAAAAACGCTACAATAATTACAGTAGCTGCTGCTTGCTGGGTACCTACTGTTACACTGAACACCTCATGTAATCTTCAAAACAACCATATGAGGTAGGTCCTATTAGTATCTTCCTTTAGGAAGGTGAAGAAGGCAGAATTCTAAGACGATGCCAACATTCTGCCCCCTATTGTGCCTGCCCTATATAATCCCCTCTCCTTGAATGTGGGCCAGACCCATGAATATGATGGGATGTCGCTCCTGTGATTATATGATGGCAAAGGTGAAGAACTCTTGCAGATGTGACTAAGTTTCCTTATCAGCTGACTCTAAAGTAATCAAAAGGGAGCTTATCTTGGGTAGGCCTGGCCTTATCAGGTGAGCCCTTTAAAAGAAGTGTTAGAGATTGGAGGCCTGCTAATAAGCAAGTCACCGTGAGTACTAATGCTGTAAGGAAATAGATTCTGCTGACATCCCAGAGCTCCAGATAAGACTCTGAGTAAGAGGACTTAGCTAAGACACCCAGATTCCCAACCCACAGAAACCATGACATAATAAACAGGTGTTGTTTTAAGCCACTAAATATGTGATAATTTGTTATGCAGCAATAGAACACTAATACACCAGTGGAAAAGTCATGATACAGAGAGGTTAAAGGGCTTGGCCAATGATCCACATTATGAGCTGGTGGAGCTGGGAGTGAAACCCTGACATTTCTGACCCCAAGCTGTTTAATCATGTCACCATCACCACCATTTATTTATAAAATGAGGCTCATTTGCACTAGCCCACTGGCTTTCTGAAAGCTATAAACTGGGACAAAACCAAGGTGGATTCAAAGTCTTGCTTGCTTTGTGCAATGATGTGGAATTAGAGGCAGGAGCTGCCAGCATATGCCACACATGTGGAGGGTCAGGGCCAGAGGCGTGGAAATGGTGTCTTTTCCAGATCCACACTCCAAGCTGTGCCCCCAAGTTGGTACGTATGTCAGTCGTGAACAAGAGAAGGACTGAAGAAGGCTGTTTTAATCACAACTGGGACCTCAAAGGCCAATTTACTGAACATCAAATAAACCTTAAGAAAGAAAGAGATGGGGCTGTGGTCGCCTGGTGACAACCATATCTGCTTTGCTCCAGCTGAGAGGCGAGGGTGTTGGCCTACATTTCTGATCAGATCCAGAATTTAAACATCATAATTATACAGTGGTCCTTTCTTAAAGAAAAGCTAAGCTTTACTTTCATTAGTAATGTACATTTTAGTCCAGCTTTTCCATTTTCTTTTTTTCTTTTTTTTTTTTTTTTGAGATGGAGTCTTGCTCTGTCGCCCAAGCTGGAGTGCAGTGGCACGATCTCAGCCCACTGCAGGCTCCATTTCCCAGGTTCACACCATTCTGCTGCCTCAGCCTCCCGAGTAGCTGGGACTACAGGTGCCCGCCACTATGCCTGGCTAATTTTTTTTGTATTTTTAGTAGAGATGGGGTTTCACTGTGTTAGCCAGGATGGTCTCGATCTCCTGACCTCGTGATCTGCCCACCTTGGCTTCCCAAAGTGCTAGGATTACAGGCATGAGCCACCACGCCCGGCCCAGCTTTTCCATTTTCTTAAGGAGATTGATAGAGAGAACTTTTAAGATTTGGTTATTCTCAGACTGGGGCCACATGGGCTCTCTTGCAGGATATTGGCTGTGCTGGGTGGCCAAAGCCAGCTTTTGTCAACAGAGGTGTGTGTTCTTGTGTTGGCTTCTAAATGGTTCCTCAGAGAGGTGGTCACCACCCCCTCTGTCATCTTGTGCAAAGGCCATGGGTGTCCTGCACCAGAGCATTCCATAGGTATTTATAAGCTGAATGGTGCTGTGTGAGCTCCGATGAGCAATGTAACTCTGGAACTGCCCACGACGTGGACTTTGACTCGAAGGTAGTTGAACCCTACTCTACCCTCTGGCAGCTGTGTAACCTTGGGCAAGTCACTTGACTTGTCTTAGCCTTCATTTCCTCTTCTATAAAACAGGGATAATAATGTTTGGGCGGACCTCCTACTCAGTATCCATTCTCCTCTCTTCTTCAGTAGGAGGAGCCTAACTGTGGGATGAAGTTAGTGTGCTCTAACTAAAACCATTTCATTGTCTTGATGCTGGGATGGCTGTAAGACCTATCTCTGGCTAGTGAGAAGTGAAAGTCTACTGGTAAAGAAGGGGTGTCTTGGAAAGTTATCATTTTCCTGTACTCAGCTAGAATGTTCCTTTTCATTTTCCCTTTACCTGCATGTCCTCTTCCTACCTGGAATGTAGATGTGATGTCCTGAGGTGAGCAGCCATCCTGTGAGCCTAAGGATAAGGAGGAGCAGAAAGCTATGAATGGTTTGGGTCTCTGATGGCATCATGGAGCCACCCACCAGCCCTTCCCTGCCTTCCTTTGGACATCTTAACACATGGTGGAAATATACTTCTCTTTCTATTGGTGATCTTTTTTTTTCTTTTTATCCCTTCAGGCCAAATGCAATTCTAGCTGATGTAAAAACCTGCCTCATAAGGTACCTTCCCAAATATTTGAAAATACTCAGTGAGCCATCAGATGTTAACATATGCAAGAAGTCATTTGACAACTTTATTATTAAAGATCCCTTTCTAGAGATATAATCAGTGTGAAAGGAGAAGAGACAGGGATGTCTCTCTTCTTCAGTACTGACTTGTGGGAAGTAAATATCCTGGTATGGTATGGGAATGTGTGGCCAAAATATAATTTAATCAGAGTAACGAATTGCCCATCAGGCCTAATGTGTCTAATTTTGACTGAGGCAGGGAAGACCCAAGAAAGAGTTGCTCTCTGTCTTTGAACACCCCTTGCCTGAGAGAGAGTTCACTTGAGATCTAGAAAATATGTAGGGATTTGGGGTAAGACAAGTGGGCAGTAACCAATGTATACCCCAGCAAGGCCATTTTAATGGACTCACAGTTCCACGTAGCTGGGGAGGCCTCACAATCATGGCGGAAGATGAAGGAAGAGCAAAGCCATGTCTTACATGGTGGCAGTCAAGACAGCTTGTGCAGGGTAACTCCCCTTTATAAAACTATCAGATCTTGTGAGACTTATTCACCATCACGAAAACAGCACAGGAAAGACCTGGCCCCATGATTCAATTACCTCCCACTGGGTCCCCCCATGACATATGGGAATTCTGGGAGCTACAATTCAAGATGAGATTTGGGTGGGGACACAGCCAAACCATATCAGACATCATCTGCATCAATAGACACCAGATATTATGGAACAAGAAGGGGATGAGCACACTTTTCTCTCCTCAGTCCAGTCACAGCCAAACCCCTGAATTTAGCTCAAGGGCTTGACTCCAGTAGGCACCTGGACCAACCAACTGGGGCTCAGTCAGAGGAAAGTGATGAGGATGGGGCAGAAAACCAAAACCCTGTTTGTTATTTAGGGCCATGACTATAGGAGTAGGAATAATGGCCTGAAGAAAAGTGGACCCAGTGGAGGACATGACAGTTATTTTCAAATCTGAAGGGCTTCCACATAGAGCAAGGATCAATCTCCTCTGGCTCAGTCCCAGTGGGTGGAATTGGAACCAATGGTAAAAACTTCCAGGTTGCAATATTTGGATTTGGGTTGGGATTTGGATCTGTATATGTCAAAGACACAGTGACCCATCTCAGTGGCTGGTCCCACTGCTGGGGGTATTTAAGCACATATGGAACTACCACTTGCTGGGATGTTGTACAGGGATCCCAGCATGCATTCACCTGTTGGCTTCTTCACTCAATGAACTAATTGATTTCTTTTAGTTAATGGTTAATTAACTAACAGTTAATTAACTGTTAATAGTTAATTAACAATTAGTGGTGCCTGCCATGTGTCAGGCTCTTACAGCCTGGTCTGACTGACTACAACCTTTGAAATCTCTACTAACTTTGTGATTCTTTGATACTCTGAGTATAATTAGTTCCATTTTGCATGGGGGAAACTGATGTACCAAGATCCGGAGTGAGTTGTACAAAGCCACGGAACACATATGTAGCGGACTCTTCATTTTCTCTGAGCTTTTGCTCTCTCTAGTCTCCTTTCTTTTTCAAACGGCTGTTTCTTTCAGAGAAAAAAAAAACACGCAAAAAAACCATCTGGGCTTGGCGAGCACGTTTGGGGAGGATGTGCAGTTACCCAGTATTGGTCGGAAAGATGTGTTTTCCTGACTCTGGACAAATTGAAGCAAGCTCTCCCTTTGATCTGCAATCTTCCAAATTTCCCCAGATACCCCCAAGCAGAGGCAGATTATATGCAAGGGCTGTGGTTCAGATTTGATGGAACACATGGCTTTCTCACTGGGGCGTGGCTGTGGATTCTTCAGATTCAGTCGCCCCCGCTATTCTCTGCACTTACATTCCAAAAATTGCTGTAGAAACCACACACCTCCAAGAAAGCCAATTTCTTTTTAAACATTTGTGAATCTTTCTCTCTCTCTCTCACACACACACAGACACACACACACTACCCCACTCCATAGCCAATCTTTACATCTTATATCTGTGGCTTTTCTCTTTTAGGACCTCTTGCCTGGCAGAACCTCCATGGGTTGGGAGCACCTCATCAGGCAATGAAAGCCAACCTTACTTTTGCAGCTGGGCATCTCATAAGGAAGGAGCAGGGCCATTCAGCTCAAGCCTCTATTCCTCCGTGGTGCATCAGGCTTGCAAGATGTAGCAAGAGCAAATTAGCAGCTGTGTAAGACTGTCTGACGCTGGTAAAAGCATCTGTTGGGAAACTTGCTTTGTAATTTCCTGAGCATTTAGGGTCAGAAGTGGGTAGAAACCCCCAAATGGAAGAAAAGCCTAATTGCTTTCAAGTGGGAGAAAAATAAGAAACAGACAAGCTCGCATGGGTGCAGTGTGTGGATTCTGAACTGCAGGCCTCTGGGGTAAATGTTTCCAAAGCAATACTTTCTTAGGGAGCAAGAACTCACTTTCTCATGAAATGATTTATTTGGCACAGACTGGACCATATGTGGGTGGGAGTGGTGATCAAATTCACCCTCCCAACATTGCTCTGTAAGGCTGGAGATGAGTTGGAGAATGATGGATCGGAGCCCATTAGTGAGTTCTCTGTGTTAGTGTATTGGATCATCTTTCTTGGTTTTAGTCACCAACGAGTTTTCAGCACCCGGAACAGTGCCTGACACATAGTGGGTGCTCAACAAACATTTGTTGAATGACAGAATGAATGCACTTTTGTGTCCTAAGCTCTCTCTAAAGTTTCTATGTCTTAGTTGGCTCTGTATTTGGTTGATATCTGAAATGGAGGTTAAAAACAACAACAACAACAATAGAAAAAAGGAATTTTGATCTCTAGACAGAACTTGAGAGAAATATAAACTGGGGAGGCTGAAAGAAAATAAGGGAGCCAACATCGCTGCGTAGGGATGTTTGGCGAGGCCACGGCTCATATGCAGACCATTGGAAAGTGTCTCAGCCTGGTATAGGCCTGTCGTTTCTCTCACATACCTTTGAAGTTTGCATCTCACTCTGAACTCTGCAGTGAAGATTTTGCCCTTGCTTTGCTTCAAGGCCAAGGCCTTTATCCTGAGATCAAGGGTCTTCCCTCTCTCTCCTATCACTTTCGCTACATCTCTTTTCTTCTCTTTCCCTACACTGCAATTCTCCTTAATAGCTAGTTTCAGTTCTGGATGGTAAGATTGGGCTTCGCGAAAGACCCATTTCGAAACTCTCTCTTAACAAATTCACATCTTGACAGCTTTCATTGGCCTGAATGTGATTAAAGCTGAGACTTCAGGGAATCGAAACTGTGATTTCCAAAAAGCACACAGCATCTGCATAACTAAAAACCCTCTCTGACTGTATGTGACTGGAGCTCTAGAGGAAATTTGGAGAATTTATGTACCCCCCCTTTGCCAGCTGCAGTTTGTCACTCTCTTTAGTACTTGGAGTAATAGCTCTATGTTAATAGTCACAAAGGGTTGCATATTTTACTTACTAAATGAGGCTTAAAGATAAAACACCTTCTTTCTTTCCCTCCTCCATCAATAAGGCACACTTAGCAGAAACATCATGTAGAGCTATTTGCAAAAGGCTTGATTTCTTTAGCTGGAGAAAGAAATGGAAACACAAAGACGACTTGCCTATGTGCCTTCCCAAGCTCTCTTGGCATAGAGAGCACAGGCTCCTCTGTGTGTTGAATCCAAGGTTAGTAAGTCAGAGCTCTGAGAGCCATGGCAAGGATAGGTGATTCCTTAGGTAATAGGTTAGGCAGGGGAGGAGGGACAAAGAGAGGCGGAAAAAAGAGAAAAAAATTTACAAGACGAGAAAAGAGGAGAGGTGGTAACATGCTTCCAGACAGCTCAGCTGCCTTTCTGTGCATCAGCTCATGACTGTGGCCTGCTGCTCTAGACACCAAATCCCCAGCTGATTCATTCCTCTTGAAGAGATGCCTCATTGGCTAGTGACTGCTCCCTGCCTTAATGGGATGTGCCTGGGGCTCAGATATGTGGTTTGCTAAGCTTGGAGACTGAACCCAACCGGGAGGAGCCCAACTCCACAGATACAAAGGCAATAAATGCGACAAAGAGTGGGGGGCCCTTGGCCAGAATCAAGCTAGTCCCTGGAGGTGGTGCTCTCTACATTTCCTTCAAATGATCAGATTCTCTCATTGAGAAGATGGGGCTGAGTCTCCAGGACCCAGGATGCCATATGCAGCTACTGAGCTAGTGGCATGCACAGGCTTTGGTTTTATTGGAAGTCGTCCTCTTTGGCCCAACACCAGATAATACCTAAATATGAGAATTAGAGTTTTCAAGCCAGATTCCAGTCGTGGGTAGTAGTAGCTATGCAGACTTGCTGTTTACAACTTTTTTTTTTTTTTTTTTTTTTTTGAGACGGAGTTTTGCTCCTGTTGCCCAGGCTGGAGTGCAATGGCACAATCTTGGCTCACTGCAACCTCCACCTCCTGGGTTCAAGCAATTTTCCTGCCTCAGCCTCCCGAGTAGCTGGGATTGCAGGCACCTGCCACCATACATGGCTAATTTTGTATTTTTAGTAGAGACGGGGTTTCTCCATGTTGGTTAGGCTGGTCTCGAGCTCCTGACCTCAGGTGATCTGCCTGCCTTGGCCTCCCAAAGTGCTGGGATTACAGGCGTGAGCCACCGTGCCTGGCTTTTTTTTTTTTTCTTTGTCTTGTCCTAGGACATTAGCTCTGGCCTTGTCCCAAAAGGCCCTAGCTCCAGGACTCCATTTCATAAACTGAAATGCACCAGGGCTGGGTCTGCAGCCCCGGGCTGGCCTTACCCTTTGCATCTTTACACAGTTCTGCTTTGCTGAGAGAAGGGCTTTGTTCGGCAGCCTTATCTTCTGCCTCCTTTGTCTTGTCCTCAGTGCTCCAGGCACCCTCCCACTTCTGCAACGCCTGACTGGGAGGCAAGTGCCCGTCTTCAGGTAGGCCCTCTTGCCTCTTGTTCCCATCCTTCCTCTCACGGAGAAATCTGGACAGAGAAACATCCACCCTCAGGTGTGATGTGCTGAGTGACTCAACAAACCTCAGTGGGTGACCCATCATGTGGTCACAAGAGGAAGATGTTGAACTGGAACCCCCAACTTCATGAAAAATGACTTAATCTAGAAAGGAAAGAAATGAGCCGGGCGCGGCTGCTCACACCTGTAATCCCGGCACTTTGGGAGGTTGAGGCAAGAGTTTGAGACCAGCCTGGGCAATATAACGAGACCTGGTCTCTACAAAAAAGCTGAAACATTAGCTGGGTGTGGTGGTGCATGCCTGTGGTCCCAGCTACTCCAGAAGCTGCGGCAGGAGGACCACTTGAGCCCAGGAGGTTGAGGCTGCAGTGAGCTATGGTGGCGTCACTGCACTATAGCCTGGGTGACACTGTACTCCACATTGAGTGACCCTGTCTCAAAAAAAAAAAAAAAAGAAAGAAAGAATACTGTCAGCTTATTCTTGCAAAAGATAGTAATTCCCACTTAATAGTCTCATTAAGTGGGAATACTCTTCTAAATAGTAAGACGATTGGAGAACAGGTTTTCCACACTAATGCTTCCAGTGGTGACAACAAAGTATTTCATTTTAGAGTAAGTAGGGTCAACATACTGCATGTTAGACTGTGTTTTCTGTTTTTCAGTTCACATTATGTTAATTATTCATTTATATATTTTTAGTAATGACCAGTTGTGCTATATGTAATGGTCAGTTTTCATGCCTATCTCCACTGTTAGATTATATGTTCCATGAGGTCAGAATTCTGCAAACCTTGTTCACCAATGTACCCCTACCATGTAGTACTATATCTGGCAAAAGGTAGATGCTCAATTTGTATTTGTTGGATGGATGGATGGAGGGATAGATGGATGGATTACAAAGTATTGGATGAAGGTAGAGAGGAAACATAGATAGTAGACTGTAGACTCTAAATATTAACTATGAAGAAGAGAGAGTTAATAGTGGTGCTTTTTTTTTTTTTTTTTTTTTTTTGAAACAGAGTCTTGCTCAGTCACCCAGGCTGGAGGTCACTGACCTGTTCTCAGCCCACTGTAACTTCCGCCTCCCAGGTTCAAGCCATTTGCGTGCCTCAGCCTCCTGAGTAGCTGGGATTACAGGCTTGTGCCACCACGCCTGGCTAATTTTTGTATATTTAGTAGAGACAGGGTTTCACCATGTTGGCCAGGCTGGTCTCGAACTGCTGACTTCAAGTCATCCACCTGCCTCCAAGTCATCCGCCTGCCTCAGCCTCCCAAAGTGTCAGGATTACAGGCTTGAGCCACAGCACCCGGCCGATAGTGGTGCATTTTTAATCAACCTCAAGTCCACAGTGATGACCAGAGTGAGTCAGGAGCAGAAAGTCAAGGGCGTGCTTCTTCACCCAAGAAGGTTGTGTTTGGGATTGTTCAAGAGTGTCCTGCTGCATAGTAAGGGCTCAGACAACAGGCCATGACGTTGCTTTGGCATTTTCTGGGTAGCCCACCTACAGAAGCACTAAGTGGCAACATATTTGGTAGGTTTAATATATTTTTTTCCCTGAGAGCCAAAGAAATTTAATCTGAAAACAAGGATCCTGGAGGTGATAATTAGAAGAGAATGGTTAATAATAGAGTCCCAACTGGAGCCTTATACTCACATCAGACATGGGAACTATCCTCATCCATATTGGATAGAAACCTGAAATTTTCTCATGCCATCCAGATTAAAAAAAGATGCATCATTTTTCATTTGAGTTGCAACTTGGTGCCTACAGTTGTGTTTTTTGAAGCTTCTATTCATTTCTGATGGTTCTTTTACTCCTCTCAAAAGACTCAGCTTAAGCGGTTTATGTGTTGCACAGTTGTGACTAGCTGGGCAGTTTTTTTTTTAGGAAAACAAAATTGTTAGGCTTGGAAAAACATCTGCTCTGCGTCTGTTCGTTAGATTCCGCCAACTTTTTTAGCAAGTTGTGACATTTGAACTGACAACCCTAAGGCATATTTCGGAACATTAAGGAAATCTATGCTCAATAAATAGGTTATTATACATCTCTCCAGTGTCCCACTGAAGAATCTGAAAGTGCTTCTTTCGCTTTGGGATTCTTGTTTATAAACTTGTAGCTCAGCATTCCCATCTATCGTATCAAGAAGATATGCAAATGATGTGAGCCCACAGGACTCAGTTAAGCCATGCCTTGTCAAGATGAATAGTTATCCAGTGACTGCTGGTGAGCTGAGATGCCCTCCCTGGGAACAAATTCTGGCACTTAAAAATCATACTCATAAAATGTTGAAGAGAAGAGAATGCTTTTTAAAGGCCCCCATGTCAAAGAACCTGTGGGGGAACTGACCAGATTTCCATCTGTTTCAAATTAAACGTGTTTATTATCTTTGCGTCATGCTCCCCAGCTCAGCATAATCAGTTAGAAAAAGATCTTCTGTGATCTTAGCGGAAAGCATGTTTTTATAAGTTTATCTGGCTGCTTGCTTCCTTACACAAGCCAGCGATATTTCTTCCTTCATTTTGACTCTGAGTTGTGCTTTACTGGAGGTAAAGCATGATGTTGGTGGGCTCTATTCATTTGGCACTTATTTTCTGTTTCCTGTCATGCCCCTGAATCTATGCTACATTTTGGGGATACAGTGGGAACAAGATACTCAGTAAGTAAATATATAAGTAAAGTAATTATAGTTTGCAAAAGTTGCCCTAAAGGAAATAAACATGGGAGACAGAGACAATCAAGCCAAGATTGTCAAGGACAATCTTTAGATTGGGTGGTTAGAAAAGAATTTAGAGCTGAGGCATGAAGGCTAAGAACAAGCCTCTCAAATAGAAATGGAAGGATGAGGATTCCAGGCAGAAGAAACAGCATCTGCAAAGGCTTTGAGATAGTCAAAGCCTATCAAAGCCTCTGGTCATCACTGTGGACTTGAGGTTGACTAAAAATGCACCGCATAGCTTCCTAATATGATAGATGGGAATGCTGAGCTACAAGGGCTTGCAGTATCTGAGGGACAGAAAACCAGCCAATGTAGTTGGAGTGGACAGAGAGGGGGAAAATGGCATGGAGGGATGCCAGGTGATAAGGCTGGAGAGAAACCTGAGCCTGCCCAGGCAGGTTTTATGAGAAATATTCATGATTTTAGATTTTATTCCAAAAGCAATGGAAAGCCAAGGGAAAATGCCATGTTTGGATTTACATTTTAGGAGAATTAGGCTGGCTTATCTATGAAGAACAGATTGGAAGGGGGAAGGGGGAAGCAGGGAAGCCAGGTGGGAGGCGGTTGGCTCAGTCCAGGTGAGAGAGGACCACAGCAGCTTGCACTGGGATAGTATCATTGGAGACTGGGAGAGGAGGATGAGCTTGAGAGAGGTTTTGGAGGTAGAATTGACAAGACTTGTGGGTGCATTGGATAGAGGAGATAGACAATAGGAAGACTCAAGGGAGCTGCTAGCGTGTTGACCTGCAATGAGGTCGCTGACAGTACTAGTGACTGTGAGAAGAGTCCTAGGGAAGGAACGACTGTTTTGTGGGAAGGTGGGGAATGGAAATTCATCTTGAACCCATTAATTGGGAAGACCTGTTAGTAAGCTGTATGTAGAAATGAAGAAGTCTTTTGGCAATGTATCTCTTGAAAGGGCAAACCTTGTAACTCATTGCTGTAACTCTCAACGTAATGATGGAAACGTTTGGAAAAACATGAGATGGCACTTGAGACAACTGAAGTCCGGAAAATCAGAGATGATTCAGGGTTAGCAATAAATCTAGCAAATGACATAGCATATGGGAAAGTGTAAACATGGGTTTTCTCCTTTGTAGCTTCCTGTCTGATTAGACCTTATTTCTGTATTGGAAACAAATGTGCTGACTGAGATGTGGGTGCAGGGAGTGTGAGGGCTGCTTGTGCTGAGAGGGGATGGCCAAAACGTCCATCAAGGAAGATAAGCTTTATGATTCAGGGAGAGGAGGAAGTACTCCAGGGTTGGAAGGTACGCTTAGGAAATGATACAATGTACTTATTTAATATTGTCCTTTGAGTTTTATGGAGTGCAGCCCATTTTTTTTAAAGCTACTCTTTAAAATGATATTTTCTCTGTAAATCAGGCATGAAAAAAAAATGACCTGAGGCCCTTCTTAACATTTCTTCAGTGGAGTCTCTGCCTTCCTATTAATTTTCAGCAGATTGGGCTTGTTTTTCTACCTGCCTGCCCATTTCCAAGTACAAGCTGTCCCACTCTTTGCTTATCTCTTTCTGTTTGGTGTTCAAAAGGGGTCCATGGTGCTTTTCGAAACCATAATATTTGGTTGGTTAGTGAACAGTCTGCAAAGCAAAATACATTACTTTGATGTTAGCATTGGTACCAGACCTGGAAGAGGAGATTGACCCTGCAGGTTTCTGCTTTGTGTGTGTAGAATCTCAGAATGGTGCAGGGGAGACTCCTCTACTGTTGGTATAGAAAAGGCTTAAGTTTTGGAGTCAGAGAGCCCTGAGTTCAGTCCTTAGTTCTGCTGTTTTCTATTTTGCAACTTTAGGCTTGTGACTTAATGTCTTTGAACCCAGTGTTTTCGTCGGTAAAGTATGGATAATTATACATATGTAAATGGCTGGGTTGTTGTGAAGAGTAAATAATATGACATATGTAAAGTTCTTAGATGATACTTATTTCATGCTGGTTACCACAAATAGTCTGTCATGCTATTATCATTGAATATACAAATATAATGGTGTCAGTTTGACAGGAAATATACCTTCTTGGTTTGTAGCCCTGTAAGGGCTGTTGACAAGCACTAAAACCATGGTAAGAGGGCACCGGAGTGATGGGGTAGGGCTTCTCTGATACAGTCTAGCAAATGTTGCAAAAGGGAAGCTCCTGGTGTGTTTAACTCACTTATTTTTCAAATTGTGTTAAAAATTCAAATTGACCAGTTAAGTTAAAAAAATGGAGACCTTTCCTATGCAATGTGGATGACAAGCTTCTTTTGAAAAACCAGATCTGGCAACACAAGACCCCCTGCATTCCAGATCATGACCATCAGCTGTAACTTAGAAGGGCAGGCTCTTTCCAGTTCTCTCCACTGTTTCTTCCTAGTGCTCTATCTTAGAGATAACCTAGTGTTACCTCTTATATTGACTACTGACCAGCTCATGTGATTGGACAAACACTTTCACTCTTTTAGTCTCAGTTATCCCGTCTGTAAAATGAAGATGATAATCATTAACGCTTATCCCAAAAGTTTCTTTTGAGGATTAAAAAACCTCAATTAAAAAGTTTTTTTCACAGTGCTTGGTGGAGAGAAAGAACTCAGGGTTAGCTATTATTATGGTCATTATTAGGCAGCTTTGCAAATTAATGGGTATCTAATTGAAATACATACCTAAGTGGACACCGACAGAAATTAAACTGTGGATAACACACACATTTGTTATAGGGACATAATATTTTTGAAAAATACAGTGAATTTTTCTTTTTTCCTACTTTCTTGTAGTTGGTCTTCTCTATATTCTCCTCTTAGGGAAAAGCATTTGACAGAGAATCTTCTGCTGTCACATCCACCCTTCACCCTATTCCACGCTGACTTGTTTGGATTATATCAGTAGAGGATAATGGTGTCACTATTTATTCCCCTGTCTAGCTTCTTCCCTAAGGCATTGCATTGAGCCTGCTGAGACCCTCACTGAAGATTACTACTTCCCTTCAAATATTCTCTCCTTCTGAGTTTGGTAACCCTTCCGTCAGACCATGAGGTCCTGGACCTGGGGTGGTAATGATGACACTCTCACTAGCCCTGAGGCTCTGTCACGTTTCTTGCAGTGCTCTCATATGTCTTTGAACCTTTTGTAGACAATCTTTTTTATCAAAACAATTTCTACTTATCCTACTTGGAGTAAATCATC
Source organism: Homo sapiens (assembly GCF_000001405.40). Taxonomy (NCBI): domain Eukaryota; kingdom Metazoa; phylum Chordata; class Mammalia; order Primates; family Hominidae; genus Homo; species Homo sapiens. Next base: position 68,714,172 of record NC_000017.11, read on the forward strand.
AGCTGATGTAGCTTCCATTGCCTTGAAAAAAAAATTAGAATTGTGGCTGGGCATGGTGGCTCATGCCTGTAATCCCAGCACTTTGAGAGGCCGAGGTGGGTGGATCACTTGAGGTCAGGAGTTCAAGACCAGTCTGGCCAACATGCTGAAGCACCGTCTCTACTAAAAATACTAAATTAGCAGTACATGGTGACAGGTAATCCCAGCTACTCGGGAAGCTGAGGCAGGAGAATCGCTTGAACCTGGGAGGTGGAAGTTGTAGTGAGCCAAGATTGCACCACTGCACTCTGGCCTGGGTGACAGAATGAAATTCTGTCTTAAAAAAAAAAAAAAAAAAAAAAAGAATAAAGTAAAAATCAAAGAAAAGGAGTTAATTTTAAGGTTCCAATCTCAAGACAATATTTTGAATCTACAGCAAGGTAATGGTCCTAGAAATCAGGCTTCATGGAGAGAGAAAAAAGTTTTTAAAATTCTTGGAGGTTTCCATTAACATATAGAAAGCCAGGCTAGGTCACAGAGGATCAAAGCCACAAGTGGAGAGCAGGCAGGAGAAATGACTTGTGGGAAATTTCCACCAGACAGGAAGAGAAAATAGAAACCATTGCCCTGGAGAAGGAAGGGAGATTTTGAGAGGGCACAACCAGGATGTGTACCGCAGCTTGGTCACTGAGAAATGACTGTTTCCTCCCCAACCCCACCTTACTTAAGCAAAATTGGGGCAGGGTGTGATGAGGCATTGGAAACCCTCACAGAAAGCCCAGATAGCTTGAGGGAGAGTCAACACATCTTGACTTGTCCCCCGTGTCCCCCCTGTGACTACTGTGGTAGGGAAGTGGTGAAACTTCCACCATCCCTCTTCCAGGGTAGAGGGTTCCTTATGGCCCAGAGTTCCTGTCTGCCCCAGGGAGAGGACACCAAGGTGCTGAGAACAATGTTGTCTTGGTATAGACTTCAGGGCTAAGAAGCAAGAGGCCACAAACCATAGAGGGCTGGTGATTTGAGGGACCCAGAGACCTTGGACATCAGCAGCAGATGCCAGCGGATGCCCATAAAGGACAGTGAAATTGGCCACACCTAAGTAAACACCAGCCAAGGACATTCAGGGACAAAACCAGCGTGTAGCTGAAGACTCAGGACTCCAAGGACTATATGCCAGCTTTTCTCTGCCCCCAGATATCACCTTGGGAAGAAGATATGGGCAAAGTGACCCCTTAAGAGAGGAGGGAAGCAGTCTTTGAATTTCCTGGGCAATTTACCCAAATGAAGCTGAGTTAATCCCAAAGTGAAATGTTTTAAACAGGAACAAAGTCAGTTGCCCTTAATTAAAATTAATTTAATTAATTTGAATTTTTCTCTGCCAGCAGGAGGAAAGGTAGCTTCAGAGTAAGTGAGTAATTATAAACAATAATGAACTTCATCTTTTTTATACTTCTGAGTGTTCTGTATAAATTTTGTTTTGTAAATTCTGCATGACCTCTCTCACAAGATTGACCCTTTGCTCTGGAACTTTGTCTTTGAGTCACTGAGTCATATTAAGGGTGGTGAATGAATTTTATCTAACATAACCATTACTTTTACTTACTAAGTAATTTTAAACATAAACATGGAAGGAAATTAAGATAGAAAGAAAAATATCATATCCCTCCACCCTAAAGCAAAAACATCCATTTTGAAAAAATATTTTCTTTGCCCATGTGGTTAATATACTGGTGAGAGATTGGCCAAACCGTTTGCCTACAAAAGTCTGTCCTGTCAACATCCTGAGTTTGTCCTTGGTGACGTAAAGGAAAAGAGAGAGAAAGAGAGAGAGAAATGAGCTGAGTACCTGATGTTGTCATATGGCATCAAGCTTCTCCTTACTTGGATGCCCTTCCAATTAGTGAAACAGGACATTTTTAGGATGGTGTCCAGACTCAACAGTGTCAATAGGATTTCACTCTTTCTATCTTACTTCTTAGTGTTTGCCATTATACAAAACCCCAGGATTCACGGGGATTCCTCTCTATTCTTCATCTGGCATTCTAGACCCTGATTCTGGGGCTCTTGACTGTTGGATTATTGACATTATGATGTTATGGGTAGGATATTCCAAGTAGAATCCCTGAGTTTTTATTAATTGGAGTCTTAAAGAACAGATTTACAGATTTAAACTTTGCTTACCTCTGCCTGTTTTTCTCCTTTGTGTTTTAATGCATGTGACACTTTAAGGAAGTGTTTTACTTGGATACTTGGGAAATGAGCAGTGAAGTGAAATAGCTTTCCCTGCTCTTATTTGTATTGCTCTGATTTGGAGGCATATACTCTTCTAAATGATTGCTTATTCACGTGCTTCTGTCAAATTAGAACCTTAAAGAGGCATGATCAGATTTGCCCACATTCCTGAGTAGGGGAGATGCCTATTTCAACAATAGTACCTACAGGGTTAATACAGACCAAGAAGCCTACTTGTTGTGGGTAAGTTACAGTAGCTGGTATTTTAAGATGACATTTGTTTGTCTCTGCAAATATTCCCACAAGTGTTCTCTCAGTAGTTCACTGTTTGGAGCTTCTTGCAGAAGTATCTCAAACATGATGATCATGGGGCCACATGAGAAGTACTAAGCACCGTTGATGATGTTCCTGTGTATTTTTCAGCTTTGAAGGGGGTGACACTTAGATAAACCCTGGAGAAAAAAAAATAGAGAAAAGACTGAATCAAACCTAGAGGCAAAAGCTATGGACAAATGGGTGAAATAAACAAGCAATTTTCTTTTTGTTGTTCCTGAAGCCCACTACATTAGCTTTGGCAGCATTACCAGATTTTAAGTCATGCTGACCAAATCAAATACGAAAATCAGATCGTGATAAGCTGGACTGACATTATTTCTAATTTCTTTTATAATTTCCTTTGTGAGTCATGAATAATTTAGAACCATATTTCTTTCAGTTTCTGAACACACAAAAGTATTTTTGTTTTTTTCTTTGAAATTGAGTTCTCATTGCATTGTGTTGGAGAATATAGTCTGCATGTTTTATCAATCAATTCCTTAATATTTATTGAAATGTCCTTTATGGTCTGGTATGTGCTCAGTTTTTGAAAATATTCTCTGGAAAATTGAAAAGAATTCAGATTATTTAAGAGTTGACATAAAGTTCTAAATATGTGAATTTGACCAAATGTCTTACTCCTGCTGTTTAACTCACCAACATCATTAATTTTTTGATCACTTGATCGATCAGTCTGTAATAATTAAGTATTAAAAATTACACTCTAAGAAATTCAATATACCATAATTTTATTGACCTTTACTTTATATGAGTTGTTGCTTTTGTAGGGCAAAAAGTGGTCAACTATTAGGAATTTCTTACAGTTTGATGTAATATTTTGGAGCTATGTTGCTCATGTTTGTTGGTTCAGGTTTGTAATATTTTTCTGACATATTGTGTGATAATGTTTTTACTTTAAAGTCTATTTCATCTGCCAATTTATATGGTTAGAGCATCTTTATTTTGATCAGTATTTAAAAAATGTAATCCACATATCTTTCTTCTGATTAAATTCTATTTGGACTAATGTCTGGCATATTATTATTATTTTTTCTATTTACTATGAGTTTGACTCACAATAAATATTCAGTACTTGGTAGTTTAAAAATAACAAATATTATTAATTTAATAATTGATGTATTTATTATTAATATTCTCTTTATAAGAGTTTAACTTTGATGCTGATGTAGTTTCATTATGATTTTTTAAAAATTATGATAAAATATTTCCTGTATTTATTAGCCATTTCATAAGCTTACCTGATTTTTTTATTTGAGGTTTTATTGTATTTTACAGTAGCAGGGTGGGTGAAAAGAGGATACATAGAATTTTTATGTATCAGTGTTAGCTGTGGGGTTAGCTTTGGCTTATTGAAGTTACCAATAATGAACAATCCTCAGTATCCAAAGGATACAGAATCATAAAACGTTGGAGATGGAAAAAAACATCTATTGAGGCCGGGTATGGTGGCTCACACCTGTAATCCCAGCACTTTGAGGGGCTGAGGTGGGCGGATCATGAGGTCAGCTGATCGAGACCATCCTGGCTAACACGGTGAAACCCCGTCTCTACTAAAAATACAAAAAAAATTAGCCGGGCTTAGTGGTGGGCACCTGTAGTCCCAGCTACTTGGGAGGCTGAGGCAGGAGAATGGCATGAACCCGGGAGGCGGAGCTTGCAGTGAGCCGAGATGGCACCACTGCACTCCAGCCTGGGTGACAGAGCGAGACTCCATCTAAAAAAAAAAAAAAAAAACTACTGAAACTTCCCATCAAGAATCTCAATCTTTTACAGAAGACCAAAATAAAGACATGCTACTCTGATACAGGGCACAGAGGTTCCAAACAGTGAAATAATAACTAAGCCAGGTCTGGTTCACATCATTTTACTTCCATTTTTGTCTGCAAGAGACTGTGAAAACAGGAGATTTCAACCAAAAAATCTAAGCCTATTGCACTGGGAAGTGGTGATTCCCTCTGAGTCAGATTGGATGATATTTGAGGTTATTTAAAACACTGAGTTTTGATGTTTTTTTTCTTAAATACAGAAGAGGAGGATCTCACAGTTAATGATAGAACCAGACCTGGACTATTGATTTCTTGATTCCAAATTCACCATTCTAGATATAAAGGCCACCCAAGTCTCCTCCCACCCCCCAGTGTACCCCTGTGCCTTGAGGCCATAGTTACTGTGAACTATGTATTGTCATACTTCTTTCTCTCCTCAGAGACACTCCATCAGTGGAGGGACCCTGAATGGGAGCTTATCAGGACTGCAGCCTTCTTTAGGGAGGAAAGGGTAGGATGATGCTAGAGAAACAAGAATTTTTCCACTGAACACTAAGCTAAAAAGGGAGAAAAGAAGGCCTTTTGAGAAAAGCCTTAAGGAGCTGCAATTGCTCAACCAGTGGAACAGCTGAGGATTGGTCTATGTGAGTTCAGCATTCGCTTGGCAAAGCGATGCACCCTGCCCAGGGGCTGGTACTACAAAGTTGGCAACCATATGTTTTTCATATCTCAGTATGAAAATGGATTCCAATTTAAACATAAAGTATTAAAGTTAGATACAATACAACCTCACTTAATTCACTAATTCAGAAGTTGTAATTATTTAGAAGGAGAAAACCTGATATTTACCTTCATGTTTTTTATTTTAGGAAAGAAAGAGAGAGCAACAGTGTGTGTCTGAGAGATTTATTGTATAATATGATCAATATATTCACTAAATATTATCACTATTCATTAAAATAGGTTTTCAAAATATTAATACTTGAAGAAACTATTAGCTCTAATTGAAACTACTTCACATATATATGGAAAAGAATCAAAAAGCAGATTTCTGGAAAGTGTCATAATTCATATGCTTCAGTAAGATACTTAGATGATCTCATTCATTCATTTAGTCATTCAACAAAAGTATATTCAGTGCCAATTCCGTACCAGGCATTATGCCATCTAGTTCTAAGCAGGGAAGTTTCATTTTGTAATGGAACAAGTGAAAAGAACCGCTTTTCTTGAATTTCTTCTTTAAAAGTCACTTATGTTTCTACTGATTTAGGAGAGTTTAAATGCAAACATATGAGTAAAGAAACAGGCTAGCTGACATATCCAGTCACAAAAGACAAATTGTGCCTTCCTGTTAAAGTCTAATATTTTTCAGCTAAAAAGTATTCATCCATGATGTTCTTAATAAACTATTCATAAATATAGAAGGAAGACATGAAGCCACAGATATGTTTATTTGACATAGAGAAGGCTTAGTTCAGGGGTGGGAAGACCACTTTTGTAATGCATTTTTTTTTTTTTTTTTGAGATAGAGTCTTGCTCCGTCACCCAGGCTGGAGTGCAGTGGCGTGATCTCAGCTCACTGCAAGCTCCGCCTCCTGGGTTCACGCCTTTCTCCTGCCTCAGCCTCCCGAGTAGCTGGGACTACAGGCACCCGCCACCACGCCCAGCTAATTTTTTGCATTTTTTAGTAGATGGGGTTTCACCGTGTTAGTCAGGATGGTCTCGATCTCTTGACCTCATGATCCGCCTGCCCCGGCCTCCCAAAATGCTGGGATTACAGGCATGAGCCACCGTGCCCAGCCTTGTAATGCATTTTTAAAATTGATTTTACACAAATGATTCTTTCTATAAGAATATAACATATAGCCTCCAACCTGACCCCCAGGTTGAAATAAAATAATGGAGGCTTTGCTTAGTTTTTCCAAAGAGATGAATGTAATGTAATCAATAAAACTGGAACATCTTCAGTTTGATGGGGAAACTGAGCACCAAAGAAGTAGGCAATTTTGGGAAAGAAAAAAAGCATCCAGGAGTCTTTGGTGAATATCCTAATGCTGAAAAAGTTTGGGGAGATTTGGATGTAGGGCACCTGACTACTGAGCAATCAGTAGGGTGTTTCTTCTGATTGATCCTATCTAGAAGCAGGAAAAAGTAACTTACATTCAATGGGCATCTGCTTTGGGATAGCTGTGGTATTAGATTATACATACACATACACACATGCTTACATATGTGTATGTATAGATTTTATGCATATGTACATATTAGATTACACACATTATATGTGCACGTGTTTTATATGTATTTATAATATATTTTATATATTATAATAATTTAAAATATAATCTTTCCAAATACCTGTGATATAAGTAGTATTAGCCAATTTTAATGATAAAGTGTCTTCGGCTTAGAGAATTACTTGTGTAAGGTCATACTTTTAAGAGGAAGAATGAGGATTTGTGCTGAAGTCCATTGAGTTCCAGAACTCACTAATTTTTCCACTATATATTGTTGTCCAGAGAATAAATGAGCTGAAAACTTTAAAAATCAGATTGATATTTTAATAGACTCCATCATTTGTTAGGTGTGTGAACTTGAGAAAATTCCTTAAGCTCTCTGAGCTGCATTTGACTATTTGCAAAATGGGGTTATAGAAAGTTCACTGCCTGCCTTAGAAGATTGCTGGAGAATTCAATGAAACAGTAAAATAAAAGTACTTAGTGAACATTCCAAAGTAATGTAGAAAATAATACTATGAAAGAACTGTACAAGGCTGGGCACAGTGGCTCACGCCTTTAATCCCAGCACTTTGGGAGGCTGAGGTGGGTGGATCACAAGGTCAGGAGTTCAAGACCAGCCTGGCTAATATGATGAAACCCTGTCTCTAAAGATACAAAATGTATATATATATATGTATTAGCCAGGAGTGGTGGCATGCATCTTTAATTCCAGCTACTTGGGAGGCTGAGGCAGGAGAATTGCTTGAACCCAGGAGGTGGAGGTTGCATTGAGCCGAGATCGCGCCATTGCACTCTAGCCTGGGTGACAGGACAAGAATCTATCTCAAGAAAAAAAAAAAAAGAAAGAAAGAAAGTACTGCACAAATATAAGAACTCACCATGATTACTTTTATGATTGTGTGAGGAGACAAAAGGTAAATTATGGTAAGTACTGTAATTTAGCCAATGATATGAGCAAGATCAAAAAGAATAACAAAGATATTTTTTATTGCAATGAGAGGAAAATGCAATGCACAAGGAATTCTCATTGCTTTTGTGTGTTTGAAAATGTCCATGACAACATGGTTTAAAAAATACTTTCTTATTTTAAAAACTAATTCCCTGAAAAAGTTTTAAAAAATACTTCCTTGTTTGGCTATTAAAGATTAGCTAGGATGATGGTTAAAAATAAGGATTCAGTAGCCAGAATACCTGGGTTTGAATTTCGCCTCTGCCACACTCTGTGTGACCTTGTGACCTATTTTATCTTCTTGTGTCTTGCTGGCTTCGTCTATAACATGTGGATAAAAATGGTACCTACACCATAGGCTTGGTAGGAGAATTAAATGAGTTGACGTTTGCTAAGCACTTAATAAATTACATACAAGTATTTGATAAAATACAAATTTTGTACAGAAGCAACAGATTGACCAAATATATTGTGGGTTTCAAATAGCTCCCATTTACAAGGAACATAAGGATCAGAAAGGTTAAATGACTTAATGTCACACTTAGTAAATAGCTGTGGCTGCATTTGATTCTGGGTCTGTCAGATTCCAAAATCTTGGTTCTAGGTGCTGTGCTGTCTCCTGTGGGGAAACTATGATAAGTCAGCCCGGTCTTATTTTGGCAAATGATACTGTATTTACCCTGACATTTAATGATGTCTTGGAGGGTTTCTTGGATGGGTCTGTTTGTGGGAAGGCTGAGATGCAAGTCCTTTTTAGAAGACAAGACTTGTTTATCTTTCATCAGGAGACACTACCTGGGGACCCCTAGATGGTGCCATCAGGACTTTAAAGGATGCCAGAGTTTGACAGGAGGTGAAGTTGGGACCTGAGAAGTACTTTCTGTTATTGGGCTTCCACTTTACCGAATGGGATCAAGGAGATGAAAATTAGAGTAAGAAACACAAGACAGGCCTAGTTGTGCTGCATTGTCCCACCTCATAAATGAAGATCTGTTGGCTGGGAGTGGTGGCTCATGCCTATAATTCCAGCACTTTAAGAGGCTGAGGGTGGGAGGATCACTTGAGCCCAGGAGTTCAAGGCCAGCCTGGGCAACATAGGGAGACCCCATGCCTATTAAAAAAAATCAGCAGGGCAAATTGGCACACACGTTTGATCCCAGTGTCTTGGGAGGCTGAGGTGGGAGGATTGCTTGAGCCCAGGAGGTCGAGGCTGCAGTGAGCCGTGTTTGCGCCACTGTGCTCCAGACTGGGTGACAGAGCAAGACCCTGTCTAAAAAAGCAAACAAAAAGCAACTGCTGTCACTCAATATTAAAAGCTACCAAGTTCGTGAAGCATCCTATGTGCCAGGCACACATATATTAATGCATTCAGATATTAACTTGATTCTTTTAGATGATCCATAGAAGCTCTAGAAGCTTGAATTGTCCTGCAGATTTATTGCCATTATTTGCACTATCTCTTGCTAACAGAATTATCACTGAATGTGTTTTATTAGCTCTAGAGTGAAATAAAAAATAGAACTAGACAGATTATGTAGGCTGCCTCCATCATATGGAAGGATAAGACCATTTCAGCTTTACTCTTATTTCTTCTGGGATAATGTTCTTACTCTTTTTGAATCAGGCTGATCTGAGCCCATCCTACACAAATGAAAAACTGCCAGCCTCACAGGATGTCAGAAGGAAAAATGAACATAGAAATGGGTTAAAACTTACTTTTATTCCTTAAAGAAGAATTAAGAAAAGGTTAGTTGCTTTGACACAGAGAAAATACTCATAAATAAAAACATGGGTAGCCGATAGATTATCCAATAATCTTTCAGCCCAGTTCAGTTTCAATGAATTATACTTCTGAGAATCAAAGCTAAATAGTCAAATGCCACACTATTACATTTTGATGAAAAGAGTGGGATCTTGCTTATCCTTAAATGTGGATTTTAATGACACTCTTGAATCTGGTGGCCAATGCCCTGTGATCACAGTGAGGGTAAAAATAGTAACAGCAACACTGTCATTAACATTGGTATATCTTATTCTTTACAAAAGAGATTCATACGCATTTTCTTATTTGATCTCCTCAATCCTGCATGGGACACTTTAGTTCTCCATTCTTGAAGTGGGAGAAATTAACGTCCAGAGATTATAAGACTTACCTACTATCATTACTAATAACATAAGTCATTAGTAAGTCCAGGACATTTAGAATATTTTCCTCTATCCCATTGTTTTGGACCAAAAAGTAATGAATCTGTGGTAGTGAAGACTGATCTTCATAAAAACACTTTGCATGATACTGGAAATAAGAGGTCATAAATAAATAAAAATTAGCTTGTGAAGTTTTTTAAAAACAGCAGTCCTAGATCCTCCAGGATCTAGTACAAGCAGAAAAGTACATGCAGTACTCTTCTACTAACCTAATTGCTTTTCTGCAGCAGACAGGCAACTGAATATTTGCAAAACTGCTCAGTGGAATGGTTTAATTCTTTAAGAACTGATTTTCCAGTTTTTTTAGAGGCCGCACAAATATTGCTAAGTTGTATCACTTGAGAATTCTTGGGATAGTCAAATATAGGAGAGCAAGTCTGCTCATTTCCCCAGCTCATTAAAATGATATTGCAGGAAGATGTTAATAAGAACCTTTCATATAAAAGGATATTTCCTGAGATTTATATACAAATAGTGAATATACAGTTGACTCTTGAATAATGTGAGGGTTGAGGTGCTAACTCTTGCACAGTAGAAAATTCTGTGTATAACTTTTGACTCTCCAAAAACTTAACCAGTAGTCTACTGTTGACCAGAAGCCTTACTGATAATAGAAACAATCAACACAAATTGTGTATGTTATATGTATTATGTACTGTGTTTTTACAATAAAGTAAGCTAGAGAAAAAATGTTACCAATAAATCCTAAGGAAGAGAAAATATATTTACTATTCATTAAGTGGAAGTGGATCAGCATAAAGGTCTTCATCCTTGTCATTTTCATGTTGAGTAGACAGAGGAGGGGGAGAAGGAGAAGGAAGAGAAGGGGTTGGTGTTGCTGTCTCGAGGGTGGTAGAGGCAGAAGGAAATTTGCATATAAGTGGCCCCAAACTGTTCAAAATTGTGTTGTTAAAGGGTCAACTTGATCACAGGGAAGCCAGTCTATCAGCAGAAAGATTCTTTTTCACCTAATCATCAACTAATATAACTTGAAAGGAAGTCAGCTTGGATCTCCAACCTTCTTTTGTCATTTGGCATCTCTCTCTGAGAGGGACACGTAGTGTCTTTTGGAAGCAGCAGAGGCCAATGGGGTCTCCACATTCCATACAATGATGTCTCCATCAAAACTAGTGGTAGCAAAGGGATCAAGAGGTGGACAGTCATCCACAGCTAAGCCGCATTCTGTGTGGAGCTGTCCTCCCATTCTCATGTGTTGGTGACCACGTGAATGCTCTAGAAAGAACCATACAGGAAAAGACTCATCTGGGTTCCCAGTGAGGATGGGTCACCCTTCCCTAGTGGACTGAGTGGCTCTGACTGCTCCACACTCCAAACAAAGCCTTATGAAGTTCAGAGCAGGACTTTGCTAATCCCAGCCCTTTGCACTGGTGGAGAATGGGCAGTGTGAGGCCCCTGGAAGACTGCTTTCTGGGATTTCTCTGCTTTCAGGTTGCTAATGACTAGCTGAGCCAGACACACAACAACCAGGCTCTTCTCTCTCCAGTGATCTTGTGGTTCATTTCTCCCACCTTACCCATTCATTCTTCCCCCTCAACATACTCTTGGAATGACTGTATTTTTCTCGTTGTGTTTATGCTGATTACATATTTGTTGGTCTTGTCTCCCATACGCCCTCTTTACAGGGTGGGGACAGGCTTGTTCCCCACCATCCATTATCTAGAGTGCCTACTTACAGAGCTTCATTTCCCGAGGGAGTGCAGTAAAGGCTTGTTTATCAACTGCTGGATTCCTCAGAATGCTCTCTCTTCTACTATGGGAGCTTTTCTGATTAAACCCTCATTCAGGTCTGGTAAAGTCAGTTCGGGTCAATACCATTCACAATTCATAAGTTCCTCCTATGACTGAAGCACAGGGCTAAGACCTTTAAGCAAAGAAGATACAGTCTGTGCCTTCCAAAGCCTTTGAAGCAAGAGGAGGCATTATCAGTTCAGCAGCTTTCAGCCTTGCTGTTAACACATTCTGGTGGGCTCTATCAGTTGTGAGACATGTCATCAGCAGTTTGTTACAAATAATAGTTAAAGTGCTGAATAAAATGCACTAATAAAAATAAATCTAGCTAGGTGCGGTGGCTCATGCCTGTAATCCCAGCACTTAGGGAGGCTGAGGTGGGAGGATCACTTGAGCTCAGGAGTTGGAGAACAGCCTGGGCAACATGGTGAAATCCCGTCTCTACACAAAATTCAAAAATTAGCTAGGCATGGTGGTGTGCATCTGTAGTCTGAGCTACTTGGGAGGCTGAGTTGGGAGGATCACTTGAGCCCAGGAGATCGAGGCTGCATGAAATGAGATGGCACTACTGCGCTCCAGCCTGGGCAACAAAGAGAGACCCTGTCTCAAAAAAATAAAAACAAAACAAAATAAAAAAAAATTGAAAAGTAAATCTAAGTGGATTCAGGGTTATTTTGACTATAACCCTTCATAATTTTTCTAGCATTATTTATGTGTGTGAAACTCACATAAATATGTAGTTTCCAACTTAAATTTTTTTTCCTGATGCACATGTCCCCCATACCCCTGTGAATCTATATAAGGAGTGCTTGCTTCATTTCAGCTGAGACATAAGGTGTGGTGATGTATGTGTGCCAACCAGCTTACCAGCTCTGGCTTTGTGCCTCTCATCTGTGTTAGGAAGCTTATCTGAATGCAAGTCATCAGTGGTGAAATTATTACAAATGTCATCTTTTAGGGGGAGAGGAGGATAAATTCTGATGAGGAAAGAAATAGAAGGCTAAGTTTCCTGGGTGGGGCAAATCTCAGCTGGGCCTTGAAAAGTAGGTGGAATGTTGTCAGAGCTCTGGAGTATAGGGGTCAGCAGTAATAAGAAGGTTTGGGCCATGCAGAAAAGGACTTCGATAAAATTCAACATCCATTCATGTTAAAACAAACAAACAAACAAAACCCCTCAATAAACTAGGCACTGAAGAAACATACTTCAAAGTAATAAGAGCCATCTCTGACAAACCCACAGCCAACATCGTACCGAATGGGCAAAAGCTGGAAGCATTCCCCTTGAAAACCAGCACAAGACAAGGATGCCCTGTCTCACCACTCCTATTCAACATAGTATTGGAAGTCCTGGCCAGAGCAATTAGGCAAGAGAAGGAAACAAACGGCATCCAAATAGGAAGAGAGGAAGTAGAACTATCCCTGTTTGTAGATGACATGATTCTATATCTAGAAAACCCTGGCTGGGTGTGGTAGCTCATGCCTGTAATCCCAGCACTTTGGGAGGCTGAGGTGGGCAGATCACCTGAGGTCGGGAGTTCGAGACCAGCCTGACCAACATGGAGAAACCCTGTCTCTACTAAAAATACAAAATTAGCCAGGCGTGGGGCGCATGCCTGTAATCCCAGCTACTTGGGAGGCTGAGGCAGGAGAATCGCTTGAACCCAGGAGGCAGAGGTTGCAGTGAGCCGAGATCAGGCCACTGCACTCTAAGAAAACCCCATAACCCCATAGTCTCTGTCCAAAAGCTCCTTGATCTGATAAACTACTTCAGCAAAAGTTCAGGATACAAAATTGACAAACAAAAATCAATTGCGTTCTTATACACTAGCAACATCCCAGCTGAGAGCCAAATCAGGAGCACAATCCCATTTACAATTGCCTATGAAAAGAGTAAAATATCTCAGAATACAGCTAACCAGGGAGGTGAAAGAGCTCTATAATGAGAATTACAAAACACTGCTCAAAAAAATCAGAGATGGCACAAGTAAATGGAAAACATTTCATGCTTATGGACAGGAGGAATCAGTGTTGTTAAAAAGGTCATACTTCCCAAAGCCGTTTACAGATTTAATTCTATTTCTAACAAACTGCCAATGACATTCTTTATAGAACTAGAAAAAAGCTATTTTAAAATTCACATGAAACTGCAAAAGAGCTCAAATAGAAATGGCAATTCTAAGCAAAAAGAACAAAGCTGGAGGCATCATGTTACTCAACTTCAAACTATGCTACAGGGCTACCGTAACCAAAACAGCATGGTACTGGTACAGAAACAAACAGACCAATGGAACAGAATAGAGAGCCCAGGAATAAGGCCACACACCTACTATCATCTGATCTTTGACACAGCTGACAAAAACAAGCAATGGCCCCATTCAATAAATGGTGCTGGGATAACTGGCTAGCCATATGCAGAAGATTGAAACTGGACCCCTACCTTACATCACATACAAAAATCAACTCAAGATGTATTAAAGACTTAAATGTAAAACGTGAAACTATAAAAACCCTGGATGATAACCTAGGAAATACCATTTTGGACATAAGACTTGGCAAAGATTTCATGACGAAGACACCAAAAAAAATTGCTACAAAAAGTAGACAAATAGGATCTAACTAAACTAAAGAGCTTCTGCACAGCAAAGGAAACTATCAGCAGGGTAAACAGACAACCTAAAGAATGTGAGAAAATATTTGCAAACTATGCATCCAACAAAGATCTAATATCCGGTATCTATAAAGAACTTAAACAAATTTACAAGCAAAAAACAAACAACCCCTTTAAAAAGTGGGCAAAGGACATGAACCAGACACTTTTCAAAAGAAGATGTACATGTGGCCAATAAGCATAAGGAAAAATGCTCAACATCACTAATACTTAGAGAAATGCAGAGGAAAACCTGAATGAGATACCATCCAACACTAGTCAGAATGGCTATTATTAAAAAGTCAAAAAATGACAGATGCTGGCAAGGTTGCAGAGAAAAGGGAATGCTTATATACTGCTGGTGGGAATGTAAATTCAGCCATTGTGAAAAGCAATGTGGTGATTCCTCAAAGAACTTAAAACAGAATTAACATTTGACCCATCAATCTTATTACTGGGTATATACTCAAAAGAATATAAATCGTTCTGCCATAAAGAAACGTGTAAAATGCATATGTATATTCATTGTAGCGCTATTCACAATAGCAAAGATAGAATAATAAATGCCATCAATATAGACTGGATAAAGAAAATGTGGTACATATATACCATGGAATTCTACGCAGCCATGAAAAATGCTAAAGAGCTAAATTAAACTAAAGAGCTTAGTTTAGCTAAGGGTGAACCTAAGCTCTGTAAAATTGTGTATTCAAGAAATGATCTTTCTTTTCCGGTTCTGTAATTTATATATATGACGAGGTGACTTGAGAGCTCCTAGCTAAATTGGTGTTCCAGTACCAAAGCAACTAGCAGCCCTGTGATAGTGGTAAATAAAAGGGAGCTGGGAGTGGGTGTCTGTAAGTGACTGCCTTTCATGGGATCTTTCTCTTACCTTATGAACGGCCTAATGCCTAGTTGCCCAACCTATGACCAGTTGACCCTCACACGGGAAACTTGTTTGTACTGGCAGACATCTTGATGGCTCTTGTATGAGCCATTTCCAGTTTATACCCACATCACCATCTCTCTGGCACTGGGAGCCTGGCCTTGCGTTCTTCCCAACGTCCTAGGGAAAACTCAGCCTGGGTTCCTCAGATGGAAGGCACAAATTCAATCCACCACTGCAGCAGGAAATAAGTTCAAAGATTTATTACTTACAGATCCTAGGTAGGGAGGGCACACTTTTCAAAAGAAGATGTATGTGTGGTCAACAAGCATAAGAAACAATGCTCAACATCACTAATCATTAGAGAAATGAGTCAGAAGGGCAGTCCTCCATCTCCAGGTCAGGCAAGGCAGAAATAAAGAGTCAGGCTGAGGCCAGGCATGGTGGCTCATGCCTATAATCCCAGCACTTTGGGAGGCCAAGCCAGGTGGATCATGAGGTCAGGAGATGGAGACCAGTCTGGCTAACACAGTGAAACCCCTCTCTACTAAAAATAAAGAAAATTAGCCAGATGTGGTGGCACATGCCTGTAGTCCCAGCTACTTGGGAGGCTGAGGCAGGAGAACCACTTGAACCCAGATCGCACCACTGCACTCCAGCCTGGGTGAAAGAGTGAGACTCCATCTCAAAAAAAAAAAAAAGGAGCCTGAGAGAGAGTGCAACAACTAGCAGTGAATATAGAAGAATAGGATGTGGATCACGTTTAAGTTCCTGGGTAAATGTCTGAATGATCAGTTTAAAGGAAGCAGCTGAAAAGTGGGAGCCCAGTGTAGTAGGCAGGAAGAATGCCTCTAAGTTCTTATCTCTGGCCACTGGTTTGGGCCATTTAGGTATGGTGTTTTTTACTTCTGATATCTGGGCAGTAATCTCTGCTGTGCCATTCCTGTTACAGGCAAACAACTGGATCAGCCTCACTGAGGTACTGTAAGGAGATATAGAACTAGAAACTGTGTTAAGCGTGACTGAGCCCTGCTTTGGTATGAGAAAGCTAAACTTATGTTCAAAATGAATGCCGAGGCAACATAAAATTCTAAGAATTCACCATACTAGGTGGGTGTTCTTGGGTCATTTCCTGATAGTGTGGGTAAAATAGGACACATTTTAACAAACAACTCATATGTCTTGAGTGACCATTGCAGTCACTGTGTTATGTTCTCCGAGTGACATGGAGAAACAAGTCATATGCACAGTCCTCAAGTATGTTCCAGTCTAATGAGAAAAGCACGACATAGAAGGATGAAAAATCAATCAATAGCAAAGCAAACTGTCGCAGTTTATTAGACATCACAATCTTGTGCTGAACAAAGCTTATGGCAACACACTTCTCTAAGAGTTTGGAGAAGAAAGTGATAACATGTGAGTTGGAGTGCTTTAAGAAATCTTTGAGAATGAGGAGAGTTTTGATCTGGGGATTTAAGTTGGGTAGAAATTAGCTGTCTGGAGAAGAGGATGAAGTGCTTCTGATGCTCTTCTGGGTGTTTATTGAATCTAGGAGTGCTTGTTACTCTTTGCATTCCTTCAATTATGCATTGGTTGCCATTTAAGGTATTTTCTAAATTTCCTCCATCTTCATTGTCTATTGTTTCTTGTAGCTTTCTTTGTTTTTGAGACAGGGTCTCACATTTTCACCCAGGCTGGAGTGCAGTGGCATGATCTCAGTTCATTGCAACCTTTGCCTCCAGGTTCAAGTGATTCTCATGCCTCAGCCTCCCAAGTAGCTGCGACTACAGGCCTGCACCAACATGCCTGGCTAATTTTTGTATTTTTAGTAGAGATGGAGTTTCATCATGTTGGCCAGGCTGGTCTTGAACACCTGGCCGCAAGTGATCTGCCTGCCTTTGCCTCCCAAAGTGCTGGGATTACAGGCATGAGCCACTGTGACGGGCCTTTTGTGCCTTCTTTATCTTTAGAGTGCCTTCCCAGTACCCCAGATCAAGCTCTGTAAAACTGTATATTCAAGAAGTGATCTTTCTTTTCCTGTTCTGTAATTTATATAGAAGACCATTACATTTATCTCTTAGAGACAGATTACAGATTAATATGCATTTATAAATCTTTGCATATTTTCTAGTTTTGAGAAAGTTTTTCTCTACCCAAATTAATTTTTTCTGTTAATTGGTCAGTGGGTATATTAGTCCATTCTCATGCTTCTGTGAAGGAATACCTGAGACTGGGTAACTTATAAAGGAAAGAGGTTTAATTGACTCACAGTTCAGCACGGGTGAGGAGGCCTTAGGAAGCTTAGAATCATGGCGGAAGGGGAAGCAGACATGTCCTTATTTACATGATGGCAGGAAGGAGAAGTGCTGAGCAAAAGGGGGAAAAGCCACTTATACAACCATCAAATCTCATGAGAACTCACTCACAATCACGAGAACAGCAGTATGGAGTAATTGCTTCCATGATTCAATTACCTGCCACTGGGTCCCTCCCATGACATGTGGGGATTATGGGAACTACAATTCGAGATGAGACTTGGGTGGGGATATAGCCAAACCATATCAGTGGGTCACTGATGGCCTAGAGAAAATCTTCATTCACTCTGCATATGTTAAAAGAAAACACCTGAAGAGATTTGCAAAATGAGCTCCACTGCCTTGACCGAAAGAGGAGGAGCAGCAAGGGAAAAGCAACCAAGTGGGGAGGCTGTTTGTTCAGTTTTCTCAAAAGTAAAGACCAGGAAGCCAAATATAAGAGAAATGGAACACAGAAATATTTGAAACAGGTGATTATCAAGAAGAATTTAAATTCAGTCTTTGCTATTTCCTCTTCATGGTTATTTTTATGTATAATCATCATTAATTTTCTTGAGAGGAGATAAAAATGTGGAGGGGAGACTGCATGTAATGTCAGACAGGTGGCCTTGAGGATGAGTAAACATTTGGTAAGTGCCTAGGCCAGTAGAACAAGAAGGCAAGGGCACAGTGAAGGACAGAGGGTTATCAGGAGCAAAGCAGATGGCAGTTTAAAAGCACATGCAGAATATTCTGGGGGCAAGCATTCTGGGAGACAATTCTCACTCAGCAATCATGAAACTGCCTTTGCAAAAATTATAACAGTGAAATGGGAGGGGGGGAGATCTGATCTAGCTAACCTCCTTCTTGCCTTTAGCCTTCAAGCTGCCTTAATTATTCCTGGGCTTAGGCTGGGTAACTTTGGGACACATTTAGTTTAAATGATAATAGCCCTTTCCCAAAACTCAACTTCCTTTGTAAAGCTAATGAGAGACCACTAGGCTAGGAGGAGGAGAGGAGCCTAAATTCTGCTAAGGTGTAAACATAAACAATGGCCAGCCATTATTCTAGAAGTCACAAGATATGCAACTTCCCCAATTATTCCTGCAGATAACATCACTATCAGTAGAACCTAAGATTGGCCTTTGAGATATCTTCAGGTTTTTTTGCATGTCTGACACCCATGGCTCCACCTAGATCTGCCAGCTGCTCCTGTGGCCCCACCCAGAAGTGACTCAGTGCAAGAAGAAAGCTTCAACTCCCTATGATTTAATCTCCAACTCAACCATCAGCACCCATTGCCTAGCCCCTACTCCTTCCCTCAAATGATCTTTGAAAAACCCCTAACATATAAACCTTCAATGAGATTGATTTCAGTAATAACTCCGTCTCTTGTGTGATATGGCTGGCTTCATGTCAATTAAATGCTTTCCTCACTGCAATGCCATGGTATGTGTTTGTGCAGTAGTAAGGAAGAACCCATTGGGCAGTTACAGTGACAGAGACTGTCAGTGACCAAAGGGCCCAAGACAGAGAAAAAAGTAAAGGAGCTGGGAGAAAGAGGAGTTAATAGTTCAGGAATTAGGGAAATGAGAAAGAAGGAATTATATTTACTGGATCTCCAGTGTTTGTTGGCAGTGGTAATGTCAAGTTGGCTGGGCCATGGCACTGAGATATTTGGCCAACATTATTTTGGATGTTTCTGTGAGGGGGTTTTTGAATGAGATTTACACTTAAGTGAGTAGAGTTTGAGTAAAGCATATTGCCCTCCAAAATATGAGTTCTCCTTATCCAGTCAGTTCAAGGACTGAGTAGAACAAGGACTAACCTCCCATGAGCAAGAGGAAGTTCTGCCAGCAGACTGCTTTCCAACTTCATCTGCAACATTGGCTTTTCCTGGCTCACCAGCAGACTGTCTTCAGACTTGAAGTTCAACTTTTTCCTGAGTCAGTCCTCAGTCTGTTGGCCTCCCCAGTCAGATTTTAGATTCACCAGGTTTATACAGTTGTGTGAGCCAATGACTTAAGATAAATCTTTTTCTCTCTCTCCATATCCACTTGATTCTGTTTCTCTGGAGAGTTCAGACCCATACAGTGATGTCACAGGCACTCTGTGCATATCTCACTGCATTCTTAAGGGCATTGATTGTTGAAGGTCAAATAGTTACAAATAGTGGTAGAGACAATATTCAAATCCACATCAAGTCCCATGTTATCCTCATCAAATCACCCTCCTTGGGGCCCAGAAAAGGACTTTTGAAAAACTAGTGAGAGAGACAGTAGAAAGAAACTAGCAAGGCAGATAGGGCAGAGTCCTCGGCAGAACTTTCCTTCTAACGAAAAGCAGCCCAAGAAATCACTTCTCTTCTAACAAAGAGCAGCCTGGAAGATTGGGCTGCAAACATAGATAAGGAAGTGCACTCTGGCACAGAGAGGGAGCTTCCTGGGTAATCAGCTAGCTTCACATACATACGGTGGGTCCCAGCAAGCACAGTGGGGCTTAGTAAGCACATTCCTTTCCTTTTTTAGGCATACTCAGATAAGGAAGTTGGAAACTTGCATGGGGAATGCCTGCAGCTGCACTGATAGAAAGGATTACCTTGGGCCAGGCATGCTCATTGTGGGAGCACCATCCCCTCTCCTTTAGCACATGCACTGTAGGAAAGAGATAAACAAGACAGAGTAGTTCAGGCTAAGGACCCGCCTGCATAATAAAAGATTGGGATGGGGACTGCCAGAGATTCATGCTCTATGCAGATGACACACCTCGTTTTAACTGTTTTTTGTACCCTATGTAGATAAGGTACCCCCTCCCCACTAGCTCATTTATAAAAACCCTTGCATTTCACTGCAGAATGGCAACCCTTTTTGGGACCCCGCTCTGCAGCAGAGAGCTGTTCTCTTTTTTTTGCCCAGTAAACTTCTGCTCTAACCTCACCCTTGGTGTGTCTGCGTCCTTGATTTCCTTGGCTGTCAGACAAAGAACTTCGGGTGCCACCCCAGGCAATGAGGCCTTTTCACTAGAACTTGGATCATGGATACTCTTGTTTGTGTGAGGAACTAATGGAGAATCAAGTAACTGGGCTTGCTGCTTCACTGTGCTGTGCTGTACAAAACACAGCTGGTCTTTAAGGCTGAGAAAACACAATGTCAGGTCCTTGCCAGCTCAGGTTGGCTGGGATCAGGATGACTTGATCCTTCTGAGCCCTTCAGTTTCAGTGGAAGGAGAGGTGATTTTTTTTTCCATCCCAGGTGCCTGGGAGTTCACCTGGAGAGTCCATTATCTCATCAACCATGTGCCAAAGAGATGCTCTGCTTTTCCGTTGCTTCTCGATATTTCCTGGCAGCAGCCCTCTGCCCTCAACCCCCTTGATTCCTGCCTCTCTCAGTGTAAACATGGGATCCAAAAAGCATAGGGCACAAGGGAGGAAGGAAGTAAATCCAGGGTCCATGATATAGGAGAGGGGCCACTGGACAAAGGGATGACATAGCTCTCCCATATCAATTTTCCCTATTTAGGACAAAAAGAAGGCCTGAGATGAAAAAGTAATTTTCTCATGATTCCTTTCTGCCTTTTGGCAGCTTGAGTTTTAGGAATGCAAAAACAGAACAGGTTTTTCCAATTGCTTTGGGCAGCAGAGTGAGTCCCAAATGTCACATGACTGAGCTCTTCCACTTCTTGAAATTAGGGCCAGCTGCTTGACAGCCAGCAGCTAAGGGATGTGGAGGTGCCAGTTGGTGTATGGGAAACATTAAAAACCCACCACCCTAACTGGTTTGTGGCTCCTTTGGGCATTGGAAGCAGAAAGAAAGGAGGGAAGTATAATTGCTTTATTCTCCAATGATTTTCTTTGAAAGGAATCTGTGATTTAACTATAAATAAATGAGAATGGCCTTTTAAATATCTGCTATGTCAAAAGCTGTACATCCCTGGGAGCATTAAACATCATTAAACCCTATCAATGTAGTCATCTTGATGACATGCTTATTCCAGATCTTTGCTGGAGTAGGCCTTTTCTATAATCGTTACTTCTTTGTCTTCAGAAGCCATGCATAAAAGCCCATGCATTCATCAGAGAAGAAACAAATTAAGACTAATCATATCTAGCATGTCAATTACTATAATTGAGCTAAAACCCATAATTTAAAAATATGATTTAAAAATATGAAACATAGAAGAGGAAACACTTCTCAACTCAAAACCCAACTATAAGCTGAGAAAAAAACATGTTTAAAACAAAGTGACTCATAGAAATTCAATATAAAAGGATGGGAAAATGCATGACAAGCAAATATAAGTTAAAAGAAAGTATGGGCCAGGCTTGGTGGCTCACATCTATAATCCCAGCACTTTGAGAGGACAAGGCAGGAGGATTGCTTGATCCCAGGAGTTCAAGACCATCCTAGGCAACATAGTGAGATCCTGTCTCCACAAAAAAATTTTTTAAAAATTAGCCAGGCTTGGTGGTTGGTGCATGCCTGTGGTCCCAGCTACTCCAGAGGCTGAGATGGGAGGATAGCTTATGCCTGAGAGGTTGAGGCTGCAGTGAGCTGTGATTGCACCACAGCACTCCAGCCTGGACAACAAAGTGAGACCCTGTCTTGAAAAAAAAAAAGTATGAATCTCTATTTTTGTATCAAAGTTAAAGTAAAGGCACAAAAAAAGCATTAAATGAAACAAAGAATGACACTTTACAATTTTAAAGAGTACCACATTAATATCTAACAAATATGTCCCATGGCCTTTGAAGGTATGAAGATTTTTTGTTTGTTTTCATTTTTTGTCCAGTTCTTTGCTGAAAAAAATTAGAATTTATTGGGAGACTTAAAAACTCAGGTGATTTCAAGTTTTAAAGAACTCTGGATTTCCAGTTTCTCTTAAAGAAATCAGAAAGTCTGACAATACTGAGCCTGGATTTTCATGTAGCATCAATCATCCAGGCAGAGTAAAGCAAGCCAGGGCCTGTGGGCCAAATCCAGCCCCCTACCTGAAGAAATCCACACCAAGGAAATTGATGCCAACACACCTCATAAGCGAAATCCAGAAACTTAGAACAAAGAAAAAGTCTGCAAAAGATTGAAAGAAAGATAACATTTTCACTGTAATTTCTCCTTGGAACCCATGAAAGCCAGAAGGACATGGCATAATGTGCTCAGGAAAAGAACTGTCAACTCACAATTCTACATCCAGTGAAAATATCCTTCAGAAATAAAAGGAAGAGCAAGACGAAGAAAAGGAAAGAAAAGTAAGAGAGTGGCAGAGTGCTTTTTTTAAAAAATAATCTAAAATAGGTAAAAATAAATGAAACAAAAATCTGATTCTTTGGAAAGATCAATGAAATTGAGAAACCTCAATTTCAAAATTTACAAAGAAAAAAGAGAAAGGAAACACCTATTACCAACACCAGAAATGAACCGGAAGATATCATTACAGACTCTACAGGCATCCAAAGGCTAATAAGAGAATACTACAAACCACACTACAAACATAAAATAGACTATTTAAATGAAATGGGCCAATTCCCCCAAAGGCACAAACCACTGCAAAAGATGAAATAGATAATTTGAATAGCCTTGTTAACTATATGAGAAATTGAATTTTTTAATTTAAAAACTTCATAAAAAGAAATCTCTAAGCTCAGATGGTTTTGCTGGAGATTTCTACCAAATGTCTGAGGAAGAATTAACACTAATTCTATAAAATCTCTTTCAGAAACATAGAAGAGGAAACACTTCCCAACTCATTTTTCTGATATCCAAAACAGAAAACAACAGTACAAAGAAAGAAACAACAAGCCAATGTCTCTCATGAATATAGCCACCACCTGTTTTTGTAGATAAAATCTTCTTGGAGCAAAGCCGGACCCACCGTTTACTTATTGTCTAATGACTGCTTTCACACTTCAATGACCGAGCTGAGTAGTTTTGATAGACCGTATGGCCCACGAAGCCTAACACATTTAATATCTGGCCCTTACAGAAAAGCTTGGCTGATTAGATCTAGGGCTGAAAAGCTATTGACCCCTTTACACGGGACACACACAGTCTCTAGTAGTTAGCAGAGGTCTTCCATTTCTTAGTGTCTTACATCTGGCCAGTATGAATCATCTGTATTTTCATTTAACCCTTGCACATACTGGCAAAATTGTTTTATAGCCATCCTTTTTCTTAACCTACAAAATACAACCCTAGATGTGTGTGTGTGTATATATATAACATTTTTGCTGAAATTGTTTGTGGCTAATTTGCTCATTTTCAAAAATTTGAAATGTAAAATAAAGATTCTGCTTCCAACAACTATGGAATGACTTATAGCAGATTAACGATCCTGCTGAAAATAACTAGGAAAGATGGATAACATTCATAAACATTTCTGTGAAGGTATTGGAAGTTAGCCAAAGCAGTTGAACAAGAGGGGCCCAGATTCAGGTGAGAAGGAAAATACCTTGAAGTGAGGTTTACGTGTTATGCTCCCCTCAGGGAATTTGCAAATGTACATCATGGGTCATAGAGAACCAAATGAGGTTGCTTGGAGCTTGTAGCAGTTATACTGGACTAAGGGTAAAACTTGAGCTTAGGATTACCAAGGCAGCCAGGACGTGAGGTGCCAATGTCCCAGAGCACAGTAAACTGGAGAGAAATAAGCCTCACATTCTAAGTGCTATTTCTACTTGAAGCAGTTACTGATTACTAAATTCCACATGCCTAGAGCGCTGATCTAAAAAAACAAGCAGAAAATAGTAGCTTAGAAGATAAAAAGCTAAGCAGAGGTTTCAGCAGTCTCACTGCTGGAGAGACAAACATTGAAATTCAGAGCTTGCCAAGGAGGAGGGGCCTGGCGAACATCCTAGGCTTTTAGTTGAGCCTCATCAGGTGCTATGCACTAGGATTAAGGTGACCAGAAATTGACCAGCTCTCACAAAGCCTGAAACAGAGCTTTCATCCGTTGTTGGATGAAAACACATGATTTTCATCCCTTGTTGGATCAAGGTGATGAGACTAACCATATTTGCTTGCCAGAAGAAAATTAATCATCTCTGGAGAAAGATAACATCACCTAGAACCACTGTAGTTTTTACATACAATGTCTGACAGTCAATTAAAATGACCTGATATACCAGGAAGCACGGCCAATCAACCCAGTCCTAAGAGGAAAAACAGACAGTAGTGAGACACAGACTTTAAAATAAATATTATAAATATGTTAAAAAACAAATGAACATATAGAGAATTTCACTAGAGAATTGGAAATGATTTTATTGTGGATAAAAAGACGTAGAAATTTATAGGTTAAAAAATAACATAAGAAATGAAGAATTTAATAAATGGATTTAATAGCAGATTAGACACAGAAGAAGAAATGGCTAGTAAATTCTCTTTTAAAATACCCAGATTGGAGCACAGATACTAAAATAAAGAATGGAAAATATAGAAAAAGTATAAGAAGCCTATGAAAATTTCTGAAATTGGCTAGCATGTGTAATTGGAGTGCCAGAAAAAGAGGAGAAATGGTGTTAGGGAGAAACAGTATTTGAAAAGATGCTGGTTGATAATTTCCAAGTTGACAAAAGGCATCAATTCACAAATTGAAGAATCTCTTACACTAAGCGAAGTAAATGTAAAGACAGCCCAACCTATTAAAATTGCAGAAAGACCAAGAAAGTAAAAAAATGTTAGAAGCAGCTGGAGAAAAAAGACATATTATATTCAAAGGAGAAATTATATGGCCAAAAGCTGTCTTTCAACATAAACTATAGAAGCCAGAAGATAATAAAATGATAAGTTTAAAGTGCCGAAGGAAAAAGGTGCTAATATAGAAAACTACACCCAGAAAAACTATCCCTTAATAAGTGAAGATGAAATATAGACATTTTGAGAAAGAATTTTGTAGATTAAAAAAATTGGAGGTTATTCATTTTCATTTTGTAAAAGAATGATACCAAAAACTTGGCTAGAAAGGAAAACTATAGGCCAATCTCTCTTACAAAAATATGTAAAAATTTAAACATTATACTAGCAAATCACACCCAGTGACGTATAAGGTAACACATCATGCAAATTTGCCTCCTGGAATGCAAATTTGGTTTAGCATTTGATAATCAAATAATGTAAGTCACCATGTTAACAGAATAAAGACTAAAAAACATAATAATCTCATTGGATGCAGAAAGAATATTTGATAAAATTCAACACCTATTCATGATAAAAAATCACCTTACAAACTAGGAAACAAAGGGAACTTTTTAAATTTGATAAAGGTTATTTATAAAGGACTTATAGCAAACATCCTGCTTAATGGTGAAATATTGAAAGCTTTCCCGCTGAGATCAGGGGCAAGATAAGGATGCTTACAAATACCACCTATTTTCAGTATGGCATAGAAGGTCAGTGCAATAAAGCAATGAAAAAAAAAAGCCTTTAAAAATGGCAGATGAATAAATGAAACAATTACTATTTGAGGAAGCCACATATATAAACACTATTTGTGCATGTACAAAATTCAAAAGAATCTACTAGCAAACAATTAGAATTAATAAGTAAATTTAGCAAGGTTGATGGATAAAAGGTCAACATAGAAAAATCAACTGTATTTTTATACAGTACCAATAATTACAAATGAAAAATTTTAAATGACACCTCTTACAGTCACACCAATAACTTAAAAAATCTAGAAATATGTCTAAACGAGATTTTATTATCTTTGCATAGAACACCATAAAAATTATTGTATTAGTTTCATAGGTCTGCTGTAACAAATTACCACAAATTAGTGCCTTTTAAGGCACAAATTAGTGCCTTAAAACAATAGAAATTTATTCTCTTACTGTTATGGAGGTCAGAAGTCTGAGCCAACATGTTGGCAGGGACATCCACCTTCTGGAGTCTCCAGGGGGAACTCTTTCCCTGCCTCTTCCAGCTTCTGGTGGCTCCGGGCATTCCTTGGTTGCATGACTTTAATCTCTTCCTCCATCTTCACATAGCCTTCTCCCGTATGTGTGTGTGTGTGTGTGTGTGTGTGTGTGTGTGTGTGTGTGTGTGTGTGTGTGTGAGAGAAATCTCCTGCTTTTCTCTTATCAGGACACCTGACATTAGATTTAAGACTTATGCTAGACCCAGGATGATCTCGAAAAATTTTAAATGTCAAGATCCTTAACATTAGTTATATCTACAAAGACTCTTTTCCTGATAAGTATGACATGAACAGGAGAAAGGGAAACACTGGGTAGAAGAGGGTGGTTCCCTGGCAAAGGCACAACCCTCAAGCCTGGAGACCCGTGGCCCTAAGTGGGAACAGGCATTTCTGTTTTCACACCCAAAAAGTTGCCTTTTGGCCCTCCACACGCCCTATCCTGTACCCATATAAACTCCGAATCCCAGGCTCCACAAGCAGACAAGCAGACAGATGAGCAGATGAGGAGACAAGGAGATGAGGAGACAAGCAGATGAATGGTGGAATGGCATGACAGAGAAGCAGAGAAGAGAAGGAACGTCTAAACACTGAGAGGAGTCCGGCTGGGTTTGGTTGAAGAAGAGTTTGGCCACTAGATGGCCAAACTCCAGGAGAAGATCAACTTCCCACTCCATCCCCCTTCCAGCTCCCTATCCAACTCACTGACAGCCACCTCCAGCACTCAGTAAAACTCCATGTTCATCCCTCAAGCCTATGTGTGACCTGATTCTTCTGGGATGCTGGGCAAGAGCTGAGGATAAAGAAAGCTGTCACATTGGCCCTCTGCCCTTGTGAAAAGGCAGAGGTGTCCATTGAGCTGGTTAACACTTAAGCCATCTGTGGATGGCAAGGCTATAAGAGCACTGTAACACTGGGGCCTCAGACACCCACCCCTAGATGCCACCATGGGGCCAGAGCCCAAAGCACTCACCCCGGCTCTTGCACCTACCTGTTTGTGTGCTCCTGCTCCTGTCAGGGGTGTGAGCAGTGGCAGAGACCAAAGAGGGGAGCCACACCCCTGTTATATGTCTTGTGAGGGCGATCAGGGAACTCTCCTGTTTCAAAGTCCCATTCACAGGTTTTGGGTGGAAATATCTTTTGGGCTGGGGGACCCACAATTCTAACACACTACAATTTTCAAGAGAAATTAGTAATACTCTAAATAAATGGAAAAACATATTATAGTCATAGATTAAATATTGTAAAGATGGTAATGCTCACCAAACCAACTTATACATCCAATATCCTATCAAATCTTTGAAGTTTTTTTTAAATTGACAAACTAATTTTAAAATTTATATAGACAAGCAAGTGACCAACCATGTTAAAGATGATCTTGAAGAATAGAGTTGGAGGCTCTACACTACAGATAATATTATTATGAGGTTACAGTAAATATAGAAGAATGTTATTGATTTAAGGGTATACCAATGGTAGAGGAGAAGAGTGTGCAAAAACAATTCCATACATATACAGTCACCTAATTTACAACGACGTTACAGCATCACAGACAGATGACATTTTTAATAAATGTTGCTGAATCAATTAGATATTCACATGGGAATAATAATCTCGATTGCTTACTCACACCAAATAGGAAAATCAGTTCTAGAAAATATAAAAGGTAAAACAATAAACTTCTATAAAAAAGAGAAAATACTTAAACTTAGGGTGGATAGTAGTTTTTAAACAGGATTCACAATAAACGAAAGGAAAGAATATTTGATAAATTGGACTTCATGAAAATAAAATATTGCTGTTTTTCAAAAGATGCTATAATAAAAGAGAAAACTCATTTACTGGGAAAAGAAATTTGAAATATATATCTAACAAAGGACTTATATCTAGTATCTATAAAGAATTTCTACAAATCATTAAGGAAAAAAACTCAAAAAAAAGGGTAAACAAATTACTTCCCAAAGAGACTATTTAACTGGACATTCAACAAAGAAAAAATGTTCAACGTTATTAGTCATCAGGAAAATGCAAATTAAAACTACATGAGATACTATTAGACACCCAAATGGCCCAAATTAAAAAAACCAAAAACGTAACCTAGTACGACATGCAACATTATTATTTAACTGTCATTAGTGTAACCTAGTACAAAAGGCAATATTATTTTTTCTAAGAAAAAAGAGAATGAGTTACTATTTTTAAAAATTGTTTTCTCTTCATTTCTGTTTACTCTATTTCCCCCATTCCTGACTTCCTACTTAGCCCTTTAGAAATGCAATTATAACCTCTTACCTCCCCTCACCAGATACTTGCTGCAGATCAAGTTCATGTAACTATGTGCTTAGAAGCTCCAGAGAGGAACTCTCACCCACCAGGAGACTGCCTTGAGAGATAATAGTCAACTCATAACCCAAAGTATGTTTGCTACAAAACTCTCTCCCACCCAGAGAGTTTTCAGCCACCTTTACAACCTATTTCTGCCCATGAAAATGCCAACTCTACTGCCCGATAGGTAAGGCACCAATGTGATATGCAGGCCCCGACTTGTTCATTTCCACCTCTGCATAGACTCCCTCTTTAAAAGCACCCACTTTCTGCTGCAAAAGTGAAGCAGTACCGTTAAGGATACTTAAGGCAGGAAGCCTGTACTTCCCCTATACTACTTTAGGAATAAAAAGTCACTTTCTTTATACCAGACCTCACTCTTGTTAGTTAGACTCTGCTGGTGGTGAGTGACTGACCCTGTGTTTTGGTTACTAAGCAGTGTTGAGAACTTGGAGTAAATGGAATGTTCATACAATACTAGTCAGTGTAAATTTATATAACCACTTTGAAAAGCTGTTTGTCTATATCTATTAAACCTATGAATATATGCATGCCCTACTACCCATCAATTACATTATTTGATATATAAACAATAGAAATAAAACATTTCGTCTGCCAAAAGAATGTATGAGAGATGTTGACGGAAGCATTATCACTGTAGCCAGAAAGTGAGAAAAACCCAAATATGCTTCAAATTATGATGGATATGATGTATTCAAACAGTGGCATATCATATGGTAATGAAAA
Source organism: Homo sapiens (assembly GCF_000001405.40). Taxonomy (NCBI): domain Eukaryota; kingdom Metazoa; phylum Chordata; class Mammalia; order Primates; family Hominidae; genus Homo; species Homo sapiens. Next base: position 68,743,434 of record NC_000017.11, read on the forward strand.
ATTACAAATGAGGGCTACGTGTGACAATAAGAAAGTAGACTGAAATTTTTATATATTGTTAAATTTCATTAATATAAAGTACCAAAACAGAAAAACTAATTTATAGTAATAGAAGTCAGAATTGTGGTTTTCTTTGGGAGGAAGGCTATGACTGGAAAAAAAAAGTGAAAAGCCGGGTGCAGTGGCTCATGTCTATAATCCTAGCACTTTGGGAGGCCAAGGTGGGAGGATCACTTGAGTCCAGGAGTTTAAGACCAGCCTGGGCAACATAGTGAGACCCTGTCTCTACAAAAAAATAAAATAAAATAAAAAATGTAGGAGGTTCTAGGAGGCCGTTGAGTGAATGTCTTGCCATTGTAAAAGTTTCTTGAGCTGCATACTTAAGGCTTGCACATTTCACTATATTTGTGTTTAGTTCAATGCAATTCATAGAAAAGATGAAAATTTGCCAGTGCTGAAGAGTCAAAGGAATGTTGCTATGGGCCATGGAGTTCATTCCCAAAAAGTAGTCCCAAAGCTGTTTTGAGATATGAGAATCAGAGGAAGATATTTACTTTATAAGAGACAATATTCACTTAGATGTTCAGCTCTGCTTGCTAATAAACAAAATCTAGTCTCTTACCTACAGACTTATTCAACCGGTGTTCCTTGAGAGAATTAAGTCCTACAGAAAATGCTTTGAATGACTATTTTCTCAATTCTCCCATAGATAGTACAGAGTTAGGAGCATTTTCGATGCAAACAAGATAAGTTAATACAATGCATGTCCTAGGATCTGAGGGCTTAATTCCCTGCAGGATCCCTGGCTGAGAAGGGGTGTAACTTTAGAATTTCTCCTGGAAAAGTGGTGAGGGGTGGAGGTGGGGAAAATGGGATAAATTCCTACCCAGTTCTCCAGCCTGTCCTTTGACTTAGCATGAAGGTAATTTATTTCCTGATACCAGAGAGAGTGTTTTCAACATTGAAGGAGCAATTGTGCTGTTGAGAAGTAATAGTGTATTTGAAAGCTTCTTTTTCCTTCATTTTTAAAACACTCTTTGAGACATTGGCTGTACTTGGATTTCCTTTTTCGCAGCTCCGTAGCATTTGTTTCTGCCAGAGAATAATGTTTTCTATTTAGGAATCACAACTGAAGAAGTGTTTGAGTCACATATGATTCCAGGGGCTATTGTTTGAGGTCTGCAGATGAAGTGAAAGCAAGAAGATAACCACAAGTTATCACAAATGGCTAAGTGTTTTGAAGAGCAGATATCTACTCCAGATCACCTTCATTTGGTCATTTTTGAACTCATACGAAGGTTGTATTCCCTTTTCTTTCATCTCATACATCCCTACTTTCACCGTTTAGATCAGACATGGCCAGCATAACTGAGGAGCAGACTAGAGGCCAAATCTACTTTTGTCATATCCTCTGCTTGGTTCATCAGCCTGGCTTTAGACCCTAAGAGTTTTTAATCATAATGATACAGGAAGGGGGCAGGGAAGTGCTGGGTAGAGAAGGGTGGGGTCCTTGGTGAGGGTTCTACCCTCGGGCCTAAGCCCATGGACCTAAGTGAGAACAGGCACTCTTGTTTTTGAACCCAAATATTGCATTTTTCAAGACCACTCTGGCCCACCATGCCCCCCATCCTGTGCCCATAAAAATCCGAGACCATAGCAGGCATTGACACAAGTGGCTGGACATTGGGAGGTGCACAATGTCCAGAACACACTGACAGACACCAGTAGACACCAGCAAGCCATCGATGGTGGAACAACGTGGATGCCAAGGGGTATTTGGCCAGGGACGGTCAGAGGTGAGTCTGGCTGCTGGGTGGACGAAGTCCAGGGGAAGACCACCTTCCCACTCCATTCCCCTTTCTAGCTCCCCATCCACCTTACTGAGAGCTGCTTTCACCACTCAGTAAAACCTTGCACTTATTCTCCAAGCCCACGAGTGATCCAATTTTTCCTGTACACTAAGGCAAGAACCCAGGATACAGAAAGCCCTCTGTCCTTGCAATAAGGCAGAAGGTCTAATTGAGCTGATTAACACAAGCCACCTGCAGGTGGCAAAGCTGAAGGAGCACAATGTAACACATGTCCACTGGGGCTTTGGGAGCTGTAAACACTCAACCCTAGATGCTGCTGTGGGGTTGGAGCCCCAAAACACACCCCACGACCTGCCCATCTTCATGCTTCCCCTAGGGGTTTGAGCAGCAGGGCACTGAAGAAGTGAGCCACACTCCTGTTTCATGCCCTGCAAGGGGGATAAAGAAACTTCTCCCGTTTCAGTGGTGTCTAACTTGGTGGTAACTATCATACAAGACTCACACAGTGGCGCCTTGATGCAGGTTGATTCTTGCATCAATTTGAGCAGATTGGCTGAATCAGCACAGGAGATCAGAAGGAGGGAACAGGCTGCTGGACAAGCACAAGGGAGAAGTTGCCTTGCTCCTCTGGAGGGTCATTCAGGTGTGGGCGATATGATCCTTCAGCATCATGGTCTGCAGACACTTGTAGGAGAGGATGCCCGAAACCTTTCATCATAAAAGAAAGAATAAAAGTCAACATTTCCATGAGTTTCTGGATTGTGTTAATGTTAAAGAATCCTATGTCAGTCATTCTTATGCAGATCAGGAAACCCATCTAAATCCCCTGTGTTTGTGGCTCTTGGATTTAAGTTATTTTATTTGAAGATCCTAACTCACTTCTAAGAGGCTTGTGTACCCACAACATCCTGAATGTTAAATATATAGTAGTGTGTTGGCTGTGATTCATTCCAATGACAACCCATTTAATTTGATGGCTAAGATATATGTATAGAAACGGAAAAGAGCCTTATGCTGATGTTATCTATTTAAGACGGATGGCGATTGCTTGTGTCCAGCAGCCAAAGAAAGACATAAATCAATAATACATTTTAATCTTACCTTTGTCTATATCATTTAATAAACATTTATTGGTACTGACTATGAACTAGGTTCTGGGAGAAACAAACGTAAAATATAATCCTCGCCCTCAAGAAACACTCAGTGTAGCTAGAAAAACAGACGTGTAAATAAATAATTAGAATATCATGTAAAAAGGGTTTATTTTAAAAATGCAAACAAAGGCAGGGCATGGTGGCTCACTCATATAATCCCAGCACTTTGGGAGGCCGAGGTGGGTGGGTCACGAGGTCAGGAGATCAAGACCATCCTGGCTAACACGGTGAAACCCCGTCTCTACTAAAAATACAAAAAAATTAGCTGGGCGTGGTGGTGGGTGCCCATAGTCCCAGCTCCTTGGGAGGCTGAGGCAGGAGAATGGCATGAACCTGGGAGGTGGAGCTTGCAGTGAGCCAAGATCACGCCACTGCACTCTAGCCTGGGCAACAGAGTGAGACTCCGTCTCAGAAAAAAAAAAAAAAAAAAAAAGCAAAAAAAAAAATGTCTTCTCATACATCAGGGAAAATACTGTTTTTTTCTGAACATAAAGATGCTTAAACTGAGTCCTGTAAGATGAGTAGAGGAAACAAGATGTGCTAAGGAAGGACTAGAAAGACCAAGATGTGTTTAGGGAGCTTTAAGTAATTAGGAAAGGCGAGGCAGCAAGAATGTTTGACATGGATGTGGCATCTCATGGCTGTAACCCTAGCGACTCGGGAGGCTGAGGTGGGAAGATCACTTGAGGCCAGGAGTTTGAGACCAGCCTGGGCAACATAGGGAGACCCCCATCTCCAAAGCAGAAACGGAACCAAAACCCCCCAAAACAAAAACAGAATGTTACAGACAGAGAGAATGTGTGAGAGATAGAAAGAGATTAAGGAGAGCAACTGTGTACGTGTGGCTCACGGTGGTAAAAGTGAGAGAGTAAAGCAGATATTGAAGCCAGAGAGATGAGCAGAAGACCCTTAAAAACCATATTACAGAATTTGGACTTTATCCTTTCAAGAGGTTTTAAGTATGGAGGTTATATAATCAGATTTACTACTTAGAAAGATCCTTTGAGAAGTAATGTGGAGGTCCGCTTAGAGACAAGAGCTCAGGAACTAAGATTGTGGTTGCAAGAAGAAGGTGAGATCAAATTGACCTGATATGCAAATCGACTGAATACAAGGAACATTCATGAAGCTGAGGAAGGAATCGTAGGCTGACACCAAGGTTGTAGGCATGGGAGGGTGGGTGGGTGAATGATGAGAACATTGACTAAGCTAGGACATAGATAAGGAGGAGCAGGGCTAGAGTGGGCAGAAGACATAAGGCATCCATAATTTGGAACATGGTGGAAAATGAAGAAATTTCTTCTCCAACAGAGATTGTGATTTTTCTCATCTAGGTTCAGGACTCCTTCGCTCATTTCTGTATTCCTCTAGTTTGGGTCCTAAGTTATTCTATTTAGACATACGTCTTTTGATTTCTGGTTTACTTGTCCTATCACAGATACTCCTTAGTTCTCACTATTTCTGATACTGAGTCCCACAAGGGAAGTGATGATAATTTCCTCTGCAGGTGGTCAGTCAGTAATCCATTTGAGGTCACTGTCGAGAAACACAGCATCAATGATCAATTAGATGCTCTAGTGTTGTAGAGCTAAGTGTCAGTCTTCCAGAATAGTAAATAAATGAACACACACATACACACATGTAGGCTTTGGAACTGAATCCATCCATCTCTCCATCTGTTTCAATAAACGTTTATTGAATACCTACAACATGTCATTATTTTAGACACTTGGGAATTGTGAGGGCTACAAGAAAAAGTAAACAAATGAAGAAATAATATACTTTTAAGAATAAACCAGGGTAGTAGGCCATAGAAATGGGAGGTCAGTTTTAGATAGATGGTAAACTAGCCACCCGTGCAAAGATTTAGAATCTAAATTTAGAACAATATAAGCCCCAAAATTTGTGTATCCAAGGTCAGCAGGATTGGAGCACAGAGAGCAAGAGAAAGAGAACAGGAGGAAAAGGGGTCAGAGGTGGGATCAGATCCTGTGGCCCTTGTAGGTCAAGAGAAAGAGTTTAGATTTTACATCAAGAATGAAGGGGAGCCACTGGTAGATTCTGGTGGCAGAGCAACGTGACCTGATTTAGGACTTGAAAGTCTCATTCTAGTTATTGGTCAGAGAAAGGGCCCAAGGCAACAAGGGCGGAATTAGGGAGACCAGGTGGGAGACAACTGGAAAGATGAGATAGTTCTTGGCTGAGTGTTTCCAGTTAGAGAAATGCAAAGTGAGGTCATCAATTGGGAGAGAGCTACCAGTACACTTGACATCATGAAAAGTCATGATATTTCAAACTATGATTAATATTATGATAATGAAAGCAAAATGCAACATTTATCAAATGTGTTTCATGTGACTTTGCTCCTCTCTACAGGAAGGTTAGGACATGGATTAGCTTTTCTTTTTTTAAATTTATTTTTATTTTTAAGTTCCCGGGTGCGTGTGCAGGATGTGCAGGTTTGTTACATAGGTAAACGTGTGCACTAGTGGTCTGCTGCACCTATCAACCCATCACCTAGGTATTAAGCCCAGCTTGCATTAGCTATTTTTCCTAATGCTCTCCCTCCCCACATCCCACTCCCTGACAGGCCCCAGTGTGTGTTGTTCTCCTCCTCATGTCCATGTGATCTCATGTGCAGCTCCCACTGTGAGAACATGCGGTGCTTGGTTTTCTGTTCCTGCGTTAGTTTGCTGAGGATAAAGGCTTCCAGTTCCATCCACGTCCCTGCAAAGGACATGATCTTGTTTCTTTTCATGGCTGCATAGTATTCCATGGTGTATATGTACCATATTTTCTTTATCCAGTCTATCATTGATGGGCATTTGGGTTGATTCCATGTCTTTGCTATTGTGAATAGTGCTGCAATGAACATACATGTGCATGTATCTTTGTAATAGAATGATTTCTATTCCTTTGGGTATATGCCCAGTAATTGGATTTCCAGGTCAAATGGTATTTCTGGTTCTAGGTCTTTGAGGAATCACCACACTGTCTTTCCACACTGGTTGAACTACTTTACATTACCATCAACAGTGTAAACGTGCTCCTATTTCTCTGCAACCTCACCAGCATCTGTTGTTTCTTGAGTGGATTAGCTTTTCTAAAGCTACCCTTCCAGTTGGTGGCACAGCTAGAACCAGAATGCTGGCCTCCTTGCTGTCAAAGCTGAGCCTCTGCAAGCTGCTTCTCATCAGCCAGTGAGTTCACATGCTGCGTTTCCAAGTGAAATTTAGGACTTTTTTTTTTAATTGTAAAGTTTGTTAACTGTGGAATCTCTTTCAACGGTGTATTTCTACTTTCTGAGGTTAAAGAAGGCAGATTCTTTCCTGTGACACTTGTTTGTTCTTCATCACCATTTTAATTTGCATTAGAATGTACATACACTCAAGGATAATCTTAAACTCAGTAAGGGATCTTCAGCAGATGAACAGAAATGGAGAGCTTGAGGGGGCATCTGGGAATATAACATAATAGAAATACGACTCTCTCATTTGGAATCAGCAGTACTCTGAGGGCTCTGACTGCTGGAGTTAACTGTGTCTACGCCTCAAACAGGAAAACAAGCCCATGAGGGCTTAAGAAGGGAAGGTTACTGAGTTTTTCTGCTCTGTTTAGAACTCCTGGCCCTCCTCCCTTCTAGCAGAAGATCGTCCCAGCCTGAAGTGAGGCTAAGAACCACTGTAAAACCACTTAGACCATATATTTACTTTCAGAATTAGGTGATGACGTCAGTCCATGCTTCGGAAATAGTTGTTTGCGAGGGAAGACGGCTCAACCAGCAAACACCTAAAGGTACTGACGATCGTACTCATTCAACCAGTCCGTACCCCGACCCATTACAAATGCAACCCAAGAAATGTTGAAATTATGTTTTCTCTCTTCCTCTCCAGGGCTTTTGAAACTCTCTAAATACAAGTTTTTAGAAACGACGAGGCATTGAAAACTTACCACATGACCTTGTGCAAGTTGCTTAACACCACTAAGCCGCCCTGTCTTCTCAGTTTTAATCGGGGATAATATTGCATCCTCTTAAAGAGTTTTTTTGAGAGGATTTGATGAGAAACTATGTAAGTCACTTAGTATGCTGCCTGGAATGTAGCAAGAACTTGATCAATGATAAACTATTATGGAAGTTTTTTTGTTTTATTTTTTTTAATCTTTATCAATTAGTTGTGATTCTTTGATCCTGTACCCTTCAACTTCTTTTTTTTTTTTTTTTGAGACAGAGTCTCACACTGTCGCCCAGGCTGGAGTACAGTGGAGCGATCTCGGCTCACCGCAACCTCCGCCTCCCGGGTTCACGTGATTCTCCTGTCTCAGCCTCCCGAGTTCCCGAGTAGCTGGGATTACAGGCACACGCCACCATGCCTGGCTAATTTTTGGTATTTTTACTAGAGGCGGGGTTTCACGGTGTTGGCCAGACTGGCCTCGAACTCCTGACGTTGTGATCCGCCCACCTCCACCTCCCAAAGTGCTGGGACCACAGGCGTGAGCCACTGCACCGGCCACCCTTCAACTTCTTTAAAAAGTCATGTTGGTTTGGTTTCATTTCAAACTATTCTATCCCTCTTTAAAGGTATTTGAATGTAGAACATTGTTAAGAAAATGAACGAGGATCTTTTCTACATGAGCGCCATATTCTAACAAACTTATCAAACTGCACTGGTGTTATGTGTGATAAGCCACAAGTCTGGGAATCCTGGCACTAGAGCTGTCCAAGGGCTGCTGCTGCTGGTATAAGCAGCTGTGAATCTCCAGGTGATCTACTAGTGCCCCGCTCCCTAAAGGAGGGAGGTGCAGGATTTTCTCTACTAAGGGAAAGCAGCCAGGAGAAACCATCTTACTCTCCCTGGAGCATTGGGAGAGCATCAGGCGTGTTCCATGGACAGTGAGAGCCAATGAAAGCATAATCTACTCACTGCATCCTGGGGATCGCTGAGCTTATGCCCTTGAGCTTCATAGATGGTGACTCCCAGAATCTCTCTGCAATGTCCTTGGAGAATGGCTGTTGGGTGATCGATGATGCAGGAACTTCACAGTTGTACAGAGCTGTGTAGTCCTCCCAGGGAGGTTCAGAGACTTGCAATAGTCAAAGTACATGACTTCTTGGAGAGTAAACGACAATAACATAAGAATGTGTGAGGGGATATACCACAAAATTGTGGCACTCTCCTCCTGCCCCTTTCACGGTATCTGGGGTAGATCTTGATTTCACCCTTTTAATACTTCACTTATAGGTTTTTCTCTTTTTGGTTGATGTCTACGATTACGATGAATATTTGGGGACTGGTGGAGAATGAAATGACCTGTGTTTCTGGAATGTACAGGTTGGGAAATGGCTTTATAGTAGAGAATAGAGATGTAGTTAAAGCTGAGAAAGTGGTTGTGTTTTTTTACAATCCTGAGCAGAGGTTGGCAGGGAGAAGAAGATGAATAGTAAATACTATTTTTAATTGAGAGTTTACTATATGCTAGATATTGTACAAAGTGTTTTGGATGCATTATCTTATCTAATCCTCATGATAAGCTTAGAGACAGGGACTATGATTATTCCATTTCATGGATGAGGAAACTAAAACTTAAAGAGGTTAAATAATTTGACTGTGGTCATGCAGTTATTATATGGTGGAACTGGGTCTTGAACTGGGACTCTAATATAGAGGCTGTACTCTTCTTAATGACTGGGCTAAAAAACTTGTGGCTATTTACTTAGGGAAGTATTGGCCAAGTGTGTGTTAAAAGAACAAAATTTAGACAAATTAAATTTAACAGAGTTTAATTGAGCAAATAAGAATTTACGACTCAGGCAGCTGCCCAAACTAGAATAGGGTCAGAGATACTCCAGCATTGTGGCATGGTTGGAGAGGATTTGTGGGCAGAAAAAGGAAAATGACATTCAGCAAACGAAAGTGAGGTACAGAATAGCTGTACTGGCAACTGCTCAGCGTTTGTCCTATTTGAACATGGTTTGAATAGTTGACTGTCTGTTATTGGCCTAAACTTGGTGATTGATATAAGACTAGGTTATAGTCTATTTATACATCCAGTGAGGTTACAGTTCACTATGGACAGAGAAACCTTTAGGTTGAGCTTAAAATATGCAGGGAGGCAGCTTTAGGCTAAACTTAATTTAACACTTTTTTTTTTTTTTTTTAAGAGCAGCACCTACATATTTGAATGCCCTTGACTCTGATTAAGCTACCAAAGGACAGGGACTATGTCTTATTAGAATGTACCTGGTCCAAGGCATTAGCCAACAGTTGGTAACCAATCAGTGTTTGTCAGTTGAATTGAATTGACAGGTTCTATGTGACAGTTTTTTGTTTTGTTTTGTTTTGGCAATTCCATTTTTATTATAGGTTCAGGGGGTACATGTGCAGATTTGTTACAACGATATATTGCATGATGCTGAGGTTTGGAATATTAATGAGTCCATCTCCCAGGTGGTGAGCACAATACTCAATAGGCAGCTTTTCAGCCTCTGCCCGTCTCCATTCCTCCCCCTCTTATATTCTCCAGTGTCTATTGTTCCCATCTTTATGTCCATGTATACTTGATGTTTACCTCCCACTTATTTACTTATTTTTTTTCGAGACAGAGTTTCACTCTTGTTGCCCAGGCTGGAGTGCAATGGTGTGACTTCGGCTCACTGCAACCTCTGCCCCCTGGGTTCAAGTGATTCTCCTGCCTCAGCCTTCCAAGTAGCTGGGATTACAGGCATGCGCCACCATGCCCAGCTAATTTTGTATTTTTAGTAGAGACGGGGTTTCTCTATGTTGGTCAGGCTGGTCTCAAACTCCAAACCTCAGGTGATCTGCCCACCTCAGCTTCCCACATTGCTGGGATTACAGGTGTGAGCCACCGCACCCAGCCAGCTCCCACTTATAAGTGAGAATATGTAGTATTTGGTTTTCTGTTTCTGTGTTAGCTCATTTAGGGGAATGGCCTCTAGCTGATTCTCATTGTTGCAAAGAACATGATCTCGTTCTTTTTTATGACTGCATAGTATTCCATGGTGCATATGCACCATATTTTCTTTATTTGATCCAGTGTGGATGGGACCCTGGGTTTATTCCATGCTATGTGGCAGTTTTTGAAAGTTAGACTTAAAAAATTAAGAGACGTTGCTATCTTACATTCTTGCAAACAAACTAAAATCCCTAACCTTCCTCAAGATTGGAATCCAATGCAATTAAAAATATTTATTTATTTATTTAGTTAGTTAGTTAGTTACTAACTATGCGGTACTGGCAAGGGATCAAAGTTAGAAACATTGTCATTCTTTCCAGGTGTTTGCCATAAACTGTAAACTTTCCTTGGTCAAGATGCCTGGTGTGAGTTTCGATGATAAGATAAAACTACAACTTAAAAATATTTGTTGAAAAATGAATGTACTCCTTGCAAAGCCTGACTTACATATGTAAAAAGACAGCATTGGTGGCCACCAATGCAATATGAGGGACTTAATCTGTTTAATGTGGATTGTTACAGTCAGGCAATTATCCTGTTATTATCAAGACCTAGAGTTGATTGGTACCAAACTCAGAACTTTATCTATGACTGTGTGAGCTTCAGTGGGTCCTGATCAAAATGAAAATGGGAGGCCGGGCTCATGGTTGTAATCTCAGCACTTTGGGAGGCTGAGGCTGGTGGATCACCTGAGCTCACGAGTTCAACACCATCCTGTCCAACATGGTGAAACCTCGTCTCTACTGAAAATACAAAAATTAGTGGGGCATGGTGGCGGGCACCTGTAACCCCAGCTACTCAGGAGGCTGAGGCAGGAGAATCACTTGAACTTGGGAGGTGGAGGTTGCAGTGAGTCAAGATCGTGTCACTGCACTCCAGCCTGGGTGACACAGAGAGACTCTATCTCAAAAAAAAAAAAAAAAAAAAGATGAAAGTGGGTTTCTTTCACTGGTGTCCTGGCAAATGTTTAAACAAATCACTCTCCTAAAAACAAATAAAAGTCCTGGTTTGTAGCATTGGCTGGTTTGCATGATGAAATACTCCTCCATGGCTGATTTCAACTCCACTGAAGATGGAGTAGAAAAGAGACGCATACAGTCATCTCTCTTGAAGTGGTCTGAGTGGTCTCCAATGAAGTGGTCTCCACTCATTCCTCTATACCCCGTACTGAAGTCTGTCTGAGATTCTCTTGCCTCCATTTATGCATACAAATGACCTGTTTGATTCTCTCCTTTTTCGTGGATGATGCTAAACATCTGCCTTCTGTCTGAAAGTGCCCCCGACATGCCCATTTTTGTGGCTTTTGCCTACTGAACATTTGAACTTCATCAGCTGGATGCTCAGCAGTAGGCCCCAGATTCAGAGGCAATGCAATTTTCTGTGAGGTTGTAGCTTAGAGAGGGTAGAAGCTATAGCCTGCAAGATGATCCCCAATGGACTCTGCCTAGTATTTACATCCTGTGTTGTCTTCTCTGCACCACACAGAACATGGCAGAAGCAATGGCACATCACTTCCAGGATTAAGTTATAAAAGTCATTGTGACTTCTGTCATGGTCAGACTCTCTATCTTGAATTATTCGCTCTGTGGGAAGTCATCTGCTAAGTCACAAGCTGACCTATAGAGAGTCCCATGTAGCAAGGATGAAAGCCTCCTGAAAACAGTCATGGGTGTGAATTTAGAAGCAGATTCTTCAGCCCCCCAGTGAAGCCTCCAGATGACTGCAGCACTGGCTGACAGCTTGACACAGCCTCATGAGAAACCCTGGGCCCAAACCATCCAACTAAGCAGTTCCCGAATTACTGACACCCAGAAAATATGAGATAGTATATATTGGTTGTTTTAAATGGCTAAGTGTTGGGATCATTTGCTACACAGAAATAGATAATTAATGCAGGAAGTTACTTATTTTTAAGATAACTATTTTGTCTTTTATAGTAACATTTAACCTGCATCACTTCTACCAGCATCACTCAAATTAAAATTCTGTCCTTAATTTCTTTCAAAGGAGTTAATTAAAAAAATTATTCAGTTTATTCTTCCCTTCCTCTCTGTATTAGTCCGTTTTCACACTGCTGATAAAGACCTACCTGAGACTGGGAAATTTACAAAAGAAAGAGGGTTAATGCACTCACACAATTCTATGTGGTCGGGGAGGCCTCACAGTCATGGTGGAAAGTGAAAGGCACATCTCAAATGGCAGCAGACAAGAGAAGAGAGCTTGTGCAGGGAAACTCCCATTTTAAAAACCATCAGATCTTGTGAGACTTATTCACTATCACGAGAACAGCATGGGAAAGACCTGCCCCCATGATTCGATTCCTCCCACTGTGTCCCTCCCACAACACGTGGGAATTCAAGATGAGATTTGCTTGGGGATACAGACAAACCGTATCACTCTCCCTCCTTTTTCTTTCCCTCTTTCTCCCTTCTCCTCTCCCTTCTCCACCTCTTCCTTTTATATTTCAATTTCACATTTTAATGTATCTTCTATGATAGCAGTGGAGTTTGATAACAGAAGACAGATGAACTTTTGCATGAGTGATTTCCAGTTCTGGCTGCTGTATGATATTGAATAGGTACTAAATCTCCCAAAGTCTCAGTTTTCTCATCTGTAAACCTGCAATAGGAAAACCTACATTAACAGGTTAGAGTTAAGTAAAATTAAATAGACAGATGAACTTTCACATGAGTGATTTCTAGTTCTGGCTGCTGTGTGATATTGAATAGGTATTAAACCTCTCAAAGTCTCAGTTTTCTCATCTGTAAAATTGGAATAGGAAAACCTACATTAACAGGTTAGAGTTAAGTAAAATTAAATATGCAAAGGTCTAAGCACAGGGTCTGGCAAATAACATGCATTCCATAGATAGTATAATAAAATAACCATGAAGACTACAATAAGGGCAGTTGATCCTCTATCTTGAAGATGCCTGAGAGTCCATGTGGCCCAACGAAAGGCTTTTCAAATAGACTGTTGTGAGAATGATGGAAGCAAAGCATACTCAGTCCTCATGGTCATCTTTCCAGAGTGAGAGTGAGCAGCTCTTGACAAACTGACCGGTGGAGATGAAGCCGTGTTAACCGGCAGATGCAGGGTGAGTGGGGAGGGCTACAAGCTGAACTCTACAGGCAGCATTTGCCATCACTCATGCTTGAACTCCCAGAATCCTCAGCCTGCGAGGCCCAATTCAGTTTAGTAAACCTTTATGTGCTTGGCCTACAAAGGTGAATGGGCATCAAGCCTTGTGGCAAGGAGAAGATCATCATAACCCTTTGTGCTATATTCACAGGGTGCATGGAGCTCTGTCTCTGGGCTGAGGGCTCAGAGAAAAGTGCCCCTTGCTAAAGCTAGGCTGCATGGGGTGGTGGTCAGGGAGGGCTTCCTTGAGGAAGCAGGCCTGAACCAAGTCTTAAGAGATGAATTTATTTCTTTCTCTCTTAGCAGGACGGAACTCAAATCATTCAAGTTAGTTGGATTCTGTCTTCTTAAAATCTTCACTAAGGAGCCTCTTTTATTTACTTTGGATCCTGAGCTTTAGGAAGGAAGAAACATTTGAGTAGGATTGTTTCTAGATGTAGATGTTACTGGTCCTGTAAGTGGCTTGGCTTTGTTTTGTTTCATTTTCTGGGATTTGGGGAGAGTCGGTTGATTATAAAGAAAATATATTTGATCAATAGAAATCACATTTCTAACAGAAAAGAGGCCGATTCTATCAGGTCTCCTTGCCCTTTTGGGCTTAACTCTTATAATTATTTAAAGAAAACTAAGATTATTATCCTGATAAAAAAAGTTTGCAAGGGCCACAAACTGAAGACCAGTCTTATCGATGGTCCCCAAGCTCACAAAGAAGCCAGAGGAAATTACTCAGCGTGGGATGACCACCGTTGCCCAGTAGTTTTATTCCTTCTAAGTCAATGTTTTTCTGAGATGATCCAGAGTTTGAAAACTAACATACAGTTATATTCAACAACAAATTCCTGGCCATGTAGGGTCATTGTTATAAGGTCTCTGACCCCTAAAACACTTCAAACAAAGTCCATACCTCTTTCTAGCTCCTATGGGTATGAAAGACCACCAGGAGTAGTGTGAGAAACGTTAGTGGGTACAAAGCTACCCACTCTCTTGGACAAATAAAAGGGATGAAGGGTGTGTTCCTCTGTGAGAATGAGGGCTTTTATCATTGTGGAGAAAAGTCATTGCCTGGAGTTGGCTTTCATTTGGGGCTAGATTAAAAAAAGAAAAGCTCAGTGTCACTGATCATTAGAGTAATGCAAATCAAAACCACAATGAGATACCCCTTCACACCAGTCAGAATGGCAATTATTAAAAAGTCAAGAAACAACAGATGCTGGTGAGGTTGCAGAGAAATAGGAGCGCGTTTACACTGTTGGTGGGAATGTAAATTAGTTCAACCATTGTGAAACAGTGTGGCGATTCCTCGAAGATCTAGAACGAGAAATACCATTTGACCCAGCAATCCCATTACTGGGTATATACTCAAAAAATATAAATCGTTCTATTACAAAGATGCATGCATGCATATGTTTATTGTAGCACTATTCACAATAGCAAAGACATGGAATCAACCCAAGTGCTCATCAATGATAGACTGGATAAAGAAAATGTGGTATGTATACACCATGGAATACTATGCAGCCATGAAAAGGAACAAGATCATGTCCTTTGCAGGGACATGGATGGAGCTGGAAGTCATTATCCTCAGCAAACTAATGTAGGAACAGAAAACCAAACACCACATGTTCTCACTCATAAGTGGGAGCTGAACAATGAGAACAGATGGACACAGGGAGCAGAACAACACACACTGGGGCCTGTCAGGGAGTGGGATGTGGGGAGGGAGAGCATTAGGAAAAATAGCTCATGCATGCTGGGCTTAATACCCAGATGATGTGTTGACAGGTGCAGCAAACCACCATGGCACTTGTTTACCTATGTAACAAACCTGCACATCCTGCACATATACCCTAGAATTTAAAATGAAAATTAAAAAAAAGTAAAAAATGTAGTGGATTTTTAGGAATATCCCAGTAATCAAGTCACCTTTCAAGAATTAAGGGAATGAAAATGGCTGGAGGACATTTCCAAAGGATTAGGAGTGGGAGTCACCTGTTGATGCCAAGGCTGGAACAGCTGGAGGGGCCTCAAGGGGACCTTGGGAGATGCCTGTGTGCTTAGGAAGGGAAGGGCCTATCCAAAGTCCAAGAGAGTGCTATTTAACCCACGTAAGCTGATCTCTGCTCCTTAATTTCAGGATTAGAAAACTGCTATGGGATTTGGCTTTTGTCAACCATTGGGATGCTTTGGGAAGCCACAGAAATCCAACTATCTCTAAGACTAATTCTGTGAACTCTGAAATTCCTCTGCATAGTAAGGTGGACTATTGGAGGGGAGGGGTGGTCACTGTCTACACACCTAACTTTATGTTATAAAAAAATTCTAATTTTATTCAGCATTTCCAAAAGGGTGCTACAGGGAATGTTACTGATGTTAAATTAAAGAGTACAGTGCAAAAAAAATGATCTCTGTTCAAGTAAATTAAGAAATTATGTGATTAAATAGAATTACATTTTTTATTTTGGATAGGATTTCTCAGGGCTTTCCACCTGCTATTCTGAATTATGTATCTTTAAGAGGGAGACTGTGTGTATATTGTAAAAGTCAGATTCTAATGTAAAAGATTCTAATTTCGGGTCATGGCAGTAACACTGCACCATTGGCACATGGTTTAAAACTGCAGGAACACAGACATTGATCTGTGTGCTTATGTAAATGTGTACACTCTAAAAAATAAACAAGCAAATACTATATGTATACGGTGAAGGTCAGCAGTGGCGGGGAAAAGGGAAGACTTTCGTGGGAGAGATTTAGGGAGGTTAGCACCTTTAACTGAAGGTAAGAGTCCTTCATTCTAATTCTGAATCACTGCGTTACGTTCAGCATATCTGGTCCTGTTTCCCCACATGCAAAGCAGAAATTTAAAAAGTAAAGACATCTCAAACTTATCTTGCAAAACAATACAGGGATTAAACAAGCCTGTACCATTAAACTGTTTTGCACTCTGTGGTCAAGGACATGGCCTAATGGCAGGTTATGGTCCTGGCCACCAGCAGGATTAACCAAGGGGTTTGCAGAGCAGGCACAGGCAGTGTCTGTCTCTCCAGGACCGCGGGTAGGGCAGCTGACATCCTGGGGTCAGGGTGAGTCATGCCCTGTGTGCATGAACATGCAGGCATGCGTGCAGCACCCTCGGGCTCCAGGGGCTTAAATTTCCAAAAGACAACCCTGAAAACTTGAAAAGTAAGAAAATCTAGAACAATGAGTAGGTGGCCTAGCTTTTGTGGCAGGCAGAAACAAGACAAAATGGCGAGTTAACCATATTCCTATTATGTGGGGGATTTTGTAGGACTGTCCGAGTGACTATTTGCTTAGAGTAGGTTAAATCCTACCAAAGAAATGGGGCTCCCAAGAAAGCATTCATTCCCAAAGTGAATTTTCCTGTTGATAGTGTTGGATATGTTTGCAGTATTCACGGTCCAAATTTTATGCTTTCTCTTTCCCATTGCTGAGTCACTGGGCTGTCTTGAAATCTGAGGGGAAAAGTCTGTGAGGCGTGGCCGGCAACTAGGAAGCCTGGCTCTTTCTAGTAGAGCATGAACGCCACCTTGAGTTGTGTGTGAGCACTGCCGAGCCCTACTTGACATGATCAGCAGTTCCGAGGGATGGAGCAAATGGGACTGGTTCCCTTTTGCAACAAAAAGCAGCACTATCAGGCCTGGGTTGTGTCTTGACACCCGGAATTATTTTTTAGCAAAATGTAATAAATCAATCAGAGTTCCCCAGAGAAACAGAACCAAGAGCATATGCGTGCATAAGATGGAGAAATTTATTTTAAGGAATTGGCTGGTGCAAATGTAGGGGCTGGAAAGTTGGAAATTTGTAGGACAAGCCGCAGGCTGCAAACTCAGGCAGGAGTTGATGTTGCCATCTTGAGGCAAAATTTCTTCCCTGGGAAGTCTCAGTTTTTTTCTCTTTAGGCCTCCAATTGATTGAATGAGGTCGACAAATTTTATCTAGGATAGTCTCCTTTACTTTAAGTCAGCTGATTTTGGATGTTAATCATATCTGCAAAATACGTTCACCGCAACATCTAGACCAGTGTTTGGTTAAATAACTGGTACTAGCCCAAGTCGACACATAAACCATCACTCTTGGCCGGGCGTGGTGGCTCAGGCCTGTAATCCCAGCACTTTGGGAGGCCGAGGCAGGCGGATCACGAGGTCAGGAGATTGAGACCACCTGGTAACACGGTGAAACCCCCGTCTCTACTAAAAATGCAAAAAATTAGCTGGGTGTGGTGGCGGGCTCCTGTAGTCCCAGCTACTCGGGAGGCTGAGGCAGGAGAATGGCGTGAACCCGGGAGGCGGAGCTTGCAGTGAGCCGAGATTGTGCCACGGCACTCCAGCCTGGGCGACAGAGCGAGACTCCGTCTCAAAAACAAACAAACAAACAAACAAACAAACAAACAAAACCTAACCATAACTGATAGCAACATTAGCATAGGTGAAAAATATATTTTTGAACATTAACAGATATAAATAATTTTTCATTTGATTCATTAATATGGATTCAACAACACTTCAGGTTGGACCAGGTGCATTACCATTTCTAGTTATATTCCTTGTAACATTGGGTTAGATTCTGATGTGTTGCTACCAGCCTACCATATGCATTGTATGACTTCCCCCAGTACCATCATAACGAAGACATGTAGAATACGTTTCATAGTAAATAGGGTGTTTTCCCAGGGTTGCTGTTGTTGCTATTGCAGGATATTCGCCTGCAAGTGTTTGCAATTCTCTAATCAGAACTCTTTGCCATGCAAGGTAAGGCAAAGTTTAAAAGGCTGGTCAGAGCTCCTTCCCAGGAGTGACACCCTTTGTCCTTTGACATTGGTATTTTTCTGTCCAGTACTTCTGGCAGAAGTTAGAAGCAGGAATGGGTAGTCCGGATAGCTCTCCTATTTGAATCTGTTTTTTAAAAAAAAGACTCCACAAGACTCCACACTATTTTGATATTTTGATGAATTTTCTGGGGTTTCACCTCGTGTAATTTTTTTTTTTTTTTTTTGAGACACGATCTTGCTCTGTTGTTCAGGCTGGAGTGCAATGGCATGATTACAGCTCACTGTAACCTCAAACACCTGGGTAGCTCCTGGGTTCAAGGGATCCTCCTACCATGGTTTCCTAAAGCACTGGGATTACAGGCATGAGCCACGAGGCCCACAGGCCCAGTCCTTCATGTGACTTTTGAAGGAGGCATCTGTGGTCTTCAAACACCAAGAATCTCTCCTTTATAGACACTCAGAAAGCACGGAAGAGGAGGATAAGAAATGGCCAAGTCTCTTGGTGTTTGCTCTTGCTGGAAAGAAAAAGGGGGAAATTGGATTTCTCTGGGATTCTCTGTTCAAATGGCAAAGGAGGAAAAAATCCCAGAGAGTCTGCTAAGGAAGGAAGTAGAAGCTACGTCATCTCTATAGACAGCAGAGAGGACATATTTATTGGTGTGTATCTCTAGTTTCTGCAACTCATCCAGCCAGATATTTCAATATTTCCCTAACTCCAACTGTTCACTGTCCATTTCCATTGCTATTGAATGTGCTAGGTATATTTTCCTAATATAAACACAAAATTTAAAAAATTATCCTATGTACCATGTGACATAGTCTTGCATATTATAGTGGTTCACATCATAACTCATCTGTTTGAAAAACTCTAATCAGATGCATACGGTTAATTCAAAATGTGCTGTGTGTAGAACTGCTATATAATTGATGAGCATTAGAATGATGTGACACTCTACAATTCTCTTTTCTCTTAGGTTTTTAAGATTATTAAGATTAATGTCATTCAATAGGTCTGAGTTTGCATGTGTAGCAAAGACTTGTTCTCCTTAAGGCAGCAGTGGCTTGCAAACTTTTTGAAATGCCTGTAGTAACACATTTATTTTATTTATTCACAAATGCATACATATTCACAGACGTAATATAATGAAAGTCTCATTAAAACTAGAATGTAATTTTTTTTTGAGGCAAAGTCTTACTCTCACTCTATTGCCCAGGCTGGAGTGCAGTGGTACAGTCACAACCCACTGCAGCCTCAACCTCCCAAGCTCAAGCAATCCTCCTGCCTCAGTCTCCTGAGTAGCTGGGAATACAGGCATGCACCACCATGCCTGGCTAATTTTTTAATTTGTTATTGTTTGTAGAGACAGAGTCTCGCTATATTGCCCAGGCTGGTCTCAAACTCCTGGACACAAGCGATCCTCCTGCCTTAACCTCCCAAAGTGCTGGATTTACAGGTGTGAGCCACCATGCCTGCCCCAGAATGTAAAATGTTTCATAAATAATAATTGGTTTTTATATCAATTGCATCTTGGAATGATAAAATTTTGGACATATGGGAAAAATAAAATGTTATTAAAATCAATTTTACCTGTTTCTTATTTATTTATTTATTTTTTAAGAGACAGGGTCTTGCTCTGTTACCCAAGCTGGAGTGCAGTGGCACAATCAGCTCACTGCAACCTTGATCTGGGCCCAAGCAATCCTCCCCTAGTTCAGCCTCCCGAGTAGCTGGGACTACAGGGGCACTCCACCATGCCTGGGTAATTTTTTAAATTTTTTGTAGAGATGGGGTCTTGCTATGCTGCCCAGGCTGGTCTTGAACTCCTGGCCTCAAACGATTTTCCTGCTTTGGTCTCCCAAAGTGCTGGCATTACAGGCATGAGCCACTGTGCCCTGCCCTTTAAAACATTTTTTGAATGAGACTACTAGAAAATTAAGAATTACAAATGTGCTCACATTATATTCTTATTGGGTAACACTGCTGTCCAATATGTAAAAATGAAGCCTGGAAGTTCTGCAGGCATTTCACTGTCACGGGGAGTGTTTGTTACCCTGAACATGGAATGGATACGGAGTGGAGGACAAAGCTGATGGAACTGTGGAGGAATGGAAGCAGAGCCATGTTCCAACTGTACCTGAAACATTTCATACCTCAAGTCGTAAGAACAAATAAATATGATTTATTGTTGCAGCTGGATCTCCTGCTACACAACAGGAAAATCCTAACTGATGCTGGGTCACAGAATACATCCTGGCTCATCATTTCAGACTTCTACTCAAGAGCTTTTATGATGCTGCTCTGTCGACTCCCATAAGACCTCCCAAACCCAGGCTCCAGGCTGACATCTCACAGTTCCTCAAGGTGGACCATCTCCTTCTGTCTGACCAACCCTATTTATCATCCTCCTTACATGCTGTGCTCATTCCTTCAATGACTCATTCTACACTTTTAGCTACTCATGGACTATTGAACACAAATGTACAGCCACTTCCAGGGTTTTCTAGGAAACTTTGTATCACTCACTTTCACTTTCTGCTGGGTCAGCTGCAGGTATGAATTTGTTCATCACAGATTTAGACCAACCTGGGGTGGCAGCACATTCTCAAGATGTTTTACCTTGGTCCATGTCAATTTCATTTTTTCTTTTACTTCTTTGTTGTTGTTGTTGAGACAGGGTCTCACTCTGTCACCCAGGCTGGAGTGCAGTGGCACAATCATGGCTCACTGCATCCTTGACCTCCCAGGCTCAAGCGATCCTCCCATCTCAGCCTCCTGAGTAACTGGAACTACAGGCACATGCCACCACATCCTGCTAATTTTTTGATTTTTTGGTAGAGATGGGGTTTTGCCATGCTGCCCAGCTCAAGTGATCCACCCGCCTCAGCCTCCCAAAGGGCTGGGACTACAGACATGAACCACCCCACCCAGCCTATAATTTCATTTTTTTCATGGCAAATTAATATGTTGGCATTGGATTATGCTTTGGCCCCCTAAGTAGCTCACTCGCAGGAGAAAATTCATTGACTAATGAAATGGGTACCTAGTGCCCCTGGAAGTTGCAGTACTCATTGGAAATTTTAAATTCTAAATTACCATTTTGATTTTCATCATCACTTTGGAGTTTCCAGTTAATGTTGTCCACTCATGAGGCTCAGATTTTCTCCAAATACATAAACAGATGGGGTTCCTGAGCTTGTACTCCACAGCTGAGGGCCAATCTCTGGGTCAACCCAGATTCACATTTATGGCGTTCTCTCCTGGGGCTTCTTGCCAGGTGACGACTTCTGTTCCTAGTGACTTGTCCCTGTCTTGCCTCTTGCCTTTTCTCCACATTATCCCCAAACTCAGCCTTTAGCTTTGCCCACACTATTGTGAAGCCACACAAATGTTTGCTTGTGTACATTCTATACCAAAGACTGTCCTGATATGGACTAGATAACACTGGGCAATACATTATTAATTTGTGATGTGTCCAAGCAATGACAGCCAGTGGATGTGCAATGGTATTACCCAGGAATGTCAGCTACAGGCTATTTGTTTTTAATGCAGCTCGCATCAGAGGGTCTCTGATCTAGTTAAAAAGACCCCTCTCTTCTCCTAGAGGGCACCACAGTAATCAAGTTGTCAAGAGCTGAGACAGCCAGGGATTGAGTATCAGCTTTACTAATTGATTCATTCAGTAAGTGTCTACTGAGCACCTGCCACATTTTAGATATTGTTCTTTGTGCTGGGGATTTATCAGTGAATAAAAAAGACAAAAATCTAAATCCTTGTGGAACTTACTTTCTAGGAGAAGGCTAACCATAAGCATTAACAATGAGGAAATTATTATATTTGGAAGCGATGGATCTATGGGGGAAAAACGCCCAGGGAAGGGGGAGAAAATGAGGTTGCAGTTTTCAGTAGGGTGGACAGGGTAGGCCCCTAAGAAGATAACATTTGGGCAAAGACCTGAGGAGGTGACAATGCAAGCTGTGAGATACGCAGTGGAAAAGCCTTCCAGGTGCAGAGAACAATTCCTGTCAGAGACACAGGAATTACAACCAGGTAAGAGATGATGGTGCCTCAGACCAAGGTGATGACTGCAGAAGTGGTGGGAAGCGCTCATATTCTAGAAAAATCTTGGAAGTAGAGCCTCCCATACCTCTGAAACACTGAATATGGAAGATAAGAGAAAAAGCAGAGTTGAGGAAGGGCACGGTGGCTCATGCCTGTAATCCCAGCACTTTGGAAGGCCGAGGCGGGCAGATCTTTTGAGGTCAGGAGTTTGAGACCAGTCTGACTAACATGGTGAAACCCCATCTCTACTAAAATGCAAAAATTAGCCGGGTATCATGGCAGGCACCTGTAATCCCAGCTACTTGGGAGGCTGAGTCAGGAGAATCACTTGAATCCAGGAGGCAGAGCTTGCAGTGAGCCAAGCTCTCTCCACTGCACTCCAGCCTGGGTGATGGAGCGAGATTCCCTTTCAAAAAAATAAAATAATAAATAAATAAATAATAATAAAAATAAAAAAAGTAAAAAGCAGAGTTGAGTATGATTCCAAGGATTTGGGACCAAATTCCTGAAGAATGACACTTCCTTTAACTGAAATGGAGATGGCTATGGTTAGAGAAATTTGAGGGAGCCAAATCAGAAATTTAGGTTTTTACATGTTATGTTTGAGATATAATGTAAGTAAAGATCTTGATAAGGTGGCTTGCTGTATTATTCTGGAGTTTAGGGGAAGTCTGACTTAGAAATAAAGATTGGGGAGAAATCAGCATATAGATGGTATTTAAAACCATGAGGAGAGGCAACATAAGAAAAGGAAGATTCTGGAACAGAGGTTCTTGGCCACATTGGCCAAGGGTTCTCACTAATCCCTTAATGAAGAGGATCTGAATTTTCACAGGAGAACTTAAGTATGGCATGTGTCTTAGTCCATTTAGTGTTGCTATAAAGACACACCAGAGACTGGATAAGTTATAAAGAAAAAAGACTTACTCGGCTTAGAAATTCTGATGTCTGGAAAAGTTCAAGATTGGGCAACTGCATTTGGGGAGAGCTGCAGGCTGCTTCCACTCCTGGCAGAAAGTGAAGGGGAGCTGGTGTGTGCAGAGGCCACATGGCGAGAGAGGAAGCAACAGAGAAAAGGGGAGGTGCCACACTTTTTCACAGCCAGCTGTCATGGAAACTATTAGGCTGGTGCAAAAGTAGTTGCGATTTTTGCCATGAAAAGTAATGGCATAAACCGCAATTACTTTTGTGCCGACCTAATAATCAAGAGTGTGAACTCACTTACCCCCAAGGTAGGGAATTACAGCAATAATAAAGGATCCACCCTCGTGGACTCAAGCGCCTTTCACTAGGCCCCACCTCCCAACACAACCACATTGCAGATTACATTTCAACATTAAACTTGGGGAAGAGGGGTACCCATCCAAGCTATAGCAGCCTGTCAGTCAGTTGTATTATTTGTGCTTGTAACTATAAGTGGAATGTATACAGAGGCCTTAATCACCTGAGTTTGGGATGTTTCCTTGGCCGTGTATAGCTTACTTCCTTAAGTCTCAGTTTTCCTATCTATACAATGGGGTTAATTATAACTCATAAAGTTATTGCAAGGATTAAATGAGAACGTGTAAAAAGAGTGTTTAGCACAGTTCCTGGAAAAAAATACGTGTTCAACAAATGTTAGCTCAATAAAATAGATTTTAGTATTCTTTGAGTCAAGATTCTGCTGTTCAGCGTGGGAGACACAAGAACACAGTTGTCTTTGTAGATTCTGTCTTAGCGAGGTTTATTCTGTTTGAATTTCTATAGGCCATAACAAAAATAGATGGAACAGATACAGGACAAAACCACAAACTATTTAAAGAAAACCCTGCCCGAAGTAATGTATGTATTCATGCCAAATATATTCAGGTACTAAAAGGTCTATGGAAATTTTGAACAAGAAATAATGAGGATGATGATGATGGAAATGATGAAGATTTTGATAACAATTAAATTTACAGAGCATTTACAATGTGTCAGACAGTGTTTGAAGTATCATATATTCACTAATTTAAGCCTCACAACTCTATGAGGTAGGTACCCTCATGTTACAGTAGAAGACAATGAGACACAGAGAGGTTATGTGACTTGTCCAAGGTTCCCCAGCTAGTAAGTGGCAGAGGTGGGGTGGAAGGAAGGCAGTGTAACTCCAGTGTCCGGGGAAGGACAAGGATGAATCTTGGCATTTGAAGTCATTCTTCTTTTTTTTTTTTTTTTTTTTTTTTGAGACGGAGTCTCACTCTGTCGCCCAGGCTGGAGTGCAGTGGTGCAATCTCAGCTCACTGCAAGCTCTGCCTCCCGGGTTCATGTCATTCTCCTGCCTCAGCCTCCAGGGTAGCTGGGACTACGGGTGCCCGCCACCATGCCCGGCGTAGAAACGGGGTTTCACTGTGTTAGCCAGGATGGTCTTGATCTCCTGACCTCGTGATCCGCCCGCCTCGGCCTCCCAAAATGCTGGGTTTACAGGCGTGAGCCACTGTGCCTGGCCTTGAAATCATTCCTGAAGGAAGCAGAGGGGAAGAGAATGCTTCTGTTAGTACTGAGCATTTGTTCAAAACTGGAAAGGACATAAAAATATGCTTAGGGAATGTGAAGATTCTCATTTGCCTTGGTGAGGCATTTGCATAGGGATACCAGGAATAATTATGGGTTATGCCAGATTGTGGAGGGCTTTATGGTTCAAGATCAACACATTTGGCCTTAATTTTATGGCTAATGGGCGGCACAGACTTGTGTTGCAGTAAGATTAATTTGAAAGGGATTATCTGGGGCAGGCACTGTGGCTCACACCTGTAATCTCAGCACTTTGGGAGGCTGAGGCGGGTGGATCACCTGAGGTCAGGAGTTCGAGACCAGCCTTGCCAACATGGTGAAACTCCATCTCTACAAAAATACAAAAATTAGCTGGGCATGTTGGTGAGTGTCTGTAATCTCACCTACTTGGGAGGCTGAGGCAGGAGAATCACGTAAACTCAGGAGGCAGAGGTTGCAGTGAGCGAGACGGCACCATTGCACTCCA
Source organism: Homo sapiens (assembly GCF_000001405.40). NCBI lineage: Eukaryota > Metazoa > Chordata > Mammalia > Primates > Hominidae > Homo > Homo sapiens. The sequence continues at coordinate 68,768,356 of NC_000017.11, forward strand.
GCCTGGGCAGCAAGTGTGAAACTCCGTCTCAAAAGAAAAAAAAGAAAGAAAGAAAGAAAAAAAAGAAAAACAAAAGAGAGAGAGAGAGAGAAAGAAAAGAAAGAAAGGGATTATCTGAACAGCTTGAAGGAGAGTACAAGAAGAGGTAGACAGATTAATTATGGGGCTATTTCTGTCAACTGGAAATCGTAGCCTAACTTTGAGGCTGGGCTGCTGTAATGGATTGAGTATATAGTGCAAAAACACAGAGGTCCCTTTTGCATTGCGATCCATGCACGGCTCTATGTAGGCACTTGCTTGGGGGGCAGAATGAGATGGTGGGAAAGCATGGGATTGGAGTAACGCAGACCGGGGTGCATGATTGTTGCTCCACGTCTGATGGGCCAGGAAGCCCTGGGAAAGTTCCTTAAACTTTCCAAGCCTCAGTTTCCTCACAGGATTGTTGTGAGGATTTTTTTTTTTTTTTGTGGCGATTGAATGACATTATGAAAAATTCATTAGAATTCACTAAATACCTATCCCGTTTCCCTTTTAATCCTTTCTCTGCTCCACACTTCAAGAGTGTTGGCTCTACGAAGGAAGGGACATATCCCTAGAAAAACATGACGTCAAGCAGGATGAGCCATTGGATTTGGTGAATTGCTGGGTGTGGGTGACAACGTTGAGTCTTGGAAACAATAGTACTGTTTATAGATACAGGAAAGGTGGGAGGAGGAGCTGGCCCTCTAAAGCAGATTTTTTAGTTTTCATTTATTTTGAGACAGAGTCTAGCTCTGTCACCCAGGCTAAAGTGCAGTGATGTGATCTCAGCTCACTGCAACCTCCACCTCACAGGTTTAAGCGGTTCTCCTGCCTCAGCCTCCTGAGTAGCTGGGATTACAGGCGCCCACCACTGCACCCACCTAATTTTTGTATTTTTAGTAGAGACAGCGTTTCACCATGTTGCCCAGGCTGGTCTCGAACTCTTGACCTCAAGTGATCCACCCACTTTGGCCTCCCAAAATGTTGAGATTACAGGCGTGAGCCACTGCTCCTGGCCTAAAACAAACTTTTTTTTTTTTTTTTTTTTTTTTTTTTAAAGGGCTCAGATGTAAAATACTTAGGGAACCCTCTGAAAATCTCTTTTATATTCACAGAATATGCATGAGAAGCCTTTTCTCAGAAACCTGACCTAGGTGAAGACTTACACCCACATTTAGATATTTGTAATTTAAGATACAGAGTTAAACTCCATGTATTTGATAATTATGTCTCAGGAACTCCTGAAGTTTTTGCCTTCTGGTTTTTGACTTCAGCCTAGTTTTCCCTGCTGGCTAACAGAGGCTACTCTGCATAGAGTTTAGCACTAATTACTTTGCCTCAATATTTTCTAATCGATCCACTGTTTTTCAGGCTATCTTTAGCTTTTGATAATTCCCTTCATTTTTTTTTTAAAGAAAAAAACCCATGTATTATTTCTTATATTTTCTCTGAAACTTCTGTTGGTTAGGACTCTATGACCATTGAGGTAAGTATTTATTTTCACCTTCATAGTGATTTTACTTAACTGAAGTCATAGAGACTAACATCATGAAATCCTCTTAATTTAACCTTGCATTTTTTTTTTCTTTTTTGAGATGGAGTCTCACTCTGTCATCCAGGCTGGAGTGCAGTGGTGTGATCTCGGCTCACTGCAACCTCCGCCTCCCAAGTTCAAGTGATTTTCCTGCCTCAGCCTCCCGAGTAGCTGGGATTACAGGCATGTGCCACCACACCCGGCTAATTTTTGTTTTTAGTAGAGACGGGGTTTCACCTTGTTGGCCAGGCTGGTCTCAAACTCCTGACTTCAAGTGATCTGCCCACCCTGGCTTCTCAAAGTGCTGGGATTACAGGGGTGAACCACCGATCCAGGCCTAACCATGCATTTTTAAAGAGTTCTATTATAGGTGATATGTGGGGCTACGCATCAGGGGAGACGTAGCTTCTTATTTTCTTTCTTTTTTTTATTATACTTTAAGTTCTAGGGTACATGTGCACAACGTGCAGGTTTGTTACATATGTATACATGTGCCATGTTGGTTTGCTGCACCTGTTAACTCATTATTTACATTAGGTATATCTCCTAATGCTATCCTTCCTCCCTCCCCCCACTCCATGACAGGCCCCAGTGTGTGATGTTCCCCTTCCTGTGTCCAAGTGTTCTCATTGTTCAGTTCCCACCTATGAGTGAGAACATGCGGTGTTTGTTTTTCTGTCCTTGCGATAGTTTGCTCAGAATGATGGTTTCTAGCTTCATCCATGTCCCTGCAAAGGACATGAACTAATCCTTTTTTATGGCTGCATAGTATTCCATGGTGTATATGTGCCACATTTTCTTAATCCAGTCTATCATTGATGGACATTAGGGTTGGTTCCAAGTCTTTGCTATTGTGAATAGTGCCGCAATAAACATACTTGTGCATGTGTCTTTATGGCAGCATGATTTATAATCCTTGGGGAAAATACCCAGTAATGGGATGGCTGGGTCAAATGGCATTTCTAGTTCTAGATCCTTAAGGAATCGCCACACTGTCTTCTACAATGGTTGAACTAGTTTACAGTCCCACCAACAGTGTAAAAGTGTTCCTGTTTCTCCACATCCTCTCCAGCACCTGTTGTTTCCTGACTTTTTAATGATCGCCATACTAACTGGTGTGAGGTGGTATCTCATTGTGGTTTTGATTTGCATTTCTCTGACGGCCAGTGATGGTGAGCATTTTTTCATGTGTCTGTTGGCCGCATAAATGTCTTCTTTTGAGAAGTGTCTGTTCATATCCTTTGCCCACTTTTTGATGGGGTTGTTTGATTTTTTCTTGTAAATTTGTATAAGTTCTTTGTAGATTCTGGATATTAGCCCTTTGTCAGTTGGGTAGATTGTAAAAATTTTCTCCCATTCTGTAGGTTGCCTGTTCACTCTGATGGTAGTTTCTTTTGCTATGCAGAGACATAGCTTCTTATTTTCTATACAGGACCTGGAAGGAAAACCTGAAAAACCCATGACACTCCCTTTCCTGTTAGCTGTGTGGTGTTATGAAATGGACTGACAGGATTTAGCTTTCCCAGCACCACTGAAGGACCCTCAGCAACTTCAAGTTCAAAATGTCCTCACCTTCGCCTGATTTTGGGAAGTATTGCATCAACACGTTTTTGCAAAAAGAATGGAACTTTAAAATTTTTTCTTGGCGTTCTCTTTCTCTTTATACATGAGCAATAAATGTGTGCAGAAGTCATTCTAGCCAACAAGATTGTCAGGCCGAGACGGGCAGATCACGAGGTCAGGAGATCGAGACCATCCTGGCTAACACGGTGAAACCCCGTCTCTACTAAAAATACAAAAATTAGCCGGGCATGGTGGCGCGCGCCTGTAGTCCCAGCTACACGGGAGGCTGAGGCAGGAGAATGGCGTGAACCCGGGAGGCGGAGCTTGCAGTGAGTCGAGATCGCGCCACCGCACTCCAGCCTGGGCGACAGAGCGAAACTCCGTCTCAAAAAAAAAATAAATAAATAAAATAAAATAAAAAATAAAAAAAAAAAGATTGTCACCAGCTGTATTAACCTAAAAGTAGAGGAAGAATGAAGAATCCCTGAAAATCACATGTGCTGTGCTGCTGAGTGATGGCCTTTAAAACGTTGAGATTCATACGCCCTGTAGAGGGCAATGTTTCCCCTTGCCTAAAATGTTTTCACTATTCGAAAAGCATCAGTAAGTCCAAGGAGCGACATCCCAAGAGGGCAGAAATTAAGAAAGCTTTCTGGGTTCAGTATTGACTGTAAATGCCCACTGGAGAGGAGAAATCATCGATGATAGCCTTGACTATTGCTAGAATCTCTTCCTTTAGATTCCTGGGGCTAGAGTTGAGGATTTCACTTTAAGAAAGATTGAGACAGAGTGAAAGCAAGAGAGAAGCTTGTAAGAAGAAGTGGGAGGATGTTAACAGTGAGAGCTGGGAATTTGCTCATGAGGCCGAGTGGCTACCACAATCTCCAGTACAGGCTGAATGTGTGTCGTTCCATTCCGCTTCTACCCTCTGTAAGAGGCCTGCCCTGTTCACAAGGCCAATAAGGGGTTAGATTTTAAGGCTTGTTGAAAATAAACTTTGGTAATCCCAGTGCTTAGAGCCCAGTGACATAGAAAGGAGAGCCTTCTTCAACTTTTGGAGAGCAAACTTCTAGGGGGATGAGGTGGGAAGTTTACTTGGGGGAATCCTGCCCAGGGCATCACCTCAGCTTTCTGATCCTTGGTTTTTTTTTTTCCAGGATCCCAAAGAGAGGCACAAATGGTGTGTCCAAGCTTCAGATTGAACTCCTCTGAGACTTTTCTCTTCTCCATAATCATAGCTAGATGAACAGAAGGATGTGGCCACCACAAATTCAATGAATGTGTATACCTTTAGAATATTTGTGATTACACAAGTCCCTAGAGGCAGGTGGGGGCAAAGACTTCTTTGTAAAAGTCCAAAGGTGTCTTAGAAATGTGCAAAAGTACAAGACTTACTGAGGTACAGAAAGCAATGGCTCTTATTTTCAAAGGGAGCCCAAGAAAAGTTCTTTGAATTTTTCGTCTGGCCCTTTTACTTTTCAAATTTCTTATTTTGTCACACTTTGTGGTTGTAGCAATTTGTGAACAGAAAGCATCTCATCCTTTGCTCAGCATGGGCAGAAGGGACAATGAGCACCTCCTTGGTTGCATGTAGATTTTTCCATAGCAGAGTGAAAAAAGATTGGAAAAATTTGTTCCAGCATCCTTGCATGGAAGTAAAGACTTCCCATGAAACCAAAAGTATAGTTTCTCTCTGACATCTCTTGAAATAAACACTTCTTAGTCAGAACTATCCCCCCATAGATGGCACTTTAGGTTGGGCCAAAAATGGTAGAAAGGATATGGGATCTCTGCTTCCAACAGCATTTGACAATTATTCTACTAGAAAAACACATGCACAGTATGTTGATTGCAGCACTATTTACAATAGCAAAGACTTGGAACCAACCGAAATGCCCATCAATGATAGACTGGATAAAGAGAATGTGGCACATGTACACCATAGAATATTATGCAGCCATAAAAAAGAATGAGTTCATGTCCTTTACAGGGACATGGTTGAAGCTGGAAGCCATCATCCTCAGCAAACTAACACAGAAACAGAAAACCAAATACTGCATGTCCTCACTCATAAGTGGGAGTTGAACAATGAGAACACATGGACACAGGGAGGGGAACATCACACACAGGGACCTGGCGGGGTTGGGGGGCAAGGGTAGGGAGAGAGAGCATTAGGACAAATACCCAATGCATGTGGGGCTTAAAACCTAGATGACGGGTTGATGGGTGCAACAAACCACCGTGGCACATGTATACCTATGTAACAAACCTGCACGTTCTGCATATGTATCCCAGAACTTAAAGTAAAAAAACAAAACAGAAAAACTTCTCAGGGGTTAATGATGACTTTTAGTGCATTTATAAGTATTTAAGAAAGAAGACCAATAAGAGTAGGTTTTCAGAACGTGGTGGTTAATCTACTTTTGCTTGAAGTAGAAAAATAAAGGAGAAACAAATCCTTGCAGAGGAGTTCTCTGTGGGAGATGAAGGTGAAGTAAAAGGGAAAATGTGGCCAGTTTACGATTAACTTTACTCTTGAGAGGTGAAGCAAATTGAGTTTCCCCAGGGGGATTTGCTTAACCCTTAACAAGTTTCAGCCAAAGGAAACCATTTGTGAATTCCTAGAAGATTATTTTGGCACTCTGTGGGCGGCAAGCCACCCAGGTGCCAAGGCAAGAGATCGAGGGCACAAGCTGTTCCAGTATAATAAAGAAAATGCATAGAATAAGAATAGTTATACTAGAAATAGATTATAGATATGATTATATGTGAATATCATTAATCATTAGTTTGTAGCATTACTCTTTATTCCAATATTATAATAATCTTTGCTCTACAATTATAACCTAGGAAAAACGAGGCCATAAAGAGATAGGAGCTGAAGGGACACAGTGAGAAGTGACCAGAAGACATGAGTGTGAGCCCTCTGTTACGCCCAGACAGGGCCACCAGAGGGCTCCCTGGTCTAGCGGTAATGCCAGCGCCTGGGAAGGCGCCTGTTAACTAGCGGACCTTGGTCTAGCGGTAGCGTCAGTGCCTAGGGAAGGCACCCGTTACTTAGCAGACCAGGAAAGAGAGTCTCCCTTTCCAGGGAGAGTTAGAGAAGACTCTGCTCCACCACCTCTTGTGGAGGGCCTGACATCAGTCAGGCCTGCCCACAGGCATCTGGAGGCCTAAATGTCTCCCTGTGATGCTGTGCTTTAGTGGTCACACTCCTGTTTCACTTTCATGTTCCGCCCTGTACACCTGGCTCTGCCTTCTAGACAGCAGTAGCAGAATTAGTGAAAGTACTAAAAGTCTTTGAAATGCATAGAAGAAATAATGGCATAAGCTGTCCTCTCTCTCTCTCTGCCTCTGCTGCCAAACAGGGAAGGGCCCCCTGTCCGGTGGACACGTGACTCATGTGACCTTCTCAATCACTGGAGATGACTCACACTCCTTACCCTGCCCCTTTTGCCTTGTATCTAATAAATACCAAACAGCCAGGCATTCGGGGCCACTACCGGTCTCTGCGTCTTGGTGGTAGTGGTCCCCTGGGCCCAGCTGTCTTTTCTTCCATCTCTTTGTCTTGTGTCTTTATTTCTATGATCTCTCATCTCTGCACACGAGGAGAAAAACCCACAAACACTGTAGGTCTGGTCCCTACAGCACTCAATTTTCCTCTTTCCCTAAAACCAGAAAATACAATGTCCTATGCCAGTAACCCAGAAATAAAAAGTAGTTACGTCTAGTATAGAGAATATACAAAGAGGTTCCTTGCAAGTTTAAAGTTCTAGGAAAGGCAGCAAAAAAGAAAACATGATTGATTTCTTTTTTATGATTCATGAGTATTACAACTTCTTAAGGCAGAGGAGTTTTTCTAAGATACTGCAATCCATGTTTTCTGATTTTACAGAGAAGAAATAGAAATCCAACCCTTTCTGGAAGAATAATCCTATGAGATTTAGGTGAAGACAAGATTTGTGTTAGAATCCAGCTCTTCAAATATGGCTTGGTTGATTCACTTCCTAAATGATTTATGAAGAAGCTGATTTTTCATTCCTGTTGTCATAACTACAAGCTGTGCTGTTGTTTCCTGGAACTTAGTTTTTATGGGCAAAGGCTTAGGAAAATGGTCTATAAAGGCCCTCAGCAGTTCAAGGACCTATTAGTTCAGTCTCCTCTCTGTTCTCCTGCCATAGAAAGTTGTTTTTGGTGTTGTAGAGCAATTGTGCATTGGTCTCAGTGTTGAGGCCTGTTTCTCCTGGTTCTGGGAAGTCATAATCAATAAGAATGAAAACCTCATATATCTGCTTGTTGTATTAGCAGAATTTCCTGTGATGTGTTCAGCTCCTTGAGATCTCATTAGATGTTTCTCTATATAAGTATTCCTTGGCCAATGAAGTTTGAACATTTTGAAGTTAAGCAAATTTAATCTGTTATTCCTTTACTTCCAAATTTCTCAGATTCTTTATAAGCTCATGTGCATTGTGAATCTCCTAGAAGACATATATAACATGAAACATTTCTCCAAATTTTGGGTACAGATGCCCTTTTTGCCAAACATCTTGAGGGACTAGTGTCCCAAAGAACATACTTTGGGAAGTGCTCTGTTACTTCAACCTGTGCGTTAAAACCAACTTCTCCTGTTAGACATCTAGTCCCCAAAAAGCCTACAAATTAAGGTTTTAATGAAAAAATGTGTTAAGTAATAGACAAAGTCCAAGGATCCACCTCATAACAAATCAGGTACATATTTAAGCCTATGTGTTTTCAGATCATGTTCCTTTAAAAACCGTCTGTATTGATGTGTTTCATAGAGAATAGCCAATTCACAAGACATTTCCCTGTTTTTTTGAAATGGTTAATAGTTTTTGAAAATATTTTTCTCAAAAAAATCTTAGGCATATTTGGAAGTGTGTGTTTTATGTCAGCTATCTATGTCTAGAATAGACCACCAGCATAGTGATATTTCAACCACCTGGAAGGCAAACTTTTGGATATTAGTTGTAAGTGTGTGTTATAAACCCAAGCTCTTTCAGATTAAAAAAATGCTGATGAATTTTGTTCTGGTGAAATACGCCAGCTCCAGGAAGAATAAAGTATGTTCAAGCATCCCTCTCTCCCCTGCTCTTGTTAAGAGAGGCACTGTTTAGAGAAGGAGGTTTCAGGGCCTGCCAGGGCCGCAGAGCTGAACTGAACCTGCTGATGAGACATACTTAGGTTTCATCATTGCTTTGATACTGTGGGGCTCAGAGTCTGGCATTCTCTGCCTCCTAAGGTTTTGATCTTCCATGAAGCTTCACTACTAGGTAGATATGGGGCTGTTTCCCTCCTGGGTAAACCTGCGTTCTTTCTTCTCTATTTCACCCTGGGAAGGCCTGGAATGGATGATTTAATCTAGGTTCTTTTGAAACTTTGTTAATTATGGGACTCTATAACCTGGGTTAGTCTTTCCTTGCCTCTTCTTTCCCACAGATATTGGCTTAGGTTAAGATGTGGGTTCTAGGGAAAACACATCAAGGAGATCATTCCATTTTCTGTTTTTTTTTTGTGCGTAAAGCAGAGGCACGAGAGGCATCCTGGTGTCTCATTCATAGAAAGAGTTCTGCATAGGGGTCTGGGCCCAAAACTCGGATGAGTTTTATAGATGAAGGGGTTTCTCTAGAGTGGCTCCTTTGCACGAATCCTGTATCAATCTTCAGTCATCATAAGTAGACAGGGATTTCAGATCCTGGATCTTTGTTCTCTCTTTCTTAATCTCTCTTTATTAGAGTTACAAAAGTAGCTGTGAGTGTTTCAGGCAACTGAACAACAACTGATTTACACATCTGCTAAGGTTGGCAGCTAAAAGCGTTTGAGAAAGTTCCCGATTTGATTTCCCACTCCAGAGGTTGAACCTACATCAGAGCACCATGAGTAATTGCTCTTTAGTACAAACATGTGCTTCTAAATACATAAGCAATGAGCTTTTGAAGCTGTCCCATGGTTTAATTTGAATTAGTTCAAGATGATACCTCCGGGGAGGCCCAGCAGGCAGACATTTCCTGCCCCACTTCCCTGGTGGGGCAGAATCACTGCTGGGAAGGCATGAAGGAAATCTGTCACTTTGGTTTCCAAATTTGGCCAGAAGGTGGCACAATCTGAAAACCCTTTTCTGCATCTCAGTGGAAACAAGGGCTCTGTGTTTTTCACATTCAGGTCAAAGATTCCAAGTAGAACTGGAAGAAGACCAAATATTGTAAAAGACTATAATTCATATCCTGAAGATTCTTGCAGTCCTTGGGGGCATTTCTTTGGGAGGGCTTGGGAAAAAAATAAACAAGCAAAAGAAATCTCATATGTACACTCTGAGAATTTTAGAGACGATTGGCCACGTTCTTTCAGAGAAAGGTACAAAAACAAAGCACTTTTATGTTGTTGTAAATAACAAGTTGGGATAGGGACTGGGAGAAGGACTTTTCATTTCCTTTCTGGAAACAAACAGCTTTATGATTGCAGCTCCATGACCTTTCTTGCTGTCCTGAGGGAATAGAAACTTCCTGACTTCTACAATTGGACTATTAGACACTTCTGATTTTCACGGAATTTAAGAATTGGAGATGATTTTTGAGGACATTTGGTCCAAACTTTACCCGGTGCAGAAGTTGATCTTGTTATCTCTCTGACTGATAAGAGAAACACCACCTATTTGCAAACCTCGGTGGGGTCAATAGTACATTCACCCGTCTTTCACTTCATCCTCATATCTGCATGGCGAGTTTGTTGTTTTCGTTGTGCTACTGACATCATTGCTAATAATGCTTATTGGGTACTTTCTTTATGAAATCCATTCATTAAAGGAATATTCATTTAATGATTATTTACCTGGGGCTTCATGTGCCAAACAATGAGTGAAACAGATTACATGCCTTATCTTATTGAATCCTACGACGAGCACCTGAGACAGGTGCTGTCTTTATCTCCCATTTGCAGCTGAGGAAGGTGGTGCTTAGAAAGATTAAGTAACAAAGGTTAAGGACAATGATTATTGTCTAAGGAAACACAGCTCAAAAGCAGTGGTAGTGGTAACAGGGGGCTTGTTTTGAGCCATGTTTGGCTGACCCAGAGTTCATACGCTGAACCACAGTGTTCTTGAGTCTACTGAAGTGTGTGTCGATGGCCTGGCAGGGATCCAATTCTCTCACCTGCCACCTGAGCATTTTTATTTGAATGTCATTAGACACATCTGTCTTTCAGGACACCAGGATCTATCCTGTGCTCTTCAGTTCCTCTGTCTGAGGTCTGTTCCTTCCTCCACATGACATCTCTTCAAATGTTTGAATGCTATGATCGTGTCTTAATGTTAATTCCCTTTTTTTTAGGCTAAACAGACTCAGCTTTCCAACTGCCCTCCTAAAAGACATGACTTTTTTTTGTTTTTGTTTGTTTGTTTGTTTGTTTGTTTTTTGGAGACAGGGTCTTGCTCTGTCACCCAGGCTACAGTTCACTGGCACAAACACAGCTCCCTGCAGCCTCGACCTCCTGGGCTCAAGCAATCCTCCCACCTCAGCCTCCCAAGTAGCTGAGACTATAGATGCGTACCACCATGCTTGGCTAATTTTTGTAATTAGGAAAGGCTCCTGGACCCGAATGCCCATGTCTCTGCATATTACCCTATTGTACACATTTGTTATTTCTTTTTCACAATGAGGAAACCAATGTTTTGGGTAACTTACCAGAGGTTACTAAGTATGGGGGTTCGCCGTGTTGCCCAGGCTGGTCTTGATCTCCTGGGCTCAAGCAATCCTTCCACCTTAGCCTCCCAAAGTGCTGGGATTATAAGCTTAAGCCACCATGCCCAACCCAAGACATGACTTTTGAGCCCTTAACCCCTTTGGGATACTGTTTGTTTATTTGTAGGTCTTGTTGTCCCTTCTGTGACTTTCTGAGACTTGCAATTACTCATTGGACATTTGCCTTCCCCGTTAGACTCCTGCTCTGTGAGGGTGGAGGCCAGGTCTTTTCTGTTTATCACAGACCTCCAGAGCCTTGCTTGGTTCCCAGCATGGTGCAGCTGTTTAATTGATGAAATAATGAATCTCCAAAATGGGATTAATTATAGCTTCTCTTCTTCTTTCATAGGATTGTTGTGTGAAACAAACAACACAATGCATGTAAAAGTACTCTGTCGTGCTAAAACATCATGCTGATGCCATTACCAAGAGATTCATTGCATATCAAAAGTCATATTGTTGATTAGCATGGAATGCAAAACTCTCCATCCATTCATTGATTCATTGGTTCATTATTTATTTAAAAGCTACTATGTGCTCACGTAATGTATTTTAAAGTCCTTTTTTCTCTAAGTTTCCCTGGTTTTCATCCCTCCTGTTGTGTGTAGATCCAGAGCCACAGACTCACTGCTTCATGCTTCTAGGTTCAGAGCCAAATTCTACCCATTAGCTGACAGAAAACATACTTTCTGCTTCTTGAGAATTTGCACATTGCCAGACCCTGAGTCTCCCTGCTCCTAAGCCACGGTCAGGGGTGCTATGTCAGTACCCCTGATGGGTAGAGTGTAACCTTACAATAAATGCTGCTCTTCATAGAGAGATGTCTACTAGTGCTCTTTAATACTTAGTCCCTCAACAGTGGGCAGTGTGGTCCAGGAATCTTTCCTTATCAGTGATGATCAATGATAATCACATTCAGTTATTTGATCATGTTCCTGCCTTAACTTTTACCCTGGAGGACAGAGACATGTAACTGGACCCATGGAATAGGCTCAGGGTCTTATAAGATGGCAAAGCATGGAAGTTTTATACACGGACCCTGGGGTCAGATTCATCTTTGTTCCAGTCCTACCTTCACTGTTCAATATTTAGGAACCTCTGATAAGTTACCCAAAGCATTTGTTTCCTCATTGTGAATAAGAAATAACAAATGTGTACAATAAGGTAGTATGTAGAATAGGGTAATTGTGAAGATTAAAATTAAATACTGCACTTAAGTAATTTAGCATAGTGCCTGGCATACAATAAGTTCTCAATAAATAATAATAAAAGAGAAGCATCAAAGAAGGAGCTTCTGGTTTCTGGTGTCTCAATGCCTGGGAGTTTCCACGGGTCCCAGGAAACAGGTTTATTATTAAGAACATCAAGCACCATCCTTCCACTAGTGCAAGGCTTCTGAACAGAGGCGCTATTGATATTTTGAGCTGGATAATTCTTTGCTCTGGGTAGCTGCCCTGTTTAGATTGTTGCTGGCCTTTCTACACCACATACCAGTAGCATCACCCTCTGCACTGCCCAAGTTGGGACAATCAAAAATATTTCCAGACATTGCCAAATGTTCCCTGGGAGGCAAAATCCCTCCTGGCTGGGAATGTCTCCATTAGACCAGAAACAGATTGCTGAAACATGGCTTGAACATATTGTAACATATTCAGCTGTTCGTGTGCTTCTAGATCAATACTACAATTTTTTATTTTTATTTTTTGTCCCCTCTATTGCCGCAATACTGAAAAACACGCCATTACATATGAACATAACAACTAAATATATACTTAATAATAACAATAAAAGCAAATATTGAATAAGAATTATTAAAATATTTTATATTGTAAATTTATCCTGGAATTATAAAATAGATGCAGTCCCTTATAGAATATTATCAATTTTTAAAAGCATTTTTGTTATTTTGTTTTTTATATTTAAATATTTTATGTAATTTATTTTGGTGTAGAGTGTGAGGTCTGGATCCGCCTTATTTATTTATTTTTTTAGATGGTTAAACTTTGTCTTAACACTACTTGTTGAATAATCTGTGTTTTCCTAGCTAACTTGAAATGGCGTTGTATCCTATTAAAAAAATTCTCCTGTTTCCCTGGTCTGTTTCTGGGCTTTCTGGTTCATTCTATTGATGTCTACTTATGGATGTTCCAGCTGGTGACTGCTGTTTTAGTGATTTGTTGAGCACTTACTGTTCTCTGTGTGTGGTTTTATCTTATTTTTATTTTTTTGAAAAACTTAAGATATAAATCTCTTACCCTAAAACTCACTATTTTAATGTACATGATTCAGTGGTTTTTAATATATTCAAAATGTTGTACAACTATCATTATTGTCTAATTACTGGACCTTTCCATCACCTCAAAAGGTTAGCAGTCGCTCTCAACTCTCCCCTAACACCACCAGTCCCCCTACCAGTAACTCACAACCACTAATCTTTGTGGTTCCATAGATTTGCCTATTTAGAACATTTTAGATAAACGGAATCACACCATATATAGCCTTTGTATTTGGCTTCTTTCACTTAGCATAAGATTTTCAAAGTTCATCTACATTTTAGCATGTATCAGCACTTCATTCCTTTTTATGGTGCAGTAATATTCCATTGAATGATTATGCCACAGTTTGTTTATGCATTCATCAATTAGTAGATATTTGTGTTGTTTGTACTTTTTGGTTATTATGAATAATGCTGTTATGAACATTTACGTGCAAACTTTTGTTTGAGCACACATTTTCAATTCTCTTGGATTCATATCCAGTAGTGGAATTGCTGGACCACATGGTAAATCTTAACATTTTGAGGAGGCACCAGACTGTTTACCACAGTGTTGAACCATTTTACATTCTGACTAGAAAGGCATGAAGACTTCAATACATCCACATATTCACCAACATTATTTTCTGTTTTTATTTATTTGTTGTTTTTATTATTGTTGTTGTTTATAGCCATCCTAGTTGGTATGAAGTTGTATCTGATTGTGGTTTTGATTTGCATTTCTCTAATGTCTAATAATATTGAGCATCTTCTTATGTGCCTATTGGACATTTGTATATCTTGTTTAGACTAATGTCTATTCAAATCTTTTGTGTATTTTAAAATTGGGCTATTTATCTTCTTATGTCAAGTTTCAAATTTTAAAAAATATATTCTAGATATTAGACCCTTATTATATGTTTGATTTACAAATATTTTCTCTTATTCTGTGCATTCTTTGTTCACTTCTTTGATAGTGTTCACTGACACACAAAAGTTTTTAATTTTGATGAAGTTCAGCTTGTCAGTTTCTCCTTGTTTGTGCTTTCGGTATAATGTTTAAGAAAGGTAACTAAGATTTACACCTATATTCCTTTTTAAGAGATTTCTAGCTTTACCTCTTACATTTACATTTTGGGTCCATTTTGAGTTAACTTTTGTATATGGTGTGAGGTAGGGGTCCAATTTTATTCTTTTTCATATGGATATCTTAAGCTGCCCTCTCGTCTTGTACTTTTGTGTTGAGAAAAGGTCTATCAGAGTCTTGGCAACTAAGCAATTTTCAAATTAGGAATCTGATTACTTAAATTCAGTATTAAACATGTGTAGCTGGAACCATGATTTGGATGCCAATTTTTATGAAACAGACTCTCATTCTTACAAACCCCAAGGACTCTTAAATCATCATGATGGCTTTTCTGTATAGAATTCTGAGGCTTCAGATGATGTGCCAGTGGAGGAGCCATTGGCTAGGACAGAGACATCTTTTAGGCAGATGGAGATTTTGGCTGAAATGGCATTTGAATAATGGAATGCGGCTTGCAGGGATCTTGCAACATTGAGTCCTGGGACTGAAGAGGGATAATGTAATGACATGGTCAGTTCATGGCCCAAGTTCAGGGAGGGCAGCAGGCTTTCCTCTGGGGAGTGTCTCTCTTCTTTCCTGCATGCCATAGGCACTTAAAAATATGAGACATATCAGACTCAGAAACATGCTAAAAATTCCACCATTTCCAGAAAAGGAGATGCAGAGATTAAAGTGAGTGGCATTAAGAGATTTTATTCTTATTCAGTAATAGGTAAGCGCGCTCTCTCTCTCCCTTTTATTTTTTATTTCATTTTATTTTTTAATATTAATTTTTTTTGAGACAGAGTCTTGCTCTGTCACCCAGGCTGGAGTGCAGTGGCATGATCTTAGCTCACTGCAACCTCCGCCTCTTGGGTTCAAGCAATTCTCATGCCTCAGCCTCCCAAGTAACTGGGATTACAGGCATGTGCCACCATGCTCGGCTAATTTTTTTTTGTATTTTTAGCAGAGACAAGGTTTCACCATGTTGCTCAGGCTGTTCTCAAACTCCTGAGCTCAGGTGATCTGCCCGCCTCAGACTCCCAAAGTGCTGGGATTACACGCATGAGCCACCAAGCCTGGCCACTGTTTCTTTTCAAAACACAATGAAAAGTCAGGTTTCTGAGAGCTTTGGTGGGGATGCCCCATTTTTACAGCCACCTCACTACTCTTAAATTTGATTACTATTACGTGTCCAAAATTAAATTAGGATCAATATTTGTGGCAAGTCCCCTTCATCTCTACTGACAAAAAAGTTGTCATTGGAGAGTGGTTAAAATGTGAGGCCTCCTTGACCCTTGGGGCTCAGCCCAAAAGGTCCCACACAGACAGATCCTTTGAATAAGGTTAAAGGGCTATTTATTCCTCTGACTTGCTGTTTCATATGAAACAAATGTGAATTGTCCTGGCCCATGTCCAAGGGTCTAGAATGGAATGTTGTGTCACCCCTTAGGGTGATAGGAGTTAGGTTTCCATGAAATGAAGACTGCCCATCTGCCACCAAATGCCAGTCCTAAGGGTGTAACCTTCCTAGAGAAGGGACCACTTGTTCCCTTTGCATAAATAAAGCCCATGCTATTTATGTGGCACTGTGTGCCAGTTTCTAGCAGGGCTGAGGGGACTTCAGCGTGCCACAGTAGGACAGCGTCCAAGGCACCAGCTGCCCACGTTCTGCGGCCATTCTGAGAACACAGTGGCTTTAAACATTGGATAGAAAGGTGACAAAGGAATGAAGAGCCAGGGACTCTTTTTTACCCTCTGCATAAACCAAAGGAACCCCTTTATTCTGAGAACTTGTTCTGTTGGCTCTGAGACTTTTTTCCCAGCCTATTTCTCCCAGTCACTTATTTGTTCATTGCAAATGACAATAAACATCTGAGTGGCATTTATTCTGATTACTGTTTTAAATTTCTGGTAGAAAACACAGACTTACAGCTTTAGTAAACTCCTACTGTGAAAGAAGTATTTATTATCTTTACTCAGGTATCATAAGACACCATGTCCTGGCATGCAGACATAAATACATGCAGTCGCCCCTGCTATCTGATGTTTACGGCAACAGGGATTAATAGTTCTGTTATTCTCCAGCTAAGTACAAACATAATAACAGTTTGGGTTAATATGTACAGTTTTACCCCCACAAGTGAGGTTACTAAAGAAACAAACATACTCTGAACATGCGGCACATGATTTTAGAAACAAGATTCTCATTTTATCTAAAACACAGACCAATACTGCAGTTGAGATGGAGGGAATCTCATTTAGCTACCTGAAATACCTGCAGTACCAAAATCTAATTTCCAGCCTTTTTGAAAAACAAAGCCCAAGGTCTGTTATTCACTGATCATATTTTAAATCTTGACTACCACCAACTTTTGTTACATGAAACGGAGATAGCCATATATCTTCGTTTAAATTTTTTATGCTTTAGAATTTTATACTTTGTGCTAGAAATCACTGCTCTTAAACCACATGGGCTAGGTTTAATGTTCATAATCTGTCTACCTTATTACATACAGCTTGAAATACTTTTCTACCTTTTTTTCTGTTTTCCTCCACTGAATTCAAATACATTTATTAAATTAATAGCCCTTGAAAATGAAAAAAAATTTGAGATAATTAGCAAGCAGTAATGTCTATCACTGTGTGTCAGTAATAATGAAGTTTCCATAGTAGAAGCTTGAAGTATCTGTGAATTGTCATAAATTGTTTTTCAACTCTAGGGAGGTGATGATGATGGTGATACTTTGGCTAACATTTATTGAGTGCTGACCAGGAGCCAAATACATGCTAATAATAGGCTTTCTGGGTTTTACCTTATTTAATCATTATGATTGGATGATAAGGTCTGGAACTCTTATCAGCTGTATATCACACATGAGGAAATGGAGGCCGGAGAGCCTTGGGAACCTGTCCCAAATTGCCTAAGGAGTAAATGACTGGACCAAGTGGTCTGAGATCAAGATCTGCCCTCTTCATCTAATTCCTTATATGTTTACCAGATTCTATAGCTTATAAAATGCTCTTGGGTCTTTTATTTTATTGTGTACTTTGCAAGGGATGATATTTAGCATTTTGTAAGCAAATATTGGTGATCGGAAACCACATCTGTATTTACCATCCAAACAACTGCACAGTAAGAATCATTTCAAGAAGCCATCAGCTGTTCTCCTCTAGATGAGATTTGTCTGTGAGTGACTGTGGACGATGATAGAACCACATGCCAGCCCCTGCAACACACTGATAAAGTATGTGGATCCATCGAATAGTCAGTAGCTGCCTTTGCAAAGATGGCAGAAATTAAAGCTGGACTGAAGCTGGAGAATGTGAAAGCAACACTGGCTCATAAACGGTATTCTGGGGGAACCTAACGTAATTCAATGGTAGTTGCAGATGAGGAAGTGAATGGTGAGAATGGGCTAAGTTAAGCATTGGCTTCACATTCAGAAGTGTGTCCAGGGGTCTAGAGAAGTCACTGGTACCAGTCTCATGGGGCCATGAATGCGAGCAAGTGGGGAAGATGTCTCCACAACCCTGAAGGTGATTTAACCAGCATTTCCTGCAGAGCTCCAATGAAACCATCAGGTGGCTGTATTTTCCAATCCACATTCTTTTTAGTATTCCTATCATAACCAAACCAGAGCAAAACAGCTTTAATATACAAGTATGGCTTTGCTGTTTCTTTTCCTTCCTTCCTTCCTCTTTCCTTCCTTCCTCCCTCCCACCTTCCTTCCTCCCTCCTTCCTTTCCTCCTACCTTCCTTCTTTGCTCCCTCCCTCCCTCTTCCCTCCCTCCCTCCTTCCTTCCTCTCACCCCTCTCTCCCTCCCCTCCTTTTCCTTCCTTCCTTCCTTCCTCTCCTCCCCTCCCTACTTCCTTCCTCTCCCCGCTCTCTCCCTCCTGTTCTTTTTTCCTTCCTTCCTTCCTTCCTTCTTTCCCTCCTTCCTTTTTTCCCTTTATATATTTTTAAAGGCATAGTGGAAAGATCCAAGACTTTGGAGCCAGATAGCCTACTATGCACATCAGGCTCAGACACTTATGAGGTATCTACCTTGCTTTTTTAAGTCTCAGTTTCTTTATTTAAAAAAACGTGAAATTACTCAACCATTTCACTAAGGCATCAAAGAATAGAAGAGGCTGATTCCTGGTATATAAGCAGTTGCTTAATTAATGATGTTTGTTTTTTATTTCTTCTTTCCCTAAAAAAAAAAAAAAAAGACTCTATTGGTGAGAAATCTGAAGTAAATAGCATACTCTTCAAAATGAGGACCATTTTTTTAAAACATTTAGTGAATACCAACTGAGCATCAGATGCTGGAGTTACAGAGAATCTGATGGTTAACTGAGAGAGACATCAAGTCAGAGTAGTTCGGATAATCTCCCCAGTGTGTGAAGCGCAGTGAGAGCCCAGAGAATGGGGCTGACTCCTGCCAGAGAGATTACAGATTCCTCCCTCAGTGTGAACCACGGAGAACAACCTGGTGTTGGCAGGAGAATGGGAAGTGGATGAAGATATATGGGAAGAGCCAGCCAGGTGCATGTTGTGTGCAGGGAACTGTGGTGGCTGGAGATGAACATCATTGTCATGAATAGGTTAAGAGGTCAAGCTGGGAAAACAAGAGGCAAGAGATGTTCCAACATCTTCTTCACAGCTCTGTGCTCGTCTATGCTAATGTGGGCATCATGTTACTAACAGGAACAGAGCATAGGAGAGCTTCACCATGCTTTGAGGACCCTTGGTGAGGCTGCTTCATTTGGCTAGAACGTGTGTGAGGGGGAAATTGAGACTGAAGCTCCACACTCAGAGCGAAACAATGACAAAAGCTTATTACACAGTGCAGATAAATGGGGAGACAGCACCCAAAGAGGGGTCTTCAAGGCCAAAGTGGGGGATGTGAAAAATGAAGTTAGTCGTCATCAGAGACAAATAAGCAGAATGCATGTGAAGTCAAATATTGGGTTTGGGACACGCAGGTTTGCAGGTATGGGAGCTGGCACCGAGGCCAAGGAACACCTGATTGTGATGGTCACAAAGGTGCTGAGTAAATCAAGTTTTATGATCTTCAGTTGCATGTCCAGTCTATAATGTCATGTTTCAACATGGAGATTAGCATTTTTTGGTGCTAACATGTCAGCTATGACTGGCTGTTCTCATGTATCTTCATCCACTTCCCATTCTGCTGCCAACACCAGGTTGTTTTCTGTGGTTCACGCTGAGGGGGGAATCTATGATCTCTCTCAGGGGAGTCAGCCCCACTCTCTGGGCTCAGTGCATTTCACACACTGGGGAGATGATCTGAGCTACTCTGTGACTCAGTGTCTCTCTCAGTTAACCATCAGGTTCTCTGTAACTCCAGCATCAGACATTCAGTGGACATTCACTAAATGTTTAACAAAATGGTCCTTGTTTGAAAGAGTATGCTATGTACTTTAGATTTCTCACCAATAATTTTTTTTTTTTTTTTTGGTAAAGAAGAACTTGGCACAAACAAACAGGTTAGAAGTAGACCCCTAAAGATCCTAAACTCCTGCCCCAGGGAGTCCAAAGATATAGGAGAACCAGACCCACGCTGTAAGTCTCCCACTCTTTTAAACAATTTTTAAAGTTTTAATTTTTGTGGGTAGATAGTAGGTGTATATATTTTTGGGGTACGTGAGACATTTTGATACAGGCATGCAATGTGAAATAAGCACATCATGGAGAATGAGGTATCTGTGCCCTCAAGCATTTATCCTTCATGTTACAAAGAATCCAATTACACTCTTTAAGCTATTTTAAAATGTACACTTAAGTTATTGTTGACTGTAGTCAACCTGTTGTGCTATCAAATAGTAGGTCTTATGATCTTATTCTTTCTATTTTTTTTGTACCCATTCACCATTCCCACCACCCCTGCAAGTCCCCCACTACCCTTGCTAGCCTCTGGTAACCAACCACCCTTCTACACTCTTTGTCCATGAGTTCAATTGTTTTCATTTTTAGATCCCACAAATAGGTGAGAACAAGTGATGTTTGTCTTTCTGTGCCTGGCTTATTTCACTTAACATAATCATCTCTAGTTCCATCCATATCATTGCAAACGACTGGATCTTATTCTTTTTTATGGCTGGATAGTACTCCACTGTGTATATGTACCACATTTTCCTTATCCATTCATCTTACTCCATTGTATATATGTACTACATTTTCTTCATCTATTCTTCTGTTGATAGGCACTTAGGTTGCTTCCAAATCTTAGTTATCATAAACAGTGCTGCAACAAATACAGGAGTGCAGATATCTCTTTGATATACTGATTTCCTTTCTTTTAGGTATATACCCAGCAGTAGGATTACTGGGTCATATGATAGCTCAAGTTTTAGGTTTTTGAGGAACATTCAAACTGTTCTCCATAGTAGTTGTACTAATTTACATTCCCACCAACAGTGTAAAAGGGTTCTCCTTTCTCCACATTCTTTCCAGCATTTGTTATTGTAGTCTTTTGGATATAAACCATTTTAACTGGGACGAGATGATATCTCATTGCAGTTTTGATTAGCACTTCTCTGATGATCAGTGATGTTGAGCATCTTTTCATATATCTGTTTGCTACTTGTATGTCTTCTTTTTAGAAATGTCTATCCAATTTTTTGGCCCATTTTTTGATAGGATTATTAGATTATTTTCCTATAGAGTTGTATAAGCTCCTTATATATTCTTGTTTTTCATCTCTTGTCAGAGGGGTAGTTTGCAAATGTTTTTTTCCCATTATGTGCATTGTCTCTTCACTTTGTTGATTGTTTGCTTTGCTGTGAAGAAACTTTTTAACTTGATGTGATCCCATTAGTCCATGTTTGCTTTGGTTGCCTATGCTTGTGGGGCATTGCTTAAGAAATATTTGCCCAGACCAATGTCCTAGAGATTTTCCCCAATGTTTTCTTGTAGTTTCATAGTTTGATGCTTTACATTTAAATCTTTAAACTATTTTCATTTGATTTTTTATATGGTGAGAGATGGGGGTCTAGCTTCATTCTTCTGCATATGGATTCCCATTTTCCCAGCACCATTTATTGAAGAGACCGTCTCTTCTCCAGTGTATGTTCTTGGCACCTTTGGTGGAAATGAGTTCACTGTATGTGTGTAGATTTGTTTCTGGGTCCTCTATTCTGTTCCATTGGTCTATGAGTCTGTTTTTATGTCAGTACCATGCCATTTGGGTTACTATAGCTCTGTAGTATAATTTGAAGTCAGGTAATGTGATTCCTCCAGTTTTTTTTTTCTGTTGGCTTAGAATAGCTTTCGTTATTCTGGGCCATTTTTGGTTTCATATAAATTTTAGGATGTTTTTTATTTCTGTGAAGAATGTTATTGGTATTTTGATGGGGATTGCATTGAATCTGTAGATTTCTTTGAGTAACAACAGTGTTCTTTAACAACACTGATTCTTCCAATCCATGAAAATGGAATCTTTTTCCATTTTTTTGTTTCCTCTTCAGTTTCTTTCATCAGTGTTTTATAGTTTTCATTATAGAGATCCTTCACTTCTTTGGTTAAGTTAATTCCTAGGTATTTAATTTTATTTTAGCCCCCCACTCTTGAGGAGATGGGGAAGGATCCTGTCACTGGCCACATGGGAAATGCAGAGTTTGTAGTGAGAGGTTTCCCCTTTTCCCTCCCCTCACTACATCCAAGAATGGGAGAGGGAGAGAGTTTCCAAGAGAATCTGTAATAAAGATGATAGGGAGGGTGATGCCCAGAAGGGAGCACTTGCCTTCCTTTCCTTAACTGGATTTCTGCTTAGACACTGCATTTGCTGATCTGTTCCTAAGGAAGAAGAGGATTAGAACAAACTGGTAGGGTGGGGAGAGGCATGAGGGAAGAGCAGCTGTACTCCCATCCATTTTGTGCCAAGGGTCTGCAGTGTTTCCACAGGTCATGTGGTGGGCCACCAAGGAAGTCAACTGGGCTTGCACCATCTTGACTCCCACAAGAGCTGTCCTTAGGATGAGGGGTTGCCAGTAGCAAGAGGCCGTGGGATGCACGGATTGCTAATGGCAGAAACTGGGCTGGAAGTTCTATCTCTTATGTTAGGAAATTGGGCAGTGGGGAGGGCCCTACAGGAAACTCACATAGGTTTCAAAAGTGAATCAGATTTTGGAAACTTGCCTCTCAGACAGCAATGAGGCCCGGTCAATGCTGGTAAGAGATGTGTTCACAGTTAACTGAGTGAGGTCTGCAGCAGCAAGGTGGTTAAGTAGAGACATCCCCATCCATCTCAGACCTTCACCTTGATTAGCCAACATCCTAGTTCAGCTCTGTGTTTGGGGTTGAGGATTTGAAAGTTTGTGAAAGGAAATGATAAATGACTAGAGGGGCTCGTATTCAAAGGTGGGAATAAGGGTAACAAGGGATGAGAAACTGGAAAGGGGAAGGCTGTGGCAGACCCAGGGCACCATCATACGGCACAGACTCGGACACCCACTGTGGGTTGAGTCAGGGCAGACTCATCTGGTTTGCTTGGAACTTTTTCAGTTTTAAAAGTTAAAGTCCTTTGTTCTGGGAACCTCTTCAGTCTTGGACCACCCCGCACAGTTGATCGCTCAATCTGCCAGGAATCCTAGAGTGACCTCTGGCAGAGATAGTTATATTACTCCTATCTGACATCTCAACAGCTCAAAATGGGCCAGAGCCATCAGCTTATGTAACATTAACGTGTGGACCACTGGACTCTAAGCTGCAATGTGGATCATTAAGAGATAAGAGGAAGTATTTTTTGGCTATCGCTTTCAAAAGTCTAAAAATATATTAACAGCTGCAAGAAATCAGCATCTAAAGAACTTAAAAACAGAACTATTAATACCATTCAACCCAGTGATCCCATTACTGGGTACATACCCAGAGGAAAATAAATACTTCTGGCAAAAAGACTCATGCATTTGTACATTCATCACAGCACTATTCACAACTGCAAAGACATGGAATCAACCTAGGTGCCCATCCACGGTGGACTGGCTAAAGAAAATGTGGTACATGTACACCATGGAATGCTATGCAGCCATAAAAAGAATGAAATCATGTCCTTTGCAGCACCATGGATGCATCCAGAGGCCGCTATCCTAAGCAAACTAATGCAGGAACAGAAAACAAAATGCCACATGTTCTCACTTATAAGTGGGAGCTAAACACTGGATGTACACATGGATGCGAAGATGGAAATGATAGATACTGGAGACTCTAAAAGTGGGGAGGGAGGAAGGGGAAAGGGCTGAAAACCTAGCTGTTGGGTACTATGCTCACCACCCGCATGACGGGATCAATCATACCCCAAACTTCAGCATTACACAATATGCCAACATAAGAAACCTACACATGTCCTCCCTAAATCTAAACTAAAAGTCACATCCACGTAAGATGTCCAGGTTAGAAGAAATGTGCAAAACACTAAATTCCAAGCTCAGCAGAAAGATTCTGGTAACAAGGTGCATAGCCAATGCACTCACTTCAGTTGCTGGGCAGTTTCTTGAGCTAGTCCTCACATTCTGAGTAAGGCATCTCATTTGTTACCCTTGATTAATATTTTTGAGAATCAAATGAGGCATTGAACAACACTAAATGCTCTACAAGGCATTAAGAAAGCCAAAAGCCCTTGACATTTTTTTTCTATTCTTTCTCCCTCATTTCAAAACAAGACGTTAATATCACTCCAAGTTTATTGCGTAACGTAAGGGAGTGGGGGAAAACATAATGATTTCAGGAAAAGAAAGGATCTGCAATTGTTATACAATGAGGGGCAAAAGAAGCAAGAGAACAAATGATGAAATCTAATTATGCAGGGTGTTTCATCATTTTCAAAAATTGTTTTATATTTCACACAGAACTACAAGGAGAAAGGGTAAAAAAAAAAAAGTACTGGGTAAGGAAAAAGGAAAAGAGAGAAAGAGACTCCATAAGACCTCTAGTGCCTCATCTATCTGGAATTTGAATATATGGCAGTTGGGATTATCAGTATAAACAGGAATAAGAATCAAGCCAAAATTATTTTGCCATATTCCATGTGGTTATAAATAACAGTAAGTGGCTAATTTTGTATGGTTATTTCTGTAAGCCCTGTAAAGAGAAGGCTTTCATTTGTAAATGGAAGGTTTTGAGGATTGAGTTTCCCTGTTGTTTTGTGGTTTACAAACTCCTAGACACATTTATCTACATGGCAAACCTTGAAAGAAGACCAAAATTTTAGCTATACTCTTTACCATCATTTTCTTCTCATAAACTGGAGCTGACAAAAAGAAATTGACACTATACACGTTGCTATTTTTTCTGCATACTGATTCTCAGGCTTGGAGTTAATTTTTGCAGGGTAACCTTGGACTGTTTGTTTTATTTCATCTTTCTACTTCTCTCAGCTTTTACTAACTCCGGTCACACCAAAAACAAACAAACAAACAAAAAAACACACACACACAAAACTATGACATCAGACCAAAGTTACAAAGTTACCACAGGTCTAATCCTATTGCTAGGTAGTCATGCTTGCTGGTAAAACTGTTTTTGGCATCTTTATCACTATTCACCAAAACCGTAATTATCAGGTGACATCTCCAGGTCCCCAGGGGTGGGACCTTGTTGCATGGCCTCTGCTGCAGGTCATCTCAGACACACTGAGGTTTCCTACAACTTCCTCTGAGCCTTCCTTTGTTCTTTATTGCAGTAACTGGCTAATGCTAGATTCCAAGGTGGCATTCAAAGTCAATCTTCAAATTCCATGCCAAGTGGAGAAACATTTAATTCTGGGGTTGTTTCTAGAAGTAAAGTTTCATTTTAGCAATCTTGGCTTCTCTCAGGGTTTCTGACCTGTGACAACTGGGGTGTAAAGGACAACAAAATAATATTACATTTAAGAACAAGTGATGGGATTAAATGTTTATTTTTCATCTAAAACTTTAAAAAAGGAAGCAAATGAGTAATTCCGTGCTGCCTTTTCACAATGTCATGTAAAATATTGAGTGTTTTTTTAAATAAAACATTTTTTCCCATTGAGTATAAAATATACACACATGAATTACTGATTTATTTTTTTACAAGACAACGTATATTCATGCCCCAGAGCTTCTTTCTCCTTTCAGATAGAAATCCCTTCTGGGTGATTCCTGAGTATTATGTGGATCACTGTGGATTTTGGCTGCAAAAGAGAACAGAGCATCCCTTTTGTAAAAGAAGTATCAACCAATGTAACAGTTTCTGCTTTTTTGCTTCCAAGTTGCTGAGATTGACCAGAAGGCTGGAGCCTAGGCCACCACTGATAGGTTATCTCATTCACAGATTATATCCTAATGTTGGAAGTTTGCAGTGCCTTGCCCCCAGATGAAGACCCCTCCCCCGCCCAGTGATGTGTTTGGAAAAGTCTTGGAAGTAATTGCTCCTTGATTTTTTTTTTTTAGTTTCAAGTGAATAATGCAACAAAAAGCAGAAATGTGAATAATCCCATTGTAAGTCACTCGCCTTCTGGTGGATTTCGGTCAGGGTCAAAGAGCAAACGGGCAGGAACTGGGCTGTTTGAATGAGCTTTGTAAACAAGGTCGTCATCAAGCCATGACTCAATACACAGTGAATTATCTGAAGCCTTTTAGAATTAGCAACTAACCTCCAGGAAACTGGTGCATGTTGCAATGAAGTAGCTGACCATCCAAATAGCACAGGCCACAGCACCATGGGACATTGCATTTATTAATCATTAATTAATTTATTTATTTTTGAGACAGAGTCTCACTCTGTCACCCAGGCTGCATGGCAGTGGCATGATCTTGGCTCACTGCAACCTTTGCCTCCTGGGTTCAAGCAATTCTCCTGCCTTAACCTCTCCAGTAGCTAGGATTACAGGTGTGCGCCACCACGCCGGGCTAATTTTTGTATTTTTAGTAGAGAGGGGGTTTTGTCATGTTGGCCAGGCTGGTCTTGAACTCCTGACCTCATGTGATCTGCCCACCTCAGCCTCTCAAAGTGCTGGGATTGCAAGCGTGAGCCACCACCCCCGGCAGGGACATTGCATTTAATACAGAGGGATCACTCCTCGTGTAGTGTCCCTGAATTCTTCCATTGCTTACAACATTCAAGTTTCCATGAGTGAAGAACTTTATTCTGCTTCATTATTTTTATTTATCCACTTTTTTCTTTGATATGCAGAGTGGCCCAAGAGAGCACAAATTCTAAAGGTTGACAGAAGAGGGAGCACTTGTAACTTTGAAATAACAACAAAAAAGATATGTTTTTCCCTTTATATAATAGGGCTTTGTCTGTTTTTAAAAACTAGATCTTTTCCCAGCTGCGTGTCGCACCAGATGTTCTCTTTGTGAGGCTTGGGCATAGAAAGTCCTCCAAGGCCCCAGGCTCTCATTGCTTCCAGAACACAGCCCTACTTTCTCCCATTCTGAATTTTTTTTAACACAGAACAATCCATTATTCTTACCACCATGTAGTCTGAAAGTCTGTATAATCCCCTAAGGGTAGGAAAAAACAAACACAAACAAGCTAGAAAGAAGATGATTGAAATAAAGTAAAGAGCTGGTAAATACGAAGGCAGGAAAAGAGGTAACCAGGGAAGAAGCTAGAGAACAAGGAAGAGGAAGTGAAGATAATGGGCTGAAAAGTCACAAAACAAAACAGCAAAACAATCTTCCCCTCCCCCCAAACTCTTTTCATATATTTTGTTTTCCATTATGCAAAACATTAGGTTTGATGGGCTTTATTTTCCCGTCAAAAAAACTTACAGATGCAAACAGAAAGGGAAAGTAAGACAAGGAGTGATCCAGGTCTCGGCTCACATGCCTTTGCTGGCAGGTTGAGCCACACAAAATTTCCAAAAATTAACCCTTGACCTACAGAAATAGCAATTTTATATAGTTTGATTCAATATAATTGCCAGTGAGATGACTGTCACATGCGTCCATGTGAAGAGACCACCAAACAGGCTTTGTGTGAGCAATAAAGCTTTTTAATCACCTGGGTGCAGGCAGGTGGAGTCCAAAAAGAGAGTCAGCAAAGGGTGGTGGGATTATCATTAGTTCTTATAGGTTTGAGATAGGCGGTGGAGTTAGGAGCAATTTTTTGCGGGCAAGGGGTGGTTCTTACAAAGTACATTCTCAAGGGTGGGGGGAATATTACAAAGTACCTTCTTAAGGGCAGGGGAGAATATTACAAAGTACCTTCTTAAGGGCAGTGGGTGGGGGGAGGATATTACAAAGTACCTTCTCAAGGGTGGGGAGGGTGTATTGTCACAAAGTTAATTGATCAGTTAGGGTGGGGCAGGAACAAATCACAATGGTGGAATGTCATCAGTTAAGTCAGGAACTGGCTATTTTCACTTCTTTTGTGGATCTTCAGTTGCTTCAGGCCATCTGGATGTATATGTGCAGGTCACAGGGGATATGATGGCTTAGCTTGGGCTCAGAGGCCTGACATTCCTGTTTTCTTATATTAATAAGAAAAATAAAACAAAATAGTGGTGAAGTGTTGGGGCGGTGAAAATTTTTGGGGGTGGTATGGAGGGATAATGGGCGATGTTTCTCAGGGCTGCTTCGAGTAGGATTGGGGCGGCATGGGAACCTACAGTGGGAGAGATTAAACTGAAGAAAGATTTTGGGGTAAGGTATGATATTGTGGGGTTGTTAGAAGGAGCTTTTGTGGTATAGAATGATTGGTGATGGCCTGGATGCAGTTTTGCATGAATTGAGGAACTAAACGGAAGATACAAGGTCCAAATAAAAGAAGGAGAAAAACAGGTATTAAAGGACTAAGAATTGGGAGGACCCAGGATATCCAATTAAAGAGTGTCCAAGGGGGTTCAGCATAATTCTTTGCTTGTTTGGTGAGCTCTTGGGCTCTATCCTTGAGTTTTTTTTTTTTATGTTGTCATATACCAGGCCAGATTGATTTAGGTAAAAACAACACTGTTCATTTAAAAATTAACCTTGACTATGCCTTTAGCTCCAGCCACCTCTTTAAGAGGAAATTGTTGGGCAGATGGGGGAGGGCTAGTCGTGGAACAAAACTGTAAGCCAGACCTGGTATGAGGAGGGGAGGTGATAGAAGGATTATAGGGTGGGGGAGTGGAGGCTGAGGAAGAATTGGGACCTGGCTCGGCCTGGTGAGGAGGAGCCTGGGGAGGAGGGGAGAGGTCAAATGAGTCCATAGAAAAGGAGGATTCAGAGGACTCAGAGCTTGGGGTGGAGACTAAAGGAACAGACAGGAGAGAAAGAAGAAAGATTTGGGATGAGTTGCATTGGGAGCAGAGACTAAGGAGGGACTGATGTGTAAATGAATGCCTGGACATCAGGCACCTCAGACCATTTGCCCATTTTTCGACTAAAATTATGTAGGTCTTGTAGGATGGAGAAATCGAGAGTGCCATTTTCTGGCCATTTAGAGCCATTATCAAGTTTGTATTGGGGCCAAGCAGTGCTGCAGAAGAAAATAAGACCCTTAGGGTTTAGGTCAGGCAAGAATTGAAGAGGTTTTAAATTCTTGAGGACACAGGCTAAGGGAGAAGAAGGAGGAATGGAGGGTGGAAGGTTGCCCATAGTGAAAGAAGCAAGCCCAGAGAAAAGAGAGGGTAGAGACACAGAGGGTGGGGGTGGTACTTGCCACCCAGAGGAGGTGGTGCTTGCTACCAAGGTGAAGGATCAAGGCAGGCATCCCCATGGTGATCAGATGCCTCTGAATGTGGGTGAATAATCAGGCAGGCATCCCCGCAGTGATTAAACACTAAGGGAAGACTGTCTTCCTGAGTTCGTGACCGGCACTGGAGTTTTGAGTTCATGGATAAAACACATCTTCTCTGTCTCTACCAGAAAGGGAAAGGAACTGAAATTAAGGAAGAGAGAGATTGAAGGGTGGAGGGATAGCAAGAGAGGTTGGCGAAGAGACTGAAAAGACTGTTTACCTGATTTGAAATTGGTGAGATGTTCCTTGGGCTGGTTGGTCTGAGGACCCGAGGTCATAGGTGGATCTCCTCATGGAGTGAGGGCGAGGACAAGGGAACTGGTCTCCTGAAGGAGTCCTCCTGTCCCAGCTCTTCGGCACCAAATGTCATGTGTGTCCGTGTGAAGAGACGACCAAACAGGCTTTGTGTGAGCAATAAAGCTTTTTAATCACCTGGGTGCAGGCAGCCGGAGTCCAAAAAGAGTGTCAGCAAAGGGTGGTGGGATTATCATTAGTTCTTATAGGTTTGGGATAGGCAGTGGAGTTAGGAGCAATTTTTTTGTGGGCAGCGGGTGGATCTTACAAAGTACATTCTCAAGGGTGGGGAGAATATTACAAAGTACCTTCTTAAGGGCAGTGGGTTGGGGTAGGATATTACAAAGTGCCTTCTCAAGGGTGGGGAGGGTGTATTGTCACAAAGTTAATTGATCAGTTAGAGTGGGGCAGGAACAAATCACAATGCTGGAATGTCATCAGTTAAGGCAGGAACTGGCAATTTTCACTTCTTTTGTGGATCTTCAGTTGCTTCAGGCCATCTGGATGTATATGTGCAGGTCACAGGGGATATGATGGCTTAGCTTGGGCTCAGAGGCCTGACAATGACAATTTTGGGTACTGAGTATGTAGAAAGATCATATGTGTTACGAACAGATTTTAACCAGTTTGGTTATTACAATAACTAGCTTCTTTCTGGTAAATATCATAATATAGGTGATGTCCTAGCCTGTGGCCTGTTTGCATATGGCCCATGAGCTAAGAGCGGTTTTTATATTTTTATAGGGTTGTAAAAAAAAGGTGAAAGAATGTGCAACATTAGACCATTTTAGCCCACAAAGCTTAAATTACTATCTGATTGTTTACAAAGTTTGCAACCGATGGAAACTCCAGGTGCACCCAGATTGTTTCATTTTATTTTTTGCTCTTAGTATGATAATCACAACCTATTGGGAACTAACTATGTGTCAGGCACTGTTCTAAGAATTTATATATTAATCTATTTAATCTTCACGAAATGCTGTATGCAGGTTCTATTATTATTCATGTTTTACATACCTGGATAGAGCTGGAATGGAGATTTGAACCCAGGACTCCTGCATGCTTTTAAACACTATGTTGAATTGCCTTTCAAGAAGTTCTTGCAGCTTACACCTGTAATCCCAGGGCTTTGGGAGGCTATGGTGGCAGGACTGGGGAGGGTTGCTTAAGCCCAGGAGTTTGAGACCAGGCCGGGCAACATAGCAAGACCTTGTCCCTACAAAAAAAAAAAAAAAAAAAAGAGAGAAAGAAAAAAAGAGGTTGATACAAGGGAGCTGTGAGACTTGTTCCTGGGGGAAGCTAGATTGATTTCTAAACTGATTTCTCATCTCAGCTCTTGGTACTCACCTGTTGAGAATTTTTGGCAAGTTATTTAACTGCTCTCTGCCTTAATATCTCTGTAAATGGAAGAAAACTGATTTTAAAAAAAGGCAAATGATTACAAAGAAATGAAAATGAGTTGTATCAGTGGAATGCAAATGATTATTATCCAATGGATAGATCCTTCTCATGTCCTTTTGTACAGTCATTTCAGTTTTCCTCATCTGCCTGTGTATGTATATTCTCTGGAGTTCTCTCTTGAACTGGTTGTAATCTCTTACTAGTTCCCTTATAAATCAGTGATTGAAATAAATTTTTTGATATGCTATTATTTTATATCTATTTAAGGGTCATAATTATAAACTCCTTTTAAAATTATCTTTTAACACAAGAAACTATAATTTTCCCTCAATTTGCATGTATACTTTCCATTTGATTGGGACATTCTCTTTCCCCTTAAGGCAAAGCCGGAAGTAACCTGAGAATAGGATTTTGGTGTCAGTCTAATGTTCCCTTTAATGCCCTTTGCACATGGAGACGCTCAGTTCAACTCTTGAGTTGAAATTATGATGAAGGAGACAGACATTCTAAGAAAGAGGGTTGATGAACTAATTTCCAATCCCGTTTTAAATTCTTTACTGTCTGTAAGAAGATTCCTTACAAGACGGAACATCAGATCTCACAGATCTCTCACTGAGGCTGGAGTGTAGTGGTCTTTTAGTAGTATTGTTATGTTAGTATTTACTGGATGCTTATTATGGAGTGCTAAGTATGTACAAAGATACCTCATTCAGTTATCACTAAAACCCAATGTGGTAAGCACTTTTATTTCACAGATAAGGATATTGAAAAGATAAAAACTCCAAGATGATGAAAGGCAAAGATAATCCAGAAGGGTGCAGTAAACAAGACACGCAGCCATCTTTTACGTTTTTTCCCCACTTCAAAATCTTTTGTGTTTTTTTCTGGTACTTTGTTGCATGCTTTTTCCTTTATCCAATCCCTTTTCCCACCTTTCACTTCAGTTGCTAGAATAAGACATTCTGAATTTGCTAGATGTTGTCATTAGGTCCTTATTTAAGTGGTTTTGTAATCTTTGTTTTCCACAGAAATCTTTAAAAATTCTGTGGCTTCTTGACCGGGTCTGGTGGCTCACACCTGTAATCCCAGTATTTTGGGAGGCTGAGGTGGGCAGATCAAAAGGTCGGGAATTCAAGACCAGCCTGACCAACATGGAGAAACCCCGTCTCCACTAAAAATACAAAAAAATTACCTGGGCATGGTGGTGCGCGCCGGTAATCGCAGCTGTTCAGGAGGCTGAGGCAGGAGAATCACTTGAACCTGGGAGGCAGAGGTTGCAGTGAGCCAAGATCGTGCCATTGCACTCCAGCATGGGCAACAGAGCGAGACTCCATCTCAAAAATAAATAAATAAATAAATAAATAAATAAATAACTGCAAAATAAAAAGTAAAAAATAAAAAATAAATAAAATTCTGTGGCTTCTTTTCCATCGTTTGTTCATAACATTTCTATAAGAGGCTATCACATTCTGTAATGAGAGTGTTCTTTTGCTAATATCATTTAATATTTATGTATATAAGACAGAATAGATTATTGATGTAGTAATATGACAGCTTCTTATAGAAGCATGAGCAAGAAGTAATGAGCATGTTCTTTTGCAATTACCATTTTATATGTGTATGTATATATATATATATATAGCTTTGTCGGGATCGCTTGGCCATTATCATAAGAAAACGTGTTTTGATCAGTGGTGGTGAAGTATGTTGTTTATGTAAGTGAGTGAAGGAGATCACGAAGTCACCATCTAGCCATGCAAGCTCCCAGGGGACCAGAACAAGGACGACAATGATAACAACAACATAAACAACAACATTTTATGAGATTTTTCCTACATCTTGCAATGATGATGCTATTACCCTTCTTCCTTTAAGAGTCAAGTTTATCATAGTTAATCTTGTTTTCATTTCCATCATTTCCTCATCTCCCACTTCTTTGCTAACAGTCTGCCAAGAAAGCTGAGTAGCAGACCTCCCAGAGAGAATGATACAACTAACCATTTTGTAACCATGTTTGAGGTAAGAGAAAAAAATAGAAAAATACAATTCAGTTCAATACATTACACTTGGTCAAGAGCAAAAGAAAAGTTGGAGAAGTCAGAAAAATCACTTGCCCAAGAGATTAAAATTGCAAAATAGTTTGGAAAATAGTTGGCTAAATGCTTGGGAAATAAAGTAGTTAGAAGTTATACCTCTAATAAAGGATGTATAAAACTAAGAAATAAAAGAGAAAAAGGAGGTAGTAGTAGAATGGTGAATATTATATAGAAAACATATATAGAAGTGCTAAATAATCTGGAGATTTAACATTGATAGTAAATCACACAATTGGAAAAAAAAGAAAGAAAAGTGGAGTTTGCAGAAAAGAGAAATGTTTGTACGATACATATCTGATGAAATCATTATTTAATATTTTGTTCTGTTTTCTGTTAAAAATAATTATATATTGTTGTCAACACTGAAAGGGTGGAATGTATAAAAATGTTTACATGAATATTTGAAAAAGGCTTGAATATTTTCAAGGACAAAATACTTTATTTCTATGGAGACATAATTTTAGCAAACAATTTTTTTTTCCGTAGTAGTGTTGCCAGAAACAAAAGGAGTAAAAAAAAATTTCTTAAAGTTACTTATTACTCTATAATAGGAGTTAGCAAACTTGTTCTATCAAGGACCAGATAGCGACTATTTCAGGCTTTGTGGGCAATATTGTCTCTGGTACAGATACTTAACTGTGCTGTTGTAGTTTGAAAACAGCCATAGACATTAATAAGTAAGTGTGGCCGTGTTCCAATAAAACTTTATTTATAAAAACCAGTTGATGGGCCATAGCCCATATAGTTTGCCAACTCCTGACCTAGAATTTTATGAATCTGTAATCTAGATGCTTTGTGGTCATGAGACCCACTTCATTGCCCTCCTGGATTTGCAGCTAAACTATGTTTTTCCAATCTCCCTTGTAGTTAGTTAGGTGTGTCGTGGGATTGGGTTCTGGCTAACGGAATACAGGAGAATGTGATATACACAGTTTCTGGTTCTGGCCCCTAAATCATCCCTGAAGAATCGCCATAGTTTCTCCCTCACCTGTTCCTAATATTGTAACCAACTTAAGTTAGGCTGCTCGCCACTGGGAAGTCAAAGCATGAGAAGCGAGGTGTGGTCCAAGGAAAGCAGCTTATTCCAATGCTAGCAGATGGGAGAATGGCCCAGGCTTAACTCTCAAATGAACCATCTCAGATTCTGGGCTGAGGGCAGCTTTAAAAAAGTTGAGTCCAGGCCAGGTGCAGTGGCTCACGCCTGTAATCCCAACACTTTGGGAGGCCTAGGTGGGTGGATCACTTGAGGTCAGGAGTTTGAGACCAGCCTGGCCAACATGGTAAAACCCCGTCTCTACTAAAAATACAAAAATTAGCTGGGTGTGGTGGTGTGCATCTACAGCCCCAGCTATTTGGGAGGCTGAGGCAGGAGAATTGCTTGAGCCCCAGGAGGCGGGGGTTGCAGTGAGCTGAGATCACGCCACTGCACTCCAGCCTGGGCAACAGAGCGAGACGCTGTCTCAAAAAACAAAAACAAGACCCCAAAACAAACCAACAACAACAAAAGGGGAAGTTTGGTGTGGGAAATATGCAAGAGTGATGCAGGGTGCAGGTCCACACGTCTTGCTCCTATGGCTATCTTCAGTTATTGTCAACCTGGTGTGTCAGCTGGCACCATCTCAGTTGCAGCCGAGCTGTAGATTATCCATCTTGAAGTGGGGAGAAGGGAATTTCTCCATACCCCCATACCCAGTTTTTTTTTGTTTTTGTTTTTTGTTTTTTTTTTTGACAGAGTCTCGCTCTGTCGCCCAGGCTGGAGTGCAGTCGCACGATCTCGGCTCACTGTAAGCTCCGCCTCCTGAGTTCACGCCATTCTCCTGCCTCAGCCTCCCGAGTAGCTGGGACTACAGGCTCCTGCCACCACACCTGGTTAATTTTTTGTATTTTGTTTAGTAGAGATGGGTTTCACCGCGTTAGCCAGGATGGTGTCGATCTCCTGACCTCGTGATCCACCCTCCTCGGCCTCCCAAGGTGCTGGGATTACAGGCGTGAGCCACCGTGCCCAGCCCCCAGTTTGTTTTAAAATTAGCCCCTGGAATTTCTTAACAAGCATATAGTTAGATAAGTGTGCATGGTGTGGTGGGAAAAGGAGGGAGAGACAGTGTTCTAAAGTACATTTCAAGGCCATATTTTAAGACTAAGAGGGAAAAAGTTTTTTTACAATTTGCTTCAAGGTTACACCCTGAGACTAGGGAGAAAGGACAAAAAACATTTTAGAATGCACTTCAAAGCTGAAATACTCAGTTACAATATGGTACAGAGCTTTTAGAGGACACTCAGAGGAGCCACGAGTCAGGCAGGAGCCCAAGTTCTGAAACACTGCTTAGAAGGGCACCAGACAAACACCTGAAAAGACTATGACGTGAATGAATCATCAATCTTAATTTTGTTAAGTCATTGATTTTTGCAGTTAGATGCTACAGCATTTATCCTACCCTGCTACTTGGCACACACTATTGTCAAGTAGATGATTTTGAGACACTGACCAAAATGCTAGTAATAAAAAGGTGTAACAGTATTATGTTCAGCTTCAGGCACAAGACAGAGTGGCTTAGACTGAAAGGCATATGTTAGTCTCACACTACAGGAAATCTGGGAGTAGACAATCCTTAGTTGTACTGTGGCTCAATAATGCTACCAAGGAGCAAGCTCTTGCTCTCCCTGCTCCTCTGTCCTTAACAATGGGCGCTGCATCCATAATCAGTAAACCATTCAGGCAGGAAAAAAGAGGAATAAAAGAGGCAGCAACAGCAGACTTCTGGTTGTCTCATTGGTTGGCATGAAGTCCCGTGGACAGTTCTGGCTGCAAGATAATCTGTAGCTTTCTAGTTTCTGCACTAGAAAACAGCATAAAAGGAGGAGGTTGTAACTGACATTGATGACAGAATTTACAATATAGTTCAGTGTTTGAACCACACAAAAATACTTTTGGCAACAAAATGTTTTAGCTGGTAGACAAAACACAGAAATTGTTATTAAAACACCTCCTTCTAAGGAGCCTTTAAAAAATAAGACTTGGGGCTGGGCATGGTTGCTCACTCCTGTAACCCCAGCACTTTGGGAGTTCGAGGAGGGTGGATTGCTTGAGTTCAGGAGTTCGAAACCAGCCTGGGCATCATGGCAAGGGCCCATCTCTACCAAAAATACAAAAGAATAGCTGGGCATGGTGGTGTGCACCTGTGGTCCCAGCTACTTGGGAGGTTGAGATGGGAGGATTGCTTGACCCTGGCAGGGTGGAGGTTGCAGTGAACCGAGATCACACCACTGCCCTCCAGCCTGGGTGATGAGAGTGAGACCTTGTCTCGAAATAAATAAATAAAAATAAAGACTTACCAATTAATTAATAGCAGAACAAATCAAGAAATGATAGTTTATGAAGAAAAATTTTTACATAAATAGAGTCGTAAATGGGTAAGATTTACTCTGGTGTCTGTATTTGCCTATTCCGTTACTGTGTTGAAGTTATAAATACTACAAAAGTATAGAGATAATTTTTAATATTTAACTGACAGTGTATCTCTTTTTACTGAACAAAATGTTGTTGAAATAATATATCCATGTCAATTAATTATTTATTCTTTGGGAAATAGAGGATATACTTCCTAATTAACTTCCAATTTTCATGCATTTGTCTTAAGAACCAGATCTTCAGAGCATAGAATCAGTCAATGTTTACTAGTATCAGGAAAACATACGTTTCTTATTTT
Source organism: Homo sapiens (assembly GCF_000001405.40). Taxonomy (NCBI): domain Eukaryota; kingdom Metazoa; phylum Chordata; class Mammalia; order Primates; family Hominidae; genus Homo; species Homo sapiens. Next base: position 68,804,739 of record NC_000017.11, read on the forward strand.
CAACATCATAATGGCATTTGCTAAGTGAATGTACTACTATGTAGTAAATTTGCAATGACAAGTCCATAAATATCCTATCTGAGATGCCAACACCTTCTTTTGAGTAAAGACCCCCTGTATAGGTTAAGCTTTGTGGTTTTCTCTGTGCTAGTATTATTCTGACCACAGTTCATTGTCTCATCATCAGCACCATGGCTTAAAGGCACACATCTGTAGCCTGGATATGAGAGAGGCCAATGACCTTAGACAGGAGCTTGACCCTAGAGCTCTGAAGAATAAGGGAACTCCATACTGGATATGGAAAAACTGTCTCAGTACATGACTCTCTAGAAAGTTTCTGAATGTGAGGCACACAGAAAGAAGGCAATAGCAGTAGGAAGAAGTTGAGGCAATAGGACAAAACCATGAAAGAGAGGCTGATAGGAGAATCTTATGCCTTAAAGAAGAGAGCACGAGTTATCCAAATCACTCTCAATTGCTCTAAGGTTTCTGAAGCTTATTATTCATGAGACTGAAAGTGTGGCTGTGGAACATACTTCTATGTACCATTTTAGGATCTCCAAAGGGAAATCCTCACCCACCTCCCCAGAAATCACACTTCTTCTCTGACTGGCTTTGAAATAAATTTAGAAGCAAAACAAGAGAGAAGCCAGTAGAGACCAAAATAACACCATTGCTGAGAAAAGATAAATTGGGAACTGTTGCTTTGAGACAGAGAGAGACAAATGGACCCACTCAGACAGATCCTATTAGGGGTTGAACTGTGTACAGCCTCCAAAACTCATAGGCTGAAGTCCTGACCCTCAGTACCTCAGAATCTGACCTTATTTGGAAACAGGGTTGATGCAGATGTAATTAGTTAAGTTGGGATGAAGTCATACTGGAGTAGGGTGGGCCCCTACTGTGGTATGACTGGGGTCCTTATAAAAAGGAAAAATTTGAACACAGACACATATATAGGAAGAAAGCCATGTGAAGATGAAGGCAGAGCTCTACAAGCCAAGGACACCAGAGATGGTCAGCAAACCACCAGAGAGGCATGGAACAGATTCTCACTCACCAACCTCAGAAAGAACCAACCCCGTGAACACCTAGAGGATCCAGATGAAGCTGTGGTCTAACTTCTGTGAAACTGAAAGGCTGCAGACTCCACTCTGAGCTATTCTCAGAGTGGATGGCTGCCTCTTAATCAAAATGAGTGGAATGTACTAAAAATGGAAGAATTCATCCAGTGGGCCAAATTGTATGCAATGGTGATGGCTGTGTAAGCCTCCCTGCCCAAATATCTTCACTACATCTTTAGGGATTCTTGGGATGTGGCAAGAGGTCTAGCCATTGATCAGGAGATAGGCAACTAAATGATTGGACATTTTTTTTGAGATGGAGTCTCACTCTGTCGCCCAGGCTGGAGTGCGGTGGCGTGATCTCGGCTTACTGCAAGCTCTGCCTCCGAGGTTCATGCCATTCTCCTGCCTCAGCCTCCCGAGTAGCTGAGACTACAGGTGCCCACCACCACGCCCGACTAAATTTTTTGTGTTTTTTGTAGAGACAGGGTTTCACAGTGTTAGCCAGGATGGTCTCGATCTCCTGACCTCGTGATCCTCCCGCCTTGGCCTCCCAAAGTGCTGGGATTACAAGCATGAGCCACTGCGCTCGGCCATGATTGGAATTTTAAGGAATCCCCTGTGTGAGGACAAGGACTATCGCAACAAGTTGTTGCATAGAATGGACAAATCTTTGTCACTCATGTGGATGCTCATGACAAAACCAGCTTTTCAAATGAGAACACAAATGGAATTCCCCAGCCAACGGGGCTTGTGCGCAAGTTGAAATGGCCACCCACAGGTGCATCAGCAAAGTGGTCACGGAAGGTGGCCTCGTGTGCAGCAATCAAATCCAGGAACGTGAATTTTGAAGACACAGAAGCCAAGGATGCTATGCAAACAGTTTTGCAATTCCTGCCAGGGAGCCCAAGCAGTACAATGCACAGAGAATTGGGACATATTATCACAGGCATTGGCCTGGCTTGGGTTTGGCAGATTGATCATATTGGACCTTTAACACCCAGCTGTGGTTTCTGCTGGTGCTTCATGGCAGTTGACACTTACTGTTGATATGAAACTGCCAACCCCTTACAGCATGAGGATGCTGGTGCCACCATAGTCATCTCAGAGAAAGATCTTTACCATATGTTTGAGTCCCCTAGTGGACTCCAATCAGACCAGGGCACTTCCTTTACAGCACAACACATAACAATGGGCACAATCCCATGGCATAGGCTGAACCTATCATGCTCCATACCACCCACACACTAATGGAGCCCTTGAAGAGTGGCATGGAAGACTAAGAGAATTAAAGAAGGGACACCAGAAAGCGTTATTAGCAAGATGCTGTCTGCCTCACTAGGACCATTTGGATGTTCAGTACTTCATTCCTGCGAAAGGGAAGCATGCCCTTCCAACACGTTTTGGAATACCGAGCGTGGCAGGGGTGGAAGACCTGGCAGTTGTCCAGTTAGGAACCTGAGGAACCCCAGTATACACAATCACTCCTTATTTTTTTCCCCTCTGGAATGCTCTTCCTAGGGTGGTTTGTGGTCCTGCAGCAGTTGTACCTGACACAGGCCCCCCAGCTCTGAACCCATAGAAGATGTCTTGGGCTCCTACTTCTAGTGGTTGGCACTGCTGTGATCCATGCTATTCCATGCAGAGGGAATCTCACTTGGGATTGGCAGTTGGGTCTTCCTGTTTGGCATTTTTGTGCAGATTTTAGAGCTAACACTTCGTGGTTTCCTCCTCTCCAGAATTAATTTCCAGCCACTACTGAAGCCTTGAACTTTGACCTCTGCCTCCCAAATTTCAGTAACATTGCTGTTTTCTTCTTAGGCTCTATTCCCAGACTTGGCAAATATTGGAAATTTCTCTTAGGAGGAAATTTGGGTAAATATGGCAGTTACCTCATTTGAGTCCCTTCTTTCAAGGGTCATGTTCCATCTAGTTTTTGTCTGCTTTGCTTGTTCTTCATTCCTTTAAATATTTCCCTTACCCTTACCTTAAAACAACTTGTGTAATTATTATCATCAGGAGGTTTAATCTGACACAAAGTGATAGTTTCATGATTGGAAGTGGCACTCATTGATTAGGATGTAAGTGGTACATTGCACTTGGAGAAATAAGACAGGACTTTAAAATTTGGCATGATAAATTATTTAGTTTCTCAAGTAAATATGAGACATTAAAGTATTTTTGTGTTTGAATTAACTTCAGTTACAGGATTGATGCCATTTTGAACATGCATGAAAAGCTGGAAAGCACATGGCTTGTGGACTTCTGGTTCCTTTGGCAGTAAAGAGCACTTTGAGGACAGCAACCTGTCCCCAGTGTAGAGATGAAATGTACTTGTAAGACATAATGTTAACACTTGAAAGCTGCCTTCCAATCTGCAGCCATTAAGAGTTTGCAATTCTCAGTCTGTTGGAATGCATTTCCAGCTAGTGCCTGCCAAGAAACATGGGTCAGATTCTCAGAAGACTGAGACATTTGGTGCCACCCAGGTGGCTGGAAGTGGAAAGCAATTATCTTATGGGTAGTGCAGGGCCACTGAATATCAAGCTTGTAGAACGCATTCTGGAATTGGAGGTCCATGGGCATTTGAAAAATCAGATGAAAAGATGGCATCCTTTGAAAATTTAGCTTGGCAAAACAAAGGAACAGTAGAAACATGTTCTTTATGTCAATTCCAGAGAAGTAATGCAGGGCTGGGAAGGAAACAGCTTTTGTAAAAGACTTTAGATGACATTTTGATGATTTCAAGCTTTCAGGGATTTTTGTTGTTGTTGTTAACTTGTTTTTCAGTTTCGAAAAATTGGCAAAGGACTCTCAGATGTCCCTTCTGGGAAAGTTGTAGACATTACATAAGGCCCAAAAAAAGTTGCAAGCAAAGCCTTTTTAAAAATCTAAATAGCAGCACACAGTCAGGAGCTTTTTTAATTCTTTTTTTTTTCTAGGTAAGAATAGCTACTGGGTAAAGAAGAAGGAAGACAAATAAGGCTCTAAGTCCTGAGACTTCTTGCACCAATGTTACTTGTAGGTGTAGCTAATCAACTTCTAATACCTAGCACTAAGCCTCATTAGATCTTCCCATCATGAACCAAGAGTGCCCAGTATAAGAATTTAATTAAAATCCTGTTGTGTTTAGAAGCTGTAGGTTGTGGGAATAGCTTTTACTGTAAATCAGATGATACTCATATTCTGTACCTATAGTTTGGAAGGTTTGATAGGTCCAAACACGAGAAAACAAAATTTAACATTTACTCAGATTACTCTTATAGAAAATTGAAAAATTCTTTTATTTCTTTCACATTTCCATATTCCTAGCTTTAAGGATGCTCTTGCTTGACTTGAGATAATTTTAATGAAGGAATTTCACTATGAGGGAGGTCTTCCCTAACCAATCATTTTTCTGGGGCCGGAGATAAGATGAAAAATGTAATACACTATTCCAAAATTTGAGGAACTCACCCTCTAAGCTTGCTGTCTTCTTTTCTGCTCTAGGAATCCTCATGAACTTCACTTGGAATGCAGTCAGCTCTCCATATCTGTGGGGCACTGGTTTCAGGACAACCCGCAGATGCCAAAATCTGCTATGCTCAAGTCCCTTATAAAAATAGCACATTATTATAGTACTGTATTCTCTGCATGTGGGGAAGGAGAACCTTTTTTTGCTATTATTGCCTCCAAATCCATTCCTGTCCCTTCACCCATGTGCACCCAGCCCTCTTTGCCTGCTCTCATTAGTCCTAAGTGATCTCTTTGCCAAGTCTATTCTCTGACCCAGCTCTTTTATATGAAGCATTCCCAAAATGTCTTAATGTTACACTAAGAAGTGGATTTCAGTTCAGTGGATGAAGAAGAGGAGGATAAAAGGTAATTTTAGGGGAAAGGGTGATTTTGGTTCACACTAAAGCAGTACATGGAGGCATCAGGCTCCAGAGATACACAGGGGAAGGACCAGAGAGGACAGTTTAGTTTCCAAGAGATAGCACCGCAACTTTTCTGAGGGCTGACTGTATTTTCTTATTTCCTAGAGATGAGATTTGTCCTACTAAACTTTTATTGGAGGTAAATAATTTCCGTATCATTTAATCTCTGCATTTTACAATATGCATTCACAAAAATACAAATGGATAATGTTCATAGATTTGTTTTTCTATCCTGTATTGGACACTGACTGTCTTATTTGCTATGTTTTTGGGGTACCATGCTGTCCACCAGGCAAAAAAATTCCTGCCATTCCAGACAACAAAAGCTTTTGAAATTGCCTCATAATTTTCTGCCTCTGCACCTTAAGTCATGATGTTTCTTTCTGCTTATATTTTTCCCATCTATCAGCATCCAGCCATTATTCTGCACATGAATATGTGTTCCCCAGAGTCTCTGAGGACATGCAAGTTTCATTATTGTAATGCCTTATTCTAGCCTCCTCTTATTCAACTTTTTCCCCCCATCACAACAAAAAGCGAGAGGAAGGTTTTGGTGTTATTCTTCGTGATTCCCATCCAGTCCTCAGATTTTCTTGTTTATTTATTTATTTATTTATTTTTTCTCTATCACCAAGGCTGGAGTGCAATGGTGTGATCTTGGCTCACCGCAACCTCCGCCTCCTGGGTTCAAGCAATTCTCATGCCTCAGCCTTCCGAGTATCTGGGATTACAGGCCCCTGCCACCATGCCTGGCTAATTTTTGTATTTTTAGTAGAGACAGGTTTTCACCATATTGGCCAGGCTGGTCTTGAACTCCCGACCTCAGGTGATCTGCCTGCCTCGGCCTCCCAAAGTGATTCTTCTTAAGGTCTCTAGACAGCTTGTGACCGGCAATGCCTGTCAGCTAGACAGGTCAAGTTTCCAGTGCATCCGTGCATTTCCAGCATCTGAGTACCAAATACACCTCAACGTACCCTCAACAGGCACACATCCCTGCACAGTACAGTAAAACTAGGATGGGTTCAAATCTCAATGTAACTGTGTATGTTGAGATTTGAACCCATCATTAGATGAACTTGTAGCCAAAACAAACAAAAATGTCAATGAAAGAACAAATATAAATAAAACGCAGAAACTCCTGATGGCTTGGTTTGCTGAACTAACCTGGGTTCTTATAAAAAATATGTGTTCTTTACAGAACTTGATCAGGGCTCTTGATTTTTTTATAATCAAAAAGCCTGTTTATACTTGCATTTTTATTTCATTGGTTTTGTGATGATTTTATATTGAGTATTCTCATATCAATCAATAGATATTGACCTTTGTAATAAGCTGTAGGTGTTTTCAGAAACTTTTTAACACTATTACATTTTCTTCAGGCATTAGAAAGTCAGATTGTTTTTACAATTGTGGAAAATTGTTTGAAACTTCATACATTGATTTTGGTTTATTGCAAGGTAATTATTTGTGGGTTTCAAACCCCAGTATTTAACTACTCCTTCATCTGCAAGCACTGATGTGCTTCCCATTATTGAAGTATAGACTAACTTTAGAAGACAGAGCCAGGAGATCTGAAACAGTGCTACACTGGGGCCATGGTTGCTGTGGGCTTTGCATAGTTGTATTTGAGGTGTGAAGCCCTTTATACAAAATTTTGTGTTTTTAGATGCTACCAATAGCTGCATGCATTGTCTGCATTGTGGGTAAAGTGGGACTGTAGTGCTCATCAAAGGGAGATACATAGGGCTGTGACATAGTTTGGATTTGTGTCCCTCCCCGCCAAGTCTTTTAATTGTAATCCTCAGTGTTGGAAGAGGGGCCTGGTGGAAGATGATTGGATTATGGGAGCAGATTTCCCCCTTGCTGTTCTCATGACAGTGAGTGAGTTCTCATGAGATCTAGTTGTTTAAAAGTATTAGACCTCCTGCTCTCTCTTCCTCCTGCTCCAGCCATGTAAGATGTGCCTCTTTCCTCTTCATCATCTGCCATGATTGTAAGTTTCCTGAGGCCTCCCCAGCCATGCTTCCTGCACATACTTCCTGTACATCCTGCAGAGCTGTGAGTCAATGAAACCCCTTTTCTTTATAAATTAGCCAGTCTCAGATATTTCTTTATAGCAATGCAAATCCAATGCCCCACCTTGATACATGGGTACTATTACACTTCAAGATCAGATTTGGGTGGGGACACAGCCAACCCTTATCATGTGACTAAGATTTGCATTTTCTTACCTAAGGAGGCATGTCACATTCTCTTTCTTCCTTGGAGCTCTTACTCCTTGTTACTAGGGCACAATTATATTCATGGAGGTAAACCATATTTATTTATCTTACACAGGATTCATGAATATCTAATTTTTCTGTATGAATATGAATGTCCTGTAAAATGGTCACTAAAGATCCCCATTTTCTTGTATTCATGCCCTGTGTAAGTATGCTTCACTCAAGTGTGGACTGGACAAGGTGACTTGGTTCTAACCATTAGAATACAGAAGGGATAATGGAATGTCATTTCCTTGATTACAGTATAAAAGAAGCAAGCTGCCAAGTTCGAGAGGCCCACATAGCTTAAAATTGAGGGCAGCTTCTGGACAACAGCCAGCTAGTAACTGAGCCCCTCAGTCCGACAGCCCAAGGGGAACTGAGTAAACTGCCAATACTATGAAGTAAACTTAGAGGCAGACCTTTCCCCAGTCAAACCTTCAGATGGGACAGCAGCCCCCTGAGCCAACTTCATGGGATTGCAAGACCATGAAGCAGAGGACCCAGCTAAGTCATTTCAAAATACCTTACACACAAAATTGCTAATCAAAAAATGTGTGTTGTTTTAATCCACTAATTTTAGGATTATTTATTATACAGTGAAAGATATTGAATACAATGGATGTTGGACGTTGAGGAACGAATGTGACTGGTGAACTTGGGGCCCAAATGTTGGGAATGCACAGGTGCATCTGAAACTTTGCTAATGCTAGTTGACATGTGCTGTAGTTCATGAGATATCTAAAGCCCTTATGAAAGTATTGGATAGGATTCAGGAAGAATGCGACCAACGGATTTCTTCTACTTTTTGGTGTTGTACTGTTGGGAGAGGGGACTGACTAGAGGGAGACTTGGGAATGATATCACAGTAATAAAATACATTTAGATAGGCAACATTAAGTTAATGAAGTATGTTTAGATTCTGGGAACCAGGCTGGTTTTCATTTATTCTTTGGAATATAATGGGGATGCTGCTATAAATGGGCAGTCACCATAATGGTAAAATCTTTGAGTGTTTAGAAAATCATGTAACTCAGAAGCATTAGCATGAGAAGAGGCTATTAAAGCCAGTGCAAATTGCAAAACTATGCTGTTTCAGAAAAAAAAAATCGTAAACTAGTACTTGGCTCTGAATTGAATATTAAATAAGACATTGTAACACCCTGTGGATTTGGCAAAACCAAGTTCCCATGCATTTTTTAGCTTTTACCTGAATCTAAAATTTTTCACCTCACATGAATAAAGCCCACCCAAGGTTCAAGTGAAAAGTGACAGATTTAAAGCACAAGGGATTGTATCCTGGATCTAAAGATCAAAGAGTGGTATAAATTAGATTTTGTAACTACTGTCAACACAAAGGCTTCACATCTTGAGAAAAAGAGACAAGGCATTGAGAGGAAGCAATAATTTTTCACAGAAGCTACAGGAAGTCACTGTCATGCTGAGAATGTGTTGCTCAGCTCTGGAGTGTGCCTCTAGTTCTCTGTTTTAGAAATATTGCACACATTTCATTAAGTGTAAACACATCTCTATTATAAAACTGTCAAGGAGGAGATAAGATAAAAATTTATCATAAACCACAGTAAATTGGGAGAGACACTCTGGTTATAAATAGATTCACTTCAAGATTTGCTTTCTAACAGGGTCTGGGAGGAAGAGTGGGGAAAAACTCTAACAAATTCCTTTCCATGCTTCTTGAAAATAAATTACTTTTTTCCACATTGATTTATTTTTTAAATTGACATAATAAAATTGTATATATTTATTGTGTATAACATGATGTTTTGAAGTATATATATACATTGCGGAATAGTTAAATCTAGCTAATTAAATTCATTACCTCACATAATTATCATTTTTTGTGGGCATAACACTTAACACCCACTGTCTTAGCATTTTTTGAGAATATAATACATTGTCATTAACTACAGTCATTGTGCTGTACAATACACCTCAAACTTATTGCTCCGTAAATATGTATTTGCTGACCAACATCTTCCTAAGCCCTCCTTTCCCCTAGCCACCCCAGCCTCTGGAAACAACCATTCTACTCTCTAATTATGTATGATCAACTTTTTAAGATTCCACATATAAGTGAGATCATGTGGTATTTGTCTTTCTGTGACTGGCTTATTTCACTTAATGTCTTCCAGATTCATCCATGTTGTCACAAATGGGAGAATTTTCTTCCTTTTTAGGGCAGAATAGTATTTCATTGCGTATATATAACACATTTTCTTTTATTTTACGTCAGGAGTTACATGTGCAGGTTTGTTACATAGGTAACTTGTATCATGGGGGTTTGTTGTAAAGATTTATCACTCAGGTGCTAAGCCTACTACCTAATAATTATTTTTTCTGCTCGTCTCTCTCCTCCTACACTTCACCCTGAAGTAGGCCCTGGGTCTGTTGTTCTCTTCTTTGTGTTCATGAGTTCTCATCATTTAGCTCCCACTTATGAGTGAAAACATACATATATACCACATTTTCTTTATCCACTCATCGGTTGATAGACACTTAGGTTGCTTTCATATCTTGGCCTTTGTGAATAGAGCCGTAATGAACATGGGAATGAAGATATCTCTTAAAAAAGGAATTGCAAATGGCATTCATTTATGAACCAAATAGTTGTTAATACTACCCATTACTAATTTTTAAAAATGGGTGTTTTGATGTCTCCTAGCTTCTTTACTTATACTTGCACATTTGGCTTTGGGATATTCATAGGGCAAAATTCATTCTAACAAAGAAGAATTTTAAAATGTGTCAACCCTTTATCTGAACTCTAAAGAAGTAATATTTATCCTAATTGAGAAAACATTTTGGAACATGTACAAAAAACATGTTTTTGTACCTTCCCTCAACCTCTCATTTATGTAAGTTAGATAGATCCCTCACTTCAAGCTGATTATCTGGAGCATATGGTACTGGGAAAACAGATAAGTGTAGGCTTATCTTTTTGATGGCCATGTATCCATCAAAATGTAACTATACTGCCAATCATTCTTTAGGTTTTAGGTAAAAACATAAATAAATCCTGTCCATTTTTATAGAACCTCAGAGTTTACTGGATGTTTTTGTAATCTAGCAAGGAGGGGCTTGGTAATTAATATCATATTTACATTTTATATCAATTTTCATTTGTTGTGTGCACAAATATGTTTAGGTTAACTGTTCTATAAACTGTGTATGATCCTCATTTCATTCGGTGGTTTTATTCTGAATTGTGGTGGGCCATTCTGAATTATGTTTTTAGAAAGTATCAATTTGATAAACATCTTAAAATATTATTATAAATAGATTAGTAACTTCAAGGTTGATGTAAATAGATCACTCAATTTTGACTGAATAAATGTGGAATGAATTAACACTGCTGGAGGTAGAAAGACTCAGTTTTGCATGGTCTTGCCTTTGATCTAGTTCTCAAATTTCCTCCTGGCACAGAATATTTATAGTGAGCCTTCTGGAATTGCCACTTGATAACCAGCAACATGTTGTAAGATGTTGTTATAGCTACAACATCTCCCACTTCTTTTCGATAATTTGCTTCAGCTTAAACTTGGCTCTGTCTTACTGCCATTCAGGAAGTGTCTGTTTATGCATTCAACCTCGCTTACCTCACGGTTGAGGGGTGGGCTACCTATCCTCTTTGCTCTCCATTGCAGAGTAGTATATCACCATCTCTAAAAACAAAAACTACTCATTTGAGACCCATGGCATTTATTTATTCTACCCTTGCCCCTCCTCAAAGCTGCCCTCGAATGACCACCTATTCACCATCCGTCATTCATCAAAGACATTGACATTTGTCTCGTCACCTTCCTCTCTACTCTAACCTTGCTATCCTCTTGGGTATCCTCAGTCCTCCAACGACTGCATGAACAACCCAGTGAATACCATGGCTTTCTGGTTTCCAGCCCCCACTCTTCCAGTTTCCTTCTCCTCCGTACCCCTTCAACCACCCACTCCCACAAGAACATTTTGGAAATATATCATCACCAAAAACCATCCCACCGACAGAATTAATAATTCAAGCATCTTTCCCTCTCACCATAGCCCCCTCTACTTTCAGATTATTAATCTACCCCTGTAGACCATCTTTGATCATTTTCACAATGTCTGGTGTTTTAATCTTCAACTTTCTCCCAAACTGTTGGCTTTTCCCTTTCTTCCCTTTCACTCTTTTTTATTTTATTTTAATTTATTTTAATTATTTTAATTTTTTAATTTTTTATTTTTTCCCTTTCACTCTTAATAGCTCAAAATATATAATTCATTATTTCCGTGATACTGCCTCAAATGCCAAACTCTCTTGCTTCTCTGTTTTTTCTTTTTTTTACCCATATGATAACACTTAAGATAAACTAAGCCATTTTCTAACTCCATGCCTTCATTCAAGCAGCCAAGAGATACATGATAAAGTCACACCAATAGCAGATTCACTCCCACACATTTATTTTTTAAATTATTTATTTTTATTTTTTAGAGACAGCCTTCTTCTGTCATCTAGGCTGGAGTGCAGTGGTGCTATCATAGCTCACTGCAACCTTTGAAATCCTGGCCTCAAGTGATCCTCTCACCTTGGCTCCCCCAAAGTGCTGGGATTATACGTGTGAGTCACTGTGCCCCACCAGCCTATTCCTGCAAATTTTCACTGCTCCATATTTAGATCTAATCATCCACTCTGATATTTTCCACAAATGATATCTCTCTTTAAAACAACTGTTGTGAACTCTATCACTTGCATAAATAGGGAATACAATGGCTATACCGTGTAAAGGATATTGATACCATAAACACTCAGGTGCCCACCAATCACTATAAGAAATAGAAAATTACGTGACACAGTGGCTTTTCAAATATTTCCTGCTCTCCTTCATTTTCTGACTTCCTTATCACACCCACACACAGTAGATATCATCAGAGTGCAGCTCCCATTTTCCAGGTTCCAAATCTACAGACCTGGCACCATAGGCATCTACTCATCCTCCTTCCTCCAGTTTCTATAAACATGTTCATTTTTAAGGTCATTTTATAAGCAATCCCTTAGAGAACTCTCTTAGATTTTACACACGCTCATATTTTTTCTTTTTAAAAATACCATTCCAGGCCAGGCACGGTGGCTCATGCCTATAATCCTAGGACTTTGGGAGGCCGAGGTGGGCGGATCTCTTGAGGTCAGGGGTTCAAGATCAGTCTGGCCAACATGGTGAAACCCTGTCTCTACTAAAAATACAAAAATTAACCGGGTGTGGTGGCGCATGTCTGTAGTCCCAGCTACCTGGGAGGCTGAGGCAGGAGAATGGCTTGAACCCAGGAGACGGAGTTTACAGTGAGCCAGGATCGTGCCACTGCACTCCAGCCTGGGCGACAGAGCAAGACTGTCTCAAAAAAAAAAAAAAAAAAAATTCCTTGAACCAACATGCCCTTCAGGTACCAATCCATTTCTTGCTTTCTTTCCGCAGTCCAATTTCTCAAGCGTTGCCAGTACTCGCTATCTTAGTTTTTCCCACCCACTACTCATTACTTAACCCACACTGGTCTGGCTTCTGTACCCATAACTCCTCAAACAGCTCTTACGCATTCAACCTGTGGCCTCCAAGTGGTTTTGTCTGGTAAAACATTTTTAAAAATCATCCTTTGTGTCCTTGGAGTAGAAAGGAAGACTTCAGTATGTGTTTTGTCCGTCATTTTCATGGAAGTTTTTTCTGCATCTTTTTTTTTTTTTTTTTGCTGCATTCTATAATATATTTTGGGTAAGGGGCCTTCCTGTATTAGGTGGGTGACTCTACAGATCTTTGGACTATATAACTCCACTGTAACTTGTGTGTTCTTTCTTACATCATGAGGTCTCAGCTTAAGGGCAACCACTCTACACTCTGTGCAGGGGTCTTCTGGGCTCCTGAATACCCTCACTTTGCTGCCTGCCAATTACTCCCTGGTGTTCCTGCCACCCTCTGCTGCCGTGTCTTTCAGGAAGTCTATTGCGTGAGGCTGCAACTGGCTGTGAAATCTAGTGAATAATATCCTGAGACAGCTGAGCCCATTAAATAACTCTTAAAAATGTACTCCAGGTTTGTTCTGATAGTTAGCTGGCATTATCCCCCGGCCCATGTATTAGGGCACTCACCCACACTAAGTTCTGATCTTACATTTTCTCCCCTCCTCTCCACTCCACTCTGCTTAGTGAGAAATTCTTGACGAGATCTTGAGCCATCAGCTCAGTCCAAGAAAACTTCAATTTGCTAGCCTGAATCTCTGTTTCTAGCCCTTAATTTTTTACTTGAAGCCATTCTAAGATTTTAATAGGGTAACATGTTTCCTTAACTCATGGGGGATGAGGGGGGCCTCTCCGCATGTCTAAATTACCGAGAGTGATAAACATTTCAGTCCCTGTGATGCCATCTGCTTTCTGCTCTCCAGAAGTTGTTTCTAATTTGTTTTTTGGTACTCTCATTTTGTTTCCCGACAATGCTCCAGAAGTTTTCTTTGTTTTTATGTTTTTGGATTTCTGTATTATGGAGAGGGATGGGGTGCTAAAAAGTTTCTCACTTTGCCATCTTAAAACTGAAAAGCTACCTTCTCTGATGGGTTCTGTGAGTTGTATAAATGTATCATTTGAATCCAGTGGTTTGAGAAATATGATCTCATCCAAGCAGCCCAAACTCAAAGCCTGGTCCACTTTCTGCCCATACGACAGGGGCGAGTGACTGCAACACACACCCCAGCTGTCTCACATGTAGCATGGAAATTGATCATTGTTCAGAGTAAATGAAGTCCTATTTTCAAAGTCACTTAGCACACTGCCTGAGACATTGTGGGTGCAGGCTGGAAGGAGGTTTTACTGGACAATTTGAATACAGTCATGCAGTGGGGAAGTTCACCCATATCTTTTCTCCTATGCTGCTCAGAATGAAGAGGTTGGTGTCTCCACTTCCTAGAGTGTTTTGTGGGTCAAGGTTTGCTCCTATGGAGGGCTTCCAGTCCTGCCATTTGGTCCAGTCCATGTGTCTCTAAACCTGGGGAATCTTTATCAGGTCAAAGCTAGAATTTTCCTTTTTTTTTTTTTTTTCCTGGTACCAGGTAGCTGTCAGCAGCACAGGTTTACATGTTCCTAGTACCTTTTGTTATTTGGTACTCTCATCTTGTTTTCCAGCAGTGCTTCAGAGGTTTTCCCTGTTTTTCTATGTTTGCATTTCTGTATTATGAAAAAGGATAGAATGCTAAAAAAATTTCAATTTTTCTCAATTTCTAGTTCCAATAGAAATAAATTTACTTATTCCCCCAAATTTCCCATGCCAAGAGATTTAAAATTGAGTACCTTTCTTAAAAAGAGAAAAATGTCTAGGATGGATGGAGTATACTGGAAGGCCGAGGTGGATCAGCTAGGCCTGGACCTCACAGATGGTCCCATCTGAGCCACAGAAACTATGATTGGGACAGGTGTTTTTTTCCCAAGGAAAATCAGAAGGGTGAATGAATGCTTGGCAGGAAAAAACAACAGGCATCCATTACATGCACTATCTTCCTTTTCTGTTTGTGGTGGCCATCTGAAGTCAGGGGGAGCACTAGGGACCCTCATTAGCGTCTTTGAATGCCCTCCTTACAAGAACGTGATGCCAGTCCATGCCACGTGAAAGCTGAGGTCAAACGTTGTGGACAGATGTCCTGTGTGCACTGTCCTGGTGCAGCTGCCAAAATCCTTTGATTTATCCCAAGCCAACTGTCTAGTTATTTTCCTTACTGGCCATTCGCTACTCACTGGGGGGTTTCCCAGGGATGTTCCATCTATTTTCTTCTATTTACTTTCTGTGTTAAATCTCTTATTTTCCTCCATCTGACATAACTTACACAACATCATTACTGACTTATTAATGCCACTTTTCTGATTCTTAGTGCTAATGACTTTCTTCTTTTTATATTTTTTGGTCAATTCTATGGATTCTGAGAGAAAGCAAATTTAAATATGCAAAATTGAATTGCCATGTTATATTTAAACTCACACTTAAAACCTGTAATCATCTTCACTTTGTGTTCAGTATTTCTTCATACTCTGTTTTGCCATTTTATGCCATATGCTCTGATCAGCACACATATACTCAGATTGCTAAGTACCAGTCATGACTATTCTAATTTATTTGAACCAAGGGGCATTGAGAAAAGACCATGAATGATGCTCCCAAACCATCACGATCCTTGTAAGAATCCTTAAGGCAATAACTTTCAATGTGAAGTTGATTCTAACTTGCCTAGTTGTTCAATAAATATTAAATGGTAATGATTCCAAAGAAACCATGTTGTTGGTAATCTCATCCTATTTAATATTGTATCTCTGCAATCATGTATGAGTAAATTCTTCAAAAATCAAATTTAGTATTTTCATAATATTGCTGAAATTATAAACCACTGTGTTATTGTGTCTTTCCACTTAGTTTCATTTTTCAACAATAGCACACTAAAATGAAATATCATTCTGAAATAACTAAAAAAAGGTAGCAATAATTATTGTTTGTTCCTTTGGAAAAAATATTTTTAGAAGGTGAGATAACTTAGGTTTGAAGTTTTCCTCCGAATGTTTACAAGAGGGAACATGGGGTCCGAACTGTTGTAGACAATAGACAAATAGGTTTCTCGGCGGCCAGAATCTGATTACGGTGAAAACAGAACCTTACTGTGGGAACTGGAGAGAGCAGTGCCTCTTGAACTTAAGCAAGTGAGTGTATTTTAGCCCAAGATAAACAAAGTCATTGCAGGGTTTTGACCTGAAAATGAGGTTAGAGATAATACTATAATATTTCAGTTGTACAAATCAAGACATAAACATGTTCCATCCTCTGCAGTTGCATGAAGCAATATATGTGCTTGTTCAAACAACAGACCAACCTGCCTGGGTTGGAATCCCGGCTCTGCTTTTACAAACTGTGTATAATAGATAACATTGATACCTGCCTTGATCTCCTTTTCTGGGTCAGTGCACGCATCTCCAGCTGCAATGAATTTTGTTTGCTCTTGGCTCTTAGCCGCTCTCTTCCAATAATTGCCTTGGGCCAAATCGGAGCCATCTCATCATCCCCCATGATGGCAAGCGACCATTGACTAAGTGACATGCAGGGTACAAAGACCAGCACACGGGCCTTAAGTGACACCAACTCTGTGTCGCAATCCACTCTCCAGAGCTCCAGGCTGAATCTGTTCTCCATCCTAGACCATTCCTTGCTTAGTTTTTTCCTCCTTATCTGCCTTGCTTCCTTTACTCTCCTTCTCTGAGAGTGTTCCGTCAGTAAATCACTTTCATAAGAATCCTTACATTAGGAGCTGCTTCCAGGGCACCCAAACTAAGCCAGTTGGTTCTGCAATTGTTCCTAGGAAGTAGACACAGGCAGGATGGGATTCCAGAGGTTAATCACTTGTCTCTTCAAAGGCAAGTAGGAGCCTATTACTGGTGGCAGCTGGAGTATTGATAGTTACTGGCATGCTCTAGGAGGTTACAACTTTATCTATGTTGAGATAGCACAGGGGAACAGTAACTATCAGGGCTATGAAACTGAGTGGCCATTGATAAGGACTAATAATGCATTGAGGAGAGAAACAAAAAGGCTCAGTTCTATTAAAAATAAATTAAAAACAAAGTGTGAAAGTCAGAGAATCTTCTTGGTAGCATTTAAAGGGATATTTGTCTTTTGCAGCCAGAGGACAGCAATACTAAAAACAAGACTCAGGAGTTAACTTTAAAAATGAAAGAACATCAAAGAAGGCTGAATTCTTAGCCCAAACAAGTCTTTTATGTTGAAGTTCGGGTCCTGGTATAGAAGAAGTGGGACTCTGAGACATGGAATGGGGACATATATGTAGACACTGAGAAGTGTCCCACTCTCTTTGTTGAAAGGTGGAAGTGGCCCCTTCTACTTGTTCAAAGACTATGCAGAGGCCTTAAATGAATCAGGTGCACTATAAGAAAATGCTTGCCTTCCCCAGGATTTGCAACCACTTGGACACTAGACTCATTAATAGGGCAAGAGTTCAGCATAACCAGAATAACTCTACTGGAGATCTGGTCCTGCTGAAGAGAGGGATCATATATCAAAGGAAATGCAGGACGTGATTCATGTGTGCAAGTAGGAGAGTGTGGAAGTGAATCATCCGCATGCCGGATCAAGGACAGTCAAATAAAAGCTGGAGAAAGAAGAGATTATCAATATGAGATCCCTTTTCTGTGACACAAGATTAAACACCATGGCAATGGCTCTGAGTGACAGGTTTAGTAAGCTGCTAGGAAGGTTCCTGGAAGCATGAAAAAAGTGATGATGCATATTAAACAAAGTGAAGATGCTATAACTTCCATGGAAGTCTATAGAGAAAATATTTCAAGGACCCAGGGGATTTGGCATGCCAGAATGTATTTACTGTATAAAACTGGGAAACCCACTAATGTGTACATTCCTTGGGAGGGCTTAGAGGACACTTTATCAAAGCAGTAGGAATGAGCTGGTGAGGAAGGTGTCAGTATTGTTGAGAAGCCCAGTGGTGCTGTCCTTTATGGGCAGGGTTGACAGTAGGAGATGCTGTAATTGTGCCTCCCAGGAGCAATGTGGATGATAGGATTTTAGAATAGCAGAGGCCAACAGACAGCACTTAACCAATGGAAATTAGAAGGGCATAATTAGCATAATGCAAAGCAACTTGGGATGACAGTCAGGGGAACCTGATCCACAGGGATTTACGGTGATGGCTAATAGAACATGATGTCCATAAGAATGGGAAAGATGGGAACTCAGTGACAATATTATTAATATACATACCCTAAGAAATCAAGAACAGACAAGCAGAAAACAAGAAGCTGACCCAACAGGAAGTCTCCTGATCTTGCCCAGTTTCCAGACCGAAGTCATTTCTCAGTTACAGCATCTACAGACAGAGAGTCCAGAGCCCCATGAAGAAAGACTCTACCACAGTGTGTACGGTAATTCTCCCTCCGACCTTCCTTAAAGGGACCTCCAGAAATTACTCAGGTAACCACATATTAAGGAAAGGGGAAGACCCAGATCTTTTGAGGGCTTTTCAACACAGAGCCTGATTTGATGCTGGTACTTGGAAACCCCAAGAGCCATGATGCCCCCTGCTCCTGTTAGAGTAGGTGTATGTGTGAGGATCAGGTAATAACTGAAGTTCTGACTCAGGTCTGTCTTAAACTGGGTCCACTGGGGCCCTGTAGGTACCTGGAGGTCATTTCCCTGATTTCCAAATGTGTAACTGCAATGACATATGAGTTGCAGCCATATTCCTAAGTGAGGAATATACTGCTTCCAGATCTTGAAGACAATTACCAAGCACTGGGCTTTCTTTTTAGTAAATAAAGATTTAAACATGATGTTTAAAAATACTGAGAAGACCAAGTCCCAGTAAAATCCAGATCTCTAGGTCCCTGAAAAAATATGGTGATCCTTGAGTTTTACAGGGTTTATCTCCCACCCTTTGGGGTGCATATTTCTTACCAAAGCCTCCAATCTATTTGCTACCTCTTGCTCGTGTGTATGGATCACCATGATGGTGCTGATTTGGTGGATTAATGTGATGTTCTGTGGAATGTCCAACTGGTCTCATTCCCTTGTACTATGGGATGACAGAGGGTAGGGCAATTAATGCAGCCCTGGGGACAGACTTTAAGTGAACGTAATGTGCCTCTGATCCTTCTTCCAGCTAGAAATGAAAGAGAACGCAGGTTTACCAGCACACTCCTGGACAGGACACTTGGTCAGCACCAATACTTGCAATCCCTCCCTCATTCCAACCTCTAACCACTGCCTCCTATCCTGATAATATCCTGCTTTCTATTAATTACTTGACCTACAATCTATTTATGTGACTAACGTTTCACGATTTCTCTCCATTTGCATGTCATCACTTCATTCCTTGCCCAGCTTAAATGGTTTCAGCATTATATCAGTCCTTGCATATACCCTTGATATCCTTGTCTTTCTTCTAACTCTGCCTTCTGCACACCTGCTTTATGCACCAGAACATGACTCTAGAGAATCATGGAACATGTTGAAATTCTCACTTTAAATTCATAATCACTAATCCCAAGCTGGACCTTAGTGCTGCCCAGAAATCCTACCACCTTCAATTGTATTAATATTTTCACTCTCCTTATCCTCTTCCTCCAAATTTATAGCACTTTCCCCCTTCTTATTCTCCTTTTTTCACTTCACTGAGAAAAAAAAAAGCTAGCAGAAGAGAATTCTGTCATCTCCCATCCACACATCTACTCACTTACTGGATCTGGATCCTATACCAGATTCCATCCCCTTTCATTACCGCAAGATGTTATGTAAGCCTCCCTTCTCTTCTGCTTCATCATTCCAGTCTTCTTTCTTCTAGACCATTCTTTTTGTTGTTGTTGTTGTTGTTGTTGTTTTTGTTGTTGTTTTTTTTTGTTGAGACGGGGTCTCACTCTGTTGCCCAGGCTGGAGTACAGTGGTGTGATCTCGGCTCACTGCAACCTCTGCCTCCCAGGTTCAAGTGATTCTCCTGCCTCAGCCTCCTATCTGGGATTATAGGCGTGTGCCACCATGCCTGGCTAATTTTTGTATTTTTAGTAGAGACGGGGTTTCACCATGTTGGTCAACTCCTGACCTCATGATCTGCCTGCCTCAGCCTCCCAAAGTGCTGGGATTACAGGTGTTAGCCACCATGCCAGGCTAGACCATTCTTATTATCATACAGTCAAACATGCTGTAATTTCTCTCACTTTAAATAAAACTCTTTCTTGAACATGCAAATCCCTTCCAGCACCAATGCCTTTTCTCTGTGCCCCTTTACAGAAAAGAATCATTGAAATAGCTGTCTGTATTGTTTTCCTATCTTCTGTTCCCATGCTCTTTTGATCTCACTTCCAGGATTCCGCACTGCAATCCATCAACATTGCTCTTGTTAAGGTTACTGATGACCTTTCTATTATTGCTCAATCCATTCATCCATTTTCAGCGGATCAGTTAATCCATTTTCATCACCTCACTTGCTCTATCACTAGCATTTGACATAACGAAACACTGACTCTTTACTTTTGTTTCCAGGACAGGGAGGTTCAACTATTATTCCTTTCATACTCATTACATTTTGGAAAACTATATGCCCTCTCACACATTCATTTTGCTGTCATTTAATTGGTCATAGTATTTTATTTTTTTTTTTTTGAGACGGAGTCTTGCTCTGTTGCCAGGCTGGAGTGCAGTGGTGTGATCTCGGCTCACTGCAATCTCTGACTCCCTGGTTCAAGTGATTCTCTTGCCTTGGCCTCCTGAGTAGCTGGGATTACAAGCATGTGCCACCATGCCCAGCTAATTTTTGTATTTTTAGTAGAGACGGGGTTTCACCATGTTGGCCAGAATGGTCTCGATGTCCTGACCTCATGATCCTCCCACCTTGGCCTCCCAAAGTGCTGGGATTACCAGCATGAGCCACTGTGCCCGACGGGTTATAGTATTTTTTAAAACACTTCTAAATTTGAAATTATTTCGCACTCAAAGAAGAGTGGCCAAGATAGTACTGAGAATACTGATGAACATTTTCCCCAGCTTCCCCTCACGTGAACATATTATATAACCATCGTCCATTTGTCAAAACTAAAAAATTCACATTGGTACAAAACTGCACTTTATTCTGATTTCACCAGTTTTTTTCACTGATGTCCTTTTTTCTGTCCCAGGATTTAATCTAGGACCTACAATTTTGCATTTAGTCATCATGCCTCCTTAGTCTCTTCCAATGTGTGACAGTTTCTCAGTCTCCTTGTTTTTCATGACTTTGACACTTTTGAAGAATGCTACTCAGGTATTTTATAAGATACCCCTCAATTTGGGTTAATCCAAAATTTTCTTATGATTGGGCTGGTGTTATGGAGTTTGGGGAAAAGTTCTACCATAGAGGAAAATAGTGTTTCTGATTCCAGCATACACAATGTGTGTAAAGAGTGTATACAATGTTAGCATGACTTATTACTGGTGATATTAACCCTGGTCACTTGGTTAAGGCGTTTCTGCCAGATTTCTCCACTATAAAGGCAGCACTTTCTCCTGTTCACACTCTATTCATTAGGAGCAAGTTATTAAATCCTACCCTCACCCAGGAAGAAGGAATTAGACTTCCTCTCTTGAAGGGAGGAGTCTCAAGGAATTTAATCCACTGTAGTTAATTCAGACTATGGGGAGTTTCTTGGATGTTATACAAATATACTGTTTCTTCTTAAGTCTTTGGCCACTAATTTCAGCATTCATCAGTAGATCACACCTGCAATAATCATTATTCTGCTGCCTTCACGACCTTTCATACATTTTTAAGTTGACATCGAAAATTTTCTTCTTAAGTTTAAATCTTTGTATATTCGTATACTACCTGAATTTCAGCACTGTGTGTGTGTGTGTGTGTGTGTTTGTGCGTGTGTGTTTCCCTCAGAATCTTAGAGTTGCATATTTATACATATCTAATGTATGGAAAAATATCTGCCATATAATCTAACTGGCAAAACCAGTCTTCACAGTAAAAATCAACCATGCAGGGAAGCATATTTTTTCTGTCAGAAAAAAAAACTGGCTTCATTTTAATTAAGATAAACATTTTAATACACATCTCTGTCACAAACTTCTCACCTCCAAATTCTAATGCATGGAAAGACAGACAGATGTATAGCCATAGCACAAAACCTTCTCATGAATTCGTTCCCTGGATATACTAAGGTGCTGTCTTTTTCCCTTTTACTCTTTTTTTTTTTTTTTTTTTGGCATTCATCACAATGCCTTTAATTTTACTTATTTTTTTTAAATTATCTTTTGAAGTTTTTGTGAGTACATAGTAGGTATATATATTTATGGGGTATATAGTTTGTCTCTGTGTCCCCACCCAAATCTCATCTTGTATCTCCCATAACTCCTACGTGTTGTGAGAGGGATCCGATGGGAGATGATTGAATCACGGGGGCGGGGCTTTCCTGTGCTGGTCTCATGATGGTGAATGGGTCTCACGAGATCTGATGGTTTTAAAAACGGGAGTTTCTCTGCACAAGCTCTCTTTGCCAGCTGCCATCCACATAAGATGTGACTTGCTCCTCCTTGGCTTCCTCCATGATTGTGAGGCCTCCCCATGTGGAACTGTAAGTCCAATAAACCTGTTTCTTTTGTAAATTGCCCAGTCTCGGGTATGTCTTTATCAGCAGCATAAAAACGAACTAATACAGGGTACATGAGATATTTTGATACAGGCATGCAATGTGAAATAAGCACATCATGGAGAATGGGGTATCTATCCCCTCATGCATTTATCCTTTGTGTTACAAACAATCCAGTTACATTCTTTATTTTAAAATATGCAATTCAGTTATCATTGACTATAGTCGCCCTATTATGCTATCAAAGAGTAGGATTTATTCTTTTGTTTTATTATTTTTGTACCCATTAACTATCCCCATCTCCCCCTATATCCCTCCACTACTCTTCCCAGGCTGGTAACAACCTTTTTTTTTTTTGGACGAAGTCTCGCTTTGCTGCCAGGCTAGAGTGCAGAGGCGCAATCTTGGCTAACTGCAATCTCCGCCTCCCGGGTTCACGCCATTCTCCTGCCTCAGCCTCCTGAGTAGCTGGGACTACAGGCGCCTGCCACCACGCCCGGCTAATTTTCTGTATTTTTTAGTAGAGACGGGGTTTCACCGTGTTAGCCAGGATGGTCTCGATCTCCTGATCTCGTGATCCGCCCGCCTCGGCCTCCCAAAGTGCCGGGATTACAGGCGTGAGCCACTGGGCCCGGCCAATTTTTGTATTTTTAGTAGAGACGGGGTTTTACCATATTGGCCAGGATGGTCTCGAGTTCTTGACCTCGTGATCTGCCCGCCTCGGCCTCCCAACGTCCTGGGATTACAGGCCTGAGCAACCCCGCTCAGCCTGTAACCACCTTTCTACCCTCTATGTCCATGAGTTCAATTGTTTTTATTTTTAGATCCCACAAGTAAGTGAGAACATGCAATGTTTATGTTTTTGTGCCTGGCTCATTTCACTTAACATAATGATCTCCAGTTCCATCTATGTTGTTACATATGACTGGATCTCATTCTTTCTTTCTTTCTTTTTTTTTTTAATGGCGGAATAGAACTCCATTGTGTATATGTACCACATTTTCTTTATCCATTCCTCTGTTCACAGACATTTAAGTTGCTTCCAAATCTTAGCTATTGTAAACAGTGCTGCAACAAATAAGGTGTGCAGATGTCTCTTCAATATACTGATTTCCTTTGTTTTCGGTATATACCCAGCAGTAGGATTGCTGGGTTATATGGTAGCTCAATTCTTAGTTTTTTGAGGAACCTCAAAACTGTTCTCCATAGTTGTACTAATTTACATTTCTACCAAAAATGTACAAAGCTTGTCTTTTGGATATAAGTCATTTTAACTGGAATGAGATGATAGCTCATCGTAGCTCTGGTTTGCATTTCTCTGATGATCAGTGATGTTGAGCATCTTTTCATATGCCTGTTTGCCATTTGTATGTCTTCTTTCAAGAAATGTCTATCCAAATCTTTTGCCCATTTTTTGGATGGGATTATTAGATTTTTTCCTATAGAGTTGTTTGAGCTCCTTATATATTCTGGCTATTAATATCTTGTCGGAGGGGTAGTTTGCAAATATTTTCTCCCATTCTGTGGGCTCTCTTTCACTTTGTTGATTGTTTGCTTTGCTGTGCAGAAGCTTTTTAACTTGATATGATCCCATTTGTCCATGTTTGCTTTGGTTGCCTGTGCTTGTGGGGTGTTGCCAAGAAATCTTTGCCCAGCCAATGTCCTAGAGAATTTCCCCAAGATTTTCTTGTAGTAGTTTTATAGTTTGCGGTTCTAGACTTAAGTCTTTAATCCATTTTGATTTGATTTTTGTATATGGTGAGAGATGGGGGTCTGGTCTCATTGCTTTGCATACAGATATCCAGTTTTCCCAGTACCATTTATTGAAGAGACAGTCTTTTCCCCAGTGTACATTCTTGGCAACTTCGTGGGAAATGAGTTCACTGTAGGTGTGTGGATTTGTTTCTGGGTTCTCTATTCAGTTCCATTGTTACGTGTCTGTTTTTATGCCAGTCCCCTGCTGGTTTGGTTATTATAGCTCTGTAGTATAATTTGAAGTCAGGTAATGAGATTCCTCCAGTTTTGTTCTTTTTACTTAGGGATAGCTTTGGGTATTTCCTTTTACCCTTTCTTACAAAGTGTTTGTTTTTAGAAAACACACACTCAGGAATGATCAAAAGCGCTTGCTTTTTTTTTTTTTTTTAATTATTTTTCGGAGTAATGTTCCACAGTAAGATTCAGAATCAGTACCAGGAATGCCTTTCTTTTGTAAACCAGAAAAAATGCAAAAACGGAAGTGGAAAAGAAGAACTGGAAGTCCACAAATGCCTTCTCAAGCATCTTTTTAAGGAAAGTGGTCAAAAGGAGTTTGTGTATCTGGAAGTTGAGTTCTTTAAAGCTTCTTATGCTCACATATACTCTGGAAAATCTTGTGACCCCAGGGTATGTATGGCAATGCACTATATCAATAACGTGCTCTAAATTATTGGAGATCTAAACAATCCTCTTATTTGAGCAAAAATAGATGTATTTGCTTGTCTCCCAAGATATTTGACAAAAGTCATCAAGCATTCTATTATCAAAAATTATTTTAATTGATGTATCACCTGGCTATTCACCTAGTTTCTGTTATAATTTGGCTGGAAGAGAACGTGGAGAGAGGTGTGATAAGATCCTTATGGCAAGGTAATTGAAAAGTAAAGAGCACTGAAAGTCTTTGCAGATAACAGCATTCTTGGGGAGGAGCATTCCTGTACCGTTGAGATTTTGGTTGGTTCTTTTCAAATCCTCAGTTCTGCAAAAAAACATAAAAGTTACTTCTATGTGAGCCCCCAAAGGATATCACCAAGATATCTTTCCATTTAAAAAAAGTAAGATACAAATTTAATTTTAAATTTTCTTTTACCAAAAGACTATGTGATCCAACGTTCTGCAGTATTGGGTTATCATTATAATTATTATTCACAATTTCTCAAAAACATGCATATCATATAAATGTTAATATGTAAATATTAAACATTAAAATTAAATTTTATTGGAAATGTGTATCTTAATGAGGTGAATTGAAGTTTATTTTTCTTTTAGTTCACTTATTTATGAATGAATATTGCTAATTGCTGGAATAAGATAACTCTTAGAACAATATCTGTTCCTTTTTTTCATTTATATATACCTAAATATCGAGAAAACTAACTTACACAAATAAGTAAATAGGAATAGAATGTTATTGTACTGTTACTAAATTATTTATGTTTCTCCCAAGATATTTGGCAAAAGTCACAAAGCATTCTATTACTAAAAATTCTTTTAACTGATGCATCAGCTGGCAATTCAACTAGTTTATCTTATAATTTGGCTGAAAGAGAAAATTAGAAACCATTTGACTCGATGGTTTTCTAATTGTTAGCATCATTCACCTTCTCAACAGGGACACTGTCATTTTAGTAATCTCACTGTGTGTCATTCCAGATGTTTTTATACCCAGAGCCATGCTAATGGTAAGATTCATAAGGGGGTGAGGAGTGACTGCAGTTTATTAGGTGGGAGAAGAGTTGTTACAAAAGAAGCATTGGGAAGCAAGAATCTGCACGTTCATCATTGAAACATCCTCAAATCTAGTGATTTTAGCAAAGCATGCATAGGAAATTGAGGGCTTAGGAGTCTGTTTCCTTATGATTGTTTACCTCTTGGATACGTTTGATATAGCCTGCTCTAATAACTGCCTGTTGAGGGTGCCTGACTCTCCCAGTTTTCCTCCTTCCCTCCCTGATCATCCCTTTTAAATTTCTTTTGCAGGCTTTTCCTCACCCCTGAATGCTCCAACCAGTCCTCAGAAAGCTACATTCTTTCTCCTGGGGATCTCATCCATTTCCATGGCTTAACTACCACCAATAGGTTGAACTACCACCAATAGGTTGACAGCACCCAGAGATTTTTTTTTTCTATAGTGGGATCTTTTGGTGAGCACTCAATTCATATAACAAACTCTCTCCATAACGTCCCTAGTGAGATGTCTAGCAGACATCTTAAACTTAACTTGTCCTAAACCAAACTTCTAACCTGCTCCCTGATATGGTTTGGCTCCATCCTCTCCCAACTCTCATCTTGAATTGTAGCCCCCATAATTCCCATGTGTTTTGGAAGGACCCAGTGAGGGATAATTGAATCATGGGGGCGATTTTCCCCATACTGTTCTTGTGATAGTGAATCAGTCTCATGAGATCTTATGTTTTTATAAGGGGTTTCTGCTTTTGCTTGGTTCTCATTCTCCCTTGTCTGCCACCGTGTAAGACGTGCCTTTGGCCTTCCGCCATGATTTTGAGGCTTCCTCTGCCACACAGAACTGTGAGTCCCTTAACTTCTTTTTATTTATAAATCACCCAGTCTCAGGTATGTCTTTATCAGCAGCGTGAAAACGGACTGTTACATTCCCCCTCCCTAATTTTCTTCTTCCGTAGTCTTCCCCATGAAAGTTAATTTGGAGTCATTCTTTAGCTACCAGCCAATGCTGTTGGCTCTACCTTCAATTTCCAAAATTTGGTCTCCAATACTATCTCTTATGGGTTGTTCCTGATACCGCAGCCTAATGAATTCTTTAAAAACACACCAGAGAAGAGAAGAACCCTCCAGCACCGATTTTTTTTCTCTGTCTCTCAAAAAGTAAAAGACAAACTCCTTAAAATTTCCACAATCCCATACGTGGTTGGTCCCTACTTTTCTAAAGTCATTCTGGACTGTTCTGCTCACTCACTCCATTCCAACTCCACTGGCCTGCTCAGGCACGTCAGGTGGGCTCCTCCCTCCAGACCTTGCCATTGGCCATTCCTTCAACCGGGATTCTTATTATCCAACGTATTTATATGGCTTATTCCATCCCCATCCTCTTCTTCAGGTCTTTGCTCAAATGGTCAACTGTGAGGTCTTCTCCAACTCCCAATTGAGTATTGTATCCCATCCCTCCTCTACACTCCTAATTCCTCATTCTTGTATCATTTTCTCTATAGCACTTTTCATTCATGATGTTCTGCATGCTTTACTTGTTTATTATTATATTACATTTTCTGTTTTCCTTCACTGTGTCTCCTATGAGGAGAGCTATTTTTGTCTGCTGTATCTCTAGGGCCAAGAACAATGACTGGGCTCATAGTAAAAATTCAATAAATATGTGTTGAGTGATAAGTAAATGAGACAACTATGCCACTAAATTGTAAAATGTAATAATGTTCCTGGAGGGTTTTTCTCCAGGGTTTTGTATTCTGCTGTCTCAGCATAGATTCTGCATTTTCTTCTGCAGTTAAGACATTTCAGAGATTTGCAACTCATTAATTCTCAGAAAAGAATAAAAGATTTGGAATATTTTCTTTTTAATTATTCCTGATGAGGTTTGAGAGATGAGCCATCCTGCAAGTGCAGTCAGCACATTCTTTTGGGACATCCACTAAGCTATGTATATAAGTATTTTTTTTTTCTTGCTTTCCTTAACCCTGTTTTGTCCCAGATCAAAAATACTGACCCTGAGACTTGCTTCCCCTATTGGGTCAGCTGCCCTGCTTCCTCATCTCGTTTGCTGATGCAGACTCCAGTCTGCTGCTCTAGTCTGTGTTCCAGGAAGAGTTGGCTCCTCTCCTTGAGGAATTGGGGGCCTGGATGAGGAGTAACCCTGTGTTTGCAGCCAGATGTCTGGTCACATCTTCCCGCTAGGTCAGCATGGTGGGGCATGCAAAGTCCAAGCTGATGTGCTTGACTCCAAAGCAGAAAACATTGTGACTTTATAGTCCCTATGAGTTATCTAGATTAACTGAGAACCCTAATTCTTGCCTTGGTTTCAAGGCCCCTCAAGGTCCTCTATTTGGAGAAACTAAATTACTCTTAATGGGGCTTTGCATAGGAAGTTGTTTTCTGTCCACTGAAAAATAGGACACGGTCCCCTTTTCCACTCCTCTCTCCACGCACACTCTCACACACACCCCACACTCAGGAAAGGCATGGTGTGGTATTTAAACATCCAGAGTGAGACCATCAGGGTGTGAAACTGGTTCTATCATTTACAAACTGTAAGGACAAGAGCAAGTAGATTAATCTCTCTGTGCATGAGTTTTCTCATTTGAAAAATGAGAACATTCTACTTATCTGGTAGAATTGTAATAAATTAAATAATACATTATAAGCACTTGGAACTATTCCTGACAGTAATGCTAAATCAATGTTAGTTATTATTTTTATGATCCCAATTTGAATTGTATTATAGGAAATTACACATTACCCATATCTCCTGTAGTCAAGGCAACTAGGCCACCAAACCTTCCAATGGTGAAAGTTCCCAGTTGGCAGACGGGATCATCCTGGTGCTGATTTAAGTCTAGCATTCATTCACCACCTTGGCAGTGGTATGGTTAAAAGTCAGAATTCTTGGCTTCCAGTCTTTTTTTCTGCCACTACCCAGCTCTGTGAACTCAGGCAAGTTACCTAACCTCCTATGCCTTGTCTTCCTGATCTGTAAAATGGAGGTAATAATAGTGACTCACAAGGTTGTCGAGAATATTAAATGAAATAATATATGGAAAGGGCCATATCATCAACACTGCAAACCTAACATAAGGAGCCCATTGTTTTCCATTTCCAGGTTCTTCTGGTTCCATTTGCTGCCCTTTTCTTAGTGTATCTGGACTGCTTGGATCCTTCCTTATGACCTTTTCACTTCTTGGCTCTCTCAGATGACTGGGGTCAAGAGGATACAGAATAGCACGCAAGGAGTCCTGGGTTCTCCATAAAACCAACAGTTCTAAGTCCTGGTTTGCTGGAAGCTGGAGAGATATTAATGCTAAACTCTGCCTACTTCTCATGCACCTGGCAACTGCTTTCAGTCATGGAATCCAGGAGAATTTCTAGCTCTATGTGCCCAGCTGAGGTGGAAGAGAATGGTAGCAACTGGGGAAGTGGCCAAAGAAGGAGACTGTACTCAAGCCCACATGGTCTTCCTACACTTTGTTCCACCATTGAGCCAGGCACTTCCATCATATAAAAGAGGCCCCTTTTCACTGAACCATTGGCCCTGCTCTATTCTTCAAACTGTTTGTCTTTTCTTCTCTAGTTTTCCAGATTCTGAACTTTCTACTCTTTCTTCTATTTTATTCTTTGGACTTAGATGTCCGTTTCTCTTTTCCTAATGACAAGCCATAATTTAGAATTAAGCATATGTACATGTGCCACATTTTCTAACCTGCACGCTGTGCACATGTACCCTAGAACTTAAAGTATGATCAAAAATAATAAATAAATAAATAAATGAATTTAAAAAAAGAATTAAGGATATGTAAACTTAATATGTATAAAACAAGGATAACTTTATCTGCTCTTATAAATTTTGTAGCACTTATCAGCAAAACTATCTGTGTCTGAGGCTTTTTGAGTGTAAAGGATTTAATTATTATTACTGTTTTTTGTGTGGGTCAATTTTGGCATTTCGGATAATTTTTCTAGAGGTATATTTATCTAATTTATCCTTCCTTCCTTCCTTCCTTCCTCCCTCCCTCCCTCCATCTCTCTCTCTCTCTCTTTCTTTCTTTCCTTTCTAGAGGTATATTTATCTAATTTCCTTCCTTCCTTCCTTCCTTCCTTCCTTCCTTCCTTCCTTCCTTCCTTCCTTCCTTCTTTCTTTCCTTTCTTTCTACCTGGTCTTGCTCTGTCACCCATGCTGGAGTGTAGTGGTGCAATCTTGGCTCACTGCAACCTCCACCTCCCAGGTTCAAGCGATCTTCCCACCTCAGCCTCCCAAGTAGCTGGGACTACAGGTGCACGCCATCATGCCCAGCTAATTTTTTTGTATTTTTTGTAGAGATGGGGGTCTTACTGTGTTGGCCAGGCTGGTCTGAAACTCATGGGCTCAAGTGATCTACCCGCCTTGGCCTCCCAAAGTACTGGGATTACAAGTGTGAGCCACTGAGCCTGACCTACTCTAGGGTTTCTTCTCTTTTGTTTCCATTGTTGATGAGCATTAACTCAATATGACTCATGCATATATTTATTTTGTACTATCAATTAAGGTTAGAATTTCTATGTTTTGTCCTAAAATGGTTAAATTCCTGGACCGACTCTTCTACCTCTGTCTGTTCTCTCCTCCTGCTCCCTCCTTGTTGATATCTTGAGTTTAGCTCTGGAATGTTATAAATAAATTTATTGGTGTGCTGGGATGGGGTGTTACCGGTTACTTAAACAAAAATAAACTGTACTGAGTTATCCACTTACTCTCACTTCCTGTATCATTTTGCTTCCTCTGGCATTATTTTTCTCTAGTGGTTTAATGCTTCCTCCAAGAATGTTCCAACAAAGTATTTGTTTGGTAAACTTTGAAAGGTCTTGGATGCTAAGAATATTTTTATTTCAGTGTCATTCAAATGATAGTTTATTGGTATAAAATTCTAGCTTCAGAGTTTCTTTTTTTCTTCCACACAACCACAGTATTACCTATTATCATCTCATATCTAATAATCCTGTTGAAAGACCTTTAATAATATGGTCTTCGTACTTTCCTGGTTCTGCTTGTCTTCTAACAATGTGTTTCAGTTTTCTTTATGTATCTGATGATCTGACGTTTCGTGACAGGGTGATTAAATGTGATTTCATTTTTCATATCTCTCCTGCTTAGTGCTTTATGCACTTTAATTTTGAATCTTCCATCTTTAGTTCTAGAAATGTCAGTTAATATGTCTTCAAATATTCCCTCCCTTCCTTTTATTTTGTCCTGCCTAAGAGGGCCTATTCTATTATTTGGACACTCCTCTTTTAATCTTCCAAGCCTCTCAAATTTTTAAAAATTTATTCTTATCTGTTTATTATTTTCTGGGGCTTTGTGGGTGAGTTCCCTGATTGGACTAACGGGCTTCCCAGTTCGTTTCTCAGCAGAACCCGTTCAGTCATCCAGCCCCTGTGTGGGGTTCTTTAACTATTCAATCTTTTATTACATCAACTCTCTAATTGGCTCTTTTTCTATTTTATATTTCTAATATGTCTTATTTTCTCTTTGCCTATTATAATTTTTATTGTTTAATCTATTCTTATTTCTCTGGGATGACTGTACAGTTGTCATTCATTTCTAAATCTTGCACTCTGCAGAATATTTCTACTTTTCCCTCTGATCTCACAGTGTCATGACTTGTAGGGAGTATCTGGGGGGGTTGGGAGGAGGGGAAAAGCTCAGGCCCTAGCCTATGCTCTTTGCAGAGGTATGGGAGGGTAGAGGGTAGAGAAGGCTCTGGGACTGGCCTGCCCATCTCTTCCTAAATCAGGCTGCAGTGCAGCCTTGATGTTTCTCTGCCACTGCCTATTCCAGGGGCCCTGCAGTTTTTACTGTCCCATGTATTTTGCAGGAGAGAGAAAGCAGTATACCTGGAACATTCCTTGCAGTCTAACATGAGCTTTCCTTTCTAACCTGTCCTCTTTCCATAGCTGTCTTCCCATTACACATGGCTGTGTGCTGCTTGAGTGTGCATTCCTCTTACCTCCTCCAAAACCAACCCCCTAGCCACCTTCTGCTGCTTCAAGAGTTTCTCAAAGGTGTGTTTCTTTTTTTTTCTTTCTATTTTGGTGTATGCATCAGTACTGGGATTATTGAAATGCATGTCAAATCTGTAACATCTCTAGGTTTGGCTTTAAGAGAGGAAGACAGGCCCTGATGCCAAGCTGCCATCTTATCTGACACTTGCAATTCTGCTTTAGTTCTGTATCTTACGACGGAGCTCGTGGCTGGGAAGATGGGATCCAGGAATGGGTGTGGAGTGTGCCCCAGACGACCCCAGAATGTTCGAGGGGCAGGTCTCATATTTTCTATTTTGATGTCTCAGAAACTGCCATGAGCTGCTAGAGGCTTCTGTTCTCTTTTCTCTAATTTTCTTCATTGTCAACTGTGACCCTGTTGATTTCTATGGATATCTACATTGTCCTATCCAGAGTGACTCTAGAACTACCCATGTGTGACAAATACATCACATAAACAGTAGGAGTCTCTTCTGGGTGTGCATAGGTCCTCTTTTGACACCAACTTTCTCTTTAGCTTCTCAATTAAGAGCATCAAATGTATGGCATTCAGGTCACGATCACTCTAAAACTTGTGTTCATTGAACGCCATCAGTACTTAACCTTTGATCCTTGCTAGATTTTTCTATATCATGAAAGATAAGCTAATGAATGCTAATGAAGCTAATGAATGAATTACTTAATATAGGAATGAATAAGTGCATTAATAAAATGCTATTTGCTGTAGTATTGCTTCCCAGAGGATTATATCATTTTATGAATTGTTGGTTATAGCCTTAAAACCTAAGGAAAATTTCACTCTCATCCTGGAACATGCTCCTTCAAGATCGTCCATAAGTTGCCTGTGGAGCATCTGCAACCTTTTCTTGATTTTAAAATGTTTAGTTCATTTAATCATGAATTCAGTATTCAGCATTTTCTCAGTGAAGATATAATGATGGCAACTCTATGTTTTTGTTCACTCCATTCTCTTTATTTGGGTCCCCCTCTACTTCTCAGAGTTCATCCAGACTCCCCCATTTTCTGAGGTTGGCACATAATCCCCTTGGGGTGAGATGTTCAGTAACACAGGGGACTGTCGAGTCCCCAAGCCGCTCTGTGTTCCCAGGAGCCCTCCGTGTGCCAGGGCAGGAGTGGAGAGCTGGCCACGTCCTCTTCTCTGTTATTCTTTGCTTTAAGCACACAAAAACAGTTCTGCTTCGTCTATTTCTTGCTGGGAGTTCAGAGCCATATATTCCCATTTAACATCTCTCAGCCTCCTTGTAATTCAGATAAATCCAAGTGAGAGTCATCATGCTATACTCCATTCATCCATTTATTCATTCCAGAAACCACTTACTGAACCTTCTAGGTGTTAGCCATTGGGTCAGCTCTATAGGATACAATGATGATACAGTAGATAGTGTCAAAAAAAAAAAAAAAGACAAAGACAAGAGAGAGCGATATAGAGAGCAGATGAGGGCTGCCCAGCCTTGGAAGGGGGGAGTTTGTCCTGGACAGAGTTCTGTGTATCTATGGTGAGGAGGCCAGACCTGGAGCGGCCTTTCCACAGGGTTTATTTAGATGATAGATGGGTATGAGTGACAGGATTGAAATGAAACCCCAAGGAACACACGTGGCACTCCAAAATATCAACAGTACTATAAATATATGTATGTGTGTGTGTTAACTAGAATTAAAGCATTAAAATTAATTAAAATTAAAACTTCTAATGAACTATTTCAAAAATTCTAAAGGAAGGAGTGTGGTAATAATAGCCACCAAGGTATCTACAAGTATCAAATGCTGTGTTTATATAAATGAGAGAGGGCATGAGTATTGACAAGAAATGCATTGATAATAATTGTCCATTGAGAGCTAGGAATTGAAAAAATAACGCAAAACTTTCTTGAGAATCTCAAAAAAGCAATAACTCCTGACGAATTGTTGAGGTGACATTTTTTTAAAAAGATAGTTTTGTGTAGCTGGGGACCTGTAAGTCTCAGTGAAATATACAAGACAATCATGATAACACTAAGGAAAACAGGAGTTCAGAGCCCTTCTTCCCTCTCTCCTTCCTTCCTTTCTTTTGTACGTGATAGAAATAGTGAATTGGAGAATTCAATCCACGCTTTGGGAAGTACTTTTTATAAATGTGTTAATTAAATAGTGGGTAAAGGCACGTATAGAACTAAGAAAACATTGTTGCGTGGACTTTTAACACTCTCGCCACGCTGGTCATGTTCAGCACTGGCCACGCTCTGACCGGTACCCACATGGTATCTTTGTTGCTCCCTTTCCTAATCAGAATCCCATTACATTGCTGAATATATTTGTTGGACAAATGAAGTCCATCTTTTAATTGTATCACTCTTATGAAAAGCAGCCTGGTTCTAGAACAACATTCTAAAGATAACTAACATAATAATTATGGCAACAATATAGTCGAATGAGAATTGATCCTGTATAAGGTCATTTTCAGTGCTTCTTTTTATCGATTTTTTGTAGGCCTTCTCTTGCTGTATCTCTCCTGAGTCCCTCATTCTTCAAGAGCTATGACTGTGTTGTCTGCTCACTCTAGTGTCTCCTCCAAACAATTTACAACATTGTCCTGAGACACAAAAACGACAAGCCCTGTCGAGGACCTCAGGGTTGCTGTTTATGAAGCAGCTTCAGCAGCCCTGGGCCTTTCTCTCTTGCTTGCTTCCTCACATCTCATCAAGACTCACCTGTGGGCCAGGCGTGGTGGCTCACGCCTGTTATCCCAGCACTCTGGGAGGCCGAGGCAGGTGGATCATGAGGTCAGGAGATTGAGACCATCCTGGCTAACATGGTGAAACCTCATCTCTACTAAAAATACAAAAAATTATCTGGGCATGGTGGCACATGCCTGTAGTCCCAGCTACTCGGGAGGCTGAGGCAGGAGAATCACTTGAACCTGGGAGGTGGAGGTTGCAGTGAGTCGAGATTGCACCACCATACTCCAGCCTGGGTGATACAGCAAGACTCCATCAAAAACCAACCAAACAAACAAACTCACCTGCTATCTGTCTATGTCTTGATGGGCAAGCAAAATGACTAAAGACGATCTCACAAATTCGTCCATAGTGGGGAGATAGTGATTGCATCTGTCACACTTCTTTCACAATCAAAGTATACTTTACTTTTAAATAAAGTCCTTCTATGCTTTCAGTGAGAAGGGGTGGGGATTTTAAGCAATTCCGAAGTTCACTGGGGGCACTCAGATCCCACCCCTTAGGCTGCCATATGCTCACTGGAAGGATCACATTGAGGACCCTGAAGAGCCTGAAGAGGAATTGCATACCTTCTATTATTGCTGTTCGCTGTGGATTGAAGTGCGTCTCTCCAAAATCCATATGTTGAAGCACTAACCCCCGATGTGACTGTATTTGGAGATCAGCCCTTTAAGATGGTAAGTAAGTTTAAATAAGATCACAAGAGTGGAGCCTTAATCCAAAAGGACTGGTGTCTTTTTTTTTTTTTTTTTGGTAGGTTTTGCCATGTTGCCCAGGCTGGTCTCAAACTCCTGGCCCCAAGGGATCCATCCACCTTGTGTAAGACTGGAGCTGACATCCATCCATCAGTCTTGTGTAAGACTGGAGCTGACATTCACACCGTAGGCTGGGCCTCCCAGTTATGACTGCTTTGCTGTCTCACTTACTGCATGTTATCCCATCCTTCTGGATGTGTGGCAATCCTCGCCACGTGGCAAGGGCACAGCTGGCTAAACTGGCAGCTATGCTTTGGAGCTCATGACAGATGTCTATCGAGAGTAAAGATGAGGAGATTTATTAGAAAACTATCAAGATTTTGGAGTGTGTTGGTCACTTTTGGAAGCCTTGAAAGGTCTTGCCTGACTCTCCCTCCCCAGGGTCAGAAGCAGAGCCCTAGAGAAAAGCCAGTGAGCCTAAGGGGGGCGGGTGTTAATGGTAGAAACCCTCACATCTGTGCCAGGCTCAGGTTCAGAGACCAACACACAAAATGCTATAGGCTTCTTATACCTTCCCTAGAAATTAAAGCCAAAATGTCTAGCAACCCAATCGGGTTTCAAGGAAGCTGAAGAACCTTGTATTAGTATGTTCTCACACTGCTAATAAAGACATACCTGAGACTGGGTAATTTATAAAGGAAAGAGGTTTGATGGACTCACAGTTCCACATGGCTGGGGAGGCCTCACAGTCATGGCGGAAGGTGAAAGGCATGCCTTACATGGTGGCAGCAGGCAAAGAGAGAATGAGAGCCAAGTACAAAGGGAAAGCCCTTATAAAACCATCAGATCTCGTGAGACCTATTCACTAACACGAGAACAGTATGAGGGAAACCACCCCCATGATTTAATTATCTCCCACCAGGTCCCTCTCACAATACATGGGAATTAAGGAAGCTACAATTCAAGATGAGATTTGGATGGGGACACAGCCAAACCATATCAAACATTTACTAGGCCTGAGAAAAAGTGGCTTATATTTGCTGACTCCCTCAGGTGGGTCCTGATCACGCAAGGTACCAACAACAGAGAATGGGCTACCAAGCCTGAGCAAGCTTCAAAAGAGAAAAACCTCCTGAGTGCTGTTCTCACACATGACCATGGGAGGAATATGTAAGGCACAGACTTCTGGGGCTGCTAGATGGGTTAACCAGGATGCTCGTCCGCATGCCTGGATCGGGGACCTCCCAACTCTATTCCTGTCTTTGACATCAGATCAATGTGGGTAGAAATTAACAAGTCTCCTTGCAAAATAAAATATATATATATTTGAAATTAAAACATTAAATCATAAATGAGTGTAATTTATTGAAAGAATAGCACAATACAAGGGAATCTATTAATACGATTTGAAATATTAAAAAAATAATCAATCATACAATCCTCTCTTTGGTCCCTTAAATAATGCATCTGAAGAAATTCAATATCCATTCATAATTAAAGCACTTTTCTAGGAATTTAAATATAGGAGGAATATTTCTTTTTTATTTTATTTATTTATTATTTTTTTGAGATAGAGTCCCGCTCTGTCACCCAGGCTGTAGTCCCGCTCTGTCACCCAGGCTGTAGTGCAGTGGTGCCATCTCAGCTCACTGCAACGTCCACCTCCTGGGTTCATGCGATTCTCATATCTCAGCCTCCCAAGTAGCTGGGATTACACACATGCACCACCATGCTGGGCTAATTTTTAGTCTGTATTTTTAGTAGAGATGGAGTCTCACCATGTTGCCCAGGCTGGTCTCAAATCCCAGAGCTCAGGCGATCCACCCACCTCGGCCTCCCAAAATGCTAGGATTACAGGTGTGTGCCACTGCACCCAACAGGGATGAATATTAATCTTAAGTGTGCCTTACTCACTTTCTACCAGAGAAACAGAACCGACAAGATGCACACACACACACACACACACACACACACACTGAAAACCTTTGGATTATGTGATTGCTGGGGTGGCTGGGCATATCTGGTACATCTGAGCTAGGGAAGGGAAGGCTGGAAACTCTTGGGCAGGATTGGATCCTGCAATCCACAGGCAGAATTTTGTCCTCATTGGGGAAACTTCAGTTTTGCCCATAAGATCTTTCAATATATTGGATGAGTCCTATTCCAGTTATCAACAATAACCTCTTTTACTTAATATCAACTGATTGTAGATGTTGATCACATCTGCAAAACATCTTCTTAGCAACATGAAGGTTAGTATTTGTATGAATAGCTGGGTAGTATGGCCTAGCCTGTCATCAAAATGTGAGGCACTTTGAGCTTTAAATAACAAAGGACTTTCAAAATATCTTCTCCTTTTGCTGAACTGAGAAGCCTAAAGAGGCTCATTCTCCCTAAGAAAACAGCAGTCAGATCCTGAGTGATCTCGGGTGTGAGAAGAGGTATGATTATGGGGCCAGAAAGCTGCAGTGGCTGTGGTCAATGATAGAGGTAGGAAAAAGGAGAAAATGTGGCACCTGCCTTGGGAGGGTTTTGAGACAGGGATTTTAACAAGGAGTTTGAAGAAGCTTTGGTATGTGATAAGTGAGGCACCATCTGTGCTCCAGCTTCACAAAAAAACCTTTCAGGCTGGGCACGGTGGCTCACGCCTGTAATCTGAGCACTTTGGGAGGCCAGGGCAGGTGGATCACTTGAGGTCAGGAGCTCAAGACCAGGCTGGCCAACATGGTGAAACCCCGTCTCTACTAAAATTACAAAAAAATTTAGGCGGGCATGGTGGCATGCGCCTGTAATCCTAGCTACTTGGGAAGCTGAGGCAGGAGAATCGCTTGAACCTGGGAGGCGAAGGTTATAGTGAGCCAAGATCTTTCCACTTCACTCCAGCCTGGGAGTCATGGTGAGATTCTATCTCAAAAAAAAAACATAAAAATAAAAGTAAAAGTAAACCAAAAACTTCAGTACGCATCTCTCATAGTCTCCAGCACTCTTGGAGTGGGACTTCACTCTTCATTTATTGACACTCTGGTTGTGTGTCACTGTGGTAAGGCAAGATCGGGGTAGCCCCAGGGCAATTACATTAGAGTTGCACAGGTTTATAGGAGTCAATGAATGAAGACCAGTATTGGAAACACTCATGATTGCTATGTTTGGATTGCTGTATTATAGTCAAATTTAGGTGGCAGTAAATTGAGAGGATGCTGATACCAGGGTACACACAGTCTGGAACAAAGACTAACAGCAAATAATAGATGCTTTTTCTTAAGGGATGATCTGGAGTCTTGGTCACTTGACCTGAAGGTTCCAATTCAAACCTAATTATATTACCTCCTTCAGCACCTATAATTTTATTTTTACAATTCCCCAATAGTAGAACACAGAAGTATATATTGTCTCGGTTCTTAAAGCAAAACTTTCTTAAAGTTAATTTTGAAGCAAAATAGGATGATCTTTTTGTTCATCTTATTTTCAGAATGACATAAATTTGGATTTGTTAACTTTAAAATTGCCAAACCAGCTGGGGATGTGAATTTATTTTCACTTCCATGCAGCACTGAGAAGCAAAATACTAACAGTAGGGTCAGAGTCCTCCAGGTCAGACTCCTCTGGCCTCCAGTCAATGTTAATTAGGGACTTTCAACAGCTGCAGGAAGTCAACAATTTAATAAGAAACATCACAAATACCTAATTTGCTCAGCATGACCACAACACGAAATTCCCACATCAACAGAGAGACAAATACTGATTCAAGCAATGTGAATCAAAGCAGATGCTAGCTGGCCTCCTCCTGTTAAATTGATTCAGAAATGTAGGACATAGTTCTAAGACGAGGCTACTGTTGGTCGCATATCAATTTAGTTAGGTGTTAAGAGGGAAATTTATGGCACTAAATGCCCACATCAGAAAGCGGGAAAGATCTGAAATCAACACCCTAACATCACAATCAAAAGAACTAGAGAAGCAAGAGCAAACAAATCCAAAAGCTAGCAGAAGATAAGAAATAACTAAAATCAGAGCAGAACTGAAAGAGATAGAGACACAAAAAACCCTTCAAAAAATCAATGAATCCGGGAGCTTTTTTTTGAAAAAATTAACAAAATAGATAGACCACTAGCTCGACTAATAAAGAAGAAAAGAGAGAAGAATCAAATAGACACAATAAAAAATGCTAAAGGGGATATCACCACTGACCCCATAGAAATACAAACTACCATCAGAGAATGCTATAAACACCTCTATGCAAATAAACTAGAAAATCTAGAAGAAATGGATAAATTCCTGGACACACACACTTTCCCTAGACTAAACCAGGAAGAAGTCGAATCCCTCAATAGACCAATAACAAGTTCTGAAATTGAGTCAGTAATTAATAGCTTACCAACCAAAAAAAGCACAGGACCAGATGAATTCACAGCTGAATTCAACCAGAGGTACAAAGAGGAGCTGGTACCATTCCTTCTGAAACTATTCCAAACAGTTGAAATTGTTCCTTCCTAACTCATTTTATGAGGCCAGCATCATCCTGATACCAAAACCTGGCAGAGACACAACAAAAAAAGGAAACTTCAGGCCAATATCCCTGATGAACATTGATGAGAAAATCCTCAATGAAATACTGGCAAACCAAATGTAGTAGCACATCAAAAAGCTTATCCACCATGATCAAGTCAGCTTCATCCCTGGGATGCAAGGCTGGCTCAACATATGCAAATCACTAAACGTAATCCATCACATAAACAGGACCAATGACAAAAACCACATGAGTATCTCAATATATGCAGAAAAGGCCTTCAATAAAATTCAACATTCCCTCATGTTAAAAACTCTCAATAAACTAGATATTGATGGACCATATCTCAAAATAATAAGAGCTATTTACGACAAACCTATAGCCCATATCATACTGAATGGGCAAAAGCTGGAAGCATTCCCTTTGAAAACTGGCACAAGACAAGGATGCCCTCTCTCACCACTCCTATTCAACATAGTATTGGAAGTTCTGGCCAGCACAATCAGGCAAGAGAAAAAAATACAAGGTATTTGAATAGGAAGAGAGGAAGTAAAATTGTCTCTGTTTGCAGATGACATGATTCTATATTTAGAAAACCCCATCGTCTCAGCCCCAAAACTCTTTAACCTGATAAGCAACTTCAGCAAGGTCTCAGGATACAAAATCAATGTGCAAAAATCACAAGCATTCCCACACACCAACAGTCGACAAGCAAAGAGCCAAATCATGAATGAACTCCTATTCGCAATTGCTATAAAGAGAATAAAATACCTAGGAATACAGCTTACAAGGGACGTGAAGAACCTCTTCAACGAGAGCTACAAACCACTGCTCAAGGAAATAAGAAAAGACAGAAACAAATGGAAAAACATTCCATGCTCATGAATAGGAAGAATCAATATCATGAAAATGGCCATACTGCCCAAAGTAATTTATAGATTCAATGCCATTCCCATCAAGCTACTATTGACATTCTTCACAGAATTAGAAAAAAGTTCTTTAAATTTCATATGGAACCAAAAAAGAGCCTGTATAGCCAAGACAATCCTAAGCAAAAAGAACAAAGCTGGAGGCATCACACTACCTGACTTAAAACTATACTACAAGGCTATGGTAACCAAAACAGCATGGTACTGGTACCAAAACAGAAATACGGACCAATGGAACAGAACAGAGACCTCAGAAATAACACCACACATCTAAACCATCTGATCTTCAACAAACCTGACCAAATCAACCCATGGGGAAAGGATTCCCTATTTAATAAATGGTGCTGGGAAAACTGGCTAGTCATATGCAGAAAATTGAAACTGGACCCCTTCCTTACACCTTATACAAAAATTAACTCAAGATAGATTGAAGACTTAAATATAAAACCCCAAACCATGAAAACCCTAGAAGAAAACCTAGGCAATGCCATTCAGGACATAGGCATGGGCAAAGAATTCATGACTGAAACACCAAAAGCAATTGCAACAAAAGCCAAAATTGACAAATGGGATCTAATTAAAATAAAGAGCTTCTGCACAGCAAAAGAAACTATCAGAGTGAACAGACAACCTAGAGAATTGGAAAACATTTTTGCAATCTACCCATCTGACAAAGGTCTAATATCTGGAATCTACAAGGAACTTAAACAAATTTACAAAAAAAAAAACAACCCCATCAAAAAGCGGGCAAAGGATATGAACAGACACTTCTCAAAAGAAGACATTTATGTGCCAACAAACATATGAAAAAAAACTCGTCATCACTGATCATTAGAGAAATGCAAATCAAAACCACAATGAGATACCATTTCATGCCAGTCAGAATGGCAATTATTAAAAAGTCAAGAAACAATAGATGCTGGCGAGGCTATGGAGAAATAAGAACGCTTTTACAGTGTTGGAAGGAATGTAAATTCCTTTAACCATTGTGGAAGATAGTGTGGTCATTCCTCTAGGATCTAGAACTAGAAATACCATTTGACCCAGCAATCCCATTACTGGATATATACTCAAAGGAATATAAATCCTTCTACTATAAAGACAAATGCATTTGTATGTTTATTGCAGCACTATTTACAATAGCAAACACTTGGAACCAACCCAAATGCCCATCAATAATAGACTGGATAAAGAAAATGTGGTACATATACACCATGGAATACTATGCAGCCATAAAAAGAATGAGATCATGTCCTTTGCAGGGACATGGATGAAGCTAGAAGGCATCATCCTTAGCAAACTAACACAGGAACAGAAACCCAAACACCACATGTTCTCACTCATAAGTGGGA
Organism: Homo sapiens; assembly: GCF_000001405.40. NCBI lineage: Eukaryota > Metazoa > Chordata > Mammalia > Primates > Hominidae > Homo > Homo sapiens. Next base: position 68,846,830 of record NC_000017.11, read on the forward strand.
GTTGAACCATGAGAACACCTTGACACAAGGAGGGGAACAAAACACTTCGGGAGCTGTCTGGGGCTGTGGGGAAAGGGGAGGGAGAGCATTAGGAAAAATACCTAATGCACATAGGGCTTAAAACCTAGATGACAAGTTGATAGGTACAGCAAACCACCATGGCACGTGTATGCCTTTGTAACAAACCTGCACATTCTCCACATGTATCCTGGAACTTAAGGTAAAATAAAATAAAATTTTAAAAAAAGGACATCAACAACAGACATTGCTAAGAACAAAAATAAGTAAGTGAATTTCTTGACTGGTAGAAATGGATTTTTTGGAATTCTATGTAATTGTAAACAACAGATTCCTTTCATAAAAAATATTCAAGTAGAAAAGGAATAATGAATCTTTTTCACTTTATAATTATTCAAGAATTGCTAGAAAGGTTCACATGCATATCAAAGATGATGAAATATAATATTATTTGCCTCTATATTGATTCTCTGATTGGGGAACATTGTGGTTTTTTTTTAAACATTAGGCTATTTCCGTTTCATGTTATATATCTGAGTTCCTCACACTTTACTTAGATCCAAGGAGGGAAAAACAAGTACAAATTATTACAAGGACCATTCTTCCACACGTTAAAGGCATGCCTACAAGCTCTGGAGATCTTTCTCATGATTATATTAGATACCTAAAATGTCTATATTATCATAGCTGTCTAGGAAATGTGTTATAAATGGCACATATGTAATCTTAATTAATTTACATGGAGGGGAGTGTAGTTAGGAGGGAAAAAACAGCTTGATAAATTATAAAATTCCTCTTTAACTTTGTATCTCTTTTCCATTTCTTTTTTACAGTTTGTTCTTACCAGATGAATTAGTAAAGATTACACACACACAAATGCACACACACACACATATCTGTGTATATCTCCTGGCATGTACACATGTAATACATAATGTTACTTTTGTGAACCAAGTGTCAAATTTCACTCACTGGGTACTCTTCACTTTTATGGGTCATATTCTATTTTAGAAAGAAGGATTTATTGAGGAAGTGACTTTTGCTACAGTGCACCTGTTGGCTGCCCATTCTCACAAAGGCCTTTCTTTCCAATTGCTACTCCCAATATAGCCTCATCTAATGTAATGCAGTATCCTGTGTACAACTGAAGCTCTCTGATCTCTCCTTGGCTCTGCATACTAACTTCGTTTCCTCAAACTGCCTTTCTCTCTGACTCTGGAGCCATATCTGTGGACAACTCCAAGCTTTTGCCTCCTTAGCTTAACTATCACAAAGGAAATGGAATCCTGCTTCAATTCTTAATACCAGAGTGCTGAATCTAGGTATTCTCTCTTGGGTCACAGGCTCACTGCTTTGAACCAACTGCTGCAGAGAGAGGGGTGAAGTTCATGATTGTCTCAGCTTGCCAGGATCAAATAGAACGCCACAATTGTCATGGAGGAGATGAAATTCCTTCTAGAAAAAGGGCATGGTTAAAGAATAAAGGGGAGGCTGGGTGCAGTGGCTCATGCCTGTAATCCCAGCACTTTCGGATGTTGAGGCAGGAGGATGGCTTCAGCCTGGAAGTTCAAGACCAGCCTGGGCAACATAGTGAGACCCTGTCTCTATAAAAAAAAGAAAAGAATAAAGGGAAAAGAGATGCTAAGAAACTAAAAGTAACAGCTGTCTACTACTGAATATTTGTCTTACTTCAGTTTCAAATATCTTAAACTTAAGCCATTGCAAAAAAATGGTAAATATTCATTATCTAAAAGACAAAACCATAATACTCTTTTAGGAAGGAACCTAGAAATTTTTAATGGGTTTTAAATACTTAACTAAATAATAGATGTCGATGGTTTAATACCTAGATTTATATTTTACTGAAAAATAAAGTTTTTCTATAAACCACTAACACAGACTAGGACAAAACCATTAAAACCAAAAGAACTAGTTTAACACTTGCTCGTGCTAATGTGAACACATTATCCCAAAATAAATGAAAGGCCAAATTCTTGATGAAGCTGACACAATACTTAAGTCATGTAAGTGTGGACAAAGATCAAAAGTTTAATTAGAAAAAAGAAAATACACGCAATTTATCCCTAGCACCTCTAATGTCGAAAATAAGTTCCCCAATGATCAGGGTTCATTCATGTTCATGCTCTCAGGAAAGCCAGGTATTAAAACTGTTCTTTGTCTAATTACATCATAGTATGAGTTATGCTTATTATGAACCGTAGACTGTTTCAATTTCAATCTACTTTTTAAATGTCATAATTCAAACAAGCAGTAATCGAAGTGACTGTGTTGTATCAAAACGTGATGTCTGTAGAGGAAAGAGAGAGATGAATAGGTGCAGCATAGAGGATTCTTAGGGCAGTGAAACTATTCTGTATGATATTGTAATGGTGAATACACGTCTAAAAACATAGAACGTACAACACCAAGAGTGAACCCTTATGTAAACTATGGACTCTTGTGATCATGAGGTGTCAATGTCCGTTCATCAGTTGTAACAAATGGGCCACTCTGGTGGGGGATGTGGATGATGGGGGAGGCTGTGCATGTGTGGGGAAGGGTGGGGAAAGGGAAATTTCTTACCTTTCTGCATAATTTTGCTGTGAACCTAAAACTGCCCTTAAAAATATAGTTTATCAAAACATAAAAAAAAACAGTAAAACTGTCCACTATATCTGGTTTGGAAGGGATTATTTTCAAAGGTACACATAGTTTGCAAATTATATCCACTGGTACAGGTAACAGGAGATGCTACACTCCTGGGTCGCCCTAGCTCATTTCTCTCCCATCTGCATGTCCCAATAGACACCATGTTTAAATCTGTGCCCATGTATTGCTGAAGTCCTTTAGGCATGAAGAATTCCAGTGATGGGGAATTCTCTGTAAATTTGCATTTTGGGAGTAGAAGGGAGGGGTCTACACATGGCAGAGGGTGTGAGCCATTAGGGATATCAGGGCCAGAGATGCTGGCAGGTAAAGATTGGCAACATGCCAGGTCAACATGCCCAGGCAGGAAGTGATGCCGCTTGAGCTGCCTTTTCAGAGCAGTCAAGACTGGAATATCCCCAACTAACCGAGCAACCCCTGAAAAATCAGATCAGACTTACCTAAAGGAAAAAGAATCAGGCTAGGGAAAGAAGAATGAATGGCAAAGCTTAATGACTTCAATGGTAAGAATTTATCACTAAGAAGCAGAAGCAAACCACTCATGTGGAGAACAGATGTTGTGGACTTGATTTAAGTAGTACCAAGTGAGGGTGAAAGCTTGCAGGAAGACATATTCAGGACCAGTCTATTAGAAATGCAGTTTTAGTCCCAACTAAACCTAGTGAGTTTACATCCATTCACTTGTCTTGCGTTTTTCTCTCTATTATTCCCCAGCCACGTTGCATGAACATTAGTGGTCCAAGCAAGGGGTGTTGCGAAGGGTCGACCCACTGAAAAAAAATTGTCCTGTTATTTGCCTTGCCCCCTGCCCCCAAGTGTTAAGCTGAGTGTGGAGAACCATTCCAGGCCAAGTTTCCTTTTCAAATGTGCTCTTGTTAGCTTTTTTTTTTTTTTCAGGAATTCTTCAGTTTCTGGTACACCATGCTCACTATACAGCTGTTTTCCCATAATCTCTGAAGATTAGAGTGGGAGGGGAGGATGCATTTATCTTGAAACATAAATCTTCCATTTAAGTTGTGATAGTAAATAACAAGGGGATCAAGAATCAGCCTCTTCTTTCTCTTCTTCGCTTTCCATGCTCAAAAAGACTCACTGCCAACTGAAGTAGCTTCTCTGCAGGGATTCTCTTGCTTTCTGCTCCAGGCTCGCTGTGGACAACTCCATAGTTTGCTATTGCTCATGACTTAGAATTCTACCTTGTTATATTATGCTTCCTCATTACAAGCTTCAGGGGAGATGTACATTGGCTAGGGACAGATCACATATTTCTTACTTTCCTTCTCTTTATCCCCCCGAAGACTCCTCATAAAGACTTTACTGAACAGTAGGGGTAACCAAGGAAAGTAAGGCCCCATTATCCTTTTTAAGCAAAATCCTGAGCATGCATAGGAAAGATTCTTCAAGTCATCCCAGGATAGGGTGGTGAAAACTGGATTTACTACATGGCAAAGTCTCAAAACAAGCAAAGGATAAAATGCATTTAATTGCTTTTTTTAAAGCTAGTTTGTGTAAGAATCCAAGTGATTTATTTTTCTTTTAGCACTTATCAAAGATGTTTTATAGTTCAAATCTGAACTTTTTCTGATGTATAAAAGGCACAAAATAAGTTATATGAAGTTCTTAATGACATGACTACAGAGTTTCCCAGTTGAAATAAGTTAAAAGCAAATACTATTGTGAAGATTTTCTTTCATTTGTTTATAATATTTAATCCAAAGTTGGTGAAACCTTAGATTTCCCTCTTGACCTTGACCTTAGCTCTACTTGGCAAATTATTCGAATTGTAGAGTATTTCTTGTTGAGGAAAGCATTCAATGTTTGGCTCAAAAATGTACAGGCACTGCAACATTGGACTTAAGAGAGAAAAGCTCCAGAATACAGCTTAAATAGATACATGGAATCCATTCACATTTTTGGTGTTCTGGAGAGTCTCAACTCTGTATCACTGGTGTCATTAGAGAGGCTCAGGACTAGAAGAACAAGGTGGCCATCAACCTTGTCAACATACAGGAAGTTATTTGAAATATTTGTAATGTCTAAAAAGCAGCCAACAAAATGGTTTACAAATACAACGAAGTAGATAAAACCCATTATTTCCAGAGGTCCTTGGTCATGATGCTGGGAACTTTCAATTAATCTAAGGAATTGGTCACCAGCATATGATTTTTTAAATTCTTCTTTCTATCATTAAAAAAATAAGAGTATTAAACTAGAAAAGTTTCTGAGGTGAGAATCCTATGGCAAGTGGCTTTGTTTTGGTTCAGGATATGTTTTTGGATAAGAAAGAAAATCTTTTATGCAGTCTGAATATTTAAATATTTAAATTTAAGATTGATAATAATTGATGCATACCAAGAAGAGTATGGAGATCCTGGAGTAGTGACCAAAACAAACAAACAAATAAACAAAAAACACACAGAAAAGAATAGAACAAGAAACTCCTATGATAAATTTGATTCTGTTTGTCATCGAGCAATTTTTCTCTTCTCCTATACACTTCCACAGCTGTTCATCTTCCAGATGTTCTCTCTTGTGAAGCCTTGTCTTTTAAGAGGTTCATGTTCCTTCAAGATAAATCATTCTTTTCCATTCCCCAAAGTATTACTTGCTCAAAACAAGCCATTCTCCTAATCCTCATTTAAACTTTCCTAAATTTAGCACAACTCTTTTGGACACTAAACTGAACAATTTATAAACTTGAAGTCTTGGTGGAGGGCAAAAACTGTCCACTTTGGCAGCCAAATGGAAGGAAGCCAATCTTCCCTCTTGCCTTCCCCTGTTAACCTGGGGGCAGGCAGGTTACTCAAGCCCAACTAATAAGATGCTCCTGCTCAAGTCTTTGGAACCAGAGGAGGGGAGGCAAAGATAAAAGATGGTAGAGATTATTCACAATAGCAAAGAAATGGAATCAACGCAAATGCCCATCAATGATAGACTGGATAAAGAAAATGTGGTACATGTACACCATGGAATACTATGCAGCCATGAAAGGAATGAGATCATGTCCTTTGCAGGGACATGGATGGAGCTGGAAGCCAGTATCCTCAGCAAACTAACGCAGGAACAGAAAACTAAACACCACATGTTCTCACTTGTAAGTGGGAACTGAACAATGAGAACACATGAACACAGGGTGGGGACCAACACACACTCAGGCCTGTCAGGGAGTGGGGTGGGAGGAGGAAGAGCATTGGGAAAAATAGCTAATGAATACTGGGCTTAATATCTAGGTGATGGGTTGATAGGTACAGCAAACCACCATGGCACGTATCTACCTATGTAACAAACATGCACATCCTGCACATGTATCCTGGAATGTAAAATTAAAAAAACAAAAGATGTTAGAGATACCATTTCATGGTGTCCATATTGAGAGCCCAGCAGCAATGACAGCTTCGAGAATTCAGTGGCCGCATGCAACGCTGTTGGCATTGACAATCCTGCGGTAGTTGTCTGGCGCTCTGACCGTGAAACAGATTGTCCCTGCAGTGTGACATTAGTTGTATTTTCCAACTATCTAGCTTCTTCTAGTTCTTGACCACATTTTGAGGCTAAGCCTATAGCTTTCCCAACATTCCTGTGAACTCTCTATTTCTTTACAATAAAGCCTTTAACAGCTGGCAGATTTGACTCCTATTATTTCAACCAAGATTGTTACACTGCCTACAAAGTAATTCTTCGAGGCTTTGGCTTATAGTGGGACCCTTCTTGTGTTTCTGGTTTTGGCACCGAGGCATATACGTATGTATTCATGGGTCATTATGTAGAATAGTTGGCTTCTCTTCGCAGAAAGTTGGCAGAGAGAAAAGGAGATTCAACGTGTCAGTGTACTTTGCTTTCTTGATTCAGATTATTTTTCTATAAACTGAACTATGTAGACTAAGGGAATCAGGAAGGCAGAGGGTTATGTGTGTCCACTGACCCTTGTTGGTGCCTGTCTCCAATGAGGAACTCTTCTGATTTAGACATTCTTGTGCTTTTCTTTTCCCAATGGGTATATTTTCATACCATGTGCTGTTCCAAATTCCTGAGTTTCTGGTGAGAACCACATGTTGCCTTGTTCTGTGTGTCTTCACTGGGTGTATTTTTATGGTGCATGCCCATTACTACCCAACCCTTTGCTCCTGTTGCTCAGACAGTCATGATTTGTAATAAGCAACTCTGTTCCTCAATCCCAATTGCCCCAAAGCGACACGAAAAACAAGGTTGAGTTGGAGCCAAGGGAGAGAGAAAACCCTCGGTAATGAGTCATGGGATAGGGCAAAACAGGCACGCAGATTATCCCTGGCTTCTTAGGGGCTTCTTCTTCAGATGTGAGGCTGCTGCTTCTTCTCCCCAGTATCTTTTTGCTTTGGAGGTCAGATGGCAATTTTGGTGGAGATTATACTGTGGACACTGTGCTTGTAAGACTTCTTCCTTCTCCTGCATGAGCTATGTATGAGTTGAGGAATGCCTTCACAGAATCAGCAAGTTCTCAAATAGCTCACATTTTTCCAGGCTATCATGGGTATCTCCCATGCATTCATAGGTTTGTAGATAGTCAGGTATGTATGGAGAGTTAAGTTTCTCAGATTTTCTATGCTTGTGGACTTCCATGTTTCCTCCATTAAATTTCTTACTGGTCTGCTTACTGCTCTGAATTGCATTCCCTGCCTGCAGTTGTAGAGCTGTGGGTCTTTGCTGCCAGCTTCAATCTGGCATTGCCATCTCTCCCTACCTGTAATGATGCAGGTTCTGAAGACTGAGTGTGTTGGAAAGGACGACCACAGCTCCAGGAAAGAAGGCCACATACCCACCACTACTATACCAGATACAGCAGCACCATTTCAAGAGGAAAATCTTCACAGTTTCTTGTGTCTCATTTTTTTTTGTTGTTGGTCATTTTTTTCAGTACCTCAAAATAATTATTTTAAATAATTTAGTCCAGTTTTGTGCTTGTTTTCTAGGAATAGGAATTATCTGACCTCATGCTGCCTTTACTGGAAATAGTCTTACAATTGTTCTGGGAAAGAAGACAAATGAATTTTTATGGGACTCTCAGTTCTCATATATGAGTGTTTATTATATTTCTCATGGAAAAAATAAAGTTGCTCTTGATAGAATGTCACCACTATGGAGTTATTTTCTGATATACCTACAGGGGTTATTTTTTAAGATTTCTTTTTTGTTTTGTGGAATGTTCCAGACTGATACAGCTCTCTCTCTAGAGGTCTTTTGCAGCTGCAGTATTTTCAAGGGTTCATTTGTTATTAAATCTGGCTGGCCAGAGTAGGTTAATTCCTTTGAGATACAGCTGCAGCCATTTTTAATGGCAAAAGACGCTATTTTCTTTTAAAATCATTTGTACAAATGGAGTATCATTTTACATGTTCCTAAATTTTTCTCCATCCTTTTCCTCCTCTCATTATGTGTTTTCTCGATATTGTTGCTGTTTTAGTTTTTTTTTTTTTTGTCATTTTACTGTTGTCCCAATAGTTTGGTTGTACTTTTTAAATAAGCTATTTGAACTCCTTTTTATCAATATGAGAGTGTATGAATAAAAAAAGAGAACACTATATTTAATAATTCAATCATTTTCTTTTGAAATTCTTCCATGTTTACGCTGAGACACATTCATTACATGGGGCAACTAAGAGCTGTGGAATAACCCACAATCTGCTTTCTGCATCTGATACTTACAAAAAGCTCAACAGAGTAATGGAGAAGGAGCAAATAAACCTTTCAACCTGTGTTTCTCAGTCTTTTAAAATCTGAGATCCCTTTAAATGAGAAAACATACTCTCATTGTGCTGTTGGTGTTATGTGAAATGTACAACAAAATATAACAACCTCAGTTAATTTGAGAGTACCTTAATCTATACGTTTAACAGTTTAATCTTTTTTTTTTTTTTTTTTTTTTTGACAATATCTTACTCTTGTGCAGGCTGGAGTGCAATGGTGCAATCTTGGCTCACTGTAGCCTCAAACTCCTGGGCTCAATCCATTCTCCCACCTCAGCCTCCTCAGTAGCTGGGACCACAGGCATGCACCACCATGCCCGGCTAATTTTTATTATTTTTTGTAGAGATGTGGTTTTGCCATGTTGCCCAGGCTCATCTCAAACTCCTGAGCTCAAGCCATCTGCTCACCTTGGCCTCCCAAAGTGCGGGGATTACAAGCATGAGCCACCGTGCCTGGCCCAGCTTAATATCTTTGAACTCCAATGGAGGAGGAGGTTAAGGTTCTAATATTGCCTCTTGGAACATTGCTCTACTTCTATTTTAATTCACAAATGTAATTAGATGTTCTGAAAAAGAAATGTAGCTAATTTGATTTAATGGTATCAAAGTCTCAAATGCAACATGAATGCATTGGGAGGGGCTGAGAACCCAGATCCTTACCTGCTCAAGTGACCTGTTGGATTACTACCAACTCTAGGCTGGGCACAGTGGCTCATGCCTGTAATCTCAGCACTTCGGGAGGCTGAGGCTGGCGGATCACCTGAGGTCAGGAGTTCGAGACCAGTCCGGCCAACATGGTGAAACCTCATCTCTACTAAAAATACAAAATTAGCCAGGCGTGGTGGCGTGTGCCTGTAATCAGCTACTTGGGAGGCTGAGGCAGGAGAATCACTTGAATTTGGGAGGCAGAGGTTGCAGTGAGCCGAGAGTGCGCCTTTTAACTCCAGGCTGGGCAAAAAGAGTGAAACTACGTCTCGAAAAAACAAAAAAACAAACAACAACAACAAAAAACAACCAAAAACCAAAAGAGTACTACCAACTCTATACTTACCAATACTCTATACTCTATACTTACTTACTTACTATTATTGCTATCAAAAAATAAGGAAATGGTTTCAGACTATGTGCTTACCAATTCCTTGTCCCGAAACCTTTGGAGTATACACTTAAGCAGCATGGCTTAATAAAAACACAAACAAAAGCAGCATTGTTTTTGAAGTCTGGGTCATCAGACGTAACTTGCATCGTGGTTTTGAGTGGAGAAGAAATAATGCTTATTGTGGTTTTACCTTAAATTGGAATATTTATGTTAATTGCATCATTAGCTCTTCGTCAGTAGTATTAGAGGTTCCAATAGTTTAATAGGCTTTTCCTGCTTCTTTAAATTCAAACTTCTCAAACTTTTGTTTTTCTAGAGAGCTCTGGCAAGTTTTTGTTGTGATTCAAAATGGCAGCCAGTCAGCTCCCTGCCTCTCCAGCCTGGGATCCTTTAGCCCCATCCTGTCATCCCAGGGCTCATTTTCTTCCTTTCTGGGTTCTTTGCCAACATTCTTTTTCTGCCCTGCTGGGATTTCTTAAAGGAGCAAGGCTTTTCACCTTTCTGAACTGCAGAATCCCTATTCCCTGAGACACAACAATATTGAGATTAGACCAGATAATAACCCAAATAATAATCTTGCAGGGTGCAAGATTGGATTCAGGAACAACAGGGTGGAGGCTAATGCAGAAATCTGCGTGCTAGATGATGGCAGTTTGGACTAGGGTGGTAGCAGCAGATAAAAAGAAGTGAATATCTTTGGGATACCTCTTGAAAGCAGTCAACAGTACCATTGGATCACCCGAGGGGAATGGGGGAGAGAGAAGTAAAGAATAGTCTCTAGCTTGGCAACTAGGGTGTTTCTATTTACTGAGATGGAGAAGACAAAGAAATGTTAAGACTTCTATTTTTGATGCATTTTCTTTGAGATGCCAACCAGATATTCAACAGGAAAAAACATCCAAGTGGTTGGATATATGAGCGAGGCTCGAAAGAAAGGTCTGTCTGGTATTTGAAAGTTTTGCTTTAAGAGATTGGATTTCAACATTTCTCCCGCCCCCTTCCTGTGTGCTTTCCAGTATTGCAAAGGCCTGGAATTTAAGGTGCTACAAAGCCTCCTCTCCTTAGTTTCAGAACCACCACAGTGGTTGCAGTGAGCCAAGATCGTGCCAGTGCACTCCAGCCTGGGTGACAGACTGAGACCGCATCGAAAAAAAAAGGACTTGGATACACGCTACCTCTCAATCCCAGCACCAAGACTTCAATCACTCAGGCTCCCAAAGGCTAAACTCTCAACTCCAGAACCTCTATTTAGTTTAGGGGTAGACCTTGTTTTATTGCACTTCCCAGATACTGTTTTTTTACAAATTGAAGGTTTGTGGCAACTCTGTGTAGAGCAAGTCTATCAACACCATTTTTCCAATTGCATAGGCTCACTTCATGTCTCTGTCTCACATTTTGGTAATTCTAGCAATATTTTAATCTTTTAAATTATTATTATATCTGTTATGATGATCTGTGAACAGTGATCTTTGGTGTTACTATTGCAATTGTTTTGGGCCACTACAGACCATTCCCATGTAAGATAGCAAACTTAATGAATAAATTTGTGTATTCTGACTGCTCCACTGACAGGCTGTTTCCCTATCTCTCTCCTTCTCCTTCAGCCTCCCCATTCCCTGAGACACAACAATATTGGGATTAGGCCAGATAATAACCCTACATGGCGTCTGAGTGTTTAAGTTAGTGGAAAAGTCACATGTTTCTCATTTTAATCATAAGATTAGTGAAGAAGGCATTTTGAAAGCTGAGATAGGTTGAAAGCTAGGCCTCTTGTGCCAAACAGCAAATTTGTGAATGCAAAGGAAAAGTGCTATTTGAAAGTGCTATTTCACTGAACATATGAATAAGTAAGCAAAACAGCCTTATTACCAATATGGAGAAAGTTTTAGGGGTCTGGATAGAAGACCAAACCAGCCACAGCATTCTCTGAAACCAAAGCCTAATCCAGAGCAAGGCCCTAATTCTCTGTAGTTCTGTGAAGGCTAAGACAGGTGAGGAAGCTGCAGAAGTAAAATTGGAAGCTAGCAGAAGTTGGTTCATGAGGTTTAAGGAAAGAAGCCATCTCCATAACATAAAAGTGCAAGGTGAAACAGCAAGTGCTGATATAGAAGCTGCAGCAAATTATCCAGAAGACCTAGCTAACATAATTGATGAAGATAGCTACACTAAACAATAGTTTTTCAATGTAGATGAAACAGCCTTCTATTGGAAGAAGCTGCCATCTAGGACTTTTCCCATAGCTAGAGAATCAAAGCTATTACCTGGCTTCAAAGTTTCAGAGGACAGGCTGACTCTCTTGTTAGGTGATAAAAATGTCGCTGGTAGCTTAAGTTGAAGCCAATGTTCAATTACCATTCAAAAAAATCCTCAGGCCCTCAAATGATGCTAAATTTACTCTGCCTGTACTCCATAAATGGAACAACAAAGCCTGCATGGCAGAATATCTGTTGATGGCATGGTTCACTGAATATTTTAAGCCCACTGTTGAGATCTACTACTCAGAAAAAAGATTCTTTTCAAAATACTATTGCTCATTGGCAATGCACTTAGTCAAGAGCTCTGTTTGAGATATACAAAGAGATGAACGTTGTTTCCATGCCTGCTAACACAACATCTATTCTGCAGCCCATGGATCAAGAAGAATTTCAGCTTTCATGTCTTATTAGTTAAGAAAGACATTTCATAACGCTATAGCTGCCATAGATAATTTTTCTTCTGAGGGAGCTTGGCAAAGTAAATGAAAACCTTCTGGAAAGGATCCATCATTCTAGATTAATTACATTTACTAATTACATTAATAATATTTGTGATTCATGGAAGGAGATCAAAATATCAACATTATCAGGAGCTTAGAAGAAGTTGATTCCAACTGTCATGGATGACTTTGAGGCAGTCCAAGACTTTGGTGGAGGAAGTTACTGCAGATGTGGTGAAAATAGCAAGAGAACTAGAATTAGAAGTGAAGCCTGAAGATGTGACTGAATTGCTGCAATCTCATGATAAAGCTTGAATGGACAAGGAATTGCTTCTTATAGATGATGAAGAAGTGGATTCTTCAAGAGGAATTTACTCCTGATGAGGATACTGTGAATGTAGTTGAAGGGACACAAAGATTTAGAATATTATATAAATGTAATTGATGAAACAGCAGCAGGGTTGGAGATGATTGAGTCCAATTTTGAAAGAAATTCTACTGTGGGTAAAATGCTATCAAACATTATTGTATGAGACAGAGGAATCTTCTGTGAAAGGAAGAGTCAATTGATGCAGCAAATTTCGTTGTTGTCTTATTTTAAGAAATTGCAACAGCTCCCCAATCTTCAGCAATCGTCACCCTGATCAGTCATAGCCATAAATATTGAGGCAAGACCTTCTACCAGCAAAAAGATTATGATTTGCTAAAGGATCAGATGATCGTTAGCGTTTTCTTTTTAGCAATAAAGTACTTTTTCATTAGGATATGTGCATTTTTTTGCACATAATGCTATTGCACACTCAGTAAACTAGAGTGTGAACATAACTTTCATATGCACTGGGAACCAAAGAAATTGTGTGACTTGCTTTATTTTGATATTAACTTTATTGCGGTCATCTGGAATGAAACCTACAATATCTTCGAGGTCTTCCTGTAGGTCTCATCTATATTTTTCTTAGTTGTGAGGGGAAGGATCAGGACACAAATTTTAAATTATCAAAAAAAAAGAGTAAGGACATTCTGGAATTTATAAAAAGAACATTAAGCCTCTCATCTTTCAAAATCTTGCTATTTGCCCTCTACTCTGTGGTGGTGATGGTTTAATTTCTTCCCTCAATCCTTTCACAGCTGGTAATGGTCTCCTTATTGAAGGAGAAAAAGGATGTCTCTTGAGACACTCAGTTCCGACCACTTAAAGACACTGCATATCTTCCCTGTTCTCTTTAGCATCTCTTGTTCAATGTATTTCTTGGCCTCTCTGGGATCTTAGACGATTGTACATATTTTTTTAATTGCAGGAAAAATCCTCCCCTATAGTTTTAATTCAATAAAGTCTTTAAAAGACTTCGTTGAAATTTGAAATTTGCACAGGCCTAGAGAGAAGGAGAGGTAAGAAAGCAGAAAAGCAATTTAAAGCACAGAAACTGGAATAGGCAGGAGCCCAGGACAGAGAGACAGAAACCATATTTCCTTGACCCTAGTTTACCTGGCTGAAAAGTGAAGAGTTGGCCGGGCACAGTGGCTCATGCTTGTAATCCAGGACTTTGGGAGGCCGAGGCGGGCAGATCACCTGAGGTCGGCAGTTCCAGACCAGCCTGACCAACATGGAGAAACCCTGTCTCTACTAAAAATACAAAAAAATTAGCTGGGTGTGGTGGCGCATGCCTGTAATCCCAGCTACTCGGGAGGCTGAGGCAGGAGTCGGAAGTTGCGGTGAGCTGAGATCGCGCCATTGCACTCCAGCCTGGGCAACAAGAGCGAAACTCCATCTCAAAAAAAAAAAAAGAAAAGAAAAAAGAAAAGTGAAGAGTTGGTTCATTAGGCATCAGAATTGTTTCTTCCATGCCAATAAATTAATTTTAATTGAACGTATCTTTCAAATACAATTTGGTATAGTGTCTACACAGAGTAAAAAGAAAACAAAGAGAAGTTAAAATAATTTTATAGACTATGAGAAGAAAAGAAGGATAGTATAAGATTGGCCATAAGAAGCAAAAGGAATTACCTTTCACGCAGCAATATGTTTCCTGCCTTTTGTGGCCTATAAATATAACTAGTTATGACATGTTGGGAGTAATATAATGTTTTCAGTTCCAGTTTTCTCACTGGCCTCTGAAATGTAAATATCTGCCAGTCAGTCATCAACTTTTTACAGTTCACCATGCTCTGTGTGGTTCTAGGTTTGTAATAATGGATTTCCTTTGCAGATATATCAGGTGACAACAGCACCAGATCTTGGGCTCACATAAAGCCACGTGAAGAGTTGGGCAGGGTTTTCCTTGCAAAAGAGCAGGTACAAAACATAAGCTCATTTGACACAGTTGTCAGTCTCATTTTCCCAAAAATGTGGGTGTCTGTGGTATCAATGCTAGTTGGATCCATAGGCTGAATAAAAATCCTTTTTGGTGCTGAAACTCTGCCTGCCCCGGGATATCTCTCCCACTGACCTCCCAAGTACCTTCAGATAACAAAGATTGAGCTAGTTTGTACTGTTTCTTTGGATGACAGCATGAATTCTTCCATTGAAATAAATTTGTTTAGTGCATTATTTGCAGACATCTCAGTTGGCCCTTGGGAAATGAAGTAAAAAAAAAAAAAGAAAGAAAAAACAGGTACATTTTGATGTGTCACTGAAGAATTGAGGGAATAGGAGCAGGAAGGGAACCATCCAGGATGTGAGAGAACTTGGAGTTCTGGGAACAGCCAGGCAGCTGCTTGGTGCTGGTATTGCTTTTGTCATTTTTGGTTGCTATGGTCACCCTCTGAAGTGGGTACTGATATTTCCATTTTCCGGGTAATGAAACAAAGTCTGTGTAGATGATAAATGGCAGATCCCAGATTAAATTTAGGTCAAGATCTTAATCACTGTGCCATTCAGCAGCATTCACTGCAGGAAGAGAGTGAATTTTAGTCATCTATTGTTTCCCAGAAGGAAAGGTGTGCACAAAACTGGCAGAGAAAGCTCAGACCATCATCTCCCTGACTCAGAAAATCTTGCTTAATTATGTTTTACACATGTAGATAATCATGTATCTTGTACTTTTAGAGGATTGTTCTAAGAAGTGTTTCTGCTTTCCACCACTTTTTACTGCCTTAATCATGATGTGGTGTTTTCTTTGTTTACATTTTGGTAGAAGATTGATTAAAGCAGCAAACTAGCTCTAATTGTGTACTTATAAATATTCTTTAATCTTCCCAAGTGTTTATATTTTCTCTTCCTAATTTGATTACAAGCATTTCAAAAAGCAGAACTATATCCAACTCATATTGAGTTCTCCAAAAAGTGTTTAATAAATGCTTGGAAGCAAAATGGGCTAATGGAAACTTTATGAACTTCAGGCTTAAGAGAGAATCCACTTGGTTGTACCTCTTAGAGAAGGTATATGGCAATGACATAATTTTACTATTATTGGTCCTAAATAACCTCAAGATACAGTAGAAACTGTGGTCTTATTTTTAAAAAGAATAGTCAATGCAAATTTCAAAATTTGACAGATTCAAATACACACCAGTGTTAAATGCTAGTTTAACACACACCACACACACACAAACACACACACACACACGTATGGTATTTTAAGATTCACTGTCCATATGATATCCATACTATTCAAGATAGTGATATTAGAATTTAAGCCAGTAAAAGTTTAGCTCTTTTGAAATAGGTATAAATCTTATCAGTATATAAGAAGTATTTATGACTCTGGGATAACATATTCAAAGTGCTGAAAGAAAATAAAGAAACTGTGAATCAGATACTTGATATCCAGCCTACCTACTATTCAAATGTGAAATTGGAAAAAATTACATTTTCAGATAAATGGAAACTGAAATAATAATTTATTGCCAATAGACCTGCTATAAAACAAAACAAAAACTTAAAGGACATGATTTCATCTGAAGGTAAATGAGACTAGATGGCATTTCAGTTCTTTAGGGAGAAACAAAGAACACCAGGCATTGTAAAAATATATGCAAATAAAATAAATGATGCGTATTTTCTTTGTTTCCTTAATTTTGTTGATATAATATGGCTTTTTAAAGCAAAACATTACATTATATTGATGGTTTTTATAATGTACATAGTTGAGATATGTAACAAAATGTGGTGCAAGGATGGGAATAAATTGAAATATACTATCACAGAGGTTCTTTATTATGCAAGAAGAAAGTCAGTATCAACTCTATATAGATTAGTATAAATTTAATATGTGTTGTAATTCCCAGAGCAGCCACTAAAATGTATGTGAAGAGAAGCTGCTAGAAAGCCAATAGAAAAATTAAAATTGAATGCCAGTAAAAGGCAAGATAGGAAAAAACAAGGCAATAGTAATAACTACAATATCTGAAAAAAGAGACACAAATATTAAATGATACAATCCTATGAATAACTACATTAAATGTAAATGAACTTAACATTCCGATCAGAAGATAAAGACTCATACTTGATATAAAGGCAAGAACTAAGTATATGCTGTGTACAAGAGATACATTTGAACTACAAAGACACAAATAGACTAAAGGTAAACACATGGAAAAAGATATACCATGAACAAGATAGCCAGGAGAAAGCTGCAGGAACTATGTTAATATTAAAAATAGACTTCAGTATAAGGAGGGACACTACAAATGATAAAAGGGTCTGTGCATTAGGAAGATATAACAATTTTAAATGTATATTTGCCTAATAACATTGTGAAAATATGTGAGACAAAATCTATGAAGAAAAATAAGGATAAGCAGATAAATCCACAAACGTGGATGGAGACTTTAACACACACTCTAAGTAGCTGACAGAATAATCAGATCTAAAAAGAGATATAGAAAGTCTAAATGACAGTCAATGACTTTATCCCAATTGACATTTACAGAACACTAAAACAACAGCAGCGGAACACACATTTTAAAAAGCACATCTATATAGATACGCATAGTTAACACCCAGTATTTGCACTCTGAGATGCCTAGTGAGATCTGTTTACATACAAATTAAATAATGCAAACAATGGTGAGAGGACGGAATTGTCAGCAAAGGGTGTGAGAGAACTTTTGTTGCAAATGGCAAAGTTGTATACCACAATTGAGGCATTGGATGATATATATATAAATCCTATATATATACACACACACACACACAATTTGATGAGTTTTGACAAATGCATATATTTGTCAAATGCATATATTTGTCAAAAAATATATATCAGTGTGTTTGTCAAAACTCATCAAATTATACATTTAAAATTGCTGACTTTTATTGTATATAAATTACACTGTAATAAAAATACTCATCCTCTAAAACCCAATGATGAACTCTTCTGAATGTTAAAAATGGAAGGAATAAATGGGTACAATTTATTTCCACAAAAATATCATCACCTTTTATTTACCAATAATGCATACATACATAGCTTCCATTTTCAATAATTGCTTTATAGATATTTTTAATGATACTGAGTAGCCATTACTCTTTTTTTGGGGGGGTGGGGTACTTATTTTTTTTTTCTTTTATTATACTTTAAGTTTTAGGGTACATGTGCACATTGTGCAGGTTAGTTACTTATGTATACATGTGCCATGCTGGTGTGCTGCACCCACTAACTCATCATCTAGCATTAGGTATATCTCCCAGTGCTATCCCTCCCCCCTCCCCCCACCCCACAACAGTCCCCAGAGTGTGATGTTCCCCTTCCTGTGTCCATGTGATCTCATTGTTCAATTCCCACCTATGAGTGGGAATATGTGGTGTTTGGTTTTTTGTTCTTGCAATAGTTTACTGAGAATGATGATTTCCAATTTCATCCATGTCCCTACAAAGGACATGAACTCATCATTTTTTATGGCTGCATAGTATTCCATGGTGTACATGTGCCACATTTTCTTAATCCAGTCTATCATTGTTGGACATTTGGGTTGGTTCCAAGTCTTTGCTATTGTGAATAGTGCTGCAATAAACATACGTGTGCATGTGTCTTTATAGCAGCATGATTTATACTCCTTTGGGTATATACCCAGTAAAGGGATGGCTGGGTCAAATGGTATTTCTAGTTCTAGATCCCTGAGGAATCGCCACACTGACTTCCACAATGGTTGAACTAGTTTACAGTCCCACCAACAGTGTAAAAGTGTTCCTATTTCTCCACATCCTCTCCAGCACCTGTTGTTTCCTGACTTTTTAATGATTGCCATTCTAACTGGTGTGAGATGGTATCTCATTATGGTTTTGATTTGCATTTCTCTGATGGCCAGTGATGGTGAGCATTTTTTCATGTGTTTTTTGGCTGCATAAATGTCTTCTTTTGACAAGTGTCTGTTCATGTCCTTCGCCCACTTTTTGATGGGGTTGTTTTTTCCTTGTAAATTTGTTTGAGTTCATTGTAGAGTCTGGATATTAGCCCTTTGTCAGATGAGTAGGTTGCAAAAATTTTCTCCCATTTTGTAGGTTGACTGTTCACTCTGATGGTAGTTTCTTTTGCTGTACAGAAGCTCTTTAGTGTAATGAGATCCCATTTGTCAATTTTGTCTTTTGTTGCCATTGCTTTTGGTGTTTTAGACATGAAGTCTTTGCCCATGCCTATGTCCTGAATGGTATCCATTACTCTTAACCTTCTCTCAATGTACTTTGCCATCAATAAGAATAGTCATTCTTATTCTTAACAATTTTAAGAAGGTCGTATTGACTATAGAGTATTGCATTTTTACTTGATATTCACAAAAGGAGCCATGGGCTATAATCTAGTGGTTCTCAAATTTAGCATGCATCAGCATTACCTGGAGGGCTTGATAAATACAGATTGCTGGGTCCCATCTCCAGAGTTACTAATTCAGTAATTCTGTGTGAACCTCTGGATTTTGCATTTTTAGCAGGTTCCCACATATGGTGATGATATTGGCACATGAACTATATTTTGAGAACCAATATTATGAAGACTATGGAGAATAAAAGTGATCATCGGTTTTTCATGTGCGTTCAAGAGAGCAATTTGAATCTATACATGAGGGGCAGCACGCAAAGCACAGATAAAGTTTTTTTTTTGGTCCAAGGATCTCCAGAGTCACTCACTTATTTGAGAGAGACTGTTAGCCAAAATATATTGTTGTTACATTAAGTATTTAATTATGTACCTTTTCCAGGAATGACTCAACAAAGGAATAAACTTCTTTGCTCAAGAAATACATGCAATTTTAATATTAATTTCAACATTTTCTCATAGTCTGGATGAAAACTCCACTAACATAAAAACCATGTCTTCTTGTTTAGCTTAGTAATACGGCTAGAGTAAGCAATCCTAACTATCAATGGTGAAGTACCCTGTATATTGATGCTCTTCAGTTTTTCTGGCTTAGAATGTTGTTGTTCTTTTTTCCCCTTATGAATTCAAAGTTTTCTTTAAAATGAAGGTTAAATTCCTTTTCACTCATAAACATCTTCATTAGATAGCCTTAGTTCAAAATGGATCTTCTTGATTTTTGTAGACAGTACCTTTGTTGACAGCATGCCATGTAACATTTGATTATCGTTATCTTTTTGCTTTCTACTAAGTATGTGTAATTTCACTTCTGATTAAATTGTAAGCACATCAAGAAGCTTCCGGGCTTTCTATGTCCACCGCCTTCTGAATTAAGTTATCAATAAGTGCTTGAGTCAGCTTGAGGTAGTGGGAAAAACATGGGCTTTGGTATCAGATGTTGTTGAATGCTGGATGGGCTAATTACCAGTTAGTGATCTTGGTTAAGTTACTCATCCTCTTTGAACACAGATTTGCATATCTAAAAATGAGAAGGGTTTAATTCCTGTGAAATCCACCCCAACTAGCAGCAATGGAGTACACTAAGGCTTGACAAGGTTGTAGGATTTACTCCAAATGCATATCTAAAAAATAAGACATATTTCATGGGATTCCAAATCCCAGCATATTTCTGTATAACACAAAAGTTGAATTAGATAGGCAAACTTAAGCCCAAGCAAATAGAAATATGAGTATTCTTTTCTATGTTAACTGTCTGGTTTTATGGTTGTAAACATGAAGGAGTGCAGTACCAGGAAGTATGTGGAGTTGGTGTTTCATTATTATACTTGGTAAACAAGAGTAATAATTAGGCTAATATCACAAACATTGGCCTAAATATTAGTTTAGCAGAAAATCCTATTTTGATGGTCTTAAAGTCCAGTAATTATGCTTATATTAGAAAATATTTTTAATGAAATTTGTAAGCAGGAAGCCACCGAGTTAAGAAAAAGACACATGAAATAGAAAACGTATTTCAAAACTATATATATGAGATTTATTTCACATTTTCTACCTACTCAGTCATGTGAGCTGTTGCTACATTTGTGAACTTTCTGAAACCAAGTGACAAATATCCACAAAAGATCATTTACAATGTAGACATCACTAAAGTCTAGATTTAAAAGTCCAGTGAAAATGGCACACAGTTGGCTTACAGAAATAAAAAAGTACAATATATTTGAAATAGTAGGGTTTTTGTTTTCCATTTATGCCTACATCATGGTGTTACCTGTGGATATGTTATCAACGATATTGATATCAGATACTATGACCCATGACATTTAGTATTTTTAGCAATAAGAAGCACACTTAAATCTATTTCAAAAATATGACATGTTAAATTCTTAGGAAAGTATCAACTTTACAAAGTATCATACACCTAGAAAAGTAAACATGAATTTCTCAGTCTAGGTTAGAAAAAAAGTGTTTTAAGATTTTTATTAAAAAAATTTAAACAAAATTTGTTTATCTTATCTAGAAACTTATACGATCATGTAAAAGTAAATTTATTTATTCAGTATTATACAGAACAATGGAACCAGTATGGCCTGCAGAGATACAGAGGCTGTGAGAGGAGGTTGGCTTAGTCAAATGCCTCTGTCCACACTGACATGGCACTTACCCAGCACCCGAACCTCCTCCTCCCACCACACGGAGAACCATTTCTGTACTTATAATATAGTTTCTAAAAATAGAACATTGCTGCTATAAAAATAAATGTATTTAAAAAAAACCACGGGTTTAAACAGGAACACAGAATTTGGGGTTTTAAGGCTCTTCCTGGGGGAGGAGCTTCCACTTCACTGAGGGATCAAAATCCTCCTCAAAATCACCCAGCTCCTGCTCCTTGGAGAGCTCCAGGAAAACCTGAAAGGGAGGAAGGAAATAAAGAGAGGAGAACAATGCCGTGCTGCCTCTGCAGCTCCCAGGGAATGTTTTATACACATATACCATGGATGATACGAATCCCTAAAAATGACCCACCTGCTCCAGGGTAGACTGTGAGAGGCTGTACTCCTCTAGGTCAAAGCTCTGTTTAACTGCATAGGGATGAACATGTATTAGTTCATATATTTCATATCTAGAGGTCTCATAAATCAGCATATAGTACAAATGATATATTTTTTAAAAATCTTAAATAGGTTAAGGTAATATTCATTCATGTCTTAAGTACATCGTTCAGTTAAGAATACACCAATGCATTTACTTAGGTTTGGGAGAAAAAGCGCTTGAATTATGCTTGTATGTTGTGCAGTTTTTGCGAACTGTATTTAAAGGAGAAAATGCTACTGAGTAAGCTTTCTTTCTTGCCTGTGGGCCAGTGGGTTTTGCACATTCAACACAGAAACAGGTGGAAGGCAGACATATTTTGAAAAGGCTTGTATCAGAAGATTATGGAGAAGGATTTGTGAGCCTTTTTAGAGAGCAGGTATCTTCACGGACCTCTATCCAAAAACCATTGCAGCTTCCTCTGATTGGGTTAGGAACTGTTCTTTTGACCAAAATAGACTGGGAGAGGCGGTTAGAGCTCTAATAGGAGCTCAGCAGATTGGAAATATGCCACCAAAAGTTTCAGGTCAGTACTGGGCTTAATGCCAACCTGGAGAGTGCTGTGAATGACTACGTGGCCCAGAAAGTTGGAGAGCTCACATACATCAGAGAATGAAAAGAAGATGCATTACTGTGACCACAGATGCTCTCAAGGAGAGAATCAGACAATTCCTGATGCTCTAGCAAGTTAGACAATTCCTCTAGAACTAGAAGATCTGAATCTCTTCCTTAGGGCAGAGGATAAGCAAGCAAAGATATATCACTGAGCAGTGACAATGAAAACAGTATAGCGAGAGAGTTCTGACTAGCACAGTTCAGAGTAGCAGAGTTAATGAGCTAAAATTGCAAGGAAAACATGAACCTGTGATGACAGATGCAGGGAAGTTAGTTCTAAAATGTGACAGATGCGAGGAGATTGTTTCAATGACCAGACAGGAGTCAGTTTCTTAATATACAGGCTAAGACAGTAAAATAATATGCCAGTCCACGGAAAAATTTAATTTTAAATATGTATGCATAGATGTTTCAAAAGAAAGTTTTCTTAAATGCATATATAACTGAGTTTTGACTTAGGTTTTACCAACATACATGCAAAAATACATGACAAAACCCCACAAAGCAAAAGTGAAAAAAATCACTCTCATTATCCCCTGGCACAGACACAGAGAATCCCTCTATCTCCTTGGTTTGGGTCTTCCTAAAATTCAATTTGAGACTGTAACTTTAAAATGTAATGCATTTTGTCACATTTCATTTTTGTCATAAAGGTGATTATTTTATGATTTGAAATTATCTTCTTTCCAGGGTCGTACTTCAAAGTCATACTTCTTACCCTTCTCTAATTTGAAGAAAGCTTGGGCTAAAGGTTGCACATCTTCCACTGGCAACTTATAAACCATCAGAGAGGAGTACCTGAGAGAAAAGGAGAGGTAAGAAGAGTGATACCACTTGTGCCAGATGTGAACTGATGGCAATCATCTCTCTGGTCTTTTTTTTTCTTTTAAAAAATGGTGTTAGGAACATTTAACATGAGATCTACCCTGTTAACAAATTTCGAAGTGAACAATCCAGTACTGTTGACTATGAGTATGTAGGGTCCCCCAGTTTCCTTCACATTTTTCTGTGTTCTGACCAAAAATCAGAGGGTCTTGACTGCTCTGTCATCTGGCCAACAGAAGGTCTTTCCCAGCTGGTTTGAACCCAAGCTAGGGCCTTGAACATTCCCAGGAACAGATAAAGCTATTCAGATTGTTGTCCAAAACAACTAACCCTGACCCTGTGCCAAATTCCTTAAACCTTCATAAAAACTCCATAACCTGACCCCTCACTGTAGACATGCCTAGGTAGAACACCCCTTTTCTCTCACTGTTCATCTCGAAAATTGCTGCAGCCCACTCTGTAAGGAAGTTGCCCTGATAAATGATTTGGACTGATCACTGTGGACTTAGTTCTCTTTTTGGAATCCCAACCGGCCCCATCTTGGGACAGTTTGGGGAACTCTCTTGTGGAAACTCCCCTGCCACTGTGTTTGGGGTGATTCCGGCTGCAGGTTCAGTGGGACAAAAGAGAGTATAATGAGGTACAGAAGATCTCTAAAGCTTATTCATCTTGCTTAACTAAAATTTTACATCTATGATGAGTAACTTCTCATATTCTTCTCTCCCCAGCCTAGTACTATTTGATTCTATGAATTTGACTATTTTAGATATCTTATAAGTAGAATCATGCAGAGTTTGTCTTTATGTGACTGATTTAGTTCACTCAGCATAAAGTCCTCAAGGTTCATCTGTGCTGTCACATGTTGCAGAATTTCTTTTCAAGGTCAGATAGTATTTCATTACATGTACCTAACACATTTACTTCATCCATTTATCTCTCAGTGAACACTTAGACTGTTTACACATCTTGGCTATTAAGAATAGTGCTGCAATGAAAATGTGGGTGCAGGTATCTCTTTGAGATCCTGATTTCAGTTCTTTTGGATACATACCCAGAAATGCAATTGCTAGGACGTAAGATAGTTCTATTTTTGATATTTTGAGAATCTACCATATTGCTTTCCATAGTGGCTGCACCATTTTGCATTTCTACCAAAAGTGTGCAAGCATTCCAATTTCTCCACCTCCTTAGCAACAGTTATTTTTTTGGGGGGAATAGCCATCCATCTTAGTCCAGTTTTTTGTTGCTATGACACTATACCACAGACTGGGCAATTTATAATAAAAATAATTTATTTCTTATTATTCTGGAGGCTGGGAAGTTACAGATTGAGGGGATACATCTGGTGAGGGTTTTCTTGCTGTGTCATAACTTGGCAGATGGCATTATAGGGTGGGAGGGGCACTCAAGAGAGAGCCAAACTGGCTTTTATAACAGACCCACTCCCAAGATAACTAACTTACTCCCGAGATAACCTATCAATCCTTGAATAGATTAATCCACTCATGAGGGCAGAGCTTTCATGACCTAATAATCTCTTAAAGGTCCCACCTGGTCCTACCTTTTAATACCATCAAAATGGTAATTAAATTCCGACATGAGTTTTGGAGGGGACACTCAAACGATAGCACCATCCTAACAGATGTGAGGTGATATCTTATTGTGGTTTTGATTTGCATTTCCCTGATGACTAATGACATTTAACAGTTTTTCATATACATGTTCATTTGCATATCTTCTTTGGAGAAATGTCTATTCAAGTCCTTAGCACATTCTTAATTGGGTTATTAGTTTTTTTTTGCTACTGGAGTTTAGGAATTTCCTATACACAGTCATAGGCCACATAATGATGTCATAATCAATAATGGACTACATATATGACAGTGACCCCGTAAGCTTATAATGGAGCTGAAAAATTCTATTGCTTAGAGACATCATAGCCATGATGACATTATAGCATAACATATTACTTATGTGTTTGTCGGGATGCTGGTGTAACCAAACTTACTGTGCTGCCAATCATAAAAAAGTATGCAATTATCTATAGTACACAATACTTGATAATGATAAATGACTATGTTACTAGTTTATGTATATACTATACTATACCATACTATACTTTTTATCATTATTTTAGAGTGTACTACTTCTACTTATAAAAAAGTTAACTGTAAAAAAGCCTCAGGCAGGTCCTTCGGGAGGTGTTTCAGAAGAAGGCATTGCACAGGGATCTACAACTGGAAATACCATTTGACCCAGCCATCCCATTACTGGGTATATACCCAAAGGACTATAAATCATGCTGCTATAAAGACACATGCACATGTATGTTTATTGCGGCATTATTCACAATAGCAAAGACTTGGAACCAACCCAAATGTCCAACAATGATAGACTGGATTAAGAAAATGTGGCACATATACACCATGGAATACTATGCAGCCATAAAAAATGATGAATTCATGTCTTTTGTAGGGACATGGATGAAATTGGAAATCATCATTCTCAGTAAACTATTGCAAGAACAAAAAACCAAACACCGCATATTCTCACTCATAGGTGGGAATTGAACGAGATCACATGGACACAGGAAGGGGAATATCACACTCTGGGACTGTTGTGGGGTGGGGGGAGGGGGGAGGGATAGCATCGGGAGATATACCTAATGCTAGATGACGAGTTAGTGGGTGCAGCGCACCAGCATGGCACATGTATACATATGTAACTAACCTGCACAATGTGCACATGTACCCTAAAACTTAAAGTATAATTAAAAAAAAATAAAAAATAAAAAATAAAAAAAATAAAAAAAAAGAAGAAGGCATTGCTATCACAGGAGATGACAGCTCCACATGTGTCATTGCCCCGAAGACCTTCCAGTGGGACAAGATGTGGAGATAGAAGACAGTGATGTTGATAATCCTGACTCTGTGTAGGCCTCAGCTAATGTGTGTGTGTTTGTGTCTCACTTTTTAATAAAAAATGTTAAGTAGAAAAAACAAATGAATAATTTTAGAAATAGAAAATAGCTTATAGAATATGGATATGAAAAAAGAAAATATTTTTGTACAGCCATACAATGTGTTTGTATTTTAAGTTACGTGTTACTACAAAAAAGTTAAAAAGTTAAAAAAATTTTAGAAGTTTATAAAGTTACAGAACACTAAGGTTAATTTATTAAATAAATTTTAAAAGTAAATTTAGTGTAGCCTAAGTGTACAGTGTTTATAAAAGTCATGTACAGTAATGTCCCAGGCCTTCGCATTCACTCACCACTGTCTCACCAATGGTCGCCCAGAGCTACATCCAGTCTTGCAAGCTGCGTTCATGGTAAGTGCCCTATACAGGTGTATCATTTTTTATCTTTTATGCCGATTTTTACTCTATCTTTTGCTATGTTTAGATACACAAGTTCTTATTGTGTTACAATTGCCTACAGTATTCCCTGCAGTCACATGCTGTACAGGTTTGTAGCCTAGGAGCAATAGGATATACCATATAGCCTAGGTTTGCAGTAAGCTACACCATCTAGGTTTGTGTAAATTCACTCAGTGATATTCACACAATGATGAAATTGCTTAACGACCCATTTCTCTGAAAGTATCCCTATTGTTCAGCAGTGCATGACTGTATTTTGGACATTAACCCTTTGTCATATATATAATTTGCAAATAATCCTCCCATTCCATAGGTTGCCTTTCACTTTGTCAATTGTTTCTTTTGCTGTGTGGAAGCTTTCTAGTTTTATATCATCCCGCTTGTTTATTTTTGTTTTTATTGTCTATGCTTTTGTTGTCATATCCATGAACTCATTGCCAAGACCAATGTCATGAAGCTTTCCTCCTATGTTTTCTTCTAGGAGTTCAACAATTTCAGGTCTTATGTTTATGTCTTTCATCCATTTTGAGTTGATTTTTGTG
Organism: Homo sapiens; assembly: GCF_000001405.40. NCBI lineage: Eukaryota > Metazoa > Chordata > Mammalia > Primates > Hominidae > Homo > Homo sapiens. The sequence continues at coordinate 68,873,727 of NC_000017.11, forward strand.
TATGGCATAAGATGGGGTCTAGTTTCATTCTTCTGCATGTGGATATCCTGTTTTCCCAACACAATTGGTTGAAGAGACTATCCCTTCCCCATCATGTATTCTTGGCACGCTTTTTGAAGATCAGTTGGCCATATATTCAGGGATTTATTTCTCGGCTGTCTATTCTGTTCCTTTGATCAATATGTTGGTCTTTACACTAGTGCCATATTGTTTTGATTTGTGTAGCTTTGTATGTGGGTTGTTATTTCTATAAATGAGAGTCAGTTTTGTGTAGGAAAAAAGGGTAAGGTGAATTGATAATAATCAAAAGGAAGCAGTTCACAAGGAGAACTGGGGGAAGGGAGTGTAATACTCAGACAGTTTAGTGTTGTTGGCCCCTTGGATGGAAGTGAGTAGGTGCTGTCCAGATGATATTTCAAGATTTGCCAAAGTCATCTTCCACCTTGTTTTCTAACTGAATACTTGATCTTCAACTTCATCCTTCAACAAGGAATTTATACTGCATAGTTTCTTAAAGTTCCTCAAATAGGGTAGAAATCTAGATATATTTCCCACAAGTCACATATCTCTCCTTCTCCTCCATCCTACTCAAACTGCCTTCCTAATAGAGGATAATGTAATTGAGCCTCTGGTTAGAAGAGCAGAAATTCAGCACCAAATAAGGTAGGCAACAACATTTTTTAATATTTTGTTTCTCAGATAAATGTTTGTCTTTTCATCATTTGAAAATTAAGAAGATTTACATTTCATTTCACAAGACATCATTACATATATTTATGGTGCAGTCATTCTCACCTATTTCGCTTATTCCCTGTGGCTTCATGATGTATTTCTATACAGCCATGAGCTGGACATTGAATTATAGCATTGCTTTTCCATTTATATTACACTGTAGAAATATATTTTCCCACATTGTTATGATGACTTATTTCTCCTTGTTATCATTTTTTTCACCTAACTCCTAAATTATCTATCATCTGCTATAAATTCTAGGTGTTAAAAATGATCCTAAGGCTACTCTTTAATTTTTTTCTGTCTATGAAAATAAATACATCAGGATGATGCTGTTACCAGAATTTACATAAAATTGGAAATGTTAATTGATTTGAAATAAAATAATTAGGTTTACCTCTTGGTTCTGCCACTTGTTAACTTCTCATGTGACCTAACCTGTCTCTCAGCCAATTTCCACTTCATAAAGATAATAATCAATTTCATTTACGAAGGATACTCACAACGCTTTTTTGAAGTCTACTCATTTTTTTTACTGGAATAGCTATGTCTACGGTGAAAAGTCTCTGTAAGTTTTGGATAGGATAACACAATACCAGGACAGCCCCTGGCGCATAGTGGAACCATGACATTTGCTATATCAGCTCTTACGTCTGCTTTCTCTTCTCTAGTTTACTTCCTGCAGAATCCAACAAATAATCTCTTTCTTTTAGGTTTTCCTTTTGAATGACTATCACTCAACATAACTGACAAGTAACAGTGAACATTTGGTACCATTTCCAAAACAGCAACCATGTTTACCTTTCCTGCCGAGCAGCCTGGGGGAAAAGCCTCAGGATCTCTGCATGGAGGGGCTCCACTTGTGCCAGGTTCTTCACCTTCATCTCCAGCAGGTAATCTTTGCCAAATTTGCTTTTCAGGTGTTGGATGGAACCGATACATCTGGAGGATGAGGTCATATGAGAAAGGAGAAAAAAAAAACCATTCAGTATGTTGTTTGAGAAACTTGATTTGCTGCTAGCATTGTCTCAAGGTCCCTATTGTTAGACCTGGGCACAGTCATTTCAGCTGTTTTCAGTGATCTCTCCCTGCCACAGACAAAAATTTCCAGCAATGCACCTTGGGCTCAAGTGTGGGTCCAGGACAGGCACTCACCTCAACCTCCCAGATACCATGATGGCCACTCGGTCACACACGGCCTCAGCCTCTGCCATGTAGTGGGTGGTTAGGAGGGCACCCCTTTCCGTGTTTCTAAAGGTGGCCCGGATGGCCTGCCTATAATGTCAAGAGATTATTTGCAATTTAGGAAATCCTCTAATTAATCAGAAAGAGATAGAGAAAAGAATTTTTAACTGGCATGCGTGTGAATAATTAGCAAAAAGAGATTAAGTAAAAGAGGGTTCTTAATAGGGCAGGTAGGATGAGGAAGGACAAGCTAGGTGAGAGCTGTTAAACTGGAATCATGCATTGGAAGAGGGGCGTTTACAGAACACAACATTCATTATAGGGTTGTGTTCAAAGAGAAGTGCTAAGCAAGAGAGGCTTGTTTGTGAGAAGTCTGTGTGAAGGGGAACAGAATGACATAAAATTTAACAACAGCGTCTCACAACCTAGTGAGAAGAAAATAAAATGTACAGTAAACACGTACAATGACAACCATGTTTACACCTTAATGAGAACTACTGTTCTCATGCTAAGTATGGAACACTACGTGATTGTGATCTAGAAATGCACCTAAAAGATCAGCTGAGCGCTTATGAAACTCAAGAGTGAGACCTATGGGCCCTAACAATGGTAATTCTTTCTTCAATAAGAAATGGTTGTAAAATATCATCAGGGAAAGATCTTTTTTTTTTGCAAAGTATTGGTTTTACAAGTGACATTGATAGTTTTTTTGTTCTCCACAAAAGAGTTTAAGGGACAATTTTTACAGAAGAAAAATGGTTCACAGGCTCCATGCAAGTCATCCGTGCTGTCCCTGACCGTGGTAATGTTCCTCACCACATTTGCTGCTGCCCCTCGGGGTCCATCCCGGTCGACGGCTCATCCAGAAGCACCACTGACGGGTTCCCCAGTATGCTCAGGACAAAGCACAGCTGCAACGGGAGGAACAGCCCATCTGGTTCCCATCTATGGCACTTGCAGAGCAACACCAAGCCCTGCCCGTACCTTTCTCTTTATTCCCTCTGACAAGGTCTTCACGGGAGACTTCAGCTGGTCCTGCAGCTTGAGCGCATCCACTAACCTGAAGGAAACAGGAGAGTCGTACAGTCTTCTTGACAAGAGGAAATAGATAAGAGGATAACCCAAGCAAGGGTGGAGAAGCAGAACTCAAAAATGCAGTTCTGGAAATACATGTGGTCGGGGGGCAGGGAAGGAGGGGTGATATTACTGGCTGACTTGCTCCCCTACAAAAGATAATATTGCTTTTTGAAGAAATAGAAGGACATGACATGATATCCAAATAGTTGTTCTATGACAGTCCAAATTTTAGTATTTTCTATACATTTTAGCAATGAATAATTACTTTTTAAATTTTAAATTTTATTATTATTATTTTTTTGAGACAAGGTCTGACTCTATCCCCGAGGCTGGAGTGCAGTGGTGTAATCTTGGCTCACTGCAGCCTCTGCCTCCTGGCTCAAGCCATCCTCCCACCTCAGTTTCCCAAGTAGCTGGGACCACAGGTGCGCACCACCATGCCCGGCTAATTTTTGTATTTTTGTATTTTTCTTTTTAATTTAGAGATGAGGTTTCACCAAGTTGCCTAGGCTGGTCTGAAACTCACGAGCTCAAGCAGTCCACCTGCCTCAGCCTCCCAAAGTGCTGGGGTTAGAGGCATGAGCCACTGCGCCCAGCCTTTTTAAATTTTCTTATTTAATATGAGAAAGAAACTTAATACTTTGATATCCAGGAAAGGAGTTTCTAGTTGTAAATCTACCCAGTGTGACCTGGGTCAGCATTTAGAGTCTCCCATCCTGAATTTCCTGTGAGGGTCATCACTCTCAACCTCCTCCACCCCTCCCTTGGGTATAGAACAGATGTGGCTCCTCTGTGTACCGTGTGATGGCAACCTCAGCATCCCCTTTCCTCAGCCCTTTCACGGCGGCGTACACCTCCAGGTGCTGCCTCACTGTCAGGTTGGGCCACAGCGCGTTCTCCTGAGGGCAGTACCCCAGGAACTCCAGGGCATCCCCTCCACCGCTCCCTTTCAGTAGCACCTGCAGATGAAAGTTCCCTCTCAGAACCTACCTTCTGCACTGCTTCTTTGAGTATTTCCATGACATCATTCTCTTCACGAACCTAGAAAAACTAGAGAAACTCTAAACCTCATTGGGTTTAATAATCTGTAATCATTTTGCATTGGAGAAAGGTTGTCAGAGAGCAAATACAGGAAAATAAGTGTGTCCACAGCCAACAATCCAATCTCAGCTGAAAAATCCAATATCCCATAAATGTGGTGCCTGTCCATCCTGGCCAACAGTTTATATCCATTTTTTTTAAATCACTGTCAAAATGAAGCATATTGATTGAATTACTATTTAACTTCGCTCATGGATCAACATCTTTTGAGTACCTCCTATGTAACAAGTGCTGTGTTGCCTGTGGGTACAGCGGAGGGTGGAATAACTAGTGCTTCGTTATCTGGAGTTTTCATTCTACTGAATGAATCAGGCAATAAACAAGTAGAGAAATGAACATGCAGAATAAAGACAGATCAAAAGTGGTGCTGTTATGGAAATTCAGGAGGCTGGGGTAAGAATAACTGGGGAAGTGGCAGTAGGTAGGGTAATTAGAAAGAGCCTGTCTTCTGAGGGCCATTTCAACAAAGAGGAGAAGATGCTAGTCATGGAAAAAAAGGCAAGAGCAAGGAATCTGGGGCAGAGCAAGAGCGAGACCAAAGCCCTGTGTGGGGATGAAGCTTGATGTGGAAGCTTGACGGGGAGGACAAATATGTGGCAAGAGGGACAGGGAAGCCAGTTCCTGCAGCTGCTTGCAAGACAAGCAGGGATGTGTCCTTCCAGCCATAGAGCAGCAAGCGTTCACTGAAAGTATTTAATCAGGAGAATGCATGGATTAAAAAAACTCACGCTGGCTGATCCAATTAAGCTTATTTTGTGACACCCAAATGGCTGGCTTTCTACTTCAGGTCAGACTTACCTTTTACAAGATTTCATTCCAATGTATTAATGAGCAGTTATCTCCTTTCCTCCCATGCTTAATGAGAAATAAAATACTGACTTTGGGCCCAGGTGGTGACTGAGTTGGAGGGTGTCCATGATTGAAGTTAAGGACTAAATTAGAGTTGGCCAAGCCACCAGCAGAGAGGTACCTTCATGAACATCTGCTCTCACTGTGGCTACAGAGGGATTGTGAATATCGGTTTTCTCTTCTTTCATTAGTGGAGTATTTGTCAATAGCATTCCAAGCTGTCTTTTCCTTTCTTGGCTTGACTACTAGCCCCTTTCCCACGGTACAGTTTCACAGGCATCTGCCTTATATTCTGTTCTGTACTTCCCTTGGACATTCTTTGTAAAAGAGTTCTTAAGGTTTTCTATCTTCTGCCATAGAATTTAGGAGAAAATGTTTTATCTCTACCCCATGATGTCTCTCTTAGATAAACCTGAGCTCTTTTTCTGTTTGCCTAGCCACCTTATACAACTAAATTAGAAGTACAATTAAAGTCAATTTCACCCCCTTGTATCTAATTTTTGATCTATTTCTTGAAAACACTCCCCAAAAATAGTTGCATTTGCACAAAAATGTATGTTCCAATAACTAAGCATTTTGTGAAGGACAACTGTCTAATACAGTTTTTTAAAAACAGTTTTATGAAAGATTAAATATTACATACTGGAAAGACAATGCTCACTGAAAGTGCAAATCCGTGTGACTGATGGCAGTATAAATAGGATGTGTGTGAATTCTGGCATTAATTTCAGCTCTGATGCTGGACATTCTCTCTTAATGCCTTTAATAATTACCCCTTGATGGTGGCTGCAGCCCGTCTGCAGCCATCACAGCAAAGATGCTGGCTGCAGCAAGGGAGACGTCTTAATACCTTTAATAGTTACTCCTTGATGGCAGTGGCAGCCTGTCTGGAGCCACCACAGCAAAGATGCTGGCTGTAGCAGGGGAGGTGTGACTGGGGCTGTGTACTCCGGGGGACTGGCAGGGGCCAGAAACAGGTAAGAGCCCTGCCCTTCGCTGAATTGGAGCATCCTTTACTGAATCTCAGGGGCAGTTGCATGCTCCAATTTTGGAGCAAAGTTGTGGCCAAGCCCAGGTGCTGTTGCAACCCTGCTGGGTGTGTACGTGCCCAGGGTGGAACTGCCATGCCAGCCTCCTGCCACCTCAGCTCGCTCTGGATTTTGGGCCCTGACAAGTGTGGGAGGGAGTCCGGGGGGGTGCTGAGGGCAGCTCAGCATGGACTTGCAGGTGCACCTCAGCACAAACCACCTGGGTGCCATAGATGGCATGTTGATGGCAGCAGGCAGACAGGTTCCTGGATAGAAAGGGGTGGTTCTCTGGTGAAACCCCACCTTCAAGCCACCTTCAAGCTTCAGGGATGGCCTGAAGCCTGGGTGCCAGGCTGCCGGTTCTAGGTGGAGTCTGTGACCCAGAGTGAGAACTTATGATGCTTTTTCCAGGCCTGCCCATGGCCACTCATGGACCAAATGGCACACACTTCCTCCTTTCTGAGCCCATAAAAATCCTGGACTCAGCCAGATTCACACAGACTTAGGGACTACCAGCTGCAGAAAGGAGCTACCCACTTTGGGTCTCCTCTCCATTAGGGGCTGGACACTCATCGAGATGACCTGCCTACAAATAGGAGACCCACTTTGGGTCTCCTGAGAGCTATTCTGTCGCTCAGTGAAGCTCCTCACCTCCAGTTATTCACATACCTCATTCTTCCTGGACATGGGACAAGAGCTCAGGACCTGCCAAATGGTGGGACTAAAAAAGCTGTAACACAAACAGGGCTGAAACATGCCCCCCACTTGCCATGTTGCAGGCAATGAGAAGCAGAGAAGAGCTGCAGCCCTTCGGGGATCCCAGACTTAGGGGATCCCCGAGCCAGGGCTGTGACATCCTTTTTAGGGCTCTGTGGTTTCTGGCACCTCCAAGCTTCTGGGTGCCACCACATTTTTTGGTGCCTGCAGTGGAAGCCGCTTGCAGTATGCAAGCATGGAGGTGGCGCCTGTGCCAGTGCCTGGAGCAGCCTGCCCCACCACAACCAGCATGCCTGGCTGTGTGCAGCAGCCAGACCCCATGCTTGCTCACACACCCATCACCGCTATGCACCTGGCTCATTCTTGGCAGGCTTGGGATCCAGGCTGGTGGCATGAACAGAGTGCAGCCTGCTGAGCTGAGTGGACAGAATGAGCCCAGCGGGTCTGAGCCAAACTTGGGCAAAGGCGCCACCAGCTCCAGAGGTTTTGACTGGAAAAGCGACACCCTAAGGATTCTGTGACAACCTTTCAGTGCTTAGCTTTTGTGTGCATTTATGTGATAATTCGTGAATTTATTCTCTTGGGTAGTTCATTAATCACTTCAGTTATATAAGGATTAAGTGGAATCTGTTGTTTTTAAGGTCATCAAATCTTATCAATCTATTTCACCATTAGATAACATATTTTCCACATAATTCACCTACTTGTCCAGCAGTTGGTTTTGTGTCTCCAGTTATCACCTTAATGGATGTGCTTTTACCAGCTCCATTGTGTCCTAATAATCCTAAAACTTCACCTGAAAAAAAGGTTACACTTAATATTAATCTATTTTAATGGTAACATTAAGAGTAAAACATAGTTGAAATCTCACTATGTGACAAGCATTTGCTATTAGTTGTCATTTAATTGTCACAACCACCCTGAGAAGTTGTTATTTTAGCCCCTTCTTATGTAGTTGGGGCAGAAGCTCTCAATGATGGGGTTACCTGTGCAAAGTCACACTGATGGAAAGTGGCAAAACCACTCTTGGAAGCCAAGTGTTTCAGATTCTGTCTCCTGTGATCCTAACCTTGGTGCAATAATGGCACAAACTGAGGTCATCTAACACTTGCTGGCCAAGCCTTCAGAGTGTGCTAGCACATCTTGGTTCTCTTGTGAAAAACAATGAACTTTAGGAAATCAATTGTGTTCATTTAATAGAAATGTTATTACTTCAAAAGTTCATCTTATTAGAGAGCTTATGGTTTAGTTGTAGATGTGACTAGGCTCCTCTTTGTGAGGTGAGTTAATTTAAGTTAGAAATGAAACATACAAAGGAAGCTGTCATTGTCATTCTCCTCTGGGTCTGCATGTGAACCAAGAGGTGGTTTCCAGAATAATGCTCATTAGGAACCAGGAACCTCTGAGGAGGGCTCTGAGCCAGAAGTGGAAGATCCCTATGGCCAACCTTTTCTAACACAGAAGGAGACATTTCTCGTGGCTATCTTATTCTTCCTCTTGGAAAAACAGCCTTTCCTCTTCCCTGCATACTCCTTGCGTAGACAGCTGGCAATGATGACTGGCTTCTGTAAATGACAAGAAGTTATTATGTCAGACCTTAATTCTCTCCATTAGCTTTGAAACAAAATTCCATCTTCCCATTGGCTGGACCCTTTGTTGCCCCAGCCATGCATCAAAGAAGACCTTCTATTTGGTGACATGCTCCTTGGCCATGCCCTATCCTAACACTTGCTTTTGGAGAGGAGAGACTCATTTTCCTCTCCTACAAAGGCAGTTTTTTCAGGAGCACAGTATTTTATACAGCTTGCCTGTCCTTTCAGATCAAACGGGGGCAATGAAACTTAGAGAAGCACTGATTATCCTCAAACAACAAAACAAATGCTGTGGGCTGGACCTGACCCTGAATTTGTACTGTGCACTTTCTCCAACAAGCAATGATGTCTGCTGCTTAGCTCAGATTCTGAAATTCTTTCTTGGCTTTAATAATTTCTATTGCACTCTATTTTTAATTTATTCTAAGAACAAAAGAGTTAACATGACTTTTAGTCGCTCATTTAATCGTAAAAATGGCAATTACCTACTAAAATAGTGATCCTCATTTGTAAGGAACAGAGAAACTCAAAATCATTAGAGAATTAGACTGGTAGACTGACTAATAAAAAAACCTTTGTGTTATGTTTTACCTCATCAAAATTAGTAGAATTCAAGGCATTTGCTGTTCTCACTCTTTCCATCTGAACATCTTCATCCTCTCCTTCTGGTTCTTCTGGATTTTGACACACATCACTACTTCTTGGAGAAATTCTAGAGTCAAAACCATCCATTAATATTGATTTCTGGCTTTCATCTTTGTATCAAAAGTTGCATTATTTAAAGCATATGTTTGAGTAGTACGAGCAATTAACAAACCATCATAATCTCCCTTCACAACTCTCATCCCCTTAAAACCTCCTTGCTTATCTTATCTATAGAAATATGTTTTTTTCAATATCAACTTGAAACCTAATAGCTGACGAAGAATTTTTATATCATAGCTCAATGAAGTAATTTTTCTGGGAACCCTGGCTTTGACACCACCATGTTGACATCATTATGTTTTCATGGGGAAAATGGGCCAGAATATTTGTAATCAGGAGTTTCTAGCAAAATACAAGTTAGATGCTTGATCTCTCATTTCTTCAGAATATGTGGCATATTGACTTTTCCTCTCCATTCTAAGTCTGATAATATCCAGGATATACTTATTCTAGTCTCTCTTCCCTTGAGTGCCTCCTTCATACTGATCTCAGAAGATTTATTAAAGGTCTGCTTTCATCTTGGCAGTCTCCCATCCAACTTTCTGTAATAGCAAAAGATGAAACTGATGTGGTTTGGGAGACACAGAGGGAGCAAGATGCTTATGGTCACTCTTCTTTGTATGGTGCCGAAAATAGTCTCAGCTTTTAAGTCCCATTAATAACTGAACCAGTCTGTGATCCACTGGCTGGGATGCTCACTACCAGGAAAAGAACACAGCTATTGCTGTCCTTGGCCAGTGGATCATTCTGTTCCTTCCTCCTGGATGAATGGCATTTATTCAACTGGCAATATATTGTTTGTTAGATGGGACCTGCCACATTTAACTTTCCCCAGTGCTCCACTGTGGATAGTGTCAGATAGAGCCTTAATACTCCATGTTTCAGGTCCGTTTCTTCCACTAGATCATAATCTTCTTGGGTTTAGGTATCTGGATCTGTATTATTTGTATGGGCACATGGTTCCTACTCCAGCCTATCCTAGCACAACGGCACCTCTTTGTTAATGAATTGATTTATGCATGAAAAATATTTTACGATATTGATCAACAAAATAAAAATCTGATGTGTTTTTTCCAACCTAAAGAAAGGATCCTTTCTCATTGATTTCTTTCCAAACTTCCATTCCAGACATCGAAGAGTAAAAAGAAAAATGATAAAATGAAGGAAAGGCTAGGAATAAAGAGAGATGCACAATTAGAAACATAAAAAGATAATTGTTCAATATCAAAGATATACTAATAATAACCGAACTTCTAAAAAAATACATTCAGTGAAATAATTACAAACTCCTAATAACCTATCCAGCAAATTGTGAAACTATCAAGTTCATTTTCAATCTTTTTTATAGAAACGTAGGAAACAACTATAGTTATGTGATATTATTACTTTCTCATTTCCTCTAACAGTTGTACAGAGTCCTTAAAATTTGGGAGGCACATTACCTGGTCATTTGATCTTTGTAAAAATAATTCTTCCGGATTTTACAAGCATTATATCTCCTTGGGCTATAGATACCTGTATCTCTAACTTAATAAAAGAAGTTTCACAGTGTGTACAGAACTGAAAATTATTAAATTTAGTAAAAAGTGATAATTTTTAAAGAACAGTGTGTTCTTACAATTAGGAATACCAGAAATGGCTGTACATCCATTCGTTCTTCAGAAAAGAGAGAAGAAAAGAGAAGCTGCAAAAGAAAAGACAATTGCTAAACAGGGAGTTTTTTGTTTCCTGAATTTTGTCCACATATACGTGAATTGGCCCTAAACAGCCCTGCTAACATTTGACCATGAATATCACCTAAGTGTCCTTTCTAAAGTGTATAGCAAGGGGCTGTCTTCCTTCCTCCCAAGGTCTATGAGCTTTTGTTTGAAGCAATAGGATTTATCAATTACTAATCACCTGGCGAGAGAATCCTGGAGATCCGTGCTAACCTCCCCAAACAGTGAGAGACAGTGTTTATTCTTCTCACACAGAACTTCACATACCTTCCTGTGCCCATCGTTTCTCTTTGTGGGGCCCCTTCTCTTCCTTTCCCCTTCCCATAGATACCTCTTCACTCATGTACAGTAACTTCCTTCCTTTTGCATAGGTATAGGTATCAGTCAGCCAGAAAAAAGGACTTTGCTTATCTTGGGTGCTTCTTTAGAACTCTGAAATCCCAAAGATTAGGGACATTTCATTTGCTTCCTTCTAAAGCCGAGCATATCAAGGAGGAAATAAGGCCCCACATGAGTATAAGGACTACTCTGTTTCCCACTACCCCTTACCCTTCCTTCCCATATATTAATCAGGACCAAATTTTCCATTACCAGTCAGCTGGAACATATTGTTTTATCTGGGAGAAAATCAATTGGATTCCGTCAGGCAGAAATCTTTGAACCCCATGCACTTTAAACATGTTGTAGTAGACCTTCAACATTGGGCAAAGCTTCACAATTGGTCATGAGTTTCAAGGGACTGGGACAGACTGTGTCATTACTTACATGAGAAGATAAGAACAAACAGCCAATCATTGTGGCAGGTGGTATTAAAAAAGTGAAGATAAATGGAATATCACTTTCGAAGATACTGAACGCAAATCCAGCCACAGAGAATACAGTGACCTAAAAGAAGCAAATATGAAGGTTAATCACTCTGAATTTCAATGTAAGTTCCAAATCGAGATGGCTCATCTTGAAGATATTACTAATTTCAACTCCAATCTTGCAAACCAAGCTGAAATCAGTATATCTCCATTAACAGTTTATTTTAGTGACTTAGCCAAATTCCTTTGGCCTAGAGTTTCACAAATGAGGTATCACTTGATAAATCTAGGATGTGATATGCAGAATTTTTTTCTCTCTTTTTTTTTTTGAGATGGAGTCTTGCTCTGTTGCCCAGGTAGAAGTGCAGTAGCGTGATCATGGCTCACTGCAGCCTCAAACTCCTGGGCTCAAGTGATCTTCCTCCCTCAGACTCCCGGATAGCTGGGACTACAGGTGCATGCCAACATGCCCAGCTAATATTTTTGTATTTTTAGTAGAGATGGGGTTTCACCATGTTGCTCAGGCTGGCCTTGAATTCTTGGGCTCAAGTGATCCACTGACCTAGGCCTTCCAAAGTGCTAGGGTTACAGGTATAAGACACACCCAGCACCCATAGATATAATATTTTAATTACAGTAAATAAACTTTAAAAAATAAAAGTAGATGATCAAAAATCAAAGAAAACATTGAAATTGATATCTAACAGGAATAAAACAACAAAAATGAAAGGTAGGACTTTTGGTAACTATACCAATGGGGAAATAGAAGCATTTAACAACATGGAATGGCTTAAGCAGAAGTACTAAAATACAAAATTAGGGATAACAGAAAGTGATAGGTACACTGGAAGCCCTCATATTTTACCTTCTAATACACTGTAATGACTACTTAAAAGTTGTTGTACTTCTAATTTCTCTGTCTTCCAAACCATCATTTTTATGGCTATCAAAGTATTCTTCCTGCAAGTTTATCTCTAATCCTATTTCTGTTCTGCTCTGTAAGCTTTTAAATCCTTGAGAACATCATTTAAGGGCCGCCATGATTTTATTTTTTGCCATACCTAGGACCATGGCCATTGTGCACCTTGTTTTTTGTCTATATCTAGGAGAGATTATTACCAGTTCCTAGGATCAGCTTGGGCTTTTCCTCTGCTAGGTTTCTGTTCGTTATCTCTATTTGTACCTCATACTTCTCTTGGCTGAAATCTTACTCTTTTTCAGATTTCATCTTTTAAAAGAAATCTCTGCTTTCATTTTCACAAATGAATCTCTCCCTTATCTGTTTTTCATGGACCTCTTTATTATTCAGTTGTATAATAGACTCTTAAGATGGAAAATAACTCGTGACTATTTTAACAAGTGGTTGCTTACTCATCTGTTTATCTTTTGAGAGCCCTTTCAGGATTGAAACTGTCCATTTAATCTCCTTCCTCCCATTATCAATCTTAACTTGGACACACTGCAGAAGTCAACAATTATTTATTGAATTAATAACTTACCTTTTGGCATCCTGAAATCATAGGAAATTAGAATAGACACTCTTAAATTATACACGTTTCCTCCTAATTTAGACAAAAGAAGAGAGGCTTTATGGAATTAATTCTTATTAGGGACTTTGGTGAAGTAATTTCTAGTTTTGACCATGTCAGTAACTGAATTTGTAATCTTGTGTTTATTATAGACCATAATATTATCATCCTACAGAGGGCAAAATTTAAAGGATTAGCTCAGAATTGTATATCAAATATATACAGTATACATCCACAAGAAATATACTTACAACATAGAAACAAAATGACCAAATGCCACTATTTTTTCTCCCCTTGCGAAAGATGAAGGAAATCACGTATGTCATGAAGATGAGGGAAAAGGAATAACCAACAGCACATGGGATCTAAAATCAACAGGAATGTGAAGCTTAGTTAAATACAAATGCAATCAAGGAAAATATTTAGGATTCAAAACATTGTCATAGCCCAGGATTTTATAGTTCTTTAATTTATGACCATATAAATATTGATAGAAATGTTCCAAAATTTCAAATTAAATCACACAATGATATTGTGAATATTGTCACTTACTTGGATATTGTCACTTACTTGAATAATATGAATTATTGTAAGTAGCATGTCTTCGAAGTTTGAAATGTAGCTCATTAAATATATAAAAACGAAGACCAAGAAGTACAGGGAAACATCCACCAGCGCCTGCCCAAACCAGTAAGCAGAAGGGGAGAGTCCGGAAATCCGTAGCTGGGACCGAGCTCTGTTCTAATTAGGAGACAGCAAAGATACAAAGTTTGTGGCTTAAGAATATGTGGATTATGCAAGGAACTATTCAAACAAAACCTTTATTTGTAACAATTCTAGATTATGTCTACAAATGTAATCTGGACTAAGGGATGTGGATAGTTACAAACATAAATAACCAGTCTGCTGCTTTAATGAACTACATTGATGTTCATCACACACCTGGCAGAAATATGTAAAAGAAGACCTTAGAATGATCAAAGCATGAACACTGCAGCAAACAAAACAGTGATTTAATGACTTACAGGTGGGTAGGGGTGAATGGGATGGACAGTTTATTCCCTTAAACAACTACCTTCTCATCACAGTGATTCCTCTCTCTCTTTTCTCTCCTCCATATATATATATATATATATATATATCCATATATATATATATATTATATATGGATATATATATTATATATATGGATATATATACACACACATATATATGGATATATACACACACACACATATATATGGATATATATATGGAGTGTGTATATATGTGTGTTTATTTTATATACACACATATATACACACTCCATATATATACACACACATACACACACACACACACATATATAATTGCTTTATCCTTTAATTGGAATAAAAGAAATTGTGTTGTTCTGCCATAGTCCACATTCAAGTATTTATCACTGATTCAAATATTTATGTGTATCTACATAAATATAAATACATTTACAAATGTAAATGTATTTTACATTATTTGTCATTCCCTAAATAAACATACCAAATTACATGTTTTAAAACTACTTATGAAGTGATGTGGTTTTCAGTATAATCAATAGGTTTGTATATTAAACTATTCTAAGAGTTGTGAATTTTTTTCTTTTAAAAAATACTTAAATTCATTTGTTGATGGGCTTTGATGAGCTAAATAATGCTCCTGCCTGAGACATAATTTGACCTAAAGATTCATATCAGAGCCTCACAACATCAGACACAGGTCTATGCAGGTAGTTGAATTGGTAAGGAATTGATGATTGACTCAACATATTAGAGGCAAGAGAAGAATTGAGGATAATTTTTGGATCTTTAGGAAATGACTGAGCATGTGGTGCTGCTATATATGGAGAAAATAGCAAGGGGGGAAGACATTTAAGTATCTCTACATTCAGTTCAGTTTTGGAAGCATGAAACTTGAGACATCTGTGTTGCCTACTGTGGAAATGCTGAGAAGGGAGTTTGTATCAACCTTGGAGGTCAAATTAGATACAATTAGAGATCTGGGGTAGAGTCAGATCTAGGAGTGACCAGCCAGTAGAGGGGATTCGAAGCCATAGAGCTAGATGGGTTTGCCTAAGACAGAATGGTATCTAACATGAGAAGACAGCCAAGGGCCAATATCTGAGGATTTCCAAAATTTAAATATTACATAGAGGAATGAGAATCTCCAAAGGAGACAAACAATGGACAGTCTTAGGATAAACATGGTGAAATTGTGGCATCACAAAAGCCAAAGAAAGTGTTCATGTTTCCTGCGGAGGAAGTTTTAAAGTTTGGATTATGTTAACACCAGAAAGACTTATAGTTACATCAAACTAGTAAATGGAATTTCTTGAGATTCCTGCATGTTCCACATGAAAAGGGAACATTACATAAACCATACACTCTTTTTGTGGGCAACAGAGAGAGAGAAAAAACGAAACAGATGAAGATGACATAGTAGAGATGCTTACACAAGGTTTCATAGACTTTTTCCATAAAGTCACAAAAATGGGAGTTGGCCTGGGTTATTAATCATATAAATTCACCGCCTAAGATTGCCACTCAAAATCTGGCTCCACTGCAGAACTGCTGAATCGGAATCATCTTTTAAACAAGATGCTCAGGTGATTTGTAAACACATTATAGATTCGTTTGGATTAATGAGTGTCTGTAAATAAACATTTGTAAGTTGTCAGTTCAATATTGAAGTTTTCTCTTTATCTTTTCAAGTTCTCGCATTTCCAAAAATATCATTTCCTTTTATTTCAACAATCTCTTTTTAATTTTGGGGGGTATAATTCTCAAACAAGAAAAAGTACCCATACTAAGTATATAGCTGAATGAGGTCTGATGAATGCATGTTTCTGTACCACAATCATAGGCAAGGTGTAGAACAACCCCTGAAGTTTCCCATGATCCTTTGCAGTCAATAGCCTTTACCACTGGTTACAAGTGACCCCCCACACCCCGAGCCTGCCTTCTGTCACTATAGATTAATTTTACCTTTCTAAGAATTTTATATAAATTAAATCATCCTAATTAAAGGTACCTAATTATTTGTGGTTATCATTCCCTCAGTGTAATGGTTCTGAGACTCACCTGTGTTGGTGCATTTATTAGTTGTTCCTTCTGTTATACTGCTGAATAGTATTCCATTGTATGGCTATATCAGAATTTGTTTATCAGTTCACTGCTTGGGGGACACTTGGGTTGTTTCAAGTTGTTGGCTGTTATGATTAATGCTATTCAGAACATTAATGCTCAAGTGTTTATGTGGAAAGATGTTTTTTCTTCTTTTGAGTAAATACTTAGGAGAAGAATTGCTAGGTTATAACAATAAGCATATTTTTAACTTTATAAGAAACAGCCAAATTATTTTGCGAAGTGATTGTACAATTTACAATCCCACCCACAATGCATGAGAGTTCCGGTTTCTCCACATCCTCATAAACTCTTGATAGTGTTGGTCATTCTAACATTATTAGTTTTATTGAGTGTGTAGAGCTATCTCACTGAGGCTATCTTCCTGATTGCTCATGACATTAACCATCTTTTCATGGGAGTATTTTCCATCTGTACATCTTCTTTGGTAAAGTATATATACAAATACTTTGTCCATTTAAAAAATTAGGTTATCCTCTATTACAGAGGAATGAGAGTTCTTTACATATTTTTGATACAAATCTTTGTCACATATATAAGTATAGTTAATATTTTTCTCCCAGCCTGTGGCTTGCCTTTTATTTTATTTTTAAATTATTTAATTAATTTATTTTTTGAGATGGAGTCTCGGTCTGTTGCCCAGGCTGGAGTGCAGTGGCGCAATCTCAGCTCACTGCAACCTCCGCAGTCCAGGTTCAAGCGATTCTCCTGCCTCAGCCTCCTGAGTAGCTGAGATCACAGGCATGCACCACCACACCCAGCTAATTTTTGTATTTTTAGTAGAGACAGGTTTTTGCCATGTTGGCCAGGCTGGTGTCAAACTCCTGATCTCAGGTGATCCGCCCACCTCGGTTTCCCAAAGTGCTGAGATTACAGGCGTGAGCCACCAAGCTCGGCTGCCTTTTATTTTTTATTCGTGTTTTACAAAGAGCAGAAGCTTTTAACTTTGATGAAGTTCAAGTTATCTTTTTTAAAATAGCATATGCTTCTTCTTCCCCATCTGAAAAATATTGCCTATCACAAGATCTGTGATTCATTACAAATTAATTTTGTGCATGTGACGGATGTTAAGAACATTTTTCTTTTCAGAATGATACCAACTTGTTCCACCACAATTTGTTGAAAAGTCTAATCTTACCCCTATTTAAGTTATTTGGTAATTTTATTGAAAATCAATTGATATATGTGTGGGTTTATTTCTGAAATGTCTATTTCATTTAAAATATCTACATAATTATTCTTAATTAATACAACACATTCTTAATTACTACAAGTTTGTAGTGAGCCTTGAAGTCAGAAGCATATTTTCCAGCTTTGCTTTTTTTTTCAGAGTTGGTTTGTCTATTCTAGCTTGTTGGAATATCCAGATAAAGTTCAGAATAATTCTCTATTACCTATTTATCTATATATTTCAACTTATAAAACTTTCTTTCATTTTTATAACTTAGAATTTATGTCTGAATTGGCTGTTCAATTAAGCATGTAGAAATATTCTTATGAAAAATTGTAAAATTACCTTCTGCTTTCAATTATGCAAAATAATGGAAGTTGCAATTACTCATTATTACCTTATAATCATCGATGCTGCTCATGGCAATGTAAGGTGGGCAACTCGATGTTAAAACCAGCCAGAACATGATATATGCCAGGAATCCGATTGGATTGTCCTGTCCATTCTGAAAAACCCAAAGAATACAATGAACTGAATGAAGAAATTTAAAGTTAATTTTCTGGAATACATTTTTAAAATTTTAGACTAAGTTTACATAATTCTGCCTTAGGTCCCTTTTGAGATTCCCAGATTCCTTCATTATCCTTCCAGTTTTCACACTTAACTTTTGGCTTTCTACTCAAATTTACAGATAAGTGATTGAAAAGATGAATGCACTGATAACATTTGGAAAATAATAAGAACAAGATTTTTCTCTTTTCTTGCTTTATGATTCTAAAATTTATTTTGGTGCTAAATAATACATTATAATTCACAGTTGATACATTCAATTTCTTAGCTGATCTTTATCTCAAATGTGACAGCTTAACTCAAAAAATATCCAACATTTTATGGGTACAGTGATAATAAGTCAGTTTTTTAGGTACATCATGAGACCAGATAAATATTGGTTGAGGACGCAAAAGGAGAGATGAAGTACTAGAAGGGAGAGCAAAATCACCAAGAAAATCTTTGCCCTAGTTCCATCTGTTGTTACTCCTGTTTGTAAAAATCTTTAAGGATAAAAGATCACAAACTCTCTTGAAAGCCAGTCCCATGTTATTTTCATGATTCTCATAGTTGCTTCTTTGATTAAACACATTACTGAAGAAAGTTCTAACCAGAGCCTGGTGGTCTTCAGCTTGGTCACCAGAAAGACACTTGCTAACCATAGATGGTAAGGTTATAGCTTATTGTCTGGATGCTTCCAGAATGTCCTGAGTACTGGGTAGGGTCAATACTTAGTGGCCAATCTATTGACTTTGGGCAGGATACAAGCAAGTTCTGAAAATCTGGGCAACTCTGACTTTGCGGGCAATGAGCAGGTAAAGTAGAATAGAGAATAAAATGAGTTGCTGGGGATATTGGTTAAAGTGACTATATTGGGCACATAAATACAAAGTCAGCTGAGCTGGTTGGTATCTAATTAATCCTAGTTGAAACAGGATATCTTGATAGATAGAAGTCTGAGGCAATTTGCCCAATTATTGCATACTACTCTCAGAAACCAGAAAATTAAAAGGTCTTCACAGTCACAAAATGTTAATGAAGTGAACCATAGCATATATTCCAAAATTAATTAATACTTGGTGGGTCCCTAAAATCATTTACTTTAATGATTAAGTTTCTCGCACATCCTTAATGAAAGGAAGTTTTACTTCCTGAGTACAGTGAGATATGGTGTGAGAAGGAAACTGAAGATCTTGCTGGACCATATGAAAATAATACTGGCAGCTGGGTGCAGTGACTCACACCTGTAATCCCAACACTTTGGGAGGCCAACATCGGAAGATCTCTTGAGCCCAGGAGTTCGAGGTTACAGTGAGCTATGATCCTGCCACTGCACTCCGGCTGGGTGGCAGAGCGAGACCCTGCCTCTAAAAATAAATTTAAAAGAATGACAGATATGTGATCCATTTTATGTATACATGAGTATATGATTATTGGCCATATATATTATCATAAAACCCTAGAATGAGATGTAGATAAGTTGATGAGCCTAACACTCACTTATGTATTTAACAATTAAGTTGTTTCATGTTTATCATGTTACAGGTTTTTTCCTACGTACAAGGTATTTATAAAGTGTTAAAAATACATGATCTATGTGCTCAAAGAACTCTCTGAAAGGGAGAAATGTATGTATTCAATAATTAAAAAGGAATCATTACAAACTTTTAGTTATTCTGGTTCTAAACTTAAAGGGCTATATACATTCCGATCACTTGGACCTTTGTTTAAGAATAGATTCCCTCCTTTCACCACCCCCATGAGGAAAAGTGGTTTGATTGGTCTGGAGTAGGCCAGGGGAATTAATATTTTTGACAAGAATCTGCAGTAATTCTAATGTAGATAGTCTGAAATTCTAGCCTGAACTTTGTCTTGAATTTCTTTTGTAAAATTTCTAAAAGTAATAATAAAGCCCCTTCCTTCATTTGTTCCTTCCTTTGTTCTTTCCTTCCTTCATTCATTCGTTCATTCCTTCCTTCCTTCCTTCATTCTTTCCTTCCTTTCTCCTTTGTTTCATTTGTTCACTATTCTTGTGCTGGTCACAGTGCTGTAAGATTTCATTTTTATTGCTTCATATTCTCTTTTTTTTTTTTTCCTTTTCTTTTTTTATTATACTTTAGGTTTTAGGGTACATGTGCACATTGTGCAGGTTAGTTACATATGTATACATGTGCCATGCTGGTGCGCTGCACCCACTAACTCGTCATCTAGCATTAGGTATATCTCCCAATGCTATCCCTCCCCCCTCCCCCCACCCCACCACAGTCCCCAGAGTGTGATATTCCCTTTCCTGTGTCCATGTGATCTCATTATTCTCTTTGAAAAATGTTTTGTTCATTTTATTTTACTTTAAACAAATTGAAGCTCTGAAAACGTATTGATTTTCCAAAGTCACAGAACTAGAATGAGTCCAAATGTTAATTTATTATGCAGTGGTTTACTCAATAAAAACAAGATTCCAGCACTTAAAAGGGTGATCTGGGAGATTCCTGATAGAGGAGAGTCAGGAATTGTAAGATTATATATATTTACCTCCAAAAATGTACTTCTTTCAGTTCGGATATGTACTGATGGTTTAACCATTCCAAGTAGCCCATTACTAACAATGTCCATAAGAACTGGGAAGCAATTCAATCTTTTGGCATTGCATGCTAACGAAAAGCTGTAATTCTAAAATATAACAAGTAGGATATAAGTTCTCAAATATCTTCATTTTGTTCTCTAAAAAAGTCAAAATTTGACATGTTAAATTAAGAGGTTATGTTTTTCATATGGTGTTAAATAATCACAATAAAAAGCCAAACACTGTGTAAGTAAAATCAAATACTGTATAAGTAAATCAAAACATGTATATAGTAAAACTAAATCATGTATCTGATATTTAGGACACCGGATGTCTTGCTTGAGGCCAGAATCATATGTTCAGTGTTTATTGTTTAAGAACAAAACAGAAGTTTTGGAATACATGTGTTATAAAATCCTTGAGGGGAAACATGAAATGTTCGAACTTATATATAGTCTTGATAGTAGGTATTCTATAGTATGTATTTTGCTAATAGTTTGTGCCAGTAGACAATGATGGATATATGAATTGTTTATGCCAGTGAATACAATTCACTAAGTAATAAATGAAAACAGTATTTGCTTTTCATTTTTATTTCTTAAGTTGGAAGCCTGAGTATATTGATATTATGTTAGCTTTTCACATTTTTCAGAAAGATTATTAGAGACCTGCATACCTTTTCATTACAACACACTGTGATGGCTCCATTATAAGATGGGTCATCTGTGCCATTTCTAGTTCCAAATGCATCCACTTCTAAAGCTATGTTCTGGTGCTCCACAGACTGTATAAAGTCATCAATGCTTGCCCCTAAGGTGTAGTTAAAGATATTAGGTATCACAAAACTAAAAACATTAATGTCAAGTTGTGTAGTCAAATTACAGTTAATGTCATTATGTGAAGCAGTAATATGGACTGTCAGGATATTTTCTACATAACATACATAACATCTATTATTTCTCATGGAATTCCTTCATGATATTTTTATTTGCTTATGATTATTATTAATGTAAAAGATTTTTTTAGTTCCAAGTGTCTTTCAAAATAGATTTTAGAATCTTGCAATGAATGTCCATAACCAATAAAGCTTTAATGATACTGATAACTTCCATTGATTAACCACCAAATTTGCTAAGTCATTTTACTACTGCTAGATTATTAATTAATTTTCAAAATTTTCTTGATACTGGAAGACAACATGTAGACTAGCAATGTGAGGAGCTCAGTAGACCTTCTCCCCAGAAAAACAATCATAACTTATAAAAATTCCTAAAAAACCAACAAATTAAAATGTTTTGAAATTGTTATAAGAGCATACAGAAAATGATGACACATTTATTTAATAAAATGTATTAAATCTCAGTAAGAACACTGAGAAATTGTGGCATTTGAGCCACAGCCTGATCCGTCTACTCCCCACTTCCTTCCCAGATCTGTGTAATAGAAGCTTCACTCTGAAAGGGTGTGGGCAAGAACAGGGATCCCTATTCCCCAAGCCCAGTTCAGGGCTATAGTATCTTCACGGGAGGGGCTTCCCATCGACTTTTCTCATTTCCCCACATCTGCGTTGCAGAAGATCAATACCAGGCAAGAGTGGCTAAGAGATCTGGAGTTCTCTTCCTCCACCCATTCCCTAATCCTAAGGTGGAAGCTCTACCCTAGGAATAAGAGGCCCAAAACACCGGGACACAATCATCCTTGTCCCATCTCACGTGTAGGGCAGAGTTTCCACGACAGGAGAGGCAAGCTGAGAAGACCAGAGGCCACCACCCCTGCCAAGTACCCTGCTCACAAATCAGGGGTTCCACACCAAGAGAATCAGGCACGATCCATGCTTCCAGCTCTGAAGCAATGGTGAGATTCTTGTTTCAGGAACAGCGGCAAGCCATAAGAACAGTATGTGCTGAAACTCTCCCTAAATAAACTGACTTTAGTTGGAACAGAGTTTGGGGAAGTTCAGGCCTAAGAGTGCACCAAAAACCATCAAGATTTTGTTGGTAAGCAATTGACAGGAGATTGCAATTCCCTTGGTTGAACCATACACCAGCTAAAAGTTTACTAGAGAGAGCAGCAAAACAGAGAGTTAAGAAGAGCCCTTCTGTGGAGAGGACACACCTCAATAACTGGCTTCAAAGACTTTTCCTACAAACAAGACCATATTTATAGTAGTGCTCCCTTATCCATGGTTTCACTTTCTGCAGTTTTAGTTACTTTTAGTCCACTGCATCTCTAAAATACAAAATGAAAAATTCCAGAAATAAACATTGTATAAGTTTTAAATCGCATGGTATTCTGAGCAGATGGATGAAATCTCGTATCGTCCACTCTGTCCTGTGCAGGATGTGAATCAGCCCCTTGTCTTCTGTGTCCACACTGCATATGCTACCTACTCATTAGTTACTTAGTCGCCACCTCCGTTATCAGATCGACTGTCAAGACATCACAGTGCTTGTGTTCAGTTAACCCTGATTTTACTTAATAGTGGCCCCAAAGCACAAGAGGAGTAATGCTGGCAATTTGGATATGTCAAAGAGAAGCCATATATTGCTTCCTTTAAGTGGAAAGGTGAAAGTTATTGACTTAATAAGGAAACAATAAAAAAATTGTATGCTGAGGTTGTTAAGATCTACTCTGAGAGCAAATCTCTTCTGTAAATTGTGAAGAAGAAAAAAGAAACTCATGCTAGTCTTGCTGTTGCACCTCAAACTGTAGAAGTTATAGCCATAGTGCATGATAAGTGCTTAGTTAAGATGGAAAAGGCGATAAATTTGTGGATAAAAAACATGAACAGAAACGTGTTCTTATGGATGGCCATTAGTTTGGTACTATCTGTGGTTTCAGGCATCTGCTGGGGATCTTGTAATGTTTCAGATGAGAGGGAATTACTGTAATTGGATCAAACTGTGGAGCAACTTATGCATATGGGCATTTTTGAAAACAATAGGCCAATCAGCTTGCTACTGGTGGTGCCTAACAACTGAATGTGATACCAGTAGAGTTAGCCAGTGTAATGGAGAGGTCAGGAAAAGAGACAAAGAAAGGTCTGCTAAATCTATTGCCATCTCAGGGGAATAATGCACATGGCCAAAGTTATGCCTCTGAAGAATGGCATCAGAGTTGTATAAAGCAGGGGAAATGAGTAAACAATAATCACAAGCTTCAAGACAAGCTGGGGGTCATTATTCAAAGTTGTTACAATCTATTACTTTAAATGTCCAGTTTTCAACCAAAATTATGAGACATGCTAAAAAATAAGAAAGTGTCACTCTTATACAGGAAGAAAAGTAGGCAACAAGAACTGCCTTTGGAAGGCTGAGATAGCAAACCTAAAAAACAAAGACTTCAAGGCAGGTATTGTAAGTATGCTCAAAAAACTAAAAGAAAGCATGTTTAGAGAAGTGAAGAAAGGTATGATGACAATGTCTCACCAAACAGATTATACCAATAAAAAGTTATTTCAAGTAATAAAGAACCAAATAGAAATTCTGGAGTTGAAAGTACAATAATTGAAATGAAAAATTCACTGAAGGAGCTCAACAGTAGATTTGAATGATCAGCAGAAAGAATTAGCAGACCTGAAGATATATTAAATGGGATTATGCAACCTGAAGAACAACAACAATAAAAAAACAGAACCTCAGAAAAATGTGGGACATTATTAATCACATTATTTCATATGCAATGGAAGTTACAGAAGGAGAGGAGAGAGATAAAAGAAGAGAAAAACAACCACTGAAGAAATAATGACTGAAAACTTACCAAATTTAATTAAAAACTTTATACATCCAAGAAGTTCAACCAACTCCACGTGGGATGTATGCAAAGAGATCCAAACCCAGACACATCAGAGTAAAAATGGTGAGGACAAAGGCAAAGAGAATGTTTCCTTGGTGATGTGTAAGGAAACACCAATAAGAACCCAGCTGATTTCTCATCAGAAACAAAGGAAGCCAGAACACAGTAAAATGACATATTCAAAGTACTGAAAAAAATTCAGCCAAGTATTTTATATTTAGCAAAACTAGCTTTCAAAGATGAAGGTGGTAATAGGTATGATGTACACTGTTTGAGTGATGGTTACACCAAAAGCCCAGACTTCACCACTACACAATATATCCATGTAGCAAAACTGTACTTTTATCCTGTAAATCTATAAAAATAAAAATAATAAAGAATAAAAAATGATGAAGGTAGAATAGAACTTTTTTCCAAGATAAACAAAAATGAAGAATTTGTTATAGCAGACTTGCCTTATAAGAAATACTTAAAACTGAAAGCAAATAACCCCAGATGGCAATTTGAATCCAAGTGAAAAGGCCAAAGAGGATCAGCAAACACAACTATGTACTTATAATTGGTAGTATAATGCGTATTTTTCCCTCTCTTGTATTAACTCATTTTAAAAGCAAATGTATAATGCAGTATGTATATAATTTTATTGTTGAGGCGTAAAACATAGACATGTAAAATATTTGAAAACAATGGCACAAAGGAGGCAGGTGGAAGCCTAGCTGTATTGGAGTAAGGACATCACATAAGATGATAATATGAATTCACAGGAACAAATGAAGAGAACAAGAAATGGTAAATAAAAATTTCAATGAGCTACAGACTCTTTCCTCTGATATAGCTGTATTCACTCTTCCCCATTTTGATGTTATTATTACACATATCACATCTATATGTTTTTAAACCAGCAATACATTGGTACAATTATTACTCAGTATGATTTCATATCTTTTAAAGAAGCTGAGAGAAGAAAGGAGAGTAAGTACATATTTGTAGACTTTGTTACATTAATCTTAAATCTGTGTAAACTTTAAGTAGATTAAAATAAGATGTACATTCTAGGCCCAAAAACAATCACCAAGAACATAATTCAAAAATATAATAAAAAATCGTTAAAATAATTAAATCATTAAACTAGAAGATATTCAATGCCAAAGAAAACAGTAAAGAAGAAATAGAGGAACAAAAAAGACATGAGACATTCAGAAAACAAACAATAAACTGGCAGATACAAATCCTACATTATTAGTAAAAATATGATTTGTGAATAAAATAATACACTCAAAAGGCATAGATTGTTAGATTGTATTTAAAAACACTATCCAACTATATACTGTTTATAGGAGACACATATCAAATTAAATTTACAGGAGACACATATTAAATTTCATTGATACAAATTGAAAGCAGAAGGTGGAACAATACATCATGCAAGATAAAACCATGGGAAAACTGGAGTGGCTCTTCTAATATCAGACAAAATAGATGAAAACAAAAAATGTTACTAGAAAGCATAAGAGACATTTTCTAATGATACAAGGGTCAAAACAGCAGGAAGTTATAACATTTATAAACGTATATACACTTAAGAGAGACTCGAAATACAAAATAGCACTGAAAAGTGAAATATACAAATTTTCACCCACAACAGCAGAATGCACATTCTTCTCAAGTGCACAAGGAACATTCTCCAAGATGAGCTAAAGGCAAGGACATCAAACAAGCCTCAACACATCCAAAACGGTTGAAATTTTATAAACTATGATCTCTGACCACAAGGGATGAATTTAGAATTCAACAACAAAAACTTAGAAAATCACAAATTTTTGGAAACTAAATAGTCTACTCCTAAATAACCAATGAGTCAGAAAAGAAATCACAAGGGAAATTAGAAAATATTTTGAGATAAATGAAAATTAAAACATGATATACCGAAACTTATGCTATGCAGCGAAAGCATAGCTTAGAGGGACGTTTATAGCTGTAAACACCTATGTTAAATAAAAGAAGAAAAATCTCAAACCAGTGAGTGAAACTTCTGTGTTAAGACACTGAAAAGAGAGGAACAAGCTAAACACAAGGCAAACAGAAAGAAATGAAACCAAGAATATTGGTTTGGAAATGAGTGACATAGACAATAGAAAAACAATAGAGACAGTTAAGCTAGAAGTTGGTTCCTTGAAAGCATCAACAAAATTGAGGAACCCTTAGCTAGGATGACCAAGAAAAATAAAATAACATGAAAATTACTAAGATCAGGAACAAAAAGAGGGCATGAATACCAGTCTTACAGATTAAAAGGATTAAAATGGAATATGTTTGTGTAACAACAAATTAGATAATATAGTATAATGGAAAAATTCCTGGAAAGACAGAAACTATTAAACTGATACAAGAAGAAATATAAAATGTAAGGAGACCTGTAACAATTAAGAGATCAAATTGCTAATTACAAAACTTCCCATAAAGAAAATCCCTCACCCAGATAGCTACACTAGTACATTTCTACCTAATAAACAAAAATTGTCAATCCTTCACAAAGTCTCAAAAAAAAAAAAAAAAAAAAAGAAGTGCAGGGAACATTTGCCAACTTATTATATGCAGCAAGTATTACCCTGATATCTAAAGACATTAGCATAAAATAAAACTACAGACCAATATCCCTTATGAATAGAGATGGAAAACATTATCAACAAAACCCTAGAAAATCAAATCTGGGAGAAAATGGAAAGGATTATACACCATGACCAAGTATGATTTATCCTATAAATGCAAGGTTGGTTTAATGTCTGAAAATAATATGGTATAAAACCCACATGATCATCTCAGTAGACACAGAGAAAACATTTGACAAATCCAACATCTGTTCATAATGACAACCCTAAAACAAAAAAAAACTAGAAAAAGACATGTCACAGCCTTCTTGCATTTAGAAACACTAAATGACACTTCAGCAGTATTCTTTGTGTCATTTTAAACAGCAAAATCATCACAAAAAAACATAAAAATGTGAAAAATGTGGCATGAAATAGATTGCAAAAAGGCATTTGTTTACAGTATGAGAGCTAAAACAAGAAAGCAGTGTTATTTTGTTCAATCTCAGTTGAAAATGTGTACATCAGGTGACTAAAAATGTTCACTTCTCTGAGCATATCTGTAAATATCATGAAATGCAACAGATATGTAATTGGGGGTTACCAATAAATTTCAGTGAATAGGCAAATTCTTAGATACAGAATCTGAATATGAGCACCTACTGTATCTGATAAAAGAATTTTTATCATAACACTTAGAACTCAATTAAAAATACAATCCATTTTTTCAAAAGAAAACAGACATTTCTACAAAGAAGGTGTACAATTGACGAGTTATCACACGAAAAGATGCTCAACGTTACTGGCCATTAACAAAATACAAATCAAAATCACAAGATACTACTTGACATACACGATGATGCATGTAATAGAAAAAACAAAAAATAAGTGTTGGCAAGCATACGTAGAAACTGGAATCCTCAAAAATTGCTGATGTGAGGCCGGGCGCGGTGGCTCACGCCTGTAATCCCAACACTTTGGGAGGCTGAGGCGGGCGGATCACGAGGTCAAGAGATCAAGACCATCCTGGCCAACATGGTGAAACCCCGTCTCTACCAAAAATACAAAAAAATTAGCTGGCTGTGGTGGCAAGCTCCTGTAGTCCCAGCTACTTGGTAGGCTGACGCAGGAGAATCGCTTGAATCTGGGAGGCGGAGGTTGCAGTGAGCCGAAATTGTGCCACTGGTCTCCAGCCTGGTGACACAGAGCGAGATTCCATCTCAAAAAAAAAAAAAAAAACCCCACAAAAATTTCTGGTGTGAATATAAAGTGGTACAGTCACTTTGAAAAACAGTCTGGCAGGTCCTTCAAAGGGTAAACATAGTTACCACGTGACCCAACAATTCTACTTTTAGGATTACACCCCAGAGAAATGAAAACATATGTTCAAACAAAAACTTGTACATGAACATCTGTAGCAGCATTTTTCGTAATATCCAATTATTGGGAAAAAATATATCCATCTGCTGATGAATGATAAATAAATTGTGGTATAACCATCAATAAAATATTACTCAACAATAAAAATGAAGTATTGATACATAGATAAATGCTACAACATAGATCAACTTTGAAAACATGCTAAGCGAAAGAAGTCAGTCACCAAATACCACATGTTGTATGAGTCCAGTGATATTACATGTTCAGAGTAGACAGATCAATAGAAACAGAATGTAAATTTGTGATTGCTGAGGAGTTGGGGGAGGGACGACATGGGAGTAATTGCTATTCGGTATGGGGTTTCTTTATGGGGTGATGAAAATATTCTAAAAGGGATTGTATTGATGGTTTCACAGTTCTGTGGATACACTGAAAACCATGGAATTGTGCATTTTAAATGGATAAATTGTATGGCCTGTGAAGTATATCTTAATGAACCTGTTAAAAATGCTATTTTGGTACAAACGCTTTCATTTAGCAAGATGCCACCAGATGTTTCTCCTTTAGAAAATACTTTACCTATTCCTGCTTCTTTGGGGGCCTGTATTTATTATCTTTAAGTTTCATAAATTGTTTTTTAACACATGCTGAATAAGTGAAAAGCTATTTTCTTTCTCATGGTTATGTTTTCTAAGTACTGCTCTGAACAGTAAATGTATTTGGAAATCAAGTATCCACCATTTTACCTGTTTTATTGATGATCAGTAGTTGAGTGAGAGGGTCATGTGGTTGTTGTCCAGGAGCAAGGAAATACAAATGAGGAGAAAGTTCCCAGGTGTAACTGTTTTGATATATTTTCACCATGGTATACTCCACAAGAAGAGGGCAAAATCCAGCCATTAGAATTAATAGCCTACACAAAAGAAAATTGCCAAAATGAATGCAATGTCATTTCCTGATCTAATACTCTCTGAGCAGTTTATAATGTAATGGGATAAAGAAATTATAAAAATTAAACACAATTAACTGTCACATTTCTTGAGTATTTTGTCCTTTTACTAACTCCAAATTCAAGATGTTAAACCGTAGATTTGTCCTTTGTTCATTTCTCCTGTTGCTTTTTGGCCATTGGATATCCCATAAAATTTCATGCAATATTTGTCCTTTGGATGTCAAGATTCTGCCTCTCTCCTGTGCTTCTTCCACTGTGATGCTTTCCCTTTCTGCTGCCTAATTCATCATATCTTTGTGTTTTTTTGCTTGCCTTTATACCTTAGATTTGCTTTTTAACGCATTGACTTAAAAAGAAAACCTATGGCAACTCTGATACTTACAGTGCTAAAAGAGCTTTTCTTTCATGCTTTAACTTTAACAAGCGAACCCTTGCAATTGCGCAGATTTGCTGTCGCCAGAGAGCCACACCACCTATTGTCTTTCTCATCTTGTTAAGTGAAGAGAGGACTTGTTCCATCTCAACAAGCCTTTCAGTGTCGTCAGCTTTTTCCGCTTGTACTTCTCCCAAAATAGCAATGTCTGCAAAACATAAAATAAGCAACTCATATGTACTTTATTGAGCTTACTATAGAGATTGGCTCTGCTAAGCATCTCATGATTAGACTCTTCCGCGTTACTATAGGTATAACGTGGTTTTGCTGGTTACTGCCTTAAAATACAGAAATAGAAGAAATATTTATTTCTTGAACAAAAGGGATAGAAAGGAGACCTTAGGTAATTTGGATACAGACAATACATTACAGAGGTCAAGATAAATAGGCAAGGTCATCACAGTGGTTAGAAATGACATGGAAAGTCAGTAAAGGAAACAAATATCTTACATGTTCAATGAAGCTACAAATTGACATGCTCTGAACAGGGAGTAAACTGTAAATGGCAAGCTACAAACTGGGAGTTAGCTATAAATTGTTACTGCAGAGATTTCAAAACTATTCAGTTTTGAATAGTTTCTGAGACTGCATTCATTTGTGTGTTCTCTATAATCTCTGGATACCCAGGATGCTGTCCATTGTATAATGCTAAAATAAGCCTAATATCAAACCTCAAAAAGCACACACCCGTAAATGTATAAGTACAGTGACAGGACACAAAACACACTGTGAATGAAGATATAAGGATCTTAAGATAGTGGTCAAAAGTCCATTAAAAAAATTAGCCGGGCGTGGTGGTGGGCACCTGTAGTCGCAGCTACTCGGGAAGCTGAGGCAGGAGAATGGCGTGAACCCGGGAGGCAGAGCTTGCAGTGAGCCGAGATCGTGCCACTGCACTCCAGCCTGGGTGACAGAGCGAGACTCCATCTCAAAAAAAAGAAATAATAATAATAATAATAATAATAATAATAATAATAATAATAATAATAATTCAGGGATATTCTGCTTCTCGTTAGTTGCAAGAGACTGTCAACCTGTCTTACCAAGGGAATAAATATTAGTTATTTTTAATCCATCAGATGGGCGAGAGCACAAAGAAAGCTAAAAAACTAACATGTATAAAGGAAGGAAACATTTCTAGGGGGAGAAGATTCCTGTGGAAGCTTTCATCTTTAGGGACATGGCAGAAAAAGGAAAAAGGAGAAAACCACCATAGGTAGGTGAAAAGAAAGCAGCCCAGATTTAAAAATTCTGTGATTATATGTGGGCTGATATAACTGACTAGAATCATGGGGTACCTAAGTCACAAAACGAGTTTACAGCATCTACGAACTTTTTTTCGTGGAGCCTTTCCTAAGTGCATAGGAACAGTACAGCAGTAGCTGGGGGCAGATACTCAGAAAAACGGAGAGAGAAACACAAGAAGCTGCATAGTGTCTTGAGCAAGACATCATCAGGGTTCATGGGTCTTTCCTTTTGTGTAATACATGAGTCCACTAGGGTCCAGTCACTGAATGAGGAGTGGAGAGATGTATACTAACAAATAAATAAACAAAAAGTGATGACAGGCTGAAAATCAGTGAGATTAATCATTATTGAGATATTTGATAGCAGGGCTATAGAGAAATATATAGAATTTTTCCAGTGCTATAATTCAAAGTCACGTCTAAGGGAAAGACCTGATTCTACCTTTAAAACATTCGAAGCTGGGAGTGGACTGAATCTAATAAAACCTGTGCAAAAGCCCAGGCACTTGCCAAATACAAATTAGATCAGTTCTGCCATCCACATCAGTAGTCTGACAGAGGAAGAGTCATGCCATTTTCTGGCCATTGTTTACCTCAGTGTTCCTGTTTTGTTAAAGTAACATCCATGATAAAATACAAATTTCAAGACATATGAAGAAGCGGGGAAATATAACCCATAGGGAAGAGGAAAAAAAATCAGAGTCAGTTACTGATAACGGTCATCAGTCACACGGTCCACATGTTAGAATTAAAATACACAAGTTTAAAAATAACTATGATAAATATGTTACAAGATCTACTGGAAAATATGGACAATATTGAGAGCAGATGAGAAATAGTAAAGAACTGAAACTCTAAAAAAGAACAAATGAAAATGTTAGAATGAAAAAGTGCAGTATCAGAAATAGAGAGTTTATTATGTTCGGCTTCAAAACAGTCTGAACACAAGAGAATAAGTTATTTGTGACCTTGAAAATAGGTGGATAGATAGTGTCCAATTTCTAACATAAAGAAAAAAAAAAGAAAAACCTGACACCAGAGAATCTGATATCTGTGGAACAGTACAATATGTCTAATTAAGACTCTCTTCTTTATTGCTGGCCTACAGGAATTTAATAGTTTCATTTTAAAGTATTGTTTGGGGTTCTTAAGTGTTTTAGATCTGTGGGTTCATGTTTTATATTAATTTATGATTTAGAATAAATGTTTTATCTGAAATTGCCCTTAGAAGCCTAGAGCTAATATGAGTGCAGTGAGCCTTGGATGTAGAAAAATGGATTATTTTTAACTACAAAGCAATGTTGACAGGGATGCGTTTCATTTTTACACAAGCTTGTCTAAGAAGAGCCTTAATCATGAACCCCACATTTTGTAATCACATCTTTGGAACAGTGTGTTCTTGAAATATGTGCTTTTACATAATAATTTTCATGCATTTTATTTACCCGATTCATTAATTGTAGATTTTCCTTCTAGCTTCAGGAATACTTCATTCAAAGTTGTCATGGAAACACCATAATTCTCAATTCCTAGGTCAGGATAGCTATCAAGATCCTTGTAAAGTTCTAAAGAATACATATACAGCAGTGAATTAAAACAAGAATCACAAGTGAACTGAAGACAATTTTTCAAACTAATAAGCACAAATCTATGAAACTATACTTGTGATATGTCAAAAACATTTGAAAATTAACATTTCATAATAGATCATCTTATTCTGCAAATTCTATATATTATTTTCTATTTTACATCATGTGTTACAACCCAAATATTACTTTGTCAAACATTAATTTATATTCATTTGCATTTCTATTAAAGTTTAATCTTAGTTTTTTCTGACTTCCTTTTAAAATTTAATTAATTGTGAGACTCTGGGTTTTTCAACTCTAAGCCTAATTAATTGAAAAGTCTTTTCTAGAGAACAGATATAAATGGGAGCCATTTATGTTCTAACTGACAAAAGGAAAGGAATTAATTTTTTGAGAATTAATTGGATGGTGTAGAATCTTCTGTAGTTTAGAAAATATTTGTTAAAGAGAAGACATAGAATATAAACCATTAAAAAATTTTCTGTTTCTAACAATGGAAGAAAAAATTCACAAGACCTAACAGGCAGAGAATGTGGAACTGAATCAGGGAATTTTCCTGGAATTGTGACAGTGATTATTCGCTCTAGCAATTTTATATCTATTCATTCTTTAGTTCGTTCACCAAAATATACTTACGCATCTGTCATTGTTCATGAAGCAGTGAACAGTGCCCCTGCCTGCATGGATTTGAATTACAGTGGTTAAATCAAGCTTAAATAAAAACCTAATTCTAATACTAGGGTGATTACAGAAGTCCTGAGGCTTCCATCTGGAGCTCCTGCTTGGGCAAAAGGATAGGTTAAAAGCTTTTTGTCTTGACTAGAATACCTCATACAGAAAGGTAGAAAAGAAGTAAGATTTAAGCTAATAATGAGTATTATGCATCATTCTTCATTCCACCTAAAACGTCTACAAATTTTCTTTAAATTATAATTACTGTTAAAAAGTACTAATCAGAATTTGCGTAACACTTTCCTGATGATTCTAAGGAATGCTTGTGTTGTCACCATAAAATGTGTATTTGAATGAATGTATATGTCTTTGTTAACCACATATACAGCAAGGTTAATTGTTTCAACCACTAATGTGGGCCCTTATAGTGCCCCATTGTTAAGGAACAAGTTCCCTGAACAACAAACATAGTTAGTAAACTTTTATGCGTTAGCCTGAAAAACCCAAAGTTATTGCAAAAGTCTCACCGAGACAGATAGCCACATCACAGGGCTGTTTAATGTAGTGCATAAGCCAGAGGTTTTCAACCATTTGGGTTTGTGTACATTTATGAATACTAGAATATTATGTTACACACTACTAGGGAAGAAGGACTAAAAGAAGCCCTCTAAAATGCCCAGGCATTACAATACAACTATTAGAATGTAATTCTATTTCCCACTATACAGAAAATAATTCAGTTATTGTACTATTCTTTTGATTATGTTTCAGTACCTGAGCATACTGTAAGACATTGATAAATGTTAGTTGTAATGATAATAATTATGATGATGATGACTATTATTCACATATTTTATTTCACAGTGTTCATGCACATTACCTGGAAATTTATTTGTTCTTTCTAAGGGTAATGTATAAATAAGTTTTCCTTCGCTTTTGGCTGATAATTTGGCATCAGGGATGTGCTGTTTAACAAGTGATGTTATGTTTTCCTCAACACATATTTCATTTAACTGCAAGCTGGCATTCAGAAAAAAAAAAAAAGACATATGTTACTCGACATAGTCTCCAATAGCAAGAAAATAATTAACTAGTCTCTATAGGACAAAGAAAATCAATTAAAATCTAATGCCAGAAATAGGTCAGACAAACACAAAATAAGAGGACAAAAACCCAAGAAATAAGAGGACAAAAACCCAGCCAAATCATATAAATGTGATGGACAAAAGAAAAGAATGAGCTAATGAGAGTTACTGGTGAGGTTACTCAGGAGTAGTGCCCAGAGAAGTTTCATATTGATTGAAGCTCCTGAAGAGAGGGTGGTCACAGAGTGGAAAATACCAGGGTTGCAGTACAGCAAAGGTCAGGACTATGCAAAATGGATAACGTTGCAGTTGAAGGTTCAGTTTTAAGCTGACTAAATAGAATTGTTGTATCGCTTCAAAGGAACAAGAGACTTGTGAGAAGTATAGATGCCAAACAGTTTCAGTTACTCAATGTAGTCATCCAATGCAAATTTACTAAGTTCTTAGTATGTGACAAACATCATACTTAGTGTTGAGGATACAATGGTGACTAAAGCAGCATTATTCTGCTCTTATGGAGTTCATTGTCTAGTGCGGGCGTCAGGAAGAAAACATGTAGACAACCAGATGAGTAAAATAATTATCAATAGTAGTAAGTGCTATGAAGGAAACTGGATTATAGATAGAAACTAATAATGGATGAATGTGGTTTGCTTTTCTTGTAATGCTAAGCCCAGAACTTTGAATAAGAACAAAGTATCATTGAGAAAATCAGTCTATCCATTGAAAAATACCACAGCTATTTCTCCATTATAGAGAAACAGACAAACACAATATTCTATTAATTGAGGTTATAAATTATACAGTGGGCAAAATATCAGTAGTGACTTGGCTTTGAAATATTGTTTTAGCATCTGGAACGTGTTATTTAACTTATCTAAACAGTTACTTTATTAGAAAACTGGAATAATGATTCCCAGCCTCTAGGGTTATTCGAACAATGGAATAATAGTGAAGTTTGCACTTGACAAGCCCTTAAAAATGGTAGCAATTTTATTTGACCAAATGCATAAGTCAAAAATTATTCCACTGACACATAAGTCATGTATGAACTTAAAAGAATATATGCTATTTTTTTAGAAGTAGTGAAATCCACTGGAAGAGTGAAGCAAAAAATGTCGTAGCTGTTTTCCATGATGCTGACTCCTGAAATGAAAACAATTTAAGAATTATTCCTTGGCCACTTGTAGGAACTTGTGCTGAGTGCTGGGGCGGAATGAATGAGTCATGCAGAAAGTCATTCCTTGAGGAACTTGAAGCTTGAAAGGGGAGGTTGTAAAACTTTTTCTGTAAAATGTGTACTAGATAGTAAATTTTCTAGGCTTTGTAGGCTGTTAGAACTCTGTTGAAACTCTTCCACTCTGCTGTTGTAACATGGAGACAGCCAGAGCAGTGTGTAAAAGAAAGGGCATGACTGGGCTCCAACCAAACTGTATTTACAGAAAGAGGAAGTAGGCTGGATGTGGCTCATGAGCTATAATTTGTTGGCCCTTAGATTAGAAGAAAATAAGGCAATTGCACAAATAGGAGTCCATGAATGGACTCGCAAATTGGGCAGGGATCCTGACTAGCACTTTTTATTTTGAAAACATGTTATGTTTCCATGCAGTGTGCCAGGCAGTCTCTTATTTATTTTTCTATAACCTTTACTTGTAAGTAGGAATTGCTACTCTCACTTTGTAGGTGGAAACACTGACTTTCAGATAGTTTAATTAATTTCCAAGAAGAGATGCAAACAAAGTGCTATAAGAAATAAAAAAAAATTGGGACATTACACAGAACTGGAAAAATATCTACATGAGATATTTTTCAAATAACTTTCTAGGACTTAAACAAGTGCAGATGAGTTAAGGAAACTGTCATCCTATTTTCTTTGTATTGTTGTCATGATAGGTTTGTTTTCTTTCTTAAGTATAGATGGTATAAATTTACAAAAACGACCAATCATGTAACAAAAACAGTAGTTTAAAATATGGATTTGACTACTAGATTTAGAATTTAAAAATATTCAGGTTCAATTTCTGATTCCAGCACTTCTTAATCTAGGGAGTCTGTAATTTCATCTGTAAAATAAAAGTAACAACACTTCTATTTTAAACAATAGAAGATTTAGGAGGGGAGGTAGAGCAAGGTGGCCAGATAGAACCCTCCAGAAATCTTCCCATCCCCCAGGAACACCAAATTGAACAACTGTCCACACAAGGAAGCACCTTCATAAGAACAAAAAAATCAGGTGAGCAATGATAGTGGTTTTAACATCATATAAGGAAAGAAGCACTGGAGAGGATAGGAAAGACAGTCTTGAATTGCTGACACAACTTCCCATCCTTGGCAGCAGCTGTGTGGCACAGAGAGAGAATGTTGTATGCTTGGGGGAGGGAGAGGACAGTCATTGTGGGACTTTGCATTGGAACTCAGTGTTGCCTGTCACAGTGACAAGCAACGTAGGGCAGAATTCGGCCACTGCCCACAGAGGGAGCATTTAGACCAGCCTTAGCCAGAGGGGAAGCATTCATCCCACTACCATGGACTAAAGTGCTCTGGGGATCTAAATAAACGTAGGACCACAGGGACTGAAATTCCTGGGCAAGTCCTGATGCTGTTCTGGGCTCAAAGCCAATGGACTTGGGGTGCAAAAGACCTCGAGAGACACCAGCTGGAGCAGCCAAGGGAGTGCCTGTTTCACCCCCTCCCCCAACACCAGACAGTGCAGCTCGCTGTTCCAGGAGAGACTCCCTCCTTCTGTTGAGGAGAGGAGAGAGGAGTAAATAGGATTTTGTTTTCCAACTTGCATACAAGCTCAGCCACAGCAGAATAGGACACCAGGCAGAGTTCTGAGGACCCCATTCCAGGCCCTTGCTCCCAGATGACATTTTTAGACATACCCTAGGCCAGAAGGGCACCTGCTGCCTTGAAGAAAAAGACCCAGTTCTGGCAGAATTCATCACCTCCTGACTAAAGAACTTTTGGGCCTTGAATAAACACCAGGAGTAGCCAGGCAGTACTTGCCACAGGCCTTGGGTGAGGCCCAGTGCTCTGCTGGCTTCAGGTTTGACCTAGCACATTCCCAGCTGTGATGGCTGTGGGGAGAGACTTTCTGCCTGAGGAAAAGAGAGGGAAGAGTAAAGGGGACTTTGTCTTGCAGCTTAGGTACCAGCTTAGCTACAGTGGAGTAGAGAGCACCAAGCGGACTCCTGGGGTCCTGGATTCTAGGCCTTGGCTCCTGGATCTGGACTTGCCCCAGGCCAGAGGGGAGCCCATTGCCCTGAAGGGAGCTGCTACCCAGGCCTGGCAGCATGTACTACAAGCTGCCTGAAGTCCCTTGGGCCTTGAGTGAACATCAGTGGTAGCCAGGCAGTACTCGCTGCAGGCCTGGGGCAGTGGTGACTAGGGGGAGAGACTCCTTCTCCTTGAGGAGAGGGAAGAGTGGGAAGACTTTGTCTTCTGGTTTGGGTGTCAGCTCAGCTGCAGCAGAA
This sequence comes from Homo sapiens, assembly GCF_000001405.40. Lineage (NCBI taxonomy): Eukaryota > Metazoa > Chordata > Mammalia > Primates > Hominidae > Homo > Homo sapiens. Next base: position 68,911,421 of record NC_000017.11, read on the forward strand.
TACAGTGCCATGTAGATTCCTAAGATTTCTGACTCCAGGTCCTTCCTCCCAGAAGGCATTTCTGGACCCACCCTGGGCCAGTGGGAAGCTTGCCACCATAAAGGGAAGGACACAGGCCTGGCTGTATTTGCCACCTGCTGCCTGAAGAGCCCTTGGGCTTAGAGTGAACATTGGCGGTAGCCAGGCAGTGGTCGCTGCGGGTCTTGGGAAAGACCCAGTGCTGTATTGGCTTTAGATCTGACCCAGCATAATCCTAGTGGTGGTGGCCACAGGGGTGCTTGTGTCACCCCTCTGCCAGCTCCAGACAGCTCAATACACACACACACACACACACACACACACACACACACTCCATTTGGAGAAAGATAAGGGAAGGGAACAAGCATCTCTGCCTGGTAATCCAAAGTATTCTCCAAGAGCACCAAAGTGGTACGTCGAAGAGTCTGCAAGAATCACCATGTTACTGGATTTGAGGGTGCCCCCTAGTGCTGATACAGCTGCAGTGACCAAAGACTTAGACCATAACATTCTATTCCCTTTGAATACTTGGAAAGCCTTCCCAAGAAGGATGGGTACAAACAAGCCCAGACTGTGAAGACTACATTAAATACCTAACTCCTCAATGCCCAGACACTGATGAACATCCACAAGCATCAAGACTATCCAAAAAAACATGACCTCACCAAATGACTAAATAAGGTACCAGGGACCAATACCAGAGTGACAAAGATATGTGACTTTTCAGACAGATAATTCAAAATAGTTGTTTTGAGGAAGTTCAAATAAATTTAAGATAACACAGAGAAGGGACTCAGAATCTTATCAGATAAATTTAACAAAGAGATTGAAATAATGTTTAAAAATCAAGCGGAAATTCTGGAGCTAAAATATCAACTGACATACTGAAGAATGTATCAAAGTCTCTCAAGCAGAAGAATCAATGAGCTTGAAGACAGGCTATTTGAAAATACTCAGAAGAGACAAAACACAAAAGAATTGAAAAAGAATGAAGCATGCCTACAAGATCTAAAAAAGAGCCTCCAAAGGACAAGTATAAGAGTCATTGGCCTTAAGGAGGAGATAAAGAAAGAGATAAAGATAGAAAGTTTATTCAAGGGATAATAACAGAGAACATTCCATGCAAATAGAAAACAGAAAAGAGCAGAAATAGATATCTTTATATTAGACAAAATGAATTCCAAGACAAAAACCATAGAAAGAGAAAAAGAATGTCACTATATAATGATAAAAGGGTCAATTCAGCAAGAAGATATAACAATTGTAAATATATATGCACCCAACACTGGAGCACCCAGATATGTAATGCAAATGTTATTAAGGCTAAAGACAGAGAGAGAGAGAGAGACCCAATACAATAATAATAGCTGGAGACTTCAACACACTACTTTCAGCACTGGACAGATGATCCAGACAGAAAATCAAAAACATTGGACTTAATGTGCACTATAGATCAAATGGACCCAATAAATATTTATAGAACATTTTATGCAATGGCTGCAGAATACACAGTCGTCTCCTCAGCACATGGATCATTCTCAAGGATACACGATATGCTAGCCACAAAACAAGACTTAAATTTTTTTTTCAAATTGAAATTATACCAAATAGCTTCTCTGACCACAATAGAATAAAACTAGAAATCAATACAAGAGGAACTTTGGAAACTATACAAACACATGGAAATTAAATAATATGTGTTAGAATGACCAGTGTGTCAAGGAAGAAATTAAGAAGGAAATTGAAAAATTTATTGAAACAAATGAAAATGGAAACACAACATGCCAAAACCTATGGAATACGGTGGAAGCATTACTAAATGGAGAATTTATAGCAATAAGTGCTTACATCAAAAAGAGAAAAACTTCAAACAAACAACCTAACGACACTTCTTAAAAACTAGAGAAGCAAGAGCAAACCAAAACCAAAAGTCGTAGAATAAAAGAAATAATAAACATCAGAGCAGAAATAAATAAAATTGAAATGAAATAAACAATACAAAAAGTTGAAAAATTTGAAAAGTTAAACAAAATGGACAAACTTTTAGCCAGACTAAAAAAAAGAAAAAAAAGAGAAAGACAAAAATAAATAAAATCAGAGATAAATAGGAGAAATAACAACTGATACTGCAGAAATTCAAATGATATTTAGTGGCTACTATGAGCAACTGTATGTCAATAAATTAGAAAACCTAGAAGAAATGGACAAATTCCTAGACACGTACAATCTACCAAGATTGAACCGTGAAGAAATCCAAAACCTGAACATACCAATAACAACCAACAAGATTAAAGCCATAATAAAAAGTCTTTCAGCAGAGAATTCACTGCTGAATTCTACCAAATACTTAAAGAATAACTAATACCAATCCTATTCAAAATTATTCTGAAAAATAGAGGAGGAGAGGATACTTTGAAACTCATTCTATGAGGCCAGATATGACTGGAATATTGATGTGAAAATCCTCATCAAAATACTAGCAAACCGAATTCAACAACACATTAAAAAATCATTCATCTTGGTCATGGTTGGATTTATCCCAGAGATTCAAGGATGGTTCAATGCATGGAAATCAATGTGATACATCATACCAACAGAATAAAGGGCAAAAAAGATATGATCACTTCAACTGATGCTGAAAAAGCAATTGATAAAATTCAACATCTCTTCATGATAAAACCCTCAAAAATCTAGGTGTAGAAGGAACATGTCTCAACAAAATAAAAGCCATATATGGCAAACCTACAGATAGTATCATACTCAATGGGGGAAAGCCTTTTTTCTAAGATCTGGAACACAACAATGATGCCCACTTTCACCATTGTTATTCAACATAGTACTGGAAGTCCTAGCTGTGGCAATCAGATAAGAGGCAGAAAAAAATGGCATCCAAAATGGAAAGGAAGAAATAAAATCATCCTTGTGGGCAAATGATATGATCTTATATTTGAAAAATCCTAAAAACTACACCAAAATGCTATTAGAACTGATAAACAAAGTCAGTAAAGTTGCAGGTTACAAAATCAATATACAAAAATCAATAGCATTTCTACATGCTAACAGCAAGCAAGCTGAAAAAGAAATCAAGAAAGTAATCCCATTGACAATAGCTACAAATAAAATAAGATACCTAGTGATAAACTTAACCAAAGAAGTAAAAGATCTCTATAGTGAAAACCATAAAACATTGATGTAAGAAATTGAAGAGGACACAAAAAGGAAAGATATTCTATGCTCATGGGTTGGAAGAATCAATATTGTTAAAATGTTCATACTACCCAAAGCAATCTACTTATTCAACACAATCGCTATCAAAATACCAATGACATTCTTCACAGAATAAAAAACAAACAAACTAATATTTATATGGAACCACAAAAGGCCCAGAGTAGACAAAGCCATTCTTAGCAAAAAGAACAAAACTGAAGGAATCACATCATCGGACTTCAAATTATACTAGAGTTGTAATAACCAAAACAGCATGGTACTGGCATAAAACCAGACACATAGACCAGTGGAACAGAATAGAGAATGCAGAAATAAATCCATACATCTACAGTAAACTCATTTTCAACAAAGGACCAGGAATATACATTGGGGAAAGTCTCTTCAATAAACAGTGCTAAGAAAACTGGATATCCATATGCAGAAGAATGAACCTAGACTCCTATCTGTCACTGTTTACAAATATCAAATCCAAATGGATTAAAGACTTACTTATAAGTCCTCAACCTAGGAAACTACTACAAGAAAACATTGGGGAAACTTCCCAGGGTATTGGTCTGGGTAAAGATTTCTCTACCCCACAAGCAGAGGTGACTAAAGCTAAAATGGACAAATGAAATTACATCAAATTAAAAAGCTTCTGCACAACAAAGCAAACAATCAAGTAAAGAGACAACTCATAGAGTAGGAGAAAATATTTGCAAACTATCCATCTAACAAGTGATTAATAATCAGACTATATAAAGAGCTCAAACAACTTAATAGGAAAAAATCTAATAATCCAATTCAAAATGGGCAAAATATCTGAATAGATAGTTCCCAAAAGAAGACATACAAATGACAAACAGGCATATGAAAAAGGGCTCAATATCATTGATCACCAGAGAAATGCAAATCAAAACTACAATGAGACATCATCTCACCCCAGTTAGAATGGCTTTTATCCAAAAGACAGGCAATAACAAATGCTGGCAAGGATGTGGAGAAAAGGGAATCATCGTACTCTGTTGGTGGGAATGTAAATTAGTACAGCCACTATAGACAACGTTTTCAAGTTCCACAAAAATCTAAAAATAGAGCTACCATATGATCCAGCAATCCCACTACTAGGTATATACCCCAAAGAAAGGAAATCAATATGTCAAGGAAATATCTGCACTCTCGTGTTTATTGATGCACCATTCACGAGAGCCGAGATTTGGAAGCAACCTAAGTGTCCATCAACAGATGATTGGGTAAAGAAAATGTGGTACATACACACAATGGAGTACTATTCAGCCATAAAAAGAATGAGATACTGTCATGTGCAACAACATGGATGGAATGGAGATCATTATATTAAGTGAAATAAGCTAGGCACAGAAAGACAAACTTCATACGTTTTCATTCGTTTGTGAGAGTTGAAAATTAAAACAATTGATTTTATGGAGATAGTAGAAGGATGGTTACCAGAGGCTGAGAAGGGTAGTGGGGTGGTGGGGAAGGGGGGATGGTTAATGGGTACAATAATACTGTTAGTAGAATGAGATCTAGTATTTGATAGCACATTCTTCACAGATTATATTACATGTGAATATAATTATATTATATTACTGTGACGTTCTTCACAGATTTTATTACATGTACAATATATTAATATGACTATACAGACTATATTAATATTGCAATATATTGTTGACTATAGTCAACATATATTAAAACAGCTAAAATAGTATATAACTGGAATGTTTGTAACACAAAGAAATGATTAATGCTTGAGGTGATGAATACCCCATTTATCCGATGTTATTATGTACCGTATGCCTGTATCAAAATATCTCATGTACCCCCATAAATCTATACACCTACTATATACCCTTTAAAATTAAAAGTTAAAAGATAGAAGGTTTAAGTAAAATAATGTTAAATATCTTATCTGAGTCACTCAGTAAATTACAGTTAGAATATGCTGCTATTCAAAATAAAGATAATAAAATGAAGAGGATGGATGGGAGGAGAAGAACAAGAAAGAAGGGGAAGATCTAGAAGGAGTGGAAGCAAGTAGCCGACTTAAGAATATATTAACACCCTGGGAAGATGAGAGATGATGAAGGTGTAAAATACAAGTGTGTCAGTTGAAAAGATTCCCTTAATACATACCTCCATTAATAAAACCTGTGTTGCAGATATATATTTTTTAGTCATATTTATCTAAACTTTTGTTGTTATATTCTCAATATCTAAAATCTCCAGATCAATATCTCTTACATATACATACTAACTAGGTAGACACAAATACGTGTACATGTTTGTACAAACACCTGTGTATAATAATACAAATTCTTGGCCGGGCGCGGTGGCTCACGCCTATAATCCCAGCACTTTGGGAGGCCGAGGCGGGCGGATCACGAGGTCAGGAGATCGAGACCATCCTGGCCAACACGGTGAAACCCCGACTCTACCAAAAACACAAAAAAACTTAGCTGGGCGTGGTGGCGGGCCCATGTAGTCCCAGCTACTCGGGAGGCTGAGGCAGGAGAATGGAGTGAACCCAGGAGGCGGAGCTTGCAGTGAGCCGAGATGATCGATACTCCGTCTCAAAAACAAAACAAAACAAAAAATAACAATAATACAAATTCTTCTTGTGTGTTGTAATGTTTTGCTTCAAGCATCAAGCCTTACACTAGATCTACTCCCAGCCTTCTTAAGTGACCTTACCTTAAGTGATATCCAATCCCCCATTTCTTCTTTAGAAACAAAGAAGAGCCCGCGCACTTTAGCTTCCCTTGGGAGAGAAATACTTTCCTGTCTGAAAAAGAAGAAGAGCAAAGAAGAAAGTTTGTTAAAAAGTGGCCCATCCATTTCCAAGAAAAGACAGGTAATCATCTATATAATCAAACTTTAATTCAGGAGCTTCTAAGGTTTTAAATGCAGGACTCGATAAGGACTCAATGAAATAGACACATTTTAATCTCGTTTACGTGAATTTTGCAATCCATCCCATCAGGGAGGTTAAATTTTGTGGATATATGTTCTAATATAGAAAATTATCCCATTATATATTTTAACAGATGAAACATTAAAATCATTTGAATATTTCAAGTGGATTTCCCTCAATTCTGAGTAAAAGGATTGATCTCTTAGAAACTCAACTTCACTTATTTTGCAATAAGCGAGTTTCCTGGCAGATCATGCTTCTATGTGACCAAATTATACAAAATTCTGCAAGATACACTGAAATGGTTGCAAGAGGCTTTGCGTCCAGTTCAAATTACCACCAGCCATTCAATTTACCAGATACAGCTAGATTACCGAATTACAAAATATAACTGTTCAGAGACCAATCCATATTTTTAGATCTCTTAAAGTCCTCCTCAGGATACTTAACAGAAACCAGTGATTACCCGCCAGGATGTCGGCCTCATCCATGAACTGGGTACTGAAGAGGATCACGCGGTCTGTTTTGCGTTCTTTCAGAAGGTTCCATACTTGGTGTCTTGAAAAGGGATCCAATCCAGCAGTTGGTTCATCCAACAGGAAAATCTATAAACGAGGAAAGTATATAAGGCGGTTTTCCTCAAAGGTGAAGTTCTTCCAGAAAACAACGCAAAAACCATATTGATTATATTTAACAGAGTATTACGGTTAGGATTTAGATACTCTATTTAATGTTCTATTATGAATATTTTATAACACATGTCCTTTGCGAATAAAATATTTGAACTATTACCAAAAGTTCCATTTTTTAAACTTTGAATTCACCTGCAAATTCAATGTGACTCACCTGAGGATCTCCTAAAATGGCAATCCCAAAGGTTAGCTTTCTTTTCTGTCCACCACTTAAGTTTTGAGCAAGAACATCCTGAATATTTTTCATTTCCAATTCCAGCAGAACCCTTTGTATCTAACCAAAAGACAGTATTTATGTCATACACCAAAATTTATTCCTTTTTTAAAAATTTATAAATACAAGGCTGTAAAGTGTAAATGGTTAAAAGCACAAACACTGGGTCAGGCGCGGTGGCTCATACCCATAGTCTCAGCACTTTGGGAGGCTGAGGCGGGCAGATAACGAGGTGAGGAGTTCGAGACCAGCCTGGCCAACATGGCGAAACCTTGTTTCTACTAAAAATACAAAAATTAGCCAAGCCTGGCGGCGTGCCTGTAATCCCAGCTACTCAGGAGGCTGAGGCAGGAGAATCGCTTGAACCTGGGAGGCAAATGTTACAGTGAGCCGGCATAGGGCCATTGCACTCCGGCCTGGGCGACAAGAGCAAAACTCTGTCTCAAAAAAAAAAAAAAAAAAAAAAAAAGAACAAACACTGGAGCCAAACTTTCCGGGTTTGAATGTCACACACATTGACTACTAAGTTGGTCAAGTTCCTTGCTCTCTTGAACCACATGTATAAAATAGGGATAATAATAGCACCTATCTCATAGGGTTGCTATGAGGAATAAATGATTTATTAGATTTAAAGTTAAGGATATGCTTGGCGCATTGTAAATTATATGCAATGTTAGCTATTGTTTAAATTGGATTTTCTTGTCCAACAATTGTACAATGATTTGCGCACAAATAATTTAAAATTAAAACTCAGTGCAAATGGTTTTAATAATCTCATTTTGACCAACACATTAACTTTAACATATTTTTGTACCTCTTTATCCACTTCTTGTGGCAGAATCCCTTTTATTTTAGCAAAGAGTCTGAGGTTTTCTCTTACAGTGAGGAAGTCAAATTGCACATTGGATTGTGGACAAACTCCGGTCAGCTTGCTGAGATTTTCTAGGTCAGCCATTTCTGAAAGCTTATTGTTATAGATGGTGACTGAACCTGTAACAAAGGAAAAGTTAATATCAAGATAAGGCTTAAGATATTTCTTAATAAAATCGCTGTTAATTAAATGTACGTATGACTTTATCTTGACAGTTTATACAATTCAGGCATTAGAAACTTCTACTTTAGTTGCATAGTATATTCAAAATATGTTCTCATCTGCAGCTTTTCCCATCAAGGTGTAGTCCCTTTGTCTGCCCCTCACATTTAGCTTTGCCTATATACCCTGTAGTATCCTAGCAAATGTGATACAAGCAGAGTCTGATGAAGAGCTTCCACCTAGTGATTTGTCTTTGCTTGCTGCTGGGATCATGGGGATCATTGGGTGAAGAATCCCAGCAGGCCTTCTGAAAGATATATTTCCATGTGGGAAAAGACACGCAGCTGTCCTAACTGAAGCCCCAGATATGTGAGTGAGGCCATGTTAAATCATCCAGCCCCTGTCACTTTGGTCCAGAATAGAAAAACTGCCCAGTCAACCCACAGAATCATGAGGAGCAATAAGACATGAAATCAATTTAAATGCCTATCAAAGACAGACTAGATAAAGAAAATGGGGGTACATACACTCCGTGGAATATTATGCAGCTATAAAAAAGAATGAGATCATATCTTTTGTGGGAACATGGGTGGAGCTAGAGGCTATCATCTTTAGTAAACTAATGCAGGAACAGAAAATGAAATACCATATGTTCTCACTTATAAGAGGGAGCTAAATGATAAGAACTTATGAACACAAAAAGGCAAATCACAGACACTGGGGTCTACTTGATGGGGGAGGGTTGCAGGAGGGAGAGGAGCAGAAAAGATAACTATTGGGTACTGGGCTTAATACCTGGGTCATGTAATAATATAGGCAACAAACCCCCATGACGTGTTTATCTATGTAACAAAGCTTTACATGCACCCCCAAACCTAAAATAAAAATTTTAAAAAATAAAAAAATAAATACCTTATTGCTTAACAAAAAAAAAAAGAGTTGACAGATAGAAGCTGGAATGCCAAATAGCAACTAATGAGCATGAAAATAGTTATTATGAAATACTCAGATTCCATATGCAGTATACCAATTAAATATTACATACTTCCACAGAATATTACTATTAAATAAAATTCCATTTTTCCCTAGGTATGTGTGTTTGTGATTAACACTTGAAAGAATTTCATATTAACAGCTGATTTATTTGTCAATTGACTTTGAAAATAAACTAGTTTTTACCACAGGTGCTGGAGAGGATGTGGAGAAATAGGAACACTTTTACACTGTTGGTGGGACTGTAAACGAGTTCAACCATTGTGGAAGTCAGTGTGGCGATTCCTCAGGGATCTAGAACTAGAAATACCATTTGACCCAGCCATCCCATTACTGGGTATATACCCAAAGGACTATAAATCATGCTGCTATAAAGACACATGCACACGTATGTTTATTGTGGCACTATTCACAGTAGCAAAGACTTGGAACCAAGCCAAATGTCCCTCAATGATAGACTGGATTAAGAAAATGTGGCACATATACACCATGGAATACTATGCAGCCATAAAAAATGATGAGTTCGTGTCCTTTGTAGGGACATGGATGAAGCTGGAAACCATCATTTTCAGCAAACTATTGCAAGGACAAAAAACCAAACGCCGCATGTTCTCACTCATAGGTGGGAATTGAACAATGAGAACACTTGGACACAGGAAGGGGAACATCACACACCAGGGCCTGTTGTGGGGTGGGGGGAGTGGGGAGGGATAGCATTAGGAGATATATCTAATGTTAAATGACGCGTTAATGGGTGCAGCACACCAACATGGCACATGTATACATATGTAACTAACCTGCACGTTGTGCACATGTACCCTAAAACTTAAAGTATAATTTAAAAAAAAAGAAAACAAACTAGTTTGTACCTTTGGTGGGAACAGACAACCCACTAAGAATGTTTAGCAGTGTTGACTTTCCAGCTCCACTGTGACCAAGTATTGCAGTGATTTGGCCTTCGTAAATGTCAAATACCAGATCTAGGAAGAAAAAAAGAAAGGAAAGAAAGATAAGATAAAGGGATGGAAAACAATTAAAACCACAAAAAATATTCCATTATGGAGCCAATGAATTGTTATTAATTCTCTTGAATGGTTGTCTTTTCTATATATAAATATAGTGGGTTGTTAAATTCAAAATAAAACATTAAAAGTTCCCTCTATAAACTTATTTCTCAAAATAGCTTCTTTTGAAATTTTGAAATTACTTAGTTTAAATGAATGAAACATATCTATATAATAGGTTGATTGACATTGCCTGCATATGGTAGGTCAATGTTAGTATTTATTAAATGGAAGAATAGATTAATAGTAAGTTATTACATGGCTAAAACTCCTTTGAGGTAAGTGACATTTTCACACAAAAGAAAAACATACAGTATCTACCAATAGCTTTTGGATTACAGACAAAAAACTTGAGTTTGTAGAAAAAAAAACCCAGAATATCCTTAGACTACCTCAATATTACCCAGTATAGATTCTAAATACATCTATTTCTAAAACATATTCATTTTTTTCTAACTTTTATAAAGTAGAAGCAATACATTAGAAAAAAAAGTCTTATGCAGCTCAAATAACTCTTTTCAAGTCTAAAATACCACCACTAATTAATCACCGAAAGCAAAACTGAATTAAAATCAGGAAATCAATACTAATATAACAAATATTTTCTTTCTCTCTCTCTTTTTTTTTTTTTTTTTTTTTTTTTTTTTTTTTTTTTTTTTTTTTACCTTTCAAGGCTTCTATTTTATCAGGCTTTCCTTTATATTCTTTTGTAACATTTCTGATTCTGAAAAAAAGAAAAGATACTTCAAAGTGACAATTTTCTTCAGTTTGTAATTTCCAGTTTGGTAGACAGGATTGGATAAATCTTAACTTCAGGATACATGAAGATCTGGGTCTTCACTCTCACACAGTCATAGCTGTGTGACAGAATCAGCTAGAATACCGCTTGCCAACCCTGTCTGCACATTGGCGTCATGTGAGGAGTTACATGTGAGGAGTTATAAGAATTTCACTGTGATTGGGACCCATAAGCAAAGGTTCCATAGATTGGGGTATAAGCTAATATTAGTATTGAGAACGGGATCACCTCTGAACTGCAAAGCTAAGAAAGCAAGGCCAAGAGATGACATGGACATTCGATACCCAAAGGCTCCTGTGAACCACTGGCACAGGTTGGAAAGATCTTTGGCCATCCTGATTCAAGGTCTCCCAAGGTTCATTAAGAACTACAGTAAGAAAGACAATCAATGTATCATAATAGCAAGAGCATGGGGTTCACAGTACTGCCCATCTAAGCTTATCCCATTACAACCACTTAGTGCTCTGTTACCTTAACCAACGTACTTATTCCAGATCAGCTTCAGGTTTCACAACCTGAAAATTTTTGCAGGGCTTTAGGGCTGTGTTGGAAGGCAAGTAAAATATTTCATCTCGCATGTACAGTGCATATAAGATGATATTGGTTACATGGTGATGATGGCTACAGAAAGGAATGAAATTAACTTATGCTTAGTACTATTATAGGTCTGGAATTCTAGGCGATAAATCTGCATGGTTTTATTCTACCAGGTAAGTATATAATCCATAGGCCAAATCAAATTTATGTTTCTTATTTTATCATCTACTATTCATAAAATATTCAGTCTCTATTCATATAAAGCTATTTAATTAGATATTATTATTATTATTATTTTTTTTTTTGAGAGAGAGTCTTGCTCTATCACCCAGGCTGGAGTGCAGTGGCACAATATTGGCTCACTGCAACCTCTGCCTCCTGAGTCCAAGCGATTCTTGTGCCTCAGTCACCCAAGTAGCTGGGATTACTGACGTGTAGCACCATGCTTGGCTAATTTTTGTATTTTTAGTAGAGATGGGGTTTTGCCATGTTGCTCAAGCTGGTCTCAAACTCCTGAGCTGAAGTGATCCACTAGCCTCAGCCTCCTAAAGTGTTGGGATTGCAGGTGTGAGCCACCGCTCCTGGCCAAAACTGTCTCGTTAAATATTCTTATTTTAAATTCCATTTTACTCTCATTCCACAGCACTTATAATTGGGCAAGGTGTTAAAGCGATCAAAGAGGAACAAAAAGAAACACACAAGCACCTCAAATAAAGCCACTGTTTTGCTCTGAGCTGCTCTGCTAGAGTAAACCTAGCTTAGTTGTGGGACAAATAAAAATATGGAAGATAAATATGGAACAGGTTAAAAGAACAAAATGAAATGGGCTCCTTAGAAGTTCAGCAACCTGGGATAATCTGAGACATTTCACAGGGGACTGACACAGGCTGGTCATTGATGATGAGTATGACTTGGACAGCCAAGGATCTTAAGGACTTTCTTCCTATTTTCTCATATCTAGAAATAAAAGTCACCAGCACCAAACAAAATGGACATTTTGTTGTCACACAGAATGAGATAGGCTTAACTCTGCAGGGCACCTCTCCCTGAATTCCCTTTGTATCTACCTCTAGGCCTTTTCTTTGTCCTTCTTTCTTACTCTTTCATCTTCTTTTAAAGGACAAAAAATAGAAGAAAAATAAGAAGTTTAAAAAGTGGAGAGAAAAGGCCAGGCGCGGTGGCTCATGCCTGTAATCCCAGCACTTTGTGAGGCCAAGTGAAGTTGGGTGTTAAAGACCAGCCTGACCAACATGGAGAAACCCCGTCTCTATTCAAAACACAAAATTAGCTGGGCTTGGTGGTGGGTGCCTGTAATTCCAACTACTTGGGAGGCTGAGGCAGGAGAATCGCTTGAACCTGGGAGGTGGAAGTTGCAGTGAGCTGAGATTGCACCATTGCACTCCAGCCTGGGCAACAAGAGCAAAATTCCGTCAAAAAAAAAAAAAAGGGAGATAGATGAGGTGGGGACAAAGAGTGAATAACTGAGACCCAGAAAGCAATGAGGGTGAAGAGAAACAAGTAAAAGACTGAATCCGGGCAAGGGTTTTGTTGAATTATCTTAGCTGGTAAAATTTAAGCTTTTATTTAGTGTAAATGTCGACAATGTTAGGCTGTAAGGGGTTGGTAAAGGGATCTTTCTTTGAACTTGAGATGGAAAGTGACAGAAGCAGCATAGGTGAGGACAGGTGGGAACTGTCTACAGAGCACAAAAGGGAACACTGCTTGCCTCAGGTGCTATCTCTTAGCTTCCTGCCTTTTTGCCCTGTTCTCCACCTGCAGCCTTATTACCTGATGGCTTCTTTCCCTTGGAATTCTGGAGGCGCTTGTTCAAAAGAGTCATGAAATGAAGGATCGGCATCCATTTCATCTTCAAGGGCCACGTGATCAGTCTTTTGTGTTTGAGACCAAAATGAGGACTTCAGGAAAAACAAAGGTGGACGTCGATGTCCATATTCATCTACATGGCCAGAAGACAATTAAATATTGGGTCAATGACCACGTTAGGGAGAGAGAGTCACAGTAATGTAGCACGGCAACACAGCCCTTTGTTGCTAAACCTGAACATGTGGTCAACAGCAGGTAATGCACGTTTTGACACATGTAGCTTCATAAGGAAAAAAAAATACCAGATGTCTCTACTATAATAAATCCTATCGGAAGCAATGAAACTGTGATTTTTAAATATTTCAAAAGGAATTTAAATAAATGTTTTAGAATTTCTTAACCTCAAGAAAGACAGATTGAATTGCTAATGTAAGATATGCAGGCATGCTGAATTCTGTCTAGAAGACCAGGTGTCATTACATAGGCAAAGAAAGAAGAAATTGAGAATGACTATTGGATACCTTTAAAAAAAATCCAAAAGAAGATAGAATAGGATTTAAGAAAAGTAAATGACACATTTGTAAGAAAGAAAAAGAACACGATAAAATAATTAATTGAAACTTAACACAAAATGAATACTTTTAAAGCTATTTTGTATTTCTGCTTTATTTCATTCCCAAACCATAATTTTCCTCTTAAGCAAATTTATGATCTGCTTTAAAGACATATTACTCATAAACATCTTGCTGGAAATGAATCCAGCTGTATTAGTATTCTATGATCACTTCTGTTTTTCTTCATATTAGGAAACATTATGAAACGGAAGAATCGTACTTCACTAATATTCTGCAACTATCCCCACTGTAAGGTTATGGGTTTTCAAACTTCTGTGTATTTCTCACATGTTCAGTCCTTCATTCATGCAATAAATGTCTTACACTCTCTGTATACCTGCCACATGGTATGTTGTTAGCACCTATCTCTCCCTTTTGACAAAAGAAAAATCTAGCAAATAAAAGCATGCCACCATAACTGGATACCTTCTGCCACCAGATTTACCATGAAATAATGCTGTCATTTTATCCAGTTAATTTTTCTGTCATTCTTATTTATTATCTTTAGAAGTGTTTTGAACAAAGTCACCTCTGGTCTTAAGTTCAAGCTTAGTGAGCAGAGACAATTAGGAAGAAAATGGAGCAACTCACTTATTTGGATGAAATAAATTTTCTAGTTATAATAATAAAATACTATGCTTTTGAAACTGGAAAAAGCATGGATGTGAAAGATATTTTTGTGACATAATGTTAAGTAAAAAATAAAATGCAGCCATGAAAATGTAACAATATGTGATATAACTTGATAAAACATGTACAAAGAGAATATTTAAAGTAATATCATTAGAGTATGTTTGAAACAAGGACTAAAAAAAGATGGAATATATCACATAGTGCACACCAAAATAAAATTTAAATTGGTTAGAGAAAACAATTACCTAAGAGGATACTAATAAGCAATTGTAAACACAGTGACATCTGTTTGTGGATCCACTGAGAATAAACACATTGGAAAAATAAACAAAAATGAAAAATAATACAACCAGGATGTTTTAATAAGTAGAAGGAGAAAAGGAAGAATTAGTAAGCACAAGGGTCACACGAGTAAATTTCCTGAACTATACACAGCATGCCAGGGATATACAGTATGATAGAAACACAAAAAAAAGTCAGTGAGATTTTGCCATAAAAACAAAAGTAGAACAGAGAAAATATATTTAAGTATGTGTCTTAAATAAGCAATGTTAACAAGGGGTAGAAAGCCTTAAAATATTAGTAGGCAAAAAAGTAATTTTTCTAATCAGTTATGTAATTTTTACCTCTACTGGAAAAAATCAAATGAAAACATACCATATTCAAACAATTCTAATTGTGTAATAAGTGTGCTAGCCAACAATAGTGGATCCTGACATCTTTTGTTCTGGGTTCTTTTAAAAGGAAGAGACAGTAATTCTTAAAGGATTGTCTTAAAAACAACAAAAACAAAAACAAAACAGGATGAATTTCCTGCCTCAAGATGTGGCTGTCTTCCTGCTCACCCTTTCCCCTTCTTCCCTTTCCAAAAGTGTGTATTCATTGCTTTTTGAATAAAGGGCCCTTGGCATTCTGTCTTGAATAGGAAACGCAGAAGGGAGAATCAGGGCCTGCCTTTGGTTATAAAAGGAGGGAGAAAAAAGTGAAGCAAGCCGGGCACTGTGGCTCATGCCTGTAATCCCAGCACTTTGGGAGGCCGAGGCGGGTGGATTACCTGAGATCAGGAGTTCGAGACCAGCCTGATCAACATGGTGAAACCCCATCGTCTCTACTAAAAACAGAAAAATTAGCCAGGCGTGTGGCACACATCTGTAATCCCAGCTACTTGGGAGGCTGAGGCAGGAGAATTGCCTGAGCTGGAGAGGCAGAGGTTTCAGTGAGCCGAGATTGTGCCACTGCACTCCAGCCTGGATGACAGAGTGAGAGTCTGTCTCAAAAAGAAAAAAAAAGAAAGTGAAGCACACAAGTATCTAGGGTGCATGAGACACTGCAGTGGGTGCTTAAATCTCATCTGTGAACAAAACGAATCCCTGCTTTTGTGTAACTCATATTCTTGTATGTTGCAAGGTGATACAAATGAAAATTTATGATATATTGGCTTTCCTATTGTGAACTTCTGGGGAGATTTTTTTTTAAACGTAGATGCATTGATTAATTAAATCAGAATCTCTTCAGGTTGAGCTGGGCTTAGACTTGCTTTAAAATTCTTCACATGATTCTGTTGTCCAGCCGGAGCTCAGAACCATCGAGCTAAACAGTTAGACATAAGCAGCTATAAATGACCATGATTACCAGAACTGTTTAGGAACTAGCTTTCTAAGAGGTCTAAAAAAAAAAATACCATATACTTAAAGTGAAGTTCAAATGAAGGTTAGTGATTCTATAAACAAAATTCAGGCTTTAGTTCTGACAAGTCAAGTAGTGAGAAAGAAATGAAGAAATAATTTGGCCAGTAGCGACGACTTTGTTCCTCTCTTTGCTGTTGATACACAAAATAGTTCTTAAAATATAAATAGTATATCCATTAGGAGATTTGTTTTCAGAAATAAAACTATTTAAATGATATATGATTTTAATCATATCATTACTCACTTGGCAAAATTTTTTCAAAGTAAATCGCCAATGCCAGATAGAGGCAAGTGTCAAATGCCAACATGAAATTTGTTGCTACAATGAGATTTGAGCCGTCCGATGGATGAGGAAATGCATTAGAATTCAAATCATAGTCCAAGTGTAAAAGCTGAAAATTAAAAAGTAATTAATTAAGGGAAATTAGGTATAAGATACATTTTAAACAGTTAGGTTTAGCATAGTAATGAAATGACTACTTATTGCCTCATACTGAGAATAGAGTTATATAGGGAGACTGCCTCCTTTATGGTTCTCAAATCTATGCCTTGGAAGGCATGGACATATGAGCAACTAGAATGCAATTTAGTAATTGCTATGATAAAAATATGTTCCAAATGAAATTGAAACATTAGGAGGAAGTAGGGAAGTATGGGAAGAGATGACATTTGAGATCGAACTTAGATGAACTTTTACCAAATAGGACACAGTCAAAAGGTGTGGTGATCCATGTAAATTGGCGGCATGAGGGAGAATTTCTGGGCAAAAGGCACTGCTGTGTTTAAGTAGAACCAGAAGTGGGCTTGTCTATGATGTTCAAGTTAATGAGCTCTTTATAATTAACAATCCTTTTGTTAAACACTAAATAATGGATATTTAATGGTTGACATTTCCATTTAGTTAGAGGGAAGGCAAGGGGAATTCAATAAGAATCACATAAACAGAAAAGACATTTTATGAATAGAAACATAATTTACTAATGAATTTTCCAGATGTTTTAAATTTTTAATTTAATTTGATTTAATGGTTTTTAATCACGTATTCTCTTCAATTACTAGGTAAAAACATGAACTGGAATAGTTATTTATAATTAGATTTGCCACATGTCCATATTTAATTAATAGCCTAAGAAAATACTTTATATTGCCTTTAAATAATTGTATGTTGATCCTCTTTTTTTCACTTTCCAAATGTCTTATTTTGCTGGGCTAAATAATTTCCAAGCTTTTAAAAGTTCTGTCTTTGCAACTTTACAACAGCCTTCGCTAGAATTTTAAGCCTTACAATGCTGAGTTTGTAAATGATTACAGCCTATGGATTCCAGAGGGACAGATGTTTCAGAAATGCCATTAATAGACATTCAGATGGCATCTCACCTGGGCCATTCCAAGCATGAAGGCAAAGGGACTAAGCAAGCTTAAAATCCACTCCAAGGATGCAGGAAGGTGTCTGTACAGTGATGTGAACCCCAGACACCCCCAAAAGACAGTGAGGAGGAACACGACCAGGCCGGTGAGGAAAGATTTCTTTACCAAGATGCTCATTAAGAAAGCCAAAGCTACCTAAAATGAGAGAAGATCTAGTTGGTTTATGTTTCTCTAACATTATTACTAGCATAATAAAATAGATATACAAAATTATAGTTATTTTGTGTATGTAACAGTTGTATATTATAGTTATTTTGTATATAACATACAAAACTATGCTCTGCAAATTGCACTAAAAATTGACATTACAAAACACCTCAAATCAAATTGTACCTGTTTATAGATTTTTCACATGCAAACAGAGTAGGTAGAAAAAAAAGGAGGCATACAGAGTAATCAGTCGGAAACAAACAATTTTTAGGCTATAGGTGGATGGAAAGATATTTAATTCACTAACTCACCAAAGATAATCCATACAGGAGAAAGAGGCTGAAGACTACCATGAAGCCAGACAAAATGATAAACTGGGTAGATCTTATAACAAGTGCCAAGAAAAGGGCCATAATGAAGATGAAACCAGCATAGAGCAAACCCCAGGAGAGCCTAATGTGGAAACAAAATGTTATTTTAGTATTTTATGTTCACTTGAAAAGGAAGACCTGAAATGGATTCTAAGATAACTCTTCATTCACTTATTCATCCATTCATTCTCTCTTTCAACATTTATTTATTGGGTGTTCTAAGATATATAAATACAAGGTAAAAGTTTTGGGCAGAATTCTTTAGAATTAGGAATATTCTTTGGGAATTAGGAATTGTTTTTCCTAAAATTGATTTCAGAAATACATTCACACACACATGCACATTGTTCTGGGGGGTGGGGGCGGTGGGGGGGGAATTAGGTTTCCAGTGTAATAGATTTTGGATCGAACATTTTATTTGCTGCATTCTTGCTCTGTAACCTTGGGCAACCTCTGTAACCCCTCTATTATTCCTTTATTTCTCTGGACACCAGGAATAATACTACCACTGAAGACTAAATAAGATGATGGCTATGTAGGGCACTGTCTTAATACAGGGTAGCCCCTCAGTGAACCTCAGACCCTTCTCTCCTCTCTGGAGTCTCTCCAAGTTCAGGACCATCACAAGCTTCCTCAGAGACAAGAAATTCTTCCTTATGTGTAATTTGGTCATGTCACTCCTTCCCCAAAAGCTGTTGTCATCTTTCTCTGGATGTGTTCACTGAAAAGTCTACATACTTGCCTTTAGTTCCGTTCATTGTTTTTGTTAAGAAAGATTTTTTTTGAATCCCATTCTTTTATGTCAGAATAATTCACTTTCCTTTCCTCATCAATTTCTTTTCTTTTGTTTTACAATATTCTTTGAAAACTATAATGAAATAATAATTTTAAAAAACAAAAACAAAACAGCTGCAAAGCCAACACAATAATAACTCACACACATAGCAATTAATATGCATTGAAGAAAACTTAGCAAACATTAAAGCATTTTATTCTCCCAATAGCCCTATTCAGAATACCATTATTTTCCTCATCTTATTGATAGAGAACCTAATGAACAAGGGTGTTATGTAACTATGTTTCAAGTTCAGGGGTTTTGGCTCTATAGTCTTTAGATTTCACTGCTCTGCTACGTTTCCCTCCAGTATTAATTCAAACAAGAGGTCAATATTGATGTATAAGATGTTAATACTGGAAGGAACTCTTCCAGACTCCTAATTTGTTGCCCTATGCACAGCCCATCTGCCTCCCTAGCCTCTCTGTTATTTAATGTCCTACTCCCTGTAAACATCACCTCCATGCTCTTTCAGTCAATTATTCATAAGTTCTCACACAGAACCTTGTCCATTCTTGGAATCACCCAACCTCTGACATTTTAAACCCACACTACCCAGCCCCTATTCACCATCCTGTTTTGCCAGCTCATTCCCTCAGGCACACCAAGCATGTTCCTCAGTCTCAAAGGAGTTCCTGGTCCTCGGCTTCTTTTTCCCTTTCAATCCCCTCCTAGCTCACATCTCACCTCTGTCTGGCACAGACACCATTGTCTATCTTGTTTACGCCTCTCTTGCCATGGCCATTCCTCATTACACCTTCTTCACAATCAACCAATAACCTAACCCCAATCTTCTTCCTTAACTCAGAGAAGCACAGTAAGACGCAGCCTCAGCCTGGCAAACATTACACCAATGACAGTTTATACCATTCATGGGGATAAAGGATTTTTATATTTCTTTCCTTGTTACTAAAGAATGTTTAAAAGTGGCATTTTCTTATTCATGGCAACACATTTTTTTAAATGGACATTGATGTGTGATAGTTGTGACATTATTTTTTCTGTAAAATTCTGCATTTGGCTCCTTATTTGTTTTCTCAAAGTTTTTTTATTTACTTTTTATGTTTCTTTAAAAGATTATCTTCCTCCTTTCTAAAAAAGTCAATATTATTCGTAATGGAAGTTGTATTTTCTTAAATGTTAGCACATTCTGTCCCCTTTTATCTTATTTCCTATAGCAGTTCCTTCACAGTACAGTGAATCTGAAATAGATTTAGATAAAATTGGGTCAGAGATTGTTAAATATATTAAATGACCAGCCTCTCTACTTAGTCCTGTAAAATTTCCAGAAGCAAAATACATTTCCTTTTTTTTTTTTTTTTTTTTTTTTTGTCCATCACTGCAGAGCATTTCTCCCCACTGAAATTAACTAAGTGGAAATTTGTTCATGATCTGAAATTATTCTGTGTAGGTATCTCTCATTTGTACCCCTTGGTTGTGGAGAAACAGGTTTTAATAAAGACGCATTGAAGAGGCCGGGCGTGGTGGCTCGCGCCTGTAATCCCAGCACTTTGGGAGGCCGAGGTGGGTGGATCACGAGGTCAGGAGATCGAGACCATCCTGGCTAACACGGTGAAACCCCGTCTCTACAGAAAATACAAAAAATTATCCAGGCATGGTGGTCGGCACCTGCAGTCCCAGCTACTTGGGAGGCCGAGGCAGGAGAATGGCGTGAACCTGTGAGGCGGAGCTTGCAGTGAGCTGAGATCACGCCACTGCACTCCAGCCTGGGCGACAGAGCGAGACTCCATTTCAAAAAAAAAAAGATGCATTGAAGATTCCCAGTTTTCCTGAGTTCCTCCGTTTATTTATTTGTGCTGCGTTTGACTCACCAGAACGCTGAATCCCGAAGACCCATCATTGTCATCAAGGCCTTCATCCTTTTCCTCTCTCTTGTGACATTAACAGATGCATAGTAAATGAATGAGGAAAATGAAATAATGCAGGAAAAAAGGTACAAATCAGTTATAACTCCTGATTGACCAATGAAGGAATGCATCTTCATATTTTTTCCAGTAACTGACATCAGCTCCTCCATCACTGAGTGATTTGTTGTGATCTGAAGAAAGGCATTAATAAGCAAAATTTGTACGTTAATGAACAGCATGCAGTTTTCTTTTAACCATCTATTTTCTTGTGGATGTATGATTGGCCTATTGGGATTTGATACTAACCTAAATTTCCACTTCTATGTCCTGTCATTGACCTGCTGGGACCTCGGAGTCCAGGCATTTTGAGTTACTCACCACTCTCAGAATTTACTGTGTGTTTCATTACCTCCCTGCCTAACATTACTTTATGATTTGCTTGGCATGGCTTTTCTCAATTTATATATTCAGTAAGCCACCCCTCATCTCAAGCTTCAAGCTGGAATGTTATTTCAATTAGGCATTCTTCCATGGCATTCTAAGGCTGAGAGGTTTTTACTCATTTACTTATGAGGACCTGATTTATAGTTCTGTAATAGTCTACTTCTGTTCTAATAATTTTCTTATATTCCTGGCTTCCCAACAAAGTTGAGTCCATGAATGAGATACTTTTTCTTCTGTTTGTATCTACATTCCGTGGTATATAGTAACTTCAGTAAACTTCAGAGTGAGCAAAGGAAATAACAAGGCTATCCACTTATATTTTCTTCCATGAAACTTTTGATGCCTCTAATATCATTAACTTGCATTAAACATTAGTTTGCTTTGAACATTTTGTACTCACTTCTATAATAGCAGCATTAATGGCAGCTTGAAGAGCCACAAAACCTTCCTTCCAAAATACTGAAACTTCACAGTAAACATCTTCATTTGTTTCATAACAATGAGCTTTGTGAAAAAACAAATCATAACTATCATTACATCACTATCTATATTATTGAAATATGATTTTAATACTGATTATAGCAAACAGTGGACTTTACAATGACCCCAAATTCCAAATGTTCTTATTTTGACTCAAAGCTTATGAAAACATAAATTATAACAATGATTCTCAAAATGAATCAGGCAGAATCATGAGGTGGAGCACTCTTAGGAAATGTTTTACATTAAATTATAACACTCTAAGCTTTCTCATACCGTGTCCTGTGCTTTTCTGCTGATGAAGAATTTTGTTGGTCTCTTCTCTTTTCTGATTTGTATTGTGAAAACTACATATTTTAATGTTTTTCAAAAGTTCACAGAGCCTAACATGGATTGAGAGACACTAAACTAAAGCTTTTTCTAACACTGGATATAACACGGGCATAATAGGCCAATGGAAGTTCAAGTAAGATTACTTACTACGCTTAAATCATGCCAATCAGAATATCTTTTGAAGAAAAGGATTTATTCAAAAAGAGCTGTCAGTCCATTTAATAGTAAACTATATTAAAGAGATATCCTTGAATAAGATGAATTAAAATTGAGTATAGGAATTAAATGCATATTACATGAAATCATCTTGAAATATTTCAGATATACGAATGATATAAAAATACAATAAACACGCATGGACTCACTACAAATTTGCAAAATAAATGCATCATTTCAAATACAATTAGAATCTCTTGTGCACTTCCCCAGCACCAAGTTTCTAACTAGCTAACTGCTTTCCTGAACGTTATGTATATATATATGCCACTACATATCTCTAAACTATATATGTAATTTAAAAAATTAAACTCTACTAATAATTACTATGAACTATGTTCATTTGTTCCATATTATGATTTTGAAATGTAAATAAATTGCCTCATTTAATTTTTTCTTCTTTTTTATGGTTATGGAATCCCATTGCAGGAATGTAAATCAATATATTTATCCATTCTCCTGTTGATAACAATTTGGTTAGTTCCTTTTTTCTTTTTGTGATTACCAGAAAAAAAAATCTGCTGCTATAAAAATCTGTATATATGTCTTCTTGTAAATATATCTGTATTGGTCAGGATAGTCTCTTATATGTTACAGTAATAACCCCTAAATCTCAGTGATTTATCACAGTGAACGTGTATTTCTCACTCAGGCTACAAATTCAGCAGAGGTGTTTGGTAGGAGGGTTGAGTTGTACTGTCTGTATTATACACAACTCCTTAGTTTGCAGAAGCAGGTGAGAAAAGATGAAGAACTTATACCTGCATTTAAATGCCTTGGGTCTAGCTATCTTATTATGACTACAAAAAGTAATTATTCTATGTCCTCTGGAAGAAGAGGAGAATAGGCTGCAAATCTTTAACACAGGTATGAGAGTTTCACTAATAAGATTTCTATGATGATGAGTTATAAGTTATGTGCACTTCAACTTTAAGATAAAATTTCTCAATTTTTGTGGAATTTACAAATTTTGTAAAGTTGGATAGGTGTTCTCTTTGCTACATATCCTTGTCAATACTTCGAATTGTTCTATTTGCTAATTTTTGCAAATCTTATGAACATGAAGTGATATAACATGTGGTTTCAACACGCAGTTTCCTGGTTGCTAATGAGGAAAAACACCTCTCCTAGTGCTTATTCTTGATCTGTGTTGTTTTATGAAATTCCTATTAATGTCCTTTTGTTATTTTTCTATTTTTGATCTTTTTCCTATTTATTCAAAGTAAATATTTACATATTCTGGAATTAATTTTTTGTTAGATTTTTCTGTTATAAACACTTTATCACCTTTTTTTTTTTTTTTTTAGAGATGGAGTCTCACTCTGTCACTCAGGCTGGCATTCAGTGGAGTACAGTGGTGCAATCTCGGCTCACTGCAAGCTCTGCCTCCCAAGTTCAAGCAATTCTCCTGCCTCAGCCTCCTGAGTAGCTGGGACTACAGGCAGACGCTGCCACGCCTGGCTAATTGTGTGTGTGTGTGTGTGTGTGTGTGTGTGTTTCAGTAGAGACGGGGTTTCACCATGTTGCCCAGGCTGATCTCGAACTCTTGAGCTCAGGCAATCTGCCCGGCTTGGCCTCCCAAAGTGCTAGGATTACAGACATGAGCCACCACGCCCGGCCACTTTATCACAATTTTTGCCTTTATTTTTCACTATCTCTATGGTTCTTTTGATAAAGGGACGTTCTTAAAATTTATGTCTAGTCAAATTTATCAATATTTTAATTTATGGCTGAGTAGTATTCCTATATATATATATATATATATATATATATTATCTTCTTTATCCAGCCCTCTGTTGATGGACACTTATGTTAATTCTCTATCTTTGCTTTTGTGAATAGTGCTGCAATAAACATATGAGTGCAGGTATCTTTTTAAATATAATGATTTTTTTTCCTCTGGGTAGATACCCAGTAGTGAAGTTGCTGGATCAAATGGTAGTTTGTTTTTATTTCTTTGAGAAATCTCCATACTGTTGTCCATAAAGGTTGTACTAATTTACACTTCTACCAACGATGTATAAGTGTTATCTTTTCTTCGCATCTTTGCAAACATCTGATTTTTTTAGACTTTTTACTAATAGCCATTCCGACTAGGGTAAAATGGTTATCTCCTGGTTTTAATTTGCATTTTCTGATAATTAGTGATGTGGAGCATTTTTTTACGTTGGTTGGTTGCTTGTATGTCTTCTTGTGAAAAAAGAAGAATTCAAACAACTCAAATAACTGCACTGAAAAATAGGCAAATGGGTTATTTGTTTTGCTTGTTGAGTTCTTTGAGTTCTTTGTTGAATGCATAGTTTGCGATTTTTTTTTCCATCTGTAGGTCATCTGTTTACTCTGTTGATTGTTTCTTTTGCTTTGCAGAAGTTTTTTTTAGTTTAATTAAGTCTCGTTTTTCTATTTTTGTTTTTGTTGTATTTGCTTTTGAGAACTAAGTCACAAATTCTTTTCCTAGCCCAATGTCCAGAAGAGGTTATTCCTAGTTTTTTCTTCCTGAATTTTTATAGGTTCAGGTCCTATGTTTAGGTTTTAATCCATCTTGAGTTAATTTTTGTATATGGTGAGAGATATGGGTCCAGTTCTATTGTTCTGCATAAGGCTATTCAATTTTCCCAGTACAATTTATTGAAAAGGATTTTTCCCCCAGTGTATATTTTTGTTGACTTTGTCAAATATCATTTGATTGTAGGTATGTGGCTTCATTCTGGTTTCTCTATTCTGTTCTATTTATGTACATGTCTATTTTTATACCAGTATCATGCTGTTTTAGTTACTATAGCCTTGTAGTATAATTTGAACAACTGAGCTTATTTGAAGGGAAATTTGTTCTATCTTATCCATAAACTACCTTGTTTTCTTTTAACAATCATATATTCCATATAATATCTATGTGTGTACATATGAATACATATTTCATTTACATATATAAATATATATCTATGTAAATGTATGTAGATAACTATATATAATGACCACTTATCGATATGTTCTTATGCCCAAAAATGAATTTTTTTTTAAATGTTGAGGGACATGCATACATCATTATGACAGATAGTGATGCTCTAATTTGGCATACTAACCTCTATTCCCACACATGACTTATGACATAATTGAAATAGAGAGTAGTGAAATTTTAGAGCCATAAAATTACCTGTATGGTCCTTGTGCTCCTTCTTTGCTGGCATTCCATGTCCTAGCAAGAACTTCAAATGATATGAGTATGTATTAGTAAAGGTGACTCTTACTATTTCTTCAGGATAATTTGCTGTGAATTCTTTAATACTTTCCTCATCTGGCAGTCCCAAGACCTCTTTACCTTTTGTTACAAGAAGGAATATTATTGTTAGTAAATTACTAGGAGACACAACTTCAGGATGTCATGTTGAATTGCTTTTACTAGAGTTTTCTATGGAAATAAAACATTATCAAGTATTAACTTTTAGAAAGTTAGACTAAAATGTTGGGTGGGAGAGAAATTTCTAAAGTTCCATCTAGATGCAATCAGAAGAAATACATGAAAATTAGTTATTTTATTTTCATATGTTGTGATTACTGAGCCAATTTCAATCACATACAATGTCCTACTATACCAATTAAACTGTTCAAAAATAGTTATCATTCCTATAAATTTGAAATGGTAAATATAGAGAGATAGATATTTAAATTGCAATTAGGCACTGTTTTGTATCAGGTGGACATACCTATACAAATTTATTTTTCTTTAATAATCCTGATGGTATGGTTAATAAGCTAAAAAAGGTGATAAATTTAAAAACATGTTAAGAAACTATGTTGACATCACTGAAAGAATCCCTCTTTTCTGTAGGTATTTTGTCTGAGGCCACATGGATGTTTTATTAATACTGAAAAATGAGACAAAATACAAGAAAAGTTCTGGATTGGGGTGGAAGTGTTGAAGATGAATGTAGAGGGAGCAAGAAGTATGTATTTTGATAGAATTAATTTTATTCTCAAACTTATGTCATCATGAGCAAATTCCTTACCCTTTGTTACTCAATTTCTATATTTGTAAAATAAACTTAATAACCATTATTATTATTATTATAGAATATTAATAGAGTACAGAATATAGAATAATATCATTACAAAATATTCTCTTTTTACAGAATACAGTTTTTGTAGAAATATACCATATTGTAGCATTTAATGAATATTTATTATTATAATTGCATGTGGTTTTGAATGAGGTAATGTCGAGAAGCACAAGTTCCTGACATTGGGTCTTGTTATGGACGTCTGTGAAACAGCAAGAGCAGACACGTCTCAGGGCCGTTTAGGAGACTGGACCTTAGGTGGATAGTTCATATCACATTATAATCTTGAATCAGAAGTGGATTCAGTGTTGGTAGGTAAGATGCACAATATAGGCATTAAAATG
Source organism: Homo sapiens (assembly GCF_000001405.40). Taxonomy (NCBI): domain Eukaryota; kingdom Metazoa; phylum Chordata; class Mammalia; order Primates; family Hominidae; genus Homo; species Homo sapiens. The sequence goes on from NC_000017.11 coordinate 68,938,199, forward strand.
TATGTGGAACTAATGGTGTGATGCTTGGTGAGGCGCCGTTGGAAAGCATATTTTGGATAACTCACAGGAAGGAAAAGTCCAACATACTCTGGAAACTCTGGCCATAGACAGTCCAAATAGCAAGTGCATGAACTGGATTACTGGATACAGAATCCAGTGAAGGGGTCAGAATCCAGGCATAAGATTAATAATTACTTAAGCTTGAGTGGAATTTGGACGGAAGTTGACAAAGAAAGGAAAAAAAGAGGTTATGCAGGCTTCCAGTGACTTGGTGGAGCAAGATGCATAGGTTCTCCTTAGAAGAACGCCCTTGGTGGGAGTTATGTTGCTTAAAATGAATAGTCAGTACCTTCTAAGTCAAATTTTTATATTCCTTTAAAAATTGGGATGTAATTCACATACCATAATATTCACCCTTTTAATAATTTCATGGTTTTTAGAATACTCACACAGTTGTACAAACTCGAAGTCACTTTAAAATTATAACTCAACTCATAAAAAATTATTCAACTCATCAAATTAAATCTCACTTTACATCCAACCATCAATTCTGATTTGAAGCTGCTGCCTGATACTGACATCCTGTAGATATAGTCTGACTGTTCCTGTACTTCTACCTCCATTTGTTAATGAGAATCTTCTTTTAGTATTAGCGTAGTTGGCTTTCAATCAGTTAGGTTTGGTATAATCCAAAACAGAATAACTAACTTCTTATTAACTTTATTGACAAATACATTGCTAGCATTATTTTTGTAGTTATTCTGGTTATAACAACTAAATATTTATACAGAAAAATCATGCCCATATGAATGTGGGTCCGATCCAACAGGACACACCATTTGCCATTCTCTACAAAATTCTTAGTAGCCATTACATTTTTACTAGCTGATCTAGAAACCATCCTCCTGTTACCATTACCATGAGCATCTCAAATGAACAACTTAAAACTTATACTCACTATAGCACTAATTTTAATCTTTACCTTAGCCCTCGACCCAGCCTATGAATGAATGACAGGGCGATCACCACAGATTTCCCTTTGAAGTATGCATTTATAGTTGTAAAGGACATATGTTGTTTTTATCTGTTGACATCCAGTTCTTCTAATAAAAACACACTATGATCCATTTGGGATACTTCCCTTCCTCTGCTCACATATCCTGTGGTTTCAATGTGGTTCATGACCTGGGAACTCAACAAGTGGGCAATGAAAATACCGCATATCCCCTATCCAAAGAGATTAGTTCTCGGTGAACCAAGATCAACACTAACCCAAAGTCACCTATTTGTTCCTGTGGATAAAATCCTTGAAGTTATTGTGAACTATCAGAAATGATCTGTAATCTTTTCACTGGAGTTGCTAATCTGGGAGGGCTTAAATCTGGAGAGTCTGCAGACCAACTCTGCCTCTGGGAGAACCAACCTGTGAATGAAGCCAGCACACAAAGCTGTATATCGGAGGGGCAGAGATTTACTTCTGTTGGTGATAAACCTCTAATCTGCCTTGCATTAATACTCTGCTCTTTTAAGCTAGACAAAAGATTCTTTTTCTTAAGACAGATTGAGTTGGGCCTCTTACGCTCAACTGAAATATTTATGAAAAATATAGTATTATTTTTTATAGATCATTGTTAACTAGTCACCCTACTGATCTATCGAACACAAGGTCTTATTTCTTCAAACTGTAAGAGTTTATTGTTGCATAAATTGTTAATCTTATTTTGCGTTTGCTAATAATAAGGCTAAGAGAAGCTGATGGCTTTCAAAATGCACTCCAGACACATATGTATCACAGCAGTTCTGAGTGGACTCTTAGAACTACTTTTAATCAAATGTCCTCTGACTCTAAGTCTAGTTCTCTTGCCTTTGTACCAGGCTGCATCTCCTCTAATTTCAGAGCATTGTTGTAAAAATGATTGTTATAAAAATGATCTTTACCCTTCAGCTTTAAGGTACTCGTTAAGTTAACCTTAACCTTAACTCAACTTAACAACTACTTAACCTTAACTCGTTAAGTACCTTAATGCTGAAGGATGAAAATCTGAAATACAGAATACTCAAAGGAATATTCAAATAGAGCAAGCACATGTTTTTGGTGTTAAAAGGTAGGGTTAAAATTCCTATAATCAAATTTAGGAAAAGAAGAGACTGGTTTTTCTTTGTCTATAAGAACAAGAAAACACTACAGCAACGATTTCATTTTGGTGACAATGCTTTCAGAGTCACATGTCAACATATCCCTAAACACTACTGCTCTAAATGTGCACCAGTCTGTATAATTTCATGCTTCCTCAAATCCTATACCAGATCAACAAGTTTCTTTTTGAGAGACTGCGCACCCCAAATGGTAAACCCTTGTTTGGCAAGCAATACATGTAGTTTTAACTTAGATACTGAGTGGTGAGATGTTACTTCCAATAAAGGGAAGACACATTCCCAATTCATGTACTCCAGAAAGTTTAATTATCAAACTGAAATACAAATTAAATGTATAAATCTGCGGTCAAATAAACCAAATATTCACACCAGACATTCTTCTTAAGTAACTAGAAAACTTACCTGCCAGGAAGGGAGTAGAGGCTACTTTATTCATTATCTGTTGGGTCGTGTTGGTGACAGGTGTGTATACAACAGAAAATCTGGATTCATTAAATGTATCTACCCGTCCCAGGTCCATGGTAAGCAGTGAAGAAAAATCATTTACTTGATGACTATGAGGATATATATACAAACAAAGTAGTAGGAGCAATGAATTCAGCCATTCCTATATAATACAGGAAAAAAGATAAAGAAAAGTCTTATTTAAAATTAGTCATCCACAATCATTTTGTCATAAAGTTTGCCTCTTTTTTACTTTTCTAACTTCAATATATCCCATATTATAAACTGTTTAAAGTCTGCTGAAAGTCAATGTGTTTTAAGAGATAGTTCCAAGGCATTGCTAGCTTAGTAATGATATACTGGTTACATGCCAAGATTCTGGAATTTCAAACTCAACAGTATACCAGTTTGTAAGGGCATTCTGATAATTCTAATAATAAGATAGTATCGGAGGGATAGTATCTTCGTTAGTTATAAATCCTGATCACATGCGAACTCCCAATAAGAAATCACTTTATTTCCAAAATGCATGATCTTAGGGGAAAAAACTTTACGATGTATGTATAGTGGAATTCCAATTTAGTTAAAAATGCTACCTAGCTATATCGATCTGATTTTTAAAATATACCAAAGTTTAATCAAGATTTTTTATATGGTAAGATTATAAGAGCTAATGCTAATTTTCTTCTTGGAATTTAATACAATTCCAACTTTTCTACTTTTTTGAAGAAAACTAATTGTTTCAAGAAGAGAAAAAGATCTCAAAGAGAAAATGCCAGTTACCCATTGTGGTGGGTTGGTTTGTTTACCATATCTTTGGAATGTCAGTATCTTAACCCTAGTCTCCATGACTGGGGACACTAGTAACAAATGTGACCATTGGCTTTTAAAACATGTATTGATTTCTCAATTGCTACCAGATTCAGTGGTTTCAGACCTCAATTTATGAGCCCATGTCAACTGAAATATCTTCAAACAGATTCATGGCCTGAAGAATAGCGTTTTCTGTTGTATAAACGTTGCTGTATTTTAGTGTTTTTGGTGTATGTGTCGGGGGAGATACACATGGCATAGATAACTCCCAGGCAACACGTATTTTCCTATCATAAATAGAGAATAACACGGATATTGAGTCATACCATTAAGGACTCTCTTTTCATTCTCCATTTTTTAAGAAAGTTCTTGCATAATAAGGCCCAAGTTTGTTGACACACACTGATCTTTCTCTTCCTCATCTTGTCTTGTTTAATGAAAAAGAAAGAAGATAAAATTAATATGAAGTTCTTAAGAAAAAGAAATATCCTGCAAACAACAAAAAAACGTAGCCTAATACTCCAATGTTCCAAATGAGTGCAAAGAGTCTGAGTGTTCCCAAGTCAGCATTGTATTACTCCCATGCTCTCCTTCCGTCCCCACTTGCAGACTCTGTTCCATCATTTATTTGTGATGCCCTGTGCCTGTTATCAATTTACTGTCTCTCAGCCCTAAATTCACTCTGCATAGCCTGCTCTATAAAAATGGATCTGAATCCTTTAAGTACTTTCCTTTGCCAGCTGGCATGATGTTATGCTGTTTCAGCAGAGAGGACAGTAGAGACACTGCAGGCATCTGATGCCATCCAGGTATCAGAATAGTTCATTTGCTGAGTTGCTATAGAATGTATTTTTCCCCACTGAGTAAATTGTTTTCTCCAATGCAAAGTACCTAGAGTGTGCAGGATTCACTGTGTGTTTCCTCTAGCTCTTGACTTGGGTAGCAGTAGTATATCTGGGAGCCCCAGATAGCTACATCCCTTTCCTCGAAGCTCTGTTTCCTTTGGCCGTCCTGTTGCAAAAGGAGTGCACTCTAGTACTGGTGTCCACAGCTTGCCATTCAGACTTCTTTGCCATTCGGTGGGTTTCAACCACTTCTTATCCAATTGTCAATACCTTATCTCCTCATGTTTATTCTTCTTTGGATATTCTCCCTCAGCCCTAGGAAGCCCTCTTGAGCTCTCAGTCCATCTTTATAGTTATTCTCCTGTCACTATTCAATAGTTCTGTATATTAAACTTACTTCATTTAATTACTATGTAGTTTCTGTCCCCAGATTGCACCCAGACCAACACCTACACATACACCACTCTTAATTTCAATAAATACATCCTTGAACACCCAATTTAATGACTCTATAATATTTAGCTTAAGAACCTGAATAAATAATCTGTTTTAGGAATTGATCTATCTAAGACAATTTAATGGGATCTTTGTTATTTCTGGCAGAAATAATTGCTCTCTTTACTAATTTGTTGTGGGATGAAAGAAAATTTTCTTTCCCTAGTGAAAGAAATTGAACTTTTTACTATCTTTCTTTGAAGAATTAAAATCTTAATATAGGATAATCACCATAGTTTGGCCTGGAAAAAGCTTTACATTGTCTTTTTAAAATGTCACTTTAATCGAATGTCATTTTAAAGTGACATTTATTTATTGTTTCCATCTTTAAGAATTTATTTATGTTTATTATGCAGAGTCATCAGGAAAAATACACACACGTATTTCCATATATATGATCTCCGTGTATGTGTATAGATATACTTTTTTCTAAAATCATTGTAGCAATTTGTACTATGATAGGAAGTATTTCAAAATTCATCTTTTCCACATTCTCATCTATAACCATATTGCCATTCTCTATAAGATTTCCTGGATTTTTCTTTCACTTACAATGCATAAATTCTCAAGAGAATGTTGCTACTTTCCTAATAATGAAACAAAGTCAGATAATCTATAAAATTATAACTTTTCTTGGGTCTATCAAAGAGCTGAGTTCACAGGTAACTAGGTAAACTAAAGTCCAAAGGGTAAAAGCCTTCTCCAGGGATAAAAGGGACCCATGAACAGTTTCAGAATTGGTAGAGTATTAGAGAAAGACATGGCTACTATAAAAGCAGGTAGGGAGAAAGCAGCTGAAATGTTAAATTTTTAATGGCTGAGTGTGGACCCACAGCTTGCGTGTTTGTTTACAATTACCAGGACCCCAGCACATTTGTCAACTCTTTTTTTACAGGCTTCACCTAGTATTCATTAAAAAAAATTACAATAGCAAAGAGTTGGAACCAACCCAAATCCCCATCAATGATAGACTGCATAAAGAAAAATGTGGCATATATACACCATGGAATACTATGCAGCCATGAAAAAGAATGAGATCGTGTCCTTTGCAGGGACATGGATGAAGCTGGAAGCCATCATCCTCAGCAAAATAACACAGGAACAGAAAACCAAACACCTCATGTTCTCGCTCATAAGTGGGAGTTGAACAAGGAGAACACATGGTCACAGGGAGGGGAACATCACACACTGGGTCCTGTTGGGGGGTGAGAGGAAAGGGAAGGGAGAGCATTAGGACAAATACCTAATGCATGTGGGGCTTAAAACCTAGATGATGGGTTGATGGGTGCAGCAAACCACCATGACACATGTATATCTATGTAACAAACCTGCATGTTCAGCACATGTAGCCCAGAACTTAAAGTTATATATATATATATATATATATATATATATATATATATATATACACATATACATACATATGCAAACAAGAGACCTGAAAGACCCCCAGTAGCTCACAGGCCACAAAATCTACCCATGTCTCAGAACATTTTTTCCAAAGGGCAAATCTAGAAACCTTGGTAGAAGGACAGGAATCCCTGTCAGCCCCACAAAACAAGCTGTTATTGCATCTTGGGGAGGAGTTAAAGCAAAAATCAGCAGCTAATGAGGGGCAATCTGTAAACCACCAACCACCCCTTCCCCCAACCTTTACTCCTGTTCCAAGTGAATTTCTGCTGCTAAGTTATGGGTAGAAGCAAAAAACCACTTTGTGGAGGGAGAGGAAGGAAACCACGTCGCTCTATGATAAAAGCCTTGCACCTGGTAAAAAGCAACAGCCTGCTACCACTGCAGGTGGGGCAGGAAGCTTCCAGTTCCCATTCCCAAGCAAAGATAATTTGCAGCTGAGATTTGCAACAAGGACCCAGCACGGATACAAAGCAGAGACAGGCTCTCACCACGGCGGGGGAGAGGACGCTCTCACAGGTCCAGAACCTCTCAACAGATACAAGGTAGGAATTGGCTGGTATGTAGGGAGAAAAACATGTTGAGGAAGCCCCATCTCAAGGGCCAGATCTATAGTACCTAATACTGAGGCTGGAGCAGGAAATCTAGAGTTCCTCCTGCCCATATCTCAAGCACTGCACTGAGCAAAAAGCTATGGCAGTCTATGGATGGGGGAAGGGTAAGATAATGGAGGGGGTCTCCTTTACTGCTTGGGTGCACAAGGCCTTTGAAAGTTGAGGGTGGAACAGGAACACAGAGAAAACAATTTGCAGCTTCTCAGAGCCAAATTATTTACAAACATGGAGTGTGTAGGGTATCTCAGTATTAGAATTTGTGTTGTCTGTTGTCTTGTTTTTCATAGAATTTGAGCGTCGTCTTATATGTTGAATGGCCACTTAGACTTCTGGAAATAGCTTTTTGTACTCAGTTGATTTTTTTTTGTCATACCTATTTGCAGGAGTTCATTATGTATTTTAGATATTTGTTTGCTGCTAGTTATTAATTTTGTCAATCTCTAATTTTCTTCTATTGTATTCAAGTTTAAGTTTTGTTGTGGTCAAACAACCTTTTCCTTGGTGATTGTGTATTTGGTGTGTGTGTCCTGTTTAGAAAGCACTTTCCTTTTCAGAAGTCATAAATGCACATTCCTTCATATTCTTCTAATAATCTCAAGTATTTGTCAAGAGTACATGAAAGATGTACTCTTTCATACATCTGAGTTTATTTTTGTGTAAGACCTAAGAGAGTGACCTAAGTCGTTGGTGATGAGTTTTTTTCTTTCTGCATTTCTCAAGCATATTGTTCCAACATGAACTACTTTCTGGTTCCTTCTTTCCGTATTCATTTGTTATTCCTTCTCTCTCGAATAGCAGATATGTGTGTGTTTGTATTTATGTTTGTGTGTATATGTGTGTGTGTGCGCATATGTATATATATTATGCGTGTATGCACTTTGAAGTATTCTAGTTTTCAATTAATCTCTTTGTATACTTCTCACACATAGTCTAGTTACTAGCAGTTACTAGAACTTCATAATAAGCCTTCATAAATTCTAGAACAGGTTCTTCATCTTATTTATTTTTTTCAAAATTGTCTTGGCTCTTCTGGGAGCTTACTATTTGTGACAGAAACTGCTAGCTTTTTACCAAAATTAATTAATTAATTAATTAATTAATTAATTTTTGAGATGGAGTCTCACTGTGTGGCCCAGGCTAGAGTGCAGGGGCGCCATCTTGGCTCACTGCAATCTCCGCCTCCCAGGTTCAAGCGATTCTCCTGCCTCAGTCTCCCAAGTAGCAGGGACTACAGGCGCCCACCACCATGCCCAGCTAATTTTTGTATTTTTAGTAGAGATGGGGTCTCACCATATTGGCCAGGCTGGTCTCGAACTCCTGACCTCATGATCTGCCCACGTTGGCCTCCCAAAGTGCTGGGATTACAGGCGTGAGCCCCCGCACCCAGCCGCTTTTTACCAAAATTTATTACTTTTTCTTTCTGAGCACAGAGCTATACTCCATTCACAATGACATAAGATTGCTTCCTAGTCAATGGAATATATGCAGAAGAAATAATGTGCCATTTCTAAGTCATGATATTAGGAAGTAGGTGAGTCTCTCTATATCCTCTTTTCCCTTCTGATAGGTAGATGCCTTAGAAGACAGCCGGCCAAAAGACGGATGGAATTCAGTTTCCTAGATTATCATGGGAAGATAAACTGATATATTAGTTTAATGAGCAAGAAATTATATTGTATTGGCCGGGCATGGTGGCTCATGCCTGTAATCCCAGCAGTTTGGGAGGCTGAGGCAGGCGGATAACCTGAGCTCAGGAGTTTGATACCAGCCTGCGCAACATGGTGAAACCCTGTCCCTACTAAAAATACAAAAAAATTAGCTGGGCATGGTGGCATGCACCTTCAATCCCCGCCACTCACGAGGCTGAGGCAGGGGAATCGCTTGAACCCAGGAGGCAGAGGTTGCAGTGAGCCAAGATGGCGCCACTGCACTCCAGCCTGGGCGACAGAGTGAGACTCCATCAAAAGAAAGAGAGAGAGAGAGAGAGAGAGACAGAGAGAGAGAAAGAAAGAAAATAAATTGTATTGTAGTTGAGCCATTAAATAATTTTTGTTAGATTTATTCTACAGTTCAATTTATATTAGCTACTTATACTCTTCTAAATGCATATTGGAAACATTTTGACAAGTTTCATGATAAATAAAGGTCTGATTACTATTGCATTAAATTTATTGATTCATTCAGATATAATTAAAATGTTTATGGTATTGAGTTTTCTTCTACATGGACATTAGATATTTTCTTATGTTCTTTTGTGATTATGATTATATCTAATATAATCTACTAACATGTAAATTAGATTGATGTTTTCTCTCATGTTTTCCAGCAAATACTATAATTTGTCATAAGGTATTTTTAAATACTACTTAATTGAATTTGCCAATATTTTACTTGGGATTGTGTATAATCATAAGTTACAGTGTACTATAATTTAATTGTTTATACAATGTGCTTGTCTGCTTTTAGCCTCAGTGTTATGTTAGCTTTATTATGGCTAGCATTTTCTCTTTTTCTGTTCTCCAGGGCAGTTTGTAACACATGGAAGATCTGATCTTAGAAGGCTAGTAAACTTGCTGATAAAACCTTATGAGCCTGTTGTTTCTGGGATAAGGATGGGCTAAATTATCATTGCTGTTAACGAAGGTTCAATTAATTAAATATGACTGGTCTATTCAAGTTGTCTGTTTCAACTTGATCCAATTTTGATAATTTTCACTGAAAAGTATTCATTATATTTAGATTATTTATTTATTTATTTATTTTTATTTTACTTCATGTTCTGGGATCATGTGCAGAATGTGCAGTTTTGTTACATAGGTATACATGTAACCATGGTGGTTTGCTGCACCTATCAACCCGTCATCTAGGTTTTAAGCCCCGCACGCATTAGGTATTTGTTCTAATGCCCTTCATCCCCTTGCCCTCTACCCCTCAACAGGCCCTGGTGTGCATTGTTCCCCTTGATGTGTCCATGTGTTCTCATTGTTCAACTCCCACTTACGAGTAAGAACATGTGGTGTTTGGTTTTCTTTTCCTGTGTTAGTTTGCTGAGAATGATGGCTTCCAGCTTCATCCATGTCCCTGCAAAGGACATGATCTCATTCTTTTTCATGGCTGCATAGTATTCCATGGTGTATATGTGCCACACTTTCTTTAGCCAGTCTAACATTGTTGGGCATTTGGGTTGGTTCCAAGTCTTTGCTATTGTAAATAGTGCTGCAATAAACATTATGTGTGCAAGTGTCTTTATAGTAGAATGATTTATATTCCTTTGGGTATATACCCAGTAATGGGATTGCTGGGTCAAATTGTATTTCTGATCCTAGATCCTGAGGAATCGCCACACTGTCTTCCACAATGGTTGAACTAATTTACACTCCCACTAACAGTATAAAAGTGTTCCTATTTCTTTACAGTCTTGTCAGCATCTATTGTTTCCTGACTTTTTAATAATCGCCATTCTGACTGGCATGAAATGATATCTCATTGTGGTTTTGATTTGCATTTCTCTAGTGATCAGTGGTGATGAGTTTTTTTTATTTGTTTGTTGGCCACATAAATGTCTTCTTTTGAGAAGTGTCTGTTCATATTTTGTGTCCACTTTTTGATGGGATTGTTTTTTTCTTGTAAATTTGTTTAATTTCCTTGTAGATTCTAGACATTAGCCCTTTGTCAGATGGGTAGATTGCAAAAATTTTCTCCCATTCTGTAGGTTGCCTGTTCACGCTGATGATAGTTTATTTTGCTGTGCAGACGCTCTTTAGTTTAATGAGATCCCATTTGTCAATTTTGGCTTTTGTTGCAATTGCTTTTGGTATTTTAGTCATGAAGTCTTTGCCCATGCCTATGTCCTGAATGGTACTGCCTAGGTTTTTTTCTAGGGTTTTTATGGTTTTGGGTTTTACATTTAAGTCTTTAAAACATTTTGAGTTAATTTTTGTATAAGGTGTAAGGAAGGGGTCCAGTTTCAGTTTTCTGCATATGACTAACCAGCTTTCCCAGCACCATTTATTTAACAGGGAATCCTTTCCACATTGTTTGTTTTTGTCAGGTTTGTCAAAGATCAGATGGTTGTAGATGCGTGGTGTAATTTCTGAGGTCTCTGTCCTGTTTCATTGGTCTATATATCTGTTTTGGCACCAGTATCATGGTGTTTTGGTTACTGTAGCCTCCTAGTGTTGTTTGAAGTCAGTTAGCATGGTAAACTAGAAAATCTAGAAGAAATGGATAAATTCCATGACACATACACCCTCCTAAGACTAAACCAGGAAAAAGTCAAATCCCTGAATAGGCTGATAACAAGTTCTGAGATTGAAGGAGTAATTAATAGCTTACCAATCAAAAAAAGCCCAGGACCAGACAGATTCACAGCTGAATTCTACCAGTGGTACAAGAGGAGCTGGTAGCATTCCTTCTGAAACAATTCCAAACAGTCGAAAAAGAGGGACTCCTCTCTAACTCACATTATGAGGCCAACATCATCCTGCTACCAAAACCTGGCAGAGACACAACAAAAAAGGAAAATTTCAGGCCAATATCCCTGATTAATATCGATGTGAAAATCGTCAATAAAATACTGGCAAACCAAATCCAGCAGCACATCAAAAAGCTTATCCACCATGATCAAGTCGCTTCATCCCTGGGATGCAAGGCTATTTCAATATATGCAAATCAATAAATGTAATCCATCACATAAACAGAACCAATGACAAAAACCACATGATTATCTCAATAGATGCAGAAATGGCCTTTCATAAAATTCAACATCCCTTCATGTTAAAACCTCTCAATAAACTAGGCATTGATGGAACATATCTCAAAATAACAAGAGCTCTTTACTGCAGAGCCATAGCCAATATCATACTGAATGGGTAAAAGCTGGAAGCATTCCCTTTGAAAACTGGCACAAGGCAAGGATGCCCTCTCTCACCACTCCTATTCAACATAGTATTGGAAGTTCTGGCCAGTGCAATCAGGCAAGAGAAAGAAATAAAGGTATTCAAATAGGAAGAGAGGAAGTCAAATTGTCACTGTTTGCTGATGACACGATTCTATATTTAGAAAACCCCATAGTCTCAGCCCCAAAACTCCTTAAGCTGGTAGGCAACTTCAGCAAAGTCTCAGGATACAAAATCAATGTGCAAAAATCACAAGCATTCCTATACACCAACAATAGACAAGCAAAAAGCCGTCCACTGCTCAAGGAAATAAGAAAGGACACAAACAAATGGAAAAACATTTCGTGCTCATAGATAGGAAGAATCAATATCATGAAAATGGCCATACTGCCCGAAGTAATTTATAAATTCAATGCTATTCCCATCAAGCTACCATTGACTTTCTTTGCAGAATAGAAAAAAACTACTTTAAATTTTATGTGGAACCAAAAAAGAGCCCGCGTAGCCAAAACAATCCTAAGCAAAAAGAACAAAGCTGGAGGCATCCTGCTACCTGGCTTCAAACTATATTTAGATTTATTAGCATGAATTTAAAATATCTATAACTAAAAATACTTTTGAAAACCTATTATAAATGGATGTATGTTTTCTTCTATTTTTAAGCTTCTTTTTATTTTTATTCATTAGTCTTGCTAGAATTTTGAATGTATTAATGGCCTTTTAAACAAAACAGCAGTTTACTGTTTCATCATTTTCATTGCTTACTATGTTTTCTAATTTATTAATTTATCCTCTTACTTTTCACGGTTTTATTTCTACTCTTTTTGGGGGTTGGTTTTGCTACTTTTTCCTTTGGCTTCTTGGCTGAAATAACGAACTAATGTTAGCAGAGTGGCTGAGAAAATGGATTCTGGAGTTGAGTGATTGATTGCATCAGTGACCCAATTATCCATCTGTCTGTGTCCACCCTTTGTCTGGTAATTTTGGAGTTTTTGTCATCAAGGCAGGCTAGTACTTGGGCCAAGAGAAGAAGGGAGGTGTGATGTCGCACCAGTTCTGAACCTCAGCCTCCCGAGACCTTGAGTGTATCTGCTTGTTTTTTTGTTTCTTCCATTGCTGTGAGAGCAGACCTGGCCTAGCCTACTGCGGAATGAAACCAAGCTGAGTCCTCTCAGTCATCCAGTTGAGAGTGCTAGCCAGTCCCCTCCCAGAGATACCATCAAGCCTATCCAAGATCAGCAGTTTCTTAGGAACCACTGCAGACACCACACTACAAATGCTTATTGCTGTGTGTTGTTATTTGGGTTTATTTCCTTTTTGCTATGTAACATAAATGTGGCAATAGACCATACATATGTTACTTAGGATTACCTCTTTAGCATTCACTATATTGAAGTTTCTTTGTTTTTAGTGACTTTTTATTTTTGATTTCTAACAATTATATTGTGACCAAAGAAATGACTTCTCAGTAAGATACTGCTTCTTTAAAATTCCTTAAGACTTCCTCGCTGGTGCAGCATATTTTAATATTTGAAAGTGTTCCACGTGCACCTAACATACCTGTAACTCACCATTTAGGTGAAGTGTTTTGTACGTATCTATTCAATCTTTTTCATTGTGTTCTTCAAATCTTCAGCATCCTTTCTAATGTTATATTTCCTAGATCAATCATTTCATAATAGAGTTCAATTAAAAATTTCCACTCTAATAATAGGTTTGGCAATTTCTTATTATATCTCTGTTAGTTTTCAGCAAGTGCATTTAAAGCATAGGTAGCTAGGTGCATAAAACATTGCTTTTTTATGTTTCAGTAATAGGTTGCTTCTATTTCTGATAATATGGAGACACTAGGTTTCTGTAGGTTAATATTTGCCTAATGTATCTGTTTCTATCTCTTTGTTGTTAACCTTTTGCTGCATTTTTAAATATTTGGTTACTATATAAAAAACTATCAATGCATTATGTTTAGAAATCTAAACTGATAGATAACTATATTTTAAGAGATGCATTAAACCATGTATGAATTTTTGTTTTGGATGATCTCTCATTCTATCTTATTCTCACGTTAAACCTACTTTTCTTTTGCTTCTAGTTTTGTCTACATCTTTACCTTCTATTGAATTGAAAATGTTTTCCTCTCCTTCTTCACTTCTTCTCCTGTCCCAAAGATGTAAAAGGTGGTTATATGTCTTTTATGGTTACTCTTAAATACTTTTCTAAGAAACTATAACTTATTTTATGAAAACTCAAAAGTATTTATTATCTCTGTTCTCTTTTTACAAACAAATGCCTTCTAGTTATTTTAACACTCTGCTGAATTCCAATCTAATTATCCTGGTTATTTATTTATTTATTTATTTTTGAGATGGAGTCTCGCTCTGTCGCCCAGGCTGGAGTGCAGTGGTGCGATCTCGGCTCACTGCAAGCTCCGCCTCCTGGGTTCATGCCATTCTCCTGCCTCAGCCTCCCGAGTAGCTGGGATTACAAGCGCCCGCCACCACGCCCAGCTAATTTTTTGTGTTTTTAGTAGAGATGGGGTTTCACCTTGTTAGCTCGGATGGTCTCGATCTCCTGACCTTGTGATCCGCCTGTTGTTGTGTAGAAATGTGATTCAATTTTCAATTTAAAGAACATACAAAGTAGATTCATTTTTTACCATCAAATGTCTATTAACTTTGCCAATGAATTATGCATTTCTGTAGCGAGGCTTTGATATACTTGGGCTTGTGCAGGAGGTGGAGTGTAGAAATTCCTCCTGTACAGGGCTTGCATTGGCGGCAGCTGCTTTAAGAACCCAGAAACTTTTGTCCTCTCTGTAGGCTAGCTCACTGTGAAAATATCCCATGGATTTTACCTAAAATTGCTTACAGAGAGTGGCATTATACTTCTATAGATAACTGCATCAGTAACCAGAGAGGAGAAGTACAGCAGTAGACTACCCTCTACCCCCTGGTAGGAGTAGTAGCACATCACAGTTTCAGCATGTTCAATCTTGAGCAAAGAACATGATGTGATTGTTTCTGGGTATGTCTGTATATGGGGGGTGATTTTGTAGGGGAATTTATACATACAGTTTATTGCAGCAGGCACATAAAATACTTCCCAGAAGAAGATAATTCAGTGCATAATAAGAGCACCACATCTTTCCAGAACTTCAATCAACCACTGCTACACAAATAGGATTTGCTAAGCCACTCCTGAAAACTGTAGGACTAGAGTGCTTTCAAATGGTCTTTGCCGTGGGAGAAAACAGGCTACCTAAGCTGAATTATAGAAAGTAAAGAGATTCTGGAAGGTACCATCATCAGTTTTCTGGGAAGCATGTGAAGGACATGACTTGGAAGAATGGGTCCAGACTTTTGAGCACAAAGCCAGCAGCTCCACCCTGAAGACCATCATTTGGCTCATAAGTCCTGACTTCTGAAGCAAGTGATCTCCCTCCGTATGCATGCCATGTTGGCCATGCAGTTTCTATGAACTCCTCCATAGTGATGAGAAGTGAATGAGCCCCAACTGAAGCCATCATCTCATTTATGGGACAGGATCACACACAGGGTGGTGCTACTTTCTAGAGCCAAATCTCAAGTAAGGTGTCCAGGGGTCAGTTGCAACAGAAGGCACATTAGCCACAGCAGTCTCAGAGAACACTGCTAGAAGAAGAACCTACACATGGCCATGCAATGAGGCTGAGGGGCAGGCCTAAGTGGAAGCAGACCAAGTAAAGAGGTCAGAGAGCCCATGGAAGGAGAAGAGGGAAAGACAGTTCCAAGAGTAAAGCAGCCTAGGTTAAGGTGCAGAAAATTCAGCATGGATACTTTTAAGAGAGCTGTGCAAGGCTCTCCTTACCTAAAATCACACTCCGTATACAGACATACCCACAAACAATCACATCATGTTCTTTGCTCAAGATTGAACTTGCTGAAACTGTGATGTGCTACTACTCCTACCGGGGGTAGAGGGTAGTCTGCTGCTGTACTTCTCCTCTCTGGTTACTGATGCAATTATCTATAGAAGTATAATGCCGCTCTCTGTAAGCAATTTTAGGTAAAATCCATGGGATATTTTCACAGTGAGCTAGCCTACAGAGAGGGCAAAAGTTTCTGGGTTCTTAAAGCAGCTGCCGCCAATGCAAGCTCTGTACAGGAGGAATTTCTTTTTTTTTTTTCGTTTTATTATTATACTTTAAGTTTTAGGGTACATGTACACATTGTGCAGGTTAGTTACATATGTATACATGTGCCACGCTGGTGCGCTGCACCCACTAACTCGTCATCTAGCATTAGGTATATCTCCCAATGCTATCCCTCCCCCCTCCCCCCACCCCACAACAGTCCCCAGAGTGTGATGTTTCCCTACACTCCACCTCATGCACAAGCCCAAATATATCACAGCTTCTCTACAGAAATGCATAATTCACTGGCGAAGTTAATAGACATTGGCCAAGAGGATGATCTCCTCACTATGGAATCAGCTACAGTCTTAGGTAGCATGCAAACTCCAGTCTGACTCCAATCCCTTATATCTTCCATCGTAAAGTATTATTGCCAACTTTGTTTCTTTCCAATTTTTGTATGTTCTGCAGTTTATGTAAAGGCTAGCAAAAACATGAATACTTTATTATACATATGGCAAATAGTCTCAAATTGTAATGACTCATTTTTATCCTCTTATACTGTTGTAAAATTCAGAACAACATGTATTCACTATAGGAGTATGAAAATTCTTTTTACCAATGTACATTTTAAATAACATTGTGGTAAAGAGAAGCTACATATTTCACATTCTGATTCAACTCACTGTATCCAACGAGTAAAAGATCCTAGAAAGAATCTTACATTTCTAAAATTCTTATAGACTAAGAGTGAGCGATAGGAACAATAAAAATATTTCTGTAAGTGCTCTTGGTAAACAGTCTTAAAGTCAGAAGAACACTTATCCAAAATGCCCTACATTATTGTGCAATCAAAGTAGATAACTTTAACTTCAAAAACAACTCAGTCTTCCAACCCAATTCTTAAAACTCTAAGCTCTTCACAAAAAATTTTTAGCCAATTTAAACTTATTTCTACACTCAGTTATGTTTAAAACAACATAATGTTTGCATAATTTTTTAAAAAACATTCTAACTCAATGTTTTTATTTATCTAATATTAATTACCAGATATAAAATCTTTAAAGTAGCCCAATATTTTTCAAAATAATTTCTGCATAGATGATTGTCATTCAGTTTATAAAGGTTTATTTATAATTTTGTGATAGGAATAAGAAAAGACAAAACCTCTGAAACAAACTCACACACAAAAGCAAAATACAAAACAAAACAGAAAAAATACAGTGAACTTACTTCTGGGAAAATGGAAGCAAGGAATCTAGAGGTATGGTTTATCCACTGAGCTCCTTGTTTAGAAGAAAGTTATTCATATTTTCTCCTGGTCTCTACCATGTATCTAGAATTTGCTTTAACTATTTGACTTCTGTGAAAAGTTTCTGTGAAGACTGCTTTCAGAGTGGAGGTTATGATCTCAATTCTGTTGGCCCTGCCAAACATCACATTCACGTCATCATGCTTGGACTGTTTGTCTTCTCATTGATATTCGGCCAGTTCCTGCAGAGCAGTGGCATTTATACTGGGTTGCCTGGCTATATCATATTATAGGGAGCAATTTCTCTTTTACGTCCAAGATTATTGTGGCTAATACCAAAATTTAAAGTGCTGTCTTTAAGCCATGAGAAAGTAAACAGCTTAATCAGAGAAAAGCTCTTCTCTCTACCCAGAGCTCTAGTCTGCTTAATTGACAGCTTTACCTAGATAATCAAAATTTTCATTCCTCTGCTTCCCAGCTTCATTTTCACTCAGTTCAGACTATTTTCCAATTTATTTGACCCACGGATTAATCAGAAATGTGCTTAATTTCCAAGTGTCTGAAGATTTTCTTATCTTTTGGTTATTGATTTAATTTTAAATCAGAAGTTCAATTATACTCAGAAAAAATATTTTGTATGTCAAATTTGTTAAGGCTTATTTGATGACCCAGGATATGATCTATCTTGGCAGATATTCCATAGGCACTTGAAAAGTTGTATAGTTTTTTGGTGTTGAGTGGAATATTATATAATATCTATTACATTTAGTTGGTTGATGATATTGTTCAGTTTTTTCTATATTTTTCCTAATTTTCTGTCTCCTAGTTCTGTTGATTACTAAGAGAGGAATGTTGAAGATTTTAACAAAACTTAGGGACTTTCAAATTTCTCCCTTTAAAACTATCATGTTTTGCCTGATGTATTTTGCAACATTTGGAATTGTTATGTCTTCTTGGTGAATTGACCCTTTTATCATTATGTAATGTTAATCTTTATCTCTAGTAACTTTTGTGTTCTAAAGTCTACTTTGTTTCATATTAATAATATAGCCATTCTTACTTTCCTGTGATTATTGTTTTCGTGGTATTTTGTTTTCATCCGTTTATTTTTATCTACACACACACACACACACACACACACTATATGCTTTCAGAGTGGCAGTTATGATCTCAATTCTGTTGGCCCTGCCAAACATCACATTCATATTATATGTGTATGCGTGTGTGTGTATGTGTGTGTGTGCGTCTGTGTTTGTTATTATTTTTTTAAGATGATGGTCTTGCTATGTTGCCAAGGCTGGACTTGAACTCCTGGGTTCAAGTGATCTTCCCATCTCAGACTCCTGAGTAGCTGAAACTACAGATACATGCCACTATACCCAGCTCTAAATTGTATTTCAAGTGAGTTTCTTGTAGATGGCATATAATAGAGTCATGAGTTTGGTTTTTAAAATCCAATTTGACAATGCACATCTTTTAATGGGTGTGTTTAAATTATTTTCATTTTATGTAGCTATTGATTTTTAAAATCAGATCTGCCATTTTGTTATTTGCTTCTTTTCTCTCTGGTTTTAATTCTCCTATTTCCCATTTTCTGCTTTCTTGTTGGTTATTTGAAATTATTTTTTGGTATTGCATTTCAACGTATCTATTATGTTTCTTAACTGTATCTATTTGTATAGTTATTTTAGTGGTCACTCTCAGGATTACAAAAGACATACTTAACTTGACATGCTTTACCCAGAATTAATATTTCTTCATTTTAAGTGAAATATATAAACCTTACTATGATATACAGACAAAATAGGAAGGAGGTCAACAAGGGTGCTGCTCAGTAACTATATAACCAGAAGGGGAAGAAATAGAGGAGTAAGAGGCTCAACATGGTCTCCATCACCCCAATAAAAAGTCATGATCTCTTGCTCAGCTCCTAGTCCTAAGCTACTTTTCAGATACAGAACATATTGATTAAAAAACTAGTCAGACCCCTAGAAGAAAAGATCTTGCAACATCTTGACAAGTATATACTGTGGTGATTATACTTCCTAGTCCTCCCTCAAAGGGACCTAAAGCCATTATTTGGGTGATTATACACTGAAGAAAGAAAAATCCCCAGACATGTCAAGGGTTGTTGGGCATAAAGTCAGAGTGGACATTGATAACTGCAACCCACACTAAGGCCCTACAGCTAGATTGAGAATATAGAGCCAAGGTCGTAAATGGAGTTCCGGTTAACAAGCAGCTCTGCCTCGTCTCACTGGACTTATGGACATACCCAGTGGTGATTTTGCTGTCACCAAATGTGCTGTTAGAATTGACATATCTAGTAGTTAGAATAACTTCCATGCTGAGTCCTTGGCCTGTAGGGTAAAAACTATCATAATGCAGAAGGGAAAGTGGGCACCTTTGACAATTCTCCCAACTTTATCCCCAGCCATGACACTTAATCAAGAACAGTATTCCACATGGGGAGAAGAAATGCAGAGACCAATGCCACAAATAGTGACATAAGGATGAAAGGTAGTGGTGCCTAGCACACCTTAATTTAATTTGCCAGCCTGATCCTTGCAGAAGCCAGAAAGATTCTAGAGAATGCTTAGACTATCTCAAGCTCAAACAACTAGTGGTCCTAATTAGAGTTGCTTTGTCAGACATGGTATCTATTCCTAGAGCAGATACATGATTTTTAGCCAGCGATTAGTCAGATGCATTCTTCTCTATTCTGATTAGAAAAGAGCATCAAAAACAGTGCACAATCAGATAGATTAGGTAATATTATTTCTTTACAGTTTTCCCTCAGTGCTCTATTGACCCCCTAGCTTTTTTTATAATATAGTCTTAAGAGGTCTGGACCATGTAGACATCCACAGAATATCATATTGACACATTGATGGCATCATGCTGATCAGACAAGATGAGCAAGATGTGACTAGCATGCTGGAGGTTTTGGTAGTACACATGTTTTAGAAAGTGGGAGATAAACCCTGTGAAGATTCTGGAGGTTTTCACTTCGGCAAAGGTTTTATGGATCCAGTGGCTAGGGGTGCTTTGCCTATCTCCTTCAAAGTGAAAGAAAAATTACTGTATCTTGCAGCCTCAACCAGTAAGAAGAAAGGTCAGCATCTGTGATGTCTCTTTAGATTCTAATGGCAACACATTCAATGGCTGGTTATATATATTATATATATATATAATTATATTATATAAATATATAATATATAATATAATTATATATATAATATATATAATATATAATATAATTATATATAATATATAATATATATATAATTATATATAATATATAATATATAATATAATTATATATAATATATAATATATATATAAAATATATAATATATAATTATATATAATATATAATTATATATTATATATATTATTTATATATTATATAATTATATATTATATATATTATATATTATATATATTTATATATTATATAATTATATAATATAATATAGTATATAAAATATATATAATATTTAATATATATAATATTAAAATATTAAAATATATATTATATTATATATAATATATAATATTAAAATATATATTATATTATATATATATTATATTATATATATATTTTATAATATAATATAATATAATAATATAATATAATATAATAATATAATATTATATATTATTATTATATAATAATAATATAATATAATATAATATAATAATAATAATATAATAATATATATTATGTATACTGACTCATAAATACATACTGACTCATATATATATTATATAATTATATAATATATATTAAATTTTATATGTATATTATATATAAAGACTTTAGGTTACTGTTGAGAAGGCATGACTGGTTTTGAAATATAAGGATATGATATTTAGAAGGGGCCAGGGGCAGAATGATATGGTTTGATTTTGTCCCCACCCAAATTTCATCTTGAATTGTAGCTCCCATAATTTCCACGTGTCATGGGAGGGACCCAGTGGGAGGCAACTGAATCATGAGGAGTGGGTCTTTTCCGTGCTCTTCTCATGATAGTGAGTAAGTCTTACAAGATCTGATAGTTTTATAAAGGGGAGTTCCCCTGCACATGCTGTCTTGCTTGCCACCATGTAAGATGTGACTTTGCTCCTCATTTGTCTTCTGCCATGATTGTGAGGCTTCCCCAGCCATGTGGAACTGTGAGTCAATTAAACCTCTTTCCTTTATAAATTACCCAGTCTCAGGTATGTCTTTATTAGCAGCATGAGAGCAGACTAATACAGATACCATCTCACACCAGTCAAAATGGCCATTTTTAAAAAGCCAGTAAATAATAGATGCTGGCTAGGCTGCAGAGAAAAGGGAGTGCTTATACACTGTTGGTGGGAATGTAAATTAGTGCAGCCGCTGTGAAAAGCAGTTTGGAGATTTCTTAAATAACTTAAAAAAAGAATAACAGAATAATCATTCAACCCAGCGATGTCTTTACTAGGTATATACCCAAAGGAAAATTAATCATTTTACAAAAATGACACGTGCACTTGTATGTTCATGGCAGTGCCATTCATAATGGCAAAGACTTGGAATCAACCTAGGTGCCCATCAACAGTGGTTTGGATGAAGAAAACTTGGTATATATACACCATGGAATACTACACAGTCATAAAAAAGAATGAAATCATGTCCTTTGCAGCAACATGGATGCAGCTGGAGGCCATTATCCTAAGTGAACTAACACAAAAACAGAAAACCAAATACTGCATATTCTCACTTATAACTGGCAGCTAATCATTGAATACACATAGACATAAATGTATTTTAACACATTATTATTCCCACTTAGATTCTGTGTAATATTTAACCATTTAATTACATCAACAAATAAAAGCCTTTAGAAATTGATGTATCTAGCACAATTAAGGGGTAATTTGTTTATGATTACAGGAGTCATTTCATTTACACTAATTTGATGTGAGGAGACAATCAAATTCCTTTTTTCCTATAAGAAAAACTTAATTCCGGGAGGCTTAGGCAGGAGAATCTCTTGAACCCAGGAGGCAGAAGTTGCAGTGAGCCGAGATTGCACCATTGCACTCCAGCCTGGGCAACAAGAGTGAAACTCTGTCTCAAAAAAATAAATAAATAAAATAAAATAAAAAGTAAAACTTAACCCTCACATTTTTTCTTTAAAAACATTACACTATTGAAATAGAATAGAATTTTGGACCTCAATGTTTCTATGCTTTTTGACAATGTAAAGATTATATCAAGAATAACATTGACTCCTTGTGCACATGTGTGAAACTATGTCGAGCTGATGTATCCAGAAAAGAAATTGCAGCGATATTGGGTATAGAATTTCCAATCTCAACCTCCTTCTTGTTGTGGAATAGAAATTTAGTTCCACCTTCTCTGTTCATAATACATAAGAGTAGATAATCAGATATGAGGTGATTAAATATATAAACTGATTTCACAGTTACCATGGAAAGACCATAATATGTTTGGACGAGGTGGGGGAAAGAGTCTCCCTCTGAACTGAGATTTGAATAGGCTTTAGATAGACTAAAAACCCATGGCCTGTCTTCTTCAACTTCCCATCATTGATCATCTGGGAGAATCAAAATGGCCTGGATTATAAAGTGATTACAATTAGTAGGGCAGGCATACTAAATAAAAATGGGGTGAGTGTGCTTGGATGGGAAAAACTGGGGTGCAGAGAAATATTTCCTGTTTTGGAGGCTTCGTTCATAGCGAGCCTGAGGATGCAGATGATATGGAACATGAGCCCCACCAGGATATACATCCTCCTGCACAGTCTTCCCTGATCAGTGCTGTCTATTGCCCTAGGCACCATCCTCAGCCACTCTGTGTTAGGCACTTAGGACAGTTCTGTTCAAAGCATGATTGCTTTCTGGTCAGTGAAGAAATAGTAAAGAAATGAGAGTCTGCTTTTGAAGCTTTTGTAGCAACTTAACATTTCTGCAATGTCGTGGTACATGTTTTATATTTTTTAAAAGTATTCATCTGCAGACTAGAAATAAAAGAGTCCTTCAGCACAGATAGTTTGAGAGATGCTACTGTAGAGTGCCCTGGGAGGATGGGATTCTTCTAGACATTGACGGCTCCCTGGAGTGGTGCTGGAGCTTGCTGAGATAGGGACGCGGGGATTGCTGTGGAACAGCATGTTGTGAAAACAGGCACAGATGGGCTGTTGCCACGTACTCAGTATTTGGCAGGCCCAGGCACCCTGCCCCGGGGAGACAGAGCAACAGCTGTCATTTCCAAAAATGTGACACAAATATGACTTTCGTTTTTTATTGTATGTGTATGCATGTGTGCATGCGCATGTGTGGTTGGTGTGTGGGTAAATAATATTGGTGAGGGAGTTAGCAGTGCAGAGACGCAGAGATGAATCTAATGAATTTATATTTGGAGGCCCTTGAAAGGAGCCCTGTGCATGCATAATCAGGAAGCAGAAGTGCAGTCGTAGGCCAGTCCCATCCTCTGGTGGAAACAGCAAATTACAGCCTTAGCACTTCTCACCTGTAGCAAAAGAAATGTATGCTGCACCTGGGAGGGGTAGGAGAACTTCTTAGAATTTGGTGGGTTTATTAGTCAGGGTTGTGTAGAGAAACAGAACCAATGAGATAAATATGTTAGATAGATGATAGATAGATAGATAGATAGATAGATAGATAGATAGATAGATAGAGATGATAGATGATATAGATAGATGATAGATGATAGATAATAGATGATACATAGATAGATATAGCAAATAGATCTATAGATATGACAGAGAGAGAATGAGAGAGATTTACATTAAAGAATTGGCTCACATGATTGTGGGGGCTGCAAATCCTACATCTGTAGAATTTGCTGGCAGGATGGAAATTCAGGTAAGAGTGGATATTGTAGCCTTGAGTCGAAAGTCCACAGGGCAGCAAGCTGGAAACTCAGGCAAGGTTTCTAGGTTGCAGTCTTAAGAAGAATTTCATATTCTTTAGGAAACCTCAGTCTGTGTTCTTAGGGTCTTCAACTGATTGAATGAAGCACAAACATTATGGAAGGAAATCCGGTTTACTCAAAGTCTGCTGGATTAAGCATTAATCCCAACTAAAAAACGCCTTCACAGCAACATTTAGACTACTGTTCAGCCAAGTATCTGGGCACCATAGCTCAGATAAGTTGACGTATAAAATTCACCATCACAAGGGAGGAATTTATATATACACTTTATTGCAGCAAAATCTTTACAGTTTAACGTTTTGTACTTTTCCCAGAAGGAAACGTTTCAGTGCAGAGTTGAATATCGCATCTTTCCGTAGCTCATACAAATCCCATACAACTTTGATTTGCTGAGCCTCTCCTGAAAACTGGACAACTTAAGTGTTCATGAAAGGTTTTAATTGCTTAAGAAAATAGACTGTTTGTGTGAATTACAAAGAAAAAGGGATTTTAGAAGGAACATTGGTACTCCGGGAAGCAGGTTGGGGCAAGGCTTGCATAAGTGAATCAGAAGTTTTAGGCACGAAGTCAGCACCTCTGTCATGGCCTATGTCAGTTGAGTCTTTACCTTTGCCTCGTGCCTGGCCTTCAGACCCTGTGAGCCCGCTCCGGGACAGGGTTACGGCCAATCCAGCAGAGATTCTGGCAAAGCATCCCGGGAATGAGAGTGAGAAAGGCCCAAAGCAGTCAAGGCCCAAAGACAACCCTCGACCCCATCTCTCCAAATGTCAGCCCTCAAGATCTCAGGCTCTCTGGACCTCAATCTCCATGCCACTTCAAAGGCCCCAAATTTCAGCCCCAGCAGCTCCAGCTCATAGCCCTAGGTCTTCAGAGATCACTCCAGTAACTCCCAAATATCACCCCAGGGATCCAGTTCTGACAGCCAAGACCACTCCTCTCATAAAATAATCGCAGATATTAGGTGAAGATCCCCAAAGCCCCAAGGAAACCCTAAATCTCATCCTGAGGACACCGATCCCACCAAAGCCCCGAGGAAACCCCAAATTTCATCTCGAGGACACCAGTCCCACCGTTAGGAACCGGGACCTCAACCCACAGCACCCGGATTCCGAGAACAGAGGCTTCGGGGCCAAATGGGCTGAATCCAGTACCTCACTCCCACGCCCCCGGGTGGACAGCAACCCTCCTCCACCGCGTCCCCTCGTGGGTTTTAGGTCCTATATTTGAGGGATGTGGCCTCCTCCTTTTATATCATGTTGGCCAAGAATGATCTACACAGTCATCATGGAATATTGCATGGAGATAAGGAGTGGCTGTGCCCCTGCCTGAAGGGCTCATCCCATTCATGAGGCAGGATGACCCTCAAGGCAGTGCTACTCACTAGAGTCAAAGCTCAGGTAAGGTGTTTAGGGGCCAGTTGCAACATGAAGCACATTAGCCAAGGCAGTCTCAAAGAGTATTGCCAGAGGAAGAATCTACACCTGGCTGTTTAATGAGGTTGAAAGGCAAATCTAGGTCAAGCAGGCCAAGTAAAGAGGTCAGCCCAGCACTTTGGGAGGCAGAGGCAGGTGGATCACCTGAGGTCAGGAGTTCGAGACCAGCCTGGCCAACATGGTGAAACCTTGTCTTTACTAAAAATACAAAAATTAGCTGGGTGTGGTGGCACGCGCCTGTAATCCCAGCTATTCAGGAGGCTGAGGCAGGAGAATTGCTTGAACCAGGGAGGCGGAGGTTGTGGTGAGCCAAGATCAGGCCACTGCACTCCAGCCTGGGTGACAGAGTGAAACTCCGCCTCAAAAAATAAATAAATAAATAAATAAAAATAAAAAAGAAGTCAGAAAGCCCATGAAAAACATTTGGAGGGAAGAAGTTAGTCCAAGAATAAAAGCATTAGGTCAGGGCGTCTAAGATCCCCAAGGATTGGTCCTGGCTGTGTAGACACTTAAAGAGATTGTGCAAGGCTGGACAGGAGGGTGAGCTGGCCAAAAAGGTGATCTGCTAACTGTGGAATCAACCACCGCCCAATGTCCTGGATAACTGAGTCTGACTCGCAATGGTTAGGCTTACCATTGTAAATCAGTCTTGAAGTATAAACAAGTTCATTAAACTACCCCTCCTGTTTACATTTTCTTTTATTCCCTGATTCATGTAATCTCTGTAGCTCATATCTAAATAAAAAATAATAACATGGACTTGTTATTATGCATGTCGTGGTTTACTTCTAACTGTAAAGTTTCTGATTATTCTCCTGTCATGCTGATCTTCATGTCAGAAGAAAACGCTTTGCTATTCACCATGAGTGCAGAAAACTGCTTACTAGAAACGATTCTAAACAGCAAAGGATGTATATTTGAAATAATAGGGTTGTAATGAAAAAGTACATATTTCTCAATCTCATTCAATACATTGTACCCGTAGAGTAAAAGATATAGAAAAGCATCTTATGTTTTAAAAATGTAAGTCTGAGAGTGAAAAACAGAGACAATAAAAACCTTTCTCTAAATATTATTGGTGGAAAAGTCTCAAAGCAATAGAAAGTATATATAAAATGCCTGTGAATTTTTGTGCAATAAAATCATATATATATATGTGTGTGTGTATGTATATTTGTTTTTTTTGTTTTGTTTTGTTTTTTTTTTTTTTTTTGAGACGGAGTCTCGCTCTGTCGCCCAGGCTGGAGTGCAGTGGCGGGATCTCGGCTCACTGCAAGCTCCGCCTCCCGGGTTCACGCCATTCTCCTGCCTCAGCCTCCCAAGTAGCTGGGACTACAGGCGCCCGCCACTACGCCCGGCTAATTTTTTGTATTTTTAGTAGAGACGGGGTTTCACCGTTTTAGCGGGGTTGGTCTCGATCTCCTGACCTCGTGATCTGCCCGCCTCGGCCTCCCAAAGTGCTGGGATTACAGGCGTGAGCCACCGCGCCCGGCCAATGTATGTATATTTGTAACTCAGATTTGTAAATGCAGCCACATTCATATCCACACATCAAATGCACCAAAAAGATTCACTAAGTTCCTCATAGTCAGTCCATAAATTCCCAGCTTCTTCACATATTCGCATTTTTTGTCTTAACATGATATAATAGTTAAAAAAATTTAAAAATTAATAATTAACCAAGTTTTTTTTTCTTGTAGACTATATCAGCCATTATTCAGAAACATTAATTCATTGTTTTAAAAATAATTTCTCTAGAGATGTTTGGCACTTAGTATATGAAATCATTTATAATTGAATAATACAAACAAAACAGAAAAAAGAACTTACTTTTGGGACATCTGAAGAAAGTGACCTACAAACTCAGTTTATCCCTGAGTCTCATTATTTTTAGGAAAATGGTCTCTATGTCATCTCTATGTTATGTTTGACTTGTCTTGCTTGAGTCTGTTTTCCAGAAAGATTGTGATCCTTGGCCTGTTGAATATGAAATTTACATGATCACTCTTGGGAAAAATTCCTTTTTTAGTGACTGCAAGCCAGGTCCTGTGGCCGAGAAGCATCAGCTGTACTTGGTTGACTGACTGTATTACTCTGTTTTCATGCTGCTCATAAAGACATACCTGAGACTTGGCAATTTACAAAAGAGGTTTAACAGACTCACAGTGTCAAGTGGGTGGGGGTGCCTCACAATCATGGCGGAAGGTGAAAGGCATGTCTCACATGGTGGCAGACAAGAGAAGAGAGCTTGCGCAGGAAAATTTCCTCTTATAAAACCATCAGACCTCATGAGACTTACTCACTATCACAAGAATAGCACGGGAAGGACCCACCCCCATGATTCAATTACCTCCAACCAGGACCCTCCACAACATGTGGGAATTATGGGAACTACAATTCAAGATAAGATTTGGGTGAGGTCACAGCCAACCATATCACTGACTTTCATCATATTATAAAGAACTATCTTGCAGAGAGAATCTGCTTTCCATCTCTAATAATTTGTTTATTCTGGATATTTCACATAAATAGAGTTATATAATATTTGTTGCTGGCTTTTTCATTTAGTGTAATGTTTTCAAGGTTCATCTGTGTTAGAGTATGTACCTTTGCTTCATTCCTTTACATCACTAAATAATATTCGATTGTATGGATGTGCCACATTTTATTTGATCTCTTATCAGTTGACAGACTGTTGGGTTTTTCTACTTTTTGGCTATTACGAATGATGGTACTATATGAACATTCACACACAAGTTTTCATGGGTATATGTTTTTATCTTTCTTGGGTATATACCTAGGTGGGGGATTGCTGTCATATGGTAACTTTATGTTTAACATCCTGAGGACCTGCCAAACTTTGCCAAAGTGGTTGTACCATTTTACATTCCTACCAGCAATACATGACTATTCTAATTTATCCACATTCTCACCAACAATTGTTACTTTCTGCCTTTCTGATAACTGTCTTAGGAGCTGTGAAGTGGTGTCACATTGTGGTTTTGATTTGCATTTTCCTAATGTCCAGTGATATTGGGCATCTTTTTATATGCTTACTGACCATTTGTACAACTTCTTTGGGGAAGTATTCTTAGAGGTTTTATTGAAGTGGATGCTTTTTATTTCATTTCCTTAACTAACCACCTAGCTAAAATATTGAGTATAATGTTGAGTGGAAAGCAGACATCCCTTTATTGTTCTTGATCTTAGAGGAAAACATTCATTCTTTGATCAGCATGTTTTTAGATACAGATTTTCCAAAGGTTTCCTTTATTAGGTTGGAAAAATTCCCTTCCATTCCTACACTGTTGTTCTTATCATGAAAGAATGTTGAATTTTGTCAAATGTTTTTCTGTTTCAATTGAGATGACTATGTAGTTTTGATACTTGTTTTATTTTTAAATTTTTTTTATTTCCATAGGTTTTTGGGGAATAGGAGGTATTTAGTTACATGAGTAAGTTCTTTAGCGGTGATTTGTGAGATTTTGATGCACCCATCACCTGAGCAGTATACAGTGAAGCTAGTTTGTAGTCTTCCATTCCTCGCCCCCTTCCCACCTTTCCCCCTTGAGTCCCCAAAGTCCACTGTATCATTGTTATGCCTTTGTATCCTCATAGCTTAGCTCTTACTTATGAGTGAGAACATTCGAAGGTGGGTTTCCCATTCCTGAGCTACTTCACTTAGAATAATAGTCTCCAGTCCCATCCAGGTTGCTGTGAATGCCATTAATTCATTCCTTTTTATGGCTGAGTAGTATTCCATCATATGAGTATTCCATCATATGATGGAATATATGCCACAGTTTCTTTATCCACTCGTCGACTGATGGGCATTTGGGCTGGTTCCGCATTTTTGCAATTGTGAATTGTGCTGCTATAAACATGCGTGCACAGGTATCTTTTTCATGTAATGACTTCTTTTCCTCTGAGTAGATACCCAGTAGTGGGATTGGTGGTCCAAATGCTAATTCTACTTTTAGTTCTTTAAGAAATATCCACACTATTTTCCATAGTGTTTGTACTAGTTTACATTCCCACCAGTAGCATAGAAGTGTTCCCTTTTTACCAAATTCACGTCAGCATCTATTTTTTTTTTTTATTACGGTCAATCTTGCAGGAAGAAGGTGGTATCACATTGCGGTTTTGATTTTCATTTCCCTGATCATTAGTGATGTTGAGCATTTTTTCATATGTTTGTTGGCCATTTGTATATCTTCTTTTGATAACTGTCTATTCACCTCCTTAGCCCACTTTTTGATGGGATTGTTTGTTAATGCATCTGTTTTCGTCTGATATTTATTTTATTAATGTGATGTATTATATTGATTGATTTTTTGGATATTAAACCACTAACATTTATGAGATGGATCCCACTTGGCCGTTGTGTATGATCTTTTTTGTATGTTGCTGAATTATTTTTGCTAGTATTTTGTTGAGGATTTTTGCATCTATACTCATAAAAGATATTGATCTGTAGTTTTCTTTTTCATGTGATATCTTTGTATGGTTTTGGTATCAGAGTAATACTAGCTTTATAAAGTGAGTTGGGAAGTTGAGAAGTATTACTTTTCTTGTATTTTTTGGAAGAGTTTGAGAAGAATTGGTATTAATTCTTATTTAAATATATATTTGGATTTATCAGTAAAGTCATCTGGGCACGGGCTTATTTTCTTTAGGAAGTTTTAAAATTACTAATTTAATCTCTTTATGTTATAGGTCTATTCAAGTTTTCTATTCTACTTGAGTCAGTTTTGCCAGCTTGTGACTTTATATGAATTTATCCATTTTACCTAAGTTAGCTGATCTGTTGGCAAACATTTACTCACAGTATTCCCGTATAATCATTTCAATTTATATAAGATAGTGATGTCCCCTTCCACCTCCTTTTTTTTTTTCGAGATGGAGTCTCGCTCTGTTGTCCAGGCTGGGGTGCAGTGGCATGATCTTGGCTCACTGCAACCTTCGCCTCCCGGGTTCAAGCAATTCTCCCGTCTCACCCCCCCCGAGTAGCTGGGACTACAGATGCCTCCCACCAAACCCGGCTGATTTTTGTTTTTTTTGTAGAGACGGGTTTCACCATATTGGTCAGGCTGGTCTCAAACTCCTGACTTCAGGTGATCCGCCCTCCTCAGCCTCCAAAATTGCTGGGATTACAGGCGTGAGCCACTGCACCTGGCCCCATCTCCTTCTTTAGAAAGCCACCACCCACCTGCCAGGCTGTACTGCCATATCCCCCTTTGCTGGTGCTCTTGCAGAGCTCTCCAAAAGGACTGTAATCCCAGGTATAGCCCTGGGTCTGGTGGCCTTTATTCTCTGCCTGCCAAGCCTTATTGATAAGGGCTGGCCCTCAATTTGTGACTTAACAACACACAATCAGTTATCGGATCCATTTTCCCAAGGGGGAAATCTTTAAAAAGCATGAAAACTAATACACTGTGGGCTAAACCTTATACAACAGGAAAATAGAAATAGGATATTGCTTGGAAGATAAATTTACTTTTCTTTCTTTCTTTCATGGACTACATCTGCAAGTACCCACTTGCAGCCATTCCAGAGAAATCCTATGAAGTGAGTGAACATACTGGCTTAGCAACCGGCTTGCTTTTTTCTCAGCTCATGATGGAGCAGCAGCCAGCCCAGCAGCGCACATAAAATCTGTTTCATATCTTTCCTTACCTTCTTCCCCTTTTTCTTACGCTCACTGCCCTAGACTTACACCTTCCAAATGAAGTTGAATTATTAGCTAAGGCTCGGCTTTCTCTGGTTGTCAGATGGGTGGGGTTGAACAAAGTGGAAGGCAAAGATCTAAGGATGAGAAGACTACATGCGGATAAGAGCTCTAGTGCTGATGGATAATCTGGGAGTCTTAGACTTTTAATGATGATTTCAGTAAACAGAAACTTGATGTGGTTAATTAGAAAGGGTTTGCTTGCTTTTGCTTTTTTTTGTTTTTTTTTGTTTTTGTTTTGAGACAGAGTCTTGCTTTGTTGCCCAGGCTGGAGTGCAGTGGCACAATATCGGCTCACTGCAAGCTCTGCCTTGCAGGTTCAAGCAATTCTCCTGCCTCAGCCTCCCGGATAGCTGGGACTACAGGTGCTGGCCACCATGCCCGGCTAATTTTTTGTATTTTTAGTAGAGACAGGGTTTCACCGTGTTAGCCAGGATGGTTTCCATCTCCCGACCTCGTGATCCACCCGCCTCGTCCTCCCAAAGTGCTGGGATTACAGTTGTGAGACACTGCACCTGGCCTGCTTGCTTTTTTAGTGGGAGGTGCATAATCAATTCCAATTACTGTCTTTGAGAAGATTGTTCCTTAGTTTGTGGTAGTGGAGTGGGAGCAGGAGGGAATAGCTGGTTTGGCCTGCAGCACATGAAACTCCAGGTATCTGCCTAGAATCCTGCTGTGGTCTAGACTTTCTTTGGAAACATATTTTAAAGTCATAGTTCCTTTATTTTATTACTTAGTGTTCATAAACCTAACACATGTTCAGCTGAGCTTTAAGAATATCAGTCTTCTGATTAGCAACGTAGAATACCTACTCTCTAGGGTGTTGAGAAAGATTTTCAATTTGAATAATAGGAGTAAAATTTAATCAGAATCCTAGTTGAGAAAAATGTAACATGGGACATTTTTTAAGAATGTAGAGTTTATTTTTTCTAAGCCAAAACAACATTACCTATACAATTTTCATGTGTCTTGAATCCCCAAGGACATTAATCCTGTAGTATATTGACAGATGCAAATTAAATACATATACACACTGTTCTATCTATTGCATTCGGCAAGCATGATAAATGATTTTCTCCAGCAATGCTCAGCTCCGACTGGAAAAGTGGAAAACTGCAAGACTTGAGTTTGGGAGTTTAGGATGGGTTTGGGGGAAGGCAAAATGTGACCTTGAAAATATAGTTTAAGTGACAAAGAAAGGAGATGAAGTTAGTTAGGGTTGGAAGGCAGGTCAAAGTATGGATGGGCCTTGAAACTGTAAGTTCTCTTTTGATTATCTAAAATGAATGACATAATTAACAAGACAGAGTTTCAAAATAGTGAGATAATAACCAAATATTTAGCAAATGGAGCTACTCAAAGTGTTAGAATAACACATGAGTTTAGCAGAAGATAAATAATAAAAAGGACAATATGAAATCCACATTATCTGATAGAAACATTTTTGCTTAAATTTTCCATCCTTTTTTTTTTTAATAGGACAGTCTTTTCCACCATTTTCAGCTCATTGCTTCCTGAACTCAACCATGTCAGTCAATGGGCTCCACCTTAAAATTTGTTCAGCATTAAGGATCCTAAATGAAGGACTGGGCAGTGTGGTTCTAGGAAAGCATGAACCTATACAGGGAAGGGTAAAAATTCAAACTAAGCCAATCATAAAAGAGACTCTTCTCCTGGTCAAACTCATTATGATTTACTATGCATCTATTAGTGAGGGAAGAACTGTAAGCCATTATCCAGCCTCTAGTTACAATCTTATATTTTATTATATGTAAAGAGATATTAAAACTGAGTTTATATTCTATAGTGCATTTCCCAAAAATAAGTCTGCAAAAGTTTACTGTGACCTGAGATAAACGTCTCTCTATTCTCTAAGAGCAAGTAATGAAATTTGTCAGGTTCTACATTTGTAAAACAAGCAAATCACAGTAGGATCGCTGAGGTCCTTTATTTTTATTTTTTAAAAGACAGAGTCTCACCTATTGCCCAGGCTGGAGTGCAGTGGTGCAATTATAGCTTCCTGCAGCCTCAAACTCCTGAACTCAAGCCACCCTCCCACCTCAGCCTCTCGAGTAGCTGGAACTACATGTTCATGCCACTGTGCTCAGCTAATTAAAAAGGTGTTTGTGTGTGAGTGTGTGTGTGTGTGTGTGTGTGTGTGTGTGTGTGTGTGTGTGTTGGTAGAGATGGGATCTTGCTATATTGTCCAGGCTAGTCTCAAGTTCCTGGCCTTAAGCAATTCTCCCACCTCAGCCTCTCAAAGTGCTGGGATTACAGGTGTGTGTCCGGCCTTCGAGGTCCTTTTCCACCAAGAATTCTAAGATTATTGTGTAGCGCTGGTTTAAATGCACTCCCAGGGTTCATGTGAGGAGTCGGTGCTGAGTCAAGGTCTTTTTTTCCCAGTAAGCTAACACATCCACTTCAGCATTAACCTTTCCTGTCAAGACAACCCAAGGAATGGCTTTTTACGGTGCCACCCCAGAAAGAGAGACTTCATTTTATTTTCAACAGTCTTTGCCACACTTGCTTTGTCAGAAGTTTTGCTGATTCAGTATATACTACAGTTTGTTGAGGTCTTTATTTTCCCTCACAGAAATAATCTACAGATTATTATGTGACATCACTGAGGCCCGTGCCGTCTTGAAAATATTCAAAGGGACGTGAACGTCAAACAAAATGTATTCCAATGTCTATAGATATTTCTATTAATTACTGAACATTTGTATTGCTAATTTACTAGATTTGTTCTCAAAGGACAATTTTTGCAGGTTGGCCGAATGTGCTAAGCACAGAACCCAAAATTTCTAAATAAAGGAGATCAACTGTTCTGAATTCCTCATTTTTTTACTAAAGATAAAATTATCGAGCAGTTGGTTTAAATAACATATAAATCTAGAGGATTAGGGGAGATTTTGGAAATTTCTGGAAATATTTTGGGTTGTCACACTTGGGGAGTGGTACTGCCATCTGGTGGATAAGAGAGCAGAGATGCTGCAAAATATTTTACAATTCACAGGACAGCCTCCCCCACCACCACTCCAACAAAGAAGTTTCCAATACAAAATGTCAATCGTGCCACTGTTGAGAAACTCACATCTCATATAAGAATAAACTAAGTATCATTAAAATTATTTCTTTATAATCCTTGTAATATTTTCATTTATTGAGGCTTCAAAATAAGTTATTCTTACCTTCTATTTCAAATACTCCAAACATTCATGCAATATAACTTTTAATCTAAGTGGAGATATTCCTTCCTAGTTTTTTTATATTAAGTTAAAGGATAAACTCATCCAAAGGCATTGTGTCTTGGGTTGGATTGTGTCCGAAGAGGGGTTTGGAGGAGACATTAAAATATTTCCACCAACTTATGATAAGAGTTTCATTTCAAGACAGTGACTTTTTTTTTCTTTTTGATGGAGTCTCACTCTGTCGCCAGGCTGGAGTGCAGTGGTGGGATCTCAGCTCACTGCAACCTCCGCCTCCTGGGTTCAAGCGATTCTCCTGCCTCAGTCTCCCAAGTAGCTGGGACTACAGGTGCGCGCCACCACACCCAGCTAATTTTTGTATTTTTAGTGGAGACAGGGTGGTCTCGATCTCTTGACCTCGTGATCCGCCCGCCTCAGCCTCCCAAAGTGCTGGGATTACAGGTGTGAGCCACTGCACCCGGTCAAGACAGTGATTTTAGCACAAGATTTCCACTCTTTTGCTTTGCAATTTCCATGAATATAACTCAGTAAATCAAAACAAGAAGATAATTTATTTTAGCACTAGTAATAGGCAAGTTACTATTGCTTGGCTAGACACTTTCAGGTTGGTGCAATGTGAATACACTGAGAATGAAGGAAGTATCCACTAGCCAGAGAGTCAACACAGATAAACACGTGGGAAGACAGTAGGAAGGATCACTCTTGCAGAGTTCTGCACCAGGTAAGGAATGGCAATAGGAAGCATGGAACAGTTCAATTGCAATTGCATCAGTGCCCTGCATGCTTGAGAGATTCTTACCCTAGGTTTTTGCTTTCATTGTTTTCTTGGCATGAACTACTGTACTAGTCGATGTAATGCTGACTATCTGTTGTAACCAACCCCTAAATCTCAACAATCTCTATATCTTAATACCTCACAGTGGTCTGTGGCAGTTCAGGGTTTTCTTTTTCTTTTGTTTGTTTTCTTTAAGTTACCACAGTAGAGGACACCCACCTTCCTTCCCCATGACCCTCCCATCTTCAAAAACAGACACAGAGCAACAAGTCTTCATGTTTCAAATCTCTATGACTTCCCCTTCTGCCACTATTCTAAGAAAGCTCTCTACGTTTAAGGCATCAGATGATTAGATCAGGCCCACACAGATAATCTTTCTTTTCCTAATGTCAAAGGTGTCATGAAATATAACAGAGACAATGAAGCAATATTGTGTCATATTCTTAGGGTCCAGAGATTAGGGAGGCAGATCTCTACTGGGCCATTTTGGAAATTCTGCCTCTCACAGTGCCAAATATAAATAAGAATATTTGTTGGTAATGTTATTATGAAGATTGCATAAAATAATCAATATATGTACAGAACCTAGTTATAATGTGTATTCTTAGTCTAATAAATAATGATAATATTGCCATGATCATATTATGCTTCCAAGTTTACTATTTCACTTTCTTTTATAGAACTGTTGGATATAAATCCTTTGCTTAACACACTTTCACTGAGATTATTATTGGCATTTTTTTTTAGCTTTGGGAACATACTCTTAGAATACTGAAATGATGTGTTTCTTCATCAGCTCCCAACATATAGCACATTGACACTTTCTTGTTGAAAACTGCTTCACTGAAGTCCTGAGTCTGAGTGTGTCATTAGTGCGGATGAACCCAGTCTTATAAAATCAAGTCTTATTTAAGGCATAGGCCTTATATACAATGATAATGGCACAGTCTTTGGAAATTTGGCTCACTGCAAGAAACACTTACTCTATTACTGATGTACGTAAAGTGAACTATAGTTTTCAATGGGTTGACTTGTATCAACTCATTTGTGACTTATAAAAGTCAAGTGACTCAGTAGGATCAGTATTAATGTCTCTTTTTTAAAAAAAATAAGAAGTCTGGGGCCCTTGGCCCAAGGTCTCAGACGAATATTCTTACGGGTTGATGGAAGTGTTTTATTTTCAAAAACTAGAAGAATATAAGAACTAAAATCAAAGCCAAGGTCTTTCACACAACTTCCTTCAAGTATTCAATTAGATAGCAATAATAATAGTATTAACAAGAAAAACTCACCTAAATAAGAGTATACAAGTTTATTTTAAGGTGTTCATAGGGTTACCAGTTGGATAGGTCATAATAATATATAGAGATATGGGAAATTAAGACCTATGAAGTTTTAATTATTTGCATAAGAGTATGCCCTTGCATCATAAGAAAACATATAAAAACAGAAATATGTTTCAAACTTGTGTATAACATATATATACATGTTCAACTTGATCAGGTTCTTACTGAAATTATTTATTTATTTTTATTATACTTTAAGTTCTGGGATACATGTGCTGAATGTGCAGGTTTGTTACACAGGTATACATGTGCCATGGTACTTTGCTGCACCCATCAACCCATCATCTACATCAGGTATTTCTCCTAATGCTATCCCTCCCCTAGCCCCCATCCCCCCAACAGGCCCCAGGGTGTGGTGTTCCCCTCCCTGTGTCCATGTATTCTCATTGTTCAATTCCCACTTATGAGTGAGAACATGCGGTGTTTGGTTTTCTGTTCCTGTGTTAGTTTGCTGAGGATGATGGTTTCCAGCTTCATCCATGTCCCTGTGAAGAATATGAACTCATCCTTTTCTATGGCTGCATAGTATTCCATGGTGTATATGTGTCACGTTTTCTTTATCCGGTCTATCATTTGTGGGTATTTTGGTTGGTTCCAAGTCTTTGCTATTGTAAACAGTGCTGCAATAAACATACGTGTGCATGTGTCTTTATAGTAGAATGATACAGATTTCAAATTTCCTTTATAGGCACAACAGACAAAACATGGACTCACAATCTAAACTCTGAAAAATGACAGAAAAGGAAAACCAGTGAATTAAGAACAAGTATTTAAAAAGGGAATTATAAAAAGCAAATACTGTGCTGCTGGGTAATCAATTGACTCCCCTTACCCGGAAGTCAATAGGGTGTCTTAATTTATACTTTAATCAAAAAAATAAATAAGAAAATATTTAATATTTTGAAGTTCAGAGAAAGAAAATTAAGCATTCTCCATGACATCCTCAGAAATGTAGACAATTCTATAATAAATGCATTTTTAAACTTAACACAGTAGGAAACATGGGATTTGGTTGCTGGCACAAAGGCTGCATGGTATGGCTTAGGCTTATGCCCTATGATCGCCCTCACTGACATCGCCTGTTGTCTCACTGTAAGAAATACTACTGAGGATAATTATTGCATGAGTTTCAAATGCATTTTGTACCACCTCTGATATAAGGCATATTAAGGCTATAAAATATTATCTTTAAAAGAGTCACAGGATTAAAGAAAGATATAGGGTATTTGGAGCTTTAAGGCTCTTCCTGCAGGAGGAGTTTCCACTTCACCGAGGGATCAAAGTCCTCTTCAAGATCACCCAGCTCCTGCTCCTTGGAGAGCTCCAGGAAAACCTAAAAGGAAGGAAAGAAATAAAGAGAGGAGAACAATGCCATACTGCCTCCTGCAGCTCCAGGCGAATGCATTATACATGTATATTCCATGGATGATATAGAATCACTAAAAATGACCCACCTGCTCCAGGGTAGACTGTGAGAGGCTGTACTCCTCCAGGTCGAAACTCTGTTTAACTGCATAAGAATGAGCATACATTAGGAATTCTATTTTTTTTTTCAGTGAGTTTTACCAAGTAACAAACCAAAATACATACAAGTAGATCTTAAACATAAAAGATAAGGTAATAAGTATTCTTAGACTAAATATGGGAAAGCAAACGCGATATAGTCATATAACAGGAGGAAACTCCATCCCTTTCATCTAGAGTATTGGTAGAGGCACCACAAAACTAGAAAGCAATATCAGAGGTTCCAGAGCATCTGTGCAGAACAAGCTAAGAGATGGTACCCTCTGTGCTAGACGATGACCACGTACCCCTCTGTACCAGCCCTCATTCTTGTCTACTCCAAAGGCTGATGTAACAGATGTCTTCTGGTGGACATCACCAATGGCAAGCCCATTAGGAAGGACAGGGGAGACAGGAGGTCAAGGCATTTATTCTTTCACTTCCTCCCTGACACCAAGTGTGTGCCTTGTTTCTCTCAAGGTAGTAAGTTCTACATGACTCTACCCTCAAGTTCAGGTCATTGCTTCCTCTCTTAGTCCCTCTGGACCTAAGAATGGTAACACTTCTATTGTTTCTCGTCTCAGGTAGTTACACTGTTCCATGTACCTTTGCAAAGAGTCTTCTGATAAACAAACGTTCCTTGAATTATCCTATTTTGAGTTTACCATCTGATACCAATTTGGACCATGACTGAGACCTCAACCATGTAGATACATAAGAAGAGGAAGATAATGAATGGAAAAATGAGACTGGAAGGCAAATATTTCTTTTGGACAGTGTCAGACTGCTGTGGCATTTTCTTTCTTCTTTCCTTGGACATAGGACTAGTCCCTATCTTATATCTGGAAACATGTGAAGAAGAAATACAGTGGGTGGCTGACTTCCCTGCACTTGTAGAGTTTAGAGAAGCAAAGATGCTTGTGTGTTTCTCATGGATTTCAAAGGGGAGGTATCTTGAGAAGATCACCTGGAAAGGGAAAGGGGTTTCAAGGAAGGGACTCAGGAGCTGCCAGGTGGTCACAGGAGCCGCCAGGTGGTCACAGGAGCCAAAAGCAGGATGCATCACCCACCCCGGGGAGCTGTAATCAGAGGTAATAGATGAGGGGGGGAAAGAAAGTCATCAAGGAACCCATAAAAGTACCCAATGAAAGAAAGGGCCAGCAATTCTTCATTTCTATACTGGAGACCCCAATGTGATATCATAGCTCTAATGATCAGATCAAGCTCTGATGCAATATTATCTCTTCTTTTTTCCACTTACACTACACCCTGGAGAGGCCCAAAACATTCGTTTATGAGTCATGGAGGAAATAGAGAAAGAAAAGACATAAAATTGACCATTTCACCTTCTAAGCTATAGGTCTTCAAATTCGAAGCAAGTCTGACCAAGAAGGGGCATGTGAGGCTAGGGTTTTGCTGGAGTTTACATTACCCAGCAGAGATTGGTGGTAGGAAAGAATGAAACTATGCAACAAGGTAAAAGGATTGCCATGGAGCAGGCATTTGGCTTGGACGACACCGTGCCTAGCCCATTCAATAAGTGTATTGCACCTGAGAATGTAACAGTGTCCAAGAACATTTGGAGGAAAAAATGCTAGCTTACATCTCCACATTTTGTACTTTGTGTCGTCTTCACATATTGGAGCAAGAAACTCTGATAAATACTTTGTTTTTCCCCCTAAATGAGAACTTCACTTTTAGCAAATTAAGTACTGCAGGAGGAATTTGAGGTGGGAGGGAATGCTTTTGAAAGCAGAAGCATGTTGATTTGGGGTGGAGAGTTCTGTAGATGTCTATTAGGTCTGCTTGGTGCAGAGCTGAATTCAATTCCTGGATATTCTTGTTAACTTTCTGTCTCGATCTGTCTAATGTTGACAGTGGGGTGTTAAAGTCTGCCATTATTATTGTGTGGGAGTCTAAGTCTCTTTCTAGGTCTCTAAGGACTTGCTTTATGAATCTGGGTGCTCCTGTATTGGGTGCACATATATTTAGGAAAGTTAGCTCTTCTTGTTGAATTGATCCCTTTACCATTATGTAATGGCCTTCTTTGTCTCTTTTGATCTTTGTTGGTTTAAAGTCTGTTTTATCAGAGACTAGGATTGCAACCCCTGCCTTTTTTTTGTTTTCCATTTGCTTGGTAGATCTTCCTCCATCCCTTTATTTTGAGCCTATGTGTGTCTCTGCATGTGAGATGGGTTTCCTGAATACAGCACACTGATGGGTCTTGATTCTTTATCTAATTTGCCAGTCTGTGTCTTTTAATTGGAGCATTTAGCCCATTTACATTTAAGGTTAATATTGTTATATGTGAATTTGATCCTGTCATTAGGATGTTAGCTGGTTATTTTCTCGTTAGTTGATGCAGTTTCTTCCTAGCCTCAATGGTCTTTACAATTAGGCATGTTTTTGCAGTGGCTGGTACCGGTTGTTCCTTTCCATGTTTAGTGCTTCCTTCAGGAGCTCTTTTAGGGCAGGCCTGATGGTGACAAAATCTCTCAGCATTTGCTTGTCTGTAAAGGACTTTATTTCTCCTTCACTTATGAAGCTTAGTTTGGCTGAATATGAAATTCTCTCAATAAATTAGGTATTGATGGGACATATCTCAAAATAATAAGAGCTATCTATGACAAACCCACAGCCAATATCATACTGAATGGGCAAAAACTGGAAGCATTCCCTTTGAAAACTGGCACAAGACAGGGATGCCCTCTCTCACCACTCCTATTCAACATACTGTTGGAAGTTCTGGCCAGGGCAATCAGGCAGGAGAAGGAAATAAAGGGTATTCAATTAGGAAAAGAGGAAGTCAAATTGTCCCTGTTTGCAGATGACATGATTGTATATCTAGAAAACCCCATCGTCTCAGCCCAAAATCTCCTTAAGCTGATAGGCAACTTCAGCAAAGTCTCAGGATACAAAATCAATGTGCAAAAGTCACAAGCATTCTTATACACCAATAACAGACAAACAGCCAAATCATGAGTGAACTCCCATTCACAATTGCTTCAAATAGAATAAAATACCTAGGAATCCAACTTACAAGGGATGTGAAGGACCTCTTCAAGGAGAACTACAAACCACTGCTCAAGGAAATAAAAGAGGATACAAACAAATGGAAGAACGTTCCATGCTCATGGGTAGGAAGAATCAACAACGTGAAAATGACCATACTGCCCAAGGTAATTTATAGATTCAATGCCATCCCCATCAAGCTACCAATGACTTTCTTCACAGAATTAGAAAAAACTACTTTAAAGTTCATATGGAACCAAAAAAGAGCCTGCATTGCCAAGTCAATCCTAGTCCAAAAGAACAAAACTGGAGGCATCATGCTACCTGACTTCAAACTATACCACAAGGCTACAGTAACCAAAACAGAATGGTACTGGTACCAAAACAGAGATATAGATCAATGGAACAGAACAGAGCCCTCAGAAATAATGCCACATATCTACAACTATCTGATCTTTGAGAAACCTGACAAAAACAAGAAATGGGGAAATGATTCCTTATTTAATAAATGGTGCTGGGAAAACTAGCTAGCCATATGTAGAAAGCTGAAACTGGATCCCTTCCTTACACCTTATACAAAAATTAATTCAAGATGGATTAAAGACTTAAATGTTAGACCTAAAACCATAAAAACCCTAGAAGAAAACCTAGGCAGTACCATTTAGGACACAGGCAGGGGCAAGGACTTCAGGTCTAAAACACCAAAAGCAATGGCAACAAAAGACAAAATTGACAAATGAGATCTAATTAAACTAAAGAGCTTCTGCACAGCAAAAGAAACTACCATCAGAGTGAACAGGCAACCTACAGAATGGGAGAAAATTTTTGCAATCTACTCATCTGACAAAGGACTAATATCCAGAATCTACAATGAACTCAAACAAATTTACAAGAAAAAAACAAACAGCCCCATCAAAAAGTGGACAAAGGATATGAACAGACACTTCTCAAAAGAAGACATTTATGCAGCCAAAAGACACATGAAAAAATGCTCATCATCACTGGCCATCAGAGAAATGCAAATCAAAACCACAATGAGATACCATCTCACACCAGTTAGAATGGCGATCATTAAAAAGTCAGGAAACAACAGGTGCTGGAGAGGATGTGGAGAAACAGGAATACTTTTACACTGTTGGTGGGACTGTAAACTAGTTCAACCATTGTGAGAGTCAGTGTGGTGATTCCTCAGTGATCTTGACGTAGAAATACCATTTGACCCAGCAATCTCATTACTGGGTATATACCCAAAGGATTATAAATCATGCTGCTATAAAGACACATGCACACGTATGTTTATTGCGGCACTATTCACAATAGCAAAGACTTGGAACCAACCCACATGTCCAACAATGATAGACTGGATTAAGAAAATGTGGCACATATACACCATGGAATACTATGCAGCCATAAAAATGATGAGTTCATGTCCTTTGTAGGGACATGGATGAAGCTGGAAACCATCATTCTCAGCAAACTCACTCAGCATGTTCTCACTCATAGGTGAGAATTGAACAATGAGAACCCATGGACACAGGAAGGGGAACATCACACACCAAGGCCTGTTGTGGGGTGGGGGGAGGGGAGAGGGATAGAATTAGGAGATATACCTAATGTTAAATGACGAGTTACTGGGTGCAGCACACCAACATGGCACATATATACATATGTAACTAACCTGCACGTTGTGCACATGTACCTTAAAACTTGAAGTATAATAATATAAAAAAACTAAAAAAAAAAAAAAGGAAGGAAATCGTGTTGTGGATGAATCTAGAGGACATTTTGCTAAGTGAAATAAGCCAGGCACAGCCACACAAATAGTGCATAACCCCACTTATATGTAGAACCTAAATAAGTCAAACTCAGAAGTAGAGAGTGGAATGATGGTTGCCAAGAGATGGCCAGGGGTGGGTGGAGGGAAGGGAAGGCAACAATAGAGGGTAGGGAGGATAGAGCAATATTGGTTAAAGGGTACGATGTTTCAGTCAGACAGGATAAATAAATTCAGATTTATTGACTGTATAACATGATGACTGTAGTTAATAATAATTTATTGTATACTTGAAACTTGCTAAGTGGGTAAATCTAAAATATTCTCAGCACAAATAAATGTTAAGTATGTGATGTGAAAAAAAAAAGAAAAAAGAAAGCAGAAACATGAGCAGCCTTTTTTAAAAAGCCTCTAGGGAGGCAGCCTTCCTGAAACATCAATCTCTGCTCCTAATCCATTATAAAATACTTCCTGTTGATCTCACTGCGGAATCCTTCCAACTGGAAAGATGCCAACCAGCCATTGGGGCATAATGGTCAGTGTGGTCAATGTGAAAAACGGCCACATAGACCACAGGGTGAGGTTGACCAACAGGATGAGAAAGTGAAACAAAAACCTATTTGGGTGATCCTAACCCTGTCTCAAGAAGAATCTCATTAAAAGCTAGGATGACCATCCTGGCCAACATGTTGAAACTCTGTCTCTACTAAAAATACAAAAATTAGCTGGGTGTGCTGGTGTGTGCTACTCGGGAGGCTGAGGCAGGAGAATTGCTTGAACCCAGGAGGCAGAGGTGCAGTGAGCCGAGATTGTGCCACTGCACCACTCCAGCCTGCCAGCCTGGCGACAAAGGAAAACTCTTTCTCAAAAAAAAAAAAAAAAAAAAAAAAAGCTAGGATGCTTGAGGCCTCTGATGAAGGCAGGTAACAAGCCAGAAAGTACAGCTCAAGAAGGGGCATGAGGTTTCATACACTAACTCATCAGATTTCATACACTAACATGACAGGGAAAAACCAAGCCCCTGATACATTG
The DNA here is from genome assembly GCF_000001405.40 of Homo sapiens. Classification (NCBI taxonomy): domain Eukaryota; kingdom Metazoa; phylum Chordata; class Mammalia; order Primates; family Hominidae; genus Homo; species Homo sapiens. The sequence continues at coordinate 68,982,002 of NC_000017.11, forward strand.
ATGCAGTATGCAAAGACCAAAATCCAAGGGCCTAAAATGACTTACAGATTAACACACCTAAACAGAGACAGGAACCTCCTTATCTGCATCTATCAATAGATGGCTATAAAACAATACATAGAGGCAAAAACCAAATTCATATGTTTCTGTTTGTATGAGTTTGTGGATAATCTACCGCTGAATGTACATGGTCTCTTTCTCCCAGAGCCTTGTTCAATTACAGTAGGGTACCTTGGCCCCAGCACTAATGACGTTTTGACTGATCACTCTTTCCTGTGATGGCTGACCAATGCACTGTAGGGTAGTTAGCATCATCCCTGGCCTCCACCCACTAGAAACCACTTGCATCCAACCTCTCTGTCCGCACTTGTAAGAACCCCAAATCTTCCCAGACATTGCCAAATCACCCCTTATGGAAAAACACTGGATTAGCAGTCTTAGTAATGTATTAATGATATAACAGCATAATTCTATGTTTATGTATTTTTAAAATACTGGTTCTATGTCAGATTTAGGCTTATCTGTTTCCCAGAGTTTTGTCTCTAAACAGTCACTCTTACCTATCTCTAATTTGAAGAAAGCCTGTGATAAAGGTCGCACATCCTCAACAGGCAACTTATAGACCATCAGGGAGGAGAACCTGCGAAGAGAAGACAGTGAGGCTGAACTCCAGGTGTCAAGGTTGAAACCCCGATGGGTACAAGTCTAAAAAGGGAAACAAGGCTAGGCATGGTGGCCCATGCCTGTAACCACTGCAATTTGGGAGGCCAAGAAGGGAAGATTGCTTGAGCCTATGAGTTTGAGACCAGTCTGGGAAACAGATGGAGATCCCATCTCCACAAAAAAACTTAAAAATTAGCCAGGAATGGTGGTGTGTGCCTGTATTCCCAGCTACCATGGAGGCTGAGGCAGGAGGACCACTTGAGCCCATGGGATTGAGGCTGCAGTGAGCGGTGATTGCACCACTGCACTGTAGACTGGGCGACAGAGTGAGATCCTGTCTCAAAAAATGAAAATAAAAAAATGAAAAGGAGCAACAATATCGTCAACAATCTGTCTAAATAGTCACATCTGTGCGGTGTTAGAGAGACACTCATAATGTAAGTGCTCTTTGATCAACAAGAAGTCAATCTACTAAGAGGAGGAATGAAAGACAAAGGGAAGGAAATTAACAGCCCCTATGCCTTATGAAGGGAAGAAGCAGAACTTCTTATCCTTCTTCTTAGTGAGAAGAGAGTAGCATTTCAGTAAAAAGAACTAGATTCTACTCCTGTCTCCACACTCTGAGCCTCAGTTGATTTCACTGATAATAATATATAGAAATGTTAAGAGACACCATTCACTGAGCTTTGACTGATGCCTGGCACTCTGGCATGGGCTTTATGCAGGTGATTTCCTTTAATGAGGGATGGTTTTACCCTCTAGAAGGAACCCCTGAGATGACCTAAGTGCATGCATGCATCAGTATTTGGCATGTTAGAGCCCCCATGCATGCTGATTCTCTTACAAGGGTCAGCTTTCAAATCAGCACTTTGTTCTCTTATTTCCCTCTTGTGTGAGCCCTTGGAATTGAATTTCTCTTAAGTAAAGTACTTGCAATTACCATAGAGTTAAAGAACGAGAAGATAAAGCTCTTATTCCGTCATCATAGCAGAAATATGGAAACAAAAACCAAGGACTGTGATAAAACAAAACACCTGTGTCTACCTTTCCTGCTGAGCAGCCTGGGGGAAAAGCCTCAGGATCTCTGCATGGAGGGGCTCCATTTGTGCCAGGTTCTTCAGCTTCATCTCCAGCAGGTAGTCTTTGCCAAATTTGCTTTTCAGGTGTTGGATGGAACCAATACATCTGAAGGTAACAGAAGGATAAAGTCAAGCAAGAAAAGAGAAAAATGTATGGCTTGTGATGTTCAGCCTCTGGAGGCCAGAGTAAGGCCACATAGAGTTGGAAGCAACCATGCTAGCTCCTCACGATGGGTAGCCTGGTGCAGGGAAATAAACTTTGCTCACAGCACACAACCTAGGGGCTGAGCGCCGGCTTGGACAGGCACTCACCTCAGCCTTCCTGACACCATGATGGCCACTCGGTCACACACCGCCTCAGCCTCTGCCATGTAGTGGGTGGTCAGGAGGGCGCCCCTCTCCGTGTTTCTAAAGGTGGCCCGAATCACCTGCCTAAAGTTAAGTCAAGAGAAAACGTGAACTCATGGGAATGCTCAAGGTATTTGGAATTTTAAAAAGAAGTTTCCATCGACGCAAAGATGAAACATGCAGCGAATTCAGACTAGACAAAAAAGGGGTGTGTGTAGGGATGACAGGCACGGAAACCAAACTATTGGATAGAGTATATAATTCAGAACGTAGAAAATGATATTGGGTAAGATGCTGTTTATAAAAATACTAAGTTCAGAAATATTTATGAGAATGCAGTAGGAACAAAGAAAATTAGGAGAATTTACTAAAAAGCTTGATAATCATGACATACTCCCTATAGGTACAAGATGACAGAATTCAGAAACTTCCCAAAAATAATTTTAAAATATATTGAAGATTTGGAATGTTTCTTTTTTTCCTCCATAGGAATTGTATATCAGGTGATGTTGCAGAAAGATTTAAAGCTTCATTATAGATTGATTTGGCTGTATAAAAATGTTCCATGTAGGCACAGACACAAAAATTATTCGAGCAAATATTAGGGTGAGATAATATAGCTTTTTCTTCTCAATAAAAGCTGGTTGTGATTTGAAATCAGATAATTTTTTTTCCTAAAATATTGCTTTTCCTGATACTGTGTCTTTTCCTTTCTAAGTAAACAATGATTTTGCAGGCCAGTTTTCACAGGATCAATACACTCATGCAGAGGTTGCTCATGATAGCACCTCACCACATTTGCTGCTGCCCCTCGGGGTCCATCCCGGTCGACGGCTCATCCAGAAGCACCACTGACGGGTTCCCCAGGATGCTCAGCACAAAGCACAGCTGCAACGGGAGGAACAGCCCCTCTGGTTCCCATCTACGGCACTTGCAGAGCAACAACAAGCCCTGCCCGTACCTTTCGCTTTATTCCCTCTGACAAGGTCTTCACGGGAGCCTTCAGCTGGTCCTGCAGCTTGAGCGCATCCACTAACCTGAAGAAAACAGAGTCAATCCACATAATCCCAACACTGGCGAATGTACATGGGAGAATGAGCAAATCAGGAGAAACACGACGGTGGGGGAGGTGTTTATGAGTGGTCAGAGTGGTCATAAAATTTAAACCACCTAGGTACTTTATGAACCTTTCATAGTCATCAAACTCATATTTTCAATGATGTCTTTCCATATTAAGAATAATCAGGCTGGACCGGGCACAGTGGCTCATGCCTGTAATCCCAGCACTTTGGGAGGCTGAGGCAGGTGGACCACGAGGTCAAGAGATTGAGACCATCCTGGCCAACATGGTGAAATCCTGTCTCTACTAAAATTACAAAAATTAGCTGGGCATGGTGGCGTGCACCTGTAGTCCCAGCTACTCAGGAGGCTGAGGCAGGAGAATCGCTTGAACCTGGGAGGTGGAGGTTGCAGTGAGCTGAGATCGCACCACTGCACTCCAGCCTGATGACAGAGCAAGACTCCGTCTCAAAAAACAAAACAAACAAAAACCAAGAATAATCAGTCTGGGTGCAGTGGCTCACACCTGTAATCCCAGGTGGCTCACACCTGTAATCCCAGCATTTTGGGAGGCCAAGGTGGGCAGATCACCTGAGGGTCTTGAAAGACCAGCCTGGCCAATATGTTGAAACCCCGTCTCTACAAAAATACAAAAAGTTAGCCCGGCATGATGGCGGGTGCCTGTAATCCCAGCTACTAGGGAGGCTGAGGCACAAGAATCGCTTGAACCCAAGAGGCGGAGGTTGCACTGAGCACTCCAGCCTGGGCGGCAGAGCCAAACTCCGTCTCAAAAGAAAAAAAAAGGAAAAAAGAAAAAGAAAAAGAAATCAATAAACATTTTTCTCTCCAGGCTCAAAGTGAGAGAAAACAACACTGAACAGAGTTCTAGATGACCAAATCTTCTCCCACAAGCATGGGGTCATCAATTACAACCTCCCTGTCTTCATTTTGTGTGTATGTTATTAATACAACATCCCCTCCAGCAAAGGGGAGTGCCCCCCAGTCCCAGGTACCGTGTGATGGCGATCATTGCGTCCCCTTTCCTGAGACCTTTCACGGCAGCGTACACCTCCAGGTGCTGCCTCACTGTCAGGTTGGGCCACAGCGCATTCTCCTGAGGGCAGTACCCCAGGAAGCCCAGGGGTTCCCCTCCACCGCTCCCTTTCAAAATCACCTATGCAAAATAAGTTCATTCTTAGATTCTATCCCAAATGTCACGTATATGTATATGCATGTAAGCCGTACTTCAGAGATGCCCTTCTCTTCACACACACAGGTGCTAAGTGCACAAATGCAAATCAGTAATCACTTAACTTTGGGGAAAAGGTGGTAAAAGCCCACTTTAAAAGGCAGACATTCCATGGTTATCCATTGTAGTGTAGACTTTACTACCAATTCCATGACCGTGATTGAACTCAAGATTGCTGATTTGAGTGTCTTTTACTTGGCTTCATTCATTGATCCAAACATTCAAAGGAATAGATACTTGTTGAGAATTCTGTTTCGCCAGTGATAGTTATAATTATAGGATTTATCTTGCAATAAGGCAGTGGTTCTCAGCCAGGGGAATCCTCCTCCTAGGGGATATTTAACAATGTCTGGAGACACATTTGGTTGTCACAATTCATGTGTGTATGCATTGGGAAAACAGTATTACTGGCATCTAGTAAGTAGGGGCCAAGGGTGCTGCCAAACATCCTACTATGCACAGAACAGCTCCCCACAGCAAAATGACATTATCAAGTCCATAATATCGAGGTTGAGAAATTCTGAACTAAGAAATAAACAAAAAACTTTTAGCACTGTATCTAGCCCGTAGGAACCAATATACACATGATAGCATTTATTATTTTTATTAGCCAGGCTATGCTTTACAATAATAAGAACATCTAATGTGTCCTCAGTGCTTCCTATGTGCCAGAATCTAAGCATATAATATATTTTTAATTACATTATCCTATCCTTACAGAACCCCTGTATGTGTTAGGTGTTTGTTTTATCATTGATGTTTTACATACAGAAAATTATCACAAGCATGGATTATGAAACTTGTACAAGGTCACAACAAGGTAAATCTCGGACTTGAAGCTGGGATCCACCTTCAGAATCCAAGTCCTTGACCTTGATGCTATATTGTCTCCCCCCAGTACAAAGGAGAGAGCTAGTTAACCTTGCCTCATTGAGCTTTCATTTTGGAGAAAGAAACATAAAATATAAGTAGTAAGTAAACACGTAAGTGAACAATTTATAACCTCTGCCTTGTGCTTTCAAGGAAATAGATATGCTAAAGAATAACAGGGAGGATTTAATTTAGCTGACAGTGTAGTTAGGAAAAGGCATTTTGGGGAGATAAATTTTTAAGCGATGAGAAGGAGACAGCCAAGCACATGAGGAGCCAACAGAAGGGCACTCTAGCCACAGGAAGATCAAACCCAAAGATCCCACAGCGAGAAGGTGCCTCAAGGCCAATGTGAGCAGGCGGTCAACAGACCACATCATGCTGGGCTGGTTGCAGCCATGGTAAAGATTTTGGATCAATTCTAAGTGAGAGGTTGTACATGGGAGATTGACATGACCTCATTTGCGTTTTTTTTTGTTTGTTTGTTTGTTTGTTTGTTTTTTTGTTTGAGATGGAGTTTCTCTATTGTTGCCCAGGCTGGAGTGCAATAGCGCTATCTCAGCTCACCGCAACCTTGGCCTCCCGGCCGGGTTCAAGCAATTCTCCTGCCTCAGTCTCCCGAGGAGCTGGAATTACAGGCATTCACCACCACGCCTGGCTAATTTTGTATTTTTGGTAGAGATGGTGCTTCTCCATGTTGGTCAGATTGGTCTCTAACTCCTGACCTCAGGTGATCTGCCTGCCTCAGCCTCCCAAAGTTCTGGGATTACAGGCAGGAGCCACCGTGCCCGGACCTCATTTGCATTTTTAAGGACTGTTCTTGCTGCAGTGTGAGGCAAGAGTGGAAATGGAAGGACAGGAAACCTCTGTAGCATTGAACGCCACTGTGCGACCTTCCTTCATAAACACTCCCTCTGACATTGAGCTCATGTTCAAGGTCAATAGCATTTCCTCTTGGAAGTTGTGGTCCTTTGGCTTCTGTCCATCATTTTACCCAAACTTGGCCTAGACATACCACTAAATGGTACTCATATATTATTCTAGCTTTTGTTTTGCAATTTAGATAATTATCCATTTTTTTTTCATTAAATCTGATTTCTCTTGTCTTAAATCCTGGATCTTTTACCATTAGCCCAGAATCACCATTGTCCTTCAAGAATTTCAGTGTATCTGCAATAATACCCTCAACTGCTCTATCACTACATTACATCATCAGGGCCAAGAAATGTTTCAATAATTGTAGGAAAGTTTCTGTGGTATATACCTTCTTAAAGACCTATGAGGTTTTACTCGCTAATGGACTCTTATTGTTACACAAGTCACACATAATCTTTAATTATAGCATATAGCTAGAGGACAGTCATTAAATATGAAGACTCATGGCTCTGCAACCACATAGGCAGGAGTTGTCATTATTCTGACAGTGGTTTCTGGTGTCATGCTGGGTGAGGGCATTAAATTCGACAAAGTTCATGGGATGCATAAATCAATAAAGCAAAGATATCTGACTTTAAGGAAGATATATTTCCTTTTAAAATCTTTATTTTTCACTCAATAAAAGGCATAGTATATATGATATGTAGCCCTTCTCAGAAACAAACTGTTTTTGGAATTAAGTATATAAATTTTTAATCAATCTTCTTTATTCAATGCATAAATCACACTAAGTGATTATGGATCAACTACATAGTCTATTATTGCCATCAATATTCTTTGTAGGTAGCACTAATGACCATATTCCTGTACGTTTTACTGACCTGTCCTGCAGTTGGTTTTGTGTCTCCAGTTATCATCTTAATAGTTGTACTTTTACCAGCTCCATTGTGTCCTAACAGTCCTATAACTTCACCTGAAAGAAAGTGGTATGCTCAGAAATATACAAATAATTGCAACAAAAATAAAAGCAAATACCATTTGAGGGCTGTGTGTCAAGTGCTATGTGAAATGTGCTATATATATTATTTCCCTTATTCCTCTCTCTCTCTCTCACACACACACACACACACACACACACACACACACACACCCCTGAGCATTATAACTAGCTTCATTTTACAGGTGAGGAAGCTAAGACTTAAAGAGGATAAATAAGTTGCCCCATGTCATACAGACAGTAAGAGGCTGAGCTGGAAGTTGTAACATATTTTGATTTCAAAGCCTGTTGTACGAACCCCCCACTTTCACGAAATGGGCTGTTTTGGGGGAATGGAGAAAGCACTGTTATGCCTCCATTGGCTCCCTTCTGTGTAGTATTCGCTGCAATAACATTGTTACCTAAAAACTATACCATCCTTCTTAACAGAAAGACCGCCTCTTTTCATTGTTGTTGTTCTGTTTGTTTGTGTTACAGAACAGACATAACTGTCTTCCTATGTAAAGAAAAAAAGGTCGTTATCATTTCAACTGAGGCTTTTAAGCAGGAGGAGCAGGCTTAGCCTGCTGCGTTTGTCAATAGATGTCCCCAGATTCAGATACTCTTATTCCCTGAATAATCCAGTCTTCAGATTCAAGATTGCTCTACTAATGGAACTACTGTTTCCAACCTTTTTTAACACAAAAAGAGACATTTCTTGTGGCAATTTTTTTCTTCCTTTTAGAAAAGCAATTTTTCTTTTTGCCTGCATATTCCTTCCGTAGACAGCTGGCAATGATGACGGGTGTCTGTAAAGACAAGTAAATAACAACGGGACTTTATTCGCATCTTGAACTGAGAGGGTGTTCCACACTCTTGTCACCAAACCTTTCCTTATAAAAAATCATGAATCAAACCACTTCTTCCCCTAGAAACTGCCATTTTCAAGTGAACTCTTACAGTCTACATTCCTGCAAGGAAAGGGCATTTGCACCATATCCTGGGATTTGTTCTTTGGAGAGCAGGAATAGAGACAGTCACTGAACCAACAGATTTGATAAGACACACACTCCCATAAACAATCATGCACACAAACACACACGCACCGCAGACAAGCTCTCTCTCAGTGACTTGCAGTAAGCTTCACTTTGGTTATAAAACACAAAATCTTACTTAAGTTTTGTAATGTTTAGCTGTACTTATCAAAACCACAACCCTGAAAAATAAATCAATACAAGTCAATATCTGTGTGTGTGTATGCACATGCATGTGTTTCTTGAGACAGAATCTTGCTCTGTCACCCAAACTAGGGTGCAATGGTGCAAGTATATCTCACTGTAGCCTTGAACTCTCAGGCTCAAGTGAGCTTCCAGCCTCAGCCTTCTGAGTAGCTAGGACTACAGGCACATGCCACCAGGCTCATCTAATTTTTTTATTTTTAATTTTGTAGAAATGGGATCTTACTTGTTGCCCAGGCTGGTCTCAAACACCTGACCCTAAGTGATCTTCCCACTTCAGCCTCCCAAAGTGCATTGTGTGTGTTTTCTTTGCTCTCTTACATTTGTGGGCCTTGCATACCTGCTGAAGTCAAGTAATAAGCTGTATGTGTAAGAATGAAAGAACCCCAAGTGTTTTTCGAAAACTAAACTTAGAAAGTTTCTCACTTTATCTGTCAGAAAAAAAAATAGTTGACGAAGAACATTTCTGAGTTCTACCTCATCAAAGTCTCGCACAGCCATAGCATTCACTGTTCTCATTCTTTCCATCTGGATATCTTCCTCCTCTCCTTCAGGCTCTTCTGGGTTTGGAAAAATAGCGTTGCTTCTTGGAGAAATTCTGAAATCAAAACAGTGTGATAATGATAAACTTCGGGTTAAAAATCTTGTATCAAAATTAATGAATTTTCTCTATACTTCCAATTTTTGGAGTAGATTCATTCAGAGCACAACATCCTCTCTATTCTTCTACTTGCACCATCCGCCTTTCAAACACCCTAGTTTCCTTCAGTGAGTAGAGTAATGATATCCTTATATCATCTTCGCTTTTTACCAAAGCTTAATCCTCCCTGTTGATGGTGACAGTTTTCTTTCAAAGAAGAAAGTGGTATACACCCTCTGGCAAAGGATTGTGAAGCAGAGTTGCATGAGGAAAGGAATCTAGGAACTATAGTTTTGACAACAGATATTTTGGAATTCTGAGGTCTTTGTGAGAGCCATGAGTCCAAAGATTTGGAATCAAGGATGTGTCCCAGAGAATCCAGGATATCTAATCACCATACCAATGCCTAATTAGTTACTGAGCACAGTCACTTCTTGGGAATGTGTGACAGAATCACTCTTTCCTCTCTGCTACAGACTCGTTCTTGCCTTCATCATCCCACCATTGATTCCTGCTCATTCTTTTATCTCTCCCTCATGCCACGCTCTGACATTCTGGTTGCCTGTTGGTTTCCTAAAACATGGCTGTCATCTTGTCACTCTTCTCTGCTACCACAAACATTAGACTTAAGCTTGGTTTATATTTTATATGGAAGGCTAAGTGTTCAAGACACATTGGTGTCTTGGTTTCACATTATGTAATTTGCAAAACCTTTCCTATACTTTTCTGTTTCAAGATCCTCCAATATCTAGCCTCACTTTCATTTTTCATCATCCCCCAACATAAGCCTACAAAGGAGCTCCTGGTGCCTTCATCTCATCCTTGGTTTTATTGCACAAACTATTCTTCCTTCCCGGATTGGATTAACTTTCCCAATGCTTATCTATATTTACCCATTATTTTAGAGATTCCACCTCTTACACATAACTTTCCTCTATAGTAAAATTATGGTCTGCCTTAATTTTCCAGTGTCTCGTGTGTGCTAATATGGTTTCTCTCTCTAGATTGTAAGCTCAGTATATATTCCTATATTATGGGTTATAAGAATTTTGTATATCACAGTCTTTAAAAACCATCCTGTGAAGTGTCTTTTACTTAATTAATTCAGCACATTAAAAAGTCCTTAAAGAATGAATATCAAAATGAAACATGAAATTCGATTTGATTTTCTCAACCTGAACACAGGATCCTTTCTCATTAGTTTCTTCCTGCAGTTCATTTCTAGGCATCGCAGAATGAAAAGAAAAATGAGAAAATGAAGGTAAGGCTAGGGAAAAAGAAAGACAATCACAATTAGTATCACTATAAATGCAATGATTTCAATATTGGAATTGATTTAAAGAGTTTGATTATATAAAAATTCGATTTGATAGCATTCATTTTTACAAGGCTGAAAGACAACCTGTAATATTCTTTGAAACTGTCAAAGTTAGCCTCACTGCTATTCAGAGAGAGCCTAACAGAAATATAATAGTAGCAAGTGAAACCAGTACTACCCATGACAGATAATTATTGTAAAGATAGGAGTCCAGGGCCAGGAGCGTTGGCTCACGCCTGTAATCCCAGCACTTTGGGAGGACGAGGCAGGTGGATCACATGAGGTCGGAAGTTCGAGACCATCCTGACCAACATGGAGAAACCCCATCTCTACTAAAAATACAAAATTAGCCACACATGGTGGTGCATGCCTGTAATCCCAGCTACTTGGGAGGCTGAGGCAGGAGAATTGCTTGAACACGGGAGGTGGAGGTTGTGGTGAGCTGAGATAGCGCCATTGCACTCCAGTCTGGGCAACAAGAGTGAAACTCTGTCTCAAAAAAAAAAAAGGGGGGGGGTCCAGGTTAAAAGCCATCGTGTGTGTGTGTGTGTGCACGCATGCATGCATGTGCATGTGTGTGTTGCTTCAAATGCCTAAAATGTCCAAACCTTCTTAATTTGATGCAATTCAGAGAAACTCAAAACATACAAAAGTTGTGTTCCCTCATGCAAGAATGTTGAAAAAAAAAGTCTTCTTACTATTAGCAGTGCCAGGTATACAATTTCAGATTCTGAAGCTCCTAAGTAATCCATGGAATCAGGAGAAATCTGTAAAATGAGCAGTAAGTGTATTCAGGTGAACCTTCTTTATTTATTCATGGAATTTATCCCACTTAAGATAAACTGATGCCTATTCAATGGCCTTACAACCATTCGACCTGATGCTCCCTTGGGTATCATGTAAAAGTTAATTTCGGACTGTGCAGTATGTCTTCTTTGCTTCCAGTGTGTCTCTAGGCCGGGATGCCTTTGTATGTAACACTGTGAGTCAGCAGGAGTTGCTCTGTTAGGAGAATCCTGGGCTGGTGCTGGCAGGATCCTTTGAAGCAATGCCAAGTCTGTCTTAAGACAAACCCTCTCCCCTAACCTTACCTGTATTTCTGTCTTCATTTGTGCTCTTCCCTCGATTATGCCCCCAAGGGCCCTGGAATCTTTATATTGCTCTTGCCCTCTTACAGCCACTTTTGAGAGTAATTATGACAATCTTTTCAAACTGAAGACAAAGTTCTTCCCCTAGAGTTTCACACGTATACATATAAGTGCATTTTTCCAACATTCCCCACTCTTTTGCAAATAAAAGGTAAAAGGACAATTTTGTTTCTTGAGCTATATTTACCAACAAGTTTCCTGAGCAATTTTAAACGCTTTGCAGTAGATTTCTAACTATCACAGCCATCCACCATCTAGAAAAGATGACTTTTCCACATTGGATGATGTGCACGACCTTGACATCATTTCAAATGATTTTGTTTTCTTAGGTGCCCCAGTTGCCCACTTTCAATAATTGCACCTCATCCAAACTGAACCTCTGGCTCCCAGATCTCTACTCTCTCTGCTGATACTATATTTTTTTTTATGGGACAGAGTTTTGTTCTGTTGCCCAGGCTGGAGTGCAGTGGCATGATCTTGGCTCACTACAACCTCTGCCTCCTGGGTTCAAGCAATTCTCCTGCCTCAGCTTCCCGAGTAGTTTGGATTACAGGCACCCAATACCATGCCCTGCTAATTTTTGTATTTTTAGTAGAGATGGGGTTTCACCATGTTGGCCAGGCTGGTCTCGAACTCCAGACCTCAGGTGATTCACCTGCCTCGGCCTCCCAAAGTGCTGGGATTACAGGCATGAGCCACCGCACCTGGCCTCTGCCAGTACATTTTAGTTTTTTGGCATCCTTATGCTAGTGTTCTTACTCCATAATTTGGAATTGGAGAACCTCTAACCCACCAACTCCTTTTCCACTGTCCATAATCACCCTCATGTCCTTAACTTCATTTTCTAGCTTAGAATCCATTATATCTTCAATTCCTTTTTATATAGAACTACTGCTCACATATTCTTTTCTTTGTCAAATTTGCCTGCCAAGTGTCCAACCCTGATTGAACCCAACTCTCTGCCTTTCCTAAACTGCATTTAAAAGCAGGCTGTAATAAGAGAAACTCTCTACTTTGCTGACTTCGCTGAAAAGTAGGGCAGAGGGTCTTCGGCACTGTCTGTCCATCCTAATGACCTACGTTCTGAAATAGTTTTTCACATCTTTTTTTCTCCAAATCCCAAGCCCCCTTGGCCAAGTTAATGACTTCCCCTCTTACTTTCCTAAAAAAGGTAGAATCAGTCAGAAGAGAATCATCTCATCTTTCTACCAGCAAAGCCACTAAACTCTCTGCCTCCTATGTTCATATTCTCTGATTATAATTTCATATTAAGCATGTGGAATGTCCCTGCTTTTATGGACAGCACCCCCTCCACTTGTGGACTTTACGCTATTTTTTCTCACCTATTCATGGACTTGACTCATGAGGTAACCTCTATCTCTCTTTTCCAGCATGAGTTTCTCTAACATCAGCATAGTATTTTCCTTCTTAGCACAGACAAAAATCTACCCTCCCTATTCATTTATTCTTGAATTTTTCTGCTACGCTTTTTGCCACATCTCCTAGAAATATTTGCCTGTACTCACAGTCACCACATCCTCCCCTCACATTTTCTACTAAGTTCACTCTTACTGTGCTTTTGCATTGACACTTTCATTAAAATCGACCTTGTGAAGCTCACCAATGACGTTCGTGTAGTCATAGCCAATGGTCTCTTTTCAGTTGTCATCTTTCTAGAACTCACAATAGCATTTGATGGTTTAATCACTCCCTCCTTCTTGAAATGTTCTTTATTGCCATCTGGCACACACCCTTATGAGCGTCTGAGAAGAGCCTCCAGCACACAGAAGGCTACCATTTTTGTTCTCTTATCTCCCTGGCTCCATCTCAAATGGATTCGCTGGCTCCTCCTCTTCACCAACTCTAAGTTTTGGAGTTCAAGATCATGTATTTGCTTTCCAATCTCTAAATTTTGGAGTTTAAGGTCATGTCATTGGCCTTCTTTTTATTTCTATCTCTACTCACCGCGTAGGTCATATTATTGTCGCATGGCTTTTCATACCATTTATAAACTGATCAATCTCAAATATCTAGCTTTAACCCCCATCTCCACACACCCTGACACATTGAATTCCTGACTCATGTATCTAACTGGCTACTTGACATTTCTCAAACCTAACATATCCAAAACTTAACAAAAAAGGGGCATCTCTTTGGCCTCCCAGTAGGGTTCCCAGCAGTGAGAGTTATCATGAGAACTAAACTTCCACTCTCCTGGAGTTGCCTTTGACTTGTCATAAACCAAAGCTGGCTTCCTACTGAATCAGAACATGCCCCTTATCCATGCGTGGCAAGAGAACTGACTTTCCAAAGACAGAGACTTTTAAACTTTGCACAGCTGAGGACTCTATCTATATTTTTGCAATATTCATGGCTTTCTCAAATGACCACACATTTCATGACCCTCAGACAGAAGTGGAACTACTTACCTCAGAAAAAATGAATAGAGAGCCAATCAATGTGAAGGGAGGTATTAACATGGTGCCAAAAAATAGCCCTAGAAATCCATATTCATTTAGATCAGTAGCAACTATCGAGAAGATGACCACCTAAAACAAATGCACAGTATAGCGTCATTAAAGTGTACCAATCTGAATTTTAGGATGTTTTCTAAGAGGGTGGGAATTCATTTATAAACGTTGTTATTTTCAATTTCACTCCCCAAACCAGTATTTATATCATTTCTTTCCTTTGCAACATGGAATTTCATCACAGTTTTGTATGGGATTTATTATTAATTTCTTAAAAGACACAGTGATGCTTCTCAATCTCAATGGCATACAAATCAGGTGAGACTCTTGCTAAAATTTAGATTCTGATAAAGTGATTATTTATTGTACATTACTCTGCATTTTTCTTTTTTTCATTTCACAATAGTTCATAGACATCCTTTTAGGCTTAGGCAAACCAGCTATTTGTTTTCTTGGCAATTATTTGTTTGAATGGATGTGCAAAATTCAACAACTTTGCCTTCAGAAAACATGTTTTTAATTTTTCTGCTCCTATGAATGATGGTCTACATAGGTCTTTATGTATGGACACTTTTAGTCTGGAAGGAGAGATTCTGAAAAGTGTAACTGCAGGTTAAAATTTATGTGCACTTAAAATTTTAACAGTTGCTAACATTTTGTGTAAAGTTTGTGACATCTATTCTACAAACCATGAATTAGAGTACACGTCACACCACACATCATTGACACAGGAGGTCATATTATTTATTGTAGGCATCGTTGATTTTATTGCTGATATTAAGTAAATAACTTTATAATTTTACCATTTAATATGACATTTACCATTGGTTTGGGTAATTTGTCCCTCTTGTGTTACTATTTTCTTTATATTAGGTCTTTTTAAGGAACTATATGGTCTTTACTTGACTTATATAGTTTTCTTCCTTTAGCTGCTAATACTGAACCATTATTGTGTTCTGAAATAAATCATACTTGACTATTTTTAAATTATTCTTTTTTTCTTCTTCTTTTTGATGGAGTCTTGCCCTGTCACCCAAGTGCTGGAGTGCAATGGCACAATCTCAGCTCACTGCAACCTCCACCTCTCAGGTTCAAGCGATTCTCCTGCCTCAGCCTCCCAAGTAGCTGGGATTACAGGCACATGCCATCACGCCCAGCTAATTTTTGTATTTTTAGTAAAGACGGGGTTTCACCAAGTTGGCTAGGCTGGTCTCGAACTCCTGACCTCAGGTGATCCACCCACCTCGGCCTCCCAAAGTGCTAGGATTACAGGCGTGAGCCATTGAGCTCGGCCAAATTATTCTTTTGCAAACTTATTTCTGTGTTTGCTTTCTTTCTATTTAGAGAGTTGTCTTTAATTTTTCCAAGTGAATTTATCAATGGGTTTTCAAAGCTTTTTAAAGTTTTATTATTAAATTTATGCTTGCTTTACAAAAGGAACTCTTCAACTTTATGAATTTTTTCTATTAAATATTTAAGTATTCTATGATTCCCAAAGTTATTTGATCTTCCTAAATGTTTAAGTGAATTCAGTGGTCCTTATCAGTGCTTTTGCAATTTTTCTTTTCTTGAATTCTTTATTTCCTGGTTGTATTAATTTTAACCCTAAGTGGTTCCTCTTTCATGTGGCTGTAATTTGTTCCTGGGTATTTTTTTTCTTTTTTTTTTTTTTTTGTTAAAAGGATTTTATTATTTATTTATTCATTTTTTGGAGCAGTTTTAGCTTCACAGCAAAATTGAGTGGCAGGTTAAGAGATTTCTCATATACCCACTGCCCTCATACAGGCACAGCCTCCGCCATTATTAACATTCCCCAACAAAGCAGTACATTTGTTAGAATTGATGAGCCTTATTGACACATCTTTAACACCCAGAGTCCATAGTTTACATTAGAGCTTACTCTTGTTGTTGGACATTCTATAGGTTTGGACAAATTTTTAATTATATGTATCCACCATTATAGTATCATACAGGCCTAAAAATCCTCAGTGATCCACCTATTCATCCCTCACTCCCTATGACCCCTGGCAACCATTGATCTTTTCACTGTCTCCATAGTTTCGCCTTTTCCAGAATGTCATTTAGTTGTAATCATACAGTGTGTAGACTTTTCAGATTGGCTTCTTTCACTTAGTAATACGCATTTAAGTTTCCTCCATGTCTTTTCGTGACTTAAGAGCACATTTCTGTTTACCCAAAATAATATTCCATTGTCTGGATGTAACACAGTTTGTCTATTCACCATCTTGGACATCTTGGTTGCTTCCAAGTTTTGACAATTATAATTAAAGCTGCTATAAACATCATTGTGCAGGTTTTTGTGTGGACCAACTAATATTTTTCAGTAGGGCTTTTAAAACGTTTACTTCCACATTTTATATTTGATTATGTCTGACCTTTCCTAGAACTGCAACTTGGTAGATATAATTTTGGAAGAGAGAAATTCCATTTCCTTTCCCTCAGATGTGTGAAAAGTGACACATGGAATTGTAGGAGATAAATCTGAGGCAGTTGGAAGTTTTCTCTTTTATGATTGGTTTTCATTTACTTCTTGGGAGCCTTTATTTGGAAGTTTCATATCATAATGAATATTGATCATTCCATAACAGTTCTTTCTAAATTTAAGAATTTCTTCTATTATATTTTTATACATAGAATTATTTTAAAAGAATTATACATATGTGTAACAATGGATTTGCTACATAAAAAATATTAATTATTCTTTTGTTGGATTGGTTTTGTATTTACATCTTTTCTTATTGTTGTCTTGCTGATTATGGGGATTATCTTAATCCTTTATTTATATATGTAATTAGATTTTCAGCCTTTTTCAGAATTCATTATTAATTCTGAAATTGTGCTGATGGTTAGTGTGTTTATGTGGATCTAAAATTTCTTTTTTTTTTGTATTCAAGATGTTTTATCATTGTGACTCTGAGCTTTTGTCTTATTAAATGTGTATTCTTTTAAAAAATCTATAGAGAATGCTTGAATGGAAGTTTTATTTGTTCTGCATTGTTTTGGAATACTTTATTAATTTCTTTCTTATTGGGAAGTCATGCAGCACCTTTTTATCTTGGACATGTATAACATATGTAGGTCTACTGAGATCTTCTATTTGCTCTGATAAAGTGCTTATTATTTCTGAACAGGCTTTCTTTCTTGGCTGATATTGGTTTATCTTTTTATTATTATTATTATTATTATACTTTAAGTTTTAGGGTACATGTGCACATTGTGCAGGTTAGTTACATACGTATACATGTGCCATGCTGGTGTGCTGCACCCACTAACTCGTCATCTAGCATTAGGTATATCTCCCAATGCTATCCCTTCCCCCTCCCCCCACCCCACAACAGTCCCCAGAGTGTGATGTTCCCCTTCCTGTGTCCATGTGATCTCATTGTTCAATTCCCACCTATGAGTGAGAATATGCGGTGTTTGGTTTTTTGTTCTTGCAATAGTTTACTGAGAATGATGGTTTCCAATTTCATCCATGTCCCTACAAAGGACATGAACTCATCATTTTTTATGGCTGCATAGTATTCCATGGTGTATATGTGCCACATTTTCTTAATCCAGTCTATCATTGTTGGACATTTGGGTTGGTTCCAAGTCTTTGCTATTGTGAATAATGCCGCAATAAACATACGTGTGCATGTGTCTTTATAGCAGCATGATTTATAGTCCTTTGGGTATATACGCAGTAATGGGATGGCTGGGTCAAATGGTATTTCTAGTTCTAGATCCCTGAGGAATCGCCACACTGACTTCCACAATGGTTGAACTCGTTTATAGTCCCACCAACAGTGTAAAAGTGTTCCTGTTTCTCCACATCCTCTCCAGCACCTGTTGTTTCCTGACTTTTTAATGATTGCCATTCTAACTGGTGTGAGATGGTATCTCATTGTGGTTTTGATTTGCATTTCTCTGATGGCCAGTGATGATGAGCATTATTTCATGTGTTTTTTGGCTGCATAAATGTCTTCTTTTGAGAAGTGTCTGTTCATGTCCTTCGCCCACTTTTTGATGGGGTTGTTTGTTTTTTCTCGTAAATTTGTTGGAGTTCATTGTAGATTCTGGATATTAGCCCTTTGTCAGATGAGTAGGTTGCGAAAATTTTCTCCCATGTTGTAGGTTGCCTGTTCACTCTGATGGTAGTTTCTTTTGCTGTGCAGAAGCTCTTTAGTTTAATTAGATCCCATTTGTCAATTTTGGCTTTGGTTGCCATTGCTTTTGGTGTTTTAGACATGAAGTCCTTGCCCATGCCTATGTCCTGAATGGTAATGCCTAGGTTTTCTTCTAGGGTTTTTACGGTTTTAGGTCTAACGTTTAAGTCTTTAATCCATCTTGAATTGATTTTTGTATAAGGTGTAAGGAAGGGATCCAGTTTCAGCTTTCTACATATGGCTAGCCAGTTTTCCCAGCACCATTTATTAAATAGGGAATCCTTTCCCCATTGCTTGTTTTTCTCATGTTTGTCAAAGATCAGATAGTTATAGATAAGCGGCGTTATTTCTGAGGGCTCTGTTCTGTTCCATTGATCTATATCTCTGTTTTGGTACCAGTACCATGCTGTTTTGGTTACTGTAGCCTTGTAGTATAGTTTGAAGTCAGGTAGTGTGATGCCTCCAGCTTTGTTCTTTTGGCTTAGGATTGACTTGGTGATGTGGGCTCTTTTTTGGTTCCATATGAACTTTAAAGTAGTTTTTTCCAATTCTGTGAAGAAAGGCATTGGTAGCTTGATGGGGATGGCATTGAATCTGTAAATTACCTTGGGCAGTATGGCCATTTTCACAATATTGATTCTTCCTACCCATGAGCATGGAATGTTCTTCCATTTGTATCCTCTTTTATTTCCTTGAGCAGTGGTTTGTAGTTCTCCTTGAAGAGGTCCTTCACATCCCTTGTAAGTTGGATTCCTAGGTATTTTATTCTCTTTGAAGCAATTGTGAATGGGAGTTCACTCATGATTTGGCTCTCTGTTTGTCTGTTGTTGTATAGGAATGCTTGTGATTTTTGTACATTAATTTTGTATCCTGAGACTTTGCTGAAGTTGCTTATCAGCTTAAGGAGATTTTGGGCTGAGACAGTGGGTTTTCTAGATATACAATCATGTCATCTGCAAACAGGGACAATTTGACTTCCTCTTTTCCTAACTGAATACCCTTTATTTCCTTCTCCTGCCTAATTGCCCTGGCCAGAACGTCTAACACTATGTTGAATAGGAGTGGTGAGAGAGGGCATCCCTGTCTTGTGCCAGTTTTCAAAGGGAATGCTTCCAGTTTTTGCCCATTCAGTATGATATTGGCTGTGGGTTTGTCATAGATAACTCTTATTATTTTGAATGTCCCATCAATACCTAATTTATTGAGAGTTTTTAGCATGCAAGGTTGTTGAATTTTGTCAAAGGCCTTTTCTGCATCTATTGAGATAATCATGTGGTTTTTGTCTTTGGCTCTGTTTATATGCTGGATTACATTTATTGATTTGCGTATATTGAACCAGCCTTGCATCCCAGGGATGAAGCCCACTTGATCATGGTGGATAAGCTTTTTGATGTGCTGCTGGATTCGGTTTGCCAGTATTTTATTGAGGATTTTTGCATCAATGTGCATCAAGGATATTGGTCTAAAATTCTCTTTTTTGGTTGTGTCTCTGCCCGGCTTTGGTATCAGAATGATGCTGGCCTCATAAAATGAATTAGGGAGGATTCCCTCTTTTTCTATTGATTGGAATAGTTTCAGAAGGAATGGTACCAGTTCCTCCTTGTACCTCTGGTAGAATTCGGCTGTGAATCCATCTGGTCCTGGACTCTTTTTGGTTGGTAAGCTATTGATTATTGCCACAATTTCAGATCCTGTTATTGGTCTATTCAGAGATTCAACTTCTTTCTGGTTTAGTCTTGGGAGAGTGTATGTGTCAAGGAATTTATCCATTTCTTCTAGATTTTCTAGTTTATTTGTGTAGAGGTGTTTGTAGTATTCTCTGATGGTAGTTTGTATTTCTGTGGGATCGGTGGTGATATCCCCTTTATCATTTTTTATTGCATCTATTTGATTCTTCTCTCTTTTTTTCTTTATTAATCTTGCTAGCGGTCTATCAATTTTGTTGATCCTTTCAAAAAACCAGCTCCTGGATTCATTAATTTTTTGAAGGGTTTTTTTGTGTCTCTATTTCCTTCAGTTCTGCTCTGATTTTAGTTATTTCTTGCCTTCTGCTAGCTTTTGAATGTGTTTGCTCTTGCTTTTCTAGTTCTTTTAATTGTGATGTTAGGGTGTCAATTTTGGATCTTTCCTGCTTTCTCTTGTGGGCATTTAGTGCTATAAATTTCCCTCTACACACTGCTTTGAATGCGTCCCAGAGATTCTGGTATGTTGTGTCTTTGTTCTCGTTGGTTTCAAAGAACATCTTTATTTCTGCCTTCATTTCGTTATGTACCCAGTAGTCATTCAGGAGCAGGTTGTTCAGTTTCCATGTAGTTGAGCGGTTTTGAGTGAGATTCTTAATCCTGAGTTCTAGTTTGATTGCACTGTGGTCTGAGAGATAGTTTGTTATAATTTCTGTTCTTTTACATTTGCTGAGGAGAGCTTTACTTCCAATTATGTGGTCAATTTTGGAATAGGTGTGGTGTGGTGCTGAAAAAAATGTATTCTGTTGATTTGGGGTGGAGAGTTCTGTAGATGTCTATTAGGTCCGCTTGGTGCAGGGCTGAGTTCAATTCCTGGGTATCCTTGTTGACTTTCTGTCTCGTTGATCTGTCTAATGTTGACAGTGGGGTGTTAAAGTCTCCCATTATTATTGTGTGGGAGTCTAAGTCTCTTTGTAGGTCACTCAGGACTTGCTTTATGAATCTGGGTGCTCCTGTATTGGGTGCATATATATTTAGGATAGTTAGCTCTTCTTGTTGAATTGATCCCTTTACCATTATGTAATGGCCTTCTTTGTCTCTTTTGATCTTTGTTGGTTTAAAGTCTGTTTTATCAGAGACTAGGATTGCAACCCCTGCCTTTTTTTGTTTTCCATTTGCTTGGTAGATCTTCCTCCATCCTTTTATTTTGAGCCTATGTGGGTCTCTGCATGTGAGATAGGTTTCCTGAATACAGCACACTGATGGGTCTTGACTCTTTATCCAGTTTGCCAGTCTGTGTCTTTTAATTGGAGCATTTAGTCCATTTACATTTAAAGTTAATAGTGTTATGTGTGAATTTGGTCCTGTCATTATGATGTTAGCTGGTTATTTTGCTCGTTAGTTGATGCAGTTTCTTCCTAGTCTCGATGGTCTTTACATTTTGGCATGATTTTGCAGAGGCTGGTACCAGTTGTTCCTTTCCATATTTAGCACTTCCTTCAGGAGCTCTTTTAGGGCAGGCCTGGTGGTGACAAAATCTCTCAGCATTTGCTTGTCTGTAAAGGATTTTATTTCTCCTTCACTTATGAAGCTTAGTTTGGCTGGATATGAAATTCTGGGTTGAAAATTCTTTTCTTTAAGAATGTTGAATATTGGCCCCCACTCTCTTCTGGCTTGTAGGGTTTCTGCCGAGAGATCCACTGTTAGTCTGATGGGCTTCCCTTTGAGGGTAACCCGACCTTTCTCTCTGGCTGCCCTTAACATTTTTTCCTTCATTTCAACTTTGGTGAATCTGACAATTATGTGTCTTGGAGTTGCTCTTCTCGAGGAGTATCTTTGTGGCGTTCTCTGTATTTCCTGAATCTGAACGTTGGCCTGCCTTGCTAGATTGGGGAAATTCTCCTGGATACTATCCTGCAGAGTGTTTTCCAACTTGGTTCCATTCTCCCCATCACTTTCAGGTACACCAATCAGACGTAGATTTGGTCTTTTCACATAGTCCCATATTTCTTGGAGGTTTTGCTGATTTCTTTTTATTCTTTTTTCTCTAAACTTCCCTTCTCGCTTCATTTCATTCATTTCATCTTCCATCGCTGATACCCTTTCTTCCAGTTGATCACGTGGGCTCCTGAGGCTTCTGCATTCTTCACGTAGTTCTCGAGCCTTGGTTTTCAGCTCTATCAGCTCCTTTAAGCACTTCTCTGTATTCGTTATTCTAGTTATACTTTCTTCTAAATTTTTTTCAAAGTTTTCAACTTCTTTGCCTTTGGTTTGCATGTCTTCCCGTAGCTCAGAGTAATTTGATCGTCTGAAGCCTTCTTCTCTCAGCTTGTCAAAGTCATTCTCCATCCAGCTTTGTTCCGTTGCTGGTGAGGAGCTGCACTCCTTTGGAGGAGGAGAGGCGCTCTGATTTTTAGAGTTTCCAGTTTTTCTGTTCTGTTTTTTCCCCATCTTTGTGGTTTTATCTACTTTTGGTCTTTGATGATGGTGATGTACAGATGGGGTTTTTGGTGTGGATGTCCTTTCTGTTTGTTAGTTTTCCTTCTAACGGACAGGACCCTGAGCTGCAGGTCTGTTGGAGTACCCTGCAGTGTGAGGTGTCAGTGTGCCCCTGCTGGAGGGTGCCTCCCAGTTAGGCTGCTCAGGGGTCAGGGACCCACTTGAGGAGGCAGTCTGCCCGTTCTCAGATCTCCAGCTGCGTACTGGGAGAACCACTGCTTTCTTCAAAGCTGTCAGACAGGGACATTTAAGTCTGCAGAGGTTACTGCTGTCTTTTTGTTTGTCTGTGCCCTGCCCCCAGAGGTGGAGCCTACAGAGGCAGGTAGGCCTCCTTGAGCTGTGGTGGGCTCCACCCAGTTCGAGCTTCCCAGCTGCTTTGTTTACCTAAGCAAGCCTGGGCAATGGCAGGCGCCCCTCCCCCAGCCTCGCTGCCGCCTTGCAGTTTGATCTCAGACTGCTGTGCTAGCAATCAGCGAGACTCCGTGGGCGTAGGACCCTCTGAGCCAGGTGGGGGATATAATCTCGTGGTGCGCCGTTTTTTAAGCCCGTCGGAAAAGTGCAGTATTCGGGTGGGAGTGACCCGATTTTCCCGATTTTCCAGGTGCCGTCTGTCACCCCTTTCTTTGATTAAGAAAGGGAACTCCCTGACCCCTTGCGCTTCCCGAGTGAGGCAATGCCTCGCCCTGCTTCGGCTCGTGCATGGTGCGCGCACCCACTGACCTGCGCCCACTGTCTGGCACTCCCTAGTGAGATGAACCCGCTACCTCAGATGGAAATGCAGAAATCACCCGTCTTCTGCGTCGCTCAGGCTGGGAGCTGTAGACCGGAGCTGTTCCTATTCGGCCATCTTGGCTCGTCCCTCCTGGCTTATCTTTTTCTCTGAGTAATATTTTGATGTAGGGCCTTGCTTTCTATCAGTACCTTTGAAGCCTGGAGGCCTAGATGCATACAGCGTCCTCAGCTTAGGCTGTGTGTAGCCTTATTGCTTTCTCCTTTAGGTCATGTCCAGTGTTCTGCACCAGTTTTCACCCTACCTAGTAGGCAGTGAATCTCATTGTCAAGGGGTGGGCACCCTATTAGACGTTGGGCCACAGTCCAATTCAGTCCAGAGCCCTGTAAAATAGCAAACCTCAGCATCCCACCTCTCCAGGTGAAGCATTCTTCTCTCAAGGGTTTTTATTTACCTGTGCTAGGATGTTAACTCAGTCACTCATGTATACCTTTTTAGAGCCAATTATTAGCATTTTATCAACTAAGTTTTCCTCATCAAAATTGCTTGTTGAGGATGGAAGTAGACTTAGGAAAAGCTCCGTATCAGGGACTTCGTTCCTTGGCCACCACATTTCCACTTCGGTTTTCTTTGTTTCGTTCTACCCTGCTCTACGAACAAAGAGGTTCTCTGTCTACATACCTAATCAAATATAACTTGTATGATGTTTAATTTAAATTTCTACATGCTGGCTTATTTTTTTTTCCAACTAATCTTCTAGTTCTGAAACAGGTGATTTAAGTTCCACTTGGATCTTTGGAGAGGATTGTGTGATGTATTTTGCTGTTGTGTATTATTTGCTAAACAAATAAGGAGACTTCCATTTTCTGCATGGATTTTGCATTTTGTCAACATATTTCTTTCCTTATTTAAGACTTTAGGTCTAGAACTTGACTTCATCTGCTATTTGGGCAGCCATTTCTAATTTCCTCATTTTAAAAATGCCTGTTAAGTCATTGCCCATGACTTAGATGTGTTTATTTTAACAAACATATAGCTAATTTTTTTAACCCAGTCTGGAAGTCATTGTCTTTTCTTCTTATTTTCTAATTTGTATTTACTCATGGTATTTTATTTTAGTTTCTTTCAAATGTGAGGCATCCCCCATATCATCCCCTGGAATTCTCATACTCTGTGGGTGGTTCCACCTCTTTGAAAAACTGTTTGGCAAGATCAACTAAAGTTGAACATAAAGTTGAATACATTGTGACCTAGTAATTCCACTGCTAGGTTTACATCTCAAGATATACACACACATGCAACAAAAGACATACAAGAACAAGAAAGTTCATGGCAGTGTTATTTATAGCAGTTCAAAACAAGAAGCCACTTGAATGTCCATCAACAATGAATAAATAAATTATAGCACATTCATCAGTAGACTATTACAGCAATGAAAAGGAATAAACTATTCTGGTTGTTATCAAATGCAACAGCATGGATGATTCTAAATAACCTATTGTCGATTATATACAGATATATAATTATGCCTTCTACATGATTCCATTTTTATTAAGTTCAGAAACTGGCTACATTACCTATGTTAATATAATAGGAGTAATGATTTTTACAAGGAGGAGGGAAATTGGAAATGGGATGGAAGGGGGCTTCTAGGGTTCTAGTATTGTTCTATTTATTGATGTACCTGGTAGTTTTGGGGAAGTGCTCAAAAAAACTACCAGACACATCAATAAATAGAACATTACTAGGTGTGCTTAAAATGTGTGAACTTTTCTATAATGTAGGCTATACTTTTCAACTAAAATTTATTTTGAAAAGATCTCATTGGATATTATATAGAAAATAGTTCACAGGAGGCAAGAGTAGAAACAGAGAGACCAGTTACAGATATGTTGCGCTACTCTAGGTGACAGAGTATGAAAGCATAGGCAATGGATAGAGCAGTGAAGTTGGGACACATCAGGCAGACTGGGAAATGTCTAGAGTTTAAATGACATGCATGTGGATTGAATGAAGGAAAAAATGGGGCGTGATCAAGGATGATTCCAAACTTTTAGAATGAGAAAATAGCTAGGTGGATTCTGCTGCAATAATGTAATCTATTCAGAAATGATGAAGGCCAGGCACGGTGGCTCACGCCTGTAATCCCAGCACTTTGGGTGGGTCATGAGGTCAGGAGTTCATGACCAGCCTGGCCAATATGGTGAAACCCCGTCTCTACTAAAAATACAAAAATTAGCCGGGTGTGGTGGCGCACACCTGTAATCCTAGCTACTCAGGAGGCTGAGGCAGGAGAATTGCTTGAACATGGGAGGCGGAGGTTGCAGTGAGCTGAGATCATTCCACTGCACTCCAGCCTGGGCGACAGAGCGAGACTCTGTCTCAGAAAGAAAAAGAAAAAAAGAAATGATGAAGAATAAGATTGAGGTGACAATTACATTTCCGGTATGTGATCACTAAGGTCTTCTTTAAATATTCAGGTGAAATTGCAAGTGAATTGCTAGAAGCAGAAGTCTCTACTCAGGGGAGAAGTTAGACCTGGAGATATGTTTGAAGAGCATAGTTTATAGATAACATACACTCACTCATAGAGTAGACTTTAAATAGTACTTTGATTATCTTAGAAGAATTAAAATTTTCTAGAGAGCAATAATAATTTGCCACTCTGCTTAGCACAAAGATTAAACATGTTCTTGGATTTATGAAAAATGGTAAAATAATAGGTAGTATATGCATACTCACAATTAAGAAGAAAAATGACCAAATGCCACTATTTTTTCTCCCATTGCGAAAAATGAATGAAATCACATATGTCAAGAAAACAAGAGATGAGACATAGCCAATACTACACAGGATCTGAAAACAGAAATGTTAAGGTCCAATAAGGTAAATACTATCTAGAAGAGTACTCATATTTACTCTTCAATTTTCCAAAACTATGCAATAGCACAGGTAATTTGAAGTTCTTTGGTTTAAGATTAATGATATTACTGCATTCATGAAAAAATAGTCTAATAAAACCATTTCAAAATTGCTGCCACTTACTTGAATTAACAGGTTTTGAATTATAAATATAATCTCCTCTGGGCTAAAAATATAATCCATTATTTGCATTAGCAGGAGGATCAAAAAGTACAGGGAAACATCCACCAGTGCTTGGCCAAACCAGTATGCAGAAGGGTAGAGGCCTGAAATCCGTAGCTGGGAATGAGCTTTTTTCTGATAAAGAAATAGAAGAATCATCAAAAGGTTCTGAAGAGCTGAAGTTTGGGAAATTGCAAATATACAGTCATGAAAGCATTCATTTTTGCTTCGCCTTTTAGAAATATTATCCTGATTTAGCAAATGATACCACCACTCGCCACACCCTTGTTCAGAGGCATTGATAATGCTGCAAGCCACGTCATTATTTCATTGTCTAAAGGGAAAACGCACCAACATAACTAGCTAATGTTATGTCACAGAATGATTGGGCATGGCCTCAGTGAGAAGACATCTTTTCTTTGCAAGACTATTCTTTCCTTCGACGTGAAAACTTGCACATTGCACAAAGGTTCAACAGAAGTAGGATTACCATTTCCTGTAAGACACTTAAAATTTATGCTGAATGTAAACAGTGCATTTATCATTGGCATTTTATTTTGGGTCTAAGAAATGGTCCTCTAGTTGATTTCATTTAAAAACTGTTTAGGTTGGAATCGGCAAGACTGCCTTTAAAATGTTGCACTATTCTTATTGTCTTGCCGTAAGTCATATTTTTCATCATCACACTGTGAAAACTGGTGAGTGGATTTTGCTATTGTGACCACTATAAGTCACATTATTGCAGTGATTGTCATAACACAAGGTCTTGAAAATGTGACCTGGACTATTTTAAACAGTAAAGCATAAAGGCAATTAAAATTTCAAATCTAAAATTGAGTCTATATAAGGAGATTCATTAGCAAAAAACTGGAATGCAAATAATTCTGGAAAGGAGAGTACATCTGGAAGGAAGTAGGAAAGAGGATGATAGTGAGGACCGTTAGAGAGCTTGCTATTTTCTATTCATCAACTTATTTAATATATATTTACAGAATGTATACCGTATGGCTGGCTTCATATTGGTCACGGGGCACTTATAAATTTAAGTTGCAGGGGAAGAGGAAATAGAGGCAATAGGCAAATAAATATAGTGATAGCTACCTAAGTAAAATTGTACATGTGTTAAGAAGAATTCAGGGTTGTATTACAGCCTTTCAAAGAGAAACGAATTGTAACTCGGGGGTCAGGTCAGAGAAGGTTCCCTTGTGAAGTCATGAGTTAGGGTATGGGCAGTGAATAGGATATATCTGGGTGACCGGTCAGAAAGCACTGTGGGCAGAGAGAACAGCAGGAGAGAAGACCCTTCCGTGGAAAGAGGCTGATGTTCTGGGAAGCTAGAAAGAAGCCAGTGTGGCTGGAGCATGGTTATCAAGGTGTCAGTAGCATCAGATTAAGGGAGTAAGATACACCTGGGCCCAGATCACTCATGGCTTTCAGACAATGGCAAGGATTTCAATCCTGCTCCTTGGTATGACGAGAAACCATTGAAGAGATTTAGACAGAGAATTAACATGGTCAGCTTTGTGTTTTTAAGGTATTACTCTGTCACACTGGATGAAAAATAGAGACGACTAATATGGACTTATAGGGTGGCTGTTGTGCTCATCCAGAAGAGAGATGATGATGGCTCTGGCTGGTGTTTTGTAGGAGAGATGGAGGAAAACTTTCTAGAAAGATTCCATAAATATTTCAGAAGTATATTCCGTGACTTCACCATTAGCCAGCTATGAAGATGAGAGAGAAAGAAAGACATTGACATCGTGGGGTTGCCAGTTAAATTTGAATTTTAGATAAATAACTTTTTGAGTATAAATATGTCCCATGCAATATCTGGAAAATACTTATACTAAAAAAATTCATTGTTTCTCATATTAAATCTTAACTGGGTGTCTGTAATTTTATTTGCTTAATTCTGGCATCCTAACAAAAATAGCTCTTAGGTTTCAGTCAAGAGTAAAAGAATGAAAGGTGATCCATTATTTATAGAGATGAGTAACAACGAAGTACGTAAAATTTAGAGAAAAACATTCCTGTGCTGATGATGTTTATTCCTAGTTGACAGGAGACAGTTAATTAAAAAAAAAAAAAAGCAAAGGTTCAGATAATGATAAGTACCATGCATAGATTTTTAAGATAAGCTCATATAATAGTTATGGGAAATCTATTTCAGACTGGTTAAGCAGAGAAGGGGTCTTGGCTGAAATACTTAAATATTTGCGCTGAGATCTGAATTACAAAAAAGCCAGCTGTAGAAAGAACAGAAGAAAGAGCATTCCAGCCAGAAGAAATGGCCAATGTAAAGGCCCAGATGATATTGGCATATTTGAGAACCAGAAGGAAAAGTGGGGTAGCTAGAGGAGGAGAGTACAAGGAGGAAAGGTAGAGAGATAAACAAGAGACAAATGAGGGAGGGAGGGCTCTGCCAGACAACATAAATAATTAGAATTTAATTCTACCTGCAAAGAGAAACTGCCGGGGTTGTTAAATAAGGTAATGAGATGATCTAATTTAAACTTCTGAAAGTTTGCTCTGGTTGTATGAAAGGAATTAATTGCAAATAAGGAAACCTATGGGTAACTCTTGCAGTGGTTTAGGCAAGGAATGATGATGACTTAGACCACGAAGAAAATAGTGGAGAGGGAGAGAAATGGATGGGTTTGAAGTAGAACTTAAAAGAATTTCCAATGGATTAAATAAAGGAGATAAAGAGACAACGATAATGCGAAAATTTTATGCTAGAGCAACTGTAGACAATAGTGCCATTTGCTAAAACAGGAAAATCATGAAGTGAGCACAACTGGTTAGGAAAATAAAAAGTTTTATTTTGCCCATGTGTGAAATATCTATTACTCAGCTATATGGTAATATCACATAGGCCACTGTACATATAGAAGTCAAGAATTCTGGAACTAGCTGAAAAGGGCCCTAGAACTAAAGCCTGGACATTTAGACATCAAGCATTAACATTTATGGGAAAGTTACTATATGGCAAGTATGGTTCTAAGTAACTCATTGGTATTATATCACCACATCCTCACAGAAACCTATTTCAAATAGATGTAACTAGTATCTCATTTTATAGACGATCAAAATGAGGCATAGAGTGATTAAGTAACTTTTGAGATTCATGCAGCTTGACAATGGAAATATTGAGATTTGAACTCAGAGGAGTTTACCCCAAAAAAAGTGTGAGAAAGAGTGACAAGAGCAGGAGGAAAAAGACAGTGAATGTGTGGTCTTATAAAAGTAAAGGAAAAATAGTATTTTGTGTTTCTTATGGGAGAAGTCACTAAAGATAGGGACAGTTTAAGAGCAGAATAAATAAAAATTAAGTCAAGCCCTTCAAAAACATGTCCTGAGCATCAGTGGATGATGACAAGGACATGAAGACATGGGAGAGTAGCAGATAGACTCTGTTACAGGCTCCTCGAATTTTATTTTTTAAAAACTCACAAAAATGGAGCTTTAAATGGACAATATTTTCCAACAACAAGTCAAAGTGCTGTGGTGAGTTGGTCAGGGCTTTTAAACTGAGTAGCTTTAGCACCATCTGGAAAGTAGAAACCACCATTGAGAGATGAGATGTGATTATGTCTGTGAGTAAGTCTTATAAGTCAAATTTTAAGTGATAAACATTTGAAAGTTGTCATTCCCTGTTAGCAGATGACATCTAAGCTGTCCTTCCTGAGGTCTCACATTTGTTTCAGAAAGATAGCATTTTCTTCATATTTGACAATTATTATTAAAGTGCTTGATTATTCATTGCATCAAGTACAAAAATTAGATTTACCACTTGCATGTAAATTTATAGTCGTAAGGGTGTGGGAAGGGTTCTCTAGATATAAAAAACATGTGAAGACTTTAACTCTTCTTACTTTGTAGTCACCAATGCTGCTCATTGCAATGTATGGAGTGAAAGAGGCTGCCATCGGTATCCAGAAGAAGGTGTTACTTCGGTACCCATACTCATAATCCATATGCTCCTGAAATCATGTGGAACATGGTGAGCTGATGGCGATTGGGCATCTGTTTCATCTGTACTTTCTTAACTAAATCACTCAAATAAATGAATTGAGCTGATCACTCAAAGTGCTTCTCAAGGTCCTATATGCAACTTCTTACCCACATTCATTTTCAATCCTGTATTGCAGCAACTAGGACCTTCTGAACACGTAGCCTGATTTACTTATGAAGAAGCAAATTCAACCAAGTGATACGAATTGTCTAAGGTCATACAGTTAATAACTTGTAAGGTAGGCATGAAACGTCTTTTCTCTGACTTTATGGTTACAATCTTACATGCATTGCTTATATACATCAAGGCTGATGTTTTAAGAGACAATAGAGATTGTGGACTGTCAGTGGAGGGGCTAGGAGAAAAATGGTCAGCACGCCCTCCATGTTAGGCACTATGTTAAAAAAAAAAATCAAAACCCTGTACATATTAAAGAGGATCTTGAGTTTTGCTACAAGCCTTAATTTTGAAAAAAAAATTTAAAATTTGTGGGTACATAGTAGATGTATATATTTATGGGGTACATGAGATGTTTTGACACAGGCATGCAATGTGAAGTAAGCACATCATGGAGAATGGGGTATCCATACCCTCAAGCATTTATCCTTTGCGTTACAAACAATCCAATTATACTCTTTTAGTTATTTTTAAGTATATGATTAAATTATTATTGACTAGAGTCACCCTGTTGTGCTATAAAATACTAGGTCTTATTCATTCTTTCTGTATCTATTTTTTGTACCTATTAACCATTCCCACTCCCTTTCCCAGCCTCTGGTAACCATCATTTGACTACGTCCATGAGTTCAACTGTTTTAATTTTCAGATCCCACAAATAAATGAGAACATGCAATGTGTGTCTTTCTGTGCCTGGCTTATTTTATTTAGCATAGTGATCTCCAGTTCCATCTACGTTGTTGCAAATGACAGGTTTTCATTCCTTTTTATGGCTGAATAGTACTCCATTGTGTATATGTACCTCATTTTCTTTATCCATTCATCTGTTGATGGACACTTAGGTTTCTTCCAAATCTTGGCTATTGTGAACAGTGCTGTAACAAACATGAGAGTGTGGATATCTCTTTGATATACT
The DNA here is from genome assembly GCF_000001405.40 of Homo sapiens. NCBI lineage: Eukaryota > Metazoa > Chordata > Mammalia > Primates > Hominidae > Homo > Homo sapiens. The sequence continues at coordinate 69,013,209 of NC_000017.11, forward strand.
TATTTCCTTTTGTGGGGGTAGCAAAGGTGAGATTGATGGATTGTATGGTAGTACAAACCTTAATTTGATCTATCATCAGTTACCTCACTACATTGCAAGTCATCTGGTATGATGAGTTTTGAAGTTTCTTTACTTCTCTGTTCTCTTACTCCCTCCTAAAACTCAGCACCCCTCTGAGACATTACAGCATATAAAACTTGCTTGTCTAAAGATGTGTTTGTGTAGATAAGGCCCTGGGAGGGGAAAAAAGGGTGCCAAAGACTACATCCCCCATCTCATATCTTTGCCTGTGGATACCATTGTTGATTTTCCTGATTTGGAAGACCTCTGGGGGAGGAAAAAATCACAATTCATCTTGACAACCAGCTTCCTTACTCATGACTGGGTTCATAAATGACATATTATGTCTGTGTTAGATCATATCCACCCACAGTCAGAGTTTGATGTGACTCAGCCTGACAGGGTCCTTCCTAAGCTGAAAGACACTGGATGCCTCCTGGGTAGTTTGGCCGGGTGATGACTTGCAGGAATGGCTGGATGGGAGTGCTGTAGGACACTCCGATAGATGATAAAAATTATTGAGAGGGATCAGCAGCAAGACCTGAGCTACAGTGAGCCTGGTACTTTACTTTAGGATCAAGTGGAATAGGCTTACAAAATTGTAACAGAGAATGCCAGGAGCTGGGTGGGGAAACCAGAGGTGGCAATTCAAAGAGATAATTTGTCTACCTATGAACTCAAGGTCAGCTGGGCTGGTGGGTAGCCAATATTCTGTAGTGAAGACATCTTTTTAAAGGTGGGAATTCAGGTCACTTGCTCATTCTTGGGAACATCCTATTCTTTGTCATCCAGATAATTGGCTAGCCTACTCAAATATAATAGATAATGAAACACAGTGACACCTCAGTGGGCTACAGTTTCCTCAGCTGTCTAATAATAACACAAGTTGAGAATCCCTAATCTGAAAATCTGAAATCTGAAATGCTCCAAAATTCAAAACTCTTTGAGTGCCAACATGACACTACAAGTGGAAAATTCCATACCTGACCTCATGTGAAGGGTCACATTCAAAACATAGGCACACAACACAGAGTTTATTAAAAACATTGAATAAAAATATCTTCAGGCTCTGTGTAAAAGGTGCACATGAAACAAACGAATTTCATGTTTAGACTTGGGTCCCATCCCCAATATATCTCATTATGTAAATGCAAATATTCCAAAATCTGAAAAAATCGAGAATCCGAAACACTTCTGGTCCCAAACGTTTCAGATAAGGGATGCTCAATCTATAATAGGAATAGTAACAACTATTTCAAAGTCTGCTTGGGACATTTAAACATGCTAATACATATAAATTACATGGGAAATATCTGGTTTTGTCCAAGAAATTTTTGAAGGAAGCAGGACTGCTGAAACGTGGCTTGAAAAAAACAATGGTATGATGTGCTTTGGAGAAGACAGGGCAATCTCCTTCACATCCCCAAACCTCTGTAGCTTTCAGGCAGCATGCAAGAAGCACTCAACAGCTCTCATAGCTCTTTCTGAGGAAGCACAGAGGTTAAAGCAAGGCAGAAGTTGTTGAATTACCTGGAGGATGGACACATCAAACAATGAACAATGTAGACTGGAGAAAGTTTGACAGTATGGACTTTCCTGCAGCAGCCTAAAGAGACTCTGCAACCCTGGGTGTGTCATCACCTACAGAAGGGTCTGGGGCCAAGCTAAACACCACCCCAAGACAATTACATGGGTCACCTGGGCTGTGGTGACCACATACGTAGAAACTGCTAGCAACTAGAGAAAGCATGATGTCTCCCCAGCACCAGTTCCATAGGAAGAGCTCCAGCTCTCCATTCTTCCATTCTGCCTCCAGCATAGCAGTGCTTTACTCAGAAGGGGAGGGAAAGGGGATTGTCTGAGAGCTAGGACACCCTCCCTTTTCTATTCCATGTGTTAGACTGCAAAGGGAAATGGAAGAGCAAATCACACCACAACTACCCACCCTCTTCCATGCCCCTTAGGCCACAATTTGACCCTGCAAAGTTTAAATTGAATAGAAAATTGAAGTTTGGGACTGCACTAGAATGATCCTTCATAACAAAAAGTAACCAAGAAGCTATAGAATATGGCCAGGGTGTCATTTTCACCAGACGAAGTGTGTTTCAACATAACAAGATGAAAGAGGTGACCTGAAGACATAGAAGTGCACACCCACATCTCTACCCCAGATCTTCTGCCTCTGGGCATCTAAGCAGGCCTGAGAAATTAGATTTTAAACAAGAACTGCCTTAGTTCTCATTCAGCCAGTCCCCAGATCTAATAAAGCTGAACATTATTTAATGGAAACTTCTTTTGATGCATCCCAAGAAAAATAGTTTTAATAGCAATAATAATGAGAAATATAATTTACTGAGCACCTGCAGTTGTCCTATTTTAGGTGCCTCATCACTCGTTCCTACAATAACTGGTCCAACTTAGCCAGGTGCTCACATTGCCTCATTTACTTCTTAAGAAACTTTTGTGATAAAGTCTTTAATCTGTTTTTTGTAAATTGATGACCTATAGCCTGTAGAAGTCAAGTTGCTTAAGAAGGTCACATAGTCTGACCTTTAAGTCTGTTTCAACAATGTCCCACTACCTAGGGCCACAGATGGTGACAGATCTAGACCAAAAGTCATAATGAGTTGTATTTTTCTGTTGCTCTATTGACACCAAGTCATCTGAATAAGGTTATAATATTGTGTGGTCAATTCTAAATTGTGTGTGTGTGTGTGTGTGTGTGTGTTATAATGTTGCGTGGTCATTTCTAAATTGTGTGTGTGTATGTATATTACATATACAGTGATTTATATATATATAAAATATTGCACACAGATTTATATGTGTGTGTGTATATATATATATATATATATACACACACACACACACACACAAGTTTAAGAATAGATTCACAAAAAGTAATATAACATTATTTTAGCATTTCAAGAATTTTCTTGAAAACTTATCATGGCACAGTATAAATGAGATATAATTATACTTACTTCAAAAAATGTGCTTCTGTCAGTCTGAATGTGTTCTGACGAATTAAAAATTCCAAGTAGTCCATTGCTAATGACATCCAGGAGGACAGGAAAGCAATTCAGCCGTTTTGTATTACATGCTATTGAAAATCTGTGATCCTGAAATACAACAAGTACCAATTCGAAGTCTTCATAAAGCAAAGACAAAATTTAATGAGTGAACATGTTAGAAAATCATTCAAGTTACTGATAATATAATAAGTCCCAAGCACTGAATGTGATTAATATCACTATCACTCATAATATTTGATTAATTCTTAAGTATACTTAAAGAATCCGGTATTTTGGTTTCTACCCACCATAACATCAACCATGTGGCTATTTATGCCCAAACATCACAAAACAAAATACTTCAAATGATATTTAGCAGCAACACTACGAAACTCCATAGTGCAACCTCAGTTTAACCTGGCTATAGACTTTGTTTCAAAATGTGACACATTCATTTTATAAGTATATAATGTTTGGATACTTGAGAAATAGGAGGCAGGCAGAAAGTTGTAATGAAAGTATAGGTTTTCATAAATCCTGTGCTTACTTGTAAAGTCTCCCTTAAAATAACGTGTGTGTGTGTGTGTATAATGTGATTATTTTTCCCTCAGAGAAAAATATAAGTAAATTCATTATCCATATTGCCCAAAATGTGGGCAAGCTTTGAGAACACATTTTTGCAATCATAAATAAATCAAGTGTATTGTATTTAACCTAATTACCTAAAGCAATGTTTATTGATGTTAAAACTATTTTACTGAGCATACTGAAAAATAAACTTAAGATATAATGAGAACTATCTTGAAGGTAATTTCTTACTTTATTTTTGGCATGGAGTTTATTCCTGAAAATTAACTGTGACAAATTACAAATGGCCACACTTCGTGACACCTAACAGCTATGATTTATGCATTTAACATAATTATCTCATCTTTTCAATTTGCCTACTGTAGAGATCTCTGACTCAAATTCCTACAGGGTCTAGGCAGGTGATATGAATGAGCAAAGCAGTATGCAGACATAGAAATCAGAAAAGCAAAGGCCAAGTCTACATTGGGCAGTTGTTCTCAGTTCCAACTGAGAATGAGATTTAATTTAATTATTGGAATGGAATCCAATTGATAATAACGATCTAAATAAATTATTATAGCAGTGCATTCAACTTAATCAGGAATAAAATCAAATAAATTTCATTTCATATTGCCATGCTGAAGGCTATGGGGAAATAATTGTAGTCCAGCTTCTTCTATAAAAATGAGAACTATCCCATTTGTTTGTGTGAAATTGGCCTTTCATTCAGCTGATATGAATTATTCAAATTGTACACCCATAGTCCACCTTTGGTGAAATGCAGCAACTGGAGTCCAGCATACCTTTTCATCACCTGACACAATGATAGCACCATTGTAAGATGGGTCATCTGTGCCATTTCTAGTTCCAAAGGCATCCACTTCTATAGCTATGTTCTGTCGCCTCAGTGAATGTAAAAAGTTATCAATGGTTGACCCTACATGAAGGCAAAGATTAAAGGAAGCAAAAATGAAATAAAACAATAGTCAAGTAATATTAAAAATACATTACATCACACAAAGCATATCACACAAAAGGACTGTCTAAGGCTTTTCTTAAAAAAGCAGAATTGATGTTCTGGTACAACAATCCAGTCTAACATCATAGGTATGACAAGGTTACTTTATCTAGAGCCTAGGCATTTCATTATAATTTCTATTAGTATAGAAATAAGAATTGCTGTTAACATTATAATCCTTGAAGCTATTAATAGTCTATCTATCTTTTTAAATTTGAAACATTTTTTTCCAGAGCCCAGCACAGCACAGATTTACAAAATGATACACAAAGACCTCAGAGGTGAGTCAATGATTTACCTCCCTACCTCCTCTTTAGTTGCTTTGTGCAACAAACATTAAGGTTAAGTAAACTTGCAGAATCTATTTCTAAAACAAACTCTCCCATGTCGTATTTTTCATTTTTTAATTTATTTTCTGTTTGGCCTCATATATGCTTTCTAAAACATACAGAGTTTATTTTTTTCTTGGCTGTTCATGTTTTTTGGGGGGAATCTCTCAACAAGAACAACATTTAACAGCTGCATTTCAGCCCCATGTTCACCTGTCTTATTGATGACCAGTAAATGGGTCAGAGGATCCTGTGGTTGTTGTCCTGGTGAGAGGAAGTATGTATTTGGAGACAGTTCCCACGGGTAACTTTTCTGATATGACTCGTAGAATAGATGTTCCAAAAGTTGAGGGATAAAGCTAATACCAAAAAGCAATAATCTATGCAGAGGAAAATGTAAAAGAAAAAAATAATTTTAGCAACTTTTGTGGGTTTTTAAGTTTGAAGGTATAATGAATATAATAACAGAAATAAATTATAATCAATAACCAAACATTTGAATCATACTTTGCCCCACTTCCTTGTTTCTAAAATGAGATGGGTCATATGTATCTACCTTTAGTCTTTTGCTCTCTCTCAAGTGCCAAGCAGGACACCTTGGCTTCGGGTTTATGAAGTCTGTGGATTATGACTCTTAAATCTCTCTTCACAATCCCTAACTCATTGCCTTATTTCAGTCATGCATTTCTTTCTTTTTCTGCACTACTGAAATTGGCATATCACTAACACCCATACTTACTACACTCTGAACTTTATCCCATCCTGTTTCCAATTTCTGTAAATTACAGCATTTTCTCATTCCCCTGGGCACCAAGAGCTCAATCATTTTCCACCCATTTCTCTCCCTTAAGTTTATTTTCTAATATTTGGAAATTCATATCTATCATAGCATCTTTATTGCTTGCCTCCAAACCTTGTTCTCTCTTCCTCTTCTTAAGTTGGGCTTTTATTAACTCCTTCCTGACTCTTCAATATTGTTCTAAATGTTTGTTTTCATTGTCTCCATATTCTACCATTACCAAACAATTTTGCACAATTACCCAATTAAGCTTCTTAACATTTTGTTGACATTATGTCAATTACCTATTGAAAATAAAAAATACAGTCTTAATACTTCCTTAGTATTCATAAAATGCAAACTCCTTAGCTCTTTGAATATATTTCAAAAATATTTTTACTTTTTCATACACTTTATGTTGCAATTAACTCAGATTAATAGTTCTTTAGATTTCTCATGTATCCCCATATTCAGTACTACTCCCTCAGCCTGAATTTCCATTCTCCTCTCTCTTCTTCAAAATCTCCCTGAGCTTTCTATTTTGACATAATCTCCCTCCTACTAAATGCCATAGTTCACAGGATTGTCTGTTATTTACTATATGTCTAATCACCCTCAAGGGTGGACTGTCATGTCTGATTTCTTTTGATATATGTTATAATCACTTAATAATAGAGTGTTGCATAGAGGTGCTCACTAATATTTTTGGATGAATGAATGTTCTCAGTGAATGAGTGTTCCTGATGATAAGGCTGAAGCTCTGGGGGTACATGTGAACCTTATAGTGGGTTCCAGATATGATCGTGAAGCCAAGGCAGACTCTTTTATAGAGCCTCAAGACTGTAACATGGAAATTGTGCCTAAGTTTCCAGTCTTCCAACTACAACATTAACTCTAACCCAAGTTTCCAGTCTTCCAACTACAGCATTAACTCTAACCCAAGTTTCCAGCCTGGTGTTCTGCCTTGTGGATTTCAGATTTGCCAAGCCCCACAATTACATAATGAAATTCCTTAAAGTAAGTATGTTTATATATGTATATCCTATTGGTTTCATTTCCCTGGGGAACCCTGACAGCTACAGATTTTGATACCTTGGGAAAAGAGGAAATGGGTCTTTAGGATGGGACCTAAGTACTAATATCCACGTGCTTTTGAAGAACTACTTCAACCCATTGGTAAAAACAAAATCTGTGTGAAATTTAAAAAAAGAACAATCCCAACCCGTATCTGTTTTAATTATATATCCACATGATTAAAAATGGTTTCTTTAATTAAAAAATGATTTCTTTGTTTAAAAGACAATGTGCATTTACTGAAATTTATTTTATCTGAGTTTCTTTTATGTTTTGCTCTCTTAAATTTATTTTTAGTTCACAGACAAAACAAATCTGAAACACTCAGATACTCACATAGTCCACAGGCTTTTTCTTTCTTTCTTTAACTTTAGGAAGCGAACTTTTGCTATTGCACAGACCTGCTGCCTCCAGAGCGCCACGCCACTGATTGTTTTCCTTGTTTCGTGGAAGGAAGACAAAACTTGTTCCAGCTCAACAAGGCTTCCTATATCTTTTGCCCCATCAGTTTGTAATTGTCCCCAAATTCCAATATCTAAAACATAAGATCAATATTTTATAAAGTGCCATTTTAGTTATGCATTATTTAGCTTTTCCTATGATAAATTTTCCTACAAAGGTGTCAAAGTTACCCTCTTGGGCCAAGATACAAGTAATCTAATGTATGACATTATTAGAGCAACTATTGAAGAAATGGGAAAGAAGCAGAAAGTATTGATATAATAAAAGAAAATCTTGTGTTTTCTGATTTTAAACGTCCTCTGTCTGCAGCTTTATAGGACTTTATTTATTCTAAGGAAATCAATGAAAAAAAACTCATTAAGAAATCTATTTGTTGTAAAAGATAAACCACTTAGTATTTCTGACCAAGGTAGGAGAGTTAGTATATACAGAAACCCCTCCTCTACCCTTCAAGAACATAAAAATGGGAGAAACGATATTTTTAAAATATAACCATGGTTAAAAGCAAGATAAAAGTTACCTGTTTTGAGGTGAAGCCTAGAGAAAATGACTAACTCTGGCTACTAGAAAGCTATAAAATATGTACATACATTAAAATTTAGTATAACACTAAAAAAGTAACAAGTATATAACTTCAAAAATGAATAAGAGAGGAAAAGGAGGATTAAAGAAAAATGCTTGATCAATCCAAAAAGACCCCCAGAAAATTGCAAAAATGAAAATAAAGAGCACAGTAAAGAGTAAACACCATAAGATGATAGTGAACCAGTAAAAAAAATTATCTTAGCAGCAATAAGAGAGAAAAGACAGAATGCTTCCCAAGGAATAAAGATGAGACAGAGAGCAAACTTTCCAAAAGCAACAACTAAATCCCAGATACATTGGAATAATATCACTGAAATGCTACCAGAAAAGTAGCATTTCTGTGAACTCTAATTTTCTTTTCTCTATAGCATGTATATTCAGGTAATATCATACCATATATTTATTGTTTGCTGCATAAGGAACTAGTGTTGTACATTGCTATATTCCACAGAGATATATTTCTTCTCTAAGTTTTCCCAAGACAAGCCTGAATCATAGCACCAACAAAAGTATATAATCTCATCATTTGGGCATATTTTCAAGATAAAATACTGCACACAAAGATAAAATCTTTCTTTCGTCCTTCCTTCCTTCCTTCCTTTCTTTCTTTCTCCCTTTCTTTCTCTTTCTTATTTTTTCTTACCTGATTCATCAATAGTTGATTTTCCTTCTAATTTCAGAAACACCTCATTCAAAGTTGTTATGGAAACACCATAATCCTCAATGCCTTGGTTAGAACATCTATCAAGATCCCTGTAAAGTTCTAAAAGTGGATACAAAAACAGATTATAAGAATATAATTTATAATGAGAACCATATTTCTCAAAAATGTAAAATATTGGTAATAGGCCAAATGTACTAATCAGAAACAAAATTGTGATACAGATGATCTCATTTCTAAAATGATCCATATAGTATGTTACTTTTCATGTCTTTTTGAGATCAAAGTCTAATCTAAACATTTATTTTTTCACTCTTAGGAAACTACCTATGTGTTTTTTGAAAAACATATTTTAATATATTTTTTAAAATTTATTTTTGTTATATTACAGGGAGTGTTTAATTCTCAATTTCAACTAATTAAAAAAATATTTTCCAGAGAATAGAGATTTGTGCTTTCTTGTTGAGATTAATTATTAGAGAATTATAATAACAAATGTAAAAGAACTAATGTTTATAGAAATAATTAAGTATAGACTCTTTGATAGTTTAAAAACATGTAAAATTTCTATTTTTTTTTTTTTGAGACAGAGTCTTGCTTTGTTGTCCAGGCTGGAATGCAGTGGCTCAATTTTGGTTCACTGCAACCTGCACCTCCCAGATTCAAGTGATCCTCCTGCTTCAGCCTCCCGAGTAGCTGGGATTACAGGTGCACAACACCACGCCTGGCTAATTTTGTGTGTGTGTGTGTGTGTGTGTGTATGTGTGTGTGTGTGTGTGCGCGCGTTTAGTAGAGATGGAGTTTCACCATGTTGGCCAAGCTTGTCTTGAACTCCTGACCTCAAGTGATCCGCCTGCCTCAGCCTCCCAAAGGGCTGGGATTACAGGCATGGGCCACCGCGCCCAGCCCATAAATATGTAAAGTTTTTAAAAGGACAAAATATGTATGTAACTTTGCACCTCCTCTCTCTGTCTCTCTCTCCCTCTCTCTTTCAACTTCTGACCATGGTGTGAAAATTCAGGAAAACTGAAAGGTGGATAAAAGATAAACTAATTCAATATTGGGATAAATTAAAGACTTCAATCTTAATTATGTGTTGGACAAAGAAAAATAGAGATGTAGTCAAAATTTCTAATGAGTCCTTAAACTTACCTAAGGGTTAATTGTTTTTCAGTCTTTCTCCAAATTTCTCATCCACTTTGGAATGCATTTAATAAGCAATCAGCTAAAACTTTGCTGTGTGATCTTCACAAAGATTTCTGTTTTTATAAGGATACATATCTCAAAGATATTGTGTATGCACTGTGAACCATTATTTCACTTATTCTAAGAGATATATTTCATCATCTTTTAATATATCTGAAATAATAATGGATCTTAAATGATAGTAGATCATATTTTAAATGGTAGCATTATTTCTTTGTGTTTCTTTCTTAGTGGTACATCCTGTAGTTGAGGGCTTCTTACACCTGATGAAATACCATAGGTTCTGCATGTCAGGTATTGTTCCAGTGCTTTATTTATATTTAATATTTCAATACATTTGAAGGTATTAAATCATTTAATCCTCATAACAACCCTAGAGTACTATTTTAATTTTCTTTTCACAAGTGAGGAAACTGAGATACAGAATAGTACTATAACCTGTTAAGGATTATAGAGCTAATAATAGCATAGCTGGTGTTTGAATCTAGACTGGCTCTAGCATTGAGTTTCAATCTCTGCACTTTATTGTCTGGTTCTGTGTTTCTTTATGGACCAAGGTTATGTCATGCTTATTGATTCAAGCATGCAGCAATGGCCCCGGTATAATTTCTTGAACTTGATATGGCAAACACATTTTTACAGAGTAAACTTAAGAAGCATTCTACCTCAAAACGCTTAGGAAGTGAAACAGTGCATTGGGAGATACCATAGAAAAGTAATAACACCAGTAGTTCTCCAAGCTTCTGTGTTTGCAGCAAAGTTGTACATTGAAGTGTTTGGCAGAATGCACGCCAATCCAAGTTATGTTCAATAACTTGGATTATATCAGTATGTGCTGGTGTTTCTAAAACAACCTATTTATTGTGTACAATTCTTTCAGCTCTTCTTCGATAGTCTGCCACTGTATTTATATACCTGTTCCTGCCCTGACCACACTCTCTCATTCATTACTGAAACAAATTTTCCAAATAATTCTTATTTTATCTTGCTGCTAGCCTACGCCTCTTAATTGCACTTAATTGACTTGAAGCATATTTAACATCTACATGCCTTGGTTTACTCATAAGTAGCATATGGATAATACTAAGGGGTAATATTATAAGTGACCTTGGAGTTGGGAATATTAAATGAGTAAACGCATTGTGCCATTCATCTAGCAAGCATTAAAACTAGCCATCATTCTTATCACCACTGTTATTGTTAATAACACCATTCCAAAACCATTCTGTCATCTTTACATTTTGTTACCTGGAAATTTGTTTGTCCTTTCCAAAGGCAAAATATATACAAGTTTTTCTTCACTTTGTGCTGTCAATTTGGCATCAGAGATGTGCTGCTTAACCAGTGATGTTATACTCTCTGGATCACACCTTTCATTCAGATGCAAACTAACATTTAAAAAGAATAAAAGTTATTTTTATCCAACTGTGTCTATAAAACAATTTCCTAATTATGTAGTATGTGCTTGTCACTTTATTAATATTTATGAGACAAAAAAATGTGTAGTTTACTGGACAAAGTAAGATGTAAAACTACTAATAAAGTCCAAACCATTAAATCTATGCAACATGGCAGAAGAATTAGTATAAGGGATGATTAGAGTGGGAAGAGGTAACTCAAGGACTCTTATTTGGAGAAATGAGATATTAAGCCAGATCTTGCCTGGGGTGAGGTAAAGGGAAATGTTTAATTTGTCAGCATCTACTCAAAAACCCAACCTCCCAACCTTGAGCTTTCCCTTTGTAGTAATGTATGAGTTCTGCCGAAACTCAGACTTGAGCATGAGAAAACAAAAAATGGAGGTGATGTGATACAGTCATTAAGAATGTGGCCCCATGTCATGCTAATGCAGATTCTGCTAAAGCTAATTTTATCATTTTGGGGCCCAAAATTTATTCAAGTGAAATCTGGCCTGTCTTTATTAAGAATATATAAAATTACTCATGAAATTATTTGATTTTTGAAACTCCACTGTTAATCACATACATTGAAAGGTGCTGAGGTGACAGAGTGGTGAGAAGATCACAATTGACTGATGATACAAACCTAAAAAATCAGTTTGAAAAAAAGGCTATTCTGTACTTACAAGGTATAGTACTTACAAGTGCTATCAAGAATACCAAATAGGAAGAATGCAGTACCTTCTCTAAAGAAGCTTCCAACATAAAAATAATATAAAGCAGCATATGACAGAAGATGTGAGGGAGAAGGAAGTTGAGTTAACTCAGTTGAGCACTTTGCAGCTTGTCAAGTATTCATTCACTCAATATTTCTTAGCCTTAACTGCAAAGTAGGTATTATTACTGCTATTACATAAATGAAGTTACTGAGGATCAAAGAAGTTAATTAAGTTGCCTAAGGCAACAGTTCAAAATAGTGCTTTCAGCGTTCCAGAAAAGAGGATACTCATTAAGGAGAAAATACTTTCAGAAATGGTTAAGACTTGGACATGGTTAAATGGGTTGAAGAAGAACATGTTTGACAGATATCCTCTCTCAAGCAGAAACAAGACAACTGAACTATGAAACATAGCTAGAGAATAGTGAGTATTCAATAGAGGGTATTGATTCTACTAGATTGTAACAAGTAGTAATGATAGATTGGTAGATTTGTAACAAGTAGTAATGATAGATTGGTAGATTTGATCAGATTAGCCACTTTGAGTAAAAAATGAGGGGATCCATTTATCCATCAGGATGAAGTGATTTGAATCATTTTTTAAAAAATATCTACATTGCAATGCAAAATATAGGAAGCCATTCATATCACACCTGTAATTTTGAAACAAAGACTATCATTTACAAGTCGTGGAGATTGGCAGATTGTTAAAACTATCTGAAGTGGTATTTTCACTTGTCAAAGGGGAATAACAATAGTATCTTCTTAAAGTTATTTAGAGGATTGAATACAATAATATGAATATTCTATATGTAAATATCTTAGTAAGTACCTAAAACATAGCCAATACTTAAAAAGTAGTAGACATTACTCAGTAATGATAATAATTATTATCAGTAAGAGAAAAAAACCACAAAAGGATGGTGGAAAGAAATGAAGTCAGGGAGAATACAGGGTATTGAAATTGTCAAGATGAACAAAAATAAAACATCTAAAATATGAGAAGAGAAAGGGTCGGAATATCAACAAATTACTCTTAGCAAGCAACACGTTGTGAAAATATTTTTCAAAAATTTTATTTAAGCCTAGATTAATCATCCTTGCATGCTCAATGTCTATAATCTCATATATCCTGCATTCTAGCTAAAAAAGCAATTATGCCTTAGTTCTACCATAGCTCCCTTGAAATGAACTTAGTGGTTATAGGGCCTACTTTTACACATTGATGCTGATACCACCTGCCTCCAGCATTTTCAGCATCTGTCAACACGTCTCCAACATTCAGGGCTGTACCTTAAATGGTAGCCTATGCCCCATTTCTTCTTAAGGAACAGAGAAGAGCCTGCACACTTCAGCTTCCCATTGGATATGAACACCTTCCTGTCTAGTTAGAAATAATCAAAAGATAAGTTACATGAAGGACTTATTTCTTTACTATTCACAAAACACAAATCTATTAACAATGTATTGTAGCAGCATGACACACTAAAATAGATATACTCTAATTCTGGCCATACGTAAACCACTTTTTTTTGTCATCCAACAGCTCGAATGAGTGATAAATTATGTCAACTTATTCTTTAGCGTATTGAGAAAAATTATACATTTAAAGGATCTGTTTCAGTTACACTGACATCAAGACTGCCTAAAACAAATTGTATCTTAGAAAGTGTGATATGTATTTTACAACCAGAAAGCTGCTCTGCAATGGGCTCAGAATATTTCCATGGGGCCAAGTACTCTGGCATGCAGACCCACAAATGAGTAAGAGCAAAATTCTCCTGTCTTGGGCCATGGCAGTTCCAGGGAGACACAGCTGTGGAGCATACCTGTTCATATTCCACACTGTCTCTAACCTCTCATGAAGATACATAAGAGAAACAAAAAATTACCCGCCAGAATGTCAGCCTCATCTATAAACTGGGTGCTGAAGAGAATTACTCTGTCTGATTTCCCCTCTTTCAGGAGATTCCATATTCGGTGCCTTGAAAGAGGATCCAATCCAGCAGTCGGTTCATCCAATAGCAAAACCTGGACAGGAGGAAAGTCCTAAAGTAATTCCACCCTTTCGGATAAGATCCTTTTAAAAAGCACTGTACTTTTAAAAGTATTTGGGAGAAACTTGTTAGTACTTAATATTTCATCCTAAAAGTTCTCTTACATTTATCATTTGAAAATTGTTTGACCTAATAAAATAATTTTATAGTCTTCAATCTGATTTCACCAGTAATTTTTGTTTGACTTACTTGAGGATCTCCTAAAATGGCAATCCCAAAAGTTAGTTTCCTATTTTGTCCACCACTTAAGTTTTGAGCAAGGATGTCTTGAATATTTTCCATTTCTAATTCCTGTACAACTCGTTGTACCTAATCAAATAAAGAATATTTAGTCCAAAACCCAGAAAGTTTATTTTAAAAACACTATCATTTTTCTGTTCTTTACAAAGGGCCTTTTTGCCTGAAATTTAGATGAGGAATTATGTATAACTTAGCACAATATTTTCTAGATAAACCGTCTCTTTTTTATGGCTATGTGACATCTAATATGCTCACATACCTCTTTCTCCACTTCATGTGGCAAAATCCCTTTTATTTTAGCAAACAGCCTGAGGTTTTCTTTCACAGTGAGAAATCCAAATTGCACATTGGATTGTGGACAAAATCCAGTGAACTTGCTGATATTTTCTATATCAGCCATTCTTGAAAGTGTGTGATTATAGACAGTGACTGAACCTGAAAGCAGAAGGCAGAGAGTGACCATCAGGAAAATGTGTCATGCTTCATTGAAGATCTTTTAAAATGGAAAACACTGTATGTCAATTATTAGATTCATTTCAACATTGTTTACTTGTAAGGAATATGCAATGAACTGATTAAAAATGTAATGTTCACAATAACATCTGATCTAGCTGGAATGCTACTTAGTAACTTAATAACCATAAAACTATTTATGACATATTTAAAACACGAACAACATTTTTCTAAATAGGTATAATACAATTCAATAAAAGAATAAGAAAAACTTCTAAAATTTTTCTCTTATATAATGAGTAATGAAACTATTGAAGTTAATTAATAAAACCAATTACATAATTTTTTTTTGGAGATGGAGTCTCACTCTGTCGCCAGGCTGGAGTGCTGTGGCACGATCTAGGCTCACTGCAACCTCCGCCTCCCAGGTTCAAGTGATTCTCCTGCCTCAGTCTCCTGAGTGGCTGGGCCTACAGGCACCTGCCACCATGCCTGGCTAATTTTTATATTTTTAGTAGAGACGGGGTTTCACCATGTTGGCCAGGATGGTCTCCATCTCTTGACCTCATGATCCACCTGCCTCGGCTTCCCAAAGTGCTGGGATTACAGGTGTGAGCCACCGTGCCCAGCCCCAGTTAAATAATTAAATGCATATTAATGTGTTTGTCCAGGTACTTGTCCTTGGATAACTGTCTTCTTACCTGATGTTGGAACTGACAACCCACTAAGTATGTTTAACAGGGTAGTTTTTCCAGCTCCACTGTGACCAAGGAGGGCAGTGATCTGGCCTTCATATATGTCAAACACCACACCTGGCATGATTTTAAAAAAAATTACACTCAGAGCCTACATATTAACTTTACAGTCTCTGAAACTGTTGTAATTTTTTGCAGCATGAATAGATTGAGCTAGCAATATTCAAAATAAAATTCATCTTAAAATTCTTTCTTTTAAAACTGTATTTCAACATTTTGTAGTGATAGTATTGTCAATATGTTATTATGCAATTAATTTTTTTGATAAAAGCAGTTTTGTCAATAAATAGAGGCTAACAATAATACAATTTTAGAGCTGGAGAATAAGATGAGCTGAAACAAAGAATTTCATAATACTATCATATATCTTTCAAACCCACACGATTTTTAATGATACATTTTAATGATACTTTTAAAAATTGTTTTATGGGTTTTTTTTTTACATTGAAGGAAACATAATGTGTTCAAATAAAGGAGAGACATATCTGGAATATCTGTGCTTAATCCCTACCAAGAAATTACAACAGTAAGGCAGCCACTAAATCAAGCAGCCCCATTAAATAAAATATTATTTTATTACCTTTCAAAGCTTCTACTCTCTCACACTTCCCTGCATATTCTTTTTTAAGATTTTTGATTCTGAAAAAAAGAGGGAAATGTTTTCAGAGAATTGTAAAAATGTGCAGAGGATTGATAAGTCAAGTCTTTGAGGCTTAATCAAAGCCTCAAAGAAAATCTGGGATTCTTTTCTTGTAAAGCCTCAAAGAAAATCTGGGGATTATTTTCTTTCACACAGGCACTGGCAGAAGCACCCAGGGCAACTAATTAGAAGCAGAATCCCTGATCTTTCCAAAATGAACAGGCTAAAATATGGAGGGCACAGCTTAGCACACGGAAATATATTGTTAGAAGAATTGTGGCAAATGACTGGATATGAGGAAAGCTGAAGATAAAATCAGTGGTGAGGAGATACTATGGTGGAAAAAAGAAGAGAAAAAACACACCATAATAGAAACAGTAGGGCTTTGGAATCTAATCATTAAATGATTCACAACTGGTGAAGTCCCAGTTGTGCTACACACCAGCTCTGTTACAAATGCTGTGTACTCAAGACTCATTGAGTTCAGTTATTCAGCAGTGATATGGGGATGACATTAATTATCACACAGAGTTGGAATGTAGAGTAAATAAGATAATATACGCAGAACACAAAATACTTGGAACCTAGTAAACTTCCAAAGAAGATGAGAGAGGAGGAAAAAGACCAGGAAAATGATTTAAAACAAAGAAAGATTCTTAAAAGAGGGCAAAGAAAAATATTTTATCAGGAAAAATAACTAATGGGTACTAGACTTAATACCTAGGTGATAAAATAATCTGTAGAACAAACCCCCATGACACAACTTTACCTATGTAATGAACCTCCACATGTACCCCTGAACTTAAAATAGAAGTTAAAAAGAAGAAAAAAGATTTTAAGTGAGTTCAAGGACTACTTACTATAAGCCAGATCCAAAGCATTTTGTCTACATTTTTACTTACATTATCACAACAAACCAGCAGGTAGGTTGTATTCGCCTGCTTGGGCTGCTATAACAAAATACCATAGACTAGGTGGCTTAAAGAACAGACATTTATTTCTTATAGTTCTGAAGGATGGGAATTCCAAGATCAAGGTGTCAATAGATTTGGCTTCTGATGAGGGCTCTCTTCCTGGCTTGCAAAGAGCTGCCTTCTTGCTGTGTCATCACATGGCAGAGAGAGGGAAAAAGTGCAAGCTCTCTTGTGCCTCTTCTTATAAATACACTAGTTCCAGCAGGAAGGCCCCACCCTCATGATCTCATCTAACCCTAATTACTTCCTAAGACTTTATCTTCAAATACCATCATTTTAAGGGTTAGGGTTTCAACATATAAATTTTGAGGGGATATAATTCAATTTATCGAAGAGGTACAATCCAGTTAAATACAGAAGTAACTGAAGAGACTGGGCATTCAGATGCAATGACTTTCAAGTTGAGCACGTATGGATTCAAATACTGTTTCTCTTTTTAAACTTCGTAGCCTTGGGCAAGTTGGTTTTTCCTAGTCTCTTTTTCCCTATCTTTTCTTTTTAAAACAATAATAGGTATCAGCTTGCTTTATTCCTTCATTTCATCTAAGCAATAGAAATGATAAATTTTTTCCATATGTTTTGATAGCATTTAACTTTCATGTTTAGATTGTAGATTATTAGATTAGAATCTATACTGTGGTTGGTATAATAATACCTTTTAATTGACATTTCACTTTTCTGCCTTCTATACTGAGAGGTGATTATGAGTCCAGCTGGCTTCACCTCTGGGATAGAATGGTGCAGTCTTCAGAACTCTGTGCACTGGTCTGTTGGGTGCCGCACCAGCCACAGTAATGACGCAGGACTGGCAGTCTTGAGTAGCCATGCCACAGATAAAATCTCCTACACTTTCCTAACAGTCAGCTATGTGAGACCCTGCTTCCAATCTCCACCCGTTGCTAGGGATAATTTTTCTAGACCATAAGACTAGTCTTATTACCCACAATTTGCAAATCTTCAATACCCTCCTCCTTGCCCAATGGATAAATTAAAACCCCTTATTTCATCATTCAAGGCTTCCTATGATCTCTCTGATAGGACCTAATTCTGTTATAGGCACTGGAAAGAACATAAAACTTAGAGTTCCAGCTTAGAAAGATGTCATGATTCTTGAAAAGATTGCTATGTTTACATGCTCATAAGGAATGAGCAAATGCTGCTCTTTGTTGTATGTTCATATTGGACCTATGTTCAGAGACTGTATCATAAATGTCCTGAGTTAAAATATTACTGAAAGAGATATATCAGAAAGGTATTACTGAGGAGTGAGATGAATACAACATTGAATGATGAACAAAATTTGAGCAAAGATCTGGGGTATTAGAGATTTCTAGCTGTTTGGAAATCAAAGCAACCAGAATTGAATAAAGCATGTCCATCATCTAAGAGGGAAGATAGGCATGAAACTAACAGTCCTGACTTCTGATGTTTCCTTCCCATCTCTCTGGAGTGTCCTCTTCCCATGCCTGCATCGCTTGCCTCTTTCTCCTCATCTAATTATAAGCCAGGAAGGGAAGATGAGAGGGACAAATTGAATTAATAAAAAAGGGGGTTGAGAATAATAGCAAGGGAGACGATGGCAGTGTTTGTCACAAAGAGAACAACTCAGGGGAGAAAAACACAAAGAGGAGAAATAAGAAAGATAATGTGGAAAATGGAAATTCAAAAATTATTTACTTGTGGACGGTTGTTACTATACCATGAAATATTAGTAAATGTAAGTGCTGAGAATGTGAGAAAATAGAGTGCTATGAAGGATGAGTATAGCCTTTGATGAGTGCAGCAGGCTGGCTGTAGGTGGGTACAGAGGGCACAGAAGGCGATCTTTGCTCCTAGTGTGTCACCTGACAGATCCCCAGTCTCTGCCTGTTCTCCATTGGTGCCTCCAAGTAATTTATTGGTTACCTGATGGCTTCTTTCCCACAGAATTCTGGAGACACTGGTTCAAAACAGTCATTAGGTGTAGGATCAGAATCTGTTTCATTCTCAAGGACCACATGATTAGCCCTTCCGTGTTGAAACCAAAAACAGGATTTCAGGAAAAACAAGGGAGAACATCGATGTCCATATTCAGCTATGTGAGCAGGAGGCAATTGAATACTGGGTCAGTCATCGCTTCAAGGATTCCATCAGCATATCAGTGCAGCCCCTTTGACATTAAACCTGAACCCACATTATCATATTAAGGTCTGTATTAATTACTGTTTTAATGTGCTTTTGACACACACAGAACAGTGAGGAGAAAATAACAGAGATGGCTAATATGACGTTTTTAACATGAGAAGCATGTAGCATTGTTAACTAACTAAAAAGCTCCTCAAAATGCAGAGAGATGTCTCAGGAGGAATTTAAATCTAATTAAGAACAATTTTCTATCTAGCTGTACTTATGTGTCCTTTTTATTTTTTATTTTTTAAGATGGAGTCTCACTCTGTCACCCAGGCTGCAGTCCAGTAGCATGATCCCGGCTCACTACAACCTCTGCTTCCCGGGTTCAAGCAATTCTCCTGCTTGTGATTTCCTCCATTTGGATTAGATAAGGTCAATACACCAAGAATAATAGTAAATGTCATAACACTAATGATACATTCCAAAATTTCTTACTTGGGAAGTTTTAAAATAATCAGCGAGTCATTATTCTGTATCAGTACTCCCAGAAACGTGATGAATAAACTATTCAGAAGGTCTCTTCCTTCCCTTCATTTCCCAATTTCCCTTTCTGCCTCTTCCTTAGCACTTACCTAGTATATACGAGGAATTGACAGACAGACCCCAGAGATGCACAGATGAAGATTTTGTTTCTCTATAGGAAAGATTGTACATAAGGGCGGCATGGTAGCTCATGCCTGTAATTCCAGCAGTTTGGGAGGCCAAAGGGGCAGATCACCTGAGGTCAGGAGTTCAAGACAGCCTGGTCAACATGGTGAAACCTCGTCTCCACTGAAAACACAAAAATTAGCCAGGCATGGTGGGGCATGTCTGTAGTCCCAGCTACTCAGCAGGCTGAGGCACGAGAATCACTTGAACCCGGGAGGCAGAGGTTGCAGTGAGCAGAGATCGCGCCACTGCACTCCAGCATGGGTGACAGAGCGAGACTTCTCAAAAAAAAAAAAAAAAAAAGGAAAGAAAGAAAGGAAAGATTGTACATCGACTATGCAATTATAATATTTTTACTAATAACCCACTATTGTATATCAAGTGAGTTAAATGGGAAAGCACTTAGAGATTTCTAAGATCAAGTATCAAGCACCAGCATTCTTCATCTAGTTCTGACATAAACACTAATAGTATCATCATCCATAATCTCTCACAAGTGTCTCTTTTTAAAAAGAAACACTCTGGAGTGTTATAGCAGAGCCAAGTCTTAGAAAGTGATTCTATAAACAAACTATAGAATATCATTAGGCTTGTTGTAGAAATTTTGAAAAACTGCTTGCTAATTTTTATTTAGTACATTGTAGAGTTGTTTTAAAGACATGCAATTATTGAAATTGTGTTAAATTACAGCCATGTTAGTACTTACCGGGCAAAATTTTGTCAAAATATAATGTCAATACCAAATACAGAAGGGTGTCAAAAACCAACATGAAAAGAGTAGCTATTATGAGGTATGGATTTTGTGAAGAATCCAAGTGGGCATTAGAATTCACATCATAGTCCAAATGTATAAGCTGAAAAAGAAAGATACAGTGAATTTTAAAAGAATTAATATGGCATTAAGAATTATTATTGTTTTATTTCTGCTACAACTGGGTTTGCAAAGATAAATAAGATATAATCTTGTCTCTACAGAGCTCTGTCTACTATTATAGAAGACAATTTTAATAGCAATGAAGTGATGTCAATTTGGGAAATGAATGGAAGTTAGTACTAGTACTGAGTACTAAGAAACCCACAGGCAGCCCCAGGTACATTTTCTAGGAGGAAGTACAAACTCAAGAAAGGTGATATTTGAGCTGGACCTAATATAGTTTACAAAACTCTGTATGTCAGTACAAGAAGTGTTTTTAAATTTTTTGTTTATTTGTTTGTTTTTTGAGACAGGGTCTCACTCTGTTACCCAGGCTGGAGTACAGTGGTGCTATTTCAACTCACAGCAGGCTCAGCCTCCTGGACCTAGGTGATTCTCCCACATCAGCCTCCAGAGTAGCTAGGACTACAGATGCACTCCACCATGACTGGCTAATTTTTTTTTATTTGTGGAGATGGGGTTTCACCATGTTGCCCAGGGTGGTCTTGAACTTCTGCCACAGGAGATCCACCCATCTTAGCCTCCCAAAGTGCTATGATTTACAGGTGTGAGTCACAGCATCAGTCTTTAAAAATTCTTTTTGATGGCTGCACATTTTCCATTGTATGGATGGACTGTAATTTATTTAACCAGTAATCTACCAATGGACATTTACGTTGTTTTCAATCTTATTACAGACTGTGCTGCAATAGGACTTTTTTGGGCTTAGAATGAGAAAAAAGGAGGGCATTCTCAACAAGGAAGTCCATTTCAGAGTGAAAACATGAAACAGTAAAATACTTCAGTAGTTGGGCAGAAGACAGAAGAATAATGTCTTAACTGGACTGCGGTAGGATACAATGAGTTTATATCTAGCAGAACCTTTCATTTAGCATATTATAGTTATGATATCATAACTAAAATTAACTTTTCTGAGACAAGGTTCAGTTTCATGTAGAAATGAGCAATTAAAAAATAAAGATATATTTATTCCAAATTCCTGGTTTTTAAATGCTTGTGATAACATTAAGGGTCATGTTTCCTGAGCACTGAATGAGACAAATGTTCTCTGGGACAACCAATTAGAAGTAGAAGCTGAAACATCTCAATAATAAGGGTATGATCCTATATTTAGTGACTTATGGGGAAACTAATTACACTGAGAGAGAAAAATTAAAGTCACTCCTGTCTCATACATGTTTATTTTTACAAAAGTTATAGAATGGAATGCTTAGAGCATGTTGTGTGAATTATTAAGAGGGAATCTGTGTAGAACGGTTTGTAAAAAGTGAAAGTGTTACCTTAACTCTTACCTGGGCCATCCCAACAGTGAAGGCAAAGGGGCTAAGAAGACACAAAGTCCATTCCAAAAATGCAGGAAGACGTGTATACAATGCTGGGAATCCCAGGATCCCCCAAAAGACAATAAGGAGAAACACAACCAAGCCCGTAAGGAAAGGTTTCTTTATCAACACACTCATCAGGAAAGCTAAAGTTATCTGAGAAAAGAGAAAGACTTCAGCTGGTATATAATTCTGTGAGAACAGTAGCACAAAAAAGGAATTTTATATTATAAAAGTATATTTTATATTTTTCCACCCCTAGACACTGTTTCATGCAAATACTACAAAGAGAACAAAAGAGGTGAGACCAGAATTAGTGATAAATTATTGGCAGTAGAGAGAGAGAAAGAGAATAAAAGACTTAGATGAAATTAACCAACTCACCAAAGACAGGCCATAGAGGAGAAAGAGGGTGAAGACCATCACAAAACCAGTCAGGACGACAATTTGTGCAGATTTTACAATAAGAGCCATTAAAGTGGCCATGATAAGGATGAAGCCAGCATACATCAAACCCCAGGAAAGCCTAGCAGAGAAACAAAGCCGTCAGTTAGAATGTTGTTACTTCATCACTTCCTTGATTCATTTATTCAGCAAATGATTTGTGAAGCTCACCATTTATCAAGGGTAAAGGAAAAGAAAATGCAATAGCTAACTTATCTCCTACCCTCAGGATCACATAATATAAAAGAAGGTAGGCAATAAACAAGTAGAGAGGAAAATTGATAACTAAATTGCAAAATAAGTAAAGCTGGATGATACAATGGATGTCACTGGGAGAGGTTTCCAGAGAGAGCTTTTCTGGGAAGACATCTATGCTGATTTCTCAGCTCTGGACAAGTTTTTCAGTAAGGTTATTGTATAAATAATATGGACAAAAAAGTAGATAATGGAGCAGGGTTCAGCAAACTTTTTTTCTAAATAGCCACATTGTGAATATTTTCAGCTTTGCAGGCTGTACAGTTTCTGTTGCCATTGTAGCACAAACACAGTCATAAACAATATGTTAGTGATGTGTGGCTGTGTTTCAATAAAATGTATTTATGGACAACAAAATTTGAATTTCATATACATTTTCACATGCCACAAAATATTATTGTTCATTGAATTTTTTTCCCAAGCATTTATAAATGTAAAAGACATCTAGCCAAACTAAGCTTCATAAGTGAAGGAGAAATAAAATTCTTTACAGACAAGCAAATGCTGAGGGATTTTGTCACCACCAGGCCTGCCTTTCAAGAGCTCCTAAAGGAAGCACTAAATGTAGAAAGAAAAAACCAATAGCAGCTACTGCAAAAACAAGCCAAAATATAAAGACCAACGACACTATGAAGAAATTGCATCAACTAATGTGCAAAATAACCAGCCAGCATCATGATGACAGGATCAAATTCACACATAACAATATTAACCTTAAATGTAAATGGGCTAAATGCCCCAATTAAAAGACACAGATGCCAGTATCCAATTTGCCGAATTGGATAAAGAGTCAAGACCCATTTGTGTGCCGTATTCAAGAGACCCATCTCAGGTGCAAAGACACACATAGGCTCAAAATAAAGGAATGAAGGAATATTTACCAAGTAAATGGAAAGCAAAAAAAAAAAAAAAAAAAAAAAAAAAGCAGAGGTTGCAATCCTAGTCTCTGATAAAACAGACTTTAAACCAACAAAGATTAAAAAAAGACAAAGAAGGCCATTACATAATGGTAAAGGGATCAATGCAACAAGAAGAGATAAGTATCCTAAATATATAGGCACCCAATACAGGAGCACCCAGATTCATAAAGCAAGTTCTTAGAGACCTACAAAGACACTTAGACTCTGACACAATAATAATGGGAGACTTTAACACCCCACTGTCAATATTAGACAGATCAATGTGACAGAAACTTAACAAGGATATTTAGGACTTGAACTTAGCTATGGACCAAGCAGACCTAATAGACATCTACAGAACTCTCCACCCAAAATCAACAGAATATACTTTCTTCTCAGCACCACATAGCACTTATTCTAAAATCGACTACATAATCGGAAGTAAAACACTCCTCAGAAAATGCAAAAGAACGGAAATCATAACAAACAGTTTCTCAGACCACAGTGCAATCAAATAAGAACTCAGGATTAAGAAATTCACTCAAAACTGCACAACTACATGGAAACTGAATGACCTGCTCCTGAATGACTACTGGGTAAATAACAAAATTAAGGCAGAAATAAATAAGTTTTTTGAAATCAATGAGAACAAAGACACAACATACCAGAATCTCTGGGACACAGCTAAAGCAGTGTTTAGAGGAAAATTAATAGCACTAAATGCCCACAGGAGAAAACGGGAAAGGTCTAAAATTGATACCCTAACATCACAATTAAAAGAACTGGAGAAGCAAGAGCAAACAAATTCAAAAGCTATCAGGAGACACAAAATAACTAAGATCAGAGCAGAACTGAAGGGGATAGAGACATGAAAAACCCTGCAAAAAAAATCAATGAATCCAGGAGCTGTTTTTTTTAAAAGATTAACAAAATAGATAGACTTCTAGTCAGACTAATAAAGAAGAAAAGAGAGAAGAATCAAATAGATACAACAAAAAATGATAAAGGGGATATCACCACTGATCCCACAGAAATACAAACTACCATCGGAGAATATAATAAACACCTCTACGCAAATAAACTAGAAAATCTAGAAGAAATAGATAAATTCCTGGACACCTACAACCTCCCAAGACTAAACCAGGAAGAAGTTGAATCCCTGAATTGACCAATAACAAGTTCTGAATTGAGGCCATAATTAATAGCCTACCAACCAAAAAAAGCTCAGGACCAAACAGATTCACAGCTGAATTCTACCAGAAGTACAAAGGGGAGCTGGTACCATTCATTCTGAAACTATTCCAAACAATAGAAAAAGAGGGACTCCTCCCTAACTCATTTTATGAGGCCAGCATCATCCTGATACCAAAACCTGGCAGAGACACAATAAAAAAAGAAAATTTCAGGCCAATATTCCTGATGAACATTGATGCAAAAATCCTCAATAAAATACTGGCAAACGGAATCCAGCAGCACATCAAAAAGTTTATCCACCATGATCAACTTGGCTTCATCCCCGGGATGCAAGGCAGGTTCAACATATGCAAATCAATAAATGTAATCCATCATATAAACAGAACCAGTCACAAAAACCACATGATTATCTCAAGAGATGCAGAAAATGCCTTCAATAAAGTTCAACACCCCTTCATGCTAAAAACAGTCAATGAACTAGGTATTTATGCAACATATCTCAAAATAATAACAGCTATTTATGACAAACCCGTAGCCAATATCATACTGAATGGGCAAAAGCAGAAACATTCTCTTTGAAAACCAGCACAAGACAAGGACGCCCTCTCTCACCACTCCTATTCAACATAGTATTGGAAGTTCTGGCCAGCACAATCAGGCAAGAGAAAGAAATAAAGGGTATTCAAATAGGAGGAAAGGAAGTCAAATTGTCTCTGTTTGCAGACAACATGATTGTATATTTAGAAATCTCCATCGTCTCAGCCCAAAAACTCCTTAAGTTGATAAGCAACTTCAGCAAAGTCTCAGGATACAAAATCAATGTGCAACAATCACAAACATTCCTATACACCAATAATAGACAGACTGCCAAATCATTAGTGAACTCCCATTCACAATTGCTACAAAGAGAATAAAATACCTAGGAATACAACTTACAAGGGATACTAAGGACCTCTTCAAGGAGAACTACAAATAACTGCTCAAGGAAATAAAAGAGGACACAAACAAATGGAAAAACATTCCATGCTCATGGATAGGAAGAATCAATATTGTGAAAATGGCCATACTGTCCAAAGTAATTTATAGATTCAATGCTATTCCCATCAAGCTACCGTTGACTTTCTTCATAGAATTAGAAAAAACTACTTTAAATTTCATATGGAACCAAAAAAGAGCCCACATAGCCAAGACAATCCTAGGCAAAAAGAACAAAGCTGGAGGCATCACACTATTTGACTTCAAACTGTACTGAAAGGCCACAGTAACTAAAACAGCATGGTACTGGTACCAAAACAGATATATAGACAAATGGAGAGCCCTCAGAAATAACACTGCACATCTATAGCCATCTGATCTTTGACAAACGTGACAATAACAATAAATAGGGAAAGGATTCCCTATTTAATAAATGATGTTGGGAAAACTGGCTAGCCAAATGCAGAAAACAGAAACTGGACCCCTTCCTTACACCTTATACAAAAATTAACTCAAGATGGATTAAAGACTTGAACATAAGATCTAAAACCTTAAAAACCCTAGAAGAAAACCTAGGCAATACCATTAAGATATAGCCATAGGCAAAGACTTCATGACTAAAACACTGAAAGAAATAGCAACAAAAGCAAAAATTGACAAATGGGATCTAATCAAACTAAAGAGCTTCTGCAGATCAAAGGAAACTACAATCAGAGTGAACAGGCAACCTACAGAATGGGAGAAAGTTTTTGCAGTCTATCCATCTGACAAAGGTCTACTATCCAGAATCTACAAGGAACTTAAACAAATTTACAATAAAAAAACTAACAACCCATCAAAAAGTAGGCAAAGGATATGAACAGACACTTCTCAAAAAGAAGACACTTATGCAGCCAACAAACATATGAAAAAAAGCTCATCATCACTAGTCATTAGAGAAATACAAATCAAAACCACAATGAGATACCATCTCACACCAGTTAGAACGGTGATCATTAAAAAGTCAGGAAACAACAGATGCTGGAGAGGATGTGGAGAAATAGGAATGCTTTTATATTGTTGGTGGGAGTGTAAACTAATTCAACCATTGTGGAAGACAGTGTGGCAATTCCTCAAGGATCTAGAACTAGAAATACCATTTGACCCAGCAATCCCATTACTGGGTATATACGCTAAGGATCATAAATCATTCTACTATAAAGACACATGCACACGTATATTTATTGCAGCACTATTCACAATGGCAAAGACTTGGAACCAACCCAATGCCCATAAATGCTAGACTGGATTTAAAAAATGTGGCACATATACACCATGGAATATATGCAGCCATAAAAAAGAATGAGTTCATGTCAATTGCAGAGACATGCATGAAGCTGGAAAACATCATTCTCAGCAAACTATCACAGGAACAGAACACCAAACACCGCATGTTCTCACTCAAAAGTGAGAGTTGAACAATGAGAACATATGGGCACAGGGAGAGGAACATCACACACTGGGACCTTTCAGGGAGTAGGGAGCAAGAGGAGAGATAGCATTAGGAGAAATATCTAATGCATGTGGGGCTTAAAACTTAGATGAAAGGTTGATGGTTGCAGCAAACCACCATGGCACATGTATACCTATGTAACAAACCTGCACATTCTGCACATGTATCCCAGAACTTAAAGTATGATAAAAAATGTAAAAGAAATTCCTAATTTGCAAATTGTACAAAAACAGCTGATAGATTACCAATCCCCAATATAGATAATTAGATATAGATACACATTTATACATACCCACAGGACACAGATAGATACAGACATATAGACGAATATGAAGATATCTTTTCCCTTACTATCAATGCCAAATAAACAGGAAGAAAGTTCTTTAAAGGAGAAAGAGAAAAAGCTTTCTAATCACAGATCTGAGTTAGTTCCAGTTTCTCCTGCTACATTGTAACTATATAATCCTGAGAGGTAGTTATTTAATCTCTTCAAACTTCAGTTTTTTCTGGTGGAAAACAGGAAAATTAAATGAAATTATTTATTTTATGGGTTTAATATGGCAACTGGCTTATAGTGTGTCCACAATGAACAGTTAGTTTTTATTTAAAGTAGAAAATGCCATCATGTTTTGGGATGGCTTATTTTTAAGGGCTAATTGTAATAACTCCCTTTGCACAGTACACTTTCATTCATCTGAAATTGTTCATCTATATTCTATAAACTCTCCTTAGTTCCACTTAAATGCTGTACAAGTAAAATGCCTTAGGCTTTTCTTATGAGAGGAAAAAAAATGCCCTGATTTTTAATCCTTTCTCACTGGATTATTATTTTTAAAATCATCTTGGTTATTTTTCTATAATTCTTTGTATATCATTTTTTAAAAAATAGGCTGGGGTGGCGGCTCACACCTGTAATCACAGCACTTTGGGAGGCCGAGGCAGGTGGATCACTTGAGGTCAGGAGTTCAAGACCAGCCTGGCCAACATAGTGAAACTCTTTCTCTACTAAAAGTACAAAGATTAGCCGGGCATGGTGGCACTCGCCTGTAGTCACAACTACTAGGGAGGTTGAGGCAGAAGAATCACTTGAACCCGGGAGGGGGAGGTTGCAGTGAGCCAAGATCACGCCACTGCACTCCAGCCTGGGTGACGGAGCAAGACTCTGTCTCAAAAAAATAAAAAAAAAGAAAGAAATTATCTATCTATCTATCTATCTATCTATCTATCTTGACCAAATTTTTTTAGTACTGAGTTAACTCAATTTTGATACAGAAAAGGACATCAGAGAAAAACTTTCATCATAAACCAAAGAAGTAATTCATCTTCTCCACTTCTCCACCCGGTATATTGAACACTTGTGTAGAAAATCACATAAACTTTATTTTTTTCTACTCAGTAATGTCTAATATTCTTTGAAAGCCTATGTAGCATACGCCCAGAACCCTTATATGCATTCTACATATCTTATTTAACAGGGAGATAATATCACAGTGTGTAAAGGGCAAATTCAAGATTCAAGCCATTTCTTTCTGACTCCAGAACTCAGGCTTTTACTGCATCTGTCTCTAATGCATCACTTGGCTAAACTCTTGAAACTATCTTGCCATTAATTGACAATTCAACCCTTGTTTCCTAACTTGCCTCTACTGTCATCTCTGGCCATAAAGCTCCCCATATCTCCATCAACTGACACTTAATATTGAGTGTTTATTCTTAACCACCATGTAAAACATTTTAGATACATTTCTTTCTTTTAATTCTCAGGACCAATGAGAGGTGCATATTATTATCTACGTTTTACAGAAGAGAAAACTGAAGTTTAAAGAGTTTAAGTAATTTTCCAAGATGGTAGCTACTGAATGCTGAGATGGAGACAACCCGTGGCTTCTTGCCTCCCAGGCTTACCACAGTGCTCTACGGCCTCAGCTAAAATATCTCAATGTTTAAAGAACATAAAAGGTTTTCTTTTTGCTCAGTGTCATAAAAGTGATGACTCATCCAACACTGGGTCAAAAATCAATCACCATTCCTAACATAAGGTATCTGAAACATGTATTTTACTGAATATTGGAAACCTCACGTGTTTGTGTATTTGGGTTCACCCATATATGGTAACTAGTGACCAAGTAATCATCTGGCGCCCTGAGTATTGGCAAACATCTACAGGATAAGGCTGTCTTTAAGTCAAATAAATTTGGAAAGTTTCAAGTCACCAAGTCTGCATGGTCATCTGCTCAACTCATTTATAAACATACTACTTTATGAAAGTGGCAACATTTGTATTGCTTTAGAGATCTAAGGCAGCAGTCCCCAACCTTTTTGGCACCAGGGACCAGTTTCATGGAAGACAGTTTTTCCACAAACAGGAGTGGGGAGATGGTTTTGGGATGATGCATGTGGATTACATTTATTGTGCACTTTATTTCTATTATTATTACATTGTAATATATAATGAAATAATTATACAACTTACCATAATGTAGAATCAGTAGGAACCCTGAGCTTGTTTTCCTGCAACTAGATCCCATCTGGGGGTGATGGGAGACAGTGACAGATCATCAGGCATTGGATACTCATAAAGAGCCCGCAACCTAGATCTCTTGAGTGACAGATCATCAGGCATTGGATACTCATAAGGAGCCCGCAACCTAGATCTCTCACATACACAGTTCACAATAGAGTTTGAGCTTCTGTGATACTCTAATAACGTGGCTATTCTGACAGGAGGTGGAGCTCAGGTGGTAATGTGAGCAATAGGGAGTGGCTGTAAATATACATGAAGCTTTGCTCACTTGCCTGCCACTCACCTCCTGCTATGTGGCCTGGTACCTAACTGGCCATGGACCAGTAGCAGTCTGTGGCCTGGGGCTTGGGGACCCCTGGTCTAAGGAGTCAACCAGCTAAGTTGTTCTGTTTGTTTATGCTGTATAATGGATTGGAGTCATATGATTTACCAGAATGCTGACTCTCGGAGTCCCATCATTGTCATCAATGACGTAATGTATTGTCTTTCTTGTGTAACATTGACTGATACATAGTATATAAATGTAGAAAAAGAAATAATGCAAAAGAAAATGAAAAAATCAGTTGCAACTCCTCCTTGGGCAACAAAAGGTAATATCTTCATATGTACACCAGTAACTGACATCAGCTGTTCCATCACTGAATGATTTGTTGCGATCTGAAGAAAGATATCAATGAACAAATTGTTATCATCAATCTAATTCCAACCTTAGGCTTTTTCTCTAAATTATAAGGAATCACGTACATTCTACATTTATGTATTTTATGTTTATATGCCCTTCATGATCTGGCCCCTTGTGGTTCCTGGAACACTTTAGGTTTTGTCGTGACTCCTTAGAACATCATCAACCTCACTGGACAAAACGCTACTCCTGTTTTAAGACTAGCTGAAATGTCACTTCAATTAGCAAATTTTCCCTGATGTTTCTTATCAGAGTATATCCTGCTTCATTGTTTGCCTAGTACACCATTTTAAATTCCATGATAGAATCAGGCATGGTGGCATGGTCTGTAATCCCAGCTACTTGGGAGGCTGAGGTAGGAGGATCACTTGAGCCCAGAAGTTTGGGGGCTGCAGTGAGCTATAATCATGTCTGTGAATAGCCACTGCATTCCAGCCTGGGCAACAGAGTAAAACTTTGTCTCTAAGAAAAACAAAGTTAAAAATAAAAAATTCTATGATAGAATCTAAACTCTTATTATGACTATATATCCATGTTTCTATCTCCCCCTATACCAGTATCCCTGGAGAAAAATGCCTGTGTTCTACTTATTTTCTGATCCCCAGTACTTAGTACAATGGTTTTATTATGGAAGTTGTTCTGTATATTGTGCCTTATTAATGAAGTGAATAAATGATAGAATAGGATAATCCATTAAATCACCATCCAGCAAAATTCAAATGCAATGTGGTTAGATTCCTTTAACTTTATACTCACTTCTATGATAGCAGCATTAATGGCAGCTTGAAAAGCTACAAAGCCTTTCTCCCAGAACTCTGAACCTTCACACTTCATTTTTTCATTCACTGCTTGACAGTGAGCTTTAGAAGAAGAACACATCCATTATTACGGAATGATACAATCTTGGCTACAGAAAAAAACAAAATTTCAAATGTTTCAAAATGCAAAGTCCATGATAATATAGTGGATGGTAAGTCTTCTCAGTTGAGAGTTGCAGAGCACACCCAAACGGAATATAGCAGAATTACTTTACGAATATTTTTAAGACCAGTTCTCAATGATTTTTCATTATATTTTATAATTCTTTCCATTGGTCAAGATTGCTTTCCTTGAGCTTGGATCTTCTGTTGCTTACGTCAAGAAAGCACTAAACTTTAAGAAAATGTTTGGGAATCAATGAGCAAGATCATTTTGTTCAGGTTTTTTTTAGGAGCAACTTAGAAATAAGAGTAAATATAATTTCTTAATAAAACAATGTACTTAAGCACATAAGCTTCATTTAATAAATATGAATCTCCTTTATGTTCAGAAATTAAAGCTCTATGTTGTGGTTGTATATGTTTGTGTAGTTTCACCTCTGCTATCAGGTATGCCCCCTTTGTGGCTACTGATACAATAGCAAAAAAAATTTTTTTCTTCTTCAAAAGTTACCTGAATGGTCTCTGTGCTCTTTCATCATGGGGATTCTATGTCCCCAAGAAAACTTCAAATGGTAGGAGAAGGTATCAGTAAAGATGACTCTCACTGCGTCTATTGAATAGTTCAAATCCAATTCATCCATGCTTTTTTCATCAGGCCACCCCATGATTGTTCTTCCTGCCATGTGAAGAAAACAAAAGAAATAGTTAAGCAAGAAAATCTCTACCTGGCCATATTCAATTATGTTGAGGTTATTTTATGTTAAAGCTATTCCTTCCTAAAGGCAGTGCTGGGCCTAAATAAGACATGGAGGGGAGGGGGGTGGGAATTTCTGATGTTCTAGATAAAATCAGAAATTTATGGCAAACATTTGTATTGCAAATATAACTTACCCTTCCAAATAAATCATTTAAACAATGTATCATTCTGTTCTTACATTGCTATAAGAAAATACCGAGACTGGGTGATTTATAAAGAAAGAAGTTTAATTGACTCACAGTTCCCTATGACTGGGGAAGCCTCAGGAAACTTACAATCATAGCAGAAGGTACCTCTTTCCAGGGAGGCAGGAGAGAGAATGAGTGCAAGCAGGGGAAATGCCAGATGCTTATAAAACCATCAGATTTCATGAGAACTCACTCACTTTCATGAGAATAGCATGGGAGAAACCACCCCCATAATCCAATCACTTTCCACTAGGTCCCTCCCTTGACTCATGGGGATTGTGGGGATTATGGGGATTACAATTCAAGATAAAATTTTGGGTGGAGACACAGCCAAACCATATCAAACAATAATTTAACGCACAATGAATTTCAAAAAATTATTGCTATTGGAAATTCCAACGGTATTGGAAATAATCATTGGTATTGGTACTGGTATAAATATTGATATTGGAAATACCAATACATCAATTTAAATTCATATACAAACAAACCTATCTAAAGTTGGAATATATGCTGCAATTATAGTACACATCTTCATTTGGAAGTGATGTCAATGTAGCCAAATTTCCAAAGACAGAATAAAACTGTTGCATTTAGATAGTGTTTCCTTAAGAGACTTTGTTTATTCTAAAATATGTAGTGTAAATGGCTGACTGTTACTGATCTAACCCAGGCCATTTAACCCATATAAGCGCACCCTCCTGGTGCAATTCAGCAAGTTCTTTTGTCCTCGGTATTTCCTACAATCCAGCAGCTAGATCCAGAGGCTTAACCAGACTCAGGTCTAATCCTTTTTTGCCAGCCGATAGGTGTTGATGTGTTGTTTTATGAGAGGCTTATAATTTCTAGTTGTTTCTCTTTTTGAGATATTCCAGCTGTTGACCCTCAGTGCCTAGGTCCATTAATTCAATGGGAGTTTCAAAATGGTGATGTTTTATTTCTATCATTTCTTTTTCATCTACTAATATAAAACATTTATAAAATAATATTTTCTATTATCTATTTGGTTGTGCAATAGTTCACGTGGGATATGTGCTTGTATTTTCTCTTTATTTGCTATTTTCCATAATAAGAACTCATCACAATAGGCTGAGTATCTCTTATCACACACTCAAGACAAGAAGTATTTTGGGTTTCAATTTCTTTTTGGATTTTATAATATTTTCATACACATAATAAGAAATCTTGAGGATGCAACCCAAGTCTAAATGTGAAATTCATTTATGTTTCACATACACTTTATACACATTGCCTGAAGGCGATTTTATACTATATATATATATATATATATATATATATATATATATAAAATTTTATATATATAGAAAATTTTATATATATATATATAATTGTTGTTTGTTGGTTTGTGTTTTTGAGATGGACTTTCACTCTGTCACTGAGGCTGGAGTGCAGTGGCACGATCTCGGCTCACTGCAACCTTCACCTCCTGAGTGCAAGTGATTCTCCTGCCTCAGACTCCCAAGTAGCTGAGATTACAGGCACATGCCACCACACCCAGCTAATTTTTGTATTTTTAGTAGAGATGGGGTGTCACCATGTTGGCCAGGTTAGAACTCCTGACCTAAGATGATCCGCCCACCTCAGCCTCCCAAAGTGCTGGAATTACAGCACACTCAGCCTATACAATATTTTAAATGATTTTGTGCATAAAACAAAGTTTTTACTGCTTTTTCACTGTGACCGATCACATGAGGTGTATTGGTCTGTTTGCACACTGCTATAAAGACATAGCCAAGACTGGGTGATTTATAAAGGAAAGAGGTTTAATTGGCTCACAGTTCTGCATGGCTGGGTGAAGCAGGAAATATAAGAAAAACAAGTAAAGAGAAAACAAGTCCTTCCCTGACCAGGCTGACTCACTCCAAAGTGCAGCTGGAGCTATGATAACATTATCTGCAAGGCCAGGCAGGGGCCCCAGAGAAATGGATTCCAAGAGCAGGGAGGAGAAAAACAAGTTCTTATCAGTCTCTGCCTGAAATTCTCTCCCCATGCTATCATTCTTTGTTCTGCTCTTATAATTACTTTTGTAACTATTTCTGCAAGTTTGCAAGGATTTTGTAAGTTCCTGTTTTCCCATTTGTGCAGGATGGCAAAGGTCACAAGACATGCCTAAGTTGCAAAACCTGTCACAGTTTGATTAACTGCCTTTGTTCTGTTCTCACTTTCCCCATCCTGCAAATTTCACGCCACTGGCTAGCCACCCCACTTCAGTTGCATGAATAAAAGTCAAGCCCTGTCTTTGTTCGTGGCTCAGCCTCTGGATATTAATCTGCTGGGCCAGTGGCCACCTAAATAAAATCCTCCTGTTCCACCCATATGGTCTTTCTGGTCTCCTGATTCCTGCAACGTGGGGAGACCTCAGGACACTTACAATCATGGCAGATGGGGAAGCAGGCACCTTCACAATGTGGCAGGAGAGACAGGAAGCAAAGGGGGGAAAACCCCTTATAAAATCATTAGATCTTGTGAGAACTCACTATCATGAGAACAGCATGGGGGAAATTGCTCCCATGATCCAATCACTTCCCTCCCTCAAAACATGGAGATTACAGGTCCCTTCCTCCACATGTGGGGATTACAATTCAAGATGAGATTTGGGTGTGGACACAGAGTCAAACCTATCATGAGGTCAGGTGTGGAATATTCCACTTATGCATCATGTCAGGCTCAAAAGGCTTCAGATTTTGGAGCATTTCTGATTTTGGGTTTTAGAATTAGGGGTGCTCAACCTGTATCATCCTCTAACGGTAAAACGGTTAGTTATATTTTTCATTTAATAACTTGACGAAAGCATGGACTTACGCCACATTGGCTGCTGAGTTCTTTTGGCATAACCGATCAGGTCTTGATGGCTAGTCTCTAAGCTATCTGGAATGACAAGGTTCTTCACCTTGTAAATGTCCTGCCCTAGACCTTCTCTTCCATAGTGTGACTCCCAAGTTTTAAGGACACATGGGTGAGAGAATGAGACTATTCCATACTTACTTATTTGGTCTATCACACTTTACACATTTAACAGCTTCAATAGCATTCCAAAACTATACTAGTAATAAAATTTCTGAATATGGTTTCAGTTGCGATTCTCAAATTGGCCCTCTCTGCTTTCTGGTGGGTAATTATGAACTCTTAAAGAAGTTTCTTCAGGACCATCAGATACCTTATTGTTTCTCTTTGTTCTCTTCCTACACCCACAGGAAAAACCACGCCAATCTTGTGGCTTTTAGAGCTTTGTGTCCCACCCACATATATACTTTGTGGTACAAGGAAACATGTCACCTCTTTTCATTGTAAATATTGCCCATGGGTTTTCAAAATGATGTATAGTTTCTCTCTTAATATGTATGTATTTGAAAAATCATGCTGTCACTACAGTCCAATGTTTCCAGAATCTTTTCACAAACATACATTTAAATAACCCTGGACTATCTCATTTTGATATGTACAATTATGAAGATAACCCTTTTAATATGGAATTTCCTAAATGGGACACTAGTGAACAAACTACAAAAAATTTTGAGACTTGGAAGGAATATACGTTAATGTTGTTAATAAACTCTAGAAACTTGAACATTCAACATAATTTATGAAGGAAATCTCAAAATGAATTTGTGCCTTTTGCAAATAAGGAAATTACTATGAACAACCAGGGAACATACCTTTTAGGAATGGGGCTGAAGCCACTTTGTTCATTATCTCTTGGGTAGTTTTGGATTCAGGTGCAAATGCAATAACATAATTAGTATCATTAAAACTATCTACACGTCCCAGATCCATTGAAGACATTTGAGGAGTGTCATGAACTTGATGTAAATTGGAGAAAAATAGGTACAGAAACAGTACCAGAAGAAATGAAAAGAGCCATTCCTATATAGCAATAAGAGAAAAAGGAAACAAACTGGTAGATGTTATACCACAGATCAATCATCCACAAACAGTTTGAAATACTTAATTCTGTTATTTGGCTTGCATTCCATTTATTCTTTCTCCTAGTTTTTAAATATCCTGATTTTCTTTGTCCATTAATCTGCATATATTAAAATATGCACATTGTCTACCAAGACAGAATTGTAACATCAATTCCAGTTATAATTGAGAATCTAAGTTTACCACACTCTAGTGCAAGTGATAAAGCCTGTATTACTTTATGAATGGCCCAACAGTTTAGTCATGTTAAAATTTTAGTGACAGTGATAAATAAATAGTAGGTGATGTGGAATAGGTAACTAGCTTCCATCAACAGGAGCAAGATCATATCATATTTTTACCTTCTGTTGCTGGTATGTGGAAGAAGATAGTCCCAAAATGTTGCTCATAAAAAAACAAAGTTTTTTTGAATGTGGTCATCGTGACCACATTCGGGAATTGGAAATACAGCACAATGCAATTGAAACCCAGTGATAAGAACCTAGTTAATTATTTAGTTATGATACTACACATAAGTCCTTTTTAAAAGAGTTATATGTCATCTTCATCATATGATCCTTTTTTAGCTATGTGTGTTGGTCTATATCTGTTTCTATCTTAATAGAAAAATAAATATAATGTTTATATAAAAAAGAGCTAAAAGTTTAAAGGTAAAACATCTATGTAGGGCGGGATCACAACTTTTACATTTATATAATCTTTTCCCTATGCAGGAATTGTTGTATACTTTATTCCCTGCCTATCCAAGCATTCAATACATATTTGTTGCATGAACACACACACACACACACGAACACACACACACACACACACACACACACACACGTTCATAAGATCAGATGTTAATATAAGTTTTGAACTATGAGTATTCTATGGGTGATTTTATTATATTTTTCTGAGTTTACTAAATTTTTTGCACAAAGCACATCTAATCATTCTTATGATCAGAAGAAAATAAGTACTATTTTAATAGAAGTAAAAGATCACAATACTATTTTCCCATTTATTTACATGATTATTATTTCTTTCAAACTGACATTGTCTGTGTCTATAATGACATTGTGTAGAAGTGCTACAATTTGCCTTTTCATTGTTTGTTAGATTTTGGATTCCCTGCTTCTTTTTTACTTTGTCCCTGAACTTCTATACAAATGCGTTCATGAGATTCAAATGAGCTCAGCGGTTAAGAATTGTTATCTCTGAAGTATAAAGATATGGCTTTATTTTTCAAGGAGTTTCTGAATATGAATTTTTAAAAAAATGCCTCTAGTAAGACATAAAACAATAATACATAATGTAATTTGAAAAAATAAATTTTACCTGAACAAATAGCAAAGCCCAGAATTTGAAAAAAAATCTAGCTTGTTAATTAGACTACACATATGTGCAATGTTAAATAATGAAAATAAAGTGTTTATGTTGCCTGATAAAATACTTTTTCATCCTCTAAATATGAGAACACATAGACTCTGAAGCATACCAACAAGGTCTGTCTTTTCATTCTCCATTTTTTGAGACAGTTCTTGCAGAGAAGAGCCCATGTTTGCTGACCCACGCTCATGCGTCTCTTGCTCATTTTGACCTGTTTCCTTTAAAAAGACAGAAAAAAAATGAAGTACATGTGAAGGTCTAAAGTAGAAAACATTGTGCAATCAAACATAAAAGAAACATTGTAACAGCTGTTTCCAGTTGCATTCCTGGAGAAGAAGAAAGCCAAAAGGCTAAAATAAAAACATGTGAGGAAATGTTTAAACTCAATATTGAAAGAAATAAGAATTAAAACAACTATCAGATATTATTTCTCCATCATTGGATTGAGAAAAATCAGAAGAGTGAATAGTGTCGATCGTTGCTATCTCCTCAACTGTGGGTGTTGTTAAATTGTCTAATGGGGAGAAAGGAACTTTCCGCCTTGTTGTTGGGGGTACAAACTAACCCAGTCACATGGGTGATTCATTACTAATTCATTACTACTTAGCAATATCCTACCATCAATCAGTTCTGCTCCTGGATATGCAGCCCATGGAGATTCTCACATGGGGTCATGAGGGGACCAGTGCAAGGATGTTCTTTATAATGTAGATTATTGTGGCATGGTGTTAATAAAACAAATTTTGATGGATACAGTCCAAAGATTACTATGTAGGATTCAGGAGCACTGGATTGGCACACACCCATCCACATGAAGACATCTTAAAAATATAGCTCCAGTTCAAAGGAAGAAAGAAAGAAAAAGAAAAGATTGAGCATTAGGTCAAAATATCATTGATATCAATTCACATTACATGTGATACACATTTTCCAAAAATATTCAGGAACTAAAGGATCACCATCCCTAATACAATAAAAAGGTTATCTTTGGAAGTGGGAAATAAGAATGGAGGTTGGGTGAAAAGTGGGAATTGGAAATTAAAGAAAATAAGTAACCAAAACAAGATAGGAGCTTTGTTTGAATCAATTATTTTGTGTGCCACGAACTTAAGAGATTGATTAACTTTTACCCGGGACATCATGTCCAGCTACCAAGAAAAAATTACAGGCTGCATAAGGTGGCTCATGCCTGTAATCCCAGCACTTTGGGAGGCTGAGGCAGGAGGATTGCTTGAAGCCAGGAGTTAGAGACTGGCCTGGGCAACAAAGTGAGACCCCATCTCTATTTTTAAAAAATCAAAAAATTAGCTGGACATGGTCCTTGTAGTCCCAGCTACCAGCTACTTGGGAGGTTGAGGCAGAAGATTGCTTGAGCCCAACAAGATTGAGGCTGCAGTGAACCATCTTCATGCTACTGTACTACAGCCTGGGTGACAGAGAGAGACTCTGTCTCAAAAACAAATAGAAAAAATTATAACACATACTAGAAGGTAAAAAAGAAAAAACAGTATAAGGAGAGAAAGTATCAGAATCAGACTCAGATGTGGCAGAAATGTTGCAATTATTAGACTAGGAATTTGAAACAACAATGATTAAAATACTAAGGGCTTCAATGCATAAAGTAGACAATATGTAACGAGGGAGAAAAAAAAGTCCACACCTGTTTCTCTGTATAAAACACTTCTGATAACAAATGCTTGGGTTTTCCCCACAAAGAAATTCTCCAGTTCTCTGTGGACACCAACTGGGTGACCTAAAATTCAATTCACTTCAATTCTGACACTGTCTACTTGGAGTTACAGCAGATCCCACAGATTAAGGACTCAGTCCCAAAAGACTGCCCCCCACTTCAGATGCCAGTCAGAAGCCTGGGTCTTTTGTACTTCTGACTGACTGGCTATATATTAGGGGTTCCCATAACCCGCTCCTTGGGTTTGATAATTTGCTAGAGTAGCTCACAGAACTCAGAAAAACAGTCTAATTGCAATTACCAGTTTATTACAAAGGATAAAACTCAGGAACAGCCAAATAGAAAATATGCACATGGCAGAGTGTGCAGGACAGGACACTGAGCTTCCATTAACTCTCTGGGTGCACCACATTCCCAGCACCTTGAGATGTTCACCAAACCAGAAGTTCCCCAAACTCCTTCAGTTAGGGCTTTTGTGGAGACTTCTTTACATGGGCATGATTAATAAAATCATTGGCCATTGGAGATTAACTCGAACTCAATCTCCTCTCCTCTTCCTGGACATCTGGGGATGGGGCTGAAACCTTCTAATCACATGGGTGATTCCCTGGCAACCAGTCCTATCCTGAAGCAATCTAGGGGATTTCAGCCATCAGATATCTCATTAACACGAAGATACTCATTTCACTTCAGAGATTCCTGGTCTTAGAAGCTCTGTGTCAGGAACAGGGACCAAATATTATAACTAACGCTATTCCCATCACCCCTATGACTCAGGAAATTACAAGGGTTTTAGAGGTTTTGTGCCAAAACTAGGGGGCAGAGACAAAATATATATTTCTTATAATGCTGCATCATGCAGGAACGATGGGCAAGGTAAGAAAGGAGATAAAACTTCTAAGAGAGAACCAAAAATAAATGCCTAATATTAAAAAATACTATCAGAAATGAAGAATGCCTTTGATCTTTGATGAGCTTATTAGTAGACTACACACAGCTGAGAAAAGAATCCAAAACTTTTTGAAAAGAAAACAAAAAAAGACTGAAGAAAAAACAGAGCAGAATATTTAAGAACTATGGGACAATTGAAAATGTGTAACATATGCCTAATGGGAATACCAAAAAGAGAGAAAGAAAGGAACAGAAGAAATACTTTAAACAGTAATGACTGAGAATTTCCCCAGATAACGGCTAGACACCCAACCTTAGATTCAGGAAGGTCAGAGAACACCAAGCAGAATATTTGCTCAAACAACTACACCAAGAAATATCATTTTCAAACTACAGAAAATCAAAGATAAAGAAAAAAATCTTAAAGAAGCCAGAGGAAGAAAACATCTTTTCTATAGAGGAGCAAAAATAAGAATTTTATCTAACTTTTCTTCAGAAATTATGGAAACAAGAAGAGAATAAAGTATTTAATGTGCTCAGAGAATAAACCCACCAACTTAGCATTCTACCCTTAGTAGAATGTACTCTGTGATATTAACCTCAAAAGATGAAAGAGAAGTACTTTCTCAGACAAACAAAAAATGAGAGAATTTGTTGCCAGTAGACCTGCCTTGCAAAAATATGAAAAGAAGTTATTTCAAAAGAAGTAAAATGATATGTCACAAATTTATATATAAGCCTGGACACAGTGGCTCATGCCTGCAATTACAGCACTTTGGGAGGCTAAGGTAGGAGAATGGCTTGAGCCCAGAAGTTCAAGACCAGCCTGGGCAACATAGGGAGACCCTGTCTCTACAAAAACAAAATTATTTAAATTAGTGAGGCATGATGGCTTATGCCTGAGGCCCCAGCTACTAAGGAGGCTGAGGTAGAAAGGATCACTTGGGCCTGAGAGGTGGAGGCTGCAGTGAGCTGTGATGGTGACCCCGCACTCCAGCCTGGGCAAAGAGTGAGACCCTCTCTCAAAAAAAAAAAAAAGAAAAGAAAAGAAAATTCAGATTTACATAAAGAAAAAGCATGAGAGAAAGAAAGAATAAGTGAAGGTACAATAAAAACTTTTTCTTATTTTTAACTGATTTGAAACATAATAGAAAATAATAGCAATGTATTCAATTGTGTATACTTATGTTTATATATGTATATAATGCCATATATACAATATATGTATTACATTCATATATAATGTTCCTGTATGCTTATCTGTAAGTGAAATGAATGACAGTAATGATATGAGGGACAGGAGGGAGGAGGAATTGGGGTTATTTTGTTATTATAAGATACGCTACCAATTAAGTGGTATAGTGTTATTCGAAAGTTGACTTGGATTAATTGTAAATATATATTGCAAACTCTAAGGATTTAATTTGCTTTTCTTTTGGAAAATTCATGAAAGAAAGTAAAAACAAAAAACAAAAAAAATGAGTCTAAATGAATGATAATCTAAGAAAGAAGGAAAAATGAAATTATATTAAATGCTCAATTAAAACCACAAAAGGCAGAAAAAATGTAGACCAAAAATAGAATTGAAGACTAGAACAAAGGCAATAAATAGAAAATGGTAACAAATTTGGTAGATACTAATCCAATATGTCAATAATCACTTTGATCATCAATGGTCTAAATGCACCAATTAAAAGACAGAGATTGTCAGAGTAGATGACAAAAAAGATGTAATTACATGTTGTCTACATGAAACCAGCTTTAAATATAAAGACACATATAGATTAAAAGTAGAGGGATAAATATAGATGGACCATGCTAACAATAATCAGAAGAAAGCTGGAATAACTATATTAATTTCAGATGGAGTAGAATTCTAAAACAGAACAGACTTTTCATTCCAAAGAAGGAAAATTATCAGGGATAAAGTGAGAAGTTACATAAAGTTAAAGGGGTCAATTTTCCAAGAAGTCATAGCAATCTTTAACATGTGTGTGCTAACAACAGTGTCAAAATACTGAGAGAACTGCAAAGAGAAACAGATGAATCCACTCTTATAGTTGGAGACTTCATCACCTCTCTTGGCAGAAATGGACAGATCCAGCAGGCAGAAAATAAATAAAATCAGAGTTGAACTCAACAATATAATCAACCGATTGGGTAAAATGAACATTTCTACACACGATTTCACTCAATAACAGCAGGAAATTCATCCTTCTCATGCTCACATGGAACGCTCACCAAGATAGACCAATTTTGAGCCATAAAACACACCTTAGAAAATTTAAAGGAATAGAAATCATACAATGCATGCTCTTGGGCAATGGTAGAATTACACTAGAAATCAGTAATAGAAAGATAACTGGAAAATCTCCCAAATACATGGAGGTTAAACACACTTCTAAATAACATAAAAGTCAAAGAAAAAAATCTAATGACAAATTAAAACTTATTTTGAACTAAATAAAAATGAAAACACAGCTTATCAAAATTTGTGGCATACAGTGAAAGCTTTGCTTAGAGAGAAATTTACAGCATCCAATGCATACATTAGTAAAGAAGAAAGATCTAAAGCAAACAATCTAAGCTTACACCTTAGGAAATTAGAAAAAGAAAAGCAAATTAAATCCAAAGAAAGCAAAATAAAAGAAATAGTAAAAATTATGATAGAAATCAATGAAACGGAAAACAGGAAATCAATAGATAAAAATCAGTAAAACCAAAAGCTGGTTCTCTGAGATCAATAAAATCAATAGGCCTCTACCAAGACTAACTAAGAAAAAAGAGGGAGAGAACACAAGTTGCTAATATTAGAAATGAAAGAGGGGGCATCACTACAGATCTCATAGACATTAAGAGGACAATCAAAGAATATTATGAACAACCCTAGGCTTACAAATTTGATAGCCTAGATGAAACGAATCAGTTCCTTCAAAGAGACAATCTGTCAAAACTCACACAAGAATAAACAATCTGAATTAACCTTTATCTGTCAAAGAAACTGATTTAATAATCAATAATCTTCAAAACAGAAAGCATCACTGGTGGTTCCCCAGTGAATGGGTTCACTGGGAAATTCTATCAGACTGTTAAGGAAGAAATTATTTCAACACTCTACAATCTCTTCTAGATGCTAGAAGCAGAAAATGAAATACAATTCTGAATCTTTGTTCTGTATCTTTCAACTCCTCGTCCTTCATCCCCTGGGATATTTACAAAAGCCTACTTCATAAGGTGAAGCCTAATTAGATAGGATATACTGTGTAAGAGATAATGAGCAGAAGGAACTAGAGTAGAGTGATGGTGGTAATAACTATTTTGGAATAGTTAAATATGTGGTGATGAAGAGGCACAGAAATAAAAGCCAGATCTATGTCACTTGGTCAATAGAGATTTTCCTATGAAACATCCCAAGAGGTAGGAAGACTTGGAACTCATAGTTTTAACTAGTGTTCAATGGTGTGAAAATGCATTTTGGGGAGACGGTATGGGCATAAAAATGTAATTATTGTGGAATGGACTGTTGAGTCAAGGAATAGGTTTGGTGTATTATAGACAAACTTTATTCTTGCAAAGTAGATGGCCCGCTTTTACTGTTGATAGAAAAGAGCACCCAAACTAATCTTCACATCTATGATGGCTATAACCTTCCTATACATATGTGGATAGGTGGGAGGTGGAGTTAGGGAGAATGAATCAGCCAAATAGAGATAAACAAATCACATAAAATTGTCCTTGAAGGTACTTAAACAGATACCTCATTCTACCATTGTATTATTGAAATCAATATAGGGATAATCATTTGTAGGCACCAATGTTGCTCTGCTATTTTCAATGAGAGACAATCACCCATGCCTGCCTGCTTATGGGCTCAGCCTTGGCCTTGAGGGTAACCCACATAAGGGCCTAGGCTTACAAGAGTGAAAGAGAGAGAGAGAGAGTGGCCTTTAGGCTTGCACACAGATCCACCAGTCAGCCAGACTTTCACTTTCTAAAACATGGGCCTAGGCTTTAGGAAGTCTTTATAGGCTTTAGGAAGTCTTTATAGAATTGTTTGCAGAGAACAAACAAAGAATTCAGGATATGTCTGTCCAAAAGCCATTAACTGACCTACTACAACATAATGAAGGTAACTTACTTCAGATATGACAGTTTCAGTTTGGTAGTGCGGGTACAATGTAATTATTTATACTCTTTCATGTTAACACAGCTCAAAAACTATAGTCACCCATTTGTATTTGTGGGTTCTGCACTTGTGGATTCGACCAACTGGCGGTAGATAATGCTCAGAAAAAAAGGATGGCTAGGTTTGTACTGAACATGTAGAAGCTTTTTTTTTCTTGTCATTATTCCTGAAACAATAAAGTATAACAATTATTTACATAGAATTTACATTGCATTAGGTATTGTAAGTAAGCTAGAGATGATTTAAAGTACGCAGGAGAATATACATAGGTTAAATGCAAATATGACACCA
The DNA here is from genome assembly GCF_000001405.40 of Homo sapiens. Taxonomy (NCBI): domain Eukaryota; kingdom Metazoa; phylum Chordata; class Mammalia; order Primates; family Hominidae; genus Homo; species Homo sapiens. The sequence continues at coordinate 69,057,980 of NC_000017.11, forward strand.
TTTTACATAATGGTGTCGTATATAAGGGAGAATAACAACGATGGTCTGAAAGTTGTAGAGCTTTAGTGAACATGAACTATTTTAACTGATAAAGAAAACGTAAGACCTAATCTTAGCTAACAAACCCAACATTCTAGGATGGGAAACTCACCCAGGAAATGATTCAAAGGTAGTAGTTCAAGTCTTGGTATAGTGGAGCACAAGGCCAGTTGACTAATAAGGCCTGTGTTTTCACATCAATGGTATCCTCTTTTGGTGCCATGTTGAACAGGAGTGGCAATCATAAGGTTGCTATTGCCCCTTCAATGGTTTTATTAATGAGGGTGCTCCTGGATCCTAGGTTCATGGTTCATCCTGCCATATTCATGGCAGGAGCAAAGCCATGAATATGCTGACCCCTTCTGGTATTCAAGAGACAGCTCAAGTGGGAAGACGATTTATTCAAGTCAGCCTCAAGGGGGTAGTACCAGAGATGGAGCCTATCCATGGTCTATTGCAGGGAATACTGTGCTGCTACTGAAGTCTGAAGGGCAAGGTGTATTAGTCTGTTCTCACACTGCTAATAAAGACTTACCTGAGGCCAGGTACCGTGGCTCATGCCTGTAATCCCAGCACTTTGGGAGGCTGAGGCAGGTGAATCACAAGGTCAGGAGTTCGAGACCAGCCTGGCCAACGTGGTGAAACCCCATCTCCACTAAAAATACAAAAAATTAGCTGGGTGTGGTGGCGAGTGCCCGTAATCCCAGCTCCTTGGGAGGCTGAGGCAGGAGAACCGCTTGAACCTGGGAGGCAGAGGTTGCAGTGAGCCGAGATTCCGCCACTGCACTCCAGCCTAGGTGACAGTGTGAGACTGTCTCAAAAAAAAAAAAAAGACATACCTGAGACTGAGTAATTCATAAAGGAAAGAGGTTTAACTGACTCACAGTTCTACATGACTGGGGAGGCCACACAATCATGGCTGAAGGCAAATAAGGAGCAAAGTCACGTCTTATATGGTGCCAGGCAAGAGAGCTTGGGTAGGGGAATTCCCCTTTATAAAACCATCAGATCTCGTGAGACTTGAATACTATCATGAGAACAGCCCAGGAAAGACCTGCCCCAATAATTCCATTACCTCCTCCTGCGTCCCTCCCATGACAGATAGGGATTATGGGGACTATAATTCAAGATGAGATTGGAGTGGGGACAGAGCCAAACTATATCACAAGGCATAGTTGAAGAGAAATGTGATTGGCAGAATAATGGTCCCGTTCTAATCCTGGAATTTGTGAATATGTTACAGTACATGACAAAGGGGAATTAAGGCAGTAGATGGAATTAAGGTTGCTAATCAGCTGACTTTGAAATAGGGAGATCATCCTGGATTATCTGGGTAGACCCAGTGTAATCACAAGGGTGCTAAAAAGTAAAACAGGGAGGCAGACAAGATCAGAGTGAGGCAGTAGAAGAAGGGTTCATTCTGCTGCTACGGCTTTGAAGATGGAGGAGGAAGACCATGAACCAAAGAATGCAAGAAACCTCTAGAAGCTACACAGGGTAAGAAAACAGATTCTCCCCTACAGCCCCCAGAAAGAGACACAGCCTAGCCAACCCCTTGATGTTAGCCGAGTGAGAACCACATCACACTTCTAACCCCCAGAGCTGTAAGATGATAACTCTGTTTTGTTCTAAACCATTAAGTTTGTGGTCATTTTTTTTTTTTTTACAGCAGCAATAGAAAGTTAACATGGGGGCAGGGTTGGGGGAAGGAGTCCGAGAGCCTGAGGCCTGAGAACAAGACAGGAAGACATTGCTGGACATTTATTTTATGACGTGCCTCATCAGCAGAACAAAGAAGGGCATGGACTTATGTTTAAAAACTGTCCAGAAGTGACCAAAGAAATTCACCAGTGATGCAGATGAGCTCCTAATAATCATGCCATCGGAGCAGGCTGTGATAGCCTGGAAATCCTGCCTGAAACCAAACTGCAACATTTCCAACTAAGAAATCAAGCGGTGATAAACCTCAGTATCTGAAAGGGTTAAATATTGTGCCCACGTGACTACTGTTCTTTCTTTCTGTGAATTAATGTGTGTGCCAGAAAATATTTGTGAATAAAAAACAATTACATAATCTCATTGTCATGAATGTGGTTATTTATCTCTGAGCGTTAAGACTGATTTTTCCCCCCACTGAACATCTTAGTGTAAATATCAGAGAAAAAATATACTACCCACCGTAATAATATAAAACATCTAATTAGCTTAAATTGTTCTGAATAGGAAATTGTATAATTTAGAAATAATAAATTGGTTATAAAAAGCCAATCATTTCCCAGTCAGATAAAATTCCTGTTATTCACAGAACAAATTTTTCTAATTTGTTGCACTGGGCAACAAATTAGATCAAAATTTTAAAATAGTTACTATAATAAACAAGATCAATAAAAATCTTTCCTTAAGTTTTCTTGATGAAAATATTCTCAAGCCATTTAAAAACAATTCAAAACTCAGAAAATTATGCATCCTGCAATGCTTACAATTCCTCTGGCAGTAAAATTAAAAACAAACAAAGAAGAGTAAGTAATTCAAATAAATTTGGAAATAGTTCATACTTGTAAAGAAGCAACATAACGTGACATTTCTTTTGATTTATTCAATAGCCTATTAGATAATGTATGCTATTTGTCCAAAAATGTTTTAGTTACGGGGTAAAAATTTAAATTCTTAGTTCTTCATTTGGTTATTTAGACATACAAAATAAAATAGATGATTTAAAAAGTCAAAATGACTCGTTAATAACTTACTGCTTTTAATGGTTTCTACCTAAACGTCTGGCATGCCTATTTATAGTCTTATGTTATATTTCTATATGCAAAATAACCACAATTTTAGAGGTTAACTTACTCTCAGGAAAGCTGGAGGAAAAATCTAGAAACACAGTTCATCCATGGGTCTCTGCATGTTCTGGAGGAGAATTCACATTCCTTTTGGGTCACTACTACATCATGCTTTTAATTTCACATTCATTGTGAATAGTTCTGTTTTATACAAATTTCCCAGGAGAATCTGGTCTCAGTTCAGCTAGCCTGCCAAAATATCTTCTGCTCACGTGGTGATTTCTTTGCTGTTTTCCATTTCTTTGTTTCCTGCTAGTTACTCAGCAGGGAGTTTGTAGTTGCAGATGGTTGGCTGGACATATCAAAACATTAGGAACTATCAAACCAAGGAGAATCTAGCCTTTCTCAATCGGTCTTTTCATACAAGGCCCTAATGGGAGAGTTGACCCCAACACAATGATTTAAACAAAGATAAGTAAGAAGCCAATCCAGAGAAGAGTAGAGCAGAACAAAGTGAAAAATACATAAATATATATGTTATATATATATATATTTTAAGTGACAAGTAAATACATACAAATTGGGTTAGAAACTATTTAAAACCTTCAACAGATTCTTAAAACTTGAATCCAGAAATACGGCAATAAAGCAATGTAATTTTCTTCAGGGTAACAAAAGAAACTCTGAGTTTCCATCTGCATCTCAGTTTCATTGTGTGCATACTAATTGTAGCATCTTTCATCTTTCATGGTACTGAAGCGAGCAGAATCTTTAGAGAAATCTCACATAACAATTACCTGTGCTCTCAAAGCCTCCAGGCTTGTCATCTCTGCAACGGTTCCCATGAAACAAACTACTTTCTCCACCAGTAACTACTGAATTTTAGTATGTCCTGCTTTCCAGTATTGTTAGAGAAACATTTTTAACTGGTAATAGATGCCATTCTGTCTATTTTTGAGCATCTTATGTAAGTAGAAGAAAAGACTGTTCCAAAATTCTTATAATTCATGGAGTTCATCTTTGGCTGAAGAAGAGGGGGGAAAGGACCACTATCATTCTGCTTACAGCCAGTAAGTCTGTTAAATTCTTCAGTACTGTAATTTCTTCCTGAACATACAGCTGAAAGGGAAACAATAAATGCATGCAATTCTTAAATCAGCCTCTTATCTGTGTCTCATGGACCATGATAACCAAATGAAATCTTCCTTACCCATTTCCCATTCTCTCAATATTGATTCAATTATATTTATCCTTTTTCTAATTATATGCGATCCAGAAGTTGCTCAGCAAGCAGTCTGTGGAAGTAGGCTGAACTCCTGAATCCATGAGACTGTCAAACTTAAAAAAAAAAAAAAAGACTTCTGATTGTTTCCATATGTCTACAGAAAAGGTTATAGGTTGGTTGATTTTCTGCAGAAAATACAAAATTATCACATTCAATACATTTAATAACATCGCCAACATTTTGTGCACAGAGAATATAATTTAGGAAATTTTTTTTCAGTAACTTGTTTCCTAGAAGAACTTTGTACCTAGGTTAGAGCTTATGAGTTCTGGACCTAGTTGATTTTGACTTTCGGTTCTAAATTCTGTTTTCAATGTTTCCTTCAGTGTACCACACTGTAATCTCTGTGGCACTATAACAGAGCAAGCTCCCTCTCATTGATCTTCTTTTTAATATTTTCTAGATTAAACAATATTTAATATTTATTTATTTATTTATTTATTTTGAGACGGAGTTTCCCTCTGTCACCCAGGCTGGAGTGCAGTGGCACAATCTCGGCTCAATGGAACCTCTGCCTCCCAGGTTCAAGCGATTCTCCTGCCTCAGCCTCCACAGTAGCTGGGACTACAGGCACCTGCCACCACGGCCAGCTAATTTTTGTGTGTTTTTAGTAGAGAAGGGGTTTCACCATTTTGGTCAAGCTGGTCTGGAACTCCTGACCTCAAATGATGCACCCACCTTGGCCCCACAAAGTGCTGGGATTACAGGCAGAAGCCACTGCGCCCGACGTATTTACTCTTATAAAGAAGTTTTTGAATCAGTTTACCAATTCAAAAACAATCCCATGGGAGTTCAAAAATGAAATGACACTGATTTTATACCATAATGTACACTTTTTTTGGCAACTACATATAGCATTTATTGTGTCTAAGACATACTTAAATATTAAAACATTTAATCCACAGAATAATCCCATGAGGTAGGCATTATTCTAATCAACCCATTTTACGGACCAGAAAGGTGAGGCCCAGGGAGTTACATAACTTGCCCAAATTCACACAGATGGTGAGTAGCGGAAACTGAGTTAAAACTCAGACAATCTGTAGAGTCTATGAGCTCAAATTACAAATGCTATGCTGTCTCATTTGCATATATCTCTGTTTATTCCATTATTCTTACTTTATGTGCACATATTTTACAATTTTCCTTGCCTTTTGCTTCATTTATTTTGCGGCAGTATTCTCCAGTGCCAGAAACCTTATAAATTTCATGTGATGTGTTTTGCACCAGACTACAACATTCTTCTTGGAATCTTTGCTGGCTATTTGTAAGGAGGACTTGTCACCCCAAGACCTGTGTGCAGCCCTTCTCAACACTGTGCAAAAACAGAAAAACCTGATCTGTAAAGAGAGAAGGATGAAGCGGTCCAGCTGCCTGATAAAGACTGAGAATGTCTGCTTGTTTTCCAGGGGCTTTTATCTTCTTGCTTTTCATTCTTTCTCAGATCTGGCTGCACTGCCTGCATGTGAGTTTTGTCAGATATCCTCCAAACATTTCTCTTTGTTTTTTGTTTTGTTTTGTGTTTGTTTTTTTTTGTGTGTGTGTGTGACGTGATCTCTGCTCACTGCAAGCTCCGCCTCCCGGGTTCATGCCATTCTCGTGCCTCAGCCTCCCAAGTAGCTGGAACTACAGGCGCCCGCCACGATGCCCGGCTAATTTTTTGTATTTTTAGTAGAGACAGGGTTTCACCATGTTAGCCAGGATGGTCTCGATCTCCTGACCGCGTGATCCGCCCGCCTCGGCCTCCCAAAGTGTTGGGATTACAGGCGTGAGCCACCGCGCCTGGCCCTCTTTGTTTCTTAAAAATGTAATAAATTCTACTTGGTCTTGTTTTGTGCTTTTTTTGCCTTGAAATATCCTTTGTGTGATATATTCCTGCCCTCCACTTTCATTTGCAATTTGCATTTCTCAGATATATTTTGACAAACTTTTATTACATGCCTAAAGGATGCCTGTTGAAGTAGTATAATTGCATTTCTCTTTTTACCTTATCTGCAAATCTTCTACTATCCATGGGCAGGGCAGGGAAGGGGATGTAAGTCCTTTGGTTACCCAATCCTTTTCTTCCAGTCATCTTATTTTATGGTCTCTTTAAATTACGCTTTCCTGTTATTTCCCATTTATCCATTTCTGTAGTGATTGTGTTTTCTCTGTTCCTTTTTTCAGGTTCCCCTTTTCCTTTTTCCCCAACTATCATCTATAAAGTTCTGGATCAGTATTTTGTTCTACTAGTGATAACCCTCAAATGTTAACAAACGTATCAGGATCTACATTACTCTGGCAATATAAAAAATCAGCCTATGTCTCTATACATCTTTCTCCCCCATCTTCCTGCTCCTTATAGGATACACCCGTTAGCATATTTGAACTTAAAACATTAGCTCTACTTCTTACTAATTGCAATGCAAGGCAAGTAACTTACCTTGGAGCCCCAATGATTTACCCAGGAAGCTTTAGTTTTCTCATCTGTGAGATCCAGAGGACACAATAGTATCTAACAAGGGTGTTTTAGAATTTATAAATTTAGGTTTGGGGTGGAGGGGAGATGGTAGAGATTAAAGGAAATAACATATGTAAAGTATTGAGTGCAGTAGCTTGCAATGAGGGATGACTCACCAAATGCTAGAGACTCTACTCTCCACGGCTGTGTCAAAACTAGACATTATAGGTGTTTGTAAATTTTACCAGTCTGATTAATAAAAAATAGTACCACCTTGATAACTTATATTTCTTAGTGGTGTCAAGCATATTTTAATATACTTTTTGGCCATTTGTAAATTTTTTTTTACTATAACAAATCTGTTCATTTTCTCTATCTGTATTTTTGTTACTCTGTCATTCCATTATTGTTTTCTGTTTTTGTTTATAGCTCTGACTGAAAATGTCTTATATTTCTCACTTTAAAAATAGCATGTTATTGCTTTCTCATCCAGATATGATGATAAAGTGCTTTTGGTACTCGTAAGTTTGAGGTTTTTTTGTTTTTCTTGTGAAGACATCTTAGGGTTTTCTCTTTAACCACAAGTGTAGGGAATTTCATGACAGTGTGCTCAGGTATAGATTTTTGGGTTTTGTCCTACATGGCACTTTGTGTTCACTTGCAATCAAAGAACTTGTGTCTCCTTTTTAAGTTCTGGGAAAATTTTAACTAATACCTTCATCAAATATTGCTTTCCTTCTAGTCTCTCTATTCTTTTCTCTTGGAAGTTTATTAGATATTGAGCAATGTTGTCCTTGTGTCTATCCTTTGCTTATCTGCCATCTTGAAATGGGAAAGCAATCTATTTCCACATCACATATAAACAATCTTTCTGACATAGAATTTTTATGATATCATTCCCACTACTGCCTTGACTGTGTCCTGATCTCTTTGCAAATGTACAAGAATTTTTTTTTTAATTATCTGGTCCTTTCTTCTCTTTCCACTCTTCCCTTGCCTTGTCTCCTTCCTCCAACTCAAGCCAGATACTTCTACATGATTTTCTTTTTTAATAAGTACATCATGTTCTCATTTACCTCTCTTTGCTCTCCTGTAACTAACTCCGGTTCACAAGTGGACTTCTCTGGTGACTACAACTATCTGCTCAGCTCCTACTTTTCCTTCAGGTTTCAGCTCTGATCTCTCCTCCCACAAGGTGCCTTCCTTGCTGATACAGTTTGGCCGTGTCCCCCCGGCAAATCTCGTCTTAAATTATAGTTCCCATAATCCCCATGTGTCGTGGGAGGGACCTTGTGGGAGGTAATTGAATCATGAGGGCAGTTACCCTCAGGCTGTTCTTGTGATAGAGAGTGAGTTCTCATAAGATCTGATGGTTTTATAAGGGGCTTTTCCCCCCTTTTGCTCGGCACTTCTCTTTCCTGCCACCCTGTGAAGAAGGACATGTTTGCCTCCCCTTCTGCCATGAATGTAAGTTTCCTGAGGCCTCCCCAGCCACCATGAACTGTGAATCAATTAAACCTCTTTTCCTTATAAATTACCCAGTCTCAAATATGTCTTTACTAGCAACGTGAGAACGAACTGATACCCTTGCCCTCATTGCATATGGGTTCCATGCCCCTTCCAGGTGCCCCCACAGCACGCTGTGGTTACTGCTATTGTAGTATGTACCTCACTGTCTTTTAGGCTAAATATACTCATTTCTCCCACACCATAGATTGTAAACAACTGAAGGGTACAAAATCATCACCGCTGTGTACCTCACAGAGCCTGGAACATGAAGGTTGCTCAATACATATGTTTTAAGTTTTAAATGTATAATATTGAATGTGAGGTAGGAAAACAAAAGAAAAAAAGTATCTTTTTTTTTTCAAGAAGCTTAGTTATAAAAGAAAGGTTGTAGGTTGGGTGGTAGTTTAAGTGAGTTGTTTTTGTCAAGAAAAGGTTGTTATTTTGTTTTTTAAAGACAACATTTAAAAAGGGAAAGTGAGGAGGAGAACGCTGAACACGCAGGAGAAACGCAGTAACAGGTGGAGTGCTGCTTTTTTGGAGGGGCTGCGTAAGACGGTATTGGATCAGATGGGACAGGTTTTTTTTTTTCTCTGTCACAAGAAAAAAAGGAAGTGCCAGTGAAAGCTGAGAGGATTAAAAAATGTGACAACACGAAGTAAAGATTTCCGTCCTCAGGGTTAAGATTTTTCTGTGAAGTAGGAAGCAAATTCTAAGAACAAACCAACAGATGTGCTGGGCACTTGAGGATACTGTGAGGAGTCTTCAAATAGGTATCAAGGAGAGTGGAAGATTGCCTTAGACATGTCAGGAACTCATAAGTCCTGCTGCCTTAAGAAATGCTCCTTGAAACTAAAGGAAAATTTGTAAGGTTTATCTCTGAACTGATGGCTCAAAACAACATATTTTTAGAAGTTATTTATCATTAATTAAAATCATTGATGGATCAGGAAAGGCATCGATAGCTATTGAAACTGATAAATAGTGAGTGACTTAAAGACTTGACAGAAAAATGCTTTAAATGTACAAGAGAAAAGCCGTACTTATGGAATAAACTGAGTTACTCATACCTAAGACACTAGCACCAATACAAAAATAGCAATAAAAAAAGAATTGACATATTTAATGCTAAATTTTGTAATATTTTTGCTATTTTTGTATGAATGGAAATTTTCTTAATATATAATTAAATATGATTTAATATTTTTTAAATTTATATTCTTCAACTTTGAATTTATAAAAGAAAGTCATTGTGCCCTGTAATCCCAGTACTTTGCGAGGCCAAGGTGGGAGGATCTCTCGAGTCCAGAAGTTCAGACCAGCCTGGGCAACATGGTGAAACCCTGTCTCTACAAAAAATACCAAAAAATCAGCCAGGTGTGGTAGTACATGCCTGCAGTTCCAGCTACTCTGGAGGCTGAGGTGGGAACATCACTTGAGCCCTTGAGCCTGGGAGGTGGACGTTGCAGTGAGCTGAGATGGCGCCACAGCCTTCCAGCCTGGGCAACAGAGTAAGCAGAGTGAGACCTTGGAAAAAAAAAAAAAAGAAAGAGAGAGAGACAGAGAAAGAAAAAAGAAAGAAAGAAAGAAAGAAGAAAGAAAGAAACAAAGAGAAAGAAAAGAAAGAGAAAGAAAGAAGGAAAGAAGGAAAGAAATTGGGTTATACAGGTTTCTTTTTTATTCTTACCCTATATAAGACTAACTAGTAAGCCTGGGCTCCTCAAACATCACCAACAATTACAATTACATTACAAGTTATAGTCAGAGTTCAGAAGCCTCACAGAGCTCACTGGGTTTGAAAGAACTAAACATTGCTGCCATTGCATTTCTTGTCAGCTTCTGTTGGGGGCAGTACATAAAAACAAAGAGTTTATTTTGTTATAGTAGATGCTCATCTCTGTGCAGGAAACCTAAACAGAAACACTGGGAAATCTTGGCTCCTTATCTTATAGGCCAGGAAATCTAGGCCCCACTCCACAATATCTGGGGGGCACTAATTCTTTCTGTATTTGTTTTAAGATGTTTGATTAAATTAATATATGTTAGATTTTGCCTAGGTCTTTTTTCTCCAGAGAAATTATTTACTGTTACATAGGAATCTCAGGTGTTCAGCCTTTTTATAAACATTCAACGGAAACTTCAAACAAAAATGTATTTGGTCATCTAAAATTATTGTTTCCAATATACAATCATTATTCCTCTGAGCCCATCCTGGGAGTATTTTATGCAAGTTTTCTAGTGTATTTAGCATACAACTTAAAAAACCTTAAGAAGATATCAAGCCAGTTACTTTTCAATTTATTTGTACCAAAATACCACACAGTGGGATTTTGTAAGATAATAGCAAAATCTTTATTGCTATTTCTATTTCTATTGTTGAACTATGCTAATGTGAATGCTCCTTCAACAAGGAAATAAATAAAATGGTTAAATAAGAAGTAACAAAAACAGAGATCACATTTAAAGAAAAATAAATACCCAGATGCCAGAAATGAAACAGGAAAACAAAGCTAAAAGGAGATTGCTATTTTAAGCCAGTAAGTTTTAAGGTGGTTTGGCAAAGGCTGATTGACAAACCAGCTAAAATATAATTCATGTGTAAGCATAAAATAGATATATCTTTACCCCAAAAAACTGAGATTTCTATTTTATGGACATCTCTGAAAGAACTACTAATAAATATCCTCCAAGAAGAAGAAAAAACTGAATCCAGAAAGAAGTAGGTGAATGCTAGCAACTAATAAATATATTAGTGAACTAAATAAATATTGATTGTGCAAACTAATGATGATAATGACTAATGTGTGCAGGGGGCAGTGTTAAACACAATGGACAACTCAAGTATCAAACAGCAGTTATATGGGAGGAGAGAGCCATGATCAGAGCTAAGTTCCCTAAAAATCTTATAGTTTAGGAAGAGGACAAAGATATGATTAACTTTAAAACTGCATTCTTCAGTAAGGTAGCCACTAGCCCCATGTGAGTATTTAAATGTAAATTTTAATTAATTAAAAATCAATAAAATTTAAAATTCAATTTCTTCACCTCCAACATGTAAAGAGCGTGGAAGTCATTATTCGCTTTCTTGCAGTAAGAAAAAACCTAAGCAAACTGAAAATCAGTGATATTTCTTGGACCCATCAGAGATTGAGGTTTCAGGGCAAACTACAACCCTAAAATCCAGAGAAACAAGTGAATACAGAGAATCACAGCCAAGATCAGCTTACCTGGAGCAGAAATCACTAGAGCCAGAAATTGGTAGGACGGAATGCATAAATGGTAATTTTGATGAATTGCTGGAGGTTGAGTGTGGCCTGCAGCCGGGGGAGACATTCCTGGGGTCAGTCCCCTTAAGGGGAAGAAACAGGTGAGTGTAACTGGAGGAGGGCAAAGCCTGTGGGCCTCAAGGATCCATTCACCACTAGATCTGGTACCAAAGCAGGGGAGGAGGGTCTGACCTCCCTTTCCTTCTATCCTCAATCTGTTGCTGCTACTTCCTGTTGGATTAATCAAACCCAGCTGGAATCCAGGCATCAAAGAAGAGAATTGGTGATGCAGTACACAGTGGTCAGCTTCTTTTACAAGGGGTGTGTTAGGGAAATAGAGAGTAAAGCCTGCACTAGATCTCTCTACGACAGCGTTGAAATAGTTTAGTTCTTTTTCCATTTTTCTCTTGATCCCTTCTTTTGTTTTATTCTGATCTTCCGTTTTCAGAATCATTAATCTGCTCCTAAATATAATCTTAATAAAAACCCATTAATAGCTTGAAAAACAACCATATTATGATATTTTTAGCAAACTATGTCCATTTTAAAACTTTTAAAACCTTTATACTATATCTGATGTTGGTTATTCGGTATCTTGTAAACATTTCCATAACACTTAAGAAAACTTATAGTTTATCAAAAACACAAGCAAAGATTTCATTATATTGTTATTGAAAGTGGTTATATATATTGTCATGTTATTCATTTGAGCAAGACAGGAGAATTTATTGCTTGGGTTTTAGAAATAATTTAAATAAATTCAACTATCATTGTAAAACAAATTTACATTTATAAAGCACTAATGGTTCCAGAATGAACAAATTATAGGTTATTTATCACAGGTTTGGAAATGTAACTCTTCAGATACAATTATATCTGTAAAATATACAGATAAAATATTTAATTACATAAAATGCTTATATAATAGATAAGAAAAAGATTAAAGCATAAATATAAATGATCAAAAAAATACAAAAATTAAAAAAATAAAATGCAGCTCCCGGGCAAGATGGCCAAAAGAGAACAGCCCTGGTCTGCAGCTCCTAGCGAGATCAACGCAGAAGACGGGTGATTTCTGCATTTCCAACTGAGGTACCCAGTTCATCTCACTGGGACTGGTTAGACAGTGGGTGCAGCCCATTGAGGGGGAGCAGAAGCAGGGTGGGCCGTTGCCTCACCCGGGAAGAACAAGGGGTCAAGGAACTCCCTCCCCTAGCCAAGGGAAGCGTGAGGGACTGTGCCTTGAGGGATGGTGCACTCCGGCCCAGATACTATGCATTTCCCATGGTCTTCACAACCCACAGACCAGGAGATTCCCTTGGGTGCCTACACCACCAGGGCCCTGAGTTTCAAGCACAAAGCTGGATGGCCATTTGGGCAGACACCGAGCTAGCTGCAGGAATGTTTTTTGTACCCCAGTGGCACCTGGAACGCCAGTGAGACAGAACCGTTCACTCCCTGGAAAGGGGGCTGAAGCCAGGAAGCCAAGTGGTCTAGCTCAGCAGATCACACCTTCACAGAGCCCAGCAATGTCAGATCCACTAGACTGAAATTCTCACTGCCAGCACAGCAGTCTGAAGTCGACCTGGGGTGCTCGAGCTTGGTGACGGGAGGGGTGTCTGCCATTACTGAGGCTTGAATAGGTGGTTTTCCTCTCACAGTGTAAACAAAGCTGTCAGGAAGTTCAAACTGGGTGGAGCACAACACAGCTCAGCAAAGCCACTATAGCCAGACTGCCTCTCTAGATTCCTCCTCTCTGGGCAGGGCATCTCTGAAAGAAAGGCAGCAGCCCCAATCAGGGGCTTATAGATAAAACTCTGATCTCCCTGGGACAGAGCACCTGGGAGAAGGGGCGGCTGTGGGCACAGCTTCAGCAGACTTAAACGTTCCTGCCTGCTGGCTCTGAAGAGAGCAGTGGATCTCTCAGTACAGTGCTTGAGCTCTGCTAAGGGACAGACTGCCTACTCAAGTGAGTCCCTGACCCCTGTGCCTTCTGACAGAGAGACAACTCCCAGCAGGGGTTGACAGACAGCTCATACAGAAGAGCTTCAGCTGGCATCTGGCGGGTGCCCCTCTGGGATGAAGCTTCCAGAGGAAGGAGCAGGCAGCAATCTTTGCTGTTCTGCAGCCTCCGCCAGTGAGACCCAGGCAAACAGGGTCTGGAGTGGACCCCCAGCAAACTCCAGTAGACCTGCAGAAGAGGGGCCTGACTGTTAGAAGAAAAACTAACAAACAGAAAACAATAGCATCAACATCAACAAAAAGGACGACCACGCAAAAACTCCATCCAAAGGTCACCAACAGCAAAGACCAAAGGTAGATAAATCCACGAAGATGAGGAAAAACCAGTGTAAAAAGGCTGAAAATTCAAAAACCCAGAATGCCTATTCTCCTCCAAAAAATCAAAACTCCTTGCCAGCAAGGGAACAAAACTGGATAGATAATGAGTTTGATGAATTGACAGAAGTAGGCTTCAGAAGATGGGTAATAACAAACTCCTTTGAGCTAAAGGAGCATGTTCTAACCTAATGCAAGGAAGCTAAGAACTTTGATAAAAGTTTAGAGGAATTGCTAACTAGAATAACCAGTTTAGAGAAGAACATAAATGACCTGATGAAGCTGAAAAACACAGCACGAGAACTTTGTGAAGCATACACAAGTATTAATAGCTGAATCGATCAAACAGGAGAAAGGATACCAAAGATTGGAGATCATCTTAATGAAATAAAGCATGAAGACAAGATTAGAGAAAAAAGAATAGAAAGGAATGAACAAAGTCTCCAAGCAATATGGGACTATGTGAAAAGACCAAACCTACATTTTATTGGTGTACCTGAAAGTGACGGGGAGAATGGAACCAAGTTGGGAAACACTCTTCGGGATATTAACCAGGAGAACTTCACCAATCTAGCAAGACAGGCCAACATTCAAATTCAGGAAATACAGAGAACACCACAAAGATACTCTTCGAGAAGAGCAACCCCAAGACACATAATCATCAGATTAACCAAGGTTGAAATGAGGGAAAAAATGTTAAGGGCAGCCAGAGAGAAAGGTCGGTTTACTCACAAAGGGAAGCCCATCAGACTAACAGTGGATCTCTTGGCAGAAACCCTACAGGCCAGAAGAGAGTGGGGGACAATATTCAACATTCTTAAAGAAAAGAATTTTCAACCCAGAATTTCATATCCAGCCAAAATGAATTTCATAAGTGAAGGAGAAATAAAATCCTTTACAGACAAGCAAATGCTGAGGGATTTTGTCACCACCAGGCCTGCCTTACAAGAGCTCCTGAAGGAAGCACTAAATATGGAAAGGAAAAACTGGTACCAGCCACTGCAAAAAAAAAAAACAAAATGTAAAGACCATCAACACTATGAAGAAACTGCATCAACTGATGGGCAAAATAACCAGCTAGCATCATAATGACAGGATCAAATTCACACATAACAATATTAACCTTAAATGTAAACAGGCTAAATGCCCCCAATTAAGAGACACAGACTGGCAAATTGGATGAAGAGTAAAGACTTATCAGTGTGCTGTATTCAGGATGCATCTCACATGCAAAGACACACATAGGCTGCTCAAAATGAAGGGATGGAGGAATATTTACCAAGCAAATGGAAAGCAAATAAAGCAGGGGTTGCAATCCTAGTCTCTGATAAAACAGACTTTAAACCAACAAAGATCAAAAGAGACAAAGAAGGGCATTACATAATGGTAAAGGGATCAATGCAACAAGAAGAGATAACTATCCTAAATATATATGCATCCAATACAGGAGCACCCAGATTCATAAAGCAAGTTCTTAGAGACCTACAAAGAGACTTAGACTTTCACACAATAATAGTGGCAGACTTTAACACTGCATTGTCAATATTAGACAGATCAACAAGACAGAAAATTAACAAGGATATTCAGGACGTGAACTCAGCTCTGGACCAAGCAGATCTAATAGACATCTACAGAACTCTCCACCCTCCATCCAACAGAAATTACATCCTTCTCAGCACCACACAGCACTTACTCTAAAATCGACCACATAGTTGGAAGTAAAACACTCCTCAGCAAATGCAAAAGAATGGAAATCATAACAAACAGTCTCTCAGAAGACAGTGCAATCAAATTAGAACTCAGGATTAAGAAATTCACTCAAAACTGCACAACTACATGGAAACTGAACAACCTGCTCCTGAATGACTACTGGGTACATAACAAAATTAAGGCAGAAATAAATAAGTTCTTTGAAACCAGTGAGAACAAAGAAACAACATACCAGAATCTCTGGGACAGCTACAGCAGTGTTTAGAGGGAAACTTATAGCACTAAATGCCCACACAAGAAAGCAGCAAAGATCTAAAATTGACACCCTAACATTACAATTAAAAGAACTAGAGAAGCAAGAGCAAACAAATTCAAAAGCTAGCAGAAGACAAGAAATAACTAAGATCAGAGTAAAACTGAAGGAGACAGAGACAGCCTTAAACTCCTGGGCTTAAACTGTCCTCCCACCTCAGCCTCCTGGGTAGCTTGGACCACAAGCACATACCACCCGGCTAACTTTTACTTTTTTTTTTGTAGTTTGTAGTGATAGGGTCTTGCTATGTTGCCCAGGATGGTCTTGAACTCGTGGTCCCAAGTGATCTTCCCACCTCATCCTCCCAAAGCATTAGGATTACAGGTATGAGCCATCATGCCTGGCCTCTTTTCTTATTATGCTATAACCAGGTATTGTGATTTATCACCTGGTTTTCTTAGCTCTTGTGAAGACCTTTTTGTGGATAGTTATTCAAATAGATGTTTTTATAGAAGGACAATCACTGGTGAGAACTATTCTACCATCTTGCTCCATTCTCTCCTTGACATGGTGATTCTTTTATTCAATTTTATTTAATTTCTATATTTTTCTCTATTATACAAATTTTCTTCATTGACTATAAAAATATTTTTATTTTTATAATTTCAACTTTTATTTTAGATTCAGGAGATACATGTGAAGGTTTCTTACATGAGTATATTGCATGATGCTGTGTTTGGGATACAAATGATCTAGTCACCCAGATAGTGAGTATAGTAAACAATGGTTAGTTTCTCCTTGCCTCCCTCCCTCGTCTGTTAGTCCCCTGGGGGACTATTGTTGCCATCTTTATGTCCATGAATACTTAATATTTAGCTCCCACTTATAAGTGAGAACATGTGGTATTTGGTTTTGTTCCTGCATTACTACGATTAGAATAATGGCTTCTAGCTGTGTCCATGTTGTTGCAAAGGACATGATTTTGTTCCTTTTTATGGCTGGGTATTCCTTTTGATTCCAGGGTATATATGTACTACATTTCCTTTATCCAATCCACCACTGACGGGCATCTCGGTTGATTCCATGTCTTTACTATTGTGAATACTGCTGTGATTAACATATGAGGTCATGTTTTTTTGGAAATTTATCCATTTCCTCTAGGTTTTCTAGTTTGTGTGCATTTTCCTTTGGTTATATACCCAATAATGGGATTGCTGGGTCAAATGGTAGTTCTATTTTAAGTTCTTTGAGAAATCTCCAAACTGCTTTCCACAGTGGCAGTGTTCCCTTTTCTCCACAGCCTTGCTGGTATCTGCTGTTTTTTAATTTCTTAATAATAACAATTCTGTCTGGTATAATAAGGTATCTCATTGTGGATTTGATTTGCATTTCTCTGATGATTAGCAATGTTGAGCATTTTTTCATGTTTGTTGACTGCTTGTATGTCTTCCTTTGAGAAGTGTCTGTTCATGTTTTTTGACCACTTTTTAATGGGATTACTGGTTTTTTGCTTGTTGAAATAAGTTCCTTATAGATACTTGATATTTGACCTTTGTCAGATGAATAGGTTATGAATATATTCTCCTGTTCTCTAGGTTGTCTATTTACTCTGTTGATAGTTTCTTTTGCCGTGCAGAAGTTCTTTAGTTTACTTAGGTCCCGCTTGTCCATTTTTGGTTTTGTTGCAATTGCTTCTGAGGACTTAGTCATAAATTCTTTCCTAAGGCAGATGTCCAGAATGGTGTTTCCTAGGTTTTCTCATAGGATTCTTACAGTTTGAAGTCTTATGTTTAAATCTTTGATTCATCTTGAGTTAAATTTTGTATATGGTGAAAGGTGGGGGTCCACTTTGATTATTCTGCATATTGCTAGCTAACTATCCTAGGACCATTTATTAAATACGGAGTCCTTTCCCGATTGCTTATTTTGTCTGTTTGTCAAAGAACAGATGGCTATTGGTGTGTGGCTTTATTTCTGTGTTCTCTATTCTGTTCCATTGGTCTATATGCCTTTTTTGTACAAGTATCATGCTGTTTTGGTTACTGTAGCCTTATAGTATAGTTTGAAGTCAAGTAATGTGATGCCTCCAGCTTTGTTCTTTTTGCTTATGGTTGTTTCGGCCATTCAGGCTTTTTAATATAAATTTTAAAATATTTTTTCTAATTCCATGAAAAATGACATTAATAGTTTGGTAGAAATAGTGTCAAATCTGTAGATTGCTTTGGGGAGTATGGCCATTTTAACTATATTATTTCAATCCATAAGCATGTCATATTTTTCTGTGTCATCTATGATTTCTTTCAGCAGTGTTTTGTAATTCTTCTTACAGAGATCTTTCACCTCCTTGGTTAGATAAGTTAGATGTATTCCTAGGAATTTATTTTTTGTGTGGCCATCTATTTGGATACTTTCTATTTCCTTTTCTTGCATCATTGCTCTGGCAAGAAATTCAGTACTATGTTGAATAGGAGTGGTGAAAGTGAGCATCCTTGTCTTGTTGCAGTTTTCAAGGGGAATGGTTCCATCTTTTGCCCATTCAGTATAATGTTGGCTATGGGTTTGTCATTGATGTTTCCTATTATTTTTAGGTAAGTTCCTTCAATGCCTATTTTGTTGAGGGTTTTTATCATGAAGGGATGTTGGATTTAATCATAGGCTTTTCCCACATCTAGTGATATACTCATATGGTTTTATTTTTAATTCTCTTTATGTGGTAAATCACATTTATTGATTTGTGTATGTTGAACCAACCTTGTATCCCAGGAGTTAAGGCAAGTTGATCATGGTAAACTAAATTCTGATGTGCTGTTAAATTCAGTTTGCTTACATTTTGCTGAGGATATTTGTATCTATATTCACCAGGGATATTGTTCTGTAGTTTTCTTTGTTGTGTCTTTGCCAGGTTCTGGTATTAGGGTGATGCTGGCTTCATAAAATGAGTTACGGAGTAGTCCCTCATCTGTGAATTTTTAGAATAGTTTCAGTAAAATTGCTCAGCTCTTTTTTGTAAGTCTGATAGAATTCAGTTGTGAATCCATCTGGTCTGGGTCTTTTCTTGGTTGGTAGATTTTTCATTACTGGTTCAATTCTGGAACTTGGTATTGGTCTGCTAGGGTTTCAATTTCTTCCTGGTTGGATCTTGGGAGATTGCGTGTTTCCAGGAATTTATCCATTTCTTCTAGATTTTCTAGTTTGTGTGCATAGAGGTGTTCATAATAGTCTCAGAGGATCTTTTGTATTTCTGTGGGATCAGTTGTAATGTCGCCTTTGTCATTTCTGATTGTGCTTATTTGGATTTTCTCTCTTTTTTTTCTTTTTTAGTCTAGCTAGTTGTCTATCGATCTTGTTTATCTGTTCAAAAAACCAATTTTTGGTTTCACTTATTCTTCATGTGGATTTTTGGGCCTCAATTTTGTTAGTTCTGCACTGATTTTAGTTATTTCTTTTCTTCTGCTAGTTTTGGGATTTTGTTCTTGTTCTTCTAGTTCCACCAGGTGTTATGTTAGAGTGTTAATTTTACATCTTTCTAACTTTTCGAAGTAGGTATTTAGTGCTATAAACTTCCCTCTTACCACTGCTTTTGCTGTATTCCAGAGATTTTGGTATGTTGTATCTCTGTTTTCATTTATTTCAAAAAATTTTTTTTAATTTCTGCCTTAATTTCATCATACCCAAAAGTCATTCAGGAGAAAGTTTTTAAATTTCCATGTAATTCCATGATTTGGGGAGATCTTCTTGGTATTGCTATTTTTATTCTTCTGTGGTCTGAGAGTATGGTTGGTATGATTTCAACTTTTTAAAATGTATTGAGACTTGCTTTATGTCTGAGCATGTGGCCAATCTTGGAGTATGTTCTGTGTGCAGATGAGAAGAATGTATATTCTGTGCTGATCAGTGAAGTGTTCTATAGATGCCTGTTAGGTCCAATTGGTCAAGTGTCAAATTGAAGTCCAAAATTTCTTGTTAGTTTTCTACCTCAGTGGTCAATTTAACACTGTCAATGGGGTGTTGAAGTTTCCTACTACCATTGTTTGGCTCTCTAAGTCTTTTCATACATCTAGAAATCATTGTTTTAAGAATCTGGGTGCTCCAATGTTGGGTGCATATATATTTAGGATAGTTAACTCCTCTTGTTGAATTGAACCCCTTATTATGTACAATATGTGAACACCAAAAAATCACAGAAGGAATACTGCTTGGTCTTTGAATTTTTTTTTTTGGTGATATTCAGAATGAAATAGCTATTTTTAAGGGAAAGAATAAAGTAATATGTTAAACTGACAGGTATTTTAAAAATTAAATAATATAAAAGATATGTGGAAAATATATAGATACACCTACATGCACATACACTTATATAAGGGAGAAATGATTTTAAAAAATATCAAATCCCATAAAACTATTCAAAGATGACAAGGAAAATTAGCACCCCCTGAAAACAATAAGTTAATGTTGTTAAGAGTATGCAAAATTTAAAAAATCTGAACAAATACTACTGTGACTCCCTTTATTTTCAAAAGGTATAATGGAACTACTTTTCAACATGAGTGCTTGTCTACTTGTGTGTCCAAGGACCTCCTAATACTTGTGAGGTTTTTTGGTTTTGTTTTTGTTGTTTTTTTTTTTTTTGACAGAGTCTCACTCTGTCACCCAGGCTGGAGTGCACTAGCACATGGCTCACTGCAACCTCTGCCTCCCGGGTTCAAGCAATTCTCCTCCCTCAGCCTCCCGAATAGCTAGGACTACAGGCAAATGCCAACGCCCGGCTAATTTTTGTATTTTTATTAGAGATGGAGTTTCACCATATTGGCCAGGCTAGTCTCGAACTCCTGACCTTGTGATCCACCTGCCTCGGCCTCCCAAAGTGCTGGGATTACAGGCGTGAGCCACTGCACCTGGCCCCTTACTTTTGAGTTTTAAAGCAATTTCTGGAACACTTTCAGAAGACTCTTGAGTTGTAGTTGGTTATAAAAGAAAACCTGTATACCTGTTGTATCATGAACTGGTGTGAAGTAGTCATGCAACTCTTGGCTACTGAATATACCCTTCACATATTTCAGCAAGAGAATGTTTTGTAAAAGGTAAAAAAGTCATATTTTTAAAAAATTCTAAGTTTATATAGTTTTATTTCCACAATACCCAGTGCCTGACTCTTTGGGTGACTTTACTAATATTTTGTATTGCCTTTATCACAGGTTTGCTATCACCCCTATGTTTGAGAGGAAGAATAATTTTAAAATTTATGTATTTGTTAACTAAATTTACAAAATATACCTGATGTTAATTTTAAATGATCTTTAAAATTAAACATACTATTAATTATTACATAAAACATGAGTTTATAGGAGATCAACAAAAAATTACTAGGTTTGAGGTTTTAAGGTTCATCTGAATGAGGGAGGAGTTTCCATCTCATTGTTGTATCAATTTCTTCATCAAAATTTCCTACTTCCTGTTCTTTAGAAAGCTCTAAGAATACCTAATTAGGAGACAAAGAAGAAGGAAAGAAGGAAGAGAGATTATCAAGTTGTTGGTCTTCCAAATGAACAGGAAAATGCATGTTGCTTTCATGTGAAATTTACCAGATGATACAAAGTCAAACCACTTGACTTACCTTCTCCAGTGTGCACTGAGAAAGGCTGTATTCTTCCAGGTTAAAGTTATGCTTCACTGGAGGAAAAAAAAGACTAGTATTAATAGTAGATGCTTACAATTTATTACCAAGAATTTTTTCAAAATCATAAAGAATAAAAATGTAAATCATTAATATAAATAAAGCTGAATAAGCCAATGCTTGATGTAAGGATGAAATAATGAAAGCCATACAGAATTAATATAAATATATACTATGTTAATATTGATGTTATTTTCTCATATTATGTTTCAATAATATTTGTTTTGGTATTGCGTGCGTATGTCTTTGGAAGATACATATGTTCTTTGAAGAACTACATCATTGATCAAAATATTCTTACACATGAGGAAGATCCTATCCCATCCTCTTTAAGAGAACTCAAAACTCCCTTCAGCCAGTTCATCTGTTATATCACCTCTCTGCTGGACTTCCCCACCAAAAAGTCTGCATGACAGTTGTCACCAGATTCACATATCCACATGTGCATACTTCACCATTTATACGCTAAGAATCTGCTACATGTGAGGCACTCTTAGATGGCAGAAACAGAACAGTCAAGAAAATAGACAAGTACTCCTGCCTTGATATAGTTTGCATTTTAGTGGGAGGAATTAGTGACATTAAATACACAAGCACTGCATATATGATAAAGTTAATGATGATAGTGGCTTTAAAGAAAAATAAAGTTGGTAAAAATAAATAGGGAGCGCTAGGCACTCTTTTTTACCGGATGGTCAGAGAAGGCCACACTAATAAGGTAATAATTGAACCAACATCTGAAAATGGGAGGAAGAAGCCTGGATGTTTAGGAAGGAGAATTCCAGGAAGAAGGATTAGCAAGTACAAAGTCCTGAGGCAGGAGCTTACATGTCTGGCAGCATTTAGGAAGAACTAGAAAGTCATCTATCTAGCATGGAAGGAACAAAGCAGAGATATATATTATGATATATATTATGTCAAACACAATGAGCTAGGCACTGTTCTAGGCACTTAAAATATTTACTCATTTAATCCTAACAACATGGCCAAGTGGGCACTAATAGTATCCATCATTGCAGAGACGAACCATCTAGATATGCAGGGATTGAGTACCTCACCCAACGTCACCCAGCTAGTAAGCAGCATGCCTGGGCTGAGAACCCAGAAAGATGGGCTCTAAAGTTTGAGCTCTTCACCATTATGCTGTGCTGAGAAATTACACCCAATGGTCTGCTGTTGGGAATGACGGGGTTGAAAGCAGAGAAAATGATGACAGGAGAGAGAGTGTGGACAATTACAACCAGCAAAAGGAGTTACACACAATGCAGGGGACGGTCAAAGCTATCATTCAAATAGGAAGGCCAAATACACCTGCACAGACACAAGGAGGTTGATGGATGGATGGAAACTTTCTCTGTTGCTTCTATTTTATTAGTGAAATATAAAGCAAGGGCATCAACTGAGGGATAAAAGTGGGAAGGAGGTGGATATGTAAGGAAAGAAAGGGAGTAAAGTAATAATTTGGGACACTTGGTGTGAATGGATTATATACATGTAGGCAAAGCAGGCCACACAGAGGGGCTTTTAGAGGGGGATGCCATGGTTTCACAGTAAGAACAGTTAAGCATGTGTGTTTCCTGCAGCTTCGGTCCCTGCACTGGAGATTAACCTCTTTTCACAGAGTCAGAGTAACCTAAATTGGGATTAAATCTCACCATTACCTACAGTTAGAATTCTTAAAAATCATGCCCTACAGCCCTATTTTAAAAAATTGTTACACAATTAGCTTCCATTAAATTATTATTTTAGTATTAGTTGATTCTTCAAAAGATTTATTTGAATGTGGTCACTCTTACCTGCTTCTAATTTGTGAAAGGTCTGTGATAGAGGGTAAACGTCTGCCACGGGCAGCTTATAGGTTAACAAAGAGGAATACCTGAAAACAGGAAGATGTCGTTTTCAGCTCTGAGTTTCAAGGGGAGAAAATGAGCATCAGAATAAATATTGATATTACCAACAATTTTCTTCTTAAAATAAAAGTAATGCAAATTAATGTATGGCTTAAATATGAAATCACAGCATTGTTTTGAATTGCTTTTTGGTATCTGGCTGTTGCAGACAGCTCTCCTGGTAATAACTCAGCATAATTATATATGTGCTCAGCTTATGCAAAACCTTTGCGTGTTGAAAATCAGGTATTCTGAACTATTCCCTTTGATTAGTTCGAATTAGGTTGGGAATTAACCCCAAAATAAATGTTCATCTTTGTCATCAGAAAGCTAATTCATTGTTTTGTTTTTTTTAATGAATGAATTTTTTCTTTATTTCTTACATTTCCAGCAATTTGCTTTACATTTACAATGGAAAATATAAACACTTAAACAAAAGTAAATTCAGGACTATTTTGTAAAACCATAAATAGTGGCAAATCTTGGAGATGGAGGTTGATATTGGCGAAAGATCTGTAAGGAAGACATATTTATTCTGAAGGCTTTTTCTAGGCCCTAGGGCAATCTAGAAGTAAGGAAATCAATAGAGCTTGGGCTGCCAACCAAAAAACCTCGGAATCTCCTTGATTCCCCCTCCTCCCAGAAGTCTAACTTGTAAAGAATAATATGAGGTTGGGAGAGTTGGAGATTGCAGTAGAGGAAGGACATAAAACACTTTAACAAAATACTTCCTGACCTCTAAGGAAGAGACGTAATTGATTTGGGGCATCTTGCTTCCGTGTGCTACTTCTGGCTGTAAACCCTCATGCCCTATTCCCAGCTTAT
Source organism: Homo sapiens (assembly GCF_000001405.40). Taxonomy (NCBI): domain Eukaryota; kingdom Metazoa; phylum Chordata; class Mammalia; order Primates; family Hominidae; genus Homo; species Homo sapiens. Next base: position 69,081,984 of record NC_000017.11, read on the forward strand.
TCCCAAACAGGGGTTTGGTGCTCCCAGGTGGCACTAAGGTTGACCAGATGTCCAAGATTGGCCCTTTTCAGACCAGCCACTGCTCTTTCTGTTTTATCATTTTTGATCTTCCCACCTATATCAGAACCACTTCTCTGATTTGTGACACCAAACGTCTGGGAATGGGACAAAGTTACATGTTCTGATATCTATCTTAGAAAATTTAATTACATTTACACTGTGCTAAAATAAAATAGTAGCTTTTATGTCCTATTTTTTGATGTACTTATCTCTCCACGGGAATTTCAAATTCAGTTTCTGCTCCACCTTCTTGCCCTCCCCCAAATAACATACAGACATACACAAACACACACACACACACACACACACACACACACACAGATATGTGGGCATGCACACACACATACACACATACCCCTTTCCACTCTCTATTTTAAGGTATGAAAATTCCATTAAAGAAAGACTCTTTGATTATCTCAATTGCCATTTGTTTCCTATGGGGAAAATTCACCCTAAATATTTACATCTTTTAAATTTTAAATATTTATATATGTTAAGCGTTTATGAGGAGGCCCAGGAAGGACACCATTGTGGTCCTGTGTGGGTTTGAGTCATTAGAAGTTCCTTCTCCCAAGTCTTTCCAAGTACCCCTCTGGAGCTGGGGATCAGCCTGGGATGGCCAAGGAGAGTGTGCCTGGTCTGCCCCAGGGGACACAGCTTCCTGGGTAGGTCTCAATCTCTTATAATCTGGAATACTGAACAAATCCTTTTCTGAGGTCCCTAACTTTTATTATGAAGCCAAATCACTATGAAGTTCTCACACAGCAAAAAGGAAACCACTGAGTGGATAAACCCTCCATATTTCTCCATAATCAAAAGCCCGTCTCACCTTTCCTGCCCTGCAGCCTGTGGGAAAAGCTTCAGAATCTCAGTGTGGACCAAAGTCACTTGAGACGTTTCCTTCACTTTTAGCTCTAGAATGTAATCCTTGCCAAGTTTGTTTTTCAGGTGTTGGATGGAGCCAATGCATCTATGGGCAAGAAAGAGAATATGTTGGAAAAAATATTGCCCTTAATTTTTTAATGTTATTCTTAAATTTCAAATGTAGAAGAAAAGGTGTCACCAAGGAAGCCAAACGGAAGGGCTCCAGCCACACACAGGGATTTTTGCCCTTTCCATGGGAAATCTCATTTTGAGCATCAAATGCAGGCTTCGGAGAGACACCCACCTAAGCCTTCCAGACACCATGATGGCCACACGGTCACACAAGGCTTCCGCCTCAGCCAGGTTATGGGTGGTCAGGAGGACACCTCTCTCTGTGTTTTTAACGACTGCCTGGATTGCCTGCCTGCAGTGAGCAAAAAAATTAACAGTATTTAAAATAACTAAGTGCAGAAGAAAAAAAAGATAAAATACAATATATGAATCATATTCAGATCCTAATGCAAAAAAATAGTGCAATGTAAGTACTGACTAGGTTTTTGATAACATAAATAACATTTTTAAGTATTTTTAGATGTGCTAATCATATTGTAGTTGAGTTATCTTCTGAAGATACTAACTGAAATATTTATAAATTAAAGAATATGTTGCTTTGTATTTCCTTCAAAATAATTGGAGGGTGGAGAAAGGAAGTGGGTGGAGATATAGATCAAAGGAGATTGGTTCTATTGATACCTGCTGAAACTTGTCCATGGGAATAATGGATTCATAAGCGATTCTCTACATTTGTATAAAATTACCATAACAAAGTTTTTGTTAAAGTTGGAAAAGTATCGGACAGTGACCAATATGAAACTAGATTGAAGATTTTATTATTCCAAAGGGTAAATCCTAGATGGGAAAAGTAAGTAAAAGAATAAACCCGAGAAAAACTGGAGGAACAAATTTGACAGGTCACATTAAAAAGGAAAAAAAACAAACAGGAAAATTGTGTCAGGAAGTTAATAGTCTCCCAGGAAACAAAGTAGAAGGGAAAAAAGAAGAAACAGTTATAGACATCTCAATAATTAAAAGGCAAAATATTTTTGTATTTTAACAGTCCACATTAAAAACCTAAAACCCCAAGAAAATGTTGGGTCTTTTTAACCTGAATACCACGTGAACATCATGCAGATTAGATCATCTACTGGTTAAATATTTGTTTTCCTGATAATATAAATTATTTCCACTGAATCAGGAACTAGTGGGTTTGAGGGCTGATTTTCCAAGACCAGTTAAAATATGCAACCTTCCCTAATGTGCATGCTCGCAGCTCTGGGGTATAATGATGCTCACCACATTTGCTGCTGCCCTGTGGGGTCTATGCCCGTAGATGGTTCATCCAGGAGCAAGACAGGTGAGTTTCCCAGGAGGCTCAGCACAAAACACAACTGCAATGTAGAAAAACACCCCTGTTTGCTGCCATACCACACCAGCTCTCCATAGAGCATCACACACCGCACGTACCTTTCTCGTGATTCCTGCTGTTAATTTCTGCACAGGAACATTCAGCTGCTCATGCAGTTTGAAAGCACTCACTAATCTGACAGAAAACAGAATGAGAATATCTGGTCAAGACAAGGTTTTTGGAAAATCCAAGCACACAGAACAGTAACAGCATTAGAGGGAAGTTTAGTAATATTATTGTCAAAATCCTAACTCATAATTTTAAAAAAGAGATTGGTTTATTTTGGAACATGAAAGACTTTTTTTTTTTTTTGCCTCATAAACAGTTTTAGGAAAAACTAGAATTCTGAATGAGAAACTGACAATGGATGATTATTTCATTTCCAGGTTTTTTAAATTAGAAAACTGAAATGGATGACGATTCATGGTGATTCGTTCACTTATTCCTTGTCAATTATTTTATATAATCATTTTTTAAAGATCTCTCATTCAGGGATGCAGGAAGTCAGGTCTTGTCCCTCATCCCTGCTCTGCCACTGACACTCTGGAAAGGTGGAGATAGCATATTGACTCTCGGTTCTTTATTAGTGAATTCATCATCAGTGCTACAGTCTCCCTGCATTCTGACACAAAGGAATCGCAGGTCCCGTCTGTACCTTGCGATGGCGAGCCTCGCGTCCGCTTTCCTGAGCCCCTTGACGGCAGCATACACCTCCAGGTGTTCCCTCAACGTCAGCATGGGCCACAGCACGTTCTCTTGAGGGCAGTACCCCAGGTGGCCCAAAACTGAACTGCAGCCTTTCAGTTCCACCTAAAAAAATAAAAGAGCTTTAGAAAGGCATGCAGCCTTTATTCCAATAGCGTAATTACTCCAGAAACTGACATATATAAGCGTCTAAATTGTTTAAGCATCAAATAAATACTATAGAAATTACTTCATATATTTATTACAGAAAATGATTTAAAGTACAAATATAAAAATATAGTTTTACATGCAGAGAAGAAAAGAGACCTAATAAGCTCAGGTAGTTCTTGAGAAACTGATGAGTAAAAGGTAATTGGTTTCTGGTAAGATTCCAAGTCCTGTTATAAACACCTGATGCCCAGTAAAAATTTAAAGAGGGGAAAAATAAAATTTATCCAAAGGCAAAAAAAAAAAAAAAAGAAAAGAAAAATAGTATAGTCTTACAAAGATATAATCTATACGTATCATGAAATTCCTGTTTTGGAAATGGAAACCATTTCCTCACTACCTCTCCAGCAGTTGGCTTTGTGATCCCAGATATCATTCTAATAGATGAACTTTTTCCAGCACCATTGGGTCCTAGCAATCCCAAAATTTCACCTGAAAGAAAGAATCAGACTATCAATATTGGAAGTGAAATACTGAACAACATAAACCTTTTGCTCCAGTGAAATCTTCTGAGATTTCTGCACCCTTCAGTTAGTACCATTTTGAGATTGATAACATATATGTAATCCACGTCACCAAAGCATGTTCTTTATTTTCTGTAATTATGCCAAATGTTACTGCAAAGCTAATGAATTTGATGTCAATACATCTGTCCTTTTCCCCCCAGATTACTTGTTTCAGTTGGAAATGTGTCCAACTGTTTTCCGTAATAGATGGCCGATGCACTGAGTACATGTATGAATGATTCTCAAACTTGAGAAGTTAGGGATATTTTCTTCATCCCAAATTCAACCACCTCTGTCCAAGTTACCATCATCTTTCATCCCAACTGATATAAAAGCCTCTGAACTTGTCCCCCCCAACCCAAACTGACAAACAAACAATAGCCAATCTGTAATCTTTTCAAAATATAAATTAAATATGACACAAGTCCGCTAAAAACTCTCCAATGGTATTATGCTAACTTGTATAAAACACAAACTCATTGCTGTTTTCAAAAGCTGTACCTAATCTGGCGCTGCTCAGCTCTATAGCTTTATCCCTTCCATTTATGGATGCATTCACTGGCCTCTTGGCTAGAGACACAACGTTTCCAAATGTGTCTGAGTCCCTGCCCTCACTGTTTCCTCTACCTGGATGCTCTTTGTCTAGTGGCTTCATAATTGTATTTCCAGAGTCTAAAACACTCCCTGGCACACTAAATATATATATATATATATATATATAGAATAAATGAATGAATGCTTCAGCGAGTAAAACTGTGCCTATGACATAGATGTTCGGTAGGTAGTTCTAAAAGTAATGGTAAGTTTTAAAAGGGATTATTACAGACCTTCTTGAACACAGAAAGAGATATTTCTTGCTGCTATTTTCTTCTTCCTCTTTGAAAAGCAACTTTTCTTCTGGCCTGCATATTCTTTGTGTAGACAGCTGGCAATTATAACAGGTTTCTAGAAGAGATGACAGCATGATTTTCCTCTTAAATTTCAGAGACTTTAGGTCTCTGCTGGAACCTTTCATGCCTTATGTCATAAGCCAAACCATATTTTGAGTTGAGAGTAATTCATGCTGCTAAATGTAATATGCATTCATTAATGTAGAAAATATTTCTTGCTTCTAAATAGACTGAGTTTCATGGAAGCAGCTTATTGTCTTGCCAGAAGAGGGGTGGCTAACCTCATGGAACCATCACATCTAAGTCAAATAGAGTAAACCTTAAAATCTTAATCTCTATTTAGCATTCTTCGCATTCTTCGACAAATCTAACTTAAATTATTTAACTCATGAGGTCTTGTTGGTTTTGCAATTATAGCCCTAATTATGAAAGCCCACTTTTCTCAAAAGAAAAATTAAAACCATTAGGTTTTGTGTTCTTTTTAGCTTCTAGGACACTCTGAATAAGCGGAGTGCCTTGATTATGCAGATACTTCTTTGGAGTGTCCTGGACGCATAATACAGAAATGCACCAAACTCCAAACTCTCAAAATGAAACCCAGTGTATCAAATCCTGCTCTTGACAGTTCTTGAATATCTCCATTAATATCCATTTTGCCCCTTGCTTTTTTACCTCATCTAAGATTGAAGTGGTCAGAGCAGTGGCTGTTCTTATTCTTTCTGTTTGAATATCTTCATCTTCATCTATGGGTTCTTCTGGATTTGGCTTAGCATCTCTACTTTGGGGGGAAATTCTATGGAGAAAATGAAATGTGTTACATGTGGTATTCTAGCTGTTAAAAGATGTGTCAAAAATCAGCATTCCTGTGATTTTACTACTGTCCTCTTCTCTAATGTGCAGGTGATGATGTGATGATGACTGTCAATATTGCTTCTGCTTTTGCCAAGAACTCCTGTCCCACTAGCCAGAATCCTTTTCTTAATGTTGTTGCCATTCTTCTGGTAAGAATCTTTGACCCTTTCAAATCTGTCAGCAGGTACTGCTCCTTTCTCTTTAAAATTCATGTCACTCTCATTTTCTCTACTCAGTCTGAGCTCATCTTCATCACACCAGATGTTTTTTCAACATCATTTACTGCTCACCCTTTCTACAGCCCTCCATTTTTAAAACACTCAACTATGTTGCTAAATCGATTCCTTCCCATCTTTTCTTTTCAAGGATGCACAATTATCTCAGACGAGAGAATGGCATATTTGGGTCCTTATTAAATTTTGGATGGAGTGAAGGTTTCTTACAGCTGCTTACAGCCAGAACTCTGCCTGGGAGTTCTATCTCTTGGCAGTAAGGCAGCAATCCACATTCCCTAATGACAATCAACATGTGCTTCCACTGTAAATGTAAATCTGTATTAACAAGATGATAGCACAGACACCATCTAGGAATGTTAAAATATGATATTAAGTATAAAGTTAAATTTCACCCCAACCTGAAAACAGGATCTTTTCGCATTCTTTTCTTTCCACATTTTAGTTCCATGCATCTTAGAACAAAAACGAATAGCAAAGTCTGAAAGTAGGGCTATGAGCAAAGAAATACAGTTATATTTAGGCATAAGTTCACAAATATTATTTAAATATTTGAATTAAGTTGGTGGTGTTTTGTCTTTGGGTAAATAGTTGTGGATCATTCTCATAAGCTGGGGGAGAAATGTAGCTATACATTCACAATCCAGGTTAGTGAAACCTGTTTCCTTTCTTCTCGCCACCCATATTCAGTTTGTAAGTAAATTCTATCTACTCTATCTTCAAAATTATCCATAACCCAATTATTTCTCACCCCTACTCATGATACTCCCACCCAGGCCTAGGTCATTATAATGTCTCACCTGGATTGTTGCAACCCCTTCCTACTTGGGCTATCTCTGCCCCTCTTGTTCTAAACATCTGTTCTCAATACAGTATCCTGAGCTACTTTTTTAATACATAAGCCTGAACTTATCACTGTGCTTAAAACCCTCCAATGACTCCTCCTCCATCACTCAGAGTAGAGTCAAAGCCTTTAGAGTAATCTAGATTACCCTGTGTGACCCTTTCTCCTGACCTCTCGCTTTATCCCATGACTTCTGTGGCCATCTTTCTTATCACTCTCTTCCTTGGTCATTCAGTCACAACCACACTGGCCTGGCTGACCCTGGATTGAGCCGGGGTCACTCTTGCCACTTCCTACTGAAGTGCTCTTCTCGAAGCCTTTCCTGACCACCCATCTGACACCACACATATTATCCATTTAGTTTATTATCCATGTCCTTCCACCAGAATATAAGCTCCATGAGGGCAGGGACCGCTGTCTTTATTTTCTCCTGTACCTAGAAAAGTACTGACACATAGGATTCAAAGACAGTAGTTCCCTTCAGCCTAAATACACCAAAATAATCATTTTCCCTTTCACTTTTATTATTCAGTTCTTGCCTTTTTAATCTATTATTCAAAGGAAGTAAGTTATATTGCATCTCTATTTTTTACAAGCTCTCTCAAATTTAGAGGAGGGACAGTAAACAGGATAAGCAAACAAAAAATTAATTTAATATTAACTTTTGGACACATATAGCCAATCCAAGCATGTAAAAAGTAACTCTAAGGTTTAGAAACATGTCTGAAGGTAAGTGCTTTATCTAAGATCATATAAAAACACTTTCAAAATGGCACACTTTGGACAAGATCAAATTGTTATAGTGAATGACAGTCATCCAAAAGAATGTGTGCTGAGGTGGAAAGCCCTTCTTACTATGAAGCAGACTAGAAAATCAGTGGCACTCAATTCAAAATTTGCCTCTGGAAATTCTCTGTAGTGCTCCTGGTCTCTCTGAAAAGACAAAACAAAACACACACACACTAATGATAATTCATCTGCTTTATGATTTGCACTTAAATAATATAAAATTCACATATTGAATATTTTCCTCATAGATCTCAATTTCTTTGTGTGCACTAGTGACAAAGTAATTCCCCACAGAAAAGAGAACCTCCTACTCAACTCTTACTGTCTCTCAATAAGCAAGTAACCTATGTCTGTTCCTCTCTTCAATTCTTTGTTTAAAAAAATTTGGTTTTAACATTTGCAGAAAGCATATGTTATTACTGAAGCATATGTTATTACTGAAACAGTAATATGCTATTACTGAAAGCATAGCAGAGAGAGGTGCTGGCACTGGTAAAATTTCTGGGGGTTGACAATATTTTTCTTAAGTGCCACAGACAAGCCTTTTCAGAGCCCCTTCTTATCCCAATGGTGACTATTTTCCCATAATGATAATTAGTTCCAGCACGTTATTCTTTCTTCATCAATCAGTTCATTCAGAAAGTTACTCATTCCTCCTATATAATACATGACAGATCAAGATGAATGTATTTCACCTTGCAGGTCTACTTAGGAGGAAAATGCTTTAAGCAAAGGGATTAGTTTCTAATCGAGAACTTCAGGCATTGCTCAGCCAATGGAGATGTATTTTTGCAAATGGAAGGCTTTTCCAGTTCGCCAAGGACACCCCTGATTACAGAAGCCCTCTTTACTTTCCTTAAAGCCATTTCATCCAGAGTGGTACAGAGCTCCAAAAAGTGTGTTCTCCACTTAACTTTCTTGCCCTGGCCTCATCGTATACTTTTCTCCACTTGAACCACATTCAGTTTCTTTAATGCCTCCTGGCTTTTCCTGCTTCAAGGCCTTTGCTTTCCTCTGCAGAACATGCTTACCTCCTGTCCCATTAACTAATTATTATTCATCCTTTAGCCATGTATTTAAATATAACGTCCCCAGAAGAATTGTCTGACTCGCTAGAACACACCAGCTGTGCCTTGTGTGTCCTCCCTTGGCCCTTTGCCCTTGTCCTTTGTAACATTTAAGTTTCTTGTATTAACTTGAGTAAGTTTGGTCTGCCTTTGCCTCCACTAAGCTTTGGGAAAGTCAGGACTGTGCTATCTTGCTCATCAGGTGTCCCCAGTTACTAGCACAGTGACTAACAGAGAATAGTATTTGATATATATTTTTGAATGATTGAATGGAATCGCATATGAGTTTATCCTCAGCGGCTAACAAATTACCTGTCAAACCAAGCACATTTTTCCCCCAATCTGGCATTACCCATATTTGAATGGCATTTGACAATGCCTATATTTTGCAAAGTGAATAGGACAAAAGTTTAAATGTTTTATTGAGATTTAATTTTGCATCTGATAAAATTCACTCATTTTAAGAGTAGAACTCAAGGATGTTTAGTAAGCTTACAGAGTTGTGCAAGCATCACCACGATTCCCCTTTTGAACATTTTCATCATCCCCCCAAAATCTCTTATGCCCATTTGCTGTTACTCCCCAGTTCCACTACTTTCTGTCTCTCTTGATCTGGGAAAAGCACTTTAATAAGCTACATATTCAAAATTAATGACACAGTTGGTAACATTTCTTACCACTTCCAAAAAAGTTTTAAATCCAAGCAAGGTATATGAAGGAACCAATACCATGGTGGTAATCAATATACTTAGGTCAAAATGATTGATTAAAGTGATGGAAAACATGATGGTGGAGGCCTACAAGGCAAGTTCAAATATATTGTATCAGACATACTCAACCCATTGATATTTTGTAAAACATTTAAGATGCAGGTGTTCTCATGATGTATATCATAATGTTCCCATATGCAGATATACCCATTTGACAATGATAGTTTCTCCTTTTAGAGACAATAGGGAAGAAGCTTTTGTTAACAAGAATACATTATGATCCCCAATAGAAAATTCTTAATAAAGACTGGCGACTAAGGTGAAAGCTAAAATGACCAAATAGACTTCTTTTTTTTTTTTTTTTTGAGACGGAGTCTCGCTCTGTCGCCCAGGCTGGAGTGCAGTGGCGGGATCTCGGCTCACTGCAAGCTCCGCCTCCCGGGTTCACGCCATTCTCCTGCCTCAGCCTCCCGAGTAGCTGGGACTACAGGCGCCCGCCACTACGCCCGGCTAATTTTTTGTATTTTTAGTAGAGACGGGGTTTCACCGTTTTAGCCGGGATGGTCTCGATCTCCTGACCTCGTGATCCGCCCGCCTCGGCCTCCCAAAGTGCTGGGATTACAGGCGTGAGCCACCGCGCCCGGCCCCAAATAGACTTCTTGACGTGTATTATTAAATTTAATCCAAGACAAGAGGATAGAGGGATTACCTTTTTATGGCTAAGGTAACAATATTGCTAATGAATAAAAACCTGTATATGTTGAAAGTTACATGGCTATTATAAAAAAAAACCAAACAATCCATACTGTCTCTCAACCAGACTACTGTGGAGCTTTCTCATTGTCCTTCCTGCTCCATTTCTTCCCCATTCCAAACAAATGACTTTTCTGAGATTGTGTATTTTTATTGTGATGGACTTATTTTATTTTACAATTTTTTTTACTGGCAAATGGGAAGGAATAAGGATAATTTTGTTTGTTTGTTTTAAGAATCAATTGATCAGCCAAGTATGTATTGAGCACTACCCTTTCTTTCCCAGATCTTATTAATGTACTGATTATAATAAAAATAGAATCATAATTGCTAAATTCACTGAATATTACATAAATGCCAGGTTTTAATAATCTAGCATGAATTATTTAATCCTCACAACTCCATAATGTAGTACTTTTATTATCTCTCCCTTTACAAATGAGAAATCTGGGGTTCACTCTTAAGTCCTTCAGTTCACTTAGCTGACTCCTCTTATTCTACCAGACCTCCATATTTCTACAGTTTCTTTCCTCTCTTCTCATCCACTGGAACAAGAGAGGAGTCTAAACTTTGACAGTGTGAGAGGATACTCCAGAACTCCGTGTGCTAAGATGTGCTACTATACCTCCACCACACAGCATAATAGGCTGAAAAGATACTTCCTTATCAGGCAGGGGTCTAGGGTACCAGTAAAGCACCACAACCCTGGGGGTATGGAATTCCACTGGACTCTAGAAACAAATTAACTACTGACTGTGGCTTCACTCAATGATGGAGAAACATTGCCTACACTGTCCTTCCAAATGGATCCCAGATCACCAAAGGACAACTGCATTGAATATCAACATACTATACCTTCTGACATATGATCCTGTGAGGAGTAAACAAATTGCCTTAGTCCTAGGACTAGCATCGTTTAAGTTGATACTAGCTGTACAATGATAAATTCTCACAACATATATTTTCAACACATATTTAGAAATAAATTATAAGTTATTTGTATGCAAATGCAAATTTTAGTGCAAACTGCTTGAGGTCTTTGTGAAGAGGTATAATTTTAAAACTTTTTAGCCTACTGAAATCAAGATGTGTTCATCAGCACAAGTTCTGAATCAGTATTGCCAACCATGCTACTGTCTCATATTTTTTAACATGAGGAATGACATAAGGTCTGAGACTTCAAGTTTATTCCTGAGCCTGTCACTACTTTTTGTGTTTTTCTGAGCAAGTTACTAAATTTTTTCCTCTATTGAAGTAGGAAATTAAGAAAATAACAGAATAATGGCATAAGTAATAATAGTGAAAATTATAGTAACAGAAAAATAACAATAGCTCATAGAATGAATTGCTGTATTAACCAAGGCTGAAAAGAATTTAAGTTGCGCACCCCCACCTCCGCCGAAGTTAAAGTTAAAAGAGAATACTAACTGTCCCAAGAAACATTAACCATATCTACTTCCCACATATTCTGTAAGTTCTGTAAGTCCCTGTTTTTCTTGCTGTGCAGCTGCAAGGTCACAAGATAAGTAAGTGAAAGTTAAATTGCAACTCATATTTTTCCTAAGATGCAAGTCATGGCATAAATGATAAACAGCCTTTGTTCTCACTTCTGCAAACCTGCTTCCTGCTTCAAGTTTTTCCCGCCCCAAAATGCTTAAAAGTTGCTCGCTTTCTTTGTTAGGGGCTCAGACTTTCAGGACACATGTCTGCTGAGCCGATATACACCTAAAATAAAAGCTCTCCTGTATCCCGATCGGTCTCTCTAGTTCCTTAATTTCCTGCAACACTATAAAATTTGGTAAATCATACTAGACAATTTTGAATTTCTTTCAAGTCTGACATTCCACCATTCTAGAAATATGTAGATTCCTTTCAGTGATAGAAAAATGAAATAAATAAATATACTGAAATAGATAAGCATAAGAAGGGCAAAGGAAAAACAATCAGAAATTACAAATATATAAATACATATTTTACTATTACACTGCGGTGTAATTTTGTTTTTATATTTTGAACAGTCTTTGTTTTCCAAAACGTACCTTGCCTCTGGAATATTGTCTTGCCTTATTTGAATCCATAACAACTTAAGCATAAATGGCAGCAAAGGATAAAAGGCATGCAATCATACGTGTATGTGTTTTGATTTTAAAAATACAGTGTTTCTCAGTGTCATGTCTGATTTTCTGCTGTGATCTTTTATTTGTGATAATTTTTTCAAATCACAGTGAGAACACCTTAATCACCATGTTAGTTCACAAGCCTAAGAAGTGGTTCTGCATTATCATCTTTCCTTAGAAAGAACAAAGTCAAATTTCTTCTTTTGTTCATCTATTCACTTGCTGCCGTATATACAAGGGGCATTCATAATATGATAATGCAGATTCTGTCTTCTGCCATTTTTTGAAGGAAAGTTCCTCTCACTGGACTCTCACTCCTTACTCCACAATGGGAAAATGGTTTCTGCTCTCTAAGCCTAGAGATGAAACTTATTGTTTTGGAAGATTCTGGCCTATTAAGTTCTAGAAGTTCTGTCACAGTCTATGGAATTGATGCACAGATTTGAAATCCTGGAACTTGGCTGAGAAAATCTTGTCTATAATGTTTTCCAACCCAAAGCATCACTATGGAGCCTGCAGCCATGAGGAAATTAAACCTGCTCAGCTTCTCCACTAAAAGCTAAAAGGCAAGGGCTGAGGTATGTTTCTATCACTGATGCTGAATGCTCTCTTGTCTGAGAAATTTCCAGCTCTATACAAACTGGGATAAGTTGTGAGTATACGGTAAGCCAGGGGCAACTATTTCATGAGGCACATAGCAAAAAATGTGTCCATCTAGATGTGCATTTGTTCCAGTTTGGAATGATTTCTGTGTAATAAGGGTCAACACAAGGAGTGGCAAAAGCCACAAAAGGAAGCTTGATTCCAGCATGCTGTTTACTTAGGACTGAAGGACAAGCTGCTGAAAAAGCATCTATGAGGGGCACTCACTAGGGCATCTGCAGCATCACTCAGGCTGGCAGGAGCAGACCCATGCGCAACCACGCTGGACAATAACCCTGACATTTCTTGGCTATCACCTCCAAGGTAGACTTCGTTCAGAGCTAAAACTACTGGCAAACACTAAGAATGAATGTGAATTCTTTGTTCACCTTTGCTAGACAGATACAAGAGTGCTGACTGAAAAGAAACCAACCAAGTGTCAGTAAGACTCTCTTCTACAGACATCTGATCTAGCACCTGAGATTACACTGGACAATGGCAGTAAGTCTGTTGACTGAACAAAAAATAGTCTCCATGGAAAGGATAAATGGAAAGACCTTTTGTGCACCAGATCCTCATGGCTGCCTCAAAGCCAGTTTTTCCGAGTAAGGTGAGCCTAATGTTCTTTCTGTAGCCTCTGTACTTCCACTGGATTGTGCTGATGGTGGTAAGAGATATAGTTATAGACACTGTTTGCTGAATACAAAGAAATATAGCCCAGAGAAGTCAAACCCAAGTGCTGTCCACTGAGAAGGAACAACAGCTACCTGCTGGCCAAAAGAGTCCCAGACTAATTTCTTGTAGAAGTCAGTGGGTCGTATAGGTTGGTGCAAAAGTAATTGCGGTTTTGACATTACTTTAAATAGCAAAAAAAACGCAATTGCTCTTGCACCAACCTAATATTAAATATATCATTTCTTATAGATGATCTTTGGTTGGGTTCTTCTCATGGATTCAAGATTCCCATTCCAAGAGTTGAGAGCTGTTTTCCAGACAGACATTCAATCACCAGTTGAGGATATCAGTTAAAGGAGGCCTGAAGTGTAGGACTCAGGGCACTCTGGTGTCTCTAGAATTTCAGCAAACATTTCCAGCAAAGTTTTCCATGATTTTGGACAAGCTCTTTACTTTTATACTAACAAGTAACCTGGCATAAGTATAAAACATCTTTAGTATCTGAAACTATTAGCAGCTAAGGTTAAGAGAGACCTTCTTGAAGACTGTAGAGATGGGTTGTAATGTCAACTGTTAGGAAGCCAATTTTCTAGTGTTGGCAGGAAGCCCTGTATTCTGGAGACATAAACTCAACAGGACGTTTCAGACGTCAGGTCTTCTGTAAGATTCTCCATAAATTCTGTTCAATGGGTAGCACCTGATTTCTTTAGAAATATTATTGATTCAGTAACAGTGTTACACTTCCCTCTCTTTTCTATGGTGTAATTTTGAAGTATTAATTTTCCCTACTGTCTTAAGGCAGACATCTGTATTTAAGATTACATTAGAAGTTTAAAAAATAACACTATTTCTCTATTTGTATGTATTATATACTTACAAAAAAGAAGTAAAATGACCAAAGGCCACTGTTTTTTCTCCTTTTGCGAAAAATAAATGATATCATATATATGAAGAAGACAAGAGAAGCTGCATAACCAGGAGTAACTATAACCTGAGCATAAAAGAAATAATAACATAGTCAAAAAATCAAATATTACTGAGGGAAAAATTAGATTACAACTTTTAAAAAACAAGTAACCTGGCATAAGTATAAAACATCTTTGGTATCTGAAACTATTAGTATTTATCATACATGCACTTTGCATGTTTTTTGTTTTGGTTTATTACAAAATATGAATTAAAACATCTTAACTACTTAAAATAACAATGTTAAAATTTATTATTAATTACTTTATGAAATTTGGTTTATGTACTGTGTTACTTACCAAAGCAAACACAATTTGGCTTGTAATAAGAAGGTACTGCATGTTTTCTATGTAGAAAATTAAATACATTAAAAGGAGAATTAAAATGAAGAAGCTGACGTCCACTAGTGCCTGCCCACACCAGTAAGCAGAAGTGTAGAGGCCTGAAATCCATAGCTGGGACTTAGCATTTTTCTGATTAAAAAAAAAAAGAAAGAAAGAAATGTATATAGATTCAATTAAAATGCAAATCTAAAATAAACACAAACACATTGGAAGAATTTTTAAGATAAATATAATCTAATCTTCTAATATTAAAAAAAATTATGCATATACTGCTTAGTAACATGAGGCTTATAGAGCCAGTTCCATGGTTTACAAGGTGTCTATCAAAAATAAAATGTATACTGTGATAGGCCTGACTCATAACACAACTTTAGCTCATGAATAATGAAAAGTGGACCTCATAATGTTCAAGGCATTAAACTCTATAAAAATAAGTATTGGCCAGCATGGTGGCTCACGCCTGTAATCCCAGCACTTTGGGAGGCCAAGGCGGGTGGATCACAAGGTCAGGGGATTGAGGCCATCCTGGCTAACATGGTGAAAGCCCATTTTGACTAAAAACACAAAAAGTAGTTGGGCATGGTGGTGCAAGCCTGTAATCCCATCTACTCAGGAGGCTGAGGCAGAAGAACTGCTTGAACCCGGGAGGCGGAGTTTGCAGTGAACCGATTTTGCACCATTGCACTCCAGCCTGGGCAACAGAGTGAGACTCCATCTCAAAAAAAAAAAAAAAAAAGTATTATTTTGTGACCTGGAGGACATAATACATTTACCTTTACCTAAACATCTTGGAGAGTTTCTGGCTCAGGATGGTGAACGTTGATAGATTTAACTGCTTTGTCTGAATAATGGGCATAATCGAATACAAATATAACATAAAATTGCAATTTCCAGAGTGGAAAAGGAATTCAAGTCTTAAATTTGGCCTTTGATTTCAACATCAATGATTTCCTTCTTGTGGCTGGGAAATAATGTGGTCAAAAGATTTATAATATTTCCCTTTGAAGGTTTAGACTAATTGGAGTCTCTGAAAAATCACTGTACTTTTCAGGTGACTTTGGAATAAAAAGCATTTTGAGTTTTTAGAAGTAAATTATCTGACTTGCCAAGAATAAGGTTTAGCTACAATATCTAAATTAAACATACATTCAAATGTTTTTGTCAGAAGAAAACATTTTGAACACATAGCATTCAAAATACAGATATTGAAATTCCTGAAATTTCTTCTTTTCCCTGCTTTTTCTTACCTTGTAATCACTGATGCTGCCCATGGTGATATAAGGAGAAATGCTA
Organism: Homo sapiens; assembly: GCF_000001405.40. Classification (NCBI taxonomy): domain Eukaryota; kingdom Metazoa; phylum Chordata; class Mammalia; order Primates; family Hominidae; genus Homo; species Homo sapiens. Next base: position 69,097,966 of record NC_000017.11, read on the forward strand.
CATAGAACCAAAAATAAGAAAAAGGAACCATCCGGCAACCCAGTCCAGAGTCCTATGTGGCTCTGAAAATATAAAGGGTAGCTTAAACTAGTGAATATTTGTTAAATGAAACAAATAATTATAGCCACAAAAATGCACTTTTTGAAATGTTGAAAAATCAAAGTAAAGGTGTAGCTCATTACCATCTAGGCACGAAGGTGGGAGGGAAAGTGACTCTGATCTTCAACTCAAAGAACAAAGAGAAGTCAAAAGTCATTTAGGACCTACTTCTGGGGATATTTCCAAAAGAATTGAAAGCAAGCTCTCGAAGAGATACCCTCACATTCATATTCATACCAACAATACTCACAAGTGGAAGCAACCCAAAAGTCCAAATTAATGGATTAACAAAATGTGTATGTATATACAAACAATGGATACTATTCAACCTTAAAAAGGATCACTTGAGGTCAGGAGTCTGAACCAGCCTGACCAACATGGTGAAACCCCATCTCTACTAAAAATACAAAATCAGCCAGGTGTGGTGGTAAATGTCTGTAATCCCAGCAACTTGGGAGGCTGAGGCAGGAGAATCGCTTGAATCTGGGAGGCAGAGGTTGCAGTGAGCAGAGATCGCCCCATTGCACTGCAGCCTGAGCAACAAGAACAAAACTCGGTCTCAAAAAAAAAAAAAAAAAAAAAAGAAGGAAATCCTGTCACATGCTACAACATAGACGAACCTGGAAAATATGCTAAGTGAAATAAACCAGTTACAAAAAGACAAATATTCCACTTATATAAGGTTTCTAAACTAGTAATATTCATAGAAACATAATAGGATGGTTATTTCCAGGGGATGGGGGAGGGGGAAAGCTAATTGGCATCGAGTTTCAATTCCGCAAGACGGCAAAGTTCTGGAGATGCATTTCACAACAATGTGAATATACTTAATACTACTCAACTGTACACTTGCAAACAGCTAAAATGGTCAATTTTATATCATGTATTATTACCACAACAAAAAAACAATAATTCAGAAGTTAGGACCTCTGATGAACATATAATTCAGGCCTGAGTAGCACGTCTTTCTGAGCAAACCCAGAGATGGAAACCTCAGTAGCTGGGTGGATGTGTTCTGAAGCACAGAACCAAGAAGAAAACTTGTTGCTGCTTGTCTTAACTTCAGGGAAAGGAACTTTAAATCACTACCCCCAAATCAGCATCCACTTGAGGCTAGGCCAAGTGGACACTCTAGCAGCATCTAGGACCACCTCATGGATATAATTACAGGATAACAGCATGAGCCTGTCTCAAAATAATTCCACAATTATTTAACTTTATTTAAGACTTTGAGGGCTATGTCTATAAATTCTGTTTTTCATCATAGGAATGAGGGAGGAAAGGTGTGTGCCATGGGGAAGTGGGAGTGGGGAACAGGTTTCTAATAGAGTAGCTATGGGCTTCAGTCCATTTTGATCCTGAGCAAACACAATGGCATTAGGAAGCTAATAATTCAGAAGTTAGGACCTTTGATGAACACATAATTCAGGCCTGAGCAGCATGTCTTTCTGAGCAAACCCAGAGATGGAAACCTCAGTAGCTGGGTGGATGTGTTCTTTTGAAGGATAGCAGCATAAGCCTGTCTCAAAATAATTCTGCAGTGAGACAGGTTCATGCTGCTATCGTTCCAAAGAGGAAGGGTAATCACTGTCTCTTTCTGCTACTCCTCTGGTTCCACTTTCTGGAGAATTCCCTTCAGACACCCCTTCCCTCGAGTCATCCTGTGCAGCAGACCTGTTTACGTGATCAGTCGGTCATACTCAACTCACGGAGGTATGTGTCTGTCACGAACATCTCAAGTACTGTATATTTCATCCCCATTGTTCCCATGGCTTACAGAAAACCTGTGCTTGCATATACTCCCAGCACCACTGATTCAGTGAAGCCAAAACTGAGCTTCACACTTTTGTCACAAAATGGACTTCCCTTTGGATGGCTTCATTTCTAATCCTGCTTCTTGATGTTTCAGACTTCTGGTGTGAAACAGTTGGAGTCAGCTTTGAGACACCCCTGTTGGTATCAGGCAGGGTCTAACCAGAAAACCATGACTACGTTAAGTTCTTAGAGTGCAATTCCTTATGACATGGTTAGGTGGGTGATGAGCATCCCACAAAGATGGTGAAGTGAGAAGCAAGCTATTGTTGCTTCTGGGCTTCAGGAACAGCAGAAGGAGGTGATGTGACTGGAGCCCAATGTAGGGGGTCCTCTGCTCTTCTGTCTCCCACCACTGCTTTCTAGTGTCCAAACTGTCTGAAGCCAGACTATAGCCAACTGACACAGAATCCAATGCAGCCTGTGTGTATTAGGCTCCCTCACAACATAGAGCAACTATGAGTAGGTGAATAAATAAATCAACAGATAGCCCCAGAACTGGCAGATTCTCCTTCATATTAGTCTGTCTACTACACATTTAGTCAATGGAGGGTCCACTAACTAATTATAATAGATTTATATGTAACCAGGGTTACAAGTTCTCCTGATTTCCAAGTCAGTGTTTTCTTTTTTCTGTTTCTCTTTCTCATACACTTCCACAATCAAGTATGTACAACTTTTCAAAACATTGCCTAGAAGACTGACAAAATATTGAAAAGTATTCCCTCACGATAATTATCTGATAACTTGGCAGGAAAAAAAAATCCTGTTTTGTTTGCTATAACCCATTGAAAATATTAGGATAAAATAATAATTTTCAGGCTTAACAATCACTTATGGATATTTAAAAGCTAAAGAGAGAAAACATAGGCTATTTGTCCAATTCTTAATTGTTTAGACTCAGTAAATCCAATACTTACAAGAGGAAATGGGCTTGACTCAATTCGAATATGTTGTGTGTGATTAAACATTTGAAGTAGCCCATTGCTGATAATATTCATAAGAATTGGAAAACAGTGCAATCTCTTGGTATTACACACAACTGAAAATCTATAATCCTTAAAACAGAAACAAATAAATAATGTTAATGCTAAATTCTTAAAGAACAAAGGCAAGGTTTATGTATAAAAGATCCTAACAGTGCCACATGCTTGTTGTGTGTCCATCTTCAAGTGAACTAAACTTTCTGAGCTTTACCTTCCTCATCTATGAAAAGGAAATACTAAATGGGTTGTTATAGGGCTTAAATGACACTCTATTCATGTACATTAAGCTCTAGCACAGAGTCAGCATACAATCAATATGAATTTTTATTTGTATTACTAATTTTAGATAATTTTGTCTCCATTTTGCTGATGGGGAAATTTCATTTAGTAGAGTTTAAAAGTCTCCCTGACAAGGAGATGCTGTCAGTTTATGATGAAGAAGCAAAGGAAGATTGGGCATGGTGGCTCACACCTGTAATTCTAGCACTTTGGGAGGCCAAGGCGGGCAGATCACTTGAGGTTAGGAGTTTGAGACTAGCCTGGCCAACATAGCAAAACCCTATGTTTACTAAAAAATACAAAAATTAGCCAGGTGTGGTGGCACACATCTGTAATCCCAGCTACTTGGAAGGCTGAGGCAGAAGAATCACTTAAACTCAGAAGGCAGAGGTTGTAGTGAGCTGCGATCACACCACTGCACTCCAGCCTGGGTGACAGAGCGAGACTCTGTCTCAAAAAAAAAAAAAAAAGCAGCAGCAGCAGCAAAGGAATGCTGGCCTTCTGGATAGGAGATAAGCATGGAGTTCATTAAATATTCATCCTTACCCTGCCAAAGAAGCATTTCCCCACTTCCTAAAGCAATCTTTATATTTATGTACTTCATGTTTAGGAAAATGTTCATTAATCTATTAGAAGGTTTATTGTTTAAATCTTACCACTAGTTCATGTAGTAAATATGTGAGGTATGTAACGTAGTAGCTGACAAAGTAATTTCCCAAAACTGGCACAAAGCGATTACATTTTTTATAGCATATTTAGTTTATGTAGAACGGAATTCAGTAATACAACTTCAAAGGCTTTTCTTTTTTAAAAATTTACTTTGTAGCATGAAATAAAGAGGGAGCTTCACTTAATTAGGCCCCTTGCTTTTATTAGAATGCAAATAAGACTGAAGAGTTCTTAACATTAAGATGTATTTTTAAACCGAGCACGGTAGCTTATGCCTGTAATCCCAGCATTTTGGGAGGCCAAGGCGGGAGGATCACCCAAGGTCAGGAGTTCCAGACCAGCCTGGCCAACATGATGAAACCCACTCTCTACCAAATATTCAAAAATTAGCTGGGCATGGTGGTGCCTGCTTGTAATTCCAGCTACTCTGGAGGCTGAGGCAGGAGTCACTGGAACATGGGAGGCAGAGGTGTAGTGAACCAAGATACTGCCACTGAGCTCCAGCCTGGGTAACACAGCAAGACTCTGCCTCAAAAAAAGTATTTTCAATAGTCTTGTTCTCTAATGAATCTCTATGGCTTGACTCTTTTACCCAAATCGACATATGCTAAGGTAGCAGACTGAGAATACTTTTTTCTCAGTTATTTCGTGTAGATATTATAGTATTTAATGTATTTTCTCAATATATAAAAACAAACTTTATTCAGGTAGTTAGCTACTGAATAAAATTCCTTAAATCCATAATTATATTGGTTGATAATTATAAGCTATAATATTTTTATTGAGTTTAAACAGTACAATTAAATTTAGATCCTTTCAAATGTAAAAGTTATCTAATTCAAAACAAAACTAAGATAGAAAATGTTTTACAAAAACTTAGGTAAACTTCACAGTTTATTAAATAACAACCCAGAATGTTTTTCTGAGTCAAGTTTCTGTATACTAGCTTTAATTTCTGCAGTTTTAAAACAGCTAAAATGTAGTACTTTTTGTTTTTTTCATAAAAGCAAAAAGGCAAACATACCTTTTGTTTACCAGAAACTATGATAGCTCCATTGTATGAGAGGCCATCAGTACCATTTCTGTTTTCAAAGTCATCTACTTCCAAAAGTATATTTTGATGCTTCAGTGATTTTATAAAATCTTCAATATTTGATTCTAATATGAAGTTAATAAGAGAAGGCCATAGAAAAGTAAGAAAATACATATCAAACTTTTAAAATAAGTCATATACATAATTAAAGTTAATATTTATGGAATACTATGTATAAATGTCTTTCTTTGGGTATCACAATAATAATATTGACCCACACTGTACCATCTTCTATTTAGCAAATCTTATACCACAATGAATTAGCTTTATAAATCTGTTTAATGCAAATTAACATGTAATCATAAAAATAAGCTAATTCTATTGTATGACTTTTGGTAAACAACAACAACAACAACATTTGAATTGAATAATCTGTGGAGATACAATAATTTTATGAGGAGTACTTCAGATTGTCCAGCCTAAAACAGCCAATGATAACACTCTTCTCTCTTCCTTGTTCTTCCAAATAATGGACAAGTAAATATATATGTGTCTGTATAACACATACATATGTTTTACTTTATTCTAAACATTTACGTACATATTCCATACATGTATGTTGTATAAATATAATCTTTCTTAGGAAATGAAAAAGGATGCCATCATCAGATCAAACTTTTAGATATGACCCTGAAGAAGAAAGCAGATGAGAACGTCTGACCGTGAAATACGAGCTGAGAAAAATTCACAGCCTAGAGCACACCAGAGCAAGCAGCTGAAGGTAAAACCAATTTCCAGGATACCTGAACTCAGAGTGGATGAATGCAAGGGGGTAAGGTATGCTCTGAAGCTATAGTCAGGGTCGTGACGTATACCTGGGAAAAGATGACCCGTCAGGCCCCTCCCCACGTTCCACACAGAACACACAGTAGCCGCAGTTGTCCCCAGGGTAACAGTCCCATATTTACTTACTGAGAGACCTTATCTGAGGAGCACAGCTGGGCAAACCTGAAGTAACTGCAGACAATAATTTGAGCAAGATGGAATGAATAAGAGGAAAAGAAGGACTTTTTTTTTTTTTGCCTTTGAAATGGGAGTTTATAGTGGGCTCTGGGATTGGAAAAATAAGGCCAAACCTTAGATGAATTAGGATCCCCCAACCAAGTGATACAGGAACATGCACATAGAAAATAAGCTTTCCATGCACCTTGAGCAGCCACACACCCCACTCCACCTCCACAGTCACTTGAGGTGCAATGCCATATGGTGACCCACATTCACCTAGGCAGACAGGGATGCTCACATTAAAAGATAAACGTGTTACCAATAATTGGCAGATTTTGAGAAAAGAGGAACAAAATGGCACAGAAGCTTCAAACTTAAACCATAAAATACCTAAGTACAGAGACAAAATAAATATATTAACACAAGCCCACTGCCCTCAAGAGTGACCAAAGAGGAAAAGAGAGACCTAATTTACTTATCTTATGAGCTCATAGGTAAAGAAACCTTTCTAGATCTCAGAAATTAAACATACAATTAGCATTTAAGGTAGTGAGGTGAATAAAATTTACTTTCCAAAACCCAAATGGAAAACAAGAATGAGAAACGGAAAGGGAAAGACTGTCTTTGTTTAAAGAGCATACACCGCAGGCCTGAATCGCAAATCCATGGGAAAATCAAATGAATGAGGAACTCAGCAAGGGAAGACTCTTACTGTGATTTTTTTTTTGTTTCTTTGTTTGTTTGTTTGTTTTAACATCTGAGGTACTAACATAAAAGTTCCTTCTTCAAAGTTAATTAAGCGGTTAGGAAAAAAACAAAAAAACAAAAAAACAATTACTGGCCGGGCGCAGTGGCTCACACCTATAATCCCAGCACTTTGGGAGGCCAAGGAGGGCAGATCACTTGAGGCCAGGAGTTCAACACAGCCTGGCCAACATGGCAAAACCCCATCTCTACTAAAAATACAAAAAAAAAAAAAAAATTAGTCAGACGTGATGGCACGTGCCTGTAATCCCAGCTACTCGGGAGGCTGAGGCAGGAGAATCGCTTGAACGTGGGAGGTGGAGGTTGCATTGAACCAAGATCACACCACTGCACTCCAGCCTGGGTGACAGAGCAAGACTCTGTCTCAAAACAAAACAAAAACAAAACCAATTACCCATTGTTTGGGATAACAAAATAAGGCATCTTCCTGTATCTTGTACTTAATGAAGGGGCATGGGGAATAGATAGGCCATCTTCACATGGTAACCAGTGTGTATTGCCTTTGTGGTATAGGTTAGGCTGCTGTGTAACAAAGGGATCTCAAAATAGAACGGGTGTGCCAATATAGAAGTTTATTTGCCATGTAATAGCTTAGGGTAGTCAGGTAGAGAGACGTCTTTACTCTTCCAGGTTATACAGTGACCCAAGTTCTTTTTCTCTTGTCCTCATCATCCCTGTCATCTCCAAAATCAGAGTAAATCTGCACTGTTCCTCATAAGGTGTTTTCTATAAATGAAGTTTAAATACCCATTTTCTTCTCTTATGATTCACTTCCCCCCCCCACCTCCTGTGCTATTCAACAATAAAAATAACTTATTTCTGGATTTAAATTTTATTTTTCTTTTCACCTGTGTTATTGATGATCAACAGGCTGGTACGGGGTTCCTGGGGAAGTTGTCCAGGAGAGAGAAAATACAATTCGTTTTTAAATTCCCAATCGATCTTTTCATTTAACATAGCATACATTATATTTTCAACAATCAAAGGGAATATTGCGATTCCAAATACCAATAATCTAAACAATAAAGAAAAATTAGCATATTAATCTCCAGGAATTTTATTTATTTAGTAAGACATTCCACAAGTATTTGTTGAGTGCCAAGCCTGCCTTATGCCAATCATGATTCTAGGTGCTAAAATTCTGAAGATAATACCCTAGCATGCTACACAGTACCAGAAGGCATTACTATATAAACACCAGGTTATCAAACCATGAAAACAAAACACACCTGCACGTATAAGCTTAATCGAGTGTGAACATACAGGTATTCCCACTGTCAGAAAAATTAAATGCTGAATTTATCCACCCCGTGGCAGGAATGTCAGATATTGCGTTCTAGTTTTAAATTATCTTCTGGTTTGAACCTCTTTTGAAATTCATGATCTAACAAAACCACAGTACTCTCCTACTCACAGGGTCAATAACACTTTAGTTTGACGTTTTAACTTTAAGAAACGGAGCCGTGCCATGGCAAAGACTTGCATTCTCCAGAGGCCCATGTCACTCACAGCTGTCTGCATTTCAGAGAAGGAAGAGTGAGCCAGCTCCATTTCATTGAGGCTTTCTGAGTCTCTTATCATCTCCACTTGTTCGAAATCTATAAACACACACATACACAAACACACATATTATAATATTAATGCCATCCTGGAGGCATCACAGATTTTCCTTAGTAATATTAAAAATAGTATTACATGGCCAGGCATGGTGGCTTATGCCTGTAATCCCAGTACTCTGGGAGACCAAGGTGGGTGGATCACCTGAGGTCAGGATTTCAAGACCAACCTGGCCAACATGGCTAAACCCTGTCTCTACTAAAAATACAAAACTTAGCTGGGCGTGGTGGCAGGTGCCTGTAATCTGAGCTCCTCAGGAGGCTGAGGTAGGAGAATCGCTTGAACCTGGGAGGGGGAGGTTGCTGTGAGCCGAGATTGCACCACTGCACTCCAGCCTAGGAGACAGAGCAAGACTCCATCTCGAAAAAAAAAAAAAAAAAAAGTTTTACATTTGTTTTTATTTTTATAACCAATTCAAAGGAATTATTTAGACAATATTTTTCAATATTTATTGTTTATACTTCACCACTGCCATCTATATTTTCTTTCTATAGTGAAGTTTTATAATTGCCAATGGTGATAAAAAATTAAAATTTTAAATAAAACAAAGTTTTAGATTGCTTGTGGTTACAGTGCAAACAATATAAGAAACATGTTATGATGTCCATATTCTATACTCAGTGAGAAAATACACTGAATTCATACCAAAAGAATAATTCACAAAAATGGTGATCTCATTGTGCCCAATCTTTGAAAAGCAAAGAAATTCCCAAGAGTATCATTCCTCTGAGGGATTTTTAAAAAATCTTCTGCATAAAAATAGCCAATCATTACACCTAAATATCTACTACTAAGGTATCAATCATTTAGTAGTATAGGGGAAAGATCATCAGCTCTGAACTACCAGATCTGTACATGTATCTTACATCTGTGATTGGGGAAAATCACTTAACTGCTCATAGGTCTGATTTTCTCATTTGTAAACCAGTGCCAATGACACTTCTTGGAAAGGTTATTATAGGAAAGATAATGTTGAAGGCATATATATCAATGTATAGCCATACATTAATCTAAGTGTCTGGCATAAGAGGAGCTCCATAATGACAATGATTATTATCACCCATTAAAATATACAAGAGTGGATACTGAGAATTCTCCCCACTAAGACTTTAGTGGAATTTTGTATATTAACAAGCTAACAGCAATTTTTATTTTTAAAAAATATATTCAGACCTCATTCCCCTAATTAAGAGCCTTTCACAGCCTGAAGGTATCTAAGAAGCAGGGAACATCTGAGGATAGGAAATAGTTTCCAAAAGGAAACTTGGTAGATGCCATGAAGGGATCTGTGATCAGTCTTAGTAATGACGCTAAGAAATAATGACAGCCCATCTCAAACAGCAGAGCCAAATTTGGAATGAAATCACATTTCTTAGTGTGAATCACCCATAAGAAATTATAAATACTAAATTGACACATGATCATTTGGGAATTGGTTTTCTGTGAATTATACAAATGGCTTTACCTTGTTCGATAGTTGACTGTCCTTCCAGTTTCATAAAGACTTCATTTAGAGTTGACATGGAAATGTCATAACCTGTCACTCCCTGGTCAGAACACTTATCCAGATCACTGAAAAGATCTAAGGCAAAAAAATATGAATAGATACTTTGGAAAACCACATTGAGAACTAAACCAAGTAAATTAATACTTATTTAAAAGACAATACATAATATTGTTAAGAAAATTATGTCCTTGGAGTATCACAGTAGTCAAAAGCAAAATTTCATGAGAATGCTCTCCTTCTCTGAAATGACTAAGGAAGACCTCTTCCTCCATCCTCAAACTGTCTCACTTCATCTTCCATTCTCAGTTTATGAGCTTCCTGCAGATTTCTCTGCAGAAATCTGAACAATCAGAAAGACCATTATCTTCTCACCTCCACACTACAAACCCACGTATATCTCTACCTATATTCTGGGTCTTCTCTCTGTATAAGTCTTTCAATGCTTTCTCAATGCATTTAAAATAAAATTTAAAGTCAATAACACAACCTCTGAGGCTCCAAAAGAGCCTGTCTCCATCTATCCACACAGCCTTACCCACCTCCATTTGCCATTCTGCTCCCTCACTCATTGCCCTCCAGCCATTCTCCTTTCCCCTTGACTTGGAGTGCCCTTGACCATTTTCTTCTTGTGGCCTTCAGTGACCACTCTATATAAACCTCAGCCAGACACCAGTCATCACTCTAACTCACTGGCCTTGTTTATTATTTTAGTGTACAATTGTTGAAAAATTTTGTGTATTTTGTGTGTCTACTTTTCCCTATCTAGTTAGATGTAGGCTCCATGAGAGTAGAGACACATATCTCTTATTTAATGTGGTATTTCTAGTTCCTGGAGCAGTGCCATTTATATAATAGTTTCCCAGTACACATTTATTGGGTAACTCTTCTATGGAGATACTTGCATGAGACTGCAGGATTCTAGAAGACTCTTAGATGCTACTTTCTAGTTTGGGTGGGAGGATGGGCCAATGACATTATTGAGAGGAAAGAGGTGGATGAGACTGTAGCAAACACTGTGTTTCCCTATGACCCGCACATGGCAGCAATGGACCTGGGAGTCCCATGTCCGGAAATGGACATAAGCATGCCATTAGACAGCAGAGGCCTTGGGTCTGTGTAAAGAGGCTGCCATGGGCCAGGAGGTCAACACCAGAGACTCTGGCAAAGTAACATATTCCAGTGGTAGTACCAACATATAATTCCTTATTCTCCATCTCTGACCAAAAATGAAAGTGGACCAGTTGCACCTCACAGGGCCTTAGTCCAAGAACAAAATAACATGGCATAGTCCACTGATCTGAGAAGAACACCATCTTCTATGCTACTACAAGGACATAGAGAGCTGCCACATTGGGGAGTGAAGCTAAAATCTGGGAATTCCTGAGTATTTGCCTAATGAAACCGAATTATGCAAAAGAGCTTATTTAAGGTAGGTCTATAGGGAGTTATACCTTTAACAAACTAGATGTTTAAACCAAAGGGAAGCTGTTTAAATCAAGAGACTGAAATATATTTCCTCATTTGTAAGATAGGGCAAGTTATAGCACCCATCTCATAGAAAGAACAGTTGTGAGAACTAAAGGAGTTAATATATATGAAACCATTAGAACAGTGCCTAACACGTAGAAAACATTACACAAAGAGCAAGTAATCTTTAGGATTTCTTATCAAACAAAGTCTGAATGGGTGCTGCTACCCAGTTGGCAGGGAACCGAGGGTTGAACACTTTTGTAGACTATGTAAGTTGTTTTTCTCTGCAAAATAGTACATGCACAATTAAAATAGAGTAATCCTGCCTTATCTACAGTTTCATTTTCCACAGTTTCAATTATCCACCATCAACTGCTGTCTAAAAACATAAAATGGAAAATTCCAGAAATAATTCATAAGTTTTCAGTTGTGTGCCCTTGTAAGCAGTGTGATGAAATCCTTCGCCATCACACTCCATCTTGCTCAGGCTCAGGACGTGAATCATCCCCTGTCCAGCAGAACCGAGCTATACCCACCTGTCACTTAGTAGCCCTCTGGGATATCAGAGCAACTGTCACGGTATTGCAGTTCAAGGCACCCCTATTTTACCTAATAAGGTTCCCAAAGTGCAAGAGTAATGATGCTGGCAATTTGGATATGCCAAAGAAAAGCCATAAAATGCTTCCTGTAAGTGAAAAGGTGAAAGTTCTCAACAAGGAAAAAAAAAATCTTATGCTGATGCTAAGATCTAACGTAAGAATGAATCTTCTGTCTGTGAAATTGTGAAGAAGGCAGAAGAAATTCATGCTACTTTTGCTGTTGCACCTCAAACTGCAAAAGTTACAGCCACAATGCGTGTTAAGTGCTTAGTTAAGATAGAAAAGGCATTCAGTGTGTAGGTGGAAGACATGAACAGAAATGTTTTCCGATCGATGGCAATTAGGTTTGGTTCTATCCACGGTTTCAGACATGAACTGGAGATCTTGGAACTATCTATTCCTTGTGAATAATGGGGGGCTACCTTACAAAGAGAAACCTGTAGCAGAAACCTTTATGCCCCACCAACACCTCTTCTGCATTCACCTGTACACGGTAAATCTGCTTATTAAAAACACCTACCTGAGGTCCTTTTTCTGTACTTGGAAGTATTCTAAGCTCATGTTCAGAGTAAGCCAGAAGGATGAGAAAGTTAATGCTCTCGTAGGCATCCCTTAATCAACAATGGATAGGGAACAGTGGGTAAGAACCCCAGCTTACTCACCCCTCTGGTGACAAAACGCTGAGCCCACTTACTTCATTTATTTCCCTCCCGTGGGCATTGCACCTCAATTGCCTACCACAGTAATCTGCTCCAGAATTCAGACTTCCCTGGCTGCCTTCCCTTCCCTCTCTCCTGTCCCCATTATCTGCTGGTGCTTCCACGAAGCAACTACCCAATAAATCAGTGGCACTCAATCCTTCCTCTTGAGTTCTGCTTCTCAGGTGGCCAAAACTAAGAAAAAGTCTAAATTCATTGGACAAAGAAAATTATTTTAATAATAATGTGAACATTTTTTCCCATATTTCATTTCATTGTAATCATAGTTGAGTTACCTGGAAATGTATTTGTCCTTTCCAGTGGCAAAGTATATACAAGCTTTTCTTTGTTTTCTGTTTTTAATTTAGCATCGGGGATGTGATGAGTAATGAAGGATGTTATTTGTTCTGGGTTACATATTTCATTCCTATGTAAACTAATATTTAAAAGAAAAGATAAGTCATTTGCATTTTCTCCACCACTATCACAAAAGAAGAGCTTTAATTGAACACCTAGCTGTTGAGCACAACTTTACTTGGCTTTATGGAACAAAAAGATGAGTAAATACTAACATGATAGTAATCTATCAGTTTGAAAATTTTATAATCTATATATGGAAAATGTATAAGCTCAGAACAATTACAAAATATACAAACAAATATATAATGTAAATGGAACTATATAGAGTTTTATATGTATAGTTATAGATAAATGTAGGAAGCTGAGAATGTTAGGAAGAAGAGACTTCTTAGGGAAAATAATTATTATACCAGACCATATCATTAGCTAGTAGAGAAAATCTGGCCCACATGCATGCTTTGTTTGGCCATAGGGTTATTTTAAACAATTATTTTAGCCTGGATATACACCAATATGGTTTGGCTGTGTCCCCACCCAAATGTCATCTTGAATTGTAGTTCCCATAATTCCCACATGTCATAGGAGGGACCCAGTGGGAGGTAACTGAATCATAGGCAGTTACCCTCATGCTGTTCTCATGATAGTGAGTTCTCATGAGATATGATGGTTTTATAAGGGGCTTTTCCCTGCCTTCAGTCTGCATCTGTCCTTGCTGCCACCATGTGAAGAAGGGCGTGTTTGCTTTCCCTTCTGCCATGATTGTAAGTTTCCTGAGGCCTACTCAGCCACGCCGAACTGTGAGTCAATTAGATCTCTTTCCTTTATATATTACCCAGTCTCGGGTATGTCATTAGCAGCATGAGAACAGACTAATATATACACTTTTTTGTTAGCCACAGTTATCATTACTTTCTGCCCCTAGATTCTCTCCTTGTTGATACTGGCTTCTGAAATTATTTGCCTTTTTGCCCTATGAAAGAATGAAAACATATTTCAGAATTCTATGGATCAGCTGAGGAAAATGTGGGTAGGAAGCAGGTAGAGGTTTAGGCTGCACAGAACAGCTACCTAGAAAAGTGGCACATGAAGTAGTCTTGCTGTGAAAAGTCAGGCTTGGTTTATCATGTTGAAATGTTGCCAATGATTAACATTGTAAAGACACAGGAGGAAGGAAAGTAAAAAAAAGTATTCAGGAAACACTGATCAATCCAGTATGGTAGAGATGAAGCACGAGGCCAGTTCTGTTTCATAATTGTCCACCTTTTTCATATACCAGTATTGCAAACACATAAATCCAATCTATTCCCAAAGTCTTTACCTTAGGTGATATCCAAGACCCCACCTTCTTTTCAAAAACATAGAAGAACCTGCACACTTCAGTCTCCCATTGGACATGATCACTTTTCTATCTGAATGAAAGAAATCAAGGGAGAAAAGATATTGGGGGTCATTTCTTCTTTCTCTAGTAAAGAAAGACGAGGAGCCAAGGCTCAGAAGTGCAAAGGAGAAGTATTCAACAGGGTATAACTAGATCTAGTGTGCATTTTAACATTTGAAATACATATTAAAATTGATGCATTTAAAATGAACTCATGATATTATTCAGCCATAAAAGAGAATGAAACCATGTCTTTTGCAGCAACATGGATGGAACTGGAGTCTATTATCATAAGTGAAACAACACAGAAACAGAAAGTCAAATACTGCATGTTCTCATTTATCAGTGAGAGCTAAAAAATGGGTACACATGGACATACAGTGTGGAGTAATAGACACTGAAGACTCGGAAGGGTGAGAGAGTCAGAGGGGGATGGGGAATGAGAAATTATTTAATGGGTACAATGTATATTATTTGGTGATGAATACACCAGAAGCCTGGACTTCACCACTACATAATATATCCATGTAACAAAACGGTACTTGTACTCATTAAATTTATACAAATAAATTAAATTTAAAATAAAATAAGCTCATGAACACCAGTCTATCTGCACCTTCCAATACTTTCTGAAAAAAAAAACACATAAATTACATGGTATACTGTATACTCTGATGCTAAAGAATAAGTGTCTATTTTTCAATTAAATATATATAAAAAAAGATTTGAATGTTTAAATTAATTGACAGCTGATCTAAAAAAAAAAGGTAATCAGAATTTTTCATTAGTTGTCACTACCTAGCAAATGTACAACCAGAAAGGAATTCCACAGTGGAACTAGACTCCTGTCGTCCTCCTGACTGCTATAGAATGTAGGAACATCACCATAATGAGAGCAGGGCTCTTACCCTGGGAATAGACCTCGCTTCTAAATTCCCCAATTGCATCATGGTAACACTGAGATAAAACCAACAATTACCAGCCAGGATGTCAGCCTCATCCATGGACTGGGTACTGAAAAGGATCACATGATCTGCTCTACGCTCTCTCAGGAGGCTCCACACTTGATCTCTGGAAAAGGGATCCAATCCAGTAGTTGGTTCATCTAAAAGCAAAATCTACAGAGAATGAAGATATATAAAATATGTCTCTCTTTCACATTAACTGTATCCAGAAGATAGCATGAAAAACAATAAATACCATAAAATAATAACCATCCAGCCATTTTTCTCCAATATACTTCTATTTATAGTTAAACATAGCAGGTTCTCTCTTGATGCATTACAATGAAAGCTCTACCACTTTTAGTGGTAAAAGAACTTGACATTTTGCAGACATTCGACCTGCTTCCTTCCCCATGCATAATCTCACTTACTTGAGGATCTCCTAAAATGGTAATCCCAAAAGTCAGCTTTCTTTTCTGTCCTTCACTTAAATGTTTAGCAAGGTTATCTTGAATGTTTTGCATGTCCAATTCCAATAATATTCGTTGTACCTATATGAGAAAATACGCAACTTTTAAAATCCAAAATGAAGAAGACATTTATGCAGCCAAAAGACACATGAAAAAATGCTCATCATCACTGGCCATCAGAGAAATGCAAATCAAAACCACAATGAGATATCACCTCACACCAGTTAGTATGGCGATCATTAAAAAGTCAGGAAACAACAGGTGCTGGAGAGGATGTGGAGAAATAGGAACATTTTTACACTGTTGGTGGGACTGTAAACTAGTTCAACCATTGTGCAAGTCAGTGTGGCAACTCCTCAGGGATCTAGAACTAGAAATACCATTTGACCCAGCCATCCCATTACTGGGTATATACCCAAAGGATTATAAATCATGCTGCTATAAAGACACATGCACACGTATGTTTATTGTGGCACTATTCACAATAGCAACACTTGAAAACAACCCAAATGTCCAACAATGATAGACTGGATTAAGAAAATGTGGCACATATATACCATGGAATACTATGCAGCCCATAAAAAATGATGAGTTCATGTCCTTTGTAGGGACATGGATGAAGCTGGAAACCATCATTCTCAGCAAACTATCGCAAGGACAAAAAACCAAACACCGCATGTTCTCACTCATAGGTGGGAATTGAACAATGAGAACACATGGACACAGGAAGGGGAACATCACACATGGGGGCCTGTTGTGGGGTGGGGGGAGGGGAGAGGGATAGCATTAGGAGATATACCTAATGTTAAATGACGAGTTACTGGGTGCAGCACACCAACATGGCACATGTATACATATGTAACTAACCTGCACGTTGTGCACATGTACCCTAACTTAAAGTATAATAAAAAATAAAAATAAAATCCAAAATGATTCATATTATGCAATTTTAACCACTCATTAAAGCAGTCGATATTTGTTATGGGACCTCTTTGCCTAAATTTTATTCATAACAGGGCAAATAAATCATTGAAGAGAATTCTGTGGTCATGATTTAATTTGGTAAGTGGTTGGCAGGTCAGTTAATCCAAGCATGCCCTCCTACCTCTTGTTCCACTTCCTTTAGATGAATCCCTTTTATTTTAGCAAACAGGCTGAGGTTTTCCTTCACGGTGAGTATGTCAAATTGAACATTGAATTGAGGACAGACGCCAGTTATCTTTCTGATTTCCTCCAAGTCTTGCATTTCAGAGAGATTTTTATTATAGATGGTAACTGATCCTAAGAATAGAAGTTAAAAATAAAATTGGCAAGATAATACATTCTATTAATATTCATAGATCTCATTTAAGAAAATATTGGCATATGTTCACAAATGTCTAAAATGATTTGTGAACTACTATTCTTGACATAAATATATGCTTATAGAACTGCATATATGTGAACACAATTTGTGAACTACTAATTATTCTTGTTACAAACATATGCTTATAGAACTGCACATCTACCCTGAAATATCACACAATGGAATAAAGATAATAATTTTTATAAAATTGCAGAAATATGAAGTATATTCAAAATTATGTAGCTCTTGGAAACAACTTTAGATAAACATTATTTCTCTTAAGCCATCAAATTTAAAATTTAAAATGAGAGGCATATGCTTGACCTCATTCTATTATAAGACATCTTGCCTTTGAGAAATTTCTTTTTACTCACCTTCTGTTGGAACAGACAATCCATTAAGAATATTTAGCAGTGAAGATTTGCCAGCTCCACTGTGACCCAGGATTGCCGTGATTTGACCTTCATATATGTCAAAGAGCAAGCCTATTTTTAGAACAAATTGTTAACAAATTATTAACAGTATAAACAGAAAGGCATTAGACAGGCCTGGTCCCAACATAGAACAAGGCTATTTAGTTTAGTGGCATATTTCTCAGCATTTCAATACTTTAAAATACACAATGATCAATATTTTCCTAATTGCCAAAATAATATGTGACAGAACTATAATAATTAAAATAATATGTTACTGGTGCAGGATATAGTGACCAATGGAACAGAACAGAAGTCTAATATGGACCAAAGAAAATATAAAAATAAAGATTAATAAAATGACCTTTCAAATGTATTAGAAAGATGGTTTATTTAATAAATAATATTGGGACAACTAAACAAATACATTAACAAATTTTATGTTTGTAATTTTTTTTTTTTGTTACAGGATCTCATTCTGCCACCTAGACTGGAGTGCAGTGGAGCAATCACAGCTCACTGCAGCCTCAATCTCCCACGCTTAAGCAATTCTCCCACGTCAGCTCCCTGTAGCTGAGACTATTGGCCCACGCCACCACACTTGGCTAATTTTTGTATTTTTAGTAGAGACAGGGTTTTGCCATGTTGCCCAGGCTGGTTTCAAACTCCTGAGTTTAAGCAATACACCCACTTCGGGATTTACAGATGTGAGCCACCATGCCTGGCCTGTAATTTTTAAATGCAAAGTATACGGTGTTTTCCAGGGTAAGAGGGAAGTGATACTGGCTGTTGGGACTGACCCACAGTAACTGGAAAAATTAAATAGAAGCCTCAGTTTCGTCATCTGCAAAGTGAGAGATATATTAACATGTCTTTCACAGGCCTAAATGTAAAATGGTACATGTAAATCACTTAGCATAGTTTCCCGCACACACCAAATCCTCAATGAAATCTAAGTGTTTATTGCTATTGTTGTCGTTGTCATTATTATTCATTATGTATTGCTTGTGGGAGTATGACTTTTTATGATTTTAGAGGGAAATAATTTGAAATATGAATCAAGAATCTTGAAAGTATGCTTCCTTTGAATAATTCTGCTTCTAGAAATTTATATTCAAGAAACAATTTATGACATTTACAAAGATTGAACAAGGCTGTTCATTCTAGTATTTTTTATTACACTAAAAATTGGAAACAAATTGAATCTCATACATTGGTGTGTTAATAAGTTAGTCGTGGTATCCATATAATGGAATGGTACTTAGCTTCTGAAAAGTAGGCCATAGATAAAAGATTTCAAAAGTGTGTCCCAAAGGTGTTGCAGATGTGCTCCAGAAACTAACTCCATGAGGAAGGAAGAGGAGGCTAAGGGATTGCAACTTCTTCCCTGATTTCCCAAAGAGCAGCTATACTTGGTTTGAATTCATAATCATATTTTTAATGTGTTGATGTCCAATGCTTTTAATTTTTTAAGGTGCTGCTATTTTTAAAATGAACAAAATTCTTAAAGAAGTTTTTTGTTTAGACAAAAAGAAGTTCATGACTTGATGAGTACAAAGGTAGTTCAAAATGTGCTCCAAAACTTTAAGTAATCAATTTAAAATTATTTCAGTATCTCCTGAGCTAACATTAAAGAAAGAAATCACAGCTCTAGATGGTATTTGATGAGAGAAACCTAGAGAGAGAATAAAATTGCTCATACAAATACATTAAATTCTCAAAGACCTAATCTAAAAGCAATGAATAAGACTGAATTAGAGGATGCTGTATTTATTAGAAAATACACGCAATATAAACACAATGGTCGGAGAACTCTACACTTCTGGAAGGTTCATGGCTCTTCTTTTTCAGCTTTTAAGGCTTCTGTCTTTTATAAAAATCATTTTTATCCCTCCTAAAAATTATTTTTAATAAAAGTAAATAGTCCTCCATGAAATCTAGCTACTCACTTTGATGTTTGCTTAAATGTCTGTTATAGAAAACTGTATGTTAGAATATTTTGTATCAAAATGTGTTTTTTCATTTCAAATTATAACTTAGGTTTGTTATAGGATATTGACTTGTGAAATTTAATTCATAGTCAATGGTTTTACTCATCTTGCTTTAGTTAACCTCACCAGTACATATAAACTATGTAAATTCACCGGCTAGTATAAAACCTTTATCAGATTTCAGTCTAGATGTTCTTTCCTCACAGTGACAATATATAAAATATTGTTCATAGCAGATTAATCTTTAAAAACAAAGAGAAATTACATCTTTCATTGTATGATACCACTGTTATAAATTAATAGATTCATGAAATATCTGGAAGAATTTTACAGCATATTCTTAATCATGATTAATGTCCAAGTGATAGCGTTATTTATATTCTTTTTTCTTTTGCTTATCTACATATTTCAAATTTTTTCACATTGAATGTTTCCCTTTTTTATAATAAAGAAAGAAGTGAAAGAATGAAATTTTTCAATGTTTTTCTTTACCTTTCAATGCTTCCACTTTTCCAGATTTTCCTTTATATTCCTTCTTAACATTTCTGATTCTGAAATAACAAAAAGGGTGCTTACTTAGCCAACACAGAAGTGAAAATAGCACGGGCCATTTATAGCCCTAGTCATAGTGATAACTGCAGCCAACCACTTTATGTGAAATAAGGGATGGCATAAACAGTCTATTCAGAAAGAAAAAACCCTATTTTTGATTACTTATTTCCCCTGAGGTAGAAAATAGAGGAGTCTCTCTCAAGTTACAATTAAACTACTAGTATTTTGCCTAGAAAAGTAGAATGCTGTGTAATTATCCTCACTTTCTTCCTCTAGCTTTAGAACAGTTGGTTCTTCCCCCTGTTCAAGATCAGCTCATTTACCTAGGGTCTTGAACTGGCATCCTGCATCGTCTCCAAGTCTTGCTTATTAGTTTATGAGTCAGACACTCTGTCACCTGCATCTTTTATAGTGTTCTCTCTAATAGTTCCTCTTTGAACTCACCTCTACTTTGGACACAATTTAATTTCTCTCCTCCCTGTATTGTACAAAATTCTCAAAATAAACTTGCCATTGTAAACTTGCCATTTTCACTTCCTGACCTTTAATTCCTCTTCAATTGCACTCTGATTTCTGAACTCACCACTCCAGTGAACCACTTCATAATGAAATCATTAGTGACCTCCTAATTATAAAATACAACAAATACTTTTCCATTCTTACAGTGGATTATGAGTCACTGTTGATGACTTTCTCTTTGTTAATGGTGACTTAATTGCTTTGCTTCTTATTTTTCTAAATGTTCCTTCTCTGTTTCCTAATAAAGTCCTCTTCCTTCATCAGACACATCAGCTTGATATTCCACAGGGTTCTCCATGTATATGATGGATCTTCTCATTTGAGACTCTCTCCAGAAGTTTTCTCGTTGGATTTTTTGTTTTAGCATCAACCTAATGCTGACCCCACCCTTTTCATTGATCTTTAGATTCACACATCTAATGGTTTGCTGCATAGATAGTCTCTCTCTCTGTCTCTCTCACACACACACACACACAGACACACAGCTCTTAATCAGTGGTTGTTAATTGTGAATACACATTAGAATTCCAAAGGGAACTGATGCCTGCAAACAACATCTGAGATTCATATTATATTCACATTAATTACTTCTCTGCAGAGTTCACAGAAAAAAGATTCACATTAATTGATCTGGGGTGATGAGTTTTTCTTGGCAGTGAAGGCTGAGGATTGGGATATTTTAAATGTTCTTCCAAATGAGTCTAATGTGAAGCCAGGTTTGAGAATTAACTGCTCTAAAACTGCATATGCAGAACAGACTTCACTGCATTGTCACCTAAACCCATTTCCCCATCACGCAGGATCTTATTTGGCAGCATGGACATTCAACTACTCTCTTCCTGATTCTCACTCAGATTCATCACCCATCCAACCTGGTATCATTTTTGTAAAATTTAACTCTAAAATAGTTCAAGTCTTGGGTCCCTTTTAAGTCTTCAACTATTCTTCTCTTGTTCACTGCCTCTAGTTCCTTTCCCTACTTTCAGTTTATTCCCCTAGAATCCATGCTTCACACAGGAAACAGGGTGATTTATTTTAAAATCCATTTTATTTACTCCTCAACGTTCCTCATCAGCCTCAGAGGGAAAGTCAAGGCTACTTTGTACCACATGAAGCAGCCACTCATGGTCTGTCCAGTGACATCTTTTGGCATCCTCGGCCTCATGTTTTATGTGTCAGGATCACCAAACCACCATTTATATCCTGCACAAAGCTTAGTGCTTTTTGTCTTTTCTGCTGGGTGTGTCATACACATATACATATATACATGCACTCACACACACATATGTACATATGCACAAACACACCTTTTTATCTGTCTTATTCTTAGAATGTTCATTGCAACATCATTTGTCAGACCAAAAAATTAGAAACAACTAGAATATTTTTCAATGTCAGAAAAGATAAATAAAAGTGGTAGATTCATATCTTAGAATACTTTTATATAAAAATTAAAATCAATGCATTAGCCCATAGTTATCACTATGAATACACCCCAAAAAGCAAAATGCTGAGTGTAGAAGCAATATGTAGAAACTTAAGTACAGTCTGATACCATTTATAGATTATATCAAAAACACACAGAGCTATATCACATATATCTATATCACATATTGATTAGGGCTATAAGTGTATGGTGCAATATGTAAATATATGAATGGAAAGTGATAACACCAAATCCATTATAAAGGTAAATTCTGACGAAGGATGGAGAAAATATTTTAAAGAGATCAAAAGGGACTTTAAATAAACATATAATATATCCATTAAAAATACAAAGCAAATATGACAATAATGTTTATATCTGCTCAACCCGGATGGTGAATATGTCAGCTTTAAAAGCCTAAATTTCTTCAGTAATTTTTAACTTTTTAAAACAAAAATAGACGTTCTCTTCGATTTCCCTAAACTAGGGTAGTTAACACTTCTATTGACTAAATAACAGTAGTTAATATCTCTATCCCTACATTTATCAGATTGAATTTCATGTACCTATTTATTTTGTTCCCTGTGTTGTGTGCTCCTTGAAAGACAGTTTATTGTTCATATTTGCTGCCCTAAAGATTAGTAAAGAACCCAGCAACAATATGTTTGTTGAATGAATGAATGAAGCAAAGTTAAAAGATGATGAGTCTCACCAGGTATTTTATTTCAGCATTTCTTTGTAAAATGGAATCCCTGTTGAAGTGAAACTTTAATGTTTTGTTTTAATAAAGAAAATTCCATTTAGGAGGAGCTGTTGTTTCTGGATTTTAGACATGAAATCAGTCATTTACATTTGAGGCAGACATTCTACCTGTGTTCTGGGAATATTGCCTGAATGGTCTATAGTTACAGGAATGCACATATGTGTACACAATTGCCCCCAGAGAAAATGTGACTTGGGAGTTATGAATGAGGAAGAGCCAGTTGTGAATAAAAAATGTATATTTTTACAAACCCAGAATCATGATTCTGGTTAGAATTCTACAAACTTTCATCCATACCCCTGATACATAGAGCTTAAAGATTACATACCCTGTAAGCTCTATGTATCTTAGGGGAAGAGTTCCTTTGTATATAAAGCATTTCTATATAAAGAGGAAGAGTCAATTTTTATATAAAGCAGAGACCACATAGGAAGAAAAAAATCAATGGCTTAGTGCCTTTTATATTCATACAAAATAGAATTCACACGTTGGAATTGATTGAAAAAGATTTGACATTGTCTACAGGTGGGGAAGAGTAATGATGCCACTAAGAAATGATCACTGTGAAGAAAGAAGAGATAAAACTTGTGGATTAGAAACTGCATATACTGTTGGATGGTCAAAAGGCAGTTTTAGACTGCCTTGCAGCCCCAGACCTGCTTTAACACTCAGTGAGTGTGTACCACCTTGCCATTAAAGAGCTACAACATTGACCGCCTAAGCCTACTTTCTTGCTTTGGTGTGGATCTGGGGTGAGGTGCCCCACAATGGAGCCAAAAGCTTTAGTGAATAGTCCTTGCATCAAATGACTTTCTTTCCCTGGTTTGTCAGTAGCCTCAGGTCTCCACCTGAGCTAAGAATCCAGACCAAGTGACAGGTGTACCCAGTCAACACTGTATACATTGGCTAGGTTTGGAGGCACAGTGGGGATGTGGGAGAAGAAGGGAGAAGTTGGGGGAAGGTGGGGGTGGAGCACATTTTACTTTCTTTCCTAGGTCACTAGGCAGCAGTAGAAGAACAAAGAAAATTTTGAGGTCTTTGTAAGTAAAAGATTTTGTTAGAAGATTGGATCTGAAAATTTTTATAATTTGAATAATAATATAATACAATATTATTTTGTGCCCTCAACTGGTAAAGAAGGATTGATGACACTGGAACTGAGTTTTATGGAATTATTCCTCACTTGGCCTTTCTTGTTTGGATAGAAATTTTCTATGGAGCTGGTATACTCCTAGCTAGAGCAGAGGAAGCGCTGTTGCCCCTCTCAGAAAACTTAAACGGAAAATTGGTTAAGAACTAGATGGAGGAAGCTTAGGTATATGGGTTAGGCCTCTTTGTCTTGGAAATATTTCACTTCCTAGATATGGTTCTCTATTTATTCATTTTTCTTTGCCTCCTGACATCTCAATAGTATGTTAAGAGCATAGACTGTAGAGCCAGACTATCTGGATTACAATTCCAGTTCCCCACTTGCGAGTTGTGTGATATTGGGTAAAAGGCTTAAGCTTTCATTGCTTCACTTTTTGTATTCTCAAAATGGGGAAAATAAAGATACCTACCTCGTAAGCTTTTTGTGCGAATTATGTGCAAGTCAGGTACATAGTCAGCACTAAGTAAACATCTGTTAATAAATAAACGATTGCTATTTAAAGCGCTGATCCATTAACTTTGTACCAAACTTTGTAGAAAAATCTACAAAGCTATTTTGAAATCCATGATACTTGGGTTCAATCCCAAAACTGCTGAGTTAGAATCCCTGGCTAAAAACAGATATTCTAAATGCTCCTCATGCAATTCTGTGATATACCAAGTCTCATAACAACCCTACAAAGTCAATATTAATCTTGTTTCATAGAAGACACTGAGACTCATAAAATTTACTCATTTTTCCAAGAGTACACATCAAATGAGAGAGGAGAGTATTAGGATCTAAGAATTTCTGATTCAGAATTTCTTACTTCTTCCAACTTATCATATAAAACCAGATGAAACCATGGAGAGAGGGGTTCACAGAATGAAAGGAGCAAGTATAAAAGAGAGGTGGGCACAAGAGAAAGAGGCAGAAAGGGGGACAAGATGAAGTGTGGCTGGATAATATGATACAGAGCTGATAAACAAGGAGGATTTTCCTTTCAAGTAACAGAAGAAATTGGTGGTGATGGAAATGGAGCAGTTCAAAGTGACATTGACAAAAACAAATATCTTCTCCTTCAATATTTTGCCTCAAGCTCACCCTGATGCTCTCGGTTAATAATTCTTTAGCCTTATGTTCTCACTCATAGGTGGGAATTGAACAATGAGAACACATGGACACAGGAAGGGGAACATCACACACCAGGGACTGTTCTGGG
Organism: Homo sapiens; assembly: GCF_000001405.40. NCBI lineage: Eukaryota > Metazoa > Chordata > Mammalia > Primates > Hominidae > Homo > Homo sapiens. The sequence goes on from NC_000017.11 coordinate 69,123,017, forward strand.
GTAGGGGGAGGGGGGAGGGATAGCATTAGGAGATACACCTAATGCTAAATGACGAGTTAATGGGTGCAGCACACCAACATGGCACATGTATACATATGTAACAAACATGCACGTTGTGCACATGTACCCTAAAACTTAAAGTATAATAATAATAAAATTAAAAATAATAATAATTCTTCAGCCTTGTGCTCATGCATTAGTATTACTTATAAGTGTGATTACCTGATGGCTTCTTTTCCTTGGAATTCAGGAGCTACTGGTTCAAAATAATCATCAGAGGGATGCTCAGCATCGATTTCTTTCTCAATAACCTTAGCATTAGTCCTTTGGTGTTGGAAACAAGATGATGAATTCAAGAAAAATAAAGGAGAATAATGGCGCTCATCTCCATCTAATTAACCAAGAGGCAACAAAATATGATCAGTAATAGTAAAAGAATGCGCAAAGAAGCCTTGCTAACAACAATGCAGAATGCCTTGAAGTTTTAAGCATCATAGAGACATTTTTTCTTCTAAAACTCAATTTATTATTAAGAAGAAAACTTGATGATGAAGTAAACAATGGGAATTCAAAGGAAATAACATATTGCAAAATTAAACAATATAATACAGCTTTCAACAAAGTATAAATAGAATGTGATCAAAAAAAAGAAAGTCAATAGGAAAGTGAGGTTCGAATAAAATATTAGGTGTATGACCAGCTGAGTTGGACTCCAGCTTTTCCCTGATCAAGACATTAGTACAGATCTTAGAGCCTCTGTTGTCTACATCTGTAGAAAAGGACACCCAACAAGGAAACCATTATATGTCCTTTTTTTCCAGTCTTAACAATGGGTTGCATTATCCTTAATAGGCTCATGAAAAACAGATTTGTATCACCCAATAAACATATTTATTAAATTTTTTTAAAATGTGATCTAAAAGGTATTTAGGAGAATGAATGAAACCAAATATTTGGGAAGACACAAAGCCTTAATACAGTGCATAAAAATAATTGTAGACATGTTTGTCAACTTAAATAATTTGACCACAGCAACATAATTGAACATAATATTGAAATCTATATATTCCTGCTTAGGCATGAATACATGGAGAAACTGTATTTGTTTAGAATAAATTTATAGTGATATTTTAAATATATTTTTCCAGTTTAAAAAACAAAGTTGAATTTATTATTAAGGGCCTTCACATATCAACCAGAAGTCACAGAAAGACAGGAATATATACAAGTAAATACATAGAAAACCTATAAGACAACCTTAAATAGTGGAAGGAACATATAAAATAAGAGGATAAACAAGAAGATTGTGCCAGAAAAAAAGCTTTCTGATTCTAGAATGTGTGAAAAAATTCTGGGCTTACGTGACATTTTTGGTTGTTTGCAAGATAATTTAACTGGGCGATCAATATACTTCTGTAAATATGAACAATATATAAAACATTTTGAGAATGATGCTGAACAAATATTCATGAGAAAGCTCTTCCACAGTATAATGGCCTCCCGAGAGCCAAACCACCATAAGAACTAATTTCTTTTATCTTGTTTTGACATAAATCCTAATATGACCCTTTCAAAACACTTTCAGGGATCCATGAAAACCTAACATTATTTAATTACCACACAATTACAAGATGTATTATAATTATTGTTGTCATATAATTATAATATATTGCTATAGTAAAGTCATAAGAAGAATTGTTTTTACATAAAAATTTCATTAGACCATTAGAACTATGAAGTAGAAATAATGAACTTATTAGTTTGAAATGGGAAATATTTAATATTCATTTTAAAAGTCTATATAATCTTAAAAAATATATTCAATGTAATTAATAACTGTAGAGGACAGAGAAAAACTCACTATTACTTACAGGGTAAAATTTTGTCAAAGTATAATGCCAATAGCAAGTAGATGAGACCATCCAAAAGCAACATAGAAAAAGTTGCTATCATTGTATATGAGTCTCCTGAAGGGTCAGGAAAAATTACACCATTCAAGTTATAATCCAGTTTGATAATCTAAGATTCAAAAAATAAAAATAAATGTTTAAAATAAATAAATAAATAGCTTGGCATAGCAGGAAAAAGTATTAATTTATTAACTAGCTTTTTCAAGAGGCACTTAGTAGTTACTAGTCAAATATATAAATAAGTAAATAAAGGTATTGGTCAAAATATTTCTATTTTACAATGAAAAATAATTAGAAAGAAATATTTATTTAATAAATACAATGTTCTAAGTATAATAATTTAAATTATAATTCATTTGTTTGTTTTCAGAAAATCATTGCAGTATTACAAATATCTATTCTGGGCAACAAAGGAGATATAAATTTTGGAAAGAATATAAGAAATTCTTGGACGCCTTTAATTAGATAAAAAGAGAACTTACCTCCTTTTCTAGTTATTATTTCAAATAAAAGTTTGTATTTAGAATTTTGCCACATAATAACAGCGACTATGTTCTAGGCACTGTCCTAAGTGTTTTGTATATTATCCCATTTAATCTTCCTTAAAACCCTATCAGATAAGCAATAAGGCTTATAAAAATAATAAGATTTTAATCTGCACTTTACATATGATAAAACTAAGGCACAGCGAAGTTGAGTAGCCAAAAGTGGCGAAGTGAAATTAGAACAAAGAAAGTCTTACTCTTAGGGCCAGTTCCTTACCCTGCACACTCTACAGCTTCTCAGTCTATGTTAAAATGTTAACATTTTCATGATAAAGTTGAATTTATTCTAGGAATCCAAAATTGAGTCAACATTTGAAAATCAATCAATGTAATTCAACATCAAACATTAAATAGGAAAATAATGTGATCAATATAATAGACACAGAAAAACCATTTGGTAAAATGTAATATCTATTCATAGTAAAGAAAATATCTTCATAAACTAAGATGAATCTTCCTTAATCTGGTGAATTACATGCACTGAGACCAACAATAAGCATCATACTTAATGGCACAATGTAGAAAGCTTTTATTTTGCCTGCATTTCTATTCATTATTGTACTAGAGGTCCGGACCTGTGCAGGAAAGTAGGAAAAAGAAATAAAAAGCATAAGGATTGCGATGGGAAAAATATAAGCCATCATTATTTGAAGACAACATGATTATATATGTATAAAACCCAGAAAAATATTGGGTTTAGTAAGAGAATATAGCAAGAATGCTGGATAGAACGCCAATGTACAGAAATCAGTTGCATCTCTCTACATTAACAACAAATGTTTAAAAATAAGAATTTAAACATAGATGCTATTTATAACAGCATGAAAAATATCAAAAGCATCAGAATGAATCAAATAAAAATGTGTAAGACCTCTACAGTGAAAACTAAAACAGGCCAAGTGCATGGATCACACCTGTAATCCCAGCACTTTGATAGGCTGAGTTGGGAGGATCGCTTTTTTGAGCCCAGGAGGTTGAGATTAGCTTGAGTGACATGGTGAGACCAACTCTCTACAACAATTAAAAATTAGCCAGGTGTGGTGGTGTATGTCTATAGTCCTAGTTACTTGCGAGGCCGAGGCGGGAAGATCACTTAAGCCCAGGAGGTTGAGGCTGCAGTGAGCTGTGTTTGTATACTCCAGCCTGTGTGACAGGGCAAGACCCTGTCTCAAAATAAAATAAAAATAAAAAAAGATAATTATTAAAGAAAATCAAAGATCACTGAAATGAATGCAAAGATATATTATGTTCATGGCTGAAAAAAAGATGACTATTTTCTTCGAACTGATCGAATAATTCAACTGCATCACACTCTTAATGGCTTTGCACAGGCACATAAGTGTGTGATTATGTAACTTGATAAGCTAATTCTAAAATTTACATAATTGCAAAGAAATTAGAATAGACAAGACTCTATTGAAAAAGAGATTAAAGAGGTAAAACTGTTACTGCCAGATATCAAGACATATGATAAAGCAAAACAATTAAGACAATGAGGCCACAGTGCAAGGATAGGCATTTTGGCCAATACATGATTGGCTGAGTTACGATAAAAGAAAGATTGCAATTCATTCAAGGAAAGGATAGTCTAGTTGATAAATTGAGCTGGAGAAATTGGATATTTGTGTAGCAAAATTAATATTGCCTCTACCTATACACACACAAAAGTTACACTGAAGTGGATTTTTATCTTAATGTAAAAGCTGAACCAGTCAATATTCTAGAAAAACAGCCAGAAAATATCTTTGTAAACTTGGTGTAGGCAATGATTCCTTACATTGATTTTTACAAAAAGCATTCTACATAAAAGAGAAACTTGAAAAATTGGACCTTATCAAAATTATGTATCTCTGTTCATCACAGTTACCATTAAGAGAGGAAAAAAGCCAGCAACAAATAATGGAAAAATGTCGGATGTTCAACATGTATAAGGAATTATCATAAAGCAATTGGGAGAAGATAGAAAACTCAGAGGAAAAATGGGCCAAAGAACTGGATAGGTAATTTATAAAAAAGAAAATTCGTAATCCACTAAGCATATACAAAGGCATTAAACGTCATCAATAATCGGGGAAATGCAAATTAACACTACAATGATATATCATTGCATAACCATCAGAATAACTAAAATTTGAAAGATTGACAATACTAAATCCTGGTGAAGTGTTAGAAAAACTGGAATTCTGAAACACTGTTGATGTAAAACTAAATTGATGCAACCACTTTGGGAAAATATTTGGTGGTAGCTACTAAGATTAATATTTGTATACTCTCAGCCCCACTATTCTGTTTGTTATATTAACGTAATGAACAGAATGAAATGTCCATATTCAGTAGGAAATGTGTACTAGAATGTTTGTAGCAGCTTTATTAAAAATGCTCAAAAACTAAAAATTATCATAATCTATTGATAAGAAAATTGATAGTATGTTAACACAATAGGATGCTACATAACTCTACACTATAGCTACACAGAAACTATGCTGCCACCTAAAAACGTCATGTTGAATGAAAAAAGAGATTTTCAAAAATACACTTTGTGCAACATCACTCCTATGAAGTTTAAAACATGCAAAACCAAAAATTTTCTTTAGGAACACATACTTAAGTGGTAATGAAAAGCAAATAAGTGAATATCATAAAATTTTTACCTTTACGAAGGAGGAGTGTTCTGAGGGGTTTGTGACTGGTGGCAACATCCTATTCCTTGATCTAGTTCATAGATACTTTAATTTACTTTATAATTATCTGTTAAACTATACTTGTGTTTGGAAAGTTTTTCATATTCATAGTTTATACAATAAAAGTGGGTTCATATATAACAATTTTAATAAACTAGCAGATATTTTCATTATGTTAAATGAATAGTAATAAAAGTAAATATTTGTATATAGGAAAAAAACCTAGAAGAAAATACTTCAAAATGAAAATATATCTGAGCGGTAAAATCTGAAGGATTTTTTTAAATTTAAGTTTCTTTGTGAGGTGACTTTTTTTTTTACAATGTAATAATAACATTTTAAAGCTTAACTTTAGAAAAATTGTTTAGAATAAAAGCTCTTAGTTTGAGTAGTGCTGATCCTACAGCGTATGAAGTATCTACTTCTTTTGAAATTTCAGTAATAAACCAATTAACTAGGCTCTTACCTGAATCATTCCAGTAGTAAAGGCAAAAGGGCTACAAATATTCAAAATCCACTCCAGAGATGAAGGAAGTTGTTCATAAAATACAGTGAATCCCAGACATCCCCAAAAGAGGGTAAGGAGAAACACAACCAAATTGGTGAGGACAGCTTTCTTTAACAGCACACTCATCAGGAACACCAAAGCTACCTGCAAGAGAGAGAAGACATTCAGCTGTTATAAAAAATATTTAGCTCACTGAGAATCATTGGCAGCCCAATCAAATAAGGATTTTTATATCATAACATAAATATTTATCAGTGAGAAAGTGGTGAAAATATTAAGGTATAATGAGTCTGTTCTTTCCTCAACTTCTCTTGAAAAAGGATCCTTGTTTGTCCTACTCAAATGCCAGGCTTTTGTTGCTAGGAAAGGGTGGGGGAAAAGCTGGAATGAGAGCTGAGGATAGGGTAGAAATGCAGACTTGGGTCTAAATTAATGTAATGAAGCTAAATTAATGTAAGAAGGAGCATCTACATACTTTCTGCAGAAAACAACCTGGAAGATGGAAATTAGAGGTTCTTGTTCAGAGAAGGCAGAGCGGAGTGAAACGAGAAGTAAGTATGAGACAGAATATTAGAGGGAGAAGAGATATTGTGATCAGCTACCATGTGATGAGCACCCTTAAGGGAAAAAAAATTGGGTCCACCCCTCAAAAATAACCTCAATAATTATACAGAAAAGACTTTGATATTTTAGAGTCAGCATTGTTTTTTCTTTTTGATACATCATTTCATTAGTTCAGACCTTTATGCAAAAGGCAAGTCAAATTTTATTTGGATTACATAACTTTTTCACTCCATAGAAACTATTTCAAGTACACACAAGGACACACACATGCACACACACAATGGACATGAAAGTAGTGATTGCAGTAACCTACTAGGGCATTAATATTAGCTACATATAGCTAAGATCTAAAGCAGAGAAAGTGGTAATAAATGTATCAACTTACCAAAGATAAGCCATATAAAAAAAAGAGTATAAATATGACCATGAAGCCAGTCATGACTATAATTTGGGTGAATGTTATGATAATTGTAACGAATATGGAAATAATAAAGATGAAGCCAGCATAGATTAGACCCCAGGAGAGCCTAAATAAAGACAAAAAGTTATATAAATTATGTTAACTTATTTACAAAATATTTAATATATACAAAAGCATCTAAAGAACAATGTAATGACTACCCTTGTACCTTCTAGATTAATAACTATACTGTTAATCCTACAGCAGAAGCTCATTGCATATCCTTTTTCAATCGCAATTCTCCTTCTTTATAATTGCCATTCATCTTCGTTACCTTTACCATATATGCATACAGAGATGATAGATGCTGAACACTGGTATAGGCACCAACCAATAGAAAGGATGCCAAGGCCAGGCACGGTGGCTCATGCCTGTAATTTCAGCACTTTGGGAGGCTGAGGTGGGCAGATCATTTGAGGTCAAGAGTTCCAGACCAGCCCGACCAACATGGTGAAACCCGTCTCTACTAAAAATGCAAAAAAATTAGCCAGGCATGGTGGTGCATGCCTGTAGTCCCAGCTACTCGGGAGGCTGAGGCAGAAAAATCGCTTGAACCTAGAAGGCAGAGGTTTCAGTGAGCTGTGATCATGCCACTGCGCTCCAGTCTGGGTGACAGAGCGAGACTCCATCTCAAAAAAAAAAAAAGGATGCCAAAATTAATTAAGTGACTGTAAGCACAGCTGGGCCATTGTGCCTCGTTGGTACCTACGTGTTAGGCAACAGCTCTGTGTGCATGTATTGTGTAAATAGTATGACTATTGTATTAAACAGTATCAATAATATCATATGTATGTATTATTCTGCAAGATGTCTTTATCAATCAACAATATTATACACTGCTGTATAATATTTCATTATGAGAATATGACCCAAAATTCTGCTGCCCATGGAAATTTAGGTTGTTTTCCATTTTTTTCTATTACAATGCCAAGAACATTCTCGTACTTGTCTTTTTTGAGAAAAATGTACAAGAGTGTTTCTAAGCATTTTGTAACTTCAGCTTTGTTAGATATTGCCATACCGTCCTAATTGTAGAATTGGAAGCAACTTAAAAGCCTCTGATCAATCAAGTAACTCTATAAACACTGGGGCAGTTGATAATTTGACTATCCATGGGGATCTCAGCAGGCAGCACCTCCAGTCTCTTTCGTAGTAGAAAATTGAAATTTCACAACTCTACTAAGCCCATTCTATTCTCTCTAATCCTATTCATGATTTCTTCACTTACATTTGTATAAAGTATGCTGCACCCTTAAATATTTGCACGATTTTGCTTTAGAGGTGCTAGTGTTGATATTTTTATGAAGTGGTTATTAAGAAAGAGTATTCAATCTTAGATCTAACAAGACTATAGAGTGTTTTAGCCCACGTGTCTCATTTTACAAATAAGGAAACTGCAATCCCTATTATTTGTTAAGGGGTTTATCCACGGTCACAGAATAAATCGGTAACAAAGTTCATGAAGTTGCAGGCCTTATCTCTGTCCAGAGATAAGTTCATCTACTTAACACTGACTAATTAAATGAGAATTCAATAGCTGAAGCATATAGCACAAGTATTAAAACCAGGACTTTGCATCAATATGTCCCAGTAGAACATGTTCACACCAGATTTACTGGTTATTTGACTTCTTTTTAAATTTCATGCCATTACAATAATTAAGCCTGTGTTAGAAACATCAGCACTTTTAAAAAACATATCACATTCTGTAGAACCTACTTCCTGAATTCAGAAGGGAACTACTTTAGGTAGGAATTGAAAAAACACAGGATATGAAAATTACAAATGAAAGAAATTACCTAGAAATTGCCACTACTTAGAAAAAGGAACCACTTGCAGGGGTGGAGTGGAAAGTCAGATGTTAATAAGTGTATAAAAACTATCTTGCTAAAAAACAAAGCAATTCAGACACTATACTTAAAGAATAAATACTGATTAAATTTCACATTTATTACATTGGTAAAAAAATTGTCATAAAGTTTATTTCCACTAGATAGCCTGCACTTAGTAGAAACATTTCAGAATCTTTTTTCTTCTTAGTTTTAAGGACGTATATATGAATTTATTTTGCTAAGTTTTTAGGTCACATACATACTAAGAATCACTTATCCTGAGAATGAATTCACACCCAAATGTTCCATACCTTTCTGACTTTAATATAGAGTTGACTCATGCCTCCCTGGTCTCAGGTGACTGCAGGGACACTGTCCCATAGGACATGCCCTGGACAGAAAGAAGGCCCCTTTTACAGGGGTTCCCTCCTAACAGACTCCATGGGAGGCTCTAAGTCCATTCTTTTGTATTTCCCAAAGTTCCACTGCAAAAACTTCTTCTCTCTTTTTTATTTGAAGACACAGGTTCCTCTTTTTCTATCTTACAATTTATGTATATTAGAATTAAGATTCTCTCCATTAATAAAATATATTTTATAGAAAATTAAAAATTTACTGTACCATAGTTTTATTTCAGGTAACACGTGGCTCCCAAGGAATTGTTCAATACATAATTTCTCATCCATTCCAGGTAGTTCCAAAACCATAAAGAGTATTTGCTTGATATGGGGCATAGATAGAAAAACATCTCCCAGGATTTAATATAACAAATGTTATATTTCTTTTGGGGTATTATTTTTCCTTTTTTACTTTTTCTAGACAGACAGTATGGATTTTGTCATTGATAGTATTGCAAAAGCCTTTTGGAAGCTTGGAGCTTGTATGATTTGCATTCCTATCTGCTAATCTTACTTACTGATTATTTGCTAGGTGTTTTGTTTTTGTTTTTGTTTGTTTGGTTTTGTTTGTATGTTTGTTTGTTTTTATGGAGTCTCACTCTGTCGCCCAGGCTGGAGTGCAGTAGCACGATCTCAGTTCGCTGCAGCCTCTGCCTCCCAGGTTCCAGCAATTCTCCTGCTTCAGCTCCCAGGTAGCTGGGATTACAGGCACGCGCCACCACACCTGGCTAATTTTTGTATTTGTAGTAGAGATGGGGTTTCACCATGTTGGTCATGCTGGTCTCGAACTCCCGACCTCAGGTGATCCACCCGCCTGGGCCTTCCAAAGTGCTAAGATTACAGGTGTGAGCCAGTGTGCCTGGCCTATTTGCTAGGTCTTTATTTCTACTCCTAATTATTTGTCTTTATTATGACACAAATACATATCTATCTACCTACATACATATATACATACATGAGTGTGTGTGTACATATATGTGTGTATGTATGTGTACACATGCTCATGTATGCATACATATGTAATGTATGTAAATATGTATACATAGCACATATGTATGTGTACACGCACTCATGATTTCAAAATCACTTTAAATTGAATGTGGAGTGGGGGGCAAGATATAAATATCAATATATATAGCAAATGCCCTTGCTAAGGTCTTCTTACATGCCAGCCTTTGTGTTGTATGTCCTAGGAATATTATGTGGGCTCTCTCATTTTATTCCAACATATAGTATTTACTTGCTCCAAAAAATCTATGCCTTGTGGCCAAACCCCTGAACACAAGTCAACTTTTACAGGATTATACTCTCTTCAACATGAGAAAGTCTGGAGAAATCAACTGTTAACTGTAAGAAGACCAGGCGAGAAAACAAGCTGCAGTCAGGGCACCTGGGTTAGAGTCTCAGCTCCGGCACTCACCCTCCATCTCACATTGGGCAATTCTCTTATTCTCTTTGAACTTCATTTTCCTTGCTTATAAAATGAATGACAGTCCCCCTGTATCAGTGTTGGCTTAAGACATTCACGGCACAGAAAAAGTGCTCAGCACATTATAAGCACTATTTTGCATGGCAAAATTTAACAGACTAAGTAAAAAACTCAGAACAAAAGAAAAAGTAGCCAATGCATCAAGTTTAAACCATGATGCTCTGAAACAATAACACTTTTTCACTGCTTCTTAATTTTCCTGTTTATTAATTTGCACTACTTGAATTAGTCACTCACCAGAATGCTGAATCTTGGAGACCCATCATTTTCATCAAATTCTTAGACTTTTTTCTCTCTTTTGTTACATTGAGTGATATAAAATATACAAGTGGGGAGAAATGAAGCAAGAAGAATAAAATAAACATCTCATTGTGAAGAAGATTTTTAGTTATGAAAGGTAATGTCTTCATAGTTATAGCAGTAACTGACATCAACTCCTCCATCACAGGGTGATTGGTTGTGATCTAAAGTAGAGTTTAAACAAACATAATTATTATTTAAAAGATAGAAACTGGTGAACTATGAGTAAGCTCTGTGTATTTTACTTATGTCGGTTCTCCAATTTTTCTTACTGTACTGTAGTTATGCAAGATGTTCCCAGTAAAGGCAACTGGATGAAGGGTACATGGACTTCTCTGTACATTACATTTGCAGCCTCCTGTGTCTTTACAACCACTTCAAAATTAGTTTTACAACCAATAAAATTGGTTTTAAAGTTTTAAAATAGATATGCAATGTGTTCCTTGGTCTGAATATCTGCTTCATTATATAACCACAGGAAAATCTGATTATATATCATTGCTACGGTTTGAAAGTGGCCCCTCCTAAATTCTTGTTGCAACTTAATTCCCATTGTGATGGTATTAGGAGGGAGAGCCTTTGGGGTAGTGGTTGGGTCATGAGGGTGGAGCCCTCATGAATGGATTAGTGCCTTGTAAAAGGCTAGAGGGAACTAGCTGAGGCAGTTTTTGCTCTCCATTCTTTCATCACGTGAGGACACTTAGACGGTGCTATCTATGAGGAATGGACCTTTACCAGTCTTTGAGCCTGCCAACACCTTGATCTTGCACTTCTCAGCCTCCAGAAATAAATTTCTGTCCTTTACAAATTACCCAATCTCAAGTATTTTGTTGTAGCAGTACAAACGGACTAAGACAATTATCTTTCATCAAAAATCTTGAGGTCTCTGGAAGTAGCTGACATTAATTAGTAGAACTTTTCAATCAAGCACTTACTTCTATAATGGCAGTATTAATAGCTGTTTGTAAAGCCACAAATCCTCTATTCCAGTATTTGGTCAATGTACATGAAAACTCACCATATCCATCCCAGCAATGAGCTGTAAGCACAAAGAAAAGCACAGCCAACATTATGGGACGAGGGCAGTTGGAGAATATGAAACAAGTATTGAAAAGAAAACAATCTAGAGGAGACTCTACCAGTAAACTTTTTTGGTGGTGGTGTTTCGTTTTTGTTGTGGTTGTCTTTTTTTTTTTGGAGATGAAGTCTCACTCTGTTGCCCAGGCTGGAGTGCAGTGGTGCGATCTCAGCTCACTGCAACCTCCACCTCCTGGGTTCAAGTGATTCTCCTACCTCAGCCTCCCAAAGCTGGGATTATAGGCACAGGCCACGTTGTCTAGCTAATTTTTGTATTTTTAGTAGAGACAGGCTTTCACCATGTTGGCCAGGCTGGTCTCGAACTCCTGACCTCAGGTGATCCGTGCACCTCGGCCTCTCAAAGTGCTGGGATTACAGGTGTGAGCCACCATGGCTGGCCCACCAGTAGACTTTTAACTACATAGAAAAAGGAAGCAAATAAATGAAAGTTTTTAATAAAGCAATTTTATTCTTGCAGACCACAGCATGCTTAGAAAGTCTTAGAAAATAAAAAGGAGATGAAAGCAAACACTCTGCTCCAGCCATAATGGACTCCTTGTTTCTTGACATTCTCCATAGCCTCTTGGCAATCTATTCCCCGGGCTATATCTGGAGTGTTCCCCTAATTTTGGAAACCGAATTACACTTTTGCCGTGATTAAAGTGACTCAGTGGCTATTCCTTGCCTAGGTTTACAAGATGCCACAGGAGGTAGCACTTGAGTGACTTCAGCTTCACTCTCCCATTACATTCCTTTTCATGTTCCTTGTTCAGCTATACTGCTCTTCTTCCAGATCTAGGAACAGATGTCCTTTCTCACCTCAGGGTCTTCACAATTACCTTTCTTCTATCTGAAACACAATGCTTCTAGCACCTCACACCTGCTATTCATTCTGGTCTCCCTTTAAACATCATTTCCCCAGGTAGGACTTCTCTAATCCCACTATTAGGAACCCCTGGTCTAAGTGCCCATGAAACACTTTTTCTTGTACTTGTCATTAATTGTTCAATGTCTGTCTTTGCTGCTAACCTGGAATCTCACCTGAGGCTGGGGCCTGTCAGTCTTGGTTACTCATGTGTCCTTTGACACATGCATCTGCATGCTCAACACATATATGTTGGATGACTCTACAATTTTTGCAGTCATCCTGTAGTAGGAACATACGATTGACCTTGAAATAAGTTCAGCAATGAAATGGGCTTTCCCTGTTTTCTCATGTGTCATTGAAAGCATCTCTGTTGCCCAACCTCCTCTGTTCTTTATGTTGAAAACATGAAAAATTCCATAATGATATTTGATATGGAAAGTCACCTGAGAAATCTTCTTTCCAAAGTGGACTGTTATATCCCTGGAAAAATATTAACTTATAAGAGAAAGTTTCATTAAAGATGATTCCCATAGCATATGGTAAATTTTCCAGAAGTATTTCGTCCATGTGTGTTTTATTTGGTGCCCCAATGACACTTGTTCCTGTGAATTACAAGGTAAAAATAGACATAGAAAATTGTAAGAGTTTTGCCACAACATAATGTGATATTCAACTGTTTCCCCATATAATTTCATTAGACTTAAATTAAAATCATTTTCCATTTAAATCAATTTTAACCCAAATGCAAGGGGGGAAATTTAATGGTTTAGATTCTACAGTCAGAAGACATGCATAAGAATTACATGTTTTATTTTCATAATGACAAGTATCAGGGCAAGTTTTAGGTACATAAAGAAAAAATTGTGCCAAATTAAGTATGCATAAGAGAATGAGAGTACAAAAACAGAATTAATTGTTGTAGTTACTATACAGTCAGGGATTCCTTATTTCAGATTTACTGAAGCAAAGACAATTTATATGACCTTTGCCTTCTGCAGAAAACAAGATTTTTTAAAAGTGACTCTATTTTCAATAGCCAGGAATTTCACTTGTCAGGAATGGAGGATTAAAGAGTAAATAGCCAAATTGCACCCAATTTGCCCATGAATGAAATATGCATTTTGCTTATTTTGGTTACATCATAATGATCTCATTTAGAATAAAGACTTTTAAAGATGTTTACTGATTGTACTATATTCAGAACAGAATAATCATCAGATTATTCATTTCTGCTTTTCAAAGTTATGAAATTATTGTTCAATAACCATGACCTATTTTATTTATTTAGATGTTTTTTTCCTGAGATACAAATCTTAATCATTGTATGCCATGTTAAAAACACACACAATTTTCAATTACTATATTCCTTCTAGATACTATCCTGCAAATCTAAAAGTATAAATCTGGGTTTAGTTATATTCCAGTAGAAATATGGACCTCCCTAAACTGGACTCCCAACAAGCTGAAAATATTTCAAAGGCTAGTTGTTGTGAGAGAAAGCAATAATCTAACCAGATTTGTATGCTATTTTAGTACTTAAGTTATTAGCATAATATATGACTTTAACTTCAAATTAATGTGTAGACAACTTATCAACAGTATATAGACATCTATCAGTAACTCTTTTTTTGCCATGAGTACACCTACCTTTCAAAAGAGGAGCAAGTGCTGTTTTATTCATTATCTGCTGGGTTAAATTAGATATTGGTGTATACACAACCATTAAAGAAGAGCTATTAAATTTATCTACCCTTCCCAGATTCTGAGGAGCCATTCCAGGAAACTGGACATTTCTCATGGAACTGGAAAACAGAGCAATACACAGTCCTAGAAGTATTGAGAGGCCCCATTCCTGTAATGCATATAAAAAGAAAAATAATGAATTAAGGTTGCATTCACTTAAAGATCTCAGTTAATACAAAATACTGTTGAAAACAAATTCCAATTGTGCTATACAGTTATGTTCTCTCTGCTCTCCAAGCCTCAGAGCATGGAGAATCAAATGAAAGATAAATACTGAGACAGTAGCCACATTTATCATTCTCTAATACTAGAACAAAACTTTTGCATTAAATCATGAACTCCTGCAGAAGCCGTCATAGAAACTAATGGAGTGAATAACAGGATGACAATCTCTATATGCATGGGCAGCTGACTATAGAATTTATAAGACATGGAGTATCCTAGATAGAGTTTATGGTGGCAAATAGCAATATTTTTGCCAGTTGTCATATCCTTGTATTGTAAACTAAAGAAAATGAAAAGGAACTGGCTGGTGGAGGCTACTACTATTGCTGTTCACCAATGTCAATCATCATTACCTCTTTGGCACCATGCTTGACTGCATTCTCAGCCTACTGAAATTAAGTGGAACCGAATGATTTCCTGGACCACAGGATATGGGCAGAAGTGATATGCACTACTTCCAGGCCTCGTTCATGGACATATACAACTTTCTATATTCTCACTGTCCTGGTCCCACTATTTCCTGATCTTTTGACTGAATGCATAGGATCCTCTAGAGGTCTTCAAGGTCCAAGATGGTGGCAGAGGTCCTGGATGAAGCCTAGGTGCCTGAATGATTGTGTGGAGAAGATTTCTTCACCCACCCAACCTACTTTACTTCCACTCTCAACTTTCATTAGACCATGAGGAGTTAAAAATAAGCATTTGCTTGTATCCTCTTTTATTTCATTGAGCAGTGCTTTGTAGTTCTCCTTGAAGAGGTCCTTCACGTCCCTTGTAAGTTGGATTCCTAAGTATTTTATTCTCTTTGAAGCAATTGTGAATGGGAATTCACTCATGATTTGGCTCAGAACATTCCATGCTCATGGGTAGGAAGAATCAATATCGTGAAAATGGCCATACTGCCCAAGGTAATTTATAGATTCAATGCCATCCCCATCAAGCTACCAATGACTTTCTTCACAGAATTGGAAAAAACTACTTTAAAGTTCATACGGAACCAAAAAAGAGCCCGCATCGCCAAGTCAATCCTAAGCCAAAAGAACAAAGCTGGAGGCATCACACTACCTGACTTCAAACTATACTACAAGGCCACAGTAACCAAAACAGCATGGTACTGGTACCAAAACAGAGATATAGATCAATGGAACAGAACAGAGCCCTCAGAAATAACGCCGCATATCTACAACTATCTGATCTTTGACAAACCTGAGAAAAACAAGCAATGGGGAAAGGATTCCCTATTTAATAAATGGTGCTGGGAAAACTGGCTAGCCATGTGTAGAAAGCTGAAACTGGATCCCTTCCTTACACCTTA
Source organism: Homo sapiens (assembly GCF_000001405.40). Classification (NCBI taxonomy): domain Eukaryota; kingdom Metazoa; phylum Chordata; class Mammalia; order Primates; family Hominidae; genus Homo; species Homo sapiens. The sequence goes on from NC_000017.11 coordinate 69,138,932, forward strand.
TACAAAAATTAATTCAAGATGGATTAAAGACTTAAACGTTAGACCTAAAACCATAAAAACCCTAGAAGAAAACCTAGGCATTACCATTCAGGACATAAGCAGGGGCAAGGACTTCATGTCTAAAACACCAAAAGCAATGGCAACAAAAGCTAAAATTGACAAATGAGATCTAATTAAACTAAAGAGCTTCTGCACAGCAAAAGAAACTACCATCAGGGTGAACAGGCAACCTACAAAACGGGAGAAAATTTTCCCAACCTACTCATCTGACAAAGGGCCAATATCCAGAATCTACAATGAACTCAAACAAATTTACAAGAAAAAAACAAACAGCCCCATCAAAAAGTGGGCAAAGGATATGAAAAGACACTTCTCAAAAGAAGACATTTATGCAGCCAAAAGACACATGAAAAAATGCTCATCATCACTGGCCATCAGAGAAATGCAAATCAAAACCACAATGAGATACCATCTCACACCAGTTAGAATGGCAATCATTAAAAAGTCAAGAAACAACAGGCGCTGGAGAGGATGTGGAGAAATAGGAACACTTTTACACTGTTGGTGGGAATGTAAACTAGTTCAACCATTGTGGAAGTCAGTGTGGTGATTCCTCAGGGATCTAGAACTAGAAATACCATTTGACCCAGCCATCTCATTACTGGGTATATACCCAAAGGACTACAAATCATGCTGCTATAAAGACACATGCACATGTATGTTTACTGCGGCACTATTCACAATAGCAAACACTTGGAACCAACCCAAATGTCCGACAATGATAGACTGGATTAAGAAAATGTGACACATATACACCATGGAATACTATGCAGCCATAAAAAATGATGAGTTCATGTCCTTTGTAGGGACATGGATGAAATTGGAAATCATCATTCTCAGTAAACTATTGCAAGGACAAAAAACCAAACACCGCATGTTCTCACTCATAGATGGCAATTGAACAATGAGAACACATGGACACAGGAAGGGGAACATCACACTCTGGGGCCTGTTGTGGGATGGGGGGAGGGGGGAGGGATAGCATTAGGAGATATACCTAATGCTAAATGGCGAGTTAATGGGTGCAGCACACCAGCATGGCACATGTATATGTATGTAACTAACCTGCACATTGTGCACATGTACCCTAAAACTTAAAGTATAATAATAATAAAAAAATAAAAAATAAAAAAATAAACATTTGCTGTGTTAAGCCACTGAGATTTGGGCTAGTCATCTGTGATTAGCCCACCTGCTTGATGCAAACTGACTTTCAGTGGTGTTAGTTGATCATAATTCTTAAAAACAATTTTTGTGTAGAAAATTCATGTCCTTGAAAATAAATCCACAAAATTAAAATGTCTCCATTTCTTCTGACAACATTTTTTTTGTACTTCTTGGCTCTAAGTGTATAACATTTGGTAGTAGCTCTAGCAGTTGCTGTAATTTACCATATAATTAAATGTTCACTTAATCTCTTTTTATATGAGGAATTCTTTTAGTCTTTAATAATTTTATGTTATTCTTCAGTCTCTCAATTCAACAAATACAACTAGAGAGAACTGGTAAAATCAATAAATCCCATCTACTAATTAAAAGAGAACATAAGAGAATCAGTAGGTAATGAAACACTGTAAGAGTGCTAACCGTGGAAAGAGACAAATTTTTAAACATACCAATAAGCTCTCTCTTTTCATCCTCCATTTCTTAAGAAAATTCTTGCACAGAAGTGCTTTGGTTTGCTGATACACGCTTTTCTGTTTCATATTCATTTAGCCTATTCGCTGAAGGAGAAAGTAATCATGGTGGAACACAACCTAGAAAAAAATAAGTGTAATAAGAAAAACCTTGATCATAGTGTTGAGGAAAATATTTACTACCTTTAAAAAGTGTAAACATGAATTTAAAATATTATTTCAATAATTTATGACTGTAAAATTTCACCTCAAATATTTCACCTTAAGCTTTTTAGGGGAGTGGGTGATGGTGGGAAGGCAGAGTGATTATTATCACAATTTTGCAATAACTTGGAGTACTGAAATGGAAAAGCTGTAATTCAACTTCAGAACCTATAATTTCACATTTTTGGCCTTGTATGAGAGAACTTTAAGTACATGAATAGAGTGATTAAATTAATTTCATCCTGTTAATAGCCATTTCTTGTTCTTTACATTGAAACAGAAATCTCAGAGCTAATCAAATTAACATCAAAAGTCTGATTACTTAAATTTGTCTGAATAATAAATTACATCCACTAGATACAACCTCAATAAAGTGTTTTCTTGTAATTTTACCTTCAGATTGAATCAACTTTTATGAAAAGAGATAGGTTGTAAATCATAATCCAGGCTCAAACTACTTGAAACTTGATTCTGAGATACAGGAAGAATAAAGCAATTTCTCTCAATTTTCTGAATTCAGAAGTCCCTGAATAACTAATGAAACTACAAAATTAGCTTTAAAAGAAGCAAAAATAAATCACACGGGAAAGTAATTTTGCCCAAAGATTTGCAAATCAAGAAACACAATTTTTTTCGTTTCTGTAACCTCAAAATGAAATTCTTTCATATTTTTACATCAAAATATTCAGATAATTCTCCCTCAGCTAGCACAGAAGCAAATTTTTTCCATTTTTCTATGTCTTACTGTTACAATCTACACAATAAAAAGTGGTTGGGAAAAAGCAGAAAAATTTAGTCTTAGGTCTTTAACATAAAACACATAAGAATTGGGAAACATCTGAAAAATAGATTGATTTTAGCAGTGTCCACCCACATATTTGGCACAGCACAACAAAATAGAGCTTTACTTACTGTCAGGAAAATAATAAAAAGCACTCTAGAAACACTGTCAAAACCAGTTCTCTGTTTGTCTAGGTAACGATTACAACTTCTTTATTGCTGCTTCTTCATTTTTTCTTTAAATGGGTGCCTACTCCAGCAGCTCTTACACAGCCTGGTTTCTGAAAAGGGGTGTAGCCAGACCAAGCTGTACATGATGAACTTGTTTTGTTTTCTGTGTCTCTTTCTCCCTAAGCCAATTATTCTGCAAGGAAATGACTGTTCCGTGGTTGGTTGGGAATAAAATAAACTCTGTGTTTGTTCACTTAGCCTTTCAACTACAGGGATAAGGGGGAAAACGGTAAACAAGGAAAATGGAACTAGTTCTTCAGAAATGATGAGACCAAGATGGAGGCAGGAACAAGAAAGAGTAAAAACAATAACTAACCAAACAAAGCAGTTAAATTTGTATAAGAAATCTGTATCTATTTTCTTTTCACTACTGATGAATAAACACAACTGCCAGTTAGTTGTATATTTAACTAATTCAGACTAAGTTAGCAGAGTATTCTGGAGCTGATTTTTTTTCCTAATAAAGCTAAGCAATCCATAGTACGCCTTGGAGAAACTCCTAGGACAGACAAATGAAGAATTTTTAACAAATTTGTTGCTCCCACCCTCTTCACAGTGGATACAGGATTTCATAATACTTATGAACAAAATAAGCCAGTGGTTTGCCCAGGTCTACAAAACATATAAAAAGATTCAGATAAATTTTTGTGCACGAAGACTACAACAAACTGAAACATGTTTAATTCATATAGCATAGTCTGTCTCTCTCTGCTCTGTAAAGAGTTGCAAACTTTTCTTGACCTGCCACAGTGAATGGCAAAACAGGAAATCAAAGTCCATGAATTGGGAAATCTCAAATATTTGACACGGCTCCCAATCCACAGATGTTAATAATCATAAAGCTGAGAAACTTTCTGGAGCAAAGCAGATAATTTAAACAACAATGACAACTACAGCCATGATACTATTATGTGTATATGTGTGTGCCTGTGTGTATATATATAAAATGTATATATATATAATGTATACATATGTGTATATATATAATGTGTGTGTGTGTGTGTGTGTGTGTATATATATATATATAAAATTTCTCTCCTTGGCAATTACTTCTGTTTTTAAAAATAGTCAACAGTGAAATGCCACTTTTTTTACATTGAAAATTGGCACAAACACCGTTAATAAAGGTGTTCTAAAGTTCTCATGGGGTGTGGGAAGGGAGGTCATAAACACTTAACATTTTGTAATAGTAATATAACAAAACTCAAAGTTACTTTTAAACCACCTGGAATACAGTTAAGGCTTTTATGAATTTTTTTGTTGTTATCATTGTTTTAGACCCTTTATACTTTATTTTAGGAATCATTTTCATTCTGCCATTCTTATAATTGTATTAAAATTCACAGCTACAATATCAATGATAATTATTTAGATTAAATATATTTATTAGTTTCATTTCTTACCATTGTTTCTTGTGTATGCTTTCTTTTCCTTTTTCTTGACCTGTTTCCTCTTACTTATTTTCATTTTGGGAGGCTGTTTTCCTTACGTAATGTGACAATTTCCCCACAAATGGTGATCTAATATACTAAAGTGCCCAGCCTCCAGCTAGAAGGGCATGGAAGTGGTGGGTAAAATATATCCCCAAATTGAATTTCCAATATATAGTCAAATTCAAAAAAGGAAGAAAAAAGATGAAGAATGTAAACAACAATGGAAGAAACAAAAAAAGACAGAAAGACATGTTTCCAGGTGTTAAAACTGAAAAGGAATTTAAAGTTTCCCTTAAGTTGTGAGTGGCATTTCAGACACTCCATCAGTTCAAGGATATACTGGACTGAAAACCAAGCCTCAGGTGTTTTAATGACCCTCTGGCCTGAACTTGGTCCTTGAAAGGTTGGTAAGCTGGAGTTCATATTCCTGCAGGAATCCAGAGGGTTTATAGGACTGTCCGGTGCTAAAAACAGACTAGGAAAATTTCACCTACAACCTCAGGGGAGAGCAAAGCTGTATTCTCTGCCCAATTTCTGGAAGACAGACAGACAGATAGTAGATAGATAGATAGATAGATAGATAGATAGATAGATAGATAGATAGATAGATCGCCCATAGAAAATGAAACCACAAAGTATGTAGAGCATGTATCAGGTACAAGAGACAGGAGAAGGATCTGAATTTATTCTCCCAGTATAATAACCTGTCCAGAGATGTATTACAGGAGTTAGTGTAAACACTCTGGAGCCAAACTTGTGTCCAAATTCTGGCTCTGCCATGTACTAGCTGTGTGACCTTGCACAATCCATTTAACTCTCACGCCCTCAGGTTTTTTACCCCCCAAAAGTGGAAAAACAACAGTATTAATATATATATAAGGTTATTGTAGGGGTTAAATTCATCTATGTAAGTACATAGAAAAATGAGGGAAAATTGTAAAAGCTCAAAAAATGTTATTTGCTGTTACTTCCCCTCCTCCTCCTCCTCCTTCCTCCTCTTCCTCCCTCCTCCTCTTACTATCCTGGAGTGTCACAGAGAAAACACAAAAATTCCATAAAGATACATCCAAATTTCAGAACACAAAGCAACAGAGGTAAAAGAAATATTCCTCCCAGAAGATAAACTCATAATCAAAAGTCTAACATGAAAACAAATCAGTAGGACAAACAAATGAGACTATTAGAAAACTTAAGAACTAAGGGGGAAATTATTGTGAGCTAAGCAAGCTCTCTCAAATGTGACTAATACAAAATTCTAAGTAGTAGTATTTTTAAGATCTTCCCTTTTTTTTAATAATTATGTGTGTTTCTTTGGGGAACTTTGCTGATTATCGCACTTGGATTGATCATTCTGTAGTCTAATTTTTCTCATCTGGCCAATGATTTTTTCCCATTAATGACCAATATTAAAGAAGTCTAGATTCATCAGCATGGTGCTTGGACTCTGTTGGCCATTGATTAGGTCAGTAATAATTTCTCCTTCCTTCTTTTTCTCTTTTTTCTTTTCTTTCTTTCCTTTCTTTCTCTTTTCTTTTCTTTCTCCCTCCTCCCTCCTCCCTTCCTTCCTTCCTTCCCTTTCTTCTTTTTCCTTTTTTTTTTTCCTGACAGGCTAACCCCTTTTTTCCTTCCCCTTCATTTCTCTTTGTAAGACAGATACAAGGTTCACCAGAAACAAAAGTCCTCTTCACTTCAGTTACTACCACAGCCTGGAGATGGTTTTGGCTGAGTAGCCAGGGTTCTTGGTAGGACTTTTTTCTTTCTGGGTGACCCCCTAGACTGGTTGCAAGTGAAAAAAACACAACAACAAAATGAAACCACATGGTAGAATGATCATGAGGCTGAGCATTTTCTTCCTTGACTAAACTCTCTGTTCTGTTCAGTGATATTACAGGCTTTCCCTTAGCTGGATCATGATTTCATAAGTCCCCCAGCCAAGGTCGAAGAATGCAATATGGGCTTTCAAATTTCTCTTCACTTTCCACCTTTCCCAATCTAATCACAGATTGGAGCAGTATGTGCTAGCTCCTGGCATCTTTCTTTAGTCTACTAAATAATTATTTGGGATGCTAACAATGTTATAATAAGAGCCTGGGACCTTTCTTAGTTCCATTTTAGCTGTATATTTCTGCCATTTTTTTTTGTTTATAGAAATGGGCACTTCACTTGGCATTACTGCCAACAGTCTCTAATTTCTTCCTCTCTGGGGAAATTTCTGGACAGCTAGGGATGGAATGCATTGGTACAACTCCACACAATGACCCAGACATTCTAGGAATATATTTGAAGTGATTACATAGATAATTGCTGTAATGGTTAATACCCAGTGTCAACTTGATTGGATTGAAAGACACAAAGTACTGATCCTGGGTGTCTCTGTAAGGGTGTTGCCAAAGGAGATTAAAACTTGAGTCAGTGGGCTGGGAAGGGCAGACCCACTCCTAATCTGGGTAGGCACCATCTAATCAGCTGCCAGCTCGGCCAGAATAAAAAGCAGGCAGAAAAACGTGAAAAAGCTAGACTGGCTTAGCCTCACAGCCTACATCTTTCTCCTGTGCTGGATGCTTCCTGCCCTCAAATATGGGACTCCAAGTTTCTTCAGCTTTGGGACTCGGACTGGCTTCCTTGCTCCTCAGCTTGCAGACAGCCTATTGTGGGACCTTGTGATTGTATTAGTTAATATTACTAAATAAACTCCCATATATATATATATCCCAGATATATATATCTCCCATATATATAAACTCCCATATATAATAATATATATGAGTATATACACATATGGAATATACACATATGGAATATACACATATGGAATATATATACATGGAATATATATACATGGAATATATATATACGGAATATATATATACGGAATATAAATACACGGAATATATATACGGAATATATATATACGGAATATATATATACGGAATATATATATACGGAATATATATATACGGAATATATATATATACGGAATATATATATACGGAATATATATATACGGAATATATATATACGGAATATATATATATGGAATATATATATGGAATATATAATATGGAATATATATATGGAATATATAATATGGAATATATATATGGAATATATAATATGGAATATATATATATGGAATATATATATATATATATGGAAAAATGTTGCATGTGTATCTTTGGCAGGGTTCTCTAGAGGGACTGAACTTCTGCAGCATTGTTTCTAACAGGAAAACTGAGAAACAACCTGTATATCTTTCAATTTATTCTCAACTAAAAAGTTTTGGTACATCCAAACACTGAAATACTACATACACACTACAAAAAAAAAAAACTGACTTAAACTGACATAGGTATACAATAAACAAGGAAGGTGTGATGTTCGTAGTATGATGTTAAGTAATTATATAATAGTAGATATAATATTATCCTGTGTGTATATGATAGAAAAATGTATTAGCTAAGAAAGAGTATTTTCCAGTTTAGATTGTATAAATACTATAATTTTTATGGCAAAACATATAAGATTTTAAAAATTATATTTTTTAAAGTTAAATGAATGGAATTCTCCACTTTGACAATTTTTAAGTGTACAATTCAGTGACATTAATTGCATTCACAAAATTGTGCAACCAGCACCACTGTCTAGTTCTCAAATTTTTCATCAACCCAAACAGGAATTCTGTAACCATTAAGTGATAACTCCCACTCTCTCCTCCCCCTAGCCGCTAGTAATTTTTAATTTCTTTCTGCCTCAGGGAATGTGCCTAATTTATTAATAGATATTCCATATGAATGTAAGCATACAATATTTTTCCTTCTGTGTCTGATTTCAAGCAAATTTTGTTTTATTATATTTTTGCCACAATAAAAAAAATTAAATGGATTGAGACACTGAGAATTTATGGGCAATAACTCTATATTCATTTTATTTGCAACAGTTGTTTTTTTTTTTTTTTGCCCAATCTAACACAATCCTGCTAAATTTTCTGATTCATTTGCTTCTGTATTCATCCAATCAATGTTTCATATTGCTCTGCTGCAAAATCTGCTTGTTGGAAGCATGTGAAAGTCAGCAACTGCATGTCAGCTCTGCTTCCATCAGGCCTATCTTCTTACCGCTGCTTCTGACTTTAGGGTGGTTTCTGTGGCAGTGGTCCTCCTGTCACTTTTGGAACAAGACACATTTTGCATTGAAGTTGTTGCTTGCCTGACGTCCTATCTTCCCAGGTGTTTCACAGGACACTTTTAGGCTGACTTTTTCAGTTGGGATTCTGAAACCACAGGTTGTACAAGAAGCGTGGTGCCAATATCTGCATCCAGTGAGGCCTCACACTGCTTCTACTTGGCAGAGGTGAAGTGGAGCCAGCATGTGCAAAGATCACATGGTGAGAGAGGCAGAGAGAGGGAGAAGATGCCAGGCTCTTTTTAACTACCAGTTCCCCTGGGAACTAACAGAGTGAGCACTCACTCATAATTGCAAGGACAGCACCAAGCAATTCATGAGGGATACATCCCTATGACCCAAACACCTCCCACTGGGCCCCACCTCCAACATTGGGAATCAAGTTTCAACATGAGATTCACAGGGTCAAATATCCAAATGATAGCAGATGGATAGTGACTTTTTTTTACAGGTCAGAGAATAAAGTTATATGGATCTTACAGAAGAGAGAGAACCATCAGTTGATATCTTAACCACTTACCTTAAGACTCTAATGAACAAAACATAAGAAAAGTCCATCAAAGTTTTATTTCTAAGAAATAAACTTGCATATAACCCGAACGTAACAACTCTGGTATTACATCAATACAGCTATAACATTAATGCAGCAATTATATAACACAAAAGTGCTATAATGACATGGGAAATGTTCATGAACTGTGAGGTGAAAAGATACAGAAAATGACTATGCCTACTGATACTACCTTTGAAAAAGGATCCATAAAAAATACATTGAATATAAGTTGGCTAAAGAAAATATTAACTGCGGTACTTTCTTACAGATTATGGCTATCTTCTTCCATATAACTTCAATATGTACTAAAATTCACATGCATTTATTTTATAATCAGAATGTCATTATAATTAAATGTTATGCTGTGCCATTTCATCAGTTTATCAGACCTTCTTATAGTCAATGTCACATTAAATTAGAATCCGAGTAAATAATGTTTAAAAATAGCTGATACATTTGAAGTTCAGGCTAAAAACCTCATATTTTTATTTGTAAAATGTTCTCAGTGTTAGCTTTATTGATAATAACCGATAACCAACCTAATATTGTATGATTTTTAAATTATTTTTAAGCACAAAATAGACCCATGTTGGGGATGAATAACATGTCTGATTTTGTTAATTTTGTCTACTACTTTTCCCTATATTTCCTTGTTTCCTTCATCCTAAATTTTTAAAAATGAAAACTGTAATCATTATTGAATGTTTATTAAATGTTTTCTTTTGTTAACTGAAGTAAAAGGAAACATTCTTGTAGAATTATGGAAACTAACAATGTAGTAGGACCTAAAATTGAATGTTAGGAGGTTCTTCATTTTAAGGGTCTTCCTGTGGGAGAAGTTTCCATTCAACTGTTGTATCAATTTTATCATCAACATTTCCCAGCTCCTGCTCTTTACAGAGTTCTAAGAATACCTAAGTAAGAGAAAATAAAAAAGATACAAAAATGTCAGGGTGTGTCTGAAAGATGGATTCACACAGAGGTCATCTGGATGGTGCTCACTCGTTCAATGAAAACCCACCTGCTCCAAGGTAGCCTGAGAGAGGCTGTATTCCTCCAGGTTGAAGGTCTGTTTCACTGCATGTAAAGAGACTGACATTAGTGGCTTATATATTTTTCACCAAGTGTTTGTAAAGTCATACAATAGAGACAGTAGCTTCAAATTGTTTAGATACTGTAAGATATAGGCCAAATAATTACATTTTCTTGAAGGATAAAGAAGAGTGGTGATATGGCTAATAAAAGATAGCCATGCATGAACATATTCAGTTTCCTATAAACTCGAAAAAGCTCCTTGTGTCCTATTTTAGTATTATCCTTTTGATTCTTTACATATATGCTTTGGACTCCAAATCAGTTGTCGAGAATAATTTATTCTATATTTGTAAATCTACAGAGGAGTCCACTCCATGCTGGCTCCCTTTTCACACTTGTACATTCTGCGTCAATAGCCATAAATACGCAGTGTCTCTGGAACTAGTTCAGAAGCCCCTCTTCAATAGTGACTTGTTACACCTCACCCCTCTGTGTTTTCTTTCGCTGACCTTCACTCAGTCCTCCAACTGTTGCCTCTGTACATTTGCTCCTGGTACCTTGGCTTTTAGAAACATAGAGACCTCAAGAGCTCCCCTTGATATTCTTTGGGACAACATTCTCATAATTATCCTTCAATTCTATGCACGGGTGTCATGGTAAGAAACAGCCCTGGTACCCCAATTCAATCCTGCAGGATAGAGTAACCTGACTGACTTGTGGCTGGGCTTCCTGGTCAGCACAGGAAGAATCAGGTGGAACAAACCAACATCTAGGACCATGACTTCATTTCCTTTGAGATTGTTATGACTATCCTGGTAGGGATTTTTCAAGTTTTGATTGATTATTTCATTGTTCTACTTCAAATTACATAGTCTATATTCCACATGAAAATATGCAACCAATACATAAAGTCTTATTTATATATACCCAAACTTACTCGCCTCTAACTTGAAAAAGGCCCGAGATAGAGGGTGGACATCCTCCACAGGTAACTTATACGCCATTAAAGAGGAATATCTGTCAGGAAGAAGAGTGAGATTTATTACTAAGTTTCAGTGTGATAATACGGGGGAGGAATTAATAGGCAAAGTAAAATAATTTTTCAATGTGTTCTTTAAATAAGTGTCTGATTTGATATAGCATGAATCAGTGTGAAATTACAGATTCAATCATAAAAAAAGTTATAACAACAAAAATCTGGTTGCCTCTAATTTTATGTTAAAGATAAATTCTGAGAAATAGCTCTGATTAAGAATCTTTCCCACTCAGCCTGCACTTTGTTATTGTGCTATATTTCTTACTTACTCTCAAAAAGCAACCTTTCTAGAATGTTTACATTACCTTTCCCCTCTCTCATAGGAGAGATTGAGATTTAATTTTCAATCTCTCCTATAAAAATTAAAATATGTTGAACTCTCTCCTGCTAAAAAAAAATTTTTTTCTTGACCTTCAGACCCCCTTTCATGTTGCACAATCCAAGGAACACTCTTCAGTCCTCATTTTGCAAACTTTTCAAAAGCATTAAATAAAATTGTACACACCCTCCTTAAAACAAACATACTCTTTCTCTCTTAGCTTCTGAGACAACCACACTTACGATTTTCCTTCTAACTCTCTAGGCCTGCACTGCTTAATAGAGTAGCTATTAAATCCATGTGGCTATTTAAAGTAATTAAAATAAATAAAATTGAAAATTCAACTCCTCATTCACACCAGCCACATCTGAAGTACTCAGTAGCTACGTATGTGTAGTGACTACCATCCTGGACAGCACAGAAAGGACATTTTCATTATCACAAAAATTCTACTGGCCAATGCTGTTCTAGATACTCCTCAGTCTTTGTTGGTATGGTTGTGGTGGTACTGTCCACACAGGAAGATTTATTTTCTTCCTCAATCCCATCTCAAAGCTGAGAGCTCCTGGGGTTCATCCGACTTCCTATCTCTCTTGTTGGCCTCAACATTCTCCTAGTTTAATGGTCTTCTATATGGTAAAAAAAATCCCCCACTTTGTTTGTTGCCAGACCAGATCTCAATGACCTCTTCCTTCTCTTGTGAGCCACAGGTCTACATCTCTTACTTTGGCATCTCCACTTGGATATCTCTTTACACATCAACTACATGAGCTTTTGTTTCATCCTTGACATTTGTAGAATTCATTCTTGACCTAAGTTCTTTAAATGTGCTGTTTCCTGGAAACAGTGTCTGTTACTCCCACTCTTCAGCTGACCAAACCCTGCTCAGTCTTAAAGTCCTACCTCAATGTCATATCCTCATTTATTTGTATCTTCATTTGCTTAATATCTTCACCTCCAAAAGGAAGAACCTTGTCTATTTTGTTGACTATTCAATACACAGCCGGCAGCAGATAATACGTATTCAATAAATATAACAAATATTATAAAAATAAATGAGTAGAAATGGTATACAAGAAAATTCTGTTCATCTTTCAATTAAATTCAGCCTCATTCTGCTATTCACAAGGGTTTGATTACCATTACTTGTAACACATGGTTGACCACATACAACTTTAAAAGAAACATTGGGAGGATCAAATGATTTATAATTGAATAATTTAGGATAGAGTCAATCCTTCTCAAGCATGGAAGTCTGTGTTACGGAGCTCTTGATGCAATTTATATTCAGCAAAATCCTGTAGGTGAAAGCATTGTTTTCATTGTCTATTTTTTAAAAATCATTAAAAAGTTGATAGTTTAATTTGTCTGTACTTTGTTCTTAATCTCCAAGCCATTCCACCATTTACACACATATATGAATGCACACACACACACCATTCACCTTTTCTGAGGTCTAAAACACTCACTGAAAATAACTGTTTAGTTTTTGTAACGCATCCTAGCAATCCTCAAACAGGTTGTTTTGTGATGAATAAGTCCACTCTGCCTTTCTCTTCCGGTTTAGACTAGCACAAAACTAATTGATGCTAATACTGGAAAACACTCATACTTGTCACTCAAACCGAAAACATCCTTTACCTTTCCTGCCAAGCAGCCTGTGGGAAAAGCTTCAAAATCTCTGTGTGGAGAGCTTCCACCTGGGTAGGTTCTTTCATTTTTATTTCTAGTAAATAATCTCTACCAAACTTGTTTTTCAGATGTTGAATGGAACCAATACACCTAGTTCAGGGGAAATAAAGAAAAAATACTTGTCTCTTAATTTCTTCCTCGGTTCTCACTGTAGAGGAAGGTGTTTAATTACAGGTTAGGGAGCTGTAGAGCATCAGCTGTTCATAGCAAACTGAAACTCTCTCTATAAGAACATGCTAGTCCCATGCTGGTCAGGACAGGCACCCACCTTAGCGTTCCTGACACCATCATGGCCATACGGTCACACACAGCCTCAGCCTCTGACATGTAATGGGTGGTCAAGAGGGTGCCCCTCTCCTTGTTTTTAACGGTAGCCTGAAGTATCTGCCTAAAGATAAAGTAAGGGATTGTTTGCATTTAGAAAGTAATTTGGGGAAATAGATAAATAGAAAAAAGCAGGAAATCTAAAGAGAAAATGTTATGTTAGGATGCAAGAAACCTGTGCAACATGGTGAAACCCCATCTCCACAAAAAAATTTAAAAATTAGCCAGGCATGGTGGCACATGCCTGTGGTCCCAGCTGCTTGGGAGGCTGAGATGAGTGGATCACTTAAGCCCAGGAGGTCGAGGCTGCAGTGAGCTGTGATTGCACCACCGCATTCCAGCCTGGGTGATGGAGAAAGACCCTGTGTCAAGTAATACAATTAAGTAAATAAATAAATAAATAAATAAATAAATAGGCTACAAGAGAAAATCTTTGCCATAGAGAAAAAGAATAGAAATTGTGTTATATTGCCTAATGATAGTACCATATTAATAGGCTTCATAAAAAAGAAGAGTATTGGTTAAAATAATGCACTATTGGGGAAGAAAAGTAGGAAAGTTGGAGTAAAAAATACAGAAACATCATACTATATGACTTTCAATAACTGAAAAATGAAATGGAAAAATAAAAAGACAGGGGGAAGAGGAATAAGAAAGAGAAATCCAAACAAATATAATCAAGAGTTTATTTGGGTCTTAAAATATCTATTTTTTCCCTCCTGCAGGAATTTTGAATGCTATATTAGGTTTCACTGAATTACATAATAGAAGATGTGCACATCAAAGGTTAATGGAGCAAAATGTAACAAAGAAACAAAACAAAAACAAAAACAAAATATCCTAGAGGTATTCTCTTGACTCTGACACTTAATATTCACTCTCCTTACCACATTTGCTGCTGCCCCTCGGGGTCCATCCCGGTGAACGGCTCATCTAGAAGCACCACTGATGGGTTCCCCAGGATGCTCAGCACAAAGCACAGCTGCAATGCAAGGAACAGCCCGTCGGCACCCAGCCATGGGTGCACAGGGAAACCCCGAGCCTGGCCCATACCTTTCTCTTTATTCCCTCTGATAGAGTTTTCACAGGAGCCTTAAGTTGTTCCTGGAGCTTAAGAGCTTCCACCAATCTGACAAAAAACAGTGTGATTATACATGAAGTATATGGCAAATGGACCTATCTAAAACAACTGTAGGAAACTCTAAGCACTATTATTCTAGATAGTAAATTTAAGCTTCCTTAACGTTTTCATAAATGCTAAATCTTATGATTTGGTTCTTATTCAGGTATTTGAATCATTTTATTTGCATGAAAATTTAAAGACATTGTTTATAATTTCCTTTTAATATATAATGAAGAAATGACATATTTTCCCCTTCCTCCTGCTACAAATTGTGAGACTTCTCTCTGTACCGTGAAATACTGAGAGCAGCATCTTCTTTGCCCAGTCCTTTCACAGCTGCATACAACTCCAAGTGCTCTTTCATTGTAAGCTTGGGCCACAGTGAGTTCTCCTGAGGGCAGTACCCCAAGAACTTGAGGCTGTTGTCATGCTGTTGCCTTACTGATGCTCTGCTGCCTTGTAACACCACCTGCACAAGACAATGAATGTCAGATTCACCTTTGGTTTTTGCTCCAATCCCCCTTCTACTAAAGGAGATAAAAGTGGCCATTAAGCTACAATATTTTTTGAATACGCAAGAGAAATTTTATAAATTCTTTCATCTATTTTTTAAAAAGATATTTGATTTACTGATAGGAATAATAGAAAGATGTCATCAATATTTAAAATAAAATTTCCTTCACATGTCACATACCACTCCTGCAGTTGGCTTTGTGCACCCAGTTATCATTTTAATGGAAGTACTTTTACCAGCTCCATTGTGTCCTAGTAATCCCAAAACTTCACCTGGAAGAAAGAGTCACCATCAATATTTGAATTTTCAAGGTTGACTAATCTAAAATTGCTTGGTTGGTTGCATAACATTTTGAAACAAAATGACTTTTTTTTTTTTTTTTTTTTCAGAGACAGAGTTTTGCTCTGTTGCCTAGGCTGGACTGTGGTGGTGTAATCATTGCCTGCTGCAGCCTTGATCTCCTGGGCTCAAGCGATCTTCCTGCATCAGTCTCCCAGGTAGCCAGAACTACATGCATGCACCACCACACCCAGCTAATTTTTAAATTTTTTGTAGAGATGGAGTCTTGCTATGTTGCCCAGGCTGGTCTCGAAATCCTGGCCTCAAGCCTCCCGCCTCAGCCTCTCAAAGTATTAGGATTAGAGGCACGAGCCACCGTGGCCACCTCAAAATAACATTTCTGAAACAAATGCTTAGTTAGCACCTTGAAAAATCTCCTGTATTACAACATTAATACAGAGAATCAGGGTCTTCTTAATCCAAGACTGGGTTTCTTGCCATTTGAATTGGGACATGATTTTGAAGTAGAAAAGACTTATCTGCTGACATGTGAAGAAGTTTTATAATTACACATTAACCAGGATATATGAACAGTCTCAATGAATAAAAATTTGTCCCCTTTGTAGTCTTAAATCTAGAGAATAAGGAACATTATAATAATAATAAAAGGAACAATTGTTCAAACCTTTTTTAACACAAAAGGAAACATTTCTGATGGCTATTTTCTTCTTTCTTGTTGAAAAGCAACTTTTCTTTGTCTCATAATATTCCTTGTGTAAACAGCTTGCAGTTATGACTGGTTCCTGGAAAACATGACAAAGCATGATTTCCCTGTTAAATTTCAGATACTTTACGAATTGATGTTTTATTTTCCATTCCCTAGTCTATAAACCCAACTAAATTTAATGCCAGGCTGAAGAGCTTTAGCCTCTTTTTTCAAATAAAATACCCAAATGTATGTTCATAAATAAGGGCTACTTAATCAACTACTAATAAAATTAATTCCTAATCAAATACATTCCCTTTGCATTATGCTAGCAGCTATCTTTGCCCTTTCAACAATTTCATTCCCAGTTTATTCCTTATTGATTTCCATGCATTGTAAATTCATTTGCTCTTGTTCATATGCTATTCAGTTATTAATATTACAAGCATACTATAATATAAAATGTAATTGCAACTCTTGAAAAATGTGCGATTTTGCTAAAATTGATTAAAAAATTCGAGAACTTGTTGATTACACTGATGAATGAGGAGCTGGAAGAGTAAGACCCACAGAAAACTGAAGAAGAAAAAATTAAAAGAATGAGGACAGGGTAGTTACTTTTAAAGAGAATAATTTGAATATAAGCTATAAATAGAAATATTAAAGAAACTAAAGCAGCTTTTCAAAATAAAAACCAACATCTCATCAATTCTAGAGGACAAACTATCTGAGCATTTTATTAAGGGTCTAATCCCTGCTGTTCACCTCCTCCAAGTTTGGAGCAGTGAGTGCATTTGCTGCTTGGACTCTTTCAGCTTGAACATCTTCATCTTCTTCTTCGGGCTCTTCCGGATTGGGATGAGTTTCTCTACTCCGTGGAGAGATTCTACAGAGGAAATAAAATAACATAAAAATGCAATTTTGGCTGTACAACTGTTAAGAAAATGTAAACCCCTATAATTAAATTATTATCCTTTTTAAAAAAGACTATCACATCATTAATTTATTACCTACAAGATTCTTCTTGGCAGTAATAACACCTCCGGTAGCCAAGTCCCTTGAAATATTCTTTGACTATTTCTTCTCTTTAAAACATTGTATCCTATCTGTCAACTGGCTCTGTCACTTCGTTCTTTTAAATCACTCAAATGTAGACATACGGGTCTTTTAGTCTGTCACCATCCAGATCATGACCACATTCCTCATAAAAGATCATCCTAACTGGTTTTATATGGAACCAGTTTTTACTGTACCTTCTCCTTAGGGACCCATAATGGCCACAACCAGGAGAAAAGCAAGCTTTGATGCTTAAACACTACTTACAGACATGTACAGGACAAAAACTTATCTTGCCTAAAATCAGAACCTATGACTTAGAAACTATCCCTGCATCCAATCTAATTCTGTTTTCTTTTTCTGAAAATAGCACTGTGCAATATGCTTAGCCAAGTGTTGGGTAGTAAATCCATTTTAATAAACTGATGTTAAATGTACTGCAATAAAGACTAAATATTTAAGATCACAACAGGAGGATTACTTGAGGTCAGGGGTTTGAGACCAATCTGAGCAATATAGCAAGATCCTGTCTCTATTTTCAAAAATAAAAACAAATAAAATTATAAATTTAAGAAGATTAAATATTTAAATTACATTCAGATCTCAATTAGTATTCTCCCAACCTGAAACCCTGTTTCTATTTTCAAAAACAAAAACAAATAAATAAATGAAATTATAAATTTAAAAAGACTAAATATTTAGATTATATTCAGATCTCAATTAATATTTTCCCAACCTGAAAACTGGGTCTTTATTCATTATTTCATTTCCATACTTCATTTCCAGACACCTTATGACAAAAAGGAAAATAACACTCTGAAGGTATGGCTAAAAGAAAAGAAAAATAATCAGAATTAGCATCACCATGGCATTCACACTCAATGGTGAATATTTGTCCATTTTTTTGTCACAGAAGATTTGATCATTTTCTTGAAGATTTGATCATTTTCTTTTAAATTTGACAAGCAACTTGTAAAATACTTCTCATGTGGAAGAAAGGTTTATTCAAACTCACCCTCCCACTGAGAAAGAATTAAAAAGCCCACATTAATTTTTTTAAAAACTTTTAAAAAGCATAGAAGAGCTAATAAAATAGTATGGGCTTTTAAAGCCAAATCTAAATGAATACAGGAGATAGGTTTAGCCCCAAAGCAACTCTTGTCCTAGAGTTATTCTTTATCCTTGAAATACTCAAACTTCCGTTTTCATGCCATGTCCAGGAGCAGAAGACAGAAGAAACTGTTGAAGCAGAGAGTCTTCCCCAAGTAAGGGGTAGATAGGTCACTCTTTCTCTAATAAAGGATGGACCTCAAAGGGTTATATTTTTAGTGAGGGGTGAAAAGAACCCTCAGGATATTGCTAACATCATTGCCTTGAGTGCTCATCATGGAAGGAGAAAGTGAAGGTGGAAATACAAGCCAGCTTTTACACAGACTTGGAGCCCAAATTCACATCGCTGGATGGTCAAAACAAAACCTCAAGCCTAGGACATGGTTTAACATGGTACCAGACTGGTAGTGTCCCTGTGAACTTGACAGAAGCAAACAAAATGTAATAGTTATCCCAGAAACAGACTCTACATATATAGGCAACTGATATATGAATAGAAGTAGCTCTGAATATCAATGGGAAAGGCACAGACTTTTCAAAACAGTTGTCTCAACTGCTGGGACAACTGGACATCCTTAAAGATAGAAATAAAACAAGTCCACAGGAAAAAAAAAATGAATTTTAGATGATTGAAGACATAAATGTGAAAGGGAAATATAAATATTTTAGAAAATAATATAAAATAATATCTTCTTGACCTTAGGGAGGGGGGGATTTCTTAAACATTACAGAATATAAAATAAAATTTATTAATTTTTAATGGTTTTATTTAAAATAAATTAATCATTCTTAACAGAGGCTCACAGGCTTTGAGAAGATTCCAGATTCATTCTTGATAAATACTAGAAACAAACAAAAGACAAAAGCTCTCAGTAACTCAGGAATTGAGGGATTTAGTAAGATAAATAGTTTATATTTTTAAAAGTTACTATGATGATAATGGTTAAGCACTAAGAAAATTCTCAGTAAAATCAGAAACAATGTAAGGACGCCTTCTTGCAACAGTGTTAGTGTTAGTGGATGATTTTTAGAGATTCAAGCCAATGTCATAAAGCAAGAATATATAATGCAGTATATATTTTCAAAATAAAAATATAATTATTTCATAACATGGTTGTTTCACCGGAAAATGCAAGATAAGAATCTGAAAAAAAAATTGGAAATAAGAAAATTCAGTAAGGTAAACTGATATAAGATAATTGTACAAGAATTTTATATTTTTGTATAGAAACCTAGCTAGAACGTGCAATGGGAACAAAATTTTATGGCAAATAAATAAATACATAAATAAATGTAACTGAATATACACAAAAGGGAAATAAAGTAAAAATATAAAATAAAATACTAAAGTATATAAAATAAACCTTAAATGCAGATAAACCTTTAAACATAAATATTTTCAACTCACAAATACTGCTCTAGCAAAATAAACATTAACAATAATGTCCATAAAAGTCCACATACCAGTTTCTGGCACTTGACTGCATTCTAATTTTCATCAATAAAATTGAGTAGGAAAATAGAAAAGTTTTGAAAAATTAGGATGATAGGACATATGTATCATTTTGAATTGATCAAAATATATAAAGCTACCATAATTAAAACAATGTAGTCCTGACACTGATGTAAACAAATGGATCAATGGGGAGAATATCAACACAATCAGTCCATAGATATAAGCAAATTTAATACTGATAAAGATGTCATTTCATGTTGGAAGACATAAAATGGAGTATTCATAAATGGCATTGAGATAACTAAATGCCCTTTTTTGGAAAAACTTAAAATACAAAGGTTAGTCTATATCTAAAAACAAATCATAAAATATATCCAGAAGATTAAACATTTAAGTATTTTAAGAAACAGCAAAAATTATAAAACAGGAAAGGGTGACCCACATTCAGAAAAAAAAATTAGTTAACAGAAATTGGTTTTGAGTGTTATCAAAGATGTAGAAAAGCTACTATACATTCACTAAACTAAATAAAGTCATATTTCAAAAATTAAAGTAAAATATGACTCAAATACAGACTTTCTATTATATAATTGATCTGAAGAACAGAAAGAAAAATGATGAGCAATAAATAAACAGAGCCTCAAAGATTATCAAGCATACCAAATATATGTAATGGTAGTTCCAAAAAGATAGGGGAGAGAGAAAGAACAGAAAATTTTTTTTAAGAAATGATGGCCCAAAACTTCCAAAATTTGTTTTAAAAAATATTCATATACACATTCAAGGAGCTTAACAAATCATAGGTAAGATAATTACAACAAGATCCATATCTAGACACATCAGAGTCAGATTGCTGAAAATCAAAGGCAGAGAAAACAGTAAGTGGGAGAGGATTCATCACTCAGAGAGAAGCAACAATACAATTTCTTCTCTTCAGAAACAATGGAGGCCAGGAGAAAGTGTGATGATGTAATCAAAGAACTGAAAGAAAAAAAGTATCCAAAAATTGTATATCCAGTAAAATAATTTTTCAAAATAAAATCATTCCCAAGTTGTTCCAAATTGCCTTAATGTGGCCATCATTACATTAAAAAGGGAGACAATAAAATAAATAAATCAGCTATAAAATTTTTATTTTAAAATAGACCAATGGAATAGAATAGAAAACCCAGAAATAAACCCTCCCATATATGCTCAAATAATCTTCAACAAGGGTGCCAAGACCACTCAATGTGAAAAAGACAATCTCTTCAACAAATAGTGCTAAGAAAACTGATGTCAATATGTAAAAGAATGAAGTGGAGGCCTTATATTATACACAAAATTAACTCAAAATGGATCAAAGACCTAAATGGAAGACCTAAAACTATAAAACTCATAGAAAAAAACTTAATAAAATTGGACTAGACAGCGATTTATTCAATACGACACTAAAAACACAAACAACAAAACCAAAAATAGACAAATGTGTTTGCATCAAATTAAAATATTCTGTGCATCAAAGGACACAACTGACATGGTGAAAAGATAACCTACAGAATACAAGAAAACATTTTCAAATCATATATCTGATAAGGAGTTAATATTCAGAATATATTTTTAAAACTCCTACAACTCAATAACAACAAAAATTCAAATAACCCAATTTAAAAATGGGCAAATAATGGCCGGGCACGGTGGCTCACGCCTGCAATCCCAGCACTTTGGGAGGCTGAGGCAGGTGAATCATGAGGTCAGGAGATTGAGACCATCCTGGCCAACATGGTGAAACCCCCTCTCTACTAAAAATACAACAATTAGCTAAGTGTGGTAGCATGCACCCATAGTCCCAGCTATTCAGGAGGCTGAAGCAGGAGAATCACTTGAACCCAAGAGGCGGAGGTTGCAGAGAGCCGAGATTGCACCACTGCACTCCAGCCTGGTGACAGAGCAAGACTCCAGAAAAACAAACAAACAAACAAAAAAACCAAATAACTTGAATAAATATTTCTCCAAAGAAGATATATAAATGGCCAACATTAAATGTCAATGAAACGCAAATGAAAACCACAATGGCATACCACCTCACATCCATTAGGATGACTACTATATAAAAAAATAAGTGTTGGTAAGGATGTGGAGAAATTGGAACTCTTGTACACTGTTGGTGAGACTGCAAAATGGTGCAATTTCTATGGAAAACAGTATGGAGGTTCCTCAAAAAATAAAACTAGAACTACCATATAATTCAGCACTCCCACTTCTGGGTATTTATCCAGAAGAACTGAAAGTAGCATCTTGAAGAGAGATTAACACACCCAAGTTCATAGCTTACAATAGCCAAGAGGTAGAAGTAATGCAAATGTTTATTGACAGAATGAATAGATTTTTTAAATTATGGTATATACATATAATTCAATATTATTCAACCTTAAAAAGGAGTGAAATCTTGACATATGTCTCAACATGGATAAACCTTGAGAACATTATACAGAGTGAAATAAGCTAGTCACAAAAAGACAGATACTTTATGATTTCATGTATATAAGATATATAAAGTAGTAAAATTTATAGAAGCAGAAAGTAGAATGGTGATTACCGGTTTGGGCAAAGGGGAAAAGGGAAATTGTTTAATGGCTATACAGTTTCAGATTTACAAGATTAAAAGTTCTGGAGATTCTTCTCACAACATTGTAAATATGCTTAAAAAACTGAACTATATATTTAAAAATCATAAGGATGGTAAATTTTATGTTACGTGTCTTTTTATTACAATTTGAAAAGCTGAAAAAACTTATATGTGAAAAATAATTGCAGTTGTTTTTACCACCACAGGTCACTGACTAGAAACAAATAGGTAAATAGCCATGAAGTATAATGTGGTGGGATGTGACGAAAGCCGCTTCTAGGCCTGGCCGTTAAAACAAGGGGACTTCAAAAATACCATGAAAAATTCATATGATGAAAAACCTATGTGTGGATTTCAAATTTGGGGGGCAACAAAATAAACTCATCCTAACTTCTTATAATATGTTTGAACAGGATCTGGTTTGAGGTACTAAGAAGGGTACATTCATTTGAAAATAGGTACATTCATTTGAAAAGAGCCCCTATCAGAACATGAATTCTGCTAAAACTGAAGCAAGAACAAACATCAAGTGTATGGAGAAGCTTGGAAGGAAGAATGGTGAAATCATCGATGCTGTAAAAAAGTTTATGAGGGCAATGGCCCAAAGAAATTAGCAACTTACAGATGGTTAAGTGGTTTTAAGAAGGAACAAGACAATGTTGAAAATAAGTCCTATAGCAGCAGACCATCCACATCAATTTGAGAGGAAAAAATTCATCTCTTTCATCTCCTAATTGAAGAGGACTGACAATTAACAGCAGAAACAATAGTCAAATCACAGACATCTCAACTGATTCAATTCACATAATTCCGATTGAAAAATTAAAGTTAATCAAACTTTCTACTTAGTGCAGGACAAAACTGTTGTGCCCAGGTTAGCAGAAGACAAGAGCAGAGCATTCAATGGAGATTTTAAACACATGGGATCGAGATTCTGAAGCAATTTTTTTGAATAACTGTTTACAGGAAATAAAACATGGCTTTACCAGTATGATTCTGAAGACAAATCACAATCAAAACAATGGCTACCAAAAGGTAGAAGTGGGTCCAGTTAAAGCAAAAGTGAATTAGTCAACAGCAAAGGTCATGGGCAACAGTTTTTTGGATGCTCAGGGCATTTTGTTTGTTGACTTTCTGGAGGGACAAAGAATGATAACATCTGCTTATTATGAGAGTGTTTTGAGAAAGTTAGACAAACATCCAGGAAATCTTTACTAGAAGGTCCTTCTCCATCATGGCAATGTTCCTGCTCATTTCTCTCATCAAACAAGGGCAATTCTGTGAGAGTTCCTTTGGGAAATTATTGAGGGGTATCCACCTACAGTTCTGATTTGGCTCCTTCTGAATTCTTTTTGTTTCCTAATCTTAAAATATATGTAAATGGCACCCATTTTTGTTCAGTTAGTAACGTAAAAGATACTTCAATGACAAGGTTAAATTCCCAGGATCCTCAGTTCTGTAGGAATGAACTAAATGATTGGTATCGTTGCTTACAAAAGTGTCCTCACTTTGATGGGGTTTATGTTGAAAAAATTACATATATACATATACATATACATATACATATACATATATATATATATATATGAGACGGAGTCTCTCTCTGTTGCCCAGGCTGGAGTGCAATGGCACAATCTCAGCTCACTGCAACCTCCATCTCCTGGCTCAATCGATTCTCCTGCCTCAGCCTCCCGAGTAGCTGGAATTACAGGCACATGCCAGCACGCCCAGCTAATTTTTGTATTTTTGTAGAGATGCGGTTTCACCATGTTGCCCAGGCTGGTCTTGAATTCCTGACCTCAGGTGGTCCACCCACCTCGGCTTCCCAAAGCGCTGGGATTACAGGCGTGAGTCACTGCGCCTGGCCAAAATTTATATTTTTTTATTTTCAACTTTTAGTTCCATTTTCCCATGAGGATTTTGGAGTCCCATCTTGTCTAATGTTCTAACCTTTTCTTCCACTGCAAAGGCAACCCTGAAGATTGAGGGGTGTCAAAAAGCACAGCCACCAAATGGAGGTGCGCAGCCAAATACACAATAGAATTTATTTGAAAAATAAATCCCTATTAAGTCTTGAAGGTTCCAGGGTTTGTTTGCTGTGTCAGAGTTGCAATGAACATATATTCCCCAGCTGGACAACTGTATGCCTTTAGAATTCAATGGTCAATTAAAAATGACTATATATGGAACATCTCTGCATGTATTTACAAAACAGGAAAAATATACATTCATTATACAAAGACCCAGGTAAAAATGTATAAAAGTTTATAAATCAAAACAAATTTAGAGGTTTCTTCCTTGATAAACTGCTGTTCTGCTATTAAAGAGGAAACAAGAGGTGTGCAAACAAGAGTATGTTTCCTCCTTCTGCCTCATTTGCCATAATACACAGAAATAACATTTATATTCGCTTTCATTGTCTTTCCCCACTATAAAATTTCATTTAATCTTTCTCCTTTCCTCCTCATTATTCAAATTAGTTGTTATTAACACATATTTACTTGATTCTGAGCCATACACCATATGCTGCATTTCTTACATACTGCCTCAAATTGTCTTTGGATACATATCAACAATGTCTATCACAATAACAGCAACCAAACCTTTAAATGTTCTAGTATGTATTATATTATCTGTGAATCTATTTTAAAAATATCTTTAGTTCTTGCTGCCATTATATTGGAATGGAAAATACAGAAAGAGTGGGTATTTTAAGACATTTAAATTTGGCATACCTTGAATAAGATTTCACGGGGCTATGAATCTTATGCAATATATATATTTAGGTAGAAAATGTTCCTTACTATTAAGGTTGTTAAAAGAATGGTTTTATTGACTTCATTTATTCTATTGTCCAGACTGTCCAAGTTTCTCATAAAGTCGAGCTGAAAAAAAACCCACCAACAGTTAAATGCAAGTTTCTCTATAAATATAAAATTTACACATTAAATACACCCACATTATACTTGATGTTCTATGGGACAACAGTAAGTATTCCATGAATTGAGATGAGAAGAGTTGTTTTCTGATGCTAAAGTCTACTGATGACCTGACATCTTTCCTTAGTTATGAACTCCAACACTGTTTATTTTCCAATTGTATGTAATAGGGATTTCCAAGTTTCTCTTTAGTGGGAGTGACAAAGTACAGAACTATGAAGTAGGCAAGATTTGCCCACAGTTCCCCAAAATTCTCAGTGGTATTTAGTTTCTGTCAGAAGTGGTTAATAGAATCATGTTTTCTTTCCCTCACTCACAAGTCATACACTCCAAAAGCAATTTATTGACACTAAGTAGTATGCAATCAATAAGTCCAATAAGATTTTAGACATTGATCAACATTGAAATGAAAAACTTCTATCCCCTGGCAAGATGGATTCACCACAAGAGAGCATGTTTTATAACAATGGAAAAGTTTTAGTCCTGTCTCAGAATCACCTCTGGAATTCATAAACCACGGTTGGGCTTCCTGCTGTATTTCTGCATGGATTGACCCTCTTCCTGCTAGTATGAATAGTGATCTCAGCAAATTTGACAGCTTTCAATTTTATACAGCTTTAAAATCTTATTTTTAGAATTTATCAGCATTGAATAACTTCAAAATTTTATAAATGCACCTGTTCCGACAATGGGTAAGGATTTTATTAATGGGCTACAAGGTCAAGACTGGAGACACAGTAGGTAACACTGCTTACCTGGATCAATAACATGACATACCCCAGCAAAGTGAAGGAAGGTATGAAAATCATGCACAAAATTAAGTTGAGTTTTTCATATTGAGTTGATACCATAATTGTGGATACACATATTAAGATCTAGAAAAAAATCCAGAAGTATTATAATTTTCTCAGTTATATTTGATATCTTAAGATATTTCCTGTGAATAACCTGTTTTCCTGGGAGATACTGCCATTTTCAACTTTTACCTCACAGATAGAAATATTCTTAGGATATCCTCTTTAGGAAGTCTCAAACTTTCACTGCAACTAAAACATAGGATTACAATAAGGTCTGTCATAAATACCTTAAAGATTTTGCAATACCCAGTAGGGATAAACAGCAACAATAAAAGAAGGTGATGTAACATTATTTATTTTGTCTATTATAATAAATCTTAATATGTTTTCAGTACAAGGATACAGTGAAGAATTAACTGATGATATGACTTGGGAACTTAAAAGGCAAAATAAACTTTGAGGTTGGTGTTTATTGCCATATCTAAGCAGTCAGAGAAATGTAAGAATTATCAGTCTTGATATCCAAGGTAGGAATATTGAACAGTTTAGAACATTCCCAGAGGTAAATTATATGGTTGTCACTTTAAAGGGCAGCCCATATCCCCACTCAGACTGTTAGTCGTTTCCTAAAATGGCTCCCTGGCTCCAGTTCTTCTGCCATTCAAAATTCATATGACATTCCAAAGAGTATATACAGTTAACTCTTGAATAACATTAGTTTATTGTAGGTGGATTTTTTTCAATAAATATGTTAGAAATTTGGGGGAAGATTTGTGACAATTTGAAAACCTCACAGATGAACCACATTGTCTAGACATATTGAAAAAAATTAAAGAAAAATTAGGTATATCATGAATGCATAAAATATATGTAGATATTAGTCTATTTTGTCATTTACCACTGTAAACTATAAACAAATCTATTATGAAAAGTTAAACTATATCAAAACATGCATAGAAACTCTTACATACCATACATGTTGCCATTAGCAATCAAGAAAAATGTAAACATAAAGATGCAGAATTAAATCATGACTGCATAAAATTAACTGTAGAACACACTGTACTACTGTAATAATTTTGTAGTCACCTCATGTTGCTACTGTGATGAGCTCAAGTGTTGTAAATATTCCCTTAAAATGCTGTGTGAGGCTAATCATCTTATTCTCAAGCAAATGGCATATCTCAGTAAAAAGTGGCTTCTCATGGTTCTTGCAGATCTTTCATTGTGTTTAGTGCAATACCATAAACTTTGAATAATACCGTAGGACCTAGGAATTGCCACTAGTGATTCCAGAAGTTCTCCCAAGAAGCAGAGAAAAGTCATGAGATTACAAAAAAAAAAAAGGTTGAATTGCTTGATATGTACCATAGATTGGGGTCTGCAGTTGCAGTTGCCTGCCATTTCAAAATAAATAAATCCAGTGTAAGGACCATTGTAAAATAAGAAAAGGATATTTATGCATCTGTCACTGTAGCCACACCAGCAGGCACAAAAACCTTGCACTTTTTTTGAAATACTTTGAAATCTCACATTGATGATCCAACTTTTATACCTATAGGCTTTAATACAATTTGAGAAAAAGTGAAGTCATTATATGACAACTTAAATAAAAGGTTAAAGATCTAAGGCTGGAGAATGTAATGCCCTCAAAGGATGCTTTGTTAATTTTAGAAAGAGGTTTAACTTAAAAAATGTCAAGATAACAGAGAAAGCAGCTTCCGCCAATCAAGAGGCAGCAGACAAGCTCCCAGATGCTATTAATAAAATCATTGAAGAGTAAGTGTATCTGCCTGAACGCATTTTTAATACAGATGGAAGTGCCCTCCCTATTCTGGGGGGAAAAGTGCCACAAAGGACACTGATTAGTAGAAAACAGAATCAAGCACCAGGATTTAACGTAGAAAAGGATAGGCTATTTGTGCAAATGCAGTTGGGTTGATGATCAGTACTGCCATTATCTATAAAAGCTGATAACACTCAAGACTTGAAGGGAAAAGATAAACACCAATTGCCAGTCTTTTGGTTATACAACAAGAAGGCCTGGACAATGAGAACCCTTTTTCTGGATTAGTTCCATGGATGCTTTGTCCCTAAAGTCAGCAAGTATCTTGCCAGTAAGGAACTGCCTTTTAAAGTTATTTTGCTACTGGACAGCACCCTTGCTAACCCAGAACCATGTGAGTTCAACACTGACGGCAACAAAGCGGTCTGCTTGCTCCCAAACACATCTCTAATCCAACCTCTAGATCAGGGGTCATAAGAACTTTTCAGGCTCATTACACACAGTACTCTATGGAAAGGATTGTCAACATCATAGAAGAGAACCCAATAGAGAGAACATCATGAAAGTCTGGAAGGATTCCACCATTGGAGATGCCATTGTTATAGAAAGAGCTGTGAAAGCCATCAAGCATGAAACAATAAATTGCTGCTGAAGAAAATTGTGTCCAGATGTTGTGCATGACTTCACAGGATTTACAATAGAACTAAACACAGAAATAAAAAAGAGATTGTAGACAGGGCAAATAGGGTGGGGAGTGAAGGGTTTCAAGACCTGGATCTTGGAGAAATTCAATAACTAATAGACACCACACCAGAGAAATTAACACAAGACAATTTGATGGAAAGGAGGGTTTCCATTGCCAGATGATGAGAAAGAAGATGTAGAAGAAGCAGTGCCAGAAAAAGAATTGACATTAGACAATCTGAAAGAAGGATTCTGATTATTCAAGGCTCCTTTTGACTTATTTTATGACATGGAATCTTCTATGATACAGGCACTGAAACAAAAGCAAACAGAGGGAAAAGGATTGGAGCTATATGGAGATATTTTTGGAGAAATAAAAAAGCAAAAAGTAAGACAGAAATTATAATATATTTCTGTAAAGTTACACCATGTGTGTCTGTCTCTCCCGCCTCCCCTTCCACCTCTTCCACCTCTTTCACCTCTGACACCCCTAAGACAGCAAGACCAACTCCTGCTCTACCTTCTCTTCCTTCTTGGCCTACTTAATATGAAGACAACAAGAATGAAGACCAAGAATGATAATCCACCTCTACTTAATGAATAGTAAATATATCTTTCTTATGACTTTCTTAATAACATTTTCTTTTCTCTAGCTTACTTTATTGTGAGAATACAGTATATAATATATATATACAAAATACACGTTAAGCAACTATGTTATCAGTAAGATTTCAGTCAACAATAGGCTATGAGTAGTTAAGTTTTAGAGAGTCAAAAGTTACACATGAATTTTCAATTGCATGAGGGTAGGGGGTTGGTGCCTCTTACTCCGACGTTGTTCAAGGGTCAAATATATTTTGATTTGAACAGGAATCATTCTCTTTTATATTCCATTGAATTTAAGTCCTCTGATTGCAGAAAATTTGCTTTGTTCATGGTTATATCCCAAGCAAAGTATCTGGCACATAGGAAGATACAATCAATATGAATGAATGAATAAATATTGGGAAGGGCAAACAATAAGGAGGATTTCTATTTCTCTGTTTTTATTCACCAAATAATCAAAAAATATGCATATTAACAGTGCAGTTGATACAAAACACTTTGTTAAATAGTTACTGTAGTTACAGGAATAAAATTGGAGGAAGAAAAGGAAGATTACACGGTTTGGCTCTGTCTCCCAACCAAATCTCATCTTGTAGCTCCCATAATTCCCATGTGTTGTGGAAGGGACCCAGTGGGAGATGACTGAGTTATGATGGCAGGTCTTTCCTGTGCTGTTCTCATGATAGTGGATGGGACCAACAAGATCTGATGGTTTTCAAAACAGGAGTTGCCCTGCACAAGCTCTCTCTTTGCCTACTGCCATCCATGTAAGATGTGACTTGATCCTCCTTGCCTTCTGCCATGATTGTGAGGCTTCCCCAGCCACATGGAACTGTGAGTTCTCCATTAAGCCTCTTTGTAATCTTGGGTATATCTTTATCAGCAGTGTGAAAACAGACTAATACAGAAGAAGAGGATAATAATTCCTATTGAGTACTTCATGAACATTTACTATTTATCAGATATTTTAATGAGCAGTTTACCAGCACTATAATAGTTTATGCTCTTTTAAAATCTCAATCCTAAAACACTAGAAAGTACTACTGTTATTATACATATATTCTGATGTTTAAATAACTGAACCTCAAAAGAACTGAAATAATGTGTTCAATTTCTTATAGCTACTAAGTGCCAGACCACTGAGGATTAAAACCTGGGGCTATCTAACTCTAGAGCCAAAATTCTTAATCATTATACTTTCCTAAGGGATATTGTATCAGTCAACTGTCCATACATCAAGTCAATATATAATGTACTGGATACCATGAACTTATATATACAAAACAGATGTTTCTAAAAGCCTAAAACAGAGAAGCAGACATTTGTGAACTGGAAGATTCACTATGTAAAGATATCATTTCTCCCCCAAAGTAATTTATAGATTCAATGCAATCCCAATTAATATCACTTCTTGTGGAATTTGACAAGAAGATTCTAAAAAGTGCACGCAAATGCAAAGAATCAAAAACAGCCAAGATACTTAAAAAAGAACAAGGTGGGAAGGTTTGCTCTCTCAAATAAAGCTACCATAATTGAGACAGCATGGTATTGATGTACAAATAGAAAAACAGATTAATGGAAGAAATCAGAAAGGCCAGGAATAGTCTTGATTGATAACAAAGGTAGCACTGCAAAGCAGTGAGATAATGATATGGACAAGTGGATATATAAATATGATACGTATCAAAAAGGCATATAAACAGTGTTTCTTCCGTATGTACAAGAAAAATTTTCTGAAGGAATAAACAATATAAACTGAAATAAGCTCAGGGTTTCATCAGCTTATTTTATAAACATTGTGTATACTTCAGAATCTCCTCAAAGATTTCGTGGCCATAGTATTTGTAATTATTAAAGGTATTGCTCTAACAAAATATATAGCAATATATCTTCAGTATTCTATAAAAATTAAGTTGGATTTTCTGGCCGGGCACGGTGGTTCAATCCTGTAATCCTAACACTTTGGGAGGCCAAGGTAGGCGGGTCACCTGAGGTCAGGAGTTCAAGACCAGCCTGGCCAAGATGGTGAAACTCTGTCTTTATTAAAAATAAAAAATTTAGCTGGGCATGGTGGCGCACACCTGTAGTCCCAGCTACTCAGGAAGCTGAGGCAGGAGAATCACTTGAACCCGCGAGGTGAAGGTTGCAGTGAGCCAAGATCGCCCCACTGCACTCCAGCCTGGGCAACAGAGTGAGATTCCGTCTCAAAAAAAAAAAAAAAATTACGTTACATTTTGTAAATCTAACAATGCAAGTGAAGAATGTATCTTTGACCATCTTGCTTCTTTCACCTTTATTCCATTCCTTTTTGTCTTCTTACTACACTAATTACCACATCTATATTGTTTTACTCATCAAAAAAAAAAAAAAAAAAAAGAAGTCTTCCATTAACCATTCCTTCTGGCAAGCAATGATAGCAACAACAATGCCTTGTAAGGAGTAATTAAACACTTCCTGTTTCTGCTTCTGCATTCTATATTTATTCTTCCATCTGCTACAAACTGTATTCTGCATTCACTGCTTTATAAAACTGCAGTCTCAAAGTTAGTTGTAGACATCTGTATGTAGAGATATGATGTAACAGATACCCTAAAGGGTCTTACCCATACTGTACAATTAAATTTTGGGAAATTGAAACAACTGTCCCTTACATACACTGCTAGTTTCAAGGGAAAAAAAAAAAGTGAGGAAATTCTTCAAGGACAAAAACAAAGCCTGAAACCCACCTTGGACCATTAAGTAAACACAAAATCTGCTTGGGCTGAGGACAAGTCCCCATATCAGCCCATGAGTTAGGAAGATATGATTTGGGTTCTCTTTAAAGTCATTCCCTGCAAAGACCTTTAAGAGACTAAAATGAAACCCTCTTGATGGGAATTCCTTGTAAATCCCATATTGAGGCATGATACTCTAAGTTGGCTTGTACAATCGTAGATGGATTCTACACTGCATGTCTCACAAAAGTAAGTGAAAATCTTTTGGGGATGAAAACATCCCTAATACAGAGTCTTCGGAGTTCCACACTTTAAGGTCAACCAAGTATGAGCTCCTCTCCCCGACAAAAACTTATCAAACATATAAGGCAATAAGCACTAGATGACTTTTGAGACTAGAATTGTCAAACGACAAGTAGAAATGTTGTTTTCAATGAAATGTTGAAATAAATCAAATATGAAATATAGAACAATAACAAGTAACAAAAGATTAGGAGAAATAACTAAGCATATTTTAAATAGAACCAAAAAGAGTTTTGGAAAACAAAATTGAAATTTTAAGTAGTCAATGAGTAAAAATAATTTAGATGCAGATGAATTTAAAACAAGTGAATTGGAAGAAACGTCTGAAGCTTCCCCAGAAGGCAGCAAGGACAAGGACATGGAAAATTTGAATGAAATGCTAACAGATGTAGAGAATAGTATGAAAAGCTAATATTATCTCAGTAGAGACTTTAAGTCAGACAGGCAATATCTGAAGTGGTATTGGCTGAGAATTTTCCTAAACTGAAGACAGAAATGAATTCCAGGCATCCCAATTTATACAAAAATAAAGATAAATAGAAAATCACACCTAGAAACATTGTAATGAAAGCTAAAGTCAGAGAAGGTTAGTCAATGAGAGAGCCTCTGCAAAGGATAGCAACTGACTGATAGCAGACATCTGAACAGTTAAAATGTAAGCAACAAGAGAGTGAATTTTCAAAGTGATAAGAGAAAATGACTGTCAACCTAGAAATGCATAAGCAGCTAAATTATGTTTTAAGAATGAGGGTGAAAAAAGATTTTTTTTAAACTACGAGAGTTTATAGCTAACTGACCTGTTAAAGGAATATATAAATGATGCATTTTGGGAAGCCAAAAAAAAAAAAAAAAAAAGATTGATCTCAAAAGGGAGGAAAAAAAGACTAAAATCCAAGTATGAATAGTGAACAAATAGATTGATTTAAAATGTACACAAATCTTTTTTAAGTTCTTAAAATGTTAATAAAAATGCTTATTTGAGGGATTAAAAAAAGAAAACCAAAACACTAGACAATAGCATGTAAGTAGGGTAAGAAATTATTAATAATAAAATCCTCAAAATATGGTGTTGGAAGTAATTAAGATATTTATTAACTTTAGGCTTTGTTAAGTTTAGCACATAAAAAATTTTTCAGGGGTGTTATGGGCTGAATTTTGCCTCCCCAAAATATATATGTTTAAATTTTAACCCCCAGTAGCTCAGAACATGACTATATTTAGAAATAGTCTCTAAATGGGTAATTAAGTTTAAAGGATGCCATTGCAGGAGTCCCTAACCCAATGTGACTATTGTCCTTATAAGAAGGGGAGATTAGGACACAGACGCGTCCAAAGGGAAGACCATGAGAAGACCTGGAAGAAGATGGCCCTCTATAAGCCAATGGGAGAGGCCTCAGAAGAAATCAACCTTGCCAATAGCTTGACCGTGGACTTCTGACCTCTAGAATTGTGAGAAAATAATTCTGTTCCTTAAGCCTCCCAGTCTGTAGTACTTTATTATGGCAGCCCTAGCAAATTAATACAAAGTAATAAAATATAGATTATGACTTTCAAACCAAAAAAAAGAAAAATATGGAATAAAAACAAATTCAAACAAACAAAAAAGGGAAGAAAAAAGAGAAATCACATACACAAAGCAAAAAGTAAAATAGTGTAACTTCAAGAATATCAAAAATCACAATAAACTCATTAAATTAAAAGCAGGTTAAGTCTGAATTAAAAAACAAATAAAATCCAACTATATTTCTTTTACAAGAGACAGGCATTAAAGCATAAGAACAATAAAAGTTAAAAGTAAACACAAGTGGCAAAAAAGATTTATCAAGCAAATACTGAACAAAAGAAATCTGGTGTACCTATATTAATATGAGACACATTTGACTTTATGGCCAAAAACCATAAGAATAAATAGGGCTGGTGTATAATCATTCCAGACTTCAATGCACCAAACAAAATAGTTTCAAACTATACAAAGCAAAATTGGATTAAATTAAAAAGTGAAACTGACAAGCCTACCTTTACAATGGAATTAGAAGAGAAAAAAATAAAGATCAATGACTAATGCCGATGGTTAAGAAGACATTACCCTTGGTTATGATATTTGACCATTGTAGTACAACCATTGATAAAACTGGCCCAAGGAATTATGTGATTAGCTGTCACAGGGATGCGATTTGGAAGCTTAGAAGCAATTTAGTAGCCTTTAGGATTTCTGCTGACATACTGAATTCTCCAACTGGTTGTGTTTGTGATATTCCTGCTTATACTAAATCCAACTTTTAAATACTACTCACAAAGGCCAACCAATGTAACTGTAACAGCTCCAGTGAAGTAAAACTTTGGTCCTTTTACCCTAATCCCTTCACCCTGTCCACAGAAAGAGAAAGGAAAATCCAGAAGAAGAAGAAGAAAAAAAGAGAGAGTCAAAGTGTAGACCTTGCTCTCTTTCTCACCGCTGATCCCCAAACTAAGGGCGTGCCTAAGATGAGCCTGGGGAGAGAGTTTTACATTGCTTAAGAAAGTTATGATTTGGACTTGACCAACCTTTTAGATTTTTTTTAGTTCTTTAAGTGAATCTTACTTAACAAAATTGGACTGTTTTAATGTTTGAAATGGTCAGAAAGCTATAGTAACTGCTTAAGATATCAGCTAGTGATAGGGAAGGAGATGCAGTAGCATATGCCTGAAGTAATAAGTAAATTATTTATTAAGAAAACAGTTTCTTATTTATTTTATTCATCTATATAGCCCCCTATCATGCTTGTTGTTTGTTTGTTTTTTAAGGAAGGAGAATTATTTAAGAGAAAAACATCACTGAGTTGAGAGGCCTGCGTTTAAGTCTGATTCTTTTCAGTTTTTCCCACTCTGTAAAATGAAGAAATGTCCTGAATGATCTAGTCTTTCAGCTGTTACATGCCATGGTTCCTACATATATTTTACTTCTTTCCAAAGAAACAGAGTTCTAAAAAAGAAACCTCAAAGAACAAATGGGAAATAAAGGAAATAAAATGAACAAAACATTCTGAACCCATAAACATGGTACAACAATAATGAAAGTACAAAAGAAAAACAAACAAAAAACCCTCCATTCTCTTCTAAGCAAAGTATTTATACTTAAATTTGCATTTAAAAAAACTTCAAGGAAATTTAATATAAATGTGCACGCATGTATATATACTTACAATAAAAAAGCCAAAAGACCAAAAGCCATTATTTTTTCTCCACTTGCGAAAGATGAATGAAAGCACATATGTGAGGAATATAAGAGAAACTGCACAACCAATTATGCATACCACCTGCAAATAATGAGGATCAATGGCAAGATTAGAAATGGCAGGTCATAGAGGGAAAGAGGAGGGGAGATAATCAGGTCATAAAGCTGCCTAAGGCAATTTTCTTATTTTCTTGCATATTACATGCCTTTTGCTAATGACAAAACATTCATGAAAATGAATTTTCATTTTGATTCTACTATTATAATTGGCTTGTGGAAAAAATGATCACTTACCAAAACAAACATGAGTTCCCATGAAAGCTGGAATCCCAGAAATATGAAGTAGTAAATTAAATGTATTGAAAAGAGAATCAAGAAGTATAATGGAATGTCCACCAGAGCCTGTCCACACCAGTATGCTGAAGGCCAGAGGCCTGAAATCCATAACTGGGATTGAACATTTTTCTGACAAAGAATAGAAGGGATAGAGGAAGGGATCTTAGTTTGAAAAGATTTTGTGGTTATGTAAAAAAAATTGTTTAATAAATTTTAGAAATAGTATGTTATAGTGTCTGTGTGACAAAAAGCATCCTCCTAAAAATCTAGCATCTCCAATGGAAATGTGTAGTTATTGGTTCAACAGAAAAGTCTCAGCTATTTTTAAAGTTAATTTACCCATTGATACAGATTAATGAAGATGACTACACTATATATTTTTAAAGCCCAGTTTATTAAAGCGTAGTTAAATAATTGGAAACACTGTATGTCTGACATTTCATGCTATAGTTAAAAATCTAAATTCCCTTTGGAACTGTGAAATAACTGCATGGATCAAACAGTACCACATCTTCATCCCTGAAGTTTATTTAGCATGATTTCCCTTACAGCTGTGGCAATTTTATTGTGCTAAATGGTAAACTTTCTGACCTCTTTGAAATCATGTGTTTACTATAATCTATACTGATATTAGATTGTAATGTATGTGTAAAAACATTAACCAAAGTACAACTGTGTGTGTATAAAACAATAAAATTGCAATTACTACAGTCAAATAAAATCAATCTCAATCTAATTTCCTCTCTCTCCCTCTTACTTTATAATCGCTGATGCTGCTCATGCCGATAAAAGGAGAAACGCAGTTTGTGATCAACAACAAAAATATGGACCCATCTATAAAACCAAGATCCAGCACTATGTCATCCTGAAAGATGAAAACACATCAGTAAGCTGTTGCAATTGTTACAAATTATACAAACATTATAAGATACGTTTCCAGGAAATAAAGAAAAACTCTAGAAGCATTCACCTGATTTAAGAAGCAAAGAGACAAGCAAACATGTTTTGTTAACCTTAGTGGCAGGTTCCATTCCCAGGAACAGCATGATATAAAAGAAATTCAAAATCTCAATTTTATATGTATATACGGTAGTCTCCCGTTTCCACAGGGGATATATTCCAAGACTCCAAGTGGATGCCTGAAACCTGGATAGTACCAAACCCTATACATAATATGTTTTTTTAATCTGATAACTGAAATGGCTACTAAGTGACTAATGGGTAACATATACAGTGTGGACACACCAAACAAAGGGATGATTCACTTCCTGGGTGGGAAGCAGGACAGGGCAAGATTTCATCATGCTACTCAGAACAGCATGCAATTTAAAACATATGAATTATTTATTTCTGGAATTTTCCGTTTAATATTTTAGAACTACAGTTGACCAAAGGTAACTGAAACATCAGAAAGCAAAATCACTGTGAAGGGGGACTATTGTACTTAGAGGGCATGAGCAGTTTCTCTTTTACATTTACATCTGATATTTTAGGGAGCTACAGTTATCATATCTGAAGCACTGAGTTAAGTTGTCATTTGTTCCAGTTCCCTATTTCCAAGTTGGCCTCTAATAGTGATTGTTGTGAAGCTGGACTTATGCTTAGGCATTATGCCTAACTACGTGCAAGATACAATTAGAAGAGAGCAAATCTTCCCTGCCTACATAATTTGACTTCTAAAATTGTTTAAATTAAACAATTGTCAAGGCATTGAGGGGTCTTTAAGTTTTTTTCAAGACACTGTAATTTATTATTATTATGACAAAAAAAATCTAAAGAAAAGGAGTGCAGAAAAGGTAAGTTTTTGTCATAAATGCAGGTGCAGGTGGAAGGGCAAAAAAGAAGCAATGAAAAGGTTGTTCTAAGAGTATTAGTAAAGATGTGGGAAGAACCAGATTACCAGGGGCTAAATAAATGCACAATCATCAGTGTAAGGGAAGGGTAACACTTATGACTCCATATCCCTGCTTCCCAGTATCACCCCTGGGAAAGGATATTACCCATGTTGTTGATCCTGTTGCTTAATATTAAATGGGCCAATGTCATTGGTTGATGCACATATCTGTTTTCCTCTCTAAGAATCGGACAAGACTTCATCATGCTACTCAGAACAGTGTGCAATTTAAAACTGATAAATTATTTCTAGAATTTTCTATTTAATATTTTTCAACCATGGTTGACCAAGGGTAACTGAAACCGCAGAAAGCAAAATCATAGATAAAGGGGGACTACTGTACTTAGAGTGTACAAGCAGTTTGGGTCCAACTAAAGAGATACCTTTTTTCTCCTTTATATCCTGCACTCTCTACTTGGGTGTACTGCTTAATTTTGCTACCCTAAATCTCTGCTTTTCTTTGCTCCCCCATCTCTCTTCTGCATATCCTCAACTTCATCCTAATGATTCCCAAAGTATGCATTATCTCCATCTACTTCTCTGGGTTCCTTGCTTTTAAAATATTCTACAGAAAGTATCTACTTGGGTATACTCTGCTTTATCTAATATACTAAGTCAAAAACTAATACTAGCATCTCCTCCAAATAAACTTTCCTTTTCAACTTCCCCATTTCTATCAGTAGTTTTGTGACTGTTTCAATTTCCTAAGCTACAAAATTGTCTTCTTACATGCATACCTCTTTTTTATACTTCTTTCAATCTGCCATTTAATGCTACTATTCTATGAAATTCACATGAGTTTTTCTTTTGTCACTTATTCCTCTTCCTGTATGCTGGTCCAGACACTTTTGTTAGCTTCTGTTGGTCCTTGACTGGCATTTGAATATTAATATATGGTAGGAGGATCAGGGGGTCCAGATACACAGAAGGTCAGAGCTAACCAGTGAAAGTCATTATTAGGCAGAGTTCTAATATAGGCATTTGAATCCTTCACCATTGGGATTCCAATGCCATATTAGAACTTGACTTGTGAATGTCCAATTACGTTCCTTAGTATATTTCTATTTATAACTTAAGTATATCAACTTCAGAGGCATTAGTGAGAACTAAATTAAATAATGTATAGTGAGGCCAGATGTGGTGGCTCACACCTGTAATCCCAGCACTTTGAGAGGCTGAGGCGGGTGGATCACCTGAGGTCAGGAGTTTGAGACCAGCCTGGCCAACGTGGTGAAACCCCATCTCTACTAAAAATACAAAAAAATTAGCCGGGTATGGTGGTGCATGCCTGTAATTCCAGCTACTTGGGAGGCTGAGGCAGGAGAATCACTTGAACCCAGGAGGTGGAGGTTGCAGTGAGCTGAGATCTTGCCACTGCATGCCAGCCTGGGTGACAGAATGAGACTCCATTTCAAAAAAAAAAAAAAAAAAATATATATATATATATATGTTATATATATATATAGTGAAATAATAATATTTTTATTTGCTACATGTAGCATTTGCTATATGGGAGGTGCTCAATAACTAAGAATAGTTGTTTTTAAGATGAAAGCACTAGAATTTAAAACAGACCAGGAAGCAATATCAGGCAAGAACCAACAAGTAGCTAAGGAACAGATGACACGTAGCTTAGTGAAGTACACATTTCAAAGTCTAGAAGGATAATAAGAAACAAAAAGGGCATAATTTTAAAATAGTGGGAAAATGAGGTTATTAAGAGAAGTCATGACAGCTTTAGAAGACACCTTCAGCAATCAGAGGCAATGTACAGCCAAATCTAGACGCAAGTGAGCCTCACAGAATTGTGGAGATAGTGACTCTTCTATGCTAGTGGTTCTCTAAGTGTGGTCCCAGACCAGCAGCATCAACGTCACCCGGTACTTACTGGAAATGCAAGTTCTCAGACCTCACATCTGATCTACTAAATCAGAATCTCTGGGGATGGTGTCCAGTAATCTGTTTTAACAAGCCCAGCAGGTGATACTAGTGTATGTTAAAGTGGAAGCACCTCTGGTCTATGACTTCTGCTGGCATATAAATCAGCCCCAAGATTTGAGGTGTCCCTGAGAAAGGATGTTATTAAATCTGAGTAAAAGGGAAATTGTGACTGAAAATAAAAATAAATTATCCTCCACAATGGGTGAGCAGTAAAATATACTATACTAATCCCTATTCTTACTATAATTGATCATTTTGTTTGGTTATGCATGAGTAAAAGAATGAATAATTATTGTTTTCTTTAAAAAGAAAATACCTGTTTCTGGTGAAAATGCAACAACTAGAAAAAGACTGAAATTCTTAACTTTCCTAAAGAAACACAATTTCCATTTGAATATTTTAAAAGTTATTCATGAGGGACTAAGAGAGAACTCACCTTCCCTGGATCCACAGGAGACAATTTAATATCCAAATTGCTTCCTTGACAAGCCTTCCGAACATTAATTTTGTCTAGATTTATATACATTGCAAGAGAAGAAGGTTATGTATCTATGCATCATCTCCTCTGTTTTCTGATTCGGTTTAGCAAAAAAGTAGATTAAAGAGCTCTATCTGTTGAACCCAGGAGGCGGAGGTTGCAGTGAGCCGAGATCACACCATTGCACTCCAGCTTGGGTGACAAGAGCAAAACTCCATCTCAAAAAAAAACAAAAAAACAAAACAAACAAAAAAAAAACCTCTATCTGAACCTCGTCAAAAGGGAAAAATAGAACCCCATGTAAGAGACCTACCTAACATGTTGGAGCAATCAACAACGAATGTATTTGATGTCTGGAGGTAATATGCTAAGACAAATATTCTGTGAGTTCATGAGTAATAATCTTAGTAAGCAGATTCAGAAACTAAACTCAGGTAACTGATGGGTCCCTCTGGGGCCCACTGGCCACATGAGACCCATTCAGCTCTGTGCAGGGTGAAAGGCTACCTGGAAAAGATAAATGTGTGTCATACTGCATCTGAAGCAAAAGCCTCAAGAGTAACTTCTTTCCTCAGCTCCATTTCTATTTACTCCACCTAAGGATTAACATAACATTCCCCAAAACACTGGGGAAAAGAAAGGAGGAAGGAAGAAGCAGAACAGTCAAAAGGAAAGGTACCCTCTATCAGACTGCAGGTGATAAGGAGGTCAACCCATGCTACTTTCTGCATGAGCAGAATTTCTTTATCTTGATATTCTCTACGGAATTCTCTTTAGCAACACCCAGAGGCCCTGGCAAGCTTCCTGCTACCATTGAGGGGAAAACCCCAAATACCATCTTTCTTCCTCCAGAGCTGGCTCATGCTCAGCCAGACCTATTTTCCCTACAGAGAAAGCTTTTTTATTAAATGCAGGGTGAACTACAGTGGTTTGCACTCAGTAAACCCAGCATACATTCAATTCTGAAAAATCCGAAAGCCCTTTAAATCATATTACTTAAAAGTTGCAAGATAATTTTTATGTCTTTACAGTAATGAAGAGTTTGTCCGACAAAGGCTAACTGTAACATGCTTCCACAGTAATGATAATAATGGCTCATGGTTGTGCGATACATTAAACACTTTTAAAAATAATATCTTAGTTGAATGTTACGTCTACTTTATGAGGTAGAAAAAGCAAGTATTAAAATAAAAAAATTTTAAAGACAGGACTATTACAGATTATCTGCTTGCAGTTCCCATCTTGCAGAAGAGAAAGCTGTGCCATAATGGTAACAAACGGTGCACAGCATAACCAGTTATCCAGTCTACCCACTCATTCATCCATTCAACAAATATTTATAGAGCTTCTGCTCCGTGCAATGCATCATCCTTTGTGCTAGAAATAAGTCAAGTATAATTATTACTTTCAAGAAGTTCATATTTGAAAAACAATGACAAACTGAGTCTGAACTCAGTTCCACTGAAAAATAAATTAGGAGGGTCTTTAAGCATTAAAGCATCTGCTGAAAAGTCCTGGAGGATGTTAGGAGATTGATTAAAAAAAAAGGGAAGACAACATCGATTCTATATTAAAAGTAAACAATTAAGGGTAAATAAAGGCATGATTAACTCTGGAAGTACTGGGAAATAGATGAAATTATATTAGATCTCACTCTTGAGAAATTACCAGAACTAAGTTTTGATTATATTTTTCTTATTTTTGCTCTGAACTGGTAGCACATTGCTATTACCATCCAGAGAGACACTGTATTGTTTTATATTAGATAGTTTCTCTACTTACAATTAAATCACCCTATCTCATTCGCAGAAAACTAGAGTTTGCATTATATGGTATTAATTTCTTATTATGCAATTTTCCAATAAAATTTCATTATCTAAAACCACTATGCATATTCTTGCTAACATCCACATGATTTCTATAATTTTTTCCCTTTTTTATCTATCATAATCAAACACACCAGTTAAGAATTTGACAATTTAGAAAGAATAACTAAATTGCATCTGATCAAAAATTGCACTTCACACCCCAAGTTATAAAACATAAAGAAGCCAAACCAAAAAAAAGCACTGCAGAATTTTAAATGACAAAGAACAATAGAACTGTTAAAAAATCATAATTTTAGAATTGGACCATATTTTATCATAAATCCCTTTGGTGGAGATATACATATACATATGTGGGTGTGTATACATACATACACACTCTTTTGCATTTGCATTAATCAGCGTATATGTCTTATATTCATCTAACTCTCCAGGGAAATCTGACACTCTGACATAAAATTAAGGATTTAGGTTTAAGATATCTCTGATATTCTTCATTTCCAACCAAATCCATTCACTGATTTAAGTAAATACGCATTGAGTACCTAGTAAGTTGTATATGGTAAACCAAAGTCAAAATTATGAGTTTTCAACAGTCCTATGATTTTTTTCTCTTTTATTTTAAATTTTGCAGTGTCCTTTTGGATCTTGGCTCTTCTAATGTTCTGTGTTGGACTGTGATTCTTAATCAGACAAGATTTTAAACTAGAGGGGTGAGGCCAGCCATAAAACATAACTCTACAGCATACCAAGTGGTAATAAATGTAATGGAAAAAATAAATCAGGATAAGGGATAGGAAGTGATAGGTTACATCTAATTTACTAAGTAAATAATTATATATTTAAATTTTTCCATAAAACTTTTGAATTTTAAAAATTTAATTAGACTAAACATAACAGTACTTGAAAGATTCTTGATCTTTCAGAATAAGTAATAGCAAACATGTATTTGAATGTTTCCTCTTTCCTTTATAGGAACGTAAGCTCCATATGGGTGAGATTTTTGTCTATTCTGTTCATGCTGTATTCTCAACATCTAGAAGTACCAGAAAATAGTACACTCAGGAAGTAGTTATTGAATAAATTTAAATGTGTATATATATTTATATGTAAATATATATATATATGTATGCCATGCTATGTTCTAGGTACTCAGTAAATTCATTTAATCTTCACAATAATTCTATAAAGTAGGTACTATTACGCTCCCTACTTTGCAGATGAAGACACAAAGGCAAGGAGTAGCTAAGAAACTTGCTGTTAAGTGGCAGAAACAAGATTTGAACTCACATGGTAGGCTCTAGAGCCCTCATCCTTTATCCCTCTGCTGTGTTGCCTCTTATATAAGTCGAATACTCTACTTACACGAGAAAATGAAGTGCTCTCCATTTGAATAAGCTCCGTGAAGTTAAAAATTCCCATAAGGGCATTGCTAACAATTCCCATAAGAACAGGAAAACAATTCAATTTCTTGGTATTACACGCAACAGAAAATCTGTAATCCTTGAAAAAAAGTACACAAATATAAGTTATAAATTCTTATAGTAAATATATTTATTGTATACTTTGTATATTACCAGAGTGGAATTAGAATGAGAAGGAGACTATTAATTTTTCTTTGACACTTCTGCCTTCTTTGAATTGGTACAAGAATGCATTATTTTTGTAATTCAAGTGACTTGTTTTGTAAATGAAATGGATTAACATTTACTAACATGAAAAGATGTCAAATATTTATATTTTATGTGACAAAGAAAGTTTCAAGCCTCCTCTAATATGATGCCAATTTAGAAAACATACTTAAGTTTCCTATAGTTCTAAGTATTAGGACGTGGCAAAAAAAACAAAAAAAAACCAAAAAAAAACAGTGCATAGAAGCAAACATACCTTCTGGTCACCAGACACTATGATGGCTCCATTGTAGGAGGGATCATCTGAGCCATTTCTGTTTCTAAAGTCATCTATTTCCAAAACTATATCCTGACACTTCAGTGAATGCACGAGGTCTTCAATATTTGATCCTAACATAGTGGAAGGAAGGCAACAAGAAAAAAAAAAAAAAAGCAAGAAAATCAAAGTCAAAGCTTAAAATAATAATGATTGCCAATCGTGTTAAGAAAAACCCAGAATAGCTTAGTAAAGAGCCTTGCTCTTTAGGAGTACAATACTATTCATTCTGATGCTACCACATTAAGTTCCATTTACTATCTTCAATGTGACGGACTCCTTTATTCTTTTCAGAAATATATTCATTTATCTTATAATTCTCACCAGGTGAAAAGAGTTTATGAAAATAAGATTGCATTTCTCACAGGAAGAAAATTTGCTAGGAGTGACTTTTATAAACTTTACCAGAACCCTGTAATATTTGTAATTATGAATAATACATACAAAATATACCTCATGACCCAGGCTTGTTCTAGTGATCCTGTCAACCTTAAATGGCACTAACCTTGCCATGATATTTAAAGTACTAGTAACCCATTCAAAACATCTTTATGGAATTAAGTTAACTTGATATTTGCCATTGTGCCCATTATTTTTCTTGACTTGATTTCCATCATAGATGGAAAGGAAGTCAAGTTGGTCACAGGGAGAAGTCAAGCTATGATGCAGCCTCCACATCTGAATCAACCACCCCCGCACCAAGGGAGCTCTGGATTTAAAAGGACCCATCAGGGAGAGAATCCACAGATCCTTTGAAAGAGGCGGCTTGCAGCTGCAGGCTCCATGAGACAGCTGAAAAACTGAGTGCCCTCGGTGTGAAAGGGCAATGTGTGTCCCCAAACACACATCCTCACTGGGGAATCCGAAGGTTGAGATCACGGGAGGATTTTACCTTACCTGGAGCTAAGACGAATTTAGAAA
Organism: Homo sapiens; assembly: GCF_000001405.40. NCBI lineage: Eukaryota > Metazoa > Chordata > Mammalia > Primates > Hominidae > Homo > Homo sapiens. Next base: position 69,183,656 of record NC_000017.11, read on the forward strand.
GCCAAGCGAAATATAGGGGTAGAGGAAGCAGTGGGAGGAACCCTGTGGGCACTCTCAGCCCCCAGGGAAGCCATTTTTGACTTTGTCTCAGAGGGGTCCTTGGGGAGGGCTGCCAGTGGAATTGGGGAAAGACCACAGGAAGAAGGAAACTTCCAGCTGAACTTTGTAATAATTTTAACCAAATGCATAGTTTCCTGGACAGAATCTTGGGGAAGGAATGATCAGGGAGTGCAGATTCAAGCACAGAAGCCATGGCAGGGGGAAGGCACATAACCGGAGAGCCCTGCTTGCTTTCTCAAAGGGAGTCTTGTAGCATGGGGTGAGTTCTCAGTCCTGCTCACCAGCTGCCTGGAAACAAACTCAGTTCTGTTGTAGGGGCATTGAGACCACTTTGCGGGCTGTGTGGGAACTGAATGAGGCCTGTCACTGCCGGCTTTCCCCTACTTCCCTAGCGACCTGTACGATGCAGCAGAAGCAGCCATAATCTCCCTGGGAACATAACTCCATCGGCCATGCCCCACAGGAGCTGCTGCAAGCCCTGTCCAAGTACAGTCTAAGCTCAGACGTGCCTAACCCTGCCCTCACCTGCTGGTCTTTCTCCACCCGCCCTGGTAAACATAATCTCTTGGAAGTTCTATGGCCCTGACCCACCACCTGAGAAACCTGAATACTTATCCAGGCGACCCTAGGGCAAGCTTGCATCCTCCCTATACTACCATAGCTGATGCTCTCTTGAAAGTGCCACCTCCAGGCTGGAGGCTGACCAACACTGTTCCAGCACACTAAACAAAACTACAACCAAGGACCCTCACAGAGTCCACTTCACTCCCCTGCTACCTCCACCAGAACAGGTGCTGGTACCCACGGCTGCGAGACCTGAAGATGGATCAAAAAATAATAGATGTTGGCATGGATGTGATGAAAAGGGAACACTTTTACACTGTTGGTGGGAATATAAACTAGTAAAACCACTATGGAAAACAGTGTGGAGATTCCTTAAAGAACTAAAAGTAAGTCTACCGATTGATCCAGCAATTCCACTCCTGGGCATCTACTCAGAGGAAAAGAAGTCATATGAAAAAGATACTTGCACACACATTTATAGCAGCACAGTTCACAATTGTGAAAATATGGAACCAGCCCAAGTGCCCATCCATCAACAAGTGGATTAAAAAAGTTATATATATATGTATATGTGTGTGTGTGTGTGTGTGTGTATATATATACACACACACACATACATATATATAACTTTTTAAATACACACACACACACACACACACACACACACACCTTGGAATACTACTAATCCATAAAACGAAATGAAGTAATGACATTTGTAGCAACCTGGATGGAGTTGGAGACCATCATTCTAAGTGAAGGTAACTCAGGAATGGAAAACCAAACATCATATGTTATCACTTATAAGTGGGAGCTAAGCTATGAAGGTGCAAAGGCATAAGAATGATACAATGGATTTTGAGGACTTGGGAAAGGGTGGGACGGGGTTGAGGGATAAAAGACTACACATTGAGTGTAGTGTACACTGCTCAGGTGATGAGTCCACCAAAATCTCAGAAATCACCATTAAAGAACTTATACATGTAACCAAACACCACCTGTTTTCCACAAACCTATTGAAATAAAGATAATACAAAATAAAAAATATTAAAAAAGAAAATTAACCCATCAGTTTCCTTCATTTGAAAATGGAGCAAGCTGGATAGACACCATTTTTGTTTTCAATTGTCTCTCAGGTATGTGCTTTCTAAAGATCTTTGATAATAAAAACTCACACTAAATTTCAGCCCCATTTCTCACCTGTATTATTAACGATTAACAGGCTGGTAAGAGGCGTCTTCGGGATTTGTTCCAGAGAAAGGAAATACATACTGGGTGAAAACTCCCAACAATGAGTTTCACGAGTTACTTTATACATTATCTTCTCTAGAATGATGGGGATAAAAGCAATTCCAAGTACTAGTAACCTAAGTAAAACAAAATTATAACATGAGTCTGAAGCAATTTTCCTCTGGTTATTTAAGTCACAAAGATGCTATATAAGTGCTAACTATGGAAAGTCCACATGCATATGTGGTGTTTAGTTAGATAAAATGAAACATACAGTGACAGTAATCTGAAAATCAGCACAAAAAAATTACATACTTTGTATCACATTGGAAGATATTCAAGGGTAACAGAGCATCAAGAGAAAAGGTGGAATCCAGGGGCAATCCTCTGCAGGTATGCTGGTTTACCAGGAAAACACAGGAAATGATTTTATGAGATAACAGGGGCCACAAATTGCCTGCTTGGGTACTTTTGATGAGAAAGAAGCCCTATTTTACACTGCAGCCTCAAGCTTGCTATGTGCACAATTGCAAGTAAAATTTTAACTTTCTTCAATTGTTAGTTTACAAATATTTTAATTTTCAGGAAACTAAATGCAATATTTAAAACACTATTTTTATATCCTAGAAGTCATCCCACCAACTCAAATTGCAAGTGAAATGCTTCCAAGCAATCTTTGTTTCTCTAATAAGCCATGAGTCCACTCTGCAATGACTACTTTCCCATCAGACTTCATACTCTACCTCCTTCTCCCTATCAGCCATATATTTCATAGAAAAAAAAAATGGAGTCTATAGGACAGAAACTCCTTCATCTTATCGCCGCCAAAAGAAAAGAAAACACATACACAGATTCAGTCATCCTCTCATTCTTTTATTCTGTTGAAGTAGATAATAGATCTTTGCTCCTAACAAAAAGATCAGTCCTTGTCAACATTGCGATGAATCCAAACTCTCCACCCTCCGTCTATCTCTCATTCATTATAAAATCAACTTTCTTCCCGACTTCACATTGCCTTTTAGCTTCTGCTCTTTCTACTCCGCTCCACAGTCAAGCACCGCAAAAGAGTTGTCTACTTTCAGACCTTCTCTTGCTAAAACCTTTAATAACTTCCCTTTTGCCAAATCCAATGGATGCTTTGTTTCTCAACTGTTATTAACCCTCCATATTTTCTAATCTTGGCTTAAACGTAACAATTTCAGTAAGACCAACACCAGCAAACCTATTTAGAATTGTAATGTACCTCCAACTCCTGTCATCCCTCCCTATCCCCTTTTCTACTCTAGTTTGTATAACCTGGCATATAAGTTATTTAGTTTTATATTCAGTATTTTTCATCTTTTCCACCCAACCAGATGTAAACACCATTAGAGTAGGGATCTGTGCCTTTTGTGTTCACTAATATAACCAAAGCTCCTAGAACAATGCCTAGTATACTATAACAGGCTTCAATAAAGATTTGTGATATAATGGAACAAGTTTAAAGGCCTTATCAATTTTGTTCACTACAGTAGTAAAACTGTGCCCCAAAGAGTTAAAGAAATCAATGACTAGCAGAAATTATTGAGTTTGTAGGGTGTCAGATTGAAAGAAGAAAAAAAAAAGAAACAATTTGCTGAAACACTGAAACTCCCTCAGCTTGTAAGATAATAAAACTGGCTGAAATCAGCTGAAACCAATATGGCCAATTACAGTCGGTCCAGAATCATCCTGCCGACTTCACAGCCTGAATTTCCACCATATATTTCATACCAACTGCGCTTGAATTTGCACAAGGGATACATGAGGAGGCATGAAGAGATATCTGTACATGCCTGAGGACTTTCCAGACCTCTCCTTTTCTTCTACCATGCTAATCCCAGGACCCACCCCCTAAACCTTTGCTAATAAAATTACTGCCTTAAAGTCAGCACAGGGAGACAGATTTGAGCTGGTCTCCTGTCTCCTTGTGAGTCAACTAGCAATAAAAACCTTTTCTTTCCTCAAAAATCCAGTGTCACAGTATTGGCTTCTAGCACATGAGGCAGTCAGGCCCTTTTCCTCAGTAACAGCAGGATAGGTAAACATACAAAAAAACTGTTAAATGAATGAATAAATTAATATATTTACTTTCTTAATATTTGAATGTTTTTTCATATACTGACCAAATAGATATAAAGTAATCTGATACTCACAAACACAAAAGAGCTCTCCTTTCACGCCTTAACTTTAAGAAGCGAAGTGTTGCCACTGCATAGATTTGTCGTCTCCAGAGAGCTGCACTACTGACAGCCTTTCTTGTTTCAGGAAGAGAACAAAGAACCTGTTCCATTTCAGACTCATCTCCAGTATTTCTTGTCACATGTATTTTCTCTTGTTTCCCAATGTCAAAATCTACAATCATGTAATAAAACATTTTAATAGGCTATGTTATCTGAACTTTCTCTTTAAAAACTTTGAAAATGATGTTAGACTATTTGAAACAGCACTTCCAACAAGTTAAGCTACTGATATCCATAATCAAAATTTACGTTAAAAATCTTTCCTTCAAACATATGTAATGGATTCAGTTCCAATGAGACAGTAAATTAATTTTTGAGGATGATTAAGGCTTCCTAACAAGCATTTATTCTTTCATACCAATAACAGTAGCTCTTCACTAATGGATACTTTTGCAGAGCAAGTTTTATGCAGAAGCACAAAGACAAATTTATGTAGCTGAGTTTCCAACAGGCCTCCTCTGTCATCTGGAATTTCCCCTACAGGATTAGTTCAACACTGATGATTGACATCTCAGTAACGAGTTCAAGACATTGTGCTTTCAAATGATGGAAAGTTCATGGAAAGGCCTCCTGTTTGAGTCCCACATATACCACACATTTACTGTATAATTTTGGCTAATCACACAACTTCAAATATCAGTTTTCTCATGGGCAGCTTGATGTTATTATGGGAATTTAAAACAATATAATTCAAGGACTGAGTACAATGGCTGGTATCTAGTAGCCTCCTAAATTCTTTTTTTTCTTTCCAATTTTTATTTTTGGTGCAGGCTTGCTACATGGGTAAACTGTGTGTCATTTAGGTGCAGGCTTGTTACATGAGTAAATTGCGTGTCATGGGGATTTGGGGGTTTGGTGTACAGACAATTTTGTCATCCAGGTAATCAGCATAATACCCACTAGGTCATTTTTCAATTCTCATCCTCCACACTTAAGTAGGCCCTGGTGTCTGTTGTTCTCTTCTTTGTATTCGTGTGTATTCAATGTTTACTTCTCACTTGTAAGTGAGAACATATGGTATTTGGTTTTCTGTTCCTGTGTTAATTTCTTTAGGATAATGGCTTCCAGCTTACTCCATGTTGCTGCAAAGGACATGATCTCATTCTTTATGGTTGCGTGGTATTACATAGTGTACATGTAACACCTTTTCTTTATCCAGTCCACCACTGATGGGCATCTAGGTTGATTCCATGTCTCTGCTATTGTGCATAGTGCTGCAATGAACGTATCTGTATATGTCTTTATGACAGAATGATTTATATACCTTTGGCTATATACTCAGTAATGGGATTGCTGGGTCAAATGATAGTTCTATTTAAAGTTCTTTGAGAAATCTCTAGACTGCTTTCTGCAGTGGCTGAACTAATTTACATTCCCACCAACAGGGCATAATCATTCCCTTTTCTCCACAACCTCATCAGCATCTGTTATTTTTTTACTTTTTAATAATAGCTATTTTGACTGGTGTGAGATGGTATCTCGTGGTTTTGATCTGCATTTCCCTATTCATTCATGATACAGAGCATTTTTGATATGCTTGTTGATTGCATGTATGTATTCTTTTGAGAAGTATCTGTTCATGTCCTTTGTCCATTTTTTAATGGGGTTGTTTTTGGCTTACTGATTTAAGCTCCTTATAGATTCTGGATATTATACCTTTGTTGGGTGCATAGTTTGCAAATATTTTCTCCCATTCTGTATGTTGTCTGTTTACTCTGTTGATAGTTTCTTTTGCTGTGCAGATGCTCTTTAGTTTAATTAGGTCTCACTTGTCAATTTTTCTTTTTGTTACAATTGCTTTTGGAGTCTTCATCATGAAGTCTTTGCCAGGACCAATGTCCAGAATGGTATTTTGTAGGTTTTCTTCTCAGGTTTTTATAGTCTTAGGTTTTACATTTAAGTATTTAATCCATCTTGAGTTTATTTTTGTATAGGGTGAAAGGTAGGGCTCTAGTTTCAATCTTCTGCCTGTGGCTAGCCAGTTATCCCAGCACCATTTATTGAATAGGGAGTCATTTCCCCATTGTTTGTTTTCACTGGCTTTGTTGAAGATCAGATGACTGTAGGTTTGTGGCTTTATTGCTGGGTTCTCTAACTTGTTCCGTTGGTCTATGTATAGTAGCCTCCTAAATTCTTCTAATTTTTATTACAAAGTAAACTAAGGAAATAACATCTTATTTTATTACTTCTTATTAATACATTAATTAGAATTAGTTTATTAGCTAATTAAGAGCACATTTTTATAAGGAATGGCAAGTAAGAGGCAATAGCAGAATTCATCGCTATAGCAGAGAGCTTTTGATAATAAGGAAGAAGTGGTCATTGCAAAGAGATGTGCCTGTCACTGACATGGGAAGCAGACAGATGTTGGAAAGCAATTTGCCTAGCACCAAGGCTGATTATACTCGATATAAAATGATTATAATACTGGACAATGCTAGTATTTTCTATCTAGTGGACAATGCTATTTTCTATCTAATGCATATTATAGGTAGAAATCCACATAAAAATCTACAAATATGAATTAGAACATCATCTTTTTCTCTTCTCTTTTTTTTCTTAATTTTCTGCTAGACACACATTTTTATACCTGGTTCATCAATTGCTGATTTTCCTTCTAGGTTCAAGAATACTTCATTCAGAGATGTCACTGAAACAGCATAATTCCTTATGCCCTGGTCAGAACACTTATCAAGGTCACTGTAAAGATCTAAAAAGCCAATAGTAATAAGTCAACGCAATTAAAATTATCAATGAGTATATTAAAATACTAATTTCTAAATATTACTCAAAATAGATGTCTACAAATGTTTTCATATTAAAGCAATCACAATAATCCAAGGAAACCTTTTCTGTAAGATATTCTCTTGTCATTCAAATCAGTTTTAATATTTTACATTTCCATTTTGTTTCATAAACTTTAAAATTCTTGTATCATTATTGCTGTGTGTGTTTGTATAAGCATGTATCTGTATGTCTATCTAAAAATTTATTAAGTTATACCTTATCCTTTGTATTTTCTAACTTTTCTATACTAACCATTTTATATATATAATAAAATTATTATAATTTTCAAAGACTCTATTGAACTGCTTACATATATTTTAAAAGATAAAGTCTCATTTCATCTGTATTTCTAACAGAAACTGCTATTTCAGAAAAGAGATATTTCAAAGTTTAATTTTGACAAAGAGTGCAAATCGGGGTTTCTATATTCATGGAAATTTTAGTTGCTATAATACGTCCCTGGTAACATAGATCATCATATTGGAAATAGGAACAGATTACTTATGAATAAATATTTTCATTTGTATAAGCTTTAGAACTCGATTCATAGAACAACAGAAAATGCAGTCAGCACAATCGTGAACACTTACATATATTCTATGTGATTACACAGTAAGTTACCTGGAAATTTGTTCGTTTTTTCCAAAGGCAAACTATATACAAGTTTTTCTTCACTTTCTGTTGTTAACTTGGCATCAGGAATGTGCTGCTTAATAAGGGATGTGATTTTTTCTGTGTCACACATTTCATTCCTGTGTAAACTATTATTTCAAAAGAGCCATAAGTCTCTTGAATTCTTTTCCAACACCACCACTCATGAAAAGATAGTTTTCTATTAAACAGCTTATATGTATTACAGGCATATTCTACTTAACTCTAGTAATTGGTTCCTGCAAATCAGATACTCCACTTCAAATTGCTAATTCAACTTCAAAGTGCTAATTGGTAGCCTATTTTGCATTATTTCAAATGGAAAAATTATAGTACATATCAACACCAATTCCTTTAAATGTAACTAAAGCACAGTGACATTTTAGCATACATACACACATACACAAACACACATACACACATGCAAATACATGTGTATAAAAGTTATTTTATGTGTGTGTATATATACATATATAAAACTATCATTATTGTGCTACATGTGTGATATACATAAAAAACAATCATGATAGGATATAAGATACATGAAACATTGCTTCTGAATAACTGGAAAATTCATAAGGTTTTTAATAAACAGTTGCTTTCTATGCATTAAGTGGTTTCTCTTAATGTCAACAACTTCTATTTGCAGAGCTTGTTTGTGAGTATTTGATGCTTTCTAAAATGTTCCCATGTGATATTCTGCCATTCTATCAATTAGATTTGGAATATAACTACAGAAATTTAGGCCAAATTGTTTTGCTAAAAGTAAACAATGGCTTATTGAGGACATAAAGATAATTTTTTTCTATACAAATATTGGCTTAAAAATGTCGTATAGGCCGGGCGCGGTGGCTCATGCCTGTAATCCCAGCACTTTGGGAGGCCAAGGCAGGCAGATCACGAGGTCAGGAGATCGAGGCCATCCTGGCCAACATGGTGAAACCCCATCTCTACTAAAAATACAAAAAATTAGCTGGGCATGGTGGCGCATGCCTGTAATCCCAGCTATTCGGGAGGCTGAGGCAGGAGAATCGCTTTAACCAGGGAGTTGGAGGTTGCAGCCACTGCACTCCAGCCTGGCAACAGAGCGAGACTGTGTCTTCAAAAAAACAAACAAACAAACAAACAAACAAAAAAGTTGTATTAAGAAGTATACTTTGTTTTTTAATTAGCATGCTTAAAACCAAGAGATAACCAAGAAAGGAAATGTTAATGAGGAAGACATTTTGAGCTGTTTATTGCAAAACAGTTTCTACCAGAAGTTAAGTTGCCTTTCTTATATTTCTAAAGGCTTCTACAAAATGTCACCCTCATATTAATATGCTCATTTAAAAATAACTACACCTAGAATACATACCTTAAATGATATCCAATACCCCACTTTCGCTTCAGAAACAAAGATGATCCTGCACATTTCAACTTCCCATTAGACAGAAATACTTTCCTATCTGAGTAGAAAGGAAGATTCAAAAAATTATGTGAAGAGTAATTCCTTATATGGTATATTCTCTACTTTGGATACTAAAACACTGAATGAAATTTGTAATATCAATACAACTGTAATATCATTAAGCCCCTGGGTGCAGTATCATTTCTAATCCCCATGCCTATTGTGAAACAGGCCTCAGAAATTCACTGCATTCCCCATAGCTAATCCAGTGCCTCAAAACTTTCCAAGGATGGCCTGATTCTTCACCTCTTCCTTTGTCCACATACTTTGCCATGTAACTTTGCAGGGTTACACCCCATGTGACCTGTTGTAGCCAATGGCATGTGGAGGCTTGAAATGGGCTTCTGCAAATAAACTGCAAACAAGATTTTCTTCTTTTGAAAACAGGCTATGAAAAATAACTCTCATGTTAAATCCTTAAATAACTAGTTGGAATAAAGAAGCCAAGAATCACCAGCCAAGATGTCAGCCTCATCCATGAATTGGGTACTGAAGAGGATAAGTCGGTCTACTTTATGCTCCTTCAGGAGGCTCCACACTCGGTGTCTTGAAAAGGGATCCAATCCAGCAGTTGGTTCATCTAGCAGCAAAACCTACAGAGGAGGAAACGTATGAAAGCATCTTCCTCTTCACAGTGAGGATCTTCAGAAAGCACCATGAAAACAAGTATGATTTCTAGACTCAAATACAGTCCTCCACCAGATCCCTAACAAGCTTGCATGGTACTTTATTATAAATTTTCCCTCACATTTGGTAATTACAGTAGAAGTTGGACTTTAATAATAGTTGTATATCCTTCAATCTAAATTAATTGTAAAAATATATTTTTTCTCTCACCTGAGGATCTCCTAAGATGGCAATCCCTAGTGTTAGTTTTCTCTTCTGCCCACCACTTAATTTTTTAGCAATAATGTCTTGAATGCTTTGCATGTCTAATTCCATTATAATTCTTTTTACCTATCAAAGAAAACTCTGTGTTAACAATATCAAATATTTTACTTTAAGGAGTTTTTACTCTCTAAAAATGAAAAGGATTTAGTCTAGAACTTCGTTGATTAAGCTTTACCTATCAAAGAGTAGAGTAATAGCTGAACAAAAAAAATATATAGTCAAAAGTAAATTATTTCCAAAGCCATCAATCTTAATGTGTTCCTGTACCTCTTGTTCCACTTCCTTTGGCTGAATCCCTTTTATTTTAGCAAATACCCTGAGGTTTTCTCTCACAGTGAGGAAGTCAAATTGAAAATTGAACTGTGGACAAAATCCAATATTCTTTCTAATTTCTTCCATGTCAGTTATTTCAGAGAGTTGAGTATTATAAATAGTGGCTGATCCTATAAATAGAAATTTAAAAGGCTTTACTGCCAGAATGTTAATTCTATGCAGAGTGATAATATATGTTAGTATTTAGATTTTGTTCAAAAAACTTGTTTTTATTAAAGAAACTTCACATTTTCCAATTGCATAATTAATACATTGAATAATTCAGATTACTGTTAACGTAAATATCTGTGTCCACAGCAATGCAAAATATACATGGAATGTCAAATAATAGTGGAATAGAGATACAAATGTTTTCATGAATTTATGTGCATATGAAATCAATATTTCCTGCTCTAAATTATTCAACTGTGTAACAAGTCCAATTTAGAGAAACATTTTTTACATAATCAAACCAATTTACAACTTGCTTTTTCAGCCAACTTACTTTATAAAACTGTTTTCTCACCTTCTGTAGAAACAGACAATCCACTAAGAATGTTTAGCAGTGTTGATTTACCAGCTCCATTATGCCCAAGTATTGCAGTGATCTGTCCTTCATATATGTCAAAAAATATGCCTGTTTTAGAATAAAAAGTGGAAATTAGATTTTGGATTATATGCAGATGGAATGGACCTTAAAATTGGAAAAGTAAAATATATCTCAGCATTTCATTTCATTGGTATTTTAATACATCCCCTATAAAATTATACATTTAATTGTATAAGTTATGTATTCCTGAAGACAAAGCTTCAATTTGGAGAAATTGGATCAAGACTGGGAATATAAATTTCTACCCTCTTGCTTCCTTCAAATCCTTTGAATGTCAAAGAATCTATACACTTAATATTAAATAATAAAACAAAGACTACTAGAAATAAAAACAAAACGTAGTTTATTTGCTTCCTAGGCAAAGGAAAGAAGTGTGGCTTAAGAAATTGTCTCCCTGAGGCTTGCAGAGCTGGAAACAGAAGGGCTGGGTATAGAGAAAAGGGGAAGAGTTTATTTCATATTCGGAGGGAGGTAGAACTGATAAAGAAAACATTGGTAAAGTATCTCCTGGTACTGGTCATCATTTTGCTTTATATCACAAAAGTGTGGGCATGATATTTAGAAATATCTGCTGGGATCTAAGACATGTCACAGGCATTTTCACATATATGTGCCTAAGGCTTGACAACTTTTTCTTTAATGTTTGAAAACTTAACTCCACCGGAAAATAAGAATTCAGTTAGCATGCTGGAAATTTTAAAAGATTCTCTGAAGACAGAAAACAGAGGGAATTAGATTGTCAGAGCGTCAAAAATCAGGCAAACCACAGGCCAAAATAGACGATGAAGAGTTCTATGAAAGTAAAACCAGTTTCACTAATACTTCGAGCTTAGTTTGATAAAGTCAGGTCAAAGATTATAAACCGGTATAAACAGTGTATTCCTATTGTTGAAAAAATATTTTATATATAAATGTATATATACAAAAAAGATAATATATTATTGGTAATTATCCCTCATGGCAGAAACATATTTTAATTTTTTTGTTTTCTCTTTATTCTCTAATTTTCCACAATAATGATATTTTCACATCACAGAAATGTTTTTGTGTTTTAATTTGAAGCATTATCAAACAATGAAGTTTTTCTTTTTTTTTTTTTTTTTTAGTATTTATTGATCATTCTTGGGTGTTTCTCAGAGAGGGGGATTTGGCAGGGTCATAGGACAATAGTGGAGGGAAGGTCAGCAGATAAACATGTGAACAAGGGTCTCCGGCTTTCCTAGGCAGAGGACCCTGCGGTCTTCCGCAGTGTTTGTGTCCCTGGGTACTTGAGATTAGGGAGTGGTGATGACTCTTAAGGAGCATGCTGCCTTCAAGCATCTGTTTAACAAAGCACATCTTGCACCGCCCTTAATCCATTTAACCCTGAGTGGACACAGCACATGTTTCAGAGAGCAAGGGGTTGGGGGTAAGGCCATAGATTAACCGCATCCCAAGGCAGAAGAATTTTTCTTAGTACAGAACAAAATGGAGTCTCCCATGTCTACTTCTTTCTACACAGACACAGCAACAATCTGATTTCTCTTTCCTTTCCCCACACTTCCCCCTCTTCCACTGGACAAAACCGCCATCATCATCATGGCCCGTTCTCAATGAGCTGCTGGGTACACCTCCCAGAGCGGGTGGCGGCTGGGCAGAGGGGCCCCCCACCTCCCAGACGGGGCGGCTGCCGGGCGGGGGCTGCCCCCCACCTCCCTCCCGGACTGGGCGGCTGGCCGGGCAGGGGCTGCCCCCCACCTCCTGGAGGGGGCGGCTGCCGGGCGGAGATGCTCCTCACTTCCCAGACGGGGTGGCTGCCGGGCAGAGGGGCTCCTCACTTCTCAGACGGGGCGGCCGGGCAGAGACGCTCCTCATCTCCCAGACAGGGTGGCGGTCGGGCAGAGACACTCCTCAGTTCCCAGACGGGGTCGCGGCCGGGCAGGGGCGCTCCTCACATCCCAGATGATGGGCGGCGGGGCAGAGGCGCTCCCCACATCTCAGACGATGGGCGGCGGGGCAGAGACGCTCCTCACTTCCTAGACGGGATGGTAGCCGGGAAGAGGCGCTCCTCACTTCCCAGACTGGGAGGCCGGGCAGAGGGGCTCCTCACATCCCAGACGATGGGCAGCCAGGCAGAGACGCTCCTCGCTTCCCAGATGGGGTGGCGGCCGGGCAGAGGCTGCAATCTCGGCACTTTGGGAGGCCAAGGCAGGCGGCTGGGAGGTGGAGGTTGTAGCGAGCCAAGATCACGCCACTGCACTCCAGCCTGGGCAACACTGAGCACTGAGTGAGCGAGACTCCGTCTGCAATCCCAGCACCTCGCGAGGCTGAGGCTAGCAGATCACTCGCGGTTAGGAGCTGGAGACCAGCCCGGCCAACACGGCAAAACCCCGTCTCCACCAAAAAAATACGAAAACCAGTCAGGCGTGGCAGCACGCGCCTGCAATCCCAGGCACTCGGCAGGCACTCGGCAGGAGAATCAGGCAGGGAGGTTGCAGTGAGCCGAGATGGCGGCACTACAGTCCAGCCTCCGCTTGGCATCAGAGGGAGACCGTGGACAGAGGGAGGGGGAGGGGGAGAGGGAGAGGGAGAGGGAGAGGGAGTTTTTCTTTTTACCTTGCAATGCTTCTACTTTTCCAGTCTTTCCATTATATTCTTTTATAACATTTCTGATTCTGAAAGAAGATGAAGTAATTTTCATGTAAATGCATTTTCTAGTATTAATAACACAGATTACAGTTCATAACTAAGCCTGAACTTCACAGTAAAGGGTATCACTCTCAGTGGGATGTAAGGAGGGCAGTAATAAAAGCCCTCCCCTGACCACTCCCAAAAGAGATTTACACAGACCTGCTAATACTCTTATCAAACTTGGCATTTCATATATTCCAGCTATTTCTCTAAGTTATCAAATAAATAAGGGAAAGCTAAAATTGAAAAAAAAAAGAAGGAAAGAAGGAAGGGAGCGAAAGAAAAAAGGGAGAGAGGCTTTCCCTCAATCCTGAATCCCTCTCAATCATTATCTTTCACAGGCAAATTTGTCAAAATAATAATCTTTACTCCCTATTTCCATTGCTTTATCCCACATTTATTTCCCAACCTAAGACAACATAGCTTCTCACTATACTACTCCACAAAAAACTATTCCCAATGAAATTCACCAATGACCATTCTAGTTACCAAATCTAATGAACACTTTTTAGTCCTTATTTGATATACTTCATCACTGTTTTAAACTATTACTCACTCTTTTGTTTTCTTAAGTCTCTAACTCCCTGGCTTCTACACTTTGGTTCCACATCTTCCTCTTACTATTCCGTTTTGGCGTACTTTATGGACTCCTTAAATTGGATTTTATACTTGGCCAACTATTTTTCTTATTCTCAAACCTTTGCCATACAATCTTACCCACTCTCATGGCTTCAACTCCTACCTAAATTCTAATGATTCCCAAATTTGTGTTTTAGAGATTTCTTCAAAGTTTCAGATATTCTGCTTTTTACTATATATCTACACTTGGATATCAAACTGAACGCATTATATTTTCCTCTAAACTGGCCCACTTCCATTCTCTATCTCAGTTAGAATTTCTACTATCTACCCAGGAACTCAAGCTAAGAGCCTGAGAGGCATCCTTAACTCTCTCTCTCTCCCTTTTTCACCCCATCCTGTGACCTACAAAATTATTACAATTTAACTTCAAGAATTTATGAATTTAACTTTATAAATCTATTTGAATTTATCTCTTTACTACTTTTCTTGTGCCTTCTTGCCCAGGCTCTTGTCATCTTTCACCTCAACCAGGGCTATGACCTCTGTGCTTTATTTTTAATTGTCCCTTGTCTATCAGCAACAGTCTCTTTCCTTCTGCAATGCGGAGGACATATCAGAGACTACATTTCACGGAACCCTCTTTTCAGTATCAGATTTTGCTAATGAGAAGAACTTGGGCAAGATTTGGAGAGCAGAAATGAAGCAAGGTCATTATTCTCGGGTCACGTGAGCCAAGCATATACGCAGGCTCGAGGTTTGCAGCAGCTTCTCAGACTTCTTGACAAGGACTGCTTTGCTACTGCAGATTGAGATAACTGGTGAGAGATTTCCCAGAAAATCCCTGACATTTGCAGCAGTATACTGACAAACTTCTTGAAAAACACCCATTTCTGTGCATCAGGCTAAGGTCCTCAGTGGCTATTTCCTGACTTTCTGGTTGTAACTTAACCTTCTCTCCTCTAACTCTTGTACATTTGTGAATCCCTAATCCCTGTATTAAACTCCTTTACTCCCACAATATTTCCAGCAACTCACTTTTCCTGACCAGACCTAGACTGGTAAAATATCGTAAATATTTCCATTTCTCCAGTTGTGTCACCCTCAAATCCATTCTTCATAAAGCTGCCAAAGTGATCTATCAAAGTTCTGGTTACCTAATTTGCCTCCTTAAAATCATTCAGTGATTCCCCACACTATACAGGATAGCCTAATCTCCTTACCTTGGCAAGCAAAATCTTCCATGATCAGATTTGGTGCCTACCTCTTAAAGTTAACCTCTCTCTTTTCTTGTACTTTAAGGTCAGAAATGTTAGTTCCTTGTGTTCCCTATACATACACACTGTGTCTTGCTCTACTAGGTGGCTTATGCCATATCCCCTGTGTGGAAGGACCTTCACATACCCCACCATACTTTATATGACCAAGACCTTTCTCTTTCATAAGACTCACCTTAAGAGTCACCTCCTTTTGACTTTCCCCACTACACTACACTAGGTTGGATGATCCTTCTTTATTTCTTTTAATTCTCTGTGTTCAGCTCTACTACTTATCAGTTATCTATTTTAGTATCTATTTCCTTAGACTCTGTACTTCCTGAGGTTAAAGACTATCATTAATCTCTGTATCCTAATTCTAGCAGAGGGACTGATTAATGATGAATAAGTTAAAAAAGTAATTAATTTGTCAATAGGAACAGTCTGGTCCAGAATGATCAAAGAGTTCCTGGTTTCAGGCATGTTAGGCCACTTCCTATAGGATGTTCCCTCTATCTCTAGGTACATATAGAGGGAATATCAAGGTGGATGACACTGTATGCAGGTTTAGACAGGCTAGAACTGTCACAATTATCTGAGAGTACACTCAATTCATATTAATGTCATAAGGGCAAATTAGACCCAAGACCACTGAATAGGATGACTAGCATCAACCACTTAGGAGACCTAAATAACCGCTCTTCATACCATACAACAACACCCATCTCCATTGTTCACTGGATTAATATGGATCAAACTCATGATCCTGGGCATTTATTGAACCATGTCCTAAAAGACGAGCTTTCGGCCTGACAAAAGAGGAAATAATATAATTTAGTCCTAATTTAATTTGTTATGTGCAACAATACTAAATTTTCTGTTGTCAACGTAATTTCTATAAGAATTAATACCAAAGAAAGTGATAAACTATAGCTACAGAATAGCTATAAAAGTTTTCATGCAGGAGATAGGACTTGAAAGACTACTAAAAATTATAGAATTTGAGAAATTTCCTCAACTCCAGGGAATAGAGAACTTTCACCTTGATCTTTTCATATTAGGTTATAGTATTCTCCTTTTCCTGTTGTCTCCTTCCTCATTTCCCACTGCTCCCAGATAATTTCACCAATCACCTTTTACGTATCTGTTTCAAAATAACGTGAACTGAGATAGGTCTAACTGATTTAGTATATTTGGGATATTCCTAACAGCTAATATTTATTGAACACCTAGCAATAGGCCATGTAAAAGCTTTACATGTGATAGCTCATTGACTCTTTATGACAAATTGTGTATTATTGTTATGCTCATTTTTAAGATGAAGAAACTGAGGCATAGGAGGTTAATACTTTAGCTGAAATTAATAAGGGGCAAAGCCAGGATTCAAACCAGTTGGTTTAAACCTACAGACTACATCATAATCACTATGATCTACTGTCTCCTGAAAATATACTTTTAAAAAGATAACTTCACACAAATAGAATGTCACTTAAGAATACTGCCCAAAAATCTTGAATAAAATAAGTAAATACCTAGGGAAGTATGCACTAAATTATAGAGGAATGTTTTACTGATGGCTCTCCCTGCTTTATTTCTTATTTGTTTACTTTCAGTCAATCAAACCAGTTTGAATATACAACTAACATTTATGCAGTTTCTATTATGTAACAGGCATATATGCTTAATTATCTTATGGATTATTTATATTATTAAAGATGAAAGAGAGGCATTCTATTCTATTTATTTATTTACTTCTGAGACAGGGTCTGGGTCTGTCGCCCAGGCTGGAGTGCAAGTGGCGCCATACTGGCTCACTGCAAACTCCACCTCTTGGGCTCAAGCCATCCTCCCACGTCAGCCTCCCCAGTAGCTGGGACTACAGGCATGCACCACCATGCCTGGCTAATTTTTGTATTTTTTGTAAAGACAGGGTTTCACCATGTTGCTCAGGCTGGTCTCAAACTCCTGAGCTCAAGTGATCTGCCCATCTGAGCCTACAAAAGTACTGGGATTACAGGTGTGAGCCCCTGCACCTGGCCATATATTCTTAGAAATGAATGAAAAAGCTGCTTAGCTAGATCATATAGTTTAACTGAAAGTCACAAAGCTATTAAATTGTGAAGAGACCTTTTGACTTCAAAATTTCAGTCCCTATACTCCCTATGGGAAGATAGTCTAAGTTTGAAAAACGTGTATAATATATACTTATATACTGCATATGTATACATATACATAACATAGCCATGTGTGTGTTAGAAGACAAAGCAGAGAGGGAGTATAAGTAGTGGGAGATGATAATATGGAAGACAGAAGATGAGAGGCAAGAAAATGATAGGTCTCTTAAATTTTACTGTTGATAGTATCAACAGTATTCACTTTGAAAATGGTGAATGAGAGGAATTTAGGATGATGGCAGAGAAATAATAAAAAGAAAAGAACACATAATCTATATCAACATTTGACCTGCAGCTTCATTTACTAAGCTTTTACCTATAAGTGTACATAGTCATGTAATTTCTTAGTTACCTTATGGCTTCTTTTCCATGGAATTCTGGAGACACCGGTTCAAAAGAATCATCAGAGGAATGCTCAGGATTTATTTCATTCTCAAAGATTTCATGATGAGTATTTTGATGTTTGGACCAAAATGAGGACTTAAGGAAAAATAATGGAGAATCCCCATGGCCATCTTTATCTAATTAATTAAGATACAATTACATATTGCATCAATTATACCACACCAATAAAAAGGGACATCTGTCCTTTACTTGATATCAATTTTGAACTTAAGTTATTTATCTTGGGCATTTATATTTATAATTTTTTTTTTTGAGACAGTCACGCTCTGTTGCCCAGGCAGGAGTGCAATGGCACGATCCTGGCTCACCGCAACCTCCGCCTCCCAGGTTCAAGCGATCTCTCCTGCCTCAGCTTCCCAAGTAGCTATTACAGGCACCTGCCACCACGCCCGGCTAACTTTTGTATTTTTATTAGAGACAGGGTTTCACCATGCTGGCCAGGCTGGTCTCGAACTCCCAACCTCAGGCGATCCGCCCACCTCGGCCTCCCAAAGTGCTGGGATTACAGGCGTGAGCCACCGTGCCCGGCTATAATGTTAAAAATAAAGCATTACAGGTGCATTAAAGTTAAGACAGTGCTGTGGCTTTCGATAAGTTATCAGCTATGATTGACAAAAATAAAAGAGCTCATGAAAGGGAATACAGTTCTAGCTGTAGGGAATCATATCAAACATCAAGAACTTCACTTTTTGGATTTCCAGACATTTGGATGCTAAAAAAAGGGATGTGTAAGCTGATCCTGCCATAGCATATGAAGATATATTATTTTGATAATATAGAAAAAAACAAATATTGAAAATAGTGAGTATATAATTCACTGTAAAATAAAAGAGAACTTTTTTCCAAGTCCTAAGAATACAACAAAAGCACAAAAATGAACATATTAAGAATGTTAAGGTAGACGTAAGGCTGGACAACTGTTGTCAAATAGGAAAAGGACATAGAAAGGAAGAAAATTAAAATTAAAGGATCAGATGTAGGAAGCATGGGAAATTTTTTTAATTCATTAGAAAAATTAAATAAGCACAGATTAAATTGTTTCTGCCACAAGTCTTCTCATGTTTTATTTTATATAAATTTTTTTCAACCAAATACATAGATAATTCTTTAACGTTTTATGATCTGGAATTATACAGGGATCTTTATCAAGAGATAGTTCATTTCATTCTCAGGTAGAAGGGGCTCTATGTATAATCAATTAAAAATGGCTTGACAGTTAAATGGACATATCTATTAGAGTAGAGAATACAAGTGCAGATCTAAAGAAGGAAAGAAAATAAATGAGATGGTGTTTTAATGATATATCCACAAAATAGGAATTTATTGGTGGTAAGAGGAGGAAATTTAAAAGATTTTTCAGAAACTGTAGGATAATTAAAACAATACAGAATTTTCACATGTAATATTTCACTGCAAGCTGTTACTGAAAGCTAATATAATGTAGGGGGATGGAGCTGAGCAAAAGAAGAGCTAAGGAAGAAGAGACACAACATATAAACTTCTTGATGTATGAAAGCAAAAGATGTTGATGACATGTAGAAAAATATATGGGAAAGAATGGAAAAGTTATAGATAGAAATTCTTTGACAAGAGAAATGTAAATAGTATTGCAGTTTTAGAGATATTATGTGGGAGAGAAGAAATGTTCAAAGATGAAAATATGTAAACAGATCTAGAGTTGAACTAGCCAAAAAGAGAAATTACACTATGAAAAAACAAAGAAAAAATTTTAGAAGGGGAAACAAATTAAAATTCAAAAATGAATTCATTTTATTCATAGAAATTATAGTATTTTTAAAAACATATCAAAAATCAAACTAATGTTTTATATTCTTGTTTTGCTACTACTGTAGTTATTGCCTGTCCTGGTCAGTGCCTCACCCCTAGTAGCCAAAGCCGGAAACCAGTGAGCCATCCTCATCTCTTTTCCCTCTCACTTCCCCCAACTTCTACATAATTAACCACCAAATCAAATTTCTATTTCCTAAGAACCTCGTGAATCTGTTCTCCCCTCTGCATTACAATGACATCTTAATTTGATCCTCTCAAACAGATTAGTATCCACCTGCTTTGAGCCCATTCTTCATGCAGCTGCCAGAGAGAGCTTCCTAAAAGGCAAATCTCACCAGTGAAAGAGCCTACATACACTACTACTTCAGTCTGTCTCCATTTTTTGCACCAGTCGTTCTAATGCTTTTGGATTTTTTGTACAAACGATAGTTCAAGAAACAAATATGTTGTGTTAAGGATAGTTTAAAAGCCTATCTGCTATGCTATAACCATCACTGCAAAAATAAAATGATATTTTTACTACAAAATACAGATAGAGAAAAGCTATGATCTCACAATAGAGAAGACAATTTCAAATTGAAGAATTAAGGTATATAAATAAATTTCACATTCTTTCTCTTATCTGACAAGGTGAAAATTTTGTCACAGATCATCACCAATACTTGAGTTGCCCAAGAGGACACAATCCAAAATTCTGTACATTCCCTATCAAGTGAAAATTATCACCAGGCACCTATAGAGGGGCTTAATTGGAGACAAGCCTCAGAATCTCAGGGATCTTTACATGCTATATTGTCCTGTGCCATGTACATTTGGAAAAATCTCCCGGTAATTATTGTAAACTGGTTAATAATTTCTACATCACAGACTCCTACTATGCACCAGCTCTGCCAAACAATTTTTAATTTCCCTTATGATATACTATTTCACGTTGCTGGGCATACATGCTGGTGACTATATGGCTGGATAACTGTTGTCAAATAGGAAAGGATATAGAAAGGAAGAAAATTAAAATGTGTTGCTGGGCATACATGCTGTTGACAATATGGCTGTGGACAAAATGTGTTTTCAAGACTCTTTAAGATGATTTGTTTTTAAGACTCTTCTCCACAAGATAAACTTACCTATCCTCTAAATGCAATTTGAGGTGTTTCCTCCATGCCTTTTCTAATTTGACAACCCTAGAACTTACCCTCTCATGGAACCTTGTGGTATCCTCTTATTATACTTCTTACACTACATTTAACTACCAATTTACATAAGTATTTCCAATGCTAACTGCAAAAGCCTTGAAGACTCAGACTGTTTAACCCATCATAGGCTTCAATAAGCAGTTACATTTTAAATGGATAAGTAGATTAAACCTGATGTCTAATTGGTACAGATACCATTAGCAATTCTTGGCTTGTTTTGGTTCAGTAAAAGAATTATAAGTGTAAAAACATTTACATATAATCTGGTCTAAAAATAAAGATTTGAAAGATGCTTATAAAAATTTAGATTGACCAGGCACAGTGGCTCACACCTGAAATCCCAGCACTTTGGGAGACCAAGACAGCTAAATGGCTTGAGGCCAGGAGTTTGAGACCAGCCTGGATAACATGGCAAAACCCCGTATCTACAAAATTACCAAAATTAGCTGGGTGTGGTGGTGTATGCTGGTAGTTCCAGCTACTGGGGAGGCTGAGGTGGGAGGATTGCTTGAGTCTGGGAGGCAGAGGTTGCAGTGAGCTGAGATTGTACCACTGCACTCCAGCCTGGGTGACACAGTGAGACCCTGTCTCAAAAAAATAAATAAATAAATTAGATTTAAAAATACGTATTATACCCAAATAAAGGTAAGTGAAATTTAATCAAATGTAAGGACTTTAAAAAAGAATTTTAATTTGAAGCTGAGAGAGAAAAAGAGTTCATTCTTGCCTTACTTCATCAAATATTTATTGAGAGCCTCCTATACACAACGTAGCCTCTAGATGGAAAAACACACTTTGTTCATCCTGAATAAAGTTCAAATGGAAAGGCACATATATGCATTTATTTAATTTGCTGGGAATTTATTGAGCATCTACTAGGTGCCAAACACTGTTGTGATGCATCAGTGTCATAAAAAGCAAATATCTCTTCCCTTGTGGGGATCTACATTCTAGGGAAACAAAACAGAATAAACAATAAAATATTCAATTCTATTAATATTTAAAAAGAAAGAGCATTAGGTCAGAGTTTCAAAGTTCTAGTCCAAATTCTGCTAAGTGTGTTCTTGGCCAGTCATGCAACTTCTCTAGATCACTGTTTTGGCACCTCTAAGATGTGTGTTCTGGACTAAATAATGAACTAAAAGCTGATTATTAAAATTATAGATTATACAAACAGGAATTGAAAAGAAAAAGTCAAATTCAATTTTCCCAGGTTTAAAGATTACTTGTGCTTCTGGGCAGTGGGGCTGGGGGAATATTGGAAAAGAAAAACAAGATGACTATGAATAAGTGAAGGACTTAAAGAAACATGAAAATGTTGCCTATTAAAAGCTAATTAAAGTCTAGAGATGAGGAATTTGTGTTACCATATTAATTATCAAAAAGCTCTCAGTTCGATGTAAAACTTGTAATTCTAATCACAACAGAAGATCATGAAGCGGAAATGGTAAAAGCACAAATGTAATATCCCTAGAATTACCATAAGTCTGGAGTTTCTATCTTTATAGCTAACTGTTATAATTGAGCTTCATAGTAGACAGAATTTGAGCATACAATGTCTGTGAACAAAGAACATTATTGTTCTTATTAAAGCTTAAAAACCCATCATCATGTTGTAGAAACTTACATTAAATTTAGGACCTCCAGAAATTAGGTAGATACAAATGACACAGAAAATGTGATTCTAGAATAATACTTTTCTTTTAAACAATATATTCTATGTAAAATTTGTCCCCCGACATGATCAGAGGTATCATTTAAAGGAAAAAAATGAAGTTGGTACAGCAGACATCAATAAGGTGTGGAATAGGACTTCCCAGCACTTGTTCCCCAGCAGAAACATTAACTTGAAATGACTATCTACACTCAAAAATACCTTCACAAGCGCTAAGGAAACCAGCTGACAGAGTACAGCACCTGAGTGTAGTAGATCAGAAGCAAGAAAAGATGCATTGAAGAGGGCAGAAAGGACAGTTTTACAATACCTGTGCCACCCCTTCCCAACCTGTCAGGCAGCACAGCATGAAAAGAGATACTCACCACTTGAGGAAATGAGAGATTGTTTCCTGTCTGTGCAAAAGCATTTTAGTTTGATGTAGACTCTGTCTCACACCATATACAAATTGGTCCCAACTTGCAAAGCTTCAACTTATGATTTTTCAACTTTTCAATAGATTTATTGGGATGAAATGCCATCATAAGTTGAGGAACATCTGTACAAAAATCAACTCAAAATGGAGTAAAGACTTAAAAGTAAAACCTGAAACTGTAAAACTACTAGAAGGAAACGGGGGAGAGGGGAGCTTCATGACACTGGTTTGGGCAATGATTTTTTTGGATAGGACCCCAGAAGCATGAGCAACAAAACAAAAGTAGACACATGGGATTACATCAAACTAAAAAGCTTTTGCACAGCCAGGAAAGGAATCAACAGAGTAATTAGAAAATATTTGCAAATGATACATCTGATAAGAGGTTAATATACAAAATATACAGCAAACTCAATAGTAAGAAAAAATAACCCAATTTGAAAACGAGCAAAGGACCTAAATAAACATTTCTGAAAAGGAGACATAAAAATGGCCAAGAAGAATATGAAAAAGTACTCAACATCACTAATCATCAGGGAAATGCAAATTAAAACCATAACGTGATAGCACCTCACATCTCTTGCAAGGGATGCTATCGAAAAGATGAAAGGTAAAAAGTGTTGGCAACGATGTGGAGAAAAGGGAAGCCTTGCCACTGTTGGTGAAAATGTAAATTAGTACAACCATTATGAAAAATATGATGAAGGTTCCCAAAAAGGTAAAAATAGAACTACCACATGATTGAGCAATTACACTTCTGGTATACATCCTAAGGGAAGGAAGCCATTACACTGAAGAGATATCTGCACTCCCATATTCGTTGTAGCATTATTCACAATAGTCAAGATATGAAAACAACAAACCCAGTGTCCATCAATGGATAAATGGATAAAGAAATTGTGAGATAGATATATATATATATACAATAGAATACTATTTAGCTTGTAAAAAAAGGAAGGAAATTTTGTCATTTGTGACAACATGCATGAACCTGGAGATACATTATGTTAAGTAAAGTAAGCCAGATACAGAAATATAAATACCATATGATCTCATTTATATGTAGAATCTAAAAAGTGGAACAAACTGAAATAAAGAATAGAATCTTGGCTACCAGGGCCTGGCAGTGGGTGGAGAGAGAGCAGGGATTGGAGAGGTTGGGAAGATGTTTGTTAGTCAAAGGATACAAAGTTTTAGTTAGATAGGAGGAATAAACTCAAGAGACCCATTGTACAACATGTTGACTACAGCTAATAACAACGTATTTTGAAAATTGCTAAGAGAGTAGATTTTAAGTGTTCTCACTACAAAGAATAAGTATATGAGGTAATGGATATGTTAATTAGCTAGATTTGACTAAGTTCACAATGTATACTATTTCAAAACATCATGTGTACATGGTAAATATATCAAGTTTTTGGCAATTAAATTATTTTTAAAAAGGTTTTGTGGTCAATAAAGTATAGAGACAGTGAATTACTAATTAAATTTTATAAGAATGTATTAGGAGGCCAGGCGCGGTGGCTCACGCCTGTAATCCCAGCACTTTGGGAGGCTGAGGTGGGCAGATCAAGAGGTCAGGACTTCAAGACCATCCTGGCTAACACGGTGAAAGCCCATCTCTACTAAAAATACAAAAAAATTAGCTGGGCGTGGTGGCAGGTGCCTGTAGTCCTAGCTATTCGGGAGGCTGAGGCAGGAGAATGGCGTGAACCCGGGATGTGGAGCTTGCAGCGACCAAGATCGCGCCACTGCACTCCAGTCTGAGGGGACAGGGCGAGACTCTGTCTCAAAAAAAAAAAAAAAAAAAAAAAAGAATGTATTAGGAAAAAAATTATGTTTACTACAGAAAACCAAAAATTTAGTATGGCACAGAATTACAAAACAGAAAAAATTTAACTTTGGCAATATACAACTTATTTCTTCCTCTACCCACTACAAAAAATTCTCATTTTGTCTGCTAGGTTCCTGGGCTTTGGGGGCTAAAGAAAATTAATTTGATTTATATTATAAAGGATAACGAATGATGGACAAAGGATAAAACAAGAGATTCCAAAAGGAAGAAAGCAATGAGAAAGTAGAGTAGAGCCTAAACCAATTAGTTGAAGGACACTTTTAAGAATTTAGATGCCAGGCACAGTGGCTCACATTTGTAATCCCAGCACTTTAGGTGGCCAAGGTGGGAGGATCCCTTGAGGCCAGGAGTTTGAGACCAGCCTGGGCAACGTAGCAAGACCCCACCTCTACAAAAAAATTTTTAAAAAAATTAGTCTGGTGTGGTGGCACATGTCTGTGGTCCCAGCTACAGAGGAGGCTGAGGTGGGAGGATAGCTTGAACCTAGGAGGTCAAGGCTGCAGTGAGCTATGATGGCACCACTCCACTTCAGCCTGGGTAGCAGGGAGACCCTATCTTCAAAACAAATAAAAAGAATTTAAAGAACAGGGTGTTTTTAATGCTCTTGCCATATGTATAAGTGACAGAATGAGTGCATACAGAAGTAGACAAGGTTTGGGATTTCAAGTTCCATTTTGCCTGTTTGAAAAATAACATTAAAGTAATTTTTTAAATTATCAAATATGAGAGTGCTTTCACTGTGATCTGTAACAAGTTAGGGCAACATGTTAAGATAATTTTATGTGGGTTATGTATGCTACATGCTGCTCTTTAGTCAAAAGAAGAAACTTTATCTAATTAGAGAATTCAATTCATTTCTTCACAGGAATAATTTTTCAAAGTAATTT
The DNA here is from genome assembly GCF_000001405.40 of Homo sapiens. Lineage (NCBI taxonomy): Eukaryota > Metazoa > Chordata > Mammalia > Primates > Hominidae > Homo > Homo sapiens. The sequence goes on from NC_000017.11 coordinate 69,209,369, forward strand.
TGAAGCCAATTTGCCACATACATAAGAAATTACTCATATGAACATGTTACATCACGAAATTGGAAAACTGTATTATTTGCCAGTAAGAAGCATAGGGACTAAACTGTAAACGATAGTACAATAAAGATTAAGCAAATATAAAATAAGTCTAGAAGAAAGCTATAAATATTTTTCAAATAAAATACCTGAATTAGAAATCAGATGAACATACTAAAATAAGTAGGGTTTGAAAATAACAGTAATAGTCAGATTCTGACATGTAAGAAATTATGTGTGAGGAAAACATAGATTTTTTATGGAGCTAAATAAGTACAGTCACGTGTCACTGAACAATGGGGATACCTTCTGAGAATGTGTCATTTTGTCATTGTGCACTCTACAAACCTAATGATATAGTCTACTACGCACCTAGGCTATGTGGTAGCCCATGGCTCCTAGACTACAAACCTGTACAGCATGTTACTGTACTCTATACTGTAGGAAATTGTAAGACAATGGTATCTCTATCTTATCATATCTAAACATAGAAAAGGTACAGTAAAAATATGGGATTATGATCTTCTGTGACCACTGTGGTGTCTGTAGTCCATCATTGACAAAAACATTGTTATGCAGCACATGACTGTACATTAGGTTTTAGGATTATATGTGCACACACTATCTACAAATTTTATAGTCATTTAAAAGCCATCTGTAGAGCTTATGCTATTACTTTATTATTATTATTATTATTATTATTTCAATAGTTTTGAGGGAACAGGTGATGTTTGGTTACATGGGTAAATTATTTAGTGGTTATTTCTTTTTTTTTTTTTTTTTTTTTTTTTTTTTTGAGACGGAGTCTCGCTCTGTCGCCCAGGCCGGACTGCGGACTGCAGTGGCGCAATCTCGGCTCACTGCAAGCTCCGCTTCCCGGGTTCACGCCATTCTCCTGCCTCAGCCTCCCGAGTAGCTGGGACTACAGGCGCCCGCCACCGCGCCCGGCTAATTTTTTGTATTTTTAGTAGAGACGGGGTTTCACCTTGTTAGCCAGGATGGTCTCGATCTCCTGACCTCATGATCCACTCGCCTCGGCCTCCCAAAGTGCTGGGATTACAGGCGTGAGCCACCGCGCCCGGCCTTTAGTGGTTATTTCTGAGATTTTGGTGTACACATCACCTGAGCAGTATACACTGCATCCAATGTGTAGTCTTTTATCCTTCAACCCCTCATCCTTCCCTCCAAGTCCCCAAAGTTCATTATTCACATGCTTTTGCATCCTCATAGCTTAGCTCCCACTTATAAGCAAGAGCATATGATGTTTCGTTTTCCATTCCTGAGTTAACTTCACTTAGAATAATGGTCTCTGACTCCATCCAGGTTGCTGCAAATGCCATTATTTCATTCCTTCTTATGGATGAGTAGTATTTCATTATATATATGTATATATATACAATGGCATATATATACATATATATATATGCCACATATTTATGCCACATATATATATATATATATGCCATATTTCCTTTACCCACTCATTGATTGATGGGCATTTGGGCTGGTCCCATATTTTTGCAATACCACTTTACTCCTGCAAAATTGCCATAATTTAAAAAATCAAAAAAGAATAGATGTTGGCACAGATGTCGTGAGAAGGGAACACATTTACACTGCTCGTGGGAATGTAAACTTGTACAACCACTATGGAAAACAGTACGGAGATTCCTTAAAGAGCTAAAAGTGGAACTACCCTTTGATCCAGCAATCCTACTACTAGTTATCCACCCAGAGGAAAAGAAATCACTACATGAAAAAGACACTTGCATATGAATGTTTATTGCAGCACAATTTGCAATTGCAAAAATAGGGAACCAGCTTTAAATAATGCCATTATTTCATTCCTTTTTAATGGCTGAGTAGTATCCTATGGTATATATATATCATATATATACATCATATATATGATATATATATATATATATATATATATATATATATATATATATATATACACACACACCACATTTTCTTTATCCACTCGTTGGTTGATAGCATCTAATGTTCATCAGAGATATTGGTGTGTAGTTTTCTTTTTTTGTTATGCCCTTTCCTGGTTTTGGTATTAGGGTGATCCTGGCTTCATAGAATGATTTAGGGAGGATTCCCTCTTTCTCTATCTTTTGAAATAGTGTCAATAGGATAGGTATCAATTCTTCTTTGAGTGTCTGACAGAATTCAGCTATGAATCCATCTGTTCCTGGACTCTTTGGGGGCGGGGGGGAATATTTTAATTACCATTTCAATCTCACTGCTTGTTATTGGTCTGTTCAGGGTTTCTATTTCTTCCTGGTTTATTCTAGAAGGGTTGCATATTTCCAGGAATTTATCCATCTCCTCTAGGTTTTCTAGTTTTTGCACATAAAGGTGTCCATAGTGGCCCTGAATGATCTTTTGTACTTCTGTGTTATCAGTTGTAATATCTCTCATTTCATTCCAAATTGAGCATATTTGGATCTTCTCTCTTTTCTTGGTGAATCTTGCTAATGGTCTATCAATTTTGTTCAACTTTTCAAAGAACCAGCTTTTTGTTTCATTTATTTTTTGTATTTTTTGTTTCAATTTCATTTAGTTCTGCTCTGATCTTGGGGATTTCTTTTCTTCTGCTGGGTTTGGGTTTGGTTTGTTTTTGTTTCTCCAGTTCCTTGAGGTGTGACCTTAGATTGTCTATTTGTGCTCTTTCAGACTTTTTGATGTAGGTATTTTATGCCATGAACTTTCTTTTTAGCACTGCTTTTTCTGTATCGCAGGGGTTTTGATAAGTTGTGTCACTATTATCATTAGGTTGAAAGAATTTTTAAATTTCCATTTTTATTTCATTGTTGACCGAACAATCATTCAGGAGCAGGTTATTTAATTTCTGTGTGTTTGCATGGTTCTGAGGGCTCCTTTTGGAGTTGATTTTCAATTTTGTTCCACTGTGGTCTGAGACAGTGCTTGATATAATGTTGATTTATTGAGACTTGTTTTGTTGCTTATCATATGGTCTATCTTGGAGAATGTTCCATGTGCTGATGAACAGAATGTATATTCTGCAGTTGTTGGGTAGAATATTCTGTAAATATTTGTTAAGTTCAGGGTATACTTTAAGACCATTGTTTCTTTGTTAACTTTCTATCTTGATGACCTGTTCAGTGCTGTCAGTGGAGTATCGAAGTCCCCCACTATTATCGTGTTGCCATTTATCTCATTTCTTAGGTCTAGTAGTAATTGCTTTTATAAATTTGAGAGCTCCAGTATTAGGTGCACACAGATTTAGGACTGTGACATTTTCCTGTTGGACTAGTCCTTTTATTATTATATAATGTCCCTCTTTGTCTTTTTAACTGTTGTTGCTTTAAAGTCTTTTTGTCTGATATAAGAATAGCTACTCCTGTGTCCATTTGCATGGAATATCTATTCCCACCCCTTTACCTTAAGTTTATGTGAGTCCTTATGTGTTGGGTGAGTCTCTTGAAGACAGCAGATACTTGGTTGGTGAATTTTTATTCATTCTGCTATTCTGTATCTTTTAAGTGGCACATTTAGGCCATTTACATTCAATGTGGGTATTGAGATGTGAGGTACTATGCTATTCATCATGCTGGTTTTCTAGAATGCTGGTTATGCTAGCAGTGAAGTTGCCACGTGGACAGACTCAGGACCTCTGGTTAGCCAGGGTGTTGCAAGTGGTAGAATTATCTGTTGTTTTCTCCTTCTTTGGTGCAGGATTGTTCTGTTATGACTTTGTGTAATGGCTTGAGTTCATTGGCCTCCAACCAGGAGGTGGAACTTTCAAGACAGCACCAGCTGCTGTAGCGCCCTACAGTGGCCAGGATAAGTACTCTGGTTTCTCAGGCTATGGGTGGGGCCATAGAGCTCCCAAGAGTTTGTGTCTTTTGTCTTTAGCTACCAGCGGTGGGGAGAATAAAAACAATCAGGTGGGGGCAGGGTTAGGCATGTCTGAGCTCAGACTTTCCTTGGGTGGGGCTTGCTGTGACCACTGTGGGCGACAGGTTTGCGGGTGGGGGGAGGGTCGTTCTCAGACCAACGGTGTTATGTTCCCAGGGGAATTATGGCTACTTCTGCTGCATCATACAGATAGCCAGGAAAGTGGGGGAAAGCCAGGAGTGACAGGCCTCACCCAGCTCCCACACAGTCAGCAAGGCCAGTCTCACTCCCACTGTGCCCCCACAACAGCACTGAGTTTATATTCAGGCATCCAGTGAGCAAGGCTGAGATCTTGCCCCAGGCTATAAGCCTCCCTGCTGAGAAAGCAAGCAGGGCTCTCGGGCCTGGCTGGGCCCTCCCCATCTGCCCACACCTTTGGCTGTTGCTTCTGCGCTAGTACCTACATTTCCTGTTCAACCCCCTAACCAACCCCCACCCTGGCCCCTTCCGATTCTGCTCAGGAAAATTCATGCTCAAAGTTATTACAAAATTCAGCTAGGAGCTTCCTTCACTCTGTGGCCCCTCCCCTATTTTATTACCTTTAATAACATTATAGAAAGCATTCTTATTGGGCTGATGTTTCGACAAAAGGGAGAGAATAAGAAATAATCCATTAACTTCATATTGTGTTTCCTTCTTCATATTTTTGAGATTCGGAAGAACAACTATACTTGAGCCAAATATTAACAAGAACCAATTAATGAACTATTTTACATAAGTGAGTTCAATTTAGGCACTAAAAAGCATCATTATTCAATAGGTGATTTAAGTGTTTTCCTCCCTCTCTCAAACTAAAACACATACCGACACACATACATCCTACCTTTACGAAAGACAAAAACCAAAATAAATACAGTTCTTTTTAATTAAAATGATTTTTAAAAATGATTCAGTTCGGCCGGGCGCGGTGGCTCACGCCTGTAATCCCAGCACTTTGGGAGGCCGAGGCGGGCGGATCACGAGGTCAGGAGATCGAGACCATCCCGGCTAAAACGGTGAAACCCCGTCTCTACTAAAAATACAAAAAATTAGCTGGGCGTAGTGGCGGGCGCCTGTAGTCCCAGCTACTTGGGAGGCTGAGGCAGGAGAATGGCGTGAACCCGGGAGGCGGAGCTTGCAGTGAGCCGAGATCCCGCCACTGCACTCCAGCCTGGGCGACAGAGCGAGACTCCGTCTCAAAAAAAAAAAAAATGATTCAGTTCATACCTTTAAATAGTAAAATGGAAATGAGGAAATTCTATTGTTTTGAAATTTTTTCTTCTCTACTATCAGAAATGCTTCTTAAGTTACAAATAAACAGATATTAATACATGTTTTAAGAAACAGAATTGCTTTAAATTTAACTTTAACCACACTATTAACTTACCAGGTAAAACTCGCTCAAAATATAATGTGAATATCAAATAGAAAAGAGTATCAAATGCCAAAATGAAAAAAGTGGCTATCATTTTGTATGAATCCCCAGAGGGATCAGGAAAAATAACACCACTTAAGTAATTATCCAGGTGTGTAATCTGAGATTTAAAAGAAAAAATAAAATGTTAGATGAACTTATAAAACTAAATAAAACAATTTTTTTTAAAAAATAGTGGTACCTAGAGATATGTAATTAATATTTTAATACCTTTTCAAATATGCATAGTAAATGTGCTATTAGTATTGTTGCTTTTTAAAAAATGTAAGTATTCTCACAAAATTTTAAAATGCTATATATGAAAGTAAAACAAAAAAGAGAAATTAACTGCATCATTAATCATGGGTATTTTAACAAAGAAAATATGGAGAAGTGGACAAGCAACCAAATATAACATACTTTGGGAAGGAAAACTTGAAGTGGGCAACATAATTAGAGCCCATTTAAAGAAACATAAAAATTCTAAGTATAAGATATTGCAGAAACATTCAATTATTAAATAAGTACTGAAGACTTGAAGAAAAAACTAGAAAGATAATAATGATAACAGTTAACATTTAGATAGTATGTATCTGGCTCTGTACTAGTGCTATATGTATATAATAGCACAATTAATCCTAAAAATTTACCCCCATGAGGTGGGTTCTACTGACATCCTCATTCTGCAGAAGACAGGCTAAAGAGATTAAGTGACTTGCCCAGTGTCACCAGCTGGTAGGCAACAGAGATGAGACCCTTATCCATGCCATCTGGCTTCACTCGTTATTCATAACCTCACATTTTACTGCCTCTTTAAAGGGGGACACAAACCAGATATTTCTCAGTGGTCAGATAATGGGCAATTATTTTTCTTCTTTAAATTTGCTAGGATTTTACAAATGATCTGCCTGCTTTGTTTATCCATTTGATAAAACTTTTTTGTTGTTCTTATTTAGTTTCTCAACAGCAGAATTTCTTAAAACACAGAGTGGCTGATTATTAAATTTCATGAGGCACCAAATTCTTGAATAAGAACATATTTTGAAAATCTAATAATAAAATCTTGAAATAATTATGTTCTTACCTGGGCCATTCCAGCAGTGAAGGCAAAAGGGCTAAGAAGACTTAATACCCATCCCAAAGATAAAGGAAGTTGTCTATATAACACAGTGAATCCCAGACATCCCCAAAATACAGTGAAGAGAAATCCAGCCAAACCAGCGAGCATAGGTTTCCTTATTAAAACACTCATGAGGAAAGCCAATGCTATCTGAAGGAAGAAAGAGGTCTGATTGGTATATTTTTCCTTGAAGATTCATAAATAGCAATATTCATCGATTTCTCACATTGTCAAAAATTTTCTCAAAACATATAGAAAATAGGATAGAAAATATAGTGATTACACTAATATCCCAAAGAAACATTATTTGCTCATGTATCTGTAATCTGAAACAGGTTAAGAGGTAATATGCTTTTACCAACTCACCAAAGAAAGGCCATATAAGCTATAGAGTGTGAATATCACCATGAAGCCAGTATGAAATACAATTGGGATTGATGTTATGACCAGAGCCATAAAAATGGACATAATGAAGATGAAGCAAATGTATGTCAATCCCCAGGAGAGCCTATAGTAGAAACAAGGTGTTAGTTCAACTGTCACAAACATAAATGTTTGGAGAGGTAATGTGCGAAATGGTTAAGAGTAAAAGCTCTGAAATCAGGACTAAATTTATTCTAAATGGGTGGCCATACACATTTTGTGACTATTAGCAAGTTATTTATCTTCTCTCACTCTCATCTGTAAAATGGAGTTTTTCATGGTAGCTATTCATATGGTTGTTCTGAGAAATAAATGAGATAATGCTTTTGAAGATGTTAGTTTAGCATGTGGCACAGAAAGTAGCCATTACTATAATTACCTCTATAGCTGTAGAACAAATTTTATATTTAATATAATTAAATATACTTTTATTCTTTCAGTTAAATGACTATATAAAATGTCAGTGGAAAAACAACGACAATCTCCCCTTTAAACTTCCTTATACTAAAGCTTTCTAAGGTATACCATTCTTCTGAATGTTTAACAGAAATCTTTCCAATTTAAGTAAAGCTCATTTCATTTTTTATCCTTGTATGGCTATGGACATTAGACAATGTATTATTTTTAAGAATCAGAATACCATAGTGCTATTAAGAAATGTGAAACTAAAATAAAAGGAAAGGTATTATGATGCCAGGCACGGTGGCTCACGCCTGTAATCCCAGCACTTTGGGAGGTTGAGGCAGGTGGATTGCCTGAGTCAGGAGTTCGAGAACAGCCTGGCCAACATAGTAAAACCCCATCTCTACTAAAAATACAAAAAATTAGCTGGGTGAGGTGGCGGGCACCTGTAATCCCAACTACTAGGGAGGCTGAGGCAGGAGAATCACTTGAACCCCAGAAGTGGAGGTTGCAGTGAGACAAGATCGTGCCATTGCACTCCAGCCTGGGCAACAAGAGCGAAACTCCATCTCAAAAAAAGAAAAAAAAAAAAGGTATCATGATGATTATAGTTGTATAACTGTGATTGAATGTCGGAGTAGCCAAAACATTGTTGCTTTTGAAAATCTCTGGAAGTAGATGGAAAGGTATGTTTTAAACAACCACCACATGATCCAGCAAATATACCACTGAGCATTTTTCCCAGAAAAATTAAAACTTATGCTCACACAAAAACCTGTATATGAATGTTAATCACAGCTTTATTCATAAATGCCAAAAACTAGAAACAACCCATATCTCCTCCAAAGGCTGAAGAATTAAACAAACAGAAATACATCCATGCCATGGAATAGTACTCAACAATAAGAAAAAACAAGCTATTGATAAATGAGAATTTGGCATACTTGAGCCTTATTTGGGCAAAGCAGTACAATCTACTGAGTTAAGTAGTAAATTTGTGCCTGATCAGATAGAAAGTAGAAGGGATAATATACAAGAAGTGTGAGGGCTTTACAAGAAATATAGCAGTTTTACCTTAATACTTGGGATACTTGCATTTGGCAATGGGTTCTTATAAAAATTTAAAGACCAAAATTCACAAAGCTATATATTTTTAAGAAAATTATATCATTTTATTATTTAAAAATCTATTTTCCTTGTCTTTGAAAAGAGGAGAAAGAGCTTGTCTAAGACACCCTCCCCAATAACAGATGCAACATATCAATTAATAAAAAAATTATATCCAACACAAAATCTGCTATCTTGTACCCTTGTATGGTTTTATATCAGGGAAGAATCATTCAGAAATTTAGATTAAATGTTTGAGGTAATGGATATTCCAATTGTTCTGATTTGATCATTACACACTGTATACATGTATCAAGATACCACATGTACCCCACAGTATATACAACTATGATGCATCAGTTAAAAATAGCAAAAAAAGGAAAAACAAACCTGAATCCAAACTTAGTATTTACCTACCGTAAAGCTAATAATATGGTATGCATTTCTGTAGGCCAGTTTCACAAAAGGCTTTTTCTATCTCCTTTTCCCCCTTGTCATTAAATTTATTTTATTAATATTTTTGAGTTTTGTAGCACAGTCTCTAAAAGAGTGCTGTTTTCTTAGGTTTGATTTCTGGCTTTATTGTTTATAAGTTATAGGTTTTAGGGAAAAATCTTAACTTTTCTCTGCTTTATTTTTCTTACCTGTAAAATGTGGATAATAGTTCTGTCATCCCTAGAACACGGTAAAGTACTTAAACAATGTTCATTATTATTTCTATAATTATTAGACTATAATACCTCATTATTATTAAATATTTATTACTATAATTGTATACTATCTCAAAGTCTAGGGGAAAAGGGACAATACTTAAAGGAATGGATGAATGCATAGATATATATATAAATGCATAGACTATATAGATGGAGAGCATAGATATATATATAAATGCATAGACTATATAGATGGAGAGAGATGTCTTTTACCATGCACTAACAAACACCGAACACTGTTTGTGCTGTGTGATTTAAACATATTGCCTCATTTAATCCTGATACCGTTTGATGAATTCCAACCAAATAACATTTTTACAGACTATGTGACCGGGCCTCAGTGACACTGTGGTAAATTCCTTTATTGCCCAAAATTATTTGAACTTTTTTCTGCTCCTCACTGTTATGAAAAGCAGCATAATTTCCCATGTCACTAAATGTGAGGTTGTCACTTTGACTAGCTTTGACCTCATGGTGGGCAGAACACACTTCTTCCCCTCTTGACTTTAGTTCTGTCCATGTGACTTACTTTAATGAGATTTTATTATATATGATGTGAGCAGGAGCTTGAAATGTGCTTGTGCAGAGAGACTTGCCCCCTTGTGTTTCTGTGATTGAATGAGAAGACCATGGCCAGCTAGCCTACTGGCCCAAGAAGGAAGTGAGTCACAGGAAGAACACCTGGATCTAACCTGTACCTTGAATCCAAGCCTGGCCAAGCCCAGACTAGATCTGCCAAAGTCCACCCATACTGCAGACAAATGAGAAAGAATAAATAATTGCTGCTTGAGGTCGTGGGGTTTGGGGTGGTTTTTATGCGGCATTTTTCGGGCAATATGTAATGATCACATATTTTTCTTCAACTCAGGGAAACATAAGCACAATCCTTACTTACTTTCTACTGCAAGCATCTTAAACTCTAATGCAAGTAAGGTGATTAAATTGAATACGTGCAAGAAAACTTGTGAGTGCGTCCAATTTTTTAAGAACCTAGTTAGTTTCTCTAATAATTAATGTATGATATACAGTAAAGTAGCAACTTAACTTACCAGAATGCTGACTCTCGGAGACCCATCACTGTCATCAGTTTCTTAAATTTTCCTCTTTCCCTTGCAACATTTAATGATGCAAAGTATATAAAAGAAGAGAAAGAAACTAAGCAAGTAAAATGAAACCATTCATTCATAATTTCTCCCTTAGAAATGAAAGGTGGTATCTTCATATTTATTCCAATAACTGATGTCAACTCCTCCATTACAGAATGATTTGTTGTGACCTAAATTGGGACATTAGCAAATTTATTATGTGAACTATAGACAAAATATATTAGAAAACTATACACTTTTTATTTTCGATTTCAATATTTACATATTCTCATCATTTTAAAGTATGAACTATTAATATCAGAACAATCTTAATAACTTTTGATACCAATTGACATTAATTATAAGAGTCATTTGAGAAATTACTGAAGGTCTGTCATGCATAATATACTGTGCTACGTAATGGGGAAACAGCAGCAATTCAAACAGAAACACTCTTCATTCTCATAGAGATTTACATTTTGTAGCGCAGCAGAAGAAAGGAGAGATATTAAATAAATCATTGCATAATAAATTGTTTAGTTACAATTGAGCAACTATGTTCAAAGAAAAGTGTAGGAAAATCAAGAAAGGCTTCCCTAAAGAAGTGACATTTTTACTGAGTGTTGAAGGCTGTGATCTTTCCTAAACAAAGATTGGGGGAGGGGGGGTGGTTGAGGATGGAGAAGAAAACTGTGAGCAGAGTAAACAGTATATGAAAAGGAAAGAAGGTGTATAGTGCGTTGGAGCACAGAAAAGAGGTTCCTGCCACAAAAACAAATAAATAGACTGTAGATAAGGCTGAAGAAATAAACCACTCCCATAGTTTAGGCAAGATATGATAAAGATGTGCCCTTGTGCAGGTGGCAGAACTGAAGTACATAGATTTGAGCTTAGAAATAAGAGGCCAGGTAAAAGATTGGATGTGATGAGTGAGACAGAGAAAATTTTCTCTGATAATCCCCAGTTCCTTTTACTCAGCTAGGTGGTTTTAGCATTCACTGAGATAGGGAAAATTTTATAAGACTCAGTCACATTTACAGAAAAACATCCATGTTCATTTTTGCGCATACTAAGTTTGAATTGCTTGAGACATCAAAGTAGAGGTATCCAGCACACAGTCAGATACATGGAGCTAGAGCAGACGTCTAGCTCTTTTAGTCCCTAGCTCCTTTAGAGGTCAGCAAACTTTAGTTCCCAGACCAAATCTGACCCACCACCTGTTTTTGTATATAACATTTTATTGAACACAGGCACACTCATTTGTTTGTGTTATCTACAGCGGCTTTCATACTACAACAGCAGAGGTGAACAGTTACAACACATTTGGCCCCCAGAGCCTAAAATATTTACTGTGTGGTCCTTTACAGAAAAATGTTGCTAGTCTACAAGTTAGAGTTCTTGGAGTCATCAGCATATAAATTATAATGAGAAGTACGGGAATAAATGAGACCATCTAGAGAAAACATATGGGATAGAAAGAGATGCCTGAGATAGAACTTTGTGGAACTACAGATAGAAAGATGTAGGAGTGTAAGGGGAGATAAGTTGGCAAGAAGACTGAGAGGGAAAGGCTAGAAATGGAGAAGGGAAATCAGGTGAATCTATGTTATTTAGTTGAAATATCAAGTAAGGTGAGGAATAAAGAAGCTGTTAATTGACATGGAAGTTGTTATTTACCTTAGAAAAAGCCCTTTTGATGGTGTGGTAGGGATAGATAATATTGAGTTGAGTTGAGTCAAAGGAGGACAACCCTTTCAAGAAACTTAGCCATTAATAGAAGGAAGTTAGGGTAGTTGTGTGAAGAGGAAAGTGGATAAAGGAAGGTCTTGACCATAAGTGAAGAAATTAATTTTAAATCCTGAAGAGAAGAATCTAGCAGAAAGGCAGAGATTGAAAAGAGGAGACAAAAACAAAAGTCCATAGTTGAACTTTGCTGATGAAGTTGGGAGGGATGGGATCCAGACCATGAACTGAGGAAAGACATTAGGGATGAAGAAAGAGAATGTGTGTAGGGGGTCATAGGTCTGTAGTTTTACAGGGTTTATGTTAGAAGTTGGGAGATATTCCCATGTGACAGCTTTTGTTTTCTCTGAGGATGACAGGCAAAGTATCACCTCCTAAGAGTGTAAGAGTAAGGTAGGGGATGAGGCAGATATTTAAAAAGAGGGAAGAATACAGATTTAAAATATAGCTTTGAAGTTAGGCACTTACTTCTATAATTGCAGCATTAATTGCAGCTTGAAAAGCTACAAACCCTTTTAGCCAGTACTTTGCCAAGTAACAAAAAATTTCACCATGCATGGCCCAACAGTGTTCTTTAAGGAAGAAGAAAAACATGTCCATAGTTATATAATGGAGTCAACTCCTGGAATTAAAACTTTAACTTTGGCTCAAAAATCAAAATATCTAAATGTTAGCTCAAAGCCTATGATTATATGATATAGAGGATTTTTAAAGTACTCTACAGAATTGGAGAAAAAAAGAACATATGATGGCAGGGGCAGTGGCTCATGCCTGTAATCCCACCACTTTGGGAGGCCGAGGCGGGTGGATCATTTGAGGTCAGGAGTTCGAGACCAGCCTGACCAACATGGTGAAACCCCATCTCTACTAAAAATACAAAAAAATTAGCCTGTAGTCCCAGCTACTTTGGAGGCTTAGGCAGGAGAATCACTGGATCTCGGGAGGCAGCGGTTCCAGTGAGCCAAGATCGCGCCACTGCACTCCAGCCAGGGTGACAGAGGGAGACTCCATCTCAAAAAAAAAAAAAAGGACATATGAGTAGTTGCCAAAATAATGAGACTCATCCTAAGTTAAAGACTGATGATTAAGTTCAGAGGGAAATGTATATTAATTCTTTACTTGGTTGTATTAATATTCCTATCAGTCATTCCAAACAGGGGATTCCATGAAGTATCAAAAAAAAATTATAATCAGTTTTTTTATAGTTACCTGTGTATTCAGAGTGCTCCTTTATAACTGGGATTCTATATCCCCAATTAAACTTCAGGCGATATGAGAAAGTATCACTAAATATAACTCCCACCATTTCATGGTATTTTTTTGGAAGTTCTATATCCATGGTCTCTTCATCTGGTGTCCCAATGACTGTTCTTCCTACCATGTATGAAAAACATAAATAAATAATCATGTAAACTTATTACTAGAGGACACAAAAACAAAATACAGTTGCTTGTTTTATATAAAATTAGTGGTATTATATATTATTTCTGGATAGCTGCCTCTTAGTAAAAGGCTGAGTGAAACTATTGTTTTAAGTTCAATGCAAATACATGAAAAGACACAAAGGACACATTGTCTTTTAAAAATCTGCAGCATATTGCTTTTAGTGTGATCTCATTTTGGTAAAGAAAACTGAATTTATGTGCCTATGTAAGCATAGAAACATACTCTATATATGACCATGTGCATATTTGCCTTGAAGGATATACACAATTTGAATGAGGGGTAGGGGAGGAGAGGGGGTAGGGGAGGAGAGGAAGTAGTGGTGAAGATGAAAGGAAAAGCTCTCATATTTTTGCTTCATACAAGTTTGTACTATTCAACTTTTTTTAAAGTAGATATTACTTTAGTGACTAAAATAATTTAAGAATTAAAAGGAAAAATATTTAAAGTAAGCAATACAAATACTCAGAATTTGGTGTTTTCTCTTTTTCTGCCAAGATTATAAACTGATATCACATGAAAATAGTACACTAGAGGTAAATTGTATACAAAAAATCAGAGTACAAAAATAAAAAATATAGTCTACCTACAGATTCTCTGAGGTCAAGAACACTCTCTAAGAATTAAGTGTATAGTAATCAGTGCATAAATGAATGAGTTTACAATCTGCAGGAGTAATCCACCCACTAAGTGTTTAATAGATCTATTACTAACAGAAGCTTTGAAAATCACTGGTCCAATTAGTGCCTCCTTTTTCACGTTTATGTATTATGTTCTAAAAATTTTATTAACTTTGTATCTCACTCAGGGTGAAATCTACATTAAGATGAAAAAGCTGTTTATTTTATGCTGTAGCCATACCTTTCAAAACTCCTCATCCTTCCCAATATAGAGTCAGGCGGTGAAACTTTTATGAGGACAGTGCTAACATCACTGATTTTCTCTAGGGGTATAAAAAATACTGTCAAGGCCAAACCATGAATATTTATGCTAAAAAGCAAGAGTTAGATAAATGTAGAATAAGACAGTGAGAGAGGAGCTGTGGTTGGAACAGGCGAGCATGGTAGCTGGAATGAGATATTTTATATAAGAAAGAGACAGAGTCCAGTGGTCCGTGAGACTAAGACAGAAAGTGGCTATTAGCTTACACTGTGCATACAGGAAGAATAGTCCCTGAGGCTTCAGTAAATGCTTCATGAGTTCAGAAAAAATGAGGTAAATGACTACACAAAGGAAGTGAATAGAGACAGATCAGGGCAGAATCAACACTGTGGTCAGGCAGAACATGTAAACAATGCAAGTAAGGGAGGCCCACCAAAGTCAAAGCTCCAGAAACTGCAATGAAGAATTACAAAACAGGGTAAAGCAGCCAGGGATAACAATACCCATTCGAAAGCTTGGATAGGTTAGGCACAGAATATTAGCAACTCACATAAAATAATTAAAATTCAGAGTTTGGAGGTGTCCCTTGGCATGGCAATCCAGACACCAAAAAACTAAATAAAAGTTTCAGAAAGACAAGAAAAAGCAGTGATTAGAGCTGAGACGTTAACAGATTGGATAAAATGTACAAAAGGATGAAATGGCCAATGTTCAGAACCCTGGCAGAATGAGGGCTAACAACAAGAGAAATTTGATAGTAGGCTAAGATTGCTGAAGAAAAGAACATTTTATCCTGATACTTTCCCTATGCAGGAGCAAAGGCCTCTATGGAGAGTCCAGAGACCACAGCTGACCACCAATAGTTACTCCTAATGGCAGTAGAGATATAAAGGATGGTAGGCAAAGGTCTCACATAGTAAGTAGGACTCTCAGGTGTTCTTATTTCTTTATGAGATGCATACATCAAATTAATGCAGCATCCTACATAACATAGAGACATCTATTTTCTGAGTCCAGATATGCAGAAAAAGTCTTATGGGAAAAAAAAAAAAAAAGCCTCACTACTCTAAGATCAAGGGCTGTGAATTTGTTGACTTTCAGTAGCCAATACCTGATTTGATTTTAAATAATTTTAAATGCCCTGAGCTGTACATTTTAACTATTTTTATACACCAAACAGTAATGCTTTTTCAACACCATTGCTAAGCTTGAGTTTGAATTTCAAACACCTTTGATTTATAATTCCTATATACTGGGAACTATATTTATTTCAATCTCAATTGAAAATAATTAAATCCTTAAAATTTTTTGAAACTCTTTAAATTATAGAATACCAACCCAAATATAAAGTTTTTTAAGTTAAGTTTTGGAAAAGTGAAATTTGTATCATCTAAAATGGGTCCAATCTTTTTTTCCTACTGCAACAATATGTTCTAGTATAAAGGGCAAACGGTATGCATATCATTAAAAACAAACAAACAAACAAAAGTAAATCATTTCATCTGTTGCCCACCTACCCTTAGCTTCACACCAACCCCTGTACTGCATATATAATGAGAATCTTTGCCTCAGTTGAGAATCACTGACACACAGGCTAGGTAAGTAAATTCAACCTGCAAAAAGAACTTGAAAATTAAGTCACATAATACTGAAACATTGGTTATTGGACAACACACCTTTCATAAAGGAAGCCAAGGCCATCTTATTCATTATCCTTTGTGTTATGTTACTGACTGGTGTATATGCCACTACCAGGCCAGAGTCATTAAACTGATCCACGCTTCCCAGGACTTTAGGAGGTTGTTCAGGAAAACGGGTAGCTCTGAAGTGTTCCGAAAAGATGCACAAATATAGCCCTAGAAACAATGTTATTGTCCATTCCTCCAGCACACAAAAGAGAAATGAGCCATGTTATAACGTGGTCCAGACCAGTGAGAAACATCCAAACACATTTTTAAGGCAGAATGTATTGCCATTGAGCATGACTTCATTTCAGTCTGTAATTTTTTTCTGCCCAAATTAATATCTACCTTTTAAAGAAAAAAACACCCTTTCAAAAATACACAACTTTTGAGATAATATCAACAATTGCAATCAATCTTAACCCAGTGATTTAGCACCCCTATTAGTGGGACTGCCATTGATTTTATGCCCTCATATTTGAAGCAACGTAAGTATATGGCATCACACAGAAGATACTCTTGCCAAAAATATTTAACCAGAATTGGATCCTGCTTTTAGATCCAGCTCACTGCTTACAAAAAATATAGATGATAAAGGGATGACTTAAATGACAGCATGGAGAGGCAATCAGATAAAAAGAGAACATGGAATATTCAACAGGATAACTAGTTTTGTCTCATTGGTTCCTGAACAAATCAACCTTAAAAGACATTTTGGGGGAAATTTGGAAAATTGAATTTGGCCATGGAACTAGATGATATGGAATTATTTTTAATTTTGTGTAGTGGGATAGTGGTAATGTAGGGAACCAAGTTCTTAATTTTTTGAGATACTAAAATATTTAGCCATTACATATATTTTAGGGAAGAAGAGGAGACAGAGAGATGAAGCAAAGATGGCAAGATGTTAACAGCTGTCAAATCTGGATGGTGGATGTATAGGTGTTCATTGTACCAATATTTTCACATTTCTGGATTGACATACTTTTTTTAAATTCTAGTGAGTAATAAATATAGATGTATCCTTCTTCAATATACGAAGCAAAATATTTGATCGAACTGCTTCGGAAGCTATTGCAGAAATTTAAAAGGATGATATAAATCCTGTTAGCTCCCACTGAAATGGTACTGACTATTTCTGAACAGACTGCAATCTCTACATGGTCAAGGCAGATCCAGTTATATCTCATAGTAACACAAAGCAATGTCTTAATATTCATGTCAGCATACAAGAAACTCAACAGAATGCAAAGGTATTGACAATCTGTGATCTTATTCCATGAAACCATTCTATGTTTACAAAAAGCACGGCTTTGAAGAGATTCCAAAAAAGTTTGCAGATTTTTACTCATAGATATTTTCCCAGCCTTACCAAATAACATGACATTAATCGAAATGTCCCCAAATAGTATCAGGGTTTGCCCACGTAAAAATCTATTTTATTTTGCCTAGCTTATCTTTCCCCTGGCTGTCCCTGCCCCCAACACAGAAGTTAGCTAAGAGTAAATCAGAATGACTCTGAGATTTGAATGCATTAATTATGTGGAAAATGGCTGGTTCTATTCTGCAAAAGATTATTTTTCAGGAGCTGTCAGATGAGCTTTTTAGTTAATTTCACATTTGACACAAATATTATCCTATTTTGCAAAATATATATCGTTTTGCAGTATTTAGAATCTCAAATCAACTAGCCAGTATGATAATTAAAAATCAGAATTTATAAACAAGAAAAGTAATAAAAATGGCATAATACTATATGGTGGATTTTCATTTATTAATTATGGATATATATATATATATATAGTGAATCATACCAATAAACTCTCTTTTTATTCTCCATTTTTTAAGAAAATTCTTGTACAGAAGAGCCTGAATTTGTTGACGCACGCTTATCTCTTTTTTAACCATTTTGTCCTGTTCATTAACAGGGTAAAGTAAATATTGCAGAGCAATAGCTAGGGGAAAAAAGAAAAAAAAAAAGTTCAGTTACAGAAAGCCTTTGAACATTTTGAAAGCATAATTTTCAGATGTGCCAACTAAATGCCTTATATGACACTGTAGCAACATATTCAATCAGGATTTTAAAAAAGAATATAAAGTATTAGTAATTATAAAATGTCTTCTCAGTTGTTATTTCTCTCCAGGCTTTTATGGCTATGAGGGAGATAAAGGAGATAGTATATAAGACCTTTCTCCTTTTGTCTCAGAAGTCACTTTTTTTCCATGAAATCTTAACATTACATCCACCTAAAGTAAATCCCTCAATAAGATCTTAGTAATTTTTAGAATCCAAAAAACACTTTCTCTTTACTTGTTAAGAAAAAGAAGTTTAACAGGAAGAAACCACTTTGCAGTTCCTTGTCAGTCAGCAATTTGACCACAAGCTGTCTTATTTTGAATTGCACATCTGGGCACATGTATTTGATATCTTGTTAACCACTGGGCAAAGCAAAGTCGAAAACATTACGGCCATTCTTAGAATCCCAAAAAGCTAATTCCTCTTTTTTAAATCTCCATTTATGAAGTAAATATGTAAGATACATACAGATTAAAACCAAAAATATTGGCTAATATGACTAGAGTAATTGATTTGTAATAATGATCCTTATTCTTTGTTTTCAATTTGAAAATCCAGAGCTGATCATTTGGTGTCACAACTATGACTACTGAAGTCCATTTGAATAAATGTTGATATTATATACAAATTACAATGTTCAGAGAGAACTTGCTATATTTCCCCTTTTTCATAAAATAAAAGGCAAAGCCAGCAAAACCCAATATAATCTCTAAATTCTAACTTAAGAAAGTAGAAACATTAAAACACCAATCTTCACTTTATGGATACAGAGGTCTACTTAAACAGCTCCATAAGCAAACCACAAAAACATTTTAAAAGAACAAAAGAACACAGAAAAAAGGAACTTGCCCTAATGCTCACACATTCTAAAGAAGTAAAACCATACAAATTCTCAAAAGGATATTCAAAGCAGTGTCAGAGAGAGAATTTATTGTCTGATAATATTTATATACACCTCTGAATCTAGCCATCTTTCATTTATCACACTAAAATGTTACATAAGTTTTTAAAATAAAATAACTCACTAGTACTATAACATAAAGCATAAAATAATTTAGAGCATCTGAATAATATAATTTTAAAAATTTCAATCAATATGTTTGGCTTTGGCTATATACTTTATATCTTTAAAACCTTATGCAAAGTGAAAATGTAAAACAAATTTTAACTTACAGTTAAGAAAATAAGAGAGAAGTATTTGAAGCACTTGGATCCACTGGTCTCTTTTTGTCCAAGAAAACAATGAAGAATCCTTCAAGGACTCCTCTACAAATGGTTGCCTCTTTTAAAACTGTTTTGATTCAGCTTGGCTTCTGAAAAGCCATGGTCTGTGTGTAGAACATGCCAACAAATTCTGTTGGTTTTTTCCCTATGTTTTTCTCCTTGTCCAGTTACTCTTCAGAGAGTGTAATGAATTGTTGGCTGAGCGCATCATTGGTATTTGTTTATTGCTCTTTTTGGCATACACACAAAAAAAGAGATCAAATTCAAAAAGAAAAACCCACATATTTACAATTGCATGGATAACTACATATTTACAATTGCATGACTTTTAATAATTAAAAATTTGACAGCCAAGCTAAAAAAGGAGCAAATTAAAGATAAAGTTGAACAGAGAGAGAGAAAATGAGGATTGCTCATCTCAGAAATCTGAATCATTCCAATGAGAAAGTTTCATCTGAAAGTTAACTGCATTTCAGTTAAATGGTTCCTTGTATTCACTAATTCCTATGTACTAGAAAGTGTTCTAAGGGTTTAAATGAATTCTCCCATTTGATACTCAAAGCAAACCTACAAAGTTGGTACTCTACTCACATCCATTAAACAAATTTGAAAGGTGGGGCTAACAGGTGAAGTTATTTGCAGATGTTTAAATAAGTGTGAAGCCAACAGATGAGTCCAGAATAGTATCTGGACTCCAAGATCCCTCACTCTTAACTACCACTATGAAAATGGTGCTAATCAAGACAATGATATCTGATACCCATTTAAAAAGTGTAGTGGTATAGACTAGATGGCATAACTTTAATGATTTTGTTACTTTTTTTTCAGCTACAACTAAATTGGATATTCTCAGAATGGCAAATAATGCCTCTTTATCAACCCTGAAAATCTTTTTATGTGATTTTAACTATAATAATACACTTCTTGGTATGCATACAGAAGCTAATGCCCATTCATGAAAGTGACAGAGACAGAAAGGGTAAAGGACTCAGAGACTCTTCAAATGATTACCATTTTCATTAGGAATATGGAAATAAATGGTTCCTTTAATTGTAAATGTCACTAACAACAAAGGAAGCATACTTTAATTGCTTTCCTTTGTTGTTAGTGACATTTCTCTTCCTATTCAGGCAAAATCATTACTAGAAGTAAAAGTTCATGAAATAGAAAACATGAAACTTAACCTGGTTCCGATCCCAGACATTAATGGTAATATTCACTTAAATGGGTGGGGAAAACAATTAAAATCATACTATAATACAGACATACACCCTTCTTAATCACCAAATTTTTAAAATATTTTTTATTTCCATAATTGCTGTGATTTGAATGTCTCCTCTAAAATTCATGTTAAAATTTAATTACCAATGAAACAGCATTGAGAAGTGTAGCCTTTAGAAGTGGTGATTAGGTCATGAGGGCTCCACCCTCATAAATGGATTAACACTATTATCTTGGGAATGGGCTCCTGATAAAAGGATGAGTTAGGCCCAATTCTCTCTCTCTCTGTCTCATGCACATGCTTCCACCTTTCACCTTTCCACTGTGGGATGACCCTCACCAGATATCAGTGCCATGCTCTTGGACTTCTCGGCTTCCAGAACTGTGAGAAATAAGTTTCTTTTCTTTATAAATTACCCAGTCTGCTGGGTACAACTAAATCTGTGGTGTTCTGTTATAGCAATAAAAAACAAGCTAAGACAATAATTTTAGGGATTTCAATCTCCAATACGGTACAGTTGGGAGTCTGAGACCTGCATTGCAGACTTGTCACTCATTGTCTGTGTCCCTTGGAGAGGTCATATAAAATCCTCAGGTCTCTGTTACACATTTATAATAGGATTTGGACCCTTTTCATTCTTAGCCTTTACATATTTATAATTATACAGTTCTGCTACAGAGTCAGAATGTTGAAATACTCCAGATTTAGGCTTATGCACATCCACGTTACATAATACCAACTAGCACCTCCTCATCAAACTCTTCCTTACTCTTGAGTCCTTGACCCCTGAAAGCACGATGGCTTTCAGCAGGTAAATGTACTATATTAATGAACAATCAGAGGCAATTTGGCAGAAGTTTTCCTCCACATACCTCTATTTCATTCTAATTTCCCAGAGGAAACTCAGCCAATTTTTTCTAAACTCAACACCACTGCAGAATCCTTCGATCAAATTCTATTACCTAATCTAAAAATCTAGCTCTCTTGGTTATCTCTTTTTATTTTATTGTTAATTTCTATTACAATCTCTTCTCTCCTTCCATCTTTCTTTACATATGACTGGCAATTACATATGAGAAAATATTGTCACTGCCAGCTTTCTTAAGCTACCTTATCTTATAAAATATCTTATAAACTAGCTCATCTTCTTACATTCCCTGCCCAAATTTCCATTGTATTAGTTTCCTAGGGCTGCCATAACAAAGTACCACAAACTGGGTACCTTAGAAATTGATTTGCTCAAAGTGTCAGAGTCCGGAAGTCCAAAAATCATTGTCCTATCTGAAAAGCCATGCTCTCTCTCCCAGCTTCTGGTGATTGCCAGCAACCCTTGTCATTCCTTGACTTGCAGATACGTAACTCTAATATCTGTGTTGTCATTACGTGGCATTCTCTCTTCTATGTGCCTGTGTCTTCAAATGGCATTCTCCTGTGTATTTGTCTCTTTCATTCTACTAATTTTGAGTTAGTTTGCTCCTGTTATTCTAGTTTCTTGAGTTGCCATGTTAGGTTATTTGAGATCTTTCTACTTTTTTGATGTAGGCAAGTATTGCTATAAACTTCCCTCTTAAAACTGCTTTTGCTGTATCCCTTTGGTTCTAGTATATCATGTTCCCCCTTTTTGACTCAAGAATGTTCTAAATATTTTCCTTTTTAATTGCTCCATTGACCCATTAGTGGCTCATGAGGATGTTGTTTAATGTCCGTGTATTTGTACCATTTCCAATGTTCCTCCTGTTATTGATTTCTAGTTTTATTCCATTGTGGTCAGAAAAGCTACTTGATGTAATTTTGATTCTTTTAAACTTGATGAGACTTGTTCTGTGGCCTAACATATGACCTTTCCTGGAGAATATTCCATGTGCTGTTGAGAAGAATGTGTATTCTGCAGCTGTTGGACAGAATGTTTTATAAATGTCTGTTATATCCATCTGGTCTAATATGTGGTTTAATTATAATGTTTCTTTGGGATTTTCTGTCTGGATGATCTGTCTATTCCAGTTCCTTACAATTATTTATTGCAGTATATTTGTCCTTTTAGATCTATTTATATTTGCTTTATATATTTCGGTACTCTTATGTTGAGTACATATGTATTTATAATTATTATATCCTGTTGCTGTACTGGCCTCTTTATCATTATATAATGGCTTTATCTCATTTTAAAGTTTTGGTTATTTTATCAGATATAAGTATAGCTACTCCTACTCTTTTTTTTGTTTCTATGTGCATAAAATATCTTTTTCCATCTCTTCATTTTCAATCTATGTGTCTCTTTACAAGTGTAGTGAGTCTTTTGTAGGCAGCAGATAGTTGGGTCTTGTTTTTTATTCAATCAGCCACTTTATGTCTTTTGATTGAAGAATGTATTTCATTTATATTCAAGTTAATTATTGATAGATGAGGGCTTACTGCTGCCATTTTGATACCTGTTTTCTAGTTGTTTTGTGGACCCTTTCTTCTCTTACAATCTTCCTTTGTGTGTAAATGATTTTCTCTAGTAGTGTTTTGATTTCTTGCTTTGTATTTTTAATATATCTATTATAGGTTTTTGCTTTGTGGTTACCGTAAGGCTGACAAAAAAACATCTAACAAGTTATTTTAAAATAACTTAACTTTGATAGCAAAGGAAAAATAAAAAAACTGTACACTTAATTCCATTCTCCTCCCACATTTTGAATTTTTGATGTCACAATTTTTAAATTTTACATTTTATATTGCCTATCTCTTAGCAAATAATTTATTATTTTTAATAGTTTTGACTTTTATTCTTCATACTAACGATATAAGTGGTTTATGCTCCACAATTACAGTATTAGAATAACAATCATGTTAGCATTCTTCTCTTTAGATTAGAACTCCCTTCAGCATTTCTTATAGGACAGGTCTGATAGTAATGAATTCCCCTCAGCTTTTGTGTGTCTAGTAAAGTCTTTATCTCTCCTTCATTTCTGAAGGACAGCTTTGCTGGATACAGTATTCATGGTTGGCAGTTTTATTTTCCTTCAGTACTCTGAATACATCATGTTCCACTCCATCCTGGCCTGTAAGGTTTCTGCTGGAAAAGTCTCTTGTCAGGTGTATTGGAGTTTCCTTATATGCTATTTGCTTCTTTTATTTCTCTATTTTCAGGGTCCTCTATTTGTCTTTGACCTTCCAAAGTTTGATTATAATATATCTTGGGGTATTCTTATTTGGGTTGAATCTGATTGATTAGCTGTGATCTTCCAGTTCCTGTATATTTATATCTTTCTCCAGGTTTGGAAAGTCCTATTATTATTTCTTTGAATAACCTTCACACTGCTTTGTCTTTCTCAACTCTCTCTTTAACTCCAACAACTGGAATATTTTCTCTTTTAATGTTGTTCCATCAATTCCATAAGCCTTCTTCACTGTCTTTTCATTCTTTTTTTTACCTCCTCTGATTATTTCCAAACAGCCTGTCTTTGAGTTCCCTAATGTTTTTATTCTATTTGATCAGTTCTGCTCTTGATGGTCTCTATTTCATTTTTCATTATGCTCCCTGTATTTTTCAACTCCGGCATGTTTGTGGTTTTTTTAATTATTATTTCAATCTTCATTAAATTATCTGATAAATTTCTGAATTGTTTTTCTGTATATTCTTGAAGTTCATTGATCTTCCTTAAAACAGCTATTTTACATTTTTTGTCTGAAAGATCACAATCCCCATCACTTTAGGGCCAGTCCCTGGTGCCTCATTTTGTCCAGTTGGTAAGGTCATATTTTCCTAAATGTTCTTGATGCTTGTGGATGTGTGACAATGTCTGCACATTGACGGATTAGGCATTTATTCTAGTTTCCCCAATCTGGCTTTGTTTATATCCATTCTTCTTCAGGAGATCTTCCACAGACTCTAAGGAGACTGACTGTTGTCTTCCCTGAGCCCAAGACCAGTACAGCTGTCTCAGCATTAGAGCATTAAAGGGCATGCTAAGCCCAGGTTTGCTATGAGTCTTGGGAGAGCTCTGAGATTTATGCAGCTTTCTAGCCCAGATAGACCTGGGGAAGACCAAAGAAGGGTACCCAGGTTGTATGAAAAATCTGGCCAGAAACCTAAACCCAGAAGACTGTTCTGGTAGCTAAGATGGATGTCCATCTCCTACAGTCCCTGGACAGGTGAGGTAGTTCATTGATTGTAGCAGGTGAGGCCAGGGCTGAGACTGGGGACCCTTGGATCTCCTGCAGAAGGCAGCTGGCAAGCCTATCTTATTGGCTCAGATGAGTGTGCATCTCCCAGCAAGTCTCTGCACAGATGGGCTAGTTCCCTGACTGCAGAGGGGTCAGAACTGAGGCTGGCTTCCCTCAGGATCTATTATGGGACAGAGGCTGGAGAGCACAACATGGAAGTTCAGACTCCCAGGATGCAAGACATGGGCGAGTCTCACTCTAGGTCCTTGTGTGAGCAGTTCTGAGCTGGGACTTTAGCAGAGAAGGGCTGAAGTCAAGTCACAGGGCAACTTTCAGATTCATTGTCAGCAGTCAGAGGAGGCTCTCTGTTGAGGCACTAGTGTACATGATTCTTTCTGGACTCCTTGGCAGATGGTTTTGGTTGTAGGCTCAAGACCAAATGAGTTTTTAGCCAAGCTCCTTGGGGAATGGAACCATTTCCAGGCTTGAACCCAGAAGCAAAATCAGCAGATCAGCCACTAGGGTGCTAGTCTGCACTCTCAAAACAACCTCTAGGTCTTGGGATCCACTGGGGTTTCACAATCTTATACCTGAATCCTGAGGCTCCTGCACAGAGACTTTGGTCTGTGGTGGTGCAGAATTATTGTTGTTATGGGGGGTGGCGGGTAATGAGTGGGTTACCTTCTATTATGTCATCTTGCTGGCATCACTCTCCCCAGTTAATTTTGATGCTGCTGGTCAATGAATTTTTTGCTCTACAAAATTTGCATAGAGCAATGAAACAATGGCGTTCACAGAGTAAACCTTCAATTAATCTTAATTACCATTTTTAATGCTTAGTTCTTATACGTCAAGTCTCTTCTAACAATTGGAATTGTTTTACTTCTTAAATATTCCAAATAAAATGCCACTTGTTTTTTGCTCATCTTGATGCTTTCTCCCAGTGGGAATTATCAATTAAATTCTTAAGTAATGATTTGTTTAAGGAAAAAAATTAACTAATTTTTCTGAAGGATGTGACTATCACTGGTTTTCCCTTTTGAAGCAAAAGAAATGAGAAGTAAAAAATTAGATTTGAGACTATGGTTACATCTTTATTTAAAAAGACGATAAACAACACCATTTCTGGAGGTTTCCTTTAACCATCTCTGCCCATCTCCCTCCAAGTTATCCCAGTTATCAATAAAATTTACTTTCAATATTAGAGATAACTAGATTCTGTGCCATTTGGAGAGTGCCTGAAACGTTTCCTATTTTGTGGCTCCTCAAAGAGACCAAAGGAGGGATTTATAACCGGTGATTACAATCTAACTTCAGGTTCTTGTCCTGTCCTATCTAAGAACCATTCCTGTCCTTTTCAACCTCTAGCTGTTCTGCCTTCTTTAAGTTTGTTGAATGGCTAGGAGTATCCTCTGGCTCACCCCTCTTACTTTGTTCTAACCTCTTGAACTCTATTACTGCCTCACCATTTCTCAAATGAACTAGCACTTGGGTGACTCTGGCTCAGAAGAGTTCTGCTCTGGCTTCTTAGTTCATTCAGTTCTGGCTTCTTAGACTGCCTTGCTGTCACTGCCACTACTCAAGCGGCCTTACCCCACCCCTTTCTGGGACCAGAAAGGTATCCCTTTGGCACAAGCCTCTGCTGCCATCTGGTGGTCAGAGTTTCACTCTTTTTCTGTCCCATTTCTACTAGGCACCCACCCACACCTTGCATTGTGCTGCTTCCACCTGGCAGGATTAGAAACTGTATCTCTCATGGTTACTGAGATTTAAAAAAAAGAAAACAAAAAAAACAAAAACAAAACCTTAATTTTAAAGTTAGAGATGCAATACTTTTAAATAATCTTGACACTGTCACATTTCAGTGTAAAATTCATTGTCCCCCAGCACAGTTACAACTCTGAATTTAAATTGTACATTGTAAATTCTTTTGAGCTTTAACTAGGCAAAAGAAAACTTCCAGTGGCTTTCTATACAATTCAGTTCTCAACTTTTGTCTCAGTTGTCTGCTGTATAGGTTTTGTATCCTCAGCTGCATGGGAATAACCATGAGGACAAAGATAAGATCCTGGGTTTGCATCTTACAATACCTATATATATATGGCCAAGTCAAATAGTAGTAGGATTTTTTGAAAAGATTCTTTCTTTGAACTTCAAAATGTAAGCAAAGCTATTCAAACTTGTGGATCGGCCACACTGTCTTTATAAACAGTTTATTTTTATCCAGGGCACCTACTTCTAATATTTATAATGCAGGCTTGTAAATCCCCCCTGCCCAAAGTGAGTAGTCCCAAATTGGGAACCCCATTGAGAAATGACTTAAGAATAGCAAATAAGTAACTTCACATGTAAGAAGATAGTTCACATAATATTCAAAGACAACCTAAGATTAACTGAAAACAGCACTGAAAGAAGACATGCATTCAAATATGCACAAAGACCTTGAGAATAAGTCTGCAGACAGAGTCTATGAAACTGATAGAATGTATTTATTACAAGATTAGAATCGAAATTTTCTCCCTACTACCTCAATCTGAGTGAACCAGAATCAAGAATCTACCTCCTTTCAGCACTGAGTATGAAACATTACTTGTGTATGGAAAAACTACAGAAAATAATTAAAACAAACTTTTCCACTGACGCCTTTGGATAAATGAATCAATTTTCAACCCAAATCAATGCATTAAATCAGTATTTTCAAATGGGAGTAATTTTGTCTTCCTCCCCCTACCCCCACCCCAACCCTCCCTCAGGAAATATTTGGCAAAGTGTGGAGACATTTTTGGTCTTGGGAGAGTGTGCTACTGGCATCTGGTGGGAAGAGGCTAAGAATGTTACAAATACCCTGTAACACACAGGACAGTCTCTCACAACGAAAAATTATCCAGCCCAAAATGTCAATAGTACCAAGGTTAAGATACCCTGTATTAAACAATAGCAAATCACTTCAGTGCAAAATAAGTTTCCTAAGGAGAAATCCAGTATATTTTGGATAGTGAAGAGGAAATGGCAAAAGTTATTATTTTCTGGTCAAATATTAATGGCATGGGATTTTGATATACTCCTTCTGTAGCACAATGTCTAACCAAGGCTTCCAATATACTAGCCACTTCTTACTCATTTAATTCATGATGTCATCAATGGAGTCGACAAGTCTTACGTTCTATGAAATGACCAGCTGATCCAGGTCTCTTTTGGAATTTATTGGCAGAGAGAAAGAAAACCCTAAACGTAGCCTTAGGGCAGAGCAAAATGTATACTTTTGTACATTCCAGATCAATGCAAAATGTTTCTGATTGGAATGGAAAATGGGCCATTTGCCAAATCAGTGGCTGTATACCACATGACAGAAGCTCTTCTTAATCAGCTCTGGCAAAGATAGCACATCTGGTTAATCTACTCAACTGAAGCCAACAGTTGGCTGAATTTGCTCTAGACTAATATCCTCCTCTAGAACTGGATTTTTGCAGGACCAAGATTAGTATATTTAACACGGAAATATTATAAAGACCATCCCCCTCCCACTTGCATCTTTAGGTCTTTAAGGGTGGCACTAACTTCTTCCATTCCTTTCCCATTCCCTCTCCCAAAATGAAATGTTTTTATTTCCTATCTTGACTGCGGCTAGTACAGTTTTCTCACTGTAATTTCCCCAAAATTCATGTCCTTCCTAAAAGCCTCAGTAGGTGACTGTATTTAGAAAAAAGATCTTTGCAGATGTAAAAAGACAAGGTAATATTGGAGTAGGGTGGGCCCTAAATTCAAAATGACTGGCAACCTTTGAAGAAGACACAAGACATTCACAGGGAAGACAGCTATGTGACAAGATTGGAGATAAGCATCTGCAAGCTAAGGAACATGAAGAATTTCCAGCAACTGGCCGGGCACAGTGGCTCACACCTGTAATCCTAGCACTTTGGGAGGCCAAGGTGGGTGGATTATGAGGTCAGGAGTTTGAGACCAGCCTGGCCAATATGGTGAAACTCTGTCTCTACTAAAAAATACAAAAATTAGATGGGCATGGTGGCAGGCACCTGTAATCCCAGCTACTCGGGAGGCTGAGGCAAGAGAATCGCTTGAACCCGGGAGGCAGAGGTTGCAGTGAGCTGAGATCACGCCATTGCACTCCAGCTTGGGCAACAGAGTGAGACTCTGTCAAAAAAAAAAAAAAAAATTTCCAGCAACTACCAGAAGCTAGAAAAGAGGCATGGAACTGATTCTCCCTCTGAGTATCCAAAAATGAACCAACCCTGCTGACATCTTGATTTTAGACTTTTGGCCTCTAGAACTGTAAGAGAATAAGCTTCTGTTTTTTTAAGCCACTCAATTTGTGGTACTATGTTACAGCAGCCCTAGAAAACTAGTATACACACTATGATAGTTCTTACCCCATAGGTCAAGAAAACAATGGGGGTTATGCCAACTCCCATGTATATCTATTCCAATTACAAATCAGGGACTAGAGACATGACAGATAGGTCTACAGACTAGTGGATTCTCTATGAACTAGCTCTAGGCTAGGATTTTAGTTATTATCTAGAACTCAAATGCCTCTTACTCTGTCAGAGAGGGCATGATGATACTTTACTTTGAGTCTTTGGACTTGTGTCAACTTTGACCCTGTGGTAAACAGGCCTTAAAATGATTGGGCATTCTGTTTTCTCCAGTATATAATTACCTGAGTTAAAGGCTATAGATTACTTTGGAGGAGGTCTGAGGAAACCAATACCATATATCATTTGCAGGGTCCCTCCTCCTAGGGACCCAACTTCTCTTTCAATTGGTTGTGGGTACAAAAACTGGCTCAGATCCAGAAACCAGAGAGGACTCATGACCTTCTGTTGAGGCAATTGTCTTCAACCTTCTGATCACCCATCATTGATTTAATTGTAAAGAATGAGTACTCCATTGATGATCCATTCATTTGGCCCCTACAGATGCAATGTTCTATTAAATATCTCCATAACTGTGGATCACTGTCCCCATCCCCCACAGCCTAGCTGTTGTCAAAGATAACATGGCCTAAAAACTAAAGCAGTGAAAACAAATTTTATTTGGTAACTACTGACAGTAGGGGAAAGAGCTGAGCTGCCTTCTGATCTGTACAGAGGTGATTGGGGTGTTTAAAAAGGAGAGTGGGAGTAGGGAGGTTGTAGGGGCTCAGCAGAGTCAGAGAAATAGAAAAGTACAAAGGGTTGGTCAGTGTGAATGTGATTAGGTCAGCTGTGTTTCTTAGCTGGCAATTATCAGTTAGGATTCTATCCTCTCACAGAGACTGGAAGACAGAGGCCTTATCCTTCTTGATAACTATTTTTAAAAAGAATGGTTCCCAGGTCGTTGGAGAAAGAAACATGTGAGCTGCAAAAGATACATATTTATAATTGTAAGCTCCTTTTAGTAAATAAATGCTCTAAGAAATCAGATCAGGGGCCTGTTATCATGTGTTGGCTACAACAAAAAGTAGATTTTTCTGGTAGTATTGAGCTTTCTCAGACTGTTATTTAAATGGGGGTAGGGACCTGCGATCACCCTACAGACACTGCCTTATGCTGCTAGAGGCCGTGCTAAAATTTGGTCAAGTCTCTCAGTGTCAGGCTTTCGACAGAGTTGTTCTGTGTTGAGAGCTCTGCAGTTCTTTTTACAGTAATTGTGTCCCCATGGTTTCTTAGGTTTCTAATTGTTGAGTGCTGCCACCCGGCCTCTATTAGTCAGGATTTTATCACCCCCATTGCTCTCTGTGAGCCCAGTGTTATCATGGTATCACTTACCATCAGCTCACAGGACAGCCACCTCTAGCTGTATAGTGACGTTGGCGTGCCCTTCAATAGTACCTTCCTTGTTCGTTTGAATTTAGTCATCTACTGTGTTTTCCAAACTCATATAGTACACCCACGCAGGATGCCTGGTTTTCTGGGTGTTTTCACCCTTTTCTTGCATCATGTACCATGGCTTTTCAATATTTATACATGACATTGGGTGGGCAATTGCTTTTTCCATGCAGGAAGCATCTTAACAGTGTGTTCTTGCTAAGAACCATCTCTTGGGATTCTTGCCAGGACATTAAAAATCCTTTAGGCCAGAAGAGTACTCTGAATAAACTCTTATCCAACTTTATGTTCTGCATTGTTTGATCATGCACCCTTAAAATCCAGTCCCATGCACATTCTCCTAGCTCTTATGGGTAGATGTGGCTAGCTCCTGCAGCTCTTGTGTGATACAGTACATTTCTTCCCTCAGAAATACCAGCACAACTTTCGCCAAGTTACTTTATGTCTTAATCCTTGTTATTGGCCATTAGGAAGGAAGTTAGGAGCAGATCCTGGAATGGGGCTTGTATTAGTTTGCTAAGGCTGCCCTAGGGAGTTGAAAAGTGTGACCCGTTTGATGGTAGCACTCTCAGAGGCAGGAGAAATAAGTTCTTTATTTCTGAAGGGGAATATAGGCAGTTCATTTCAGCATCCACAGGAGCCTGAACAATGGGCCATTCTATGGTCCCAGAATAGAGGAAATGGAGGGTTTGGAGTGGCTAACCTAGTTTCCAAACTAAAGCACTCTTCGGTTGGTACAGTGAAATGCAATTTCTTTAGTAAATAGTACCATGTGGTGAGATTTTGGTGGTCTGTCTTCTGACTGTGATATTAACTTGTTTCTGTAGAACTCTTCAGCTGCCTGACTTCTCTACATCATCAAGCCTCCAAGGGATGGGCCCCTTCCAAAGTTGTCTTCCTCTTTCCCAGCAGTGCTTTCCCAAGAAATCAATCACAAACTCAATTTCACTTTACAATTTCCTTCTTTTCAGTTCTTCAGTAGCTAAGATTTGTGCCACTGGGTCTCAAATCTGTTCTCAGAATTTCCTTACTCTGGGTAAGACCCCTTGCCTTCTGGCAGTGTGCTTCAGTTAACATTACCTATGTTTCACTACTGCTAGGGCCTTGCTGTACCATCAATACCCCCTGACTCTCAGCTTGTGAATGGGTTCCAAAACTAACACTGCTCCCAGTATTTATTTCCTTTGCTCACTGGACATCTCCACTTGGATGTCTAATGAGCATCTCAAACTTAACAAATACAAAACTGATCTTTCCCTCAAATCCTCAAACCTAAACTTCCACGGTCTTCTTCATCCACTTGATGATACTAGTAGAAGATACGTTCAGAGACATAATTGCTGATAATTCTACTCTTCCAGAGGCTCAGACAAAACAAAAAACAAAAAGCCCTTGTGTCATTGACTCCCTTTCTCCCATACTCCATGTACTATAATCTCCACCTTCTCAATATTCAGAATTAGACCACTTCTTATTCACCTTCCTGATTCAACTCACCATCTCTTGCCTCATCAAATGCAATGGCCTCCTAACAGGTCTCTTGTGCTCTGTCCCCTCATATCTGATTATTTTCAACACAGCAGCTAAACTGTTCCTTTCAAATATGCCTAATGTTGCCACACCTCTACTCAAAACCCTCCAATGACTTCTGATCTCATTGAATGTCAATAAAATGTCCATAAGGGCCCTTTCGATCCCATCTTCCACTAGTGTCCCCCTTAATCAGTTAGCTAAAGCTTCACTGGTTCTGTTTCTCAAATATGCCACTCACACCTTGCCTCAGGGCCTTTGTACTTGCAGTACCAACTCACCTTCTCAGTGTAGTCTTGCCTACATGAGATCAGTGTGCTTTCATCTGCAGCACCAAGAGTCCTTATCTCCCTCCCCATCATCTAACATACTATGTATTTTTTTAAAGTAGGTAATTTGTCTTACTATAATAAAAGCTCAGTGAGGGCAGAGACTTTTGTCTATTGTTTCAATAATGTATATGCCTAGTGCTTAGAAAAGTGCTTGATTCTTAACTGACATACAATAAAATATTTGTGAATACTGAATAATAATGAAAAGCAGTCTTTCTTTGAAACTTAAAGACTTTAGGCACCATCATAGACGGCTCTAAAAACTATCTAGTGTCTTAATTTGGTGAAGGTAAATTCAAAGGATGCCTACTTACTAAAGAATTAGAAGATACAGATAAGGCCTTTTAAAATTAGCAGATATGATAACACTAGAAGCTGAGATTTCTTACCAATTTGTAAAGCTTGATGTATAATTTTAATCTCATTCTATCACAAACTTGATTTCATGTACACTGATGTATGAGAATTTAAATGTAGTCAACAGAAAACCAATATCAACTACATCATAATCACATAACAATATCAATAGTATAATTTGGCCAAAGAAATTACTAGCCAATACATATACATCACAACTAGCACTCAACATCTTTTCCTACAACTATATGACAAAGATATGTTAATAAATAAAAATTAGATAAGGTGAACCAAAACAATAATGGTATTATTCTGTCAGTAAAATGACTATAGTATTATGGTTAATTAGACATATAAGAATTACAAAACAGAAAGGAAAGTAAAATTGCAACCCAGGTGAGGAATTCATTTTCTTTCTTTCTGTTTTTTTCTTGAGACAGAGTCTCGCTCTGCCGCCCAGGCTGGAGTGCAGTGGCGCGATCTTGGCTCACTGCAACCTCTGCCTCCTGGGTTCAAGCAATCCTCCTGCCTCAGCCTCCCAACTAACTGGGATTACAGGCACGTGCCACCACACCCAGCTAATTTTATATTTTTAGTAGAGACAGGGTTTCACCATGTTGGCCAGACTGGTCTCGAACTACTGACCCTCAGCCTCCCAAAGTGCTGGGATTACAGGTGTGGGCCACTGCACCCGGTCTGAGGAATTCATTTTCATTAATTAAGCACGTTATACTATAGTCACAACACAGAAGCTGGAAAGTCCTATTATCATGAATTTGGATGAAACGTAATAATAAAACCTAAAAAACATCTTGTTTTAGCGGAAAATACTGGGTTGCAAAAACCTGAAACTTAGATTGGGTTAACTCACAACTTAAAGCTCAAAAATCAAAGTTTGAACATAAAAGAAGGGCCACCTCAACAGTTGCCAGTTTAGTCTTAGAAGGCAGATCCAGGTTCTATGCTTATATCATTATTTAGTTTAGTTGATAGATACCCCTTGATCAGTCCCAATTGTTAACTGAGAAACCTAATTAGCATCCATCTCTTGGTCTCAAATTATCAAAGGGATAAATTTTGATAGTGTGAGATAGCTCTTTTATTGGCAAATGTGTAACTCTGCAAAGGTATATATGTAGACACGGTGAAAAAATTACTTCTGATTAGTGTACTGATACTGTATTTATTTGAGAATCTTGCACACACATCACGTAACAACAGGGATATGTTCTGGGAAATGCATCATTAGGCAATTTTGTCACTGTGCTAAGGCAATAGCCTATTACACATCTAGGCTATATGATACAGCCTGTTGGTCCTAGGCTACAAACCTGGACAGCATGCTACTATACTTAATACTGTAGGCAACTGTAACACAATAGTAAATATTTGTGTACATAGAAAAGGTACAAGAAAAATACAGTATTATATTTTATCATCTTACTATGTGGCCCATTTTTGACCAAAATGTTGTTATGCAACACATTACTATATTTATGCAAGTGTGGCTGCAAGCCTTATAACCAGGAAGTTTTGTGTATTTTGCCTATTTTTACGATGCTTGAAGGCCAGGTACAGTGGTTCACACCTGTAATTCCGACACTTTGGGAGGCCAAGGCAGGAGGATCCCTTAAGCCCAGGAGTTTGAGACCAGCCTGGGCAACATGGCAAAACCCCATCTCTACAAAAAATACGAAAATTAGCTGAGTGCAGTGGTGCATGCCTGTAGTACCAGCTACTCAGGAGGCTGAGGTGGGAGGATCACCTGAGCCTGGGAGCTTGAGGCTGCAGTGAGCCGGGATTGTGCCACTGTACTCCAGCCTAGGCAGCAAAGTGAGACCCTATCTCAAAAACGAAAGAAACACCAAATGATGCTTGAAATTCTTGAGAACTTGATTTTTTAATTTAAAACGGTAATTTAATTTGCAAGAGTTGTTTAGGCACTTGGGAAGAATCTGTTCATTAAGTTTAAAATATTGCCTAAGTGTTTGTATGAATCAATTCATTCAAAAATTCTAAGGAAAGTGATAAATATGTAAGTAGTGTTAAATATCTGAGAGTAACTGAACCTGTTATATGTGATAATGTGTAAGTTAAAGTGATTGCTTTCTATTTACAAAAAAATACATTCAAGACAAAAAGATCTATAAACATACCTAGTTTATGTTTAAAATCTGAATGTAAATTAAAACAAAGTAATTGTCAATGTTCCTTCTGCACTTGAAAACTAGCCTCAGATACTTAAAAAAAATTACTAACAATTTTAGTGCCAGGTTTTTGCATCATTTTTAATATGAGCTACTCATTATTCAATTATCAGCACTAAATAACAAAGAATTCACTTCAGTATACAAAATGACTTGTCTTAAATTTTCAACTCTTAAAGCTTATTATTAATATAATCATATTTATTTTTCTTAAAGAGCAGCATTGAGAATTGCTTACATATATTATAAATAAAAAATAATTAAACTTTTACCTGATAAGAATAGCTGATATAAAAATTATTCATCTGAGAATAAATTCTTTCATTTTAGGAAATAAGCTATTTCAGGAAAGAAAATAAAAAATCAATGTTAGCAAATTAAAAATACATTAAGGATAAACATTTCTATTTCTCAAAAATTAATGCCTATTTACATGTTACACAAAAATACAGTATGGTATTTTAACAAACTCAGGGCACAATTAGAATGAAGTTTTGAGTAACTAACAGAACAACAATAAAAACAATAATAACAACACTTATCCTAAGTAAAATTAATTGTGCTCCTATAAAACGTTGTTAGTACTACTAGCAAAGGATTTGTCATATTATAGTTAGTTATATAAAATAATAGCTAGTTATATAAGTTATATAAGTAATATATTATATATATTTTATGTAAGTTATATAAGTATCTATCTTACAGATCTCCACGATCTTACAGGGCCAAAACTGATAGTCATCCGAGTTCTCTCCAAAGAATCCATTTCTGGAAACATAATCACTTAAAATATTTGTTAAATTACATTACTCTAAAAATGTTTTAATGATTAAAACCAAAATACTGACCTAAGATAATTTGTGCAAATTTAAAAGAAAAAAATTATTTTAAAGAAAACCCACTGTCTTTACTGAAAACAAACTAGAAAAAAAAATTAAGAGCCCACAAAAGTAAGATGTAAAGTACACTCATCATGTTTTTTCTTGCCTTATTAGTCAGTAAACACTCACTCAGTAAAGCTCAGCTTTTACTTTCCTTTGAAAATTTGACCATGAATGGGAAATATAAGGTTGGTGATGTTGCTTTTGCCTAATATGTATATTTATTTATTTATCTGTACTGACATAGAAAAAAGTTTTGAGATCAGTAATTTAAGACATTTTAAAATTAGTATGTTCATAAACATGAACTGTACACTGTAAATAAATATATTTCACTTTTTGCCTCCTTTGCTTTCCAGCTCACTTACCCTTGTTTTCCTAAGAATTAAGTTATATTTCTCCTGAGTCAGATTTTGTTACTGTGAAAAAGGGAACATAATTTAATTTAACAACCAAAATATATTCTGAGTATATAAAAACTAAAAAAAAATTTGAATGTCTTTTAAAATTGTTTACAAGAGCATGTATTCATATACATTAAAAGCAAAGTAACTAAATGAACAAAATAAATAACATGATTGTGACTACTCAACTTTCACTTTGCAGGAAAAAAAATTTACTTTGCACCAATTACACATTCACAAATGTAAAGTGAAAGTTACCAAATCTACGTGCAAAAGCAGGTAATTTTCTTCATTAGTCATGCTCTATCTTCAGATGACATAACTTTCTTAGGATGGTCAGGTTCTAAAAAAAACTATGCTTTTTCGTGACTGCCTTAGTAAACTATAGATATAATTTTGTTGCTTTTACTAAACTTAAGTATTCAAGGTTACACATAATTACAAAAGCACATCCCAAAAAAGAGGTCCCTGGGTATTTATGTGAACATTATATATACTTTAGGAAAGTGTATAGCAACTGCCCCCAGCAATGGGGGAAAATATCAGCCACGTACTTTGTACCGAGAAAGAACACTTTTAAATCCACTGCTAGAGCCTAAAATCACAGATGTCTTATTACACAATAAAGCTAAAAGTTCATTAAATTTTGCCTACATTAAAGAATGAATAATGCCACTGAAAGGTTTTGCTTATTTAAAGTAATTCAGTACCAAATCCTTCTGTCATTGCTGTTGTTGTTGTCTAATACAATAATCACACTCTCAATATATTTGTTTTATGAAGTTAATACTTTCATTTGGTTGAAATGTAATGTCAACTAGCATTATTTACACTATTTTATACCTTGAGCCAATACATGGGTTGTACAAGGAAGTATTTCTAAGAAAATATTAGCCATGCCTTTAACTCTATCAAAAATGAAATTCTGGTTCTTATTAAAAAGAAATAGGCGCACTGCACTTACAATTCTTAATTTAACCCTTGAAAGAGTTTATTCATATCCTACCATGTTCCAAAGTCAATGAGGTAAGTTACTAAATAAATCTACACACTGATCTACTTACAATTTTATAGAAGAGATTCACTAAAGTTTACCAATAAAAACAAATACCCAATAAAATATTTTATTCAAGAACAAAATTAAATGTGCCCTTTGCAAGGAAGATGACAAAAAATTTATATGTTCCAAGAGTGATGAAGGAAAAGGTATGGCTTAATTCTACCACCTCCATAGATAACTGTCATTCTAGCCACAGAGTCAAAGAATCAGACTATTACGTAAGATTCTACACACAGTCTTCCTTTAATTATAATAACTAAAACCTTCTGAATTTTACTTTAAATTAAAGAAATGTAATTTCACATACCTAATTACCTAAGCCTAAAATCATGTACTAGAACAAGGGCTCATTTCACTTATTATGATCAATGACTGCCACCTAGTGGATATAACTTTCCTCAAATCTCTATATTGAGATTTCCTAGTGCTTACACTTCAGCTTTTACGGATGACAACTTCCATTCAAAGTGGCTTTTTTAGAAATTAAAAAGGAGAAGCAAGAAACTTTCACATTGCTTTATGTATCTTTTCTATGCATTAGTTATGAATTAGTTTTTTATTT
This sequence comes from Homo sapiens, assembly GCF_000001405.40. Lineage (NCBI taxonomy): Eukaryota > Metazoa > Chordata > Mammalia > Primates > Hominidae > Homo > Homo sapiens. The sequence goes on from NC_000017.11 coordinate 69,247,164, forward strand.
AGATTGGAACATTACGTACTTATTTAAGAAGATGGCATAAACTTAAAGATAACTTAAAAATAAAACTATTCTATTACAATTCCTTTAAATCACAAATTCAGAAGCACTGTTTCTGAATGGTGAAAAAGATGACATACAAACTATATAGTTCAATATACTTCAATACAAACATGCAGCTTCACTTAATTATACATACGTTTTATTTAAAGAAAAGCAAAACACACAACCACAGCATTTCAATTAAGGAGCTTAGAAAAATTTCAAGTGCGTTCTTGGTTCTCCAGTTACCATTCCAATAAAAAACTTTTTAAACCAAAGTTAAAATTAAGTGAAAAAGAAAGAAGTCCCAGTAAGCAGACCGAACAATACAAATTCAAAATACTACTCTATCTTCTTGTGTTCGTTCCCACCAAAGTGTGCTGTTTAAAGTTCCACAACTATTATCTTCCTCCTCTTGTTCTTTAGTGAGTTCTACAAAAACCTAGGTGAAAAGAAATAAATGAATACAGTATGCTGTATCTCAAGTACCTCAAAGAACTTTTAACTAAATCAGAAATGGTACAAGGCTATATCTAGTTATATCAACAAGTATCAAGAGATTTATTAACATTAACATTATTCAAACAGATTATTTTCAAAAGTTACATGCAAAGATGAATACTATTTTAGATTAATAGATATGTTTTTTAAAAAATAATTCATAACTACTTAAACAATGTAATTTCAAATACACTAATGTGAAACACCACCATCATGACTCACTTTCTTTACAAAATGAAAAAAACAGATATTCAAAATCAGCAAATGAAAGTTAGCTTGATTTAAGCATTCCATATTGCACACATGTATCAAAACATCACTGTACCCAATAAACAGTGTGATTTGTCAATTTAAAATAATATCAATTTAAAAAATAAAATTTAAAAAATTAGTAAGTGAAGAACCTAAGGTTGATTAAAATTATACCAAGTTTAAGATCATTCTGTACCAATTTGTCACTGGTTTACGATATCTCTCCCTCTCTAATATAAACCAAAACAATCGATATCAGATACTTTCTTCTATAAAATAATTTTTAAAAATTTAACTTTATAGTACCTGTTCCAATGTTGCTTGAGAAAAGCTATATTCTTCAATGGCAAAAGCATGTTTAGCTATTAAAATATAAAAATAGTATTTTACTTATCAATATCTGAAAAAAATGGCAATACCTACCAAAGTGGCTAACAATGTTTTAAAATATCTCTGTAATCAACCCACTTAAATTTGAAGCTGCCAAAACATGTTATTTTTCCCGCTTACTTCCTTTCTCTTCCCCACACCTATAATTCCTCTATAGCCCTAAGTACTGTATGTTGAATGTTACTTGTCTTATTTCACTTTTTCTAAGTTCTCCTCCATTATCTTTTTCCTGGTGATTCTTTTCATGTCTTCTTTTGATCCCTGCTCTCTTATCTCCCATTCTCCAACTCCACTGTAGCCTATTCTGGCTTCTTGAACTAGATTCTGGATATTGGTCCTATCTCCATAAACCTTTTGTTTTGTTTTGTTTTGTTTTTAAGACAAGGTCTTGCTCTGTTGCCCAGGCTGGTATACAGTGGCCTGGGCAACACAGCAAGTATACAATCATGGTTCACTGCAGCCTCGACCTCCCAGGCTCAAACAATCTTCCCACCTCAGCCTCCTGAGTTAGCTGGGACTACAGGCACATGCCACTATACCCGGGTAATTTTAAAAAATATTTTGTAAAAACAGAGTCTCACTATGTTGCTCAGGCTGGTCTTGAACCATGGGCTTAAGGGATCCTCCCGCCTCAGCCTCCCAAAGTGCTGAGATTATAGGTGTGAACCACCATGCCGGCCAATAAACATGAATAAACAATGAACATCATGCAGGCCATATATTACAGACCAAAAAATAATTAATTAGTGTTCTTGGCAAAAGTAAACCCATTAATCCATAGCTGCAACAAGAATATATACAGTATCAGGAAATCTTTTTGTATTCAGTAATCACATAAAGAACAATCATAAAAATCCTGTAGTTATTTTGAAAATTATTAATAATAAACCTTATACATAAATATAGGTTGTTTCACAGTTTATAAATGCCATAAAATAATCTGCATATGAATACCTGATTCTTCCAGGAGGTGATCTCCCTCAACTGTCACCAGCATATATATATTTATCCTACATACCACTTATTTTTTAAATGCCAAGATTCTATAAGCTTCCTTAAAATTTTGGGGACTGCCCACCCCTCGCTACACTCAGAATTCTCTTTGCCACTGGAGTCTTGATAGTGTTGCTACTTCTATGGACCAGTATGAAGTAAGGATTCAAGAAACTCAGAGCTCTTGCTGCTGGACTAACTGCAAAGACTCGATAATTAAGCTGACCCTTCTCATAGATGCAATGTGATAAACTGTGTCAATGCTCTCTAAAAATTGTAAAAGGTTTACATTACAATAGAGTTTATCTACAAAATCCCTATGACATTAGTGTTTACCTGTGTCTTAGATTAAATGAATAAAAGGTTATCTTCTTATCTGCCATAGTTTCTAAAATAAACCGAGTCCCCAGTTTTAAACTTTTTAAATAAAATTCTTTCATAATTTGAGAGCTACAACATAAGTGCTTTTCAACTACTTACCTTCTTCCAGCTTAAAAAAAGATTGTGAAAGGGACTGAACATCTTCCTTAGGAATTTTATAAGCCAAAATAGAAGATACTACTTACCTTCTTCCAGCTTAAAAAAAGATTGTGAAAGGGACTGAACATCTTCCTTAGGAATTTTATAAGCCAAAATAGAAGAAAAACTGGAAAAAAAGATAAAATATGGAAAAAAATTAAAAATTACTACTATTATGTTCTAAAGCTAAAGTTCAACATGTTTAAAATTCAAAATTAAATTCAATAACTTATTTTGGTATTTAGTTGGATGAAAATTGTTTAAAATAATAACATTTTCATGCAAAACAACTCTCATTACTACTAAGAATGTTAAAAAAATTTAAATACTACTGAATATTGAAAAATCTAATACTAAGGCAGATATAAAACACCAGCCATCAGACTTCATTAGTCCAGTATTGGTGATAATACAGAGAGAGATATATAAATTATCTATCTACAGATACATATATTTCATATATATGAAAAAATATACATATATATTCACACACAGAGATATATATATATATGGTCTATGAATGAAAAGATGATTTTTCACTTAATCCTTAATATAATAACTTTTTATAACCTTTGCTCTATAAAGAAATATAACCACATTCTTTAAAATTTTACCTTTCCTGACGGCTTGCATTTGGGAAAATATACTGAATTTCTCTTTGAAGGCGGTCTACTTCTAGGTTTTCTATCCAGTCCTTCAATTTAATTTCCAAAAAGTAGCCTTTTCCAAATTTACTCTTTAGATGTTGTACTGTTCCGATACATCTGAAGTAATTTTTTAAAAGAAAGCTCAGATATAAAATGACAGCTTCAAAGAATAATCTCTCACACATATAACTACATTTTAAAAAAATATACCTTTATATTTAGAGAAAAATTACAAAGAAAATACAGCATCCCCATACACTCTTTATCCGGTTTCAGTTTCCCTAATCTTATCATCTTATATTACCATGGTAAATTCCTCACAACTGAGACACCGACATTGGTACATTCCTTGTCACTGAACTCCATACTTTATTTAGATTTCACCAATTTTCTATTAGTGTCCTTTGTTTATTCCAGGTTCTATCCAGGATACCGTAGTGTTCTTGGCTGTCACGTCACCTTAGTCTCTAACTGTGGGTGACAGTTTCTTACTCTTTCTGTCTTTTTCATGATTTTGACAGTTTTGAGAAGTACTGGTCAGGTGTGTGTTAGAAGGTCCCTCAATTTGGGTTAGTCTGATATTTTTCTCATGACTACACTTGGGTTATGGGTTTTGGAGAGAATATTACACAGCTGTAGTACTTTTTCCATCATATCATATCAGTGAATACATGATATCTGCACAACATCGTTTAGTTAAGGTAGTATTTGCCAGCTTTCTCAACTGTAAAGTTACTATTTTTCTCCTTCTGTCGTTCATTTTTTACAAGAAACTGGCTAAGTCCCGTCCAAACTTGGGGGATAGGAGATTAAGCCTCCTCCCTTGAAGTGGGTATTATCTACATATATTATTATTTGGAATTGTTCTGTAAGGAAGATGTACCTCTTCTCTGACACATTTCTTTACTCAATTATTTATTTATGTAAGTAGAAACTCATATGTTTATTTCATATTTGTGTTACATAATTAATCCAATATATAACAATTTTTTGAAATAACAAGTACTATGCCTAAAAATAATATTCCAAGTTATTGAAATATTAAGTGAATTCAAATTCAAAGTAGACAGCCATATTTTTAAAAAACTCAACATACTTCCAAGTCAATCTATCAAAAGCTAACTCAAAAACTAAAATATTTAACATTTAAATTACTAACTATTGCCATGTTTTTGAAATGATGACTTTCAAAATCCAACCCCCAACCTCTTCCCCTGAATGGCACGCTATTTAGACATCAACCTTAACTGCCCAGACACCATGATAGCTACTCGATCACAGACAGCCTCTGCCTCCTCCATATAGTGAGTGGTCAGAATAGCAGCCCGCTTTCTGTTTTTAAATGCAGTTCGAATTGCTCGCCTATAAAACATAAATAAAACAAAAAGAGAGGAACACATCTGTTTGTTAAAAAAAAATGGGTTTTTAAAAATCCAACCGGTTGGTTAATTAAGTTAATTAAAACTTACCAAATATCAATTGCTATGGCTATTACATCCTGCCCAACTATGATTTTTTTTTTTTTGAGACGGAGTCTCGCTCTGTCCCCCAGGCTGGAGAGAAGTGGCCCGATCTCGGCTCACTGCAAGCTCCACCTCCCAGGTTCACACCATTCTCCTACCTCAGCCTCCTGAGTAGCTGGGACTACAGGTGCCTGCCACCACACCCGGCTAATTTTTTTTTGTATTTTTAATAGAGACGGGGTTTCACCGTGTTAGCCAGGATGGTCTCGATCTCCTGACCTCGTGGTCTGCTGCCTCAGCCTCCCAAAGTGCTGGGATTACAGGCGTGAGCCACTGCGCCAGGCCATGACTTTTATATTCTAATTTATTTTCCCTTCATTTTGAAAGCTTGTCAAATGGAAAAAAAAAATCTATGATTTCAAATGTTAATATGGGCTAAAAGTATGACAACAAATAAATTTTAAAATTGATGCCTTTTCATGTTATAACCAAAACAGGCTTTGAATCATAAGAAAACCGTAACATGCATCCAAACCAAACCTTACATTTTATAGACATGGAAGTTGAGGCTTAAAGAGTTGTTCAAGGCCAGGCACTGTGCCTCACACCTGTAATCCCAGCAGTTTGGGAGGCCGAAGGGGGCGGATCACCTGAGGTCTGGAGTTCGGGACCAGCCTGGCCAACATGGTGAAACCCTGTCTCTACCAAAAATACAAAAAATTAGCCGGGCTTGGTGGCTCTTGCCTGTAGTCCCAGGTACTTGGAAGGCTGAGGCAGGAGAATCGCTTCAGCCTGGGAAGCAGAGGTTGCAGTAAGCCAAGACGGCACCACTGCACTCCAGCTTGGTCAACAGAACAAGACTCTGACTCAAAAAAAAAAAAAAAAAAAGAGTTGTTCAACTAATTAGTACTTTACAGGCACTGCATAATGACATTTCAGTCAATGATGAAACACATTTCCAACAGTGATTCCATAAGATTATAATACTTTTATAATGTATCTTTTCTGTGTTTAGATACATCTAGATACACAAATACCATTGTGTTACAACTGCCTACAGTATTCAGTGCAGTGACATGCTCTACAGATTTATAGCCTAGGAGTAATAGGCTATACCATATAGTCTAGGTGTGTAGTAGGCTATAACCACCCAGAGATTTATATAAGTACACTCTATTATGTTTGCACAACGACAACATCACCTTTCTCAGAATGTATCTCTGTCATTAGGCAATGCATGACTGTCCTAGAAAGAGTCTCAACATAAATTTAAGACACTATTATTATGGAAAAGATCATTTGTATGCTAAATGACTAGAAAAAAACTTAAAAACTATTCAGAACACTAGAACTCTTTATCTTAATAATGACTCATGCTTATTTCTGTTTCGGAATATGTAAAATATTATGAACACTTCATGAAAAATATGCAAAGTTTTAAAAGCTTAAGGAAATCTCTAAATCTATTTAATTTTTAATTACTAGTGTATCGTTTGAATAGGATTTAAAATCAAGATGTACATATAACTAACATTAAACTATTATAATAAAAGAAACTGTTCTATTCTAAAGTATCATGTACTGTGTCACAAGTACCATACTCACCACATGTGCTGTTTGGCTTTGGGATCCATACCTGTAGATGGTTCATCTAGCAAAGTAATCTGAGGATTCCCTAGCATACTTAGAGCAAAACACAACTACATGGAAAGAAAAAGATGGGTGGGAAATTAACAAAGGTTCACTATAAGGAATCTATCAAGACAATATCAGGTACTAAACTATCAATAAAAATACAGGCATTATTTGGTGTTTAATGAAAGTACCTTTCGTTTGATTCCTGCAGGTAGTTTCTTTACAGTCTTCTGAAGATGTTCTTTTAAATCAAGTGCATGTGTTATTCTGCAAAATGAACAATACAAAATGAGAATACCATGATATATATAAACACAAATACCAACTGGGTGTGATCCCTGATGTTGTTTTCTCTAGAATAGTTACTTAGTCGAAGCTTATTATAAGTAGGTAAGGGCAAAAGTCTCCAATTTACATCATTTTAAATAAATTAATATCTTGATAAAATGGTTCACTTTGAATTAAAATAAGTTTCATGATATCTATAGGTATATTTATCCTGTAACTAGAAATTAAAAAATGACCTTTTTATAACTATCATAATTTACAGCTATCAGTATATTTTCATATATCATAAAGAATATATGAAAAAGTAATAAACATTTTCTATAAAAATCATTGTCCACAGAAATGCTTGTTATGAAATTTTAAAAATATGAAATGCAAACCTTTCCTCTAAGTAACAAAAGGAATCTAAAGACAATTATTTTACCGACTTATGACTTCTTTCATGTCACTTGCACTCATTCCTTTGACAGCTCCATAAATTTCAAAATGTTCCTGCAATGTAGTATCTGGCCACAAAGGGTTTATCTGAGGACAGTAACCCATACACTTCAGTGAATCATCATCTTCACTTGTCTCTGAAGAATAATCTCCTAAAAATACCTATAGAAACACAAACCAATTTTTATTATTTTGCTTAATTTACACTGTGAAGGAAGTGGCAAGTACATTAATTAAAACCCCTTCCTACAGCCAGACTAATATCAAGTCAGATTTGTACTCCTTTATTGTCATTATTATTATTATCACTAAGTAACTGAGACTACAAACATGTGCCACCATGCCTGGCTATTGCTTTTTTCTTTTTTGAATTTTAGGAGGGAAGATGTCTCACTACGTTGCCCAGGCTAGTCTTGAATTCCTGAGCTCAAGTGATCCTCCTGCCTCAGCCTCCCAAAGTGCTGGGATTACAGGAATGAGCCACTGCACCCGCCCAGATGTTTTACTCCTTTTTGATGTTTGATGATGGAAGGACATATAAAGCTAAGTCAGAGTTCAGAGACTTGGTCAGAAAGGGTAATACAGAGTTGGATGAAAAAGCAAGATGTAATTCTAATGATCAGGGAGCTTCACTGGAAGGTGACATTTGAGCCAAAGAGGTAAGTGAATTTAGTATATGTATTTCTAGGGTATAAGGTATAGCCAAACAAAGAAAACATCTTGGGCAAAAACCCAAAGAAAAGAGTATGCCTGGCATTTTCCAGGAAAGCAATGAGTTAGTGTGGCTGGCATAAAGTAAGCAAGGGGAGAGAAGCAGGAAATGGGATCAGGGTAGTTTTGTGAAGTATCCACAAAGTGGTCAGTGACATGCTTATAATAAAAGACTAGCTGATGGCAGGTCAAAACAAGCTCCCATATCTCCTGAAGCTAATAAAACTGTCTTCCATTAAGTTGGTAGACAAATAACTCACGCATGTAAGCATTACAAAAGCAGAAATACTGTATATGCGTGTGTCTACATGTGTCTATGAAAATTTCACCATGCACATTATTTTTACAGATAACCCAAAAGATCATAATTTGATCAGGCTGTACAAAAAATTCTAAAAATATACATAAAAATTGAATATAAAATCCGAATTTGTCACTAAAAGTTTATGTTAATTAACAATATAAATCACATTCAACATATCCTATACTCTTATATATCATACCTGGCCTGAAGTTGGTTCAATATCACCAACCAGAATATTAATAATTGTGCTTTTGCCAGCACCATTTGGACCCAATAGTCCTAAGATCTCTCCTAAAGGAATTGAAAGAAAAAAAAATCATAATCAAATCATACTAAAAGTAGAAATTACTCTTCTAGAAAAGTTATGTAAGGAAAAATTAAATACCAGCCTTTTTTCACACAGAAAGAGATGTATTTAGTTGCCACTTTCTTTACTTTTCTTGAAAGAAGAAAATCTTTCTTGTCATCATATTCTTTATGCAAATTGCTGACCATAATGGATGGTTTCTAATAAGAAAAATTGTATTTAAAAAGAAAGTTATAAAACTTATCATGAAATGACAGGCTGCACATACCTCATATCCATATTACAAAAATTATATTGGCTAATAAGGGGATACTGTACAAATAAATATCCATTTATGACTGAAATTCTGGCTTATTCAAAAGTAAGTAAACGAAGTATTTTTTTCCAAGAAAGATTTTTTTCAGATTGCTTCATATGCAAAGAAAAATATTTTTCAGATTAATTTCTATATACCGGGAATTGATCATTTCATATTTACTATGACTTAGCCATAAAGAATAAATTACCTCCTCACAACACTGGCAACCCATCAGCTCTTTGACCTTTAGTCTTTCAGCTTTGACATCTTCATCTTCATCCTCATTGTCTGGTGGTTCTGGAAGCTTCCTATTTTTAGACTTCGTTGAAAGGTTTCTACATATATATAATAAATATAAAAGACAGTAGGTTTTCAAATAATTAAAATAGTAAGAAATTCAGATACTAGGTAGAGAAAAGACTGAAAAAATACACTAACATAAGATCTAGGATTATCTCTGAAAGGTGGAATTATAAGCGATATTTCTTTTTTTTTCTTTCTTTCTTTCTTTTTTTTTTTTTTTAAGACAGGGTCTCACACTCTGTTGCCCAGGCTGGAGTGCAGTGGTACGATCTCAGGTCACTATAACCTCTGCCTCCTGGGTTCAAGCGATTCTCCTGCCTCAGCCTCCTGAGTAGCTGGGATTACAGGCACGCGCCACCATGCCCGGCTCATTTTTGTATTTTTAGTAGAGACAGGGTTTCACCATGTTGCCCAGGCTGGTCTCAAACTCCTGGCCTCAAAAGATCCACCTGCCTCAGCCTCCCAAAGTACTGGGATTACAGGTTCAAGCCACCATGCCCAGCCACAAGCATTATTTTTCAATGACTGATAACATTTGGACGATATTATCTAAATTCATTCATTTATTCAACAATATTATTTATGACTAGTAGGTGTCAGGTATTATTACACAGAAAGAAAGATGAAAAAACATGAACCTTGCCCTCAAAAAATTTACAACCTGAGTATAAATGAAATTGCCCAGAAAGAGTAGATGTAGAGGGTTGACATCAGAACCCACAGTAACACCATTTTTAGGGATAGACAGAGGATGAAGTGCTTGCAAAGGCAATTTTGAAGTACAGAGGCAAACAGAAGACATAATGGAAAACAAAGGAACAAGAAAAATGTGGCCAGGCGCAGTGGCTCCTGCCTGTAATCTTAGCACTTTAAGAAGCCGAGGCATGCAGATCACTTGAGGTCAGCAGTTCAACACCAGCCTAGCCACCATGGAGAAACCCTGTCTCTACTAAAAAATAAAATACAAAAATTAACCAGGTGTGGTGGCACATGCCTGTAATCCCAGCTACTTGGGAGGCTGAGGCAGAAGAATCGTTTCAACCAGTGAGCTGAGATCATGCCACTGCACTCCAGCCTGGGTGACAGAGTGAGATTCCATCTCAAAAAAAAAAAAAAAAAGAAAAATGTGTAAGGAGAACAATGTCAATCATATTAAAGCCTGCAGATTAGTTAAATAAGTTGAGCCTATTAGACAATGAAAAGACAAAATCATTAGTTATCTTATTGAAAATAGTATCAATGGAAAGGTAAGGGAAAACCCAGATTGCAGGGAGTTATAGGAGTGGATGGAAGGTGAGTAACTGGAGATAGAAGAATTTTGGCTATGAAAGGAAAGAGAGATATAGAATAGGAATTAGGGATGGATTCATGTTCAAATGAGATCCATGGGTTCTTTCATATATGAAAGAAAGGTGACCCTCCCCAACCCCAAAAATATACCACTGAGATCCAGAAAGGAAAGAGAAAAAGAGAAAAAAATACACTATTGAGATCTAGAAAGGAAAGAGAAAAAGAGAAAAAATACACTTTTGAGATCCAGAAAGGAAAGAGAAAAAGAGAAAAAGAAAATTGAGCAATATTCCAAGTATATAGAATAAATGAAGATTTGGGTAATAGGATGGACTGCTGCTTCCTCTAGGACTGGGAAAAGGCAAAAATGATGGAAGATGTGAGTAAGTTTGTAGAAATTTATAACTTATAATTAAGTGCTTCTATTTTCTGAGATAAATGACAAGATTATTTACTGAGAAGTAGGAAGTAAGATAAGGTGATTTGAGGAATACAAGGAATAAAGAGAAAGCTTTGAATAACTATTGAAAAGAAAGAGATAAGAAGGTGCTAACTAGGAAAATGTTATTCGTTACCAAACAGTATTAAAATATAACTACCATTCAACCCAGCAATCCTACTACTGGATATATATCCAAAGGAAAAAAAAAATCATTACATAAAAAAGACACCTGAACTCATATGTTCATCATGGTACTATTCACAATAGCAAAGTCATAGAACCAACCTAAGAGTCCATCAACAGTTGACTGGGTGAAGAAAATATGGTACATATACACCATGGAATACTCCACAGCCATAAATAGAATGAAATTATGTTCTTTACAGCAACATGGATGGAACTGGAGACCATTATCCTAAGTGAACTAATTTGGAACAGACAATCAAATACCACATGTTCTCACTTATAAGTTCTCACTTATAAACAGACAATCAAATACAACATGTTCTCACTTATCAGTGGATACACATGAACATAAACATGGAAACACTAGGACTGTGGACTCCAAAAGGGGGTGGGGATAAGGGTTGAAAAACTACCTATTAGGTACAACGTTCACCATTTGGGTAATGTTACAATAGAAGCCCAATCCCCACCAGTATGCAATATACCCAGCTAACAAACATGCACATTTACCCCCAAATCTAAAATATTTTTTTTAAAAAACCAGCTGAATTTATATGGAATAAATATGTAGTATTATCAAATGGAACTTTTATGTTATTTTTTCCAGCATATAATTCGATTCACCAATAATTATAATTTTTAGTGGACAGTTCGAAAAGACAAAAGTTGAGGATGCTGAAATGATAATAAAGTGATGAATCATGTAAGCAAGGCTGGATAGAAGAAAAAGTAAAAACAAATTAGCTAATATATTTGGAAGAATATGTAAAAAAGACAAACAATAACAAGCATTGGCAAGGATGTGGAGAAAATAGAACCCTAAAACATTCCTAGCGGGAGTGTAAAATGGTATTACCACTTTAGAAACAGTCTGGCAATTCCTCAAATGACCCAGCAATCCCATTTCTAGGTATCCACCCAAGAGAAATGAAAATATATGTCCATACAAACAGTTGTATACAAACTAGCAACATTGTTCATAATAGCTGAATTCATAGCAGCATTGTTCATAATAGTTGAAAAGTAAAAGCAACTCATTAAGATATATAAAAAGTGCTACACACGACTACATGATAAGCCCTCCAAACATTATACTAAGTGTAAAACCATATGCTAGATACTAATTATAGTGCCCAAATCCTAGCAATTTTTCAAAGATGTTATCTGGCAAATCTGATGATTTTCCAACATTAAAATAACATGCCAACCAACTATGGTAAAAAGCAAACAGATATAAAAGTTAAATACAAGGTATTTAAGAGAATTGTTGGTCTTTTGACTCAAGTTTTCCAAAGCATATTTCCATTGTCCAGTTATATAAAGTGTTCAGAACAGGCAAATCTGACAGAAACAGAAAGTAGATTAGTGGTTACCTAAGACTGGGAGCTATGGGAATAGGGATAAGAAAGTGGCTGTTAATGGGTACAAAGTTTCTTTTTGGAGTGCTGGAAATGTTCCAAAATTATGTTATGGTAATGGTTACACAGTTCTGTAAATATACTAAAAACATTTAAAATTTTTAAAAAATCAACTGACCTGAAAAAGGGATCTTTTCTTATTGATCTGCCTCCATATTTTTTCTCATAGTATTGTAAGAGGAAAATCCACAGTACACACTGCAGGTAAGGCTAAAAGAAGAACATGTAGCAGCTCATGACTAAAAGATTTGTTGTTGTTGTTGTTGTTTTTTCCTTTGCCAACAGAACTAAGACTACATACATCAAGTTCCTTGCCATTACCAAAAGAAGTAATCACAACTTTTTTATATTTTACATGATAAAGATAATTAAAAATAAATTTTAATACAAACCAAAGCAGAATTATTTTTAGCAAATTATTCACATATTTTCTGCCTCTGTATCATTCATTTATTGTCAGCTTCATAAAATATAATCGAACACAAAAACTTTGTTTTTGCTTCTAAGACAGAACTGTAATTAAACAGAATTAATAACATGTAAAAGGCTAAGTATATTAAAGTGAACATATTCAGTAAATGAAAGGTACTCCCCACTGAAATACAGATTAGCTAGCGTTAACTAACATGCTTAACTTTTTATGCACCTTCTTTTTCATGCAACAGGATAAAAAACTAAACATAGTTAAAACCATAGGACCAAACCATTCTTAAGGTACATGCTAATTCACAAAAACACTTTATTTCTTACCGATATAACAGCTACTGAAAGCCTATCCCATGGATTATAGGTGTCCACATTTTTTCGTACATTCTTCCAAGAAATCTAAGACAAAAAGATTTGAAAATATATACGCTGCAATATGTAGAAATATTTGGATTAAAATGAAAAAATGTATTTTGTTTAGCAAACGTGTACTTTCTATAATAAGTTAGCTGTTCATATTAGTAAGTTATGTTTTTTACTTAAAATCTTCCCTGTCCCAAAATATTTCTGAGGATCAGTATAAATTAAACACATTGAACTGAGACCTAAAAAGGGAAGCAGGGGTAGTAGGATTAGTAAGTAGAATTAATTAGCAATTCCAAACCAAGAATTCATAACAATATTTTTTCTAATCACATGGAAATTTCTTTCAATTATCCAGCCTTAATAAAATCAATCTGGTTTTTGTCTCTATTTTTTCTTGGAGAAAATCTCTTACACTTTATTCTTTCTCATCCCTTTATAGTGAAATACGTTATTTAATCACTGATAAACTCCTAAAAACAAATACTGACTGAAACCATGTCACACTTCTAATTATATACATCATTTTGAGCATGAGAGAACCTGTAATGAACATAGCCCTTTTCCTTTGAGAATTTACAGTTTGACAAGAGCTCACAATAATTTATGCTGCATTAATAATATCTAAATCAAGTAGTAGCCATTAGCCCAATGCATTTTACTGTTTTCTATACAAGAACTAACATCCCCAAATTAGACCATATTTATTTTATGTTTTTTAACATATTAAAATATTTAGCAGAATTACCTTTATGAAAGAAATCAGGCAACCTAGAAGTGGATAGATTGGAATGATGATACAAAAGGCATAATGAAGAATAGTTGCAATTGTGTATCCCATAAAGAAAGTTATTTCAGTGATTGCAATACAAGCCAACGCTGCCTAAAGAAAAAAATAAATAAATAAAAGTGACAAAGTGTTTAGAAACTTCTTACAAATTGGTGTCTACGCATTAAACTATTTTTTCAATCCTCTAATAAAACATGGAACAAGAGATGATATTTAGCCAGCAAGCAACAAGAATACCACTTGTTTGTAGCTAGTATCCTTGATACACTAGTTGCTAAATCTCTTCCATATTGTTCCTACGTGGAAAGGATGATTCAGAAGACAAATGTACACACAAAAAGAAGCTGCCAATTACCTATCTAAATTATTCACTTACAAAAGACATGTAACATTTTTAGTATAATCAGGAAAGAATTCATGTTAATTAAACTGCTATGGAAAGTTGAAATAATGTAAAATGTGACTTACCACAGAATAGATAAATGACCAAAATTCTTTGGTATTTAAAATTTTCTTAAAGGTGAAAGAAGCAATATAAGTGAACAGAATAACTGATGGAACATAACCAATAAGGCAAAAAACCTGTAAATCAGAAATATGTTTCTATAAAAATATGAATAGCTTGCAATACACATGACATGAAATACTAGCCATATTAAAATATGAAATTATTAATATAATCCTAAATAAATCATTTAAACTGAACACTACTTGTAGTTTTTTGTACCAAGTAAAATACTATCTCTCATTATTATAAAAAGCAAGTATAGCTAGCTACAACGTTCTCTCTCTCAAATATTAGCTACTATTTTAATATACAGCACTTTATTTTTTAATGTGTAAGAAAAACATTATTATTTTATATGGCAGAAACTAATATATAAGGTCATTATGATCTCTGACAAAATCGGTAAATTTACTTTCAGCATCAACCTCATGTAACTCTGTTTTCCCTTTTTCCTAATAAAGTAATCAATGAAAGGGCCTGCTGTCAGTCATTTACATGTGAACATGAATGCAAATCAGTCTCTTCTTTGATATTTTAAGCTATATTTTATTTTAAGTAATTTCTAGTTTTACTTTAGAATCAGGGGATACATGTGCAGGTGTGTTACATGGGTATACTGCATGATGCTGAGGTTTGGGGTATAATTCATTCTGTCACCTAGGTACTGGACACAGTACCTAACAGTTAGTTTTTCAACCCTTGCTCCCCTTCCTCCTGCCCCCGTCTAGTAGTGCCCAGTGTCTACTGTTGCCATTTTTATGTCCATGTTTACCCAATTTAGCTCCCATTTATAAGTGGGAACATGCAATAGTTGGTTTTCTGTTCCTTTGTTAATTCACTTAGAATAATGGCCTCCAACTGCACCTGTGCTGCTGCAACAGACATAATTTCATTCTTTTTTATGGCTGCTCAGTATTCCGTGGTGTATATGTACCACACTTTCTTTATTCAATCACTGGTCAATGGGCTCCTAGGTTGATTCCATGTCTTTGCTATTGTGAATAGTGCTGCAATGAACATACTCATGTGTCTTTTTGGTAGAATGATTTATTTTCTTTTGGATATATACCCAGTAATGGGGTTTCTGAGTTATAAGGTAGTTCTGTTTTAAGTTTTTTGAGAACTCTCCAAACTGCTTTCCATGGCTGCTGAAGTTTACATTCCCACCAAGAGTATATAAGAGTATATAAGCATTTCATTTTCTCTGCAGCCTCGCCAGCATCTGTTGGTTTTGACTTTTTAATCATAGCCATTCTAACTGACATGAGATGGTATCTTACTGTGGTTTTGATTTACATTTCTCTGATGATTAGTGATGTAGAGCATTTTTTCATACATTTGTTGTCCATTTGCATGTCTTCTTTTGAGAAGTGTCTGTTCATATCTTTTGCCCACTTTTTAATGGAGTTTTGTTTTTTGATTGCTGAATTGTTTAAGTGCCTTATAGATTCTGGATACTTGGCCTTTGTTGGATGCATAGTTTGTATTTTCTCCCATTCTGTATGTTATCCATTTACTCTGTTGATAGTTTCTTTTGCTGTGCAGAAGCTCTTTAGTTTAATTAGGTGCCACTTGTCAATTTTTATTTCTGTTGCAATTGCTTTTGAAGACTTATTTACCCATAAATTCTTTCCCAAGGTCCAGAATGGTATTTCCTATGTTTTCTTGTAGAATTCTTATAGTTGATGTCTTACCCTTAAATCTTTAATCCATCTTGAGTTACTTTTTACATACGGTGAAAGGTGGAGGTCCAATTTCATTCTTCTGAATATGGCTAGCCAGCTATCCCAGCACCATTTATTGAACACAGAGTCCTTTCCTATTGCTTATTTTTATCAATTTTGTTGAAGATCAGATGGCTATAGATGTGTGGCTTTATTTCTGGGTCCTCCATTCTGTTTCATCGGTCTACATGTCTGTTTTTGTACCAATACCATGCTGTTTTGGTCACTGGAGCCTTTATAGTATAGTTTGAAGTCAGGTAATGAAATGCCTCTGGCTTTGTTCTTTTTACATGGATTCCTTTTTTTTTTTTTTTTTGATAAAAAGTCTCTCTCTGTTGCCCAGGCTTGAGTGCAGTAGCACGATCTTGGCTCAACACAACCTCTACCTCCCCGGTTCAAGCGATTCTCCTGCCTCAGCCTCCTGAGTAGCTGGGACTACAGGCGCATGCCACCACGTCCAGCTATTTTTTTGTATTTCTAGTAGAGATGGTGTTTCACTATGTTGACCAGGATGGTCTTGATCTCTTGACCTCGTGATCCACCCGTCTCGGTCTCCCAGAGTGCTGGGATTATAGGCATGAGCCCCCGCGCCCAGCTTATGTAGGATTCCTTTAGCCATCTGGGTACTTTTGGGGTTCCATATGAATTTTAGAATAGCTTTTTAAAATTCTGTGATGAATAATGTTGGTAGTTTGATAGGAATAGTGTTGAATCTGTAGATTGCTTTGGGCAGTATGGCCACTTTAATATATTGAGTCTTCTAATCCATGAGCATGAAATTTTTTTCCATTTGCTTGTATCATCTCTGAATTCCTTCACCAATGTTTTGTAGTTCTCCCTGTAGAGATCTTTCATCTCCTCTGTTAGATGTATTCCTAGGTATTTTAATTTTTTGTGGCTATTGTAAATGGAGTTGTGTTCTTCATCTGGCTCGCAGCCTGCCCATTATTGAGATAGAGAAATGTTAAGCTATATTTTAAACTATGGAATAAAAGAGCTTATCCTTTGTGAAATTATTTTCAGGCATAAGAAAAACGAAGGAAGGCATTTTAAGGAAGGAATATATTAAAACGTTCCTGATTACACCCAAGTAGGTGGTCTACATGAAAGATCACTTTAGTTTCAAGAAATTATTTTAAAATGGTGGTAAGTTATTGTTTTTAAAAGTCACTTATCATATAAAATGATTACATGTATTAAATACCAGACACACTTGCTCTATTTTCTTTAACAAATTAATAACCAAATTATGCAATAAGTCAACTGTCATGTTTATAACAGATTTTAAATAACATTCTATCTATAAATAGCATGAGTACAACTAACGTTAACTTACCACAGCAAGGAACTTTACAGTATAAAAATATAATCCATAATGAAATGCCAATAAGCTTCCTAGCATCAAAATAAGAATGATAAAAAATAAGGGGATATCAACAACAGCTTGTCCAATCCAATATGCAGATGGCAAAAGACCTGAAAGTTTAAGTTGAGTATAAGCTTTGATCTAAAAAAAATGAAAAACAATTTATTATAATTTTAGACACTTTAGAAACACACAAATAAATTAGTAAATTATTGTAGATCTCTTAATTTTACATCAGCAAAACCAAAAAGGTTACATTCCAGGCTTATAGGTAATAAAAGTCCCCCTCACACTAAATACAAATTCCATTTAGCCTTTAATTTGGCTCATTATTTCTGAGATGTAACAATTTCAACAAAATTTTTAAGAATCAGAATACAGTAGTGCTGCCAAGAAACTGAGATTAAAATAAAGCAAAAGGTGTCATGGCGGTTGGGGTTACAGCTATACAAATAATAAATAGCCAAAACATTACTACTTTTGAAATACTGTGGAAACAGATGGGAAGACATGTTTACACAGAAAAAGAATTCTCAGTTTTAAAAATGAACCTTTCATAAATAAAAACACTAATAAATTGCCAAGTATCCTTTGGATTTACATAAGGCTTTCAGCTTAAGTGAAAGCTTTTGAAATGTTCAAAGCCTTTTGTGTACACTGGTATAGCATATAAATCTAAGGTGTTATTTACGTCACAAGTTTGTTAATGGTAAACTCAAATGATCATAGTTTTCCTATCTCATGTTCTCATTTAATTTGAAATTTCTAAAATATTTCATAAATCCAAATACCTAACAATTTTATTTAGTTGATTTTTGTCATCTATAAAAATATCTACTCCTAATAACTGAAGGTATTATATGAAAGAGCTGTCCACAGAGATAAAGGAAGCATGAAATATAAAGATTAGTTAAGAAGAGGAGAAATGAACAAAATTGGCAAGTTTTCTGTTCAATGAATTATGAGAACATGAGACACATGTAAATTCTAATACAAGAATAAAAACATAAGCTAAGGCAAATGCAATTATTTTGGATAATTCAAACTTTTGTCATTCACACACTGCTGGTAGGGATAACATAAAATGGAACACTCATCTTGGAAAATAATTTGGCAATTTCTTATAAAATTAACATGTATAATTCAGCAATTGCACTCTTGGGCATTTATCTCAGAGAAATGAAAATGATGTTTACACAAAACCTGTATGCAAATGTCCACAGCAACTTTACAAAAGCCAAAAACGGAAAACAATCCAAATGTTCTTCAACAGGCAAATGGTTAGAGAAAGTGTGATGTATCCATACCATGGAATATTACTCAGCAATGAAAAGGAATGGATTATTGATAAATACAAATAGGATGAACTTCAAAAAAAATGCTATTTGAAAAAAGCCAATCCCAAAAGAAAACTTATTGTGATGCCATTTTACATTTTTGAACTATCAAAATTACAGAAATAGAGAACAGAGTAGTGGTTGCCACAGGTCAGAGAGGCTAGGAAAGAGCAAAAAATGGGAATCTTTTTGGTGACAGAAATGTTCTGTATCTTGACTGTGTCAATGCCAATACCCTGTTACATTGTACTATAATTTTACGAGATGTTATTATTGGGACAAAATGTAAAGAGTACACAGGATCTCTCTGTCATTTCTAACAAACAAACATGAATATACAACTATCTCAAAATAGAAACTTTAATTAAAAATAAGTTAGTGGGTGCAGTGCACCAGCATGGCACATGTATACATATGTAACTAACCTGCACAATGTGCACATGTACCCTAAAACTTAAAGTATAATAAAAATATATATATATATAAATAAAAAAATTAAAAAATAAATAAATAAAAATAAAAAATTTATATTGGAAAAAAAATGTTTCAGTTGAAACAAGAAAGAAAATGCAAATGTCCAGTAAATTTTATTATTGTGCAGTGGGTTATGGATTTCTATATTCCTTATACTTTTCTATAATTTATACATTACTACAATGAGTATATTTAACAAAAATTGAATATTATTTTAAAAATAGAGATATGTGTTACTTTTATAGTAAACAAATAACAAAATTTTTATTAGAATGTATTTATTTATTTTATTTATTTATTTATTTATTTATTTTTGAGATGGAGTTTTTGCTCTTGTTGCCCAGGCTGGAGTGCAATGGCATGATCTCGGCTCACTGCAATCTCCGCCTCTCGGGTTCAAGTGATTCTCCTGCCTCACCCTCCTGAGTAGCTGGGATTACAGGCATGCACCACCACGCCCTAATTTTTTTTCTATTTTTAGTAGAGACGGGGTTTCTCCATGTTGGTCAGGCTAGTCTCGAACTCCCAACCTCAGGTGATCCGCCCACCTCGGCCTCCCAAAGTGCTGGGATTACAGGCGTGGTCCACCACGCCTGGCCTACAATTTATTTTTTTAGAATTTATTAAAATAATGAGCTCATTATTCATCACAGTCTGTAAATTAATTTAGACAAATTTGTTTTTACTGAATTAAGATCATCCATGAAGAAGATCAGAATTTTTATTAGAGCAGTAAGATATAATCTCAGCAGAGTGAAAAAGTGGGAGGCTTTGAACAACCAAAGACTGTACAAGATCGCTATATGCCTGAAGGAAAACAAAAGGGAAAGGCGTAAAAAGAAAGTGAAAGAATACCAAAGAACCTCTGTATACTTAGCAATTTCTCCAAGGCCCTAATGATGACAATCACTTTCATCTATTTTTTTTCCATTAATAAGAATTTAGCACCTTGACTACTTAATACCTCTGTTAAAGGATAAAAGGGACGGGCATGTTAGTTTGCCAGTTAAGAACATAAAGATCACAGTCACTTCCCAAATCCACAATTTAAACAAGTTGAGTCAACCTGAGCAAGTCATATGAACAATCCCATCTTTGATTTCCTGATCTATAAGAAATCAGTAACAAAAAACTTACCTCACAATGTTGTGAGAATTAGAGAATATAATTTTTAAAGCATGTAGCAAGTCTCAAATAATAAATATTAATTATCACTTATTACAATAAGAAACTATAATAAATGTATTTATATTCCATTTACTTATTTCTGAAATAACAATTATACTAAGCCTTGCAATCAAGCAAATAGGTTATTTTTATATGACACTTCTTATTAGCAAATTATATATTTTTAACTGAGTCATTACCTTATGATTCTCTGCATTTTCCATGGCAAAGTAAGGTGGCATTGCAGTAACAATGATTCCAAGCAAAGCTGCTTGAAAATACAGCTCAATTTTAAAAACTATATCAGTAATTTCCTGAAAGACAACCACAGAGTAACAAATGGAACTGAGAATCATTTTATATCTTAAGATATATCTTAGGATATATCTTATATCAAAAAAAAATCAAAACCTCAGAAAGAATGTATTAGAATATCTAACCCAGGCATAGTCTACATGAAAGAATGAGTGGCAGATGTATTAACAGGTGGTTGTGGACAATATTACCAACTCTGCCACTTATTAATAACTATCTGATCCTAAGCAAATCATTTTACTTTCATTTTCCTGTCTACAACACAGAATAATCAGGCATATAAATTACGCTTCACAATTTCATAAAAATGAATGATGTATTTGAAAAGCAGTTAGTATGTCCACCATAGTGGTCCTATGAAATAATAATAAATATCTAAGAATGATATTTGTTGCTCTTGTCTTTTTAATTGGGAAAAGCTATATCCAAGCTCAGCTTCCTATGGAACTAGAACTTCTTCTCCCAAGCAGAAGAGGAATTAACTCCCACAGGCCCCAATGTCGTTAGCTTCCCCAGGGATCCAGGTGCAGTCAGCTAACTTTCCCAGACAATCAATAAACAGCTAGCACTTCAAATGCAGATTACCCAAGTCCAAGGATACTATATTATCAGCCACCCTCACCAAGGTCAGTTTCCTCCCCTTGTTCTATAAGAATACAGACCCGTGGGACAGAGAAGGTACTCTGCACTGGAATAGAATCCGCAGTGCCTAGCAGATACCCTCGCACTGGCACACCCCTCCATGGGATGACATAGAGACAGAGTACATCACTGTCTTGCTGAAACCTAGCCTTCTGAGTTTTCCTATTTAGCAATTAAGTCAATTCCAAAGTTCAGGTCATATGACATTGCAGAATTTGTCTGAAACTCTCGTAATATGACAGTGGAGGCTCAGAAAGAACCCACAAATATGTAGACTAGTAGTGCAAGAAGTGGAAATGAATGAGACTACAGTTGGATCCAATCATACAGAATCTAATGAAGAAACAAATTTGAAATATTAATACGACTATATATGAATAGTTAGCTTCAAAAACTCCCATGTATTTCTTTCGAAATATAGTATGATTATATGTCAGTGTTGTTGAAAATTGTAAGTTGTAAAATCTTGTGTAATAGTTATGGATACAGACATATGTAGTAACATCAAAAAAACACGTATGGGAATTACAAATTGTGAAATTGTGAATTGCGGTTACTCCTACGGAGGAGAGAAGGAAACAAGATTGGAGAGGGGTAACATGAGTTTTCACCTGTGTCTTAAAAGTTTTACTAAAAACAAATATTATGCAATATTAACATTTGAAATATTTGGATAGTAGGTGGTTCGTTTTCTGTACGTTTGAAATATTTCATAATATGAGATACCTCTCCACAGACACTGCTGCTGGAAATGGAAAATGATGCAACCATTTTGGAAAGCAGTTTGGCAGTTCTTCAAGTGTTAAACATAGAGTTACTAGATGATCTAGCAATTCCACTCCTAATTATATATCCAAGAGAAATAAAAACATATGCTCATACAAAATCTTCTACTCAAATATTCATAAGCATTACTCATAATAGCCAAAAGGTGGAAATAACCCAAATGCCATCAACTGATGAACAGATAAGTAGAATGCAGTATTTCACATAAACATTCCATACATTCCACACAATGAAATATGATTTGGTAGTAAAAATAAATGAAGCACTGATACGTGTTACAAAACAGATGAATCTTCAAAGCAGTATGCTAAGTACAAGAAAGCAGACAAAAAAGACTACATACTGTATGATTCCATTTATATAAAATGTCTAAAATAAGGAAATCCATAGAAACAGAAAGTACATTAGTGGTTGCCTAGGGTTGGGAGTGGGTATGAGAGGAAATGAGTGATTACTAATGAGTATAAGGGTTATTTTTTTTGGAGGGGGGTGATGGCATATTTAAAACTGACTGTAGTGATGACTGCACAACTCTATAAGCATAATAAAAGACACCGAAGTGTATACTTTGAATAATGGTCAGGTTGATTGGGCATTATATTTCAATGAAGCTGTTTTTAAAAGTATGAAAAGAAGAAGATAGAAAATATTGTTACAGATATTTGTCCATTTATTTTTTAGCATATGAAAATCAAAAGGATTAAGAGAAAATATGTTGGATACTTTTCTGTAATCTTGATTCTGATATGTACAATCCAACAGTTCTATCTAGAGGAAAAATGGTTGCCTGGGTGACTTCTCAAGTTTTTTTCAATACCCAATACCTGGATTTTAGGTAAAAAATATTCATTTAAAAATTATCTTATATTTTATTCTATGATCAATATAGAACACACTTATTCCTTATACAAATATTAATACCAAAACAGAATCTCCTTTACCCTGAAACATACTTCTACTGGGGAATCCTAAACCTTAATGTAAACCGTTTCTCACTTGAGTTTTAAGAAGTCTAAGAGATCTCACAAGATAAATTTCTACATATTTTGTTATTTTTGCTTAGTTTTTAATGGTTATTATATATATGACATGCATATGGAAATTTATCTGTATATACATTGGCTTACTTGAAAGAATGGGGTACTCCAGATCTGGATGGTTTCAGTCACATTTAAATGATAAAGATAGTAGTTACTAATGATATTCACTAATATAGGTAAAGAATAAACCATAGTACTGTTGAAAACAGCTGCAAAAACATAGTCCTACAATTAAAAAAAAGACACTTATTACATACTGTATATAAGCGGATATATTATTGATATGTACCAAGCTTTTCTCACCAACAAAGCTAATTCTCATACAGAAAAACTGCTTCAACAACTCACAGAAATAATACTCAATGACAGATAAAGACAATCTGGTTTGGAATGTACAGATATTTTAATATTTTAAACAAGCATATAATTTTTTAAAAAACTAAATTTCTGTAACTTTATATATTGGTCATCTGTGAAGTAATGAAATATATCATAAATAAAGACAGCTAGTTATTTCCAAAAGTAAAATCTAATTTCTAACTCATAAGGTCAAATCAACAAATAATTAATTTTAGAAGAAACGTTTTAATCTTGCATAACTCCCAAATGGATATTCATTCACTGCATTCATCTTACCTTTTCTGAATGCATCACATTTAAAGCCGCACTATGGGGAGCCACGGATACATAGTCACTGTCATTAATCATCGTCACCATTATGTTCTGGCTTGTGAAAAAGCTAATAAGATCACTGATATCTGAGTCTGGTGTTAGAAAATAAGCAAATAATAAAAAATGAGTCTAAACGAGGCTTTTAGTAACACTGGGAAGATAATTCTATTTTTAGAGAAATATTTTATTTTCATTAGCGAATACGCAAGTAAGTACATTGGCTCTGAAGCCAGTCAGCCTGGTTTTAAAGTTGAGTTGTAACATTAAACTATTCGTCCTTCAAGCAAGTTACCTAGATGTTCTGGACCTTAAGTTCCCTCTTTTGTAAAGTGGGTAAAATAAGTATATCTGCCTTATAGGTAGAGTGATCATCCTGAGAATTAAATGACTGAATATATACACAGAGTTTAGAACCTGACACATAGTAACTGCGCATATTTTAGCTGCTGCTGCTGCTGCTGCCACCACTGCTGCTGCTGCTACAACTATTATTAACATTGAAAAGTTAACCTATAACACATGAAATTTGGTTAAATAATAAGAATAAAAATCTATCTGACAATTTTAGGTAACAAGATAACCTGCTAAGTTCAGAAAGGTATAGGTGTGGTAACATCACTCCCTAGAGAATTTTTTGTAGGCTCTGGGCAGACATGTCAATTGCCTTAACTACCTTAAAATATTCAAACACATAATCACATCTCTACATTCTCTAAAGTACCTGGAGCCAAGAGTAAGATTTTAAATCCTGTCGGGATTTAAATCTATACCAACATGTCTGCCGAATAGATGCAGTTTCTCCTCCATCATAACAAAAATCAGGATTCAGGGAAGGACAAATGTGACTTTAGAGAGAAATTTAAATCAAACAAAGCAAAACATTACTAGTAACTGAATAGTATGGCAGGGTGGATCAGACACAGCACTAGATCTCAGTGTCATAGAGAATGGTGACACTACTTTACTCCCAACCTAGTACCTTAACTGATCTCTTATCTCTAACTTGCAAGACCAGCTATGTACCCTGAGAAGAGAGACACATTATAAGTGAAGGAACC
This sequence comes from Homo sapiens, assembly GCF_000001405.40. Taxonomy (NCBI): domain Eukaryota; kingdom Metazoa; phylum Chordata; class Mammalia; order Primates; family Hominidae; genus Homo; species Homo sapiens. The sequence continues at coordinate 69,272,256 of NC_000017.11, forward strand.
ACAGCACAAGAGATACAAAAAGCTCTGCAAGGTGGGTAAGATACCACCCAATATATATACACACAGAGGCCAGTGGTTCAAAAAAAAGTGGTTTTATTTTGGAACACACACAAGGCTTAGGAAAATATGGCATGCATAAGCAAGCAACTCTAAGAATAATAAAAAATTAAGAGACAAACTGAAAATACTAGAATTTCTGCAGATCAATGAGAATTAACTCAAAGCAAAAAGATATGATTTGAATCCAAGTTCCTTTAAAAAAAAAAGAAATATTTGAGATACATGTACAATTCCCTGGACACATATAAAAAATGTCAAGATTAGCACAGTGTAAGGATTATATATTAGCAATATAAAATGTATTTTAAAACCAAAACGAGAATTCATAATGAAATTTCCTAATGAAAGAAAAAAAATTGCAAAACCTAACATTTTCCATTCGAGTAATTTTCCATTAATTTTCCATGCTCCAGGTAATTTTCCATGTTCTCACTCATTTATCCATCAATAAATACATCTTTACCAGAAAGAATGAAGGTTATGTAATATAACACGCACCAGATTTTAACAGTGATTATTTTAATACTAATTTATAATCATTCCTAGCCATGCTTATTATTTTAATACTGGGCAAAGTCTTTTTTGAATTAGTGAATCAAAAAGGAATGATACTAGAATGTAGGTGAAGTGTTAGAAAGGTTAAACCCCAAAGAGTCTGCTACAGAATAGGAGATGTTATAGGAACAACTGATCACATATGAATAAAGTTTGTATTAGCTTTTAATATTTTGAAAATCAGAACACTATGTCAGTTTTTTGTTTTGAGCTTTGCTCAAGTCTGTATGTTTAAATTTTTTTCATATTTGACAACTACATGGTAAGAATACTAATAGCAAAGCCAAAAATATCCATTACAAATCTAATATATTCAATTAGAGATATTTATATTTAAGTCTTATTTTTCTTAGTTTTAACTAATTCTTCAGACTGTCCTTGAAGAATTAAAACACTTCTATGCAGACACATACCTGTATAAATATTATGTACTACAACTCTTTGTAAAGAGGGTTTTTCAACTTTTGAAGTATATTTTGCTCATCATGGACTTATCAGCATAAAACATGCTAGTAAGAATAACGTTATTATTAAAAAAGGAAATTCTACTATTATACAAAGTATAAATTTTTTTAACTATTTATTTATTTATTTATTTATTTTGAGGCAGAGTCTCCCTCTGTTGCCCAGACTGGAATGCAGTGGTGCAATCTCGGCTCACTGCAACCTCCGCCTCCCGGGTTCAAGCGATTCTCCTGCCTCAGCCTCCCGAGTACCTGAGACTACAGGCGCGTGCCACCATGCCTGGCTAATTTTTATATTTTTAGTAGAGACGGGGTTTCACCGTGTTAGCCAGGATGGTCTCGATCCCCTGACCTCAGGTGATCCACCCGCCTTGGCCTCCCAAAGTGCTGGGATTACAGGTGGGAGCCATCGCACCTGGCCAAAACTGTCATTTATTTGTAAACCAAAATTTACTGTAATATATTCTTCAGCATCAATAAGATACGTATTGAACTATAATTTAGATTTCATGCAGACAGACCATGCCTTTACCTTAAATATAGTTTTAAAATCCAGACCTTTATCCACCCCTCAACCCCATGCTCCATGCCAACACTCGTTCACAGACCTTCACACACTCTCACCAGCAGAATTTTGAAGAAGCAGACTTGTTTTGTATTTATGTGGTTTGTCTCCAGGTTTTAGAAAATATAAGTCTGGAACAAGTTTGATGGGAACCACAGCATTTTTAAAAGAGTGATGAACCAAAAACATAAAAATCTGAACTGTGAAAAAAATTAAAAGCAGAAGCAACCTGAAAAGAAAAAAAAAACAACACAGCTCAGGGTACAAAGGTACATTAATATGAAAATCAATTAAAACTCTCCCTTCACATTGATATGGACTTTTTTTGTTTTTATTTGAGACAGGGTCTGGTTCTGTCACCCAGGCTGGAGTGTAATGGCATGATCTCAGCTCACTGTAACCTCCACCTCCCAGGCTCAAGCAATCTTCTCCCCTCACCATCCCAAATAGCTGAGACTACAGGCACACGCCACCATACACAACTAATTTTTGTTATTTTTTATAGAGATGGGGTTTCGCCATGTTGCCAAGGCTGGTCTCAAACTCCTGAGCTCAAACAAGGAGCTTGCCTGCCTCAGCCTCCCAAAGTGCTGGGATTGCAGGTGTGAGCCACCTTGACCAGCCTACATTGGTATAGATTTAAACTCTAGATAGTTAAAAGATAATCACTGAAAAAAACAAAGAAAAAAAACTGAAAAAAAAAAATAAGAAATCGTATTCCCCAAAATGATCTTATGACAATACTGGAGAGAAAGCCAATACTGTACGACAAAATTAAAAGTTATAAAAGTGTATTTTAGATCAGTGATGCCCTTAAATTTTTCTAAGAGTATGTAAACACGTAGTTATAACTGTTAAAACACAAGACATTATGTCTCAAATATTTGTCTCTACTCCTGAAGGAATTACTTCCTGTCCTGTCTCTATCTTAACCATTTACTTTTTTTTTTTTTTTTTTTTTTGAGATGGAGTCTTGCTCTGTCACCCAGGCTGGAGTGCAGTGGTGTGATCTCGGCTCACTGCAACCTCTGCCTCCCAGGTTCAAACGATTGTCATGCCTCAGCCTCCCAAGTAGGTGGGACGACTGGCATGTGCCACTGTACCCGGCTAATTTTTGTATTTTTAGTAGAGACAGGGTTTTGCCATGTTGGCCAGACTGGTCTCAAACTCCTGGCCTCAAGTGATCCAGCTGCTGCAGCCTTCCAAAGTGCTGGGATTTCAGGTGTGAGCCACTGCACCCAGCCCCATTTACTTTTCACGTAACAAGAAAAATATTTTAGATATAGAGAAGCAAATAAAAATACAATTAAACTCTGAATGGCTGATATCTTTGAAATCTCATCCTAATCGCAATTTTATCATATTAATTGCCACTGCTGCTCTCAGGAGGCAAAGCAAGGTATACTACAATGCCCTTTTATCTGAAGAGCAGCTACTTATCTGATAAAATATCTATATATCACATGTAATAAGTGTCCTAACAAGCAGTTGGAGAGCTTAGATTATCATACTTCAGCAATTTATAAATTTCACATACCCCGTAATTTTTTTAAAAAAATTCTTAAATTGTTATATCTAAGATTTCAAAAGCATATGGCATTGATCAAGTTCCATAATAAGTTAAGAAGTGATTTAGGTTAAAAAATATTCACAATTAAATAATATTTGGAAACATGAGGTTAAACAAAGTTGAAGGAATTTCTTTACCAGAGAACATCTCATGTTTTTTATGCTAATGAATAACTCTTTAATATAGGGAATATAAGAGTAATATTTTCTAAATGTATTTGACCATGGAACACATTTTGTTATGGATTGAATGTTTGTGCCTCCCCAAATTTGTATGTTGAAGCCCTAACTCCCATATGATGGTATTTGGAAATGGGACTTCGGAAAGGTAATCTGCATCAGATGGCATCATGAGGGTGGGGTCCCCATGATGGGATTAGTACATTTATAAAGAGACACCAGAGGGTGCATGCCAGTGTACATGAAGAGGTCATATGAGCACACAGTGAGATGGTGGCCTTCTGCAAGCCAGGAAGACAGCCATCACCATGCTGGCACCCTGATCTCAGAACTGCAGCCATCAGAATTGTGAGAAAATAATACTCTGTTTAAGTCACCCAGTAAATGGTATTTTGTCATGGCAGTCAAAGCTGACTAAGGTATTTTAATTTTCTTTTTTTGGGGGGGCGGGGGGGCAGGGACGGAGTCTCACTCTGTTGCCAGGCTGGAGTGCAGTGGCACGATCTTGGCTCACTGCAACCTCCGCTTCCCGAGTTCAGGCAATTCTCCTGCCTCAGCCTCTCAAGTAGCTGAGACTACAGGCGCCCACCACCACACCCAGCTAATTTTTTTATATTTTTAGTAGAGACGGAGTTTCACCATGTTGGCCAGGATGGCCTTGATCTCCTGACCTTGTGATCCGCCTGCCTTGGCCTCCCAAAGTGCTGGGATTACAAGCTTGAGCCACCGAGCCCAGATGGTATTTTAATTATTTTTCTGAGTGTATTTTATGAGAGTGGTGTTTAGAAAATGTGGCACATATACACCATGGAATACTATGCAGCCATAAAAAAGGATGAGTTCATGTCCTTTGAAGGTACATGGATGAAGCTGGAAACCATCATTCTCAGCAAACTAACACAGGAACAGAAAACCAAACACCACATGTTCTCACTCATAAGTGGGAGCTGAACAACGAGAACACATGGACACAAGGAGGGGAACATCACACACCGGGGCCTGTTGGAGGGTTGGGACTGGGGAGGGATAGCATTAGGATAAATACCTAACGTAGTGATAGGTTGATGAGTGTAGCAAACCACCATGGCACATGCATACCTATGTAACAAACCTGCAAGTTCTGCACATATATCCCAGAACTTAAAGTATAAAAAAATAATAAAATAAATTGAAACATGCTGATTTAAATAAACATTTTTCTTTCAGTAATGCCGACCAGGGAATAAATCAGATACGTGATTGACATTTGTTTGACACTGAATTTGGTCAAAGAAGAGCATATAAATTTAGCATATTCCAAACATATAACAATATTCTTAATCTTAATGATTAAGCCTTATTACTACTGACATTTTGGACTTAACAAGATAGGTGTGTGGTATATGAAAGTGGTTAATGTTATTTCCAAATTATTCAGTTCCTAGTACCCTAGGAGAACCTAACTGAGAAGGGCTAAAGCTAACTTGAGATGTCATTTTGATCCCAGATCTACTAGCTATGTAGCCTTCTTTATTTTTCAGTTTCCTCATAGGATAAATAGAGGTAAAACTCATTTTTCCTGCTACTTACAAAAAGTGGTTATAAAAACTAACTAATAGACGCAAAAAATAGCGAAAAAATAGAAACGCAAAACAAAATTTAAGATACAATGGGGAGTGTATTAATATATTCAAGGAAACTTGAATCTGTGCTCCCAGGTGAAAGAAAGAAAAAGATACAATGACAGTAATTAAAAAATTATACAATTAGGGAATATTTGTTATTTCCTCACTTTATAGATGAGACAATAAATGCTAGTTTAAAAAGTGTAAGACAGGGTATTCGATGAAATTATTGTAATTTTTTTCTCTAACATTGTGAAATTACAGTGGTAATCTTTCGAAACTATATAAATTATTTACATATGTTAACATTTTAAAAATTAAGATGGTAAAACCAATGTGTATCCTTAAAAAGCAATCCATCAGGTATAAGGGTGATAATTATACTTACACTGATCTCACTGATTTACTTTCACGTTTCAAGGTAAAGAAATGAAACTTTGCTATTGTATACATCTGTTGTTTCCAAAGGCTCATGGTGCTCACTAGAGCAGCCTTGGTTTCAGAAAGAATAAGTAAGCTCTGTTCCATTTCATCAAAAGATTTTGAATCCATTTCTTCCTCCAGTGGCTGCTGAGTAAATACACTATAATCTATTTGCCAAAACAAAACAAACATTTCAGTATGTTCATTAAAAAAGATACAAACTTTCTGAAGCAGGAACATTTAAAGAAGCATTGGTCTGGCAGTTATGTGGAACAAATGGAACTCTCTTATATTCTGGCAGTATCTATTAAAGCTGAACATATGTATATCTTATGACCCAAGAGATCCCCAACAGGTATAAACCCAACAGAGATATGAATACAGGTTTCACCAAAACACATGTACAAGAACATGAGAATGTTCTTGTTCTACTAAGAACAAGAACACTATTCTATGGAATAGTGTAAACCAATGAAAATGAACAAACTACTGTACCCATAACAACATGGCTGAACTTCACAAATGTCATTTTGAGTGAAAGAGGACAGATGCAAAGGAGACACATGGTATAATTCCACTAGTTCAAAATCAAACTGGATACATATCCATATTTAAGATCTTATTATCTCTGTATCTGTATAATATCCAACTTTTATGTGAACTTTTCCTCTCTGACCACAACTTAGCATCATATCCTGATCATACACGAGACTTCTCTCTTATCACCATGTTTGAGAGTCCTCTCCTGGCTTTACATTACTTCTCAATTAAAATTTAGCCTCAGGCTCAGTTTTCAGCCAAATTCTGCCCTTCAACTTCATCTTTAGTCTTTGGAAGGTTTAAGAGCCAATGCCTACTTCAATATAATTTCCTGGGATTACTGAGGTTGTACATGATCAATGACAGTGTGATCATACAGATTATTAGCACAACACTTAAAAGGTATAACAAATTCAGTAGTGTGAATAAGGTATGTCATTCAGATTTCATTTTAATATTTAATATTCATTTAAATTACAGTTAAACATTCCAAATGTATTTGGAATAAAAATTTATTTACGTACTTTATGTTAAAATTCTAGCATATAAACAGAGCCAAAGACAAAAACCACATGATTATCTCAACAGATGCAGAAAAGGCCTTTGACAAAATTCAACAACCCTTCATGCTAAAAACTCTCAATAAATTAGGTATTGATGGGACATATCTCAAAATAATAAGAGCTATCTATGACAAACCCACAGCCAATATCATACTGAATGGGCAAAAACTGGAAGCATTCCCTTTGAAAACTGGCACAAGACAGGGATGCCCTCTCTCACCACTCCTATTCAACATAGTGTTGGAAGTTCTGGCCAGGGCAATTAGGCAGGAGAAGGAAATAAAGGGTATTCAATTAGGAAAAGAGGAAGTCAAATTGTCCCTGTTTGCAGATGACATGATTGTATATCTAGAAAACCCCATCGTCTCAGCCCAAAATCTCCTTCAGCTGATAGGCAACTTCAGCAAAGTCTCAGGATACAAAATCAATGTGCAAAAATCACAAGCATTCCTATACACCAACAACAGACAGAGAGCCAAATCATGAGTGAACTCCCATTCACAATTGCTTCAAAGAGAATAAAATACCTAGGAATCCAACTTACGAGGGATGTGAAGGACCTCTTCAAGGAGAACTACAAACTGCTGCTCAAGGAAATAAAAGAGGATACAAACAAATGGAAGAACATTCCATGCTCATGGGTAGGAAGAACCAATATCGTGAAAATGGCCATACTGCCCAAGGTAATTTACAGATTCAATGCCATCCCCATCAAGCTACCAATGCCTTTCTTCACAGAATTGGAAAAAACTACTTTAAAGTTCATATGGAACCAAAAAAGAGCCCGCATCGCCAAGTCAATCCTAAGCCAAAAGAACAAAGCTGGAGGCATCACGCTACCTGACTTCAAACTATACTACAAGGCCACAGTAACCAAAACAGCATGGTACTGGTACCAAAACAGAGATATAGATCAATGGAACAGAACAGAGCCCTCAGAAATAATGCCGCATATCTACAACTATCTGATCTTTGACAAACCTGAGAAAAACGAGCAATGGGGAAAGGATTCCCTATTTAATAAATGGTGCTGGGAAAACTAGCTAGCCATATGTAGAAAGCTGAAACTGGATCCCTTCCTTACACCTTGTACAAAAATCAATTCAAGATGGATTAAAGACTTAAACGTTAGACCTAAAACCATAAAAACCCTAGAAGAAAACCTAGGCATTACCATTCAGGACATAGGCATGGGGAAGGACTTCCTGTCTAAAACACCAAAAGCAATAGCAACAAAAGACAAAATTGACAAATGGGATCTAATTAAACTAAAGAGCTTCTGCACAGCAAAAGAAACTACCATCAGAGTGAACAGGCAACCTACAAAATGGGAGAAAATGTTCGCAACCTACTCATCTGACAAAGGGCTAATATCCAGAATCTACAATGAACTCAAACAAATTTACAAGAAAAAAACAAACAACCCCATCAAAAAGTGGGCAAAGGACATAAACAGACACTTCTCAAAAGAAGACATTTATGCAGCCAAAAGACACATGAAAAAACGCTCACCATCACTGGCCATTAGGGAAATGCAAATCAAAACCATAATGAGATACCATCTCACACCAGTTAGAATGGCAATCATTAAAAAGTCAGGAAACAACAGGTGCTGGAGAGGATATGGAGAAACAGGAACACTTTTACACTGTTGGTGGCACTGTAAACTAGTTCAACCATTGTGGAAGTCAGTGTGGCGATTCCTCAGGGATCTAGAACTAGAAATACCATTTGACCCAGCCATCCCATTACTGGGTATATACCCAAAGGACTATAAATCATGCTGCTATAAAGACACATGCACACATATGTTTATTGTGGCACTATTCACAATAGCAAAGACTTGGAACCAACCCAAATGTCCAACAATGATAGACTGGATTAAGAAAATGTGGCACATATACACCATGGAATACTATGCAGCCATAAAAAATGATGAGTTCATGTCCTTTGTAGGGACATGGATGAAATTGGAAATCATCATTCTCAGTAAACTATTGCAAGAACAAAAAACCAAACACCGCATATTCTCACTCATAGGTGGGAACTGAACAATGAGATCACATGGACACAGGAAGGGGAACATCACACTGGGCACTATTGTGGGGTTGGGGGAGCGGGGAGGGATAGCATTGGGAGATATACCTAATGCTAGATGATGAGTTAGTGGGTGCAGCACACCAGCATGGCACATGTATATGTATGTAACTAACCTGCACAATGTGCACATGTACTCTAAAACTTAAAGTATAATAATAAAAAAAAATAAAAATAAATAAATAAAAAAATAAAATTCTACCAATTAAACCATAAACATATATTTATTTAATGGCAAGAATAAAATACTACACAATTGAGGTTTATTTTAAACTCAAAAACATTCAGAACTTTCAACACAGAAAAATATTAACAGTTAATGCAAATATTAAAGAGAATGTACTAGTGAGATAACTTTAGGAAGAACATTATAACTTTTGGGCCAATACATGTATTTTTTAATTTAGATAATAATATAAAAAGAAATCAGATTATATAATATTAATTTTATGTAGTGGTTCAGTATATTAGTACTCAAGATATTAAAACAAATTTGGGAGACTTGCTTCTTTTTTTAGTTATTTAATTCCATTAAGGCCACGCACTTTCAATATAAAAGTTTTATTGTGGATTCTTCCACAATTTGTGAGGGTGAACTAAAAGCAGAATGCCCACTTCATCATTTAAAAATTTCAAAAGAAGGAGAAACTACAAAATCACATACATTAATTTTCAGATAAATCTTCTTTGATCCAGACATAATAACAAAAGAAAAATTAAGAACTCAAAAATATATGGCTTCTCCTCACTGCATTTGAAAGTGGGCATCTGGTATCATAAACGTAGGACTACAGGAGCAACTTTACAGTTAGCAATGCTGACAAATTATTGTTCCCACACAATAAGGCCAATCTTTTAAAATTTGACTACCAAACCATGAATAATTAAATTCTAGTAATATTTTAAGTTCCAGATTTATTTTAGCATAATATAAGCAAGTTTACTTCATGATGATATATTCAGCTTGATTCTTGACTTTGGTATCACAATGATTTTAATCATCACCCACTCGGCATTCATGCAAAATGTGTATTTGCAGCATCTCAACTCTTTTAACAACTGTGAACTAACATCCTGGTTTCCTTTGCTCTCCTCACCTGCCACTACAAACATTTTGCTAACCTTCGATCATAAGAAAGTTTCCTCAACTCATGTTCTTACCGTAAACTGAATAGATCCACCTTGCTCCTTACTGCATCATGAAATTGATCTGTCAAGATCACCACTCTTACAGTCTACCAAATCCCTCACCGTCCTCTGTTACCAAAACTACCTTTTTTGTCCTCATCTTATTCTTCACAGCAATTGACAAATAACTGACCACTTCCTCTTTCCTAAACACCATTTTTCTAGGTTTTTCCATTTCCACTCTTTCATGAAAAAGTAGAGTAATAATTGCTCATTCACGGTCAGCCCTCTTGGCTCCTTCTCCACTGCTCACCCAGGAGGCTTGCCCCTCAATTCTTATCTACACTCCTTACCCAACTAAGAGATTTCATCCAATTCCATAGCACCATCTACCTGTGAGTAACTTCCAAATCTGTATCTTCAGCCGTAACATCTTCATTTAACTCCAGATGCATCTCAAACAATATACTCAAAATTCATGCCTCGGCCGGGCGCAGTGGCTTACACCTGTAATCCTAGCACTTTGGGAGGCCAAGGCGGGCGGATCACCTGAGGTCAGTTCAAGACCAGCCTGGCCAACATGGCAAAACCCTGTCTCTACTAAAAAATACAACAACTAGCTGGGCGTGGTGGTGGGCGCCTGTAATCCCAGCTGTTTGGGAGGCTGAGGCAGCAGGAGAATCACTTGGACTTGGGAGGCGGAGGTTGCAGTGAGCCGGGATGGTGCCACTGCACTCCAGCCTGGGTGACAGAGCAAGACTCAAAAAAAAAAAAAAAAAAGGAAAAAACTCATGCCTGCATTCCTTCTTTCCACAAACCTATTCTTCCCCTATTTTCAGGAAATGGCAATCTCATTCCCAGTTATCAAAAGCTTAGGAATTATTCTTCATTCCAACTTCTCCTGAGCCTCTAACACTCAATCTATCAGCAACTCATCACCACTACCACCAGTATAACCCAAATATCTGTTCTTTCCCTTTTTTTTTTTTTTTTTTTTTTTTTAAACAGGGTCTCCTTCTGATGCCCAGGCTAGAGTGCAGTGGTGCAATCATGGCTCACTGCAGCCTTGACCTCCTGGCCTCAGGTGATTCTCCCACCGCAGCCTCTAGAGTAGTTGGGACTATAGGCACACACTACCATACCTGGCTAATTTTTGTGTTTTTTGTGACAAGGTTTTGCCATGTTGCCAAGACTGGTCTGGAACTCCTGGGCTCAAGCGATCTCCCTGCCTTGGCCTCCCAAAGTGCTGGGATTATAGGCATGAACCACTGCGCCCGGCCTCCCTATTTTCACTGACACCCTAGTTCAAGATAGTATTAACTATAGCAGTTTCCTAACTGGTCTTCCTACTTCCACACTTCCTTTATAATACTCTTATCATTCAACAACCAGAACGTGTTTTTTTAAAAATTCAAATCAGATCATGGTACCTATTTGCTTTAAAACTCTCTGATAGCTTCCACACTACAATAGGAAAACAAATGAAATTGTTTTCCAGACGTTCAAAGGCAGAACATGATCTATCCCTTTGAGTATCCTCCTGACTTTGCTGTGTAATAGCTTCACTATGGCTCCGGCCATGGTAGCCTTTTTTTATCCCTCAAAGACATCCAACTCATTCCTCAGTTAATACCTTTGCAGTTGCAGTTCTTTATCTGAAAATTTCTGCCCTAAAATCTTCACCTACTTGATTTTTCTCATTATACAGGCCTCAGGTCAAGTATCATCTCAACAAAGTCCTTCCTGATGATATAATCTAAGTTCGCTGCCTTCTAAGACCACCCCATTATTTCCTGCATTACTCCTATCACTATCAGTATCTCATTACTTATTTACTTATTTCTACCCTTTATTCTAAAAAAAATATAAAATTACATTTATATAATTTTTGTCTTATTCACCATCTGTCTGATTCATTGCCTAAAATGTTTTGTTAGTTCTGTTTTTACCTGCTTGGTCAATTTCTGCTTCAACTTCTAGCTTTAAAAATACGTCTTCCAAAGTCGTCATGGAAACACCATAAGAAATGACACCCAAATTTGAATGACTGTCTAGGGCAGAAAACAAACCTAAAAGAAAAAAATGAAAGAATAGTATATCTTTAAGCATATTATCATAAATTATTGTAAAATATCCTTTAAAAATAAGTTCATGAACAGCCTGTGAAACATATCATGACCCATCTCTACAAAAAATAAAAATAAATTAGCTAGGCATAAATACTGATGCAAGCCTGTAGTCTTAGCTACTCAGGAGACTCAGGTGGGAGGATCACTTGAGCCCAGGAGTTTGAGGCTGCAGTGAGCTGTGATTGTGGCACTGAACTCCAGCCTAAGTAACAGGCTTAACATTCTTATAAATTAAGGACCTCAAAGAAATTTTATATATGGGAATATATCTATTATCATATCTATTACCATATTATATCTATATCATATTATAAACTAACAAAAATTTTACAGTATTTGAAATTAAAACTGAGAATGTTACTATATTGAATAATAAAATAAATATGTACATTAGAAAACATACAGTAATCATTTAAATACTTATTCATCTTTTAAAAAATAAAAAAGTAAACCTATTACGGGTTAACACAATTTTATTTTTAAAAACTGCATCTTTTAAAACAAAAATAATGAGAAGAGAATATTGTTTTACATTTCTGCAAATCTCTTTAATGTCTGTCTTAACAGAAGACAGATGGGTTCTCATATTTGTTTCTGTATTCAATCTGTTGTGATAGCACATATTATGCAGTCTCTGGAAAACACTGTATAATCATGAGAAGCTGAGGGTCAATAAGGCAAATAACATTTTGGTATTATTAGAAAAAGTGCTGACATTATGAATTCCCTTAAGAGGTCTTACGGTCCATCCTACAGGAGATCCCAGAAGACACTGTGAAATCCAGTGAAATACCGTGACAATTTTTCAAAGAAATGTAAGAGTCAACAACAAAGTATGGTGGTGAAAACCATGAGTTCTGGAACTGATTTGCCTGGGTTCAAAACTCAGCTCCACCACTTTCTACCTGTGTTACCTTGGGCAAGTTCCTTAAATCTTTTTATGTCTCAGTTTCTTCATTTGTAAAATGAAAGCAATAATAGTATTTATCTCATGTATTTCTTGAAATATTGGGATAATGAAATAAACTAATAATTGCAAAAGGCACAGACCAGCATCTGGTAGAAAATAAGCACATATAAATGTTACTAAAGAATAGGAGATAGGTGGGTATAAGTAGATAGAATGATAGGCAGAGTGCATTAAGTTGGCAAGTGTACTTCAGTCCACTTAATTTGTGATTTCTTTTTAAAAAAAAAACAAGTATTTTTCTGATTATGAGATAAATGCTATGAAAATTCTGCACAATGTACTTACATCAATAACATCCTTTTGTCTATCAAGCAATTCCTAAACAGAGGAAGGAGACTGAGTTTGAGTTCCTCATTAAAAAATTAAAAAATAATGCCTCAATTAAAAGAATTCAAGGATTTATCATATAATTCATTATGAAATCATGAAACTATAAAAGAACCTGAGAATGTATATAAACTATATACATATATGCCTTACTCTCAGGAGGCCTACAAGCAATTTCTTTTTTTTCTTGACAACAAAGTAAACACAATTATTTTTACGTTTTTTAACATTTTCTTAAGTATTTAATATATTAGTTACAGTTTCTTGCATGGTGTTTGTAAAAAAAAAAATTTTGCTGTGTTTTTTCTGGCTTTCAAAAACAAAATAAAGCAGAAACAGAATATTAACTCTGGCCACCTGGGAGCATGGCAATACTACATGGAGAAGGAAACAAAAAGGAAATCAATGAAACCTATTCCCAATATAGGATCCCAGTTCAAACACCAAGAGACTTAAAGTAAGTAATACCTGAAAATTTGTCCATGTCCTTGAAAGGCAAGCTATACACAAGTTGTTGGTCATTCTGTTGTAATAAAGTAGCTCCAGGTATATGTTGTTTAACCAGTGAAGAAAGAGATTCTGTGGCACAATATTTGTCTATGTACATGCTAGAGAATACCAAAAATCACAATTAATGATTATACAATAAACAGCCAAAAGTAAATTATGAAGGCTTTAAATTAAATTTAGTACCATAAATGATGGTCAAAGCATATAACAGCAAGCCTCCAACATAATAACAGTATAGCAAGAGTATAATATAGAATAATGTCAATAAAAATGAATGATACCTCAGGCGGTAGCCGATCCCCCATTTACTTTTGAGGAACATTGAAGAACCAACACATTTCAGCATTCCTTGTGATATCACAGCTTTCCTATCTGCAGATAAATATTTACATTTCAATTTCTAAAGTATCAACAGCATTAATAATTGGCATTTACATTTTATGGTTTCTCATATGAGAGTCATCCACATTATGATATCATTAATCATCACAAAAAGTCTTATGAGGATGGTACTAGATTATCATCAACTATTTTTCAGATATGAATACTAAGGTAAAAAGAAAATACATTCCTTATATATGTTTCATACAGCTATTAAGTAACAAAGCCAGGAACTCTACTCAAGGAGTCTGACTCTAGAGTCTACTTACCATATGTTATTCCAAATATATTTTTCCTAAAAGGCTTACCAATACAAGCACTTTCACAATTTCCTTTATAACCAAATGTAGAAACAACTCCAAAAATCAACAAAAGTAATAAGAAGAACAAATGTTAGTTTGTTGGGTTTTTAAAAATAAAGGTACTACTGAAGACATGAATGACTTGCCCAATTTTATTAGATTATATTATAAGCAGACAGAAGTTGCTCAAGAATTTCAAACTTCTATATCTGTCATAGCTATTAAAAGTCATGTGTTGACTTCAACTTGGATTCTTTATATGTATGTATGTGTATAAAATTGTGCAGAAAAGAGTTAACATAGCAGGTCAGAGGCTTCTATCCTTAGAAAGGCCTGCTTACAAGGTTGGCCCTTGGCTGTTAGTTGAGAACTTGGATTTGGGAGGGTTCCTACTATTCTCAAAACAGGTAAGAGTGGCTCAGTGCCTAAACTGTACAAACAATGTGGTTTATGCCAAACAACTTCTTTCCTTCTGAGAATCTGGAACTTTGGTATGTGCTAGGCAGAAGATGTTTATGTGATCAGCACCCAATAAGAATCTTGAACACTGAGTATATACTAACTTTCCCAAGTAGATATTTCACACATGTTGTTACAACTCAATGCTGAAGAAATTAAAGCACATCTGTCTACTCCACTGGGAGTAGGACTCTTGGAAGCTTCTACCTGGTTTCCTCGAGACTTTGCCTCATATACCTTTTCCCTTTGCTAACTTAGCTTTGTATCCTTTTGCTGTAATAAATCATAGTCATGAGTATGACTATGTGCTGAGTCATATGAGTTCTTCTAGGACATCACTAAACCTGGGATGGTCTTGGAGATTCTCAACACAAAAATGTATCATTTTAAAATTTTTTAGAACTTTTTTTGTGAAGGAAACATACCACTAGGTAAAAGCTTCTCTATTTATACCTCAGGAATTAGCATCTCTATATCCATCTTCCTTTTGGCCCATGATCTCAGCCTTCGAAAATAAAACAAAAATCTCACCTGCAAGAATGTCAGCTTCATCCATGAAATGAGTACTGAACACTGTCACCCGATTGGCTTTTCTGTATTTTAAAAGATTCCATACAATATGTCGAGAACAGGGGTCCATTCCAGCTGTTGGTTCATCTAGCAGCAGTATCTGTGTGAAAAGAGGTGAAGAAGGGCAGGGAATCCTCAGAAAAACTAAATATTAAACAGGCATGTGGACACTAAAAAACTGCCCCATTTCAAATTATTATTTTCAATCAGAAATATATTAGATCAGATTTTTTCATTCATAATTGAGTTCACATAAATTTTTAAAATTATAAATTTGACATGTGAATATTTTCCCAGGTTTAATTCTAAAAGACTGCCTGTAATACACAAGACAAAAGTATAACAACAGTCAGACAAACAAACTAAAAACAAAACATTAAGTATATTGCTATTATCCTTAACAATTAAATTTGTAGATGTAACACTTGCTTTTTTGGAGAAGAATATATGGTTTTATAGTAGTTCAAGGGAAGCAATTTGTTTCAAGACTATTTTTAATATAAAAAAGAACATGGTGGTGGTGGCTGAGAGGAAGACTAATGAACATAAAGCCAGGATCCAGAATCATTCCCCAGCTGCAACAGCAAGGGGGAATGTGGCAGGATGGTGGGGATCAATAGGAGATCATCCTAGCTGCATGCATGCACCTGTCAGTTTTGATGCCCTGTGTAAAGTGGTACATCAGTTGTTTCTCTGTTTCTATGACAGAGAACAGCATAAAACAAATACATACAAAATCAAAGCAGGACAGTGATAAACTGAATCACTCCTTTGATTTTGTTCTATTTCTTAACTTTTGTTATTAACTATAACAAATATTTTTTAAACTATAGAGAACAAGAGAGTAATACTATTATAGCTACCATTCCAATTCAGCAATGTTATTTTTTGGCCACATTTTCTTCAGATCATTTTTTAAAGAAATAAAACATGGAGGCCAGGCGTGGTGGCTCATGCCTGTAATCCCAACACTTTGGAAGGCAAAGGCGGGAGGATCGCTTGAGGCCAGTTCAAGACCAGCCTGGGCAACATAGCAAGGTCTCGTCTCTACAAATTAAAAAAAAAAAGAAGAAAGAAAGAAAGAAAGAAAGAAAGAAAGAAAACATGGCAGTCATAACTAAAGTCTATTCTTCCATTCTCCTTCCTAAAAGTAACCAGTTATCATAAAGATGTTATAACTCAGAAAGGAAAGGGTGGAAGGGGGTGAGGAATAAAAAAAACTACATATTGAGTACCATGTACAGTACTCAGGAGATGGGTGCACTAAAACCTCAGAATTTACCACTATATAATTCATCCATGTAACCAAAAACCTTTAGTACCTTGACAGCTACTAAAATTAAAAAAAGTTATACATCTTTCTGACTTCACTTTTAAAATCTCATTACTATGATTATATCCATAATAACATACAGCATTTTATGTACACTTAACCTTTACATAATGTATTATATCTTTCTACAACCTGCTTTTTAATTCGACATAATTTAAAATGAGCTCATCTGTAAAAGTAATATTTATTTACCTTTGGGTTCCCAAGAACAGCAATTCCTAATGACAGCTTTCTTTTTTGACCACCACTTAATTTTTTAGCTTGGTTATCTTTGATAGTCTGCATGTCTAAATCTAGTAAAACCTTCTGCACCTGTAAAAGTAAAGCATGAACAATGTTATTTTAAAAATCATACCATTTATATAATTATCAATATTACTTTTTAAATATTTTAAGTTTTAATGTGTTAGATATTTAAGTAACATAGGTTTTTAAATAATTTTAATATCAACTTTAAAAATGATCCTTTAGCATGGAACTGCCTTTGACATATACTCATATATAATTATGAAAACAACAGGTAACAAGATTCTTGAGGGAAAGGTTTTAATTTTGTGCCTTCTTGGGTGGTAGGGAAGGAATAAGAGATCACTGTGATGGCTCTTAATGTATGTGTGGAAGTGGGAGGGGGTAGAGGAGATGAGAGCAAGAGAAGGCAGGAATAAGGCAGGCAAGCATCCTCCAGATGAAACAAACTTTTATGTGTGCTAAAACATTTACTCCAAATTCTGTCTAATTCTTTGTAATAGCTTTCTGTTTGCTGGCTCAGAACAAGTGTTATATTTAGATTTTCAAGCATATTTTTATTGCACAAGTCATTACAAAAGGTTATTGATTACAGGAAATAAAAGTAAAGATTTCTATATGAATAGCATACTTCTTGTATTATATTGTTGGCTGGTATCCCTTTGATTGAAGCCAAAATTGATAAATTTTCTTCTACTGTCAAAACATCAAAGTGTATATCTAACTGTGGACAAATGCCAATCATTTTTCTTGCTTCAAACATTTCATCTATTTCTGAGACTCTGTGTCCATATATAGATGCAAACCCTAAAAGCAAAATATATATTTAAATGTACATTAATTATTTTATAATGTGTATGTTTTCAAGTATCCTGATAACTTAGTTATTTGGTTATAACAGACATATAAGGTAAAAATTAATATAAATTTACAAGGCACAACACACCCTTCAATATTATTGGTGATCCGCATCCACTTATATTTCAATCTCATTTTCCATCACTTACAGGTCATATAACATAGTGGGAAAAGCAAGAAAGTAAAAGCTTGACACTAAACATAAATATCTATTGATACACTATTTACACT
Organism: Homo sapiens; assembly: GCF_000001405.40. Lineage (NCBI taxonomy): Eukaryota > Metazoa > Chordata > Mammalia > Primates > Hominidae > Homo > Homo sapiens. The sequence goes on from NC_000017.11 coordinate 69,290,320, forward strand.
TGTATTCCAGTAACAATTTTCTAGACACTGTGCAATAGTGGAGGGATTAAAGAACTATAAATTTTATCCTAACTAGCTGTGTGGTCATGGCCAAATTACTTAATCTCTTTAAATTCCAGCTTTCCTTTTTTATACAGTGAACACTAATATATTCATTGTTTTAATAGTGAAAATTAAAACAATCATACATTATGAAGAATCATGAGGAAAAATCATAAATTCTTATACAAATGTAAGATATTATGACTACCATCAAAGAGTGATACAACTAAGGACAAAGAACAAAATCAAACTAATTTTAAAAGTTAAATAACATTTAAAGAGTTGAAATGCAGATTCAATACAATTCAGCCCTTTTGTAAAGTAAAATATTTATTGTACTGCCACTCTATTTGGTTACTGTCATAATATGGAGCTACTATAATGAATTCTCACCTACCAAACAATCACATATCAAAATTATACTTTTGAGGTATGCCTTTAAAATTCTATTTTAGAAGATAGTATGAACATTTACAATTATTTCCTGCTGAACTATTGCTGTATATTTAGATATTTGTGTTTATTTTCTCAACCTCAAATAGTCTATAGTTCTGATTTAATTTCCAATAAGTTACTCATTTATCCTCCCTTGAAAATGATGAATAAAAACACATACATACACATCTACGTGTGTATATGTATAGAAATATGTACAAAATTAGATCCTTTTTACTTTATTAAACATGATAGAATCATTTTTATCTTCTACTAAAAACAACCACATGTGTATAATCAAGAAAAAAAGAAAACACCTTTACAGATACAGAAGTTGGTCCCATTGACAAAAATTATTCAATACACATTTAAAGAATATATATAATGAAGTTTTTTTTTCTTTAAGACAGAAAACTCACCATCAGAAGGTGGGCAGAGTCCACAAAGAATATTCATCAATGTACTCTTTCCTGTTCCACTGTGGCCAAGTAAGGCAGTAATCTGACCCTCATATATGTCAAATGACAAATCTAGTTCAGGAAAAAAGAAGACTCAAATGTAATTTTTATGTCTGTTCAGCTATGCATGATAATTCATAATATTTGAGCAATCTTCAAGGCACTATATCTATAAATACATATTTAAAGTTACCAGCATATTTGATAGCAGGTAAAACAGCTTCTTTGTTACAGTCAACGATATAAACAGTAATGAAAGTAAATAAAAATAAACTTTATTTGTTCATACAGTAAGATTTAAGAGTATACAAAATATTTGGGAATTTTCTGTGTCCCAATTTTTGGGAATTACCAATGGAACCAATGGAATTAAACAAAAATTTGTTCCCAAGGATATTTATAGGCATTTAAATAAACTGGCAAAAAAACAAGAAATTAACCAATAGCATAGAAATGGCTTGAAAGGTTAGATTTAATGAAGCAATATCACTGAATGGATATGTAAAGGAATGAAGGAAGACAGGAGATGGGGACCTGAAATGATGAAGCAGAAATGGCTTATCAAAAAACTAGGCTGGCCAGGCACAGTGGCTCGTGCCTGTAATCCCAACACTTTGGGAGGCTGAGGTGGGAGGATCACTTGGGCCCAGGAGTTCGAGACTAGCCTGGGCAACATGGCGAAATCCCGTCTCTACAAAAAATATAAAAATTAGCTGGGCATGGTGGCACCTGTAGTCCCAGCTACTCGGAAGGCTGAGGTGGGAGAATCACCTGAGCTTGGGAAGTCAGGGCTATGATAAGCCAAGACTGTGCCACTGTCCTCCAGCCTGGGGGACAGAGCAAGACCCTGTCTCAAAAACAAACAAACAACAACAAAAACTAGACTAAGAAGGCTAACATATAAAACAAGAAGGAAAAAGTCTCAGATCCTAACGCCAATAATCTAAGTTAAAATAAGAAAGGGAACTCAACAACTAAACGTTAAGTGTTCTGCCCCATGAACGTGGTATTTCTATTTATTTAAATCTTCTTTAATTTCTCTCAGCAATGTTTTGGACTTATCAGGATATGTCTTTTACATTTTTGTCTTATTTACCTGTAAGCATATTTTTTGATGCTAAATGCTATTTTTAATTTTAATTTCCAATTATGTGTTGGTAACATATAGAAATACAATTGATTTTTCCATTATTTATCATGTATCCTATCATCTTGCAAAACTCACTGTTTAGTTCCACTATTATTTTTTGTCAATCTAAAAGATTTTAAAAATAGATTATTGTGTCAACTGCAAATAATTTTACTGCATCCTTTCCAATCTGGATGCCTTTTATTTCATTCTCTTGCTTCTTTGCATTAGAAACAATTAGTTGTAATTGTTATTACAATTATAATTATACTTAACTAGTTGTACCAATAACTTACATTGGAGGTTATATATAATCTCCAATGTTGAATAAAAAGACGTGAAAAGCACTGTAACCATAAAAGAACAGATTCATAAATTGGACTTCATTCAAATTAAGACTTGTGTTTGTCAAAAGACACTGCTAGTAGAATTAAAAGGCAAGCCTCAGACTGAGATCAAATATTTAAATACCTGTATCTAACAAAGGTCTTGAAACAAAAATGTGAAAAGAACTTGAATAGGCATTTCATAAAGGAAAACCTCCAAATGCCAATAATCATATAAAAAGGTGATTAATAACATTAGTTATTAGGCAAATGCAAACTAAAACCCTATTAGTATACCACTATACCTACTTTCTTCTTAATAAATTAATTTGCCTCCTAGAAGACATTTGGTAAAGACTGGAGACATTTTTGGTTGTTACAACTGGGAGAGGATGTTTAGCAGTGTGCCAGGGATGTTTAGCAGCGTGTCAGTCAGTCTCCAGAACCAACAGAATACACACACACACACACACAATGGAGCAAGTATGAGTGTGGGGTTGGGGGATTAGGGAAGGTTTATTTTAAGAAATTGCTTCAGAAGATTGTGGGGTCTAGTAAGTCCCAAAAATCTGTAGGGCAGGTTGAAAACTCAGGCAAGAGTTAAAGTTGCCATCTTGGGTCCAAAATTCATAGGCTGACAGGCTGGAAACTCACGCAAGAATCTGTTTCATTCTTGAGGCAGAACTCCTTCTCTCTTTGGTGATCAAAGCCAGGGATGCTGCTTGTGAAGGTTAATTTTATGGGTCCCCCTGGCTAGGCTATGGTGCCGTTATTTGGTCAAATACTGATGTAGAAGTTGCTGTAGATGTCATTAACTTTTATAATCATCTGAGTTAAACTTGATTAGTCTTGATAATAATGGTAAACCTTATCCAATCAGTTGAAGGCCTTAAGAGAAAAAACAGGTTCCTTGGAAGAGTCCTGCCTCAAGAATGTAACAGACTCCTACATGAGTGTGCAGCCTGTCAGCCTGTCTACAAATTTTGAGCTCAAGACTGAAACTTCAACACTTGCCTGAGTTTCCAACCTGCCTTACAGATTTCTACATTTACCAGGGCCCACTATCTCATGAAGTAATTACTTAAAACAAACCTCCCCTAATCCCCCACCCTACAATCATACTGGTGTGTGTGTGTGTGTGTGTGTGTGTGTGTGTGTGTGTGCGTGTGTGTGTGTTTGTGTGTGTGTGTATTCTATTGGTTCTGGGGACTGACTAACACATTGACACAATGCTAAACATTCTACATTAAAGAACAGTTCTTCACAACAAAGAATTATCAGGACCAAAATGTCAGTAGTGCTGAGGTTGAAAAACCCTACGATAGGCCAAATGAATTTTTCAAAAAGTAACTAACATGTATTGCATATACATGCAAAATAATAAACTGAAACAAGGACATAGCCTTATTCAAATAATTGAGTATTTTTCATTTTAATAGATACTACATTTTACTTTTACAAATGTCATGTTGTTAGTTTTATTTTGAATATTAATCACATAAACGAAAGTATCTCAAAAAAGCAAGACAGGGGCTGGGCGCAGTGGCTCATGCCTGTAATTCCAGCACTTTAGGAGGCTGAGGCGGGCGAACCACCTGAGGTCAGGAGTTTGAGACCAGCCTGGCCAACTTGGTGAAACCCCGTCTCCACAAAAATACAAAAATTAGCTGGGCATGGTGGCGTACACCTGTAATCCCACCTACTCAGGAGGCTAAGGCAGGCGAATCACTTGAACCCAGAAGGCGCAGGTTGCAGTGAGCCAAGAGAACGCCACTGCACTATAACCTGGGTGACAGAGCGAGACTCCATCTCAAAAAAAATAAAATAAAATAAAAGCAAGACAGAAAATCATGGTAGAGAAGTTTAAATTTCCCACAAGCTATGCAAATTATTTTTCTAGTTGTACTTTAAATACTATGGCCTGAATACTAGGAAAACTACTTACTTCTCAAAGCCTCCACATTTTCACCCTTCTTTCTGTATGTCTTCTGAATACCACTAATTCTGAAATATAAAGTTTTATATTTTAAGTATTTAAAGCAATTTATAAGTATGTGTGTTTATTTACCATGCATATTTTTATCAATGCTATCACATTTTATAAGAATAATAAAATAATAATAAAGTACTTTCCTACTAAAACAATGAACCAAATAATGTTGATAATGAAAATACAATTGACACTTGAAAACACAGGTTAGGAGTGCCAACTGCCACACATAGTTGAAAATACACATATAACATTTTTAATCCCCTAAAACTAATCTATTAATAGCCTACTATTGATAAGAAGTCTTGCAGATAACATAAACCGTTGTTTAGCATATATTTTGTAGGTTTTACATGTTAAACACTGTATTTTTATGAAGTACACTAAAGAAAATGTTAAGAAATTATAAGGAAAAAATATATATTTACATTATTATACTGTATTTATCAATGCCGTCAGTTCACATCATCTATTTATAAGATGAACAAGATGCACAGTCTATCTGAAATGACAGGTAACCGCACCCACAGACCTCAATCTATGGTACATACAAGCAATTCAACTTTTTCTTATAATGTCATGACCTTTCTCTGCTTCTTGAGAGCACTTCCAGCATCACTAGTGGCAATTCCTATGGATCCCATGATGCTATTCAAGGCTTACGGTATTGCACTACACATAATAAAAAATAAGCAAGAACCCTGAGACATTACTTTTTATCATGATATGCAATTTACTGGAGAGATGAACAGCTCACAAGGAGATAATTGAGTCACATGGCATTCGAAGTATATGCTTGGAACACACAAGCTCACCATAACAGCAAAAGAAGGTGCTACAAAATTATTGCAGTGGTACAGTAATACTGTAGTTAATATTATGCAGCTATGATTTAATACTGCATCTTCACATTTGTTTACATTTCTCTCAACTGGGCATTGGCATAATGTAGGTCTGTCAATATTGTGTACATTAAGCTTTGATAAAGCATAACTTACTATAATCTGTGTATATTTTATGGTAGCAAATGTTAAAATAGACTAATATCTATAAATATTTTATGCATTCATGACATACCTAACATTTGTTTTTGGTATTTCTAGGCTAACAGTTCATCTGCGAGTTTTTTCAAATTGTTACAAATCTCCAAAAAAATTTTCAATATATTTACTGAAAAAAATCCACATATAAGTGAACTGGTGTAGTTCAAACTTGTATTTTTCAGGGATCAACTATAAAATTATTTTAAAGAAGGTACAAGAGAAAAGCATAGTATTCCTTTCCATTGTAAGCGTCATTGATTCATTTTTCATGCCAACCCAACTTCTAAAACTAAGTGAAGAATCTGATTTAAGCAATTTATGGATTTTTTTTCATTTCTGATTATCAAACACTTGTTACATCAGTGAAGGGGGATATAAACCAGATGTCATTTCATGTCAGCACAAATTTCAAACCATTAACAAATGTGAAGTGATTTTCTTATTCTACCTTATTTTTTTCATATTTTTTTAAGGAAATGATTTGTTAATCAGTTAAAATTTACCGTTAAGAAAGCAGGCCACTGGCCAATGAATTACATCTTAAGTATTTTGACTTTCTCTGGAATTTTTACATTTTTCTTAAATTTAAAAAATATTATGCTTCACTTTTTTATTTCATTTTATTTTATTTCTTTTCTTTCACCTAATTTTATTTCTAAATTTGGTACTGACTGACCTAACAAGGAATCGTAATGAATTTCTTTGGTTCTTAAAAATTAAAGTAATGAAATGTTCTAATTATGCCTCAAACCCTAAAAATCTATGAAATTAACAGATGACAATTTAATATGCTGTATAAAACAATGTAGCATGAACAAAATTATATAGTTAATATTTATCATGTTTCAGTCTACATAATGGGAAAAGCTTTAAACATTAATTGTATAAACATCAGGTTTTATTACTTTTAAAATTTTCCATCCAAACATAAAATTTCAGGGGACAGGTGTGGTGGCTTACGCCTGTAATCCCAGCACTTTGGGAGGCCGAGGCAGGTGGATCACCTGAGGCTACGAATTCGAGACCAGTCTGGCCAACATGGTGAAACCCTGTCTCTACTAAAAATACAAAAATTAGCCAGGCATGGTGGCGCATGCCTGTAGACTCAACTACTTGAGAGGTTGAGGCACAAGAATTGTTTGAATCTGGGAGGTGGAGGTTACAGTGAGCCGAGATTGTGCCACTGTGCTCCAGGCTGGGCGACAGAGCGAGATTCTGTCTCAAAAAACAGAAAGAAAGAAACATAAAATTTCAAACCTAGCACCAACTTTATTCTAAATGGTTGCAAAGAAAATAAGAAAAAGAGAAAAGTAGCCCTTATTAATGTTTTAAAATCATGGCATATGTACCAAATCTAATATACCATATTTACATACATATTTAAAGAATAGGATTTAAATGTTTCATCAGCAGTTCTTATACCTAAATTGCCAAAGATTGAACCATACCTTATGGCTTCTTTTCCTACAAATTCTGAAGAAACTGGCTCAATAATTTCACTAAAACTAATATTTCCATTAACATTGCCCTCTGATAACTCCTCATAATTTCTTTTGCTCTTTGACCAATATGAAGGCTTCAGAAAATATAAAGATGATCTCCGTAAGCCAAATTCCCCTGAAAAATAAACATTAAAAAACTGAGTTACCATAATTAGTTTTTAAATCATAAAGACAGCATTTCAAACATATGACAACCTGCATCTAAAGTTTAGGTACCATTCCGCAACATATATATATTTCCAAACATCATGTTGTACACAATAAATATATACAATTTTCATTTGTCATTGAAAAGTAATAAGTAAATAAAGATTAGCTGTATTGTATTAAATCAATATTGTATGAATCAAAGTTTTATTGATAAATAATTCTAGTCCATAAATAGTTTCAGAATTGCTGAGTGGGAGGTAAAGGTGAATAAAGCACATCTTCTATGCTAAAGGAACTAATGCCTTTATGAGTACAAGTAGATAGCAAATGGCAAGAACACAACACAGGCTGAATGTGTTGAAGACTTGAATGGGCACCATCTTAAATGATCTTTGAAAATAGGTAGTAACTAGAAAAGTGGATATGCTTCATGGAAAAGACTACAGAATTATGGAGAGCAACAAAACAACAGGATAGAAATATGAGACTTAGAAATGGTATACAATGAGGCCAGGCATGGTGGCTCTCACCTATAATCCCAACACTTTGGAAGGCAGAGGCTGGCATATTGCTTGAGCCCAGGAGTTTGAGACCAGCCTGGGCAATATGGCAAAACCTTGTCTCTGCAAAAAATACAAAAAATTAGTCAGATGCGGTGGTGCATGCCTGTAGTCCCAGCTACCTGGGAGGCTGAGGCAAGGGGATCACTTGAGCCCAGGAGGCTGAGCCTGCAGTGAGCTGTGATCGTGCCACTGCACTCCAGCTTGGAAGACACAGCAAAACCCTGTCTCAAAAAAGACACAGCAAAACCCTGTCGGAAGGAAGGAAGGTAGGTAGGAAGGAAGGAAGGAAGGAAGGAAGGAAGGAAGGAAGGAAGGAAGGAAGGAAGGGAGGGAGGGGAAAGAGAAAGAAAGAGAGAGAGAGGAAGGAAGGAAGGAAGGAAGGAAGGAAGGAAAGAAGGAAAGAAAGGGCATACAGTGGTAACTGCCCAGACAACATGTTCCATTTTCTCCCTTTTCCCTCTCAAAATACCTACACTCCTCATTTTTTTCAAATATCTACTCTTCTTTTAGATTGGCCACATTTCAAAGGGATCTGATGCCAAGTACAGAGGATTCCAATTGATTTTATCAGTACTTGGCATTCCTCTGGGAACTGTTACTGCTCCAACAGCAAGCAAACAAAAACATAAATGTAGGGAAAGGACACCCTATTTAACAAATGGTGCTGGGATAATTGGCAAGCCACACGTAGAAGAATGAAACTGGATCCTCATCTCTCACCCTATACAAAAATCAACTCAAGATAGATAAAAGACTTAAATCTAAGACCTGAAACCATAAAAATTTGAGACGATAACATCAGAAAAAAGGCAAAGACTTCATGACCAAGAAGCCAAAAGCAAATGCAACAAAAACAAAGATAGATAGGACTTAATTAAACCAAAAAGCTTCTCCATAGCAAAAGAAATAATCAGCAGTTGACAGATAACCCACAGAGTGGGAGAAGGTCTTCACTATATATATATGTTGACAAAGGACTAACATCTAGAATCTATGAGTCACTCAAATCAGCAAGAACAAAACGAACAATCCCATCAAAAAGTACGCTAAGAACATGAATAGATAACTCTAATAAGATATACAAATGGCCAAGAAACATGAAAAAATGCTCAACATCACTAATGATCAGGGAAATTCAGATCAAAACCACAATGTGATACCACCTTACTCCTACGAGAATGGCCATTATCGAAACATCAAAAAATAATAGATGTTGGCATGGATGTGGTGAAAAGGGAACACTTTTCCACTGTTGGTGGGAATGTAAACTAGTAAAGCCACTATGGAAAGCAGTGTGGAGATTCCTTAAAGAACTAAGGTAAGTCTACCGATTGATCCAGCAATCCCACTCCTGGGCATCTACCCAGAGGAAAAGAAGTCATTATGTGAAAAATATACTTCCCCACACATGTTGATAACAGTATAATTAATTCACAATTACAAAAATATGGAACCAACCTAAATGCCCATCCCAACAACTGGATAAAGAAAATGTGATACACACACACACACATACACACACACACACACACACACACACACAAAGGAATCCTACTCATCCATAAAAAGGAACAAAATAATGCCATTTGCAGCAACCTGGATGGAAATGGAGACCATTATTCTAAGTAAAGTAACTCAGGAATAGAAAACCAAATATTGTATGTTCTCACTCATAAGTGGGAGCTAAGCTATGAGGACACAAAGACATAAGAACGATACAATGGATTATGGGGGCTCAGGGAAAAGGTGGGAGGGGGGTGAGGGATAAAAGAATACACACTGGGTACAGTGTACATTGCTAGGGTGACAGGTGCACCAATATCTCAGAAATTAACACTAAAGGACTTATTCATGTAACCAAACACCACCTGTTCCCCAAAAATCTATTAAAAAATAATAAAACCTCAAAAAAAGGGGTGAAGTGCTCAGACAGACTTGAGGTATGTAACTAGATGAGAGATACTGCAATGGTCTAGACTAGTGGTCCCCAGCCTTTTTGGCACCAGGGACTGGTTTTGTGATAGAAAATTTTTCCACAGACAGGGAGCAAGGATAGTTTCAGGATGATTCAAATGCATTACATTTATTGTGAATTTTATTTCTATTATTATTACATTGTAATATATAATGAAACAATTATACAACTCACTATAAGGTAGAATCAGTGGGAGCCCTGAGCTTGTTTTTCTGCAACTAGGCGGTCCCATCTGGGGGTGATGGGAGACAGTGACAGATCATCAGGCATTAGATTCTCATAAGAAGCATGCAACCTAGATCCTTCACATGCGCGGTTCGCAATAGGGTTCATACTCCTATGAGAATTGAATGCTGCCACTGATCTGACAGGAGGTGGAGCTCAGGTGGTAATGCAAGCAATGAGGAGCAGCTGTGAATACAGATGAAGCTTCACTCACATGCCTCCTACTGTGCAGCCCAGTTCCTCACAGGCAGCTAGTAAGATCTGTGTCCTGGGGGTTGGGAACCTCTAGTCTAGACTAGTATTACACAATACAACTTTTATAATGGTCAAAATGTTCTACAGAACATCTAGATTGCACCATGCAATTTAGTAACTAACAGCCATATATGGCTACTGAGCACTTGGAATGTGGCCTGTGCTACTGAAAAAAATAAATTGTTAATTGATTTAATTGTAATCAATTTAAATTTTAAAAGCCACACATGGCTAGTAGTTACCATACAGGACAGTACAGGTGTAGAATACAGACACAGGTAATGAGGAATACAAGTGGAAAAGGAAATATGCTCAATACTTAATATTACTATTGAATCTACAGGAGTTTGCTATATTGGCTATAGATGTGGACAGGAGATAAAGAAAATGGTAGGAGTTACAAGATCACTTCATAGTTTTAGACCTTAGAGGGTAAAATAAAATACTTCAATTAAAAAAGACTGATATAAAGAAGGACCAAGGTAAGATCAACTAGAGACTTAAGGCTTTCAAAACTGCTCTCTTTTTACACGATCTCTTTATGTTCACTAGTGGCTATAGCCTAAGGTACAAAATATACTTATTTAAAGTCAAATTAAAAGCTTTAACAATGAATATGACTTAGGGTACCCTGGTTAGGAAAAAAAATCTTAAAATTAAGCTGACCCTATGTGGGCAAAAAAGCCTAAAAATCTTTAAAGTAAAATTCAAAAACCATCTGCATACCTGGAATGACTTGATCAAGATAGACAGCCAAGAGGACATAGAATATACTATTAAGTGTGAGCATGATAATTGTAATAATTAGAGGATATGGGCCTGCAGTCAAATTTGAAAATGAAGCACCTTCATTAAAATCTTCTAAATGCATGACCTGAAAAATACAAACACTAACTTTATTACATAAAAATGACAAAAACAAGCAAAAGCTAACACTACTTAAGAGTTATTTAGCATATCCAGAGTGATAGTAACCAACTGGGCCTTTTAATAGATTAAACACTTGACCAAATTAATAATATAAATTTATAAGGAAAACAATAAAGACTTTACAAAAATGTAAGTTTATCAAACCAATTCCTTTCAATCATGTTTTTAATGTTGTGCTTCTTTAACTGGGATATATTCACTCTAGGGGCATTTAATTCCAATGTAATTACTAACAAATGAAATAAAAACAAACTGCAATATTAATAATAACAAATGCAAACAAAAGGGTTATGATCCATATGAAAGCCAAACAAATTAAGTATTAGGGAATAAAATTAGGTTAGCATCTTTCCAATAGAGAAAAGCAAGTATTTTGATTAATTAACACAATTATTAAAGTATTCATAGTAGATATTTGTGATAGCATGGAAAGAGAAATGTACTGGAGGTTGAAGCCTCATTTAGGTCCTAGCCCTGCCATTAAGTGAATACGCTTTAATTATACTATTCTAGGCTTCAGTCCTCTCATTTATAAAATGAAGAAGATAAATTCAATGACACTGAAAGGCCATCCCACTCACAACAAAAACCTATGAATCTATAATTCTTCGTTCCTAGAGAACGCGGACTCGGGGACTCAATGAACTCTCAAAATGTATAACAATCATTCTCAGGTCTCAAAAAAGTAAAATGATTAACTCAATATTTAATTATATCTCATAAATCAGAACTTCTATCCAACCAACATGAGTAATTTCTTATATTTAGTAATTACATTTTTTTCTTTGTACATTAGCCAAATTCATGTTCCACTACAAAGCCATTTCTTATAAGACTTCTTCCATTTAGAACCTAACTACTCCTGTAAGGACTAATAAAAATAATATTTGTAAGTCTGAATGTTATTTTGAATGACAATTCCATGAAGCCTGGGCCAACAAAATCCACCAGGCCTACTTATTCCACCACTACACTCACGGTAAATTTGTTCTGCTCCACACACAATTTTCTCCCATGCATTCTTCTGAGATAAATGTACAAATGATAGCAATATAACCAGGCCATAGGCAATAAGAATTACTTGACATTTAAACACATTACTATCAAACTGAGTTTCTGCAGTGAAATAAATCACTGAGATACACTGAAGTAAAAAGTAAAAAATTTATAAACAGAACATTTAACTAAAAACTTAAAATTGGACAAACATAAATAAAACTAGATATAAAATATACTCTAGAAATCATTTCTTCCTCATGCTAAAATTTTAAAATAATTTTTTTGGTAAATCAAAGGTAGTATTCATGGTAGTATAAGAAGCTACATAAAACAGAAAGAAAATATTTAGTGAATGCAAGATTAATATATTACCTACCTGTGCAATACCAATCACAAAAGTACAGTGACAGAAAGGACTGAAAAGCCACACTAACGATTTGGGAAAACTTTCTATGAGGATTATCATAAGGCCAATAAATCCAAAAGCCACAGTAACAAAAAATTCAACTATTCCCACATGTTTTGATTTTTTAAAAAGAGGTGTCAGCATTAAAGCAAAAAATACCTATAAAATACAAATATTAAGGTTAGTGCAATGTTCATATATACCAGTATGAAAACAAAATTAAAGTTTGCTTCTGAAAGAACAAGCTATTTTCATGAAAAATGCATTCATAAAAATACAACTATAATTTCTAAATGCTATGGTATTTTATTTTCAAACAAATAGTGATATACCTTTTAAAAATTTAAACTAACAAATATTTTTGTGTTTTTGTTTTGATTTTGTTTTTGAGACAGGGTCTTGTTCTGTCACCCTAGCTGAAGTGCAGTGGTGCCATCTTGGCTCACTGCAACCTCCACCTCCTGGGTTCAGGTGATCCTCCCACCTCAGCCTCCCGTGTAGCTGGGATTACAGGCGTGGGGCACCACGTCCAGCATTTTAGTATTTTTTTTGTAGAGACAGGGTTTCACCATGTTGCCCAGGCTGGTCTCAAACTCCTTGCCTCAAGCAATCTTCTTGCCTTGCCTCCCAAAGTGCTGGGATTACGGGTGTGAGCCACCACATCTGGTCTTAAACTAACAAATATTAAATACTGTATTTTTATCTGTATCATAGGTAAACATGACCACCTCTACATTACAGAAACCATAAATAGCCATGTGTTTCTGCAGTAAGATGCATAAAATATGTGAAAAAATAATAAATCAACAAAAATTTTAAGTACAAGACCCATATTTTAAACTTAATTTATTCATAAGATAAAAAAAACAGTTTAAAAAGAAAAAAAAAACCAGAAGGCCTGCTGCAGTGGCTCGCTCATGTAATCCCAGCACTTTGGGAGGCCAAGGCAAGTGGATCACTTGAGCCCAGGAGTTCAAGACCAAACTTGGACACTTAGGAAGACCTCGACTCTAAAAAAAAAAAAAAAAAAAAAAAAAAATATATATATATATATATATATACATACATATATATATATGTATATATATATATACATACATATATATATGTATATATATATATACATATATACATACACACACACAAAAATTAGCAAGGTGTGATGGCACACACCTGTAGTCCCAGCTACTCAGGAGGCTGAGGTTGAAGGATTGAGCCTGGGAGGTCAAGGCTGCAGTGAGCCATGAGTGTGCCACTGCACTCCAGCCTGGGCCACAGAGCAAGACCCTGTCTCAAAAAAGTAAAATTAAACATTTAAAAAAAAACCAGGCAATTACATATGGAAGTATGTTAGTTATTTGCAATTTATTATTTTAAAGAGCAGAAATGATAGCCAAAACATTTAACAACTGATACAGGGTGGGCACATAAACCAATCAGAATGGAAGATGGAACCACTTAAAACAAAGGCTGGTCATTAAAACCTCTCATTCAGCCAATATATCAAATGAATATCAAGACTGCTAAAGAGTTACATTTGCAAAGATGTATCTTTAAAAATCATCATCCTGGAGCATAAATTAACTTGAAAGAGTAAGGATTCCATGAAGACAAACAAAAATAGTCCAATACTTGACAGTCTTAATTATATACATCATTATATAAAGACAACAGATAGAGGAGTTGTATGTGAAATACATCATATGACAAAAGCTAAATCTAAATCTAAAACTATTTTGTAACATTACTAAAAATACAGGAATACAGTGATGCCACATCATTTATTTATTAAGTCACTTATCAATTAGTAAAATCTGTCTTTCATGGCAAATTGACTATAAGTAAACTGAAGAAAAAGACTTTGCTATGTTATCAAACATTTTGACAGTTCTTTATTCCTATCACAAGTTAAAATACTTACAGATGATAATCCATAAAGGAAAAAAAGCAGAAATATCACAATGCTGCTACTTTGAGGAAATAACAAAGAAGCTGTCGCAATGACTGCCATAAGAAGGGACATAAGAAAAATTAAACTTGTATATAGAAGAACCCAGGAAAGCCTAAAATGAGAATACAGATATAGTTATGGTCAAATGCATAGGCTTAACCAGTTAAAAAATCATTTTAAACAAAATTTTTAGATTTTAGCCATTTTATTCTTAAAATTAAGTCACTGTTCATTTCTGTGTATGCTTATGTACTAAAAATTAATAGTCTTGTAAGTAATTAAAAATAGTATTGGTTAAGTGATAGGTAAAAGTGTAATCTGATAAAAAATACTATCTTCCAGAGTTAAAAAAGCTTTCAAAATGAATAGTAATTCATAATTAATTTAAATCTAATATTCTCAAAAGTTCAATAGCACACAATGTCTCTGATTTTCTTAAAATGTAGGAGTTTAATGAGTCAAGATAACAATTTTCTTTATGGCATGTGCTACAATTAAACCTCTGATGGCTTCTGTAACTATAAACAATAAAGGCTACCTTACCTCACTAATCAATGACATAATTACTACAATTACACAATGTGAAATCAACAAGATCAGTAATGAATTCACTATTTTTGCTCAAGACTTCTTTACAAATCAGAGCTCAATGGAATTGCTGCAGTATTAAGTTTTATTTTACATATTTTTCCAAGTTAGCTCAGGATTTAATGATGTCATGAAATCACTGAGTTAAGGCTAAAAAGGTAGCGAAATTATCAAAATTGAATCCATCATTTTACTGAGGCAAAACTGAGACCCTGAGAGAATGATTTGCCTAAATTCTTCCAGCTACCGGTTCTCCATAAAATACTTTAATAACCCAATAAATTTTAAAAACCAATCCTTTGGCCAGGCACAGTGGCTCATGCCTGTAATCCCAGCACTTTGGGAGGCCAAGATGAGAGGATCACTTGAGGCCAAGACTTTGAGACCAGCCTGCACAACATGGCGAGACCCCCGTCCCTACAAAAAAATTGAAAATTAGTTGGGCATGACAGCATGCACCTGTAGTCCCAACTACTTGAGAGACTGAGATGGGAGAATCTCTTGAGCCTGGGAGTTTGAGGCCACAGTGACCCATGATCATGCCACTATACTCCAGCCTAGGTGACAGAGCAAGACCCTGTCTCAAAAAATAATCCAAAACCAATAATTTCTAAAATAACAAATGAAAGAAAAACAAGCAAAGGAAATATGTTATATACAATAATTCCATTATGTAAAGTGTTAATGATTAATTGTTACATTGGGCTAATTGGAATAAAATTTTGTAAAACAGACTATAACAGCTCACATGCACAGTATTAACCTTCCCCCCAGAATGAACTTCATTACATAGTGAAAAGAGTAAGGAAACTACACTTAGATTTATAAAAATGCATGCCTTTGTAAAATTATCACTGTACAAAAATGCTGATACATTAAAGGTCACTAGTGAAAACATGGTTTTCTCATTTCTTTCTCTAAAATTATTTCCATATTCATCTTAATTCACCCAAATAACTAAAACTTTCGAGGGAAAAAAAGTCCATATACCACATATACAGACTTTAATCACTATAACTAAATTTTTAATATTATATATATGCTATATTATGGAAGAACTGTAACAAGCAATTAATTTCTAATGTTCCAAGATTTCACATTTCCTGAACTCTGAAATACACAGAAATATACGTGGAGTATATTGAAATACACTGAAATATACACGGAGTGTGCCCATGATTCAAATAAAATGTGAAATAAAATTTAAACACGTATTGTCAACACAAGCTTTGACATTCTTCATCCCTTATGTTAAATGAAGCCAATTAGTTGTTGAAACTTCTTGACTAATCTCAAATTCCAAGACTAAGGCAATCATTGTAAGAAAACAGGATAAGCACATCATCAAGTTAGGTAAATATCAAAATTACAATTTTGAAAATCTGTATATTTAATACAATTTTTAATTATATTAAGTAATAAATTTTTAATAACATACCAAAAGGCAGTATCATGAAGTCCCATTATCTTTAAAAATTCTTTTATTTTTTTTTCTTTTTCTGCTACGATATGAATTGCCAAAAAGTATCCAAAAGGTGAAAATGCTATAACTAGGTATATTAAAATTACTCCTCGGGGAAAGGTATCTATTTCTACAACAGCAGTTTCTCCCATAATAACAGCTTTAGTTGACTCCAGCTCCTTCCAAAGAGAAACATTGGTCTTCAACTATAATTAGAAAATGTAAATACATCAAATTAATTTAGTTATGATAGCAGCCCCTAGTAAAACGGGACAGCTATATCCCTAAATTTGGTCAGTAACCTAGTACAAATACAATCCTCAAAAAGCTCCATACCTGAAATAAAGTGAGTGACCCCAATATCATAATTCTGAGTAGAATATTGCATTCAATTTATTCTAAAAGTATACCATAAAGTTTAAAGTTTAAAGTCAGTAAGTGTATAAATTTTGATTAAATAATTTGTCAAATAAAATAAAATTGCACAATTATCATCTTAAGCAGACAATTATATGTATCTTAGTAAAAATATACATCTTCAAAATTTAGGAATTTAGGAGTGATTATTAGTGCCATCATTCCTATGATTGTTTAAAAAATGTTCTTCTAAATACCATGCCCTTCTACTGCTTTAAAGTCTATATATTTAGCACATATAGACCAAATAATAAAACTATTTATGCCACATAATACTTCTAACATTCCAATTAATGCCTAAATTGAAATCTATCCTGCCTATTCATCCAGTGTGGTCTGTGCTGTGGATGGCTAAAAACTTTGGCCAAAATACAAATAGGTGATACAACATCATCAATGTAATAGATCCGTATTTCACTATCTTTACCTTAAATTTCTGTATTATTGAATTTGTGCAATATTACACGTCCCTAATATGTTTATACTGTACTACAAAAGTTTACAAGACAATTATACATAAATCATCTCATTTGGTTCTTACGACAATGCTGTCAAGTAAAGTACTATTATAATAGTCATTTTACTACATAGCAGTGTAACAACAGAGACAAGACTCCTGTTCAGATTTTGATTCCAGCTCCATCATTATTCATACATACTTTAAACGTATTGTTTAGCAGACAAGATGGTTGATATACATTTTGAAATTACAATATTTTGTAGCATAGTAAATTTTGTAGCATAGTAAATTCAATTAGAAAGGGCAAATGGAAAAAAAAGCCACAGATCCATACAGAACATGGAAGAATGAAATATGGTTAATTTGAATAGTTTGAATTCTAAGGTAACTTCATCTACTGTTATCTAGCCCAGACACAAAAGTAAGATTTTTAAAAATAAATTTCATGGCCAGTTTTTCTGCTAAAATATGAAACACAACAAAAAGTACCAAATCAGAAAATATGACTTTTTTATCTTTTTTCTCAAAGGAGTTGTAGTAGGTTACATATTTTGTACATTTGACAGTAGTCAAACCAAATACTATTGTAAAGAATAAGGAAATATTTATTTTAAAATGGCATAGTTTTTGTATTTCTTCCTTTATCATATTTACCTGTATAATGGCAGCATCTATGGATGCTTGTAAAACTGTGAAACCTGAGGACCAGTACTGAGCAGCCTCACATGATTTTGAACAGCCAGCTATGGGGGGAAGAATATGAGATCTAAGATTCTGTACAACATGCAAGTGCATCGTTTTAAAGATATTATATGGAGAGATACCTACCAAAACAATATAATCAATCAATCTTTACAGGACCAAAGAAATAAGCTACTGACTTTCAAAGGTAAACAATACTTACAAGATTTCTGATCATTTACTTGAAATTTTGAAATAAAAGTTATATGTGTTAGAATACTAAATAGTAAATGAATAAAAATGTAAAGAAAGAAATTAATTGTAGTTATTTAAAACAAGTTACTTTTTTGTTTTAAAGTAAATCATTCTACATGACTTAGCTCTAAAGCACTTCCAGAAGCAAGGAAAAGTCAAAGTTAAGCAAACAGGAAAAAAGAATTTTCAGAAGGGCTTTTTGAAATAAAGTCACAAATTCAGTATTTAGCATAGTGACTTTAACATTGCTCAATAAATGTTTGTGGTTGATAATATTTCTTCATAGATTTAAACAACCAAAGGTTGTTTCCCATGTTTCAAATATAAAACTAATCAAGTTCACTAGTAGAAGACCTCAAGATTTTAAAGATTTGTACATACCACAAGTAAAAACAATTACATGAAAAAAAGAGATTTAGAAAGTCATATAACCCAAAATGCAATTTTGCTTTATGCTACTGTATTTAATATATATAAATGTATTAAATCAAAATGGGTATATATAAAAATGTTTTATGTGTAGAAGTAGATAGGTATTTATAAATAAATATTTTTATGCTATACTTCTCAGTTTTCCTATTGGAACAAGTAAGAATAGTTGAAAATGCCAATATTGAACTATATAAAATTTTGACTATGAACTGCAAGCAGCAAAGATATGCATTTAATTGATCTTCAATGATTATGTAGGGCTATTTACCTCTTGAATCCATATAAATAGAAGATACTGGAATCATATCAGGAAAAAAACGAAGTTCATAGGACATGGAGTCTTTGAAAACCACACCTACAAAGTTGCTCGGCTTAGAGAGACTGGATGTTAACATTTCTTTTTCATTTGTATATTCTTCAGTAATTATGACTGTAAGATATCATAACAATATAGTTAGCTCACAAATTAAAATACCACAATACAGTAGATCAAGTTTACAATTATTTTGATGAATGGAATATTTTATAAACACTTTTGCTATATTTACTTCTTAAAAAATGAAAACAGTCCAAGCACAGTGGCTCACACCTGTAATCCCAACATTTTGGAAGACCAAGATGGGAGGATTGCTTGAGCTCAGAAGTTCAAGTCCAACCTGGGCAACATGGTGAGGTTCTGTCTCCAAAAAATAAAAAAATTAGCCAGGTGTAGTGATGTGTGCCTGCACTTCCAGCTACTTGGGAGGCGGAGGTGGGAGGATCATTTGAGCTAGGAGGTCGAGGCTGCAGTGAGCCATAACTGAGCAACTGCACTCCAGCTTAGGCAACAGAGTGAGACCATGTCTCAAAAAAAACAAACAAACAAAAAGAAGACAATTCTTCCAACAAAATAATAATAATAAAATGGTACAATGTTGCAGACACTACTCAGCTGTCATTTGATTACAGAAATGTGTCAGTGTTATACTTATGTTATAAATATATGAAATATAGTATAAAACAATATGCAGAACTCATATTTCTTCAAGAAATTGCTGTTTCTCAAAACCTCAATTAATTATACTAATTTCAGGCAGCAATAAAATTATAAAAATTATTAGTAATGCAGTTCATTTATCTATCTCGAAGTTAAACTAAAAAATAACTTCGTTATTTTATTTTATATTTTTTTAGAGACAGGGCTTTGTTCTGTTACCCAGCCTGCAGTGCACTGGATCTTGCACTCAAACTTCAGGGGTCAAGAGATCCTCCCACCTCAGCTTCTGGAGTAGAGCTTGGTCGATAGTCACTCATCACCATGCCTGGCTAATTTTTTGTTTTTAATTTTGGTAGAAATGAGGTGTCACTACATTACCCAAGCTGGTCTTGAACTCCTGGCCTCAAGTGATCCTCCCACCTGAGCCTCCGGACTAGTTGGGATTACAGGCATGAGCCAGTGCACCTGCACAAAAATAACTTTTTAGTAAATATATGAATTTTTTATTTTTAAATATTTCTTATAAAGAAAATTCCACAATCCTTCTCAGAAACTAAATAGGCATTTTAGTAACTATGACACAACTCCTCCTTAAATAAAAATTGTCATTCAAATCCAATATTGCTTGTTCCTTTCTTAGAAGATAAGTGGAAAAAATACTGTAATCATTCTTTCTCATCAGATAAGACTAATTTTTAAATATTTTCTTGTAGTTTTGTTTACAAGCAACTAATTTTCACTACAGAAGCTTCAAACATGTGGTGAAATGGAAAGAATATAGAATTAGTACTTAACGTCTTCATGTATTAACTGTGTGAGCACAGACAGGCGATTTGAACTCTTCAGACTTTAGTGTCCTCATCTACAATGCCTAGCTGATGACACTGGGTTGTTGTGAAGAACAAGTGAAGTAACAAACATCAAAACGCTTTGTAGGCTGGATGTGGTGCCTCACACCTATAATGCCAGCACTTTGGAAGGTGGAGGCAGGTAGATTGCTTGAGTCCAGGAGTAGATTGCTTGAGACCAGCCTAGGTAGCATGGCGAAACCCTGTCTCTACAAAAAATACAAAAATTAGCCAGGTGTGGTGGTGTGCACCTGTAGTCCCAGCTACTCAGGAGGCTGAAGCGGGAGTATCACTTGAGCCCAGGAGGCAGAGGCTGCAGTGAGCTGAGATCACAGCACTGCAAACCAGCTTGACAGTGAGATCCCATCTCAAACAAAAGAAGAAAAAGACAAAAAAAAAATGCTTCATAGATTCTAAAGTATTACTTAAATGTTAATTAATAGATTTTCCAGGCCTTTTAAGAGGGACAGGGAACTCCAGGATTTACATGAATAAAGAGGGTGTTAGTTCAACATCCTACCAGTCATGTTATGTATGTATGCATAACCCATTTTCAGATAGTTCTGTTGTTAAAAATACAGAAGTCTAAAAAAATTTGTGTATATGTATACACTATTTTGGCATCTAATACACACTGACTTAGTTGTTTTTTGTTTGTTTGTTCTTTTTTTGTTTTGTTTTTTGTTTTTGAGATATTGAGTGTTGCTCTGTCGCCAGGCTTGAGTGCAGTGGTACAATCTCAGCTCACTGCAACCTCCGCCTCCCGGGTTCAAGCAATTCTCCTGCCTCAACCTCCCAAGTAGCTGGGACTACAGGCACCCACCACCATGGCTGGATAATTTTTTTGTATTTTTAGTAGAGACAGGGTTTCACCATGTTGGCCAGTCTGGTCTCAAACCCCTGACCTCAGGTGATCTGCTCACCTCGGCCTCCCAAAGTGCTGGGATTACAGGCGTGAGTCACCATGCCTGGCCTCATATTTCTTTGGTTTATATTCTTTCCTCCTACTCAGAATTACCAATGAATTTCATTTCAACATTTTTAATCAGCTTTTTGAGCTTGTACACTAAATTCTCATGGTAATCTATACTACTTGTACCTAATATGATACACTACCATATAACAAGAAGTGTATTTAATCAAAATATTAAATAGAAATAGCCAGAGAAAGAAACCAATGGAATAAAAGTTACCTGGCTTCTG
This sequence comes from Homo sapiens, assembly GCF_000001405.40. NCBI lineage: Eukaryota > Metazoa > Chordata > Mammalia > Primates > Hominidae > Homo > Homo sapiens. The sequence continues at coordinate 69,312,021 of NC_000017.11, forward strand.
ACTGTATAATTAACACTTTCCATTCAATGACATAAAATCCAATAATGCGATGACATATAAGCTAATTACAACTATCCCATATGGCAAAAAATAACATGCTAATCTGTCATTTTCTACAATTTAGCACTTCCTTGTTTAATCATTAATAGCATAAGAATTTCTGTCACTTTCTCCAGCTTTTGCTTTAGGTTCTCTCACAGCCACTTTAAGTTCAGTGGCACTTCACTGCTTACACTGTTTTCTAGTTCATTTCTTTGTGAGAAGTGCACATTGAGAAAAAAGACTTAGGTGGCACTTTAGGTGGAGGCCAAGGGAGGAAGATCATTTGATCCCAGGAGTTTAGACCAACCTGGGCAACATAGCAAGATCCCATCTCTACAAAAAATATATATATAAATAAATAAAACAGAGTTAGGGACTTAGCCATAGTCATAGTTGTAGTCTCCAAAGTTAGGTACTTCTTCAGTTTACACCATACACTTCTATAAACAAGCATGGTAAGCTGAAAAGGTGACTGCTTTACAGTCTTTATCACATATTTCTAGCTTCCTTTTTAAATTTTTTATTGTTATAGATGGGGGTCCCATTCTGTTGCCCAGAGTAAGGAGTGCTGGAATGAAGTGGCATGATCATAGTTCACTGCAGCCCCAAACTTTTGGGCTCACGGGATCCCCCCACCTCAACTTCTTGAGTAGCTGGGACTACAGGCACATGCTACCACATTCAGCTAAACATTGCTAGCTTCATAATTATATGAAAGTCAGAATCAAAATGAAATAGCCCATCAAAGCTTGTATCTTATACAAGTATACTTAAACTATTTTATAAATGGTCTAAGAATTAAATATAAAAGTACATAAAATATGCTTCCTACCACCAAGAATATAAATTAATGTTTCACAAGAAAAATAAGGCAACAGAATTAAATAATTTTAGTATTTTTATAAAACTGACTTTGGTGGAGGAACACATCTCTAAGTGTTAAGACTGCTATTCATTCAATAAAGCAAGCTGATAAATATTGAAAAGGCTTAATATTATAAACAGAATATATATATAAGCTCACAATACCATCAGGTAGATGATCAGTAGACACTTTCTGCATGATGCTGCTTGTAATATTAGTCACTGGAGTATATCCAAGAATTAGATTAGAAAGAGTAAACTTGTCCATAGGATTGAGTTCTATATTAGGCACTTCTTCATATTTCTTATTTGGATGCATCATGCTAATTAATATTAACCAAAATAAAAAAAATAGTGGAAAAAGAATTTCCTACAATAAAAGAAACAAAGTAATTACAAAGTATAACAATGGCAGCAAAAATCATCAAGATTTCTTGGCAAATAATATAATACTAAGAAAAAACAGGAAATTTGGTTGTCCTTTCTTATGAATAAAATAAAAGCAATTCTATCCCAAAAGAATTTTGTGTTGAACACCTCATCCAACCCAACATGCATATTATTTTTTCCTTTGTATTTAGTTTTACTGAAATATTTTAAAATTCAAGTCACAAAATAAATTAAGGTGACATAAAAGATAATATTTAAACATCTTAGATTATTGACATAAAACATAATAAATTTACTCATATAATTTTATCTAAAGCAATTTACCGAACATCCCTATATGGATTCACCATAAAAATGCCTTTATTCAATTCTGAATTAGAAATCATACTTTAATTATACCTAAATGTATACTACCAAAACCATACTGAATTAAATTCTACGGTCAGTTTTAGTAGAAATGAGCTATTATATCATCTTGCTGTTTAATTGTTTTACCAGTTTCAGGGAAGATGAATAATATGTTTTCATCCTTTGAAATTATTACTAGCTGGTTACCCAAGTTCTTCCTTTCTTTTACCCTTATCAAAAGTAATGTATGCTGTGGGTACAAATCTGTGTCATAATATTAATACTCATGGGCAACTCAATCTAGAGTCCATAAAATACGAGGTTGTGGGATATAAAACTCTGGAATCAAAGTTATTGTGGAATGTTAGTTCATGAAACTTAGGAAACACATGCCTAAAAGCTGAAAATGAAGCACAGATGTTAGAAATTAACTAAATGTAGAAATTATTATTAAAATTTTTAACATTTAGAAAGCATTAAGTAATTCAGTTATTTTTCTGTGGCTAACATGGCAAGCTTTTACTTTACAAGCAAAGAAAAATAAAATTATAATAAAAATATATTTAGCAAAATAAATCATCACTTCAAGATAGAATATATCAAGCAAAATAAACTGCAAAAAAGCATAAGAAAGAGTTATTTAACTTACCTGAACACTACTCTTTTTGGTTCTGCATTTAATTAAGTAATTCTTCAGTAGAAGTGTTCTGGTCTGTCTCCAAACTCCTACCTCCCTAATTGCAGTGGACATGTTTTCTGAATAAACCTATTAAAGAGGAAAAACAAACAAACAAACCCGGAGCCACGCAGTAAACTGCATGTAATTTTTAACGGCAAAATAAGCAGCTGTTTCAGTCCCAGGTAAGATGGATTAAGCATACTCCAAGCTGTCTCTCTTAGGAAACTGGACAGAATGCATGGAGCAGCAATCTGTCAGCTCTGAAAAGTAAACAAGGCATGTGAAATAGGGTAGACCAGAATTTGAAATACCACCATATCAACAGTGGTACTTTTTCTCCTTTGGTATCTCCCGAACCGCCCACAGAGGCAGCTCCAGAAGAAGCCTTAGCTTTGAATTGAGGAATGGGCAAGGGAAGTCTTAATGCTCAGGGAGAATGTAGAAATAGCAAATCTTTTTTTCTTTTCTGAATTCTCCTGTATCCCCACATGCAAGCAATCCCATGGTAACAGGGCCAGACTACAGTAACAAAAGCCTAGTGCAGCCAACACTCTGAGGCAGGAAAACCTTTCTCTCTATTCAATGGAACTATCGTTGTAAGAGGATGAGGCCAATCCCTTTTGCTTTTCTTCTCTACCTCCTACCATTGGGCCCTGGATATGGTGGTTGCAGCTGCACAAGTGTGTAACACAATGGAGAAAATAAACACTAGCTCTCTGGCTGGAGGATAGAAACAGCAGCCACAGGGAAGCAAAAAGTAGAAGGGGGAACAAATAGAAAGAGAGCTCAGGAAAGCACTCTAAAAAGTTGTTTTTAATTCCTGTAATAATTCCCAAGCTGGACATACATAAATCCAATCCTATTAGTGTGACAAAGGCTTGAGAAACTGAACTAACAGACAGACCACTGTCCAAATCCAGACTGTTCACTGCAAGGCACACACAAGACAGACCAAAAAGGTACTGCAAAAGTTTTTGAAAAATAAACTAAAATGACAACTACAGTTCAAAGAATGTGGGTAGAAACTTATGACCTGAACCTAACCTGGTTGACAGCCTGCTAAGAGAAAATATCAACATTTTCTGTAGGTATTAACACAAAACCCAAAGTCTCATACAATCCAATATTACACTGCAAATGAAGCATGTAGAAAATAGCTGACCGGGTGCGGTGGCTCACGCCTGTAATCCCAGCACTTTGGGAGGCCAAGGTGGGCAGATCACGAAGTCAGGAGTTTGAGACCAGCCTGACCAACATGGTGAAACCCTGTCTCTACTAAAAATATAAAAATTAGCTGGGTGTGGTGGCACACACCTGTAATCCCAGCTACTCAGGAGGCTGAGGCAGGAGATCTGCTTGAACCCGGGAGGCGGAGGTTGCAGTGAGCCAAGATTGCACCGCTTCACACCAGCCTGGGTGACAGAGCAAGGATCCGCCTCAAAAAAAAAAAAAAATAGCAACTCTACTAAGAAAATAAAATCAAAGATACCAATGCTGAAATAACACAGACTTTGAAATTATCTGATAAAACTTTTAAAGCAGCTATTTAAGGGCTTCAGCAAACAATCGAAAGTACTCTTGAAAGCAATGAAAAATAGAAAATCTTAGCAAAGAAACAAGACATTAAGCAGAATCAAATGGAAATTTTAGAACACAAAAACACAATAAGAAATAAATACAAATGGAAACTTTAGAACAGAAAAACACAATAATAAATAAAACTCATGGAGTGGCTCAAAATCAGAATGAACACAACAGAAAAAAAGTCAGGAAACTTGAAGATTATCAATAGGCATTATCCAATCTGAACAACAGAGAGAAAAAAGATTTTTAAAAAATTAACAGTGCTTCAGAAAACTGTGAGACAGTCTGGGCACACTGGCTTACGCCCATAATCCCAACACTTTGGGAGGCCAAGGCAGACAGATCACCTGAGGTCAGGAGTTCAAGACCAGCCTGGCCAACATGGTAAAACCCCATCTCTACTAAAAATACAAAAATTAGCCAGGTGTGGTGGTGGGCGCCTGTAATCCCAGCTACTGGGGAGGCAAAAGAATCGCTTGAACCCAGTAGGAGGAGGTTGCAGTGAGCCCAGATTGTTCCACTGCACCCCAACCTGGGTGACAAAGTGAGGCCCTGTCTCAAAGAAAAAAAAAAAGAAGAAAAAAGAAAACTATAGGACAATAACAAAAAGTCTAACTTTCATATTATCAGATTTATAAAAGGAGAGGAGAAAGAGTATTAATGCTAAAAAAAAAAAAAAAAAATTAAAGACTTAATGGCTGAAAACTTCCAATTTAGCAAGGGATATAAACACATAAGTTTCAAGAAAGTTGGTGAAGCCCAGAAAACATAAAGAAAATCCATGCCTATACACATTATAATTAGACTGCTGAAAATTAAGACAACAAAAAATCTTGAAAGCAGTCAGAGAACAATGATGTATTACCTACAGAGAGTAACAATTTGAATGAGAGCAGACTTCTCATAAGAAACTGCGGAGAAAGTGGAATACATTACTGGCGGGAAAGCAAATGGTTCAGATGCTGAGAAAAACAGTTTTACTATATGACCTCACAATTCCACTCCTAGGTATACACCCAAAAGAAATGAACATAAGGACTCAATTGAGTACATGTTCACACACGTTCACAGTAGTGCTATTCAGAATAGCAGAAAGGTAGAAACAGCCCAAATACTTACCGACAGATAAATGAACAAACTGTGGCATATACATACAATTATTATTCAGCCATAGAAAGGAATGAAGTGGCTAGGTGCAGTGGCTCATGCCTGTATTCCCAGCACTTTGGGAAGCCAAGGCGGGTGGATCACTTGAGGTCAGGGGTTTGAGACCAGCTTGGCCAACATGGCAAAACCCCGTCTCTACTAAAAAAAAATATACAAAAATTAGCTGGGCATGGTGGTACGTTCCTGTAACTCCAGCTACTCAGGAAGCCGAGGCAGAATTGCTTAAATCTGGGAGGCAGAGGTTGCAGTGAGCTGAGATTGCACCACTGCATTCCAGCCTGGGCATCAGAGCAAGACTCTGTCTCAAAAAAAAAAAAAAAAAAAAAAAGGAATGAAGTACTGCTATATGCTACAATTAAAATGAACATACAAAACGTTATGTCAAGTGAAAGTCAGACTAAAAATGTCAAATGTTATATGATTCCCTTTATAGGAAACTTCCAGAAAAGATAAATGTAGGGACAGAATGCCAACTGGTGATTGTCAGAGGCCAGGGAGAGTAAAGAATGAGGAGAAACTGCTTACAAGGTAAGGAGTTTTACCTTGGAAATAAATTTTACCTTAATAAATTACTTCAAAAAATAACATTGAATGATCTAAATCATTGTACCTATCACAGGTCCAGTATCCCTCTTCCAGGGTACATTTACCCTTTGAAGATCCTTGAAATCCTTTCTGCCTGTGGACCTCTATTGGAGCTATCTCGATTCTTCAGAGGTTTCATTCCAGCTGAACTCAAAATAGAAGTGGTCAGAGTCTCAACTGCAATGTCCACTGCCCCTATTCAAATACACTCAACCCAGTAACCTAGGATCTCTGCATACTAAGAAGTATTGAGAAGATAGCAGGGGAAATAACAACAACAACAAAAAAATCCTGTTAAACCTTCCAGAGAAATTGCTGTGCCCTTGTTTTAAATAAACCTATCTAGTGAGGCCACTGCTATAACTCTCCTCCAAAACAAGGACCATCTGTTGCAAGCTGGAAGACTGTCTACACCTAAATAAAGAAAACTCACAATTTTTTTTTTTTTTTGAGATGGAGTCTCACTCTTTTGTCCAGGCTGGAGTGCAATGGCACAGTCTCGGCTCCTGGGTTCAAGCAATTCTCCAACCTCAGCCTCCCAAGTAACTGGGATTACAGGCGCCTGCCACCATGCTCAGCTAATTTTTGTATTTTTAGTAGAGATGGGATTTCACCATGTTGGTCAGACTGGTCTCAAACTTCTGACCTCAGGTGATCCATCTGCCTTTGCCTCCCAAAGTGCTGGGATTACAGGAGTGAGCCACCGTGCCTGGTCCATAATTTTTGAGAGGCAGTTTGTCTTTTCCAGTAAATATATATAATTAAAGTTTGGCTTAAATGAGCATCTTCTTTATATGCACAGAAGGAAGACTGGAAAGAACTGTTTAAATTAGCAATGGAATTAAAGACAACTTTTATTTTCTTCATGCTTTTTTTCTATGTATTACTTACATAGTAAAAAAAAAGCAATTAAACAATTAGACATACTGTAAAAATACTAAATGAGTAAATTAAAAACAGCAAAACAAAAGCAGTCAAGAATAGAAGATACATTAAAATAAATTCTTCCAGCATTCCATTCCAAGGCATCTGTGAACCTGTGGAGTAGACACCATGAGCAAAGCTTACACTCCCGAGTTGAAAAAATTGATGGACAAAAAGTTATCATTGAAAATTAAATGGTGGCAGACATGTCCAAGGAATATTGTGGGGATTTGATCCCTTTATGAATCTTGTGATAGATTAATGTGTGGAGATGGCAACTAGTGGGCAACAGAACAATATTGGAATGGTGGTAATGCGATGTAATGGCATCATCATGTTAGAAGCCTTGGAACAAGTATAAATAATGGCTGTTCAGCAGAAAAACCCATGTCTCCCTCTCAAAAGGGCCTGTTTTACTATGATGTAAAAATTAAGTCATGTATATTTTCATATTAGACTCTGTTAAATAAACTTCTGTAATGGTCAATAAATAAATTCTTCTAACAGTCTCAACTATGTTATATCACATTTAGCAAAGAGTTGATAATAGGAGGGAAGGAAGGAAGAAAGCTGTACTCATTCAAGCATTATTTGCTACAATACAAACATAGAAACACTAACCTAATGCAGCATGAACATTCTCAAGTTACTTGCCAAAACACATTGATTTTGTGAATGCTACTAAATTATTAATCCACTTTGAATGTTGGATGCTTAACTCTTCATTTTTATATAACAGACTCATAGAGTAGATGGATTCACAGAATTTTTTGTTTTTTTGAGAACTGCTTCCTGAACTCAAGGTTGAGTCTCTAAGGGCCTTGTCTAAAAAACCTGCCCACCCACTCCACCTCTCATCACAGCTTTTTAAAGCAAAACTAAACCAACTCCCCAAACACCATCCCAACGCACACAAACCATCACCACCACCACCACTACTCTTGAGCTGTGTCAGTTAAAATTTCTCTTGGCAGAATTAACTAAGAGACCCACAGACTGGATGGAAGTCAAGGAAACTGAATTACATGAATGGCAACATTTAAGAAAGAAAGTTTACACATTCTTACTCTAAGCTTTCTTCTAATGTACCACACCTACTGTGCTCACAACTCGATTTTTCTTCCTTGGAGTATGTGAAATGTCCTATTATCTTCCCAATATATTTTCATTTTCACTTAAGCTAACCAGTATCAGATTCTATTTCTTGCAAAAAAGCATCTTAACCAATATTACAAAGGCACCAAAATTAACAAACATAAGAACTAATAATGCCCAAAGTAGTATAGGTTAAGAGTATGACCTCTGAAGCCAAACCAACTAAACATGAATCCTGCCTCTGCTACATACTAACTTCAAGACCTTGGGCAAGTTATTTAATGTTTTTGCGCCTAAGTTTTATTATCTGTAAAATACAACAATAGTAGTACCTACCTCTTTGGGTTGTTAAAATGACTAAAAGAATTAATACATGAAAAGCTGAAAATGGTGGCTTGTACATGGCAACTAATTATACACATTGATCACGATTGTGTATAAAAGTATAACTAATATCCTTAAAAGAGTAATAGAGAATATCATATTCTTGGAACAAGAGAAAGATAATTAAGAAAAAAGCAATTACAGAACTTAGAAATGAAATAAAAAACTGATAGAAATAAAAAAGCACTAAAAGATGGGGTGAACTTCATTTAAAGACGAATTAGTGAGCTAAATTGAAGCGTGAGTCAAAGAAACCCTACAGAATGAATTGCAAAAGGACAGAGAGAAAAAAATGATGAAAGTATTAACTCTGTCATCAAATTATACCAATGACTCAGTATTATGAATGACCTCAACAATCTGATTTTTCTTATACTCAAAAGCTTTAGTCTAATCATATGAAAATATTAACTTTCAATAATCTTGAGCTTCAATTCAAGTTATTGAAACAAAAAAAAAATCTCTTAAGCCCATCTGATCACTGGTTTTCTTCATAGTATGAAATACATGGTTTAGCTGTTTGATTGAAAAGAATGAAACATTCTTAACATTAATTCTTCATAAACCTTTAAACTTTAACGTTGATCTAAAACAGAAACTTCAAAGCTATAGTCAGGTCTTTGTAAACTAACCCAACAACGTACCTATTCACCCTCCTCTTTGCCTGCTGCATCCTCCAACCTGCCAGTCCACAGTGTCTAAGCAGGCCCAATTTGAAAAGGGATATGGCGAATAAATAAGCAAGGACTGGTCTGCATAATAATGTAAACACTAACTCTACCCTATAAATTCTTTGCAAATGATGAGGTGCTGGGGAAAATATTTGGCTTCCTTTTCAGGTGTCGAGACCACATTGTCTCTCGACAATTGGTCGAGAGATTATACCTGTCCTTTGGGGAGAAGACAGAGAAACAAGATAGAATAAAAAAAGGGGTGATTACAACTCTCACTGATATGGTAATCACAAAGGCCCCTCTCTTCACCACATCCTCCACTGTTTTGCAGGGTCTGGAATCCCAAAGGACAATACTGACTAGCCTAACAGGGAGTTAGGGTGGGAAAACTGGGATGAAGGAAGAATGTGGGAAGGCAGTACTTTTCTATATTGACGAACACCCAAAACTAAAGGGTTAATATCTTGAGATGGGAACAACTCTTGTGGATGAAAGAATGAGGTTTCCAGAAAGAAAGGTGGAGATCCACACAGCAGAGGTGACATGAAAGCGGTGTTCCTGACAGAAGCATATATCTGAAAACAGGGCTGCAAAGTTACAAATGAGGCATGACCAAAAAGGGGACATCTATGAAGGGTTTGACTTATCAGGTGCCTTTTCTTGGGATACAAGAAACCCCGTATTTAGCATGGAGCTATACATTTCCTCTTTCTATACTAGAATTCCAAAATTTTATAGCTTTATGTGATGGTTTTTGGAAGAATAAGAGAAAAACGCAGTAAAAAGATGCATGGCCTGCCTCAAGTTTAACTGTTTAAGTTTAATTGCCTCTAAATGGCAATATCTAGGAGTTCACTCACTAGCAGCTGAGTTAATACAAGACCAAAGCAGAATTTGTATGGTTCCAACTCAAAATCTTACCAATGAAATACTTTAAAACACTCTTTAACAAAGCCAATTCTTAGCTGTTAAAAAACAGTGGCACAAAGAGAAATACGGGTTCAAAATCTAAAAAAAAAAAGTTATTTTCCATACTTCCACAGCATACCTGAGAAATGTGCTAAGTTTGTTGTAGGGCTTTAAATAATAATTAGGTGAGTTTTAAACACCTAACATCTCTAAAGATTTAATCAAATTTAACTTTCCTAGATAAATAATTTACTAGATAAAATAATTTATACTAAATCCAATAAGTTGCAAGAAAATGGAAAGCCTACTAAAGCCCATCTTCCTTTTCTAATGTATTAATTGACTTAAAGACCAGGAGTTGCATAATCCAAAGTTCAATATCAAAAATTCACTTCTTAATTTATCTTAAAGTACTGGTTACTACGGCCAGGCACAGTGGTTCACGCCTGTAATCCCAGCACTTTGGGAGGCTGAGGCGGGAAGATCACGAGGTCAGGAGACAGAAACTATCCCGGCCAACATGGTGAAACCCTGTCTCTACTAAAAATACAAAAATTAGCTGGGTGTGGTGGCGGGCACCTGTAATCCCAGCTACTCAGGAGGCTGAGGCAGGAGAATCACTCGAACCCGGGAGGTGAAAGTTGCAGTCAGCTGACACTGTGCCAATCCAGCCTGGCAACAGAGCAAGATTCCGTCTCAAAAAAAAAAAAAAAAAAAAAAAAGTGCTGGTTACTACGTTCCAAGTCCTACGAAACATATTCCACATCACTAAAAGTAATAAAAATGTACATAACCTTTAGAAATAATTGTTAGAGAAAAATTATTTAGGATGCATGAATTTAATTAATTAAAATAAGAAATTTGAAAGCTATAAAGTATTTTTTAAAATCTAAGGTAGTTCTACTATTATACCTACTGCCTTTGTTAAAAGCAGTGCTTTCCTTAGAAGAGCCTCTCTCTTCCCCCACCTCCCCCGCAAAATCCATCACTTATCTAATGATACCATTATCTCCTTCAAATATTTTCAGCTAGTAAAACAACTCACTGCACAGCAGAGGAGGTACTAAATACCTGTGGAATAAACAATCCATTTATTATGTAGCAGGTAAAATAACTTTAAATTTTTTAAATTATTTTCATAGAGACCTGATTAAAAACATATCCATGTTTATTTCTGTGAGAAACAAATTAAGATTATACCCTATAAAATAAATAAGTTGAGTCATCCTGATGTTTAGAGCCATCCTGATAAGAAACGTGGTCACCTTCTTAGCATCCTTAAAAGATTTCCAGAAAGGCTAGCTGAAAATACATTCCCTACCTCCAACAAATGACTGTTAGAGGTTACTTCTCATCCACCTAAGCAGATGTAACAGAAAATGGATAGTCTGTCTACTTGGGGCTTCTAAACGTTGTTCGGCACTGAAGGTTGACTTTGGAGACTGGGTCATGAAGCTTGACCTCTTAATTACTGACCTTTTGTTATACATGAAATTCCTTCCTTATTTTCTTGTTCCTAGATCACACCAGATGATGCCAGGGATAAAAGACCGCTGACTGTGATAAAAGACCCTTTGACCATTACATCCTTAATGTGAAATGTTAAATATACCCTTCCCCCAAAAAGAAACACTGCCTATAACTAATTGAATTGCTCTAACTATGCACTAACCTCGTACGAAAAATGATGTAACCCTGTTAAGCATCCCCAGGCCTTGCCTATGTAAAGGACCCTCAAACCTCTCCACTTTGGAGCATTTACCTCATCCTTCAGGAGTCTGTGTCCTCCTGTGTGACCATCCTCAAGTTTTATGCTCAAATAAACTCAATTTTTAATCATATTGCCTAAATGTCATTATTAACATTGACATGGAGCTGATTATCACTCCTTTGTTTTACCTCTATACCCAGTAAACATAACTGTAACTGCAGTAACTATACCCTGTCACCATTATTTATTTATATATTTTCATCTTGAACTTGACCATGAGATCCTTGATGAAAAAAACAACAGTCTTATTTATCTTTGTTTCTCCACCACCAATGGAAATATTAAACCCAGTATCATCTTACCACAGATTCCTTTATCAAGGCTTCCTGAGAGTCCTTAAAGATCAAGGATGTGCAAACTATGATGAAAGAGGTGGGGGCTAAATCCAACCCTCAGTCTGTTTGGCACAGCCCATGAGGAACACTGCTTCTGCATTTTTAAAAGGTTGAAAAATAATAATAATATCTTGTGACATGCAAAAATTATATGAAATTCAAATTTCAGTGTCTATAAATACAGTGTTATTGGAACACAGCCATGCTCATTCATTTATGTATTATCTATGACTGCTTTTGTGCTACAACAGTAAAGTTATTGAGACAGAGACCATACTGTCTGCAAACCTAAAATATTTACTATCTGGCACTTTACAAAAAACGTTGGTCAACTCCTGTAAAAAGGAAGAAGAGGGGAAGTGAGAAAAGTGGCATATTCACTTAACATTTACTGAAGGATTTATGCATCCAACATTATGAGGCAAAAAAAATAAAGTTAGACACTGTCACTAACTTTGCAGAGAGATAAAATTTAATATAATGTGATAAGAGAGAAAGAGCCTGGAAAGGAGTGGAATGGAATTTCCAGGCAGAAAGAAAAGAATGGTAAAGCTAGACTCCCAAACAAAAGGGCTTGACTTTTGTGAAGAACAGGGATACCTGCCATATGGCAGAGGCATAAGGCAAAGTGAACCGGAGCAAGGGGTGCAGATGTATGTTCTAGATAACACGGTAAAGGCAGGCATTGGGAATGGATTATGAAGTTTCTGGTATCCAAAATTAGACACCCTAATTTGTGCACTCATATCTTTCCTCTACTGTACTTTTCACAACTGTGAGTCATGTTTAATTTCCTAGCAATCACATATTCCACTAGTCCATCACTTTCCCAATCCCCAAATCTCCAAAGCTTCCATCTGTAGGATCACCCTCAGATTATGACCTTGAATCCTACTTTACTGAGAAAACTGAAGCAATTAAAAGAGATTTCCAAAATCCACCACAAAGTAATGTTATACATTTCAACAATGTGCCATTTCAGCCTAAACTGAAGACTGATTTCATTACAACTCTGAAACACAAGAAATTAAATGCAATCTGGTATTAGCTACACTTTTAAACTAAGATATTTTTGGAATGAGAAATTAGGAACATATCTGGCACATGAAACAAACTCCTGCCTAGCTACATCATTTGCTTCTCAATCAATGAAATAAAAGCACTACAAAATATGCCTTTTAGCTTAAAAAGGGATAAATTATAAATGCTCTCATCTTCTTTATTGCTTTAAAATTTACTGTAAGGTGGTGCAATAATAAAACAAAATGCAGTCAGGTGCAGTGGCTCACGTGGCAATCCCAGTGGGAGGAAGGCTTGAGCCCAAGAGTTCAAGATCAACCTGGGCAACATAGAGAGACACTGTCTCTACCAAAAAAAAAAAAAAAAAAATAGCCAGGCGTAGGGGCACACAACTGTGGTCCCAGCTACTTGGGAGGCTGAGGTGGGAGGATCACTTGAGCCTGCGAAGTCAAGGCTGCAGTGAGCCAAGATCCTGCCACTGCACTTCATCCTGGGTGACAGAATGAGACCCTGTCTCAAAAAAAAAAAAATGCTAGTTGTCAATATAATTTAACCTAAATTTTATCACAGTGTTTCTTGCTGAGGGAGAAAATAACAATGCAATGGTACACAGAGGACAAGTCATCCAATAAATTTTCTTATGCATAATAGGTCCTTAAAAGCTTGCCCTTAAAACTATTTTTAATCCAACTAATTTACATACTAGAAAAGTTATGACTTAGTACAATATCATAAAATTCTTTTATGCAATCACCCTCTCAACTAAACTCAAGGACAGAGATTATAAATTGTATTCATATCGGTACTCTTGGCACATAGTATGGTATCTGGAATGTAAAAGACATGCAACAAACCAGCCTGGGCAATATAGCAAGACTTCGTCTCTGAAAAACAAATAAAAAATTACCTGGGCGCAGTGACACACGCCTGTAGCCCCAGCTATTCAGCAGGGTCCCTAGAGTCCAGACGTTCAAGGCTGCAGTGAACTTTGATCGCACCACTGCACTCTAGCCCGAGACGCTGTCTCTTTAAAAATAAAAGACATGCAATACACATGGAATGTACTAATAAATTTGCTCTTATAGTGAATGTAAGATTTCCCTACACTAAATCTGTTTGAAAGGAAATATACTCAAACAGCACATATGCAAAGATTAACGCCTCTTTAGTTTGATTTTAACACAAATACCCACAAAGCCCTAACTGCCCTAATAATGTTCCCTACTATGGAGTCTTCCCTAAAACACATACAATATTGCTCTCCCGGCAAACACAAAATATACTAAATAAAGCACCAGAATTAGGGTCTGGCAGCCCGGGTTGGAATCTCAACTCCATCCTTTTACTAGCTGAGACCTTAATAAGTTACTTAACCTCTTTGAGGCCCATTCTCCACACCTGCCCAACTGGAATAACCCCCTCCAATCCTACAGGGTTGCTGTCAGAATGAAAAGAGCTAATACCGAGCCTGGCTTAAAGCTGTAGTCCAGCAAATACTCCTCTTCCCTTAGATTCCTTCAGAACGCCCTTGTAGAAAGTAAACGTGGTTATTATCTTCATTATTTTCGGACTTATTTATTTAAAACGTAAATCGAAGCCTGAGGAGCCCAGGGGAAAACCTCCTTCAGCTTAATAGCTCCAGCCTGCCCAGCTTTCCGATCCAATTAAGTATTTCCATGCCTGGAGCTCCTATTCGTGTTTTAGGATCAGGGAATTTCCCTCCCAAACTGTGTCATGAGATCTGCGCATTTTCTTCTCACTGAAACTCCTTTTAACACGCAAGGTAATGATCCGCGCGTAACCTCGCAGGGAAGAGCAAGCGCTCATTACCCAGCTGTTCAGACGGAAATTTACATCAATATTTGTTTTCCTTCTTTCCCTGAGGTTGCTGAGGGTGGAACGACAGCGTCCAGGCAAAGGCAGTGTCCCGAAGTCCCACGGCCGGACCCGGTCCCAGGGGAGCCTCGCGGAGCCCCCGCCGCAGGGCCCCGACCCCCTCACGTCCGCATCCTGGGCGCTCCCACCGCATCCCCGAGGCTGGCAACCCGCGCTTCCCGGGAGCTGAGGGAGGTCTGTTTCCCTCAGCTCGCCGCCTCTGCCCGCTTCCGAGCCCGCTTCACCCCACACCTCAGACGCCGAACTCCCCTTCTCTCCCCGCCGTCCCTCGCTGGCCAGCCCCTCCTCGTCCCCTCAACTCCCCCAGGGACGGCTGTCCCAGGCTAGCCTCAAGCGCCGCCGCCGCCCGCGACGCCCGCCTCACCTCAGGGCCCGAGCCGCAGAGCTGTCAGGCCTGGACGCGCTCAGTCTGTTGACTCAGTGCGGGTGACCCAGCTGGGATCTGTGCGAGGGCGCGGCCGCGCGCACCCGCGCGCTCCTGGCGCAGGCAGAGCTGGCGGCGCCGAAGTCGCGCCCCGCCTCCTGCAGAGCGCACCTGAGGGCGGGGCTCCTAGAAAGCGCCGCTCCGCGTACGGGCGCGCTTCAGACGCTCGGCCCCGCGCGTCCCGGCGCACGCAGGCAAGCAGCGCGCCCGGAAGAGGAGAGCGGCTGAGGGTGGGGCGAGCGGTGGCGCGCCGCTGCCCAGGGCCCCTGAGCCACTAGAGTCGGGCCTCGTGGCTCTTCCCCAGGGCCTCCCACGCCTGGGTTCTGCGGGGATCTCGCCACGCTCTTTCTGGAGGCACGGGCAAAAACCACGGCCTCGTGTCTCAGTGGTAAACCTGCCGCCTCTTAGCGGGTGACCTTGGCCCACGGCCCTCTCCTCATCTGCCTCGCCCAGTCACGTCTCCTCTTAAGCATCCTTGCCGTCTGTCTCCTGGCATTTGGATGGGCCTCTCTGAACGCGTTTTGAGTCCTCTGCAGCCCCGCTTCCTCCCGCCGCGGCATCTGGAGTGCTGTGGCCCCGTTTCCGTAACTCTTGCCTCCCCTCCCCAGCCTCCTCATTGGCCCTCACACCCCGACCTGGGAGGTCCTCCCACTGAGGGTGCTTGTAGTTCGCGGAGTGTCCTCATCAAAGACTGGGAATGCGGCAGATGCTGAATTTTCCAAACGGCCTGAGACACATGACATCTGTGAGAGACTGGATACTGCACTTACTTTGCTAAAAATATAATCTAGTGTTTTGAGCTTCATTACTCAAAGTGACCTAAATGGGGTCAAAAGTTATTAACACTAACATTACGTATTTTCCTCTCCACATTTCTGTATAGTCACATTCCCTTGCACAAAGACTTTTTTTTTATTCTGTCAATCCTGTGTACATCATGTTTTTTTTTTTTACTTGTCTTTGTGTTATCTGCTTCTCGAATTTAAACCAGGTCTCCCCAACATGCACTCTGCTTTCTAAATTCTTAGGGGAAAAACAAACAAACAAGGAATCAAGTTTTACTTATGGAATATGAATTAAATAGAAAATTCAAAGAGGTTCGTCAGAATCCTTGATGATTAAAACAGCGGTCCCCAACCTTTTGGGCACCAGGGACCAGTTTCATGGAAGACAGTTTTTTCTGGGGGAGGGAGGATGGTTTGGGGATGATTCAAGCACATTATATTTACTGTGCACTTTATTTCTACTGTTACTACACTGTAATATGTAATGAAATAATTATACAACTCACCATAATGTAGAATCAGTGGGAGCCATGAGCTTGTTTTCTTGCAACTAGACAGTCTCATCTGGGGGTGATGGGAGACAGTGACAGATCATCAGGCATTAGATTCTCATAAGGAGCACGCAACCTAAATCCCTCACATGCGCAGTTCACAATAGGGTTCTCGCTCCTATCACAATCTAATGCCACTGCTGATCTGACAGGAAACGGAGTTCAGGCCCTAATGCCAGCCATGGGGGGCCCCTGTAAATACAGATAAAGCTGCACTCACTTGCCCTCCGCTCACCTCCTGCTGTGCTGCTTGGTTCCTCGCAGGCCACAGATCCCGGTAGCAGTCTCTGGCCTGGGGATTGGGGACCCCTGGATTAAAAGATCTAGCAATGGGGATGGGGGAAAGGGAGATAAGTATATTCAAAAAACTACACCAGGAAACTAAAGAAGGCATGTAATGAAAACTATCCCTGATATATTCTGTCTCTTTTGGAAACATCTAGAACATTTTAGTTACAAATTCTCAATGGCCTAGGATTTGGGGCCAAGTAAAGAAATATACATGAAAGATAAACTTGGTTAACATGTTACTGAACCATACTTTCACCCCAACACTTCTCACTAGTAGCCTTAACCTGCCTTAACTTCAGAAGTCTACTCATTTCTACTACTATTCTAGGCATTTATTTCTTACATTTCTTATCCTTGTAATGTTCTCTGTCATTCATTCTGTCTGCTCATGCTTTTACTCTTGTTTCTAAATGACATGACCAAAACCCAATTCTCCAAAAATCTCATCACCCTGGACAAAATGATCTCACTCTCCTCCCAATTGCCTACATACTACCATCTTGTTCACATCATTTTATTTACTTACCATCTCTTCAATTAAATTGTAAATAGTCTTAGGTTAAGAGCTTTTTCTTGACTTGTCTTTTTCTTTTCTTTTCTTTCTTTCTTTATTTTTGTGACAAAGTTTTGCTCTGTCACCCAGGCTGGAGTGCAGTGCCATGATCACAGCTCACTGCAACCTCTACCTCCCAGGTCCAAGTGATCCTTCCATCTCAGCCTCCTAAGTAGCTGGGACTACAGGTGCATGCCACCACACAGGCTAGTTTTTGTATTTTGTTGTAGAGACAGGGTTTTTCCATGTTGCCTAGGCTGGTATCAAGCTCCTGGGCTCAAGTGATTCTCTGTCCTTGGCCTCCAAAAGTACTGGGATTACGGGCCTGAGCCATAGCACCCAGGCGAAAGCTTCTTCTTATACCGATTTAAATTTCCAAGTCCTATGCATCATAGTATACAGTAAATATTATTAATGCTTCCAATGAGAAAACACATATAATAAGCAAGAATATTCAAATATTTTCATTTCCCCCACAAAATGTCACCACCCACTCAACAAGGGCTACCTACTCATAAAAGGGAAGATATCAAATTCCCCTTATAGGATGAATGACAAAATTATGATGGTGATATTGTTTGGCTCTGTGTCTCCAACCAAATCTCACCTTTAATTGTAATACTTCCCACATGTCAAAGGTGACCAGGAGGAGACAATTGAATCCTGGGGACAGTTTTCCCCATGCTGTTCTCATGATAGAGGGTGAGTTCTTACAAGATCTGATGGTTTTATAAGGGGCTTCCCCCTTCACTCGGCACTCATTCTCTCTCCTGCTGCCCTGTGAAGAGGTGCCTTCTACCATGATTGTAAGTTTCCTGAGGCTTCCCTCACCATGTGAAACTGTGAGTCAATTAAACCTCTTTTCTTTATAAATTCCCTAATCTTGGGTATGTACTTATAGCTGCCTGAGAACAGACTAATACAGATGTAATGCAGTTGTAAGAATAATTTAACAGAGGGAATACTAAATAAGACCTATTAATAAAAAGATTGCCACAAATTGATGTATGGACCCTGACATATTTTACTGTCTGTTTGAACAGGTTATTTATCAAACTATTTGTACCTTGTAAACAATGTAGCCATATAATCTCAATCTAAATTTCCATAGTTACCAGGTCCCAGTACTAAGTAAGCAGCTTCAGGGAAGATGTTCCTTTCTGAGCTTCCGTATCTAGGAAAGGGAAACAAGCCATACTGATGGGTTGCCATGGTGGCAATTCTAGTCCCCACATCTCATTAATACATTTCTTAGACAAATAAATCAGATGGGAATACATAAATCATGGGAGTTGTAGATTGAGATTTCACAAGTTGCCTAGCTGTACAAAATTAATGGTGAACCGGAATTTTGACAGTATTTAATGTAGAGTAAGAGAATAAGGCTTGCTACCCTAGATACGAACCTACAACCTACCCTCCTCCTGCTGGTGAACAATGAATTCTATTTGTGTTACTTTTTAATTTGCTAGACATCAAAGCCTTATTTAATGGAGTCTCTATGCCATTTTTGCCAAAATTAAGAGCAAAATTGTTAAATTGTTACAGCACCTTTTTTACTATCAACTTAGTACATTAATTTGCATGATTAAAATACATTGAAAATTACATGACTATTTTTTAAAATCTGTGATTATTAAATGCTATTATTTGTTTTTAAACATTTAACATTTCTACAAGGGTAAAAAAAGGTTTCAAGAGAAATGATGTGGTTTATATATTCAGAGTTTAGATTCAGTATTCGCTATTTCAAATTGGTACGTTTGTCTAGAATGAGTTAAAACATATAAAGAAATGCAGCCTTGGCTGACAAAGTAGGCAGGGAATCAAGCAGCTTTACCAGTAAATAGAATTCCAAACTAGCATATCAAATGTGGCTGAAATTGTTATTAAATAGCTCAGTAATATGATTAATTGATAATTGTTGGAGGGTTACAGGGGAGGGATTGGAGAAGAGAATGACTTCTAAAGGTAGTTTTAGTTTGATTTTTATTATTACTACTAATATTATTATTACTATTGTTTTTATTACAACAAAAATAATTTTAAGTATTTTACCCTTTTTGTTTCTCCAAACAGAAAAATTAGTCAAAGAGACTGATATTTGAAGAATGTACAGCCAAATTTGTTGTTTAAAACTTAACCAACCAACAAGTATTTATTAAGTGTCCAGTATTCTTGTTTGGTAAAATCTCCCAACTTTCTAGGTGAACCAAACGAAAAAAGGTAAAGAAATCAACAATTGTTCTGAGAGTTTTTTAAAAAATACTATAAAAGCATCAAATAAGGAAGATAATATTTCTTCCACTGTTAAATTATGTGGTGCAAATTATAAAATGCTGTAGAGAAATCTTTGAGAACTAGAGATACCTGTTAACTTCAAGAGGGAAAAATGGGAAGATTGGTTTAATTAGAGTGAAGAATTATAATAGAGGGCAGAGAGAAATAAACCTTCATAAATTTTTATAAACACAGTTTGTAATTTACCTAAGAGAATAATGTAAACATTAAAGAGAAATTTGACTCAAGTTTTCTTTTCTTTTCCTTTTCAGTAAAGAAAATGGACTTTACGTTGGTAAAGGTGAAACAACATACAAAGAGGACTGAAACTTGAGACAGGTGAGGAGGTAGTAAGAAAACACCCATCTGTTTCAAATAAGTTCATGTTTCCAGGGACAAATTACGTCCCACAGCTGTTTACAAGTAACCTAAGATCTATTGCTGGTGAGTTCTGAGAAACTGTAAAAAAGGAAAAAGATGATAGATCACTTGCTTAAAACATGGTGAAAAGGTAGACATTGAAAACTGTAGAACAGAAAAGTAAAACTCCAGAGTCCATAGTTAAATGTATTAGAATTTGGTGGTCACTCGGAACCAGACTGACTAAAATAAGACAAGTCACACCACACTTCTTTATTTGATCTTTGAGAGAAGATGGAATGTTATGGCCATGATATAAATTAATTTCAGCAAAGCATTTAATCCAGTCTTTCATATCTTTGTGGATGTGCCTAAAATAGGGGCCTGATTTAATTATGATTAGGTAAATTCAAAATTAGTTGGATAACTGTACCCTGATTTTTGTTCATATTTTTCATAAATTACATAGGTGAAGAAATCATTGTGGTCAAATCAACAGGTGAAACAAAAACTACATAGCATAGCAAATATGACTGAAGACAGAACCAGAAAACAAAATTATTTTAACAATTTGAACTGTGAGCTAAAACCTAAAAGATAAAATTTAACATAAATATATGAAAATGTCTGCATTCAAGTTGAAAAATACAATAGCACAAGTACAAAGTGGGATGGGTTGTAGCTTAGCCATGCGAAAAACATTCAGAGGTTTTAGTGTCTGCCAAGATCAATGTGAGGATAGCCTGAAGTTATACCTCTAACACTTCCATTTGAAAATACTGCCCTACCTTCCTCCTCCCTTTCATCCCCTTGCCAATATTCCCCTGGAATAGGCAGAATAATGATCCCCACCCCCACTCGTCCTAATCCCTGGAACCTGTGAATATGTTCATTTATGTGGAGAAATGGATTTAAGATTGGAGATGGAATTAAGGTTGCTAATTAGCTGATCTTAAAATCAAGGAGATTTTCCTTGATTATCTCAGTGGATGCAATATAATCACAAAGGTTTTTAAAAGTAAAAGAGAGAGGCAGAAGAGGAGACTAGAATTATGTGATGGGAGAACTCAATCCACCACTGCTGGCAGTGAAGATGGAGGAAGGGATGTGGATGGCCTCTAGAAGTTGGAAAAGGCCGGGAAACGGATTATCCCTTAGAACCTCCAGGAAGGAACAGAGAGCCCTGGGAACACCTTGACTTTATCGCAGAGAGATCTGTGTGTTGAACTTCTGTTTGTTTGTTTGTTTGTTTGTTTTTGAGATAGGTTCTCACTCTGTCGCCTAATCTGGAGTGCAGTGAGGAAATCATAGCTCACTGCAGCCCCAATTTTCTGGGCTCAAGCGATTCTCCTGCCTCAGCATCCTAAGTAGCTGGGATTGTAGGTGCATGCCACCCATCCAACTAATTTTTTAATTTTCTGTAGTGATGGGGGTCTTACTGTGTTGCCCAGGCTGGTCTTGAATGCCTGGGCTCAAGCCATTCTCCTGCATCAGCCTCCCAAAGTGCTGGGATTACAGGCGTGAGCCACTGTGCCCCACCTGTATTGGACTTCTAACCTACAGAACTGTAATAATAAGTTTGTGTTGTTTTAAATCACTAAAGGCTGTGGCAATTTGTCAGGGAAGCAAGAGAAAAGCTAGTACACTTTTTATATTGTATTTTCCTTCTCTGCATTGCAATGCTGTGCTTATTTAGCATCCACATGTCCTTTCTTCTCTCTTGTCTCTCTAAGGAAGCAACATGATGCCATAGAAGGGACAATAACTATTACTTAGATGTTGTGGATTTAGAAACTTAGTAACTGATGTGACTCCATGATCATATATTACTCATGGTTAGTTTCCATAATCACTGTTTCCTAATTTGTAAAACAGAAATCTAAAATAGCTTCCTTCTTTGACTCTGTGCTGCTTCAAAGAACTTATGAGATGAGGTATAGGAAATAATAAAATCCAACTGTTGAGCATGTAATATGTGCTGCATACTCTTCTATATGCTTTATGTGTAGCCTTTTATTTGATCTCTGCAATGATATGTGAGCTGTGAACTATTATTTTTTCTTCACCGAGGTAGAGAAGTACTCTGAAAACTATAAAGTACCAGAAATTATAAATAAATGGATGTCCTGTAGGGAATCAATGTACAATGAAGAAAAAAAGTTTTTTCAACTAATAATTTTCTGGAAACTTTTTGTTTTCTTAAACTTTACTGATACTAGCTTTCGATATTTGTACCTTGAACATTTCCATCACAGTTATTCTCTTTCTTCATTAATCTGTCCATTCATTCTGTAAATATTTGTGAATTACCTATTACATGTCAGGTACTATCCTAAGCCTTTGGGATAGAACAGTGGATGAAACAGACATGGCTCTAGCTGTTTAGGATTATTGATTGCAATGAGGGCTATAAAATGGGAAGTGACAAAGAAGTGTGGTCAGTAGCATCATGGGAATAGTGGTCCATAGAAGGACATTGGTGATTCATCTAATACAGACCTGGGGTGTCAAGGAACATTGTTTAGAGGAAGACATATCTAAAGATTTGAAGGCTAAGTAGGAGTTAGGCAAAGTGGAAGCAGAGAAAATTCCAAAAGAATAGTTACCTTCGCCGGGCACAGTGGCTCATGCCTGTAATCCCAGCACTTTGGGAGGCCAAGGCGGGCGGATCACCTGAGGTCGGGAGGTTGAGACCAGCCTGACCAACATGGAGAAACCCCGTCTCTACCAAAAATACAAAATTAGCTGGGTGTGGTGGCGCATGCCTGTAATCCCACTTACTCAAGAGGCTGAGGCTGGAGAATTGCTTGAAACTGGGAGGTGGAGGTTGCGGTGAGCCGAGATTGAGCCGTTACACACCAGCCTGGGCAACAAGAGCAAAACTCCATCTCAAAAAAAAAAAAAAAGAAATAGTTACCTTCAGTATTTCTGCCTCTTCGTCATTTACATTGACTTTCTTTTTCTCTCTCTCTCTCTTTAAACTCAAGTAGATCCTTCTTTAAGTTTTATTCCCAAAATATAATTTGATATTAACTTCTTGTAAAATTTTCAAACATTTCATATTTAATAAGCTCTTTATAACCCATGTTTGTCTGATCTCACATTCTTTTAATCCAATAATCAAGCAATGTTTGATTAAAGGGTACTTTATTTCCCTATTCAAGTAGAACATGGCCTTCTGTTATTAGCTAATTATAATATAAATAAAATTCAAAATAAACAAGCAAATGTTTCCTGTATAATTTCATTCTTGTGGTTGCTTTCCTTTGCCACTAGATGGTACTTGTATGCCTGAGAGACCAAAATGCTGATTCCGTTTACCTTCCTGGAAACTGTAAAACTAACCAATCAGAGGATCAGGTCATTGAGAAGAAGAAACTTGCCCAACCTAAGATGTAAGTGATCCCGGTTTTTAAATTTATCCTTAAAAATTAACCCAACATTATCTTTTCTCTTTAGATAAATATGACAGTAAAACATTTTAAATTAAATTAGCTTTAATTTTTGCCCATTTTTTACCAACCCCCATACCCCTTTTTTTTTTTTACATTTCTTTACTTTTACTTTCTAATGATACTGCTTTTCTAACATCCTAACCTGGAAAATTGGATTACTTGTTCCTTATTGGAGGCCCTCCACCCTCCAAGCTCCTTGTCTAAGCTAATGCTTTTCTTTCTACTTTGAAAAGCCACTACCTCCCTTCTGACCCCTCCCTCATAGTTTTTATTTTCAGAAATCCTAGTCATTCTTCAAGGCACATTTCAACTAGTACCACTATCATGAAGTTTTTCCTGTTACTATTACTTGAAAATGCCTTCTTCTGATTCCTTTTCCATTCTTCTAACAATTTTAGTAATTTGTTTGATAATACGTGTAATGTATTATTCTAAAGAGCTATATGCATCTCCATAGCAATTAGGCTTCCTGCATTGTGATTATTTATGAAATTTACTTAATCTCTGTACTATACAATGTTTGCCTCTTGAGTGCAGAGACTGTCTTAGTAGTCTATATATCCTGAAATATTTTACATATTATTATTTATTGAATTGGGTTTAATGTTAATATCCATAAGACTATTGCAAAAAACTCTAAGAATAACAAAATAATACGGTGATTCTTAATGGTAGTCTCATGTGTGAGTTGGATGAAATTCATTAGCAAAACCTGTGGAATCAAATCATCTTTTCCCCATTTTCCCTTTTTTCCCATGGCATGAGACTCCTGCCTTCTCCAAATATATAGAAATAATGAATAGAGTATGAGTATTTTAAAATATAAAGCTGAGTTTAAAACAGAGACAGCAAAGGCTTCAGATACCAGAATTGAAGAAGAAATTCAAAGTCACAATAATAAGGTCCAGGAGCTGAGGTTTAACCCCATTTGGGACTAAAAGATGTGGTCCTAAAGCCACTTATGAGGATCTGGAACTAACATTCCTACATAAACTAGAACCCTAAAGAGGTTTTCACTTTTTGAAGCCTTAGAAGTCTAGGATGAGTAGGGGTGAGAGTAATGGTTCCTGTGAATATTGAAAGCCTCTGCCAATGGAAATCTAATTTTACCTTATCATTTGAAAAGAGAATCCTAAGAAAGAGCCAGGCCCTATAGAAGCAAATATAAAATCCTTGATGAGGACATATACACAACTCAGGAAACAAAAGAATCCCACAGAATAAATGGCTTTCAGTAAAGGTGAGCTCTCAATAAAATTTGCACACTACACAAAGAAACAATCTACCAAAAGGCATATGAGAAGACACAACAAATAGAAAAATCTGTGCCCCAACCACTTGAGTTAATAAAGCAATCTGACCACTAGGTGCAGTGACACACACCTGTAATCCCAACACTTTGGAGGTCCAAGGCAGGAGGATTGCTTGAGGCCTAGATTTGAGACCAGCCTGGGCAACATAGTGAGACCCTGTCTCTATCAAAAACAAAACAAAACAAAACAAAAAAAAACCTGGAAGTGACTATCAAAGAAAAATCCATAAAATGATTAAAAACATAAAGGAAAATAAAAATCAAATGAAGGAAAAGTATAAGAAAAAATAAAAATATTTGAAAAAAGGAATTTATTGATCTATTAATAATTTTGATACTTATTGAACATCTGCAGAGTTCTAGCACTGTTCTGGGTTCCAAAGATAAAATAGTGAATAAGATACGTGAATTTCCTACTGTCATAGAGCTTATTTCTATTAAAAATAAAAAGCTCTACATATGGGTTAAATAGATGGACTAGATACAGTGAAAGAGATAATTATTAAATTGGAAAATAAATCTGAAGAAATTATACAGAGGATTAAAAAATGGAGAGTATAAAAGTGAAGTTATATCCTTAAGAGTATAATAACAAGATCTAACACATATTTAATAGAAGATCTAAAAAGAAAGAAAAGAAATAAAATGGAGGGGAGGCCTGATTCAAAGAGAAGATAGCAGAGAATGTGTGAGATACAAAGATAGATATGAACCAGAATGCAGTAAGTCCTTAACAGGATACATGTTTTAAAAGAAATCAATATCAGAACACTTCTAGTTAAAATTAAAGAGCACCAAAACAAGAAAAACAATTCCTAAGAACAAAGCAAGAAAGAAAACATACCTATAGGCTGGGCATAGTACCTCACGCCTATAATCCAACAATTTGGAAGGCCGAGGCAGGAGTATTACTTGAGCCCAAGTGTTCAAGACCAGCCTGGGCAACATGGAGTCTCCAAAATTAATAATTTAAAAAATTAGCTGGGCTTGGTGGCCCATGTCTGTCATCCCAGTTACTTGGGAGGCTGAACAGGAGGATCACTTGAGTCGGGGAAGTCAAGGCTACAGTGAGCCATGATCTTGCCACCACACTCCAGCCTGAGTGACAGAGTAAGACCCTGTCTCAAACAACAACAACAATAACCTACCTATGAGGAAACAAAAATAAAATTGACAATAAAAGTGCCACTAGTAAAAAGAAAGATTAAAATAAAATTTTTAAAGGGCTATGGGAAATTCTATTCTCAACTAAGCTGTCAAAATGAAAATGAGAAAAGTTGTCGGATAAAGACCACTAGAGTTTACCATTCACAGACGTAGGCTGAAACGACTACTGACAGATGTACTTCAAAAAGAAGGAAATTGAATCCAAAAGGAAGAAGCAAGATGTAAGAAGAAATATTGAACAAGGAAACTGAATAAAATTTGGAGAAACTAAGTATTGACATATAAATAATGTATTATAACCAAGAAAATTAAGATGCTATAACATGAAAGAAGAGGAAGTCAGGTTGAAAATACTCTGTTTCTAAATTCCATTTTTTGAGAGGAGGCTACAGTTATTATTAATTTTGGAAATTGTAAATTGGAGTATGCATGTTAAAAATTTCAAGACATCTGTCATGTGTATTTGCTACATTATTTAAGAATATTCAATTCAGGGACTAGAAAATGAAAGAAAGGAAGAATTAATTAAGAGATACATATATATGTTAGATATATAAGGTAAGTAGAGTATGTGTGTACTGAGTGCATAAATAAGAAGATATGGAAGGACTGGGTAAGCACCAAATATTCATGAAACACCCAAGGCACCAAATATTAATGAGGACTCATTTTGGCTCCATGTATCCTCTGCTCAAGACAGATAAAATCCATGGGTGCTCAACAGGTAACAGTGGTGAGTTACAACTATAGCCAGGCGGACCAGTCCCTGAGTCTTTCTTGCAGAGAAAATATAAATTGGCTCTAGGCACCCTCCATCTGCCAAGTCTTCTTTGTTTATCTGCAATTCTGGTCCTTATAACCACAATGTTAGCAGGAAGAATTAATATAGAAAAATAGAAGAGAGGACATATAAACATTTTATAGAATAGGCTTCAGTTAACTCAATCGTATACTAATTGCACCCTTTCCTAAGTACATTATTAACCTACTCTGCCCCTTTCCCCTTGCTTCTTGCTGTATCCTTTAAATTGATTCAATAAACTGTGATCTCAGCATCTTACTTGGGTCCATGAGCCTGTCTGGGCCAGCCCTTTGGTAAAGGACTTGGAGACACCATTGCATCAAGGTAATCTCCCACTAACATACCACTAAAAGGTAGAGATATGTAACTTGTAAATTAGTAAAAGATAAAAGGAGAAGAAAAAAATCACTCAAGTGGAAGGCAAGAAAGGCCTAAAAAATTAAGAAATGGCATCTTAAAATCAAACTTGATTACCTTTTGTTTTATTTCAAAGATAGACAACTCATTTTTAATTCACCTACCTCATCACATAATTTCTTATTGGTTGTAAAATACGTGGTTAAGAAGGATTCTAAAGCGAAGTCCCATTTTAATAAAAAAGAGTGCCTTCATCTGTTGGCAATATCTACCCAAAGGCACTGGAAATGAGCTGAAATCATATGAGGAGTACATACGTGTCTTTATTAATCCAGGTTTTCTAAGCTTAAAAAATCACCACCAATTCCCAAAGCTCTCAAAAAGTCAATTATATTTTATTTTAGTTTTTGTAAATTTGATGCTTTTATGCCTAATCTTTTCATATGTTTGAGAGAAGTTACTTCATATACTACTAATTCAAATACGAATATTTATAGTATCTGTAACAGTGTGAAAATCATAAGATAGTATTTTTAGTTACTACATAGGAAAGAAAGTCCATCAATATGCCTATAACTGGCAAGAAATTTCAGCCATTATTCAACTGAATTCCACACATGGTCATTGAGCTCTTACTGTGACATGCACAAGGAACTCTACTAAAGGATGCAAAATTTAAAAACATAGTCCCTGCCATCAAGAAATTTAATAGTGAAGGAGATATCCATTACATAGTCAACTGTAAAACAGTATAATGTCAGTAGATTCTACATCTAGCTGGGTATTAGGATCATCCAAGAAGCTTTTGTTTGTGTATTTATTATTTTTGACTGTCAGAACCTGTCCAAGATCTGAAAAAAGAATCTCTAAGATATGAAATCTGGAAATGTATAGATTTAAAAGGGCTTCCATATGATTCTGATACTTAGCCAGATTTGTGAACAACCATGATAAATGTTATGCTATTAATACTTAGAAGAATGTGGCTTATGTTACTTTATTGCAGTTGTTTTATGACCCTAGTTCTCAAGGAAAGGGAACGTAATATGAGTACATTTCCTTAGGAGGATAAACTTACAAGGATAAACTTGCAAGATAGAATATTAACATGGGTTCAGCCCTGGAGTGCCAGAGAACACTATGAAATCATTTGATGACAAGAGGGAATAGAGGTACAAACTCACCCAGCATGTTGGGGGAAGGGACAGGATACGAAATATAAACATGACCCATGTCCAAATTGTGCCATGAGGCCGGTCCTGTTTTTTAACTTTCTCTATGTCTGCACTTAAGCCTGAGGACTGACTTGGAAGAGCGCTTGTTAAATTGGAAACTTTAATTAAAAAAAAATCATATTTGTACACTTCTGGTTCCTAGATTGTCAATTATTTTCAAGTAACTCAACTATTATTTTTGGCATATTTTTTGTGTCATTTTCTAAAAAGACAGTCTATCTAGTCAGATAAGTTTTCTAAGTAGGATTCCTTGAGTTTACCTATTTTTGTGTAGACCTTTTATTTTCTTGTGAAGATTTTTATTTTTCAAATAATTTTTTATTTTTATTTTTACTGTTGTTTCATGATGTTAAAATGGCTTGTATTCATTCTTTTACAAACTAAGGAAAAGAAGAAAAGTGTGAATTAAAGTAAAGGAAACATTTTAACTCTAGCTGTTCTGATACACATTATGTAACATATGGCTTAGGATAGACTGATAGACCAAATAGACCAATTGACCCAAAAATGTGCAACAGGCCAAATACCACTGATATTTAATTCTTACATAGTAATTCAAAAGGATGCCCTAGGCATTGTCATCCAGTCGGGGGCAGTGGGTTGAAAAGGCACAAAGGGAGAAAAGACCCCCTTCTTAACAGTCCAGACCCTGAAGTGACAGTTATCACTCAAGCCTGCGTTTGTTTTATGAGAAACAGCTATGTGGCTCTACCTAGATGCGAGACAAGTGCCAGTCTTGGCTGTGTGGCCACTTCCCAGCTATAGTTCCATATTATGGGAGGAGGATTACAAATCTCCAGTGACAGCTAGCCATATGTATTCTCTTTCTTGAAAATGTAAGAGAATCTACTTTTGAAAGTGTCTAAGCCTGGCACCTCATAGGGGTTATTTATTGACAACACTATTTTTACTCCATTGTTATTGGTCTTCTTAAAAATTTGTGGAAATTCAGCCGGGCACGGCGGCCCATGCCTGTAATTCCGGCACTTTGGGAGGCCAAGGTGGGAGGATCATAAGGTCAGGAGATGGAGACCATCCTGGCCAACACGGTGAAAACCCGTCTCTACTAAAAATACAAAAATTAGTCAGGCGTGGTGGTGGGCGCCTGTAGTCCCAGCTGCTCGGGAGGCTGAGACAGGAGAATCGCTTGACCCGGAGCGCAGAGGTTGCAGTGAGCTGAGATATTTATTTATTTGTTTATTTTTGAGACAGAGTCTTGCTTTGTTGCTCAGGCTGGAGTGCAGTGGCATGATCTCTGCTCACTGCAACCTCTGCCTCCTGGGTTGAAGCAATTATTGGGCCTCAGCCTCCCAAGTAGCTGGGATTACAGGCACCTGCCACCATGCTGGGCTAATTTCTATATTTGTAGTAGAGACAAGTTTTTACTATATTGGCCAGGCTGGTCTCAAACAACCGACCTCAAGTGATCCACCTGCCTCGGCCTCCCAAAGTGTTGGAATTACAGGCGTGAGCCACTACCCCCAGGTCTGTTATTTTTCTTTTAGATCAGGGACTTGATAACATCTAATTTGTCTAAAATTTGCCAAGATATGATTCTGGACACTCTTGATAAAGCTGTGAGTTACTATATTTATGTCACATTTGTGTTTTATTAGAGAAAGTTATATCTTGGTGGGAAATACCAATACATTCAATTTTCTAGAACCTTGCTGAAGTGTAGGGACATGGAATTGCCACACCTCTCCTAAGGTATCCTTTGGTACCATTTATCCTGGGGTGAACATTTAGGTTAGTGGAAAGAAGAGGAACACCATCTAATTTTCTATAGGAATCAAAATGTTCTTTGAATGACACTCAAGTCTTTTCTAAAAGTCTCAACTGACACTATGCAAATATTACTTTCCAGTATAGATTCAATTTTATTAGAACCTAATATAAGGAAACATGTTTGTTCTATACAATTAAAAAAAAAACAAATGAACACAGAAGAATAATTAAATTTGAACCTAATTTTATTTCAAGTAAATTACAGACACTTAGTTGCATCTTTTCTGTTCAATTTAGAGCACACATTAGACATTTAAGAAATTAGAATTGTTATACCCTGTTACTGGAAAGGAGTCCTGATCCAGACCCCAAGAGAGGGTTCTTGGATCTCGTGCAAAAAAGAATTCAAGGTGAGTCCATAGAGCAAAGTGAAAGCAAGTTTATTAAGAAGGTAAAGGAATAAAGCAGCCCTGAGGGCGTCAGGTTGCCCATTTTCATGGTTATTTCTTGATTATATGCTAAACAAGGAGTGGACTATTTATACCTCCCCTTTTTAGACCATGTAGGGTAACTTCCTGATGTTGCCATGGCATTTATAAACTGTCATGGTACTGTTGGGAGTGTAGCAGTGAGGACCCCCAGAGGTCACTCTCATCACCATCTTGGTTTTAGTGGGTTTTAGCTTGCTTCTTTATGCAACCTGTTTTATCAGCAAGGTCTTTATGACCTGTATCATATACTGACCTCCTGTTTCATTCTATGACTGAGAATGCTTTAATGAATGCAACCTAGTGGGTCTCAGCCTTATTTTACCGAGCTCCTATTCGAGATGGAGTTTGCTCTGGTTCAAACACCTCTGACCCCTGCACTTCTAAATTGAAAAAAAAAAAAAAAAAAAAGTATCACTGAATTGAGTTTTTTTAGAACCATGAAGATTTTTTTTTTCTGAAATGTAACATTTTTCTATATGAAGAACTGACATTTTAATTCCATACCCTACTCACTCATCACTCTGCTCAAATTATCATTCCAATTCCTCAACTCAGTGGTTTGTTGTTGTTGTGGGTTTTTTTTCTATTTATAGTAGATGAAAACTAACATTGATGTTATAAAAATAACATTAAGATGCACACTCAAAGCCCATAAGAAAATCTTTCTGGGTTGAGGACATTTCTGGCTGGGTTTTCAGACAACAAAAGTCTGTTGACTTTTGAAATATCCTTTGTTTGACATTGGATTGTTCTCTTTTGCCTGCTTGATCAGAACAGGTGAATTTAATTTTCTCTTTTCTTTGTTCTATTATGAACTGCAGGCACCTCTTTAAGAGGACCCAGTAGGAGAGAATTGCCCTTGAAATGCTAAAATGGGGAAAACAGCTTGAGAATGTTATGAGGCAAGACAGACTGACGTGAAAGATATTTTCATCTCCGTGCACTTGGTGCCAACTCAAGGCCAAGTTAGGAAAACAGTCCACGATGTACTGTAAAGTAATACTGAATGGAACAGGTGAGTTAAGAATGGAGTAAGAATGGAAAAGTGAGTCAGACATAAAGTCACAACACCCTGAATTTGTCCTCAAGATAATTATCAGTGGCATTAATTGGCAAATTTCTGTTACTATTTAACAGTAAACTAATTAATGCTACAAATATTTGCATATTGTGGAGAGAACATTACAATGTTCTTGGTGTAAAACCTAGATGGGGAAGTGGAATTTAGTTTCAAACTCCAACCTATCTCTTAAATCACTTATTTCTATTTCAAGCTGAAGGAGAGAAAAATTATTTTGCATGAAACCTATGAGAATTTAGGGTGCTTATCAGGAAAAGGGGAGTGTTCTGCTAGTAAAGGCTTTATTTAAATTTACTAAGAGAGAGTGTATTTGCTGCTTCTATGGCAATTTTTCTGTATGACTACTTTCTAACAAAAATGAAATCTTTCTGTCCAAAATAGGTGAGTGCTTTAAATGAGAGAGCCTATATCATAGTCTTTGATTGTTGATCCTGTTTTTACATGGCTTTGGAACAATCTCAGGTTCTTAATTCTTAGCTTTTCCTTTACATAACTATAAAAATGGAGATGATAAAATGCTGAAAAGTTTTAAATGTTTGTATGTGTTTGTTTGCTTTGTTTTGGGATTCCCGAGTGGACATTTTTATCGCTATGAAATATTACTACACTGGGAACTTGAAAATACAGGGGCAGATTCAGGGGGCAATGCCATAAAAATGAAGACAATTCTGATGAAACAAAACTTTAAAAGTATGAACTTTTAAACACTTTAAAGATATATATCTTAGAATTAAGTTTAAAAAAAATTTTTTGAATGTTGATGAGGGTACAGGGCAATAGAGGTTCTTATATACTGCCAGAGTGGTGCATACTGGTAACATCTTTCTCGAAAGTAATTTATCAACATGTGTCAAGAACTTTAAAAATGTTTTTAAGCCAGGTGTGGTGGCTTATGCCTGAATTCTAGCACTTCAGGAGGCTAAGGCAGGTGGATCACTTCAGACCAGGATTCAAGACCAGCCTGGCCAACATGGTGAAACCCCGTCTCTACTAAAAATACAAAAATTGGCAGGGGGCAGTGGCTCATGCCTGTAATCCCAGCACTTTGGGAGGCCAAGGCGGGCGGATCACCTGAGGTCGGGAGTTCGAGACCAGCCTGACCAACGTGGAGAAACTCCGTCTCTACTAAAAATACAAAATTAGGCGGGAATAGTGGCGCATGCCTGTAATCCCAGCTACTCGGGAGGCTGAGGCACCAGAATTGCTTGAACCCAGGAGGCGGAGGTTGCAGTGAGCCGAGATCATGCGCCTGCACTCCAGCCTGGGTGACAGAAGGAGACTGTCTTAAAAAAAAAAAGTGTTTTTATTTATTTGCTTAGGCTGCCATAACAAAATACCGTAGACTCAGTGGCTTAAACAGCAGAAATTTATTTCTCACAGTTCTGGAGGCTGGTGTCCAAGATAAGGTGCCAGCTGATTTGATTTCTGGTGAGGGCTCTCTCTCTGGCTTATAGAAGGCTGCCTTCTTGCTGTGTTCTCACAGAGCAGGGCTGCAGGGAGAGAGAGAAATATCTTTCTTTCCTTCTAAGACTTTAGTCCTTCCTATTGGTTAGGGTCCTATCCTTGTGACCTTATTTCCTAATGACCTCTCTCTAGATATAGCCACATTGGAGATTAGTCACCCACATAGGAATTTGGGTGGGGAACATAATTCAGTAATGTTCTTACCCTTAGATCAAGTAATTCAACTTCTAGCAATCTATCCTGTGTGCATAGTGTAAGGTATGGGTGGGGAGGAAGGGGAGAGAACTGAAATGTAGCCCTAGATGTGAGCTTATTTATATTCATCATATTCTTTATTTACAATTTAAAATAGAAAAACAACACAATGTTCAAAAGATATTTTGAACACAATACACAATACACAATACACAAGTCTGTGTTTGTACCCTAACACGCTCAAAAAATAGTTGAGTGTGTTGTGGCACAACATAGAAAATTAGACAGCCAAAACTTTTAATTTTTTTAATCATGGGAAAATGATTACATTCTATTTTAAAATGTAGGATAATGGCTGGGTGTGGTAGCTTACGCCTGTAATCCCAGCACTTTGGGAGGCTGAGGCGGGCAGATCACCTGAGGTCAGGAGTTTGAGACCATCCTGACCAACATGATGAAACCCCGTCTCTACTAAAAATACAAAAATTAGCTGGGTGTGGCGGTGCACATCTGTAATCCCAGCTACTCAGGAGGCTGAGGCACAAGAATGGCTTGAACCCAGGAGGTGGAGGTTGCAGTGAGCTGAGATCGAGTCACTGCACTCCAGCCTGGGCAACAGAGTGAGACTCTGTCTCAAAAAAAAAAAAAAAGAAAAGAAAAGAAAAGAAAAAAGAAAAAAATGTAGAATAAAAAGTTATTTATGTACTGTGACAGCCACAATGTAAAATATATGTATAGATGCATAGAGAAAAGCCTTAGGAAATATATTACAAAAGATTAACAGTGATTATGTCTGGGTAGCAGGATTATATGAATTTTTATCACATTTTTTGCAATAAGCATACAGTGTATTGATAACATTAAAAAATTTTTTCAAAGTGAACAAATATGTAAATGTGGGGTAAAGTCAAAATAGGAAAGCTAAATGTGTATGATTATCTAGGAAACCCACCAAGTATCTTAATGATGAGATGAAATGAATTTTCTAATAAAATCTCAGGTAAATAAATTTAGGCTGTATTTATTTGTTTGTTTATTTATTTATTTTAGCTCTATTGTTCTTTGTAATCCCCAAAGGGTTTCCTTCCTTATTCTGCCCATGTTTACAGGTTGGAGATAGAAAAATAAGGAGAATGCTTCTGTTTACAGTGTGTAAATTGAATTTATTGTTCTTTTAGATAGGGCTGCTGAATGGAACACACGAAAAGCCATTTTTTTTTGTATGTAACTTTTTTTTATGCCTTGCCTTATTTCCAACATAGGGGTCCTCAAATTTTCTTTACAACAGAGTTGAATTTCAGGCTTCAGTGGAAGTAACGATGAAACCTGATCTTCTGCTATTAAAGAATCTCCTCCTGCTGCTCTCTATCCTTAAGCTTGATGAGATCCCTTTTGAAAATAAATGTTCGGGCTGGGTGCAGTGGTTCATGCCTGCAATCCCAGCACTTTGGGAGGCCGAGGCGGGCGGATCACCTGAGGTCAGGAGTTTGAGACCAGCCTGGCCAACATGGTGAAACCCCATCTCTACTAAAAATACAAAAATTAGCCCGGCGTATTGGCACATGCCTGTAGTCCCAGTTACTCAGGAGGCTGAGGTTGGGAGGATTGCTTCAACCCAGGAGGTAAAGGTTGCAGTGAGCTGAGATAGCGCCACTACACTGCAGTCGGGTTGACAGAGCGAGACTCTGTCTCAAAGAAAAAAGAAAAGAAAGGAGGGGAGGGGAGGGGAGGGGAAAGGAGAGGAGAGGAGAGGAGAGGAGTTGAGGTCATTATTACAAACAATTCTGCCTGAGGGGAGGGGAGGGAAGAGGAGAGCAGAGGAGAGGAGAGGAGGGGAGAGGAGTTCATTATTACAAACAATTCTGCCTGACACTGAAACATGACTTTTGTTATTGTGGATTGGTTTGTCTTTCTTTTCTTTTTTCAGACAGTCTCGCTCTGTCGCCCAGGTGCAATGGTGTGATCTCGGCTCACTGCAACCTCCGTCTCCCGGGTTCAAGTGATTCTCCTGCCTTAGCTACCTGAGTAGCTGGGATTACAGGGATGCACCACCACACTCGGCTAATTTTTTTTCTATTTTTAGTAGAGATGGGGTTTCACCATGTTGACCAGGCTAGTCTCGAACTCCTGACCCCATGATCCACCTCCCAAAGTGCTGGGATTACAGGCGTGAGCTACCGCAACTGGCCTCAGGTTTACTTTATTTTTTTTTTATTTTTATTTGAAATAAAGTCTCACTCTGTCACCCAGGCTGGAATGCAGTGGCATGATCTCGGCTTACTGCAACCTCTGCCTCACGAGGTCAAGTGATTCTCCTGCCTCAGCCTCCCAAGTAGCTGGGATTACAGTCATGTGCCATCAAGCCCGGCTAATTTTTGTATTTTTAGTAGAGATGGGGTTTCACCATGTTGGCCAGGCTGGTCTCAAACGCCTCACCTCAGGTGATCCGCCCGCCTCGGCCTCCCAAAGTGCTGGAATTACAGGTGTGAGCCACCATGCCCGGCCCGGTTTTACTTTAGAATGTCCTTGGACAACAGCGTAACTGCCTAATGAATTCTTCCTACCCATTGCACTGACAAAACCAATTCACTGAGACCATGGCATTGCAATAAAAAAGAATTTAATTGACATGAGGCTGGTCACACCCCATGGGAGACTAATTTATTACTCCAATCAATTTCCCTGAAAATGTGAGCCTGGGCAACATGGCAAAACCTGTCTCTACAAAAAAATACAAAAATTAGCCAGGTGTGGCGTGCACCTGGAGTCCCAACTACTTGGGAGGCTAAGCCTGGGAGGTAAGGCTGCGGTGAGCCCGGATCACACCACTGCACTCCAGCCTGGGCAACAGAGTGAGACTCTGTCTCTAAATAAATAAACAAACTATAAGCTAAATGTCTCTCAAAGTTAGCTTGGCCTAAGCCCAGGAATAATTAAGGGCAGTTTGGGGATTAAAGGCAAGATGCGGGTTGGTTAGTCCTCTCACTGTCATAATTTTCTCACTTTTATAATTTTTGTGAAGGCGATTTCAAGAAGTGGAGTCTATTCAGTTAGTTGGGGGATTTAGAATTTTATTTTTGGTTTACACTTTCCAAAAAGCCCAGCTCTGAGAAGTAAAAGTCTAGGCTTTCAAATATGTGTGTGTGTGTGTGTGTGTGTGTGTGTGTGTGTGTGTGTGTGTGTATTCAGACAGGGTCTTGGTCTGTCACCCAGGCTAGAGTGCAGTGGCATGATCCCAGCTCACTGCAGCCTCAAACTCCTAGGCTCCAGAGATCCTACTGTTACAGTAGGTAATTAGTCTGATATGAGCAGAGGAGGAGAGGCTCCTCTCCACATCAGGAATGTCAGGTGACCATCAGGTGATGGTCAGTCAGTGGTTACACTGTCTCTTTAAAAGAATAATTAGTCGCAGCTGGTGGCAGGGAAAGGCAGTCGCCCAACAGATAGAAACACCTGAAACTGGTGATCAGCATCTTCCTGATAAGATCTCAGGAGTTGAGCAACTGGGCTCAAGCATGTGCACTAAGAGGCAAAATAGCAGAGTTTAACTGGTATATGACCTTTCTCTGGAAATGCTTGACTGGTAAGGGAAGAACACCTTAAGTGAGCATGTGTACAACTTCAGTAAACACACTTCAAGTGCAGCCCCTCCAAGTGCTAGCAGGCCACTGTGCATGCAGATCGCCCACCCCAAAGGAAGAATCAGGGGAGAAGTAATGCAACCCTGGAAGTATGCCAGTGTGTAAGATCCCAAGTCAAAGGCCAAACTGCACACTTGAATCTCTCAGGTTGCCTGCTTGGCCTTCTTCCAGTGTATTTTACTTCCTTTCATTCCTGCTCTAAAACTTTTTAATAAACTTTCATTCCTGCTCTAAAACTTGCCTCAGTCTCTCACTCTGCCTTATGCCCCTCCATCAGATTCTTTCTTCTGAGGAACAAGAATTGACGTTGCTGCAGACCTGTATGGATTCGCCACTGCCAACACTCCCACCTCAGCCCTCTGAATAAGCAGGACAACAGGTGTGCATCATCATGCTCAGCTAATTGTGTGTGTGTGTGTGTGTGTGTGTGTGTGAAGACGACTTTTCACTATGTTGCCCAGACTTGTCTCAAACTCCCGGACTCAAGTGATCCTCCTTCACTGGCCTCCGAAAGTGCTGGGATTACAGGCATAAGCCACCATACCCAGCCCCTCAGAAATATTTTTTTATTTGTGTTTTTCAAAAGCTTATTTTGGAGTACAAATGCCACCAATTTGACTATTCCATCTCTATGTTAAGTATACTGGGTAGTTCGAATTTCATAATATAATTTACAGAAGATGGGAACAACCTCAGTAAATAACTCAAAATTTATCTGTGTGTTCAAGACCACACTCATTTATTCAACCTATATTTGTTGAGCACTAACTATGTGCTAGACATTGTCCTAAACACTGATGGGTATACTTCAAAAGATAAAAATACAGTTGGTTTTCACAGCATGTAATAAGTTCCCTGAAACATTTTGAAAGAAAAGTGGTGACCCAAATATATGTTGTACTACAATAATTCATTGGTGGTTGAACACCAGATAATGTACTCTGGGGACCTAGGCAAAGAATATGAGCATATCACCACCTGAATAAAACCATGAATTAGTTACAAAAGCAGAATCCCAATCGATTTCCAGATTGGCATCAAGGTAAACCAAACAGTGTTACAAATCCAACTCAGGCAAACAAGAGATTAATGAGCTAATAAAAAAAAAAAAAGCAAGCAAGTCACAGACTAAGAGGAAACCAATGCATAAAAAAGTTCAAAATAGGGCTGGACGCAGTGGCTCACACCTGTAATCCCAGCACTTTGGGAGGCCAAGGTGGGCAGATCACGAGGTCAGGAGTTTGAGACCAGCCTGGCCAACATGGTGAAACCCCGTCTCTACTAAAAATACTAAAATTAGCCAGGCGTGGTGGCTAATTTTAGCTAGCTGTAATCCTAGCTACTCGGGAGGCTAGGAGAATCACTTGAACCCGGCAGGAGAATCACTTGAACCCTGGAGGTGGAGGTTGCAGTGAGCTGAGATCACGCCACTGCACTCCAGCCTGGGCGACAAAATGAGACTCCGTCTGAAAAAAAAAAATTCAAAATAGAAGGGAGGTGAAACTGGCATAATTCTCTGAGTGTGGATTTAAGTATTCACCAATCTTGATGAATACTTAAATATAATGTTTGACATTGTGTCAGTGGCCTCAAGCCTAATCATGCTAGTGTAATAATCTTTTTTGGCTTTTGCATTTTCTTTCTTTCTTTTTTCTTCTTCTTATTTTTTGAGATAGAGTCTCCCTCTGTTGCCCAGGCTGGAGTGCCGTGGCACAATCTCGGCTCATTGCAACCTCCGCCTTTCGGCTTCAAGTGATTCTCCTGCCTCAACCTCCCGAGTAGCTGGAACTACAGGTGTGCTCCACCATGCCTGGCTAATTTTTGTATTTTTGGTAGAGATGGGGTTTCGCTATGTTGGCCAGGCTGGTCTCAAACTCCTGGGCTCAAGTGATCTGTCACCCTCAGCCTCCCAGTGTGTTGGGATCACAGATGTGAGCCACTGCGCCTGGCTCCTTTTGCACTTTCAAGACAGTTATAAGCAACTTATATAAGTTATAAGTTATTTTAGAACAAATTAAGTAATACTTATGCACAGTCTGAATAACAACGAAGTTCTAAGTCACATTCGTTTCTCTTTATTTTCTCTTGGCTTTCTTCTATTTGCATGGCCTCAAGTATCACCTCAATACTCAATCTGTAACCCGTAAGAGCAGCCCAAGCAAATGACTTGGCACATCTTCCAAATTCTAGTGATGCATCACCAAATGCTTGCTGGCCATTTTCCCCGACTGTTTTGACATCTCAAACTCACGATGTCCCAGACATCACCTTCCTGGAAATGTATCTATCCTGCTGTAATCATATGCACCCCCTTCATGGTGCATGTGATCACCATGGCACCACCCCCATCCCTTTTCTTCTAAACTCCTTCCTCTTCCAAGTCTCCCAGATTCAGAACCTCAAAGCTGTCTTTGATTTTTGTGTCTGAATCACTATCCTTCTAGCTTACAATTCCCATCCAGGCTCAGATTCATACTAAATCGAGGTAATCAGTGAGGTAGTCTTTACATATGTTTGATTTTTATTTGTATATGCTATAGAGAGGCATATCTCTGGGTCATATTCATGACCTCTTTTTAATGCCTCTTTTTATTTTTTTTGGCCACTTTAAGAAGATGTAGAAGAGATGTATGTGGTTGCAGCAAGTTGTTTTATTTGTATTCATGAGTGCTGCCAGTCTGCTGAAAAATGCTTGTCGATGATGGACTGTTCTCAGTTATCCATTCCCTAGTTTTCTCTGTGAAAGAGAAATTGGTCACCTTTCACTCCAGCCTGGGCAACAGAGCAGGACCCTGTCTTAAAAATAAAATCGATTACTTTTATTGAACAGTATAAAAAAGAGGATAACATTCCATCAAGTGTAATAGTGACAGAAAAATAAAACTGTGCTTTCCTTTTCCAAAAAAAAACCAAAAAAAAAAAAACCAGGTATTGTCCTAAAGCAGCAATCCTCAGTGATGTAGACTGAATATTTGTGTTCTGCCAAAATTCATATGTTAAAATCTGTTGCCAAAATGTGATGTGATTACGAGGTGGGGTCGTTGGAAGGTGACCAATGACCGAGGCTGGAGCCCTTATAAAAGAAACTCCAGGCTGGGGGCAGTAGCTCACACCTATTTGGGAGGCCAAGGTGGGTGGATCGCTTGAGCCCAGGAGCTCAGATACCAGCCTGGCCAACACGGCAAAACCCCATCCCTACTAAAATGACAAAAATTAGGCAGGTGTGATGGCATGCTTGTAGTCCCAGCAGCTTGGGAGGCTGAGGCAGGAGAATCACTTAAACCCAGGAGGCAGAAGTTGCAGTGAGCTGAGATCATGCAAGCACACTCCAGCCTGGGCGACAGAGTGAGACTGTCTCAAAAAAAAAAAAAGAAACTCCAGAGAGATCCCTTCCTTTTCTGCTCTTCCACCATATGAGGACACAGTGAAAAGACAGCTGCCTGTGAAACAGCAAGCTGGCCCTGATCAGACACTGAAATCTGCCAGTATCTTGATGGTGGACCCCCCCAGCCTCCAGAACTGTAAAAAATACATGCTAATTGTTTATAAGCCACTCAGTTTATGATATTGTGTTGTAGCAACATGAACTAAGACAGTACTTAATTATGCTTTTTCATATTCTGGAAACAACATTTTAAGACAGTGATTCTCTTTCAGGGTATCTGTAACATCCAAATAATACAAACATAATAATACTGAAGGAAACCAGAATATGCCACCCCAAAATATGCTGCTTTGACATAAAAATTATTTTCAGGCTGACGGCATTACAAAGCAGCAAACAGAAGAAAAGCTATCTCTATCCAACCCCTTTTCTCCCTTAATTTTTCTTTACTGGAGACAACCCTAGACTCTTACCAGCCCAGACATGGCACCAGAGGAATCTGCAAACAAACTTTACTGCACTAGTTTCCTCCCATATATTTTACCTTCCCACAGTTTCTAAGCCACTGCTTTGAATTACTTTTCATTGAGATTTCTCTGCATGATGTGTGTTATATTCATCAATAACTTAACTTTTCTCTTGTTAATCTATCTTTCATTATAGAAATCCCAGCTAAGAACTAGGAGGAGTTTAGGAAAAAATTAATTAGTTTTCCTCCTGACAATGCCAAGATAGAATGTTAATATGCAACATGTTCATCATTGCTATTTTAAAATCAATCAATATTTAAAATTTTCTTTGTTTCAATTACCAAAACATTAAGTGTTGATAGTTATAATCCACATAGACAAAAGTTCTTTGAGATACTCAGTAAGTCCTACAAGTACAAAGTGGTACAGAAACCAACAAGCCCAAGTGTATTAATATGATTTTATTACATTAGTATTATACTATAGTATTATATTACTAGACTTTGAAATGGGCATAAAAGGGTACCAGGTGTCATATTATGCACACCTTTCTGGGTTATCTCTTGTCATTATCTATGAGGTATTTTATAACTCTGTAAATTGTAGAGAGCTAAGAATAATACACATGATTTCTGACCATAGAAATGCAGATGAATTGTGTGCTGGCAGAAAGCAACTGATTATTGCCCTATGGATATTGACAACTTTCACCAGTTTTGCAGCTATTTTAAAATGTATTTCAGCATTCCTGATTGCCTACGTATCGTTAGCATTTTAGATTTTCCTTTGAACCACATGTCTCTTGATAAACTAGGAGTTCTTCATTGATAAGAGTTATGTATTCTTTATTCCCTTATCATCTAATTGGTGCTATAATCATTGGGGGGAGTTAAATAAGGTCAGTCTAACTGGTAAGTATTTGAGTATGAGAATGTTAATACTTGCCTTATTTTTTTATAGGGTTTCCTTTATTTTAGTAATTTACTTTCCTGCAGTATTTGTCCTTAATTCTATATAAATTTTTTACAGATTATACAATTAATTAGCTGAAGTGAAACAACAAAAGTTAGAAAAAGCAAAGCAAGAAGATTGTACCCAAAATAGAGCAAGGGAAAAAATTTATAAGGGGAGCAGGCAGATGGGGAGAGGGACTTCAGTGTTTCAAGCCTAAAGCATACCACAACTGAAACTGTTAAATTTAATTTTTATTCGCTCTACAGAAAACACTAGAGAAACTTTGAGCCAAAAATACATGCTGACTTTATACAGTGTAAAGAGTTTTAAAAATTATGTGTACTACTAGACAAAATTATTTAAAGTCAATACCTTTTTCTTCAAGGAATTTCACATCTTGTGATTCCTTCCCTGCTCATCAAGGTTACCTTAGTTTCTCTAAAGATTGAGTCAAGATTTATCTTCAAGATAGTGCTTTTCAAAAGAATTGATGCATAATCCACAGTTGTCCTGTCTGCCCACAGTTCTTTTATTTTGGTTCATTTTATCTCCACTTGAATATGGACATACTGATGCCACTTTCAAAAATTCTCTACATTTTAAAAAATAAATGGCTCTCAATTTCTGACATCCTCTCTAAACCCAAATGAGTTCAAATCATATTTGTTCATAAGTTGTCACACTGAAGAATAGCATGGGATATACCACTACCTTCAAATCCAGACATTATGTCCTCAAGATAAAAGGCTTAACCAAAAAAAAAAAAAGTCCATCTCGATGTATTATGCCAACATGAAACTGGAATAGTAAATCAACATAGCTGAAAATTTCCCCATGTCGTATGCTTTTTATTTTTTATTTTTGTTATTTATTTGTTTTTTGAGACAGATTCTCACTGTGTCACCCAGGCTGGAGTGCAGTGGCATGATCATGGCTTACTGCAGCCTCAACCTCCTGGGCTCAGGCGATCCTTCCACCTCAGCCTACTGAGTAGCTGGGACTACAGGCACATGCCACCATGCCTGACTAATTTTTGTATTTTTTATAGAGGAGGTTTCATCTTGTTGCCCAGGCTGGTTTTATGCTTTTAAATGATCAGCTCTACAGGCTTGGAGCCAACCTTTATGGTTATCAATACCCCCATAACTTTAACCTGTCTTAGGTATCAGACTATTCCTTTTTTATTTTTTCCTTGCTCTGTCGCCCAGGCTGGAGAGCAGTGGTGTGATCACAGCTCACTGCAGCCTTGACCTCCTAAG
This sequence comes from Homo sapiens, assembly GCF_000001405.40. NCBI lineage: Eukaryota > Metazoa > Chordata > Mammalia > Primates > Hominidae > Homo > Homo sapiens. The sequence goes on from NC_000017.11 coordinate 69,354,928, forward strand.
CTCAGTTGATCCTCCCACCTCAGCCTTCTGAGTAGCTGGGATCACAGGTGTGTGCCACCATGGCTGGCTAATTTTTGCTTTTTTTGTAGAGACGAGGGTCTCACTATGTTACTCAGGCTGGTCTTGAACTCTTGGTCTCAAGCAATCCTCCCACTTGGCCTCCCGAAGTGCTGGGATTACAGGCACCAGCCAGCACACCTGGCCTAATACTCCTTCTTATATGTGTCAAAAATCATACTAAACAATTAGTTCTGGGTTGCAAATGAGGATTTGTTTTTTTGCGTCTGTCCATACATTTTTGTTAATATTTGTCCTCTTTTGGGAGTTTTAATTCCTTTATTCCTCAAACAGGTGCAACCCATAACAGACCTCCTGTATTAGTTATTTCCTTCTCCAACATTTCTCTTTCTTTTTTCCTTTTCTTGTGTTATTCATCAATTCCACCCCCAAAATCCAATGAATTGAGTTAGGCAGGGCACGTATTTGTGTGTGCATATAAGGAGATTGTGGCAAAGGTCATATATGATACTCCTTTTTTTTTTTTTTTTTTTTTTGAGACAGAATCTCGCTTTGTTGCCCAGGCTGGAGTGCAGTGGTGTGATCTCGGCTCACTGGAACCTCAGCCTCCCAGGTTCAAGTGATTCTCCTGCCTCAGCCTCCAGAGTAGCTGGGATTACAGGCATGCACCACCACGCCTGGCTAATTTTTGTATTTTTAGTAGAGATGGGGTTTTGCCATGTTGGCCAGGCTGGTCTCAAACTCCTGACCTCAGGTGATCCACCCTTCTCGGCCTCCCAAAGTGCTGGGATTACAGGTGTGAGCCACCACACCCGGCCATGATATTACTATTAAGCATACAAAACAAGTATGGAGTATACTCTTGTAGTGGATAAAAGGTATACAGACATAGAATACAGATCTCCTGCCCCCAGAGTTTATTATTACCTGGAAGAGGAGAAAATACATTTATAGAAATAATGTGTTGCAAGGAGGAAATTCTATAAAAGTGATACTGATAGAATGACATAGGCCTTCTGAAGAAGAAGAGAATCCTTCCTGCTTGGGAGGTAAGAATAAATTCAGGGTGAACTATTGCATTACGAATTTCTCATCTTGAGATTCTAATTAAGTTTAAAAAAAAAAAAACACACAACTAGCTCAGGCATGGTGGCTCACACCTGTAATCTCAGCATTTTGGGAAGCTGAGGCAGGAGGATCCCTTGAGCCCAGGAGTTCTGGCTGCAGTGAGCTATGATTGTGCCACTGCACTCCAGCCTGGGCAACAGAGCAACAGGCTGTTAAAACATCCTCTCTGTCACACACACACACACACACACACACACACACTACATAGAATGGAAGTTTTCTTCACTGGGGAGATCTTATACCTTACCAAAGGTTTTCAGTTGGGAGAATATTTTTTCAATAAACATAATAAAGTGGTATTAATAAGAAATGCACAGTATATGGACTATATATATATATATATTTAAGTTTTGTCAAGTTTTAATAAAATGGTTAAGAGTATCTGGTGTGGAAACAAACTCCTGAGTTTTAATTCTAATTCTACCACCTTCTGGCAATGTGACCGAGGGTAGATAACTGTTCAATATCTGCAAAATGCAGATTATTATAGATGTTGTTCTTCAGTTGTGAGCACTAGATGTGATAACAGTGCATTCAAAGCAGACTCGAAGGCCGGACTCGAAGGTGGTGGCTCACTCCTGTAATCCTAGCATTTTGGGAGGCTGAGGCGGGCTGATCGCTTGAACTTGGGAGTTGGAGACCAGCCTGGCTAACATGGCGAAACCACATCTCTACAAAAATACAAAGATTAGCTGAGTGCAGTGGCACGCACCTGTGGTTCCAGCTATTCAGGAGGCTGAGGTTGGGGGATTGCTTGAGTCTGGCAGACAGAGGTTGCAGTGAGCCAAGATCACACCACTGCAGTCCAGCCTGAGCAACAGAGCGAGTCTAAAAATAACAATAATACAGTTAAATTAAAAAATAAAGAAAAACCCAAAACAGACTCAAAGAGAAATGTTATTTTAGAGTCAATAAGAGTAGTAGCAGCAGGAATACAAAGACTTGAATAAAAAGCTAGAAGTTGCCAGATTTTTTGGTCTTCTAACTTATTAGAAAATACATTTGTTTGGATAAACATTGGAATAAATAAATACATTTTTTACTAAGTAGATACCTGTTAACTTTCTGCTGAAAATTCATGACAAGCCAATAAAATTCTGCACTGGAAAACAAACAAAAAGCAAACATAAAAGGGCTAACCAAACTCATTTTAAAAACATACATTCATATTTGCATGATAATGCATAAGAGCCAAACCAGTTTAATTCAAATTGCATAACAATTTCAATAAACATGATGTTTCATGTATATAAAATAAAATACATATTAATTGCCATTAGATGCCATTACTAGCTTACCCCATTATGTATTAAGTTCATATAACAAGTGTAAAACTTTTAGAGAAATCCACACTTTGACTTTCATCTTGGTTCTGTAAATAACAAGACTGCTATATAAACAGTTGTTTTGAATAAACATTAGAAATACACAACTTTCCGTACTGACATTTTTTCTAGAATTTTTGGCATAGTAAGTCATTATTTTATATCATAGCACAATAAAATAGTTTCTAAATAAGGCCTGAGGTTAATTTTCCCACCTTTGCATAGAAATTACATTCTATACTTGGTCATGCCGTTCTCTGTTGTGGAAGGTGAACTATGCTGTAAAACTAACAGGGTCTAGTTTAGTGAAAACCAGACAGGCTTCCTGGCCCACCTGTGCTGACTGTATAAAAGCATGTCCTAAGCTGAGAGCACAGATTACTCAATGGTTCATTCAGGCATAAGAACTCAGCAGCCACACTAGAGCAATATTTTGACATAGCCTAGAAAAGCACTGCCCTCTGTGGGTAGTTATAGAAGGGTTTGTTAGGACGTGTTGGAGCCAGATACTATGAACTCCCAAAGCTGATAGCCAGCTGAACTGATTGCCTCGTGTGTTTGCTTGGAAGAGACCAGCCACCTGGCCACATTTGCTCATTAGCATCTACAGTGAAATGAGTGCCACTAAGGCCCACATTCAACCCATGGTTGCAAGTGAAAAGAACCAATGCTCTTGGGTGAAACATCTTTTGTGTTCTCCAGGATGCTGGTGATGGCCCCTGGCTTGACTGGAAATTCATGATCCCCAGATAATTCAGAACATCTAAGCCACATAAAACTACCAACTATGTTGCTTGCAGGTATCATAGATGACCAGGCAGACTATCCTACCTGTGCCTAGGTGGTCTGCAAAAAATGTTGCCTTCACAGCAGTGATCGTGAGCCAGCCCACATTCATAGATTCATAGAAGTCTAAGTCCTGGCAAACGTAGCTGCTCTGTTTCTGAGTCAAGTACCTCTGTTTAGAATATCATAGCTTCAAACTAGGGTACACCATTCCCTCTGTACTGTCCACACTGTTCGTAAATAAGGGAATTTAAGGTTTGCCAGCATTATCTTGATTCATTTCAATTCATTTTATTCATTTATTTAACAAATGTTTATTAAGTGCCTACTATGTGCAAAGCACTGTACTAGGTGCTAAAGGTAGAGCAATGAACAAAACACACATCACACACACACACACACACACACACACACACACACAGAGTTTCAGTGGAGGAGGGAAAAAAATAAACAAGATAAAAAGTAAAGCATATGAAATGTTACCCCATGTGAAGGAGAAAAATAATTAAGTTGGCAAGAGAGATGCTGTGGTTTCAATGTCCCCCCAAATTCATGTGTTGAAACTTAATCTCCATTGTGGTAGTAGTGAGAAGTAGGGCCTTTTGGGAAGTGGTTAACTCATGAATGAATTAGCACCTTAGAAAAGGGCTGGAGGGAGCTAGCTGAGACCCTTTTGCTCTTCCTCTCTTCACCAGGTGAGGGCACAGCATTCATGTCCTGTTGCCCTTCCCCCCTCTGTCATGTGAGGATGTTGTTGCAAGAAGATGCTTTTACTGGAACAGACCCTCAAAGAAGCTGCCAGTGCTTTGATCTTGGACTTGCTCGCCTCCAGAACTGTGAGAAAAAAAAAATTCTATTATTTATAAATTACCCAGTCTGTGTTATTTTGCTCTTGCAGTACAAACCAGGCAGACCAACCTACCTGTGCCTAGGTGGTCCGCAAAAAAATGTAGCCTTCACAGCAGTGTTCGCAGAGCCAGCCCACATTCATGGATTCATAGAAGTCTAAGTCCTGGCAAACTGACAGAAGAGCTATGGCATTGGGAGAGTGGGAATCTAAATTTTAGATGAGATAGCTAAGGATACCTCAATTAAAATGTGACATTGTAGGCAAAGATTTCATGGCTAAGACTTCAGAAGCATAGACAACAAAAACAAAAATAGATAAATGGGACTCTACTAAGCTAAAAAGTTTCTGTACAGCAAATAAAACAATCAACAGAGTGAAAAGATAACCTGTTGAATGGGAGAAAATGTTTGCAAACTATTCATCCTACAAGGGACTAATATCCAGACTATACAAGGAACTGAAACAACTCAACAGTAAAAAAAAAAGCAAGTAATCCCATTAAAAATTGGGCAAAGGACATCAACAGACATTTCTCAAAAGAAGACATACAAATGGTCAACAGGCAAATTTTTTTAAAAAGTGCAACGTTACTAATCATCAGGGAAATGCAAATCAAACCCACAATGGCATATCATCTTTCCCCACTTAGAAAGGCTATTTTTTTTTAATTAATTTATTTTTTTGAGATGGAGTTTCGCTCTTGTTGCCCAGGCTGGAGTGCAATGGCACAATCTCAGCTCACTGCAACCTCCTCCTCCTGGGTTCAGGTGATTCTCCTGCCTCAGCCTCCCAAGTAGCTGGGATTACCAGCATGTGCCACCACACCCAGCTAATTTTTGTATTTTTGGTAGAGACGGGGTTTCTCCATGTTGGTCAGGCTGGTCTCAAACTCCCAACCTCAGGTGATCCACCTGCCTCAGCCTCCCAAAGTGCTGGGATTACAGGTGTGAGCCACCGCACCCAGCCATAGAATGGCTATTATTAAAAAGACAAAGAAATAACAGATATTGGTGAGGATGCAAAGAGCAAACTCTTACACACTGTTAGTGAAAATGTAAATTAGTACAGCCACTATGGAAAACGGTATGGAGGCTTCTCAAAAAAATAAAAACCTGAACCACCATAGGACCCGGCAATCCTACTGCTGGACATTTATCCTAAGGAAAAGAAATCAGTATATCAGAGAGATACCTGCATTCATGTTTATTGCAGCAGTATTCACAAAAGCAAAGATATGGAATCAACTAAGTGATCATCGTCAGGTGAATGGATAAATAAAATGTAATATATATACACAATGTAATACTTTTCAACCATAAAAAATTAAAATCATGTCATTTGCCTCCAACATGGCTGGAACTGGAGGTCATTATGTTAAGTGAAGTAAGTCAGACACAGAAAGACAAATTTTTCATGTTTTCACCCATATATGGAAGCTAAAAAAGTTGATCTCATGGATGTAGAGGACAGAATGGTAGATACCAGAGGCTGGGAAGGTTGTATGAGTTGAGGGGAGGGGACGAAGAGAGGTTGGTCAATGGGTACAGCTGATAGAAGGTGTAAGTTCTAGTATTAGATAGCAGAGTAGGATGATAATATTAATAGTTATCAACAACTTATTGTATATTTCAGAGTAACTAGAAGAGAGGCTGGGCACAGTGGCTCATGCCTGTAATCTCAACACTTTGGAAGGCTGAGGCAGGCAGATCACTTGAGGTCAGGAGTTCAAGACCAGTCTGGCCAACATGGTGAAATCCTGTCTCTAAAAAAAAAATGCAAAATTAGCCAGGCATGGTGGCAGGCACCTGTAATCCCAGCTACTCGGGAGGCTGAAGCAGGAGAAGCACTTAAACCCTGGAGACTGAGGTTGCGGTAAGCTGAGATCGCTGCCACTGCATTCTAGCCTGGGTGACAGAGCGGGACCCCATCTCAAAAAACAAAATGAAACAAAACAAAAAACCTGTAGCTAGAAGAGAAAACTTGAGATGTTTCTAACACATAGAAATGATAAATACTCAATGTGATGGGTACCCCCAAATACCCTGACTTGATCGTAACACATTTGCTGCAACAAAATATCACATGTACCCTGAAAATATGTAAAATATTATGTATACATTTTAAAAATGTGACTTTGGAGTTGAAACTTGAAGAAGATGAGGAAGCCAGCTGTGTGAATTTCAAGCCAGCCAGCTGTCTTTTCTGGCAGGGAGAATAGTAAGTGCAAAGGCCCTGAGGAGGGTGCATGTCCATTTTGTTCTGAGAACAACAAGCAGGGCAGAGGAAGTGGGAAAGAGTGACTGATGGAAAGAATGAGAATGAGGTCAGAGAGGTAATGAAGTGAGGGCAATACAGGGCTTTGTATCAGACCCCATTAGAGCTGCACCTTACATGCTATCAGCCATCCTTTAACTCCAGCTACTGCTTAGGCAATTAGCAGCACAGATGTAATCCCACAGCACCTCTTCTGATGGCTATTTATCTCTTGCTCCTTCCCCACTGTGGCATGGAACACTTGCATGAACCCCTTAGCCCTGTGCATGCCAGGAATCCTTATGGGGTATGGGAGCAAATGGATAATTACATCCTTCTTCTATCCTTTGCAGGACCATTCTGAGGGAATACAGAGATAGCTTGTTGAGATTCCTCAGAGGGACCCAGCTCCAATTTTGCCCATTGTGGAGGTCAGCTCAATAACACACACTTGGATTTCCTTTCCTTCCTTCCTTGTTTCACTTTTCAAACAGTCTTCATTTGGGGAATCATTTTTAACCATAAACTACCTGCACACAGCCCTATACCAGGCTCTACTTTGGGTGGGGAGGAAACCAGAGCTAAGACAACTAGTAGATCATAGTAAGAACTTTGGCTTTTTTTTTTCTTTTTTTCTTTTCTTTTCTTCTCTTTTCCTTTCCCCTTCCTTCCTTCCTTCCTTCCTTCCTTCCTTCCTTCCTTCCTTCCTTCCTTCCTTCCTTTTCTTTCTTTTCTTTTTGGCAGTGTCTCACTCTGTCACCCAGGCTGGGGTGCAGTGGTGCCATCTGGGCTTACTGCAACCTTCATCTCACGGCTTCAAGAGATTCTCCTGCCTCAGCCTCCCAAGAAGCTGGGATTACAGGAGTGCACCACCACGCCCAGCTAATTTTTGTGTTTTTAGTAGAGGCAGCGTTTCGCCATGTTGGCCAGGCTGGTCTCAAACTCCTGGCCTCAAGTGATTCACCCACCTCGGCCTCCCAAAGTACTGGGATTACAGGTATGAGCCACCATGCCCGGCCAGAACTTCAGCTTTTACTCAAAGTGAGATGGGAGCCACTGGAGAATATTTGAGCAGAGACGTAAGGTGATCTGACTTCTACTTGAAAAGGATCACTCACTCTCACCTGCTGGGTTGAGGACAGACTGCCTTAGAAATGGCACAGTCAGGGGGACAAGTTAAGCTACTGCAATAATCCAAGTAAGAGATGATGATGTCCTGGACTAAGATGGTGGCTGTGGAGGTGGTGATCAAAGTTAACTTCTGAATAAATGTTGAAGGTGGAGCCTATGGATTTGCTCATGAATTGGATGTGGGTTAGTACCATAGACAAAATGTGTTCCCTAGTTTCCAATTCATATGCTGCAACCCTAACCCCCCAGTGTGATGGTATAAGGAGGCAGGGCCTTTGAAAAGTAATTACATCATGATAGTGGAGTCTTCATGAATGGGATTAGTGCTTTTACACAGAACTCTGAAATGGTCAGAGTTCTTTCCTTTTGCCATGTGAGGACACAAGGAGAAGATGGTTGTCTACGAGCCAGAAAGTGGCCCTCACTAGACACAGAATCTGCCAGCACCTCAATCTTGGACTTCCCAACTTTCAGAAGAAATATTAACAAATGTCTATTGTTGAAGCCCTGCAGCCTATGGTATTTTGTTATAGCAGCCTGAGCAGAATAAAACACTCTATATTCTCAAGATCCACTTTGGAATTTTATTTTATTTTATGAAATGAGATAAGATGAAATGAGACAGGGTCTCACTCTGTTGCCCAGGCTGGAGTACAGTGGCACCATCTCACCTCACTGTAGCCTCTGCCTCTCAGATTCAAGCTCCCATCTCAGCCTCCCAAGTAGTTGAGACTACAGGCATGCACCACCACACCCTGCTAAGCTTTTGTTTATTTTGTGGGGCACAAGGTCTCACCATGTTGCCCAGGCTAGTCTTGAACTCCTGAGCTCAAACGATCTGCCCTGGGCCCTCCTCTCCTCAAAATAGTGCTGGGTTTACAGGTGTGAGCCACCACACCCGGCCCACTTTGCAATTTTAATGATAGTTTTTCTTCTCCTACAGACCCAAAGTTTTCAATATAAAATTCAAATTGCGGTGTCTAAAATTCAATTTGGTACTAGAGAGGTCAATCAAAATCACAAGTACAGTGAAAAGGCTTCACAGCAGTCCTTCCTACGTGTATGTTTTCTCCAAATGTAAGATGTACCTGGAAAGAAAATCTCACTATGTTGGAAAAGCCTATGCCCTTGCCAACAGAAATAATTTTTAAGCCAAACATGTATTAGCACAAAAGCAGGCAATCTCTATTCCAAAGGAAGGTTGCAACACTCCTTTTCTTTGTACAACAGATGTGTGCCAGCCTTTAGGTTATAGAATGGTTAAACAATCTTTCTCCCAAACTACTGCTGACGGATCACTGACTAATCAAAGAAGAAATGCTTCCTCCAAGTTAGAGTGATTATTTCACTCTAACTTAAGGGTTATAACTATAGGGACATAGAACAGGTAAGTCCAAAGAACAGAGCTGTATGACTCAGGAGCCTTTGCGTATTTTTCACAATAATAAGTTATGGTATCTATTTATTGTATTACTATATTGGTAATATTGGTATTTATTGTATATATTATTTATTGTATATGTTATTCATTGTATACATTATTATATTGGTAATATTGGTATTTATTATATATTATTTATTATATATAATATACAATTATTGTATACAATATATTGTGTATATTATTGTATATTATATATTGTATATATTTATTGTAGATATTATTATCAGTAGTATTTACTGTATTGTTATATTGGTTATGCTAATCTGAACAAGCAGATCCATGAGTCTGCAATACTTACACACTTGTTAAAGTGTCTGAATGTTAAATGAAGTTGCATTGATTGCCTATATTTGTGTTTCAGCAGCCCAAGTACCTGAGAAAAATGCCTCTTAACTCTAACAAAAATTTTTTACACATAAATCAAATCTGAACATGACATTATTATTTTTTTTTAATTTTTATTGAGACAGAGTCTTGCTCTGTCACCCAGACTGGAGTGCAGTGGCGTGATTTTGGCTCACTGCAACCTCCACCTCCCAGGCTCAAGCAATTCTCATGCCTCAGCCTCCTGAGTAGCTAGGATTACAGGCATGCCTCACCACACTCCACTAAATGACTTAATTTTCAATTTAAATATTGTAGAACTCAGTTTAGCTATCTGTTGGATTAAATGTCAGGCACACTGGCCAGGCGTGGTGGCTGATGCCTGAAATCCCAACACTTTGGGAGGCTGAGGCGGGCGGATCACCTGAGGTCGGGAGTTCTAGACCAGCCTGACCAACATGGAGAAAACCTGTCTCTACTAAAAATACAAAATTAGCTGGGCATGGTAGTGCACGCCTGTAATCCCAGCTACTCAGGAGGCTGAGGCAGGAGAATCACTTGAGCCCGGGAGGCAGAGGTTGCAGTGAGCAGAGTTTGCGCCATTGCACTCCAGTCTGGGCAACAAGAGCGAAACTCCATCTCAAAAAAAAAAATAAATAAGTCAGGCACATCCTTAATTTACTAGATCAGCCTTCACATCTGTAATTGAAGTAATAATCTCTTTGTTAATGTTATCTATAAGGCAAGGGAATACTTTGACTTAATTAAAAAGAAAATGTCTGTGAATGAGTATATCTTCTCAGAAAAAGCTTCCTTGCTTACGCTGCAATCAAATCAAAGAAACACTGAGTTTGTCAGTAAAACCCAATAGAGAACATATTTGTAATTTAAAAATGGTTATAATTGTACAAATGATCATTATGTAATTAAGCAATATGAGTTCAGCACATTTGCCCTGATGGAAAAAAAAATAGCTTTTCTTTTTTTTTTTTTTTTGAGATGGATTCTCACTCTGTCACCCAGGCTGGAGTGCAGTGGCGCAGTCTTGGCTCACTGCAACCTCCGCCTCCCAGGTTCAAGCAGTTCTCCTGCCTCAGCCTCCTGAGTAGCTGGGATTACAGGCGCGTGCCACCACACCCAGCTAATTTTTGTATTTTTAGTAGAGATGGGGTTTCACCATGTTGGCCAGGCTGGTCTTGAACTCCTGACCTCAAGTGATCCTCCAACCTCGACCTCCCAAAGTGCTGGGATTATAGGCTTGAGCCACCGCACCCTGTCAAAAATAAGTTTTCTGATACCAAAACAATCTCTGGTTTTATCCAGCCCTATGACCTTAGGAATTTTCCTAACTGATGTTTGCTTCAGTTTATTCTTATCTTAGATGGGTAATTCATTAAGTGTAAAATATTTAAAGGTAATTTTAATACACAAAGTTTTTAATTTTTTGTTTCTGTTTATTTTGATAATTCTCTAGAAAGCCCGAGTTTCCCTGTTCTTCTCTTAGCCCTGCCAGCAGCCAGCTTTCTGATTTGGGGCAAATTATTTAACCTTGGATACTTTCATCTATAAAATGTGAGGACTGATCTTCATCTATAAATTGTGAAGACTGATTTGTACTATTTGGTTGAAATCTAATTTCTGTGATTATTTGCTTTTTTTATTATTATTTATTTTATGTTTATTTATTTTATTTTTTTGAGACATCTGTCATCCAGGCTGGAGTGCAGTGGCACGATCTCAGCTCACCGCAACCTCCGCCTCCCCAGTTCAAGTGGTCCTCATGCCTCAGCCAGCCTCCCAAGTACCTGGGATTACAGGCATGTGCCACTACGCCCAGCGAATTTTTGTATTTTTTGTAGAGACGAGGTTTCTTCATGTTGGCCTGGCTGGTCTCAAACTCCTAGACTCAAGTGATAACCTGCCTCGGCCTCTCAAAGTCCTGGGATTACAGGTGTGAGCCACCGTGCCTGGCCTATTTGCTTTATTTAAAGATTATCATTTGTTTTCCAAAAATTAAAGATCTTGTATATATTAAATTGATCTTTTATTTTTATGTATCGAGTTTCTTTCTTTCTCTCCTTCCCTCCCTCCCTTCCTTCCTTTTCTCTCTTTCCTTCTTTCCTTCTTTCTTTCTTTTCTTTCTTTCTCTTTCTCTTCTCTTTCTTTCCTTTCTTTCTTTCTCTCTTTCTTTCTTTCTTTCTTTCTCTCTTTCTTTTTCTTTCTTTCCTTCCCCTCCCTTCCTCCTTCCTTCCTTCCTCTCTTTCTTTCTTTCTTTCTTTCTTTCTTTCTTTCTTTCTTTCTTTCTTTCTTCCTTTCTTCCTTCTCTCTCTCTTTCTTTCTCTCTTTTTCTCTCTTTCTGTCTTTATAAAAAGACAGGGTCTTGCTCTGTCACCCAGGTTGAAATGCCATGGTATAATCATGGTTCACTGTAGTCTTCACCTCCAGAGATCAAGACATTCTCCCACTGCAGCATCCTGAGTAGCTGGGACCACAGGCACGTGCCACCATGCCCTGCTAATTTTTTTTTTTTTTTGGGTTGGGGGACGGAGTTTCGCTCTTGTTGCCCAGGCTGGATTCCGATGGCGCGATCTCGGCTCACCACAACCTCCACCTTCCGGGTTGAAGCAATTCTCCTGCCTCAGCCTCCCAAGTAGCTGGGATTACAGGCTTCTGCCACCACGCCTGGCTAATTTTGTATTTTTAGTAGAGACAGGGTTTCTCCATGTTGGTCAGGCTGGTCTCAAACTCCCGACCTCAGGTGATCTGCCTGCCTTGGCCTCCCAAAGTGCTGGGATTACAGGTGTGAGCCACAGTGCCCGGCCTTCCAGCTAATTTTTTAATTTTTTGTAGAGATGGGGACTTGTCATTGTGGCCAGGCTGTGTATTGAGTTCTAAAATCTATAAAGTTAGAACAACAGTGAAAGACTTCTTTTGTCATATGGTGAACCCCAACATTGGGGTTCAGCCTGGGAGGCTGCATGGGTTCTTGGCTTTGCATAGAATGGAATTCAAGAGTGAGCTTATGAAATAAAGTGAAAGCAAGTTTATTAGGAAAGTAAAGGAATAAAAGGGTGGCTAATCTATAGGCAGAGCAACCCTGAAGGCTGCTGGTTGGCTATTTTTATGATTATTTCTTGATCATATGCTAAACTAGGGGTGGATTTTTCATGACTTTTCCAGGAAAGGGGTGGGGAATTCCTAGAACTGAGGGTCCCTCCCCTTCAGACCATGTGGGGTAACTTCTGGATGTTGTCATGGCATTTGTAAGCTGTCTTGGGGCTGGTGGGAGTTTCCTTTAGTAGGCTAATATATTATAATTAGCATATAATGAGCAGTGAGGACGACCAGAGGTTGCTTTCATTGCCATCTGGGTTTTGGCTGCCTTCTTTACCGCATCCTGTTTTATCAGCAGGGCTTTCGTGACCTGTACTTTGTGAAACCAGTCTTGCTGAACTCCTTTCTTACTTTGAAATGGACAAAGAGTACTGAGTGTCCTGTCTAGAACACCCTTTGGGCTATCTCCACCTTTCATTGTCTTTGAGCTATTTTATAACTCCGTAAGATATAAAATACAGATAGTGATACAAATGATTCTTATCTGCAGAAATGCAAATTGTGTTCACTGATATGCAATTGAACATTGCCTTTGGATATTAACTTGTTTTACATTTACATTTATTTATTCACTCCAGCATTCCTAATACCTATACATGTGTAGTCTTTGAATTCTCCTTTGACTCAGTTCTAACATCTTATTCATTGCCTTATTAATTAATAAGTTAAATAAAATCTTGCACGTGTTCATTTTATGTTTGTATTTGAGTCATGATTTTAACCTTTCTAAAAAGTATCCTTTATGTACACATAATCTGGGAGGAAAAGAAAAAATTATCCTTTTTTTTTTTTTTTTTGAGACAAGATATTGCTCTGTCACCCAGGCTGGAGTGCAGTGGCATGATCATGGCTCACTGCAACCTCCACCTCCTGGGCTCAAGCAATCCTCCCACCTCAGCCTCCAGAGTAGCTGGGACCACAGACACATGCCACTACATTTGGCTAATGTTTGTATTTTTTGTAGAGACAAAGTTTTAGCCATGTTGCCCAGGCTGGTCTTGAACTCCTTGGCTCAAAGGATCCCCTACCTCGGCCTCCCAAAGTGCTGGGATTACAGGTATGAACCACTGCACCCAGCCAGAAATTATCCTAAAATTTACCCAAAACAGATTACTGTAAGGATGAAATAAGATGACACGTAATAATCACTTATAGCACACTGCCTGAGACATAATGATAGAATTATTATTTGTATTTAATCTACTGACCAAATGAGCTTTCATTCTGGTTAACAAGTATCATCTTCACAGCTTTCTTTTCTTTCTTTCTCTCTCTTTCTTGCTTTCTTTTCTCTCTTTCTTTCTTTCTTTCCTTTTTCTTTCTCTCTTTCTCTTTCTCTTTTTCTCTCTCTTTCTCTCTTTATAAAAAGACAGGGTCTTGCTCTGTCACCCAGGCTGAGATGCAGTGGTGTAATCGTGGTTCACTGTAGCCTTCACCTCCAGGGATCAAACCAGAATTAAAAATACAATAACATAAAAGATTTAGCTGAGATGGTTTAAAAATAGTGAAGACCACAGTAGACTTAAGAGAAAGACTTACATTTCATTAAAATACATATATTGTGTTATCAATGTTCAAGTATTGATATCTCACTTAAAACCATGTTTTGATTTCATATTAAATGCTTTTGAAATCCGCAAAGGGGCTAGCAGAGATTTATTACTACCTGAAGTGCCTAGGGGTGCAGAGGCTCAGGAAAAACTCCTGGAAATATATGCAGTGGAGTTTGAAGGGAACCATCTTCCCACTGTTCACAGTTCTCTCACTTACAGAGATCACTCACTTGTTGCAGATTAATTAATAATATGGCTTTTGTCACCATGGGGGGAAATATAAGGGGAAAGGGCAAATAAGAGTCAAAGTAAGGGAGTAAAAATTAACTTCCAGGCTAGGTGCGATGGCTCACACCTGTAATCCCAGCACTTTGGAAGGCCTGGGCAGGCGAATTGCTTGAGCTCAGGAGGTTGAGACTAGCCTAGGCAACATGGCAAAACTCACCAAAATTTAAAAAAAATTAGCTGGGCATGGTGGCACACACCTGAAGTCCCAGCTACTCAGGAGGCTGAGGTGGGAGGATCACCTGAGCCCCGGAGTTTGAGGCTGCAGTGAGCCGTGATTGTGCCACTGCACTCTAGCCTGGAAGACAGAGTGAGACCCTGGCTCAAAATAAATAAATAAATAGATATAAAAATAATTGTCCAACTGTCATATTTTTTAAAAGTCTCCAAGCCTAACTTATCACAAAAATAAACAGACTTTGCAGTGCAGATAAGTGAAGAATATTTTCTTTCTGTATGTGTTTCTATATTATTCCATTGAGCAAAGAAATCTGAGCTGGCTAGCATTCAAGATATGGTTTGGATAAAGAGGAAGGCTTCCTGATTACAAGCTTATAACATACTCCAACAGGTTTTCTAGGAACAAGATTGGGCTTCATTGAAATACATTAAATAGGTTGTAAGATGAAATGAGAAGGGTGAAAGTGGCAATAGAAATGTCTTCAAAGAACATCTCTCCTGAATACTAGGATGAGCAAAATAAACATGCAAACTGCTGACAAAAAGAGTTGAACTCTGTAAAATATTTGAAGAGATTTATTTTGAGCCAAATTTGAGTGACCATGGCCCATGCCACAGCCCTCAGGAGGTCCTGAGAACATGTGCCCAGGGTGGTCGGGGCTCAGCTTGGTTTTATACATTTTAGAGAGGCTTGAGACATCAAATACATTTAAGAAATACATTAGGCCAGGTGCAGTGGCTCATGCCTGTAATCTCAGCACTTTGGGAGGCCAAGGCGGGATGATCACCTGAGGTCGGGAGTTTGAGACCAGCCTGACCAACATGGAGAAACCCCGTCTCTACTAAAAATACAAAAAATTAGCTGGACGTGGTGGCGCATGGGTGTAATCCCAGCTACTCAGGGAGCTGAGGTAGGAGAATCACTTGAACCTGGGAGGCGGAGGTTGCAGTGAGCCAAGATCGCGCCATTGCACTCCAGCCTGGGCAACAAGAGCGAAACTCCGTCTCAAAACAAAACGAAACAAAACAAGAAAAGAAAAAGAAAGAAATACATTGGTTTGGTCCAGAAGGTGGAACGACTCAAAGTAGTGGGGGGCTTCCAGGCAATAGGTGAATTTAAACATTTTCTGGCTGACAATTGGTTGGGTTTGTCTAAAGACCTGGGATAGACAGAAAGGGAATGTTCAAGATAGAGACTGTGGAGACCAAAGTTCTTTTGAAGTTTTATAGTGGCTGCCTTTAGAGACAATAGATGACAAATGTTTCCTGCTCAGATCTTAGTTAATCTCTTTAGGATTGGGAGGATCTGGAAGAAAAAGATCTAGCTATGTTAATAGAGATTCTTTACAGATACAAATTTTCCCCTACAAAGAACAGCTTTGCAGGGCCATTTCTTTTTTTCTTTTCTTCTTCTTCTTCTTCTTCTTCTTCTTCTTCTTCTTCTTCTTCTTCTTCTTCTTCTTCTTCTTCTTCTTCTCCTTCTCCTTCTCCTTCTCCTTCTTCTTCCTCTTCTTCTTTCTTCTTTTTTTTCTTTTTTTTTTGATGGTGTCTCGCTCTGTCGCCCAGGCTGGAGTGCAGTGGCACTATCTCGGCTCACTGCAAACTCTGCCTCCCAGGTTCAAGCGACTCTTCTGTGATTCTCCTGCCTCAGCCTCTGGAGTAGCTGGGACTACAGGCGCGCCCCACCATGCCTGGCTAATTTTTGTATTTTTAGTAGAGACACGGTTTCACCATATTGGCCAGGCTGGTCTCGAACTCCTGACCTAGTGATCTGCCTGCCTCGGCCTCCCAAAGTGCTGGGATTACAGACGTGAGCTACTGCGCCCGGCCAGGGCCATTTCAAAATATGGCAAATAAACATGTTCTGGGGTAAAATATTTTGATTTTTTTCTTTGTCTTGTAATGTTATGCCAGAGTCAGTTTGGAAAGTAAATCATGATATATAGAGTTAACTAAAATCCATCTGAATTTATGACTTTTTAGGGCATGACTCCCCAGACTCCTTAGATAGGAACTTGGGCAAGATAAAATTTTTTTTTTATTTTTTGCCCCCAAAATCTTTTGAGTTTAGTCCCCAAAACAAATAAAGAAATGCAACCAACATTTATTAAATACTGACTAGGTGCCAGGTACTATTACAGCCAGGAAATTCTCTGTCCTTGGGAAGCTCACCTTGGGAGGGGGTGAGGATCAGAGCAGGAGAGGGGGACAGGGAATGAAATGAAGTAAATGACATGGTGTATTGGAAAGTGGTAGGTGCTAGGAGAAAAATGAAAACATCAAGCAGGGAAAGGGCTGAGGGCTGCAGTTTTAAATAGTTTGGTCAGAGGTCAGTTTGAGGTGATGTTTGAGCAAAGACAAGGAGGGGAAGGAGCAAGCCCTAAGCATGTGGGGTGGGGTGGGGGGAGGGGAGAATGTTTCAGGTAGAAAACCCTGAGGCAAGTAAACGCCCCTGCTTGAAGAATAGGAGGTCAGCTGGCCTCAGCAGAATGAGCAAGGTCAAGAAAAGTGGACAAAGGCAGAAAAGTAATGGGGTAAGGATGGAGGCAGATCCTTGTGGGCCCAGTGAGCCAGTCAGAAGTCTTTGATTTTCAATCTCAATGAAATAGGGAGCTACTGGAGAATTTGAAACCATGGGGCGATATCACCTGCCTTAAATTTCTAAAGGATCACTGGGGGGAGAAAAGGCATCAGCAATTGTGATCCAAAAGTGAAAGGGGTCAACAGAGAAAGAGATGGACAAGTCTATAACGAGAAACAGAGAAGTGCTTGTCTCTAAACCTTGTTCCTATGCCGCCCTCACCCCAACCTCCTACTGCCAAAAGGCATATTGGAAAGAATCCTCCCCCAAATCTGGGGACAATCAAATTGAGTTGGTTCATTTGCTTTTTTTCTCTTTGAACTGAAGATTAGTAAAAACTATTGTTGAAGGGGCAGGGGCGAGATAGAGGAATGAACAAGGAGGCTCAGTCTCCAATGGATATAAAACTCAGGGCCACACAAATCGAGTGGAATGACGCAAAAGGTGAATAAACAGATGACATGCACTGTAGAAAAAGAGACAAGAAGTCACCTGTACTATATCAGGACAAACACGAGGTCCAGGTAGAGCCATGCGAATCTTAGCAAAAGCAATAGCTTGGTAACAATATAAGTATCCTATGGGCGAAGAGGGAATGTAGCATGAAAGAGGCAAACAGCCACCTTAAAGGAAATCATAGGTCAACAACAATATAAAAAGGGATAATATTCACCCAAGGAAAAGCATTACAAGATTCAAAACAACGTAATTACACCACCAAATTTAAAAAATCTGAAATAACAAATAACAAAATATATACTATTGAGAATTGAATTACTGACATAGAGGAAAGGCTTTAGATAATCAACGTAAATGAATATAAAGAATATAGAGAATGAAGCAATAAATGAAGTCGAGAAGATTCAGGACACATGGCTGGGCACTGTGGCTCACACCTGTAATCCCAACACTTTAGAAGGCCGAGGCCAGAGGATTGCTTGAGGCCAGGAGTTTGAGAACAGCCTGGGCAACATAGTGAGATCCAGGTTCTAAAAAAAAAAAAAAATTTTTTTTTTTAAAAGAGAGATCCAGGACACAGACTAAAATAATCCAATAAAAATAATTTCTTTCCCTGAAATAGAGACCCCATCAGATGGTATAGGAGATGTATTTAAAAATAGACTTCAAGAGAATATCCTATACATCTAGAAAAAACTTCATCTCTCAATTTACAAGGACACAGTTTTTTCCTAGGAAAGTCTGATAAAGAAGGCTCAAATTCAACATGATGACTGAATCTCAATGATAGAAGAATTCTCTAGGCATCCAGGTAGAAAAAGCAAATCACCTTCAAGAGGACAGAGAAAAAGTTGGTGTTAGACTTCTCTATAACAGCCTTTGGAGTCCAAAGATGATAAAGCAAAGTCCACAAACATGCTACTCAATGCGGAGTCTGCAGATCAGTAGCATGAACATTACCTGGAAGCTTGTTAAAAATGTAGAATCTCAGGCCCAGTGCCAGACCTACTGAATCTACATTTTCAGCAAGCCCCCAGAAAATTCCCTTTGCATATTGAAGTTTGAGAATTATTAACCTACAAAGCTTTTATGGAACGAAGGTATTGCCAGGAATATTCAATTGCAGTTATTGTCATTCCATTTATAAGATCATATTCTCAAACATGAAATGACTTAGGGAATTAGCCCCCAGGTGCCCTTCTGAATGCTTGACAACAAACATTCATGTCTCAAAAAAGAATTCAAAAACAAAGAAGCAAGAAGTGAAAATACTGTGATAACTTTGAGTTCATCTGAATATAGAGCAAAAACAGCCATGACAGTTGTAGTCAAGGAAGTTAATGTGAATGCAATAAACTGGATGAAGTAAAAATGATATAACAGGGAAGAGAAAAGAAAGAATATTTTACTCTTTCACAGAAGACAGACTATACATACTGTCTAAAATCGAAGCATATTATGTTTTCTAAAAAGCATAATGACTCCAATATCTTAATGTTTCTATTGTTTACACTTGTTCCTTAAAAAAAAAATTAACCGCCGGGCGCGGTGGCTCACACCTGTAATCCCAGCACTTTGGGAGGCCAAGGCGGGCGGATCACGAGGTCAGGAGATCGAGACCATCCTGGCTAACACGGTGAAACCCTGTCTCTACTAAAAATACAAAAAAAAAAGTTAGCTGGGCGTGGTGGTGGGTGCCTGTAGTCCCACCTACTCGGGAGGCAGAGGCAGGAGAATAGCGTGAACCCGGGAGGCGGAGCTTGCAGTGAGCTGAGATCGCGCCACTGCACTCCAGCCTGGGGAACAGACAGAGTGAGACTCTGTCTCAAAAAAAAAAAAAAAAAAAAAAAAATTAACCTACAGACAAATTTTAGGAAATGAGTTCATCCGTGGTGAAAAGACACAAGAAATTCAACAATTTCACTTCCTTTTATTTTTGTTATACTAAATTCAAGAAAATTTAACATTTTAGTTATCATTTTTATAGGTTTTTTTTTTTTTTTGAGACAGTCTCTCTCTGTCGCCCAGGCTGGAGGGCAGTGGCGTGATCTCGGCTCACTGCAGTCTCTGCCTCTCAGGTTCAAGCAATTCTCCTGCCTCAGCCTCCCAAGTAGCTGGGATTACAGCCATGTGCCACCATGCCCGGCTACTTTTTTTTGTATTTTTAGTAAAGACTTGGTTTCACCATGTTGGCCAGGCTGGTTTCAAACTCCTGAACTAAGGTGATCCACCTGCCTCGGCCTATCAAAGTGCGAGGATTACAGGCGTGAGTCACCACACCCAGCCCATTTTTATAGTCACAGCATTTATAGTTAACATTTTTACAAAAGCATTTTGATCTTTCTCTTTTTAACCCTCCATCCATCCATCATTGATCTTTTTTTTTTTTTTTGAGACGGAGTCTCGCTCTGTCACCCAGACTGGAGTGCAGTGGCATGATCTCGGCTCACTGCAAGCTCCATCTCCTGGGTTAATGCCATTCTCCTGCCTCAGCCTCCCGAGGAGCTGGGACTACAGGAGCCCGCCACTACGCCCAGCTAACTTTTTTTTTTGTATTTTTAGTAGAGATGGGGTTTCACCGTGTTAGCCAGGATGGTCTCGATCTCCTGACCTCGTGATCCGCCCTCCTCGGCCTACTGAAGTGCTGGGATTACAGGTGTGAGCCACTGCGCCCGGCCCATCATTGACCTTTTATCAGCACATATGCACAAAGAGTTGCATGTGCATTCGTGGTATCTAGAATGATGTTTAATGTTGACAACACAAGTATTTAAATGTTCATATTTTTATATTTCTTCCTTTTCTAACTTATTTCAAAAGAACATGTATAATTTAAAAAATAATATAGCAAAACAAATATGAGAAGACATAAATAGTAGTTAATTAGCCAGGTGAGGTGGTTTGCATCTGTAATCCTGACTACTTGGGAAGCTGGGGTGGGAGGATCCCTTGGGGCCAGGAGTTCAGGGCCAGCCTGGGTAACATAGCAAGAACCTGTCTTTTAAAAAAAGAAAGCAAGAAAGCAAAGAAGGAAGGAAGGAAGGAAGGAAACTAAAAAAAATTAGCCGGACGTTGTGGTGTGTGGTCAAGGCTGCAGTGAGCTATGATTGCACCACTGCACTCTAGCCTAGAGGACAGGGTGATAACCCATCTCTAAATAAATAAATAAATAAAAATAAGCAAATAAATAGTAGTGGGTTTTTTTGTTGTTGTTGTTGTTTATTTTTGCTGTTTTTGTTTGTTTGTTTTTTTGAGACAGGGTCTCACTTTCTCTCAGGCTGGAGTGCAATGGTGTGATCATGGCTCACTGCAGCCTGGACCTCCTGTGGCTCAGGTGATCCTCTCACCTCAGCCTCCTGAGTAGTTGGGACTACAGGCCCTCTCCACCATGCCCAGCTAACTTTTTGTATTTTTTTTTTTTTTTGGTAGAGATGGGGTTTTGCCATGTTGGTCAGGCTGGTCTCGAACTCCTGGACTCAAGTGATCCACCCGCCTTGGCCTCCCAAAGTGCCGGGATTACAGATGTAAGCCACGGTGCCCAGCCAATAAATAGTAGTTAATTGTAGGTGGCAGAAAAAAAAAAGTTGATTCTCTTATTTGATTTTTTATCTAATTTTTATTTTAAAAAAATTTAGCCAAGCTTTATGTCAGAGCTGGGCTTCAGTCCCATGGCCTTAAGTAGGGGAATGGAGAGGCAGAAGTCAAGGCCAAAGCACATCTAAAGTAGGGGGTCTTAGAAGTCTCTCTCCCTCCATATAATAGCCAGGATTCCCAAAGGATACACTCTCGGGGTAAATTAAACTACAACTGACCTATCCAGCATCCCAGCCACAGAGTTGCATTGGCATAAATATTCCCTTGGTATGGAAGAGAAGAAAATGGGATAGAGATAAAATTACTATTCTTTTTTTTTTTTTTTTTTTTTTGAGATGGAGTCTCACTCTGTCGCCAGGCTGGAGTGCAGTGGCATGATCTCAGCTCACTGCAACCTCCGCCTCCCGGTTTCAAGCGATTCTCCTGCCTCAGCCTTCCAAGTAGCTGGGACTACAGGTGCATACCACCACACCCTGCTAATTTTTGTATTTTTAGTAGAGACAGGGTTTTGCCATGTTGGCCAGGATGGTCTCAATCTCTTGACCTCATGATCTGCCCTCCTTGGCCTCCCAAATTATTGGGATTACAGGCGTGAGCCACCACGCCTGGACAAAATTATTATTCTTGACATGATAAGGCTACAAACCAGCAGATCTGCACTCTAGGTATGCCCAACTGAGATGGGATGGGGACTCCCAAGCCTTGAAGTTGGTTTGAGATGGTTCCCAATTGGTAGTTCACTCAAGTACTTGCAGATAAAATAACAGATCTCTCAGGAAGAGGCTACCATCATCATAAGCACTGAAGAATCCTCACAGAGTTTTTCAAGGACAATGGCCAGCGCTCCATCAATGATGATAACCCAGATACAGGTAACAAGGCAACATGAACTCAAACCAGCAGAAACAGAGACAGCAGAAACAGTCCCACAAATGGCCACATACAGATTATAAAACAAATATCCTCAATGTGCTCAAAGGAATAAGTGACGAAAGCTTGGGCATATTTGCAGGCAGCATGAACCTACAAGACTGACCTTGAAGATTAGAAAAATAACCAAACAGACCCAGACTGTCTCAAAATAAAAAATGTAATAGCTAAAATGAAGACTCAACAGATATGTTAGGAAACAGATAAAACAAGGTAGTGGAATTAGTTAATGAGAAGATTGAAGTAATTACTCAGAATTTCAGCTCAGAAGAAAAAAATATGCAAAATACAGAAGACAGCTTAAGAGATGTGGAGAAGCCTAACACATTTGATCAATTATAGAAGGAAAAGGGAAAAGTAATGGAGGCAATATTTGAAGAGATAATGGCTGAAAGTGTTCCAAAATTGGTGAAGGTACCAATCCACAGATTTAAGTGGCTTGGTAAATCCCAAGAAGGCAAATAAGAAGATAAATACGATCATATGCATCAGATTGTTTTAACCACAGTGAAGCTGGGGTAGCCATATTGATATCAGAGAAAGTTGACTTTAAGACAGAAAGGATTAGTACACTAGGGATAAAGTGGGTTGCTTCATTAGGATTAAGCACTCAATTTAAAAGGAAGGTAATCATTTTACATTTTATATGCAGCTAATAATACAGCCTAAAAACATATAAAGAGCCAGGTGCGATGGCTCACGCCTATAATCCCAGCACGTTGGGAGGCCGAGGCGAGCGGATCACCTAAGGTCGGGAGTTCGAGACCAGCTTGACCAAAATGGAGAAGCCCCGTTTCTACTAAAAATACAAAATTAGCCGGGAATTGTGGCGCATACCTGTAATTCCAGCTACTGAGGAGGCTGAGGCAGGAGAATCGCTTGAACCCAGGAGGTGGAGGTTGCGGTGAGCCGAGATCGCACCATTGCAATCCAGCCTGGGCAACAAGAGTGAAACTCTGTCTCAAAAAACAAACAAACAAACAAACAAAAAAATATATATATATAAAGAAAAAAAAGAACCAAAAGAAGAAGAAAAAAAATCTGTAAGTTATATTATAAAAACAAAACGAAAACAACTGTTTCAGTAATTGATGGAACAAACACATTAAAATGTCGGAACAGAGAGATACAGAAGATTTGAACAACATGATTAACAAAACTTGAACTAATGGACATTTATAGACCATGGCTTGCAACCACAGTGGAATGCACATTCTTTTCAAGAATTTACATAGACATACATGTACCCAAGATGCTCTTATATAATTTGGAACAAGGCATGGACATAACACCATACACATATACAAGGATGTTCATAGTGTAATTATTTATAAGAGCCAAAATCTGGACACAACCCAACTATGTATCAACAGTATACTGGATAAACAAATCCATAAAAAGAATATTATTAAAAAAACAAAATGTGCTGGGTGCGGTGGCTCATGCCTGTAATCCCAGAATTTTGGGAGGCCTAGCTGGGTGAATCACCTTAGGTAGGAGTTTGAGACCAGCTTGGTTAACATGGTGAAATGCCATCTCTACTAAAAATACAAAAATTGGCCGGGCATGGTGGTGGGCAGCTGTAATCCCAGCTACTCAGGAGGCTGAGGCAGGAGAATCGCTTGAATTGGCGAGGCGGAGGTTGCAGTGAGCTGAGATTGCACCACTGCACTCCAGCTTAGGTCACAGAAGGAGACTCTATCTCAAAAAGAAAACAAAACAAAAAAACCCAAAACGAACTATAGTCACACATGCCAACATAGAAGTATTACGCAAACATAATCTTGATTAAAAGACACAAAAGCAAGATACATAAAAAGAGATATAGCATGCTTTCATTTATATAAAATATGATAAAGGGCAAAACTCAACAGTTGTATTTAGATTCTTAGAGATATAAAGAAATCCAAGAGAGCGATTTCCCTAGAAGTCAGAATATCATAGACTGGGCGTGGTGGCTCACACCTGTAATCCCAGTAATTTGGGAGGCCGAGGTGGGTGGATCACTTGAGTACAGGAGTTTGAGATCAGCCTGGGCAACATGGCGAAACCCCATCTCGACTAAAAATACAAAAATTAGCTGGGCGTGGTGGCACATGCCTACAATCCCAGCCACTCTGGGAGCTGAGGTGGGATGATGGCTTGAGTCCTGGAGGTGGAGGTTGCAGTGAGCCAAGATAGCGCCATTGCACTCCAGCCTGGGCAACAGAGTGAGACCCCATCACAAAAAAATAAATAAATAAATAAAAATAAAGGTCAAAACATTAGGATAATGAGTACCTATGGAGTGAGGGAAAGGGTTGTGATTAGAAAGTTACCATAGAGGAGCGGCTTCTGTAGTGAGAGCAATATTTTACTTATTAACGTGGATAGTGGGTGTTCATTATAATTTATAAAGTTGGCTTTATATGTTGAACAAAAATTTCTGTATGTATATTATGTTTCTTTTTTTGCATTTAAATAGCTGATCTATTTTTTATTTATTCTAAAGTATGTCTGAAGAATGGGTCCAACTTTTAACATTTTTTATATAGCTATCCACATATCACTATATTTGGTACTTAAAAGTTGATCTTTCCCCCATGAGTTTGCAATGTGCTGGGTTTTTTTTGTTTGTTTGTTTGTGTTTGTTTGTTTGTTTTTGAGATGGAGTCTCGCTCTGTCGCCCAGGCTGGAGTGCTGTGGCACGATCTCAGCTCACTGCAACCTCAGGTTCAAGCAATTCTGTCTCAGCCTCCCAAGTAGATGGGACTACAGGCGCCCACCACCACACCCCGCTAATTTTTAAAATTTAAAAATAATTTGTATTTTTAGCAGAGAGGGGTTTTCACCATATTGGTCAGGCTGGTCTCGAACTTCTGACCTCAGGTGATCTGCCCACCTTGGCCTCCCAAAGTGCTGGGATTACAGGCGTGAGCCACTGTGCCTGGCACAATGTGCCTTTATTAAAGTATACTAAATTAAAAATACAAGTGGATCTAATTCTGGATTTTCTATTCTGTTCCACTGGCCCATCTACTCATGCGCCAATACCAAGATGGTTTAATTAGAGAAGATTTAGTGCCTAGATTCTCAACTTCAACACCATTGACATTTTGGACCAGATAATTCTTTGCTGTTGAGGGCTGGTCTGTGTAATCTTTGGCCTCTACCTACTAAAATCCAGTAGTGCCCCCTGTCTCTACCCTTACTCCCACTCCTGGCTATGACAATGAAAAATGTCTCCAAACACTGGGGGGCAAAATAGTCCCTGGTTGAGAATCACTGCTTTGGAGTATATTTTAATATTTGGCACTGCCATCTCCACCCATTGCTCTATTTTGTCTTCTTGGTTGTTTAATTCTCCCAAATGCGTTTTATACACCACATGTCTAGTTCCAGGAGAAAACATAATAGAATTTTTAATGACATTGCATTGAATTGATAAGTTAATGAAGAGAAAAGTTCTTCATGATATTGAGTATTCCTATCCAAGAACATGAATGTGTATATTTATTTAAGTTTATCTTTGTGTCTTCCAGGAAGGTTTTATAGTTTTTCTTATGTAAGCTTCTGATGTTTCTTGTTAGTTTTGCTATTACTGGGTAATTTTGCGTTGTATTCTGGACATTATGGATTCTGCTATTTTCCTCCAAGTGTTGATATTTATGTTTTAGTTGGCAATTAACTTGGTTCAACTCACTGACTCTGTGTGGGAGGTACCTCAGATCTCAGTTCAGACTGCCTTCAGCTGGTTCTGTTCTTGCACGATCCCAAGGTGAGCCAGAGACTTGGCAGAGTTTTTACACAGACTTTGGGATCCTCCATCTCTCATTTTATCTTTTCTGGGATTCTCCCTTCCCTCTCTGAATGCTCTGATTTTCCTGAGCCCTTTCTTTGATTCCTCTGACCAGAAGGAGTTCAAAGCACGGATCTTTGGTGTATTAGTTTTTGTTTTTTTTTTTTTTTTTGAGATGGGATGTCACACTGTCGCCCAGGCTGGAGTGCAGTGATGCGATCTTGGCTCACTGCATCCTCCTCCTCCTCCTCCTCCCAGGTTCAAGCAATCCTCCTACCTCAGCCTCCTGAATAGCTGGGATTGTAGACGTGTGCCACCATGCCTGGCTAATTTTTGTATTTTTAGTAGAGACAGGATTTCACCATGTTGGCTAGGATGGTGTCGAACTCCCGACCTCAGGTGATCCACCTGTCTTGGCCTCCCAAAGTGCTGGGATTACAGGCATGAGCCACCGTGCCTGGCCTCGTGGCTAGCTTTATGCAGGTTGGATTTCTCAAGTATTATTAGACATTATTAGACCATATCCTATCACGACCTCTTGCACACAGTTATAAACTGGATACAGCAGAATCCTTCCTGATTTGAGCTGATGTTCTCAGTGAGTGCCTGTCAGTGACTTAGGGATCCTTTTTTACACAGACTTTGGGATCCTCCATCTCTTATTTTCTCTTTTCAGATACCACATTTTTTTCCTCACTTCACCCAAATAAATGGTGATTCCACACAGACCTTGTAGGTTTGGGTGGTATATTCGTTTTCTAGGTCTATTGTAACAAATTTCCACAAGCTGCAGGGCTTCAAATAACAGAAATTTGTTGTCTCACAGTTCTGGAGTTCAGAAGTCTGCAGGGTCATGCTCTCTCTGAAGGTTCCGGGGGAGGATCCCTCCTTGTCTCTCTTCTAACTTTCAGTGGTTGCCGGCGACCCTTAGCATCACTTGGCTTGAAGACACATCACTCCAATTTCGCCTCCATTGTCACATGGCATTCTCCATATGTGTCTTCTCTGTGCTCAAATTTCTCTTGTCTTAAAAGGACACTAATCATTGGATTAAGGCCCACCCTGTCCCGCATGATCTCATCTTAACTTGATTGCACCTACAAAGATCCTATTTCCAATAAGGTCACATTCAAAGATACTGAGTAGGATTTGAACATACCTCTTTGAAGATACAATTCAACCTAGAATAGGTGTTTTCCCTCAATGGAACCTACTGGAGGAAGAGGGCATGGGGATAACGTGTAGAGTTTTGTTATGGAGTCCATTCAGGGATTTTCCGTCTATTTTCCTAGGTGGTTTTTTTTTTTTCTTTTTTGGTCAGGAATGGGGAGATTTCTAAAAGGTGAAAGCACTGGATACCTAAGGAATAGAGTGGGTTGAATAGGGTTTGTAGTGGAAGAAGAGGGTGTTGGTTTAAGGGAATAAAAAATAGGCCGGGTGCGTTGGCTCACGCCTGTAATCCCAGCACTTTGGGAGGCCGAGGTGGTCGGATCACGAGGTCAGGAGATCGAGACCATCCTGGCTAACACGGTGAAACCCCATCTCTACTAAAAATACAGAAAATTAGCCAGGCGTGGTGGCGGGCACCTGTAGTCCCAGCTACTCGGGAGGCCGAAGCAGGAGAATGGCATGAACCCAGGAGGCGGAGCTTGCAGTGAGCCGAGATCGCGCCACTGCACTCCAGCCTGGGTGACGGAGCGAGGCTCCGTCTCAAAAAAATAAAATAAAATAAAGAATACAAGATGGTGGACTGAAAACAAGTTTGCTTTAGACATTAGTATCACCCAAGACACATCTAAATTGTACTTCTACCCTAAAACAGGCTGGAAAAATACCTATTTTAAAATTAATGAGAAATCTGGAGAAAAATTTTTGTATTTTAAATTTTTTGATCGTGCAGTGGCATGATCTCGGCTCACTGCAACCTCTGCCTCCCGTGTTCAAGCGGCCCGCTTGCCTCAGCCTCTAGAGTAGCTGGGATAGCTGGGACTACAGCCATGTGCCACCATGCCCGGCTAATTTTTGTATTTTTATTAGAGACGGGGTTTCACTATGTTGGACAAGCTGGTCTCGAACTCCTGACCTCAAATGATCTGCCTGCCTTGGCCTCCAAAAGTGCTGAGATTACAGGCGTGAACCACCAGGACTGGCTGAATTTAGAGGAAAACATTTTAAATATACATCTTAGACTCCATATTTCTAACTATAATATTTACTTTATATATAGGAAAAATATTTTACTTGTGTATAGAGAATTGAATGGCTTGTATAATATCACATAAACTGTAAATTAGAATACAATTCACTATGCTCTTTTATGCAGTAAATACATCACATTATCTCAGAATGGTGTTGCTTATTTTACATTTATTTCTTTTAAAAAATGGAAAACTGTCAGCTGTGGTGGCTTAGCCTGTAATCCCAGCACTTTGGGAGGCCCAGGCAGGTGGATCGCTTGAGCCCAGGAGTTTGAGACCAGCCTAAGCAACATGATGAAACCTTGTCTCTATGAAAAATACAAAAGTTAGCCAGGCATGATGGTGCATGCCTGTAATCCCAGCTACTTGGGAGGCTGAGGTGCGAGGATCGCTTGAGCCTGAGGAAGTGGAAGCACGCTAGCCTGGGTGACAGAATGAGACCCTGTCTTAAAAAAAAGAAAGAAAAGTAAAGAAAAACTAAAATGATATGAAATTTTTAATAAATGGAAAAAACTCATCCTGTTTTTCCTACTATTCTTGGACCAAATATATATATATATATATATATTTTTTGGCCTATCATCTTCCAATGTTTTTTCCATTTTCACTAGTATTTTTGTATAGTTGCAAGAAATCATGGTTCTTGACTTTTAAATAAAAAGTAAATAAGAGTAACAATTATGTATAATTAAGGAATTCAGTTAAAAGAAACTTAATTGCTTTGCATTTCACTTGAAATAAAGTCCGTAATACCCAGGGAAATTTCTAAGTCTTGTCAGCTTCTTCTTGGAATCTTCCCTCATGAGTTGCTGATAATGGTCTTACAACTGGTCTGTTTTCACAAAAGCATGTTATGTCATTAAACACCAGTCTGCTGTACACCGGCTCAAGCTAACAACTTGAACTCAAACATTATTATCAGTCAATGTATTAATCTTAATAAGTTAACAATTATAAATGAGCTAGATAATTTCTGTGACCAACCATGATTCCTAATACATAGATTACTATCAAAAAACATATACATGTGGTGAAAAAGAGTACCCTCAATTCAGCTATAAATGCCTGTGAAATGAAATCATCTAGACACATAACACAGAAGCAGAAGTGCAGAGTAAAGAATGAAGTTTGGCTTTGGAAAGGACTGGGTTCAGATATTAAGTCCTCCATGTGTTGACTACTGAAGGTACTTAAACCTCCCTAAAGCTTCAGCTTCATGGGTGAAGAAAATAGAATTTATTTCATAGGGGTCTGATTTTTGGAGACAGGGTCTTGCTATGTTGTCCAGGCTGGTCTTGAACTCCTGGCTCAAGTGATCTTACTGCTTCAGCCTCCTGAGTCATAGGGTTCTTGAGAATGTGATAAAATTAATACAGTGGCCAGGTGCAGTGGCTCATTCCTGTAATCCCAGCATTTTGGGAGGCCGAGGTGGGTGGATTACTTGAGCTCAGGAGTTCAAGGCCAGCCTGGGCAACATAGTGAGAATTTATCTCCCATTTCTGCAAGAAAATACAAAATTAGCCAGGCGTGGTGGCATTAGCCTCTAGTCCTAGCTATTTGGGAGGCTGAGGTGGGAGGATTGCTCGATTGAGTATTGAATTATTCAGTTGTTGAATAAATATTCAAGGAGTAATAGGTCATATAGAGATACTATTCTATAAAGTATGCTTCTAATTCATCTGGCCTGACTATGGTTGCTTGAATTTTTTTTTCTTTTCTTTTTTTTTTTTAGACAGAGTCTTGCTCTGTCATCGAGGCTGGAGTGCAGTGGCAGTGATCTTGGCTCACTGCAACCGCTGCCTCCTGTGTTCAAGCAATTCTTGTGCCTCAGCCTCCCAAGTAGCTGGGACTACCAGCATGTGCCACCATGCCCAGCTAATTTTTGTTTTGTTTTGAGACTGAGTTTCACTCTTGTTGCCCAGGCTGGAGTACAACGGTGCAATCTTGGCTTACCGCAACCTCCGCCTCTGGGATTCAAGTGATTCTCCTGCCTCAGCCTCCCGAATAGCTGGGATTAGGGATTACGGGCATGTGCCACCATGCCAGGCTAATTTTGTATTTTCAGTAGAGACAGGGTTTCATATTGCCCAGGCTGGTCTTGAACCACTGGCCTCAAATGATCTGCCCACCTCAGCCTCCCAAAGTCTTGAGATTACAGGCATGAGCCACCATGCCCAGTCTTGAATCTTGATTGTAACCATCACTGTGGTCTATTTGATTGTGGTATTTACCTTTAAAAACACTTGAATAGAACTTTCAACTCATGGCTTCATCAGGATAATAGAAATTAGTGGTTATAAATGATACAACTTCATATAGTTTAGTACACATTTAATTTATGCATATAGGCTGGGCGCGGTGGCTCACACCTGTAATACCAGCACTTTGGGAGGCTGAGACGGGTGGATCATTTGAGGTCAGGAGTTCCAGACCAGCCTGGCCAACATGGTGAAACCCCATCTCTACTAAAAATACAAAAATTAGCCAGGTGGTAGTGGCGTGAACCTGTAATCCCAGCTACTCAGGAGGCCAAGGCAGGAGAATCACTTGAGCCTGGGAAGCAGAGGTTGAGCCTGGGAGGCAGAGTGAGCCGAGATCGTGCCACTGCACTCCAGTCTGGGCAAGAGAGTGAGACCCTGCCTTAGAAAAAAAAAAAAAAAAAGAAAGAAAGAAAAGAAAGAAAGCCTTTAGTAGAATTGATTCTATTTTATTTGGCTCTTGAAACATGTCAGACCATTTTGTGGGGGAGGGCATTCAAGGAACAAAGACAAGCTAAAAATGTTGAGAACACATTTTGTTCCCAATAGTCTAGTTAGAGGGAAAGGCTCTTTGAAGGAGAATGGCAAATAGATTTGGACAGGAAGTCAGATTATGACAAGTCTTATATACCATGCTGAAGAGTTTGAATTCTCACTGCAGGTGTAGGTGTGTAAGATGATGAGCCACTGGAACACAGCTTTACATTGCCATTTAGAGTACGTTTGCATTGCAGCAGCTACACAGATAATAGATGGGGACTGGGTGACAAGAAAGGGCCCCTAAAGTAGTATCCCTTCACTTCCTCTTACTCCTCTCAATCTGCAGTGCAGTCCTTGAGCCTCACAAATCAATTCCTCTGTGCTACAGCCATGCATTCTCTTTATGGCAGGCATCGTACTCTACTGTGCTTGTTTATTTATGCACTTGCATCCTTAGTTAGATTGTAAATTTTTGAAGGCAGATGCCATATTGCACTCACTTTTGTACACTCAGGATCTAGCCTGACCTCTAGAAGATAGTAAGTATTCAATAAATTCATCATTGCATGCATCCAGTAATCATTTGGTGAGTTTCTACTATGTGTTTCCTAGGAACTGCTATAAGCACTGAGTGTATGACAGTGAACAAAATAAAGAAAAATCCATACCCTTGTGGACTTTGCATACTAATTCAGAGAGACACACAATAAATAAGCAGGTAAACAAATAAATAAACAAGTAAAATTTTAGTATATCAGATAGTAATAAGGGTTACAGTAAAAACGAAATGAGGGAGGAGAGCAGAGAGTGCATTTTGAAATAGGATGGCCAGAGAAAGCTTCACTGTGAAGGAGACATTAGAAAACAGACTTGAAAATTGAGAGCTCAAGCTTTACGGTATCTTAGGGGAAAGATTGTAGGCCAAAGGAATTGACAAAGCAAAGACCTGAAAGAGGACAGTGCTGGCCTGGTGCCGTGGCTCATGCCTATAATCCCAGCACTATGGGAGACTGAGGCAGGCGGATCACGAGGTCAGGAGTTCGAGACCAGCCTGGCCAACACAGTGAAACCCCGTCTCTACTAAAAATACAAAAATTAGCTGGGTGTGGTGGCGCACGCCTGTAGCCCCAGCTACTCGGGAGGCTGAGGCAGGAGAATCGCTTGAACCCGGCAGCTGCAGTGAGCCGAGATCGCCCCACTGCACACCAGCCCGGGTGACAGTGTGAATCTTTGTCTCAAAAAAAAAAAAAAAAAAAAAAGAAAGAGGACAGTGTGAGGTTTTCAAGAAGTAGCAAAGAGGCCAATGTGGCTGCAACAGCGAGTCCTGTAAGGCTGCTTTGAAGATCTTGTAATGATTTTAGCTTTTATTCGGAGTGGAATGGGAAGCCATTGGAGCGTTTTGAGCAGAGGAGTGCATAATCCGAATGACTAATTCAACATAATAACTTTGGCAGCCATTCAGGAAGAGTCTGAAGAAGAACACATATTCTTCTGGGCAAGAAGAGGTTGTCTGGACCAGTGTGGTTGAAGAGAGACGTGCTGGATAGTTTATATAGTTTGAAAGTGGTTTTCACAGGATTTCTGGCCAGGTGCGGTGGCTCGCGCCTGTAATCTCAGCACTTCAGGAGGCCAAGACGGGCGGATCACGAGGTCAGGAGATCGAGTCCATCCTGGCTAACACAGTGAAACCCCGTCTCTATTAAAAATACAAAAAAATTAACCAGGTGTGGTGGTGGGCGCCTGTAATCCCAGCTACTCGGGAGACTGAGGCAGGAGAATGGCTTGAACCCAGGAAGCGGAGCTTGCAGTGAGCCGAGATCGCGCCACTGCACTCCAGCCTGGACGACAAAGTGAGACTCTGTCTCAAAAAACAAAAACAAAAACAAAAACAAAAAACAGAGCAAAACAAAAAAACAGGATTACTAATGGCTAAATGGGAAAGTGAGAGGGGTGAAGAATGTCTCTAAGTTTTCGCATGAGCAACTAGAAACATGGAGTTGCTATTTACTGAGATAAATTGGGTGACCATTTAATTCACTGTCAAATTACAACACTGTTGAGAATGAAAAGGGATGCCATACACTTGGGAAAACACCTGTAATCCAGGACTATCTTAGAAAACTTCTTCACCCTTGGGCTGTGGTTTTCAATCAGGGATGACTTTGCCCGCAATGGGACATTTAGCAACATCTGAAGATATTTTTGCTTGCTATGACTAGGGGACTGCAGAGCACAGTCCTCTAAAACAAAGAATTAACTGGCACAAAATGTCGATAGCGCTGAGGCTGAGAAACTCTGCCCTAGAACTAGGAAAGAGAATGAGAAGGCTAGGTTTGCTGAAATGAATGGAGATAAAGATCATTAAAATTGAAGAGAGAAATTACAAGGATGCTTATTCTTCATTCATTGATCATTTCTACCCAGCATACTTTCAAAAAGATATGAGGCCATTTAGCAAAAAAGGCATCTAGTCATGAATGTAACAAAGTATTGATTAAGCAATTATACATTTAGAAGAATTTATAGAGCCAATCAGCCTTAAGATTACAACTAGGGAAGGCTGGGTGTGGTGGCTCACACCTGTAATCCCAGCACTTTGGGAGGCCGAGGTGGGTGGATCACCAGGTCAGGAGATGGAGACCATCCTGGCTAATATGGTGAAACCCCGTCTCTAGTAAAAATACAAAAATTAGCCAGGCGTGGTGGCACTTTCCTATAGTCCCAGCTACTTGGGAGGCTGAGACAGGAGAATTGATTGAACCTGGGAGGCGGAGGTTGCAGTGAGCCGAGATTGTGCCACTGCACTCCAGCCTGGGTGACAGAGCGAGACTCTGTCTCAAAAAAAAAAAAGGTTACAACTAGGGTTTTACTGGGAACTTCACTCACTTTCCTTCTTTCTTTCCTACTTTTTTATTGCATAAAAATGACATAACATAAAATTTACCACCTTAACCATTTTTAAGTATACGTTATAGTAGTGTTAACTATATGCACATTGTTGTACAACGCATGTCTAGAAGTTTTTTGTCTTGCAAAACCAAAACTCTATACTCATCGAACAATTCCCCTTTTTTCCTATGCCTAGTCTCTGTAAACTACCATTATACTTCTGATTTCTATGAATTTGACTGCTTTAGATACCTCATATAAGTGAAATCATACTGTATTTGTCTTTTTGTGACTGGTTTATTTCACTTAATGTCCTCACAGTTCATTCATGTTGAGATATGTGACAGGATTTCATTCCTTTTTAAAGCTGAATCGAATCCCAATTGTATGTATATACATTTTCTTTATCTACTCATCTCTAGATGGACATTTAGGTTGCTTCCACCTCTTGGCTATCCGGAGTAATGCGGCAATGAATATGGGCGTGCAAATATCTCTTTAACATCTGTTTTCAATTCTTTTGAATATATACCCAGGAGTGGGATTGCTGAATCATATGGCAATTCTATTTTTAATTTTTGAAGGAAACCCCACACTGTTTTCCATAGTGCCTACACCCTTTTACATTCTCATCAACAGTAGACAAGAGATCCAATTGGTCTACGTCATCACTAACAATTATTATTTTCTGTTTATTTTTTTTTGTAGCGGCCATCCTAATAGGTGTGAGGTGGTATCTCATTGTGGTTTTGTTTTGCATCACTTAATTGTGGTTTTGTTTTGCATCAGCTATCTTTTCTTTTGCCAGAGGCTCAGTTCAGCTACAACATCATTGGTTCTGATAGCTTCTTGGATTCTCAAAGTATATAGAAAAGGGGGCTAAGGGTAACTTTAAGCAAAATGATTGCCATGATCGCCACACCTCTAAATAGAGTGATCTGTAATTGGTTTTACAATCAAAGTTTTTCCTATCAGTGACAAGTGGGTAAAGCTCTCAGGAAGAATAAGATCATCAAGTCAGATGGCCAAACTCATTCCTTTTTTTTTTTTTTTTTTGAGACAGAGTCTCACTCTGTCGCCCAGTCTGGAGTGCAATGGTGCGATCTTGGCTCACTGCAACTTCTGCCTCCTGGGTTCAAATGGTTCTCTTGCCTCAGCCTCCTGAGTAGCTGGGATTACAGGCATATACCACCACGCCTGGCTAATTTTTGTATTTTTAGTAGAGATGGGGTTTCACCATGTTGGCCAGGCTGGTCATAAACTCCTGACCTCAGGTGATCTGCCTGCCACCTCAGCTCCCCAAAGTGCTGGGATTACAGGCATGAGCCACCATGCCTGGTGCCCAAACTCATTCTTATCCCCACTTCATCTTCCCTGCAAAGCAGAATGAACAAATGGGTGTGTGAATGAACAAGTAAGTGAATACATGAATGAATAAATAAATGAAAACACCTTTAACATTGGTAGCAGAACTCAAGAGACTGACTACCAGATCTCTGAAACTATCCTTTTCTTCTTTATCTGCCCGGACCATCTGTGAAGTTATAACTGAAACCTCACAATAGCTGACCTCAAAGCTCTCTTTTAGTCTCAGTTTAGGTCCTTGTATTTTTTTTTTTTTTTTTTTTTTTGAGACGGAGTCTTGCCCTGTCGCCCAGGCTGGAGTGCAGTGGCGCAATCTCAGCTCACTGCAACCTCCGCCTCCCAGGTTCAAGCAATTCTCCTGCCTCAGTCTCCTGAGTAGCTGGGATTACAGGCGCCCGCCACCACACCCAGCTAATTTTTGTATTTTTAGTAGAGACGGGGTTTCACCATGTTGGCCAGGCTAGTCTCAAACTTCTGACCTCAGGTGATCCACCCGCTTCAGCCTCCCAAAGTGCTGGGATTACCGGTGTGAGCCACCACGCCCGGCCAGCTCCTCGTATTTTTATTCCCCTCTCCTTTCTTTTCTCCAACCAAATTTAGTCATTGAATAAGACAACTCCAACAGTTGGATATACCTGATTGAACATGGTAGTCCGTTAGCTGCTGGAATCTGAGATTGGCATGCCAGCTAACTATTAGCTATAAAGCAAATTATTTATTTTATTTATTTAATTTTTTGAGACAGAGTTGCACTCTTGTTGCCCAGGCTGGAGTGCAGTGGCGCAATCTTGCCTCACTACAACCTCCATTTCTCGGCTTCGAGGAATTCTCCTGCCCCAGCTTCCCCAGTAGCTCGGATTACAGGCACGTGCCACCACACTGAACTAATTTTTGTATTTTTAATAGAGACATGGTTTCATCATGTTGGCCAGGCTGGTCTCGAACTCCTGAGCTCAGGTGATCCGCCCACCTCAGCCTCCCAAAGGGCTGGAATTATAGGCGTGAGCCACTGAGCCCGGCCAGGTTTTTTTTTCTGGTAGAAATTTCATGAAGGCTTAGATCGGCACCTGCCTCTGCCTCTTCCTCCTTCTAGTTTATGCTCAGGTACACGAGAGCATTTACGGTCATTACATAACATGGTACAAAGCAGGGGTAGGGTGTTTACACATGCGGAACTCTGCCGTGCATCTGAAATGTGACAGAGACGAGTTTAGGCAGAACTGTGCCCCCAAAGATAGGAGAACTTCAGGGGAAGTTGGTGGAGAGAGTAATCAACCAAGATCTGTGTTCTGTTCATTCGGGTTAGATTTTATGAAAAAGAAAGAGAGCTATAAAATATCTGTGCTTCTTGGCAATGCATGGGTTTCTGTATTTGATTATTAGTCGGGTAGCTATGAAAATGTTAACATGAATATTATTTCTATATATGTTGCATGTGTTCTACAGCACAACACCATTGGCACAATTACAGAGCAAACAACTCCATGTAAACATTAATGGGAATAACAGAAGGAACAAAGATAACGCGGCTACTTTTGAACTTTGGAATCTCCTACGTTGCTAGTGCATGCTTAACAGCATGCAATCATCTTGGGTAGAATCATGAGGGTCCAAATGTGTGGCAATTCTACCCTCAGCCCGACACATCCACTCAAAGTAAAACAAAATAAGCAAAATGGCTATCATGTGCCAAAAGGATTAATATGTCATCCTTACTGGACCCTTTTCCTTACTTCCATTTGAAGAAATCAGGTGGCTCATTGCAGTCACACACTGATTCATGTTCCCATCCTGAAACTCAGACGAAAGATAAGAAACAGATCAACTGAATACCTGTTTTTCCAAGGATGAAAGATACTCATGTTCAGAAGCTGAGGTCCAGATCCTGCTTTCCCTCCATCTTCCCCAACACTCACTGTTTAATTACTGTTGTCGATGCTTGTTAAGAACTGCCTACATCCACTTTTGGAATCTCAGAATAAAATTCACATACACCGTGGGCATACTTCCTGAGACTCATCGTGGAGATGCTGTAAACCTAGCACATTTCATTATCTAAATGTGACAACATGAAAATAATATTTTTTTTGCATTTGTAACATTCAAGAATGCTCATAACCTTCGGGGAAATAGGTCTTTGTTCCTGAGTATTACAAATGCATGGCATAAATTGTCTGTTCCGATGTACAGAAATAGAACTAAGAGTGTGTACATATAGCATCTTGAAAAATGATTTCATATTACTTGTTATTCTGCTTCTAAAGCATTATACAAAATTGATTGAAGAGGAAACTGGAATAGAATATCATCCAGCACGGATGAAGGTTTCTGCTTAGTTCTTCATCCCCCTCATGACATTTGTAAAGTGCAGTTATTATTGTTATGTATTATTATTTTTATTTCAATAAGTTTTTGGGGGAACAGGTGGTGTTTGGTTACATGAATAAGTTCTTTAGTGCTGATTTCTGAGATTTTGATGAACCCATCACCCGAGCAGTGTACACTGTATCCAATATGTAGTCTTTTATCTGTCACCCACCTCTCACCCTTTCCCCTGAGTCCCCAAAGTCCATCTTATCATTATTATGCTTTTGTGTCTTCATAGCTTAGCCCCCACTTACAAGTGAGAACATACAACGTTTAGTTTTCCATTCCTGAGTTACTTCACTTAGAATAATGGTCTCCAATTCCATCCCAGTTGCTGCAAATAAAGTGCTGTTTTTAAGACACAAGGCTCAGTTCATTTTCTGGAAGGCACCCCAATAGATATTTGCTCAGCTCTTGCTGCAGAAACTTTTTTTTTCTTTGAAAGAATCTCAGTCACTGTAAACATGAAATCTTAAAAATACTCAATTTTCGGCTGGGCTCGGTGGCTCATGCCTGTAATCCCAGCACTTTGGGAGGCCGAGAAAGGTGGATCATGAGGTCAGGAGTTTGAGAACAGCCTGGCTAACATAGTGAAATCCCATCTCTACTAAAAATACAAAAAATTAGCCGGGTGTGGTGGTGAGCACCTGTAATCCCAGCTACTTGAGAGGCTGAGGCAGGAGAATTGCTTGAACCCGGGAGGCGGAGGTTGCAGCGAGCCGAGATCACGCGACTACACACCAGCCAGGGCGACAGTGCGAGACTCCGTCTCAAAAAAAAAAAATTAATTTTCTTCACTTATGATCTACTCAAAACTAGCACTGATCATAAATTTCTTAAAAATGTACTATTTAAAAGTTAAAGTTAGATTAAACTTAAAAGATTTAAATTAAAAGGGGTTAAATGTAACATTTTTAGTCAAGTCAAAAATTTAACTTTAGAGTCTATAAGAACCCAAGAATATGATAAAAATATTATGGAAAGAAAGCAATAGAGCATGCTACCTGTAGGTTGGGCTTTAAAGTCTTTTTGAATATATTAAAGCTTCAATATAAGTCTATGAATATCTTTTTGAAATCCTGCAGATTCTTACAGGATAGCTTTCACATCTGGATTTCTCTTAATATTGATAAAGGAAGAAGAGTTATTTTCTATGTATGTTTTTTAACTCATTATGATGGAAGGTAAATATTTCAGCTAATACAAAATTATCTAATTTTTCTTTGTTTTCTGGTTCTTCTTACCTCTAATCCCAAACAATCCATGCAGATCATTCTGGATAGATAATAAACAATTATTTTAAACAAATATTCAATGAATAAATCTTTAATAAGAATTTCTCCATTTTAAATAATAATAAAATATCCTTAATACATGCCTAAACCTCTCTGTTATTTATTCATCAGGTATCCAGGCCACTAGGGAAAACATATTTTAAAAATATGCCTAACAGCTAGGTGCAGTGGCACACACCTGTAGTTCCAGCCGCTCTGGAGGCTGAGGCTGGAGGACTGCTTGAGCCTAGTCGTGTGAGACCAGCCAGGGCTACATAGCAAGACCCCTATCTCTAAAAAATAAATAAATACATACAATGCCTAACATAAATTTTTTAATTGAACCAATTGGTTAATTAACAAGTTAACTAGTGAAAAGGCAGCAACCACTAGTAATGGTTACAAGGAAAAAATTAATAAAAAGGTAATGGGGTAGTGCACGGTGGTTCATGCCTGTAATCCCAGCACTTTGGGAGGCTGAGGCAGGCAGATCACTTGAGGTCAGGAGTTCAAGACCAGCCTGGCCAACATGGCAAAACTCCGCCTCTACTAAAAATACCAAAAATTAGCCAGCTGTGGTGGCAGGCGCCTGTAGTCCCAGCTGCTCAGGAGGCTGAGGCAGGAGAATGGCTTGAACCTGGGAGGTGAAAGTTGCAGTGAGCCAAGATCATGCCACTGCATTCTAGCCTGGGCAACTCAGTCTCAAAAGAAAAAAAAAAGTTAATGGGTGTAAGAAATACATAGCCAGAATAAATAAAATGGAAGAATGTTGAATCTTAAGGTCCTAATGTACTCAAATGGTTGGAAAGACCAAAATAATGTCATCTATATCTGTATCTATCTATCTATCTATCTATCTATCTATCTATCTATACACGCATATATGTGTATGTGTGTGTGAATATATATACACACATATATACACACATATATATACACATATATACACACACACATATATATATACACATATATATACACATATACGTATATATACACACATATATATACACATATACATATATATACACACACATATATATAGAGAGAGAGTTTTTTGAGACGGAGTCTTGCTCTGTCGCCCGGGCTGGAGTGCAGTGGTGCAGTATCAGCTCACTACAACCTCCGTCTCCCGGGTTCAATCGATTCTCCCGCCTCAGCCTCCTGGGTAGCTGAGATTACAGGCACCTGCTATCATGCTCCGCTAATTTTTGTATTTTTGTAGAGACGGGGTTTCAGCATGTTGGCCAGGCTGGTCTTGAACTCCTGACCTCAGGTGATCCTCTCGCCTCGGTCTCCCAAAGTGCTGGGATTACAAGCGTGAGCCACCACGCCTGGCCAGTATAAACACCGATCCTTGAAGCTGAGCAACTCTTACCATCTCTCATTAACCACCACTACGCCCCCTGCTGTTCACTTTGTTAATCTACGACATTATATGGCCGAGGGCCTATATAATGCATGTCCAGGCTATTCAGCTGTCCTTTAAATTCATTCCACACTGTGGAATGGAATTGTTTTCTCCAGATGGCCTCCATTTCCTCTTCACAAGCATCCAACAGTGTTTTGATTTCCCTCAATAAAAAAAAAATTCTTCTCCCTTCCCCTTTCATTAGACTAAGCATTTCTATTAATATTTCCTCACATTGGTGTTAACAGTTCTCTAATTTCAGAGCTTTCTTATCTCTGGTCTTAAAATATTTTCTTTTATCTGCCAGGCGCGGTGGCTCATGCCTGTAATCCCAGCACTTTGGGAGGCCAAGGCAGGCGGATCACTTGAGGTCAGCAGTTTGAGACCAGCCTGACCAAGATGGTGAAACCCTGTCTCTACTAAAATTACAAAAATTAAGCTGTGTGTGGTGGTGCACGCCTGCAATCCCAGGTACTCAGGAGGGTGAGGCTGGAGAATCGCTGGAACCTGGGAGGCGGAGGTTGCAGTGAGCCGAGATCGGGTCACTGCACTCCAGCCTGGGCGGCAGAGTGAGACTCCATCTCAAAAAAAAAAAAAAAGAAGAAAAGATTTTCTTTTATCATTTGGTAGGACACATGTTCTTACATCCTAATTTTCTTCCATATCAAATACTATATCTTTGTTCTCAAGAAAGAAGCCAATGTGTGGAAATTTAATACCAATAATAATAGCCAAAACCTCAATAGCTAATAGCTCTTAAGTACATATGCACCAGGCACTATTTTGTACCCGGCACTCTTTTTAGTGCTTTTAGTGTAATTAATTCACTTAATCTTCTCAACCACGCCATAGGGTAGGTACTATTGTCATCAACTTTTTGCAGGTGGGGAAACTGAGGCATAGAAAGTGATTTGCTTAGCTTGACATGACAGAACTAGCAATTTGGGAGCTGGGAGTCCAACCCAGGCAGTGTGGCTTCAGAGCTTGTGCTTTGATCCCCTCACAACTATGGCCAAACTATATAGCTATAGTGTAGTCAAATTACATCTATGGACAACTGAAGAAGATAATGGAAACCAGAATGGGTGATGGAAGCAAGTGCCAGCATTGTGTCAATTTATCTGCTTCTACGGAGTACAGTACAGGAAAACAAAATCTTCCAAGCATATGTTCTTGGTATTTGACACTTTACTAAATCTCTACCAAAGTCTTCAAATGGAAAAGCGGAGCTCCAAATTCACATTCGCTTGAATTTTTATTGTATATAATGCTTCACGGTATTTATAGCCTAAATCACAATGAATAGTATCCCATCAGCTGAAACGTCTTAAGTCTTAACCATCATCTAACTGTTCAGCCGAATGAAAACAATGATGATCATAATTGGAGCTGAAATAACAGAGAAGCTCATTTACTCTGAGATATGAGGCAGGGACAATTTCCCATGAAATGAACCTAATTTTTTCCCTTAATCTGAAATTGATTACTTTGCTTTTTTGGTATATTAATTTGGTGTTCAAGGTATAAATTATAAGAAGATCAAATATGCTTTAAACTGAAACTCTTATTTTTCTTTGTTAATATCTGACCATATCTACTAACTTACATGAAATAGTTGCTTGTAATTTAATATGATATACTGTCATCTGGATATTTGCTACTTTTTCCAGCCTAAACTGGTTTCAATAAAGCACTTGACTTTAAGGAATACTCATCGTATCTAATCTTCTATTTTTTTTTCCTTTTTTGAGATGGAATCTAGTTCTGTTCCCTGGGCTGGAGTGCAGTGGCACAATAATGGCTCACTGTAACCTCCTCCTCCCGGGTTCAAG
Source organism: Homo sapiens (assembly GCF_000001405.40). Taxonomy (NCBI): domain Eukaryota; kingdom Metazoa; phylum Chordata; class Mammalia; order Primates; family Hominidae; genus Homo; species Homo sapiens. The sequence continues at coordinate 69,396,735 of NC_000017.11, forward strand.
CAATTCTCCTGCCTCAGCGTCCCGAGTAGCTGAGACTACAGGCACGTGCCACCACACATGGCTAATTTTTGTATTTTTAGTATAGATGGGTTTTACCATGTTGACCAGGCTGGTCTTGAACTCCTGACCTCAAGTGATTCTCTGCCTCAACCTCCCAAAGTGCTGGGGTTACACGTGTGAGGCTCCGTGCCCGACCTGACTCTTCTATTTACATAAACTTTAAAAAAGATGTTATTTGTAATTGACACATAGTAATAGTACATGTTTATGGGAAACGGTGTGATGTTTCAATACATGTGTACATTGTATAATGATCAAATCAGGGTAGTTAGCATGTCAAGCACCTCAAATCTTTATCATTTCTTTATGATGATAACTTTCAAGATCCTATTTTATAGCTATCTTGAAATATATACTATATTAACCTTAAAGATACATAGGATAGGTATTAAATACTAAAATCCCTTCCCAAATCATATGTGAATGGGAGAAAAAACTAGCAAGCAGCCTTAGAATAATTTTTTTATGCAACATTTGTAACAAATGGTGTTGTAACATTTGTTATAATAAATGGGTTTCAAACATAACGTATGAAACATTTTATTTAGAAGGACACTTGAAAATCTCTATCAGCCAATAAATTCCATATTTTAGAGTTACCTACTGTCCTTCAAAAAACCATGGCTATTGGTTATGTAAAGACTTGAATGTAAAATAACTAAACTTCTTTGTAGAACACAAGATTTATGTGTCTGGGCTGTGAGATGTACTAATATGTTGGTAACATCCAAATAGCTTAATCTTATTTTAATCATATTTTTAAAACAAGTTTTGCTCTGATACTTAATTTTAAATATAACAGAGAATAGTCAGTAATGATTTGTTTCCTTTTACCTTGATATTACTTCTAGATCAACGTTATATAAAATCAGGCCACTTAAAATTGTGACAATGATTCTTAGTTTGCAAACTAAAACAGTGTCTTTAGCCTACCAAATGAAAAGCCGAATCAACTTGACTCCTCCAGTGTTGATGAACAGATCAACAGTATCTATAGATAAAGGAATAAATAGAGCAATGTAATTTACATTGAGGCTGCCATTTTGCTTACATTTTGTGAGTTTTAGTAATTTTATTTTACTTATTTATTTTATTTTATTTTTTTTTGAGACAGAGTCTTGCTCTGTCACCCAGGCTGGAGTGCAGTGGTATGGTCTCGGCTCACTGCAACCTCTGCCACCTGGGTTCAAACAATTCTCCTGCCTCAGCCTCCCAAGTAGCTGGGATTACAGGCATATACCACCATGCCTGGCTAATTTTTGTATTTTTAGTAGAGACGGAGTTTCACTATGTTGGCCAGACTGGTCTCAAACTCCTGACCTCATGATCCACCCACCTCAGCCTCCCAAAGTGCTGGGATTACAGGCATGAGCCACTGCATCCAGCTGAGTTTTAGTAATTTTTAAGGTCCTAGCTAAGTAAGTAGTTAGATGTCATAAGCAATGTATATTTGCTATTTGATACTTTACTATCTCTATCAAAGTCTTTAAAACACAAAACTGGGACCTAAAATTAGTAGTACCATACTTTCTTTCTTGATTCTATAAGAATCAAATATATATTGTGGACTGACTTCAGTTTCCCTAGCTTCAAACTGGGAGGCACTTTGGTTGGCTACCTCATTAAAATGGGGTCAGAATGAACGCAGGCATGCCTTGTTTTATTGTGCTTTGCTTTGTTGCACTTTGAAGATACAGCATTTTTTTTACAAATTAAGTTTTGTGGCAACCCTGAGTGGAGCAAGTCTATTGCCATCATTTTTCCAACAGCATATGCTCACTTTGTGTCCCTACATCACAGTTTGGTAATTCTTGCAATGTTTCAAGCTTTCTATTCTTATATCTGTTACAGTGATCTATGATCAGTGATTTTTGATGTTATCATTGTAATTTTGGGGGGACATCTTGAACCACCCCTGTATAAGACATTGAACTTAATCATAAAAGTTATGTGTGTTCTGATGGCTCCACCAACCCACTGGCCATTCCAGTCTCCTCTCCCTTTTTTCTGGCTTCACTATTAACTGAGACATGACGGTATTCAAATTTGATCAGTTAAGAACCCTATCATAGCCTCTAAGTGTTCAAGTGAAAGGAAGAATTGCAGATCTGTCGTTTTAAATCAAAACCTAGGGGCTGGACACTGTGGCTCAGGTGTGTAATTCCAGCACTTTGGGAGGCCAAGGCGGGTGGATCACCTGAGATCAGGAGTTCAAGACCAGCCTGGCCAACATGGCAAAACCCTGTCTCTACTAAAAATATAAAAATTAGCTGGGCATGGTGGAGCGTGCCTGTAATCCCGGCTACTAGGGAGGCTGAGGCAGGAGAATCACTTGAACCAGGGAGGCAGAGGTTGCAGTGAGCCAAGATCGCACCATTGCACTCCAGCCTGGGCAACAAGAGTGAAACTCCATCTCAAAAACAAAGCAAAATAAAATAAAATAATAAATAAATAAAAACCTAGAAATAATTAAACCTAGTAAGGAAGGCATGTTGAAAGCTGAAGTAGGCCAAAAGCTAGGCTTCCTGCACCAAACAGTTACCCTAGTTGTAAATGCAAAGGTAAAGTTCTCAAAACATATTAAAAGTGCTACCTACTCCAGTTCCAGTGAACACACGAATGATAAAAAAAGTGAGTGGTTCACGCCTGTAATCCCGGCACTTTGAAAGGCTGAGGTGGGTAGATCACTTGAAGCCAGGAGTTCGAGACCAGCCTGACCGACATGGTGAAACCCTATCTCTACTATAAATGCAAAAAAAATTAGCCAGGTGTGGTGGTGCGTGCCTGTAGTCTCAGATACATGGGAGGCTGAGGCAGGAGAATTGCTTGAACCTGGGAGGCAGAGGTTGCAGTGAGCCAAGATCGTGCCACTGCACTCCAGCCTGGGCAACAGAGTGAGACTCCATCACAAAAAAAAAAAAAAAAAAAAAAAGAAGAAGAAGAGGTGAAACAGCCTGATTGCTGATGTGAAGATAGCCTCTGAGTGATCTAGATAGAAGATCAAACCAGCTATAGCACTCCCTTAAGGCAAAGCCCAATCCAGAGCAAGGCACTAACTCTCTTGGATTCTATAAAGCTGAGACAGGTGAGGAAGCTGAAGAAGAAAACTCTGAAGCTTTAAGAGGTTGGTCCATAAGGTTTAAGGAAAGCAGTCATCTCCATAACACAAAACTGCAAGATGAAACAGCAAAGGCTGATACAGAAGCTGCTGTAAGTTATCCAGACCATCTAGCTAAGACCATTGATGAAGATGGCTACACCAAACAACAGATTTTTTGTATAGATGAAACAGCCTTCTCTTGGAAGAAGATGCCATCTAAGACTTTCACGGCAAGAAAGGTGAAGTCAATGCCTGGCTTCAAAGCCTCAAAGAACAGGCTGACACTCTTGTTAGGGGCTAAAGCAGCTGGTGACTTAGGTTGATGCCAGTGCTTAGTCACCATTCTGAAAATCCTAGGGCCTTAAAAATTTTGCTAGGGTTGGGTGCATTGGCTCATGCCTGTAATTCTAACACTTTGGGAGGCTGAGGTTGGTGGTGAGCCCAGGAGTTTGAGACCAGCCTGGGTAACATGTTGAAACCCTGCCTCTACAAAAAAAACAAAAACAAAAATTAGCCAGGCATGGGGGCTGGCATGCACCCGTAGTCCCAGCTACTTGGGAGGCTGAGGTAAGAGGATCACTTGAGCCCAGGACGTTGAGGCTGCAGTGAGTTGTGATTACACCAGAGTGAGACTGTCTCGGGGAGAGAGAGAGAGAGAGAGAGAGAGAGAGAGAATTATGCTATATTTACTCGGCTTGGACTCTGTTAATGGAAAAACAAAGCCTGGATGACAGACAGCACATCTGTTTATGGCATGGATTACCGAATATTTTAAACCCACTGTTGAGACCTACTGCTCAAAAAAATACTTTTTTTCAAAATATTACTGCTCATTGACAATGCACCTGGTCACCCAAGAGTGCTGATGGAGATGTGCAGAGATGAGTGTTGTTTGCATGCCTAACACAACATGCATTTTGCAGCCCACGGATCAAAAAGTAATTTTGACTTTTTAGTCTTATTATTTAAAGAATACACTTTGTACGGCTACAGGTGCTATAGACAGTGATTCTTCTGATAAATCTGGACAAAGTAAGTACATTGAAATCCTTCCAGAAAAGCTTCATCATTCTAGATGGCATTATGAACATTCATGACTCATGGGAGGAGGTGAAAACATCAACATGAACAGGAGTTTGGAAGAAGTTGATTCCAACCCTCATGGATGACTTTGAGGGGTTCAAGACTTCAGTAGAGGAAATAATTTCAGGTGTAGTGGAAATATGGAGAACTAGAATGAGATGTGAACTCTGAAGATAGGACTGAATTGCTGCAATCTCACGATCAAACTTGAATGGATAAAGAGTTGCTTCCTCTGGAGGAGCAAAGAAAGTGTCTTCTTGAGATGCAAACTATTGTTAGTGAAGATGCTGTGAACATTGTTGAAATGACAACAAAGGATTTAGAATATTACATCCACTTAGTTAATAAAGCAGCAACAGGGCTTGAGGGCATTGACTTCAATTTCGAAAGAAGTTTCACTTTGGGTAAAATGCTGTCAAACAGCATCGCATGCTACAGAGAAATCTTTCATCAAAAGAAGCCTATTGAGTCACACATTTCATTGTTGTCTTCTTTTAAGAAATTGCCACAGCCACCTCAACCTTCAGCAACCACTACTTTGATCAGTAAGCAGCCATCAACGTCAAGGCAAGACTGTCCAGCAGCAAAAAAGATTATGACTTGCTAAAGACTCAGGTGCTCATTAGTATTTTTCAGCACCAAAGTATTTTTTTTGTGCTGGGCATGGTGGGTCACTCCTGTAATCCAAGCCAGTCTGGAGGCTGAAATGGGAGGATTGCTTGAGCCCAGGAGTTTAAGGCTACAGTGGGCTATGACCATGCCACTGCACTCCAGCCCAGGTAATAGAGCGAAAGCCCATCTCTCTAAAAAAAAAAAAGGGCTGGGCACGGTGGCTCACGCCTGTAATCCTAGCACTTTGGTAGGTCCAAGCGGGTGGATCATCTGAGGTCAGGAGTTCGAGACCAGCCTGGCCAACATGGCGAAATCCTGTCTCTACTAAAAAATGCAAAAATTAGCTGGGCATGGTGGCACATGCATGTAGTCCCAGCTACTCAGGAGGCTAAGGCAGGAGAATCTCTTGAACCTGGGAGGCAGAGGTTGCAGTGAGCCAAGGTCGCACCATTGCACTCTAGCCTGGTTGACAGAGTGAGACTCCGTCTGAAGGAAAAAAAAAAACGGTTTTTTTTAAAAAAAAGAAAAAGTATTTTAAAATTAATGTGTATACTTTTTTATGAGCACAATTCTATTGTACACTTAATAGACTATAGTATAGTGTCATCATAACTTCTATGCGCTGGGAAACCAAAAAACTCGTGTGACTCACTTTATTGCAATATTTGCTTTACTGCAGTGGTCTGAAACCAAACCCTCAATAGCTCTGAGGTATGCTTGCATTACGATGTTCACAAATCCTTTAAAAATATTTTACACAGCATATTTTAAATAACTACTGTTAGAAGCCCCTATTGTACAAAAGAATGGATTTTTTTTTTTTTTTTCACGGAGTCTCACTCTGTCGCCCAGGCTGGAGTACAGTGGTGTGATCTCGGCTCACTGCAACCTCTGCTGCCCAGGTTCAAGTGATTCTCTTGCTTCAGCCTCCTGAGTAGCTGGGAATACAGGCGCCCACAACCACGCCCAGCTATTTTTTGTATTTTAGTAGAGACAGGGTTTCACCACCTTGGCCAGGCTGGTCTTGAACTTCTGACCTTGTGATCCACCCACCTCGGCCTCCCAAAATGCTGGAATTACAGGCATGAGCCACCGCGCCTGGCCCCAAAACAATGAATTTTTAAAAGTTAAAAGCCAGGCATTATTTTTTTCTTAAAGGATTATCTAAGTATTAACAAAATTCATCCAAATGTCTATTGGAAACCTGTATAATCCTAGATCTCATACAAATAAGTTTAAGAAAATTATGCACAAAATTTCCTACATTTTTCTTTGAAATTTCCACAAGCATCCCAAAATTTATTCATCGTGCCAGATGGTGTTACCATACTCCACACAGTTTCTTTATATATAGTAGCATCCGATTTGGCAATATGCCCCCAAAAATGTTTAATAAATTCATTTTGATATTTATTTGGGTCAAAAAACAAACCAGAACCAAAAGAATAAATAAGGACCTATAAAGTGGACATCTTCAGTTATCTTTAGCAAACGTGCAGGGTTTCTAGGTTCTCTTCATTTTCCATCTAAATGCCAGTAAGGTAAGGCTGCCAGAAAGGGGTTCCAGGACACACTTCCAAAGAATTCTGGTGGCCGTAAAGTACAATCTAATGTCTCTGCCGTTTTACTTCTTGTACTGTCTGATACAGAATCATTAACAAATGTACAGTATGTAGCTCATGCTGCTGTGCTACGAGGTTAGCCATCATCTTTATGGATAACAGGAAGCCCAATTTATAAAATGCCATTAGTGTTCATTGTACTCTCAAATAGCTACTTTCCAATACTACACAGCCACATAATACTGATTAAATACTACCCAATCGTGTGATATGTTAATTAAAAAACAGTTAGAACTAGGCTAGGTGCAGTGGCTCATGCCTGTAATCTCAGCACTTTGGGAGGCTGAGGTGGGCAGATTGCTTGAGCCCAGGAGTTTGAGACCTGCCTGGGCAACATGATGAAACTCCGACTCTACAAAATGTGTGTGTGTATATATATATAAATTAGCCAGGTATGGTAATGTGCATCTGTAGTCCCAGCTACTTGGGAGGCTGAGGTGGGAGGATCACCTGAGCCCAGGAGGTCAAGGCTGCAGTGAGCTATGATTGCACCACTGCACTCCAGCCTGGGCGATAAAGTGAAACCCCATCTCAAACAAAACAAAAAAATGAAACAAAAATCCCAACAGATAAAACTGATTGGTTTTTTGACTTTGGTCTACAGATACAATTATTAGTCTACCAATCTCAAAAGAGAATAAATATTTAAAAACCAGTAGTATTTTCTACTTATCTGCCATATGTTGTTAATTATAAAACATTCACTCTAGATGCAAATCCAGATGAAACAGCTTAAGAACAAGTTTATTTCTTATATTGAGGATCTGATTATTTCTACACAATTGTAGTTCAGACAACTTCATTTTCTGTGGACTTTTAAACTTTTTCTATAACTTGCATATGTCACTTACCTAAAAAATTTCCCAGAATATTTTATAGTTTTTAAAAAAGTGCAGTAGTTTAGTATGACCTGAATTATTCAGTTCTGTGACTGAAGCTGAGAACCATCTATTAATATCAATGTGAACAGACCAAGGAGCCTTGAAGGGTACAACACTTTGTCCTATATCAGTGTTTCTAACTCATCCTCAAATAGTACAGCATTTATTGAATTGTCACAGTGTATTGGCCAAGGTACAGGGTGGTAAGGAGATAAACAGATTTGCTGTGGACTTTGTAAGTCCTGAATTGAGCTTGTCCCATTAACAACTAATATAAAATGAGCCAGAATGTTGCTAGATGACTCTTAGCCTGAAAAGGACACATTTCCAGGGCACTTAGGAAAAGTTACCTAGCTTAATACTAGATTAGATCGTTTAAAGTTAGGAAGTAGGAATCAGAAGACACATTTTTACATCTGCGGTCAAGATGGTTTCAGGTCACAGATTTTTCCATCTTGCGAAAGTAAAGCACCCTGAGGTGATGATGACAAACTGGGCTGTTGGGACAACCCATTTCACAGCGTCATTGTAAGGATAAAATGATATGGTGTGTGTGGAAAGAGACCGTAAACTGTAAAATATTACAAAAATGTTATTAACATTACTCATGGTGTATAGCAGGGTTTCTCAGAATTTTAAGCTTCTCTGACCAGAAATCATACTTTTACATTTTTGTAACCTATACCCTATCATTATTGTAAGTCTTAAGAAAAGGCTTAAGACTTAAGACTTAAAAAATGAAATATAATAAACTGAGGTGTTTCCCTCTTATTTCTTTTGGTCCCTGAGATTAAAAAGCAGATTTGTGAGATATGTCTTTTACAGCTGGCATTTCTTAGGCTGAATTCTATATTTTGATTTTTCCTAGTCCTTCTCTAAATACATAGACCGACTACTTAAATGTACCAGGACTTGGACATCCTGAGAGATAGGTAAGAAAAGTAAAATAGGTGGAAATTCAGATATATACTCAAGGAAAACTGAGAAATCCTTTTGTCTGTTTATAAAATTTTATTTATTTATTTTATTAACTTTTTTTTTTTTTTTTAAATAGAGACAGGGTCTCGCCATGTTGCCCAGGCTGGTCTTGAATCCCTGGGCTCAAGCAATCCTTCCACCTCGATCTCCCAAAGTGTTGGGATCACAGACATGAGCTACCACACCTGGCCAATCCTTTTTTCTTATGTTGCAAGATTCATGACTTATGACGCATTTGTCAGTAACTCGAGTTTATGGAAACATGCAGTCAAGACCAGTTTGTAAAGCAGGGATCTACACATTTATCCTGTAAAGGACCAGACAGTAAATATTTTAGACTTCAGGGGCCGGATGCTCTCTGTTGCTAATATTCAACTCTGGGGAAACACAAAAATAGCCATAGACAATACTTAAATGGATGGGCATAGCTGTGTTTCAATAAAACTTTACTTATGGCAGGGCGTGGTGGCTCATGCCTGTGATCCCAGCACTTTGGGAGGCCAAGGCGGGTAGATCAGCTGAGATCAGGAGATCGAGGCCAGCCTGGCCAAGATGGTGAAACCCTGTCTCTACTAAAAATACAAAAATTAGCTGGGCATGGTGGTGGGCACCTGTAGTCCCAGCTACTTGGGGGGCTGAGGCAGGAGAATCGCTTGAACCTGGGAGGCCGAGGTTGCAGCAAGCTAAGATCGTGCCATTGCACTCCAGCCTGGGTGACAGAGCAAGACTAAAAAACAAACAAATAAACAAACAAAAAAAACTAAAAACAAAAACAAAAACAAAAAAGCCTTTACTTATAATAAGAGCCAGTGGGCTGGATTTGGACCATAGGCCACAATTTGACAACCCTCATTCTAAAGGAATTCTCTCTGCTCTCTCCATAACTTAATAAATGTTCACTACACACCCCTCATGTCACTGGGCATCCATCGATCACCCTGAGCCCTCTGTAGCATATTACCTTTGAAAGCTGAAGCGGTAGCCACAGTGAGGTTCTTCAATTCTTTACGTTTGAAAAAGAAAATACAGTATAAACACGAGATTATGAAGACATCCTCTCGGGGAGAAGTGATAAAGTGAGAAACTAGGACTCTGGGTGACCAATGTGCAATTCTTTCTCAATGACCCCATACAAGACAAGCCAGTAATTAGTTAAATATGAAATTGATTAGGTGAGTTCCAAAGGAGTTCCGAATCTAAGTGTAACTGAAACTTTACACAGAGAGCACAGCCATTTATTTGGCTTTCTGTAGAGCTCTGGTGTCTTCAGATTTTCTGAAGCCAGGCAGGGCAGGACAGGCAGAAAATGAGTGAGTGTGGTAAGAAAGAGAAAAATATACACAGATGTGTGATATGTATATATATATATATCCAGATATATATATCCATATATATATCCAGATATATATATCCATATATATATCCAGATATATCCATATATATATCCATATATATCCATATATATATCCATATATATATCCATATATATATCCATATATATATCCATATATATATAGATATATATATAGTTGGCTCTCCATATACAAGGATTCAACCAACTGTGGATCAAAAATACTCAGAAAGAATTTCCACCTGGACTGAACATGTACAGACTTTTTTTTCTTGTCAGTATTCTCTAAGCAATATAGTCTAACAACTATTAACATAGCATTTACATTGTATTAGGTACTATACATAATCTAGAGATGATTTAATGTATATGGGAATATGTGTGTAGGTTACATGCAAATACTATGTCATTTTGCATCAGAGATCAATGGATTTTGGTATTTGAGGGAGGCCATGGAACCAAACCCGTGGATACCAAGGGACAACTGTATCAGGAAAGAGAAATTGATTGATTAGGGTAGAAGAGAAAAATATATGCTGTTTGTGAGATTAGACACCATTCCAATTTTCTCTCTTAACAGAACTTGAAATTTTTTGTGTGCCCTGTATTACTCAATCTAATGATTCAGCATAGTTCACTACTTGCCAGTGCTTTAATACACAGATGATATGCTGACACTTTTAAAGGGTGAATGCTAGGCTGGAATAATGTCTATTCTTACTTTCCCAGAACCTACATCTTGTTGTCAATTGGCTCATGCTAACATGCCTGTCCAAGATGCAATGTGGTTTGGAGGAAAAGTATGTAACAGCATCACACTGGGGCTCTAAATGGCTATTTAATTACTAAGAAATGTTGAACATTCAGTTTATACATTTTTTAATTCAATGAGAATGTCATCCAATAAGGACTCTAGATAGTTCGTTGGCATTTCCATAAGATATATTAGGCACTGTTAATTATAAAGATTTGTTGACAGTAATTTGAAAATCTAGAATCTTAATACGAGTTTCAGGAAAGTATTAGCCAAAATGTTTTTAATGAGATAATTAAATAAAAATTCTTAGGCCGGGTGTGGTGGCTCACGCATGTAATCCAGCACTTTGGGAGGCCGAGGCGGGTGGATCATGAGGTCAAGAGATCTGGACCATCCTGGTCAATATGGTGAAACACTGTATCTACTAAAAATACAAAAAAATTAGCTGGGTGTGATGGCACGCACATGTAGTCCCAGCTACTCGGGAGGCTGAGGCAGGAGAATCGCTTGAACCCAGGAGGCAGAGGTTGCAGTGAGCTGAGATCACACTACTGCACTCCAGCCTGGCGACAGAGCAAGACTCCATCTCAAAAAAAAAAAAAAAAGAAATTCTTCTTCTTAGCAAATCTTTATGCTGGTGTTTCTTTAACTTTTAACAAAGAAGGCTAAGATAAGCTAACAGATAATCAACCTATTTTAGATGAATTCATTCAGTAGATAATAAATCCATGCAAACATCAGATAAACAAATATTGGTTGAGCACATATTATATGCATGACAAATGCCAGACCTGGGGCTACATGATGTTGATGAAACTGTCCCTGCTTAAGCTTAGAGTCAAGGGCCAAATACAGACAAGCAAGGTCTTCCCAAAGGAGTAGGTTAGGAAGGTGCAGGGAACACACCATTTTGTAGAAAAGGTAAAATTTGTAGTTAAGTAATGTTACTGAGAGATAATATCAGATATATGGCGCATAAGAGCTAATAGATGCCACCAGAATTTAAAAGGGTGGATACTCTTTAATGGGACAGAGGGATGTGATCAAGGACATCTTCATGGAAGAGATGAGCTAGAACCTCAAATGAAGAACAGAGTTTAGAAAACAGAGATGGCAGTGGAGGCCAGAAAAAGGCAAAGTCATAGAACAAAGTCATTGGACAGTATGCACTAAGGTATAGAAGTGGTGCCATGTCAATTCATGGCTCATTGGGATAAGTAATCCTGTTTGGACTGGATTGCTTAAACAAAGGAATCCTATGGTGGATGAATGAGACATAAGGCTAAACAGCTATAGCCAGCCATATTGTAAGTTGAATCACACTGAGATTTCTAGAATTTCTGCTGGTAATCATAGTTCATTGTGACACTTTAGTGCAGTAAAAAAAAAACAAAACTGTACTTAAAAATATTTTACCATCACAACTTGCCATCCAGTCCCTTAAATGAATCCTCCACCTGCTTCTCCCCCATATACTTCACTATATATAACACACCTGTATATGCAATGATTTTCTAGGGTCTGGAAAAGTAGATATTTAGACTTGAGTTCTTAGCTTGAACTTTGGTAGCTTCCTTTCTCTTGTTTCTGACATCTAGTAGACACTGTTGGAAAACATTCATAAATGTCACGTGCAGATTTGTATTACTACTTTGAAGGCAGTATTTCAAATGGTAATATAAGTATTTCTTGTCTCATCTTTTTTTTTTTTTTTTTTTGAGACGGAGTCTCTCTCTGTCACCCAGGCTGGAGTGCAGTGGCCCAATCTTGGCTCACTGCAAGCTCTGCCTCCCGGGTTCATGCCATTCTCCTGCCTCAGCCTCCTGAGTAGCTGGGACTACAGGAGCCCACCACCATGCCTGGCTAATTTTTCTGTATTTTCAGTAGAGACAGAGTTTCACCGTGTTAGTCAGTATGGTCTTGATCTTCTGACCTCATGATCTGCCGGCCTCGGCCTCCCGAAGTGCTGGGATTACAGGCGTGAGCCACCACGCCTGGCCTGTCTCATCTCTTAAGAGACGTTGTTATGAGAGTCATCAGTGGCTTGCCAAAGCAAGGGATCAGGAAGATGTTTAGCCAGTGTATAAAATAGAATGTGTGATCACAATTCCCTTCTCTCTTTAAATCATTGTGGTTTTAATCAAACAGGTGAGTTGGGTTTAGAGACATGGAATATTAAAACTGGAAGAGGCCTTAGTCTGAGTCTCCTTATTTTATAGTGGAACTAAAAGAGGCCCAGAAAGGTAAAATGACTTGCCTTAGGAGACACAGCTAACTTTTTCTACAGCCGGAATTAGAATCCAGATCTCTTAGATTCTAGTGTTTTTCCTATGTCAAAATATCCCATTACTAAATCTCATTAGCTTTAAATTAACTTAAAAGTAGAGCATTTAGGCCAGACCAGGTGGTTCATGCCTGTAATCCCAGCACTTTGGGAGGCTGAGGCGGGCGGATCACCTGAGGTCAGAAGTTCGAGACTAGCCTGGCCAGCATGTGAAACCCCGTCTGTACTAAAAATACAAAATAAGCTGGGCATGGTGGTGCACACCTATAATCCCAACTATTCGGGAGGCTGAGGCAGCAGAATTACTTGAACTTGGGATGCGGAGGTTGCAGTGAGCTGAGACTGCACCACTGCACTCCAGCCTGGGCAAAAAGAGTGAAGCTCCATCTCAAAAAAGAAAAAAGAAGAGCATCTAGTAACTTTCCATGGTATGTAGCAGGGTTTCTCAAACTCACACTATTGACATCTGGACCAGATAATTCTTTGTTGTGGGGCTTTCTGTATGCTATAGTATGATTACCAGTATCCCTGTATACCAATATACCCATTAGATCCCAGTATCACACTCTCTCCCCCTATTGTGATAACCCAAAATATTTCCAGACTTGCCAAACATCTCTTGGGAGGCAAGATTACCCCCAGTTGAGAAACACTGATATTCAGCTATTAAGTCACAAGTACTGTTCCTGGCCTGTGGAATATATGTGACACCTCCCCGACCTCCTCCTCCCTGCATATGCCTCTAGAATAATTCCTTCAGATGCCAGTCTGACCTAACCTAAAGGCCTCCCTCCAAGGATCTCACACCTCGAACCTGACAGCACAAGGCTCTTTCCAGGCGAGGTGCTCAGGTTTCCCTGCCAGTGGTAACTACCTTGTTGGAATCCAGGGTGATGTGTTACAGAGGGTGGCTGAGAAAGTCCAAAGGACGTGCCCGCTGAGTCTTCAAGGACAAGTCAGAAGGAACTAGGAAGAAAATGGAAAAGTCTTGCTAGACAGAGAGCATGTACCAGGCTGAGGGCGGCGGCTCACGCCTGCAATCCCAGCACTTTGCGAGGCTGAGGGGGGTGGATCACTTGAGGTCAGGAGTTAAAGACCAGCCTGGCCAACATGGTGAAACCCTTTCTCTACTAAAAATACAAAAATTAGCTGGATGTGGTGGTGCACACCTGTAATCCCAGCTACTCAGGAGGTTGAGGCAGGAGAATTGCTTGAACCTGGGAGGTGGAGGTTGCAGTGAGCAAAGATCATGCCATTGCAACAGAGCAAGACTGTCTCAAAAAAAAAAAAAAAAAAAAAGAGAGAGAGAGCGAGCATGAGAGCATGTACCTAATGGCAAGGAGTGAGAAAAGCTGCCTTCTCCTGACTCTAATGTCAACATACGATGAGAAATGAAGCTGGAGATAAAGCAGGGCCCAGGTCTTGAGGAACCAATTATACCATGCCATGGAGTTTGGAATAGATCCTGAGTATATTTAGAAACTGAGAGGAGAGTGCATCTGACTTGCATTTTAGAAAGATCTGAAGTACAGAAAATTACAAAGATTGGTGCCTGTAATCCCAGCACTTTTGGAGGCTGAGGCAGAAGGATTGCTTGAAGCCAGGACTTTGAGACCAGCCTGGGCAACGCAGCAACTCTGTCTCTACAATAAAAAATAACAAAAATTAGCTGGGCATGGTAGCTCACGCTTGCAGTCCCAGCTACTTGGGAGACTGAGGTGGGAGGATCTCTTGAGCCCAGGAGTTTGAGGCTACAGTGACCTATATGATCAGGCCACTGCACTCCAGCTTGGAAGACAAAGCAAGACCCTTGTCCCTAAAAACAAACAAACAAACATAGCTGGGCTTGGTGGCATGCACCTATAATCCCTGCTACTCTGGAGGTTGAGGTGGGAGAATCTGGGAGGTGGAGGCTGCAGTGAGCTGAGATCATGACACTGCACTCCAGGCTGGGCGACAGAGTGAGACTCTGTCTCAAAAAATTAAAAAAAAAAATAAAAACAAACAAACAATTAAAAAGATGGGGGAGGCCAGGCGCGGTGGTTCACGTCTGTAATCCCAACACTTTGCAAAGCCAAGGTGGGTGGATCACTTGGGGTCAGGAGTTTGAGACCCCCTGACCAACACGGTGAAACACTGTCTCTATTACAAATGCAAAAATTAGCTGGGTGTTGTGGTGAGCTCCTGTAACATCAGCCATTCGGGAGGCTAAGGCAGGAGAATCGCTTGAACCTGAGGGGTGGAGGTTGCAGGGAGCCGAGATTGCGCCACTGCACTACAGCCTGGGTGACAGAGCGAGGACTCATCTCAAAAAAAAAAAAAAAAAAAAAAAAAAAAAAGATGGGGGATTTAAAACAGAAGCATGGGCCACCTGAAGATGAACACTTGATGTGCATATAAAAGGAGACACCTGCCAGAATTCACTCCTGCCTTCTTACGCCACAATGGGGAGGATTCTCCTCCTAGTACCAATGATACCACGAAGACTGGCAGGAAGAAGAGCACAGGTACCTCCTCTTCCACCACCCACGTATGTGGGAGAGGAAACTTTTGAACACCAAGGCAGGAAGAAGAACTTTTTCTTCTGGGAACCAAGACTTCACAGAGAGGTTGAGTTCCCTGTCATCCCAATTTCCTACTTGAAATTCAGGATACATTTTTCCCAGAAAGAAATATGATACAAAATTTTGCTATTTTTAAACGGATGATTCAGCCAATTTATGGATGAGAGGTGTTTTGTGTATGCATGTGTGCTTGTGTGTGTATATTAGCTGCTGAACATATTGTTGGTGCTATGGGAAAATGAATTGCAGATTGACTTTCAAGCTACAATCCATTTGCCAGCTGTGGACTCCGCACGCCTATGCAGAGAAAGTAAGAGCAGTAATGACAGTGGCAAAATGCACCAGACAAGTTGTGATTAGAACTCTTCCATAAAGAAGGGAGTCTGGGGCTACTTAAGAGCAATGCAGCTGACCACATAAAATGCAAATTGAAGCAAGCTCTAGGTGGCTGTTCAGGCCCTGCCTGGGCTAAGCCAGTTTACAGAAAGCTCCAGCAGCTATCCCAGGGCCTGGCTCCATCAGTGTTTGGGAAAGTGAACTAGATTTTCACACGTGTCTCCTGGTTAAATGAGACTTAGGAAACCATGCTGGTTTGAGGGGGTGCTGAGCTTGTGTGTATACGATAGGAGGGAAGGGACAACATGGATTAGCCTAGAAGGACAATAAAAGAGTTAGAAAGTCCTTGCACCTGTGTTCACAGACCAGCAATGCCTTCCTCTTAGGGGCAGAAGCTAATATGGAGATTAGATTGCCTTCACTAATTGTCAAGAATGTCAGTAAAGGGGACCAACTTAAGTAAATTAATGTTAGTCTCACAACCTATTGCATATTTAAGATTTGATTTGCTGGTTTGCAGCTGAAATAAGACGGCTTCCTTCCCTCTAATGCATCCCTTATGCAGATGGTCCTGGCTTCCAGCATCCTAAATACAATTCCAATAGTTTTCATTAGTAATCATCAAATCTAGCTGAATCTTCTTTCAAAGTGCCTCTTTTTGCCTTTCACTACTGACCTAACCTATCTCTAGCCTCTCCCAGTTCCAACCCACCTTGATTGCTGAGGGCAAATTTACTTTCTTAAAACAATGCTTGGATTAAGTTACGCCCCTTTGCAAGACCCTTTCACCTCCCCGCAAGTACCTGCAGAATAAAGTCCAAACCTCTAGCCCACCTTTTAAGGCCCTGTGGAGTCCTCACCTGTAAATCTCCCCCGCCCTCACCACTCCTGCACACAAGGCAACAAGGTCTCCTTGGCAGCTTCTGAGTAAGGTTGTCCTTATTTCTGCCACAGTGCTTTGTCCACACCTCCTTGAATTCCTCAATTCCTCCCTCTGTCTTAAAAGAACATTTCTGAGTCTGTCTGCTCCATGAAGTATAAGTCCGAGCTCATTTTTGCCCATGCCCTGCTCACTCCTCTCCATTCCTTGCAGTGAATTGTGCTAAGCATCTCTGGCTTCCTTGTGAAAAAGGTGATGCCGTTCTCCATCAGGGTGCTGTGTACCCACTATGTGTGAGCGGTACAGAATGAATGAACATCCCAGGGCCCTAGAAAGGCGCCTGGCACATCCTGGACACTCAACAAGTATCTTTTAATTTTAATGAATAAATTCAAGATATTCGACTGTATTCATTTTCCACCCACTTTCCCCCTAGGCCAGGGACTCTCCTCCCAGGTGAGAAAAAATCATCTAGATACCTTAATTTTGATAAAGTTAGCGTTGATGTATAAAAAGCAGAACTTCCTCTGTAACCCTGTGAGAAATGAGAAGCCTCCAATCTTCTTCCCCACACCTACCCCCTACTGAGTTTCGGGTTCCTTGGAAATAACTGACCTGGATTGTTTCTGACAAAATAAAACTTTGCATCTTCTCCACAGAGCAAAGGTAACCTTACCTCCAGCCAACCCAATCATCCATACATTTTTCTTACTAGAAAAAATGTTTTTAAAAATGGAGGTGTGGCCGGGCGCGGTGGCTCACGCCTGTAATCCCAGCACTTTGGGAGGCCGAGGTGGGCGGATCATAAGGTCAGGAGTTCGAGACCAGCCTGGCTAAATGTTGACACCCCGTCTCTACTAAAAATTAGCCGGGCGTGGTGGCGCATACCTGTAATCCCAGCTACTTGGGAGGCTAAGGCAGGAGAATTGCTTGAACCCGGGAGGCGGAGGTTGCAGTGAGCAGAGATCGCGCCACTGCACTCCAGCCTGGGCGACAGAGCGAGACTCCCTCTCGGGAAAAAAACAACAACAACAACAACAAAAAAACCCCCAAACAAACAAAAAACGGAGGTGTGAGGGTAAAACGTCTACAGGCAAGAACAGCACAACAGGTGCTGAGCTGCAAAATCAACACACTAAACTCCCAAACAGACCTTCTCGACAAGCCAAAAGCTCTTTAGCTAACCTAATATTCTTTAGCTGTTGTTTCAGAGGCTTTTCGAGAACAAAACTGCCGCCCCGTCTTGGCCTTGCCGCTTTTCACCCATCACTCTACTGAGTGTGTGTCTGACTTGTTTATCTGGACGCAATCTTTGTCGCACCCAGTTATCTCGCTCAGCGACCGGGGCGACCACGTTTCCTTAAATCAGAGCCCCGTGGACTCCGCCGGAGAACTACATTACCCAGCGGCCTTCGCGCCCTTCGCAGGAAGGACGTCTGCGCACTAAGATACTCAGTTCCAAGTTTGGAGCTTTTAGCTGCCAGCCCTGGCCCATCATGTAGCTGCAGCACAGCCTTCCCTAACGTTGCAACTGGGGGAAAAATCACTTTCCAGTCTGTTTTGCAAGGTGTGCATTTCCATCTTGATTCCCTGAAAGTCCATCTGCTGCATCGGTCAAGAGAAACTCCACTTGCATGAAGATTGCACGCCTGCAGCTTGCATCTTTGTTGCAAAACTAGCTACAGAAGAGAAGCAAGGCAAAGTCTTTTGTGCTCCCCTCCCCCATCAAAGGAAAGGGGAAAATGTCTCAGTCGAAAGGTAAGAGGCTGTTTGCATTAGTTGCAAAAATGCAAAGGGTTGTGCATGCATTTATGAATGCATGGATGCAATTTTCGCCTGGCGAGTGCATTTTTAAGTTTGAGGTTTTCCACAGCTCAGTTGCATTTCCTGTTTAGTATGTGTCTTTTTTTGCAGACACAGAGAGTTCCTGTAAGGCAGGGCTTGCAGTTCAGCTGTGCATTGACGTTATTTGCATTCTTCTGCTAGGATTACTGAGCTCTTTTTGCCTTTTGCACAGTCAGGAGAGACAGAGCAGGTTGGTAGCGTCTAAATGTGCAAGGCTTTATATAATTGTAAAATTCTTTACTATGCACAGATATTGTAAGTAATTTTGTATGCAACAGGAATAGAAACTTTTAAAAACTCTATAGGTGAAGATGAAAGGTAAAACTTGAGTTAAACTACTAGGAAATTAATGTAATCTTATATTCTTTGGGGGAAATAGACCGTTGCGGTGCCAGTATTTAGCTAAATTTCCATTGATATCGCCTTGAACATTAGGTAACTTTTGATTTTTAAAGGAAGTAAAGGTGAAGGGTGAATAACAGCATATCACAAAAAAGCAGACGAGTCTTGCTCTTCTGAGATTTTGCACTTTACACCAATTGCTTATTGGCTCGCAAAATTTAGAAGCAGCAGTGAAGACCTAATGTTTTATGTCTGCCCATTTGGGGGATGCTTTGCATCTTGGGGGAAAATATTGGGGGTAAAACTGTACTTTTAAGCATTACAGTAGTGTGAAGGGACTGCACTGTTTCATTGACAAGCATAATGAAATATTTTAAGTGTGTAACTGCGTGTATTTAGTCAGCTGTAATAGGTTGGAAGTTCACGTTATGGTTGTTTTCTTTATGTTCTTTTATTTTCTTTTCTTAATTTTTGTTTTTAAACACAGTTGTATTTTGCAGGCTTAATGTCACCCTGGGAAGGGGATTTAAAAAATTCCTGATATGACATCAAAGAGCAGACTAGGTGCTGTCAGGTGCCCCTGGGACCCCAAGTCACTTGTTTCAGAACAATTGTTTCTTTACCATAGAGAAAGCATATGCCATATGAGAAGTATGGGATGATGAAGAGAGGTGTTAGATACTATTGAATTAGGCTACCCGGGGCACTCTTTGAGTAAGACATGGTGAAATTAAAGGGTCTAACAAGCTTTTTGCTACTTTTTTGGGAGGGAGTGTGGGGAGTTGTTGCACCGCTTTTTAATTCTACCTGATGGGAGTCATATATCTCAGCAGCCCAAGAAGGAAGTAGTAATCTCAAGCATTCAAAGTAGCACTCTGCTTTTCTTTGAGTATTAGGGGAGAATGGAAATCTGAAAAGTTAAGAGTGCTGAAGAACCTAGGAATTGACATATCAGGTGGAGATGTTCCTCAAGTGGGGAAAACCTAAAAATCTCCTTATTGAGTAGAGAAATAATAGTTCAGAAGAGGCAGTCCATGCTTTGATGTATTAAAGAGATGGCATTTAGTTACTTTGTATTTGGTAAACATTCGCTCATTCATTCAATTCAGTTTAATATATGTGTAATATATTGTGATATGCATGTATATACATATGTATGTGTGTATATATATGCATGTATATGTATGTATTGTGTGTGTATGTGTGCACATGATTTAGGGACACACAAAAATATTTAAAATGAAGTTTTTCCTTCGGGTTGGTGAAAACAAGAATGTAAGGAAATCATTATAATACAAGATAATAGGACAGGTATTGAAGAGAAATGGTGCTATTGGAGTTTAAAAATGGAAGTGATTTATCTATTTGGGGGATAGTCAGGAAGGTTTATGAAGAGGGTGGTGTTTACTGTGATCTTATCTTTGGACTTTAGGGTCTAAACTAAATCAGGCTCCTTTTTGCATATTTTTGGGCTCACTATGAACGTGGCTCCCTCTTAGTAGAGCCAGTTTTTGAGTTGAGAAGCCAAAGGAGATATTAGCACTGCACTCTTCCCTATGGATGTGTTTACAATGGATCAGGTACTGGTGGTCCTTCAAATCAATTCCCATTTACCCAGATGAGTTTTCTTAATTGGATTCTGCTTGGAAAGTACATCTGGAATGAACATGGGGTTCTTGTCCGAAAGGAAAATTATTGGTAGAAAGAAGTGGGTGATCATTTTAGAAATGGCAAAAGAGCCAGCCGCCTTGGCCTGGACTTTAAATGTGGAATTGGCCTTATTCAGCTACGCTATTCTCAAATGGCCAAAATACTTTTTGCAGTACCAAACTTCTTTTTTAATATTCTAACCCAAGAAATGGGAGGAAAAGTGAAAAGTGGATACAATCTCATAGTATTGAAGAATTTAACAATATGTTCAATTCAAGGACCTTTACGAACTTTCTAGATCACTATAATTCGGTTTAACAGACCTCTAATTTAAGGCACAGCAGAGGCAAAGGAATTACAGACTCTCTGGAAGCTGGAAGGACTGGGTTACTGCTCTACAGCCTTACCAACAGTGAGATTCCGAGAAAGAATTTCTTAAAAAGAAATTTTGTTTTCCACAGTTGTAACTTTAGGTGGTATGCTTTTCAGCTTGTTTATATTAGCTGTCTGGGGTTGAGTTGACATTTTTCAAATATTAAAGCAGTAGAATGCCTTTTGAGGAAATCTGAAATGTAAGTTAACAGGAAGGGCACCCAGAAAGTGCAGGAATTCCTGCACACTACAGGAAGACAAGCTACAGGAAAAATGTGTCATCTACACTACCCGGGAGAGAAAAACTATTGTTATCAGCCATAATGATCTCCGGAGGGAGGGAGAGAAAGAGGGAGGTAGGGAGATCTGGCATCCCCCAGTTCACCTGAAAATACACAAAAAGTTTGACCCTGTTAAAATACACTTTTCTCACTTCTCCTCCTATTCACCTTTAAAAAATATTAGTTTATTTTAGTTTTAGAGAGCAATAAGTAAATCATGTAAGAAATGCCTATGAGGCACAATTCAGAAGCATATAGCAGAGTGGTAGGAAAGGTCTTAACTCTACTGGGGTTCTTTGCTTCTGTAATTCATTCCACCCTTGGGAAATGAAATGTGTAAATTTCTTGTTCTCTATAAATTCCTTTGTTAGGTTGTACCAGACGGACTTGTCATGCTTAGCCTGTAATCTGAGCCAGTATGTTTTATAACCCCGTACATCTCAGGACACAAAATCAGAATAGGTAGCTTGGGTTTCCTGAGCTTGCTTTGTATTAGCATTGCATTCAGTTCTTTAGAGCATGCGGCCTGTTAACTGTAGGGGGCTTCAGGGGTCTCTGGTTGGTAAATTTAATGTTGGAGAAAAGAGTTGAGATTCTCTTGTCTTTGTTTTTCAGATTAGTGTTACTTTAATGACTCCCCAGTATTTTAAAATCTGAAAGATCTACAAGGAATATTTTTAAAACTTAAAAGAAATTTCATAAATAACCCTTGTTCATTATAGAAACATTTCATAGAAAAGGAAAAATAAGAATGACTAGTTACTGCAGTCTACACTTTGGCATTTATTCTCTTGGACTTTTTTTTTCTATCTATGTGTATGAAGCATCCAAAATGTGTGTAAAACTAAGTCTATTTCGTTCCCTCTTGTTTCACTTACCAATATATGGCAAAATATTCCCAAGTTTATATATTTCTACATTCATAGTATCCTCTTCCATTGTATTTATTTAAATAGAATCTTAATGTTTATTAACTTTCACTATTGTGAATATTTCCGTGATGATCATACCAGTTCCTACATTATCATGCATACTATGCCCTTAGATTAAATTCCAGGGAGCAAAACCACAGGCTTTGAATGTCCAGTTCTTCTTCACTCTCCATTCTCTTTTCTTCCTTCTGAAAATAGCTTTTTATTATTGCAAAAAAAAAATGACATATGCTAATCAAAAAATTCAAACCAAAGATAAATTCACAATAAGAATATAAAACTCACTCAAAGTCATACCACCCAGAGCTAATTACTGTTAGTTTTTTGGGTACTATCTCCATATTTGTATGTACATGTTATTTTACACACTATATATTGTATTTTGTAACTTGCTTTTTTATACTCTACCATATATCTTGGATATCTTTCTGTAGTAGTACACATAAGGTTACCTATTTTTTAACAACCGTGAATTTTAATTTGTAAGAATGTAGCCATTTACTTAATGTCATATTGAGTTTTCAAACAGTTTCCATTTTTTTGCACAGCTATACACAGTACTGTAAGGAATACCTGGAACATACATCTTTATACATTTGCCCAATTATTTCTTTAGGATGATTCCTAGAGGTGGAAGTCCTGGGTCAAAGGGCATGTATAGATATATTGCTAAATTGCCCTTCATAGAGGTAACACTAATTCTCATTTCTACCAATAATATTTAGACGTGCCCATTCTGTCCTTTCAAGCATAATGGTACATATTGCCAAGTAAATTGCTCTTCAGGAAGATGGTACCTTTCTTCATCCTGGGTATAACAATTTGAAAAAATCTTTGGCAGTTTGATGAAAGCTATTAATATTCTACTCTAATATTATTAGTGATAAGGCAGTTGCATTTTTCAGTTTTTTTGACATTTGTGTTTCATGTGCCCAAATTTCTTTTTTTCTCATGAAATATATCCTTAAAATTTTAATTTGGGTGGCCAGGCATGGTGGCTCATGCCTGTAACCCCACTTTGGGAGGCCGAGGCAAGTGGATCACCTGAGGTCAGGAGTTCAAGACCAGCCTGGCCAACATAGTGAAACCCTGCCTCCACTAAAAATACAAAAATTAGTCAGGCGTGGTGGTGCACACCTGTAATCCCAGCTTCTTGGGAGAATCGCTTGAACCTGGGAGGTGGAGGTTGCAATGAGCAGAGATTGTGCCACTGCACTGTAGCCTGGGTGACAGAGCCAGACTTCATCTCAAAAAAAAAAAAAAATTAATTAATTTGGGGATCAAATTATTTTCAAAGTTAGCCAGAAAATAGCAATATTGTAGAGGTTAGGTAATCCTGGATTGATAGTTGGGTTCTGTGTATCTAAACAATTTAATTCCTTGATGAGTTCTAATTTTAATTTTAACCTAATGTCTTAAGCTGCTATCACATATTTTATAAACTCATTTTATTTATATAGTCTATAGCTATCCAGACCTATATGAAAATAATAAGAAAAATGTAGTGATCTGATTAAATTCCAGTCTGAGAAATAGCTTACTTTTGGGCATTCCTGCATTTTCAGTTATCTTTTCAGGCAAAATTAGTTTTTCTTTAGGTTTATAAATAATTCTTACATAGCACCTGGTTGTGTTATATGCATTGTTGCAGAGAAATTTAATCTAATTTTTTTTAGCTTCCTGTGCAATGCCTAATCACAAAAGGTGGTTGACTTAAATTTCCTACATTTGTTAAAATAATTAAGTCTAGAATCTTTAAGATTCTTGTTAAGAATCAATTTTAATGACCTCACAAGTCATATAAGTCAATCAGATTTAACATATCCTTAACATAGCCTTAATAAATGCGCCTATTTATGCATCCTGATATTAAGTGATAGAATTTAGAGCTATGAAAGTTTTATAGTCCAATCACTTCATTTTACACATAAGCTAACTGAGGCCTTGGAAGTGAGTGACTTTCCTGAAGACAGTAGAGTGGAGTCACAGGGAGAAGTCAGATCTACAGATTCTCTGTCCGTAAGTTCTTTTCACTAAACCACACGTGAACACTAATAATCCACATTTATAAAATTTTTTTTTCTTCAGAATCTTTAGTATATTTCACATTTTTAGCTTTGCTTGTTTTTGTTGGGAGCAGTCTGGCAAGGGGGAGCTGATGGTATAATGAGCAGGGGTTATTTTTCTGTGTCCAAGAAATGGTGACATGTGAATCATGGTGGTGGGGTTTCTTACCAGTTCTCTGCCAAAGGATATTTTGCAAATGCTCTCATTTTGATTCCCAGTGCCTACATAGTACAGCTGCAAGTTTTAACCACTGTAATGGTTGTTTGCCTTTTATGGACTGTCTTGTTTGAAAGCCCTTGCTGGGTAACTAAACCTTTTCTTATATATCTTTACATCTCTGACTCTTATAGCATTGTCCTTATAAATAATAGGTGCTCAAAAAATGTCTGACAATGAAAGTATTTTTCATCAGTAGGGATAAGCTCTCATTTGCTCCTAAGTTTTATGAAAGATTTCGGGTAATTAAATTACAATGCAATTTTCTTCTTGTGCTTCTTCTTTGTTTGCACTGATATTCCCATTATGTATTTGCTTAATTATTTGGAAGTTGCAAGAACAGCATGAAAAGCAACTTATAATGGCTGGCGAAGTGTCATTTCTCCTACCTAAGCCTTCTGAACAGATTTAAAGGTTGCACAATTCTCTGCTAACTTTCTTTTTAAAAAATATGAGAAGATGAATTGTCCGAAGAATCCCATCCAATAGAATTGAAGTGATTTCTGCATCCTGTGCTGGTTTTAGGAGCTGGTTTTTAAGTCTATGAGGCTTCTGAAGGATTGTCAGAGACAATCCTTTTTTTGTTGTTGTTTTTTGTTTTTTTTTTTTGAGACAGAGTCTCGCTCTGTCACCCAGGCTGGAGTGCAGTGGTGCGATCTCAGCTTACTGCAACCTCCGCCTCCTGGGTTCACGCCATTCTCCTGCCTCAGCCTCCGGAGTAGCTGGGATTACAGGTGCCTGCCGCCACCATGCCCGGCTAATTTTTTTTGTATTTTTAGTAGAGATGGGATTTCACCGTGTTAGCCAGGATGGTCTCGATCTCCTGACCTCGTGATCCACCCGCCTCGGCCTCCCAAAGTGCTGGGATTACAGGTGTGAGCCACCACGCCCGGCCCAGAGACAGTGTTTTTAACAGCTGGCTGCCCTCTAACAAAACAGGGAACTTCGCAAGGATCACCTCCCAGTGAAATGATTCTTCACTTCCTCCTTGACCACCTCCACTGCCTCTGCCCAGCCCCTTCCTCCCTGGCTTGTACCCCACTCTGTCTCCTTTGATGGTCTTCCTGAGTTGGCCCATGCGGTTCAGTATGTAGTCCATAATCTCCCTCTTTCTGAGTTGAGGAGGATATTCAGGTTATAATCCCCATACAATGAAGTCTATCAGAAATCATCGTAATTTTTTTTTTTTTTTTTTTTTTTTTGAGATGGGGTCTTGCTCTGTCACCCAGACTGGAGTGCAGTGGTGCAACCTCAGCTCACTGAAACCTCTGATTCCCAGTTTCAAGCAATTCTCCTGCCTCAGCCTCCCGAGTAGCTGGGATTACAGGTGCCTGCCACCATACCAGGCTAATTTTTGTATTTTTAGTAGAGACAGGGATTCATCATGTTGGCCAGGCTGGTCTCAAACTCCTGACCTCAGGTGATCCACCCACCTCGGCCTCCCGAAGCACTGGGATTACAGGTATGAGCCACCACGCCTGGCCAAATCATCGTAATTTAGTCAACTCCAGTCTGAGTTGAAGCATTAAATAAGCATTTGCAGCATCCCTGTCATCTGTTTTACTTTCTGGTCTGTACATCCCTTCTTAAGTCAGATTCTTGAGATTAGTCTTCTTTGGACAGACCATTAGCCCCAGGTGGAGCTGCTGATCACAACCCCTCCCTGTACCACTCCCAAGGCTGTTGTCATCATCACTTACCCTAAGCCAGTTACTTTTCATATAGTATGCTTTAGGATGTCCCATAAACACTATGGACAAAGTTGGTGTTATTATCCTTAATTTACGAGTGAGGAAATCAATTGTTGTTAACCAATTTGCCCATGGCTGGATAGCGAGTCAGTGGCAGAGGCAGGATGGATGTCTGACTGGTGGGCCTGTGCAGCAAACTGCAGCTCCTGGGCCAAATCT
The DNA here is from genome assembly GCF_000001405.40 of Homo sapiens. Taxonomy (NCBI): domain Eukaryota; kingdom Metazoa; phylum Chordata; class Mammalia; order Primates; family Hominidae; genus Homo; species Homo sapiens. The sequence goes on from NC_000017.11 coordinate 69,422,858, forward strand.
AGCTTCAGCTGTTGTTTTTGTTTGTTTGTTTGTTTGTTTGTTTGAGATGGAGTTGCGCTCTTGTTGCCCAACTGGGAGTGCAATGGCGCGATCTTGGCTCACTGCAATCGCCACCTCCTGGGTTCAAGCGATCCTCCTGCCTCAGCCTCCCGAGTAGCTGGGATTACAGGTGTGCACCACCACGCCCAGCTAATTTTTTGTATTTTTAGTAGAGACGGGGTTTCACCATGTTGGCCAGGATGATCTCGATCTCTTGACCTTGTGATCCGTCCTCCTCGGCCTCCCAAAGTGCTGGGATTACAGGCGTGAGCCATCGTGCCCGGCCAAGCCTCAGCTGTTTTTAAGTATAGCCCGTGAGCGAAGATGGTTTTCCCATTTTTAAATGATTGAAAAAAAATCAAAATCAATGTTTCATGACACATGAAAATGATACGAAATTCAAATTCAGCATCGACAAACAAAGTTTTATTGGAACACAGCTATGGTCATTCATTTATATGTTTTCCATGGCTGCTCTTTGCTCGACAGCTGTCGAGTTGAGTAGTTGCGCCAGAGCCCCTATGTCCCACAAAGCCAAAAATATTTGCTATCTGGTCCCTTGCAGAAAATGTTTGTTGACCCTTTCCTTTATGACTTTATTCCATCGAATACTGGGGTCTCTTCATGACAGAGCTCCCAGAAACATTCCTCTCTGGCTTTAATTGGAAGTTGTTAACCTGGATAACTACTGCTCTGCTGCTCAGCCAGAGACCTCTTGGGCCCAGCCCACAGGAAACGTCTGAGTGGTGTCTCTCCTAGTTATAAGAATTGTAGGTCATTGCTCATTTCCTCTGAACTAAGTTACCCGTCTCCTTTTGCCCGTCCTGGGGTCTTTTCCCCTTAGTTGTGTTCTTCCTGTTTGCTTTATATTTCTTTCCTTTTTTTCTTCCCTTCGATGAGAAGCTGCTTATTAATTCTTCCCTGAGACTCTTCATCCTCCCCTTATTGATCCCACATTTCTTTAGAAAGTATTAGGTTGGTGCAAAAGTAATATTGTTTTTTATCATCACTTTTCATGGCAAAAACCACAATTACTTTTGCACCGACGTAAGAAATCAAAAATAACTCTCCTGCTACCACCATTGCCTGGCTTGTTGGTTATCATCATGACCCAGCTCAGAGGTTCCATCATTTCTTTTGTGTCAACGTGAAAGCCTCCCTGCATGGGACCAGAGAGGTTTCCAGTTATCATCTCCTGCAAAGTTTAGAGCTGTTTTCTTACATTAACCCCCTAACCCCGGGTGGGCAATTTTCTTTTGAGGACGAATATTCTTTGTGCTCACAGAGTCGCTTACATCGTGGATATTGGGTATATTTAGGAGAGAAGGTTTTGATAGAGGGTCTGAAAATGAAGGGAGGTGAAAGCTACATGTAGACAGAGGAGCTTTGGTAGAATGAGCCCAGATTTGTTCACCACATCCAGAATGATGTAAATTTAAGTCACGTACAAAGAAGTGCTAATTTCTACCATCCCAGATGGTATCACTGCTGTGATTCTTTCTGTGCTCCAGATACTGTGCTTAGTGATGAATGTGAATTCTATCATTTACTCTCACTATGGATCAGTGAGGTGATATCCCATTTTGTAGATCAGCAAACTGAGGCCGGAGAGGTTAAGAACTTGCCTCAGTTACCAAACCGATAGTGGCAGAGCAGAGGTTTTAGCCAAGGTCTGTCTGACCTCAGAATCTGAGCTCCTGGCGACTCCACTTGAGACGTCACTCCAAAATAAAGGTATGAAATCCATTACACCAAAGACATGGTCGAAGAATGAAAAACGAGTGTATTCTGTAGGAATTTGGATAGATTTGGGCATACCAGGGCCAAGTATGGTAATTAAGAAGGGCTGACCTGTGTCTAGCTATTTATAGGTTCTTTTTGACATGTCCCTTTATATGTCTTTTGATCACAGAGTACAGAGTCTGACTCATTTTGACTCTTAAGGTTGAGTTCCAAATAGAAACTGCCCATTGGTTGAAGGAGGCTGATTACAATTGGCCCACTGATAGTTACTGGTCTGGATATACAGGAATGTTATGTTAAAATGTAGGTAACAAATATTGCTTCCATTTGCTGTTCTGTAGGTTGTATCACACAGAAACTAAGCCGACTCAAACCTTGTGTGTTTCCTTACACATCTAAGTTAAATTGTATTAAAACTAACAAGAACGTGGCCAGTGTGGCAGCATACCTAAGTGTGGGGATTTTGCAGCCCCTTTTTGGCTTAGTGACTTTTTTTCTTCCTGGTTGTTTCTATGTAAATGTAACAATTTCCTTGAAATGATGAATGAACCCACATCTCCAGTGTTTTCCTCTTGTACTGGACAGAGTGGAGGAAACTGGAATTGCCTGTTTTTGTGGCAGAGGAGGTAGATGGGGATGGAAATGAATTTCCTTTTAAAGCAATGAATTCTTTTTTTTTTTGTTTTTTTCTGAGATGGCGTATAGCTCTGTCACCCAGGCTGGAGTACAGTGGTGCTATCTCAGCTCACTGCAACCTCCGCCTCCCGGGTTCAAGTGATTCTCCTGCCTCAGCCTCCCAAGTAGCTGGGATTACAGGCGCCCACCACCACACCCAGCTACTTTTTGTATTTTTAGTAGAGATGGGGCTTCACTGTGTTGGCCAGGCTGGTGTTGAACTCCTGACCTCATGATTCGCCCGCCTCGGCCTCCCAAAGTTCTGGGCTTACAAGCATGAGCCACCGCACCCGGCCTAAACCAATGAATTCTTTCTCGGCTTTCTCTCCAGCCAAAGCAGAACAGCTATACCTATGCCTCAGTTGTTTTTCATGATCCCATGTCGAAGCTGCGGAAATAGATGGTCTGGTTGTTGAGTGACAAGTTATTTATTCCCTTCCTTTATTCTCCCTCCTCCAATTTCAAATGGGATGAGAGGAGATAGCTGTAAGCGTAGGGCTAGAATCTGAAGAATCAGTGGGAACAGAATAGTTCAGAGTATGGAAATTAGTTTGAAGTAAATGTAGAGATAACCTTTTTGTGATATTTGTAAACCTTGCGAGGCAGTCTTCACAGTTTATTTACCCCTTCCTGTACCCGAAACACCTTTGCCATTTGAAAAAAAAAAATCACAAACTCTGCATATACCTAAAAAGAGGACTTGGATAAGGAGTTTGTTTAGATCAATTCAACAAAGGTTTTTGTTTGTTTGTTTGCTTTTTTCATTCAGGGTCTTCTATGTGGCCCAGTCTGGCCTCAACTCTTGGGCTCAAACATCCTCCTGTGTAGCTGGGATTACAGCCAGTGCCACTGTTCCCGGCTCAAATAATACATTTTTGATCTATTGTTATGTTTAAGACATCATGCTGGGTAGAAATAGGCAGAAATGCATTTGACTTTACTCTTCCAGTGATTAGCCATGTGGCCTTGGAAAATCTACTTAACCTCTAGCTTCGGTTTCTTCACCTTCTAAATAAAAAGACTGACACTCATTCACGAGGTCTTTATGAAGATTAAGCAAGGTCATATATGTAACATGCTTTGGCCAGTGCTTGGCATTCATTTATTCAACAAATATTTATGAGTGCACTTTATATTTGAGGTACTTTGCTATAGTACTCTCTCTATAAACATACATTTGCTTCACTCTTCCTTTCCTTCCAGCCCTTAAGGAGGTTATTGTCTAGGAGGAGGTAAGAAAAGCATAAAAATGTGTAGAATCTAAACTGGAATCCTAGATTAGCTTAAAAGAGGTACTATTGAGTGGGAAAGTCCTATGAATAAGAGAGAGATCAGGAAAGTGTTGACAGGTGTGGAGGTATCAATGTGATTTTTAGAATCAATGAGGAAATTAGATCCAACATAGGTACGGGAAGGACTCTTGACTTCTAGTATCCAGTGGCACAATAGAACAATAAAATAGAGCAATTCTTTAGAAGGATTTAAAAAAAAAAAAAGAAAAGAAAATGCCCCAGCAAAGTATCTGAAGCTTAAGAGACCTTACTTGTGTTTTCTAAGAACTTCCTTTTTCTTACCAAGATTAATACTGTAGCTATTGCTTGTGATTGCAATAGGTGAATAAATGGAATATATCATATCTCATACTTTTAGGTGTTTTTTGGATTGTGGAAACTCCAGGAAATCTAGAGGTTAATAGTTAAACAAGTATATCATATCAACCAGGTTTATAGACACACTGTAATTATATAAGCAAGCTGTTGGTTCAATAATCAACGTCTAGCTGGGTCAGGGAATATTTTCCAGAGCTTGGCCACGGCTGTAATTTTCATTTTTTATAACCTGCTAACATGCCAACCTGCCTTTTCCATTTCTTTTTGTTTTTCTCGAATCATCTGAAATCAGTGTAAGAGAAGGAAACCTGTTCAATGTACTTTTGAATTCTCATTTTATTTACCTCAAGTAAAATAGTGTTCTGGAAAGTTCTTCGTATTACCAAATTGACTTTCTCAAGCATGATACTGGATATTAGCAAGGGAGTTCATAATTTATTTTCTATTTTTAATTTCAGAAAAATACAGTTCTAAGAGATAAAAAGATAAACATATAAAAATAAAAAGGAAGATAAAAATACAGGATAAAAGATAAAATATTTAATACAATTAATAGATTAAATACATTTTTTCTTTTATTATTTTGGTTTCAAAAACAGAGTGACGTATAGCTCTGGGGCTCACAGTGGGCTGTTTCTCTGTGAACCTAGCATTTAATCACCTTCTTTCCCTCAATAACTCCATTTAAACAGAGTCAGTACAGTGTGAAGGAGGTGAATTGAGTCACCCCTCCTCAGATTCATGTAAGCCACAGGGCAGTTTTGGCCTCACTTTGCTGTGTGGTTAAAGATAACATATGACCCAGCCAGGTAGAAGACCTGTCAGCCATATCATCTCATTCAAGTGGCCTGCAAAGTCTTCTTGCTTGGGACTTTGTTCCTGAATGAGCCTCTATTTTTGTAAGGAAAGTAGAGGAAAACAATGCAGATTTAATTCTGAAATTGGTTTAAGAATGGGATTGAGAAATTTTGATATATTCAGTCTGGAATAATTGTTTTCCATCCCGAGTTTCATTCTTTCTTTTTGATGTAACCCTATCTAAGGACAGGATAGCTAGTCAGTGTTGAGCAAGACATGGCAGGTAGAGGACTAGCTGTCTCTGGATTGCATTTAACAAGCATTATAGAACAACCAAATAAATTATCTGTACCTCACTCTGTGCTAGACTGATACAAAAATGAACAGAATCCTCTTACTACCCTCAAGAAGCTCATATTCTAGTGGGATGTCTATGTTTGCTAGAGCTACTGTAACAAAGTACCACAAATTGGGTGGCTTAAACCACGGAAATTAATTGTCTCGCAGTTCTGGAGGCCAGAGGTCCAAGATCAAGTTGGCGGCAGGGCTGGCTCCTTCTGAAGGCCATAAGGAAAAATCTGTTTTGTGCTTCTTCCCTGGCTTCTGGTGTTTGCTGGCAATCTCTGCATTTCTTCCCCTGTATACTCATAGCCCAGACTTTGCCTTCATGTTCACATGGCATTCTGCCTGTCTGTGTCTGTATCCAAATTTCCCCTTTTTATAAGGAAGCCAGTCATATTAAAGTTAGGGCCCGCCCTACTCCAGTATGACATCATCTGTCATCAAGTAAGATCCCATTCAGAGATGCTGAGGGTTAGCTGAGGGTTAGGACTTCAGTATATTAATTTTAGGAGGACATAGTTCAACCCATAACATGGCAGGCAAACATGGTCAGCAAACTAATGATACTCTGTGTGAAATGCACGTAAGTTCTGGTATAAGATACGAGTAGGATACCAAAGAAGGTGGGTGCATAACTCAGCCTGGGAAGATCAGGAGTCTGTTGGTAGAGGAAGGACCTTAAGTTGGTATAGCAGAACTTGCAGTGTGGTTCTCAGGAGAATAAGGAAGTAAAACAAGAGACTTCCCATCTGGTCCTTGAACGGACAGACTACCTGCCCTTTCTTCTGTTTTTGTTTTTGTTTTTTTTTTTTTTAATTGTTAATGACAGACTGGATGGTTCTAAACTGGGGTGTGTTAAATTAGAGAACACACACACACACACACACACACACACGTTGTTGTATTGATTCCCAAAACTGAATTTGTGTTTAGTGGTAATGAGACCTACACAACACTCCCTGTGGTTGTCACAGGCAGCTTTGATGTACAGATACAGGGACAGGACTTGGTGGTTGGGAGAAAGGATCATCCTTCCCATTGTAACAAATGGTCCTAGTCCTACTGGGACAAAGTTTCAGAGGGAGAGAGTGGGCTGGGCTGGTGGCTCATGCCTGTAAACCCCAGTCAGGCTGGAGGCTGAGACAGAAGGATCACTTGAGGCTAGGAGTTTTGAGACCAGCCTGGGCAACATAGTGAGACTCTGTCTCTACAAAAAGTGAAAAAAAAAAAAAAAAATTAGCCGGGCATGGTGGTGCATGCCTATAGCCCTAGATGCTTGGGAGGCTAAGGTGGGAGGATCACTTGGGCCCAGGAGTTCAAGTTTGCAGTGATCATTCCACTGCACTCCAGCCTGGGCAACAGGGTAAGACCTTGCCTCTAAAAGGAGAGTGAGAGAGAGAGAGTAAGAACCAAGCCATGGCAAAGCTGATTTTTAGATAAGGCCTGTAAGTCTTAAAAAAAAAAGTATTCATGTGTTACCAAGCTCTTGCAATATTGATTATTAACAAAGGTCTTTTCAACTATGTGTATATTTCCTAGAGCTAATATGCAGCTTTATTTTCTTTATGTGATCTGGGTACCTTTAGTATAAAATTATGAGTAAAATATCAGAAGCTGTTTCAGTAAGAAAGGGCACTAAGGAAAGAAATTGTTAGGCATGTTGTGTGAGGTGGTTGGGGGTCAGGTCAGTGGAAAGGAACTTTTCCAGCTGAGAGCTGATGTCCATCATCCATCAGATTATCCTGCTGGGGTGTTGATGGCAGCAGGCTTCAAGTGTGGGGGCCAGGTGGGCAACCCAGAGAAAGTCACAGGAAGGTGAAGCTGGGGTGTGGGGCCTGGGCATCCCTTGGAGCTAGGTAGAGGGATAGTCGTGGGACAGGTGATCCGAATAACAAAAGAACAGGTGAGCAGCAGAGGCTCAGCAGAAAGTCAAGAATTAGATGAGTCAATGTGGAAGGGGAAGAAAGAAATAATAAAATAGGCCGGGCACAGTGGCTCATGCCTGTAATCCCAGCACTTTGGGAGGCTGAGGTGGGTGAGTCACTTGAGGTCAGGAGTTCGAGACCAGCCTGTCCACCATGGTGGAACCCCGTCTCTACTACAAACATATTAAAAAAGTAAATTAGCCAGGCGTGGTGGCACATGCCTGTAATCTCAGCTACTCGGGAGGCTGAGGCATGAGAATCGCTTGAACCTGGGAGGTGGAGGTTGCAGTGAGCCAAGATCGTGCCACTGCACTCCAGCCTGGGTGAAAGAGCAAGACTCTGTCAAAAAGAGAAAAAAAAAGAAAGAATAAAATAGAGAAGCCAATTGGAAACCAGGAATCAGAGATTGAAGAGATTCAAGAAACTATGCTGCAGAATCCAGGCAATCATGTGAGCTTTTATTCCATATTAGTTCTGCCTGAAAGAAATGATTATACATCTCTGATTCTTTCAGCTTCAGCAGCAATCTTTGTTCATCTAGCTATTATGTGAAGATGCACTCATAAGAAGCCTGAGTAGGTAGGGTGTAGAAGGACACACAGAAAAAGAGCAACAGAAACTAGTTTGGGGCTTGTTTCAAACAAGCCCGGACTTATCTTCCATGCTGAGTACCTGTACACAGCTCTCTAAGTGGGACCAATGGAGTCAGAGGAAAACAGGAAGCAGTGAATCAGCTGGACTGTCAAGCCACTTCGTTTAAGACAGAAACCAGCTACTGGTTTTCTCTGTCAGGTTAGAGGGAGCACGCAGTCTAATGTGAACAAGCAACCCTGAGCTCTGGACTTCTACATTCAAGGCAAAGCTGGATAGAAGAAACGCAAGTGCTAGAGGAAGGGTTATACTGCTACTCTATTCTAACAATGTATCAGGGGGATGTAGAGCGACTCACTCAGTCTTTGGGAAAGCATTTGGCCCGTATCAAGAACCTGGACAATTTTCGTACCCTTTGATCCAGCATTTTTATTTATGAGAATCTAGTCTATAAAAGTGATTATTGAGTGCTTACTGTGTGCGAGTCTTTGTGATAAGCACTTTGCTAATTAGGTCTAATCCTTCTCAAAACCTGGGCAGTAGGCAATATTTATCTTCTTTTTACAAAGGAGGAAGTTGCAACTTTGGTGCATAACTTGTCTCAGATTATACCGTTAATGGGTGCAGAGCTGGGATTTGAATCTAGTTTATTTAAACACTAAAGTTCATGCTTCTTTTCTATACCACTGCTGTGTCCAAACAGTGAAAAATAGAAACACCCTTATTGTATAATATACAATTATACTATATTGTATATTATGCATATAATTATGTCTTATAATTATATATAATAATTATAATAGTAAGGGGATAGCTTAAGTTATCAAATACTCACTTGATGTAATAGGTTGTGAGGAGATGGCAGTACCATTAATGGAAAGATGCCTGTGACCCAGGAGGAGTGGATATAAATATATCTGGACTATGATTACAAATAAGTGCATGTGTTTGTGTATTTATGTGTATTTTGTTTTACCTTAAGTAAGAGTCTGCGTTAAGGAGAATTTCATGGAGTCCAGTTGCAGGAGGTATAGCTAGGCCTGGTAGGAGCTAAGTAAGGCATTCTCTGACTCCCTCCCTCTTTCTTTATCTGGTCTATCCCCTCCCTTTGCAGGGTCCCTCATTCGGCTTTTCTCTGAGGGTCTTCTCTGCTTTCTGCTTTTCTTGTGGACCAGGCTTTTTGCTCACTCATCAATCAACATGCACATAGTTTAAAAGACTCACCTTCTGTGACTTTCTTGCATCTATATGATGTGTAGTTGTTCCAGTACCCACCATATTTTGGCTAAACTTTCTGGTCTGAGATGACATTCTCTGTCTTTCAGAAAAAAAGAGAAAAATGGGATAATGTGATGAGGAGTGGCTGCCGGATTGGCTGGATCTGAGTCAGGTGTTCACCCCTGTGCATATGAGGCATTAACCCCATGGCTCACTACCCACTTGGAGGTGCTGTAGATCCAGCTTATCTGGGTAGGGGTCACAGAAGGAACAGTCAAATGGCTGATGTCATACGCAGACTGAAAGGAAATGCATTAAGCAAATGAAAGGAACGAATATGGCTGGTTAGACTGATATTTAAATGAAGCTTTGTAGTGTTGTGACATGTGGCATTTTACATCATTCTTTTAATACAAACTCTGCATAAGGTTACATACTATTGATCATGAAGAACTTGATTTTTACTCCAGATATATCATTTAACCCAGCATTCCCATTACTGGGTATATACCCAAAGGAATATAAATCACTCTATTATGAAGATACATGCACAAGTGTGTTTATTGCAGCACTATTCACAATAGCAAAGACTTGGAACCAACCCAAATGCCCATCAATGATAGACTGGATAAAGAAAATGTGGCACATATACACCATGGAATAACTATGCAGCCATAAAAAGGAATGAGATCATGTCCTTTGCAGGGACATGAATGAAGCCGGAAACCATCATCCTCAGCAAACTAACACAGAAACAGAAAACCAAACACCACATGTTCTCACTTATAAGTGGGAGCTGAACAATGAGAACGCATGGACACAGGGAGAGGAAAAACACACATCGGGGCCTATCGGGAGGGGTGGGGGAGGGAGAGCATCAGGACAAATAGCTAATGCATGTGGGGCTTAATACCTAGGTGATGGGTTGATGGGTGCAGCAAACCACCATTGCACACGTTTACCTATGTAACAAACCTGCACGTTCTGCACATGTATCCTGGAACCTAAAATTAAAAAAAAAAAAAAAAAGGATCTTGGTTATTACAGATGCATCTCCTTGGATTTGCTTATATTCTTTGTGAGGGGAAGAGACTCAGACCATATACACTATGATTTGTTCTGTTGCTGATTACTTTTATAACAAGACCACTGGAACAGTAAAAAGGGCTACAATACCCTCTGGTGAACAAACTGAGGCAATGCTCTTGAACCAAGAGAACCAGAAAAGGCACATTGATGCTCTCTAATGGTTAAGTGACAAGTACAAGCTTAATTGTCCAATGATGTGACAGTTGCCCAATGATATGTGGTACAAAGAGTCAGGGCAAGAGATATCAGGCAAAATCTAAAGACAAGACTTCAGAATCATGGAATATTACACATAGCAGGGACTTTGGAAATCAGCTAGCCCAACCACCTCATTTTATAGATGCAGCAATTATGACCGAGAGAGATTATGTAACTGGAAAGGCCAAGGTAGCGGTAAGCCAAGTGTGGAACACAGATCTTGTAAAACTCATGCCTGGGCTCTTGTTAGGATCTCAGTGCATCTTGAAGCTAAGTCAGACTTTGACTCTCTGGGGAGCCCTTATAGTCTTCCTATAAAGACAGAAACTAACTGCTGAGGCTTAAAGATATAAAACAAACAAGAACACCAGGCATGGTGGAAATCAGGACCTCTGTTTATTCAGTCGGTCATCTGCTGATTGAGTGGGTCTGTTCAATCGTGCATGTAGCCATTCCTCTATTTATTAATTCCTTGGACATGTATTAGCTGCTTCACTGTGTGGTTCACTGCTAGGCATGGAGAGTGTAAAGAGAGATGATTCCTACTTTCTAGAAACTCACATTCTAATGGGGGACAGATGTCTCTGCCAATGTTTGTGATGTAATGATACCTCAAAGGGAAAGTGATTATTAACTGCTTGGATCTTGAAAGGTGAATGGGAGAATCAAGGATTGGGAGTGGACAGTCAAAGCAGATACAGCTTTGGTCTGTGGGGCAAGTGAAATGACACGAGTATCTAGAAAATTCTAAAGTTCTGTATGGTTGGGATGTAGGGGTCACCTAGCAGACCCGTGAGAGATGAGATAGGAGAAATAGACAGGAGCCAGGGTACAGAAGGCCTTGCAGTTGAGGAGGCATTGATTGCTTGACTTCAATATACTATGAAGTGCTGCCGAGAGAGGGTTTCTTCCAGCAGCTAGATTAGCATCATTTTGTATTTTAGACTCAACTATGCATCTATGTCCCTTAGCAACAGGTTTTTGTTAATATTCTGAGCTCAGAATGGAATGGATAGCCAAATTGGCTTTGAAGAGCTTTCCTCTGGCAAATCTACCCCTAAAAGATACCAACCTTTACAGAGAAGAGAGTTTGCATGGGTTGATTAGTACTGAATGTAGTTTTCTTTAACTACCATTTGATGACTCAACTCATAATGACATTTTGTTGGCATTTCTCCAACTTGCACTTGCCTCTGTTCAACAGGGCATGCCTTGAGGTCTGATTATACGGTTTTCATTCATACGACATGTCTCCCCCTCTGCTTTTTGTAACTTAACATTCCTGCCTGCCAAGAACGAGGGAGCTTGCTGGCTCTCCCCATTGGCCTCTTCCATGAGGTCATGTGAGTGCTGCTCACTCACATTTGAGTGCCTGCCACTCTGGAGGTTTTACAGAACAGAAAACTCAGCCTCTGTGTTCTAGAGCTGGAGCTTCTGGGCCTTTGGAAGTCAGTCTTAATCTCTGAAACAGGAGAGTGCTCCAGGGTTCCAGAGTCTTACAAAAGTGCAGGAAAATGCACCAAGGTTATGATAAAATGCAAAGCCACACCTAACATGGGCTCTTCCAAATTTCATAAGCAGTTCACATTATTTTTTATTTTTCCACTTTCTTTTTTTTAATCTTGAAATTTCCAAAGTCTGTATCCACAGCCTTGCATAGTTCTTAGCAACAAACTTAGCAACAAATCAGAGAAAAAAATTAGTTATCTATATTTTTAACAAGATCTGTGATCTCCTCCACATCCTCTAACCGCCTTGGGCCTCAGTTTTTTTGTCTGTAACTGGACGGTCACTACATACTATTATTTAAAGAATTACCTAATTTGATTAAGAAAATCCATTAAGCCCAAAAAATGTGAATACAGAGATAGGGTACAAAAGCAAAAGTGTAAAATTAAGACAGGTGAATGCTAGCAGATGAAATAACTCAAACATTTTACCTTTCCTGCACTCCAGTTGGGCTCAAGGATATCATCCATGCTTTTGTTTTTGGTTGAAGCTTGAAAAAATAAATGACTTAAACCATATTCTAATAGTAACCTGAATTTATATATAAAACTGACCCATGTTTGTTTTCCAAAATGCATTTTTCCATTTTCACTCTGCTAGGAATAAAAGATAAACAATGGAGATAGAGGAAGAATGGCCTTTGAATAAGAATTGTAAATGCGGCCAGGCGCCGTGGCTCAGCCTGTAATCCCAGCACTTTGGGAGTCTGAGGCAGGCGGATCATGAGGTCAGGATTTCGAGACCAACCTGGCCAATATGGTGAAACCCCGTCTCTACTAAAAATACAAAAATTAGCCAGGTGTGGTGGCACATGCCTGTAGTCCCAGCTACTCGAGAGGCTGAGGCGGGAGAATTGCTTGAACCCGGAGGTGGAGGTGGTTTTGAGCCGAGATCGTGCCATTGCACTCCTGCCTGGGTGACAGAGTGAGATCCTGTCTCAAAAAAAAAAAAAAAAAGAAAAGAAAGAGTTGTAAATGGTAGAATGTAAAATTAAGAAAGGTTGTGAAGTTTTCAAGGAAAGAACAGCATTGGCTTTGTGAGTTGGTTTAGATCTGATGTTAGTAAAAGTTAAAAAAAAAATTTTCTTTTCTTTTTTAGACAGAGTCTTGCTCTGTCGCCCAGGCTGGAGTGCAGTGGCGTGATCTCGGCTCACTGCAACCTCCACCAGGTTCAAGTGATTCTCCCGCCTAAGCCTCCTGAGTAGCTGGGATTATAGGCACCCGCCACCATGCCTGGCTAATTTTTATATTTTTAGTAGAGATGGGGTTTCGCCATGTTGGCTAGGCTGGTCTCGAACTTTTGACTTCGGGTGATCTGCCCTCTGTGGCCTCCCAAAGTGCTGGGATTACAGGCGTGAGCCACTGTGCCCAGCCGAAAAAACAATAATTTCAAATATGTTCCAATCATTTGGAATCGATTTAAAATAAAAAAAAAAAAAACAAATGTGCTGCCAGCATTAGATTGTTAGACTGCAAACAACACTTTAAAAGAAGTGAACAGCTGTCACACTTCTCTGTCCTCTGTAGAGATTTAGCTTTGGAAAGATAACAAGTTTGTAAATTAACAGATCTCATCTAAATTCCATCCTTTTCCTGGAGCTTCTGCTATCCTAATCCCTCACCCTCCAAGAGCACAGCCCTTTGATTTACTTGATCCAAAGAACTTTTACTTCCTTTCGCTCACTGCTGGATATGCTAATAGGTAGGGTTAAATGAAAATTGATAAAAAAAATACTATAATTATTTTTGTTTTATAATAGTGATTGTACAGTAAATATTTTTTATATAGTTTTACAAAAATACCTATATGGGAGTTTGTGCTTTGGTTATTTAAACCTTGGAAAGAATTTTAAGAATTTTAAGAATTTTCTATCTTGTTTACAATGTTTTATCCTCAGATTCAGGCTCGGTGCCTGGCACGTAGTAGGTGGTCAACAAGTACCTTTAGAATAAATAAATTATTTTTATCAGTATCCAGGGCGAGCCTTATGCAAACTTATAAAGTGGACTAAGTTGGTTTTTGCTAAATTCATCCTCCCTTTTCTAGTCTTTCCTCTTCCTTCTTCTCATAGGAGAATATCTTGTCACACCTGCAGAATCCTCATGTGTCCTCTATATAGTTGACCCTGAACAATGTAAGGATTAGGGACACTGACCCCCCCATGCAGCTGAAACTTTGCATATAATTTTTTTCTCTCTCTCTTTCTTCTTTTTTTCTTTTCTTTTCTTTTATTTATTTATTTTTTTAGACACTGTCTCACTCTGTCACCCAGGCTGCTGGAGTACAATGGTATGATCTCGGTTCACTACAACCTCCATCTCCCAGGTTCAAGTGATTCTCCTGCCTCAGCCTCCCAAGTAGCTGGGACTACAGGTTGCTGCCACCAGGCCCGGCTAATTTATTTTTATTTTTAGTAGAGACGGGGTTTCACCATGTAGGCCAGGCTGGTCTCAAACTTCTGACCTCAGGCGATCCTCCCGCCTTGGCCTCCCAAAGTGCTGGGATTACAGGCGTGAGCCACCGTGCCTGCCTGTATATAACTTTTGGCTCCCCTAAAACTTAAGTGTCAATAGCCTACTGTTGACCAGAAGCCTTACCAATAACATACACAATTGATTAACATATATTTTGTATGTTATGTGTATTATATACTATGTTATTACAATAACCTAAGCTAGAGCAAAGAAAATGATATTAAGAAAATCATCAGGAAGAGAAAATATATTTACTAAGCGGAAATGGATCATCATAAAGGTTTTCATCCTCATCGTCTTCACATTGAGTAGGCTAAGGAGGAGGAGGAAGAAGAGGGGTTGGTTTTGCTGTCTTGGGGTGGCAGGGGTGGAGAGGAAGGCAGGAGAGGCAGACACATTTGGTGAAACTTTTATTGAAAAAAAATCCACATATAAGTGGACTTGTGTGGTTCAAACCCCTGATGTTCAAGGGCCAACTGTATATGTATATATTTTTATTGTGGTTAAACACACATAATGCAAAATTCACCATTTTAATGATTTTAGAGTATACAATTCAGTGGCCTTTTGTTTATTCACAAGGTTGTGCAATCATCACCACTATCTAATTCCAAAACACTATCATCATCACAGAAGGAAGCCCTGTACTTATTAAGGTGTTGCTCTTCAACCCTTCTTCCTGCAGTCCCTGGAAGCCGCTAATCTACTTTCTGCCTCTTTGGATTCACCTATTCTAGATATTCCTATAAATGGAATTATACAATGTATGGCCTTTTGTGTGTGACTTCTGCCACTTGGCAAAAAGTCTTCAAGGTTCATCCATGTTGTAGCATGTATCAGTGGTTCATCCCTTTTATAGCTGAATAATAATTCTGTTGCATTGCTTTACCACATTCTTCTCTTTATATTTCCTATGAAAACCTAGTATCTGGAGAGCCGCTGAAAAAGTAGCCAATAAATTACACGTAAGTGTAGCTAATAGAAAGTGAGTTGAGAACTCATCCAGGGGAATGTGTGTTGCTCCTGTGGTGGAATCTCAGGGATGAGGAAACCTTTCCGAGGGGGACAGGAGACTTTCTGGTGCCACATGAATGGCTGACTTGTTGTAAAGCTAAGTCTACCAATAGCTATGGGACTGGAAAAAGCATTGCATTGAGTAGATGGACACACAGGTTTTGATTCTGGTTTAGATGTAACTAATTGGGTTGCCTGCATTTCCATGGGTCCAATGTTTCTGCTTGTTGTTTTGGTTACCTTGGGTTTGGCTTTCTATCAGGCCTTCTGCTAAGCTCATTTACATGCATTATCTCATTTAATTCTTCACAAAAAATTATATGGAAGTCATAGAAGACTAAATACAATAGCTGAAGTTTTACTTTCAGTGAATTGTGAGGGAGAGATTCAAACTCATATCTGACTCTCTTTAGCCTGAGCTCATAATCACTATATGGTAGGAGCTGGCAAACTATGAATCTCTGCATTTTTTTGTACATCCTCTGAGCTAAAATTGTTGATACTTTTATTTTTTTTCTTTTTAAGATGTGGTTTTGCTCTGTCACCCAGGCTGTAATGCAGTGGCACCATCTTGGCTCACTTGGCCTCCCAGGCTCAAGCCATCCTACCACCTCAGCCTCCCAAGTAGCTGGGACTACAGGTGCACCACCACACTGGACTAATTTTTATTTTATTTTATTTTTGTAGAAATGGGGTCTTACTATGCTGCCCAGGCTGATATTGAACTCCTCGGCTCAAGAGGTCTTTCCACCTTAGCCTCCCAAAGTGCTGGGATTGCAGGCATGAGCCACCGCGCCCAGCTGGTACATTTTAAAATGCTTTACACGAGTCAAAAGAATATTTTATGAACCTGAAAATTACATGGAGTTTAAGTTTCAGTGTCTATAAATAAAGTTTTATTGGAACACAGCCCTACTTGCATAGCTCTGTGTTTGTACTGCAATGATAGAGTTGAGTTATTGGCACAGAAACTCTTTGGTTCAAAAGCTCTAAATATTTACTATCTGGCCCTTTAAAGAACATATTTGCTGGTTATCATTCATAAAATGGAGGCAGAGAAAGAATTAAGTCATTCCTCAGGTCCCTTTCAACTTAAATGTTCTGAGAATTGCAGAGAAAATTGCTTACATCTTCTGTTTTCCTATGAGGTCTCCATCTCTCCCTGCCCTCTCTCATTCTCAACAGTTGAGTTTGCCTCTTTTCTTAAAAAGATTGAGTCTATCTAAAATAGATGCCTCATCTCCAGTCATACATCCATATGCTGACTTCCCATCTCTCTCTCTGTATGTGTCCTTTCATCAATTCTCGATTTCCTCTATTCTGAGAAATAACAATATTACCATTTATTAGATGCCTGAGATTTCTAGCATTCTACAGAGTTGTGAAGAAGGTTCAGAGATGATAAATGTAAGGTCAGGCTTATTATTTCCATTTCTGGGGTGAGGGAGTTGAAGGTTGAGGAGGTCAAATTGCTTTTCTAGGTTGTGTCAATTAGTAAGTTGTGGTGCCAGAGTTTGAACACGTCTTTCTGATCAAAGGGACTTTACTTCTCTTGTCTGATGTTATCTTTGCTCTCTGTGCACCAAAAGCCATCTCCTCCACACCACACTCCACCCTGTTCTTCTGTGTATGCCCTCTTGATTTCTTCCCTTCTTTTTCTAATCATTTCTTTTGGTATTAAGTTTGCCTCCTGAGAACAACATTCCCTTAGGCCAGCTCGTCTTCTAGCTAAAATAGCTACTTTAGCTGCTAAGAATAGGAATAGCATTTCTTGAGCCATTACATTCACACACCAGACACTGTGCTAAATACTGTATAAGTGTTGTCTCATTTAAATTTCATAATAGTTTTACGAAGTTGCTACTATTATTACCATTAAAAAGGGGGAAACCAAGCCTTGGAAAGGGTAAGAAATTATCCAAGGGCATATAGTTGGAAAGAATCTGAATAGAGACTTGAACCCTCTGTACTTTCTTTTTTTTTGAGATGAAGTCTTGCTCTGTCACCCATGCTGGAGTGCAGTGGCATGATCTCGGCTCACTGCAACTTCCACCTCCTGGGTTCAAGTGATTCTACTGCCTCAGCCTCCAGAGTAGCTGAGATTACAGGCACCTACCACCACACCTGGCTAATTTTTGTGTTTTTAGTAGAGACAGGGTTTCACTGTGTTAGCCAGGCTGGTCTGGAACTCCTGACCTTAGGTGATCTGCCTGCCTTGGCCTCACAAAATGCTGGGATTAAAAGCATAAGCCACCACGCCTGGCCTAGACTTGAACCCTCTGTACTTTCCAATCAGTATGCCTTACTTCCCTATCCCTACCCCAGCCTCACCCAATATAACTCATCTCCTCTTGTGACTTACAGTGGTCCCCTCTGGCTTCTTCCTTTTCAATACCACCCATTCTGTTCTGCATCTCATAGTGTGATACTTACTTTCTCTTTAATACTAACATTGCTTTCACAGCTCACCTGTGACTTCTTTTATCATTTCTTTTCACTTTAGAGAACTTCTTTTAGCCATTTTTTTTAAAAAAACAGTAGATCTGCTGGTGAAAAATTCTCAGAGTTGTTCTTCATCTGAAAATTTCTTGATTTTTCCTTCATTTCTGAAGGGTATTTTCTCTGGATATAGAATTCTGGGTTGACAGGTTTTGTTTTGTTTTTTTTTTTTCACATGAAAAATGTGCTGAATCCTTCTAGCCTCCATTGTTTCTGATTAGAAATCTATTGTTACTCAACTTATTTTCTCTTGATACATAATGCACTGTTTCTTTCTGGCTACTTTCAAGATTGTTTTCTTTAGTTTTCTGGTTACTATGATATGTTTTCATTAAATTTCTTTGAGTTTAAACTATTTGGAGTTTGCACAGCATGAATCCATAGGGGCACATGCGTGAGTGTGTATATATGTGTGTGTGTGTGTATGTGTGTGTGCAGATAATATATACCTTTCTCAAATGTCAGCCATTACATTCGTGTGTTATGTGACTATAGGTATAGTAAACATATGGCATTATACTTTTATGGGGCCACCCTTGTGTATGTAGGACAGAAATGTCATGATGTGGGGTGTGACTGTATTTTTGTTTGTTTGTTTTTTAGTCCCTCAATTAACCAATGAAGATTGTATGTCTTTGAATACTTTTCAGCCTCAAATTCTTTCTCTTCTTCTTTTGAGATTTCAAATGTTATATCTGTTGTTATAGTTTCATATGTCCCTGAAGATTTTTTTTCAGGTCTATTTTCTCTCTATTTTTCAAATTGGGTAATTTCTATTGCTATGTCTTCAAATTTATTGATTCTCTGCTTTGTATCTTCCATTCTGCTCTTGAGACCATCCATTGAGTTTTTGAATTTTGGTTGTTGTATTTTTCTAGTTCTAAATTTTCCATTTGGTTCTTCTTTGTATATGCGATTTCTTTGCTGAGATGTCCTCTTGTCATTTGTTTCAGGCATATTCAAATGCTCGTTGATGGCTGCCTTAAAATTCTTGTCAGGAAATTCTCACTTCTGTGTCGTTTCAATATTGATTGTTTTTCTTATTCAGTTTGAGATGTTCCTATTTCTTGGTATGACAAGTGACTTTTGATTGAAATCTGGACATTTTGTGATATCCGATTCTTACTTAATTCTTATGATTCTTACCTAAACCTTATGATTTAGAAGATCTCCTCTGACACTAACCTGGTGGCTGAAAGGGGGTGCTGCCTCCTTACTGCCAGGTGGGTGTAGACATCTAGATTCTCCACGGGGCCTCTGTTGGCACCTGGAGAGAAGGGACTCCCTGTTACTGATAGGTGGGGGTGCTTCAGGCTTCCTCCTAGGCCTCCACTGACAGTTCTCTGGCTGGGAGGGAGAAAGGCACTTGGTTTCTACTCCCCATCTGGCCTCCACTGATGCTGTAGAGAGGGTGGTTTTGCTACCACTGAACAGTGGTAGAGGTCTTGATTTTTTACTAGGTCTTATCTGACACTCTCCCTGTGGGGAGAGGAAGTAACTTTCTTCTGGACATTTTCTTTGATTTGTGCTATCTGTACTTATTGAAAATCCATTTAGTTACCTTTTTATAAACACAGTGCTATTCTTACTTTCCTGTTAGTTTGATTATTCCTTCTGTTACCTCGACTCCTTCTTCATCTTTTACCTTCCAAATGTGGACGCTTCCCAGAGTGGCTTTTCTCTTGAGGTATGCTGTTGCTCTAAGAGCACTTCACTGTTTCCAGACCTCTGGATTTTACCTCTCATGATGGCAACTTCCAGATCTTGCTCCCTAGATCTTGCCTCTCCTTGGATCCTTAATCCTGATGGTCTCCCTCCTTGAAAGACACTTCTGACTTCATCTGCCACCACTTCATACTTGATAACTATCACAAAAAAATGCAGTTGTTTTGCTTTCTTTATCCCAATTTTGTTTCCTTCTCAATTTCCCAACCTCTGTCCATAATAGCATTGTTTTCATAAGCCTGTGGACATTAAATCATCTGGTTTCTTTCTTTTCATTCACAATATATATCACACAGTGAACCACAGGGATGGAAGGGGGAAATCCAAAAGTAACTAAATTGCAGTTCAATGGTACAGAAAGACAAACCTAGTTCCCTTTGTCCCTTTGTCTTTCAACATGCATTACCTAAGGTGTGTATTTAGGGCAAAAAGCACAAGTTAAATCTGGTTCTGCCAATTGTAAGCTGTGTAACCTTGAATACTTGACTTAACTTCAGTAATCTCAGTTTCCCCATCTGTAAAGTGGGGATGATGATAATAGCAACTGCAGAGGTTTGATTCAAGGATGCAATAAGTTTATTTATATGTAATACCTAAACATATCTGGCATCTAATAGAGATTCAATAATTATAGCTCTTGGTCTTCTATTAATATAAAACAGTATTTTCCATCCTATTGCTCAGTCCCAAACCCCAGAATTTTCCTGCTTGATTTTCCAAGGTGTTTTATTGTCTCTTCCCACCCAGACCATCCAGTTTATATTCAGCTTGTTTTTCACACCCAAACATGCATTCTTTCCTCTAGTCAGCCTCTTATCTTTATTTACCTTGAATTTATTGTACCTCTCTCATACCTTATGTTTATTCTTAGAATGTCCATTTCCCCTCCTTCCCCTTCAAATCCCATCCATGCATTTGTCAGGCCTCAGCACAAGTGCTGGAGTCTTCTGTGGCTGTTCCCTTCTGTCCTGATCTCTTCCTCTGTGAACTTCCTTTGAACTTGGAGTAACCAAGCAATAGACCATGGCAGTGTAAGGCGCCATGGAGGCTGTGTAGTTCTTCCCATTTGGCCAGGTTACAAGCTTCAGGAAGGTTATCCGACCTGTTTGTGGTAGTGTTAGACCCTGCCCTCTCTACGTCATATAAAATATTCTCTGAATCCTATACACTTTGTTATATTATTGACCATTCAGTTGATAAAAATCTGAGCGGTTATTCTACAGTAGTTCTCTGAGGTAGTTACTGAAGAAAGAAAGATGGGTAAGGACCAGTTTTATGTACTTGCATGAAGTTTGTGCCCTAGGTGCCACACTTGTCTTACCCTAATCCTTGCCCTAGTAAGACTTTCACTTGTCTTGGGAGCTCATCACTGGGGTTTAGGGTAAAGGGGTTGACTGACACTCTCAAAACCGAGGGAAGCACAGTGGCCACAGTAGAGATTCCGATAATGCAGAGAAAGTAGTGATAAGTTGGTAGGGGGAGAGGTGGAATTAAGAAAGATTCACAAAGGAAGGGGTTGTTGAGCTGTATTTTGAAGGATAAGAGTTCTCCAGAAAGAGGA
Source organism: Homo sapiens (assembly GCF_000001405.40). Classification (NCBI taxonomy): domain Eukaryota; kingdom Metazoa; phylum Chordata; class Mammalia; order Primates; family Hominidae; genus Homo; species Homo sapiens. Next base: position 69,443,868 of record NC_000017.11, read on the forward strand.
ATGCATTTTAGTCACAGTGATAGGCCTGGGAAAAGCAAAGGAGGCATAAACATGTCCTGTGTGGGGTATCAGTTTGTTGCTACAACTGGGATGTGTCTGGGTGTATTGTCCTTAGGATATTGAAGGACAAGAGATGATGAAGGGAATGACCAAAACTAGATTTTTAAAGATTATTTCACTAAAAAGTCCATGCTCTTCTTCTAACATCCCATTCTGCTTCCATATAAAAGGTCTGAGTAGGGTTGGTCCTAAAATATTTTAGATGATCTAATCTCCTAGGTTTGTCTTTCTGTACCATTGAACTACAATTTGGTTACTTTTGGGATTCCCCCCTTTCATCCCTGTGGTTCACTGTGTGATATATATTGTGAATGGAAAGGTTGAATGGAGTCAGGAGGTTTAGTGGCACCTCACTGGGAGGTTTTAGGATAGAGCAGGGTACTCTGCTGGTCCTGGTTGATTTCTTGGCCTTGAGGATGATTTCTGGGTCAATGAGTTTTTTGTTAAAAGAAACGAATTCTTACCAATTTTGGCAAGAAAAAGAATCCATCAAAAGAATTTGGTGTAGCTCACTCCACAGGGCCAGAGAACTAGAATCAGAAGCAATCCAGCTGGAGTGAAGCCCCGAAACATATCGAAGGAAGGGGTCTGGTGCAATATAACACAGCTACCACCAGTTCACCAAACTGCTGCCAATAAAGCCTCCCCAACCGGATGGAGCTGCTGCTATCATTGTCAAGTCCCAAAATGGATCCTTTGCAGTCTCTCCATGTCTGCATCACTGGGGACTGATTCTGAGGTTTCAGTGGTTGCCCAGGGCCCACACTTTAGCTGCAATGAATGCTGGGAGATGAGTATCCAGCACTTTAAGCTTCTATAAGGGATAGCAGACTCTGCCTCAAGAGGTGGAAGAGTCACCAAACATAAAAGGGAATGAAGATGGCAAATGCATGACAAACGTCCACTGAACTCTCCAAGTTGGCTGTTGCATACATGCCACTAACTTTCATTTACTGGAGACTTACTGGAAATCCAAAGCACATTTTCTTTTATTTTTATTTTTATTTTTTGAGATGAAGACTCACTCTTGTTGCCCAGGCTGGAGTGCGGTGGCACGATTTTGGCTCACAGCAACCTCTGCCACCCGGGTTCAAGAGATTCTCCTGCCTCAGCCTCCCAAGTAGCTGAGATTACAAGTGTGCACCACCAGGCCCGGCTAATTTTTGTATTTTCAGTAGAGATGGGGTTTCACCGTGGTGGCCAGGCTGGTCTCAAACTCCTGACCTCAGGTGATCTGCCCACCTCGGCCTCCCAAAGTGCTGAGATTACAGGCATAAGCCACCACACCAGCCCCAAAGTACATTTTCATCAGAAAGAAATTTTACCAACTCCGAGGTAGAGGAAGGAAACTTGACTCAGGGAAGTTAAGCAGTGGAGAGAAAACTCTTGGGTCTTAGATTACTTCCTGACCTCAAAAGCAAAAGGGCTGGCTCAGCCTTAGCTAAGTCTGTCTGTCAGTAAGCTAATTCTGGTTCATTTAACAAAAGTGAAATTGTAAATGTGGACAGCCCTGCCTTGATTTGTGAACAATTTTCAGAAATCAAAGATCAAATCATGGATAAATGTTGTTTGGTTCATATTAAAAAGTTAACAAAGAAGAATACATATTTTTCTTGTTTTGTAGATGGGAAAACTTCTGCATATTTAAAGGAAGTAACGTGTTTTGGGCTTACATGACTACCAGTTGGTGAACCCAAGGCTAGGACCGAATCTCTCCATTTTTTTTTTAAATATTCTTCTCACTGAACCATGAGTATTTCCCTATAAGAATTCTCTTTGGGTAACAATGAATTGTTTCTAAAGCCTGCGTCATTAAGAATACTAAAAGAGCTCCTGATTTATGTGTAATAATTGGGTTGACAGGACATACACACTACCTTTATTTCTCATTAATAGTTATTTAGATGAGAGATATGGTGCATTTCTCTAATCTGGCTTGGAAAAGTAAAGCTTGTGCAGGTCTCTTTTTCTTATTTTGAGATATTTATACTATCAGCTTCAGTTTCAAATGCATCAATCTTAGGTTTAGTTCCAATTTACTTCAATTTATTAAAATATGTATTGAACACTGCATAAGAAATCAAATGGGTACACATACACCTAAGGAGTTAAGGGTTTTAAGCAAGAAAAGAAGTGCTTATTTTTTACCCTGCAATAAAGGTATTTTGGGTATGCAGCATGTTGTTTTACCAGCTGCTACCTTAGCGTTATATTTACTTTTATTGCTGTAGTCTCTTCTGGTGATTAATAGACACCAGGATGGGGGAGGGTGGATCTATCATTTGGCCTAAGAATATCAAGAATCAAGCCAATAATTGACAGTTTTCCATTAAGCAACAGAACTCTAGCATTCTGCTAGGGAATGGGAACACAATACAAGGATACAGCCTGGATTTACATTAGTCAACAAGCTTTTTGAGTGACACACAGAAAGCCTAAGCTATACTAAATGTTAAGAGATTGAATTGCTGGATTAAGAATCATGTTACTCAGGCTAAATCAGAAGTAGGACTGGCTGAGCTAAGCCATTTTCTGTACCTCAGTTTCTCCACCAATGTTGATAGATATTTACTGTATTCCAGAGCTCTCATGTGTATCAGCTCATTGCTCCTTCACTACTAACCTATTAGGTATGTGTTGTTTCTTCCTTTCACAGGTGAGGAAACCAAAGTTCAGGGAGGTTAAGTAATTTTCTCTGAAGTCACAGAAGTAGTTAATTGCAGAGTCGGGATGCCAACTTCGATCAGGGGCACTCTAGAGCCACTCAGTCTCATTGCTTCTGCTTACCCTGCCTTTTGGGTATCATTTGAGTACCCCCCACAGACGCCAAAGTACATGCACGAACGCCTCCTCCACCCTTTTACAATTGCTGTGCTTTGAGCTTATTGCAGAATGGGTACTGGAAAACACAATTGCTAGACTTAAGAATAAGGTTTTTTTTTTTTTTAAAGGTATTGAATTATGCAATTATCTGAAGTGGTCATTCATTGGACCACTTGATGTTGTGGATGATTTATATAACTTTGTATTTTATTATAACCTCTGTTTCTTTTTTTTTTTTTTTTTTGAGACGGAGTTTCACTCTTGTTGCCCAGGCTGGAGTACAATGGCATGATCTCAGCACACTGCAACCTCCGCCTCCCAGGTTCAAGCAATTCTCCTGCCTCAGCCTCCCTAGTAGCTGGGATTACAGGCATGCGTCACCACGCCTGGCTAATTTTTTGTATTTTTAATAGAGACGGGGTTTCACTATGTTGGCCAGGCTGGTTTCGAACTCCTGACCTCAGGTGGTCCACCCGCCTCGGCCTCCCAAAGTGTTGGAATTACAGGTGTGAGCCACCACGCCCAGCCTAACCTTTGTTTCTTACATACAAAACAGTTTCATGTAGAAGTAGGTTTGGGAATTGGATTTTTTTAATGTCATTTTTATATTTTTGAGATGGAGTCTTGCTCTGTCGCCCAGATTGGAGTGCAGTGGCATGATCTTGGTTTACTGCAACCTCTGCCTCCGAGGTTCAAGTGATTCTCCAGCCTCAGCCTCCCGAGTAGCTGGAATTACAGGCACCCGCCACCATGCCTCGCTAATTTTTGTATTTTTAGTGGAGACGGGGTTTTACCATGTTGACCAGGCTGGTCTTGAACTCCTGACCTCAAGTGATGTGCCCATCTTGGCCTCCCAAAGTGCTGGGATTACAGGCGTGAGCCACCATGCCCGGCTAGGAATTGGAATTTGATGATTGCATGGAAGGCAGTTGAGTAAAAGGCATTGGAGGAGGAAGGAGATGAAGAAAGAAAGAAATAGAGCAATGGCTTAGTTTGGGCCATTGGGGCATTCAGAAGGGTGAGCATTAGTGGGCCAGGGAAGAGACAGTTAATGAAGGTGTACTAGGAGTGAGCAGGAGCTGAGGGACGCTTATTCCTAGCGGGGAGCCTGTGCTGGGGAGACTTGCTGAAGGAGAGACTGGGCTGAGTCCAGGGGAGTGCAGAACTGCCAGACTGTTGAGGTCAGTTGGCAAACAGGGCTGTTTCAACCCGAAATTGAGAGGCTGCATCTGGAATACAGCAGAAAGAGGACTGAGCCGTTCTTGGGGTAGAGATGAAGGGAAGTCAGCCCGTTAGCCTGGGACTGAAACAGGGAGGCATCTTTAAATGCCTCTTCTATCAATAAACCCTGACAGACTCACCTAAATATTGTTACAGCGTTTCCCTAATTTGTCTTGTTGTTTCTAATGTATATCCCCAGGACCCCTTACCCCACTAGCAATGGCTCAATTATCTAGCCCTGTAGGGAAATATTGTAATATGGTTTTGTTTTTGTTTTTTTTTTTTTTCAAATTCAAGTTTAGTTTTCTGAGTGCAGAGGCCTAATTTGACTCTGTTTTTCACTGGACTCTTTCTAAAAAATCACTGTCTTTTTTTTCTTGTCACTTAAATGTAGTCTAACTTTTTATTTAGGAAACACAGTCATTTTGCTTGTCTGCAGTGCATGGAGAGTCCGTTAAGGTTGCTAAGGTGCGGACCTTTCTGTTCCCAGCCCGAAGCTGGAGGTCTGTGGTTCCCCCATGGCTGTCTTGCTGCTTGCTGCCGAGTCTGCCCATCACTGCCTTGGCCTCACTCCCAGTTGCAGCCGGCCCTGGCCAGGGCTCTTTTCATTCTCCATTGTATTTTCTTTCTGCTTTTTTTTTTCTCAGCCACATCTCCACTCTTGACCCCCTGTGGCTCACTCTTTTAGCCATCCCCAGGTAATGAGAAGGCTCCTTCTCCCTGGTCAGTGAACTGATTGTTTGCGGGGCCGGATGTCCTCCTGCTGCTTTAACTCATCCTGGCGCTTTGCAGCATTGCTCAGAGGGATTTGTCTTCATTGCCGGAGGTGGAGTTGCCTTTCCTTTTTCGCCTCTCTTTTCTTCTGTCCTTGGGATTCATGGCATTTCCACACACTGAAGTTGTTAAAAATAAAGGCTTCCTTGACAACGGAGGTGTTAGTAGGTGTAGGGCTGGCTGGGTGTAGCTGTTGCAGGTGATCAGCCATGTGTGGCGTGCCAAGGTTAAGGGCAAAGGCCGGCACTCCCGGGTTACAGTCTTTGAAAGGGATACTACCGATCTTTCGATGACAGTGGAGAAAAGCTGTAAAGGAGCGTTTTTCTCTTTCTTTTAGCATTATGAAGGGCATGGATTTTGGAGCCAGGCTACCTGGGTTCAAATCCCTGCTCTTCCACTTACTAGCTGTGTAGTCTTAGGCAAATTACTTAACATCTCTGTTTTTTAATCTGTAAAATGGGGATGATACTGGTATCCAGGACATAGAGTTAATACTAGTATTATATGCTATATAATATACATCATATAAATGTTACATATAATATATAGTACATAAACTATACATAGATAGTTAATATATGTAAAGGCTTTAAAAAAGAAGTGGTATACAGCAAGCAGGTGCTGTGGAAGAGTTTACTGTTATTTTTCTTTGTTTTGCAGAAGTTTTTTTGTGTGGGGAGGTATATTTGAGTTAAAAGCAGGGATGATTATTACTCCTCAGAGTCCTCTGAGGTGTTGGTTGTCCTTTCTTTCTTTTTTCTTTCTTTCTTTGTCTTTCTTTCTTTGTCTTTCTTTCTTTCTTTCTTTCTTTCTTTATTTCTTTCTTTCTTTCTTTCTTTCTTTCTTTTTCTTTCTTTCTCTCTCTTTTTTTTTTTTTTTTTTTTTTTGAGACGGAGTCTCGCTGTCGCCCAGGCTAGAGTGCAGTGGCGCGATCTCGGCTCACTGCAGGCTCCGCCCCCTGGGGTTCACGCCATTCTCCTGCCTCAGCCTCCTGAGTAGCTGGGACTACAGGCGCCCGCCACCTCGCCCGGCTAATTTTTTGTATTTTTAGTAGAGACGGGGTTTCACCATGTTAGCCAGGATGGTCTCGATCTCCTGACCTCGTGATCCGCCCGCCTCGGCTTCCCAAAGTGCTGGGATTACAGGCGTGAGCCACCGCGCCCGGCCTCTTTCTCTCTTTCTCTCTTTCTTTCTTTATCTTTCTTTCAAGATGGAGTCTCACTCTGTCACCCAGGCTGGAGTGCAGTGGCGCGATCTTGGCTCACTGCAACCTCCGCCTCCCAGGTTCAAGTGATTCTCCTGCATCAGCCTTCCAAGTAGCTGGGACTACAGGTGTGCACTACCACACCTGGCTAATTTTTTTTTTTTTTTTTTTTTTAATAATTTTAGTACAGACGGTGTTTCACCATGTTGGCCAGGCTGGTCTTGAACTCCTGACCTCAGGTGATCCACCTGCCTCGGCCTGCCAAAGTGCTGGGATTGCAGGCCTAAGCCACCACACCTGGCCTTTCTATTCTTATTTTAAAGATACAGCATTTTACAAGCAGTAGGCACTGCATGAATTCATGTAGTTTGATTTAAAAATGAATCACAATAAAGTACTCGGCTTGACTCTGAGTCTGAGGCAGTAGCATCCGAAAAGGTTGGTCTCCAAGTTGCCTGGCCAGGAGGTAACCAGATGGTGCACCTGCACCCTCCCCTTGGACCAGCAAAAATTGCTCCTGTTTCCACAAGTGCTTTTTTCCTTGATACAGAGACCCTTGGGTTTGGGATGAAGCCTTAGAGGTCATGCCCTGTCCCAGCCTTCATCCATGCTTTGCCTCTCTGAAACAATCTGGAAGTAGGACGTGGGAGGTCAAACTTATGATTCACATTTGGGGCAACGGAATGTCTTTTCCTTGAGACATTTTTAAGACTTGTACTTCATGATAAAGTTGAGCTAGGAAGTGGGGCCAATTTTTTTTTTTTTTTAGTTTATTCATTAAACACATCTCATGAGTATACTTTTTGCCAGTTACTAAAAATATAAATAAGACCCTGCCCTCAGAGTAGTTACAGTCTAGACAGTAGAGTTTTGTAAACAGAAATATGTAATAAAATATAAGAAGAGCACTATGATAGAAAGTATTTATGACACATGCAGACACACAAAAAGGAGGGTTCTGCTTCACCTTTGAGTGAAATGGGATGGGTGGAGGTGAATCCTGAAAATGTTTATGGAAGAGATTTTATGTGAGCTGGATCCAGAGCATTGAGTAGGTTTGCATGAGTCAGACAGGGAAAGGAAACATACTCTAGACAGAGAAAACAGCGTGAATAAGGGCACAGAACCTCAGCGCATCCTGGAGGTCTGAGATTTGCAAGAATTTGTCATGGCTGAAGCGAAGGCAAACAATTAGAGTTAACAATAGCGAATGGTCAGGGGCTATCAGTGGTGTGCTCAAGCTGGCTTGTGTCTGGCTTATGGGAACTGGGTATTAAATAGCCAGTCATTTTGCAAGCCGGTTGCAAGCCGGTGGTAGCTGGAGATCAACAGTGGTGGAAATATTTGCACCGTGGAAATCAGCAAATGCTACACATTAGGGCCTTCTCTCCCCACCCCACAAACCAAAGAGCTGCTTTCGCAGCAGATCACTGATTGTGACCCCTTGATGCGACTCTAAAAATTATTTTAGGACTCTTCAGTGCAGGCGATGAGAAGTGAATGTGGAAAGGTTGGCAGGGAAGAAACATGGTCAGGTTTGTAATCTAGAAAGACAGCTCTCTGTTTTTGGTCTTGCCCTTCAGGAAAGAGACCCAAGAGGGGAGATTTGCATACAGGAAGTTTACTGGGGAGTGTTCTTGGGACCAGCATTTGAGGGGACGCTAACAAAGCAGGTTTGGGCAAAGGAGGAGTTGAATGAGGAACCAGCTGTAACAGATTCACCTGGTCCCACAGGGAAGCTTTGGAGGTGGAGTGGCCCTATCCAGAGAGGCAGAGAGGTCAGGCCTTTATACCCCTGTGCTGAGCATGACTGGATACAGGCTGCCCCTGCAGAGGGGCACATAACCATAGTGAAGTGGTTCTCTTTCCCTGAGGGCAGTTCCTGGAGAAGGCTCAGCAACTAGAGGAGAGAGTGCCTCAGGCTGAAGGTGATTCTGGTGGTGCACTCCAGCATGCACTGCACACCGCTGGCAGTCTGGAGAATGTATGAGATCCCTGGAGGTGGGTGGCAAGGAGGCTGTTGGGAGTGTACTGTAATAGTCCATGTTGAAGATGATGAAGGCCTGAGCTAAAGTAGCAGCGGTGGGGATGGAGGCAGTAGGAATGCGGCAACAAGAGTGTAGGTAGAGTCTATGGACAAGTTCCCCTAACGCAGTGCTTCTCAACGGAGGGTGGGAGGTTACCCCTAGGGTACATTTACAACATCTGGAAGCAGTTTAGGTTTTCATAACTGGGGTAGGGGGAGGGTGTTACTGGCATCTAGTGTGTACAGGCCGGGGATGCTGCTGAGTATTTGATACTGCCCAGGACCATCCCCACAATAAGAATGGGCAAGCTCAAAATGTCAGTAGTACTGAATTTGACACATTCTGCCCTAATGATATTAGGAGTAAGGGAAAGGAAGTATAAGATGCCTACCTTCTCTGTTCCTGCCTTGGATGTCTGAGTATTGAATCCACAATTCATTACCAGATAGCTAAAGGGAAGATAATAATTTACAGGTGGATAGAGAAGAGACCTTTCATCTTGTAAGCAAATGCGTATCACATTGTTTTTAAAGCCCTACCTGCCTCATAGGAAAATTTCAAGAAATCTAGATAACAGTAGATTCACATGTCTTTCCCACTGTCTTCCTTCCAGAAGATTAAAGTGGAGTTTCATTTCTGTTTAAAAACACAGAGATAGGTGTAGGTGAAAGCAAGCAAATAATAAGACAGATGAGGGGCTCTTACAATAGCCTCTGTTTTTTGCTACCATAGTAAAAATTTTGCAAAGAAATAGTAGAACTATGGGGATAATTTTAAAATGGATTGTTTAGGTTTTAGCAAAGTAGCAAAGCAGATGATGACAATTAAATTTAATTAGGCAAAAGCAGAAGTTGATTAGGGCGATAAGGATTTAGGTCGTACCAAAGCATAATATAAAATGTCTTTGTTTGCGTCTTAACATTGGCATATTCAATTATAGTCAGTTGGTGATGACTTTGGTGCTGTCTTTCATTTGGCCGAAAGCTGGTTATTGCATAGAGTGACAGCCTCAACCAGGTGCTCTGTGATGTCCCTGTCATAGCTAAGAAGCCAACACCATTTAAGCGTTGGGACGAAGTGACTCATGGAGACACTTTGCCTTTTGCTGGGAATTACCTGATGACGCAGAGCAGGAGTTTGGCAGGAACAGGAGTGCAGATTTCTGGGATAGGCACTAGTGGGAGGAGAATAAAAGGGAGATGCATTAATTCCTGGTATGACAAACTACGTGATAGAACTAGAGCAGTGGTCTGAAAACTTTTTCTGTGAAAGGCCACATAGTAAATATTTAAAATTTTGCAGGCCATACAGTCTCTGTGGCAACTCTGCTGCTGTGAAGGCAGGCAGATGACAGGCAAATGAATCCAAGTGCTGCATTCCAATAAAACTTTATTTACCAAAAGAGGTGGTGGGCCAGATTTGGCCCTTGGGCAGTAGCTTGCTGTTAGGTGTACTTGAAAAAATGATTTTGCTGCACTTAAAGGAAGGTGTGGACATGGAGATGTAGGTTCGACTGTAAGACTGATGATTAAGGGGGTCAAACACATTCATTTTCTTTCCTTTATTTTGGCCTCTTTCTCCTGCTCACCTCTCTCCTTTTAAGTAATTTAGAATGCATATGTATGCATATATATTTGAATTGCTTATTGATTGATAATTTTCTATTCTTTTTTGGAAGTCTTGAATAGTAGGAGAAACCTTTTCTAGTCCTCTCTTTTAGCCCTTTGTAAATGCAATTTAGCAATTTTTGTCTTGGGTATAGTTCTTAGTTACATTTTCTTCTACTTGCCATTCACCTTGGGTGTAAATTACAATTACCTGGGAAACTTTTAGACATCTCAATGCCCAGGCTGAGTTTGGAACAATTAATCAGAACTCCAGGGATAGCCCAGGCATCATTATATTTTAAAGCTTCCCGGGGGATTCCAATGTGCAGCCAAGGCTGAGAATCACGTCCTTGGATTTAAAGAAGAAAGAAAAGTCCTGAACATTTGCTTTAGATGCTGGAATAAAGAAGGAAATTTACCCATGTAGGTAACCTTTATGGCCCTCCAGTTATAGCCACAAACATAGGAGTTTTCAGATTTTAAAGGCTATTTTCAGAAAAACGTATTTCCTAGTGACACGGTCAAAAACTCTTTGTTGTGGTTTGGTAGGAGCAATAAAAGAAATATCAGGAAGCTATTGGGATTTGACTGATGTCTATATTTCTAGCCAGAAGCGCTTCCTCCATCAGTGAGTGTGGTGACAGCCTTTGAGCTTTGTGAAAGCTTCCAGGTTCCAGTGATTAAGCCATTACTCCTAGAAGCCAGTCTTACCAGAGAAAATGATCAGGGCAGATGTTCTCACTGTGTCCGGAGGGCATAGCCTTCTAACATTATCATGGGTGCATACATAAATGATGATATTTCTTTCTTTCTTTTTCTGAGACCAAGTCTTGCTCTGTTGCCCAGGCTGGAGTGCAGTAGTACAATCTGGGCTCACTGCAACCTCCACCTCCCAGGTTCAAGTGATGCTCCTGCCTCAGCCTCCTGAGTAGCTGGGACTACAGGCACGCATCACCATGCCCGGCTAATTTTTGTATTTTTTTTTTTTTAGTAGAGATGGGGTTTCGCTATGTTGACCAGGCTGGTCTTGAACCCCTGACCTCATGATCCACCCGCCTCTGCCTCCAAAACTGCTGGGATTACAGGTGTGGGCTACCATGCCCAGCCTAACTGATGATATTTCTTAGAGATAACCTATTTGACTAAGCTAAAGGTAATTTTTGTTATTAAGGCAACATAGGACAATTCAAAAGGTAAATTCAAGGACTATTTGATAAAAATATGTGGAAATTCATTTGAAGATATAGATATGGGTATAATAATATTTTGCAGGTAGGAACATTTTAAAGGGATCTTATGGCATTTTGCTTACAAACATCGTTCTTTTCGTTTTACAAATAGAAGGTCTAATCTTATGACACTGAATTGCTCAAGCATTTAATAGGCTAAATTTCAAAGACTTAGTGCTTTCTTTCCTAAGCAAGAGTTGGAGAGTCATTCTTACTATTATTATTTTTTTTTTTTTTTGGTGGAGGGGAGGTAAGGGTACAATGTTCTGAAGAATTTTCCAGCTAGGAGCAAACTATTTTTAATGCCTATTGCAACTTCCCAAGCTCCATTATATTGGAGATATGAGAGTTGCTTCATTTAGTGAGGGATAATGGAAAGAGATTAGGATTCTGTCCACTGCATGTAAACAAACACCCAACAAAAGTGGTTGCAACAATAGGGATTTATTACACCCTTTATGAAGATAACTGGATTTATACTGTTCCAGGGCTGATTAATTCAGTAGTTTAGCCATGCCCTGGTGAGGGATGGTATCCCTGCAATTCCTGATTACCTGACTTTTTCTTTCTGGTCACAGGAGGGCTACTGTAGCTCTAAATATCATGATGTAATATGACAACCTCGAAAGGCAGGAAGAGAGGACAGTATTTCTCCCCTGAGTCTCATTATTTTTAATCAGGAAGGAAATCTTTTCAGGAGCTCCCAGCCGACTTTCTCTTAGGTTTCGAACCTGGAGCCCAAAGCTGTGTCACTTTTTCATTCTCAAACCTGTCCTGTCAAAGGCGGGGCATTATGGTTGGTGTAAACTAGGGATTAGCAAACTTTTTCTACAAACAGTGAGATGGTGAGTATTTGAGGTGTTGTGGGCCACATATGGTCTCTGCATATTCTTGTTTGTTCTTTTTCCCTCCGCCCTTAACCCTGTAAAAATGCAAAAATCATTTTTTGGAGCTTAAGTTCTAAAAACTGATTTGTTTAGTTATAGCATGACCAACCCTGCAGATATGCCTGGGACTGAGTGGGTTCCTGGACTTTCAGTTTTTTTTTTTTTTTTTTTTTTTTTTAAGACAGAGTTTTGCTCTCGTTGCCCAGGCTGGAGTGCAATGGCGCGATCTTGGCTCACTGCAAACTCCACCTCCCGGGTTCAAGCAATTCTCCTGCCTCAGCCTCTCGAGTAGCTGGGATTACAGGCGCGTGCCACAACACCTGGCTAATTTTTGTATTTTTAATAGAGATGTGGTTTCACCATGTTGGCCAGGCTGGTCTCGAACTCCTGACCTCAGTAGATCCGCCCGCATCGGCCTCCCAAAGTGCTGGGATTACAGGCGTGAGCCACAGCTCCTGTCCTGGCCTTTCAGTTTTAAACCCAGAAACATCCAGAGCAAACTGGGTGTAGTTGATCATCCTGTTTAGTGGACCTTCTAGGAACCTGGCTGTGGCTGGTCTGGAGCGGTGAGTGCCTATGCTTCGGGCCTCTTTGGCGGAAAATAACACCTGTGTCTTGAGATGTCTCTTCTGTTCCATTACAGAGAAGAAACTTGGTTAGGGATGGCCTGGGGTTTGTATTGAGTCTTATTTTAAAGTAAGGCAATTTTATGTCTTTAGAACTTCAGGAAATCATTGATTCTAGAGATTGGCTTGAATTACCCTTCTCCATTGTAATTATCAGATATTGAAACTCATTAGAGTTTGGTCTACTCAGAGCTACCCAACTGTGACGTTCATAAGGTGGATGGTAATTGGAGGGTGAGGTGTTGTTGTGTACAGAGATTTGCTTGACTGGATCAATTGTTTTCTCAGTGGGGTCTAGGCATCTGGTGATGTCTGCCCTAAGTGATTTTTCCCCACTGGTCTGTCACCACTAAACCCTGTTATTTCTACCCAGAGATGTCTCCCCACCTAGCCTTCCTCCTTCATCCTAGTTAATTGCTTTCTTGTGGGTATTGACCATTTCATGAGTACTCTTACCCCACCTGCCCTTATCTAGAGATGTTTTTCATCACTCTACAAATCCCTGCCCTGCACTGCTGCTGACTATCTTCCTACAACACATCTGTCCCCACGCTTCCGTTTTAAAGTTGTCCCTGCTGCTTCCTTTGGACACTTCCATTTGACTGATAAATGCCAGCTTCTTAGCTTGGACGCCCTACCTGACCTACTGCTTCACGGCCGTGCATACGGAATCCTCTCACAACCCACGTTTTTGCATATGCTGTTCCCTTCTAGAACATCTCCTTTTCCTTGTGGAACCATCCTCTCTGATCTAAATCAAATGTCTTCTCTGTGAGACCTCCTCAGCAAGAGTTCCTACCCCAGAGAGACTTCAGCATCTCTCTACAATGGTGGTTTCTTCTGTTGAAGGATGCAGCTTGGGATTTAGCAGATCAAAGCATGGCCCCTGCTAGTCCTTCTAATTACCTTTGTGCATTAACAGGAAGCATTTGAGGAAGGACTCCCACGCCAGCACCATTACACTATTTTCCCTGTCTTATCTGATGCCTGTGGACACGTTTATCCCCTAGGTTGAGTGGTATTTACCTGGAAATCTTCAGTGTTTGGCCCACAGTTGGTATTTGTATGAATGTCTGAATGAACATAGGAGCTCAAGTTGGAATTTTCATAGGGGATCCTCTTCTTATTAAAGTCTGTCCTTCCCTGGGGGCTTGCTACTCCAAGTATGGTCCCTGGACTTGCAGACCAGCAGCCTGGCAACATCAGGGAGCTTGTTAGAAATGCAGGCTTGCAGCTGGGTGCAGTGGCTCACACCTGTAATCCCAGTTCTCTGGGAGGCCGAGGCAGGAGGATCACTTGAGCTAAAAACAAACAAACAAACAAACAAAAATTAGCTGGGCACGGTGGCCTGTGCCTGGAATCTCAGCTATTCAGGAGGCTGAGGCTGGAGGATTGCTTGAGCCCAGGAGATAGAGGCTGTGGTGAGCTATGATCACACTACTCCAGCCTGGGTAACAGAGTGAGATGCTGTCTCAAAACAAAACCAAAACCAAAACAAAACAAAAGAGGCAGGATCTCCAATCTCACCCCAGAGCTGCTGCATCAGGATCTGTCTTCTAGCAATGTCTGCAGAAGATTCCTGTGCACATTAAAGTTCGGGAAGCACTGCTCTAGGCTGGTCTCAAATTATGGCCCATTACTACCTATAACACAATACCTTAGAATTAAGGGAGTCCTAACAAAATTGCAACTGCCTTTCTTCCTTCCTTCCTTCTGTCCCTCCTTCTTTCTTTCATTTTTTTCTTGGAGGCAGAATCTTGCTCTGTCGCCCAGGCTGGAGTGCAATGGTGCCATCTAGGCTCACTGCAACCTCCGCCTTCTGGGTTCCAGTGATCCTCGTGCCTGAGCCTCCCAAGTAGCTGGGGCTACAGGTGCCCGCCATCAAGCCCGCTAATTTTTGTATTCTTAGTAGAGATGGGGTTTCACCATCTTGGCCAGGCTGGTCTCAAACTCCTGTCCTCAAGTGATCTGCCTGTCTCGGCCTCCCAAAGTGCTGGGATTCCAGGCGTGAGCCACTGCACCCTGCCGCTCCTTCTTTCTTAAAATGTACATTCAAGGACCTGCCCTCTACCTACTGAATCAGAATCCCAGTGGGGAGGGCCACTGTATTTTAAACAAATACCTCAGGAGATTCTTATCACCCTGAAGTATAAGGACCACATTCCAGGGCAAATTTTAACTCTTTAGTTGTCTCTGATTTTCCCCAAAACCGTGGACTGAAGATGCTCACCTTCAAAATTAGTGTTAACTCTGTTGTGGTCTATACCCATCTACCTTTCCAGTTTCCCTGTTGCTGTTAATAGCACTATCGTTCTCCTACTGTCCCTAGATTTCTACCTGGCTTTCATTCCCATTATTGAAATACTCTTACCTTGTGCAGTGTCTCCACGTTTCAGGAAAGAAAAGAAGAAGTTTTTGTTAGCATCTGTGGCCTTTTCTAGTAATTGTCCTGTTTCTTTGCAGGTGTTACTTTCCTGTCAAGTTCATGGTGTGTCGCCCCTGTCCTCGTTCTCTGTTGTAGTCTGCCTTCTCTTCCCACTTCTCCACCAAAACTCTTCTCTCAAAAGTCACCAGGGACTTCCTTATTTTCAAATTCACTGACCTTTTGGAGCACATTAAAGCAAACCTCTTAGAGGTTGGCAACCTTATAAAAAAATTTGTATTTGGTTCTAACCTCCTTTGCTGGTGTGCAAAGTTGAACATGAATAGCAACCTCTAAGCCAGAGAGAAATTGGATCTTACTGTGTCTTTACTTGCCAGCCCCCAGGGTAGGAAAGTAGTTGGTCACTGAAAGTTTTTATACTTAAAAACGTGTTTTACAAATTCAGGTTTACTGTGATTTTTTTTAAACATTAAGCTAGTTATTTTAATTTCTAATTCCTTTGATTACTGAATTCCTTCAGGCAAATAATTGCCTGTACTTTTCTTGTGATGGTTAATATTATGTAGTTGATTCTAACTAGAATTTTCCCTTGTTTTCTGGAATGCACCCATATTCAGAGTAACTAAATAAGTCATTATCTTTCCTTTGAGAATATGGGAACTAAATCTTTACAATTCAAGGAAAAGAGAAGAACTTAGATTAAAAGGAAATAGAATAAGAAATACATACACTGGGGATCATGCCTATAATCCCAGAACTTTGGGAGGCCGAGATAGGTGGATCACCTGAGGTCAGGAGTTCGAGACCAGCCTGGCCAACATGGTAAAACCCTGTCTCAACTAAAGATACAAAAATTAGCCAGATGTGGTGGTGCGTGCCTATAGTCCCAGCTACTCGGGAGGCTGAGGCAGGAGAATCGCTTGAACCCGAAAGGCGGAGGCTGCAGTGAGCTGAGATTGCACCACTGCACTCCAGCCCGGGCAACAGCAAGACTCTGTCTCAAAAAAAAAAAAAAAAAAAAAAAAAAGAGGAAAAAAAGAAATACACAAGAAATACATAGATTGCAAGGTGTCTTTCTTAAAAAAAAAATTTTGTTTCCTTCTTCGCTGCCTCCTTCCCTCCCTTCCTCTTTTTCTTCCTTCCTCCCTTTCCTTCATCCTGCCTTCTGCCTTCCCTTTCTCCCTCCCTTTCTTCTTTCCTTTTCCCCTCCTTCCTCCCTTCGTTCCTCTTTTTCTTCCTTCCTTCCTTTCCTTCTCCCTGCCTTCCACCTTCCCTCCCTCCCTCCCTCCCTTTCTTCTTTCCTTTTTACCCTCCTTCTCTCCCTTCCTCCCTTCATCTTTTTCTTTCCTCCATTCTTTCTTTTTACGTATTCATCAGACACATCCCAGATAGCACATTAGGCTCTGGGGATAGAGCAATGAAACAAAAGTGGCCCCTTGCCTTTGAGATGCTTCCAGCTTAGCATGGGGCAGTCCTGTCATCAAATAAACATAACAGATTGCTAAACATACTGGGAAAGTCAGGGTCCAGTGGTGAGGGGAGGGTGTCATGAAGGTGGGGTACATGGAGAAAGGGTGGAAACTCATATTAGAAGGACAGGTGCTTGAGCTGAATGTCAAAAGTTTGCACCATTAGGAAGACGGAGGTATTTAACGCACTGCAGATACATGAGCAAGACCCGGAGGTGTGAGGTTACCTGGTGCAGCTGAAGGAGTATTGAGAGATGAGGCTGGGGCAAGCAAGGAGGAACGTGTTGGGATTTTAATGTGGGAAGTAGCATGAACATATGTCTGTGATGGAGGACAGTGGATAGGAGAAGTTTACTCCTCAAAAATGAGAGATCAGTAAGAAAACCAGTGCAAAAGTCTAGCTAAGACTTGTTAGACCAGGGCACAGTATTTTGTTGTTGTTGTTGGGATAGGGTCCCAATGTGTCACCCTGGAATGCAGTGGCATGATCATGGCTCACTGCAGCCTTGACCTCCTGGGCTCAAGTGATCCTCCCACCTCAGCCTCCCAAGTAGCTGGAACTACAGGGGTGTGCCACCACCCTTGGTTAATTTTGGTGTTTTTGTAGAGAGGGGGTGTCCCCATGTTACTCAGGCTGATTTTGAATTCCTGGGCTCAAGAGATCCACCTGCCTTGGCCTCCCAAGGTGCTGGGATTACAGGCCTGAGCCACCATACCTGGTTGGGGTGCAGTATTAAGAAGTGACATAGAGTGGTAGAAACCTGGAGAATAGGTTGCCGTGGGTGAGCCGCACGGGGAAAGAATAGGCTGAAGACAGAATCAACCTTTGATCAGGAGGAGTGAAGGAAGAGCTCCTTAGAGAAGTAGGATGTGATACAGATTCAAAACACTCAATATCCCTTTCTGACTAACAAGAAAGTCCTTTTTCTACTATAAAAAGCATATAGTAAAAGATGTGAGTGGTATTCCCTTATTCCTTTGCCTTCTGGAGTAACTCACAGCAAATTGACTCCCCTTTCAACAAGACAGCTCTTGAAATGATTGAAAGAAAACTCTCATGACTTTCCTTAATCTCTTCCTCCCTGGTTTATGTACTCCTGGGTGTCCTCACTGCTCTGTATGTGACATGGTTTCTAAACCACTCACCTGCCCTGTGAACATAGCCAGCAGCACGTGGTCCCGATGCAATGGAAAGAATGAGGGCAGTGACTGGCCCTGTCTTCATCCTTTTCTCCTTCAGCGGAGATTTATTTCTTCCAATTTCTGCAGCCAACTCTGTGGGAGTTGTTGGGTTGGTGAACCCGAGGGGTGGAAGAGACAGCTCTGGGACCACTGAATAGCCTAGCTTTGTTTAGGGGCATGTTTTCCTGACTGTTTATGGTGCCTGACAGGGTTGTTTTTGTTCTGGGGAGAGCTCATTTGATAAAGCAGGCTGCTGAGAAAGCTGTGGGGCTCCACTTTTTCTGGGGATATCTCCAAGGCCCCCCAGGGAGCTGCGATTTAGCATCCCGCAGGCACCCCTTGCTCACGGAGGTCATCTGAGGCCCTTTGCATCCTCGTCCCAAGTCTAACTCAGATAGTGGAGGGGAGAGAAACTGTTGCCAGCTTCACCAGCTTAATAGTAGTCAGGAAGGAGTTCAGGCCAGCAAGATTCCATTTTAATCGTCAATCACACATTACCAAATAAAAAAGAAAGAAAAAGCTGCAGCTGTGTGCCACTCTTCATAACTTTTCCTCCGTGGTTGGCAGTCAGATTGCTTTCTTTTGCAGAAAACACGATGTCAGGTTTAGTCAGAATTTATGTGTAGAAATTCGCAAGGAGGCAGTTTGGAAAGGAAGGTGAAATTAGTGAGGTTTTAGTTCGCACTTGGGACGAATTACAGACATTCGGGATGGTGGCATGCGAAAGTATGCTGCATTTTCCTTCTCAGCGCCCCCTGCTTCATCTCATAGCCCTGGGCACATTGCAGAATCCTTCACAGGCAGGGTTTAAATATAGCAAGGCACAACACTGGCCATAGAGGACACGAGAACCTCTACCTCAGTTAGCAGGGGACAGGTTAGCACCTCCTCTATCCAGGGGATGGACTCTGGTCAGCTGATTGGTGGCACGTACATTATTACGAGAGTAAAGAGATGCTTGGCTGGTCTCTGTGGACTCCAGCACATGCAGTCCCTCCATAAAACGACAAGAGAACACAGTGTGCTACTGAACGCCACTAGATCTGTATTGAGCCATCTACGTTTTCCTCTAGAGCCATGACAAAGATGGTTTTTCAAGTGAATTCTAGACCAGCCATCTAAGGAGCTTTAGGTTCAAGTCCCATTTCCACCCCATTTGAGTTTGACGGCCTTGGGTCACCTTCTCAACCACTCAGAACTACGGTTTCTTTTTCAATATGTGTATAGGCCATGGATATTTTTGCCCTGCATACGTGACCCTGTGTGATTAAGTCTCGGCCTCATTTCTGGGCCTCTCCTGCACTATTCTCCTTTTTCACACTCCGGGCGTCAGCTAGATGTTCTGCAAAGCCCTTGGATTTTCCACCTTCATGCTCTTGTTCTTGCTGCTTTCCTTCCCCTTGCCCTTAGAATGCCCTTTTCTCCATATTTGCCTTTAAGAAGTCATGTTTTTGGCCGGGCATGGTGGCTCATGCCTGTAATCCCAGCACTTTGGGAGGCTGAGGCGGGCGGAAAACGAGGTCAGGAGATCGAGACCATTCTGGCCAACACAGTGAAACCCCATGTGAAAGAGGCCCAGCAATGACTTGTCTTTTTTTTTTTTTTTTTTTTGCCTTTCATGGGCAGCACGCAGGGTGCTTTCTGGCTGATAAATCCATACGGTCAGGATTGGCTGACTCCTTCACGGTAATGGGAGATGTATTTGACACTGCTGCCCCTGCTGACCTGTGGGTGCACCAGCCACCGGGACACCTCCATGAGACACAGTGTTAGAGGTTTATGGCTAAGAAACTGATTTGAAGTGTGTGAACGTGTGCCAAGAAAAAATGATTCGGCTTTTGTTATTTTATAATGTTCAGATAATCAATATGAAGCATTTTTTTACATTTTGCTTTCACGTACATATATGTATGTGTGTATATATATGTGTGTGTATATACTTATATGTATATATATATCACTATATAATAGTGAATATATGTATATTATTCACTAATATACATATATGTATGTGTATATATATGTGTATCTATAATTATATGTATATATATCACTATATAATAGTGAATATAAGTATATTATTCACTAATATACATATATGTATGTGTGTATATATATACACACATATATGCACACACACACACATATGTATATATATATACACACGCAATCTTGGCTCGCTGCAACCTCCACCTCCCACGTTCAAGCGATTCTCCTGTCTCAGCCCCCAGAGTAGCTAGCTCCCTCTCTCTCTCTCTATATATATACACACACACATATATGTATATACATACATACACATACATATATGTATATACACACACACACACATATATACACACAAATACATATATGTATATTAGTGAATCTACTTAGAAAGAATTTTATTTTGAAAATAAGCTATAACCAACAATTTGGGAGGCCGAGGTGGGTGGATCACCTGAGGTCAGGAGTTCAAGACCAGCCTGGCCAACATGATGAAACCCCATCTCTACTAAAAATACAAAAAATTAGCCAGGGATGGTGGCGTGTGCCTGTAATCCCAGCTACTCTGGGGGCTGAGACAGGAGAATCGCTTGAACCTGGGAGGCGGAGGTTGCAGCGAGCCGAGATTGCGCCACTGCACTCCAGCTATACATTGCATAGGCTCACCAGTACAACAAAACCAGTTTGTTGATTGATAAATAAATATTTAAAATATTGTATGTTTTTATTTTATTTTTTAATTTATTTACTTATTTTTTTGAGACGGAGTCTCACTCTTGCTCAGGCTGGAGTGCAGTGGTGTGATCTCAGCTCACTGCTGCCTCTGCCTCCTGGGTTCAAGCGATTTTCCTGCCTCAGCCTCCCGAGTAGCTGGGATTACAGTGTCTGGGTCTTAGGTTCCTCATCTGTCAAATGGAGACAGTAATAGTTGATTACATAATTTTCATGAAGATTAAATGAGTTATTGCACGTTTAGTATAGTGCTTTCCCCTTATAAACACTCACTACTTATTTTTATTTTTTATTTTTTACTTTTGAGACAGAGTCTTGCTCTTTTGTCCAGGCTGGAGTTCGAGTCCAGGCTGGAGTGCAGAGGCACGATTTCAGCTCACTTCAATCTCCACCTCCCAGGTTCACGTGATTCTTCTGCCTCAGCCTCTTGAGTAGCTGGGACTACAGGCGTGCGCCGCCACGCCTGGCTAATTTTTGTATTTTTAGTAAAGATGAGGTTTCACTATGTTGCCCAAGCTGGTCTCAAACTCCTGACCTCAAGTGATCCGCCCATCTCAGTCCCCCGAAGTGCTGGGATTACAGGTGTTAGCCGCCGCTACTTATTTTTGTAAGATGTCCTTTTATCTTTGATAGATTATGTACTTATTTATTTATTTGAGACAGAGTCTCGCTCTGTTGCCCCAGCTGGAGTGCAGTGGTGTGATCTCAGCTCACTGCAACCTCTGTCTCCCGGGTTCAAGCAATTCTCCTGCTTCAGCCTCCCGAGTAGCTGGGATTACAGGCACGTGCCACCACGCCCGGCTAATTTTTGTATTTTTAGTAGAGACTGGGTTTCACCATGTTGGTCTGGTTGGTCTCGAACTCCTGACCTTGTGATCCCTCCGCCTCGGCCTCCCGAAGTGCTGGGATTATAGGCGTGAGCCACTGCCCCCATCCAGACTGTGCATTTATTTAAGAGAATAAATATTGTGTTCATTTTTACAGACCCCCACAGAGCCTGATGCATAATAGCTCCTTGATAATATTTGTTGATTGAATGAATGGTAGCTATTTTAATGGTCAGAGCCACCTGGACTCATTTAAGTTGCAATCTATGCATACGAGATTGGACCATATCCAGGCAAGAATTCCAGATTCATCCTGTCCTTGTCAGTACCCTAGTTGGGTTAACTGAAATGACTGCCTGGAACACAAAGTCTTTAATAAAATGATATTACTATGCTCTATAAATCTATAAGTTACAGCCTGCCCTTATTTCCCTTATTTAAATTTTTCCTGCCCTCTTGCATTTTGTATCAAAAGCAACCTAAGTTTAATAACTTCAGCAAAGGTAAACATTTCTTCCTTTTGCTTTAAGATTCCCAGTGTATGTGTATTCAATCAGCAAATGTTTGTGAAGCGACCTACTGTACACTTGGCAGCAGGCTGAAAGACAAAAGGCCACCTCCTGATACATCCTTATTGCTGATTTTGTTAATGGTAGAGGTGACAAGGTAGGGGATGCAGAGGAGGGATGTGCCCTTCCTGGTGATGTTTTGTTTTTTTCTTTTTTTTTTTTTGAAACAAAGTTTCGCTCTTGTTGTCCAGGCTGGAATACAATGGTGCAATCTCGGCTCACTGCAACCCCTGCCTCCTGAGTTCAAGAGATTTTCCTGCCTCAGCCTCCCAAATAGCTGGGATTATAGACGTGTGCCACCATGTCCAGCTAATGTTTTGTATTTAGTAGAGATGGGATCTCACCATGTTGGCTAGGCTGGTCTCAAACTACTGACCTCAGGTGATCTGCCCGCCTTGGCCTCCCAAAGTGCTGGGATTACAGGCATGAGCCACTGCACCCAGCCCTGGTGATGCTTTTTAGTGCCTCTAATTCTTCTGAGCCTTTTCCTCCACTTCTTAGAAATATATAGACCTTTGGCTGGGTGTGGTGGCTCATGCCTGTAATCCCAGGACTTTGGGAGGCCAAGGTGGGTGGATCACCTGAGGCCAATAGTTCAAGACCAGCCTAGCCAACATGATGAGACCCCATCAGTACTTAAAAAAAAAAAAAAAAATGCAAAAATTAGCCAAGCATGGTGGCGCACAGCTGTAGTCCCAGCTACCAGCTACTCGGGAGGCTGAGGCAGGAGAATAGCTTGAAACAGGAGGCGGAGGTTGCAGTGAGCCAAGAGCAAGCCACTACTCCAGCCTGGGTGACGGAGTGAGACTGTCTCAAAAAAAAAAAAAAAGAAAAGAAAAAAAGAAATATATAGACCTCCTCTTTCCACCCCCTTCCTCTAGTAGCTTGTCCTTTATCTTCCCTTCCTCTATGGAAAAGCATATTGTAAATTAAAGAAGTCAAAAATGCAAGAGGGTATTCTGTATTTTTACTTTTACTATGATCTCCGTTTTCCCAGAAAGTGTGTAGACCCTCCTTATCATCCCTCAGCTCTATTCCTTGGCCCATTCCTTTCTGGAATTTGTTTCTCAAGCCATCGGCACTGCATCCCCTCCAGTGGTTTGAAACCGGGCAAGACTTTGCATTCCAAAGCAAAAGTGGAAATCAGATGCTCTTAGCAATCCCTGTGAATGCCGGGAAATCCCGTGGCATTTTCTTACAGAAACAGGTTATACTGGGTGGATGGGTTTAAAGCATTATTCACAGGACTAATTGTATGACTTGGAGCAGCCTCGGTTTCCTCATCTTTCCTCATTTTTCCTCATAAAATGACTTCTACTCACTTAAGGCCTGTTCCAGGTTCAAAGATCTAGGATTCACTTATGTTATCAGTTAAATAGGCTTTTGTTGGGCTGATGGTGGAGGCTCCCCATTGAAATATTGTGTATCTGGGAAATATATGCAGAGCTAAACAATCAGATTAACGAGTGAACTTTTGATGTACCATCTGTTTATTATGGTGGTTCTACCATGAAATCTGTTGCAAAGATAATACTAACAAAGCAGAAAAGTGCATCTTAATATTTACATGGATTACAATAAGAATTGGTAATGACTCATGAACTGGTAATCTCAGCGGCTCCCATTCTATCCTTCTGGTTAATGCTTTACTTGAAGCTGAGTTTTGTTCCACTAATTATTTCTTCATACCTGCATCCTAGGCAGTAATAAAGGGGTCTCTATATAAGGCAAAGAATATGGAATTAAGTAAGCGAGGTACCATATATGAATAGGTACAAGAAGAGACTGAAACATGTTAGAATTTGTGTTTTGATACTTGTCAGGGAGAACTCCTGGGATGATGTTTTACCTAATACTTAATGATATCTGACTGCTCTGCTCTGCAGGGAGCACAGCCATGTGGTGCTCATTGGCTGATGTTTGTTAGGAAGTGGGCCATCTGTAGCCAGGAAGGCTTGAGATAATCAGGAGGGGGAAAGTGGGAGGAGAATGGATTGTATGGAGCTGTGAAATGCCATTGTGGTGAGTTTCCTTTCATTGTGTATTGATTGGGTTTTCTAGAGGACAGCTCTGGACTGAGTCTTTTTCCATTTTCACTGTTGCTAGGTTGACTGTTAAGTAATGCTTTTAGACTTCTTGGTGAGACAACTGAGAACATCCTGGAACTACCATACTATAAAAATGTTAATGTGTACATATCTATGTATAACAGTAACTCCCAAATCTCAGTTTTTATTCAGTCTTTTCCTTGAAGCTTAAGAATTGAGTAAGCAGTTGTTTGCTGGATTTCTTTTCTTAGTTTCGTGTTTTTTTTTTGTTAGAGTCTCACTCTGTCACTCAGGCTGGAGTGCAGTGGCATGTGATTTCAACTCACTGCAACAACCCAGGTTCAAGTGATTCTCCTGCCTCAGCCTCCCAAGTAGCTGGGATTACAGGCATGTGCCACCACGCCCAGCTAATTTTTGTATTTTTAGTAGAGACGAGGTTTCACCATGTTGGCCAGACTGGTCTCGAACTCCTGACCTCAAGTGATCCACCTGCCTTGGCCTCCCAAACTGCTGGAATTACAGGCATGAGCCATCACAACTGGCCTTGGATTTCTTTACCTGGTTGGTGCCTGAATCTTAACCTGTTTCAGCCCAAGTGCACCCCTTCCCGCATTCCTAGATTGCTTCTCCTGTGATAGTGTTCTCAGTTGTTACCTGCTATTTCCCTAGAAGGACCTTTAGTGTAATTCAGAGTTCCTTCTCCCCATCTCTACCATCACTAATCCAATCCAGGCCCTTCTCATCCTTCATTTGAGCCTCTGCTGTAATCTCTCAATTAGTTTTCCTGACTCCAGTTTCATCCTCTATTTGACCCACTCTCCATCTGCCACCAGAATGACTAAGGAAGTAATTCAACAACCATTTACGAGCCAATTACTCTTTTCAGGCTGGGATAACACAGCCAACGAATCACTGTTTCTGCTCTCGCAAAACTTAGTTTCTAGTACTGAAGGCCAATAAAGCTGTGTACGCAAACATAACTAATGTGTTTATAAACTGTTGCAAAGGAAACAAACCAGGATTTGAGGTGGAGGATGAAAGGGAAGGTATCCTTTGCGTAGGGTTGATGAACAAGGGCTGTCCTTGATGATGACATCGAAGCTGAGTTCGAAAAGGTGCGAAGAAACTAGAAGAGGAATGAAGGGAGCCAGGGGTGTCCAAAGGAGAGAATACAGTTATGGGTTCTTAGTTTCTGTTTCTGGTTGGGCCAGTAAAGCCCCTTCATCATCCCTCTTTTCTGCTTATCACTAGAGAGAGAAACTAAAAACCATGATTTCAGGCTGCAAAAAGCCTAAAACAAAACAAAAGAAAACAGAACAACAAAAACAACAAAAGGCGGGTTGAACAAGCAATCCAGACAGAATGAACAGTCTGTGCAAAGATGTGTAAGAGCTTATTGGTTTCAAAGAACTGAACACTAGAAGAGAGTGATTAATGCACAGAGCAATTGAACAAGTCATGGGAGATGGGATCAGAAAAATGGGCAAGAATCGTGTTACAGAGGCCCTTGTGGTCTGCAGCAGAGAGTGCAGGACCTATTTTCTAGGGGAGAATAGACCCCACTTTCTTGTAATTGTGGAAATGAGATCCCTGTTTTCTTGCTGGCTGTCAGTTGAGGACTGTCGCTAGGTTCTAGGGGCCACATGCATTCCTTGAGTTCTGTCCCCTTCCTTCATCTTAAAAGCCTGCAAGGCTGGTCAAGTTCTTCTCACATTGCATCTCTCTAACCAACCCCTCTACCTTCCTCTTCCACTTTTAAGGACTATTTTGAGCCCGCTCAAAATATCCAAGTAATCCTGATCAATCATTAACTTTAATCACATCTGCAAAGATCGTTTTGTCATGGAAGGTAACATATTCACAGAATCTGGGAAGTAGGACATGGACAGCTTTGAGAGTGGAGTGGATATTATTCTGCCTACCACAAAGGTAGAGTCAAATGAGAAAAGTATCTATAGGGGTCCAGGTGCGGTGGTGCACACCTGTAATCCCAGTGCTTTGGGAGGCCGAGGTGGGCGGATCACGAGATCAGGAGTTCAAGACCAGCCTGGCCAACACAGTGAAACCTGGTTTCTACGAAAAATACAAAAAATTAGCCAGGCATGGTGGTAGGCGCCTGTAATCCCAGCTATTTGGGAGGCTGAGGCAGGAGAATTGCTTGAACCTGGGAAGCAGAGGTTACAGGGAATGGAGATCGCTCCACTGCACCCCAGCCTGGGGGCAATGGAGTGAGACTCCATCTCAAAAAAATAAATAAGTAAATAAAGAGAAAAGTATCTTTGGGGTGGTTGATGACCTTGACAAGAGCTTTTTTGGACATATGATGGCAAAGGAGAGCCACATCATGGTCGGTGGAGCAATGAAAGCAGAAGTTAGAAAGTAGAAACAATGGGCCTGGCATGGTGGCTCATGCCTCATGCCTGTAATCCCAGAACTTTGGGAGGCTGAGGCGGGTGGATCATTTGAGTCCAGGAGTTCAAGACCAACCTGGGCAACATGGCAAAACCCCATCTCTACAAAAAAAATCCAAAACGTTAGCTGGGCATGGTGGTGTGTGCCTGTAGTCCTAGCTACTCAGGAGGCTAAGGTGGGAGGATCCCTTGAGCCCAGGAGGTAGAGTTTGCAGTGAGCCTCATCACACCATTGCACTCCAGCCTGGATAACAGAGCGAGACCCTGTTGCAGAAAGAAAACCATAAAGTAGAAACAATGTAGTGTGTAGACAACTCTTTAGATAACTTGGATTATGGCTGGAGGGGATGTGGAATGAACTGAAGCATTTTTTTAGGCAAATACAAATGATGTTTACTGATAAGAATAAACCAGGCAAAAGTAGCATGATGATGATACTCGGAGCATCACCAAGATGAGGCCCTGGAATCCTTCATCCAGGGAGGATAGATGCTTCATCCGTCAGGGAAGGGAGGAAACCCTGCAAGGAAGCACTGGAATCTTTCCCAGGACAAGAGTGGATGAATCCAGAGCCAGCAGAGAGCTTGGCCTTTGATGGGAGGGACATGCCCCCTTGTGTATAGAAGGGAAGATGGAGGATTTGGATGCTTTGTGACATTGTGATGGGAGATAAGTGAAGTGCCATCTCATGGCTTTTATTTTGTCAATGAAGTATGAAGCAGGGCATCATCTAACAGAACTGTGACCATACCAACCTTGCTTCAAACTCCTCAACGGCACTACCTGCTTACCTCTGTTTTTGTTTCCTGGTGCTGTCTGCCTAGAACTTGACACTACCTCCTCACACATTCTGCCTAGCCCTCTGGACACACCACACCTCTTTGCTTTTGATGGTGTGTTTGCTTATGGCCTTTACCAGAATGCCTTGCCTCTTCTCACTTTCCCTTTTACCGTCTCCCATCCCCACCTCCCAATGCACACTCCTTTTCCAGGAACCAGCCTTGAAACACACCCTCACCCTGGCTGTTTATAGGGGCAGAGGCCCTGGTGCTTTCATTGTGAAATTCACAGCACCTAGGACAGTACCTGCACACAGGAAGAGCTCAGTATATGTTTTTCAATATAATAACTTCATTGCAGGTAAATTAATTGATTGAGCATATATCTCAAACTATCAAAATAGGGTAGGAAAAAAATGAACTGTATTAAGCGGAAAAGAACTGTTGTTATACTCTTTGATGACTTGGTATGATTTCATTTTGCTCACTCTCAACCACCAGCTTTCAGTGGGCTCAAGCATTCAAAATGTCAACTTTACAAAGTCATGAAATCAACCTAAGCATCCATCAGTGGTTGACTGGATAAAGAAAATGTGGTGTATATATATGCCATGGAATACTATACAGCCACAGAGGAGAATGGAATTATGCCTTTTGTAGCAACATGGATGGAGCTGGAGGCCATTATCCTAAGTGAAGTAACTCAGGGACAGAAAACAAAATACTGCATGTTCTCACTTATATGCTGGAGCTAAACAGTGCATACATAAAGATGGAAATAATAGACACTGGGGACTCCAGAAAAGGGGAGAGTGGAAAGTGGGTAAGGATTAAAAATATTACCTACTAGGCGCAATGTTCACTATTCGGGTGATGGGTACACTGGAAGCCCAAACCTCATGATTATGCAATACACCTATGTAACAAACTAGCACGTGTACCCTTGAATCTAAAATAATAGAATACAATAAAATAAAGGAAAACAAAAAAACCCAAAATAGCAAATAAAAAATTCCATAAATAATTCATATGTTAAAAAACACAACAAAGTGTCAGCTTTAAATCTGTATTATTCTGTAGGCTGTAAAGTCTGTGAGAGAAAAGATTATGGTTCAGCCCTCCTTGTATTGTCAGTACTTGACACAAAATATAAAGCCTGTAGAAAGTATTAAAATGTTTAGATGAATGATTTCGTATGATTTAAAAATTACTATCTGTTTCTAGAAGCTGCAGTATCTAGCACATCTTCCCCGCGGGGATGTCCTTCTGTTCTGATTGGCCTTTAGAGAAAGTAGTCTGATACCACCCTGATTTTTATCTCTTTATCCATTTCAGAGGCCTTGGGTTATTCTGAGCATGTTGATTTCAAGTCCTGTAAAGCTGAGTGACTTAACATATCGTTCTTCAACTTGGTGTTTTTAAAGAGCCAAACATATTCACACATGCTACAAATGCATGCTAGCTCTGCATTTGGTTACTTGATGAGTTCAAAAGAAGCTCAAATCTCAGCATTAAGCACCATACTCCCTGTTACAAGGCCGCACATGTACCCCCGAATCTAAAAAAAAAGTTTAACATTAACAATAATAAATTACAAATAAATATGCATCGTTATAAGCAAGATTTGTAGTGCAGTAGGTCCTTGAATAATGCCATTTCATTCAACATTGTTTTATTATAGTGTTGATGAGAAAACAAAATCGGTTCCCAACCAGGGCCGCTGTCAGTGTGGAGTTTGTACATTCTGCCCGTGTCTGCAAGGGTAACCTCTGGGCACTCAAATTTCCTCTTACATCTCAAAGATGTGCATGTGGATTAGTGGGCATGTCTACATTGTCCCCATCTGAGTGAGTGTGGGTGAGGGTGGGTGCACCCTGAGACGGGATGGCATCCTGTCCAGGTTGGGTCCCAGCTCAGTACTCTGAGCTACTGGGATAAGATCTGGCCACCCTGAACTGGAGTAATTGGCAACATCATTATCTTACTTGTTTTATTCTTTTGTTTTGAAATGGAGTCTCACTCTATTGCTCGGGCTGGGGTACAGTGGTATGGCCTCGGCTCCCTGCAGCCTCTACTCCCTGGGCTCAAGCAATCCTCCTGCCTCAGCCTCCTAAGTAGCTGGGACCACAGGCATGCGCCACCATGCCCGTCTAATTTCTGTACTTTTGTATTTTCAGTAGAGATGGGGTTTCACCATGTTTTCCAGGCTGGTCTCGAACTCCTGGACTCAAGTGATCCACATACCTCGGCCTCCCAAAGTGCTGGGATTACAAGCGTGAGCCAATGCGCCTGGCCTATTCATCTTTCTTAAATGTATGCATAGCCCACTTTCACTTCAGTGTTAATATTAGATGTGTCTTGGTCTTTATTTAGAAATCTGGTTATTTTTTGTGATCAGAAATATGCCGTAGGAAACTTATTCTTGTTTATATTAATTAGCCTGTGGTAAAATTGATTTCATTATATGTTGTTTTGCTTAAAGTCACAGTTTTCAAGAAACTGTTGAAAATGTTAAGTGAGTACTTAACTGTATTTTGAGTGGAATAATTTGCAACTGAAAAAAGTTTACAAAAATAGGATTAATTTCTGCAGAAAATGTTCACAGTAAAATGCCAAGGGATAAAAATGGTATTAAAAATTATATACACAGTATGGTCTTAATTTTAGGAGAAAATTCTATATCTATGCAAGCATATATAGTTATAGGTTTGTGTACAAAAATGGCTGTAAAGTAATACACCAAAATACTAATAGCAGTTTTGCCTGGGTAGTGGAATTTGGGTAATTTCAGCTTTCTTCCTTATACCTTTCTTTATTTTCTAAATTTTATAATAAATATTTTCTTTTTGAACTCAGGAAATCTATGGTATTTATTTTTCAAGGTAAATTTTTCTTTAAGCATCAGTGGTAAAATTACTTTTGTCCCCCTCCAGTGTTGAAGAGTGCAAGAAATTGGGAGTCCTAGGTTTGAAATGTTTTTAGCTAAGAGGACTAGAGAATGGCAGTTAATGTACATCAATGATAATTGATCCAGGAGACGCTTTGGAGTTGACTTAAAATGTAAAAATGTGTTCAGGGTTCAATATATCTATTTTCAAGGTGTTATTGATCAGATCTGTTTGGTTTCATCACCTCTGGCAGATGTTCCAGTGGTTTCTTAGGAGAGCCTCCCTCTACCCTGGTATGTGTGATCGTAAGCCAGACTTTCTGAATGCAGCTTAATGCCCAAGACCAAAATAGACTAGTGAGTCACTTGGACATATTCTGAATCAAAGATTTAAAAACCAAAGCATGCAAATAAATGCTCCTAATGCCTTAGCTCAGAGTAAACATCAGTTAATTTTAATTTTAAGGCTAGCCAAATGGCTATTGCTTAAGGCGGCCAGAGTGATGTTAATGTGAAGAGCTGGCTCCGTATGGGCAAGGGCTACATGTTTTGGTGTGTTATGGTATTTATGGTATGCTATTTCATTTTAATTAATTTTGTGTATTCTCTATGATACTAACACAATGTTGGGCATGTACAAAGTGCTGAGTCAATGACAGAGACCAGAGCAGAGGAGAGTAATATAAAGTACTGATTGATGAGGATGTCATAGGTTGGCTGAGTCTGCCCTGCTTCGTGGCTTTTGTCTTGGTTTAATCATTAATAGTATCCTCTTTTACTCTCAAAAGTCTTTCATTTGGATGATTGTTTTATAGGGCCACTTTTTGACTGAGGTGGCTGAGTAAAATCTTCTAGATTCCATGCGTTCATCTCTGCCTGAACAGCAGTTGTCTGCCTGGCAAAAATGTAAGAGCCACACCCAAAAGCACATGCTTTTTAATGCTCCCTCTCTCCTTCTTACCCTGCGTAATGGCTGCAGTTTTGTACTAAGCCTTTTCAGATAGATTAAATGGAACTGTTGAAGAAGCCCTAGAGGATTAAAGCTCTGGACAAGTTGATCTCTTTCTATGACCACAGCTGTTCCAGATGGTGGTAATACTTCTAGGACCCTGAATGCTGCATTTGGGGCCAATGGGATGAAATCCCAAGAGCACATTGAAACTGACAAGCTGCCTTGACATTTGCTCTTTAGCTCCTAAGCCATGGATTCACTTCTTCTTTATGGCGGTTTGCACTTCTGTTTCCTTTATTCCTTCAGGGACTCCTGCTCCATCCCCTTTTTTCTTTAGAAGAATGAGAATTTAAAAGGCAGCATGTCTAATTCACTGAGGATTCAGTGCCCCTTAATTGCCTTAGAAGCCTGAAAAGTCAGGCTCTAGGAATAAGCTCAGAGGACTCAAATTGAGACAAACATTTGTATTTTGACAAAAGCTGTGCAGTCTTCTGATTCCTGCCCTCAAAGCAGAGTGTAATAAATGAGATTGAGAAAACACTTGTATTTTCTGAATTAGGGTTTAAGTTCCTGGAAACCTCTTGTTCTTGTTTAATTTAAGATTGAAATCTGTGTTTTTTTTTTTTTTTTTTTTTTGAGACGGAGTCTCACTGTGTCTCCCAGGTTGGAGTGCGGTGGCGCGATCTCGGCTCACTGCAAGCTCCGCCTCCCGGGTTCACGCCATTCTCCTGCCTCAGCCTCCCAAGTAGCTGGGACTACAGGCGCCCGCCAACACGCCCGGCTAATTTTTTGTATTTTTAGTAGAAACGGGGTTTCACCGTGTTAGCCAAGATGGTCTCGATCTCCTGACCTCGTGATCCGCCCGTCTCGGCCTCCCAAAGTGCTGGGATTACAGGCGTGAGCCACCGCGCCCGGCCCTGTGTTTGTTTAAAAATGAAAATGGTTCTAAACTTTTCTTGGGTCACTGAGCCCTCTGAGAAAATGATGACTGAGGATTTTCTCCTCTCACGTGTGTACACACAAAGAACATTTTATATATAACTTCAGAAGTCTTATGTTGCCTATTCCACTCTGGATTGTAGGTTAATATAGGAGATAGTTGGTTGCCTTTCCCATATCCATGCTCTGTAGCCTGCATTCCTTCTTCCTAGGAGAAACCTTATTATCTCCAGGTAGCTCACCCTCCTCCATGGGATGGTGTGTTTGAGAGGGGGCCCTGGCCTCTGGTCCCAGGGGTGGTGGGGATGGAGGAGAATGATTGGTCTAAACCAATCATGATGGTCCCCTGTCTCCTTTGCTAGAGACTGGTTCAGCCATGGGTATGTGATACATTTCTCACAAATAAGAGGAGTGTAATCCTGCCGGGTAGCTTTGGGACAAAGTTTCATCACTCTTAAGATGCGAACCATGTAGTAGTATGGATGAAGCAATCTCGAAACCCTTTTTAGGTGTATAATAAGGTTGAGCAAATGAGAAAAGGCAGAAATAGCCCTATGGAGTGGATTGGAATTGGCATATTGGTGTGAATTGAATTTATGATTTCTAAAATATGCAAGTGAATGCATATATGTGTGTTTATGTGCAGATGTATGTATGTGTATATTTATAAATATGTGTGAAGACATATATATGTATAGTATACATACGGTCATATATTTCCTAGCTCTGCCTCTTAAAAGGACCAAGAAGAAATGAGATCCCAATAACAATGAGAACACCTGCTACCCAGATTCTGACACCATTCTTCACTAAAAAACCCCTCAAAAACAAAACCAAAAAACCAAGCTACCTTGCAGAAATTCCAGGGCCGGGGCGTGAATCAAGGTGATACTGGAATCGCAGATTGTGTTTCTCAGGCTAGTCTCCTAACTAAGCCTTTAACAGGCCAATCCAGTCTTCAGTTAAGCTGGATGCTTGTGAATGAGGTGGTATATGAGAAAACT
The DNA here is from genome assembly GCF_000001405.40 of Homo sapiens. NCBI lineage: Eukaryota > Metazoa > Chordata > Mammalia > Primates > Hominidae > Homo > Homo sapiens. The sequence continues at coordinate 69,476,494 of NC_000017.11, forward strand.
CATGGAGTCCCTACTCATACACTCATTGCTGCACCTCCTTTGACATATATCGATCCCTGGGTCTGAAGCAATGTTGTGTGGGATACTACACTGATAGATTAGGCATTCTTATGTTCTCAAATAGTGGCACTTGCAGAGACCCTAAAGGCAGAGAAAGCAAACCCAAACCTGGAGTACATGTCAATTTATGTAAGCATGAATTTCTATCTCCCCTCTCCTTTTTGGGGTGGAAGTGGTCTGTTATGATCAGCCTTTCCCCAAGGGCCTGGCTGATATCTGTGAAGGTGCTATAGAGATTGGCATCTCCCTCTGCCATTGGTTGGCTGGACCATTCAGCAGTGGTAATAGCTAGGTCATTGCTAAGAGAAAGCCCACAATACCGAGCCCACATACAGCCTTTATCCTGCCACCTGAGCCATCTCATCCATGGGCCCATTGTGCTAGCACTGGTTGTCTGAGAAGAAGACTCTGGCTGACATCCACAGGGGAGTCATGCATTCAACCAGCCACCACTGGATCTTCTCATTCACATGGCTTGAGTGACAGGGCAGATTGTACCAGAGCCTGCTGCTGCTGAGTCCTCTCCTGCTTTGGACCACATTTCTGCTGTCTGCTAACTGAATACAGAGCTTGAAATAAAGAATTGCATGCAAGAGACTTATTTGTCAATGTGATCCCAAGGAGTAGGAGGGACGAGGGGGGATGAAATAGGGAAGGAAGGAAAGCCAGTACAGCGGCCATGCTAGGTACAACTGATGTTCAATCCCATCAGATCTTCTAGGAGACTCATGAAATTTATCTCAGCACTGTAAGGAACTAATGGGGTTATCGTCTCCTGTCCATCATTGTTCATTGGTCACAGCTGGTCCCACATGTTTTAGCTCCCAGGTTGTGCATGTCAGCTGTCCCAGAAGCTTTCTTCAGGTGTCGGAGAAGTCTGAGGGCAGGAGTCCAGAGATAGAAGGCATCTGGTACAGCCAAAAATGAGGTGCCATCAAGTTGCACCTGTTTGGAAGTTGGTTGGAACCTCTGCTGGATTGGAAGGCTGCATCGGGGACTGAAGTGGGAGGTGAGAGGAGATAAATTAGGAGTGTTACATAAATTGTGTCCCATGCACACACTACACTCCAAAGGGTCTAATGAGGAAAATGCAGGCTTTGAACAAGCCACACCTGGCTCCACTCTTATCTAGTTGTAATACTTTGGTTTATTTACCTGACTATTCTAAAGTTCAGTTTCTCGTCTGCACAATGAGGATATCAACTCGTTATGCAACTGGGAGAGTTAGCAGATGTGACATCTGTTAAGTTCCTGCTTTGGGCCTGGTATTGACTATGCAAAGCAGCAGATGCACAGATAACTTTCTAGTCTTGTAGATGGAAGGGAAGGGAAGGAGATAGTGGATGAGGGACGGGTTCATAGGAAGAGGGCATTGGACAAAAATGCAGGAAAAAGAACTCTTCATAAACAGAGAGTGGTGTGCATGTGTTACAGGGAGAGAGGACAGGTAAAGGTGTTAAAGGTGGCAAGATTAGTATGGTCAAAGTAGAGTCCAGACCAAGATTGGGTGTGTTCCAGGAAATAGCGGGACTTCCATTTGAGTGCCTTATAGTTATTTCTTAGGAGTGGACACAGAAGACAGCACAGCTGGGGTAGGCGCTTGAACGCCAGTTTGAATAGTTTGAATTATACTTGGTAGGCAGCCTAGAAGGAGCTATAGACAACTTCTCCAAAGACTGGAAATTCAACCAAAGAGGCCAGTTTGCTTTCTAGTTTCCCCATTCCCTCAGCTCATTCAGGCCACGCAGGAAGTTACCATTGCATATGTGTCCTTCTTGTAGCCTCTGGGGATATCACTGTGTAACTTACTCATTCCAGAAGAGACATATGGGAAGATGGGGGTGGGCAGGAGTAGGGGGCTAGCTCTCATTCATGTTTTACTTTCTTTCTTTTTTTGAGACCGAGTTTCACTCTTGTTGCCCAGGCTGGGGTGCAGTGGCTCAATCTCAGCTCATTGCAACCTCTGCCTCCCAGGTTCAAGTGATTCTCCTGGCTCAGCCTCCTGAGTAGCTGGGATTGCAGGCGACTGCCACCATGCCCAGCTAATTTTTTGTATTTTTAGCAGAGATGGGGTTTCATCATGTTGGTCTCGAACTCCTGACCTCAGGTGATCTACTTGCCTCGGCCTCCCAAAGTGCAGGGATTACAGGCATGAGCCACGGTGCCTGGCCTCATATTTTACTTTCAAGGCGTAGTGTATAGTGCCCCGTGCTAACTAACGTATAGTAAGTACTGAGTAAATATTTGAGGAGAGGATGAGTGAATGAAAGTGCTATGTATTTATCTCTTCCAGTTCTTTTCTTGGTGGCACTGTTAGCTTATGTGGCTCCTTGGGTAAGACATTTGCCTGCCTTGTGCCAGAGCCAGCCGTGAGCTAGCACAGGGGCGAACTTCTCTTAGGTTCTGAGGTTGAAGACTTTGGACAGGTTTTGAGCTTAGATGCATATTGAATGTGTGTGTCTCCATTTTTCTTTCTAGGTCTGATGTGGCTGTGTTTCAGCCTGTGCTTATACAGTATTCAATTCACTGAAAAATAATGTGGTTGTGTAAACACTCAGAAGGAAGTGTGGTGTGACCGGTGATCACAGCTTCTGCCAGAATATCTAGAACAGGATGCATTCTGCGATGAAAGAGATGACTACAATAGCTGTAGCTATTTATTTTATAAAAAAAAATTCTTAGCCCTAGTTCATGGCCTACTTCTTCCAAGCAGTACAGGTCAAGCATCCCTAATCTGAAAAGCTCCAAAATGTGAAACTTTTTGAGCACCAACATCATGCCACAAGTGAAAAATGCCACACTCGGGTACTTAACACAAAGTTTGCTTCAGGTGCAAAATTATTTAAAATATTGTATAAAATTACCTTCAAGCTATGTGTAAAGGGGTGTCTGTGAAACATAAATAAACTTTATGTTTAGACTTGGGTTTCATCCCCAAAATATCTCAGTGTGCATGTACAAATATTCCAAAATTAAAAAAAAAATTCAAAACACTTCTGGTCCCAAGCATTTCAGATAAAGTATATTCAATCTGTATTAAATGTAACAAAATTTCAGTAACATGACAGAATCTGAGCAATGACTTGGAGGCTTATGTCACTGATTTTGCCTTACTGTGAGAATATTTGGGGAGCTGAGCCCAGGAAATGTACTTTTCCTTTTGTTCTTTTTTTTTTTTTTTTGAGATGGAGTCTCACTCTGTTGCTCAGGCTGGAGTGCAATGGTGCGATCTCAGCTCACTGCAACCTCTCCTGGGTTCAAGCGATTCTCCTGCCTCCAAGCAATTCTCCTGCCTCAGCCTCCCGAATAGTTGGGATTGCAGGCGCACACCACCGTGCCTGGCTAATTTTTGTATCTTTAGTACTAGAGATGGGATTTCACCATGTTGGCCAAGCTGGTCTCGAACTCCTGACCTCAAGTGATCCACCCGGCTTGGCCTCCCAACTCTAGCTGCAGAGTTACTTAACTCTTGGCTCTTTCACAGTATAAAGGGATTTGGAGAATTAATCTGATATTCCCAGGTTGAATTTTTTTTATTTGTTCATAAAATTTAAGCAAAAAGTATTTTTTAAAATCTTCCAGCAATTCAGGGCCTTATGTTCTGGAGAGCCGAGCATTCTAAAGAACGTAGCATCATTTCCTAGAATTTTGCATCGGTACCCTGAGCTCCTTCATGTTCTTTAACTTTCGTTCCCCAGCACATGAAACACCATGGCAGCAACCCTTATTGCTTGTGGCTACTTCTACGTCCCTCCTTTTTTTCACAGGACATTCCGTTCTTCTCACCAGCCCTAACCTGTTTGCCACTTGGCAAGCACGGGGAACAGGACTCTCCACAGTCTTACCCCGGGGACTAGTTTCAGCTTTTCAGAGAGCAAAGCTTCTGGTCCAACAGTATTTGGAAATTGAGACAATTGAGGAGAAGTAGTAATATGTTCAACTGCAGAGAATGTAGCCTTTGGCATACAAGGAGGAAGCTGTCTTGGCATCTGTCATTAGAGCCACTGGGTATTTTGGAAAAAGTCCATTTCATTCTTCCTCTTTTTGGATCCTGAAACAAGAAGCTATAGTGCCATCAGGAATATAGAGATTGGGAAGCATGGGAATGATTCAAGTAAACTTCTGAAGAAAGCGTACACCTCCAGGGTAGCTAAACAAGCAGAATGCTTGTTGGGGAAGCAAAATCATCTGAAAACAACCTGAATTTGGAGGTAATAGAAAAAAAAAGTTTTTTAAAAAATTTTATTTAAAATGGAAAAATTTAATGGTAGGATGGGAAAGTAGTACTTCTAGCTTGGTTTTGGATTCAGACCTGGATGGGAATACTAACTGTTAGAACTTGAGAAAACAATGTTAGCATCTAAACCTTAGTTTAGATGAAATGTGAAATGAGAGAATAATAGTTCATTTGTGCCCTTTTGAAAGATGTTTAAATTGTGGTAAAACACAACAACATAGAATTATCGTCTTAATCATTATAGTATAATTCAGTGGCATTAAGTACATCCACATTGGTATGCATCTGTCCCCAGAACTCTTTTTTCATTTTATAAAACTGAAAATCCACACTCATTAAAGAGTAACTCCCCAGTTTTTTCCCCCTCCTCCAGCCCCTAGTAGCCATCACTTTACTTTCTGTCTGTATGAATTTGACTACTCCAGGTACCTTGTTTAAGTGGAATCATACAGTATTTGTCATTTTATGACTGGCTTATTTTACTTAGCATAGTGTCTCCAAGGTTCATCCATGTTGTAGCATGTGTCAGAATTCCCTTTCTTCTTAAGGCTGAATAATCTTCCATCATCTGCATGTTGTCTTTATATACCATATTTTGTGTATCTATTTATCTGTCAGTGGACACTTGGGTTGCTTCCACCTTTTGGCAATTGTGAATAATACTGCTATGAACATGGGTGTACAGATATCTCCTTGAGACCCGTGTGTTAGTTTGCTAGGGCTGTCATAACAGAGTCCCTAGACTGAGTGACTTAAATAACAGAAATTTATTTTCTCATAATTCTGCAGGCTAGGCATCTGAGATCAAGGTGTTATTAGGATTAATATCTTCTGAGGCCTCTCCCCTTGGCTTATAAATGACTGTCCCTCTCTATATCTTCACATGATCTTTCCTGTGTGTGTGTCTGTGTGTCCATGTCCAAATTTCCTCTTCATATAAGGACACCATTCATATTAGATGAGAACCCATCCTAAATACCATATCTTAACTTAGTTACCTCTTTAAAAATGTATTTCCAAATAAAATGCTGTTCTGAAGTACTGGGAGTTAAGATTTCATAAATTTTGTGGGAATACAATTTGGCCCATGATACCCCACTTTCAATTCTTTTGGATATATCCCTAGAAGTGGAGTTGCTAGATTATATGGTAATCCTATTTTTAATTTTTTTAAAGGACATAGTTCATTTTTATAGGGTGGCTGTGAGATTTAAATGCCCGTAAAATTTCTAGTGTAGGGTTGGCCCCAGAAAAAGTTGACTTCAATTAGCTGTATAAACTGTAAAGTTAACTATTCTGATCCCTGGATTTTTAGGCAAAGAAATTGAGTCCACAAAAGTTAGGCAACTTATGTCTTCAAGTTTCTGGTTAGCATCAGATTCAGAAAAATAACCTAGGTTTTGGCAATGTCAGGACTGTTGATACCACCATGCACCATTTCTTTTCAGTCCTTCATAGACTGTTCAGTTATTTGCTATTAACTATTTTCTGGCTTTTATGGTATGTGATTTATTATTTTTTTAAACTTAGTTTTCTGAATAGGTACTATATTCACTTGGTTCAAAAATTGCAAAAGTTTATAAAGGTTTACAGTAGAATGTCTTTCTCTTATGTTTATCCACCAGCAACAGTGTGCCTTCCCCATAACCAACTGATATTACCAGTTTCTAATGTAGTCTTCCAAAGATATTTTATGCATGTATAAGCAACTCCATTTGTGTATTTTTTTTTTTGCCATTTTCTTATACAAATGGTAATTTGTAGTCTTCTGCATCTTATTTCACTTAATGTATTTTGGAGATCGTACCACATCAATACATAAAAAAAACTTCTACATTCTTGTTTTGGCTCCATAGCATTCCATTGTTGAATGCCCTGTTCCTCATTTAGCCATCTCCTGTTATTAAGACAGTTGTTATTACAGACAATACTGTGTTTAAAAAACTTGTACATACATCATTTTGCATGAGTGGGAGATGTTATATCTTTATATCTTTAGTATATATTCCTAGTGGTAGAATTGCTGGGACAAAAGGACTATGCATTCATAAGACAGATTTTTGCCAAGCGTTCCTTCAAAGGACTTTACCAATTTATATTTTCACTATCATCTTATGGAACTTTTAATGACGAGGAGATGGCAGTAGTTTCCAAATATATTAGACCAGGCCCTAATTTATTAATCTAGTGATGACTGTCTTCATGAGGGCTTGGCAGGAGTCAAAGCAAAAATCAGAGGACATCTCCCATAGATCAGGAACAACATAAGGATGTCTTTTCTTGCAATCTGTGTTAAACATTGTACTGCTAGACAAGAAAATGAAATCAAAAGGATCCACACTGGAAAAGAAGAAGTAAGATGATCTCTGTTTGTAGATAACACAAACAGATCTCTGTTTGTAGATAGAAAATTCTAAGGAACCCACTAAGAAAACTATTAGCACTTACAAGCAAGTTCAGCAAGGGTGCAGGATACAAGATTAACATACAAAAATCAATTGTATTTTTATACACTAGCTATGATCAATTTGTAAATAAAATATGGTGAAATAATTTCCTTTATAATATCCTCAAAAAGAATAAAATACCTTGGAATAAATTTAACGAAAGAAATGCAAATCTTATACTCTGAAAGCTACACTGTTGAAAGATTATTAAAGAAGATCTAAATAAATGCAAAGGCGTACCATGTTCATGAGTCAAAAGACTTAATATTGTTAAGATGGCAGTAGTTTCCAAATTGATCTGAAGATTAAATGCAATTCTCATGAGAATTTCAGCTGACTTCTTTGCAGAAATTGATAGGCTAATCCTGAAATTCATAAGATAATTTAAAGGCCTCAGAATAGCCAAAACAACCTTGGAAAAGAATGAACTCGGAGGAATCACACTTCCTGATTTCAAAACTTACTGAAAGCTACAGTAATCAAGACAGCGTGATGCTGGATTAAGGATAGACACAGACAAATGGAATAGAATCGAAAGTCCATAAATAAATCCTTGCATTTACAATCAGTTGATTTTTGACAAGAGTGCCAAGACAATTCAGGGGGAAAGGAGTAGTCTTTTCAACAAATGTTGCTTGGACTGCTGGATATACATATGTAAAAGAATGAATTTTGACCCTTACCTCCCACCATATACAAAAACTACAATTAACCAAATACTTAAATATAAGAGCTAAACATGTAATACTCTTAGAAGAAAACATAGGTGTAAGTTGTCATAACCTTGGATTTGTCAACGATTTCTTAGATATAATAGCAAAACCGTAAGCACCTATGAAAAGATAGGTAAGTTAGATTTCATCAAAGTTAAAAATTTTTCTGTGGCAAAGACACAATCAGGAAAGTGAAAAGGCAATTGACAGAATGGGAGAAAATATTTATAAATTATGTATCTGATAAAGGACCTGTATGTAGACCATGTAAAGAACCTTTCATTTAATACTGAAAAGATAACTAAAAAAATGAGTGAAGGATTTGAACAGACATTTTACCAAAGAAGATCTATAAATGGCCAATAAATACGTAAAATTATGTTCAGCATCACTGATTATCAGGGAAATGCAAATCAAAACCCCAGTGAGATCTACTTCACATCTAGGATGACAATTGTAACAAAAACAGAAAATAACAAGTGTAGGTGAGGATGTGGAGAAATTGGAACCCTTTACATTGCTGATGGGAACGTAACATGGTGTAGCTGCTTTGAGAAACAGGTTGGCAGGTTCAGGAAAGGTTAAATATAGAGTTACTGTTGGACCTAGCAATTTCACTCATAGGTATATACTCAAGAGAATTAAAAACGTATGCTCACTCAAAAAACTTGTACATGAATGTACTTAGCAGCATTATTTATAATAGCCAAAAAGTGGAAACAATACATATCTGATGAATGAATAAATAAAAGGTGGCACAGGTATTCTATACAATGGAATATTTTCAGCAATAGGAAGGAAGAATTACTGATACAAGCTACAACACAGATGAACTTTGAAAATATTTTGCAAAGTGAAAGGAGCCAGTCACAAAAGTGCACATATTGTATAATTTCATTATATGAAATATCTAGAATAGGCAAATCTGTAGAGACAGAAAGTAGGCTAGTAGTTGCCAGGGGCTAGAGGGAAGGGTAGTGTTGAAGGAAAAGAGGGAGTGACTGATAATGGGTATGGTGTTTTTTATGTGGGTGATAAAAATGTTCTAAAATGGATTGTGATGATGGTTGCACAGCTCTGAATATTCTAAAAGCCATTGAATTGTACAATTAAAATAGGTGAAATACATGTTAAATAAGTGAATAGGTAAATTATATCTCAATAAAGGTATTTTAATAAGAGTCAGAGTGCAAAGGTAATGTCATGGACCAACTCTAAAATTAACAATTCAAACTCTTCAGTAGCAAACATTCTAAAATCTCTAGAAAAGTATCCCATACTCACATCTCATACTCACATGTGTCCACTGAGACTCGTGGGTAGTTCTTGAGATGGGAACCACTTCTGAGTCATTTTTTTTTTCAGGTTTTAGGATGAGCAACTTTGGAACGGAGGAGGCCTTTAGAAGAAAGAAGGAAGTTTTAGATCATGCCTGCAATTCAGCCTTGCAGAGTTGTTTGCCTGTTTGAATTTTCTCTTATCTCTATGGAACATTGACTACTTCCTCAGAAGCTTATACACTGTTAGAGTACTGGGTAAAATTTCATTTGAAACTACGGGAACTCCTTTGCTGACCTATTGTGGCTGTTCCTAATGTTTCTTGGCTTCATGCTGCTTAGGACCCCATGGGAAATCTTGGCAGAACACCCTGTTATACATCTATACTGAGTGCCTCTCACAGCTTCCCTTCACATCAGATTTTTCTGTTTGTCACCCGCTTTTGCCCCTTTTCCTTCTTGTCTTAAAGAGAGACATCCTTCACTCCTGTCTCTGAGGCTACCTGTCTCCTGTGTTCTTGATCCCACGTTGTCCCTTGGGACACTGCTTCATCATTTCTGTGTACCTCTCTGGCCTCTTTTGACCCTTTCCCTCATGGGCTTTTTTTCTTGGCTTGACAGTTGCTCAAATTTCCCATCATTTTTTAAGAAAGTAGTAACAAATGTACAAAAAGTCCCAAGCATCAAAACTTTCCTTAGATGTTTATGTCTTTCTCAATAGACTACAATCTTTTTATTTTCTCACAGTCAACTTTTTTTTGAAAAGTCTGTGTATTTTCCTATTTCCATTTATGTAAACTTTGAATGAAGAGACCAGAGTTACAAAGCAAAGAGCCTTGTGCTAAAATTAAGTCTAGAACATATCATACTTGGAAGCATTCTGCATGTGAAGGAGAAGTGGGGTGGCCACAAGGAGGAGAAGGCATTTTCTAAATTGTTTTTCCACGTTGTGGTACTTGAAGCCCAACGACTGTAATTAGACTCGTATTCTGGCTACAGGGCTGGATGCAGTGAGAGTGTTATTTGGTGTCCCACTTTGTTTGTTTATATTTTAGGCATTGGAGAATGGACCAGTTTCTTGGGGGAGAAAGTACCATTCTTGAGATTAAGAGATGGAAGTTCTCCCTGTACAGAAAATGCCCTGAGAGAGTCATCAAGATGTATTTGGTTAAGTGTGTTCATTTCACTTTGAATGTTAAGGTTTCTGGCATGAAGCCAGATTTCAGAATCTCAGTGATCTTGAGTGTTTAGTCTAGTCTGAGACTGATGAGTGTTCTACCAGGAAGTGAGAAGCATCAGGTTGAGAATATCATTGGGATAAGGTGAGCAGGGAATCCATTAAGGGACTAAGAGCCCTTTACTTTGATATTGAGAGGGGACACTGCCACACATGATACAAACAGCACTGATCTTGCTCAGCATCTGCAAATAAGGATCGCAGACACAACTTTTCAAATAGTCACTTCAGCCTTACCCTTCTGCTAAAGTAATTTATGTCAAGTAGGGAATAGGCTTTTCAATGTCATCCAAACCCCCTGCTTAGGGAAGGGGCATTCGTTTGTAAACACACTACAGAGCTATTGAAGAATACAAAACTTGGTGACCTTATCTGTAAAGCTGGTGTGGTACCCTTCTCAAACACCAGAGCACCGTTTAGTGAGAAAATCAGCTAGTCGATTGCCCAAACGTTTTCCATTTTAGCATCAGAGGAACCAAAGTCCAGGAAGGTGAAAATATGTTGGGCAAAGGTCGTGGCAATTTAGTTTTTTGATTGAGTCTAGATCTCCCTGGATAGACCTGGGTCGTGTCAAAACAGTTTCTGGTAAACAGTTTTATAACCTGCCTCTGTGATCCAGAAGAGCCTGGACATGTGAGTAGAAAGCCTGTACAGTGGATTTAATCCTGGACTTTTTCCTTTGGATACCAGAATTTATATATAGCCCTGACATAGTTCAGCAATAATCCTTACACGAGCTAGTGGAAACAGACTTGTGATGAAGAGTAATTTCAGCTGAAGGACTAAATACAATTATATGGGAAAGCCGACTGCTTACATCTGTACAAGCTCTGTGTATGTGGACAAGGTCCTCGAAACAGAGGAAGTAATACCCCATGCAGCTGTAGTGATCATTAAATTAAGCAATTCGTGTGAAATGCTGAGAACTGTGCCTTGCATGTAACACATACGCAATAAATTCTAGGTGCTATTATTATTCTCATGAGCAACCACTTGTTAATAAGAAGGTACCTGCCAGAAACGGCAGTGTAGCTGATGGGTAACTTACAGCGTTCATTTATCCCAGACATATTTATTGAGCATCACAGCCTATATTGATTTGCTCCTTTAATGCCACCAAGGTAGATATTGGTTTTCCCATTTTAAGGGTGAGGCTTACATTAATAACATCCCAAGTTTTCACTGCTAATGACGGGCTTGGTCCTTTCCCACTAGGTCTCTTTTTCACAGGGTCTTGTTGTGTTGTTTTCCAATTTACTACATATAACTTTGTTGGAGACTTTAAAATCATCTGACTTTGTATAGATATGAGTGGGTACTTCCTTCAGTCTTTAATTCTGCTTCCCAATAATGAAGACTTGTGAGAATTTCCATCAATAATATTTACTTAAAATCAATCCAATAAAAACCTACAACTTAAAGAAAATCTTATGAAATTACTGTATGCAGGAAATATTACAAATTACCTCCTCATATTTTTGATTAGCCATTAAAATCAGTTTGGGAATTAAAGAGCTTCTGTATAGCAAAAGAAACTAACACTAGAGTAAACAGACAACCTACAGAATGGGAGGAAATATTCTCAAACAATGCATCCAACAAAGGTTTAATATCTAAAATCTATAAGAAACTTAATTCAACAAGCAAAAAACAAATAACCTCATTAAAAAGTGGGCAAAAGACATGAACAGACACTTCTCAAAAGAAGACATACAAAAAAATGCTCCACATCACTAATCATCAGAGAAATGCAAATCAATACCACAATGAGACAGTGAGAATGGTTATTATTAAAAAGTCAAAAAATGAGATGCTGGTGAGGCTGTAGAGAAGAAGAAATGCTTATACATTATTAGTGGGAACGTAAATTAGTTCAGCCACTCTGGAGAGCAGTTTGAGAATGTCCCCAAGAACTTAAAACAGAGCTACCATTTGACCTAGCAATCCCATTGCTGGGTATATATCCAAAAGAAAAAAATTGTTCTACCAAAAAGACACATGCCCACATATGTTCCTTGCAGCACTATTCACAGTAGTAAAGACATGGACTCAACCTAAATGCCCATCAGTAATAGACTGGATAAAGAAAATGTGGTACATATACACCGTGAAATACTATTCAGCTATAAAAAAGAACAAAAGCATGTTCTTTGCAGGAACATGGAGGCAAGCAAGTCAGTGCAGGAACAGAAAAGCGAGTACTGCATGCTCTCACTTAGAAGTGGGAGCTAAACACTTATGTCCACTTCGGTACTCGTGGACATAAAGATGGCAACAATAGACCCTGGAGACTAGTAGAAGCTTGAAGGAGGGAGGGGAGAAAGGGTTGCATAACTAACTGTTGGATACTGTATTCACTACCTGGGTGATGAGATCAGTCCAAACCTCAGCATCATAAAATATACCCATGTAACAAACCTGCACATGTACCTCCTGAATCTAAAATAAAAACTGCAGTTATAGAAATAAAATAAGGCTGAGTGTGGTGGCTCATGCCTGTAATCCCAGCACTTTGGGAGGCTGAGGTGGGTGGATCACCTGAGGTCAGGAGTTCGAGACCAGCCTGACCAATATGGTGAAACCCCGTCTCTAGTAAAAATACAAAATTAGCCAGGTATGGTGGTGCATGCCTGTAATCCCAGCTACTCAGGAGGCTGAGGCAGGAGAATCACTTGAACCTGGGAGATGGAGGTTGCAGTGAGCTGAGATTGCGCCATTGCACTCCGGCCTGGGCAACAAGAGTGAAACTCTGTCTCAAAAAAAAAAAAAAAAAAAGGAAAAAAGGAAAAATAAAATAAGTTTGGGAACATTGCATAGGTTACAGTGTATATGAGACTACATGGAACATATTTACTCTAATACGTTTCACCCACATTTCTGTGATCACATAGGTGGAACATTGTTCTGGTACAATAGAGAATTTATATACTTTTTCTTGTGCTCAGTCTTCGCAATTAACTGATTTAGATATTTCAAGGTGACTGCCTGGAACAATTTCCAGACTTATTACCTAAGACTACAGAACTCCACTTCTTTTGACACCCTGAGTTATGGCATTGCCTGAAGCAATAGTTGTTAATTACGGTAATGATTATTTCTTCAGGAGTTAAAAAGTTAGAGTTTAAATCTTTCTATAGGACTGTGGAATTTTCACTTTAAGGGTTACGTGAGGATCTGAACTAGTTAATATTGAAATGAGTACACTTGCATGAACCAAACTACAGTACTTTGAAAATAAGTTGTTAGTTTTTGTAGATTAGCGTTCTCTTTTTAGAAAATCTCAGATTTAAATTTTTTGATTTTCTTGAAGCAATTTCTTTGTCTTTGCTTTTTAATTGGGCATCACGAACCCTTAGCCAGAAGTGTCACCAGTGGGAAATGCGCTAAGCCAGGAAAGTATGTAGCCGAACAAAAGGCAAAGGCTACTGTGTTCTTTTGCTAGGCTATGGTTTGCAAAACATGACTCTCACAAACGTCCAGCTTCTCTGGAAAGAAAGGTAACTAGACATTGCAGAAACAGCCATGGGGCAAAGGATTAAACTGAGGTTTTCCAGGTTGCAGGATTTGAGTTACAGGGTAAAGAATCTTGCCATATATTTTCTATTATTTTGGCCGCGGTTTCTTTACCCTCTTGTTTCTTGTTGGTAGGGAACATGAAGAGTTTCAGAATTCATGAGGAATTTCAGGCCTGGGGAAAGAGCTGCATTTCTTCCTTATGCTTTTTCCTCCAAGATGGCGTTGAGTTAGAAAGACCTGGAAGGGGGTCAGCCTCTCCTCCTTCCTTGCTCCACTGAAGAGCAGGAGGGGACTCCTCTGCTAATATCCATTCTTTATAGTTTGCAGTTAATTTCTCAACTTTGGTTGTTTTGCCTTCTTATATTGTCAAATGGAGACTCTGTAGATGTTTCTTGAGTCCAGGGATTAGCCAGTTCTTTGTTTCTGTCGCCACTAGCAATGCAGGATCACAAGATGCTTCTGAAGGCCAAATGCTACAGGAGTTAAGAAGGCAAGAGAGTGAAAGTGGGGTAGGGAAAGGAAGAGAAGAGCATGGGAAAAGCAAGAAATACATTTGTTAGAGAGTGTGGCAGTGTGGGTGTGGCAGGAAGGATGCTGCATTATTTCAATAAATGTTGGAAGAAAATTTGACAAAATTCATTGTCCATTTCTGATAACAGCATATTATTTAATAATTTTCTGTAGCTGCTGTAACAAATTACCACAAACTTGGTGGTTTAAAACCCCTGAATTTTTTTTTTTTAAGTTTTGTTTTACGTTCAGGGGTACATGTGCAGGTTTGTTATATAGGTAGACTTGTGTCATGGGGATTTGTTGTACAGATTATTTCATTACCCAAGTATTAAGCCTAGTACCCATTAGTTATTTTTCCTGATCCTCTCCCTCCCCCTCCTTCCACCCTCTGATAGGCCCCAGTGTGTGTTGTTCCCTCATGTGTCCGTGTGTTCTCATCATTTAGTTCTCATTTATATAAGTGAGAACATGAGATAATCTGGTTTTCTCTTTCTGTATTAGTTTGCTAAAGATAATATCCTCCAGCTCCACCCATATTCCTGCAAAGGATGTGATCTCGTTCTTTTTTTATGGCTGCATAGTACTTCGTGGTGTATATGTACCACATTGTCTTTTTTCCTTCCTTCCTTCCTTCCTTCCTTTCTTCCTTCCCTCCTTCCTTCTTTTTTTTGACGGAGTCTCACTCTATCGCCCAGGCTGGAGTGCAATGGCACCATCTTGGCTCACTGCAACCTCTGTCTCCAGGGTTCAAGCAATTCTCCTGCCTCAGCCTCCTGAGTAGCTGGGATTACAGGCACGTGCCACCACGCCCGGCTAATTTTTGTATTTTTAGTAGAGACGTGGTTTCACCATGTTGGCCAGGCTGGTCTTGAACTCCTGACCTCAACTATTCTGCCCGCCTTGGCTTCCCAAAGTGCTGGGATTACAGGTGTGAGCCACTGTGCCCGGCCCACATTTTCTTATCCAGTCTATCATTGATGGGCATTTGGATTGATTCCACGTCTCTGCTATTGTGAATAGTGCTGCAGTGAACATATATGTGTATGTGTCTTTATGGTAGAATGATTTCTATTCCTCTGGATATAGACCCAGTAATGGCATTGCTGGGTCAAATGGTAGTTCTGTTTTTAGCTCTTTGAGGAATAGCCACACTGCTTTCCACAATAGTTGAACTGAGTTACACTCCCACCAACAATGTATAAGCATTCCTTTTTCTCTGCAACCTCGCTGGCATCTGTTATTATTATTATTATTATTATTATTCACTTTTGAATAATAGACTTTCAGACTGGTCTGAGATGTTATTTCACCGTGGTTTTGATTTGATTCAGACTGGTCTGAGATGTTATTTCACCGTGGTTTTGATTTGATTCGGACTGGTCTGAGATGTTATTTCACTGTGGTTTTAATGATCAGTGATGAGCTTTTTTTCACATGCTTGTTAGCCACATGTATATCTTCTTTTGAAAAGTGTCTGTTTGTGTCCTTTGCCCACTTTTTAATGGGGCTGTTTGCTTTTTTCTTGTAAATGTGTTTAAGTTCCTTATAGATGCTGGATATGAGACCTCTGTCAGATGCATAGTTTGCAAAAATTTTTTCCCGTTCTGTAGGTTGTCTGTTTATTCATAATTTCTTTAGCTGTGCAGATGCTCTTTAGTTTAATTAGATCCTGTTTGTCAATTTTTGCTTTTATTGCAGTTGCTTTTGGCATCTTCATTATGAAATCTTTGCCCATTCCTATGGCTGAGTGGTAGTGCCTAGGTTGTCTTCCAGGGTTTTTATAGTTTTGGGTTTTACATTTAAATCTTTAATCCCTCTGGAGTTGGTTTTCGTATATGGTATAAGGAAGGGATCCAGTTTCAACCTTCTGCATATAGCTAGCTAGTTATTCCGGCACCTTTTATTGGATAGGGAGTCCTTTCCCCAGTGTTTGTTTTTGTCCACTTTGTCGAAGATCAGATGGTTGTAGGTGTGCAGCCTTATTTCTGGGCTCTGTATTCTGTCCCGTTAAAACACCAGAAATTTTTTCTCTGACATCTGGAGGCCAGAAGTCTACAGTGAAGGTATTGGCATGTCAGGCTCCCTCCAGAGGCTCTGGGAGAGGATCCATGCCTGTGGTGGCTGCTGGCCTTTGGCATTCCTTACATTGCAGCTGCATCACCAAAGTCTCTGACTCAGCCTTCGCCTCTCCTTCTCCTCTCTGGGTGTGTCTACTCTCCCTCTGCCCCTCTGTGTAAGGACACTTCTGATTGCATTTAAGTCCCACCTGGATAATTTAGGCTCATCTTCTCATCTCAAAAGCCTTAATTTAATCACATCTGCAAAAAATTATCATGATAACATTCATAGGTTGCATGGATTAGGATATGGGCATGAACTTGGGAACCATCCTCAGCCTAGCCCACTCAGTAAAATGAAAAGAGTGATATACCTCCTCAACATGAGAAAAATCATTCAGTTGGTCTATTCAGCTGAATCCAAAGCCAGCATCATTTTTTTTTAATTGTGAAAAGCAAGAAAGAATTCTCTTAAAGTGAGGATCAAATGAAGATGTCTACATGAATATTTCATATATGTTTTGGACATGTCAGCCAATGAACTTATACAAAAGAATAAGAGGCTTAAATATTAAAAAGTTGTGTACAATTCATTTGGAAACAAGTAGACAGATTAATAGGTGATATTGGAAGAACTATCTAGCCATTGGGGAAGCGGAAAGAATGTTTTTACCTTATGAAAATGCAGAGAACATAAAAGAATGTAAAAATTTAAAATTTTATATAACCAAAAAGGAAAAAAAACAGTGTATGTGTTTGTGTGTGTGTGTGTGTGTGTTGCAACACTAACTACAAAAGGGGCAATGCCTTCTTTTACAAAGAAAACAATAATAATAACCTGTTATAAAAACGAGCAGATGACTTGAACAGGGAGTTCACAGAAAAATGAATACAGATGACAGTGGATATATAAAAAATACTCAGCTGCAGCTGGGCGTGGTGTCTCACGCCTGTAATCCCAGCACTTTGGGAGGCTGAGGCAGGCAGATCACCTGAGGTCAGGAGTTTGAGATCAGCCTGGCCAGCATGGCGAAACCCCGTCTCTACTAAAAATACAAAAATAAGCTGGGCATGGTGGTGTACGTCTATAGTCCCAGCTACTTGGGAGGCTGAGAAAGGAGAATTTCTTGAACCCGGGAGACAGAGGTTGCAATGAGCTGAGATCGTGCCATTGCAGTCCAGCCTGGGGGACAGAGTGAAACTCCATCTCAAGAAAAAAGAAAAAAAAAAATATATGTATACTCAGCTTCATTAAATATTTTTAAAATGTGATTCAAAACAATGAGACACCCCTTGTACCCTTGTACCCATCAAATTGACAGAGATGAAAATGTTAATTTGCTGAGGGATTATTTATATTTATTCATTTTTCCTTTTTTCATTAAGAGTTTAAGTTAGCTTGCTAGGTTGCATAAAATTAAGCAATTTAGCATAAATTAAAAGTAAGTGAGGCCACCTGCAAAGTAGTCTTGCCAAACAATCTGATCAAGTTGAATCTGATCAATTTCTAACCAACAGAGGGATGTGTGAGTCAATAACAAGGGATAAGAGCAGCAGAATCCAGTGGAAAAAACTACAGGACACATGGCCTGCATTTCTTCAACAAAATAATTGCATGAAGTTGCAGGAGGAGAGGAAAGGGAGAGGCAAAAAGAAATGGAGGGAGGTCAGGTGCAGTGGCTCACGCCTGTAATCCCAGCATGTTGGGAGGCCAAGGCGGGCAGATCACCTGAGGCCGAGAGTTTGTGACCAGCCTGGCCAACACGGTAAAACCTCATCTCTACTAAAAATACAAAAATTAGCTGGGCATGGTGGCACATGCCTGTAATCTCAGCTACTTGGGAGGCTGGGGCATGAAAATCGCTTGTACCCAGGAGGCAGAGGTTGCTGTGAGCCAAGGTCGTGCCACTGCACTCCAGCCTGGGTGACAAAGTGAGACTCTGTCTTTAAAAAAAAAAAGAAAGGAAAAAACAAAATGAATGGAGAGCCCCTGGATTAAAAGGGAAATAAGACCCTGTACTGATAGCATTCTAGGGGAGGAGTTGCAGATGAAGAACGTTCCTTTGTTTCTTTATTACCCCCTTAGTCTTCAAGCAGCTGGTTGAATTAAAGTTACTATCTTGGAGTTTCCTTTGGTTAAAAGGGAGGTGATCAGAGTGCTATTAAAATTGTGGGCCGGGCGTGGTGGCTCATGCCTGTAATCCCAGCACTTTGGGAGGCTGGGGCGGGTGGATCACCTGAGGTCAGGAATTCGAGACCAGCCTGGCCAACATGGCGAAACCCTGTTTCTACTAAAAATACAAAATTAGCCGGGCATGGTGGCGCACTTCTGTAATCCCAGCTACTCGGGAGGCTGAGATAGGAGCATCGCTTGAACCTGGGAGGTGGAGGTTGCCGTGAGCCGAGATCGCGACATTGCACTCCAGCCTGGGCAACAAGAGCGAAACTCTGTCTAGAAAAAAAACCAAAAACCAAAAAACAAAACAAAACAAAAACCCAAAATTGTGGTCTTGGACCAGAGGAAAAAAAGAATCCATTACTTCCACATAAAAAAAAAAAAAAAAACAACAAATTCACCCCTCTTATTCGCTATGCCACTCTTTTAACTATTAAAACAGAATTTTCTGTGATTCTGTTACTATTTAAGAACATCTTTATATATTGGTAAATTTCGTTTTATTTTTTCTTTTATTTATTTTTTTTTTGAGCTGGAGTCTCGCTCTTGTCGCCCAAGCTGGAGTGCAGTGGCGAGACTTCGGCTCACTGCCTCCACCTTCCAGGTTCAAGTGATTCCCCTGCCTCAGCCTCCCAAGTAGCTGGGACTACAGGCGCCCACCAACACGCCCAGCTAATTGTTGTATTTTTAATAGAGACAGGGTTTCACCATGTTGGCCAGGGTGGTCTCAAACTCCAGACCTCAGGTGATCCACTCGCCTCAGCCTCCCAAAGTGCTGGAATTACAGGCTTGAGCTACTGCGCCTGGCTATTTTGGTAAATTTCAAACATATTCAAAAGTGGACTGTATTATAACTGCCAGGTATCTAGCACTCAGCTTTGACAATGACCAGCTCATGGCCAATCCTATTTTATCTGTATCTCTATCCCCCACTCTGCCTTTTTTTTTGAAGCAAATTCTAGAATAATATCATTTCACTCGTAAACATTTCAGTATTATCTCTAAAAAAAAAATACTTATTTTTTAAAACCTAACCAAAACCCAGTGTGTATTTTGAAAAGCTCGAGCACGCCACTAAATTTCTTTGCAACCCATTGCCATTTTTTATTTTAAAGTGATGTTTTTAACACCCTTATGACTACATTTCCTTGCGATCAATGCTAATGAGTGAAGCAGCCCATAAATGAGGAAGGAGATGAACCGAGACAGTAGGAGTTCCCTACTGCCTGCCTCCTGCCTTTTCCCTGGGCCTAGAACATAACTCAGGGCATTGGCTGTGATTTGCTTTTAGGTTCTTTTAAGAACATCTTAGTCAACACCAAATTGTTAACATGACATAAAAGGTCTACTAGGACTTTTTTTTTTTTAGCTTTAATCACATGAAGCTGTAATAAAACCCATTTGAGCACTTTTATTCTCTTAAAATGGGGCCATTTCCCAATTAGCGGATGGACAGGCTGGCTCATTCTTCTTTGACAGGAACGTAATTCTTTGTGTCCTTCACCGATTCTTCGAAATGTTCTTAGCTTGGCTGGCTGCCTTCCCTTCTTTTTTTTTTTTTTTGAGAGGGAGTCTTGCTCTGTCTCCCAGGCTGGAGTGCAGTGGTGCGATCTCGGCTCACTGCAACCTCTGCCTCCCGGGTTCCAGCGATTCTCCCGCCTCAGCCTCCAGAGTAGCTGGGATTACAAGCGTGTGCCCCACACCCGGCTAATTTTTTGTACTTTTAGTAGAGATGGGGTTCCAGCGATTCTCCCGCCTCAGCCTCCGGAGTAGCTGGGATTACAGGCGTGTGCCCCACGCCCGGCTAATTTTTTGTATTTTTAGTAGAGATGGGGTTTCACCACGTTGGCCAGGCTGGTCTCGAACTCCTGACCTAAAGTGATCCGCCCACCTTGGCCTCCCAAAGTGCTGGGATTACAGGCATAAGGCACCGCACCTGGCCACCTTCTTTCATTCTTCTTGTTTCCCTGTCTGTCTCAGGCAACTTTCTACCTCTCTGTTTGTCATTCCCAGATCTACTCATTTCCTCCTGTCCCTCTCTTAAGCTCCATTTGCCTGCTTGAATTCTGCCATGCGTCCCGTCCCTGCAGCATCTTATACTTAATACATCTGACTTGGAACTCATGATCTGCCCTTTCCCCACTGGCCACCCCCACTGACCTGACTTTCCTCTTTCACTTAACTTCATTTGGGGGTGGAAAAGCCAGATGACGAGTATCATTTTTATTACCACTACTATTACTAGTAGCAATACTTCTACTATTACTATTACTACTTCCAGTACTACTACTATGCTTCTGTTCCTTTGTTCCTCTTATGCAGTAAGTGACCAGAGCCTATAGATTTTGCCTCTGCAAAATTCAAGCAGCTTATTTGTGAGCCAGATTGCTGTGGTCTCTACCTCTTATTTTTGGGTCTAGTGCTTAAACTCTGTACATAGGTAAGAAGACATGGGCCCTGACTTCAAAGGGCTTGCATTTTTAGTGGAAGACATGGATGAACAGATGGGTTCACTTAATCAGCATAGGAAGGTTCAGGGTACTGTGGCAACACAGAGGAAAGGTATTTATTGCATTGGGGACTTTCATGGAAGACTTCCTGGAGAAAAACATACTTGAGCTGAGTGTCGCAGTTGACTGGGGAAAACAGGTAATAACAACATTCTGAGGAAAATAAGAGCAAAGACCTGGAGGCATAAAACATCAAGGCATGAGAGTATGTGGGTTTATGCATGAGTGTGTGTGTAGCACAGTTTCAAAACATCCTGATATTATTAGATCAGTTCATCTTGTTACATCTTTTTTTTTTTCTGAAGCATGGATGTGGCATGATGTTCCTCTACTGAAAAACATACATGACTTCTCTTTTTACATCTGAAATTTAAAATATATTTGTTACAGTATTTTGATCTCTGACTCCAACTTCCTCCTCCAGGTTTCTCTCTCCACCACTTTTCAGTTTGTCCAGAGTAGAAAACTCAGAATTCTTTGAATATACCACAGTGCTTCTCCTTACAAAGATATTTCATCCTCATTTTACTTTGAATCCCCTTATTGTCTCTCCAAGTCTTGATTGTCAAAATCCCACCCATGGTCTTTTTAAACTTTGATTTTGGAAATATTTAAATATATAAAGAAGACATACAGTATAACAAACCCTCAGGTACCCTTAAATCCTACCAAAATCAAAGGGCCACTTCAAATACCACTTCGTATGTGAGACCATTTCTCAGTGTTGCTTGTCTTGCTTCTTCTCTCCTGCTTTCAGGGTGCAATGCTTGTATTGCACATCACACATACCCGCTGTTATTATGGAGTTGGGTTTTCATATCTCCTGATGCTTCGATGGCAGAATTGCATCTTAATAAGTTTTGACCCTTGCAATGTGTACCCTGGGGAATGATTGACAATTTCAGCTCAAAGATAGAGATAACACAGTGAGGAGCTAGCTTGGAATTTAATTCTTACTAATCAGAAAGAACTGGTGGGTTGTGGGGGATGTGACAAGAGCCTTGGAGGAAAGTGACGTTGGCAACATAAAGTGAGAAATGGTAAAACAAGACAAACAAACAAACAAACAAACACAAAACAACTTTACATAGACATGTGGTAGACAAGGGCTACTTAACTGTGGCTGATTTCTCAGACACTTGTGAAACTTAAAAAAATATATGGATCCTGAAGCCTCACTCTATCAACTTAGCTGGTAACTACTGTCCCCAGTAGCTGAGAGACCTGGACAAAAGGGCATCAGCAGGGGACCCACCTGCATGGGTCCTTTTGGGGCAGTTTCACCCATAGGGATAGGATTGCAAGTGTGGCTTCAGTGACACAACTACAATGTGAGATTTTAAGACTTTTTAGCACTTAGAGACTCTGTATGGCACCCAGCACGCCTGGAAGCCACACACACACACCTGGAAGCCACACACACACACACACACACACACACACACACACGTGCACGCAGAGAGAGAGAGAAGGGACCACTGAGCCAATGTCTTTATTGGGTACAGGGCGTTATCCAGTTTCCTGCAGGGAGCTTTAATTGCTGGGTTTAAAGCAAGCAGGCACTAGTTCTAGGAGGTCACAGCGTGACTGAGAGGTGGTCACCTTACGTTTGTGGGCAAATGTCTGCATGGTCTGTTTAAAGGGAGTGGCAGGAAAGTAGGGAGGCCAGCCTGCTAGGCAGGAGAGATGTCTCTAAGTTTCATGTCTGGCCACTGGTTTGGAGCCAATCTGGTGGAGTGTGGTATTAGACACCGTGTTAAGAGTGACTGAGCCCTGCTTCTGATGTGAGATAGTTTAACTTAGGTTTAAAAATGGATACTGAGGCAATGTAAAATTATAAGCACTCACTACACTCAGTCCCAGAAATCCTGAGTCTATAGACCTGGAGAAGTTCCCATAGTCAGTGGGCACAAAGAGAGGTAGATTCAAGATTGATGAGATGTTTGAAAAATGTAATTCTAGTGTAAATAACACGAAAGAGGGAGAATGGAGCACGGAATTTGAAGAAATAAGATGCCATCCAGGGAACATTCTGCTTAACTCATATTTTAAAAATGTAAGCGTAAACATGGAAGGGACAAAAGGAAGTATTTATTGAGCACCTATATTATGCTACACCCTGCTAGGCTTCTTCACACACACTGTGTCAATCGAGTCTCTTAATGACCTGCGGAGATTGTACATCATCTCCAGTTTGCAGGTGTGGAAACTCAGTTTAAGATAAGAAACTTTCTCAACATTACGTCACTAAGTGGGACAGCTGGGATTTGAAATGATTCTTATTGATGCAGAGGTTTGTGCAATTTCCATTCCATTCTTGGTTGTTCATTTTGTTTGTTTGTTTTTTGAAGAGCTCTGTACAAATGTTCAAAACAGTTGAGAAAAGAATAACAAACATTCAGTCAACAAATATTTATGATGTGCAGGTGCTGGGCAAAATCATTGGCCATCATGGAACTTATATTCTAGTGGAGAAAGGTAGATAAACAAGTAATAAATAAATGCAGAAGTAAATAAATAAATACAAAAATAAAATAATTCTAGATTGTGAGAAAAGGTTTGCGGGAAATGAGTGGAAGATGGTCGTGGAGATCTATTGTAGAGAGAGTGGACATTTTTCAACTAAAATATCAAAGTTTCAGGGAAGCTGCTTTGAGCTCATATTGTGTTGCAGGCTGAGTGTAAGGTGCCAGAATGTGAAAGCAGGAATGTGTGGATAGTAATCCTTAGATTGTGTTCAGGAAGCTCTGGGAAGGTTCTATGAGGGAGGTTTTGAATTTGGAAGGTTGAGTTCTTGTCTGCAAGACAGCTAGAGCCCTCCAGGTAGAAGGAACAGTATGAGCAAAGGTAAGGTCTTAGGAGATTCATTCTGACTCTGAAATCAAACTGACTGCAGGTTTTAAAATGAGCTTTTCAGCTGGGCACAGTGGCTCACACCTGTAATCCCAGTAACAGCACTTTGGGAGGCTAAGGCGGGCGGATAACCTGAGGTCAGAAGTTTGAGATTAGCCTGGTCAACATGGCGAAACCCCATCTCTACTAAAAATACAAAAATTAGGCGGGTGGGGTGGCACGTGCCTGTATTCCCAGTCGCAGCTACTCGGGAGGCTGAGGGCCATGAGAATTGCTTGAACGTGGGAAGCAGAGGTTTCGGTGAGCCTAGATAGGACCACTGCACTCCAGCCTGGGTGACAAAGTGAGACTCTGTCTCAAAAAAAAAAAAAAAAAAAAAAAAAAAGGCCGGCCATGGTGGCTCACGCCTATAATCCCAGCACTTTGGGAGGCTGAGGCAGGTGGATCACGAGGTCAGGAGTTCAAGACCAGCCTGACCAACATGGTGAAACCCCATCTGTACTAAAAAATACAACAATTAGTTGGGCGTGATGGCGGGCACCTGTAATCCCAGCTACTCAGGAGGCTGAGGCAGGAGAATCACACAAAGCCGGGAGGCGGAGGTTGCAGTGAGCTGACATTGTGCCACTGTACTCCAGGCTGGGTGACAGAGCAAGATTCCATCTCAAAAAAAAAAGAAAAAAAAAAAGAGGTTTTCAGCTTTTCTTCTCTAAACTTTCTGTAATTCCAGAGAGATTTGTCTTCAGTGTTTGGAATCTCAGTGGTATATAAGAGCCAGTGGTTTTGGAAGATTGGAGGATGGCAGAGTCCCTGTTCACTTTTACATTGCTGTTGCAAAGCCAGCTTTCTTCCTGCATGCCTCTTCCCCTGCCCTGCTTCGTTCGTTGCTTTGCATATGATGATTGCAATTTAATAACACTGAATGATACTTCACTGCTGGTTTTATTGCCAACTACCCTTGGAACGTAAGCCTAGATGCAAGTAGTAAGGAGAGGGCAGCCAAGGCCTCTAGATTGCCAGTTACTTGGCTGGAAATCCCATTCATATTGGGAAACAGATTTTTAAAATAAATTTGGCACTGGAAACACTGCCATCCTTTTGTGAAGCTGTGTCAATAATCATAAACTCTCATAGTCGTGCCCCCAACCCTCGGCCAAGCTAACAAATATTTAGGCATCAGCATATCTTCACGATGCCACCTTCTGTTGACCGCGTGGGCTTCTCATGCTGTTTGGGTTGGCAGTGGAACATAATCTTCTGTTTTATGTAATGAGGAACATCAGAGGAGTGCTTTGTGCTTACCCTCTCAGAGTGTGTGCAAGACCTCTCGTGTACCCCATCATTTTCGGTGCAGTCAAAGCTAGCGAACATTTCTGTGGCCTGGTAAATATTTTCTAACTATTGGCAAGGCTTTTTAAATTTTTTTTTCCAGTGCCATTTTGCTCCAGGCCAGGATTATAATGACCCAGCTTTGCTTTGGTTTCAGATGAATTTTGCAAATATATGTGTGTGGTGGGATTACACTATTTTCAGAGAACACAGTCATGCGGGTAACAGGGTCTGATGCAATATAGTGCTGCATATGCCCAATCAGGCCGACGAGGCTTACCCTTTGCAGACTGTGCCAATAAGCAGTCGAGGCTTGTTGCGATCTGCAGAAATCTACAGAATTCTCTGTTTCCGAGAAGGCTTGTTGCTAGCATATGACATCATAGAAAGCCTTTTTTTTTTTCTGACATTTTTTCTGCTTTGCTTTAGAATATCAAAGGCAAAGACTGTTGAACATAGTTGGCCACTTAGCTTTATTATTCATAGTGCTCCCTCCCATGTTTTTTTTTTTTTTTTTTTAACAGTGTTCAATGTTAGCGTCAGGTGTTGGCTGCCTTCCTGGGGGAACAGATTGCTGTGAAGTAAACACAGCTGGAAACTGACCACATATTGTTTTTCTTTCTTTTAAGAAATCAAAGAGGCATTTATAGAAAAGCTGCAGAACATGGTACTGTCCAGATTTATAGATTTATTCCTCCAAGTCTGGTTAATGATTAATGTCACGCCTGGGTGTCCACATAGACCCACTTCCCTTCTCCCTTCCTGAAGCTGCAATTTCCTCGGAACAATGAGCTTGCAGAGGTTTGCTGCAATCCGAACTTGAGGAGGGGGTGGAGTCTGTTCAGTTCTGTTTCTCCTTGCCGAAGTGTGGTCTTTGGAGCTAAGTGAAGAATGACTTCTGTTAGGTTTTCCTCTGCTGGTCTTCCTTGCAGCCTCGAAAACCTCACCAGAGTCGCCTCTGCTGGTCTCTTACTGTGCTGCTCTGTCAGAGATGGGCAAGTAAGCGAACTGCAGAGTGTTGCTGTGTGTGCTTGTGATTTGTATTTTATTTGATGTAAACGTGAAGGCAGAGTATTTTCTAACACTGTAATTCAACTAGGTTTTGTGTCTCCTGGATCTATTTTTTTTTCTTGTTGTTCTGAGGAGCTGATATACTTGGAAATATTAGGTTTAAGATATGCAGATGTCCAACTTATATACATAGTCAAGGGTTTAGAGTCTGGAGACAGGAGGCTGGCAATTTCAACTAGGAGGCAGTAAATTCAGGGTAAGAATGATGTTGATGTGGGGGGCTGTGGGGGTGGCTGGGTGTAACAGTGATCTGGGGAGAGAATCAAAGGCCTTCTCCTCCCACTTGGAAGACTTTACTATTATTTTGGTCTTTTATTCCTTTGGTCTCTGTGCTAAAAACTTTCTCTCTTTTTTACTGTTTCTTTGTATAGATGTTTTGGTGATTTAAGTTATGGTGTAATAATTAATTGCTGTTAAGAATTGCTACTAATTACTTGCTATATTAAAGTTTTCCAAAGGGGTTTTCTCAATAAATAGCTATTTCTCTTTACATCTATCTTGTAAGAACTGAGTTAGAGGTAAAGAAGAGAAAGATGTAGGAATTTAAGAGTAACTTCTGCTTTTGGTTTGCTTAAATGACAACTGGAGACCAGTTTTCATAGGCAAAATATATGTTACTTTAGTTTTTGTTTTCGTTGAGAGAACTGTAGGGTCGCCTTTTGGGATTACCTGAATTATCTGTCACCTGCACTGGAATTTGTATGTAGTTATCTGTATAGTTATCTAAACAAGTTGAATCCGTCATTCATTCCTCACTGAAGAATCTCATCGAAAGTAACATTCCCTGTCTGTTTGGCTGAGGTGCATGGATGGGAATTGTTGGAATTAGGCCATATATCTATTTGGATTCTCATAACTGGGTCCAGCACCTAGCATAGTTCCTGGTACATAGGAAAGCTCTATGCGATGTCAATAACTGACTAATTTAGTAACATCCTTAACAGCTGTTTGAGTTCCAAGAGCAGGAAAGTGAATGGTGAGTTTTGAACCTTATAAAATACATAAGTAAACCCAAATGAGGAGAGAATTGAGAAAGCCTCTTATTCTGAAGGTGGTCCTAAAAGGCTTTCTCTAGGCTGATTACTGCGAAGCATATTTTTTCCTGGCTATATACAACTTGGCAGAATTGATCTGATTTTGGATTCTGAAGGAATTGAAAAATTTCATTATACATTATAGTGGGCTATAATGATGTGGCCAGTTCTCTTCATTAATTTTTTAAATGACTTTAAAAAAAATGAGACAGTACTGATTGTTTCCCTAAATGAATCTAATTAACAGCTACTTAAGGTATCTTAATGTTTTTTCATATATGTTATCTGCTTTGATTCTCATATCAGTCCAGTGAGGTGAGTATGGTTGTTACTTCCTCATTTTACAATTGAGAAAACTGAGAGTCAGATGAAAAGTGATTCTAGAAGTTGCGTGATGCGTGGAAGAACCAGATGTCAGCTGGGTATTTTAAAACTCAAAATCCCGGGTACGTCTCACCTGCCCCCTCTCCAGTCATCTCTAAACGTCTTCTATTGCAGGATAGTAGAAAGAACTCCCACCTGGGTGTCAGGAGACCTGGATTCTGATTCTGACTGGGTCATTGCTGACCTCTGTGATGTGGAGCAAGTCACTGAAGTCTTTGGATGTTATTTTTCTGCAAGGAGGTTATTTTAATTGGTTTAAGTTTCTTTGCAGCTTCAGGATCTATCCAGGGCCATATCCAGGGCTTGTGTTATCTCTGAGTGCTCATCTGCAATGTAGAGAAGAGGTGGGAAAGGAGGTAGGATTCTTTTTTTTTCTTTTTTTTTTTGAGACAGAGTCTTGCACTGTCGCCCAGGCTGGAGTGCAGTGGTGTGATCTCAGCTCACTGCAAGCTCCGCCTCCCAGGTTCACGCCATTCTCCTGCCTCAGCCTCCCCTGTAGCTGGGACTACAGGTGCCTGCCACCATGCCCGGCTAATTTATTGTATTTTTAGTAGAGACAGGATTTCACCGTGTCGGCCAGGATGGTCTCCATCTCCTGACCTCGTGATTCGCCCGTCTCGGCCTCCCAAAGTGCTGGGACTACAGGCATGAGCCACCGCGCCTGGGCAGAAGGTAGCATTCTTTCCAGCCATTCTATGCAGCTCTCCCTTGGTTTCCCCTGCCAAGTGCAAAGAGACACAGGATCTCCATGCATGAGGAAAACCCCAGGCCCTTGTTTGCTCTGTTCTGCTTCCTGAGCTGGCATTTCTCAGTCTGTTCTTTTTTACTCATCAACAAAAGTATTCGAGCCAAATTCTCTTGTAATTTCAGCCCAGGTGTGATCAACATCAAGTTACCTTTCCATTTGGCCCAAGAAGAAGTTATAACTTCCTTGCATAAGCTCATCTGTTATCTTAATCCTTTCTGGAACAGGGAAAATGTAAATAAGTATTACTCTATCCCTCTCTTAAGTTTTTCAAATTACAGCAGGTGGTTGGGAAAAGGGGAGGGCAGAACAGTGGAAAAGCATTTTTTATTCTACTTCCATTGCTAACTTTGTAGTAGTTAACAGATCGATTTAGAAAATAGTGGGTTACTAAGATAAGGGTGACCACCCTTTACTAACACTAAAAAGAAAAAAAAAAAGCTATAACCAAGTGTCTGCCATCACCATTATAGTGTAAAAGAAAAAAAAAACAAAAACAAAAAACAAGGCCAGGCATGGTGGCTCATGCCTGTAATCCCAGCACTTTGGGAGACCAAGGTCAGCGGATCACCTGAGGTCAGGAGTTCGAGACCAGCCTGGCCAACAGGGAGAAACCCCCATCTCTACTAAAAATATAAAAATTAGCCGGGCATGGTGGTGCATGCCTGTAATCCCAGCTCCTCAGGAGGCTGAGGTAGGAGAATCGCTTGAATCCAGGAGGCAGAAGTTGCAGTGGGCTGAGATTGTGCCACTGTACTCCAGCCTGGGTGACAGAGTGAGACTCTGTCTCAAAAAAAAAAAAAAAAAAAAAAGTTGCAATGACAAATTCTCAGTGGGGAGAAAGGGCAGATCTTCCTAGGAAAAGAGAGTTGGCATTCTCATCCTGATGTTTGCCCCCTGGACTAATGAAAAACCTCATTCATGACCACAGTCTGTATTTGAGAAGCTCTGTCCTACCTGGTGCTTGGGTTCTTAACACTCACAGACTTCCTGGGTAGGAAGTGGCGCTTTGAATGGAGACATGAGAGCTGCCTGTGCAGGTCAGCTCTTTCCTTTGCCGCAGTCTCTTTCTCTGCTATCTTGCTATGATTTAGTCCTTAACTTTTTCCTTTTGTCTTTCCCCATAGGCAAGAAGCGAAACCCTGGCCTTAAAATTCCAAAAGAAGCATTTGAACAACCTCAGACCAGTTCCACGTAAGTTGACAAGACCATCATCTGAATCCAAATCCTTGTGCTTTCAGATTCCTCCTGGGGGTTTATTTTTGGACTGCTGAGCAATGCCTTGACTTTAGAAGAGCCCTTTAAGGGGGAAGCCATTTGCTCACTGTTCTGAGACCTGAAATAGTCATCTTATCAGTCAGTTACGTTGAATGGGTAGTTTTGAACTCAGTGTCTTAAGTTATTGGTTGAGTAGGAAGTGAATGTCACATATATTTGGCAGATGGGGCTCTATGTAAGGCCAGAAAGGCCCCTGGATGTGAACTTCCTTGCCTTTTCCCTGTAGATTGGAGCAAACAGGCAAATCCCTGTGAAAGCCACTACTATAAAACTTGGGTTGAGATGGAAAGATGGTATTTGGTGAGGACCCACATCCTGACACTTAAATTCTGTCCCATATAAACAGAAGGAAGAATGAGGTAAAGGAACACTTTTTTTTTATTAGCTGAGGTTTTGGCCCAAATCCCTAAGTCAGCTCAAGTCCTAGTGAAGGACATCGTGTAAATGACATCCTCTCTGTGAGGATGTCTCCTTCTTGTTTTTTTTTTTTTTATTTTTATTTTTTATCTGTCTCTGTGTGGTGGGAACGGTACTTCCTGTCCAGCTGGAGGTACAACCACCTACCAAGGCATCTGCATGAGAGGAATGGAAATTCCAAGGAAACTCACAATAGAGGTGTTAGAGAGACAGGGCAAGGGCAAAGAGAGGGCATCCTAATGGAAAAGTGAGTTGGTAAGGCTTTTGTTCATGTCTACAAAAGTGCCTCCCTTTGTGATGGGTTTTGATCTTAGCTATGATCTGCTATCAGGAAGTGCACCCCTAGTGTTGGAATGTGTTCTTAAATGGGATCATGTCTGCTGTAAGACTTTGTTAAAGCCACTGGTCCTTGCATTGCGTGAAGCAGTATACAGACACTTTCCACTGGAGAATTTTTAAGGACAAAGTAGAGTTGAGGGCTACTCTTCAGGGTTCTGGACTGTAGCTCAAGAGTCTAAACTCAAGATAGAATGTTCCTTTCATTAGAATCTGCAGGAGGAAGATCCGTCTTCCCATACTTGCTGTCAAGATTGTTTTCTTTTTCTCTTTTTTTTTTCTTTTTTTTTCGGTCTCTCTGAGCAATTTCTTTTTCTCGTAGACCTGTGAACTGTGTAATTACTATTGTTTCCTCTCTGACTGGTTTCTCAAGAGCTTACAGTCAAATATGTGGCCTACTTTTACTACCTGTATAGGAATTTATGGGATATACTTTTAAAACTTTTTATTTTGAAATAATTGTAGATTAACAGGAGGTTGCAAAGAAACGTACAGGGAAGTCCCATAGATCCCTTTCCCCAGGCCATGCCAAACTCCCCCGCCATCCCAAGTTAACATCTTACACAACTATAATACATTATCAAGATCAAGAATGTGGCAGTAGTGCAAATCATAGAACTTAATTTTGCCAGCTATGCAAGTATTCCTTTGTGTGTGTGTGTGTGTGTGTGTGCACGTGTAGCTCTATAAAGTTTATCACATTGTGTAAGTCTTGCATAAGTACTATTATAATCAAGATACTTCACTACAGCAACATTACAAGACTCTTTTATGCTCCCCTCTTATAATCAAACCCACCTCTTCTCCCCATCTCCGTCCTTAATCCCCAGCAACCGCTAATCTGTTCTCCTTTGCCATTTTGTTATTTCATGATTGTTATATAAACAAAATCATGCATCTCTTTTTGAGATTTTTTTTTGTTCAATGTAATTTTATTGAGGTTCATGTAAATAATTGCATGTATTGATAGTTTGTTCCATTTTATTGCTAAGTACCCATCCATGGTATGGTTATACCACAGTTGGTTCAACACCTTAGCCTTTGAAGGAGATATGGGTAGTTTTCCATTTTTGGCTATTATGAATAAAGCTGTTATGAGCATTTATGCATAAGTTCCTGCATGAGAATAGGTCTTCATTTCTCTGGGGTGTAAGCCCAATAGTGCAATTGCTGGGTTATATGGTAAGCCCATCTTTAGTTTTGAAAGAACTGCTGAACTATTGGCCAGAGTAATTGTACCATTTTATGTTCTCAGCAATAATGTCCGAATAATCTAGTTTTTCTGGATCTCTGCCAGCAATTGGTATTATCAGTGTTTTTCATTTTAGCTATTCTGATGTGTAGTGATATATATGTAGTTTTTTTTTTTTTTTTTTTTTTTTTTTGAGACGGAGTTTCGCTCTTGTTGCCCAGGCTGCAGTGCAATGGCGTGATCTCGGCTCACTGCAACCTCTGCCCCCTGGTTTCAGGTGATTCTCCTGCCTCAGCTTCCCCAGTAGCTGGGATTATAGGCGCCTGCCACCATGCCCAGCTGATTTTTTTTTTTTCTTTTTTTGGTAGAGACGGGGTTTCACCATATTGGCCAGGCTGGTCTGCTGGTCTCGAACTCCTGATCTTAGATGATCCACCTGCCTTGGCCTCCCAAAGTGCTGGGATTATAGGCGTGAGCCACTGTGCCCAGCCTATATGTAGTTTTAATTTACAATTTCTCTAGTGGCTAATAATGTAGAATATGTTTTTAGGTGTTTATTTTCCATCTATATATTTTTGGTGAAATGTCTGTGCATATCTTTTGCCCATTGTCTAATTAGATACTTTTTATTGTTTACTTTTGAGAGTTATTTGTATATTCTGGACACGAGGACTTTGTCCGATATATATGTGATATGAAAATATTTTTCCCAGTTTGTAATTTGTCTTTTTATGCTTTTAGCAGGGTCTTTCACAGAGCAAAAGTTTGTTCAACTTATCAATTATTACTTTTACAGATCATGCTTTTGATAATAAGTCTAAGAACCCTTTGCCTAGTCCTAGATCTGTCTAGAAGTTTTGTAGTTTTGCATTTTGCATTTAAGCCCATGGTCCATTTTGAGTTAATTTTTGTTCAAGGTATGAGTTTAGGTTGAGCTTTATTTTTTTGGCCAGTGGGTTACCAATTATTCTAGCACCATTTGTTGAAAAGGCTATCCCTCCTCCATTGAATTGCTTCTGCTCCTTTGTCAATACCAATTGGGCATATTTGTTTGAAGTTATTTCCGCATTGTTTATTCTGTTCCACTGATTTATTTGTCTCTCCCTCTGCCAGTATGACATTGTCTTGATTACCACAGCTGTAGAGTAAGTCATAACAGGGAAACATGATTCCTCTCACTCTGTTCTCTTTCAGAACTATGTTGACTATTCTAAAGGCCTTTCTCTTTTCATATAAGTTTTAGAATAAGCTTATCTATGTCCACAGAGAAACTTACTGAGATTTTAGTAGGAATTGTGTTTAAGCTATAGATCAATTTAGGGCAAATTGACATTTTTACTACATTGGTTCTTCCAATCTGCAAACATGGTATATTTCTTCAACTTTAAAAATTTTATTTCTTTCATCAGCATTTTTATAATACAATTCCTCTATATTAGATTTTGTTAAAATTTATACCTAAGTTTTTTTTGGAGCAAATTTTAAGTGGAATTTGATTTGTGAACTTGGTTTTCACTTGTTCATTGTCAGTATATAGAAATGCAATAGATTTTTTCTGTATTGATCTTGAATTCTGTGGATTCTGCAATTGATCTTCTATTCTGTGACTTTACTAAAATCACTTATTAGTTCTAGAAGCTTGTCATCGAATCGTTAGGGTTTTCTATATAAACAGTCATGGCATCTGTAAATGGAGACTGTTTTATTTTTTCTTTTCCAATCTTTACTTTGATTTTTACTTTCATTTTCTTGCCTTATTGAAGTGGCAAGAATGTCCAGTCCTAGGTTAATAAAGTTCATGAGAGCAGGCAAACTTGCTTTGTTCCTCATCTTAGAGGGAAAGCATTTAGTCTTTCACTATTAAGTATGAAGCGAACTGTAGGTTTTTTGTAGATGTTACTTATGAGGTTGAAAAGGTTCCCAACTATATAAAACCTCTCAGTATACTGAGAGGTTCTTTTTGATTGTTTGTTTTTGTTTTTTTGAGACAGGGTCTCACTCTGTCACCCAGGCTGGAGTGCAGAGGTGTGATCATGGCTCACTGCAGTCTCAGCCTCCCCTGGCTCAAGTGATCCTCCCATCTCAGCCTCCAAAGTAGGTGGAACTACAGGTACATGCCACCACACGCGGCTAATTTTTTTTTGTGTTTTGTAGAGACGGGGTTTTGCCATGTTGCCCAGGCTGGTCTTGAACTCATGGGCTCAAGCAATTTGCCTGCCTTGGCCCTCCCAAAGTGCTGGGATTACAGGCGCGAGCCAACGTGCCCTGCCTGAGAACTTTTATTATGAATGGGTATTGAATCTTGTTGAATGCTTTCTCTGCATCAATTGATATGATCATAAGATTTTTCTTCTTTGATCTGTCGATATGTAGATTATGTTGATTCATTTTTATGTACTCAGCTAGCTTTGCATACCCCAAATGAATCCCAGTTAGTTATGGTATATATATTTTTGTGCATTGTTGGATTCGATTTGCTAAAATTTTGTTGAGGATTTTTGTTTCTAGGCTTTTGGGAGATGTTGGTCTGTGGTGGTTTATTTATTATTTCTCTTGTGCTATTATTTTCTAGTTTTAGTATTAAGGTAATAATGGCTTAATAAAAATGAATTGGTAAGTGTTGCTTCTATTTTTTGGTAGACATTGTATAATATTGGTGCTAATTATTTGGATGTTTGCTAAAATTCTCCA
Organism: Homo sapiens; assembly: GCF_000001405.40. Classification (NCBI taxonomy): domain Eukaryota; kingdom Metazoa; phylum Chordata; class Mammalia; order Primates; family Hominidae; genus Homo; species Homo sapiens. The sequence continues at coordinate 69,510,567 of NC_000017.11, forward strand.
ATGAAAGAAAATGAGCCTGGATTTTTTTTTTCTGGGACTTTTTAATCACAATCTCAATTTCTTTAGTAGTTATAGGACTATTCAGATTATCTGTTTCATCATGGCTGAGTTTTGGTAGTATGTGGTTTTGAGGAGTTGGTCCATTTCTTCCAAGTTGTCACATTTATGAGAGTAAAATTGTTCATAGTGTTTCCTGCCTATCCTTTAAATGGCTGCACAATCTGTTGTGACATCCTTTTTTTTTTTCCCTGATACTGATAATTTGTGTCTTCTTTTGTTAAATTTGTCAATTTTGCTTGAGGTTTATCAACTTTATTGATTTTTTTTCTTCTGAAGAACCAGCTTTGTTTTATTTTCCTATTTTCAATTTTATTGCTTTCTGCTTTTATTTTTGCTATTTCCTTTGGGATTTATTCTTACATCAACCTGCCAGGAGTCTTACATCCCTTCCCCTTACAATTTTTATTCTTTACCTTTTATATTAGTTTACATTATAGCATAAATTATATGTTAATTTTATAAATTTTATGAATTTCGGAAGGCTACCATAAACCCTTTCTTGGTATAAACAAGGATAAAAGCAGTTTATATTTTCCCTCGTATGGTATTAATAAGGTATACTGTGAATATACTTATCTGTTTCACTGTGTGAAGCAAAAAGTATCACTTCATTATTGTAGAGTATACCGCTGTAGCTCAAAGAGTCTCGTTGTTATTACTTTAATGCCAAGGCTTAAATTTGTACTCCTAAAGAAGTAGCTCCCACATTTTGTGTTTTTCTTGGCAATTTTTGAAGGCTGGCTTGGTGATTTCTTCCCATTCATACCCTGCCTCCTTCTGCTGCGCTTCACAAAAATAAATAGGCCTTGACAAAGCTCCATTCTCCCGAGTTCAACGTGTGTGGCCCCTCTGTTTGAGCTCTTTCTTTGAGCTACCGATGCCAGTGTGAGCTGTCCCTTCCCTTGATTGATAGTGACCAATTCTAAATCAGTTCGATGCTAGTTCATATTATTTCATTTAACCACCACAAGAAACTCAGAGGCAGTGTTTGTTACTCTCACTTGACATGTGAACAAACAGAACGATGCAACGGTCAGGTGCATTGCTCCAAGCTGTTGAGCATAGCTTCATGGGTAAGAGTTCAGGGTCTGGAGCCAGAACACTTAGGTTTATATTTGGGATCTAAACTTCACTAGTTGAATATCTTAGGCAAAATACCTAACTGCGCTAAGCCTTAGTTTCCTTTTCTAAAAATACAAAAAATTAGCTGGGCGTGGTGGCGGGCACCTGTAATCCCAGCTTCTTGGGAGGCTGAGACAGGAGAAGCGCTTGAACCCAGGAGGGAGAGGTTGCAATGAGCCGAGATCGTGCCATTGCACTCCAGCCTAGATGACAGAGTGAGACTCCATCTCAAAAAACAAACAAACAAAACTCAGGAATAACAGTGATGTTGCTGTCATGAGGATTAGATGTCATAATCCATATGAGTGTCTAGTGTAGTGCCTGGTGCATTGCAATTGCTCAATGAAAGGTAACTCCAAGTTAGTATTATCACACAGCTTCTCGGTGGAAGAACTGGCATATAAGCTCAGGAATCTCTGACTCTCAATTATGTACTCTTAGCCACACATCAGACTGGTAGAGGCTGTGAGCAAACAGTTTATGGCTAGTGAAATGAGAGGTAGTATCCTTTACAGCATACTGTGCATGAGAAGCCATAATGGTGCAGCTCTGGGTTCTAATCTCATTGTCTTTCTAAGTGTTTTTTTTTTGTTTTTTTTTTTTTTTTTTGAGACAGAGTCTCACTGTGTTGCCCAGGCTGGAGTGCAGTGGTATGATCTTGGCTCACCACAACCTCCGCCTCTTGGGTCCAAGCGATTCTCCTGCCTCAGCCTCCCAAGTAGCTGGGACTACAGGCACCCGCCACCATGCCCAGCTAAGTTTGTATTTTTAGTAGAGACGGGGTTTCACTATGTTGGCCAGGCTGGTCTCGAACTCCTGATGTCGTGATCCACCTGCCTCAGCCTCCCGAAGTGTTGGGATTACAGGCGTGAGCCACTGCGCCCGGCCTGAGTGTTCTTAAATTATTTAGTCACTTTCAATATTAATTGTTGAAAGAGGTATTAATGAGGTATTATACCTTGATTTCAATTCATACCCTATTCTATTTCAATAGAGGTAATAACACCTCTGAGAGTTGTAAAAATTAAGGAAGCTATTTTATGTAAATGGTCTCACGCAGTCTCTTGCCCAAATAGGTGCTTAATAAATATTTCTGAATCAATGAATAGTGATTGCGATAGTAACCAGTGAACTGATTCCTCATGTAAAATTATAAATGAATAATTATCATACTAAACCGAAGCTGGTTGTTCATATAAAAAAATGAATACTAGGTGACCTTTGGAAGACCTTTGGTCTTCCAGGGGAAGAATTTTTGTAATAAGCTTGGTTCTTTCCCCAGAGGACTAAAATATTGAAAAAGTGACAGAGAACATCCACCCACAGTATAAACTTCCTGCAGAATCGCAATGCCCCTGGCAAACTAATATGCCCAGCCCTGGAGAGAACACAGTGTCAACTAATCCAATCTGATTTGTCAGTCTTGGCCCCATCATTTGATATTTTTGGCCCACTTGATGAGCCCAAGGGCCTGCGGCACAGGCGAATTGATTATTTTCATTAGAGGAGGCCTGGGTATTGGGAGCAAGTTCCTTGTATTCAGTCTGCCTCGATGGGAATCGCAAGAGCAGGTAAAAAGCTCTTAGCCCAGTTTTTTATATTTCCTTCTCTTCTTCCTCTTTCTCCTCCTTAAATCAAGGCTGAGATTCGGGTGACTTGAGTTTTATTTTCAGCTCCGTTGATGACCGTATGGCTTCAGAAAATCACCCAGCTTTTCTGGGTTTCATTTTTCTCAATCTGGAAAATGGCACCAGACCCTTCTATTAGGTTCAGGGGTAATGCAAAGTTAGTATAGGGCCAAGGTCAGCAAACTTTTTTGTAAAAGGCCGGATACTAAATATTTTAGGCTACATGGGCCACAGAGGATGCCGTTGTTTATTTTTTGTTTTTTTACAAGCATTTAAATTTGGAAAAGTCATTCTTAGCTGGACCACAGGCTGTAATTTGCTGAGCCCTGGTATATATATAAAATATAAGAATATTAGACTTGGAAGAACTCATTTTTCGATAACCTCATTGGATGGCAAAAAAACAGTTGCAGCCCCAAATAATTAGTGACCTTTCTGTTGCTTCATATTTTTAAAAAGTCAGGATGGTGGGTGACGCCTGTAACTCCAGCACTTTGGGAGGCCATGGCAAGCGGATCACTTGAGGTCAGGAGTTTGAGACCAGCCTGGCCAACATGGCAAAACACTGTCTCTACTACAACTACAACGATTAGCCAGGTGTGGTGCCTGTAATCCCAGCTACTTGGGAGGCTGAGGCAGGAGAATTGCTTGAACCCGGTAAGGCAGAGGTTGCAGTGAGCCGAGATCGTGCCACTGCACTCCAGCCTGGGCGACAGGGTGAGACTCTGTCTTAAAAAAAAAAAAAAAAATCAGGGTGTTGAATAATTGCAAAGGATTTTTGTTGTTTATATTAGTCACATGTTTCAAGTCATATTTGCCTTTATTTCAAAGTGCCATTACAAATTAGTACAAGCAAATTTTGACAACTGAGGAAAAATAGCTTTGGAAATCTTGAGAAAGAGGAATTAGAATTTTAGAAATTTGATTCTTCCAGAAACCTTTTCTGAAGAAAAATTCCCTGCTCAGAAACACAAGATATATAAACACATCACTGCTGTTTGTGGGGCATGTGTGTGTGTTTTGTTTTGCATTGTTTTTTTCTCTCTCTCCCTCTCAGTCCCCAGTTTTAAGTTAGTATAAGAAACTTTAAGTATTCTATGTATTCCAAAAGGATTTTGAGGTGAGAGAAGGCTTGCCATTAAAATCTTAGAGTCATGTTTATATCTGTATTTGTATTTCTCTTTTTTTTTGTTTTGTTTTTTGAGACTGAGTCTCGCTCTTGTCACCCAGGCTGGAGCGCAGTGGCACGATCTTGGCTCACTTCAACCTCTGCCTCCTGGGTTCAAGCGATTCTCCTGCCTCAGCCTCCCGAATAGCTGGGATTACAGGTGTCCGCCACCACGCCCGGCTAATTTTTGTATTTTTAGTAGAGATGAGGTTTCACCATGTTGGCCAGGCTGGTTTCAAACTCCTGACCTCAGGTGATCCGCCCACCTCAGCCTCCCAAAGTGCTGGGATTACAGGCGTGAGCCACTGCGCCTCCGCCCATATTCCTACTTTTTAATTTTATTTATGTATTCAATTTCAGCAAAAGGGTTAGAATCATAATACCTGAGAGTTAGAAAAAATCCTCATTGGCAAAGGTTTCTTTTCTCTCTCACTTTCATCTTTCCATTTTCCTTTGCCTTTTTCTGGCATGGAATGTGCTTCCAGAGAGACATGAGTCTTTACCTGTCTGCTCACCCTCTTTCCCTCTTTTCTGGCAGCACCAGGATTCTTTCGTCTTTAGCCTCTAGTTGTTCTTTTTGTTTGATCACATTAACAATTTGTTTCTCGAAATTTGCTTTTTTTTTTTTTTAATACAGAGTCTCACTCTGTCACCCAGGCTGGAGTGTAATGGCACAATCTCGGCTCACTGCAACCTCCGCCTTCCGGGTTCAAGCGATTCTCCTGCCTCAGCCTACCAAGTAGCTGGGATTACAGGCATGCGCCACAATGCCCGGCTAATTTTTGTGTTTTTAGTAGAGATGGGGTTTCACCACGTTGGCCAGGCTGGTCTCGAACTCCTGACCTCAGGTGATCCGCCTGCCTCAGCCTCCCAAAGTGCTGGGATTACAGCTGTGAGCCACCGTGCCCGGCCAGCATTTGCTATGTTTATTGTACTACTGTTGGTACATTTCTTTCAGGAAAATGCCTTTCTCAGCTCCTAGTTGTGTGCACAGCCAGAGCCAAACATTTTTCTCTTAAGTAGATTGATACCACCTGAGAGATCATTGAAGTGGTAGAAATAAATACTCAGGAAGTGACTATAGAAACAAAATCAGCAAACCTCTGGCTCTTAAGAAGACCCCAGAATTGTATATGTGCTGTGCACAGAAGAAATATTGCTGGGCTTGATAAGACAGCCTGGTTGAGTAGAGAGGATGCAGAACTGGATATCAGGAGACCTGGGGCAGCTGTGGGCTGGGAGCAGTCACTTTACTTCTCTGGACCTTCTGTCCATCTATAAAAGAAGGGACGAGATTTGAAATTCTTATGTTCTATGAATTTTGTGAGTTAACAGAATATATGCCATTACTATTTGTTTCTTAAAACAATTGTGAGACATGTGGTGAAATAATTACATATATTGGTGCTCTTGGGTGAAAGAAAAAGCTTGAGACTTACTGCTGTAGCACAATGACCTATATCAGCGGTCCCCAACCTTTTTGGCACCAGGGACTGGTTTTTTGAAAGACAGTTTTTCCATGAACTGGGTGGGGGGATGATTTCGGGATGATTCAAGCACATTACATTTATTGTGCACTTTATTATTATTACATTGTAATACATCATGAAATAATTATACAACTCACCATAATGTAGAATCAATGGGAGCCTTGAGCTTGTTATCCTGCAACTAGATGGTCCCATCTGGGGGTGATGGGAGACAGCAACAGATCATCAGGCATTAGATTCTCATAAGGAGTGCACAACATATATCCCTTGTATACACAGTTCACAGTAGGGTTTGTGCTCCTATGAGAATCTAATGCCACTGCTGATCTGACAGGAGATGGAGCTCAAGTGGTAATGTGAGCGATGGGGAGCTACTGTAAGTACAGGTGAAGCTTCTCTCCTTCACCCACCACTCATCTCCTGCTGACTGGTATTAGTCCATGGCTTGGGGGTTGGGCACCCTAATCTATATAATAGCACATGTATAGCTCATACGAATTAGATATTTACTGTATGCCAGACATTCAGCTAAGCATTTTACTTGTATTGTCTCTTTTAATACTCACTCCTGCTTCACAATATAGGTATATTAATATCCCCATGTTAAAGAAGAAAGGGAGCCCCAAAGAGATTAAGTGATTTAAACCCAAATGTGATTTATTTCAAATCCCCTCTTATTCACACTCATAGGCTGCTTTAGTTTACTCATGAACTTCCACTTTCTTCTTAAGGAAAAAATATCCTCAGTGGTGTGTGATTTGGGAAGGACATAATTGACTCAATAGCTTATGTTTCTTCTTTTCCCCCTTATCTTTCTTAGACCACCTCGAGATTTAGACTCCAAGGCTTGCATTTCTATTGGAAATCAGGTAAGAAAAAATCATGTCTGCCACCTAATACGTTGGCCATTTTATATGTATGCTTTCTGACTGAAAAATTTATTTTCCCTAGCATGCTGTCAGGGGATGAGTCAAAAAAAGTTTGCATTTAAAGGGAAGTGGTATGCAAAGTTTTTGCTATTTTGAAAGAATGTTGAATTGAAATCAGGCTATTGTGGTTTTGATGGAAGGTATTTGAATAGAGTAGATGGTTCTCTTGGGAGGGCATTTCTCAAAGCTCAGACATAATCTAGTTGCCATCAGTCAATAGTGGGTTACAGACACAATGAAGGGTCATGGCTAAAGAACTTCAGTGAAATAGCTTCAACTGAGACATTGGCAAGCTGAGTCCAAGTTGGGTTTCTGTGTTGCCTGGGACAAGCAGGTGGGCTACCGTGGGAGCTCCTAGACATCTCTTGGCCCTTCTTGTAGCTTCTTGCTTTCAGAGGCTGCTTTGACATGCTAGAAAATCTTCTGGCCCAGAAATAATCCTTAGAACATTGAGAGAAACGAGATAGAGGATAATGTGCTCTCTGTTCTGTTTATTTTTCTCTTTCCCATTGCATTATTCCTTTTCTCTCTTGCAGAACTTTGAGGTGAAGGCAGATGACCTGGAGCCTATAATGGAACTGGGACGAGGTGCGTACGGGGTGGTGGAGAAGATGCGGCACGTGCCCAGCGGGCAGATCATGGCAGTGAAGGTAGAGTTGACATTCTCCCAAATGTTTTATATCTGCTGTGTATACATTTGTCCACCTCAATTGTCAACCAGCCCTTTTAATAGAAGCAAAACCATCTTCCGTAGGGTAAAACAGAAAAGATTATTTGCAGGGAACAGTATTTTCCTCCAAAGGTATGGAAAAGTCTTCCTTGGTGTGAGTTGTATCTACTTTTTATTTGTTTTTTTAACTCTTAACTCTCCCTCCACCCATTCTTCTACCATTTTTAATTTTTACAAAACTACCATGTCATCATCACACTTAAAAATAATTAATGGCCCAGGTGTGGTGGCTCACGCCTGTAATCCTAGCAGTTTGGGAGGCCAAGGCGGGTGGATCACGAGGTCAGGAGTTCGAGACCAGCCTGGCCAACATAGTGAAACCTCGTCTCTACTAAAAATACAAAAAATTAGCCAGGCATGGTGGCACACACCTGTAGTCGCAGCTACTTGGGAGGTTGAGGCAGGAGAATCACTTGAACCCGGGAGGTGGAGGTTGTGGTGAGCCGAGATCGTGCCACTGCACTCCGGCCTGGACAACAGAGTGAGACTCCATCTCAAATAATATTAATAATAATAATAATAATAATGATACTTCCTTCATCTAATCCGGAGTCCAAATGAAAATTTCCTTGATCATCTCAAAGTGTGTGTGTTTGTTTTGTCCTGTTGGATTTTCAAATCAGCATCCCAATGAAAGTTTACGTATTGCATTTGGCTGTTATGACTCATAGATCTCTTTTATTCTATATTTTGTTGCTTTTAAAGAATTGCCTCTGAAAATCAAGAAACCAGAATTGGGAGAGAAAATTGTCTCCATTTGTGGAAAAAGGAGGGTAAAATATATCTAGAGTAAATTTGCATAGTTTTTGAGCTATGAAAGGAAATTTAAAATCATTTCATATTATTGAGTAGGTGTTTGGAGGATCATAAAGAATTAACATCTCTAGCTGAGTTAATAGATTGGGGCTATTGTTAGGAATAATCAGGTGACTTGGATCCTTTTGCTTTTAAAGAATGGGAATACTTTTATCTTGTAGATTTTTCAGTCTGTTCTTCTGCTGACTTGCTAAGTAGGCAAAAAGTGTGAAGTCCCAGTGATATTGTATCTCTCCTATCATTTAATGACATAATCATGTTTCTGTAAGGCTACATTTCCTAGTGTGACAGATTGTTCTTCCCTCAGAAGCACTGGGATAGGAATGAACAGTTTCTCTATTTCTCTAATTGCTTCTATTTTGTATAGCTGTACCAATTCTCTTACAGTTGCTGTTCCCTCCAAATACTCTTACATGTTCCCAAAGAAGAGCTTTTGGCTTTTTATTTTCTTGGGACCCCAGATAAGCAGCAAAGTCCTTAATATTGTGCCCTCTTTGCACTGAACAGACATAATACAGTAAACCAGATTGTTTTCATACCTTGGAAATACATTCCAAAACATTTTGTCACTCTCCAAAACACACTATCAATTTGTTTCTTACCAGGACTATTCAGGAAATCAAATGAGTAACAGCCTTCCTTATTTTCATGTGTTACAAATAGCTAATCACTTTGGGTGGCTATTCACAATGTCATCGCCAGAACTTGTGTCATGAACTATTTTCACGATGGGACTCCTTCAGGTCCCTGCCTGCCTCATCCTCAGAGTAGTAACCATAAATTTTCCATGCATTTCCATTCAGCGGATCCGAGCCACAGTAAATAGCCAGGAACAGAAACGGCTACTGATGGATTTGGATATTTCCATGAGGACGGTGGACTGTCCATTCACTGTCACCTTTTATGGCGCACTGTTTCGGGAGGTAGGTGACCCTTCAATTCAAAGTCCAAGAGGAACAATAACTTAAAAAGAAGTTTCTTTGATCACGTAAATGCCTTCACAATCATGGAGCTCTTTCTTGTTTGACACATCTTGTATACGGGGGTTTACGTGTGTGCAATGATGACATGCCCTGGAGCAAGGTTGGATTGAAATTATGGTATTTTCAAATGTGGTTAGCCTTTTTAAGATGTGGAGTTTCTCGTCTCCTTTCTTTTTTGTTTTGTTTATCTTGGCAGAACTTTCTATATCGCCTATAGACTGATTTGCTTAGATCTCTTATAATTTGAAATATTCTGGTCTTTTGACTGCTTTAGGAGCTTCATCTAGCCTACTTGTGTACTATATAGACTTACTTTGATCTCTTTTCTCTACCTCTGTTTTCCACTTTAGCGTTATATGGATTATGAGGCTTCACCTCATTAAAACCAGCTTTTTGACTGACTGTTGCTGGTATTTAGTGTGAGAGATACGACATGGAGGAGGCATCTAGACCTAACTCCTAGACAGTGGTATCAGTAAAGGCCTGGATATCTGGGGTTGTATTGCTTATGTCTGTTAGTAATTAGATTCCATTTTTCATTAAGGGGTAGGAGAGCACATGCAGGTTCTGCTTGGCTACCTACTGGTTTGCTCTTTGTAGATAACCTTGCTTATTTGTAAATTCCTTTATGATCTTGACAGAAGACACTGTATTTCCCCCCAAAATTCAAGAAAGAAATAGTTAATTCTTCAGGATAGGGTTTACTGTTTTTTTTTTTTATTTTTATTTCTCCCTTTTTCATCCTTTTAAACAATTCCTGAAACAATTGGTCTCCAGGGTGATGTGTGGATCTGCATGGAGCTCATGGATACATCACTAGATAAATTCTACAAACAAGTTATTGATAAAGGCCAGACAATTCCAGAGGACATCTTAGGGAAAATAGCAGTTTCTGTGAGTACATTTTGATCCCTACTGCAAGGATAATGTGAGAAATAAAGTCCCTATGTGTCTTTGGACCTCAGTATGAAGAAATACTACCTGGGCCACAGCTACTATTCGTACATGTCTGTTGACATTTATTGGTGGATGGATAAATACATGCTTTCCTTTCTGAGCACTGTGTAGAAGATTCTAGCACTGCTTTGGTTTGGCAGACTCTAGGTTAAATGACTCTAAGTGCTGCATTCATCAGCTATGACCACATTCCTGGTGTCTATATTCTGACATTAGTTTATTTTGATTTTCATTTATGGATTTTTAAAATGTTCTCTTGAGACTAGTAGGCATAGAAGAAAGCAGAAGGAAAATAAATAGAAAGAAGGTCTTCTACCTTCATGGCTATTCAGGCTCAGGAGGGTGGAGAGAAAAAGAAGGAGGACAAATGAACAAGACAGATGAGGGAGACATCCTCTCTGATATAAGATACAGTCCTCTCTGGTGGATGGAGTCCAATTTGTGTAACTTCCTATGTATTTTCCTAGATAGGACCACCACTATTTGAGAAAATATCTCACTGGTAACCTAAAGCCAAGGATAATAAACCTTGATATACTTAACATTCAATTTCTTTCCAGCAATGTGATAAATAAATCTATCTTGTGTTTCTCTTGCAGATTGTAAAAGCATTAGAACATTTACATAGTAAGCTGTCTGTCATTCACAGAGGTAAGCATCCATGAGCTGCCTTGGCTGTTCCTTTGATAAAGTTCATCTCTTTCACCTGGAGTCCGTCTCTACCCCCAGTCCCCCATGGGTGGAAGTAGAATTGACTCAGGCAAGAGAACTAAGGGGCTTTCCTTTGAGATTGGATAGCAAACCATATAAGTAGTATTCCTTATCATGGCTGAGGACATAAGAAGAAGACGTGATCTTTGTCTTACATCCAAATTGAATATAAACACTTGTTAGCAAGCAGAGCTATGAGATCATATCATTGAGAATTTTAGAGAATATGATAAAAATTGATCTTGTATTGGCCATCACATGAGAGCTTGTTGGAAAAGAATCATGGGTCTCAAGATCAAATGAATTGGAATTTGCATTTTAACAAGATTTCCGGGTGATTCTTGTGCACATGAAAGTGTGAAAAACTCTGGTATAAAGTAGAGCCCTTTCAGACAACAGGAGGCAGGATATAATGATTTATCTCTTCCTCTTTCCTTTTCTTCCTTCTTATTGGCCTGTTATCTCTTCAACCAGCCATTCATCCATCCATCCATTCATTCATTTTCTATCCCCCCATTCATCCATTTATTCATCTTTTAAAATCACTTTTAAAATGTAATAGATCCCCTGAGAGGTATCTGAGAAGAAAATATATTCTGATTAAATTATGCATCAGGATTCTTATAGGGAAGTAAGATAAATGTACAAAAAAAAAAAAAAAAAAAAAAAAAAACCACCTTAGAAATATGAAAGTACCAAGCTGGGTGCCGTGGTTCATGCCTACAATCCCAGCACTTTGGGAGGCCGAGGAGGGCGGATCACCTAAGGTCAGGAATTTGAGACCAGCCTGCCCAACATGGTGAAACCCCGTGTCTACTGAAAATACAAAAATTAGTTAGGTGTGGTGGTGGGTGTCTGTAATCCCAGCTACTTGGGAGGCTGAGGCAGGTGATTGTAGTGATTGTGGTGATTGTAGTCAGGGAAACTTCTGGGAAGAGATAACCAGAACCCTGTCTTTGGGAAGAATAATGGAATGTATTGGTAAGTAAGAGGGCCTTGTGGTTTGGATAATTCTTAAACTCTCTGAGCCTGGAAATAATGTAAAATGCCTTCCACAGTGTGCCTATTATTGTTAGTTGTTATTATTAAAAATTGGAAAAATAGGATGAAGGAAGATGAGAAGAAAATAGGAAGGAATACAGATAGGAAAAAGACTGTAGATTATTCACAACTTTGAAATTAACATTAAGGGTTATTTCACCATTATGAAATATGTAATTCATATTAGAGAAAATATGTAAGGTATAAAAATAATAAAATGAAATTTGTGTATCTTCTAGCTTAAAGGGAAAATTATAAAGGATAATTTTTAAAGCTTTTGTAATAATCTTTTACTTCCAATTTTATGGGTGTTATGAAAAGTATCACAAAGGGAAAAATTAGCTGTAATTTCAAATGTTATTATCCAGAGATAATCGTAGTTCCATTTTTTGGGCATATGGGCGGGTGGGTTAAATTTTTCTAGTCAAAAGGATTCGTTTAAAATCTGGTCTGTAATACTGCTTCTTCAGTAACCTGCCCTGTGGTCTGGAATACCTGGGTTTATGATCCTTTACACTATGTGACCTCTGACACATCGCTAGCAGAGGTTTCAATCAAAATCTGTTGCTTTGGGCCAGGCTTGGTGGCTCACACCTGTAATCACAGCCCTTTGGGAGGTGGGGTGGGAGGACTGCTTGAGGCCAGGAGTTTGAGACCAGCCTGGTCAACAAAGAGACATCCTGTCTGTCAAAAAAAAAAAAAAAAAAAAGTTAGCTGGGCATGGTGGTTCCCACCTGTAGTCCAAGCTACTCAGGAGACTGAGGCGGGAGGATGATTTGAGCCCAGGAGTTTGAGGCTGCAGTGAGCTATGATCACACCACTGCACACCGGTTGAGTGACAGAGTAAGACCTTATCTTGAAGAAAAAACCAAACCAAACAAAAACAAAGGTTGCTTTGGTCATATTTGGTGTATCATTGTGTCACAGTCTGCCTTTTTGTTCTTTGTTTTATTACTCCTACGTTAAATATCAATAGATCATTTTGAATTGGACATTTGATTCAGTAATAATTTTTTAGGCTCTTACTACAAGTATGAGGGTAATGAAGATCATAAAATCAGTGGAGAAAACAGTTCTTTGTATGGAGAAATTCACAATTCTACAAGGCATGAACAAAACATGAAATAGAAAATCAAGTTGAAAGCAATAAGCTGTTGTTAACTGTGGGTCAGGGATGGCAGTTACTTCTGTGTTGGGCAGCTTGGGGAAAGGAAGATGAAGGACAAATGGAGATTTTAGGCCCTCTGGTGGCAGAGAAATGAACCTTGAAAGCAGGCTGAAATGATGGCATCCTGGTTGTTTTCGCTTTCAGACGTCAAGCCTTCTAATGTACTCATCAATGCTCTCGGTCAAGTGAAGATGTGCGATTTTGGAATCAGTGGCTACTTGGTGGACTCTGTTGCTAAAACAATTGATGCAGGTTGCAAACCATACATGGCCGTAAGTACATTAGCTAGGGTGGCATCTGGTAATGTCACTGCCGACAAATCATGCTGGGAAACAAGAAATGGATGGCCACAGAGGGAAAATGGAAATGTACCTAAGACTCCAGAAGTAGTCTGCCTCTTAGTATTTCTTCAAAATTTTATGTCTGAAATCTTTACTCACTTGCTTCGTATATTGTCTTAGTTTGTTCAGGCTGCTATGGCAAAGTAATGTAAGCCAGGCAGCATATAAACAACAGAAATTTATCTCTCACAGTTTTGGAGGCTAGGAAATCCAAGATGAAGGCACCAGAAGATTTGGTGTCCAATGAGGGCTCACGTTTCTCAGGATCATACATAGCACCTTCCTGCTTAGTCCTCGCACGGTGAAAGGGGCGAGGGATCTCTCTAGGGCTTTTTTAATAAGGGCCCCAATCCTATTCATTAGTATTCCACTTTCATGATTCAATCACCCCCCAAAGGCCCTGCCTTCTGATGCCACCACATGTGCGATTAGGTTTTAACCTGTGGATTTTGGTGGGGCACAGACATAGTTATATATATATTACTTTAAAAAAATCAAGTGAAAGAGATACGTTATTTGAAAAAATATATACACAATACATATAGCCTGCACAGTTTTCCACACTGTATTGCAGGGGAGTATTACCTTGTTTGTTGAGGACAAAATAGTAAATAGAGCTTAAATTACCCAAACAAGGCAGTTAGATTAGTTATGAGAGGACCTCACAGCTGTGAAGATTCACCGTCATTAGCAGAGACCTTGCAATCCCCTTTAACTGGAGGAACGGCCACTAGATTCTACCTGGAAATGGACTTGTGCTTTGAATTGAAAAGCTTCCTGTCTGTGTTTAGCTAAAAATTGCTCAGGTCTATTAGCATGGGACAGTAGCCCAGTGACACTTGTTTTATTGAGTTCTGGACTGTTCATGTTTTAAACAAGGATAATTCTAGATGGGCAAAGTAGCTTTATAATGTATACCCTGTTTCTTCTTAAGGCAAATTTTAAATTTGTTATGAAAGGAACTTGATCCATTACTGTGTCCAAGAAAAGACAAACACAGAAGAAGGGAAACCCCACGGAGGCATTGATATTTGTTGTAGTTAACCGGGTCTTCTTGGCCTTGGTGGCATGTTAACAGCTTATAACAACTCACTTGGCAGCTGGTGCTACCCCCATCCCCAGAGACTATTGAGCTAAGAACGTTATCTCAATTGTCTTCCCAGTTTCTCAGTTGTCTGTCTTCTTTCCAGCCTGAAAGAATAAACCCAGAGCTCAACCAGAAGGGATACAGTGTGAAGTCTGACATTTGGAGTCTGGGCATCACGATGGTAGTGTATGCCAATCATCATGAACTATGAGGTTGTGGGTAATGAAACTAGAATGAGGTGGACGTTGGGTTCAAGAAACAAATGCCCTAAATGCTGGTTTGGGGCGCCCTCTCCTGCTGAGCTGGTAGGAGATTTTGAGTAATAATTGTTTGTATTGTGGTACAATAAAAACACTGATATGGGATTGGGGAAACCAATCTTTCTCTTGATTCCACCTCTGACGAGCTGTATGCCTTTTTGAGTAATTGTTACAGTCACATGGACTATCTTCCTATCCTCCTCTGTAAAACGAGAGGATCTGACCAGATTCCTTATAGTTTAAAATTAAATTATTCGAGCCAAGGCAAGAAGCTTAAGCTGTGCAAAGAATGCTAATGTGCGTGAACCCTGATAGGGCCGTGTTATCCAGGACATAGACTATGCTTCCCAGGATATTTTTATTGGAGAAGTAGAAGTCAAAGTCTGATCAGGTCAGTGTATTAGTTCGTTTTCACACTGCTGATAAAAGCATCCCCAAGACTGAGTAATTTAAAAGAAAAAGAGGTTTAATGGACTCACAGTTCCATGCAGCTGGGGAGGCCTCACGATCATGGCGGAAGGTGAAAGGCACATCTTATATGGCGGCAGACAAGAGAGAATGAGATGAGACAGCCAAGTGAAAAGGGAGATGCTTCATAAAACCATCAGATCTCGTGAGACTTTTTCACTACCATGAGAACCATAGAACAGTATGGGGGAACCACCCCCATGATTCAATTGTTTCCCACTGGGTCCCTCCCACAACATGTAGGAATTATGGGAGCTACAATTCAAGATGAGATTTGGGTGGGGACACAGCCCAACCGTATCAGTCAGGTATATCCTCAATACATGATAACCAATAGGATGATTTCCTTAGACACAGCCCTAAAGTTATATGATTTATTCATAACTTATTCATAACTTTGGTGATTGTAAATTTCATAACTTTGGTGGTCATACATTTTCAGTGGATCACCAAGGTCTGGAATTATCCACTGTGGTCCTGGCTCCTCCCCAGGCACAGCAGCTGAATAAATCCCATGAGTTATTTCTCCTGCCTGCCCAGAAAGCACATGATCCTGTAATGCAAAGTGGCCTTTTCTCAAGTCCAAAAAAAGATCTGTCATTTGGTTCTAGGTTGCTTTTTCTCCCTGTCATTTCACCAAGGGACCTGAAGGTGGCAGTAGATGCTCGGCTCTGGAAAGATCTTAGGCTGGGAATTACTTGTCAGACCAAACGTTTGAAATCCTCGTAGCTTTACATCCTGAAGTTTAATACGGTTGGCTTACAATTTTTATGAAGTGCCACAGTGGGTTTTAGTGAGGGTCCCCATTTTAGATAGGCTTAAGTGGCTGTGTCTAGTAAGTAATATTTAAAAATCCCTAGCACTAGGAATTTGGGGAAAATTGCTAGAGAACAAATTATTAGTTTATTTCCTGCCCCCCTACCCCTGGACTTATACTTGAACTTTGCCTTGTGTTTCCTGCTGTCTATCCACAAATGAAACGTGGGTGATTCCCTAAAGCAGCCCTGTTGAAACTGTTGTCTCCTTTTTTCTTCTTTTCTCCAGATTGAGTTGGCCATCCTTCGATTTCCCTATGATTCATGGGGAACTCCATTTCAGCAGCTCAAACAGGTGGTAGAGGAGCCATCGCCACAACTCCCAGCAGACAAGTTCTCTGCAGAGTTTGTTGACTTTACCTCACAGTGGTAAGACAGCCTCACCTCCCAAGTGTCAGTGTGAAAGAAGAAGATGAGTTCTCATGAATTTCTTCCATCGGGGTTGAATCCATCATGCATACATTCATTCCGAAAGCATTTGTGGAGTATGCCCTCTCTGCTGGAGAAGCAAAGATGACCGTATCACACTCCCTGCCCTCACTGAGCCCAAAGTCAAGTAGAGAAGTCTCATAAATGAATAATTATAGTATAATGTGGCAAGTCCAGTGATAGAGATAGGGGCATAGGCGATTTAAGGAACTCAGAGGGAAGACCTCAGGATAGGCTTTTCTGGAGGAGATAAATCTGGAGCTGCGATCACGAGAGGAATTTTCCAGACAAAAGGGAAATAGGAAAGGAAACATATTCCAAACAGAAGGAACATCATTCACAATGTCACGAAAGCAAGAAACTCCTTTATGTGAGCTTTAAGCAATTTGATGTTGATTAAAGCATAAAGAGAAAGCTGATAGGACCCACTAGAGGCCTGGGGATAGGAAGTAGAGGCAAAGAATTACTTTCGGTGAGAAGATAGTGGGTAGTTTGAGAGTGTTTCTTAGGTCCCCAGAAGTCTTGTAGAACCTTGGTTGCTACTGAATACTTGCTAACTGTGGAGAAACTTGCCCACCATAAGAGACAATGCTGAAGTTCTGGGAAGGGAATCCAAAGGAAGTTGGGGTGGAAAGTGGGAGGGAGCCATACTCATGAGGTGAACTATATTTTCATGAAAACTGCCAGGGCAGTCAAGAAAAGCAAGAGGGGAAAGTATTCTCTAGACAATCCAGTAATTTCTATCTGCATAGAGGTCATGATGCCTAGCATGGCTTGATAGTAATGATCATGGCAAGTGATGCTGGAAGCAGGATGCCAGAAGTGAAGCACACCCCTGAGCCAGGTTAGCGTATTTGGCCATCCGGGAGAAGTAGATGAGAATTAGGAGGAAGGGGGCTCGGAGATGGTGGCAGGCCCAGCTGTGACCCTGGGAGGGGAGCCGTTCTGAGTACTCACTGCTGGGGAAGGGCCTGGAGCTCTGAAGGCTGTTTGAGGTACTGAGGAAGCTGAAGGAACATCTTCCCCGTGGCTTCATTCCTCAGCCTCCATGGTTTTTAGAAGTGCTGTGAGGCAGGGCACCCGCGCCTGTAATCCCAGTACTTTGGGAGGCCAAGGCGAGTGGATCACCTGAGGTCAGGAGTTCAAGACCAGCCTGGCCAAAATGGTGAAAACCTGACTCTACTAAAAATACAAAAAATTAACTGGGCATGGTGGTGGACAGCTGTAATCTCGGGAGGCTGAGGCAGGAGAACCGCTTGAACCTGGGAAGTGGAGGCTGCAGTGAGCCGAGATCACGCCATTGCACTCCAGCCTGAGCAACAAGAATAAAACTTCGTCTCAAAAAAAAAAAAAAAAAGCTGTGAATACAGCATTCATCAGGAAACATGGAAGAAACATAAAACAAAGCAACTGTCTGTTGCTTGTGAACCTAAGAGCTCTTCGACTCTTTGTTAGCCCTAGGCCCCTTCTCATTTCTGGTACTTTTCCCTGATGATGTATGAGGCTGGTCTGCAGTTGTTTGTTTTTGTTTTTGGCTGGATGACTAGAGAGGGGCTGGAGCCTCGAGCACTAGTGTAATAGTTGTTGGATGCCTCTTAAAAGATATATCTTCTAGGCTGCTTCCTGTCTGTTTTCCTTGAGGGAGTGTGCTGGATGTGGTAGTACCTCTGCCAGGTTGACCTGGGTTCATGATTTTGCCTTCTGGATTCAAAGACTTGTTTTTTGTGGATGGTTGGTTGGTTGGTTATTTATTTATTTATTGCCTTATCCTCAGATGTTTAAGGTCACATCAAAAAAAGGGATGAGGGGCCGGGCGTGGTGGCTCACGCCTGTAATTCCAGCACTTTGGGAGGCCAAGGTGGGCGGATCACTTGAGGTCAGGAGTTCGAGACCAGCCTGACCAACATGGTGAAAACCCATCTCTGCTAAAAATACAAAAATTAGCCAAGTGTGGTAGCACACACCTGTAGTCCCAGCTACTCGGGAGATTGATGCAGGAGAATTGCTTGAACCTAGAAGGCAGAGGTTGCAGTGAGCTGAGATTGCACCACTGCACTCCAGCCTGGGTGATAAGAGAGAGACGCCATCTCAAAAAAAAAAAAAAAAAAAAAAAAAAAAAGATGAGGCATCTTGGGTAGTACAGAACAGTAGTTCTCAAGAGGGGTGGTAATGGGGAATGATCTTATCTAGCTAAGTCTCTTCAAATTATTCTCCCTATTACCTTTCTCCCACCTATCCCCTTTTCCCAAGATTCTGGGTGCTTTAGGAAATTTTGGTAAGAACGAGGCTGGTGTGAAAAGTTTGAGAAAGCTGAGTCTACCATTGTGAATCACCAGTTTAATCCAATGATTCTCAACTGTGGCTGCTCATTTATAAAACTCTAGTGAGCTTTCAAAATCACTGCCCCCTAGGCCTCATCCTCATAGACTCTGATTTAACTGATCTGGGGAGGGGCCAAGATACTAATATATTTTTAAATGTTCTCAAGTCATTTTTATGTACAGCTGCGGTGATAACCCCAGGTTTAGACATATGATCTATGGACCTGCCATCAACTAGTTTCTGTTTAGAAGGTTTATTTTCTTCAATTTGTTTAAAAAAAATCATCCAATTGCTTGAATTTTCTTTCACCAGTGTATTTTTTCTCTTACTGGAATTTTCTCCGAAGAATCAGAGCATTGAAACTTTTTAGAGATATTTTAAAATGAACATCTTGAGAAATAAATGGTTTTTAATTTTTTTTTTTTTTTTTTTTTTTGGAGACGGAGTTTTGCTCTGCCACCCAGGCTGGAGTGCAGTGGCACGATCTCAGCTCACTGCAAGCTCCGCCTCCTGGGTTCACGCCATTCTCCTGCCTCAGCCTCCTGAGTAGCTGGGACTACAGGTGCCCGCCACCACGCCCGGCTAATTTTTTGTATTTTTAGTAAAGACGGGGTTTCACCGTGTTAACCAGGATGGTCTCGATCTCCTGACCTCGTGATCTGCCCCGCCTCAGCCTCCCAAAGTGCTAGGATTACAGGCTTGAGCCACTGCGTCCGGCCAATTTTTCTAATTTTAATGTATGCACACATATATGGAAGTTCCAGATACCGGCATCATTGCTCTTCATATAATGACTGCCCTGTGCCTTCTCTCTCCTTATAACACCCATAGTGCCTTCATGGCTGCCTGCAAAGATATCCCCTTCTCTCTCATTTTCTTTTAATTTTAATCCCAGCTACCACAGTTCATTAATTAAAAAATTTTGAGCCGTAGACATGTCTCAGCTTTCCTGAAACTGTTAATTCTATTAATACTGTTTGCTCGGTGTCATGTCATTTCTACTCAAGTAAGTCAGTTTGTCTTATATCTGGGTATATTAAAAACAATACTCTGTCTCTACAAAAAATACACAAATTAGCTGGGTGTGGTGGTGTGCACCTGGGGACCCAGCTACTTGGAAGGCCAAGGTGGGAGGATCGCTTGAGCTTGGAAGGCTGAGGCTGCAGTGAGCCATAATTGTCCCACTGCACTCCAGCCTGGGTGACAGAGCAAGATCCTGCCAAAATAAGATAAAATTAAATAAATAACAAAATGCAATATAAAATAAAATAAAATATGAAACTATCTAGAAACAAAACCCAAATCACTTTACCCTAGAAGTCATTAAAAGATAAATTTTCCTTCCTCAAAGTGTCAGTATTATAGTTCTGGTAGAATGCTATACTTAAGAATATCAGTTGTCTAAAATAGTCATTTTGTTGGTATGGGAATTAAGAAATAGAAGGGAATCGTTAATTCTGAATTTTATGAGCATTCTTACTTATCCTCAGTTTGACTTTTTCAGCATGCAAGCTCTCCTATTTCAGATCCCAGGTCAATAACTTTTTTTCCCTGCCACAAACCACCAATATATTTTCTTTGATATCCCTTAAGTATGAACATTATTTTTCAACTGGGTTGAAAAAGTCATCTTATACTCAAAAAGTAGCACTGATTTTCTTTTAGAGTTTATGACTGGCCTAGAACTTTACGGAAGCAATTTTATTTTTCATACATATATTAATATATGGGTACATACCTCCAGCCATTAGCCATCTAGTGATTTTACTTGTTTGATTACTGAAAGCTTGAGGTTTGATCTGGAGCTTGGTGGAAAGAATGGAAAAGTGATAATGTTAACAGAAGAGTACCTCTTCTACCTCTTCATGAACATTCCCTGTGCACGTAACTCCCCTTTATCAGCTATTCTTTTATTTTTCTCATGAATAAAGCTGTGTTATTGAGACATAACTTCATTAAAGGACCTTTTTTTTTTTCGTGAGCTCCATGTTTTTTATATTTTTATTATGTAGGCTATGGTCCTCCCAGACTTCTCAGAAAGGCCGCTCTATGTGCTAAGTGGGGAAGGGAGACTACGGATTTCAAAAGTGAAATATTTAATCTCAAATTTCAAGATAGATACATCTATGTTTTTATTGCCTACATCTGTCTTTGGTATGCAGAAAAAGAACCCATTATACCCGCAGCCTAGGTAACTGTCAGAGTATTTGTGAACTTGTGTATCCTACCTAAGCATTCGATGTCACAAAGCTACTAGGTATCATACACCTGCCTAGGTATCATACCCGTGCCAAGGAATCAACTTGGCACGATGCCATCACCATGTTGCAAGGTACCATAATTCTGTATCCAGGGAATTGACTTGGTAGCCACTCTTGTCTGGCCCATCAGTATTGATCACTGCTTGTTAGTTGACAGTAAATCACTTAGTTTGTAGGGTGAAGTAGAAAAGCTCTAACAGGCTATCATCACCACACCCAAAGTTAGACCTAGAGTCCAGAGTTCCAGTTTTTGCATTTCTTTTGCAGTAACATCTGACAAATGTTATCTTGAAGGAGAAGGAAGAATTAACCATATGAACGTAAAGGAAAAAAGCAAACCCACAATGGTTTCTTACAAACCCTTCTTTTCTGTATTTATTTTGAGATAGGACTACAGAATGAGATTTTCTTCCTCTTTTTCCTATATATCTCTTTCTTATCGTAGGGGTTTTAAGGAGTTCTTGAGTTGGGTTGTGTTGACCATGTCAGCCTTGTTTTGAGATTCATCATAGAGAAGTCTAATAGAGAAGTCTTGCTTTCTAGTCCTGCAGAAGGGTTAACAAACGAGTTCGCAAAAGATTGGAATCTTAGCCGGTTTACACTTTTCATTATAAACTCTTCCTATAGGTTCACAGAAGGAAGTCACTGGAAGTCAACTGCCGAGTGCCAGATCAGCTGGACTTCCCTTTGGCTTTTTCTCCAGGCCTATTTAAGAAGCTGTGGGCCCAACTGACCAGTCTGATGGCATATTGAAGGGTAGTGGAGGCCCACTCAAGCATCAATATTGTCTGACTCAGGGAAACTAGCATAAAACACAGACAGTCAAATACAGTCTCCTACTTGTGTAGGAAGGACAGTAAAAAGAGGCACTAGATGTTTATTTAGCTTTTGACAAATGTATGCCTTGAAACGCGCAATGTGTTTTTATTCTGTGGATGTACCAAATAGCCCTTCTTGGAAATGATCGGGGGAATTCAAATAGGCAGAAATCCTCTGGTCAGCACAAACTACAAGCTAGCAATTCTCAAGACAGCATGAGCTGTTTTTTAGTGTCAGCTATGGTCAGAAGCGTGTGTTGTGGCATTTGGAAAAGGAATTAGGGCAGTTAGCTAATTGCACGCTTGAAAATGAGAAGCTCTTTGAAAATTCAAAAGTCTGATTCCAGTTCAAAAAGAAATTGGTGTTGCTTTGAACTCCAAAGTTGTTATTGTATACTGAATTTCAAGTACTTCCTACTAAACATGGAAAATTTGCTTTCCCCCCAACCTTATCCTGAGTGTATTGCTATTCTTAGCCCATGTTTTGAAGTGTTCTTGATTTAAAAGATGGAGAGAATGGGTTATATCAGTTCCATTAATTTAATAAACAGCCTTGCTTTGCGGTGTAAGTATTTTCCATCTATATTCTGCAGTAGTGTTTGGGGTAGATTGTGAGCTTTCTAATCAGGGGCCATGAGTCAAGGAATAGCCTATTGACCAGTTAGTCTTGGAGGTTTCAGGAATCCTTAACACTTTATGATGGATCAACTAGGGTACTTTCCCCATATTTTCTTTATACAGAGTTAACAAAAATCTGGAGATTTTTTTTTTCTTTTTTGATACAGTCTCACCCTGTTGCCCAGGCTGGAGTGCAGTGGTGCAATCTCAGCTCACTGCAACCTCCGCCTCCCAGGTTCAAGTGATTCTTGTGCCTCAGCCTCCCTAGTAACTGGGATTACAGGCTCCTGCCACCATGCTCAGCTAATTTTTGTATTTTTAGTAGAGTCGGGGTTTCACCGTATTGGCCAGGCTGGTCTTGAACTCCTGACCTCAAGTGAGCTCAAGTGATCCACCTGTCTCACCCTCACAAAGTGTTGGGATTACAGGCATTAGCCACTGCACCTGGTCGAGAAATCTTTATAAGCTGTTCCAGAAGTGAAAAGATAAGATATCCTGACTCAAAATCAGTATTTTAAAAAAATACAGCATTTAAAAAAAATACAGTATTTTTAAAAATGGAGATGTTTAAGCTCATCTATCTGTTGGAAAGAGACAGTCATTTTATCTTTTCTGCTAAATATAAGGTAAAAAATCAGCACATTTTTACATTTGAGAAACAAGCTTTTCTTCCTGACATTGCCTTGGTTCTGTTGTTGACCAATGAAAGCTAGTAACGGAGTGGGCCTGGGTCCTCAGTGAGAGTGTTCCAGATGCAATGCGGAGTTTAAGGTCTAAATAGAGACAGCCAGAATCAACCATCTGAATATTGAGTGTGGATTTAATGTTGTGCTTGCACTTTTTGTTATTTACTTAGCGTGTTACATTGTTCCAGCGATAGAGAAGCATTTCTGGTTTTTGATTTGCTTTGAACAATAGTGGGAAATTCAGGGCTTCTAGCCTGTTTGTTTTTTTTTTTTTTTTTTACCAGGGTCTGTGTGCAAGTCAGCAACGCTCCTGGGATCACATTGCTTCTTCTGTGTTTCTTTCTAGGTAAACTAGCTCTTGAACTTAGAAAGAAACACTTTTGCTTCCTGGGGTTGAGGGCAGGAGACGGTCGTGGTGAGAATGTGCTTAAAGACAAAGACAAACCAGCTGGAGATGGTCCTTTTAAGTGAAGGGGAGAGGAAGCCGCAACAAGGAGGGACCACCTATTACACAAAGCACAGCGTTTCTTAATCTCTGCACTCATGACATTTTGGGCTAGAGTGTTCTTTGTTGTGCGGGATTGCCCAGTGCATTACAGGATGCTTAGCAACATCCCTGGCCTCTACCTATTAGATGCCAGTAACACCCTGCCACCAGATGTAACAACCAAAAATGCCTCCTGACATTTTCCATATATCCCCTGGGGAGCAAAATGACCTCCAGCTGAGAACCACCCACGTAGACTCTCAGCATCTAGGTACCTACAAAACCATCGGTGGGAGTTACACGGACTCATTCATTTCACTCAGCACACATTCCCATATCAATCAGACTTTGCCGCCTGTTAATTCCTCTTTCTAATGCGCTCTTATTTTTATCCTCAGTTGAGATGAAACTTTCTCTCATAGGTTGTCTGGTCACTGAGGTCACTAGGTCCTAGGTCTGCCCTCAGTTCCAGGTTGAAACTTCTGTCCTCACATCTACCTGTAGCCTGTCTCAGGTTCCCTGGCTTCCACCCACAGCATTGCCTGGAACAAACTGGTAGGCTGATTTTAAGTTGTTTTGGTTCAAAAACTTTCTCTCTCTCTTTTTTTTTTTTTTAATTTTATTTCGTTTTAAACCACAGTTTCTCAAAGTGCCTGAACTACTTCGCTCTCTCATGGTTCTGTACCTTACCCCGTCATGCTTAGCTTCGGAGGGTGAGGCAGAGCTCACGTCACACATGCTAGGTCTCATTTGCTCAAAATGATCCCTTAGCTCAAATCCCAGCAACCTAACAATCAGTTACATTTTGATTCCTCCAACTCCAGGCAAAATTCCTTTCCATTCCAATGCCAGGCAAAGCTCCTTTCCATTCATGTATGATTTTGTGGTCCGTTGGGCACAGGAGTCTGTAGGTTGCCTTGCAAATCATAGTTTTCAAAATCATCTTTTTCTGCATTCTGTAACCTGGGATTCCAACTCCAAGTAAATTGTTTCTTTTCTTTTCTTTCTTTCTTTTTCTTTTTTTTTTTTCATTTTAAGGCCAGAGTTGGATAGAGGATAGGGATGGGCTGAGAATGGGGTGATGGGTTGGTCTCTTCATCTTACAGTTTTATTACTGTTAAATAATAAGTAACAGCATTTATTGCCTCCGGTATCAAATGTTATTAAATGTCTGTGTCAATGGAGAGCAGAATAACCAGAAGTCACCTGACAATAGCGCATGACCATAAAGTATTTCTAACAAGAATAATTGCTGTCACTGAGTGCGCTCTCTCTTTTATCAGCTGTCATAAACAGGTCTTATTACCTTTGTCATAAACAAGTAGTATTACCTTAGAAATGTTATGGGGGGTTGGGCACAGTGGCTCACACCTGTACTCCCAGCTCTTTGGAAGGCTGAGGCAGGTGGATCACTTGAGCCTAAGACTTCGAGACCAGCCTGGGCAACATGGTGAAACCCTGCCTCTACAAGATACAAAAATTAGCCAGGCATGGTGGCACGTGCCTGTAATCCCAACTACTCAGGAGGCTGAGGCAGGAAGATCACCTGAGCCTAGGGAGGTGGAGGCTGCAGTGAGCCGAGATTGTATGCCCCTGCACTCCAGCCTGGGCAACAGAGCCAGCCCCTGTCTCAAGGAAAAGAAAATAAATATTAGGGGTTTATTGCTTCTATCTCAGGCAGATTTGGTTAGGACTATATAAAAGCAAATTATACATTCATGGGAAACAGAAGCAAAAAGAACCAGGTACCTGACAGTGAAGAGATAACAAATGGCAATGTAAGAAACACTTGCCAATTTCTTTGTCTGTGGAAATGGCATTAAAGCTGCTTTGAAGGAAAGTAGATTTTTTGAAATAAAATGGCTATAGATCAGAAAAATTAGTGTGCATATCATCGGTAAAGTATCAAAAGGAAAGTACACACACACACACACACACACACACACACAACTATTTTTCCCATTAAGGCACAACCAGGGTGATTTAAAACATGATACATAAGTGTTACAGAAGAGGAAAGTCAAGATAGGAGGCTGTGTTTTCAATACACTTTTAAAGCTGATTATGTTTAGTGTTCTACAGGTTCTGAAATCCTTGTCTAATGAAAATATATATGGCTTCTAGATTTTAATGATTATTTTTTTTTCTTTAAGCTTAAAGAAGAATTCCAAAGAACGGCCTACATACCCAGAGCTAATGGTGAGTATTGTTAGCAACGTAAACATGACTATACTGATAGCTACAAAAGGCAAAGTCACTAAGACCTAAATTATCATCACATCACCATATTGGAAGAGTTGGTTCATTGATACATCAGTGACAGGAATTGAACTCCAGGAAAGAGAGTTAAAGAGTTCATCCTACATCCTTCTTAAACATAGGTTGGGACCTGTCACTATTCTTAGTAGTTTTTTTCCAGGCTAATAAACCTGTCATGATACAGAGCAAATTATGTGTATACAATTTATATTTTTGAATTTAAAAGATATGAGAAGCCTCATATTACTAAGATAAAATTAAGGAAAGTATGATTTAAGAGATTTCAATACTGAGGAAAACTTAAATGCTCTTTGACTGATCAATTTTTGATCAAATATCTGGGCTAAATTAGATGAACAACTTTTTGGGGGGTAGCTAAGGAGGAAAAAAAATTTTGCTTTTTGTTTTCACTTTGGTGGAAAAAAGTAAGACAAAGCATGATTAGTTTAAATTATACTCCCTCAGCATTCACAGTTTATCACTTGCTGTGTCTATAAAAAGCAAGAGTGAAGAAAGTAATATCTTAGCATTGTTTGTTGTATTAAAATAACGTTTCTTAAATTGTGGTAACTATAGGCCGGGCATGGTGGCTGTTCATGCCTGTAATCCCAGCACTCTGGTAGGCCGAGTTGGGCAGATTGCTTGAGCCCAGGAGTTGGAGACCAACCTGGGCAACATGACGAAACCCCACCTCTACAAAAAGTACAAAAAATTAGCCGGGCATGGTGGCATTTGCCTGTAGCCCCAGCTACTCAGGAAGCCGAGGTGGCAGGATCACTTGAGCCCAGGAAGTTAAGGCTGCAGTGAGCCGTGATTGTGCCACTGAATTCCAGCCTGGGCAACAGAGTGAGACCCTGTCTCAAAGAAAAACAAACAAACAAACAAACAAAACTCTGGTAACTACAATTCTAAGCTAATTACTAATGATTCTAAAAGCTAAATACAAATGGCAAGGACCTAAACTTGGCAATGCTTTGCTTTATCTAAGTATATGTTGAATGTAGGAGAAACACATTTTTGGGGGGGAGAAATATATAAAATTCAGACTATTTGCTAATTTATGTTAATTCCTAGATTTGTTTCAATTATCAAGGTTTTCATTTTAGCAGGGGAAGGAAGAGTTACGTTCATGCACAATTTCAAAAGCAATAAAACACTGACACCCTTTCTTACTGGAACACAGTTATTCATCAGGCATTAAATGCTTGCTCCTCTGCTATCCCAGCCACAAGCCCTGCTGTCTTCAAGACCAACTCAGGGCATGTCTTAGAAGCATGGATTCCTAGTGTCAAATGCTGTGGTGAGGTGGCTTAGATATGAGGAAGCACAGCTTGGAAATGTCGAGTCAGGAAGAGTTACAGAAAGCTGATCAGGAAGATGCGTGATAGTTACAGCCAATCACATAGGTTTTCACTTCTGTTGCCTAAGCTTTGATTGAAGATTGAACCATTTTGCAACTGGATGAATTGGAGATGAGACCATCTCATTGGGCCTCCATTGGGTGCATTAAAAGGCAGCCCCTGGTGCTCAGCACTCTACCATCTTTATTCAACTAAAACTCACAGTTAAAGAAGGAAATATGAGTAATGTTTGAGAAAATCCTAGCATAGTACATGTTTAAGTTGAATATTTTCTTCCCGATTATTTTTTAATAGCCAGTCAAAGGCTTTTTTGGTTCTGTTTACTCTTTTTAAATATGCTTATGCACCCGCTAGGCCATTTTAAAATTAATTTCATATAAAATACAGTAGATATACAGTTATTCTTGTAGGATACTATGGAGCCTGTAATCCTATTTTATTTATTTATTTATATTTTAATTTTTATTTTTTAGAGATGGAGTCTCATTATGTTGCCCAGGCTGGTCTCGAAGTCGTGGGCTCAAACAATCCCCCGGCCTGGGCCCCCCAAGTAGCTGGGACTACAAGTGTGCACCTGTACTCCTATTCTAAAGTTGCCATGTTTTGTAACTAAGTTCAGATAAGAAGAACATTTTCTATATATTTCTGGCTACTTTTTCTTCTTCCAAATGGTTTCGGATCAGAAATTTCACTGAAACACACTTGAGAAAAGAATGCTTAATATACATGGGCAGCTGATGTCAAATTCTACATTTGTAATATGTTCTAACCCTGTGATATTTTATGGCCTACATATATATCAATGTTATAAAATCATGTCAGTCCCCCTTTTCTTCTTACAGCATTAGTCTTTGTGGTACTGGAAATGGACTTGCCTTTTAAGACTATAACTGTTCCCTGCTTTCCTGTGGAACTGAGGTTTTCAAACGGAAAATCTGAGTCCAAACTCCCTGACTTTAGCATTGGGAAAACACTTGCTGAGAGGCAATTGTTTAGATTTTAGGAGTTGGTGAGGAAGTATGAAGGAAAAAAATAATCCTTTTTCCAGGTGAAGGACAGTTTAATTAAGGCCTTAACCTAGACATGTCCCTCTTATAGAAATCCCAAATGTTTCTCTCCCTAACACGGATTGAAGGGTGTGTATTCTTTAAGATCATGTCATTTGCTTCTTCTCTCAAATGTCACTGGGGAGTATGACTCAGTAGAATTTGTTCTTCTAAAGTAGGTAGCAGCCAACGATTTCTGTAAAGGACTAAATAGTAAGTATTTTAGTCTTTGTAGGCTATACAGTTGCTGTTTACAATGGCTTAATTCAGTGTTGCAATGTGAAAGCAGCCATATCCGATGTGTTAAAAAAAAAATGGGGTGTGTGTGGCTGTGTTCCAATAAAACTTTATTTAAAAAAACAAGCAGTGGGCTAAATTTGGCCTCTGGGTCATAGGTAGCTGATCCCTGTCCTAGATGATAATCACCAGAAAAGATAACCAGTTCATTCAAGTGATTGCCCAGTGAAATAATGTTCTCCAATTATCTTAGGAAGTTCTAGATTGAACTGTATGTTAAACAAAGATGCCTGACCCATTCAAAACCATAGTCTTAAGGGATGAGGTGCTGTGCATGGGACAGGGAGACCTGCTGGTGACTGTAGCTTGTCTGTCTATTCCTCGTAGTATGTTCACGGATCTCCATGTTTTCTTCAGGCACATCAGTGAGACTAAATGGTGTAAAGTCCTCCCTTCTTGTCTCCCTGGCTCCTCTTTTGGGAAACCCAGCCTGGTATTATAGTCTGAGTATTATTCATAGTCCCTCATTTGTCAATTTCCTGGTTGCTGCCCTTGCTAATCTTAATCCATTGCTTATAGGAGGGACTGGGTTCCCTCTTAACCTTTTACAGCCTCAAAACCCACACAAGAAGGCAAGTCACACTTTCCATTTGTCATGCCTACCCGTTTTCCCCTCCCCCTGCCCTTCTGGCTCTCATAGCATTTTCTCAACCTGGGAATAAATGGAAAGATGCCTAGCGATTTTCTTTTTTTTTGATTAAAGACTTCAAGTCAGGTTATTTAATTCATTTGCAGACTCAGGCAACATCTACTGAGCTAATAGCCACTAGCAGAACAAAAGGCAAGGTGGGGCTGGCAGGTGTTGGAAGCAGTCACCAAGATAATCTGAGGTTTGGCATGTCCTGTTTTGATAGTAAAAAGCTTTTAAGTACATTAAAAGATTTCCAAATGTCCAGAGGATGTGGGAAAGCTAATAAGCATGATGGTAGAGTCCTTGGTAAGTGTGCTGTGTATGTGGTGACTAATCAGAAGTATGGCTGCTATTTAGTTTTTGAGGGAGCTCAGGAGGAAGGACCTGGCACTCAGAGCTTCAGTTGATTTCATGAGTGTAAGGATCGGAGCCAGCACTCAACCTGTGTCCTCAGATGGGCAAAGGGAGAAAATCTCTTTTCCATTTTCTGAGTCATGATACTTAATCGCGACCAGCTATCTTCTTTGGGGTTTTTATTTCTTTGTTCCTTTCCCATTTGCATTGTTTCCTAGAGTTTCCATGAGCAGGAACTCAGTTTTCCACGGAGCTGACTCATCCAACCCTCTGCTGTCAGGTTTAAAACAAATATAATTAGAAAACCTACAGCTGGGCAACATAAAGGTTGTAAACTAAACTCCCTAAAGTCAGGGGAAACAGAGTGAGTCACTTATGTGTCTGGATGTAAAAATGCTTACATTTAGCTACTCAACTGGTCATTGAAAATAGACTACCAGGCAATCAAGGGAGTGAGCATGGGAGGTGAGACACGTGGGACTAAGTTCTACCTGTAAGAATTATCCATTTGGGGTAGGTTTGGTTGGTTCTATTTCCACTATAAGAACTGTGGCTCATGACCTGATATATCTTTCTAAGTAGAGGTGGCAGGTTCCACTGTGAGAGCTGGGCACTTATTGTAACAAAATTGAGCAATCTGGGGAGAATTGTTCTAGTGCAGAGAAAATGGCTTCCTGCTCAGGATTGTTTTGAAATGCATGGCCTCTTGAATCACATACCATGCTTGTTCCCCTAGCAAAGCATAAGACTTGTTATGTTTTTAGAGTTTACTTGTTCTGAGCTGTGAGGATAGAGACTCTTCTTTTCCCTTTTCAATCTTTAATCTCCGAGTTCAGTTTTCTCTGCACATAACTAGAGTTTGGCAGTCTACATTATTTTTCAGATGGATCAACTCTTCATCAGGAGAGACATAAATAAAGCTCGTGGCTTGGCAAATGGCTTTAACTGTTTTAGTCTAAACCAATTCTCCAACGTCAAGGGCGAGGGCTACCTTCCTTGCACGTTTACTGTTCAACAAAATTGGCTTCTCATTCCATCATCTTTTTCCTGAGAAATAAAAGTGCATACTGCTGGCCGGGCATGGTGGCACACGCCTGCAATCCCAGCACTTTGGGAGGCCGAGGCTGGCAGATCACGAGGTCAGGAGATCAAGACCATCCTGGGTAACACAGTGAAACCCTGTCTCTACTAAAAATATAAAAAATTAGCCAGGCATGGTGGCATGCACCTGTAATCCCAGCTACTCGGGAGGCTGAGGCAGGAGAATCACTTGAACCCGGGAGGCAGAGTTTGCAGTGAGCCAAGATCGCACCACTGCACTCCAGCCTGGGCAACAGAGCGAGACTCCATCTCAAAAAGAAAAAAGTACATACACCTATGAATTGTCTTATTATCTTACTACTATATTAGCCTAAAATGACCTTGTGGGGCCCAGGGCTATTTGTAAATCAGAGTTTGGGTTGTTTTTTGTCAATCTTTGTATTTTGCTGTAGATGAGACTTACGTAGCATAATTACACTTTTTTTTAAAATTTAATATAGTGGAAACCTAGAGATATCAAGATGGAAAGAGTGACAACTAAGAGATATCTTTAAAATGTTTGCATCACTAGATGTGTGCTTGATTTTGGAAAGGGTAGGAAAAGCCCAGCCTAGCTCTGATAGGGATACTTAATCCCTGTACCAAGCAGATCTATTCATTTGCTAATCTCATATATTGATTGTCAGTAAGACATTAATACCATGTTTTTTCTTTTTCTTTTCCAGCAACATCCATTTTTCACCCTACATGAATCCAAAGGAACAGATGTGGCATCTTTTGTAAAACTGATTCTTGGAGACTAAAAAGCAGTGGACTTAATCGGTTGACCCTACTGTGGATTGGTGGGTTTCGGGGTGAAGCAAGTTCACTACAGCATCAATAGAAAGTCATCTTTGAGATAATTTAACCCTGCCTCTCAGAGGGTTTTCTCTCCCAATTTTCTTTTTACTCCCCCTCTTAAGGGGGCCTTGGAATCTATAGTATAGAATGAACTGTCTAGATGGATGAATTATGATAAAGGCTTAGGACTTCAAAAGGTGATTAAATATTTAATGATGTGTCATATGAGTCCTCAAGCTTCTCAGACTTCTCTTATTCTTTACAAAATGAATGCATTGGCCCTGACAAAAAGGTGCTACGGTAGTGATGAAATTATAAGTAGATTTGTAGTTTGTCCCATTTATTATTTTAATATTTATGTTTAAGTGCTTGGTTGAAAAGATTCCATTTTATACAAGAAGGGAGATTCAAAAAAAAAATATAAGGTTGGGTTAGCAATATTTATAGGGCTTTTATTTTTTAAGTTCAATTGTGTCTGTGGTCCAGAAGAAATTATTTAATATGCATCTTTGAGAATATTATAAAAATATCAAAAAGGAGCTCTTCTTGTGAAATGTCTGTTCCAGCTGTTGTGACTGCTGCCATTTTTGCAAACATCTGCCCAATCCTGGGTGATCACCACATCTTTTAGGGGAAGTGACAAGATGCTCTGGTCATACTCTTTTTCCCAACTTTGGAAAACATAAAAATCACTCATATAACAGCTCAAAGAGTAAAACATTTGGTTCTTCTGACACTTGTGGTATAGTATTAGTGGAAAGTGATTTGTAATATGATTTTATATCCACCTACCTATTCATCTACCTGTGTGTATGTGTGTGTTTGTGTGTCTATTTGGCAATTCACAAGTCCTGCCAAGTGGTTTCTATGAGCATCTCTGTTTGGTAAGGAGGACAATTGTCAGTTTTGAGGGGGACATGTGTTAAATCACAGAAAAAAATGGTGCCTTCTTCTGCGTTTGTCCCTCCTGCCATGTGTAAGTTGTAAGGATTGCCTTTGTAGTTAATGTACTCTTTGGCTTTGTTTGTTTGTTTTCTTCTTCAGTGAAGCAGCCTTACTATTCATAGAAGGGCTAGAATAGGAGAAAATGAAAGGTAGTGAGTAATTCTTTGATAAGATGAGGAAATAATGGGAAAGGTTGAATTAATTCCTGGGCATGGACTACCAGATGACCACAAGTTGCGTTGAGGCCGCATCTTTCTTCAGCAGCGTGCAATAGCTGGCTCCTCTATAGGAGATGAGCTTCATTGGGAGTTCCTAGCAAGTTGACTAAACAGCAAAAGTTCTTTCTCGTGGGTAAATATACCCACAGGTTCTATGATTTGTAGCTCTAGGTTTCTTGATGATCAAGGAGTGAAGTAATTGACAGGGAAAATATAGACCTATGATAAATAACCAGGAAGCATTGCTTTTGGACAAGGAAGGACAGAGGGTTTTGATTTTAAAAAGAAGAAAAAAAAACCTTATTTTTTCTTTCTTGGCCTCAAGTTCAATATGGAGAGGATTGCTTCCCTGAATCCTCTCTTCCTTCCCCTTTTAGATTTTGAAGTGCAATCATATGTTTTTCTCTGTTTGCATTTTTTCCTCCTTGTTCTTGACAAGGAGGAGTTGCTCCTGCCCAGAATGAGCGTGACACTTCCGAACACTTCTTCATATTCAGTTCCAAGATATATCTGCTTGATTAAACATGAGCTTCCTCTGCTCTGAAGCTACCTCTGTCCTCATTTTATTCTAGCCAGAAAAGGAGTATCACCCTAGTGATTATGGCTGTTCACTTTCCCATCTATCTTCCTAAATCTGGAAGTTCTTCTCTTGGAGATCAAGAGAAAAATTACAATTGTATTCCTTACTTTATTCACCCACCTATGAAAACAGGAAGCAATAGGAAAAAAAATCCGGTTACTCCATTTTAGCTTTTGGTGAACGATGTAGAGCAAATTGTCTCTCTGGTCTAGGTCCGATTACTCTTACCTGTTTTTCCACTTTGAGACATTCTAAACAGAATGTGTAACTTCTCATATGTATGCCTCTCCCATCTGTGAACCTAGGCCAAAGTTGCAAAAACAATCATATTAATAGTAGAGTAGAGAAAAAGTTAGTCTATGGTTCTCAACCCTCGTGTACATTGGAACCATCTGGGAGCTGTGAACACTGTCGCTGCCAATGTTCCAGCCACCAGAGATTTGGATTTAACTGGTGGGGCCTAGGAATTGGTGTTTTTTTGTTTTGTTTTGTTTTTTACACACCTTCATGTGATTCTGATGTGAAGCTGGGTTCAGAACACTTATCTAGTACCTTCTAAAGAGAACTGACTTAAATTTACTTTCTTTTGAACATTTGCAGGGAGTAACATGCCATTGCAGAAAGTAACAAAAACAGGTCCTATTTCTTTCCCTGTCCTCATCAGTGGAAATCTCTTTGTCACTCTGAGAGAAGGCATGTACCTGGGATACTGATAGGAAGTGTAGAACACCTTTTCCCCAGAGAAGCAATATTTTGCACTGTTATTAAATATCTTACACGGTAAAGTCAAAAGAATGACCTGATAGCCTCACAAGACTAAATTTTAGAGCATGGTTTTGTTTTTGGAAAACTGTGTTGTAAGTGCCAATCAACCAACTTTTGAAAAAATCAAGATACCTAAACTATATATAAATGGGGAGTATTCTGTACATATAGACTTATATATAAAGACATCTGTGTTCACGGATGACCCTCAAAATAGTTAATGCCCCACCAGCATAGACCATCTGAATATCAGCCCTGTCTACACCTATCAATGTATTACAAAATCAGTATAGCTCTACAAAAGAGATCATGCTTATTTCCCCAGATGTATTTGATTTTGTATCATATAATTGTCCATGTTATAATTTTTGAAAATGTTTATTAAAATAGCCATCTTTTTTGATATTATTGGTTTAAGAGGTGTGCCAAAAAAAGTAATATGCATAACTTTTAAGACTATTACCCTATGTTTGTACGTATGAGTGAATATTGCCCACCAGAGTAGCCATCTTGAGAGACTACATATTTATATTCATAATGCTATTAAATTATTTTTGCCACTCCTCTTTCAGAAAAGGCTTTAGAATCCACTCCCTCCTCTGAGATGTGTGTCATCATTTGAGAATTCTTACTTAGGTTTTGTTGTTGTTTGTTTTGCTTTTTACAAAAATCCTTAGCAGATGTTTCCCTCTTTGATTTACCTGCCTTGTTTATCAGATTTTGCACAAAGTTGTGTTTGACAATTTCTAGAAGTTAAATCTTCCCTCAGAGCTGGAGTTTTAGCATCATTGACTCTTTGTAAAACGCCATGTCATGGGCTCTGAAGATAATTTCAAATGAAGATTTCCACACCCCGCCCCCACCACCCCTGCCCAAAGTGCATGATTATTTTTAACCAGAGTCATTCTTCCACCAGAATAAGTGTAATCTCCCAAAATGACTACTTTGAAGGAGATAGAACCCCCATAAAGGTATATGTTTGTTGATAAAATATCAGGTCATCACGGATTTTGCAAGTGAAAGTCACCTATCTTCTATGATTGAAGGTCCTGATGTGGGGGAATAATCTATTTTTTCTAAAGACTGTGTTTGGTCACACTGATTTAATCAGAACAAATGGGTTAAATAAGCAGCTTTTATCACAGTTAAGCCATCTGAAATGGAAACGAGTATGTATGGGCATGGCTTGAAATTGTTTGTATTTTACAGTTCTTGTATATCCTTCAAGCCTAACAAAAAATTGTATGTGCCAGAGATTCCTAAACTTTCTGTGTTCAGGGTGCCATTAGTTGTCTTGGTACTTTTTTCATGGTGCCCCAGGTCAAAATATATACTTAATAGTTCAGTGTTTTAAGTAATTAGGTCCCAACAGCTTAATAATAGCAGTTTGCACAGTGTCCTGCATATATCACTATATTTCCCTTAAAAATTTCCAGCATTGGCTGAGCATGGTGACTCACGCCTGTAATCCCAGCACTTTGGGAGGCTGAGGCAGGTGGATCACCTCAGGTCAGGAATTTGAGACCAGCCTGACTAACATGATGAAACCCCGTCTCTACTAAAAATACAAAATTAGCTGGGCATGGTGGCACATGCCTGTAATCCCAGCTACTCAGGAGGCTGAGGCAGGAGAATTGCTTGAACCCGGGAGGCGGAGGTTGCAGTGAGCCGACATCGTGTCAGTGCACTCCAGCCTGGGCAACAAGAGCAAAACTTCATCTCAAAAAAAAAAAAAAAAAATGTACAACATCTTGCTTAGCCTGTGTGTGTTCTGTGGTACCTTGGAATAGCTCAGTACATAATTTGGGGACCACAGATATCTATTATGCCAATGTTTGCACTGTCTGCTGTTGGTGACCCTCAAAATGAAATTCTTGGCCACTCAACTCTCCACATTATTTCACTCTTTGTTTTGTTATTATTAGTATTCTTCTTGCTTGCCATTGGCTAATTCATTTTTTAACTGCAACCCTACTCTTCTTTGCTGTTCATCAGCCCTGCAATGCCGTAGTGTCTTAGTCTAGAAAAATGCAATACTCAAAAGCCCCAGCATTGGAGGAGGCTGGTGCTAAGATGGACAGGGTTCCTGATTTCTCTCATTGAACTTGATTTAGTGTCTTGGGAATTATAATCTCAAAGGAGGCAGAGAGGGGTTAATGTTGCATAATTTATCACTAAAATGTCTTTGTTGACCAAGGGGCTTTATTAATTATGCTCAGAGAAACAATTCTGTTTCTCTTAAAAGTGTCTAACAAAACACTTTTTTCTTTGGCCTGAAAGGACAATGGATACCTAGTTCCTAATTTCCTACCCAAATGCTGTTT
This sequence comes from Homo sapiens, assembly GCF_000001405.40. NCBI lineage: Eukaryota > Metazoa > Chordata > Mammalia > Primates > Hominidae > Homo > Homo sapiens. The sequence goes on from NC_000017.11 coordinate 69,546,623, forward strand.
TGGCTGTGTTACTCCCTCTGCCCTCGAAGCTAAGATTTATATATTTACAAAATTTATTGGAGCTGGTAGTCAGATCTAGTAAAATGGATTAAATGTCAATTGTGCTGGGATTTTGCCTTAACATCTATCTATGACTTGAAGAGGGATTTGTTGGCTCAAAGGATCTTCTGCTTTTAATGAATTAGCAAGTGAAAAGGTATTTGAATAAATGTCAACTTCATAGGACTTTTTTTTTTTTTAACTTTTCAAATGGAAGGTGCAGTTTTCAATTAGGCCTCTGAAAATTTACATAGTCAGATGGAAAAATGCCAGAGTAAAATCTAGGAAGAAGGAGCTACCAGACCCGATAGAATAGAAAGAAAGCTATTTTATTCTCGGAGGTCTATGTTCCTCTTGTGTTTGAGTGCCTCTAGCACTGTTAAATGTGCTGACAGCTAAAGATGCTCTTTGGGTTTTTTTTTTGGCTTTAATTTGGGTACTATGGATTCTTTTGGGAATTTGTTGAAAGCTAGGACCTTTTCCCCAGGAAAATTTACATTGTATATGAAGCACATAATTTTGCAAACTTTTTTTGGTTGTTGTTGGGAGGGGGTTGCAGTTTATATACTCCACGGGGTTAGTAGCTCTGTTCTGTAGAATATTGACTGTGACATCCTAGACCACGGTTGGCAAACTTTTTCTGTATAGGACCAGATAGTAAATATTTTTGGCTTTGTGTGTTATACCATCTCTGTCACAGTTACTCAGCTCTGCTGTTGTATCATGAAAGCATCTATACGCAATACACAAATGAATGAGCCTGGTGGCTGTGTTCCAATAAAACTTTATTTACAAACCAAGCAATGGGCCAAATTTGGCCCACAGGCCATGGTTTGCCAACACCAGTCTTAGAGCATTAAATATAAAACTCTGATTAACTAGATATGTAGAGTTCTTCCATTTTAGTGACTATTGAGCTCAGCTGCTGTTGAGGCAGATTAGGAAGATGGACATAGGAAACTGGATTCAGAAAGGATGAGGACTGTTTAGTCCCATGAAAGTTGCTTGTTAATGTCCTCAGGTAAGTATGAATTGTTCTGGAAGCTGATAGAACAATTTTCTTCAGATCAAACTGAAGTACTTACTTTTTCCATTTCTATGCAATCACCAACATAATTTACTTCAATTTGGAAATAAATGTCACAGTTCTCTTAGTTGTTAACTGTATCCTTGGCTTAGGTTATTTGCATTTTCTTTCTTTCTTTCTGTAGTGTGGTTTATACACAAGGAGAATCACGAACCCAGACACTAGTCAATCTCTCTATTCCCTGACTTGTACTGAGATTGGGGAATTTGGGAGGTCAGACTTACCTCAAACGTAGAAGAAGGCAGATAGAGTTCTTAACCTTTTTCAACTTAGCCACCTCAATTATTTGTTCACATTTTAAGGAAGTAGGAAAGAGTAGTTTGAAGTCACAAAATTTGTTCTCAGGTGTTCTTAAAGCTCCCTGTTCTCACTGCGACAGAAGACTCAGGCCTACTCATTTTGTGCTGTCCCACAAAAGTGAGAGGAGTACTTCTCTTTTTTTAAATCATCAGTAAATTTCAATTTTAAGGGGCCTATGCAAAATGCCTCCTTTCTGATGTGATTTTCTTGGGTTGCTGGCCCTAGTTGAATTTATGGGCCCTGAAGCCTCTAGTGGAAATCTTGTCTTCCCTATAGAACGAGAACAGCTATGTAATTTGCTTCACCTTCTGTTAGGACTTGCACCCTCTTTGCCATACAGAATGCTATAAAAAGGACAGTCTGCCAGTGACCGAAGCTTTCTCATTTTTTTTTCTTCCAGAACAATAGCACACATCTTGGTTAAAGCTATAGTCTCCTTATTATTCAGAAATATTCTTTTTCCTGCTGCACCATTAGGCAAACATACATTATGCTTAGAATGATACTTGGAAACTCCTTAACAGGGCATATTGAAGTATTTGATCCAGCAACTTACCTAAAAGAATGTTTGCTCTTCACCTAGGGAAATAAAACCTGAATTTCAGAGCCTTCAAAATGAAATTATCCTTCCAGGGGAAGCACATTGCCACCAAATACATCACTCACTACCTGTTCCTGGTGACTACATAGAAGATGTGTTATTTTTCTGAGGTTTAGAAAGTCACTGTTTACAGCTATGCAAATATTGTACTATTACAGATTTTTCTAATGAAGTAGTTTGAAATCAAGGCTTTAGTGGAAGGTAATCTTTTCAGTTTCTGACCCAGATTTCTTTTTCAAGCAAAACTCCTCTGAAAGCCTCTTTGCTATAGAGGTGATGAAGGCACTTGCTAGCCTAAGCAGAAACATAAAGTAAAAAATTTTGTAGTAGGGAATTTTTGTTGGTAAGAAATCAGTATCATCTTGTAACACAAACACGTGTTAATAGAACTTAAAAATACTCAGCCTAATTCCTTGGGACTTTCAGTATCTTGACATCACTTGTATTATCATTTGAACTTGGACATTGAGCCCTTTATTTTTGGGAGTTTACAGTTAAATTTTGGAAGAATTGTGTTGTATTTCTTTCTTAGATGTTGTCAGTATGAACAGAATTTTTTTGTGAACAGTTAATCTTGATGTGCTCCATAGCTTTCTCCAGTTTACACTTTTGCATTTCTGAGATTCAGGGTCTTTTTCAAGGAAGGAGGCTAATGTTTAAGGCCTGGAGGCTGAATTCAGGGAGCGTATTGGCAAGTTTAGGCACTTACTTGTGTCTTAATGTGGGAAACAGAACTTTCTAAGTAATCTCTGGAGTTTGTAGCTTAGACCAGGCCTTCAAAAGTCTTTTCTGTTTTCCTTTGCTACAATTTGCTTGTTATTTCTCTGCCGGTCACAGATGACCTGGACTGACTGAATGCTTTTGTGGTAAGGAACTGATCTGGCCATTTTCATATAACAAAAATCAAAGTCAACAATTTTGTATCAGGCTGCCTAAATGAACCCTATTGTTTCCAGTTCTTAAAAATTTAAGGGCTATCTAAGAAAAGTTTAAGCAAAACCCTCATTCCAAACATGCGACCTTATAATAAGAACTTCCTTTAAAGATGAGCAGCAAGGTTGGGTATCTGATTTCACTAAGTAATATTCTATTGTGGTCAGAAATGGGTAATTTGCATCATTTGGTCACTATCAATATTTGTGTTGGAGTCTGCAAGATATTTCAACAAAGTAAGCCAAACCACTATCTTAGGGGATTGTTGCTGGACTTTGGAATATAAGGCTGAACAGTGATGTGAAGTCATGTTTGGGGGCTGGAAGAAGTGATAAATGCAAAGGTTGGTGCTAAATTAGGAACCCCTTGAAGGAGCAAGCTGATTAAAAAAAAAAGCTGGCAGACAAGTATATCTTTTAATTTATTTGCAGTGTTGCTATATTATAGAGATGATTTCCTATGGGAAAACCCATCAAAAAGCCAAACCTTTATTGTTATTTTTCCTTAAAAATACTGAGCTATAAGAAGATTCAGAGAGTGGCATTAATTTGGGCATCAGAACATTTTCTTTTGTATCCCTAGTGTTATTGATTTGAAAGAGTTACCTTTTCAGACAGATGGCTGAACAAAAGTAAATGATTAACGGGAAATTTGATGGTTGAGAAAAAGGAACGATATGCCTAAAGCATTTTGAGAATATACCCCTCATCCATCAGCCACCTCTGGGTAAAGAAACACAAATACCAAAGCCTGAGCTCCTTAACCTTTTGTTCCAGAGGGCAGACATTTTTAAGAAAGGTGAATGTTAGAGAAGGTTACCTGATGAGCAAGCTTCTTTCCCATAATTCAGAGAACTGTGAATGTACTTAGAAATACACTACAGGTCTTCACCAGATGAACTAGATTTTATAATTTTAAAATATAATACTGAAAGCTAGTTTGAAGTTTCAGAAGCCATGAATTATGGGGAAGGAGTAGTTTTTTATTTTATTTTATTTTTCTGATCTCAAGTTGTTTGTCCTGTTGTATGTTCAATACTTGGGGAGATAAGAGCGAGGTACAGCTGTGGTTTTCAGACCATATTCAGTGGTGCCCCTGAGGGTCTCTTGTGAACAGAAGGGAAAAAGAGTGTGATGAAGGTGAACTCTGCCTATCTGAACCTCTGTCAACCTCCAGTCAGAATATCTGGCTTCTAGTATTGTTCCTTTTAACTGGAAGTCTCTGTGGCCATTAAAAACTTGGGAACGTTGGATTAAATGACCACTTTAGGACTTTAAACAGTCTCAAATATGGGAAATTTTATAGCCAACCACGGCTGTGAGTCCCTGGCTTTTGCCGTACTGAGTATGCTCACAGAGATAGGGAGATAGGTGGCCAGAAGACAGGGTCATTTAATTTTAATTGAGCATAAATCATTTTGAAAGAAAAATGCAAGGAATTGTTGTATGACAGCCATGCATTATAGATCCTTACATGCGACATTTTCCTAAAGTGGTTGAGAATGACCTGATCTTTGTTCACCGTCTCAGTGACAAGGCGTGGAGTGACTGGGCTCTTCATATGCAGTGGAATTTTTGCATCTCTAGGTTTGCAGAGGCAGGAGTTACCGTTTTTGTTCATTGACCTATCAGAAAAAAGCAAATCCTTTGGACAATGTTGACACAGACAGGGGTACGGTCTGAGACTCAAGCTAACAGAGCTACCCCTTGCTGCCTTTTGCAAAGGTGTTGTAGGTGGAGAAGGGTAATGGAAACCTGGTACAGCCTTTAGAAGTTGGAAGCTATGGTGGTGTATCTGTCATGAACTGCACACAAGGGAATGCTTAAACACCAGCTGAGTCATATCAGGTGCCTTGTACACACACATAAAGAGTCTGGTGAATTCTGACAGTGTTCTGTTTGCCACTAGAGCAAATTTAATAGCTGGGGTTTCACAGCAACTGTTTTAGAAAACTATATGTGCCAAAAATTTACATTGGGCAGCAGTTTATAGTGTTCTTGGCCAATCTGCATAAAAGCCACTTGAGGAGGTTTGATTAAGAAAATTGTGTTTATCTCCTGTATTACCTCTGTGTTTGATTTATTCTTTAGTCTCAAATTTATTTTCTGAGTGGACTGATTTTCTATATGAACTGAAATGATGTTTTAATAGAATAATAGGTATTTTTAGAGGAAAAGTATTTTTTTGTGTAATTTGCTTACACAACTAGGACATACTTCCTATGATACTGAATCATCAAATTGAGTCATTTAAAGCTGAAAGAGGTGTTAGGAATGTAGTTTCACATTATTTAAATACATGAACAGTTTTCTATATATTTTGTGAAAATCTTGATGAGACACTAGAATTTCTTTATGGAATTGAACTTTACAAGAATTTTAATAAAAGAGGTGGATTTCTTCAGCTTTCTTTGTGCTTCAGTTTCATAGCTGAAAATGCTGCTTCCGTTTATTAATATGGACTTTGTAAGGAAACACAACAACACGTTTTCTTACCTTCTGTAAATTTTGTGATAGACACATGTTATTTGTATATATGATTGATTGTTTGCCTGTTGCACCCTAAAGTTATTTTCAAACCATGTTTATTGCAAAGAGAGCCTTTGGGCAAGTGGAAAATGCCCTGATGCTAGAATGAGGTAGTTCCATAAGCTAGTTAGGAGCTTGCTACCTCTTCTTGGTACCTGAAATATTCTGAAAGGATATCGGAGAGGTCCTATGCACCCCTGTCTTTCAAAACCCACCTCCAGCACTTCAAAGTAGTGTCTCTGGAGAGTTTAAAATAAAAGAATGAATGCTATTCAGTGGATTCCCTCATTGAGGCTCCCATCTTTCCTGCCAGGTGCAGCTTTTTCTGGTTGGAATCATCTCTTCTTTACGGATTGCCGCATTGTCTCTTTGTGAATGAGGCAGGCTGAACTGTAGAGCATGAAACTCATTAGAAGTTTATAAAGTAAAGACCTGTAAAGCATGTGGGTGGAATGTTTCCATGCTCTTGAGGTGAATATTAAATTTAAATTCTGGCCTTTGGGAACTCTTTGCTTGTGAGCTGAAGAAGGAAAGAAGGAGTTGGGGGTGTATATCTAACTGTGTTTTTCTATATGGAAATATATGAGCATCAAGTGATAACTTCAATAAGGCCTCAGGATTGTATTTAAAATACCTGTTTTGTGGGACAGCATGCCTTTGTTTTCTTTGCCTGTTGGCTTTGGTGGCTCCAAACATTTTCATTTTAGGCTAGCTTTCCTGTCACCCAGGTTGTGTGCATTTTTTTTTTCATTTGAACTATTGTTTATCATTATTAATGATGTTATCTCCAAATCCCAAAGCCAAGGAAATAGCCAGTATGCAGGACTTGCAGTAGATATAAGCATTGGTGTTAACATAGGTTAAGTTTTGTTAGTGTTCCCAGAAATATACTGAATTGAGGGATAATGTAGCTTTAAAGAAATTATGTTTCTTTTTAACATTTGGAGAAGCCACCTGTCCTGGGTCCCTATTCTTGAGAAATTCATCTTTTCATGCAAATAACATTGATGGGGGACAAGACTGGATGATTGACTTCTATCAGTCAGTAGACAAGGAAGTATAATAATTGCCAAAGGTGAGGGTAATTTTGCCTTACAAGTATGTAGGTCATTCTGTGGTGGGATTTCCCATCACATCTAGTAAAAAACAACCTTTTCATTTCCCTCCTTTCTAATCCAAGATCATATTTTTAAAAAGTAGGTTTCTGATGTGCCATGAAATATTTCTGTGAATCTGTGTTTTTGACCAAGGAAACAGCTGAGATATTAAACCATGTGGTTGTTCCACGGTTCATCTGGCTACCGTTCTGGGTCCCCTCTGACCACCTCAAAAAGAAAATGAAATTGGGAGATTAAATCAAGCTTGACCTCCTCTTTTAATGAGGAACTTTCACGTTGACTTCCTATCTCAGGATATTCTTCAGTTTCATACTGCTGAGGAGAAAGGAACAAGCTGCAGACACTGTAACTGGTCTCCAGATGTGTGTATATGCGTGTAAAACTTCACACCGTGTGTGTTGTGTTCAATGTTGTGTCAATCTACAAACTGACTCAAACAACAGTTTAACGATAGAGAAGACAGTGATAATGGCAAAAAAAACACCCAACCACCTTTTTCCGTCAAAGTGCTTGCTATGGCTTTCATAGCTGGGACAAGTAACATTAAGTATTCAGGAGCAAAGTGTTCTTGAAAGAAAATGGTGTGTTGATCTCATAAGAAAATGTACAACCAATAAAAGACATTTTAAAAAGCGTAGTGAGTCTGTACATTAATTGAGTTGTTGGAAACCCTATATTCCAGGAACATGGTATAAAAGGCTCTCCCGGTAAAAGCTTTCCTGGACTATATATTCTTGTTATTCTTTCTCTATGCTTTTCCTATTTCTACCACCGCACTTCCCAAACAGACTAGAACAAAACCTAACAACACAACAGTATTGCAGTCGTATTAGTCTGTTTTCATGCTGCTGATAAAAACATAACTGAGACTGTGCAATTAACGAAAGAAAGTGGTTTAATGTACTCACAGTTCCACGTGGCTGGGGAGGCTTCACAATCACAGTGTAAGACGAAAGGCATGTCTCAACATGGTGGTAGACAAGAGGAGAGAGAGAGCCCAGCAAAAGGGTAACCCCTCATAAGACCCTCAAATCTCTTGAGACTTACTCACTCTCATGAGAACAGTATGAGGGAAACTGCCTCCATGATTCAATTATCTCCCACTGGGTCCCTCCCACAACACATGGGAATTATGGGAGCTAAAATAATTTGGGTGGGGACACAGCCAAACCATATCAGCCGCCCTGAAGACTCATTAGAAAATCATTTCAAGGCCAAGCGTGGTGGCTCACACCTGTAGTCCTAGCACTTTGGGAGGCAGAGGCAGGCAGATTGCCTGAGCTCAGGAGTTTGAGGCCAGCCCAGGCCACATGGCAAAACCCCATCTCTGCTAAAAATACAAAAAATTATCTGGGTGTGGTGGTGCACATCTGTAATCCCAGCTACTTGAGAGGCTGAGGCACAAGAATTGCTTAAACCTGAGAGGCGGAGGTTGTTGCAGTGAGCAGAGATCATGCCACTGAACTCCAGCCTGGATGACAGAGTGAGACTCTGTCTCAAAAAAAAAAAAAAAAAAAAAAAAAAAAAAATCATTTCTAGTCTACTTCAGACTCAATATATTTGTTTTTTTTTTTTTCTTCCCCAAGACAGAGTCTTGTTTGGTCGCCCAGAGCTGGAGTGCAATGGCGCGATCTTGGCTCACTGCAACCTCCGCCTCCTGGGTTCAGGCAATTCTCCTGCCTCAGCCTCTTGAGTAGCTGGGATTACAGGCATGTGCCACCACCCCTGGCTAATTTTTGTATTTTTAGTAGAGACAGGGTTTCACCATGTTGGCCAGGCTTGTCTCGAACTCCTGACCTCATGATACGCCTGCCTCGGCCTCCCAAAGTGCTGGGATTACAGGTGTGAGCCACCGTGCCCAGCCTCAGACTCAATATTATTATAGGCAGCCTAGGTTGGAAGTGAAGGCCAAGATTTTATTATTAAAATCAGATGGCTTTTGGTGAGGATGAGTCCAGATGGATCAAATGAAAAGATTAAGACCAACTGTCTTTTGGCTTCCATGTGTTGCTGACACTGAACTATGGGGCCAAACTAGTCATTCAAGTTTTTCCTGGTCCTATAGGTGTAATATTAGGATATTTGCTTTACGTGATCAGTCAGTGCCATGATCCAGATGTTCTGGGAAAGAAAATCTTAGTACAAGTAAATATGGTTGTACTTAGTACAAGTAAATATAGTTGTACTTAGTACAAGTAAATATAGTACAAGGCACAGTTCTCTGATTTCTCCTATAAATGGAGGGACTAGATCCATTTGACTTGTATCCATATTAATCCAGTTTAGAGAAAAATTGCTAGACCTGAGTGTTCCTGTTTGAGTGGATCACCAGTTATACCAGGAAGCACACATTTATCTCTAGCTTGCTGCTTTTGTTTTTCTCAAACTTTTTTTTAATTTTATTTTTATTTTAAGTTCCAGGGTACATGTGAAGGGTGTGCAGGTTTGTTACACAGGTAAACTGTGTGCCATGGTGATTTGCTGCACCTATCAACCTTCCACCTAGATATTAAGCCCAGCATGCATTAGCTATTTTTCCTAATGTTCTTCCTCCCCCCACCCCCTACTTCCCAGCTTAGTGTGTGTTGTTCCCCTCCCTGTGTCCTTGTGTTCTCATTGTTCAGCTCCCACTTATGAGTAAGAACACGCGGTGTTTGGTTTTCTGTTCCTGTGTTAGTTTGCTGAGGATAATGACTTCCAGCTCCATCCATGTCCCTGCAAAGGACATGATTTCATTCCTTGTTATGGCTGCATGATATTTTGTGGTGTATATGTGCCACATTTTCTTTATCCATTCTATCATTGATGGGCATTTGGGTTGATTCCATGTCATTGCTATTGTGAATAGTGCTGCAGTGAACATATGCGTGCATATATTTTTGTAAAAGAATGATTTATATTCCTTTGGTTGTATATCCAGTAATGGGATTCTAGTTTGCTTCTTAAACAGACTGATGCTGCTGAATCAGAAGTAGATTTTTAAAAAGCCCTTGGTGTTTCACGTCAGATTTAAATCATTTCAAGAGTTAGAATCCAAAGGAGAGGGCTCACTCTACTTCTGTGTACGTTACTCAAATGACTTCCCAGGGACCATGAACTCTATTATGCTGACTTTGGAGTCCTTCTCCCCTAAACTGTATCAAGACTGTCATAATCCTTCATCATTCTTAAGTGACAGGCCTTCCTTGACATTACAAATTTTAAGTTCCTATAAGGGTGCAGGTATGTGGAGAGGGAGGGCATGAACAAACATGATTCTCAGACATCACATGTGAAGGTTATTTTATCCACTTCTCCACAGCCATTCTTGATTTTTATATAATTAGATTTTGAAGTATTTTTCTTTTGATTTGGATAATTCCATCTTTTCCCCTCCTCATGTTGACTGATACTAATTTGCCCCATCAGAATGATTCCCTGTTTACTCAAGATTTTGTAGGAAACTGAATTAAAGTAGAAAATGGAGAAAGGAAATTGGGTTAATAACAAAAGCATTTTGGGGTTGTTTCTTGATGTTTTGATTATGTACTTAAACACAGCAAACCCAAAAACTTAGTAGCTTAAAACAACAGTTTATTACTGACAATCTTGAGGGTTGACTGGGCTCAGCTGAGTGGTTTTGTTTGGTGTTTCTCATGCATGTGTTGTCAGATGGTGGCTGGGGTGAGAGTCTTGGAGGGCTTTGTCCATCACATGTCTGGTGTCTGGACCAGGGGAGCTGGAATATCCAGGGGCCAGTGGAGCATCTCTTGCTTCATGTGGCCTCTCTATATGGCTAGATTGGGTTGCTCATAGCCTGGGCATCTCATAGTAGTTGCAATTCTTTCATGGAAGTTGTACTTCCCCAGCTTTAGTGATACAGAAGGCCCACACAGAAGCTCCAAGTTAATCACACAGTGTAATTTCCACTGTGAATAGTTGGAGGTTATGCTTCATGGTGAGGATGTCTGAAAACTAATTACCATGCTTGGTTAGTCTAATACAGTTAGAATATGCCAGTAAACTTTAAAATCTGATCTTATTCCTACTTTCCAAAATTGGTGGCCAAGAGGCAGTGGAAACGATGTATTAAAATCAATGATGAAAGTGGAAAAACAGTATTAAAATTAATATTAAAATTTGTTTCCATTTATTTATTATCTACAGTTTTGTCAAAGAAAGCACTTTGATCAAAATAATCTTATCCTACAGAGGGTAAATTGGCCATCTCTGCCTGAAAGACTTAAGCCATAGTTGGAATTAAAATGACACAGAAGAGAATTAAACATTGACACAAATGACTCACAAATCTCCTATCTATACTTCCCCACCACCCCAGACGGTCATGGTTCATAAATACTTGCTGAGTAGGTGTTTTTCCTCCAAATGAAGATAGCTTTGTTTTGTATTTTTGAAATAATACATTCTGAGAAAACCTAGAGAATACATACAGGGAAATAAACATTTTCTACGATTCTGAGTTAATTGTTTGTTTCTGTGTTTTTTTTTTTTTTTTTTTCGAGATGGAGTCTTGCTCTGTCGCCCAGCCTGGAGTGCAATGGTGCGATCTCGGCTCACTGCAACCTCCACCTCCCAGGTTCAAGTGATCCTCCTGCCTCAGCCTCACAAGTAGCAGGGATTAAAGACATGTGCCACCACGCCCAGCTAATTTTTGTATTTTTAGTAGAGACAGGGTTTTACCATGTTGCCCAGGCTGTTCTCGAACTCCTGACCTCAGGTGATCCGCCTGCCTCAGCCTCCCAAAGTGCTGAGATACAGGTGTGTGCCACTGCGCCTGGCCAAGTTAATTGTTTATGCACTTAAAAATATATTACTCCATAAAATAATGTCTTTTACAACAACTTGGATGGAGCTGGAGGCCGTTATTCCAAGTGAATTAACTCAGGAATGGAAAACCAAATATTGTATATTCCCACTTATAAGTGGGAGCTAAACTATGAGAATACAAAGGCATAATAATGATATAATGGACTTTGGGGACTTGGAGGGGAAGTGTGGGAGGGGCTTGAGGGATAAAAGACTACATCTTGGGTATAGTGTACACTGCTTGGGTGACAGATGCATCAAAATCCCAGAAATCACCACTAAAGAATGTATCCTTGTAACCAAAACCCATCTGCACCCCCAAAATATTGAAGTAAAAATTAAAATTATATATATATAGTTCTGTATATGTTTCCCTAAAACACAAACACACATACACATTTTAACTACTCCTCCATGGTGAAAGTTTTGATTATTTCCTTTTGATTGTTCTGAAAAATATTCTTACATCTTTATACACCAGTCTAATTGTTTTGGAGAGGTTTTAAAGAGCTGAAGGACCTCAACCACTTTCCCCAGGGCTGAACACCAGCAATATTTTGCTTGTCTCAACGCAGCTCTTTCCTTCCATTTTTGTGGTGCCTATGCCTACCCACTTCCAGGTCCAGCTTTAACATAGAGAAAAGATTTGCCTGGCAATAAACCAAAATCAGGAATTTGCAGTGCTAGAATTTGCCCACATAATCATGTCCTCCTGGTCCTAAAGCTGTATTCCTTGAGTACAATAGAGTATAAGCAATGTCTTTCAGAAATGCCCACATAGGAACAAATGTTCCGCAAGAAACACTTGAAAGAAAAGTACAGGGCATAGGAACAGAGAAATGGAATCTGCCACCGAGAAGCAAAAGGTTGCCCGAGAAGCAAAAGGTTGCCTTTTTTAAACTAGCAGTTTTTGTTTAATGAGTACATCAAGCCAGTAAGAAGCAAGCAGAGAATTTCCAGTTTGACTGGTTCACACTCTACCCGCTTAAAGCCACGTAAGTCTACATGAAGCTAGAGCTAGAACTCTGCAAAAACAAACAAAAACCACCACCACCAACAAAAAACCAACGAAAAAAACAACCTAAAAAAGCCCAAACCCAGTCATCACTTACTCAATGGTCATTAGCCCTAGAAACCCTTTCCAGATATGGCACAGCTATTCTAGTTTATTAAAAAATAAATTTTATTGTGTATATTTAAAGTATACAACATGATGTTATAAGATACATGTAGTTTGTTTTTTTATTTTTATTTTATTATACTTTAAGTTCTAGGGTACATTTGCACAACGTGCAGGTTTGTCACATATGTATACATGTGCCATGTTGGTGTGCTGCACCCATTAACTCGTCATTTACATTAGGTATGTCTCCTAATGCCATCCCTCCCCCGTCCCCCCACCCCACGACAGGCCCGGTGTGTGATGTTCCCCTTCCTGTGTCCAAGTGTTCTCATTGTTCAATTCCCACCTATGAGTGAGAACATGTGGTGTTTGGTTTTTTGTCCTTGCGATAGTTTGCTGAGAATGATGGTTTCCAGCTTCATCCATGTCCCTATAAAGGACATGAACTCATCCTTTTTTATGGCTGCATAGTATTCCATGGTGTATATGTGCCACATTTTCTTAATCCAGTCTATCATTGAGGGACATTTGGGTTGGTTCCAAGTCTTTGCTCTTGTGAATAGTGTCGCAATAAACATACGTGTGCAAGGATACATGTAGTTTAAAAAGGTTACTATGGTGAAGCAAATTAACATGCACATCATGTCACATAATGACCCAATTTTTTTTTTTGGTTTTGTGTAAAGAGCAGCTAAAATCTGCACATTGGGCGTGAATCATATTTTGTTACCTATAGTCCTCATGTTGTTTGAGAAGCTCTACACGGTCCTGAAACTTGCCTTCTCCATCCTTGTACATCAACGCTGCAGCATCATTGCAATCACCTGGGAGCTCATTAACAATACAGAGAAGAATCTGGAGTTCAACACCATCCCCAGGTGATTCGTATTCAAATGATAGCTTAAGAAGTGCTGGTCTATTCGTCTCATCCAGCTGTGAATGTTTGATTGTCAGACCTCAGTTGTTACTGCAATACTTTTGATATTTACCCTGTGTTACAGACAAAAGGTGCTTCTGGTGGTGTTAGATGTATAAAGTACAGTATCTATATTCGATGGAAGGATTTTTGTGTTAAAGTGTATTTAAGTGTATTTGCACTCTAATGTTGGGTTAAATGCCACATTTTTCTTTTTTCTTTTCTTTTTGTTGAGATGGAGTCTCACTCTGTTGCCCAGGCTGGAGTGCAGTGGCACAGTCTCCGCTCACTGCAGCCTCTGCTGCTTCCCGGGTTCAAGTGATTCTCGTGTCTCAGCCTCCTGAGTAGCTGGGAACACAGGTGTGTGCCACCATGCCTGGCTAATTTTTCTATTTTTAGTAGAGATGAGGTTTCACCATGTGGGCCTCAACTCCTGACCGCAGGTGATCCACCCACCTCAGCCTTCCAAAGTGATGGGATCACAGGTGTGAGCCACCGCACCCGGCCTCTTTTTTTTTTTCTTTTAAATTGTAGAGTTATTGAAAAGAAGTAATGGGAAGGAGAAAAGGTGACCCTTATCCTTGCATACATTTATATCAGTTGTAGATAAAATTATTTTATAGATTCAAATTTAATGCTGTTTTAGGGATGCAAAACATTGTGTAGGCTTCATAGCGAAGGAAGTCTAGGAGATAGTGACCTCAAAGCTTAGAGATGATCTAAAAGAATGCTGCTTTTGCTCTCTCCAAATTCAGGAAATTTCTGGTATTGTCTGAGACTTAATGTGCCCCACCTTGGGTCCTTGGAGTTCCTTGCACTGACAGTCTGGTCAAAAACTTCCTTGGCAAGTGGTGGCTCTCTGTCCTCCAAGGAGAGACAAGAGGCAGACTTGGAACATGATGCTATTTGCCTAAAAGTAATCAGCTCAGCTCAGAGCATTTTCCTATGATCCAGAATGACCCTGCAGACTGGAAGGCGAAGAGTTGTTCTTAGACAAGAACTTGCTAAACCACTTGACCTTTCAACAGCTGCAGAACTGTTTATCAGGAGCATGCCATCTCTCTTGGCTCTTGCAATTTGGCAGCCAGAAAAGTCAAGCCAGTGACATCGTGTGCTTTAGAAAACTTCTGGACAATTCACAACTTCCACCATAAAGTGGCTAAATTAGTCTTGCTAGTCAGATAGTGATCTTTGGATGGGTCATCCTTTCCTTGAGCTGGTTGGCTTTTGGGACTCCTTCACTGGAATCAAATGAGTCACTGCTGGAGATAAACATAAATATCTATTTGCCAGAGCCTCCAATTCCCTAAATCGTAGCTGATAGAGAAGGATAGATTAGCTCTGTTTCCAGACACAAGCCTAGGGCAAGTGGCAACTCTGTTTGCCAATAACAAAGAACATGAATTCTCTTCATTTATCTAAGTAATTTCTCAAGAATCAAAGGAGCCAGTGAGCTTTAATTTAGTTTCTCTGACAGTTGTATTTGTGTGCAGAAACATCCATGATTCATGACATACTTTTGCATAATATGAGTTGAAATATGACTTGATAATGCTAATAAAATGGGTGAATAATAATTTCAAAACAATGACACTGGTTGAAAACTCACTCAACAAGAGATGGAGCTCCTGTTGATACTGAAACAAGGAAGGGCCAGGCACGGTGGCTCACCCCTGTAATCCCAGCAATTTCGGAAGCTGAGGTGGGAGGATCTCTTGAGCCCAGGAGTTCGAGACCAGTCTGGGCAACATGGCAAAACCCTGTCTCTAAAACAAAATACAAAAAAATTGACCAGGCATGGTGTCATGTGCCTGTAGTCGCAGCTGCTGGCGGAGGCTGAGGTGGGAGGATCGCTTGAGGCCAGGGAGGTCAAGGCTGCTGTGAGCAGTGATCATGCCACTGCACTCCAGCCTGGACAGGAGACAGAGTAAGACCCTGTCTAAAAAAAAAAAAGTAAAAGGGAATAGGTCTCCAGTCTAGAGCTACAGCCAAGTATGGTGTTTAAAATCTTGGACACATGTCTTAAGCTCTCTGTGCCCCCAATTTATTCCTCCTTAAAATGGAGATAATCATAAGAACTACTTTAGAATTCTTATAAGAATTAAATAAAATATCATCTGTAAGTGTAAGCACTTAGTGTCGGCCACATCATTGTCACTCAATACATTTTTCTTAGTATTATCCTCTAATCAAACCCCTTTTGCAACAAATGTGATTAAACAAATATGTATGTAAAGGAAAGATAACCCAGCAATTTTAAGTATGAAGGTATTTTAGACCCTCAAGCCCAATAATACTTGGCTTTTGTTGGCTGAACGTGTCAGAGCTTACATTTGAGCCACATCTCAATGTTTCGAAAAAATGTTCGTATTTTTCAGTTTGTATATTACACTAAAAACTTTGTTCACCCTCTCATGTAAGTGATAGGGCTAATTTGTTTTTCCTATTGCAAATCCTGTATTATGAGATTAAAACAGTGACAACCACTTTTGAAATAGCAAATGCAATGTATATTGAAAAACATTTTCAGGGTATTCATTAAGATTGAGATATAATACATCAGAAAAAGAGGCAGACTCAATATTTGCTTTTTTTTTTTTTTTTTTTTTTTTTTTTTTTTTTTTTTTAACAGAGATTAGGCCACTGATGCTAAAACACTATAGATTGCTGGGCTATGCTTTAAATACTGAATACACACAAATAATTTCTTTTTCTTTTTTTTTTTTTTTTTGGAGACAGAGTCTTCCTTTGTCACCCAGGTTGGAGTGCAGTGGTGCAATCTCGGCTCACTGCAACCTCCACCTCCCAGGTTCAAGCAATTCTCCTGCCTCAGCCTCCTGAGTAGCTGGGACTGCAGGTGCACACCACCACGCCCGGCTGATTTTTTGTATTTTTAGTAGAGATGGGGTTTCGCCATGTTGGCCACGCTGGTCTCGAACTCCTGTCCTCAAGTGCTCCACCTGCCTTGGCCTCCCAAAGTGCTGGGATTACAGGCGTGAGCCACCGTGTCCGACCTCAAATATTTTTAAATAAACTTTTTTTTTCAAATTTATCAAATACTTGAGAAAGGATTTCATGTGGATTTGAGGCTTAAAAGACATATATACTTTGCTATTCTACTGATACGGTTTGGCTGTGTCCCCACTCGGATCTCATCTTGAATTGTAGCTCCAGTATTCCCACCTGTTGTAGGAGGGACCTGGTGGGAGGTAATTGAATCACGGGGGCAGTTTCCCTCATACTGTTCTCATGACGGCGAGTAAGTCTCACGAGATCTGATGGTTTTATAAGGGGTCTTTCCTTTCACTTGGCTTTCATTCTTTCCTGCCTGCCATGATGTAAGACGTTCCTTTCACCTTCCACTATGATTGTGAGGCCTCTCCAGCCACGTGGAACTGTGAGTCCATTAAACATCTTTTTCTTTATAAATTACCCAGTCTTGGGTATGTCTTTATCAGCAGCATGAAAATGGACTAATACGCTAACTTTATTCTCAGAGAAAGCACAAAGCATATGTCAGTAGAAAGTGTGTCGTGTTTGGCGCCACCCATACCTGGGTTCGAATCTGTGCTCTACTGCCTAATAGCTTTTGGGGTCGAGAATAAATTCCTTCCTTCCTTCCTTCCTTTCTCTCTCTGTTTGTCTCTCTTTCTCTCTCTCTGTCTCTTGGTCTCTCGGTCTCTCTCTGTCTCTCTCTCTCTCTCTTTCTTTCTTTTTTTTTTCTTTTTTTTGGCGGAGTCTCGCTCTGTCGCCCAGACTGGAGTGCAGTGGCGCGATCTCGGCTCACTGCAAGCTCCGCCTCCCGGGTTCCCGCCATTCTCCTGCCTCAGCCTCCGGAGTAGCTGGGACTACAGGCGCCCGCCACTGCGCCCGGCTAATTTTTGTATTTTTAGTGAGACGCGGTTTCACCGTGTTAGCCAGGATGGTCTCGATTTCCTGACCTCATGATCTGCCCGCCTCGGCCTCCCAAAGTGCTGGGATTACAGGCGTGAGCCACCGCGCCCGGCCGAGGATAAATTTCTTAAACGTTCTAAGCCTCAGTTTTCAACCTAAAATAAGAGAAAGGATTAAGAACTGTATGGAAGAGAGGGGAGTGGAAATTGTAAGAAGTAAAGAATCTGGCACCGTGCCTGTCACAGGCAGGCAAACCTCCCTTTGCAGGTGATGATCTTAGTTATCATGGAACCATGGAACACCGTTCCCTTGTGTGTGCGTTTCAGTTATGCACATTTCTGCACGTGTTGCAACATGCAGAACAACAAAATCTATAAAAAGTTTTTAATATATGGCAGTTTTATAATTTCAATATATTAAAAATGTCAATAAGAAAATATAACATTTTGGTTGGGAGCGGTGGCTCACGCCTGTAATCCCAGGACTTTGGGAGGCAGAGGTGGGTGGATCACCTGAGATCAGGAGTTTGAGACCATCCATGGTGAAATCTCATCTCTACTAAAAATGCAAAAATAAGCCGGGCGTGGTGGCGGATGCCTGTAATCCCAGCTACTCAGGAGGCTGAGGCAGGAGAATCACTTGAATCTGGGAGGTGGAGGCTGCAGTGAGCTGAGATCGCGCCACTGCACTCCAGCCTGGGTGACAGAGCAAGACTCTGTCTCAAAAATGAAAAATTAAAAAAAAGAAAATATAACATTTCACTTTAAAAGGAAACATCTGAAACAACAATAAAATTAATGACTGAGCATTGTTTCATTTAATCCTTAAAAAATTGTCAACAAGGCAAGAACCGTTACTGACACCCTTTCTACAACTGGAGAAAAGGAGACCCGGAGGTTCAATAACCAAGTTTACCCAGCTAGTCAACAGACGAGCCAGACAGATAGAGAGGGGCTAACCTCTCTATCTTGTCTCTTTTGGATTTGTGTTAAAACAAAGACAAGGTTTTCTCACTTTCTTGACCCTGAGACTACGTTTTTGGGCTTTCCGTTTTGCAGGAGAAGCAATGTTTTATATGGGCCAATGTGGGGAGATGGATAAGCTGGGACTTTGGTACTCTGGATGATCCAGAAAGGCAGAGCAAATCATTGAGGATCAAACTCCAGAGCAAATTATTGAGGACCAAATCCCATAAGGGGTCAGGACCAGCTCAGCCAGTTCAACTGCAGAGGCGTTGCAAAGGGTAGAATTAGGAGACTCAGTTGGATGGGCAGGTAGTATTCCAGTGGACATCGGGGAAGATCACCAGGACGTCAGCAATTGGGCAGGCTTTAGGGTGAGCTCTTGTTTTGTTAGAGTAGGGCCAGGCAGAATAGAGACTTGGATTTTGATCAGGACTGAGACAGAGTGTGCAAATAGAAACTTAGACCAGGGAACCAACGTAAGGGAGACAGAGAAGAGTAAGTAGGAGACCTGAACTTTTCCCTCTATACTTGATCTCATATAAAAATGGCGGTGAAGGAATCTACCCATGTAACAAACTTGTACATGCATCATGTGACTCTAAAATGAAAGTTGAAGTTACTTTAAAAAATTGCAGTGGAGGAGATCATGGGACATCGGGCCAGACAGAGGCAACCCAGCGGCCCGGCAGTCAAGATAGTAGGGCCGCCAGGTCTGAGAGCAGGGCTACAGGCCAACTCCCCAGCATGTAGGGGTGGAGAGGGGCCAGTCACAGCCACGACTGGCAGGCTGAGACTGAGACCTAAGGTGAAAGGGACTGGCGGAGCCAACTAAGGAAAGGTAGGGGATTGAGGGGCTAGGAGCCAGAACCTATAAACTTGAGCTTGTAGCAGTGGCAACAAATTCTATTTCCCAGCTGGAGGGAATGGATGATCCCATACTGACTCCATGCAAAGTGTAGGACAAGAGGATTGGGAAAAAGAGATCTCTGGCCATGTGTTCCTCCCTTTTGGGAACTCCTTAAGAAATGTGAAAGGTGAGGGCTGTCACCTGGCACGATGTCTTTTTCCCTTTGAAACTTGGGGGTTGTTGTAGGCAGCACTGTCCATGCCATTCAGGTAGAGTGCAAAAAATCAGGTTCACTTGTTGAAACCAGTAGCTATAGAGCATGTGAACTACTTTTATGCCTCAATTCAAAGGAGCAAAAGAAAGGAATTCATTCTCTAAGAGCCATGTCAAAGACGGATTCCACCATTATTTGGAAATGCAATCATGCCTCTGGACTGAAAAAGTACCCAGTTAGGTTTAGCTCCTTTAAATAGTTACAGTGATTCATGAGATGGCAACATTTTCTAACATCAGATTGGAAGACCTGTGAAGGCAATTCTGTCCTGATGAAGACAGGAAAACAGCGTCTGTGTTCTGGATAGTCTGGTGTTAGTGAATGAATGTTTTGTGGTCAGAGTAAGTTATGGAAAATGTAAGTGTAATAACTTTTGCATGTGAATAGAGCTAAATTATACCAAACATTTACTAGGTGTGTGTGAGGTGGCAGGCAGGGGGAGGTGGGACAAACCTCCACTGAAATTCTACATGTGCTCTCTTGTTAATCTGTAAAAGACTTTCAGGCATTCTCTTATGGAAACTTCAGAAGCAGATGGAAATATTTTAAGATTTATAATACACATGGGCCTGTAACATGAATTTTCATTTTCCTTACAGAAGTGAACCCAGTGGAGTGCTGCATTATCCTTCATTAGTTAGCAAAAATCCAAAAGGGGAAATCATATTTTATACTATGGCTTCTAGAAGGTTTAGAAGCAACTGTCTCATTTGTGAACATGAGCAGCACAAAAGCTGTGCTTCAGTTCTTCCCATTGTATTTCCATGGTCATGATCTGCTTCATATCAGGTAGATGATAATTCTAACCTTCGCCAACAATTCAGCTAATGCAGCAAATTTCTTCTCTTCACCCCCAAAGGAATTATGTCTTTTGAGGCAAGAAATTATCAAGCTCATAGGAAATGGAATAACCATCTTTTTTCATCAGAAAACTGCATCTCTTTCAAATTGTAAAATTACCTTTGGTAACATATCCTGATTTTAATAATTTACTGAGGGTGTAGTGCATTCTTTAAATGATACATTTATGTTGGTGTACCATTAGTGTTGACAGTAATAATATCTATGTAATAAAATCTATAGGCAGTATTCTCATGGACCTATGGCTAGGGAAATCAGACTGTTTTGACATCAAAAAATCCTGAGTGAAATTTGAATATGGCATCCCAAGAATGACACTTTAGGTGCTCAGCTTTGTACATCCCCATCACCACATAATAGGAACTGAAATTTTACTCTTTCCCTCAGCCTGGTGGACCTGTGTTCTTTCCATCAATGCAAGCGGCCTCACTGGTGCTGAATGGACAGCTCTGGATAGCATTCAGATCAAGGTGGCCGTGGGTGTCTAGGACCCACGGATGGCTTCTAAGGAGCTGTGAGCCTCATAAAATTAAATGCAAAATTGCGTGTATATGATTGTGTGCACATTTTCCCAAGAAGATCCATAGCAGTGAAACCTTGCAACCAATAAAATTAAAGGATAAAATCTATTGCTTTACTCCTATCAAAAGAAATGCAATTTTCATAAAGGGTACCCTAATATTTACAAATTATAGTAATGTGCCCCATCTCCTATCCAGACCAGGTAACTAAATGATTGTAACCTGTTAATACCCAAACATCCGTGTCAACTTTTCCACAAAGTAAAACAAGGTCTCTGTATGCATTGACTACATATTAAATATACCTTACATTCCTTAAATGTTTTACAATTATACCTTAATAAATTAACATATAATATATAGGTATATTACACTTGGTATATATAATATACTTCACATATACCTTATATAATAATTTATATTATGTGATACTATATTATAATGTATTAAATATATAATATACTATTTAATAATCATAATCATATATATTATTTAACATAATATATTAACATATGCTTAATATTTAATATATTAGACTAGTTATATAAATAATATATGATATAACTATATTACATATAGAATATATTATTTATATACTTCATATATAATATATAACGACATAAATATATAGATATATATTAATATATACTTCATATATAATGTATTATATGTGAGCTATTATATATAATATATAACAATATATAATATAGTAATAAACTTCGGAGAAAAGAAATATTCTACATTGTGGAAGTTTATATTATATATGATATATACTATATAAGATATATATTATATTATTATATAATATAATGCATATGAGGTATTATATAGACTTCATATATGTTATATATGAAGTATGTTAATATATAACACCTTAATAATTATACTTTATAACATTTTGGCTAATCCAAAGGCAATTTATTTCAAAACTTAGAGTTTACTAACTTAAGTGGAAGTGGAGGAGAGTAAATTTTGACAGAAAATGGAACAGCAAAAAGTTCTTTTCAAATGTTTGATTATTGTTTCATAGTATATAATTGTAGTTCCTTACAATATTAGTTTATCTGTTTCATATTTCTTGGAAAAAACCCTTTAATGTTAAGGCTCCTATGTAGGAATTCTTTGATGAGCGCGGAAAAGCTGGAGTGAAGGGGTTGATAAATGTTTAAATTAACAAACTTGATTTTAAACTATCCAATAAATATTTCTCTTAAAAAGTTAGGCATATTTTGATCAGTTTGGTTCCTGTTTTATTTTTTTCCTTTCTTGATCCGCTTCTCAGCTGTGGCTGCGATCTCTGGCATCTCCACAGCATTGATGAAAAAACCCTTTTAAAATGACTGTATCTTGTGTCTTGTGTGGTCTTCTCTCTTCTCTCTCAATTTAAAGTATTAAAATTGTTTAACATCTTTCTAGGAAGCAGGTAACACAATGGTAAGTTTACAATCTTCCTCCTGTCCCTTTGTATACAGGGGTCAATTTATGTTGGTAATATGGTGAATGATCAAGCTCCAATATTAAACTTTGGAGACAAGTAATATCCTACCTTGTGGAAGTTTGAATTAAAAGATCTCTTTCAAGTGCAGTTGAGAATTTAGCCATAACTCTATCATTCAGAGATAAATTAAAATTCAGTGTGCTAGTGTATGTGCATGTTTTACATCAAAGGCAATGGTACCAAGAATGCATACTTAACCTTCCGCCGTGAGGAGTTTGAATTGGAAAATTTTAATCCAGGTTATAAATCACTTGAGAGACATTTAAAATAGCCACAAGGGGGCAGCAAAACACACAGGATTCCCTGAATCCACTGACGCAGGAACATTTCGCTGTGTCTTACGAAGGCAAACGAAAGAACGAATTAAAGTACCTGGCGTTTGAGCCGTCTTCAAACACTGGCATTTCTAGTACCAATACAGTGAAGCCGGCAGGGGAGACGCTATACTTCCTAACTGAATAATATATGAGACACCAACTTTCTAAGTATTTCTTTTCTTTTTCTTCTTTTTTTTTTTTTTTGAGATGGAGTCTCGCTCCCTCACCCAGGCTGGAGTGCAGTGGCGCGATCTCAGCTCACTGCAAGCTCCGCCTCCCGGGTTCAAGCGATTCGCCTGCCTCAGCCTCCGGAGTAGCTGGGATTACGGGCACCCGCCATCACGCCTAGCTAATTTTTGTATTTTTAGTAGAGTCGTGGGGAGGGTTCACCATGTTGGTCAGGCTGCTCTCGAACTCCTGACCTCAGGTGATCCATCCGCCTCGGCCTCCCAAAGTGCTGGGATTACAGGCCTGAGCCACGTGCCCGGCCCCTTTCTAAGTATTTCTTATGAAGGGCTACTGTGATTTGCACCCAGGGAGGGCGAAAACCTGTCAGTGGCTCATGATACTTACCAGTGGAGCAGATTGTAAATTCCTCTTCCTCCTTCTCCTATAAAGATTTCTCTGTATTCCAGGGGCAAATAACAATAGGTAAAGTATCAGTTAGATTTAACTTTTAAAAATAAGAAACAGACCCTCTTGCAGAAGCAGTAAATACTTATGAATCACTTATCAATTATCAGGCACTGTTCCACAGGGAAGAGTCCAGGGTACTGGTCGAACCTGGATTTTATTGTCAGGCTTTCTTGGTGTGAAACTGTACAAGCTCGGGCAGATTTCTTCGCCTTTAGATGTCTTAGTTTCTTCACTTGTAAGATGAGGCTAATTCTATAGGTTGCTTTAAAGATTAAGTAAAATAATATATGCCAGCTCAGTGGCTGACATATGATAAGAATTGAATTAACAGTTATAAAATTACTATCATACATGAGTGGCATGTGGTATTACTCAGTATTGTTTCTTGGTAACTAAATGATTATATGTAATTTCATTTAATTCTTACAACTAGTGTGAGAGACCAGTTTTATTTCTCTCCATTTTTATAGGTGAGAAGTTGAGGTTCAAAAGGACTGATTGCCTAATATAAATAAAACGGAAAAGCTAGGATTTGAACCTATCGTTTTTCTGACTCCCAGACTCAGGTACTTTCAACCACACCTGTGTAGGTAGGCTACCATCATATTTTTCCCCCTCTTCCTGGTAACTCCTAAAGTCACCTGAAGTCACCTAATAGATCTTGGAATGAGTTAGAAGTTCCACTAGGCCAGCACAAGGCAGGATCGCATGAGTCTTCTCATGCACTAATCAGACCAGGGTGTGGGGACGGAGGAGAGGAAAGACTTTCTAGTAATCATGGAGGAAGCAAGTATTACCCCCATGTCTCAAACCCAAATCAGTCTCACCTGGAAAAATCTCTCCAAGGCAACATACCTTAAACTCATGAGCACTTATTTGTGTATCTCCTACATCATCGAGTGTCATCCTTGTCTATGGGGGCAAGTGATTGTTGAAATGAGTTGACTCATCTATGGTGAAGAGCTATATGGATGTCTGGAATCAGAATGTTCCCGAGGTTTTTAAGTCTTGAAATAATCATTTAAGTGCATAGAATTTGTTCTATTTGCTCTCTCTCAATATGGAAATGGAAAGACCCTTCTTTGCATGTTTAATTGGAGAAGGCACTCTTACTTAACAGGCTTACAGAAGCATGTCCTCACCATGTGCACTGAGAAACCACACTGAATACACTTTTAATTATTTTATTATTATTATTTTTGAGACAGAGTCTCACTCTGTCACCCAGGCTGGAGTGCAGTGGCGCGATCTCGGCTTGCTGCAACCTTTACTTCCCGGGTTCAGGCGATCCTCATGCCTCAGCCTCCCGAGTAGCTGGCATTACAGGCATGTGCCACCACACCCAGCTAATTTTTGTATTTTTAGTACAGTCAGGATTTCATCATGTTGGCCAGGCTAGTCTCGATCTCCCGACCTCAGGTGATCCGCCCACCTCGGCCTTCCAAAGTGCTGGGATTACAGACATGAGCCACCGCACCTGGCTGTGAATGCACTTTTTAAATTAAAAATACAAACATACAAACAAAAGAAAACAAAACAAAAAACACCCTCTCTGTGTAAAGCAGCTTAATTATCCACCAATTCTTTGTTATTGTAGAGCAGTAGTTACGCCCCTAAGAGAGATGACCGCAGAGAATTACAAAGAAAAAGCCTGCTGACCTATATACATGCTTATTCCTTATTTCAACTGACAATATGGAAATGATAGAAGATACTCCCTTTAGTACCTATGGATTTTCCCACGTTCTTTTATAGAAACTTTGGGGTCCCTCAAGATGAAAAAAAGCTATCCTCAGATCCTCACTTACTCCTGTAATACAGTGAACATCACAGAGTAAAACAGAGTCTGAGCAAGATCCCTCTTGGTAAATAGTCTGCTGCTGAGACTGCCCCTTGGCACTTGGCCACTGTGACACCAATTTCAAAAGGTTAGATCTAAATGGCAAATGTTCTTAAAATATCCTCTTAATTATCTGTTGACTTTAAAAATCATATTTAACAGTAGTATTCATTTATGTCCTAAATGGGAATTGTCTTGTTTTTCTCTTTGGTGCCCTTGATATTAAATTGCTGTGGTTTGGGGAGAATTCTAAGTGGACCCCGTTTGTTCTTATTGAGGGTGGGCCTTGAGGCACATACTGACTTTCTGTGAATTTGTCTGTCTACAGAGCAAGGGGTCTGGGTGACTGTGTCAGAATGTGGGGTAAGGTGTGGCAGTGTGTGGGTGGGGATTAGAAGCCTCCAACTTGCCTAGGAACATCTCTCCATTCTTTATTCTTGAGCCAGACTTACAATCTGAAGAGTACTCTCTGCGTACTTTGAAGAAGGCGCCATGATGTTTCTTGGGGCGGTACACACTTGCAAATGAAAAGTCATATTATACTTGGTAGATTTCTCATCACTTATGGTTATTTAAGCAGATGAGAAGGAATTCTACAAAATAAGTACATAGAAAGGCTGACGCGATGGCTCAATGCCTGTAATCCCAGCACTTTGGGAAGCCGAGGCGGGTGGATCACGAGGTCAGGAGATTGAGACCATCCTGGCTAACATGGTGAAACGCTGTCTTTACTAAAAATACAAAAATTAGCCGAGTGTGGTGGTGCATGCCTGTAATCCCAGCTACTCAGGAGGCTGAGGCAGGACAATCGCTTGCAGTGAGCTGAGATCGCGCCACTGCACTCCAGCCTGGTGGCAGAGTGAGACTCCATCTCAAAAAAAAAAAAAAAAAAGTACATAGAATAGTCAGATATGAAAAAAGGCACAAATTATACTTTGTATAGTGATTCCTCTACTCATTCTTGATAAACTGTAGAATACTGCTTCCCTTGTCACACAATCCTTTTAATTAAAAAAAATGCAATGATATGCTTGCTGAATTTTTATAAGGAAGATTCTTAGGTCAGCCTTTGACATGGAGACATGTACTCGCTGAATGAATAAATCAAGATAGAAAACCTTATTTATTTAGCCAGAAATGTGCTGTGCAGCTCTTCCCTGGAGCTCCCAGAATTTCCCAGTAGTGGATCTCATAGAAAGAATTCACAGGTGAAGCTTCAGCAGAAAAGGAACCAGAAAGATAATCACTAATGTTCTTTTCCTCCCCTCCCTTCGTCTCCCCTCCCCTCCCCTCCTATCCCCTTTTTTCCCTTCCCTTCTCCTCCCCTCCCCTCTCCTTTCCTTCCTTCTCCTCCTGTCCCCTTTCTTCCTCCCCTCTTCCCTCCCCTCCCTCCCCTCTCCTCTCCTCCACGTCCCTCCCTCTCTTTCCCGTTTTCTTTCTTATTTCTTCCTCTACTCCCTCTTCCTCCTCCTTTAAGAAATGACATAATTTAAGACACTGCTGCAGATGATTTAAAACATATATTTACCTTCCTTTTTTGGATATGACCTAAAAGGAAAAAGTGATGTAAAGGAAGAAAACGACAGGTTAGAATAACTCCTCCTCCTCCTCTTCTGGTTATAAAGATTGGTCTCCAGTAGCATAATATGAAGGGAGCTGGAGATGATCTGCTCAGTGTCAGGGTGGTGTTATGTGCTTGTCTGAAAAATGAAAAGATGATTTAATCTTGTGTATGTGTTTTAACAGGATTAACTTCATGACCCCATGGAGAAGGGGTAGAGTAAGGATCTCACACCAGTGGCCTAAGGAAGTACAATTATGGAAACTGGAGGGTGTGTGCTAACTACCAACCAGTCCGGAACTTCAGTTGTGTTCATAAGGGTCCACACAACAACCTTCACCCTTGCCCAGGCTGTAAACCTCATCTGGGTTATTCTGACTCTCCATCCTGAAGTTATTTTTCTTCCCCAGTGCAGTTGAGAACTCTTTCATCAGGTCAGCAGGGAAAGGCATACGAAGCAGGATAATCTGGAAATGTGCTGGGAGAACTCTTTTTGTCCATGAGCTAAACATACCTTAATAACCTTGCCTTTAAAACAACAAACAAACAAGTAAAAAGCATACATAAGAACCAGAAACAAAATATTAACAATGACAATAACCAAACTAAACAAAAACAAAAACTATCTTGTACTGCTCCGGGTTGCAGGTTTTTAACATAACTAAGAAATTGTTATTAAAATAAAAGATATTCATTGGGAAAATGTAGATAAGCAAGTAGAAAAAGATGAAACACAGTCTTAGCATTCAGAAATAACTCTGGTTATATTTTTTGGGTTTAGACTCTCAAAGTGTGTGTGTGTGTGTGTCTTTCTCTCCTACACACAACCAATACAAATATAAATTTACCAAAATGAAAACATATTTGCTCTTATTACTCTTAATAAGCATACTCATTCTTTAATAACTGCAAAATATGTGATCATATGAGTGTACTATAGTGAATGTAACTGGCTATTACTACTGTGTATGTAAGATGTCTTGCATTTTTTCTTTCTTATAAATTGCTTTATAAAAATTGTTCTTGTAGCCAAGTGTTTGTGACGTTACAAATGTTTACTTAGGATAAATTCCTAGAAGCAGGATTTCTATGTTAGAGGTTAAGGACATTCTGAAAGCTTTTGTTGTTAAGTAATGCGAAGACACCAAGAGGTCTCACCCACACATTCTTTTGTCAGCAGTATATGAGATGCCTAGATTCTCACTACTCCTGAGGGTAATCATTGAAGTTAAAGGAAATACTTAAAAGTGGATTTTTGAAGAGGAATGACTAGGCAGTTTAATTCTGCCTTTTGGAACATTCAGACTTTATTGCCAGACCAGTCTTTTTCGGGAATTCACTTGTTACCAAATGACTTAGAGTCACACTGAAGGCTGAAGCCTATAAAAGGGGTCACACCGATGGTATTGTTCATTCATTTATAAGAAAGATCACGTCTTTCTTGCTTTATTCAAAGGAGCGGAAGCTGGCTTGCTTCCAGCTGGGATATCCTGATTGGAAGTCAACTCGGACAGTCAGCTTTGCTCCTTCCTTACCATCCTCTTAGTGCAAGTTCCTCAAAGAAGACTGATGTGTACACAGTCTGGTTTGCACATATACAATGCATCAAACACATGATCTGCTTTGCTCATCCTGTGTGGCTTTGGGGTCCAAGGGGAGGGGAGAGGAAAGAGGCTGAGAAAATGGGCATTTCTTCCTGGTAAGTCCATATCAAAGATCAGTGTTTGGCTCACCAACAGCTGCTACACTAATTATTCATCTTAATAACAATGAGTAACGATGTTTAAAAATCCCGAGTGCCTATCAACACTACATTTAGTGCTATACAATATGCTTAGCTCAAAGTCCTCATTGGACATTTTATAATAGCCTTTAAAATAATACTTACATTTTCAAAGCCCTTTACCGTGGATGAAGTGTTTTCATATTGATAAGTGAATGTACGATGGGTGGTCAGATTTGGTGGTATTTCATGCTTTTTACCTGTGTTTGAATAGTGCTCAATTTCAGGCCTTCTGACTATTCCTTCTGTTTCATGTCTACTGTTTAAATCCTTACTTAAAAAAAACCAATGATGGGCTCAAATCTCTTATCGTATTTCTTAATGGGATGGGATAAAATGAAGGATGTGGTTAGCTGTGATGACACATTTAAATAAATAGAAAAAATAGAAAAGTCAATCATGTGGCAAGATATGCTTTCACTTAGTGCCTTGTCCCCTGGAAGTCAACATGAAAAAGTGCTCTGGGTCTTGGATTAGAAAAAGCCCCAAACATCTTTCATGCATGGCTGGAAGTGTAAGACTCGTTATCCTGGCTCTAATCCAGTGCAAAGGGGAATTTCAAGAGCTGGTTCACATATTTGTAATTTTCCAGTTTTGAGCATACACTTCCTATCCTGGCCATTTGTGCTTTCTGGGGGAAGCCAGCAAATTGCTTGTGCAGAGGGAAAATGCTTCTTGATATCTTAAAACCGTAAAGTGCTGTGGGATATTTTTGGATAAAGAGTTGAGGGAGATCATTAATTTTGTAACCACTGTGTTGTCATTAGCACAGTTCTAGGCTTACAATGTTTTATTAGTGTGGTTTGCATGATTAGTTTACTTGGAGAATTATTATAAATTATTGATGCTATCATTCTGCTGTGGGGAAGCCTAGCGAACTGGAGGAAATAAAAAAGGCATAGATTTTGTTGTTGTTGTTTTTAATCCTAGTTTATGAGCTGCAGTACTCACTAAAGTGCTTTGGAAATCTACTAAAAAGTTTGTTAATTCAGGAAAAAAGATACTGGTTCAGAGGACCACCAGAGGAAGCTTCAGGGAGCAGAGGGGCTCCGGAAGGTCTTTAAGCAGGAAAATAGTACTATGAGCAACAAACTACCTTGTTTGATTGAAATGGAGCATTTTCTAAGAAGTTGAAAGGCAATGGGGTCAAAAAGATAAAACTTTTTGTCATTTAGCTAAAAAGTTTAAGAGTAGCTTTCAAGGGCCAGGCGTGGTGGCTCACGCCTATAATCCCAGCACTTTGACAGGCCAAGGCGGGCAGATCACAAGGTCAGGAGATTGAGACCATCCTGGCTAACACGGTAAAACCCCGTCTCTACTAAAAATACAAAAAAAAAAAAAAAAAAAAATCAGCCGGGCATGGTGGCGGGTGCCTGTAGTCCCAGCTACTCGGGAGGCTGAGTCAGGAGAATGGCGTGAACCTGGTAGGTGGAGCTTGCAGTGAGCCGAGATCGTGCCACTGCATTCCAGCCTGGGTGACAAGAGCGAGACTACGCCTCAAATAAAATAA
The DNA here is from genome assembly GCF_000001405.40 of Homo sapiens. Taxonomy (NCBI): domain Eukaryota; kingdom Metazoa; phylum Chordata; class Mammalia; order Primates; family Hominidae; genus Homo; species Homo sapiens. The sequence goes on from NC_000017.11 coordinate 69,576,581, forward strand.
AATAAAATAAAATAAAATAAAATAAAATAAAATAAAATAAAATAAAATAACTTTCAAGAAGCCAGAGCTAAGTGCTAGGAGAAATCTCCCAAGAAGATGGACACAGGTGATGTATCCTACATAGTAAGCCACATGGCCCATCATGGCTGCTTGCTGCATGAGAGGCTGCCCTTCTTGCAACTAAACATGACGACCATGACTGGCCAGAACCCTTGCTGGAGGAAGGAGAGAAGAGCAGAAGGCATTTACATAAAAGATACATCAACACTTCTCATTGTGAAAATATAAAAATAAACCCAAAGCCCTTGTTGGTGGCCGACCCTCAATCCTGGCACTGTTGCTGGATTGACTTATCCTTCTAGATGAGCTATGCTCTTTTGTGATTTGGGCTTTCTGTAAATGGTATCCCACTGCACACCCAAACATAAACGTGCTTGTAACATGTCAAGTATCTCTTGAAGCTCTTTCTGTATAAGTATACTCAGAACCACTTTTAATTTTAAACTGCAGATTGCATGTTATAGTAGGATGTACTCTATATATGTGGTCATTCTCCTGTAAATAGACAGTTAGGTTTTTCTGATGCTGCCTGCCAGATGAGAACAATGTTGTGGGTTCCAGGTGTTTAATGTCAGTTATTTTCTACCCAGTCAGGTGAAGAAGTGATATTCCGCGAATGTCTAAGGTTGGCTGGCCAGCAGAGTTTGGACGGTTGAACACACTTTTTGGTTCTGCCTCTGCATGGGTAAGCGCGTAAGACCCGTGTTGTTGCTTCTACTTAGCCTTAGAGGAAAATGTCTTAACTACAGTGTTGAGGGAACTATGTTCCCATCAGGGGACACCTGCATTTATTCCATAGGACAGTTACGTTATGTTAATATTTTTCTGATTTTCCTCTCCTTTCTGTAAGGGTAAAGGAAAAAAAACTTTTAACCTATGTTTTAGACTTCAGTGAGAACCCTCTCCTATATTCATACTTTCATTACTTTTCAGTAGATTCATAGAAACATCTATGTAGACTTAACAGTTTGGCCATTAGCTTATGGTAAAGCTTAGGACATATTCTTCCTAGCCTAAATGTGAGTATTCATTTGTGATTTAAATGACTGTGTTGCCTTTTTGTTTTGTGACTTAGACAGGGCTGATACCGGTTATGGGATGTGTGTATTATCCTAGCTCCCATAAAAGGGGCTGATTTTCCTACTAAAATCATTAAAGAAGCAAAACCTATTATGGGAAATAATGATTAGATCACAACATCCTCGATAAATAGAGAACTGGCTAGTTAAAATGACCTAGTTAAAAATGTTAATTTTGTTCATGGGTTTTAAAGTTTTATATTCCTGTTTAGCAGGAAGGGAGAATTTATTTAGGACTGAATGGAAGCTATTACAGGTGGTATTATTATTATAGAGTAACCCATGAAGAAGGATATTTTGTTTAAGCCTTCAATATCATACAATATTAAGTATTTCATAAACAATAAAAATAATCTTTTCTCTGTTGACTTTGGTTACTGATACTATTTGAAATAGAATAATGGGTTCAGTTCAGGATATCTGAGAGCAAAGATTACAAGGGAAAATTGCTGAAGATAAACCCCCCTCTCCTGCAATCTCTAAGGGCAGAGTTTATCTTGTCTGGTCTAACTCATCTGGGAATTTCAGACCTCTGAAAAAGTTCTGTTTGGAGTGAATGATTGGCCTTGAATTTTGACCTTTATAACAGAGATAACTTGGATTTTTTGGGAAATTTGATGATGATGTATAGTGAATTTTCTTATCTGGGAAAGATGAGTTTTTGAAGTGTTGTTATGGAATGGGTCTTTCTGGAAGAGTCTAGTTTTGATTCAAGCTAGCTTCCCAAATGCTGCTTGAAATCATAACATCTTGGAGAATGCTTGTACTGCTCTTAAGTAGGCAGGGGATCTTTGCTTATTCCCTGGCAGCGATGTATGGCATTTCCAGTTACTCAGGCTTAGGAAATAGAGCAGTTTTCTCCCGCAGGACTCAACTCTGCACTCTGCAAAAGAATGGCCTCTTTAGGGTACTTTGGATTTATTGTGCTAGTTTAAGCAAGGGGCACTTGACTGGGTATGATTTACTTTGTGTTTACAAGAGAAAAACAAATAAACAAACTTCCGTCTCTATTAGGTAATTGACAAATGTTTATGGAGTGTTTACTGTGCACTTTCAATTGTGCCATGCCCTTTTGGGGACATAAAAATAAATTATCGGAAGTTTCTGAATTACTTTCCCCCCAAACACCATTCTCTTCTCTAGGCAGGACTTTCCATTTAACTGTACCTAAAAATCCCAAGTCAGATAATTTTTGAGATTGTGTCTGCCTTCCCAGAAACATCAGCACATCTGGAGCTGTGGCCTTGGGGTTGCTTGAATTTGACTCCTTGCCCATTCTTCATGTCTGTGTTCTGGACCCCTTGCAGGTCAGCTTTTTGTTTTGTTCCTGTCTACTGCTGGCCTCTTCAGACCTTGCACTTGTCCATATGTCTGCTCCTGTCTGTTCCAAGTCAGGTTTCCAGCTTCACTGTCATTGGATTCAATTCCTATCAGCTACTGGGTCTGCTCCTGTCTTGGCCTTGCTTTGGTGACCCCCGTTCTACTCTTGGGCTCTAGATTCTCTTCCTTCTTTTAGCTCACAGCTTGGTGTTGAGCCATGGTTTATACCCATCATGACTTTATCCAGCTGTTTTCAAGGGGAGGCTGGGCAAGAGGATGTGTATGCCTTGGTGAAAAAGTATTACCTCTTTAGGGAAACTGGTTATACTGTCCAGGATACCTGTGGAAACACATCCGTGACATTAGTTGTGGCAATAGCATGGCGGTGAGGAGCACATTCTGGAATTAGGTAACCTTGATTCTCTGTCCTTTGCCTCCCATCTGTGTAGCTTTGTAGGGGTTATTAATCCTCTGTTTCCTTGTATGTAAAATTTGAACATGACAAATTTCACAGGGTTGTTGTGAGCTAGAAGATGCATAGGATATCCTTAGCATATAATAAATGCTCAGTAAATAATAGCTATTGCTTTCACTATAAATGTCTGGGGAATTGCAAGTAGCTTGGAGTTATTATTGCATGCTTTAATAACGTGGAAGTTATGCTACAAGCTTTGGTTAGTCTTTCTAATTTATTACAACTGATATATATTAGGTATTTTCTATGAGCAAAGGGTTATGTCAAGCACTTTCCAGGATGTAAAGTATAGAATATGATTTCCCTTGAAAGAGGTTGCAATTTATTAGGAAACAAACAAAACAATTTTATTAAGAGGCCAAATGTGATAGATGGTGCAAGGGAGATGCCAAGTCTAGTGGGAGCAGAAGGAAAGAATGGGGTGTCTAATGACTCAGAGAACTGGAAAGCGCTCCGTCAAGTAGAGGACATCTGAACTGGACCTTGAAGGATGTGAGTATTTCTGAAGACAAAGAAGGGAGATGTAGGAATTTGAGTAGGCAGATATTGAGGTAAGAAGGCATATTTAGGGTAAAGTAACCTTGAGCAGGCAGATATTGAGGTAAGAGGAAATATTTGGGGAAAGTGGTCTTACAGTGTTATTTAAATTGGGGATCTTTGTAAATGTACAATTGGAGACCATTGTATGAATGATCTCAAATGTCAAATGTCATGGCCAACAAATTTAGACTTTATTCTATGGCAAGTGGAGAGTGTTGAGCAGCAGAGTGTTATAATCAGGTCACATTTAAGGAAAGATTGGCTGGAATAGATCCTGAGATGAACTGGAGCTGCTGTATTAGACCTGGAGGCAGTGGGAAGCGAGAACAAATTATTGCATTTGTCTAGGTAGGAGGAATCCTAGATCGTATTAGGATATAAGAGAGAAAACATGTAAGAGTCATTTCAGTGGTTGAAGCAAGAGGACTGATTGAATTTAGAAGGCAGGGAAGGTGGATACATTGGAGAACTCATTGGAGTCTGGGAGTCTGGGAAAACAGTGACATCATTAACATAGAAATGGAAGGAAGGAGAAGGATAAAGAAAGATGATCAGTCTTGTTTAGTACATATAGACGTGGTATCTAGGACTAGTGGCACATTCTGGTGGAAATATTTAGCAGCCAGTTGGAAAGACCTTGTAAGGTAGCACTGCTCAAATCCCGTTGGGATTTAGTTTGTTTTTAAATCCATGTAGGCTAGAATCCTTCTCATACTTCTTGTACTCAGTATTTTTTTTTTTGCGCTATTCTCCTTAGCAGCATCTAATACCAGTTTTCCCCTTTGGAGGTTTGCCCAGTGGTGCAGTTAGGGAAATAATGATAATGATTCTGCCTCGTGTGTGTGTGTGTGTGTGTGTGTGTGTGTGTGTGTGTGTATTATAGCTCAGTCTATAAGGGAACGTGCAATCTTTAACTTATCTGACCTCTGTTTTCTAACTTGTAAAATACGATGAATAATAATCACCTTATCTATCTCCTGGAATAGTTGTGTGTCCAAATTAGAATGTGACTAAAAACACAATTAAAGTGCTATATAAATAAAATGAATCATTCTTATACTCATCATCAAAGTCCTTAGCGGATGTCTTTCGTGTGACTTTTAAACCCATTCTCCCATTGCTTCCTATAAAGTAGGAAATCACCCAATGAGAACTCCTTTTTTTTTTTTTTTTGGCATTAGCCTGTGAATCATAGACTTATTTCTTCTAAAGTGACAATTAAAAGCAAAGAGAAAGAAAGCCCAACTGCATAAACACATCTATTTATATTTTAAACTGAAAGTGCATTCACCCAAACCACAAAACCCCAAATCAACTTTTAGCTCCTTCCGAGGCCATGTCCAGTCCCTGGGCTCTCCCGGAGGTGAACTGCTGGGAAAGTGTGTGGGCTTCAAGCCCAGGATCGACTCAATGGCTTCTTCCTCTCCCCTCCCCACGCCTTCCCTCCAGCACACCTGTTTGCAGAACTTCTTCCTCTCTTGCCCAGGCATTTTGATTCTGGTCACGACCACCTGTGAAGGATGACGCAGATTTAGCCCTACGCACATCCTTGCCTTGTTGCTGTCTTCAGGGTCCCAAACTGGGTTGATTCACCCCACAGGACATTATTTTTAGCCTTTATCTCTTAGTGGTTTTGTTTTCTTTCCGCCGCCTTTTGACCTGAGAGCTGGAAATAAAGTCCGCCTTCCATAAAGACGAGAAAGTTGTCAGTCATTTCCTTCCTGCTCACATGAAAGGCCGGCCCAACGGAGCTTGCAGAAGACGCTGCAAGTTCCAGTTCACTGGGTCCTGAAAACACCCGCACTTTGGGAGTGAATTTCATTTCTTCCGTGTAGGCTAAGAAGAGAGGTTGCCTGGGCTAGGCAGCTGTTCTTTCAAAGGGTCTTGAAGATGCTCAAGGGAAATGCAATAAAAGAAAACCACATTTTCCCTCTCCTTTTGATCATGGTTGCTGAACCCAAACACCTGGGCAGCCTGCCTACTTTTAAATATTTGAAATAATTAAAAGAAATTCACAGGCAAAACGAGAAAGTATTGCTTTCAGCATGAAATCATATCACACTATAACATCATTGGACAGAAAACTTAGTTTTTACTATGAAATAAAATATGAGAAATTGCTTTGCAAATTTTGTAAAGTGCTAGGTATATTAAAGATCTCGAAAATTATAGTTTGTTTTTTCTGATTCTGAAATGAATATATATGTATCTATATATATTCAAATGAAATAGAAATATATAAAAATAGAAAAATATATGAGCATGCAGTATCTTTTTCAATATCGGAATTCATTTTTGGGCTATTATAATTCAACCACTTGCCTATTGATATTATTTTTGGAGAGGTATTATCAATATTAGTGCCACTAATTTCCTCCTACATTTATGAGTGAACTTTTCTATCATTATCATTCAGATTAAATTCTAAATGTGTAATTACTGACTCAAGGCATACACAATTAAATTAAAATTAAGTTATAGCTGATGAATGAAAATTATATATATTTATGGTATGCGACGTTTTGATATATGCATACGTCGTGAAGTGGTTAAATGAAGCTAGTTAACATCTCCATTACCACAATATACTTACTTTTGTTGTGAGAACATTTAACATCTACATCCTTAGCAGTTTTTCAAGTACACAGTATATTATTATCAACTACAGACACCCATTTCTCCAGGAAGACAGTACCAATTTACAGTTTCTACAAAGGTGTATATAAATTTCCATTTTCTCAAACTCTTGCCAACAGAGGGTTTTGTTTGCCTGCTTCTCAATCTTTGTTACTTTGGCTGTCCTATTTGTTATTGGGTAACTTGAGTATCTTTGTGTATATTTGTGAGCTATTTAAATCTGTCTCTCATGAATTGTTTAATCCTTTCCCATTGTTTTTTCCTGTGAGGTTATCTTTTACTAATTGATTGATAAGAATCACTTTCCTATTGGGTATTAATTATTTTTCTCTTATATATGCAAATATCTTCCCAGTTTGTCACTTGCATTTTTGCTGCCATACAATGTTTTTTTCCTTTGTTTTTAAGTGGCTAGGCATATTCATCTTTTCCTTTATGGTTTCTGCTTTTTGTGTTGGATGGCATTTTCTGTCACTGGATATGAGGCTTGCTTCTAGGCAGGCTTTGGAGCTGGACAGACTAACTTAAGCCTCACTTCTGTCTCACATTGGCTGAGACTCCAAGAGGACAAATCAGTTGCCCAGGTCTGTGTATCGGGATAATAATCCATATTTCACAGTGTTGTTTAATAACTAGTAGGCTTAGGGGTCTAGAGCTCAGGACTAGGCTTGTCATAAAGGAGGGGCAGGGTGTTAGTTTCCTTTCTCCCTCTTATCTTCAAAATGAACTGGATACTGATTTAGTTCCTCTAAAGAAGAGAACAACAGGGATGAGAAGGTCTCTTTTACTGTCTTGCTTTCAGTTAATACTAATAAATGCTCTACAGGGAAGTGGTTCTCAGGATGTCCTATGGGTATCAAGGCAGTGCCTATCTCTTTCCTGCTTTAGCATATTGTTTTTGTTTTTTTTTTTTTGGAAAAAGAAAGTAGGTAATTTCTGTTCCTGTATTTTCATCAAGTTATACATTTTTTGAAAGAATAATTAGCCTCATGGCAAAATGCAACTCTCCTCAAAGATGAAAAACCAAAAAGATTAAATGTAGATGCTCGTGTGAAGGTTTCAGGTAAAACAGAGAGAAAAGACGAAGCTGAGGCATCCAGGAGATTCTTGGGAAAGAAGGGCTTCTTCCCTGTAGAAGAGACCTCCTTGGGACTTTATTATTTCTACATACACCTTTATGTTAACAAAATCTAGCCTCAGTCATTAAAAAAAGATCTGTTTCTGCAACAACCACCATATTCATTAGCACATCAAAAACTTTAGTTTTATATCGTATAGATAGAATGAAATATGAAAAGATGCCTCAGTAAGAGATTTACTTGGTTTCACCGTCCAACATCTACCTACATCTTTTCATTCTCTCCAAAAATAATGAAGCCATAACTTTCATCCTTTGCAAAGAAAGTAAATTTTCAGGGAAGCTCCTTTTCTCTGCCAAGTGTAAATTTTGAAACACTCCTCAGTTAGGTCTGCATGCACAAAGTAATGGAGGAAATACAACCAGCCAACAAGCTAATCCAAGAAATAGGAGCTCACTGTTACTTTACTTACCTGAATATCTAAAATCTTGGTTATTTCAGCCTGAATTATACAGAATTATTGAATCATTTCTAAGTCATTTTGTGTGTGTAGGCACAGTCTATTTTAGGGCTCTATTCTTTATATCCATAATCAGATGAGCTAATGTATGAAATATTAAGCTTTATAACTCTTATTTCAATTTTCTTAATAATCTATCTCCTGCTTCTCATATAATAAAATTTAAATTTCACAAACTTATTTGAAATCATCACTATAGTGGGATTGAGGATAAATTCAGCATCTGTCATTAAAATGTAATCCAGATATGGGATGGGAATGCTTTTTTTTTAGATGGAGTTTCGCTCTTGTTGTGCAATGGCCCGATCTTGGCTCACCGCAACCTCCACCTCCCGGGTTCAAGTGATTCTCTTGCCTCAGCCTCCCGAGCAGCTGGGATTACAGGCATGTGCCACCACGCCTGGCTAATTTTGTATTTTTAGTAGAGACGGGGTTTCGTCATGTTGGCCAGGCTGGTCTTGAACTCCTGACCTCAGGTGATCCGCCTGCCTCGGCCTCCCAAAGTGCTGGGATTACAGGTGTGAGCCACCACATCTGGCAGGATGGGTATGATTTTTAAAGCCCAGAGTACAAATAATAATAATAGGGATAATAAGCTATATAAATTATTTATTAATAAAAATAATAATCAAATAGTATTTGAGTACTTAGGATTGATTGGTTGATTGATTCATTCATCAAATACTTAGTGAGTGCCTACTATGTGTCAGACAGGGTTCTATATACTGAAGATAGAGTGGGAAGCAGATAAGATCCTTGCACATACAGAGCTAATTATCCTGTAGCCAATGGGGAAACATAACAAATGGGAGAATGCAGAAATGAGATGACTGTAGGTAGTAATAAGCATATAAATAATATAAATAAAATAAAATTGGGAGACGTAAGAGATCATGTTGTGGTGAGGAAGGTGGTAGGGAAAATGCAATACATAGGTTGGGCAGGGAAGGTCTTTCTGTAGAGGTGACATTTGTGCTGGGATCTGAGTGATGAAGCATGTGAGAGTGATGAAGCATGTAAGGAAGAGTTTTCCAAACAGAGGGAACAGCGGCTCTAAGGCCCAGAGGAAATAATGAGTTTGGTGGTTGTATGTATGATGGTTAATTTTATGTGTCAACCTGGCTACACCATGGTAGCCAGGTGCTCAGTCAAATACTAGTCTAGATGTTGCTGTGAAGATATTTTTTAGATGAGATTCTGTGTAAATCAATACACTTTGAGGACACGAACAGACAGTTCTCAAAAGAAGACATACAAGCGGCCAACAAATATATGAAAAAATGCTCAACATCACTAATCATTAGAAAAATGCAAATCAAAACCACAGTGAAATACCATCTCACACCAGTCAGAATCGCTATTATTAAAAACGCTAAAAAACAACAGATGCTGGTAGGCTGTGAAGAAGAGAGAATGCTTATACACTGTTGGCGGGAATGTAAATTGGCTCAGCCACTGCGGAAAGCTGTTTGAAGATTTCTCAAAGAGCTTAAAACAGAATTACCATTTGACCCAGCCATCCCATTCCTGGCTATATATCCAAAAGAAAATAAATTGTTCTACCAAAAAGACACATGCACTGTTATGTTAATCACAGCACTATTCACAATAGCAAAGGCATGGACTCAACCTAGGTGCCCATCCATGGTGGACTGGAAAATGAGAATGTGGTAGATATAAAAAATGGGGCATATATATCATGTAATACTATGCAGCCATAGAAAAGAACAAAATCATGTTCTTTGCAGCAACATGGATGGAGCTGGAGGCCATTATCCTAAGTAAATTAATGCAGGAACAGAAAACCAAATACTGCATGTCCTCACTTACAAGTAAGAGCTAAACACTGGGTAATTATGGACATAAAGATGGCAACAATAGACCCTGGAAACTACTAGAGTGGGGAGGAAAGGAAAGGAACAAGGGTGGAAAAACTAACTGTTGGTTACTATGCTCACTACCTGGGTGACGAGATCATTCATATCTCAAATCTCAGCCTCATGCAGTATACCCAGGTAACAAACCTGCCCATGTACCTCCTGAATCTAAAATAGAAGTTATTCTTTAAAAAAAACCCTTTGAGAAATGCAGATTACTCTTGAAAATGCAGGTGAGCCTCATCCAATCACTAGAAAGCCTTAAGAGAAAAAAGGCTGGTGTCTCCTCTGGAAGAAGAAATTCTTCCTGCAGACTGTCTTTGGACCTGAGCTGAAACATCAGCTTCCCTGGATCTCAAGGTTGCTACCTTACCCTACAGGTTTTCACCTTGCCAGCCTCCACAATCACATGAGCCAATTTCTTAAAGTAAATCTCTTTCTCTCACACACATGCTGTTTGCTCTGTTTCTCTGGAGAACCCTGACTAATACACTACATGAATAATAAGTTGAAAGGAGGAGAGACTAAAGTGACAAGAGTAAAGATGAGAAGAAATGGGTGGTGTGGTATGTGTTGAAGTTACAGGTCACAGAAACTGAATATATGAAGTGAGGGAAAGGATGAAGTGAAGGGCAATTCTTCTGGTAGGCACTGTGCTAGGGGCTCTCTCTCTATAATGCCTTATTTTTACGATAATCATTATCACATTTTATTTTATTTTATTTTATTTTCTGAGACGGAGTCTTGCTCTGTCACCCAAGCTGGAGTGAAGTGGCACGATCTCGGCTCACTGCAACCTCCGCCTCCCGGGTTCAAGCAATTCTCCTGCCTCAGCCTCCTGAGTAGCTGGGATTACAGGCACACGCCGCCACACCTGACTAAGTTTTGTACTTTTTAGTAGAGACGGGGTTTCACCACGTTGGCCAGGCTGGTCTCAAACTCCTGGCCTCGTGATCCACCCGCCTCGGCCTCCCAAAGTGCTGGGATTACAGGCGTGAGCCACTGTGCCTGGCCTATCACTTTATATATGAGGAAAGCAAGAGCCAAAATTTTGAGTCAAATAACTTTTCAGAATCATGAGCCTATAGATGTCCACATTTGTAGATTTTCTAAGGATCATTTGAGACCAAATGCCAAGGAAATACTTTTCAATTGGTTCCTATTTCCTGACTTGAAGTTGGGGGCAGGGGAAAAGATGGATTGTTACAGTACTTTAAGATCCTGTTGGTTACATGTAGATCAATTTGTCCTATTAAACACAATACAACCTTCCTAGCATCTTGTTTTTCTTACACTTTCTTTATATCTTTGCCAGCCAATGACTCTTCATTTAATTATTTGTATATTACTTAGTTGTTACTTGGTTTCAATCTATTGTTTAACACACCTGTGAGTGGTTAGAAATTTTTCAGTCACAATCATATTAGTGATATCCTTGAGGTAAGAAAAGCGAGAAAGTGCTTGATCAACTCCAGTCATATACACATATTTTGTTATTTCATCCTTCCATGTATCGTCCAGAATCCATGCTACCATTCCCATGTTGCAGAAGATCAACCAGGGGCTTGGAGAAATAAAGTATGATTTTTCTCAGATTACAGAAATAACAAATGACAAAAACAAGGTACAGAGAAGATATGCTAGGACACTCTCCATCATTTCATGCTATTAGTGTTTCTGATTTTTTTCTATTTTTTTCTAGTATCTCTCCTCTTTGGTTGTTTCATACAATAATCTTTACCATCTGCCACACTAAATATATATTAAAAATATATTCCAGTTAATATACAGTTTGTGTGTGTATGTGTGTGCATGTGTGCACGTGAGCACCTGCACTGGGACTCTTCAAATTTTAATGTAAGTGGGACTTTTTATTTTTTTTTGAGACAGTCTCGCTCTGTTGCCCGGGCTGGAGTGCACTGGCACAATCTCGGCTCACTGCAACCTCTGCCTCCCGGGTTCAAGCAATTCTCATGCCTGAGCCTCCCGAGTCCCTTGGATTACAGGCATGTGTGACCACACCGGGCCCTAAGTTTTGTATTTTTAGTAGAGACGGGGTTTCACCACATTGGCCAGGCTGGTCTTGAACTCCTGACCACATGATCTGCCTGCCTTGGCCTGCCAAAGTGCTGGGATTACAGGCGTGAGCCACTGTGCCCGGCCATAAGTGGGACTTTTATTTATACTGATTTGGCAGCTTAAAACCACCCTTTCCCATAGAAATGAACATATATAAAAGGAGACCATTTGACTTTCAAGACAAAGCTTGCTTTACTTCCTTTGCTTTCGTATGATATTAGTTCTATTAAGAGTTGTCTTTTCAGTTAATCTAATTATTCTTCAGTAATGACATTTCCTCATTTTTGCACCTTTGAGTTAACAACATTCCCAGGATTTTTCTCTTATGGTCTTCATTATATATAGTGAGCAATGTGTTTGTTAGGAAATCATTCTGTAATTCTAGTGTTTACCTGAGTTCAATAACCCCTCAGCATAATATAGTATTAATGAGGACTTTCAAACAAGAGAGCTAAAATGTTGAAATCTTCACGTGCTTGTCTGCAGCTTTTGGATACAGGAGATCATTTAAAATAGACTTTGAATTTTATTTATTTTTGAGTTCTGATAACTTTCTAGGTGACCTTGGTGTGTATGAACAGCATGGGCCAAGGAACTGTTTTTTTTCCGGCTTTCAGACGTCAGATTGCTTCCTTTCACACCTTGGAATGTCAGAAATTTACTGACTTCTTTCTCCCTGAGATGTTTTTCTCTTGCAGTATTATTACGGGGACAGCAGTATTCTGTTTACTTGTTGCCGGGTGGTTTTTGAGACCTCTGTTGCAATTGAAACAAGAAGCCAACCAACAAAATCAACTCTTGCAATCATTTCTGTCACAAAGAAAATGTCACATGAACCTTCTCAAAGCCTGGAGATTTAGTGCCAAAATGCATTGTGACATTTATAGGGTTTACCTTAGGTTTAGAACAGAGACCTGAGTGCCCTAAAACTTAGTCGTGTGGCTAAGGATCATTTGAGACTAAATGCCAAGGAAATACTTTTCAATTGGTTTCTATTTCATGACTTGAAGTTGGGGGTAGGGGAAAGGATGGATTGTTACAGTAGTTTAAGATCCTATTGATCACATGTCAGTCAGTTTGTCCTATTAAACACAGTACATGTGTATGGGGGAGTCTTGGTATGTATCCAATTCCATTCTCTATTAAATGACAATCTTGATAAAAGTTTATGGGTTTTTACTAAACAAAAACCAGAAGAGATTTGGTGGCAGAGATATTTAGTGCTCACAAAATATCAGGGCTTCCTTGCCTTCCTTTCTCAGCCTTGCTTGCGATTAAGTTCGAGCTGTGGACCCGTTTTGGCAAACGGGTTGTGAGCAGAAGTGATGTCTGCTCCTTTGATTTCTGCCCCCCAAATCCCTCCATGACTCTTGGGTTCTTTCCTCCTGTGCTGCAGAGGCCTTGGGAGCTGAGATGGGGAAATGGTGGCAACATGAGATGGAGAAGTCCTGGAGAGAATTTTCCTGTAAAAAATTCTGCACTGGACTTAGCATGAGCAAGAATTGAACCTTTGCGGTGTAGAGCACCCCTCCCCCCATATTTTGGGTTTCTCTTGTTACCTTACCAGAGGGAAGGTTAATTTTTCAAATTTGTATAATATCAGGATGACTGTCCAAATTTTTATCATAGTTCTGAAATGGGAGAGTTCCCTGACCCCCCTTGCAGGACATGTGACAGGGGTGTGGCTCATCTGTTCGGTAGCTGCCACTGCTCAAACCCCTTATGGGAGGGGGAGCACACAGACAGATAGGGGCAGGAGCCCAAGCAGGTGTGTGTTATAGTGAGCTCTTTTAACCTTGCCGTCCATGTGAAGCTTAAGTATTAACCAGTTCAGTGGACCCTCTGCCTTTTTGCAAGGATGGAGGGCCAGAGTGACAGCTTTCTGTATTCTGAGCTCTTGTCCAGCATCCCAGAAAAATTGGGTCACAGACGGATTTGAAGGATGGTGAATGCAGGGGTTTTATTGAGTGGTGGAGGTCTTTCTTAGGGGGTGGATGGGGAGCTGGGAAGGGGATGGAGTGGGAAGATGATCTTTCCCTGGGGTTTGGCTGTCCAGTGGCTGATTCTCCAACCGTCCCCAGCCAAACTCCTCCCGACATTCCTTCTCTTCTCCCCTTCTCTACTACTCTTCTGCTCTTCTCTTTGTCTGCTTCTCTCCTCCTAGAGCTGGGGATTTGTGTTTTATATGGGCAAAGGATAGGGGAGTGTGGCAGGACAAAAGGCAACTTTTGGGTGCAAAAACTGGAATGCCTGTTCCCATTTAGGGCCTCAGGTATCTAGGCTTGAGGGTAGGGCCTTTGCTGGGGACCCCCACCCTCCTGCCTCTTGTTCTTATCATTTCTAAGGCATTGCCTTAGAAACTGTCTGAGAGGTAAAGATTTTATTTCCACAGTCTCATAATTCACATCCCAGTTACTTATGCATATGTCTGGACAAACTTTGGTTGCAGTGTTTGGCAGCTCTTTGTGCTCTGCAAAGTATTTCTGTGGCATTTGAAATGCTCAGACAACCCCAACAATGTGGGAGTTGAGGAGGAGAAAATGTAGATGCAATTTCCCTTCAGAGTTATGCATTTTGCACACAATGCATAGTGGGCGGAACATTTATGTGAATTGTGCCTTTGGGGCATCATTGAAAGTTATGGCCTGTAAGAAAATGGGAATCAGTTTTATTTAAGTTGGTCTTTAAAAGGCAGCCCTAGAGGAAATTTTATCCCCATTATCTCTGTCAACTGCAACTTTTATGTCTTGCTGCTGACTGTCTATTACACTCCTACCTCTCAAGTCATCTTCTGTATCTACATGGCATTATTCCACTTGGGCTTCCTCCCATAATTCATTTTCTCAACTTTAAATTGATTTGTTTTTAAGAGAGAGGGTCTCCCTATGCTGCCCAGGCTGGTCTTGAACTCCTAGGCTCCTCCCACCTCAGCCTCCTGAGTAGCTGGGACTAGAGGAGTCACGTACCACCATGTTTGGCTTTTAACTCTTTGTTTTTGAAATTATCTCAGACTTAAAGACAATTTGCAAAAATAGTACTGAGAGTTTCCATATATCCTTCACCAGTTTCCCCAAATATTCAAATTTCAGCTTGTTTATTACTTGTCTTCTTTTTCTTTCTCTGAAATTTTTGGGAGTAAGTTGCAAATATGATGTCTTTTATCCCAAAATGCTTAAGTACATGTTTCCTAAAAATAAATGTTCTTTCACATAACTGCAGTACAATAAGCAAATTAGGAAATTAATATTGATCTAGTATTAATTTAGTCCAGCAGTTGGCAAATGTGCCTTCCCAGTTATGTTTGTAAATAAAGGTTTATTGGAACATAGCCATGCCCATTTGTTTATGGACCATCCTTGGCTGCTTTCTGCCTACAATGGTATTGTTAAATAGTTGTGGTAGAGACTACATGGCCTGCAGTCTCTGAAAACATTTACCATCTGATCTTCTAGAGGAAACACTTGTGAGGCTTCATCTGGTTGATAGATCTTATCGAATTTTATCATTTGTCCATAATGTCTTTTACTGCAAAAAAAAAAAATAATTCTCATTTGGCATCCTGTCCGTGATCACATATTATATTTGATTGTTATGTCTTTTTATTCTCTTTCATTGTAAAACAATTATTTGGTGTTTCTTTATTGTTCATGACCTTGATACTTTTGATAAATACAGGACATTTATTTTGTATACCACATTTCAGTGTAGGTTTGTGAACTTTTCTCGTGATTTGATTTATGTTAAGCATTTTTGGCAATACTCAGATGTGATGTTTTGTCTTTCTTAGTGCAATCTAATGGGGCGCACATGATGTCTATTTTTCTCATTATTGGTGGTAATTTTGATCCCTTTGGTTAAGATGATAAGGTTTCTCCACTGTAAAATTGTTTTTCCCTTTGTCCTTAATACGTATCTTGTGGGAAAATGCTTTGAGTTTATGTAAGTATCATATTTTAAATCAAACTTCCACCAGTAGTTTTAGCATCCACTGATAGTTCATCTCTATAACAATTACTATTATGGTGGTTGCCCAAAGCGATTTTTCTTTTTTTTGAGACAAAGTCTTGCTCTGTCACCCAGGCTGGAGTGCAGTGGCGTGATCTTGGCTCACTGCAACCTCCGCCTCCCGGGTTCAAGAGATTCTCCTGCCTCAGCCTCCCCAGTAGCTGGGATTACAGGCACCTGCTACCACACTTGGCTAATTTTTTATTTTTAGTAGAGACAGGGTTTCACTATATTGGCCAGGCTGGTCTTGAACTCCTGACCTCATGATCCACCCACCTCAGCCTCCCAAAGTGCTGGGATTACAGGCATGAGCCACTGTGCCCAGCTGAATAAAGGAATTTTAAAATTCGCTTTGGTGGCTCACACCTGTAATCCCAGCACTTTGGGAGGCCGAGGCAGGTGGATCACAAGGTCAGGAGTTTGAGACCAGCCTGGCCAATATAGTGAAATTCCTTTATTGTTCCATATTTACTAGTGTGAAATCTATTCTTAGCAAGGATCTTCCTTCCTCCCTTCTTTCTTTTTTCTTTTCTTTCTTTCTTTCCTTTCTTTCTTTCTTTTTTCTTTCTTTCTTTCTCTTTTTTCTTTCTCTTTCCTTCTTTCTTTCTTTCTCTCTCTTTCTTTCTCCCTCTTTCTCTTTTCTCTCTTTCTTTCCTTTCTTCTCTTTCTCCCTCCCTCACATCTTTCCTTCCTTCCTTCCTTCCTTCCTCCCTCCCTCCATTTTTTTCTTCTCTCTCTCTTTATTTCTTTCATCCCACGGATTTTTAATTTTATTTTGTGGTCTATAATCTATAACTATCGTTGTTTATTTTGATGCTCAAAATGTTCTAGGACAATTTTTACTTTTAACAATGATTCATTAGGTAGTAACTTGAAATACTCAGGGTCAAACGCTGTGTTTCAAACATCTCTGCATAGCTGTTGCCTAGTATAGTGCATGGAAATGTTAGGCATTCAATAAATATTTTTTTGAATGCAGGTCCTAACTCAAATGACTAAACCACTAAATATGGAATGTTAAACACTGGATTAGACAATGTATTAGGCATATGTTGGAGTATAGCTTCAGTATTATAGCCAGTGTGAGCAAAAACCATGATTTTTTTTTCTTTTTTGATTAATATTTTCTGAGTAGTGAGGCTCACTTGATTTTTAAAAATTTAATCAATTTTTTCTCACTTGCTTTTGAGACTGAAATCTCTTTATCCGAAACATGGCTTTCCCTAGACATATTCTAGTTCTCGCTTAGTGGGAAGTGTTCCAAATTCCCTTGTGGTCTAAAACCTTCTTAGTGTTATCCAAGTGGTGGAAAGTGATTGTCTTAGGGATTCAGGAAAGATTTTTACCTGACTCCAGAACAACTAATTCAGAATAAAAGCAGTTCTATGTATTTTCCAAATCTCTATTTTCTGAAATCTATAAAAACTGATCACAATAGTACTTCTAAGAAATGATAATGATATTCTCTTATTCAACATCACCTTCTTTGGTTCCATTTTTTCCCCTAATTTGTCAACAAAGGGAAAATTCCTGTTGATGCTTTGCGTTTTGCTGTTATGACTACCATTTATGATTTGCCCTTGAGATCAGTGAACTGGTTTGGGGTAGGATGGGCTGGTTTGGGAATTATAGGAATGTTACTTGAGGCTGTCTGTGCCTGGAAGGAAGTCATGAGTAGTGAAGAGGAAATAGCTGAGATTGGCTTAAAGGAAGTGTAACCAGTGATATTTTCCCCATTCCTAAGTCAAGTCTTTGCTGTTACCATCAATAACTGCTAACTCAGAGGATGCAACCTTAGTAATTCATTTCCTTAAGTAAGTGGATTCTACAGGCATGATGCTTACTTCTTGGCCGATATTGAAGTATCTAACAGGACTTCAGTGGAGCTTCCATATTGTCAGTTTCTGTACCCCTGTGAGCCTCTGCTCTCCTGCTAATCTTCCCAGTCTGGGAAGTAGACTTGGACAGAGATCGGTCTTCCTTTTGGCTCTGTGGCATGGCATAGCTGAATCAGGAGGTTTAAATGCATAATTAAGCATCCTTGCTTTCTGATTAGCTCATGAATTGCCTCTTAATCCTTAGAGTAAAATTGGTCCATTTTGTCTCAGTTTTGGAGGTGAATTATCTAAGAAGGTAACAACATTTTTTCTTTGAGGTAGGTGTTCATTCTATTTGTGTAGCTGAACCAAAGTTGTTCTTGGGAGCAACATGACCATCAGATATGTGCAAAGCAATTTAGAATTAATTGTACAGGGTGTCATGCATTCATTATTTTCCCCAGAAGGGTTAGGCATTGTATTTTAACTGGTGTCTACAGCATCTGACTGCAGGAATTCCCTTGAGCATCTCATTTGCCCACCGTCATTATCTTTTTTCTCCCTTCTGAGCTCTCCTTCAGCAAGAACTCTGTCTCTTCTATGTGCCCTGTGACACATCTTATAAATTGCTGCACCAGATTCTGATGAACCTTGATATTCATGGAAACTGCAACCCAGGTGGGAGATAACCTTTGACAGGCTCTCTCCTATTCTTTAGTGGCCAGTTTCACAAAGAGGCTGCAGGAAGCTGCTTCCAGCAGTCTGAGTCCTGAGGAGGAGACGATAACAGTGGGAGAAGCACCTGGTAACAGCGGCACTTCATCCAGGAAGAAAACAGGATCTAAAATATAAACAACATCCTTACAACACAAGTAAGTGCACAGTTCACTCTCGAGTGTGTTCGACTATATTCTTCCAAGAGTCTCATGAGAATCTTACTGAAACAGGAAGATGGTCAAAAGATGAATCAAAGTGTCAAGATTTCCAGTGGACACCATCAAAAAGGATTTTTTTGTTGTTGTTGTTGATCTTTTATTTTTAAACACATGAGTATGACCAACCATGCCATATCTACAATGTCGAACTTTTTTTTTTTAGCTGAATAAAAATTTAAATACCTCAGAACTGACACTATTTTAAGGGAAATGATGTAAATGGGAACAAAACAAAAAGAAGAAAGAGTTTCGATGATCCTGTCTCTCTAAAAGCATCTCTTCCAAAGCAGATGTTATCTTTGTTAAACATCATAGGATTAGTAAAGATGACATTTATTAAGTGTTTGCCATTCCAGGCATTGTGCAAGGTGCTTCCTGGGTAGCATCTCATTTAATACTCTGGAAAGTTATGCACAGAGAGGGTAAGTAGCTCTCCTAGTGTCTCACAGCTAGTAAGTCCTAGTGTCTCTCAGCCAGGACTGAGACCCAGGCAGTGTGGCTCAGAGCTGGCTTGCTTGTCCTTTACACTCTTGCCTATCTGTACCATTTATACATTTTAAAAAGAATTATATTGATAGAACCATTTATACATTTTAATAAGAATTGTATTGATAGAGGCATGAGGCAGAGAAATTCTAGGCAGACAGGGGTGGGTCCCTGGCAAAATCCCACCTTCAAGTCAAAAATCCTGAAACCCGTGGCCCAAAAATGAGAATTTCTATCCCTATTTGCTCACTCTCTCTCAACTGGTTCTTTCTGAATAATGTCTTTCTAACAATCAAATATTGCCTTTTCCAAAACTACCTATGGCCTGCCAGGATCCCCATCTTGTGCCTGTAAAGACCCCAGACTCAGTCAGTAGAGGAGAGAAGTGGCTTGACTGGAGAGAGGTGACTTGACTTCAGGGGGATGGCTGGACTTTGGAGGAGAGACAGTTTAACTTTGGAGAAGAGCCAGCCAGAGCCAGCCAGACATCAGGGAAGATTATCTTCCCTTCCTGTCCCCTCTCAATCATCCCTCTCTGCTGAGAGCCATTTCTATTGCTACATAAAATTCTCTACCTCCACCAACCTTCAAGTGTCCGTGCAACCTAATTCTTCTTGGATGCCAGACAGGAGCTTGGGACCCACTGAATGCGGGTACCCAAAAAAGGCTGTCACACTGGCTCTTTGTTTTCACTGGTGGAGGGCAGCTGCCCTACACAACGAGTCAAGGAATCTACTGAGCTGATAACACGCTGCCGTCCATGGACGGCAGAGCTAAGAGAGGATTGTAACATGCCCTCTGGGGCTTCACGGGTCACAAGCACCCCCACCCTGGCATTGCCACGGGGCCTGCATGGAGCATGCTCCTGCCAGCACCCAAAGCGGCTGTCTGGAACACTCACTCACTCATGTACTCCCTCCCACAATAGGTTGAGTGCAGTGAGCCAAATAAACAGGGCACCTCTGTTGCAAGTCCAACGGGAGGGGTCGAGAAAAACTTCTGCATCAGTATTGTGTCCATACTCTTTTAAAAAGACCCTGTGGCTGGTAACTAAAAAGCCATGATCAGTATGCTAATTTCGTTTCTTCAAATTATCAATGTCTCTTTAGTTGTAGACCAAAACACCAATAACATTTCATGCCAAAAGCCATTTCCTTAATATTTCTATGGCCTTCAGTCAATGCCACTACATAGTTTTTAAGGATCAGGCCCAAGACCTTTTGCTATCAATTATCAAGAAAAATCTGCTGGGTGTGATGGCTTATGTCTGTAATCCCAGCACATTGGGAAGCCAAGGTGGGCAGATTGCTTGAGTCCATGAGTTTAAGACCATCCTGAGTTTGTCTCTACAAAACAAAAATAACATAAAAAGAAAGAAAATGAAAAGTAATATCTCTACTTTAGAACTTCTTTGTAGTATCCTTGTTTATTGCAAGGAAAAGAAACTGAGGCAGAAGACAAATTGAGAAGGGAAATGTCAAAAGTAAATGTGTCATTCTTACCTCTGAACAGGTATAACTATCATGAGATTTTAAGAATGGTGGACATCCAAGCTGGTTCCTGCTATTCAGAGCAGAACCCTCCTATGACTTCAGCTGTTTCTTCAGTTGGATTGCCACTGACATTTCTGGGACGACCTGAAATCTCTAGAGATTAAGTCTTTCAGAACTAGATGTACCTGACCATCTTGAAAATGCACCTGCCCACCTGGTCTAATTAGAAAAGTTACTATTTCAACAAATAGCACATTTCTCTAAAAAGAAATGGGATAAAGTAGCTCAAGATTTTAAGACAGGTGCTAAATTCTATCTTGTTGTAGTCATCTTCATGTTATTAATTCATCCATTCATGTAGCAAATGTTTACTGAATATGTGCTGTGTACCAGGCATTTTTCCAGGGTTGAATGCAGCAGTGAACCAATATAAAAACTGCTGTCCTCCAGTATCTTATATTCCAGAGTGTTATTAAGTGGTCTACATTTTATTTCTACTCAATAACTGTAGATCAAAAGAACAAATGGTGGAACATGATAATAATAAAAATATAATTGCTTTGTTAAATTTTCACAGGTATTAGCAGTGTGCCAGGCACTTTACATGTATTAGCTCCTTAATCTTTACAAGAAATTTATGTAGATTTTAATTTACAAAAATGACTAAGTTTTTGATTCAACCAAATACAATTATTATTCCCATTTTAAAGATGAAGAAAAAGAGAAATCCACTCCGCAACCAATGAACAGATTTCCTAAATATCATGTAGATAAATGTGTTGGAACTGGGATTGAAACGAAGGGGCCCCTGACTCCAAGTCCACATGATCTGTCACCATGCTCTACTGAATCAGAAGGGTAGAACTTACAATTAAATATGTCCAGATGAATAGAATATTAGTTTAAAGGAAAATTGGCAACCGTTAATATAATCACTGTAGATGTTAATACAATATAGCCAGCACACACTGGCTTAAGTTTATTTTCATCATCATCTTTATATGCCAATAGCATTTAGCCCTTGTAATGATTTTCAGGTGCCAAGATAAGCTCTGGAGAAAGAGCTTCCTTTTGCAGTGAACCCAGTGAATCATTTATCCTTCCCCTAAGATCAGGAACTATTTTAAGTACCTGACTTCCAGTGAGTGTTGTGGAGATTGACAGGGGTGCTGGTTGTATTTTGCACAGTTTTAACTCACCCACTCTGACTTTCCCCAAGGCACATCAATAAGACGAATCTATCTACAAAAGGTTCCTTGTGACTCTTTTATGTGGAGTATGCCTGATTCTTGCAAAAAAGCTAAAGGGCCTTAGTTTCCTGCAGGAAATCTGTAACTAAATCCAGGACCTAGAGCGGAAACATTAAGTGTATCGTGGGAGAAAAGGAAAGCAAAGTGCTAAAGTTGTTACTCTGAACAGAGGATATCGGAGCATCCTGCAAAAAACTTCCTGTTTAGCCAGGAGACTAGAAAACAAGATGAAAAACACTTAACTTCAATGACTATTGTGTAAATATATTTTTATACTTTCATTATCTTGGGCAGGGCTTACTCACAAGAACTCATGGTTTCCCAAGGTGGAGAGTTAGTCACTGAGTCACACCCAGCCTCCCATCTTCCTTGTTTTGACGGCCACACTAAGACCTTGTGTCATTTGTATAGGCTATCCCTAGGCCTGTACCACATCCTATGCTGAACTTTCTTCCCGGAATGTGCTTCCTTCAACTGGTATTAAACAGCCTGTAGGACAGATTCAGAGAATGCATGGGAAATAACCTGCCTTCAGCTATCCTGCCTCCTCCAAAATCAGGCTATGGGAACCAGTGGCTCAGTAAAGAGCAAGAAACACTGTTGGATAAATAAAACGAAGCTGCTAATTATGCTTTCTATTCTGAAACACTTTCAGTGGTAGAATAAGATGAAATTCAAGAAGGAAAATTGGAGTTTGTAGGGAGTGATGGAAAATGTAAATGATTAGAAAAAAAGAAAAATTGGAGTTTTGAATTCCTTTATTATGACAATTTTAGACACTTGGTCAAGCACATCCCAAATGATGTTATATTGTGTTAGATGTTAGAGTATGTGTTATGTGCAATGTTGTACAGGGAGTGATTCTGAAAAGAGACATTCTCAGTTGTTTTAAACTTATCTCACTGGATTATTCTGTATGGAACAAAGTAGAAATGTTTTAAATGGGAAAGAATGGAAAGCTAGTCCCTTTTTCTTTATGTTAGCTATTGAGATTCACTAGTGCATCTATCTCATAGTTGTGTGAGGGCTGTTTAGCCATCTTCCTTCCAAGATCTTCTTAATCTTCCTTTTCTCCTTCCTCTCCACCCTCCAAATCAGGATGACCTCATAATTATTCTTTTTTCTTGCACCATCAGTTGTGAAATTTCCTCATTAAAAACACTAGCAACAAATAGATAAAGACAGAGAAGCACCTTCCATATAAATCAGTAAAGATGAAAAAGCATAATTAGTGGCATGATGTGGTTTGGCTCTGTGTCCTCACCAAAATCTCATCTCAAATTGTAATCCCCAGAATCCCCGCATGTCAAGGGAGGGACCTGGTGGGAGATGATTGGATCATGGGGGCGGTTCCCCCATGCTGTTCTTGGGATAGCGAGTGAGTTCTCACGAGACCTGATGGTTTTATAAGTGTCTGACAGTTCCTTCTTCACACACACTCCTCTCTCTTACCTGCCGCCATGTAAGATGTCCCTGCTTCCCCTTCCACCATAAGTTTCCTGAGGCCTCCCCAGATGTGTGAATCTGTGAGTCAATCTCTTTCCTTTATAAATTGCCCATTCTCAGGTATTTCTTTATAGCAGTGTGAGAATGGTCTAATACATGATCTGTCTGAAATCCTGTTTTCTCTTCTGTTCTTTCGGACACCATAGATTTGAATACAAGCTCGCTTTGGAGACAGAACCTGTTGCTACTACTTTTGTAAGATAACATTTGTTTGCTAAGACTCTGATTCTGTTCTACATATAGTTTTATATTTTCCTTGCAGTCCTTAAGAATGCTGTGATGAGTTATAATAATAGCAATAAAAATAAATCTGCCAATTGTTGAGTTCCTTTCCCTGGTTGTTAATTTTGATAACCTCTTTAACGCAATGACCTCCTCTATACCACTTTCAATGACTGTACCTTGGGCCATGTTGACAATTCGAGTTGTTCCACTTCAGAAACCCAGAGTTCCCTCTCTCTAACTCTGATCACTTAGCTTCTGGTTAACTCCTAACAGGAGCTCCTATTATACCTGTTCTTTGGTCCTCTCATGACCTCTGGTCCTTTGAACATTTCTATCAGTTCCCTCTGGTCTTTACTTCTCTTCTTGCTTAGCTTAGCTTCACACATTTCATTTCTTGACTCACTTTTTTTGCCAGTATCCTAGATACCTTTGCTCTGGTTGTCATTGTTTTGTTGTTTGACCTCATGTCCACAAGACTGAGTTGTTAGTATACGTATGGTTAATCCAAGCAAGCTTCCTTCTTCCTTTAATCACATTTTTATTATTCAATTATTTTCCCCATCCTCCTCCATCCCTGATCCATTAACTCTTCTTGACATATGGCATCTGTGGATTACATTAGGGGATATTGCCTCAATCCAATTTCCACAGTTGTATTTTGACTTGAATATATCTAACCACCTATTAGATTAGGGCCATTCCTTTTGCTGTTTTCTCTACCTAGAACATTCTGCCTTCAGATTCCTAGAGAGTTTTCTCCTTTAGTTAAGTGTCATCTCATTAGCAAAGCTTCTCTGAACACTGTATTTAAAATTGTAGCACATCTTATGATAACTTTTGAGGACAAGCATCTCTCCATGTAAATAGCCTGAAAATGTAAGAGGAATGGAATAGTTAATTAAAACATGACATGCTCATAGATAAAATATAGGTAACCATAAAGATATGTAAATAAAGTATATAATTCTAAATATGCTTGGGATACTAATGCATGCATACATATATAGCTACTTCCATATATATATATATTTTTTTTGAGACGGAGTCTTGCACTGTCGCTCAGGCTGGAGTGCAGTGGCACGATCTCGGCTCACTGCAAGCTCTGCCTCCCGGGTTCACGCCATTCTCCTGCCTCTGCCTCTGGAGTAGCTGGGATTACAGGCGCCCGCCACCACGCCAGGCCAATTTTTTTTTTCTATTTTTAGTAGAGACGGGGTTTCACCGTGTTAGCCAGGATGGTCTCGATCTCCTGACCTTGTGATCCGCCCGCCTCAGCCTCCCAAAGTGCTGGGATTACAGGTGTGAGCCACCGTGCCTGGCTTCCATGTTTTTATACACAGATACGTACCAAGAAACAGACATACCTGCATTCAGGACTCTGGCTACATAGTTGTAGGGCTCTTTGCAAAATAAAAATTTGAAATCTCTTTTTCAAAAATTATTAAGAATTTCAAGACGGTGATAGGAGAGGATTAAACCAAGAATGGGATTCTTCTGAGTGTGTGGCCCTATCTGACTACACAGTGTATGCTCATAAAATCAGCTATGGATGAATATGTTGATGACAAAATTACTACAAAAAGATACGTTCAGATATTTCTTGTAGCTACCCTTTTTGATAGCATTATGGATGTTTATTATTTTTTTCCTACTACTTTTTGATACTACCTACAATTTTCTCAATGGCCATGGGTTGCTTTAATAGTCAGAAACAAGTCTGGGCATGGTGGCTCACTCCTGTAATCACAGCACTTTGGGAGGTCGAGGCAGGCAGATCACTTGAAGTTAGGAGTTCAAGACCAGCCTGGTCAACATAGCAAAAACCTGTCTGTATTAAAAATACAAAACATTAGCTGGGTGTGGTGGCATGGGCCTGTAGTCCTGGCTACTCATGAGGC
The DNA here is from genome assembly GCF_000001405.40 of Homo sapiens. NCBI lineage: Eukaryota > Metazoa > Chordata > Mammalia > Primates > Hominidae > Homo > Homo sapiens. The sequence continues at coordinate 69,601,862 of NC_000017.11, forward strand.
TGAGGCAGGAGGATCGCTTGAGCCTAGGAGGTCAAGGCTGCAGTGAGCCAAGATCATGTCACTGCACTCCAAAGTAAGACTATTTCACACAAACAAACAAACAAAAAGACAGAAACAAAATTATTTCTAAAGGAAAGTACGATTTTTAAAAAATCGTGCAAAGCTATGATATATTCCCTGAAATTCAACTGTGAGGTTTCCTAGACATGCATATACTTTGCTGGTGAATACTCAAAATACTTCATTTTGCAGATTTGGGTATTTCTTTTCTTTTTCTTTTTCTTTTTTTTTTTTGAGACGGAGTCTCGCACTGTTGCCCAGGCTAGAGTGCAATGGCACGATCTCAGCTCAGTGCAAACTCCGCCTCCTGGATTCAAGTGATTCTCCTGTCTCAGCCTCCTGAGTAGCTGGGATTACAGGCGCACACTGCTGTACCCGGCTAAGTTTTTGTGTTTTAGTAGAGACCAGGTTTCACCATGTTGGCTAGGCTGGTCTCTAACTCCTGACCTCGTGATTCACCCGCCTCAGCCTCCCAAAGTGCTAGGATTACAGGCGCAAGCCACCGCGCCCGGCCAGATTTGGGTATTTCTTCTACAGTTGCCTAGTAGCAACAAAATTGGTCAAAATTGATTGAAGTAGATAAAGGCTGTCTTTATTGTCCTTCTGCCTTTCATTTTTTCTCCCCATGAAGGTCTCTCTCAGCATTTCCTTTTAGCAGTCTACTAACTTCCTGTTTTCTAACACACCCCTTTTTATAAGAGAAAAAATAGTTATCATTTGTTAGAAGGTTACTGTGTGTAAAGAACCACACTAAGTAAATTATAATATCTCCTTTAGTCTTTTTAACAGTCTTTTCAACTAGATAGTATTATCCTAGTTTTATAGGAGAGCATGTAAAGGCATAGAGATTATGTATCTGTGGCTAAGGTCATAGTAAGAGACAGAGCTGGGATTAGAATTCAGGTGAGGTAGGTCAGTCTCTAAATATGGCCACCAACAATTCCTCCCATCTCTGTACATGCCTGCAGTGTCTCAGATTAAGAAGAGGAAATTATGTCCCCACCCCTTCATATAGAATACCTTCATAACTTGCTTTGCATAATAGAATAAAATAGAAATGACTTTCTAGGACTTTGGCATTTAGGCCTTAGGATAACTGGCAGCTTCTGCTTCTTAGGCCTTGAAACCTAGCCACTATGCGGTAAGGAAATTCAGGCTAGACTACTGAATGATTGGAGACCATATATAGAGGGGTTGAGAATAAGTAGGTCATAGTGTTGCACGTGTAAACCTCACAGTCTAGTGGGGGAGACAGTTCCATAAACCAAAAACCACAAAGCATTGTAATGTGTGTTGTACTAGAGGTGAGTAAAAAATGTTGTAGAAGCCAGAATAAAGTGGTAGCCTCGTGTGTGAGTGTGTGTGTGTGTGTGTGTGTGTGTGTGTAGAACGTAGCTTTGTGGAAGTGGTGACAGCACTTGTCCCCCATCTCGAAGGGTATGCAGAGATTTCCTAGGTAGAAAAAGGCATCCCGGGCTAAGAGAACAGTATTTGCAAAGTTATGGAAATGTAACAGAACAAGACATGTTTAGGAAATGGTGAGTCAATAGTACTTTCTATAGTTTCGTTGATTCTTATACTTCTAAATTTTAACTGCTTTAAAAGATGTAAACTTTCTCATTGCAGCTTCCCATGCTGGTAGATGTGGAGGATGGATGTGAGGAAAGGCTTCCTCCACTGATTGGTGGAGAAGATTTTTTTTTTTTTTTTGAGACAGAGTCTTGCTCTGTCTCCCAGGCTGGAGTGCAGTGATGCGATCTCGGCTCACTGCAACCTCTGCCTCCCAGGTTCAAGCAATTCTCCTGCCTCAGCCTCCCAAGTAGCTGAGACTATAGGTGCACACTACCACACCCGGCTAATTTTTGTATTTTTAATAGAGACAGGGTTTCACCATGTTGGCCAGGCTGCTCCTGAACTCCTGACCTCGTGATCCACCTGCCTCGGCCTCCCAAAATGCTGGGATTACAGGCGTGAGCCACCGCACCTGGCCAGGATTTGTTTTTAAACATTCATTCCTCTTAATTGATTTTTTTGTTGTGATATTTGAATGTACTGTGTTAGTTTCCCAGGGCAACTGTAACAAATGACCACAAATGTGGTGGCTTAAAAGGACACAAGGTGGGGAACATCACACACTGGGGCCTGTCATGGGGTGGGGGGAGGGGGGAGGGATAGCATTAGGAGATATACCTAATGTAAATGACGAGTTAATGGGTGCAGCACACCAAGATGACACATGTATACATATGTAACAAACCTGCACGTTTTGCACATGTACCCTAGGACTTAAAGTATAATGAAAAAAAAAAAAAAAAGAAAGAAATCTATTCTCTCACAGTTCTGGAGGCCAGAAGTCTGAAATCAAGGTGTTGGCAGGGCCACGCTTCCTCTAAAGGTGCTGGAGGAAGGTCCTTCCCTGCATCTTCCAGCTTCTGGTGGCTCCAGGTGATTTTTGGCTTGTGGCAGTACCATTTCTGTCTTTCTCTTGGTCTTCAATGGCCTCGTTCTCTGTGTCTGTGTTTTCTCCTCTTCTTATAAGGACATTGTCTTTGCACTTAGGACCACTCTAATCTACGATGATCTCATCTTGAGATTCTTAATTACATCTGCAAAGACCCTTTCCCCAAATAGGGTCCCCTCTATAGGTTCTGGGTAGACATATATTTTGTTGTGGGCCACCAATTAACCCAGTACATATAGTAACAAACATTTACCTTTGCTAATGGTTTATATTTAACAATAATTTTTTTAAAAAAATTCTCTGTTTTATCATTTATAAATTTCAAAAAGTTTAAAACTCTAACGTGTTTAATTCCAAATGTGACTTTGGCTGGGTCTCTCTCCTAAGCAGCACTTTAGTAGATTTTTCTCAGGCAGAATGCAAAAGGTCTACATCAGAGTAGAACTGGCCCTGTGATTAGCTATGCTAAATTGAAACCTTATGAAATATAGTGTGGTTACATTAAATGGCAGTTAGAATGTGGTCTACATTATTACAAATAAATGTTTTTCATTATATTTTACTGTCAGCAAATGCTGGTATAAAACTCATTGCCTTTCCTCATATGGCTACCTTGAAGGGAGTCAGAAAATACATTGGCATCTGAGATCTTCATGTGAATTATTTTGAGAATTCCAAAGACTCCAAACTCAATTCAAAGAAACATGATGGAAATTTCATGGGCTTTTAATTGGACTTTCATCTTTGCTTCCTTTGTCAGTAAAGAATGACTGTCCTGGAACTTGAGGTTGTTGCTAGACCCCCTTCTTAAAAAACAAACAAAAAAAACCTAAAGGTTCTATAGTTAAAGCCTCTTGGGAGGGGAAGAAGACTCACTCAGTACACAGAATGATAAAATTTTACTTGCCGAGGTAACATACATGACTTTGGACAGGTTTAAGCTCCTTTTTCATTGGAAGGAAGAGAACTTTTAGGCTTGCAGGTGCTATTTCTTTCTTCTTCCAATTTCTACAACTGGAAACTAGTCATTGTAGGGTTTTCCTTAAATAAGTCCAAGTCTACAGGAGGCAGCAGGGAGTCTATTCCACTGAAGCCTTCCTATGAGGATTGAACAGCTTCTAATTTCTTGATCATTCTAATCATCATAACCATCTGGAAGATTTCGTCATTAAACTAATAGTTGGTAATCATATTGTCCTGGCTTTCAAAATAAAACAAAACGATAAGGGCTTCTAGACAATCCAAGCAGGCTATTTGTCGAACTGCTCTATTTATCTGTGTCGATTTCATTTATATATTTCAAACACCCACTGCCTCTAAAGTATACCGAATCATGCCCTCAAGCAATTGGTCTCATCTACAAAGAATGAGCCTGACCCATGATTCTGTGCTCCTCTGTTTCTCACATTATAGTCATAAGTTAGCCCAAAGAGAGAAGCATATGATTCTTTGGATGAGATCTCTGTTATCTTTTAAGGAGATAAGAATCATAAACTCCATTCAAAGGTGACATCAGAACAATGAAGGACATTCTGAGACAGAGCGAATGACCTCATGACATTTTCCCTAGATTTTCTAACTTTTCTTCTGTTTAGTAATCAATCATTCACTGACTCTAAATGTATGGGAGGTAAAAGTTTTTCTTTACTTTCTTATATTCTGAGGGTGGGCCTGCAAGTTAAACTGACAAAGATAGATGAATGGAAGAAAATTGTACACATTGTATGTGATGTTAATATTCTTATGTGGGCAGGGTTTTCATAGAAAAGAGGTGAAAACCCCCCAAAAAGCAGGTAAACTGGAGGGCATCTATAACATTTTAGCAAAGGATGATAACCTGGGGAGAAGCGACTATGACAGAGGAAAGAGGGTTTGGGCTTCCAGGGGTGGTGAATGGTGGGAAGGTAAATTTATGAGGAAAAGCAATAATAAACAAGAGTTATTTACTAAAGTTTGCTTACACAGCACATCTTGGTGCTATCTCCATCTCCTGATAAGGGTTGTTCTCCTCTTTCTAATAGGGGAGGGTGGGGGACACCTTTGTTTAGCCTAAAGCTAAGGTTTCGCCATATACAGTGAACTGTAACTCAAGGGGCTGTGGAAATATAGACTGTAACCTATTCTTGAAACAAGTAGCCAAGTTTTAGCCAATCACAGCAGCTGAGTTTCAGCCAATCACAGGCAGCCAACTGTCTAAACTGCGTTTAAATAAGGCAGATGCTGAGCTGTAACCAATCCAGCTGTTTCTGTACCTCACTTCTATTTTTTGAACCTCACTTTCCATTTCCTGTCGATTAATGTTATCTGACCATGTGGCAGCCCAAGAGTCGCTGGGAACCTATTTTGCTTCTGGGAGCTGCTTGATTCATGAGCTTAATTAAATTGTTAAATCTAATTTGTCTAAAGTTTTTCTTTTAACACCTTCACGAGGGGAAGTTTATGCCCTGCTTTAAGCAGAGGGGGACGGCAGAGCTCTTCTGTGTCTGCTTTTTCTCAATTGCCCCCAGCTCAAAATAATTCTTATGCCGGCATATTTTGGGGTGACATATTCTGATCTCCTTCATTGGGAAGCAGTCCCTGAGTGTGAGCCTAGCAAAGACTCTCTTCTTAGAAATCCTCCCTAATTTGAAACATAGTGGTTAAAATTCAGAAGCTGGGTCTCTGTGCACGTTATCTAACTGCTTGGCACACAAAGGTTTGTCAAATAAAAGACAGGCAGGTGATGAATGCATTGAGAATTGTTGTCAATCCTACCTAAAGTTCCACAGACTTAGAGAACATGTCTTTCTACCTGACAACCATTCAGAGCAGTTTGGCTGTTCCAACTCGCGTCCTCAATTTCATCATTCAAAATCTGTGAGACCGATACTGAGCTCTCATGGAAGACTGGCTCATTTAATTGAACAATTTGGAAAACTGTTGAGTTGAGGAAATGTATACAGAAGCTAGGTGGCGCTGGCGGCCACAGGCTGCACAAGATAATCCTCTGCATGTCAGAACATGCCCTGTGCCCAAAGGACACAGCTGTGAAACCTTTCTGAAGAGTTTAGTATCAGATACAGGGAGAATGATTTGAAACAAAAGAGAAATACAGAAATTCCACAGCATCACTTTCAGACTGTCCAACATTACCCATTCCTTCTGACATAAACATGAAAACCCATAAAGCACAATTTGTATTTATCTATTTTCTAAATAAACTCCTCCTGGTCATTTGCTTTTTGAATATTCTGTTTGGTCTCTTTGGTTTTGCAATCACCACTGACTTGGAGCTCCACAGAAAAACCAGAAGTTCCAAAATAGCAATCGGAAGAGAACTTGGTTTCAGTCCCTTTTCCATTAATGCCTATTTTCCACAACCACATAACCTGTGCATTTGGAATATTTTCCCAATAGCACTGGCTTTCATAAGCTGTAGTGACTGTCAGGAAATAAAACTGCTTTGGTGGAAAGACCAGAATTATATAGCTGAGAACACAGGAATGTTAAACCAGCCTTCGAAGTCTTGCAGAATAGGAGAGAACAAAAGTGGGCTGTGTCAGTGAGGCAGGTTTAATAGAAATAGAACATTTATGAATTTCTAGTCACATCTTCTGACCAGATAATCTTCTACAGAGTCATTTAGCTTATGTATGGGAGATACGAATCTTACAAGTGGAAGATGACCATGCCTAAGTCAGAATATAATAGTCTGACAAAATTTTCTGCTTTATGTATGCTTATGGAACTTGTTTTATATATAGACATATCACATTTATATAGTCATTTAATAAATTTCATTCATTGAAAATAATACAAATGCATTACAATGAAAACAATCATTAGGTACGTACTTTTGGTTAATATTTCCAACTGTCCTGAAAGATGTGGTATAAATATATCTGTAATCCCTAGGGGTTTATTGCACAAGAAAAAAAGCAGAGCACACTGTTGATTTTTTTTTTTTTTGAGACATATTGGCTGGTAAAATGTTGATACTAATTAATTCTGAAGTGGAAACAGGCTTACAGGCTGGCAGACGGGTTATAAAATTTTTTTTTTTCCATTGGTCTCAGAATTGCTAGAATCTTTGTTTCAGCACCAGTAGCTCTGGTTTAGGTTAATATTTCTGCCTCCACTCAATACCATGTTATACACCCTCTTGCCTACTGTCAAAGGAGTTTGTTGAAGATAGTTTCTTTACCTGAGAAAGAATACCATTCTCCTTTACTCCTCTTTTACCATGTCTCCTCTTCTACCTGACCAGTGTACATATTTGTCAACTCTTTTTCCAACCTGTTAGCATGTTACTGATGGAGGGCTTCACGGAAGAAGCATGGAGTTGAGAATTTCAACTTTTACTTCTGTTACAGGAGTGGCCTTCAGCCTCACTTAGATAGAAAGGGCCACAATAAACTCAGAGGAGTAATAGGCTCAGAAATGGTGGACAACATACTCATCTTATTTATCACTGGGTTTCTGGCCCTTGATGCAGTACTTGGTATTTAGTCAGTGCTCCTTGCTAAGCTGCTTGTTTGTGTCTGCTTCCACATTCCAAAGATATGAGGATATGAGTTTGAATAGAGTATGAGATAGTTAACAAATATGAAACCAGTGGTATTGAGCACCAACAACATACAGAGCTGTATTAGAAACTGAGAATTGCAAAAAATGATATATTTGTCCATGTTTCCCAAGAGGTTACCTATTAATACATAACTACATATTTGTAAGAAGACATTATAGCATATTGCCTGTGAACCATCTGCCTCAGCTTCTAGTTGTTTCCTCTGATTCAGCTAGCCAAATGCCACAAGAAACCACAAAGCCAATTTGTGTTCTTGGATAACTGCGTGCAACACCCATTAGCTTTCTATGGGCAGGATTTGGCGCAGAGAACTCATCTGTTGCCAGTGCTCAAAAGAAAGTCAGGATTAAATAAACCTATTTCTGTATTCTTACAGGCGTGCCTATGAATCCATGAGGCTACAGTCACGATGGCATACTTGGCAAGCTCAGGGCACTGTTATCTTTTGAATTAATTTTGTGACCTGTTATAAATGCAAGTTCCCTTACTGTGTTTCAAAGGCTTTTTGCTCCCTATTCCAATGTCACAAGTTTTCTTCTATGACAAAGATCGTGTTAGCTTAATTTTTTTGCTACATTGTGATTTTTTTTGATATTGCATTATAGCTCCTTCCCCTTTTGGCATACATGCATTCATAGCTAAATTATGGAGTGACTGGGGTTTCCTTCCCTTGGCATGATTTACCTCTGGTCAGATTATTCCTTGTTGTGGGGGACTGTCTTGTGCATTGTAGGGTATTTAGTAGCATCCCTGGCCCTTGCCACTAGATGCCGCTAGAATTTCCTGCCCCTAAAATGTCTCCAGAATTTGCTAAATGTTGGGATAGGGAAGGATTGCCACCTGTCGAGGACCACTGATTTATATTAATGTAACTTTTCTGCATAAAACCATTAAATACCATTACTCAAGGGATATAAGCTGGCTAATGATTTTCTCTGCGGCATTTAGCAAAAAATCCATCTGGTGAAAATACCAGTGAAGAGGAACAGAAACAATTGTAAATCTTCAAAAATCATTCCTTGAGCAAGAAAATGCCTTGGGCTAGCCACTGCCTTCCCCATTCACCCTGACCCCCACCCCAAATACAACATTTTATTTTTAACCATCTAAGTAAGGCTGATGTTGCTGATGGATAACAGCTGCTGTATTAGTCTGTTCTCACACTGCTATGAAGAAATACCCAAGACTGGGTAATTTATAAAGAAAAGAGGTTTAATTGACTCAGTTCTGCATGGCTGCGGAGGCCTCAGGAATCTTACAATCATGGTGGAAGGCATCTCTTCACAGGGTGGCAGCAGAGAGAATGAATGCAAGCAGGGGAAATGCCAGATGCTTATAAAACCATCGGATCTCTTGAGACTCACTCATTATCACGAGAACAGCATGGGAGAAACTGCCACCATGATCCGATTCCCTCCACCTGGTCCCACCCTTGACACATGAGGATTATTACAATTCAAAGTGAGATTTGGGCGGGGACACAGAGCCAAACCATATCAGCTGCAGAGATCTCTGGGTGGAGTGTTATGTGAGTGAGCTTGCTACAGATTGGAGTGAGCCACTGAACTGTTAGGGGCATTTTTCTGATTAGAATTGCATTCTGCTATCTTTGAGTTTCTGCTGAGGTTGCTTGTCATTACATTGGCAGGCAGATAGAAACTATGAGATATGCTATTGTAAATGCATTATTTTCTCTATTATTTATAGCTGTGAGTAGGTAGTGATATAGGTGGTAAGAAAGCAACATCACAGATTTGATATGGTTTGGATTTGTGTCCCTGCCCAAATCTCCTGTTAAATTGTAATCCCCAATATTGGAAGTGGGGCCTGGTGGGAGGTGACTGGATCATGGAGGTGGAATTCTCATGAATGCTTTAGTATCATCCCCTCTTGGTACTGTGTCGTAAGTTCTCACAAGATCTGGTTGTTTAAAAGTATGTGGCACCTCCCCCGTCCCTCTCTCTCTTGCTCCTGCTCTGGACATATGAAGTGCTGGCTTCCCCTTTGCCTTCCACCATGATTGTAAGTTTCCTGAGGCCTCCCTAGAAACCAAGCAGATGCTGTCATTCTTCCTGTACAGCCTGCAGAATTGTGAGCCAATGAAACCTCTTTTCTTTATAAATTACTCAGTCTCAGGCCTTTCTTTCTTTCTTATTTCTTTTTTTTTGTTTGTTTTTGAGACAGAGTCTGGCTCTGTCACCCAGGCTGGAGTACAGTGGTGTGATCTTGGCTCTTTGCAACCTTCACCTCCCAGGCTCAAGCCAACCTCCCACCTCAGCCTCTAGAGTAGCTGGAATCACAGGTGTGTACCACCACGCGTGACTAATTTCTGTATTTTTTGTAGAGACAGGGTTTCACCCTGGTCTCAAACTTCTGAGCTCAGGCGATCTACCTGCTTCAGCCTCCCAAACCGCTGGGATTACAGGTGTGAGCCACCATGCCCAGCCTAGGTATTTCTTGATAGGAGCGTGAGAACAGACTAATACAAGATTGAAAGGAGGAAGGCCAAGGCAGGTGCTAGTAGTTAGATATATATAAGTGCAGTCGAGAATCAGGAATAAAGCCTTGCCAACTGCCCTCTCAGTAGTTTAAAACCTTCAGAAATCTAAATTTAGCAGTTTTATAGGTGATTACTAAGAATTTGTCTCTGCCAGCCAAAGTCAAGAAAGCAAAGAAGAGAATCGTGGTTGCCAGGGGCTGAGGGGAGGGGAAAATGGGGAGTTGCTAATCAAAGGGCAAAAAATCAGTTATGCAGGATGCATAAGCCCCAGAGATCTGCTATGCAACATTCTGTATGTGCACAGCAATTACTATATTGAACACTTAAGAATCTGGTGGGAGGGTAGATGTGGTAAGTGTTAAGTGTTCCTTACTACATTAAAATTTAAAAAAGAAAAAAAAACAGTATGTATGACCTTGTGGGGGAAAAATAAAAAACCTTTAGGTAAAAGAGGTCAGTTTTTTTTTCCTTTTTTTTTATAATCATTTTTTTAATTTTATTATTATTATACTTTAAGTTTTAGGGTACATGTACACAATGTGCAGGTTAGTTACATATGTATACATGTGCCATGCTGGTGCGCTGCACCCATTAACTCATCATTTAGCATTAGGTATATCTCCTAATGCTATCCCTCCCCCCTCCCCCCACCCCACAACAGTCCCCAGAGTGTGATGTTCCCCTTCCTGTGTCCATGTGTTCTCATTGTTCAATTCCCACCTAGGAGTGAGAACATGCAGTGTTTGGTTTTTTGTCCTTGCGATAGTTTACTGAGAATGATGATTTCCAATTTCATCCATGTCCCTACAAAGGACATGAACTCATCATTTTTTATGGCTGCATAGTATTCCATGGTGTATATGTGCCACATTTTCTTAATCCAGTCTATCATTGTTGGACATTTGGGTTGGTTCCAAGTGTTTGCTATTGTGAATAGTGCCACAATAAACATATGTGTGCATGTGTCTTTATAGCAGCATGATTTATAGTCCTTTGGGTATATACCCAGTAATGGGATGGCTGGGTCAAATGGTATTTCTAGTTCTAGATCCCTGAGGAATCGCCACACTGACTTCCACAATGGTTGAACTAGTTTACAGTCCCACCAACAGTGTAAAAGTGTTCCTGTTTCTCCACATCCTCTCCAGCACCTGTTGTTTCCTGACTTTTTAATGATTGCCATTCTAACTGGTGTGAGATGGTATCTCATTGTGGTTTTGATTTGCATTTCTCTGATGGCCAGTGATGATGGGCATTTTTTCATGTGTCTTTTGGCTGCATAAATGTCTTCTTTTGAGAAGTGACTGTTCATGTCCTTTGCCCACTTTTTGATGGGGTTGTTTGTTTTTTTCTTGTAAATTTGTTTGAGTTCATTGTAGATTCTGGATATTAGCCCTTTGTCAGATGAGTAGGTTGTGAAAATTTTCTCCCATTCTGTAGGTTGCCTGTTCACTCTGATGGTAGTTTCTTTTGCTGTGCAGAAGCTCTTTAGTTTAATTAGATCCCATTTGTCAATTTTGTCTTTTGTTGCCATTGCTTTTGGTGTTTTAGACATGAAGTCTTTGCCAATGCCTATGTCCTGAATGGTAATGCCTAGGTTTTCTTCTAGGGTTTTTATGGTTTTAGGTCTAACGTTTAAGTCTTTAATCCATCTTGAATTAATTTTTGTATAAGGTGTAAGGAAGGGATCCAGTTTCAGCTTTCTACATATGGCTAGCCAGTTTTCCCAGCACCATTTATTAAATAGGGAATCCTTTCCCCATTGCTTGTTTTTCTCAGGTTTGTCAAAGATCAGATAGTTGTAGATATGCGGCGTTATTTCTGAGGGCTCTGTTCTGTTCCATTGATCTATATCTCTGTTTTGGTACCAGTACCATGCTGTTTTGGTTACTGTAGCCTTGTAGTATAGTTTGAAGTCAGGTAGCATGATGCCTCCAGCTTTGTTCTTTTGGCTTAGGATTGACTTGGCGATGCGAGCTCTTTTTTGGTTCCATATGAACTTTAAAGTAGTTTTTTCCAATTCTGTGAAGAAAGTCATTGGTAGCTTGATGGGGATGGCATTGAATCTATAAATTACCTTGGGCAGTATGGCCATTTTCATGATATTGATTCTTCCTACCCATGAGCATGGAATGTTCTTCCATTTGTTTGTATCCTCTTTTATTTCATTGAGCAGTGGTTTGTAGTTCTCCTTGAAGAGGTCCTTCATGTCCCTTGTAAATTGGATTCCTAGGTATTCTCTTTGAAGCAATTGTGAATGGGAGTTCACTGATGATTTGGCTCTCTGTTTGTCTGTTATTGGTGTATAAGAATGCTTGTGATTTTTGTACAATGATTTTGTATCCTGAGACTTTGCTGAAGTTGCTTATCAGCTTAAGGAGATTTTGGGCTGACACAGTTGGGTTTTCTAGATATACAATCACGTCATCTGCAAACAGGGACAATTTGACTTCCTCTTTTCCTAATTGAATACCCTTTATTTCCTTCTCCTGCCTAATTGCCCTGGCCAGAACTTCCAACACCATGTTGAATAGGAGTGGTGAGAGAGGGCATCCCTGTCTTGTGCCAGTTTTCAAAGGGAATGCTTCCAGTTTTTGCCCATTCAGTATGATATTGGCTGTGGGTTTGTCATAGACAGCTCTTATTATTTTGAGATATGTCCCATCAATACCTAATTTATTGAGAGTTTTTTAGCATGAAGGGTTGTTGAATTTTGTCAAAGGCCTTTTCTGCATCTATTGAGATAATCATGTGGTTTTTGTCTTTGGTTCTGTTTATATGCTGGATTACATTTATTGATTTGAGTATGTTGAACCAGCCTTGCATCCCAGGGATGAAGCCCACTTGATCATGGTGGATAAGCTTTTTGATGTGCTGCTGGATTTGGTTCGCCAGTATTTTATTGAGGATTTTTGCATCAATGTTCATCAAGGATATTGGTCTAAAATTCTCTTTTTTGGTTGTGTCTCTGCCCAGCTTTGGTATCAGGATGATGCATGCTGGCCTCATAAAATGAGTTAGGGAGGATTTCCTCTTTTTCTATTGATTGGAATAGTTTCAGAAGGAATGGTACCAGTTCCTCCTTGTACCTCTGGTAGAATTTGGCTGTGAATCCATCTGGTCCTGGACTCTTTTTGGTTGGTAAGCTATTGATTATTGCCAAAATTTCAGATCCTGTTATTGGTCTATTCAGAGATTCAACTTCTTCCTGGTTTAGTCTTGGGAGAGTGTATGTGTCGAGGAATTTATCCATTTCTTCTAGATTTTCTAGTTTATTTGCGTAGAGTTGTTTGTAGTATTCTCTGATGGCAGTTTGTATTTCTGTGGGATCAGTGGTGATATCCCCTTTATCATTTTTTATTGCATCTATTTGATTCTTCTCTCTTTTTTCTTTATTAATCTTGCTAGCAGTCTATCAATTTTGTTGATCCTTTCAAAAAACCAGCTCCTGCATTCATTAATGTTTTGAAGGGTTTTTTGTGTGTCTGTTTCCTTCAGTTCTGCTCTGATTTTAGTTATTTCTTGCCTTCTGCTAGCTTTTGAATGTGTTTGCTCTTGCTTTTCTAGTTCTTTTAATTGTGATGTTAGGGTGTCAGTTTTGGATCTTTCCTGCTTTCTCTTGTGGGCATTTAGTGCTATGAATTTCCCTCTACACACTGCTTTGAATGCGTCCCAGAGATTCTGGTACGTTGTGTCTTTGTTCTCATTGGTTTCAAAGAACATCTTTATTTCTGCCTTCATTTCGTTATGTACCCAGTAGTCATTCAGGAGCAGGTTGTTCAGTTTCCATGTAGTTGAGCGGTTTTGAGTGAGTTTCTTAATCCTGAGTTCTAGTTTGATTGCACTGTGGTCTGAGAGACAGTTTGTTATAATTTCTGTTCTTTTACATTTGCTGAGGAGAGCTTTACTTCCAAGTATGTGGTCAATTTTGGAATAGGTGTGGTGTGGTGCTGAAAAAAATGTATATTCTGTTGATTTGGGCTGGAGAGTTCTGTAGATGTCTATTAGGTCCGCTTGGTGCAGAGCTGAGTTCAATTCCTGGGTATCCTTGTTAACTTTCTGTCTCGTTGATCTGTCTAATGTTGACAGTGGGGTGTTAAAGTCTCCCACTATTAATGTGTGGGAGTCTAAGTCTCTTTGTAGGTCACTCAGGACTTGCTTTATGAATCTGGGTGCTCCTGTATTGGGTGCATATATATTTAGGATAGTTAGCTCTTCTTGTTGAATTGATCCCTTTACCATTATGTAATGGCCTTCTTTGTCTCTTTTGATCTTTGTTGGTTTAAAGTCTGTTTTATCAGAGACTAGGATTGCAACCCCTGCCTTTTTTTGTTTTCCATTTGCTTGGTAGATCTTCCTCCATCCTTTTATTTTGAGCCTATGTGGGTCTCTGCATGTGAGATGGGTTTCCTGAATACAGCACACTGATGGGTCTTGACTCTTTATCCAATTTGCCAGTCTGTGTCTTTTAATTGGAGCATTTAGTCCATTTACATTTAAAGTTAATATTGTTATGTGTGAATTTGATCCTGTCATTATGATGTTAGCTGGTTATTTTGCTCGTTAGTTGATGCAGTTTCTTCCTAGTCTCGATGGTCTTTACATTTTGGCATGATTTTGCAGCGGCTGGTACCGGTTGTTCCTTTCCATGTTTAGTGCTTCCTTCAGGAGCTCTTTTAGGGCAGGCCTTGTGGTGACAAAATCTCTCAGCATTTGCTTGTCTGTAAAGTATTTTATTTCTCCTTCACTTATGAAGCTTAGTTTGGCTGGATATGAAATTCTGGGTTGAAAATTCTTTTCTTTAAGAATGTTGAATATTGGCCCTCACTCTCTTCTGGCTTGTAGAGTTTCTGCCGAGAGATCCGCTGTTAGTCTGATGGGCTTCCCTTTGTGGGTAACCCGACCTTTCTCTCTGGCTGCCCTTAACATTTTTTCCTTCATTTCAACTTTGGTGAATCTGACAATTATGTGTCTTGGAGTTGCTCTTCTCGAGGAGTATCTTTGTGGCGTTCTCTGTATTTCCTGAATCTGATTGTTGGCCTGCCTTGCTAGATTGGGGAAGTTCTCCTGGATAATATCCTGCAGAGTGTTTTCCAACTTGGTTCCATTCTCCCTGTCACTTTCACGTACACCAATCAGATGTAGATTTGGTCTTTTCACATAGTCCCATATTTCTTGAAGGCTTTGTTCGTTTCTTTTTATTCTTTTTTCTCTAAACTTCCCTTCTCGCTTCATTTTATTCATTTCAACTTCCATCACTGATACCCTTTCTTCCAGTTGATCACATCAGCTCCTGAGGCTTCTGCATTCTTCACTTAGTTCTCGAGCCTTGGCTTTCAGCTCCATCAGCTCCTTTAAGCACTTCTCTGTATTGATTATTCTAGTTATACATTCGTCTAAATTTTTTTTTCAGTTTTTAACTTCTTTGCCTTTGGTTTGAATTTCCTCCTGTAGCTCAGAGTAGTTTGAGCATCTGAAGCCTTCTTCTCTCAGCTCGTCAAAGTCATTCTCCATCCAGCTTTGCTGCGTTGCTGGTGAGGAACTGCGTTCCTTTGGAGGAGGAGAGGCACTCTGCTTTTTAGAGTTTCCAGTTTTTCTGCTCTGTTTTTTCCCCATCTTTGTGGTTTTATCTACTTTTGGTCTTTGATGATGGTGATGTACGGATGGGTTTTTGGTGTGGATGTCCTTTCTGTTTGTTAGTTTTCCTTCTAACAGACAGGACCCTCAGCTGCAGGTCTGTTGGAGTTTGCTAGAGGTCCACTCCAGACCCTGTTTGCCTGGGTATCAGCAGCGGTGGCTGCAGAACAGCAGATTTTCGTGAACCGCGAATGCTGCTGTCTGATCGTTCCTCTGGACGTTTTGTCTCAGAAGAGTACCCGGCCGTGTGAGGTGTCAGTCTGCCCCTACTGGGGGGTGCCTGCCAGTTAGGCTGCTCGGGGGTCAGGGGTCAGGGACCCACTTGAGGAGGCAGTCTGCCCGTTCTCAGATCTCCAGCTATGTGCTGGGAGAACCACTGCTCTCTTCAAAGCTGTCAGACAGGGACATTTAAGTCTGCAGAGGTTACTGCTGTCTTTTTGTTTGTCTGTGCCCTGCCCCCAGAGGTGGAGCCTACAGAGGCAGGCAGGCCTCCTTGAGCTGTGGCGAGCTCCACCCAGTTCGAGCTTCTCGGCTGCTTTGTTTACCTAAGCAAGCCTGGGCAATGGCGCACCCGTCCCCCAGCCTCGCTGCTGCCTTGCAGTTTGATCTCAGACTGCTGTGCTAGCAATCAGCGAGACTCCGAGGGCGTAGAACCCTCCAAGCCAGGTGCGGGATATAATCTCCTGGTCCGTGGTTTTTTAAGCCCGTCAGAAAAGCACAGTATTAGGATAGGAGTGACCCAATTTTCCAGGTGCCATCTGTCACCCCTTTCTTTGACTAGGAAAGGGAACTCCCTGAACCCTTGCACTTCCTGAGTGAGTCAATGCTTCACCCTGCTTTGGCTCATGCATGGTGCACTGCAACCACTGTCCTGCGCCCACTGTCTGGCACTCCCTAGTGAGATGAACCTGGTACCTCAGATGGAAATGCAGAAATCACCCATCTTCTGCGTCGCTCACACTGGGAGCTGTAGACTGGAGCTGTTCCTATTTAGCCTTCTTGGCTGCCCCCTCTTTTCTTTAAATTCAATATTTTCTGACCATTGTGAATGGAAGTGGCTTTCAAAGATGGGGCTATGTATCTATTCTAGTCCATTTCCTCACAATCTATCATTATAAGGCTAAATACCATGGGGCACAGAGATGCTTAAGAAAGAAAACTGAAGGAGAGAGGGTGGGGTTTGGAACAGAATTAGCATTTGTTGACCAGGTATCAGTTGATATTATCTCATATATTGTTTGCAAGAAGCCTGTGTCTATTTCCTATTTATAGATGATTAAACAGAGGTGAGAGAAGTTAATAAACATGTCCAGGTTGACAAAACTAGGAAGTGGCAGAGTTGACATTCATATCTTTTTTTGTAGGACTCCAAACCCCACCCCCCCTTTTTTTTCCCCATTAAACCATGAGGCCTCTGGACAAGATGAAGTATCTGACCTTTCAGCTTCTGGTACTGAAGAGAGCATTGCAGGTAGGCATCCTCTTTGATGAGATATGAGATGTCAAACCAACATATTATGATTACACACTATATAACTTCCAAGACATTTGTATATATTGATTATGATCTGGCTACAGGACATAATATTTGACTGCCAAAGATTAAAGTATATTTCGTCTTCTTTTTTTTTTGAGATGGAGTTTCACTCTTGTTGCTTAGGCTGGAGTGCAACGGTGCCATCTGGGCTCACTGCAACCTCTGCTTCCTGGGTTCAAGTGATTCTCCTGTCTCAGCCTCCTGAGTACCTGGGATTACAGGCAACTGCCACTATGCCTGGGTAATTTCTGGTATTTTTAGTAGAGATGGGGTTTCACCATGTTTGCCAGGCTGGTCTTGAACTCCTGACCTCAGGTGATCCACCCGCCTTGGCTTCCCAAAGTGCTGGGATTACAGGTGTGAGCCACTGATCCCAGCCTAGTTAAAGTATATTTCTATTGCTTATTACTTAAACATATAATGCTTAGAAAAGGAAAGGCTGATTAAAGCACACAGTTACAGGAAAATTTTCCAGATATGTTATTTTCTATTTAAAGCAACCATTTAACATTTTATTTGCGGTTCCAGAATTTTGTTTCACAAATATTTCTGAGCCTCACAGAGGCTTTAGATGTGTTATGAAAACTTTACTGAAGTGAACACAGTGGTGTATTACTAAAGGATGGGTGAAATAGAAACCTTTTTTTTTAGCTACATTTCTTATTGATAGATTGAACTCACCTTCTTTGAAGCCCCATTCCCGAAACTATAGATCAGACCCTCAGTGTTGTTATGGAACGTGCTAACGTAGTCCTCTACACAGTCCCATCCTTCCCATGCATGCTACTAAGCTAAGACCTGTGACTGCCTCACCTCCCTTCAACCCTAGTCTGCGAAGAAACTGCCTTTGAACTTCTTAGTGATGGCAGTCTGTCCCCTCGTCACCAGTGCATTCCTGACGATCTTGGTGAAAGCTATCTGTGTTCTCTGGGCTTCCCATGGAACATGCTTATCTGTTGGACCTTCTAGACTCATGTCATTTATCCATTTTAGCAAGTATATTCCCTTAGCTCCTTTATTTCTTCCTCTATCACCTGCTAGGGAAATGCAGGCATTTCTACATTGCTGAAAGCTGACCATTGTTTTTTTCCAGGTTTCTAAGAGCCACAGTAGCAATGAGTTTGTCTCATTCCCTCCATACCTTGCTAGAACATTAAACTGTGTTAAATAAAATACTTCTAATTCAATGAAATCTTGCTTATCCAGCTTTACGTTTTTGTCTCCTTGATCAAGCATCCTCAAATTCAAATCACAGGAGAACTTCCCTGACTCCTGCCAGTTCTTAGGGATGTAGTCTTTTAGGCATATAATTGCTTTCTGCTCCTATCAGACTCAGCATATCCCTAGCCTGGTTATGATGAAATTTTTCCCTATTTAGCAGTCCGGAAGGCAGAAGAGAAGATGTGGCAGCTCCTGAGTGGGGCACTGTATTAGTTTCCCGTGGTTGCTGTAATAAATTACCACAGGCCACTTTGGCAGGTGGATCACGAGGTCAAGAGATTGAGACCATCCTGGCCAACATGTTGAAACCCTGTCTCTACTAAAAATACAAAAATTAGCTGGGCGTGGTGGTGCATGCCTTTAGTCCCAGCTACACAGGAGGCTGAGGCAGGAGAATTGCTTGAATCTGGGAGGCGGAGGTTGCAGTGAGCCGAGATCACGCCACTGCACTCCAGCTTGTCAACAGTGTGAGACTCTGTCTCAAAAAAAAAAAAAATTAAAAAAAATAAATAAATTACCACAGGCTTCGTGACATACAATAATACAAATATTTTGTCTTTTAGTTCTGAAAGTCAGAAGTTCTAAAATCAAGATGCTAGCCAGAGAGAAGTTGTTTCTTTGAATTTTCTAACTCCTGGAAGCCACTTGCCTTTTTTGAGTTATGGCTTCTTCCTCCACCTTCAAGTCCTGCAACATAGCATCTCCATTCTCTCTCTCTCTCTCTGACTTCTGCTTTCATTGTTGTGCCTTCCTCTCTGACACTGACCCTACTGCCTTCCTCTTACAAGAACTTTTTTTATATTTAAATACTTTTTGATGCATTATATTTGTACATATTTATGGGGTACATGTGAAATTTTGTTATATGCATAGAATGGGTAATGATCAATTCAGGGTATTCAGGGTATTCATCACCTAAGGATTTAGCATTTTCATGTGTTGGGTACATTTCAAGTCCTCTTCTGGCTATTTTGAAAAGTATAATACAGTGTTGTTAATTATAGCCACGCTGCTTTTCTATCAAAGATTGAATGTATTTCTTCTATCTAACTGTGTTTGTACCCATTAACCAACTCTCTTCATTCCCTCTTCTACACATACACCCTTTCCGGTCTCTGTTATCTATTATTCCACTCACTACCTCTATATGATCATTTTTTTTTTTTTTAGCTCTCACATAGGAATTAGAATATGGAATACTTGTCTTCTGTGCCTGGCTTATTTCACTTAGCATATTAACCTCAAGTTCCACCCGTCTTGCTGAAAATGATATTATTTCATCCTTTTTTATTGCTAAATAATATTTCATTGTGTATATATACCACAGATTTTTTGTTTTTTTGTTTTTACCCATTCATCCATTGATGGACAGTTACGTTGATTCCATATCTTTGCTATTGTGAATAGTGCTGTAACAAATATGGCAGTGTGGTAATCACTTTGATATATTGATTTCTTTGCCTTTGGATAAATACCTAACAGTGAGACTTCTGGGTTATATAGCAATTCTATTTTAATTTTTTTGAGAATCTTCATACTGTTTTCCATAGTGGCTGTATTAACTTACATTTCCACTAACAGTGTATAAGAGCTCCCTTTTCCCTTTTCTCTGTAATCTCATCAGTATCTGTTATGTTTTGTCTTTTGGTAACAGCCATTCTAACTGGGGTAAGTTATCTCACTGTGGTTTTGGTTTGCATTTCTCTGATAATTAATGATGTTGAACATTTTTTCATATACATGTTGGCTATTTGTATGTCTTCGTTTGAGAAAGGTCTATTCATGTCCTTTGCTCATTTTTAAATGGGATTTTTTTAAAACTGTTGAGTTGTTTGAGTTCCTTGTATACTCTGGATATTAATTCCCTGTCGAATGAGTAGTTTACAAATATTTTCTCCCATCCAAGAGGTTGCCTCTTCACTCTGTTGACTATTTTCTTTGCTGTATAGAAGCTGTTTAGTTTAATGTAGTTCCATTTGCCTATTTTTGTTTTAGTTGCCTATGCTTTTGTGGTCTCAGCCATTAATCCTCTGCCTAGATCAATATCCTTTTAATAGTTTTATAATTTCAGGTCTTATGTTTAAGTCTTTAGTCCATCTTGAGTTGATTTTTGTATATGGTGAGAGATAGGGGTCCAGTTTCATTCTTCTGTATATGATTATCCAGTTTTCCTAGAATCACTTATTGAAGAGGGTGTCCTTTTCCAGTGTCTGTTCTTGATGGCTTTATCAAAAGATCAGTTGACTATAAATGTGTGGATTTATTTCTGGGTTCTGTTGCACTGGTTTAAGTATCTATTTTTATAACAATACCATGCTTTTTTGGTTACTATAGTTTTGTAATATATTTTGAAGTCACGCAGTGTAAGGCCTCCAGCTTTGTTCTTTTTATGCAGGATTGCTGTGGCTGTTCTGGCTCTTTTTTGATTGCATATGAATTTTAGGATTTTCTTTCTATTTCTGTTAATAATGACACTAGTATTTTGATAGGAATTTCATTCAATGTGTAGATTGTTTTGGAAAGTATGGTCATCTTAACAATATCAATTATGCCAACCCATGAGCATGGAATGTCTTTTCATTTGTTTGCATCGTCTTCAATTGTTTTCATCAGTGTTTAGAATGCTTTGAGCCCACCCAAATAATCCAGGATAATCTTCATACCGCAGTATTCTAATTAATTACTTGTGCAAGGTCCTTTCTGCCATGTAACGTAACATATTCAGAGATTATAGAAATTAGGACCTGACATCTTTTTGTGTGTGTGGCAGGGTGGTGGAGGGCGTGGGGCTATTATTTCATTTACCACTGGCATGTGTTGTTTTATGGGAGAGGGGCATCTGCAGTGGGAAATGCTAGTCCTTATTAGAGGAATGGTGGGCTACCTCATGCCAGCGACTATCCATGCCCCTCCTTCCAACTGGGGTGCTGTCTTCTTCCTCTGCTGGGTGGTGGTTAGCCAGTTCTAATCCTCAACTCATTGCCTGTTTCTGAGGATCACTCCTGGCACCACTTTTGTTATTCCAGGTCTTCTGGGAAGTAGATGCCAAGACTGGATTAAACATGTGGGGAAACAGCTGGAAACATCTGGGAAAATGCCATATGAAGGAAAATGGGGAGGGGACTGAGATAGACTTGGAGAGCCTTCACAGTGTGAAGCAAGTGTGACCCTGAGAAGCAAGTGTGACCCTGAATGGATATCCCCCTCCTTCTGAGGGAAGTTCAGTAGTGCCCCTGGGGGGTCCTAAATCAAAGCTGGCCATCAGAGGAGAGCCTTTGTGTCCTAAGAATGGGTTAGCCTTGATACAATCAGTCATTGGCCAGGAGCAGCCTATGGGAGGTATACCCTTGGCACAAACCTGATGCTGGATTCCAGAGCTTGTTCTATTATCCTCCTGTCTTGGAAGATCTGTGAGGAACATTCTCATGCTGCCACAGACATCATTTTGGCTTTCAAACATTAGGGTATGTACTTTCAGTCGGGTGCAGTGGCTCACATCTGTAATTCCAACACTTGGGGAAGCTGAGGCAGGTGGATCACTTGGGGTCAGGAGTTCGAGATCAGCCTGGCCAACATGGTAAAACCCCATCTCTACTAAAAATACAAAAAATTAGCCGGGTGTGGTGGCAGGTGCCTATAGCCCCAGCTATTTGGGAGGCTGAGGCAGGAGAATGGTGTGAACCTGGGAGGTGGAGCTTGCAGTGAGCCGAGATCATGCCACTGCACTTCAGCCTGGGTGACAAAGTGAGACTCCGTCTCAAAAAAAGAAAAAAACTTAATAAATAAAAATGCAAAAATTAGTTGGGTGCATTAGTGTGTGCCTGTAATCCCAGCTACTCAGGAGGCTGAGGTATGAGAATCTCATGAGCCTGGGAGGTGTCACCCTTGCCAAGATGGATCCACTGCACTCCAGTTTGGGAAACAGAGCGAGATTCTGTCTCAAAAACAACAACAACAACAACAAACATTAGGAGATATACTTTAAACAATAAACATGTAACTATAAAATTACCACACGAGCCTCAAGAATGTAGTTTAAATACTGTAAAAAAAAGTGTTGTAAACATCCTTGAAAGTTAAAAGAAAGAGCACAAGCATTTAAAACAAGAAAAACATCATGGGTGTCTGTGATGGACCTTGAAGGATGATTGAGATTCTGATGGATTAATATTGGTTGAGGGGAGAAGGCATCCTTCATGGAGCAAATGATTGAACGTAATTTTAGAAGGAGGATGGTATGCATTGTCTCTGGGAACCAGGAATGGTACAATGACCTGAAGCATCAGGTGTCTGTAGGGAAACAATGATTGATTTGGTGATTAGCTGGGGTCATATAGTGGAGGGCAAGGACTGACAGAATGATTAGGAATTAGTCAAGAAATAGGGAAGGAAAAAATGTTCTAGAAGACACAGCAAGTGCAAGAAGAGGTAGATTTGAATAAAGATGATGAGGTCTAAGGGAGAAGAGTGAAGATAGCCATATTAATCAATACTAAAGGTAGGATTATTATTAGATCTTTGGGATCTAATAATAATTAATGAATTAATTAGATCTTTGGGATCTAATAATAAGATTTGTTTGGGAATTGTGAGAATCATTATGTTAAAATAATTTTAACATGGTAGCTGATTGTATTAGGGAGTAATGGCCAGATGAGAGTGGAAATAAAGACTCCAAGCCAAAAGTTGGAGAGTGAGAGATGAAAAATGTTGTGGAATTCTGTAGATTATAATAAAGATGAAAAAAAGAGGCAGACATAAGTAAGTGGCATGAATTACTAAAGAGTTGTTGGGATAATGAAGTACCCTGTTTTTGTTTTCCCAGAATATGAGCGTCCATCATGGACCAACCAATAACTTCAATAAAAGTGCTGTATCCCCTGGCAGATGATGAGTATCTTCAAGATGGTGAGTATCTTCATCTCTGTATCACCAGGACCTGCCTAAAAAAACAGGTCCATAATACAGTCTGTAAGAAACTATTACATAAATGAATGAGAAATGGATATCAGGAAAGAAAAAAACCAATTATCAATCGGGTATGTGCTGAGAGATGAGCAATGTCAGGCACTTTTGCCTACACCATTTTACTAATTTTCCAACAATTCAGTGAGTTAGATCTTATCCCCATTTAAGAAATGAAGATATTGAGGTTTTGAGGGCTTTAATAATGACTCGAGTTCCCATGATTAGTAAATGGCAAAAACACAGAGCAGGATGCTGGGTTGGGCAGCGGATGACAGCAGGAATGTTCTCCGTTGAAGAAGGCTTTGATATGGTTTTGAAGAAACCTGGTTTTGGTTAACACTAGGAAATTGAAGGAGTTTGTGAGAAGAAAGGTGCAATTTAGTGGTGAGACAATGAACATCCAGATGATGCAGTGAAAATGAGACTTTTCATTGACACTGAGTAGGAGCGAGTAGGGTTAGAATGGTCCAGTAATTGAACATTGATGAGAGGTTGGAAAGATACAGTTTCAAGAAAGGATTTGAAAACCCAGGATTTAGGAAGCGTTTATTTGATATCACTTGCAGTTTGCTGAGGAACTGGGGCACAGAATAGAAAACAGTGGATCAAGTAATATCATGTATTGTTATCTATTGCTATGTAATAAATCATCCCTGAAGTTAGTGGATTACAAGAATATGTATTTTCACACAGTTTGTGTAGATCAGGAATCTGGGAATGGCTTGACTGGATCCTCCAGCCCAGGGATTCATACAAGGCTGCAATCAAGGTATCAGCCAAGGCTGCGGTCATCTCAAGGCGTAACTGGGGCAAGATCTGCTTTCAAGCTTACTCACAATGCTGTTTGCAGAATTCAGTTCCTGCTGGGCTATTGGACTAAGAGCTACAGTTTCTTAGTACTTAGCCTCTCCAGAGGGCAGCTCACAATAGAGTAGCTGACTTTATCAAAGTGAGAAAGTGAGAAAGAGCAAGAGAGTGCCAGCAGGATAGAAGTCACAGCCTTTTATAACCTACTTTCAGAAGTAATAGCCCATCACTTTTGTTACTTAGAAGGAAGTCATTAGGTCTAGGCCACCCATGGTGAGGGGTTACACAAGAACATACCTACCAGAAGGCAAGGATCACTGGGGGCTATTTTAGAAGTAGTCTACTCCAAAGTGGTTCACCAGAAACGAGTTGCTCTTTCTCAACAAAGAATTAGAGGTAAAGTTGTTGAGAGAGAGTTTAACATGACATAAAAGAAGAATTGGTTATGAATCATGGCATTCGGATCTATAAGGAAGTAGAATGATTTATCATCCTCAGATTGACCTTTTTGATTCACTTTCTTCAATGGGCTTTCTGGAAAGAAGTTACCTGGCACCTTACCTGACTCTCTCTCAATTGAAGTGTTGGTTAAGGTAGAATGGCCTCACCAATCTTTCAGTGTCTCATCCTTATTTGAACATTCGATCGTACAGTAGATTTGCAGTCTTATAGTGTGTCAATGACAGCACCACTTTTTCCAAATCTTATCCAGTGATTCAGTAATAAAGGCATTTCTTGTGATTCTGGAGCCTCAGCTAAGCTTTGAAACACACGTTCTGTGGCAGGGCAAGTTTTTTCATGGTCTTCAGTGGCCAAAGAACAACAGTGATTGTGATAAGTTCCTAGATGGAATGATAATCTGTTGCAGGTATTCAATAAAGAAGAATCCAAACATATTAGTTTTTAAGTTTTTGTTTAAATTTAATTAATGAATTAATAAATTAATTAGTTTTCCAGATGGCATCTCACTCTATTGCCCAGTCTGGAGTGCAGTGGTGCAGTTATAGCTCACTGTAGCCTCAAACTCCTGGGCTCAAGCATTTCTCCCACCTCAGCCTCCCAAGAAGCTGGGAGTACAGGGTTCACCACCCTGCCTGGCTAATTTTTTAAAATTTCTTTTTAGAGATGGGGTCTCACTTTGTTGGCCATGCTGGTATTGAACTCCTGGCTTCAAGCAGTTCTCCCTCCTCAGACTCCCAAAGTACTAGGATCACAGATGTGAGCCACCACACCCAGCACCTAGCCTCTTAGTGGGGAGAGGGAACACCTTTTTTTTTCAATCCTCTGGAAACCAGAAACTTGTTACTGTGGATTTTAAAGGAATTTCAAAGGTCTTCTACATTTTTGTGGGAGACAAACTCAACCAAAACGCTTTCTCCTCATGAGGGTACTAAGACAACTCAAGGGTAAAATAATAGTTTTTTTTTGTCCTGGCGCAGTGGCTCACGCCTGTAATCCCAGCACTTTGGGAGGCCGAGGTGGGCGGATCACGAGGTCAGGAAGTCGAGACCATCCTGGCTAACACGGTGAAACCCTCTCTCTACTAAAAAAAAAAGTACAAAAAATTAGCCGGGCGCGGTGGTGGGCGCCTGTAGTCCCAACTACTCGGGAGGCTGAGGCAGGGGAATGGCGTTAACCCGGGAGGCGGAGCTTGCAATGAGCCGAGATTGTGCCACTGCACTCCAGCCTGGGCGACAGAGCGAGACTCCATCTCAGAAAGAAACAAACAAACAAACAAAAATAATAGTTTTTTTTTAATAGTGCTGGACAAGTGTTACCTACATGTAAAAGAATATAGTTAGATCCCTATCTTATATACAAAAATTAACCAAAAATAGATAAAAATCTAAATGTAAGAGCTAAAACTATACAACTCTTAGTAGAAAACAGAAGAGTACATCTTTGTGATAGTGGATTAGGCTGTAGTTTATTAGACATAACCAAAAACAACAAAAGGAAGAATAGATAAATTTGACTTCATCAAAATTAAAAACTTCTGTGTTACAAAGGATACCATCAGTGAAAAGGCAACCCCACAGATGGGGAGAAGAGATTTGCAAGTCATGTATATGATAAGGGATTTGTATCCAAAGCATATAAAGAACGCTTACAACTCAGGAAAAAAATAAAAATGAAAAGGCACAGAACCCAATTTGAATTCAGGCAAAGGATTAGAACAGACATTTCTCTAAAGATGACATACAAATGGTCAATACACACATACAAGGATTCTCAACATCTGTTAGTCATCAGAGAAATGAAAATGAGAACCACAATGAGTTAACACTTCACACCTGCTAGGATGGGAATAATAAAAATGACAGATAATAAGAAGCGTCAGTGAGTTAATGGAGAAATTGGAGGCTCAGACTTTGATGGTGGGAATGTAAAATGGCACAGCTGCTTTGACAAACAGTTTGGGATTTTGTCAAAAAGTTAAACATGGGCTGGGCGCCATGGCTCACACCTGTGATCCCAGCACTTTAGGAGGGAAAGGCAGGCAGATCACTTGAGGTTAGCAGCCTGACCAGCATGGTAAAACCCCATCTCTACTAAAAATACAAAAAATTAGCTGGGCATGGTTGTGCATGCCTGTAATCCCAGCTACTCGGGAGGCTGAGGCATGAGAATTGTTTGACTCCAGGAGGCAGAGGTTGAAGTGAGCCATGATCGCGCCACTGCACTCCAGCCTGGGTGATGGAGTAAGACTCCGTCTCAAAAAAAAAAAAAAAAATTAAATTAAATTAAATTAAAAAAAAGGTTAAAAACAGATTTGCTGTATGATCCTGTAGTTCCACTCCTAAGTATATACCTAAGAGAACTGAAAATACATGTCCACACAAAATCTTGTACATAAATATTCATAGCAGCATTGCTAATGTAAAAACAATCCAAATATCTATCAACTGATGAGTGGATAAATAAAATATTTGTTCTTTTTTTTTTTTTTTTTTTTAAGACGGAGTCTCTCTCTGTCCCCAGGCTGGAGTGCAGTGGTGTGATCTTGGCTCACGGCAACCTCTGCCTCCCTGGTTCAAGCGATTCTCCTGCCTCAGCCTCCTGAGTAGCTGGAACTACAGGTGCACGCCACCATGCCCAGCTAATTTTTGTATTTTTAGTAGAGACAGGGTTTCACCATGTTGGCCAGGATGGTCTCAATCTCTTGACCCCGTGATCTGCCTGCCTCAGCCTCCCAAAGTGCTGGGATTACAGGTGTGAGCCACCGTGCCCGGCAAACAAAATATTTATAATACATATAAACATTGGAATATTATTTGGCCATAATAAAGAATCAGGCACTGACACATCCTCCAACATGCATGGGCCTTAGAGACGTGATGCTAAGGGAGAGGAACCAGATGTAAATCACCACACATTGTATAACTGCATCTATGTAAAATATTCGGAATAGACAAATTCACACATATAAAGTAAGCCGGCAGTGGCTGGGGCTGAAGGGAAGGGGGAAAGGAGAATGAATGTTAATGACTATGGGGTTTCTTTCTAGGGTGATGAAAACATTCTGCAAATAGATAGTGGTGATCAATGCACAACTTTGTGAATATACTAAAAAAAATCACTGAATTGTACACATTAAAAGGGTAAATTTTATGGCATGTAAATTATATTTTCATGAGAGTATTATTTTAAAATAACCGTCCTTTCATCTCAGCCCTTCTGAGTTTTGAAATATAATTAGACAAATGATAGCGTGGATTATGGTGCTGGAGCCTCTGAGCCAATGGTAACCAGTTTAAACTTTTAGTCGTTTACACTCCATTATGCGTTTCTTGTTTTTCATTTTTGTTTTTGTTTTTACTTGAGACAGAGTCTTGCTCTGTCACTCAGGCTGGAGTGCAATGGCATAATCACAGCTCACAGCAGCCTCAACCTCTTGGGCTGAAGCCATCCTCCTGTCTCAGCCTCCGAAGTAGCTGAGACCACAGGCATATGACACCATACCTCGCTAATTTTTACATTTTTTGTAGAGATGAGGTCTTACCATGTCGCCCAGGCTGGTGTCAAACTCCTGAGCTAAAGCAATCCTTTTGCCTCGACCTCCCAGAATGCTGGTGTTACAAGCGTTAGCCACCATGCCCAGACCCATTACGTGTTTTTTATTTATTATATCCTGTTGAATGTATCTAACTCCATCACAAAACCCATCCCATCAACCTAACTGGGTATCATTCAATGAATTGTACACTTCCATTCAGTATGAATATAAAGGCCAGAAAAATCCATTTTTTGTTATTTCAGTCCTTTCAGTTTTCATTAATATTTTGTTTCTAAAGACGAATAATCTAATGAATGTAATTAGATGAGATGCTAACACATGTCACATAAAATCTAAGACAGAGTTCAAGTTCTAACTTCCCATCCCCTGAATTCTCAATTCTGTTTTTAACACTGGAAATAATTGTTTCTTGGCACTGGATCAGATGTATTTAATATATTTTAAAGCACAAGATGTACAATGACAAAAATTAAAAATGCCCCCAAAGAGGAAATTACAGCACATGATAGCTTATTATTATTATTTTTTTAATTTGGCAGTTTTCTGCTAAGTTCAAAGCAGCTGGGGAGAGTAGCAAGTAACAAAGTGAGACAGATTTATGAAGCCCACACTTGGCAATATTTTTGTGTAAAATTAGTCAAAATCATTATACTTGTAGATGAAGAAATGAATTCCAACAAGTTTGCATTTTTTTAAAGAAAAATCGTATTTTGTCTAAGTGAACTGGAAGAACTGAGCAATTTATTGGATTAGTTGATCACCAGCATTGTAACTCACAATAAAATTTGAGGATGTCTGCCAAGCATTGGCTCTCAGAGGAGCAGGATAATAATACACTGATTTTCAATAAGTAGAATTCAGCCCATATTACAGCCTATCTTCCTATCCAAAGAACTGAGGGGAAATAAGCCATTAGAAGAATTTTCCACTGAAACTTCTTTGTTTTGCTCTAATGTATTACTAAAATTTTCTGATAACAAAGAATGAGACAGATATAAATATGCACCATTTTAATAAAAACCCAACTACAATACATCAATTTAAAAATATAATTGAAATGGCTGATTTCAGAGCTGGGGCAGGATGGGCACAAGATGAGCCTGAAATATATTGTTATGCCATAAAATAAAAAAGCACTACATCCATCTACCTATCATGACCTGTCACCAGGAAAAAAATTCAACTCGAAGGGGCTACCACTGGGAAAATCTAGGTTGATTTGAGCATCAAATAATGGAGTACAATAATAAAGTATAAATCACTGGGAAAAAAGAAACTCATGGGTTTATACCAAAAATAAATAGATAAATAAGTGGGAGAGGAGGGCTCTTGCTAATAGCAGAATATTGAGGGCCAGTTGGTAAGTGTCAGGGGAGCACTGGAGTTGAAAACTTATCATTTTCCAACCATCGTGGTATGGATTGGATCCGATAAGAATAATCAATGGATTCTTAATATTAGAGGAAATTTTGTTGGGAAACAGAACATTTGTATGGTTTCAAAGTGTCTCTCTACAGACTGCTTATCTATTGTAAGGAAGTATGATGGTTAATAGAGTGTCAATTTGATTGGATTGAAGGATGCAAAGTATTGATCCTAGGTGTGTCTGTGAGGGTGTTGCCAAAGGAGATTAACATTTGAGTCAGTTGGCTGGGAAAGGCAGATCCACCCTTAATCTGGGTGGGCACCATCTAATCAGCTGCCAGTGCAGCTAGAATATAAAGCAGACAGAAAAACGTGGAAAGACTAGACTGGCCTAGCTTCCCAGACTGCATCTTTCTCCCATGCTGGACCCTTCCTGCCCTCAAACATCAGACTCCAAGTTCTTCAGTTTTGGGACTCGGACTGGCTCTCTTTGCTCCTCAGCTTGCAGATGGCCTACGGTGAGACCTTGTGATCATGTGAGTTAATACTTAATAAACTCAGATATACATATATATGTATCCTATTAGTTCTGTCCCTCTAGAGAACCCTGACTAATACAGGAAGACAAAAAAATACAGTAATTATGCAGTGGAGAATCAGATCACACCTTAACTGCACCTTGACCAGTGGTCCCAGTGACCATCACCCATGAACAGGTGGCCTTGTGTCCCTCCAGGTGTGACACTCCTGGAAGGACACCACATTACCTATGCAGTATTCCATCTGAGAACACATAACTTCAATAAAATCCAAAGGAGAAACATTCTATGAAACAAAAATAGGAATGTATTTTTCCAAAGCATCAATGTCATGAAAGACTGTGGAAATGTTTCAGATTATAAGAGGTCAAAAATAAAAGATAAGTGTTGATAAGGTTATAAAGAAAAGGGAACCCTGGTATACTGTTAGTGGAAATGTAAATTAATACAACCATTATAGAAAACAATTGGGGGTTTCTCAAAAAATTAAAATAGAAATACCACATCATCAGATGAGTAGATTGCAAAAATTTTCTCCCATTCTGTAGGTTGCCTGTTCACTCTGATAGTAGTTTCTTTTGCTGCGCAGACGCTCTTTAGTTTAATTAGATCCCATTTGTCAATTTTGCCTTTTGTTGCTATTGCTTTTGGTGTTTTAGATGTGAAGTCCTTGCCCATGCCTATGTCCTGAATGGTATTGCCTAGGTTTTCTTCTAGGGTGCTTATGGTTTTAAGTCTAACATGTAAGTGTAAGTCTTTAATCCATCTTGAATTAATTTTTGTATAAGATGTAAGGAAGGGATCCAGTTTTAGCTTTCTACATATGGCTAGCCAGTTTTCCCAGCATCATTTATTAAATAGGGAATCCTTTCCCCATTGCTTGTTTTTGTCAGGTTTGTCAAAGATCGGATGGTTGTAGATGTGTGGTATTATTTCTGAGGGCTTTGTTCTGTTCCATTGATCTATATCTGTGTTTTGGTACCAGTACCATGCTGTTTTGTTTAGTATAGCCTTGTAGTATAGTTTGAAGTCAGGTAGCATGATGCCTCCTGCTTTGTTCTTTTGGCTTAGGATTGTCTTGGCAATGTGGGCCCTTTTTTGGTTCCATATGAACTTTAAAGTAGTTTTTTCTAATTCTGTGAAGAAAGTCATTGGTAGCTTGATGGGGATGGCATTGAATCTATAAGTTACCTTGGGCAGTATGGCCATTTTCACAATATTGATTCTTCCTATCCATGAGCATGGAATGTTCTTCCATTTGTTTGTGTCCTCTTTTATTTCGTTGAGCAGTGGTTTGTAGTTCTCCTTGAAGAGGTCCTTCACATCCCTTGTAAGTTGGATTCCTAGGTATTTTATTCTCTTTGAAGCAATTGTGAATGGGAGTTCACTGATGATTTGGCTCTCTGTTTGTCTGTTATTGGTGTATAGGAATGCTTGTGATTTTTGCACATTGATTTTTTATCCTGAGACTTTGCTGAAGTTGCTTATCAGCTTAAGAAGATTTTGCGCTACAATCTACTCATCTGACAAAGGGCTAATATCCAGAATCTACAAAGAACTCAAACAAATTTACAAGAAAAAAAGAAACAACCCCATCAAAAAGTGGGCAAAAGATATGAACAGACACTTCTCAAAAGAAGACATTTATGCAGCCAACAGACACATGAAAAAATGCTCATCATCACTGGCCATCAGAGAAATGCAAATCAAAACCACAATGAGATACCATCTCACACCAGTTAGAATGGCGATCATTAAAAAGTCAGGAAACAACAGGTGCTGGAGAGGATGTGGAGAAATAGGAACACTTTTACACTGTTGGTGGGACTGTAAACTAGTTCAACCAATGTGCAAGTCAGTGTGGCGATTCCTCACGGATCTAGAACTAGAAATACCATTTGACCCAGCCAACCCATTACTGGGTATATACCCAAAGGATTATAAATCATGCTGCTATAAGGACACATGCACACGTATGTTTATTGTGGCACTATTCACAATAGCAAAGACTTGGAACCAACCCAAATGTCCATCAGTGATAGACTGGATTAAGAAAATGTGGCACATATACACCATGGAATACTATGCAGCCATAAAAAATGATGTGTTCATGTCCTTTGTAGGGACATGGATGAAGCTGGAAACCATCACTCTCAGCAAACTATCGCAAGGACAAAAAAACCAAACACCGCATGTTCTTACTCATAGGTGGGACTTGAACAATGAGAACACATGGACACAGGAAGGGGAACATCACACACCGGGGCCTGTTGTGGGGTGGGGGGAGGGGGGAGGGATAGCGTTAGGAGATATGCCTAATGTAAATGACGAGTTAATGGGTGCAGCACACCAACATGGCCCATGTATACATATGTAACAAACCTGCACGTTGTGCGCATGCACCCTATAACTTAAAGTATAATTAAAAAAAAAAAAGAAATACCACATCATTCAACAACCCCACTTCTGGGTATATAAACAAAGGGAGTGAAATCAGTATGTTGAAGAGCTGTCTGCACTGCCATGTTCATTGCAACACTATTCATAATAGCCAAGATATGGAATCAACCTAAGTGTTCGTCCATGGATGAATGAAGAAATGTGGCATCTATACACAATGGATTACTATTCAGCTTTAAAAAAGAGGGAAAGTCTGTCATTTGCAACAACATGGATGAACCTGGAGGTTGCTATGTTAAGTAAAATAAACCAGGCACAGAAAGACAGATATCATAGGATCTCACTCATCTGTGGAATGCAGAAATGTAAGCTTCATAAAATCAGAGAGCAGAATGCTGATTACCAGGGGTTGGGGGAGAATGGAATTGGGGAAAAGGATATAATATTTCAGTTAAACAGGAGAAATCAGTTCAAGAGATCTATTTTACAACATGGTGATGATATTTAATAAAAAATTAAAAGAGGCCAAAGAGACATGACAAGTAAATACAATACCTGATCTTAGACTAAATTTTGTACTGGAGTGGTGGGTGGGGCAATGTGATATATGGCCCTGTTAGATCAAATGAGAAAATTGGAATACAAAGTATAGAGAAAAACATTTGCCGATATTAAATTCACCAACGTTGACAACTTTTCTTGGTTATATAACAGAATATTCCTATTGTTAAGAAATACGCACTGATATATTAATAGGTCGAAGGCCATGATCTATTTACTTTACCATCAAGTGGTTCAGAAAAGAAATTAGATGTAGCTAGATAGCTATATACATTGACAAATAGTCTTAATGATAGAACAAATGGGGTAAAATGTTAAAAATAGGTGAATGTGAATAAATGGTAAGTGGGGATTTTCATATTATTTTTATTTCCACAATTTATCTGTAAATTTCAAGTTATTTCAAAATAAAAAGTTAAAAATATATCACTGATTTGGGTAATTTGTGTTTCTGTTGGCAAAAGGTTGCTTGCTTCTAAAGAACTCAGCAAATGAATCCCTGGACTTGGGAAATCCACCAGTACTTTTCAAATTATGATGACTTTGCAAATTAAAATTTGGAAGCAAGTTTGGGATTATGTTGAGAAGGAAAGGCAAAAGGCTAATTTTATTTCCATTTAAGAGTTACTTGGTTGAAAGAAAAACAAACTCACGTTGGCCAAAAGGAAATTTATTGTAAGTAAAGAAGGGAAATTTCATGAAAGCCAGCTGTGGGAAGTACTACTGGCATCATGGGAACTACAAAGATATCAGATGCTTCTCTATCTCTGTCTCTTTCTTTCCTTCCCTCTCCTATTTAGCCAGTTCTGGTCAGAACTACAGGACAACCAGGTCGAAAAATCTGGCAACTTCTTCAGCAAAAGTGACAAAAACATTTCCAAATAAGAGCACATGAGCTGTGCAGACACCTCATGTATTTTATTTTATGCTGAAATTAGAGAACAACTGACCTAATATTTGACTAATAACTTCATGAATTTTAATCTATAATTAATAATTTATCTTAAGGCCAATATAAGATTAAAAATATTAATGTGAGCAATGATATTCTTAGATTCTCCTTTTATAAATATCACATGGGCACAGAATGGAGAATGGATTTTAGAGAAACGAGAGTGTAGTGGGATATCATTTAGATGATGCTGTCATGGTCCAAGCAAAACATGGTGGCTTGGATGGGTATAAGAATAGCTGTGGAGATGGACAGAAAAGGGTAGATAAGGAATATCTTTAAGAAGTACAACTGAAAAGTCTTTGTGTTGGGTTGAATGTGAATGTTTGAGGAAGAGGTTTTCAAGGATGTCTCCCAGGTTTCCAGTAGGAGTGAATGGTAGAGACATTATGGAGATTGAAAACATTAGGGGAGGAGTAATTCTGGGGAGAAAAAGTCATGAATTCAATATAGGCCTTCTTTTAGTTTGAGAAACTAGTAAGATACAAATGGAGTTCTCAGGTTGCTAGATATATGGGTTCAGGGCTTGGAGCCCCAAAGAAAGAGCTAGTATAGAGAAAGAATCTTGAGAAAGGTTGATAAGTGTGTGGCATTTGAAGCCATGGCAATTTATGCAACAACTTCATAAGAAGGGAAAGAGCCAAACCTTGAAGAACTCCAACATATAAGGAATAGATGGGAAAGAAAGCTCTCCAACAAGAGACTGAAAAAAAAAAAAAAAAAAAGGTCTTACA
The DNA here is from genome assembly GCF_000001405.40 of Homo sapiens. Taxonomy (NCBI): domain Eukaryota; kingdom Metazoa; phylum Chordata; class Mammalia; order Primates; family Hominidae; genus Homo; species Homo sapiens. The sequence goes on from NC_000017.11 coordinate 69,636,189, forward strand.
TGTAGGTGGGAAATTAGTAGAGTCTAATTTTGTCAAATCCACTGGAGAAGGCGAAAAATAAGCTAGTAGTCAACTGTGTCTCATAGTAGTGGAACCAGTAAAATGGGGCAGGTATTGTGCTCACCCTCTTTTTGCAAATGAAACAACGGTTGAGGCTCAGAGAGCTTAAATGACCCACTCAAGATCATGGAGCTACTAGGTAATGAGGCTGAGATTTGGACTCATGTGTCTCTGACTTTAAAGCCTATGCTTTTAAGCATTGCCTCATTCATTTCATCAACAAAGATTGATTTCATACTTACTACGCATAAGGAAGCCTGAAGATAATGTAACTAATAGGGCCTATATGATTTAGAGCCTGTACTCACTGAATGCAATTTGTTGCCAATTGAAAGTTGTGATTCCTGGGAATGGGTAAAAAAGGCTATGTGAGTTTTCTATTGCTGCACACCGAATTGCTGCAAACTCACCACATGAAACAACTTCCAATTATCATCTCCCAGTTATATAAATGAAAAGGGTGGGTGAGAGGTTCTGACTGGGTTCTATGCTTAGAGTTTCACAAGACTGAATTCAAGGCTGGCCTGGACTCTTCCCTGGAGACCTGGGGAAGAATCTATTTCCAGGTCCATTCAGGGTGTTGGCAGAATCCAGTCCCTTGCTGCTGTAGGACAGAGAACCCCATTTCCTTACTTGCTTTCAGCTGCGAGCCTTTCTCAGCTTTTAGAGGCCCCTTGCAAGCTCTTTGCCATGGACTTTCTCCCAGACCCTCTCATCAGTTAAGCTTAACTTTTCAAGGCTGGTAGCAGGATCTCTCAAATAGAATCCTCCTGAAATTTATAGTCGTTTGACTTCTCTTTTGCTATTAGCCATCGAAATCTCCATACTTTTAAAGGGCTAGTGTGATTAATTCAGGCTCAACTGCATAATCTCTCTCTCTTGCCTTATAACCGCTCATCATATTCACATGTTCCACCCACATTCAAATGGCTGGGGATTGGATTATACAAGGGTTAGGGTCACTGAGGGTCAATCTTAGAATTCTACCACCGAGGCATAAAGCCCTTGTTGCTTCCTTCTTCCCAAGCTCTCTGTTCTCCCATTTAAAAATTTCATAGTTGGAGAGAGAAGAATGCATATAGGTGATTAGTCCATTGATTTGACAGTAATACAATCAGCACTCTAAAAAAAAATTGCCTAGTATCTTTTCTCTGGGAACCAGCTTTCAAAGTGGAAAAAGCTAAGATGATTCTACAGCAGTGGGAATGTGCTTCATTTCCCCAAGATACCACAGCTGGGAAGCTCAGCTGCCTTTCTGGGAAGAGAGACTGCTCTGTTCTGCATGGAAGGCCAGCCACGAGGGAGCACATCCATGTGAGAATCTGAGGAAACAGTGCAACGCCATCAACATGGCATCAAATTCTACCACAGCTGCTTTGTTGCCTCTCCCAGAAAGATCAAGACAGACCACTGTCCAGAGAGAGAGAGAGGTGATTAAGGGGATAATAATGCTCTGGGTATGAGCAACACCAGGGACTTACTGCCCAAACTCTCAGTGAGTTTTCAGCTTACAGCTTTTTGAGTTGTACCAAGATGTCCTTTCTTTGGAAAAAGCAGAGAGAGAGAGAGAGAGAGAGACAGAGACAGAGACATGAACAATGCATTTAAGAAGGCTGCCAGCCTCTGAGAATCTGGGGCCTGGACTCTTGGCTTTCAGCTGAAAAGCCTTCAAAAGGCCAGGGAAGCGTTAGTGAAAATGAATGGAAAGCCTCTGACAAGCATGCTATGTGCTGCGGAAATTGCAAACAGACTTGGCATGCTTGCTCAGGAGCCCAACAGAATCTGAACATCACTTGGTATTATAAGTCATGGGACAGCAGGCACTTGTTTCACTGGAATGGGCTTTCACATTAAAAAAAAAGAAAAAAGATCACCATCTGTCTTTTTTTTTGGGGGGGGGGTGTAATTTAGTGCCCCAGGGAGGGACTTTGTCATTGTGTCTGTGTCCTGCACCTCTTTTGTAGTACAGAAGAGTCATGCAGCAGAATCAGTAGCTGTCTTGAAGTACTGAACAATGGAGAGAAGCAGAAGTCTTTACATGAAGGGTGTTTGGATAAGAGGGCTTCAATATAGACAGTCAGGCCTGGGTTCAAACCTTTATTCTGTCATCTACAATCTGGGTGATCTTAAACATGTTGCTTTGTCTTTGTGATTCCCAATTAGCTTCCCTGTGTTCCAGTTTCTCATCAGTAAAATGGGTGGCGGGGGATGAAATAATGTCTATGAGCTATGAAAATAAACTGACATAGAGAAAGCATTCAATAAATAGTAGAATCTCAAATGTAGATAGTATCCCATCCTACATTCAAAGAACCTGTTGGCTGCCTACGCAACACCTGTTCCTCCTACTTTCTTCATGGCTGGCAAAACTTGTCTTCCAGTAAATATAATGAAAAGGCAAAACCACTTGTTTTTCTAGCTTCTCCTCTTACAGTCAGGACATGGGCCTGTTACCTGATTCTGGCTTGGATCCGCTACAGCCACCTTGAAATTTTAAGGGATGACACAGTGGTCTGCAGAACAAGGAAAAATGGAAAAAGGGAAAGCTTAATGTTCCATGACATTGCAGAACTGCTGAATTAATCCTGGAACTTCCTTCCTGTATTAGTCAGGATTGTCTGAGATACTCCAAAGAAATAAGCAAGCCCTGTATCTATAGTGGTTTATAAGAGCAATTTTAATTTCTTGCATACACTATATGTACAGTGTGGACTGAATAGGGGATTTGTTCCACTTTTCCTCACTCTGGAGGCCAGGTAGATAGAAAAACTGCATCTTAAGCATTGTAGAGTATCGTTTCAGAGGAACAAAGCCATCTCTAGAGGGTCTATAAGAATCCTCTAAATTGTCTTCCTGTCTCCAGTTTATTCCTTGTTTAATCTGCTGGTGGACTGACTTCTCCAAAATTCCACTTTCCACTCTTATTAGACAGTTGCTGCTGTAGCAATGCTGTGTGTGTAACAACCACCCCCAAACTTCAGTGGCTTACAATAATGAATGTATTTCTTACTCACTCATAGGTCTGTGAGTCAGTAGCGGTCTTGGAGGGCTTACCTAGGATTGCTTACCTGTGCTTGACTTCACATATGTATTGAATTCAAGTCTGCTCCCTGTAGTTCCTTATTTGTGGATCAGCTGTTACCTAGTATATGTTCTTCTCATGGCTAAATAAAGACATGCAAACAAACCAATCCATGCACTCATGTGAACATCCCTGCTGGTATTCATGGAGTTAACATTTCACTGGTCAATTCCCGTGACCAATCCCAAAGTAAAAATGGCAGGCATAATTATGCTTTTTTCTCTACTGGGAGGCACTGATAAGTCATGTGGAAAGTGATGTGGATATAAAATTTTAATACAAAGAGGAAGTAAGAATTAACACAAAATTGCAATCTACCATACATGTGCCAGTCAACTGATCACAATCTTCAATGGATCTATCTCTCTGGCAAAACAAAGGTGAAGGTCCTAAATTGGGCATTCGAGACCTTCTGTGTTCTGGCTTTTTCCTTCTCTCTATCATTTTCTCCCATGCCTCCTTATTCAAACCAAACTGGTTTATTTTATTAATTCCTAATCATCCATGTGTGGCCATTTTTTAATTGTTTTTACATTTTTCCATGGAAAAAAGTCATATTCTTCTTCCATACCTCAACCTAAAGCCCAAGATACCCTTCTATGCCTTCAGTCTCCTTGTGTTTCTGCACCATAGCATCCGTTTGGACTGTTTGTTTGGTGCTTAGCATTTGTGATCTTGGATAAATGGTTCTTTAACCCATGTAGAAACAAAACCTTTGAAGCATACAGAATATCCTGAACACTTGGAATTGAAATTCTTGGCTTTACTAAAGGGGAATATTCACAAGCATGCGGGCCAGTAATCATTTTCACTTCCTTGAGATATAAACTTTCAGTGGTAACAGGACCTTCTTTTTCATTAGCCATGGATATTTGGAATCCTTGGGTAACTGAAATAAAACAAAATGCAATCCTGTTCTTATAATCTTTGGAGATCTAGTTGATTGTGCAACATTTGATTGAATAGGAGCCTCTCTTCCACGGAAATAGATGAACAATGCTAATAAAAAGAAAAAACCTTTTCCCATTACAGTATTTTATTTACATTTCAGTCACCTCCCAATACCCAGAAAAAGAGGGTTGTTGAAAAATGTTAGGCCACCTCTGCTACCTTTATCCTTAACATGGAAATCGTTGCCATAGGAGGGGACTTTCCATATTTCACTGTGAACATTCTTTGTCTAGAAACATTTATCTCCACAATTTGGCTTTAGGAAAGCTCCTTTATGTATGTCTAGCATCAATTGGTTAGTGTTCAAATACTTAAAATTACATAGACTGGGCATAGCTATCATTGGCAAGGGAAATGGCATTCGAGAAAGAGAATTTAATGTATCCCAGGGTAGCTGTCTTGATAATGAAGAGAATGTTAAGTCTTGCAGTATTGCTTAACCCTGAAGGAGTTTGTGTTAGTCAGGGCTCTTAGGAGAAACAGAGACAATGGGATGTGCATGTATGTGTGTGTGTGTCTGTGTGTCTGTGTGTGTATAACCACACATAATAGGATCTATATCTATACCTGTATCTATCTATATCTATAGAGAGAGGTTTATATTAAGAAATGGGCTCACACAGTTTTGGAGGCTGGCAAGTCCAAAATCTGCAGGGCAGTCTGGCAGGCTGGAAATTCTGACAGGGACTGATGTTGTAGTCTTGAGTCCAAAGGCAATCTGGAGGCAGAATTCTTTCCTTTTTGAGGGACCTTAGTCCTTTCCCTTAAGGCCTTCAACTGGTTGGATGAGGCTCACTCACATTATGGAGGGTCATGTGCTTTGTTCAAGGTCTAATTACATCTGATTTAATATTAATGACATCTAAAAAAATACTGTCACAGAAACATCTAGACTTATATTTCAACGAACAATGGGATACCATGGACTACTCAGGTTGACACATAAAATCAATCATCACACAGCTTTAATCCTAGATTCCTGATATTGAGTCAGTAAGTTCAGAATTAAACACCTGGACAACTTTCAAGGCAGGAGAATATAAGTTTGCTAGGACTCTGACAACCCTGCTCTAGCGTATACTCTCTGTATTCCAATTCCAAATGCCCGGTTTTGAGAATAGCTATTCTGAGAGCTATATATAATTTACTTTATCTTTTATTACTTCCTAAAAAACTGTGTTTTAAGAATATCTTCACTGGCTTCGTTTGCCACCTCCTTTTTTCCCCTGCTTTGTCTATTCTGATAATAATCTTAAGTCATTCCCAATAATCATGTTTTTCTAATTTGATTCTAACTTTTCTATAGATGGGAACTATAGCCTTTACCTTTTTATACAGCCTGTGAAATGAAGAGGTGCTTGTTAATAAGTTATGTCTATTAACAATGTCTTTGCACAATTAATATTCTGAAAGGTTGACAATTTGTTTAAGGGGAACTGGGGAAACACTTGCAAGGTAAGATTTGGGAATAGGAAATTTCTAAAATTAATACAAATTAGGTGACTTTAGGTGAAGTTCAAGTCTGTTTATTAAATTATAATTAAAGGAAGGAAATATTTTATTTCAAATAAATGATAAATAATAACTTTGCTCTAATAGCATACATTTTAAAGTAGGATGATACTCCAAAGAGCATATAGCCACTGTGCAAGGGTGAAATGAATAGAAACTTAACATATATTTTAAAATTCTTTATTTCTCAAGTTATTAATATATTTGCATATTCTCTCTTTTCCAAGACCTTGTAATACCTAAACACTGTGCATTAATTTGGTCAGAAAATCAGTGTGCACAATATTTTATATTTCTTTTCCTTAAACCAACTTACTTATGACCCTAACCTCATCTTGCCCTTTGCTAAAGAAAAATAATATAGGTGGGGGGCTAGGGGAGGGATTGCATTAGGAGAAATACCTAATGTAGGGGATGGGTTGATGCGTGCAGCAAACCACTGTGGCACCTGCATACCTATGTAACAAGACTGCACGTTCTGCTCATGTACTCCAGAACTTAAAGTATAATAAAAAAAATTAAAAAAAAAGACATCCAACTAGGAAAAGAAAGCAAATGATCTCTCTTTACTGATGATATGATCTTATACACAGAAAACTCTGAAGACTCCACCTAAAGGCTCCTAGAACATCTCCAGTAAAGTTTTATGATACTTTAAATCAATGTACAAAAAAATCAGTGGTATTCTTTGTAGTATTCTTCTTCTTTTTCTTATTTTTTTTTTAATGGAGTCTCGCTGTCACCCAGGCTGGAGTGCAGTGGCGTGATCTCAGCTCACTGCAACCTCTGCCCCCCGGGTTCAGGGGATTCTTCTGCCTCAGCCTCCTGGGTAGCTGAGATTACAGGTGACTGCCACCACACCCAACTAATTTTTGTATTTTTTGTAGAGACGGGGTTTTACCATAAAAAAAGAAAAATAGGCCGGGCGCGGTGGCTCACGCCTGTAATCCCAGCACTTTGGGAGGCCAAGGCGGGCAGATCACGAGGTCAGGAGATTGAGACCATCCTGGCTAACACGGTGAAACCCCGTCTCTACTAAAAATACAAAAAATTAGCTGGGTGTGGTGGCGGGCGCCTCTAGTCCCAGCTACTCGGGAGGCTGAGGCAGGAGAATGGCATGAACCCAAGAGGTGGAGCTTGCAGTGAGCTGAGATCGTGCCACTGCACTCCAGCCTGGGTCACACAGCGAGACTCCGTCTCAAAAAAAAAAAAAGAAAAGAAAAGAAAAGAAAAATAATATCTCATTAATTATTGAAATCCTTCCCTGTCTTTCCTATTCTCTTCTTCCCTCTTCTTATCCACATTCATTAGCATTGCGTAAAGATGCCAAGGTCAGCACAGCATCCAGTGGACGTGGAGAAAGGAAATAGATAGTTCCTTCTCCTAATCAGTCAATACTGGTTACCCCCAAGATACCTTTTATCCCAGCCTCTATGTTCCTTCAGAGCTTGTCCTCTGCTATTTCTGTGCCACATTGGGACACAGGCATCTTTTCCAAGGCTTGTAGACTCTCCACCTTGGGCCTAACATTCCTAAGACACTCTAAGTTACACCCTCTGAGGTCTCGCTGTCTAACAAGCAGTGCCCAAGCCCAACCACTCAGTGGACTGTCAAGTGGACTGAGAAGTGATCTCATCTCCATTTGGGTGAATTTGCCTTCTCTCTTCTTATCACTAGCCTTCTGTCTCTGTGCCCATCAGGTTGAGAGCCTCTAACAAAGTCTCATCATATATTCCAGGCTTTACAAACATAAGAATCTGTCAGGAATTATCTGCTGGTAAGAGAGATTGAAATGGGCCAAGCTGCCCTGCTGGAATAAGGAAGAAGAAACTTTGGGGAGAATTAATTTGAAATGAGTTTATCTTGTGGCACATGGTACATGCTCTGGTACATTCAAGTCGTTTCTGCTTTATTCATTTTCCCTGCTAGACTGAAAACTATGACAGGTCTGTATAGTTAGTTCCTTCTAACTCTGTACACATGATCATACGTATGGCAAGCTCTCAGGAGATATTGTTGAATGACTTAATGCAGGAAAGGAACAAAGCATGGGAAGTAATCTAGAAATAGAACCATCATTGGCCAACAAAATCCCTTGGGGAGCTTTTACAGATTTCACTTCTGGGCCTCATGCCTGAGGAGTCTGATTTAATAGGAATTGAGGTGGGGCCCAGGAATCTGTATTTGCACAACAGCCTAGCAGAGCTGTTCAAAGGAAAGAATACAGTCATAGGTTCTTAGTTTCTGTTTTTGATTGGGCCAGTAAAGCCCCTTCCTCATCCCTCTTTTCCATTTATCACCAGAGACAGGAACTAAAAACCATGACTTCAAGCTGCTAAAAGCCTAAAACAAAACAAAACAGAACAACAATAACAATAACAACAAAATAAGGCAAGTTGGACAAGCTTGCAGGGATTTCCAGTTAAATCACTAATATAAAATAATAATTTCATTTTACAGAAGAGAAAAATGAGGTCCAAAAAGGTTAAGTAACTTAGCAGACATGTGACAAAAATGAGAAACGGATCCAGGTTTGATTTACATTCATTTTTAATAAATATATTATTTTTGTTACAAAGATAATACATCTTTATGCTAAAAAATTGAAATAGTACATAGACTTGCAGGGTGAAAAGTAACTTTCCCTCTTCATCTCTCAGCTTCCCATTTTCACCCAAAGAGCTAATCACAAATTGTGTTTTTTATCTTTTCAGACATTTTATATACAAAGGTAAAAAATGCACATGCAGATGTAAATCATGTTTTACATAAATGAGATTATAGTGTGCCTAGTCCTTTTGTTTTTCTTTTTTTTTTTTTTTTTTGTTGAGACGGAGTCTCTCTCTGTTGCCAGGCTGGAGTGCAGTGGCACAATCTCGGCTCGCTGTAACCTCTGCCTCCCGGGTTCAAGCGGTTCTCCTGCCTCAGCCTCCAGAGTAGCTGGGATTACAGGCGCGTGCCACCATGCCCAGTTAATTTTTGTATTTTTAGTAGAGATGGGGTTTCACCATGTTGACCAGGATGGTTCTCCATCTCTTGGCCTTGTGATCCGCCCCTCCTTGGCCTCCCAAAGTGCTGGGATTACAGGCGTGAGCTGCTGCGCCCAGACCATAGTCTTATATATAATTATAATAATTTGTTTTTTTCCACTCAAAATCTTTTTAAATCAACACTTATAGATCTACTTCATTTCCAAAATAAATTTCTCTTTTTTAAGGTGTGAAAGCATTAGATAAAGCGGATATCTATTCTCTGACATTTTTCAAATATAGGCTGGCTATCAAATATAGGTTTACTTATATTTGTTACCAATGAAAATATCTATACCTCATGTTCGTCCAGGTTTCCTTGCCAAATTTTTAAAGACTTTCAATTTTGAACAAATTTTGTAGAGTCTCTTTCAGTTTGGGTTTGTCTGATGTTTTCTCCTGTTTGGAGTGAAGTTATTCATTTTTGGCAAAATATTACACAAACGATACTGCGTTCTAAGCATGAATTAATAAGAGGTTCATGATGTTGACTTGTCTTGTTGCTGGTGATGTTGACCTTGATCACTTGGTTAAGGTAATATCTGCTGGGTATACCGATTGTAAAGTTACCATCTTACCTTTTTGGTCTTAATAAATACCTTTGAAGGAGGTACAGTGAGACTATGTAAATCCTGTTTCTCCTAAAATTTTTGCTCACCAAATTTAGCATTCATTGGTCTTGGCACATTTTTAGCTGGAGTCACCTTCAAGATGAAATATATTCAAATAACTCATTTGCCAGATTGTATTTAGTATATTTTACAATTTTTAGTGCCACGATATGCTAGATTTTGTGGAATTTTTTTTTCTTTGAACAGAGAAATTTTATAGAAACAAGTATTAAAAAATATTAGGCTGGGTGCAGTGGCTCACGCCTGTAATCCCAGAACTTTTGGAGGCTGAGGCGGGTGGATCCCGAGGTCAGGAGATCGAGACCATCCTGGCCAACATGGTGAAACCCTGTCTTTACTAAAAATACAAAAATTAGCTGGGCATGGTGGCGCATGCCTGTAATCCCAGCTACTCAGGAGGCTAAGGCAGGAGAATCATTTGAACCGGGGAGTCAGAGGTTGCAATGAGCCGAGATCGTGCCACTGCACTCCAGCCTGGCAACAGAGTGAGACTCTGTCTCAAAAAAAAAAAAAAAAAAAACAAAAAAAACCATATATATATATATGTGTATATATATATGTATATATATGTGTATATATATATGTATATATATGTGTATATATGTATATATATGTGTATATATGTATATATATGTGTATATATATGTATATATGTGTATATATATGTGTATATATGTGTGTATATGTGTATATATATGTGTATATATGTGTGTATATATGTATATATATGTGTATATATGTGTGTATATATGTATATATGTGTATATATGTATATATATGTGTATATATATGTATATATGTGTATATATATGTATATATATGTGTATATATATGTATATATATGTGTATATATATGTGTATATGTATATATGTGTATATATGTGTGTATATGTGTATATATGTGTATATATGTATATATATGTGTATATATGTGTATATATGTGTATATATGTGTATATATATATAAAACATGACAACTAACATGTATTTAGTGCTTTCTATAGGTACTATGTTAAATACTATACATTATTATTGCACTTAAGAATCATATTAATCTTGTTAGTGATTATTATAAATCCATAAAATAGATGAAGAATTTGAGACACAAGAAAACTCCCCCAAAGTACACTGCTACAGCATTGCACAACACAGATTGGAGCCTGACTCCTTTTACCGCAGAGCTTCATTGCATCAATAGTACTCAATTCTGTCTTTGTGTATAGCAAGTGAGAATTAGTGTGACAGATTCTTACAGAAATAGCAGTTTGAAATTGATTTTAGCAGCATATTACATTACTACAGCATAACAAGTATGACCATAAAAATAACTTTCCTTTAGATTCTTAGATAATCCTCTTCAATATATCATTTTCTCCTTGTAAAGACGGTTTTAGTCTATTTAATGCTGTAGCAAAATATGTCTGCTATTTAGCATTGATCTTCTCATAAAATGCTCATGCACTTCGATGATGACGTATGTCAGAGCAAAAGTCCCCAGCCATTTAGTGTTCATCACAGCCTGCTAGATTGGCCTCAGTTGGCACACCTGTATGGTTCCTCTCATGGGAAATAGGAAAGAACTCTGAGGAGGATTCTTTCATTACCCAAAAGAGAAAATGTAGGATTCCTAGAAAGATATGTGAGTTAGTATAAAATTTGTCTATGAGTGACAGATAATTCCAAATAAAGTGGCTTTAAGAAGAAAAGAGCTTATTTCTCCCATATAAATAATGCTTGAGGGTGAGTGGGTTAGGACAATATGGCTGCTTTTCTCCATGGAATCTTCAGATGTAGGTTTCTTCCAGATCTCTGATCCCTTGTCCCAAGCCTTTGTCTTCATGTTCCAGAATATCAGTGTCTGTGTCCCAGTCAGCAGACTGGAAAAGAAGAGAGCAAGGGGTTCATTCATCTATCGACCATTCTTAGGGAAGCTTCCTGCATTCTTTTTTTAAAAAATAACAAATAGCTTTATTGAGGTGTATATTGAGCTTTATTGAGTTTGAGTTTAATTGATAAAGAACTTCACATATTTAATGTGTACAATTTGCTGAGTTGGGACACATACCGTCACCACAATCAAAGTGACAATCTGACTCTGTGTCCCCACCCAAATCTCATCTCATTGTAATCCCCATAATCGCCACATGTCGAGGGAGGGACCTGGTGGGAGATGATTGGATCTTGGGGTAGTTTCCCCCATGCTGTTATCATGATAGTGAGTGAGTTCTCACGAGATCTGATGGTTTTATAAGTGCTTAACAGTTTCTCCTTCACACATGCTCTCTCTCTCCTGCCACCATGTAAGATGTACTTGCTTCTCCTTCACTTTCCGCCATGATTGTAAGTTTCCTGAGGCCTCCTAGCCGTGCTTTCTGTTACACCTGCAGAACTGTGAGTTGATTAAACCTCTTTCCTTTACAATTACCCAGTCTCAGGAAGTATTCTGTATAGCAGTGTGAAAACAGACTAATAAACAAGGTAATAGAGTTTCATTGTGTTCCCCCTCATTTTTGTGGTAAGGACACTTAAGATGAAATCTACTCTCTTAACAAATTTGAAGAACACAATATTATATTGTTAACTATGGACACTACGCTGTACAGCAGATCTCTAGAACTTACTCGTTTAACAATCTGGTTCATATCAGAGAGTGCATTCTGCTTTTTCCTTTTAATTGACCATAACTGGCTGCAAGGATCATGGAATCTCTATTATGAATGGCCCATGTCGAGCCAAACATACTATTACAATTAAAGAAGAGGGAAATGAGTACCGTGGGTCCAATATCATTGTCTGCTGTAGGATAATAGAATACAATTACAATCTGGGAAGGAAGTTATGGAAAAAAGGAAATAATTTATTAAGCACTGAATATGGCATGTAATAAACCAGGTTTTTTTGTTTGTTTTGTTTTGTTTTTTGAGGTAGGGTCTTGCTTTGTCACCCAGGCTGGAATGCAGTGGCATAATCATAGCTCACTGTAGCCTCAAACTCCTGGGCTCCAGTGATTCTATTGCCTCAGCCTCCTGAGTAGCTAGCACTACAGGCATGTGCTACCATACCAGGTTAATTTTTAATTTTTTTGTAGAGATGGCATCTTGCTTTGTTGCCCAGGCTGGTCTTGAATTCTTGGCCTTAAGGAGTCATACTACCTTGGCCTCCCAAAGTGTTGGTATTACAGGTGTAAGCCATGGCATCCAGCCCCAAATGCTTTTTAGTGTAATATATGCTGCTCATCATCCTTTTGATGGTAGTATTAGGCTCATTTTATGTAAGATATGATTGAGACTCAGAAAGGCCATGTTTCTTACTCAAGATCATATGGTAGATGGTAGAGTTGGGATTTGAACCTAGGTCTGATTGTACCCACCAGTTGTATTTTTCCTTCTGAACCATGCTGCCACTCTGGAGGGAGCACCAAGGTTCAAGTCAGGGGAGTTGGCAGTTGAAAGACTGTGCCACTGGGAAGAGGAAGTGGGAGACAAACTTTGCCATTGGAGTACCTTTCATGCACAAAGCCTCATGTTCATGGCAAAATTTGTTCAACTAAGAAAAAAAAAGAGATACATTTTATGCAAGGGGTAAGAGAATTTTATGAAGGAATAAGAGAGAGGGAGCAGGCAAAATAGAAAGTTGAGCCATTAATAAATTATTGGTTTATACAACTTTTGAAAATAGATTTGTATCAAAAATAGTTTAGCAAGAACTTACTCTGGACTTGACGACATGTTCGTTTTGACCAAGAAAGACCTAGTAATGCAGATGTTACAGAACTTTGGGAGAAAATGGTAATATTAATGTTATTACCAAGTTTATAGCAATAAAAAGAGAAATCTGGTTATAGGTATAAGAGTTGTTGGTCTTTTAGTGTATGTGTTCACACATTTGAAATCTTATCCTTTGCAAACTCATGTTTTTATTCACTGAAGCTTCTGGCACTCAGATAGCATAATCTACAATGAGGGATGTAGGTCCCAGTTGTAATGCATTGCATTTATTTGTTCCAAAGTTCCCCTTTTATTTTCATTTTGAAAAATGGGGTCTCACTATGTGCCCGTGTTTGAAAAACTATTCTTCAACTTGTAATTTAAAAGAAAATCAAGTTGTTTTGACCTTTCTTATTATGGTAAAATATATATAACAAAATGTACCATGTTAACCACTTTAAAGTGTACAATTCAGTGGTATTAAAGACAGTTGCAGTATTGGCTAATCATCACTGCTAACTATTTCCAAGACTTTTTCATCTTCCCAAATAGAAACTATGTACCCATTAAACACTAATGCCCCTTCTTCAAACCCTGGTAACTTCTATTCTACTTTTTGTCTTTATAAATTTGCATATTCTAGGTTATTTTATTTAGATGCAATTGTACAATAGTTGTCCTTTTGTGTCCTTCTGGCTTATTTTATCTACCATAATGTTTTCAAGGGTCATCCAGGTTGTAACACGTATCAGAATTTTATTGCTTTTTGTAACTGAATAATGTTCCTTTGTATGTATATAACACATTTTGTTTATCTATGAATCTATTGACAGCTGGGTTGTTTCCACCTTTTGGTGGGAAAATATGAACAATAATATAAATAATGTGAATATTGTGAATAATGCTGCTAGGAACATTAGTGCACACATATATGTCTGAGTCCTCAATTTCAGTTCTTTTGGTTATATCCTTAGGAGTGAAATTGCTGGATAGTATAATAATTCTATGTTTAACTTTTTGAGGAACTTCCTGTTTACCATAGTGGCTGCATTTTTACACTTGTATTACCAGTTTACAAGGGTTCTAATGTCCCCACATCCTCACCACCACAGGTTATTTTTAGTTTTTGTTGTTGTTGTTGTTGTTGTTTTGTTTTGTTTTCATAAGAGCCATCCTTATGAGCATGAAGTGATACCACACCGTTGTTTTGATTTGCATTTCCCTATTAATGTTGAGCATCTTTTCATGTGCAATAAGCACAGTGAATAATCATTTGTGTATCTTCTTTGGAGAAGTGTCTATTTAAGTCCTTTTGCCCATTTACAAATTTTTGTGGTTGCTGTTGTTGAGTTGTCCAGAGTACACCCTTATATTATTTTTTTTGAGACAGAGTCTCACCCTGTCACCCAGGCTGGAGTGCAATGGCTCAATCTCGGCTCACTGCAACCTCCACCTCCCGGGTTCAAATGATTCTCCTGCCTCGGCCTCCTGAGTAGCTGGGATTACAGGTGTGTGCCACCACACCCGGCTAATTTTTTTATCTTTGATAGAGATGGGGTTTCACCATGTTGGCCAGGCTGGTCTCAAACTCCTGACCTCATGATCTGCCTGCTTCAGGGTCCCAAGTGTTGGGATTACAGGCATGAGCCATGGCGCCTGGCCACCCTTCTATTATTTTAACTGCTCTTGTTGGCCATGCACCGTGCCAGAAAAATATACATTTGATCATCTAGCTTATTGGAGAGCTTGGAGGTCTTGAAAAACCTTCACTGGGTGTAGCATATTCTGTTATTCCCACTCTACATTCCCTCAGGCCTGATCATGGTTCCAACTCTTTGACAGCTTTCTTTGGTGCACAGGGCATTCTGGAAGTGCTTGAGAAATAACTCCCTACCTTGACAGTCTCAATCAATGACTGATGGGAATTAGTGTATAATTAACTAACTAGGATGGGATAACGCTGAGACACAAATTCTACACTGGCTCCTAGAGCTCCGCAGCAGGATTATGTCACATTTACTCTCAGTAGTAACTACCTTAGTAATGCACCTTTTATTTATTTTCCTTTCCTGGCTCGCTTTCCCATTTTTCTGGCGTTTCCTAGCATCTCCTCCAAACGAACAACTTACACTTGAGCCCTTGTCTCATGATCTGCTTCTGGGAATCTGAACTAAGGGAAGCACAGATTATGTGCAGGGCACAAAGAAATAGATGTATTGGATTTGGGCAGAGGGGGGAGTTTCAGCACATTCCTTCCATTACTGTCCTTCCCTAGGATCTTCTTCCTGGAGGCCCCTTTCCTTGTTGGGGTAGAATGGGAAGCACATTAACAATGCCTTACTTACCAGACTATCGGTGGGCAATTAAGCAGTGGTTGCAACTCTCAGTGACATAATAAGATCATTTACTCTTGTTTTCCATTGCAAACTGTTTTTGGCGGTCTAATTTTTAGTTTCCATATACTTTCCCAATACAATATTCCTTAGTTACATCAGAGAGTGGCTTAATATCAAAGGCTGGACATTGTCTTAAAATAAGATGGTCTTCCAAAGTTTTGAGTGATAGATAAGTATGACCTTATAGTTAGGAATTTCACAGGCAATTTGTCATTCGCTCTTTGGTACTATTATGATTTCCATCTTAAAGATGAGAAAACTGAGACTTAAAATAATATTGGAAACACAGTAGGCACACAATAAATCTTAAGCTTTATTTTTTATTATATTGAAATTTTTGATTCTATAACATAAATGTCATTTTAATCAATAAATGAGACAAAGACAAAAGGCTCACTTATCAGACCTGCTTTTGGAAGAAAAGTGGAGGGAACAACTAATTTGCTAGTTAAAAGACTCAGGTTTCAAATATCCTGACGTTTTTAATGTAGGCAAAAAAAATTATAGCACAAGTATAGGATGTGGGAGCCCTGGCTAGACAGCAGTTGACCACAAATTTTATATGAGCCAACAGTGTGATGTGGTTACTCTAATGCAATGTCCAGCATCATTCTATGAAGGCATCTGTTCAGAAAATGGGTGTATTCCTCCTTGGTCAGGTCAAATGTGTTCACTGGAAGGACCAACATTTTAAGCGAGATGTTGCTGAAGTAGGAAGCTAGCAGAAGACTTTGAGAATGGTGAAACATTCTGGAAGCCCTGCTATCTGAGAAACACTTGAGAGCACTAGTATTAACTCACCTGGGTCTGAGAGATACAGTCCAATGATGAGCTTGGGAATAAGACTGATCTGCACTGAATTTCAGCTTCTCTACTTTGTAGCTTTGTGACCTTAGACAAGAGACTCTCTCTGTACTTCAGTTCCGTTTTCTTTAATAGGGGGAAATAATTCATGCCCTCATATACCCTAGAAAGTCCAAATAAGAGACTATCAGCAAAATAATTGGCTCATACCAGGTGTACAGTAAATATCAACCTTCAGTTTTTCAGATAGTTGGAGAATTGTCATGTGTATTAGTCCATTTTCAGACTGCTATGAAGAAATTTCCAAGACTGGGTAATTTTTAAGGAAAAAGAGGTTTAATGGACTCACAGTTCCACATGACTAGGTAGGCCTCACAATCATGGCAGAAGGTGAGGGAAGAGCAAAGGCATGTCTTACATGGCAGCAGGCAAGAGAGCATGTGCAGGGGAACTGCCCCTTGTAAAACCATTAGATCTTGTGAGACTTACTCACTATCATAAGAACAGCACGGGAAAAACCCGCTCCCATGATTCAATTACCTCCCACTGGGTCCCTCCTCCCCGACACATGAGGATTATGAGAGCTACAATTTAAGATGAGATTTGGCTGGGGACACAGCCAAACCATATCATCATGTGAGAAGTGGTCTTTCCTTTGAAGACAAAACTAGGACTAGTGGGTAGTAATTACAAGGAGAAAATTTCAGTTCAATATTACGACTAACCTACTAATAATTTAATTATCTTACAAAATGCAGATGCCTAAAAATATCAGGCTTCTATCTGGAACATCTGAATTGTTTGGCCAACTCCCTACATGGCAGACATCAAACATAGTGAGGTTAAAGCAGAATTCTTGGGTTACTTTTATTGCCTGGAAACCTAGTCATCCCCCAGTTTTCTACATGTCAGTAACTTGTACCATCTCCTGCTCAGGTGCTCAAGCCAGGTATCTTGACAGTGCATGTGATTCTTTTTTTTTTTTTTTAACTCATCTCCACCCCATGCTGCAAAGTCGACCTAGCCAGTTGTGCCAATCTAACCTCCCCAAAGCATAATCCAAACTCTTCCACTTCTCTCCATTTCTTGCATTGCCACCACAATCCAAACTATCAAAATCTTTTCCCTGATCTATCATAATAGCCTTATAATTGGTTTCCTTGCTTCTATTTCTGCTGCTTTGGATTCTATTCTCTCTACATGAGCAATATTTTAAAATATGTTGTTTAAAACTGCCTAATAGATCTGATTGTGCTTAGAATAGAACACACAATCCTCGTCACAGCCCACAAAGCCCAGCATTGAATGATCTCTGCACCCATTCCAGGCTTGTCTTTCAGTACCCTGAACCTAGCCCATCATCTCCAGCCTGCTTATTTATTTTTCCATGCCAAGCTGATTCCCACCTTAGACTCTTCATCTTACCTATTCCTTCTGCTTGGAAAACACTTATTTCTGAGCCCCAATGTCATATCCTGCAATAGACCATCATTGAATACCCAGTCTTTAGTAGCTATCTACACACTCTCACATTATTCTGTTTTAATGCTTTGAATTATACTTATCACTATCTTATGATTTTCTTGTTTATTAATTTATTACCCACACCTAAAAATATGGATTTAACACATAGATGCATAAACAATGAAACTAAATGCCCCACAAAATAGCAGGTCCCTTATCAATGAGAATATACAAGCAGGCTTTCTTTGGTGACCATATACTACCAGATGTTGTAGAAAGGATTCCTGCCCTTATCAGAGGTCCAGCTAGATGACCACTGGAATTTCTTCTAATCCGCAGATCCTATGATCTTCTTGACAGTTTCCATCTTCAGCAGGTCACAAGCTGTTTTAAGTGTGAAAGAATTAGTGTTTTTTTGCATATTTAAAAAAAGAAAGAAAAAAGGGAGGAAGAATGAAAGGGAAGAAGAAAAGTTGCTCTAGGACAAGTATGTTTGAAAATGGATGCGCGCGCACACACAAAATCAGTTAATTAGCTGATTTTTATGAATTGACCAATGAATTTGGTCGACTATTAACTAATTTTAGTTGGTAGACCTGAGCTAAATAGCACATAGACTAATAAATACTGGCAGTTACGGATATTCATTCACACATCAGCTTTTACTATGAGCAGTTTTCTTACTATGTCGGTCTCAGATGTTGAAATTTGTGCTCTTCTATAAAAATCAAAAAGCAGAGATTCATTCTTTTCCATGGACTTCATCTGTTCCTTGTTTCAACTGCATAAATATTATTTACATGTCATGGGTTTCTGACCTCTATTGGTGGAGACCAAATCGATTACCCATGAGCCGCTCAATTTGCAATCATTTAAAATTCCACTCTCTCTGGCACAGAAAAAGAACAATGGAAACTTGTCATAGTGCTCTCTTTTTGGTTTATTTCCTTTCCCTCATTTTTCTTTTTTATTTTCCCTTTTCTTCCCCACCAGTTTCTCTTTTTCATTTCTTCATGTACCAGGAGTCCCTAAGGGACATTCAGATCTTTCAGCAGCCATTTCATTTTTTATCACAAAATTAAAATGTCAGATCCTTTCAAGAACCCTTCAGAGTTACAAGGTCAGTAAAGCCCAAGTCTGCTGAATGCAGGTGTTCCAGTCTTGAAGGAGGGGACCAAGGAAAGTGACTGTCATGTGAGTGGTGTGTGGTTTATCTACCAAGTGGCAACATCTCTCACTCTCACTATGTCTGCACTGCTCTGAGGGTAACCTGATCTGTCTTTAATCTACTCTGACCACAGAGCAAATGTTTTAAATAAAATCTCTGCATGAGTGAGTCACTACTCTTCTGGCTTTTGTATGACATACCAAGGACTGATGGTTTACTTTGCCTGAGTAACAAAATTAATATAAGAGAAACATTTTTGTTATGTGGTATCTTAAAAAAAAATACAAAAAGAAGAAAAAGGAGACATATGGACCTGAGCAGTGAAATTTGGATGAAAAAGTTCCACTTGACACGGAGAAAATATTGAAAAAAAATGTAGTAAATGCTTTTTTGGCAGAGAAGGACAAAAAAAATCAGCAGGAAGAAGTAGAAAGAGACACTTTCACTGAACAGCTGCAGTGACTCTAATACCACTTATGTAAGGTCCTAATCTTGAAGCAGCTTATTTATGTTATCATTTAAAATGTGATACATTATCTCAAAAGTTTTTAAATCTATAGGTGCTTGTTTATTTGGTAGAGTCTGCATTACAATGGAGGGACATGCTCGTGTTTTTGTGGGTCCTAGGGAGGCTGGATTAGAGCTGAATGCAGACATTCAGTGGATGTCTTCCTCTGGCTCGGATAGATGAGGTGCTTATGGCATGTACAAGTTTCCATGCTATTTTGCCTGACCCGAAGTATCCACCGTTTGAAGTATCAGCTCGGTTTTCATGGGTTCTGAAGCCCAGACCAAATGTTCTACATCGAATGAAAGGAGTGTGATCTGAAGACGGGCAAAGTGTCCTGGGGTGCCTCAATGATCTCTTATGAGTGAACACTTCATGATGTGTGCAGTATAGCTTGTGTAGCAATTTTAATTTTCCATGAAACGTTTCTGATTACAAAATGAAATGGAACTGTTTTTGACCCAAATCTTTCTTTACCCGAAGAAGACACAACCTATAAAAACAAAGCCACTCTTTCCCAGGTTGGCAAATCTTGCATAAAAATAGTCCCGTGATAAAAATGGCAGACCTAGCTGAGGCCAAAGAGGGAGGTGAACCTTAGCATTCAAGAGAGGACAGGTTTAGAGTTTCCTTCTATCTCTGTAGCTATGACAGTTATTGGCAGTGCGATCTCGGGTGAGTTATTTTTCTGCATAGAGACTCATTTCTCACATCTCAAAGTGGGCTAATTCTGTCTGGTTCCCTCCATACAGTATGGATAACTGCAATTATGTATGCACAATCCTAGCATATTTTTATCATATAATCCATTAATGACTAAGTATGATGTAAGCTGTAGGCTTTTTTTTGGTAGATGATTTTTTTTTGATGATTTTTAGCTTACATAGGGACGTGTCCAATTAGGGATTCAGTAAATGATATTATATTTATTATAAAATATTTGCTGAGAGCATCTTTCAGGAGTCCTTTGTCTCCCTTCTATCTGGTATGATATTCGTATGCAACATTTTATTCTTCAACTCAAAGTGCAGTGTTTGATGCTCTTTCAGTGATAGCTCTACACTTTGTTTCTGAAGCAGGTGCAAAACTTACTGTACAAATTCAGAGGAAAGGTTAGATTATTTTTACAAAAATTTAATTAAATTTGACTCTCAGTTTCTAACTTGCTGGCTTAGCAGGGAATTGACTGTCAATCAAAACTGGGGTTCCTAGGGAGTTGAAGGAAAGTTCCCGGCATCTTAGGCAGTATAGAAAACATTCAAGGGCTAACCCTGGTGTGGGCCCTTGTAGAGGGGCTCTGCTGCTTCTCTGTCTGGGCATTGGCATCTTTGGAAAGATCAGGATTGCTAGTGTTCTGAGTGAAGCCTTCCTAGGTTGATCCATTCAGTCTACTGAGGCCTGGTCATTTTCTAGGAAGCTGAGAGGAAACAGGTTTGGGATCCCTACTAGTCATAGGACTCAAGGATCTCTGTAACATACCTGAGTTTGGGGAACTATACATTTTCCTATTTCTCTCTATTCCTAATACTTCATTTTCTTTAATACTTCTCTCACTTCTTTCACCCTATATGAAATACACTTACTATGATCTACTAAAAAAAAATTTAGGGTTTTGAAGACACAAGCCAAAAAATGAAGTTGTCTTCAGACAACTTCAGACTTCTGCCTTGCAACAGGAACACTGTCAGACAATAGAGCATGAAAGTTTGACTATTTCCTTGCAGGGAGAAATACAGATAAACAAAACACACACTTTTATCATTGCCAATAAACTTGCCACATGCCAATATTGAGGATGATCAAAAGGGGCATTTTGAAAATGTTGGTTTCAATTTACTTTTTACAAATTTAAAATGAGTAGAGACATTCTTTACTTAAGATTGGTAGTGGGTAGTTGGAGAAGATAACTCAGAATGGATTTTTTAAGTAAACTTTTAAATTTTGGAATAGATTTAAATTTACAGAAAAATTGTGAAAGTAGTCCAGATGGTGCCCCTATGTCATGTGCTCAGTTTCCCCTATGATTAATATCATACATTTAGCATGGGACATTTGTCATAACTGATGAACCAATATGTTGATATATTAACTAAAGTCCGTATGTTATTCAGATTTCCCTCATTTTAACCTAGTGATCCTTTTAGCATTCTATCTAGGATATCACATTATACTTACTCATGTCTCCTAGTGCCTCTCTTAGCCGTGACAGTTTCTCAGACTTTTCTTATTTTTTTTAATAGCCTTAACAGTTTTTATTTATTTATTTTAATTTTTAATTTTTTTATTTTTTTTTGAGTCAGAGTCTTGCTCTTGCTCTGTCATCCAGGCTGTAGTGCAGCAGTGCGATCTCGGCTCACTGCAACCTCTGCCTACCAGATTCAAGCAATTCTCGTGCCTCAGCCTCCCGAGTACCTGGGATTACAGGTGTGCACCACCATGCCCGGCTAATTTTTGTATTTTTTAGTAGAGACAGAGTTTCACCATGTTGGCCAGGCTGGTCTTGAATTCCTAGTCTCAAGTGATCCACTTGCCTTGGCCCCCCAAAATGATGGGATCACAGGTGTGACCCATCACATCGGTCCAGCCTTAACAGTTTTGAGGAGTAGTAGTCAGTTTGTAGGGTGCATCCGTATGCAATTTTTATGATGTTTTTTCAGTTATACAGGTGTTACAGATTTTGAGGAGGAAGAACACAGAGGTAAAGGGCTATTCTTATTAAATCATATCAAAGGTACATGGTATTAACATGACATCACTGTTGCTGCTAACTTTGATCACTTGGCTGAGATGAGGTTTATTAGGTTTCTCTACTATAAAGTTATGCTCTCCTTCTCTCCCCACCACAGCCAGCTTTCCTTTCTTTACTGTTTGGAAAGAAGTCAATATATGTAGCTTACACTTATGGGATGGGGAGTTATGGTCTATCTCTTTGAGGGGAAAATTATCTCTTATTCCTTATTTAGTGTGATATTATGATTTATAAAAAGAAATATATATTTGGTCTTCATCCCCATTTTCTGGCATATGGCACCTAAAACTCTTAAAATCCCCTAACTGATGTGTGTTTTTGCATGCTAATGAGATGGTTGATGGCTCGTGGCTCCTGAGGAGCCTCAGGATGGGGGCTAGTTACAGGGAAGGCCAAGCCTGTGATCAGAGGACTGAGGTTTTCTTTTCTTTTCTTTTCTTTTCTTTTTTTCTTTTGAGACGGAGTCTCGCTCTGTGGCCCAGGCTGGAGAGCAGTGGTGTGATCCTGGCTCACTCAACCTCTGCCTCCTGGCTTTAAGCGATCCTCCTGCCTCAGCCTCCTGAGTAGCTGCGATTACAGGAATGCACCACCACGCCCAGCTAATTTCTGTATTTTTAGTAGAGATGGTGTTTTGCCATGTTGGCCAGGCTGGTCTTGAACTTCTGACTTCAGGTGATGCACCCGCCTCGGCCTCTTAAAGTGCTGAGATTACAGGCGTGAGCCACCACACCCAACCAAGGAGGACTGAAATTTTCAACCCTATCTTCTGACCTCCAGATAGAGGTGAGAGGTTGAAGGTTCAGTTGACCACCAGTGGCCAATGATGTAATCAATCATGACTATATAATAAAGCCTCCATAGAAACCCACAAGGATAATTTTCAGAGAGCTTCCAAAATGGTGAGTATGTTAGTGACCAGGTTCAAGATGCCTGTGTGCAGCAAGCCAATTATTGAGATGACAGGTTTTGGAAAAAAGAAAAGATTTTATGCACAAGGCTGCCATGCGAGGAGAAGGGAGAGCAAATCTCATATCTGCTTCCCCAAAGATAGGGTTTTAAAGATATTTTTGGGATAAAGGTGCAAAGTGGTCCAAAACACGGGGAAAGGTGATTGGGGACAAGGAAAAGCAAGGTATGCTTTTCCAGCAGAACCAACCCTTTCTCTTCTTCCTCTTCTTCCTCAGTCTACTCAACATGAAGACTTTTTAAGGAGCCACTTCCACTTAATGAATAGTAAATATATTTTCTCTTCCTTACGATTTTCTACTGGTCTATTTTGCATTGCTATAAAAGAATACCTGAGACTGCATAATTTATGAAGAAAAGTGGTTTATTTGGCTCACAGTTCTGCAGGCAGTACAAGCATGGTAGTTGCATCTGCTTGGCTTCTCGTGAAGCCTCAGGAGTTTACAATAATGGTAGAAGTTGAAGGGGGAGTAGGCATGTCACATGGTAAGAGAGGAAGTGAGAGAGATATAAGTCTTCTTTAAGCAACCAGCTCTTACTTGAACTAATAGAGTGAGAACTCACTCTTCACCAAGGGGATGGCACTAAGCCATTCATAAGGAATCCAGCCTCATGACCCAAACATCTCCCACTAGGCCCACTTGCAACATTGAGGATTACATTTCAGCATGAGATTCGGAGGGCATGAAACATCCAAACTACATCACGAGGTAATTGTTGATGTGCCATGTGTAGTCAAGCATCGTGGTTCTTAATAGAGCATGTGTTCAGAAAATGGTGGCATTAGCATGTTCCAAGGGAGCACGTTTTGGCCCTCTGATGTCAAAAAAAGTCACCTCTTGGGCATTTGAGCAGGCCCACTCAGAGAGTTGGTGGTTTCAACTACCTTTAACCAGCCTACCCCCAACCCCCAATTCCTGAAAAACAACTCTAAGCAGCCATTACCATGGAGATGTATATGTCAGAGATGTTATCTATAAGAAAGCTAGTGGATTGCTTAGCTATGTAACTTTTAGCTGCATATGTTTTAAGATTAAGAAGTGACTAAAGGCAAGCAAGGCAGATTAAGTTTGATGGGCTTAATCAGGTTAGCCCTTGGTTTCAAATAGGTGAAAGTGCTGGGAGGGTGGGATGGCTGGAGAGGGCAAAGAAGCTTCATGCCCCTTTCTCCATACCCTGTCTTATGCATCTCTTCCATCTAGCTGTTCCTGAGTTGTATCTCTTGTAATCAAACTGGTAATCCAGCAAGTAAACTGTCTTCCTGAGTTCTGTGAGCCATTCTAACAAATGCTTGAACCTGAGAAGGGGGTTGTGGGTACCTCTGATTTGTAGCCCATTGGATAGAAGTAGTGAGTAACCAGGGGACCCACCACTTGTGGTTGGTGTCTGAAGTGAGGGGCAGTCTTATGGGTCTGAGCTTTTAACCTGTGGGGTCTGAGCTAACTGCAGGTGAATAGCGTCAGAATTGAGTTGAATTGTAGGATACCTTGTTTGGGTCCACAGAGACCTGAAAAATTTCTTGTGGTGGAAAAAAACCCATACACATTTGGTGTTAGAAGTGTTGTGAGTGTAGAAAAGGAAACAATTTTGTTTTTTCCTTATATTTATGTGTTTATTTTTTTATCCATTCATTCAATGATATTTATGTCAGTATGCACTCATAAGTATTTATTTTACATGTTAGGGAATAATTCAATACAGTAGACCTTGAACAACACAGGTTTAAACTGCATGGGCCCTTGTATGTGGATTTCCTCTTGCCTCTGCTTTGAGAGAGCAGAACCAACCCTTCCTTTTCTTCCTCTTCCTCCTCTTCCTCAGTCTTCCTCTTCTTCCTCTTCCTCCTCTTCCTCAGTCTACTCAACATGAAGACTTTTTAATGAGCCACTTCTACTTAATGAATAGTAAATACATTTTCTCTTCCTTACAATTTTCTTTTCTCTAACTTATTTTGTTGTAAGAATACTGTATCTATATCTATATCTAGAGATATATATACAAAATATGTGTTAATCTACTATCTATGTTATTGCTAAGGCTTCCAGTCAACAGTAGGCAATTAGTAGTTAAGATGTTAGGGAGTCAAATGTTATACTTGGATTTCCAACTGCATGGGTGGTCAGTGTCCCTAATCCCTGTGTTGTTCAAAGGTCAACAGTGTTATGTTATTTATTTTACTCAGATTGTTTCAGCTTTTATATTCAATGAAAATTTCCTATGCTTTTTCCTCAGTGCCCACCCAATCCCTTTCCTTTATAAAAAATGATATTTATTTAAGATTAGTGGGCTGGGCGCAGCGGCTCACGCCTGTAATCCCAGCACTTTGGGAGGCCGAGGCAGGTGGATCACCTGAGGTCAGGAGTTTGAGACCAGCCTGGTCAACATGGCGAAACTCCGTCTCTACTAAAAATACAAAAATTAGCTGGATGTGGTGGCAGGCGCCTGTAATCCCAGCTACTCGGGAGACTGAGGCAGGAGAATCACTTGAACCCAGGAGGCGGAGGTTGCAATGTGCCGAGATCGCGCCATTGCACTCCAGCATGGGGGGCAAGAGCGAGACTCCAAAAAAAAAAAAAAAATTAATGAATTCTAATTTCTGTAAAACATCTAATTCCAGGTGATTTTTAGGACTGAAGGAAACAAATAAGTTAGTGTTGGCACGTCAAGAATGTGCCCATGAACCACGCATTTGAAGTTGTGAACTCAGCATGACCAACTTAAAATTTTCAAGTAAATTTACTTTTGCCAGATGACCACTCCCTGTTTTTATAAGGAAGAAAAAAACAACCTCTACTAAGGTCTGAAATATCAAATGGCTCTAAAAAGCAATATTTGATTGATGAAAGTTTAAGGGATTAGATATGGATGGATTTGATTTCCTTCAAAATACACACAAATTGTGAAATTAAGGTATAAGAGAGGATTAAGGCACAGCCTGTCTTAGGTTTTTTTTTTTTTTTTTTTTTTTTTGCTTCTCAAAACCTTTTGAAAATGATTTAAGATACTTGAGCATTACCAAAATAATCTTGGGGAGTATCTTCTGGTATGTTCTTATATTGTCCTCTGTAACTTATATTTAATAACCAGGCTGTTAAAAGTTTTCAATAAAGTTGTAATCCAGGGTCATTACACTTTAGAAGTAGATTAATTAAGACCTATGATAACCTGATATTTCATGTGGGACCATGTATATTAAGTTTTACTTATAGATTTCTCTGGCTTCTGGTGTTGTCCAAGATGAAATAATGTAAGCCTGTCTCCTCCACTGATGACAACTAAAAATGTTTGGATAAAACAAAACAATAAAATCAACTCTCTGAAGTTACTTAAAAGTCAACAAAACTAGAGTGTTGTGGAATACAGTAAAACACTGGAGAAGTGAACCTTAAGGGAATGTGTTTTTGCTGCTGTTGTTCTTCACTTTTTTTGTTTTTGAGATGAAGTCTCACTCTTGTCCCCCAGGCTGGAGTGCAAAGGCACAATCTCGGCTCACTGCAACCTCCGCCTCCTGAGTTCAAGTGATTCTCCTGCCTCAGCCTCCTGAAGAGTTAGGATTACAGGCGCCTGCCACCATGCCTGGCTAATTTTTGTATTTTTAGTAGAGATGGGGTTTCGCCATGTTGGCCAGGCTGGTCTCCAACTCCTGACCTCAGGTGATCCGCCCGCCTCGGCCTCCCAAAGTGCTGGGATTACAGGCATGAGACACCACGCCTGGCCTGTTCTTCACTCTTATAGTCCTGAACTATGCAATGGAGGTGCAATTGGAGGTGAAAACCCCAATAGCAACCTTATTTATTTACCTTAAGGGAGCAGAAAAAGCTGTCCCTGTAGTCTGAATAATGTGAGCAGATGTCTATTTTATTTCTTTTTTTTTCTCTTGTTTTGCTTTGAAGGCAGGCCTCAGTGACAGAGAAGCATGAAATTGTCAGTGCAGGCAGCTAAAACTCAGACAGAAGTCTTATCTTCCCAGCCAGAGCAACCAGGAAAAAAAACAGTCTATGAGTTCATGGGGGTGTGGGGGCATCACAGAGAGCAGATGGCTGAAGAAGACAATGCCTAATTCTGTGTCTGGACCCCCAAAGGTCCAAGGCTTATCTCTGAGCAGCACATCTGAGAGATACATCTGAGAGATAGACCAAACAACATAGCAAAGGCCTTGAGAACTGAATGAAGATTTAAACCATTGCCCAAGTTTCAGGCTAATCCCTGAGTGGTGCATCTACGGGACAGACCCAAAGCAGCACAGCACAGCCTTTGACAGCAGAGCTGAGTTTAAGATCACTGAACACAAAAAGTGAGACCAACATGCATTATAAATCCAACTGCATTTATTGCTGGCTACAACAAATGAACATAACCCAATAGATTTTTATCAAAATCTAGAGCTTAAGCAACATAATTTTAAAAATGTCCAGGATATAATTCAAAATTAGTCCATAAAGAAAGAAGCAGAAAAAGGTGACTAATTCTCAAGAGAAAAGATAATTAATCGATTAAATTTCTAGCTTAAATAAATGTTGGAAGCATCAGACAAAGTATTGGTAAACACACTTGAAATGAACAGAAAGAAATTCTAATCTGAGAAATAGAAATGATTCCAAGGCAAATAAAGCAGTAGCCTGTGAGTGTAATGCCAGCACTTTGGGAGGCTGAGGTGAGAGAATTGCTTGAGCCCAGGAGTTCCAGACCAGCCTGGGCAACATGGTGAAACCTCATCTGTATAAAAAATACAAAAATTAGCCAGGCACGGTGGCATGCACCTGTAGTCCCAGCTACTTAGGAGGCTGAGGTGGGAGGATCACTTGAGCTTGGGACGCAGAGGTTTCAGTGAGCTGAGATTGTGTCACTGAACTCCAGCCCAGGCAACGGAGCCCCTGTTAAAAAAAAAAAAAAGGCAATAAAAATTCCATAACTGTAAAAGACAATATCTAAAGTAAAACAGCCACCATATAGACCCAATTCCAGAATGGGCATGAGAAAAAATGTCAGTGAATTTGAAGCTAGATTAATAGAAATTATTCAATATGAAGAAAAGGGAGATTAATTTATTAGGATACTAATGAACAGAGTCTCTCACACCTATAGAATAATATAAAAAATTTTCATGTATCATTGGAGTTTCAGAATGATAGGAAAAAGGTTGATTGAGAGAATATGTCTAAGGTAATAATGGTTTAAAACTCCCCAAATATGGGGGAAGACAAACATTTACAGATTCAAGAAGTTCAGCAAACCCCAAACTGAATAAATGCAAAGGAATCCATGCCCAGACATATCATAGTCAAAATGCTGGGACAAAAATACAAACAAAGACAAAAATATCTCGAAAGAAGCTAGTGAAAAATGACATGTTGTATGCAAGAGAAAACGCAATCTGAATGAACAAAAATCATTGGGACCAGTAAGCCAGTGGCACATAACAAAAGATAGAAAACAAAACACAAACCTATTAATCCAGAATTCCCAGAGAAACTTTCTTTTAAAAATGAAGGCAAAATAAAACATATTTGATGAAGTGAAACTAAGAAAATTCATCACTAATAAACCTGCTCTAAAATGAGTGCTAAATAAAGTTCTTTAGAATGAAGAGAAACAATAAAGAATAAACAGTAAAAGTGACAAATGTCTAGGTCAATATTAGAATGAGTTTTTCTCCTCTTGAGTTCTTTAAGGTCTGCATTACTCTTGAAAACAAAATCTACAACATTTTCCGATTTGCTTTTCAGTATATGTAGATATACGTTTGACGAATGTAAGTGGGAGGGTAAAGGCATCTATATATTAGGAAGGCTTCTACATTTTACTTGAAATATTAAATTATTAACTCTAGATCTAACCATGAAAGGTTAGATGTATATAGTAAAACTTAGAGTAGCCACTATACAAATTTATATAATGAGGTATAAATAAAAGCTTAGTAGATAAACTAAATGGAATATTAAAATACTCAAACAATTTTTTAAAAGGCAGAAAAGGGAAACTGAGGGGGAAAAACAGCAGAGACAAGAGAAAACAAATAATAAAATTATAGGCCTAAATTCAACCATATCAATAAATACATTAAATGTAAATGACCTGAACAAATTAATTAACAGATTGTCTAATTGAATTAAAAAAGAGATAATTCCCAACTATATGATGCCTACACTTTAAATATCAAGACATAGATAGGTTAGAAGCAAAAGGAAGAAAACATAAACAACCTTTTTTCCCAGGAATTGCTATAAGAAGTACACAGAAAACCAGTAAGACTATAGAATTCCAGAACAACACTATCAATCAACTTATCTAATGTTTATTGAATACTCCACCCAACAACAGCAGAAAACATGTTTTTTCCAAGCACATAGGAAACAGTTACCAAGATAGTTCAAGATGGACCATAAAACAAGTCTTAGCATATTTAAAATAATTGAAATTAATCAAACTGTGCTCTCTGATGGAATTAAACCTGAAATGAATTACAGAAAAGTATACGGAAATTTTTTAAATATTTGGGAATTTAAAAAGACTACCATGGTCAAAGAGGAATTTTCAGAGAAAATTAGAAAATATTAGGAATGAGATGAAATGAAAATACAACATATCAAAACTTGAGGACTGAGCTACAGCATTGCCCAGGGGGAAATTTATAAACTAAATACCTGTATTAGAAAAGAAGAAATAGCTGTAATCAATAACCTGAGCTTCTACTATAAGAAATTACAAGAGTAAATTAAAACCAAAGAAGCAGAAGAAAGGCAATAATGATTACACTGAAAATCAATAAAACAACAGTGAAAAACAGTGGAGAAAATCTATAAAAGCAAAGGTTGATTCTTTGAAGAGATCAACAAATTGATAAACGCTTAGCTAAAATGACTGATTAAAGAGCAAAGCCACCTATTAGCAAAATCAGGGATGAAAAAGGAGACATCACTATGAACTCCGCAGAAAATAAAATGATTATCAAGAAATACTGTAAAAAATTCGTGCCAAAAACTTGGCAATATTTCATGGCCTTTAAAATAAAATTTATTTTGCATATTTAAGGTATATCACATGATGTTACTGGTTAAATGTGGATAGTAAAATGGTTACTATAGAAAAGCTAATTACCATATCCATCATCTCACATGGTTACCTTTGGTGTTTTTGTTTTTGTTTTTTGTGGCAAGAGAGCTAACATCTACTCATTTAGCAGATAGAGGAAGCGGCCATGACCTAAGAAAACCAGGCAGCCTCTGGAAGATGGAAAAAGCAAAGACACAGATTCTTCCCTGGAGTCTCCAACATGCACTGCTGACACTTTAATTTAATCCCAGTGAAACTCGTTGGGACTTCTGGCTTCCCGAACTGTAAAATTACAAAGTTGTCTTTGTTTTAAGCCACTAAGGTTGTGATAATTTGTTGTAGCAACAATAGGAAACTAATCCACCATCCAACAATGCATTTTGTTCAACATGTTTTCATTTTGGTGAAAAATATTTTTCACAGGAAAAAGTACTGGGAGAATATACATTGAAGGATGTCCCATATTTATCAATGAGTAAGATCTTGATTGTATCATTTGCTAGGTTTTCTATAATAGACATATATTTCTTCTATAAAAATAAATTTTTAAAGAAGAAAATGTAGTTTCTGTGAATTTAGTCAAGATACTCAAATGTAATGATGAAATATATGTACTCTATATCTTTTCTTAAAAAAATTGAGAAAGAACATTATTGATTATTGTAATAGAGTAACCCTTTTTAGAAAAAAGAGCTTAAATAAAATAGCAGCTTAGAACACACTAAATTTAAAAATTTGACAATTTAGATAAAATGGGCAAATTACTAGAAAGATGCAAATTATTGTTACCAACTCAAGAAGAAAGAGAAAAATATGAATGTACCTATAACAAGTAAAGCAACTGAATTAGTAATTAAAAATCTTCTTATGAAGGAAACTCCTGGCTCAGATGTCTTTGCTTGTGAGTTACACTGAAGATTTAAGAAAAAAAAACAACAAAAAACCAAAAACGAATTATACCCTAAGTCTTTCAGAAAATAAAGGGTGAAAGAATACTTCTCGGCTGGGCATGGTGGCTCACGCCTGTAATACCAGCACTTTAGGAGGCCGAGGCAGGCAGATCACGAGGTCAGGAGACCGAGACCATCCTGGCTAACACAGTGAAACCCTGTCTCTATTAAAAATACAAAAAATTTGCTGGCGTGGTGGCAGGCACCTGTAGTCCCAGCTACTCAGGAGGCTGAGGGAGAAGAATCGCTTGAACCTGGGAGGTAGAGGTTGCAGTGAGCCGAGATCGCACCACTGCACTCCAGCCTGGGTGACAGAGTGAGACTCAGTCTCAAAAAAAAAAAAAAAAAGAAAAGAAAAGAATACTTCTCAGCTCATTTTATAAGGCCAACATTACCATGATACCAAAACCAGACATGGACATTTCAAAAAATGAACACTATAGACCAATATCACTCATAAACATAGATGTAAAAATTCTGAAGAAAATACTAGCAAAGTGAATCCAGTGCTATATAAAAAGGATAATATATCATGACCTACCGGGGTTTATGCCAAATATATAAGCTGGTTCAATATGCAAAAATCAATCAATGAACTTCATCATATCAACAGCTTGGAGAAGGAAAACCATATGATCTTCTGGATAATACTTAACACCTGTTCATGGTACAAACTCTTTTTTTTTTTTTTTTTTTGAGAGAGAGTCTCACTCTGTCGTCCAGGCTGGAGTGCAGTGCACGATCTCGGCTTACTGTAACCTCTGCCTGTAGCGATTCTTGTGCCTCAGCCTCCAGAGTAGCTGGGATTATAGGCACGCACCACCACTCCCAGCTAATTTTTTGTATTTTTAGTAGAGGCAGGGTTTCATCATGTTGCCCAGGCTGGTCTTGAACTCCTGAGCTCAGGCAATCTACCCACCTTGGCCTCCCAAAGTGCTAGGATTACAGGCATGAGCCACCCCGCCTTGCCCCATGATAAAAACTCTTTATGTAAACCAGGGGTAGGATGAAACTTTCTTATATAAGATAAAGAGCATATACTAAAAGGTGGCCTGGCGCTTACATCATACTTGATGATAGAATGTTCTCCCTCTAATATTAAAAACAAGACAAGGATATCTGCTCTCACCATTCCTAATCCACCTCATACTGGAGGTCCTTGCCAGTGCAATTATGTAAGCAAAATAAATAAAAAGCATGTAGCTTGGAAAGGAAGAACTAGCCATGTTTATATTTGCAGACAACATGATTGCCTGTGTAGAGAAGTCTAAAGAATCTTCAAAAGGGTACTAAAAGTCATAATGAGCCTGGCAAGATTGCAGGATACAAAGTCAATGTGCAAAAATCAACATATTTCAATATATTAGCATTGAAAAAATATAAATTTAAATTTAAAAAATAAAATTTATAATAGTACCAAAGCATTAAATACTTAGGTATTTCAGTTGCACATGATGATTTCTAACTTTAATTTGTTAATTTATTTTTCCAGAAAATATTTATGAGCATATAACAGCCCAAGCTTGATAAATGGTTGAGTAGGCCTGAATAGGAATTGTTTGGATGGGAACTTTTACCCAATCCATAGAGTAAGATGGAACTGGAAGTGTAAACACGGGAGCTAATTTCATTAGTTGTTTTTCAAGAAGAGACATTTTATCTTTTGAAGGTAGATTTAAAGTCAGGAATTCAAGTCTGGGAAGGCAGTCCAATAAGACAATGGCGAAAAAATTGAATCCGTGACCCAGAGTAGAGATTTTCAGACTGTGTTCCATAGATCCACAAGGTTCTGCAGAACTGCCTCAGGGTCGTGTGTGTATGTGTGCGTGTAAATGTGAGCAAATAAGGTGTGTGCATATGAGTGTATTTGTATAAATGAGGATGTACATGTGATTGTGTATGTGTAAGTGTGAACAGGAGTGTGCAAATGCAAGTGTGCATAAATGTGAGCAAATAGTTGTGTGTGTGTAAATGGGTGAATGAGGATGTGACTGTGTGCATGCATGTGTGCACTGGGGAGGGGGAAGAATGCCTACTTAGATTCTGCCTGCACTTTCCTTTCTCCCACGATCTCAGAGCAGTTTTGCTTGGTTGATAATTTACTGGAGTTCCATGTAAGATTTTTCTTGGAAAAGTTTTGTGGCTAAAAATAAATATGAAAACCTCTGATCAATTAAGCAAAGAAAAGATCACAACAATGAACAAGGATCCCCAATTGCAGGCAGCAGGTAGACAGCAAAGTTCTGCTCAAGAAGCTGGCATTGGACAGAGCCGGAAGAATTTTTCCATGACCTTATCAGGGGTAATTTGGGCTTTGAGGACGGGAACCTTAACTACTAAGGATCTAACGGACTGGTAGGGAGTTTAGTTGTTGATAGGAAAATTACAGGGAACTAGTTAGTAACGTCATTGAGGCAAGAACACATTTTGTGTTAAATTGGGCTGTAAAGGTCTGAACCATAACCATGGGAAATATGATCCAGTAGACTATGACTTGAGAGTGGCTTTGGTCCCAGACAACAGGATGGGGACAAATTTGCAGTAGGGTAATACCCCTATGCAATGCCCTTCAGGGGGTGGTTTTTGGAATAGTTCGTTGAGCATCACCTCGGCTATTTGTTTAAAATGCAGATCCTGTGCTCCTCCATCAACCTACTGAATCAGGACCTCAGGCTGGGATCCAGAAACCTGATCTTTTTAACAGAGTGCATACTGGTGAATCTGATACCCTCTCGAGTGTGGAACAACTTGCCAAGTTTTTCAGAATTCCTTGTTGCTAAGAATCATGCTGGTGCTTGTTAAACATTCAGCCTTTTAGGCCCTTTTACTAAAGATGCTGAGTGGAGATGAAACCGGGTGATTTATATGTTGAGTTATTCTTATCATAGTTAATACCAGTGAGGAATATTGAGGTAAGAGGCAAATTTGGAAAATTTCTGGCATTTATTGAAGAACTATTATAGGTAACTCACAAATAATATTAAAAATTATTTTCAGGTTTTCTTCCTCTCACTAGGAACAGTTTCATGAAAGTGTCATCATGAACAGTTCCATGAGTATGAGACAAAAATCAGGTGTGACATAAAGTGTGGGTTTTGGTAGAGACGACTAGGGGCCTACTTGCCATTATTTGCATAAATATGCCGTATCATTTGCAAGTTAAATCAGCTCATATCAAATGCCATTGATTTCCATTTTTGCACAGAAAACCATTGATTAACCTCAAGGGATTCTTCACTTAGGTATAACCCACACATATTAGAATGTTTTTTGTGCATTTCCCTTGGAAATTTACTGGATAAAAGTAAGGGCTATTTCCAAAAGGAGTTTTGGATGTATGCTCCTTTGTTTCATATGTAAGTGGGATGCACTGAAGTAAACATTTCTTTTTGCCACACTTCATTTTATTTTATTTTAATTTCTGGGGTACATGTGCAGGATGTGCAGGTTTGTTATATAGGTAAATGTGTGTCATGGTGGTTTGTTGTACCTATCAACCCATCACCTAGGTATTAAGCCCAGCGTGCATTAGCTATTTTTCCTGATGCTCTCCCTCCTCCTACCTCCCCGCAACAGGCCCCAGTATGTGTTGTTCCCCTCCCTGTGTCCACATGTTCTCATTGTTCAGCTCCCTCTTATAAATGAGAACATGTGGTGTTTGGTTTTCTGTTTCTGTTAGTTTGCTGAGGATAACGGCTTCCAGCTCCATCCATGTTCCTGCAAAGGACATGATCTTGTTCCTTTTTATGACTGCATAGTATTCCATGGCATATACATACCACATTTTCTTTATCTAGTTTATCATTGATGGGCATTTGGATTGATTCCATGTCTTTGCTGTTGTGAATAGTGCTGCAGTGAACATAGCTGTGCATGTATCTTTATAATAGAATGATTTACATTTTTTGGGGTATATACCCAGTAATGGGATTGCTGGGTCAAATGGTATTTCTGGTTCTAGGTCTTTCAGGAATCGCCACACTGTCTTCCACAATGGTTGAACTAATTTACATTCCCAACAAGAGTGTAAAAGTGTTCTTATTTCTCCACAGCCCCACCAGCATGCCATGCTTCTTAAACATTAAGGTGCATATGAATCACATTGAGTTCTTGATAAAATACAGATTCTGATTTAATGGGGCTGAGGTGGGGGACGAGATTCTGCATTTCTATTCAACCCCCAGGTGATGCCAATGCTACTGGTCCTCAGACTACCCTTCCAACAGCAAGGGACTATAATACAGCATTCTATCCCAGGAGAGGTGACTGATAAACTATATATTGCTGCTGTCTGTGAGGGCCATTAAGGAAACTCAAATTCTGTATGAATTTCACTCAACAGAAGTTGAATGAATGCGTAAGGAAATTCGAATTTTGTATGACTTTCACTCAACAGAAGATGAATGAAAATGTACCTTACCTTAAAGAACCACAGACAGGAGCAGAAAGTGCAGTCAGAAAGTTAACACAATATTATGCAATTTCCCAGAGCTTTGAACAAGTGCTTTGAGCAAGCCTTGCCAATAGAAATCTCAGCAGGGAATTAGCAGGTGCTGCCTCTACAGATGGTCTGAGAAAGTGATGTTGGGTCACGCCACCACTGAGTGCCCTGGGAACTCTGAATGGGGAGAGCAACCACTGAGCACAATGATTGAGATCCAAATGCAGTATATCTACACCCTCCAATTGCCCAAGCAGTATAGTTTCCTGGGACCGAGGAGGAAGCCAATGCTTTTGTCTGGGGCAATGAACCGGGAGATTTGGGGCTTCTCACTATTCCTGAATAACTGTGAATTTGGAATGATACTTTCATCGCACCATGAAACCTGGCTACGTTGGAAGCCTAGAAACACTTGTGTATAGTTACAGGGTGGGAATGGGTAGAGAAGAGAGCCTACATGGTGTCAACGTGGAGACCCCTAGTAAACTGAGCTTTTGATTTCCACCCTGGACAATGAGGGCCACATAAGCAATACTCTTCTAATACAATCAATGAACTTTCAGAGTTCCCTTAAAAATTGTTACCATTGTAAATTTGACTTGACCTTTTTTCTTCATGACTGCCGCAATTAAGCCTCAACTGTCCATACTTCTTTCTGGGTTGGGGGAATTAGTTTCATGCAGCTAGTTTTTCACTGTATTCCTTCTAGTGAATATTGTAAAGTTTTATTTCTCTTCTACAGAATAGAATGTGCTTACCTCAATGTCCTTGGCTGCAAAACTTAGATGAGTTTTTATCTCAATAGATTATTAGCTTTTCCATAGAAAGTTTAAAATTCAAATTATGCAACATGACAGAGTACAAAAGCTGAGAAAATTTAATGCAGCAAAGTCTATCTTCAAATTTCCTATTATTTAGTAATTTTAAGTACATGTTAATTAAAGAATTTTAGATTTTGGAATTGTTATTTTCTAATGAAATTTGAATATTTGGAATAAAGGGACTGAAGATTAGGAGTCTGAAGTGAGATGTCACATTGCAGTTTCTTTAGTAAACATACAATTTTCATAACTCTATTCATGATTTTTATTGATAATTATTGAAAGAAAATACCTCTCTCTCTCTCTGTCTCTGTCTCTCGTTCTATCACTTATTCTTCTTAGTCCTTTGGCAGAAAAGAAAACCCAGAGGTCGGAAAATAGGAACTTCAGGTTTGGAGTTATACAGAGCCAAGTCTTTAACTGTGACTGGATGGTTTTTTAGGTTTACGTTTATTTCCTGCAAAGTGTTTCTATGCCAATTTCACTGTCTTTGAGTAGTTAAATGGCTTTCTGCAAGTAGTCAATGTGGGTAAATTTCCTTGGAATTAGTCTGGGGAAGTTAAGATCAGTTGTACTGCTGATGGCTTATCAGTGTCCTAGCAGGAAAATGTGTTCCTGATGAGTAAGCCATTGAGCTTGTTCAAGGCATCCAAGTTG
Organism: Homo sapiens; assembly: GCF_000001405.40. Taxonomy (NCBI): domain Eukaryota; kingdom Metazoa; phylum Chordata; class Mammalia; order Primates; family Hominidae; genus Homo; species Homo sapiens. The sequence goes on from NC_000017.11 coordinate 69,673,139, forward strand.
GCCCAGACAGATGGTTAGTGGCAGATAAGATACATTAAGAAGGTGCTGATTCTATTGCCTTGGAATTTTTTGAAACAAATTTTGTGTTCAAAGGAAAAACAAACAGGCAAATGAACAAACAGCAAAACCAGAAACAAGAACAAACTAGTCTCTTAATATACAAAATCAAAGGAAAATAAGTCAAAGAGATGAATATGTGCATTATTTCTTTTAGTCTAACTCTCCAGATGGCAATTTTGTATCAGTGTTATTGAGAGCATGAGCTCACCAAATTGATATCCCACAAGGGGACATCACACTAGGACATCCTACTGAGACCTTCCCTTCCAGGAGACATTGGTTGACCTATTTGCTCAGACTTGAGGCTGAAGGTTAAACATCACATAGAGAGTTCTTACACATCAATTTAAAAGTTTGTTGGAAATAGAGTACAGACATGCAGGAAATGTGGAATTACTATTAAACATTTGAAAAAATGTTCACTCTGACAAGCAAGTAATTCTAATGAAAGTAATATGACAGCATTATTTTTGGGCCCATTAAAGTAAATAGCGTAAACAGGAAGAATATATTCAATAATGATACCCATTGAAATCAAGTGCCCAATTAATGAAGCAGGCATTCTTCTAAACTTCTTGTTGCCTTGGAAATTGGTGTAACTTTCTTTTTGTTTTCTTTCTTTCTTTCCTTCCTTCCTTCCTTTTTCTTTCTTTCCTTCCTTCCTTCCTTCCTTCTTTCTTTTTTTTTCTTGAGACAGAGTCTTGCTCTGTCACCCAGACTGGAGTGCAGTGGTGTGATCACAGCTCACTGCAACCCCCGCCTCCCAGGCTCAAGCGATTCTCCTACCTCAGCCTCAGGAATAGCTAGGATTACAGGCACATGCCACCACACCCAGTTAATTTTTGTATTTTTAGTAGAAATGGGGTTTCACCATGTTGGTCAGGCTGGTCTTGAACTCCTGACCTCAGGTGATCCGACCCTCTCAGCCTTCCAAAGTGCTGGGATTACAGGCATGAGCCACCACACCTAGCCCAAATTGGTATAACTTTCTAAAGGCCAATTTGGTAATATACGCATTCAGAATTTCAACTCTTTATATTATTTTACCTATCCTAAAACATAAACATGATCATGGTTTTCTGCATTATAATCCTCTGTTGGTTCCCTCTTAATTAAAGCAGGGATCATCAAACTTTTTCTGTAAAGGGCAAGATAGAAAATATTTTAGGGCTTGCGGGCCACGTCGTCTCTATTTCAATTACTCAGCTCTGCTGTCATGCACAAAACAGCCATAGAATACAGGTAAACTGTGCTCAAAGAAAATTTATTTATAGACACTGAAATTTGGATTTCATATAATTCTCACATCTTACTAGATACTATTCTTATGTTTTTTCCAACCATTAAAGACTGTAAAAACCATTCTTAGCTTATGGTTCCCAAACAGGTGGCAGGCTGGATTTGGGCCTCTGGCTCCAGTTTGCTGACCTATAGCTTAAAGCATAAATCCCCCAACCACCAAATCCTTTACAACGTTCTCCCCAAACAAGTTATGCACTTGCATATCACCTGCAGCTGTGTGCTTATGTCTGCCTTTCGCTTTGCCTAGAATGTCATCTCCATTGCCACCTTCCTGAAATTATTTTTATTACCTATGTTGACTTAGAGATGAGCTTTGTCTCCACCACCTGGGACAGAGGGTGCCAGGCCTGAATAGATCTTTTCTGATCACCAAATCTCCCCTTAATAAAAGTAGAGAAGTGCTTTAGTGTATTCTTCTATAAAACAAAGAAACAAAATCTTTAAAATGTAAATACCAGATTAAAGCAGGATTTTTGGTATGATTTAGTGTGAATCAAAGTATATCCAATTTGACCAGTGAAAACCACTTAGATCTCTTTTGATAGCATAGGGACTGAAGATTGCAGGAGGGTGTTGGATGACTGAGTTTGTAAGAAAGATTATCAGGCAGGACAATGGGAAAACAGGTACAGAAAGGGGAAGTTGGGCATATAAGCAAGCAACAATACATCAGGGCTTTGCATGGGGTAGACCTTGTTTATTTTCAGTTGGAGTGAGACAAATAGAGAAAGTGGTTATGCAACTGAACAACAAAACATGTCAATTTCTCATGATTTATTACTTTTTACAAAATAATTTACTACAGTAAAATTACAGTAAATTACTGTTTATAAAGAGTAATTATCTCCTTATAAAGAGATAATAAAATTGGTCAATTACATTTCATTATAGTGTTTGTTAAAATTTATGATGTTTCAATAAATGAATTCTAAAATATCTTTTTACAAAAGCCATTTTGTGAAGTGGGTTGCTAGTCTTGAACTCAATAACCCATACCTCTGAAGAGCCCAATGATATGGAACATGAGGTGATACTGATAATAATGCTTTATTGTGGTATACATATATATGTATTACTTACTGAATTGCTGTATGTTTTATACACATGTATATACCTTACTTAAAATAAATATCTTTGGGAAAACTAACCTTATGAACTCTCATCTATAAAGTAATAAAATAATATTAATAGTTAATTACCAATAACTAAATGAATATTCCCTTTTTTTTTTTTTTGAGATGGAGTCTCGCTCTGTCGCCCAGGCTGGAGTGCAGTGGCGCAATCTCAGCTCACTGCAAGCTCCGCCTCCCGGGTTCATGCCATTCTCCTGCCTCAGCCTCCCAAGTAGCTGGGACTACAGGCGCCTACCACCATGCCCAGCTAATTTTTTTTTTTTTTTTTTTTTTTTTTTTTTAGTAGAGATGGGGTTTCACCGTGTTAGCCAGGGTGGTCTCGATCTCCTGACCTGGTGATCCGCCCACCTTGGCCTCCCAAAGTGCTGGGATTACAGGCGTGAGCCACTGCGCCCGGCCCTAAGTAATTGTTTCTTATGTGACAGGTACTGTCTAAATACTTCACATTCAAGATCTTTTTCCTTGCTTAAATATTAATCATAGAACATTCCAAACATACAAAAGAAAACAGACCACTATTGTGATCTGGCTAGTACTCAACCCCCGGCTTCAACAACTAACAATTCATGGCCAAATTCATTTTATCTCTGCACTGATACCCTCCTCCCATGTTATTTTGAAAGCAATCCTAGACATCATATTATGTCATCCGTAATATTTCTGCTTGCATCTCTAAAAGACAAGGTCTCAAAAATATAAAACCACAGTGCCATTATCTCACTTAAAAATAATTAGCAGTAGTTTCTTAGTATCATCAAATATCTAGTCAGTGACTATTTGTATTTTAAATTTTTACAAATTCTTTGAATTCGGATCCAAATAATTTCCATGTTACAATAGGTTGATATTTGAAGTCTTTCAAATAACTTTTAATTTATAGGCTCCCTCTCTTGCTCTCTCTCTCTGCTTCTTTCTCTCTCTCTTTGCAATTTATTCATTTAATAAACTGGGCTATTCTGTCTGTAGTCTGGATTTTGCAGATAGTATTTCACACGGCTCTGTCCTCTGAGCTTCCTATAAATCGATAGTTATGTGTAAAGACTTCATCAAATAAATCTGAAAATTAATTGGTGGTATGGTTGTGGGCAGGGGGAGGCTTGTGGGTAGCTTTAGTTTCTTCTGGAGGGAGACTTATTTTCTTTTTATGATGTTTGTAGATGCTGTTGTTAGCAACCTACATCCTAGGTGAATTCATTGGGGTTTGAAAAATTCTTATAGTCTAATTCTAACATTTTTTTTCATGCATTAGCTAGGAACTTCTATAAAGAGAAATGCCTCATTTACAACTCTTCTTCCAAATGGTACAGTTTCTATAGGAAAATAATAAATGCTGAATTTTTTTCTATGTATTTTTTAGTTTTCAAAATAATGAGGTAGTAAGCATCATCCAACTATGATCAATTAGTGTGATTATTTATTTTGGGGAGATTATTGTGATCTCATATATTATACATACATATAAAAATGCAGGCATGCATACATGAAATACATCCTTGGGATGTGCCAATCCATTGCAGTTATTCTCCTTATTGGTGTTCAAATTATCCCCCACTTTGACCAGCGGGAGCTGATTCGGGTGGCTCCTGAGTGCTTTTACAAGACATCTATTGTCTTCTAGAGGGTTCTTTTCATATGGTAGAATTCCAGTCTAATTTGTACATTTCCTGTTCTATATCTGTACACAACCATTTCTACAAGAAGCCCTGGTTCGTTTCAGTGGGAAAAAGTATTTGGACGCTACAGTCTAGTCTGTAGGGGTCATCATTGCTACTGGGTTGGCTTTCTTAGTCGGCAGTACTAAGAAATATATAGATATGTTTTAAAGATAAAAAATCATGAGTTTGTATCGATCTTCCAATTAAAATTCACAACTACTTGAGGTTTTCACTTAACCTATTTTGATATCACGTCTTTATCTTCTTTCTCCAATTCAGTAATCCTGTTCTCAATAATATAGGGGATTATAGAATTAGAGTATCACATAAATATTCATCTCTTTGTTCCTATAATGTACACACAACAGTCTGGAAATAACAACATCAATGCTAATACCAACAATATAATTATAGAAAAGAGTATACAACTTTATTTTTTGGAAGTTGTCTTTGTCCTCAGCATATTACAGCGTTAGAGTACACCCTTCCAGAATGTGCAGACAAATTGTTGTGTTTTAGAGTCACATAGTTTAGTTTCTCTGCATGTGACTATGCCACCAACTATATTTGTACCTGTTATATATTTAAGACTATTTATTTATTTTTAAATTTCTTGACATTGCATTACAAATAACTGTATTTTATAATTATGTAAAACATTTACATGGTTTCAAAGGCAAATATCTAGAATGAGGTAGATTCATACAAAGCTAATTTCTTCTCTTGGTCTGTCCACTCCATTCTTTTTTTTCCTGTCATATATGCAGATTTTTTAAAAAATTAAGATTTATTATTTTATTGTTTGTTTTAAGCTATAAGCAGATAGTTTAATGTATTCCTATATCAACCTGTCTTATATGAGTGGTGATACACCAAAACAACTTTTCTTCATCTTGTTCTTTTTACTTCATACACATCAAAATCATGCCTTGGTATTATATAGAGGGACTCCCTGTGCGTTTGTGGAACTGCACAGTTTACATGTGTGAATGTGCTGTAGATTATTCAGTCAGACTCCTAGAGGACAGTTGGGTTGTTTCCTGTGTTTTGCTACTTGAAAGTCTTGCAGTGTACAATCTGGTGCATGTACCCCTTGTGTATTGTGTAAGTGTGGCTTTGTGGATAGCTTCCTAGAAGTGGGATTGCTGAGTGAAACAGTAGATGCATATATCATATTGGCATATGTTGCAAAATTATCCTCTGTTTTCTATTCTCACCAACAACATTGAGACTGTTTCCTCACGACTTCTACACAGAGTGTTTTCAAACTTTTGGCTTTTGACAAATAAATAATTGAGAAGAGGTAGCTCAATGTAGCTTTGATTTCTTTTGTGTAGGTTTGTATTTCTGTTATGGTAGTCAAGAGTAACTTGCATTTCTCTTTCTGTGAACTTTCTTTTCGTTAATCTAGCCCATTTTTTTTTTATTGGATTGCTAGTGTTTTGAATTTCCCTATGTTTAGAAGTGTTTCATGTTAAAATTTTATGATTAAAAATTTAAAATATTTTAATATTTTGTCATTTGTCTTTTAGTTTAATTCTGGTAATCTTCTGCTGTGTAAAAGTTTTAATTTTTGTTTTATCAAATTTATCTTTCCAATTTCTTATGTCTTTAAGACTTCAGTCATAGAAAAGCTTCTCTTACTTTCAGGTTGTAAAGGAATTCACTTCTAGTACCACAGATTTAAATTTTTACATTTAAATAGCTTATCCATCTGGAATTTGTCCTGGAGTATGATATGAGAAAAGGATCCAGTGCTATTTTGTTCAAATGGTTACCCAGTTAGCTCAACACAACTTATTAAATAGTCCATCTTTAACTCAATGATATGATATGCTGCTTTTACAGCATATTAAATTTGTACCTTTAATTGGGTATATTTCTGGATTTTCTAATAACTCCCATTAGTTTGTGACAATTTTTGTATTGTTAGTATACTGTTTTAATTCTAGAGAATTCATAGTACGCCTTGATATTGGCAGGGCTCTCTTCTCTCACTACTACATATTCATCTTTATTCATGGTATTCTTTACTATTTTTGCTTATTTGTTTTTCCAAATAACCTGAATAATCAACTCATAAAGTCCGGCTTTAAAGCAAAATCTGATACCGTTTGTTGGAATTGCATAAATTTATAAATTAGTTTAGATTAAATAGACATCTATATTGATGCATAACAAAAAATTGTAGCAATATGATTTTTAAAAATCAGAGATATATAATCATAAAATATTTGTTTTAGCTCTAGTGTTAATCGTCAAGTTTAACATCTTAGCCTAAGGCTTTTAAAAATATAGGATATATATTAATATAAGTGATACGGTTTGATTTGTAGCATAATTTCATTTGTTTAACAATAATTTATAATCCAGTTTTTCTATATTTGGTTCTATTCATAATTCGGAAGTCAAAGTGGTCCACTCAATAAAATGCAAAGATCGTGGGTACTTTTCTTTCATTTTTCTATTTGAAAGAAGTTTCTTGGTTTTATGATGGAGAATGGATGTCTAGGCACAGCTTTACAAAAAAAATCTGCTTTCTTGCTATTTATGCATCCTCAACAAGATAATTAGCTACAATGAAATTAAAATGCAATGAGTCTGTCTGAATTTTTGTCGTTGTTACTTGTGAACTTCATCTCATCAATGTCAAAGATTCACATTTTGGAACTTACTCATCACATTGAAATTGTATGGCTTGGCTGTGATGGATTGGATTTACCATGACTTTCATCCATGCCTAATTCGAGTATATGAATCTTGCATTTTTTTTCATTCACGCGTCATTACACAAGCTATCCTTGAGATGTATTCAATGTGTCAGAATAAAACGAGTGCTTTCAAAGTCTAGAAAAAAATAGGTATATCAAAGTTCAAACTCAATGCAATAAATAATAATAGCAAATTTACTTTTTAAAGTATTTACAATTTGGCAGATTCTTCCCAAGTGTTTGTTGTATATTAACTCATGTAATCTTTGCAATAATCTAAAAATGTAAGACTATTTCCTAATTCTATAAATGGAGCCCAACTCACACAGTTGGTAAGTGAGATTTGAACTCTGGCAGTTTGGCACAGAGGCCTGTTTGTAATCATTATACTCTACAGCCTTTATGTGTTAGAAGACCTCCTCTTCATGTAAAAAGCATGCACAGTGTAAGACATTGGGGGTTAAAATGATGATAAAGACAAATGTAATCTCTTTCCTCTTGGAGGGAGCCTGGATGTAGACTAGAAAGAACAGTCTGTCTATATATCTATCAAGCAAAGCAAGAGCTTGACCTTCTACCTGTCTGTTCATTTTCTATAAACTATAGATAGATATATAGATATAGATATATAGAGATATAGATAGATATATAGATACAGATAGATAGATAGATATAGATGTATTTACTTCCTATATCCTGAAGACTTGCAAGTCTATATCTTCAATTTGAACCTTTCTCCTGAGCCTGAGACTCATTTTTCAACAACATAATGAGCATCTCCACTTTTATGTTACATGAAATTCAGCATATCTAAATGTAAATATATATATATAGGATTCAGCAACACAGACAAAATTCATGTCCTTGAAGACAGTAGTATCAGAAGGCTGTTGGTACAGAAACTGGATCGTAGTGGGATAAGGAGTAACTAGTGGGAGGGGAAATAGAAACAGTGAAGTGAATCTGTTTATTAAAGAGGCCTGGCAGTAACAGAAAGTATTAGGTTAGTGCAAAAAACACAAAATGTGCAATTATTTTTCACCAACCTAATAGGAAGGACAGTAGCAAGAGGGAGGGGGAGATAAGATAAATATTTTTTTAATTTGTTAAATAACTTTTATTTTAGGTTTGGAGTACATGCACAAGTTTGTTATATAGATAAATTGCATGTCATGGGGGTTTGGTGTACAAATTATTTCGTCACCCAGGTAATGAGCCTAGTACCTGATGGGTACTTTTTTAACCCTCTGTCTGCTTCCACTCTCCATCCTCAAGAAGGCCCCTGTGTCTGTTGTTTCTTTCTTTGTGTCCATATGTTCTCAATGTTTAGCTCCCACTTATAAGTGAGAACATTCACTATTTGTTTTTCTGTTCCTGTGTTAGTTTGCTTAGGATAATGGCCTTCAGCTCTATCCATGGTGCTGCAAAGAACATGATCTTATTCTTTTTTATGGCTGCATAGTATTTCATGGTGTATATGTACCACATTTCTTTATCTAGTCTACTGTTGATGGGCATTTTTGTTGATTCCATGTCTTCACTATTGTGAACAGTGGTGCCATGAACATACACATGCATGTGTATTAATGGCAAAAAATTGATATTCCTTTGGGTATATACCCAATAATGGGATTACTAGACAGGCAACCCACAAAATGGGAGAAAATTTTTGCAACCTACTCATCTGACAAAGGGCTAATATCCAGAATCTACAATGAACTCAAACAAATTTACAAGAAAAAAACAACCCCATCAAAAAGTGGGCAAAGGACATGAACAGACACTTCTCAAAAGAAGACATTTATGCAGCCAAAAAACACATGAAAAAATGCTCACCATCACTGGCTATCAGAGAAATGCAAATCAAAACCACAATGAAATATCATCTCACACCAGTTAGAATGGCAATCCTTAAAAAGTCAGGAAATAACAGGTGCTGGAGAGGATGTGGAGAAATAGGAACACTTTTACACTGTTGGTGGGACTGTAAACTAGTTCAACCATTGTGGAAGTCAGTGTGGCGGTTCCTCAGGAATCTAGAACTAGAAATACCATTTGACCCAGCCATCCCATTACTGGGTATATACCCAAAGGACTATAAATCATGCTGCTATAAAGACACATGCACACGTATGTTTATTGCAGCACTATTCACAATAGCAAAGACTTGGAACCAACCCAAATGTCCAACAATGATAGACTGGATTAAGAAAATGTGGCACATATACACCATGGAATACTATGCAGCCATAAAAATGATGAGTTCATGTCCTTTGTAGAGACATGGATGAAATTGGAAATCATCATTCTCAGTAAACTATCGCAAGAACAAAAAACCAAACACCGCATATTCTCACTCATAGGTGGGAATTGAACAATGAGAACACATGGACACAGGAAGGGGAACATCACACTCTGGGGACTGTTGTGGGGTGGGGTGAGGGGGGAGGGATAGCATTGGGAGATATACCTAATGCTAAATGACGAGTTAGTGGGTGCAGCGCACCAGCATGTCTACATGTATACATATGTAACTAACCTGCACAATGTGCACATGTACCCTAAAACTTAAAGTATAATAATAAAAAAAAAGAAAAAAAAATAGATTGAATAGTAATTCTGTTTTAAGGTCTTTGAGAAATCATCAAACTGGTTTTGAAAATGGCTGAACCAACTTACAGTACCACCAGCAGTGTATAAGTGTTCCATTTTCTCAACAACCTTGCCAGCATCTATTATTTTTTGATTTTTTAATAGTAGCCATTCTGAGTGGTGTGAGATGGTATCTCATTGTGGTTTTTTTATTTCTCTAATGATTAATGGTGTTGAGCATTGCTTGTTGGCCATGCATATGTCTTTTTTGTTTTGTTTGAGACACAGTCTCATTCTGTTACCCAGGCTGGAGTGTAGTGGCATGATCAGGTGTCATTGCAGCCTCAACCTCCAAGGATCAGGTAATCCTCCCACCTCAGCCTCCATAGTAGTTGGGACTACAGGTGAACACCACCATGCCTGACTAATTTTGTATTTTTTGTAGCAATCGGGTTTCACCATGTTGCCCAGGCTGGTCTCAAACTCTTGGTCTCAATGGGTCCACCTTCCTCAGCCTCTTGAAGTGCTGGGATTACAAGTGTGAGCCACCATGTCCAGCTTCTTCTTTTGAAAAGTGTCTGTTCATATCCTTTGCTCACTTTTTAATGGGGTTGTTTGCTTTTGTTTGTAAATTTGTTTAAGTTTCTTACAGTTTCTGGATGTTAGGTCTTTGTTGGATGCAGAGTTTGCAAATATTTTCTCTCATTCTGTAGGTTGCCTGTTTACTGTATTGATAGCTGTGCAGAAGTTCTTAAATTTAATTAGATCCAATTTGTTGAGTTTTGTTTTTGCTGCAATTGCTTTTTGTGTCTTCATCTTGAAATCTTTGCCAAGTTCTGTGTCCAGAATGGTATTTCCTAGGTTATCTTCCAGAGTTTTTATAGTTTTAGGTTTTAATCTAAATATCTTGAGTTGATTTTTGTATATAGGGTAAGGAAAGGGTGGTCCCATTTCAGTCTTCTGCATATGGACAGCCAATGATCTCAACACCATTTATTGAATAGGGGGTCTTTTCCCTATTGATTACTTTTGTCAGCTTTGTTGAAAATCAGATGATTGTAGGTGTGTGAAATTATTTCTGGGCTTTCTATTCTGTTTCCTTGGCTTATGTGTCTGCTTTTGTACCAGCACCATGGTGTTTTGGTTACTGTTGCCTTGTAGTATAGTTTGAAGTTGGGAAATGTCATGCCTCCAGCTTTGTTATTTCTGCTTAGTGTTGCCTTGGCTATTTGTGCTCTTTTTTGGTTTCACTGGAATTTCAAAATAGTTTTTTCTAATTCTGTGAAGAATGTTATTGGCAATTTGATAGGAATAGCATTGAATCTGGACATTGCTTTAGGCACTATGGCCAGTTTAACAATATAGATTCTTCCTATCCATGAGCATGATGTATTTTTCCATTTGTTTGTGTCATCTCTGATTTCTTCAAGCAGTATTTTGTAACTTTCATTGTAGAGATCTTTTACCTCCTTGGTTAGCTCTATTCCTAGGTATTTTATTCTTTTTGAGGCTATTGTAATAAAATTACATTCTTGATTTGGCTCTGAGCTTGGGTGTCGTTGGTATACAGGAATGCTACTGATTTTTGTACATTAATTTTATATCCCAAAACTTGCCTGAAGTTGTTTATCAGATCAAGGAGCTTTTGGGCAGAGACTGTGTGGTTTTCTAGGAAGAGAACCATATCCTCTGCAAACAGGGATAGTCTGACTTCCTCTCTTTCTATTTGGATACTTTTTTTTCTTTCTCTTGCCTGATTATTCTGGCTAGGACTTCTAGTACTACGTTGAATAGGAATATTGAGGGCATCCTTATCTTGTTCTGTTTTTCAAGGGGAATACTTCCAGCTTTTGCACATTCAGCATATTGACTGTGGGTTTGTCATAGGTGGCTCATATTTTGAGATATGTTCCTTTGATGCCTAGTTTCTTGAGGGTTTTTATCATGAAGTGATATTGGATTTTATGGAAAGCTTTTTCTACATCTATTGAGATGAACATATGGGTTTTGCTTTTAATTCTGTTAATTTGGTGAATCACATTTATTGATTTGTGTACGTTGAACCAACCTTGTCTCCCAGGAATGAAGCCTACTTGGTTATGAAGTCAGAGAGGAGTCCCTCCTCCTCAGTTTTTTTGGAATAGTTTCAGTAGGAATGGTACCAGATCTTCTTTATATATCTGGTAGAATTCAGCTATGTATCATCTGATCCTGAGCTTTTTCTGGTTGGTAGGCTTTTTACTTAATCCTGATTCAATTTTAGAACTCGTATTGATTGTTCTGAGATTTATTCTCTTCCTTGTTCAATCTTGGGAGACTGCATATTTCCAGGTATTTTTCCATTTCTTCTAGGTTTTCTGGCTTACATGCATGGAGATACTCATAATAGTCTCTGAAGGTTTTTGTATTTTGTGGGGTTAGTGGTAACATCTCCCTTGTCATTTTGGATTGTGTTTGTTTGGATTTTGGATTGTCTCTCTTTTTTTCTATTGGTCTAGCTTGAATCTATCTTATTAATTCTTTCAAAGAACAAGCTCTTGGATTCATTGATATTTTGCATACTTTTGTGCATTTCAATTTTCTTCAGCTCTGAGTTGGGTTCTTTGTTTTTTAATTTTTTTTTTTTTTTTTGGTAGAGACAGGGTCTCATCATGTTGCCCACACTGTTCTTAAACTCTTGGGCTCAAGCAATCCTCCTGCCTCAGGCTCCCAAAGTGCTGGGATTACAGGCATGAGTCACCATGCCTGGCCTGATTTTGATTATTTCTTGTCTTCTGCTAGCTTTAGGGTTTGTTTGCTCTTTTTTCTCTAATTACTCTAGTCTTTTTTTTTTTTTTTTTGAGATGGAATCTCTGTCACCCAGGACAAAGTGCAGTGGTATGATCTCAGTTCACTGCAACCTCTGCCTCCCAGGTTCAAGCAATTCTCCTGCCTCACCTTCCTGAGTAGCTGGGATTATGGGCATGTGCCACCACACCCAGCTAATTTTTGTATTTTTAGTAGAGCTGGGGTTTTGTCATGTTGACCAGGCTGGTCTTGAACTCCAGACCTCAAGTGGTCTGCCCACCTCAGCTTCCCAAAGTGTTGGGATTATAAGTGTGAGCCATTACAAGTGTGAGCCACCAAACCCGGCCCAAATTCCTCTAGTTGTGATGTTAGGTTGTTAATTTGAGATCTTTCTAACTTTTTGATGTGGACGTTTAGTGTTATAAACTTCCCTGTTAATACTGCTTTGGCTGTGTTCCAGAGATTCTGGTATGTTGTACCTTTTTTCTCATTAGTATCAAATAATTTCTTGATTTCTGCCTTAATTTCATTTTTTATCCAGAAGTCATTCAGGAGCAGGTTGTTTAATTCCCATGTAATTGTAAGGTTTTGAGTGATTTTCTTAGCATTGATTTCTATATTTTTATTGCACTATAGTTTGAGAGTGTGGTTGGTATGATTTCAGTTTTTTTTAAAAATGTCCTGTATATTGTTTTATGCCCAATTGTGTGGTGAATTTTAGAGTATGTGCCATGTGCAGACGGGAAGAATGTATATTCTGTTGTTTTGGGTGGAGAGTTCTGTAGATGTCTATTAAGTCTACTTGGTCAAGTGTTGAGTTAAGGTCCCAGATATGTTTGTTAGTTTTCTGCCCTGATGATCTGTCCAATACTATCAGTGAGGTGTTGAAGTCTCCTACTATTATTATGTGGTTATCTAAGTCTTTTCATAGGTCTGTAAGAACTTGCTTTATTAATCTGGGTGCTTCTGTGCCTATATATTTAGCACAGTTAGGTCTTCTTGTTGAATTGAGCCCTTTACCATTATGTAATGCCCTTCTTTGTCTTTTTTGATCTTTGTTGTTTTAAAGTCTGTTTTGTTTGAAATTAGAATGGCAATCCCTGTATTTTTTCTGTTTTCAATTTGCTTGATAGGTTTTTCTTCATCCTTTTACTTTGAGCTTATGAGTGTCATTGCATGTGAGATGAGTCTCCTAAAGACAGCATGCCATTGGGTTTTGCTTCTTTATCCAGCTTGACACTCTGTGCCTTTTAATTGGGGGAATTTAGTCCATTTACATTAAAGGTTAGTATTGATATGTGTGGATTTGATCCTGTCATCGTGTTGTTATCTGGTTATTACACAGACTTGTTTGGGTGGTTGCTTTATAGTATCACTGAGCTGTTTACTTAAATGTATGTTTTGTAGTGGCTGGTAATAGTCATTCCTTTCTGTTTAGCCGTCCCTTTCAGGGCCTCTTGTAAAGTAGGTCTGGTGGTAACTAATCCCTTATCTTTTGCTTGTCCAAAAGGGATCTTATTTTTCCTTAGCTTATGAAGCTTAGTTTGGCTGAATATGAAATTCCTGGTTGGAAATTTTTTTTAAGAATGCTGATGATAGGCCCTCAATTTCTTCTGGCTTATAGAGTTTCTGCTGACAGGTTTGCTGTTAGCTTGATGGGCTTCCATTTGTAGGTGACCTACGCCTTCTCTCTAGCTGTCTTTAGTATTTTTTGTTTCATTTTGACCTTGGAGCATCTGCTGACGATGTATGTTGGGGATGGTCTTCTTGTGTAGTATTTTGCAAGGATTCTTTGCATTTCTTGAATTTCAATGTTGCCCTTTCTAGCAAGGTTGGGGAAATTTTCATAGATAATACCCTGAAATATGTTTTCCAAATTGGCTGGTTTCTCTTCCTTTCTTTCAGGGATGTCAAGGAGTCATACATTTGGTCTATTTACATAATCCCATATTTTATTGTTCATTCTTCTTTATTGTTTTTTCTTTATTTTTGTCTGACTGAGTTATTTTGGGGAGCCAGACTTTGAGCTCTGGTATTCTTTTCTCAGCTTGGTTGATTCTGCTCTCAATAGTTGTGATTACATTATGAAATTCTTGCAGTATGTTTTCCAGCTCTATCAGATCTGTTTGTCTCTTTCTTATAATGGCCATTTCATCTATAAGCTTCTGTATCATTTTATTTTAATTCTTAGTTTCCTTGGATTGGGTTTTGACTTTCTCCTGAATGTCAATGATATTATTTTCTATCCATATTCTGAATTTTATTTCTGTCATTTTAGTCGTTTTGGCCTAGTTCCCCACCATTGCTGGGGAACTAGTGCAGTTGTCTGGAGGTAAGAAGACACTCAGGCTTTTCAAGTTGCCAGAGTTCTTACCCTGGTTCTTTCTCGTCTTTGTGGGCTGGTGTTTTTTTAACCCTTGAAGTTGCTGTTTTTTTGGATGGTTTTTTTTTTCTTTTATCCTCTTTGATGTCCTTTGGGGTTTGATTATGGTATAAGATGAATTCCATCAACTGGCTTTATTTCTGGAAGACTTTAAGGGACCAAGGCTCAGCTCAGGATTCCTGGGCTGCATACTGTAGCTCTGGAGGGCTGCTGTTGGACCCTGACTTTTTTCTTCAGCCCCTGGAGTTTACAAACCTGCTGCACTGCAGGGTCTGAGGTGGTCACAGACCACTGGTCACAACACTCTGATGGGTGGTGCCAGCCAAAGCTCTTCATCAGGCAGTGGCAGTGGAATCCATGCTCATTCACATGTGCCAGCAGTGGTAGCAGTGTGGTGGGATGCATTCTAGTTGGCTGCTGTGGAACGCTGGCAGGTGCAAAGGTTCCAGCCTCTGGGCAGTCATTCCAGCAGTGGCAGTGCTGCAGGGGGGTGTAGGTGCTGCAGGGGGGTGCCCACCAGTGTCTGTTCACATGTTCATACCAGTGACAATGTTGGCACCATGAATTTTTTTTAAAGATAAGAGAGTTTAAATGTTATTATGAAGTGGACAAAAATGGGAGTAAAAGGAGAGTGAAGATAATTGGTAATGAGAATAAAAATGAGTGAAAGAGAGTGAAGGTAATTGGTAATGAGAATAAAAATGAGGGAATTCAGTTTTCTACAGAAAAGATGTCAGATTGAATAAATGAAAATAAAAAACAATATTTATTCATGAAAAGCCTCTCACCACGCTAATTTCTTTACATTCATCATTTCACTGAATCTTGTAGCAATCCTATGAAGGAGGCATTATTATTACTAATTTACAAATAAAGAAGTATATTCAGAAAAATTATTTAACTTGCCTAAGGCCATGCAGATAGTTGGTATTAAAGCTGGGGTTCTAAAGTCTGTGCTTTTTTCTCTACACCACGTTGTTGTATTTAGGGATAAGTAGTTCACCAGATAGAAAAGGCAGACAGCTTGGCATTCCACAAAGATCTTCCAAGGCATGAAAGCATGTATGATGTAGATAAATGGAAAATCATGTTCTTCACTGTGGTTAGAGGAGAGAATAATGATGGTTGGGAGTGGGAGGTGATGGTAAAGTAGGACGAGGGGAAGGATCTTGGCTGCTATTCTAAAAAACAAGCAATGAAAAGTCACCTTCCAGTTTTCAGCTTGGGAGTAGCATGATCAGACCTGTGTTTGGAAATAGAAAACTGTTGGAGAAGGAAAGTCTAGAAGCAGGGAAATCCACGAGAGGGCTATCATAGCAGCATAGAGAAGAGATGGCAAATGTCTTGGTTGGAGCAGTGACAGCAGCATAAGGAGAAGAAAACAAATTCAAGAGACACTCCTGATGTATAATGAGACTGTGTGGCTGACTGCCTGGGAAAACGCAAAGTGACTTTGAGATTCCACAGCTAAACTGGAAGCTAGAAAATTATGGAATGGTGTTTTTAAATTTTTGAGAGAAAATGATTTTGCACCTAGAATTCTATATCCATGAATCAAGTGAAAATGTTAGACATTCAAATCTCAAAAAGTTTACCTCGTTTTTATTCATTGGTGCTACTAAAGAATGTACTCCCACAATTTAAAGTAGTAAACAAACACAAAGGGGGACACAGGGCTTGCAATTCAAGGCGGTAAAAGGAATCTCCGGGAAGGTGGTGAAAGAAGAGTCCGGGATGAGAGCAAAATAGTGAATGTAGAGAGCAACTGGTCTCAGTTGCAACTACAGAACAAAGAATCCCAGGGATAGTCTTTAAGTGGCTGAAAATGGTAGAATACCTGAAATGTAATTGAGGAGAGAATATTTCTGATGGAGAATTTGGATATAAAATCGTGATTGATTGGTATAAAAATAAGCACCAACAATATAAACAAAACAAACCAAAACAAAATAAACATCAACTCCATGATGATCACACGTATGAGACAAAGATAATATGCTTGACCTATATGTCATGGCTTAGTTGTGAAAAATTTTTGCATAGTAATAATAATATCATGACTGAGTACTAATCTAACAAATTTTGATATAGCAATGTTGAGAGACTGCAGGGAGGGTGAGCATATGGAGAGTAGTTGTTGGGGGTAGAGGTAGTTTAGGAGTTAAAACCTCAGATTTTAGAGTGATAGTTATAAAATATAAAATTAAATATAAATATAAAATAAAATATAGCTAAGATTTTATATCTCTTATAGCAAAAGCCAATAGGCAGATCTCTAAAACTGAAAATTAAGAAATAATATTATTTGTTGCTCAGATATTGGAAAGTAAATACCAAAAGAAACATCTAAGAGAGTGTAAAGTAGTTGCTTCTGGGGAATGGGAATACAATACATGGATTTTCAAAATGAGTTCTGTAGACCCATTTAATTTTTTATACTACATGAATATATGACAATGATAAATTACATTTCTAAAAGAGAAGGCAGGATGAGAACCAAATGTGGGGAGACCAATATGATGAGACAGCCATTGTCAGCACGATAATTTGTTATTAATATCAACAATGTTAACAATTATTATTTTAAGAGGGTCTGGAGTGGAATAGTTAGGATTATAAATACAACCAAATTAAACTGAAAGTTTTGATTTCTCAGTTGAGCAAATATTGATGGGATGATAAAACCCAGAAAATACATGTTATTTTCAAATGGAATTTCTATTTAAATAAAATGGACTTGATATGTCAACTGATAATTAAGTTAGAATCATAGGGAGAGCAAGAAAAGCTACTAATTGCGAATACATTGTAAAGTAAAAATATTGTGCTCTAGTTTAATACATTAACATCTTTAATTTGCCAAGGAATTAGTAATAATAATGTCCAATTTACTACTGAAAAATCATATGACTGCTGCAGTGTGTAAAGAAAGGCATCTGGAATTACAAAATCCACTGTTTCCTTTGGAAAGAGAAGGGAAATGATTGGCTGAAGCTGTCAATTATCTTTAAATAAACATTACCTCCTTGGAATCAGCAATGTGGGATTTTCTTTTGTTGGGGAGATGGTGGAAAGGAAAAAAGCATAAACCAGTATAAACCTCATTCAAACCACTAATTTTGAAGCATTTTATAATATTTAAAATTTCACAGCTTGGATAAGTTCATTTCTTTCTCCTTTTTTCTTCTCCCATTTATTGAAAATCATAAAATTGAGAATAAACTGGACATGGAAAAGCTGTGCGTGCATAAAAGAGTTTCCAGGTTTTTAAATGTATATATCAAGTTTCTACCTACTAACAAGTGCAGTAGGAACTGGGCTGAGTTCCCAGGGGCTGAATTTATCACTGGCCATTCCTGATATTTGGATATAGAAGATGGAGCTGAACATTGAGTTTCATGCTAGCCACGAGGTCATTTTCATCTTCCTTCTCTCCCTCAAACTCTTTTGTCTCCTTCTTCCATATTCTTAGGCTTTCATTTTCCATTTCCTTTTCATTTTAATATAACTAGGAATATTAAAATGAAAGTCCTGGAAATGAATATTTATTTTTAGGGCCACTGCTAGGTTTAAGGATGTTAGAAAAAGAGTCTAATAGGTGATCATCTTTTAGATTTACTTTTAACTAATGCGATAAATGTCAATGATGAACCTTTGGGCCCCATAAGATTTATTATTATAGTTTATTCATTAGGGTATTTTATCTTTTTAAAAACATTTTTATTATGTTTACTTTTTTGAGACATCATAGCTATAGAGAGAATATTAATTGGTATTTGACAAAAAACATTTTAGAAATTAGAATATAACAGTAGTGATAGATGAACTAATTATCTGCACTAGGGTTGCTATCATACATAAGCAGAGTCAAAATATCAGCCACAGTTCAGCATTTGCAGAAAGTTAACATCTTTAATTTGCCAAAGAATTAGTAATCATAGTGTCCAATTTACTACTCACTGAGAAATTATCCAAAGTATGATTTTTGGAAATTATTCAAAGTATAATTTTTACACAAAGTTTAGCATGGTAAGAAACAAGCAAATGGGGCAGGATACACTTATATAGAATTCTTCCTTTGTAGTATCAACCTCAGTGTAGCTCTTAAGTGACAAATGTCATGAGTAAATGCTTTGTGTCTTATGGTTTGAGATACACTAAGTTCTATGATCCCATGCAATTTAACTACATTTAAAGTACCTCATTGACACAACTTTATTTATACTGAAAACAACATAATCACATTATGTTAACCTTGCCTGGTTATTGTGAGGATTAAATGAGATGATGTTTGTTAAGGACTTGGCATAATGCATGTATCATTTAGCCTTTTTGGTATAACAAACCACTCCAAAACTTAGTAGATTAAAACAACAAACATGTATTATTTCTTAAGAATCTCTGGATTGTCTGGGTGGGTCTTTTGATTGGAATATTTTGGTGTAGGATGGCCTCACTCACATATCTGGTGACTGGTTTGTTTTCAGTTGGGGTAACAGGGAAGACTTGACCATTAATTTTTTACCAACCAGCAGTGTTTCCAGGAACAGTAGGATATGCTAGTACCCAATGAGTAAGTACCTTTCAAGTCTGGTAGTATCCCATTTGCTACTGCTATGATTTCACTGGCCATGGAAGGTCACATCACCAAGCCCAGAGTGAGGGTAAGAGATGACTAACTGAGAGCATTGATGCAGGGACACCAGTTATTTGGACCATGTTTGTAGACTGCCATCCATACTGCCTGACAAGTGGTATGTGTTTTATAAATGAGTTATCTTATGAATACTTTCATCCAAAAATATGTCAATAACAGAAGAAAAGACATGTTTACTAGGGATCAATGGGCTTCTGAGATAAGCTTGGAGAGCTATACATTATACTGTCTACTTTCTGAATAAACACAAACATCTCCTCCAAATATGAATGGTATAGAAACATAGGTATTTAAATGTATGCATTCAGAATAAACTGTGTTGCTGAAACATATTCAATATTTACTGCTTTAATCTAGTTCCCCTTCACTTACTGGGGACATTAAATGTAGATTAAGGACATAGACTTGGGAATGAAATTTTCTGGATTTAGATATTGGCTAACTTTATAGCAATATGAGACATAAGCAGGTACTCAATTCTTTGTTTCTCAGCATCCTCATCTGTACAATGAGAGATATTAATAGAATGTAACTCATGATTTGGATGAGAATTAATGAGTGTATGTGTGTCTAGCATTTAGGACAAAACAGCGCCTATCACAGAGTGAGCATTAACTATTAGCCGTTATTATAATTATTTACAAGTGACTCCGAATCATCTAAATGTGAATTGGATTATTCATAGATAACTGAGCATGCTTTAGTAATGTTTTCTCCATGTTTCTATTTAACATGTTTTTATATAATTAAAATTCAAATTTTAATATTAATCGATAATCTTAGTGTTCAATAATAGACTAGTAGTATTGAAAAGGAGACCTTATTTCTAAAGATCAGCTCTAGAGTAATTACCTCATTTTTAAGTTCTCACAATGATTGATTTTCTGAGAATACGGAGCTGGTGAATTGGCTGCCTAGAACTAGAATATTGGTCTTGAAACTTCTTTGGTGTAACGTATTCATTTCCTACTACATGCATTACTCATGAATGAATACATGACATGAATACATTTAATTAGTAATTGAATAAATGCAGAAACTTCAACGTTAAAATGTTTTTTTTTTTTAAGGTGTTGGTTATGGAATAATTGGGAGATGCAAAGATGGCTGCCTATACTTTGTTCTTAATTTGGGGAAGGTTTAATTGAGACCTTGAATTTAAATTTGAAAAACTTTTCATTTCAAATTTGCCATAATTTATTTTCTCTCTAATGTAGGTTTTAAACATTTTTGACCCTTCTAAGCTGACCTTTGGAATTCTTTAAAAACACACATGTAGATGTTGGGGTAGCTTGATGTCCCAGTGCCTTGGATCTTAGAAAGGAATTCATGTTGTGAAATAAATATGATCCTTGTTTTAAGTTTGTTTTGGACTTAAAGGTCATTCTGCAACAAATTAGTTCACAAAGATGACATAACAGCAAAGCAAATAGTGGCACTTGGAGCAGAATTTGAGCTTCTGAATAAAAATTCAAATTAGCCAAAATAAAATAAAATAAAAAAGTTAAATTGAAAGTGGGTGGATAGTACACATGGCCTCAGTTCCAGATGTCCCTTTTATGATTTCAAGGTGACATTCTGTGACTGACTGAAGTGCCAGGTTAAGAAGTCAGTGTCCATAAGACATTGTCAAAAATCCCAAGCACAGTCTCATACTAAAAGATCAGTTCTTTTGAAAGAGAGCTTTTCACTTGTTTTGAAGTTTCTGAACCCATGAAACCAACCAAGGTGGGGAATCTGGGCTCTTTTTCCCCCACCGTCTTTACCCCATCTGAATTGAGTGTTTCTCTAGGACTGCTTCCACAGTGAGGTAAACTCCAGGGCAGAGGGGCTGCTTTAAAGCAAATGAGGCCCTTAATTTATCATAAAAATGAAGACTAGTTGTTAAGGTTTTATTGGATTACAATAAAGGCTCCTAGCACTAGGAGTCTGTGGTTTGATTCCCGGCATCACTGGGGGAGCTTGAAATCATAACCACAGATTATAGCAATGAGCTTCCAAATTTCCATATCCTAAGCAAAGATGCTGCTTTCCTGGAGCTGATGTGGAATTACATGCTCTGTGATTTTAGGATATGTATTGGAAAATTTTCTGTTTGGATATCATTTCAGGAGGGCTGTGATTCTCCAATCACCTCTGTGGTCACAGCTTCAATGTTCTTAAAAAAAGAAAGAAAAATAATAAAGCAAAATGAAACAAAAGATGATTGTTGTAACTCCCTAGATTCTGTCCTCTTGTACAGCTCGAATGTTTTCATTAATTTTTTTTTCTTTCAGTGAGTTCAGTAAAAGTTCTTACCAGGCCATTTTAGGTTGTAGCAGTAGCTTAAGCAGATCATTTAGGTCTACCTCTCTTCCCAGACTCCGTATGATAAGATTGTGTTTTCTGCATGTTCTCACTCATAGGTGGGAATTGAACAATGAGAACACATGGACACAGGAAGGGGAACATCACACACTGGGGCCTGTTGTGGGGTGGGGGGAGGCGGGAGAGATAGCTTTAGGAGATATACCTAATGCTAAATGATGAGTTAATGGGTGCAGCACACCAACATGGCACATGTATACATATGTTACAAACCTGCACGTTGTGCACATGTACCCTAAAACTTAAAGTATAATAAAAAAAGATTGTGTTTTATCAGATAGACTCTAAAATCTGCCCTCTCTCATGTAAATTGTACATATATGTTAAAAAACACATACACAGATATAAAAATCAATCCATCTACATATATGCGTATACCATACATATAACTACAATTATATATTTAGTGATATGTATGGATATATATTTATATACTTTTTTAGCCTGGCAGAGAGACCATGTTGGAGCATATTGAAATGAAGGAATGGGTAAGTGGAAAATGTTGCAGGTGGTTCATGACTATCTGAGGCCGATGGAGTGGGTGGTAAAATAATTTACCAAGATAGTTGTAGGTAAAGAAAGATTTATTGGCCGGGCACGTTTGTGGCTCACACCTGTAATCCCAGCACTTTGGGAGGCCAAGGCAGGCGGATCATGAGGTCAGGAGATCGAGACCATCCTGGCTAACACGGTGAAACCCCGTCTCTACTAAAAATACAAAAAAAATTAGCTGGGCGTGGTGGCAGGCACCTGTAGTCCCAGCTACTTGGGAGGCTGAGGCAGGAGAATGGCATGAACCCAGGAGGCGGAGCTTGCAGTGAGCCGAGATTGTGCCACTGCACTCCAGCCTGGGTGGCAGAGCGAGACTCCATCTCAAAAAAAAAAAAAAAAAAAAGAAAAAAGAAAAAGAAAGATTTATTAAAGTATGAAAATATGTTGCAAGGGTGCAATGGGCAGATGAGTAAGAGAGGGGCTGACTGTGAGGAGACGAAGGCTTGCTGGGGATTTTATAGGATGGTGCTGTGTGCTGAAGAGGGCTTTGTGCAATACTGATAACGCCAAGGTTGCAGTGAGCTAACTTACAATTTTCTATCAGCCGTGGGTCTGGTGATAGCTGGGCGCCGGAAGATGGTGAGTTATTTGTGCAGGAGGGCATGTCCTGGACCATGAAGAAAGGCAAGACAGACTCATAGCCTATCTGCTTTCTCTTTTTGCTTTTCCTCGGTCCCACCAGCCTGACTTTTTTTTTTTTTTTTCCTAATTAGGACTCCACAGAAGATATAAAGAGATACATTTTATTTTTCTTCTTGTAAGATATATCTGATTGAACTGGTAAGGAAAAATAATGTCAATTTGAGTTTCTTTCTTTCTCAGATTCATTGGCACATATACATGTACTTAACTGAATGGGAACAAAACCTGTAAAAACTCATACACACCCATCATACTGCCTGAACCTCCTGGCTGTATTTGTTCTTCATTATCTAGCCTCAGAACTACCCCAACATTTTAGGAAGCCTTGTCTTTCTTTTCACAGTTGGAGAGAAAAGCGTTGATCTGTTTGGGAAGGAGAATCAGTGCCTAGCATTTTGTCTTTTGCCTGGTCCATTGACAGTTTGCGTTTTCTTCCTCCACTTCTGAATATGAGCAAATCATTTGGTGTTTTCTCTGCATAATTAAGGTGCTCTTTTCTAAAAAAGCATAATCACAGAAAACTCAGACTTAATAAGGAAGTATCTTATCTCACAGAAGTGGAAATCCAGAAATAGGGTCCTGGGGGTACTTTCACTAGTGGCTCAATAATGCCACCAAGGACTTTGGCTGATTGGATTTTTGTTCCCAAATTTTTATTTCTTCTCTGTAAGAGGATTAAATGTTTCTGCCTATGGTCACATGACTTGCCCTGTCCTTATGGGAAGAGGATTCTCCACTCTCTTCACTCCCCCACCAACCCCCTTAGCCCTCACCTTATTGACTTTGGGCTTAGCCCATACATAACATGCTCTGGACAGTAGGGAGACAGCAAGCATGACACATCCATGTAGAAAGTTTTCTGGAGTAGGTTGGCCCCAGTTCCCTTTGCAAGCTGCTGCCTTACGACTTCTGCCAAATGTTTCTACTCTTAAGGAAACACAGAATGAGACAGCCCCTTTCTGCCTCTGGATATTGAGAGCAGCAGGTCTCAGTAGTGGCTGCTGTTTAGCCTGGGTCTGAAATGAGAAGACACTTGGGGGTGAATGGAGGCCAGAAGTCCCACAGCCCTCACATGACAAAGGGAAAGAAAAGTGTGTAGTGTGTTGCCTTAAGCCACTAACACATTGGAGCTGTTTATGGTTGCAGGAAAAGCTAATTTTAGAATCCAATGTTCTTCCATACTTCCATCTCTGTCACTGCCAGTAAAGCCTGCTTTCTAAAGCTCATTTTCCTTGTGGTGGGAGAAGGGCAGGAGCAGATTCAAGCATCACCTCCAGATGTGACAATAGCCAGAGGCAGAAAGGGGCTGTATTAGTCTGTTTTCATGTTCTGGTAAAGACATACCCTAGACTGGGAAGATAAAGAGGCTTAGTTGGACTTACAGTTCCACATTGCTGGGGAGACCTCAGAATCATGGCAGAAGGTGAAAGGTGCTTTTTACATGGTGGCAGCAGGAGAGAATGAGGAAGAAGCAAAAGCAGAACCCCCTGATAAATCCATCATATCTCTTGAGACTAATTCACTATTATGAGAATAGCATGGGAAAAACCAGCCGCAATGATTCAATTACCTCCCCCTGGATCCTTCCCATAGCATGTGGGAATTCTGGGAGATACAATTCAAGTTGAGATTTGAGTGGGGACACAGCCAAATCATATCATTCCACCCCTGGCCCCTCCAAATCTCATGTCCTCACATTTCAAAACCAATCATGCCTTCTCAACAGTCCCCTAAAGTCTTAACTCATTTCAGCATTAACCCAAAAGTCCACAGTCCAAAGTCTGATCTGAGACAAGGCAAGTCCCTTCTGCCTATGAGCCTGTAAAATCAAAAGCAAGTTAGTTACTTCCTAGATACAATAGGGGTACAGGTATTGGGTAAATACAGCCATTCCAAGTGGGAGAAATTGGCCAAAACAAAGGGGTCACAGGGCCCAAGCAAGTCCAAAATCCAGCAGGGCAATCAAATTTTAAAGCTCCAAAATGATCTCCTTTGACTCCACGTCTCACATCCAGGTCACACTGATGCAAGAGGTGGGTTCCCATGGTCTTGGGCATCCCTGTGGCTTTGCAGGGTACAGCCTCCCTTCCAGCTGCTTTCATGGCTGGCATTGAGTGTCTGTGGCTACTCCAGGTGCATGGTGCAAGCTGTTGGTGGATCTACCATTCTGGGGTCTGCAGAACAGTGGCCCTCTTTTCACAGCTCCACTAGGCACTGCCCCAGTAGAGACTCTATGTGGGGCCTCTGACCAACCCCACATTTCCCTTCCACACTGCCCTAGCAGAGGTTCTCCATGAGGGCACTGCCCCTGCAGCAGACTTTTGCCTGAGCATCCAGGTGTTTCCATAGATCTTCCGAAATCTAAGCAGAGGTTCCCAAACCTCAATTCTTGACTTCTGTGCACCTGCAGGCTCAACACCACATGGAAGCCACTGAGGCTTGAGGCTTCCACCCTCTGAAACCACAGTCCAAGCTGTATGTTGGCCCCTTTCAGCCATGGCTGGAGCAACTGGGACATAGGTCACCAAGTCCCTAGGCTGCACACAGCTCAGGGACCCTGGGCCTGGCCCACAAAACCATTTTGTCCTCCTGGGCCTCCAGGCCTGTGATGGGAGGGGCTGTCATGAAGGTCTCTGACATGGCCTGGAGACATTTTCCCCATGGTCTTGGGGATTAACATTAGGCTCCTTGCTGCTTATGCAAATTTCTGCAGCAGGCTTGAATTTCTACCCAGAAAATGGGTTTTTCTTTTCTATCACATAGGCTGCACATTTTCCACTTTAATGCTCCGCTTCCCTTATAAAACTGAATGCCTTTAACAGTACCTAAGTCACATTTTGAATGCTTTGCTGCTAAGTGGAAACTTCTTCCACCAGACACCCTAAATCACCTTTCTCAAGTTCAAAGTCCCACAAATCTCTAGGGCAGGGGCAAAATGCCACCAATCTCTTTGCTAAAACATAATAAGAGCCACCTTTACTCCAGTTCCCAACAAGTTCCTCATCTCCATCTGAGACCACCTCAGCCTGAACCTTATTGTCCATATTGCTATCAGCATTTTGGGCAAAGGCACTCAACAAGTCTTTAGGAAGTTCCAAACTTTCCCGCATTTTCCTGTCTTCTTCTGAGCCCTCCAAACCATTCCAACGTCTGCCTGTTATCCAGTTCCAAAGTTGCTTCCACATTTTTGGGTATCTTTTCAGCAACACCCCACTCTACTGGTACCAATGTACGGTATTAGTCTGTTTTCATGCAGCTGATAAAGACATACCCTAGACTGGGATTAAAAAGAGGTTTAATTGGACTTATAGTTCCACATGCCTGGGGAGGCCTCAGAATCATGGCAGAAGGCAGAAGGTGCTTCTTACCTGGTGGCAGCAAGAGAGAATGAAGAAGAAGCAAAAGTGGAAACCCCTGATAAACCCATCAGATCTTGTGAGACTAATTCACTCTCATGAGAAAAACATGGGAAAGACCAGCTGCCATGATTCAATTACCTCTCCCTGGGTCCCTCCCACAACACATGGGAATTCTGGGAGATACAATTCAAGTTGAGGTTTTGGTGGGGATACAGCCAAACCATATCAGGGACTGTCTCATTCTGTGTTTCCTTAAGAGTGGAAACATTTTGCAGATGCCACATGGCAGGCCTCTGTTGGAGCATCAGTTAGTAGAACTTTGCCCTGAACTTCATCATTGGCAAGGAAAACAGTATCACCATGACTGACCCGTGTCAATCAGGGCTCCCCCTCAGCAGGAATAGCCGACCCTCTTTTGAATCATACATGTGGGGTGGGATGGAGGCGGTAATAATTAGATACCTTAACAAAATGAGGCTTTTGCCAACCAGGAAAAAGGGAGAAATGTAAGTTGATAAGCAATCCCAAATACTCACTACACTCTCCTTCCTCTCTGACTTTTCTTACACCTCTTCTTTGCCTTTGTCTTCTCTCTGACCACCCCTGTCTCTCTCCCACCCATGCATCAGTTATCCCTGTCATTTCCTCTTTTTTCTTTATTTTGCTCTTTTTGTCATCCTGTTACTTGTACTCTGCTTCCCTCAAAATATGAGATATTCAGGAAAGAGAGGCTCTGGCCAGGATTTATTGAGAACAATTTTTTCAAATTTATGTTTGTTTCTCAGTGATATGGTTTGGCTGTGTCCCCACCCAAATATCATCTTTAATTGTAGCTCCCATAATTCCCGTGTGTTGTGGGAAGGGACCCGGGGGAGATAATTGAATCATGGGGGTGGTTTCCCCCATAGTGTCCTCATGGTAGTGAATAAGTCTCATGAGATCTGATGGTTTTATAAAAAGGGGAAATCCCTTTCACTTGGTTCTCATTCTCTGTTGTCTGTCACCATGTAAGACGTGCCTTTCACCTTCCACCATGATTGAGAGGCCTCCCAGGCCACGTGGAACTGTGAGTCCATTAAACCTCTTTTTCTTTACAAATTTCCCAGTCTTGGGTATATCTTTATCAGCGGCATGAAAACGGACTAATACACTCACTTTTAGTCCAGCAGAGAATCAACTCACCAATGCACTGGTGCAACCTGAAGTCTTGGTTTCTAAGAGGTTCTGAATTCACCTGTATCCCACCAAGCTTCTCTATTCAGTCCCAGAGGTTTTCTGGGTGCCAACCTTTTGAGGATTAGAGAGAAGAGGGAACTGTTTCTTTGTTTTCAACTTGTAAAGTCTAGAATGGAGCTAGGACTCCAGGGGAGGTGACGGTTTTTGGTGAGAGCACTGCCTACCTCTGGACAGTCCTAATATTCTGAGAAACACAGTTTCTAGGTTTTCCTGAAATGTCCTGTTTCCCAACTTTCAGCCTTAGTTCAAAGGCCAGAGCAAGAGCCCCAGATGATAAACTTCTAGGAGGCTTCAAGGAAAGGTGAAAAG
Organism: Homo sapiens; assembly: GCF_000001405.40. Taxonomy (NCBI): domain Eukaryota; kingdom Metazoa; phylum Chordata; class Mammalia; order Primates; family Hominidae; genus Homo; species Homo sapiens. The sequence goes on from NC_000017.11 coordinate 69,700,884, forward strand.
CAGGAGCTTGAACAAGCATCGAGTATTCCGTTATAACACATGGATTTCCAGAATAGTGTTCACAAGACTGTGTTCCATTGAAGGCTGTTAGTAATAGTTCTTAAAAACAAACAAACCTGTATGTACTGAGAGTGTTTGCCAAAATACATCTTAAGTGTTTTCTCTTTTTAAATCCAAGTGTGATATGACTTCTTCTTTGCCATAATATCAGATATATTGATTACTTTCTTTTTCAAAGGTAGAACAGTACCGAGATTGATTGTTAAGATCCTAGAAACAGACGGCCTGTATTAGTCAGGGTTCTTTAGAGGCACAGGACTAATAGGATAAATGTATATATGAAAGGGAATTTATTAAGGAGTATTGACTCACACAATCACAAGGTCAAGTCCCACAACGGGCCGTCTGCAAGCTAAGGAGCAAGGAAGCCAGTCCGAGTCCCAAAACCTCAAACGTAGGGAAGCTGACAGTGCAGTCTTCAGTCTGTGGCTGAAGGGCAGAGAGCCACTGGCAAACTACTGCTGTAGGTCCAAGAGTCCAAAAGCTGAAGAACTTGGAGTCCGATGTTTGAGGGCAGAAAGCATCCAGCAAGGGAGAAAGATGAGGGCCAGAAGACTTAGCCAGTCTAGTCTTTCCAAGTTCCTCTGCCTGTTTTTATCCTAGCCATGCTGGTAGCTGATTAGACGGTTCCCAGCCAGATTAATGGCAGATCTGCCTCTCCTAGTCCACTGACTCAAATGTTAATCTCCATTGGCAACACCCTCACAGACACACCCAGGAACAATATTTTATATCCTTCAATCTATCAAGATTGACAATACTAACCATCACACTGCCTAAGATTTATCCCACCCAACCTTATCATTTAATATCTGTTTAGCTCCTTTATGCCTCAGTTCCCTCATTGATAAATCTGGGATACTAATATGTATAGTTACGTAGCAACAAAATGAGATACTTTATGTAGTAAATATCATATAAGAATTCTTATTTTCAATGAATCTCTTTCTCTTTCCTCCATTTCTTCTCCCCCATTTCTTAAGCCCCAAAGACAGTGTTTTATAATCAGTTGAATCTTCAGAAGAGGCACATCTATGTACAATAGTCCCCCACTAATCCATGGGGAATATATTCCAAGACCCTCAGTGGATGCCTGAAACCTTGGATAACATGAGACCCTCTATGCGTTATGTTTCTTCCTATGCATACTTACTACCTATGTTAAAGTATAATTTATAAATTAGGCACAAGACTCTTGCACTTTTGAACCATTATGAAGTAAAACAAGGATTACTTGAACATAACACCACAATACCTGGACAGTTGACCTGATAACTGAGGTGTCTACTAAGTGACTGACAGGTGAGTAGTGTTTATAGTGTGGAGATGCTGGAGAAAGGGATGAGTCATGTTCCAGGTGGAATAGAGAGGGACGGCTTGAGATTTTATCAATCTACTCAGAATGGCATGCAATTTGTAACTATGAATTGTTTATTTTTTGAATTTTCCATTTAATGTTTTTGGACCCTGTTTGATAGTGGGTAACTGAAAACACAGAAAGAGAAACTGCAGATAAGGGGGGATTACTGTACAGAGACCTGGAAGTATGTACATTAAATCATCAGGAGGAAAAAATATAGGATGGGACATGTCTGTAGGTATAAAACAGTCTTTTTGCTGTTGCTCTTTCTTTTAAAAAATGCATGTGAGCTTAGATAGATATATGTTTATAAATAGAGTAATATTAGGAGGTTGTCCTAAATGATTAGTATTAGTCAGTATTCTACAGAGAAACAGAATAAGTAGGATATGTATGTGTTTGTGTGTGTGTATGTGTGTGTGTGTGTGTTTATGTTTATAATGAGAAATTGGCTCACAGATTAAGGAGGCTGAGAAGACTTAGAATCAGCTGTCCAAGTTGGGGATCCTAGAAATACAGTGGTATAACTCAGGCCAAGTCCAAAGGCCTGGGAGCCAATGTCGTAGATCCCAGTCCAAGGGCCGGAGAAGATGAGATGGGATGTTCAAGCTCAAACTGTGAGGGAGGAAAGAAAAAGAATGACTTCTTCCTTTCTCCACTTTTTATTCTATTCAGAACCTCAGTGGATTGGATGATGCCCACTCACATTGGGCAGAGCCGTCTACTTTACTGAGTCCACTGATTCAAATGCTGATCTGATCCAGAAACACCTCCACAGACACACCCAGAAATAACATTGAATCTGGGTACCCTGTGGCCAGTCAACTGGACACATAAAATTAACCACCATCATAGTATGAACATGGAGGATAGTTCTACTTCTTGTATTATTTTACTAAAAATGATAGGAATATGAATAATCTTTAATTTTTTTGTTTTCAATATTTTCATATGACATGTATTTAAGTTATTCATGTCTATATTCTTTTTTTTTTTGAGAAGTTTTGCTCTTGTTGCCCAGGCTGGAGTGCAATGGCATGATCTCAGCTCCCTGCAACCTCCGCCTCCTGGGTTCAAGTAATTCTCCTGCCTCAGCATCCCAAGTAGCTGGGACTACAGGTGCATGCCAGCACAACTGGCTAATTTTTTGTATTTTTAGTAGAGATGTTGGCCAGGCTGGTCTTGAACTCTTGACCTCAGGTGATCCACCCACCTCGGCCTCCCAAAAGTGCATGTCTATATTCTTTATTTGGCCTCACAAATTGAAGAAATTTTTACAAAGATCTCCATAGAAACATCTACTGAATCATTAGAAACTTATAATGTTATTATTGGTAAATTGGAAGGGTCTGAGGAACATTAAAGTTAAAATAAGGGACCATGTTATGGGGCACAGAGCAGCACACCATGGTGATGTGGTTATTGATTATGGAGCATGAACAAAAAACAGAGCAGCTTTTCTTTTTTTCCCATGGCACCACTCCTGACCTGTCCCTTCTAGTGGTCATAGCTAACTTGGGGAAGACTGAATAGGCATTTGTGAATTTTTGAGTGTAGGTCTGTGTGAGAATTTGTATCAGTCCCACCCACCCCACTCCAGATGTAAGGAAACAGCAGTGGCCTGAGCTCTTGCAATCTCGATCTTGCATCTTGACATCCTTTGACATTCTGGAGTACCTTGTAAATCTCTTTCACCTGCTGTGATGGGGGCTGTGATATGGTATATTTTTGCTACCATGTCCACCTTCTCTTTCCTGCTGCTACCACTGTCCCACCACATATTTTTTTTTAGACAATGTAAATTTATTGATTGACAATCATTATGTTCTGTGTAAGAAGTTAAGGAATATCTGAAAGAATATCTGCATGTTCATACCCTAGCAATTTCACAAATGCATGTGCTGTTGTTAGGCTAATGTGTGGGCAGATGTGAAACTCACTTCTTTCTTATAAAATTAAGTTGTTTTTTTTTTTAAACAGGGTCTTGCTCTGTTGCTCAAGCTGGAGTGCAGTCACTCAATTTCAGCTCACTGCAACCTATGCCTCCTGGGCTCTAGCGATCCTCCCATCTTGGCCTCCCAAAGTGCTGGGATTACAGGTGGCATGGGCCACCATGCCTGGTCATGAAACCCACTTCTACAGGACAAAGTAGGAACTCCTCATTATGCTGTGCAAGGCCTTTATGATCTTCTCAGTGCCCATCTCCCTCTTTTCTCTCCCTATATCCCAACCACAAAATTGCTTGTATGTCTGCAATTGCAGTGGTCCCTCAAGCCCCTATGATTTCGTACCTGCTGTTAACTCTTCATAAAACGTCTTTTGCCATCTTCTTTATCTTATCAACCTGAAAAATAATCTACTAGTCCTTTCTGATTTCATCTTGAAGTCTGCTTCCTTGTCAAAACCTTCTTTGACCTTTCCAGGTAGCGTTAAATGTTTACCATTTACATATTAAATGTAGAGTTAAATGGGCTTCCATTGTTCCTATGGCTAGTATAATCTATATCCACTTACTGTTATGATTTCTTTGCAGTCTATTACCTTGGCTAGATTTGGTGCTGTTCAGAAGTAGAAATGATGCACTATTCATTTTGAAAATGAACATCCAGAATATATTATGTGCTTGACAGATGTGTAAATAAACTCATGATGATTAATAAATATGTAAATGAATAATTGTAATACAGCTTTTTAGCAAGTGACTACAGAAGCAAATAATCTGTAAATTAATAATTGAGTCATTTAACAAAAATAGAAATAGATCATTTATGGAGTCCATAAGTTGAGTTCTAAGGAAGTCAATTGAAAGTCTTCTATTGAAGTTTCACTTCTCCATTTCCCATGCATTTCTCAGCTGATTGAATTTCTTGAGAACAACATCATGGATGTGTTGTTGGTTCTACGATGATGAGTTTTATCAACAGTTACATTACATGGGCAATGAAAGGCAGAATAGAAGGTCCTTACATTATTAACAAAGACTAAATGTCTTTAATCAAGCCAGACATGACAGATTTATAAAACAGAACAATCCACTCTTCTCACTAAATTTTTTTAGGCAAATACAGTTATTATTAATAAAATGTTATTTTTATTAACATGTAATAGGCTTATATCACTACAAATCAGGAAATAAATTTATTATAAGTATCTCAGTTTTAATTTCTAATAAGATAAAGCAGAACTTTGGTTCCAAGACCATATATTCTAGCTCTTGGGGAGATAGCACCATATAATGGGCTGTCTGATCAACATATATACCACATTTTGAAGGACAATACCCCAACATTTAGGATATTAACCCCAAGCTGATGCTAAAACTAGACCTTCTGATCCCTTTAAAACTTTGCTAAGCCTGTTCTGGCATCTCCACCTAATTTGCTATAGGCCATTATCCTCTCCAGTCATCAAGGGGCTATTATTCCAGCAATGTATTAGGAAAGGCTCGAGGAGTCTTTGCCAGGAGGTTAAATTTTAAGTCAAACAAAAGTTCCCTTTTACCAGTAAATTAACTCCTATCCAAGCTTATATTGTGCCCTTCACCATCCTTAGTCCCGTGTCCTCATTTCAATTTCCAGGCATTTTCTCTTGGTTATCCCAAGTACAGAGAAGCCATATCCCTCAGCTATTTTGGTGATAATTCATTTCCTCCCACAGCAGCAATGCACTTCCTCACCTGGGCTGTACTGAGAATTGACCCTAGTTTTTGATCTAGAAACAATGAGGGGAGCCAAGGCTCATTTTTGAGCAGTCAAATACCATCCTGCATGGCTTTTGTCTTAGGCGATAGTATTCAGGTCGTGGTATGCTCTTCTTTACTAGTAAGGGCAAGGTGCTGTTTCTGAACACCTGGAGCGTTCATCAGACTCCAAAGTTCAAAGTTCCTAAGGGCATTTAGGTAGTTCAAAATTCCTAAGGTCATCAGCCTACAAAATTTCCACTTAAGTTTATAGGTCCTACTGCTACCTTTTTAGCCCTTTGGGTTTTTATCTAGGGAACATTGTAAGCTGTGAATTCAATCTCTTTGTAACTCCGCCACTTTTAAGATCAAAGCTTAGGCATGCCTTTCAGCATAGTCTGTCTGCTGGCTGCAGGATGTGTAGGTTTCCCTACAACTCTGTAGATGCCTGTAGGCTTTCTGGCTCCTATAGCTTGCCATGAGTTGATGGCTAGCTATTCCAGACTGTAATTTTCTTTCTTTAAGCTGCTTAGGACATTTGACAAAAACTATTTTAACTCTAGAATCTTTACAATTTACATTGCTCTTATATCTTTCCAGAGCTAGAGAACTCCCATAAGCTAGTGTTATAAATTTCCAGTGCCAGAGTAAACGCATGATACCTTCTACCTGGACTTGACCCACCACAGGTGAGCATCTTAGTAAGTGTGAGGCTGCAGCCCGCCAGGCTTATCATGACCACACTTACCATCAGCAGGAGGATGCCCCTTGCCATTGACTGGCAAGTGATTCAATTGCAGAATCTTATCCTGAGGGTAACTATCAAGGGCCAATTTTGGTAGCAATTGTCTAAAAAGCACACCTTCAGGAAAGGACTCAAGTATAAGTAGTTTTTGTGGGAGGTGAACCTGTGAGGCACACGTGGACAGTGGGGAGGTGAGACAGGAAGGGAGAAAAGCCAATACAGTTTAGGTGAATGAATGGGTTATCACTATGGACAACTGGGGCTCCATCATCCTAGAGACTTTCTAAAAGGCCACACAGAGCATATCTCAGGAGTGTTCCACTGTGGGCAAAAAAGCTGGGTCTTTATTTACCAGCTTCTTTTTTTTTGAATAGCAAATAGTTTATTGGTAAGTACATGATTTCAACGGGAGTAATAAATTCACATGAAAAGGAGACAATAATTAAGTCAAAAGAATAAATACTTACTAATCGTCAGAAAATCTGTGGCCATTAGGGCTGGCACGTAAAAATCCAAAATCACTCAGAGGCCAAATCTTAAAGAAGATTCGTCCTCTTATTAGTCCATACGGAATAGGTCCATAGTACCTGGAATCCATAGAATTCTGTAGATTATCACCTTCTAACCAAACATGACCCATTGGCACCGCAGGTCTGTTCTAGAATTCATTCAGTTTTTAGGGAAGTCACAGGGCTTCCAGAAAAAAAAAAATTAAAGCATGTCTTAAAGCATAGGTGGGTGATCCATTATTTCAGGAATCCTCGGGCCCTAAAGAACCCTGAAGACCCTCAGCCAGGACACAGGTGGGCCTTTCTCACCTGGGCCCCACCGTATATTTACCAGCTTCTGTGCTTCCTTATTGCCTGGGGCAATAACTTACCTGGCCGGTCCTCCTGCAGGCTGAGCTCACACCTGTAGCCAGAGCCACAGGCAGGAAGCGGTGCAGACAGTTGAGGCAGAAAACCATGAATGTGTGTGGCAACTGCCCCCTGATGCTGCAGGTGACCTTCAGGGTGGGCTGAAGGATGTGTGCATGGCACTGACATTTTGAAAGTTAGGCATGGGAGCTTGGCCCTGATGTGCTAAAGAGCAGAGATTCACTAAATATTTTTGCACACTTTAGTATCTTGAAAGTAGTGTTTCTAAGCACATGCCTGGCAGTATAATGGAAGTTACTTTAGAGTAGGTAGAGACCTGAGGCAGTGATAATGGTCCAAGTATAAAGGCCAGAGAGGCTGCAATAAGGCACTGGTCATTACAATGCAGAGGAAGAACAAATACAGAACATCATTTACACTTTTTCTTTCACTACTATATACTATTCCATACTAAGAATGTACTGTACTACGATGAATCTCACAAATACAGCATAGAGCATCAAAAAGGACAAGGTGCAGGAGAAAATATATGGTATAATGCCATATAAAGGTAAAAGCGTGCCACTTACATATAGTTTAGAGACACGCATTGTGTGATGTGGGTAGCAAAAGTATAAAGAAACTTATTAGAATAATAAATTCCAAATTCAGGACAATAATTAGCTTCTAAGGGACAGAGAGGAGATATAATTGGGAAGTGGTTCTTTGGGGCTTCAATCATGTTGGCCGGCCTTCCTTCCTTTTTCTCTCTGTCTCTCTCTCTCCCTGTCTCTCTCTCTCTTTCTTTCTTTCTTTTTTTCAGAGTCTCACTCTGTCACCCAGGCTGGAGTGCAGTGGCACGATCTTGGCTCACTGCAACTTCCACCTCCTGGGTTCAAGCTATTCTCCTGCCTCAGGCTCCCAAGTAGCTGGGATTATAGCTGCCTGCCACCACACCCGGCTAATTTTTGTATTTTTAGTAGAGATGGGGTTTCACCATGTTGGCCAGGCTGGTCTTGAACTCCTGACCTCAGGTGATCTGCCTGCCTCAGCCTCCCAAAGTGCTGGGATTACAGGCATGAGCCACCTCACCCTGCCCACTTTATTTCTTAAGCTGGGTGGTTGGTACATTGCTGCTCATTTTGTAATTATACATTTTTGGCATTTCTAAATGAACTCAAGATATGTTTTAAAACATGTTAAAGCATAGAACTTGATGACTCAGGGTATAAATAGAAGAATGAGAACTAGCTAAGTTGATTCCACAGGTTCTTTTTTAGAGGGATTTTTTGTTTTGTTTTTTACTTTTAACTGTATTCGACAAATCATAGTTGCATATACTTATGGGGCACAAACTGGTGTTATGATTTTTTCAATATAAAGTGGAATGAGGAAACTAAGTGAATTAACATATTTATCCACTCAAATACTTCACCTACTTTGTAATGAGAGCACTAGAAATTTCCTCTCTTGAGATGCATAATAGTCAATTATCAGCTATATTAAACATGATGTTCTATTGATTAAAAAAAACTCAACTTAGGGTTTTTACAATATGATTTAAAAATTATTTTTTTCACACACATGTATACACATATATTGACATAAGACAACAGTAAGGAAATAATTCTCATGTGTTATATCTTTCTTGCTGTCTATACTGAAGCCCCAATAATAATATTTTAATTAACTAGTGAGTTGTAATTTCCATTTGCAAAGGATTATAGAAGGCAAAAATCACAGAATTTAGAGAAATAAATGATTAAAGTAATTTTTACAAAAATGTCTCCAAAAATAGCACTATTAAGATGAATTTTCCTCAAACGAGCCAGTCACAGAGCTGCAGCTAAACATTGTGAACAGGTTTTTATCATCAGCAGCTCCAAGGGGGAGCTGTGAACCTTCTTTCTTGTACCAGTTTTCGAGGAATAACAGCATAATCTGCCTCTGTTCTTGCACAGTAGGGCTAAAAATGACTACTTATACAATAGTGCATGATGAATGACACCACCAATGAATGACAACTACAAAAGAAACAGTATCAGTGTATTTTCCGCTAGTTGTGGTTTCTTTTAACCACTGCCTGTCTCTGCTCTCACTGACTGTTAGTGACGTCAAAGTAAAATGCCCATGCTAAGGGAAAAATGGAAAATAACTCCGAGAACATACTGAGTTTCTTCACTTGCAATTAAATCCTTCAACGTAATGATGTACCAAGGCGTACCAAGAAAGACAAATAACTCAAATCATTTTAAGAGCACCAGTGTTTTCTCTGAGTATTTGTGAGGTAATGCTGAAGACAGCAATGCAATTCCACAAGAAGAAAGTCCTGACTATGAAATTTTTATAAAATGAAAGTCAAACCTGTTTTTCCCTCCGAAAATTTATGTACTAAAATTTATGCAACACCATTTGTCGTTTCGTTGGACTTTGAATTTTGCTGTAATTTTTATGGGAAGAGGGACTGCATTTAGTAAAACCTAAAAACTTAAATAAAACTGCTTTTTTTCTGCAGCCAAATAAAATAAAAACTTAGGAGATTTGCTGAGAAGACATGTCTGGGGTTTCTGGTTAGTTTGTCACAAGACAAGTCAGAAAGACTTGTCAGAATCAAGGTACAACCAGAAAATCCAAGTCCTCTTATTCCTCTCCCTTAGTTTTAACTTTGCTTTGCTCTTAGAGAATGGGAAAATAATAACACTAATCTGGATATGGTGTTTTTGATGACACTGGAGAAATGAAATCTCTTTGTTATAAACTTTTTGTAGTCAAAAAGAGGGTTTCCTGAGTTTTCCACTGTACCGGGAGTCATCAACCTTTCATAAAGGGAGTCTTGAGTTCATGATTTTTGTCTTGCATGACAGGCATTGGGAGAAGGCTGTAGTTGGGGCTATTCTTTCTTCATGTGTAATTACCCCTAAAAAGATTACGTCTATTAGTCATTGAGACCTTACTGTGAGTTAATTTAATTGGATCATTAAATTGCTTTTATCTTTACAAATGGCAAGGATCAGAACACGTATTGATCCTTAAATCAACAAATATTATAGTGAACAATTTGGGCTGAGGCATTTTACCAGGACTTAGGCAATTTTTTGGCGGGGAGGAGGGTGGGGAAGGGGCATGGAAAAGGGAGGGAAAACATGGGAGAATGAAGTATTTTGGGTGTGTACTTTGGACAGCTACAAGATGGCAGAAAGAGTGAGATATTTAGGATTTTGGAAATGCGGGGTGTGACTGAGTTTGTAGGTGTGCGTGCATTTGGGAGGGGAATACTACCGTCTGGTTCTGGGGCCATGAATACTAAACATCCTACAGTTGCAGTAAGATGACACAAATAATTGTCATGCCCACAGGCTAAGTGTGCTTTTGTTGAGAAACTGATCAAATACACAAACTGAACTGGGGAATCTACACTTCTATACTTTGTATTTTGCTCAGAGCCTCGGTGGCAGTAATAGAGAATCATTGACTAATTCATCTAGTGCCTTAAACCTTGGTATTTTCATAGTTTGTTGTTGCTTGCACTGGAGTCCAAAAATCAATGAGTCAACTGAGAGGTGAATCAAAGCAAAGTCAGCAGCAAGGGCAGGTGACTAACTTGTGCAAAATATCATCATTGATGTCCAAAGCAGCAGATCTGTATATTGTAAAAAAAAAAAAAAAAAAAAAAAACCCGTATGATTTTGTAAGCAAGCCATCAATATCTAGTAATCCTCTATCCTACATTTTCTCCTCCACTAACCAGCTCCATACCATTTCCTTTTAAACATCATTGACAAAGAATGTTTTAACTTAAAAAATGTTAGCAATACTGTAGATATCTGAGGATAGTGATAAATCACTGATAGCCTATGGATTAGGCATTTTCCCAGTGGAATCAAGACATTAAATTAAACCACACATTGAGTGATAATGCACCTATATGTAGCATTTCTAGTACCTACAGTTAATGAAGTGGTTTTAATCATTCATTTCACAATATTAACAGATTGGGACCAGAGCAGCCAGCAGATGTTTTCAATTTTGGGCCCTTTGTTTGCTGTGGAAGATGCACCTTTGCTGAGCTTGGCTGCTGAATGGACGGCCCTCGCTGAGCTTGTCAGCCTTAACACTGGTTAGTGATTTGTGTTGGGCTATTAAACGCAGAAGAAAAGCAATGTGGTCTTTTTTTTTCAGGGAAAGAATAGATGGAATGTCCCTGAATAAATACTAGAAGGGCATTATGACTTTTAAAAGTTGGCTCGGGCAAGCATCACTTACTAATGCCTGGGAGGCCCCTTGGAGTGGAATAAATCATGGGTAATGATATAATAATTTTTTAAAAAATATAGTGTGGAAAACCAATGTCTACTTGCAAATGTCATATCTAGTATCCAGGAAACTAACATCACCACATTTTAAGAAGGGTCTGTGTATCTAAACTAAAAATAATTCTTAATAGCCTTTGCTAAAAACAAACAGATAATTTGACAAACAGACTGCAAACAAGCATGAAAAGGGAATAGAGCAGTTTTTGCCTTTGATTTTAAGGATCAGTCCTGGTAGAAGGAGCTGATGCCCAAAATATTCCATGCAATTTCCTAATACTTGATTCAAATCCTTTGACGAAGAAATGTATCAAGGTTTGTATAATTGCTGAAAGAAATTTAAAAAAAGAAAACACAGCCCCCTCCACTACCAGCAAAACTATCAACCAAACAAAAACACATTGAAAACAGCACAGATGTTTCTAATTGCTTGAGCAAACAGCCTATGTTGAGATTATTTGGTGAATACCTAAAATGTGGTATGTTCTTGTCCTTTATCTGCTAGGAAGGTCAAAGCTGAATGAGGAACAGTAGCAAAATATTCAAAGTGTCTCCTGGTGACACAGAAGTGTAAGTTTCTGAGCAACCTTGAGGAATCAAGTAATAGGCGAACACCAGAACATCCAAGCATCAAGCCAAGGAGGCAGTGGGCTTCTAGGTATCTTTCCTGGTTTCATATCATGTCTTTATTCCGCTGTCTGACAGCAGAGAGCTCAACTGGCGTATATTCTCTCTTATCACAATTTGGATGATTTTCTTTGACTTTAACAATATGTACAAGGAAACTCACATCTTTATACCAACACCAGTTCTTTCATAATATTGGAGTTACCAAATAGATGGGTGTTGTTTAAAGGTGAAGTCGGAGATCTCATGAAGCTGAGAAGTAAACATAGTGAATCTGTGTCTATACAGCTTCAGATTCTTCCCCTGAGCACAGAGTCAATGGAAAATATTACAAAAGTGTGAAAACAATTTCCCACGGGAAAGGAGGGCCTAAGCAGTGTCTTAGAAGGTTGCCACAGCTCAAGTTTTTCTCCGTGCAGCAGGATGAGGGCTAAGCTTATCAACTTCAGCTTTATATTTCTGGGGAATTAATCAAACTGGCAGATTACAATGATCTCTCAAGAGAATTACTGTATGAACCCTTTGATAGATGTCCAGTTACTCAGGATTACATGAAGTTTATGAGTTTCTCAGGAAATTAGGTGTGACCCTTATTTTGCCAAAGTTAATTGCCCTTGCAGTCTTGGTATATTGCAAAACCTATCACCAGTAGGAATTTGATTGAAGTGGCTTGGCCCCAAGCTGTTGCACCAATTGTGATTTGGGGTTAAGAGATTAAAGTGGCAGAAAGGGTAGGGAGAAAAAAAATTAGAAATTTGATACAGGGCTTTGCAGATTTAATTTTAGCTCTGAGAAGAGAGATGCCAACCACGGGCTCATTCTCAGTTTAAACCAGATTAAGAATGATCTCAGATTTCTCCCATCTTTAAGGGTTTAAGATTACATGATAATAATGACTGAGACGAAAAGCAAAAGGTCAGAGGCAGAAGGCCAAATTGGTGAGGCTGGCCTGGGTTGATGAGCAGAGTGGCCAGGATGGGTTTTAGCAGACCTGACCCTGCCTCCGAAATATCTCCCCCAGTTCATTAGTCTAGTAATTTGTCCAGGTGTGACTCTGGGTGGCATGGTGTTCTAGCTGCAGCACCCCACTGGGTCCAGTCTCATTGGGCCCATTTTTGGGTGGCAAAACAGAACCAGAGGAATCATCAATAGAATAATAAGGAGTTTGGGTTCTGGAGAGAGAATCACTAGATACAAAATCCAGGTTTACTGTTTGCTAGAATATTAAGGAAATGACTCAACCTTTCTGTGCCTCAATTTCCTCATCTGTAAACGGGAATTATAAAGCACCATCTCATAGAAATTTTTTAATAAGTAAATTCATTTTATTTTCTTACTGTTTGCACCACGTGGGAAGCAATTTTATATTTCATTCACTGCGGCATCCCCAGTGCCAGAACACTGCCTAACACAAAGTAGATGCTTGATATTTGTTAAAGGAGTGGATAAATGTAGTGTTCCTTGCAATGCCTGGGACACATTAAACCCTTAGTCAATGTTGGTTGTTTGCGTAATTTTTCTTTAAAGTGAGGACTTTGTTTGTCTTTCTACTTTCAATACCCAGCACAGTGCTAGAATACAGAAAGAAGATGCTGTGTGAGGGAAAATAATACTCCAATCCTCCAAAGATGAAATTAGGGTTAAAACGCTGGAAAAATACCTTTTCTGTGTAACTTAACCTGAGATAGTTTTCCATTTACAATTCTCTCTACCAACTCTCTTGGAAGAACACAGTGTTTGTTTACAATGATTTACCTCCCTTAAGGAAATTCAGCATAGTAGAAGGTCCACTACGCAAACACCGTTAGGTCACTGTTCACTTTTGCTTATAGCCATGGATGTCCAATCTTTTGGATTCCCTGGGCCACATTGGAAGAAGAAGAATTGTCTTGGGCCACATATAAAATGCACTAACACTACCAATAGCTGATGAGCTAAAGAAGCATTGCAAACAAAAACTTCATAACGTTTTAAGAAAGTTTACAAATTTGTGTGAGGCCACATTCAAAGTTGTCTTGGGCCACATGCTGCCCTCAGGCCACAGGTTGGACAAGCTTGGTTTACGCCATTAACATTCAGGGAGATTCAATGCTGTGTTTGGTTAAAAAAAAAAAGTATTAATTTAAAAATATTCAGGTCAGCATGATTAAAATAGTCACAAGTTACTTCTATAGCTTTATCTGTTGTATTAGCTCTTTGCAGGCAGCTGCAACTTTGAACTGGTGAATGCTGTTTCTTAGTACAGTCATTCAGTGATGTGTTTTCAGGATCTGAATCAAAAGAACATTTTTCTGCAATCTACACAAACCTGTTTGGCACGTGCTCTTGTTTATGGAAAATCCAAATGTATATTTGTGTTCTTTTGGAAGGGGTGGGAGTTGGAAGGGAGCTCACACAGGAGATTAAGACTTTATCTTTCCACTCGGCAAGCTGAATTCTTAAAGTCCTATCTGATTTCATAAAGTAAGCAGAAGTTGGAGCTCAGTCTAGACTCTGGCTGACCAGCAGACAAAAGAAAGGTATACACTCAGCTGAGGGCCAGTAGCAGACTCTACTTGAAGGATGATCTGGAGTGGAAGAAGAAATCGGGCCACGATGAAGATGCCTTTTCCTTCACTGAGTAACTACCCTTTGCTGGTCACTTCATACATACTATCTCATTCATTTCTCGTTACTCCAAGAGGTAGCTATGACTATGAAAAGTACACAGATGAAACAGGCTCAGAGAGCTATTTGCCTGATATTCCACAGCTGAGAAATGGTAGCATCAGGACCACAATAACATGTAACACATCAAAATATATTTTTTATAATTTTCACTATGGAAAATCTCATATGCATAGAAGAGTTGAAAGCACATCACAATTAACTTTCCTGAACGCATCGCTGAGTTTCAAAAATTATTAACTCATAAACAATTCTATTCATCTCTACCAGCCTTACTCCAGTCCTTCCCCACATAGCAGATGCTATGATGTGTTATAGATAGCATATTTCATTATATATTTCCAAAAGAGAAATATTTGTTTAATGTATAGTGAAAACATCACTTTATACCTAAATTAAAACAATGATTTTTAAAAACTACCATCTAATATCCAGTTGGTGTCTGAATTTGTTTGATTATGGGGCTGTGATTTTAACACAGGTCTACACTAAGAGTTTGAGGTACAAGCGTGTGATAAGGTTGGTAGATGTAGTTGACCCCCTCTGAAAATCTTGCCACAACAATTTTGTCTTAAATTCTTCAAATAGAAACCTGCCTTTGGGTCCCTTGGGTCCCTCAGAAGCAAGTGCCTCATAGGTTTCTGTATTAGTCAGATTTCTCACTGCCATAAAGAAATACCTGAGACTGGGTAATATATAAAGAAAAGAGGTTTAATTGAGTCACAGTTCCACATGGCTGGGGAGGCCTCAGGAAACTTACAATCATGGCGGAAGAGGAAGAGGCACATCTTACATGGTGGTGGGTGAGAGAGAGTGAGCAGGGAAAACTGCCTTGTAAAACCATCAGATCTCGTGCGAACTCACTATCACAAGAACAGATGGGGGAAACCGTGCCCATGATCAAATCATCTCCCACCTGGTCCCTCCCTCAACATGTGGGGATTATGGAGATTACAATTCGAGATGAGATTTCGGTGGGGACACAGAGCCAAAGCATAACAGTTTCCATTCTGTGTTTAACAAGACAGATGTAACAAGTAAAGGACACTAGGAAAATATATGATTCAGCTCCTTGCCTCAGTCCCTCCAACAGATAATGGGTTTCTGGTGGAAGAGAAGAAGTGTGGTATGGAGAGGAAGGGTGACAAATCATTCCCCAGCTGTAAAAAGGTAGGCATTTTTACTCTAAGCCAGGAAATAATATAACTCATGATCACGTTGTTCTTGTCAACATGAAGTTAAGAAATGATTATGTAAAGGAATAAAACATGATCTGTGTTCTAGCTGTTTAGTTGGGTTTTATTGCCATTTCTAATAAAAGATTTCAGCTAAAGCATTAGATCAGTAGCCTTTGATTTCTAAACTTAGGTAGAAATCCAGTTTTGTTCTTTGATTCTCTTTCCGTGCATTCCTGGAATTCATGAGTTTTGCCCTGAACTTTCTGGAAGCAAGGGCTGAAGTCCGGACATGACTTTTCAATTAATACAAACCGTAGTCTCTGGTTCTCCTCGATGTTAGCATGTGACATGACTGGAGGCCTTTATTTTGCTTAGTGCAGTGACCAAGCAAATGAGTGCATGCTCCTGAATATTTAACAAGCGTGACAGCCTGTGTGGCTGGAGTTGCAGCTGGCTATGCTTAGCTTTTTAATCTAGGTGCTTTCTCAACTGATAATGCATGTTTTACCCCATTAGACTGGATTTTGTCACGTCACATCAGGAATGTGATTGTGCTTTTGGATTTCAGGCAGGGAAAAAGAGTTACACACAAGACCAGCTGTATAATTTGCAGGGCCTCGTGCTGGCCTTGTGTGCAACTATTCAAACATTAAGAATTTCAAGGAACCATCAGCAGAGCCCTTTTAAGATTGGAGACTTGTGTAGCACATATATGAAATTGACTCTGATCACAGAGCACATAGCATCCAGCTGGAAACGAACAGGTTAATCTTTGTGGTGCTTCTAAAATGGGGGAAAATAACAGAGAGCTGAGAGTTTAACTCAGTTTAGTTGCAGAGTTATAGATGACAAGCAAAGGGTCCAGTGATCCAAGACGGTCCAGGTGAGAGTAGTGAGAAAATGTCTCAGGTCTCCTGAGATTATTTTGACTAAGTTCATGAGCATGTTCCCCTAATCTATGTAGGTTAGACAGAGCAAGGTCAGCAGTTACCTGGTGGTAAATTAAAGCCCAGGTAACAAGTAAATACAAAGGCAAGATCAAAGCAAAGGCCCTGAGGGAGAGGACCTGTCTGAAAAGCAGAGGGAAAGTATATTCTTTTCACCCACCTCTCTCTCCTGCTTCCAGCCCCTTCAGCAGTTTTCCTTAGAGAGAAAAAAATGTTAACAGCCAAACAAAAGGCCCGAAGCAGATTTTTTTTTCACAGCCTGTGAGCTGATCTTGAACTTTCCAGGGGTTTGTGCTTCATAGAAAAAACATTTAGGCATTTCCTCCATGTTTTTGTATCTGGAAAGGGAGGCCTCTCTTTCCAAGTGTTGACTGACATCTTAGAGCTTATTTCTTTCCAGTTAAAGTGGAAAATATCAACTAAGATTTCAAAGAAAAGGAAATGTAATGTATTTTCTCATCAAATTTGGCATTATCTATTTGCCAGGCAGGCCTTTAATCTTCAGTGCAGTATTTTTCCATTGTATAATTCTGAGTTCGCCTTAAATCTGTCTCTTTCAACTTCGCTTTTCTAAAATACGAATGTGATTTGCCCAACTTATCTTCTTTTCTCATTTGTTTCCTCGATACTTTTGATTATCACTTGCTAGGGTTTCTCTAGAGAAGCTCACTATTTTGCCTCTGCAAATATTGAGTGTAACACAGATAAAGCTTCTTTGTTAGTGTGAATTCATTAATGACCTTGATAAAAAGAACTTTCCATGTCCAGCATGCTGGGAGGACTAAAATGATTTGGGGCCTGTTGATATGAACATACAAATAAGAAAAGTACAATAATAGGCCTTAAAAGTCTCATTAAGTTTTTAAATGGGAAGGAAAGCCAGTCACTTCTGTTCCAGAATCTGGTAGTACAGAGAGTGCCTCATACTATTCTTCCCTCCAAGAACCTAAAAGCAGACATGGGATTAATCTCTAGAAATTTGTCTGAAAAAATTATGTGCCCATGATGACTTTTGAGCTCATTCTCTTAATAAATCTTACCTTTCTCTATATCTTCTAAATGTTGCCTTTGTTCACCTCAGATGGGTATCTCCTGGTTTGTCACATCCTTAAGTCTGCTTTTGCTTCACAAAGTAAGTTTTGATGTATGTCTTTTGCCCATGTCTTTTGATGACTGATTTCAGTTCTGTGTATAAGTTATATTTCCAGTTTTCCTGCACCTTGCTCAACAGTGACTCCTTCTAAAGACTGTGTACACAGAGTCTAAGACTTCTATCTGGTACTTCTTCCTTCGTCTACCTCTTTTTCCCCCTCTCCATTGTTCCAATCTCTCTAAACTTTTAAAAATGCCTTTTGAAGCTGGATAATTCTTTTTAGTCATATCATCCCCTTATACGGTAAAGGTGAACCGCAGAAGAAGAGCAAGAAGACTTTTGGGAAACTGGTGAAATGAAGGCATTTGAGCAACAACTACTAATCAAACAACCCAATCAGTCCAGACGGGGGAATTTTTAGCTTTTGGTTGCTGTTGGGCAGAACCCGGCAAGGTCATGGGGGCCTGCAGATGGCAGACTTTCTGGTGAAATGGAAAGACATATAAAGGTGTCATGGCTTCAGGGAGGGAAAGTGTTGTGGGATAATCCTGCATTTCCACAGTCACTCTGAAAACCCTGGGGTTCCCAGTGGAAAATTACTCTATGCCGATTTTGGAGTGACCTATGTGTGGAGCAGGGTATAGATGAGCCACCTGGGGATTGAGCGTCAAATAGCTGCATTCAGGAAACCTCACCCATACACCTGTTTTCCATCCCAAGCATGTGGGGACGACATGGTAACATTACTGTCTTCTTGGGAAAATATAGTTTGATTTGTAGCATGTTTTCTTAATGTCAGATTAGGAGCCTGGGAATAAATTTTAATTCATATGAATTCTCTAGGGTTACATGGATAACAGTGAGTCTTTCTATTCTTAGGTAATTTCATATTTTCTGAAAATGAAAATAGCCCCATAAAAAGGCAGGACTTTGATTTAAAAAAATCTTTAAAAAAATTTCGTCCACATTCTATACTCCACCACCCCCAACTCTGCTCCTCATTTATGGTATTTTACTTTGGTTTTTGTTGAAGTTAATCTTGCCATTGTTATCTTTCTGTCAGTCAGAATCCCACGGTGGTAATGCTGTTGATGTATTTTGTTAAACAACAAAAACCTTTTTATACATGACACATATTTAAAGAAAAAAAGTCACCTTTAAGAAGGTAAAACAAGTTGACAAATGTTTCTTTAAGTGAAACTAATTGCATGGAATATTTTATGACATTTCCATGGAAAATGTTACAGGACATCCCTAGAGGATTTCAGGGGAACTTTTATAGCTATTTCCTGCTCCATCAGCATTTTACAGAATTTTGTGGAAAGCAGGGGTGGTTGCCGCTGCATCTGGTTAGTCGTGGGCATCAGTTTCTGTTGGTCCGTGGAGGAGCCTAACACACAAACACATTTGTGAAGATTGTCCTGAGATGACGTCAGGAACGACCGTGACCTGGACTGGCTTAATGAGATGCTATCGGGTCAGGTGCAGCAGGGAAAACCTATTTTTCTTAGTTTCCTTTTGACATGAATCACTAAGGTGCTACCTACTTCCTTACCATTGTCCTCAGATAAAATACCTTTTGAAAATCCTCTTGTATAGTAGAGACTGGCTACTTTAACCCTTTTATTTTATTAAGATATTTTAAATATCATTAAGTGTCAAAACATTCAGTCCTTACTTTACTATATCAAAGCCATACTAAAGGAATACAAATGAGTGTAAGTGCAAAGCTTGTGCTCCAGAAACTAATAATCTGTAGCCAATCATGTAGGGTTATAGCTTTGTTCATGTCTGTCGACCATATACTGCTTTTAACTTGTAGCTACTGCACTTAATTCCGTTGCCATTTCTCTGTGAAACAAATGTTAACAAACAACTATAAAGACTTTCACATTATCATTTCATGAGGAGCACTTTAAAGTATCCAATTGATTGCACATGGTAAGGTCATACTTATGCAACCATTTTATATTAACTATTTTATATTTAAAATGCCACTTTTCCCTAATTTACAAAATGTAATTTTCTAAACACTTCTACCTACAACAGTGTGAGAATGAATAAGACAGAAGCTATTATCCTAATTTTCATAGAAGAGGAAGAGTGGTTAAATCACCTGCTTTAGTTCCCAGATTTACTTGTTGAAAGGGTAGACAATAGAACCCAGGGATTCAGATTCCTAAGTCTCGAATATTTTCCACTGACTGAACCATATTGATTCTCTGGAGAAACTAATTAATTGTGTCAATTTCTCAAGATGAGGATACACCAATGTGTTTTGTGGTGTCTTTAAGTCATTCAACGTGGGCTATGGCCCTCCTTGGTTGCTCATATGTTGTTTTCCTTGTTTACATGGTGGTGTGTCTCCATGATGCCAAAATAGCTAATCATTTCAAGATATCCTTTGAAAAAGTAAAACCAGTAGTGTTTAGTGTCATGGAGACAAAACAACCAGTTGATTTGACTTTTCTCCATTTTCAATCAGTGGTTTTACAGTCATGGGGAAATAGACTGTCCTTTTTCATCTCATGAGGTGTTTTCCACCCTCCGTTCTCTCTCTCTCTCACCCTCTCTGTCTCTCTCTCCTTTTTCTTCTTCTTCTCTCTCTCCATCCCTTTCATTCTTTTTATTTCTTAACACATTTTATTCTTTTTCCATCCCAGGTAACAAATGGTTACTATAGAACATTTAAAATATAAAATATGGAGAAGAAAAATTAATATAACTATAATCATATGAAATACATGTAAATTTTTTTCTAACATGAAAATGAGTATTGTTCCTTTCTCTTTCCTCGAATCAGCTTGTTGAATTTCAACTGCATGTTGGAAATTTTCTCTTTGTTCTAATTTAATTATTATATATTGCCTGATCTCTGACTTCAGAGATGCTTGATTAATTTTTTATAAGATCTTTATGAAGTTCTCTTAGATCTGACACTAGTTAGCAGTGAGAGTGGTGTTAACCTGTTTTACTCACTGAACGTGGGCTAATTTGGGAAAACTGAGTCTTGGGTTTTGAGACACTGATCATGTGGGATTAGTGAATACATTTTGCTATTCAATATTGTGTCATACCATGTTATGCCATGTCACTTATTCATTCACTCAAGAAGTATTTATTAACTACTTCCTTAGTTCTAGACACTGTTCTAGGTGTTGAAGATTGATTATCAAAAGATCAGACAGGGCAAGGTGCAGTGCTCACTCCTGTAATCCCAGTGCTTTGAGAAGGCTGAGGCAAGAGGATCACTTGAGGCCAGGAGTTTGAGACCAACCTGGGCAACATAGTGAGGCCCCATCTCTCCAAAAAATAAAAAAAATAAAAATTTACCAGGTGTGGTGGCATGCACCTATAGTTCTAGCTACTCAGCAGGCTGCAGTGAGAGGATTACTTAAGCCCAGGAGGTTGAGGCTGCACTGAGTTATGATCATGTACCTGCACCCCAGCCTGGGTGACAGAGCAAAACGCTGTCTCTTAAAACATCAGACAGGTTGGTCTCTGTATTGGTGGAGTCCATCAACTACTAAGAAATATATGCATCAAGTTAGTCATTACAAGTTAGAACAAGTGGGAAGGAGAAATGCACATACTGGGCTAAAAGACAGATGCTAAAGCTATCATTTTCATGCAAGAGTTATACTTAAATCCCATGGATTTTAACATCTAATATACTCAGCCTCCCAACCCCTTCTGCTAATAAGATATAGAAAAGGAGCAAGAGAAGATTAACTTTAGGAGTTGCCTGGTATATACTTCACACAAACATATATAAATCTATCTATCTATCTATCTATCTATCTATCTATCTATCTATCTATCTGTCTATCTATCTCAAGGCTGACTCCCTGCAGGGATTTTAACATCTAATATACTCAGCCTCCCAACCCCTTCTGCTAATAAGGTATAGGAAAGGAGCAAGAGAAGATTAACTTTAGGAGTTGCCTGGTATATACTTCACACAAACATATATAAATCTATCTATCTATCTGTCTGTCTGTCTGTCTATCTATCTATCTATCTATCTATCTATCTATCTATCTATCTATCTATCTATCTATCTATCTCAAGGCTGACTCCCTGCAGGGATTAAGGACTGAGTGAGGAAGAGTAAGTGGCAGAAGATCATTAAGTCCTCCCTCTCTCATCTTTTGTCTTGGGATTTGAGAGTTAGAGAGGGCAGGTACCACTATGTAAGCTTCCCATTTTATTGATGCCAGCGACATTCACATAAAAGGGGCATAGGACTTCCCTAAAGTTAGAGATCTCTATGACTAATGTCTTGTTAATTTGGGAGGTCAAGCTTTGGCAGGGAGCATCTATGTGGCAAGATCCTTAAAACGAGTAATAGAATTTATAGCAATTCTAGATAGTTCCAACTGGAACAGAGACCTAGAGACAGAGTCACACAGCTTCACATAATGGGATTTTAAGAGCATGTATTTCAAAAGATGCTAAGCAAGTTTCATGCTGGGACTAGGATAGAAACTTGGGGAAAAGTTTACATGGCCACATTTTAATTTCTGATGTATTTTCAAAATGTGTATGATAGTCTTTTGGAAAACGCTGCAACAAGAAGAAAAATACTGAAGTGCACATTAGAAGAGTTGGGTTTAATTCAGATCTATCAGTAACCATGTGACTTTGGGCAAAGCACTTTGTCTTTTTTGGGTCTCTGTTTCTTCATCTGAAATATGAGGATTATAGCTAAATTACCACTAGGATCCTTTCTAGCTCCATAATTTTGTGATGTGAGAAGAATCCAAAATATCCTCACAGAGGAGTGAATTTGAACAAGGCAACTCCCCCCATCCCCCCGCCATCTCTCTTTTAATACTTGATGGTAATCCGAAGCCCAGAACCTTTGAGATATTGGAGGGAGAGTGTCATGGAATAAAAAGAGCTCTGAATTTGGAGCTAGTCCACTCCACTTAGTAAATGTGTCACCCTGGGTGAATTATACTTACTTTCTGAGTCTCATGTCCCTCATTTGGGAAACAGGACAAAACCACTCACCCTCACAGGTCCCTCATGAGGATCACATGGGGCGTTACCTATGCAAATGTATCCTATGGCACCTGACACACAGCAGGGTTCAACTGGCAGTCTTCCATCCTTTTCTCTCATCCCCTTGAATGTGGCTGGCTCAGTTTGCTAGTGTGATCTTAGCCGGACTTGGCCCTTATAATCCAATTGTCCACAACCTTCAACAGATATTAGGCTGCCTCCCAGTGATTACCTGCTCTGGAACTCTGCCTTTGATGAAAGCTGGACCGATTTTAGGCTGAATTTTTGTCCTGGACACCTTTGCTATGGAGAAACTCTGATGAGACTCCTGGCACTATAACTGTGTGGGTCATCAGTTTGAATAATTTCCTGACTTCTCATTGAATCCCAGTGAGAGAGTGACACACTGGACAATGCAATGGCAGCCACTGAAGTTTATGCCAGATCCTCACAATAGCTTTTTGGGACCATACATCCCTCTACTCCTGAGAATGCATTTCCTTACACCAACACTCTAGGGCAGCAGAGTGCAGCACTCTAGAGCAACACTCTAGGGCACCAACACTCTAGGCCAGCTCACTCTTTGACTAGGCAGCTATATCAGAAAAACCCATATGGTCCCATGGCTGAAGCATGGGAAATATATTAGAAATAAAAGAATAAAAAACAAGAAAGAGTTTGAGAAGGGAACAAAAATAGAAGAAATGGAAAGTAAAAGAGGGAAGGGAATAGGGAGGAAGGATAGATGTCAACAATGTTGCCAGGGGCTATAGATTGCCTTCTCTGACTTGGTAGAATCAGGAAATAATGAACAGGGGAACTCTCCCAAACAACAGGCTTTCAAAAGCCCAGAATATTATATTTCTGTAATAATCTAATGGTGTGGGAGTGGTGGAGGGCTCTAAATGCTAATTCTATAATATGGGTCCCTGGACTGGCTGCATCAGAATCACCTGAGGGCACTGTATTACATACAGATTTCTGGGCTTCAGGCCCAGATGGACTGAATCAGACTCCTCTGATATGGGGCCAGGGCACATGCCTTTTTCAACAAAGGACCCCAAATATGCTGAGCTTGCACTACATTCACCATTTTACAAATATAATAAGATACTGTTTCATCTTTTCTCAACTAGTTCGAGCCACTGGCTAAAAAATACCTTTTTTATGTTACATCAGTTCTTTAGGGGAGAAAAAAGGAAAAACAAAACCAACAACAAAACCTGGGATTCAGCTGAATATTGTAGATATAAATCTACAAAAGGTTCAAGATCATGGGTATGGGTGTATCACACCACTGAATTATGTGATTTTAGGTAAATTACCAATAATGAGATCATAGGTGGTGACCTTCAGATTTGAGGTTCCATCTCTTCTCCAGACTGTAAGAGACTACTCATTGTGGGAAGGAAAAAGCAAACACAGCTGTCTTCCATCCCAACCCTGCCACCACTTGTAAGTGACTACCCCTTGTGGGGCTTCGTGCAGACCAAGCGAGGATGCTGGTGTACCCAGAGCAGTCGGGCAAGCCAAGCCACTGGAACACAGAAGGTGGGCACGGTGGTGACTCTTGCATACCTCCTTATATGGAGTCCGACCTGATTCTCTTCCCCATCTGCACGTACATGCTCTACATCAACTAAGCCACCCTCCCATGCCTTCTCTCCATGGCCCACCTTTATGTACCACAATTTTTAAATGGTTAAAATTAGATACAGTTGAATTAGACATATATGCAGAGAAGTTTTAAACTAGTTTATCAAAGTTGTCCTACCTGTCTTCCCATTTCTGTAAGCTGGAGTGACCTCTACTGACTGCATCTTGTGTGTCTTTGACACCCAAAGCAAATGCCTTCTGGATTAGTGGCATGATCAAATGTGACTATTTCTTTCCATTGGCTGCATTGTACTACATGTGCACAAAAAACAGAATCATAGCCAACCCACAGCTGCTTATAGGGCGTGTACTGTCATTTTGGTCGGATTCCTGGACTGTCATCCACCATCTATCACAAGCGTCTTTCTTCAAAGGGAGAGTAGGAAAATAAACTTTGACTTTTGCAAGCAAAGAGAGCAAAGAATTGGTTCAATGATATGAATTTTATTAATTATGCAACTTTTTTGGAGAAGAGATAGAAGTCTGCTCCATGTTTGGAAACACCAAAGAATTTAACAATTTACCTCCTGATTTAAGAAAAACTTATCTCACTTGCTAATATATGCAGCTGATTTCTACTCACGAGTAGCTTAGAAGACATTTAGGCAAGCCAAAGGTCCCAAGCATTTCAATTCTGCTGCTCCACTGGCTAGAATTCCAAAATATCTTCTTGATCCTTTGTTGATGGCCCAATAACAAGACTTTAGAGAAAGAGAATAACTTTTCTCCCTTTATTTTATAAATATAACCTTGTTTCAAAAAAATTCAGGCAGCTAATGAAAATACATACCAAAGAAAAAATAATTATACAGAGGTTTATTGGATGGTTTTTCAGTATTTATGTTTAGCAAAATAAGGTTTTGATAAATGTTACAAATAATTATTCTAACTGAAATTGAACTGCTCGCACTGGGAATATTTCACTATTTAGTGTTTTTCCAATATGAAAACTTAGTTTGGATGCAAATTTAGTTTCAGGCACCTGTGAAGGCCACCATAATCTGCAAATGTCAGAGATGTTGGGTTTTAGTTGCTAGATTAAATACTGTATATATTGTTTATATAGTTTTAGTTTTAAAAATTTATTTATTGAGTTGCAAAGCTTAGATAATTACTATTATTTATACTATTTCTTCCATCTATATGGAAGAATTCTGAAGTCTCAGGACAACTTTTACAATAATCTGACCCTCAACTTCATTTCAAAAGAAAACAGAGAGAGGGCCAGTATAACGTGCTGAAGACACTGGTCAGGGCCTTCAGGCCACTCTCCCTTTTATAAAATATCTGCCTTCAATTACAGTCTTGATGACTGATGGGAAGGCAGATCTGTTAGCTGCAGGTGCTCATCTGCCATGGTGAATGGGTGTGATCCTAGTTGGGCTAGCTGATGCTCCTAGGTACTAGGACCTGAGACCCAGAGATCAGTTAGGTTGCTTACGAGAAGCAATAGTGGAGCTGAGGCAATCCTTGACAAGGTCTGGGGCAAATCACATTATGCATATTCATAAAAACTAAAATCCTATCAAGGGAGCTAGTCTGTGGAGGGGAATAGAGCATGTATTTTTTATATATGACTTTGTAACAAATTATCATACATTTAGTAGCTTAACACAATATAAGTTTATTATCTCATTTTTTTTCTATGAGTTGGGAATCTGGGCAGGGATTAT
The DNA here is from genome assembly GCF_000001405.40 of Homo sapiens. Taxonomy (NCBI): domain Eukaryota; kingdom Metazoa; phylum Chordata; class Mammalia; order Primates; family Hominidae; genus Homo; species Homo sapiens. The sequence continues at coordinate 69,726,743 of NC_000017.11, forward strand.
TAGGTTCTTTGTTTTAGAGTTTTCTGATTATACAAGGCTATAATCAAGATGTCAGCTTGGCACTGAAGTCTCATCCAAACATTCCTCTGAGAAAGGTCCACTCCCAAGCTTTCTTACATAGTTGTCAGGATTTAGTTCCTAGCTCACCGTCATCTGAGAGTCTCAGTTTCTTGCCATGTGTGTCTCTCCTTAGGGCAGCTTACAGCATGGCAGCTTGCTTTATCAGGCCAGCAATGGAAGAATCTGCAAGCAATACAGGAGTTACAATATACAGTAATGTAATCTTAGGAGTGACACCCCATCACCTTTGCAATATTCTATTGATTGGAAGCAAGACACAGGTTGTGCCCACACTCAAGGGAAGGTGCTTACACAAGTGTGTGGCTATTAGAAGCCAGGGGTCATATTGAGGGTCATCTTAAAGAGTGTCTGCCACAGAGCAGAAATAGAAAATCTAAGAAGAAAGAGAGAGAGAAGGGGGTGGGATGCGAGTATAGATAAAGGAGGAGGAGAAGGAGAAGAGGAAGAGGAAGAAGAAAGAAACCTTGATTTATTGATTTTTCTAATTATCATGAGGGATCAGACTCTACTTCTCAGAAAGTGGGTCCTATAAAAATCTTCTAGTAACTTTATGGTAATTACTTCTTTTAAATAGTTTTGAAAAATTTTAATTATGGTAAAAATAGGCATAACATAAATTTTACCATCATAATCATGCTTAAACATACACTTCACTAGTATTAAATTAGTTCACATTGTTGTACAAGCAATCTCTAGAACTTTTTTTATCTTGCAAAACTGAAACTCTTTGCACATCAAGCAGCAACTCCTCATTCTCTCCTTCCCCAGTCTCTGTCAGCCACCCTTCTACTTTCTACAAATTTGATTACTCCAGGTTCTTCATATAAGTGGACTCATATAGTTTTTGTCTTTTTGTAACTGGTTGACTTCACTTATAAAAATCTCCTCAAGATTCATTCATGTTGTAGCATGAGACAAAATTTTCTTCTTTTTAAAGGCTGAATAATATGTATATGCTATATTTTATTTATCCATTTGTCTGTCAGTAGATACTTGAGTTGCTTCCACATTTTGGTAATTGTGAACAATGCTGCCATAAATATGGATATGTAAATATCTCTTTGAGATCCTGCTTTCAATTTTTTTTTTGGTATATATCCAGTAATGAAATTGATGGATCATATGATAATTATATTTTTAATTTTTAAAGAACTGTCATACTGTTTTCCACAGCAGCTACACTATTTTACATTCCCACCAAAAATGCACGAGGGTTCCAGTTTCCTCACATCTTCATCAACACTTGTCATTTTCTGTTTTTCTTTTTTTCCTTTTTTTTAATAATAGCCATCCCAGTGGGTATGAGGTGGTATCTCATTGTGGTTTTGATTTGTATTTCCCTAATGATTACTGATGTTGAGAATCTTTTCATATACGTGCTGTCCATTTCTATCTCTTCTTTGGAGAAATATCTACTAAGTCCTTTACCCACTTTTAAACTAGATTTTTTTTTTCACGTTTTAAATACAAACTTTCACCTAAGAGTGTTTTGAAATATCCAGATTATGAAAACAGAGAGTTTTTTCCTTCACACAGTACAAAAATGAAGAAAATTCTCTATTCTCCACCTCACCTTACACAAACAGACCTCTCCAAGAACTGAACATAAACCCAGGTGCTTAAAATATGTTTAGGCACAGACTTTTCCCTAGAGGGGAGTGACATGGTGGGTGGGGCACAAGAGTCTCTGAAGGAACTTGTACATTTCATGCTTCCAGAATTTCACTTCTTCCAGATACCTTCCTCTAACACCTGTCTCAGTCTTTTTCTTTTTATAGACACGATTAACACTAAACTGCTAAATTAAGTAGAATCTCTAAAGTAAATATAACTTGAAACTATGCAAGGGACAAAGTGTTTTGTTCTGAGATCACTGAAGCTCATCTTGGAGAAGTCCATGAGGCAGGTTGCTTGCTGGAAAGGCCAGTACACTTTTTTAGCAGGTTAATTCCAAAGCCACATGTAGAAAAGTTTCTCCCCAAAGACCCAGAGACAGAATCATTTTACTCTGCCCCCACTCCTTCCCTGTGCCCCTTCCTAGGGCTGTACAAAGACCCCGATTGAATGATTGGATCTGTACTTTGCAGTAAAAGAGAATCAGAAGCCTTTTCTTTTTCCCTTTTTATTCTCCCCCCCTCTTTTTTTCCACTACTCTAATGAAATTTGCAGACATGGAAAGGAAACTGAGTTATTTATAGGAGTGGGAGGAATGTGAGTGCTAATTGTGCTTAGTCTATTCCTAAGTACGTAATCTGTTTGCTATTAAATTTTACAATCTTTCAGCAATATACACATTTTTTAAAGACAGAACTTCATAAATCTGACAAAGAATAACCAAAGTAAATAATTCTAAGGGTTTAAATCTTCTAATCAAAATCAGGTTTAAAATTATATAAAAAATTGTTTGTAGAATTAACTTATTTTGCAGCACTAACATTTCCCTTCTTCCTTTGACTAGTTTATTCATTTCTTTTCTAGACTTGTAAAGTTTGATACAGCTACTCATGGATGATATAAATTTTGGGGGGCTGGTTATCATGCTTATGTGCATACTAACTCACAAGGCAAATTGGGTCAAATGAGAAGCTGTTGGTTGCAAGTGTCTGAAGAAGGTGCTGGGGCCTTGAACTCTAAATTGAACGTTTTGGTAATCAAATAGCTCAAATTATTCTGCATAGCTTAAAGTCATTCTGGATAGAAATTATCTTGGGACATAAATTTTTCTCAGGGTTCCCCATTTCCGTTATCTCTATCTAACAATTGCAAAAGCCTGCTTGTTAAAAATTAAATAAATGCTTGTTAAAAGGAACTAGAAAAAATCATAATCATTCCTAGGTAAATTTTTCATGGTGGAAATTATTTCCTGTTTGAAATTTGTTTTAGTTTGGCTGTCAAGGTTGCAAGAGACAGAAAATTACTCAAATTATTTTAAGGAAAGATGGCTTCATTAAAAGACAACGAATTAAATTCATAACTGAAAAACCACTGGGAAACTAGGCAGGTATGGGGGGTCATATGGAGGCCCTGACACATGGCTGTTTTTCCTTTTTCTGTGTCTTTGCACAGCTCCCTCTGCCTCCTTCTGCTTTTGGGTATCAATCAATACAATATTCACCTGTATTCTTACATATTGTTTTTCTTTATACTTTCTGCTTGCTCATATTACTTTATATTATGCTTTCTCATAACTTTGGTGTGTTGCAATATGTCATATTTCTGCCTAACACATGCTGTCATGTTGACTTCAGGTTCTACTGCTTAGCTGCCTTAGTCATTCAGAATTTTCAGTTAAAATTCTTCAGACAGGAAACCTGATGGGGTTTAGTCTGACTTGTTATTTTGACTTGCACTCCAAGCCACACTGTAGGTTGCTGGCCAGCTGATGATTTGGCTGTTTTTGAGTTAGTTGCCAATTTGTTTTAGTCACCTGTGGCTTGAGGTGGAGGGAACTGGGTCATGTGATCCATACAAGGATTCCTCTTCAATTGGAGCTCTAGGTAAATCAGCTATTTTGAAGGGTCTTTCACTAGTCTCCAGAGAAGGTGGCAAATATAAACCAGAATTAAAATAATAATCGGATTTTGATCATTTGCCATTTGAGTCTGTTTTTCTTCTGTATAAGTGAGATACTATCTAGTCTTGAGACTGCTTGGGGTAGTAACAAATCACCCCCAAATTTAGTGGCTTAGAAAAAGAAATCATTGTTTTTCTTATGATTCTACAGATTATTGACTGGGCAGTCCTGCTTCATGGAGTGTCACTGTGGGATGTCTGGAAGGCCCCAAATGTCTTCACTCACATAGCTGGCAATTGGTGCTGGCTGTGGCCTGGGAGCCCTACTGGGGCTATGGACCAGGGCCCTTGATTCTCCTCTCTGTGGGCCTTTGCAGGTCGCTTTTTGGGTTTAGTAACAGCATGGTGGCTGGGTTTCATGGAGGAACAGTTCAAGAAGACAAGCCCCAGTGTGCAAGCACGTATTCAAACCTCCACTGCATTATTCTTGCTAACATCCTATTGGTCACAGCTAGTCACAGGGCCAAGTCAGACTCCAAATGGATAGAGACTTACAAGTGTATGCATCTGAGAGTCATCGTTCAATGGGATCCCCCAAATGTCACATTAAATGAGATAATAGATGAAAAATGTTTTATGGTCTTTAATGCATGTAGTTAATGCTCAGTAAACATTTGAATAGTACTTCTGTTGAAGGAAATTTTGACAGTTTTTTTTCATCAAAATTAAAATGGTTACATTTCTGACACTTTTTGTTACCATATTTGGGTATTTCTTCATTCTTAAAAGATTCTTCAGGATTCTCAAAATTTCTATGTGGCCCAGCCTTCTCTCTTTCTCCAAGTGCCCCCGGTTCGTGTCTCCAGGGACCTTACAGTAACTAAGACAACCACTGCAAAATAGTATTTCAGGTTAGGCATTCAGTGGGCCCAGAATGAGATCGGTTAGCTTGGGAAAGCATCGCAGAAGAGAAAGCCTTAGAAGTTCTTAGGTGAAGAGAAATAACCATTCTGTCAGTTCTGGAATCTCTTGATTTTGCAGAAGAAGAAACTGAAGCTTAGAAAGGAAAAGCTATCTGCCTAAAATCACCATCAGTGAGCAATAGAGAATTGGAACCACTTTTTTTCTGATACATTCATCCATTCACAAATATGTATTGAGTGTTAAGCACCATATGACGCTTGTTATATATGGAAGAAAACAAAAGGGATATGCCCTCAACTTTGTGGCCTTTATGGTCTAACCTAGGGTAAAGATAGTAAATAAGTGAACTAACCATCCAAAATTGTGATAGACACTTTGAACAAACCCAACAGAGCAGAATGATAGAGAATGGTGTTGGAAACATGGAGAGTCAGGAAAGGGTTTTCTGGTGATATAAAATTTAAGCTGCATCCCAAAGGGGAACTGAGAGGGCGCCAGCCCTGAGAAGATCAGAACCACATCCCAGACAGAGGGAGCAATATTTGTCAAGGTGCTGAGCCTGGAACAATTTTTATGTGTTAGAGGAAATAAAAGGAAAAAAATTCCGTTAGTGGGACCACTGAGAATGAAGAGGTGAGATGCACCTGACTAACTTGGAGAGGTAGGGGAGATGCACCTGACTAACTTGGAGAGGTAGGAGGGATCAGAACCTGCAGGGCCTTTGGGGTCATGGAAAGAAATTTGAATTTTATTTTAGATACAGTAGGAAGTCGCTGAAGTTTTTAAGAAAAAGAGCAACTTAATCCAATTTATATTTTTAAAAGGCTTACTCAACACATGTTGATTGAAAATCTATTTATTTGCCAAGGACTCTGCCAAGTGATATTGTAGCAGAAAAATAACATATGGCTCTGGAGAGGCATCTATAGCATAATAGATTGGAGTGTGTGTGGGGGGAAGAAAGACACATCCATTAGTGACAACATAAGTGTGGTAAGTTACACAACAGACTGTTTTCTGCGTTGCTCACAAAATCTTCCTCCGTGAACCTGTCTGTGGTCTCACTGAAATGACAGCTTTAGCTGGCTAGTACCATGGAACCCAGTTTCCCAGACATAGGCAATTCATCCAGGGTGAGACACTGGTCCAGGCTGGAGCCATTATAGACCAGGAACACATTAGAATCTCCCTTAAACATTAGTTAAACAACACAGAGAATGTAATCATTAATGGTGATCACTGAGCCTTGAAGATGATAAAGCCATGAGGCTATTGTTTATGTTGGACACTGTGCAATCAGAGGTGGTTGGTCAGCTAAAAGAAGAATCAGAAGAGAGGCAGACAGAAAGCAGATGAGAAACAGATCACAATATTTGAAAGGCATATTTAAAAATATAGATTCCTAAGGGGCTTCCCAGTTCCAATCTTTGCAACTCTGTATTCATTTTAGTCTTTGCCTGTGAAATTTCTTACCACACCCTTAAGGGATATCAGTGTCTCTCCCTGCCTCCTCATACTTGAGATGGGTCTACAAAGATTTGTAGGCTTTTCATGGTCAGAGAGGCAGGAGAAGGGTATTCCAGGCAAAAACAATAGTCTATTTAAAGGGACAGAAGCATAAGCATTCTAAAGGCGAGCTACTTCAGAAGGTGGTTTCAGTAAACACTGTATGAAATGTTGGCTGGGAATAAGAAGACCACCAAGCTTGATGACTGAAGCTTAGTGAAGGGAAGTTGAAAAGCTATTTGGAATGAAATCTCCACTTACAAGTCAAATAGTTGATGGTGATGGAAAAAGTATACCTTACTGAATTCTTTAAGTAATATAAAATTCCCGTGGACAATTTTCAGCACCAAACACACTACTTGGCATTTAGCAGGTATTCAGTAAATATTCGAGGTGTGCATATTGTCTTTATTTTTCATTTCCTCCAGTTCACAGCCAGTAGTAAACAAGGGCATATTACAAATTGAGATCCAAGTTGGGTTAAGTACACAGGTAAGCACTGAAACATGCAAGAGTATTTGCAATAAGAAGCTCAAATTCTATTCCACCATGAATAATAAGCTGAATTCCAGTTGGCCAATCTCCATTCCTTCCCAAAAGTGTTGAACTGGTAACCTGCTCACCCTCATTCCTCTTGGAATTTACAGATGTGTGCCGGACAGTGTGGGAAACAGTGTTTTACAGCAGCAATTAGTTTATTCCTGGGGTAAACAGTAGAACTTTAGGGATAATTGCAGCAAGAAATTTGTTCCCTATTGCAGTGTGAATAACCTACAGGCAGCCAGTTGGCTGCTTGCCCTACAAATCCCAAAAAGGACATTGGCAACTGTTTTGCATTTGTGCCCAGTAGGGATTTGCAGATGCACAGTGGGGAGAGGAGAAAAGATGGGCTGTGTTTTTACCAATGTTTGCAAAGCCAAGGATGGCTTTCCAGGACAGGTTAATTCAGAAGCGGGAAATTTGGGTTTGTGTAAGGGGACAGCTTGCTTCTCTTTAAGATGGAAGCTGCAGCTCGAGTGCCAGTTGGCAGCTCCTGAGTCTGCTATAGGGCCAACACACATGCAGGCAGCAGAGTCACTTAATCCCTTTGACTTTGCTATTTCCTGCCTATGACTGTACTAAGCTTGTTGAAGCCTGAAGCAACATGTGACTATGAGATTGTGGGCAGCCAGGAGCCAGTCTTCCACAGCCTTGGACAAACTGACTGTACCACCCTCTACAATTTGCTTCCTAGCCAAGGTTGGCTATTTCCCCAAATTTCTCTTTCAGGTGTGGCATTATAGAGACCATTATTACTGTTGTTGCTGCATTTAAGAGAACACAGACACAATAGTTTCCAGCTTGCTTTTGTACATAGTTTCCCTAAATATGTTACTATCTCCAGTGCAGGCTCCAATTTGAAATGTCATCACAGGCAGCAGCAATGTCACATATTTTTATGGCATTTTCTCTTATGATCGTTGTGTAATTATACTTTAATATTTAGGTGTGGACATTAAGGAAGGGGTTATTTCTGTCATACAGAAGGGAAAAATTACTAGGAAAATACATAAAAAGTTAACTTTGTAGTTGATGTTGGAGATAGTGATTTCTATTACTACAGATCATTTAATCTTTCCTTGTGAGTGGGAGAAGTGCAGTCTTGCTTTATTAATTGCTAATAATTTTCCCATATAAACTCAGAGAACCTCAAAAGTGGTTACTGTGCCTTCTGTATCTCTTGCCTCCTAATTGATTTCCCTGCATCCGTCCCTGGGTCCCTTTCCCCTATCCTCAATCTGTTCTATATACATGGCAATTCTAATCATGACAAGCTTAAATTAATTTAATACTATCCTATTATCTTTGGGATAAAGATCACACGTGCTTCCTGAGGTCAGCCTTCTTAGCATGGCCGAAAAGGTCCTACCTGATTTGGCACCAGTATCATCTCTCAGGCACTCACAAACCCATTCTCCACAATTCAGTCTTTTCTGCTGGTCTTTTCTTCTGATTGTCTAATGCATGTGATTCTTCTTGCCACAAGACCATTGCACATTCCATTCCAGCTTCCTGGAATGCTCTTCCCACTGGTCTCTGTAAAAGTTAACTGCTTCTTATCCTTCAAATCTCAGCTCATGCTTACTCTCTTCCCTAATTTCCAGACTTACTCAGATTACCCTGTCACTCCCTCAAACAGCATCTGTAAATCTCCTTCTTAACTCTGATCACAATCTGTCATCCTACAAGATGACTTTGTAGGATGACTTTGTAGGGAGTACTTAGCTGATGCCTACTTTTCCTCCTCAATAAAGACAAGGACTCTATTTCCAGCACTATCATGACCCTGGTGGAGGAAGACCGTGGTGAACTCTATGCAAAGAAAGCATGAATCAAGTCAAGAAGGAGGTGCCAAATTTAAAGTTAAAAAGAAGCAGAATGAAAAGCAACTGAGGAAAACAATTCTAAAGGGGCTTTAAAGCAAACAAGTCAAGATCAGTATCAATTTTAGTTTGAAGGAGCTGATGGACAAGATGTGAATTTCCAGTGAAGCAGGCTCTGAACTTCATTTTGAAGTTAAAAATTGACTCGGGTTCAGAGACAGCATTAGAGAGGTAGGATCACTCATCTCCAAACAAAGGGCATTTTCTTTTATTTATATATATATATAAAACAGATATATAAATATATTATATATATTTAATAATATATATTTAATATTTATATGATATATATTATATATAATTTATATATTACATATATATTACATATATATACAAATATATATAAAATATATATATATATTACAAGTTATTGGGGTGCAGGTGGTATTTGGTTACATGAGTAAGTTCTTTAGTGGTGATTTGTGAGATTTTGGTGCATCCATCACCCAAGCAGTATATACTGCACTATGTTTGTAGTCTTTTATCCCTCGCCCCATCCCACTCTTCCCCCAAAGTCCATTGTATCATTCTTATGCCTTTGCATCCTCATAGCTTAGCTCCCACATATCAGTGAGGACATACAATGTTTGGTTTTCCATTCCTGAGTTATTTCACTTAGAATAATAGTCTCCAATCTCAGCCAGGTCGCTGTGAATGGCATTAATTCATTCCTTTTTATGGCTGAGTAGTATTCCATCATATAAATATACCACAATTTCTTTATCCACTCGTTGACTGATGGGCATTTGGGTTAGTCTGATGATTTTGTAATTACGAATTGTGCTGCTATAAACATGCATGTGCAAGTATCTTTTTGTATAATGACTTCTTTTCTTCTGGGTAGGCACCCAGTAGTAGGATTGCCAGATCAAATGGTTTTCTACTTTTCATTCTTTAAGGAATCTCCACACTGTTTTCCATAGGGGTAGTACTAGTTTACATTTCCACCAACAGTGTTGAAGTGTTCCCTGTTCACTGCATCCACACCAATATCTACTGTTTTTTGATTTTTTTATTATGCTCATTCTTGCAGGAGTAAGGTGATATTGCATTGTGGTTTTGAGTTGCATTTCCCTGATTATTAGTGATGTTGAGCATTTTTTTATGTTTGTTGGCCATTTGTATATCTTTTTTGAGAATTGTCTATTCATGTTCTTAGCCCACTTTTCAATGGGATTGTTTGTTTTTTTCTTACTAGTTTGTTTGAGTTCATTGTAGATTCTCAATATTAGTCTTTTGTCAGATGTATAGATTGTGATTTTCTCTCACTTTGTGGGTTGTCTGTTTACTCTGCTGACTGTTCCATTTGCCGTGCAAAAGTTCTTTAGTTTAGTTAAGTCTCAGCTATTTATCTCTTCTTTTTTTTGGCATTTGCTTTTGGGTTCTTGGTCATGAAATCCTTGCCTAAGCCAATATCTAGAAGGGTTTTTACAATGTTATCTTTTAGAATTTTTATAGTTTCAGGTCCTAGGTTTAAGTCTTTAATCCACCTTGAGTTGATTTTTGTATAAGGTGAGAGATGAAGATCCAGTTTCATTCTCCTACATGTGGCTAGCCAATTATCCCACATCATTGTTGAAAATGGTGTCCTTTCCCCACTTTATGTTTTTGTTTGCTTTGTCAAAATTCAGTTGGCTGTAAATATTTGGGTTTATTTCTGTGTCTCTATTCTGTTCCATTGGTCTATGTACCTATTTCTGTACCAGTACCACACTGTTTTGGTGACTATGGCCTTACAGTATAGTTTGCAGTCAGATAGTGTGGTGCCTCCAGATTTGTTCTTTTTGCTTAGTCTTGCTTTGGCTATGTGAGCTCTTTCTTAGTTCCACATGAATTTTAGAATTGTTTTTTCTAATTCTGTGAAAAATGATGGTGGTATTTTGATGGGGATTGCATTGAATATGTAGATTGCTTTTGGCAGTATGGTCATTTTCACAATATTGATTCTACCCCTCCATGAGCATGGGATGTGTTTCCATTTGTTTGTGTTGTCTATGATTTCTTTCATCAGCGTTTTGTAGTTTTCCTTGTAGAGGTCTTTCAACTCCTTGGTTAGGTATATTCCTACTTATTTTATTTTTATTTTTTGTTTTGCAGCTATTGTAAAAGGGTTTGTGTTCTTGATTCGATTCTCTGCTTGGCTGCTGTTGGTGTAGAGAAGAGCTATTGATCTGTGTACATTAATCTTGTATCTAGAAACTTTGCTGACTTCTTTTGTGAGTTCTAGGAGCTTTCTGGTGGAAACTTTGAGGTTTTCAAGGTAAACGATCATATTGTCAGCAAACAGAGACAGTTTGACTTCCTCTTTACTGATTTGGATGCCCTTTATTTCTTTCTCTTGTCTGATTGCTCTGGCTATGACTTCCAGTACTATGTTGAAGAGGAGTGGTGACAGTGGGCATCCTTGTCTTGTTCCAGTTCTCACAGGGAATACTTTCAACTTTTCCCCATTCAGTATTATGTTGGCTGTGGGTTTGTCATAGATGGCTTTTATTACATTAGTATGCAAATTTTGCTGAGAGTTTTAATCATAAAGGGATACTAGATTTTGTCAAATGCTTTTTCTGTATCTATCGAGATGATCATGTGATTTTATGTGTGTATATTTATGTGGTCAATCACATTTATTAACTTGCATATGTTAAACCATCCCTGCATCCTTGGTATGAAACCCACTTGACCATGGTGGATTATCTTTTTGATATGTTGTTGGATTTGGTTAGCTAGTGTTTTGTTAAGGATTTTAGCATCAATGTTCGTCAAGGATATTGGTCTGTAGTTTTTTTTTTCAGTTATGTCCTTTCTTGGTTTTGGTATTAGGGTGATGCTGGCTTCATAGAATGAGTTAGGGAGGGTTTCTTCTTTCTCTGTATTGGGGATAGTGTCAAAAGGATTGGTACCAATTCTTCTTTGAATGTCTGGTAGAATTCTGCTATGAATCTGTTGGTCCTGGACTTTTTTTTTTGTTGTTGGTAATTTTTTAGTCACAATTTCAATCTCACTGCTTGTTATTAGTCTGTTCAGGGTATCTAATTCTTCCTGATTTAAGCTAAGAGGGTTATCTTTCCAGGAATTTATCCATCTCTTCTAGGTTTTCTAGTTTACGTGCATAAAGGTGTTCATAGTAGCCTTGAATGATCTTTTGTATTTCAGTGGTGTCAGTTGTAGTATTTCCTGTTTCATTTCTTAGTGAGGTTATTTGGATTTTCTCTCTTCTTTTCTTGGTTAATCTTGCCAATGGTCTATCAACTTTATCTTTTCAAAGAATCAGCTTTTTGTTTCACTTATTTTTTGTATTTTTTTTGTTTCAATTTCATTTAGTTCTGCTCTGATCTTGGTTATTTCCTTTCTTCTGCTGGGTTTCAGTTTGGTTTGTTCTTGTTTCTCTAGTTCCTTTAGGTGTGACCTTAGAATTCAAGTTTGTGCTCTTTCAGTCTTTTTGAGGTAAGTGTTTAAGGCTATGAACTTTCTTCTTAGCATTGCCTTTGCTGTATCCTAGAGGTTTTTATAGGTTGTTTCATTATTGTCATTCAGTTCAATTTTTTAAATTTCCATCTTGATTTTGTTTTTGAGCCAATGCTCATTCAGGAGCAGGTTATTTTATTTCTATGTATTTGCAGGGTTTTGAAGGTTCCTTTTGGGGTTGATTTCCAGTTTTATTCCACTGTGGTCTGAGAGAGTACTTGATATAATTTCAATTTTCTTAAATTTATTTAAGCTCGTTTTATGGCCTATCATATGGTCTATCTTGGAGAAAGTTCTATGTGCTGTTGAATAGAATGTGTATTATCTGGTTGTTGAATGAAATGTTTTGTATATATCTGTTAAGTCCATTTATTCCAAGGTATAGTTTAAATCCATGGTTTCTTTGTTGACTTTTCTGCCTTGATAACCTGTCTAGTGCTGCCAGTGAAGCATTGAAGTCTCCCATTATTTCGTGTTGCTGTCTATCTCATTTCTTAGGTCTATTAGCAATTGTTTTATAAATGTGAGAGATCCAGTGTTAGGTGCATATATGTTTAGGATTGTAATAGTTTTCTGTTGGACAAGGCCTTTTACCATTATATAATGTCCCTCTTTGCCTCTTTTAACCACTGTTGCTTTAAAGTTTGTTTTGTCTGATATAGGAATAGTTACTCCTGCTCGGTTTTGGTGTCTATTTGCATGAAATGCCTTTTTCCACCCTTTTACTTTAAGTTTATGTGAGTCCTTATGTGTTAGGTGAGTCTTCTGAAGGCAGCAGATAGTTGGTTGGTGAGTCCTTATCCATGTGCAGTTCTGCATCTTTTAAGTGGAACATTTAGGGCATTTACATTCAATGTTAGTATTGAGATGTGAGGTACCATTGCATTAATTGTGCTATTTGTTGCCTGTGTACTTTGGTTTTTTTGTTTTTTGTTTTTGCGTTTTAACTTGTATTTTTGTTTTATTGGGCCTGTGTGATTTATACTTTAAAGAGGTTCTGTTTTGATGTGCTTCCAGGATTTGTTTCAAGATTTAGAGCTCTTTTTAGCAGTTTTTGTAGTGGTGGCTTGGTAGTGGTAAATTCTTTCAGCAATTTTTTTGTCTGAAAAAGGCTGTATCTTTCTTTCATATATGATGCTTAGTTTCACTGGATACAAAATTCTTGGCTGATAACTGTTTTGTTTGAAGAGGCTGAGGATAGGGCCCCAGTAACTTCTAGCCTGTAGAGTTTCTGCTGAGAAATCTGCTCTTAATCTGATAGGTTTTCCTCTATAGGTTTCCTGGTGCTTCTGTCTCACAGTCCTTAAGATTCTTTCCTTTGTCTTAACTTTGGATAACCTGATCACAATGTGCCTAGGCACATTGCCATGAATTTCCCAGGTGTTCTTTGTGCTTCTTGTATTTGTATGTCTACATCTCTAGCAAGGCCAGGGGAGTATTCCTCAATTATTCCCACAAATATGTTTTCCAAACTTTTAGATTTCTCTTCTTCCTCAGGAACACCGATTATTCTTAAGTTTGGTTGTTTAACATAACCCCAGACTTCTTGGAAGCTTTGTTCATATTTTCTTATTCTTTTTTCTTTGTGTTTGTTGGATTGGGTTAACTGGAAGACCTTGTCTTTGAGCTCTGAATTTCCTTCTCCTACTTGTTCACTTCTATTGCTGAGAGTTTCCAGGGCATTTTGCATTTCTATAAGTGTGTCCAATGTTTCCTGAATTTTTGATTATATTTTTCTTTTCTTTTCTTTTCTTTTATTATTATACTTTAAGTTTTAGGGTACATGTGCACATTGTGCAGGTTAGTTACATATGTATACATGTGCCACGCTGGTGCGCTGCACCCACTAACTCGTCATCTAGCATTAGGTATATCTCCCAATGCTATCCCTCCCCCCTCCCCCCACCCCACAACAGTCCCCAGAGTGTGATGTTCCCCTTCCTGTGTCCATGTGATCTCATTGTTCAGTTCCCACCTATGAGTGAGAATATGCAGTGTTTGGTTTTTTGTTCTTGCGATAGTTTACTGAGAATGATGATTTCCAATTTCATCCATGTCCCTACAAAGGACATGAACTCATCATTTTTTTATGGCTGCATAGTATTCCATGGTGTATATGTGCCACATTTTCTTAATCCAGTCTATCATTGTTGGACATTTGGGTTGGTTCCAAGTCTTTGCTATTGTGAATAGTGCTGCAATAAACATACATGTGCATGTGTCTTTATAGCAGCATGATTTATAGTCCTTTGGGTATATACCCAGTAATGGGATGGCTGGGTCAAATGGTATTTCTAGTTCTAGATCCCTGAGGAATTGCCACACTGACTTCCACAATGGTTGAACTAGTTTACAGTCCCACCAACAGTGTAAAAGTGTTCCTGTTTCTCCACATCCTCTCCAGCACCTGTTGTTTCCTGACTTTTTAATGATTGCCATTCTAACTGGTGTGAGATGGTATCTCATTGTGGTTTTGATTTGCATTTCTCTGATGGCCAGTGATGATGAGCATTTTTTCATGTGTTTTTTGGCTGCATAAATGTCTTCTTTTGAGAAGTGTCTGTTCATGTCCTTTGCCCAATTTTGATGGGGTTGTTTGTTTTTTTCTTGTAAATTTGTTTGAGTTCATTGTAGATTCTGGATATTAGGCCTTCGTCAGATGAGTAGGTTGCAAAAATTTTCTCCCATTTTGTAGGTTGCCTGTTCACTCTGATGGTAGTTTCTTTTGCTGTGCAGAAGCTCTTTAGTTTAATTAGATCCCATTTGTCAATTTTGTCTTTTGTTGCCATTGCTTTTGGTGTTTTAGACATGAAGTCCTTGCCCATGCCTATGTCCTGAATGGTATTGTCTAGGTTTTCTTCTAGGGTTTTTATGGTTTCAGGTCTAACGTTTAAGTCTTTAATCCATCTTGAATTGATTTTTGTGTAAGGTGTAAGGAAGGGATCCAGTTTCAGCTTTCTACATATGGCTAGCCAGTTTTCCCAGCACCATTTATTAAATAGGGAATCCTTTCCCCATTGCTTGTTTTTCTCAGGTTTGTCAAAGATCAGATAGTTGTAGATATGCGGCGTTATTTCTGAGGGCTCTGTTCTGTTCCATTGATCTATATCTCTGTTTTGGTACCAGTACCATGCTGTTTTGGTTACTGTAGCCTTGTAGTATAGTTTGAAGTCAGGTAGTGTGATGCCTCCAGCTTTGTTCTTTTGGCTTAGGATTGACTTGGTGATGCAGGCTCTTTTTTGGTTCCATATGAACTTTAAAGTAGTTTTTTCCAATTCTGTGAAGAAAGGCATTGGTAGCTTGATGGGGATGGCATTGAATCTGTAAATTACCTTGGGCAGTATGGCCATTTTCACGATATTGATTCTTCCTACCCATGAGCATGGAATGTTCTTCCATTTGTTTGTATCCTCTTTTATTTCATTGAGCAGTGGTTTGTAGTTCTCCTTGAAGAGGTCCTTCCCATCCCTTGTAAGTTGTATTCCTAGGTATTTTATTCTCTTTGAAGCAATTGTGAATGGGAGTTCACTCATGATTTGGCTCTCTGTTTGTCTGTTGTTGGTGTATAAGAATGCTTGTGATTTTTGTACATTGATTTTGTATCCTGAGACTTTGCTGAAGTTGCTTATCAGCTTAAGGAGATTTTGGGCTGAGACGATGGGGTTTTCTAGATATACAATCATGTCATCTGCAAACAGGGACAATTTGACTTCCTCTTTTCCTAATTGAATACCCTTTTTAAGCTATCTATTTCCTTTAATATTTCTCCCTTCATTTCTTGTATCATTTTTTGGATTTCCTTGCATGGTGCTTCACTTTTCTCTGGTGCCTCCCTGATTAGCTTAATAACTAACCCCCTGAATTCTTTTTCAGGTAAAAAGGGGATTTCTTTTTTGTTTGGATACATTGCTGGTGAGCTAGTATGATTTTTAGGGGGTGTTATAGAGCCTTGTTTTGTCATATTATCAGAATTCGTTTTCTGGTTCCTTCTCATTTGAGTAGGCTCTGTCAGGGGGAAGGTCTAGGGCTGAAGGTTGTTGTTCAGATTCTTTTGTCCCATGGAATGTTCCCTTGATGTAGTTTTCTCCCACTTTTCTTGGATGTGGCTTCCTGTGAGCTAAACTCAATAATTGTTGATTCTCTTCTAGGTCTAGCCACCCAGTGAGTCTACTCAGCTCCAGGCTGGTACTGGGGGTTGTCTGCACAGAGTCCTGTGATGTGAACCATCTTTGGGTCTCTCATCTGTGGATACTATCACCCGTTCTGGTGGAGGTGGCAGTGAGGTGAAGTGGACTCCATGAGGGTTCTTTGCTTTGGTGGCTTAATGCTCTATTTTCATGCTGGCTGGCCTTCTGATGGGAGGCAGCACTTTCCAGAGAGCATCAGCTGTGGCAGTGTGGAGAGGAACCGGTGGTGGGCGGGGATCTAGAACTCCCAAGATTATATACCCTTTGTCTTTAGCTAACAGAGTGGGTAAGGAAGGACCATCAGGTGGGGGCAGGGCTATGCATGTCTGAGCTCACACTCTCCTTGGGTGGGTCTTACTGCATCTGCTGTGAGGGATGGGGTGAGGTTCCCAGGTCAGTGCAGTTGTGTACCTAGGAGAATTATGGCTGCCTCTGCTGAGTCATGCAGTTTGTCAGGGAAGTGAAGGCAAGCCAGCAGTCACAGGCCTTACTCAGCTCCCACATAAACTGAAGGGCCGGTCTCACTCCCACTGTGCCCTGACAGCCCTGAGTCTGTTTCCAGGCGGTGAGCAAGGTGGGATTGAGAACTTGCCCCAGGATACCCGTCTCCCAGCTGCAAAATAAAAGGGCTTGGTTTTTCCCCTGCCTGTGGAGTCTGCACACCAGATTTGTGCCTTCCCCCAAGTTCTGGCCAGAGGGCTTCTTGCCCTGTTCAAGAGCATTTTCTCTTTGTCACAGTTTGCTCTGTCCAAGTGTGGACAGATCAAGATTTGTAGCCCTGTGACCAAGGCAGAAAGGGCCTGGTAACACTGGTGGCCAAAGCAGAGGGCCTGGCCAGAGCTGTGGATGGTGGCAAATGAAAGTTCCTCTAGGGAGCTCTGAGTGGTCTTACCATAGAAGTGTTTGGTGAGGGTGTGCATGTACAGGGAGAAAAAAAGATTAATACTTGGGAAGACATTTATAGCACAAATGTGTCAGAGAAAAATAAGGGAGTAAAGGAAGAGGAAAGAGGTGGCAAAAAGATGTTGAGTCAAGAGAATAAAGCTTGCCTTTCTGTGCCTGGCTTACTTCACTTCATATAATGTCAAGTTCCATTCATGTTGTTGCAAATGACAGGATCTCATTCTTTTTATGGCTGAATAGTACTCCATTGTGTGTATGTACCATATTTTCTTTATCCATTCATCTGTTAATGAACACTTAGGTTGTTCCCCAATATTGGATATTGTGAACAGTGCTGCAACAAACATAGGATCTCAAAATCAAAACAATTGAACTCATAGAGATAGAGAATAGAAGAATGTTTGCCAGAGGCTGGGAAGGGTAGTGTGGGGGTTGGGGGGAGGTAGAAATGGTTAATGGGTACTAAAAAAAAAAAAAAGAATGAATAAGACCTACTAGTCACAAGAGGTTGACTATAGTCAACAATGATTTAATTGTACATTTAAAAATAACTAAAAGAGTATAATTGGATTGTTTGTAACACAAAGGATAAATGCTTGAGGGAATGAATATTCGATTCTCCATGATTATTACATGATTGCATGATTACTACACATTTCTTGCCTGTATCAAAGTATCTCATGTACCTTATAAATATATACACCTACTATGTACCCACACAAATAGATAGATAGATAGATAGATAGATAGATGATAGATAGATAAAAGAACAGAAGAGCTTGCAAATTGCAAAGAAAAAGAAGAAAGACTTTTAAGTAGAAGGGTGTGGTGAAGGAAGATGAGAACAGAGAAATCGCCTTGAGATTTATTTAGAGTGAGGTCGCTGATGACCTTGGAAAGGACAGTGTTAGTGGAGTGTTGGGGGATGGAAGCCAGAGAGCACAGTGTGAGAAGGGAGTTCTGAAAAAGTGGGAAAGTCAGAGCAGTACATTTGGGTTGAAAGATCTTTAAATCTTCTGATGGCCTATGAACGATGCCAAAGGCAAAAATTCTTGCCTGCCATGAAACTGTTGGACGACGTGTTCTTTTTTCAGATTGCTGTTCTCAGAAAGCCCAGGGCAATCAGATCTCAGCCAGATGTGTTGAGGGTCAGGACTGAGATCAACATCTTGGGAGGTGAGGTTGAGGGAACAGGGGTGTTGTGTGCTAACACTCTTGGCAGTGTGAGTGGGCAGGAGTCCATCCTCAGGGATGGTCCTTCTTGGCCTGCCCCACTGTTATTGTTAACTTCTCATTTCCAGGAGTACTCAATCTATAACAAAGTATTAAAACTGGTGTTGGAATATGATCTAATTAATTCATTTTTGCTTTATCTGAATATAATGTTAGAAGAAATCTTGGCTTTGAACTTTTACCTCTTGGGCTGTGTGATGGTACCAGGACAGCACACTGAAATTTAGAAGGGCTGAGCCTACACTGGACACAAAGGCCTGGTGGGGAAGGTAGGCATCAGTGCGAATTAGGTTTACTAGCAGGACTTGGGCCATAGATGCAGTCAATGCAGATTTGGGTTATAGCTGGGACAGGTAGGAATCAACTATTCTGGCCAGGGATGCTGTGGATGAAAAAGCTACCTGGAAATTTTCATTAATAACAACACAGGGAGCATGTTGCTCAGACACTGGGTAAGAGCTAAGTGGTATCTTTAATCTGTAAGCAGCCTAGGTTTTCATGGCTAATTCTGTCCTAGGTGCAGAGGGCACTCTCTCTCCTCCACCCAGAATTAATGACTGTATTTGTTCTTTTGGTAAAGTTAGCGTATCTTGGGGTTCTCAAGTACTTTGCCAGATAAGTAGGGCTCATCTTCCCAGAGTCCCCAGTTTTCTGTTCATTGAAATCTTCCTTCTCTGGAGAACCATATGACATTTGAAAAAGTCATGAAAGGTAAACAGAGAGATCTCCATCTTGGGTTTTGATAATATCCTGATCTTAGTTCTGGTAGAGTAGCAGTGAGGGAATTCTTACAAATGTCAGTCATATGAAAGATTCCAGGCCTGATTTTTGAACCCTGTGCCTTCTAGTATATCTTAAATATTTCTTCCATAGTCTGGTATCTTGAATAAGATAGACATTATGCTTTTCGACTTTGCTGATGTGATCCAGGTCTCATGCTTGAGTATAATACTAAATCGAGCTCAGAATAATAATTAAATGTTGAGTATACACATGACTTATAATTTTAAGTTACAGGAATCAAGGGGTTGACCCATCTTTTCTTGGAAGAGTAAGGGAGGCAGCCATTCTCAAATGGTTTCTTTCTGTTTTGTAAATACCCTTTTTCCCTTGAAAGAAAATTTATCTGTTGGTCCGGACTGCACAGCTAGTGCTGGGAATCATAAGTAGACAAAGGAAGAATCTTTCAAATGTGGAAATAAAATGATGGCCCCAAACTGGTTATCTCAGATTTCTTAGATATTAAAGATAACCAGAAAAAATAGGAGTTTGTGCATTAGGGGAAAGCCTGTAAACTTGAGTGGTTTTCCCATAACACAAATGATAATAAACTATATTTATTTAGTACTTACTA
Organism: Homo sapiens; assembly: GCF_000001405.40. Classification (NCBI taxonomy): domain Eukaryota; kingdom Metazoa; phylum Chordata; class Mammalia; order Primates; family Hominidae; genus Homo; species Homo sapiens. The sequence continues at coordinate 69,746,332 of NC_000017.11, forward strand.
TGTGTCTCATACTAAGGACATTAAGTGCCATTGTTTCCTACAACATTATCATCCTATTTTCCAGACAAATCAAATGGAGCTAGAAACCTAACAGATATCATAACGCTAAGAAGTAGAGAGCAGGAGTTAAACTTAGATCTTTCTGTTCTCAGCTCTTCTGTTCTTTCCAATGTAAAGCACATCTGGAAAGGAGATTTACTTTGTGTGGAAAAGAAAACTTCTTAAAATGGAAATAGGGTAAAACCTAGGAGTGGCTATTGGTAAAGTTTTATTAGAGGTAAAGGGAACTTCAAAGGCAATGTGATTCTATCTTCTAACTTTTTAATTGAGGAAGCTGTGACCCAGAGATGGTGACTTGCTTGTGGTCCTGAAGAAGGTCTACTGTCTCCAGCATTGTGAAAGGATGACTCTTGTCTGCCAGTTGCTGGCCAGCCTAGGCAAAATCTTCTCCAGCAACTTCAGATCCCCAGCTGGGCTGTCCCTGAGACTCCCCAACCTTCATATGGTGTTTCAAATTTCAAGCCACCTGAAATGACAAAGAAACAAGAATTTGAGGCACACCTGGGCAGTAAGATAAGAACGGGCAACTAGATGTCCTGTGTGTCTATGCAATTCTGGCCAAGTGTGCATACTCTCAGGAAGAACCTATAGTTGAGATCAGAACAACAGTTGGCAAATGGGAACTCTCCTTAAGGTAAAAGGGTTCCTGATTTAAAGATTTTGTCTATCCCTTTGCAAAGTCAGAGAGGCCCCCTATAATGAGAAAACATTGCTCCAAGAAGGTATGGCTGCAACTTGTAGAAAGTATCCAGGGTCACATATAGACTGTAAGTACCTAATTATCCTCTAGACCTGTGCAGCCCAAGATAAGTGTCATCAATTAAAATTAAATGGATATCAATTAGAATTAAATCTAATTAAAATTCAATTGTGTTGCAATAGTCACCTTTCAAGTGTTCAACAACCACATGTAGCTAGTGGCTATCATTTTAGATAGGACAGAAGTAGAATATTATGATCATCACAGAAAATTTTATTAACAGTGATTCTCTAGTCTGTGCAAATGTTCATGACTAGAAGTGAGACTTTATTCAAGAAGAGTCTTCTTTGAGAAAAGCTTCATAGAGGAGGTGGCAACTGAGATGACTTGCAAAACAATTCAAAATTAGTCATGTAAATGTTGGGGTGAATTATGGCAAGAGTCAGAAACTGGGAAAAGCATCCTAGACCAGGACATTGAAATTGCCTTGTAGAGTTTTAGTAATTTTGCAACTCTGAAGGGTAAGATGCATGAAGAACCATGATAGGAAATATGACTAAATAGATGACCTGGTGATTTACTAAAGAACCTTGCATATTGTTATAAGGAGTTTGAATTTTCATCCTAAGCATGAAGGGGAATTATTCAAGGATTCTCTGTAGAGATAGCTTGGAAATGGCTTGGCCAAATTTTGCAAAAATTACTGTTGAAAATGAGTGAGAATTAGAATGAAAGGGGATATTTTGGGAGAAAATAAAGAAAATAGTAGGCTGAAAAGCTATTGCATTTACCCCCATGTTTATTGCAGCACTGTTCACAATAGCAAAGATATAGAATCAACAAAGGTGTTCATCAAAGATGATTGCACAAAGAAAATGTGATATATATTATATATATAGCCAATATATACTATTCACAGCCAATAGAATACTATTTGGCCATAAAAAAGAATGAAATCTTATCATTTACAGCAACACAGATGGAACTGGACATTATTACTTTGAGTAAAATAAGCCAGATGTAGGAAGGCAAATATTGCATATTCTCACTCATATGTGGGAGCTTAAAAAATTGATCTCATGGAGGTAGAGAGTATAATAATAGTTATTCCTGCAGGGATCTCCATAAGCAATTTCTTAGGCTTATTACCATGGGTAACCAATTTAGGAACATTTATACCAAACACTCACATCTTCATTGACACAGAAGGAAGACTTGTAGAGAGTCTGAAAGAATATATTTTCTCAAGCCATGTATCTGACCAATATGAAGCTTCAGCCGCTTGGCTATTCCAAAATTAAGTGATAAAGAGATGAGTAACCTGTTCTGCAATTATACAGGCAGTAGGAAAAATAGAAAATAAAACAAGACATAAGTAACCTGATTTTTGTCATCAAGATGTTAACCAAGAACTGTCAAAACATGCTTGTGTAACATTATAATAATTAGAAATAACAAAAACATGATAATTGCCTGAATATCTGATATATTTGCTATTGTGTTAGTTCTCATTCTGCTAGTAAAGGTATACCTGAGACTGGGTAATTTATAAAAGAAAGAGGTTTAATTGACTCACAATTCAGCATGGCTGAGGAGGCCTCAGGAAACTTACAATCATTGTGGAGGGGGAAGCAAACACGTCCTTCTTCACAGGGCAGCAGGAAGGAGAATGAGTGCTCAGGAAAGGGGGAGGCTCCTTATAAAACTATCAGATCTTGTGAGAACTAACTCACTATCATGAGAACAGGGTGGGGGAAACCACCCCCAAGATTCAGTTATCTCCATCTGGTTCCTCCCAAGACACATGGGAATTATGGGAACTGCCATTCTAGATGAGGTTTGGGTGATGACACAGCCAAACCATATCAGTTATTATTATTTTTTCACTATGTATGGGAGACCAGACACTGTGCTAAACTCTAAAGTGCTTTATACATTTATTTTCTAAGTATTATTAGCTCTATAAAAAATGGAGAAAGCTGAGAAAGAAAGGGCAAAATCATACTTAATTTATCCATGTATTCAGTAAAGGAAAAACCCAGGCTCTGAATACCAGCTGCCTCACCCCAAAGCACTTGTGTGTGACTTCTACATTCTTCATAATTTCATGTACTCCTCATGAGAATCCTGAAGATAAGTATCATTAGAACCACTTTGCAACTCATGAACCAAAGCTCTGATAAGTTAAATAAATTGTCCAGTATCACACAGCTCATAAATAGCCAAACTGACTTTCCAATTTAGGTCATTGATTCAAGGTCCTTTCTCTTTCCACTGTTTTCCTGGCTTCTAGTGTTTCATCCTCATGAACTGTCATAGACTTTATTGATAGTGAGGAAAATTAGAGAAATCCAAGGCTGGTCAGGACCCAGAAGGTGATCACATCCTTCTCCCTGGTACCTGGCAAGACAGAAACTCTACCTGCTCGGTATCAAGCTGAAGAGGGTTCTTTGATAAATAGCGTTGATATTACTACATTATAATAGTCTTACATGCTTACTGAAGAAAAGCTGGAGAATAGAAAAATAACTTCAAATATGCAAATTTTTATTTATTAATATTCTTCTTAAAAAGGAAATATATCTTTTTGCTTATAGCCCTTCTCATATAAAATGACATTTCCCATATCTTTAAGTATTTTTCTACATTATGATTTTAAAAACAGCTTTGAGTACCATTGAATGATAAACCATAATGTATTGAAGCAATTTGGATTTTTGCCAATTATGTTATCATCCTTGGCTAATGGCTATGATTATTTCCTTATGATCAACTCCAACAAATTGAATTCCGAGTCAGGGGCAGTAGAATTTTAATTTTTTTGATATATAGTGCCACATTGCCTTTCAAAAAACATGTGCCAGTTGGTGCTCCTACCAATAGAGTGTGAATGTATTCATTTTCTGTATTCTTGCCAATTCAATTGGCAAAAAATGGCGTCTCTTTGCTGTTTTAAAGATTTTGGTTTCAACTGTGGTAGACTGAATCATACTTCCCCCACCTTTCCCCCCGCCAAAAAAACTGCTTATGTCCTGATCTCTGGAACTTGTGAATATGTTACTTTAACGACCAGTGATGATGAGCTTTTTTCATATGTTTGTTGGCTGCATAAATGTCTTCTGAGAAATGTCTGCTCATATCCTTTGCCCACTTTTTGATGGAGTTGCTTGTTTTTTTCTTGTAAGTTATTTAAGTTCCTTGTAGATTCTGGATATTAGCGCTTTGTCAGATGGATAGATTGCAAAAAGTTTCCCCATTCTGTATGTTGCCTGTTCACTCTGATGGTAGTTTCTTCTGCTGTGCAGAAGCTCTTTAGTTTAATTAGATCTCCTTTGTCAATTTTGGCTTTTGTTGCCATTACTTTTGGTGTTTTAGTCATGAAGTCTTTGCTCATGCCTATGTCCTGAATGGTATTGCCTAGGTTTTCTTCTAGGGTTTTGATGGTTTTAGGTCTTATGTTTGAGTCTTTAATCCATTTTGAGTTATTTTTTGTATAAGGTGTAAGGAAGGGGTCCAGTTTCAGTTTTCTGCATAAGGCTAGCCAGTTTTCCCAACACCACTTATAAATTAGTGAATTCTTTCCCTATTGCTTGTTTTTATCAGGTTTGTCAAAGATCAGATAGTTATAGATGTGTGGCGTTATTTCGGAGGCCTCTGTTCTGTTCCATTGGTCTATATATCTGTTTTAGTATCAGTACCATGCAGTTTTGGTTACTGTAGGATTATAAATCATTCTACTATAAAGACCCATGCACACATACGTTTATTGCAGCACTATTCACAATAGCAAAGACTTGGAACCAACCCAAATGCCCATGAATAATAGACTGGATAAAGAAAATGTGGCACACATATACCATGGAATACTATGCAGCCATAAAAAAGATGAGTTCATGTCCTTTGCAGGAATGTGGATGAATCTGGAAACCATCATCCTCAGCAAACTAACACATGAGCAGAAAACCAAGCACTGCATGTTCTCACTCATAAGTGGGAGTTGAACAATGAGAACACATGAACACAGGGAGGGGAACATCACACACTAGGGCCTGTCAGGGGGTGGGGGACTAGGGGAGGGATAGCATGAGGAGAAATACCTAGTGTAGATGACGGGCTGATGGGTGCAGCAAACCACCATGGCACGTGTATACCTATGTAACAAACCTGCATTTTCTGCACATGTATCCCAGAGCTTGAAGTATAATAATAATAATAATAATAATAATAATAAAGAATATGTTACTTTATATAGTAAAAAGGAATTTATAGATGTGATTGAATTAAGGATTTTGAGATGGGAAGGTTATCCTGGATTACCCTGTTGGGGCCAGTGTAATTCTAGAGTCCTTATAAGGGGAAAAGAGGAGGGCAAGAGTTATAGAAAGAAGATGTGAGGATGGAAGCAGAGGTCAGAGGTGAGAGAAGATACTATGCTGTTGCAATTGGAGGAAGGGGCCATGAACCAATAAATGTGGGCATCCTCTAGAAGCTGGAAAAGGCCAGCCACAGATTCCCAAAGAACCTCCAGAAGGAACACATCTTTATTAGTCCATTTTCATGCTTCTAATAAAGGCTTACCCAAGATTGGGTAATTTATACAGGAAAAGGCTTTAATGGACTCACAGTTCCAGATGGCTAGAGAGGCCTCACAACCATTGTGGAAGGCAAGGAAGAGCAAGTCTTTTCTCTTTGCAGTAGGCAAAGAGAGAGCTTGTGCAGGGAAACTCCCCCTTGTAAAACCGTCAAATCTCATGAGACTTATTCACTATCATGAGAACAGCATGGGAAAGACCTGCCCCAATGATTCAGTTACCTCCCGCTGGGTCCCTCCCACAACACATGGGAATTATGGAAGCTACAATTCAAGATGAGATTTGGGGAGGGAAAAGGCAAAACCATATCAACACTCTTGCAGACCCATTTTAGATTCTCACTTCCAGAACTCTAAGATAATATATTTATGCTCTTTGAATCCACTGTTTTGTGGTAACTTGCTCCAGCCTTCTTTCTTCTTTTCATATTTGCTTTCCCCTTCACCCTTAGCTTATTTTTTTCTATTGCTGAACTTTTTACCTATGGCTTTTTAAAGGCTCTTTATAAATTAAGAATATTAACCATTCTTCAGTCACATGTTGCCAATATTTTCTCCAATTGTTTGTCTTATAAATTTTTTTTCAGTCTTTTGTGTGTAGTCTTTTTTTTCCCCCATAGGATATAGTAATGAGAATCATTATAACCTGTAGTATCAGAAAGTTCTGGACTTGAGTTTCAGCTCTAATTTTAGACAAGTTGTTTTACCTCCCTGAGCTTTAACTTTCCTATATGGACATTTGGAAAATAGTAATATCAGCCTTATAAAGATAATTGTAATGATTAAATGAAATAATGCATGTACATAATTATCATTGTATCTCATATTTAGTAAGTAATCAATACATATTAGATATTCATTTTACATTATTTTCTTGTCATCTTTTATTTTCTGGTTTCTTCCCCTTGAAATTAATTTTTTATCTACATAAGAGTACATGTTTACAAGGTACATGTGGTATTTTGATGCAAGCATACAATGTATCATGATCCAGTCAGAGTGATTGGGCTATCCATCACCTCAAACATTTATCATTTCTTTGTGTTGGGAACACTCCAAAACTTGTCCTCTAGCTATATGGAAATACACAATACATTATTGATAAATATAGTTGTCCTACTATGCTATTAAACACCAGAACTTATTCCTTCTATGTAATTGCATGTACTGATTAACCAACCTTTCTTCATCCGTATCTCCCACATACCCTTGTCAGCCTCTGGTGATCACCATTCTACTCATTGTCTCCATGAGATCTACATTTTTAGCTCCTACATATGAGTGAGAACGTGTAGTATTTGTCTTTCTGAACCTGGCTTATTTCACTCATGATAATGTCCTTAATTTCCATCCATGACACTGCAAATGACAAGATTTCATTCTTTCTTATTGCTGACTAATATGGTTTCTTTCTCTGCTAAAGGACCTGGGGTAAGAAGCTTTCCATTTTATCTTGGATCCATTCAATGGTTCCAAATTTCATGTATTTAGAAGCTTGCCTTTTTCAGTCTAAATCAAATTATTCCCAGCCCTAATTACTGCCATTTTCTTGTCTCAGACATTAAAGGAGAATAGCAAGTCACCCTTATTTTCATTCTGACCCATGATGAGCTTGATGGCTTGTCATTATAGTTAGCTGGGAAGCCTGGTTGCTGATGGACGCTTTGCTCTTTCACTCTTGAATTGGTGGATAAGGAAGAAAGAGGCGAAAGTTTGTCTTTCCCCATCATTCTCTCAACTGATTCTGGAGAAGATCATTTCCATTTTGATCTCAGTAATGGCAGGTGATGAAACTGCCAATAAGTTCCAGGTTTATCTAACAGCTGGGTCAAAGGTAACATGTGTATAAATGTGAGCTCTCATCCAAGCTTTTTTGCAAAATAAAACTGTCTGGAAGTCAAACATCTGTTAAAAGAACGCAGAATTCTAGGCAAAATATATCCAGAAGCAACTTGTATAACCTGCTAGTGCTAGTGCTTTTTGTTCTCATGATTTTTTCAAATGTGTTTGCTTTTTGAAGTGGTGGGGGTGGGTAGACAAAAGTAGAAATGTCTTTTTAAAATACTCCAAGTACGTTGGGTTTTCTTCTCTTGGATTTTGGATCAACATTGATTTGGCAGAATTTGGAAGCAGATTTCTTTTTTTCCTAAGAGGGAAAGAACCCTAGTCCAAAGTGTTTTATTTCCTCTATCAGCAGAATTCTGAGGTCATTATGACAGAAAATGACAATTTGGTTCAGAAGGGAGCAGATGATTTTTTCTTGTTGTTCAAAGTTCTAACTATCTGATTACTTGCTCTGTGATTGCAGGGATGCTTCTATTCTCTGTCCTAGTGTCAGAATTCTCACAAATGAAAAAAACCAAACAAACACAAAGAGGATTATAAATGGGTTCGCTTATACCTACTGTCCCTTTGATTTGAAGTGATAATAATTATTACTTCATCTCAAATCATCTCTTTAGGAGCGTCTATTGAATGTCTAATATCCCAAAAGTTGTCAGTATAAAAGAGAAAATAAAGCAGATTACTCTTTGACATCACAGTACTTGGTATGCTGTGTGTTTAGCAGGCAAGAGCAACCCTGGCCATCTACATGCTCTGGAAGATATTCCAGATGATATTACATGCATCTGGAATATCTTCTCTACTCAATTGCTTAGAATGTACTTGGTAAACCATCCTACTGAACTAGCATGTTATTCCATTTGAATGCTTTTCATTAGCCCAGAATCCCAATTGTCCAGCACTCCCTCCCTTCTCCTGATCCAATAGAGATACTAAGCTTTTCCATTATATGTCACCTCCTTCTCCCCAAGGAGTGCTGCCTTCTCACAGGGCCACTTCTGATCTTACACATTCTCAAGTATTCTTCCTTTAGAAGCTGCAGTGCCAGAATTCTGATTCCTCGGGTGTCAGAACTGTTCTCTGTTTTCCCACTCAGGACTGGTTCCTCTCTTTCTGTGAGTGACATTGTCTGGTTTCTTTCGCCACTTGAACCCTATTACACTTTCTTCTTTATTACATAGCCCTCACCTGATTCTTTGCTCGGGCATGACTCCAGATCTTTCACCACTGGTCTCAATGGATATTTATCTACTTATATGAACATCAGAGTCAGTAGCATTTCTGTTTTATCGTTATGCTAGAGGCATGAACTATGGTAGATTTTAGTTACTCTGCTTGCTGACCTACCTGGTGTTTTGTGGATGTACAGAGAGATTTGAATTTAGGTATACACTGTTATCATGGAGTATGGTCTTAATTGATTAAAATAAAACAGGATCTCTCCTTTGCTACCATTAAACCAGGACACCTCACCATACCCATTTTACAAATCTTACAAAGATCCTTATATAGATTGCATGCAAATGTTTTAGTCCTGCAACCTGGTTTATAGATCTGAGGTGCATTGCCCACATATCCAGTTATAAGGAGAAAAACAAATCAGCATTAATATGGAGGTTCTCCTCTCCCCTAGCCCTACAAAAGTTCTTGAATAACTTATGGCTCTATAAAAAGCTTCTTGAAAGTTTTGATGGTGCTAAGACTCTATAACCAATAACATCCTGAGACCCAGGCAAAAGGTTTCTTCTGAGCTTTGAACTTTAGAGGGTCCTACATAACACACACACACACACACACACACACACACACACACACACACACACAAAATTTATTAAAGAACACACAGGATTCTTTGTCATTTGGGTCCAGCACTTGGTGCTGGCATAGTGTGACCAATAATCCTAAACATCTACTCTTTTAACCAACACTGTCCAAATCCCAGAGAAAAGCTCCTCTATATTCCTTGCTGTGTGTCCACAAAACAAAAGAAGTTGTGTCCAAAGGCCATGCAGGTTTGTGGATTGCAACCCTGTTGACATCAGAGATGGACACTGCTTCAGAGTGCAGGGAGAATTTGAGCAGTAGAAGGGCTTGATTTAGAGGAAAGACAAATCAACTAATTTGTCCAATAATATGATGCATTATGTAATAGGAATACTAGATTATAACATGATAAAATATCATTTCTCAACAGTGCCAACTATTCATTTTCTTGCTTCTCTTAATGTTTTAATTTGCGATTCCAGAGAAACTCTTAAATTAGTGCAAGATTTGCAAGGATTAGCTCAAAAATTATCTTATTATATTAAACAATCCATATTATTCTTAAATTTGCATATATGTAAATAGCATGCATGATGTGTGATACTGGTGTTTATAATGCTGACTAGATAGGTCCCAAATACTAGAATTGCAAATAATTTCATTTTTACAAAAATATTTTTAATTTGTAATTTTATTTGTATAGCTTACTCTATAATTTTGAATTCTTAAAGAAAAATGACTTTTAAAAAATATATTCAATTTATTTTTTATATCTTACATATAATTTTAGTTTTAGATGAAAATACACTCAAACTTGAATACTTTGAATACAATTACATTTTATGTTTTACTCCATTAGTCCATGCTCAATCTTCTTAGATATTTGGTCAATTCTTAGTCTTATGACAAACCATAACTTAATGCGTTTCTTATTTTGTGATTACAAAGGTCTATTTGTCAAAGTTGGGGAATAGAATATTTAAATCAAGCATCATTTTTACTATTGCTCGAGCCCTGAAAATACTAAGGGCGGATTTGCCTACAATCTTTCTCGGTAACTTGTTCTAGTGGTTGTCATTCTGTTATTTGAAATATTTTTCTTGTATCAAACAGAAGTTTTCCCTACTTTATCTTAAGCCATTTCTTCTTACATTTACAATTATACACACACACACACATTTGCATACATATGGTGAACATTATCAGATGTGTTTTATAAAACATGTCTTAATAACAATTTTCCCTGAAAATGAGTATTTAGAATTGTGTTTTTGTTCTCACATTTTTATGATTGATTTTTCAGGTCTTATCTCCCTACCGTATATAGAGGTATTTCCCTACTTCTGAAAGGTAAATGAGAACTCCATGATAGTTATTATTAATAGAATAGCATTAAAAATACACATCTGAAAAGGAAACATCATGGAAATGCTTTGGAAATACACTTTTTTTCAGGTTAAGTCTTCATTTTTCTGCAGTTAGTCTAAACTTAAATTTTGTTTGGCTTGTGTATTACTAAGTGACTGTGTGGAAAACAACTGAGCTTAGCTGGCTTGGAAGTTTGGGTTCTGTCTTCTAAGGATTCTGTCATGCTGGCTGGAGGCTTAGTTGCTCATCTATAAAATATAGAGCTTCTGCTTCCAACCTACTACCTATTTCATAGACATGCAGTAATGTTTTAATGAAAAGTACTTTGAGCTCTTTGGGGGAAAGAAAAAGATGCTCTCTGTAAACAAAGAATTGGTACCAAAATATTCTTTTCATTAGGTCTTTGGATCTCCTAATGAAAGTCCAGGCTACCTAATGGATGGGGATTTATAGATGGCCAGCATATCCAAGCACACTCAAACATTAAACAAACACAGATGTGCAAATGAGATTATGAAATTGCCCAACAATGGTACAGCTTGTACCTGGAAATTGATGGAAGAGACTGATTTTTCATAACTCTAATTATTCTCACTCTCAACCATACATTGGAGACGTAAACTGTCTGAGCTTGCCATTACTGAAATGGCAATCCTTTTATAAAACTCTTAACAGTCCTCCACGGGCAAAGAAAAATTAGGAACAGATTGTCTAAAACTGGGTCTACGTTGGTCTTTGGACTTTTTTTAGAGAATTTAAAATCTCATCTAGATTGTCACAGGTACCAAGTAGTAATCCTGAAGGACACACAGCTAGTGACTTGTAAGCCAAATTTATTAATTTTGCAATTTCCCATAGATTTCAGGAATTGCTATAGAAACAGAGGCTTTGGGGGCATCTGAGAGCTGCCTAGGGCTTTGTTTTAGTATATAATATGCAGACACTCCCTGAAGGGTAACCCCACAATACAGACCAGAGGGCATTGATAAAGGTCCTGACTTCTAGGCTTTTATTATTTCCTCCCTCATTAAGTCTATGAGTGACACAAATGAAAGGAGACTTTAATGATGACAGTGACACATTTTGATTTGGATTACCCTGGTGGCCTTTTCTCTCAAATTCACTAAATTCTTGCTCAACTCTCGTCTTGACTCTCACTCATACTGGCCATCTTCTGTTACTATTTGGCAAAAGCTTTCTGCCCTAAACGTTCCTGTCTTGCACAATGGAAATGGTACTCATAAGGTCTCAATCAAAATGTCATGTGAATTATTTTACTTTTCATGAGGAAGATAAAAATAAACTAGATTGGGATTGGAAAATCCATTTCATATCATCGACCTCAAGCAGTCTTCATCTGTAGTCATTCCAGAGTGGTTTCATCTACTTTCTAACCTATCGTTGCATCTTCCTCATGGTGACTCAGGCTACCCTTCTATTGCCCAATTCTTGTTACGACTTGGGAGGTTATTGTGGTTGGTTTGTTTTTAATATCTTGCCCAATCTTTCCATTTTTTAGTTCCAGACTGTTGCGTTTAATCACTTTCAACTATCCCATTCTTTATAGAAAGACACAGTACTGTATGTGACCTAGCTCAAGTATTTTTCGATTTCATTCTAGGGTGGGTGCCTCATACCCATGGACTCTACAGAAATTGCAAGTGGGAGATTGTTATACAATTTCTTTTTATCCTCATAGTGACCAAGTTTTGGGTAATTCACAATTATCACTGCATTGATTCCTCATAATTGTCCTGTTCTGTTGGACATTAAATTCCCATTTGGTAGATGAGGAAGCTAAAAACAAGACAGTTTAGTCAACTAACTAACCCAAGGTCATCTAATTTGTAATTGACAGTGCTAGTAACTTGAATCCAAGTTTGACTAACTCCAAAACCCATTTCTGTGTATCATATACCTGCCTCCCCATTAATCTGCCTTAATTCAGTCTTACACATATTTTCCTTTGTCCATTTCTCAAAAAGTCACACTATCAATATCAACTCCTATTTTACGTTCTAAACACAACTTTTAAATTTTCATCAGAATTCTTCCTATTATTAAATTTCATTTTGCTTAAGAGAAGTAAGCACCTGGGCTGTACATACACCACCTCTGTCTGATCCTTCTCCAGGGGTTAAGCATGCATTTGGAAGCCTACATAGCCACGTGTTGTACTGCCTTTCCTTAGATACAGTGCAACAAAAATATCAATCAAAAATGCCATGCCCACAGAAACCTTAGGACCTTTATTAAAATAAACAAGCATACTTTATTCTAAGTTCCAAGAAAAAGGTTTTAATCTTTTAGTTCAAATAAATAATGTTTTTCAATAGAGTCAGAGACTGTTTCCCATGGAGCTCTGTTAGTACATGAAGCCTTTTTAGAATGTTACATAGTTATCATTTCTTCCCACTTTCATGGTTTCTTATCAAATATACATCTTACGTATTTGACTTAGTTGTGAGAAGTTGCTCATTTGATCAAAGCTACCCTGCTTATTGCAAATGTGGATTGGGAGGAGCTCTATAAACTGTTACCTCTTGTTCAAACTGTACTACATTTTTTTGGTAACCTACCACCTATATGTGGGTAGTAACAGAAACACAGCGAATGATCGTAACTTTTTCCAAGTGAAATTTCACCATCAGTTTCAATCATGCAAAGTGACTGAACATGAGATAATGGTTTTCATGGTCTTAGAATTGTTTTCCACAACATATTTTACTTTAATAAAAGTCAGGATATCATTTTGAATATTTCATTCATCCATATGAGCCTGGCTTTCATCCAGGTAGCATCACACATCATTTACTTATTTAATTTTCAGTAAGCTGGTACCATAATGGTCCAACAACAACAAAAACATTGACAAAGTTACCAAGATCTTGAAAATAATGCTTCTATCACTACCTCCAGATTTCTCTTTTTTCCCTTAATTCTTAACCGTTACTTCCTTAAATAAGTTTTCCTATTCAGTGAGCAGCTGCATAAATCATTAGAAAATGGCCAGAAATACAGAAATGCCAAAAAGCCCTCTTTTTTTTTTTTTGGTCTTTATTTTAATACAATGAACACAGGTGCATCCAGTGTGGTATTTTTTATAGCAGTGGTTCTGAGCTCAAATTAAACTTCTGTCAAACCATTGAGCATCATAGAGCTTTAAAACCAAGTGGATGAAACTAGGTCTTCAGCCTCTCTGAGTTGATTAACTGCTTTCTACTACACGGGGGTTTTCTAATATTCCTGATTTTATATTACCATTTTGTGTCAGACTTAGACTTCTAATGGAAACTTTCAATTCCAAACAGAGAAAATAATAGCAACAATAATAATTTATCTTTTGGCTTTCAATGTCTTTTCACATTCTTCTCACTTGAACTTTAAAAAAATCCAGCTAGGCAAAAGGGCAAATCTTACTCTCTCCATTTTACAGAGTAAGAAATGGAACCAGAGGAATACAACCACCCGTTAACCAAAGCTACTATTAGTCTTGCTCTCATTTGTCCTCACTCTGTGTTTCCTGGATCCAAAGCTTGATTTGTTCATTTTCTTATATAGAGAGCCAGACTTGTAGTAAGTTACCCACCTGAACTCAGCAGTGTGGGGGGAGGAGGGAGAACTGTGAGCCCTTATTAAAAGTTAAATTATATAAATAGATGATATTAAAGACAAAGGTAAAGAATACTCAAAACTAGTCACTGAGGTTACTGATGCCTAATGTATTCATGTGGCAGAAATGCTATATGGTGGGGCACTGCCATGCAGTCAGTTGACCTCACGTTGGTAGCTTGACATTGGCTATGATGGGAATCTTCACACCATAAAAGTTGGGAAACATTTTAAATCAGGTAATGTTAAGTGTTTACCAACACAACACTAGGCAGGACCATGTATACCAAAGAATAGTCAAAGAAAGAGCAAAGCCTTTCTAAGCACTAATTTAGTTTGGCTGAGATGGTGAATTGGATTGAGGTGTAAACAGGGCTAGAGAGACTCTTCACAGACTTAGAGGGCTCTAGAAATTAGAAAACCCTTGGAGAATACCTGACTCAACAACCAGATTTGACCAATGAGAAAACTGAGGCCCTAGTGGTAATCTCCCCAAAACTAAACCACAAACGCATGGCAGCTAGGGCTTGAATGACACAGAAGATTTTCTTCTCTTTCACACATTGCACATGAAATGTCTGAGTAATCAAAGTTACTGTCAGTCTCACTCTCTTTTTTTCTCTATGCTTCCTAGTTCCAAAGCTGGGCTTACTAATTTTCTCATATATAGGACCAGTCTCACTGTACATCCCTAATATTGATATTGACCTAAGAAGTATTTAAATAAATGCCAGTCCCAATCCCATCCACCCCAACATAACCTGTGAGGCTTCCTAAAGTTTTCTATTTTGAATGACCCAGAATTTCCCCCATGTTATACTTCTCTCTGCTGCAGTTCTTCTATACTTTGAATTGGGCTCCTATGCCTGATGCCTCACCAGGATTCCTTACATGTTGATGTCCTTCTACTACATCTTGCAACTCTGGCACAGATCACTTGACTAAAATGAGACTGGGAATTACAATTATTTTAGATTGAGTCATTTTCCCACCATGTTGCTCTCATCCTGTCCTCCTGCTTCTCTATCTAACACCTCCCTTCCTTTCCCTTTTCTCTCAAATCTGACCAGGTACAGAACTCCTTTTTTCTCGTCTTCTGGGCTACTACATAGCCATGCTTCACTATAACATACCAAATGTGTTCCTTACACGTCGATCTTGGCAGTAGGATATACAATCAGAATTCTCATTATTCTTGACCCAAGGAGAGAGAATTGTTGATAAAATTGGCAACAACAAGGACAAACATGATTTATTTATATATTGATTTAAGAAATATGGGAAGCCTAGCCATAAAAGGCAGTATTTTATGTACTTGGCAAAAATATGAAAAATATAATAATTGAGGGCAAAGGTGTTGCTCTAAGAATTATTCTTAGAGGTGAAATTCAGAATAGTTATTTATGGACCTGGAGACCAAATAATAAAGGGGAAAGGAATTAGGAATTTTAGAAAAATATTGTTTTAGGCAAGAAGAAAGACACACAGAGGAGGTTAGCTGGGGTAGCAGTGTGCGAGGGGAGCAACAGAGGATGCGTATGAGCAGAGAATGAGGAAGGGCTATGAGGAACTTTGAAAGGGTGGAAACTTGGACTTTTGAAGGTAGGAATAGATTGGTGGAGAGATGTGGCTACAACAGAAGTTTGGAATGAACATTGGCAAAGAATCTCCTCATGGCGTGTTGGGAAAGATGGATGAAAGAGTAAGTGAGGTGAAAGGAAGGGAAATTGAGTCATAGTCCCCCAGTCCAAATATGCACTGCTGAAGGGAATTGAGCCAACAGCAAAGCTTAAAAAGAACTCATGACTGGATATCCTCAATGAGAGTGAAACCTCTTTCTTCCAGTTCCTGCTTGAAAATATAAACAACATGCAAATTCAAACAAAAAAATTCTTCCTCTGTCACGTTGAGAAACCCTCTGTTTACTTTGTTGTTGTGACTCACTTTGAGAGTATTCTTACAAGAATGCAATTTGTAGGGATGGGCAGACCTGTAGGGGGAAAAACAAGAACCTCTCTGGAATGTTTACCCATTCTTGGGACCATAGATTTTTTTTTTTTCTACAAAGGTCTCTATTCCTTTTTAAAAGACTCAGTTTAGTTTTGGAGAGGAAAAATATCTCAGATATAACAGCATAACTGGGGTGAGGTACACAAGACTTCTAAGAATCATTTTTTAAAGAAGCAATAGAAGATGCCCAATGATGTAAAACAAAAATCACTTTTCTTAATTCAAGTTTTACCCAAGTGGATACCAAGAGACAGGAAAACTTACAGGAATGGAATGATGGATGGTCATACTTGGACGTGCTAGCCCAGGAATGAAGAAGACTTAGACATGTTATAGTTAATTGTAGCTAAATGGAAGAAAAGGAGACAGGGAAAGCAAGAGGTAAATACAGGTCAAATCAAATCAAAGAATCAAAGCCCTGTGCTTCAGATGAAGTATTTTAATGATACAAATTGTCTGTGTCAGGGGCTTAAATGTGTACATTTAGGGGTACTGTCTCAAAAAAAATGAGCTTTCTTCCACAAAACTAAAATCCACATGGACAATTTTGAATCGGATGGATGAGAAAGCAAAGTAAGTTCTCCGTAAATACACAGATGCTGTTAAAGGATTGGTGCCTTTTTTTCTTGTCTTTTTTCCTTTTTTGGAGGGTGGAGGTGGGGCTAGATAATCTTGGCTTTAGAACATTTAATCCTGACATACTTTATAAGGAGCTGCATTCAGCAAAGTCTTTTGACATTCTTAATTTGCCTATCTTTGATCTCTGGAGAGATGAATCTGAGGTTATGGTGGTTCTAAAGAAAAAAACATTAATTCAATGACACATGTGTGAGAGAGGAATGAGCTAGAAATTAGGAGAGAATATGTAGTTGGGGGGTTCAGTGGCGTTTCAGCATTTCTGGGGAGTACTGTACAGTGGGGGCTCTGTGTGAAGCCTTTGAGCCAAGTGGTTGGAGACAAGGTAGATGGTATTTTAAAGGGCATCAGAACAATACTAATTAATCTGTTTTATTTTCACCTTCTGCTTAGGATTTTTTTTTTTCTGAAAGCACTTACACTTAACAAAGAAAAACCTTATTTGAGGAGCAAATACACAATCTTTCCTAACTCTTTTTAGAAGCCAAATGCAATTCAAATACACCTAGTCCTTCCTAAAATGCTTTATGTATTTTAACAAGTAAAACTAAGAAAATTGTATTTGTTAGTGCTTTATGTGAGTATGGCTGTGAAGTGTTTTCATCAAATTTGCACAGCATTTTTCTGTGACCTAATTTCACATACAGTTATGTGGCGTACAAAGAATTAACTTTAGAGACTCCCTGGGAAATACATCAAAGAGACACTGAGTCATCTTCTTGAAAAGTTTAAAGCCAAGATTGACAAGAGGCCTGGTTCAGAACAGACATGGCATTTATACTGAGGACCATGGACAGAGAACATGGTGGGTCCTCACATGGGCCCCAAATCAAGTCTCAAGAACGAAGCCTGAAATGTTGGAATTTCGGTGACAGCTGTTTCTCACTGGGCAACTTTATGATCCAGGGTAACAGCAGAGAGGGACTTACTTAAAAATAAGGATCCTTCTGTGCCTAGCAGAGAAGGCCAACTAGTATCCAGAGAAAACACTGGGAAAAACTTTGTGGTATTCAGTGGGTTACAAGATTGCCATCTGCATATATGATTTTCCTCTTCCATCTGTAGGTAAGTTATGTCCCTGGAAGAAAGCAGACCTGTCTCATGTTATTATTAGATTGATTTGTGTTCACAGTTTTATTTTCCCAATAAGATAGCAAGAGGCAATGCTTTCTAATTCTTTTATAATTCTTCATGGCACTTAGGATAGGGATAGGCATACAGCAGTTGTAAAATACATATTTTTGGTTAATAAGTTTAAATTGAAAAGTTGGGTAAGTGAATCAAAGATTCAGTTAATTCATGGTTCTGAAGGTTAGACCCGTAAATCTGTAAAAGTCTTTCAAATTGCTTTGATCATGCAATGAAAGTGAATTGCATTTCTTTTTCAGCAGAGTTTGTTTTGCAATCTGAATTTTTTGGACTTTGCTTTGAAAAGGTTGAAATGAAAGGCATGGCAGTGAATCAGCAATTTAAGAAGGTTAACAATTAGTCATAACTTTAATAGATGAGACAATTACACCATCTTTATCTTTTAAAAATAACTACATTTTTAATTAGATTTTAATCATAAAGGTCAGAGGTAGTGTAAGTTTAGAAAATCTGAAACAAAGTGTGTGTTGGCAAAACTACTTAATCTCAGATGTGTTAACTTGGCCAAATTAACTGAAACAGATGGTGAGAAGCTTTTGTTCCTTAAGTCATCAATTGCTGATTGCATGATCTTCATAATCTTTAATATTTTAAGACGCAGTCTCAGAACTCAGGTTTGTAAGTATTGCTTTCTATTTGTTTATTCCTTAAAATATTCTATAAGATCTCTGTTATTTGCTCTTGGCTTTAACAAAGTGCAATATGACCATTTAAAAAACTTGGTACCTCATTTTTGACTTTGCTTCTGTTAAACATATGACTCTCCTGCTTCTTGATGCATATTTTAGACCTTCATGAGCCATCAATTTTGAAAGTGCTAATTTCAGATGAACAATATTGACTTCAGCTGACAGTTGTTGCTCTGGTTACCTATTACTGTGTAACAAATGACTCTAACACTGTGGTACAAAACAACGATCATTTTTATCATATTCATCACTTTGTGTGTCAGGAATTGCAGGATACATCTGGGATTGCTGATCTGTGCTCGATACTGATTGGGACCTCAGGTGGCATATGGCTATGGCTTTAATGGCTGGAGTTGGCTGGGATGGCTAGACTAGGATATTGGTATGGGATGGTGGTTGCCTTCCTTACTTCTTCTCTATAACACATCTGCTGTGCTGAAATGTCCACAATAGCTTTTTAACTCATGTGTCTGGAACTTGAATTGCAATGGCTGGAAAAGGTAAAGCTGGCCAGGCATTCTTCTCTCCTCTCCTCTTCTCTACTCCCTTCCCCCTCCCCTCCCCCAGTCGCTCCCCTCCCCTGCCCTCCCTCTTCCTTCCCTTCCCTCCCCCTTCCCTCCCTTCCCCTCCTTCCTCTGTGCTCCCCTCCCCCTTCTTCCCTCCCCTCCCTCTCTTCTTCCCTCCCCTTCCCCCTCTCCTCCTCCTCCTCCTCCCCTCCCCGTTCCTTTCTGCTCTCCTCCCCTCCATTCCCTTCCCCTCCCCCTTTCCTCTTCCTTCCCCCTTCTTCCCTCCCCTCTCCTCTTACTTCCCCCTTCTTTCCTCCCCTCCCCTCCCTTCCTCTCTCCCTTCCCCCTCTTCCCTCCCCCTCTTCTCTTCCATCCCCTTCTTCACTCCCCTCTCCTCTCTCCCCTCCCCCTCTTCTCTTCCCTCCCCTCTCCTCTCTCCCCTCCCCTCCCCACTCCTCTCCCCTCCCCTTCTTCCCTTCCCTTTCCCCTCTATCCTCCCCTCCCTTCTACCTTCTCCCCTCCCCTCCCTTCTACTCTCTCCCCTCCACTCCCCTCCCCATCCTTACGCCTTTCCTCCCCCTCTCATCTCCCCTCTCCCCTTTCCTCCCCTCCCCTCCCCTCTCTCTTCCTCTCCCTTCTCCCCTCCCTGCTCCCCTCCTGCCCCTCCACAATCCCCTTCCCTCTCCTCCTCTGTCTCTCTCTCTTTGCATGTGACTTTTTCACATGACTAGCTTCCTCACAGCATGGTGGTTTCAGGGAAGTCAGATTTCTTGCATGGCAGCTGGCTTCTCCCAGAAGAAGCTTTCCCATAGAGGGAGCATGAAAAGGCCCAGGTGAAACTGCAAGACTTCTTGTGACCTGGTCTTGGAAGTCCTGGGATGTCACTTCTACCATATTCTATTGGTCAAACAAGTCACTAAGGCCAGACCAGATTCAAGGAGATGGAAGGAATGAGCTTGACGGGATGTGGCACATATGTACAGGGAGGAAAGGAATTAATTGATGGTGACCATTTAGGAGACAATCTACCAAATTGCCTTTTTGTTTTATGAACTAGATTTCTGTAACAGAACCCTTGTCCTCACCCTCAGGGCTCTCTTTTTTTTTTGAGACAAGGTCTCACTCTGTTGTTCAGGCTGAAGTGCAGTGGCACCACCTCAGCTCACTGCAGCCTTGACCTCCTAAGTTCAAGGAATCCCCCTGCCTCAGCCCCTCAAATAGGTAAGACTATAGGCATGCACCACCATGCCCAGCTAATTTTTGTACTTTTATTACAGACAGGGTTTTGCCATGTTGTTCAGGCTCATCTGGAACTCCTGAGCTCAAGTGATCTGCCCATACTGGCCTGCCAAAGTGCTAGGATTGCAGGCGTGAGCCACTGTGCCTGGCCACTTTTTTTTTTTTTTTAATATTTGATGTTTTAATTTTCTGTTGTTCCATGTGTGCTATTATTTCAAAGACAATCATCAAAGGATCAGTATTTTAACATCAATTTTAAATTTTCTACTTTTATTGCAAAATGCTGTTTCAATTTGCCTAACTCAGTTTTACATCAACAAACAGAAAGAAATGCTCCCAATTTTTCAGTGATACTAATCACTAAACTTCTTCAATTATACCTTTGTTTTCAACCATCACCTTCAGCAATTATGTTGTTTATGCTAGGGCATTTTAAAGGTTAGGAAATTCATTTCTACTATATATGAGAGCTTTAATTTTTTTTTAGTTCAGGGTTTTCAGCTAGAGCAGAGAGTTGATCTAATTATCTGATTCATTTGGGCTTTAAACCCATTGAACAGACATAGACAGATCTTATAATGTCACATAGTCCCAGTTTGCTATTAAGAATCTACGTGTCTTTGACAGCTATTTCTCTTGGCAATTTGAATTAAGTTGTGACACTGAGTTGGCTCCAGGGAAACATCTGAGTCAGGCAGAATTGGTCTTTGATGTTTTATATTTCCATTTAAGGACTTCAAATTTCCCAAGACATCCTACTTTTTAGATTTCTAGAGTCCTTAATAGCACCTCCCCCTCATCCCAATACAGGAGTCTGTAGAAGGTGCTTGCACTCACTATGACCACAGAGGTATATGATCATTCCTGAGACTGATGATACTGAATAATTGAAGTGGGTACCACTTGGGGAGTTCTGAGAATATGGTTTGTTTCTCTAACAAGTGTTAGAAAACCCAACTCAAATTAGCTTTAACCAAAAGAAACGATTCGAACTACTACAGTCTACGACTATGACTACAGTCATGCCTCATTTTATTGCACTTTTCTCTAAGGCACTTCACAGATAATATGTGATTTTACAAATTGAAGGTTTGTGGCAACCCTGCATCGGGCAAGTCTGTCAGTGCTATTCTTGCAACAACATATGCTCACTTCATGTCCGTCTGTCACATCTTGGTAATCCTTACAATATTCCAAACTTATTATTATATTTATTATGGTGATCTGTCATCAATAATATTTGATGTTATTATTGTAATTCTTTTGGGGAACCACAAACTGTGCCCCTCTAAGACACCAAACCTAATCAATAAATGTTATATGTGTTCTGACTGCTCTAATGACTGGCTGTTCCCCCATTGGTCTCCCTCTCCTCAGGCCTCCCAATTCCCTGAGACACAACAATATTGAAATTAGGCCAATTAATAACCCTACAAATGGCCTCTAAATGCTGAAGTGAAAGGAAGAATTGCACACCTGTCACTTCAAGTTGAAAGCTAAAATGATTACACTTAATGGGGAAGGCATGTCAAAAGCCAGGCAAGGCCAAAAGCTAGGCTTCTTGTGTTAAACAGTTAGCTAAGCTGTGAATGCAAAGGGAAAGTTCTTAAAATTAAAAACACTACTCTGCAAACACACAAATGATAAGAAAGCAAAATTGCCTCATTGCCGATAAAGAGAAAGTTTGGGTGGTCTAGATAAGAGATGAACCAGCCATGACATTCTCTTCAGCTGAAGCCTAATCCATAGCAAGGCCCTAACTCTCTTTAATTGTACGAAAATTGAGAGAGGTGAGGAAGCTGAAGAAAAGTTGGAAGCCAGCTGATATTGGTTCATGAAGTTTAATCAAAGAATCATCTTCATAAGATAAAAGTGCAAAGTGAAGCAGCAAGTGCTGATATAGAAACTCCAGCAAGTTGTCTGGAAGATCTAGCTAAGACCATTGATGAAGGTGGCTACACTAAACAACAGATTTTCAGTGTAGACAAAACAGCCTTCTATTGGAAGAAGATGTCATCTAGGACTTTCATAGCTCGAGAGGAGTGGTCAATGCCTGGCTTCATAGATTGAGAGGACAGGCTGACTCTCTTGTTAGAAGCTAATGCAGCTGGTGACTTTAAGTCAAAGTCAATGTTCATTTACCATTTCAGAAATTCTATAGCCCTTAAGAATGATTCTAAATCTACCCTTCCTGTGCTTTGTAAATGAAACAACAAAGTCTGAATGGCAGCATGTCTATTTACAGCATGATTTACTGAATATTTGAAGCCCACTGTTGAGAAAAAAAAAAAGTCTTTCAAAATTTATTGTTCATTGACAATGCACTTAGTCACCCAAGAACTGTGCTGAAAATTTCCAAGGAGATTAATGTTTTCATGCCTGCTAACACAACATCCATTCTGTAGTCCATGGATCAAGGAGTAATTTTGACTTTCAAAATTTGTTTCTTAAGAAATACATTTTGTAAGGCTATAGCTACCATAGATATTGATTCTTCTGTTGGTTCTGGAAAAAGTAAATTGAAAACCTTCTGGAAAGACTTCACCATTTTAGATTTCATTAAAAACATTCATTTTTTTTTTTACCAAAAAGTCATTCAGGAGCAAGACTGAATATCTACGTAACTGTGTGGTTCTGAGAGATTTTCTTGGTATTGATTTCTATTTTTATTGTACTGTGGTCTGAGAGTATGCTTAGTATGGTTTTGTTTTTTTGAATTTATTGAGAGTTGCTTTATGACTGAACATGTTGTTGTTCTTAGAGTATGTTTCATATGCATATGAGAAGAATGTTCATTCTGTGTCTGACGGGTTGGAGTTACCCTGTAGATGTCTATTGGGTCCAATTGATCAAGTGTCGAATTTAAGTCCAGAATTTCTTCGTTGGTGTTCAGCCTTGATGAACTGTCTAATGCTATCAGTGGGGTGGTGGAATCCCCCACTATTATTGTATGGCTGTTTAGGTCCTTTCATAGGACTGGAAGTACTTGTTTTATGAATCTGGGTGCTCAAATGTTGGGGGTGTATATATTTAGAATAGTTAAGCCTTCTTGTTGAATTGAACCTTTTATTACTATGTAATGCCCTTCTTTGTCCTTTTTTGCTGTTGTTGGTTTAAAGTCTGTTTTATCTAATATAAGAATAGTGAGCACTGCTTTTTTGTGTGTTCCATTTATGTGATAGATATTTCTTAAACCCTTTACTTTGAGCCTATGGGTGTTATTACATGTGAGATGGATCTCTTGAAGGCAGTAGATGAATGGTTCCTATTTTTTATTCAACTTGACACTATGTGCCTTTTAAGTGCTGTGTTTAGACCACTTACATTCAAGGTTAATATTGAGGTGTGATAACAACAACTTATCACAAAGTTGTTAGCTAGTTGCTTTGTAGTTTCCATTGTGTGATTGCTTTATAGGGTCTGTGGACTATGTATTTAAGTGTGTTTTTTTGATAGTGGGTATTATTCTTTTGTTTCCATATTTAGAACTCCCTTAAGGACCTCTTGAAAGGCTTGTCTAGTAGTAATGAATTCCCTTAGGGATTGCTTGTCTGAGGAAGAATTTATTTCTCCTTCATTTATGAAGCTTAGTTTGGTGGGATATGAAAGTCTTGGTTGGAATTTCTTTTCTTTAAGAATGCTTTAAATATGCTCTCAATCTGTCCTGGCTTGAAAGATTTCTGCTGAAAGTCCCCTGTTAGCCTGATAGAGTTCCTGCTGTATATGATCTGACCTTGTTCTCTAACTGCCTGTAAGTTTTTTTTCTTTAGCATTGTCTTTGAACAGTCTGGTGACTATATGCCTTGGTGATGGTTATTTTGTATAGTATCTCACAGGTGTTCTCTGGATTTATTGTACCTGGATGTCTGCCCCTCTAGCAAAATTGGAGAAATTTTCTTAAAATTGTTCCCTCAAATATATTTTCCAGGTTGTTTTCTTTTTTCCACCTCTCTCAGGAATGCCAATAATTTGTAGGTTTTGATTTACATGATCCTATATTTCTGAAAGACTTTATTCATTTTTTTGAATTCTTTTTTCTTTATTTTTGCCTGACTGGCTTAGTTTGAAAGATGGGTCTTCAAGCTGTAAAACAATTTCTTCTACTTGGTCTAGTTCATTGATAAAGCTTTCAATTATGTTTTGAAATTTCTTAAGTGAGTTTCTCAATTCCAGAGGCTCTGATTGATTTCTTCTTAAGATGTTTATTTCTTCCTTCATTTTCAATGGAGAAATTAAAAAATTCTTTGAAGTAAATTAAAACAGAGACATAACATACCAAAATATCTGGGATGCAGTGTTAAAAGGAAAGTTTATAGCATTAAATGGCTACCTCAAAAAGTTAGAAATATCACAAATTAACAATCTGAAGTCACACCTAGAGGAAATAGGAAAAGAAGAGAAAACTAACCACAAAGCTAGCAGAAGAAAAGAAATACCTAAAATCAGAGTAGAACGGATGAAATTAAGACTCAAAAATTTATATAAAGAATCAACAAAACCCCAAATTGGTTATTTGAAAGGATAAACAAGATCAATCAACTGCTACCTAGATTAACAAAGAAAAAATGAGAGAAGATCCAAATAACCACAATTAGAAATGACAAAAGTGACATTGCAACCAGTCCTTCAGAAATGCAAAAAAATCCTTAGAGACTGTTATGAACACCTCTGTGCACACAAACTAGAAAGTCTGGAGGAAGTGGATAAATTCCTGGAAACACACAAGATCCCAAGATTGAATCAAGAAGAAATGGAAGCCCTGAACTGACCAATATTAATTTCTGAAATTGAACCAGTAATAAAAAAAAAGCTACTACTACTAACAACAACAACAACAACAACAACTCTATCAGATGTGCAAAGAAGAGCTGGTACCAATACTACTAAAACTACTGCAAAAAATATCAAAGAGTAGCGACTCCTTCCTAATTCATTATATGAGGCCAGCATCACCCTTATACCAAAACCTGGCAATGACACAATGAAAAAAGAAAACCACAGGCCAATATTCCTGATGAACATAGACACAAAAATTCTCAATAAAATACTAGCACACTAAATCCAGCAGCACATGAAAATGTTAATTCTCCATGACCAGGTAGGCTTCATTTCTGGAAGACAAAGTTGGCTCAACATACACAAATCAATAAATGTGATTCACCACATTAACAGAATTAAAAGCAAAAACCATATGATGATCTCCATAGATACAGGAAAAGCTTTCCATACAGAAAGTCTACATACTTTAATAATATAAACCCTCAAGAAACTAGACATCAAAGGAACATATCTCAAAATAATATGAACCATGTATTACAAATCCACAGCCAACATTGTACTGAATGGGCAAAACTGGAAGCTTTTCGCTTGAGAACTGGAAAGAGACAAGGATTACTACTCTCACAATTCCTATTCAACATAGATCTGGAAATCCTTGCCACAACAATGAGGCATGAGAAAGAAATAAAAGGGATCCAAATAGGAAAAGAAAAAAATCAAACTATTTTTCTTCTCTGACAATATAATTTTATACCTAGAAAACCCTAAAGACTCTGTCAAAAGGCTGCTGCAACTGATAAACTACTTTGGTAAAGTTTCAGAATACAAAATTGATGTATAAAAAAATCAGTAGTATTTCTATACACCAATAACATTCAAGCTGAGAGCCAAATCAAGAACACAGTCCCATTTACAAAAGCTACCAAAACAAAAAGCTAGGAATGCATCTCACCAAGGAGAGGAAAGATCTCTACAAGGAGAACTACAAAACATTGGTAAAAGAAATCATAGATGACTCAAAATTGGAAAAGTATTCCAAGAACTGGAAGAATTAATATGATTTAAATGACGATACTACTCAAAGCAATCTACAAATTCAATCCTATTCCTATCATGTTACTAATGTCATTTTTTTTTCACAGAATTAGAAAAAGCTATTCTAAAATTCATAAGTAGCCAAAAAAGAGCTCAAATAGCCCAATGGATCCTAAGCAAAAAGAACAAAGCCGGAAGCATCACATTACCCAACTTCAAACTATTAATAGAAGGGTAGAAATAACCAAAATAGACATGGTACTGGTACAGAAACACAAACACATAGACCAATGTAACAGAATAGAGAACCCAGAAATAAAGCTGCACACTAACAGCCATATAATTTTCAACAAAGGCAACCTCAGCAATGGTGAAAAGACTCCCTATTCAATAAATGGTGCTAGAATAGCTGTCTAGGCATATGCAGAAGAAGGAAACTGGACTCCTATCTTTCACCACATACAAAAATTAACTCAAGATGAATTAAAGATTTAAATGTAAGATCTCAAACTCTAAGAATCTTAGAAGAAAACCTAGAAAACACCATTCTGAACCTTGGCCTTGGGAAATAATTTATGACTGAGTCCTCAAAAGCAACTGCCAAAAAAAAAAAAAGAAAAAGAAATTGACACATGGGACCTAATTAAACTAAGGAATTTCTGCACAGCAAAAGAAACTATCAACAGAGTAAGCAAACAACCTACAGAATGGGAGAAAATATTTGCAAACTATGCATCCAAAAAAGGTCTGATATTCAAAATCTGTAAGGAACTTACACAATTGAACAATCAAAAAACAACCCCATTAAAAAGTAAGCAAAGGACATGAGTGGACACTTCTCAAAAGAGAAGACTTACAAGCAGCCAATAAACATAAGAAAAAATGCTCAACATTACTAATCCTCACAGAAATGTAAATCAAAACCACAATGAGATATCATCTCATAATCGTCAGAATGGCCATTATTAAAAAGTCAAAAAACAATAGATGCTGGTGAGGCTGCAGAGAAATACGAACACTTATACCTTGTTGGTGGGAATGTAAATTAGTTCAGCTAATGTGGAAAGCCATTTGGCAATTTCCGAAATCACTTAAAATAGAATTACCACTTAACCCAGCAGTCCTATTTAACTGGGCATAGATCCAAAAGAAAATAAATTGTTCTACCAAAAGAATACATGCTCATACGTTCATTGTAGCACTATTCACAATAGTGAAGATATGGAATCCACCTAGATGCCCATCAACAGTAGATTACATAAAGAAAATGTGTAGATTAATACACAGCCATTAAAACAATGAGATCATGTCATTTGCAGCAACATGGATGCAGCTTAAGGCCATTATCCTAAGCGAATTAATGTGAAAACAGAAAACCAAATACCACATATTCTCACTTATGAGTGGGAGCTAAACAGTGGACACTTGTGGACATAAGGATGGCAACTGGGGACACCTAGACGGGGAGAAGGGAGGGAGGCAAGGGTTGGAAAACTGTTTTGGACTGTTTGCTCAGTACCTAAGTGACAAGATCAATAGTACCCTAAATCTCAGTATTGTGTGATATATCCATGTAACAAACCTGCACATTTACCCTTAAATCTAAAATAAAAGTTGAAATTATATAAAAAAAGAACATTTATGATTTGTGGGAGGAGGTCAAAATATCAATATTGACCAGAGTTTGGAAAAAGTTGATTCCAAACCTCATGGATGACTTTCAAGGGTTCAAGACCAGTGTACAAGGTAACTGCAGATGAGGTGGAAATAGCAAGAGAACTAGAATTAGATGTGGAGCCTGAAGATGTGACTGAAATGCTGCAATCTCATGATGTAACTTGAATGGTGGGAGAATTGCTTTTATGGATGAGCAAAGAAAGTGATTTCCTGAGATGGAAACTGCTGCTGCTGATGCTGTGAACGTACTTGAAATGGCATATGGAATATGGAAAAGGATATTCCATAAACTTAGTTGATAAAGCAGTGTCAGGATTTGAGAGGTTTGACTTCAATTTTGAAAGAAATTCTATTGTGGGTAAAGTGCTATTAAATAGCATTGCATGCTACAGAGACATCTTTCATGCAAAGTAGAGTCAATCAATGCAGCAAACTTCAATGTTGTTTTATTTAGAAAAA
This sequence comes from Homo sapiens, assembly GCF_000001405.40. Taxonomy (NCBI): domain Eukaryota; kingdom Metazoa; phylum Chordata; class Mammalia; order Primates; family Hominidae; genus Homo; species Homo sapiens. The sequence continues at coordinate 69,774,451 of NC_000017.11, forward strand.
TTGCCACAGCCATCATCACCCTGATCAATCGGTAGCCATCAACAAGGCAAGACCCTCCACCAGCAAAAATATTATGACTTGCTCAAGGCTCAGATGATGATCAGCATTTTTTAGCATTATTTTTATTAAGATATGTACACTGTGCTTTTACATACAATATTATTCCACACTTAATAGACTACAGTATAGTGTAAACATAACTTTTATGTGCACTGGGAAACCAAAAATTTGTGTGACGTGCCTTATCGCAATATTCACTTTGTTGCAGTATTCTGGAATCAGACCTACAATATCTCTGAGGTCTGCCTGTACCTTATTGCATCACTTGAATTAGGCTCAAAGGCCGGCATCAGTTTCTCTAGGATGTCTTTATTGTCACACTTTGGTGGTGGCAACTACCCAACATGATATTTTGGGAAATTTTGAAGGGAGAGTTGACTTCCTCAAAAGCTCAAGTAGAATCTCCAAATGGAGCCTGGGGCTCTGGTTGGTCTAGCCTGGGGTAGGTGCTTACATCTGAATTTGTGGCCTGGGAGATGAAATGCACTGATTGCCTTCACCTGGCGTCATTCTCCACTCTTGGAGCTGAGAACTGGTATTAGCTCCACCACAAACATGAAGGCTGAAAGTAAGGGAGTGTACTCCCCTTAAAGCAAATACAGGGTGCTCCTGCCACTGGAGTGAGACTCAATGGTGGGCAGCAGCACCAACAATGATCACAAAATAACCACAATCATGTCTTCTCTTCCTCTGCCTTGTCTGTTTCCTCACACTGCCAACTCTGCTCCCCCTGCATTCCCTCAGCACCTCTGTTTTGATGAGTTGTCAAGAAGAAATAAAGGTCTGTGATGGCAGGTGGTTTTCTCCCAAACCTTGATCTCTCAATCTCTCATATTTTTGTAAGGATTCCATGGAACACTTTGTGTGCCTCAAACTTAAAAAATGCCATTTCCAAAAATAGTCCTTTTTTTTCTCCTGTGCCATCTGCATTTCTCTTTTGTATAGCCAAAAACCAAACATTCTCACACATGTTCATTTACACAAATAGAACTCCTGAGATTATTCCCATTATTATACACTAATTTCCATTTATACTCCTTAGCCCGAAAGGTGAGATTAGGAGAAGACTATACGGGAAGGAAGAGAATAGCAAAAATGATGCATGTGGTAGGGAATGGAAAGCTATCACTTCTGTGGGTTATGGATGACATGCCCCTATTTCATGGGAATTTTACATGGTCTTGTCTGTTCTGTAAGTTTGAAGTCCAAATGAATTAGGTAACTGTATCAACTCCCTACTTCATCTGTTATTTTTATGAATGAAAATCGTAATTGAGGGGGCACTAAACATATTTTTGGAGAAATGAAATGGGGTGGTGTGCTGCCTTAATTAGTTTCTCTAAGGAGATTTGATTTCATATCAGCTCTTATATTTGAAATTTGTACTTTTAATTAGAAGTGAGGACTTACACATAACATTTCATCTTTTTAGTGTTAAATTCATCTTTTCTGATATGTAGCATGGAACATCCTTATGTACACAGGAGTATAATATCACAATAATTTCTTATTCTGGGGAGTTATCACATTTTTTCTTATTTGATCAAACACTTGGAAAACCAGGAATTAACATAAAATAAATCCCTGTACAAACTAATCACCATTATTTTCTTGCATTCTTAATCTGAGATGGTAGAAAAGAAACAACTCCCCCCCTCAAAAAAAAAAAAAGCCAACAAACACTATAAATTTCATGGTAAAAAACCACGTTGCAGTGCCCCACGTGATATGTGATTCAATGTCGGTGGCAATGTTGGTAGCTATCTGGAAGAAAAGGATGTTTCTGTCAGAATCTATGAGGTGTGCACCTTTGCTTTCTCTTGGCCTTCTGCCCCAGAGCCTCTGTAATCATGTCATTTTTTGCTGTATGGCAAGCATTGCTCTCTGAAAATTTGGTGTAAGTTCTGGGAATAGGAGAGGTATACAGACGTGTGATTGGTAAGGAGAAGGTGGGAAGCAAAAGGATATTATCAGTTACTAAACTTCTAGATACTGTGTAGGCGCACTTCCTAAATCTTCTCATATTATTCATCATAACAATGCTAAGAAATGGTTATAATTATTATGATCATTTTACAGTTGAAAATCTATGGTTCAGATAAGTTAGAAACCTTAACCAAGGCAAGACAGTAACAGACTTGCTATTTGAAGTGAGGCTTCTAACTCTAAAACCCATGTCCTTCATACACATCTTTTTGATTGCATGGCTAACACCGTGCTTCTAAACCCTGCAGCTTTTTCTTTAAAAAAATTTGCCTGGCTTTGACTAAGGCTGACTTAGGGTTTTCTGTTCCTTAACCGTGAACTTCTAACTTCTTTTAGCATACACACAGCTCTGGTTCTATGTCTTAATGGATTCTTCAGAGTGCACCCTTTTCTCCTTTGCTTTTTCACATTAGAAGAAGTCTAGTTATACCTGTTTTGTCCTCTGCCCGCAAATTAATAGCCATCGTGTGACTGCATATCAGTGAAAATGCTGTGCAGGCTCAATAGTTTTACCTTTTACAGGACAGGTTATGTCTGCATCTACAACTACATCTATCTCCTTATCAGTATCTGTATCTATTCATACGTATCTTCCTACTTCAAATACCAGCACTACCATAGTTCTATAGTTAATAGAAGCTTGTTTATATTTGTCTTTTATATTTGTTTCCTTCTTTAAAATCTTCCCCATCCTGCTCCCAACTCTGCCACGGATGACTCATATGAACTCTGGAAACCTCTTGTTCCTTGTATAATTCAAGGATTATAATAGTAGTCTTTTTTTTTTCCTTTTCTTTGTTTTTTTTTCTTTTTTTTTTTTTTTTTTTTTTTTGAGATGGAGTCTTGCTCTGTCACCCAGGCTGGAGTGCAGTGGCGCGATCTTGGCTCATTGCAACCTCCACCTCCCAGGTTCAAGCAATTCTCCCACCTCAGCCTCCTGAGTAGCTGGGATTACAGGCGCCCACCACCATGCCCAGCTAATTTTTGTATTTTTTTAGTAGAGACGGGCTTTCACCATATTGGCCAGGCTGGTCTCGAACTCCTGACCTTGTGATCCTCCTTCCTCGGCCTCCTGAAGTGCTGGGATTACAGGTATAAGCCACCGCGCCAGGCCTACTCTTTTTCTTCTTATTCTACTTTGTTTATTTTTGCTTCAATTTTATTTTGAACTAATTTTGACTTGGAGAAAAGTTGCAAAAATAGTAAAAAGAGAGTTCTATACCACTTATCCCACTTCCCCTTACGTTAATATCTTGCCTAACCATAGTATAATAATCATAAACAGAAAATTAATGTTGTTTCAGTAATATTAACTAAACCGAAGATTTTATTCAAATTTCACCACTTTTTCACTAATGGCCTTTCTCTGTTTTAAAATTCTGCTTTTACTTTTGGAGGCCGAGGCAGGCAGATAGCTTGAACCCAGGAGTTTGAGACCAGCCAAGACAACACAGCGTGACACTGTCTCTATGAAAAGAAAAAAGTTAGCCAGGTGTGGTGGTGTGTGTCTGTAGTCCCAGCTACTGGGGAGGCTGAGGTGGAAGGATTGCTTAAACCTGGAAAGTGAGCCGTGATCATGCTGTGATCATACCAGCCACTGCATTCCAGCCTGTGTGTCAGAGCAAGACCCTGTCTCAAAAAAAAAAAAAAAAAAAAATTAAATTAGGCCAGGCACTGTGGCTCACGCCTGTAATCCCAGCACTTTGGGAGGCCGAGGCGAGCAGATCATGAGGTCAGGAGTTCAAGACCAACCTGGCCAACATAGTGAAACCCCGTCTCTACTAAAAATACAAAAAAAAATTAGCCAGATGTGGTGGCAGGTGCCTGTAGTCACAGCTACTTGGGAGGCTGAGGCAGGAGAATCACTTGAACCCTGGAGGCAGAGGTTGCAGTGAGCCAAGATCACGCCATTGCACTCCAGCCTGGGCAATACAGCGAGACTCTGTCTCAACAACAACAACAACAACAACAACAACAACAAAATTAAATTAAAATTAAAAAGATTATGGTTTATTTTTGTCATGTCACATTACCATCAGAAATTGTATTGTTGTTTACTTTTATTTGTTAATTTTCCATTTTCTCACCAGCATATAATCTCTGTAAAGGTAACAAATTTATTTCTTGTCACTAGGCCCTCAATGTTCAGGAAATTGTCTAGCATAGAGAAGGTGCTAAATATTTGTTGAAGAAAGGAATGGATAAATGCTCCTAGAAGGCAGGGCTGATATGGCCTGCATGTTGTTTATTCATGAATTTTGAAAAGAAGCACATGCCCATGGAAGAGTTAAAAAGGGAATGATGCTGGGAAGGATAATTTTTTCCTTTTGTTAGCTGATTACTTCTCTACTATTATGGGATGCTTTCGTGTCCATCAAATATTTAGCAAAAGGTGATGAAAGGTGGGAATGTTCTAGCAGATTCTGGGTGCCTGGAATCTACCAATCAATGGTAGAATGAAATGCGAACGGTAACTCAAATTGCAACTTAAAGCATCTGCTTAAAAAGCCCCACAAAAACTTGAAGAGATTGCCAATGCAATGGAAGAAAAATGGCTTCTGGGAATAAAATGTTGTAATCTGTCTTTAGCTACTCCTATGATCAAGTGTAAAATTTGGATATCTGCATGTAAACATGTGTTGATTCACAATTAGAAAAAGAGATTCAACATTTTAAACTAACCTGATAACAATTTTTCTATAAAACACCACTTAGACAATTTTTGCTTTGTCTGAATAATGCGTACTAGCTATTGTAAGTTATCAATCTTGGAATTTTCACCCCCTCCAACAAGCTCCTCAAAACTATGATCTCTTATAATGTTGCCAAGCCTTTTCAGATGATTCTCTGGCTTAAATTTGATATTTGCTTATTATGGAGTAGAAAAAGTCATCTGAAATTTGATCATGACTTCTGGGAAATGGAGTCTTTTTCTTTTCATCTTATTTTCTGTAAGTTAAAGAAAATGGAAAACTTTCTATGTGTAAGTGATACCATTAAATGTGATTTACATTCAGAAAGACAGCTCTTGATGGTATAAACTGCGTTGGCCTTTGTACAGAAAGACACAGAGGAACAAAACAATGAGCGCCTCTCCATAAATAAGATATATCAGAGTTATAATGGATAAGTTTACTTTTCTTCACTAGGAAAACATGAATCACTTTATAAATCTCTTTTTTAAATCATATCAAATTTAAGGTTTCTTTCTCTTGGGTTAGAAGAAGAATTTTAGCTATTTCCTATGCGAAAAAGGAATTATTTGTTTAACTACTCAGTTAGTTTGTCCAGTCAGGCTTTTGTTACGTAAAGAAGGTTACCCAAAGTTAAAGTGTGAAGCAACTTGTACTATTGTTTGTGTTAGTCACGATTCTCCAGAGAAACAGAACCAATAGGATCTATGCATATCTATGAGGAGATTTCTTTTGAGAATTAACTCATGTGACTACAGAGGCCTAGAAGTCCCACCTTCTACCGTCTGCAAATTGGAGAACCAGGAGAACCAGTGGTGTAATCCAGCCTGATTTCGAAGGCCTGAGAACGTGGGGAGCCAAGGATGTAACTTTTAGTGTGAGGTCAAAGCCCTGAGAACTGGTGGGACCATTGCTATTAAGTTCCAGAGTCCAGAGACCTGAGAACCTGAAGCCCTGATTTCTGAAGTCAAGAAAAAACAACATCCCAGATGAAGATGAGAGAGAGAGAGAATTTGCCCTTCCTCTGTCTTTTGTTCTATTTGAGTCCTCAACAATTGGATGCTGCTAATTTGCATCGTTAGGGGGCAGATCTTCTTTACCCAGTCTGCTGATTGAAATGCCAATCTCACAAACATCCAGAAATAATGTTGTATTAGCTATGAGTATTTCTTAACCCAGTCAAGTTGACAAAAATCAGCCATCACATGGTTTATTCCAGTGTATTGATAGTAATGGATTGAATTCCAGTGTGTTGATTCTAATGTATTGTTCCAATGTGTTGATTCACAATAAGAAAAAGAGATTAGTTTTAAAAGAATGTGAGAAAATGCTTTACTAAACGTCACTTAATTTGATAATTTTTGCTTTGCCTGAAGAATGCATAAAAGTTATTGTAAGTTATTGAACCCATTGTTTCCACCCCCTCCAACAAGCTCCTCAGCCTTGTCTATTCGCCCATGCTTCTAAGCAGGGTGGATGTGATGGATAGGGTGGGTCAAGAGTCAATACAAATTATTGGGTTCAGTGGATTGGAGGTGGGGATTCAAGCAAATCTTTTAAAATTTTTAGGTAGGTTGTCCTTGCTAGGGGTTCCCCAAATGTTTCTGCCAAAAGAAAACCCATATTTGTTGCCCAGTTCTGTGGCTCTAAATGGCCCCAGCTTTTGGAATCAGCCTTGGTTTTGTCCTTTGTCATGTCAGCATCTATTTTTGTCTATTCAACTTTCAAAATATCTATCCAGATTCTGATGTCTTCTGCCTCTCTCCTCGCCACTTGCTCCAAGCCTGTGCTTCCAAATTTGCCCAGTGAGAAGAATCACTTGAGAAACTTATTGAATACATGAATTGCTGAGCTCCATCTCAAGCGTATTGAATCCAAATTTTTTCAAATGTTGCAAGTCTTGTATTTTTTATTTGTCTATTTTTTAAATGGATAATATTTTAAAGGACAAATTATAGTTGCTCACATTTATGGAGCAACAATACAATATTTTGATAAATGTATACAATGTGGAATGATTAAATCAAAGTTTGTAAAGGGTCCAAGGTGACCCTTGTCAAGCAAGTATGAGATTTGCAGAAATCCACTGTCATTTTTCCTACCTGGCTTGTTGCAAAAATCTTCTAATCGATCTTCCAGCTTCAGCTCTGGTCCATTTTCTAAATGGCAATCAAAGGGGTCCTAATAAAAAGCTAGGTCATTTCTGTGTAGAATGTTACTGAGATTGCATTGAATCCATAGATCACTGGGTAGTACATATATTTTAACAATGTTAATTCTTCCAGGCCAAGAACACAGATTGTCTTCCATTTATTTATATCCTCTTCAGTTTCTTTCATTAAGGTTTTACAGTTTTCATTGCAGGTTATTTTTCACATCTTTGGTTAAATTTATTTCTAGGTATCTTTTTTTGGTAGCCATCGTAAATGGAATTGCTTTCTGTTTCTTTTTCAGAGAGTTTGCTATTGGGATATAGAAATGCTACTGATTTTTGCATGTTGATTTTGTATCCTCCAACTTTACTGAATTTGTTTATTAGTTCTAACAGTTTCATAGTAGCAATTTTAGAGTTTTCTATCTGTAAGAAAATGTAGTCTGCAAACAGGAATAATTTAACTTATTCCTTTCCAACTTAGATGTCTTTTATTTCTTTCTCTTTCTCTGACTAGACCTTCCAGTACTATGTTAATAAAAGTGGTGAAAGTGGGCATCCTTGTCTTATTCCAGATCTTAGAAAAAAGCTTTCTATTTTTCCCAGTGAAGTATGATGTTCGCTGTGGGTTTGTCACATATGACCTTTATTATGCTGAGGTATATTCCTTCTATTCTGAGTTTGTTGAGAGTTTTTTTGTTTTGTTATCATGAAGGGATGTTGACATTTATCAAATGCTTTTTCTATGTCTATTGAAATGGTTGTATGAGTTTTGTCCTTGATTCTGTTAATATGATAAATCACATTTATTGATTTGTGTGTTGAACCATCCTTGCAACCATGGGATGAGTCTCACTTGCCATAGTGAATGATCTTTTACTGTGCTGTCGAATTTGTTTTGCTGGTATTTTGTCAAGGATTTTCGCACCTATATTCATCAGAGATATTGGCTTGTAGTTTTCTTTTCTGTTTTTGAGTGTGTGTGTGTGTGTGTGTGTGTGTTCTTGCTTGATTTTTGAATTCTAAAATCACCTATACCCACAAAAGACCCTGAATGACCACAGCAATTTTGAGCCAAAAGAACAAAGCTGGTGGCATCACACTACCTGACTTCAAAATATACTACAAAGGTACAGAAATAGAAACAGCATGGTACCGACATAAAAACAGATACATAGACCAATGGAACAGAATAGAGAACACAGAAATAAATCCATACACTAATAGCCAACTGGTTTTTGGCAAAGGTGCCAAGAATGTACACTGGGGAAATAATTAGCCTCCTCAATAAACAGTGCTGGAAAAACTAGATATCTATATGCAGACTGAAGCTATGTCTTACTACATACAAAAATCAACTCAAAATGGATAAAGCCTTCAATATAAAACCTGAACTGATAAAACTAGTAGAAGAAAACATAGGAGAAATGTTTCAAGACATTGGGTTGAGTAAAGATATTTCAGATAAGACTTTAAAAGCACAAACAATGAAAACAAAAATAGACAATGGATTCCATCAAACTAAAAAGCTTTCTGCACAACAAAAAATGATGACAATAATCAACAAAGTGAAGAGACAATGTACAGAATGGCAGAAAATATTTGCAAACTATGCATCTGACAAAGGGTTGATATCCAGAATATGGAAGGAACTCAACTAACTCCATAACAGAAAAAAGCAAATAATCCTGTTTAAAATTGGGCAAAAGTCCTGAGGAGATATTTTTACTAACAACCAACAGGTATATGAAAAAAATACTGAACATGACCAATCATCAGGAAAATACAAATTAAAACCACATTGAGATATCACCTTATCCCAATTAAAATGGCTATTACCAAAATGACAAAGAATAACAAATGCTGGGAGAGATGTGGGGAAAGGGGAGCACTTATACACTAGGGGTTGGAACGAAAATTAGGAAAGCTGTTATGGAAAAGAGTATGGAGGTTCCTTAAAAAAATTAGAAATAGAACTACCAAATGATCCAGCAATCTCACTACTGAGTATATATCCAAAGGAAATAAAATCAGTGTGTGAAAGAGATAACTTCACTCCAATGTTTATTCCAGCACTATTCTCAATAGTTGAAATTTGGAATCAAACTAAGTGTCCATCAATGGATGAATGGATAAAAAAATGTGGTATATATATGCAGTGGAATACTATTCAGGCTCTTATTTTTATTTTGTATTCTTTTTATAAATGTGTTTGTTTGCTTGTCACAGGATCTCACTCTGTAGCCTAGGCTGGAGTGCAGTGTATTTTGTAGAGTTGGGGTTTCACCATGTTGCTCAGGCTGGTCTTGAACTCCTGGGCTGAAGTGATCCACCCTCCTCAGCCCCGTGAAGTGCTGGGATTATTAGGCGTGAGCCACCACACTGGGCCAGAAAATGCAAGCCGTTAGAAAGAATAAAATCCTGTTATTTGTGGCAGCATGGGTGAACCTAGAGGACATTATGTGAAGTGAAATCAGCCAGGCACAGGAAGACAAATACCAGCTGATCTCACTATACATGGACGCAAAAGAAATTGATCTCATAGAAGTAGAGAGTAGAACAGCGGTTACCAGAGGATGGGGAAGGGAGAGAGGAGGGGCTGATAGGGACAGATTAGTTAAGGGGTACAAAGTTACAATTAGAAGAAGTTCTGATGTTCCATTGCACAGTAGGGAGACTATGGTTAACAATATTGTGTTTCATATTTCACAATAGCTAGAAGAGGGGGTTTTGAGTGTTTTCACCACAACGAAATAATAAATGTATGGGGTGATGAATATGCTAAATACTCTCATTTGATCATTATGCAATGTATACATTTATTGAAACATTACATTGTACCAGGTAAGTATGTACAATTATTATGTGTCAATTAAAAAAATAAATTAAGAGGCTGGGCACGGTGGCTGACATCTGTAATCCCAGCACTTTGGGAGGTCAAGGCTGGATCACCTGAGGTCAGGAGTTTGAGACCCAGCCTGAGAAACACCACAAAATCTCATCTCTACAAAAATATGAAAATTAGCTGGGTATGGTGGTGCACTCCCGTAATCCCAGCTGCTCGGGAGGCAGAGGCACAAGAATCACTTGAACCCAGGAGGTGGGGGTTGCAATGAACCAAGATCACACCATTGCACCCAAGCCTGGGCAATAAAGCAAGACTCTGTCTCAAAATAAATAAATAAATTAATTAATTAAGAAAATGTTAGATTAGATCACTTCTCTGCATTATGGTTTCTTATTTCACTAAGAATAAAAATCAAATGCTCCTTAGAGTAACCTCCAAAGCCAACTCCCAATATCTCAAACCTATTTTCTTGTTATTCTCTTTCTTGCATACTCTAATCCAGGTGTCCCCAAATTCTTCCACAAATTCCACCTCAGGGCCTTAGAAGTTTCTGCTTCCTCTACTTAGAATGAAATTCTTTAGATATCTGCCTGACTTGCACCTGTACTTCCTTCCAGATTGGGCTTAACTCTCACCTCATCGGAGATGCCTCTCTAAGTAACATAGGATTGCTTCACCTGGTCTCCATCCTATGCATAATTTACTTTTCTTCATAGAATCTAAGTAGCTGGCGAGGCCAGGCGCGGTGGCTTACGCCTGTAATCCCAGCACTTTGGGAGGCTGAGGCGGGTGAATCACCTGAGGTCGGGAGTTCGAGACCAGCCTGACCAACATGGAGAAACCCCGTCTCTACTAAAAATACAAAATTAGCCGGGCATAGTGGCAGGTGCCTGTAATCCCAGCTACTCAGAAGGCTGAGGCAGGAAAATCACTTGAACCTGGGAAGTGGAGGTTGCGGTGAGCCAAGATCATGCCATTGCACTCCAGCCTGGGTGACAAAAACGACACTCTGTCTAAAAAAGAAAAATCTAAGTAGCTGGCATATTATTCTCTTTGATATTGATATTGTTGTTATCTTCTGTCTCCCCTAATAGAATGTAAGCTCCATAATGGCAGGAACTATGTTTTTAATTGTATTGCCAGCATATAGAATAGTTCTTTAATTCTAGTTAGCTCTCGGTAGGTTTTTCAAATTATTAAATGACAAAGACGATGAATGAATGAATGAGAGATGTGAAATAGGTTCAAGCTCATTGGTTCATTAAATGTAAGTAATTTAGAGATCACAGTAGATAGGAGAGAAGCAATAGGTGACAGAAAGTCATGGCATATTTCTGGTTGGATTCTCTTTTTGTGATCAAACAAAACAGAGTTGTCAGAGAAATACTATATATGAGAACTTGCTTACTTCCTGATATGGTTTTGCTGTGTCCCCACCCAAATCTCATCTTGAATTATAACTTCCACAATTCCCACCTGTTGTGGGAGGAACCTGGTGGGAGGTGATTGAATTATGGGGGAGGGTATTTCCTGTGCTGTTTTCGTGATAGTGAATGAGTCTCACGAGATCTGATGGTTTTAAAAACGAGAGTTTCCCTGTACATGCTCCCACTTTGCCAGCCACCATCTATGTAAGACTTGGCTTGCTCCTCCTTGCCTTCCACCATGATTGTGAGGCCTCTCCAGCCATGTGGAACTGTAAGTCCATTAAACCTCTTTTTCTTCCCAGTCTCGGGTATGTCTTTACTAGCAGTGTGAAAACGGACTAATACACTTCCCCAAAGAAGAAACTTCCATGTTGGAAAAGTTTCAGCTGAGGTTTAGAGTTTGGAGGTTTCAAAATGTGAAGTTCCGCTGGTTCTGAGTATCCTCCCTTAACTGGTCTTACCGGATGAGAACACTAAGGGCATAATACATGTCTATTTAGTCTGCTCCACTGAACTACCTCTATTCAACTAACTTGAAGGACACTGTGTTAGTTTGCTGGAGCTGCCATAACAAATACCACAGACTGAGAAGTTTTAACAACAGACATTTGTTTTCTCACAATTCTGGAGGCTAGAAGTCTGAGATCAAGGTGTCAGCCTGGTTGATTTTTTTCCTGAGGCCTCTCTTTCAGGCTTGTAAATAGTCAACTTCGTCTGTCTTCACAGAAGACATGATCCTTTCTCTGTATGTTTATGTCTTTATCTCCTGTTTCCATGAGTACACAAGTCATCTTGGATTAGAGTCACATTCTGAAGTACAAAGGGTTAGGACTTCAATATGGAAATTTAGGGAGAACACAATTAAACCAATACAGACACTTTACCTTGCAACTGTGTAAAGATGAAAGAGTCTTCTTGAAAAGATTTGAACTCACATTATGGGAGGAATTGTACGCAAACTTACATATGGTTACAACTATATGTCTATTTAGACTCATTCACATACACCCATATATAGGTATATATAGTAATACCTAATATCTGAGAAGAATTAGCACATTTTTTGTAATAAGGTGCCAGTATCAAATTTCTTTATTATTTACAAACTCGCAGACTTACTCGTCTTTCTTTTTTCCCTATCCTGTTTCTCTGTTTGTATTTTAATATAATATTATTGTTCACATCAAATTAGTTAGTTGAGATGCAAATGTTAATTTCTGTTAACAGAGTTATGTGAATGTTGTTCTAAAAATGATGACAGGTACATTGAATTTTAAAATCTGAGGTTTAACTACATAGCATTTCTGCAATTTACCCTTTTTTCAATGCTAGAAAACAAATAAAGCTCTTAATGAGGACTGTGTAAAGATGGTACAATGGTTCTCAGAGTGTGTTCCGTGGAGCCTTGGGCAAGGAAGAAGAAGCAAAAAGTATATTTTTTTCCAAGTCCTTGCAGGAGGTTTGTGAGGCTGAAACTATTTTTCTAACACTGAGACAATATTTTCTCTTATTCTGTTGACATTTTTACTGGTGTTGCAAAAGCAATGGAGAGTTAAGCTACTGATGCTGAAACCTCAATACCAATAATATACAATTTAAAAAGGAGGGAGGGAGGGAGGGAGGAAGGGAGGAAGGAAAAAAGAAAGCAATCGGTTTTACTAACAAATGTCCTTGATAAAGCTGTAATAATTATTGACTTTATTACATCTCAAAGTTTGATTACCTTTGCCCCCAATAGTCTGTGTGATGAAATGGGAAATTCACATTAAGCACCTCTGCTGCATTCCAAAGCATGATGATTGTCTCAAGAAGAAGTATGTGCATGATAGTTTGGGCTGTGAGCTGGAATAGACACTTTTTTGTTCACAGAACACAATTTTTACTTGAAAGAACAGCTGAGAGATAAACTGTGGATATTCAGATTTGAGTATTTAAGTGACATTTTCTTGAAAAGGATCAAGTGAGTCTTTCACTTCAAGGGAAACAATTAACAATATCTGATGCTAATGTTAAAAATTCAGATTTTCAACCAAAATTAGAATTTCTAAAAACCATGCCTGTTACTACAAGTTTGACACTTTCCTGGTATTTAAAGACTTAGCTGATACAATCAGAGATATTAATGATTGTGAATATCATTGTTAATCGTTGTTACTATTAATCATTGTTAATATCATTGTTAATATTAATCATTGTTAATATTTGTTAAACATTATTAATATCCTTGTTAATATTTGTTAATCATTGTTAATATCACTTCTGATCTTATCAGCTAAGTCTTTAAATACTGGGAAAGTGTCAAGCTTGAATTTTTGATATTGAATTATAAAATATGTTAATACTTGAAGAATCTGTATAACTCAATGAATCAACATTTTCTAAATGACCAATATATGATGTTACAAACTTGTGGACAACTAAAAGATCGATTCAAAGTGCAGGATAGATCAACGGATTTTAATATAACTGAGAGTGAAAGGTCATTAATATTGTTTTAGATTCCATATTGCAACTAACCCTTAGGAAATTATCACTTGGGTTTTGATGAGGTATCAAAGTAAGTATCACAATTATCTGAGAAAGTTAATTTTTTCAACTACATAGCTGTGTGTGGATGGATTTTCTTTATATACGTCAACCAAAACAATATATCATAGCAGTTGGAATGCCCAAGCTGGTATGAGAATCTGGCTTTCTCTGTTCTGCCAGACATTAAAGGAATTTTCAAAATTATAAAGCAATGCCACTCTTCTCACTAAATTATTTTTGAATAATAGTTATTTTTCATAAAATGTTATTTATATTAGCATGTAATTGGTTTCTTATTGTTATTGGAAGATGAGTAAGTAAACAAATATATTTTGTAATTCTCAGTGTTAATTTTTTAATGTAGCAGATACCGAAAATCTTAACCCACGCAAACAAAATCTCTTTGGGACTCCTAATGATCTTTCAAGGTATAAAAAACCCCTTGGCGGCAAACACTGAGTTGGTCATTTTGGCATCCCTCTCTCATCCGTACCTCAGACTTTGGTATCAGTCTTATTGTCTGTTTGCAGAGTGCGCTCAGACTGTCTGTCTACTAAAAACAAATTTAATGGTTTGCTGGTGTCCTCGTTCAACTATCTTAGTTAATCACTTACGCTATTTTTATTATTTCTGGTTTTATATTTATTACCTCATTGGTCCAACACATTTATTTACCATTGTTCAACTATCCACTGTGCATTATGCTAAGTGCTGAGAATATAAATAAAAAAGGCAGGTATTGTCAATAAGATCTTTATTTCTGATGGGGGAGATGGATACTAACCTAACAGTCAATGTATGTGTGATTTGTGCCACTAGAAATGGCACAGGATGCTAGGGACCCAGAGGAGGGGAATCCACACCAGATCATGGGCGTAAGAGAAAGCTTTCCAAAAGCAGCAGTGCCAGTGAAGAGTCTTTAAGGGCATTTAGCAGTTGCTAATGGCTGCTCATTCATACATCTGCCCTTTGAGGCTGGCTGTCAACTGAGAACTTAGCTGGGTTTGTTGCCTGGGACAGCTTTATGTGGCCTCTCCATGTGTGGCCTGGGCTTCTTCACAACAGGGTGGCTGAGTCCTAACAGTAAGTATCCTGAGAGAGAGAGAGAGAGTCAAGCAGAAGCTGTATCTGTTTATGACTTCGCCTTAGGTGTTTTGCATCATTACTTCACCAAATTCTGTTCTTTGAAGCTGTCACAAAGGCTCTTTGGCTCCAAGGGTAGGGAAAATACAGCTTTACTGCTTTCTGGTGGGTTGGCAAGATTCTGGCCTGGAAGAATTGCTGTGGACATTTTCTGAAAATACAGTCTGCTCTCTGGCCACACAATTCAAACCTTTTCACTGGTAAGATAAACTCCTATCCTCTTCAAGGCTCCCCTTATCTCATTCTGTTATGGCATTATGCTCAAATTCATGGTCCAGGATCCCACAATCCAAATCAGGTCCAAGTGCATTAGATCCAAGTCCATGAGGCTCCTTGCAGTTCACTGACTACAAATCCTCTAATACAGTTTTTGTCAATGTGAGAGCCTGTGAACAATGAAGACAAATTATCTGCTCACCACACACTCAACATACAATGATGGAATGTGGGCTAGGCATAGGATAACTGCTATAGTCACTCCAGTTCAAAAAGGAAGAAACTGGAAGACACTTTCATCCCTAGTCCATAGTGATTCTGAAATCCATCTGGACACAGTTATGGCTTTCTAGGTTAGGGTTTAGTCCTCTATCCTAGAAATGATTCTCCATGGCTCTTGGCTCTGACCTCTGAGTACTCTTTCCTTTTTTTTTTTTGTTTGTTTGAGATGGAGTTTTGCTCTTATTGCCCAGGCTGGAGTGCAATGGTGCGGTCTTGGCTCACTGTAGCCTCTGCCTGCCGGGTTCGAGCGATTCTCCTGCCTCAGCCTCCCGAGTAGCTGGGATTTCAGGCAGCCGCCACCATGCCCAGCTAATTTTCTGTATTAATTTTGGTAGAGACGGGGTGTTGCCACGTTGGCCAAGCTAATCTCTAACTCCTGACCTCAAGTGATCTGCCAGCCTCGGCCTCCCAAAGTGCTGGGAATACAGGCGTGAGCCACCACACCCGGTCATCTTTCCTTTTCAATGAGCATTGCCCTGTGTTTGCAATTGAGTGGTAGTATTTTCAGCCTGTTTCCTGTCGATAGAATTCAGAGGCCCAAACCCTCTTTTAATTTTGTAATGTCTCTGGCCCTTTTAGTCCAAAATACGCTGAGGCAAAAAGAAAAGCACAAACTGGTGTGGGTGGAATGAAGGGTGAACGGTAGAAGATGATGATATGGAAGAAAGAGGCTGTGGCAAGTTCATGTGCCGAACCAGAGATCCTGAAATGTATCCAATGAGTGCAATGCAGAAATGTCCATTTCTGCTACTTACTCTCTTTTGCTAAACTTTCCTAAAAGTATTCTTACTGCTTTAAAATATCTGTTGCTGAAGTTGGGAGAAGGATGTTTATTGTCTACAGTAGTTTTGAAATTCATCTTAGTTGAATTTTGACTGCAAGATGCTCTCACATGTGTGCTCTCTTAGTATTCCCAAATTGTTTTGTGGTCACAAAAGATTTTCCAGTTAACTGCTTTATGCCCGTTACATGCATATTTCACTTCAGAGATTGATGCTTAATTTTAAAAGGAAGCCCTCTTTAGAAAAAGACATAAATAGTATTTTCAAATAAGATAATCTCTATTTTATTATATGAGTGCTTTTGAATACTAATTGTGAAGTACTGCTGGAAGAGAACTGCAATTCTGGAAGCCTAGTACAGCTTCAACTAATACCCTACATCTTCTGAAGGAGTACACGTTTTGTTACTAGGCTATTTAATAAAAGAAATAAGGTAAGTACGACTTCAGGTTCCTGAAAAATACATACAGCATTTTTTTTGAACACTCAATTTTCATAGAGGTATAGCTTTCAGCCGGCAAATATTTATGACCATGTTATTGTGGGTATTTTTTAAAACAACTTGATTCAGGAAAAGTCAGCTTTTCAAAACACCTTTTTTGCCTAAAATGTCTTAGACTACAGTTTATTCACATTCATAAGATGTCATTACCTTTAAGAGTCCTGCTGCTAATAGCTATCCAACGTTTTTAGTCAAAATGTGAGTAAAAGAGAAAGCTGAAAACTTCCAAATATTTTTATTCCTCAAATTAATCGTTCCATAAAAGGGCTCTAGGATATGAATAATGCATTACAATGCTGCTGCAGATAACTTCACATATGGTACACAATGATGTGAATAGAGAAGAGATAAAATAGGAGATGAAAGAACTGCATTAGAGACAAATGAGTGAACTGACACAAGCATTTTCATTCCATTTGATTTGCACAATGTTTTTATTGAGTATTTGCTCATTTGCTGAGCTCTGTAATGGAAAGATAACTGAGTAGGATTTGGTCCTTGCCCTTTGGGAGCTAATGAACATTTGTGAGGATGTGGGGTGGGCTTTATTATTCCATGTAATTGATGCAATAATCATGTATACCATGAAATGACAACCTAAGAGATAATTCCTAGTAAGGACTCAGGAAGTCTGCAGAGAAGATACAGTATTTGAGCTTGATGGCAAATAAGGTGTCCAATTTGGGAGGTCATCCTCTAAAAATGAAACAGGTAATAAGAAAAGGCAGGAGGATAGGAAATATGGGGTGTCTTCTGGAAATGCTGAATAGCTTATCTAGTGAAAATTGGAGAAATAGTGAGGAGAGTATTAGAGGTAGATTGGAACTAGATCCTACAAGATCTTGAAAGCCAAAGAAACAAACAAAAATTATCAGACGGTGCAGTGGTGCACACCTGTAATCCCAGCACTTTGGGAAGCTAAGGCAGGCAGATCACCTGAGGTCAGAAGTTCGAGACCAGCCTGACCAGCATGAAGAAACCCCATCTCTACTAAAAATACAAAGTTAGCCAGGCATGGTGGCACATGCCTGTAATCCCAGCTACTCGGGAGGCTGAGGCAGGAGAATCTCTTGAACCCGGGAGGCGGAGGTTGCGGTGAGCAGAGATGCACCATTGCACTCCAGCCTGGGCAACAAGAGTGAAACTCCATCTCAAAAAAAAAAATTATCTTTTTTTTCTGTATGATCTGGGGTGTTACTGAAGATTTTGGGGAAGCTATGTTGCATGACTAGATTGAGATTTTAAGAATACACATGATGCCTCAGTGAGTGATGATTTGGAATTGACAACGTAGAGTTAAGTTTTCTACAATCAGAGATATGTAACAATTATTTGAAAATACAACTATAGTCAAAATAGAAAAAAATAAGTAAATTCTATTCTTGGGCATGTCTTTCTAAACAATCTGAAAGAAAGAAAATAAATACGTGGCCAAGTGCTGTGGCTCATGCCTGTAATCCCAGCACTTTGGGAGGCCAAGGCGGATCACTTGAGGTCAGGAGTTTGACTCAGCCTGGCCAACATGGTGAAACCCTGCCTTTACTAAAAATATAAAAATTAGCTGGGCTTGGTGGCACATGCCTGTCATCCCAGCTACTTGGGAGGCTGAGGGAGGAGAATTGCTTGAACCTGGGAGGCGGAGGTTGCGGTGAGCCGAGATCGCGCCACTGAACTCCAGCCTGGGAGACAGAGCAAGACTCTGTCGAAAAAGAAAAAGAAAGAAAAAATAAATATGAAAATATGATTATATTTAACTATGTATTCATAGGTATTCATAGGAAATTTCTATATAACAAAAAATTTCCTTCAAGCACACATATAACAAAAAAAAAATTAAAGGGCCACTGTCCACAATATTTAAGGCTAATAAGATAAACAGAGGATTCCTACTTTTACTATCAGCATAGGAGGCAGCGTAGTGTATTGTTAAAAGGATGGCTTTTGATGCCAAGCGAGACCTTGGATCTCTTAAGTGCTCTGTGCCTCAGTTTTCTTATCTATAAAATGGGGATGATACGTGCTCATGGCACTGTTGTGAGATTTGAAGTGAGTAAATGTATGTAAAGTCTTACATTATTATTGCTGTTTTATTAACAATGACTGTTGCATATATTGGGTGTCTGTGGATAAGTGATATGGATATGGATCTGTGTCTTCATGAAATCTTATGTGAAACTGTAGTCCTCAATGTTGGAAATGCGGCCTGAGGGGAAGTGGTTGGATCATGGGGGTGGATTTTTCATGAATGGTTTCGCACCATCCCCCCAGTGCCATTCTCATGATAGTGAGTGAGTTCTCATAAGATCTGGTTGTTTAAAAGCATGCAGCACCTCCCGCCTCATTCTCTCTTGCTCCTTCTCCTTCCATGTAAGACGTATCTGCTCCCCCTTTGCCTTCCACCACGATTGTAAGTTTCATGAGGCCTCCTCAGAAGTGGAACAGGTGCCAGTGTCTTGCTTCCTGTACAGCCTGCAGAAACGTGTATCAATTAAACTTCTTTTCTTTGTAAATTACCCAGTCTCAAGTATTTCTTTATAGCAGTGCAAGAATTGACTAATACAATAAGACAACTAGTTATTTAGTTCATAAGTCTGTCAATCGAGAAGAACCATATCTAGAATCTTGATATTGTGCATCACTGTACATTACCTTGTGATCTTGTGGACCACGATTATTTTTGTTTTATTGGAAATACTAGTAAGTAATTAAGGTCAAGATGTTCACTGAAATTGCAAAGTGGAAAATAATAAGCCTAATCAATTCACATGAAGAAAAATGCAAGTGGTTATTAAACATATTATAAAATACTCAATTTTACTATTAATCACAGAGGTAAAAATAAAAATAGCATTGAGTTACCATATCATAAAAAGTGATGCTTATATTTAGCTAGAATTGAAGAGGCTAAAACTTGGTTTAGCTTTAAGTCCCAATCCTGGTGGTGATGTAAATATACAGCCTGTCCAGAAAGTAATTTGAAAATGCCTATTGAAAGTGTTCAGAGCCCTAAAATCTTTATAATATTGAATATTACATAACTGTAAAAACTTATCAGGACAAAACTCATTTAATATTACTAAGAGATAAGACTCAACTTGGGAAACATAGTATGTACAATAAGATTCAATTATTGTAAAGAATAATATTATGTGCCCAGGAAAAACACAGAAAGATTTATAGTGGTTATTGTGGGTTGAAAGGTTGTGTTTGTTTCTTTCCTTTTCTCTGCGTAACTATCTATTGGTTCCTCCTATTGAGTATTTTACATAAGCAATGTAAACTTTTTGAAGGCTTTTGCTATGGTTTAGACCATGAAGGTGAGGGCTAAATAGTCAATATTTTAGACTTTATGTGTCACATAGTCCCTGTTACAACTACTCGACTTTGACTTTGTAATGTGAAAGCAGCCACAAATAGTCCAATATCTTTGTTTCAAAGAGAGGCAGTGGACTAAAGTTTGGCCTACAGGCCAGAGACTGCCAATTCTTGGAATTGACAAGAGATAATGGGGACTTGATTGTGAAAATGACACTTAGAATAAAAAGCTAAGAATAGATACCAGAGACATCACCAGGGTGGAATTTACAGGTCTTGAGGAAGGTCTGTTGACCATGATGGAGTTGACCATGACTTTTAAGTTTCAATTTTAGATATCAGCACTGATGGATATTGAGTGATGCATATCAACCAATATAGAGAACTCAAAAGAGAGCAATCCAATTTGTGGAGAACATGACAGATTCAATTTGTGATGAGCTGAATTTTCAGGAAGGCATTTGTCAACATGGGCCTGAAGTTCAGGAATGAAGTGAGAAATGAAGCTGGGGATTAAGATGTATAGTGCATCAATGATGACTTGATAATCAAAGTCATAGGAGCTGATGAGATTTTGGAATTGAAAAAAAAATCAGTGATACACACAGATGGAAACCTATATTCCATCTCTGATTATGCCCTAAAACATGTTGGATAATTTGGATCCTTCACCACAGTCTACCTATCTTCTTCCCCCTGCTAAGGGAGTGGGAAAGATAGCTTTGAGGACAGAGACAGTGTCCCCAAAAGTTCATGGCCAGCTTCTTCCTGAACTCCATCAGCAGAGAATGCAAAAGGACTCTCTAGGAAGTTGGAACGCTAACTTGTTACTCCAGCAAAGCAAATAGCTACATCCAGATCAGACATAAAAGTTGCCTAGTTTTAGGATTTTGTCCTAGGAAGCCAACTGCAATGGTCGGAGTGCTTGTGTTCCCCCCAAATTAGTATGTTAAAATCCTAACCCCCAAGGTGATGGTATTAGAAAGTGGGAACTTTGGGAGGTGATTAGGTCATGAGGGTGGAGACTTTATAAATGAGATTAGTGCCCTTATAAAATAGACCCCAGAGAGCCCTTTTATGCCTTTCACCATGTAAGGACACAGCAACAAGTCACTCTCTGTGAGCCAGAATGTCACAGCCCTCACCAGCCACTAAATCTACCAGCCTACAGAACTGTGGGAAATCAATATCTGTTTTTTACAAGCCACGTAGTTTTTGGTATTTTGTTATAGGAGCTGAAATGGACTAATACACCAGCCAACTTCTGAATGATAGGAGCAGACAGAGACTATTTTAATTTGAAAAAAATTGCTATAATATATTTTTCCCAGTTAAAAAGTTAATTAAAGGCAGTGGTTTTTTGTTTTGTTTTGTTTTCTTCCATAAAAAATATATAGGGTTTAGGTATCCTATTGAGCCTCAGGAAATTGAATAGAAATGGATATTCTATTTGGCAGTACAGAGGTTAAAAAAAAGAAAAGAAAAACCTGCATGGAATTTAGGCATCTTTTTTTTTTTTTTTTTTTTGTAGCTGCCTTTTCAATAACAATTAAGTGATTAATATGATCATTATTATTCAGAGGTGTAGTCATATAAGCAAATATTTTGATGCTGAGCTTAAATGTTTCCATAGAAAAATTATCCTGATATTTTGGCCTCTGTATGAAAAAAAAAAAAAAAAAAAGAAGGAAATGGGAAAGAGATCTAGGGCAAATTTTTAATAATATGGATTTTTCCCCCTTTCACATAGTGTGAAAGTTACAGTGGTTGCCAGCAGCACTAAAACAGTCAGACCACTTTCAGAAATTCAGTCACCTCTTAAACACTTAGAGGCTGCATTGAGTGAAAACCCGTTTTCAGAAGAGTTTCCAAGGAAGTAGAAAGTTTCCACACCCTACATCTTGTACTAAAAGAAATGGAAACAGGGGTCTGTCTGCCAAGAAGTCTGAATTGTTGTGTCACAGACTGTTGAACATTATAATCAGTAATAAAAATGGGAACATGCTTGATGCTACATTAAAATACACTTTGAAAAGCTTAGCCTAATAATATTTTTTTGATTTATTTTATTATTATTGTTTTGCAATGCTTACAGTGTTTCCACATTTCAAATAACAATAAGAAAAGCAAGACAGGAAAAATAAACTTTAAATAGAGATCTTTAGAAGAAGTATATTGAAAAACTTCTTTTTTTTTCTCAAAAATTACTTGGAAAAATCCTAGGATTGTCAATCTGATGAGCCAAAGGCTAGTAGTAGAAATTTTAGTCTTTGTTTTTCTAATTGTGAACACAATAGATGCTCATATAAAAATTGAAATGATTCAAAAAAGTATAGGAACAAAGTAAAAATCAGTCCCAGATTTCTCAAAGATAATCACTGTTAATGTTTCCAGACATAATTCTGGACATCTGTCCGTACATACATTGTATTAATGCATAGTTCAATATAATGTTGTGTAGACATAATTTTATATAAATGGGTGCACACTTTGGGCTTTGGTTACATAGCTTTTTTCATTCAACAATATCTAGTTAACATTTTCCCGAGTCAATAAATATAAATCTATTCAATTCTTATTCTTTTATTCATTATTCTGTGACATAGGTAATATACAAGTCATGGAGTTGATCTGTTGGTCATTTAGATTGTTTCTAATTCTTTGCTACTTTTGAATAGTACTATCATAGACATCCTTGTATGTGTAGTTCAATTATCTTATTAGGATAAATTTCTTGAGGCAGAATTCGTTCTTTCATTTATTTGTTCATTGAATCAATAAACATTTATACAGAAAGATAGGTATTAGCTTAAGCACAGGGGATTTACAGGGGTAGAAAGAAAAAACCTTCTCCTTGTGGAGCTTACATTTTTCGAAGCAAGGAACATCATAAATAAGCAAACAAACAATCAACAGATTATAAGTGTTATGGCAACAATAACATAAGGTGATTATTTTAAAAGTAATTGGTAGCTCACTTTAGAGGGAGTGGACAGAAAAACTTCAATAAGGAGGGACTATTTGAGCTGAGACCCAAATGTGAAAATATGTACTCATGTATAAAAATGGAAGGCAGAGCACTACAAGTAGAGAGAAAAACAAGTGCAAAGACCTTGAAATAGGAAAGATCTTGGCCTGTTCGAGGGACAGGAAGAAAGCCAGTATGTCTGGCTTCCTGTATGTCAGGACGTGGGGAGAGCGGCAGGGGATTAAGGTTGAGATGCATGTCAAGGCCGGGTCATGTGAAGCACTGTATGTATTGTAAAGTGTTAGGGCTAACATCCTACCGCATTGGGAAGCCAACAGAGAGTTTTATATTGAGATCGTGAGTTTAAACGGATTGTCCCAGCTGCTATGTGTGTTTGGGGGAGGTTTGGGGTCAAGAGAGAGGACAGGGAAATGAATCAGAGTATATTTCAGTAATCCGAGGGGGAGTTGGACCAAGGAGTTTTGTGAAGTGGGGTTATGGATTAGGAATACTTTTCTTAACCTGTAATATGCTTACATCATACTAAACTTGAAGGGCCTCTTAGACACATGTATGGATATGCATCAGGCAGCTGGATATCTGAATTCGGAACTTAGGGAAATGATAAACACTTAGAGAAATGAGTTATCAGCAGAAGGGTAGTATTAAAGGCTTGGAACTGGAGACAAAACTTACAAAGAAAGTATAGAAAGAGAAAAGTAGGGGGCTTAGGACTAGTCCCTGGGGCACTCAAAGGTTTAAAGACTGAGCAGAAGGGGGTGGTGGCCATCAGAGGAGGCTAAGCAGGAGTAGTCAGTGAGGTAGGAGGAAAACCAGGAGCATGAGTATCGCAGAAGCGAGAAGAGGTGGTGTTTTAGTAACTAAGACCAGCAAACTGTGTAAATTCCTACTGTGGTCTGAGTAAAATGAATACAGCAAAGTGTCTCCTGGATTTGGCAACACAGACATCACTGGTGACCCTAAGAAAGGCAGTTTAAGTAGAGTGGTGGAGATGGAGTCTTGGTCAAAGAGGGTTAAGGAGAGATTAGGTTACAAGGAAGTCCACAATGGCCAATTCTTTCAGAAATTTTACTTTTATGGGGAGAAAAAATGTGGCAGTGCATAAAGGGCAAGACACTTTGAAAAATAAAATATTCTTTTTTTTTTTTTTTAAGAGACAAAATCTCGCTCTGCTGCCCAGACTGGAGTGCAATGGCACAATCTGAGCTCACTGCCACCTCTGCCTCCCATGTTCAAGTGATTCTCCTGCCTCAGCCTCCCAGGCAGCTGTGATTACAGGCACCCACCACCACACCTGGATAATTTTTGTATTTTTGTAGAGATGAGGTTTTACCATGTTGGCCAGGCTGGTCTTGAACTCCTGACCTCGTAATCCGCCCACTTTGGCCTCCTGAAGGGCTAGAATTACAGGTGTGAGCCACTGCTCCTGGCCGAAAAATAAAATATTCTAAACTTGCTGATACTCTGATGGAAGTGACCCTGTAGGGAGAAAGAAATTGATAATGAAAGAGAGGTCAGTTAAAACCAAGGAGCCTCACTGGTGATTAGGTAAAAGGAGCTGGAACCCAGAAGAGAAGCGGAAGGGCCGACTGTAAGATGTGGTTATGCCAGGGAGTATGGCGGGCAGTGTCCACCAGACATGCATAGGCCACTAGACTTGGTGGTATTCTTTAAGGAAGTCCTCAAAGTATAACTATTTTCCCCTACAGCGTAGTTAGAGGCGAGACTGGAGGCTAAAACCGTGGTGAGAGAAGAAGGTGGTGGAAATTGAGGTGATACAAAAAAGTATAAACGAATTGTTTCAGAAGAACACTAGATGTGGTAAGATGCTTAGTGTTAAGTGCTTATATGACCCGTGGTTATTAATTTAAATGGAGGCCAAATGGCGTGGCTGTATGTATGTGTGTATACATTTCCTGCCAGGTATACTACATGGGCATAAGTATGGAATAAAGAAATAACAGGGTTCACAGAGTTTGGGGTTTTCCTAGGTTATTGTAGCAGAGGAAGATAGAGGCAAGGGGCTGATGGATTTCGCAAAGTAGTGACTGAAGGGACAGAACATGGAATCTAAGCTGGATAAAGAGGGAACTGTGGAGATGAGAGAGTGTTATGTGTGGAATTGTGTCCCACTCAATTCTACATTGAAATGCAAATCCTCAGTACCTCAGAATGTGACTGTATTTGGAGACACGGCCTTTAAAGAAGCAAGTCCAGGAGGCAGAAGTTGCGGTGAGCTGAGATCGTGCCATTGCACACTCCAGCCTGGGCAACGAGAGCAAAACTCCATCTCAAAAAAAAAAAAAAAAAAAAAAAGCAAGTCTGTTAAAATGAGGCCATTAGCGAAAAGCCTTTATCCAAAAAGACACATTTCCTCACAAGAAGTATAAACTAAGACACAGCCACAAATAGAGGGAAGACCATGTGAAGACAGAAGGAGAAGATGGCTATCTACAAGCCTAGGAGAGAGGCATCAGAAGAAACCAACCAACCCTGTTGACTTCTTGACCTCAAAGTCTTAGCCTCCAGAATTGTGAGAAAAAAAAAAATTTCTGTTGCATAGGCCATCCTGTCTGTGATACTGTCAGGACAGCACTAGCAGACGAACACAGAAAGGTATAATAAAAGTAACAAAAAGATTGTTGGATCAACAAAGTATATGTTTAGCTGACCACACACAGAATGGTTGGCATGAGAAAACAAGTACAAGTAAGTTTGAAGAATAGGGCATGGAAATGAGAAAGTAGGGTGCTTAAAAGTAAAATTATGAAGACCATGAGGTTACTGGGAATGACAAAACCAAGGTTGGGACCCTGGGAGTGCTGAAGTAAGGCTGAAGAAAAGATTATTGAAGGAAAGGAGTGAAGATTGAGGGGAAAAGGTAGTTGATGAGGCATTCACGTGGATTCATGTTGAAGTCACACAGGAACGACAGAAGTAGGAGTAAGGAGGAAAATAGTGAATCAATGAATAGAATATCCAACAAATGGGAGACAGAGAGAGAAATTGAGAGAGAGAGAGAGAGAGATCATAGATGATGATAATAAAGGCAGGGGATAGGTATGTTCTGGCTGCATTCAATTCAAACAAGGAAGGAAAGAAAAGGAGGAAGGAGAGAAAAGAGTTTAGAAGAGACAACTAGGAGGGAAGAAAGCATAATCCCTTCACCTCCAGACACTGAGGTACTTGGGGTTTAAACAAAAATCAACTTTCAGTGAAAGAACTGCCAAGCTGGCACTGTTCTCAGGGAGACCTAAAGTGGACTTAGGAGAAAAAAGGTGAAAGAACAAATCAGAATAGAGATTGAAGATATAGAGGTGCTTACCCATGCTTGGGCCACAAGTTCCATACGTCAAAGTAAGAGTTTGGGACTATAGGGAAGATGACATGATACAAGGTTAGATTAGCAGATTAAGGATATGTTTCCAGGTGAAGATGGATGAGGCTTCATGCTGGAGTCTTAGAGATTATTGATGTCAGTGGTGTGCTGTCTTGAGTAGCTGCTGTCATCATGCTGGCTGCAGCAGGGAGGCATGGCTGGGGCTGCCTGCTCCATGGAACCAGTGGGAGCCAGGGACATGTGGGAGTCCCACCCCTTCCAAGTTGGGGCGAGAGTTCCCCAGGTGCCACTGCAGCCACCCAAGCCTCAGCTGCGGACCCGGGAACCCCTGTGCTCTCTGGGCCCAGGAGCAGGTGGGAGCCCCACCCTCCTGGGCACAGCTGCAGTTGCCCAACCCATGGCTGCAGACCCAGGCCTCCTGTTGCATGGAGCAGGCAGGAGCTCAACCTTCCCAGGCAGGGCTGCAGCCACTCAAGTCATGGGTGCAGATCCAGGCCTCCTGCTCCAAAGAACAGCAGGAGCCCCACTTTTCTGGGCACAGCTGCAGCTGCCCACGTTGTGGCTGCGGACCCAGGCCTCCTTGTGCTTTTGGGGATGCTAGGAGCAGGCAGGAGTCCTGCACCCCTCAGGCCCAGCTGCAACTGCTGAAACCATGGCTGTGGACTCAAGCATTGCTGCACTCTTGGGGATCTGAGAAGGCTCCCCCTACCCTTGCAGGCTCGAAAGTAGCTGCTTCCACTGCTGGCTTCTCCCTGCTGTTGGTGTCCGTTCCAATCTCAGAGCAAATTCAGGGCCAAGCCCAGGCACTGTCACAGCCCAGCCAGGTGTGCACATGCTCAGGGCAATGCTGACATGCCAGACCTCTGCTGCCTTGGCCACCTCCGGACTTGGGATGCTGATGAGCATAGGAGAGAAGCTGATGAGGGGGCTGAAGGCAGCTTAATGCTGGCCTACAGGTGCCCCTTGGCACCTACAGCCTGGGAGCCATGAACAGCTGCAGGAGAGAGGCAGGTTCCTGGGTGGAAGGGAACAGGTCCCTGGTGAGGCCCCACCTTCAGGACAGGGAGGGCCTGAAAGCTGGGGGCCAGGATGCCAGTCCCACAGACTGGAGTGGGAACTTGTGGTGCTTTTTCCAGGCCTGCCCATGGCTGCCCCTGGACCAATTGGCACACACTTCCTCCCTTCTGAGGCTCATAAAAGCCCTGGGCTCAGCCAAAGCTGAGCAGACATTGGGACGACTGGCTGCTGAGAGGAGGCACCCACTCCAGGGACTTCTCTCTGCTGTGAGCTGCAGACATCAGGATGACCAGCTACAGAGAGGAGCAACCCACTACAGAACCTCCTCTCTGCTGAGAGCTACACAGATGGTGGGATGACCAGCTGGAGAGAGGAGCTACACTCTCTGCTGGGAGTGAACACTTGTTGGGACAACCTGCCTGCAGAGCAGAGCTACTCTCTCTGCTAGGATCTGAACACTCAACAAGGCACCCTGGCTGTGGAAAGGAGCTGCCCCCTTCAGGAGACTGAGCTGTTCTATTGCTTAATGAAGCTCCTCTTTGTCTGGCTCACCCTTCACTTTGCATAATGTATTCTTCCTGGTTTCAGGACAAGAACTTGGGGCCTGCTGAATGGTGAGGCTAAAAGGGCTGTAACACAAACAGGGCTGAAGCATGCCCCTTTCTTGTCACATTGTGGGTGAAGAGAAGGAGAGAAGAGCTGCAGCCTTTCAGGCAGCCCAGACGTGGGAGCTCCCTGAGCCAGGGCTGTGACTCTCTCTCTGGGGCCCTGCAGTTCCTGGCATCTCCAAGCTTTCACGTGCCACTGCATTCCCCGGGGCCAGCCAGGGAAGTGGCTTGCTGTCCACCTGGTCCAGCCACAGCCTCGCAGAGAGCCAGTGCCATGACAGCACCTGGAGCTGCCTGCCCCATGGTAGCTGGCAGGCAACTGGTGGGTCTGACTGCACAGTGGCCAGACCCCACACCCACTCACACACCCATTGCTGCTCCACACCTGACTTGCGTCTCTTTTGAAGCTATGGGATTTAGGCTGGCACCGTGAGCTGTGCACCACCCGCCAGGCTGAGTGGGCAGAATGAGCCCAGCAGGCCCAAGCAAAACTTGGGCAAAGGCACGACTGGCCACAGGTTTCCAGTCAGAAAAGTGACACCCCAAAGATCTGTAACACTAGGGTGATGAGAGATGTGAGGCTTTTCTTTGTATGGAGTTTTAGAGGGGGGTTATGAATATTTTAAGCTGGAAAGTGTAGGGAGACTGAATGGCCCACTGTTCTCAGAGATGAAGAGAGACTTCCTTTGAGATACTGGACTTGGAAGACATTTCTCAGTAGTGTGCTGCTGGAGAGGTATTCTCACTAGAGCACCAGGAAGAATGAAGTATACATACATAAAAATGGAGATCCACGTGATTAATAAACATAAGGTGCACATTATCAATAATAGCCAATTTACTACAAATAAAATGAGATATATTTTGTCTAGGAGATGGATACATGTTAGAAAATAATTTGTTCTACTCTGTGTTGGTGAGGGTGGGAGAAAGATGCACGCTCCTTCACAGTTGTGACCAAATAAGTTAGTACAGCCCTTTGGCAGGGCTAGCTCATGAATATGCAATCTTATTTTGAACATGCATCCCTTTAGCCCAGAAATCCCTTCATGTGGGTCAGTGAGAGTACTTCTTCTCTAGCAGTTGCTACTATGCTATTTCAGTTGTTATCTACCCTGTGTATATAATCCTGTCACTCTTAGTGTTACTACTCACAGAGTTCTCTGCATCTTCTTCAGAATGAATCTTATGTTTGTAGACCATGCACTGGGTTTGGGTCACAAAGGTGTCATTTTTGAATCTTTATTTTTCTACTTACTAACTACATGCTCTATTTTCACTGCAATGTGTCTACATGCTCTATTTTCACTACACACTACAGTGTGTTTACATGCTCTATTTTCACTACACACTACAGTGTGTCTACATGCTCTATTTTCACTACAATGTTTTTCGATGGAAGTCAGGATCATAATTCTCACCTGACGCAACTCAGCACTAAATGAAATGGTGTGTGTGAAATTGCCTGGTGTGATGGGACACACAGTTATCAGTCATGAATGTAAGGTAATGAAAGCAAGCCTTCAAGAAAGCACGTTTTAGTTATTGAGACTTTCCCCGCTGATTCTAATATGAGATGTAATATAAAAATAAAGTCTCCTACACAGATTTGTTATTTTTTCTTTGCTATTTTTTATTCAAATTCAGGTCTACTTGCTCTAATTCAGATCTCCTGACCTGTAGAACATTGTCTGTGTGGCCTGCTGTTCCCATGCCCCTAGAAAATAAGTGGACTCTACTGATTTT
Organism: Homo sapiens; assembly: GCF_000001405.40. NCBI lineage: Eukaryota > Metazoa > Chordata > Mammalia > Primates > Hominidae > Homo > Homo sapiens. The sequence goes on from NC_000017.11 coordinate 69,804,086, forward strand.
CTCAATACTCGGGACTGTTACTTAACATTTGTTTTAAATTTTGTTAGGAAATGAGATTATGACCCAAATAATTATGAGCAGAATAAATTATAAGCATAATAATTTTGAGACAAATATGAGATGAATATAATATCATCATTCAAACTTATTAAAGCCATTTATCCACTTTTTGGGGGGCTAGAATGGCATTTTGTATTTTCCATAGATGGTTTCAACAATTTTAACCATTCTACGTGCAATGTTGAGATGTGGCCTTGTGTAACCACACCAGACCAATCTGGTTCAACTTTTATGTCATGAAGCAGTGAGATGTTTTTCAGTTGCCCTGTGCCCCCAGTTTGAAGGTCACATAACCTGAGCATGCCCAGATGAACCAAGAGTGCACCCTGGGTAGAATGTAAGTGCTCACATTGAGTGGGGACTGAATTACAAAACAGATGCCCTATAGCAGAACCCAGGATCCAATCAAATGGAGCCTTGTTGTCACCCCATGGGAGGATCCAGTCAGATCATGCCTCTTGGCATCACCTCATTGTGAGATCCAATCAAATCACATCTCAGCCTATGCTTATAAAACCTGACCCAGCCCTGCTCAAGGAGACACATTTGAGCATTTCTTCCTATGTCCTTCCCAGTTTACTGGTGCTTTGGTGTTTGGTTTTCCAATGAGTGCAGACAAAATAACCTAGTTTGGTTCAGTAACACTTGCCATCCTCCTTTGAAAAGGTAACGTCTAACTCTCCTCCTCATGAATTCAGGCTGGCTTTATGTCTTATTTGTAACCAATAAACTACACAACACTAGGAAGAATCACTCAGCTGAGTCCTACTCCTGACTTCTTGACCCAAAGGACACAATAAATAATAAAACTGTGTGGGCAACGTCTTGATCCAAAGGATACAATAAATAAAACCGTGTGAGCAGTTCGACATGTAGCAATAGTAACTAGAATAGTAACCATTGATAGAAATAGGTGTGTGGACTTTTTCCAGAATAAATTAGAATGGATATAGAAAAAGAGAGGGGGCAATTGTAGGATTGTTCCCTGGAGAGTTAATGGCATAAATAGTATAGAAGGAAGCACCATTGGCACCAGGCTAGGAAGAGGAAGAAGTAGGGCCCATGAACTGGGTAATGGAGTGAATAAAATATGAGATGTTAAAGATACAGAAATCTCAATTCATCTTAAGGCTGCATGCAGAGGGAGCAAAGAAGTGAAAAAGTTGGAGAATCTGAAGAGTCAGGACATTGTAGTAAGAAAGGGAGTAAAATCCTGGAAATTAAAATTTCAGAAGTAAAGAAATTGGGGAATAATGATTACATGTATAGTAAGCTTTTGAATAATAGAGATGAATGCCGTGAAGGGAGAGGAGATTAGAGTAATTTTCAAGTAGAGTTTTAATGGGTATTAGTCAACTCTTGCGGTGGTGGCAAACAACCTCAATATCTCAGGGGCTTGCAAAAAAAGACATCCTCTTTCATTGATGTCAGGATGAAGTTGGTTATGACCTGGCTCTGCTGGGCTCAGGTCTGTGTGCAAACCCGTTAAGCAGCCAGTGTTTGGAATATGCTGTTCTGTTGGTCAGGACAAAAGGAATGAGACAGAATCAAACAATAAAGCTGTACCTTGAGGTTCAGCCCATATGCAGTATACCTCCTATTCATTTAAATTCCAATGGTCAAAGAAAGTTACAGGACCTACCCCAAAACCAATGGGGCAAAATAAGTACATTTTGCTTCTACGGAAACATGGTGAACAAATAATTTAATCTACCGTGGTTGATAATACAGATAATGAGGTTGTTACAAATGTTATGGGTTCCTAATTTGAAGAGGAAGATTGTAAACCAGTTGCCAAAGCTTAAAAAGACAATCTTTGTAATAGAAATATATAGCTTATATCATCATAAAATTGCCAAAAGATCATGTTAGTATTAAAAATGAGCTAGGCAATGACCACACTTTGGAATTCATGTGCTTTCCATTCTCTAAAGCTATATCCTACAACTATAAACCAATTAAGTGGTTAAACAAAACAAAGTACATGCAGTGAACTACACACATATCTGCAAAATTTCACTACATTTACTCTTTTCCTTTATTGGCAATTTCTTTTTTCAAAGGCATCATAATCTCACTACCTTTTTCTGCTGATAAAAGTGCAGGAGTGAAATGCTAGTTCATTGAGTGGGCTGGAAAATCTTCACGTCTACAGTCAAAAGCTTGGCTAACTTCTTGCATTTCTTTTTGCATTTAATTAGATGCTAAAGATATAGAGACATTATAGTTGAGGAAACTCCAACTATTTGCATGACTCAAGCACTAATTAAAACAAGGGGTTGGACGTGGTGGCTCACGCCTATAATCCCAGCACTTTGGGAGGCCACGGTGGAAGCATCATTTGAACCCGGGGGAGGTAGAGGCTGCAGTGAGCTGTGATCATGTCACTACACTTTAGCCTTGGCAACAAAGAGAGAACCCATCTCAAAAAAAACAAAAAACAAAATACACAAGAATTTTATTTCAAGGAGGAACAGCATGGAAGACTTAGTTCCACTTCTGGTATGTTTTGGGAGGAAATACCCATGAGAATCCCTTGGTAAGATTATCTTCAGAACTTTGTAACTCCAGCTTGTTACAAATAAGGGAGAGGTGAAAACTTGTATCCATTCTTATGTACAGCTTTTTCTAAGAATCTCTTGTATTCTATAAATCTATTGCAATCACAAGAATGAGAATATTATTTGATATATCATGCTCAATAATAACAAAATAGCTAATATTTATTGATCTAAGTTCCAGGCATTTTAATTGTACATAGATTTTATTGATTGAATGATCATAATAACAACTCCATAAAGTATTATTATCAAATCCATTTTATAATTGAGTAACCAAAGTATGAAAGTTTAACTACAAGTCACACAAGTTGCACAAGGTTACATATATAATTGTTAGTGGTGACCAGATTCAAATCCAGGTAGTGTGGCTCGAAAACCTGAATTAACCTATGCAATATACCCATGGTTCTCAAACTGTGTACTGAGACACTCTTGGATAATGTAAGCAAACTCCTGGAGTTACTTTGGGATATTTTAATTTTTCTAGAGAAACACAGCAACATCTATTAGACACTATAGATGACTATATCTAAGTCATTTAAACCTGACTTAGTACATGGAATTGCTATTTCTTTTGGCCTATCGTTGCCTTGAAAAAGCTTCTGAAACACTGAGAGTGTTATAATCTAAGAGTATTTGCTAACCTCTGCAGTATGCTGTCTTCAGATAGCAACTTAGGCATGTAGTAGGATTCCAGACATCTCTATCGCTGGCCACCAGCATCTTTTACAACTAAATCATCGGCATCACTGTTTTGTTTTGTTTTGTTTTGTTTTTAAATTAGAATTGTTAGCACTTTTTATTTTAATCCTTACTATTAACATTATTATTTTGAGCAGTTATTATCATATAAATATGAAATAAGTTTGGGTAAAAAAAAATTGTAAGGAGAGCAACCTGCTTTGTTTTTGCTCACTCTGGGTTCCTAAAAATTGAATCTAATAGGAAGCGTTCACCTGATGCAGCTATTCATGGATAAGAAATGTTAGAGTGGTATTTTAACTCAGGACTTCATATCAAGGTGAAAGAAATGTATTGACATTCACTAATAGCATAGTTTGTAATTGAAACTATACATAATTTAATATGCGAATTTATACTTCAGAAATATTCTCAACTTTCTCAAGAAAATTTTGGCATTGAAATTGTTTTCTATTATGAATCTTCAGTTTTTCCTTCCTAGAAATTTGGTGATAATTCTTAACTATTAACATTACAGATACAGTTCAGGCCAGAACTGAAATTTTCTTATAGATTTTTGGAATCTGTTATGATAGTCCACTTAGTCTAATACAATTACACAATTCTTGCTCAGGACACTTATTAACTACTAAAGCATTCGTAATCTTTGCTTATGTACCTGTGTAAGGTTTATATTGAATATATTAACCATGTTCCTGGGAAGCCATTGTTTTCATCTAATATTTTCTGCTAATTTTTGGCCACCTTTTCTCCTTGTTATAGAAAATGGCAGGACAGAGCTCTATTTTTCTGCTTCTCTAACAGAATCACTCCGGGCTTTCCTTTTCTTTTTTTTTTTTTTTTTTTTTTTTGAGACGGAGTCTCGCTCTGTCGCCCAGGCTGGAGTGCAGTGGCGGGATCTCGGCTCACTGCAAGCTCCGCCTCCCGGGTTCACGCCATTCTCCTGCCTCAGCCTCCCAAGTAGCTGGGACTACAGGCGCCCGCCACTACGCCCGGCTAATTTTTTGTATTTTTAGTAGAGACGGGGTTTCACCGTTTTAGCTGGGATGGTCTCGATCTCCTGACCTCGTGATCCGCCCGCCTCGGCCTCCCAAAGTGCTGGGATTACAGGCGTGAGCCACCGCGCCCGGCCCGGGCTTTCCTTTTCTATGCAGTATTAATAATTATCTGGCCAAGGCCATGAGAGTCATGTTTAAAACCCTTTAAGATAAATCTCTCTGCTTAGCATGTGTCAATCAAATGGATTACCCATTCTTCAGGAACATGGCTTAACTTGTCTAAAGCCGTTAAACATGAATCCTTACCTCAATCTCCACTGAGTAATAGTAGCCTGGGTATTTTGGCCCAATAATCTGTCTATAATTGGGTGGCCTTGTTGATATACTGCAGGGTTATAAACTGAATGTTTCACCCTCAAATTCTTACGTGAAAGCCCTAACCCTTAATGAAATGGTATTTGGAGATGGGGCCTTTGAAAGGTAATCAGGGTTAGGTAAGGTCAAAAATGTGGGGCCCTCATGATAGGATTAATGTCCTCATGAGAAGAGACATTAGAAAGCTTGCTTCCCCTCCTTTTCGCCATCACTTGAAGACACAGCAAAAAGGCGGCTGTCTGCAAGGCAGGAAGAGAGCCCTCACCGGAACCCAACCATGCTGGCATCCTGATCTCATTCTTTTAGCTTCCAGAACTTTGAGAAAATGAATGTTTGTTGTTTAAGCTGCACAGTCTCTGGTATTTTGTTATGGTGACCCAAGCTAACTAGCATATCTAGGTATTCATTATTTGGGTTGCTTTTTTGATTGATGATCAGTATTCTAATGTCTTGTCAACTAATTTTGTCATATAATAACATAGACTGATAACCTATATGCACTATAAATTAAATAAAATAAGGTCATAAACAACCTTGACTAAAGCATCAAGCATCATTGTTTTTGCCTAAAATGAACAGATTCTCCAATTTTCTTCTTATTGGGCTGAAGACATGTAGCCATCAATTATTATCTTTAGAGAAAATTTACAAAAATGTAGACAAGCAATGTAGATTCCTACTGCTCAGAAAACAGACCACTCTTGCTGGCATAGCACATAACTCAGCTATGAGTGAAACTGTAGCCAGTCTGTGACTACGGGGGTAATGTCCAGACATTGCTTGAAATGTTAGAACATGTCTCAGTAGCATTATGTTTTGTAATAACAAGAATTGTAAACAAATACAATCACATTAAGCCTGAAATGCTGAATGTGCTGGCACAATAGATGATTCAGTATTTAATTCTGAAATGAATATAATTTTAGTAATTTGGGAGAATGCCTCTCTGAGTGAGACTTCTTCCTTTTTTTTTTTTTTTTTTTTGCTTTGTTAAAAACTTTTCTGAAAGATTAGTTTGTTTACAGCTGTTTTGGTGACCATCAATTGAAAATGGAAGGAAAACCTTAACATGCCAATAATCCTGTATTTTTGTGTGTACGAAGTGGAAAAATAAGTACTGTATTGTATTTCATACACCATTGTATCTGTGAGTTGAGACAAATTTAGCATACAAATATTCATATAACTTCCTCTATATTGTAGTATTGCATGCTATTGAGACCTTATCTATGAGAGCTTTCTCATTGCATTCATAAAAACAATTTATTAAAATACGAAGGCTTATTTTTAGCCATGTAAAAGATATCTATTTACTAATTTCAAATTTACTGTTTATTGTTACCATTTTGATAGATCTTTCTGATTTTGACCCTCACCTATTTTCTTTACTTCATGCCTTTAAGGTTTCTTTCTAGGGCTGTGTCTCAAAATGTGTCTCAGATATAAGAGGGTTCCCCAGTGCTGGTCCAGTGACTGAGGTGAGAAAAGATATATAAGAATATACCCTGGAACTTTAAAAAGTATTAGGCTTGGTGTCTACGCTCAAGAAATTTTCATCTTGTAAGATCTGAGATGTGATCCAGGAATCCGTTATTTTTTAACTCCCAATTTCATTTTGACATTCAGCCAAGAGTAGGAACCACTGAAATGGTTGAGTATTAGCTGGTACCTTTCTTGTTTATGATGACCTAGTGTTGAGGCTGATACTGTAGAGTGCTTGGCCTGTGAAACAAAGTCGAATTCATGTGATGATTAATTTTATGTGTCAACTCGAGTGGGCCATGAGATGCTCAGAGTAAACATTCTTTCTGGGTGTATCTGTGAGGGTGTTTCCAGATCAGACAACCATTCCAATTGGTGGATTCAGTAAAGTAGATTGCCCTCCGCAATGGGGCGGGGGCGGGGGGCATCATCTAATCCATTGAAAAAGAAGAAATAAAACAGAAGGTAGAAGAAGAAGGAATTTGCTTTTTTTTTTTTTTTTCTTGGCTCACTGAGCTGAGACATCTGATCTCACCTTCTCCTGCCTTCAGACTGGGGTTTACATCCTCATCTTCCCTTGTTCCTAGGCTTTTTGAGTCAGACTGAATTACATCACTGACTTTCCTAGGTCTTGAGCTTGCATATGGTAGATCATGGGACTTCTCATCCTCCATAAGACTGTGAGCCAATTCCCATAATAAATCTCATGTGTATATGCACACATTCACACTATTGGTTCTATGCATACTGTATATTATAATCTTCATTATGTATAAAATATTTATATAATATTTAATATTTATATCCTATTTATTTTATATTATAAAATAGGATATATAATATGTATCCTATCTATCTTATTTCTCCAGATAACTCTGACTAATATAATTCATCAAAACAGTAGGCAGTTCCGAATATCATATCATCTCTTGGCCTGAGGTTCTAAACTTGTGTAATAAAAACTTTGAACGACCTCTAAAAATTGATGAATTTGTAACGCAAACAGACTTCTTTTAGTTCTCCATTATGTCTTCATGGGCAGTTTTAGTCTTTGCTATTTTCTGAGATTACTCTGGTTATCATGATAATACAATTTCTTTATCATTGTCGAAATTACATTATCTACTATCTAGTTAGAGATTTATTTCTCTTTAGCTGGAACTATGTAGGACTCTTTGAAATATTTACCTTTTCTCTGAGGCCACTCCTCTTCCTTAAGCCTGCTGATTGGGTATATATTTGGCTTAGGCAAATTCATCATTGTTATTAAAATAATGATACTATATATGGCCTACTGATTCTAGGCTGATTATCTTACCTTCATATTAGAAATCAAATGTATAGAGATTAGAAAACCATGAAGTTATGTAGAAAAGATAAATAAATCACTTTTTTTTCATTTAGACTGCAATGAGAAAGAATTGGTAGTTATTATGAGAGTACATAGGAAGGGTACTAAAATCAATCTTCAGGACTAAAAAAAATTTTTGTGAGGGTGACATCTAGGCATCATCTTAAACAATGAGCAAGAAGTAGCCAGACACAGGTGATTAGAAAGATGTTTTAGGCAGAAGAGATAGCATGAGCAAAGTCATGGAGATTAGAAGTTAAGGTGTGTTTCCTGAGGCTGAAAATACTTGGATTTGCTTGAACATGAGATATGATCAGGGAGAAAATGAGTTTTGATTGCTTATGAGTTTAGAATTAGATAGTGAAGTACAATCAAGTACAGATGACTCCTTCTAAAGGCAGCGCCAGCCCAGGTAAAACAAAAATACAGATTCAGCATCAAAAGCTGTGTCTGACTCCAAACTTCAGTTTTTGTCACTATACCTTACATGTTATGATATAATGTATAATAATTTGACAGCATCGATACCACTTGGTTACCAGAAAAAATGCATATGATGTAAGCGTGAGGGTAAGAGTGAGTTATCATTTTACTCTACTGAGACAGGAATAATACAGGGTGATTGCAGGAGAATAGAAAATTTCAGGCAGCAGTTTTACATGACTAGCAAAAGGAAGCCGGTGAAATAGCTGTGTATGTTAGGTAATAGCTGATAAACCCCTAAAAAACCAGAGTGTGGGCCAAGCTGGCTAAGACTGACTGGTCCCTACATAGTGCTAGATTTGACCTAGGTTTCACCTAGGACCTCATTATCTGCTCATTAACATTCTCAATTACACACCCACCAGCACCAGGACAGTTCTGGGAACACGTATATCTAGTGTAAAAATGGGTGGCACTGTACTTCCAAGAAATCTTTACCTTTTTCCAAGAATCTTCATAAATATTCCACTCCTTGGTTAAACAAACCCATAAAGGTAGAAACCTCAAACCTCATTGCACAACTCACTCTCCTGAGTGCACCCACACCCCTCTTTATTTCTTGTGTACTTTTCATTTTGCAATACATCTCCATACTTTTCACTATTTTCTGACTCATCCTTGAATTCCTTCTCACGATGGTGTCAAGAGCCTTGAAACCACTGGGGTTGACATCCCACTGGTGTTTGAGGACCTCCCTTAGCACACTGGTATCACTACCACTCTTCTTTAATAAACCCGTAAGTGCCTGATTATATATTAGAAGCTGATGGAGGTAAGATAATTGCATTCTCCAAAGGCTTCTCTTGAATAGATGTGCTTATGAAGGAGATTGATTGTAAGTTCCTGGAGGTCAGTGATACCTTATTTATACTTCTACGTCTCCAGTGCTTCACCCAGTGCTAGTACAGTGGGCCCTTTATATACATGGGTTCTGCAGATTAAACCAACTGAAGACCAAAAATATTTAGAAAAAATATTCCAGAGTTCCCAAAAGTGAAATTTGAATTTGCCATGCTAAACGTACTACTATGTTGAATCCCTGTGAATGAAGTCATGTGTAGGCATTGTATTAGGTATTATAAGTAATCTAGAGATGATTTAAAGTATACAGGAGAGTACACATAGGTTATATGTAAATATTTTGCCATTTTATATACTAGAGTTCAGCATCCTTGGATTTTGATATCTACAGGCATCCTGCAGTCAATCCCGCAATTGCTAGTGAGGGATGACTTGCATATAATAATGACTTAATTAATCTTATTTGGATGAATGTAATGGGCGGGATGAAACAGCTAAAGATAAGGAACTAATGCCATATAAGGTACTCTTAAATGTAAAATCATCATAAGAGTGTATAAAGTTATATGTAAGATTAAAATATAGAAAAAAAGTCACTTTAATAAGACATTTCACTTTGCTTCCAACAGGCACGTTGGTATCTGGAGAGAGAGGGGAGGAGGAGGAGAAAAAGAAACAGATAGACAGAGGAGAGAGACAAAACCAAAATTAGTTGCTCTTGATATTAATTTTTCAATTGATTTAATATTAGAAACCACAAACATCTACAAGTGAAATGTTATAGTTTAAGAATCAGGCCTCTCACCAGAACGATCAAAACAGTGGCTCCACAAAGTAGAAGTATTACACTAGTTCAGGAGAATGTAATTGCAGACAAACAAAGAGCCCCTATGAGTTCCAATGATTGCTATGAGTTCTTTTATAACAACTCAAAAACATATATGCTGTTGGAAAATATTTACTGGTCATGAAAGCACAGCGTTTAATCTGCTTTGTTTCTCAGAAGCCTGCTTACTTCACCCCATTCTTTATTTTTATTGGATTCTTTTGGAGAACACAAATTACAAGAGGCATTTGTAAGCAGGAAGGTGATTAATAATAAAAACCAACTGAAATGATGATGTATTACCATTCGTGCTGATGTGTAGAGACCAAAAATATAAAATCTCAACAGTTTTCCCTGATTGCACTAGAAAATTAAAACCAAACTCTGGATATGTGGAAAGGGTTTGATTAGAGACAGGTGAAAGCATTAGGTTATTCTAGAATCCTCTGTGGTTTTAAGGTTGGGTCTCTGATAGCCTGTGCATGTTCAGACCAAACACATTTCAAAATGCTGCAGGGGCCAAGTCTGTGCTTCATCGTAACAGAGACATGGTTTCAGACTTTGGGAATGAAGAAGTATAAGGTCATGCAATGAACTCTCCAAGTGCAAAGATGTTAATTTGATTATGAATTCCTGACAATTCCATGGATTCACTTCATTTTGCCCAGCCATAAGACAGAAGCAATTAAAATGATTAGTCTTTAATTATGTTTTAGTCATCTATCTCTTTTTGCTGTCTTTAAAGGATGTGATTTTCATTTAAATTGTTAGCCAACTTTCATTCTGTATCATTTTCCTTAGTTTTTATAATGATTTGAAAATACTTCAACATACACTATACTTCAAAATTTTACTTAGTTGCATGAATTTTTAGGTATCAGCTACTCACCCTGTAATATCTCATTTCCATCATAATCAAATGTAAATTTTATTTCATTTTATTGTGATAAGAACACTTAACATGACATCTTACTCCTTTAACAATTTAAGTGTACAATATATTATTATGGACTCTAGGTACAATGTACAGCAGATCTCTAGAGCCTATGCATCTTGCTTGACTAAAACTTTATACCAATTGATTAATAATTCCCCATTTCCTTCTCCCCTCAGCAGCTGGCAACCACCATTTCACTCTTTGATTCTATCAATAGGACTATTTTAGGTACCTCATAGAAATGGAATCATGCAGTATGCGTCTTTCTGTGGATGGCCTATTTCATAAAAGTTCAACTATGTTGTCTTTGCAGAATTTTCTTCTTTTCTCTAAGGCTGCATCATATTGCATTGTATGTATATACCACATTTCTTTATCTGCCTTTCATCTCTCAAGACATTTAGGGGCCGGGAGGTGGCAGCTCATGCCTGTAATCCCAGCACTTTGGGAGGCCGAGGTGGGTGGATCAGGAGGTCAGGAGATAGAGACCATCCTGGCTGACACGGTGAAACCCCATCTCTACTAAAAATACAAAAACAAAATTAGCCGGGCACGGTGGTGGGTGCCTGTAGTCCCAGCTACTCGGGAGGCTGAGGCAGGAGAATGACATGAACCCGGGAGGCGGAGCTTGCAGTGAGCCGAGATCGTTCCACTGCACTCCAGCCTGGGCAACAGAGTGAAACTCCATCTCAAAAAAAAAAAAAAAAAAAAAAAAAGACATTTAGGTCATTTCCAATGTTGACTACTATGAGGTAGTGCTCGATAAACATAAAAGTGCTAATATTTTTTCCACATTGTAATTTAATTATTTTTGATAAATATCCAGAACTGGGATTGCTGAATTATATAGTAGTGCTATTTTTGTTTTAAGGGGGGAACTTCTACACTGTTTTCCATAGCAGCTGCACCATTTTGTAATCCCGCCAATAGTGTGGAAAGGTTCCAATTTTTCTACATCTTCGTCCAACACTGGTTGTCTTTTGTTTTACTGATAATAGCCATCCTGACAGATGTGCGAGGATATCTCATTGTGCTTTTGATATGCATTTTTCATATATTTGTTGGCATTAATATGTCTTCTCCAGAGAACTATCTAGTCAAGCCCTTAGCTCCTCAAAAAATTCTGGTTATTAGGTTTCTTTTTTTCTGTTGAATTGTAGGAGTTACATATATGACATTTTGGAGATTCATTCCACTACGAGATGTATGGTTTGCAAATATTTTCTCCCATTATGTAGGTTGTCTTTTCACTCTGTTGATGGTTTTCGTTTGTTGAAATGTAAATTTGAAATATTTAGAAGGCAAATGAACTTTGGTGCTTTGGTTGTGCTATAGAGGAAAGACATGGGGCCTTTGAAAGTGAAGTAAAATGTCAATGCAGATAGGCAGAAGGGGAAATAGAGTTTGCGCATGACGTGCACTCAGGTGTCAGAATTTCCTTGGGCTTTCTTTTAAAATGTTGGATTATTATTTTTCTTGGATGCTACTGATATTTTCATAATCATCCACCTGTTTCTTTGGTTAGTTACATAAAAATAATAGGTGATCTTTCCCATTTTAGCCAAAATTGTCTTGATATTCAGGGAACTGGTGTGTCCCCAATTGATTTCAATCCAAAGAACCAATTTTCTTTGGAATAAAATTATTTAGACAATACTGATTTTAACACTTCATAGAAGAAAGGTGGTAAGAAATTTTCTGAAAGGGAAGTCATAGAAATTTCTTTGAGATTTGGTGTTGACTTGACACACAGACACACACACACGCATGCACACACACAGAAAATTTAACTATTATATATGATTAAATTTTCTCCTGCTGATTCTATCCGTGTGTGACCTGAGACATTATTTGAGACCTTAGCAATCTTCAAGGTTTTATCTTTGGTGTCCTGTTAATCCACTTATTTAAACTCAACTGATGTTCAAAAAGTGCATGAACTCCCTGAAAGAAAAAACCTCATTTTTCATTCCCCACCCTCCTGCCTTCCTTGATTTGTTTACACTCTTGTGATTACTGTCATTTGATTGTCCAGCTATTTCTCACTGATAACTATCCCTGTTGCAATGATTATGAAGAGAACAGAAAAGTGAACACAATGTTCTCAGTTCTGTCTACATTCAGAACTATAATCTTGCGGCTGCCTTTGGAGACTATAGTAGAAGAATAAGATGCACTTTCTTCTAAGTTTGGCAGAGGGCTAATGTTTGGATGGGAAAATATGTTCCTTTTTTTTTTTTTTTTTGAGACATGGTTTCACTCTCATTGTCCAGGCTGGAGTGCAATGGTGTGACGTCGCTCACTGCAACCTCCGCCTCCTGTGCTCAAGAGATCCTCCCACCTCAGCCTCCTGAATAACTGGGACCACAGGTGCATACCACCATGCCTGCACAATTTTTGTATTTTTTGTAGAGATGGGGTTTCGCCATGTTGTCCAGGCTGGTCTTGAACTCCTGGGCTCAAGCAATCCACCCACCTCGGCCTCCAAAAGTGCTGGGATTACAGTGTGAGCCACGGCGCCTGACCTTATGTTCAATTTTAACTGAGATTCACATTTTACATATTTTTGATCATATAAAGTCAGTTGGAGAATGGGTAGTTGATGGGTGCAGACAAAAAATAACTTCACTTTCAATCGCTATTTTATCTTGTTAATCAAACTCAATCACAATTAACAAATATTAAGCACATATCATCCATCCATTGCTCCGATGGAAATTGGGAAATAAACTTGAGTCAATAGAGGTGACTTATGTGTTCATTGACTATTTACACAAAATTATCATAGTTATCTGTGAGTTTGGTGACTAAAATAAAGTATTTTTTAAGTATGATTTCACAGCTGTAAAGCTGGCTTTGTCTATGGTTTTGATGTGGCATTTCTAGAACATAGCCTGTAATCTTATATTTTGATATTTTTTCTTTTATTTCTGAGTCTCAGTTAACTATTTACCAATATTTATAAGAAGACAGAACCAACCCAAATGTCCAACAATGATAGACTGGATTAAGAAAATGTGGCATATATACACCATGGAATACTATGCAGCCATAAAAAATGATGAGTTCATGTCCTTTGTAGGGACATGGATGAAATTGGAAATCATCATTCTCAGTAAACTATTGCAAGGACAAAAAACCAAACACTGCATATTCTCACTCATAGGTGGGAATTGAACAATGAGAACACATGGACACAGGAAGGGGAATATTACACTCTGGGGACTGTTGTGGGGTGGGGGGAGGGGGGAGGGATAGCTTTAGGAGATATACCTAATGCTAAATGACAAGTTAATGGGTGCAGCACACCAGCATGGCACATGTATACATATGTAACTAACCTGCACATTGTGCACATGTACCCTAAAACTTAAAGTATAATAATAAAACCAAACAAAACAAAAAAGAAGACAGGTTGACATGAAACAATAAAAGATTGATGTGGTATGTCCCACTGGGAAAACTGTCCTTGGATATATCCTGAATCTTTTTCATGCCTTGAACTGACATAAAAGTCTTTATTTAAGGAACCTTTTTACAATATTTAAAACATATCTACTGCTCACTCATTCACAGAAACATCAGAAATCCTGAGGTCTTGATTTAATTAAGGCTGATTGACATCAGGCTTCTGAAGTACAAAATTTGTTATCCTGCCTGTGATATTTCCTTCACATATTCTTTATGAAGTCATTGTCTCCAAGAAGTATCTCCTTTTAAGATCCTCAGTCTGCCCTCTCATCTGGTTCCCATAGGTAAATGTAAATGTTACATAATATGCATGGACAGTGTGTATTTATATTTACATTTACCCACAGTGCTCAACCCGTGTCTTAGGCACTTGTTCAAAGGAGGGATGCCTCAACTCAAAGACATCCAGGTCAAAAACACATTTGTGGCATATTTTCAATCATTTCCAAATGTACACATTCAGAGTGGGATAAAGGAGTGGAGAAGAGTCATGCATAAGAACTTCTTATCTTTTTGGAGACTCGTGTCTAAAGATGTTTCCGTAAAAATGTGGGCATGCTTCCAGGGACTAGTGAAATAACTTTGCACTTTCTTCGCTTTCCTTGAGATGAAAAAGAGAACAGCAGGCTGATTCCTGTGTGTCCTGACTCCAGATACCTTACCGAGCGAGTGAACCCTATTGACTTGGGAGGATCCTGCAATTCTAGAGGTGGGATATGGTATGGACCTCCTCAAGCCTCTTTTGAAATTACTGTTTACCAAAACAACTTTTTAAGAAGCTAGCTTAGTGCACTCAGAACTTTCATTTTCTAGTACATTTGAAAATATTTTCATTTTTTTCTTTTTCTTATTTACATGTAACAGTTTAAATCCAACATTTTTATAGTAGCTGCCTTCTGTAAGTACCCCCATTCAGAGTTCTGCCAGGTGAGTGGGTGTGTATCCCAGGTCAATCTCCTTGTGAAACTGCTTAGAGATGGCAAATAGTTAAGGCAGCAAAATCATTTGCGTGGCTTTCTACATGCAGTAGAACAACACTCTTCAAATCTCTGTAAATGCAATTTAGTACATGAATTTTTAAGGTGGAAAAATTCAATTTCTTCTTAAAATGGTGATTTTCCTGATTCTACTGAAAGGATAGCCCATTGTAAGTCTTTGGATCTCACAGGCAATCAAGGTCCCTGGGCACTTTAACAAAAAATAACTAATACTATTAAAAGCGTCACTTTAAGTTCACAAGAATTTTCTTACACACAGATATTTAAGGAATTCTGAAACAATGTCAACAGATTTGGGTAAGTTGGTAAAGTCATTTTCTATTATTTATTTTAAAGTGGTTTAAAAACTGGACTGTTTTGTAGCCCTGAAGCCTCCCTTAACCACGAACACCAAAATAGCCACATGGCTCCTTTTTATCGGCTGCTACTTAAAACCAAACTCTGAATCATTTGTGGGAATCTGAACTTTCCCTGGGAGTCCACCAGCATCTAATTTCTGTATATGGATAAATTAAAAAGGATAATTTGCTTCAGTTTTAATTTCATCTCCATTTTCTTATTTTCCACATTTCCTAAACTTCAGCAATCAAAATACCACACTTCTGAATCTATTTATGTTTTGTTTCCATTTTTTTTTTCAATGGCTGGGTGTACATTTTCCCTTAAAGAGACTTTCACAACATTTTTTCTATGCCCAGGAATTGCTGCATTCTTCTGGTGACAGGCTGCTCACTCTGTGCCACAGCTGCTGCTCCAAACAGCAAAGGCTGAGTGGTCTGGCTCACCATCACGGGACTGTCAGTCCATTTTCTCCCCTCTCCTACTAACCTTTGAGCACATGTAGAAAAGAAAATCAGTATATGGTTTTTTCTCTGCCTCATTTGCTAATTAACTTCCTGTTCTTCATGCATTGCAAGCAACCAAGGTCACAGAGAAATCCCGCTGCTACCAAGTTAATAGTTATTTCACAGAAAATACTGTTGTGTATCAACTCATTCTATCCCCAAACCTGTTTTCTTCTCCTGTAAGATAGTCTATGAAACCACTTATAGTAACTGGAACATAGATGTAGAGGTAATTGACATTATTGAATATCTATGGTCTTCTTGGGTGACTTGGTGAATAATTTATATTATGTGTTGAGTGAACTTCTTTATTTTTCTATTTATATGACCAAATGTCACTACTTGGAAATCCTAAACATTCCACTTATTCATTCCTACCTTTTTGGTTTGATATCGCTGAGTCCTATGGTGACTTACCTCTATTGGCCATAAAATTATTTTATATGAATGTTTTATTTTCCTTAATGAATTGCAAGGACTCTGTTTTACTACTTTTGTATCCTCCTTCTCTGCCTAGTGGTACTGGTAATAACAGCTAACATGTATTGAGAAGCCTTGATGGAGCAAGCCTCTACTCTTTGTATCAGTGGTCACATTTAATCTTTGTAGGAACTCTAATGGAACAACATTATTGTCCTCATTTCTCCGATGAGAAAATGGAGGCTTAGGGAACTTTTCTGAGGTTACGTAGATAGCCAGTTGTAGAATGAGTATGGGATTTGAGAAAACTGGACTACAGTGCCTTTAATACTGCCTAAGTAGACTCCTGGACATGCACTGTATAAACCTAACTTCGGGTCCTTTTATTTCTTTCCCCTTCATACTACTCATTCATCTGCAGAGTTTGTGAAGAGAAGGCTGGGTAGAGCCTGCTTGGACGTGTGCTTTGATGCACCGAGTCAGGATTTGGAAAGGCTGAAGGTCTATTGGCCTCTGAGTTTTCTGATGGGAACCTCAACTCCTAGAAAACTCCTGAAACAAATCATAACCTCGTAAGTGCCATTACATAAAACTCTAGTGATGACAGTGGCAGGCCATCTGGAGCAGCTGCTGCCACCATGCCAGCTGCAGCAGGGAGGTGCGGCCTGGCTGCATAGTCTATGGAGCCAGTGGTAGCTGGAAACAAGCAAAGCCCCGCCCCTTCTGTGTTAGGGCAGAGGCTCCCAAGGTGCTGCTTCAGCTGCCCAAGCCACAGCTGCAGACCCAGGCATTTCTGTGCTCCTGGGGCCCAGAAGCAGGCAGGAGGCCCACCCTCCCAGGTGCAGCTGCAGCCACCCAAGTCATGGCTGTAGACCCAGGCCTCCACCTCCACGGAGCAGGCAGGAGTCCGACTCTAGCCACCCACCGCCTCACTCCTGCACAGTGGCACCTGCCCAAACCATGACTGTGAACCCAGGTATCTTTGCACTCTTGGGGGCCTGGGAAAGCCCCCCTTCACTTGCAGGCTCAGAAGTGCCTGCTCCCACTGCCTGGCTTCTCCCTGCTGTTGGCATCCACTCCGATTCTGAAGCAAAGTCGAGGCTGTACTCAGGCACTGTTGCAGCCTGGCTAGGTGTGCACACACAGGGCAGTGCTGACACACCAGCTCCCTGGCACCTTGGCCCAACGGTGCCAACTTTGGGCACCAATGGGCATGGGAGGAAGCTTAGGGGAAACTGAGAGCAGCTTGGTGCTGGCCTTCAGGCACCCCTTGGCACCTACAGCCTGGGCACCATGAACAGCAGCAGGAGGCTAACAGGTTTCTGGGTGGAAGGGGCTGGGTCCCTGGTGAGGCCTCACCTTCAGGCCAGGGAGGGCCTCAAGGCTGGTGCCTGGGTTGCCAGTCCTGCAGACTGGAGTAGGAACTTGTGGTACCTTTTCTGGGCCTGCCCATGGCCGTTCATGGACCAACTGGCATGCACTTCCTCACATCTAAGGCCCATAAAAGCTCCAGGCTCAGATAGACCTCATCAGACATTGGGATGATCAGCTGCAGGGAGGAGCTACCCATTCTAGGGCCTCCTCTCTGCTGAGAGCTGCAGAGATGTCAGGACAACCAGCTGCAGAGAGGAGCTACCCTCTCCAGGGCCTCCTCTCTGCTGAGAGCTGCAGAGATGACAGGATGACCTGCCTGCAGAGAGGAGCTTCTCACTTCAGGGTCTCTTCTCTGCTAGGAGCCGAACACTTTTTGGGACACCCTGGCTGCAGAAAGGAGCTACCCACTGCAGGTCTCCACTGAGCTCTTCTATCACTCAACATGGTCCTCTTCACCTTGATCACCCTCCACTTCTCTGTGTACCTCATTCTTCATGGTCACAGGACAAGAACTCAGAACCCATTGAATGGTGGGGCTAAAGGAGCTATAACACAAACAGGGTTGAAACATGTCCCTTGCTTACCACATTGTGGGTAAAGAGAAGGAAAGAAGAGCTGCAGCCCTTTGGGGAGCCCAGATCTGGGAACTCCCCAGAGCTGTGACTCCCTCTTTGGAATCCTGTGGTTCCTGGCATCTCCAAGCTTCTGTGCACCACCACGTTCCCCAGTGCTAGCTGTGGAAGCTGCTTGCAGTGTGTCTGATCCAGCCACAGCCTCACAGAGAGCTGGCACCCATGCCAGCACCTGGAGCTGCCCACCCCACTGCAGCACCTGGCATGTCTGATTATGCAGTGGCCAGAGTCCATGCTCACTCACACACCCCTCGCCGCTCTGTGGTTGACTTGCCCTTGGCAGGCGTGGGATCCAGACTGGTAGCATGAGCTAAGCGCAGCCCACCAGGCTAAGTGGGCAGAACGAACCCAGCAGGCCCGAGAAAAACCCGGGCCAAGGTGCCACTGGCCACAGAGGTTTCTGGCCAAAAATTGACACCCCAAGAATCCTGTAACACTAGTGTAGTCTTTGGACTTGATATTTTTGGTTGCCATTAAAGCCACATTTTTTTCTATGTACTTTTCAGTATGGCCTTTTAGCAATTTTTCTTTCACTAAAAAACATTTTTATCTTCTCTTAAAAAAAAAAATAGAAAGGAGGAAATAAACACGGGAGTGATAGCTATAAGAACAGCCCATGCCTTCCCTCCTCTTTTTCCTTCTCTAGGATACTCACTACACATCCAGTGTATAGATAACTTCATTTCTCTAATAAGCTTCTAGAGGGCAGGGATCACGTTTGTTCATAAAATCTCTCTAAATGCCACCTACAGTAAGTCTCCAAACCTAGTCCTAAACAAACCAGCAGATAAGGAAAACCTCATGGATTTGCTAAAGTTTGTTTGTTTATTTATTTATTTATTTTTGAGAAGGCATTTCGCTCTTGTCACCTAGGCTGGAATGCAGTGGCGTGATCTTGGCTCACTGCAACCTCAGCCTCCCGGGTTCAAGTGATTCTCCTGCCTCAGCCTCCTGAGTAGCTGGAATTACAGGCACCCGCCACTATGCCTGGCTGATTTTTGTATTTTTAGTAGAGACGGGGTTTTGCCATGTTGGCCAGGCTGGTATCGAACTCCTGACCTCAGGTGATCTACCCGCCTCAGCCTCCCAAAGTGCTAGTATTACAGATATGAGCCACAGTGCCCGGCCTAAAGTTTCTTCAAAAGTGAAGGTGAAACAGTTTGTGGCTCAGCTAGACAAAATATTTTTCTTTTCTGCCCAATTTGAGTCTAGAAAAAAATAATGTCCTTAAACTATGTTGTTTCTTTCTTGGTACCAATCTAGTATCTTTATGAGGGAATACATAATGTAAAATTCTTTATTTTTAGTTCATCTTATAGGTCATTTCTCCTCATTCTCTTTTGCTACAGAGGAGGAAGAGACTGGGACGTCATTCCTAACAAGGTTCACTCTCTCATTCTCCATTTGTAATTAAGCAACAAGTCTTCTTCCAAAATCCATATCACATCAGTCCACTTATTCCAAACCTATTTCTGTCACACTAAATCAACATCTCTAACTTGGGTTATTACAAACTCTCTTAGTTCCCTAACTTCTATTTATGCTCCTCTATAATTCATTTGGCATACAATAGCTAGCTAAAGTGAGCTTTTCTAACTGCAGTAATAATAATGACACTTTCTTGCTTTAATCTCTTCAGTAGTTTATTGCCATTGATAAAATCCAAAATCTCTTAAGTGGTCTATAAATTTCCATGTGACCTTTACCTTCCTACATCTTTACTCTCATCCTCTCCCAATTGAAATCAGTGCTCCAGAAATCTTAGATTTCGAGTTGCCCAGCTCTTCCTACCCCAGGACCATCACACATGCTTTACCTTCAACACCCCTACCCCCTAGTGTAAATGCCTATTGTCAAGAGGAATTCCCAAATCTCCAATGGAAATAAGGCTCTCTATTACATTCTTTAACTCCATCTGCATAAGTTATAAGTACTTAAAACAATTTGGGATTTTGCCTTTCAGTAAACACTGCCCTGACCCCCACTTCAGAACCAAGGAACTCATTCTTCTAGCTGCCAGAGGTGTTGCCCATTAATGGCCAGCAGCATAGTTATTCTCTAGAAACTGTCCTCAGTGTAAGAAAACTGCCTCATCCCAGGTTATGCTCCATCCCTGTGGTTGACCCATATCCAATGACTGGTTGACATAAGAGCACAAAGCTCTGTCCTCTTGCTCCAAGGGGATCACTCTGAAGGACTCTCCAAGTTCTAAAACCCCCGACTGGATTGGTTGAGGCATCTCTTGCATTGCCTCACAGTTAAACACTTCTCTATCCCAAATCCTGCTTTCCTTATTCTCCAATGAACTTGCTACACATAAAACTCAGAATCTCAATGTTTATTTCCTAGTGAACCTGACCTATGACAGTTGGTATTAGAAGTTGCACTGAAAGTGGACCCAGGAAGCTGACTGTGATGGGAAATCAGTGAAAGAAAATGTCCTTAGAGAAACACTGTTTTATCCATTTTAGAAGTTGGAGGAGGGTATTAATTATAAATACTGTGGAATTGGATGTTTATTTATGATGGTTATCAATTTATTAGAAAATAACAAAAAGCCTGTGATGAATAATCAATATAAGGTAAAGCTTGAAAGCCAGTCTCCATAGCAACATATAAAGTTTCACATCTCTAGCTAGTGGACAGAAAAAGGTGATTATAACATAGAACTTAATTTCAAGAGTAGCTAAGCTCCAGAGAAAGTCAAGTTCTTAATCCCAACAGATCTATTATGCCATCGTCAGGGCCTTTATTGGGAAAGAGTGAGACCCTGAAAGTTGGGTTGGTTATACCTGGGCTGATGCACATGAGTGTCTTGAATCTCTTTGGACATTCTGGCCCTGCAGAAGTAGCCCACTTTTTACTGATGAGGTTTATCTGCATTTGATTAATCTCAGATGATACTCTCACCTCTTCTGCTAGCCAATAGACTAATAGATTTGAAATGCAATGTGGCATTGGCCCAGCTGAGGAAGTGATAAATTAGTTAAGGAAGACACTGACTATGGACAGAAGGAGTTGCAGGACCTAGCCAGGGTAGTATATCTGGGTCTGGATCTTGAGGGTAGTGGATCAAGGGGGATAATATGTAAAGTTGGATGAAGTAGAGTGTGTTGATACAGGATATCCCTCCTGTAGTGTAGGATTTTATACCTTGGTAGCAACCTTGGGAGATGGTACTAATATGCTGCTAGAATGACTTTTGGAAACAAGTAAAAGGAAGCCGGGCCTCCTTTTACAGGTTAACGCCTGTAATCCCAGCACTTTAGGAGGCTGAGGCTGGCAGATCACTTGAGGTCAGGAGTTTGAGGCCAGCCTAGCCAACACAGTGAAACCCTGTCTCTACTAAAAATACATACACACACAAAAAAATAGCTCGTGTGGTGGTGCACACCTATAATCCCAGCTACTGGGGAGTCTGAGGCATGAGAATCACTTGAACCTGGGAGGCAGAGGTTACAGTGAGCTGAGATGGCGCCATTGCACTCAAGCTTGGGTGATAGAGTGAGACTCCATTTCAAAAAAAAGAAAGAAAGAAAAGAAAACAAGTAAAAGGTGATAGCCACTACTAAGTGAAGTAGCAATGCCAGGATTGCCATGGAAAATGGTAGAGGAAGGGTTCAAAAGGCTCAGAGAAGTGGACATGCCAATTGGATATGCAACTGAAGGTCAGAAAACCTACCCACTGACAATGTTGAATGAGTTCAGACCATCCAAAAGCCACATGGAACAGTCTTACTAACCACCATGGAAGACCTAAGAATTGAATCCTTCCCTAGGCCAGTTGATAAAACTTGATTGCATCCTGTGAGAGATTTGAAGTAGAAGACACAGCCATCCCATGCCCAGACTCCTGATCAAAGAAATAAAGAGAAATAAATTCATATTGTTTTAAGCTGTTGAGTTTTGGCATAATCTGTTACATAGCAATAGATGATAAATACATTAACCCAGGAAAATTTTAAAATAGATTCACATAAAAATCAGTACATAAATGTTTAAAACAGCTCTAAAATGTATAATTTTACCAAACTGGAAACAATCTAAATGTCCTTCAGTAGATGAACGGATAAACTATGGTGCATCTGCACAATAGAATACTACTCAGCAATGAAAAAGGAATGAATCATTGTTATATGCAATTTGGGTTAATTTTAAATGCATTTTATTAAGTGAAAAAATCCAGTTTCAAAAAATTACTTGTGTATGATTACATTTACATGGCATTCTGGAAAAGGCAAGAGAGAGAATAGCTCAGTGATTGCCAGAGGTTAGAGGTTAGATATGTGTCTATGTGTCTATGTGTGCATGTTGTGGGGGATTGGAATGAAAGAGACGGCACAAGAGAATTCTTCGGTGTGTTGGAATTATCCTGTATCCTACATACAGTATAGTTACAAAAATTTATGTGTGTATAAAAACTCAGATCTGTCTACCAAAAGCAGTAAATGTTACTCGAGGTAAATGAAAAATAATGCTGCTGAATTCCAGGGGGAATGACAGAATTGATGCCAACTTTAAAGAGCTAAAAGCTGCAAGAATGATGATCCCCATCATGTCTCTGTTTAACCCACCATTCTCGGGCCTGCTACAATGCTGCACAGACTCTGTTGAACGACAGTAGGATATCACAGACTCCATCAACTAGAAGCCTCTTGATGGCAGCAGTGGTGGTAGATACTGTATCTTTGCTAGAGCAGATTGATATGGCTTCTGGTACATAGCATGTGACCACTGACTTAATTAATACATTTTTTTTTCCATCACTCTTAGGAAGGACAACCAGAAACAGTACAGAATCAAATTTGCATGGGATAGAAAACAGTATATATTTATAGTCTTGTCCCAAGGCCAAACTAATTTTCCTCCCATAATCAGAATAAAGTCTGAAGGGATATGGGTCACCTTGGTATTTTGCAGCACATTACACTGGTCAGCTATATGGGTGATACTGTTATTATTGGAATGGATGAACAGGAAATGGAAAATCTATTGGAAGTCTTGGTAAGATATATGCACTTGAAAGGATTGCCAACCTAAAAAACAAACAGAGGCTTTCTAAAAGAAAACACTTATTTGGGAATAAAATATTGCGATGGGAATATATGCATGCCATAGTAAATATGTGCATATTCAGGGAGGTAAAGGAAGACAAAGGTTTTTAAAGGGAAAAACTCAGGAGTATTACTTAATTGTTTTGAAATAATTATCCTTTGTAACAAAGATCAATAACAAGAGTGACGACAGTCGAGGTTAGGGAGGCAGTTGCTGGGCAGATGTCCTGGCAGAAGTATATTTTGTGTAAAGTTATTGTGGTCTTTGTGAAGGTTGTGGATTGTCTCATTTTTGTTGTTGTTGTTATCAAGCATACAAGTGTGAGAATCCTCTCTTCATGGCCTTCACTGGCCCTATCTGTCAGGATTTTCTTAACATTAGTGACTCCTTCTGACAACTTTCACAGGGTGGTAGATAAACCCTATGAAGGTACAGGTGCCCATTATGTCACTAAACTTTCTAGGAGTCCAGAGCCTAGAACATGCCAGGACAACCTTCAAAGCACCCCCTCCACCTCCAAGGCGAAGGAGAAAGCATGTTAGTCCTGTTTGGGTTCTGAAGTCTACAAATTTGTAGCATATGAGATTTCTGTTTTTCTTCCTCTGTGTTTCAAAAATAGACTGTGCCCTTCAGCACCTAAAAAATAATGAAATAACGTAATAATATTCATAATAAAGAATAGCATCTCATGCCAGGATTTCCAATATATCCTGCCTTTGTTGGTGGTCAGCAGTAGGAAGCGAATCCCTATTTTCCTCAGCCCAGTCATCCTCAGAGGACACTGGCAACGGGCCACTGTAACCACAGGGAAAATTAGACATATGACAAAGCTGGAGGCTAAAAATAGAATTCCTTTCCGATCAGCTTGTTCTATGCAATGCTTTTAATCTGGGGCTACCCTTCGTATGATCACTCAGTCACATGGACTAATCTAGTATCATCAACATCAAGGGAATTTCCAAGACACTTTACTATAGCAAATGAAATTCCATTTTTAAAAATAGGAAAACAATAGTGGTGTTCAGACGTTTTCCTGGATATTTTCTGGGGAACCTTCAGGGCTACTAATGTGTTTGTCTCTCAAGTATGCTTTAAGTTATCTTTGCTTGGTTCATAGACTCTTTTAAATGTCTGACTTATAACCACATCCTCAAAATACATTCATAAATACATTTGCCCAGCTTTGCCTACAGTTTCAGGTAAGTAGCAGAACTCCTGAAAAGCCCTGGGCTTTATAGACTCCCATGGGTAAGAAACGCTGCGTTGGACAATGTTTTTCCATGCCATGTATTGAATTGACATCTAAGCCAGCAACATTAATACAATGATCTAAAAAAGAGCTTTAGACACTGCAGCTATTAAGGTGTGAAAATTCTAGTTAGCAACAGGGACATCCTCTGCTGGAGATGAAGTTCTATGTTTTGTTATACTGAGCTGCTGAGTAATTCTTGTTTGTTCAGAAATCAAAATCCATATTCTTCTTTCATTGATTGTAATTTCAGTGGGGGCAAACAAGTGATATTAAAAGTTCGAGCTGTTGCTTAAGCCTTTAGTTATTGATATCATTATAAGATCAAGTCATTATTTATTATTTACTTTGGCTTGATAAATAGACTTGACGTATATGCTTACTTATAAGTTCCTCCTGAAATCATGCTATGATGAAATAACTAATAATGGCATTTAAAATAATAATGGCTATAGGTAATGAGTACTTATATGCAAGCATTGTGCTAAATGCTTTGGAGGCATTGTCTCAATGAAGTTGTACAATAATTCTCCCAGGAGGTAATATTATTCACATTTTACAGATGAGAAAGCAGAGGTATAGGGAGGTAAAGTAACTTGGCCAAAAGTCTGTATCTAGTAAAGTACAATGCTAGGATTTTGACCACAGGTCTTTTCCATTCCTAAAGCTTTGTATTAAATAGCTATGATATAATGCCTTTTTTGTAGAAAAAGAAAAAAGATAAATTTAAGAAAATCTTATTTATTATTTTTTCCTTTATTCATACAAGAGGATTATTTCTTTATTCACACAAGAGGATTTTCTTCATGAAAACTTAAATGTTAATGTTATTGAACTATAGCTTATAGATAATCAAATACAACTTACAATATTGCACATAATCATGTGTCTCTTTTAAATGTTTAGTTCAACTTGACAAATGTATACATCTGTATAACCACCTTCTAAATCAAGGTACAGAATATTTTTGTCACTGCAAATAGTTTCTTTATGACTGTTTGCAGTCTCCCACCTTTAGCAATCAGGTTTAATTTACATAACTTTAGATTAGTTTTGCCTATTCTAAGGTTATATAATAGAATCATATAGTATGTACTCTTTTGCTTCTGTCTTCTTTTGCTCAGCATATTTCTGAGATTCATTCCTGTACAAGATACATGCACAAAACAGTAGCTTGTTCCTTTTTTCCTGCTGACTAGTATTCCATGTCATGAATATCCACAATTTGCCATCTATTCCCTTGAGGTGGGACATTTTGACTGTTTGCAGACTTTTGACTATTATGTTTAAATCTGCTATAAACATTGAATTACAATTCTTTGTGTAGACATAGGTTTCTATTTCTCTAGGATTAAAATTACCAAGTCACATGGTAAATGTATAGATGTACATCTTTACAGGAACTTGTCAAACTGCTTTCCAAAGTGATTTTATCATTTTTCCACTAGCAATATAGTAGAGTTTGGATGGCTCCATACCCTTGCCAACACTCAGGACTCTCAGTTTAGCCATTATATATGTGTGAAGTGTCACTGTTGGTTTGTGTTTTCCTGATAGCTAATGATATTGAACATATGCTTATTGGCTATTCCTTTATCTTGTTTTGTGAAATATCTGTTCAAATCTTTGACCTATTTTTTAATGAGCCATTTGTAATATTTGACTATGTATATATAAATATATGCATTCTGGATACAAATCTTCTAAAGATTATCTAGTCTCTGTATTCCACCTCTCTGTTGATATATTGAAAATTATTCTAGTCTCTAAATTGCCATTTATTTTCTTCACAGTGTCTTTTCAAGAGCAGAAATTCTACATTTTGATGAAGTCTAATTGATACATATTGTTTTCCTTTCATTGTTCATTCATTTTATGCCCTAGCTAAGAAATCTTTGCTTATTCTAAGTCTGCAGATTTTTCTGTATATTTGGTCCTTGAATTTTTTAATACTATTCCACATGCTTTATATTATTACTTTATGTAGAGTTGGGTATAGGCTTAATTTAGTCCTCCTCTGAAACATAGTCTTTCATGAATGTCCACTGAATGCCCTAGTGATCAACAAGTTTCCTTTACACTGATTGGTTAGAACAGATATAACTCCTACTTGTTAAGCTCCAGAAATAATTGTTCTTTTCCAACTGCTTGTTTTTTATCCAATCTCAGAGTCTCACCCTATGCACGTGCAGGTTAGAGTTCAGCCAAAGGCTTAAGAAGACTCTTATGAAGATTTCTGGAGGTATTTTCCTAGTTTTCTCAGGTACATAGCTCCACAAATTCTAGCTGCTTTTGCTTTCCTGAGTTCCGAGATCGATCTCTCTCTCTCTCTCTCTCTCTCTCTCTCTCTCTCTCACTCTCTCTCTCTCTCTCTTTCTCTCTCTCCCTCTCTCCCTCCCTCCCTGCCTGCCTCTCTCCCTCCCTCCCTCTCCTTTTCCCTCCCTTCCCTCTCATCATTTCTCTCCAGCTTATGGAGAATGTCATGCCCTTTCTGGGTATCTGAGCTATGTGCTGGTTTTCAGTAAAGCCTTCAAGATAGCAAGATAGAAAGCCAGGATGATCAGAGAAATCATTTCATTTGTTTCTCTTTTCTTGAAGACCACAGTCCTTCCCAGCCAGCTGCCAAATGTTTGAAAGCCATTTTACAAATACATTTTTTCTACATTCTAGTTTTCTGTGATGGGAAGATCAATCTGGTGCCAGTTATTCCTTCATGGTGAAAACAGAAATGTAACATACAGCTTTAAAATGGACTTCCTTTGTTATATTGGTTTATTTTAATATATTCTTCTTTCTTTTTTAAGGCAAATTTGAAGTGAAGGAAATAATTTGTCTTAATTAAAATATTTAAAACAGACCGCATATGTATATATATATATATATATATATATAGAGAGAGAGAGAGAGAGAGAGAGAGAGAGTGTGTGTGTGTGTGTGTGTGTGTGTGTGTGAGAGAGAGAGAGAGAGACAGAGTTGTTGCCTAGGCTGGAGTGCAGTGGCACGATCTTCGCTCACTGCTGCCTTGACTTCCCAGGCTCAAGAGATTCTCCCATCTCAGCCTCTTGTGTAGTTGGGATTACAGGTGTGCGCCACCATGCCTGGCTATTTTTTTGCATCTTTTGTAAAGACGAGGTTTCACCATGTTGCCCAGGCTAGTCTCAAACTCCTGGGCTCAAGGAATCTGCCCTGCCTCAGGCTCCCAAAGTGCTGGGATTACAGGCATGAGCCACTGCGCCCGGCTGAAAGCATTTTAAACATGTATTAACTACTTAGTAGCTGGTCCTGTCTTCTAGCTAATAACATTTTAATTTTTTTATAATGGCATAAGAATAAAAGTTTTTTATACCCTTCATATTATTATTTTTTATTGAGGATATAGCATCCTAGAGTATAGGTGATTTGGCAGAGGTTATGAAATTACATTTAATTCCATGAATGTATTAATATCTAAGAGTCATTGTGCATTTCCTAACTGCTTTATTTTTTCTCATTGTATTTTCCCAACAACTCTATAAGGTAGACTCTATAACTTGCCCCATTTTATAGATGAGGAAACAGGCTTAGTGAAATTTTTTAAATGGTCCAGTTCATACCACTAGAAAGGGCAAAGCCTGGAGTTTTACATGTCTAGTCTGATCCCAGAGCCTGATTTCTTAACCATTATAGTAACTTGTTTTCTTATTGAATGACCACTATGCACCTGGCCCTAGGTAAAGAGAAATAAAATTTTATTTGTTTTCTATCATCAATGAGCTAACAAATTGGAGACGGGGAGACAGATGTATGAACAAAGTACCGTAAACATGAGAAGTGCTGAAGTAGAGTATGTGTGTGAACGAGGCTAATAGAGTGTGGGAAATGAGCAATCTTTTGGAGAAGAGGAGCAGGATGTACAAAGATATCAAAATGAGCGAGGAATAAAATGAAGCATGAGGTGGCTGGGGGGTTGAAAGGTAAACTACTGAATATCTCTGCCAATGGAAAACCTCTAGGAAGCCTTGTTATAAATGAATAGGACAGGGTTTCAGCTGTTAAAAGCATCCCATCTACTAAGGAAGAGATGAAGTACACAAGTAGGCACACAAAAAATATTTTTTACCACTGGGAAAATAAACTGGTGTGAGAGTCTAGGAGAACAAATATTCATCCAGTTTAGGGAATTGCATAAAAATCTCTCAGGGAGGTTGCCCCAAAATTGGGCACAGAAGCAGCATCTGGCCCATTACACACAAAAACACTGGGACCCCTAGTTTCCCTTTGAAATCCATGAACTGTTTTGTATTATGATCTATGGAAAATAAAGTGCTTGCCTTTATCATATTTGGTTTGAGGGGATCTGACATTTTGCCTTGTGAAATGTCCAAAGCTGAATGTGTTATGTTTCCTAAACTCTTTGCAAAGTGATCAGTGTTATGTAAGTTGAGAATTTTGAATCACTTACAACAACTTGAAAATTGTTCCTCATATTTGTTAAAAGAGCCCGTTCCTAGACATCATGTTTATTTCTCCAGTAGTGTCACTAGTTTTTTTAAAATTAAGAACTTAAAAACCTTCAGCCATGTTTTTGTAGACATTACACAATGTGTTTCTCGAGCACATGCAAAATAATGATACAGGGAACTCATTTAGCTTAGAGGGGAAAAACAGCAGGTCAATTTAAAAGTTAGTTAACAAATATTATGATTTGTTATTTAACAGTTGGCTTCATCTGGTATTTGAACATTTTCTCAAATGCAAGTGTGTGGGGGGTATTAAGATTTATTTGTGTAATATGCAAACAGCTTTGGTTGAAGTGTGACTGGCATATTTAACCAAATCAAAAATGAGAAGACCATACATCCTGGAGATTTTTTGGGAAATATTTACAAACATACAAAAAATAGTGTTAATTTTCCAGAATTTTCTGAATATTTCTGCATGTAATTTTTTAAAATGAAGAACATTCAGAATAATTACTCAGATATTCTTTTTCTTGTGATTCAGCATGAGCCATATCATTGTTGTAATATTTCAGTATACTGTCTAACGCTGTTGAGGCTGAAATCTCACTGGGCCAGTGTTAACCTCTCTCTCCTCCCATTGTATTTTGGTCAGTTAATTTGTCTGTGGACATATTTTTCCATGCATCTCATTTGTACCTTTCTCCTATCAAGTGTATGGATTTTCAGATTCTTATCTTTTAGAAGGATGAGCTGCTCAATCTGTGGTCTGTGATGGAAGGCAGGTAGGGTGAGTTCATGAGGTGAATTCAACACCTTCAGATTTCAGAATAAATTTTTATGCATCTGCAGAATTTAAGATTAGTAGAGCTTCTGGAAATAATGAAGGTACTCAGATATACTGAGATTGTTGTTGAATTCATCACTTTATAAACATTTCCATCCATGTGCATTTGTATATCTTTGTTAGAGATATCTTTAATTCTCTATTTTGTGATTATGTGTAAAGACATTTAGCGATACATCTTATGGCACAGCATAGCAAATAATGAATGGGATAGGATCATTTCTTTAGAGACATTATCTTTACTCTTTGGGAACCATGGTGAACCAAGGGTTCCATTAGTGTCTTAGGAGGTACAGTCACAGCTTTCTTGATAGGAGGTCAATTGCAATTGAAGACAAATGATTAGAGCTGTTCTCTCTGAAGTAAACAGAAGACACTGATGTTGATATTATCCAATAACTGAAAAGAAAACTTGGAAAAGACTGAAGGAGTATGTCTTCATGGCCCTTCAGGGAAGAAGTTATCCTAACTAACTGGTAGAACCTCTGGTTGCGTGAGCGGGGCTATTGCTGTAGATTTCTTCCCAGTTCTTACTCACCAGGCAGCTTGATCTTCATGTCATTTCTGGAGTAAATTTCTCTACTAAGAAGAGAATGTGTTGAATAGCCAACATGAATATCAGTCTGTTTGGCAGTCAGAGCCTCATAAATTACTCTGTTGGTTCTTTGACACAAATCAGTCTCATGTGAGTTTGAGTTGCATAAGCTGGTTTTTTTTTTTCTGTTGCTGTTGTGCCTAGTTACCACTGACAAAGCCGATCATTAAATATCATCTTAATACACATATAACCCCAAAGACAAAACTCTGGAGTAAAGAAGAATAACAAACATTTTTGCTAAATACCTACCCATCTACCCTACCCCGATTATAAAAGCAACATGTGCTTTTATACACAATTACAAAAGCCATTGAATAAACAATTGGAACTTATTGTATAAACCATTGTAGACATTGCAAAACATTGTACACAGATTTATATGTCTTTCTGTCTACTCTTTTTAAAAGCATAAGTTACATGGTTAAAATTGTAGGAATACAGCTTACCATTATTGAATGTTTATGGTATACTAGATACTGTTTAAGTACTTTATGTGCATTAAATCATTTTAATCCCCCGAACAATACATGAGGTTGGTAGCATTATTATCCCATTTTGCAGGTGGGTATATTTAGGCATAGAGATTTTAAAATAACCTGCCTAGTGTGACAAAGTAAGTAGTGAAGCTCTGATTTAAACTGAGATAGTCTAACTTTATAGTACAAGTTCTTAACCATCATTTTGCTATTATATTTTATCTATAATCTGTGTCCTGCTATTTTCAGTTCACACAAGTCAACACACTCTCTACATAATTCTAAAACTTTGAAAGCCTTCTTGACCATCAACCAATCTCCCATGACTACATGACCCTCAACTTGACTTTGCACTGAGAAGACTCAAATTTGAATTTTCTCTAAGTAATAAAATACTTTCCTCCCTTTGGTAGCAAAGCTGGGTTCTTTAAGAATCACATGTAGAATCAGATAACAAGACCTAAATGCTATTTTATATCTCCTTAATAATCCTAAATATAATATGTATTATGTTAGGTATTTGAAATTTTACCTGAGAAATAAAATCACAAACATTATCTAACATTATTGCCTTGATTGAGGATTAGCTCAGATTGTCCCAAGGCAAAAATGACAAATGAAAGGGATCTAAAGAAAAGATCATGATACTGTGACTTGTTCTTCTTCAAAAAGTGCTATTCAGAATACGAACTAATTGGCTACATACAATGTGCAAATAGTTCTGCTTGCTAATATATTTCTACCTACTGCAATTTTAGTCACTTCTTTAGTTCAGTTCCCTGTCCAAAAGTGGCGGTCAAGTGAATTTTGGGGTGAGGGCTTGGCTTTCTCTTTCAAGGGGTGATCCTAGGAGGTTTACCTTTGTCTGTGACTTTTGTATCCTTTTTCTCAAAGGCTATACTTCTTTGAGTACAAAAATTGAAAATGAACAAGAATGCAAAGTTTTTAACCAAGGTTATTAATCTGGAAATGTGATGCTTTATAAAAAGTACTAACTTTTTATTTGTTTTCTTTGTTTTTTGTTTATGTGTTTGCTTTAACTTTTTTTTTAAACTGCCTATTTAATGAACACTTAGAAAGAAAGCGAGGATCTTTAGGGGCTGCTAAGGGTTTACTAACATCCAATCTTTTGAAACCTGACACATGTTTGCCCTTCCTCCTGTTTTCTTCCTTCCTGCCCTCCCTCTCCTTCCTTCCTTCCTTCCTTCCCATTTTCTTTTCTTTCAAGTAATACTATATTGATAGATTGAACAAATGCTTTAAATCTTATTTATACAAATATTTTAGTAAAGATCCTCATGGATATTTCTGTAGGCCAGGTAAAGTAATGTGCATGAAATAATTATATGGTGGGAAAAAACATGACCGTCTACATTGCCTCGTTCCAAGAAAAAGAGTAGGGAAGATAATCAGCCCAAAATAAGTTTTCTTAATGAACCACTTTCAGCTTTTTTTTAGCGGGGTGGATGGGTGAGAAGACAGTCTCAATATCCTTAATAGCATTACAAACGGCTATTAACTTACACAGTATCAGAAAGTTAATAGCATAGTAATAATTTATAATAATTTAGTAATAATCCTGGAGGTTTTAGATAACTGTAAGGAACTTATGAATAGTATTTTAATATGGTAAATTTAAAAACAGCTAACACTAAACAGCTTGGATGGAAGTTTACTAGTCTAGAAGTAGGCAGATAACAGAATATTTGTACCCCCTATCAGAAAGATCACATCTTTAATTTTGTGTTTAATTCTAATGCTGCATTTTTAGAAATACATTGACTTTAAATTGAACCACATACAGAAAAGGGCTAGCAGGTGGTGATGACTGAACATTATTTATAGTTTAAAAAAATAGAGACAGATGATGGACAGTTGAAAAATTCAAAGGCTGAGGAATCTAATCATAATTATCTCAAACACTTAAAGCAATCTATGGAAAAAGAATTAGATTCATCAATGTAACATTATAAAGAAGTAATACTAGGATTAATAACTAGAAGATATGAGGAGTCATGTTTTGTCTTAATGGAAGGAAAAACTAAGAAATGAAGCATTCCCCCAAATAGAGTTTCTCACACACACACACACAAATCTGTAGTGTTTGTGTTCAAGAAGAAGCTGGGTCACTATCTGTCAGAAACATTTTTAAGTAATCCTTAAGGAAAAAATGTTGAACTAGAGAGTCTCTGAAGTTGCCTCCAACACAAAACATTCCTTTTTTTTTTTTTTTTTGAGACGGAATTTGACTCTGTCACCCAGGCTGGAGTGCAATGGCACATTCTCGGCTCACTATAACCTCCGCCTCCCAGGTTCAAGCAATTCTCCTGCTTCAGCCTCCCGAGTAGCTGGGATTACAGGTGCACACCACCATGCCTGACTAATTTTTGTATTTTTAGTGGAGACTGGCTTTCACCGTGTTGGCTAGGCCAGTCTTGAACTCCTGACCTCAAGTAATCCACCCACCTTGGCCTCCCAAAGTGCCGGGATTACAGACATGAGCCACTGCACCCGGCCAAAATGTTCTTAATTCCATGAATCATAAAATTATTTCTTCTGGATTGTTAGATCTATTAAAATGTATGGTTCTTTTATTTTTCAAGTAAATTATTATATTGTATAATCTACCAATCGGACTAGCCTGACAGTAAATTAAACAAGAATTGTATTGAAGAAGACACAAATAAATGAAAAGATATCCCATGTTCATGGATTGGAATAATTAATATTGTTATAATGTTCATACTATCCAAAGTTATCTTTAATGTTGTTAAAATGTCCATACTGCCCAAAGCAATCTACAGATTCAATGCAATCCCTATCAAAATACCAGTGACATTCTTCACAGAAATAGAAAAAGAACAATCCTACAATTCATATGCAGCAACAAAAGACCCTGAATAGCCAAAGCAATCTTGAGCAAAAAGAGCAAAGCTGGAGGCATCATACCACCTGAGTTCAAAATATACTACAAAGCTATAATAATCAAAACAGTCTGATACCGACATAAAAAACACACATAGACCAATGGAACAGAATAGAGAGCCCTAAAATAAATGTACACATTTATGCTCAATTGATTTTTGACAAAGGTGCCAAGAACACACAATGAGGAAACAGCAGTCTCTTCAATAAACAGTGCTGGAAAAACTGTATATCCTCATGCAGAATAATGAACTTGATCCCTAACATCATAAATCTCACTACTAAATATATATCCAAAGAAAATGAAATTCATATTTTGAAGAGATATCAGCACGCCCATGTTCATTGCAGCATTATTCACAATAGCCAAGATATGGAATCAGCCTAAGTGTACATCAGTGGATGAAGAGATAAAGAAAATGTGACACATATACACAATGAAATAGTGTGAAGCCCTATAAAAGAAGGAAATTCTGTCATTTGTGACTGTATTGGTGAATCTGGAGGACGTTGTGTTAAATGAAATAAGCCAGGCACAGAAAGACAAACACCACATGATTTCATTTATATTTGAAATCTGAAAGTGTTAAACTCATAGAGTTAGAGAAAAGAATGGTGGTTATTATCAGTGGTTGGGGTCGGGGGTTGGAAAGATGTTGGCCAAATGATACAAAATTTCAGTTAGAAGGAATAAATTCAAGAAATCTATTGTACAACATGGTGACTATAGTTAATAATATTGTATTGTATTTTGAAAATGGCTGAGTAGATTTTTAATGTTCTTACTACAAAAAATATGTGAGATGATACATATGTTAATTAGCTTAGTTGAGCCATTCAACAATGTATGCGTATTTCAGAACATCATGTTGTACCCAATAAATATATACAAGTTTTTTCAATTAGAAAATTTAAATTACACTTTAAGGAAATACGGATGGTATATTCTTGCCAGAACAAGTAACTTTTAAGAAAATTTAGCCTTCATTTTCTGATGTGCAAGATCTAAATGACTAGATTTCTTTGAATGATATTGATTCGTTCAAATATAATATTGAATATTATTTTTATTTCCATTTTGGTTTCAGTTATATTTTTTAACCTGGAGTGCTCAATTTGTAAATTCTGCATTCCTCCTGGTGCCTACTTATTAACAGACATTGTTAACTGCATTACATCCGTTTTTCTATTAAGTGTTTTTTCAGTTGTGTCTGTGTGTTTGCAAACATCTAGATTAAAAAAATAGATGTTTCTAAGTGTCTCAAAATGTTAAATAAGGTGACTTTTAAGTTTTTCATTCTGATGTTACAGTTCTTGGAACAAAGCTCAAAAGCTATATTCAGGTAAGATATGAGTATACATATACACGATTTAACAGTAACACTTATTTGAATTAGTAGTCATTTATGGCAGCTATTAACTTTCTATGTGACTAGTAGAAAAGTAAGATCTGATTTTTTATCAATGTAGTTTATTATTATAGAAAAAATTATTCACATTTCATATAAGCACTAGGATTTCTACTATACACAATATTTGTATTCCTGAAAAATTAAAAAAAAACTTTTTTGTGCAAAATTATATGGTAAAAATAACAAGACTCTTGGGGGAAATAGAGCTGGGGAGACCACACACAACTTATGCAATTTTATAACCAGAACACTCACAAAAATGAATATTGGTACCTTGGACACTGGCAGGCAGCAACTCAGCATGCCTGGAGCTGCTTCACAGAATATTAAAAATGCACAGAGTAAGTAAAATGGAAACACAGGCAGTGAGGCAACGCAAATGGAAGAGGAGCTCTGATCAGCTGGGCTGCTTAAAGGTGAGAACAGGAGGAAATGCAACTGCCAAGGTCAGTGTGTGTGTTTTTCTGGAAGGAGGCCCTGAATGAAGCGTTCATTTTTAATTTTTTAAGGTCAGTGTGTGTGTTTTTCTGGAAGGAGGCCCTGAATGAAGCATTCATTTTTAATTTTTTTAAAAATGGAGCTTTCTGTTGGGAGGCCAAGGAGGGTGGATCACGAGGTCAGGAGATCGAGACCATCCAGGCCAACATGGTGAAACCCCGTCTCTACTAAAAATACAACAAATTAGCCAGGCGTGGTGGTGGGCACCTGTAGTCCCAGCTACTCAGGAGGCTGAGGCAGGAGAATGGCATGAACACGGGAGGCGGAGCTTGCAGCAGTGAGGTGAGATCGCACCACTGTACTCCAGCCTGGGTGACAGAGCGAGACTCTGTCTCAAAAAAAAAAAAAAAAAAAAAAAAGAAAATAATAATAATAATAGAGCTTTCTGAAAGTGTTTCTACTTCTTCTATAGATGAGCTGAGGGAATTTTTTCCTTTCTGCTAAAGTTTATGATTCTCATTTCACTATTTCTTTCTCCTATTGCCTAACAAAACTGCATCTGAATCAGTACAACCTCCACATGGTGAGCTAATTGATGTTATAGAAACTTGTGTTTCGACACAGTGTTTCTGAAGCTTTTGCATATACAAGAATTGCCTGAAAGGCTTTTAAAGAACAGATTTCCAGGTCCCATTTCTGACAAACTTCCAGACGAGGCAGATACCACTGGTGGCACAGGTCACCTTTTAAGTGGCGAGGCTGTTACAGTGCAGATGTGTAATATTCTCTCTTCCTTCGCTGGTGAATTTCAACATTGATGGAAATTGTATTGGATACTGGATCCATACTTTCAGAAAATGAAGTGAGAACATCTCACCAATACATTTTTGGTGAAGTTTTTACTGCTTCCATATGATTCAGCCTTCCACGCAGTTCAGAAGAGTGACAGACACTGATTCACAATGATGCAGAATTATCAACATTACTTCAATCGGGTTATCCTTTGTAAATTTAATTAATTATTAGGTATATGAGAAAACAACAATTTGAAGAAATAGGCATACGTACTGGGATATTCCTACTACCTACTACCAAATCAAACATTTTCTACATAGACACCAAAGCTTTCAGGGAAACGTACCTGGTTTTAGAAAGCCCAACTTAGTTTGGGTGCCAAATATGTTTGCTTGCCTGGTTTTATTTTCCTAGAATTGTGAAAGAATTACTTCTGATAGAAAAAAGTTTTCATTATGATTTTCAGAGACAGACTTTAAAGAATAGCTCATACTGTTTCTGTTACATCCATTTTATCTTACAAAAACTGCTGCATGTACCAGATGATTTTGTCTGTCTGGGTTTCCATTGTCTAGTTTGGAAATGAAGAGGTTGGGTGGATGATTGCTCAAATCTATTTCAATTACAATATCTATGGGTCTGAAATCTGTAAGATGGCTTAGCATGTATCATTCAACAACACAGGCCAATGGCTTTTATTTCTCAAACAATTTTCTGGAAAAATTAAATGAATAACTTTTTTCATCTTCTCAGGCTCTCTCTCCTTTCCATGCACTATCAATGCTACTGAAGAAAAGGATGTTTTTAATGGTTATGAAGGATTTTTAAAAGAGTAAATAATAAGGATTTGTAATACTCAGTGCATTATCCTTAAGAAATGTAATACCTAATTAAAAAGACAAGAAATATAGAAGATTTAAGGTTAATACACAACAGCAGGGGGCTATGTTTCAAACTGAGTAGTAGAGACAAATAGCAAATAGAAGAGTGGCCTCTGGAGTACAATAGGCACCTCTTCAATACAGAACACATTCATTCATTCATCCAATAATTGTTTATTGATTTACTATTTGGTGGCAGGCACTCTGCTAGATGTTAAAATACAATGTTGAGGGGCTGGCAGTGAGCCTATGGAAGAGACAGAGAAAGAGTATGTGACTACATGGATAGAAAGAAAACCAAGAGTGTGTGATGTAGCAGTGGAGGGAAGACAGCTATTAGAAAAGGAAGGAAACGTTAACAATGTCAAAATGCTCATCAGAGATCAAGTAAGATAAAAACTGATAAACATGCATTAGGTATTGTGACATGGATGTTACCAGCAAACTTATCAAAAGTTGTCTCCATAAAGTGATAAGAATTGGAGCCAGACAGGAATTTGCTTCAGAGGAGTGTTAGAGGAAGAAATGGTGTTGGTGATTATACATATCTCTTTTGAGTAAGCTGGCCATAAATGACGGAAGAGAAAGAACAGTAGTTCAAGGGAGATGTGTAGTTATAGGCATTGAGCATGTCTTCTTTCCATGGGAAGAATCCAGCTGAGATGAAGATCTTGATTACATAAGAGAAAAAGATAATAGATGGTCTAGTATAGTGCTTTGAAACTTTCTTACGCATGTGAATCAGCTGAGGATCTTGTTTAAAATTTCTATCCTGATTTAGTAGATCTGAGATAAGACCCAAGATTCTTCATTTCTGTTGAGTTCCTAGGTGATACCGATGTTGTTGGTCTTTAGGTGACATTTCCAGTACCAAGAGTGTAGTAGAATTGCTGAGCAAGGTTATGGGTCCATTTAAATTGGGTGACCATATATTTTTAATGGATTATATTTGCCCTATCATGCAGTATTTTTCCTAGCATCTCTTGGTTGCTTGGCAGTAGGCAAAAATAAAACAGAAAGTAGGAGTTGAAGCTGTATATAGAAGGAACTGAATAAAGGGATGGATGGATTTGGAAATGCAGGTGGTCCAGGGTACTGGAGGTCCTGATGAAGTTGAAAAGCTGTCATAGTGGAAGTGACTGTAAAGCAAGTTGGGAGAAAAGGAACTCATGAATGAGGATTTTGAAAGTGAAAGAATTTGAGATGATGACAAGATCCAAGATGCAGCCCTGAAAGTATATGTCTGAAATAGCAGGGAATGGCAAGAGCCTTATTGTCATTTAACACCCAAGAAGGAAGAGGGCTTATGAGGATGGGTCAATTCCAGGGCACTCATGGTCAAATGCTGGGTGGTGGAAATTATAATGAGAAAAGAAGTTTAAGCTCTAAGGTCATGTGGGTACTGACCTGTTGATCTCCTTGGAATTTCTCTTAGAATTAACTTTTTTATGTAACAAGTATTTATTGAGCACCTACTATAAGCTAGGCACTTGTCTTAGTCTGTTTTATGTTGCTATAAGAGAATACCCGAGGCTAAGTAATCTATAAAGAAAGGAGGTTTATTTAGCTTATGAATCTGCAGGCTGCAATAGTTCAAGAGCATAGCACCACATCTGGCCAGCTTCTGGGGAAGGGCACATGTTGGGTCAAAACACGATGTGGAAGCAGGAAAGTGGGCAGGTGTGCAAAGAGATCACTGATAGAGGAAGCAAAAGTTCTGGAAGCTGAACTCACTTTTATAACAACTCTCTCTCCATTAAGTAATCCAGATGCATGAGAGTGAGAACTCACTTGCTCCCATAGGAGGATATTAATTTATTCATGAGTGATCCACCCTAATGACCGGAACACCTCCAATTAGGCCCTATCTCCCAACACCTCCACACTGGGGATCAAATTTCAACATGAATTTTGGAGGGGAAAACTCAAACCATAGCAACGCTGTTCTAGATACTGTAGGTACCCTACTGAACAAAACAAACAGTGCTTGCATTCTGGTGGATTCATGCCTCCAAAGTCCTGATTTCTGTGTGGATGGTGTTTTAAAAAGAGGCCGGGTGTGGTGGCTCATGCTTGTAATCCCAGCACTTTGAGAGGCCGAGGCGGGTGGATCACAAGGTCAGGAGTTTGAGACCAGCCTGACCAACATGGTGAAACTCCGTCTCTGCTGAAAATACAAAAAATTAGCCAGGTGTTGTGGCGGGCACCTATAATCCCAGCTACTCAGGAGGCTGAGGCAGAAGAATTGCTTGAACCCAGGAGGCGGAGGTTGCAGTGAGCCGAGATGGCATCACTGCACTCCAGCCAGGGCGACAGAGCGAGACTCTGCCTCAAAAAAAAAAAAAAAAAGAATCGCAAACTTGCTGTCCCCAGTGCTCCTCACCAAATTGAAACAATATACCTGGGATGAGAAGATAACTTTCATCATTGAATTTTTCTTGTTATGAAACTTTGAGTTTAACTTTATTCATCACTGGAGCAAAGAAAATTAGTTCGTGGGAAAAAGAGCAAAGAAAGTCACTTGACCAGCTTTGAAGAAGGCTTCTTTTGTTGATGCAGTCCAAAACCAAAGGAACCCTTTTATCTGATATTACTGAGAGTTACCTGAAGATGTGGGATGGGGACTTGTATACAATGTTAGGCTTGAAAATAACAAAAGGTAGCAACTCAAGATCAGAGATTACATGATTTTTGAGAATGTAGGACTAAGAGCATTGCCTATCAATGGATGGGTAACATAAAAGAAGAAAAGTCAACAATTGTATCACTATTGACTTTGTCTACCTGTTATTAAGCTTTTCTTACTCTAAGTGAATATCATAAGACAAAGTAATAATATAAATGAATTCATCATAAATATTTTGACTTAATTTTCAGCAGTATATGCTGCATAGAAAAATCATGTATATGGTGTCTCATAACCTGGGTTTGCTCCCTTATTGTACCATTGCTCAATTATGTTCTCTATTGCTTCTACCTGTAGAATGATTTCTATTCTGACTTTGTTTGCATTTCCCTAAAATCTCCCCCTGACATGTTATTAGTAAAAGCTGTTCACCTCACTGGACAGGGCCACAGATCAGTTACATAAAACAAAGGAAAAATTTCTCTTTTCTTTTGATAAATGCATATTAGGTTTTGGCATTAATTCTGGGCCCCAAAACGTAATGAAAAGCCCAGCCATTCCGTTTGAGTTTTGATGAATAGAAGACATGCTCTTTACCTTTGAAATCTGACTACAGAATCATACTACACTCCAAAACATTCATATTCCTCCAAAATTTCTCGGAAATTTTTGCACAAAGCCTCCTCCTTTCTTTCCTGGATCGTTTCTGAGACTTTGATCCTTTGCTATTTGGTTTGTCCTTATCAGTGAGAGCATTGGTACTAACGTGAATGGTGAAAATGAGATCAGCACCGTACAGGTAGAATTGAAATATTATGATAAATTATGAGATAGAGGAAGCCAGTTTAGGAAAACAGATTTTCCAAGCTTATAACTCACTCCAGCCTTATGAGATAATAAATTTAGGAGTGTTCCTCAACCTTCTTTTGAATTTGTGTAAGCTGATGATAAACCACAATATTTCTGTTGCAAGGGAAAAGGACCACAAAACATCTTTGGCCACCAAAGAGCTCAGCTCTTACAAAATATTTTGATGAGATAAGTGTAAATGAATCAGAAAACATACAGGTTGAATTTCCACCATTATACTCATGGGAAGATAGGAGGCCCTTTTGTCTTTTTCTTTTTCTTTTTAAATGAGAACAAGAATGCAGTTGACAAACATGGTTTAGGTTTTCTGAATCAAATATTTTGAAACCAGTTCAAGAGATTTTTTTGAATCTGAATGAACAAAAGGTTGTTTGCCCATTTCTCATTTTATCATTTGTTTTGGTTTTCTTGGCCTTTATTTGTCCAGGTGCCCAAAGGAGAGAGAGAATAAACTTGAACATTCTGACTTTGAAGGTAAGCATCTATTAATGGCAAAAACCTCCATTACTTTTGCACCAACCTAATATTTTTGGAACTTCCTTAATAAAATTCAGCTGTTGCAGAGGTAGCTATATATTTA
Organism: Homo sapiens; assembly: GCF_000001405.40. Lineage (NCBI taxonomy): Eukaryota > Metazoa > Chordata > Mammalia > Primates > Hominidae > Homo > Homo sapiens. The sequence goes on from NC_000017.11 coordinate 69,845,593, forward strand.
TCTCAAGAGGAAAATTTTTTCACTGAAAATACCATCAGCATTTCCATTTTAATGACATTAGATGGCCAGATAGGTTTGACAGAAAATTGCCTTTAGGGCTGTCTTTGGGCCAAAGTTTGGCTTTTTAAAAATTGCTAATCATCTTTCACTTTTAGCCTTTCTTCATTGTTCAATGCGCTACCCTACCAGATGGCCAATGCCCTGAGCTTTTACACTTTCTTCTAACTTCCCAACAATTTTCCAGTGGAACATCCCATGGATATGGCTAGGCCCTCATTATCAAAGCTTATTTTTTTTAGTACTAATTCCATATCATCCAAATAGTATATGTTAATTTTGTTTTTAAAATTTCTCTGAACTGTGTTCAAGTCTTTTATAGCTGGGGTACTCCTAATTAAATTTATATGTTATCAACATGTATATGCCGATAAAACATACAAATTATTACAGCAGATGTGGGGTTTCCAAAGGTCTGGCCAGTCACCATGTTCTTCTACAATGATAAATTACATTCATGGCCTCAATTCTCCTCTCTTTGAATATCTGACTCTAGCCATGTGACTTTGAAGTTTTCCCATTAAAGAAGTGGACTGCGTTTTCCTAAAACTTGACTTTAAGTTTGTCTGTGGAATTGCTTTGACCAAGAGAATATTAGTAAATGTTAAATGACAAAAGATTTAAAATGTTTGCTCACTTATATGTCTTCTATCATGATGAGAAGAACATGACCAGGCTAGCCCAGGAGAAAGATGGAGCACATATGGAGCAGAGCTGCCCCAGCCAACCTGCTCTTGAGACCCCAGCTTAGAGCATCCAACTCCCAGCTAACACCCAGAAGCATGAGTGACTCCATTTAAGGTCAATAAAACCATCTAGCCGAGTCCAGTGAGATAAGCCAGCCCTTGGTTGATCACAGATGCATGAGCTAAATAAATGCTTATTGTTGTATGCCACTATTTGGGTTTTTGTTTGTTGTGCAGCATTACTGTGGATGTGGTTAATGTATACACCCTCCTATATCTTTCTCTTTGGCAGCTACAGAGGGGGTTCCTCTGAGCACAGTTTAAAAAAATCCATATCTGTAAATTCTCAGTCATAACATTAGTTTTTAAACAGATTTAGTTGTCAAGAAAGACTTTGAAAAGTAGCGGTATCAAAACATCATATTGTACTCCATAAATGTGTATGATTATTGTCAATTAAAACCAAAATAAAACTTTCTTAAAAAATAATGGGAACATAAAACACCCGGCAAAAGCCTCAAAACTAACATTTTGGTTAGATAATTTTTATGTGTTTCTCTAAATTTTCAAGGTAACTTAAAGTTATACATTACTTCTTGTATCCTTTGTAACAACCCTGCAAGGTAGATCAAGTATTACTACCTCATTAACTGAGCACCTTCCATGTGCTCAGCACTGTTATGAATGCTTTGCATATATTAACATGTTTATTTTCGCAGCTATCCTATGGGATAGAACACATTGATTATTTCCTCATTTATGGATGCCAAAACTCATTTGAGCTTTATACCAATTCTATTATTTGAGTAAGTAAAATATTATTATGCTCTTTTACTTTCTTATTATGCTCTTTACTAAGAGCATAATAATATTTTTATTATACTATATTAATAATAATATTTTATTAACAGCATAATTTTACTTTGTAGGATCTTTACATGTATTATCTTATTTAATTTTCACATTGATCAAAGAACTAGGGATTCTACATAAATAGCCCTATTTTACAGATGAGAAAACAGAGTCAAACATGTTAAATATCTTGCCCAAGTTCACACAGCTGTTACAGCCATGCTGAAAAGTCTATAGCTCAAAGACTGTATACAACTTGGCCCTAGGTCGACCAATTACCATGCCAGGGAGCCAAGGCTAGTGTAGTCTTTCTGTTAGTCAATTTTATCCTCAATGCTCTGCTCAGAGGGAGCGTAATGCTGGATCTGAGTTGCTTCCTTTGCAACACCAACAAAAATAAATTCCAAAGTCAATTATTTAGTTCAAAAAGGTGCTATAAAGTCATTATGTGAAAAAGATACTTGTAACACACATGTTTATAGCAGTACAATTCGCAATTGCAAAAATGTGGAACCAGCCCAAACGCCCGTCAATCAACAAATGGTTAAAGAAACCGTGGTATGTATATATGATGGAATACTACTCAGCCATAAAAAGGAGTGAATTAATGGCGTTCACAGCAACCTGGATGGGATTGGAGACTATTATTCTAAGTGAAGTAACTAAGGAATGGAAAACCAAATATCATTTGTTATCACTCATAAGTGGGGGCTAAGCTATGAGGATGCAAAGGCATACGAATGATACAATGGACTTTGGGGACTCGGGGGAAAGGATGGGAAGGGGGCGAGGGATAAAAGACTACAAATTGGGTTCAGTGTATGCTGCTTGGCTGATGGATGCACCAAAGTCTTACAAATCACCCCTAAAGAACTTACTTATGTAACCAAATACCACCTGTTCCCCAAAAACCTATGGAAATAAAATTTTTTTAAAAAAATACACATGAACACAAAACGTATCATAATAATCATATTAAGTATACAATACAATGGCATTTAGTAGGTTCACAATGTTATGTAACCAACCCCACTGTCTAGTTCCAGACCATTTTCGTAACCACAGGAGGAAACTGTATCTATTAAGCAGGTACCTTCCACTTCCCCCTGCCGCTCAGACCCTGTCACCACAAATCCATTTTCTTTCTCTATAGATCTGCCTCTTCCGAATATTTCATTAAAATGGGTTAATACCAAAAAAAAAGGTGTTATAGCTGACAATCTGTGCTGTGGGCCGGCTCTTTCTGCACCAGGTACTAAAAAACAGGAGGCTTCAAAATCCTATTCCATAGCAGTTTTCCAATTTCACAGTGGATCGAGGTGTCATCTCAGAAGGACATTAACAATACTTAAAAGCAATACTTAATAATGGGTGCATCCCAAATGTTCATTATAGTTCACTGTGAACCACATTTTCCTCATAAATGTTCTGTTATTTAATTCCAAAATCAGAACACCAATAGTTTCTTCTATGTAATCCCACATTCAAACATTATTTTTTTTCTTGCTTTTAGGACTAGTTATTAAGATTAAACATCCTAAATTTGCTATTTTTCTTTTTTCCTCTTCAAGCCCCCAAATTGTGTCTGTGATGTAAACTAAGAGAATACTGCTGAAATATGACACTCAGGCTTCCTGATACATTGTTGGTTAGACCCGAAGGCCTATGTTAAGATTAACGGTCAGTTAGGAGTTTAAGAAATAATTTAGCTAGTAACCTTGATGCGAAGAAAGGCATGAATTAGGCAGCAAAGGTCTGAATTAAACAGAATGTCACAGAAACTGGAAGATAGAAATGTGGACAGCTTGCCTTAGGAATTATGGATGCAAAATTCATTGGTGCATTCTGATTAGTTAAAGATAATTGAGGGTGATAATTGACTACAGAGAGATCTTTTTAAAAATGTATCAGCAAGTATGCATTTGGGGTGATTAGGTAAGAATCTAGATAATTACCATGCAACTTGTGAAACTCATAACAGCCTTGTAATTATTCGTTAAACAAGATGTTATATGCTTAAAGAAGCAAAGTATTTTATTAGTTAGAACATGGCCTGTACTAAGTAGGTTTTAATACACTAGGGGTCAGACTCTGATGCTTGGGGAAATTACAAAAACATAATAATCCTTGTGAATGAATGAATGAATGAACACATGATCCTGGGTATGCCTAAATAAGAATTTGAATGAGAGCCAATATGGAATATCATGGATGATTCTTATGTAAGGAGGCTGTATCTTTAGCTTTGATTTTAGAAATGAGATAGAAGTGAGAAGTCCAAAGGTTCTCAAGCTTAAGTAGAATCTTTGCAACCTGTTTTCGAAGGCAAATCCAATATGAGAGGAAGACGTTGCCCAAAATGATCTAATGGATTTAGAACATGTGTATAGGGTGACTTGCCCAGGCGGGATGGAATCAAGGATGGATCTAAGAGTTCTTGGTGTAACAGAAGAGCAAAGATTTAGGAGTTGCACCAAGTTTGAGTCCTGGCTCTGTTTCTTACCAGTTGTGTGACCTTGGCAGGTTACTGGACTTCTCTGAGCTTCAGTTTCATGAACCAAAGAGTGTAATTATAATTGCCTGAGTCAGAACAACTGAAATAATGTACATAAAATTGCAAACTGTGAGGGTGACTCTCCAAGTATTAATCCTGTTCTTCATTTGCTTTTTCTCTTATTACTGGGGACTGTGTCTTAATCAGAATTGTATTTCCTTTTAAAATCAACTTCTGTCCTTGATCCTTAATAAAAGGTTCAATAAATGCTCATTTTTGAATGAAGAAGCCAATGAAAACACTAAAAATGAGTTTGAAAGTGATCTCTAATGTGTGACTCAAGGCATCGGTAAAATTAGCTAGGAACACACTATGCAATTTAGAAAACCTGGTTGACTTTTATAAAATTACTTTTCATTGTGATTTTAAAAATACATAACATAAAATGTACCATTTTAACCATTTTTAAAGGTACAGTTCAGTGGCATTAAATACATTCACATTGTTGTGCAACCATTACCATCATTCATCTCTAGAACCTTTTTTCATCTTGAAAAATTGAAATTCTGTACTCATTAAGCAATAACTTCTCATTTCTGTCTTCACATTCAGACCCTGGAAATCTACTTTTTGTCTCTATGAATTTGTACTCTATACCTCGTATGAGTGGAAGAATGCAGTATTTGTCCCTTTGTGACCAACTTATTTCACTTAACATATCTTCAAGATTAATATATGTTGTAGCATGTATCAGAATTTCCTTTCTTTTTAAGGCCAAATAATATTCTATGGCATGTGCATACCATATTTTGTTCATTCATCTAACTGTGGGCACTTGAGTTGCTTCCTTCCATCTTCAGTTATTGTGAATAATGCTACTATAAACATAAGCGTGCAAATATTTCTTTGAGGGTTTTCTTTCAGTTCTTTTGGGTATGTAACCAAGAGTGGAATTACTGAATCATGTGGTGATTCTATGTTTAGTTTTTTTAAGGAACCATCGTACTGTTTTTCCTAATGGTAGCACCATTTTGCATTCCCACCCACAGTTTGCAAGGCTTCCAATTTCTCTATATCCTTACCAACAATCGTTATTGTCTGTTTTTGCTTTTATGTATTTATTTTTTTATTTTTATTATAGCCATCCTAATGGGTGGGCAATGATATCTCATTGTGATTTTGGTTTGAATTTCCCTAATAATTAGTAATGTTGAGCATCTTTGGATGTGGATATTGGCCATTTGCATATGTCTTTCAGGTTCACTTTTCAAACTTCAGCAATAGAAATTGCACCGTTTTTTTCTCTTTTCCGCACCTCTTCCTTTATCCCCCAGAGAAAGCAACATTCACCTGCTTTCAAGATTACTCCTAATATGTGGAATGTACTACCCAGAACTACCAAAGAGTCTCTGTCTTTGTTATGCTGCGCCGACATGTGAAAGCTCATGCAGTTGGCTGCCAAGATGTTGGTACAAATACACAGTCAACTACAGCTCCAAATCTACATGGCTCTACCAAGCTATGTTGTACCATGAGCAGCTCCTTCAAAGGATCCTGATTCTATAACTCCCTCAAACTAATATCGGTATGCAGACTTTCACATTTGCTTTCTATCTTTGTAGTTAAAACTCAATATTTTGGCCTAAGGTGATCTCTTTTTAGTGAAGCCCAGAAAAACATTTAATGAAGGATAGCACTCCCTTAGGTATGTGAATTTTTTTCCTCATGAGGACAATGTACAACTTAAAAAAAATACACTAAAACAATGCACTCAAAATGTAGCATATGAGAGATTTAAGCTCGATATGAGAAATGTCTTTCATCCAGCAAATGTTAAATACTAAAACAAGTTGTGGAGAATTGTTATAGACCATTTTCCTCAAAAAAGAGTAAGTCTCTTTAAAATTTATTAAATGTGGAATTTCTATTGCCCTTTAAACAATGGTCTGTAATAATTCTGACCCATGTTTGAGAATGTGTCCCTAATGTACAAAATAGAACCCTGCTAGACATTTGCTAACACGGAAAAGGGCATATAATTTTGTAAACAAAAATCCCATAACTCAAATTTAAATATGGCAATTATTTTAAATCTGGCTAAAAATAATTAAACTATGATACAAAATAATTTATAGTTTAGAAGTATTATGTTTTAGAAGTATTACGTCTGTAAAAATAAGCTCAGGAAAGACATCTGGTACTACTTTGTACACTTTTGACTCCAATTTCTCTGCTGTGAATCTATTTTGAGTGTCACGTTGTCTTCGTGAGCTTACTTTATGATCTTTTATTCCCAAGATTTTATTCAAAGCATCCTCTTCCTCAGTGTTTTCTTACGTGGCATTCCCATAAACTTTTTCTTTTAAATTAAGTAGTCATTTATCATTGAGAATATATATTCTCAATTGCATCTTGCCTTTATTGATTCAAAAAAGCATGTATCATTATTGGAATTTAACCTATCAAGTACGTTCAGCAAAGACATGCTAAAGTGGTTTAGTTCCTTTGATGTATAGCAAATCACTTTTATAGTAATCTAACAGTTGGTTCTTCAAATGTTTAGCTAAATTTCTCTGTGTGTGCCAAAAGAACCTTTTGACAAAAAAAAAAAAAAGAAAAGCTTTCTATGTATTATCTTAGCTGTTTTTAACACTGTTGGGAACAACACAGTTGTTCCCATGGAATATGGCTGTTTAGTCATTTGCTAGTAAATGGGGCCTCTAAACATTCATTATCAAGTTCAGTGAGATTTTGTACAATTTACTGTGCATTGTATGACTTTAGAAATGGTGAGAAAATTGTAGGTTTGTTTTCTTGTTCCAGATGCTTTTCACTCTGTCATATGTGTGTGTGTGTGTGTGTGTGTGTGTGTGTATACACACAGATGTAGTCATGTATTGCGTAATGACGTCTTGGTCGAAAATAGACCACATATGTAACAGTGGTTTTCTAAGATTATAATGGAGCTACCCTATACAGGTGTACCAGATTTCTTTCTTTCTTTCTTTCTTTTTTTTTTTTTTTGAGACAGAGTCTCACTCTGTCACCTGGGCTGGAGTGCAGTGGCACCATCTCAGCTCACTGCAACCTCTGCTTCATGGGTTCAAGCGATTCTCCTGCCTCAGCCTCCTGAATAGCTGGGACCACAGGCGCCCGCCACTACACCCAGCTAATTTTTTGTAGTTTTAGTAGAGACGGGGTTTCACCATGTTGGCCAGGCTGGTCTCCAACTCCTGACCTCGTGATCCGCCCGCCTCAGCCTCCCAAAGTGCTGGGATTACAGGTGTGAGCCACCACGCCCGGCCAGGTTTCTTTTATATTGTATTTTTACTGTACCTTTTCTATGTTTAGACATAGAATGTCTTCTAGACATTCTAGAAATAGAATGGAATGTCATTCTAGAAATGTCAGAATTCTAGATAGAATGTTTAGACACATAAATACTTACCATTGTGTTTTCATTGTTGATGCTATTCACTAAAGTAACAGGCCTAAGAAGTTTGTAGCCTAGGAGTAATAGGCCTTACTATATAGCATAGGTGTGTAGTAGACTATACAGTCTAGGTTTGTGTAAGCATACTCTATGATATTCGCATGAATAGTAAAGTCAGCTAACAATGCATATCTCAGAACATATCCCCATCGCTAAGTGACTCATGACTGTATATATGTATCAGTACACACATACATACATACATGCATATTCAGATACATGCTATTATTTAGCTATGTCACATGCCTACATAACCATAGTGAGAGGTTTATTGTTAATGATAGTAGATGGGAACCCATGTTACAACTAGTCTTGATAATTTTAGATGATCTAAACCATTAGATCATCAGTGCTTTTGCCCTTCTTAGAATAATGATAAAAGCTGTTTTTTTAAAGCATTAACTATACACTATGGGCTTTGCTCATTTAATTTGCCCAACAAACCATTGCTGTAAGGATGAGAACTTCATATTACATTCTTATGTGACAAGGGGAAACTGGTACACAGTGAAATTACGTAACTTGCCCAAAGTCACTTTAACATATTGCAGTGTCAGGAATGCGAGGCCAGGCAGTTTGGCTTCAGAATTGCATTCTTATCCCATGCTGTCCTGTTTTGGCTCTGTTTTTTGTTGTTGTTGTTTTTCTTTTCTTGTGTTTGCATTAGCAATGCATTTTCAAGCCATGGTTTCTTTGCATGGATTGTATGAGCTACTAGTCCATTTTGTGAAGATTAGTTTAGTTAAAACTAGATAAGAGAATTCATAACTAGAAGCAAGTAAATTGTGATAAATTGCAATAAGATAAAAGAAAACATGAGGATAAGGTTGCCACGGTCAGCCTTCTTCCAGTTCTGCAGAACACTTCCCCTTTCTGTAGGAAACCTCACTTTTTCTAGCTGAGCACAGCCCTTTCTGATTCAAGAAATCACTGCGTATGCCTGTCTACACTAATGCTAAGACTTAGTAAAATGTAGTTTCCTTATTTTTAGGTTAAAAATAAATACAAATAGAAGTTCTAATATGTTCTTTCTATACCCACAATGAATTGTCTTGGAAATCTGGAGTATAAGTAGCCCACTTGGGAGACCACTGCAATACTGTAAGATGAAAATTTAATTGAGGCTAGAGAACAGATAATCATTTAGCCCTGGGCTGAATTTTTAGGGAAGAGACAAAATAAAAAAGAATAAAAGAGGTCAACTAAGATTAACATTTTAAAATCTCCAGTTGCCATAGAAACAGAAAATGCAGGCAAGCAGTTTAGCTACCCAAGACTTTTGAAGGATAAAGTGTCACTAAATGTCAAAAACTATTATCAGGCTTAACTGGAATTGGCTTTTGAGCCTCAGCCTGTGGTTATACAACACTCATCCTTCAAATACCCTTTCTGCAAGTGGTGGCTGACATTTGAACCTGTGAGAAATTCAGCCTCCTCTGTCCTGGAAAAACTCAAAGGCTCAGTAACTTTTTGAAGGAGCCACTCTTTGCTGGTAGTGAAAGACTTATGCATAGAATGACATAAGGCCAAATTGTTTATTTAAAAGCTCACTGTTAACCTCTACATTTTTCCACTAGTGAGCCCCGTCTGCTTTTTGGATATGGAAATAGCAGATAATTTTATTGACCCAAACATTCACTCTCATCTTATATTAACAGCTGAGAGAGTTGAGGAGCGTTCAGAGACTTACAGTGTCTCGGTGTAATGAATGTCTTATGTTACTGGGTCTGAGCCAATATACCCACTACCTTATAATTTTTTTCTCTGATTACTTTGCTTCAGGCCCTTTGTATGCTACTAACAACTACTAGATTTCACTGTCTGCTCCAATGTGATGTTTCAAAAATTTCTGGAGGCCACTCTGGCTTACTCTTTCAAGTAAATCTCTACTTTCATAATTTATAACTGTCTGTAGAACTTCTGGTCTTACTGATGACCCACTGCACTGCTGTCTTACCAGGGAATCGGGTGCTAACAACCGTCTAGAGACTAGTTGGAGAGAAGTTCAATGATGTTTGGACACCCTCTTAGGGTAGCCCTTGGTAAGTCCAGGTGACTTTCCCACTCCATTCCATTGCAACTTTCATTCCTAATTAACTCCATTTGGAATTGTGAAACCTCTTTTTCCTTATTCTTCTTTTTCTTCTTCTCTGTTATTCATGGACATCTGCTGCATAATCAGCTGATAGAACTGAGCCCTGTGAGGTGTTTGTTTTTATTTTGTTTTGTTATTTTATTTTGTTTTGTATTTTTTTCATAGTCAAGTACTGGACTATCAGTATCAGGAGAGTCATGGAAATGTAATAGGGATTGGGAGAAAGCCTAAAATCACAAGGTAATAAGATTAATTTCAATTATTTACATATAAATCATCAGCTTTGATCCTCTGTAAGAATAGTCCATAAACTCTGGAGCAAATGAATGATACACTACATTTTAAAGAGAGTTTGGTTTATACACATATTTTATGGACCACGTCTAATATTTAACTAGGTGAGAGCCTGAATATTGTACATTACCTGTGTCAACAAATAACTGCAAAGAGTCTGCAATGAATATCTTAATTGGGTAAAGACTCAAGTGCCTGGAGCATAACCAACACCATGCTAAAAGAAGTGAAGTCTCAGGCTGGGTGCGGTGGCTCACACCTGTAATCCCAGCACTTTGGGAGGCCAAGACAGGCGGATCATGAGATCAGAAGATCGAGACCATCCTGGCTAAAACAGTGAAACCCCGTCTCTACTAAAAACACAAAAAATTAGCTGGGTGTGGTGGCACGCACCTGTAGTCCCAGCTACTTGGGAGGCTGAGGCAGGAGAATCACTTGAACCCAGGAGGCAGAGGTTGCAGTGAGCCAAGATCACACCACTGCACTCCAGCCTGGGTGACAAAGCAAGAGCAAGACTCCATCTCAAAAAAAAAAAAAAAAAAAAAAAAAAAAAAAAAAAAAAAAAAAGAAGTCTCTGCTATTGAAAATTGAAAGATAATAATGTTCTTTGAATTATTCAAATGCATCCTTACCAGTGAATTCAAAGCATTTCTATGTTGGGACCAATGTTGTTAACAATAATAATAATAATAATAGCACAATGACTATTAGTAATCACATAAACTGATCATTAAACAATTTAAATGCATTCTTATTTAACTCTCCTGACAATCTTATGAAGTTGATGCCATTACGTCCCCATTTTAAAGATGAGAAGAGGAATTAGATCATTCACTGCAAGGTAGCACAGCTGGAAACCATCAGAGGAGTTTTAAACTAAGGCCACTGGCTCCAAAGCCTAAGATCTTTGCTACTCTGCTCTACTGCCTCTTATTCTCAACTGGCCTCTGATGGGAAACCAGAAAGGCATAGTTGCCCTCTGCTAATGGGAAAACTGAGCTTAAAGGGGCAAATACTAATTCGTTCCAAATCACCACAATTTGTGGAAAGCCTGGGTTAATATGCAATTAGAAAAAGCCAGTGTCTAAAGGACAAGAATTTTCTGTATGGTTCTTACAACCTAAAAATGGTAACTAATATCTTTTTAGGACTAATTATGTGTCAGGCACTATATATTAAGTGCCTTAACCTCAAACTCTCTTAATATTCTCAACAACCTAATGAAGTAGGTCCTATTATTAAACTCATTCCACAGACAAGAAAACTGAGGCACAGGGAGAGGAAGTAACTTGCCCAAGATCACACTGCTAGCAAGTAAGGGGACTTTGTTCCAGAGTCTGTGTGCCACTGTACCCAACTCTCTTACCTTTCCACTTGTACCTTAATCACTGAGTACCAAACCTCCTGGTGAAACTTCAGGGCTTCAAAGTCCCTTATCTTCGAATGATACAGACCAAATAAATAATGCATGAGATCAGCTAATAAGAGATCATGGAAATACTGAGTAGCAGACAAAATTGAAGACAAAATTAGTAATTTTATCATGAGAATATGACCTAATCTGGAGCTACATATGGTTCAGATTGAATTCCAAATTCATGGAAATTTGACAAATTTTTCTTTTCTTTTTCTTCCTTTTTTTTCTTTCATTGTGCAGTCTATGTTGGCAAGACAAATATTACTCACTTTGTGTGTATCTGTTTGATACTATTCCCTCTCTTTTGTTCTTTCATGCCAAATTTATAATAGAACACTGCAGGTACTCAGGCAATTTTTGAAATAATTTCAAGTAGAATTCTGAAGTGAGCATGGAAAAGACCACTGTATGTACATCCTGATGAACAGGGAAGAGACCACCATATGTTCATCCTGATGCAAAAAAAAATTTACTATTTTAACAACATTGGATCATCTAAGCTGGAAACACTGGGTGGCTGAGACTATGCAATAGACTTGGCTGATGTAACAATAACAAGCCAGGTCACAACAGCTCCATGCTTTCCAACCTTCTGGGATGACTCATTTTGTCCATATGGTTATCTAACTGACCCAGCACCATTTAATGAAATGGCTACCTTTCCCCCTCTTCACTGCAGTGCTGCCTTGTCATAAATCAGGAAGCATACATGAGTTGGTCTATATCAATGCCATTCTGTATCATTAGTCATTTTGTCTATTTGTGTGCCAATATGACATTGTCTTAATTACTGTGGTTTTATAATAGGCCTTTTGAGTGTTTATTTTCTTTACTTTTATAGCTTTGTTCAAATGGCCAAGATCTCTGTTTCAACATTGAACATAAATAGTAATAGTCTTTGCCTCATTTTTGTTGTTGGGGAAAATTTTCCATATTTTACCATTAAATATGAGGGGTTTTCTTTTTGTAGATGTGCTTATCAGTTTAAACAAGCTTTCTGCTATTCATGATTTTATAAGTTTTTAAAACCATAAACAGGTGTTAAATTTTGTCACATTTTTTCTGCATTCATTAAGATGATTGCATGATTTTCTACTGTGTTGTAAATTACATTAAGTTTTTGTAAGTAAATTACTTTAAGTTTTGAATATTACTGTTAAGTAAATCACATTAAGTTTTGAATATTAATACACTCTTGGCTACATGAAATAAGCCTTGTTTAAATGGTGTATTACTCATTTTACATATTACCGAATTCACTTTTCCAATTTTTAAAAAAAATTTTGCCTCTAAGTTTATGAGTAAGATTAGTCTGTAGTATTTCTTTTTAAAATTTTCTTTTCAGGGTATGGAATCAAGTTTTGTCCCAAGCTCTCAGAAAGGAGTTAGGAAGTACTTCCTTTATTCCCCTTAGTTTCTAAAAAAAGTTTGTATAAGATTGGTCTATTTTATTCATAAATGTATGTATGAATTCACTAGTGAATCATTCCAGATCTGGGTCATTCTCATAGGAAGGTCTTATAATTACATATTTAATTCAGATTTTTAAATTTCTTCCTTTGTCAGGTTTCATAGGTTGTGATTTTTTTTTAATTTTTAAATTTTACTTTACTGGAAATTTCACTGGCATAAAGTCATTCACAATTATCCTGTTATTATTTTTAAAAGATCTGTTGCATCTGTAGTGATGTCCCTTTTCACGTTACTGATATTGGTAGCTCATGTTTTGTATTTTCCATGTGATCTTTATGGTTTTAACCTACTTTTGCCTAGGAGTGTGTCTCTGTGTGTGTGTGTGTGTGTGCGTGTGTGTGTCAGAGATAAAGAGAGAGAGAGACAGAGAGACAGAGACAGAAAGAGGGAGAGAGTAAAAGAACGGTACCCTGCTTTGGGTTTACTGAATTTATAAGTCTGCAATTTATTCCTTTTCATCAGTCCAAAAAATATTTGCATTATTTCTTTGAATACTTCACTGGTCCATTTCTACCCTTTCCTGGAAATCCAAATACAATATGTTACAATTGAATGTCTCCCATATGAATTTTCTTCTCTTTTGTTGTTGTTGTTTCTATGCTTTACCCCCTCCATTCTTCAGCTTGAATGTTTTTCTATTGGTTTGTCTTTGAGTTCACTAATCTTTTTTGTTTTGCATTGCCTAGATTGTTCTAATGGATTCCTTGTTTCAGATAATTGCATTTTTCATTTCTAGGAGGTATATTTGATGCTTATAGCTTCAAGTTGTTTATTACATTATGCATCTTTTCATTCATTTCTTTATTTTAACCATCCTTTCCTCTGTTTTACCATAGCTATAATTGTTATTTTAATATTTTTATTTACAAATTTCACTATCTGGATAAACTGAGGTTCTACTTCTCTTGCTTAATTTTTCTTTTGACTATGAGGTAAATTATCTTGTTTCTTGGTTTTTTAAATTTAAATTTTATGACAGATTTTAAAAATCTATAAATAATGACTATAATGTCATTTTTCCCCAAGGGGAATTGTTCTTTCTTTTCTTGGGAAGATAATATGAGGGGAAGGTTTTTTTATTTCATTTATTTTATTTTATTTTATTTGAGACAGGGCCTCACTCTTTCACCCAGGCTGGAGTGCAGTGGTGTGATCTTGGCTCACTGCAACCTCCGCCTCCCAGGCTCAAGCGATCCTCCCACCTCAGCCTCCTGAGTAGCTGGGACTACAGGCATGCACTACCATGCCTGGCTAGTTTTTTGTATTTTTAGTGGAGACAGGGTCTTGCCATGCTGCCCAAGCTGGTGTCAATCTCCTGAGCTCAAGCAATCTGCCTGTTTCGGCCTCCCAAAGTGCCGGGATTACAGGCATAAGCCACAGTGGCTGGCCAGGTCATTTAAATCTAATCAGTAATTGAGCTTGGTCAGAACTGGATTGTAGTTTTAGATAGATTCAGCCCACCTCTGCTATATCGCTGATCTTCTGATTGTGATCTTGGTAGATGTGTGTCTCCTCAGACCTTAAACCCTTCAATTCAATTTTTCTGAGTTTGAGCTTAACTATTTAGCCTCCAGCCCCATGTAGCTTCAATATCTGTCAAACATCTTGAGGAAGAGATGAGCCATGGTTTAAAACAGGACCTTTTATCCTAAGTACCAAGAAATTGAGCAAAATTTTACTCTCCCTTTCAGCCCCATCCTTTTTGACTGTGGCTTTACCAGGGTTTTGATGAAAAGTCTAATGAGTCTCTACTTCTTCAGTAATATAATGTGTATCTTTTGGATCCTTTAAATTAAGCCCTTTAACCTTCCACCCAAACAGGTTCATAACCTTGCAAATCTGTTGTATTTATAGAAGGATTTTGTCACCTAAGCACCCTGAACAGATAAACACCCCACTTCCTATACTGCCTCAGCACTCAGCAAATGTCCTTTGGGGTCATGTGTCTGCGCTCTTTCAGATCTCTATCTACCATTCGGAAGTTTTCAGAAGCATTATTCGTCTTGGTTTTCTGCAGTGGAATTCCTCCACCTGTGCCAAGCCTGAGCCTCAGCTTTTGCCCAAACTTGCAAATGCCCTCACAGAAGAAACAACTATTGATTGCCAGCCCTCTTAGGAAGGGCTCTTCTCTGTTTGGAATTTTACTGCATCTAGTTCTCATTGCTTCCATAGTTTTCTGATGACTTTAACAATATAATTTTCTAATTTATCCTTTTTTCTCCCTAGTTGTTTTAGTAGGAGCGAATATTTGCCAAACATACTATATCCTACTTGAAAGGCAAACTTTGTGAAAATTATTATTTAGAACAGTTTTGTTTCTAATTAATTATTAATAATGCATATACATTTTTAGGCTTATTGTGATATTGAGAAAAACTCCATCATGTTTTCTTTCACATATTGAACTCTATTATTTGGAAGGACTTTATATTGCCTATTATCTGGCTCTATTCCTGTTAAACCTCTGCTCTCATTCTTCGTGTGATGACATTGTGTAGTCAGTAGAGATGACTGTAGAAATTTTCCTGGAACCTATTCTTATGTAGGGATGTCTAGCAATAATTTAGGCATACATGGACATGACTGAATTATCTACATAGCCCCCAAACCCACAGCTCAGATTTTTTGTATTTTGATTTTAACTTCTTATTTGAATTACCAAAATGTCTATGGCCACTTAACAACTGATATGAAGAGAAATCAGAGTGGATAGACACAGTGGCCTAAACTGTTTATAGTCACAATATATTAATTTTATAAAATTTATGAAAACATGACCATGTGACCATATTACTAGGGACCTTGATTACAGAAAAGACCCAGACAAATAAGAGGCCCTGAAATGCAAACTTCTTTTGCTTCACAGAAAATTCACCATCATTAATAACATATGCACACACAATTACCACCATCACAATAAATAAACAAGCACAACCAAACCAAAACCAATAATAGAACCAAGTTGGCTGATCCTGACAAGTCGGTTTCAGCTAAGCTAACTTGCTCCCAAGTTTGATAAAACTTCCGAGAAGGATAAAACTTAAGAGATATTATATTTGCTTAAATATTCAAGGAAAATGGACACTTTTAGAACAAGAAAGACATTATTTCTGGAACCAGAAAGCCTAGGTTTAAATCCCAGCAACACAATATACTAGCTTCATGACTCTGGGCAAGTTTGTCAGTCTCTCTATGCCTTAGTGTCCTCATCTATGAAATGGAGACGTGTGTATATACATATGTGTGTGTATGTGTGTGTGTATCCATTTATATATGTGTGTATATATTACATATAACATTGTATTAGGTTTCTCTAGAGGGACAGAATTAATAGAAGATATATATATACATATATGGACTAAACTCTGATTTTTTTTATCTTGCCCAAATTCCTTTCTAAGAGGTCTGGGGAGTCAGGCCCTACAAACCATAAATTCTCATCAGATGGGTTTTATTTAACCCTATATATCATGACTTATTTTCCAACCTGACTCTGGCATAACATTATCAGACAAGGAAGAAAATCAAAATATCTTACCCCAAAACATGTTTCTTTGCCCTATTTTGCCCCTGCAAAGCTGTTCTTTGTGGGAGAAAATCTGCATTTGTAAAGAATCTCTATTAATATAGCTAGATCTTTTTCTCCCAGGTTCTTCCAATCCTAAAAAGATTAAGAACTTAACAGGAAACATTTGTCATCTATTGTCTCTAAGGGCAGCCACTATAAGACTTCAAAAAAACTCTGGACCAGGCGCGGTGGCTCACGCCTGTAATCCTAGCACTTTGGGAGGCCGAAGGGGGGCAGATCATGAGGTCAGGAGATCGAGACCAACCTGGCTAACACGAGGAAACCCCATCTCTACTAAAAATACAAAAAATTTAGCCAGGCATGGTGGTGGGCGCCTGTAGTCCCAGCTACTCGGGAGGCTGAGGTAGGAGAATGGCGTGAACCTGGGAGGCGGAGCTTGCAGTGAGCCGAGATTGCGCCACTGCACTCCAGCCTGGGCAACAGAGCTAGACTCTGTTTCAAAAAAAAAAAAAAGAAGACTCTGGCCTCCACAATCTTTATCTTAACCTGAACATTCCCTTTCTATTAATCCCGGTCTTTAGACAAACTCAACCGATTGTCAACCAGAAAATGTTTAAATTCACCTACAGCCTGGAACACCGCCCACCCCACCCCCACCACGCCCCCCGCCCACTCCCCACTTTGAGTTGTCCCGCCTTTCTGGACCAAACCAATGTATTTCTTAAATGTATTTGATTGATGTCTCAAGCCGCTCTAAAATGTATAAAACCAAGCTGCGCCTGGACCACCTTGGGCACATGTTCTCAGGACCTCCTGAGGGCTGTGTCATGGGCCATGGTCACTCACATTTGGCTCAGAATAAATCTCTTCAAATATTTTGCAGAGTTCCACTCTTTTTGTAAACATATGAAAGGGAGTTTATTAAGGAGAATCGACTCACATGGTCACAAGGTAAAATCCCACAATAGGCTGTCTGCAAGTTGAGGAGCGAGAAAGCCAGTAGTGTATCAGTCTGAGTCCCAAAACCTCAGAAGTAGGGAAGCCGACAGTGCAGCCTTCATTGTGTGGCCAATGGCCCGAGAGCCCCTGACAAACCACTGGTGTAAGTCCAGGAGTCCAAAAGCTGAAGAACTCAGAGTCTGATGTTTGAGGACAAGAAGCATCCAGCACAGGAGAAAGATGAAGGCCGGAAGACTGGGCAAATCTGCTCTTCCATCTTCTCCTGCCTGCTTTATCCTAGCGGCACTGGCAGCTGATTAGATGGTGCCCCCCCAGATTGGGAGTGGGTCTGCCTCTCCCAGTCCACGGACTCAAATGTTAATCTCCTTTGGCAATGCCCTCACAGACACACCCAGGAATAATACTGTGCATCCTTCAATCCAATCAAGTTGACACTCAATATTAACCATCAAAAACATGTTATATGTTATATATTAATATGTTATATATAATATATAGGTATATATTACATATTTATATATTGGTGTAAATCATATAGTGATATATAGGTAAATATTATATATTGATTTATATATCTATTTTATCCATCTATCATCAACACACCAAAGTATTATCTAATATTTATAATTATTATTATCTGGAGTTATTCTTGAGTGAAACAAAATGATCATTTTTCTTCTGTAGTAGCATTGCTTACATGTTTAACAGGTAATTCATAAAGTCAAAAATGTGGTTTTAGATAAAAGGCATGACACTAACCTTTTATATATTGTGACATGCATGGTAGTGTACATGAAAAGGAAGTAAGTTGAGATGAGACCTATCTTTAAAGATCCAAATCAATCTCTTAGAGAAAGCGACCTGCTAGACTATTCTGCAGGCAGCCTCTAGGCTCTGGGTTTCTGTTCTTCAAGTGAACACAATATATCTGTCACTAAAAGTTAATCCTTTAAGAGTGAGTAAAATGGCCGGGTGCAGTGGCTCACGCCTGTAATCCTAGCACTTTGGGAGGCCAAGGTGGATGGATTGCCTGAGCTCAGGAGTGCGAAACCAGCCTGGGCAACACAGTGAAACCCCACCTCTACTAAAATACAAAAGAAATTAGCCAGGCATGGAGGCATGCGTCTGTAGTCCCAGCCACTCGGGAGGCTGAGGCAGGAGAATCACTTGAGCCTGGGAGGCAGAGGTTGCAGTGAGCCAAGATCACACCACTGTACTCCAGCCTGGGTGACAGAGTGAGACTCTGTCTCTCCAAAACGAAAGGAAAAAAAAAAAAAAGGTGAGTAAAATGATGATCCTATTTAAGGAAAACGTTATTTTAAAGATGTAAAAAGATGGCAAAAACTGAAAGCTTGGCTTGATGGCTTGCTTGGAGCTAGTTTACGACAACATTGGAAAGGAATTCTATAACAAATATTAAATATTATTGCTTAGTTTATAAATGTTTTCTTTTTTGTAATTCATTCACTTAGTTTCTTCAGAATTGTTTTTAATGTTTTCTCAGGAATATAATTTGTAACAACGCTCAGTGCTATTCTCAACCCATGCTGCTATTTGTTGATGGGCCAATTTGGTTTGATTGAATACATACATATGTTATGGTATGTCAAAATTCTTATAAACTTGCTAATATAGGAGACAGATAAATTAGTTTGCCAGCCAACTAGTTTCTAAATTTGTCTCATTATCTGTTTCCAATTGCAAAGTAGAAACAAAAATGATATATTTTGAAAAGTATGTTGTTTAATTTAGGAATATGTGTGGCAATCTTTTAGTCATACGTAAAAATAAATAGTTATTTCACTAATGCAATAGGCTATGAGTAGGAATAACTTTCAAAGACAAAAAATTTTTTGTTTGAACTGTAATCCTGAGAAACTGTATGAAAGCTTATTTTGTAAATTGAGTCATTAAAATGTGGAAACAAGATTGGTTAATCTGCATAATTACCCTACAATTTAGGTAGCTAGGAAATCATCTGATTACCACACGCTATGTACACTAATTCAATGTGTACATTTTTGCTTTTTCCACTAGACTGTGAGATTTTTGGGAGCAGCGATCATGTTTTTTTTTTTTTTTTCATCTTTGAATTCTGGTTGCCATTTAGAAAATGTTCATTGTAATGAGCTGTGGATAAAGAGGGGGTATTGTGGAAATGTCAAGGTGACCTTGAAATTGTTGGTGGGATGCAAACAGATGTGTCTCTGCTACAATGGTGTTCTGAGGTACACCATCATCAGGAAGACAGGCAGGGTTAGAAGAGGACAGCTGTAGAGGACACTGAGTAGACGAACTAGAGAAGCAGGTGGCAAATGTGGAGATTGCAAGGGAAGAGAGCTCCAGGAGGAAGAAGTGGTCCCCTGGAAAGTGAGGGGGTGGTTATTGCAGCTCTAAACACTCTTTTGTTGGTTTGTTTTTTGTTTTTAGATGGAGTTTCGCTCTCGTTGCCCAGGCTGGAGTGCAGTGGCATGGTCTCGGCTCACTGCAACCTCTACTTCCTGGGTTCAAGTGATTCTCCTGCCTCAGCCTCCCAAGTAGCTGGGATTACAGGCAAGCACCACTACACCAGGCTAATTTTGTATTTTTAGTAGAGACAGGGTTTCACCATGTTGGCCAGGCTGGTCTTGAACTCCTGACCTCAGGTGATCCGCCCGCCTGGATCTCCCAAAGTACTGGGATTACAGGTGTGAGCCACCACACCTGGCCAGCTCTAAACACTCTTTTAAGGACATTTATCAATGAAAGGGAGCAGAGATAAGAGGCGTATGGCAGAAGTTGTGGGTTTCAAGGAGAGTTTATTTTGTCTTGGTAAGATAGGATTGCCCATCTTTAAATGCTATTGAAAAGGAGCCAACATATATGGAGAAGTTAACAACTTGGAAGAGAAATGAAATAATCAAGATAACCAAGCCCATCAGAAGGATCAAAGGTTGGGTTTTAGAATGCAGGTTGGGGACAGCACTTCTTCCTTTAGAATGGAATGAAGAGAATCTGTCCCTGGTTAGCTCCTAAGCCTAGAAGGAAGTCAAGAGCTCCCGTGTGCTGGCTATTCTGTGAAACAGGAAGATGTGTTTACCTGCATAGTGTTGGGGCAAATGACAGGGTTAAAATGTTGAAGGGCTTAAGAGGGTTTAAATAGTTCCTTTGGAAAATGAAGGCTGAATAAAGAAATTCAAGAGAGAGCTGGACAGCATCAGGCATGCCTTGAGGTTAGGGGCTTGAGGTTAGAGGTTAGGTGTTTTTAAGGCATCAACCTGTAAGACAGCATAATTTTCTCTAAGCAGGGAAAAAGGTGACATTTTGACTTATCTGGGTGGCTGGAACAGAAAACAAACAAACAAACAAAAAAAGCAAAAACATTAAACTTAGGGAGGTCAAGGTACTGACAAAGAAGTGTGAAAGGAAAATAAATATTGGGCCCCCAAAATCACTCAAGCTGGGAACTGCTTAGGGCAAACCTGCCTCCCACTCTATTCAGAGTCACACCTCTGCTCACTGAGATAAATGCATATCTGATTATGTATTTGGAGCAGCTAATCAGAGGCTCAAAAGAATGCAACCATTTGTCTCTTATCTACCTATGACCTGGAAGCCCCTCCTTTAAGCTGTCCTACCTTTTTGGACTAAACCAATGTGTATGTTACACATATCAATTGATGTCTCATGTCTCCGTAAAATGTATTAACACCAAGCTGTGCCCCGACCACCTTTGGCACATGTCATCAGGACTTCCTGAGGCTGTGTCATGGGTGTATGTCCTCAACCTTGGCAAAATAAACGTTCTAAATTAACCGAGACCTGTCTCAGATTTTTGGGGTTCACAGAAGTCTCTGGGCTGGTGAACAGTGAGCTGCATAGGGAAGGAAGTGAGGAAGGAGGGGCTTATGGGAATAAGTAAAGGCTCAAAGGGTTGGAGATTGTATGCAGGGGAAGTACAGGTAAAGAGAAGCACCCGAGAGGGAGCTAAAACTGTAGGCGTCCGTCCAAGAAGTATCGGTGGCATTTACTGTAATAAGGATGACATTTGACTGTGGGAACAAGGAGCTAATGAAGTGTGCAGGGAAAGGGGACTGGAGTGCTGAGAGTGTGGAGGAACCAAGAGGGCCGGGCATCAGAGGTGTCATCCCTGTGCCTATTGGAGACTCGCAGAGTGTTGGTAGGAACTGTGATGGCAATGAAGATGGAAAGCCACATGCCAAAGTCCTTGATGAAGGAAGAGTGGGTACTGGGGAGTGGATTGATGAGGACAACATGGCAGGGCAGAGGAGAGTCAAATGCAGGAACTTCAAAGGGAAAAGAGGTTTTACCCCAGGCAGATAAACTCATGGATTTGGAAGATCTGCAGAAGAAATTTTACCTCTGGGAGAATCAGGTCGTAATCACCACAGTGAGGCAGAGAAATATAGAGTAGAAAGGTTAAAGATGTAGGAGTTTATTTTGCTATGGGATTACCCCCATGGAAGAATGGATTTCATCTAATCATTCAGGAAAGATATTTTTGGGGGGCTTACTATTCTAGAAACTGGGTATACAGAAGTAAACAAAATAAGCTAATTTACAGTATCCATAAAGTTTTTACATTCTAGTTGGAGGGAGATAGAGGAAAATCACATAGAATGATATTCAAATACACAGACATACCTACCTACAATCCTCTTGCTGTTTTGCTAATTGTAGCAAAGTAATATTGTATATATACTGCATATTCATAAATTGCACGTTATCTTACTAACTTGGATAAACTTAGTCTTTATTAGATGTTAATAGGAGTTGCAAAAGAAGAGAACTTGCAAAAAAAGAGAACTTTGTCAAAAGGATGTTTGGATTTATATGTTTAGAATAAGAGATGGTGGCTGGGCATGGTGGCTCACACCTGTAATTCCAGCACTTTGGGAGGCCAAGGTGGGAGAGTTGCTTGAGCCCAGGAGTTCGAGACCAGACCGGGCAACATAGGGAGATCTCATCGTTACAAATAAGCAAAAAGTTAGCTGGGTATAGTGGAGCATGCCTGTAGTCCCAGAAACTCAGGAGGCTGAGGTAGGAGGATGGTTTGAGCCCAGAAGTTCAATGCTGCCGTGAGCCATGATGGTGCCACTGCAATCCAACCTGGGTGACAGAGTGAGACCTTGTCTCAAAAAAAAAAAAAAAAAAAAAGAAAAAAAGAAAAAGAAAAGAAAAACCCCAAACAAAAAGAATAAGAATAAGAATAAGAGATGGCTGACCTGTACACAATATGTCAAGTGGTGTGTTGGCCAGTTTTTGCATTACTGTAAAGAAATATCTGAGACTGGGTAATATATATAGAAAAGAGGTTTATTTGGCCCATGCTTCTGCAGGCTGTACAGGAAGAATGGTGCCAGCTTCTGCTTCTGGTGAGGCCTCAGGAAGCTTACCATCATGGCAGAAGGAAAAGGGGAAGTTGGTGTATCACACAGCCAGAGCAGGAAAAGGAGAGAGGGAGCAGGGCCCACACACTTTTAAACAACCAGATCTCATGTGAACTCAGAGTGAGAACTCACTCATCACCAAGGGGGTGGTGATAATCCATTCATAAGAGATTCACCCCCATGATCTGAACACCTCCCACCAGGTCCTACCTCCAACACTGGATACTACATTTTATCATGAGATTTGGAGGGGACAAATATCCAAACCGCATCAGGTAGAGATGAGTTTAGTAAAGAAACATCCAGGCCGGGTGCGGTGGCTCACGCCTGTAATCCCAGCACTGTGGGAGGCCAAGGCAGGTGGATCGCAAGGTCAGGAGTTCAAGACCAGCCTGGCCAACATGGTGAAACCCCATCTCTACTAAAAATACAAAAATTAGCCAGGTGTGGTGGCGGGCACCTGTAGTCCCAGCTTCTCGGGAGGCTGAAGCAGGAGAATCGCTTGAACCCAGGAGGCGGAGGTTGCAATGAGCTGAGATCACACCACTGCACTCCAGCCTGGGCGACAGAGCAAGACACTGTCTCAAACAAACAAACAAAACATCCAGCCGGGTAAATTGAAGGCACAAGATTTTGAGAGAAAGTGAAGAAGTTAAACTTGCTAAGGAGTGGCTTTATGCACTGGGGGAAGAGAGGGAACAGATATTGCAGGTAGCACTAGGAAGAGTCTGTCAGGCAGAAGACACAACACAGAGTTGCAGAGGTGGCTTTGAGTGAGTGGTAATCTGTGGAAGAGGTGTCTAATGACAGGAAAGTACAGATAATCCTGCGGACAAGATGAGGAAGGCTAGATAACTAGAAAGCCTTCGGTCTTGAGTATTGATCTAAAATGGGGAAGTGAATATAGTGAACTGTAAGATTTTTTATATTCAAAAATGCTGCAGCCACAAAAAAGAATGTCCTTTGCAGGGACATGGATGAAGCTGGAAACCATCATCCTCAGCAAACTAACACAGGAACAGAAAACCAAATACCGCATGTTCTCACTCATAAGTGGGAGCTAAACAACGAGAACACATGGACACAGGGAGGGGAACATCACACACCGGGGCCCGTCGGAGGGTAGGAGGAAAGGGGAGGGAGAGTATTAGGACAAATACTTAATGCATGCGGAGCTTAAAATCTAGATGATGGGTTGATGGGTGCGGCAAACCACCATGACACATGTATCCCTATGTAACAAACCTGCATGTTCAGCACATGTATCCCAGAACTTAAAGGAAAAGGAAAAAAAAAATGCTGGAAGCCATTGCCCCAAATGCTGAGTTCTAAGCAGAAAACTTGCAAGTTAGAATCCTGAGGACTCCAAGGTTAAGGCAGCACATGGATATTCAGTTGCCTTCTCTCTAGACTCCAGAGTCCCTGCAGAAGTCTGGCAAAGATAGCCTGGTCTGATCATCTTCAGAATCTAAACACACCTCATTTACATAACTACTCACTGTAGGTTGTTTTCAGTTGCCTTCTAAGATTGAAAATGCTAAGGCTTCCCCAGGTTTCAATATTACTTGGTCATTTTTTTTGGTAAGAATCTGACAGGTCAGTAGTTAGATGACCAAATGTTTGAAGAAAGAGTTACTGAAAGGTGATATGGTTGGATTGGTGCTTTAAGTTGAAGACTGTGGACATAATGGGTAGAATAAGAATCCCCGAATAATGGTTGTGATTGTGAAAATGGAAAGTAGATGATAACCTTAAAGAATTTGTGAAGTTGAAGAAAGTGGAGCATTTGCTGGAAAGCACTTCCTCAAAATCTTGCATCTCAAAGGAGTACTGGTTCTGCCTGACAGAACAGCATTGACCTCCACCTGAAAGAGCAGGCCTGACTCAGTGCGTCTCTGGTCCCCACACTGCAGTCACAGTGTGGACATTCTTTTGCAGTGTGTGGTAGCTCCCCCAGGGCAGTGGGCCTGAAGAGACTTGGGGGTAAGTGGTCAGGATTGCTTCCTGCAACAGTGAGAGGTCCTGACTCATGGGCTCTGGATCCCCTCTGACTAATGATCTGCAACTGACCCTCTGCTTGTTCTCTAGCAGGTCCATTCAAGGCAGGAATTGTAATTTCCTAGGACACAATGCTAGGTGAAAGGGTTCATTGTGTCACCAAGAATGACACAGTAATTTAAGCCTGGGAATGCAATTTATTCAAACTCCTCATTTCCTAAATGAGCTCAGATTAGAACAATCTCTTAAAGAACAATTTTAGAAATGTTGATGTTTTTCTTTTTCTTTTCTTCTTTTTTTTTTTTTTTTTTTTACAGGGGGTGGGTGAGTGAGTAGGATGGAGGTGGCCATGGAAAGAAAGGAGAGGAGGAGGCTTTCCATAACCATGACTTGAAATGACCGAGTCAGAAGGTTATGGCTGTTAGGAGGAGTTAGGACCAAGAAACATGCACTTTCTGCCAGTGGGGTCCAAAGTATTCTGCATATCTCAGACAAGTGCAAACCTGCCTTGCCTTTCTCTCTGTCTCCCTAGGAGGTACTGTTTGTGTGACAAAGAGAGTTGTCAGTAATCCAGCAGACACCCTCTTGTACTGCATTGAAATCCAGCACATTCCTCCCTACAGTAGGAAGGACAGACTGGGCTTGCTTTGGGGTTTATTAACCATCTTGAACTATTTTCCAAATGTTTTAGGTTCGAAAAAACCTGAATCACATTGGGCCACAGCCACTTTTTCTTCTTCGCTATTAAGCCTATGTGTATTTTATGGGAAATGTAATCCATATGTTTCTGATTCCTTTACACTTAACTCATCAAGCAGGATTTGTTAAAGCTATTTCATGCCCTGGATGCCTTTTGAGCCGTTTCCTTGTGACTTTCAAAGCCTTTTATTCTCCAGAAATAGGAAGTTACATTTTATGAAATGTAAATGAGCTTGAACCCCCAAAGGTCTTATTTGGGTCAGAATTTGGAACACTTGGGATCAGTAAGAAGCATGCTCTATTCCACTCTTTCAGAGGAATTTCAGCTCAGGGAATACTTTTACACTTTTCAATGCATAAAATTGGCTAAACTTTAATTAAGATGTACTTGGGAGAAAAAAAAAGCAAAAAAAAAATTTCATTGTAAGAGCACATATCATTAATGAAAAGGGGTAAATATTTCTGAATAAATAAAAGCTACCTCAGCTAAATTACCATAAAATAAAATAAACCGAAACAACCAAATACGTCTCCGAACATCACTAACTATGATCCTGTTGCTAAATTGCTGTTTTAATTTTGTGGCCCTAAAGTGAATCTCCAGTAAATATTTTTTCAATACCTCCCACCAGAACAATTAAAATAATTTTCCAGGAGCAAAGCTGTTTTCATGTCTTGGCAAAATATCCTGTTGTCTGAGAGCTCCTATTCTTCAGCAGTAGAAGTTTGCAATTAAAAAAATTAAAGAAATGCATAATCTAAAAATTCTCTCCTCTCCTCTAATTCTAGGAAGAAATTCCATGTTGGGTGTGACATAATAAAACAGGCTCAATTCCGAGCCTTTGCAATTGTTTCTTTTTCTGCCTGGATTAATCTTCCCTACGATCATGAATCTGTCTCCTCTGTTATCTCTTCACTGAGGCCGGCTCTAACTGTCTGGACTGAAAGAACTCTCCCAATTCTCCTTTTGTTACTCTCTACTCCATTTATCCGTTTTACGTTTTTCACAGGAATTAGCATCATCTACCATTGCTTAATGTCATTTGTGCACTTATATTTTCTTTTCTCAATGAGAATCTAAACACATCCCTGTATCCCGTTACTAAAACGTTAGCTGACAAATGGCAAGCACTCAATCAATGTTTACTAAATTTAATTGCAACAATTTGTTCAACACCTATTGACACGTATTATGCACCAGGTTTTATGCTAGATATCAGAGATATAATGAAATATAAAACCAAGTTCCTGTTCTCAAGAACCTCCCATCTTGAGGACAGAGAATATAAGTCAATTACTCTAGTGGTGTGTGGTAATTTTACTGGGGTCCTAATCCAGACCCCAAAAGAGGGTTCTTGGATCTCCTGCAAGAAAGAATTCAGGGAAAATCCATAGAGTAAAGTGAAAGCAAGTTTATTAAGACAGTGAAGGAATAAAAGAATGTCTGTTCCATAGACAGAGAAGCCCAGAGGGCTGCTGGTTGCCCTGGTTATTTGTTGATTATATGCTAAACAAGGGGTGGTGGATTATTTATGCCTCCCCTTTTAAAACCATATAGGGTAACTTCCTGATGTTGCTATGGCATTTGTAAACTGTCATGGCGCCGGTGGGAGTGTAGTAGTGAGGACAACCAGCGGTTACTCTCGTGGCCATATTGGTTTTGGTGGGTTTTGGCTGGCTTCTTTACTGCAACCTGTTTTATCAGCAAGGTCTTTATGACCTGTATCTTGTGCCAACCTTCTGTCTCATTCTGTGACTTAGAATGCCTTAACCATCTGGGAGTACAGCCCAGTAGGTCTCAGCCTCATTTTACCCACCTCCTATTCAAGATGGAGTTGCTCTGGTTCACATGCCTCTGACAGTAAGCTAAAGTTTGCTTGAGAAAAGTGAATTGAAAAAGCCTAGTTATTTTATTGCATAATTAGAATAAGAGGTATCAGAAGCACATTTATCAAAGCTACCAGATAGGAATTAACTTCTTCTAGGATAAAATACATTGTTGTATTTATCACCCTAATGTAGTTTGGAAAAAGCCTACCTTATTGTGCAATATAAATCAAGACTTAAGAGAAACTGTAGAGGATACTAGTTAAGGGAACTTAAACACATTTTTTTTCCTTGATTTTATAGGTAGGTTTTCAAATGGGAAATGAATTGTTTACGTTCATTTGCAAAATGAAGAGAAGGGAAAGAAAAGGCGCTAAGGCTAGACTCACAAAAGCCGAATTCTCATGTGAAGTCCAGCCTTGTGGCTACCCATAAAGCAGTGGCATTCCAGGTTTATCAAAGCCTGAAAATAAAATACAACTATCCAGAACGTATTGGTAAGAGAAGATGTTAATCTTGATCCTCAGGTTCAAATAGAAAAACACCTTCCAAGTTGAAACTCTTCCCTGCCTTTTCAAGCCAGAAGAGTCCACATTGGTGTCTATACAACTTGATTGAATAATTGACAACTCTCATCTCTGCACTTTGCCCTTTAGATTTTCTCACACGCCTTGCCAAACCAACATCTTGGGAACATGGACACCACAAACTTTTTAAAATGGAAATATGTGGACTCCCATAGAAGACGTGCTACAAGCACATAAAACTGACTAAAAGCTTTCTGAGAACAGAAACCAAGTTGGAGCTCACCTTTCTCGCATTTCTATCCACAGTAATTCCTACTCAAAGTCAGTTAAGGGAATTTAATTGCCAATTAAATTAGTGCCTTTTCTCACCTGTAAGAGGTCACTTGCATTATTTTTAGTATATTTGGAAATGAAGGCATAGAAACATACACCAGGCTTCCAGGTTACTTGGCGACAAGGTTTTTTTTTCCTAAAATTTCTAGGAATAGGCTACCTCCATGTCTGTAATGGGGGTAACATCAGCGTGAATGGAAGAGTAAAGATTTCTAAAAATCTGCTTCTCTATAAAAACAATAAGAACACTGGCAAAATTTCCAAAATCAGCTTTTCCAGACCTGGGAAACCTCGCAGAAATCCAAGGAGCATTTACTCAGAAAAAAACCTGCTGCATCTCTTGGAAAAACAGCAATCTATGTGCAGTTGTAAGTTACCCTGTGAAATCCTCTCCTCCAGGATTTACAGCAGCATTGAAAACATAGCCCTGCAATCATGGTGACAACTAGCAGCCTAGAAACCACTAGAAGGGGAAGAATGAGTGTGGAGCTCCCCTAAACCCCAATCCCTGAGCTTTATTTGATTCTGTAGGGCAGTACACTGGAAGTGCAATTGACAGCACTTGTTTTTATTTGACCTGACTCAAAGCTTGGCCAGTGTGAAAGGCCTTTTTCTCAAGGCATTTGTTGAAAACAATCAGCAGTAATTACTCATCATTGCAGATGCCTGAGGCATTGATAACAGTTGGGCCAAACAAGGAGCTGAATTAAAAAGAAAAAGAAAAGCTGGAAAATGAGATATCCATGGAGACTTGGAAGACCTCCAACATATTTCTGAGACTCTAGGAGGCAATAGGTCTACATAGAATTTTGTAAATTTCCAGAAAATTTCTTAGAAAGTCTGAGTTCTCACTTCTGGCTTACTTGGAGACTCTATGCAAGCAGGAAGTGAAGATTAAGTCAGAGTTGTAAAATGCCAAAGTGAGCTGCAATGACTATACTAATATCAGAGTGAGCTGTAATGACTATACTAATATCAGACAAAATGTGCCTTAAGACTAACTGTCATTAGTGACAAAGAAGGATACTTTTTAATGATAAAAGAGTTAATCAAGAAGACATGCTAGGTATAAACATATATGTACTGAACAACAGAGTTCCAAAATGCATGAGGCAAATACTGAGAGAATTGAAGGAAGACATAAATAGTTCAACGTTAATAGTTGGAGACATTGATATTTCACTTTTAATAATGGCTAGAATAACTGGACAGAGACCAGTAAAAAATAGAATGTCTGAATAGCAAAGCTAAAAGAGATCTATATAGCTAGCACCCTACCCAAAAACTTGAGATTACATTCTTCTCATGTGCAGAAGGTACATTCCCCAAGATGAATCATGTGTGAAGCCATAAAATGTCTCAATAAATGTAAAAAAATTAAAATTATACAAAGCATGTTCTCTGATCATAAGAAAATGAAATGGGAAGTTAATAACAAAAGGAAATTTAGGAAAATTAAACAACACTCTTAAATAACCAAAAAGCCAAAAGAGACAGCATAAAGAACATAAATTATTTTTACAAATGAGAACAAAACCACAACACACTAAAACTTACAGAATGCAGCTATTACAGTCATTTAGAAGGAAATTGATAGTGGTAAATGCCTATATTAAGAAATAATAAAGATCGCAAATCAATAGCCTGATTTTCTCCTTTTAGAAGCTAATAATACAAAAGCAAATTAAATGCAAAGTAAACAGAAAGAAAGAAATGAAAATGATTGAAGTAGAAGTAAATAGAGAATAGAAAAACAATAGAGGACATAAATAAAATCAAAAGTAGGTTATTTGGAAAAATCAACAACATTGACAAAGTTTAGGTAGGCTGACCAAGAAAAACAGGGAGAAAATGTAAATGATCAAAATCAGGTATGAATGGGAGTACTTACTACTGAACCTAGAGAAATAAAAAGAATATAAGCAGTTGTATGTCAACAAATTCCTAGAAAGACAAAAACTACCTAAACTGACTTGAGAAGAAATAGAAAAGCTAAATATACTTATAACAATAAAGTGACTATTAGTAATAACAAATTTTTCACAAGAAAACCCTGGGACATGATGACAAGAATGACTGATGAATCCTACCAAGTGTTTAAAAAAGAATGAATATCAATCCTTCACAACCTCTTTCAAGAAACATAGGAGGAGGAGACATTGCCCAGCGCCTTCGATGAGGGCATTATACCAAATACCAAAACCACACAAAGCATCACAAGGAAATAAAACTGCAGACCATATCCCTTATTAATATAATTGCAGAAATACTCAACAAAATACTAGCAAACCAATCCAGCAATATATAAAAAAGATTGTATGACATGATCAAGTGAGATTTATCTCAGGAATGCAAGGGGGATCACAAAATGAAAATCAGTATGTAATAGGCCAAACTAATAAAATAAAAGAAAACTTCTTTACATGGTCATTTCAATTGATGCAGAAAGAGCACTTGGCAAAATTCAACAACTATTTATGTTAAAAAAAAACACACACAAAAAACACTCAAACTAGGAAGAGTAAGGGACTTCCTCACTCTGATAAAACTTCCGATTAACATCATACTTCATGAAAAAAGAATGAAATCTTTTTCCCAAATATCAGAAACAGACAAGGATATCTACTCTTGTCACTTCTATTTAACATACAGAAAGTTTTAGTGAGGGTAATTAGGCAATTTTTAAAAAGCATCCATTTTAGAAAGGGTAAATAAAACTGTACTTGCAGACAACACGATCTTGTATATAGAAAATTCTAAGGTATCTAATAAAAGGCTATTAGAGGTAATAAATGAGTCCAGAAATGTTGCAGGGTACATCAATATATGAAAATCAGCTGTGCTTCCATATAATAGAAATGAATAATTCAAAAATGAAATTAAGAAAATAATTCCATTTATGACAACATTAAAAAGAATAAAACAATTAGAAATAAATTAAGCAAAAGAACTGTAAAACTTGTTTACTGCAAACTATAAAACATTGTTGAAATAAATTAAATAATACCTAAATACATGGGCAGATGTCCTGTGTTCATAGATTAGAAGAAAACATTTTTAAGATGTCAGTGCTTCCCAAATTGATCTATAGATGATATACAATCACTCTGAAGATCCTAGCTACCATTATTTTTAGAATTTGTCAAGTGAATCCTCAAATTTATATGGGAATGCAAGGCACCCTGACTAGACAAAAAATTTTGAAAAAGAAGAACAGAGCTGCAGGAATCAAACTTCCCAATTTCAAAACTTATTACAAACTACAATCAAAAAAAGGAAGTGGTAGCATAATGAGAGACATATAAATCAATGGAATAGATTTTAAAGCCCAGAAATAATCCTTTATATTTATGGTCAATTTTTGACAAGAGTGCCAAGATAATTCAATGAAGAAAGAATAGATTTTTCAAAAAAATAGCTCTGGGAAAAGTTGTACTCCTACCTTATGCCATGTATTAGTCTGTTCTTACGCTGCTAATAAAGACATACCTGAGACTGGGTAATTTATAAAGGAGAAGAGTTTTAATAGACTCACAGTTCCACATGGCTGGGGAGTCCTCACACCATCATGGCAGAAGGCAGAGGAGGAGCAAAGGCACATCTTACATTGAGTCAGGCAAAAGGCTTGTGCAGGGGAACTTCCATTTATAAAACCATCAGAACTTGTAAGACGTATTCACTATCACAAGAACAGTATACAGAAAACCACCCCTGTGATTTGGTTATCTTCACGTGGCCCCACGTGGGGATTGCACGTGGGGATTATTGCAATTCAAGGTGAGCTTTGGGTGGGGACACAGCCAAACCATTTCATACCATATACAAAAATTCACCCCAAATGGCTCAAATACTTAATTGTGAAAACTAAATTTATTAAACTCTTAGAAAAAAAGTATAAATCTTTTTCACCTTGGATTAGACAACTGATTTTAGATATGATACCAAAAGTTCAGGCAACAACAACAACAAAATAGATGAATTGGACTTCATTAAAATTGAGACTTTTGTGTTTCAAAGGATATCATCAAGACAGTGAAAAGGCAATCCACTGAACAGAAGAAAATATTTGCAAATTATGTATATCAAAAGGGACAAACATGCAGAATATGTAAAGAATTCCTGCAACTCAACAATAAAAATATAAAAATCCCAATTTAAAAATAGACAAATGGACAAAGTATTTGAATAGATATTTCTACAAAGAAGATATATAAATGGCCAATAAACATGAAAAAATGTTCAACATCATTAGTCAGTAGGGAAATGCAAATCAAAGCCATAATGAGACACCCCTTCAAACCCACTAGAATGATTATAATTGTTTTTTTTTAAAAGGAAAATAACAATTGTTGGTGAAGATATAAAGAAATTGGAACTCATATACTGCAGGTGGAAATGTAAAATAGTACAGCTGCTATGGAAAACACTGTGGTGGTTCCTCAAAAATTTAAATATGAAGTTACCAGATGATTCAGCAATGTCACTCCTAAGTATATACCCAAGAGAACTGAAAAACATGTCAACGCAAAAATTTGGACATGAATGTTTGTAGCAGCATTATTTATATAGCCAAAAAACTAGGAAGAACCAAAATGTCCATCAATGGATCAACAGATAAACAAAATGTGCTATGTCCATACAATGGGATTATTCAGTCATAACAAGAAGTACTGACACATGCTGCACCATGAACCGACCTTGAAAACAGTGTGCTAAGTGAAAGAAGCCAGGCACAAATGGTTATACATTCTGAGTCCACTGATGTGAAATCTCCAGAATATTCCAACCCTTTGAGACAGAAAGATTAATGTTTGTTAGGGGTTGAGGTAGGGGAAAATGGGGAACTACTGCTCATGAGTACAGTGCTTATTTAGGGGGTGATAGAAACGTTCTGGAATTAGACATTGGTGTTGGTTGCACCATTTTGTGAAAATACTAAAAAGCACTAAACTATATAGTTTAATGGGTGAATTTCATGATATGTGAATTATATCTCAAAAATGTAACTTGTCAATTACTCAAAAGCTTTCAGGCTTGGTAGTAAGAGCTTTTTTTGCATACTTTGGTTCATACTATTGTTATTCTTACATAATGCAGGAAATTTTTGTCATGACACCTCCTAGAACAATTCTTTTGTTAATGACTCAATTCCCATTGGAAAACTATTAAAGAGGAAATGAAAAATGATGTGTTTTATTTAAGAAATAATACTACTCATTATTCATTGTCTTCTTTCTGGATTTTCTCAGTGCTTGAACATGAAAGACAGAGAATTGACCAGAAGCAAGCGTCCTTAGAGTGGGGTCGTCATATTTGAGAAATGTGCTACAGGGATCTAGGTATGGTATTCTTTCAAGACTCAGCCTCTGCAGTCTTGAGAAAGGGCTGGCATATGTTTTGAGAAGAAAATGTGTAGATAGCTTTTTTTGTTTTGTTTTTGTTACTTTACCAGCAATATTTATTTTTGGAACCAGAAATATATAGGTTGACATGTAATGCCATCTTAAAGATCATGATGAATGATGAGCTACTGGGAAAAGAAGGCTTTGGTGTCAGCTCATTGGCAGACTAGAGAGCTCCCAGCCAGCAAAGATGGAGTTTGGAGTTCTGCAAAAAGAATAGAGTAATTTTGATCTCGTTAGGACCAGATCAAAAACAATTGTCTTTTTGATCTGTGTTTTTAAAGTATTCATATGTAAAAAATTATCTGTAATAATAAGACATACTAAAAGGGGCATTATTCATTGCATATATAATCTGGAATAGCATCTTTAATGCTTCTATGACATTTTTAATGTTGTTTAATGTTTAACTTTTAATAAAAAAGGAAAATTCATATTTGACCTTAAAATGCATTAGAATATATAGCAATTTAAGCAGCAGATTTTCTTCATTGTTTTTTCTTCATATAATTAAGTTATATCAAGTTTGTGTAGGATGAGGCCATTATCTTCTAATGCTGGAAGGCCAAGTGGTAAAATACTTGTGGTATTATTCTAAGAGGATGTTGCATATAGATAATTGACAAATGATTGCATTTGATGTCTATTTAGTGATGACATGACAATAATGAAAATATATAATAATACAAGGATAAATTAATAATGATGACATCCATTTTCTCTTTTTGGTGAAGCTTATTTACATTTGCATAAAATTTTATAATTGAATTCTGGCTATATATAGCATCCTTTGTCATCCGACTTTGACCAAATAGGGTCAGGTTGCTGGGGCTGTTATCTCTCATTTAATTGTATGTTTGCAACTAGGTATTCTTTTCTGCTATGACCCTGATATTTGAATGACTAATAGGCACTGTGTACTGAGAATATAATAATGAGCAGTTAGATATCATCTGTGCATTTAAGTTATAAACTCTATGGGATAAACAAACCACCAAGAAATTCAAAAAAAATTGAGATTAGAATGATCACAGGAGAAATACAGAATCCTAGAATGTGAGGCAGCTAAAGATTTACCCAAGATGAGCCTGGCAAGTAAGGTAGAACCCTGGCTAATCAGAGTTTTAAAAACCAGGTCAAGGAGTTTAGACTTTGTTCCAAGGACTAGCAGAAACCATTAAAGAGTTTTAGGTAGGAAATGGTATAATTAGACTTGCAGTTTTGAAAGGAGACACTGTTTGTATGTGTTGTAATAACATAATTTATTATCTAGATCAGGGCAGTTTGGAGAATAAAAAGTGGTGTCATTGCTAATTATGCTGAGACTACGGGTATTAAAACTCTTGCTGCCCTGGACAACCTAGGACATACAGTCACCCTATTTACAGGGAACTGCAATGGAATTAGACTGGTACATGAAGAAAAGTTAGGAAAGAGGAAGATAATTTTAACTATGATGAGACAGTCAATAGAGAAAGAGATAGACAAATATGATAGTTAACTCAGAAAAATGAACATAAAAAGTTGGTCATGGATTGAATGTGAAAAAGGATAGAAGGTTAAGAAATCTACCAGGCATCTGTCTTGTAAAACTGAATGAGTGCTGGGGACATTTACTGAGATGGGGAATGTTGGATAAGTTTTAGAGAGAAGGTGATAGTTTTAGATATGTTCATGTTGAGCTGAAGATAACCATTAGGCACTGACAAAGAGCTGGTATCAGGATTTACACAAGCTGGTCCTTCACATAAGCAGCTGCCATCTGAGGTGGTAGCTGGCCTGCAGTGACGGTGTGGGCCGCGGAGCACTAGCCATCACCCACGTATCTCTAGTACACTCATGGTTCTAGAAATATCAAGCACTCACTGTATTCCCCACTCATCCTGATTGTGTGGCTCAAAGACCAGAAATGTAGTCTAATTCTGGATTTTTATCCTGATTTATCTGGAGAAATGCCTTAAGAACTTCTCCTCCCAAGCAAGATGTTTGGAGATGTCTAGTGTGAAGGGTGGTTAAAAAAAAATTTTACAAGCTGCCCTTTTGGGATCTGACAGTCCCGATAAATTAAGACGCAATGTGCTTGACGATCAAAAGTGGTAAGATCTGATGTTGATGGATGGTGCATTTTGCCTTGGATACAATCAACTCTGCCATAAAACCAGTAAAGATTATTACTGTTTCTCAGGGAAGAAGTAATTTAAGATTCAATATGGGAAGTAAAATAAAATTTGAATACTACAGGCTAAAAAATAATTTTGTGTGTGTGTGTGTGTGATAGGTGGAACTTCACTTTTCATTTTATACACAAAAGCCCCTGTAGAAGCGACTCCATTGTCTTGTTTTTATCACTTATTCTAGGTAAATTTGGCTCTTGAATCTTTCAATTTAAGTCCATTTTGGATTTTGAAATGAAAGATGAACAGAACTCAAGTACACATGTGTAGGTTAGACACTTGGAAGGTGATGTGAAATATATCAAGAATATTATATGTACTTTCTTATAAAAGATATTCAGCTTTGTTTTGTTTATTGTTTATCTTTCATTTTTGGGTGGCCCAATTTTCTTCAGACCTGACCTCTGCACTGATGGAGTATTCAAAACTTGAAAGAAACTATACAAATATTATGAATGTGCATGCCCATGTGTGGATCTTTGAGTTGCAAGAACCTTTTATGTAGGGCAAACATTAGTATTCCTCATGTTTAAAAAAAATGGAAAAAAAAGGTGATATGATTGTGACTTGTTGAAGTTCTGAAATTAACTAGGCAAAGGACAATTCGAAAGGCAATTGTCCCTGTCTTTTGTATGAAACACAGCTTTGAGATCAGAGGTGTTGGTTGAGAGTGTTTCCAAAACCCAAGTGTGGATCTTGTTCACGTGTGTTTAGCAAATCTCAATGACTGAACTTGGGCATTGCAAGAGCTCCCTTGGTCCCCTCCCCATACCCCACTGGGATGCACATAATACAGCTGTACTCACCTTGAGGTTGAAATAGGTGTAGAGCTGATGAGTTGGAGAAAAAGTCCCCAGCATTCCAGAATTAGATTTATCTCTTGTCACTTTGCTTAAAGTATGCAGGTGTTTGAGGGACTTTGAGAATCATAATACTATTGCTTCCTTTCATATTAATAACAGAAAAACTTTTTATTATAACAATTTATAATATTACCTTGCTCTAAATTACTAGAAATATTTGCCATAGTCTCATTCCTTTTTCATGGGAAAAATGTGTAGGATTATTTATTAATACTTCTAAGCTTCTCAAACAAAAAAATTCCCAATTTGTTCAACTCTGATTCATGTTTCATAGATCTGAAAAACTGTAGGGCTGACTCAAAGCTATTTTTAAATGGCCATATCTTCAACAATGACATTTATGAAAAATGAGCATCTGTTGTAAAATCTGCAACATGAAGATAACTTCCAAGGTTCTTTCCGGCTCCACAGAAATTCTATCAATATTTTAATTCATGGGATCTGACAGTCCTACGGTTTTACTTTATAAAACTATTAAATACCTGAAATATTAAGAAGTAAACTTCTCTTTCTCTCTTTTATTTTTTAATTTTTATTTTTTTGCTGTTATCATTGGATGCTAGAAATAAAGTATTTTTGTTTCCTTAGTCTTGCAAAGTGGAAAGTTTTAAAATAAAGAAGTCAGGCCTGACACAGTGGCTCACACCTGTAATCCCAGCACTTTGGAAGGCCAAGGCGGGCGGATCACTTGAGGTCAGGAGTTCGAGACCAGCCTGGCCAACATGGTGAAACTCCACCTCCACTAAAAATACAAAAATTAATCGGCATGGTAGTGCACACCTGCGATCCCAGCTACTCGGGAGGCTGAAGCAGGAGAATCTCTTGAACCCAGGATGCAGAGGTTACAGTGAGCTGAGATCATGCCATTACACTTCAGCCTGGGCAACAGAGCAAGACTTCATCTCTAAATAAATAAATAAATAAATAAATAAATAGATAAATAAAATAAAAAAGTAAATGCCTTGAAAAGAAGAATCCTAAATGATCTAGTCTTGGAAATTATAATTGGTTAATTAAAATCGGAAGGTGCTGTGTTTGGTCACTTGTCCTTGTAGAGACACAGCCAATGAAGCAGATGAAAAAAAAAATTCTCTGGCCTCATACTAATGGTATTTCATTCATAAAAAGAAACTGTGCCCTGAGATTTAATTGAGTGGTTCCAGGGCCATCCCAGCAGAAAATCAGCTGGTTGGGCTTCTATATAAACATGATGACATGTTGAGGGCGGTGTTTACTTTTTTCTAATTAAAGCAAATTAGAAATTCCATTATATTTCTGCAGTGATTTCTGACAGCAGCATGCCCTGGGAAATACTCATGGTACTTCTCGAGTAAGGCTTTCTTCCATGCCACATTCATTTATTCCCTTCAGTTTTTAAACTCATCCCATGCTCTAAGTATTGAAGCCGGCTCTGAGACCTTGGTTTTTCAGGATCATTTAAAAACAAGACTGCAGGACCCAGCGGAATTCAGACCAACTATTTGTGATGACGTTTGATGTTTTCAGCCTTGGTAGTGGTTCTCTTGAGACAAGTCACTCTGTTTTCTTTCCCTTCTTCAGTTCTGTCAACTTTCATAATATTGAGGCAAAACCTCCAGTTGAGTACCCAGTTTAGCAACGAGTAATCTTTTGCAGGGACCCACACTATTAACAGAAACAATTAAGAAGCCAATGAAAATACATCAACTGCACAGCAAAAGCAGGTACTTGTCATGCATGGTGAAGGGCTTTGTTTTTCATTAATGATACTCTTTTTTTTTTTTTTTTTTTTTGAGACAGAGTCTCGCTCTGTTGCCCAGGCTGGAGTGCAGTGACGCGATCTTTGCTCACTGCCAGCTCCGCCTCTTGGGTTCATGCCATTCTCCTGCCTCAGCCTCCCAAGCAGCTGGGACTACAGGCGCCCACCACTGCGCCCGGCTAATTTTTTGTATTTTTAGTAAAGACAGGGTTTCACTGTGCTAGCCAGGATGGTCTCGATCTCCTGACCTCGTGATCCACCCGCCTCGGCCTCCCAAAGTGCTGGGATTACAGGCGTGAGCCACCACGCCTGGCCAATGATACTCCTATTCTATATTTTAAAACCATCATTCAGAGGCTAGAGGTGTGTGAGTTTTGATTTTTTTTAAATAATGCCCATTGTACATTTATGTAATAGCTGTTAAGAAGGTCTCAAAATTCAATGCCACGGCACACTAAAATTCTGTTTAATGAGCTGCACATTTAAGAAAAAAAAATAGGAAGCTCACTAAAATGTTGTTCATTTCCAAATTCATAGTCACATTTTATTGTCTTAACCTTTTCTTTAACTTATAATTTCAAGGCTAAATTTTAGATGCCAGAAAACTTCTTACAAGGAAACTTATACTCAGGGGATCTCCAACTCATTGCCAATAAGAAGAGTTCACATAAAGACACAGGAGTTCAGATAAAGTTACACAAGGTTTAGAAAAGTATTTAAATTTTTCCATGTTCCTCTAAACTGAAACTGGACTCTGGGTCTTGATGAGCTAATATCTAAAGACAATGTCAAGTTTACAAAAGAGGATGTCTTTTGTAAATGAGACTTCTAGAGGCAGAAAATGAAGAATTTGACACATTCTGAAGCCTTCTAAACTAAAAGGAAAGAACAGGTCTGTGACTGTAGCAAGAACTGGGTTGTTCTGGAAACCTTGATATATTAAGAAAGTGGAAGTCAGGTATTTATCTGATATGTGTTATTATCAATATCTCCAAGAAAATTCAAAGTGCAAATCATATATTAAAATCAAAACTTGAATGTCAACTCTAGGTATAGGTATAAGGGATTTTCAAAGGCCTTCTCTCTTTTTCTTCTAACTGCTTGATTGTAGCTCAGCTGATGCATTGGAAAAACGGAATAGGAAGTGAATTCATCTCCTGAATTGCAACAGGAGATGAAATTTTGCTCAATTAGATTTGTAATTGTTGTAACCTTTAGCAGTTCTTGTGAAGATAATGGCAGGGAAAAAGACTGAATGGAATTTTTCAGACTTTATTTTCTTCATTGTGCTCAAGTGTGTCTTGTGTGTCCAAAGATAATCAAGAATTGGCTGTAAATAAAATTCGGTCTCAAGGAAAGATATCCCTCTCCTCTCCCAGGTTCCCAGACCACCTGTTCATGCAGTCATGGAATTTCTCCTTTACTAAAATGAGCTTTATATAGTCAAACATCTCATAAAACGGGAGAGGGGCCTGTGAAATAACAGGAGAGAGTATTTAAAGGGTCTGACTTACAGAAATGCGCCCAGATGAGTTTGGCCAATTGGGGTCAGTTAAGCCTCCCCTGACACCAGCCATTAGTAATATTTTCCATGCACTAAGTAAAACAATGGAAATTCATCACATCTGGTTGAGCCTCCAATACCTATGCAGCTTGTAATGGTTTTTGCAATCTTGATATGAAACAGCACCGTGGCACTCAACGATAGATTGTTAGTGAGCAAAGAAGGCACACTTGTTCCAAAACAATGAAGAGTTGCTTATTACCATTTCCCTTAGATGCCTCCCTCTGGTTCATGTTGCTAGAGCATTTCATCTTGATCCAAAGAGAATTTGGGGTTATTTTCCTCCCCTACTTCTTCCCCTATCTTTAGAGCAATCAGCAGTAAACCTCTAGAAAAAGAAAAAAATCATTCTGTATTTCTTCTGGGGCACCACACTTTCTTATTGAAAAGTTTTGGTTGGCTGGATAAGTTTCTTTGAAGGTAAAGAAAAAGAGCTTGAAAAGATTGATGAATTCAAGAAATATTTGCCACCTTAGAGATCTTGTTCTTACCTTACCTTTTCTTTAAGTACTTGAGATTTAGAAAAAGGACATCGAGCATACCTGAATGGTCCTTAAGCCATGTACTTGATGTTAATACTGAAGAATGATGTTTTAAAATCCCAATGTATCCACCATTGTTCTCTTTGAGTAGAATCAATAAATAAGTTTCTTATAGGTTACAGAAACAATAGCTCAAAGAGGCAGAGTCTATGTCTATCTTGTTCACCATTTCCAACACTCATCAAGCCACAAGGAGACACTCAATGCATGTTTGTTAAATGCCTGACTGTTACCTAAGTTTTCTTCCTCTGAAAACAACTATATTTGTAGGTTGTAGTGTTAAGGCACTCAATATCACATTGCCAATGTGAAGGATATAGGACTAGGCGTCAAAAGTACTATTGCTAGTTCTAAATTTGTAGTAATTACAGTAATAATAATAAGCATTTATTAAGAGCTTAAAATTATCATGCATTAACTCATTTTTTACCCATAATGTTGTAAAGCAGGTATTCATACTATCAACTAAATGTTTGGAAAGCAGATATTGAGGCATGGAGAAGTTAATCAAATCACAGAGCTAGTAAGTGGTGAAGTCAAGATTTTAATCCAGAGCTTTTTCTCTAAATATAATATTTTGCAAGTAAAATAGTTGTGTTTTGCTAAACCAATCACTTTGCACTTTAGTGGCTACCTGTATGAGATTAGCATAATCTTACCTACCTCAGAAGAACAGTACAGATGGGGGCTTCAAACTGAATATTTATGGGTACATTTTCCAATATAAATATGTATGAGATAGTTTACTGTTTCCAGGACGCTTACATTACCATCAGATGTCACAGGACTTGGGGGCCAAGATAGAAACGATTGAGATCTCCCTTTTACCATCGTTCAAATTCACATTGTTCTGGGGACAAATGATATTCTTCAATAAAACAGGAATCTTTGTGGCATAAATTCTTGGAGCAAAGTAGCATACATAAAATGTTTCTGTTTGTAAAAAAAAAAACACCTCTCATATGTTAAGTTTTTATTTTTAGTTTCCATCTAGACCAGTAATTTTCCATTTCCTTCTTAGGAAGATTTTCTTAATGCACTCACACATTCACACACCCCTGCACACACTCACATGTACACACATGTACATTCACACGCACAGATTCTCATGCGTACTCACCCAGAGGCATATATACACACATGTCCCTGCGACAGGGTGACAATGTGCCTGATTGCTTGTTGGTGGCAGATGGCGATAGAACATGGTATTTCTGAAGACATGCCCAAGGTTTCCAGGTGGTCAGGGAAAATTCCATAGTTTTATCTTCTGAGGTCTTTGAGTTAAGGAGGGGAATTTTTATTTTGTTTCCTTTTAGGAACAGATAAAGAGAATAATACAATTTCAGGGATTGACATAAATTAATCCTTAAGTCTGATGTATTTGGGAATGATTAAAATGATGGTATTTAAGGTCACTACTGATGT
Organism: Homo sapiens; assembly: GCF_000001405.40. Taxonomy (NCBI): domain Eukaryota; kingdom Metazoa; phylum Chordata; class Mammalia; order Primates; family Hominidae; genus Homo; species Homo sapiens. The sequence goes on from NC_000017.11 coordinate 69,887,425, forward strand.
TCTTGTCACACTTGTATTGGTGGACTTTTACTCAATTTCACTATGAATTATTGAGATGTTGTGATACCAGTTTGAAAATATGTGTGTGTGTATGCATGCATGCGTGTCCTAATCCTCTTTGACTTCTTCAAATGGCGGACAAGTAGTCCATCATTGAGATTGTCTCATAACCTACAGAAAATATTAAATTAGCTCTATATCAAACATTAAGCATACAAGCAGGGCAAACTGATCCCAGAAAATCCTTTGTGACATGGATTTTAAAATTGCACTTACCTCGGCCAGGTGGGGTGGCTCACACTTGTAATCCCAGCACTTCGGGAGGCCAAAGCAGGTGGATCACTTGGGGCCAGGAGTTTGAGACCAACCTGGCCAATGTGGTGAAACACTCTCTACTAAAAATACAAAAAAATAAAAATAAAAATAACCGGGCATGGTGGCATGCACCTGTATTCCCAGCTACTTGAGAGGCCGAGGCAGGAGAATCGCTTGGGCCCAGGAGGCAGAGGTTGCAATGAATGCAGATTGTGCCACAGCAGTCCATGCTGGGCAACAGAGTGAGATTCTATGTCCAAAAACAACAACGACAACAAAAACCCACTCACCTTATGTATAGTTACACTGCCTTATTTTTTTTCTCCCTGAAATTAGCAAGCAAAAATAGGATTTCCTTCTCAATTTGGGCAACAGCCTTTCAAAGGTCCATGGCCTTCATCTTGTGTGTTGATTTTTCTTCTTTCTCAGTGCCTACCCACTTTTCCTGGGATAGGTGATTTTCTTCTTCTCCAGGACTGGCTGTCATATAGCATGGGAAGATTTACTAACTGGCGTCTAAGGAAAAGACAGCAATGTGTATTAAAATAAGTCAATATAAATGAGTTGTCTATGTACATAAATGAGTTGAACATAATCTTCACTGTTGAATAATGACATAATTCCCTTTCCTTGATTGACAAATCAAAAATTCAGGACTGTAGACTTTTTTTTCCTAGCTCAATTTGATCAATCAATACTTAAGGCCACACAGTGCCAAAATCAGCATCTGTGAGTGTGCGTGTATACACATGTGTAGCAGTTGTGTGGCGTGAGTAGGGTGGACACTAATAATTCATATTTTAAGTGGGTGCCCTTTCATTCTGGTTGCCTTTCAAGGCCTTTTTTTGTTTGTTTTTCAAAGACTTATTTTAATACACATTGCCATCCTAGCCTTTGACGCCAGTTAGTAAATCCTCCCAGGACTTACCTTTAACATCAGTTTTCTCAGCTTCTATCAATAATATCCTCACATAAAGGCTTATTAAAGATTCAAATTGTGGCCGGGCACGGTGGCTCACGCCTGTAATCCCAGCACTTTGGGAAGCCGAGGCGGGTGGATCACAAGGTCAGGAGTTTGACACCAGCCTGGCGAATATGGTGAAACCCTGTCTCTACTAAAATTACAAAAATTAGCCGGGTGTGGTGATGCATGCCCGTAGTCCCAGCAACTCGGGAGGCTGAGGCAGGAGAATCGCTTGACTCCGGGAGGCGTAGGTTGTAGTGAGCCAAGATCTCATCACTGCATTCCAGCCTGGGTGACAGAGTGAGACTCCATCTCAATTAAAAAAAAAAAAAAAAGATTAAATGGTGTATCTTGGCGTTTGGAGGACCAGGAGTAGCACAGAGAGGCTGTGAGCGCCAGGGCTGGGAATCAGGAGCTCATGCCCTACTGTGCATATCCCTATGAGTATTTGCAAGTGCCACAGCCATTCCAGTCCTCAATAAAATCAGGATACGGGAAAACAAGTCCTGATGATTATTTCTAGTTTTAACAATCTGTGAATCTAAGCTTTAAAGCAGTATATTCAGAATGTGAGATATTTCGTTCTCCTTAAACTTGACTGTTATCTGTAGATAAGGCAGGTTGAAATCCATGGAAGTAGGTGTGCCCACACACCGGTAAATACAGAGTCTGATGAGATAGGCTAATTAAGCATGTAGACAGAAAAAAGTCACCTTGAGTGTGGTCAGATTTTTTAAAATATACATAATTTAGCCGCTTCATGGTCTTGTTTAGTCACTGATTTAGTTACTGTGTTTTTTGTACTACCTAGTACAAGAAAGAAGTTTCTGGGTAGGCTCAAGACATTTGGAAAAATAAGCTAAATAAATACATATTTAAATTAAAACTAAAATTAAAATAAGTTAATAAGAAAAAAATTTGGAAAAATAAATTAGATTCCCCCCTCCAAATATTGATTGAGCATCAATTAAGTGAGTTTCTAAAATGTGAGAAATTAGATGTTTAATCAATAAGTAAATAACGTAAACACAGCGTCCCTTTAATCTTGGAACTAACAATTTCTTTGTGAAAGGAATCTGTGAACACTTGAATGACAGTGCATTATAATAATACATGAGCACCTGAGGATGTAGTGATGCAAGAGGGAAATGACAGTTGCCTACAACAGTGGAAGGAAGGGGCAAAGAAAGATTCTAAGCAAGTGCCATACAAACTAAACACACCTTCTTCAGAGAAGGGAGATACCATTGTGGCCTGGAGTGGGCAGAATTTGGTCTAGATCTGGATGATTTGAGGATAATTTTTTTTATGTGGGAAGAAAAGAGAGATGGAATATGAAGGGGGAATGGCATGAACAATGGTATAGAAAAGGATTTGCGGGATTGAACGGTCCAAGGACAAGAGCAATGGATGATAATGTTGGAAAGGTATATTGAATGGGACATCTAGGGAGATGTGAACGGTGAGCTTAACCTATGGATCCTGCAGCACTGTCCAAGTTTTGGGGTGCAGAAGAGTGACACTGTGATTCAGAAAATCAAGAGACTGGAGACTAATGAGTGCAGCATAGTCCAGATGTGGTAATAATTAAGTAAGCTGCTGTCATATCCATGGACACGGAAAGGAAAAGAGTTATGTGGGCATATTTTGAAATCAGATATACATATAGTATATCCTTTCAAGCCATCAAAACATATCACAATTTTGCCTTAAGTTTCCAAATACATCTTTCTTCTTTGATCTCTCCTCCCTTCTAAAAAATCTGATTGCACGAAAGTAAGGTAAATATAGAAAAAAGTAAGTGCAGATATCACAAGCTGAAATTAAGAGCCAGAGAATTTCAGTTCTCTGAAACTGAGTCCTCATGAGGAACCTAGGTCAGTTCAAGTGCAGATTAAGACAAAGGGGTGGGAACCTCTGTGTCCAAGAACAGGAATCAAAAGCAAGTCAATAAGGCGGCGAACAGCTATCTTTGGTTTATTTTTAACTCTTCTGCCCTGCCTCTTTTGTACATACGCGTTGTCTTTCTTACAGTGGAATTACTTTGCTCTTGCCTCAGAAAGCTCTAGAAAATCAACGAGTTTCTGCTAAGTTGGTAGACTAGAGGGCCATATCTCACATATCCCACACTGCGTTCTGGTTTAAGCTATCCTCAAAAGATCAGGATTTCACATTATAAAAGGATCCTGAACTAATTGTTCTCTGAGTTAGCTCTAACTAAACTGATTTGAATCCCAAAGTAAAGAGAGTCTATAAATCTCAATCCCAATTTCAAAGCGATCAGGAAAGATGAGTCCAGCCTCAGTGGTGCATGGATACCCTCAGAAGCAGGGTGACAAAAGTGTGGATTTTGAGCATCCAAAATGTTTGGCCCTTAGTCATGGCTAATAAAATATTCTCTAAGTACCGATTTTTAAAAATTTAACTTTTGTAAAGAGCGTTTTATGAGTGATGCTGTATTAGTATCTATTGCTGCATAACTGATTGTTCCAATATTTAGATGCTTAAAACAATAAATGTTTATTCTCTGTTTCTCTGTATCAGATATTTGGGCATGGCCTTACTGGGTACCTCTGGCTCAGGATTTCTCTTGAGCTTGCAAACAAGGTGTTAGAAGAGGTTGTATTCATCTCAAAGCTTGACTAGTGGATGATCCACTTCCCAACTTGCTCATATGGCCCAGGTCCTTACTAGCTATTGGCTGGAGACATATGGGACCCTCCAGGGGCCACTCACAACGTAGACAGTTGCTTGCTTTATCGAGAGCAGGGGTTCGAGAGAGAGAGAGTGACACCTACACTGAAGTTACAGTCTTTTTATTACCTGACCTCAGAAGAAACATACCATTGCTTTTGCCGCATTCAGTTCAGTAGAAGTGAGTCATTATTAATAGGTCCAGCCTACACTCAAGTGAAGGGGATTTCATGTCGGCTTGAATATCAGGAAGGTGGGATCACTGGGAGTCATTTCAGAGACTGCCTACCACAGATGTGATAGTGGTGTTGTGGCAGAAATCCTCTGCGCTCCTGCTACCCCAATGGTGGCCCACGGATTAGCAGCATAAGACCACCTGAAAGCTTGATAGAAATGTAGCATCTCAGGTCCAATCCCACCCAGGCCAGCTGAATCAGAATCTGCATTTAACAAGGTCCAGAGATTCTTCATGTGCATACCAACGTTTGAGAAGCTCTAGGCTATAGGAGCTTCACATAATGAATCTTAGAGGAAACTACTTTTAAACTGACACCCACGCACCGGAGTCTCTATCTTGGAGCAGATGGTGATAAGCTGATGAGATTCTGCTTTCTATGCTTTTCGAAAACACAGGCTTGGGCAGGTAATCCATAGTCTTAAAATGCACACACAGTCACAGTTTAATGGCTTAATGATGAAGCCTGAACTTTTGTTGGCCATCAGACGTTAACAATGACCACATGGACGTCTCCGATTCCTGCATAGCATTTATAGGGAAAACCAGATCTTTGAACTTATGAAAAACCCCTAACCCATCATCCAAGCACCTTTCATTCCTAGAGATTATCAGAGTTTTCATTACAGGTTAAATTCTTTGTAACTTTTTCATGTGGAAACTATCCCGTTACCTCCTGTTAGTTCTCCTGCTGAGTGCAAATGGAGTGTATACTCTACTTCCTACAGCTGTTTTGGATTTTGTTACATTTTCCAGGTTTTGGGAAAAAAAATGTGCTGACAGAATGTGGCTTCATCTACAACTCTCAACTGATTTAAGAGTATAAACAGAAATACGTTTCCTGATTGTATGTACCAATGAAATAATAATATTATCCAAAGATCCACTAGCCATTTTATTTTTAGAAACTGGGCATTAATTAAAGAGAAACAGAAAAATATGCTGGGGAAAGGTCATTGTGAGATAAAGACAGCAAATATGGCTAGACAAAACAAAAAAAAGATACATTTTTGGTTTGCACTATTTTCAGTGGAAGATAGTTGCTTTTTTTTTTTTTTTTTTTTGAGATGGAGTTTCGCTCTCTGTTGCCCAGGCTGGAGTGCAGTGGTGCAATCTCGACTCACTGCAACCTCTGCTTCCTGGGTTCAAGCGATTCTCCTGTCTCAGCCTCCCGAGTAGCTGGGATTACAGGCACCCGCCACCACGCCCGGCTAATTTTTTGTATTTTTAGTAGAGACGAGGTTTCACCATGTTGGCCGGGCTGGTCTTGAACTCCTGACCTCAGGTGATCTGTCTGCCTTGGCCTCCCAAAGTGCTGGGATTACAGGCGTAAGCCACCGCGCCTGGCCAATAGTTGCTTTTTAAATGGAAAAACAAAAAACAAAACAAACAAACAAAAAACCTTTCCATTCGTATCTGGGCAGAAAGTCAGAGTCAAATAGATATAATTGGAAAAGTTTACTAAATGATGGACTTATGTTACATTTCCCCCCAACTGATCTTTTTTGTTTTATTTTACATAATGGAGTAAAATCCTCTTAAATAAATATATGTGAAAGCAGAATGCTCCAGTCACATTTTATCGTAACAAGATGAAACAAATAAAAACTTAAATCTGAGGCACTAAGAGGTAAACAACTTTTGCTTGGGCTACACAATGACACTTAGCCCGTCTGTTAATAGTGTGGAGAGCACATCTTCCCTTTTTGTTTTCAGGGATGAGGTTGTAAGTAATAAAATTATGAGTAATTTTTGGGCTCTCCCAACTGGTAAAAATCCTCAAGGTGTGTTTTATCAACTCAAGTAGATGGAGTGCTTCATGGTCCAGAATAAAGGGGCTGGAAGATGAAATATGTTGGGATGTTAGAGGCAAGGGGCTGCTGGGGAGCTCATAAAGTTAGAATCACGTTGGGACCTATTTATTGAGAAAAGGCAGGTGAGACAGGGCTAAGAGATTGCTGGGGAGATTGATCCTGGTAATGGCAGCTGGGCAGTCCCAAGTCCAGGTTCCAAAGGACAAAAAAGCCAAATTAAGATCCAGCGAGTCACACCAGAAAGTCCACTCTGGATGACAGAGCACATGTGGTGGGCAGTCTAGGTGTGTTGTAGGTGGTGTTGTGGGAACTCTGACTTTAAGGATTTTATCCCATTTAGGGGGATTGACAAATCCAGGTCACATAATAGGATGCCAGCTATGAAATCCAGGGGTTGGAATAGGGCCTTCACTCACAAGGATAAATATGGATGTTGGTTTGCTTAGCACTGACCCAAGGCAAAAGCTCAGTACCATGCCCTAAAATAGAAAAAAATGTAAGGGATGCTGTGAGTTGGAGAGAGGAAAGAACTTCCAAAGAGACTCAGGTCATCCGTTTGACCTCCTGGATAGAAGTTTGGTGAATAAAGGAGACTTAGGTAGGGAGTGGGGAGTTGGAACACAATGTAGGAGTCTAGATTTAGTCTCTGGACCACGAGATTTGGGGGGTGAGAACACTGAATTGTTTTTAATCTCCTCCTTCACCACCCTGGAGAAGTTGGTAAAGCAATTGTAGGGGCTGGGACGCCATGTGAGTCCATCTGGATCTATCCAGACCGGGAGACGCAGCATGAAAAAAATGAAGATGGTGCTGATATCAACTTGTTTCACTCTGGTCACTTTCCTTCCTCTAGAAAGTTGCTGCTGGGTCAGGGTGATTAGCTGGGGACATGCTTACAGGTTTCTGTTGTTTTACTTTATGTGGTTTCTTATGAGCAAGAGGGAAAGTGCTGATCTTGTAGCTCTATAATCAAGAAGACGCCCTTATTAGTTCCCATTCTGGTAAATAGGAGCAGTATCTAATTTCCTTTGGAAGCAAGGCAGTAGAAGAGAAAGGGTATACTACCATGAAAAGCAATCCTGCCTGGAACCAATGTGTTTGAGTATTGAACTTTGGGTCACACAGAGTTTTTCCCAGCAATGATATTCGAATACATAATTACTCTGCTCTTCATGTGGTATTGGTAGTGCAAAAAACAAGTGTGTACTTTGTATTTATTTTCCAGATTTCCCATTTATTGTTCCCCAAACAGAGTGACGGTGCAAGTTTTATTCCACCACATTGAAAGATAGCTGCTCTTGGCTTCAGGAAGCTTTTTCCTTTCCTTTTATTTCTTTTCAATCCTCCCTTTCTTTGTTTGGTGACTGGGTGCCCCTCCATGTGTCATCTTCTTTCAATAGCACAGCTACCATCAGGAATCATAGCTAAAATACTTAACAACCAATGCATCTCAGGTATGGAACAACTGGAATGGACATCGACCTTAATCTGGAGCAGAAAACAAGGGGCCCTCTGCTCTGCCCAAAGGTTAACAGTTTAATTGTGGGATTGTGGTGAGTTCAAGAGGCTGCAGAAGATATGGTAAGGGGATTCAGGGTAGCAGCTAGTTTACCAAGTGGTATAGAAATATTTACATACTGAGAAATATTTACTATACTGAGATGCTCATATCAGTGCATACTGGCTCATTATCAAGGCTGATATTTGTTTCTAGAATGTGGTGACGGGACCAGTATACTTGAAGCTACAGAGAGACCCTGATGACTAACTGATACAGTCTCCTTATCTCTCACGTTTGTTAATTCTATAAGTACTTATTGAGCATCCACTATATGTTGGACACTTATCAAGGTACTGGTAAGATACTGGTGAATACGACAAAAAGAAATTCCTGCTTATCTTCTAGTAGGGGAGATAGACAACAAATAAAAAGGGAAAAAAGAATGTATGATGTGATTTCAGGTTGTGATAAGTGCTGAGGAAAAACAAAGCACAACAGGCCAGTGGAGAGAAGAAGGCTTGAGAAAGGGTATTGGATTAGGCGTCAGGGAAGACTTTTCTGAGGAATTGACACTTGAGCAAAGACCTGAATGAAAAGAGGAAACAGGCCATCAACTCTCTGGGGAAGGAGTCCCAGGCAGATGTGACACTATGTGCGAAAGTCCTCAAGGTGGGAAGGACTGTGGCATGTTACATGAGCAGAAAGGCAGTACAGCAGGAGCTGAGAGATGGAGGGGAGAGTGTTAGGAGAGGATAGAAAGTAGGTAGTGGCCCAGTGCACCTAGGCCACGGGAAGGAGTTGGGATTTTAATCTGAACATGATAGAGCACCACTGGATACGTATGATCTGAATTATATTTGAAGAAGAGCACTTCAGCTGATGTGCTGAGAAGGTACTTGTGGAGGGATCAGTAGAAACATGGAGTCCAGTTAGTTTGCTTTTTGTTTTTGAGATCAGACAAGGGGTAATTAGGCCTAAAGTTACCAGGGCTCAGAAAATCTACATGCCTGGTTCCAAGCCACACTGTTGAAGTTTGGTCCCAATTTTCCAGATGTCATAATGCAATCAGTGCTGGCCATCTGAAAGTTTAGGGAACATGGCCTCTCACCAAGAACGTGTTACTTGCCCAAACCTCACCTCTTCTCTCCCCATCCTGTTGTAATCTTTGAACTAGGAAAATTCTAACATTGGATAGTTGATAACAAAATTGAAAGACTGTGTAAATACTCTTGAGTTAACAAGGTAAGGGATAAGCCTAATTTTCTTACCATTGGGCTCAAAGGCAATACCTTTGTCTGTTTTAAGAAAACTGAGAACCAGAGTGGGTGCGGTGGCTCACACCTATAATCCCAGCACTTTGGGAGGCCGAGGTGGATGGATCACTTGAGGTTAGGAGTTCAAGAGCAGCCTGGCCAACATGGCAAAACCCTGTCTCTACTAAAAATACAAAAATTAGCCAGGCGTGGTGGCACACGCCTGTAGTCCTAGCTACTTGGAAGGCTGAGGTGGGAGAATCCCTTGAACCAGGGAGGCAGAAGCTGCAGTGAGCTGAGATTGTACCACTGCACTCCAGCCTGGGCGACAGAGCAAGGCTCTGTCTAGAAAACAAACAAACAAAAAACAAAACTGGGAATCACTGATGAGTAAATTTTAAAGCAAAGTGCAGATAGAGCCATGGGGAAAAAGAAAATAATAAGGATGAGGCAAGAAACAGAAACTGGAGATAAGGCAGTTCTTCTAAAAGGCACCCAGATCAGATGGGAAAATGCCAGCTCCTGCTTTCATGCAGTTTGCAATTAGGTTCCAATAGCTGTTTCTCCCTGAGGTCCATCTTCCCACAGTCCAGGGTCCTGCAGTTATCACAATGTTTTGAATTGTGAAATCTCTCTCTCTGTCTCACTACTCTGCCTTTCATCTCTGAATGACTAATACTGTATGCAATGCGTAACATTTTAGGGACACTTTGCAATCATAGCACACAATGGCTACCCGTGGACCACATCTCTTTTTCAGGTTTGTTGGGCCTACAGAGAGTTTTTGGAAATTTGAATAAGCTGCTGTATTAGTTTTCTACTGTTGTGTAGCCAATTACCACATACTCAGCAGCTTAAAACAATATACATTTATTATCTCATCATTTCCACGGCTCAAGAGTCCAGGCACGGCTTAGCCGAGTCTGCTCAGGGTCTTACCAGGCTGCAACCCAAGAGGCTGGCCAGGCTGCATTTTCATCTGGAGGCGCCAGGGGAAAGAAGCCACTTCTTTTTTTCTTTTTTTTATTTTTTGAGACAGAGTCTCACTCTGTCGCCCAGGCTGGAATGTAGTGGTGTGATCTTGGCTCACTGCAACCTCTGCCTCCTGGGTTCACGAAATTCTCCTGCCTCAGCCTCCTGAGTAGCTGGGACTACAGATGCGTGCCACCACGCCCAGCTAATTTTTTGTATTTTTAGTAGAGACAGGGTTTCACCACGTTGGCCAGGATGGTCTCGATCTCTTGACCTTGTGATCCTCCCAACTCGGCCTCCCAAAGTGCTGGGTTTATAGACATGAGCCACCGCGCCCGGCCAGAAGAAGCCACTTCTAACCTCAATCAGGTTGTGGATGAAATTCACTTTGTGCAGCTATCAGTTGTATGATTGAAGATTCTAACATTTTGCTAGCCGGAAGCTGCTCAAGGGCCCTAGAGGCACAGTTGCTTGTCCTGTGGGCTTTTCTGCCATGGCTGCTTACTTCATCTCACTTCGGGGAGGGACAAGTTTCTCCTTTAAGGGCACTCACCTGATTGAGTCTGGCTCATCCACCATCATTCTTTGCTTTTTGATTAACTCTGAATCAACTGGCTTGGAATCTTAATTACATCCAGAAAAAGACTTTCCCTCTAGGTCATATTCTCTTGGCTAGAAGCAAGTCACAAGTTCATCCTACAGCCAAGGAAGGGGGTCACACAACGTATCAGGAATCATGGGAGCTTCTGTTGGGTCTGCCCACCACAGTTGACTACATATACAAATTAGCAAAGTGCACAGAATTTAGTTTTTCAGTTTCTTTTTTCTTTTTCTTTTCTTTTTTTGTTTTTGAGACAAAGTCTAGCTCTGTCGTCCAGGCTGGAGTGCAGTGGCACAATCTTGGCTCACTGCAACCTCTGCCTCATGGGTTTAAACGATTCTCCTGCCTCAGCCTCCTGAGTAGCCGGGACTACAGGTGCCCACCACCACGCCTGGCTAATTTTTTGTATTTTTAGTAGAGACAGGGTTTCATCATGTTGGGCGGGCTGGTCTCAAACTCCTGACCTCGTGATCTGCCTGCCTCAGCCTCCCAAAGTAATGGGATTACAGGCGTGAGCCACCGAGTCCGGCCTTTCACTTTCATTTGAAAAAAAAAAAAAAGAATCAGAGTAGACACTGGGGCCATATTCTCACCTGACATCAGCCCGCAGGAGTGGGCTATTGACAACCCCCTTTGGTTAGACATGCTCCCTGAGTTTCTATTATTCCCCTCTCTGATTTTGTCTAATTGTTTATTCATTTGTGTCAACTGCTTCACTCTGCCATTTATGGTTACAAGTCCCATAGTAAACATTTGCTAGAATTATGTAATGACAATTATTTTGCTTGTGTTTTTGTTGCTTTTGTGTATGTTTAACCGAAGTCTCCTTCAGAGCCTAAAGGAATGTTGGAGATTATTTAATTCACCTATTTTACAGAGAAAACTGAAGCTCCCAAAAGTGACTTTGCCAGGTTCATACAAGTTGTTAAAACCCCAAACTCAAGATTCTTCCAATTCAAGCCCTGCAGCATTTCTTTGAGAATGAAAGCAAAGAAGAATTGGCCAACTCATGTCCCAGGAGACAATCTGGAAATATTTTGCTGTAAATCCATACCTCCCGTCTCGAGGAAAACTTAGCATTTTTCGAGTATTAGAAATCACCATGAACATTGTGCATCATTAGGCCCATGGAGAGCTTTTGCTTCTTCTGCAGAGGCTTTAGTGCAGTTGAAGATTTACCAGCACGTGCCAATGAGCTGTCACCGTGTCTTTATTCAAAAGGTCTCTGTCTACCAACGGCATACTGCATACTGAGAAATGTACACCTTTTGGTGTGTGCTCAATAATTGAACCTGCACTTCTCATGGGGTTCCAGAGCCAGGAAACACATGTTCAAATTCCAGCTCTGTCATTTGCTATGTGACTGGCCTTGGGCAAGTTATTAAATTCTCTGTGCCTCAGTTTTCTCATTTGCAGAATGGGTATTAGAATAAAATTTTAAAATAGTATTACATGAGTTAATAAATGTAAAGCACTTAGAATGGTGCCTGACTCAATAACATATATCTATTAATATTAATTATTATTATTATTATTACTTTCACTCGTGTTCCTGCATAGATGCTTGTGGTTGAGTTGTGTTACCTAGATCTTGAATTTGCATTCTCACTGGGTGCAATATCATTCCCAATAGGGAAAAAAATTTGTTTATTGGGAAACAAAAAAATCTTATTCTTTTAATGTATGAAACATAAACATAAAATATATAAACAGAAATACTGTGTACTTATATTACAATTTCATGGGAGGATTGATTAGTTAAAAAAATGCCTAAGAAGCCTTGTTGGAAGAGTGAAAATGGGGGAAAAAAGGGTTGAGAAACACTGTTTTAGAAGAACAAGAGAAGACAGGCCAGGCATGGTGGCTCACACCTGTAATCCCAGCACTTTGGGAGCTGAGGCTGTCAGATCGCTTGAGGCCAGGAGTTCAAGACCAGCCTGGCCAATGTGGTGAAACCCCATCTCTACTAAAATTACAAAAATTAGCTGGGTGTGGTGGCATACGCCTGTGATCCCAGCTACTTGGGAGGCTGTGGCACAAGAATGGCTTGAATCCAGGAGGCCGAGGTTGCAGTGAGCCGAGATCACACTACCACACTCCAGCCTGGGTGACACAGTGAGACTGTCTTAAAAAAAAAAAAAAAAAAAAAAAAGAAAGGAAGGGCAAGAGAAGACAGGTCAAACATAATAAAGGGTTTCAAGATGTGATGGCAGAGCAGGAAACCAAGCACGGAGCCCTTCTGATTTCCAGATCCTTCCTGTGTGACTGTCCAGCATGTACACTGATGAAGGCAGCCCTGATGACGGGCAGTCTGTGGTGTCTCTGATGACTCTTCTGAGGGGTATCATAGGACAACTCAGGATGTCTCCTTTCTTAGTAACCTCCCTCATCATTAGGACTGTTGCCCATAGTGTGGAAGGAAGGTAGAACCACCTTTTGCCGAGTTTAGCCTATTTTTCCTAGATTAGAAACAAACTGCTAATACCTGGGTAAAAAATGAAAGAGTTAGTGAAACTCAATGAGTGTTTCAGTGGTTTTGTTGCCTCCCTGCCAACCCAAGGTTTCGTCCTTTTGTGTATTAATTTGGTCTCCATTCTATGCTCTCCCAAAACATGAAAGTTCTTTTATTTTACTTATTTATTAATTTATTTATTTTGAGATAGAGTTTTGCTCTTGTTGCCCAGGCTGGAGTGCAATGGCATGATCTCGGCTCACTGCAACCTCCACCTCCGGGGTTCAAGCAATTCTCCTGCCTCAGGGTCCCAACTAGCTGGGATTATAGGCATTCACTACCACGCCCAGCTAATTTTTTTGTATTTTTGATAGAGACGGGGTTTCCATGTTGGTTAGGCTGGTCTTGAACTCCCGACCTCAGATAGTGTGCCCGCTTCGGCCTCCCAAAGTGCTGGGATTACAGGGGTGAGCCACCACGCCCGGCCGCAAGTTCTTTTATTTTACAAATTTTATTTCTGATAATTTGAGATGAAAGCAAGTAGAGAGAAAAAAAAAGATTTCTTGATAAAAATGAAGCCTTCGGCTTCCTCCATATCTGACCCTCGTTCAGAGTTTCTGGTGCTGTTTAACTCTGGAGATTTGTAAGAGGAAATGACCTAAGTTTACTACGGGGCTTACGCAGAGGTCCTGCTCAGCACTGCCCAGGAGTACCGATTGCTAACTCTGTCCTTCCCTCTGATGCCAGGTCCCAAAAATAGCCCAGTGGGAACAACACAGCAGCCTCTCCCTCACGGCCTGCAAATCAAAGCCCTGATTAGGTCAAAGGATGGGAAATGTGGCTATATCGCTGCTCAGAGGCTCTTCAATGCCAAGGGTGTAGAAGCTTCCTGTTCCTTCAGATGTTGGGACAGAGCCGCTGGGCAGGCTTCACTCAGGAGACCTTGCTCCATCTCTTTTGAGTCCTTGAATCTGCTGGGGAGAAGCAGTTTTCCCGTGGAAGCCTTTGAGTCCCTAAGATTCTGGAAGTCCAGGGAAGAGCACTTCAATTTGTAATTGCAGACATCTGACCCAAGAAAGGCTGGCCTTGCTGGAGATGCCTCACTCCCTAGGAAAATCAATTTTGGTTTATTTCATGGAAGAAATAAGACCACTGAAGATTTTTCCTTCTTTCTCATTTCTGGTGGGCACACTTGAAAATGGCAGCTAGTATCATTGTAATGTCACCTTACAGCTTATATCAAAAGCGTATAAAAGTCTTTGCCCCATAACTAAAGGGCTCCTTTGGGGTGTGGGGAGGTATTGAGGGGAAGTGACAGAGCAGAATAAGGAGGGGTATAAAAATCCTCTATGTCTTAGTCCGTTTGGGCTGTTACAGCAAACATATCACAACAAAGAGGCTTATACACAACAGAAATTTATTTCTCGTAGATTTGGAGGCTGGGAAGTCCAGATCAAGGCACGAGCAGACTCAATATCTAGTGAGGGCCTACTTGCTCATACATGACTGATATGGTTAGGCTTTGTGTCCTCACCCAAATCTCATCTTGAATTGCAATCTCCAGGTGTCGAGGGAGGGACCTGGTGGGAGGTGATGGGATCATGAGGGCAGTTCTCCCCATGTGGTTCTCATGATAGTGAGTGAGTTCTCACAATAGCTGATGGTTTTATAAGGCAGTTTTCCCTGCTCTTACTCACTCTTCTCTTTCCTGCCATCATGTGAAGAAGGTTCTTGCTTCCTCTTCACCTTCTGCCATGATTGTAAGTTTCCTGAGGTCTCCTCAGCCATGTAGAACTGTCAGTCAATTTTCTTTATTAAAAAACCCAGTCTTGGGCAGTTCTTTATAGCAGTGTGAAAATGAACTAATACAATGACTCTCTTCTCATTGTACCCTCACATGGCAGAAGAGGTGAGGGTCTTTTGGGGGTCTCTTTTATCCTATTCCTGAGGGCTCTGCCCCCTTGACCTAATCACCTTTCTAAAATTGGCCTCCTAATTCCATCACCCTGGGCTTTAGGATTTCAGCGTATGAATTTGGGGGAATGCAAACATTTAGACCATTGCACTTTATAACAAGGATTAGTAAATGATGCCCCAATCCTCCCCCACCCCCCACACCTGTGTTTGTAAATATAATTGCACTGGGATTTTCTTTTCCATGCTTATTCATTTGTGTATTTTCCATGGCAGCTTTCATAATACAAAGGCAGAGCTGAGGAGTCCTGATAGGGATCACGCGTCCCACAAAGCCTAAAATATCTGGCTCTTTACAGAAAAAGCCTACTGATCCCTGCTTTATAATAATGGCCATACATTTAGTGTTTCCTATGCTGTGTACATTATATAGCTTTTCTCATTCAGGTCTCCCAACAATAGTGCAAAGTGGATACTGTTCTCTCCACTTTACAGATGGGGAAGGAGAGGAAAAGCTTGTTCAAGGTCACGCACATGGTAAATGATAAGGCTGGGTGTGAATCTATAGCTGTCTGATATTATGATTTTTTTTTTTTTTCTAGCACACTGCATTGCCTCACAGCTAAATTCCCACTGGATTGTTGGTCTGAATCACCGATTGAAAAATCAAATGTCTTCAGGGACCCGGCAGGATCCCGAAGGACGCCGCTCTAAGCCAGAGGGAGCGGTGTGTGTTGTGGCTGAAGTGGAAAATACAAGCCCAGTTTAAGGGCATTCAAACATGAATTGTTTTTTTTAAAGCCGTGCGAGTCAAACAAAACATGTCAGCAGTTCTTATTAGGCTAACAGGTTGCTGGTTTGTGACCCTTGGACCGATCCTCAACCAGGTTGGGCAAGGGAAACGATGATATGCTGAGAATGGAAACCAGACCGCCCATTGGTCTCCCCCTCCGGCCCCGGTTCACTTCTTTGGGAACATCTTAGATGGCTGCATGGAGAAACACGGACCTTTGGCCTGTTTTTTTCCTCCGAGCTCTGCCACCTAGTCTTGGTATGACTTCAAGCAAATAGACTAACCTCTATGAGCTTCCGATTTTTCATCCTTTAAAACTGAGATTTACTTATCTCACATTTATTGGTCCATGGTGTGCGTCAGGAGCTGCACTGGTCTTGGCTTATCTCAGGAAATGGCAACTCCATACTTCCACTTGCTCAGAGAAAAACCTTTAGTGTGCTCCTTGATTCTTCTCTTGTTATTACACCTATGACCAATCTGTCAGCACAACCTGCTGTCTCTGTATGCAGTAAGCATCCGGAATCTGAACAATTCTCATTTCGATCACTAATGAAACCGTGCCCCAAAGAGTTAAAAAAATGACTAGCAAATATTCTTGAGTTTGCAGGATGGCAGAGAAGGAAAAGAAAAACAACTTGCCGAAAGGCTGAAACTCCTTCTGCTTGCAAGATGTCAAAACTGACTAAAATTGGCTAAAACCAATTTGGCCAGCTAGAGTCTGCACACAGAACCAGCTTGTTGACATCACAACCCAAATTTCCACTGCAGGTTTTATACTAATTCCACCCTCAAATTTACACATACAATCTATGGGGTAGCATGGAGAAGTGCATGTGCTAGAAGACTTTCCAGACCTCCCCTTTGCTTCTACCCATCATAGATGAATCCCAGAATCCACTTTGTAAACCTTTTGTAATAAAATGACTGCCGTAAAACCAGCATGAGGAGACAGATTTGAGCTAAACTCCTGTCTCCTTGAAAAGCTCAATGAAAAGCTTTTCTTTTCTCAAAAACCCAATGTCATATTTTTGGTTTCTAGTGCACCGGGCAGCAAGTCCTTGGACTCTGTAACACTAACACCTAAGCTCCAGCCTCCATGGTAGCTGACCTGGATTACGGCAATAGCCTCCTTACGTGGTCTCCCAGGTCCTTGAGTTTGTTCTCAACCCAGCAGCCATAGAGACCCTGTTAAATAAGTGAGACCATGACATTCTTCATGCTTTCTCCTTTCACAGAAAAAAACAAAGTTTTTACAATGACCTTCAAGGTGCCAATGATCTGCCTCCTCTCCTGCAACCCTTTTTCCCTGCTTTTGCGATCTCATCTCTGGTTCTCTGACCTGCGCACTCCTCTCTAGCCAGTGCCCCTCTACCTCTCCGTCAAGCACACTAGGCAAGCTCCTACCTCACAGCCTTCAGGCCTGCTTCTTCCGCCTGGAAAACTCTTCATCTAGATAGCCGCAGGGCAACTTCTTCATTGCTTTACTGCATCTTCTAAGTGAGGTCCTCCCTAACCATATAATTCAAATTGCGTGCCCCCTATTTACTCCTCTTTCCTTTGTTATCTTCCTCCCTAGCACTAATCATTACCACATAGCATATGATTTATTTATTTATATTGTTTATTGTCTGTTTTCCACAATAGCAGCCAAAGAATTGTGCTCACTGCTGTATCCACAGCACCTTATAAGGTGCCCCATCTACAGTGCATGTCTAATACTTTGAAGTTCCTTTTCTTCTTTCCTTTCTCTTTCTCATCAGAAATAAATTTTCCCCACCACACCATTTTATTTACTCTATTAGAATTGAATTAAAATTATTTTAAGAACCTCGGCTGGGTGCGGTGGCTCACACCTGTAATCCCAGCACTTTGGGAGACCAAGGCGGGTGTATCACCTGAGGTCAGAAGGTCAGGAGTTTGAGACCAGCCTGGGCAACATGGTAAAACTCCGTCTCTACTAACAATACAAAATTAGCCAGGTGTAGTGGCATGTGTCTGTAATCCCAGCTACCTTGGGAGGCTGAGGCAGGAGAATCGCTTGAACCTGGGAGGCAGAAATTGCTGTTAGCTGAGATTGTGCCACTGCACTCCAGCCTGGGCGACAGAGGGAGGCTGTCTCAAAAAAAAAAAAAAAAAAAAAAAAAAAAAATCTCGTGCTCTACCAACTGAGCTAGCTGGCTGGGCTTCTAAATTACAATTCTTTTCATTTCAAAGATCTGTGGCCAATGATAGGCAGCTAACTTTGAAACATATGCCAGTGATTGTGGCAGTGGAGTCCCCAGACCAGCATCACATCCATGGTCACCAGGGGACTTGTGAGAAATGCAAATTCTTGCTGGGCGTGGTGGCTCACGCCTGTAATCCCAGCACTTTGGGAGGCCGAGATGGGCGGATCACAAGGTCAGGAGATGGAGACCATCCTGGCTAACACGGTGAAACCCCATCTCTACTAAAAATACAAAAAAATAAGCTGGGCATAGTGGCGGGTGCCTGTAGTCCCAGCTACTCGGGAGGCTGAGGCAGGAGAATGGCATGAACCTGGGAGGCGGAGCTTGCAGTGAGCCGAGATCACACCACTGCACTCCAGCCTGGGTGACTGAGCGAGACTCCATCTCAAAAAAAAAAAAAAAAAAAAAATGCAAATTCTTGGGCCTCACCTAAAAGCCACTG
Source organism: Homo sapiens (assembly GCF_000001405.40). Classification (NCBI taxonomy): domain Eukaryota; kingdom Metazoa; phylum Chordata; class Mammalia; order Primates; family Hominidae; genus Homo; species Homo sapiens. The sequence goes on from NC_000017.11 coordinate 69,905,606, forward strand.
AATCAGACATACTGGGGAAGGGTCCAGCAATGTTTCAACAAGCCCACCAAGTGATTCTGATACAAGTTAAAATTTAAGAACCATTTCATTGTTTGGGTTTGTTTATAAAAGCAGTGCTAGGTCAAAGAATGACTAGGTAAAATGAGGTAATGAAAGACAGCTGGGGAATGGGATGAAGCACACCTGTATTCAATACCCACCTCCGCTCTTGGGTGATCTTGGATGCATCACTTCTCAGCCTTGAAACTTGGGTTCCTTAGCTCCAGGGGTACAGAACCAAATGATCTCTAAGACCCTGACCCATCTGAACCTCTGGTTAGTCTATTTTTGAACTTGCTTCTTTCGTTGTGTTCTAGGACTGTCTCCCAACACTTACATCTCAATACCCCCTTCCCTCTTTGCTTTGTGTTCCTCAATACGAAAGACCTGTGGTTGCTATCTGGATGTCTCCCATCTCCAAACATGTTCCCATTGGAAAAAAAACAGTACACAATATGTGTTTGCTTTACTCACTTATATATTATATATGTGTGCTGCTATATAAACATACGCAATATGTATTCAAAATGGAAATTCAAGCTCAGATAATAAAACAGCGATTCTAACTTGGGTTTACCCCATTGAATACCACTTATCTGAACTCAAGACAGGCAACTCTCCCTAACTCTCTCCTAAACACTGACCCGTTTTCCAGAAAAATACTCATTTTCTTTGAGAGCTAAGCATACTTTCTAAAAACAACTGATTAAATAAATTCAGGGAACATCATCCTCCTTGTATTGAGCACTTACTACATGTCAGGCACTAAGCTCAATGCTTCTTACGTACATAAATCTTATTTATTATTTACAGGAATACTGTGCAGTAGGTATAATTGTCCCATTTTGCAGATCGGAAAACTGAGGCACAGCTAGGTTATATAACCTGCTCTTATTTGCTTAGCAGAAAATAGGTAAAGCTAGCACAATGGTAGAACAACAAGAAATTTTTGCTACAACCTAATGAAGGCATTTCTAAGGATATTTTCCATTAAAGAGTAGCTCTTTAGCAAAATTGAATAGTATTGATTTCTAATCGTAGAATTTCAATGAGATTTTCGGCAAGGAGTTCTATCCTAGTGCCACTCAATGTATAAACCTGAATTGTTTCTATTCTGCATAGAGACAGGGCCTAGGATTCTGAGGTTAGGGGCATGATTTCTTAAGTGGGGTCTGGCCTGTCTCATGACACCGCCCTGCTTCTCTGGGATCTGGTAGTGGTAGGAGCAGAGAATTTTCAACTTGCGGTCAGACCCAGAACTTCAGGACTGACATGGTTAATTAGAACTACTGTGGTAGCTGGAAAGGGAGAGATATATCTGGAAACAGCCCCCAAATTGCTTACATCACATTTAAAACTGTCCGTGTCCCTCATGGAGTAGCTTACGAAGCTGAAAGCATGGGTGCTTTTTATGATAACTAATTTTCTTTATGATTTTCCCCACAGTTAACGTGTATCTAAGATTCACATGTGCTTTATCCAACACACAATTAGTTGACATAGGATATGGAAAAATCTCTTGTTCGCATTTGTTTACTTGATGCATCAACTGACAGAATGTGGTTACTTCTGTAGTCTCCGAGGAGCTGAAAAAAAATCTCAGAAATCCGACTTTATGAAGTTAGGTTTTCCGCCACTGAGAAATAGCTTCATGTTAAAGGTTTGTTTACAAGGAATTGCTGTTTCCACTTGCTGGAGCAGCTCTTAAACATTTTTTTTTTTTTTCTAAAGTTTTTTTTTCCAACCACTAAGTGGATCTAAACATTAAGTGTTTCTGAAGTTGGTTTTCCAGCTCCTGGACTACTATTAACTTCTGCTGGGATGAAACAGAAGGCTGCTGCCTCCACTTAGCCATCCGTAATGTAAGAGTGTAATATTTTGAAGAATTTTAAAAAAGGGCTTACTGCGCAATATTTATATTTCATTCACATCAGCACAGGACAGTGTTGACACAAAGTTCCGTTGTTGTTGTTGGCTGCGCCTTTTTTGCTTCCATCTCACGGCGCCCAACTTCCCGCTCCCACTGATGGAAGAAGCTATATCTGCTCCAAGCAAGAGGCCAACCTGATAAACCCAGACAGAGCAGAGCCCACAGAGCCTCTGCTTCTTAAGAGGAAAAATTGAGAGATACTTGTACAGGTCTGTTTGAAAGGAGGAATGATAGAAAACTCCTTCCTGACCTTAGAATCAAGGCACTTTGAGAGTTAGATGTGTCTCCCTCTCTCCCAGAAGTGAGGAAAATGAAGTGTGCTGTGGTTTTCCATAAAAAATCCGTATTTCACACTTGCTTATGATTGCAATTATCAGATATTCTCAAGGAATTTCTCACATTATGTTCCAAAAACCAGTTAGAGTTAGAGTGTGCATTGGTAATAATGGTAACCATGATGGATAAAGAGAAGTTTGCAGAACAAAACTCCAGTACCCCCCAGGCTTAACACCTTCTGTTAGACTCCATTATTTGAATGCATGCTCATAATAGATCCCCAATGAGCAAGAAGATTTTTATATCACTTTCTCCCTCCTTGTCTTCTCCCTGCACCACACATCTGCATTCACCCACATGTATAAACACTCTTCTTTTTGCTCAGCTTTTCAGCTGCACTCTTCCCCAAATTCACAGCCACTGGCAAAAGTTGCTGTTGTTATCAACCATAAATAAATATCCTCAAAAGACCATTATCATCTTACGTTGACTTTTAAATTCTGTTTATATCTGGGAATTCAGGAAAGAGAGAGAGAAAAAGGAAGGAAGGAAGGAGAGGAAAGAAAGAAGAGAAAGAAAAAAGAAAGAAAGAAAAAAGAAAAGGAAAGAAAGAAAGACTTTATGAATACTTTCTGTAGGCTCCTCTGGAACCAAGATTAGTCCCCAAGTAGTAGAGACAGAATAGAGTAAAAAATAAGCTATGTGTGGCTCTCATGAGACTAATTTAGACTTTCATGACTTCTTTTTTCCCTTGATTTTTCTTTAAAACTGGAGGCAAAACAACAAAAATAAGCCAAGCTCAGGGCTGATATCAGGTTGTTTTGATTGTAAGAACATAACCTTGCCAATATTGTACCAACTCCACTCTATGTAGGCATGTTGTTCTTTGGCTCACTTAGAGATGAAGAAATGAAGGTTCATGGATTTTTGAGTCACTGGCTAACCCACCTTCCTCCCCACCACTCTCTCTGTTGCCAGCATATTCTTCATTCAGCCTTTGTCCCATGAGGGATATAAATTTAGAAGAGAAACCTGTAGGTAATTAACAGTCCGGCATGTCTGTCATTCCTTTGATAAAATGTGTTGGGTGTGGTTTCTCAGCATGCAGTTGATAAAATGCATTGGTGGTGTTCCATTTCATTTGACTTTCCATTAGTTTTTTTTTTCTTTTATTTTCCAACGAGGATGTGTTAATGGCCAGCTTCTGTTTTCAATCATGGGGGACATTTCTATGGATTTATTTTTACATTTTCCAATAAGAAACATATTCTGATCCTTTAAAGGTTAAAAGTAAAGTATGAAAGGGTGAGTGACAGAAGAAAAGCTTCCCTGCTGGCTTAAATTAGCAGAAGTGTATGTACGTGTGTGTGTGTGTGTTTGTGTGCATGTGTGTTTGTGTGTATGGCTCTTTAGGATCTGGATTTTCTTTCTGTCTTGGGGACAAAGATCTTGCCATATTTATGATTTGTTTAGTTACTATATAGCTTTAATGACCTAAGATTGGAGAAAGAGGCACATCATTTCATTAATCTCTTTGCTTAAGTTCCTTACTGGTTAAGCATGAAGAAAATTCCTTAGGGCTTTGGGCAGCAGATTTGCACCTTGAATAGCAAAATAGGTTTGTGTAATCAGGTTTTATGTAAGACTGAGCAGGCAAGGGTGCAAATGAAAAGGACACTGCATGAATTCCAGCTCACAGCTTTGAAAAAGGTGCATCATTTGAAAAAGTCACCCAGGCTTGCAAACCACAGGAGCCTCAGCAAGCACATGGGTGCAGTGAGCAATGAGTAAGAAGAACACTCCCTGGAGAGAAGCTCTGCTGCCCATCTGCAGAGCCCTGACTTGCCCTGGAAAGGAGCTCATATTGTCTAGACTTTATTGGTTATTGACAATCCAGGGCAGTAGGCACACAGCTCTGGTCTACATTAGCATGCAGATGTACCTGTCTTTGAACTTGAGATGCTGTTCCTGCTTGGAATTCTCTTGTGCTTCCTTTTTCCTATACATTAAAGACCCAAGATTTTGACCTGTGCCTTGTACATCCGTTAAAATTCTCACTTTGGCCCATTTAGATATCTGAACTTAAGACATGTCTCTTCTTACACTCAGCCAAGTTTAGTCTTCTGAATGTCATCCTCAAACCATCTACATAGATTCTGATTCTTAGTTTTGTCCTTAGCTTAGCATACCACTTAGGACACTGCTTTTATTGCCAGTTTAATGTCCCCTTGATGGTACTTCTGCTGTGTGCCATTCTAGCCTTTCCATGTACTAGTGTGATTCATCTCCGGGTCAGCCCCTTCTCAGGCTCTCCATACTCTGTGAGAGTCCCATTCCTCCATTTGGAATGTTGCACGCACAACATAGAACTGGCTTATACCAAAAGGCCTGTCCCATTTTCATTCATCCTGAAACTCGAACCAGAACTCTGGTATGTTCTTCTTGAGCTGGAGGACCCCGTGTTCTTGCATAGAGATTCCTCTTTCTGTTTGCCACCACTGTCCACTGTTGCTATCACTGCAGCCCAGGCCAGCAGAAGATGTGCACCTGTCACTGCTGACACTAAGCACTGACAACCGTGGTGGCAGACACCTTTTGTTGGTTAATCAATAGTCATCACTACCACTCTCACTTTTTATTTGCAAACAGAACCCTGAATTTTGCTCAGAATGACAGTAACCCAGTCCCAGGGGATAATTTATCATTTTGTAACCCAATCATAGTAATCATAGTCATTTTTGTCCCCTGTTTATTTTCCAAGCTTCCCTCTTGGCCTTAGGACATTGTTATCATATGTATTAGTCCATTGTCATACTGCTATGAAGAAATACCTGAGACTGGGTAATTTATAAAGAAAAAGAGGTTTAATGGACTCACGGTTCCACATGGCTGGGGAGGCCTCACAATCATGGCAGAAGGCGAAGGAGGGGCAAAGTCACATCTTACATGGTGGCAGGCAAGACAGCGTGTGCAGGGGAACTGCCCTTTATAAAATCATCAGATCTCATGAAACTTATTCACTCTCATGAGAACAACGTGGGGAAAACCTGCCCTCATGATTCTATTACCTCCCACGGGGTCCCTCCCACAACACGTGGGGATTATGGGAGCTACAATTCAAGATGAGATTTGGGTGGGACACAGACAAACCATATCATCATTTAAGGGAAAATCCACTGAGGAATATTTGGTAAGTGCTTTGTTGACACTAAAAGAGACCAGTTTGTGAAGAGATTTTGTTTGCTCCAAGGACAAGGGTGAGGGACCCAAGTGTCAAAATTTGGAGGTGAATGTCAGAGGCTGCCTGGTCTGAATTCCAGCTCCCTTGCTTACTAGTTGTATCCTCCCAATCTAGTTACCTCAGCTTTTCATACCTTGGTTTCCCCTTTTATCAAATGGAGAAAATTATCATGGCATCTATCTTATAGGGTTGTTAGGAGAACTAGATTAATTAATAGCTATTGAGTATTAGAATGATGCTTGGGTATAAAAGCATTTTATTGGAATAAAAGCAGTAAAGGCTGTAGAAGCATTTGTTAAACATATGAACATGGACATCTTTCAGGGTGAATTTTGATTTATTTAGCAAATGGCATTTTTCTTTTATGAAACTGACAATGATAAAATGAATGATAGGGTCCAACACTAGCTAGGTGAAGGGGAAATGCTTGCTATCTGACAGCGTTTTGCAGAGGTGAATTATATATTTTCTGACCTAAAAATCTTTTCTAAAAATGCAAAAAATATTCAAAGATGGACTAGTAGCCCATCAACAATGATAACATATACTCACATTTTTTGACATGAAAGATTGTATAGGGTTAATGAGGAAATGAGGTAATACAACACGTCTTACAGAATAATGACATTTATACAAAATATTTTAGTCAATGTATTAAAAACGTGTTGAAAATATTAGAGAAGACAGATACCAAGTACTGGAGAACTGGATGATTTAAAACATTTTCTTTTTCGTTTATTTGAATTTTTGTTTTCTATGATGGTCTTGAGTGGCTAGTTGTAGAAGAGTATATATAGTAAGATTCCATTTTTATAAGACAAATATGGTGACCCATTAGTAATAAATAATGAAATCTAGATAGTTACACATATAAAACTGTCTGGAAGGATATACACCAAAATGACAATAGTTGTTACTTCTGGATTAATGGTATTATAGGTTATTTCATTTTATTTATTCATTTATTTATTTTATTTATTTTTTGAGATGGAGTCTTGCTCTGTCGCCCAGGCTGGAGTGCAGTGGCGCCATCTCGGCTCACTTCAAGCTCCGCCTCCCAAGTTCACGCCATTCTCCTGCCTCAGCCTCCCAAGTAGCTGGGACTACAGGTGCCTGCCACCATGCCCGGCTAATTTTTGTATTTTTGGTAGAGACGAGGTTTCACCATGTTAGCCAGGATGGTCTTGATCTCCTGACCTCATGATCCACCCGCCTCAGCCTCCTAAAGTGCTGAGATTATAGGCATGAGCCACCGGGCCTGGCCTCATTTTATTTTTTGAATATTTTTACTTTCTGATTTTACTGCAGTTATTATGTAACATTCTAGGTTTTACAATTTTTTTATTTTTATTTTATTTTATTATTATTATTTTTTTGAGACAGAGTCTTGCTCTGTTGCCCAGGCTGGAGTGCAGTCGTGAGATCTTGGCTCACTGCAACCTCTGACTCCAGGGTTAAAGATTTTCTCCCTCCTAGGCCTTCCGAGCAGCTCGGATTACAGGTGCCCACCACCATGCCCTGTTAGTTTTTGTATTTTTAGTAGAGACAGAGTTTCACCATGAAAGCCAGGCTGGTCTCAAACTCCTGACCTCAGGTGATCCACCCGCCTCGGCCTCCCAAAGTGTTGGGATTACAGGCGTGAGCCACCGCACTCGGCCACAAAATTTTTTGAAAAGAGCTAAGCAGCGTATCTTTCTGGTACAAATGGTCCTACTAATATTATTATTCTGTTGGTAGCCAAGTAGGAAAATTCTATAAGTGCCAGATATTTGAGCTTATAAAGATTCCAACAGAATCTTCCTTCACCCCACCACCAGCCCCACACATTAGTCTGGAGATATTTATATTTGCTGCCAAATATCTGCCCCAAATCATTCTGTATTGCTGACATTTTGTCAGATTAATAGATCCCGAGTGATATGAATATGTTGATTTTGTGGCAGACTGCCAAAGAATCCTTTTTATAGACAAAAATGGATATGATAAATTATGTTTCTTGAGGTCCCGATGTTTCTATTTAAAGATGTCTGTAGATATTCAGTCCCTTATAAAGGTACCTTAACATTGCTCTTTAAAAGCATTGTACTACGTCTTTTCTTTCATGCTTTGAGAGCAAATCAGGGTTATCCTGGGGGTAGACACTTTTGCCCCTGTCTTGTGGTTTGTGAATTCCTTGGCTCACCTGTCAGTGTAAGGCATTCTCTTTTAATTCAAGTTCATTCATCAGTCTGGGGAAATGCTTTTCTTTTTCAGAGGACCTGGATTGATTGGTTGGAAATATAATTTGGTCCCTGTGTTTGTGCTGGATCACAGATCAGAAAGCAGTTTCAGTTTGCACTGGCTCTCGGACTTCTTTACTGGTGAAATTCAGAAGTGCAGCAAGAGACAAGAAAATCAGAGCTGTTTATACAATCTCTTTTCTTACTTTCCTTGAGTGTTTTAAAGAGGAAGACTGGGCCTCCAAACTTTGAGCACTGGCAGCAATACTATTGTATGCCGTCAACTCCTATTCCTTTCACAATTCTTCTGTGCACTGGAAGAGAAAAAGGCAGCTAGCAGGGGTAAGCATAAGTGGAAGGTATTTCTTTGGGTATCTTCTTTGTGTGAGACACAGTTCTAGATCTTGTGCATTTATTCTCTCCATTAAGCCTCTGATGTTTCAGAGAAAACTGATGTCGTAAGACAGTAACCCACGTACCCACAGACATAGCTGTGATGATTGACAGAAGCAAGTTCAAATGCCAGGCCTGCCTTCTTTAAACCAGAAGTGTTCCTACAGTACCAGCCACAGGAATTTGAGCTTATGGCTTACAGGATTCAAGGTCTCAAATTCTTCACCATGTTGTCTGTAGATCAAATAAGACAATGATGATGATGATGCAGGAGGATGGATGGAGGAAGGAGGATGAACATGGTGATGATAATAGTTCCTACCTCAGTGCAATTACATTGATTGCAAAGCTTAATGTGAGCAACGACCTATAAGCATCTGATTTCTAGTTTGCTGCCTTTTACCCTATTCCTATTGGCTATTTGCCCTAGGGAAGAGCAGCTTTTATAACTTCACTGGCAGGTTTCCTAATTGCTCAAATTGACATGCAAATAAGCTCTCCTTGACTCATCCTAATGTCTGTCCTTATCCATACATCCCAGAATTTGAGGCACAAATCACATTGCAGGTCTACATCTTTATAAACTTCTTCATGAATCTGCCATGCATCCTGATAGCAATGGCATGAACAACACCTCCCAGATTCTGAAAGTGTCTGTTTAAAAAGGTTGCAGAAGCCAGGCACAGGTGGCTCGCGCCTGTAATCACAGCATTTTGTGAGGCCCAGGTGGGCAGATCACTCGAGGCCAGGAGTTCAAGACGACCAACCTGGCCAACATGGTGAAACTCTGTCTGTAGTAAAAATACAAAAAAATTAGTTGGCCATGGTGGCACACGCCTGTAGACCCAGCTACTTGGGATTTGCTGGGAACCTGAGAATCACTGGAATCCAGGAAGAGTCTGCAGTGAGCTGGAGATTGTGTCACTGCACTCCAGCCTGGTGACAGAGTGAGACCCTGTCTAAAGAAAAAAAAAAAAAGGTAGGGAGAGGGTTTGCAGACTGAACCTCATTAACAGACTCTCTCTCATCTGATTGGCAGGATGTGCATGGTCACTTAACCAATCCCTTAGGCCTGCTCAAGAGGAAAGATACAGTTTCTGTCACAGCCCCAGGGTCCCAGGCAGCAAATGAATAATGCTTTTCCCTGAAATGGCTTAGTTTCATGCTTCCCTTTCCTCATTTTTTCATGGTGCCTGGGGCCTGCACTTTGGAACAGGGGAAGAGCTTTGTCAGGTATTCCTCCATGATTGTATCACTATGTTTTAGCCATTATATTTTAGTCCTAGAGCCTATGATTTGTTCTTTCTCGAAGACTCCAAGACCCTTCTGAGTCTTTGAGAGTCCTTTCCAGAGGGCGTGGTTGGGACAGAGAAGGGGCAGGACAGGGCTTGAACTGGGAAGCGGGGAAGACACAGCCAGCCACCAGGTGGTAGATATAGGCATCTGGCACTTGTGGGTCAGTCACTGTACAACCATCTTTCTTGCACGTGGATGCTGAGACTTGTATAGTGTACAAGGGAAGGATGGAGAGAAGCAAACTCCTCTCATGATGCTGTTACTAATATGCCAGGTCCAGTGTTAAATTCTTTCATTTGCTTAATATCATTTGTTTCTACCGCTGCATGTAAGTTGGGTATTTTATCTATTTTTACTGGAAATAGGCTTAGGGACAAAATAATATGCCTGAATTCTAACTGCATTAAAAGCAAAGCCTGATTAGAATCTTTGTCTCTCAGTCAAATTCTTAGGTTAAAACAAGTGAAAACAAACAAGATCACTCATAAGAAATGATTTGGACTGTTCTTAATAAATGAGAATGTTCTTAACAAATACATGATAAATGTTTGAGATGATGGATATTCCAGTTACCTAGATTGAATCATTATACATTGTATGTGTGCATCAAAATGTCACATGTGGGCTGGGGATGGTGACTCTGGCCTGTAATCCTGGCACTTTGGAAGCCTGAGGCAGGAGGATTGCTTGAGGCTAGAAATTTGAGACCAGCCTGGGCAACATAGGGAAACTCTATCTCTACCAAAAAAAAAAAAAAATCACATGTACCCCTTAAATATATACAATTGTTATGTATCAGTAAAATTTTTAAAAGTACCTAACTCCTGCTTTCTAAAGGCTACATACACTAATTGCAAAGATGGTCACAAGACATGACTTGAAAACAAACAATGTAGAGAACAAGTGAATTTGTAAAACACTTTTACCAATTGAAAATAATTGGGAAAGGGGACAGCTTGTGTTATTATAGGTGAGCTCTTTAATTTTTATTTTTGTAAGTTCTTTAGGCTAACTTGAACTAATATTTGAGTGCTGACAAGGTTTTGGAACCGTCTTTGATAACTTCATATGAGATATTTGAGAACTAATCATTTATATGCAAATTGTAGCTGCCAGGTTCTTGAGAATTGCTATATTTTCTTAGGTAGATTAAACTTCAGGAAACCATTTTCATAGTATTAACTTTCTTCAAAAGTTCTTTTTTCATAGATAATAGGAAAGTTAATTTAAACCCATCCAGTCTCAGTCAAATTATCACAAATTCCAACTGAGTCTGAGTTAATTTCTCTGCAATGCAGAATGTGTACATTTATACAAAGTGGAGACAGAATAATGGAGCCATCAGAATCAGATACAATTAAAGCAGGAAATACAATAAGTTAAAAATTCTTTAATTTTTCGTGGATAAAATGGAAATTCTATCTTGTGACATTTGATGATTTGTCCTAATCTAAACAGGCTGTTAGTTTCTGAAAAGTGTAAGAACGTGTCAAGGTGATTGGAGTTTCTGCATTAAATTTCAATTTAAGCATAGGCTTTGGAATTGGACATGTTGAAGGACCAGTCCAGCCTTTGCCACTTACGAACTTGATTGGGCAAGTTGCTTTACCTCCCTAAGATTTCATTCAATCCTCTGTAAAACGGAGGAGTGTTGAGAAACAAAGCAAATGTATTCAGAGATGGTTCAGTCTCTAGAATAAAGTATGGAGCAAAATGTGATTATTGTTATCGCATTATTATTGTAGTGTTATCCATGTAGCTCAGTGGAATAATTTTAATGACAAATATGTTGTCATTCATTAGGTTTAAAAAATACAATAAATTCCGTTATTTTCTTCTTAAAAAAACCTTTTTAAAGGAAGGTGTGAAGAGATGGGAAGAGATGGTTTTGGCTGGCCCTTGGATGGGCAGACACATGCTGAGGTTATAAAGGAATGCTAACTCACCGCTTTTGTTCTCAATGAAGCAACTGGAATACTTGACAAGGAGAAATCCTTGAAAGAGCTTCATGGCTCAGTTAAATCTGCTCAAGTACTAGAAAGAAAGGCCTTTCTAACATACAAAAGACACATCTGCAGTACATTTTGGTTGCAGTAACACAAACTGGACAAGTCCCTGGCCCATTCAATCACTGAAATTGACTTTCCCCTTGCAGAAGTTGAACATTTTCCATGGGTTCTTGTTTGGTATTTGAATGGGATGGTAAGTAAGTTAAGCTTTCTGGCATGCAAAATCCTCAGTAATGTAGGGTGCAATTTTTACTTCCCCACAAACACTTTAGACGTTTCTTCTGATGATTATTTAAAGGAATAATACTACGTTAATAGAATATTGTTTTCTTTCATCTCCTCTTGACTTGTTTGGAAAAAGTAATTTTATACCAAAACAAAACAGAAAAACCACCAAATCAATGTAATTTTCCTGGTTCAACCAAAAAAAATCAAAGTACAGTAGTGAATATACAAAACATATTTTTCATTGGTACCTCTGGAAATACTGTAAAACATTTTCTTCATCGTGCCCTGCTATACATTTCAAAGGAAATTGGATAGAACAACAAGGGAAAGAAATGCACAAAACATATGAAGAGATATAATTCAGAAGGGTACAGGCTACCTGTAGTTTAAAATATTTATTCCTGGTTGAATTTCATGCCTCTGGCTGTTCTCTCTATCATGAAGCGTTCCATTTCTGAAAGTAGAAAGCAAAGGAGGAAATATCTAAACTGTAAAATGTCAAATTGCTTTCCAAACTTGTTCCAATTTCCAACCACATCAAGAAGGATGTCTGAAAAGACAATCAGCTTTTGCACTAACCAAATACATATACAATTATTTATTTTTAAAAAATTTTCCTTGGGAATGCACCATCAAAGAACATTTAGGGTTATTCTGAGGCTATTTCCCTTCAATCCTTTAAAAACTAGTTTTGTAGCTACAGTATCTTTGTCTTTTTTTCCTTTAAAAATTTTGTAAATCAAATAAGCCACAATTCAATTTATGTAGGAGAAAAGTGCCTACAGTTGGATATATTTTATCCATTTTCTGGGAATAAGATATTGGTGCCCTCCCAAAGAACAATTTAAAAAGAAATAATCAAAACCGTACTTTTCTCCTCCTAATACCAAATAGGAAAAGGATTAAACCTTGATGAGATCTATTTTACCAAGATGTAGCATTCGTAGATCTTATGAAGTACTTGCTTGCCTATAAAGTCACTTCCATTTCCTAGGACATGGAGTAGAAAGTCAGAGTTTGCTTGCATATTTTAGAACTTGGATTCATAAATAAATTAACACATTATTGTGTGTACCTCAGAAAATTCAAAGGATTTAAAAGACTTCTAATGAATTGTCAAATCATCAGTATTTTTGATGAGTTGGGTATAAATTCGAGTTACATGCAATGTTTTTAGTTATAAAAATTGTTAGAAACTAATGAGCTAGAGTCTTACATTTGGATGAATCATGTATTTCTTTCTTTCCTTTTTTTTTTGGAGGGGCAGGGATGGAATCTCACTCTGTTGCCAAGGCTGGAGTGTGGTGGCACGATCTCGGCTCATTGCAACCTCCATCTCCCAGGTTCAAGCTATTCTCCTGCCTCAGCCTCCCAAGTAGCTGGGACTACAGGCGTGCGTCACCACATCCAGCTAATTTTTGTATTTTTAGTAGAGACGAAGTTTCACCATGTTGGCCAGGCTAGTCTTGGACTCCTGACCTCAGGTGATCCACCCACCTCAGCCTCCTAAAGTGCTGGGATTACAGGCGTGAGCCGCCATGCTCAGCCATCAATCATGTATTTCTAATCTTCCATTTTATCTCATCTACTAGGTTACTAGCCTCATTTTCTTTGCTTTAAATTTTTGAGGTGCCTCTTTTTCCTGCCTGTTCTCTCTCTCTCTTTCTCCGTATTTGATATCAAAATTATAATATGCACAATTAATTTATTCTCATCTCTCAATTATCATTACATTGCATATTGTCACCTATACCTCATCTCTATCCATTGTGCTACTGTTGTCATTAATTTACAAAAAATTTTATTTACTTACTGAATTTACTTACTTATTTACTGATTTAATTAACTCTACCTATGATGTAAGCCCTATAGTACATTGTTGCTATTTTTGCTTTAGAACAGTAAGTTACCTGTTCTAAATAAAAAGATAAAATGGACTTTTCTATCTTTATTCACCTATTTAATATTTCCAGTGCCTGATTTTCCACCAGTATGAGCTCCCCTGAGCCTGAAGAAACTCCTGTATATGTTTGGTACTGCAGGTTGACTGGTGACAAGTTTGCTCAAGTTTTGTTTATGTGAAATATCTTCAGTTTACCTTCCTTTTTGAAGGTTCTCTTAGCTAGACAAGGAATTCTAGAGTGACAAAGTTTTGTTTTGTTTTTCCTTCCTTCTGCCTTGGCATGTTAACATTGTTGTTTCATTATCGTCTGGCTAGCCTTGTTTCTGATGAGTGATAATATAGTTATTGCCATCACAGTTCCTCTGCATGTAAAATATAGATTTCCTTCTTAGCTGCTTTTAAAATTTTCTCTTTATCACATACATATGGCCAACAATCATATGAAAAAATGCTTAACATCACTGATCATTATAGAAATGCAAATCAAAACCACAATGAGATACCATCTCATACCGGTCAGAATGGCTACTATTAAAAAGTCAAAAAAATAACAGATGCTGGCGAGATTGTGGAGAAAAAGGGACGCTTATACACTGTTGGTGGAAGTGTAAATTAGTTCAGCCATTGTGGAAGACAGTGTGGTGATTGCTCAAAGACCTAAAAACAGAAATACTGTTTGACCCAGCAATCCTGCTACTGAGTGTATACCCAAAGGAATATAAATCATTCTGTTATAAAGACACATGTATGCATATGTTTATTGCAGCACTATTCACAATAGCAAAGACATGGAGTCAACCTAAATGCCCATCAATGATAGGCTGGGTAAAGAAAATGTGGTACATGTACTACGTGGAATACTATGCAGCCATAAAAAAGAATGAGAACATGTTCTTTTTGGGGACATGGGTGGAGCTGGAGGCCATCATCCTTAGCTAACTAACACAGAAACAGAAAACCAAATACTGCATGTTCTTAATTCTATAAGTGGAAGCTAAATGATGAGAACATGGGACACATAGAGAGGAACAAGACACGCAGGGGCTTTTCAGAGGGTGAAGGATGGAAGGAGGGAGAGGATCAGGAAAAACAACTAATGGTTACCAGGCTTAACACCTGGGGGATGAAATAATCTGTACAACAAACCTCCTTACACAAGTTTACCTATGTAACAAACGTGCACTTGTACTCCTGAACTTAAAAGTTAAAAAAAAAAAAGATTTTTTTTATCATTTTATTTCAGCAACTTGCCTAGATGTGATTTACTTTGTATTTATTCTGCTTATGTTCATGAAACTTTTTGAACTGTGTTAATATTTTTCATCAAATTTAGAACATTTTGATCAGTTCTTCAGATATTTTTTATTTTCTACCCCATTTTATCTCTCATCTTCTGTATATTGGACTGTTTGATATTATCTCACAGGTCACTAATGTTCTGATTATCTTTTTAAAACATCTGTGTCACTATTCTTTATTTTTGGCAATTTCCATTGATTTATTTTCAACTGTAGTGATGCTTTCTTATTCAGCATTTATGCTGTTAATAACCCATACAAACAAATATATTTTTAAGTTCTAGAATTTCCATTCAGTTCATTTTTAGTTTCCATTTCTTTCCTGAAATACTCTATTTATTACACTCATCTTTTCTTATAAATTATTTTGTATCTGTAGTTTTTTTTTTGTGCTTATCTGTTAATTCTGATGACTGAGTCACATGTGATTCTCATTCTATTGACTGCTCTTCCTTGATTTGAACTTAAGGGTTAAGTTTTCTTGTTCCTTTGCATGTGTCATCATTTTTTATTGCATTTGAACATTTTGTATGAAAGAATGGTGGAGACTAAAGAATCTTTAAAAAAATGATTTGTGCATTTCTCAAGGAGTAGCTAGTCTCTTCATTCTCTTTGGTTAAGGTGAGGGGTTGATCATTTGAATTCCTCCTAAAGTGGGGCTGGGAGCCATAACTCTTATTAGATTTTTTTCATCTGTGGCAAGCCCAACCCCAAAGCTCCACCAATATCATCACCTTTTATGGTGTCGAAGGTGTTTGACATACAGTTTCACCTTTAGATTCCATTCTGGCAGGACTTTGGAATCCAAGCACTGCAAGAATGCACAGGACTATGTGAGCTCTCTTTGCCCTTTAGCCCACCCTCAATTACTGCTTTTTTTTTTTTCCCCACACAGTTTGCAACTGGGATGGAGCTCTTGTAAGGTTAAAGGATTTGTTTTTGTGTTTGAAGCTCTTTTTTTCACTAGCCCTCACTGTTATGTAAGGCAGCTGATTTCTCTTCATCCCTCCAAAGGGATCCCTTGTCTACAATGCACCTGCTCCTCCTTGTTTGTACCCAGCCCAGGAGCCTTCCTGCAGGTGTGGAAGCTGCTGTGACTCTAGCTCACTTATGGAGGGCTTGTTTCTCTCTGGAATTCAGTTCACCAAAGCTTCCTTTAGTCCATCACTCCTCGCTAAGCCCATTCAAAAGTATGCTGGGTTTTTGTTTTTGTTGGTTTGGGTCTTGTCTTTTGTTGTTGTCAACATAGCAGGAATGACCTTTCATATCTGTCTTTAGTTTTTTACATTTTGATTAAAAATTATTTATGAGCATGCACTGCCAACAACAGTTTCTGAGCCATTTCAAAAATCACCTTCTCTGAATTTCACATCACGTTTCTTCTCTTGTTTTCTTTTTAAAAACATTTGATCTCATTCACTTTTTATTTTAAAGGAGATTTATTATCAGTTTTGTCTCCAGCCTTATTTATTCCTTTCAAACATTTTTGTACATATCTGTTCTTCATATATTCCTGTTACTCATCAAGACTAAAATTTGTAGGCTGGATATATTATTCCTGAGTCCAAAACTCCCAAATATTATCTTTTATTATATTAACAGTTGTGCTGTGCTATAAATGATAGAAATTTTAACATACCTACATGTGCTAAGTTTTGACATATTTATACATCAGTGAAACCACCACAATAAAGGAATTAGCATAATCATCACCCCTAAAGTGTCCTTGTTTCCCTCTACGGATTATAAAGGGACAAAAATGATTTCCCTTCCTAACTCTCCTTCCCTCCCACATCTTTAGACAACCGTTGATATGACTTCTATCCTACAGCATTTTCTAGAATTTTATACAAATGGAATTATAAGATCTGTAGTCTTTTTTGACTGACCTCTTTTCTTCAACATTAATATTTTCAGATTCACCCATGTTGTTGCATGTATCAATAGCTGATTTTATTGAGTTGTAGTGCATTGCATGGGTATATCTCAATTTGTTTATCCACTCACCTGTATAATCACCTTTGGATTATTTCCAATTATTAGTTATTTCAAATAAAGCTGCTATGAAAATGTGGCACAAATTTTTGTATGGACATATTTTAAATTTATATTGGGTACATACAAAGAGTAAAATGACTAGATCATACAGTATGTGTATGTTGATCTTTCTCATACACTGCCAAACTGTTTCATGAAGTGGTTATATCATTTTGGATTTTTACCCTATACAAGATTTCCAACAACACCACATCCTTACCAACACTTGTTATGGTTATTCTCTTGTTGTAGAATTCTTTTTTTTTTAAACTATTTATTTATTTAGAGAAGAGTCTTGCTCTGATGCCCAGGGTGGGGTGCAGTGGCACAATCTGGGCTGTCTGCAACTTCCACCTCCTGGGTTCAAGCGATTCTCCAGCCTCAGCCTCCCAAGTAGCTGGGATTACAAGTTTGTGTTACCACACCTAACTAATTTTTGTATTTTTAGTAGAGACAGGGTTTCACCACATTGGCCAGGCTGGTCTTGAAATCCTGACCTCAGTGATCAGCCCAGCTTGGCCTTTCACAGTGCTGGGATTACAGGCTTGAGCCACCACGCTCGGCCTCTTGTTGTAGAATTCTAATTACATGTGTAGTGGTATCTTATCATGGCTTTAATTGTCTACATTTCTCTAAGAAATAAAGATGCTTAGCATTTTTATGTGCTTATTTTTCATCTCCATATTTTCTTTATTTTATTTTATTATTATTATACTTTAAGTTTTAGGGTACATGTGCACAATGTGCAGGTTAGTTACATATGTATACATGTGCCATGCTGGTGTGCTGCACCCAGTAACTCGTCATTTAGCATTAGGTATATCTCCTAATGCTATTCTTCCCCCCTCCCCCCTCCCCCCACCCCACAACAGTCCCCAGAGTGTGATGTTCCCCTTCCTGTGTCCATGTGTTCTCATTGTTCAATTCCCACCTATGAGTGAGAACATATGGTGTTTGGTTTTTTGTCCTTGCGATAGTTTACTGAGAATGATGATCTCCAATTTCATCCATGTCCCTACAAAGGACATAAACTCATCATTTTTTATGGCTGCATAGTATTCTATGGTGTATATGTACCACATTTTCTTAATCCAGTCTATCATTGTTGGACATTTGGGTTGGTTCCAAGTCTTTGCTATTGTGAATAGTGCCGCAATAAACATACGCGTGCATGTGTCTTTATAGCAGCATGATTTATAGTCCTTTGGGTATATACCCAGTAATGGGATGGCTGGGTCAAATGGTACTTCTAGTTCTAGATCCCTGAGGAATCGCCACACTGACTTCCACAGTAGTTGAACTAGTTTACAGTCCCACCAACAGTGTAAAAGTGTTCCTATTTCTCCACATCCTCTCCAGCACCTGTTGTTTCCTGACTTTTTAATGATCGCCATCCTAACTGGTGTGAGATGGTATCTCATTGTGGTTTTGATTTGCATTTCTCTGATGGCCAGTGATGATGAGCATTTTTTCATGTGTCTTTTGGCTGCATAAATGTCTTCTTTTGAGAAGTGTCGTTTATATCCTTCGCCCACTTTTTGATGGGGTTGTTTGTTTTTTTCTTGTAAATGTGTTTGAGTTCATTGTAGATTCTGGATATTAGCCCTTTGTCAGATGAGTAGGTTGTGAAAATTTCCTCCCATTTTGTAGGTTGCCTGTTCACTCTGATGGTAGTTTCTTCTGCTGTGCAGAAGCTCTTTAGTTTAATTAGATCCCATTTGTCAATTATGGCTTTTGTTGCCATTGCTTTTGGTGTTTTAGACATGAAGTCCTTGCCCATGCCTATGTCCTGAATGGTAATGCCTAGGTTTTCTTCTAGGGTTTTTATGGTTTTAGGTCTAACGTTTAAGTCTTTATTCCATCTTGAATTGATTTTTGTATAAGGTGTAAGGAACGGATCCAGTTTCAGCTTTCTACATATGGCTAGGCAGTTTTCCCAGCACCATTTATTAAATAGGGAATCCTTTCCCCATTGCTCGTTTTTCTCAGGTTTGTCAAAGATCAGATAGTTGTAGATATGCGGCGTTATTTCTGAGGGCTCTGTTCTGTTCCATTGATCTATATCTCTGTTTTGGTACCAGTACCATGCTGTTTTGGTTACTGTAGCCTTGTAGTATAGTTTGAAGTCAGGTAGCATGATGCCTCCAGCTTTGTTCTTTTGGCTTAGGATTGACTTGGCGATGCGGGCTCTTTTTTGGTTCCATATGAACTTTAAAGTAGTTTTTTCCAATTCTGTGAAGAAAGTCATTGGTAGCTTGATGGGGATGGCATTGAATCTATAAATTACCTTGGGCAGTATGGCCATTTTCACGATATTGAATATTCCTACCCATGAGAATGGAATGTTCTTCCATTTGTTTGTATCCTCTTTTATTTCATTGAGCAGTGGTTTGTAGTTCCCAAAAAGAGTCCAGGACCAGATGGATTCACAGCCGAATTCTATCAGAGGTACAAGGAGGAACTGGTACCATTCCTTCTGAAACTATTCCAATCAATAGAAAAAGAGGGAATCTTCCCTAACTCATTTTATGAGGCCAGCATCATCCTGATACCAAAGCCAGGCAGAGACACAACCAAAAAAGAGAATTTTCGACCAATATCCTTGATAAACATTGATGCAAAAATCCTCAGTAAAATACTGGCAAACCGAATCCAGCAGCACATCAAAAAGCTTATCCACCATGATCAAGTGGGCTTCATCCCTGGGATGCAAGGCTGGTTCAATATACGCAAATCAATAAATGTAACCCAGCATATAAACAGAACCAAAGACAAAAACCACATGATTATCTCAACAGATGCAGAAAAGGCCTTTGACAAAATTCAACAACCCTTCATGCTAAAAACTGTTAATAAATTAGGTATTGATGGGACGTATCTCAAAATAATAAGAGCTATCTATGACAAACCCACAGCCAATATCATACTGAATGGGCAAAAACTGGAAGCATTCCCTTTGAAAACTGGCACAAGACAGGGATGCCCTCTCTCACCACTCCTATTCAACATAGTGTTGGAAGTTCTGGCCAGGGCAATTAGGCAGGAGAAGGAAATAAAGGGTATTCAATTAGAAAAGAGGAAGTCAAATTGTCCCTGTTTGCAGATGACATGATTGTATATCTAGAAAACCCCATCATCTCATCCCAAAATCTCCTTAAGCTGATAAGCAACTTCAGTGAAGTCTCAGGATACAAAATCAATGTACAAAAATCACAAGCATTCTTATACATCAATAACAGACAAACAGAGAGCCAAATCATGAGCGAACTCCCATTCACAATTGCTTCAAAGAGAATAAAATACCTAGGAATCCAACTTACAAGGCATGTGAAGGACCTTTTCAAGGAGAACTACATCTCCATATTTTCTATAGCTAAATAACAGTTCAAATCTCTTGCCCATTTCTCATTGGGTTTTTAAAATATTTTTGAGTTTTGAGAGATTTTAAATATATTTTGGATAAAGAACTTTATTGCATGAATATTTTGCATAGATTTTTCTCCCAGTCAATGTCTTGGCTTTTCATTTGCTTAGCAATGTCCTTTAAAAAGCAGATATTAAGACAAAATTTACTCAAGTCCAGTATATCCATTTTTTTCTTTATGCATTATCCTTTTAATTTAAGAAACATTTGCATAACCCAAGGTCTCAGAGATTTTCTCTCACGTTTCTGGTGATTCATTTTACATTAATTTCCTCAATGTTGTAAATTCAAAGATGCATGGCGGATTGGTTGAGTCAGGTTAATGTTTTTCTCGCTACCTTGAGGTGCCTCAAGGTATGATGTGAGAACCCGTGCGATTAACATCATTCTCTACCTAGAACCTATGATGTTCTTGGAAAATGTATTCAAAATGAGTTGCAGTTACAGCTAATATGTATGTCTAACTGAATGGATATATATTCTCTCACACTCTCTCATTTAGCTCAGCGGTAGCAAAGATCAAAGTCAGGTGGATAATGAAATTTCCATCATTTCATTCTAGGAATAATTTCACTTAATCCTCTGGTACTGCCACCAGTGCACTTTCAATATTAAATTAGAACCTGAATTTCCAACAAAACTTAATGAAGATAGTTCTTATATCCTTGTGGGTGGCTTGCTTATATATAAGAATTAAGAGACCTGGCACCTTCTCTTTGCTTTCAAAGGCAGTAAGAGGAGACTTAAAATAGTATATTTTCAGATAATTAAAAGTTTAATGTGAATCTGAAAAACTTAAAAGAAAAATAGATGTGTCCTTATAATTTTATAATTTACATTCCTTTAACTGAACACAGCTAGTTGTAGGAGATGTGCCTGAATGTCTTAAAGGTCAAAATAATCCAATTAAAGAGACATAGATGGATTTTATGTGAGTTCATTTCACCAGATATGAAATATGCTATCTCTTATGTTGCAGTATGAAAATGTTAAACAGACATTTCTGATGGTGACTTAGGATGGACATGGCAAGGGTGGGTAAGATTAGGCAGTTGTAGTAACTAGCAGGCTGAATGCCTTCCAAAACCTTGCCAGGATTCATGAGGCATATGCAAGTCAGAGGATGAAAAGGAAGTCAAGGAGGCGTGTGATATTTTATTAAGATAACTGCTTAGTAAAAAACATTATTTCACTTCATTTTCACTCACATTTATTTATTCATTTACTCATTCAATTTTCATTGAGTACTTAGGTTTAGGGCACTATGCTAGGTCTTAGAAAAGATATATAGATAATAATATACTATTTCTGTTCTCCAAGTGCTTACAGACTTAGTTTGGATATTAAAAATACATCAAAGAAGAAAAAAGAAAAAGAAAAATGGAATTCAAAAGGTGGAAATATGTGGTCTTTCTTTTTTTATTTTTATTTTTTATTTTTTATTTTTTAATTTTATTATTATTATACTTTAAGCTTTAGGGTACATGTGCACAACGTGCAGGTTTGTTACATATGTATACATGTGCCATGTTAGTGTGCTGCACCCATTAACTCGTCATTTAGCATTAGGTTTCAGTGCAGTCAGAATTGTTTTGTTTTTGTTGTTTAGTGAGGAAGTTCAGAAGTTTCTTAGTGGAGAAATGAATTTGAGTTGCAAATCTGAATGAACGAAGAAATGAATAAACTATCTAGAAATGTAGGATAAAGCCCTCTAAGCCATGAGGACAGTATGAAAAAAGTATAGAGGTAAGAGAGCCCAAAGAGTGTATAAAAACACCAAACTGTTCAAATTTAGTTGTATTGAATATTAAGGAGAAAAAAAAGACAAAGATTGAAAAAACTCTGAAAATGTTCTTATGTTCTGTTTATATGTACTGTACCACCTAATGGAGTGTAAATTGGCTAAATTGTTTTCAAAATATCCATTTTTTTAATGGTTTGGATGTGGGTTACAATGCAAAAATCAAAGTTTCTGCTGAGGTTAAACAATTTGCCTCAGCATTGGGCCCAGAATACTTACTTGACCATCCAATTGGCATGAACCCTGTAATGGTTAATTTCACACATTAACTTGACTTGACTGGGCCACAGAGTGCCCAGATATTTTGTCAAACATTATTTTGAGTATTTTGGTGAGGGCGTTTTTGGATGAAATTAACATTTAAATTGGTAGACTGAATAAGGCTGATTACCCTCCCTAATGTGAATGGGCCTCATCTAGTCCGTTTAATAAGGCATTAGCCTGATCCTCTTCCAAGTAAGAGAGAATTCTCCTGCCCCATGGCCTTTGAATTAAAACATCAGCTCTTCCTGTTTCTGCAGCAGAGTCTGGCATTTGTAGCCAAACTGGGACACTGGTCTGCAGATTTTGGACTTGCCAGTCTCCATAATCATGTGAATCAAAATTCCTTATAAATGTGTTTACACACACACACACACACACACACACACACACACACACACACATCCTGTCAGTTCCCTGGAGAAGACTAACACAAACCTTGTAGGATTCTGAGTTCTCATATACACAAAAACGGGATCTCTATGAGCCCCTTGGTATGAAAAATAGTGGTTAAAAATCAGTGCCATTTCTTCCAGGTAAGAGCCCCACTTCTGCCAGCCAATGACCATTTCTCAGTCTCTGACACTCCAGCCTGGCAAAAGGAAACGATGGCTTTTGCAGTGCTAAGGAAAGAGCCTTGTTCCAATTGTTCACCCTGACCATTTCCATCTCAAGGCCATATGGTTGGCTGTTAAAAATATTCGTTGCACTCACATTGGCAAATATTTTGTTTCTCCAAATCAGATCTAGAGTCATAAATACCTGTATGTAGCTTAGCTGTTAAAAATAGCTCAATAGCATCCTGCAAACAGTACATACTTCCTGTTGAACCAGATGGAGAAATCCGCACACACCAAGCCAATGTGGAGAGAGCAACAGCAGTCACTGGAACCCAGCCACTTATGCCAGAGGAGCTGGCAAAGGTCTGCATATAAAATGTAGTCTAGACCTGGTCAAGCCTTTAGCTCTTCCAGGAACCCGAGCTCGAAGTGAGGAATTTGGGCTTTTATTTTCCCTAGTGGGAAAATACTTAGAGATCATTCATATGATACTAGATGATTATGTGTAAAAATAATGTTTTTATTTTCCTTCTTTAAACTCCTTGCATTACTTTTCTCTTTGGAACCCTCAGTTCAACTTTATTTTTCTAAGTGCATTCATTCAACAAACATTGAGCATCCTTTGCATGCCTATACCATGTAAGGTCCTCATTTACAGTCTCTGAATGCAAATTGATCTATTTCTTCTTGGTCATTGTCTTTCTCTGATACTTCAAACTACAACCTTCTGGTCACTTGACTGCTTCTTACTCATCTTCTTTTCTTTTCTCTGGCTTGATGATTTGTCCCTTTCTCCCTCTCTGGTCCAAAGGAACTTGACATAATGTGGCAACTATTTCCTTTACATAATGATGGGTTGGGAAGGAAGAGGTGGGTTAACTTTCCTAATAGTCAGCAACTGGAAGGAGTCACCTCTACCAATGTCAATTGGCTCTTCTCCTTAGTCTTGATTTTTTTTTTTTAAGTGTATGGCAACAGGGAAAGGTCTGTGCCTTTACTAACTTTTTTTTCAAGTAAATAAATTAAGAGGAATTATAATGGATTCTTCAGATTTTTCTCCATTTGTCTTGCAGAGAACACCTGCTTTTCTTGGTCTGAGAGTTAGGGAAAATTCTGTGTCCCTTGCCTTTGAATTTGCAGCTAATCAAAAAGTAGGAAAAGGAGATAATATAATTCATCTAGGTACTTGTTTGACAAGCATGTTCCAAGTCATAATGAATGACAAGTTTTTCATGCATAAAATATTTTTTTATATACTCATTGAATCCCAGAAGCTGAACAACTCAGATGATGTTAGATATAGAAAATATTTCCAAATTAATCAGTGGCCCACACTTTTGCCAAAATTTAGCAGTAGAGTCATTTTAGGACAGGGTCTGGCAAATTTTCCCTTTAAGTGTTCAGATAGAAAATATTTTCTGCTTGTGTTGGCTATGCAGTCTTTATTGCAAATATTCAACTGTGCAGTCATAAAACCAGGCATAGATGATGCAGAAATAGGAGGGATTGTGTTCTAATTAAACTTTATTTATAAAAGCAGACAGCAGGACCACTTTGGCCTGAGGCTTTTGTTTTATGACAGTAAGTTTCGACCAATAAAATAAAATCCATAGAATATCATTTAGAAAGGTATTTCTTAAAGGAAATATGATAAAAAAAAAAACATGTCTTAGAGATACCTAGAATGAATGCTGTAAATGCAGGTTCAGAGCTCCTGTCTCAGACTTCAAGTTTGTGGATGTCTAACAGAGAAAACCTGGAAATCTGCATATTAATAATCATCCCTGGAGACCATTTTGTACAAACTTGAGAACTCCTACCACTACAGAGCCATAAATGCATAGGTTAGCTTACCCACAAAGCAGAAAACCTAGGAGGCAAGATGTTGACTGGGTAGGCACTTTCATTCTTGCTGTGTTGTGTTTCTTTTAATTCAAGGTGTGATTGATTGGTTAAGAGAATGGGTTTGGCCGGGCACGGTGGCTCACACCTGTAATCCCAGCACTTTGGGAGGCTGAGGCAGGTGGATCATGAGGTCAGGAGATAGAGACCATCCAGGCTAACATGGTGAAACCCCGTCTCTACTAAAAATATTAAAAAATTAGCCAGGTGTGGTGGCGGGTGTCTGTAGTCCCAGCTACTCGGGAGGCTGAGGCAGGAGAATGGCGTCAACCCGAGAGGCGGAGGTTGCAGTGAGCCCAGATCGTGCCACTGCACTCCAGCCTGGGCGATAGAGCAAGACTCCGTCTCAAAAAAAAAAAAAAAAAAAAAGAGGGATTTGTGCATCAAAGAAATATGGCTTCAGATGCAGAATATGTCACTTTCTAATTGGGAGAAGTTTGTTGGTGAAATTGAGCTCATACCTATGATATATCTAGGATAATGTGAGGAATTAATGAATGAAAGAGTGAAAAGTGTTTAGCATTCTTCCAGTTTCATCGTCAGCAGTCACTTTGTAGGAGATATTTTGATGCGGTCATTATCCACTTCTGTGGTTAATAGGAGCTTATTCTGTTCAGGATTGTGAAAAGAGCATATATGATGGTAAGGGAATGTTCAAACTGTTCCGCCTCTGGCCTAGAAATCACATAAACACAGAGTGAGCACCTTTCTCTTTTGTCCTTCAATGCGAAGTGACTTGATTTCAGATTAAATGAAAGCAGAGTAGATTTCCTGATCGCTCACCCAGTTAGACAAAGAAAGCAGAAACAGATGAGCGGTTCATGAGTTAGGCCTCTTAAGAATGCTCTCTTCACTTATTTCAGAAATAAAGTTCTTTAATTTTAAGAGAATATGTGTAGAATGTTTGAATCTTAGAATCATAATACTATTGACCCCTTATTATGTGGCAGGTGCATTTCATATCTCGCCTTAATCCTTATAACACCAATACGTGGTATGTGCCATTTATGCCGCATCATTGGTAAGGAAAATAAAGGTGGAGAATTTGTGGGTTTCATCAAAGTCTATGCAGTTGGTAATATCAGAACTGATATATGCACACAAACTGCCAGTCCCAAACCTTCTCTGATATCATCATTTTCAACACTCGCTGTCCATTATAATCAATCCCAGAAGTTTAAAAACAGTAACACTGCTTCCCGAATTTGATTCATTCCCAGGGATTCTGATTTAATTGGTCTTGGGTGGGAATCAGGCATTTGCATTTTTAAAGAATAGTCTCCCCTGTTACTGCCTATTGTGTGTCACGGTTGAAAAGTACTGCATTTCATACTTGTGTGTTATTTAAAACTGCATGTTTTCTTCATATAAGTGATCCTCTCTCCTTGTATGTGTCAACGTTATTAACTACAATATCTATAAACATCTCAAATGTTAAATTGAGAGCAAGCCAAATACTAGGATATTTAAAAACCTTGTCTTGACGTCAAGCATGGAAGATCAAATACACTAACTTTGTGGTTGCTAGTAAGCGTTCCCAGTGTTTGTCTAGCTCCAGAAAAATCATCGTATTTGTTTTTTGGCATCTAAAAACAGTCAGTTCCACAAACCACGTTTGCTTTTGATCAAAGGCAATTCTAGGTCACTGACTGAATGGGATGGGTACAGCTAGTATTCCCAATAAGATGGTATCATCCACTCTGAAGAAGGTAGACACAAAATTAAGCAGTGTTTGGTGAGTTAATATGACTGAACTCAATTAGATACCTGGCCCTGTTAGACTTTTGTTTTTCTAGTCTACTTTAGCCTGAAGACTCTTAAGAAAGAGCATGGGATATGTAACAGCAACCTAAGAATTGAGGAAGGGTGAACAGATGAGGTCATTTTTGGCTTCTGTAAAATGCTAATGGCAAGAGATGAGACTTTATCTGAAAGTGAAGTTCTGGGAACACTGGGATGTAGAGAAAGTGGTGTGAAACTTTGAGCTATATTTAGCTGCATTTGGTTTTCCTTCGTTATGACGTGGGTATGTTAACTGATATAGTTTGGCTCTGTGTCCCCACCCAAATCTCATCAAGATGGTAATCCATATGTACTGAGAGAGGGACCTGGTAGATGGAGATTGGATCATGGTGGCCATTTCCCCTATGCTGTTCTCCTGATAGTGAATGAGTTCTCACAAGAGCTGATGGTTTTAAAAGTGTGGCACTTACTCACTCTTGCTGTCTTCTACCACCTTGTGAAGAAGGTGCCTGCTTCTCCTTTGCCTTCCACTATGATTGTAAGTTTCCTGAGGCCTCCCCAGTCATGTGGAACTATGAGTCAACGAAACCTCTTTTGTTTATAAATTACCCAGTCTCAGCATCTTTGTAGCAGTGTGAAAATGAACGAATACATTAGTCAATCTGTTTAACAAACCTATATTGTTATAATTCAACTGGAGAAAATAATAACCTACTTCTCAAAGTTATGAGCCTTAGTTTTGGAGACCATGAAGGAGACAGGATTGGACTTCAATAAGGGATGGTTGTTATGATTATGCATATCATACTTTTTACTGGGTGAGATGTTTATATGACAATTATTTGCTGCCTTAGCTATTGGTTTAAAATAACTAATTTTTGTTAATTATATTGCCATGACACTACGATTTTGTTAATATTTTTGTTAAATAGAGCATAAAGGTTTTGAGTAGTAAAAAAGCTGAACTGATAATATTTAGAGCATATACCTTAGTCTTTCATATCTTGGATTGATTTAAAATATTTTAAAATGAGATTATCTTTTTTCTTCAGGGATAATTTATACTTTATTTTTGGTTTCCTATGAAATTCTTTTCCAGATTTGCGGGGAAAGTATCTTTGTTATACGTGGTAGTCATTGAACCTGTAATTTATTTATTCACACTGAAAACAGAAAATGTAGCTAATATTGATAATACTTTCATAAGTTATTGAAGACTACCAAGAAATTTAATGATGGCACATAAACTGCATGTTAATGGTTAGAGTTTTTTATTTTGTATGAGTATATATTTGAGTGAAATAACATTCCAGTTCCTTGTTAGGGAAGAAACTAGAACAATCAAGGTGATTGAAGATTCTCTAAAGGCTTTGCATTTGATTCTATTGAAATCAATTATCCTGAGTGGGTCTGAAGGGACAATTGTGCTTCCTGGGTTGTAGGTTACTTGGTTTTAACAGCTTTATTGAGGTATAATTGATATCCCCCCAAAATTACATGTTTAGTGTATAAATTTGGTGAGTTTGAACATATACACATTCCCATGATATCATCAAAATATTAAACGTATCTATCACCTCCAAACGTTTTATTGTTCCCCTTTGTGTTTTTGCATGTGTATGTGGGAACACTTAATATGAGATCTAACCTCTTAACAAATTTTTGACTACACAATGCCATATTGGTGAAATAGAGGGCACTATGTTGTACATCAGATCTCTAGAATTTATTCATTGTGCATAAATAAAACTTTACACCCATTAAACTACTTTCCACTTCCCCCTCCCTTCCAGATCCTGGCAACCACCATCCTGTCCTCTGTTTCTATAAGTTTGACTATTTCAGATAAAAAAAATTCTACTGTTTGTAACAACATGGATGAACCCAGAGGACACTGTGCTAAGTGAAATAGGCAACCCAAAATGACAAATACTGCATGATTCCACTTCCGGTTTCCTTTTGTAGGTGGCTCCTAGGGTTTCTTGACCTGGACATAACTGACATTTGTGGTTGCATGATGCTTTATTGCAGGGAGGAAGGCTGTCCTGTGCATTGTAGGATGTTCAGCAGCATCCCTGGTCTCCCCTCTCTAGATGCCAGTAGCACCCTTCCCCAGTTGTAACAACCCAAAATGTTTCCAGACATTGCTAAATGTCTCTTGCAGGGCAGAACTGCCCACCCACTGAGAACCACTGTATAAAGGGAGGTGAACTTTCATCCCCAGAGAAAATGTTCTTCTTTACTGGTTATGACTGTTTGGACCAGGAGTATGGAAGTCCTTGTCCCGAATAAGTTCTTAATTAGATGAGAGGGTTACATGCTAGTTGGAAGCTATAGTATAATGGGGATTTAATTCAAGGTTAGAATTGGAAGATGGAGAGAGAGTGTTATGCTTTAGAAGGAGTGAGGGCAATGTATCCACAAAAGGCAATAGTTCTGAGTGGATCCTTATCTGTGCTATAAGAAGTCTTAAGAGTTCATTGACCTCATCATGTATTATACACCTACATTTCTATTGTGATTGATGGAGAAACCAACGTTGTGTGTTTAGCCGAATTACCTAGAATGCACAGGTAATGAAGGCAGGAGTCACATCTCTCTTCCTCGTCTTTTCAAAGCTCTGGAAGGGTCCACTTCATAAAGTAGTACTTAGTAAGTATTTGTATAGAAAAGTGAATGGATTAAAAAATAAATGAATTACAAGGGATGTAGGTGGGTCAGGAGATCTGAGAAATGTTCTTCCTTTGTTTTCTCGCTCTCTCACCCAGGCTGGAGTGCAGTTGTGTGATCATGGTTCACTGCAGCCTCAAACTCCTGGGCTCAAGCAATCCTCCCACTTCAGCCTTCTGAGTAGCAAAGACTACAGATATGCACCACCACACCTGGCTAATTTCTTAATTTTTTTTGTAAAGATGGGGTCTCCCTGTGTTGCCCAGTCTTGTCTTGAACTCCTAGTCTCAAGTGATCCTCCCACCTCTGCCTCCCAAAGTGTTGAGATTACAGGCATGAGCCACCATGCCTGGCCCTGAGAAGACTTCTTATTCTACCGCCAGCTTATTGTGCAAGTCACTTCACCTTCCTGAATATCTTGATCTAAGAAATGGATAGTGTGTTAGGTGATCTTGAGAGTTTCTTCAGGCTGTGAAATATCATGGCTCTGACAAGATTACAGAATGTGTTGCATAATTGTGATATTAAAATTATTTGGTAACTTGAGCTATGAAAACTTGTGTGTGGAGCAAGTTGGTCTCCCTAGTGAGAGTCTGTTTCACCAAAAGCGATCAGAGAATGTTGATCATAGTTACCCAAAAGAACACATGCTACAGGTGGATATGAAATGAGGAATGGACAAAAACAAGCTGCTAGAGCACATAACTTTTCATTATGTATGTTAGGTATTTCTTTCTTTAATAAGGGTGAAATACTGAAGATCTAGTAAAAAGAGACTATTAACCAACAACTAAATTGTCTGGAATCAGGAGGGAGTAATCTCATACTAAGAAATAGTCCTATTCACATGTGAATTAAACATTAAGTTATTTCTTTGCAGGTATTTTGGAAATAAGTAATACATTTTCAATACACCTTTTAAGATATATCTTGTGGTAGAAATAGATTAGTCCTAAAAGGTGTTATTTTTTCCTACCATAGGGGCTGGTTGTTAACAATGCTCATAATATTATAACAAGCATGTTCAGATGATTAATTAATGTTGGAAATTCATCTTTCACCCAGACTCTAAACCAGAGAAACTACTTCCACAGGAAGCCTAATTACCACTCAGATAAACTAGTCAGTAAAAGTGACAGAAGTTTTACACCCCTGCAACTTGGTAAGGTAGAATACAAGCAGATTGCAAAAAAAAAAAAAAAAAAAAAAAAAAGCTGCCCATACTCTCAGAGCAAATCCAGGTGTAAAACCAATTTATGTTTCAAGTGCCTACCCATGCTGATCTAGCCAGGGTTATATAGATAATGTTAAGTGTAATTTATGGTTGAGGCAGATTTGTTTGGCAATACTGAAGGTTTTCTGTGGGAAGTTAGAAAAGATAGAGGCCTCCAAAAGCTATCACGACTTTAGGAAAAGTTTGGTTGATGACAGGTACAGAAGATGTGGTTTTTCACTCTTAGCTAAGAGTGCCTAAGTAGGCATGGCATCCAGGATTAGCTCTATGTGTGGCAGTGTGGTGACAGTCACGTGGTGATATGGTTTGGTTTTGTCCCACCCAAATCTCATCTTGAATTGTAACTCCCACAATTTCCATGTGTTGTGAGAGGAACCTGGTGGGAGGTAAATGAATCGTGGTGGGGGGCGGGGGGGGTCTTTCCCATGCCATTCCCATGATAGTGAATAAGTCTCGCAAGATCTGATGGTTTTATAAAGGGGAGTTTCCCTGCACAAGCTCTCTTCTCTCATCTGCCACCATGTGAGACGTGACTTTCATCTTCTGCCATGATTGTGAGGCCTCCCCAGCCATGTGGAAGGCATACCAAGTCTCGGGGATGTCTTTATCGGCAGTGTGAAAATGGACTAATACACGTGGCAATTCTAGAGGAGCAGAGAATCAAGCTATAGACTTTAGCAGGAAACTACTGGGATGGCAGGAAAATGACTGCAGTTCTGATGGCATTGGGAAGAGAGGGCAAGGAACAAAAGAAGACAAAACTCAGCAAGGCTCAGAAGCTCTAGTACTGGGGCAGCTGTTGAAAACAAAGAGCATCTAACCATGGTGTATGGCACTGGAGGGACAGTTATGAACTGAGATCATGAGGGAAATTCTGTCAAAAACAAAGCACAGATCTTCAGAAATTTCCAGACTCTAGAGATATGGAAAAGAGAGAAGATCATAAGCTGGAATACAGAAAAGGACCCCTCCAGTATCCAGCACTCTGGGGCTGGCAGGCCAGGTAAATCCTGGGAATATAAGAGACCAGGTTGGTTAGAATCTGGTTGGGCAAGAAGGATGACTACCCCAGAAATAATCAAGAGTTGCAGAACTTGTTTCACTCAATAACAAAAATCTGCTGAGTCTTTACTCTAAGCACCATGGTAGGCTCGGAGACGATAAAGATTAAATCAGAAATAATCTCATTCTTCCAGCATGGGCTACATAGTGATATCCCATCTCTACAAAAATATTTTTAAAAAATGAGTCTAGTAGGCATGGTGGCTTATACCTAGAGTACCAGCTATTCAGAAAACTGAGGCAGGATGATCGCTTGATCCCAGGAGTTTGAGGTTGCAGTGAGCCATGATTGCACCATTGCACTGTAGCCTGGCTGACAGAGCAAGACTGTGTCTCAAGGAAAAAAAAAAAAAAAGAAACATCCTTATTCTTGAGAAGTACATTTAATCTAAAAAGGGAGGTGGCAGAGGCATAAATGTCAAATATCAAAATGCTACAGAGGGGCTACCTAACTTAACTTAGAACAATCAAGGAAGGCTTCCTAGAGGAAATGGCACTTGAATTAAAACTGGAAAGAGGATTAATAAGAGTAAAGTGGCCAGAAGTTGTGACTCATGCCTATAATCCCGGTGCTTTGGAGGGATTACAGGCATGAGCTGAAGGTGAGGATGATCCCTGCAGCTCAGGAGTTTGAGATCAATCTGGGCAACATTGCAAGATCCCATCTCTATGAAAAACAAACAAACAAACAAACAACAACAAAAAAGCAATGTGGTGGTGCATGCCGGTAGTCCCAGTTACTCAGAAGGTTGAGGCCAGAGGATTGCTTGAGCCCAGGAGATTGAGGCTGCAGTGAGCCATGATTGTGCCACTGCACTCAGCCTGGACAACAGAGCAAGACCCTGTCTCAAAAAAGAGAGAAAGAGTAAAGAAGTGAGAAAGTACTGTAGTTAAAAGTGACATAAGCAAAGGAAAAAATATTGCAAATAAATATGTGAGATGTATATGTGTGCTTGTGTCAAGGAATGGGAAAGACTGAAATTTGTTGGGTATTTGGATATAAATTCAAGGCAGGAAGTAGCACACGAAGTGGCATAAACATGAATGGAATATACATAGGGGGAATACCTGAAAGCAATTATTATGTCATGCTAAGGAGCTTGGTTTTATCCTATAGTAGGTGATAGGGAAAGGTTATGATCAAGGTCATTCCTTAGATGTGGCTATTGAAGAGTGTGGAAGACAATTTGAGGTCAACAAGGCCAGAGGCAAAGAGATCAGTTGGGTGGTAGTCCTCAAACTCAAGCTTGGAGCAAAAGAATGAAGATGAAGTTGAAAAATAGTTAAGCAGTTAGGAGGTAGCATAACCAGGACTATGATTCAATGTTCCCTTGAGGGACAAGGCTGCCTTACAATGGGTATCTGGTTTCCAGCTCAGGGAACATTAGTTCCATTGATTGAAATAAAAATGAATGAGGAAGAATGGGTTATAGGGTAGGAAAGATAATGCTGAGATTCTCATAAAAATCACAAAATTGTGCATTGAACAGTTGAATACAAGAGTATAAAACTCAATAAAAAGCTCAACTACGGAAAGCAGATGTGAGTCAATGAGAAATGAATAATTATTTGGGCATAAAGTATTTGTGATGGTTTTTTCAAACTGAAGGTTTTTTGGGGAAGAGGGTAAAACCTCTAGCAGTCCTACCCATATTGAACTTTGCTAGCTACAGTGGAGAGATGAGTAGTTGGATGCTTATTCTACTTGGCAGAGGCGAGGACTGGTGCAAGAGATGAACATCGCAATCATTTAACAATTATAGGTAAACAAATATCGATCAGCAATTATAATTTAACAATTATAGATTGCCCTGGAATATGGATTGATAAAGGAATGTAAATATTATTCTAATTAGAATCCTAAATGATTCCATGCCCCATTGAGTCCTGCAAAAATTGCATGATGATGATTTGGAAGCAAATGTACTTTTCAACATTGGGAGTGTTTAAGAATAAGCTATATAATTGCTGAGCAGGGTTGTTACCATAGAAATCTCTGCTAGAGAACAGAGTAGGTAATTATTTAATGGACCATTAAGTAAGAGCATCATAAATTCCGGACAAATTTTAGGAACTATTATTTTCTGATTCATTGACTTTATATAAAATATCAAAGGTGTAGAGTTAAGTCACATATTTTAAAAATCTAATAAGTCAAATTTAAACAATTGAATAAATCACTATGTGCATTAAAGCAGGCTTGTCTTAGTAAGTAATTACAATAACTTTCAAGATTGTTTTCCGCTATAAGATTTGCTGTTGAATCCCCTGATTAGCACAGAATTTGGTACTTGCTTGGGCACTATATACATGTGCTTTTTTCTTTTTTTCTGTTTGAGACAGGGTCTTTCTCTGCTGCTCAGGCTGGAGTGCAGTGGTGTGATTATGGCTCACTGCAGTCTAAATCTCCTGGGCCAAAGCGATTCTCTCACCTCAGCCTCCTGAGAAGCAGGGACTATAGGTATACACCACCATGCCCAGGCTTCTCTTGAATTCCTGGGCTCAAGCAATCTTCCTACCTTGGCTTCTCAAAATGCTGGGATTACAGGCATGAGCCACCAAGCCCGGCCACTATATATCCAAGTACTTGGTTACATGGGACAGATAGAGCAAGAAACAGCTAAGAAGTCAGCTAGAATTGTTCATGCATTAGGGGAGGCCAGGTATAATATAAGCTGGAGAGAGTACAGTGTTGGTGGAGGGGCCTGGTGGGAGATGATTGGATCATGGGGATGGAGTTCTCCTGAATGATTTAGAACCATCCCTTTTGTGGTGTTCTTTTGATAGAGTTCTCATGAGATCTGGTTGTTTAATGGTATGTGTCACCTCTCCCCTCTCTCTCTTTCTCCTGCTCTGACCATGTGAATTACTGGCCTCCCCTTTGCCTTCTGCCATGATTGTAAGTTTCCTGAGCCTCCTGCCCCCAGAAGCTGAGTAGATGCCAGTATCGTGCTTCCTGTACAGCCTGCAGAACCATGGGTCGATTAAATGTCTTTTCTTTATAAATTACCTGGTCTCAGGTATTTCTTTATAGTAAGATGAGAATGGACTAATATAGAGAACTGATATCAAAGAGTGGGGCATTGCTATAATGATACCTGAAAATGTGGAAATGGCTTTGGAACTGGGTAATGGGCAGAGACAGAAAGATGAGGAAAAATTTGGAACTTCCTAGAGACTTTTTAAATTGTTGGGACCAAAATGCTGATAGTAATATGG
Organism: Homo sapiens; assembly: GCF_000001405.40. Lineage (NCBI taxonomy): Eukaryota > Metazoa > Chordata > Mammalia > Primates > Hominidae > Homo > Homo sapiens. The sequence continues at coordinate 69,940,351 of NC_000017.11, forward strand.
ACAATTAAGTTCAAGCTGAAGAGGTCTGAGATGGAGATGAGAAACTTATTGGGTACTGGACCGAAGATCACTTTTAGCAAAGAGGTTGGCTGCATTGTGCCCCTGCTCTAGGGATCTGTGTAACTTTGAATTTGAGAATGATGATTTAGCGTATCTGGCAAGAAGAAATTTCTAAGCAGCAAAGCATGCAAGATGTGGCCTGGCCGCTTCTAACAACCTATTCTCATATGCATGAGCAAAAAAAAAATGACCCCCAACTGGAACTTATGTTTAAAAGGGAAGCACAGCATAAAAGTTTGGAAAATTTGCACCCTGGCTATGTGGTAGAAAAGAATACCCAACTTTCAGGGGAGGAGATTCCAGCTGGCTACAAAGATTTTTATAGCTAAAATGAAGACAAATGCTGATAGCCAAGGCAATGGGCAGAAGGCATCAAAGGCATTTTGGAGACCTTTGCAGCAGCCTCTCCCGTCACAGGCCCAGAAGCCTAGGAGGGAAGAATAGTTTCTTTGGTCAGGCCTGGGCCCTGCTTCCCTGCACAGCCTCAGGACACTGCTTCCTGCATCCCAGCCACTCCAGCTCCAGCCATGGCTCACACAGGCCCAGGTACATACAGCCTGTGCTACTGCTTCAGAGGGTGCAAGCTGCTCTTTTTTTTTTTTTCTTTAAGACAGATTCTCACTCTTTTGCCCAGGCTGGAGTGCGGTGGTGTGATCTCAGCTCACTGCAGCCTCCACCTCCTGGATTCAAGCGATTCTTCTGCCTCAGTCTCCTGAGTAGCTGGGATTACAGGCACCTGCCACCATGCCCAGCTATAATTTTTTAAATATTTTTTAGTAGAGATGGGGTTTCACCATGTTGGCCAGGCTGGTCCTGAACTCCTGACCTCCAGTGATCCACCCGCCTCAGCCTCCCAAAGTGCTGGGATTACAGGCGTGAGCCACTGTGCCAGGCCACAAACTACTCTTATGATCAGAAGGAATATACAGTATAAAGGAATTTGTGTGACATTTATGGTGTCTTTTACATCATAGTCTATGACCCTATATTGTTATTATAAAGCTCCCACACCATTAAATAATGGGGACAATGCCCATTAACCAGCTGCCTTTTATTTCTCATTTGGACAGTAATTTAGTTAGTCAATTGGAAAAGACATTTACATTTACTTTATTCTTCTTCATGGAAATAAAAATAAAAGCAGAACTTCTAACTTCTAGAATCCTCATAAAAATGGTACTGACTGAAGGACCTGAAGGCATTCTGTAGAATTCTAAGATAACCTGTAATCTCATATGTATATATGTATGTGTATATGTCAATATACAGGACTATCTATGTATACATCTATAGCTGCATCTGTATGTCTAGGTCTCTATCTATAAAACCATCTTCTAGAATTCATTACAGTATCACTATAGACATTTATAAGCCAAAGTGGCAGAAATATTGAAATAAAGAACTATAATATTGGAACTCTGATCAACGTTTTACTAGTATAGTCCTTTCATAATTCTGTGCAGATTTCTCTAGCTAGTATATATTAAGAAATAAGTCGTATTTAAACCAACAGAATAAGTTGGGAATCCGTATATAAGCAAATGATAACTGGAAACATATTTTTTGAACTTAACAATTACATCAGAAATACACTTATTGAGAATGAGCTGCATTCCTGGTAATGAGAAGGCAAAGAAAGATTCTGCAAGATTTGGCTCTACTAGATCTCCTTTTGGCAATTTAAGGTCATTCTCTACCCTTAGTGACTTGGAATTTCAGAAAGTATATGTCTTCTTTTCAAGGAGAAGGAAATTAGAAGGTACTTAGATTGGTTTAATTTGCTTTAGTTGAAAGGGCATAAGGACATCCAATGTTTACAAATTCACCTTCTTTTAGTTTCCCTGTGCTTTGCACAGGGAAATGAAATGGACTTTGACATTGTATAGCCTTAATTTGTAAAACAACTCTTCTACTTATTATTTCATAATAAGTACTTAAACTTGCCAATTTTTAGTTTCTCATTCTTTACAATGAAGAAAAATATCTTACAGGATTGTTGTAAGAATTAAATTAAATTGAATTAAATTAAATAGCAGCGTAGGAACCCTGACACAATCGTTGGGTCATAATCATTCTCAATACACATTAATTTCATTAATCATGCCTTACTCCACAGGAACTACCCTTAGTTTATTACTCAAAGGTGTTTCTATATGGACAAATAGAATAAGAATTGCAAACAGTAAGGGAGAATTTTTATGGACTTGAGAAAGCTGTAATGAGGAATATGTGGCAGCCTAATGGAGAACTGAAATAAGTTTGAATTTTTACTACTTATAGCAAATATGTTATTATAAGGATTAGTATTATCGTAGATTTAAATAATAGGTTTGCGTTTATATATCTTTATATATTTTAATTGTATTCATGATCATCATCTCACTGAATCTTCACAGTACCCTGTGAGATAAAATTATCATTCTCATTTTACAGATGGAAAAGTTGAGATTCAAAGGTGTTAATTTACATTGCAAATCATATATTCTTTATATTTGTCAGGAACAACCATAAATGATTTGAAAGTGGATATGTGATCTGTGGGTGTCCTTTCAATGAAATGTTGAGTGTTTTTTGTAAAGGAATCTGAGCCTTTTATCGACTCAGCCACTTTACAACTCTGTAAATTATGGAAAACTGAAAGGAACACAAATGATTCTTGTGTGTTTACAGGCAAATGAATTTTGTCTGGCAGGTTTATAATTGACTTCTACTCTGTAGAATAGATCATTCAAATATTATCTGTTTTTACTGGTAGATAGTGATCCACTTTGCATCTATTAGCAAAATTATTTCAGAACTTGTGATTACCTGTATTTGCATCTGTGTTTAGATTTTCTTTTGGACTGATTTTAACATCTTATGAGTTTCCTCATTAGTTAATGAGTTAAAAAATTGACACAAATGTTTATTGTATATTTTTACAAAAGTCATAATTTTATCCTTCTGAAAATTATCTTATAACATACTTGAATTAAGGTCTTCTGTTTCTAATCCCAGGGTTTATAAATGGAAATTCAAAGGAGCTAGATAAACCTTGCCTCTGTCAACTGTAAATTCCACAAAAGATTAGCCAAAACACATTGATCAAACCTATTGCAATAAGAAAAAATGCCACTTTGCCAACAAAAAATTTTTACACATACACACAGGGAGACTGGAGAAACAGAAAATTGTTTTTATTCACAAAGGCATGACTGTGTAAGTAGACAGTACATAAAAATGTACAGATAAAGAATTTACATTAAGAAGCTATTTTATCAAGGTCTCTGGATACAACAAGTAAATAGAATAAAAAAGATTCCATTTATAATTGAACCAAAACAAAATATTTAGGAATAATGTACAAAATGTCTATACGGAAAGCTGTAAAACATCAGCGAGAGAAATAAAGAAGACCTAAATTAATATATACATATTTGGAAGAGTCAATAGTTTACAGATTACAATTCATCCTAAACGGATCAATAGGTGGAATGCAATCACTGGATGTGCTTTCTGAAAATTGGTAAGCTGATTCCAAAATTTATTTGGAAATGCAAAGGGCCAAAAATAACCAAGAAAATCTCAAAGAACACCAACCAAGTTGGGGATGCATAGTTTCAGATATTAAGAGTAATAATGCTGTAATGTTTTTTGAAAGTGTGGTATTGGTGTAAGGTAGACAAATAGAACAAAATGAGAAGCCTATAAAAAGAACACACATTTACAGTTATTTGATTTCTTACAAAGGAGAGACTGCAGTAGAGTTTAGAAAGAGTGGCCTTTTCAGTTATTGGGCCCAAGTCAGTTTGGTTTTCTAAGTAGATAAACATCTTTCTTCTCTGTTGTCAACTCCTAAAAAGACCATCAAAGAACTCACTGATTGAGCAAAGTTTATTAGATTCTATTTGACAAAAGTCAGAGAGAAGTATTTGGGACTTTGGGTTTGGGTCTAAGTGGTTAAAGCAAGACGTTTCAAGACTAGGAACTGACTGAGATTAGGAAAATTCAGATTCATAGGAGTTTAGGATTGGTCAACACAAAGACAGGCTTGAAATAAGTCTCGATAAGGAAACTGATTTTTGATACATGAGCTGCTTGCGCTGTTAAGAAATCAATTATCCTGACAGAAGAGGTACTCTCGTACTTAAAGAAAGTATTTTTCAGGGAGAAATTGGTTTGCAAGAATTCCCTGGAGCAAATAGTTACATCACGTCACAGGTGCCCTCAGTTCTCTGTCCAGCTGACTAACTACGTGAATGCAATTGTCTCTACTCCACCCTCTACCTCACTAAAGTCACTGTACACAAAAGTCAACTCTAGATGAAATGTAGATCTAAATCTAAAATGAAATAAAGCTTCTAGAAGAAGAAACAGGAAGGTATTTTTGTGATCTTCAAGTTGGCAAAGCTTTTTAAAATCAGGCCCAAAAACCTCCTTAACCATAACGGGGAAAAGGTGGGTAAATCAACCTACATTAAATTACAACTCTGTTCATTCAAAATAAACCATTAAGAGAGTAAAAGGGCAAAAATACAATAGAAAAGTGAGAATAAGGTTTGAATAAGAACTTGACAAAGAGGGCATTCAAATGGTTATTAAAGCTGAGAAAATTATATTTTATAATTCAGCAATTATATTTCTCTAAGTATATACCCAAAAGATGTACATACACATGTTCACCAAAAAATGTATATGATAATTTTTATTAATAGAAGAGTCTATAAATAAAGTTGCTGTATATCCATACAATAGAGAATGAATAAGCATGAACAAATTATTGTGACAGGCAGCAACGTGGATTATGCCTACAAACATAATGCCAGACAAAATGAAGCCAAACCCAAAAGAAAATAGACTAGGTGTTTCTCATTCTATAAAGTTCAAATGTAGGCAAATTTCATCTATGTTATTACAACTCAGAACAATGTTGACCTTTGGTAGTAACTGGAAGGGGACATCCAGAACTTCTGCAATGTTAGAAATTTCCTATTTTGTGATCTGAGTGCTGATTATACTTACAGGCTTATTTTGTGAAAATTCAGCAAACTGTTTTTTCTATACTTTCAATGAAGTTTACAAGAAAGCTGTAAAGAAGGGCAGGAGAAAGAAGAAGCACATAAGGAAAGGCAGAAAGGAGGAAAGAAAGACTAAAGGAAGAGTTACTTTCTAGGGATCTACAATCTAATAGTCATTATCATGACATGGAAAACAATATGGAAAAAGAAGAACCTAAACCGATTCCTTTTCACAGTAACCAAAACAAATTGAAGAATGAGAATGGTAATCTGGAGTGTGTGTAGCTTGTTCACCTCTTTCAATTCTTAGAATTCTCCACTGGAAATTTTTTCTTGGTGACAAGCTTAGTTCTTCATACCTCATTAAAGAAGAATTTACAGCTGGATGATTGCTATTTCTCTTCACATGGAGCCAAATTTAGATTTTAATTGACAGCCCAGACCCTGTTCTCTTTATTTCCTATGTGCAATTAGAAAGCGAGAGCATATGTTCTGAAGTCGAAGCTCAGGAATGGGATGTTTGGAGTTCCTAAAGTCATTCTTCACTCTGTGAAACCTAAATTCGTCCCACTCCCTCTTGAATGCACATGTGCAGTGGAACATTTGCTGCAAGGTGACTCTAACATGAGCTTCAGCTGACATCCTTTCTGCTAGTTCCAGAAATACAAATTAGCCTGTGTTGGCAGAAGATTAGGGACTGCTCTTTAAGCAGTCTTTCATTCTGCAGTTTTATTTTCCATTCATCTTGCCAAGAGAGTATCTTTTTCCAGAAGTTTCTCCTCTGCTCTCCCCTGCCCTTTTCTTCTTTTTTTTAAGCTCCTTTTTTCTCTCCCAGATCCAACTGTATCTTTACTACAGCCTCTTGCTGTTTCTTATCCTCATATTTTTATACTGCCAATTGCTTTCCTCTCTGTACTTCGCTTATTTTGAATTTTTTGGCCAGTAGTAATACCATATAAATTAAGAACAATCCATCAAGTGGGTAAATTGCCTGTTTTGTTCAATAACATTTTATTTACCATTTAGATTTTTTTTTTTTAATTTTTGAGACAGAGTCTCATTCTGTCACCCAAGCTGGAGTGCAATGGTGTGATCTTGGCTCACTCCAACCTCCACCTCCTGGGTTCAAGCAATTCTCCTGCCTCAGCCTCCTGAGTAGCTGGGATTACAGGTGCCCACCAACACACCACGCACATTTTTTCAAATGTATTTTTAGTAGAGATGGGGTTTCACCAGGTTTGTCAGGCTGGTCTCAAACTCCTGACCTCAAGTGATCCACCTGCTTCAGCCTATCAAAGTGCTGGGATTATAGGCATGAGCCACTGTGTCTGGCCACCATTTAGATTTTTTTGAACGCTTTACGTTTGAGATGTGGGATATTAAACTAATTACAATCATTAGCAAATATTGATTACTTATATCCTGTCTATAATGACAGTTTTATTTTCCCTTAAGTCATAGAAGTATCAATAAGAGGATACAACCATCTTCCATATTCCTCTACCTTTTAAATTTAGCTTCTCCAAGAATATACTATTTTATAACATCTATCTAGGAAGCCTAAGTATAATTAACCCATTACCTAATGCATTCGTGTGTCTAAAGGAAGCTCTCTTTGGCCTTAGCAGCAGTGGAATGGGAAGAAGCTGGGGCCAGGTGTGCTACTGACTCTCCATTCTCATTTCCTTCTGATTCTGCCGTAGTAGCTCTTGATTTTTCTTGTTTACAATTGTTGAGCTTTGGACATCTCTTCTTCCTCTTCCTCTTTCTCTTCCTCTTCCTCCTCCTCCTCCTCCTCTTCCTCCTCCTCCCCCTCCCCCTCCTCCTCCTCCTGCTCCTCCTCTTCTTCTTCTTCTTTTGAGAGGTAGTCTCACTCTGTTGCCCAGGCTGGAGTGCAGTGACACGATCTCAGCTTACTGCAACCTCTGCCTCCCAGGTTCAACCAATTTCTGGCTCATTTTTGTATTTTTTTCAATGGAGACTGGGTTTCCTCATGTTGGCCAGGCTGGTCTCAAACTCCTGACCTCAAGTGATCTGCCCACCTTGGCCTCCCAAAGTGCTAGGATAACAGGCATGAGCCACCACTCCGAGCTGGATGTTTCTTTATTATCAAAGGCCTTGCCACTTATGCACAGGAAGGATGACTGTGCAGTGCTGGGGTCTGTGGTTGACCTGCGCTATTTGGATATCACCAGGGAGGGAAGAAAGAATAGCAGCTTGGGGTCCTCTGGAAACTCTGCCTAAGGACCTAGAACCCAGGCATTCATTAAGACTTTTTGTGGCATTAGCTCACAGCCTTCTAGTTTAAACTTTTTAAAACATTCTTCTTTTTGTTGTTGTTTTCTATGAGGTTAAAATATCCAGACTTCACCACTAAGGCATTAATGTTTGCTCTTTTCTTGATATGAAGTTTAAATGCATTCCTATTCTTGAACACACAATATGTATCTTTCTGAAGTTATGGGCAAGTTCAATAACAGCTCTCTCCAAATCTTTGTTTTATTTCCACTCTATTAGAAGCGATTAAGGCTTCTATGGAGTTCTCCCAAATGACTAACATTTTATAACTTTTATTTTCCTTTACATGTTTTATTTGTAGTACCACTTGAACCTAATTCAGTTATAAAGCCAATAAAAGGGGGATGGATTTGGATTTGGGCATACTTGGCTAGAATTAGAGGTTCTAGTCTTAATGTCCATTATATTTTAAACATTAATGAGTTATATGTTTTTAATCTGGACAAGTCAGTGGCCTAGAAATTCAGGGAATTGTTAGAATTGAAATTTCAATTCTCTATTTATCTGTTAAAGGGTTTCTATTCATTTTCAGGGGGAAAAACCTTAGTTAAGATCATAACACTAAATGTAACAATGTCATTTGGGTTCCAGTCCGTGAGTTGTAGGAGAAAGGAGTTTGCCGTCCATTTTTTTTTTTTTTTTTTTTGTTTAGTTCTATCCTTGGAAGAAGGAGAAGGAGAAAGAGGAGGAGGAGGAGGAGGAGGAGGAGAAGGAAGAAGAAGAAGAAGAAGAGGAGGGGGAGGGGAAGGGGAGGAGAAGGAAGAATAAGAAGAAGAAGAAGAGGAGGAGAAGGAGGAGGAGAGGGGAGGGGGAGGGGGAGGGGGAGGAGGAAGAAGAAGAAGAAGAAGAAGAAGAAGAAGAAGAGAAGAAGAAGAGCAGCAGCTCCATCATACTTGCTCCAACACAGTGAAATGTTACAATAGTCTAGGATCTTATTCCTCTCAGTGTTGCTTTTAGAAAACACTGTTGTAAATAAACACAAATTCTCTCTCCAAACAACAACAAAAAATATTTTTTAAGTAAAATGAAATGGGTGTGAAATAGGTGAATGAGCAATTGTCCACATGAATGCGTCTGTTCAGGGGTGGGCTCTGGTTAGAGAAGGAAGCAGATGAAAATGCTCACCTGGATTTAGAGTGAATCGTTTTATGCTTATCTATTAGGTTGGTGCAAATGTAATTGCGAGTTTTGCCATTACTTTTAATATGACAAAACCTGTAATTATGTTTTCACAAACCTAATCTATTACCTATCTCTTAATTTTCCAGTTTCTCTAACTTTCATCCTCCAGAGGGACAAATAAATGGTCACTTAATGGGAGTCTAGAACCATATACATCATTGTAATTCTGATTAAGCTTTACTTAAAATGTGCTTAAGTTTTCAATGTGTGAAGCTTGAGAGTTACAGTTTTATTAATAATTTTTACAATAATATTTTATGGCTAGTACTTTGACATCAACTGAACATATTTCTACATATTATATCATTTGAGCCTCAAAACGATCTGGAGATGTGGGTAAAAAGCAGGTACGATGATTTATATCCTAAAAATAGAAACTTGAGGGTTCAAGGTGTTGTGACTTTTCCATCTCCAAGGTCACATATCTATAAAATAGTGGCCTATGTGTTAGCATTTTGGCATCTTTTCAGTATTACTTGCTCCAGAATTATTAACTTTAGAAATTTTAAGAACATTTTTAAAAATTCCATTTACTTTTTAAAATTATCCACCCCACCAAAAAAAGAAATTCTCTTTGACCAGTTGGTAATTGAATTCATTACCTGGAACTAACCAGAGAAAAAACAAAACTAAACCAAACCAAACCAAACCAGCTGAAAGAAAAAAAAAAAAGAAAATTGTAACTCTCTTTAACTGAATTGATTTAAGACATAACAAGGGAAATGAAAAAATTGGACTATCCTGACAGATAACTTTGTTTGCCAAACTGCAGGCAGATCAGGATCTAAGAGGCTTACTCTTAAACTCCTGGAAAATAAGAAAATGCTTCCAACTGGAATTTTTTTTAAAATGACTTTTTAAAGTAGGGCACTACAGATCAGTGAGATGGTACAAATACAAAAGTTAATAAAGAGACTATCATTGATTGGACTCTAGGCACACTTACCAACATATCTAACAGAGCTCTATGTGTGTTGATAGTCATTGTTCTGACCAATGGTGCAAAAATATTATATGCCCTCCATAGTTTCAAATGTTCTCTTCCAGTTTATGATTTACTAAAACCCACTGAAGTCCATGGGGCTGCAGTATAAACACAGATATATAAACATGCATGCATTAAATGTCTTCACCAGCGACAAAAATGTTAAATCGATTTTATGAGAAGTTGGTTTTCCAGCCACTGAGTGGCTGTAAATGTTAAGTGTTTTTACAGGTTGTTGCTTTCCCAGCTGCTGAGCTGTTTTAAATGTTATCTGTCACACGCACACACATATACACATATCCTTGCTTTGCCAGCTGTTAATCCTCTCTGCACATTTTTATAAAGTTTTTCCCCCTTCTTTTACTTGCTAAATCTATTTATATTTTACTCACATAAGCAAGTGCAAAATTGTCTTGGCATCACCTAACTTTTATTTTTATTGAATTTTTTTAACTACAAATAAAAATTCCATCCCTGTTTCAGTGCTTTCCAGAGAGTAGGGGCTGTAGTTATAATGAATCCAAGATGAGCATTACGAGTTCATCTCAAAATTTAGATACCACAAAAGCACTCTACTTGCGGTATGCTCAGTGGAAACACTGTTCTTGCGGTATTTCCATTGGAAATATTGTACTTGGTGGTATTTTTCAATGGAAAAACTATTACTGTAGGATTACTGAGTGCTGCAGGAAATGCTGGCTGGAGTCTTCTAACAAATGGCCCATAGAAGAGGGAAGCAAGACAGTTAAAGTAGCCACCAATGGAAGCCAGGAGTGATGATGATGATGACAATATTTTATTTAAGAATTCCAAATTAACCCCAGTTGCATTATCTATGAGGAAAGGGAGGAATTCATTTCTAATAAGGAAAAGTTTTGTAAAACCCCTAAGATTAAAATGTGAGTGAGAAACTAGACTGATAGCAGAATAAAAATAATAAAAACAAAAGACAAGTGAGATCATAAGCCATTTTGGGAGGGGGAAAGGGGGATGTGCATTATAACTCTCTCCTAGTGTCTGTTCACAGACTCTAGAAAAAAAGTGCCCAAGGGAAAAAGACACCAAGTAAAAGCTCAAAAGAAAAAGACATGATAATTTTCTGAAGGATTTTCCCAATCAAGTTGGAGGCTGGATTGTACTGAAGTAAACCAGCTTAAAATAATTACCTAGCTCTCTAGTCTGTCCTGAGTCTGGCTGGGACTTGCTTTTCTTTATTACCCAGCACAGCTCAGCAGGATTCTCTGCTTCTGTTGGGCAGAATTTTCACAATTTCCCACTGATGCCTGGCTTTTTTTTTTTTTTTTTTACATTGACTTTCTGCTCATGATCATCCTCCCTGCTGGGATACCCATCACTTATCTAAATCCCTCCCAGGCTACCTTGAAGGTCAAAGTTCAACTTATCAAATGAAGCCTTTCATGGCTCATCCTTCAGCCTTCATAGATCAACTACTTTAAAAAACTGTCAAATAGAGAGGTACTTCTCCACACTTCAGCATTTAATGGTGTCTTTATGGTCTGTGCCTTACAAGCAATATTGAAATCAGACACTGTGCTTTCTATTTCTTTGTAATTTACAGCACTGAGAACAGATCTGAACACTGAGTAAATGCTTATTAACTAGTAATTGCTTACCTGAGGTAAAGCAAATATGATACCTTGGTTTCTCTGAATCCTCATTGATTGATTATTTTAGCTATAATAGTATAGCTGTTATAACACAAAATCCCCCAAATTGCAGAGCTTAAAACAATAATCACTTACTTCTCATTCATATCATATTTCTGTGTGGGCATTTCTGGTGGAGTGGCTCTTCTCCAAGTAGTGACTCAGGGATCCAGGATCCTTCCATTGTGTGGCTTTACCACATGGCTTCCAAGATTGCCCAGAGGGTGGTCTCTATCCTGGTCATCTGGAAAGGGAAAAAGAGACTAAAGGACTGTGTGTATAATGTGTACGTAGAATTGAACTGAAAGTAGTATTTGTGACTCCTGCCCATGTTTTATTGGTCAAAACTCCATTGTATGATGTATTGGGTTGACTTTTATTCCCCCAGGGTCATATGTTGAAGTCCTAACTCCCAGTACTTCAAAACATGACTGTACAGTACTTGGAGATAGGGCCTTTAAAGAGGTACTTAAGTTAAAATGGAAGTTATTAGGTGGAACCTAATTCAATATAACTCGTGTCCTGAGAAGAAGAAATTTAGACACAGATAGGTACAGAGGAAAGACAATGTGAAGACATAGGTAGAAGTCAGCCATCTACAAGCCAAGGGGAGAGACCTTAAAAAACCAACCAGCCCTTCCACTACCTTGATCTGAGAATTCTAGCCTCCAAAATTGTGAGAAAATAAATTTCTCTTGCTTAACACAGTATCAGTCTGTGATACTTTGTTATAGCAGCCCCAACGAATTAATACACATGGCAACATTTATCTGCAAGGGAAGCTGGGACATGTAGTCTTGCTGTATGTCGAGGAATAAAAGGAAACAGGTTTTGCTGAACATACAGCAATTTCTGCCACAGTACTAGAACTGGGTAGGGTATTAGGGGTCATCTACTCCAATATTCTCTTTTCTTTCTGAAGATCAAGATAAAGTCCGCTAAATGAACTGACTCACTCAAGAATCCTCTGGATATGTAGTAACACCTAACTAGTGACTGCATTGTTCATCTAATTAATTGGATCAAAAATTTGCTAATGATTATTGTCCACCAATGTTCCACCTATCCCCCTACCCTTTAATGAGAGCCACCTAGATTGGCTATGTAATTGTGAGGCCTAATGCAACAAATAAAATAGAGAAGGAGAGAGAGAGAGAGAGAGAGAGAGGGCCTTTGTTAAAATTAAGAATTCCAAAAATAGTGACAGTAGATCATTAGACCATGCACAGGACCTTTCTAACTATAGGGCTCTGTGTGACTGCACAGGTTGCATGCCCATGAGGCTGGCCCTGGTGCCACATATATCACCAACACTACCACTACCATGGGTCTTGATGGCTTGAAATTGACATTAGAAGGTTGGAGAGATATTTGAAGAGTTAGTCCACCCCCAGTCCATGTTGGATAGACTATCAATAAGAGGTTGGTGATGCTCAGTCTAAAACATTGGTGTGTAAACATAGGTCTGCTTTCTGTCACCAAACTTCTTATGTTAGAATCACATGGAGGAGTTTTTTGGGGTTTTTTGGGTTTTTTGTTTTTGTTTTCTGAGACAGAGTCTTGCTTTGTTGCCAGGTGGAGTGCAGTGGCGCCATCTCTGCTCACTACAACCTCCACCTCCCTGGTACAAGAAATTCTCCTGCCTCAGCCTCCCAAGTAGCTGGGCCTACAGGCATGCACCACCATGCCCAGCTAATTTTTGTATTTTTAGTAGAGACGGGGTTTTACCATGTTAGCCAGGATTGTCTCAATCTTTTGACCTCGTGATCCACCCACCTCGGCCTCCCAAAGTGCTGAGATTACAGGCGTGAGCCATGGTGCCCGGCCATATTTTTATTTTTTTTAACATATAGAGATTCAAATGAAATTTATTGGGACAAAGGTAAGATATTCTTTTCAAGTGCCCACAGCTGATTCTGTTGCCCAGGCCAGGTTTGGACAGTACAGGTTATAACAACTTGAAATCTTATGAGTCTGTTGACTTTAACCTACCTAACACCCCCCCAATTTGTCATTCCTTACTTTCCTTACTCAGAGAAGGATTTTATCTGTAGATAATATTTCTTTGGATAAGATTTGAGAATGTTAATAAGTCGAGATTTCCTCCCAAAAGTTCTAGTTTTCAAAATTAATTTTCTGGTATCCATCTCAATTGTCCCTAACTTCCTTCCGTGGTTCTCTCTGGTGACCTTATGAAAGATGTAGTGTGTTCTTGTTCTGTCTGTATTCTGTGTCATCAAAATTATTCTTAGGAAAAGGTCTAGTAAATGTGTTTATAATAAAACATTAAAGACAGATATGAATTGATATAGCAATTCTTGTCAGAATCTTTTCTTTCCAAGCGATAAAAGGATTTAAGCCAAAATAATAAATCTTTCATTGCAGAATTTCAGGTACTGATGAAATTTTAATGCGCCAAATGTAAATGTTGTGAAGTTTTTATTTTATTCACTCATTGACTTATTTATATTTTTAAAATATATTTAATTTTAAAAGAGAGATTTCATTCTTAAGTAATCCCTACATTTAAGGAAATCTTATTTTAAAAAAGTACATATACATATTAAAAGAAAATATAGAAAGTGCTGTTCATGTATACTTGTATTTATTCTATTTTTTATACCTATCTGTCTATCTCTTATCTATTTTCTATCTATCTATCTCTAGGGAAACCCAGGAAAAGAAGTAACGAATTCTGTCTGAAACCAACAGAAAAGATGTAGACAGTAGGTGTGTGGTTTGAACTGAATCCTGAGGCAGCATGGTATAAATTTTAGTGTAAAACATGAATGTCTACCATTTGTTTAGTAAAATCAGTTTGGGGAAATTACTTAGTTCAGGGTAAACACTCTGGAGTCAGACTGCTGGGGTTTGAACCCAGCTCCATGACTAACTGTATAGCCTGGGGTGATTTATGTAATATCCCTGTTCCTTATTTCTTCATTTATAAAATGAGAATAAAAATAAATAGATCTGACCACATTGGTTTTGTGAGAGGATTAAAGAATTAACTCATGCAAAACATTGAGAACAGGGCTTCTATTACTATTATAAATTTCGTTATAACCCAGTTTATTCTCTCTAAGATGAGAATAATAATATATGCCTTTAAGATTGATCTGGGCATTATATTGAATAATGTATGCAAAATATCTAGCCAGTGTACTCTAAATAGTAACGTCGACTCAGAAAACATTGTTTACTCAATGATTCACTCAAGAGACATTAATGTAAATTACATCTATATATATTACCTTTTCCTTTTACATAGGTTACCTTTTGTTGATTAATTTAACTTTATACAGATTAGTATTTGAGTGCTAGAAAAAGTGAGCATAGATAGCATATTTAGTGTTTTCATGTCCTAGAATTGGTTATTTTGCTTTTCATTCAAATATGTCTTTATGATTACACCAAACAATTCAAATTAGGCTATCTGAATCAGTACACCATGAATAAGTATATAAAAGTGTTTCCTCTCTAATTAATAACCTTTGCAGTTTTCAGCTGAAAGATATGATGACAGAAAAAAATAATTGCTCGTTCAGGCTCTTTTATGTTTTTATATCAATTTTGGGATTGTTTTTTCTAATTCTGTAAAAAAATGATGTTGGTATTTCTATAGAAATTGCATTGAATCTGTGGATTGCTTTGGGCAGTATGATCATTTTAATGAATGTAAATTAGTACAGCTTCTATGGAAAACAGTATGGAGATTTCTCAAAGAATTAAAAATATAACTACCATTAGATCGAGCAATCCCACTACCAGGTATCTACCCAAAGGAAAAAGATACCTGCACTTGTATGTTTATCAAAGCACTATTCACAATAGCAAAGGTATGGAATCAGCCTAAGTTTCTGTCAACAGATAACAGATAGCTGTATTAGTCAGGATTCTCTAAAGGGGCAGAACTAGTAGGATAGATGAATATATGAAAGGGAGTTTATTAGGAGAATTGACTCACACGATCACAAGGTGAAGTCTCACAATAGGCCGGCTGCAAGCTAAGGAGCCAGGAAGCCAGTGCAAGTCCCAAAACCTCATCAGTAGGAAAGCCAATAGTGCAGACTTCAGTCTGTGGCTGAAGACCTGAGAGCCCCTGACAGATCACTGGTGTAAGTCTGAGAGCCCAAATGCTGAAGAACTTGGAGTCTGACATTTAAGGGCAGAAAGCATCTAGCATGCGAGGAAGATGGAGGCCAGAAGACTCAGCCAGTCTAGTCCTTTCAGGTTCCTCTGCCTGCTTGTATTCTAGCCATGCTGGAGCTGATTAGATGGTGCCCACCCAGATTGAGGATGGGTCTGCCTCTCCCATTCCACTGACTCAAATGTTAGTCTCCTTTGGCAACACCCTCACAGACACACTCAGTAACAATAATTTGCATCCTTCAATCTAATCAAATTGACACTCAATATTAACCATCACAATAGAATAAAACTGTAGATAAAGAAAATGTGGGGCTGGGCATGAAGGCTCATGCCTGTAATCCTAGCAGTTTGGGAGGCTAAGGCAGGAGGATCAATTGAGCTCACAAGTTCAAGACCAAACTAGGCAACATAGTGAGATGTCATCCCACCAAAAAAAAAAAAAAAAAAAAAAAGCCATATGTGGAGGTGCACATTCTCACTTGTAAGTGGGGTCTAAATAATGGGTACACATGTACATGGAGTGTGTAATAATAGACAATGGAGACTTGGAAGGGTGGGGGCATGGGATGGGGGTGATGAATGAGGAATTACTTAATGTATACAATGTATATTATTCAGGTGGTGGTTACACTAAAAGTCCAGTCTTCACCACTATGGAATCTATACATGTAACAAAACTGCTTTTGTACCCCTTAAATTTATACAAAATTAATGATATGGTTTGGCTGTGTCCCCACCCAAATCTCATCTTGAATTGTAGCTCCCACAATTCCCATGTGTTGTGGGAGGCACCCGGTGGGAGGTAATTGAATCACGGAGGTAGGTCTTTCCCTTGCTAGTCTTGTGATAGCGAATAAGTCTTATGAGATCTGATGGTTTTATAAAGGGGAGTTTTCCTGCACAAGTTCTCTTCTCTTGTCTGCCGCTGTGTGAGACATGCCTTTCACTTTCCACTGTGATTATGAGGCCTCCCCAGCCATGTGGGACTGTGAGTCCATTAAACTCTCTTTTGTACACTTTCTTTTGTAAATTGCCCAGTCTCAGGTGCAAATATATACACACACACACACTCAGAGTGAAGAGGGTCAAGCAATCAAGCAATTCTATAGCTCTCTTTAGTATGCCTTTTTCAGAATTATTTTTAGTCAGTACTTATGTCTCACCTCATTAAAAATATACATACATGTATTTATTAGCCAGGTGTGGCAGTGCACGCCTGTAGTCCCAGCTACTTGGGAGGCTGAGGCAGGAGAATTGTTTGAACCCGGGAGGCGGAGGCTGCAGTGAGCCGAGATCACGCCACTACACTCCAGCTTGGGCGACAGAGCGAGACTCCATCTCCAAAAAAAAAAAAAAAAATATATATATATATATATATATATATATACACACACACACACACACATACACACACACGTATTTTATGTAGCTTGAAGAGAGACATAAAAGTAAAAATAAATAAAAACCAAAAAGTAGACAAAGAAAAAATTAAAGTGGCAAAATAAGAAAAAGTAAGGGGTTCCATTGATGCATGAAATTTATACCGTAGGTCAAATTATACTATAGTTAAAGGTGGACCACAAAAAATGGTTCTGAGATTCCTAGCAGGCAGACCAAAAAGGAAAATCGATCAGATTCATAGTGTCTATCAGATAAAAGCAAGCATGTCAAAAGACAGTTTTATTACAGCTCAATTGTTTCACCATCCAAACACTTTCTGAACTCACAGACACTTTACCTAAACCTCTTTTCTGCATGCATCTCTCTTTAACTTATGTTTAGGCATCTTGATCCACTACAAAACCATGTGAACCATAAAGACAGAGGCCTCAGCATATTAATTTTTTATAACACTGTGCTTCACACAAGACAGGATTTCCATTAAATGTTTGCACAATAAATTAATCAATGACATTTTAAGATGTGTGTCAAAAGAAAGAAACCTGTTTGGGTGAACTTCACACTTTCAAAACACACTGGCTGGGAAGACAGGCTGACAAATTGTGTTGAGAAAAATGAAGGTTATAAGTGGATTTGTGTGTATATGGGAAGAATTATTATGGCAATTTATTATCATTTTCACATAAGGGAAATAGAATGGAGGGGTTGAAGAAGATAGCTTGAAAAGAAGGGAGAAACTATTGAATACAGATTCTTCATTACAAATTTTTATCAAAATCTAAATCTCAGTAGAATAACAATCTGAAGTCACTGGGCAAATGGTCTTCATTCACTTTAAAATTAATGATTATATTATTTTTAAGTTACAAGTTTCCCATTAATTTAGGTGCCTTTAAGTGTATTCCAACAATTTATAATGCTCGCTAACGCATTTTATTGTATCCAAAGTTTAGAAGTATCTAGACAAATCACTGTATTTGTTATATGGTAATCGGTATTATCTTGGTCTTTAATTCCAGAATTCTATGTAACACTTATCTAAGTGGGGGTTACATTGGGTATTTCATGCGATTTCCTTTTTATTTGTATATTTATTCAGCAAGCACTTACTATTGTTCACAATGTGTCAGCACTGTGGGTGAGAAAGAAACATGGTACCATTAATCAAGGAACTTACAGTCAAGGGGGAGGAATAATTACAGCAGAGGAGTGCATATTTGTACCCAGCAAGGAATGGTGCAGAGTCCTCTAGGAGATGGAGATCATAAAAGAAAAAGAGCTAACTTCTTGGATTGATCTAGGGAAACATGGTGGAGGAGGTGGCATTAGATCTAGTCGTAAATAATATGTAAACTTGGGATTCCTATTAAAGGGCACATGTGGAAGTAGGGGGGCGCAAAATTGTTGGATGGAATTTAGGCTGAAGCATCTTAACCTCAAACCAAAGAGCAACGGAAACAGTTGTATAAGGGGAGAGGAAGGGAAGAGAAGAGAGTGTTAAAATCTTGATGAAAGGGATAGCAAAATTGGAGTAAGATATGACGCGAATTATCGATGGAGGTGTACAGGAAAGAATGCACCACATTTCAATTTCTTTCAATACATCCGGCAGAACAATGCCAACTAGAAGTCGAAGCACATTGTCCAGAATAGGCAAATGTACAGAGAGAGAAGGTAGAGTAGGGATAGCCAGAAGCTGGAGCGAGGGGGAACTAGGGAGTGACTGCTCATGGATATGTTTTTTTTCTTGAGGTGATTAAAAATGTTCTGAAATTAGGTTGTAATGATGGTTGTGTGGCTTTTGCAAGTGTTTAAAAAGTCATATATTCTCCACTTTAAAAACAGTTCCCACTTAACCTTTTCATATGTGTTTAGATATAGCTTGTTCATTGGTTGTCCTTATTTATGCTCTGTTTTGATTTAGTATTGGCCCATGTTTTATGCTTTATGTCCTCCTCAGATTAGCAATCTTGTTTTGTATCACAGTTTTGATGGTGGCCTTGCTCCAGGATACTACTTCAGGTCTTGTTGCTATTATTTCTACTATGGATAACAAGAGCCCCATCCTAGCAGATAGGACACTGCCCTCCTGAAACTATTCTCCACCTGGCTCCAAGCCTGAGGGGGCAAGGGAATTATGCAGATACATTCAATCAGAGTCATGAAAATCAATTAGGCAGCATTTTAGACGGGTTATAAATTGCTAAGGCTTAACTTAGAATGGGGTAGGATTGAGAATGAAAAAGAAAGGAAAGAGATCTTGTGCAAGAATGGGCAGGGTGTTGTTTCAGATTACACCTGGAATAGAGTCAGAGTAACCAAAGATAAATCACATTTTAATTCCCAAGTGACACAACTTTTTGTCACAGTTCCTTGGAATTTCTACTGGAGGGTTATATATTATGATATAACACTTTACACAGTGCTTGGTATACAGTAAATCTAGGTAATGGTTTTGGCAAGGATTTTATGTTTATGTTTTGTTTTTACTTCTTCCCAGGAGACTCCTGCTTTCAAGTCAGTTCATTAATCATTATCATTCTCATCTACAGGAGGTAGGAATTAGTATCCTCATTTTGTAAATGAGACTACTGAAGATGAATGAGATTAAATGATTTGCCCAAGGCCTCCATGTTGGACTGTGATTTTGTAAAAAGGCAGAGCAAATTCTGTTAGTTCTACATAGGAGATGGGAGATCACAGCAGGTTGATAGAATCTAGAAGGGGCAAAATGGAGATGAGAACTTAGAAGTAGAAATGGAAACAATGAAGATGTCAAGAAAGGCAAAGTCAAGACAGGTGAGAGCAAGACCCAGCTTTGGGGATTTGGATTGGCAGGGCCAACCCTGCAAACCAGCTCAGCCAGAAGAGGGGCAAGGCACCTTCATTATGGGTCAATGCTTTGGAGTTTGAAGGGGGAAAGTGGAGAGTCCCTGGGAACCTAAGCAACCCAGGAAGAAGAGGGTCAACGATAGCAGATCTCATGGAAAAAGTATTTATGGAAGTATGTTTTTTACCTACTGCCATTGTGAATTGTCTGACAGTTTCACCATGAGGTACAGAGCAGCAGGAAGGCTACTCAGAATCAATCTCATTTCTAGGGTGAAGACTCTTGTATGTCCTGATGGGATGACTTTCATAGAAGAACAGCCTGCAGATAATAATGGGTTACAATAAACTTACTGCTCCTGAAAGAACCAGCAACTAGTTTGTCCTAAAACCAATCTTCCCTTCTGATAAGTCCCAATGCCATGTAACCATTGGATACTTATCATTTGTTATATAATGAGTTACGTTTTCATATATTTATGCTAACTCTCTAACTTGACTATATATTCTACCAAGATAGAAGTAAATATTCCTTCCTCATTTTCCTATGGATATAAATTTATACATTGTACCTATTTAATCAAATACTTGACTGGTTGGATGCCTGCATCAAATGCAGACATGACTCCCCCCAAAATGGGCTTTGTAGGAGCCTATGTGGCAAAGATTAGGGTTCCTGGGAAGCCGAATCTGAGATGAAATTAAGAGCTCGTTATGTTAATTAAGGTGCATCCTTGGATTCAACACCTCTCGAGTTAGGGGAAGGAAGCAGACAGGGCAGAGAAAGAAGTTGAGCTTCCACGGAGACCCATCACAGCTTCAGGGAATCTCATAGAGATTTCTAGAGCTAGAATGACCCTTCAGCATTTTCTCAGGTTGATTTGCAATGAACAGGCCCTTACACTCCCTCCTTGATCAGTTTTTGGATGTGGGCTCCCTGCAAAGGGATGTGTCCTTGGGCAAGGCTGCTCTCTGTAACAGAGGCAATCCTTGGAAGGGCAGCCAGCTTATGGCCATCTGCCAACAGCTGAAGAGCAACAAGTTCTTCAGTGAAGGAAGGCCTGGCCAGTGCAGCACTGGGCTCATTTATATTAGGTAACTCCAGGTAAATGTAAGTGCATTTCTTAGAGGTGGGATGAGGTACTTTGAAGTACCTCACTGAGTTTAAAGGCAAAGGTATTGATACCCACAGTTATATTCATTATTTCTGGTTGAGTTCAATTACACTGAATTTGAGATGGCAGTTTGAAAATTTACTGTCAGTAACTACCAAAAAAAAAAAAAAAGAAAGAGCAGAGCATTGTCTTCGCGATTATGCTGGGACACTTTCAGAGTAAGTCCCCAAGATACAAGGTCCAAAAAAAATACTGATGTGGTACTCAATTGTGGTTCTTTGTAGTCTCTTTCTAAGAGAACTTCAGCTGCATGTTGGATGGAAAACAATATGAAACAAGGGAGAGAGAGAAGAAACAGAGTTTGTTAATATTCTCTGCTAGATTCTGCAGAGGAATCACTTTATTTTGCAGTTGCAACTAGCTTAAGTTATGTAGCTAGAAGTTATGTAGCTAGAAAGCTGACTTGCACACTTAAAGCTAATGAAGAGAAATGCAGGTTTTCCGGGGTAGGTTCTTGGCACTTCTCTGCAAATAGGTAAAAGGGAATGGCAGATATTCAAGCTTAGGGAGCAAGCAGCAAGGACAGAGCCTTCCCCGTCTCTGTGTGTTGAAGTCAGCAGATAGCACACCTGCTGCTGCGTGAGTTCCTTCTGCCAAGCAGAGCAGCACAGCTGCAAGACACCCTGCTTCTGGCTCTGAGCTTTGCTTGTCTTCAGGGATGGAGCCCCTCCCAAGGCAAGTTCAACTGGGTTCTTTGGCAGCCGAAGTCTACACGGACCCTGCAGGGAGCGGTGGAGAAAAGTGAGTTTGACATGCTTGGAAATATTTAGATCTTGGATGTAAACTTCAAGGAAAATATTTACTCTGTTTGTTTTAATACCACAGAGGTTTGGATCCCGGGAATCTTCAGAGTACAAAAGGCTCTTGCCAAGGCACCAATTTAACAATTTGGTCAGTGACAAAAGGGCATCCTGTTTAACTAGTCTGAATTTAAATAGCATGTTTCCAATGTATTAGCATGTCTGTCTCATCTGTTTACAGAACTGTTTTCTTTAACCCCTGAATTTTGTGTTTGGTTTATGAATTTGCACAGAATCAAATACAGTTTTTTAATAGAAAGCAAGCAAAAAAGCGGATCATCACATAGTTGAAAGAGTTGCTACCCGGGCATTGACAATAAACTTCCCACGATTACTTGACCATTCAGAGCAACCAGATCCTTGTAGAAGGCTACAAGCTCTCTTTACTCATGGCTCTTGGTGAAAAATTCCTTACTGTCTCTTTGCTGGTGCTGAGAAATACTGCAGAATGCTAAAGGACTGTCCAATTATATTTTTGGCGAGTGAATTATGATAAAAGAGAAGCCTTTTGTAAATGTGACTTGAAAAGTGGCGTATTTTGTGTCCTCTCTTTGTGTTTTATGCAGAATCCCTACTGCAGGACACAACTTTCAGGACTCACACTGATTTCCCTTTAGTTTTCTGTTTTTGTTAGTCTGCAGCAGAGTGGGAAATAGTTACTGTAAAGGGAAGTCTTAAGAAAACATATCAGTTATGTGCACAATATGTGTACATATATGGAGGAAAAATAGACAAAAAAAGGAAACTGGCATCACAATGCTCTCTCTAAGGGCCTATAAGGGATGAACTGGGACTCCTTCCTGCCTTCGGATAGCACATCAGGCAGAGAAAATGTTAACCATTTTTCAACTCTCAGAAAAGCAGATTTCATGATGTCATACAATGTCCTATTCCACTGTCAGATTGCTTCCCCACTTTGGCAATTAAAAATAATTACACTTTTTTTTTTTTTTTTTTTGCTGTACTGCCAAGCCAATTTCTCCTATACAATTGTTTTTAGACATGGCGAATGAACAGCTGCTTTTCAATTATTGGACACAGTTGTATTTCAATTCTCTTTTAACAGCTGTGAAACAGAATTCCTATTCAGAATTTTATAACAGTAAACCACACAAAAAGACTACTGTTGTCTCTCTGCTAATGGAGATTTTGTGTCCCACTTCTTTTTCAGTACCATTTCCCAGATGCTGTCTATTATCTTTCCTCCATCTTTGCTTGACTGTTACTACCATGTGTATGATTCCAACCAAGTCTGATGTCTGCTGATTAAACTTTCTTTACAATACCTTGGTCATTTTTTCCCTCCGTCAGAAGAGAAAGTTATCCCACTTCTCCTAACCAGTTGACAATTAAGTGAAGAAAGAATTTTAATACCTAAATGGTCATTCTGTCACTACCCACTATTGTCACATTTCTTCTTAGTTGGATATCAGTCATAAGAACAATTAGAGTGGGAAAAAGTCAAACATGTAAAAATTTATATTTGCTAATAAACTAATTTGCGTGGGAGCCATTAGAGAAATATAGACTCATCTGCTTTACAGCAGCTTAGAACAGACAGAGATCTACCAGGCCAGTTAGTATAACTCTAATGCCTTTCATCTTGGAGAAAGGAAAACAAGCTAGAGTGGTTAAGTAATTTTTGTTTTCAGATAAACCATCTCTGTTGTAGCTTAGATATCCTAGAGCTCAATTCCCCAGTTTTAGTAGCTTCCTTATTCTGTTTTTTGGTGTGTTTTTTTTGGACGGAGTCTCGCTCTTGTTGCCCAGGCTGGAGTGCAATGGCTCATCTCAGCTCACTGCAACCTCTGCCTCCTGGGTTGAAGGTTCAGGTGATTCTCCTGCCTCACCCTCCTGAGTAGCCGGGATTACAGGCAAGTGCCACCACTCCTAGCTAATTTTTTTTTTTTTTTTTTTTTTTTAGTAGAGACGGGGTTTCTCCATGTTGGTCAGGCTCGTCTCAAACTCCCAACCTCAGGTGATCCACCCGCCTCGGCCTCCAGAAGTGCTGGGATTACAAGCGTGAGCCACTGCGCCCAGCCATCTTCCTTACTCTTTAACAAATGGTAATCTAAAATCAGAGAAAGCATGGTTCTGAAACATTGGAAGGTAAAGTAAGAGAACTATATGTTGCCATTTAGCTGTAATAATAATTCTCCTAGTCTCTAGGCCAGACTGAATTTCCATCTGGTAGAGATTTATGCATTAACTGTAATACTTGATTTCCCCTTGAAGTTCAAATCTCTTTGGGAGGTATTAATTTTATCTTATTTAGGCATTTATACAGAGTATGAACTAACAATCTGAGAGTATGTTTTGATAGGCTGAAAGGAGGAGATGCATGAGGGATTTATACAATGCCATTTAATTTAAACTTATAAATGTAATGTTAATGGCTGTGTATTAGTTTTCTATTGCTGCTGTAGCAAATTACCACAAACTTAGAGGCTTAAATAATACAAATTTATTATCTTCTTGCTCTTAGGTTAGATGTCTGAAGTGTTTTTCATTGGACCAAAATCAAGGTGTTGGCTGGGCTACCTTCCCTTCTGGAGACTCTAAGGAAGAATCCATTTCCTTGTCTTTTCCAGATCCTAGAGGCTACCTGCATTCCTTGGCTTTTATCCCCAATCTTCCATCTTCGGAGCCAGCAACAGTGAGTTGAGTCCTGATATGGCATCACTGTGATCTCCTCTGCTGCTCCTTCTTCCATTTTTAAGGGCCGTGTAATTACATCGAGCCTACGTGGATAACCCAGGATAACCCCTCTCTTCTAATATCAGCTGTCAAGCAACCTAAATTCCATTACAACCTTAATTTCCCCCATTCAGCCATATAACTTAATATATTCACAAGTTCCAAAGATAAGGAAGTGGACATCTTTGAGGGTGTGTCATCATTCTGCTTAACATGGAGTGTAAGAGAAAAGCTACAAATATCAATGACTTA
Organism: Homo sapiens; assembly: GCF_000001405.40. Taxonomy (NCBI): domain Eukaryota; kingdom Metazoa; phylum Chordata; class Mammalia; order Primates; family Hominidae; genus Homo; species Homo sapiens. The sequence goes on from NC_000017.11 coordinate 69,964,846, forward strand.
ACTAAATAATAAGTTTATCTCTTATTAACATTGGGAGTTTCTGGTAGAGCAATCCTCTAAGTGACTATTCAGGGACTTAGGCTCCTTTCATCTTCTGCATCTGCCTTCCTACTGAGCTTGAAAGCCTTCCCTGTCCGGTTAATACATGAAGAAACAGAGAGAGGCTTTTGTGTGTGTGGTTTTATGCACCAGGCTTGGAGGCAGTGAAAATTATTTCTACCTATATTTTCATTGACAATACTCAGTTATGTGGCTATACCTAAGTACAGTGGAAGTTAGGAAATATAGTCTATCTATGTGCTTGGGACATGAAGAAAATACATTTGATGAAGAGCTAGTCAGTCTGTGCCAATTCTGTCCATTTGTTCACCAAACATCTATTCCATTTTTCCTGCCACACATGGAACACACGGGTGTCCTTTCTGAAGGTGGAAAACTAAAGGTCCCAACAAGTCATTGCAGAAAACTTAAAGTCCAGCATCCTTGAGTGATGCTCATCTCTCTAGACCAGAATTGAAGTGGCTTCTTTGAGCCTACAAATGATATATATTTATACACACACACACACACACACACACACATGCAAACAAACACACACATGCATACATATACCATGCAGGGAAGATACATAGATACGGGAAAACATTTTAGACACCTGTTTGGTAAAGGAAAAAATGAGAGGCATGCAGCTGTTACTGAACCATAGCAATTTTGAAATCATGTTAGGCACATATTAAGGGTCCTATTATTTGGCTGGGAAAAAATCTTTCGTTTATTCCTAAATTATGCTCCCTAGAATCTCCTTTCTTCACTGTTCTCCATGGTTACTGATTCCAGCCTCTGAGAGATTCTTCTTTGTCTATCTTTCCCATGACCTTCAGGAAGTGGGATTGGAGATTATGTTTGGTGCTGATAAAAGCTGGGGGACCCAGCACTAATCTTAAAGCTTAAGAAGTCAATACTTTCAGTCCATGCTCATAGAATCCTTAGGGAAACAATTTTCCCCAAACTAACAGACATTGAAATTGTCTTGTTTCTAGTCAATTACATGTGCCAATAACTACATTTGAAGTTTTCTCAATGTGATAATTCTCATGACTGATTTATTTTTTGCTTCCTCATATACACCATTCTAAGCCACTCCCAACCTCCCTGAAGCTATCTGAAATAATATTTTTGAATACTGTTTCCTTAGTCTAATCCTTATATTAAATTGTCTGTTTTTTAACAATAATTTTATTTGATTGTTGTCATTCAGAGCCTTTTTCAATTTATCTTAATTAGGATGCAGAAGCACTCAGGTTTATTAACTCTAAAAGTTATTGATCTCTGGATACATATCCATTTCAATTTCTGCTTCAAAATAAGTCTGTTTTTGTCTGTGCTCATCTCTTTCTTGTAATACATTGCTAAGAAAGGCCAATAGTAGCAAATAGGCACTGTTACTCTCATATCAATCTCTTGTCCTCACGTCCAAAAACTACAGGCTTATAGGCTCATGAGGTGTGTTGTGCCTTTCTATTTAATGTATGAAGTGGTTTTACCATATGTTTTGCCATGAAACAACATGACCTGAACCTTCATTGTTCCAACCTCATCTATCAGCCTCCATGAGGCTATCTGAAATAATATTTGTGAATACTTATTTCCTTAATCTGATCTCTATCCTAAGGCTGCATTATAGGTTCTGGGATCCTTCCCTTTTCAGGGACAAATGGAAAAAAACAACAAGGATCACTTGTGGGATATTGTGATAAAATGGGCCTGAAATTGATTAACATCTTTTCTGCCCACATTCTGTTGGTCACAATTAAGTCATATGGCCATATTTAATTGCAAAGTGTGATAGAAAATGTATTTGTGTGTGTGTGTGTGTGTGTGTGTGTGTGTGCCCAGTGGGAAATGGCAATGGATTTTAGTGCATATGTGCAGTCTCTGTCACACCAAAAAGTACAAAACTAAGTATCTGGGTATGCCAAATTCAGCTATATTGTTAGACGGTATTGCTTAGAGCATTATGAACTATTATTGATAGTTACTGAACATTTAACAGCAAAAGATCTGTTGATAGTATGATATCAATGTGCAGACGATTTAAAAATCTTGAGGCATTCCAACTATCATACACAAATCAGAGGCAATTCATTTACTTAAGCTCATTATTGACTACCTATTATGTATTGGACTTTATGTTATGTGCTATGCAAAGAAAAAGCACAGGATATATCTGTAACCTCAAAAAGCTCTCAGTATTCCAGAAGAGGCAAACATACACACAAGTAACTAAAACACATTTTTTTGTTCTATTATGCAGTTATAAACATTATATAGGAGCACAGAAGAGGGAACTACTATGTCTAGTCTTATTTAAAAACAAAAGAAAACAGAGACAGCAAGAAAATAGTAACTATTAAGAATGCTGTGGTTTGTTTTTGTTTTTGTTTGGTTTTACTATGTAAATGAAGTATCTCATCAAATAAGGAAGACTTTATGAGCAGGGAGTTATCAAAATGCTGAACATGGCTGGACGCGGTGGCTTATGTCTGTAATCTCAGCACTTTGGGAAGCCGAGGCGGGCGGTGACCTGAGGTCAGGCGGGTGGTGACCTGAGGTCAGGAGTTCAAGACCAGCCTGGCCAACATGGTGAAATCCTGTCTCTACTAAAAAATACAAAAATTAGCCAGGCATGGTGGCAGGCGCCTGTAATCCCAGCTACCTGGGAGAGGCTGAGGCAGAAGAATCGCTTGAACCTGGGAGGTGGAGGTTGCAGTGAGCCAAGATTGCGCCATTGTACTCCAGCCTGGGAAACAAGAGTGAGACTTTGTCTCAAAAAAAAAAAAAAAAAAAAAAGTGCTGAACATGCTGCCCTGAAGAAGCAAAACCCAAAGGTGTTCAAAAAGGTCAGTGGTTTGTCTAATTCAATGTTTTGGGGAAGATATCTTGAAATCTTAAAATCCAGAACAATATTTAAAGTAAGAAAAGAAGCAAAGCCATTTTTTCCTCTTTGGTGGTTGTTATTGTTGACGTTGAAGAGTAACTGGAAAGAATAAGTTAAATGGTCAAAAGTTTGTTTTTGAGATGCCTGCAGTATGGCACTTGGGCAACCTCCCATGATGCTAGATCCCTGTTGGGTCTGACGAAGGCAGACATTCATTAAGCCTCTCACCACCAGTGGTTGGATCCCATCCACTTCATGCAAGTAGACAACCACAAGTATTTTATTCCGTATATCAGTACCAGAAGCTAGGAGCATGGAATGCACACAGTATGCTTTGAACCTCATAATTGTTCCTTGTAATAATAAATTTTTACATTTGAACCTGTGAGTTATCAAGGAAAAAAAAACAAAAAGCCACTTTGGTTAAGGGATAGACTTAAAATAACAGGAATTATGGAAATGGAAAAATACCACTTTTCTTTGTTGGCTCAAGGATTTATGTGTGGGGAAAAAATGATTCAGAGGTGATGGCCTTTCTTGGACATTAACAAACTGTAGAGGAGTTTGCGTCCCTGACAATGGATGGTGTGTAAAATCTAATGGTGGTGGGGGTGGGAGGAAGAGGCTGGATGTGGCAGAAAAAGAGAGGCTGAGCTTAGGCAGTTTTATACTTACAAAGGGAGAAATTGTTTGGATTTTTTTTCTTTTTTGGAAAGAATATCTATTGTTAAAAGTCACTTCAGCCTTTGCTAGAGAGTGAGAATAATTGGGCTTTAAAATATTAATAGAATATGAATATTGATGAAAAGTGAAATATCCTACAAACAACAGGCTTTTTCCAGCCAATTTGTTATACTCAACTCATGCCGATCGGATTCTGAGCTTTATACAAATAAACTTTAGATGGAAAATAAATCAAACATTTAAACATTAGAAATCTCATGACAAAAGAATAGAGAAACAAATAGACATTTCTTTCCTAAGAGTTGAAATTAAAGAAAAAATTCACAGTTGAAATTTCAATACATTAAAAAATTTCTAATGTAAAAACTTATTTTCTGTTGAAATGCAAACCACATATTACAGTGATAGTTACATTACATAGGGGATTGAGTTCATCTCTTAATGCCTCATGCAAATTTATAAGAAAATAATTAGCATAATTAACAATAATTTATTGGTCGATGTTATAGTAAATGTATAAATGAACAAATAAAAATAGCAGATATGCTAATGGAAACTGTTTAATTATGCTAATAATAAGAAAGTATCATAAGTTAAGATGTTATTTCACATATTAAATTATGGTAAACACAGAAAGAGAATGTTTAAAGCTAGCAAGAGTATCATCGGCCTGATTATCCTTCACTGATGATGATGTTATAAATTGGTAAAACTGTTTTAGGATGCAACTTGAAAACGTGTGTATTTGTTGATTGAATAAGCTGAATTTAGTGGATGAAATTGTGAAATGATTGTATTTTTCTTCTGCAACAGCCTGTTAAATTCTGTGTTGAATTTTCCATCCTTGCCCCCCGACAAAAACTTCTGATAAATTAATCAGTAGAGCTGATTACCAGTAGAGCTGATGTACAAAAGCCTAGTCAAAATTAAGAAACAAAACAAAACCAAACCACAAAATCTTTTATTGTCTCATCCTCTTTTAAGCTTCTCCCCTGGACCCCTGATGTGGGACTTGGAAAATTACAGTAAGGAAAGTAGATACTTCATTATTTTCCCACTTTATTCTTTCATCTTCCCTTACTCAAGATGTTATTTCTTGACCCCGTCTTGGTGATGTTGGGTAGATAAGAGAAACCAGGGTGGAAAAGTTATTTATCAATCAACACAGTTGTAATCTGGAGCCAGACAGATACCTAAATGCTGTCTTCCTACTGAAGATATTTTGTAGGTTCTTCAAAAAAGCCAGTGAAAACAATCTGCTATATTATTCACTGTCTTGGGCAGTGCCCCAACTAGCTGGCTATGAATGCCATCCACCTGAACCTCTGCTTCTTGGGTAATCTTTCTATAGCCTCTTAGTGCTGTTGTCTGTTAGCCCTCGCAGGTAAGCCACATGTTGGGATCCTTTCTAGGTAATTTATGCCTCGCTACCCTCTGTAGGGTCCACACTGGCTCCACTTTTTCTCCGTGTTCAGCCATCAAGACTATTTCCAGCCAATCTCCTGTCTTTAAATTTTGCAGGCAAGAGCTGGCCTCTTTGTTTTCCAAATCCCTCACATATCAAGATCTAAATTCCCTCACTTGGCCTGAGGTTAGTTAAGAAAGTATGAAGGAAGGAAAGAGAAATGCTGAGTAATGCTGACAACTGTTCCAAAAAAATAATTGATCAATTCCCCTAATGAATGCTTACCTTTTGTTGTATAAGGGAAGGCAGGTGATGGACTAAGAGCAGCTGAATCTGTTTTGGGAAAGCCCTTTTGCAGCTCACATTTAAAAGATCGGGCATCTCTCTTCAGAAGGTACAGTAATTATTGCATACACTTTTGAGCTTTGAAATCGTAGCCCAAACTGAGACAATGGAAAAGTCCCATTTAGATGTTACACATTTTAAAAAATCTTCAGAATTTCCAAACTTTTAGCCTCTAGGGGAAGAAAACAGAAACAACTAAATTATGTAAAAGCTTGGTGCGTTAAGATAGTAATTATAGTGTTAATTTGAAAACTATAAAATTTGAAAATGAGAATTTGAAAGTAATCCAATATCTCATAATAGGAGAATAGTTAAGAAAGGGCATATCTAAATTAAAGAAAACCTGCCTTCTAAAATAATGAGCTATGTTATTGTGCAGGAAAATATAATACAACATTGAGTTGGAAAAATGAGACATAAAATTGTATTTACACTATGTTTATAACTATGTAAGGTACATATTTAAGAGGTTTGGGTCAGGAAATAAAACAGCTAGTTGTCTATCACAGCCCTGGAACTTGGTAGCTCGGTAACCTTAAGGACATTATTTAAAGTCTCCAACTTATCTCTCTAAAAAGAAGATAATACTTTCTGTTGTTTTCATGAGACTTACATGCGCTAAAGCATTGCCTGGCACTTAGTAATTAATTAAAAAGCTCTATTGAAAGACTGAAAAGGACACACAAAAATGAAAATAGGAGTGATGTTAAAATGATTTAAAATTCTTTTACATTATTTGTAATCTTCCCATAATGCTGTTTTGTTACTTCCATAATTAAAAACAAACTAAAAAAGCTAAACAGTAGGGGGACAATATATTGGTGACACCAACCCACAAACATGTAGGACATCTAAACAGGAGGTTGCACCAAATTGAGGCTTCCTCATATATCACAGACAAAATTGTTTTCCCAAGATACTGTGTTAACCAATCAATTCAATGCTCATTCCAACCAATTGGCATGTTCTAGTAACCTTTGTATCACCTGGGTATCATTGGCATAGATTTTAAACATACGTTACAGCAGTTCACTTTGCTTTCTTTGTAGTCCATTTCTGTCAAGTTACAAAACCCAAATAAAATATTTCAGAAACAAACCAGGGCTATTATCCAGTTTATGAGCATTTAGATAAAAAGGGAAAAATCACAACCCCCTGAAGTAGGCTTAATTCAAACAAGAGAGTATATCTTGCAAACCATTCGATAATTTTTATTACAGTTTTTGATATGCACTTATTATCTAGACTATAATCTGCAAATGAATTGGGTATTAAAGTAAACCACTTTTGAAAGTTTGCAAATAAACTATCTCCCTATATATTATCACTCTTTTATTTGCTCTTATTTGGACTAATAAAGATGAAAACATTATGTGCCTTATTTCAAACCAATAAGAGAGCCAAAGAGAACTTTGAAAAATGATGTAAAGGTTGAAAATTTAAAAGTGCTTCCTTTAGTGGGTTTTGGACAAGAACCTTGACCATATCCCAGAAATATATAATTGATTCACCTAAGCTTGTTTCTTAAAGACTAAGTAAAACTATTATTCACATATGTACTTCTCATATGGCTTTATGCTGTTGCTTCTCGTGATAACTTAAAATAATTTTTAAAATCCATATTCTCAGATTTGAGGTGAAATCTGAACAAGTGCAATTACGTGTCTTTCTTCATAGTTACACGTGGATAAACTACTAAAAATAAACCCCAAAATAAAAACATTTTAAACGTAATATTGGAGAATTTTCTTCCATTAACTCTTTATTACTTAAAAGACGGTGAATTTTGTCTGGAACCTTGTGGTCAACTATTTTAAAATGAACATAGAATTGGGGGTAGTAGGTCATTGATATTTCTGATTTTTAAAAATTTGAGTTCAGTAGTTTATCCATCAAATGTTGCTAGAAAACATTAAGATCTGAGTGTCATACAACTATAAGCATTGATTTCTGAGTTACGGCAGCTGGGTGGGAAGGGTACATCTTGGCTGAGATCAGCTGGTCTTTGGTTCCAGCCACGTATTTGGATCAGTTTTGCTCCAAGTGTTCTCAGCTTTTGAGAGTAGTAGGCTGGATGGGGAATGTTCTCATGATGTGGGATGAAAGGTCCCAAAGGTGATGAGAGAAAAAAAAATGCCACTTAAGGCCTAGGCCTGGAATGTAGGCCATTCCCATCCCATTATTGTAAGTTACATGCCCAAGTATTGCTAATGCCTATTCCTCTCTGAGAGATGAGAAAGAATGGAATGACCATTCCTGAATAACAATTTAATCTCCCACAAGTGATACATATTGTACTTCATGTTCCTACAATGTTGTCATAAACATTTCCACCCAATGACTAAATTCTCCTGCTTCTTTTCTCTTTAATGTCTCTTCCTACTTCTCTAGTTTCTTGGGTTACGAATGCCACATATCTCCCTTAAACTATTCCAATGATCTCCTTCCCTGTGCTTTCATGGACTTAACCTTCATCTTCTAAAATACTGTCGTTAACTCTGTATTGTAAAATTGGGGCATATTATTCTATTCCTTATAATTCAGTGACTCCTTATCATAATAGGTGGGCAAATTTTCTTAAGGTGGAATAGGTGACCCAGTCAAACTAACTTATACATGGAAAAATGACTAAAAAATAACCCCCCAAATAAAAACCTATTAAATATAATATTTGAGAATTTTCTTCTGTTAATTCTTTATTACTAAAAAGACTGTGAATTTTGTCTGGAACCTTGTGGTCAACTATTTTAAAATGAACATAGAGTTGGGGGTATTAGGTTATTAACATTTCAGATTTTTAGGAATTAGAGTTCAGTGGTATATTAGTTTGTTTTCATACTGCTATAAAGAACTGCCTGAGACTAGGTAATTTACATAGGAAAAGAGGTTTAATTGACTCATAGCATGGCTGGAAGGCCTCAGAAAACTTACAATCATGGCGGAAGGTGAAGAGGAAGCAAAGCACCTTCTTTACAAAGTGGAAGGAAGGAGAAGTGCTGAGCAAAGGGGGAAGAGCCCCTTATAAAACCATCAGATCTTGTGAGGACTCACTCACCATCATGAGAACAGCATGGGGGAAACTAACCCCATGATTCAATTACCTCCACCTGGGCTTTCCCTTGACACGTGGGAATTATGGGGATTACAATTCAAGATGAGATTTTGGGTGGAGACACAGCCAAACCATATCAAGTGGTATATCAATCAAGTTTTGCCAGAAAACAATAAGATCTGAGTATCATATCATACAAATATAAGCATTGATTTCTAATTTATGGCAGCTGGGTTAGAGCTTCTGCTCTAATTTCTGCATTACATTTTAGACATCCATGATCCTCTCATGATTTCATACACCTTGATGCCCCTGTCTCTGCAATATTATCTATCTGTAGTGTCTTCTTCCAATGGTCCATGAGTCAAAGTACTCCTGATCCTCCAATTCTACCTCTTGTCTGAAATTGAACCAGTCAGGAGACACTAGGTTAGGAAGCAAATGACAGTGGCTTATAACCACAAACATGTATTTCTTGCTTACATTACATCCCCATTGCTGACTGGTTTTAGAACTCTTCATTCCAGGACCCAGACTAATGGAGTAAATCTTATCTATTTATTTCACCTTAGGGAAAATAAACATAGTGAAGCACGTTCTAGCTCTTAAAACTTGTGTTTGCCACTACCACACTCATATTTCACTGGCTGAGGCAAGTCACATATACATGTCAGAGTTCAACAGGATGAAGGTGTAAAACTCTTCCTCAAGAGAGAAGGACATCTCAATGTGAGGCAGTAAATATTTTGAAGAGTATCAAAATCTACCACAGAAGTGGCCCTTTTGTCTTCCTGTTAAAGATTTCTTTTACTATGTTACAACAATAATTAATATAACTATCACTTGCTGAAATATCTATTTTTATTGATATCTATATATCTTTATTGATCACTCAGTTCATTGAGTACTTTTTCTACTTCCCACATAACTTCAGGCAAAAGCATTACTAATTTTTTTACTACAACATAATGAATTCCCTCTTTCTCTAGTTTCCAACATTTGCTTCATTTACCTGTGAGCCCTCACCTGTAGCTTTAGGAAAAACCACAAGGCTTCTATTGACGGTGTGTTCGAGGCACTACAGACTGTCACTAACCCTTTCGTCAAAGCCCATTGCTCAGTTCTAAAGCCACTTCCACATTGTGGGTTGGTATTTTGCCACCATCTCACTGTTAATATTAACATATGATAGTTACATGTTGCTCTGTAACAAATTACTACAAAACTTAGCAGCTTAAAACAGCAAACATTTATTATTATCAGTTTCTGAGGGTCAGGAATCCAAGAGTGGATTGGCTAGCTGCTTCTAGCTCAACGTCTCTTGTGAGGTTGCATTCAAGCTGTTACTGGGCCGCAGTCATCCGAAGGCTTGACTGGGGCTGGGAGATCTGCTTTCAGTATCACTCATGGGGTTGTTGGAAGGCCTCAGTTTCTGCTGAGTGTTATCCAGAGGCTCCAGTTCCTCACCACATGGGTCTCCCCACAGTGCTGCTTGAGTGTTCCTCAAGACCTGGCAGCTGGTTTCTCCCAGGATGAGAAATCTGAGAGAGATGTCCAAGAGGGAAGCTTCAGCCTTTTATAACTTAGTGTCAGAAGTACCAACTATCAATTCTGCCATATTCTGTTGGTCACACAAACTGTGATACAGTATATGGAAGGACTATACAATATTAGGAGATAAGGATCATTGGGAGAACAATATGGTAGGCTGGCTTTGACAAATAGTATTTTTTTCAACCTTGAAAATCCAGAGCTATCAGAGAAACAAAAATGACTTTAATGTGACTAGTTTAGTTGACTATTTATATAGTTATTTAAAAAAATCTCTTTTACCTGTGTGCCAGCCCCTATGATAGCTGCTGGTCATGTAGAAATGAAAATGTTTCTTTCTTTGAGGACATTACAAACTATTAGGGAAATAAACATACACAGTTATGTATCATAATTTTGTTTCATCAACAATAAACTGCATATACAACAGTGACCCCATAAGATTACAATAGTGTATTTTTACTGTACTTTTTCTATGTTTAGATACACAAATACTTACCACTGTGTTACAATTACCTACAGTTTTAAGAACAGTAACATGCTATACAGGTTTATAGCCTAGAAGCAGTAGGCTAAACCATATAGTCTAGGGGTATGGTAGGCTATGCAATCTGGGTTTTTTGCGAGTACACACTATGATGTTTAGATAACATCATCGCCTAATGATACATTTCTCAGAATGTATCCTCATCATAAAGGGATGCACCACTGTGCAGAAGTTAAAAATTACTTTATACATTAATTGCTGTAATAGAGTACCTACATATCATAATGAGAGTCAAAATTACAAGTGGTTAAAGACTTCGACTTTTGGAGTCAGATCACAGAATTTTGATTCCAAGCTTCACCATTTATTAGTTGTAGTACCTTTAGCAAATTACTTTACCTTTCGTGACTCAATTTTTTCATTCACTAATACAGAAAATAATAGTGTTTTCCCATAGGGTTGATACAAATTTTAAATGACTTCTACAGAGATAGATATATAGGAAGGTAGGTAGATAGATGATAGATAGATAGACAGATATGCTTGCAGGTATGTGAGTCAAAAGTTATTTCAATTTGAAAGAAGTGGTGTTCTTGTCATGCAGTGGTAGCAAATTTAGAAACATTGTCATTTGCAGTTACATATAAAATAGAATATATGTGCAATAAATTTGATAATCCAGCTAAGTTGTGACAATGATGACGTCAATTGCATGCATGGGTGGAAGAGGATACAAAGGCAGTTTTAGATAAAGAATTTCATCACTTATTGGAATAGGCATTTCCAATTTCTTGCTTATTCCCAACATTTGAGCTTATAATAGAGGATCAAAGAGGAACTTTTTTTCTCTTTATAAAAATAATGCCTTTAATTATCTGAAGAATATAAATGTGAAATGGATAATTTACTGTGTGGATATTTGTGCTTGTTAAAGTAAGAGTCTGGATATGATTGAAAATTAGCCATGCAACAATTCTAGTCTTTCTTATTGCCATCTAGCCTGCTTTGGCCAAGATTGTCATAAAAAGCTAGAAACATTGCATAGCCACTGTGATAATCTGTTCTGGTGGACCATCTATTTGCATGACCTTGGTTATAAGGTCATGCAATGTGCTAGAGTTGGTGGGGAAAAACTTGTGCCTTTGAAATTTAAGAGCACTTTTTATTCCCTCTGGTAGTTTTCCTGAAATTCCGTGAGTAGGACTTACCTAGCTTGATTCTTCGTTACTTGGAAATCCTGAATAGTTTCTCTTGGAAGTAACCTGATGGAAAAAATTAAAAATGTTTCAGAAGAACTATTAATGCTGGGTGTTTTCTTTTTCTGAAGCATTTTATTTTTATTTAGACTTAGATCAAGAACACTTATGAGATTAAAGTTAGCTGATCCAGCATGACAAAAATTGTTTTTATCAGAATTTCAAACCATAGCTTTATGCATCGGTAGGCTTGACTCTGTTTTTAACAATTGTCTTTACCTTTCTTGCACTTTAAGAAGATAACAAATTAAAAGCTTTTTACTACAATTTTGCTTCAAATGGCATGTTATTGCCTTAAAAAATAATAGTTTCTGAGGAATGTTAAGGGAATGTTTTAAGAAAGCACTGACACGGTCTCCAGAATCTTTTCATAGCGGACATTTAGTCCCATTCTTATTACCCTTAATGGTTGTTCCTTTTTAAAGAACAAGTACCAAATGTATGATGGGGACTTCCCAGAGAAAGACTAGGTTCTATTACTGGGTTTCTGCAGGAAAAAAAACAATCTATAGGAATATAATGAATAAACCCAAAGGAATTCCATTTTTTTAAATAATTTTTTTTTGTAAACACATACTATAGTCCTATCAACAATTAGATAAAATTTACATGTTGAAATTCTCAAAATCCACCCATGGAAAAACATTTGTAAGATTTCAATGGTGTGGACAATGCTGTGGATTGGACAAAGGAAGAGCAGGCTTCTAAAGTCCAAGGAGATCGCCAAGTAATTGGATGCTCTATGATGTGATTTAGTGCCTCTGCCAGAACAAGGCATCCAGGAATTAGTGTTGCCCTCTTTTAGTTTTACATAGGAGAATTTGTGGTGTAGAAAGAAAAGAAGAGACTTTGGAATAAGCAGACCTGAGTGCCATTGATTAACACCTTCAACTTCCACAGACTTCTGAATTGCCCCAAACATCTGGTTTTTTCACTTCTGAAACAAGGACAGAAATTAAAGGGATGTTGGGAAGTGAAATATCTAGCAGGGCTCTCACCAAGGTTAGTTGCCTTCCACTTGCTGTTGGTGTTTGTATGAGTTAGATTTATATCTAATTTCTTAATGTAATTCACCAGAAGGTTATAGTTTTCTCCATGCACAAATAAGCTCCACAATGACACAGAAAAATTTTATCCTCTGTGAAGAAGACAAAGGTCTTAGAAAGGTAAATTTTAACCTGTTTGAAAGTAGCTGTGGAATAGTGGAAAGAGAAATACTCATGCAATTCTAACCCAAGGCTTAGCCTGTCACCCTAAGCTGTCAGATCCATGGCTTCCTCCTTTATGTGATGAATTTAGTGAGATAAATTATTCAAAATATAGAAGATGATTAATAAAAGCCCATTATGAAAAATGAAAATAAAAATGAACTATAACTAACTGAAAATGAAGGATGCCTTCCCTCCTGATTCATTTTTAACATAAAGTGAACAAAGACACTTAGAACCGTGGGGCACCTGCGCTCTTTCCTCTGTTTTTATGAATATATAACAGGAAAAGGAGAGGGAGATTGTCATACATCATTTTTTTCTAAGTATGCTTTGTTACAGCAGCTTCACTAATTAATCCTGCTACAACCCAATATGTGGGTGAATTCTTCTGTTCAAAGCCTTTGGAACAATCAAGTGTGTCCCAACATGTTTTATTTCTCTTTTCAAGTTGCTACACGCAAGTCCTGATCTGTTTTCTTCTAGTTAGCATGTTGCTGCAGAAAAGGGCTTTATCAGCCTCATGAGTTTCAATATCAGATTGAATCTGCTGTGATGCTTACAGACAGATGACAGCAACTCCCAAGCAGCTAATGGTGTGTGATTTTGATCACATTCCCAGGACTGAAAGTGTGTTAGCATGAACCATTCCCACACATTCACCTGGTGCTCCTGTGACTGTGTCTTGAGACCAAAGACATACTTTTTGAGGGAGATTATACAGGTCCCATGGGGGGTAACAGGTCAAGTAAACATCTTGGAATGCAGCTTATGCTAGAAAGTCATTATTAAATTATTTGCCTCTCATGTGAAAGAACCTCAATGGGTGGTTTTAAAGATGTATTCTAATTATTTTTCAGTCAAATGAAAATCAGTAACCAAGATACAAATTATACAGCAAAGATTCCACAGAAACAAATTAATGGAAAAACTGTGAATATGATCTTTTTGTGATTAAACATTTCTAACATGAATGTTCAGTTTTATGTTTCTTCATATTTCAGTGATGAAAAAATTTTATTGTCTTTCAATTTTATTGTCCTTCAAATTTTATATGTCTTTCAAAGTCAGTCAACACTGACTTTGTTCTGAACCTTGAAGGTCTTGTTTGGTGCCCTGGTTTGAAGTCTGAACGAAAAGAAACCAATCATTATAAAACAATTTTCACATATTGTAAGATACAGTATTATCTGTACTTTAAGTCACTCACCTTGTTCTTTATTCTGAAATTCTTTGGGAACACAATATCATTTTTAGTAATAAACAAGATAAAGAGAGAAGTGACAATGCCAGAAAATAGAAAATCACTTGTTTACTTGGTTTACTAAATTTATTTATATAATATTATTTTCTTCTTGCAGTTTTTGTTTTGCTTTGTTTTAGTTTATACATGAAAGCAAACAAGACATAATACCATGGCTCATAGTTTCAGATCATGCATTCCTGAAATTCCCAATCTTTTACAACAGGAAAACTTCTAAGATTGTATTTACAGTTGAATTTTACCCGGATAATATATACTGTGACTATAGCGGCTGAAAATGGAACATTCATACAGTTTTTTAAGTCCTGAGCCTATCAATCAAATAAGAAGTATAGTGCAATCATTATTATCAAGTGAACTAACCTGCAAAATATACATTTAGATTGCCAAAAGTTTAGATGGAACAAGGGGAACACATAGACAAAAAGAATCATCCCCAGCTAAAATAATTATCTATTTACAAAACTTCAAGCTCAGAGATATTTGGCCCAACTCATTGATGGGCAGGTTCAGCATCTCCAGATATTTAGTTCAAGAAGCCCTGGTTTTCTTTTTTATGCTATTGTTTTTTTTAGGAATTGGCATGTTCAGTTAAAAAAATCCAAATTTTAATATTGGAAAAGCGAATCAAATTGGTTCCTGGAACTATTCTTTAGGCAGCCTCAATTGTTCAGAGAGCCTGGATGTGGTGAGGTTAACACTGACCTTCAAAGTTGGAGACAAGCTCTTCCAGCCTAGTCTTCCACATGGATAATGATACCTGGAATCAGTGAAGTTACAAAAGATATACATTATTTGTATAAGTATCTGTACAAGGTTTCAAGAACACCTGGTAGTTTTTAGCTTTTCTTCCCTCACACTGCTGCCCCAGTATATTTTCTTTCAATGCAGAAACACCTTACGTTACAGAATGATGACAGTATGAAAGCTGTTCAGAACTGTAAATAATGATTTTCCATGCCAGTCTTTTTTTTTTGGTACATATATATGATAAGGCTGAGAGGAAACAATTAAAAATAATGTCTATTTTATTGCAACTAAGTTTATAGCCTTTCAATGTAGAAACTCCTGAAAAACTTGGAGAGGCATTCAAAAGACTCATAAAATGCCCTTACATCTCAGTTCGAAAGTGAATGCATTTGTAGCCTTTCCGTTTTTGCCAAAAAAAAAAAAAAAAAAAAAAAAATGAAAAATTCTGAAACGTTTGCCCTTTTTTTCCCTCAGATGAGAGGTATAATGTCCTAGTTGCTGAGGTCCTCTGGAAATTGAGATAACTTGAAATTTTCTTATTCTCCCTCATCTAGGAAATTAAATAAACAAATATATCTTTTAGTATGTGGCCGTGGGAACATGAATATATTGACTGATTTTTTGGAGAACTAAGGTGGAAAGAATGTTCTTTATTTAGCTGCAGGTATCTGATATTTCCCTCTAAATAAACTCAGCCATAGACTTAAGACTTCTTAAAAGTTCATTTGTATGTCTGCCCAAGTAATACATCTAAATCAGATTTTTTCAGTCTTGACTTTATTGCCATTCTGAGCCAGAATATTCTTTATGTGGGTGAGGGAGTGTTCTGTGCATTGCAGAATGTTTAGTGGCATCCTTGGCCTCTATTGACTGGATGCCAGTAGCTTCTCCAAGCCCCACCTCAATCGTGACAACCAAAAATGTCTCCAGACATTGTCAAATGGCCCCTGGGGGGGATATAGCCCTTGGATCAGAATCGTTACTGTAAATCTTGCAAAACAATAATACTTTACTACTTCTAAGGCTTAATATGTTAGTTATCTAGGATATATGGATATATATATTTATATTCTCTTATAGATAGTTTTTGTCATTCATATGCAATTCTCTAAGCTCTTTGATTAGTCTACTAAAAGAAAGTGAAGATTGGCTTAAACGTAATTTTTTTTTCTAACTCTTACAACGTACCGTGTATGTCTGTTATATTTTGAAAACCAATTTTAATGTGTTGGCTGTCTGTTCATTATTGATAGAAACAATTTCTTGCCTTTACTACATCACTCAGGGGATCTTGGATCTTAGTTCAGGAACAGTGTTTTGCTGGGCCAGCTTCATGTGTGATCATGTCACTATTTTAAAATATATTTGCTGATAATACAGTCTTATGTACAGCTGTCCTCAAGAGCTAGCCAACAACTGTCTCATCAGGATGGGTTTTCCATCTTCTTCTTCTTCCAGCACCTTTTTCTTCCTTCCATGATATAGATATATTGATCATGAGGAGAGGGCTCACCCCTCACCCGGAGAAGTAGTTGGGGAAGCAATATGCGGAAACAAAGCCATGAATCTGACAAGAAATGTACTTAAGGTAAGTAATAAGATTGGGTTGCATTTTTATGATGTGCTACAAAAAAAATGTCCTCAAAAAATCTAGCTCTGGAAGCCAACCATTATTCACTTTGGGGGAGCATGCCATGCAAAAGATCTCCTGGTTTTGGGAAATCACACAGTGACCTATGTTGTTTCTGCTGCCTACCGAGGAACACGGACGCAGCTTCAGTCTAAGAAAGAACGTTCAATTGAGGCAGTCACTTTCTCTGGGCCAAATTACATTCTTCATAATCTCCCAAGTGTTATATTTAATTTACATTTGAAATAGAAAATATGTGAACATAGACTTTGGCTCACGAATTATTTCAGTTTTCTGAATTCAGGAGAATGTGCTTGTTGAAGCAGATGTTTCTGAATTTTATTTTATTACTGAAATTTCCACAAATATAAATCATTTAAAAATACATGATTTAAGAGTTTAATAACCTGAAAATGACCACCCAGCAAAGTTTTTGTATCTTTCCTCAGCATTTCTGATCATGTGTTTTCAAGAAAGCATTGAATTTTTTAGCAAAGCTTCTCATGCAGATAATCTCTTAAAGGTTTAAATCTCTTACGGAGCATAAGAAAAATAAACTATTTTTTGACTTCAATCTAAATGGAATTCTGTACTCTTCACAAGCCCCTGAATATTTCATAACTCTGAAAGATGCAAATGTAAATTTCCTATGAATCCCGATTTTATTCAAAGATTGAAGCCCTATCACCTCACTTAGAACAAATTTCATCCATTAACAACTATCTTGCAGGTAAAGGGAAGCCAAATATAAGTAAAGTACTAACAAGGCCAATTACGTTCAGGTGCATGGATGATTAATCATAAAATTCACAACGGAGGACACTCTGTGGGTAAGGAATATGATTCCTTTTTGCAAATAATGTGGTATATGTATATATTTTTCTTCTCTTCTCCTTTCACATGCACTGTTTAGATTGTATATATGGAGATGAATACCCATTGTCCTTTGCACTTTCTGGATGATAAATTAGAAAAGAAAAATCCAAAGAATGAAGTTGTGCTATTTGTCCTCACTTCTGATTTGGGAAACTAGAGGAAATTAAGATGGTTAGTATTGCTATGATTTTTTTCCCCCTGAACCCTAGGAAATAGGAATTTAAAGTCCTTAAATATATTTTCTATAATCAACAAATTATAAAGTTATTTTCACTAATCTTTTTGAAAATACAAATATAAGCCAGAGGTTCTTATTCATGGCTCATTTCTCAGGACTTCATAAGACCATGAAGCACAGTGAAACCCATATATTGAATAGGTCTCATGCAATCTGCCTGCATTGACTAAACCAAACCCACTCATTCAAACTTTATCAAATATTTTTTATCCTTTACCATGTACCAGAAACAGGACAAGGGACGCAGAATATAGAGGTGAACCAAAGAAACAGTTCTTGTCCTCAAGAAGCTTATATTTTAGTGTAGCAGACAGAGGCACAAAGAATGTAAACCAATAAAGAGAAAAAGATAATTTAGATGGCAGTAAGTTATATAAGGAAAATTAAACAAGGCAATGGGATAGAAAACAATGACCAAGATGTAGAGAAAACTTTGGCTTGGGCTGTCAGGGCGTGACACTCACTAGAGAGATTCCATCTGAGCTGAGATATAATAAATAAAAATGATCTAAACATGTCGATTCAGGGAAAGACTACTTCAGGAATTGTAATCACAAAATCCTATTCCTAAGATAGGAATGGGCTGGGTGTCCTTGATTTAGAGAAGAAAATCAAAGTGCGTACTCTAGGAAGTAAGATTAGGTCCTGCTAGGGACTGAACCGTGTTTCTTAAAAATGTGTATGTTGAAGCCCTCATCCGCACTGTTACTGCATTAGAGATATGGCCTTTAAGGAGGTAATTAAGATTAAATGAAGACTAAGAGCAGGGCACTAATCTGATATGATGGGTGTTCTTATAAGAAGAGACACCAGATCTCTCTCTCTCTCTCTCTCTGTCTGTCTTTCCATGCACAGGGAAAAGACCATGTGAGGACACAGTGAGAAGGAGACCATATGCAAAGCAGGAAGGAAGATCTCACTGGAACCAAAAACCAGCCCTGCTGGCACCCTGATCTTGGACTTCTAGCCTTTCTCAGAACTGTGAGAAAATAAATTTCTGATGTTTCAGCCACTCAGCCTGTGGTCGTTCGTTATGCAACCCTAGCAGACAAACAGGGACCTAGCTTAAGAACTGGTTAAAAATGAGGCCAGTGAGGAATTTGATACTCTATGGTTGGGAAAGTTTGATTTATTCTAAGTGCAATGGAATGGAGCTGGGGATATAAATTTTGGATTTACTGGCAGGTGAAACATATTTTAAAATAGACTAAAATTAAATTTCCTAAGGACAGAATGTAGACAGAAAAGAATCAAGGTTTTATGACCAAGATCCAAGTCACTCCAATATTTAGAGTTCTCCCAAGCATTTAAAGAAGGCTTACACTGATTCTATGTAGCATCTTCCAAAAAATAGAAATTTTTCACGGCATCTTTCCAAGTCATTATATGAGGCCAAAATTACCTTGATATTTTAACCAAAGACAGTACGAGAGAAAAAGCTATAGATCAATATCTCACATGAACTTAGACATAACATTTCTAAACAAAATATTAGCAACTTGAATCCAGAAATATGTAAAAAAGAATTATGCAACATAGCCAAGTGGGATCTATTCCAGGTATGCAATGCTTTTAAATGTTTGAAAAAAAGTCAATATAATCTACCATATTAACAGGCTAATCACATGATCATATCAGTTGATGAAGATCAAATCTATGACAAAATTTAACACCTATTTATAATTTTAAAGAACCTCTCTAAAAATAAAAAATAGAAGGAAATATCCTCAAATTGATAAAGATCATTTACAGAAAACACAAAAGCTAGCATTACACTTAATGGTGAGAATCTGAATTAGTTCCCCCTAAGATCAGGACCAGGCAAAGATGTTTGCTATCATCACTCTCATTCCATATAGTGCTGGAAGTTCTCACTGGTGCAATAAGGCACACAGTGGAAATAAAGACACTGAAATTTGTGTTAGTTAATTTTGTGTTGCTATAACGGAATGCCACAGAATGGATAATTTATTAAGAAAATTGTTTATTTCTTACAGTTTTGGAGGCTCAGAAGTTCAAGGTGCAGGGGCCCACATCTGGTGAGGGCCTTCTTGCTGTATCATCCCATGGCAGAAGGCAAAAGGGCAAGAGTACAAGATAGAAAGAGAAAGAGGGATGGGGGAAGGTTGATATGAGGGAGCCAAACTCATCCTTTTTATCCAGAGTCCACTCCTGAGATAATTAAGTCACTTCCGCAATACATCATTAATCCATTCAGAGCCCTCATGACCTAATCACCTTTTAAAGGTTCCACTTAACGCTGTTGCACTGGGGATTAAGTTTCCAATACAAAAACTTTGGGGGATGCATTCAAACTATAGCCAGTTTGAATGGAAAAAAATTTAACTGTTTCTATTTCAAATGACCTAATTGTATACATAGAAAATTCCAGGCAATCTTTTAAAAACTCCCAGAACTAATGTATAAGTTTAGCAAGATCATAGGATCCAAGACCAACACACAAAAATCAATCATATTTTTATACGCTAGCAATGAATATGTGGAAAACACAATTAAGAATACAAGACTATTTACAATTATTTCAAAAAAGAGAGAAATAATTAGATACAAATCTAATGTACACATAGGTCCTCTATGCCAAAAATGACAGAACCCAAAGGAACAAATGCAAAGGACCTTTAAATAAATGGAGAGATGACTTTGTAATGGATAGAAAGATTCAACATAATAAAGATGTCAATTCTCTCCAACTTCATCAACAGGGGCAATTCAATTCATATCAAAATTCCAAAAAAATTTTTTTGCAGATATAGTAAAATTTATTTTAAAATTTATATCTCAAGGCACAGGCCATGGACTAAGTAAAATTATTTTGAAATTGAATAAAGTTGGGTAGATTATTATATCCAATGTTAAGACTTAATATATGGCTACAATAATCAAGAGAGTGTGATATTGGTTGGGGGAATAGACTCATAGATCAATGGAACAGAAGAGATAACCCGAAACTAAACAACACAAATATGCCCAGCTGATTTTTGCAAAGGTTATAAAAGCGGTTCAGTGGAAGAACAGTTCTTTCAACAGATGATGTTAAAGCAATTAGATGTCCAAGGGCAAATAATTGAGTCTCAACCTAAACCTAATACTTCATTCAAAAATTAATTCAAAGTGTATTATAGATTTAAATATAAATGTAAAACTAAAAAACTTTAGCATAAAACAAAGAAAAATTTTAGGAAGTAGGGCTAGATGAGAAGATCTTAGATATGACACCAAAAGCACAACTCATAAGAGAATATAATTACTCTATTGGACTTCATAAAAATTAAAAACTTTTGCTCTGTGAAAGACTACATTTAGAGAATGAAAAGTTAATCTAAAGTTAATCTACAGACTAGAGGAAAATATTTGCAAATCACAAGATTCAACATAGGGCTTCTACTTAGAATATATAAAGAGCTCTCAAGCTGAACATTAAAAGAAAAATAAGCAGGCTGGTCTGAAGATAGCGAAGTATCTCAACTGATTGTTCACAGTTCGTTAAGGATCTTACTCTTTGTTCTACAATTCCCCCCTTCTCACTACTGCACTTGACTAATAAAAAAGCAATTAAATTAGAAAATTTATAAACAAAATTAACAAAAGATTTTTAACTGGGGAGAGATGATATCTCATTTTAGTTTTGATTTGCTTTTCTCTGATAATCAATGATGTTGAATGCGTTTTCACATGCCTGTTTGACATTTGTATGTCTTCTTTTGGGCAACGTCTATTCAAATCTTTTGCCCATTTTTTAAATCAAATTATTAGATTTTTTCCTGTAAAATTGTTTGAGCTCCTTATATATTCTAATTATTAATCCCTCATCAGGTGGGTAGTTTGCAAATAATTTCTCCCACTCTGCACATTGTCTCTTCACTTTGTTTATTGTTCCCTTCATTCTGCAGAAGCTTTTAAACTTGATTTGACCCCACTTGTCCATATCCAAAAGACAGGCAATAACAAATGCTGGTGAGGATGTGGAGAAAAGTGAATGCTTGTACACTGTTTGTGGGAATATAAATTAGTATAACCACTCTGAAGAATAGTTTGGAGGTTCCTCGAAAAATTAAAAATAGAGCTACCATATGATCCAGCAATACCATTCCTAGGTATATGACCAATAGAAGGGAAATCAATATATTGAAGAGATACCTGCACTCCCATGTTAGCTGAAACACCGTTCATAATAGCCAAGATTTGGAAGCAATCTAAGTGTCCATCAATAGATGAATGGATAAAGAAAGTGTGGTACTTATACACAATGGAGAATTATTTAGCCACGGAAAAGCATGAGATCCTGTCATTTGCAACAACATGGATGGAACCGGAGATCATTATGTTAAGTGAAATAAGCCAGGCACAGAAAGACAAAGATCACATGTTCTCACTTATTTGTGGGAGCTAAAATTTAAAACGATTGAACTCGTATACATAGAGTGTAGAGGATGGTTACCAGAGGCTGGGAAGGGTAGTTGGGGTTGATAGGGAAGATGAAAATAGCTAATGGGTTAAAAAAAATGAAAGAATGAATAATACCTGGTAGTTGATAGCAAAACAGGGTTACTATAGTCAAAATAATTTAATTGTATATTTTCAAATAACTAAAAGAATGTAATTGGATTGTTTGTAACACAAAGGATAAATGCTTAAGGAGATGAATACCCCATTTACCCTGATGTGATTATTATATGCATTGCATACCTGTCATCTGGATGTCCAAGCAGAAGTTTGCTGCAGAGGTGGGGCCTCATGAAGAACCTCTGCTAGGGCAGTGTGGAAGAGAAATGTGGGGTTGGATGCCCCAGAGTCCCCACTGGGGCACTGCCTAGTAGAGCTGTGAGAAGAGAGCCACCATCCTCCATACTCCAGAACGATAGATCCACCAACAGCTTGCACTATGCGCCTGGAAAAGCTGCAGACATTCAACACTAGCCCCTGAAAGCAGCCAGGATGGGGGCTGTATCCTGCAAAGCCACAGGGGAGGAGCTGCCCGAGGCTGTGGGAGCTCACCTCTTGTATCAGCATGACCTGGATATGAGACATGAAGTCAAAGGAGATCATTTTGGAGCTTTAAGATTTAATGATTGCCCCTTGGGATTACAGACTTGCATGGAGTCTTAGCCCTTTTGTTTTGGCCAATTCCTCCCATTTGGAACAGGTATATTTACCCACTGCCTGTACCCCCATTATATCTAGGAAGTAACTCACTTGCTTTTGATTTTACAGACTCATAAGTGGAAGGGACTTGCTTTGTCTCTGATGATACTTTGGACTGTGAACTTTTGAGTTAATACTGAAATGAGTTAAGACTTTGGGGGACTGTTGGGAAGGCATGATTGCTTTTGAAATGTGAGAACATGAGATTTGGGAGGGGCCAGGGGCTGAATGATATGGTTTGGTTGTGTCCCCACCCAAATCTCACCTTAAATTGTAATAATCCCCATGTGTCAAGGGTGGGGCCAGGTGGAGATAACTGGATCATGGGGGCGGTTTTCCCCATACTGTTCTCATGGTAGTGAATAAGTCTTACGAGTCTGATGGTTTTATAAATAAGACTTCCCCATACAAGCTCTCTTTTGCCTGCCACCATGTAAGATGTGACTTTACTCCTCATTTGCCTTCCGCTATGATTATGAGGGCTCCCTAGCTATGTGGACCTGTGAGTCCATTAAACCTCTTTCCTTAATAAATTACCCAGTCTTGGGTGTGTCTTTATTAGCAGTGTTTGAACAGACAAATATACAAGCACATATTTTTATTTTTGTTTTTTTTTTTTGTGGGGGGAAAGTTTTAGTTCACAAAAAAAAAAAAAAAATCCCAGAAACAGAATTTAAAGAGAAAAGCAGAATGACCTTAAAAATATATGTGTATTTATATATATGTGTGTGTGTGGGTGTGTATATGTGTGTGTGTAAAATATACATATACACACACATATGTGACTTGTCTTGGATATCAGCTTTTAATTATATATATGTATATATACCCATGCTAATATCCATGCTATGTAATACACTATATATAGTGTATTTTATATATATAGTGTATAATATATATAATACATATATAGTGTATATATTATATATAGTGTATATATTATATGCAGTGTATATATTATATATAGTGTATATATTATATGCAGTGTATATATATAGTGTATATATTATATATATAGTGTACATATTATACACTATACACTATATATAGTGTATAATATAGTGTGGATATTAGCTTTTAATTAAGTTGAGTTTTAACCCTAAAATTCTTTAAAACATCTTTTCAAGTATCTTATTACCCGATTTTAGCCAAGATAAACAGCTGATATTTCTGGCCTTTGCACAAAATCCAGAACCATTCTAAAGACAGTTTAAAGAAAGGAAAGTTTCACCAGCTACAAATGGAGTACAACTCATATGTCTCTCCAGCCATCTTTTCTAGGGGTCTCAGCTTCTCAGCTGTTCATCTACACACAAAGGCCCCAAAACATCGTGTGCCTCCCACAGATGGAAGAAGATGGGAAATCAAATACTGTCCAAGGAAGGAAAAAAGATTAATAATGAATTGGTATCCCAAGAGTCACACAAATATCAAATCAAGAGGGACTAATTCCCTGAGCAGGAAGCTAACCTAAGCCACAATGGGAATTGTAACCAACAGACTACAAAATGGAGCAGTGTCCACTGTGAACGTTGCATGGAATCCAAAGTGGCCTGTGTGAGTGTAACTTTGTTTTACCTCAGATTTTGCTATTTAATTTAGTTGAAAGAATTTTTAAGGTTTGCCATGACACTAATATGATTCTTTTAATACTATCTTCCCATTGTTTGGAATAAGGGATCTCTAAAATTTTATTTTATTTTATTTTATTTCTCATTTTTAGGAGTCTAATTTAAGGAATGGATCTTTTAGCCATTGAATTTTGAATGGTGTACTTAACTCCAATAGCAACTCAATCCAATACCCTTTCTCAGAGAAGAAGTGATTCCAAAGATCAAAGATTCCCCCATTTTCCCAGAAATAGGCTGAGAGAGTGAAACATTCTTTTTGCTATAGACAGTTAAAAATGGTGTTTTCCTCCTGTACCCCGAAATTTGTTGGGGGCTGTGAGTCACAGACCAGTTAATCTGTCACATTGGGTAGGCCCTCCTGTGATTAGACTTGCTCAGCACTAACCAGGCAGCACAGGTCAAGATGACAAAAGCCCCTTTATGAATGGCACTTCTTATGACAAACTCCCAAGAGCTTGACACGCTTGAAACAGAAAAAGTCACGGATTCCCAGCCATTTTCAGACTGGCCACCTGACCTGACCCAGAAATCATGCCCCACGGATGGTGGGAACCAACAGAGAAAGCGCTCACTTGATCACAGGTCGAGTTCTTAAGGACATAAACAAGAGGAGACAGAACCTCAACCAGTACCCCTCTTTATGGCAGAACACATAAATACAAAGACAAACAAAAAGATTTCTGGGAAGAAAGGGATCAAACAATATAAATATTCATATCACAAAATGCCAAAAAGTACACTAGAGTTGCTATACCCCAAGACTAGTCACACAGGCCCCCTTTTCTCATTAATAAAAACCTTGCAGAGGAGAGAAACAGTAATTTTTACCATCTACTCTACTGGACTGACCAAAAGAGAGAGCAGGACCATAGCTGGTAAGAAATTCTTACCCCTTTTGCTGGCTTCTTAAGTTCCTGGGTCTTTTTATTGAGGCTTCCAGAAGAACAGACAGGCTTTGGTGATTTTGCCCAAGGCACAATAACTATGGAAGCCAAGGTCCTTGGTCCCCAAAAGGTTTGTTGAAAAATCACTGACATAAGGTAGATTGAGTAATAGGAGAAAATGCATACAAATTTATTTAATGTGTGCACATGAGAGCCTTAAGAATAAAGATCTTACCTCCCAACGAAGTGCAAAATCGTATATACCATCTTGAGGCTACAGAAAGAATGGATGCTTGGAACCTAATAAAACAGATTATGGGAGGGGAGAGAAGAAGAATTCTGTTGAGAGAATTACTAGGGAGAATGAATGGATCCAGGAAAAGATATTAACTTATAAGCAGTAGTTCTCTTTGGAATTTTAATAATTCTTGGAGACCATCATTATACTTGTAAAAGGATCGGCTCAGGTGCAGTTACATTCTTGGTCTTTTCTGCAATAGATAATGAGATAACAAGGAGAGGAAGAAAAAACAATTATTCTGCTTGGTGGGTCTGGATCTTAGGCAGCTAAAGGAACTTTCATCTTCTACGAGAGGGATGGTATGGAGGGAAAGTTGTCAGAGAGACCTTGAAGCTTCTTCATTTCAGTATGTCTGTCATGAGCAGTGAAAGGTTAGAGATAACTAGTTCTACACATGTTTATGTCTTTTGACAATGTCAGGCTTTTATTAAT
This sequence comes from Homo sapiens, assembly GCF_000001405.40. Lineage (NCBI taxonomy): Eukaryota > Metazoa > Chordata > Mammalia > Primates > Hominidae > Homo > Homo sapiens. Next base: position 69,990,941 of record NC_000017.11, read on the forward strand.
ACTGTTTCAATCACAAAAGTCATGCATTGCAATGAGTTCCCAAGGAGGTAACCCTCCTTAGTACTTCCCGTTCACTTGGTAGTCAGTGCTGCAGACACACAGGCTCAGGCCACTCCACAAGTCTGTCAATATTGCAAACCATACATAATAGTATACTTAATCAATGTGTAAATGTTATAGATTAAACATTCCACAACAAAGTAATATTTAGCATCAAAAGGAAAAAGAGGAGAAAGCATTAATGAACTGATCCAGGGGGAGTGAAGAAGTAAAAGGAGTCCTGGTTTGGGCCTGGAAGTCCCTGGATATTGCAAGGAAGAATCTTTGATATGGCAGAGCCTTGGTGGCAGATGCTGAGTTCTTAGCACAGGTGACTGGAATGTGGTGTCAGTTAAGATGGCCGATCTGGGCTGCTGAAGGCCTGCTCCTTTATGGTTAAAGAGTCCTCCGGTGAGAAATGATCATGGAAGAGTGTACTTGTTTTTGTCCTTATCTGGTTAGATGCAGTTCTTTATTTTTTTGTTTATTAAGCAAAACATCTTACCCTTGAGGGCAAAGTGTCCTATGAAATATAAAATGGAGTTAGTTATGTCAAGGGTACTCTATAAATGTAAAAATGGCATATTTTGGGGATATTGGTTTCTGAACTCTAACAAACTCTTCCTAATTTTTATGACCTCCTGCAAAGGGGAAGGTCTGGGAGAAGGTCAGAGAGATCTTACTTCTGCAGTCTTCTCAAGTGTCAAGGGGACGTATTTTGGAGTAGTGTGTCCTGAACCCCCATCATTAATCAATGAAGATAAACCTAATTTACAAAGTAAATTTATGACTAGAATAAACTGGTCCTTTTTCAGTTCTTTACTTTTCCTTTGTACAATTTAGATAGAGAATCCAGATGTTTATGGCAAAGTTGATCAAATAAGAATGAGGGAAAACCAAAGGGAACTGATGAATACTTGAAAAAGACAATTGGAGAAAAATATGCTATTTTCAGTCATGAAATAATAACACTTTCAATGACTCCCCATGTCTCAGATGATGGGTTGAGGCCTTGCATACTATTCATTCAACCCTTACAGCAGCCTCAAGAAGCCATGATTATTATTGCTATTTTATAGATTAGAAAACAGCCTTAAAAGAGGTTACATAATATATTGAATTTTTTCGGAGTTTGTAAATGGTGAAGTCAGCACTAGAACCCAAGTCCCTCTGCCTGATTCTCCTGAAGTGACACTATGATAAGAAGCTTCTCTGCACAAGGTCAAGAAACAAGGGCTAAGTATTTAAAATATTTTGGCATGCAGTGAGCCCATGTGTTTAGGTAAGGGTAAAAATAGCATCATTCTCATTTTCTCTTGATAAGTCTTTAGGTCATGGAAGATTTAAATATGAATGCTTTGGGATTCAGTGGTACTGTGTTTTCTCATTAAAAAAAAGGATTGAATTTCAAGCCAAGGGATTTCTGGAAAGAATCATGCATGAGAGACAGCGGTAGTACTCTGGAGGTCCCGCCATATTGGGACCGGTCCTAATTGGCAGAAAGAAAGGGAAAGATTAATAATGAATATAATAACAGGGAGAGATGGAACAAAAAGGGCTCCATTCTCTTCTCTTTCTAATCAAGGGCCCTGATAAAAGACACACAGACACACAGCAAGAGCATTCCAAGGTTGAATCATAGGATCAAACTTCATTTCCAAAGCTGCTGTCTTTTAAAATGTAGGTTCAGAAAAACAAGCCACGAACAATCACACAAATTCTCTCATCTTGGGCGAAATTTTGAGCCAAACTAAAACAGAATATTTTCTAGAAGCTTATTAAATGTTTGGCAACATTAAACAATCTCTTATTTGTTATAAAATTATTCTTAAGCTCTCATAGCTTCAATGATACTAATAGGTCTAAGTAAAGAGACAAATATGGAGAGAAATGTTAATGATGACTATTCAAATGGACTAATGTGAAACAAAAGGGCTGGAAAACTTCAATCACTCTTTTTTGTATTATTACAGGTGCCCACTTTGATGACTTGTTGTACTAGCGCCTTTGATCTCCATCATAGAAAATGCTCTGCTCCATTTCAAAAGAGATTGTCATATATGCCATTTGCCATTCACTGGCCTTTGGATCAAACCAACAACAGACCTCACAGATAGAATTCCACCAATGACCATTCACAAAGAGGTAAATTGTAGGTCTTTTGCATCACTTTTAAATATTTTTTTAAGCAGAGAGCAGTTTACAAAAAACAAATCTGTTAACTAATATTGCCATCTGTTCTGATCTCTAACAAGGCTTTGAGTCTGGGCTTTTATCATAAGGGATTTTGCCAAAGTCCTTTTATTTTCGGCTATTTTAAGGAATGAACAATTAAGCTTGGGTAGACTATGCAGTAAATGTTTCTGAATGTCAGCTTATGTCTTTGCTGCTGCTGCTAGTAACACTCCTAACTGCAATTCAAACCTTGATTTTTAGATAAGGATGCGCTGCTGAGCCATGATTAACCAAAGGAGACTTTGAATTTTCCATGGGAATTTTCCTACTGGCAGATAATTTTCATCTTGTAGCCAGTAACATACCTATTTTTGAGAGAAAGAGAAGGCATTTTGCCATTATGAGGAGCAGAATGAATGTAGCTGGTCCTTCTAAGGACTGAAAGTGTGGCTTGTTAGCACTGTTTTAATCATCTGGAACTAAATTTAAAAAGGCAGTGCAGCAGAGTGGAATAAACTGGGAATTGTAGTCAGAGGTCAAGGGACAAAAGCCAGAATTTGCCATTTAGTAGCTAACCTTGGGTACGTCAATTCAAACTTCACAGCCTCTGTTTCTTTATCCTTTATCTGAGACTAATAACATGGGCTTATCTCGATGAACAGTTGATGTAATACTTATGAAAATAGTTTGTAAGTGGTAAAGTTCTGCATGGATATTGAATAAATAATACCTGGGCCACAAGGCCCAGTTCTAGGAATGTGAGAGAATATTAATTATAAAAGGTTAATAAATAATGCAATATGGAAAAATGAAATACTCATTTATATTAGTTTTCTATTGTTACATAACAAATTACCAAACTTTATGACTTAAGACACGTTTATTATCTCACAGGTTCAGTAGGTAGGGGATCTAGGTGTGGCTTAGCTGGGTCTTTTGGAAAGGATCCGTCTAGAATCAAGGTGTCTGCCAGACTGAAAAAAAAAGGAAATTCTGCCATTTGCAACAACATGCATGAAACTTGAGGGCATTATGCTTAGTGAAATAAGTCAAGCAGATAAAGAAAAACACTGTATGATCTCATTTATATGTGAAATCTAAAAAAAATCAAACTCAAAGAAACAAAAAGTAGAATGGTGGTTGCCAGGGGGTGGGGGGTGGGGAAACGAGGAGATGTTGGTCACAGGGTACAAACTGTCAGATATGAGATAACTAAGTTCTACAGGCCTAATGTATAGCATGGTAATTATAGTTAATACTGTATCCTATACTTGAAATTTGCTAAAAGTGTAGATCTTAAATGTTCTCACCACACACACACACACACACACACACACACGGTAACTCACAGTAACTATGTGAGGTGATGGATGTGTTATTTTGAATATATGTTCCCACCAAATCTCATGTTGAATTGTGATCCTCAGTGCTAGAGGTGTTTGGTACTGTCCTTATGATAGTGAATGAGTTCTCATTTCTCGTAAGATCTGGCTGTTTGAAAGTGTGTGGCATCTTCCCACACAGACTGTCTCTCTTGCTCCTGCTCTGGCCATGAGATGTGCCTGTTTCAACTTTACCTTCAGCCTTGAGTAAAAGCTCCCAGAGGCCTCACCAGAAGCTGAGCAGATGCCAATGCCATGCTTGTACAGCCTGCAGAACTGTGAGCAAATTAAAACTCTTTTCTTTGTAAATTACCAAGTCTCAGCTATTTATTTTCTTTTTCTTTTTCTTTTTCTTTTTCTTTTTGAGATGGAGTCTCACTCTGTCTCTGATCTGGAGTGTGTGACACGATCTCAGCTCACTGCAACCTCCACCTCCCAGGTTCAAGTGAAAGCTGCCTCACCCTCCCGAGTAGCTGGGATTACATGTGCCCACCACCATGCCTGGCTATTTTTTTTTTGTATTTTTAGTAGAGATGGGGTTTCACCACGTTGGCCAGGCTAGTCTCGAACTCCTGACCTCAAGTGATGTGCTCACCTTGGCCTCCCAAAAGTGTTGGGGTTACAGGCATGTGCCACTATGCCCAGCCTTTAGCTGTTTCTTTACAGAAATGCAAGAATAGCCTAACACAGTTAATTAACTTAATTGTAGTAATCATGTCACAGTATCTCTATATATCCGATCATCACATTATATATTTTAAATTTTTATGATTTAATTTGTCAACTATGTCTCCATAAAACTGAAAAAAACTCACAATTAATTACAAGAACAACAGCAAAAGCTCTTGGCTGGAGCTGGATTCTCATCAGAAAGCTTGACTGGGGATGGATCCACTGCAAAACCGACTCAGGTTGTTGGCAGGATTCATCATTTTGTGGTTGTAAACTGAGGTTTCTGGCTTTTTGCTGACTGTTAGCCAGGAGTTCCAAGAGGCTGCTGGCAGTTGCTTGCCACATGGCTCTCTCCCCAAACCTCTTACAACAAGGCAGGTCATTCCTTCAAAGCAAGCAAGAGAGAAAGTCTCCAGCATGAGCCTGCTAGCAGGGCAGCTTTATGTAATGCAAGATAATCACAGGAGTGACATCAGCACCTTTATCATATGAATGACATAATCACAGTAGTGACAGCCTATTACCTTTGCAATTTTATTCGTTAGAGGCTAGTCTCAGATCCTGCCTACACTCGATGGGGGCAGATTTCACAAAGGCATGGATACCTGGAGGCAGGGATCATGGGGGCTTCCTTAGAGTCTGTGCACCACACTATTCATTATTAGGTCTCTGAAATTTAAATATTTACATCAGAGTATTTTTTTATTCAGTTCATTAAACACAGATTTTAGGTATCTGCCACATCTCTGCAAAGTGTAAAATATACACAGCAGTATATTTATCAGCCCAAACTGGGTATCTGGCCCAGATTATTTTCCTCTAAAGCAAGATGAAGTTTCTTTTAGTTTCAATGAAGTTGGGTAGTCAGAGTGAGTGTTGTCTTCTGAGTGAGCTATCTTGGGATTGCTCTTCTGTATCTAGTCTATCACTCTCCATCTTGCTCTGTACCCTGGAAGGCTGACCTGTATAGTCTCCATTAAGTCTTCTGAAATCCAGTTGTGTTCGGCCAATGGGAGCCTACAATTGAAGAGAAAAGAGTAAGGTCACTTTATCTAACCCCTAAGCCCCTCTCTGCGGGGTCAACTGAGGCTGCCTGTGTCCCTCTCCTGAGCATTATCTTCTTTTTATGGCAGTTCCTCTACAGGAGTCTCTCCTGCCAGGATCCAGTAACACCTCTCTTCCTTTGTTATTTAGGCCTAGGGATAACAACAATGTGGGCATTACTAGCCCTAGGCTACCACTGTGTTTTAGTTTTTACCTCTGTTTTTTTATTTCTCTGAACTCTTCCCATAATTTTGCTAATAGTTTCTTTATTAAATCTTCCTCAAGTCCATTGAATATGGTCTTGTTTTTTTCTTGCTGGGACACTAACAGATATGCCACCCAAAGAGTTAATGTCCTATGAGCACAGCAGTTAGTTCATAAGGAATAATCAAAACATGGTTGTTGAATGAATGAGGAAAAGAATGACTCTTCGCCAGTAAATGTGACCTTTTTCCCATTTGATAATTCAATGTGTTTTGAGGGGCTTCCTTTACCTTGCACAGTTCTGGTAACAAGAGCCAATGTGATGATCCATATTTCCTGGAAATGCTTCCCACAGGTCTGGGATTATAAATGTTGTTTATTCTGGAATGAAGAAGAGCATTGGTTTTCTTCTTTCTCTCTTACTCTTAGCCAAAAGATATGCATGGGGTCAAAAGCAGCAAGATGGGTACATTTACAACAGGATCTCAGAGTTAATTTCTGAATTTAGTAATGTCTTAATATACATCTGTGGTAGGAAAAGCAACAATGCAGAAGCAAAGATTACAACACTAATGGAGAGTTACTGCAATGTGATGGAAAAAGATAAAATAAGTATGAATATTGGATAAAGCTAAGATTTTAAAAAATAGGCACTCTATCAGGAAAATCTAAGTAAAAACATGTGAGATTATGGAACAAACGCTCAAGGAAGTATAAAGCGTTTGATTTTTAAAGATAACCAAAAAGACATTTGGCTGGGTATCCAATATTGAGTGTTGACAAATGGGAAAATATAAGGGATTAAATCAATAATTTTGACATCTTGGTATGGCTGGTTTATAGGACTATTTCATTGTGTTCTGGTATCAATATTTGGCCACTGCTGTCTTATCAATAAGATATCATTGAGATGTCTCAACCATTTGTTTTAATCACACAGGCATGAGTTATCATGGCTTCCAATAGGAAATAAGCAGCTGTCAGACTTCTGGACTTTGTCTTCATTCCTTTCTCTTATTAGTTTTGACATTACAGACACAAGATATCCTGGATGGACCAAGGACTTTGGAGTATGAATACCATTCCTAGACATAGAATCATTTTGTTTGTTTATTTGCCAGCTCATGGGCCCCATAGAGTTCCTCTCTGTTAGTCTACTTCCTGTTCTACTGTAAAAGTAGGACACAGGATGACATGCCTGAAAATCTACTCCTCTGAGTTTTAAAAGGGTAAGAACCCAACTCAGATACTATTCATAGGGATCCTTGGTTTTAAGCTGTACTTTGTACACTTGGTTTTATGTAATTTTTAAAGAAGAAAATGCATTTGCCTACTTACCTCTACCAGGACTCAATTAGTTACTTATGACATTACACGTGCACAGAATGTTCTGTTTATGAACATCTTCAGAGAACTTTACTAATTTTTAATTCCTATTTTTGAAATCTTGGTGGAAATCACAAGTTCTAGTAGCAGTTGTGGCAGAGATACAAGAAATACAGGGTTGAACCCATGGGCTAGAGACTTGTGTTCCAGACCTAGATCTGCCACCAACTGACTGCAGACCATTGATCACATTACATCTGTGGGTTCCATTCTCTTCTTCTGAAAAGGTAACATACAAAAATAAAAAGTTTGCATGCATAATCACTGTGATCCATATAGTTTTAAGATTCTCTAATGCATACCCTAATTTTCACTTGCTCAAAATACATATAAAACTTCTGAATTAACCTAATTTGAAATATTTATTGAACATTTACTTTATTCAGAGATAGGTGTGGGTAATACACATAGAATAAAATAACGTAGTTATTAAGCTTTTTTTGTTTTGTTTTGTGTTGTGTTGTTTTGTTTTGCTTTGTTTTTGAGGCAGAGTCTCACTCTGTCACCCAGGCTGGCATGCAATGGCGTGGTCGTGGCTCATTGCAACCTGTGCCTCCTGGGTTCAAGTGATTCTCCTGCCTCAACCTCCCCAGTAGCTGGGGCTACAGGCGCCCACCACCACACCCGGCTAATTTTTGTATTTTTAGTAGAGATGGGGTTTCACTATGTTGGCCAGGCTGGTCTTGAACTCCTGACCTCGTCATCTGCCCACCTCGACCTCCCAAAATGCTGGGATTACAGGCATGAGCCACCGCACCTGGCCTGAGTTTTGTTTTTTTAATGCACACTCTATAAACATAATGACCACATTTTAGGAACTTCTATGATTGGTTAAGGAGAAAGGGCATGTTCAAAAATAAACCTGATGCTTGACAGGGACTGAAAAGGGAGACCAGGATTATAATCCAAAGCCATAAAAATATTTTTGTGTCTAGGAACCTATCGTAAGAAATGCAATAATAGCTAATATGTAACTTTTTCTCTGTGCCAGACCCAGGCCAAGTGCTTCTCATAACTTAAAACAATGTTATTAAGTGAGTACTATTATTTACTTCATTCTACAGACTACCAAAGAGTATCACAGACATTAGTTAATTCATTCGGGATGGAATCAAGATGCTAATTCAGGCTACTGTCTGATAGTGAATTCACTTCTTTTTAGATTTAATAAAGATGCTTGATGTATTCCAAAAAAAAAATGAAATAGTTTTTAACAAGTGACATCTAAGAAAACTTTAAACAGTCTATATTTTTGGTCCTTACAATGTTTTTCAAATGTTTTTGTCCCATGACCATCTGTATGAGAATCACTCAAGTGGATTTGTTAAAAATATAGATTATTGGGTCCTTCCCCTAACTTATTAAATCAAAATTCTGAGATTGGGTAAGAAAATCTGAATTTTTAACAATCATTTTGGTTTATTCCGATGTACATCAAAGTGGAGCATAAATTCTAAAGGGAAAGATTAGATTTCATTAGATGACTAAGTTGGACAACAATTGTAGATGGACAGAATATAGACAAAGGTATGGCAGCTGAAAATATGGCATGCTGGGGATTTGAAAGCAAAAGTTTCCTGGGGTGTGGGGTGCATATAAGGAAGTAGCAAGATATAAGCCTTGAAAAAGTACAGGTCAAACTTCATTGAGCCTTGAGTAAAGTTGTTAGGACTTTGAACTTTCTAGGCTTTATTTGAATTGAACTATTTGGTGTTTGGGGGTAGGAAAATAGCCTATTAAAGCAGAATTTTGGCAAACTTGTCTTGTAGCCATTAAGTTGGTTGGAATGTGGATGGATTGCCAAGTGCTGACATAATTAAGCCTCTTATTTAATGCCTGGATTAATTAATATACATCACCTGATGATACTGAGTACCCAGCTATGAAAAGATTAAAGTAAAATACATTGTGGGAAAACAAAATACAACAAAATTCTGTGTAGACATTTCCTGAGTATAGATGTTGAGAGAGGAGTCCAAAAGACAAGAGCTTGGGTATCTGAGTGTCTGGACCAATGCAGCATCATTTAGTAGGAAGAGATGAATCTGAAGGAGACGCTGGTTTAATGCCAGGTGGTGGAGAATTCATTTTTACAAGTGTTGTGGTACCAGCAAAACACTCGGATCTTCAGGTCTTTAGGCAATTGGGAATTCAAGACTGAATTGAAGGTAAAATGTCACAGCCTGAGGCATAGATTTGGATGTGCTGGTGTTACTGATGGAAGGAGAACACTGAAGGTCAAGGAGCAAATAAAACACTTAGAAGATGAGAGAAACAAATAAAAGAGCAGCGCCTGGGGAACAGATATTGTGGAGAAGAGACTGAGGAAAAAAATGAACATTATTCTCAGTAAGAGCTGGATGAACTTATAGCCTGAAGTGACTCTGGTATAGTCTCATCTTAAATAGGGAAATATATACATAAACATCTTAAAATATTACCAGTGACCAGCATTATTTGTATTTCCAGAGAATTTATGGTTAAAATTAGGATCAAAGAATTTCCTACTATGGTGGTTATAAAGAAAGAAATGGACGTTACGTGTCTTCATAATCCCTCTTTAGATTACAGATCTATAGATCTTTAGATTCTCTATTGAATAATAAATTAAGTAGCGTTTGAACAAACCTAGCAAGCAAAGCACATATATCATTAAAATTATTCGATTCCCAGAGTACCAGTTATACTACTCTCAACCTAAAGGGTTCTCAGCAGTTTGTAACTGGTGACAAAAGCCTCTGCCTGAGTCAGGCACTACTTGAGAACAACTATAAAACATTCAAAAATAAAGTCTCGGCTGGGCGCAGTGGCCTGCAATCCCAGCACTTTGGGAGGCTGAGGCGGGTGGATCACCTGAGGTCAGGAGTTCAAGACCAGCCTGGGCAACATGAAAAACCCCATCTTTACTAAAAGTACAAAAATTAGCCTGGCGTGGTGGCACGTGCCTGTAATCCCAGCTACTCAGGAGGCTGAGGCAGAAGAATTGCTTGAACACAGGAGGCGGGGGTTGCAGTGAGCCAATATCATGCCATTGCACTCCAGCCTGAGCAACAAAAGCAAGACTCCATCTAAATAAATAAATAAATAAATAAATAAAAAATAAAGTCTCATTTTCCTGCATCATGAAGAGTCCTTCTCTGAAAATATCTTATTGCTGAGAACTTCCTTAAATGTGTTCTCAAGTTCAACCTGAAAGCGGAACAAGGTAAAAGTGTTTGTGTGTGTGTGTGTATGTATGTGTGTGTGTGTGTATAAAATATGTATTTATATATGCATACATACATATACATGTATGTATATATGTGCGTGTGTATATATATATATGTGTTGATATATATGTATATTGAAAACAAAAGGGAGGCCAATTTGATAGAAATATCAGAAAGGTCAAGCTCAGATGGCTCCAGCTTTTAACAAGGAGGATTTAGCAAGATCTTTTTCCTTAGAACCAGTTTCCTTTCACTGACTCTGCCTCTGGGCACACAAAAGCGTGCTGCCATGCAATGGGGAGTTAGTGTATTTGTGCATGGGGGTAAGGCTGCCTTTGATAAATATAAAACCCCATCATTATCTCATTTTGGTATCTTCTGAGATTTTCCTAAACAGATGTCATGGAAAATTCACTGGGAAAGAACATAACTTGTTACAAAAGTAACCCACAGATTTTATCTTTCTCTTTTGCCTTAAAAGTTCAAAGTTTGGAGAAAACGACTTAATTGAGATAACTTTAATAAGAAAAAGAACAGAAGGGTAATTCGTGTGGCACTGACTGGGTAGTAGTAAATGAACTGTGTTGGATGGAAATTTAAATATCCTAAACGTCCTGTGATAGTGTGTGGCACTTTAAAAGTATTCCATTTTCTTAAAGTCTTCATCATTCTCATTTTGATTGTTGCTGCGCTTCATGTATTAGGAAAATGCTGCTATGAACAGAATGGTAAGTTTGAGTTCATTTTTCCAAATGATGGCCTGACTTTTAAACGAACTATTTGCGGACTTGATACCAAAAAGGATGCATTTGCAAACAGTGAATTGACTTCAAGTCTATGACAAAGGGTAAAGAGATTGTTATTTGTCTATTAAAGAATCAAATCTTTGACTTTAATCATCATTTAAGTGCTTATTGAACTTGTTACTAAAATAAGGAAGTACTTCTAAAGGCCTGTATACTGACTGGAAAAGAGTTTATGGTAAAGCTACAACCATTAGTATGGAGCAATAAGTAGTCACTTGTGATATGCCTTCAAGATGTGGTTTCTCTCAGAATCCAAGCCTGGGTGATCTTGCAAGGCATCTGAGAATCAGCTTAATAATTTTTCCTTGGAACATTCTAAATAAATGCCCTAACCACTATCCATCTATTATAATGCTTAAAACAAAGATAGTACGAATGAATAGTGAGGATGTGAAGCAACAGGAACTCTTGTATGTTGTTCATGGGAATGCAAAATGGTACAGTCACTTTGGAAAATGGGTTGGCAGTTTCTTATAGAGTCATACATACATTTACCTATGACCCAGCAATTTTACTCTTTGGTATTTACCCAAGAAAAAAGAAAATTTAGTAAAAACTTGTACATGAATGGTTGCAGCAACTATATTCATTACTGCTAAAATCTGGAAACAATCCAAATGTTTTTCAATTGTTGAATGGATAAACAAACCATGAGATATCCATGCAATTAAATTAATTGACTAAGCAACAAGGGTGAATCCCAAATGCTTTCTTCTAAGTGAAACAAAATAGACCCAAGAGGCTACACATATACTGAATAATTCAATTTATATGACATTCTGGAAATGTCAAAAAAATGATGAGGAAGGAGAACAGATCAATGGTTGCCTGGGGTTGGGAATGGAGGACGAGTTGACTGAAAAAGGAGAATGTGTGGGATTTTGGGGAGTGCTGAAACCATTGTGAATCAAATCCCGTGGATCTGTACACCACAAAGAGTGAATTTTACTATATGTAAATTTTAAAATAAAGAAAGATATATAAATAGAAACACCAAAGATTTCATCCATAATATTTCACTATGTAACTGGAATTGTAATCCAGTAAAATAGCTACAACTAATGTATACAATCATTTCTAAGAAAACTGAGGAGAAGTTGATGCTAGGAAGAGCAGCAGAATGCTAGGCTTCATTTATTTTCCTTCCTTCCCTTCCTTCCTTCCTTCCCTTCCTTCCTTCCTTCCTTCCTTCCTTCCTTCCTTCCTTCCTTCCTTCCTTCCTTTCTTTCTCTCTTTTCCTTTTTTGAGATAATGTCTCACTCTGTTACCCAGGCTGAGTGCAGTAGCACAATCACAACTCACTGCAGCCTCAAACTCCCGGGCTTAGGTGGTCCTCCTGCCTCTCGGCCTCCCAAAGTGCTGGGATTACAGGCATGAGCCACCTCTTCTGGCCTTGATTCTTCATTAAATATAGCCGCCTCACATAGAGTGCTTTTGGTGGGTATTTTTTTGTGTACTTCCACTGGTCTCTGGGCCATGTACCTACTTTCTGCTGCACATCCACTAAGAAGCTCTAGTTGCTTCACACTTCAACTTAATAATGATCAGCAGATCACCAAGTCTCCGGAGAAAAGGGTTAGACCACTTGTTAAGTCAACAAACACATATTTAGTGTTTATCAGATTCCTAAACACTTTTCTAGGCGGTGGAGATTCATCAGCTTAAATGCATAGAATTCACCCTCTCCCCAGCAGCTTTAATTTGGTATTTATAGCATTCAGTAGTTAAAAATCTTCACCTTGGACTTGTTTACCTACCAATTACTGCACACTTTCAAATTGGGCTGAATTTCAACTGGTAATTAAAGTTGATTTTGAAAGCATAAAAAGGCAGTGTTAAAAAATCCCAGTATCAACTGGGTGGCCTCAGTCATTTTCAGTGTTGTTGCTCAAGTTTGTGACTCAAAAGCACTTGGTACTCCACAAGTTGAAATTCTGGGAACTGCTTGACAATTTCAGTTAGCTATAAAATTTTGGGTAACAAGCATTAATTTGTTTATTTGAAGATAATATATAGAAATGAGAAGTGCTGCTTGTGAGATCCTGGGGGGACACTAGGTAAGAACATTCCATCTTTTAGGAACAAACTATTAATATGTAACAGATATGTTAACAATTATTTAGCCAGGCAAAACTATTCTGAGTGCACGGGAGTTAGCAGTTCTCTACACCTTTGAGAAAGGACTTAGAATGACAAGAATCCATTTTTCCATCCTAGATGAGAGTCTGTGCAGGAATTGATTTAAAAAAAAAAACACACTAAGGGGGTATATTAAGGACACATTAAGTTCCTATTGCTGCGGTAACAAATTACTACAAACTTAATGGATTAGAAAAACCTAAACCTATTAACTTATATTTTTGTAGGTCAGAAGTCTGAAGTGGGCTTCACTGAGCTAAAACCAAGGTGTTGGCAGTGCTGCATTCTTTTCTGGAGGCTATGGGAGTTAATCTGTCTTCTTGCCTTTCAGTTGCTAGCAACCTTTTGCATTCCTTGGCTTATGACCCTCTTCCATATTCAAAGTCAGCAATGGCCAGCCAGTCGTCTTTCTCACATTACAGCATTCTGATGTTGACTCCTCTGCCTTTCTTGTCCATATTTAAGAACACTGTGATTATGGTGAACACACCTGGATAGTCCAGGATAATCAGCTGATCAACCAGTTTGATTCCATCTGCTATCTTAATTTCCCTTTGTCATGTAATGTAACATATTCCCCAATTCTGGAGATTAGGACATGGGCATTATTGGGAATATATATATACACACACATATACATATATGTACATATATACATACATATATATACATATACATACGTGTGTGTGTGTGCGCGTGTGTGTGTGTGTGTGTTTGTGTATGTATTTGAGACAGAGTTTAGCTTTTGTTGCCCAGGCTGGAGTGCAATGGCGTGATCTTGGCTCACTGCAACCTCCACCTTCCAGGTTCAAGGGATTCTCCTGACTCAGCCTCCTGACTAGCTGGGATTACAGGAGCCCGCCACCATGCCTGGCTAATTTTTCATACTTTTAATAGAGATGGGGTTTCACCATATTGATCAGGGTGGTCTTGAACTCCTGACCTCAGGTGATCCACCCGCCTCGGCCTCCCAAAGTGCTAGGATTACAGGCGTGAGCCACTGAACCTGGCCAATTGCGAATATGTTATTCTGCCTCCAATTCATTAAGAATTGTCACTCTCTGTGATAACATGTAACATTGGTTGATGTGTTAATCCTAAGCCAAGAAAAAGTTGAAAATAATGCCAGGATGTTGACTGGCTTCATTAAGGTCTTTTATTTTATGCTGCATGAAATATGTTAAGACACTTCCCATGTAGGTCACCCTTTAAAAAAGTAAGCAAGTCAATGGACGACAGAATACAAACAACCTAAAGTTAGTTATCTATTCTCTCACCCTTCCCAGGCAGCTCATTCACCACCAAAACAAGATCATTGACCTCCAGTTCCATTTTGTCCTTAACTGATGGCACGTTAAGGAGTCTGTTCGCAATTAGGACAACGTTCCAATTTCTTTGTTTCAACACTAATAAAGTGGTCTTTCTTACATCTTTCTTGCAAGAATTGCATAAAGCTCTTGCTTGAGAGGAAACTTGGTTTTTGTAAGGCTTCTGCATTTGATACCTGATGGGATTTCCTGGTTTGAGGAAATTTTAACCAGATTTAGCTTTTTGATTTTCATTTTTCAAAACAGCAATTTAAAACAACACAAATGAGAACCATGAGTATTTCACTATTTTACTTTGTTGTGAGGAATTCAAAAAGAATGAATGTTTCTTAATAAAACGCAAATTATTTAAGTTTAATTTGGATTTCTTAGCCAATTACCAATTTTTCTCATCCTAAGGGAGTTCACTTGGGAGCCCTCAAACTGTATTGGAGTTTTTCGATTTTGTGACTTAAAAAAACGAAAAAAAAAAAAAACTTAGCAAAGAGTGATTTCATGCTTTAAAAGACGATGAAAAATGGTTGTGAAATTAACTCAAGGTTTTTCAGACATCAAACAGTTTTGATTTTCTTTATTTCTGACCCCATAAATATTTTCATGTGCTAAGTGCGCAAGCATCAAAAACATATAAATTAAAATAAATGTTCACTATTGAACAAAAAAGGAAAGGGCTTAGCAAAACGTGATGCCTCTGAATAGACAAGACTGGTCAGGACCAAGGGCCACCAGCTTTCAGGAATTTGTTCTGAAGTCAGTCAGATGATTCAGATTATCAAGGTAGATATTACAATTTAACCATGAAAAATCTGAGCTTTTGCCCTTATTCTTTAGAAATAAGTCCCCAGAGTTTTAGCTAGGATTATAAATATCTTAAATAAGACAATTCTTCCAAGATTCCTTTGCAGTTAGTGTGCACCAGTAACAAAGTTCGGCCAGTGATATATAAATGAAAGCAATGGTGTAACTTCCTGGAAGGAAGAGACATGTTCTTTTCCCTTTCTTTTCTCCTCCCTCAGGAGCTGCAACAATCAGTTTGGACCAAGGTGTAGAGAATGGTAGTGTTGCAAGATTGAAGGAACTTAAGTGCATGAGGATTAAGTCACTGTTATATTTTCTATTACTCATAACCAAACCGGATTTAACTAATTCAGTTAGCTACTCTGAAAACTAACAATATCTTAAAAGTCCGCTGTGAGGACGAAATGAGATCATGTAGGTAAACCATCTATCTTACTGGAATGTCTACAGAAGGTAAAATAAATGTTAATTATCTTCTCTTTTCCATGATAACTGAAGTTTTAAAGACCTTCATCCGTGAAAATATCTCAATGAGAATGATCTTCAAAGTTAATGGAAAGCAATATTTTTGACTTGGAGGTAGAGATGACTTTAGAAGGACAATAAAAAAACTTATTCTGTTTCTTAATTCATCCATTTACATAAATTTATTCAACATATTTTAAGTACTGATTATACTGCAAGCACTGTGCTAGGAATTATCATTTAAAGTAAAACTTACGTTTTGCCTGTGGTAAGCTCAAATTCCATCAAAAAGGCAGACAAGCAGTAATGAAGATATAGTATGACAAATACTATTGTTAGAAATATTCACAAAAACATACTATGGGAATAGAAAAGAAAGTAGCTCAGTCTGTCTGAGGAAGCAAGGAAGATTTTATGAAGGAGAAATTGAACAGAGAGCTAAAAGAGTGAATTGATATTTGGTAGGTAGTGAAGGGAAGAAAACTTTTTTTAAAAATAAAGAGAACACCATGTTGGAGCATGAAATGCATATTTAGTGGATAAGGGTGTAGTTTTGCAAGGCTGGTGTATTAGGTGTGGAAGTATTCTGAGATATGGCTAACCAGTAGGTTACCATCAGATTGTGACAGAAGATAGATCTAGTGGCAGCACAGAGAATACATTATCAGTTCATATATATGGGGCAACATGACCCCAATAGACCATATAGGGTATATATTCAGGGCATGGTAGAAAACTAATATTTCAGCAGAAATGGGAAAGGTGAAAATATTCAAGAAAACCTTGGAGATGAAATCAGCATTATTTGATGACTCTTTGAATGTTGTGGTAAAAGGGAAAAGTAAGTCTAGAGACCTCTTGGGTTACTAGACAAGCCAAGCCATGTAAAGCCATTAAGCAAAATAGAAAAGATGGAGACATGAAGGAAGATGTTTTTTAGATTAACTAGGTTATAATGAATTCTATTTGTCCATATGTCATTGAGGTGAAGATATTCAATTGAAAGTAGGTAAAATGAATCTGAAGTTCAGGGCTAATAATTTCTGAGTTGTATGAGGGTCTTTGACCAAATGGGGAGAGAGAGAGACCAGAGAAGGACTGTGATCTTCCAAGAAAAGCACTTTTAGAGTAAGACAGAAAAGCTGAATCCTGAGGAATACATTATTTAAGAAAGAAAGAAGCTAGGCATACCCAAAATTGGCTCAGAAATTAAGGAAGATAACAAGAAATGTTTTGAAGTTAAATTATGCAATGGAATGCTTCAATATTCAGAATATTACAGAATAGTATAGAAATTTGTATTAGACACCTCTGCACTTACCACTGAGGTTTAACAACTGTTCTAGAAATTTTACAGTTTTGGTTCTGAACATTTTGGCCTATTATCTATTTTGAGTTGTTTTTGTATATGATGTGTGATAAGACTTGAGTTTCTTTTTAAATTTTTAAATAGTTGTTTCAGCACAATTTGTAACAAAAATCATCTTATCCTCTGATGAAATACCTTGACACCTTCGTAGAAAATCAATTGACTACATATATGAATCTATTTTTTTGTACTTTCTGTTCTGTTTTGTTGATATCTGTATCTTTATACTAATAGTATGTTATCTGAGTTATTATAGCTTTATATTACAAGTTAAAATCTGGTGATTTAAGTCTTTGGACTTTTTAAACATATATATATATATATATATATATATATATTTGCTCCTCCAGGTTCTTCTGAAGGCCATATAAATTTTAGAATCAGTGTATCAACTTCTCAGAAAAATTTGTTGGGATGTAGGCTGGGCTAGCATTGAAATCTATGAATCAATTGGGTAATTGGGTAGAACATTTCTGTTTTAATATTGAAACTTCTCATAGAATGAACATAAAAAAATCTTTATTCAGAATTGCTAAGTAAAGCCACCTGAGCCAGGAAATTTCTTTATGGGAATATGTTTAGTTAGAAATTCATTTTGTTTAAATAGATAAATGGTTAGCTAGAGGTTTATTAATTTTATTACAGTTTTCAAAGAGCCAACTTCTGGCTTTGTCTATTTTTTCCCCTTTTTGTTTTCTATTTCATTGAATTCCATTCTTATGTTTATCATTTTCTTTTTTCTATTTACCTTGTATTGGCTCTTGCTTTTCTAGCTTCGTAAGCTGGAAGTTAGATTATTGATTTTAATCATTTTAAATTCTTAGGCATTGATTTTAAGTATTAAATGCTTAAAAGGTGGTATTATTTAAGGACATGCATTTTCCTCTAAACTCTGCTTTATCTGTGTCTCTCAATTTTTGATATGTCTTCTTTACTTTTATTTCAAGATATTTTCTAATTAATTTTGCTATTTTTTATTTGATCCATGGGTTATTTAGAAGGGTATTAATTAATTATCAAATATTTTAATTTTTCTAGATACCTAGATATTTTGTTATTATGACTATTGCTTTTCAATTTAATTTCATTGTTGTCACAGAGTATGCAATGTATTGGTAGGGCACGGTGGCTCACACCTGCAATACAAAGCACTTTGGGAGGCCGAGGCAGGCAGATCACTTGAGGTCAGGAGTTCGAGACCAACCCTGTCTCTGCTAAAAAATACAAAAAATTAGCTGGGCATGGTGGCAGGCACCTATAATCCCAGCTACTCAGGAGGCTGAGGCAGGAGAATCACTTGAACTTGGGAGGTGGAGGTTGCAGTAAGCAGAGATCGTGCCACTGTACTCCAGCCTGTCAACAGAAAAAAAGAAAAGAAAAGAAAAGATAAAAAACATGCAATGTATGATTTCAAACCTTTGAAAGTTATTAAGACTTGTTTTATTATCCTGCATATGGTGTTTGGTTCATGTGATCCAGTATATAGTTTATTTTGGTGATGTGGTTTGGATGTGTGTCCCCTCCAAATCTCATGTTGAAATGTGATCTCTAATGTTGGATGTGGGCCCTGGTGGGATGTCTTTGAATTATGGGGCCAGATCCCTCATGAATGGCTCGGTGCCTTCCCCATGGTAATGAGTTCACATGAGATCTGGTTGTTAAAAATAGTCTAGGAGCTCTCCTATCTCTTGCTCCCTCTCTCATCATGTGAGATGCCTGCTCCCCACTTTGCCTTCCACCATAAGTAAAAGCTTACTGAGGTTTCACTAGAAGCTGAGCAGATAAAGTTTCTGTGCTTGTATGGCCTGCAGAACCACAAGCCAAATAAACCTCCTTTCTTTATACATTATCCAGTATCAGTTATATCCTTTATAGCAACACAAAACAGTAAACAGAAAATTCATACTGAGGAGTGAGGCATTGCTATAAGATACCTGAAAGTGTGGAAGCAGAGACAGGGAGATGAGAGAAAGTTTGGAAATTCTTAGAGATTTTTAAGTGATTGTGACCAAAATGGTGGCAGAAATATGAACAGCGGAGGCCAGGCTGAGGAGGTCTCAGATGGAAATGAGGAATTTATTGGGACTGGGAATAAAGGTCATTCTTCTTAAGGCATAGCAAAGACCTTGACTGCATTGTATCTATGCTCTAGGGATTTGTGGAAGGTCAAGCTTAAGAATTATGACCTAGGGTGTCTGGTGGAAGAAATTTCTAAAGCGAAGTATTCAATATGTGGCACAGCTGCTTTTAATAGCCCATGATCAGACATGGGAGCAAAGACATGACTTAAAGTTGGAACTTCTAGTTAAAAGGGATGCAGAACATAAAAGCTTTAAAAATTTGCAGCCCGATCACATGGTAAAGAAGGAAAGAGAATTTTCAGGAGAGGAACACAAGCAGACTGCAGAGCAACTATTTGCTAAAGAGATTGGCATGACTGAATGGGAGCCAAGCACTAATAGTCAAGACAATGGAAAAAAGGTCTGGAAGGCGTTTCAGAAGTCTTTTGGACAGTTTTTTCCCCATACAGACCCAGAGGCCTAGGAGGAAAGAATAGTTTCAGGTGCCAGGCCTGGGATGCCACTGTCCTGTACCACCTTAAGAGGCTGCTCCCTACATCCTTTGCTGCTCTAGCTCCAGCTATGGCTTAAAGACCCTAGACACAGCTCAGGCTTCTGCCCTGGAGAGTGCAAACCATAAGCCTTGGTGGCTTCCACATGGTGTTAAGTCTGCAGGTGCACAGAATACAAGAGTAAGAGAGGCTTGGCAGCTTCCATTTAGATCTCACAGGAGGTAGGAAAAAGCCTGGGTGCCCAGGCAGAAGCCTGCCACAGGGGCAGAGCCCCCACAGACAGCCTCTACTAGGGCGATGCCAAGGGGAGAGATGGGGTTGCAGCCTCCAGATAGATTCCTCAATGGGGCACTACCTAGTAGAGCTGTGGGAAGAAGGCTACTGTCCTCCAGACCCCAGTTGAAGAGCCACCAGCAGCTTACAACCTCAGCATGGAAAAGCTACAGGCACCAGACTCCAACCCTTGAAAACAGCCATATAAGCTGCGCCTATCAAAGCCACAGGGCCAGAGCTGCACGAAGGCCTTGGGAGCACACCCTGCAGATCAGTGTACCCAGGTTGTGGGACATGGAGTCCAGGATCATTTGGGAGCTTTACGATTTTGGGTCTGCCCTGCTGGGTTTTGGACTTGTGTAGGGCTTGTTGCCTTTTTCTTTTGGCTAATTTATCCCTGTTAGAATGAGGATGTTTACCCAATGCCTGTGCCACCATTTTATTTTGGGAGTACATAACTTGTGTTTGATCTTTACAGGCTCATAGATGGAAGGAACTTGCTTCTAGTCATGCTGGAATGAGTTAAGATTTTGGGAGGCTGTTGAGAATGGATGGTTGTATTTTGCAATGTGAGAAGGACATGAGATGTGGAGGGCCAGGAGCATAATATGTTTTGATGTGTATCCTTTCCAAATATGTTGTGTATCCTTTCCAAATCTCACGCTGAAATGTGATCCCCAATGTTGGAGGTAGGGCCTGGTGGGAGGGGTTTTGGTCTTTGGGGCTGATCCCTCATGAATGGCTTGGTGCCCTCCCCATGGTAATGAGTTCATGGGAGATCTGGTTGTTAAAAAAGAGCCTGGGATTGCCCCCATCTCTCTCTTGCTCCCTCTCTCATCACGAGACATGCCTGCTTCCCCTTCACCTTCTGCCATGAGTAAAACCTTCCTTTCTGACTTCTTTTCTGGCTTCTCACTTCCACCAGAAGCCAAGCAGATGCGGGTGTCATGCTTGTACCATCTGGAGAACCATCAGCCAAATAAGCCTCTTTTTAAAATAAATTACCCAGTCTGAAGTATTCCTGTAGAGCAACACACAATGGACTAAAACACTTGAACATTCAGTTTGCCCTTGTAAAGACTGTATTGTGTAGCTATTGAATGCAACCAGGAAAAAAAAGTAATGGAATATCTTGAATACCTTTATGCCAATCAATCTGACACTTAGATGAAATGAACAAATTCCTTGAAAGATACAAACCACCAAAACGAATGTAACACAAAATAGAAAAATCTGTATAGCCACAGGCAGTTCTTTATACATTCTGAATATAGTGCTTTTTTCAAATTGATAAATTGTAAATATTTTCTCCTGGGCCATGGCTTACATTTTCATTTTTCTTATTGGTGCTCACTGAAGAGAAGATGTTCTAATTTTGATGAAGTCTGATTTATCAATTTTCTTCATAATGTTTTCGCATCCTGTCTTGTCTATCCTGGGTAGGGAATGTATTCTCTGTCTTCTTCTAGAGCTGTTTTACATTTAGCTTTTACATTCTTGTTTATACTTCGTCTTGAATTAAATTGTGCATGCAGTGTGACAAGTCTCAGCTACTTCATACTACACATAATGCAGAAAGCCCTCTAGGGAAGATACTGTATTAAATGGGACTCTCACCCAGTGTGACTTCCTCCTTTCAAAGATCCAAAGCCCCCTGCTTTCTGCTTGTTTCCTCACTCTACAGTGCCTTCAAAATGTTTTTTACATTTTGCTCAGCTTCTAATTGTTATTCTCAGGCATATCATTCCATTCCACCGCTGGGCTCAAAAGTTCCTGAGTCTCTTTTTAAAACCACATGTCTGACTGTATTTAAAATCTCCAGCAATTCTGAAAAATTTCCAGCTACTCTCCATTTAAATATTTCTTTTATTCTCTGTTCTCTCTACTTTCTCCTGTTATAATTTCTATTAGACATTTTTGTACTTCCTTATTCTGTCCTTATTTCTGTTAATGTTTTATATTCTGAATTTCCTTTTCTCTTTATACTGTATTCCGAATAATTTCCCCAGTTCCATTTTCCAGATTACTAATTCTCATTTCAACAGCAGTTTAATTTGTCCAATGATCTTTTTTCTTGCTTTGATCACATATCTTAATTCTGGACTTCCCTGTCTTTCCCCAAATCTGTTTATTTTTGTCCTTGTGTTTTTATTATTTATTTTATATCCTTAACTATTTGACTTATATCTGTGTTACAGTCTTTTTACATGATTCTATTACTTCAAATTTTATGTATACTAATATCCCTGTTTGTTGATCCAACCTCATGTATTGTTTCTTTTATCAGTTTTTATTGTGGGCACCTTCAGCAGAGGTTGATATTTTATTTTTCTCGGTGAAACTGTATGTGCTTTCAGTTTACTCTGCAGTTTGCTCCTGAAATTTCAAGGGCTTGTGACCTGTCTGTATGTTGATTTCTCACGTTGGGGAAACAAGTACCATGTAAGTATCATAAACTTTGCCCCATATTGATATATTGTGCTGGTCTGACATGTTTTATTTCCAATAAAAAACTTAATTGTCTCCTCCTATTAAGAAGATCACAGGCAGATATGTGCATTTTTAATGTCATATTCATAGACCATTGATTAGGTTATATCTAGCACATGTCTTATAGTGGGTCAAAGCTAGACCTAACCTATCTGATGTAAGGGTCTCAGTTCTAATTCTCAATCAAATGCTAGATCCATGCAACCTCTATATTAATTAAAATATCAGCCTCTAGTCTCTATGATCTATCTCTAGTCTCAGATTCTGGAGTTCCTAGTGCATCCATTCATAAACTTATCTCTCTGACTTTAGTTGCCTCTTTAGTTCTGGAACCTGAAAATTTGTCTTTTTTTTTTTTTTTGTCATTTGAGTGCAGCTGTACGACTAATCAAATATTCCTGTTGCAGTGAGAAGAAAGAGTCTCTAATTTCCAGTAAAACTTGAAGTTCCCATTAGATTTTAGATTTTATTAGATTTTGTTTTTCTTGAAGGCATGTAGTGGTATGTTTTATTTATATGTTTATCTTCTGTCGCACTTAGTATAGTAGTATAAAACTCCACTGCTGCTTAATAAAAATAAAAAAAATGAAAAAAGGCATCTTTAAATAGTAAAGGCTAAAAGAGAAGGCATTCATGTTTTAAATAGATGAATTCTCTCTCCCAACCTCAAGTAGTCAAAAGAGTTAGGTGGTGGGGGCGACATATGGTGGACGTTATTCCCTTCCTTGGTACTGTATCAACAATTGCAATGTACTGCTTCATTTCAAAAAGAAAAAAAGTACCATGCTGGTTGCTGTCCACAGAAATTCTGCCAACATCCTAGTGGTTGCTGGTTTGTAATTTTATGGGTTTCCAGAGAATCAAACACTGTATTATTATGTTTGGCTACTAACTCGGGTCAGCAGTTCAAAAGGAGAAAGAAGGGGAGTGAAATGGGTTGGAGGGAAAAGAGAGAGCACACATGACCTGGTATATTTAAAACAATAGATTTAACGTATTGAATTTGAATCCATCTTTACTGAATCTCAATTTCATTTTTAACAGACAAAAATTAGTCTATGTTAAAAGCTGTGTTTTATGTATAAATAGAAGATGTGGCCATTGTGAACCAGTTTTAATTTTGACTGGAGAATAAAGTAATAGGTTCTTTTTTCCATGGATATCCTTTTACAAAGATTTTGAGATGGGAGATTTTTATTCAACAATGACAAAAACAAATAGATTTTTGAACATACCCCTGATCCTGAATCCCTCTCCTTTCACAATATACTTATTTACTTAAATATAATTTGTAGAAATATTGACATTAAATACTACAATTATAATTATTGCTATTATTTAAAATAATTCCGTAATTATGGAGCGATTAAAATATATAAACTATGTGACGATCTTAAACAATATGTGCATTTTTTCAGAAAGTGAACTTTGTATTATTAATATAAGAAACTCTATGTCTTGACCATATCATTATTGAAATACGTTTCCTTGATATTTTCTTTAGTCTTCGAAGATCATAGGTATACATGTAACTCTTCTAACAAGCATAGCATGAACAATCTTCTTATAGGACCAAGAAGAAGTCATGTTTGATTTCTTTGCATAGTTTGTTTATTTGCCTTGGATTCAGAAGGAGCTAGGAGAAGAATGGGTAAAATAGTGTGATTACCATTGTATTTAACATAATACAAATGGATGAATCCTGGATCTACTGCCTGTCTTTCCTGCTCCGTTCTCACAATAATCATTTAGTGGTATGAGCTCCCTAGTTAGCTGGCTGCCTAAGAGGCCCAAAATAAACAGGAAGGCATTGTGCACTGGCATTAGAAAAGCATCAGACACGTTAAAACTGCTTATTATTACTATTTAAGGTAAAAGTGCACATAGGTGAACGTATTTTATTAATTTATCTATTATATTAATATTCTATTATTCTTTCATCATACGAGAATTTGTGGAACACTTATTTTATGTTATAGACACTAGGAATGAAATAGTAAAGAAGGAAAATTTGCTTCCAAGGAACATCCATTCAGGCATAAAGGTATAAAAAGCAAGGAAATAAATGAGTTCTGTGGATAAAATAGAGATAAGACCCAGGAGCGGCTTGCTTGTACTGGAAGAACAGAGTGGTTAGAGATGGCCTTTCTCAGAAGATAACATGTATCCAGGCACCTGAAGGACAAAAGGGAACCTCTTGTTTAAAGATTGAAGAAAGGCATTCACAGCATGTAAACAGAACCCAGGCTCTCCCCTAAACATCTTTGGGTTGCATAGTGACAGTACAAATGGTGGCCCACACACCCTCATCTAGTTAAAAGTTATAAATCTAGCTAACAAACTGTCAATACAATATTTTCTATTCTCCCACCTTGACACGTTGCCTTCATAACAGCCTGGAAAGCCTGCTTTGAATATAGAATTCTTGCCTTTCTTGAAATTTTTTGTTGGCACATGGCAGCATAAAGGAGAGCTAACCCTATCCCTAGGCCTGTTCCCCAATCTCTTCTCATCCCTGGGTCCTTCCTACAATGTAAGAAGCCTCCACGTTTCATGTAGATATCCTAGTCCATACATTGAAACTCTGTCCACATCCTACTCTCAGCCACCCCTTGGTAATCTCTGGAGCCCAGAGGGTGCATACACCTGTGGTGTGACTCCTCAGCCTCTGAAGATCAGATTTAGGGAAAAAGAAGAGGCCTGTGTAGGTCGTGGAAGCAGGCTCAGGAACATTTAAGGAGAAAATCTTAGGCCTTTGGGTATAGGTAGTGTGGTCTAAAGGGGAGAGGTTGTGGATACCAGGAGGGCATGACCCTTTCATCCTGTAGACTCCTAGCCCTGTAGAAGGGACTGAAGCTGATGGGAGGACAGAGTGAGGCTTTCTACACTTTTAGGCTCAGGACAGCAACCCTTCTTGCCCAGGTCTAACATGGTAATTAACCAGACTAAAGAGGTTTTTCAGAAGAAGTATTGTGCACAACTTATGTGGGCTTGGTCATCTGAGGGGGCCAACAGAACAAACTCCATGTCAACATTTTCAACCTGTCTGACCTTGCTGAAAGTCTTCCCAGATCCAACACCTGTGAATGCTAAAGTTCTGGAGCTGTGACTGAGGTTGGGACAGTTTAGAAAAATCAAAAAGGCTAGGATGCCTGGATGGAGTGAACAAGGAGATGGAGTAGAGAGAAAAGCAGGAGCCAGAACACACAGGGACTTTTTGGTCATCTTTAGGAGTAATTTTTCCCAAGTATAAAGGAAGGTTGTTAATTTGAGCATAATCTACTATGCTTCAAATTTATCTTATATGAACATTTTTGTCTGCTAAAAGTGATCCTCTAAAATGGTGGACTGGGTTGTGGATTCGAAGGAATAGTTTCTAGTTAAGCCTGTGGCACCACTTTTCCCCTCTCCACCTTCCATAAAATAGATATTCTTACTACAAGAACACCTGCATGGAGAAAGTATTACCAGATCCATTTCATGGGTAAGACAATGGAGGCTCAGAGGGTTCTATAGAGCTGCAGAATGAAAAACAGTTAGGGACATTGAGACTTCTGATTTGAGTCCTGAGTATCCTGTATGTTGGCCATGCCTCTTCGGATAAGTTAACTTCTCTACACTTAATTAATAACTCATCTGATAAATAGTGATAATAATAGTATTCACTACATGAGGTTGTTGAGGTAATTTAAATGAGGTAATGTAAATAGTGCATTTAGCAAAATGACACATAAAGTATGGTCAATGAACATTTGTTTATTGTAATTACTGCTACTACCACTACAACTAACTCCACTCATTATTATTTAGGGCTATATTATAAACAATTAAGGAAAGTTACATTTAGGTTTCCTGATTCAAACACTAGTGCCCTGGCAACCTTAAATGTGGCTATTTAATCATACGCACACACACACACAAATTAAAGAGCACCCCTATTTGTAGATAACCACCATTATATTATGAAGGGTATGGTATTTCATAATTTTGTAAAGGCAAAGCCACTCCTCTGTCTGTACAATCTCACTCACTGTGAAGCTGGTTTGGAATCAGCAGCTGGAGGAAGCTCTGGAGTGTTCTCACAAATGAAGTGTGACAGCTCTGAAAATATAAAGCAGTGAGCTACAAAAACTAATTATAATTTATCTTTAGGCTTCAGAGCTTGAGGTTCAAACCTCCCTGTCTCTGTCTCTCACACAGACACATACAAACATACATACACGTACACACACACATTTATACACATGCACATGAACACACACATACACACCGTCATTAGACATATGTGCAGTGTTTTCTATATTGACCTCTTCTCTCTTCAACCCACTTTGGTGTCCTACAATTATAATCAATAACTATATATAGATGTGCCACACTTGAAATTCCAACATGATGGTAAATATCCTTTCCATTAGACTTCGCATTATATCCATGAAAGTTGAGTGGATTAGGATATGGTAAGAAGGTTGTTTTTTAGAATAAAATATTTTGTTCTTAGACATTCTACCAAGACATTGTATTGCTTCTGGGAAAACTTCTAGCCGTTGTGTGTGGTAAGAATTTTGAGCTCAGGCCGACTGGGATCAAATCCTGGCTCTCTACTAGGGCAAGTTTCAAACACTATGAAGCTCAATTTCTTTTTCTGTAGGGAGAACTACCATAAATAACTACTTTTGTTATTGTTAATATTTATTATTATTATTATTATTATTATTATTATTATTACTTGCAACCAAGACTGAGAGAGTCTGAGAAATCTGTAGTAATCCAAATCCACCACTCAAGGGGAAACTATTTGATGAATATCTTAAAGAACAAGTTCTCAGCCTAAGTTTCTCAGAGAGCAAAGCCTGGGGCAAGGGCTGTGTGTGGGCAGCTCATTTTTGGAAGCAACTTCAGATATGAGGAGTGGAGAACTGGGGAAAATGAGTCAAGGATAACAGAGAAGTCAATTAATAGGAACATTCTTAAGTTAATCTCCACTGGGCTCAGTAGTTCCATTGCCTGTCCCTACAGTGTTCCTCTAAGCAACTGGGTATAATACAGCTTACAATTGCCCATCTGAAAGAAGAAAAGGGTATTTATCCACTAGCTTCCATCTCCCATGTTCAAGTGTTGGCCCATGGAGCAGCAACTCCCTAGAGCATCCAGGATTCATGTGTGTTGGTGCTGGGAATGTTTTTATAATCATCTCACTGTGTGGATGTGAGAGAGGGCCCATGGCAGAAGTGAAAGATACTTGTTTCAGCTGAAGAAAGGGGCTGTCAGATCACACTGCTGCTAGCTGGCTGCCCATGGTCCTAGTAAAAGATGAACCAGGAGGATGTGAGAACGGGCCCAAGGTCAATCTTCTACAAGCATTTTCTCTAACAAGAGGATCATAGTAACAATGGCTGAGTAGCCATCTTTACTAGGATTTGCAAGAATATGAACTGCTTATAAATTCAGATAGTCATTAATGTCTTTGGGGGATAGAAAATGGAAGCAAGGCCGGGCACAGTGGCTCACGGCTATAATCTCAGCACTTTGGGATGCCCAGGAGGGTGGATTACCTGAGGTCAGGAGTTCCAGACCAGCCTGGCCAATATGGTGAAACCCCATCTCTACTAAAAATACAAAAATCAGCCAGGCGTGGTGGTGGGCACCTGTTATCCCAGCTACTCGGGAGGCTGAGGCAGGAGAATCGTTTGAACCCGGGAGATGGAGGTTGTGGTGAGCCGAGATCGCACCACTGAACTCCA
This sequence comes from Homo sapiens, assembly GCF_000001405.40. NCBI lineage: Eukaryota > Metazoa > Chordata > Mammalia > Primates > Hominidae > Homo > Homo sapiens. The sequence goes on from NC_000017.11 coordinate 70,019,033, forward strand.
GCCTGGGTGACAGAGTGAGATTCCCTCTCAAAAGAAAAAAAAAAAAGAAAATGGAAGCAAATGCATGATTTCCCCTCTTCTATCTAATGTAAAGTTTTTCAACTTTGGCACTATTTACATACTGGGCTAGATACAATTTCTCTGTGGGCTGGGCTGGCTTGAGCACTGCAGAGTCTTGGCAGTATCTCTGGTCTCTATCTACTAGATACCTGCGGCAGTTTTCCCTCCTTCCCCCACCCAGTGTCTCCAGACCTTACCAGATATTCCTAAGTTTCAGGCAATTGCCCCTAGTTGAGAACCACTTATCTAATAAAACTGAGATGTTTCTCCCACCTCCCATTTTCTCTCTACTCTCCAACCCACAACCAAGGATCCCCAAAGCTGTTCTACTGTGGCCCATGCACAAGTGTCTCATATCTATGACTTGCACCTGCATCCTAGTGACCTGAACCAACCAAGGTTTTTCTCTGCAGCTCTGTTGACTAGAAGGGCTGTTTAAAGCAACTTGATGGGGCCAGTGCAACGGGATGTAATTAAGAGCAGTTAAATCGAAGAATCTTCTGAAAGAAAAAATATGAAGGGATTACTCAAATAATTTGTCACAATAAGTTATGTTTAAAAATATTTTTATGTGTTTTTCTCCATGTTAAAACATCCGTCATTTCAAAAGGAACAGTTGAAAGAGTAGTTTAGAAGGTTTTCTTTGGTAAGCATACACCAGACCAGCAAGTTAAGGAAGATAATATAAGTCTCCCCAGGAACAATTTTTCCCCTTTCAAATGTTACATGCTTTTTATTTTATTTATTTATTTATTTATTTATTTATCGAGACGGAGTCTAGCTCTTTCCTCCAGGCTGGAGTGCAGTGGCGTGATCTCAGCTCACTGCAACTTGTGCCTCCTGGGTTCAAGCAATTCTCCAGGCACAGTGGCTCAGGCCTGTAATCCCAGCACTTTGGGAGACCGAGGTGGATGGATCACCTGAGGTCAGGAGTTCGAGAGCAGCCTGGCCAACATGGTGAAACCCCATCTCTGCTAAAAAAAAAAAAAATACAAAAATACAAAAATTAGCCAGGCATGGTGGTGAAAGCCTGTAATCCCAGCTACCCGGGAGGCTGAGGCTACATCCTTTTTAAAGTAAACTTTTAAATTGAGAATAAATTTTGATTTACAGAAAAAAATCTTGAAAGTAACACAGAGGCTTCCTATAAGCTATGCACTCAGTTATCCCTATTTTTAATAGCTGACATTAGTATGGTAAGTCTGCCACAATTAATGAATCAGTATTAATAGTTTAATGTTAACTAAAGTCTGTGCTTTATTCGGATGTCTTTGGATTTTCCCCTAATGTCCTTTTTCTGTTCCAGGATCCCATCCAGGACACCACATTACATTTACTCAATTTACTCATCATGTGACCTCGGACCATTCTTGACTGTGACATTTTGTAGCATCCTTTTTAATCCTGGGCTCCTAAGTCGACAGGCATCAGGTAAATCTCAAGGCATCTTAGGTCAGAGCAGTCATGATTAGGGATGAGGAAACAAGGGCTGAGGCTTTGCTATCTCTGTGTACATAAGGGGAATGCTAGATAATTGGAATTTGATTAGATAGCTCTAATGTCGAAACAATAAAGGATATAATTTCATAACTAGGCAAAATGTTCCTAGACACAAAAAGACTTTCTGTGGCTTTGGATCTTGGTCCTAGCCTCCCTTTTTAGCCTCATTTATTTCTGTTCCTCTTATGTCCTAAGATCAAAGTGTCCATACTAGTCCCGACTCGGTGCTAGATATGTGTTTTAAATTTGTTTGGAATGTGTTTCCCCTACATCTCTACCCATTGACATCCTAAGCATTTCTCAAGGTCACCTCCTCTATTTGTCTTCCTGACAGTCAGTAACTCCCTCATCTACTCTGCTCCAGTCTCAGCTTGTGCTTTTCCCAGTTAATTTTGCATTCCACGTAGGCGCAATTAATATTAATAATAATATTGGGTGGCTGAGGCAGGCAGATCACAAGGTCAGGAGTTCGAGACCAGCCTGACCAACATGGTGAAACCCCTTCTCTACTAAAAATATAAAAAAATTAGCTGGGAGTGGTGGTGCGTGGCTGTAATCCTAGCTACTTAGGAGGCTGAGGCAGGAGAATCACTTGAACCCAGGAGGTGGAGGCTGCAGTGAGCAGAGATCACGCCATTGCACTCCAGCCTGAGCCACAAAGTGAGACTCTGTCTCAAAAAATATATGTATTAATAATAACAACCACACATTGCATTTTTACCATGTGCCCTGTGCAAGAACATACACTTCCTTGTGTAATCTCCATGACAACCTTAGAGGGTAACTACTAGTTACCCCCACTTTACGGAAGAAGCTATTGAGGCATAACACATTTAAGTAAGCTGCTCATTCTCTCATAGCTAGGAAGTGGGCAAGCAATACCTTGAGGTCGAATCCGTCTGATTCTTAATAAGGTCTGACAGTAGTGCCTATTTATTCTAGCTTCTCACATGACTCTGCTACCACCTTCCTTGATGAAACCCACTATTCTCCATTCTACAATAGCCTGTAAACTACTTAGAAAGAGGGGTTCCATTTTATTCATAACTGCATGCACAAAGCTTTATGCATTTAAGGCCTTCAGTAAAGGATTACTGAAATGATTTTCTTAAATTAAAAGAAAAATAGTAACGTTATTGTGGCCTGTAAGCTTGAAGCTGGCAGCTCTGAAAGCAAGTTGGAAGAATGCGCATGGGAGGAGAAAAGCTAAAAATACCTTCTCATTAAAGTAATGATCAGAAATACCAGTGAACTTTGCGAAGAGAAATTCTTCAGGTTCTCCAGTATTAGACGGCACTGGGGCTGAGGTCTAATTGTAGGAAACAGTGCCCTGTCCAGGGCTTTTCTCTTGCCTACACTGGAAAATGACAAGGTGTAGTGGAATGCGGTCTGCTTGGGATTTGGGGATTCAGCTTGCAGCCTGCCAGGAACTAACTCTGTGACCTCCAGAAATCTTCTTAATCTTTCCGGGCTCCAGTTTCCTCACCTGTAAAATGCTGGTGAAGGACCTTGGGCAAACTCTAAAGATTCCTCCAGCTCTAACATTCTATGATTTTAGATGTAATTATGTGACTCCTGGAAGCAATATTCATCCACACAGGCTTTCTGGGGAAAAAAAAATGGGAAGGAAAAAGGAAAAGAAAAACACTTCCATAAAAGTATTTATAGTACAGCCAGTGACTATGAATCATGGCATAATTAATTCTCTTTTATAAAGTTGCCTTGTTTCCTAGCAGTGCAGTAATTCCCAAGCCCTGTTCAACGGCAGCTCCATTGACAGATATGCCACTTTCCTTGTCTCTTTGCAGTGAATAAGTTCAAACCATCCAGACTAATCTCTGAGTCTCTGCCAGCTCCAAATGTCTGTAGCTGAATGAGTCTAATCATCTGTGACTGACTGACAGATACGGTTGCTAAAGGATATAAGATATATGTGATCTATCTTGACTTTAACGAAGCTCTGGATTAATTTCCTCACATTAGTTTTGTCCATCAAGTTTTAATATTAAATGCTTTATAATTTAATCATGATTTGCCTAGAAAAATCATAGCCATAGGCTGATTTGAAATTGCTGTGTGCTAATCCTGTAGTTATGGTAGATAACAAAAATCCTTTTCTGCAAAAATATTCACACATCCATTTCTTAAATCAGATTCTTTTTGGGTGCAGATTCTGATAACTTGTCTTCCTAATAACACCTTCCCGATGAATATTTTCTCATAAAACATTTTTCTCTAATCTCAGATCTCATTCTAGGATTCTTTAAATGGCATGCAAAGAGCTACCTGCAAGTATTCATGCCAGAGAGCTAGATGTCATCTTCATTATGTTTTATAGTTTGGTTTTATTTACTACACGTCTACCACCAAAATTGAATTGAGAAACCATGTATTTTCAGTTTCTTCTCCCTAAATTAGGGAACTGAGGAATTAGAATGCAGTTAACAGCAGCTAATTTTATGTTGAGAAATTCTACTGAATAACCAAAGTGAGAAGATTGATCTGCCCATGGAACTTATTCATGAACTTTCTCTCACCATTTATTCTCATCTTATTTCTCATTTGAATTTTGGTAGCAGCCATGTGGATAAAGGATGATGCAAATACAGTTTGGATTTTTTTCTTTAACTTTGAGTAAGGTGGCTTGCCTTCCTGATACTGGTTTTTTTCACATGTAAAATAAAGAAGTTGGGCTGGTTGACTTCTGAAGTTATGTAAAAATGAGTGTCTAAGGTAAAGATTTCACAGAGCAATCTAGATCAATCTATTCTATAACGATCTAAGCTGATTCACGTCCTAAAACAACAGATTTTTAGGGATCATTTTAAAATTCCCTTTTAAAATAGTTTTTATTTTGAAGGCTATACCTTTGTTGTATCCTTTATTGGTAATACTACATAAAATACTACATAAAATTCACAGGGTAGTGAATTTATCCAATGGAAAACTCATCATCCTTTTATCTAAGATAGTAATAGAATTTTACGTGGGCCACAATAAAAGTCTAAACATTTCAGTCACTCAGAAAATAATCAGTCTCCTATAACTGTCCCCGGGAAAGAGAGCTATGAGCCAGACAAGAAGTGTAATCCTTGGCAGAAATAACCAGTTTACTGAAATCAGGGTCTTTAGCATCCACTTGACCCCACATTGAACAGACTTAAAAGCACTGAAGGATTTCCAGCTTGGTAGCTTGATCTGCCTATTTCATTGCTTTCAGCAGATAGTAGTATTTAAAATGAGCTCTTTAGAGTTGTGTCTTTTTTTTTTTTTTTTTTTTTTTTTGAGACAGAGTCTCGCTCTTTCGCCCAGGCCAGAGTGCAGTGGCGCGATCTCGGCTCACTACAAGCTCCGCCCCCCCGGGTTCACGCCATTCTCCCGCCTCAGCCTCCCGAGTAGCTGGGAATACAGGCGCCCGCCACCGCGCCTGGCTAGTTTTTTGTATTTTTAGTAGAGACGGGGTTTCACCATGTTAACCAGGATGGTCTCGATGTCCTGACCTCGTGATCCGCCTGCCTCAGCCTCCCAAAGTGCTGGGATTACAGTTGTGAGCCACCGCGACTGGCCTAGAGTTGTGTCTTTTAATTAGAAATCCTATTTGAAAGCAGAGAACATTGCAGTTACAGAAAACAACAAATACACTCTTTCTGGTTTTAATACTATTTTCTTTTGTGAGAGGAAAAAAACCATCTGTATTAATTTATATCGTATGAAGTAAATCTTATAAATTTATAAAGAAATTCTCCAGTGTTATCTGTAAAAGGAATTATTTTGTACTGTCTGGAGGGCATAACCTCATCTGATTTCATAATGAAGCTTATAGTAATCTGTATATACAAGTTGAGAACATTGGAGAAAGGGGTGAGGAATGCACAAATGTTGCACAAAGATTGCAAAGGAAATATTGCATATTTAAACAACTACTGTTCCATACAGCAGCACAGGCCTCCAATGCCCTCTGTAATGATGTACAATGGGAAGGGACTGGCAGGTCTCAGTAGAGTCCAGGCAACTTTATTTTCTGAGGTAAGTATCTAATTATTTCCCAGGCTGCTGAACATCAATGAATAGACATGCTGATTTCTCACTTTGCAATGTCTCTCGTGATTTCCTTGACTGAGTGGATAAATCAGCCGGAGTTCTGAAGCTGTAGGTTCAATGTGGCAATTTTTTTATTTCTATCTACTACAAAAATGAATTCCAACTAGGACTTATTTAGAGATAAGAGAAACAATTTCTGATTGGTGTTGCCTAATGCGCTAGTTAATTCCAATCTTTAATCCTGCCCTGTTGGCTCAATCTAAAAGAGACATCTTTTTTTTTTTTTTTTTTTTTTTTTAATCTAGGGCATGTCGTTGGTTCCAGTTGTCTTTTGTAATACACGCTTTGTCTACCTGGAGCTGGAGAGAATGAGAACAATAACACTGAGAAGAGAAATAGAGGTATATTTCCTTGTGTCAAAAAACAAAACAACAAAACAAAAACTCTACTAATTCAAAACTAAACAAACCAACCTCCCCCTTTGCAGGCAGGGACACGTGATTGGAAGCAGAATAAGAATTGTTCTCCCATTGTATGTTGGCACTCACATAAAAATAGAGTTTGTACTCTATCATTCTTTAAAATGAAGTTTTATACTAATATGTCTGTTTATAGTTCTGTGGGCATTTAGGTTGATTCCATGTCTTTGCTATTGTAAACAGTGCTGCAATGAACATACACGTGTATGTGTCTTTATGGTAGAATGACTTATATTCCTTGGACATAGACCCAGTAATGGGACTGTTGGATTGAATGGTAGTTCTGTTTTTAGCTCCTTGAGGAATCGCCACACTGCTTTCTACCATGTCTGAACTAATTTACACTCCCACCAACAGTATATAAGGATTCCTTTTTCTTCACAACCTGGTCAGCATCTGTTATTAATAATAGCCATTCTGACTGGTGTGACATGGTATCTCATTGTGGTTTTGATGTCCATTTCTGTAATGACCAGTGATGTTGAGCTTTTTTTCATGTTTCTTGGCCACATGTCTGTCTTCTTTTGAAAAGCGTTCATTCACTTTGTTCTTTCCCCACTTTCTGATGGGTTTTTTTCATGTAAATATGTTTAAGTTCCTTACAGATGCTGGATATTAGACTTCAGAGCTACAATAACCAAAAAAGGCATGGTACTGGTACAAAAACAGACACACAGACCAATGGAACAGAATGGAGAACCAAAAAATAAGGCCACACACCTACAACTATCCGATCTTCAAGAAACCTGACAGAAACAAGCAATGGGGGAAGGATTCCCTATTCAATAAATGGTGCTGGGATGACTAGTTAGCCATATGCAGAAGATGGAAACTGGACTCCTTCCTCAAACCGTGTACAAAAATTAACTCAAGATAGATTAAAGACTTAAATGTAAAATTCAAAACTTTAAAACCCTGGGAGAAAATCTAGGCAACATCACTCTAGACATAGGAATGGCAAAGATTTCATGACAAAGGCACCAAAAGCAATTGCAACACAAGCAAGAATGGACAAATAGGATCTAATTAAAGTTAAAGAGCTTCTGCACAGTAGAGGAAACTATCAACAGAGTGCACAGACAACCTACAGAATGGGAGAAAATTTTTGCAAACTATGCATCTGACAAAGGTCTAAATCCAGCGTCTATAAGAACTTGCATAGCTTGAATCAGTCCTGCATCCCAGGAATAAAGCTTAATTGATCATGGTGAATTCACTTTTTGAGGTACTGCTGGATTTGGTTTGCTAGTATTTTGTTGATAATTTTTACATCTTTGTTTATCAGAGACATTGGCCTGAAGTTTTCATTTTTGTTGCATCTATGCTAGGTTTTGATGTCAGAATAATGCTGGCTTTATAGAATGAGTTGGGGGGTATTTCTTCTCATTATTTTCTTTTTTTTTTTTAAATAGTTTCAGTAGAATTGGTACTAGCTGTTATTTATATGTCTGGTAGAATTCAGCTGTGAATCCATCTAGTCCAGGGATTTGTTTGTTTTTATTACTGATTCAATTTTGGAACTTGTTATTGGTCTGTTCAGGATTTTAATTTCTTCCTGGTTAAATCTTGGGAGGTTATGTGTTTCCAGGAATGTATTCATTTCGTCTCAGCTTTCTAGTTTGTCTGCATAGACAAGTTTATAATAGTCTCTGAGGACTTTTTTGCATTTCTGTGGAGAAGTGGTAATATCACTTTGTTATTTCTGATTGTGCTTATTTGAATCTCTTTTTTGTGTTAATCTAGCTAATGGTCTATTAATCTTGTTTATTCTTTCAAAGAACAAACTTTTGGTTTTGTTGATTTTTTTTGTATGAACTTTTTCATCTCAGTTTTGTTCAGTTCTTCTCTGATTTTGGTTATTTCTTTTCTTCTGCTAGCTTTGGGGTTAGTTTGCTCTAGCTTTTCCAGTACTTCCAGATGCAATGTTAGGTTGGTTAATTTGAGATTCTTCCAACTTCTTGATGTAAGCATTGAGCACTATAAGCTTTCCTCTTAATACTACTTTAGCTATCTACCAAAGATTTTGGTGTGTTGTGTCTCTGTTTTTATTAGTTTCAAAGAACTTTTTGATTTCTACCTTAGTTTTATTATTTATCCAAAGTCATTCAGGTGCAGCTTGTTTAATTTCAATGTAATTGTATGGTTTTGAGATATCTTCTTGTTATTGATTTCTGTTTTATTGCACTGTGGTCCAAGAGTATGTTTGGTATGATTTCTATTTTTTTTTTTTTTGAATCTTTGAGATTTGCTTTACAGCCAAGCAGGAGGTCAATCTTAGAGTATCTGTCACGTGCAGATAAGAAGAATGTATATTCTCTTGTGGTTTGGTAGAGCATTCTGTGTCTATTAGGTCCAATTGTTCAAGTGTTGAGTTTAAGTCCAGAATAGCTTTATTAATTATCTGCTTCAATAATTTGTTTAATCCTGTCAGTGGGATGTTGAAGTCTCCCATTATTATTGTGTGGTTATCTAAGTCTCTCCATAGGTCTCCAGGAAATTGTTTTATAAATCTGGGTGTTACAACTTTGACTGCATATATATTTAGGATAGTTATGTTGTTGAATTGAACCCTTTATCATTATATAATGCCCTTTTTTGTCCTTTTTGATCATTGTTGGTTTCAAGTCTGTTATATCTGATATAAAAATAGCAATTCTTGCTCTTTTTTCCAATTTGCATGACACATATTTCTGAAATCTTTTACTTTGAGGTTATCAGTGTCGTTACATCTGAGATGAGTCTCTTGAAGACAGCAGACAGAAAGGTTTTGTTTCTTTTTTCAACTTGTCACTCTATGCCTTTTAAGTGGGCATGTCCCACTTAAAATGGGGCATTGTTCCATTTACATTCAAAGTTAATACTGATAAGTGAGAATTTGATTCTGTCATTGTGTTATTAGCTGGTTGTTAAGTAGACTTGATTGTGTAGTTGCTTTATAGTGTCCATGGGCTATGTACTTAAGAGTTTTCTGGTGGCAGGTACCTTTCTTTCATTTCATTTATTTCATTGTTTAGCACTCCTTTAAGGACCTCTTTTCAGGCAGTTCTAGTGGTAATGAATTCCTTTAACATTTGCTTGTCTGAAAGGATTTTATTTCTCCTTCACTTATGAAGCTTAGATTGGCAGAATATGAAATCCTTGGTTTAAATTTCTATTCCTTATAGATGCTGAAAATAGGCCCCCAATCTCTTCTGGCTTGTAAGGTTTCTGCTGAAAGATCCATTGTTAGCCTGACTGGGTTCTCTTTGAAAGTGGCATGCCCCTTCGCTCTAGCTGCCTTTAAGATTTTTTCTTTTGTGTTGACCTTGGTGAATCTGATGACTATGTGCCTCAGGGATGGTTGTCTTGTATAGTATCTCACAAAAGCTTTCTGAATTTTTTGAATTTGCATGTTGACCTCTTTAGTGATATTGAGAACATTTTCATGGACCATATACACAAATGCATTTTCCAAGTTGCTTACTCTTTCTCCTTCTCTTTCATGAATGCCAAATGAGTCATATGTTTGATCTCTTTACACAGTCTCTCACATTTCTTAAATCAAGGCTTTTTTTCCTTTTTCTGATTATTTTTTCTTTATTCTTGTCTGCCTGTGTTGATTCAAAGGAATGGTCTTCAAGCTCTGAGATTTTTCCCTTAGCTTGGCCTATTCTGTTGTTAATGCTTCCAGTTGAATTCTGAAATTCCCATAATAAATTGTTTAAGTCCAGAAGTTGTTTTGTTCTTTCTTAAGATGGCTATTTTATCTTTCAACTCTTGGATTGTTTTACTGTTGCCCTTGGATGGGGTTTCAACCTTCCTCTGTACCTTATTGAGTTTCTTTGCTGTCTGGATTCTGAATTCTATATCTGTCATTTCGGCCATTTCAATCTGGTTAAAGACCATTGCTGGGGAACTAGTGTAGTTGTTTGGAGATAAGAAGACACTCTGGCTGTTAGAGTTGCCTGAGTTCTTGTGCTGGTTCTTTCTTATCTGTGAGGACTAATATAACTTTATTCTTTTAAGTTGATATCCTTTGGGTGGGGCTGTTTGTTTTTATGTTCTTCATTTCCCTTGAGGTATGGTAGATTGGCTTCATTTCTAGATGCCTTCAGAGGGCCAAGGCTCAGTTCCACATTCCTGGGTTGCATTCTCTAAATCCAGGCAGCTGGGACTAGGCTGATAGCTTTGTCCTCTGGCCCCTCAAGATCAAGCAGTAGCTGTGCTGGGGTGGGGGGGCCCAAGGTGCTCCCAGGCTACTGACAAAAGCACTCCCTTGGGGGCTGCTAATGAAAGTGCTCCAGTGTGATAGCAGGGGCTAGCTGGAACAAAAAAACATTCCAGCAGGTGGCAGGGGGCTGCTGGTAAAAGTGCTATGGCAGTGGTCACTGGCAAATGTGCTCCAGCAGAGCAGTGGAGGCTGCACTGCGTGTCCACTCCCAAAGGAGCCTCCAGGTAGGGACTCCGGGAGGGACTGGCAGACAAGGGGGAACATAGATCATACTCACTGTGGTTCCACAGCCCTGCTGTCTGCAGGCCTGACTGTTAGCAAAGGTCAGAGCCAGCTGGGGGAGTATGGAGAACCTTGGGGGATAGGCACCTATTGCTGATTTCCTTTGCAGCTATCTCCACACCAAACCCCCTGGGCTCTGCATAGACTCAGGCTCTGTCTCTGCCGATGCTCCACGCAGATCTCCCTGTCAACTTACTTGTCCATAGGGGTCATAAGCTCTGCAGCCAAGACACGGGAGATCTGTGGCAAGAGTAGGTTGCACTGCAGTTATTTCACTCACCACTATCCTTAGGAGTGGCTCAGGGTCAGGAATGAGTTCTGGTGTTCATCAGTTGCACACAGGGTTCCCAACTTCCTCCTTCTTCAGCTCCTGTGTCTGCATTGTCTCTTCATTCACTCTCAGCACATTCTGTCAGAAGGATCTCTATTTGGAGTATACTGGTCTGCTTGGGAGTCTGATGGCTCTAGATGGAAGAAGCTCTTCCTAGCTGTGTCTAGTCAGCCATCTTTATTCTTTGTCTTTTGCTCTGTACAGCTAGTCACCTCCAAGACAATACCAGGAGGATGTTGCAAATCCTCTATTTAAATTTTGTGACTATTAATTATGTCAAAAAATTTATGTAGTAAGGTAATGTATTGTTTCAAATAGAGTTTAAGTTAACTAGAGGGATACATGAGTAAGGAAATCATTTTTTCCGCTTCTTTTAGCTCATTTTCATTAGCCAATCTAATTCTACACTCTTAACACTCTCTTAGAAAAAAAAAAAAGTTCTACTTATGTAGCTTCAATGGATTGGGAAGTAACAAGTGGTACCAAAAGTTCATTATATCCTAATTTTCCACCCTGGGTCTCAAAGCAATATTGTCTTATAGTTTAGGTTTTTTCCCATGTGCTGGACATGATATGTGATGGAAAGAATGCTTGGTAATTAACCTTGGATCATAACTTGGCAGCTGCTAGGTCTCCCATCTTTAATAGCCATTCACAAGAAGTTGAATTGGGTCCCAAGCTGTCATCCAAATAAGCAGAATGTGTCCTAAGGCAGATCAAATCTAATTACAGGGCTCTAGAGCTATTCCCTTTCCATTCTCCTTAAAAAGAGGCCACTCATACTGCTCCAGCTCCCCTTACGCATTTTGCAGCAGTATCAGGTGGTTCCCAGTAATTCACTGACTCGTAAACCAAACTGATAGAAGTTCTGACTCTTACTAGTCCAATTGAGGTCCTCTGGTAATTGTCTTCTGGTAGAAAGTTGTGGATTTTGCATTATTATTGTGAGACCTCCAATTCATAGACAAGGACCACATGCTCTCCTTCCATATTCTCCTAAATTAGAAAACTTCAATGAGTGTGTTATATATCTCCATCCCAACAAATATTTATCTTCCTTGGCTTTCTAGCATCCTTTACATTTCTCCGTTTCCCTAGGCCCCTAGCAATTATGAAATCCATTAACTATAATTATAAAGCTCCATTAAAAATTTGATATACACAGCAGTTAATATTCACCATCTGTAATCTTCCAAATGAATATTTGTTTATTTCAGTACTTCAGCTGCTACATCTAAAAATGAAGGTAAATAATTTGACAAGGGCCTCAAAAGCCCTGAATATTTTATTTCAACTGAGCAGTATGTGACTTCTTAAAATATCTCAGGCTCTTTCTTTCATAATGCCCCTATTGATTTCTTTTTTTAGAAGACTAGAAAGGGAAAGGATTTAGGTTACAAAATTCATACTTATTTTTAGTAAAGTATTTAAAAACCAAAAGGTATCATTAGAGAAATGCTATTATATTGTCAGTGCAATCCCCAGTTAATATGTGAGGCACTCAATTTAAAATGGTCAAGAGAAAAATCATCATCTTCATCATCATCTGTGGAATCTAACATACTAGTTCCAGTCAGAATTCTTGTTTGGAATAGAAACCAACAAACCCACTCTGGTTAACTTAAGCAGAAAAGGGATTGCTCATCAGATCTATAATAGCTCTCAGATTCAAGCTGGAGAACCAGACTCAGGGAGAAATCAAGGAAGTAAAGGTGCAGCCAAGGAGTCCCCAGTGGACTTCATGGTATCACTGTTGACAAACAAACCTTTGATATTGCTGTCTCTTGTGCCTTCACCCCTGGACACTGGCTGCTGCTCTGCCAGTATCCACTGTCTCTAAATATTCGTTGTTATGCCACTGGGAATCTCCAGATTACAGTGAAAAAATTCTGACTCTATACCTTCACTTCTCTTCCTTTTTTTTTCAGTTTCAAATGCAGGCCACAGCTTCTGATTAGTTGAGCTGTTAATATGTTCAGGGTCTAGGTTCCCAGATGTATTAGGCCGTTTTCATGCTGCTGATACAGACATACCTGAGACTGGGTAATTTATAAAGAAAAAGAGGTTTGATGGACTCACAGTTCCACATGGCTGGAGAGGCCTCACAATCATGGCAGAAGGCAAAAGTCACATCTTACATGGTGGCAGACAAGAGAGAATGAGAGCCAAGTGAAAGGGGTTTCCCTTTATAAAACCATCAGATCTCATGAGATTTACTCACTACCACCAGAATATTATGGGGGAAACTGCCTCCATGATTCCGTTATCTCCCACCATGTCCCTTCCACAACACATAGGAATTATGGGAGCTACAATTCAAAATGAAATTTGGGTGGGGTCACAGCCGAACCATATCACCAGAGGAAAAGGCAAGATATACTTTATGCTCCTTTTGTTTTATAGTAGAAAGTGTAATTCCACCTCTGTGTCAGTCTATTCTCACACTGCTATAAGGACATACCTGAGACTGGGTAATTTATAAAGAAAAGAGTTTTAATTGACTCACAGTTCAGTGTGGCTGGGGAGGCCTTAGGAACCTTGCAATCATGGCAGAATGGGAAGCAAACATGTCCTTCTTCACATGATGGTAGGAGAAAGAAGTGCCAAACAAAGGGAGAAAAGCCCCTTAAAAAACCATCAGATCTCCTGAGAACTTACTCACTATCATGAGAACCTCATGGGGGAAACCGCCCTCATGATTCAATTATCTCCACCTGATCCCACTATTGACATGTGGGGATTATTACAAATCAAGGTGAAATTTGGGTAGGGACACAGAGCCAAACCACATCAACCTCTACCTATCCTTTGAGTAGCCACAAATCTTGGTTTGTGGTAATAGCCATGATTTTAGCCCATTGTTCAGGAGTAATGATGAATAATGCTCCCTTTATTCCAAAATGTATTCAGGTTTAGATGATAAATGATGTGCTTGTCTTGCTTATCAAAGGATTTCGCCTCATATTCAAAGGATGTTTAGATGCTGGGAAATCAGATTTTATACTCTTTGTTTCTCACAAAGACACAAAGTGTGACTGATGCTTCTTTACCATTTTTCTTCCCACAAAATGGGGATGGAAACATACTTTTGCATATCATTATTTCTTGAGGTACTTTCACGTTTAATCCCTTTGAGCAAGCAGTCAACACTAACCAAACACAAACATTAGCTTCTTTCAGAATCTAGTAATGCATCCCATTTACAGGTACTATTCTTATTGATGGATGAAAAAGGTAGAGAATAACTAAGTTCTCTCATATGAAAGCTTATAAAAGTAATTTATCACATATGCATCTACTGCTAAATAGTATCATTTGTGTGCCCAAAGCAATATGTGCTCAGATGGGAAAGCTTTCTAGAGATAGTAACTAGAGTAGTTTATGGTTTTGCTAATGTGAGCCAAGTGGGATCAAAGGGCAAAGAAATTATTTTCCCTCCACCCTCAATTGGGATGGTGACCAAGATAAGCCATTTACCTGCCATAGCCTGAAAGTAGTATCTCCTCCTCTTCTCCCTGTTTTTCTAGCCAATTGCATCTGAGGCATTCATTTTCTTTTATCATCCACTTCCTGGTAATATTATTATGCTTTCTTGCTATCTAGATAATATGTATTTTGATGGTCCATACCACTTAAGTTGGGTACCCTTTGAAGTAGGAAACCATACCTTGATCATCATTGTTTTTTTTAGTCACACCTGACACAGTGATTTGTATGCAAAGGTTCTTGATTTTTAACACTATAATTAAAATGTAACCATGCACAGTGTAATGTACATAACAAAGGTTCAAACTGTGTGTTAAATGATCGAACATAATTCCGAGTAAAAAGAGCCATTTGGAAATTACATAAGTTTCTGGAGATACTGGATGTAGAATCCTCAGTATCTTATAAACTAAATTCTGCAAAGAAATACATTAGGAACCTTGGAAGATGTCTTTTTTATATGTTATTCTGGAAGATGTCTTTTTTATATGTCATGCTGTTAATGTAATACAATACAGGAGGAGCAGTCTTCTTCCCAAAGAAACTTACTAGCTCTCTGGAAGTTACTCTTGTGAGTTTATTTTAATGGAATTGCACCTTATGAATTTTGATTGACAAGGACTACCAACTGTGACCTTTGTGACTTATCTTGATATTTTAGTTCCTTGAGATGAGTTTGTTCTTCATCATTGAGAAGTAATAAACTGAAAATAGATGCCTCCACAGAGACCATAATAGAGAACACTTTCAAAGGGGAAATTGCTTTTGCTCAGAGAAATGTTCTCACCATTTTACTTTTTTGATTGTTTTCTCACACCTTATTTCACATAGGAAGACGTTTTCTTTAATTACCGTAATCAAATGTGCGCTCATAGGAAGTGACTCAAAGGAAAAAGGTGTAGACTCCTATGAACTGATAACATAGAAGCTGGTGACCACACAGGAAGGCCTTCAACATGGAAACACAATGTTAGTTTTCTGCCAGGATTTCATGGCCAATGATAAGGCATTGCATTCCCTTGTACATATTTACATAACTTCATGAAATTGCTTTTAAGTAAGGCTTGCAAGATGCATTACGTATGTGGAATTAACTTATATTTCATTACATTGTATGGTTTAGGCTCGTTGAAATGCACAGTTTTCCTAGTTTTGAGTCTGAAATGAAGAAGTAAATATTTGTTCATTCACTCAGCAAGTATTTATTGAGTGTCTACTATGTGCAAGGCATTATTCTAGGGTCTATAGATACAGAAATAAACAAGACAATGTTCTTTTCCAGTCCTGGAATATTAGGGTAACATGGAGAAGATGGGAGTGGAGACATAATAAACAAATGGACAAATATATATACATATATAAAAAATATAAAAATGTTATAATGTAAATATATTTTATCAGGTCATTGTAAGTGCATTGGAAAGCATGAGACAAGGAGAAGAATAAGACACTGCCAGTGAAATCAGGAATTTCTATTTTAAATAGGTGGCCAAAGAAGTTGTTCTAAGGAGGTGCTGCATGATATAAAATCAGATATAGGTTTAGTGAGAGTAACATCATGTGGATAAGTGACAGCAGAATTTTCTGGATAGAAAAATCGTTGAACTTGCTGCCCTAAGTAATATCCTCTTCCAAGAAAAGGCAAGGTGTTCGGACAAGGAGGGTGAGTGTTACAAGGTGAAGTAAGAATATTAGCAAGAACTAAATCATGTGCTTATGCAGGCCTTGATACTCCCTCTGAAAGTTATACCAAATTTTTTATATATATATATATATATATATATATATATATATATATATATAACGTATACTTATATATATATAATGTATGTTTATCAATGAGTTCTCTGAAACACCAACTTTTGTATCATTGTAACTGCCTCTTCTATCTCCTTTCTTTTCCTCCTTTCTTATTCCCTTTCAAATGTACCATACTTGAGCTTTTATGCTACACCTGGTTTTTACATAGAAAAGGAATTTAATGAGAGTGTGCCTGTCACTGCACAAAGAATATTCCCATTTGATCTTTACAGCTACCTTCTTTTTTTTTTTTCTGAGACGGAGTCTCGCTCTGTCGCCCAGGCTGGAGTGCAGTGGCGTGATCTCGGCTCACTGCAAGCTCCGCCTCCCGGGTTCACGCCACTCTCCTGCCTCAGCCTCCCCAGCAGCTGGGACTACAGGCGCCCGCCACCACGCCCGGCTAATTTTTTGTATTTTTAGTAGAGACGGGGTTTCACCGTGTTAGCCAGGATGGTCTCCATCTCCTGACCTTGTGATCCGCCCACCTCGGCCTCCCAAAGTGCTGGGATTACAGGCATGAGCCACTGCGCCCGGCTACAACTACCTTCTAAGGCAAGGCTGAGGTTAAGTAAGGAGTCATGAGGTTCATAAGCTTAAGGCTGTTTGAGCTCCTCCTGTTCTGCCACACTACCACCATCTCCATGGCTCAAGGGATGAAGTGGACCCTTCATCATCTCACCTGAAAATTGAGTGGGTGGGCTTTACCCCAAAGGGTATATGAAAGGTTGACCTTGGACTCGTATCCTAAAGCCAGCCAGACTATTTTCCAGTTGTATCCAGTCCTTCCTCACTTCCCTTGTCTGCTGCCAGGGGGAAGAATTCTAAAGTAATTAGCTAGAACTGGTCCTACTAGAGTATGGTGAAGGCGGCTTCTGCCCAAGAAATTTACCTTGTTTTGTGGTCTCTCTGTTCATGTGGGTCTCACTCATAGATAAAAGTGGTGTGGCCAAGAATGGAATTGAGAACACTGCCTCCAATAAGACAAAACTAAATAAGCCAAATGGTGGAATTTCAAGGCCTATACACCGTGTCTGGGTTTCACGGGTAAGCTATTCATCTGCATTTCCTGTATGCTTGTAGTCACTTTTCATTTGCATGTTCCCAGAGAGAAATAAAATACTGATATAAACAAAGGAATTGGAGCAAGGCAGGTTGGTTCTTGGGAGATACAAATATTAACTCTTATTCTGTCTTTCTAGATTTTTTGCTTCAAAATATTCTGTTCACCGCTAAGATTTTAATGAAAAGAAACATCTATAAGAAATGTTTCTCTATGTGTACCTCTTAGAAATGTAATAACTTATTTATGCAAATGTAAATTATTAAAATAAGTAATTAATATTGATTTATTATTCTAATGCCTCTTCTGAAGAACTCTTCTAGCTGTGAACTGAAAGTTATATCTTGAAAGTGTGCAGCATTTGGAACCAGATGAAGCCAAGTTTAAGGCTGGGCATCCTTGCTTACTGGTTGTATTTCTTTGGCTAGTTAAGTTCTGTGAGTCTCAATTATTAAATCTGTAAGTGGGTATAATAACTCCCCTAATTATACTGTGAGG
This sequence comes from Homo sapiens, assembly GCF_000001405.40. Classification (NCBI taxonomy): domain Eukaryota; kingdom Metazoa; phylum Chordata; class Mammalia; order Primates; family Hominidae; genus Homo; species Homo sapiens. Next base: position 70,036,780 of record NC_000017.11, read on the forward strand.
TATATATTATTATGTGAGGCAATGTATATTAAAGTATTATACATTGGAAACCCCACAAAGGTAAGGTGTTATTAGTAATAACCATCATTTAATGCTGTTCACACATGACATGTATATATAGTCACTCCACAAAGCCTGTGATTATCTAAATTGGTGATTAGAAGAGTAACAGAAGTTCTTTCCAAAGACAACACATGAATTCAAAGATTGAAAAAACATTCTTCCATCACAAAGAGAAGACTTTACACTTTCTGTTCTATTTTGTGAAGAGGATATGGAAATTAAAGTAAGCCTTATGTATTTTTTCCAAAATATGGATATTAAATCAGAGAAACAAATAAAGAACAAAAGCCACAACAATAACAACAGCAACAAGCAAACTAAGAGTCTTCTGGCTCAGTTCAAGGCAATAACCTGTATTGTAGGTAACAATAGTGATTACTCCGTATTTTCTCTTTTTATTAATAGAAGAAACTCAAAGAAGAAGAAGAAAGTCTGGCTTCCTTTTACTATTTGTGACTATACATAAAATAGAACTGGAAAAGAGAATAATAATTATCCTCTTGTTTGACTTATGTCAACAGCTTTTTTTATTGTCATAAAGACAAAATAAGACAAAAAGCATTCCCTTATAAAAGTGTGAATTGTTACTAAATTATCTAGATAATTTCTTCTACTCTGTTTTACTGTTGCTGAATGTTTTACTTATTGTCCCCAATAATGTTGTATGGCCATGTTCCAAAGACTTTTAAACATTTTTTGATTTACGCACACTTTCTATTAGCCATTTTCTAAAAAGATTTTTTTCCCAAAGCAAGTTGAGTAATCATGCTTTCTATTTTTAATTTATACTTAACACTCTATTTTCGTTCTCACCATTCATGTGCTCTGTGTTTACTTACCTTGCTTCAGACAGGTCTGTTTCCCTTTCTCTTTTATGGAAAACTTCACCATCTGTTCCCAATGCTGTAATAGCTTACCATGGTATTTAGGTTTATAGTGGGTAGGACTGAGGAGTGGCAAAGAGAGTTAAGAAAAAGAAAAAAAAACTGAACTGTGTCAATTGAAATTCAAGTTAATTAATGGAAAACTTTTGTGTTAATAAAACATTTTTATTGCATACTATAACATGAAGCATACATTTCCTAAAATGTATTTATTGTTATATCTACTACTAATATTATTCAGCCTTTTTTTTTTTTTTGAGACAGAATTTTGCTCTTGTCACCCAGGCTAGGGTGCAATGGTGCAATCTCGGCTCACTGCAACCTCCACCTCCCCGGTTCAAGTGATTCTCCTGTCTCAGCCTCCCTAGTAGCTGGGATTACAGGCATGCACTACCACGGCCAGCTAGTTTTTTGTACTTTTAGTAGAGACAGAGTTTCACCATGTTGGTCAGGCTGGTCTTGAACTCCTGACCTCAGCTGATCCACCCACCTCGGCCTCCGAAAGTGATGGGAATACAGGCATAAGCCACAGTGCCCAGCCTATTCAGCCCTTTTCTATTTGGAGAATGGTTGGTCTTTGCACGTTTTACGTTGTCATCCACATATAAATGAAATCAGTTGAAATAAGAACCATTATGACACTTTTACATTAAAAAGAAAGTAACTATTGAAACTTTTCAGCAAAGAAGATATACGAATGATCAGTAAGCACATAAAAAAAATTGCCCAATATCTTAGTCATTAGGGAAATGCAAGTTTAAGCCACAATGAGGTTCTATCTCACATCCACAAGGATGGTGATAACAAAAAAGTAGACAATAACAGTTGTTGAGGATGCAGAGAAACAGAAGCCTCACGCACTGCTAAGAGAAATGTAAAATGGTATAGCCATTTTGGAAAACACTTTGGCAGTTTCTTAATCAGTGAAACAAATTTATCATATAACCCAGAAATGAAATTCTACCCAAGAAATGAAAACATATGTCCACACCAAAACATATACATGCATGTTCATAGCAGCATTATTCATAATAGACAAAAAGTGGAGCCAACTCAAATCTCCATTAATTAGTGAAGGGAGAAATAAAATGTGGTATTTTCATACAATGAAATACTATTCAGCAATAATAAGATAAAGCACTGTTTCGGGCTATTACGTGGGTGAACCTTGAATGCATTATGCTAAGTGAAATAAGCCAGGTACAAAATATCATGTAATAGTATGATTCCACTTGTGTGCAAAGTCCTGAGAATACAAATCTATAGAGACAGAAAATAGATTAGTGGTTACCTGGAATTGAGGTGGAAACAGGCATTAACTATGAAGGGGCCTGAGGGATCTTATTGTGATGATTGAAACATTATAAATCTGGATTATAGTGAGACAGATGTACCACCACTAGGTACTTTACTAAAAGCCATTGAATTGCATGCTTAAAATGGGCTTGAGTACTGCAGTAGGTTTTCTGTGCAGGTGTCTTAATAAGGTTTTGTATGGAGGGAGAGGCTAGCCCTCATCTGGGAAAGAGACTTGCTAGGATTTAGTCGATTTTGTCTCTGTTTGTGCCACCTGCCCCACTATGAAAGCTTTATGACCAATAAAAACAGGAAATATGCAATTCCTGGAGCTCAGGTTTTATATTTTCCTGCCCCAGAGGACAACATAAAATCCATGTTAACCCTAGATTTTATGCATTTCAGGTGTTCAAAACAAGGTACAGTGTAATGCAGGGAACTTGAAAAGCAGAGCGTTTGACCTCAGCATCCTGAAATCAGGTGTGAGAAGAAGAAAACAAGACACCTTGTAATTAAGACAGATCCAAGACCAGATTAATAATAAATATGGCAGGAAACATTGGGAAGTGTCACCCTAGAGGCCGAACCATGGATTTTAATATGTATCCTTTCAATTAGCCATTGACTCTGTGGACATCCTTTCATACTTAATGGAAGCAGCCTATGTTAAAATTCAAATAAAATCTCAAATTTAAAATCATTTCTCATTTTCACTCTGCATTTATTATAGCAGCCTCTTTGAAGTCACTGTCCTTCTTCTTCTTTTTTTTTTTTTTTCCCCAGACAGATTCTTGCTCTGTTGTCCAGACTGGAGTGCAGTGGCACGATCTCAGCTCACTGCAACCTCCGCCTCCCCGGTTCAAGCAATTCTCCTGCCTCAGCCTCCTGAGTAGCTGGGATTACAGGCACCCGCCACCACACCTGGCTAATTTTTGTATTTTCAGTAGAGACGGGGTTTCACCATGTTGGTCAGGCTAGTCTCAAACTCCTGACCTCAAGCGGGTCTCAAACTCCTGACCTCAGGCGATCCGCTCACCTCGGCCTCCCAAAGTGCTGGGATTTCAGGCATGAGCCACGGAGCATGGCCTGAAGTCACTTTCTATCCGATAATTTATCATTCATTTTCTTTTAACATATATTAATTGGCCATTGACTCTATGGACATTCTGCTCAATGGAGAAGTCCAAAGGGATATCAAATATCCTTGAACTTTTCACCAATTTGCAGGACAGCGGAGGATACAAGTCAAACATATACATAGATAAATTACTGCAATAGAGCAGGGGAGCACATGCTGACAGCCAGAAGAGTAGGGAGTGGTAGTTCCTAAATGCATATTGATTAACTGTTCCTAGGCTGGTTGCATCAAAATTGTTTGGAAAAGAAATAATAATACAACTTCCCTAGTCTTACACTATCCCCTTGCTATTCAGTGTGAACTGAGGACCAACAGCATTGGCATTGCCTGGAAACTTGTTAGAAGTGTTGGATTGCCAGACCCGTCAAAGACCTAGTGAATCAGAATCGCATATTTAGTAATTTTCCTGTATGATTCATAAGCACATTGAAGTTGAGGAAGCACTCTGGACTATAGACAGATGTGTCAGTCATGAGATTCTGGGAATTTTTTTTTAATATATGGTTACTAGGTTGTTTCATTTTTTTTTAATTCATTTTATTTGTCTATTCTACTAGAGAGGTAAAAGTTGCATATATTTATCATGACCAACAAGTTTTTTGAAATACATTGTGGAATGACTCAATTGAGCTAATTAACATATGCATCACTTCACATGTCATTTTGGGGGGTTTGAGAACACTTAAAATGTACTCTAAGCAATTTTCAAGAATACAACGTATTGTTATTTACTATAGGCACCATGTTGTACAATACATGTCTTGAACTTATTCCTCCTAATTGAAATGCTGTAGCCTTTGACTAGCACCTCTCTATCCATCTTATCAGCGCGAGCCTCTGGTAACCACCATTTGGGAATGTGTATTTTTACAAGGGTCCCAGAGGGTTCTATGTTCAAATTGTGCAGAGAAACCAGTGACCACAGAAGATGGCGAATTGCAGAGGTCCCTAGAGAAGGTGGTCTTGCATTGACTAAGAGGGTAAGTGGAGAGTGGGTAGGGAGAGCCATCAGAAAGAGCAAAGGTGTTGAGCAGTATTACTTGAGACCTGTTTGAGGAATCATGAGCAAAGCTGCTTAGCTGGTTCCAAGGGTTTGAAAAATAGCCTGAGAGGTTAAAAGCAGGGGCCAGTGAATCACCCACATTCTGCATGCAGACTAAAGTTTGATTGATAGAGACAGGCAGTAGAAAATCATTGAATACTTGGGGAAAGAATTGTGTAAATAATAAGTGATGTAAAGTATTGTTTCCAATTTTTCAACAGGGCTTACTATGAATAAGAGAAAGTAAAGCCTGCTCCTGAATTTAAACCTGGGTTTATGGGTTTCTTCACGTCCGTTCATATCTTTGAAACAGCGCTTTTTCATCATGATCATTTCTATGCCCGTGAAAAGTACTGCAACATCTGCGTGCAGTTGTTTTTCCTCAATAATAATGTCCGACGATAGACGTAAATAGTCCTTTTGACTAGAGCTGTTTTCTGGAATGGCTCCAATACTAAGAAGGGAAAAATGCAAAAGCTAAAGAATTAGATAGCTCTTAGATTGTGTTGTTCTCTCTGAGAAGATAAAACTGAAACCCCTATTAGAAAGGCAGGATTACGGAGAGATTATGATATGTGAAAATTACAATAGGCCACAGGAAAGTGTGGTGGAAGACTTATAAGCATCTACTGCAAAGGAAGACATTGTTCTTTCTGATTAGGAAGGTCATAACCTGATCTGGAGGTTTCTTCCTTTGATGCTGAGAGAAGGAATCCTAAGAATAATAAGAAGCCAATGTATTGCAATAACTATTTTATGGATTACTCTGAGGTCCAAAATTCCTAGAAAAGATGATTGTTTTCTTTGAAAAGCAAGAATCTGCTTTTGTGCTTCCCAGAGAAGATCGTTTAGAAAAAGGAGTTGGTTATTTATTGTTCACTTTCATGATTCTAAAGAGAGGTGACCTCAGTGATTGAAACAGAAGACAAAAATAATTTTGAGCTGTCTCTTGGCTTTTCATTTTTCAAGGGCTTCAAATATATTATTTGGCTATTACAAAATTTATGAAGCCTCCTGACAAACTCGAACCCTTTCCCCCCATTTATTGGAATCACTCTGCCCTGAAAATTTGGATCCTGAATCTATTTCTGCTCCTGTACTCAGATCTTTGAGCACAGCCAGAGAAAATTTTACAAATGTGTGGCTTGGTGCCTTTAAAAAGTATAGGCCCTACTTCAACTGCTCATTCAGTATCATTGGGCAATTAGGGCAATGATTTGCTTGTCTTCAATGAGTTCTTCTATTCTCATAGAAGCTCTGGCAAGCTATTTGTCTCAAGCCCTTTGTAGAGAGGCCCACCCTCATGCCCAGGAGGATGAACTCTCGCATGGCTTCCTCATACTCTCCCTAGTCCTGTTTCTGCTCTCCTATAAATATTTAGGTATACAAATACATCTTTTTTCTCTCTCTCTTAAAGAAAGAAGTGTTTCTTTTTGGGATGACAGCAATCCTTCCAGTTGTACTCTTGATCCTACATTGCATACCCTCTGTTTTTCTTTAAGACCTTGCCCCAACAATGACCCCCTTTTTCTCCATATCTTCAGCCTTTCCTTCTCTACTGGCTCCTTCCTTTCAGTTATAAACATGAACAAACTTCTGCAATTCCAAACAAACCCTCCTTTGACCTTGCATCTCCTTCCAGCTACTACCTATCACTCTTCTGCCCTCCACAGCTTTGAAAAAAATGAAAACTGAGGATGTTTTTATTGCAAAGGAAAACATGCTCATTATATAAAGTTAAGAAATAGAATAGTCATAGAAGAGAGAGATACAGGAATAGAGAGAAGAAGTTGGAAGGCACAACCATATATTAATAACTAGAGATGATCATTGTTACCAACTTTTATATATTTCTAGGATACCTCTATGCATAAAGGTACTTTGGAATCATAAAATGGATCTATACTGTTCACGTTATTTTATAATATAAATATTTCATTTTTAATATTTTGAAGATAGTTCAGTTACATTGCATTTCAATCTACAATGCCATTGCTAGTGGCTAAATTGTATTCCATGGTGTAGCTGAATAATATTTTGAAGTATTAACTAATGTGTTTCCTCCTGTACTCCCTCCCTGACACCATCTCCTACCCTTGCACCTGCTCATCACTACCTCCTTCTCAGTCTCTCCATATATACCAGACTTAATATTCTTAACCTAAATGTGTTACTGAAGAAGCATGGGTAGCATTTTAAAAAGACACTTTCATAACTCAAAGTAGAGGAACTAGAGATAATAGAAAGGAAATGTTGAGTTTATGAGTATTTCAGGAATCTGGTGTTGAAAATTTTATGCTATAACTGTGAGTAGTGTTCATGGTCACCATAACTAGGATCTTTTTTTTTTTTTTTTTTTTTTTTTTTTTGGTGTGAGACAGAGTTTCACTTTTTTTGCCTAGGCTGGTGTGCAATGGCGTGATCACAGCTCACCACAACCTCCGCCTCCCGGGTTCAAGCGATTCTCCTGCCTCAGCCTCCTGAGTAGCTGGGATTACAGGCATGCGTCACCATACCCGGCTAATTTTGTATTTTTTTTAGTAGAGACGGGGTTCCTCCGTGTTGGTCAGGCTGGCCTCAAACTCCCTACCCCAAGTGATCTGCCTGCCTCGGCCTCCCAAAGTGCTGGAATTACAGGCGTGAGCCACCGCGCCCGCCCATAACTAGGATCTTATAAGCAAGGGATGAGAGTTGGAAATAAGTAGGCTTGTGTTATGCCCCTTTCATACTAAACCTAGGGGGTAGGGAAGATAATCTCTAAATGATATGATCTGAGAATAGAGAGCAATTGGGCTTGGCATTCCCAAATTTCCAACACCGCCATAATAAGAGTTGAGCAGCAATAAAAGTGAGGCAGAGAGAGTCTGGTGCAGTCCCAGGACGTCTGTGGCTGCAGACTGCTCTGGGAGAAGGGTCACACTATTCTATGCTTTTGTAAGGGATGTGGGTGTAAGATGAACAAAAATGTATTGGCCAAAATGAAGGGAACCTGAGCCAAGGGCACATCACATGAGAAATCTGCAGTGGCAGCATTCAGGACCAGACAAGCATGTGGACATCTCAATAACGAAGGGAAAAGAGACAACCACAGCCAAGAGTAAGGCTGAATAATAAACCCATGGATCATATACCCACAGATGCCAACCAATGACCAGTTGCCTTATCCTTCTCCTCTCTCTCTCTCCCATCACCCTATTTTACTGAAGAATTCAGTAACTTAGAAATGACTGCACGGGTGAGGAAGGGGAATTTCCAGAATGGATTGCTTTCTTATTGTAAAAGAAAAAAATTGGGTTGAAAAAATAAAGCAACTTCTTTGTATACCTGAGTAGAAGCTTACAAGAATTATATCGGCTTCACTAATAAGGGTGTACTTTATTTAACCAATCTCCTATTTTTGAAATTGTTTTGCTTCCAATCAGTCATTATAAAAAGCAATGCACAGTCAAGCATCTTTATTCATTCTCTCAATTGTCAGACTTCAGTTAGTTCTTCAACCAGGAGCAACCTGTTTCTTATTCTTTCTTTTCCAGCAAAACAAGCCTTATGAAGCAGCCAATAAACTTCATCTTGCCAAACCCAATGGACTCACCACAATCTCTATAGAGTTGACATTGATTCTTTATTGGACATGGAGGCATATTCCCTTCTTCTGAAATTCTCACCTCTCTTGAGTTTCTCAATATGATTGTTTCCTTTATTTACTCTACTTCTCTGAATTGTATTTCCTGGTTTCCTTCTCCACTTTCATTTTTCTCCAAAACCCACTTGGGTTAACATCCACCATGGTTCCCTTTTCTTCTCAGTATTTATGTTTTTTATGTGAGATCTCAGTCAATATCCCATGTTTAACTATCTCGTAAATATGGTCATTCCTAAATCTTTATTTCCTACCTGAAATTTTCACCAATTTTCTTATTAGTGGTATCTTATGGATATTAATTCATCTATCCATCTATCCAGACATCTATTTATTTATTTAACATTTTTTTCATACCGACAGAATGCTTGCCACTATTCTAGGCACTTGTCATACAACAATAACAAACAGACAATAATATCTGTACTCAGAGATTTTATACTCTAGTTTGGCTCAACAGACAATAAACAAACAGTAGGGGGAAATAATATTTTTCAGTCAACAACTCTAAAACCAGCTCATTATCTTCCTCTTTTACACCTGTGATTTCTCCCTTAACAGCAATAGCCGTAAGTGGTATAATTATCTATCAATCAGCTTTTTCATGCTAGCATGATCAGAATCAACCTCAATTCCTCTTTCCACTTTTATAAGTATTCAAAGGCAGTATTGTCTAGTGGTTAAGAGTCTGAGCTATCCCATTCCACAGACCTTGGTTCAAATTTTGTCACTACAAGTTATGTGATTTTCATCTAGTTAATCTCTTTAAGCCTGTTATGGTGTCAAAAAAATCCTACCTGACAGGATTGTATGAGTGTAAATGAGATAATATATGATTATTATCCCTGTCTCATATTTAGTACTCAATGAATGGTAGATATTGTTCTTTTATTATCATCATTTATCCAATTGACCATTGTGTCTTGCAGATTCTATTTTCTAAATCTGCACTGTCCAAAATGGCAGTCACTAACGTGGTGATTGAGCATTTGAAACGTGGCTAGCCAAAATTGAGATAACACTCTAAGTTTAAACTATACACTGGATTTTAGTTTAAACTATACACTGGATTTTAGTTTAAACTATACACTGGATTTTAGTTTAAACTATACGCTGGATTTTAGTTTAAACTATACGCTGGATTTTAGTTTAAAGTATACACTGGATTTTAGTTTAAACTATACACTGGATTTTAGTTTAAACTATACGCTGGATTTTGGTTTAAACTATACACTGGATTTTAGTTAAAAGTATACACTGGATTTTTGAAAAATTAGCACCTAAAAAGAATGTACAATATCTCACAGAAGATTTTTGTATCAATTACATGTTAAGATGACAATATTTTATGTCTATTAGGTTAAATAAAATGCTTTATTAAAATTAATTGCATACACTTTGTTTTACTTTCTCAATGTGGTTAATAGCAAATTAAAACTTACATATGTGGCTTTCGTTAGAATTCTATTGGCCACTGCTATTCTAAATATTTCATATAATTGCTCTTCTGCTCATTACAATAATAAGCTTTATCATCTCTCTTCTCTCTTATTGCCGTGACATCCTACCAGCCTCTGCCCCTGATTCTCCTCTGAACTTTTAATCCATCCTCTCCAGTGTTGCCTGATTGATACTTCTAAAATGTTAGAAAAAAAATGTAATCAGCTTTCCACTACCTGGAGGATAAATCCAGTCTCCTTATCTCGGCACATAGAGCTCTTTGCGATCCTGCATTTCATATACCTCCAGGCTTTCTTTGAAGCCTCTCACAGTTCCCACAGAATCTGGCTACTCGGAGCCATTTTGTGCTTTATGCTTTTTCACATGGTTTCTCTCTACCTGAAATGACCTCTCTTACCCTGACTACCCAAAGAATTCTTCTTTTGTCCTCAAGAACCACCTTAAGTTACCTGTGTAAACTTTTCCCCACCTCTCCTCTTAGCTTTTGGTTATACAGCCAAGTTTTCACTTATTGTCCTCATTTTCCTGTTCTGTTACTTGTTATCTCTCTCTGGACTTTGAATTTCCTAACAAATAAGGTTGTAATTTCTTACTTTCTGGATTTGCCATACACGTATTTGTAGCACATTAAGTACAGAAAAAACATTTAAAGGAAGGATAGACCGTATGCTTATTTAAAAAAAAAAACAAGTAAATAAACCATAAGTTAAACATTCAGTATTGTTCATATCCAATCACCTAAACAAATAAAATGTAATATCTGTTCCCAAATATGATGGCTATATTTTGTATTATTACAGAAATAGTTGAATTCAGAGCCAATTTTGATTTCTTGTTTCCTAGTTCAGTTAATAGGAAGCAATTGTGAATAATACAGGCACCTCCTGAAAGAGGCAATTCTTTAATAGAAATTCTAGTTTGACTTCTTTACTGTTTGGTACAATACTATTTTCTCCAATTTTTAAAAAGTAATTAATAATTAATTATTGTTATTGAAAGTTTTGCTGTTGTTTCTACTATGGAGCTACTATGACAACTACATTAGCAATTCTGTTAAGGTACTGGTGCATAGTATTTGAAAGTTTGCAAGCCATAGAGCCAGGCGTGGTGGCCAGTGCCTATAATCCCAGCTAATTGAGAGGCTAAGGAGTTGGGAGGATTGCACGAGCCCAAGAATTCAAGACCAGCCTGGGCAACATAGCAAGATCCTGTCTTATATTAAAAAAGAAAAAAAAAGGAAGTTTGCAAGTCTTTTTATCTTCAAAGTATTGTCTGCATTGAATTGTCTCCCGTCTGACAGAAACCTGGCCTGGGAATTACCCCTTTCCCTTCCCATTGGGTGAACACTGAAACTAGTATCAGGTGCTAATGATTTCTGAACCAGACAAAAACAACTTAGAGAAGTGAACACAGATCCCTGTCCTGTCAGCTCCTTCCTGCTGATTTATTAGCTGGAAGGCATTGTTTGTTTTAAAAGGTGGAGCAACTAGGGACGGTCTACCGTCATCTTTGTAATTTCTTAAGATCCCAAAAACAGACATAGTGGTACAGTGACCTAATTTTCCAGGCAATGGTTACCCAATAGGTCAGTCAGCTAATTTCAGAATTTGATGCACCACGAAAAAGGATGGTCATTGGATCAAGAAGTCAGCTGGGCAAAAAAGTCGTCCTTAATAAAATAAATGACATCATATTGGCAGTAGCTTTGCTGGCCTTTGGATATTTAAATTTCATAAGTTATCACAGATGAATGTTTGTGCAGTACTGGTTGTGTAGAGGCAAAAAGATATGATACACATTGTCAGAAGTGTTAGTACTAAGAAAAAAATTACCAAAAAAGATATTTGAGCTTAAGTGAGTTTACAGTCATAATATAAACCCACTACCTTGTAAAATTGGCTATTGTGAAATACCAATGTTTTTGTACCACACCTATTGGCATCATTATCACGAAGTAATCATTGTGTTAATAGATCAGAATAAATAGGTTTCTATTTCATTTAAGGTTACAAGTTTCACATTTGATCCTTGCCATTAAACTTTTTTTAAAAAAATAAAAAAATATAACTGGCTGGCTACAACAGGGATCAGCAAAATTTTTCTGTAGAGGTCCAGATAATAAATAATTTAGTCTTTGCAAGCTATACAATCTCTGCAGCAACTAGTCAACTCTCACCTTGAATCATGAAAGCAACCATAGACCATATATAAATGAAAGAACAGGGCTGTGTTTGTATAAAACTTTATTCACAAAAGCAGGTAAAAATAGATAAATATTCAATGGTCTGGACTTTGGCCCACAGACCATAGTTTGCCAACCTCTCTGCTATAGTATAAGTGTAATGTACTCAACTATTTTCTTATTGCTGGGGATTTAGATGATTCCCAAAATTTCTCTATTCTAATAAAAAATTTCAACAAACATCTCTATGGTTAAGACTTCGTCTGCATTTCCAAAACTATCCTTAGAATAGTTTCCTAGAAGTGGAATTTCTAGGTCAAAAGCTATAAATATTTTTAAGCCTTTTAATTCTTTTGCCACTTGGGCATGTAAATTGGTGTGTCATTTCTGGAAAGCAGTTTGGCAATGCCTAAGTAATCCCTCCCTAAGATCTCACTTGTTCTAAGTACAATCATTTGTAAAGGAAAACAAGTAAACAAAAATGCTGCATGAATTTTACGGTTTTTTAAAAAAAGATATCTCAATGTATTAGGTTTGCGTGCACATGACAGGTTACAAAAATTCAACATTTTTTACATTTATTTTCCTTTCGTATTTCTATTTTAATATTTTTATTTCTATCTTGGCCCATTTGTCTGTTTTTTCTCTCATCATTTTATCTTTTCCTCTCCAATTTTATTTCCACCGTACATATTTTAGATGGTAAAAATTTAAGAGCACAATTTCTAGAATCAGACGGTCCAGGTTCACACCGTAATTCTTCCACTTTCTGGCTGTGTGACCTTTCGCAAGTTACTAAAACTCCCTGTGCCTCAACTTCCACATTGCTAAAATGGAGTCACTAAGAGTATCTACATCACGTTCTTGCTTTGAGAACCCAATGAGAATAGCATATAAAGAAATCACTTTACACATTACCTAGCACACAGAAAATGTTCAATAAATACTACCTATGAGAATGGTAGTGAAGGTACATTTCCGTCATCGCTTAAATGGTCACTACCTATCTGGTGATCAAATACACTTTTACCTCTATTTTATTTGAACTTTATTATGGTTTAATTTGAAAAATTTCTTTGGATGTTATTTTGGTGTATAGTATAGAGACAGTGTCTAAACTGGTTTATTTTCTAAATAGCTAGTCAATTACTGGATGGACATGGTAGCTCATGCCTGTAATCCTAGCACTTTGGGAAGCCAAGGCAGTTGGATTGCCTGAGCTCAAGTGTTCAAGACCGGCTTGGGCAACATGGCGAAACTCTGTCTCTATAAAAATACAAAAAATTAGCCGGGCATGGTCGCATGTGCTTGTAATCCCAGCTTCTCCAGAGGCTGAGGCGCTAGAATTGCTTGAACAATCTGGGAGGTGGAGGTTGCAGTGAGTCAAGATCACACCACTGCACTCTGGCCTGGGCAACAAAGGGAGACTCTTGTCTCAAAAAAAAAACCAATAATAATAATTAATAGCTAGGCAACTACTGCAATAATTGTTATTGAATATACATTCCTTTCTCATTAGTGGGCACTGTGATCTTTATCAAATATTTTCCTATTCCACTTTTTAGAATTTGCTTCAGGGAAACCTAGTCTTAGAGGTATCTGCCGGTATAATCTGGCTTCTTCATCATTGACTTATTTGTTATGACTTTATAATACTTTAGCACCCAATAATTCAACTCACTTGCATGACTCTAATTCCCCATGTTTTTCTTAGACATCCTAATAGATTTATTCTTTTATTTGAATTTTGCAGTCATGTTGTCAATTTCCCATACTTAAATTTGGTTACTTAATTTTGGATTACTGTTACTTAAACTTGGATCAGAAGTGAATGACACTTACGAAATAACCTGAGAGTTGACATGTGTAATAATGAGCATTCTTCACATCCCCTGGGACATAATGTGCATCTGCATTTTTCTGATTCTTTTTTCTATTTTTCAATAAATTTTTGTGGTTTTCTACACCACTAAAAGAACTAGTAATACATAGAGGTGCTCAATGCTAATGCTGGGTGGATAATGCAGCATTGCTGGAGGGATTAAAGGCAAATTACCTCTTAGCCTTTGAAGGTTCTTCTAAGTAGAGGGATCTGTTGCTTAATTCACATTTTAATGCATTTAATAGCTCTAAAAATATTTTATCTGGACCTCCTATTTGCCAGACATTCTAATAGGTTCTATGAAGGATTTAGACAAAGACTCAGCCATAGGTCCTATCATCGAGATTCTTCCAGTCTGTGAGGAGGCACAAACCTGCATAAATGTAATTACATTATAATATTGCAGGTGTAAAATAAAAGTATGTTAAGAGCAAAGAGTTGGCATATGATTAACAGCTATGATATGCAGGCAAGACTTCCAGATGAGTTGCTGATGAAACTTGTGTGAGGCACAAAAAAGATGGATAAGAGTTTCACAGGAGTGTAAAATGGCAATGTGCATTATGTGTTTGTTAAGGGGTATCAAGATGTGGAAGACATCATCTGTGATTCTTCTTGAGTCTTGGACTCTGTAAAATCCACATTGTCAAGTCATAAGTCAACTTGAAGCTCAGAGGCTGCCTGTGTTGGGAAAAAGGGTGTGAATCTCCAGGGCAAGACAAAGATTAAGTAATGGATGCTTTGATGTTGTTTCCTTGAATGCGTCTATCTCATGTGTGTTTCTCCCCAAATATTTGGTGATAATGTGGTTTGGCTGAAGGAGAGAATGTTTGTTGAACATTATGTCAGCATAATATCAGCTTTAGAATTTCACAGATATCTAAGTGTCCTAAGAGACCAACTGGACTGGATATCAGACCAAGATTCTGATAAAAGGGGATAACAGAGATTAACCGGAGCAGAAAAAGTACTTTTCTGAGCCAGAGATAACAAGAGAAACTTAAAGAAAGTGCTGAAGCAAGAAACTTTAAGCCTGTGAGTAGGTAAGTAAAAACTTAAATTTTTTGCAATAATACCAAAGAAGATTTCCTTTTCTATCGTATTAAATTAGTGCTATCGGCTTTGGTCTAGATGCTTCTGTCTGAAGTATAGTGGCTGTAGTATTGTCTTTGGAATAAATATTAATAACGTTTGTTTCTGAGTATTCATTTTCGTAATTAATTGCTTCAGGTTGAGCTATGTCGCAATTAAAGATCATTTTGAACCAACTTCTACACTCAAAACATGAGGAAACTGAGCTCATAGAGAAGAAATGACACTTGAAAGTCTCTCTGACAACCTATGCATTTAACATTCATCTATAACACTAACATTTTACACTTTTGCTGTTTTCCTTTGAGTACAGAAGCCATCATGAATGATTCGTTTTTTGTTTTTGTTTTTTTGGATGGTCTTTAGTTTTTAGAACCATTTTAGGTTTGTAGCAAAATTAAGTGGGAGGTACACAGATTTCCTGTATATCTGCTGCCCTCAAACATACATAGCATCTCGTGTTATCAAACATCCCTACCAGAGGGGTACATCTGCTATAACTGATGAACCTACACTGACATATCACTATCAGTCAAAGTCCATACTTTACATTAGGATTCACACTTGGTGTTATACATTCTATGGGTTTGGACAAATTTATAATGACATCTATCCATTATTACAGTATCATGTAGAGTTGTTTCACTGCCTTAAAACTACCCTGTGCTTTGCCTATTCATACTTCCCTTCCCCTAACTCCTGGAAAACACTGATCTTTCTTCTGTTTTCCAAAATCTTATATAGCTGGAGTCACGCAGTACGTAGAATTTTCAGATTAGTTTCTTTTACTTACTAATATGCATTTAAGTTTCCTCCACCTTTTAGTATGATTTGAAAGCCCATTTCTTTCTAGTGCTTAATAATATTTTATTGTCTAGATGTACCACAGATATTTTTATCCATTCACCTACTGAAGGACATCTTGGTTGCTTTGAATTTTTAGAAATTATCAATAAAGCTACTATAAACATTTGAGTACAGATTCTTGTGTGACGTAAGTTTTCATCCCCTTTGGGTAAATACCAAGGGGCTCAATTGCAGGATTATATGGTCAGAGTATGTTTAGTTTTATAAGAAACCACCGATCTGTCTTCCAAAGTGGCTGTACCATTTTGTATTGGCACCAGCAATAAATCAGAGATCCTGTTGCTCCACAGTTTCCCCAGCATTTAATGTCAGTATTCTGGATTTTGATCATTCTAATAAGTATATAGTGGTATCAAATTATTGCTTAAATTTGCATTTCTCTGATGACATATGATATGGAGTATTTTTTCATATGCTTATTTGCCATCTGTATATCTTCTTTGGTAAGGAGGCTGTTAAGTCTTTGGCTTATTTTTTCAATTGGATTGTTTGTTTTCTTATTGTTGAGATTTAAGAGTTCTTTGTATATAATTGAATAATAGTTCTTTATCAGATAGGTCTTTGGCAAAAATTTTCTCCCAGTATATGAGTTAACTAGTTAACTAGTTTCTCCTGATGAGATATCTTATTAAGAAGACAAGAATGCTCTCTAGTGTATGTCAAAATGCCTCCTTTCCCCTTCCTCTGCCAGAAGCATAAGGGGATTTTTAATTTTTAAAATTTTTTTGCCAATATTTACTGTGAGAACTTGGTGCAACTCCTGGAGGCAAAATTCAAAAGTGTGTCTCTCCTCCCCTCAACCACCTACTCCAGGACTGGATCTCCCTGGAGTTTTTAATCCTTGGACTTGTTTACACTGACCTCCAGAAATTCATCAATTACAGCTCAGGTTTTCCTACTCAAAACTGATTCCCTTGGAGGTTTCTGTTCTAATAAGCTGTGATTTTTTTTTTAATTCACCTCTTGACTTACCCAGTTTTGGAGGCAGTGGTTTGCCCTGTGCCCTCGCTTCTCTGATCGATCTAAGAGTTGTTGATTCTTCAGTTTCTTCATCCTTTTGTAATCAAGTGTTCACCTTGCCTGCTGCCTAGACAGGGCCAGCTTATCCAGACAGGGGAATTGCAATGGAGAGAGAGTAATTCAAGCAGAGTCAGCTGTGTGGGAGATCGGAGTTTTATTATTACTCAAATCAGTCTCCCAGATCAGAGTTTTTAAGGATAGTTTGTCGGGTATGGGCTTGGAAAGTGAGGAGTGCTAATTGGTTGGGTTGAAGGTAAAATCATAGGGGGTCGAAGTGAGTTCTTGCTGGCTTACATTCATTCCTGGGTGGGATCGCAGAACTGGCTGAGCTGTATTATCAGTCTGAGTGGCGTCATCTGAGTGATGTCATGTGCTATATCAGAACGCAGGGTCTGTAAATATCTTAAACACTGATCTTAGGTTTTACCATAGTGATGTTATTCCCAGGAGCGATTTTGGGAAGGTTCAGACTCTTGCAGTCAGAGGCTGCATGGCCCCTAAACCGTAATTTCTAATCTTGTAGCTAATTTATTAGTCCTACAAAGGCAGACTGGTCCCCAGGCAAGAAAGGGTTTTTCAGGAAAGGACTGTTATCAATTTTATTTCAGAGTTTAAACTATAAATTCCTTCCCAAGGCTAGTTTGGCCTACACCCCGGAATGAACAAACACAGTTTCAAGGTTAGAAGGAAGAAGGGGTCAGTTAGGTCTGTTTCACCGACATAATTTCCTCACTTATGATTTTTTGCAAAGGCAGTTTCACTTTGACTTGTGGCAACTTCCAAGCTTCTAACACGTTTCATAGGGCTGATTTTAGGTTTTTAAACTACACATTTTATTATGTTTTAAAATGAGAGGTCCATCTAATGACAGGATTATTATATATAGTATATATCTTATTATATCTTTAAATGATTAGTCTTTGGAGTTTATTTCCTGATTCTAATATTTTTCATGTTATTATCTGATAGAGAAACTAATTAATCATATTATTAGAGCTAAGTCTCTGTCTGCAAGTATGAAGACTAGATCATTTAAAACAGTTAATTCTTAAAGAGCTAGAGACCCAGGAGGGAAAATGTATTTGAAAAATAAGAGTTTCTATGTCATTTGTTAAATCAACAGAAACATGACCTGAAGTTCCACCTAAAAACCTTAAAGTCCCAATTATTCTTAATTTACAAGCTAAATTTAATTGAATACTTGAATTAAAAGCTCAAATTTTACTTCATCAAAAGACTCTTCCCATAATTTTTGGTAAGTTTCTCATCAGTATCAACCCTTAGAGTTTACCATGAATGCTGAAGACTCACTGTGTTACACTTATCCGTTCTGTTACAGATGAACTTTACGGGAGAGATTTTAAAAAGATGAATGTATTAGCATTTAAGCAGTCAGAGAATAATACACCAACCCAAGTAAGAGAGGTCTATGAAGCTGTTTTGTTTGTTTTTGTTGGTGGTGGTGGTGGTGGTGGTAAATTTACCATTACTAGCCACCAAATGATGGAGTCTGTGATTGTTCCAGTGCCTCTCAGATAATAATATCTTTTATCTTAATATATTTTCATCTTAATATTGCAGAAGATCTGGTGATGTTGTCGTGCTGGTAAGAAACAGAGCTCAGGTAGCCCACCTCTCTTAAACCTCTAAAAGTGTTTCTTACTTTTAAAAATATTTCTGGAGTTAAAAGTCCTGAGATGTATAGCTCTCTCTCAGTCTGAGAGACTCACTTACCTGAGCAAATACTTGAAATTTTTCCTTACATGCAGAGCCTCGGTAGGAAGATAACGTATCAGTCAGGTGTTGCCTTTACTCTGCCAGAGGCTTCAGCTGTTAGGAAATTTACCATTCTAACTTTTCACTGTTGGAATCGCTGGGTCATGCAGAGAAGCAAAATCCTTTAGATTTCTTTCGTCCTCTGTTGGCAATACTGTAGCCCTGACTTAGGATTCAGCTGTTACATTTTCTTTTGCAACTGGAGAAAATTGAAAATGTAACTTCATAATATCCCTCCACTCAATGTTGTCAAAGACACTTAAAAACTCCCAGTTACTACTTAAGCCTTAAAGGTGCAAAGGCAATTTCGTTTTGGGGCTTTGCTCCTCTTTTTCAGCTGACTCTCTAAAAGCCTGTTTCTTCCCCAGAAGCAGGTGTCTTGTTGCTGAGTATCACACTTATAGTGGGGGTGGATCTTTGAAACTGGATCTGTGGACTTTTCTCTCTTACCATGAGCCCTCTGATCTCTGCAGCATTTTTCCTTCCTTGGAATTCTTGCACAAACAGGAGTGATTGATTTTCAAAATTCAGACTATTCAGTTTGATCATTTTAATCCTACCACAAAATCATGGCTGCAAGAGGAAACTTTATTTAAGATATATCAGCCAAGATTCTAAAGAAAAGTTGGTGTTCATTTAATTCTTTTAAAGTCTTGGAAGGTATCTAATCGCCACAACCAACCATTGATTGAGACGTCATTTTATTTTTCTGAGTCCCAAGAGCAACATAATAGGCCTTCAAAGCATATTAATCTTGAATAGAATCAATAAAGAATAAATGTCATTTTTAACAGACTGGAAAAATGAGGATTCTCTGGCAGTGATGTAACCATGCCGAAGTATGAAGTTGTGTTTTTGTGTGATGGGAGTAATTGAAGAGCTGAGGGCAGGCTGCAAAATGCAGTCAAAGGAAAGCAGGCTTGCCTTCAGCAAATGAGAAGCTTATAGCTTTGTCTTCACAGCATAGTAAAAAGATTAAACAGAATCAGACTGAGGAAGGAATTTATATCTCACGATGCCTGCCCACTTTCTGAGAAAGGATACAGTCATCTCTTGGTATCTATGGAAGATTGGTTCCAGGGCCCTTGGTGACTTTAAAATTTCAGGATCCAAGTCACCCATAAAATGGCATATTACTTACATATAGCCTACACACATCCTCCCACGTTTTTTAAAAATCATCTCTGGATTACTTACAATGGAAATGCCATATAAATAGATGTTATACTGTGTTGTTTTTCATTTTTATTATTTTGTTGTATTTTCATTTGTTTTGTATTTTATTTTGTTTTAATATTTTTGCTCTGAGGTTGGTTGAATCTATGCATGCACAACCCATGGATACAGAGGGCCAGCTGTACTTGCAAAATAACATATGCTCAATTTTGTCTTAAGAACAAAGTATTAGTTCACAGGAAGGACAACCAAAGGTCCTTTATTCATTTGTTTTTGTATTTATTTAAGAAGTACATATTGAGCACCTGTTTCATCTCAGTTACCACGAAGAGTTAGAGAGACAGGAGGGTGGGTGGTAGATACCAAGATGATAAAGACAGGACCTTGAGGAGTTCATAGTATGATGGGGGAAGAGAGATATGCAAATAAATCATCAGAATTTGTAGTTACAAATGGGATACTTGAGCCTGAACAATGTGCTCTGGAAGCACATTTTGCCTGGGAAGAAGCAGGAGTAAGTTCATGAAAGATGCATGGGTCTCTAGTAAGTGACTGGTACAGTATATTTAATGATTCCAGGCTTTAGACTTCTACAATTAGGCAAACAAACTAATCTATATGTAAGAGATACACAGTACCTTGTCCAAATTTTTGTCCAAATATTTTCATACTACAGATGTGTTCTAGCCCCTCTGACTAACGTTTCATTTTAACTGAGACTGGAGCAGTGTGGAGCAGCTGAGCCTTGGAAACGTAAAACCAGGGAACAGTAGGTGGTGTGAGACTACAGACCTCGAATCTTCATGAGTTCTGGTCTCAGGTAGATTAAATTAATTCAGTGATGTAGAAGTAATAAAATAAAATAAAATAAAGTCTGACTTCTGGAAATGACTCAACAGTTTAACAACAAACTTTCTTTCAAATCTGTAAGTATCTATTCTTATTATAAACGATTCTTGTAAGGTTTAAGGTGTGGACATTCCCACCTCACTGGCCGCTGTTGTGTGTGTGTGTTTTGCAATTCTATCTAGACCTCAGCCAGCCTTTTGGGAAATTTAGAAGGGATCACAGGGCCGGGAGAAGATAAAGACAAGAAAGAAAAAGAGAAAGAGGACAGTTTTTCTAGGATAGAGCAGATTTCGTTCTGTTGGTCCTCCAGGCTTTTTCTCCCTCCTGATGATTTGTGAAAACCCACCTTCCTGAAATTCCATGGACCAAAGTACTGCAAGAAAGTAGACGACAAAATCGAAAAGAATTTGGAGTGAAACTGGATTACACTGGATTATGCCTACTAGATGTGACAAAATTCTAACTCTAACTCCAATTCTAAAATCTAATTCTTTGGCTTTTAACATTCCACACTGATGATCCTGAATAATAGAAAATAGATTATGTAGACAGAATTTGAAAAAAAAAATTCTAAGTGGACTTATGTGTGTTAATGGGTTAATACATGAGAATCCTTTGTGTTTTCAAAGCAAACTTGCATGGGTTTCAAAATATTGTAACTAGTAGCTAAAGTTAAAAATATTATCATATCTTTTAACTCAATTAAAAGCTGGGCATGGTGGCTCATCCTCGTAATCCCAGCACTTTGGGAGGCAAAGGTGTGTGGATCGCCTGAGGTCAGGAGTTCGAGACCAGCCCGACCAACATGGTGAAACTCCGTCTTTACTAAAACATACAAAATTAGCCAGACCTAGTGGCACATGCCTGTAATCCCAGCTACTCGGGAGGCTGAGGCAGGAGAATCGCTTGAACCCCGGAGGCAGAGGTTGCAGTGAGCTGACATTGCACCAATGCATTCCAGCCTGGGCAACAAGAGCAAAACTGTCTTGAAAAAAAATTGATAAATTAAAAATTTTTTTAAATAAATAAAAATAGTAGAATATTGAGGTTGCTAAGCCTTTAAGGTTTTTCAAAATGGTGACAGTTATTTTTGTTTCATGCTTAGGATAGATGCCCCATTACCATGAAATCAGGTTTTCTATGGCAGTTTGCCTACATTCCCTCATGTTTTTTTAAATAAAATCAGTTCATCAAAGGGATAATTAAATGTGGTTTATTTGGAAATGAACTCATAAATCAGAAACATATTTGCCTGGAACATAAATCCTGATTTTTTTCGCCCATGAAATTTAGTTATTTTACCCATGAGTTCAATAACATAGGCGGGCGCAGTGGCTCACGCCTGTAATCCCAGCACTTTGGGAGGCTGAGGCAGGCGGATCACGAGGTCAGGAGATCGAGACCATCCTGGCTAACACGGTGAAATCCCGTCTCTACTAAAAATACAAAAAATTAGCTGGGCGTGGTGGCGGGTGCCGTAAGTCCCAGCTACTCGGGAGGCTGAGGCAGGAGAATGGCGTGAACCAGGGGAGGCGGGGCTTGCAGTGAGCCAAGATCCTGCCGCTGCACTCCAGCCTGGGCGACAGAGTGAGACTCCATCTCAAAAAAAAAAAAAAATAATAAATAAATAAATAAATAAATAAATAAATAAAAATTAAAAAAACATTAAGTAACATAGCTTGGGTAATTGAATGCTAAAGTAAACAGTCTCGTGAGATTTAAAATTTATAATTGACATTGTTTGACTGGAAGTAACCCTCTGGGGAAGTCACTATACAGAATTGTTAACATTAAAATATAGTTAATGAACAAATGAAGCTGGGCAACTTTTCCTGCAGATTTTGAAGGGAGAGTGAACATCCCTTTCCAACCTTATAATTCTTTGTCTTTACTGAGATCTTCTCGAGTTGTTAAATTTCAACCTGTTCTTTATAGTGTCAAATGAAAGTGCCATTAGGGTAATCCCATAGAACTAGTTCGTGACTTTCTTTTTTTTACAGTGATACTGTGGTTTGGATGTTCAGAACATCCAGGCACTTCCAGATCAGTATCAGCTTCAACGGCTCAAAGTTGTTCCAGGAAATGAATGAAGTGCCCTGTGTGACCTCCAGTAAGCTTGCTTATTTCAAGAGAGCTTGGTGTTTTCTCGTGACAACCTTGCAGATTACTTCGGTGACAATGTAAGCCTTGTTCCAACACCCAGAGGAAAAGAAAGGTTTTTAATGAAATGGTGAGAGTTGAAGGAAGAAGAATGACTAACACAACACCTTGGCCCACTCATGGTGAAGATGAGACTTAAAGGAAGTTTGGCTCCTACTTCCTTTCGAAATAATTGCAACACCTAGGAAAATTAACATTCAGTCAATAGCTGGGCTCTGCCAATGTGCATTTTCTTCCTTGCAGAACACCGAAAAAAAAATTGAATTCCAGAGTACATTTCTTACTTAGATTAAGGACACTGACAAGGTCATTTCTAGTCTGCCCCAGGTACCATATGCAAAAGGATGGGAGTGGGAGGGAGAACACTGATGAAGATAACCTGGCACCCTTACTACCTGTGTGACTTTGAGGTTAACTTTTTCAGGCTAATATTTGTATTTGGAAAATGGGAGTGATGATTTTGTATTTACTCGCAAAGAAGGTTAGAAGGATTAAACAAGATAACACATGTAAGGCACGTAGCACTCTGCCTGGCACTGAGCAAATGCTACATAGGAGATAGCTGCTATTAATAGCGCAACACGATAGTTTCCTTGTGGAATTTTCTCCCACTGACTCTCTTTCAACTAAGTGGCAGTACTGTTTTTGTATCTATTTTAGGAAAAAATAAAGACCTGCAGAACAAACCTAGTTTCTATTTCCTTGTCATGAAATAAGCTTTCCCTTAAGAAATACCCAGCACAAAGACAACCCAAATATATTATGAGAAGGTTCATTACTTCTGAATGGTCATTTAACTAAAGTGACAAAAGAACGATGACAGGATTATTATTATTTTCCTTGTTATACTAGGCTTGATGGTGAGTTCATGTTACACTTAGCATTATTAGGAAGAATTAGTGTAATTGTTAGAATTATCAGTGGGGAAGAGTACTCTGCTTCCTAGAGAGTGGATACCCCATCTTACCAATAAAGGCAATAAAGAAGATGAAGGTGACACTTTTTAGCAATTCTGTGGTTTAGTGACTCTGTCCTATTCATCTTTGAGTCCCACTGAGACTGGTTTGAAATACAGAGATACTAATACCTTGTACAGACAGAGCAAGTACTGCTTTTTGGAAGTTGGATGGAAGACCATATATATATACACACACATATATATACACACATATATATATATACACACACACACACATATAACCCCTGTCTAACACATAGATGTGGTTTGAGGAATTTCCATCTGTTTTTGGCACTGCCTCTTTGGTGCATGTGGCACTCGTTCAAACAGCTCTCAGGTTTCACTGAGCTTAGGATTTGCCATCTGGTTGTTTGGAACAACTTTTCTTTGTCCACTGATAAACCCAACAAAAGGGTTACGAACAAAAATGAGCATGATCCAGGTGCCAGGAAAGATGCATTTCTCTGACAGTTTCCTCCTCTATTTTTTTTTATAGCAACACTCATTTTCCATAGCTCTGAATACCACCATCACCATCCAATTCCACCCTGGGAGGAAATAAGGGAGCAGGCTCCATATATAGATTACATACTCTATGTAAAATTGCTTGTACTCAAACCCAAAACACTCTGAACTCACTTCATCAGTATTGGTTGGAGAGAAAAATTCTGTGCCTGAACAAGGTGCAGATTTGTAGCACCATTATCAGAGGCAGGGCTGATTAGCATATCACGGGCCAGCAATATTACTGAAATCAGAAATAAAATTTAAAGTCACGTTTAAGGTAAAATAATTTGCTTATTTCATTCAAATCCAAAAACTAGGAATCATATGATAGATAATTGGGTTGTATGTTTTAAAAAAGGCAAAGGAAATAGGGGAAGTGTCTAAATTTCTAACTTAATCCTATAGACAAATTGCAAATAAATTATAGAAACAGAACAGGGACCTATCCAAAAATCATAGAATTTCTAGGCTGAAAAGAATCTTAGGTTTGACTTAATCATCTTAATTTTACACATGAAAAATTGAGACTAAGGGAAGTTAAATGGCATTTCAAGCTCACAGATGAGTAAGTGGCAAAGATGAGACCACAGGCTAGATCTCTCCATTTTAAGATGGGTGTTTTCAAAGTATGTAATCAATTTGTGACTTCTTGTCAATATTATCCAGTTCAATTTTGTTTAATTTAATAAGGACCTACTGTTTTCTCATGGCAACCATCTTATTTAGATACCTTCTAAAACACAGAAGTGTCAACTGGTTGATGAGATTTAATAATATTATCCAGATTACCTTTTGTTTCATAAAAGATCCCCACAAGAGTTATATGTTCATATTTTACAAAACAAATTGTATACCATTATTTTCATATTTTAATTTCATCCTAGTACAACTGACTGGATGATGGGAAGGTTCAGTCCATGTATCAGGTAGAACGAATCATCATCACATATAATTATGTGCCCCAGAGGCAAAATGCCTGGTTCCCTCTACACATTGTCTTCTCCACAGAGACAGGCAAGGAAAATGGTTATCAGTGAAGCTGTTTTGTCAATTTCTGATTAATTTGGGGGAAATGGTAGCAGTTTGTTTCCTGTTATGTCATGATGCATGGATTTGGTGCTTTCATAAACACAAGCATGTTCAGATGATTCAACAGTTTGGTTTTGACAAATTCATTAATACATTGATTTTCATATCAAAGAAAATATTGATCTATTTAAAGGACTGGCTATGTATCGGGCACTCAATCTGTGTTCCCCAACCACGCTGAAATTTTGTTTTCCCCCAACAGGCCCACATGAAAGTACAGAAAGCCAATGATAGGCTGGCTATGGGACCGACGTAATTGGAAGTGAGGCACTGACCCAAAATTTGGTGACAAAAATATACTAGAAATTTATTCCTTTCTTTTTCTTTTCTTTTTTTTTTTTTTCTACAGAGTCTCACTCTGCCACCCAGGTTGAAGTGCTGTGATGCGATCATAGCTCACTGTAGCCTCAATCTCCCAGGCTCAAGTGATCCTCCAGCATCAGCCTTTTGAGTAGCTGGGACTGCAGGTATGTGCTACCAAGCCTAGCTCATTTTAAAAATTTTTAGTAGGCCTGGCACGGTGGCTCAAGTCTGTAATCCCAGCACTTTGAGAGTCCGAGGCGGGGAGACCACAAGGTCAGGAGATCAAGACCATCCTGGCTAACATGGTGAAACCCTGTCTCCACTAAAAATACAAAAAATTAGCCGGGCGTGGTGGCAGGCACCTGTAGTCCCAGCTACTTGGGAGGCTGAGGCAGGAGAATGGCGTGAACCAGTGAGGCGGAGCTTGCAATGAACCAAGATTGTGCCACTGCACTCCAGCCTGGGCAACAGAGTGACACTCTGTCTCAAAAAAAAAAAAAAAAAAAAAAAGAATGAAATAAAGGAGTGAAAAAAAAATTTTTAGTAGATAGGAGGCTGAGCTGGGAGGATCACCTGAGCCTAGGAGGCTGAGGCTGCAGTGAGCTGTGAGCTATGATCATGCCTCTGCACTTCAGCCTGACCAACAGAGATCCCGTCTCAAAAAAAAAAAAGAAAAAAAAAGTAGGAGAGATGAGGACTTGCTATGTTGCCTATGCTGGTCCTGAACTCCTGAGCTATATAGCAGTCCTCCCACCTTGGTCTCTCAAAGTGCTGGGATTACAGGCGTGAGCCACCATGCCCAGCTGTAGGTGGAGCATCAGCAGGTTTTAGGTAGTAGCAATAAGCAAATCATTTGAGGTCACAGTATCCAACCAAGAACTCAGTAGAGATAGAGCTTGCGGATTAGATGCCTTACTTATTACCTGAAGCTGAGCATGAGGAGTGGGAAAATTAGTGATTAGCAACAACACGCGTGTCTAATTAAACAAATAAAAAGAAACTATTAAAGTAGAAATAAGAACTACTGAATATAAATACCTTCAACAGTTGTATGCTATTTCTTTTTTTCCACCTTTTTTACTCAAACAACTTGTACTCATATTTAGGAGTTTCAGTTGGCTTTTCTCACCACTAGGCTCTTCTTATTTCTTGCACCTTCTGTCCCAAGGATCTATACACATGTCACCTGTCACAAGCTTAGAACTGATGAGACATGAGTACTTTGGGCTGATTACACTGTTTTTTGGTCTCCTCCAATTACTGATATCTGAGCTGGGCCAAATGAGTGGGATTCAGACCAGGCTGCCAGATCGAATACACCATACAATTCAAAGTTTCTGCCTCTGGAATCCCTATAGCTCATTTATCTGTAGCTCACTTGCTTGCTTCTTTCTTTCTTTCTTTCTTTCTTTCTTTCTTTCTTTCTTTTTCTTTCTTTCTTTCTTTCTTTTTTCCTTTCTTTCTTTTCTTTCTTTTTCTTGTTTCTTTCTTTGTTTCTTTCTTTTTTTTTTTTTTTTTAAATAAATCACCTTAAGCTATGTTAGAGGCCGGCCATGATGCAGTACTCTAATAGCTTGGTTATGTTGGTAATTACAATCATATGAGACAAAGTGTCTCATGTACCATATGACAACAGGAACCCAATAAGGGCATTGGTAATTTGAGTTCCCATTTTAAAAAGAATCTGATTTAAAAATATATATATATATATAAATATATATATATAAATATATATATATATATTCCCCTTGTCTGCCTAAAACTTTAGAAAGCTCATGAGCAATCTTGGGATATTTGCAATAGTTACTCAACAATCAAATTTCATGTTTTAATAATTTCTAGTATTCAAGAAAAAAAGAAAAGTGACTCTCTAGCCATCTATGGTTTATGAAACTGAATTGTGTCATTCTGACAAAGCAAAATATATTGCTTTCATAAGGGAATGGAAACATTTGTTTTCAAAGAATATAGGTAAGACATCAATGAAATCTTGTCTCCCTGTATGAAATATATACCAATTTCCTTTTAATTCTAGAAAGCAAATATCGCATTTACATACTATACTTATTTGGCAGGACAAGCAAAGTTCCCCAGGAAAGACCAGGGGTGGCTGATAGATAGATATTTACTGGTTCATATTTTTTTAAAAAAATTCCTAAATGTCGTGAAGTTTTAAACGTTTTTTCTTTTCTTTTCTTTTTCTTTCTTTCTTTTTTTTTTTTTTTTTTTTGTTCTTTGAGATGGAATGTTGCTCTTTCTCCCCACGCTGGAGTGCAATGGAGAGATCTGGGCTCACTGCAACCTCCTCCTCCCGGGTTCAAGCGATTCTCCTGCCTCAGTCTCCTGCCTCAGAGTAGCTGGGATTACAGGCATGTGCCACCATGCCCAGATAATTTTGCATTTTTAATAGAGACAGGGTTTCTCCATGTTGGTCAGACTGGTCTTGAACTCCGACCTCAGGTGATCCTGCCGCCTCGGCCTCCCAAATTGCTGGGATTACAGGCGTGAGCCACCGCACCCAGCCTTATTTTCTTTTTTTAAAAATGGCAAAGTAACCTTGTTTGGGAAGTTTATTAACATTGAGAATTTGTTTCCTCTGTTTTTGTGTGTGTCTGTGTGTGTGAGAGAGAGATCCTAGCCCTGACTTTTTCCCCTGTTCCTCATTTATCATCCTGTCCAGGTCAGTTCATGGGTTCTGTCCCTGGATGGTACAGCTTCCCGTTGCTTTCTGTCTGTAGGCCTTGGGATAAAACATCAAGAGACTGAATCTATTAGTGGGTCTTTCAAAACTCTGCTTTTATTTTCAAAAGTCGATGTTCGTTTGATTCTACAGAGGTGTTGGAATTTTCTCCTTGTTTTAATCTTGGCTCTCTGTTTCTGCTTTGACATAAAAGAGATCTTAAGTGGCTATAAAACTAATGCATATTATTAACACAAAACATTTTCAGGGACACAGGAAGTTTTGAAAATGAACTTTGGTACTGGTTATCTTAGCCAATTCCTCAGGAATCAATTTAATCATAGAAGGGATGTTTACAAGAAGATCTATAATGTACATACGTGTGTGCATGTTTTATAAGTTGTTTTCTTTGGTTAGCATTAAAAACATGACGAAAAAGAGGCCAAGTATGGTGTGGGTGTTCCTGTTATTTTATATATACATTGGATCCTTGTAAAATACTTAGGAAAAGTGAGATTCCTAGACAGAGAAGATTCTAAATCTGCACATTGCTGAAAAACCAGATGCGATATATTGAAAAGCATTTACTTTGGGTGTTTTATGTAAGTGAGCTAGTGCCACAGAATTGAGGAAAAAAAGCCTAAAACACAAGAACCACCACCACCACAACAAAATCTAACTTGAGATGAACAAAAAGGAAAGAATGTTTCAAGGGTAAGATAAATTTCCTGGAGTGCAACAGTGGTGAGCTGATATGATATGACTTTTTTTAATGCAAATTACTTCCAATTCACTTGACATATGAGGGAACAATTTGAACATGTGTCTGCTTGAGCATAGCATAAAATTTGAGCCAACTTTCTATGTACCAATGTGAAATTTTGCCTCTGAGAAACACTAGGTAAATGCAATAAAATCTGCACCCAGGTCAATTGATCTATGTAAGAATACACGCAGAAAATCAATCATCTCCCAGCCACCTCAGTTCACAGTGTGGTATAAGCTCACCCATCCTGGTGTTACAAATTTCCATCAGATTTCAGACAACTTCAGGACAACTAAAAAACAGCAAACATTTCTTCCAGTGCCCACTTCCATGAGTAAACTTCAGGTTTTGAGTAAACTTCAGGTTTTTCAAGGCAAAATGTCATATTTATTACAGTATCTATGCATTTCTTAACAATGACCATGTGCAAAACTATGCTACCCTTTTCCTTGGGTTCTTATTTTTTATTATTTATTATCATATTTATTACTTTATTTTGAATTTTTAAAAGGAAAAGTCTCACTGTGTTCCCTAAGCTGGAGTGCAGTGATAAGATCTTAGCTCACTGCAGCCTCAAGCTCCTGGGCTCAAGGGCTCCTCCCACTTCAACCTCTCAAGCAGCTGGGACCACAGGCACCACCATGCCCAGCTAAATTTTTTATGTTTTGTAGAGATGGGGACTCACTATGTTGCCCAGGCTGGTCTCAAACTCCTGGCCTCAAGTGATCCTCCCACCTCAGCCTCTCAAAGTGCTGGGATTACAGGCGTGAGCCACCATGCTTAGCCAAGGTCCTTATCTTTTTAAAAAATGCACTTCCGGTAACATTTTTGAGTGGTATGCTCCTATGCTCCCAATTCTATTTTGTTGAAAGTCCTGTGACTTTTTTTTTTTTTTTTTTTTTGAGACAGAGTCTCTCTGTCGCCCAGGCTGGAGTGCAGTGGCACTATCTCGGCTCACTGCAGGCTCCGCCCCCGGGATTCACACCATTATCCTGCCTCAGCCTCCCAAGTAGCTGGGACTACAGGCGCCCGCCACCTCGCCCAGCTGATTTTTTGTATTTTTAGTAGAGACGGGGTTTCACCGTGTTAGCCAGGATGGTCTCGATCTCCTGACCTCGTGATCCGCCCGCCTCAGCCTCTCAAAGTGCTGGAATTACAGGCGTGAGCCACCATGCTTAGCCAAGGTCCTTATCTGTTTAAAAAATGTACTTCTGGTGACATTTTTGAGTGTTATGCTCCCAATTCTGTTTGGTTGAAAGTCCTGTGATTTTTGTTGTAGATCATGCATCGTATGGTGAGTTTCAGAACCACTATGTCACGTTATAGTGGAACTAATGGCATAGCTCACTGTGAGCAGTGTGATGGCAGAAAAGAACACATGGGTGACAAGCACACGAGGCACCAAACACTTTAATGTGCCAGGACTCTGAGCCCTGCAGGTGTTATTTTCTATGAAATAAGATCTCTTCTCTACTACAGTAGCAAGAAAATCTCAACATGCTACTTTGTCTTTATTTTCAAATGTGTCCTCTGGTCATTGTATTCCTAATGCCTCCACGGTTTTGTTTACCTAGGATGAACCTAACCAGTTGGCAGTGCCTCGTACTCTGTGATGGATTTTCCGAAGACCAAATGTACCATTTTCTTGTCTTTTCAAAGAGAGCCACACAGGAAGGAAAACAAGAAATTCAACTTTTAAGCTGGGCTATTCATGGCCTTTGCTAAATCCTGGCAGAATTTCACAGTTCTTCATTACAATTCATCTCACTGATTTCCTAATGCAATGAACTGGCCTTTTCATTAAGGCCATAGGGAATGAAGCTGAGTTACCCAATCATTAAGTGTTGTTATCTGATGAGTGAAAAATGGATTACTTTTCGATGTGCATTTGGGGAGCCGTGTGTGTGTGTGTGTGTGTTTCCACTAGATTCCATTTTGCGAAAATTGGTTCAAGTGGAAGGACAGGGTTAATCTTTCATGTTCTGTTCTGCTAGAACACTATATGGCTTTCTGCTCTGTGAGCAGGCAAAGAAAAATTGGTGGGCTCAGGAATCAGAAATGCAGGGCCAACAGTCCTGTTTCTCACTTTCGATAAAGGCCAACATTTTACCTGCTCAAGAACACTCTATTCCTTTAACCAACGGGAGTGTTATTTAATTAGTTCCTTCGTTTTTCAGCTAAAGCAGACACATGCGCACATCACACACACATGCATGCGCTGTGGTGTTTTTTCTTCTATCACCCCTCCCTCCACAGAGATATCAATTTGCATAAGAGGAGAAAATAAATTCATTTAAACCCCATTCTAAATTCAGTATTAGAAATGTAATGATCTCTAACACTGACCTTTTTAAAATACTTTGTGGATAAACCATTGATTTTATTTGTTCTAAATTTACTTTAAAAGACCTGTTTTGTAAATCACTAAAACACATGTATTTTATTTACCTGTTTGGGATAATATTAAACATAATCTTTGAGGGTACTATTTTGTCTATTATAGTTTTATTCTATAACATAGATTGAACCGTTTTCATATCCAATTCATTTTCATTAAATTTTTAAATGGTAGTGGTTTAGGCTTGGGATTAGATAATACATAGCCCATTTGATATAACATTAAAGCATCTTTATTAGATGTAAATAATTTATCACCCAGGTGTTTAGTTTACAGAGTACTAAATATTTACATATTTCATAACATGTAAATCAAATGCTAAATAAAAAATTTTAATTTGCCATCCTGTTATTTTAGCATTATATAAACACATTTGCAAAGATTTTAATGTTTTAATGTGAATTAAAGGTACATGTACCTAACCTCTTATCTTTCTACCAATCCTAGTATGCATATATCTGAAATAGTAGTGTGTGAGGTGTGTGTGTGTATGTGTGTGTTCATGTGTGTGACAGAGTGTATTATGTTTTTTGAAATGCAGAGATTAGGATAAAGGAAACCATAAATGCAAAATAAATTAATTCTCTAGAATAATTGTATGCAGTGGTCTACACAATTTTGTTAAATTTGGCTCATTCATTTTTTTGTCTCACGTATAAATCAAAGTAAATAGTTAAAACATGAAGTATGTTCTTTCCTAAGTTGGATTGTGGTTTACAAGATATTGAAACAACTGAGCATTATAAATATAGCCAGTCAATTTGTTGGGGGCTAAGAAAAAAAAATGAAAGAAAAAAAGAAAATTGAAGTTGTATTTTATCTCCATGCAGCACTATACAAATTCAAAACCAAATTCAGGATTTCTGAGCTTGTAAAATCTGAACAGTAACTCTCTTCATTTTAGCCTACCTAGATCTATATTTTAATCAATGTAATATTAGCAACCTGTATAGATGACAATGAGATGAAGATGTACAAAAATGTACCCAACTGTTCCATTTTGAAGAGTAATAATTAATGAGAACACTTATATTTGGGCAATAGCAAATGAAATTATAAGACTATGTAAGCGTGACTATGTTTTTTTGGTGTCAAATAGACTATGTCTACATGAATCCAATTCAACCACCTATGCTAAATATTCAAATGGCCATATTAATCTTTTTAAAAAAGAAACAATGTATCAGTCTTTTTGCCTTTGTATAAATATAACATCCTACATAGATTCATTCATTCCTTAAATATATATTTATTGATCACATGTTATGGGCTGAGACCTGTGCCAAACTTTGAGTATTCGGTGTGGAAGAAAAATAAGACAAAATCTATGTCCTTATTTATGTAGTTTCGTTTCGTTGTAATATGCAGAAAAGAAAGAAAACAACTGTACATCTAGAAGAGATAATAGAGGGCATCCAACCATTTTATTTTGCACACTAGAAAACTAAGATCCAAAGAAATAGTGTCTTGACAAGGGTCACACATCTGGTTAGTTCTGTTCGCAGTAGAATCCCATTTTCTGATTTTTCTCTAGTGATGTTGCCCCTATACTTGGCTGCTTCTACCTAATTGATGCCATTGAAGAATTTCCTTCTCAAGAAGTGAAAAATCTTCAGAATAAGTACCCCTGCATACTCAGATAAAGAAAACTCAGAACTCTCTGTGACTCCCTGTTTCTCCTCTTTTGCTTACTTTTGTCAGCTATTAAATAACATAAGGGCGTTTTATTCCATTTCCTTCTGCTTAGCTCTCCCTCTACCAGCTATTTCCAGCACTCATTAACTTACTCCTTCTAACTTACTCCTTACTTCTCCACCCCTCCCCTCTCACCTACTGTCTTCCAGGCAAATATGTGCCATATATGGGCCAGATACACATTTCAGAAAAAGTCTACTTCAGTTTTAGAGAGATGTCATTAGTATATGTAACTTACCATGTTACAATAGACATCATCTTAGATACATTATTTAATTTGAAATGACATCAAGTTACATAAATACCTTTTGGTCACTTTTTGTGCAAGCCATTAGCTCCAGAAAGCTAATTTCTTCATTTAAAAAAATCCTCATTAAAATTTTGAATACATTGTTTTTTTGAAAATGCTGAACTGAATTGCTCCTTGGAGAAACAAATTTGAGTTAATTATTTTTTCTTTATCTTCTGCACCTTATATGCATTTTGGAGGGCTTGGAGTAGATAGTAAAATACAGAGTCCTTAAATTAAACAGAAGACAAAAAGGAAGGAATGAGAGGGAGAAAAAAAAAGGGAGGGAGAGAGAAGGGAAAGGAATAGAGAAAGGCAGCCAGGCAGGCCAAAAGAGACTTTTTGTAGGAGTCAAAGTTGTAGCTCTTGTTACAACATGAGACATTCTGATTTGTGGTTTGATGGACTAGCTGTGTGAACTTTATCTTTACAAAAGGAAAAAAGCCCGTTTGCATAAGCAAAGGCATCACATTTCAATTATATGCCCTTTGGAGATTCAAAAGTTCTCAATTTCTCCCTCCTCCAAATACAAACATAAACTCAGTCAGGTTTCTCATCAGCGCAGAAGTTAAAGAACACGTGACTCTGGTAGACAAAACAAGAAGATATACAGACTCATTGGAAATGTCTAGATTTTGAAAAATACCTGATGTGGGGAAAAATTAAAAGAGACAGGAATGGAAAATTCCTCTGCTGGCTTCCTGTTCTCCTTCCTGCTAAGGTGGGATTAGTTACCAGCTGTCAAAAGAAATATCACTTTTAATTCTTATTTTAGGGGGAAGGAAAGCATCAGAAAAAGCTATCTTGGAAGGGAGTGAGGCAATAAGGACATTCATTTTTGCAATTCATTCCTGAGGTTTGAAAGAGCACAAGTTGGGAAGAAAAGGATTATGTTTCCTATGAAAAGTGAAGAACTGAGGACATGATAAAGGCAGATTAATCTCCTTCAAATATCTCCCAATAACATAATCAATGTGGTAATGAAGCCAGTTAGGAGTTTGGGGCTTGAAGTATCCAAGTAATTATTTGAAATCTCTCCTTGGATAGAAAAAGAATTAATAAGAGCAAACTAGTCTTTAAAATGAGGGCATGTTTTGAAATGAAATCAATTATCTTTGATGCAATTACTCTTCCCCTGGAAAGCATTTTTTTTTTTGAGAAGGATAACTTTTCAATTTACAAGCACTTCTTGCAGAAGAATAGAATTTACCTAATGCTTGAGGATGCCCTTCAAATGTTGGGTCACATCTGGTGGATACATGATAGTTTATAAAGCTCTCTCAAGGTATGGTTTCAAGTAATCCCCATAACATAGCGTAGATCATATCAGTCAACGCGGCTGTGATTGGAGTACTAAAAAGCCAGTACACATGCTCTAAAAGATCTGCTTCACTCAAATCTCCTGCAATGTTGGGAATTCCATGGTTAGAAATGCATTCCTTTGCATTCAGACAAGAGCTCCTTGACTAAGGTTAAAAAGCAAGATTCAAAATTGTAAATCTGACCGAATCTCAACTTTATCTTAAGACAGTAGAGAAAATGACTGGAAATAATTTGACCAAAGAAAATTGAGACTTGTGATTATTTTTTATTGCCCTCTTTGCACTCTTATTCATAGTATCTACAATAAACCTATATAACTTTAACATCCAGGAAAGATTTTTTTAAGGTGTTCTTTCCATTTTCCCCACTCTGGGAGAGATAATGTAGTTTTTCATCTATTAGCATGATTCAATGTATCAGATTCATTCAAATGAGACAGCCAATTTCATCCATTTTATTTAAATAATTGTTGAAGTGCAGTGCATCATCTTAGGAAAATGCTGAGTGGGAATTTTCATTTCAATCTTAAGAAAATTGCTCCTTGAGGAAGAAAATTCAAGTTGGCTCTTTTCCCCCCTTTTCCTTCTGCCTCTGATTCCATATAGTCTGGAGGGTTTCAAACACAATAAAACACACTGAGCTCTTCAAGTGATTGAGACACTTCAGAGGAACATTTTGAGAACTGGGATTATGAAGCGAGAGGACAACTCAGGCACAACCTAGTAATGCTGCAGTATCTGGGCAGCAAGAGGGTCTTGCGACTCAGGAGAGATGGACGATGGACAGTGATAGGGAAGCTCATTAAGAAAGTAAACTGAAGAAAAAGGTAAAGAAACCTTTAAAAGACAAACAGTTTTATTTTCCTAATATGCTTGTTTGCTTAATTCAGAAAAGCATTCATCCCTCAGTATTAGTATTAGTATCAGTACTGAATTCTAGCTTTCTGTTAGTCACTTGGTTGGACTCAAAGATGAATGAGGGAGTCAAGCACAATGACACATGCCTATAGTCCCAGCTACTTCGGAGGCTGAGGCGGGAGGATTGCCTGAGTCCAGGAGTTTGAGACCAGCCTGGACAACATAGGAAAACCCCATCTGAAAACACACAAAAATTAAAAATTAAAAAAAAAAAGATGAGTAAGATTCAGTAAGTTCCTAACCACAAATATTTAGAATTTAGTAGAGGAAATAAGACATGCAACTAAAAGCTAAAATATATAGATTGAAAAACATCGTGCCTTTAAAGAGTATTATTCTTTTATTATTATTAATTTTGAAATAAACTATTTATTGATATTTATAGTAGGCAAGGAAAGACTTAGTAAAAGGAATATTGAAGGAAAGATAGGATTTTAAGTCATAGAAATGCAGTTGACTTGGACTTAACCGTGAGAGGAAAATCATTAATCAGAAAAGAGGAACATTACTTTTGGAGAAGAGTAAATTTTACGGCTTAGCTAGTTTTGTTTTTGTTTTTTTTTTCTGTAAAGGGCCAGATACAAAATATTTTAGGCTTTAAGGACCACAGTCTCTGTTGAGGTCTTGAAGGTCACTGAATTCTGTTGTGTAATATGATGCCTTCATTGACAGTAAGTAAAAAAATAGGGATAGGCATATTTACCAATAAACATGATTTACAGACATAGAAATGTGAATTTCACATCATTTTCATGTCACAAATATTAGTTTTCTTTTACTTTTCCCCCGCTATTTATCATTGTAAAAACCATTCTTAGCTGGGAGTCCTTACAAAAACTGGAAGCAAGCCACAGTCTTCCAGTGACGGAGCTAGAGTGTTCTCTCTAACAAGTAACCCCTTTGTACAATGTAACTTCCTCTTAGGCCAATACTAAAATCACAGAACAGCAATACATTACAGATTTTTGAAAGAGATAATTATTTATCACTTACATTCAAGTAACAAATTCTTGTAATTTGACAAATCTTGAACATGCCTCCTCAACTTGCCTCAGTTTGTCTTTCTGTTTGGGGGAGGATTAAAGTTCACAAAAGTTGAACTTCAATGAAGTTAATTATCAGTTAAGGTAGACTGAGGAGGCAGAGACATGTAACAGAAAAGCCAATCCAGATATCATTTTTATTTATTTGGCTTTAGAAAGTGTTTTTCTACTTACATGTGAGTATGGGTGTGTCTGATATTCTGGGAATTTACTTCAAACAAAGGAATGAAGCCACGCAATGGCGATCTGACTCAGCTGGAGTTGGGAATCCATCTAGTTTCCCCATCTTGCCTCCCGTCTTGCTCTTCTCCATGGTCTGTTTTTACGCTGTGTTTAGATGCCTCGTCTTCTCAGATCAATCTAAATGCTCACCCACATAAAATCACCTTTCCTGAAATTGTATTTGCAGAGCAGATGGAGTCCTGTCCATTTTTGCGTGTGTGTTTTTTTTAAGTCTTTTGAGATAGAACTCTAACAAAGTGTGCTCTGCTTTCAAACAAGGCAGTAATTGAGCAGCATTAAGTGATAATATTGAACAACATCATGGATAAACCACAATGAGAGTTGCTGCAATTGTTATGGAAATGTAGGCATTTGTTTAGTCTTCAATTTTTTTTTTTAACAGAAAAGGCAACCTCTGCATTCACTGCTTACCTGAGATTTATGGATGAATGAAAAGATAGGTCCCTTGGAGAGTTCAAACTCTTCTGCAGATATTGTGTAACAGATTGCAAAATAGGTCTTCCTATCAGAATATGTATACCTTAGTGACAGCTATGAGTTTGGAACACGAATTATCTATCTGTGGTAGGTGTTGTCGTTGTTGCTATTATCATCCCCATTTGACAGTTGAGAAAATGGAGTTGCAGAAAGGTTAAGCAGTTTCTCAGTGTCACACAGCTAGTAAGTGGCGGTGCCAACATAGAAGTCCACTTCCTCAAGTGTTCATGCTTTTAAAAATGGAAACAAAACTCTAACAACCGTCAAACAGCAACGATTGTCAGAACCTAGAAAAGGCCTCTTAAATTTGCAGTGTTAACCAAGCCTGATGTGGTTCCCTAGATCCCCTGGCTGCCACCGCTCTGTGAAGCAAAGGAAAAACTAATTCCTTGCTAGCATAACACTTCTATTGAGCATTCCTGGACACAACTCCCCCAGGTTCTGAAGAGCCTAGGGTTGCTATTTGTTTAGTTCCCCATGGCTGCTTTTCACATTTTCTGGATCTTTCTCTTGATTCTAGCATTATAAGTCTACCTCTTCCCTGATCACTCACTTTTCTACCTCCTGGAGAGCACTGACCACGGGATCACCTCACCATTTTATTTAACCCATTAGGACTCAATGCCAGGCAAAACCTATACCACAGCCTGCATTGTATTCACCATCTCAGGCTCGAGCTCTGATTCCTGGGGTTGAGGAAAGGAAGACTTTCCAACCCCAATTTCTGCCATCCATGTTGATTAGTCAGAGGGCTAATCAACTGTGAACTCATGTTCTTTGGAACTAGGCAGCACAGGAAAAATAATCATTAAAGGTTTGGTAAATAAAAGACTGAATGGATGCTTAGCTACCTGTCATTATCCTGTCTCGCTTTTCGTCAGCATGCAATCCCAATCCTCAGCTGTTAAGATGTAGACAAAGAGTTCTGATGAAAGGGATTTATTTGTACTATTCCAACAGAGTCTGAAAACTAGCAGGAGCATTTCCATAGGTCGTCTCTCAACAATCCTGTCTGTAAATATTTGAGTCACTTACAGGCATTGTTGAGCATAGTTCTGGCCCAGCAAATCTTCCTCCTTTGTATCCCTGATCAAGTAAAAACTTAGTCAGGATATACTTGGGTGACCTTCACACTGTACCTCCTCCAGAGGTACAGAGGTGGTGACGTAATCACTGCCACAGCTGACTGGCTATGGCTTGCTTGATAAGACGCCAGGGGCTACCTATGTAGATTCCCAGGGAGGAACTGTAGGAACAAACCGGTGTCAATGGTTAACCCAGGTTCTTGGTGTCTGGAGCTTTTCTTTCCTTTATTATTAACTAAAGAGCATTCTCTACCATTGCCCAGCTGAAAGCACCTAGCTCATAGATTCTCTGTGGGGAGAGTGAATAAAGGTAAGTGCTATTATTGCTATGGATACAATGTCATTCAGCCTATGTTTTGCTCTTGCTGGCATCTGTGTTTGGGGAGCAGCAACACTCTGTTTCCAGCAAACGTAAATATTAATGATCAATTAAATGCAATTAAGATAATTTAATTTTTTATCCAAGTGCTTTAAGTAGGAATCAAACAGTGTGTCATATTCCTTAAGTTATTTTGAAGCTTTGGTTAAAAGTAGTCTCACATTGGTGTTTACAGAGTCTGTTAAACAGCCCTTGCCTGCTATTATATTTGTAAATGTCTAAAAGTGGCTTTATTATATTCATACCACATGGAGTATTCTGCAATGTCTTTCAAAACCAGATTTTTGCATCCTGTATGCACTTATGAACATATAATTGCAAATATTGAAAAATATGTATTTTATACCCCCCTCTTAAAAAGCTCAGAGAAAATACACGTTAACTTTTTTTTATAGTTGTCTATAATCATTGAAAGGAAATAAGAGATCTATTTTTTCTAGATTTATTTTAACATAAATTGAAAGTGAAGAATTTTCTCCTTTTGTTTTCACCTTAATCCCTCTAAAGCTTTTTTTTTTTTCTTATCATTTAAAAATCTTAAAATTTTGTTTTGAGTATTTAGTCAGAAAAGTGTGAGCTTGTAAAACTTTGCTCTCTGGATGCCACGAATTCTCTGACATATATAATTGAACAGTTTTCCTTGTTGGTATATTTAGGTAGTAAACAATAACATTTCTATAAGCCAGATGAATTTTGATCATGTGTATTACATGGACTGAATGGTCTTTAGAAAAAGAGTATTGGAGTATTTCTGCTAAATATTACTCTTATGGCTAGTAAGAGCCAGATCCTGAAGAAGAAAAAAATGTATGAATGCACCTTTGTTACTTTAGTATGGGAAATGTAGACTAGCCACTCTTTATGTCAGATTTTAACCAATAAAGGAACATGAAGTACCCAAACCACAGCTGTTTTGCAGAATACATTTAAGGAATTCCTGAAATTCAGCCAAAAAGAATTTAAAAGTGAACAAGGTCCAGAGTTCAATTCAAATCAAAAGAGAGAGAAAGAGAAAGAGAGCCTGAGTAACTTAGAGATGTAATCCTGCTTGTTTATTTTTAGAACACGATAATTGTGATAAATCTAAGATTATTAGTCTCATATACAACAAGACTGACAACCTTTGAAACTGCAAGAAAAGACTGCTTTGGGAGAGGAATTCAATATTCTATTTTAATGCATTTTTCTCAACAAGAATTTCAGCATGAGAGAGAACAAGAGTCTTCAAGGATATTGAAAAATATATGTTTCTTCTATTATATAGATTAGTGGTGAGTACAAGCTAAGACCTGGATATAAATTAATTGAAAATTAGAAATGGAAAAAAAGTATAGTTTGAGGCAAAATATATAAAGGGCATTGAAAGTAAATATTTGGCACCGAAATAATACAGGTATTTTCTTTGTTAAATTAGTAAAACCTACCACTTGTCCTCATACAAGAACTTGAGTTCCAGCATAAGAAGATCATTGGGAGCCATCTTCAAAGCTACCTCCCACCATTTTCCATTTATAAATGGAACTGTCAAAGAAGTCTTCACTAAGGGGGTGATATTTAGCCAAAGACCTGGAGGTGGCAAGGAAGTGAGCAACGTAGAATCCTTGGAGAAGAGCAGTTCAGGCAGATGGAACAGCCCTAAGGCTGAGGTGTGCCTGGCGAGTTAACAAAACAGCAAAGAGGCCAGTGTGGCTGAAGCAAAATTGCAGGAGTGGGAGTAGCAGGGAATACATGAGGTCCTGTAGATGTGCCATAATATTTACCAAGACAGATACGATTCTGCAAGCTACAAGTGTCAGAGAAGGTTTTTGAGATGTTAGAAAAGACCATGGGAAGCGTAGATTTAGATAAGTGGAGAGACAGTGAGGAGTATTGCGGATGACAGGCTGATGATACAAGTGAACAAAATATAGATGTGAGAATGAGCAGAATTAGCATAAGCATGAGAGCAAATGAAGTTAGGCTCCTCCAGTGTACCCAATGGAGTAAATAAAAAGGTTTCTGAACATCAAGGCTGTGCTGAGGCTAACAATATGCTCACCAACATGAAACTTGTAAGGGAAACACAAATCTCAACACAGAAGCCAGGCCCTCTGTAGCTCAAACCAGATGTTGTCAAGAGACAGGAAATTAAGAAATCTAAGTAAAAGTAGATTTCATGGACAGTAAACAGAATTAGAAGTCTTTCTCCAAATGCCTCTTTCCTGGTTAGGCTGTGTTTTTTTTTTTTGTTTGTTTGTTTTTTCTTGCATTTTAGTGAGTCCATCCATCAGCTTTGGCATCTCCAAATGGCCCCTTTGCTGGAAACCATGGTAATAAGGGCTCATCTTCTGAGATGTCTATGGGAAATGAAAGTAAACTCAAATAGCTGGTTCTTGGTTAAATTTTTCAGGCCCAAGGGCCCAGATTCAGAAAAAAAAAAAAGATAGTTTATCTGAAATGCATTGCATGAAGAATGCTTTCCTATACAAAGACAGTTACATTTTGCTTTCTTAGCTGGTTAGCTTCTGCAGACTGGGAGGAGAACTATTTTTATCATCATGCTTTAGGGCCTATGGACCCTAGGCTTTGTAGTTATTTCACTCTGTTAAACACAAGGGGTGGATGACTTTATTTTTTTGTATAGCTGCTTTTAAATGAAAAAGATAGGATCAGATTTTTTTCCTCACCTTGTTCCAGAAAGTTCTACTCTGAAATCAAGGATCTGGATGCAAAACATAACATTCTAATAGAGGCTTCTCACTATTAAATGCAACTTTTCCCAGTTGCCATGGCTCCACATTCTCCCCCTCCTAAAACTAGATCTGAAACTGCTGACAGGTGTATAAGAAAATTTTAAAAAGTCAATCATCTGGGGAAAAAACAGTCCCAAATTAGATTTATCCAACAACTCCGCATAAAAAAAAGGTGATTTTTACCTTAACATGTTCCAAAAAGATCACCTCCATTCCTAATTTTATTTTCCTTATATGAAAATAGCTTTAGAGACTCCAAATGGTTACATGGCTTCAGATTGTATTTTGTAAGATTTGCTCTCCTTTTAACTGAGAAACAAATATTCAGTTATCTTTTTTATTTTAAGAAAAATGTGTGTTCTAGCAAACATGACCAAAAACACTCTTGTTTTGGTAAATTTTAATTTTTTGTTGTATCCCATTTTAAATCAGAGGCATGTTCTCATGCAATCAATAAACATTTATTAAGTACCACTGTACCGGACAGTCTGGGGACAAAGATAACAAAGATCTGGTCCCTGCCCCCAGCCTGGCAGAAAAAGGCATGTCTGTAAATAATTAAGAGCCATGCAATGGTCCAGCACCATCATAACATAACGTACAATTAGCACACCAACCAATCACACTTTTTTCCAGGAAGGCAAGA
The DNA here is from genome assembly GCF_000001405.40 of Homo sapiens. Lineage (NCBI taxonomy): Eukaryota > Metazoa > Chordata > Mammalia > Primates > Hominidae > Homo > Homo sapiens. The sequence continues at coordinate 70,078,838 of NC_000017.11, forward strand.
GGGATGATAGCCAAGTTTGAGGCAGGTTAATATTGTCCTGCGTGTGCTTGTGGAATTCAGAACTTTTAGACACTGAAATATCATTTTCACTATGAACTCTATTACACGATTTTCCACTGTCAGAAACTCACTCTTAAGAGAACTCAGACAGTTCTCTTAAAATGGTCTTTTTTTCTACTACCGTTTGGTTATTAGTCAAGGATCTCTAGAGAAGCAGAAGAAACAGGATACAGGAGAGCAAGAGGGAGAAAAACACAGAGAGATCTTAAGGAATTGGCTCAAGCGATTATGGTGGCTGGCAAGTATGAAATCTGTAGGGCGGGCTGGTAGAAATTCTAGTAAGAGTTGACATTGCAGTATTGAGTTCAAATCTGCAGAGTATGCCAGAATAGGAAACTTGGATGGCATTTGTATGTTACATTTTTGAAGCAGAACTCCTTTCCCAGGAAATCTTGGCTTTTGCTCTTAAGGGTTGCAACTGATTAGATAAGGCCCACCTACATTATGGAGGATAATAATCTGCTTTTCTCAAAGTCTACAGATGAGAAATGTTCCTCACATCTAATATGTATCTTCCTAGCAATATCCAGACAGGTGTTTGATCAAACAACTGGGTACCATAGCCTAGCCAAGTTGACATATAAAATTAAACATCACAATAACAGAATCCAACTTCATCCTGATTGTCTTTTGCCATCCAGTTATTAGACATTATATGTTTCAAGCTTCCATTTCTCTAAAAGAAATTAAGAATCATACTTTAGTAATCATATAAATATTAAATTTCATAAAATGGATCTGCCTAAAAATACCATCATTTGCATATAGAAGCATCCATTAATTTAGTACAGCATTTTTATTTTATTATTTATTTTTATGTTTTTAGATGGAGTCTCACTCTATTGCCTAGGCTAGAGGGCAGTGGCATGATCTCGGCCCACTGCAACCTCCGCCTCCCAGGTTCAAGCAATTCTCTTGCCTCCGCTTCCCAAGTAGCTGGGATTACAGGCACCCACCACCATGCCTGGCTATTTTTTGTATTTTTAGTAGAGATGGGGTTTCACCATGTTGGCCAGGCTGGTCTCGAACTCCTAGCCTCAAGTAATCCACCCACTTCGGCCTCCCAAAGTGCTGGGATTACAGGCGTGAGCAACCACATCTGGCAGTACAGCATTGTTAATGCTATAGCTTTTTTGTAATGCAACTTGGTTAAAGAGAAAAAGATTTTTTTAAATTGAGGTAAAGAGTAAGTTATTTCTGAGACACTGACAGTGACAGTCCAACCTTCTAATGACATTGCTTCCTCTTCCATTAAAATCACTATCCATATCATATATTTTGGCTGTTACATAATTTCCTCCATGTTTTCATGTAGTTCATATGTATGAGTCCTACCTCTGAATAACTGTGTTTACAGTAGTAGCAACATACCAAGATCTCTGAGAAACCATGTGATTAACATCGTATACCTTTTAGAAGTATTAATTTCACTCAACAATTTGGACGGGGAGTAAAAGAACTGAGTAATTTTATGGATAAACACTTTAAAATTATTTTCATAATGCAGGTATGACTATATATCCAACAATAAATATATTTTTATATTTAAGACTAAAAGAAAAACTATCATAAGACCGTGGAATATTTTGAGCTCGGGCCCAGTCATTTGTCTTATAGCCTCAAATACCCCTGGACTTGGGGTAGTAATAGGGGTAATGTACTCATTTATCTTCTGCTTTGTAAGGTTTATTTTTTTTAATGGAAAATTTTGAGAAGTACTATTAAAGGATGAATTTTGTGAGGGAAAATTCCTGGGTTTGGTTACTACTTGATTAGTTAGTTGGCTCTGCCCCAGAAAAATATCTACTAACCCACAAACTTGGCCAGTCTTTTCACAACTATGTGCTCTCCTCATCTCATGTGAGGCTGAGCCAAACAATGGGTAATTCAGGACATTCTGTCTCTACTTCGGGAAAATAATCTAAAGTAAGCTCACAAAACAAGGTGCCTGGCCTAATGGCTGGACCTCAAAATTGTTCGCTAGATCTCCGATTCAAGATTTTCCTATACTGAAGACAGCACAGGAGGTCTGCTAAACTAGGGCTTAATAGCTCTCACCAGCCAGCAAGTGCAAGACACACTTAGCCATATCTGATGAATGAATTCGGTTCTTAGCTGACCTGTTAGTGTTCTTGTAATATGTTATTGAGTTCTATTTGTTTATTTTATTGAGAAAGTAAAATCCTTCCCAGACTTGCAACCAAAATTTGGGAAGTTTCCAGAATATTAGAGATGATGAGTTATGCACCAGGATTGTCATATCAAGAATGCTCTTTATTTTGTAACTTGCCTTTCATTTGGATCAGAATTGAGCCAATTTGTGGGTGGTTCGATCTCACGCCCAAGGAGAACGTGGAGTGGCTAATTTGAACAAATTATCTAAGACATGATTTACACACATTTAAATTTAGGCTTTATGGGAATAGGAGGTGGTTTCATTTCCTCATGACTAAAATTTTATTTAACTGTATTAGATAACAGTATTGAGCTGAAGATAAGATTAGGCCATTTGCACTTAGAAGTTAAAAGCTAAAGAAACATTCAGAGAGAAAAAACTGAACAAAGCAAATCACAGACAGACCCAAACAAAACCAAACAGAAGCAAAATGCACTTTCCACATGCAGGAATCAAGTACAATAGAAATCAGGGCAAAGTTTTTATGCATTATATTTCTATAGGCAGAATATTGTTCGTGTGTCTCTGCACTATTGTGTCAGCTCATCCCTGTTTTTGCTGTTGCAAACAGTGGGCACTGTTTCTCGAGTTGTGTATGGAATTTGGTTGTGCTCTGTTAGGGCAGCTTGTGCAACAGAAGCACAGGGGTATAGAGCGAGCAGAGTTAAGAGGTGAGAAGGAGAAGTCCAAAATTGTGTCCTTGAGATGTTACTTGTTAAGAGTCACCATGCTCTGTGTGTGTGTGTGTGTGTGTGTGTGTGTAAATAAGTGTCTGTATTAATTATTCACAAAGTAATACCATGATAATTGCTATGCCATTAATACAACATTGTGGACCTGGTTATTTTAGACATGAAAATAATAGCATTCAGTGACCATGCTGCCACTCAGTAAACAGAAGGTTGTTGTCTTTTACACTTTGGCTTCATGAATTGAACAAATGTTCTTTCCTTTCTTCTTGGTTGATGTGCAGTGACTCGTTCTGTTGGTCACTAGGCATGTAAAGATTAGTCCATCAGCTCCCTGACATTGGGAAAGTCAAAGTCTAGCAAAGGAGGACACTGACAGAAAAAACAACTGTGCCTGGGAGATCAAGGGAAGCTTTACTGTGGAAGTAATACAGTATTCAGGTTTTAGCTAGAAGGAAGAAAAGTTGTCTGCCTAGTTATAAAGAGCCTAACAGATTTGGGGAAATGTGAGAAGTTCAGTGTTCAGAGTGTAGGGTTTTCGGTGTGAAGATAAAAGCAGAGTGGCAGGGGGTAAAATGGAATACAGGAGTATGACCTAGAGAGTAACTTAGATGGGAGAATGTTTTTAGTGTCCATTTCTAGGCCCCCAAACCACTTGAAACTATAATTCTAATACTGAACTCCTTCCCAGTTACCTGGGACTGATTCTAGAGAGAGGAGAATTTAATTGAACATGTGGAGAGCAGAGAAGAGATAGGAGAAGCTAATTAGTGTTTTCCTACTTATCAAAGACCCTTGGTTCAGAGGTAAGGTAGGTATTTCCAAGAAATGGAACTACAACTAACACCAAAAACATGACAATTGCTTGTCGAGGCTCTCCCCTCTTCTGAAGTTGCCCATTCCCTGTGCTTTATACATTGGTATTAACTTGCTGCCACTATCTTTATGGAGTAGGTGGCCAGAACGTCTTTTCACACCTGGATAGAGTGCTTAAGATGGTAGTAGAAATTCACCTACAAAGATTCAGTTCTTCTACATACTAGGAGATAAGTAAGGTAGACTAAAAAAGGCATTTGTGGATCAGCAGAAAGAACACTGGGCCCAAAGTCAGGAGCTGCTGTCTTCCTATTATTATACATTTATTATTATTTTAAAGTAAGTAATTCTCCACCATCAGTTTCTTCATCTACAAAATAAAAATATTTCCCTCATTCATTTACACGTTCCCTCAACAAACAGTTAATAGGTTTGAACACTCAAGGTTTGATTAGAGAAGCAGAACTACTTGGACAACATATTTATCTATTATTGAGATGGAATCTTGCTCTATTGTCCAGGCTAGAGTGCAGTGGCACGATCTCAGCTCACTGCAACCTCCACCTCCCAGGTTCAAGCAATTCTCTTGCTTCAGCTTCTCAAGTAGCTGGGATTATATATATTATATATATATAATATGTAAAGAGATATATATTATAATATATGTAGCAGGTGAGGAGAAGTCCAAAACTGTGTGTATATATAATACATATCTATATGATATATATGTATTAGATATATACTATATAGACAGTTATGATCAACCTGTATTGTGTGTATGTATGTATATACATACATATACACATATGGATGTGTATAGTCAAGTGCTGCACAATGACAATTTGTTCAACGATGGGGTGCATATATGATGGTGGTCTCAAAAGATTTTAAAGCCATATTTTTACTGTACATTTTCTATGTTTAGACAACACAAATACTTACCATTGTGTTACAATCATGTACAGCATTCAGTACAGTCACATGCTGTACAGGCTTGTAGCTTAGGAGTAATAGGCTATACCATACAGCCTAGGTGTGTAGTAGATTATACCATCTAGGTTTGCGTATATACACTCTATGATGTTAAAACAACATCAAAATTGCCTAATGATGCATTTGACAGAATATATCCTCATTGTTAAGTGACACATGACTGTATATATATCATAAAAATTTGACTTTACACAGTTGGTCACATATTCTATGTGAAGCTGACATCCCTGTATCTGGCACTGGAGTCTAAAGTTGTAGGGCAGGCAATTGGAAGGACATAGTGGTGTGAAGTGGAGGAAGATAGAATATTGAAACCAGTGAGGATTAGCTAGAAGCCACCAAGATGAAATGAAGCCCATGTTGGTGTCCCATGGCTTTCGAGCCTCCAACTTCATAACAGGGGTGGCCAGCAGCACAGTACCCTCCCTCTGTAACACAGGAGCCATAGAAACTGAAAGAGGAGACCAGCAGGATGTGTAGGCACAGTGGGCTCACCTGCCAATCCATAATGTGTGCCAGTATATCAGTGACAACCTGCGTGGGTCGCCTGAGCACCTTGTGCCCTACAGTGACTTGTTGTGGAAAGAATATGGCTACTGGTTCACTTCCACCTTACATAAGTCATGCAAGATGACTCCCATGGCCTGAAACTATGAAGGGAATGGAATTCTGAGACACGTAGTCTCAGTTAGTTAAATTGGTACAATCCAAATATACCACATCTGACACGTCCATTCAGAACAAAAAACAAGTGATAGAGACATTGTCCCTGACATTGAAGAGTCCATTAAGTGGTAGGAGAGAGTCATAATCCACCTGATGCGTGTTATGATAGAACGGCTTGCTTCTTTAACACACATAAAATGAGATTAATACACACAAACGAGCTTTGGAAGTGTTAAACTTTTAACAATTTTTCAGAGTCTCATGTTGACTATCTGATGTTTGATTACCTCTATCTTTAAAAGCAAAACACAAAGGAATCCATTCATGGTAGACATTTTAATAAGTTTGAATTCTGTAAGATTCCCTGGTCTTTGCTTCATTTCCTCTGGTAGAGCGGTGGTGCTGAATGGATAGCAACCACGTCCCCTACACTAACCCCAGTCCTTTTGCTCATGGAATTATGCTGATTTTGCTAATCCACCAACCACTTGCCAGAGGTGTTTGCCCCGCTTTCATATAGCTTATCTCTCCTTTAAGCTGAGGAAAATGACAGATACGTTAAGAAACACTAGTAAAATTCCTTGATCACTAATAATAATAATAATAAAATTAAACCCTCAAATGTTTATACCAAACCTCTATTGTGAAAACTACTTGTTTATCGGCACCATCTTCTATAGATTTTTGTTCTATTTCTTTCTTAGATTGTGTTTGGCCAACGCTTTCATCTTAATCTTCTGCCTCAGTTTATCTTCCTTCAAGGCTACTTAGTTGGGTAGATTTTGTGTATTTCAAAGACTCCATGTTTTCTCTGTATCATGAAGATACTGTCACAATGACAGGTGAGCTCATCATCTTGTTAAAGGGTTTATTTCCACATCTCAATTGTTCTGTCCTCAAAGTCACAAAAAGAAACTATTTCTGAATCTTTCGTGGACCATATACCACTACATGGAGACACACAATTTTCACCTGCCAATAACAAAGGAACATGTGTCAGACATTACATTTTCCATTTATTTTTAAATTTCACAACACAGGGTTCTAAACCTGTGCCATGCACCATTCTAAATGCTTTAAAAATATTGATTCGGTCTTCATAACAGACTTTATTTTTATGATAAGGAAACAGAGGCACTGAAAGGTCGGGATGTTCTGATGTCACACAGCCAGTAAATGACATAGCTAGATTTGAACTATGTAGTCATGTAGTAAAGGTATGGGCTTTTAACCAGTAGTGTATGTCTTCTAAAGAGCCTCAATTCCCCATAAATTCATATCTGTGTTATTACTGGAGATGCTAAGTTATATTAACACGTTCTTTGGATTACATACCCACTAGTCAAGACACCTTTGTACATAACTCCAAGTGAAATCCTGAGAAATGCTCAGGCATTGAAATAATAAAGGAGAATGAAACCCTACCACCTCAATTCTGCTCTATGCCTCTGATGATTGATTTTATTGAAGTAGTCTATTTCATACATCAACCGCTAGCTTATTCTTTCTCTATCAAAGCATTTAAGGAATAAAAAAAGCAAACCACAGAGAATATCTTCACTTTATTCAATGGGCAGAACACTAGATGTTCCAGCATAAGAATTTGTTATTTCCCTCAAAATCAATAAATACAAACAGAAAAATCAATAAAGATTTTACTCCATTGAGCAAGGATAATACCAAATCTAACGAAAGTAATGTTTTATTGATGGGGGAAAATGTAACCATTCTTTATGGTCCCAACGACAGATGGAAGTTTGCTGCCTTTTATACCAAATATTCAACTGTGACACCATTTATTTGATGGGGAAAATGTCAATAAAATTAGAGCCCAATAGGCCTCGACAGGTTTCTTTAGTTTAAAAAGTCTTTACTTAATTAATTCAAGATAATATAAATATTATACAAATATTGATTTGTTAGAAATACTGCTCTTGATATGGAAATACTTACAATGAGAATTTTTGTGAGAAAGTGAAGCAATCTTAACTTTTATTTTTTATTACAATTAGTTAATGAAGAGTAACAATGATCTGAAGTCATCCACTAAAATATTTTGTTTGCCATTTATTGCATAGTAAATTCTGTATTTCCTTGGTTCAGAACACATATTACTAATGAAGTCAAACGTGTATTTTCAGAGAGACTATCAAACAAAAGCCAGAGGTGAGCACAAGAAAAGTGTATTTTTAAAGGTAAAATATGTTCAGTGTTCTGTGAATAAAAGAAAACTGCACTGCTTAAGACAAAAAGCTGTTAAGATTGTTTACAGATCAAGAAATTATTTTACAAAAATGGTTATTTATTCATCATTTTTTTCAACATCCATGGAAGAATGCCTCTTGAAGAAATAGGATGTTTACTATTTAAGTTGGGAAAAAAATTGGCAGTTTTCCTATCCAAGAAACGATTAGTACATTCATGTTGAGGATGACTGGGCTTCTGAAGGTCCTTATAAACTTCATTTTAGTGTTTGGCATTTCCTTTTACGTAATTGCAGCTTTTAAACTAAAGATCAGATCATACACTGGCATATTTTTGTTATTCTTGTTTTGTGCATTGTTGGTACAATTTCTGATTTGATTCCTGATGAAAATAACAAACAACATTTGTGGTAGTACTTTGGAAGTTAAGCCTTTTACATCAATTGTCACATTTTATTATTTATTTATTTATTTCAAGACAGAGTCTCACTCTGTCACCCAGGCTGGAGTGCAATGGTGCAATCTCAGCTCACTGCAAGCTCCACCTCCCGGGTTCAAGATATTCTCCTGCCTCAGCCCCCCGAGTAGCTGGGATTACAGGCACCTGCCACCACACCTAGCTACTTTTTTTTTTTTTTGTATTTTTAGTAGAGACAGGGTTTCTCCATGTTGGTCAGGCTGGTTTTGAACTCCCAACCTCAGGTGATCCGCCTGCTTCGGCCTCCCAAAGAGCTGGGATTATAGACATTATCTTTAAAACAACTCTGTGAGAGTAGTGAGAGGAAGTGGTAGTAGAATTCTTATTATGGCAATAGGAATACTAAGACTCAGGTAAATTAAGTGATGTTAGTGTAAGACAGATAGGGAAACTCAAATTCCAGGGTTTCAATTCTGGCCTCTGTTTTTCTTTCATTTACCATCCAACCACTACAGTGTCCTCTTTCCTCTTTTACTTCTGTCATAGAAAAATCTTAAGGAGGCCAGGCGCGGTAGCTCACACCTATAATCCCAGCACTTTGGGAGGCCAAGGTGGGCGGATCATTTGAGGTCAAGAATTCGAGATCAGCCTGGCCAACATGGTGAAACCCGTTCTCTACTAAAAATACAAAAATAAAATTAGCCGGTTGTGGTGGCAGGCGCCTGTAATTCCAGCTATTCGGGAGGTTGAGACAGGAGAATCGCTTGAACCCGGGAGGCAGAGGTTGTGGTGGGCCGAGATTGCACCACTGCACTCCAGCCTGGATGACAGACTGAGACTCTGTCTCAAAATAAATAAATAAATAAATAATAAAATGTGACGATGTAAAAGGCTTAAGTTCCAAAGTGCTACCACAAATGTTGTTTGTTATTTTCATGAGGAATCAAATCAGAAAAGTACCAACAATGAATAAAACAAGAATAAGAAAAATATGCCAGTGTATGATCTGATCTTTAGTTTAGAAGTTGCAATTACGTAAAAGGAAATGTCAAACGCTAGAACAGGTGAATCGCTTGAACCTGGGAGGTGGAGTTTGCAGTGAAGCCGAGATAGCGCCACGCCACTGCACTGCAGCCTGGGCGACAGAGCAAGACTCTGTCTCAAAAAAAAAAAAAAAAAAAAGTAAAAGAAAAAGAAAAAAGTTTGAAAACCAGTAGTCTAGGCCAAGGCACCTCACCACCACAAAACTGTTTTCTTTTCAAATTGGATCAACGATAGCTGTGATACAGAGCTTTTAGGGCAGCGGTTTCCAACCCTTTTGGCACCAGATACTGGTTTTGTAGAAGACGATTTTTTTCACGGATGGAGGAGAGAGGGGATATGAAACTGTTCCATCTCAGATCATCAGGCATTAGTTAGATTCTCATAAGGAGCGCACAACCTAGATCCCTCGGATGTGCAGTTCACAATAGGATTCGTGCTTCTATGAGACTCTAATGCTGCCGCTGATCCAGCAGGCGGAGGAGCTCAGATGGTAATGCTGGATGTCTGCTGTTGCTGTTCACCGCCTGCTGTGCGGCCCGGTTCCTAACAGGCCATGGACTGGTCCCGGTCCCTGGCCTGGGGGTTGAGGACCCCTGTCTTAGGGATATTGGGGCAATGAAATTGAAACAACCAACTCATAACAGGCACTTTAGAAATGGTAACATTCCCAGGGGATTAAAGCTTGTCACCAGGGTTAATTCCAAATTATTCATTAAATTTTGTCCTCTATGGAAAGAAAAGTTACCTCTTTTGGGTAACTTATGGTACACTTTGGCTATATTCAAAATGGTTAGTGGCTGCCATTGAAAAGAAATCAAATAAGGCCAAGTGATTTTTTTTTTTCTAACTAGGAAACTTAGGAAAAAAATTAAGGAGGTGGCATGACCTGTTTATTTATGTGATTCTGACCATTATACCACAATAGTTTTGCCTAGTGGCCGATTTTAGTCCTATGGCTTGAATGACTTAAAATATGTAGATCTAATATGGCTTGGTAATATAAAAGTCCTCAGTTTAAAAAGTCAATTCAATTTAAAATTGAATTTAAAATTGACTTTTAAAAAGTCAAATTCGATTTTAAAACTTAATGAGAAAAGGTTTTTAGTCTCGTTTCCACCAGAACGTGTGAAAGTTTTCTTTCTTTTGCTTTTCTCATTTTGTAACCGGCTACTTTGGTCCTACGTTGCTGTATGTAACACAGGAATACAAACAGGCAAATCAAGCCAATTTCTTCTTCTGATCCCTATATGTCCTCTTCCTGAACCTATAAATGGTTTCAATTCATACAGTAGTTGTTACGTATCAACTCTGTGCCAGGTACCATGCCGTATGCTTGGGGCCACGCTATCCTCATTTATTTCACTCTTTTTCTGAGGACTGTTCTACAGCAGGAATTTTGGGGTCTAAGCCACTTCAGTTGGCCCCGTAAGTTTTTATTTTTAAATTAATTTAAGAGTCTTGCATAATTTGCATATGAGTTTTAATTACTAGAAAAGAGGGAATAAGTATGTTTACTTTTATTTAACTCTCAGCATTTCCAGATTCCTGAAGTTGAAAAACATCACCCAAAACCATTTAAAATTTTTGTTTGTTTGTTTGTATGTTTTAATAGTTCCCAAAGGTGGAATCTGTGACTTGAGGGAGGCAGTGAAAAAAACATAATGCCTGCAGTTACTGAAGCATAAAACTACAGGGTTTCCATAGTTGCTGTAGTCTATAACCCGAGGGCACTCTATTAAATAATCTTAACTTGCTGGGAAGGAGGGAAAACATTTAGCTATAAACTAGACTTACAACCGCAAGTGACATTTTTTCAAAAGGTTACCACATCTCTGTTTATCAAATTTATATGTACATAAAAAGATTAAAAGTTAGTTACTCCAGTATTTACAGAGAACACACACCTCTGACTAACTCTGTTTAGAATCTCTAATTATATCACACTCAAGATAAAGGCCGATCCTGCTAACACTTTGTAACCGTGGTAATAACTGCTTCCACCACTGCAGGTCTAAGTTTAAATTATGCACTGCTGCTTTGAAAGAGGGGATCTCGACAGGGAAACTGGTGTAGTCCACTTCCATCCAGCCTCAACTGTCTCACTGCACCTCAAGGACACTGTTAAATCATTTGCCCAAGCATTAATTTTTTTAGCCTCCACCCCAGATTTAATCACTTACTTATCTTCCTGCCAAAGTAATTGTGCTGGTAAAACAGGGCAACTGGAATCTAGGCAGAACTGGCTGTTTCTGCTTCTGTCCAAAGGGACAGGGATGGAAAGGCTGATGGTGGTGATTTTGTGATTGAATGGGGGTAATTGTTCTGGGTTTTTTGTTTTTCCCTTTAAAGAAAATTCTACAGGCTTGAAAACTCTAAGATAAGGAGAAAAGCTGACCTAAAAACACTGTCATCTCACAAACCTTTAGCTAGTAGAAAACAGATCACCTTTGTTACATTTTGGCTGGATAACATTGCACACATTATTTGGGTAATTGAGGTCAATGGAAACACTTGGACTTTATTTTCCCAGGTACTTTTCTTTTCTAGCCTGAATTATGAGCCTCATTCTGGCACAGAGTCCTACTTACAGAATGTGTTGCCAATTCATTGGGTGCATTTAGTAAGTTCATACGATAGACATTGAAAAACCCAAGAGTATCATTTTGGATGATCAGGCTCTATAGTTTCTCTTCAGTAATTTTTGATTTATCTACCCGGGTTAGCAGGGATATATGAAATAGTGCACAATACCGCTAACCCACTCACAATACCGCTAACCCACTCACAATACGGCTAACCCACTCACAATACCGCTAACCCACTCACAATATGGCTAACCCACTCACAATACCGCTAACCCACTCACAATACCGCTAACCCACTCACAATACCGCTAACCCACTTAGATCACCTGAAAAAGTGTCAACCATTTTGTTTAGCTCAGTTGCCAGCAATGTAACAAAAACATTGTCCAGAAGTATTCTTTAGGACATTTGTGGCTATGAAACAAAGATTCAAAATCCTTAGCCTAACCGGTGAATGTTTTCCCAGTTTTGACTCAGCTTGATCTTTTGGCCTTCTCTGCCTCCACTTCTCTTATATGACTCCAGCCTTCCCACTTTACAAAAATGCCTTGTTTCTTTCTCCCATCTGGAGAATGTTAAGTTCTCCCCTACTTGACTTTCATCCATCTAAGCATATCTTTCAAAGTGATAGCCCAATCTACCCTTTACACAACACCTTTTCAGAAGAATTACACCAATCATGAGTAGGTCCTCCTCAGAACTCACTCATGCTGTCTACTTCCTCTCCTACTCATTTGACCATCATCTGTCACCATTTCCCACTCATTTGACTGTTAACTAAAATAAAATTGAAGTCAAAACACAACTTAAGTGATAAGATAATTTCCTGTTTGTTATATCTTGCCTTCTAAATAGCTTACTAACTTCCTGTGGACTACAATCACGTCTTATACATCATAAATTTGCTAACAACCAGCTACCCTCCTCCAACACAGTGCAGGAGAGGCCTATGGAATAGTACGCATTTACAGGGGTCAAAGAATCAAAATTTAGGCTTAGGAATGATAAATAATGGGATTTTCTCCTTAATAGGATTTGCTGCAAACAAGTAAACATGCAGTATTTGTTTGGGGTGCTCCTTCCACTCAGCACCCCACCTTATCCCCCAGTACACATACACACACACACACACACCACTCCTCTGATGTTTCCATGGCATCTATTCTACTGGTTGCAGAATATAGTTTTCTGCTGTTTTCCCAGATAAGCCTTTAGTTTCTTGCTATTACCTAGGTAGGGCTTCATTAGACACTTAAGGGCTGCTTTGCTTGAACTGAATACATACCCTTGAATCATCCTGATGTACTTTATCAAGAGTCACCTCTCCCTTACTTATTTCCAGGGCAATATTTACATTTAATCGGGGAGTGTGGAGTTCATCAGTCTATGCAAGTAAATGTTAACATTCCATGTCCTGTGACAGCTTGGGTGAGAGCTGTAATTTATTGGGTTGGAGGGGGGTTGTGGTTATTTGCATTGTGTAAGCTAAGCCTCATTCTTAACACAGAAAAAAGAATGCTACACAACACCAAAAAGGCTAAAATTTGTTTTGCATTATAAATAACAGAAACCTAAAACATCTACCTAAAAGCACATTGGAATGAACCATAGCAAGTTCCTAATTTTGTTTTTCATTGTGTTTTTATTGTTTTATGAGTCTTAGTTTCCATATAGGATCAAAATGACTCAAATCACATCTTTTACATAAGTGTTTTCTACTTTTAGCCTGTATATTTACAATTATGGAATAAACCATATATGCAAGTTTACCTTCCTCCAAGAAAATATGGATCTGTAGATACCATGTGAAGTCAAAGAACAACATTTTAAGATTTTTATCACTTCCTGACCATGGGATGTTTTACAACCTAAGAATAGCATTTCTGAAAAACAAACTCAGAGCATGAGTTATGTAAGAGGCAGTTGGTTTTACAGTTCGAAATAACTGAAATATGTACTAGTCCATTGTATTAGTCAAGGTTCTCTAGAGAAACAGAACCAATAGATAGATAGATAGATAGATAGATAGATAGATACATAGACAGATAGATATAGATAGATATAGATAGATGATAGATATAGATAGATAGATAGATAGATAGATAGATAGATAGATAGATAGATGAGATTCATAATGAAAACTGACTTATTCAATTATGCAGGCTAAGAAGTCCCACAATATGCCATCTGCAGCTGGAGAACTAGAAAAACTGTGCTGAAATTCAGTCTGATTAAGAAGGTCTGAGAATTTTGGAAGCCAATGGTATAAATTTTATTTAAAGTCCAAAGGTCCAAAAACCTGAAGCTCTGATGGCTGAGGGAAGAATATGGATGCCCCATCTCCAGAAAAAGGAAAAGATGTTTGTCCTTCCTCCACCATTTTGTTCCATCCAGACCCTCAGCAGATTGCATGATGCCCCCCACATTAGCGAGGGCATTCTTTACTCAGTCTACTGACTCAAATGCTAATCTCAAATGCCAGACATCCTCACAGACACACCCAGAAGTAATGTTTTACCAGCTATCTGGCCAACCCTTCGCCAGTCAAGCTGACACATAAAATATAACCAACACGTCCATCAATTTGCAAAGGTTGAAAGTTAGTAAAAGATTCCTCAGAAAGGAAGAAATGGAAGAAAATCTGAAAAAGGTGAAATAACCTTTTGGACGCAAGTGTGGATGCTCTATAGTATTATTTGTCTAAGGCTGCTTTGACAAAGCATTGCAAACTGGGTGGCATAAAACAACAGAAATGTATTTTCTCACAGTTCAAGAGGCTAGAAGTCTGAGCCAAGGTGTAGTGTTGGGAGGGCCTTGCTCCTTCTGAAGCCTCTAAGGGAGAATGTCCCCTTTCCACTTTTAGCTTCTGCTAGCCCCGGGCTTTCCTTCCTTGTAGCAGTGCAATTCATCTTCACCTGAATTCTTCTGTGTGTGTGTGTCTGTGTCCAGATCTCCTGTAAGGACACCAGTCGTATTGGATCCGGGCCCACTCTAATGACTTTATCATAACTTGATTACATCTGCAAAGACCCTATTTCCAAATCAGGTCTCATTTGCAGGTACTAGGAGTTAGAACTTCAAAATTTCTTTTTCTGGGACACAATTTAACCCATAATAGATAGTGATGACAAGAAAATGAGAGACTCCAGGAGATTCCATGCTTTCCTTATAAAAGGGTAGAGAAACATAGTGAAATGAAGGAGGGCTTTGTTTTCATTTTCTTACTAATAATTCTTTCTTTTACTGTGCTTTTAGTTTCTTATGGCCATTATTGGGAGGTAAGATAATACCACATGGAAGCACTTATTTTTCTACTTATTATTTAAATCTTTCATTCTTTTCAAGAGGCTTGGCCAATTATTCTGTAATTTGCCATAACTATTGGAATATGGTTAGGTGTCAGCAAGCAGGCGATCTTAGTACAGATAACAAAAAATAGAACATGTTTCACAAGGAGTAAGGAAAAAAAAAACAAATAAAAAGGGCAAATAAGGGGAATAATTAATGATGGATTAGGAAAGGTGAAAGACATGAAGCATTGTCAAAAATATTTATCCTATAAACTTGGTTTAAATTGCGATTTGGTATTGATGCAATGGCTCATGACTCAGGTTTTCTTCCATAATGTCTCTTGTGCCCCAGACAGCCCTGTGTTCTGAAGCTTCCTTTATATTTTCCAGAATTCACAGCCTAAAGAGAAATAACAATTGTGACATTTGCATTTACTTAAGGCTTTGGAAAAACTCAAAGTGAAAATAAAAGTAACCTTCAAGAATTGTCTCCATGGAATAACTGTCTCAACTATTTTGGCCAAGACTGTCTTTAGGTCTTTATTTTCATGGCAGGAATAGCAATAGTTTCAAGCTTTGGAGGGTAAGGGAAGTTGGAAAGGTGGGAATATCAATTGTATCTTTCTACAAGAGAAAACATCTACATGAAGAAAACAGTAGTAAGTGTTGCAATTAGAAATTTGAGAAATTGTAAAAGTTGAAAGAACTTGAACTGCTAACAATTAATAAAAGTATGTATTTTATCTACAGAGATTATCTAGAATGAAAGGATGGGAAGGTGAGGTATTTAAATTATTGTAACCATCCATTGCACTTATTTATTAGTCAATGAGGTGAAAGGTGGGGGGAATAACATATATTTTCTTAATTTTTTGTGATTAAACAAATTCGAGGTGGTAGATTTGATAGGGCTGAAATTTATTATACCACTGTCCCCCGCAGGTTTGAAACAATTTAGGACGCTACATAGAATTACACTTGAAAGTAAATTGCACTGTAGGCAAATCATGTTTCCAAGAACATGACACATCTTACTGGCTAGAGTTAACCAGTCCTGAGAAACGGCAGGAACTCTTGCTCTCCAAATCCTATCTTGCAAGGCCGTAGAATTTGTCCACAGAAAATCATCACCAGTCATCACTGAGCATTTGTCACAGTAGGTTTTATTAAGTTCAGACAGATTCAATTATAATTAAATCAATCAACCTTTCATATATTGGCTAACAGACAGACTTCTAAGAAAACCAAGCTTCCCTAAAAAAAAGCAATTAGATATTATTTTCTTGATTCAACTTATGTGAGCATATGAATAATTTACTTTTGTTTGTTTAATTCACAAATAGCTCAATTTATAAGTATTGGTGTGGGCTATAGGCTTAAGAAACATGTTTGTGTAAAGCTGCTGTCCCACGTAGCATTTACCACCATACTATGTTTTTTATCTTGAGATGCTGAATATACAAATAAATACTGGCCAGACCATGTAAGACAAAACAACTTTGACCATAATCTCTGCAGGAACCAGCCCAGGAAGCCCAATCATAACCTTTGTAGCCATTTGGCCCAAAATGGTCAGAACTTGGTCAATGACTCTCAGCTTTCCTTATGCTTGCCTTCACTTCTAACCTAGAACCAACCAGAAAAAGAAAATGTGCTCCTCAAACCATTTATAGAGGAAGCCCGGCTTCCACATAGCCTACCTCCAGCTTCCTCAGCCAACAGCTTTTGATCAGGGCAAACGTGAAGCTTTTCTACTCTTTCTACTATAAAGATTTTCCACTCCTCTGCCTGCCTGTGAGTCTCTGGCAAACAAAAGTGATCGTGCCTGTCTTCCTTGCAAGCTCTGGATAAATAATTTCTGCTTGTTCTGGTTCAGATGATCGTTGTTTATTTCCACAATCTTTATTAGGATCTCTATACAGAATCTTTTAAATGGCAAGATTAGCCCTGCCCAGATTTAGGAAATCATTTAGGGCCACTGGATATCAAATGTGGTACCAAAAAAAATGTTGAAACTGATTCAAACTTGGGTCAAGATCCCTTTGATCTAGCTCAAATCTGTGATAATTTGGCATTTTATATTACTTAATCCTTTTTTTTTTTTTTTTTTTTTTTTTTTTTTGAGATGGAGTCTTGCTCTGTCACCCAGGCTGTAGTGCAGTGGCACTATCTCGGCTCACTGCAAGCTCCGCCTCCCGGGTTCACACCATTCTCCTGCCTCAGCCTCCCGAGTAGCTGGGACTACAGGCGCCCACCACCATGTCTGGCTAATTTTTTGTATTTTTGAGTAGAGACGGGGTTTCGCTGTGTTAGCCAGGATGGTCTTGATCTCCTGACCTCGTGATCCGCCCACCTGGGTCTCCCAAAGTGCTGGGATTACAGGCATGAGCCACCGCACCCAGCCTACTCAATCCTTTTTCCAGTCCATTTCAGCAAAAGCCTCACTGCTTGTGAGTGTCCTGCATACAGTCTGATTTGGGTGGTTGTTTTCTTTGTGGAACTACTTAGAGGTCATATGACATTTGCCTGTGGATAGTTCAAATTGGCTCTATTTTCTTAGGTCCATTTTGCCCTTATTCACTGAGAAATATGTGGTCTCTCATATAAGATTGTTTCCATTGAAATTCTGCCAATACCTTTTATTCAACTTGTAAGCATGGAAAAGTATTATGAACTTATTTAATTTTTAATTTATTTAAAAATTTTTATAGTAACATTAGCACCTACCTTCTAAAGTTGTTTGAGAATTAAAGGATAATTTCTGTAAGACAATTACCAAAGTTCCAATATGTAATGCTTATTCAATAAATAATAACTATCATTATTATTACATCATAATAGGTGCCTATATTTCTAAATTAACAATCTTTTGTACTATTGATGTGACAATATGTACATTAAGTGGGGTGAAGAATTAAGTCATTCTCTTCATAATCAGGTGATAACAACCTTCTCCTTTATTGAGAATCAAGCATCTCAGAGCGAGCGTGAATGGATATTAGAGTTTCTGCCTCAGTGTTCTCAACAGCTTCTACTGGTAAAGCAAGTTACAGCTAGTAACTTGGTCAGGGTTTTTGGATATAAACTTTATTGTTTAGAGTGTAGACCAACCTACATTTAAAATATGATACTTCAGAAGTGCAGAAAGGTACGTGACACAGCCAACTGAAGAGGTAACATGTCCTAACATATTAAATTTTCTCTATTCTCTTTTGAACCCTATTACAATCAAAGAAATCTCCATGGTGAAATGCTCATTTTGCAGACACGATATTGTGTAAGTTTTATTTCATAATCACACAAAGGAAAAATTCCTGGGCATTTTATGTGCACTTTTGTTAATGTGATCACAGATACAGAGTTAGCCGTTCAACCCCAAACGAGACATGACCTCACTGGGAGGTTTGTTCGTTCACTGCATTACGGGGATCCACACAAAGGACATGTCAATGGCACAACCCATGCGCCCCCGTCTCCCCACTCTTGTCAGGATTTGTCCTGGGAAGTTTCTAGCAAACATTTTTGGAGCAAATATTTTGTGAGAATGTCACTGTTTTTGTTAGAAAGGCCATTTAGGGGTCTAACTAGGAACCAAGAATGGAATGAGTTACCTTATTAAAAATTTTAAATCAAAAAGTGTTTATATTGTTTGGTGAGTTTCAGTAGAAATTAGAGGAGGAGGTCAGGAGCAGGAGGATGGAGAAATAAGAGCTCCATCAGGAGCACCAGGAATGCTTTTTAAAAACATACATATTCTATTAGATTCTCAAGGAAATGTGACTAAGAACAGGCCCTCATCGCAGCCCCATATAGCATAGTTTTCAATTTTTCTACAGTGACTATTTCAAATATTTTCTGTTCTCTTCAAATCTCTACTCTTGTCTCCTTTACCCACTACCCCTATTTAACAGGGAAAATAAAATCACAAACTTCTTGTCTACCATCCATAGACCTGATTGCATCTGTATCCACTCTTTCCTTGCAAAGAACCTTGACTCTTTCCCATCCTTCTACTCTGCTCCTTCACCTCCATTTTCTTCTCTTTCCTTCATTATGGATTTCTAATTATTGTTGATTCTGACTTCCAAGTCCCTCTTGAATCTGTTTCCTAGGTTATGACCTCCTCCTCACTTGTCTGACCAATCTGTTCTCAACACTAGAGCCAGAATCTTAAATACAGATCTTCAGTGTTTTATCTTTATGCTAATCAGATTGTGTTAGTCTCCTGATCAAAGCTCTTTAATGCTTTCCTAGAATAATACAAATTCTTTAACATGAATTACCAGATGCTGCTTACCACTCCAGCTCTACCTCATACTTCTCCCCATTTTAGATCCCAGGATGCAGCCAAGTAATAATTTAAAAAAAATTTTCCTAGTAACTCTCATTCAGTGTGAACACAGTTTGTCTCAACGAGTTTGGTTCAGTATGAATAGAGTAAGGGTGTAAATTGCACCCTTGGGGAAATGTGACTCAACAAGTAACTACTGCAGAATGGATTCACTGGAGAACAAAAGCAAACATATTCGTGCTTTGAAGAATTTAGGAGTCAATCAAGTGTGGAAAAGGCTAAACATAAAAATAATTTTATTCATGAGTACAGTTCTAACTTGAATATTCATAACATTTTATTAATTTATCATAAGGACTTAAATGCTGAGTTATAGGAAAACAATTTAAAAATTTAAGATAAATCATTTTTGCCATATGCCTCTTAACAAGACAGCAGTTGAAATCTTCTTTCTTTTCCCTTTGATTAAAAAAAAAAAAAACCTTTATGGCCTAGTGGCATATAATAATTGTATTACGTGTGTGTGTGCATATAGATATTATTAAATTATAATGTACACTGATATACGGGCTTTCCCCAATTTTATTTCTAGCACTGTCATCGAAGATTAATTTTTTTCTGACTCAAATATTAGAAGCTAGAAGCTTTTTCTATGACTTTATGTATTTCCTCCACTCATAGTAGCTTTGAAGTTGAATTTTGAGTGGAATGGAACCTTTGAAGTAGAATTTTGAACAGAATCTGGACTGATATGGGGCTGGTCAAACGGCACCTCAATAATTATGAATTAAAATATATAACATTTTTTAAAGACATTCAAAGAACAACCAGGTGTTGAGCAAATTCTAAGTGCCTGAGCCAGCTCCCACTAGCTCACAAGAGCTAACTGTTTACACCTCTTATCAAATCCACATTCTGAAGCCTCATATCAGTGACCTGACATCAGCCATGCGTGGAGTATTTACACCACAGAAATGAAAAACTCTACAAATCAGTCCTTTGATTTCCTCCAGAGAGGCAGTTAAAATGCACCAGCACTCTGCTTCCTATGAATAAGTTGACCATATATCACAGCAGTATTGATTGATGCCAGTTGTACTTCTGACCCATGATTTTCACTTTTGTCCCCACCCTTTTCTCTGTCAAAAGTGACAGATTCAACAATCACTATAGATATCAAGGAAAATAATATAATGGAGATTTTTCACTGCAAGAAATGAAGACTGGGTTAGAAGGTAAAGAAGCAACTACAAAATGTTTATCTTTATGTGAAGAACAGGCTCCTGGAAGTAGTACGAGACTTGTTTTGCAGAGCTTCAGGGGACAGCATGAGGACAGGAAGATCTTGTGAAAGCTATAGGGAGACACATTTTTATCTGAGTTTAAGGAAGGACTTCCTCATGGGTAAGGTCTAGTCATCATAAAATAGGAATAGAATGCATTTAGGGGTGAATGAGGTCTTAGTCCACGAAAACAGTCAAGTAGAGACGGACAGCCATCTTGAGGGGTGTTGTGGAGGAGCTGGGGCAATAAATGCTTGGGTGTTAATGCCTTTCTCATGATTCATATTGTGGGTTGAATCTTTCTCATGGCATTTCTTCACTCAGTCATTTTGGCAATCCTCAGAGGGTCTTTGCCTGGTGCTATGTGTGTTTGGGAGTAGATACAAGGAGAAGAAAAAAATAATTCGCTCAAATTCACACAAAAAAGTGACCCAAACCAAAATCCTTATTAAGCCTCACTGTTAAGTTTTAAAATGATATGATGATCACTAATTTGAGAGGAACTACATGTTAGCCAACCCATCACTGATTTATTTGTGATTTCAGATTTTGAAATCTATTAGGATAATCAATTTCACTTCAGCACGGTTTGGTCAAAGAAAGGAAAATACATCAGAGGGATTCAAATAACTTTAGAATCATAAGTAGTGTGAGAGATCTACAGGAGGAAAGTCCGTTTAGCAGTGAGAACTTCAGACACTTCCTCTATATCCTATGGTAACCAGGCAGTTAGAATAACAGGAAGCCCTCAGGCCGGCAAAAATGGCACCTGTGAAGTTTGTTTGGGTCTATCTGAAGGCAGGATTTCAGCAGGGGCTGAGGCTGTACAGAACAACTTAAAATTTTCAGTTGGATAAGAAAAATCGGTAAAACTTAAAAATTGTATTCATTTCCTAATGCCTACGTGGTATTACATATAAGTCAGACAATTGTTTTCTCTATTTCAAATTACTGGATTAGTTTGATTATTATACGGACTATCAGAAGAATAGTGGTACAGCTTTTCTCCAAGATCAACGCCTTTCATTTGTGGATCTTCCATCTTACCTGATACTTCTCTGCCCGTGTCTTCAGTACTGGAATTTACTCCAGTACTTCTTATTTTCTGTTTGTCTTTTCACCACCCGAAAAACATTACTCTCACTCACCAAACTATGTACACCTTTCTTTATATTCTCCCAATCAGACTTAACAAACACTTAGATGACATTTATTTTTGCCTGGTACTGTTTTAAGTGCTTTACAAATATGAATTCATTTACTTCTGCTAAGAGCTAATATATTTCTATTATCTTCCTTTTACAGAATGGGGGATTGAGGCACAGAGTGTTAAAATAGTGAGACACAGGATTCTAACTGGCAGACTGGCACTTTATCTCAATTCTTAACTGCTGTGTTGCCTCTCACTTTAAAGGTAAGAAATTAAACCAATTTTAACATGATTCTCCGAAAAACCAATACTTGCACTCCTTCCTCCATGAAAATGTGCTTTATCCCTACGCATTTTTCCAGAAGTCCAGCTTTCTACTTATACGTTTATATTTTCATAAACTTTGCTACAGAGCAAATTCGGTGTTACAAACATTGCTTCCTTTTGTTCACATTTTACACGTTTACTGCCTCCTTAAATCATTCACCTTCACTGTATTTTAGGAAAGAAATGCTATTTATATATTTTGTGAATCCACAGTCTATTATACATTCTGCTAACTAAGAATAAAACTTGTCTACTTGGTTATTTGAGTCTAGAGAATGATTTTCAACCTGGAGTGACTTTGCTCACCAAGGGACATCTGGCAATGTCTGGTCACATTTTTGGATGTCTCTACTGGGGTTTGGGGTCATACTGGCATCTAGTGGGAAGAGTTTAGGGATGCTGTTAAACTAAATGCCATAACCACAGGTCATCTTCCCACAACAAAGAATTTTCTGGCCCTAAATATTGAGGTTGAGAAACCCAGATCTAGGATATTCTGTGCATTTAAAATGATTCCGTTCAGAACAATTTAGGTACTTTCTCAATAGTACTGCAAAAGCTATATGAAAACTATATGTATATAAAAATTATATCTATCTGTCTCTAGCTACATTAACATATCAATCTGCTAGGTTAAGTAGACTCAATTTAACCATCTGGTGTTTCATGTTTGCTTTTGATTTGTAAAAGACTCAGACCTATAACATAGCCTTAATGCTAATATCATTCTTGAGATAAACGATTATAATTGCAGATTTCTTTTTTTTTGAGAAAGAGTCTCGCTCTGTCACCCAGGCTGGAGTGCAGTGGCACCATCTCAGCTCACTGCAAACTCCACCTCCCAGGTTCAAACAATTCTCCTGCCTCAGCTTCCCGAGTAGCTGGGATTACAGGTGCCCGCTACCAATACTTGCAGATTTCTTTAGTGTTATGTTATTTAGCCACTCATCCATTTTTTTAAAGATTTAAGTATTAAGCATTCACTGTACACCAAGCAATGTTCTTAGTGAACAAGTAATTTAGAATTAGATTACAATTAAATTGTGGATTTTAGGACATTTTAGTTAACGTTTACTGAAAAGTATTATCACAGAATTTATATTTTCTATAGTTTATGTTGTTTTATATGATTATAAAAGCAATGATTTAAGAATTAAGTGAAGTATTTTACATGATGTGGAAAAAATGAGAGAAAAAGATGGAAAAGAGTTGATTGAATTATTCATTTTCACCTGATTAGTTGAAGCCAGTGGTTAGTAACATCACATGCACAAAGGACCCAGTGGCTGATTCAAAATAGTATTCCATTCTCTCCCCATGATTTTACAATGAAACTACGAGACCAATCAGGACACCTTCTTCTTTCTTCTTGTTCACCAAAAGTACTTTTTTTTTTTTTTTTTTTTTTTTTTTTTTGAGATGGAGTCTCTCTCTGTTGCCCAGGCTGGAGTGCAGTGGCACAATCTTAGTTCACTACAACCTCTGCCTCCCCGGTTCAAGCAATTCTTCTGTCTCAGCCTCCCGAGTAGCTGGGACTACAGGCATGCGCCACCACGCCTGGCTAATTTTTGTATCTTTAGTAGAGACGGGGTTTCACCATATTGGCCAGGCTGGTCTCCAACTCCTGACCTCGTGATCTGCCCGCCTCAGCCTCCCAAAGAGCTAGGATTACAGGCGTGAGCCACCGCTACCTGCACAAGTAGTTATTTTTAATAGCAATGACACACAAGAGTAATTGCAGGACATTTACTTAACTAAAAAAATCAGTTGGCAAAATCTTATGTGAAAAATTAAAACAAAACAAATAACCATTTCCCTGAAAAATTAACCCCACTTGGACCTCCACATCCTTTCCCATCCATCACCACATTTTTCTACCCCATTTGACAGCGGAACTCTCTGTAGGCTTTCTGCATGCTTTCAACACTTCCTGTCACCGTTTTTACTCGTCCCTAGTCAAATCAGGCATTTATCTCCAAAACTCTGTTGTGACATCTTTCATCAAGGTCACCAGTGACATCACACTGCTAAATCCAATGGTCAATTCTTGTCCTTATCCTGACTGATTGTTAATATCTAACACACATGATCACTGACTTTTTCTTTTTCCTTTCCTTTTTTTTGAGACAGGGTCTCACTCTGCCGCTCTGGCTGGAGGGCAGTGGCATGACCAGGGCTCACTGTAGCCTTGACCTCCTGGGCTCAAGTGATCCTGCCACCTTAGGCACTCAAGTAGCTGGGACTACATGTGTGCACCATCATCCAGCTTATGTATATTATATATATATATTTAATATATATATTTATATGTGTATATAATATATATAATTTATTTAATATATATTTATGTGTATATAAATATATATGTGTATATATATTTTTGTGTATATATATGTGTATTATATATTTATGTGTATATATATATTTATGTGTATATGTGTATATAATATGCATATATGTGTGTGTGTATATATATATATATATATATATATACACACACATATATATATATTTTTTTGTCAAGACAGCGTCTCACTATTTTGCCCAGGCTGGTCACGAACTCCTGGGCTCAAGCAATCCTCTCGCCTTAGTCTCCCAAAGTGCTAGGATTACAGGGGTGAGACACTATGCCCGACCACACTGCCTTTTGCTTGTAACACTTTCTTTACTTCGTATCACATGTCACAATTTTTCCTCCTACTTCAAGCAATTCTTTTTCTCAGTCTTCTTAGTTATAGCCTCCTCATTTTCCCAGACTTAAATTAGGCTGTCCCAGGCCTTCGTCATTGGAATCCTTCTCCTTTCTAACTACTCTGACTCTTGTATTGTTTCATCCATGTTCATGGTTGCAATTACTCTATGTACACTGATAACTTCCAATCTTATATTTCCATTCTGAAATTCTCCCCTGAGCTCCAGACTAATATATTGTCTCCTTGACATGTTCATTTGGCTGTCAGAAAGCATATCAAATTTTGCACAATAAAACACCAATTATTGATTTCCTCACTCCAAAACTCCTTTTCTACCAGCTCCATTATCTGAGTAAACAGCACAAGTATTTACTGTGCTATTTATTGGGTAATGGTTCATTTTTATTTTATTATCTTTTTTTTTTTTTTTTGAGACAGGATTTCATTCTGTCACCTGGGCTGGAGTTCAGTGGTGTCATCCTAGCAAACTTGCAGCCTCGATCTCCTGGGTTCAAGTGATCCTCCCACCTCAGCATCCCAGGCGATCCTCCTACCTCAGCATCCCAGATAGCTGGGACTACAGGCACATGCTACTGTGCCCAGCTAATTTATTTTTTATTTTTAGTAGAGATGAGGTTTCACTACATTGCCCAGGTTGGTCTTAAACTTCTGAGCTGAAACCATCCTCCTGCCTCAGCCCCTCAAAGTGCTGGAATTACAGGAATGAGCCACTGCACCTGGCAAGTAATGCTTCTTTACAAGAAACTTGCTCCCTCTCTAATCTGAAATTTAGAGGAAGCAAATGAACAAACAGCAAAACAAGACCAGCATGTTGAAAGAACATCTAAACTTTGTCCTTGGAGTCACTACTGAGGTGGCTGATAGTCTTTCTGGGGGCATACGCTTCCTTGAAACCCAAATGAAATGATGTTGGGCAAGATGCTGTTTGCCATAGGTATAGGGTTACATAGTCAGACAAAGTGTGCATTTGCATAGAAAAATCTTTGCTGTCACAATCACAGAGCACCTACACTTAAGAAGCACACACTTGGAAGAGGTTGTACAAGACCTAGAGGTGTCAGTAAGAGAAAATGCAGCCTTCCAGGACAATAAGAAATTTAGGGGTAATGTGTGGCCACTTTTGTGATATGGAAAGATTTTTATTATTATATAAGCTTCCAGAGGTTTGATCAGAAAACAAAGATGTAAATAGGCATGGAAGAAGGCTATTCTTGGTTCTTGTTTTCTGTCCGCCACCATTGGCAAGACTATCTACTATGCGTAGGCATGGGAACCAGTTAAAGAAAGTGTCGATTCACTAGAGCGAAGCTGAGAACTCAGTGGCCTTTGTCTGTGGTGAATGTATCCGGAAAGGCAAAGAAGAGAGAGATTCTCCTGTGGGGTTTCTCATCTCCATGGCGGTAGGTGCTGACAGCTTCAGAAGGGTACTAACAGGGCCAAGAGAAAAGGGCCCTGAGATGCTCAGCTACGGTGCTCTTACAAGATGAAAAGGACATGGGGTTCAGATCTGCACTTCATCATCTTTCACTAAGGTAAGATCGTGTTGTGGATTAAAAGTGTTCCAAGCTTGAACTAATTGCTTGTCGGCTCTTTTAAGCTCATCCTTTTTGCATGTATCCCCGCTAATATGCATCTTTATGATGCTTTTTTTGGCTCAGCAGTCATGCTTTATGGAGGCATGCTCTATGGCTGGGAATAGGTTTTCTTTCTCTCATATATCTCTGGGGAATGCTGAGCCAAACAGATTAAAAATGTCAGTGCCATTTGCAGATCCATTAAGGGAAGTAACATTCAGAGACAGAGGGAGACTAAAAGGATGATGACTTAGCCAGCTGACATAACTTACTGACGTGGAGCAACGTGGAAGAGGTGAATCTTTCATTTCCTGTGGAAAACAGTCATTCATAAAACCATCTTTTTTGTATGTCTTTGTCACTCTTCCACTGTTGCAAAGTGACAGCAAAGTAGCATCGCAAATTTGAAACTGTGTAATAAAATACGTTGACATCAATTTGGAATTACATCTTCACAACTAAAAATATAGACAGAAATGCCGTAAAGACTCTTTAGAAAAACAACTGCTAAAAGGTAACTTCAATAAATAATAAGCCCTTCAAGCATTGAAATCTGACTAAGTATAAAAGCACGGGGCTTTCGAACTTTTAATGTTTTTCTTCTGCTCATTGCTTTCTTTCAATTTGTAATCTGGACTGTTGCTATGGAGTAAATAACACCTACTACATTCCATGCCTTCAGGTTTCCATTTCACTAGAAGAAGTGGCACAAGTTGAAGGAAGGCAGCTTATCCATGTGAAAATTCTAAGACAGTATAGATGCCTGGCCATGGGTTTAGCCATAAATGACTTACTTATGAAACATGTTAAGCTTTTCTGTTTAAAATCCCTCCCCTGCCTTTTAAAAAATTTCCCATGAATCTTGAAATAATCCTGAGAATTCAGATGGAGTGCGGGTATTTTTTCTAATTGTTGCTCAGAAAATCCTTGATCCAGTCTGAGTGTTTTGTTATCATTGAGCCATATGCAGAATTACAAAATGAAAATGAAAACAGGTCAGCTAAAATTAAGAAGTCAATGCAAGGAGTAAAGGCACAGATAATACCAAAACATGAGTCAGGATGATCTGTCTCGTTGGCCTGACAAATATGGCTCAAAATTATTTTTTTTAAAAAAGATTAGAAGTTCTGAAAGTCTACAATCTGCAAGGTAGAGACCAAATTGGCTACGCATTGGCAGTGTGACCTTCCCCCAAATTACTAAGCTTCTCTCTGCCTCCTTTTCAAAAGCCTTTACTAGTATCTATATCTTAGATATTATTTAATTTCATTTGATAATTGTGTACCTGACACACAAGGAGCACAGAGTAAATGGAGACAATTATTGTTAGCTCCATTTTAGAGAGGAGAGAAACTGATAGAGAGAGTGATAGGGGGTTAATAGCTAAGCTCTCAGTAATATACCAAGTGGTGCAATTCCAAAGATACATGTTTTGCTCTCAAGTTAAGAAAACACAAGCCAATTGCAATTTTGTGATGAGGAAGATGGGATACAGTTGCAATATCAAAGCTGCCTCTGACAACTAATACCAGCCCTGACCTGCTTCTGCCATGGTTTTCTGACCTGCAATATTTAATCTTCAGCTTTCAGACATCCACATTCCACCCTGGACCTTGCCTGTCTGGTAAGCCCAATCTCTGCAGGTCAGCCATGCAGCTGAGGTGAGGGAAGGTATGTTGGGATGGGCTGGCATGAGGAGTCATGGGGGTCGAGAAGAAAGTTATGGCAAGAGACATTCTTTTGTGCGTGCATAGTTTAACAGAGACGAATAATGTTCATTTTGATCTTTATTAAGAGGTGGCCTCTTAATAGGCCACCCCCTTAATAGGCCTCAGAATATCTGCTTTAAAGTGGCTTTTTCCTGATGGTTTCTTCTACCATTGTTACAGTAGCTGCCTCAAATCAGCCAAAGCAGAAGTTCCTATTTTGCTTGAGAGCTTAGGCTTCAGGCAAAAACTACTGACATTTATGAGATACCTAGTATTTTACAATGCTATCTGGTTAAATTCTTATAATTGTCCTTTTAAAAAGACAGAGAACACAGAGGTAAAATAACTGCTCTGAGTTCACATAGGCAAATGTTGGAGACGAGATTCAAACAGAAACTAGACTGACTCAAAAATCAAATCTAAGTGATGAAAGTAAAGGTACTGTTTTGTTTGCATCACTTAATAATTCATCTGGAATCACAAGTCATGATAAGAACCTAATAAGCCATATCATCAAAACCTGAGCTTGGGTCACCTTCAAGATGCAACACACCCAACATCACAGTAGATTCAGGGGCACCCTGAAACACAAGAGTAAGAAACAGAAACATCTATCCTTAGAGACTACCCTTGTAGCCATTCTGCTGAGTTGTATTTTTTTTTCATTGTTGCTTAGAAGATCCTTGATCCAGTCTGAGTGTTTTGTTTTCTTTGAGCCCTATGCAGAATTACAGAATGAAAATGAAAACAGGTCAGCTAAAATTAAGAAGTCAATGCAATGAGCAAAGGCACAGACAGTACCAAAACATGGGTCAGGATGATCTGTCCTGTTGGCATGACAAATATGGCTCACAATTTTTTTAAAAAAAAAATTAGAAGACTCAAGTCTTTTGACTTTACTGAGAAGATGAAGTCTGACACTGTTTATTTCCAATCTTCTTGGAAAGACTTTCACCACTGTTTATCTCATAAAATTGGAGTGCTATTTACCAGTTAATAAGAAAATGGCATAACATAAAACCTTTAAATACTAATGTTAAAAGAGAACTTCAGAGTTTTCTAGTTCAACCACCTAGCAAACTCATGAAGCTCTTCCTTAAATTCTTCAAGTTGATTATCCAAATTCAGAGTTAACACTCAGTAGATTGCTTCTGTTGTAAGGTACTAACAATAAAAACATTCTTCATGATACAGACATTAAATCTACATCCCTGTAAAATTCATAAGCAGATTCTAGCCCCGCCCTTTGTAGCACCATAGAGCAGGGCCCCTGTCTCTACTGCATGAATACAGAGTATTCGTAACTGCATTCAAGGGTGTGAACCAATTGCAGCCAGGGCCATGTTTTGACTATCTCAGCATACCTAGATCACAGTACAGGGAACATAGCTGGTGTTCAATAAAAGCTTTGAATATGCGAGTATATATCACCTTTAATAGTTTCTTCTCTGTTTTTTCTTTTTCCTGATTTCAGACATCCACATTCCACCCTGGGCCTTGCCCGTCTGGTGAGCCCAATCTCTGCTGGTCAGTCACGCAGTTGAGGTCAGGGAAGGTATGTTGGGATGGGCTGACATGAGGGGTAATGAGGGTCAAGATGAAAGTTAAGGCTAGGGACATTCTTTTGTGTGTGCATAGTTTAAAAGACAAATCAGTCATTTTGCATGTTGATATCTATAAATGACCACATCAACATATCTGCTTTAAAGTGGCCGTGTCCCAGTGGCTTCTTCTACCACTGTCACTTTTGAAGGAGGGTCCTGTTCCACTCCTTCATCACTATAGTGACCTCTATTAAACAAAAGAGGTACCAGGAATCAAACATTACATTTCAGATGTGAAATATCTCCCAATAAACCAGCATTCACTACTTCCACTGGGAATTCTCTGTGGCTAGAAAACTATTTTTGTTGAATCTTTGCCTTGATTTTCTGGGAAAGATATATTTTTAACCCCATTCACCTTCCTCCCTCCCTTTCTCCTTGCCCGTTTTTGCTAGCCCTCTGAGCTTGACATTGATAACTGTTTAGTATAATCAGTTGCCTAAATTTCCCTGCTTGTGAGTTTCTCCAATCCCTAGAGCTGAGGGCATTTGATTCCACACGCACGTCCTTCTGCTCTGGGCCGTGGGATGGGTCATTCCTAGAACTCCTAAGTGAGTGGCTCTAAAACTCATCTCAGGTGACTTAGCGAGCATTTCTTGCAGTGAGTTCTGCTCTGAACCTGTGCTCCAGTCCTAGTGACTGAGTGTTGTCTTTTCCTGAGTTCAGGTCCAAATAGCCACCATCACTCTGATTCCATGTCCAACAGTTCCTTTTATTATTAAGGCTTAAAACTTTAGTAATAAAATGAGATAAATTTCTCATGGCTTTTTTTCCCCAACATGTATTATCCTGTGACCCTGAATAAATATCCCAAACTAGTTAAGATTCAATTCTTTATCTTTAAAAAGGGGATAATATTGATCCCTTGTTCTCAGGGTAACTGGGAGAATTAAACATATTTCATGGGCATAAAATGCCTGGCATGTAAGAAGTGTTTCTCTCTGGCTGATAATTGTTATCTGATTATCCTCTCTCAGTTTGGAGGTCCTAAACCCCAGCTCCATATCTGGATCTGTTACTTTTTTTTGCCATACCTATTTGATGCAGACTTCTTAGCTACATAAATATCTACATACTGCCTATTATCCCTTTTCCTAACTTCCCCAACACTGGGTTTTCCCCTCTTTCTCTTCCCCCTGTTCTCTCACTGGGGGCCTGTTAAGCTGATTAAATAAGCCCTGCCCCTCTTTACTCCCTGTTCCAGCAGCTCAACTGAATTTCCGTCCTTTCACAGTCATAGCTGGATGCGTCCCAAGAACAGAAAATGCCACACTCCAGTGGGCAATCCTAAACTCTTGGCTTTCGACCTTAGAAGTCTGGCCACTACATTGCCTTTGAATCCACATGTGTCAGATCTAATAATACTTAGTTGAAGATTTACTATCTTCTCCCTAAATAACTGCTCCCTGCCACTGGGATGATCCTCTCAGCTCCCAGCCCCACAATCTGCTAGCATGGAGCTGTGAAAGCTGTATTCCATCAGCAAGGATCTCCCAAGGCTAAAAGACCCAGAAACCTGGCCATCTGCACCTACAATGTCAGGAGATATACCCTCTTCAAAGGGGAAGGCACTGCTTCTACTTAAACAGTTCTCCATTGTGATGACAATACATACTTTAATCCTGTAAAGTTTCTCCAGACACGAAGATGGAAATGTGCTTTTCTGCTTCCCAGTCTCAGGCATTCTTTTATCTCTAATTTGACATGACAAACAGACTCTCCATCGTCACCTGTTATGGTGTGAATGTCTCTTCATTTCATTAATGCAGGGCTGCCACTGACATAAAGGGTTTTTTTGTTTTGGGTCACTCTTCTGTACCCCTATCCTTCCCATATCTAATAATCACCATTATTATATTAAAAGGCAAATGTTCTGATCACAGCTTGATAGTGTCCTTGAAGTGAACAGGACGATTTTCTGTCTACCCAGTGAAAACAGCCTTTGGTCCTTCACAGTGATTTCACAGACAACCTAGAGCCTACGAGGAGACTGGAATGTTGATCTCTCTCAGGTCAGGAACCAGACTTACACACCTACACACTTCGTGCGCGCACACACACACACACACACAAACTCATTTCCGGCATCCAGTCTTTATGATGAGAGCTAGTTCTTCAGTAAGAGTCCAGCTTCTGGCTGCAGAAGGAATTAATGCCAAGATAATCCTGTGTACTTTGGATCCACGCAGTAGGAAGCTTCATGCTTGCTGCTTTCCTCAGGATGCCCTGTGACATCACCCACACTGGATTGTTTTTCCTTTTGTGTTAAAACACTTTGGCTTCATTCCAAAGGGTGTCTGAAGACAACAAGCCTTCCCTCCAGTCTACCCACTGGCCACGTAATCCCACAACTGGAAACATTCTTCTGCATGAAAAGGCATCACTCAATTAGCTCTCACTCAGAGCACCCCTCCCATGTCTCAGCTTCCTTTGACCTCTTTCCTTGCCGATGTTTTAGATTCTTAATGGTTTGGTCTGGTGGAGGTCTGCTACAGTCACTTGATACTTGTACTTGTGTCCCCCAGTGTGTATATCAAGGGCTGATATTATAAGGAGAGTGAGTAGATGCATCTCAGGAAAAATTAAAAATCACTTCAGATGCTGAAATAGTTCACTACAACCCTGGTGTCTGGAGTTGCAGGGAATAGGATATAATCTCCTCAATTCTAGAAAACATGGTTCAAGCTGTATACAAAAGATATACACATCTGAGGGTATGAGTGTGACATTAACCATTATGCACCACTCACACCAGTTACAGAGATCTGGGTTGCAATGCTAGTTTTTTTGCTTAGCTTGTTAATTTGCAAAACACAAAAGATATAATTTGCAAAACACAAAAGATATAATACAACCTGCTTTTCAAGATGGCTATTAGGATTATGGGAGAGTGACACAGCACTGAGCCCCAAAAAGAGGAGATGGAGCTGGGCTAAGGGGAACGTGTCACTAAAAGCAGAAGTGGGGAGCACACAGAAAAACCTTGATTAGCATCATAGATTGTCTGCGGGCTGGACCTTCAAAGTTGTACCACGCTGAATACTTGGTTGCACTATTAGACTTCCTGGCCATTACTGCTTGGATAGCTGAGATTTTGATTAGTGCTGTTCTATTAAACTGGTAGTAAAATATCTTTGGGGAAAGGAATGGGGTACATATGCTCGCAGACAGGCAAGGTCACTGATATGGTTTGGCTGTGTCCCCACCCAAATCTCATCTTCAGTTGTAGCTCCCATAATTCCCATGTGTGTGGGAGGGACCAGATGGGAGATAATTGAATCATGGGGTAGTTTCCCCCATACTGTTCCCATGGTAGTAAGTCTCACGAGAGCTGATGGTTTTATAAGGGGAAACCCCTTTTGCTTGGCTCTCATTCTCTCTTGCTGCTGCCAAGTAAGAAGTGCCTTTAGCCTTCCACCATGATTATGAGACCTCCCCAGCCACGTGGAACTGTGAGCCCATTAAACCTCTTTTTCTGTATATAAATTACCCAGTCTCAGGTATGTCTTTATCAGCAGTGTGAAAACTAACTAATACGGTCACCAATCTCAATGTGTTGCTTTCATACAAAGAACATTCTTTGATTCAAATGAGAAGAATATACATCAGAGTGGTCCTGCTCAGGAGAGGAAGTGGAGACCCCCTTTGCTTGATGGCACAGCATAGATGATGTGTTGCCACACTCAGGTGCCCCTGGGACCAAGAACCCGAGAACCAAGTATGAGTCCTGGAGGGCTAGGGGTTGATGGGCAGGGCCTTGCACTCCTTTTGGTTTTCACAAGGTTTTAGCGACATTTGGCCAAATATGAATAACAGGACAAATATTCCTTCAGCCTATTATGTCTTCTCTCGTAAATGTTTCTGGATAAGGGAGCTGGCATGGGCATATTCACAAGTTGTTGACAATCTGTCTTTGAGGACTGGTTTCTAATTTTTTTTTTTTTTAATGAGGGCATCCAGTCTATGTTTCTAGGGGAAAATTACATGAGATTTGGGAGTTCAAATGCCAATGATGTTTATAATTCTCAGCTAAAATGCCAGTATTTCTTTCCCTTGTCTTGAACTCTATGAATGAAAAAAAAAAATAGTGTTGGTTTATAGTATAATCCTTCCAGTTATGTTTTAAAGTTCTGCAGTACTCCCAAACCCATCAGTTGAATGATCTTTTCATAAATATTATCTATCATTTATGTGTACAAAATGGCATTTTGATTAAGTTAAAGCAAAAGGTAATTTTATTACCAGAGAAAATATTCATCTCATCCCTGTCCCCTTCTCTAATCAACCTCAAATAAAACAAGACCATGTGGTCTACAGTTAAAATTGTTATAAATAATATTTAATTAAATCAGTATCTAAAATTATTGATTTTTAAATACATATTGGAAATCTTTCTCCATGTAGCCATACCATACACATTCTTGGCTAAGAAATAATTTTGTTCTGGATGCAGGAAACCTACTTGTTCAATGCAAGCACCACTCAAATTTTCATAGGCAGATTATCTGCCGGATGAATTAGCCCAAGGAATTAAAATTAAAATTCCTAAACTTCCTTCTGCTCAACAACCCAGAATGTTTTCCTTGGTTACATCTTTCTCATCTGATAGCTTGATTTCAAGGGAACAAAAAATCAGTTTTAATGGGGCATTCTTTTCAAAGCAAATAATTTATTCCAAGTCAAATGCAAATTGATTTCTCACTATTTTCCTTTTATGGCTTATCTATGGCACCAACTTCCTTCATTCGCCTAGAAAATCAAGAAGTAACCACCCAAGCCAAATACCAGGGAAGCATCTTTGTTCCTTAAATGCTGGGAAAAGTCTTAACCCTAGTCACCTTTCTTTTGGATCTAGCAGCGTCTTTCTCACTTTGATATTATTCCACCATAGAAGTCTATATTCTCAAAGAGCTGTACTGACAGCAGGGCTGTGGTTTACTTGGCAAGACTGAACTTCTCAAGGGCAGTGATACTGCTCATAATTCTTAATCATAGTCTTCACAATACTTCAGATATAGTTGAATGTTGATTGAATTTAAAAATACACAAAGATGTGTCCATAGTTTTTTCCAGTCCCTTACTGTCATTGGTGTATTTGGCTGAATGGTACAGAAACTCTTCCCGTGAAGGTTTAAACACCTTACCATCATGGTTTCAGGGAAAAGTGCTCCCATCTTCCCCAAACTCAGTTCTTAGTTGCCCATCAACATGAATATTCCAGACTGAGAAATACTGGGAAAGTATCACTTTTCTTTTTAAGGAAAATATTACTAACTTGGGTTGCCGCTGTGTGTGTAGACATTCATAGATAATAAAATTCCAACCTTCCAAATCAGGACAGGATGATTCGTTATTCTTCTATAGCACTATCATGGAGATAAAAAGTGTGATTGGAAGAGAAAGTATTAAAAAAAACATGGAAATTCAAGATTCTATCAAATACACTAACTCCTGTCAGCTCTCTAAATCTTCTATTATCTGTAGTAAGTGGTAATGCTTCCCTGCTAAGAGGCCTTGAGAAGGCACACACTAATAGAAAGTTAATCTCATGTGACAAGCAACATATAGCTTAAGGTATTGTCTCAAGATGCTATCTATCTGGATCTTCCTAGGAAGATCTTTTGTCTTATATTTTAAGGCCTTCTTAATTTATCTATATCCACAGGGAAAATGGGAATTGAGACATCAGCCAATAACACTTACTTTATTTTCCTTTCCAATAAAGATGTCCTGAATTTTCATTGCAACAGCTTAAAACAGAAACCCAATCACTTAAAGGTCAAAGAAGTTGTAGACACTATCCAGGGAGTTTCTGGTCTACGAGTAAATCACATCTGTGAGTTCAGTGATTCCCAGCAGATTGAATAGACTAATAAATAGACTCTCTGTAAATTGCCAAAGAGGACAGTTTGCAGGCAGTACTCACAAATGGGAAAATAGCAACAGAGAGACAGGAGTTGGATTTCTGTTGGCATACCGTAAATGCCAAATTTTGAGAAGGTCAAAAGTCATGACACATATGCCTTCCACAAATTACATTTGTTTTGAAATGCACAGTTAGGTTCAACCAAAGCAGCTCCCATACAAAACTACATGGGAGCTACTAAAGATTAGTCATAGGTAACCTGGCATTCAGAAACACCATGGAGAGTGTTATCATTCTGTTGAGAAACACAAAGCAGGTAACTAGTACAAAATGACTTCTATTCTTAGCAATACTTGTAGTTCCTCTGGGCAGTTCTATCATGTCTCCTTGAAGGTAATGAAGGTCAAGGCAATTAGATGCTAAAACAGAATTCTGAAACAAGTCTGGGAAATTGCCAATTTTATAATTAATGGCGGGGGAAAAAAATGCCAGTTAACTCTCTCCCCATTTGGGTCTACACTTGAAAGATGATATTAATCTACATAAGATAATTCCACTTTCCATTCGTTATTTGGTTTGGCTAAGACTGTAGTCATAGCTACATGCACTGTGATTAAAAACTAAACAATACCACCTAGTATGAAAGGAGGTTTAGAAACACAGCTTCTTTTTATCCTCATAGCAATCCACTGATGTGCATTTTCAGATGGGCAAACAGAGGCTCAAAGACGTCGATTAGTTGGTGCAAACGTGCACAGTCTTACTAGCAATCAAGCAGGTACTTAAACTTAAATCCTTATGTATCAGAATCTAGGTCTCAATTTTTGAAACTTAAGGTCTCAATCTTCAAAATGCATAAGAATCAATTGAGGACCAATCAAATCAGGATTGGGGTGAAACTCAAGAATCTACAAGTGCAAGATGTTCTCTTAGAATCTGAAAGAAAATAGTTGACTACACTTTAAAAAACACCACTATACTATACTGCTTGTAGGGATATCTACATGAGGTGTTGGAGGTTATGAATATGTAGCTTGAGGTTATGCCTAAATAGCTGGGGACAGCTATTTAGGCAAACCTGCATCATGAATACATAATTGCCCTCCTCAGAACTCATTCATTTAAAGGACCATTTACTTGAGTTTTGTACATCTAGCAATAGAGACCTCAAAGTAGGAAAGTTGCAGAATAGCACAATTTTTAACATTTTCTTTCCAAAGTTATTGAAAATATTAAGATAAAAGAAAGATTGTTAAAACAGACATTGTTACACAAGCCAAGAAATAAAGGTATTAACAGTTTAATATGGTTTGGAATGGGAAAGAGACAAAAGGAGGCACCAAAAAGGGGAAATGCATTTGGTGCCCATTTAATGCTAACTCTGCTTCATCCCTGATTTGTTACCCACTGTTTTCATGATTTCTCCAATTGCTCTCCAGTGGCCAAATGTGATCTGACTCCCTCTTCTCCCTCCCACCTCCTTGTTTTAAATGAGATCTGGTTTTACTTAGATGAATTAAATGTCACTATATTTGTTTTTGTAAATTGTTCCAGCAAAAATTACAGCATCGATGGCTGACTTTAAATGTCTGTACGACTGTCTGCCTTGCTGGGCTATTTATAGCTGCCTTTTAAAAAGTCTAATAAATGCTTTTAGATTGCTATTGATTTGTTTCCCCTTTACAAAGCCTCAGAATTAATATTCTTCAAAGTATTAACTGAAAACACCTTTTTTCTTTCTGCAAAAGTCATGCATGTTTACTGTTAAATTTTAGAGAATATAAGTATGTGAATAGAAGAAAAAAGGGAAAACTAATCACATCAAAATTAACATTTTGTTGTATATGATTCTGTTTTTTCTCCATTTTTAAATATATTTAAACTTAAAAAATTTTATTGTATGAGAGTTTTTATAGCCCTGTTTTTACTTTCATTTAAAAGGCCCACATTTTTTTCCCGTCACTCTTCTACTCCATTACTTTTAATGGCTATAGAGTAATCATATGATTGTACCATTACCTATGAAATCAACCTCTCATTTATAAAATAGCTAATTCACATCCAGATTTTGTCACTACAAATAGCCCTCCAATGTAGTCGTGTCTTTGTATTCATCCGTAATAATTTCTTTAGAAAAAAATTGCTGAGAACGGAATTGCTGCATTGGAGGTTGTACCAGATTCATAGACTATTGTCACACATAGCTAGCTTACCTCCAGAAATAGTTCAAATTAAATGTATACATTTGAATATATCTTTAAAGTGACAATATAATAACACATTAATATTGGGGGAGTCACATTTCTAGTAATTCAATTATAGCCTTAACAAATTTAATTAAACACTTTTACACAAACAGACACTTTTCAAAAGAAGACATACAAGCAGTCAACAAACATGAAAAAATGCTCACTATCACTAAGCATCAGAGAAACGCAAATCTAAACCACAATGAGATACCATCTCACACCAGTGAGAATAGCCATTATTAATAACTTTAAAAACAACAGATGTTAGCGAGGCTGCGGAGAAAAGGGAGTGCTTATACAGTGTTGGTGGGAATGTAAATTAGTTCAGCCACCGTGGAAAGCAGTTTGGAGATTTCTCAAAGAACTTAAAACAGAACTACTATTCAAACCAACAATCCTGTTACTGGGTATATATTCAAAAGAAAACAAATCATTCACCAAAAGTCTCATGCACTCACATGTTGATAAAGGCACCATTCACAATAGCAAAGGCATAGAATCAACCTAAGTGCCCATCAATGGTGGACTGGATAAAGAAAATGTGGTCAATATACACTATGGAATACTACACAGCCATAAAAAAGAACAAAATAATGTCCTTTGCAGCAACATTTACGTAGCTGAAGGCCATTATCCTAAGTGAATTAACACAGGAGCAGAAAACCAAATACTGCATGTTCTCACTTAAAAGTGGAAGCTAAACATTGGATACTCATGAACATAAACATGGCAACAACAGACACCGAGGACTACTAGAAGGGAGAGCGGGCAGGGCTTCAAGGTTTGGAAAACTAACCTCAGCATCACACCAAACCTCAGCATCACACAATATACCTGAACCAAACCTCAGCATCACACAATATACCTGAATAACAAACTTCGACATGGACCCCAGAATTTAAAAGCTGAAAAAATAATAATAATATAAAATTTCATACTGAACTCCGTTATCAGTCCTGAGGAAGACGATAACATAAAAACAAGTAGTATCACCTTTGTGTTTTCTGTTTATAAGCTGGTATCTGCAACAGGGAGATGTAGGATAAATGGGTGTTTGGAGAACTGTCAACACTGATGTTTTTATAGTCTTAGGAGTACTAACTCTCTTATGAGTGATGAAATTTCCTTGAGGATAAATATCATCTTTGTATTATTCAATTATTTATTCATCTATTTCTTCAAAATATAATTAGTAAGTGCCTATATATCACATATTGCTTTAGCTGTTAGGGATACAGTGGTAAATAAGACAAGCATGGCCCTCGTGGAGCTTACAATTTATTTCACAGAACAATCTAATCAACAAAAAAGTTAATCAGTAGCAGAAACATCCTTGGGCTTTAGAGCAGGGTGTGGCAAACTCTTCTGTAAAGACTCAAAGAAACTAGGATAATATTTAAGGTAGTAAATATTTTAAGCTTTGTGGACCACATGGCCTCTGATGCAGCTACTCAACTTTGTAAGTTTGTGTGATGTAGGGGAGGGAAGACTTTCCCTCTAGCCTCAAGTTCAGTAATTCAGTAGAACTTATGATTGTTCAGAACTTGAGTCTATAAAATAAGCTGACAAGAGGCAGATTTTATCAGTCCATTCTTACATTGCTATAAATATCTGAGACTGGGTAATTTAAAACCTAGGTGATTTAAACCTGTTTTAAAGAAAACAATAACACAGGGACACAGAGAGGGGAACATCACACACTGGGGCCTGTCGGGGGTTCGGGGGCTAGGGAAGGGATAGCATTAGGAGAAATACCTAATGTAGATTACGGGTTCATGGGTGCAGCAAACCACCATGGCACATATATACCTATGTAACAAACCTGCATGTTCTGCACATGTATCCAAGAACTTAATGTATCATTTAAAAAAAGAAAAATAAATAAATAAACAAATAAATGCTGAAAAAAAAGAAAAGATGTTTAATTGGGTCATAGTTCTGCAGGTTCTCCAGGAAGCATAATGCCAGCACCTGCTTCTGGGGAGGCCTCAGGAAACTTACAAAATGGTGGAAAGTGAAGGGGGAGCAGGCACATCACATGGTGAAAGCAGGAGCAAGTGAGAGAGAGAATTGAGGAGGGAGGTGCCACCATTTTTAAATGACTAGATCTCATAAAAACTCACAATCGTAAAGACAGCACCAAGCCATGAGAGATGCGCCCCCATGATGAAAACACAAAACACCTCCCACCAGGTCCCCCTCCAGCACTGGGGAATACATTTCAACATGAGATTTGGGTGGGGACAAATACCCAAACTATATTATTCTGCCCTGGACCACCCCAAATTTTATGTCCTTCTCCCATTGCAAAATACAATCATTCCTTCCCCCAAATTCCCAAAAGTCTTAACTTATTCTAGCATTAACTCAAAAGTCTGAAGTCTTATCTGAGACAAGGCAAATCCCTTCCACCTATGACAGGTTAGTTACTTCCAAGATACAATAGGGGCATTGTACAAACAGGCGTTGGATAAACATTCCCATTCCAAAAGGAAGAAATTAGTCAAAATAAAAGCTCTACAGGCCCCACACAAGTTTAAAACTTAGCAGGGCAGTCATAAAATCTTAATGCTCCAAAATAATCTCCTTTGACTCCATGGCCCACATCCAGAGCACGCTGGTGCAAGGGGTTAGGTTCACAAGGCCTTGGGCAGTTCCACGTCTGTGGCTTTACAGGGTTTAGTCCCTGAGACTGCTGTCACAGGTTGTTGAATGCATGTAGCTTTTCCATGTGCAAGGTAGAAGTTGCTGGTGGATCTACTCTTCTGGTGTCTGGAGGATGGTGACCCTTTGTCACATCTCCACTAGGCAGTGCCCCAGTGGGGACTGTGTAGGTGGGCTCCCACCCATGTTTCCCCTCTGCCCTTCCCTAGTAGAGGTTCTCTGTGGAGGCTCCACCCCTGCAGCAGGCTTCTGTCTGGGCACCCAAGCTTTCCCATACAGCCTCTGAAATCAAGTAAGAGGCTACCAAGCCTCATAACTCTTGCATTCCATGGACCTGCAGGCTTAACACCACATAGAAGTCACCGAGGATTATGGCTTGCACTCTCTGAAGCAGCAACTCAAGCAAGCTGTGTCTGGGGCCCTTTGAGCTAAGGCTGGAGCTGGAGTGACCTGGATGCAGGGAGCAGTGTCCCAAGTCTGCACAAAGCAACAGGGCCCTAGGCCCTGCCCACAAAACCACTATTTTCTCCTAGACCTTTGGGCCTGTGATGGGAGGGGTTTTCTAGAAGATTTCTAAAATTCCTTTGAGGCCTTTTCCCATTGTGCTGGATATTAGCACTTGGCTCCCTTTTAGTTATGCACATATCTCTAGCAAGTGGTTGCTCCACAGCCTGCTTGAATTTGGCTCCCCAAAAAGCCTTTCCTTTTTTGCCATGTGGCCAGGCTGCAAATTTTCCAAACTTTTACACTCTGCTTCCCTTTTAAATATAAGTTCCAAATTTAGGTCATTTCTTTGCTCTTGCCTCTGAACATAGGCAGTTAGAAGCAGCCCTGGTATATCTTGAACAATTTGCTGCTTAGAAATTTCTTCTACCAGATACCTAAATTATCACTATGAAGTTCACACTTCCACAGATCCCTAGGGCAGAGGCACAATGCAGCCAAGTTCATGCATGAGTCACCTTTGCTCCAGTTCCCAATAAGTTCCTCATTTCCATCTGAGACCGTGTCAGCCTGGACTTCATTTTCTGTATCACTATTGGCATTTTAGTCACAACCATGTAACACTAAGCAATTCCAAACTTTCCCTCATCTTTCTGTCTTCTTCTGAGTCCTCCAAACTCTTCCACCCTCTGTCTGTCATTCAGTTTCAAAGCCACTTTCGCATTTTCACGTGTCTTTGTAGCAATGCCCCACTCTCAGTACCAATTTTCTATATTAGGTTCTTTTTGCATTGCTATAAATACCTGAGACTGGGTAATTTATAAAGAAAAGAAGTTTAATTGGCTCACGGTTATGCAGACTGGACAGTAAGCATAGTGCCCGCTTCTGCTTCTGGGGTTGCCTCAGAAAGTTTACAATCATGGAGAAAGGTGAAGGGAGAGCAAGCACTCCACATGGTGAAAGCAGAAGTAAGCAAAAGAGAGAGAGAAGTGTCTGGGGGGAAAGAGAGATGCCACACACTTTTATATGACCAGACCTTGCAAGAACTGGTCGTGGTCATGAAGACAGCACCAAGCCATGAGAGATCTGTCTGCATGATCCAAACCACCTGGCCCCACGGCAACCCCACCTTCAGCATTAGGGATTACAACTCAACATGAGATTTGGGCAGGGATAGATATCCAAACTGTATCACAGATTAACAGGAGAAAGTGTATATGCATTTATCAAGTGCATTTTCTTTTATAGGAAAGAAAAGTGAATACTCAAGAAACCAGTTAGACTTAAAAGCTTATTACCCCCTCTTTATAAGGGAGAAGAGAGTGGGGATGCAGACAAGTTAGGGGGTATAAATGATTTGGGGGAAAGATGATGGGGTCCATAGAAGAAGAGGTGACAGTCTGTGACAAAGTTTGTCTGGGTGTGGCATGAACTTCCACTTACCCCTTCTGGGATATGAGTTAATCTCTGGTTGATAAAACTGGAGGATGGCAGGGGTATCAATGACAATTAAGAAGTTCTTTTTGGAGGATCTGTCCCTAGGCAGATAAGAGGATCCCAGAGAAAGACTCTGCCTGCATCTGTTGTCCCACAGAAACTCCAGTTTAATGTAATCAGCTACCAAAGTGGCATATTTTGGGGTGGCATTTCCTGAACATTTTCAGGAACAATATGTAGCCGCAGACCTTAAACAATGGTCTGGCTGTATTCCAATAAAACTTCATTTACAGAAACAACTCAATACTCAGATTTGGCCCTCAGGCTGCAGTTTTCTGACCCCAGTGTTTGTTAGTGAAAAAGGAAGATACGGTGAAGATCTCTACCTATCACAGAACGGTGAGAAGAGTAGTAGGAAATACTTTAGAGAGAGGGCCAGATGTTAGATGTATCAATCTGCTTACCATACAGATTATGCAAATTATTCTAATTGCAATGGAAAGAAACTGGAGAGTTTTAAGCAAAGAGTGACATGTTTTGGCTTTGTTTTAAAAGAGGGCTGCGTGTAGTGGGTCACACCTGTAATCCGAGCACTTTGGGAGGCTGAGGCCAGCAGATCACTTGAGGCCATGAGTTCAAGACCAGCTTGGCCAACATAGTGAAACCCCTAGTGAACATTTTGCTGCTTAGACATTTCTCTACTGAAAAAAAAAATACAAAAAATTAGCTGAGTGTGGTGGCACATGCCTGTTGTCCCAGCTACGAGGTTGAGGTATGAGAATTCCTTGAATCTGTTAGGCAGAGGTTGCAGTGTGCCAAAATTATGCCACTGCACTCCAGCCTGGGCAACAGAGCAAGACTCTGTCTCAAAAGAAAAGAATAGAAAATAGACTGACGTGTAGGAAGGGCAAAAATAGGAGACCTCTTAGGAAGTTGTTGCCATGGCCTACTGAAGACAGTGGTTTTGACAACAGTGAGAATTGAGTAGATTTAATATCTACTTAGAAGTGAACTAAAGGGCTTGCTGGTAGTTGACATGATGATTTAAGGGAGAGTCATGAGACCATATGCTTGCATATCGGATACTTTTTTTTTTTTTTGAGAAGGAGTCTTGCTGTGTTACCCAGGCTGGAGTGCAGTAGCACTATCTCGGCTCACTGCAAGCTCCACCTCGCAGGTTCACACCATTCTCCTGCCTCAGTCTCCCAAGTAGCTGGGATTACAGGCACCCGCCACCACGCCCAGCTAATTTTTTTTACTTTTTTTAGTAGAGATGTGGTTTCACCATGTTGGCCAGGCTGGTCTCGTACTCCTGACCTCAGATGATCCACCCACCTTGGCCTCCCAAAGTGCTGGAATTACAGGCGTGAGTCACCACGCCTGGCCAGAATACTTTTTAAAAAGGTACATGTAATTAAATTTTCACTGATTTTTGTTGTTGATATTGTTCAAGCAACAGAAATTATCCCTGGTTAACACCAGCAGAAGAAAACATTATTGGAAAGATAACAGTTTGGCTTATAGCATCAAATATAAGAAGATACAATCTGATTTGAGCAGAAACAAGAGGAAAGGCAAAATAACAATCCTGTCTCAGAGACTGCCTCGTAGGGAGCTGTGACTTGCCTCTCTCTTTCAACACCTAGATGTACACCACCTCACCACTGGCCTCTTGACTGCCTGCCATTCCCTTAAATAACAGGAGTCAGTAACTCTGCGTCGCTTCCTCAAGATTCAGCCTAGTTCGTGAAGTTCTGATTGGCCACTCCTAGATCATGTGGCCCTGCCGCACATGAAGGGTGAGAAAGCACTGTAATGAGAGGTGGCTTCTGATACCTTCTCTGGCCTCATCCTAATCCCAGTCATGATCATCTCTTACCTCATTGTTGAAACAGCTTTCTGGTTTACCTCCCTCCTTCTGCTCTTAAATTTCCCCCAACTGATTTTCCAATGGACAGCCGGCATGATCTTGTTCAAATGCAAAAGTTATCATGCAATGCCCTTGGTTCAGATATTTCAACAGCTTTCACTGTTCTTGGGAGAAATATCCAAATCTTTACCTACGAGATATTCTATGCTCTGGCTCTCTCTTTCTAGCCTCAATTCTCCCTCATTTCAACCCATGCCCACACTCAGGTCTTTGGAAAGCATGTCCTATGCACCTTTGAAAAGATATTGAAAAGATAACAGTTTAGCTTATAGCATCAAATATAAGAAGATAGAATCTGATTTGAGCAGAAACGAGAGGCAAGAAACCTTTGCATGAGTCATGCAGCCTTTGCAAATATTGTTTTCTCTGCCTGGGAAACATTTTTGCTTCCTCTTCTTATTGAGTTAATTCCTCTTCCTCTTTCAGATTATAGCTTGGACATATATCTCTCCCAGACTAGATAAGGCCCTGTATGATAAGCTATCAGAGGAGAGAGATTTATTGAAGTTAAGGGATAAGGATGACTATAAATAAAAGAGAGCTTCCCAGGTGCTAGCTATTATGCGCTTTCATTTTATGTCATTTATTCCTCATAAAAACATTTTGAGACA
Organism: Homo sapiens; assembly: GCF_000001405.40. Taxonomy (NCBI): domain Eukaryota; kingdom Metazoa; phylum Chordata; class Mammalia; order Primates; family Hominidae; genus Homo; species Homo sapiens. The sequence goes on from NC_000017.11 coordinate 70,123,632, forward strand.
AATTGACTATTGTCCCCATGATTTCAATAAATACAATGAGGCTTACAGATGCTGATTCCATGCAGCTAAGATGTGGCAAAAAAAAAAATTATAATAATGAGAATCCAAGTCTTTGATCTTCATATTCCTGCCCTTTGACTATTCTGCTGTTAGACCACATTCTGGAGCTTGGACTGTAACCACGGTAGCAGAAGGAGAGATACTTACATTTCAGGTTTAGAAATGATTGCTCTGGATGAAAGAGGCAATAAATGAGTTGAAAGGCTGTTATGTAAACCAGGTGAAGCCAGGTGAGAGATCAGGAAAGCCTGCATTCAATGATAAAATGCAGATGCGTTCCTGTAATGATAACTTCTTATGGAAACCAGGTCTTAAAATTAGCTTAGAAAGAGGGAGGCTGCAGCCAAATCACACCTATCAATAGTGCTCTCACTTAACAACCAGATAGTGACTGTACCTCAAACAAACAAAATAAGATAGGGAGCAAGGTCTGAGTTGAGAGCATTTTAACCTAAGGCTCGGAATGAAGAGCTCACTCTGAACTTGAATGTCAGGCCCTAGGCCAAACCTTCTTGGATGGCCCTGGTTCAATAGTAACCTCCCTCCTTGCTCCAGGCCCTTCTCCATAGTATCACTTTCTTTTGTGTCCTCCATGATAGTTACTGCTATCAGAGATTGTTCCTTTGTATGGTTTTCATGTTTGTTGATACCCGCCTCTCCAATGTAAACTGCAATTCTGTTTTCCGGTGCCTAAAAGTGGATGGGTCTGTCACATAGTAGGAACTCATTTTTTAAAAAAAAACTGAATGAAAAGAAAACAAGAATGAAAATAATTAGTAGCAACTACTCCCAAGGGGAATGTAGAGGCTGTTGGGGGAAGTGGTTTCCTTATACAATGAAAGGAGGCTGAGCTGTGGTCTTTTACAGGAACATCAGATCTCGTGTTATCTGACTTCTTTGCCAACCCAGATCCAGCTCAAGGTAAAAATCTAAGCAACTTGGGCTAACATCCAACCAAGACAGGGATGGGCAGACTGATTTTCAAGATAAGAATAAGAGAAAGTTTCAGAACCGTCTTAGTAAAACATGTACACACAATTTAAGACAAAGAATAAGCATGATAATCACCTTGTGGATTTCTTTAGCCTGTTAACTTTGCTAATCTTGTCAGTCCTGTCTCCTTTAGGCTCGTTCCTAAAGTAATACATAGCAAAGGAGTAAGCAGTGATAAAATTTTTAAACTGAGTTGAATAGATGGGTGTGTGTTTGTGTGTGTGTGTTCAGATATGGGTGTTGACAACAAGGAGCAGGGGATCTCCCATGTAGTGATGGTTGTAAAAAGAAAGGAAAGTTGGCTGGGCACAGTGGCTCACATCTGTAATCCAACACTTTGGGAGGCCGAGGCTGGAGGATTGCTTGAGGTCAGGAGTTCAAGACCAGCCTGGGCAACACAGCGGGACCCTATCTCTAAAAATAAATAAAAAATTAGCCAGCCATAGTGGCACACATCTACAGTCCCAGCTACTTACTTGGGAGGCTGAGGTGGGAAGATGGCTTCAGCTCATGAGATCAAGGCTGCAGTGAGCTCGGATCATGCCACTGCACTCCAGCTTAGGTGACAGAGCAAGATCCTGTTTCAAAGAAAAAAAAAAAAAGGAGAGGAAAGAAATAAAAGTCACCTTGTCCCTGGGGCTTTGAGGAACTAGTGAAAGGACAGAAAAGTGGCCCAGGTTGCTTTGTGGTAGGAAACAGTGGCACTATTCCTGAGCTTAGATAGAAATATATACTGGGAACCACAGGCTCTCTGCCAGTGTCCTGCCAGTGGAGCACCCTTTGAGAGAGTGAAAGCAAGTGTTCTGATATTCTACAGAGGATGAAACTCAGTTCTCATGGTGTTACTGGAAAAGGCTCCTGGTCCAGACCCCAAGTGAGGGTTCTTGGATCTTGCGCAAGAAAGAATTCGGGGCCAGTCCACAGAGTAAAGTGAAAAAAAGTTAATTAAGAAAACAAAGGAATGGGCCAGGTGCCGTGGCTCACGCCTGTAATCCCAGCACTTTGGGAGGCCAAGGAGGGTGGATCACGAGGTCAAGAGATCGAGACCATCCTGGCCAACATGGTGAAACCCCATCTCTACTAAAAATACAAAAGAAATTAGCTGGGCGTGCTGGCAGGCACTTGTAGTCTCAGCTACTCGGGAGGCTGAGGCAGGAGAATTGCTTGAACCCGGGAGGTAGAGGTTGCAGTGAGCCGAGATCGCACCACTGTGCTCCAGCCTGGAGGCAGAGCAAGTTTCCGTCTCAAAAAAAAAAAGAAAAATAGAAAACAGAGGAATGAAAGAATAAAGAATAGCTACTCTATAGACGGGGCAGAGCATTCCCAAAAGCAAGAGGAGGAACATGCCCACCTTGGGTGCAATGCTTTTATATATATAAGATAACAAAGCAAAAAAATCATGGGGGAGATGTGCTTTACTACAAGAGCTTTTGACAAATAATTGTTAATTCTTGTGTAACTACAGTCTTCTGCAAGAATTTATATTATTATCTTTAAAGTGAAACTGATTCTTAGTTTAAGAATGCTTTTGTTCTTAAGATATCAGGACATCAGGACATTTCCTGGGTCTGTTAGGTCGTAGGTCTGTTCAGTAAACACGATTAACTTATTCTCTTAACTGTAAATATCCTGTTAACTAAGAATGCCTAACCTCCTGGGGAATAAAACCCAGCAGGTCTGAGCTTCATTTTACCCAGCTCCTACTCCAAGATGGAGTCCCCCTGGTTTGAATGCCTTTGACAATGGGGTTCAGATTCAAACAATAATTATTGAATGACTCTTGTGTGCCTGGCACATTAAAAGGTGGCTTCCCATTCATTATCTCATTCAAACTTCACAGTACTTTGGTGACATAGGTATCATAACCTTATTTCATGAATTAGTACCATGAGGCTCAGAGAAAAGTTATTTCCACAAGATGCCCAGGAAGTTGAGGGCAGACCTGGAACTGGGGTCCGCCTCCTGATTCGGGCCCTCTCTGCAATACCGAAAACCATTTTATTTTAGACTATTTATTAGATTGGTGCAAAATCATTGTGATTTTAAGTTTTGCACCAACCTAATATTAAGGGAATTTGATTTCTAAACTCGGTAACTTAAAATTATAATTTATATTGTTTTGGTGCAATCCTGACATCCAGAACCATGGAGAAACGTAATCCCAGATTCTACATTTCTTCTACTTCTTTATAAAACAGCATTTGGGGAGAGGTAGGATTTATAATCAGATGTAGATACTACTTAAGGAAAAACTGGGCTAGAAACAGGATCTCCAGATAACGTTACTAGTGATGCTGATACACTGGATTTCTTCCCAGCTCCAGCTTTCATTTAGTTGTTTGCTCATAACATATTATAACCCCTTTCTATAGTAAACTGGCACAAGGTTTTCTTAAATTGATTCAGGAGGATAAATTGTAAAGTTATATCAGGAGAGGGGTAAAATCCACATTCACCAAAATGGAGGATTAGGGTTAGGGGTTAGAGCTGAGAGGGAGAAGAGATCAGAAAGGGAAGAAAAGGTGTAGGACACCCTGCTCTGGGGATGAGAAGGGAAGCTGAGAATGCCATTGACTTGTCACCAAAGGAGAAACTGAAGTTAGAGAGTCAGGGAGTATTTGGAGAAGCGTGGACAGTTATCTAGTAGGTTCTGGGTAAAGCAAGAGTTCAGTGGCCGAATGAAGAGCTCCACCTAAGCGGGTCTGAATGTCTTAGGAGGATTCCAGGCCTCAGGCTCCTGCATAATTCTACGGCAAGGGCAAGAAGTTGTAAAACAGGTTTTTGAGCAAAATAGCCACATAGACTAATTTGGCCTGGCATTGTCCTAACTCTTAATACCTCTCTCTCTCTGCTCCTCAGCACCCAAAGCCCACCCATATGTACCAACCAACTGCACCTTCCTCTACCGGCCTACTCTTCATCTACCCTGGGTCCCATCCTCCCGTCTCCTCCTCCTCCTCCCTCAGAGCTCCACCTAAGCCTGTCTTCAAAGGCAATGACCTGCATACAGAATTAGGCCATCTCTTCTACTCTCCACCCCATCAGCTCTCAAATTTCCACCAAAACTTATCTCATCTTATAGTTGTCAGGAAAGCAACTTGAATAATGATGACTTCATGTGTTAACTACCTCAGGTCCTTTACATGGTAAAGAAGGCACTCATTACCTCAAACACCACAGACATTCAGAATTGTGTTTTCTGAAGAAATTTTAGACCTTTTTTGTGGTGCATCTCAAAGTATACAAAGCACACACTTCATATTAACATATCATGTTAAGTAGATGCTAGAGGAAAGATCCAGTTTTATCACCAGTGTCTTAACCACTGTGTTGTACCCTCGGCATGAGCTTACCTTTGAAGAGCAATCTACAAGAGGAGTTTACCTGGTAAGTCGCTGAATTTGAGAGGAGGTGGCAAAATGGCAGAGGAATTGCTTCAAAATGGATGAGTCTGATTGAGACGCTTTTGTATACTGGAAACGGGGACAAATAAGCAGGATGTGCATTTGTTATGTTGAGAATGTTCCTTGCTGTGTTTATAGCTTATTTGAAATGTACTAAATTATTAAAAGTTTCTCCTTAAATACAAAGATTTAGAAAGCTGAGGCCTAAAAGTAGATCCTACTGGTCACAGTAGATTAAGAAATGTTTCTGTATCTGAGCTTAAGACAATGAGTAAGATACGAGAAAAGTGGTTATCAGGGTTGGGGTTACTGACCCTTCTAACTTCCCCTCTCTCAGACCTCCTCGTGGGATGAAGTAAATCAGGGAGTCTCTCGCTGCTTTCCTCAGTGTCTGTGGGTATTTAATAAACGTTGATGGAAACGCTTCACCAACCTGAGTGCATTGCCTCTCTTCTCTAGCCTCATCTATAAAAGAACTCTAAGTCATTTCTAAGCCAAGAAACGGCTGTGCTTTTACTACCTTTGTCATTATTATATGTCAGAATAGACCTTACCTGATTCAGCGTTTTCCTTCGAACTTCATATTCTACAGCTTTGTAATGATAGTTGATAGTAATTTTCATTTGCAATAAAAAAATAAAAGTTTAAACCAATGAAATAGCTGCAAGCCTGCTGTATCGGTTCGAACCCCAAGAGCGCGGTAACAAACACCACAAGGCGGTGTGGAGCAACACGCTGTTCTAATGAGCGCCTGGGTACAGACGGGCTGAGGTCTACAATGGCGTCAGCACCAAATGAGTATGCGGCAGGGGTTTATAAAGTCTCCTGTAAACAGGAAGTGTCTCAGTCTGATGTAACTGCTACGCAGTACGCGGACGGCCTCTCTTTCCGTCTTCAGCGGGTACGTGTCTTCCGGGCAGCCCTCTTCCTGCTTCTGCTATCTTGCTGACGCAGGCTGCTGACTCAAGTGGTCTTGAGCCTTGGGACTGGGCCTGAGAAGGGAGGAGTTATTCACCCTCCACCCCGCAGCTTCCAGGCCCAGTGGAAAGTCTTTCAATAGCCACCATCAGTTTCTACGGAGCAACATGTAAAAAATTACAAAAGTAGGAACATTGCAAATGCTTTCTCATGGCGGAATTAATGGCGACAAGAAAATTACGAAAGCATCGAAGCACTTTTAAGGCTGAGTTTTAATCCTAAGAAACACAAATGCTAAATATAAAATTCCAGTCAATCAACAAGTGCTAGCCTCGATTATTTAATGGTAAACAGTTGGGAAAAAGCTCAAATTAACACGAAATACTAAATAAGAGACTAATAAATATTTCATCTAGTTAGTGTGACAAAAAGGCCTCCATAAACTTCTTTGCTCATTGGGTAGGCTGAGAAATGGGTCAGATTGGATATGGTTTATTTGGTTACAATTGATCATTTGGCCTAAAGACAACTGTCTTTTAAAAAATGCGTTATTTATATCGTTGGAGAGTCAAGAAAAGGATGAGTGTATAGACCTAAACAGAATCTGAATGCTTGCCTTTGGCTAAGTTGAAGTTAATGATCACAATAATGAACCACATCAGGAAACATGGTGAGCTTGGGGCCGAATTTTCAGTTGTAACTTGTACCTCTCAAATTGTTACATTATTCAACAATACATTTTCCACACACTCAAATTTGTTCACTTGTAACTTGTATTAATTGAAAATTCATTCACTTTGGAAGGTGTTTTGAAAGAGGCTTGTGTATAGCAGTTGCTGGTACCCCTGGAATTCAAAATGATGCCAACTGAATGCCATTTCAAATAAAACCTTTCATTTATTTATTTATTTATTTATTTATTTATTTATTTATTTATTTATTTTTTGGCAGAAGAAAAGAGCAGAGTCACACAGTAGCTCTCGATTTATGAACAGTGTTTTCTAACTCTCAGACTCCCACCGTGTGTGTAGTTCCCTTGAAGGAACTAGGTTGGACACATTTAACAAGAAAATAATTGTATCTCTATATCTGCTTTTTAATTTGAAATCATATGGACCTTTGATTATACTTCATCCCATTCTCATGCCTCCTATGACCAGTTGAGAGGGTGGACACTGAGAATCCTACAGCAGCTTCTTCTGTTTGTAAAATATTGTTCAATGACAAGTCAGACAGATAGAAACCTCCAAAGCATGGTGGCTATTGTGGACAAAATTTGTGAAAATATTTTACATTGGACCTTCCAGTAAGCATTTTCGCAGCCCTAGGTCACATCTTGAAATTATACAATTGGATCCCCCCAAATTGGGTTGAAGTGCTGACAAACGAGAGGATGTAACAGATCAAAACTGATCTGGATGATGGGTGAGTGAAGTGCAGGCAGATAGAGGACAGAGATAAACCCATACATGCCTTACGGGAGTTTGTGGCTTTAAGTGGAGTCCATCCTTGTAAGTGGTGCATTAAACAAAGAGTTTATTGTAAAGTGGGCCTGATCCCTGGAGGAAAAGAAAATTGATTCTTTTTCACTGGAGGGAAGTTAACTCTTTCTGTCCTTTTGCAGCAGAGAAGGTGCTGAACACATATTTAGTGATGAATTTCCCTGGTTAGTTCCAAGGGGTCTTTATGTCAGGAATAGTATTTATTCATACTGCATTTTCTATGTAATAGAGAGGCAGGATTCCCTAAAGTCCCCCGTTATAATCCCTTCATCCCATCTAGCACAGGTAGACTGTGAAAAACACATATTCTAATAGTTACTAAGCTGTTAAAATTGGCTACAATACTTTTATTTTTGTTTGTTTTGCACAGGAGTAACTCAAGATGATTTTGATGTTGCAGTTTTAAATTTCACTTTGACTTGAGCTGGGAAATCCTTTGGCCTATTATACCATGGATGCTAAAAATGGTAAGAGCTGCATGTTCTGCCTTGATGTTTTCAAGACTGAATTTGGAGGGAGAAAAATTATTTTGCCTAAGGATGTCCGTGAAAGTATCAGGAAAACACTGAAAAGCCGGAGAGAAGGGTTCAATTGTAGCGTGCTCCCTTTAAGAGGGAAACGAGATTAGCAACTTTGGCAAATTTTTGGGACTCTATTCAGAGGGAAAGAGAAGAGCTGCCAGTGTCAAAAAAAAAAAAAAAGAAAGAAAGAAAAGAAAAAAAAAAGGATGAATGTTATGAGACAAAGACAGAGGCAATTTTACACCTTTCTGAAAGCTTACCTGGGAGTAGTTTTAGGTCCACTGAGGTTAAGAAAGATGCATTTTTTTTTCTTTTCTTTCAAGACTAAAGGTGGAGTTAGGGGGAAATGAGTTTAATGTGAAGTAGTACTCCTGTCAGTTCTGTTTGTCCTGGGAAGTATACAAGGAAGAAAAGCCTCCGTGGAAGAGAGAGCAAGCACCAGGTGCTGAAGGTGAGGGATTACCTATTACACTAACAATTATGAAAGTTACATTATGATATGAAAGTAGAAACTCTTTATTGCATCCTTCTTTTAAGGAAAAACCTGATTTAAACAGTTAGGAAGCTTATGACTGCTAGACACATATCTGAATTGAATTTTGCCTTTTCATATTAGCAATTACTTTGTTTTCTAAATGCCCTCATGCAAGAATAGTTTACAAAAATAAAGCAGATTTTTTTTTATATCAGGTCAGAAAAGTTAGTGAGGCATCATTTGGGATAATCACAGTGTTTACCCAAGCCTTATTCATATATAAAAATGTTATTTTCTCTAATTGCATATTTTGCCTCTATAATGACTGGTTAAATTCTAAACTGAAATGAGTAATCAATACTGTGCACCTAATGTTCAGATGAAGTCGTAGCTATTTTAGATGGTATGACACTGCTCCAAATTTGGCAAATTGCTATAAAGATGGACATTGAAAGCTAAAAAGTGTGTTTTTGTTGTTGTTGTTTTTTAGGTTCTAACTGAAAACCCAAACCAAGAAATAGCAACAAGTCTAGAATTCTTACTACTACAAAACTCACCTGGATCCCTAAGGGCACAGCAAAGAATGAGCTATTACGGCAGCAGCTATCATATTATCAATGCGGACGCAAAATACCCAGGCTACCCGCCAGAGCACATTATAGCTGAGAAGAGAAGAGCAAGAAGACGATTACTTCACAAAGATGGCAGCTGTAATGTCTACTTCAAGCACATTTTTGGAGAATGGGGAAGCTATGTGGTTGACATCTTCACCACTCTTGTGGACACCAAGTGGCGCCATATGTTTGTGATATTTTCTTTATCTTATATTCTCTCGTGGTTGATATTTGGCTCTGTCTTTTGGCTCATAGCCTTTCATCATGGCGATCTATTAAATGATCCAGACATCACACCTTGTGTTGACAACGTCCATTCTTTCACAGGGGCCTTTTTGTTCTCCCTAGAGACCCAAACCACCATAGGATATGGTTATCGCTGTGTTACTGAAGAATGTTCTGTGGCCGTGCTCATGGTGATCCTCCAGTCCATCTTAAGTTGCATCATAAATACCTTTATCATTGGAGCTGCCTTGGCCAAAATGGCAACTGCTCGAAAGAGAGCCCAAACCATTCGTTTCAGCTACTTTGCACTTATAGGTATGAGAGATGGGAAGCTTTGCCTCATGTGGCGCATTGGTGATTTTCGGCCAAACCACGTGGTAGAAGGAACAGTTAGAGCCCAACTTCTCCGCTATACAGAAGACAGTGAAGGGAGGATGACGATGGCATTTAAAGACCTCAAATTAGTCAACGACCAAATCATCCTGGTCACCCCGGTAACTATTGTCCATGAAATTGACCATGAGAGCCCTCTGTATGCCCTTGACCGCAAAGCAGTAGCCAAAGATAACTTTGAGATTTTGGTGACATTTATCTATACTGGTGATTCCACTGGAACATCTCACCAATCTAGAAGCTCCTATGTTCCCCGAGAAATTCTCTGGGGCCATAGGTTTAATGATGTCTTGGAAGTTAAGAGGAAGTATTACAAAGTGAACTGCTTACAGTTTGAAGGAAGTGTGGAAGTATATGCCCCCTTTTGCAGTGCCAAGCAATTGGACTGGAAAGACCAGCAGCTCCACATAGAAAAAGCACCACCAGTTCGAGAATCCTGCACGTCGGACACCAAGGCGAGACGAAGGTCATTTAGTGCAGTTGCCATTGTCAGCAGCTGTGAAAACCCTGAGGAGACCACCACTTCCGCCACACATGAATATAGGGAAACACCTTATCAGAAAGCTCTCCTGACTTTAAACAGAATCTCTGTAGAATCCCAAATGTAGTCCTAAATTGCAATTATGAGGGCTACCACTGAATCATTTTATCTTTCAGCCAATCAAGTCGTTGTAAACGTGGCTTTTTTGAAAGTGTTATGGCTATGTTTTATGATGATGCTGGGTAAGTAGAGTAAGTTAAACTTGGTAAAAGATAATCTAAAAATTCCATAGTTCTCAGTTATTAAAATTTTTCTTGTTCGCCAATTTTGTATTAAGAATGCTATTAAGCCTAATTGATTAAAATTTATCTTTTTTATTATCTTACATGCTTGTATCTTCAGTTGGAGGTGTAGTATTCAAAAACGGGGAATGAAGGCAGGAAGGAGGCTGGAATAAATAAAAATAAAAATAGACAAGTAAGACAGCATAAATAATACATTTTTAAACATGTCAACATTGATAATACAATGAAGATTTACCATAAAAAGTATCATATCTAACCAAGATATGCAAAAGATGCATTCAGTAAGCTGTAACGTTGAGAAATGTAACTGTGAAATCAGCTCACCAGTTCAAGTCACTAGGTTTGCCACTTGGACCGTCTTGGTTTCAGCGAGCATAGCGAGTGGCTGTAAGAAATTGTCCATGCCACCAATTCCACTGCTACTTGCCCAGGTAGTGATCAGTGAGAGTTAGAAGCAATTTTTTCTCTAACCGATGAGGCAGAAGAAAAGTTAACAGTATTTAAAGCAGCATTTCTCTCTTAACGTTCCTGGGAGACTCCAACAAATGGAGACCAGAAACAAGGCAACCACGACCTTGCTAGGTTCTCTGAGGAGGGGACTTTCTATGTTCACGTCCCACCTTCTTCGAGGACATGACCAAGGGACAGGATCATACAGATGAGGTGAGGGGATGGTTAGCAGCGATAAACATTCTCAGACCCTTGGAGAGAAACCGTTGCTAGCTTGCTGGTCCCGAAAGATTGCAACTTTGGCTGCTACAGAAAGGATAGAACCTTTTTGGGGGGAGGGTGGGGAGGGAGATATTTATTTGTGCCCAGAAGCAGTTATGTATGCTTCTTGTCTTGGTTACTGTACAAGATACAAATGACTCGAGTTGTGGATTGCAAGAAACTCTTTTATTAAACTTGGAACAACCATTTAAATGAAGGATTTTGTGAGATAGAATTCAATTAAAGCGATTTGAATGCACAGTAAGTGGATAATCTGAGTACAATGAAATTTCTTAAGTTTTAGAACATGAGATAAAGTTGTATACTCTACTTTCATGTTAAAATGTTAATCATGATTACTTTAAGCCCACATCCACTGAGTAAAGAGTCACTTTAAACTTTATAAATCAAAGAGATATTAGGAACATTCAGAATTATTTGTGTTTTGTTTTTGTTTTACATTGTTGCTGCACTGGCAATAAGTATGTGGCACTGTTTTTATTTGTTTATGTTATTTAAATACACACCCAGACACACACACACACAGTTTTTGCTTTTTCTGGAAAATCTTTCTTTCTCTTCTCTCTCCATGAAAATTAAAACACACAAGTGAATGAAGTAATTACATAGTCCAAGATTAGAAATACAAGTAAAATATATAGGTATAGGTAGATAGAGTGCCTTTCTGTTTCTTTTCTTTTCTTTTTTCTTTTTTTGTTCTTCCTTCCTTTCTTCCCTCCTCCCCCTCATCCTTCCCTTTCTCCTTCTTTTCCCTTTTTTTTTTTTTTTTGACCTGGGAGTAATAAAGTTACTTTTTAAATGCACGTATGCAATCTTTTATTCCTCTTGTTTTATGGATAAGAGATTTGTTCAGGTCAAAAGTTGCAAAACTGTTCTGAAGCTTAATATTAGAGACCCAAGTAAGATTGTTTTTAGTCTTGCTTGAGGAATGCACACTCCATTTAAAAAATTGTGCGCTCTGTAGATTTGGATTTTACAGCAGCAATTACTTGGCTAAATTAGAGTACTGCAATCTTGTAAGTAGAAAACAGCCACCATGACAATAAACAAAAACACTTAAAAATATTTTTAGCTTGTTTTACCTACATCTAGTTTCATTTCATCTTGCTTTGCTTTGTTGACTCTGCTACCGCTGATGTTTGCCTTGTCAATATCAGAATAGGGGCATCAGTGTCCCGTGAAATACATTTTGTTGTGCTATGAGCCTCTGTAATCAAATGCTTGTACTCAGAAGAGAGTGTAAAATCAGCATTTCTATGTAACATATATCTCTAATTATCTGTGTAATTTTATAACATACTTTGACAACCCCAGTGAGTTACTTAATAATAAAGATCTTAAAATAATGCAAAAACTGTGTGCATATACCTATATTTTCAGTGGTATAAGTTCTCTTTGCTGATGTGGTCAGAATTGGGTACAGTGCACCAAAAATAAGAATGCTGCTTCATAGAAAGAGAACATAGGCAGCATTGTAAAGCATTTTTATGGGTTTTTTAACAGCTTGTACAACAGGTATATCTGAAGTAAAAATTAGTTGCTTCTGTAAGTATCACAAGCAGGTTCTATGTAAAATGGCAATTCTAGTTTCAAATGCCCTGCCAATAACGAGAAGTTGGTTGAATATTTTTTCTTATGCCATCCACTTTTTCCCCCAAAATGAAATTATTCAATGAAGTTAAATAGATTTAAAATGAATTGTGGCATCAAGGTATTGCTCTACCATGTGCTATAGTTTCTGAAGGGGGCCCTGGAGAAGTGAGTAAGACTAAGGAGAGAGAAGAAAATATTATTTTCATGTGCCACCAGATTAGTGAGTATTATCAAGTGATTGATGCATGGATTTAATCCCCACAATAACATAGTAAGGTGGATTTTTTAAATTTCCATTTCATCGACTCTCCCATCATCTTCTTTTCCCTAACAAATTCCTAATTGGAAAACAATGTGTTCGGGTTTATAAAAAAAAAAAATACAGCTGTATTTCCAGTCCCGATGCAGGTTGCTGGAGGGTAGGGTTAACTGGCATAGTTCTGGCACATAAGATGTTAGCAGGAATCTATGGGTGCGGCTTTTATGAAAGCTTTTAAGCTGACTTGGCTGGCTCATGCCCTGTTCCTCTCCCTGCTCACCTTTCTCTCCATCTGGACCTCTAACTTGGTAGCTTATGCTCTTGAAGCCACCTTGTAAGAATGCAAATCAAGGACACCCCCTACAAGGGAAAATAGAAAGGTAAGAAAGACTGCAGCCCTAGATTGCACATCTCCAGACGTCTTTTTCATAAGTGAAAATAAATATGATTTCTAATTGACACAGCAATATATCTAAGGGAAATTATCCAGGAAACAAGCCTGGTTTAAAAAAAAAAAAAACGATGCACAGCTTAGGTCCAACTTGTACTTGTCCATGACAGTTGATGGAGTTGATCACTGTGGAAACAGCTAGCTTTCTTTCTTGCTTTTTTCTTTCTTTCTTTCTTTTTTTTTTTTTTTTGAGACAGTCTTGCTCTGTTGCCCAGGCTAGAGTGCAGTGTCATGATCTCAGCTCACTGCAACCTCTGCCTCCTAGGTTCAAGCCATTGTCCTGCCTCAGCCTCCCCAGTAGCTGGGATTACAGGCCTGCACCACACCCAGCTAATTTTTGTATTTTTAGTAGAGACAGCGTTTCACCATGTTGGCCAGGCTGGTCTCGAACTCCTGACCTCATACTTTCAAAGGAGTTGAGGACATGCCACTATCGTAAGACACACACACAAAGGATTGCTTTTGGCCTGGAAATCCCTCTGAGATGCTGGTGGTGGAGTGACCTTGATAAAAGGATTAACCAGGCCCACTGCTCTTTTGCTTCTTTCTTCCCCCCAACATAAAATCCACAGAAACCTGGATAAAGCAGGCACTGTACAACTTGGGCAAAAAATAAAACTGCTAATACTGTCTCAGACCCTCTATCCCTCACCAAGACCAAACTTCATCCATTTAGAATATTTGAGAGGATTTTTAATACACACAAAGGAATCCAGATTTTTCTTTAAATATTTGTATTTCATCATTTCTGAGTGGGCCAGGACATGTGCTGAGTGGATTCTCTGGGCCACTTTTATGTAAATTTTTAGGCACCAGATTCTACTCAGTTTAATATATTCTATCTATTAGTCTCATCAGTTACAAGCCTTGATTCTTCTGTTCTGAATGTTCTGTAAGGCGTGTGCAAAGTCCTGTGTCTTTTAAGGTAAGACTTGCCTGTGGATATCTAGAAACCACGCCTATTCACCCTGCGTACTCTATAAATCACAAAGCCCTGACTCAATTCTAAAATCAGCGTGGCCTCTCTCTCTCTCTCACTTTCATTTTTAAAGGAGCAGTATGACCCAGGCTCCCGAGAAGAGAGCTTCTGGCTCCACATGCAAAATGCAAGTTAGTGTTAACACAGAACACACAGATTATGCAGCAGGGAAGCACTTGGTAAATTCCTTTCAAATGTTCCCCTAGATAGGAGGTCTTTGAAAGCAAAAACTAGTAACCGAGATTCAGTCCAGATAAATCTGTGGGCAGACAGCAAGTGAGGTCCCCTAGAAGGGGCATTTTCCTAAAAAGACATAATCATAATGCTGCCCAGAAACCATCATTGGTCTGCATTACTTTGTACCTTTTCTTCAATCAGAAAAACCTTATCTACCAGTAAATTCCCAAGTGTTTTCTTTCACTGCTCTTGGTTTCCTAAAGCAACTGAACGCACTCCTCTTATGACTATGCGGTTGGGTCATGAGATTTGGCTTGGAGTAAGCAGCCTCTTGCCTCATCCTGCCACCCTGTGCTTCTTTCCTTGGAAATGTCCAAGCTTGTGGTTTGGGATTCTCTGTGCAGAGTTTTGAGACTTATGTCGACACCTCTACATGTTTTGAAATTCAATAGATTGAGTTGCTGAGCACCTAGCAGGGATGGTAGAAAAAACAAAAATAGAATGAATAAAATAAACTATGGCCTTTTCCTGTTGGGTCTCATTGATTTATTCTACTTTGTAAATATTGTAACGTAAAAGGATACCATGTCCAGGGTCTGTCTGCTGTCCCAAGAAAAAGCAGCTGGACTGAGCTGGAGAGTCTTCCAAATAAATAAGACAATCTGTGCTGGGTAATCACTCATCTCAGGCCTGGAGTGGAAACTCTGGGGACGCTTCAGGCTGCAGAGAAACAGGTTAATTATTTAAAGTATTTCAGCAAGCCTGATGGATGAAAACTCAAACAAATAGATTAAGTCTTGCTAAATTACATAGCCAAAGAATGCTGGTTTTTGTTTTTTTTTTTTTTTTCCTCTATGCTATCATTTACCACAGGGGCCAATGAAAGGTCTTTAATCACTGTCTAAGTAACCTGAACTTGAGACAGAAAGGGCCCCTGGAGATTTAGTCACTGTGAAAACTTCTTTACAGCAAGTTATCAGAAATCTTCAACTTTCCACATAAAATACTTCAGTCACATGCGATACTCACTGTGGTTAAATGCCCTTTATTTGAATTAGAAGCACATGTTGAAGATCAATTATTTATTGTGCTGCTGGTTGATTCTTTCTGACACTAGTTGGCCTGGGGAAGGGAGGCTAGTCATAGGGGCCGGGTTAAGGACAGAGCTAGCCTCTGCTAGCCGCCAATTCCAGAACCAAAGATTTTTAGGATATCAGGAGGACATCAGATCCCTTTTTATGTAGGAGGAAACCTCCAACTCGGGAGTTATCTGCCTAAAGAGTGACAGACATGGAGGGACGGAAGAAGAAAACACAATTACCAATGGCCAACCTGGGGCAATAAGCAGACCTGATGCTGCCCAAAGTTGAAGTATTGCTATTTTTTAATCAGTAAATAGCGCAAATGATCATTTCGAGACCCTTTGTTAAATAGCAAGCTAGTATTTTCTAGAAGTGCTATTGATCATTAAGTATTTAAAGAAGTGGCCGGGCACGGTGGCTCAGCCTGTAATCCTAGCACTTTGGGAGGCTGAGGCGGGTGGATGACCTGAGGTCAGGAGTTTGAGACCAGCCTGGCCAACGTGGTGAAACCCTGTCTCTACTAAAAAATACAAAATTAGCTGGACGTGGTGGCACGCACCTGTAATTCCAGCCACCTGGGAGGCTAAGGCAGGAGAATCGCTGGAACCCGGGAAGCGGAGGCTGCAGTGAGCCGAGACCATGCCGCTGCACTCCGGCCTGGGTGAGACTCTGTCTCAAAAGGAAAAAAAAAAAAAGTATTTGGAGAAGCTGGGAAAACAAAGGTAAAAAAAAAGAAATGTGGGAGGCAGCTGGTAAGAGTCATGATAAAGGAAGATAAACTTCTTCAAAATGTGCACAAACAACGATTGAATAAAAAAAAAAAAGCTCACACCTTTTCAGGGAAATGCTAATGTACAGTGAGGCACACCTATGTACACTGATTTATTGCCACCAAACCTTTTACCTTGGAAGCAGAAATGTTTAGTCTTTTGGCAGGGCCGGCCTTAAAGCATAAGCAAACACAAGGAGCAACAGGTTTTTTTGGGTTTTTTTTGGTTTTGTTTTTTTTGGGAGCAACAGGGTTTTTTTTTGTTGTTGTTTTTGTTTTTATCATTAAATGGAAGTGCTCCCTTCTTGAAACAAGTGCTATGAAGAAAACAGCCCAACCTGAGAGAATCACACAGATTTGGTCTGGATACAGCCACTTATTAACTGTGCCACCTGGAGCAACTGAGCTGCTGTCTCCAATTCTCAGTTTCCTTAGCTATAGATTTCCTTTCTGTATTAAGCTACAAATTTAAGGGTGCAGAATTAAGAATCAAATGCCTTAAGTTTGAATTCTAGTTCTTCTTCTTTCTTTTTTAAAAAATTAATTATTATTATTATTATTATTTTGAGATGGAGTCTCACTCTGTCACCCAGTCTGGAGTGCAGTGGCATGATCTTGGCTCACTGCAACCTCCACCTCCCAGGTTCAAGCAATTCTACCACTTCAGCCTCCAAAGTAGCTGGGATTAAAAGTAGCTGGGATTACAAGCGTGCGCCACCACACTCAGCTAATTTTTTTTTATTTTGTAGACATGGAGTTTTGCCATGTTGGCCAGGGTGGTCTCGAACTCCTGACCTCAGGTGATCCACCTGCCTCAGCCTCCCAAAGTGCTGGGATTACAGGCGTGAGCCACCATGCCCAGCCTAGTTCTACTACTTTCTTACTGTGTGACTTTGGGCAATTTACTTAACCTCTCTGGGCCCAAGTTTTCTCAACTGTGAAGTAAAGAAAATAACAGTACCCACCTTACAATTGTTAAAAGGGTTAGTGAGAAAATATTTATAAGGTCCTTAGAAGAATGCCTAGCACATAATGAATGCTAATACAGTGTAGGCAATTAATACTGCCAGCAGCAAACTCATCTCTTTTGGTGTTTCATAATTTACATTCCTTAACTTTTAACATTGACCTAATCAAAAAAACAAACAAAAAATTAAAAAGGAGAAATCACGCAACGATTTTAGTAGAAGAAATATAAATTATTCCCAATCCAAGTGTAAATTGTTTCCGTACTATCTGACCAAAATTACTTTGGATGATTTATATCATACATCCTTTCCATTGTGGGAGGCATGAGCATTCAGTAAAATACAGTTTTGAAAATAAAATACTACTCTACTCAGATACACCTAAAGCTTAGTGAATAGCAACAAACAGAGGAAAAATCAAACTGCATAAAATACAGGATAATCCTCCTGCATTATCTACTTACTGGGCATTAAATTAAAGCCATTTCCAAAAGTACTTAACTGCTTCATATCATAATAACATGTGTTATTTTCAAACTGTTCAACATGTTCCTGTTAAATTGGAGGGGTCCTGAGAGGAGTAGGCTTATCATGCCAAAATAACATATCACTACTCAACTAAGCTGCTGCTCATTGAACTCGAAAAACCTCACTGGCCTATGCTGTGCCAGTGGACCCCACAGAACTAAAAACTGCTCACAAGACAGAACCACACCTCATGTTGGGAAAGAACAGGTGTGTTGAGCACATTTGAGATGGGAGAAGAACAATTCATCTTTTTCTCTAAAATATGACATACTTTTGTAGTAAGATCATGGCTAAATCAGGCAGAAGTGGATTCAAATTCCTTTTTTAAAGGTGTGCCCCTTGGCAGCTGTATGAACTTTGGTAATTTTCTAATTGTCATTGAGCCTTAGTTTCTTCATGAGTGTAAGTGGAGCTAATCATATTTACCTGTGGGCTCTCTCAGTCCATGTTGTGCTGCTTATAACAAAATACCACCAACCAATTAACTTGTAATGAACAGAAATTTATTGGCTCACGGTTCTGGAGGCTGGGAAGTCTAAGATTGAGGGACAGCCTCCTAGTTGTGTCATCCCATGGTAGAAGTTGGAAAGACAAGAAAGGGCAAAGGAGAGAGAGGAAAGGTGACAAAGTCTCCCTTTTACAACGAATCCACTCCTGTGATAAAGGCGTTAGTCCACTCATGAAGGCAGAGCCTCCATGGCCTCTTCACCTCTTAAAGGTTTCACCTCTTAATACTGTTACAATGGCAATTCAATTTCTACATGAGTTTTACAAGGAACAAACATTCAAACTATAGTATGGGCTAATTGCAGAGTATGTTAGGATACCTTTACACACAAACACATATATATGAACATACCTATATATATATGTGTGTATGTATGCTTATATACATGTATATATATGTATGTATAGACAGACACACATCTAACTATCTGGCAGATAGGAGTTATTCAGTAAATGAATATTCTCTGTTTTCTTCCATATATATTAGTAATAGCAAGGTATTTCAGAGGAATTTGAAAGCAAAAGCATTATTAGCGGTAGGATAGTAATGCTCTACTGATTATCACAATTTTAAAAAACGTCTTATGTTTTTATCTTGATATGTGGTTGATGTATGAGATCATAGTCTCCTCCTGCTCCCAAGGGAAATTGATTTCCACCTCAGGGCTGCCATTAATGAGCTGTGGGTTTTGGGGGAGTTAACCTCCTTGGTCCACTATTTCTGAACATTGATGACATGGATGTTCTTTAAATTACTTTACGGTTCTTTACAGCCACAAAATGTGCTGATTTTTCCTCGCTCTACTTGTAGCCCTGATTTTTTTGTTGTTGGCTTACAATGCTTTTATTTCATTGCCACATTGCTATGGTCTAAATGTTTCTGTCCCCTCCAAATTCCCATGTTGAAATCCTAAGCCCCCAAGGCCATGGTATCCAGAGGTGTGGCCTTTGGAAGGTGATTAGCTTATGGGGGTGGAGGCCTCATAAGAAAAATTAGTGCCCTTTTAGAAGAGGCCTGTGTGAGACCGCTCACCCCTTCTACCCTGTGGAAACACAGTGAGAAGGTGCTGCCTCTGACCCAGAAAGTAGACTCTCACCAGACAATGAATCTGCCTTGATCTTGGACTGTCAAGTCTCCAGAACTCTAAGAATTAAATTTCTGTTGTTGATAAGCCATCCAGTTTATGGCATTCTGTTATAGCAGACTGAACAGGGTTAGATACATATGTATTTTAGTGCAGTATTTTCTATTCTCATAAGTACTGTACCATCTGAATTCAGCTGGAAAGTTCCAATTTTACAATACTTTGTGCAATTTTAAAAATCTTTCTTTAATGTACAACTCACTGTGATGTACATTTTATACATCCCATGATAATAATTTGACAATTCAGTTAAAGTTATATTTGTTGAATTTAGTTTTCAGTTCTGCTATTACTGCCCTTTTCTAAAATTGGGTCTATTTTAAACAGGAAAATTGAAGCCATTTAAAAACACCACAAAATTTGATTTCAAAAAAGATAAAATATTGCTTTTACAATTGTAATGGCAGGAAGCAAGTAGCATAATGAAAAATGTAATAACCATAGTAGAACACTAAAATTCTAATGGGGACACCTTACGCTCATGACATAAACTAATAAAAGGCATCATCATACATGTTATTTTGTAAAATGCCAGAATTCTTAATCTAGGGAAGTTGGGGGAAAATGCTCATTTATGGGATGCTACTAACCCTTCATGTTATTATAAAGGAGTGCATCAGGGCCGGGCGCAGTGGCTCACGCCTGTAATCCCAGCACTCTGGGAGGCCTAGGAGGGCAGATCACGAGGTCAGGAGATCGAGACCATCCTGGCTAACATGGTGAAACCCCGTCTCTACTAAAAATACAAAAAATTAGCCAGGCATGGTGGCGGGCGCCTGTAGTCCCAGCTACTGGGGAGGCTGAGGCAGGAGAGTGGGGTGAACCGGGGAGGTAGAGCTTGCAGTGAGCCGAGATGGCGCCACAGCACTCCAGCCTGGGTGACAGTGAGAGTCTCTGTCTCAAATAAATAAATAAATAAAAAATAAAAAGAAGTGCATCTTCAGGTGGGTGATTTGTCTGACGAATGGCAAACTGTACCTGGCTAGCCTGTATTTCATTTTAACTTGGGGAAAAGGTGGTTTCTCTTGTATACCTTTCCAATGAGTGTAGCTCACCATCATTGCAACACCTAGATTCCCAGGCATCAGTGGTCTCCCAGTCTCCTGAACATGATGAGAGATGGCCTGTTCTCAATACAAAGCCATCATGAAATAAATGCAGGGCACACTGGGCTATTCTGGGTTCTTTTCCCAATATTGTGCCTGGCATGAAATGCAGAAAAACAGCAACTTTCAATGGACAAATTTGAACCTGTAGTGTAAGCCGAAGTTTCTGGAATGGTATTTTTATTCTTATATTATAAATAAATGTTAGCATGGTCATGAAATAACTAAGACTGAATGGAGAGCAACATTAGATCCATTGAACAATATAACTTTGTGTTTATCCTTCTTCAAAAGTGTAACTTATTATTTAAGTTATTACTGTTTGTTTTAAACCTTTGAATAATACATAAAATGATAGCTCTGTGGACCTGCTTGTCCTGGTGGGGCTGGAGATTGGAGGAAAAAAAAATATTAATGATGTTGCAGGCAGAAAGAAGACAAAAACTAAACAAAAGCACTTCGCCTTTTCCCCAAAGGTTGGGGTGATATTTAATTATGAAATGTCATAATTGTAGTGATAACAAGATTAATAATAACAATTATGTAAATGCCTCTGGTAATTGCAATTCTATTAGGAGGCTGAGTATTTTTGGTCACTATTGTGCCACCTTGTGGTCACAAGAGAACACATGTTTTTTCCATGAAGTAAATCCATTAAGTTTTAATTTATCCCCGACTGCTATGGAATGATATTTGGAAAAATAACTTGGAATGCTCGGTGTCAATAATACCGATAAACAAAATATAATGGACACCATTCAAGTCAGAAAATAGCAGGCACTGAAAAGCAACAAATAACATTGTTCTAAGTATAGATTCCATGTGCTAGATTTCCCCCAGCTACCTCAACATGGATTACATATTTAGAAGATAAAATTGTAGTTTCTTTAGACTGCCATTCTCAATCTACAAATATAGACATGAAACTCTGGATGACATCCGTTGAGCATCTAATAAATAATTCAACACTCTATTTATTGCAAGGGAAGGCAGCCAAAATGTAGGTATCGATTACCAATATTGTGTTAAAATAATCACGCTAATGCATGTATAGGTATAGCTTAATAAACATGATTTTAATGGCATGAGTGAATATTTGCTTTATAAATATGTATATTATAATCTCATAATTTATATGCATTTCAAAGAATCGTGATATTTGTTTAAAGGATTTTTCTGTTTTCTAAATCCTGCTTATGTCAGTATCCAGATGTGATGAACTGAGAAAGGTAGGATTAGCCACCTTCCCATAAAGTACTGTCTGCTAGAAACTAAATAATATATTTTGTAACAAATTCAGACATTTAATGGCCACCATCTTATACCATCAGTGCTTATTTGATTAAGGCTGTAGTTTTTCTTTTTAATTAAAGATAAAAATATTAAAAACAAGAAAGTCTCAATAATTCTGTCATTATAAGTAGTGTCTGTGGGTGTATGTTGCGGTGTGTGTGTGTAGAATGGGGGTGGAGGAGGGGGAGAGAGAGAGAGAGAGAGAGAAAGAAGTAGTATATAAGATAATGCATTCTCACAGATATACTGCCGTACTAGTATTGGTTTTAAGTATCTCCATCCATCTCTCTGCCTCTTTGTCTCCGTTTTCTTTGTTTCTTGACCTTATATGTATCTATTTCTCTCTTTTCTCTGATTTTTTTCTACTTATCTTACTCTCTACATATTAGTCTCTCTTTCTCTGTCTCTTTCTGTGTCTGTTTCACTCTCTCATTTAATTTAGATTGAAATCTAGGTGGTCAGGTAATCTAGATTTGAATCCTAGCCCCATGGATTACTAATGGTGTGGCCTTAGAGAAACTCCTCAGGCATCTAAGCCTCAGTTGCTTGTTAAATAGGGGTTAAAGTACTTACCTCGTAAAATTGTTCTCACAATTAAATGAAACATGACATATTGTAAAAGCCCTTAAGACAAAATCTAGCACAGAGTAAATGGCCAATATATGGTGTTTATTTTTATTTTTGTTGTCTGTGAAATATATACATTTTTAGTATTCCAATCTGTACCATCATAAGTTGCTCTAATACTGCCTTATTTATACGTATAATAAGTGACAGATGTAGCTCACAGAATTTTAAAAATGAATCTCCCATGTACCTCTTCTAACCACTTTATCAATGAATCGCTCAAAAGAAGAAGGTGTCTTTCTTATAATCATATAATTATTTAGTAGATCTGATACAGGAATTCATATCTTCTCTATCCTTACACACAGTTCATTGCAATGAATAATAATTCCCAATGTAAATCATGCCTTTTTTAGTAGTCTGTCTTTTCTTTTCTCTTTCTCTTCTTTCTTTCCTTCCTTCTTTATTCCTTTCTTCCTTTTTTCTTTCTTTGTCTTCCTTCCTTTTATATTTCTTTCTCTCTTAAATTAATGCAGCCAGTGACATAACAATTTTCAACAAGTACTCGATTTTTATAAAATTCATTAATTCATGCATTCATATATACCATGTGTCAGATCATGTGTAGACATTTTGAAGGTAATAATGAACTAAATAGAAAAAAAGATACTTCCCTCATGAAACTTAAAATACAGTGAGAGAGTGGCTAGGCGCGGTGGCTCACGCCTGTAATCCCAGCACTTTGGGAGGCCAAGGTGGGTAGATCACCTGAAGGCAGGAGTTTGAGACCAGCCTGGCCAACATGGTGAAACTCCATCTCTACTAAAAAGTACAAAGAAAATTAGCTTGGCTTGGTGGTACACGCCTGTAATCCCAGCTACTCGGGAAGCTGAGGCAGGAGAATCGCTCGAACCTGAGAGGCGGAGGTTGCAATGAGCTGAGATAGCGCCACTGCACTCCAGCCAGGGCAACAGAGTGAGACTCTGTCTTGAATATATATAAATATATATATATTGTATATATAATATATATACAATATATATAATATAAAATACAAATATACATATATATTTATATATACATAGTGGGAGAGACAGAAATTAAAGAAACAAATATATTTCCTCCTGCTAAGCCTAATGATGTTTAATTATCAATGGACCACACATACAATGGTAGTCCCATAAGGTTATAAAACCATATTTTTAATGTTTTTTTTTCTGTATCGAGATGCACAAATACTTGCCATTGTGTTGCAAACTCCTACAGTATTCAGTAGAGTAACATGCTGTATAGGTTTGTAGCCTAGAAGCAACAGGCCATATCACAGAGTATATAGTAGGCTATATCATCTATTAATAGTTTTGAGCAAGTACACTCTATGAGGTTCTCACAATGACAAAAATCACCTAATGATGCATTTCTGACAACACGTCACCATTGCTCAGCAATGTATGACTGCAATTTAATGTCAGGTACCATTAAGGGGAATGAAATAAAGAATAAAGAAACGTACCCGTGCAAAGATAAGTTGCCATTTTAAGTAGGGTAGCCAATGGAGGCCTCTGAGTAATGTTTACCCAGATAACCAGAATAGAGAAAGCAAGCCATGTGGATACCTGAAGAAACAGAATTCTAAACCAGTGCAAAGGCCCCGAAGAAGAATTTGAGAATCTGGGGGGGGGTGGCAGTAAAAATGAAGATTCAGTTTTGGCCAGGTTATGTGTCAGATACCCATTTTATACTCAAATGGGGACAAAGAGTAGAAGGTTGTATATGTGAATTTAGAGTTGTGGAAGAAAGATCCATAAGATGCACATTTAGAAACCATCTGTATAGGTAGGTAGGTAGATAGGTAGATGATAGATAGATAGATAGATAGATAGATAGATAGATAGATAGATAATGGATAGATAATGACATAGGCTTGAATAACACCTCCCAGGAATCAAATGGAGATAGGGAATTAGGTTGTGAGATAGAGCTATAAGACATATAACTATATATTTCTTATAATAACTATATATGTCTTATAATTTTGTAAAAAATACAAAAATTAGCTATAACACTGTGAGGTTGAGGCATGTCTTAGTTTATTTAGTGCTGCTATAAAGAAATACCTGAGGCTACGCAATTAATAAAGAAAAGAGGTTCATTTGGCTCACGGTTTTGCAGGCTGTACAAGAAGCATAGTGCTGCCATCTGCATTTGGTGAGGACCTCAGGTTGTTTCCACTCATAGCAGAAGGTGGAAGAGACTTGGCACATGAAGAGATCCTATGGTGAGAGAGAAAGCAAAAGAGCAAGAAGGAGGTGCCGGGCTCTTTTTAACAACCAGCTCTCATGGGATCTTAGTGAGAACTCACTCCCCGTGGGGCCGATTCCTCATGAACAGGTAAATAGAAGGGCATTATTTTATTCATGAGGACTCTGCGCCCATCACCCAAATACCAGGCATTAGGCCCCGCCACCAACATTGGTGATCAAATGTCAACATAAGATTTGGAGGGGACAATATTCAAATGATCGCAAGACATAAGGGAAAAGGCAGAGAAGAATGGTTACTTAAAAGCCAAATAAAGAATGTGATCCAAGGAAGAGAGAGGTGATGGATTGTCAGTGACAGAACCAAGCATCAAATACTTTGGAAAGAATGTCTGGGGTAAATGCTTAACTGAAGAGGGTTCAATAGAGAATGAGAGATGAGAAAGTAGGGAAAATGTTTGAAAAGTCTTGATGCTAAGGAGGGAAGACAAATGAAGTAATAGCTGGAGGGAGATACAGGGTCATTAGAAGCTTTCTTTTTTCTTTCTTTCTTTGTATTTTGCTTTCTTTTGTTAGTGGGAGGTAGTTCAGTATGTTTATGAACAGATGGGAATGATCCCTCTCTAAGGAAAAAATAGATAATGTAGGAGAGAAAGGATAATTAAAGATGCAGAGTCCTTGAATACATGAGAAGGGATCTCGTCTACAAGTAGAGGGAATGGTGAGAGCTCATCTAAACTACAGACACAGAAAGGGAAAAGCATGCACAGGTAGAGACGCAGAGGTGGATTTCATGTTGGGTGAGAGAGAACTGAAGGTTGAAGTTGTTCACTCTGCTTCCATTTTTTTTCAGTGTAATGAGAAGCAAGGTAATCAGATGAGAGTGCAGGATATCGTTAGAGGTTTGAATACAGGCAGGAAAGGTTCAAATACTCATGTCAGAGACTAGGAGATTAAATAGACTAGGACCATTAAACAGGATTGTCAGGCAATATAATAGGATTGTATTTTTAATTTTTTTTTAATTGAAACAGGACATCACCCTGTCACCCAGGGTAGAGTGCAGTGGTGTAATCTTGGCTCACTGCAGCCTCGACCTCCCAGGTTCAAGTGATCTCTCACCTCAGCCTCCCAAATAGCTGGGACTACAGGTGTGTGCCACCATGCCCAGCTGATCTTTATACTTTTTTTTAGAGACAGTGTTTTGCCATGTTGCCCAGACCGGTCTCTAACTCCTGAGCTCAAGCGATCCACCGACCTCAGCCTCCCAAAGTGCTAGGACTGCAGGCATGCATCACTATGCCTAGCTAATTTTTGTATTTTTTGCAGAGACAGGGTGCACTATGTTGCCCAGACTGGTCTTGATCTTCTGAGCTCAAGTGATCTGCCTGCCTCAGCCTCCCAAAGTGCTGGGACTACAGGTATGAGCCACCGGCCAAGATTGTACTTTTAAAGTAACACAAGACTGAGCATGGCTGTATGTTTTTCTTCATCTGTAACATTTGTTTTAAACTTTAGTTTCCAAGAACTGATCCATTGAAAAAAATCCAGCTTTCCAATATAACATGTTGCATTTTTGTGAATGACACATGCACTCACAATTCAATAAAAGAGATGACTAATTTTATCTGCCATTGAAATATTAATTGTGAGGATCTGGGAATACGTGGCTAGATCACCATTACAGGTCAAGAAGAACCTCTTGCTGCTTAAGTATAACAAAGAGCAGGATCCACTGTCTCTGCAATGTGCCAGCTCTTCATCCTTTTTTCTATTTGGTCACATATTACCACAACTGTTGAAGGGAAATAGGTAAAGTGGTTGGGACTCTATCAAAAACACTTATCCTAGCCCATGGATCTGTGTACTGTTTCACAACCTTTCTGGTATATCATATTAAGACATAATAGAAGGTACTAAGTGCTGAATACATGAGCTAGAGAACCAAGAGCTGTTTAAACTAAAATTGTCCTAGAACAGCAGCCACCTGGCTATGTGGGTTGATGCTGGAGCTAAATAGCAATCAATTGAGAAATGAAGATTTCAGTCAAATATTTGTTCATCTTCATAATAATTTTACTTACTTTTTCCATCCATGGATTTGCTGTGTTTTTTCTTACACACTCGTGTACAATGTCAAAACTGGTTCTTTCCCTTAAAGCCAGTCCCCCACTTTTGGCAGTGAGAGTAAAAGCAATTTTTCTTTCTTTTTTTTTTTTTTTTAAGTAGAGACAAGGTCTCCCTACATTGTCAAATTTATGAGCTCAAGCGATCCTCCTACCTTGGCCTCCCAAAATGCTGGGATTACAGGTCTCCCAAAGTGCTGGGATTACAGCTAGCATGCCAGGCCTCCTTAATGGATTTAGTGCCGCCTTCCTTTGGGATATATTCTTTGATATCCCTTTAGAACTAAAATTCGATTTTAAAATTTACTTTTCATGCTTTCAAAATTCACTATTATGGACATGTAGTTAAGTAATACTAAAATCTAATAGGGCTATTTCCAATCAATCAAAACACAAAGAATAAAGATGTTCATTTTTCACGAAAAGTAAGAATGAGAGAAAGGGATGGAATGGATTCCAGTCTGACAATAGCTTTTTAGTGAACAAATGAAGTATTCATAAAGGGGAGTGCGGGTGTATGCTAGAGCATGCATTGTAGCTACTGTCCCAATGAACAGTGTTCAATATATTTTTAAAGTATTGAAAAAAAGGCATTTACAATGGAAACAAATCTTTACCTTAATATACTTTTTTGTGACTGCCATAAACTCAATTGCTATATGTGAATGAGGGATGTTTGATACAATATGTGAATGAGGGATATTTAGTTTTCAGTAAAGCTGATGTTTATCAGGTGGCTACAGTAAATCATTGATTTTTATTAGCTATCATAGCGTATAAGCAAGAGAGAGGCTCTCAAAAACTTGTTGGTATGCTTGTTTACAAATACTTACAGAGGAAACACTCTTGTAAATATAAAATGCACTATCTTCTTATTTCCTGGTTATTTGCAATGAAAGCTGCCAGTCTACTAGGTTTTTCCAGGAGCCTGTATGAAGGAAACCCATATCTATGTTAAGAACATTGTATTGAAAAGATAGAAACACGGTTTTTAAATTCATATGCAGTTACTGGCCATGAAGAAAGCAAGTAATTGTCTTTAGTTTGGCATACTCTACTGAAAACTATAATGATACTAACAATAGTAACAGCATCTTTGGGTGGATCCTAAGAGATATCAGATTAAAGTCACTACGTAAAAAACAAACAGAAGAAATAATGATGTCATGTTGAATGTTATAGGACAGGGATCCCCAACCCCCAGTACAGGTCGATGGCCTGTGGCCTGTTACGAACTGGGCCACAAAGCAGAATGTGAGTGGCAGGTGAGCGAATATTACCACCTGAGCTCCACTTCCTGTCAGATCGGGGCAGCATTTGATTCTCGTAGGAGTGTAAACCCCATTGTGAACTGTGCAGGCAAGGGATCTAGGTTACGTGTTCCTTATGAGAATTTAGGGATAGGTGTAATGTGCTTGAATCATCCTGAAACCATCACCCACAACTGCCCCTCTCGTGTCCGTGGAAAAATGGTCTTCCATGAAACCAGTCCCTGGTGCCAAAATGTTGGGGACCATTGTTATATGACTAAAAACACCAGGTCAGGGAGAATTAAGTTAATAACTGTTATTTAACTGTGCTTGTATCATAATCATTCACATTGTATAACTCCCAGGGGACTTATATTCATGCAGAAGTGCTTAAAATTGATTTTAACAATCATATTTCTAGTAGATCAAATTATTAAGATGGCCAAATGACATAAGGTAAAATTTCTGCCACTTTAGTTGTACCGAAAAGATCACAGAGAAAAGTAACAAGGGAACCTTAAGGAAAGTCTTGTTCAACTCCCTCTTTTGCTTGGAGAATAAAATCAGGATAAGAGAAATGAATTAACTTGTCCATGGAGTTTTGATAAGTATTTAACCTCAATAATCACTAAATGCCTTTTTATTTTATATTTTATTTTATTTTATTTTATTTTTGAGATGGGATCGCGTTGTGTTGCCAAGGCTGGACTGCAGTGGCATGATCACTGTTCACTGCAGCCTTGATCTCCCAGGCTCAAGCAATCCTCCTGCCTCAGCCTCTTAAGTAGCTAATACTACAGGAACATGCCATCAAACCTCGCTACATTTTTAAAATTATTTTTAGTAAAGATGAGATCTCACTGCATGGTTCAGGTTGTTCTCAAACTCCTGGGTTCAAGTGATCCACCTGTCTCAGCCTCCCAAAGTGCTGTGAATACAGGTATGAGCTACCATGCCTGGCCACTAAATCTTTTTTTAAATAAAAATCTTTAGTCCTAAAATATAAAGGATTCAGAAGAATCCCATTTTGTTTGAGGTAATTAGCATAACTGTTTCTATTTCATTGGAATAGATTCTGAAAATCAAGATTTCACCAAAACTTATGGGTCGGTTTTATTTATCTTTAATGTTTGATAAATTTTCTTCCTAGAATTTCTCATGAAATGCAATCATGTATTATTTTTTAATCCCATTCATCTTCATATTTGATTTTTCCCCCTCTGTTGTGTTTTACTTTAATTGATTCCTCAAAGCTGTTCTGAAATTTTTACCCACATCTGCCACCAGATTTGATTGGCTAATTGTCCTCTATGGAAGCACACCCATTATGCAACTGTTATGAAAACTTTTACAACAAATCAATGTCAGGTCAACAAACCCATCAGCCATGATCTCACTGAGAACTAATATTTTCAGGAAGCTTTTCACTTATTTTCAGGGGCTGTCTGTGGGTTTAGCATTTCATATTATTAACAGTGCAATGACAAACCTAGGGCAGGAGAGTTAATAATGGGATGTGCTTTTTCCTCTTGCTTCTAAAGAAAATATTCAAATGAGCAGAAGTTTTAAAAGCCCTGTTCAATACTGAGCTTTTGATATTAAAATAAACTGACAACTTGACTCTGACAGAATAAGATTCAATTAGGCTTAAAGGTAGGTCTAAAGGGGCTCAGGGAGAAATAAATGAACTTCTATTAATTTTTAGAAATAGCTAGTAAGAACAAGTCATTTATGACTTTGTAGTTAAGTTCCTAGAGAAAGTTTACCAAGAATTGCTTTCTATGAGGCATGGTGGTAAAAGCTGCAAAATGAATTATGGTGAAAATATGCATTCTACTTTTTATTTTTCCTTATTAAATCCAGCAAGGGAATTTTCCCGAGCCTCTCCCACTAGTGCATTTTGTTGGTTTAGAAGTGTTTCTGCTTTCACTCATTAAATAGCTAAAGATCAAAATATTATATGAATGATTTAGTTGTTTCTAGACAGATAAAATATTTTCTTCTCCTAATGAGTAGAGAAATATGACTTCCGCATGTCCCGAAAGAGCATTCACCCAGTATTCTTTGTAGCCATCTAAACAAAAGAACAAAATTGCATCATGGTCTTAATAAGAAAAACAAACATAAGAGGTAATGAAAATGGAATCATATCTCTTTTGTATCAGTAAAGTAATAGAGCGTATCAGGTTTTGTTCCTTATTATGAAATAACAAATTTTTAGAGAAAATAGAAAACAAACTTAAGAAAATAAAAACAAATTGTAATCACATCAACTAGGTCACTTGTTAAACTATATATACACATGTGTGTGCCTGTGTGTGTGTGTGTATAATACTGGAGCAAAGACATGGGAGCCTGACCTTCACAAAATGCCATGGGGCCCCCATCAGCCATGGAATACCCATCTCTAAATGTTTTTTCATGAGAGAAAAATATGTCTATTTGGTTAATATATTGTTATTTTGAATTTTTCTATTGTAGACAACTCCAACTAATCTATATACACACATACACATGATCTATTTTGCTTATTGTAAGTTATTTTGCATCATGTTTTATTTAAAAAATATTGCATTACAGTATTACTTATCTTGATTACTGGTGGGTTTTTTTTTTTTTTTCTTTTTGGTGCCTCTTAAATTTTATACCTGAGGAGAGTAGTGCCTTACTTACCTCATCCTAATTCTGGCCCTGAGGTCAAACATAGCAAAAGATAAAAATATAGACATTGATATAAACAGATATAATTTTTAATCAAAAAATAAAATCAAACAATAGTACAATATGCATTCGCGGTGGCTCACGCCTGTAATCCCAGCACTTTGGGAGGCCGAGGCGGGCGGATCACGAGGTCAGGAGATCGAGACCATCCTGGCTAACACGGTGAAACCCCGTCTCTACTAAAAATACAAAAAATTAGCCGGGCGTAGTGGCGGGCGCCTGTAGTCCCAGCTACTCGGGAGGCTGAGGCAGGAGAATGGCGTGAACCCGGGAGGCGGAGCTTGCAGTGAGCCGAGATCGCGCCACTGCACTCCAGCCTGGGCGACAGAGCGAGACTCCGTCTCAAAAAAAAAAAAAAAAAAAAAAAAAATATGCATTCAAAATTAAGTGAAGTTCTTAAACACTTTTCAGGATATAATTTTTTATTGCAAAATAATCCAATTTTTTCAATTATTGCTTTTGCACTAAGTACTCTTAAGTGCAACATTTAATGATCACTAATGAGATCATATTCAAGGTGTTTTGAGTTCTTAAATGCAGTATTTAATGATCTCCAATGAGATCAAATTCATGATGTGTTTAGTTGAAACAACCCAAAGTTAAACATTTGCCTGAAAACTTCACAGACTCCTCTATCCCTCTATGGAACAGCAGGCTTACAACAGTCTAGTGATAGATTTGCAAAAATCAAGAAAATATACAGTGTCGAAAAATAGATCAAAAATTTATCTTCATGGAATCATTCACCTTCATTGATTTTATTGACTGATATTAATAATATCTCTAATTCTATTTTATGAACCCATTTGGAAGCCACTTAATATGTAAGGGTACTTGATCAAAGCATGTCAACTACAATCAGTTTGAACAGAAAATAACATGTATTGGCCGGGCACGGTGGCTCACACCTGTAATCCCAGCACTTTGGGAGGCCAAGGTGGGTGGATCACGAGGTCAGGAGATTGAGACCATCATGGCTAACATGGTGAAACCCCGCCTCTACTAAAAATACAAAAAATTAGCCAGGCATGGTGGCAGGCGCCTGTAGTCCCAGCTACTCGGGAGGCTGAGGCAGGAGAATGGCGTGAACCCGGGAGGCGGAGCTTGCAGTGAGCCGAGATTGTGCCACTGCACTCCAGCCTGGGTGACAGAGCAAGACTCTGTCTCAAAAAAAAAAAAAAAAAAAAAAAAAAAAGAATAATAACATGTATTAGGTTTTCGTTGTGTTTTGTTTTGCTTTTGAGACAGGGTCTCAGTCTGTCACCCTGGCTGGCATGATCACAGCTCACTGCGGCCTTGACCTTCCAGGTTCAAGTGATCCGCCTGCCTCATCCTCTAGAGTAGCTGGGACTACAGGTATGTGCCACCAAACCTGGCTAATTTTTCTATTTTTTGTAGAGATGGGGTTGCTGTATGTTGCCCAGGCTGGCCTCGAACTCGTGGGCTCGAGTGATCCTTCCACCTTGGCCTCCCAAAGTGCTGAGATTACAGGCATGAGTCACCGTAGTCAGACACATTTATTGTTTGTGTACATATTTACAATCATCATTTAGTTCATCCTAAAAAAAACTATCTAAATTTTTTCTTTTTTTTTTTTTGAGACGGAGTCTTGCTCTGTCGCCCAAGCTGGAGTGCAGTGGTGTGATCTCAGCTCACCGCAAACTCTGCCTCCCAGGTTCAAGCAATTCTCTGCCTCAGCCTCCCGACTAGCTGGGATTACAGGTGCCCTATACCACACCCAGCTAATTTTTGTATTTTTAGTAGAGATGGGGTTTCACCATCTTGGCCAGGCTGGTCTTGAACTCCTGACCTCGTGATCCACCTGCCTTGGCCTCCCAAAGTGCTGGGATTACAGGCGTGAGCCACTGCACCTGGCCCTGAATTTTATCTCCACTTTAATGAGGAAGCACCAACATTTAAGTAACTTAGTCAAATTTACTCAGCCTCCAAGAATCAAAATGAGAGACCGTTCTCACATCCTTTTTACTCAATTCAGCCTGATGTTTCATAGCATTACTCTAGGTCAGCAATCAGCAAACTTTTTTTTTAAATAAAGGATCAGATAGTGAGTGTTTTAGATTGTTTGGGCCCACATACAGCCCCTATGTCACCCACTCAACTCTGCTGTTGCAGCTGGGAAGCAGAGACAATCTGTAACTGAATGAACATAGCTGTGCCCCAATAAAACTTTATTCATGAATACACATATTTGAATTTCATAAAACGTTTAAATGTCACAAAACAGTATTCCTCTCTTGATTTTTTGCTACCGTAAAAATGTAAAAACATTCTTAGTTCACAAGCTGTATGTATAAGTTGTGAGCTTGATTTGGCCTATGGACACAGTTTACACACCCTTGTTATTCTTTCCAGAAGGGAACATGTGGTGCCCTCACTTAAAAATATCAGAAAAGTGCAGAGTTTTCTTTTCTACAGGTCTAGTAATATAAGGATGTTCTCTCGTAAAGCATAAATCTCGGTTCTGGGTCGTTTTCCTGACCCAGATAATTTTCCGTCAATAATTCTCTTCCTCGTACTGTTTTTCATGAATAAAAGGAGACAGATACATTTTAGAAAAGCCCATATATATGGTGTAAGGAAAGTCACTCCACACAGAAGAATTGAGGCTGTCTTTTTAAAGAATGGATTATTATTATTTATTTATTTATTTATTTTTTGAGACGGAGTCTTGCTCTATCCTCTGGGCTGGAGTGCAGTGGTGCGATCTTGGCTCACTGCAAGCTCCGCCTCCCGGGTTCACGCCATTCTCCTGCCTCAGCCTCCCGAGTTGCTGGGACTACAGGCGCCCGCCACCAAGCCCGGCTAATTTTTTGTATTTTTAGTAGAGGCGGGGTTTCACCGTGTTAGTCAGGATGGTCTCGATCTCCTGACCTCGTGATCCGCCCGTCTCAGCCTCCCAAAGTGCTGGGATTGCAGGCGTGAGCCACCGTGCCCGGCTTTAAGAATGGATTTTTAAAATAAAAATCTTCCAATTATGCTATTTCTAAATGTCTACTTTTCTCTGGATGTCTACCTTTTCCATTTAAGTTAGTTCTTCATCAGAACTTCTAATACCATCAATTGCATTCAAAAGTCTCCAAGATGGCCCTTCTAAGGTATCTGCTACTCCAGATATTTCAGCCCTGTTGTCAAGAAGCATAGTAGAGGGTTTCCTTGAAGAATTTGTGTGTGGATAGCAGGAAGGAGGAGGAGAGGGGAGAAAGAGAACAGCGTACCATTGATGGGCTATTGTCAGAGCAGCTGCTGTGTCAGTGGCATCTGTGGGCTCTCCAGGCGAATACACAGCCACCCTGATACATCCATGGCCAAAGGCAAAAGAGCAACTTCTCCTCTCTGTGGCAGCAGATGCCCCTGTTCTTCAGTTGATGAAAAAATCCTAGCAGAGGAAAAGGAAAGACAGAGGAAAGGAGATTGTTGGGTTGTTAAGAGATATGAGCAGGAGGGAGAGGTTGCAACCCACTTCTCCGCCCGCTTTCTGCTGGCCCCAGAGAACCCTATACTGTGAGCTCAGTTTGTAACTAGCTTATTCACCTAGGGATGACTCTATTGCAGGGCTAGGACAGAGAGGACTGAGGCACTGGCTTCGTTTAGTCTTTGGTGCATTTGATCTCACCTATAAAAGGAAACAAATGTGTGTCCTTTATTTGTCCCCAACTACTTTTCATTTGCTTAAGACAATCCTCTTCCTATATTTTGCAAAGAAAAAGGCAGAGCACTCTGCCTCATGGAAGGCAATGGTATCAGGGCCAGCTTTTTTTTTTTTTTTTTTTAACTGAGGCCACTGCAGTAGCTTTTATCTACTCACAGTTCTTTCTGGAGTCAAGGCCTCTGGCTATTTAAGCCATCTCCCTTCTTAGCAAGTTAAGATTGGGACAAAACAATTATAATTCTAGAACTTGTCAGCTTGAATCGAACCATCACAAACCAATCACACAAGGCTGCTCCCTTCAGCCCAATCGTTGAGATGATTTTCCCACGACCTGGAATGGACTTTTTAGATCCTTTGGAAAGAAAACTCACCGGCAAGTACATCTCTCTGTCTATAGGTCCTTTCTATCCAGAAATTTGTTGAGATCATTGGTAGTGGGTGAAAACATGTCCTTTAGGGAGAAGGTTTTTTAGACCAGAAGCATTAGTTATGGAGGTTGTCATTGTTGTTGTTTCTTCCAAGGAAGAGAATAAAAGTGTAATCACACTAGGTCATGTGTAAATTTATGCTGTTTTTACTGGCTCTTAACCCTTTTCCTTCCAGGAATTGTTAAGTTCCTTTGCAGTCATATATCAGCCCTTGGGTATGTTCTCACCAAGGGTGACTGTTTGACGGTAAGGTCCCCTCAGTAGACCAACAGAATACAAGTCAGGTCATGGAACTGATTCCCTGGAAATTACGTAAGAGAAATAAATACCCTGGTTTTTGTACAGAGAGGAAATTATGAAATCGAGCCTGAATCCATAGACTCTCTTAAATTCTCCTGTGAGAAAATTTTTGCTTGGTTCGAGGGGGTCTTCAGTGGAATTAGGGGTAAAACCTTTTGTATGAGAGATCTCCAGTTTCTAAGTTGTTTGAAAGGGGCTGCAGGTCAGGCTGCCTTCTGATGGAGACTCGGAGGGGTTCAGGAGACAGGAGCGAGCACAGAACATCTGTCAATGCTTAGAGCTCTTTCTTTTTTTCTTTGGTTTTATGTCATGACCTGTAACTCAACTCACAGAGAATTGCTTTCCATTATGGAGAAATAATTCCAACAATGATTTTTTTTTCTTGCTGACTGGATTGTCTCACCCTGTGGGGGTATGGCTTGGTTTTATATTATCAGGCATGTTTGGTGCTTTTTCTGTGTGTTGCTTTGATAGGCAACGCTTTTCAGCGGAGGCTGTGGCTCGAATCATGCAGGTCTTGAGCTGTATTTTCAGAGATGAACCCAGTGCTAAATCGTGGTAGTAATATAATTCACAGCACTCTGCGTGGATCACCGGCTATTTTGGGGTCCCAATCCCCTTTATGTAGGACTTGAAATAATGTACGGACTATGGAGAGAAAAAAAAGGAACAAAGGCAAGCAATGCTTAAGGAAAGAAGATAGAATACAGGGAGGAGTAAACTCATTTCTGTTTAATTCACTTAGAGAAGAGCATTGATTCATTTTGAACCCAGGATTAAAATGACTTGTATAAATTTCCATTATACTGTCTGGATTTTGAAACTATGGATACGGCATTGGGGACTAAACCTGTTGGGCTAAATGATACTTTGATCAGGTAGATGTTCAGATTGCTTCTGAAAAAAAATTTAAATAATATGTGCATTGTCTTTTAGTCTAAGGGAACTGCTTAAATTATGTGTACTTAGCTCATGTTTTACTGACATGTTGAAGCTGTTTAGCCTTACAGCTTTACAGATTGTTCTACTTTTCAAAAATACTGAGAGTTGCCAGTGTCTATTTTGAATGTTTCATATTTTAGTGCATAATAAATATGTGTGTAATGAGTGAATAGGTGACTTTTTAAATTGCAAAATGTAACTGGACTCTAAATACCATAAAATCAAGATCATGAAGGCAGGTTATGAGAAAGAGTCTTAGAACTGACCACAGCTCTTCTGTTAGAACTAAGCAACTGCAAATCAAATCTTAGCCCTCTTCATCTTTTGATAAGGTTTTTGGATGTGTCATCATTGGGTCAACAGATATAATTGTATATGTGCATGTGTCTGTATGTGTGTGCCTGCATGTTCATATACTTTTTGAATTTGCTTTCTGCCAACTAAACTATTAAGTATATACCTTCCTTAGCTTAATCTGTGCAAAGAAGGCATTGTATTTTTATATAAAAATAATATACAGTAAAAGCAATAGCTTTGGACTTTGATAGGTAGGACATATTATTTTTCAAGGTTTTTTTTTAAAGCATTCTTACACATGCTAACACATAAAAGAGGTTTAACCTCAGTAAATGGGAAAGCTGGCTCTCCTAATTAATTTTTTCCCAAGTTGACTTAAACAGGCAAAATGTGAGTATTCACATGTTTCTGTTTACATGCAGGGAAATGGCAATCAGATTACAAAAAAAAAAAAGCTTATTTATACTGTCAGTTCCTGCCTTACTAAAACTTGGTGACTCAGTTATGCAAACCATACAAAAGAATAGACTTTTGTATTACTACACGTTTTGAAATGAGATCTTTGCTGATAAAAAGATCAGAAGCTGAAACACTGGTGATATAGTTTAAGTCTATGATATAAATTCAGAGTTGCTCTATCGCTAATCCTAGAAACAATTTCTGAAAACATTTGCTTATAATAGTAATTCATTTAAATTTATTTAACACTTAAAATGAATTGTATGTAGCTCAAATCCAAATGATGCAGATGAAATGTCTGGATTTGAGCCTAATAGGTACATTAAAAAATCTAATTAAGCACCTATTTTTTTTCAACCTTATAATTTCTGCTTTAATGGCAATCAAGTTAAAAAAATGTACAGTTCCACTTAGTCATACCATTCCTTTATAAAAGGCAGATTTCAAGTAAACTTCTAAATGCACATATAATGTAGAAACTAATATTTTCTGACAGTCCTTGGTTCCTGAAAGTTGAACTTCATCATATGTGTTTTAAACTTTTGTCAAAATAGTTATGAAAGATATGTTACTTTTGCATTATGAGGTAATTTATTAGGGGCGGGAACTCATAAGACAGTATAAATCCACTTGTCTAAACTTGCATGAGGCTGTGTGCATTGTAAAATGTCACAAAGAGTTTTGGGTCAGTGAATATTTTGCTGAAGGAACAACGCTTACTTTTAACTGAGTACTTTTCTGCAATAAATAGCAAAGTAGGTTTTTGTAGCTGTAAACTGTGTACACAGATAACTACAGGCTAGTCTGTCATGGAGCTAAAAGTTTCACCTGAAAACTTGCATTTTCTTTTAATAGTCATAATGCTATGAATATTATTGTGCTATCATAAATCACTAATGTTATTGGTAGTAGTTGGGTACAGCATTTCATTTTTGCATAGTTGCAATACAAATTTTATTTATTTGTAATTTATACACTAGGACATTGAATATTAAAACATAAATTTCTTGGAACACTGAAATTAAATCTCGATTGAGGATAAGTGCCTACAGAATGGAAACTGGTCAATGATAAAGGAAACATTCAATTAAACCTGTAGATACTGATCAAATTTATTTTTAAAGTGGAAGAAACTCTTAGACAGAGAACCATGAAAATTGAGCCAAGCATTTGGAATTTGGTCCTGCATAAGGAGCAAAAATTCAAATTTCATATATTTTAGAGTTAGGAAAGAAATAATGTGGAGGATATGTAGGGGAGAATTAGAAAGTGGCTTTGAAAAATAGAGGTCTTATTTTAGGTTTCTAGATTTGTCTGAGCAGAGATGCTAGGAAAAGTTATACTCTGCAGAAAACAGAGGAATAAACATTGAATTTGATATCAGCAGGCTAGGAGTCCACACGTATAGGTCCCATTCACATGAAGAGATGGAACATAATTTCTATATCTCTATTTCCTTTTAAATAAAAATTGGAATGTTGGAAATCATATTAAGAAAACAAAAATGGAAGCAAAGATAAGATGGTAGGGCTGCATCCAGAGGCAATGGATGAAGAAATGACAGTTTGATTAATGTTCCAACAGCCTTGTTGACACATCTTATCCTTCTGCTCAGTCATCTGTAGATCTCTCCCTGTGTAAAGAATCCAAGTGTCAACTCAAGATCTTTGTCTTGAAAGACTAAAATCTGGTCCAAGTTTAATGTTCAATCTTAATATTTCTTTAAATACCTTTATGAATTTATTCAAATTCTGATCATCAATTGTGAAATCCATTTTACTTTTTTCTCTGTTTCATGCCAACCTGTACTATCAAATATAGAACTAATATGTTGCTAAGTTCCTCAGATGCTTACCTCTCCATTTATGACTTTAGCACTTATTCAAGCACTACAGAAAATTCTGTTACTTATTTATAGACTTATTGTATGCATGCCTTATTATCCTAGCTAACATGTTTGATTTATTCACTTTATCATTCTCATCATCATTAGTGGCAGTAGCAATAGTGACAGAATAAAAAGATACCTTTGATTAGTTGATCACAAAGTGTTAGGCATTTTACATATATTATTTCTAATTCCTATTACAATCTTTCACGACTAGTAAGTGGCAGGTTGCAAACACATGTCAAGTTGACCCAAAGCTCAACCTCTCCCCACTGGGCAATACTGCCACTAGTGAAGTCACATAATTTAGAACATCCTTGAGATTCAATCCATTGAGATTTTGTTAGAAAGAACTGCATTAAAAAAAAGAAAAAAAAAAAACCTTTAAGAGTTCATAAGCTTTGACCTAGTAATTGTACATCTAGAAATCGATAATGAAAGGAGAAAAATATGAAGATAAAAAATCTCCAAGGCCAGGCAAATGCATACTTATAAGGGTAAAAAACAAAAAAAAAATGAATATAAAGGTATAAGGATAGGTGACAATTAATTATAGTTCATAAAATATATGTGAGCATTAAAATATATACTTTCAAATAATTTTTAGTTGCATGACAGATGCTTGCATAATATAAAAAGTGTGATGCTCATGCACTAAAAGTATGACACAATTGATCTTAAAATTACAGAGGCTAGGCGCAGTGGCTCATGCCTATAATCCCAGCACTTTGGGAGGCTGAGTTTGAGGATCGCTTGAGGTCAGGAGTTTGAGACCAGCCTGGTCAATATAGTGAGACCCCATCATTAAAAAAAAAAAAAAAACCCAATATGTTAATTTTTAAAAGTTATAAAACATAGACTTAAAAATAGAAACAGAAATAGAGGAAAAGGAGAAAGATATATCAAAGTATTTATAATGGTTATCTTTCAATGGTAGGAATATGAATTTATATTATTTTCCACATTTATCTACATTCTTCTACATTTTCAAATGCTTATCTTTTACATTTTCCAAAATAGACATACATCATTGTAGCAATGATTTTTAAAAATACCAAAAAATACTCTTTAAAAAAACCCACAAATTCTTAAATTTATTTTTTTTTATTTTTTATTTTTTATTATACTTTAAGTTTTAGGGTACATGTGCACATTGTGCAGGTTAGTTACATATGTATACACGTGCCATGCTGGTGCGCTGCACCCACTAACTCGTCATCTAGCATTAGGTATATCTCCCAATGCTATCCCTCCCCCCTCCCCCCACCCCACCACAGTCCCCAGAGTGTGATATTCCCCTTCCTGTGTCCATGTGATCTCATTGTTCAGTTCCCACCTATGGGTGAGAATATGCGGTGTTTGGTTTTTTGATCTTGCGACAGTTTACTGAGAATGATGATTTCCAATTTCATCCATGTCCCTACAAAGGACATGAACTCATCATTTTTTATGGCTGCAGAGTGTTCCATGGAAGTCAGTGTGGCGATTCCTCAGGGATCTAGAACTAGAAATACCATTTGACCCAGCCATCCCATTACTGGGTATATACCCAAATGACTATAAATCATGCTGCTATAAAGACACATGCACACGTATGTTTATTGCGGCATTATTCACAATAGCAAAGACTTGGAACCAACCCAAATGTCCAACAATGATAGACTAGATTAAGAAAATGTGGCACATATACACCATGGAAAACCCACAAATTCTTAAAGCCCACATCTGAAAATCTAGACATTCAAGTATGTACATTTTCTTTCAAGAGTATCATTACAGGCCGGGCGCGGTGGCTCACGCCTGTAATCCCAGCACTTTGGGAGGCCGAGGCGGGCGGATCACGAGGTCAGGAGATCGAGACCATCCCGGCTAAAACGGTGAAACCCCGTCTCTACTAAAAATACAAAAAATTAGCCGGGCGTAGTGGCGGGCGCCTGTAGTCCCAGCTACTTGGGAGGCTGAGGCAGGAGAATGGCGTGAACCCGGGAGGCGGAGCTTGCAGTGAGCCGAGATCCCGCCACTGCGCTCCAGCCTGGGCGACAGAGCGAGACTCCGTCTCAAAAAAAAAAAAAAAAAAAAAAAAAAAAAAAAAAAAAAAGAGTATCATTACAGTGTTGTTGACGTTACTGAAAATATGTTTTGCATTTTCCTCGTAGCTTGTGGCATATTCCATAAATATCTACAATAGTGATTAGTTTTGGCTGTCTGAAGTTTGTGTTGTTTGTTTTAATTTTTTGTTTTGTTTTTATAAGTTCTGGAAAAAGTCAAGTTGCATGACTCTCATGATCTTCCAAAGATGTATTACTAAAGCAAAGAGACATTCTTACAGGTGTTTTAAACATGAGATTCAGTTTGCTAATGGTGGCACCTCTCACTGGAAAGCATTTCTTACTGTGCTGTAGAGGGTGACTATGGATGCTGGTGGCAGTCTCACTTTCCCTAGTGGCTACTGAACGTGTTTGTGTCTCCTTTAGAACCAATAGTTTCTAATGAATATTTTCTAGTCTCCTCTACTTCCTCCTTCCTTCCTATCTTCCCTCTCTTCATTATTTTCCCATGCAAATGTACGTGCAATACAGAACATCAGAATAGCACATCCTGTAAAGCACAAAAGCAGTGTTTGTTTCCTGGAAAACCCTCCGTAGAGGCTAGCTTATTATTAGTCTTCTTATTACTGCTTGATTACTATGATTAAATGATGATACTACACCCTTCCAGTTATAAGGCTTGCCTTTCCCCAGTGGCAGTGATGAGTCTGTGCATAATGATTGATGTTTTCTCAGCTGGCACCTCTTCTAACCAATGACGTGCACTTACGGCAAGGCTACCTGATCTAAGGAACTGCCATCCGTGGTTATAGAGGGTAAACCGAGGCTGTAAACTCATTACCTTTGGGAGACCTAATGTATCCCAGAAAACACAGATGAAATGATCATTGTAATCACTGAATCAAGAAACATAGTAATGTAGGGTCTGGCCCTAAAATGAATATGGTATTTTCAGAGTGTAATTGTCTCACTCATGTGAGATAAATGAAGTCTTCCAGAGCATGACAGAATAGGTAATTTACTAAATAATAACATGGAGGCTCTGGAAGTGTGAGCTTCTTAAAGAACAGCCCCACTTATTGATTTTGGTTTTAACATATTTGATGGAAAATAAAGGTCATAATAATAAACGGATAAAGTAAGCACTGAAATATTTTCTCAATACATCAGTACATGATTTTATGTGTACATATAAACATATGGATAGTTGCAAACACGCGGGTATCTCACTTACTCAGAAGTTTTCCTCAGCTATTTATAACAGCAAATACAAAGACTAAGCCATTTAAATGCTCTGAGAAGCAAAATAGATGCCATAAATCCAAATCCTGAAGCTTTTTTACCCAAAAAGGAGGTTGACCAAGCGAAGGTAACTCCAAATTCAGCATCTGCTCATACTATTTCAAAAATGCATCTTTAGATATGTTAAATCATATTTGCTTGTACATTACTTTAGCAACCTTGGTTACATAATTTATCAGCCCAGCACAGATTAGAATCAACAAATTAGGCAGAGCATGGTGACAGTCTGACAGATTCAAGGCACATTATCAGAAGCAAAAATGAGAACGGAAGGCTCACATTGATGGAGAAGGGAAAACAAGCAGAAGGGCTTAAATAAGCTTAGTCTAGGGTCATTTAATGCAGGAGAAAAGGCTCTACTGTAACCTGATAGGCCTACTGTATTGCAGGTAAAAAATGAAATAGCTTATGTTTATTATAATCATATTGAGTAATCATCAAAAGTTATACTAAAACATACTGTTCCTTTCATTCATTTCCATGTAACTGACATTTATTCTTAGAAACAACTTATAATTCATATGCTTGATTACCTGTATATAGAAAGGTCTGGGGCATAGCAGGCATTTAAGAAATTAACTGAATGAGGAGCCACTCCTATCTTCTGACGTGTTCTCAGCATCCTTAATACCACTACACATAGTAATATGTCATATGTATTAAATCTTCCATTACAAAGTCTTACCCTGCTTCATTCCATTCTTCAAAATCTAAGATTATCGTTTTATTTGTTGCTTGATCCATTTTAGTGCATAATCATAAGCTGCCTTATATTGTTGTTTAATCATTTAAATGTTTCACTTCTGCCTTGTTCATCTTCTCAGTTAGACATTTTGAACTCTTAAGAAGAGGAATTACTCCCGCTAGGACACTTCTGTCTTTCATCTCACCTAGCATATAGCCAAAGTACAACGTAGTTATTTCAACAAATACGTTCACTGAATTTAAAAATATGAAGATTAAATATTATCAATGCAGTAAGTGAAACTAAAGGCCAAAACTGTTTTCCAATAAATAAGATTACATACAGTGCCTTAAAATACCACAGTAAGTGGCTTGTTCTCATAGCAGCAGATTGCAAACTCAGCCTGTCTACATTTCCGGGCAATCTGACAATGATTTATTTACTATTTATTGCTAATGATGATTACTTTGAAGATTAGAAAGTGGTTTTTAATATCCAGTGGATACAAATGCCAGGAGCGTTTGATGTTTTACCATTGTGAATTTGAACTGCATATACATGGTTAATGTAAGTCTGAAAGTATGTCTAATTGTTGGGGATCTTTATATAAATGCAAAGGAAAGATCTGTGCTTCTAGTGAAACAATCACCTTCTGCGTCACACAGCTATTCACAATCTGACTGCAGATCCAGATTGTGACTAATATTTGGCTCTAATATTATAGGTGGTTACCGTGGAGAGAATCAGTAAGAGCATAATTGTCATTTCCTTGGAAAAATTTAATCCACAGATGGATCCCAACACCCAATTGCATTCGTGTCCAAGACTAATGGGGATTTTTGCTAAATAAGGCCTGATTCAGCCAAAAAAGATAGACTCTGAATACAGAAATCTGCATCACGCATCACTTCAAAAGATGTATTAAATCAAACACTGAAAGCATTGGCACACAGAATTTTCCTAATAGGGACATGATGAAAAGTCATTTATTAATTAAAATGCATTTATATTTTCTTTTTTTAAAATGAAGCAATGGGGGTATTCTACGCTACCATACATTTACAAAATTTCATTTGCAAAATTTCATCCTTCATACTTCCTTATTTAGCTAATTAAGGTAATGATTCTACTTAGATTGGAAAGTTCTAATTAAAATCATTAATTTTTCCCGAACCTTCTCCTTCAAGATCTAAGCTTTGCTGCACATCCTTCAGTCTTTGGGAGGAGAGAATGTTGGGGGATGTGCTGCTGATAATTGATGAGAGAGAGCAGGATACATTTATTATGACCTTCCTCCCGCTGCCCAGCTAAATTTATACAGCCAACCATAATCTAATAACTCTGTGTTCCTTTCTTTAAAGATTTTCCTATCATATGAAACTATTTCGGCCTGTGGTGTATTCTTTCTAATTAGAGTAGAATACTAAAGCAAAACCATTTCAATCCAAGTTGCATAAAAATGCCATCCCTTTCCGAGTGACTGGTTTTCAAAGCGAGCTCATTACCTGGAAAAACAACAACAACAAAAGTGTTGCCTCTCTGAATTCACGTGGTTTGGAAAATTCTTAGCCATCTACAGATGCACCAACTGAATCATAATAAAGAAGAGAAAATCTATAAATGATTAATTTCCTTTTTCTATTTAGGCTTAACATGTTTTAAGGGATAATTAAACTTTTGGCCTGTTTCTTAGAAGTCCAGGAGGAAGCATATTTCAGAAGAAGCTTATTGAACTGAGCGGTGAACTCATTCATTATCCTTTGGTTAATACAGAGTGAACTTGTCTACCCTCAGGTTCATTTAGCTTTAGGCTACAGCCTAGATTCTTAGACATCCGTCTATTTTACAGTATTAATTCAAGCTGTTTATAAATAACACATGACTAAATAGATGTTAAAGAAGACCTCCCTTGGGGCAGGCATTATTCCCACGTGCATGGCAACAGAGTTCGTAACAGGGCTTGGTGAACAGTATAATCTCAACACATTAACTGGGACCACATCGCCATTTGGCTATCAGAGCAGCCACACCGAGTGCATCATCTCTTGCACACCCTTTTAATTTAAGTACCTTGCTCAGTGCTAAGAAAAAAGGCACACTTGTTAAGGCAGGAGTAAGTGCGGATCTGCGAAACCTAAGCAAGCATATTTCACCAGCACCTCCTAGGGGCCACGTGTGGATATGAGGATGGGAGGTGGGGACTCGCACAGAACCTTTCCTTGAATTGTCAGTTTCACCTCTCCTACACACAAAAATCCACCCCGACTGCGCCGTCCACAATACCAGCTAGTTTGCTGAATTAGTTCAGCGACTCAAGGAGGCCTTACGAGGTTTAAATAAACTGCACAAAAGACACATTTGATCGCTCGAGAAAATAAACATTTAAAAAACTCAGTGGAAAGAAAGACTCCTAAAATATATCCTGTCCTTTAGGAGCAAAGCTTCGTTAGGACACC
Organism: Homo sapiens; assembly: GCF_000001405.40. NCBI lineage: Eukaryota > Metazoa > Chordata > Mammalia > Primates > Hominidae > Homo > Homo sapiens. Next base: position 70,168,512 of record NC_000017.11, read on the forward strand.
GAAGTACTCAGAAATAATAGGCACTTACTCTTCGGTTTACACACACACACACACACACACACACGGATTAGTTTATAAAGTTCCAGGATCCAGACCCGGTTAACACTGAAGTTGCTTTTTAGGGGTCTGCGCGCTCTCGCCTGGCTGCTGGGAAGGAGGGCTGGGAGGCGCTGAAGCGAGGGCAGATCTGAGTGTCTGTAGGAGTTGCTATTCCAAAAAAAATCATTACTCTCTAATTGTTCTGATTTTAGATCAGCAAAGCGTGCCGGGCGGTGGTGGAGAGACTGAGGGCGGACAAGGCGAGAGGGAACGAGCCGTCCACCCTTCGGAGAAGCCTAGGCGCCTTGTAAGTAATTCGCGAACAGTCGGGAGAACAAACAGCCAAGCGGCGCTGCAGTGGCCGCACTTGCGCGCGTCTCAATCCTGGGGGCTCTGCGCGCCCGCCCCAGTCCCTCGCCCCATTGACTCAGTGGCTTCTCCGGGCGCTGCAGCCTCCGCGGGGGGCTTCGAAGGGCCGAGGGGCTCCGGCAGAGAGGGAGTGGAGAGGGAGACGCGCCGGGACCGACGAACAATCCTGCCCCTGCGGCAAAGGTCTCTACCCGGCGCTGGCACCTCGCAGGCCCCTCGAGGAGCACGCAGGGCAAGCGGCCCAAGAGCGGGGGAACCGGGAAGTGTGTGGGGCTCCAGACGGAGTAGGAAGCTTTGCCCAAGGCCAGGCTGCAATCAGGCAGCCGCAACAGCCGGGCGCGGAGCTTCCCACCTGCTGCTGTCCCAGCTGGGCCGCAACTTCCTCCTCCCCGGCCCGGGCCCGACTCCCCGGCCGGGCTCCGAGGGTGGAGGGGGACGAGGCGGCGGCAGGTTCCCTCCGCTGGCAACGCCTCGCAGCATCCTCCCCTCCCCGCCGCGGTTCCCGGGGCCGGCCGCGCGGCCAGGCGCGCTGCGATTGGCCGGCAGCGGCCGGGGGCGGGGCCAGGAGAGCCGGTGTCGCACGGACCGCCTCAAAAGAGCCCAGGATATTGCAGAGCGCACTGGAGCCCTGGCCAGCGCGCAGCCTTCCCGGCGCCGGCGGGCTGGGTCTTGGGAATTCTGGTTTGCTTTGGCTCACTCGCTTTTTACAAACCACTGGATCTTACATGCCTCTGTACCCCCCACTTCCACTCCATGTCCCCATGCTCCTGCGCCAGCAACAGGTAAGGGCTGCTGTGTTTTCTTCCTTTTCGCTCGCTGCCGGTGTGTCCTGGGGAATGGACTCTGGCCGCCGTCCCCTACCCTACCCTGCCCCGCTGCTCCAGAGGTGCCCAGCTGTCACACTGCTGTAGCGCTCACCCACACTCCGGAGTCCCAGATCATGCCTATATAGTTTGTGTGCGCACCAGAACATCCCCAGAGCTAAAAATACTGAGACATGCTTGGAACAGTTGAGCAATAGAAACAGATTTCTCTGCAGCATCTGTTTGTGCTCATAACTTCCAATGCACCAGCTGTAGCGAGATACTGGGTTTGGAGGCAAGGGCGAGAGCGTCTGTGTTCGGTTCTCACTCTAAGTGGGGAAAAAAAGAAAGAAAACGTGGTTGCGGGTTTGGGGGTGCGTCTTGAGCCCTGGTCTTAAACCTTGGCAAAGCTTGGGACTCAGCACTATTCTTGATCCTTGGCTTTTTTTTTTTTTCGTCATTGCTTCAAGTATAGCTGTGAGTTTCAAACAGAGTGAGTGTCTCAAAGTTGCCTTCCTGAAAGAAGAGCGGGAGCCCGAGTTGGATTTGAGCCTGAGGATCGCAAAACTTTCACATTACATATCACTCTCCCCTAACCAATTTGTTATTTTCAGTAATAATGGTATTAATACCTGGCTTGAAGACAGTGTGGTTTTAGGAAAGCAAAATAGTCAAAACGACTTGATTCTGCAAAAAGATTGCATCATAGCGTGGATTCATCATGACAATTGGAAAAAAAATAGGGATAGGGAATGGGCAGTTTAATGTCTGTGTCTGGGTAAGGATATCATAGGATGATCACTAGGATAAAAGGCTGTGAATTCCGACGATTTTCATAAATTCAGATTTTACCTGTTAGGAAATAAGGTGTTATTTGAAAACCTCGGATATGCAAAGAAACCATATTGCGTTTTATCATTTGTTTTCTTTTCACATTAATAATCAATAGGCTGCCAGATTTCCTCTCGCCAACCAATGTTGTGTGTCTGCTGTACATTATCTGTACACTTGTTAGCGTTTTCCTGCTCACTTCCAAATGTTTCATTTCTATTTGCCATTATCTGGAAAAATCCTGGTGCTCAGAAGGGGTAAGAGATGTTAATTGAAGCATGGTGGAAAGGGTGAGGATAAGGTCAAGGCCATTTTACTTAGCTTCCTCCTCTCTCATATTTTAATGACACTTTATTTTTTAATGTTCTTGGTCTCCATAAGAAATATTTGATCTAAACTCATGTGAATTTTGCTTTTAAAAAAAATAAAAGAACACAGTCTTTCTACATCCTTTGGATTCCTGAGTTGTAGAATCTCTGGTTAGCTGTAGCGTCCTTGTATGACTTTTGCGTAGCCTGAAAGATTGAAAACAGCTACCTGCACAGATTAAGTGTTTCAGATTTTTTTAAGTGTATATTTTTATTTACCAAACATGTCTGTTTTTCAGCGTATGCAAATGCTGAGCAGTGCTACAAGCCAAGTGTCGTTGAGTATAAATGTTAGACAGGGGGCTCACACGTAGATAGATGGGTATCCCCCTCCCCTCCCCACTTCCCCCTCCTCCTCCCTCATGTTTATTGAGCTTCTAAGAGGCTGCTTTCCTAGCAGTTGTGCTCACATAGCAACATGTGCCCAGAGCACACTCAGGCTGTTCTATATGGCGTCAGCTGGGGAATAGCTGCTCTAAACACTCATTAGCAGACCTCTCTCTCAGCCCAGTACGTTTTCTTTTGCTATCTTTATTTCCTATCCTTAGAAACTTTCTTATTTATTGCACACCATGACCATATTACAGGACACATTTACTCTCATTTGATTTTTTTTTTTAGTTATTTATAAGCCATATTGGAAGTATTACCTATATAGTCAAAGCAATTTAGATCCCCCATTTGTACCATGTGATCTCCTTGACCTTACATTTATCCATAGCTCTTTCTCCTTTAACATCTACCTAAGTTTAAAACGCTGAACTATTTTTTTCCATTGCTTATGCTTAATTTTGGCTCAGCCTATAAATAGTCTTAACATGAACAGCACCACATGTAACCTCTCAATTTCCCAAAAATACTTTCTACATCATGGGTTATGGCCTGGATAAAAATGATTATTTGTGTCCATGAAATTTACATCTAGACCCTTAAATATTTTGGCTGGAAGGGAGATTTACACATTGTTCATCAAATCAAATTTCAATTCTCTGGATTTGTATCACTTAGTGTTCTCATCTACTCCTCATTGATTGCATCTCAAACATTATTTTGAATATATGCTTGAAATAAAGTTGCATGTAAGCCCTGTTTTTTTAATGATAGCTTTTCTCAGCTGCTCACGAATTGGTAATTGCTAGTGAGAGGACCGGGCAAGGAAGTTTTCTGCTTGCTTAAAGTCGCTCAGGCATGTGGGCAGGTTAACAGTAAAAGCAATTTTTACCATGAAATATTAAGACCGTTACCCCATCAAACCTTGACAGGTTCTAGACTTTAGCTATGTAATCAGCTCCACAAAAAGTCTGCATACATATATGTGTGTGCACCTGCATACACACATAAATCTGTTTGGGGGCATATCTATTTAAAGTGGCAAAAGTTTTCTTTTTGCCAAAAAAAAAAAAAAAAAAAAAAAAAGCCCAAAACTCCTCTTTTTCTCTTTCCAGGAAGAAATGGTAAAATTTCTAAATGATGCTCCACATGTGGAACAAATTCTGTTATTAGCAATGGAAATAAGACAATAATAGTCTCTCAATACAGGCTACTTTCAAGATTCTAAATGTGGAAAGCTATTCATAGGAAGCTGGTATTGTGTGATTTGTGGAATTCAAACAAATGTCCTGGGGTCAAGATTTTTGGAAAGTCATAATTCAGTCTTTAGATTTCATATGGTTGTTATGTTTTAATCTGGAAGGAGTACAGAAATAAGTCAGAAGAAATTTGAGACTGTCTACTCATGGCCCCTAATGGTAACTCACATGGAAGGATTGTTTTGAATCATGAAAAGGGAATTTCTTGGTGTCAGCTTATAATACAAAGTTCTGAAGTCAATCAGAACTCAAAAATACAAAGCATTCATTGAATGAAGTTCTTCTCCTTTTTTTGAAACGTATACCTGCGTTTGGTGTTGTTGCTGTCTCTGTCTGTTTAGTAATGTGAGAAAACTAAGATGAAATAATTGCTTAAAAAATGCTGTCCATGTACAGGATCTAGAACTTCGAGGGGCAGGATTCTTGTTTCTTTGGTCCAAGTGCAAACTTCACAGGGAAGCAGACAAAACATTGAAGCAGGTGGAAGGTTAGGAAAGCACAGTAACTTCTTTTTATAAAGTAATTCAAAGGCACTTTCAAACTGAGCATCATTTAGGTGTCAAAAGCTGCCAAAATGTAACACACATTGCAATTTTCAAAGATGACTAATCTCAGGAAAAATGTGTTGGGGCACATTCTTGCATAATAACTTGGATAAAGAAGAAGTCAAAAGACAGTAACAAGGCATTTTCAAAGGCAATGCACCTTGCCTCTTCTTAAGGGAATGCACAAAAACAACATAAATGGATTGCTTTATTTGTTTGCGGCTGGCTTGGCTGATATCGGTTCTATTAACTGTTTAATCTTAATGGATTTAGAGGAGAAGGAAAAAGTGGAGTCTTCATTATCAGGCATCAACAAATTTCTGACTCTTTTCATGAGTTATTCATTGCCCCCCTTTAATATAGCAGAAGGATTTGGTTGTATGAAAAGTTGAAGATGGGCTTTATTTTTCAGTTCTAACTCTTATTAGTTTTGTTATTACACATTTGGTAAAGAAAACACCTTAGACTTTCTCTTAGCTTTTTGTTAGTTAGTCAAGGGAAATAGTTTCTTAGGAGTGAAGATGGAAAGTTGAAGTACATAGATAGTTCTTAGCTAGGGAAGACTGAGGCAATAGGAGAAAACTGAGAACTACTATTTGCACATATTAAGTAAAGGTGAGTGCCTTCTCCATAGGAACCTATACCAAATAACAGCGCTGGAAGTGAAAGTAAGCGGACTGGCATTTATGATCTGTCCTTACACAGTTGTCTCTGTCTGAGAGAACACAGCACTGGACTCACATGAAATGAGTTCCTGCCTTATCTCAATCCGCTAAAGACCTGGTCCTTTGGCACAACGGTGCTTACTTCCTAGCCTGTCATTACACATGACAGCCCCATCTCAGGAGAATTTCAGGGCTCTTATTGCTAGGCAACAGAATTGCTCTCTATCCCCCAGAGCAAACCTGCATCTTCAGAGTCTTCAAGCCAGAATTACCTGTACTAATAGAGACTTAGCAGGCATTTCTGCATAGTGGTTGCTTAAAGTGTGAGAAGTGATGAAGCAAGCCCAAACAGTATCCAGAAACTGGGATCCATTTCAGATTATTATAAGCAATAGGGGCAGTATTCACCATCGTAGGAGGTTTTGTCCACTAGTTCCCTCTATTTTCAGGATACACACTCAGTCAAGCCTACTCCAAAATCCACTTCACTATTCTATTTGTAGGTGGGAATCTGACTTTCTTCCTCTAGCATTTCGTCAGCCTATCCGGTCTGCTCAGTTATATCATTTAAACAAAATAGTCTGTCTTCCGATTTCAACCTTGCCATCAGGGACTCTAATATTCTCCCGTAATGCACATGCAACTCAGTGGATATCAATGCTGCGTCCACGTGAAGTTTTCTAAACATGTCCTTTTTCCAAAAATTTTACGACAAACCTTGGAATCAGACAGTCTTTCATCTGCTTAACAGGGATCCTAGCAAGTGGGGCAGGCAGAAGAAGAGAATAAGAGAAGGGAGAGGTAGACCTGAACAATAGAATATTCTAGATCCCTGGCCAAAAAGAAGGGAAAGGGGACCTGACCTGACATTTTGGTTGAACAACTGTCACAGACAACTCTTCTATGTTTAACGACTTTATGCTTTTAAATAAAAGTTTTACAAAGCATGCTTAGGATACAAAGAAATTTAAAACCTTATAATTTAATGTAAATTATACTTATCTTTACCTGATTATGTGTTTTTGTTAGGATATATTGTCTTAGACAGTAGAATTCTTTAAGAGTGGCTTATTTTGTAATGCACAGTCTCTCTTTTCTTGCAGGACATGTTCTCTGGATGTCAGCTGAGTCATTAAAGTAACTCTGCATGTCAGTAGACAGACCTTGGTAGAACCACAAGGCTCCCAGAGACACCCATCTCTCCTCATTTTTTTGGTGTGTGTGTCTTCACCGAACATTCAAAACTGTTTCTCCAAAGCGTTTTGCAAAAACTCAGACTGTTTTCCAAAGCAGAAGCACTGGAGTCCCCAGCAGAAGCGATGGGCAGTGTGCGAACCAACCGCTACAGCATCGTCTCTTCAGAAGAAGACGGTATGAAGTTGGCCACCATGGCAGTTGCAAATGGCTTTGGGAACGGGAAGAGTAAAGTCCACACCCGACAACAGTGCAGGAGCCGCTTTGTGAAGAAAGATGGCCACTGTAATGTTCAGTTCATCAATGTGGGTGAGAAGGGGCAACGGTACCTCGCAGACATCTTCACCACGTGTGTGGACATTCGCTGGCGGTGGATGCTGGTTATCTTCTGCCTGGCTTTCGTCCTGTCATGGCTGTTTTTTGGCTGTGTGTTTTGGTTGATAGCTCTGCTCCATGGGGACCTGGATGCATCCAAAGAGGGCAAAGCTTGTGTGTCCGAGGTCAACAGCTTCACGGCTGCCTTCCTCTTCTCCATTGAGACCCAGACAACCATAGGCTATGGTTTCAGATGTGTCACGGATGAATGCCCAATTGCTGTTTTCATGGTGGTGTTCCAGTCAATCGTGGGCTGCATCATCGATGCTTTCATCATTGGCGCAGTCATGGCCAAGATGGCAAAGCCAAAGAAGAGAAACGAGACTCTTGTCTTCAGTCACAATGCCGTGATTGCCATGAGAGACGGCAAGCTGTGTTTGATGTGGCGAGTGGGCAATCTTCGGAAAAGCCACTTGGTGGAAGCTCATGTTCGAGCACAGCTCCTCAAATCCAGAATTACTTCTGAAGGGGAGTATATCCCTCTGGATCAAATAGACATCAATGTTGGGTTTGACAGTGGAATCGATCGTATATTTCTGGTGTCCCCAATCACTATAGTCCATGAAATAGATGAAGACAGTCCTTTATATGATTTGAGTAAACAGGACATTGACAACGCAGACTTTGAAATCGTGGTCATACTGGAAGGCATGGTGGAAGCCACTGCCATGACGACACAGTGCCGTAGCTCTTATCTAGCAAATGAAATCCTGTGGGGCCACCGCTATGAGCCTGTGCTCTTTGAAGAGAAGCACTACTACAAAGTGGACTATTCCAGGTTCCACAAAACTTACGAAGTCCCCAACACTCCCCTTTGTAGTGCCAGAGACTTAGCAGAAAAGAAATATATCCTCTCAAATGCAAATTCATTTTGCTATGAAAATGAAGTTGCCCTCACAAGCAAAGAGGAAGACGACAGTGAAAATGGAGTTCCAGAAAGCACTAGTACGGACACGCCCCCTGACATAGACCTTCACAACCAGGCAAGTGTACCTCTAGAGCCCAGGCCCTTACGGCGAGAGTCGGAGATATGACTGACTGATTCCTTCTCTGGAATAGTTACTTTACAACACGGTCTGTTGGTCAGAGGCCCAAAACAGTTATACAGATGACGGTACTGGTCAAGATGGGTCAAGCAAGCGGCCACAAGGGACTGAGGCAAGCACAATGGTTTCAAAGAAAGACTGTAAGCTCCATGATTAGCATAAAGCACTAACCATGTCTCCATGTGACCCGATGGCACATAGATGTTGTAGAATAAGTTATGGGTTTTTATGTTTTGTTTTGTGTTTTTCCAAAACTTGAACTTGCAGGCAAGCCTTGGTTGGGTATTTGATTTATCCAGAATGCTTCTCTTTAGGGAACAAGGATGTTTTTAATGGCATAACAAAGGCAAGACTCTGCCTTAATTTTTGAAAAGCTGCTAACTACATGAACACAAATGTGTATTTTTGTTGCAGTGTAGTTTTCCTTTTGTGTAATTTTAAAGTCAGTGTTGAATTTTATTGAAAGCTCATGATGCGCTTCAAAGTGGCAAGTATTTGGCTATTAACTGCCAAAACAAGAGCCTGATTTTTTGAGGCCAGTAATTCGTTTGCTAGAATTGATTTTTTTTCTCTCTCTCTTTGTTACATAAGGGCATTATGTAACACTAGCCGAATGGTAGCCTCTGGGTTGTTGTTTTTTTCTTTTCCTCCATGATGTTAATGGGTTATCTCAAATTTTAAGTTAAACTACCTAAAATAAATACCAAAGATAATGCATATTTTTGCACAGTGGAGCTTACACTTAAAAGAAAACAAAGCCCCATGGGCTGCCTTGAAATCAAGAGACAATAACTTTGAACCTCAGCAAGACCTTGAACCGCCGGTTCATTTTGCACCTTATTCAGAAAATAGAGCATCATACTCACCGAGTCTAGTCAGTGTAGTGCTTTTAAAAATTTTGTCCTTTCATGTAACTTTTTTATTTTAAGAGGAAGAAGAAGAAAGGGGCACACACACACAATACCGACGTCTATCCTTTCCTGCTAGGCAGTGCTGGCCAGGCTCATGTGTAGTGTGCGAGATGGTGATGTACTCTTATATTTTTCTGGGCTTTTCCTTTTGCACATTCCAAAATTCATTTCATAAGACAAGATCTTCATAGGACCTCCTTGGCATCCTGGCATTCTCAAAACTGAGCCATCCAGCATGAAAGATAAATGGGTTTAAACCCTTGCTGCTGAATTTATTGCCTGGACTGTCAGGACATCACCAGCCCACCTTCACCTTAGGGAAGATGCCACACCTGGCCTCCACACTTGCTCTTCTGATCAGTCTGTCTGGATTGAGTCCTACAGTGTCAGATAGGGCGGCAAATGCCAAAGCAGGGAAACAGGGAGGTGTGGACAAGCCAGTTTGATGCAGCACTTCAGATCAAGTGCTTAGGAAGGAGAGGAAACTTGCCTTTTTTATGGCAGAGGATAGTAATGAAAATGTCTCAGTATTTTAGGGTCAATGAGAGCCATAAAAATATAACATAATCACAAGTAAAGGAGATAATGGTCTAAAACAGCTATTTCCCTTTTCTGTGTGCATACTTATGACTGAATGTGAGCTAAGCATTTTCTCCTGTGGAGCCCTAGAGCAGGTTACTAAGGAAGGACACATTGTTTTCCAGAAGCCTCCCCTGCCTGGCTGACTGCCTTGCTAGAAACATAATTTTTTTTTTCTCACTGAAGCTCAATAATGGAACTCTTTTTTTTTTTTTTTTTAATTTAAAGTTCCCTATTTGTGAATTCTGGGATTACTGACTTTTCTTTTTAATTGGAGTCTCAAAATCAACTCTCTTATGGTATTATATCTCTGTATGCCATTAAAAAACAGCTTGTTCTAGAATCATGTATTTTGTAAACTGATGTTTGTGATGGTCTCTGGTTCTTGAACAGCCATATCTGAATGCCGTGCCTGCAAAACTATGACAATTTTTGCTGTTTTCAGCCTTCAGATTTGATGGCTTGGGAAACTGAGGTGTTATTTTCAATGAAACAAAGAAAGAGATGTTAAGCAAGTGGTTGTTTTAGATCCAAATGTAAAGGCAGGTTTGGGAAGGTGTTTAAAGAGTTGGAGGAATTGGGGATTGAGTTGTAAAGAAAACTTACAGAAGAGGCAACAATTTGGTTCTTGACAGTGAGAGGATATTGAGGGCTTCAGCTGCTGCTATTATGATGTTTTGCAAAGGAAAATAATCAAACCAAAGAGTATTCAGTGATATGTAAATTAAATGAAGATACAGTGGAGAATGGGGGTGACCACAAAAGAGGCTCCCCCTAAACACACAGTGCTGCCACTTAAAAAGACTTGAGAAATTTGAAAGGGGGTGGGTATGGGGGGGGCAAGAAAGAGGGAGGGAAATCTTTCAACTTATTTCTGAAAAAGAGAAAAAAATATAAAATTTCTGGTGCACAGGTTTGTTTTTTCAAGAAAATTTTGCAGAAGCTATGTTTTTAAAGTGTACATTTTATAAAGTTTATCAGATATTTTCATATTTAAAGCCAAATGTAAATAGAGGTCTGTAAAGAAAAATAATTGCCATAGAAAGTATAATTTCAGTGCAGTAATTTCTGAGAGCTAGTACCTATATGCTACCGGTTAGCATGGTTTTAGCAAATATATACCAGCCTTATAAGGTTCGTATTGCTATGTTCTTCTGTTATTTATTTCAGCATGGACTGTTCATTTGAAACCTTTTTCTAGTTATTAGCGTTTTAACAGTTACAAGCTTTAAATGGCAATTTTTTTTTTTTTTTTTTTTTTTTTTTTTTTTTTGTCAAGAGCCAAGACACAGGTAATGCACGACATTGATTGCTGCATTTTACCTTCAAAATATTTGTCCTTATTGACTGGGTCTCCTTAATTAATGTACACATGTCATTAGAATGCAGACGGAGGGGACTCACCATGAATATCTGGGGTTGATTCCCAGATGTGTGTTGCTTCTCTATTGCAAGCAGATTCCCTGTTGGATTTACTTCGGATTTATTCCCTTTTAAAGAATTTTTGCCCATATCTGGAAGGGCACTATATTTTTGGGAGGAGCCATAGATTCCTGGTTATCCTATTTTTAAACAAAATGTAGACAAAGTGAACTCTATTTTGATTATTGAGAAAGGAGTAGTTTTCTATCCCTCTAAGAGTATACTTGAATCAGACATTTTAAGGATGTCACTATGGCACTGTTGTCATTTCCAAATTCCTAGAAAAGTTTGTTTTACTTTGTTTTTATTCTGTTAATGCATTCTTTCTTCTCTTTACTTCCTTTCTTACCAGTACACTCCTATCTCAACTCTGTTTATTTGATGAGTTCTGTCCCGTAAATCATATTTCCCTTACAATTAATAAATGTCACTTCATATTTTATAATAAACCACTCAGTAAAAGCAAAAGCTTGTCCTGAGAAGTAGAGTGAGTTCTTTTTCACTCTGTGTCTAATAATGTTAAGGTGGGAAAAAAAAAAGTGTGGCATAGCTACCTGCCCATCCCCAACCCTCAGCAAAGTAGAATCTCTTTTCTGGTAATTTTGGGTTTCCGCTCTGGGCTCTGGCAAGTTGAACAATCCTAGCCATTGACAATCGTGATAGTTATTATTTTCCCATTTGCTGTCTTTTTGTATCTAAAGTCTTCCTATTGTACTGCACAAACCATGGATTGTACATATTTTTATATATTATGTCTTATTTTATTATTTCTAAATAAAAAAATTAAAAATTGAAAACAAATTCTTGGAAGAATCTTTGGGCTTCCCGTATGATTACTCTAGAAACACCATAAAGCAAATGTTCCCAAACAATGGAACATAAACCCTGATAGGTTAGATGCATAGAGCCATAGAAATGGCCTCAACAGACAGGTGCAGTGGGGTGACAGATTAGTTTAATTCAAGTTAGAGGAAGTCAAGCTCATATTTTGTTTTTGGATAGAATAGGCTAGGTAGAAAGGGAATACAAAAGACCAATAAACAAGCCAAAAAAAAAAAAAAACTAAGAAAAATATTATCAAGTTTAGATTTTGCTTCTCTCTTTAATGGGTGATAAGGTGTAGTTGCTCTTTATCGAGCCTCAACTATGTGTAGAGTTCTTGCATTACATATTATTTTTATCTCATTCCCACAGAAACCAAATCAGGATATTATTATTTTGTATTATAGACTAAGACTTGGCAAATAAGTTCTGTAAAGGGCCAGGCAGTAAGTATTTTTTGGCTTTATGAACCAGAGGGTCTTTGTCTCAACTATGCAAATTCAGCCTTGTAATGTGAAAGCAGTTACAGACAATATGAAAACAAATGGTATGGCTGTGTTTCAAAACAATTTTACTAACATCTACAGCCAGTGGGCTAGATTTGGCTTATGGCCAGTAGTGTGTTGACCCCTGTTTTGGGTGAAGAAACTGAGTATGAATTTTAAAGCTAATGAATCAGTGAGGTAGTATTTGGATTCTGGTTTTACCTGCATCTAAACCTAGTTTTATCCATTAAACTATATATCATTTCAGGTCACAAAGCTACCAAGGATATGTAGTCCCGCCACTTTCTCTGGCAAATTTGAAATAAATAAATGTTTCTCAAGGTTGGAAATACGGAGAAAATTTGCATTCTAAAATATGGGTTGCACCTTGCTCTTTTTTCTTTAACTAATATGGCAATTATTATTTATGTTTCAAATATGACTCTAAGTCCTTTCTAAGTACTAAATAATTTAGTCTTAACAGCAAGTCTATGGAATAGGCTGTATTATTATCCTCATTTAAGAAATGAAGAAACTAAGGCTCAGAGAGGTTAAGCACCTTGTCCAAGTACATATGGGAATTATTAGTGCTGAGATTCAAACTGAGGCCATTCAATACTAGGCTGTGCTTTTTGTGACTACTCTATGCGCTTTCTTTTTGTACATATTCTTGGTAAAAGCTTCACCATTTAAGACCTTTCTGCTTTTCAGTTTTTATCCTTTTCGGTAATGAAAATACATCCTTTTTGTTTGCACAGCATACGTTAGTGCAGAATTCTTGCCTCGTTCATAACTCATTCCTAAATTCCTCATTTAATGTTTGGTGAGAGAGAACAACTTACAAGGAGTAGAGTAATTACAAACACTGGTTGTGGGATTTGGGTAAATTTCAAACTTAAGATTAATTTCAATTAACAAGGAATTGTTTAGGTCTGTCTCCAGGCGAAACCACAAAGTTCTGTTACTAACCAAGCTGCAGGAACCCGACCACATCCACACTTTTGCTTTCTGCCCATGGTAGGCAGCCAAAGGTGTAACACAATCCTCTGGGCAATTGAGATAATTAAGCCAGACCGGTTATGGTAACGCCAGGCAGTGAGTTGCATGCTATACAGGCCTCTATTTTTTATTTTATTAAATACGTATACAAAAAGAAAAGGCAGGGGTGGAATTTCAGAGTCCTTTTGCTTGGACTGTCTTTTGAGTGACAAGTGAGGCAAGACCTCCAAGCTCTAGCCTTCAGAAGCAGCAGCTTCCCAGGTCATACTTGCAAAGAAAAAAACAAATTTCCATCTAGAAATATTCATTTTCAAGCTAGCAAAACTGATTAAATGAATCGTATTTGTTTGCCCAAATTTGAGTGAGTGAATAAATGCATAAATGAATAAAGGATGGCTAGCTCTATGTCCTTTAAATGAAGTAAAGAACCAAGTCCGTGATCAGCTTATTTCAGGACCTCAGTGTTTCTTCAGGATATTTCAGACCATGGAGCTAAGTGACCTAATGATTAGTCACTATCTGAGGGTTGTTATAATGATTTTATAAAAAGAGAAATATCTAATTACAAGGTAGTACCTGCAAAGCACAAGTAGAATAAGAATATCAGAGTGCCTGGCTTAGGAACTGGGTGTCCAACTGTCCTGATTTGCCTGGGACTCAGGGATTTTCTAGCGTGCAAGACTTTCAGTGCTGAAACTGGAAAAGCTCTGGGCAAACCAGGGGAGTTGGTCATCCTCCTTTGGAAAGTAGAGAAGTAGAATGGCTGGGGGAAAGGGGAAGACCCAGTAGATAAGAATTCGCAAGGGAGGAATTGAAGCAAGGTAAACCAGAGGCAGCACGTGAGTGTTACTAAACAGAATAATAATGGTGAATAATTACTTAGGAAGTGGCTCTCTCCAACTAACTGAAATTTGTCACCTCAAGGGCATTTTTTTTGTTTTGGAGGAATGGTTTTCTAAAATATTATACAATTATCTGCCTTATTCAAAAGATGATATATATTATTTAACATTTCCTTATGTGACTCAAGCTAATATGTGCACCTCTTTCTGATGGGATATGCTTTTTAATCTTTTTTTATCACGAAACCAGCAGCTAATATTTTGTCCACTGCCAGAAGTCCCCTAGTGCTAGTTTGTTTTCTGCTTCTTATTCTCTGGGTCAAATAAATCAGATCAACCCATTATGATATAGATTATTGTATCATATATGTCATAGCATATATGATGAGTTTATCATATATCGTCATATCATATATAATATAGATTATCAGAGAGGATATCACATAATCCTCTATGACTAATATCATACGTAATAGCAGGGAGGTTCAGAAGGCCCAGAGGAGACACAAATGACCTGGCTTCTGCGCAGGTTTTATATTCATTGTACTGATTTTCGGAGATCTTTTTTATTTCAGGTTTGAGATTATATTCGGAGAGGTTGAGGCCATTAAGGAATTTGACTTTAGAAAATTCTATTCAACTCAACCAAAAATTTGTTAAGCGATTATAATGTAATACTGGGCACTCAGAGTTTTCTTTATGGACTTGGTCTCCAATCAGTCACAACTTAGAAAATGGGTGGTATGGTTATATATTTATTTTGTCTTAAAAACTAAGAAAAGTAACTGGGTTTTAGATATAAAAAGTTTGTATAGAACAGTAACTACCAATTACTGAGTACTTAGGATCTATTAGGCACTGTACAGACACACTGTTCTTTTCCTCCATGTGTGGACATCTTCATTTGGAAGATTAAATATCTTTGCAGGGAGGTCACTGTGGATTCAAGTGTTTTTGAAACACCCTATTGGGAATCGTTTTCAGTGCACCTCATTTAAATATTTTATTTGTGACAAAATTTTTTATAACTTTTTGGTTAAGGTTAAATTCTATGTTTAGAAAAATCCAGAACTCAATCAGAACCACATTTAAGTGACAAAGTTGGATAATTAAGATCGCAAATATCATGTCCTACAAAACAATCAATGAGTGACTATAAAGAACATGTAATTAGTGAGATGGTTTGGTTGTTTAATTGTCAATGGTTCTGATTTGGCTCAAATGACCCAGGAGGCTTTACAAAATATGCTGCACCGGGAGAGTGGACTTGGATTAAGTAAGCAACCTTCTGCTATGATAACTTGGAAGGACATCTCAAATGTCTATAAATAATCTTACCTGGCTTAAAAAACTCCTTTCTCTCTCTCTCTCTCTCTCTCTCTCTCTCGCTTTCTTTCCCTCTCACTTTCTTTTCTAATTCATGATGGTAACTTCTACCTTTTGTTTTGATTTTTACCCTTGAATTCTAGATAAACTATCTGCAAACGTTCACATTAATGTGGAAGTTTGGTGAGACAAACCTGTTTTCTCAACTTCATAATATCTTAAAATTAAAATATGTAAGACCTTTAAAATATAATACATACCATTTTCTTCCCCTCCTAGCCTCCTTCTAGCCACTTCTCTTGAAACCATTTGCCATATATCAGTAACAGTAACCTTAAAATCAACTTAGTTAAAAAACAACTATTTACAAACATAATACTTGTATAGACACACAGTCATAATCAGAAGACATCACTTTATAATCTATATTTTTTTACTCTTACAATGGAAATTCTATAGGTAAAACAGTCCCTCAAGGAAAAATTAAATGTTTGTATATATTTGGTTTGGTTTTGATAGACTGCTTTCTGACAACAAACATACACACCCAAGCAAGCTTCTACTGCTATGAAAATTATGGAATTGTGAGGTAAAAATGTTATGACAATTTCTTGGTTTAGGGAAATGTGAGAAAATTAAGCATAGAGAAACTCCAATGCCAGAGACATTTCAAAAATAGCATGTATGTTCTCCTTCCTCCATCCTTTCCTTCCTTCCTCCCTCTCTCCCTCCTTCCCTCCCTTCTTCCTTCCTTCCCTGTTTCCTTGTTTCCCTTCCTTCTCTTCCTCCCTTCCCCTCCCCTCCCCCTCCCTCTCCCCTCCCCTCCCCCTCCCTCTCCCCTCCCCTCCCTCCCTCCCTCCCTTCCTTCTTCCTTCCTTCCTTTTTTTCTCTTCCCTTGCTTCTTCTTTCCTCCTTCCTTCCCTCCTTCTCTTCCTACCTTCCGCTTCCCTTCTCTCCTCTTTTCTTCCTTCTTCCCACACATTTGTAATTCTCTATCATTTGCCTGCCACTCTGTTTGTTGTTGCTGTAATTAGTAGTGCTCACAAGTGACTCTTAATAAAGTTACAATAATAAAGCATGGTTACCTAATGCAATGTTTAACCTAAAATTTGAAAGTGTTTCTTCTTACAGTTTAAGTTGGTTTTGTAAGGACTTTGCTCCGGTGAACCCTGTTCTTTCCCTCCCTCCTGCTAAATGACTGCTCTGACCCCGTATTCTGCTGCGATTAGTTCTGTGAATCATCTTCGCCTCAGCATTTCCCCAGTCCTGACACATGGACAGAAAGACATCCCTTGGCAAACATTCAATCTAGTACAACAAACAAATGAATCAAGTCTCAGCCTTTGTCATTTTACTTGGATTTTGTTTTTTTACATTTTTGCTAATACAGTTTTACATCTAAAGTCCCAGTTAAGCAGCTCTTCATTTGGTCCTGCAAACAGAGTGTCTCGTCGAATAGTATATAGGAGGTTCCTTTACATTAGGAACTTTCTCATAAAAACAGATTATTTACCAAGAGAGAAATTTCAAAGGCAAGTATACACACATTTCTAACAAAACACTCTCGGCAAAAGCACTGTCAGATGGCAACCATATATGACAAAATGAGGGAAAGTTGAATGAACATGTCAGAGGTTTTCTTCAGTCCTATCATGAGTTCTTTTGGTGGCCATAAGGTCAACAAAGCACTCCTCCCTGCCTTTTCCAGGGAGGAGCTGAAGTGGCAGCCAGCATCACTTGGGCACACTCAGTCAATGAGGCAGCTGAATAAGATGCCCCCGAGTTGCCATAGAAACTGGAAGAAGCAGAGAAGCACCTTCTCCTGCACACTCTTTAATTTCATCTGAGTGACTTTGTTTAAGAACCAAAAATAAAAAGTGCACAAGGATGTAATTATATAAAAAGCTGTGTTCGATTATAAATACAGTATGTACTTTTGCCTCAGTCTACAGCTCACCTCTCCCTTCCATTTCGAGGCATTTGAACCATTCAAGGAGGAGTCTTCACTTCAGCTTTAATTGAAATGAGGCCCAGATTTACCAAGACAGGGGAGCGAGACTTTCTGCATTTCTATCTTTCCCTGGTTCACATTTGACGTCTGCATGTGGAGTCTTTTATAACAAAGTCTATTTCCAGGGGATCTTCATATCGGGCCATCTGGGTTCACCAGGGCTTACTGAAATTGCTCTGCCTTTTGGCATTTGTAGTCTAAAACATCGTATAGGTTTATGATCATTTTGCAGGATAATAAAAAGAGGTGGACAGGAGAATGCCAAAAAAGCAATTAGTGGAGAAGGGCAACAAAATCCTTTTTTAAAGAAATCCTGTTGCTACTTGCAATAAACAGCTAGTTTCACAATAGAGCAGGATGGGAGGAGAGTACCTCAACAGTGGTCCCATTGCAGTGTTCACCTGGGGGAAATTGTTCAGAATTTAGAGGGTCTACCTCTGGTCTTTACACCTTCCTGAAGGGCTGATGGGTTAAATTTGCTGGAAGAAAATGACACATCTTCTTTCTAGTATCCTTTAGTGAAACAGGGCAATCCTGAACCTGCATGAATCCTGGCATGATTTGAAATGTACTTGCTCTTAGGTTCCTACTTCCTGCTAGTGATTTGCATGAAGTTGAGTGCAATATAGAATTTACTTAAAAAGGAAAATGCAAAGGTACAAGGTGTGTCCAATGAGCAAAAATGCAATCCTATGTGTTCTTCGTGAATATGCCTTGTCTGTTCTCTTGATTTGGAGGACTACACATGAGAACCCGAGACTGAGACTTTCTGCAAGGCAAATAAGTCTTTTGTATAAGTAAAATATGAAAGGATTTTTCCCTTTTTGGAAAGCTGGCAGCCTGCAGGTAAAAAATGTGGCTGGTTCAGCTAGTGCTGTTTGTAAAACTAGACTGGCCATGTTTCTTAAATGCCTACTGAAACCAGTTACATGCTTGCAAGCAAAAAAAGAAAGAAAAATAATGGAACTGAAGAACGTCCTTGGCTGTTTAAGGTTGGAAAATTTTACTTAAATGAATCTAGAATTTCCAGATCTTTTTACCTAGAGGTACATAACAACCACAAAAGGAGTTTCCTCAAATATAGCTTTAAATGTCAGCCGTGTCCTCTTCCTGGCTTTGAGTTCAGATGTATTGTTTCTGGTGTTTTGTTTTGTTTTATTGTTGATTGTTTTTGGTTTTTGCCTCACATCAACCCACGATGAAAACTCAACTCCTCTTAGAGTTTTTCCAAAATAACATGAAAATGCATTATTAAGAAATGTTGGTTTTATAGAAAATTTTATATGGAAGACAGAAGAGGGGTTCTCTGCACACCCTCCACGTGAAACATCAAACTTATCTTGCAAGTTGGATTTCTACAGGGATTTCGTTCTCTTATCTCTCACCACCAAGAGTGAGATTTACTCTTTTTACCTTTTGAAATCCAATAAGGTGCTGGGCAAAACAAGGGACCCTGTGGTTAGCAAGGCCCTTGTTGTTAGAAATGGTCAGCTTTAAAATGCCACAGATTAAAGAAAAATTATACAATAACTGTGCCACTAAGATGCATAAAGTAATAAAGTTTAAATAACACAGTCCAGCATTTGCCTCCAGTCTCAAAAGCTCAAAAGTCTGATTCCATCAGCACATCTGGCCCTAGGAGCCAGATGTATGGACTTAAAATATTTATTTACAATGAGAAGTATGAATGCTAAAGGAACCACACACTTGAAGACTACAGTCAGTGTATGTTCACTGTCTGTGAATTTTTCATGGTGGTTGGGAATAGAGCAAGGAGAAGTCACGTGAATTAATCGTAGGATTGTAGGATGTTAGCAAACAAAGACAGCATCTTTCATCTAACTCAACTGGGAATCAGACTAAAGAACTGGTCATGTTGAATCATCAGATGGAACTCTCTTGCCCTGAACAATGCTTGGATCAGCACTATTCATTTTAGCTTGTGGGATTCTTCTTTCAGATACTTCCAAGGCCGACTAGTATCATCATTCTCTGTTCCCTTTTAATTAAAACATTCTTTACTTACATAAGTGAATATACACAGTCCATTTGAAGTTACATTTCAGAGGTCTGGAAATCTTTCTCTTGTTTCATCTGTGATTTTTTTATATAATTATCTCTTTATGGTATATTTTACATGCAATAAAATGCACTTATTTAAGTGTACATTTCTATGCTTTGGATAAATGTATATATTCTTGTAACTATTACCACAGTCATTACCATCATCTTCCAAATTTATTTTGTACCCTAATTCAGAGAATCCTCCCCTATCAGTCCCACCCTTGGCCCCAGGAAACCACTGACAAAGTAAGTTTACCTTTTCCAGAGATTTCATCCTATCTTTTTTTCTTTTTTTTTGATTCCTTGATCTTTATTTTCTTAATTGTTAAATCGATACATTGTCATTGTACATAAGTATGGAGTACAATTTGGTGTTTCAATAAATATCTACGTTGTATAATGATCGAAACAGGGTAATTAGCTTATACATCACCTCATGTATTTAATATTTCTTTGTGATGAGAACATTTAAAAGCCTAGCCCTAAAACTGTCCTCATAAAATTAATAAAACTAAATTGTCAGTTTTCTTACCAAAAGCATAAGCTTTGAGTAGAAGCAGGGCTAAGCATTAATCAGGTTTCCCTAGAGCCTACTTCTTTCTCGCTTCCTACTACTTAAAATTCACGTAGCCGCATCACAAGCTCCTGGCTTCTACAGACAACGTCTTTAATGTTAAGAAACCTCAGATTCTCCATTAAGAGATGTTTTCCAGATCTTGCATTCTAAGGATCCACTGACACCAGACAGTCTGAAGAACTCTCCGAGGAACTAAGTGCAACAAGGCAGTTTCTACATATTTATGATTTTATCTCCCATGCCCTAATCAGTGACCTCCTGCTTCTCAGCCCCATACGTGCCAAACTTTTCTTAAAAAACACAGTCCAAATCTCCTCAAGGAGGCAGAGTTGAGGTTCTCTCCTATCTCCTCATTTGGATGCCCCTGTGATTATTAAATTCTTTCTCTGCGGCAACTCCCGCTGTTTCGACGTATTGAATTGTTACTGCTCGATGAGCCCTTGAACATGGCAGCCCTATAACACCTTCTAGCTATGTTGCAATATACAATACTTTACTCTTAACCATAGCCATCCTACTGGGCATTGGACACCAGAACTTATTTCTCCTATCTAATTGTAACTTTGTACCCACCGATCAATCTCTCCCTATCCTCCCCTACCCCTACTAACCCCTCCCTAGTCTCTGGTAAACACTCTTCTACTTGCTGCTTCTATGATGTTACTTTTATTTTAGATTCCACATATGTGAAATCATGCAGTATTTGTATTTCCATGTCTGGCTTATTTCACTAAACATGATGCCCTCCAGGTCCATCCATGCTGCCACAAGTGACAAGATTTCATTTTTTTTTTTAATGGTTCAATAGTATTACATGGTGTGTGTGTTTCTGTGTGTGAACATTTTCTTTATCCATTCATCTGTTGTTGGACACTTAGGTTGATTTCATATCTTGACTATTGTAAATAGTTGTGCAATAAACATAGGAATGCAGATATCTCTTAGACACACTGATTTTATTTCTTTTGGATACATATCCGGTAGTGGAATCCCAGGATCATACAGTCGTTCTATCTTTAATTTTTTGAGGAAATTCTGTACCATTTATGTAGTGATTGTACTAATTTTACAGTCCCATTACCATTGTGTAAGTGCTTGCTTTTCTTCACGTACTCGCCAACACTTGTTTTCTCTTGTTTTTCTTGATAATAGCAATTCTAACTGGAGTGAGGTGGTATCTCATCGTGGTCTTGGTTTGCCTTTCCCTGATGATTAGTGATGTTAAGTATTTTTCATATACCTGGTGGCCACTTGTATGTCTTCTTCTGTGAAAAGTCTATTAAGATCTTTTGCCCATTTTTTAATTGGGATATATATATGTATCCCAATTTTGTATCTCCCATGCCCTAATCAGTGACCTCCTGCCTCTCAGCCCTATACCTGCCAAAGATTTTTTAAAAAACACGGTCCAAAACTCCTCAGGGAGGGAGAGTTGAGGTTCTCAACTCGAGTACATATATATTTGCTGTCCAGTTTCTTATACAAGTGAATATTAATCCCTTGTCAGATGTAAAGTTTGCCAATATTTTCTCCCATTCTGTAGGTTGTCTCTTCATTCTATTAATTGTTTTCTTTGCTGAGCAAAAGCTTTTTAGTTAGATGTAATTCCATTTGTCTATTTTTGTTCTGTTGCCTGTGCTTTGAGATCTTATTGTTAAAAATTATACCAAGGTCAATATTATGAAGCATTTCCCCTGTATTTTCTTCTAGTAGTTTCATAGCTTTGAGTTTTACATTTAAATCTTTAATT
This sequence comes from Homo sapiens, assembly GCF_000001405.40. Taxonomy (NCBI): domain Eukaryota; kingdom Metazoa; phylum Chordata; class Mammalia; order Primates; family Hominidae; genus Homo; species Homo sapiens. Next base: position 70,190,124 of record NC_000017.11, read on the forward strand.
CATTTTGAGTTAATTTTTTAAATGTTTGAGTTGATTTTTATATATTTATGTATACTCCAAGTTCTCTTTAGATTGCATGCATCTTTTGTCTTTGTTATTGTGTCTTTTAAAGGACCTGCCTATCTCTGTTTTGATGCAGCATGCCTTGATTTTCTCTCTAACTCTTAGAGAAGAATTTTACTAATTTTCAAGATTTTGGAAATTGAGTGCTCAATATATATTACTTCTGTCCAGCTCCCTACCTACTTCCTGGTCCAGCCCTCTGGACCACTGACACCTTTTTTGTTTGGTAGCACAACTTTTGAAAAAATATAATTTTGATTATACACGTTAAATATAATCATATATATACATATATATGTACATATGTATGTCTATATACATGTGCACACACACGTGTGTGTATATGATTTAACATATATTCTTCCTAAGGAAATCTACAATTCTAAGAAATTCTCAGATGAACTTCTACAGGTTTTGTGCAACAGGTTTGATGTCTCCCCTTTTTATTTTGTAGTAAATATATTTAGTTCCACTTAGTAAAATGTTATATGCAAGCTCATTCATTTTCTACAGAGAAATGGCTGTGAAAAAAAGCGGCCTTCCCCAAGTTCCTTAAAAATTTTGAGCCTTGTTTGGCTCAAACTAGAAAATAAAAATAAAAACGGAATTTGTGAGATTTAAAAGAAAATAGTTTATGTAAAAGTGCTTTACAAATGATATAGCACTATATATATTATTTTATACTTGTAGTAGCAATTTTTTATTTTCTGATATAGACAGTTTTTACCCTAAATTCCAAATACTTAAGTCCATCAAACAGCAGCAACAACAACAAAGGGCTTTTCTCATTTTGAAAAATGCTTACCAAGCATCCAATGCCTAGAACTATGAGAGGTGTTGGAGATTCAAAGGTAGGCTTGTCAAGGAGCTCTCAGAGGCATGAGAGAGAATGAGAACAATTACAGTAACCTAATTTTGAGTTTCTATGTTTGTCCTCTGACCTTAGCAATCAAGGCAAAAGACCTCCAGTAAAGTGTTTGTGCAGTACATGTAAGCACACTCTTCTCCATCCTTGCTGAGAAAATCCATAGTCACATTTTATCAAATGTCAAGAGGTTTCACTCTTTTTTTTTTTTTTTTTTTTTTTTTTGGTACTTGAGTTTATAAGGCTGGAGTTTATGCACCTGGACCCTGGCACTACGTGAAGGGAAGGTGTTGTTCTTGGCAAAATGCTCAGTAACAAGCCTATCGGATTACAGAGTGGATTTCCTTTATCTTGGGGCATTGGACTCTATTCAGGGAGCAGGAGGGATAAGATTTCACAGCTTGTTTGGACATGCTAGTTACTTCTTATTCTCATTCTTCTGAAGAGTGTAGTCTTCTGGCCTACATCCTAGTAGAATCAATGTCCAGACAAGAAATGCCTTCAGTGTTTTAGATGCTCTCTGCTGAACCAAATGACTTTATTTACCAAAAACAAAACTACTGCCTTCCAATAGGAAGGAGGTGGCCTTTCCCAGAACTTCTAGCCAAACCAGAGTGTCCTGCTGTTTGACAGAGGTTTAGTAGTGTTTCTATCAGGATTCCTTATATAAGAAAACCTTTTTTCTTACATTGTGTCCAAGGTGGTTTTTTCCTCAATGGACTTCAGGGGATTCTTTTCCTACTACTTCTTTAGGTATATTTTTTCCCTTGCTGTTTTCATCACTTCATTCTGCAGGCCAAATCTTTACCAAATATTCATGTCACTGAAATCTTTCTGGCAAATCTGCTAAAATGAATCATTTATTTTCCTTTGCAAAAATCTGTTAAAAAGAAAGCAGTATTCCTGAAAAGAGGTTTGAGGAGGTTCAATTTTTCCATCACTTCACCATAACACATGCAGACACAGACACACACACACACACACACACACACACAACTTCTATGTGTACATGCATGAAACTAAAGGCACACCATAGCGATTGTCACAGTCCTCATTCTTGAGTCTCTCTTGTGACTTTGGTAAGATCAAAGGAGAAATTCAGCCCTGAAACTGTAGAGACATCACACAATTTGGGGCATTTGTCCTGATTTATTTATTGTCCATTATATGTGTTATAATTACTGGGGAGGAAAAAAATAATGTCCATTATATGTGTCATAATTACAGGGGAAGAAAAAAATAATTGTAGGTGATTCTTATTTCTTCTCCAATAACTTATTTATAATTTTAATATTTTCTACAATGAAAATATATAACTTTTTGTTTCTTATCCATGATTGTTGAGTTAAACACATAGTTGATATTTCCTATACTCTTTTTTGTTCAATAATAAATGCACTAAAGTCTCTAAAATATTATCTGAGTACCATTTTGAACTAAAATCATAGGTGTTGGCACGTTGCATTCTCATGGTTTTCAAAAATTTCTAAGTAGTTTAATAGCCCAAAGATTATTTTAAAGAACATTTTAATACATCCAGTTGGATATTTATTTATTGTTTTGTTTTATTTTTGTGAAAGGAGGCTATCTCTTTCCTTTTATTTTTATTATCTAGTTTTATTGAACTGTGTCAGAAAATATGAAATATATTATTGTATTTAAAATCTAATGGCCAACTTTAATAAATATGTCATGGCTATTTGAAATTAAAGTACATTTCCTTTTGTTAGGTACACATTTTAAATATCTATATGGCTGTTAACTGTATAATTCAAATATTCAAAAGTTTAAATACTTTTTATCTGTTTAATCTCTTGAGTATTGAGGTAAGTATGTTTAAGTCTCTACCATGATGGTTTAATATTCTATTTTTACTTGTATGGCACTTGCTTCCTGTATATTTTATTGATATTTTATTAGGTACATCCATGTTCATGATTGTTAAATCTTATTAGAGTATTGTAACTTTACCAAATAAAATAACCCTCTTTTTACTTTTTATCTCAGATTATTTTTTGTCAGATGTTAATATGGTAATGCTATTTCAGTTTTCTTGGTATTGGTCCAGTATAACTTTTTTTGTCTTCCTTCATTTTTCTACGTTTCTATGCCATTTTTATATTTTAATATTTTCTACAAAGAGAAACATGAAATTTGAGAAGAACATTTATAATTATTATAAACACTGACATGTTTTGTATTTTCCTTTCTTCTTTCTTTCTTTCCTAGTCATTACTGTATTGACATATTTGCCTTTATTTTTTCTTTTACTGGCTTATAAATACACTTTTTTTTATTTTAGTGGCTGTCTTATATTTACATTGTATTAAAACAAATCATTCTGAAGATGCCTATGACTTGTTAGCATTTATATCTATTTTCTTCACTAAGACGAAAGCTTAACATGCTTTCAACTCTCTCTCCTGACTTCACATTCCTAATCTTAGAATTTCTGCTCCCTGTAGTACATGAGAAAAATCAACATCAAATAAATTTTAGATCTTTATTTTAAACTTGATGCAAACTTATTATGCTATCTTAAGATGGAACAGAAACTACCATATTAGAGTAAACATTTTTATTGTTTAAACAGAGGATCTCTGGATTAAGTTTTACATTTCAAGAAATAGGTCAGGTTGTTAATTTGATATTGAGTGCAGCTGCCTTTCACAATCTGGTCTTGAGAATCCACAACAATTTAACTTTCACTAAATATGGCACGTGGTAAATAACCAGTCTATATGAACAGATCCTCCAAATTTTCCTGATAAGCTCAGATTTGAGGACCCCCACACTATACCAAACCCAGATAGATGGGCCCTATCCCCAGAGGTTTTTTGTTTTTTGTTTTTGTTTTGTTTTGTTTTTTGAGACAGAGTCTCGCTCTGTCACCCAGGCTGGAGTGCAGTGGCGCAATGTTGGCTCACTGCAAGCTCTACCTCCCGGGTTCACGCCATTCTCCTGCCTCAGCCTCCTGAGTAGCTGGGACTACAGGTGCCCACCACCACGCCCAGCTAATTTTTTGTATTTTTAGTAGAGATGGGGTTTCACCGTGTTAGCCAGGGTAGTCTCGATCTCCTGACCTCGTGATCCACCTGCCTCGGCCTCCCAAAGCGCTGGCATTACTCAGTACATTGGGGATGGGCCTGAGGATTTGTATTTCGAATAAGTTTCTAAGCTGTGCATATGATGCTGGTCTGAAGACCCCACATGAGGAACAACTAGTCTAATGCAACAAATTCTGAGCAGGCCCCGTGGGTAAGAGACTGGATCTACCACCTGGGGAAAGCCATTTGTCCTTCCAATATTCCTATTCCCGTTACCTCAAGTAAAGGGGACGATGAAGGACCAGATGGCTCCTAAGATCCAGCCAGCTCTAGTTTTTGTGTATGTTCTTTTCTTTCTCTAAAGAGGCTGTGGTTTATTTTCTATCACATTTGATAAAAGAGAGCATCATATAATTGCATTTATCAGTGAGATAACTTTGAGCTAATTACATAAGGACTATTACTTTAGTACTTATATACCCATAAAAATTTCATACAAGAAGATCCAATAGGCTTGTTAGGGGCAAAAAAAAAAAAAAAAAAAAAGAGAGAAAGTAAAGTTCAAGCAAAATATAGAGTAGCTTACGTAAGTCAGGCTATAAATATTTATACATTTAAATAAAGGCCAGAACTTTGCTTCTGTGTTTAATTTTTTAGCAGCCAAATTAAAAGAAAAATGTAAAAATTAAGATAAATGTTTTAAGAACCATGTAAAGTGTTGGGCATAAAGATGGGAACAACAGACACAGGGGAATACAAGAGGGGAGGAAGGGAGGAGGGCAAAGGTTGAAAAACTACCTATTGGGTATTATGCTCACTACATAAGTGACAGATCCATTCGTATACCAAACCCCAGCATCATGAAATATACCTTTGTAACAAACCTGCACATGTACCCCAATTCTAAAATAAAAGATGAAAAACAAAAAACCAGAAAACCCCAAAGTAAATACAGAAGTAAATAAATAAAAAGAAATATGTAAAATGTTATGTCATTCCAAAGGAAACCACTTGTATTAAGGGACAGTGGTTAAAACAATGAGAGGACTTTGGTAATAAGGAGCCTTGTGTTAAACCACAAATGATGGATATGACTTTAATAGGTAGATGTGGTAGGGAAGACCTTCCAAGCAAATGGCCCACTACAAACACACATGTAGACATAAGAAACCTAAAGCATATCTTGATAACCACAAGAAACCCATTTTGTCTAGGGCAGGAATTTTGCCCCCTGGGAACATTTCACAATGTTTGAAGATAATTTTGTTTGTCACAACTGGGCAGTTGGTGCTCTTGGCATCTAGTGGCTAGAGACCAGAGATACTGCTAAACTTTCTGCAATGCACAGAACAGACCCCAACAACAAAAAATTGTCTAGTCCAATATGGAAATAGTGCCTCCTTGAGAAACCCTGTTCCAGGGAAGCTAAATTTAGACGTTAATGGGGAATGCAACTGGAAAAGTAGCTTGCAGATTTTAAATGGTAGGCCAAGGAAAAGTTACCAGAAATAGAAGGTTCTGAGCAACGACTGAAGTTTTTTTTTTTTTTTTTTTCTAATAACCATAGTGCCTTGTGGGAAACTTAAGTGTCAAATACATAGAGATGGCTGGGCACAGTGGCTCACACCTGTAATTCTAGCACTTTGGGAGGCTGAAGTGGGTGGATCACTTGAGCCCAGGTGTTTCAGACTGGCGTGGGCAACACAGGAAAACTCCATCTCTACAAAAAATTACAAAAATTAGCCAGGAATAGTGGTGCACAACTGTGGTCCCAGCTACTTAGGGGATTGAAGCAAAGGGATCACCTGAGCCCAGGAGTCAAGGCTGCAGTGAGCTAGGATTGCACCACTGGACTCCAACCTAAGCGACAGACGGAGACCCTATCTCAAAAAATAAATAAAATAAAATAAAATAAAATAAAATAAACAACAACAACAACAAAAAACCCCCACACAAAACATAGAACTGATTAAAGGAATAAAATCCCAGGAAATGGGATGATCAATTAGGAGCCTATGGCAATATTTCAGATGAGGGGTAAGAAAGACTTTAGAAAGGAAAGGCAATGATCAATTCCAGAGACATGGCAGAAGAGAAATGTTTATGACTCAGCAACTGTTTAAATCATGGGAAGAGAGAAGGTGGCTGGAAAAATCACAGCACGGTTGAATTAAGAAACAGAGTCAGGAGAGAAGAGTGAACTGAAGAGGAACAATTATACTTTGATTTTTGAGGTGTGGGCAGGTCATTTATAGGTGGACACACCAAATAGGCTTCTAGAAGGCAGATTGATTCAACTTGCTATTTTTGTCTACATTCCTGAACTCTTCCATTTGAGTTGAATCCAAGTTACAAGCCTCATTTGCAACAACATAATCTTTTCACTCTCAGGTAAGGGTGGGGGCACAGGCTTTGCCCTTAAGAGAAATTCAACTAGTGGGGCCAACTAATTCAAGTCTCATCCCAGCAGCATAGTATTGGAGTTCACTAAATATTTAACAAGAGTCAAAAGGAGTAATGTTTTGTTTACTATCAATTGTGTTTGCTTTTGTGTGCAGCTTCCATGATCCCAGGGTTGTAAACTTGCAAGTCACATCTGTGTTCTGGGCATGAGCTCACATTTATGTAAATCACCTTCACATGCTGCTACAAATCCACTCAAGTCAACGGTTTAGCACATCCCAACATGCACATTGGAGAGGTTTCCATGAATTACATTCTTTGTTTTAATCCGACATTGACTCATTCCCATGTATTTGCCATCACTCCTGCTGCAACTTGACACACAGTGCTTTGTTAGCCTTGTTTTATATGTCTTACTTTATAGCTGGTAAAGATTCTTTCTCCCCTCCTCTTACGGCATGAGTGGAAGTAGAGGAGGCCAGGAGTTAATCACTGCCCACAGCTGATGTATACAGCAGCCAAAAGCAGGCATTTTCATATGTTTATTACAAGGAAGTATAGCCAGTTGAATTCCCTCTGACTTATGCAGCCATGAATCCTCCACTGTAGGATTTCCTCAACCTTCCAGCTCCATAGAATCATGCAATGCTGGCCGGGTGTGGTGGCTCATGCCTGTAATCCCAGCACTTTGGGAGGCCAAGGTGGGTGGATCACGAGGTCAGGAGTTCAAGACCAGCCTGGCCAGCATGGTGAAACCCTATATCTATTAAAAATACAAAAATTAGCTGGGCATGGTGGTGCACACCTGTAATCCCAGCTATTCGGGAGGCTGAGGCAGGAGAATTGCTTGAACCTGGGAGGTGGAGGTTGCAGTGAGCCAAGATCGTGCCACTGCACTCCAGCCTGGGTGACAGAGCGAGATTCCATCTCAAAAAACAAACAAAACAAAAGAAACAAACAAACAAACAAAAAAATAAAGAATCCTGCAATGCTAAAATCCACGAATTCTACTCATTCCAACTACATTCTTGCCATACAATTTAAGTCTATGCTACAAAGAGTAAGCATGATATAAGGCAACTAAACTGGTCAGTTGCAAAACTTCCTTTTGTCTGTCCTGTGGGTTTTCTGTCAACTGAGTTATTAAACTGCTATAACAGTTTCAGGAGTACATCTATTCCATGAGTTTTGTCGGCTAGGTGGGGTTCTGTACTGAAGGTCTTTAAGGTACTCCTCCATATGCCCAACAGTCAAAAGTAAGAAGAAGAACATAAACCAGGGTGATCCACCGTGAAACCTGCTGAGAGAATGTTTTGATGTGAAGCCCTTCCCAGAAGTGAGAATGACCAAGGAGAAATTACCTCCTTCTAGTCTCTCACCTTCCATCTGCCATGAATGAAGCAACTGCCAGGCAGAGAGACTGGTCATTGCCATTGGTCTGCCATGCTTGGTATGGACATTTTTTTCTAGGGACACATCAATCCCTCGCCTGACCCCAGATCCTGAGAAACATCTTGTGAGGTTATACCTCTTTCACACCATTGAAGAATCTATCTCTTCGATATTTTTGAATGGCTTCCAGACCATAAGTCGCTCCTTTGACACTTTCATTTTTGGCACGAACTGCATTATTTCCATACTCAGAGGTTTACAGTAACCAACAGCAAATGTTCTGCAAACAGAAGCAGAAGGTAACTTAGTAGGCGGTAGGAAAGACCAAGACAAGTTTTATCAACCCCACAATTCTCCAGAACCAGCCCTGATTCTCTGATTCATTTTAAGTTTGTTTGAAAATTCTGTTTGAAGAAGACAAAGAATTATTAAATACAATAAAAAGTAGGATGTTTAGAAAAGAAAACAAAAAACCTTGGATTCTTGGAAAGCTATAGAAGAAATTGAGATTCTCGGTCTAAAAGGATTAAGAGAATACCTGGGCGCATGTTTTATTTAATATCTAGACTTATGTGCAGACAAAAGTTTCCCTGGGGCTCTGGGAGGAAGTTCCAGGATGGTAAATGTAACAGATTAATTCTATAGGGCCTAAAAAAACAAAAAAAACCTTTAGAAATTCTTCTTTCTTTCATGTAAGACCAACTCAGTCATATTCTTTCTTCCTACTTGTTTCAGCAATTGGAAACATCTTCAAACTCATTCTGTAAGAATGATACAATTTTCAAGAGATGAAATTAAAATTATGCCATTAATAATATCTTAGATGTATGGCATGTATTTTCAGTGGTCTTCCTCACCCAGTGAGTGCTTCTATTCAGATTTTGTTGAAAATGACCACTAGGGCTGAGTTGGGAACTCTTGCCTGTTGGTACCTAAAAAGCCTCCTAGTCTGACTGCTCCTGGGAATCACCAAATGTGTTTCCCAACTTTTCATGCTATACACATGCTTTACGCACTCACATATACACAGAAACACTACTTAAAATTAGCTCTGTTAATGTCTGTGTTATTTTCCATTCTGTCTTCAACAATTTCCCTATCACGTTCTTCCCTATGACAGTCTTGGATGAAAAAGGTCTACTTGATGTCGTCACATATATTTTCACCTAAGAATGGAAAAGGAATTTTTTTTTAATTTCAACTTTTCTTATAGATTGAAAGGCACACGTGCAGGTTTGTTACATGGGTAGACTGTGTGACTCTGAGGCTTGGGTCCCTACCAATCTCATCTCCTAGGCCATAAGCATAGAACTCAACAGGTGCTTCTTCAGCCCATACCCGCCTCCTACCATCTTCTGTCTAGTGACCCCCAGTGTCCATCGTTCCCATCTTTACAATCATGCGAGTCCAATATTTAGCTCCCACTTATAGGTGAGAATATGTGGTATTTGATTTTCTATTCTTGCGTTTTGTTGCTTAATCTCCTCCAGCTCCATCCATGTTGCTACCAAGGGCATGATTTCATTCTTTTTTTTATAGCTGCATAGTATTCTATGGTGTATATGTACCCCATTTTCTTTATCCAATCAACCGTCGATGGGCATTTAGGTTGATTCCATTTGTTTTTGCTATTGCTATTGTGAATTGCACTGCAATGAACACGTAAGTCCATGTGTTCCTTATGACAGAATGACTTATTTTCCTTCAGGTATATACTCAGTAGTGGGATTGCTGGGTTGAATGGTAGTTCTATTTTAAGTTCCTTGAGGAACGAAGTGCTTTCCACGGTGGATGAAATAGTTAGCATTCCCACCAACAGTATACAAATGTTCAAACAGGGATTTGTTAATTCCATGATTTAATGAAATTACCTAAGGTTTCTACTAAACACGATTATCATTTGACATCCATAATTAGTAAGCAATGTACCCTAAGGACTTTAAAGCAATTTTTAAATAACCTATGGTAATCTAGAAACCATTAGAAAGTGTGAGTCATTATTTCAGGCCCTATTTATAAGGACCCTGACTACCTTAATTAAACCAAATGAATCTAAACTGTCTCGTGTTACACAATTCATTGTATCTTAGGATAAAGATACACATTAACTAAATAAACTTCATCTACTATATTCACCAGATAATGAGTTAGTGAAGTAATTAAACATAAATATTTTTAATGCCAAGGAAAATGAATACTCAAGGCCACCAACCCAGCATTCGGCAATCTTGTTAACTTTATGTCTTCCTTTTAAAGAATTACAGGAAAGGTTAAATTGTTCAGGATAATTCTGGATAATATCTGAAGAAACTGTAATAAAAACATCACTTGTGAAAGGGGCCACCATGATCTTTGAAAAAGTATGGTCAGTAACATGGTTGTGAATTTTAAGTACTCCTGACCATTTGCTCTTTAGTGAGTAGAACAATCACTGAGAACTAAATAATTTTGGCTATTTTATAAAAATAATTCAACAAATAATAAATACTGATTTCAGGGTAAAGACAAAGCTTTGTTACAAAAACTACAACTTGAATTTATGTATGTGCAATGTCAGTTAAATTTTAACAGTGGCTTGAGTCTAGGTGATTTTAAAGTTTGAATATAAAATCATGAAGGACTCAAAAATTAGGCCTTCCACAAATTTTAATAATTGGCTTCACCTTGTTTATTCCTGTCTTCATATATATATACCTTTATTTACGGTGCCCAGAATGAAGGGTTACCTCTCACGTGGATGTACATTTAAATATAGTCATATAATACTTTTACTACTTTTTGGTAACTATAATTTTTATTCTTTTCCTGTATTTAATCAAATAACTTTTTTTTTTTTTTTGAGATGGAGTCTCGCTCTGTTGCCCAGGCTGGAGTGCAGTGGTGCGATTTCGGCTCACTGCAAGCTCCGCCTCCCGGGTTCACGCCATTCTCCTGCCTCACCCTCCAGAGTAGCTGGGACTACGGGTGCCCGCCACTACTCAGGGCTAATTTTTTGTATTTTTAGTAGAGACGGCGTTTCACCGTGTTAGCCAGGATGGTCTCGATCTCCTGACCTCGTGATCCACCCACCTCGGCCTCCCAAAGTGCTGGGATTAAAAGTGTGAGCCACCGCGCCCAGCCTAGTCAAATAACTTTTATAACAGCAACAGCAATGAAATAAAAACAACTTTGCTATGTGCCACACACTATTATAAGCATTTTACATACAATATAGTCTCATTTAATCCTTAACAAAACCTTTAAAGTAAGCATTACCACTACCATTTTGCATAAAGAAACTGAGTCAGAGAGATGTTAAGAAACCTGCTTAAAATTAAATTGTTACTGAGTGGCAGAGCCATGATTTAACCCAGATCTTTTTGACTCCAGTTAATCCTATCCACTATGTTATACTGTATAGAACCGCTATGTGTGTCTACACTAAATGGGGGAAATGATAATTCTCTTATTTGCAATTTATCTGGGTTGATAATGATCCATGTTTAATTTTTTGCATTGTATTGTGAGTCCCTGATCTTCTTGTTTTCTTGTCCTACAAGGTATAGTCTTCTTTGAAAAAAATTATTATTACCAAACTTCTATAATAACTCTCACTTTCCGTATGTGTATATATCTGGCCCTCAAAATAATTTGTGGCAATTGGTGAGTTATACAATTGACAATTATTTGTTTAAATCAAAGGAGACACAATAAATACAGGAAACAATCTTCAGAAGTCAATTTAAAAGTCTCTAGGAATAAATAAATTACACAGTATCACAGGACACATACAAAAGAAACTTTCAAACACCAGCTACAAACACCAGCTAAGTGGAGATGTTACATGCATTGCAATTCCAATGTATAGTGCAGCTGTTTTTATGAAGTTGATGTTCACAAAGTTAAAAATAATTGCCAGAATTAATCACTGAAAGGCTAATAACCTTTAAGAAATATGTAATGAATTGTTTTGCACACATTTTTATTTTTAGTTTAAATAACTTTTTTTTTATATTCTTCAGTTTACGCCTATTAAATTCAGGGCAGACAATATATTAGCTGAACCCTTAACATTCTTAGGTTGAGACTTATAATTCTTATAGCTGTATGCAGCTCAGCAGGGCTTCATTAATACACTGGTATTTAAGTCATTAGGTTTATTCTACTGTGTGTAAATAGGCAGCGGAACAGTTACCTTGGGTAACATTTAAGTGCAATAAATAACTCTACATCTATTTAATCTGCCTAATCGGTGTTTTTCAAAGGAATGGCAGCGTAAAACACTTTTATGTGGCAGTCTCTCACAAGACACCCCAAACAACAAAATTAACAAGAAAAAAAAAACAAAAAACCTTGCCCAGTGAAATGAAAAGATGAACACAGCTGTGACAGTGACAGTGATGAGTATCTGCCAGACACAAAGAAAGAAGGATCATTCTGCAGAAGGCCATTAAAAGCAAGTTATATCTTGATCTCAAGCAAGGTCGCTGATTTTTTTTGCTTCCTAAAAGCCATAAAATCAAACGCCCAACCTATGACCATTTTCTTAGCAAATCAAAATGTAGAGGTACTAGCTGACTAAGGGAAAAATCACATATTCACTTAATTCTAGAGCCCCATTTCCAGCCACAGAGTATCACAAAAGCAGGGAGAAAGGGCACCCGAGCCCATTTCCCAAGACTTAACATTCTAACTCAGAGGAAGGTCTTAAGGGAGGTAGCGGAGGATAAGCAGAAAGTCAGCGATTCTCTTTGCAGTTCTCAAAATCAGACTAATGAAAATAAAACTAACAATAAAGTACTTATGGAGCACAGAACTTGTGATAGACCAGAGAGAGAAGATCAGAAAAACTAAGGTCATGCTCCCAGAGCAGAGAGAAGACAAAGATTATTTGAGAAAATGATCTGAGTAGGAAACCTTTTGTGGGAGAGGGCAAACTGACACTACCACAAAGCCTGATATTAACTAGGTGCTCAGTAAATATTCCTTGAATGATTGACAGAAGGGAAGAAAAAAGGAGGGAAGGAGGAGGGAGAGCAGGCAGTGACAAGCAAGTGGCTGTCCATCATTTACCCTTCCTTTTTACCGTGTTTACACTCTTGCCACATATAGATGCAGTCTGTTCCTTTTTTGGTTTTTCTACCAAACATCTAGAGTCCATGTGATATTCTGGGTGTATCTACATCTGGGCCAGAATAGTACATTGTGTTCTATCTTTAACTCACAGGACATACAGCAATAGTCTAAGTCTCCTGAAAAGCCCTAGAATAGTCAACAGATATAATTTCTCTTTCACACTTTTTTGAGCAATCATTAAAAATAACCGAAGCAAATCTAATTTCAGTGAAGGGGCTATCTTTGGATGCCATGAGAATGTGATAGGAGAATATGTATTTACATTTTAATTAGTGTCAAAATAAATATTTTTATTGGTGTCAAAGTTAGAAACACTTTAACTTTTAAACCCATGCATTCTAAAAGTGACATAGAGCTTACTAATACTTTATAGCGTTTCCTAAACTTCGTTTGGCTTAGTTTTCTCATGTGTAAAATGGTGATAATAGCATCCGCCACGCAGGGCTGGTATGTGGATACAAAGAAAAAATTTATACAAAGCATCTAATACAATGCTTGCTACATTGTAGGGGTTCTAATTTCTCCCATTTTAGACAACCCTAATTTATTAATATTTTCTGTGTCTGTCTTTCCCAGAATACAATGGAAGAGTATTTTTTAAACCACATTAAAGAAATTTGAAATCTACAAAATTTAGAAAGTAAAATCTAACATTTCTAAAATGTTTGAAATAATTCATTAAACGTCAAAACATAATACCGAAAAAGGAAGGGTCATCTATCTAGGTTGAAGTTTGAGGTTCCAGTTTGTTTTTTTATAGTTTTACCATAATTCGAACTTGAACTTTTTTTTCTCTGATGGAGAAATTCTCTGCAAACCTCCCCTGGACACAGAGACAATGCTGTAAGCAGTGAAGCCAGCTTCAAGATACCTGTACTTCAAAATGAAACAGTCTGCAACTTGCTTGTCAGTGGTTCATGGAACAGTTCTCAACCAGGACGTTACCATTCTCCAGGAAGTGTTTGGGGATATGTGAAGATGTTTTTGGAAGCCACAACCATGGAAGGTATTTCTAATATTTATTGCCAGGGAGCCAGGGATGGTATACTCCTGCATCCATTGCCATGGAGCCTGTAAATGGAAAAGCATCCCATCCAATTCGCACACCCATGCATTCAAAAATATTACTATACTCACATATGCCTATGCATATGTGTAGTCATATTTTTAAATATTTATATATGTGTGCAAAACAAAAACAATATCTATTTCAAGATGTTAATATAAATAAACATGCAGAATGATTGATGCCCTTCTTAACAGCTGAGGGTCTTAGGAATTAATCTTGTCTTGCTGAACGTTGATTCTCAAATAAATTGTTCTGCAAAAATGCATCACCTTAGGAGTAGTATGACATGCCCTGCCATGCCAACTCCTATTAAATATTTAGACTGGCAAAAAATATCTAAGAGTCATGTAATTTGCTTTTTTTTTTTTTTTTAACAACAACAAAAGAAAACCCTCAAGTTTTAAAATTCTCTCTCGAAGAAGCCATTGTCAGAGGCCACTTTGGGTTGGGTAGGTAGTAAATCTGTGTGTGAGCCTACATGCCATGCATCTTCTTTAGGAATGGATGCTTTTTAAGGAAAGATTTTTGTAGGTGGTTCTTTTTTGTTCTGACATTGCATTTATATTCGGCTCCACCCCCACGGTCTTTCATTTAGTGGCACTTGCAGAAAGCCAACTCCTAAAAAGATGTATTTTTCCTTGTCCTGTACTGGGGTGGAAACTCTTCTTATTTATATACACTGTCATAAACAGATGCTATAGAAACATAAACTCTTTTTTTTTTTTTTTTTTTGGTAGCACCTTGTCTTTTTTCCTAACCTCATGCAGACATGAAGGAAACTATATCCTGGGAAAATGGAAGATGGCAACACATTAGTGAAAATGTCATTGGAAAGGTGCACTGCCCCAGAGCTATGTTGCTGAAATTTCTAAGCCTTTCTTTAATAGCCTTCTTGGGTCCCTAAGCAGGGAGGTTTTGGATGAATTCTCCCCAGCCGTGGTATGCCATTGTCTGATTCTTCCAGCCAAAATTTACAACAACAAATAAAAAACAGTGGATCCTTACGAGAAATTTTTTCCTGGGAAAGCCATATATTGTGGAAAGGGGGAAGAAATTGTAACATGGACCAAACTCTTTCAGGTCATTCAGAGTATCTATTGTAGCAACTGAAAAGCTCCAAACCAGTCAAAAAGGTGTTTTTAGGTCAGACATACATTATCAAACATTCGCCTACATATTATTAGTTTATTTATGAGAAACAAATATAAAGATGCTTGCATGTATTTCTAGCAGTATCCATATAATTGAATGCTTTACTTTTTAGCAAAAGGACTGTCTTTAAATTGAGTATGAGCCTACCTTCCCCAGAGTCAAATTCTTTATTAGACATATCACAGTATTTTCATACTCATATTCTAAGGCAGATATGGAGTTCCCGAGATCACAGAATGTCAGAATTTACTCAAACATCTGCCCATGCCCCTGGGCGAAGTTACATCAACGATCAGAAATTATGTTCCATGTTTCTTTCTCTTTCTGTTCTACCCTGTTTTCATATTCAGTTACACTTCCTGGTTCTATTGAATACTGGAAGTGCCAAAATGTGGCAAGAAAGACAAGTTCTAGCCTTACCAGAAACAAGAAGTATTTAGAGGTAAGACTCGTATTGTGAAATTTCTAATCCAGTTGCACAAATTTAAAAGTTTCTAATTTAAACTTCCCCTACATAATCTCATGTGGGAAAAACCTGTGCTTTTGATGTAATTTAATGAAGAGAGGTTAACTGGAAAGAGGCATTAGGAAAAACATGGAGGACCCACCCAAGGGTAACTGGGGGTACCTCAGGGGCCTGCCATCTCCTGCTTTGTTCTAGTCACACGTCTCAGAATATGTCTGGCATTCTGGGCTCAACAATGTGACTTATGTGACTTATTTCTTTGTTTTGTTTTGTTTGAGATGGAATGTCACTGTGTCACCCAGGATGGAGTGCAGTGGCACGATCTTGGCTCACTGCAATCTCTGCCTCCCAGGTTCAAGCGATTCTCCTGCCTCAGCCTCCTAGGTAGCTGGGATTACAGGCATGCACCACCATTCCCGGCTAATTTTTGTATTTTTGATAGAGACAGGGTTTCACCATGTTGGCCAGGCTGGTCTCAAACTCCTAACCTCAAGTGATCTGCCCGCCTTGGCCTCCCAAAGTGCTGGCATTACAGGCTTGAGCCACTGCGCCTGGCCTCATGTGACTTATTTCTCAAATGTTAAATGAAGTATAATATCTATTTTTATAAACAAATATTTATAGGTATATCAACTTTTTCCCTCAGATTATACATATCATTTTAAAACTATGGTATTCCAAAACCTACAGAAGTCATGGGCTTACCACAGTTTCCAATTTGGTAGCAAACGAGACTCTTTGAACTGTGAGCATAAGGGTTTGTTTTTGTTGTTGTTTTGTTTTTGAGACAGGATCTCACTCTGTTGCCCAGGCTGGAGTACAGTGGCACGATCATGACTCACTGCAGCCTTAACCTCCCAGGCTCAAGTGATCCTCCCAACTCAGCCTCCATGGTAGCTAGGACTACAGGCACACACTACCATGCCTGGCTCATGTTTTGTATTTTCATGGACACGAGATTTCGCCATGTTGCTCAGGCTGGTCTCAAACTCCTGGGCTCAAGCGATCCACCTACCTTGGCCTCCCAAAGTGCTTGGATTCAGGAGTGAGCCACTGTGGCTGGTCCTATAAGGGTTTATTTATTGCAATAAAAAATGAACGTGTCATATTTTGCCTGTAAAGAAGTTTGCATTAAAGAAAGAGGAAGTATCATCTTCCAGCAGTGAAGTATTAAGATTTAAAGCAATATTACTACTTTTCACCTTCTTATCCAAACCAAACCAGATCCAGATCCTGTGAATTAAAATGACCAGAATATTAGCACCCTTAATTATAGCAATCTGTTCCTCTCTTTTTGTTTTCCATGGATTCTGTCCAACCCAGGAATATTATGTTTGCATTATTGCTATAGAATTTGCATCAAAGGCATGGCTTGATTTTTCTTTTTTATGTTCTCTGGAAATCTCAAGCCCCAATGACTAAAATCCTGAAAGGTTTTAAGTTTTTCCGCTAGTTAATACAGTAAGAAATTAGTTGCATCTACATATTTAGATTATTGTAGGAAGTCATACACAATTTTCACTTTGCAAAACATGATTGTGTAGACAGAACCTCATGTTCCAAGTAACTGTTTGTCGTTAGGTAGCTAGTATCATCTGTTCATCTAGCACTCTTGGCCTTTTTTACTCTTTAAACACAGAGCTTCCAAGAAGAGTTATAGGGCAGAGCTACAATGCAGTTATTTATTCCAGCCCTCTCACAAGACAACTATATTTAGGATATGATTTCACCAGTCTTAGACTCTGTACTTTGTAGTCTGGTACATAAACACAATTCAAATGTCCTCACAATTCTTCATATGAGCAAAAAGAGAAAACAGATCTGAGTTAGTTCTATAATTAAAATTATTAAAATATAATATCAGATACAATATATTATGTGTGAGTGTGTGTTTGTGTGAGATTCTTCTAAAAATATAGCAAAATGTTGACAGTGCTAATCTCTGGAAAAAGGGGTCATGAATAATTCTATGCTCTTCATTAAAACTGTATGTATTTTACAGATTTTATAATGATTCACATGCTACCATTATTGGAAATAAATAAAGACTTAGGGTGTCCTCAGTGATATGCAATTAATATTTATTCTCTGTCTGAAACTCTCAATTTTGTAATCAGAGCACTAAATGATTTATTAAAGCTGTGGACTGCTTTTCAACCAACAGAAGCATAGTAATATACGATATATAGCAAGGAAGGAAGACAAAGCCACAGTGCAATTAGGCAAAGGCAAAGAGGTAGTTACAAATATGGGACATATTTTAAGAAGAGCTGAAGCCACTGAGCAAAATTTGTTCTTGTCTAGGGAAATGATGTTAATCTACAGTTAGTCTTTTAAGGGTGGTACCTGAAAGTATGAACATGACTTTGAAGATGAATTCCTGTTTTAATGAAAAACCTGGGAGTCTACAGAAGAAGACTGCAGTGGTTTGTGGAGACTCCCAGATTGTCTATTAAAACTGTAATTCATTCTTAATTCTTCCTTCTGCCTCGACACCCAGTCATTACATTTTATCAGCTTCACGTCCAAATCATCTCAAGAATCTTCACTGCCTTCACTCCCACTGTCACTGTCTGAATAGAGACTCTCATATCTCACCTTAGCCACTTCCTCCAGGTTCTTTCTGCCTCCTGCCCTGCTCCAACCAGCACATTTTCCCCCTGTGGCTGCCAGCTTTATTTTCTTTAACATAAATCTGCTGCTGCCACTCTCCTACTTAACAAAACCTTCAGCGTCTGCTCATCACCACATAATAAATCCCAAAAGTTATCACTAATCCACCTTCACTCACCTCCGTTCTGTTTGTGCTCCAACATTTTTTCTATTTCTTCAACTATAATGGGTGCTTTCATGTGTCCCTGCATTTGTATATGTTGATTGTTCTGACTGAAGGCCCCTCCCTTACCTTTCATTCATGCTGGGAAATTCATGCTAGCTCTACTGAAATCATTTTCCTTACTTCCTTGAGTAGAATGAATTGGCTCTTCATTTGCACCCCCACAGAACATTTTCTAAATTTAAAAAATAGCACTATTTGAAAACTGAGAAATGGCGCCCGATATTCAGGATACACAGCAATGCCTGGAACAGTTACGATGAGTAATTGTTTAAATTTAACAAACACTGATATAGTACTTATATTCAAGGTTCTGTTGTAAGTGTTTTACAAAGATCAACTCATTTAATCTTCATGGAAACTCATGAAATAAGTACTATTAGTATTCCCACCTAATAGAGGAAGAAAACTTAGTTGTAGAGAGTTTCAGTAACTTGCTTAAGGTTTCACACAGGCCAGGACTTGAAGCTAGACAGCGCAGCTCTTGAATCCATGGCCTTGCCAACTTCAGCACTCTGCTATGCCCCTGAAATAAATGACAGTCATCAGGGCACACGCATCAGTAGAATTTCAGACTAATGAAAATGCTTCAAAGGAGTTAGTAGGATATCAGCCTTCTAAGGTTTATTCTTCATTAAACCATATAGCCACAGAATGTGGTAACCAGAAGTTTCCTTTGAACCACAATGCTTGATTCAGGCAGCTGCTCAGAGTCACACAGCTTTACAATCTCTTCATTCACATAGTGCAAAAACCAGAACACCCTGTTCTCATTGAACCTAGTCTCTCCCAACGTGGAGGAGATAGCCAGTTCTCATTAAGCTTTATGAAGCTACAAGCTAAATGGAACTCAGGTTGCTTGGAGACCAGGTGTCCTTATATCTTTCGGTTGCCCAGGGTATTTCCTGGGGCAGAGCTCAAGAGTTGAAAGTCCACAGCTTGGGGGGTAACGTTTTTCTTTCTGAACAAATTGGCTTTGATGTGGCTAAATCGGTTCCAAATATTGAGGCTACACACAAGCCATGGTCTTTGGGGATGTGTTTATTCTCTGATGGAATAGCAGCACTTCATAGTTAAGCACCTTGGTGCTTAACTTAGCTTAATGGTTAAGAGATTTGGACTGTATGTAATAATATAGTTCAGAATTTAGATTATTATTCCTTTGATAAATACTAAGTTTAATGAAAAAAAATCATTGTTTTACAAATCTAGACTAATCATGCACTTAATGTATTAGCTGTTTTATTTTCTTCAGATTACACAAGTGTTATACAGTGCATTCATTATATGCTATTTAAACATTACAGAAAAACCTAGCATGGACTAGAAAAGTCCTCTATAAACAGCTTCTAAAAACTGTAACCTAAAAGTGTGGTGTATGACTCTGATTTTGAATCTATATACACATAAATATTATCATAAAATTATTAATAATAATGTTTAAAAAATTAGATTGTACTTTAATATCATTTTAAACTTTGCATTTTAACTGAGCAGTAATTATTGAGTGCAAAAACTACTTAGGAAGTATAATATCACCTCATTTCCCTTGTATGTGGGAATCTGATAATTTAACATTGCCTAATTTCATATCTCTGCAATGTTCTGTATTCTAATAAATTAAAACAATTTTTGACATAAATTACCCCCTTAAATAGCAGAAATTAAAGTTTCTTCACACTTCTTTTACATCATTCTTGGAATTTTCCTGACTACTAAATTGACATAATAAGTTATCCAAGAACTTTGCTATTTCTCTTTATTTTAAACACATGCGCAAACCTATCGATCAAACTTTATCCACATTACCTACTTACTTATATGCATTTCAACACCTCACCATTCTGGGAGCTCTTGTTCCTAACATTAAAAGAAAAAAATCTCTCCCTCCCTGCAAACAAACAACAAATTTTTATGTAATTTCCCATTAAACTTTCATGGCAAACAAATTTAATAATTTACGTTTAAAGAGAAAAAATGACCATGCACAAAGAGACTGGAAAAGAAACACTTCTACAGCTAGGACAACAATGACCAGATTTGACAACTGATTACTCCCTTCTCAGGCTCTTGGCCATGCTCCACAGTTATTTTTAAACACTTTAGAACACCTGGGAAAATTGTTTCTGTACAGGGTAATTCTCTTGTACAGGGTAACATCTCCAAGAGGTGCAGCAAAAAATTAAAATACCGTCAGAAAAAAACTGAACAGAATAATGAAGGGATCATGTCAATGGAAGGATATTTAAAGAATGTAGACATATCTAGAAAACATAAGAGAATAGTAAAATAGAAAGCCTCTCCTCTCCCTCTTCTTCCCTTCCTGCTTCTCTTCTTCTCTCTCTTTATTCCTTTTCTTTCTCTCCTCCTCTCTCTCACTGTCTCTCTCTCTCTCTCTCTCTCTGTCTCTCCCCATTTGCCTCTGACACACTCTCTCTCTCTCTTTGTATTTAAGTTTGAGGATATCCTAGAGCAGAACCAAAACAAAAAAGTTGCACCAGGGGCATGTTAATAACCAAATGCACCATGTACAAGATTGGTTTTATTTATTTATATAAACCCTGAGGCACTACATTAAAATTAATGGGAGAAAAATTCAAGGAACCGGATTTCCGTATAAGAAAATTTATTTCCGGCTGGGCTCGGTGGCTCACGACTGTAATCGCAGCACTTTGGGAGGCTGAGGTGGGTGGATCAAGAGGTCAGGAGTTCGAGACCAGCCTGGCCAACATGGTGAAACCTCGTCTCTACTAAAAATACAAAAATTAGCCAGGCGTGGTGGCAGGCACCTGTAATCCCAGCTACTAGGGAGGCTGAGGCAAAGAACTGCTTGAACTCGGTGGGCGGAGGTTGCAGTGAGCTGAGATCACGCCACTGGACTCCAGCCTAGGCGATAGAGCAAGACTCTGTCTCAAAAAAAAAAAAAAAAGAAGAAAATTTATTTGCTGTCAGAGATGTACATAAATCAATTGCACTGAATAGTAGTGGTTATGGCAATATTATAAATAAAATTAAAAATAATGATTAATATTTATTGATCCTTGTCAAATATATTACATGTATTTTCACATTTAATCCTTAGAATAACGGCATGAATTAGCTACTTTTATTATCGTCATTTTACAGTAATTTACATTTTACATTAATAACTGAATACACCATATGATATTAAAGCTTTTTAAATTTCTTACAGGTGAAAAGGTTGAATGTAGGAATTCGACTACAGACAGACACTAGTTAAGTATTGTAGGGATATATAGCATACTAGAGACTGAGCTCATAAGTACTTTGCTACACTGAATGGTTATGAATCATTTATTTCTGAATTTGCCATTGTATCATCTAGACAAATATTTAATAATCTCTCTAGCAAATGCTAAAAGCCATTGTGATAATGAAAATGTAGCAAGATTCAGGCAACTGGTAAATTGTAGTAGAGTTCATTGGTTTCTTGTTTTATGACCAGTCAAATACAAATGTCACAATTTCTGGGTTGCCAATTTTGGAAGCCTTCTTCAAACGCCTTTATAATTATTATAATTATACACTTCCCACTGGCCCCCCCACCACCCACATTTATTCCAGGCAATGTCTGTTTCCCACTCATGGTACACAAGCACAGCTTAAAAAGCAATGGACTTTGGAAGGCTCCATCAGCTTTGCAGGCCCAAAATAGTACATGAAACCTTTGCTTGCCCTAAGGATTCCCTCTTTAAAAGTCTTTCTTCACATAGTGACAGTGAAAGCTCCAGCTCATCTTTGATCTTGCTGTATTCTATTAATTTGAAGTAAGGAAAGACAAAGATTCATAAAGTGCAGCAGCTGTGGTGACCTGAATCACTACTTTAAATTCACTTGAGGACTCAATGTATAGAATTCTCAAAACAGTTTGTGATACGGTTTGGCTGCATCTCCACCCAAATCTCATCTTGAATTGTAGCTCCCATAATGCCCGCGTGTCCTCAGAGCAACCTGGTGGGAGGTAATTGAATCTTGGGGACAGGTTTTTTCCATGCCGTTCTACTGATAGTGAATAAGTCTCATAAGGTCTGAGGGCTTTATAAAGGACAGTTCCTCTGTACACACTCTCTTGCCTGCTGCAATGTAAGAAGTGCCTTTGCTCCTCCTTCGCCTTCAGCCATGATTGTGAGGCCTCCTCAGCCATGTGGAACTGTGAGTCCATTAAACCCAGTTTTCTTTATAAATTACCCACTCTTGGGTATTTTTTTTTTTTAAGATGGAGTCTCACTCTGTCACCCAGGCTAGAGTGCAGTGGTGCAATCTCGGCTCACTGCAAGCTCCGCCTTCCGCCTCCCGGGTTCATGCCATTCTCCTGCCTCAGCCGTCCGAGTAGCTGGGACTACAGGCACCCACCACCACACCCGGCTAATTTTTTGTATTTTTAGTAGAGATGGGGTTTCACCGTGTTAGCCAGGATGGTCTCGATCTCCTGACCTCAGGATCCACCTGCCTCGGCCTCCCAAAGTCCTGGAATTACAGGCGTGAGCCACCGTGCCCGGTCACTCTTGGGTATTTCTTCATAGCAGTATGAAAGTGGACTAATACAGTAAATTGGTAACAGTAGGGTGGGGTGCTGCTGTAAAGACACCCAAAAATGTGGAAGCAACTTTGGAACTGAGTAACAGGTAGAGATTGGAACAGTTTGGAGGGCTCAGAGGAAGATAGGAAAATGTGGGAAAGTTTGGAACTTCTTAGAGGCTTGTTGAATGGCTTTGATCAAAATGCTGATAGTGATATGGACAATAAATTCCAGGCTGAGGCGGTCTCAGATGGAGATGAGGAGCTTCTTGGGGATGGAAGTAAAGGTCGCTTTTGCTGTGCAAAGAGACTGGTGACCTTTTGTCCCACCCTAAAGATCTGTGGAACTTTGAACTTGAGAGAGATGATTTAGGGTGTCTATTGAAAGAAAGTTCTAAGCAGCAGTGTTCAAGAGGAAGCAGCATAAAAGTTTGGAAAATTTGCAGCCTGATTATGCAGTAGAAAAGAAAAAAAACATTTTTGAGGAGAAATTCAAGGCAGCAGCAGAAACTTGCATAAACCAGGATCTAAAAGCTAATCACTAAGACAATGAGGAAAATGTCTCCAGGGCATGTCCAGCAGCCCCTCCTATCACAGGCCCAAAGGCGTAGGAGGCAAAAATGGTTTCCTGGGCTGAGTCCAGGGCCTTGCTGCTTTGTGCAGTCTCAGGACTTGGTGCCCTGCATCCCAGCAGCTCCAGCCATGGCTAAAAGGGGCCAAGGTACAGCACAGGCCATTGGCTTCAGGAAGGGCAAGCCCTAAGCCTTGACAGCTTACATGTGGCATGGAACCTACAGGTGCACAGAAGTCAAGAATTGAGGTTTGGGAACCTCCGCCTAGATTTCAGAGGATGTATAGAAATGCCTGGATGTCCAGGCAGAGGAGTGCTGCAGGGGCAGAGCCCTCATAGAGAATCTCCTGCTAGGGTAGTGCAGAAGGAAAATGTGTGGTGGGAGCACACAGAGTCCCCACTGGAGTACTGCCTAGTGGAGCTGTGGGAAGATGGCCACCATCCTCCAGAAACCCCAGAATGGTAGATCCACTGAGAGCTTGTACTATGCACCTGGAAAAGTGGCAGACACTCAACATCAGCCTATGAAAGCAGCCGGGAGGGAGGCTGTACCCGCAAAGCCACAGGGGCGGAGCTTCCCAAGGCTGTGGGAGCCCACCTCTCGCATCGGTGTGACCTGGATGTGAGACATGGAGTCAAAGGAGATCATTTCTGATCTTTAAGATTTGGCTGCCTGCTGGACTTTGGACTTGCATGAGGCCTGTAGCCCCTTTGTTTTGGCCAATTTCTTCCATTTGGAATGGGTGTATTTATCCAATGCCTGTATCCCCATTTTATCTAGGAAGTAACTAACTTGTTTTTGAGTTTACAGGCTCATAGGTGGAAGAGACTTGCCTTGTCTCAGATCCGACTTTGGACTTGGACTTTTGAGTTAAGGCGGAAATGAGTTAAGACTTTGGGGGACGGTTGGGAAGGCATGATTGGTTTTGAAATGTGAAGACATGAGAATTGAGAGGGGCCAGAGGTTGAATGATATGTTTTGGCTGTGTCCTCACCCAAATCTCAACTTGACTTTTAGCGCCCATAATCCCCACGTGTCATGGGAGGGTCCTGGTGGGAGGTAATTGAATCATTGAGAGGTGGGTTTTTCCTGTGCCATCCTCATGACAGTGAATAAGTCTCACAAGATCTGATGGTTTAATAAAGCGCAGTTCCCCTGCACAGGCTCTCTTGCTTGCTGTCATATAAGACATGCCTTTACTCCTCCTTCACCCTCAGCCATGATTGTGAGGACTCCCCAGCCATGTGGTACTGTGAGTCCACTAAACCTCTTTTTCTTTATGAAGTACCTGATCTTGCATATTTCGTCATAGCGGTATGAAAATGGACTAATATAGTTTGTTATCAAGATGAATTAATAAATTATAACATTTTATAATTAAAATAAGAAATGTAATAAGTGTTACATAATATCAAGGTTTCCATGAATGTAGTGGCTTCTCAGCATGTGAAATATATTTATCTTCAGATATTTATATTGGGATGCTATTGGGAGGATTTATTAAAATCAACAAATTAACCAAAAATGATACTTGAGTTCCTCCCATATGTAAATGACTTATTTATTCATTGTTTTAACTCTAACTTAAACTGAAATCCAGTTTCCGGTTTGTAATTATTTTCTTTTGTCTATGTTCTAAGGTGTATATGAATGTGACACTGTGTGTGTATTAAATGATATATTTTCTGTTTCTTTTATTGGAGCATAAGATTTTTAAGGGTGGGACTCAGTGCTTGTATGTATGGTTCCTTACAGTGGCTGGTAAAGTTTTATCTAAACAAGCTCTCTGATCTTGAAGAAATATGACAAAATATCAACAGTTAAAATTTATCATCAAAATTTGTTTAAATTTTTAAACTTCTGAATCTCATCACTCTACCAAAAATATTGTGCATTTGCATGTATTTTACAGGATAAACTTGTATGTGTTCATTAATTGAGGACTCGTTTTCAATACCCTGGAGGAACCCATTGCTTAAAAGGAACATGGCAAGAAACCCCTCTGCATTGTAACATTGATTGGGTATTTGATTATTTTTATGGCTGGTGCATTTTTATTTCAATAAGATGATTTGTGCTAATTCCTGAAAATATTTTTGCAATGTGATTTATGAGAGTTAAAGTCAGCTCTGAATACTGGATTTTGGATAAGCTGACAGCAATGCAGTCTGATAACATGTGACTACGCCTATTCTGTAGTAGCCCCAGGCCATTTTCCATGCCATTCAATAAAAGGAGTTTCCATTATGACTAATTTTATGTGTTCTGAAGATCTTTCATTATATGGCACAGTGCGACATCATTTAAAAATAGAAATGCCTATAAGACATTTCTTTATTTTCTTCCTATTGTGACACGTTCTTTTTTTAAGTGTGTGTACACCACCCAGACACTCTTCGCTTTATTACCTGATTCTTTGTGGTGTCCGTAATTCCCTAGCTCTGTAAGGTCAGCCTTCAAAGTTCAGATGAGAAAAGAAACAGGCACATTTGTGCATATTTCAGTCTGGCTGAGGGGAAAAAAAATGAGCTTTGAGCTGGCTACCTCATACTCTTTCTCTTAGCATGCCCCACTTTTCTACTCTGACGAAGAAACACAAAATACAACATTATTCAAATAACTGTATAGGGAAAAAAATGGCTTTCTCTGTTCCCCAGACTTGCCTGTTGACATAGGAAGACATAAATAAATTCCTAAATTAATTACGGTAAGTGATTCACAATGTTTCAGTAAATATCTTACCTAGATGAGGTTCAA
Organism: Homo sapiens; assembly: GCF_000001405.40. Taxonomy (NCBI): domain Eukaryota; kingdom Metazoa; phylum Chordata; class Mammalia; order Primates; family Hominidae; genus Homo; species Homo sapiens. The sequence continues at coordinate 70,216,400 of NC_000017.11, forward strand.
ATTACTTCAGAGGATTTATTAAAATCAACAAATTAACCAAAAATGATAGTTGAGTTCCTAACATATGTAAATGACTTATTTATTTATTTATTGTTTTAACTATAACTTATACTGAGATCCAGTTTCCGGTTTGTAAGAAATAGCAAGATAAGGCCTAGTAAGTTAGATCAAAGAATTCCTTTGGCTAAAGTTGGATCTAACTTTCATACTTATTATTTTACTATATATGTTCATGTATAAAACCCAGAATAATATTATGTGTATGTATAAAACCTGAGAGACACATAAAAACAATTTTGAAAAGTCGATTTTGATAAACACCTATTTTCTGAATTATACAGACTTCAGTTTTGCTCCAAAATGAAAGGTGTGATAGTTAACTCAAATTTGTGATTTTGCTTTGAAGCCAATGCAATTGCCAAATTGATGCCTCTGAAACCTTCTTCACCAAACTTTGTTTTAAACTGAAAAGACTTCTCCATTCCTTCAGCTCACAGCACTGACATGGTCTTTGGCTTTCAGTTATTCTTAAACTAGAATTTCTTCAGGAAAGCTATTTACATCCAAAGGTAAAGAAGCTCATTTGTTAGCAGGTATCTAAGAAAGAAAGTGAAATTTTGTATTGATGCTCTCCCATTCAAATTCAAAAGGGGATAAATTTGGTATTGATGCTCTCCCATTCAAGTTCAAGAAGGGATAAAACAAATATCTTTATGAAAAGGCCTCCGTGTTTCATCAGCTAATACATGAAATTTAGATGAGACACATAAAAGCAGATCCCTTAAATCCTAGAGATTACAAACCATTTGAAATGACAATTGTTCTAAATAAACATGTGATTCACATGGAAAATTTTTGTATTTGCTCTATCTATTCAACTTAGTTCACTTTTCAGTAATTGGTAGTGTTCTTCTAATGTATTAATCCATTGAATAACATGTGTTAGGTTACTTTCTCAGTATTTTTGGACAGTTTGTCCTTACTTCAGACCAGTTCAGTGTTTTGTTTTTTTAAATAAAATAGCACTCTTGTATAGCTTCATGTAATATTCTATTGCCATCAATCACATTATAATGATTACATTAATATGATATATGAAAAAGTTGTTTCCCAGTGCCATTCAGATGCAAGTAACTCCAGTCTACTCCACCAAACATATTTTTGTTTGTAATATAGCTTTTTATAAATGGCTTAAATATGGAGAGCTACTTAACTATATTCTTTTTATCCCCCAACCCACCTGTCTCAAAATGCCCCCAGTAAACAGTTTTGCTCATAGAACTTCCTTGCTTTCTCTCTTTTCTTTTTTTCTTTCTTCCTTTTCTTTCTTTCCTTTCTTTCTCTCTTTCCCTTTTTCTTTCTCTCTCTCTCCCTCTCTCCCTTCCTTCCTTCCCTCCTTCATTCTCTCTCTCTCCCTCTCTCCCTTCCTTCCTTCCCTCCTTCCTTCTTTCTCTTTCTCTTACTTTTTTGATGAAGAGTTGAGTAAAAGATCCTTTATGTGACAACAAGTATCCAGACTGAAAATTTCACTTTAACTTCCTCTTTTTGTTATGTTATCAAGTTGATACCGTTATACAGTAAAAAGAAAAAGGGTATTATTTTCATCCAACTTTGTCTATTTTCAGATGGAGTTCTTTTTATGAAAGAGTCAAAAATCATAGTTTATTGAGATATTACTTGGTATCAGGGTGTGGTATGAGCTAATAAAATCATCCAATGGAATTCTTGCTGGGTTTTTAACAGATTAAAGCTTGCAAAGAACTTAGCACAGCATCTAGAATTGGGTATCGTTAATAATAATTAACATTTTACTGAAAAATGTGTTGCTTTCTGGACAGTTGTTACCCTTATGGGCTATATAGTTTAGATATAATCCATTGGAAAACATGTTTATTTTCTCAAAAAAATCCCTCAAGTGGCCATTGCTGAGGATTATATACGCCTCAGGATACTGTTCTAAAAAGTTCTTGATCCAATTTATGAGTGAGATAGTCAAGGATCATAAAGTATTCATTCTTATGGTTTTACAGGTTTATATATCAGGAGTCTGGAAACTAATTTCTTGTTTTTACAAATAATATTTTATTGAAACACAGCCATATGCATGTGTTTACACGGTATCCACGGCTGTTATCAAGCTACAATGCTGTAGTTAAGTAGTTGTGGCCAGAGACCACATGTAGCCCACAAAACCTAAAACATTTACTGCCTGGTCCTTTAAAGAAAAAAGTTGCCAATATCTTGTATAAATGGTCAGCAACTATTAATTCAGCTGAAAGTTAAATGATTTATTCAACAAAGATTAGCAAATATTTACAAAGTTTTAGAACTAGGAAGCAGGCAAATACTTTTCTTATAGAGCTTAAAGTTAATCTAGTTGAAACAGATGAAAGCGTAGAACAAAGTAACCTAGACTGTTTATTTTTTTGAAAGTCCTTAAATATTTCAATGCTTCTCTTTAATAAGACTTACAAGAAAAAAATTTCCCAATTTATTTTACAGATGGGAGTGCATTTTGGCAGAGTCGCTATCAAAACTCGGCTGTCTTTTGGGGGCAAACAGAGGAATCAAAATAAGGATTTATCTCCACTTTGACAAAGGGAAGAGAATAAGCCCACTTTTGACAAATCAACATGTGCAAAGTCCACATTTTGAACCACGAGGCAAAAATTAGTATGAGATGTTAGTATTATCTTAATTGCGGAAGAGTCAGATACTCACTCATAGTACCTCTATTATTGAGTCTCAGATTTATAAGAGGCAGGGTATGTGTGGATTGTGCTTCTATGAACAACTAAATTATCTGTTTAATCCAATGCAAGCAAAATGATGGGAATTTTTCCAATGCTATTATTGATTTTCTTCTTCATGCTACAGTATTAAGGCTTACGATTCTAAGGTGCTGCACAATGGTGGGGCAAAACACAGGTTTTATAAACCCTATTAGTGCTGAGCATACTGTGCATTGGGAAGACAATGAAAAACAAAAATGGAGGTCCTGTGTTTTGAAGATATTAATGGATGCACAGGCAGGTTCATGGCTACTCTTTTCATTTGAAAACTAAAAACCCTTCTAGGGAAGTGAGTTATCCAGTTAAATCTTTCCCTGCCAGAGCAAACATAAAGACAAGATGTAGTGCTCAGAGGAAAAACCATTAATCACCATTGTCATAACATGCCCCTCGATTCCATTGCTTCATTTCAGAAGGTGACATCAAGAATAATTATCATCAGTCATGCAGATTTCAAGACTCTTATAGGAGAAATTATGTTAACATCCAACCTCAAATGTAAAGAGTACTTTAAAATGTTTGTGTATCATGCTCAAAATCAGAAAAAAAAAAAAATCTCCCAAACTCCTTAAGGCATTTTCAGCCACATAAACTAAAATAAATTCAGCAACAGAAACTAGTTCTCATGAGTTCTGGCACTAAATCAGTGAAGACTATATCAACAAAAATATCACTCTCTGGTTTTCAGAGATGAGGTGAAAAAAAATTACTGGAAATATACAACTTTGCTTGACTTCCTATCAATAGTTATTCTTACCGTCAATAGACATGATGAGTTGGAGACACAGGTCTGGAAAATATTGTTTCCTCAGTGCCTAGATACATCCTGAAAGAACAGATTGGCCTTTTCTTGTATTTTATTTGAGAGATATGAATAAGTTTTGAGCTTTTTCTAGTCCCTCAAAGCCTTCTGCTTGGTCTAGCTGCCCTCTGAATGCACCAACGATCAATTATCTTGGATCAAAGACAAATGCAAACAAGAAGAATGCAGTTTCCTAACATCTGTGGGATACAGGGTGAGAATATGGAAGGCCATATACTGTATATCTAAATATTTAAATTATAAACCAAGTCAAAATGATTAGATAAAATCTTTTCCATTCAACTGTCTTGACAAATATAGCTTATAGCTTATTAACGATGTGGATAATCAAGCTCGAATTTAGAATTCTCAGATTCTTTGCAGTTTCCCGTCAGCACATAGGAGTAAGGAAGTGACAGTCCCTAGGGCCTGGCTGTAGGCTCACCTGGTGTGTCTCTTACTTCTGGTTCTGCGGCAACCGTGAGGGTACTTGCAGGTGTGCCTCTACAGCTATTCACCTATAAGGTGCAAGATCCTTTTACACTCCTCAACGTCTCCACCCTTATACATTATAGCTACCTTGGTCTACCTGGACCTAGGGTTATGGGGTATATCCATGGGTGATGGTCTTGGAGGATTAACCTAGAACTAGGCTGTAGCTCTTAGGGCAAGAAATTCACTGATTCTAGATGCCTGGAATATATAGTCTAGAAAAGAAGCATAGTTCCTAGGAGGGCCTGTTCCCTTATTCTCTCTGCTTCATGAGGAAGGGTACATCCAGACAAGGGACAGAATTGGGTCCTCTAAAGTATGACCTTGGCACAGAGACTAATTAGTATTTCTCAAACCTAAGGGTAGTACCACTGATGTGTTTCTACGTCAGAAATGCATACTTCTACCATCTTCCATCATACATGTTATTCTTGCCTATAAAGTATAATCTAGAAAATATTTAACTCTCAATTGGAGGGGGAAATATCATTCTTCCATTAGGTTATTGCACAGCATTTTGTAATAACTTAGGTCAACGTTCTAAATTGATAAGATCAAATCAAATGGCCCATGCCTTTTGCAATTGTTTTCTGAATGATTTTTTAAAATTGAATTTAGCATGGGTTATTACATATAAGCCATAGTCAAACCTGCATGGACTATATCTTCATCCCCAATGAGTCCCTTTCATTATATTTTAGGAAATACTCTGTACGTGGTATACCATGCCTTTATGTGAGTTTGGTCTAGTTTAGACTCTTTCCGTTCATACTAATGTCTTATATGTCAGACTGTTCACTGCAAAATGAACCTCTCTTATACATGTGCTTTTTCAGGGAGTAGCCCTCTGGAGTTTATTCACTTTCTTCACTTTCTATGATCCTCTTGACATTTTTGAACCATCTTCTCCATCTATTCTTTACTCTACAAGTCATTCTGATTATACAGAAATGCTTTGTGCCTAGACACAAATGTCAATTCACAGACAATTCTTCAATTTCCCAGAAAATTGACCTCACAGATCTTAAAGGCATTGGCTGAGGCAGACTGTTTCCTTCTGAACCGGAATCTCAATGGGGTCCATCATTTGTATACGCATGCTTCATTTTACAATGTTGCCAAACAAGGTTGATTGAGGGGTAAGGGGATAAGCAATTACTTTAGCATCTGACTTCTACAGTTAACATTACAATGAAATATAAAACTTGGGGCTTGTTATGGAAACACTTTGAGTCAGCCCCTTACCTTGAATGACCCTTCTATTCCATCAGATACCTAACTCAACACTCACTTTGGAAAGAATCTAATGATATATCCATTCTCATAAATCCATAGACTTAATCTGTGTTGTATTCATTTACATTTTTAACCAAGCAAAGCTACAAAGTAAATAAATATATAAAGGATGGATGATAAAACCAAGTAACTTTAAGATAAGCAAGTTAGACTTTTCCTGGGTTCACGTGTAAACTATGGCAGTGATAATTCGTAACGCATCCTATGAATGTCATTGCAAATGATAAGGATAATGCCCAAACATCAAACACTTTTATTTTGGGTTATATACATATTTTTATAGCTGGTATTTAACTAGTAAGACTGACTATTAAGTAGAATGCTTACTCAGACTTATCTTAAATAGAGTTAAGACTCTTACCAGAGGAAACAGTCCTTCCTTTTGCACCAGCTTAGACCAGCCGCAATTTGTTGAGTTGAGAGGACTGGCACAGCTCTCATTTTCAACATACCCACATAAATTGTAAACGATTCCCTGGAGGTCAATAAGTCACAATGAACTAAAATCTCCATTTTTCCCTTTCTGCAGGAATACAGTGTTCTTCATTTTTTTTTTAAAGCCACATTCTATTCCAGGAATCTTGGGAATAAGAAATCATAATAGCTATAATTTATTGAGTGCACCTTATTGTGTGCTAAGTCCTTTACACATCTAATTCAATGCTCACAATAACAATGTAAACCAGTACTGTGAACACCTTCATATAACAGATACAGAAACAGAAGATCAGAAAATTTTGGTGATTTGACCAAAATCACGCTACTTAAAACATGTAGAACTGAGATTTGAACCTAAACCTGGATGACTCTAATAATTCATGTTTTAACTACTACATGAGGTTTCTTGATTTTTGTTTTTTTTCCCAGTAGACCAAAATCTTTGGCCTCAGAATATAGTTATGTTTCTCTCTTCTAGGATGTAGCAGTATTCTTATTGTGTTCTTGAGTGCCAATCATGGAGTTATTCAATAAGACCAAAAATCTGAGGTCCTTTCTAAGAATTGTCTTGATGGCTTGTTGAAGCCACTGTGTATTACATAACACAATGACTTATTCTCTTCTGTGGTTCACCAAAGGGCGGCACAAATCTATGAACACTCTTATAAAACAACATTGGTTATGACAGCCCTCTGGGTATAGTCTTCAGAATATGGTTCCAAAACGTTAATCTCCCCCTTCTAGCAGTTTCCAAAATCTGGTACCTAATAAGCAACTTAGCAACGATTCAAATATTTAATATAACTTGTAAAACCATGTCTGGCTGGGTATATTTGCACATAAAATCCGCAATATCACCTGCTAATTAGATCTTATTTAATTGACCGTAGAAGAGTCTAATGGAATGAATTAGTGGTGTTTGAATTTCTGTTGGCGCTGATGATAATGACAATACAATCTTATCTAATTTAAGCTCAGCTTTGGGAAAACTGTTATGGCTCCTAAATTACTAAAACCACTGGTTTCCTGCTTTTTCCTAAATCTAAATTAGAGTACATGGGATGCTCTTTTGAAATGAGTCAGTGGTTTTGAGAGCTGGCCTTTATAAACCCAGAGGAAGCCAATGATAACTAACTCAAGGGCAATTGTCCTGTATGAGTACATATACCTGCCTCAAACTGAGTTTGACATATGTCTAATTTATTAGAATCACTAAGAATAATGGCACATAACTTTTCAGAAACAAAGGAGAGCAATCTGTTCTTTTGACTGTCTGATGAAGCAACTATAATTGTTTAATATGATCACTATAATGAATGAGTTTTATGTATACTTTTTAAGCTGGGGAATATATATATAATTATATTATTATAATATATATGATATAATTATATTATTATAATATATATGATATTATATTATTATAATATATATGATATAATTATATTATTATAATATATATGATATAATTATATTATTATAATATATATGATATAATTATATTATTATAATATATATGATATAATTATATTATTCCCTCTCATACAAAACATTGTCACTAAAGAGGCTTATAGATATTGCTTTGTTTTTTTTCAAATGTGAAGAAAATTTATTTTAAGTCATTAGTATGCTTTTACTTGGTCCCTGTTTATTTTCTTATAAAATTCCAAACTCTATAAAGTTTAATCAATCATTCTCTGCTGGACTCAAAAAGTTGGCCACTGGGTAAAGTTAAGCCCAGGCTGGAGGGTAAAAATTTGCCTCCTAGGCCAGGCACAGTGGCTTAAGCCTGTAATCCTACCGCTTTGGGAGGCTGAGGCTGGTGGATCGTGAGGTCAGGAGATCGAGACCATCCTGACCAACACCGTGAAACCCCGTCTTTACTAAAAATACAAAAATTAACTGGGTGTGGTGGCGCACGCCTGTAATCCCAGCTACTCGGTAGGCTGAGGCAGGAGAATCGCTTGAACCAGGGAGTCAGACGTTGCAGTGAGCTGAGATCTCACCACTGCAGTCCAGCCTGGCCACAGAGTGAGACTCCGTCTCAAAAAAAAAAAAAAAAAATTGCCTCCTCAAGTTAATCAAAAGTTAGTCCTCTGTGTGGTCATTCCACTTTTGAGGTTGGTGACACCATATTTATCTTCAAGAATTACCCCTTGATTATGACACTACTTTAGGAGTTCAGATGTATAATGACCAGTGCATGGATCAGTGTGGAAACATATAATAATTTATCTTGAGTGGTGTTTGTAGTTCATCTTTGCACTGTTGTATACATTGTATACACTACACATGGATTGTGATCCTTCCTCTCTCTGAATTTTTAGAGGCTGACCATTAGCAGCAAGATGCAGAGCTTTCCATTGTCCTAATCCAAAAGAAATTTCCAAAATGCACACAATTTATTAGTATTATTAAGAATGTGGCAAACATAATAACAGAAATCATCTATCATTTAGTTATCAAAATAAGACTGTAGGCAATTCTGTTTGGTTACACTTTGGAGAATTCTTGATCTCATTTTAATTCAAGTATACAAATTAAATACAGCTCCTTCTTTTACACAATGCCAGCACAGGCAATGCTCAACCACACTTCCAGATTCTTAACCGTTTATTTTAAGCTGTTGAATAGTGATGACACAATATCAGTCCCCTTAAATCAGTATTTTTTCAAAAGGAACCAAGAAGGCATTTAGCCTCAGACTCAAAAATGATCCAACCCACATCAAGGCTAGCAGTTCTTGGTTAAAATGGAACTGACTCTGAGAGTCTTCCAGCAACCTCTCTCTTCAGCAACAAGTTATTTACCAAAAACCAATGGAGCTGAAATGATATGACATTGAATTTTTAAGACAACAATTTCTCATTTCCTTGCCAGAATTGGAAAGAGATAAAGTAAAATAAACAGCATTAAAATAAAACAAGTCTCACTCCTGGTAACCTCTAATATTAACATCATTTTCTTTTCAGCAAAATCTTCACCCTACTTATCAAAGAACATGAAAATCTCAATTGATGGGACAAACAGGAAATTATTATTCTTATTATATACTTCTTTTACAATGATAATTATGGCATGGAGACATCTTTTACATAGTAAAATGAACATCTTAATCTTTTGCAAATAGCGTGGTTATTTCCTTCCTGGGAGTGGAAGTTCTGAGAGAGCGAAGAGAGAAAGGAATACTGATATTTCTGAGAGTCTGCCAGGAGAAAGCCTGCCTGGCCAGTTTAGTGGCGGAGCTGAGTCTGAATAAGGTATTTTGCTGCCGAAAAGAATGCCAGCTTCTGTCTTGATAACTTCCCATTTGGCAAGTACAAAGTGTGTTGATTTTTACAGTTGATATTACAGAAGTGTATGCAGGAAAACAAAACAAAACAAAAAAACAAAAAACACAGGCTGCTGAGCTCAATATCCTATTGCAATCACAATATCAATGTATGTTTTCTAAGAATGTTACCATTCATGTTCTAGAATCATATGACTAGAAAGTGCAGGCTCTCATATGGTTTGGTCGCCCAGCTCAGGGCTGAATGATGTCTTGAAAGAGGTATCAAAGAATTGAAAGAAACACAAAACCAAGGTGGGACCACTCTAGGCACGTGCCTTTATCCCTTAATCAAATGTTCAGTGCACTTCTTTTGATTAATTAGATTCCCAATGATGCAACTGCATTGAAATAAATGTATTACATTTAGTATCAGTCTAGGTTCTTCAATTTCTCACTTTAGATACATTTTTGGACGTGTTCAAAGAAAGTTTCACACAGTCCCAATTCATCACCTTCCCCTCTTCTGTTAACAGAAGGAAACTTAGTAGGTTGCCTGACTTTGCCTAATTTCCATATCCCAAACAGCAAGAACAAGTTCAACTGCCTAAAAATTTCATCTCATAGATGAAATTTCCTTGGGATATTAGCTTTCATAATTAAAAAACTCACAGGTAGGCATATTCTAGAGCATGGTAAAAACCAACATGATCTCTCATCAGCTGCTACAGAATATATTCAACCATTCATGTGGACAATTATTGATTCATCTGATCATGTTTTTGACAATATCTCTGGGACATCTTTTTGGGTAGAACGGTTGGGAAAAGAGAGTAACCTCCGTTGGAAGATATGTTTTCACATCTAGTTTTACTAAATAGGTTTAAATGTTTACTCTAGTATTAAATGTTACTTTCCCAGTACAGCCGTCTTAAACAATGCAATTTGTCTTCATGCACACACATGTGTATGCACACACTTATCCACATCAACCATTATTTACCTGTATAAGTAGAGAGGAACGTTGATGGAGAAAATTTCAAACAGAAGAAAATTCAAAAGTTGTTCATGCTTATAAAGTACATATGCTTTGGTGCTGGGTTTGCCTTCCAAATTATGTTAATATTGAAGTGAATTTGCGTTCTCCAGGCATGTACCAGCTATAGAGTGAGACAGGAGAGGCTTGGTGAGGGACAGAGAGGAGGAAAAAGTGGTGTTCAAAAACCAGAGGAGTGGGCAGAAGGCAAGCAGCATTTATTTTTTCTGAGGCAGAGACTCACTCTGTCACCCAGGCTGGAGTGCAGTGGTGTGTTCTCGGCTTACTACAACCCCCACCTCCAGGGTTCAAGTGATCCTCCCACCTCAGCCTCCCAAGTAGCTGGGACTAGAGGCTCGCGCCACCATGCCCAGCTAATTTTTGTATTTTTAGTAGAGATGGGGTTTCACCACATTGGCCAGGCTGGTCTCAAACTTCTGGCATCAAGTGATCTGCCCACCTCAGCCTCCCAAAGTGCTGGGATTACAGGCCTGAGCCACCGTGCCTAGCCAGCAAGCAGCATTTGAAAGTGTTCTCTGGACTATCTACAGAATAAATAATACATGTGCTGAACCAAGTATTCATTGTCATCTTTATTTTATATATATATAATTAAATATTAAATAATATTAAATATTAATATTAAATATATATAATGTTTCCATTCAAATGTTTTTTTCAGAATAATTTTTCAAATATGTGCTCCGCACTTACATAAGCACATGGAAAATAATCTTCTGACTGAGGTTTGTCCACTGCGTGAACGACATCTTCACATATAAACAGTCATGGTTATTTAGGCACCAAATCACTTCCATCTCATTCACCAGTGTGACTCAGGAGTGAACCAGGGAATAAAATAAATGATGTTGGCATTTTCTCCTTATGACCAGGCACTTGACCCTGGGAAAGGGAGATGCGGTTGTTAAAACAACAGACTATAAACTGCTGTAGTGGTCTAGGAAATATCATTTAAGAAACTCTTTGGACAGGGGAATCGGAGTGAATTTGCAGCATCGCTTGAGCTCAGAACTCAGCAAGGAGAATGAGAAGGGGCACTGCATGTGTCCCAGCCTCCCCGCTGGCCGCTGCAGAATTCTCTCTGGAGCAAAGTAGTTCCATTTGATGGTCAAAAGGCCAGGCCAGAAAAAACCTGCTGTAACTGGGTTTGGACAGTGCAGATAATTTCCTGGGGAAAACACCACTGTATTTCTGCTTTCCCTGAATCTGTTAAAAACATGTTTGTTTTGGCATTTTTCAGCTCTTGTGTGATTTTCAGTATTCCACAGTTTGGGAGGATTAGATTACACCTTGTGACCAAAATGAGGGCTAGGAGTAAGTTAACTCCGCAGCCTTACAATCCTATAATTTTGGGTTCAAATAGAAGGAGTAAGGTGAGTCTGGATAAACTTTGTTTTAAGGATTTAACACAATATACTGAGCAGGGCTTAAGACATCATATTTCTACATTATATACTAAAGGATAGCACATGATATCTGTGCCTTAAACATATCATGTGCCAACACTTGTCAAACCATGGAAGAGTTGTGTATAAAAGAGCTTGGGAATGAAAGAAAAGCAAGAGTTCCACCCCCTCACTTCAGAGAGGAGACACCGCATCACATGAAATTTAAGGGATTTTTTTTTTCAGAAACACACATAAAAAAGTAGAGCTCCCAGTAGAACTCAGATCTCCTGACTTTTGGCCCAATGAGCATATATGTGCATGAAGACACATCTGCTCTTCAGATCAAAAGCTTCTGTTTGAGGCGCGCACACACGCGCGCGCACACACACACACACACACACACAAAATTATTTAAAATATAACATTTTATAGTTTTGTTTTTTGAGATAGGGTCTTACTCTTTCACCCAGGTTGGAGTGCAGTGGTGCGATCTCTGCTCACTGCAGCCTCCACCTCCCAGTCTCATGCCTTCCTCCCACCTCAGCCTCCTGAGTAGCTGGGACCACAGGTGTGCACCACTATGCCCAGCTAAATTTTTGTATTTTTGGTGTAGATGGGGTTTTTCCATGTTTCCCAGGCTGGTCTGGGTTTGTTTGGTTTTAGAATACTGACTGAAGTAGCTCTGAATTGCTCACAGAAGCTCTGAAAATAAAATAGAAATGAACTGGAAAAAGGATACTAGATAAATGTCAATTCTTCCTCTTTGGAGCAGATGAGAGAGAATCCTGAGCATTTTCTAAAACATGAATGCCTTTTCTACCACTACTGGGGAAAGCTCTATTAGCAAATAAAGAGTAGAAATCCTTTGATTTAACAACTGCCTCTTCATTAAAGCTAGTAAGTATATTCCCTCAGATAATCATTACACTAAAAATATCAGAGAAGACATAACCACCCTAAGAAATAACCATTTGTCCAGTGTCAGAAAGAAGAAGTAAAAGCATATTTTTACACACTTGTATTTATTTGTCAGGTTCTTTATAAATTTATAAGAAGGCAAAAAAAATCACTCTAAAAGCAGAGATAAGGTCTGTAAAATTAATAAAAGCTATGTTTATGTAACCACAACATAGATGGATAGTAACATGTCACACATTGTTTCACTTTTTTTGGATTAGATTAATGATGATTAAAGTTTCATAACTGTAATCATTTCACAATCATTAGCAAGCTTAGAAAAGGAGGAAAAGGTAAAGGAGTACAGCACATTGCCAAATGGCAGATCTAACATGAAACCTTGTGTTTTGTGGAAAGAACAAGAAGGAGACAATGATGAGTGTGTGTCTGTGTGTGTGAGCGCGTGTGTGTGTACGCATGAGAAAGAGACAGAGACATAGATGAGAAAGAAAAAGAGAGAAAGAGAGACAGACACAAATACACATACACAGAGACAGAGAAAGAGAAACAGAGAGGGAGAGAGACAGAAGCAGACAGACAGAGCCATAGAGACAGAGAGAGACTATCATATATCAAGAAGATTGGATCCAAGTGTGAGTAAAGATATGGCTACATGATGTAGCGCATTTCACTGGACTTTTACTAGCAGGTGTGGAATTGAGACTGATGCCATATAGGATGCTGAGTGAATTTACAGCCATTTGGCTTGGTTTGCTGCTGGCCCAACCTTCTTTTTCAAAATTATCTATATGAAGCCTCTCCTGTGGCTACTGACTGATTGTGTATTTTACTATGTCCACAAAGGATGGGAAAGAGCAAAAGCCAATGTGTTGAATCCAGCCATGGACAGGATGTTAGCAAAGAACCCTTTGTGGCTTGTTATTGGAGACAGAGGGGAAATCATCAAGATTTTAGGGGGAAATCAGCTCTGTAAATAAATTACATTGAACTATAGGGATTGGCAAACAAAATCCATTTATCTGCCCCATTAAGCTGGTGTCATACCCAATAAAATCACAAGGTTAATAACAAATTATTATAAATGGTAGGAAATTGTTGGTAATAGATACATTTTAAAAAAGAGGATTTATCAGGGCAATTTCTAGCAGAGATAGTTATTCTCCCATTTTTTTAAGGAAGTATACTTTAAAAGAAGTATGTGAAAGAAATGTAGGTATGTAAGAAAGGTAAGCAGAAGCAACATCTTTTGGTTACCTGTTAGCTGAATTTCCCTTGCAGGAACATGATGCCTCATAGAATTTATAGTCTTGAATCTTATCTTGCCTGCTAGGGAGAAAATAAAATAAGATTCACAAAACATTTAAGTTTACTAATTCTTTAGCTAGATCGGTTTCTGAACTTTTCTGCATACCTGGATACGAACAGAGAAGAGGGGATGCTGCACTCCAGGGGTTAAGTGATGGGGTGATAGGAAAGAGTGTAGGTAAGGTGTCAAAAGGGAAAGATTTGTGAGACTAGTCTACCCTGCTTCATGTTTTATCTAAGGATTTTTAGACCATGACTTAGGATTGTGCACCCAGGGTTTTTTTTTTTTTTTTTTTTTTTTTTTAGACTGATGAAGATAGATAATGCACTTTTTTTTTTTTTTTTTTTTGACAGGGTTTCACTCTTATTGCCCAGGCTGGAGTCCAATGGTGCGATCTTGGCTCACTGCAACCTCTGCCTCCTGGCTTCAAGTGATTCTCATGCCTCAGCCTCCCGAGCAGCTGGGATTACAGGCATGCACCACCACACCCAGCTAATTTTGAATTTTTAGTAGAGACGGGGTTTCACATGTTGGTCAGGCTGGTGTCGAACTCCTGACCTTAGGTGATCCTCCCACCTCTGCTTCCCAAAGTGCTGGGATTACAGGTTTGAGCCACTGTGCCCGGCCTGATAACGCACATGTTAATAGAAGAACTTTAGTGGCTGCTTCCCAAACTTCACTCTAAAAGATAAATCAACTTGTGACCTCTGCCTTTCAAATCACCTCTGCCACCTCCTTTTCCTCCATTTTTAAAGAGTATTCTCTACTAGAAAACCTAACTGTTACTCTTAAGTATTCTATCATTACAGATGCTTTTCTGAGAAAAACTAATGATGTAATACCATTCAACTACAGGGAGCATCAAGACACTGGCATTTGGAAATCTAGAAGCAATTCAACTGAAGATGACTCATCTTTTCATTAAAAGGAAGATCCATTCACTGTTTCTAGCGCTTCACTTAGTGGCAACATTAAGTCTTTAGAGAAGTTTGAGTTAGGATGAGTGCAGCTGGTTATATGCATTGTTTTATTAATTCAGTTATTCATTCACTTTAATGGCAAGTTACAATGGCACTTAATGTTTCAACAACTCTGCTAGATTTGGGAATAAAACACAAGGGTAAAAGACCCATCCCTGGTCTTTGACAGTGTAAGGTATGGCAGATTATTTAAATAATATGATAAATAGTAAAGTATCAGTAAACCTTTAGGGTTAGGGAAGATGAAATGTGAGCTCAAAACCCATACACGGCTAAAGGAGAAGATGTGAGGAAATACTTCCTCTAAATATCCAAACTGTGGTTTTGTCATGAAAGGAGATTAGAGTGAAGAAAAATGGACAGTAAGGGAAGATATTCTTGTTCCTGGATAAGTAGAGTACATAAAGGATTTAGTGGTTATATTTTACCTTCAAAATGAGAATATAGTGAAATATTATAATTGGAGAAGAATGATCATACTCATGCTTCAGAAAAGTCAGCGTGAAGAATGAATAGAATGAAGGCAAACACACACACACACACACACACACACACACACACGCAAAACAACAAAAACAATTTAAGAAGCAGTATATCCTAGCAGTTAAGATCAAAGACTGGGGAAAAGACTGCCTATCCTGGCTGTTCTAAATAATAGCTGTGCAATCCTTGCAGAAGTTCTCTCTGTGTCCTGGTTCTTTTTTTCTGTAATAATAATGGTACTAATGCTGTAAAATTTTATAAGAATTAGAAGAGTGAATACATGCGAAATTGCTTAGAACAGTGCCTGGAACTTAGAGAATGTTCTATGAGAGTAAACTTGTAGAACAACGCGGTGACGCATGGGATAAATTAGGCGGATCCAGGTTGATAGTGCAGTGAGGATAGAGAGCGGGAAGTGATTTTGAGAAATATTAAATAAGTAGAATCTATAGGAGTTGGTAACTGTATTAATTTGTTCTCATGCTGCTAATGAAGACATACCTGACACTAGGTAATTTATAAAGGAAAGAGGTTTAATTGACTTACAGTTCCACATGGCTGGAGAGGTCTCACAATCATGGTGGTAGGCAAGAGAAAGCTTGTGCAGGGGAACGCCCCTTTATAAAACCATCAGATCTTGTGAGATTTATTCCGTATCACGAGAACAGCATGGGAAATACCCACCCCAATGATTCAATTACCTCCCACCAGGTCCCTCCCATGACACGTGGGAATTGTGGGAGCTACAATTCAAGATGAGATTTGGGTGGGGACACAGCCAAACCATATCAGTAACTTATTAGATGTAAGAACTTAGAAACAGAAGGCTTGAATAAACCCCAGGTTTTTCCTTTTGTGTCTGATGGATGGTGTGTCTCTCTTCACTGCAATAAAAATACAGGAAGAAAGCCCATCTAAGGAAAGAGATGATGAATTCAGTTTTGGATGCAGACTTGGAGATGTCTTAGGATTTCTAAATAATAAGGTCCAATGGGAGATTGATTATCATGAATTATAGGCAAGAGAAGCTTGCCAGAAGATATAGATTTAAGGGGCCCTTAGAATATTAACGAAAATTGAGGCCATGGGAGCAGATGAGATCATTCCAGAGAGTGAATCAAATGAGGAGAAGGCCAAAAATAGGCCAAAAATAATCCACTGCAGAACATTTAAGATGAGAGTAGAATTATAAAACTAACAATAGAAACCGAGAATGAAAACAGAGAGATTCCAGCTTCTGGTCATGATGGAGTAACTGCACTGCATTCAATCTCCCCTTGTAAACAACCA
Source organism: Homo sapiens (assembly GCF_000001405.40). Lineage (NCBI taxonomy): Eukaryota > Metazoa > Chordata > Mammalia > Primates > Hominidae > Homo > Homo sapiens. Next base: position 70,232,913 of record NC_000017.11, read on the forward strand.
TAAAACCAGACCAAAATCTGTACAATTGTTACAGATGTTATAGGTAATCTGATTGTTATAGATGCTGGATTATAGAAATTATAGACGCTAGATCATGTAAAGCCGTTCTGTGAACCCTGAGAGAAGGGAAATGATGACCACCAGGGTGGCCCCAGCTTTCTGCCTGAAGGCATTTTCTGCAGTGCAGTGCAAGAAGGAGAAGCCCGATTAGAGAACAAAGGGCTTGCTTAAAGAGGGATGGAGTTCAGGGCTAGGGATGCAGCTGGAATTCGTGGGGCACAGCTGTAGAAAGAAAGAACTGTGTAGTGAAGGAGCTCCTAAAATATTCACAGGCATCCTGTCGAGTATTTGGCTGAATAGTAAGTTCACACATGTAGGAAGATACTCCAAAAGTCTAGGCGAAAAATAACTTACTGAGTAAAGAAAAGATCCTGGGGAGCTGTAAGCTGTAATGGCCAAATCTTGGACAAGGCTATGAGATCTTTAATTTTCTACTAGCTAGAGTGAAAAATCTTGTTGAAGAGCATAAACATTCAGTAGATGTACCAGCAAGTTCACTCATTAGGAAAAGGGCACCTCTAGATGAACCCTAACAAAGCTTAAAAGCAAATCTTTAAATAATCACACTGATGGGCACGTAAACTAACTCCTCCTCTGGAACAAAATTCAAGAAGGAGTGAACAAAATCCAAACACTCAATAACTTGACATCCATATGTCTATCATATATTAATGGTAAATTTTTTTTTAAAATATAAACTAACAGGTCCCAGAAGCTCAATACGACCCAGGCAGGATAAACAAAAAGAAAACCACAGCAAGAAACATCATAACCAAAATAATTAAATCTACAATAAAGCAAGTAAATGTGATGCTAACAAAGAAAAAGAAGTCAGTAAATATAAACAGATTCAGAAATTAGACAATAAAACTAAAAATCAAATGCTTTAAAAGTACAATTATAGATATGCTAAATAATTTTAAAGTAAATATAACAACAATGCAGGAAAAATGAGACAATCGATAAAATGGAAATTATAAAAAAAGAAACATGAAACCTTTAGAACTTCAAAATATGGTATTGGAGTGAAAAATTCACTATATTGCACAGTTGTTTAGAAACTGCAGAAAAAAAGATAAGTAAGCTTGATTTCTCAAAAATTTAAACGTAGAATTAAATCACATTAGCCAGTAATTTCTGAGTATATACTAAAAAGAAACAAGAGCATGGACTTGAACAGATATTTGCACACGTGTTTATTATGACATTATTCATAATAGCCAAAAGGTGGAAGCAACCAAAGAGTTCATCAGTGGATGAATGGATAAACAAAATGTGGTATATACATATAATGGAATATTAGCCTTAAAAAGGAATGAAATTCTAACATATTTACAGCATGGATAAACTTTGAAGACATTATGCTAAGTGAAATAAATCAGTCACAAAAGTACAAATATTGCATAATTCCACCTAAATGAGCTATAGAGACTTGTCAAGTTCATGGAGACAGAAAGTGAAATGGTGGTGTCCAGGGACCGGGCAGAGGGGGCAACAGGAAGTTAGTGTTTAATGACATTGGAGTTTCAACTGTAAATGATGAAAAAGTTTTGAAGGTGGATAGTGATAATATTTGTACAACATTATGAATATACTTAATGACATAGAGCTTTACACTTAAAAATGATTAAAATGATAAATTTTATATTATTTATATTTAAATAAAATATTCTAAGTGGATAGTTTCTTTGTAATTAGATTGCAATTTATTTGCCCTTCTCTATCTTCTAAATTTTTATAATGAACATATTGAGAAAAAAGTAAACAAACAAACTGAAAAACTAAAGTACTATGATATTTATCCCGCTCCCCAATTTGTAAAGTAACATTTAAACCAAATATATATGGGTTTACATTTCAGGGAAAGATTTTTTCTAAGGGATAATACATATGGTTGGAATAAAATGTGAAAGAATTAGTTGAATTAGTGACTGAATTTTATGATTCCAGAAGTACATCAGAGTTTTGCTTTGCTTTTGCTTTCCTTGGTTTAGCTTTTACATAATAAAAATCACCCTATTGAAAAAAATCAGTAAACTTTAGAAAAATAAAAACTATCCAGGCGAAAGTACAAAGAGAAATATCTATATTTATATCTATATCTATACCTGGCAAAAACACTGAACCGTGGCTCAGTGGCCCATATGACAATATCAAAATAATCAATATCAAATAACCCAATGCACATATAATCAGAGTACCAGAAAGAGATATTTAGGGCTGAAAAGGTACTTGATGAAATAGCAATGAAAATATTTCCAAATCTGCTAAAAATATATAAACTAGCAGATTCAGGAAAGCAACAGCTTTCCCCACATGGAATAAATGGAAGGAAAACCACAGCAATGCCCATCATAAACAAATTTGTAAAAAAAAAAAAAAAAAAAAGAAGGTACTATGGCAGACAAATCTTAAAGGCATTCAGTAAGGGGAAGAAGACACATTATATACAGGACAACAATGGTAGGAAAGACTGCTGATTTCTCAACAGAAACAATGATAGCCAGGAGACAAAGACCTGTCATCTTTCAGGTGTTGGAAGAGCAACAAAAAGCAAAGATAGCTATCAACATAGAATCCTATATCTAGTAAAATGAATTCTTCAAAAATGAAGACAAATATAAAGATTTTCTAGGCATGAAAAGCTGGTAGAATTCATTGCCAGCAGAACTGATTTATAAGAAAAGCGAAGTTCATCAGCCTAAAGGAAAATGTTAAACTATGAAACTGTGAAAGGAAGCCTCAAGTGCTCCTGCACAGTTTCCAGATTCTCTTCCCATTCTTGGTGACCATGATGTTCCAGAGGAGAGAGGTTTCATCAACATTGTTCTCTGAGTGAGGATACCCTCTTCCCTGCAAATAATTTTTATCTGGTTAACTCTTTCTCATCCTGTATTCAATTCAATAATAACTTGTGATACTCAATACTGAATGTCAACTTGATTGTTGAAGGATACAAAGAATTGATCCTGGGTGTTTCTGTGAGGGTGTTGCCAAAAGAGATTAACATTTGAGTCAGTGGGTTGGAAAAGGTAGACCCATAACATTTGAGTCAGTGGGCTGGGAAAGTCGAACCCACCATTAACCTGGGTGGGCACAATCTAATCAGCTGTCAGCACAACTAAAATATAAGCAGGCAGAAAAATGTGAAAAGAGAGACTAGCCTAGCTTCCCAGTAGGGGAATCCAGCATCTTTCTCCCATGCTGGATTCTTCCTGCCCTTGAACATCAGACTCCAAGTTCATGTATATATATATGTCCCATTAGTTCTGTCCCTCTAGAGAACCCTAACTAATACATGACTTAATCTGGAATTCTTCCCTTACACTCCAGACTATGTTTAGTTATTCTGCTGCAAGTTTTCATAGCACCCTATATTTTACTCTCTTCTTACTTATCTCAGTTTTTAATTATACAGTTTTGCAAAGATATTATTTTAGATAATTGTGTCTCCCTCCACTGGGAAATTTGCTCCATGAAAGCAGAGACTTACCTTTTAAGAACGTTGTTGTATCTCCGAGGGTTAAGATTGTTAATGTTTAAAAAAATGTTTGTTGAATGAAAGTTGAATGTTGTTAATTAAGAAGAATAGTATTGGAGTTTAAAGAATCAGAGTTAATAAGACTATTTCAAGTGAAGCATCACAAGATGCTGCGATGAAGGTAAGTGTTTTGAAGAAGGGAGGAACTTAGAATATTAAAAAGTCAGTGGACTTTGAGACTACAGTTGAGTCACCTATATGACTATCTAAGTTCCACGAGATCATAAAGTTTCAAGGGATGGAAAAGCAAGAGCATAAACTAACGTATTAATATGGAACGACACAGTCAAACATATTTTTTCAAGATGTTTTTGGCTGCAGTTTGGAGAAGTCTGTAAAGTAGAAACAGAGGAAGTAGGGAGATCAGAAAGAGTGGCCTCTTGCAGAAACCAGAAAGATAGTGGTCAATGGCTACAGTGATGACCATGGAGATGGTCAAAAGCACTCAGAGTCAGTGGAACATTTTGTAGTTGGAGCCAACAATATTTGCCATTAGACATGAGATATAGGATAAAGAGAGGAGTCAAGAATGAGTCCATGATATTTAGATGAAAGCAAAGGGAGACTTGTCATTAACTGAAGTAGGAAAGATTTTGAATACAAGATCAGAAGTTTCTAGACATTCTTTTTTTAAAATTTTACTTTAAGTTCTAGGATACATGTGCAGAATGTGCAGGTTTGTTACATAGGTATACCTGTGCCATGGTGGTTTGCTGCATCTATCAACCCATCATCTAGATTTTAAGCCCTGTATGCATTAAATATTTGTCCTAATGCTCTCGCTCCCATTGCCCCCACCCCCCAACAGGCCCCGGGGTGTGTTGTTCCCCTCCCGCTGTGTCCATGTGTTTTCACTGTTCAACTCCCACTTATGAGTGAGAATTCCAGTGTTTGGTTTCCTGTTCCTGTGTTAGTTTGCTGAGGATGATGGCTTCCAGCTTCATCCATGTCCCTGCAAAAGACATGATCTCATTCTCTTTTATGACTGCATAGTATTCCATGGTGTATATGGACCATATTTCTGTATCCAGTCTATCATTGATGGGCATTTGTGTTGGTTTCATGTCATTGCTATTGTCAATATTGCTGCAATAAACGTATGTGTGCTTGTGTCTTTCTAGCGGAGTGATTTATATTACTTTGGGTATATACCCAGTAATGGGATTGCTGGGTCAGATGGTATTTCTGGTTCTAGATCCCTGAGGAATCGCCACACTGTCTTCCACAATGGTTGAACTAATTTAATTCCCACCTACAGTGTAAAAGCGTTCCTATTTCTCCACAGCCTCGCCAGCATCTATTGTTTCCTGACGTTTTAATGATTGCCATTCTGACTGGCGTGAGATGGTATCTCTTCGTGGTTTTGATTTGTGTGTCTCTAATGACCAGTGATGATGTGCTTTTTTTCATATGCTTGTTGGCTGCATAAATGTCTTCTTTTGAGTAGTGTCTGTTCATATCCTTCACCCACTTTTTGATGTTTTTTTTTCTTGTAAATTTGTTTAAGTTCCTTGTAGATTCTGGATATTAGACCTTTGTCAGATGGATAGATTGCAAAATTTTTCTCCCATTCTGTAGGTTGCCTGTTCACTCTGATGCTAGTTTCTTTTGCTGTGGAGAAGCTCTTTAGTTTAATTAGATTCTACTTGTCCATTTTGGCTTTTGTTGCAATTGCTTTTGGTGTTTCCATCATCAAGTCTTTGCCCATGCCTATGTCCTGAATGGTATTGCTTAGGTTTTCTTCTAGGGTTTTTATGGTTTTGGATTTTACATTTAAGTCTTGAGCAATTCTAGACATTTTTAATTTGAGACTCCCATTATGCGTCTAGGTGAAGACTTCAGATAGGTAGCTGGAAGTATGAGTTGAGATGTCTATGGGGAAGTCTTGGCTGGGGTATACATTTATGCGTCATCAGCATTTCTAAGTGAGTGAGTGTAGACAGAAAAGAAGTCCAAAGTCTGATCCCCTGAGCTTGCCTATATTTACAGGTTGGGAAGATGAGGAGGAATAAGCAAACACCACTGGAAAATCCCAGAAAGATAAAACTATGTGAATATAATGTCCTGGAAATCCAGGGGAAAGAAGTGATCAACTGTATCAAATAAAATAATTGGCCACAGCATATAGTACAGAAGTCATGGATGACAATGATAAGAGCAGTTTGGGTGGAACGGCAAAAACAAAACCCTGATTGGAGTGGTTTTTTTAAAAATGGGAAGCAAAGAAGCTGAGGCTGAAAGGAGAATAGACGACACTTTGGTGCTGATCTTCAATCCTGGTGTAAACATGATAGCATCATTAGCCTGAGGAGGTTTCCATTCCTTTACTTACAGTGACGGATTCTCAAACTGAAAGTAAGGATTTAGCCTTGAGGGGTCTTCCAAAGCAAACCCTGAATAAAAAGCTCTTTCTGTTTAATCTCAAGGATTGCCTGGTTCTTTTCACTTTAATGTACTAAAGGTGTCACAAACCAGATAAGAAAAGAAGTTGCTGACAGTGTTATCGATCTGAAACTTCTGTTTTAAATATCAGAATATGAAAGTAAAATAAAATCATCTCCTACTTAATAGCTAAAATAGTTGTATAAACAACACCTTATTTTTTTATCCAGTCACAACCATTACTGGCAGAATCATATTTGTATTATGTTAAGTCTGAAATATTCAGCCCAATATATTGATTTATGAAGAGACCATTTTACATTTTACTTTAACAGGCATTGTGCACTCATGTGGTTGGGACGCGACTTAGAATATTCACTGCTTTTAGAGTTTGAGTAATAAGCTTTATTTACCTATAGTTTGGTATCCACCCACCTTAGAATGAAGCAGCCGTGTAATCCTCCTTAGTTGCTAAACTTTGAATCTTGGGAGTATTACAAATGGAGATTGATTGCAAGAGTTCATGGGAATCTCAGACACCCTGGCTGGGGTGAAGAGAGGGCAACATTCATCTGAGGAATGTATTTCACATTCAGTAATATTTGACCCCAGATGAAATAAAATGTGGCTTCACCTCCAGTGTAAATATTGGTCAGTTCCTATCCCATTAAGTGTTCCTGCTACTTTCCCTAAAGACAAAGATTCTGGCCTATCAATCATAATAATACTCCCATTAGCTCTTGAGCAACATGTTTGAATAGGAAACTCTCTCTCTCTCTCCCTTTTGTCTGTTGATGATTTAGAGACAGTAAGATCTCCAGGCTTATCTTGAAAATATTTACCCAGCTTCTTTCAGTGATCATTTCAGAGCTTGGTCATAAAAGCATACGTTTCTCTAAAGCAAAGGGTGATAAAGGAGGAGGTACACACAGAACCTTTGCCAGTCTAACATTTTGGTGGAAGGTGACAGAGAAGATAAAGAGACCAATGTTGAAAAACATGTTTTAAGTTATCTGCTTCATGAAGTGAAACAAAAATAGAGGTATAAAATCTCCATCTGGTTTCATTTTATCTTCTCCTATTAAGTACAGACCTATCTATATCTTGGGCTTTTTTGTTTTTTTTTTCTTCCTTTTGCTTTGTTTTATTCCCCTATGTTTCTAACTTGTTTCTAACCCTTTGAGAACCAAGCTTGAAATTATGAGTTAAAAAATAATACATAAAATATAAAAATATTAATGTTCTATTTTAGTTTAGTCTCTCTTAGCAGTGGACTAAACAAGAGAAACTAAACAAGAGAAAAGTGACAAGTTGTGGTTGATATAAGTGATTTTAAAGGACAGTTACAAGAATTATACTAGTGGGAGGTACATATTGATCCTACTAAAAATATTTCCTATGTTAATGACTGCATAGTTGTCCATAAGAAATGATATTTCCTATTAGTTTATTATTTTTCAGTATTTTATAGAAAGGCTGGTCTTTACATGAGAAAATCAATGATTCTTACTAGCATTATGTATTGAGACTTATTCTGTTCTAGACACGATGTGTAAAGATTTACATGTGTTATCTCATGTGATTATGAGACCAAAAATCTATTTTGCCTGTACTATTTTTAAATAGGAGACATTGAGCTCAGAGAATACAACACATTTTCTAGAAGGCTTGTGAGTTCAGAATGGCAGTTATTTCACTTGCTGTCTGTGTGTCTCACAGGTCACCCTGAAAGCACTGACTCAGTTTAGCATGCCGAAGTGTCCCCACTGGATGGGGACAGGGAGAATTCTCTGAGCTAAGGAACCATGTTCTTAGGATGGATGCAGATTTATAACTTTGAAGTGGAATGCTCACCATGACAAAGACATGTTATTTTAACCTCTTGTATTCATCTTGTTATATAAAATTATGCTCTTGTGTAAAAGGATATGAATTTGAGATACTTCAGCCTAGTATTATAGCCTAATAAATATCCACCATGAGAACATGAAGGTTAATCTACCTGAACATGTGTGTTAATCTTTATTTTCTCCTAATATTCTAATCTCAACTATCTCTATTGTAATGTAAGTGACCTTTGTATATAACTGGATTTTATTTCAACATCATTGACTTATTTTAGACTATTAGAAAACTGTCATTATATTTAAAGTATATTTATATATGTTATAAATGTACTTTATAGTATACTGTATTTATATTTTTTAAAGAATATTTATGTGTAGATAAGATGTCTTACATTTTCCCGACAGTATTTCCTTGAGAAAGGAAGAGTGGGTACATTTTCATTTTAGTTATGAACACGTTGAAGAGAACAGAAGGCAAATGACATGCCCCAGGGTAGAGATTTCATTGGTGAGAATGAAGATATGGGAGTGGTTGTGTGGTCACGTCTCGGAAACCGGTAGGACTTGCAGCATAGCAGACCAAACTGACTGAAGAGCAGATTCCAGAATTCATAGAAGCTTTTTCCCTATTTGACAGAGACAATGATGGAACTATAACAACAAAGGAAGTGGAAACGATAATGAGGTCTCTTGGGTAGAATCCCATGAAAGCAGGGTTACCAGACATGATTAATGAAGTAGATGCTGATGGTAATAGAACGGACTCTCCTGAATTTCTGACAATGATGGCAAGAAAAATGAAAGACACACAAAGTGAAGAAGAAATTAGAGAAGCATTCCTTGTGTTTGATAAGGATGGCAATGGCTATATCAGTGCAGCAGAACTTTGCCATGTGATGACAAACCCTGGAGAGAAGCTAACAGATGACAAGGTTGATGAAATGATCAGGGAAGCAGGTATTGATGGTGATGGTCAGGTAAACTAGGAAGAGTTTGTACAAACGATGACAGCGAAGTGAAGACCTTATACAGAATATGTTACATTTCTTGTACAAAATTGTTTATTTTCCTTTTTCTTTGTTTATAATTTATCTCTAAAAGGTTTCTTCCTACTGTCAAAAAAATGCATGCATAGTAACTAGGACTCCGTTCCTCCATGTTTTCTTCTCTTATCTTACTTGTCATTGTTGTCATTGTTCTGAAAACTTATTTTAGAAAATTGATCAAGTAACATGTTACATGTGGCTTACTCTAGATATATCTAAGCCCTTCTGCACAGCTAAACTTAGATGGAGTTGGTCAAAGGGGAAACATCTGGGTTGTGCCTTTTTTTTTTAGTTTTCTTTAGAAACTGCAGCATGTTGTTGTTGAAGTGTGGAGTTGTAACTCTGTACACAATTGACAGTCAACAATATGTACCTAAAACTTGCACTATTGCAAAAGGGGTGTATTATCCAGGTACTCATACACTTTTTTTATATATATTACTGGTCCTATACCAGAAACATTTTGCTTTATTGTTACTTGCTTTTTAAACTTTGTTTAGGCACTTAAAGAAAATCTGCTTATGGCAGAATTTGCCTCAAATCCATTCCAAGTTGTATATTTGTTTTCCAGTATAAAATAACAATTTACCTCCAAAACCCCCAAAAGACAAAACAAAAACAGAATGAAGATATGAAAGCTCAGGGCTCCTGAATTCCAAATCACTTTGCTATGAAGCCATACTATTTCGAATAAAACAAAATGATGTAAATTGCCTGAACAAAATATGTGTTTGTGGAGCAATGCAAAGGTAATATATACTGGTAAGCCACGTGCTTAGAATCTTTGACAAAAATACTAGAAGAAATTTTTTTTTGTGGAAAATAGCTTTGAAGTAAATGTTTGGAGGAAATCTTCCATAGAACAGATACCATAAAATTAAAACTTGTAGTCATAGGGAACTGATTATTTTTGTTTACCTTTTACTTTTGATTTTTCACTGGCACATAAACAGCAATTTTCAGTTCTAGGTGGGAGCTACCTTTCAATAACTCGAACATTTGGTAGCCCAATCATGTTTTACTGAAGCACATTTTCACAAGAAGTAATACGTTTTTAAAAAAAATACAAATATTTCTTATTCTTAGGAGTTGCTTTGCCTTGCAAAATAAGTGAAAGCTATTACAAATGAGTATTCAGTGCATTGCTGAGATAAAGTTGTGGTCAAACTACATTTCTCAGTAGGGAACTCCTTTTCTCCTGATAGAGTTGGAATGAGTTCAAAGAACTGGAATAACCAGGAAAGAAGATGAACCAACTGATTTATAAATGAAGATTAAAGGATAAATTATAGAGGCCAAATAAATAGGCTTTGTCTAAGCTGTGTGTAAGAGCACGACAGGATTAGAAGCACACGTCACTGAAAGTTTAAACATTAATGAAAATTATTACATAGTACAATAAAATAAATGTAGTACTGAAACAGTAGAGAATATGAGGAAATGTAAAACAATACTAAACTCATCATGTAGCTTTGCTGTGGCCAAGAATTACTACTTTACAAAAGGGGATCTCCGGGGTAATAGTGGAAGCTGTTTTATGACTACAGGCAGACTCAATAAACTCGGACCGAGATGAAGTATTTTATTACTCAAGAGTGAGAAAGAAAAACCATGCTTATTTTCCTCATTAGGATAATAGATCATTGTGGCTTAATTCCCATATGATTCAGGAATTTAAAATTAACTATTATCAAAGTTCGTGGCTTTGCCTTTTAAAATCACAGATTCCTGAGTATTCAACAGATACATTCAAATACAGAGGACATAATTATTTATTGTTGTATAATAAATTAATAAACACATAGTGGCTTAAGGTATCAATACATATTTATTATCTCACATGGTCTGGCAGATCAGGAATTGACTGATTTGGATGGATGATTCTGGTTTAGGGTCTCTCATGATGGCGCAGTCGAGATGTCGCAGCATCTGCAGTCATCTGAAGGCTTGGCTGGGGCCGAAGCCTGGGATAGCTCACTCACATGCTGGGAGGCTGGTACTGGCTATTGGCAAGAGGACTTATTTCCTTGCCACTTGGACTTCTTCATAAGGCTGCTTGTGTGTTCTCATGACATGGCACCTGACATCCCTCTGAAAGGGTGATCCAAAGAAAAGCAAGCATAGAAGCCACCATGTCTTTTATGACCAGACTTCAAATTCACAAATCATCTGTAATATCCTACCGATTTCACAGACAAACCCTATTCAACATGGGAGGGAACTGCAGGAAGGCATGAAGACTAGGGGATGAGAATCTCTGGAGGTCACTTTGGAGGCTGGCTACCAAAAATGTTTGTGTCAATTTTAATTTATTTTAAAATCGGATATTATTTTCTTTTGCAAAATAATTCTTTCCCAATTCCCCCATAATAGCAAGTGGGGCACCAATCTAGGTTTAAATAAAATTGTTGTCATTAGCTAATCTTCCAGGTGCAGAGTAGTTGAGATCTGTCAAAATGGTTCACACCTCTCAATAATTATCATGTACAAAATTCTTATTATGCTCCATATAATCCTCACAATGATCCTTAGCTCAAAACAATAGATAGGGAATTGAGGCAAGAAAGGTTAATTAATTTGCCAAAGTTCACATGGCTAGTAAGAGAGGGAAGCAAATATAAATCCCGACTGAACTGGCAGAGCCATATGGTGAGGTCAAGAAGATGGCAAGAAACAAGAGGCAAACATAAATGAGGGAATTTGGAGTGCATTCACAAAGGGACTATTACAAAGATGTATATAGGGTCAGAATCTATGGCAAAAGATACTTCAGTACCTGGAGCTAGGGAGAGAGGTAAAACATAACTACCTTAGGGATGCAGGAATGAAACGATTGTACGAATTTTGAGAGAGCTACACTGAGAGGACCTTTGATAGGAACTATGAACTTTATTAAAAAGACATAGTCCATATGAAATGTGTAGAGAGATAACTATTCTGATATCATCCTCCTCTCAACCATCCTGTGCCTCCTCCTAGCCAAAATCAACTAGAAATCAGAGGCAAGGAAGCCCTTTGATTCAGTATTCATATGGATTAGGTAAAAGACAGTAGAGATTGGATGTGGAAATACTCAGCACATCCACTGTTATCCACTCTTCTGTATACTGTTCAATTAGCTCAGCTAACTTCACAGTCCTGAATAGAATAAAAGAACTGAAGATCAGGGAGGATAATTCATAAGCTAAAGTTTCTAAAACTGGAATGTGGTCAAACCAACACTCAACCATAAACATGAGACTCCAAGACACTATGGGGCATTTTTTTGTAGTACCAGCATATGCTTTATGAAGAGTCGGGCTCCTGGAGAAGACCGAGTAATCCAGAATTAGCCACAGCTATTTCAGACTTCAGTACTGTTTCCCGCTGCCATACATTGCTGTCACTGCTACCAACCTTTGCTTCATTTCCAAGTCAGTTGTAACAAGTGAGGAAATGTATTAGTGGATCCAGTCTTAATACCGTGTGTGATCTAACAGTAGCCTTACAGTTGGTGGATTGAGTAGGTTACACCAGTGAGGAGTGGTGCCTAGTAATAAAGCCTTCCATTTGTAATACATTCTTCTTTGCTCCATTGCCAAGTCTGTAAAACTGTGCCTGGGGTTTGTTTCCAAATTCCAGATACCTAGCACAGTATCTGGTATGTATTAAATGTTGATGAATGATTAAATGAATGAATGGACAACCAAACAACTACAGCTATATCTTATCCCCAGCTTTCTTGGTCAGACCCTAGCTAGACCATAATGCTACCAGCACTGCCACCATTATCATTATCATCATTTTAAATTATACTTGATGAGCCCAGAAAGGTTGAGGCTGCAGAGAGTCTTGGCTGTGCCACTGCACTCCAACCTGAGTGACAGGGTGAAACCCTGTCTCAAAAAAATAAATAAATAAAATTATATTTGTGCACATACGAGACACCAGGCACTTTGCTAAGCACTTTGTGTTATGATCTTACTTAATTATTTCTACAACTCTGTAAGGTTTATTACCTCTCTTTTGCAGATGGAGAAACTGAGATTTAGCCAAGTTAAATGAATTGTGCAATATCACACATATAAGTGGTGAAAATGGAATTTGAAGCCAGTTAGACTACCTCTAGAGCTTTCACATTGAACTTCTCAACTGTATCATCTCTATTCCATGAGCTCATCCCTGAAATTCAGGCATAAATACTCAATTACCTTGGATGTATCCTGTTTTTTGTATTTCAAATTGTCACTCTTAGCATGGCCTTCCTACTAATACTTTTTCTTCTTTCTGGAGAGTAGCTCTCTCAGCCTTTCTATTCTGCTTTGTTACCAAAGATTACTTGAATTATCCTTGGGTCTAAGGTCTCTTTTGAGCACAACACTGGACATTCTAGAAACAATCTGAGGCATGAACCTCTAAATCCATTTTATTCTCCCAAGCTTCTAGATCACTTGGACCCAGGTTTCTTCTTTTCTATGGGCCTGGATCCCAGCATATTCCACATTCATGATTGCCCAAGGTATTTCAAGTTCAGGGGCACTTTCTTGCTTATACTTTGTTTAATTTTATTTTTTGCAAAACAATTTAAGAAAAATTAAAGCATCTGAAGAGATGAGAAAGTGCCTATTGCTTTACTAACCTGTTCATTTTCATGAAATTAGAATAAAGCATTGGTAGAATAATCTCTTCAAGAGTATCTTAGTTACCAGAGCCAGACACATTTGCAAATGCCCACAGTTGATATACCTGTAGTTGGGTTTAGTAATTTTAAATTAAATTTGTTCATCACTTTGGTTGAATCTCTCCCTAGGAGAGAGAGAAAATATCACCAGTCTCCATGGCATCAAATCTCTTTTTTTTTTTTTTTTTGGCTTTTTATAGAGTCAAACCCAATTTCCATTCCTCACAATGATTCAGGCTGTGTCTATACTACGCCAACACAACTGGTTAAAAAAGGGAAAAATTCAGTGTAATAATGGTAAAGTTTAGTTAACAAAAACCTAAATAAAGTAAAATTCTATCTATTTAGGAGTCCCTTAGAATTGAGACCTTCCAGATTCTTAGGATTTTTAACCATTAATATTAGACATATATATATTTAAAAAATTCTATTTTATTTAGAAATCCTTCCAAAATGTTTAAAAGTTTTATATTCCAATGATACTGAATATCAGATATCTTCAAATACAATGCATTTCAATATGAAACATCTAGGAATACTAGACAAAACATAAGAAACATAACCAGAAGTCAGAAATGAAAGGAAATCTAGAACCCATAGAATAAGCCTCTACTTACTGTTGGGATGTCCTGAGAACTTGGGTTTAATGAATAAATTGGAAGAGAAGTCCTTGGGTCCATACAAAGTGGGGAGTTCGGCCTGACACCCTCAAATAAAATCTTTGAAGGATTACACCTTCACTGAGAGAGTACAATAGAAAGAGTCTGACCACCAGCAAAGGGATATGGCACAGCATCTTGCTTTCTCATATTGGCCCTAGATTGGAGGAAAAGGGACAGAGAAAACTCTCCTCTGAGAGCTGATAACAATTACCTAACTCTAATGCAAATTTGGCATCCAAATTTATACTACTTGAAAGCTCCTAGAAACCACAAGCCAAAAAAAAAGAAAAAAAAAAGAATCAGCATGTGGACGTGGATATACACACAACAGTCCCAGGTTAATGCCCCTGACAGAGGTTAAAACATTCTTCAGAAGGGTTTTAAATTCAGGTCACAAATAAATTCTCCAACATGAATCTCTTTCAAGCTAAGTAAGTAAATAATAGAAAAACAAAAACTCTAGAGCTTGCTACTGGAAGAATGACATATGGATCAGCAGCATTAGCATCAATTGAGAGCTTGTTAGAAATTAAGAATCTAGGACTTCCCCTAGACCTACTGAATCAAAATACTCACTTTCATGAGATGCTGCATAATTGAACTACAATCATCTGTTGGTACACTGAAACACTGGTTTCTAGACCTCAACGTACCCAAGTCCATGAATACGCAAGTCCCACAGTCAGCCCTGTGGAAGCTGTGGATATTAAAAGTTGGCTCTCTGTATGGGTTTCTCATCTTTTGAATGCTGTATTTTTTATCCACATTTGGTTGAAAAAAGAACTCACTGTATTAAGTTGACCCACAGAGTTCAAGCTTGTAGTGGTCAAGGGTAAACTGTGTACATTAAAGTTTAAATACTGCTCAAGGAAACAAGTCACCACAGGCAAGATCTTGCATAAAGAACGTATTAGACTTCCAAAAACCTTTAGTAGAGGAAATAATGAATGCAGACTAAAACGTAAATACATTCAAAATTATTTGAGAAAAAAATACAAGGTTCTAAAATAGGTAAAACAGAACATGATAACATTGAAAAAAACTAAGAAGATACGCATAGAGAGAAATGGAAAACATAGGTATTTAATAATAAGAACTAAACTCAATATAAATTTTAAACACATAATAAGGCACAGCTGAAGAGAGAATTAGTGAACCAGAAAGTAAATCTCAAGAAATTATTTATAATGCAATACATACAGGCAAACTGTATAAAATACAAAAGAGAGATTAGGAGATACTAAGGATCTTATATAAGATATAAGATATCTTATATAAGATATAAGAAATGTTTAAAAGAAATTCTAAAAGGAGAGAATAGGAAAAACATGGGGAAGGCAATATTCACCTAGAAAATAAATAAGAACATTTCAGAATTGTTTACAGACCAAATTTTAGATTCTAGAATCACAGTAGATTTGAAGCAATATAAATAAAAAGAAATTCACTATTAAATGATTAGTAAGGAAACAAAATCTCAAAGATAAAGAGAACATCAAGAGAGAAAAACAGAGGTTACCCACAAGGAAGGTTAATCATATGAATAGAAAATTTCTCAGCCCAGTACAGTGGCTCACAGTTGTAATCCCAGCACTTTGGTAGGCCAAGGTGGGAGGGTCACTTGAGGTAAGGAGTTTGAGACCAGCCTGGCCAATATGGTGAAACCCTGTCTCTAATAAAAATAAAAAAATTAGCCAGGCATGTTGATGCATACCTGTAATCCCAGCTACTTGGGAGGCTCAGGCAGGAGAATCACTTGGACCCAGAAGGCAGAGGTTGCAGCGAAGCTGAGATCATGCCATTGCACTCCAGCCTGGGTGACAGAGCAAGACTCCATCTTGAAAAAAAAAAAAAAAAAAAGAAAGAAAATTTCTCAACAGATCAGAAGAGGACTATCTCTAAAATGAAATAAATAAATAAAAACTCTCAACCTCAAATATCATGTCCCATTAAGCACTAACTCCAAGATAAACATAAAGATTTTTTCAAACATCAAAGTCTGACATTATTTACTACTAGCAAATGATACTAAATGACCCTCAAGACTTGCTGCAAGCTGTGTCTCTTGGACCAAGACCAGCAGCATGGACATTATCTGAATGGTGTTAGAAATGCAGTATCTCAGGTCCCACCTAGGATTTCTCAAAGTTTCATGGCTGTAAGTCACCTAGTGATCTCGTTAATGTGGGAGTTTGTTTCTTTGTTTGTTTTTAGAGAAAGGATCTTGTTCTGTCACCCAGGTGGGAATTCAGTGGCACTATCATAGCTTACTGCCATTCAAAGTCTTGGGCTCAAGCAATCCTCTTGCCTTAGCCTTCCAAGTAGTGAAGACTACAGGCACACACCACCATGCCTGGATAAATTTTTTATTTTGTATGTGTGTTGGGGGGAGTGTGTCTCACTATCTTGCCCAGGCTGGTCTTGAACTCCTGGCCTCAAGGGATCATCTGCCTTGGCCTCCCAAAGCGCTGGGGTTACAGGAGTGATCCACCATGCCAAGCCATAGTTTCTAGATTCAATAGATCTAGGTTGTGATATTTTTGCATTTCCACTGAGCTCCCAGGTGATACCCATACTGTTGACCCAACCCAACCACCACATTTCAAGTAGCAAGACTACTTAGGAAGAAGGATAATGCATCCACCTGGAAATAACCAATTACCAAGACAACATGCTGAGAAAAGAGATGGTAAACATGTGGGTAAATCTAAGCCAAAGTGCACATAAAACAACAGTAAGTAATTTGATAGGTTAAGGAAAGCAATGTTGAAATAAAGTGCTAGAAAACAATGATATTTGAGATGAATATAAGACAATAAATAGTTTAAGGTCTTTATAATATAAGGGGGAATATTATTGATTGATCTTTAACTTTGTTAAGGGAAGTAAAATATATTCTATATCTTTCAAAGCAATAAATGGTAAATGTGTAATATACTTTATTAACTTTTTATTAGCAGGTACTAGTTTATCTCATTCCACAATATTCTTTGAATTAAATATTTTTTCTGTTCACAACCCTGCTGCCGTTTTGTGATTCTTTTTGTTTCTTTTCTCTTTCGTCTCAATTTTCAAGAAAATATAGTCTATAATAAATGCCTCAATTTCATCATTACCCACACCTTTAATCCATGCCATCTGGCTTCTTCCTTTACTGCCTTAAAGAAAACAAAAACAAAAATAAAAAAACCTTTTTTTTTCTTTTTTTTTTTTGAGACAGACTCTCACACTGTCCAGGCTGGAGTGCAGTGGCACGATCTCAGCTCACTGCAAGCTCCACCTCCTGAAAAAACCCTCATTTTTAACAATCACCACTGGCATCCTAGTAAAAAAAAAAAAAATCCAACAGCTCATTCTTTGTTAATCCTTATCAATTGTTCTAAAGTCTTCCTACTGAAGGTGTGGTCTGTGGACCAGATCATTATTGCCAACTAGGAGCTCTGGAGAAATGTAGACTCTCTAGACTTACCTCTGGCCTACAGAATTAGAATCTGTAGTTTAACAAACTACCCAAGTCATTCTTATACACATTATTGTTTGAGAAGCACTCAGGTAAAATATTTGACATCGTCAATCACATATAAGTGTTAAAATTTTCTCTTATCTTCCACTTTCCTTATTGACTTCTTAATTTTTAAAAATTATCTCTAGCTCATTTCCTCCTTTCATCACAAAAAAGCAGGTATTCTTCAAAGTCATTAGTTTGGCCCTTACTTTTACTCCTATTTTCTCCCTCTTGATAATCTGCTCCAGTTAATTACTTCCATTATTTTCTTAGAGAAGAATCACCTAGATTGCTTCTTAATAAAATTTCAGGGCCTCTCACTGGGGCTTCTAAACCAGCATGTCCAGTTTGGGACCCAGGAATATTTATTTCTAAAAGACCTCCCACACGCTACCAGATAATTCACACACAGCCAGCACACACATTTTTATTTGGGAAGTAGTATAGTTGATTAGAAGGTAGTTCTAATGTAGGTCTCTAAAATTGACTGTTTTCTTAGTCATAGTAGGCTAGGTAGAAATAAACCTCCAAATATCATTGACTTGAAGAAAGAAAAACTTGTTTCTTGTTTGTTTGTTTGCTTCTATCACAGTCCAGTACTGAAGTTGGCAATGCCCCTGAATGTGATTCAGGGATATGAGCTGCTTCCTTTGTCGGACTTTGGTTTCTCAATATACTTCACTTCCAATCATGTGAATTGTGCAGGAAGGAGAAAGTAGAATGATGCATAAGTTTTAACTACAGCTCTGGAAATGCTGTACCTTGCCTCTGCACCCATTCCTTGGCCAACCTGGTCACATGGCTGCAAATGGTGCAAAGAATGCTGGCAAGTGTGCTCTTTCTGAGCAACAAGGAGGAGCAGCTGGAACTGGGGAGCATCAGCTGGTCTTTGCCACACTGCTTAATCTTTGGTCTTCACTCACCCTTCCAACTGTCCACAGGGTATCTCCACTTGAATATTTGACCAGCATTAACAAGTGACCACATTTTCAACAAAAGCAAACCCTGATTCTCCATGACCCTTTTTCAGCTTGAACGTTCTCTTAAATGTATTAATATTACTTTTGCCAATGGCATCACCATTCTAGTCACAGAGGTTCAAAGCCTGGAGATATCATCCCCCCTCCCTCACATGCCCACACTATCCATTTGCCAAGTCCTGTTGCTTCTGTCTCCAAAATATTTCTTCCAACCTCCCACTCAGCCACATTCTAAGTGGCATTACTCAATTCTGGCCCATGTTATCTCTTTCTTAAAGTATTCTTCTATTCCACGATGCAGAACACTCTTAGCCACCAATTCTCTTCTATGCTCTTTCCCTTATATGGCTCTACAATTCTCACTGGCTCTCTGCTGACCTCCTTTGTAAATTATAAATATTACCTAACAATCCCAGAGTGCAAATTAACTACCAGGCACCGGGATAAGTACTTAGCATGAAGGGAATGTTATTGTCATCTCTTTTTCAGGAATAGATGAATAAGCTTCAGGGGTAAAGTAATTTTCACTAGCTGGAAAGTGAAGAGTAAGGATTTAAAATATGCATCCTAGTCCTCCCTTATCCATGGGTGATATGTTCCAAGACCCCTAGGGAAGTACCCTGAAGTCATTGAAGGTGGAAAATTCTCCCCTTTGTGGTTTTCCTCACTTTGTGGTGTCCATGTCTGTGTGCTTGCTTGCTCCCCGAGCTGATCCCCAAGGCAGAGGCCATGCCATATTTGTCTTTAAATTCTTAGTAGCTAACCCAGTGTTAATACAAAGCAAGAGCTAAATAAATGTTTATTTATTATTGACTTTGAAATGTTGAAAAAGTATTCCTACTCTCTTGATTTACTTTAGAAATGAAAAATTCTGTTTTTACTGTTTTTCTATTTGGTAATATTGGGCTGCTGAAGAAAATTCACGATCAAACTGATTGCCTCTTTTTCAAATTATAAGTATTGCTATTCTTCATGACTCCTTTAACATACATAATAGTACTCTTATACATCTTTTATATAACTTAAGTCTTCCATTAAAAGTTTATTCCATTTTTTTTTACCTTATTCCATTTCTATATATGTCTACAACAATTTTCTTCTGTCTTTCCCATGTCTTCAAATCTTCACTGGCACTTTCTAACTACTCAAACAACCTATCAATCAACACATCCACTCTTTCTCTCTTAAAAACAAACAACTCTTAATCCTACTTATTGCCTCGAGCCTCTTCTTCCTTTACTCACCTGTTTCCTAGTGACAGTAACCTACACTATCTATAATCCTTCACAATGTCATAAGGCTTTTATTCTATAAAGAACAAAACATTTTGAGTAATACTTATCTGAAAAACTGTTAAGGCTCACCCATTCAATATGAAATTGATGGTTACACAAGAAAGAAACATTTCTAGTACAAGCTATAAAACAAGCATCATTACATAGTATCACAAAAGGGGTGGAAAAATCTGTTAAACATGAGCATGAAAATGCTTAGGATTACAGTGTGTCTATTACAGAATCAAATGCAGCCTTCTTGATTAAACTAGTTGTATCATCAAGAAACACAAGAAGAGTGTGCTGCTTTACATACCCTTTCACGACGCCATGTTCAGTGATGCCACATTGGTAGCAATAAATCACCCAAGAAAATTAGCAAACACTAAAAAATCTGTATTTGGTTTATTGTTTTGTTGATTTCCCAGATTTAAGAAAATAATAGCAGAAATGTTAATAATGTAAACTATCATAAGTGTTGTTCCTGTAGCTGTTATACTACAGCTAGCACAAAAACAAAAATATTTTCCAGTACTTAAAAGCTGTTATCTAATTCAGTAAACAATTAGTTCACATCATTGACAAGTAAATAAAGCTATTACATACACACACACACAAACCAAACCCAACCCCAAAATCCGTCAGTCTCATATTCAGCCTCATATTCAAGTAGGCCAATATACAGACAAACATTCTTCACTCACCAAACAAGAACCAAGTAATGTGTTTTGAAGTTTACAAAGACAAACTCTTCTCTCTCCAGCAATATATTTGTGCCTTACTGGTTAATTTCTTGGGTTTTGTAATTCGATGCCTGAATGCAGAATCCCAACTCCTCCATTTATTGACTTTGAAATATTGAAAAAATACTCTTAACCTCTTGATTTACTTAAGAATCCTCCTCTGTCAAATAAGGATTACATTTCCTGCCTTATGAAAGGCAGTGAATACTAGTTACAATTGCCATGTACCAGGTCACTGAACAAAGCCTACTATGCTGAAGTCAGTGGTGAATTCCTAGGTTGCAAGAATTGACTTCTATTATTGCTACTGTTGCTTTGTTTTTATGCTATTTTTTGTAAATCTCATAACTATACTATGAAGTGAAGACTTGCATGTTCTTCAATTATCAGTTGAGCTTACTATGCAATTGGCATTTCAGACGCTGGAGACACATCGGTAAGTATGACATATGAACTTCTTATTCTAGAAGAACTAATATTCTGGCCAAGGGAGGTAGACAATAAAAAAAATCAATAAAACATCAGGCAGTAAAAGCGCTGGTCAGATTAAACAGAGCAATACTGTAAGGAGTGATTCAGTGGCAATCACAGTGATTGTCAGGAAATGTCTCTTTGAAGAGATGAAAATGTGGACTCCATCCATGTGGTGGGCAGGACAGTGATGCTTCACCCCACCTTAAAACGGACACATCCTAATCTTTGGAAGTTGAGAATACGTTACTTTACATGGCAAAAGGATATTTGCAGATGCCATCAAAATAAGCACCTTGAGCTAGGGAGCGTATCGTGGGTTATTCATGTGGGTCCAATCTAATCACATGCCTTCTTGAAATCAGCAGAGGTTTCTCATTCCCTCGCTTTCAGAGAGAAATGTGACTGTGGGAGAGGATGGGAGAGATACAACTAAATTGGCTTTGAAGGTGGAGGAAGGGGACCGTCAGCCAAGGAATGTGGGTGGCCTCTAGAAGCTGTGAAAAGTCAGGAAATAGATTCTTCTCTAGAGACTCCAGAAAGGAATGTAGCTCTGCTGATACCTATATTTTGGCCAGCAAGACCTGTGTCTGGTTTATAACCTATAGAAATGTAAAATGGTAAATTTGCATTGTTTTAAGCCACTGAGTTTGTGATAATTTGTTACAGCAGCAATAGGACACCAATGCAGGCTGGAATGATAAGAAAGAAACTTCCATGAAAATGATGGCACAGCTTTGTTTGTAATTGGAGCAGCTGGGACAAAGCCCCTAACACTGGGGTAAGGGTGTTAGAGAGAGAAACAAGCTGTTGTGATTGAAATATGAGCAATGGGAAGTCTATGAAGTCAGAGGTAGGCGGGAGTCAGATCATGTAGGGCTTTATGAGTCATTATTTTATTCTAAGTGTATAGGGAAGCTTTGGAGGTTCATGATTATATTTGTTTTTAAAAAGTTACTCTTCTATGGAAATTGAATATAGATGGCAATGGTGAAAGCAGGGATGCTGGTTATAAGACTAAGAGGTACACATAACCTTTTGGAAATATTTATGACCATTTGGCAGGGTAGAGTTGTTAGCTCTAGAGTAGAAAGGAAAATTATCATAACCTTTATAAATAAAAATTCCCCTGCATCTCAGGGCAGCCAATGGAATGTGTGACGTCTAAGATGAGCAGGTGTTTGTGGAAAGATTCTCTATGTAATCTATGACCTACAAGGAACATGTGGTAAGGCCTGTCAAAAAGGACTACTAGCAAAGCTAATTATCTGGTTCCATTTATGGTCCTATGGCCAAATGTTATTGATTAGAAGTAGCCCTTAATTTGTGAAAGCCATTATGTTAAGCCAGTTCTTTATTTTCCTTTATTTGAAGAAGTTGTTCTATATTCATGCTTATGACAGTGTTAATTAAAACAGAATCTGTCAACAAATAATTTTCAAAATGTCAAAAAGTTAACATCTATATAAATATAAATGCATGTCAAAGATTTTATTTAACATTAACTCATTAACTAATACAGTCATTATTAACTAATGAGTCACATAAATGGAATATTGTGACTGATTTAAGCACATAAATTTTTTAAAAATAAAATTGAATTTTACATATCTGTGTGTGCACATATACACATGCACTTGAATTTGGGTACATTTCTTGAGGTTCACAAACTTAGCAAAAGTCCCTGATATTTGGCACCCGTGAGCCAGAATCAAGCCCTTAAGATAATTTTGCAGGCATTGCCTCCAAATACATAGATGTGTGTTTTCTGTGTCACAAAGTAAAATGCGTTCCTTACCCTGGGTTGTCATTTAAACAATTTGAAATCTACTGAAATAACTCTTCCATGTCTGTTTTTTCAGTCATGAAATAGAGATAGTAAAAATATCTTATCTTATTATTACACCATGTAGTATTGAGAATAAAAAAGGATAATAAAAAAGGCTGTGCATAAAAGCATATAACTGCACAGTACCATGCAAATGAACAAGTGATTATTAGTACTAATCCTATTATTATGACAAATAGTACTAATACTGCTACTACTCTTTCTATTTCGCTACTACTTCTGTTTTAGATAAGATGTAATGGACTTGTAAACTTCCATGCTCATGCTTCAGAAAGAAGGAAATGGAGCGAATGAGTCTGTGCCCTTCCTTTCTTTGTTTTATCTTCTCCTCCCTAAATCCCAGCCCACATCCTATTCTGATATACTGCTGAATATTTGTAAAAGCAAAGATGATTCTGATGTTAGGAACATGGCTAACACATACACAAATCATTGAAGAAGGAATTGATTTGGGAGCTAATTATTTACATATTTCAAATAGCCTTTATCATCCTAAATAGTAATGATATAATTACGCATCTGCTTTGTCCCTCTGACTAAGAACCTCTTAAGAACTCATTCATCCTTTCATTCCGAACACCTAACACAATGTATGACATAAGATATACACTCAATCAATCATAATTGAATAAAAAAATAAGGAGTTATCATTTTTTTTCATACAACATCCAGAGTGAGCTTTTAAACATCTGAGCATTTCATTCCTTGCCTTAAAATACTCTAAACAGATTCCCTAATGGGAGTTGGAATAAAATCCTGAATTGCAGGGTTCTATGTGGTCCAGCTCCTGTCCACCTCTCATATTTTTTACACTGCCTATCCTGACCATATTAGCCTTCTTTCTCACATGTGGGGTGCCTGTTCCCTTCTTAAGCCATTATAGTGGTTGTCCTGTCTGCACGGATTATCTTTTTGTTTGACTATTTCACTAATGCTATTTACTCATTTTCTCTGTCCTTGCACCTAGAATATTTTGCAGATGTGATCATTTTAACTACTTTACTCACTATTCACTCATTAGCAAAAAATAATATATCTTTGGAGTATTCTTTTGTCTGCGGCTGAGTCACCTAACAACTGTCTAAACAACTGTCACCTAAAAACTGCTTTAAAACATCTCTTTCCAAAGTCATCTTACATAAATGAGTATTCATAAGAATATGTTTCATGACTTTAAATGTCCTTTTTTAACTTTACATTCTCTTCATTCTCTTGGCTTTTTTTTTCTACAGTCTTATTCATTGTGTATACTTTTATCAAAAATATTCTGCCCTAATTATTGTTTCTGGATAACTTTGAGAAAAGAATGTCTTTTGTGTCTTTAGATAGACTCACAGAATAAAAGAATGTTAACATGTTGAGTAATTCTAGCAGTTAGAAGCTTTTGGAGGTTGCAAACATTTCCATATCCACTAATTTCAGCAGTTCACTAATGGAAATCTATGCATAAGACCACTAGAAATCCATGGACCATAGACTAAGAAATTTTGTTTTAAGTTCAACACCCTGGCATTATACGTGAATAAAATGAATACTAGAGAAGTAAAGTAACATGCCCAAGAACACACTAGTAAAAAGGGTGTCTGACTCCTAAACCATTAGATTCTCCACCGCACAGTACTATTTTGTAACTAGGTTGTGACTGGTTTAGAATCAAATTTGGGGTACTTTTATGCCAAATGAGAATTCTACAATTAATACACCTTTAGCAAATAGTTTTTCTTGTTGTTTGTTTATTTTTTAGAGTCTAGGTCTTGCTCTGTTCCCTAGGCTGGAGTGCAGTGGTGTGATCATGGCTCACTGCAGCCTCAAACTCCTGGGCTCAAAGGATCTCCCTGCCTCAGCCTCCCAAGCAGCTGGGACTGTAGACATGCACCACAATGCCTAGCTAAGTTTTCAAATTTTTTTTAGAGATGGGGTATCTCTATATTGTCCAGGCTGGTCTCAATCTCCTGACCTCAAGAGATCCTCCAGTCTCAGCCTCCCGAGTTGCTGGGATTACAGGTATGAATCACTGGACCAGCTACTTTTCTTATCAATCTATTGGTATATGACCACTATATGTATACACTAGATTACATGCCTGAATATAAATATTTGAAGATATATGTGTTTGTTCTCTGATAAAAATGAAATTATGTCGTATATTATCTATGAAAATCTTGTCACTGAGAACTCTTAAGCTCTATAAAGAAAGAATTTTCCTATTTTTCTAAAAGATTACTCAATTATTGTATTGAAGCAATTCATAATGCAATTAAAATTTGATTTCAACTCATATGGAAAATTTCCTTTAAAAATCCTATTCAAATTGATTGAATAGTCTAACCAATATGGATAATTGATAGTTTGAATTCCCCAATGTAATATAACCAGTTGATTTGGGATGCATTCTCGGGAAACACTAGTAGGAGAGATAATTAGACAGAGAAATAAAGGAAACCAATAAAGTGTACATTATTCAGCTAGTTACCACCATAGGTGGTTCGAGTTTGATCTTACTGAGGAACTCTTAAAATCTGGTTTAGAATACTTTAGAACTACCCTTCCCAACCCTAAGAAATAGGGGATGAGGGATATTCATGCCCTAACTTTTATTATTGTCTCATGACTGATTCTGGACCATTCACTTTCTGACACTCCCAGGTTACCTTTGAGCAGAGTCTTAAGTGTTTATAATAACAGTAAGGTAAGGTTATAAAGTAATTCTCAGTAAAACCTCAATTGTGCTAAGGTTATACAGGTGTGGCACTGGCAGTGCATGCCATATTCCATCTCTCATAGCTGTGTAATATAGATCAAGATCACCAATGTGTATATGACTAGTATAAACTAAGCTGCTCCACTGTAAACACTTAGTACAATATTAAATTTTAAAAAATCAACCCCTCTATCCACACAATAATTAGAAATATATTTAAATCTCAACTAAGTTTCTGCTTCCAGGTAAATTGTAGTAACTACACAACACTCTGTTTCTTACACTTAATGCAACTACGAACCCTGAACTGACCAAGTGCATGGAGAAGTTATTTAAAAACTACAGAAAGTCAATAGAAGAAGGTAAATTGTGGGGAAAGATAAGAATTCAATATATCACCGAACCTATGGTGAGTATACAATTTTTTCTCCAATCCCCAACCTGAATGCAATACAACCTCAAAACCAGAATGGACGTTGGCACAGACAGGGAGAGCTGGAGGAAAAGAATTCCAGTTCTGCTTTAGGAAAGGGAAAGAGAATTGTTAATGAAAGATAATACAGTAAATCCTATTTGTTTATTTTTATTTATTTATTTTTTCTTCATTCTTTCACCCTTCAGTCCAAAAGCAATCCAATGTTAATCTACTGGGGGCAAGAAAGAGCCAAAATTCTAGGGAGGGATCTTTTACTCTGATTAGCAGGCTGTGATCCCAAAGGGGTGGGGAACCTCCCTTTGTATTTCTCTCTCTCTCTTTCAATGTATTGTCCCACCTTTTAGAACCAGTGTGGAGGCAATCATGAAAGTGCATAAAAGAACACGGGAATTAAAGCCCAGCTTTCTGGGCGGAGGACTGAAAAGATGAGCCTCAGTGAAAAAAAGAAAAAAAATTACCAAGGAGATCACAGAGACGTTAGAGCTCAGAAAAGTGACCTCATAAAACTGTTTATAAACTCCTGGGATAACTCTGACCTGTGATTTCATAGATCTTATTCAAGTCATATATCACTTTGAGAAGTGAACCAAGAGAAAGGCCACCACACACATAGGACATATCCAAATCATAAGGCAAAGACTTTGAAACTCAAATTGACTTCATAACTACAGTTTGTAGACAGAGGATTAGAATTTTCTGCTTGAACCTATCCAGGTTAATTGCTTACTAAAAGAAAACAACAATCAACATTTTTCACAAGAATAAAAATAGACCCAACATCTCATTACATAATATTCAAAATGACAAGCATATGATCAAAAATTAATAAGCATATTCAAATTAGGAAAATCTCAACTAAAATGGAAAGAGATAATTAACAGAGGCCACCACTGAGATAACACTGATATTGGAATTATCTGACAAATATTTAAAACGAGCTGTTATACAAATGCATTGAAATTCAAACAAGATTTCTATTGCACGATATGCTCACCAAACACCATTCTTCAAAATAGTCACTCTTTATGTAGAAAACTAGGTATTAAATAAAGTTTTCTAGTAGAGGGGCTAAAAATTGCATTTCAAGTGGTTTATGAATGCATTTGGCTTAATGCTCTCCTTTGAGCACCCAAAATCTCCGGCCATCTTTCACATTTGTGGAGGAATAAAGGGCCTCAGTGAGATGGTTATGAAAGGCTGTTGGATTTAAGGATGTGAAGAAGTTGGAGGTATCTTCATCATCCACTTTTCATCTAGCAATTTCAGGCTATTGCTAATAAAATAGGCAGAGGTGGCCGGGCACGGTGGCTCACACCTATGATCCCAGCACTTTGGGAGGCCAAGGCGGGTGGATCACGAGTCCAGGAGTTCAAGACCAGCCTGGCCAAGATGGTGAAACCTCATCTCTACTAAAAATACAAAAATTAGCCAGGAGTGGTGGCAGGCACCTGTAAACCCAGCTCCTCAGGAGGCTGAGGCAGAGAATTGCTTGAACCCAGGAGGCAGAAGTTGCAGTGAGCCGAGATCATGCCACTGCACTCCACCCTGGGCGACAGAGAGAGACTCCGTCTCAAAAAAAAAAAAAAAAAAAAATAGGCAGAGAGGCAGACGTAATCCTTCAGCCGCCCTAGCTGCCACATTCATTCCTCATTCCTCACTCCAGCTCAAACACACCTCTTATCATATCCAGAGGCTTGGGATCATAATTTCAGGAGACCACAGTAGAACAGAGATGTTAGATCTGAAGCACATCCCGATCCCTGAATACAAAATACATGTTATCAGTCTTCCTGCTTGCAGTGCAATGTAACATAATCCAGCCTACTGATACAGTATTTAGCCATTAATTCCATATTCAATACTGACTAAAACAGCCCAAATCAATACTATCCATGAAGGCAGAGGGAAAATCAGTAATACAATGTCTGTATGTGATAGCTCATTTCTTATTTCACTTGATTATCATAAAGGCATATTTTGCAGGCCAGAACTAATAGGGACTATTTCAGTTAAAGAGAGTTGTTGTCTGTCTGTCTTTTGCTTAGTAATGGGTTAAGAGGAAGAGGTTCTGGTTTGGGTAAGCTTTCAGGCAAACAGGAGAATCATAGTGATGGTGGTAGGAGGGGAACTGTTCTATACTGTCTGTTCTATTGAGTAGGACTTAGGCTTCTATGGTACAGGCAGTGAAAACCAGGAAATGAAGGAGTTGTTCACAATTGGTATAAACAAGCATATATAGGCAGAGTTGTTGCAACCCAGTATCTTGCAGCTTGATAAGAACTGAAGCTTTGAGAACATCTATGAATAGCACTCTTGTCCTAGATTTTGGTATTCTTTCACAGAGTTTTCAACTACACATGTGCTCTATCTTTTGCGTTCCTTCTAAAGTAACTAGAAGACACTTGGCATGGAGATAAACACTGAGATTGTTCTTCATTCATAGCAATGCTCGAACGTTGTAATTTGGGCAGTAAAGCCCTTAGTGGCTAAGGAGAAAGGTGCAGCATAGGGTTAGCCTCTTCCAAACAGTATAAATCAAAGTGGTTGAAAGAGGTTCCCCATAGGAAAATCAAGGAGGGAGAATAATCACCTTTGGGCAGAGAAAAATAAAAGATATGTACTATAATATTCCATTAAGTCACCTAATTTTGTGACTTCAGATGATTTGCTTTACGTTCACCAAAGCTGTACAAAAGGGGCTATTATATTTATCAGTAGAGTCAGTTTCCGAAAGGCTAATATATATTTACAAAGTATAATTTTCGAAATGTTAAAAACATGGCTCTCGTCCAACAGAGCATAACAGTGAGCAATGTTAGGTCTCTTTAGATCACTAATAAGGGAACCAGTGGAATGATATGCTCATTCAAATGAGACTGTGAGACATTGTCAAATATATTACTAGTGGAGGAAAAAGAGGCTGCAGTAAGATGGCAACATTAGATACAGAACTGATTATCGTAAAGGGGAAGAAAACGGTAGCATTCGAGGCTATCTGGACTACAGAACAAAAATATTTGCATCTTTTCAATTCTTTACAAGTTGACATTTGACATTACAGAATGCAGAACATAAGCAGTAACAAAGAGTAAGTCAAGCACATGTATATTCCCTGGAATATCAGATAACCCTTAAGCAAGCTGTTAAACAATGCTTTTGTATGATCTTGTAATATTTTTGCTATATACCAAAATTTTAGGTCTTTTCATAATAACCTTTGTTTGTGATGCTTCATAGGTAATTGGCAAAATGTTAGCTATTTTATGACCACACTAATGTTAAACGTGAATGAGATGACACCTCATAATGATTTCTTTTTATCTTTTCCTTCCATGTATATTTCTCATTGCTCCACATTCACCTTCCTCAAATATTATTTTTATGCAATTTTCTAATGCCTATTATAGGTTGGGGCACATAATAAGATCCTAATACATGCTCATTAAATGTAAAAAAAATTAATCCCCTCAAATTTCATTGGTTACACAGTGCCTACAGAATATTTGCTATTTTTTTAAATCAAACTACTTATTTCAGATAGAACTCTTAGTCACAAGAGGTTCAAACCACCTCATACTTTTCCATAATGACATATTTTACTGTGCAGATTTATAAATTGAATTATAACTAATGAATGTAATAAAATAAAAATTACTCATATGATATTGTACTCCAATAAAATAGGTGAGTGTATTTTTCTAATATTTTTATCAAGACTATCTAACAAAAGAATTAAGACCCCTCATTAAGTAATAAATGAACTAAGGCTGACTAATGCTTAGCAAATATCTGGCTTATTAATTGAAACTTTTACTATAATAACGATATTAATTTCACCTAATATTACTGATCATTTACTATATGATAGGCATATGCTATGTGCTTTTAATGCATTTCCCCCACTGAATATACTGAATGTACAGAGTTATTGTGGAGAGATGGGAAATGTATATACCTTCAAGTCAGAAGACCTGAGTCTGAGGTTCAAAAACAGTCATGTGTCACATAACATTTCAGTCAACCACAAACCACATATACAATGAAGTTCCATAAGATTATAATGCCATACTTCTACTCTAATTTTTCTCTGTTTACATACATAAATAGTTGCCATTGTATTACAATTGCCTACAGTATTCAGTACAGTAACATGCTGAATGCTGATTACCATTTGTAAGCTAAAAGCAACAGGCCATACTATACAGCCTAGGTGTGTAGGAGGTTATGACATACAGATTTGTGTAAGTACACTCTATGATGTTCACACAACGATAAAATCACCTAACAATGCATTTCTCAGAATGCATCTTTGTCATTAAGCAATGCATGACTGTACTTAGTTTACAAATCCCTTAAATACTTAAAATTGTTGTCTCCTTGGCTGGGCAACACGGTGAAACCCTGTCTCCACTAAAATACAAAAAATTAGCCAGGTATTGCATCGTGCACCTGTAATCCCAGCTACTTGGGAGGCTGAGACAGGAGAATTGCTTGAACCTGGGAAGCAGAGGTTGCAGTGAGCCGAGACTGCGCCACTGCACTCCAGCCTGGGCGACAGAGCGAGACTCCGTCTCAAAAAAAAAAAAAAAAAAAAAAAAAAAAAAAAAAAAAGAAGAAGAAAATAATAAAGCAAATCCCACTTACATCCCAAGGTCAATGCACAGACTCCCATGGGAAAGAGTGAGCTGCATTTGTATGGTACTTCAGAGAGTTAAAGAAATTTCACGTAAGCTACTTACTTCCAGTTTATTGCTTTTTCCACTATAGGACAAGTAGCCATCTTCTTTTAGGAGCATGGGGTCTTAGGTAATATGATTTAGCATATCCATGTAGGTCCTAAAACAATGGTTATTTTCCACCTGAATTGGTATTATTTTCATCAATATAATCCCCTCTAAGAAAATTGTCCTGTGGATCTTTTTGTTAATTCTTTCTTTCTCTTTCTCCCTTTCTTCCTTTCTTCCCTTCTTCCTTCCTCCCTTCCTGCCTTCCTGCCTGCCGCCTTCCTGCCTTTCTTTCTTTCTTTCTTTCTTTCTTTCTTTCTTTTTTCTTTCTTTCTTTCTTTCTTTCTTTCTTTCTTTCTTTCTTTCTTTCTTTCTTTCTTTCTTTCCTTTCATTTCCTTCCTTCCTTCCTTTTCTTTCTCTCTCCTTCCTTCCT
Source organism: Homo sapiens (assembly GCF_000001405.40). Classification (NCBI taxonomy): domain Eukaryota; kingdom Metazoa; phylum Chordata; class Mammalia; order Primates; family Hominidae; genus Homo; species Homo sapiens. The sequence goes on from NC_000017.11 coordinate 70,264,228, forward strand.
TCCTTTCTTCCTTCCTTCCCCCCTCTCTCTCTCTCCCTCTCTCTCTCTCTCCTCTCCCCCCACCCCCCTTAGCCAGGCCCATAGCCCAGGCTGGCATGATCTTGGCTCACTGCAACCTCCATCTCCCTGGCTCAATGCATCCACCCACCTCGGCTTCACAAAGTGCTGAGATTACAGACATGAGCCACCATGGCTGGCTTGTGAATGCTTTCTTCTACCCATTGAAGAGTCAGTATGCAGTCTTCTTGATGCCAGGACAAACAGCAGAAAGTCAAGGAAAATCATATGCGTCAAGTCACTTAAACAAATAAATGGCAACTATAGGAAAAACTAAAGCCACATGGCACGATGAGATCTAACTGGAATCTCACACAGAACAAGTAATTTTGCCTGAGGAAGGTAACTTCACTAGAAGACTTACTTCCCATATCAGTTTGCTAGGACTGGGATAACAAACTACTACAGACTGGGTGGTTTAAGGAGCAGAAATTAATTTCCTCTGAATTCTGGAGGCTAGATGTCTGAGACTGAGGTGTCATAGGGTCAGCTTCTTCTGAGGCCTCTTGCCATGGCTAGAAGATGGCCATCTTCTCATTGTGTCCTCACATAGTTGTCCCTTCACCTGTATTTTCTGCGTCCTCATCTCTCTTCTAATAAAGATACCAATCATAATAGATTAGTGCCCACGCTAACGACCTCATTTAACCTTGATTACCTATTTCAAGACTCTGCCTCCAAATATAGTTACCTTCCGAGATATTGAGAATTAGGACTTCAACATAGGAATTTTGCAGGGACACAATTCAGCCCATAACACCCCCAAAATGATGCCTTATTTATTAGTCTGGGTTTATAACTTTATATTTCTTCTCACTAACATTAGGAGGTTCTTGACTCACCATGTGCTATTGAACATTAGATGAAACATTGGATTATAAATATAGCTCATGTTGCAATGATGCCAGGCAACGATGTGTGCCGCTGAACAGTCATCTCAGTAAACTAAAGTGCATGCGAGATGTTCCTTTCAGGATTTATTGTTTGGAGAACAAGTGGAAATTCTGTTTGATGAGAACTTGGAGCAAACGCTTTCTCCAGTGCTGACCTGGATCCTATTCTTGGCAATGCTCAGAGAGAAGAAGAGGATAGATACATCACTGAGATGTTGACCCAACAAGCATTCTTGTCAGCTACCTTCATCAGAATTGAAACCACATCTGAAGTCTCTCCACAGAAGGTATACCACCGTGTGGAAGCCAGGCATAGTGACCCTGGTTGCAGTGCCTTCCACTTAAAAGCACCAGTGCCTCTCAACATCTTCCTCTGCTATTTACGGTTACCAAAGAGGAATATATTTACTTTTTGCAGATTGTTCTGCTGTGTTCTCTTTTCTGTCTTACTCACACTTTACTGGAAAGAAAAAAAAAAAAATCATGCTTCAAGAGCTTCCCCTCTCCAGTCACCCAAAATAGGAATTTCTATCATTTTGCAGTTTCCAAACAGCAGCAGATCAGAATCTGTTTATTCTGCACCCTGAGGAACAGAACAAGTCAGACTGTGACTGTGTCTCATTAATTTTTTCTGTAATTTCAAAGAAGAAATGGAAGAGAAGAATCAGGCTTTAGGCTATGCAAAAATTGTTCAGCATGGTAAATAAATCAGCCCGAATCTATTAAAGCTCTTTTGGGCTACAACAAAGCAAGCTTGCAAACTGATGGTTGTATCCCTGAATTTGGTAAAGAGTTGCATAACACATCAGGTAGGCCAAAAAAGCACTGATAAATCAGTCTTTACTAAACATAAAACAACTTGGCAAAGTTGAAAAAGAAAAGGAAGAAGCTGAAACGTGTGCATGAAATTTCCACATTAAAAACTCATTGGTCTTGCCTGGATCCTGATGCAATTTGAAAGGAAACAGACAATTCTATAATTTTAGCAAAAATATTTATGGTACAGTATACAAGTTCACCAAAACATTCTCTCCCAAGTTCTTTTAAGAATCAGCATTCCTTACCCCAGCGGAGAAGCTGCTAAAACAAATTTATTTTTTGTTCATTTCAGAACTTTCTGGATTCTAACTATGAAAAACACAAATGCTTCAACCCTTCCCACCCCCATCACCATCAAAGAACTCTGTGACCACATGTCCTTCCCTATTTCTTTATACCACATATTAGAGACGAACATGTGGCTTGACATACATGATCTTTGTAATCCAGATCAGTTGGCTAGCAGTTCAAAGATAAGGTCAACAATCAGGTTCCAGCTCTAGGAGAAAAAATAAGGAATTTAAATTTATGGTTTTAACTTCTGGCCCTGTGAAATCTCCGGAAACTCCAGATTTTGCAATATTTGGAAATAAGAATGTTTCCATAATATTTGCATATTTGCAAATACAAATGTGATGTGTATACAGTATTTGGAAAAGTATATGTAAATTTATATGATGAATACATAAAATAAATATATAAGTGAATTATTATTTACATCATACTAGGCTATTGTAAAGTTTGGATTAAAGAGAAAAAGGTATGTGGAAAATTAAATTCATTTATTGGTTCATTCATTCAAACATTCGGCAAGCATTTATTGAGGGTTTATTTTTTGCCCTGCAGGGTCACAACGATCAACTTGAAGACTCTGCCCCCAAAGAATTCAGAATATAATGAGGGAGCTAGATGTGCCAGTTGATGTTTAGCAATCACTGTGTTAATGCTGGGATAGAAGGATGTACCATGGTGTGATGAGGGAACTAAGGAGAACAGATTAAAGCCAGTCAGGCCTGTAATCCCAGCACTTTGGGAGGCCGAGGTGGGTGGATCACTTGAGGTCAGGAGCTCGAGACTGGCCTGGCCAAGATGGTGAAACCCCGCCTCTACTAAAAATACAAAAATTAGCCAGACGTGGTGGATACCTGTAGTCCCAGCTACTTGGGAGGCTGAGGCAGGAGAATCACTTGAACCCAGGAGGCAGAGGTTTCAGTGAGCCGAGCTCACACCACTGCACTCCAGACTGGGTGACAGAGCGATTCTGTCTCAAACAAACAAACAAATAAATAAATAAATAAATAAAGTCAGGAAAATTTTAACACCTTAAGAAAAGTCCTTGATTTTTAATGTTTAAAAATTGACAAAGGCTAATTTTAATCAAACAAGGGAGAAATAAAAATCAATAGTTCTCCTTGGAACTTCTCTTATAATTCTCACATTTTTATACCTCTCATCAAGAACATCTCTGGTCAGAAGCAAAACTAATTTTCATTTATGTTGTGGACAGTTTTTAAAGTGGTTCCTAGTTATTCCCACTCTTGGTACTATACCCACTTCATATCCCCTTCCCCTTAAATGTGAGGGGAACCTGTGATTTGCTTATAATAGTACACAGCAAAGGTGATGGGCTATCACTTCCAAAATTATAGTATTTAAGCTGATTTATAAGTTGTCTTGCTAGAAGACTGTATTCACTACTAGCTTCAATAAAGGAAGCTGCTATATTTTAAGCTACCCTACAGAGAAACTCACACAAGAAAGAAATGAGGGTAACCTCTAGCCAATAGCCTGCAAAAACTGAGGCCCACTGTCCACCCTCAACAAGTGACTGAATTTTGCCAACAACCACATGTGCACGGAATGGGATCCCTCTCCGAATGAACCTTGGAATTAAACTGCAGCCCCAGCAAAAACGCTGATTGGAGCCTTTTGAGACCTTGAAGCTGAGGACCAGCTAAGCTATGCATAAATGTGAAATAATAAACGGGTGTTGTTTTAAGTTGCTAAGTTTGTAATAATTTGTTGTGCAACATGAGACAATACAGTCTACAAAATGCAAAAAGAAGAAACCTAAATACATAGATTCTCTGCTTCATAAAAGTTATTACTTAATTCGCTAAAAACAATCATTTTAAGCACAATGTTTTTCAGAGGAATCCGTATACCATAAGGAGAGATACACACATTTCTACTGTTAATGTCCTCAACCAAGACTTTACTCAATTTTTTAGAGCAAAGATATTCTGGCCTCAAAGTATACATATGATCATGCCCTTTCTATTCAACTCCCAGGCATCGGCAGATGATACAGCATGTCTTGGAACTCCATGTGTCTTTTTTTGCACAATACATTTCTGAATGCAAAACTCAGCTTTTCTCCAGAGACACCTGAGAATTATGAGAGAACCCGAGAGCTGAAGCAAACTGTAACTTTAAATTCCATTAATCCTGCAGGTTCTTAACACCCTTATTTTTGAGAAGTATTCAACTCACATAGTTAAATATAGGTGAATCTATAAACCAGTGACCAATAAACTTGTTCTATAAAGGACAAAGGTAATGGTTAATTTTATGTGTCAACTTACTGGGCTAGGGAATACCCAAATTCCTGGTTAAACATTACATTTCAAGTGTGTCTATGAGAATGCTTCTGAAAAAGTTTAGCATTTGAATTGGTAGACTATGTAAAGAAGACCACAGTCACCAATGTGGGTGGGCATGATCCAATCCCTTGAGGGCCTGAAAAAGTCTAAAAGGTGGAGGAAAGACAAATTAGCTCTTTGTCTGAGCCGGGACATCCATCTTCTCCTTCCTCCAAACATGTGCACTCCCGGTTATAAGCTTTAGTACTCGAACCTGGATTTACACTGTTGCCTCCCCTGGTTTCCAGGCTTTCATACATGAACTGGAACTCCACCACCAGACCTCCAGCTTGCAGATGACAAATTGTGGGACTTATCAGCCTCCATATAATCATATGAGCTAATTCCTCATAAAAAATATTTCTATCAATCAACCTATCTATCTATATACTATTGGTTCTGTTTCTCTTGAGAACCCTACCTAATGCAGCATGATGTGGTTTGGTTCTGTGTCCCCACTTAAATCTCATGTTGAATTGTGATCCCAGTGTTGGAGGTGGGGCCTAGTGGGTAGTGATTGGATCGTGTGGGTTGTTTCTAATGGTTTAGCACCGTCCCCCTAGTGCTGTCTAGTGATAGAGTTCTCATGAGAGCTGGTTGTTTGAAGGTGAGTGGCACCTTCCCCTTTGCTCTCTCTCTCCTACTGGCCATGTGAATATGTGCCTGGCTTCCCCTTTGCCTTCCACCATGATTGTAAGTTTTCTGAGGGCTCCCCAGAAGCAGAAGCCTGTACAGCCTCCAGACTAGTGAGCAAAATTAAACCTTCTTTCTTTATAAATTACCCAGTCTCGGGTATGTCTTTATAGCTGTATGAGAACAGACTAATATACAGCAAGATAGTAAATACTTTAGGCTTTTTGGTCCATATGGTCTCTGTTGCAACTACTCAATTCTGCTATTGTAGCAGAAAGGCAGTCTTAGACAATATTAAACAAATGAGTGTGATGACAGTGTTTCAATAAGTTTTAATTCTGTACATTGATATTTCAATTGCATATACTTCTTACATATTAATAAGTATTGTTCTTATTTTAATTTAAAAAATCAATGAAAACTGTAAAAACATTCTTTGCTCACAAGAAATCCAAAAACAGGAGGTGGGCTGGATTTTGGCCAGTTAGCTGTGCTTTGCTGATCCCTGCTCAAAATCAGTCACATAGCTATTAGGGTACCCCTTAGTGCAGTAAGTGGCAATCTCAGTGACTTTTAATGATTATAATATTTTCAAAATTCAGTTAATTAGATTTAAATTTAACAAAAAATAGCATGGAAAAATAAGAAGCAGTGGCAGATTCAAGGAGGAGGTCAGGGAATAAGGAAGCAGGATCCAAGGACTAGATGGCATCTCATATCAAACAAACACCAACAGGGCATTGCACTCTAAAAAGAAATAGATTTATTCACTAGACTTTGTGTAAAATCTATAATTGTGATCAAGTTGCTAGGGTAGGAATTGATTGATTTCCATTTCAGCATATTTGTCTTCAAATGTGCAGAAAGTTCTCCTGGCTCCCTTCAGGATTAACATGGGGTTTGGAATAAAGTGATAGACACATAGGAGCAGGCCACAAAGACTAGCTATGCTCCTCGTGCTCCAGAATTCGAGTTCTTGGTCACACTTCTCTCCCAGGATGTTTCATCCTGCTGGCCCATTCATCAGACTGAACAGGAGACAACTATTTCAGCCTGAGACGGCCCAGGCTTGAGTAGGCAATAGCACTCGAAGACTTGGAAGGTTGCTGCTGCTTTTTTGGAAAAATGTGAAACTTTTTCTAATATGTGTGAAAAGACCTGTTAAACTTGAGGAAAAATCACCAGCTACTGAGTAAGCATTGCCTTGGTAAGCCATATGTTTTCATGTTTCTTTCTGAGTCTCAAATCACTCCTTTAGTTTTAAGCTTTGTCTTCCATAAGAAAAAGGAAATGGGAGGCAGGAAGTAGCAGAATAAGGCAGCTGACCTTTGAATAAAGATCTAAGTGGTCTCAAGGCCCCGTCCAGTTACAAGAATGGAGCCGCTTCCCTTGCATTACTAGAATAACCCAGGCCTAGATCTCTCTTCCCACTTCTAACATGCCTAAGGCTCAGGCTGTGCTTTCTGAGAGTTGGTAATAGGTATGCTCCCTCATTCTTTTGTGAGGAATCACCTATGTTGTCTTTCACCTTGGGCGCCCATCCAATAAGAAGCTCATCTTGAATTCCCCTCCCAAAAAGTGAACGATTTAAAATAGCTTTCAAACAGACTCTAATGACAATGTCTCACAGCATGTCACACGTTTGCGGTCGTCTTCCTTTATAGCAATTATAATTAAATCAAACAGTGGCAATGGTGTGTTTTTTAACAGTAAAGAAAAATAAGCAAAATTAAAGAAAAATAAGTCAGAAACATGGAAGAACTATAGAGACCATATTTTTATCTCTTTGGATTCTGTGTGCAGACCGGTGTTTAAGCCATCTCCCAAAAGTTAGTGGACAAATCTCAATGAGCTTAGACTCACACTGGGAAACATGCGGAGTGAAGACGTCATTCCTAAGGTTTATTTTAAATCCTCCACTTTGTAATTCTTGACAGTGGATGTACGTTGAGACATTAGCAAATGACGTGTAACTTCAAATGGGAAGATCCCTTGTCCTTCCTGAGAATAGAGTTGCATGTGACACACTCTCCAAAGAAATTATTTTTGTCTTCCTCTACAAGCTAAAGGCCTAGATTAGAATCGGGATACTGGGATAGGGTTACAGATTCTTAAATAAACCTGGAAGGGATTTAAGAGAGCTTAGCTAGAGGATCACTAATCTTGGGAATGACAATCCTGAATGTCCTGGTGATTTGCTGCAGGTTGCTCAGCTACTTAATGGATGTGCTAATTGGATCAAAGACTTATTTCTTTTTCAGATTTCAAAAGTAGATCCATCAGGTTTCTTTTATTCCCCATAAATGGGTCTTTATGAAGAGAAAACAGACTCCTATGTTAAGACAAAAACAAAAGAAAGAATTAATGCTGCTTACCTTTTTCCTTGACCTAAGGAAGAAAAGTAGAGGAATATGAAGAGAACAGAGAGAGCTGGGTCACTTTGTTCCTTTACTTAGGGCAGATGGGCATATACTGATAATGAGAAAGCAGGGTGGACACTGTTCTGAAAACCCCTGGGGCTCCTAGAAACTGGTCTTGAGTTTTCTTGTTACAGAGAAATAATAATTCTGTGGGCAGGTCTCAGCAAGTACAACATCAGTGGCAAGAAGGAGGTAAGGGCCCTGTCATTTTAGGATGCTCCAGGGACAGAATGCCATATGGTGAGTCTTGATGGGGGTAGTCTCACTCCCTTTTGAGAGAGTTAGGCAACTGAATCTGCACTGCCAAAGTCCAGGTGAGTCACACTTATTAAAAAAATATTGTCGGCCGGGCGCAGTGGCTCATGCCTGTAATCCCAGCACTTTGGGAGGCCGAGGCGGGCGGATCACAAGGTCAGGAGATCGAGACCATCCTGGCGAACACGGTGAAACCCCGTCTCTACTAAAAATACAAAAAAATTAGCCAGGCGTGGTGGTGGTCGCCTGTAGTCCCAGCTACTCGGGAGGCTGAGGCAGGAGAATGGCGTGAACCCAGGAGGCAGGGCTTGCAGTGAGCCGAGATCACGCCACTGCACCCCAGCCTGGGCGACAGAGCGAGACTCTGTCTCAAAAAAAAAAAAAAATTGTCAAATATATTCACATTCCATTTCAAACAGCATTTTTATGACAGTAAACTGTTTCATTATAGTGCATTTACAAGCAGCTGTTTTGTACTTAAGTTCTATAGGTTATAATTAATTGTGAAGACAGTTTATTGAACAAAGGAAGGGATTCTCCTAATAAATTGGCAGATGGAAGGGGACATGCTATAAATCAGAGACCCTTAACTTTGTATTTGTGAAGACAGGCAGTACTCTTTTATGCTACATGTGACTCCTAATTAAGTGATCTTTCCAGAACACCAAGAGTCAAGTGCAGTCGGACAGATTGTGTGTGCTATAGCCCTACCCTATCGATCTTCATTAATTCATTCACTGTCTTACTCCACAGAACTTGATAAACTTATAATATGATGCATAACAAAAAGGAAAATAATAAATACTAGGAGGAATCAGACCAAAAATCAAGTATAAAGACAAGAACAATGATAATGTTAACTAATATAAAAATGAATACCATAGCATGTAGTATTAACGTTAGACATGGACCATAGATTTGGTTTAAGTTTCCTAGTAGCTCTTGGATAATCAACATATAATGAACTGGGCATGGTGGCTCATGCCTGTAATCCCAGCACTTCGGGAGGCCGGGGCAGGCAGATTGCTTGAGTCAGTCCAGGAGTTCAAGACCAACCTGGGCAATATGGTGAAACCACATCTCTACAAAAAATACAAAAATTAGCCAGGTGTGGTGCATGTGCCTGTAGTCCCAACTACTCAGGAGGCTGAGGCAGGAGGATCGCTTGAGCCCGGGATGTCAAGGATACAGTGAGTCATAATCGCACCACTGCACTCCAGCCTGGGCAACAGAGTGAGACCCTGTCTCAAATATATACATATTTGACTGCATAAATGTGTGTGACATTATACGTATATATATATAATGACTGCATAAATATGTGTAACTGTGTGTGTGTTTGAATACATCACTGTGTGTGTGTGAGGATGTATTAATGTGTGAGCATGTGTGCACATGTACGAGGACACATGTGTATACACACTTGTGAATGCATGTTTATGTAAGACACTATATGTGTGAGCTGTGGTTATGCATAAAGAATGTGCATGTGTGCTCCAAAGAAACACAACTTTTTCTGCTACTAAAAACTGGTCATCTTTGAATAAATTCAGAAATGATTTTATATTTAAACATTTACCCATGTAGACATCTTAATGGGAATAAAATTTGCCCATGCCATGAACAAAATACATAATTTAAGATTTAAAATTTAAATGCAAGGTAATTTACATTTTAAAACCTCAGATGTAATGTAACTTTTAAAATAGGTCTTGATTATCTTATTGAGATATGACTTACACTGGCTAAGATTAAAATGAACTAGTTTTCTTTGGACACATACTGGCCAGGGACAGGCAGCTATGAGAAAATGAGACAGAAGCTTCCTAGCAGCCAAGGATATCTATTCAGGATGTCACATTTCTTCTAGATCATCCTATCTTGATGGTTAGAATGCAGCGGATTATTTTGGTTTTGTAGTAGCTGAAATAATACAGGAATCAGCATCCTTATTCGTTTAATCTACAGCCTCAATTTTCTCACCTCAAAAATAGAAAGGTTCTATCTACATTACCTTCCAGCTATAATCTTCTATGATTCTGTGTTGTCTCTGTGTTAGAAATCAAACTCTTTTCATTGTGCTTTTAATTTTTTTACTGTAATTATTTTTATTATTATTTTTCAAAATAAAGACTCACTCTGTCACCTAGGCTGGAGTACGGTGTGCAATTATGGCTCAGTACAGCCTTGGCCTCCCGGGCATGGGGTCTCCCTGTGTTTCCCAGGTTGGCCTTGAGCTGCTGGGCTCAAGTGATCCTCCTGCCTCAGCCTCCAGAGTGCCTGGATTACAGGCATGAGCCACTGCACCCAGCCAGTGGGCTTTTAAACTTCACATATAATTTTTTTTGTCTCATGTTTTATTGAGAAGTTAAATGCACAATATAATATCCATCTTGATGAAAGGTTTTGTTGTTGGTAGGACAATAACAGCAGCACTAGACAGTATTATAGGATAATACCATGTACCTTGCATTGTGCTAGACTGTATGCCTAAAATAGCCTCATCTAGTCATCACATTGTGTTGCTCCAAACAAAGAAATGGTTTCTATATCTGGCCAAAGTCACCCGGTTAATGTATAATTTGAATTCAAAGTTCAAATCAAGAACTATAACAGGGAGTTCGTTAATTCTACATTCCCTTGAAACAATTCTTTACCAGGTACTGGCAGCAGAAGGCTAGATAGCAACAAGAGTTAAAAGAGTTCTGTGTCTACATGAATGTGCGTGTGAATGTGAGAGTATTAGGGGAATAGAATAGAAAGGACCACCAAATAGCTTACAAAAGCAGAAATCACAAGTCATTTCAAAATGATAGTTTCTACCACATCGGGTAGAGATATGGAGAACCAGAATTGAGAAGTAGAAGGTTCCATACTATGTCAGAGGGAAAGTGCATTGTGTCCTGGAACAGGTAGAGCCAGCATTTATATTCCTGAGTTTTATGCAATTTTGTCTTGACTTGCTCAGGTAATTTAGTTTATTTCACTCTGCAGCCAGGCAGAGATGGAAGCTAATGAGTAAGAGGTAATATCAAATAACCCATTCTAAAGGGTATTGTAAGAGCAAGATAAAAGTAACTAAAAGTGATTGTACATGAATAGAGTCAGGATTGCACTGGAAATTTAGAACTATTTGTTTTCCTCTATATGAGAAAGTTAGCAAGGTGGCCTAATAGCTCAGTTCAGATGCATTTATTTCCATTGATTTTCCTAGCCCCAGCAAACACACCTGTGTTCTAACCCATGTGCTATGTGTTTTCATGAACACACTGCAATAAACTTTCTTGAATTCTCCAGAAGTCCTATCTGCAGAATGGTTAAAATTTTGGCTCCATTGTGCCAATTTGCCTTTCTCCTCCCCAATCTCTTTGGGAATATTTATCTTTTATGAGTTACAAAAAAGATTCTTGGCCTTAGAGGCAAGAGAGATGAATAAATTAACCCCTGTGGGATTCCACTGGCTGCTTCTGGTCATGTCGCCTACTTAGACTATTCTTTTATTCCTTATACTCCATGTATGGCATATGAGCTAATGAGGAAAGTCATCATTCATTGAATATTTATCGAGAAACCCAGAGTTCTTCCATTTTCCCTTATTACTGGATTAAAAAAAATAAAAGTTGGGAAACTGAGTTATGTGACATTTGGTACTTATTGGGCACATTAAGATGCTCCATGTTTTATGGCATTGTTTCTATTGTCTTCTGTATATTTCAAACTAAAATATTAATAGTTCATGATTTAAGTCATAGTGGATTCCCTCAGGCTATGCAGATCACTCTTATATATGACTCTATTAAGGTAAAATTTAGGATCATTAAGATTAGAATCCATACTCTGAATATTCTTTGGGCATGTGAATAGAAATGGAAAGGAGAACAGAATGATGATACAAAAATGTGTGTTTCAAAAAATACAATTTCTGTGGCTTGAATTCAGGACCTAATGGGAATTCAGACTCACAAATTGCCTGCTGAGCAACATAAGATAATGTTTATGGAGGTGAAAAAGACCAGAAGCAAGAGTATGAGACAGTTCTTCTGCCTGGGGTTCAGGTGGTTATGTGCAGGAATAGTATTCAAAATGATAACAACTGGTAAGGCAGGGACACCAGCAATTGGAATGGGCTCTGCAGTTTCTCTGAAGCAGGATACTGGAGGGCACATTTGTTGCTGGATAATGGGGAGGGGATGGGGCTAAGCCAGGCATGGGGTCAATGTAGTGGGGGTATTGAGAGATAGTCAAGGAACTGAGGACAGCTGTTACGTATCAAGCAGTTTGGAGATCTCTCTCTCTCTCTCTATATATATATATATATACACACATATATATATACGTATATATATACACGTATATATATACACTATATACGTGTATATATACACATATATACATATATATATAGAGAGAGAGACAGTGTAAATGGTATTTATTTATTAAAAATTTTTTTTATTTCAATAGCTTTTGGGGTGCAAGTGGTTTTTGGTTACATGAATGAATAATATAGTGATGAATTCTGAGATTTTAGTACCCCCTTCACTCGAGTGGTGTATATAGTACTCAATATGTAATTCAATATTTTAATGAGGAATGCAAGTCTTTGAGAGTATACCATCCGAATATCAGCCCTAACCATATGCTTTTTTAGGATGAGACTTCCCTTTAGAGAGTGTCTTTCATCTAACACAGAGCTCTTCAGTGTATCCTTCTGAAATCTCTCTGGCATAACCTTCTGTTCTATGGACCTGTTATAAGAACTCTTCACTTGCTTTAAAAGAGTAATTGTTTCCCAGTTATCTTCTCTTTTCTACATAATGTTAGGAGTGGGAGTGGAACTAAGAAACACTTGAGCTTTGGAGTGAGGCAGACCTAAGTTTGAATCAAAGTTACTATGCATGTGTCTTAGCACGCTATTTAATAACAGAGCATCTGTTTCCTTAGCTGTGAAAATGGCTCCTTGTGGGAATTAAAATGAGATGACTCCTTGGATGGTGTCTACCACAAAGTAGGTGTTCCATAAATGTTTCATATCATCCGTTCATCTTGTTTATATAATATCTACATCATACTGCCAATATTTATTCTCAAGTCTCATCTCCATTGCTGTACAACAAGCAAATTGCTAGAGATGCCATGTTTAAAGCATTTCAACTTCATTTCTGCCACTGCATCTGGAACAGGGCCATGTATGTGGTTAATACTCAATAAACAGTCACCGAGTGAATGAACAAGCCTGATTTTCTTGGCTTTTGTTCTTAGTACTTACTTTCTATCACTTAATTCATTTTTCCTTTCTCCTGGGTGTACTCCAGTTTCTCCACATCCTTAAAATGTAAGTTTGGTAAAGTACCTTCCAGGGACACACGTGTAAAGAATAAAACTGTGTCATTGGAATTCATGAATATTTTTAAAATTTTAATTTCCTTAGCCACTCTATAAATCTTGTTCACCTGGGTTGACTAAAGTTTCATGCTCCTTTCTGATTTACACTCCTTGTATACGTGAAATGTCACCATGTGAATCCCACAGATCCTCTTCCCATCAAAAACCAACTGTAGACACCAAAGTTCCCCCAAAAGAGTGTCAAATTACTTTACTAGTTCCTTATATACTCACACTGAGGGTCAATCCGACATAACAGCTAGCAGTATAGTGACAAGGGCTTCGTGTGCGTTCAAATCTCCATTTTTACCATTTACTAGTTTTATGACTTTTAGCAAAGATAATTAGCCACTCTATGACTCAATTTCCCAGTATGTAAAATAAGGCTAATAATAGTAGCTACCTTTTACAGTCATTTAAAGACCAATTAGTTAATGTGTGAAAGGAACTTAAACTAGTAAATAATTAGTACTCAGCAAAAGTTAGCTATAATTATTATCTATAACAACTTTTCTATATCCTACAGTTTAAGTTAATGATACATACCTTCTATAGCTAAGTTAAACAATCAGATTTTCTGTGAATTTCTGACATAGGATATTACAAGGATCTTTCTTGTAGTACTATTAGCACTAGCAAAAATTAGACACAAACTAAATGCCTATTAATTATTAGGATAGTAAAATGAACTAGAGTATACCCACAATACAGATGACCATACAGTCATTTAAAAGGGTTAAAGTTTTCTAAGATAAGTTGTTAAGAATACGTAAGCAAGTCACAGAATAATATATTATGAAGATGAAGATATTCAAAACACAAAACATGTATAAAGCACGCAATTTGAAAAGATCCACAGCAAACTACAAATAGTGATGCCTTCTGCAGAGGACAGTTAAATTGGGTATAATCAAATATATTTTGGTTTTATTTTCTTTATTTCTGTATTTTAAAATTACGAGGCAAATTTATTTCTTGTATAATGAAAAATAAAAATAAGAATCAGTGAAGTTACAAACAGAAAGCTGATTTGAGTAGTTTGGTTCAGTGACATTGGAAGGTATTGATTTTTTTTTTTTAACACTGAACTCTATTTCTGTCTAGGATTGAGTGAAACATCAATAGAGAAAACGTCAGTTAATTGACCAGTGAGTCAACAGGGCTAATGAGTTCAACTGATTTGAATCTGTAGCATCTTTTCTTAAGCATGTACATATAAACAAGTCAATTACACATTTTCAGATCAATATTAGATCTACTATTTAATGTTCGATTGCTTCCTGTGTTTTTACGACTCAGGCACCTGAATGTTATAGAATAAAGAAATCTAGAGTTAAATAAACCTAAGCTAATCATCTACGTAGCTTCTCTTTGTCTGTGGAGGACACTTTATTCTTTTCCGTGGTTCACAGCTTTTACTGTACTTAGAATCCATTCTTTTCTCTTGTATCTGGGACCTGATTTCTCAATGGGAAACGTTTCCAAATCCAAAACAAAAATATCTCTATGTTTTTGAGTTTGGGAAAGTGCTATATTATGAATTTACTTATTTTTTTCCTTCAATTTTATTTTTGGAAGGAGCTGTATAAACATGCCCTGCTGTCGGTAACAAGTGCTTGAAGGCCAGCAAAGTGTTTATGAATAAGGACCGAGTCTGTGCCGCACCAGCTGCATTGTCCCTCTCACACTGATAGATTGTAATCTGCTTTGTGGACAGGAACTCTGGCCTTTGTTGTATTGAAAATTCTCATAAACTCTGACAAGGAAATGTGAGCAACAGCAATATGCAAGCTCCTTCAGTGAAAAACCAGGTTTCCTAAGATCTTGCTGAGGTCTGAACAAGCAACGCATTTCCCCATAGAGAATGAGAGGGATTATCAATCATACCTCACAGTCACCCTCCAAAGTCTGCTATGAAGTGTTCCTGCTGTTCCCTAAGCAGGCAACAGACTCTCCACAGGGATGGTGCATTCTGGTGCTTGAGGATAGGGATCAGACTCAGCCACTGGTGATCCTTGCAGATATCATTTCTTCCTTGGCAGATGGTGTGGAAGAGTAGGAACGTGATGTTAAAACAAACACAGATTCAAATCCTAGCTTTACAATTTACCACATGTAAGACTTTAGACATGTTTCGAAACCTCTCTGAGTTCTAGTTGTCTTCAGTTGAGATTAATAACAATTTTCTCAAAGTTATTGTAAGATTTTTTAAAACCATGTTTAAGAAGGACCCAAAGTGTATAGAGAAACAGTGCTTTTGTTGTCTCACTTGTAAAGGAGTTACAATAAAAATTTTGCTAAATTAAGAAAAGGTAGTCAGTGTGATAATGTTTTGATAGGCCAGTCCACCCATGAAAAGTGGGTAGGGTAGACACTAATTAACATGGGCAGCACATGTGACATTTTCTTTATCACACCACAGATCTCCTTATTCAATATTTGAGAGCTCATTAAAATGAAAGCAAATGGCTCTCCTTAGTATATCATTTGTAACTCTTGATTTATTGGGTTACCATTGGATTTTTCCCAATGCCACCACCAATCCACCTAAATCCATTGTAGAAATAGACAGAACTTACTAGCCAGCTTTTATCTGACTTACCCCCTAAGCCAGGAATTGAGCATCTACGACAGACCAAACATGTTGTTAAGAAACTGGGATCCATGCAGAAATAAGATGTGCTATTTGACACTCCGTAGCTCACAATTCAGTGTAGAGGTGGGACACAGAGGAACAACACTTCCGCGTCCCTGAACAAAAAAGCGTAACATAGGCTGGGTGCGGTGGCTCATGCCTGTAATCCCAGCACTTTGGGAGGCTGAAACCGGCAGATCACTTGAGGCCAAGAGTTCAATACTAGCCTGGCCAACATGATGAAACCCTGTCTTCTCTACCAAAAATACAAAAATTAGCTGGGTGTGGTGGCATGCAATGGTGGTCCTAGCTACTCAGGAGGCTGAGGTGGGAGGATTACTTGAGCCCTGGAGGCAGAGGTTTCAGTGAGCCATTGTCACGCCACTGCACTCCAGCCTAGGTGACAAATGGAGACCCTGTCTCAAAAAACAAAAAAAAGAAAAAAAAAAAGTGTAACATGACAAGGGCTCGAGCTGTATCATGAACAAAGAGCTTCAGGGAAAAATAAAAGCTAAAACACCAACTTCATCATCTGATTATCTTACTCAATGTGATTTGAATCTAGAATAAAAACCTTTAGCTTGCGCTACAAGAATCCTGAATCCACTTCTCACCTTAGCTCACTCATCCTGCTTTCCATCTTTTCTCAATCCATATTCCTCTTCCTTTAGTCTTTGCAAACAGTGAAACAATGTTAAAAACACTTAGTTTATAATAACAATAGCAGCAATCCAAGTAACCTATTTAACAAAATGAATTATTATATCAATTCAAAAACATAGTCACCCGTCTAAAACAGGATTATATCCCCAGTGTACATTTATCTTGATTTTCTATGATTTCCAACTGCATCTAGCTCCAAAAGTTCAATTTTAGCATTTTATTGTTTCTTGAATATTTTATGCCTTCTCTTAATTTAATAGTTTGCATTTTACAGTATTTGGAATTTTTATTATAAGTAGCTTCAAGTTAACTTTTTAAAAAATGCTATATTCTTAGGCCTGTCAGGAGTATGCTTCCTCTCTCCTGCCTCAACTCTATCCCTACCCTGAATCCTACAATGCTAGACCCAAGGCAGATGTTGGAAAATATGTGATTGAATTTGCTTCTTTTGTGATCAGAGGTTACTAGGTTGCTAGGTTACTGAAAGAGGATAAATGAGATATCACCCGTATTTGTCTCATTTAACAGAATATGATAGTAGGGATAGTCTATGTTAATATTTTTAAATGAGCATTAATAAAATGTATGTTTATCACATCATGAGTCTTTTTTCATAGATCTCGACCAGCAATGCCTCGAACTGCAAAAATAAAATAATTTTCAAAAGAGGAAGAATGCTAAAGTCATTATTTCAGGTAACCCCTATCTAGCGCACAATGATAGACCTATGTAGGTTTCCTAAAGGTTTTTGCTTAATAACCCTCTTCATCTGTCTCTGCCAGCTTATGGAGCTATTCTATTCACTATTCTCATTTCTCAGAGTTGTGTGGGTGAACAGCCGACTATATTGAGCATGAATCAGCTACTAAAATAAGTGCTGGGTAACTTAGATATATCATTTGACCTTCAAATTAATTTTGTTCATCCCTATTTCTTCTCTCTTTCCCTGCAATATCTGTCTCTTTTTTTCAGTATACATTTGCCAAAGAAACACACACAAAAAACACTAGCACCATCAAATATGTCCTTAACAAACTCATCCCTCTTGAATTTCTAGAAACAAAAATTTATGAAAGGCATGATAACCTATTCATTTTTATTACAGTATAAACACAATTTTCAACACATTGTCTTTGAGTGTTTTCATCAGAATGTTGCTTTTATTTCAATGAACATAAAATTGGAGTAAAACATAAAAAGTAAGTTTTATCTGTTCTTTTTATAATGTGTTAAAATATACACAGTTGTAATTACATAAATTGCTTAAACTGGCCAAAGTAGGCAATGCATGTTTTGAAGTATTATTGCATCCTTTATTGTTAGTCATTGGTGTTGGGAACAGGTCCCCCAAAATCTGGCCATAAACTGGCCCCAAAACTGTCCATAAACAAAATCTCTACAGCATTGTGACATGTTTGTGATGGGCATGACGCCCACGCTGGAAGGTTGTGGGTTTACCGGAAGGAGGGCAAGGAACACCTGGCCCACCCAGGGTGGAAAACCGCTTAAAGGTGTTCTTAAACCACAAACAATAGCATGAGTGATCTGTGCCTTAAGGACATGCTCCTGCTGCAGATAACTAGCCAAACCCATCCCTTTGTTTCCCGTAAGGAATACTTTTACTTAATCTATAATCTATAGAAACAATGCTTATCACTGGCTTGCTGTTAATAAATACGTGGGTAAGTCTCTGTTCGAGGCTCTCAGCTCTGAAGGCTGTGAGACCCGATTTCCCACTCCACACCTCTATATTTCTGTGTGTGTGTCTTTAATTCCTCTAGTGCCGCTGGGTTAGGGTCTCCCCCACTGAGCTGGTCTCGACAATTGGAAATCCATTTGGGAAATAGGCTTTGTAAGTATATTCAAAGTCTTCTTTTAGAGATGTCCAGGGATAGAGACATTACATATTTATGAATTGGCATTAGAGTGTACGCATCTCTATAGTTGAAAGGTTCTCTCCTGTGCCTCTCTAAGCTTTCTACAACTATAAATTAATAGATAAAGTTTGGAGTCAGGAGACCAATGTGAGTGGAGGCTTTGCCACTGCTGCTTACTAGTTGGGGGTGAGAATGGCAGAGGGAGCATACAGTAATGGATATCCCAGGATACGACGGGAGGGTCATCAGTGCAAAGACGGAGAAGGCACTAGCTAGTATAGTTTTTCTCAATTTGCAGATTCAGCCTCAGTTTTAGTAATACGGCAATGAGCTGGAATGAGAAAGAAAGGAAGAAGAGGAGGAAGGAAGAGAGAGAAAAAGAAACAATGACTACTCCTGGCTGGTGCAGAAATAGTATCCAGGAAAGAATACCAGCTTGTGTCCTTTCACATGATAAGTTATTGGGTCCCTTTGAAGACAGCTATTCTTAAACTTACAGTGGTTTGCCAATCCAGGACACAGACATGTTTGTAATTGAGCTTTTCTCTAATCTGACGGATTAAAAGGCAAACAGATTTTACTAAATAGTATTTACCAAACAGAGAAGAAAAGACTTTGTAGTCTACATTTTCATTTATGTGTATGAACAAAAGATTGGTTAGAGTCTCTGATACAGAGGTAGAGAAAATGAATGTTTCAAAGAAAGCAAAATCTGGAAGACTATGAGACTGACTTCATCCTAAAAACAAAGGCTGGGGATGTATTTAAAACAAATTACAGCAAAATCTCCACGTTGATAAAACCAGGATACCCCTCTGGAAGTTGTAATCATTTCTTTAGTTACTATACAACTCCCATATTTTTGGCCAATGCTGCTATTTTGCCAAACAGTTGGTCAGGGGCTGTAATCCAATAAGTGTTTTATTTTCTATTGCACATTCACAAATTAAGCCACAGCGGCAACCCATATCAACCTGATCTGCTCAGAGAGGCATAGGAAAAGTCAATTAGTTTTTCCACTCTCTAGGGCCAAATAGACAATTAGAATAGAGAGAAGGTTGTAGGGGGAGAAGTCTGTGAGTATTTTGCAGAGAAAGTAAGTCTTTGAAAACTACAACATCAAGTTAATATCAATCAGCCCAACGAATATGTGGCACTTTCTAAAAAGACGATTTTCTTCTATTAAGTTATAAAATAACAGAGGGTCTGATCTATGTAATGATCATCATATTCACTGTATCGTCTCACAAAATACATTTCTATAGGAAGTTCTTAAATATTTGTTGAATGGATGTCTGAATGATAGAATAAAACGTAACCCTCCAGGAGAACATGCATCCAGGTAAGCGTATTCATTTTCCCACCTGCTCCCAAGAAATTATTTCCCAGATCCTCCTCATTTATGGTTGTCAGATCACACTGTCCTATATTTGGAATAACAGAGAGCTATGAAAGCAGCAGATGTCTGGGTTAGCAATCCAATTCCCCCACTCTTTTGTGAATGCTGCTAACAAATAGTGGGTAAATTCAAAATCAGATGAATCATTATCTTTTTTGTCACCTGATTTGCCCACCTGCTGACAGGGAGAGGGTCACTCTTTTGATTTTTTTAAAACTTTTTAGATTAATATTATTTTAATTGGAAATCATAATTGTATATATTTATAGGGAAAATGTGATGTTTTATATATGTACACAATGTGGAATGATTTAAGTCAAGCTAGTTAACATGTCCATCACCTCACTTACTTTTTATTTATTAACTTTTGGGGGGAGACCTTTAAAATGCACTCTCCTACCTACTGTAAAATATATAATACGTCATTATTGACTATAATCACCCTGTTGTGGCACTAGATCGCAATAATATATTCCTCCTGTCTAACTGAATTTTGTACTCATTGGCCAACAACTCCCTATTCCCTTCCTCCTCACCCCAGTCTGTAGTAACCAGCTTTCTATTTTCTACTTCTGTAAGTTCAACATTTTAAGCTTCCATATATAAGAGATCATGAAGTATCTATCTTTCTATGCCTGGCTTATTGCACTTAGCATAATGTCCTCCAAGTTTACCCATGTAGTTGCAAATGACAGGATGTCCTCCTTTTTATGGCTGAATATTCCATTGTGTATGTATACCACATTTATTTATCCATTCATCTGTTGATGGGCACATGGGGTGATTCCATATCTTAATTATTATGAATAATGCTGCTACGAATATAGGAGTGCAGATATCTCTTTAGCATATCGATTTTTATTCCTTTGACTTTTTTACCCAGAAGTGGGATTGCTGGGCCATATGATAGTTCTATTTTTAGGTTTTTCATGAATCTCCATATCATTTGCCCTATGACTGTACAAATTTACTTATGTATAAATTTAATTAAGGTGGTAAAAAATCTGTATGCTGAGAAAAATAAAACAGTAATGAAAGATAATGAAGAAAACATACATAAATGGGAAGTTATCCTATGTTCTTGGATTAGAATAATTAATATTCTTTAAATGTCCTTAACAACCCAAAGCAATATATAGATTCAATACAATCCCTATCAAAATTTCAATGCCGTTTTTCACACATATAGAAAAAAATTCTTAAATTTGTCTGAAACCACAAAAGACCCCCAATAGCCAAAACAATATTGGGCAAAAAGAACAAAGCTGGAGGTATCATATTACTGGATTTCAAAATATATTATAAAGCTATTGTAGTCAAGAAAGTATGATACTGGCATAAAAACAGACATATTAGCTGATGGAACAGGATAGACAGCCCAAATATAAGCCCACAAACCTAGGCCAATTGATTTTTGACAAAGGTGCCAAGAACACACAGTGGGAAAAGGACAGTCTCTTCTATAAATGATTCTAGGAAAACTGGATATCTACAGGCAGAAGAATGAAATTTGACCCTTATTTCACACGATATGCAAAAATCAACTAAAAATGTATTAAAGAGTTACATATAAGACCCAAAACCATAAAAGCATTAGAAGAAAACTATAAAAGCATTAGAAGAAAAGCTTCACAATGTGAGTCTGGGCAATGATTTTTTTGGCTGTGTCCTTGAAAGCACACAAAAGCAAAACTAGACAAATTGGACTTCATCAAACTAAAAAGCTTCTACATAGCAAAGGAAACAATTAACAAACCCAAGAGAAAACCTACAGAAAGGAAGAGAGTATTTGTAAAATATACATCTGATAAGGAATTAATATTCAAAATATATGAGATTCAAACAACTCAATAACAATAAAACAAACAACATGATTTAAAAATGGAGAAAGGAACAGACATTTCTCAAAAAAAAAGACATACAAACGCCTGATGAAGAAATGCTCAACATCATTAATCATTAGAGAAATACAAATGAAAACCATAATGAGATACCACCTCACACTTATTATCAGAACGATAAAAGATAACAAGTATGGTGAGGATAAGGAGAGAAGGGAACTTTTGCACACTGTTGGTGGGAGACTCACTCATACAATCATCCCTACTTAAGAACATTTTGATCTTATTAGAGGCAGTTTAAGGTTGTCTTTGGAGCAGACCCTAAGGGAATTTATTATTTGTTATATACTTATTTGCCACAAAGACAACCTGTGCTTGACAATGATGGGTCGAAATAAGAATTTAATTTTGTCCTTTGAAATTTTTAAATCTGTGAATATTACAACAACCACAAAAATTCTATAGACTTTTGTTCATGGGGAACCATCACCCTCCTGTTTCCCAAAGCAGGGAATTTAACTGAAAAAAAAAGTACATTGAGTAATATTAAGAAAACAAAAAAAGCATTTAAAATTGCAATATAATGTAGTATAAAATGAATATCTGAATCATGGGGAAGTATGCCATATAGAAGCTATTTTAGATGAGTAATCAGAAAAAAACTTTAGAGGAAGTAAGCAGCTTTTGTGTTAAATCTAAAAAGATATTGCTACTTTTTCACTATAATGGTTAGCATGTGATATGGTTTCGCTGTGTCCCCACCCAAATCTCGTCTTGAATTGTAGCTCCCATAATTCCCACATGTTGTGGGAGGGACCTGGTGGGAGATCACTGAATCTTGGGGGCAGTTTCCCCCATACTGTTCTCGTGGTGTCACAAGAGCTGATGGTTTTATAAGGGAAAACCCCTTTTGCTTGGCTGTCATTCTCTCTTTGCCTGCCACCATCCATGTAAGATGTGGCTTGCTCCTCCTTGCCTTCCACCTTGATTGTGAAGTCTCTTCAGCCATGTGGTACTGTGAGTCCATTAAACCCCTTTCCTTAATAAATTACCCAGTCTCAGGTATGTCTTTATTAGCAGCGTGAGAACAGACTAATACAGCATGTTAAACCAGTTCATCTTTTTAAAAAATAGAACACTGGCCAGGCACGGTGGCTCACACCTGTAACCCCAGCACTTTGGGAGGTCAAGGCAGGTGGATCACTTGAGATTAGGAGTTCAAGACCAGCCTGGCCAATGTGGGGAAACCCTGTCTCCACTAAAAGTACAAAAGTTAGCCAGGTGTGGTGGCACGTGCCTGTAATCCCAGCTACTCAGGAAGGCTGAGGCAGGAGAATCACTTGAACCCAGGAGGCAGAGGTTGCAGTGAGCCGAGATCATGCCACTACACTCCAGCCTGGGCAACAGAGAGAGACTCTGTCTCAAAAAAAAAAAAAAAGAAAAAGAAAAAAGAAAAAAAAGGAATACTTACTATTTCTAAGGATAAGGTGAGAAAGATCATCATATATACAGTTTATAGAAATAAAAAATTGGTATAAACTTTCTAAGAAGTACTTTTGCCATATTAGGAAACTTTTGGAACATGCATCAATTTAGTTATTTCACTTTAAGCAATCTAATAATAAATTCTTAGAAATTGGAATAAAGGTTTATATACTAAGATATTAATCACATTCCTTTTACCTGTTCCGCTGTCATAATGGGCATTTTTCAGTTCATCACACTCACCTCACTCTGGGCTGCCTCAGGGCCTTCGTTCTTGGTTTTCTCTCTTTGAAGTATTCTGACCCCAATACTTTCTTTCTTCAACTAAGTCCTATACATCCTTCACCTCTCACTCAGCTTAAATATTATTTTTCCAGAGCTGCATTTCTTCTATTTCCATAGAAAAATAGAAGTTTGGTTCTCTCTGCCTTCCCAGAAATACGTTTACATAGCACTCTCTGGTGCTCACTCTCAGCACATTTACGGATACATCAGGAGAGTCTCTCATCTCTGTAAACTCTAAGTTCTATGACAGCAGGAATTGTGTCTGTCTTTCTTACTGCATATCTAAGTGTCAAGGATGGTGCCTGTTGCAGAGCAAGCAGGTACAATTAGTAGGAAACAAGGAGATGCAGGGAAGGGGATACAAAATGGCGGATATGTGGGAAGAACAAGTCTGAAGACCTAATGCACAGTATGAAGACTACAGTAATAAAATTGTACTGGATTTTTGGATTCATGACTAATGAATAGATTTTTGCTGCTCTTGCCACAAAAACAACAAAGAAATGGGAAACTATGTGAGACGATGAACATGTTAACTTGCTCCACTATAGTAACATTTTTACAATCTTAATGTATCCCACAACATAATATTGTATACCTTAAAGATGCACAATAACATTTATTTTAAATACATTTGTTGAATAAATACACAGATAATATCAGTAGCAAAAGGTGAACAAGAAGCTAAAAATCTAAAAGGGAGGCCATTGTTTATAAATCACGGGAACGATATCTGGCCCAAACCTGATGGGGCTGTGTAAGTGATGATTCTTATACTTTTGGATTATTCTATCTCATTTCCACTCATCTTCCATGTTTTTATGACTCACTGATTAAAAGGAGATCACTATTTTAATATGTTTTGCAAATGAATACAAAGCATATATTGTTCCTTAGGGAGGGATATTAATGACAAATGAGATATACGGCTCTCCTCATATAACAAGGTAGGGGAAATATACAGAGATTTTTTAAAAAATGGACCAAGGGACCACAAGATGGAAAACAAAGATTGTTGGGTGTTTAAAAGTACCTTGAAGGATATCTGGCTCAATGAGCTCATCAAATTTATAACAAAAATAATAATAGTGAATATTAGCTTGACCTATGTCACAAGGACTGTACTAAGTGCTTTATCTCTCATGTATTTCTCATAATCATTTTGTTCCTGTTACTCCCAGTTTACAAATAAGGAAATTTAGGTGTAATGCCATTGCGTCACCATGCTTATGAAGCAACTTACCACCAACGAAGAAAAGTGACTTATCAAAAAGTACAGAGTTGGGTCATGACTATCAAAAACTCTGCTATGCTACTACTCACTGCAGTTTTTATTTTGGTTGGCTAGTGCGAGACAGTGCACACACACACACTTTCATATTTTCCAATAAAGTCATCTAATTTTTAAAACAATCTAACTTCAGCTACCCAAAATATACAACAGATCAATATGGAAAAGTATTAATACATTTATACTCTTTCAAAGATCCCATATTGTCAGGCTATTTGTAACTCTCACAGTTGTGACAGATAGAAGTTAAATAATTATTCATAATTAACTGACATGTTCATTCTTGTCCTCTCTTGCCAAATCTGTTCAATGTAATTAGATGATTGCTTGTGTTCCATTTTGCTCTGATGGGCTCCAATTCTGGCTGAGTTTCATGCATTGGAATCATATCCTGCAGTTATCATTGTTATTTTCTCCACTACATATCCCCCTGTAGAAGTGCACCATGCCAGGCATATCATTCTGTATATTTTACTCTGCTAATGACATCAAAGAATGTATCACTATCATTTTTCTGGCCCACCAAAATAACATTTACTCCTGTATCCTACATGTGATTAATATGGAAAGGATATGCTATGCTAGAATGCAGAACTCTCAAGTAAAGAACCCTGTGATAAATCTACTGTCTTTCCTGCAAACTACTGGAGTGCTTTTGGGTAAGTTGCTTTATTTCTCTAATTCTCAATTTACTTATCTATAAAATGAAACTAAAAATCCACAATGTCTTAGGGAATTTTTAGAGATTTGCATTTATAGTGCATGATAATTTATAAAAGAAAAGTTAAGATTCTTTTCCAAAGACAGGTTTTCCTTCGCAGAAATTGGGCAGCTGCTACCTTGCATACATTGCTAACATGGCTGAGTTTTAACGGAAGTATTTTTCTTACCATAATTCCTCTTTTGGTGTTAATAGGGGACTTCTAATTAGGTCTTAGTCTATTTGGGAAGGTTAATAGTAAAGTACTAAGCATTTATACAAACACAATCAAAGGTTGCTTGCAAGTGTAGGGAAAGAAGGCAACTATAAATATTCACTATTTTCTAGTTGAGTTTTTCCCTATTGACATTAGTTGTAAAAGATAGAATTTCATAATAGGAACAGGCGTGGAAGGAAAGGAACTATTTCAACTCATCAGAGTCACAGAGCCATCTCTGAAGTCCTCAAGTTTATACATGGGAAGTGCCAAAATTTGATCTTCAGTGTAAAATTTCTTCCATATTCTCTTGGATACACAGAGCAAATAGAGAAACTACAGCAGATAGACTTTTACAATGGCAAAATATGATGGAAAAGACTCTGGGCTCATCCTTCAGAGAAGCCTTCTGTGGCAGAGTAACTGTCTGTGGAAGGAAAAAGTAAATCATTTTTAAAAACCCCACTGCTCCAAAATCTGCTCTAATGCCACTGTCTTCAGGGCCAAGTATTCCATCTGGCAAGAGCAAGTCATGGAAAAGCACAAAGGTAATTTACCCAATTGGCCTGGGCAGAACATTGTTTCTTCAGTTATTTTTTGTGACTCTCCCTTCAGAGTGTGATTCAGACAGTTCTGCACCAAGATCAGTGGCTGTGCAGAGTTCAAATAGGTGAAAATACAGCTCTGGATGAGTAGCACTGTATTTTTTCTCAGTTCAGTCTCTCGTTCTTCATTGCTCAGCTCAGAGTTTCTCTCTCTGTCTTCATTGCTCAACTTCGTGTCCCTGCTTCCCAACAGGAGAACCCTATCTAAAATATTTATTTTTAAAAAATCTTGATATCATCCCATCATAGAACAAGATATACAGTACGGTGCTCAAGCTCGTGATGATAAAATATCAGGGATCTTTGAAAATTTATAATCTAAGAGCCTCAACTTCTGAATGAGCTGCTATGATAAATGCAATTTATTGGAGACTTCCTCATCTTTATTATTTTCTATGATTCCAGGCAAGAGTCATTTCAAAATGAGTCTACTTTAGCTTCAGTACCCTTGGAAACCAACCAATCCAATGGTTTTACTGCCTTGGTGAGATGCTGTATTTCTTGGGAATTGCCATTTAGTAGATTAAAATTATAAAACCCAGCAGAGGGAAATTTCCCAACAGCAAATCAATTTATATGTCTTTCAGAGAGTTTTCCAGAAATGTACTTAAGAACTGCTGACTCAATGTAATGTTCTTCCAAAGCCAGGACACTCAGGGCCGATAAGGACACTAACCCGTGTATTTTCTGAGCTTTTCCTAGCTGGATATTTGTACTATGTGAAATTCATGTTCTGTACTCTAGAGACATGAATCACTTGTTCAATTAAAAATAGTATTTCTCTGGCAATTGTTTGATCAAGAATGGGAATAAGTTGTGGGTGAAATTGTGACCATCTGCATTCCTGTCTTGGAAACCTGCCTGTTGTTTTGTAACCATATGCAGACTCATTGATCAGTTTTTCTCTCTGAAACATCAATACCAAAATTAATGACTATAGCTTCTTCTAGGATTTTCTTAAAATTAGTTCAGGGCTTTCCAATGTGGGAGTTAAATGCATGCTTATTCTTGTAGAATTTAGAAAATATAATCACATTCCAAGAGAAAAGCATATTGAGGGCCTAGTCATATGTAATTCTTCACCAAATTCTGGGTCTTCTTTTGTTGGCTCAAAACAAATAAATATAATTGCCCCAAAGAATTACAGTGTAGAGATGACCTAATCAATGACAGTCTCTTAATTTTAATATACAACTTGAAGAATCCTTTTATCTGAATTATCAGATATGCCCATCCCATCAATTAATGCATTAATTTTCCAAATCTTTATTACATACCTCCAATGTGGCAGTTATTCTACAGCAGCTGAGGATATGTCATTGTGATATAAATCTCTACAACTTTCATTGTCTTAGAAAAAGGCATATAAACTAATATTTAAATTACAAAACATAGCCGAGCACGGTGGCTCATGCTTGTAATCCCAGCACTTTGGGAGGCCGAGGCAGGCGGATCACAGGGTCAGGAGATCAAGACCATCCTGTGAATGGTGAAACCCTGTCTCTACTAAAAAAAAAAAAAAAAAAATTAACCGGGCGTGAAAAAATTAGCTGGGTGTGGTGGCAGGCGCCTGTAGTCCCATCTACTCCGGAGGCTGAGGCAGGAGAATGGCGTGAACCTGGGAGGCGGAGCTTGCAGTGAGCTGAGATTGTGCCACTGCCCTCCAGCCTGGGCGACAGAGCGAGACTCCGTCTCAAAAAAAAAAAAAAAAAAAAAAAATTACAAAACTTATATACATGGCCAGAGAAAGACAAAGAATAGAACATGTCATTTTTTTTAATATAGATTTGGTTTTTGACATTAGATTTGAAGCCTGACAAAGTAAGACAGAGGGAATGAGGGTAATTCTAGGCAGACTAACGAATGCAAAGGGAATTGGCTTGTAAAAGATCAGAATATTTGGGGAAATATGTAAATAGTTCAACACAACTGAGCATGGGTATAAGTGGCTGGAGCAGAGGTTAAAAAGGCTTTTAATGACAGGCAAAAGCATTTGGACTTACGTGTTAGGTTATAGATATTTACAGAAGAATTCTAAGCAGGGAAATGCTAGGATTCAGTGTGCATTTTAGAAGAAAGGGCTGTTAACAATGAGATTCTAGAGAAGAGAACAATAAATCAGGAGAAACCCCAAGGAATGAGGATTGGAGCCAGAATTAAAGTTTGGGCAGATGAGATTGAGAGAAGAAAACTGCTTCCTAACTTCTTGTGAATCACTGGATTGTGAGGTGAGATAGAAAACGGTCCAAAATGTTTCTAAGTATAGCAATGGTATGGGATGTGTGTAAATGCTGATGTCAGTAACAGATGATGGAAACTAGAAGAGTCTTCTTACATCTGCTTTTTGTTTGCTCTTTGTGTTTTGGCTTATTTCAACTACTTACTTATTTACTTAATGTTTACTTATTTATTTAGATGGAGGCATTATAGTATCTTCCTAGGAGGGAGGGCAAATGACCACATTTTACTGTATAGTTGTGGAGGGAAGGGGTGGTGCTTCATTAATATCTTGGATAACTGTGGTGTTCCCTGGATTTCTGTTTGGGAAGTTTGACTTATCCTGTATCTGTTCAGTGACTATTTTAAAATTAGAATGTTACACTTTTTATTTGTTCTCTTAAATGTCACTGCTCCAATCCGGTAAGTGGAATTTTGATCTTTTATATCTTATGTTGGCTATAGCTTCCAATTTTGTGTCATGCAACATTGTGGGACAATATTTGTGTGAATATAATTGTATTCAAATCACACATATGTTTTATTGAACAATGTCAGGAACCGTGTACTGTAGCCTATAGCTAATTACTTCTTTCTAATGTGACGTCAAGAAACGAATCACTCTTCTTCCAATGGAGCTACTCAAGAGCCTTAAATCTACTGCAAAGTGCTGTAATTTAGACCAAGGTTATAAAGGGAGGCTATATTGAGTGTGTTTTGCTCAAATCAATTTCTTGTAATTTCACATGCCTTATGTATCAAAATCCAGGGTTGACAGATATAAATGTACTTCACATACCTATTGATTGATTATAGTCAATCAACAATCTCAATTGATTGATTGATATTCTTACATTAAATTCAAAATGATACTTCAACTTTTAATATTTATCTCAGTATTGTCAATTTTAACATCAGGGGAAATCAGACGTATTGTGTTATTTTAAAAGTAATTAGAAATGAAGAGATATTTGTACTATAAATTTATTCCACCTGTAATTTAGTAATATATTTTATTACTTAACTAAAATTGGTTGTCATCATCATTACATTATCAACTGCGTGCTTACTACATGTCAGTCATTAATCATCTAAATCAGTGATTCAAGTGAATTCTCAGAACAATGATATGATTCGGGTACTACAAGTATTCCTATCACTTACAGTGATCAAGAAATTCATGCTTAGAAATGCAAACCAAAACCGCAATGAGATATCATCTCACCCCAGTCAGAATGGTGATTATTAAAAAGTCAGGAAATGACAGATGCTGACAAGATTGCAGAGAAATTGGAATGCTTTTACACTGTTGGTGGGAATGTAAATTAGTTCAATTGTTGTGGAAGACAGGGTGCCATTCCTCAAAGATTTAGAACCGGAAATACCTTTTGACGAACCGGAAATACCTTTTGACCTAGCAATCCCATTACTGGGTATATACCCAAAGGAATATAAATCATTTTAGTATAAAGTTACATGCACACATATGTTCATTGCAGCAGTATTCACAATAGCACAGACATGGAATCAACCTAAATGTCCATCAATGATAGACTGGATAAAGAAAATGTGGTACATATACACCATGGAATACTATGCATCCAGAAAAAAGGAATGAGATGATGTCCTTTGCAGGGACATGGATGAAGCTGAAAGCCATTATCCTCAGCAAACTAACACAGAAACAGAAAACCAAACACCACATGTTCTCACCTGTAAGTGAGAGCTGAATGAGAATACATGGACACAGAGAGGGGAACAACACACACTGGGGCCTGTCTGGAGAGGATGGAGGGAAGGAGAGCATTAGGGAAGAGAGCTAATGAATGCTGGGCTTAATACCTAGATGATGGGTTGATAGGTACAGCAAACCACCATGGTACAAGTTTACCTATGTAACAAACCTGTACTTCCTGCACTTGTACTCTGGAACTTAAAAAAAAAAGAAAAGAAGAAAGAAAAGAAAAAGAAACTCATGCTTAGGAAAGATTAAGGTAATTTCTTAAGGTTTTTTAGGAATAATTACCTCTATTAATAGTCAATAGCAATAACGAATAAATAAATTTATTTTTCAGAGCTTCTGATCATAAGAAACTTGAAATCCTCTCAATATTCAAAGTATTATAAACACAAGATAAATTTATGTATGAGCAGATAGAGAGCTAAAGTTTTCCTACTGTGTATTTTAAAAAACAGTGAATGAACAATGGGGACAATGAAGGCCAGAGATAGGAAATCTCCAACTGAAAGAAGAAAATACTCGGTTTTCTGTAGGCATTTTTTTTCTGACAGCAAATGTTTGGCAAATGGGCTTTTAATTATATTGACAATACCTGAAGTAGCTTGCTAAATCATACCCTCTTTTGCGAGCTTGTTCTTTAATTTATCTAAATTTAGATTCAATATCCATCCCAGCAGGGATCTGGAACTCGAATATTTCACCAATTACTGCCCCTAGTCCTAAATACATTGCAGGTGTTTACTTCTACAGGCTGAGACATCAGTGGTTTTCTCAGCTTATACCCTTTTCCTCTAGTTGAGGAGAGGGGATTATTGTACATGGTTAGGCAACTTGTGGCTACTTATTGGTCAAATGTTTAGATATTGTCTTCAATATTTTACTTGAAGCTATATTTTATACCAAAAAGCCCACAGATACATTATGCTTAAATGCAAAAAAAAAGTTCCCGATCCAAAAATTATAGAAATCTTTTACCTATGCCATTTCAATAACTCATTCCCTTTCATCTCTTCATTAGGGTAAATAAGGACTTTATTGGTGTTCTTTACTTTCAGCCAGTGTCTATGAAATGACAACATGTATAAAAAAGACACCAAGTCAATACCTACTCCCTGAGGGCACGTTTACTTCAGTTTAAGAAAAACACACTACAGGGTATTTTAGTATTTCCAGTTTCTCTTGTAAATGGAGAACTTAAAAGAAACATTATCTACCACTGTGAGCCAAAGAGGAAATAATGTTGAGAAATTGCAAACTTTTGAGGGATTAAGCAATGACCTCTACAGAAAAAAAAAATTCACAGGGGAAAGAATCCTTGGGAATTGAAATATATTAGACAATGCATCAAAGGGGATAAAGGAAAAAGAAAGCCAGGTAGTTTACAATGAGATTTAGAGAAGTAAAGTCCTGAATGTCCTACTTCTCATGACTGGGAAACAATGAGGTAACAATGGGGCTCTGCACTCAAGGTACTTAATGAGAACAAACATAGAACTATATTAATAGTCCATAGCAATCACAAATAAATAAATATATACATATATAAAACCACTCAGTCCCATGGCTCTATTTCCATCTGCTCACATTGCTCCCACCTGCTATAGTTTATCAGAGCCACTCAAGTGTCATATGAAGGACACCCTTGTTGCTTTGGCTTGGGCTGTGCCATGTGGCATTTTGGAGAAGTTTCAGCTGGTTCTCTGCTTCCTCATGTAACTTTGGAGCTGCTTTTATATGACCTAAGATACACTTTTTTCCAATAAAGTTTTCTCCATAGATTTACACCTTTATGCTTTTCTTTTGAAAGTAGGATCCACTTTAGTAGTTCTTTATTTCGGGGTTTTGCACGTACCCCAAATGTACTTTGGTAAAAATAGCCTGGCACGTTGGGGAAGGGAGACTGCAATAACTAAAGAATGTCATATACTGTTATCTTCGTTAAAATAGGTTTGATGTCTCAAAGGTTCACTGAAATGGGGAGAATTTAATCATCTCATTCAAAAGGAGGATAGAGTTGGTTCATGAGAGAAAGCAGGGCATAAATCAAAGTTTCCTACCAGGAGTCAGGAGATCTGGCTCCCATTTGCAGCTTTGCCTCAAATTAAGTGACTTGGCTTAAATTATTTTACCTCTCCTAGACTCAAGCTTCCCATCTATAAAAGAGTGTATGATCCAGCAATCCTGCTGTTAAGAATATATCCAAAAGAAAGGAAATCAGCATATTGAAGAGATGTTGACACACGTACTCATGTTTATAGTGGCCCTATTCACAAGAGCCAAAATATGGAACCAAACTACCTGTCCATCAATTGATGAATGAATAAAGAAAATGTGGCCTATACACAAAATGGAATACTATTCAGCCATGAAAAAGCAGGAAATCCTGTGACAGGAAACAACATGGATGAAACCAGAGATAATTATGTTAAATGAAATAACCCAGGCACAGAAAGACAAATATTGCTTGTTCTCACTCATATGTGAGAGCCAAAAAGGCAGATTTAAAAGAGGCAGAGAGTAAAATAGTGGTTACCAAAGCTTGGGAAGGGAGGAGAGAGGGGAACGAAGTTAGTTAATGGGTACAAATGTACAGGTTGAGAGAAGGAATATGCTCTAGTATTTGAGAGTATAGTTGGGAAATTATATTTAACAATGATTTACTATATATTTCAAAATAGCTAGAAAAGCAGAATTATAATATTCCCAACACAAAGAAATGACAAATATTTGAGGTGGTGGATATCCTAATTACCCTGATTTGATCATATTGTATACACATCTCAAAATATCACAAGTACCCCCAAATATGTACATTATATATCAATAAATTATTTAAAAATATATATATATCAAGACTTTTCAACCTTATCTATCAGGCTCACATATAGTTGTAGATATAGGTTTTATATATATATACACACACATGTGTGTGTATATATACACACACATGTGTGTATATATATACATATACACAGATAGATATAGATACAGATGCATCAATGCTCAGCTTCTCGCTCAAGAGCTCGGATTTAATTGAAAAGAGGATGGGATTCAGACATTACATAAATCATTATATGTTAAATCTACCCAAGTGATTCTAAGGAGTAACTAGGGTTGAAGACCACTGAAGTTAATAACGTCTATGTTACTTCTACTTCCCAAGTATAGAAAGCCAAATCCATAATAATTGCAGGGAGTTTTTATGTGCATGGCAGTGAGGCAGACAGAAGGAGGGAGTAAAAGGAGGGGAAAGGAGAAAAGTAAATCACTATTTCTCATCCTCAGATTCTTACAATCTGGACAGGAAACACCCACAATATTACCACCAAAATAGCATAGGCTGTGGCTAATGCAAAATAGTTCATAGCGAAATTCTTGAAAAAAGGTGAAATAAGCCATTCATAAGACTTTATAAAAGAAGGTAGGGATCAGCATGAATTAGAATTAGAAGATGAAAAAGATTTGCTGATGAACCTAGGAGCACAGGCAGCATGTGGTCTTTCTCAGTTATGAGAGAAGGCCACTAGAAGTTCTGAACTCCATCTTGCCACGATACATCATGGGCTGTCAGGCATGAGGACTTTGCACATGTTAACATTTTATTCCTCCGGTCAAATCCCTTCTTTATCATTTACTACAATCCATCCTGTAAGTGCAGTGGCATGATCTCGGCTTACTGCAACCTCCACCTCCTGGGTTTAAGTGATTCTCCTGCCTCAGCCTCCCAAGTAGCTGGGATTACAGGAGCCTGCCACCACGCCCGGCTAATTTTTGTATTTTTAGTAGAGATGGGGTTTCACCATATTGGCCAGGCTGGCCTCAAACTCCTGACCTTGTGATCTGCCTGCCTCGGCCTCCCAAAGTGCTGGGATTACAGGCATGAGCCACCGTGCCCAGCCCATCCTGTAACTCTTAAGGGCCACATTAGATATCATCTCCTCTTGGTATCTTTTACTACCTTTAATAAAGAGGCAATTAGCCCTCACTTATCTTGCCAAATTAAAGTTGCTTTTATACTGCCTACTATATTACATTATATACATTACTTGTTTTCACGTTTGTTTCCTACTCTAGATTTTTTTTTAAGTCATCTAGAGGTGGCAGAACAATAAAAATAAATCTTTTTTAACTCAGGAATAATTAAGGAGTAAATATCTACACAAATGAGGCTGGAATATGAAATGTTTGTGTACTGAGTAGTGCCATAATTGGAGACACAAAAAAATAAGGAAAATAATGTGAAAGTATTGCAATTGAAGTTCTCTGAGCAAGAAAATGGCCAAGTTAGAAGCTTGATAAGAAAGGGAATAGGCCAGGCGTGGTGGCTCATGTCTGTAATCCAGCACTTTGGGAGGCCAAGGCGGGTGGATCACGAGGTCAGGAGTTCAAGAACAGCCTGGTCAAGATGGTGAAACCTTGTCTCTACTAAAAAAACAAAATTAGCTGGGCATGGTGGTGGGCACCTGTAATCCCAGCTACTCAGCAGGCTGAGGCAGAGAATTGCTTGAACCCAGGAGCTGGAGGTTGCAGTGAGTGGAGATCGCACCACTGCACTCCAGCCTGGGCGACAGAGTGAGACTCCGTCTCAAAAAAAAAAAGAAGGAGAATAAAATGAAGGTGAGAAATGTTCAAGAAGTCTCGATCACCATTGACAACTGACTCATTCAGGAATAGATGGTGATTCCCCTCCAATTTTTGAAGCTGAGGAAATTGTATCATATTAGCCGAGAGAGTGTAAGAGTGACAGCAATATAGAGAGAGAAATTAAGAATGTGTGGGTGTATGTAAATAAAAATGATAAGCATATTTGGAGCATTTAAAGAGAGGACAGGTTATCCATATGAAGACTTTATCATAGACACTCGAAGGACAAAACTATGGAGTGAATTTTGCTAAACGAGTTGAGGCTGCATTTGGGAATTTGAGAATGGTTCACGAAGGTGACGACTAAAGATATAGAAACCAAATTGAAAGAACTTGCAAAATAGAGAGCTAAGCACGTAACCTTGGGGGGAAAAAAACCAGAAAAACATGATATTAGAAGCTGAAATGAGAGTTTCAAAAAGGAAGAGGTGACAAATTCTGTCAACTTTCTCAGAAAAGGGAAAATTCATTTTGAGAGAATGTAGTCATTGGGTTTGGCAAAAAAGCTTCAGAAATCCCCTGAAAGGGAAGCAGTTTCTGTAGAGACGGGAGGGAGGACGCTCCCAGGAGGAGGGCTGTTGTGAAAGTCAGCTGTGTAAAGGAGTACAGAAGAGAGTTGGGATGAATGGCTTAACTGGAAGTAAATTATTATTATTATTATTATTATTATTATTATTATTATTATTATTTGAGATGGAGTCTCGCTGTATCGCCCAGGCTGCAGTGCAGTGGCGCGATCTCCGCTCAGTGCAAGCTCCGCCTCCCGGGTTCATGCCACTCTCCTGCCTCAGCCTCCCGAGTAGCTGGGACTACAGGAGCCCGCCACGACGCCCGGCTAATTTTTTATATTTTTAGTAGTGACGGGGTTTCACCGTGTTAGCCAGGATGGTCTCGATCTCCTGACCTCGTGATCCGCCCGCCTCAGCCTCCCAAAGTGCTGGGATTACAGGTGTGACCCACTGTGCCCGGCCTGTGAATTATTTTTCTAAAAGAAATGGACACCAAATTTATCTGAAAACAAAATAATCATTCTGTTCCATTAACATGTATGTCTATTACAGTGTTACTACCACCAAGTCCTAATTATGCAACTTTATACTAAGCCTTGAAATAGGCATTGGGTTTCCTCCAACTTTTTTTAAAATGTTTTTTTCAAAATGGTTTTGCTTATTCTAGGTCGTTTGTATTTCCACATGATTTTTTTGAATCAGCTTGTCAATTGTCACAAGAAGCCTGGAAGGGCTTTTCAAAGTATTAGGTTCAATCTGTAGATTGAAATGGGGAGAAATGGCATCTTAATCATACAGAGACTTCTTTCTGATCAATGAATATGTGATTATTTTTTCATATATGTACCTTTTTAACAATTAGCTCTTCGCACCGATGTTTTGTAGTTTTGGCATTTAAATCTTGCACATCTCTTGTCAAACTTATTTTTAATTATTTCCTGAGTTTGAGGCTATTGTAATTGTTGATGCTGTTCTGGGTTCCATTTTAAGTGTTTATGGTGATATATAGAAATGTAGCATATTATCTTTCATCCTTAAACATTGTTAACCTCACTTCTTAGTCCTGGTAGCTCTCTTGTAAATTCTTTGTTGTTTTCCTATGTAAATGATAATGTGTTCTGTGAACAAAGTGGTTTACTTCTTCTTTTCCAATCTATTGCCTTTACTTATCCTCTTTGTTTTATTGCAGTGACAGAACCTCCAGTACAATGTTAAATAAAAATGGGCAGAGTAAACATCCCTGGCTTTTTCCCCATTGTAGGAGGATTGTATTCAGTCATTCACATTAAGTATGAGGTTCCTTGTAGGTTTTTCATAGATGTCCTTAATTAAGTTCAGGAATTTCAGTCTGTTTCTAGTCTGCTGAAAGTTTTTTAATAAGTAGACATTGAATTTTGTTAAGTATTATTTTGCACGTATCGATGTAGTTTTTCTTTTTACTTTGCTTACACTGTCTAGTGCACTGATTCCTCTCATTAATATTAAACCAACTTTGCATTCCTGAGATCAATGCCAGTATGTTCTGTTATCTTTTTATATTTATTGGTGGATTCAATTTGCTAAAATTATATATGAAAATATTTCTATCTTCAGGGAAAACATTGGCTTATGTTTTGTTTTCATAATGTCATTGATTGGTTTTCTTAACAGGGGAATGCTGGCCTCATAAAATAAGTTGGAGAGTGTTTCTTCCTGTTTTTTTTTTTGTGTGTGTGTGTGTCTATATGATTGGTCTGATTACTATTGCATTTCCTTAAATGTTTTGCTAAAATTTACCAGTGTAACCATCTGGGCCTAGAGCTTTCTGTGTGGGAAAATTTTAAATTTTAAATTTAATTTATTTAATGGGGACAATTTCTTCTTGAGTGAGATTTGATAGTAGCATAATTCAAATGCTTCATTCATTTCATATGTTATCAGATTTCTTGACACAAACATTTTTTGTAATGTCACCTTATCGACATTTTAAAATAAGATCTGTAGCAATATGCAGTCTTTCAGCACTCATATTTGTAAATTATTATACTTCTTGATCAGTATGGATAGAGGTGTATCATTTGATTTTTTTCAAACAGCTTTTGGTTTTATTGTTTTTTATTCCTTGTGTGTTTTCTCTTTCTTTGATTTTTTTTTCTATTAATGTTAGTATTCT
This sequence comes from Homo sapiens, assembly GCF_000001405.40. Classification (NCBI taxonomy): domain Eukaryota; kingdom Metazoa; phylum Chordata; class Mammalia; order Primates; family Hominidae; genus Homo; species Homo sapiens. The sequence continues at coordinate 70,301,590 of NC_000017.11, forward strand.
TTTTTCTGCTTACTTTGTGTTTAATTTGCTCTTCTTTTTTCAGTTTCTAAGAGGTAAGCCTAGATCATTGACTTGAATCTTTATGTTTTAGTAGAAGCATTTATTGCTGTAAATACCCTTCTAAGTATCACTTTGATTGCATCCCACAAATGTTGATATTTTGTTCAATTTTCATTCAACTAACTGTTTCCTAAATTTTCTTGTGATTTCTTCTTTGACCCATGTATCATTACAGTTTGGTAGTTTAATATACAAAATGTTAGTATTTTCCAAATATCTTTCTCATTTATTTCTAGCTTGATTCCCATGTAGTTCAGAGAACATATTTTGTATAGTCTTAATTCTTGTACATTTTAAAGCTTTGTTTTGAGGCACAGAATATGTTTTGCCTTGGTAAATAGTATGCTCTTAATAATAATGTCCATTGTACTATTGCTGGGTGCAGTGCTTTTCTATAAACCTCAATTAGGTCAAGATGGTTGATAGCGTGGTTTAGATCTTCTCTTTCCTTATTAATTTATTATATTCTTGCTCTATCAATTTCTGAGAGAGGTGTGGTGAAGTCTCCAACTATAGTTGTGGATTTGTCTCTTTCTCCTTTTTTAGTTTTACCTGTGTTTGCTTTATATATTTTGAAGTTCTGGGATTAAGTACCCACATATTTAGGAATATTATCTCTTACTCATTTTTTCACCCATTTATCATTATGCATGGTTCCTTCTTCATGATTATTTTTAATAAACTTTATTTTTTAAATCAGCTTTAGGTTCACAGCGAAATTGAACAGAAAGTACAGACAGTTCCCATGTACCCTTTGTTCCCACACATACAACAGTCTCTCCTACTGTCAATGTCTCACACCACAATGGTACATTTGATATGTACTGAACCTTTTAAATTTTGTAACAGTTTGAAGTCTGCTTTTCTGATCTCATAGAGCTACTTTAGCTTTCCTTTGCTTAGAACTTGCATGATCTTTTTTCATCTGTTTACTTTTAAACAATTTATGTGACTGTCTTATTGACAGCATAATAAGTCTTTGTTTTTCCCATCTGACAATCTCTGTTTTCTAATTGGAGTGTATATATATTGAGTATTTAATGTAATTGTTGATATAATATTTGAATCTACTATCTTGCTACTGATTTGTTGTCTTATGTCTTTTTGTTCCATTTTTTCCATATTATTTTGCATTAAGAATTTTTATAATTTTCTTAATTTTCATTATTGGCTTATTTATTTCTTCTTTTTATGTATTTTCCAGTTGCTGTATTATTTAAAATATAGATCTTTAACTTGTTATTTATTTTCTAATATCATCCCATTTATCATAAAACAAAAAACCTTAAAAGATTTTCATTTTCTCCCTCCCATCCCTCATGCTATTGGCATCATAACTACTAAAAATGGGATAAGCTCCACAACATATTGTAGTTTTTATTTAGAAATCCAATTTTTCTTTAAGGAGTACATAAATAGTAAACAAACAATACCATGCTTTTGGTTTTAAAAAATCCTCTTTTAAAAAATTATTTCTGATATTCTTCCTTTTGAATAGGTCAAAATTTTCATCTGATTCTATAATCTTCTGCTAGTGTAACATTCATTGACCTTTTTATAATACAGGAATCTACCAATATAATCTTACAGTCTTTGTGTATCTGAAAAAATTAAAAGGTTTACAGACCCTCCAGTTTTGGAAGATATTTTCACTGTGATTAACTATTATGGATTGAAATTTCCCCCCAATTTTAAAGATGTTGTTCCATCTTTAAACTGGCTTATACAGTTTCTGAAAGAAATCTGTTACTATTCTTATCTTTGCTTTTCTATATGTAATGATTCTTTAGTCTTGTTTTGTCATAAGATTCCCTCTTTATACTTAGTTTTGCGCGCTCTGGCTATGAAGTGTCTGCATCTTTTTTTAAAAACCGCTTGGAGTTCTCTGAAATTTATCAATCTGTGGTTTAATTTTTTTCCCTTAAAATTAGGAAATTCATTGTCTTTCTCTCTCCAAATATCTTTTCTTTTATTGGGACTGATATTGTGTATATGTTGAACTCCTTAATCTTTCCTATAGCTCTCTATTTTTTTCTGTTTGGATAATATATGTGACCAATCTTCAAGTTCTTTGACTCCTTGATCATCATCACATCTGCTGATAAACTCATGGAACACGTCTTTATTTCTGATGTTAGGCTGTTTATTTTCCCCTTAGCATTTCCATTTTATTTTATTTGTAATACTTTCCCATCTGTTCATACATGTTGTTCACGTTTCCCATTAGATATGTTAACATACATCAGCCTAATAATATCTAAATCTCATTTTGTTGACTGCTTTATCTCCGTACTGTTTTTTTTTTTTTTTCTTTCTTCCTGTCTTTTACCTTTGATTAGGACTGTGGGCAGCAGGGATTTCTATCCTTGGTAGCATATGTCCTTCTATAGCAGATGGCTCTTGTTTTGCTCCTCTTTCAGAGGTGGTGGGTTTTTCTCTGAGCCTTGGGGACAGGAAGATTGCCTACCCTACCACAATGACAAGACATTCACTTTGTAGGAGAGGTTTCAAGGAAGTGGGATTTCAAGGGTGAGGTTTCATGCTGAGTGCCACTGAGGAGGGCTCTCCTCTCTTAGGTCTCCTGCCCTGCCCCTAATCTTTCCCAAGAGCACAGTAGAAGAGTCTCATGAAAAGGAAATCGGGAGTGTGGACTCCCTGCAAGCCTGGGGCTCCTAGCTATTCTAACTATCGTGTTGGCTTTTTGAGCTCACTAAAGATCTGGCTGTTTTCTTCTTACCTGCTATTATGGGGGCTCCTTCTCCCTCTCATACTGTGCTCAACTGCTCTTTTGTTCCATCTCTCCTCAGAGGGGCTGTTAGCTGCTACACTTTGGAATTCAATTCACCTGGTTGCTGTGCAACTTCTGGTCTCTAATAAACTCAAAAAAAGGTTATGATTTATAAATTATCTGGCCTTTGTTTTTCTCCTTCTTAGGGTGGAAGCAACATTTTCTTACAGATTTGGCCATCCTAAGTGGAGGAGGAGTATCAGGTTTTGGTATCCATTTTACAGCTTGAATATTATAAGTTCTGTCAAACTAGTTAGAGTTCTCATTTATGTCTTTTTTTTAAATTTCAAGTTTAAACTTTCTATCACATTGTGAGGAAAAAAAGTATTTTTTATGGTTACGTTTTAAATTATTACATTATAATCTTTGATGCAGCTAGATTTCTTTTTCCTAATGATAAATTAATGGCTTCAACATCATTTACTAAAGTATATCAGTTTACTCAATAATTCAGATCATAGAATTTAGCATATATTAAATTCCTACATGTATTTCTTCCTGTATTTATATTTCTAGGCCATAAGACTTTTGGCAGACGCTACTTTTTTTTTGAGTCTTGATCAACCATGTAAATAATTTTGGCTACCCTGCTAGAGAGACCAGATGGAGAGTGTGACATTCTGAAGGGTGAAAGTCCACAAGGGGTGGAAGACCACAGAAAATGAAATACCACGAGAAGTGATTGGCTTCAATATTCCAGCTACCCCAGCACAGGAACAAGATCATGAGAGAAGCCATTTTGGATCCTCCAGCCTAGATTGCATGCACCTGACCAAGCCCAGCTGCCGGCACATGGAGAAGAGATAGGCATTCCCACTGAGTCCTGGCAAACCAGCCCACAGAGTCATAAGCACATTAAGTGGTTATCGTTTTAAGTCACTAAGTTAGGGTGATTGTTATACAGCAACAGATAATTAATATGATTTGAATTTTCTCAGTAAAGAACCAAAGATTTATTGAAAGTGAGAGAAGATGAATCATTTCTGGGAAGTGGAAGAGAATTGGAAGTATTCGTTAATAGTCATAGGGAATTTGCTAGAAGAACACAATACAAATTAAGGTAACCATTCAGCACTAGGGCAGTGGCATACAAGATGGACAATAATAATTTGTAAAAGATAGGTGTAATGAGACTATTATTTTTATAAATTCAAATTCAAATTTGGTGCATGACCTGCATTCTAAAAGCAAAAGTTTTATATTGAAATAACTGTTAATAACAAAAAAATTTAGAGCATCTTGAAACAAAATGCATTTGCCCTTGGTGTCAATTGGCAGAAAGTGGCATTGATGCTTTTATGTTCTATGTGTTATTTTGTCAGGGAGTCTGGGTGTTAAATGCTACTGTAGAACATTTACCAAGAGTTAGGAAATAAATAATTTCTCTACAAAGCAGTGAAACAATCTGCACATATCTTTGTACATTAAAAAGTTCAGATACTTTGCCAGCCACTGCATTATAAGAACGCTTACCACATATTCCTTACTTAACGAAGACTGAAACATAGCTGGGGAAACCAAAAAAAAAAAAAAAAGTAAAGTTTTGAATTATAGTTTAAGGCCATTGTGAAAAGGATATGTAAGGATATGTACTATTGATTATATTCATTACTAAATAAATTTAGGAAATACATATTATTAGGTTTTGAGGCAAGAGGGATCATCTTAGGGTGGGAGTGAAGTTGTTCTGGAAGGCTTTGTAGAAAGGTTAGAATTCAGCTTTTTGAAAAGAGTCAGTTTAGGAGGAACAAGGGTTGAGGTAAAGCTAGGAACTGGATGGTGAATGAAACCAAAACACACACCCCCCCACACTCTCCCCCAACACACACAACTGGAATTCCAATGTTTTCTGTTATATGAGTGATTAAAGTAATTTGACCTTTGACTGGAGGGCAAGTTTGAGATGCTGAGTGTTTACATATAAGGCAGTAGGGATACCTGCTATTTAAACTGTATCATGAGGAGTTTGGAAATCAGGTTTATAGGCAACCAGGAGACACTGAGCAGGAAATTTTTAGAACAAACAAACAAAAGGACCCAAAATGTGAAAAGTTAGCCTATATACTATGACTCAGCCATCCCAAGATTAGCAAAGAAATCAGAGTTTAATATCAGGTATTAGGGACAAACCCTGTCTCTAAAATTCTCTGGATTGCAGCCATGTAATGTACTGGCCCAGGGATGGAGGGAAGGGAAAGGGAGGGAGCTTCCTCTTCGCCAAGAATATTTCCCTTGATTTTGCCATGTCGACTAAACTGAATCTGAAACATAACAAAGGCCTTTTCTTTGAAATTTTCTTTACATTGAAAATCTTTTCTACAGGGAAATCACCATGGAACAAGAAAATCTGGCTTCCTTGTCTGAGTCGCAGGATCATTATATCCAAATGGAAACTTTCGGTTTCCCCTTCACCAGGTTCCAGCATCTCACATCTTTCTTACTTTGGGGTCCAAGGAATGGGTCTCAGTGATCCTGCAAATACCTGAAATTATTTGCAAAATAGGTATGCTTATAATTACATGCATTTTTTTCTAGGTAGAGCCCCCATAGTTGAGACTTATGACCCCAAAAAGAACCACTGTTCTGTGTGCTGAATCCCATATTTAATATGTGATATCCAGGGCACAATCTTAGATGCCTAGGTGCTCCTTAGCCCAGCTGAGAGAGACGCTGAAGCTTCCTCTCACCTCCCACAGAGGTACCCTCCCCATTTAAGACTGACAGATACTTGGCTTGTTCTTTAGGTAACTGATTTCAGAAATGGGCACTTTTCATAGAGACCCTACTCCCTGCCCACAGATGTCAGGCCTTCTCCTCACAACAATTAAGTTAGATCAGTTCACTTCCATACAACCTGATCTTTCTAAACCAAGCATCCATTTGCTTATTTAGAACATGAATGGGGTCAGTGAGAAGCACCCAAATCCACTCAGCAGGACTGAAGGGTAGACAGTCAGAGGTGATGGTTTATGAGGGTAGGTTTAGGAACTTCAACCTCTCTTCCTCCCTAATATTTTTACTGTTGAAATGAGACTGCAGCCCTTACTAGGCAAACCCAGGCAGCAGCCATCAGTACTGGACCTCTGGCAGCAGAGCCGTGCTTTGGCTCTGAATCACCTTCTTCACCCCCAGCCCAGTCCAGAATGCTTTGGAGGCCGAGTGCCACAAATGCCTGAGCTCCATGTATCAGCCTCATTGCAAAGCAACCGTAGGGATGGGAAGGGAAGAATGATGATCCATGGGCAGTGTTCCAGGGTACCCCTGGAGACTAGTGATGCAGACAGAAGGGGGTGGTTGTGCTGTTTCCCATCACTCAAGAGTTATTTCACATTCACAAGACTGTGATCAGATCCTGTTCATTTATTCTACTTAAAATGACACAACAGGAACAGAGACTTGGAATGGAAACTTTTCTACCTGGGTCTTTTTAGGATTTCAGCAAAGATATAAACATCCTCTATTTTTTTTTTTTTCTTACAGGAGAATAAAAACTCTTCAACATACATTGAGGCTTTGCAGCCTTTTCAGTTGAGGAGCATAACAAGAGATTTTCTGCTCTAGAGTCCAAATCTTTTAAACTCAGAGGCTGCCACTCTGAGGTCATTTTCTTTTCATGTTACTGGAAGCATGATGTATACTTTAAAAGTAATAAAGTTCAAATAGAGCCCACTGGGGACTGGGAAATGGGCTTTCAGAGTAGGTTGATTCATTCCATTTCAGTCATGTAAAGTTTAAAGAGAAAGCAAGACAGGGGAGTTAGATAGAAGGTGAACAGAGAAGGTATGGTTGATTTAAGAAAAATGACCTTCAAGAGTCATTCCCATTGCCTATGACTTCCTAAGAACCTATGAGGTTGGATGGAAAAAACAATGATTTTAACAGGAGTGTTTTCGACCGAGGACACAGCTATACTAAACTCTCTCAATAATCACAATTGTCACATTTTAATATTCCCTTTTTTATATGAAAGTAGGACAGCTTTGTCCAAGATTGAGGCATTTTCACCTTGTGCTTTTCTGAACAAATTATGTGAAAATTAAAAAAAAAATACAGAGCCTGGCCCTCCAGAATTCTCTAAAACAAAAGCTCAAAGCAGCCTGAGATTATAGCCTACACAATTTCAGGTTAGTTTTTCAGTCATTTTTCAGCTATGTACTATGACATTTATAAATATAACTTTTCTGGAAAGGAAAAATAATAAAATACAGCAAGAACAATTTCTTTTGTACTTAGATAGCCAAGTGCCTGGATGTGAACAGCCACAAGTCAGCTAAACCTCCACGCTCAGTGAGGAAGCTGTGGATCAGAGGGTTTTGTGTCATGCGCTAATAAGCTGCACAGCTAGGCTCACCCCCAAGGTTTCTGGCCTATGTCTATTCCCTTTACTTGACATTTTGCTATCAGAGGACACTGCAAGGAGACAGTCAGAGTATCATTTTGAGACTTTGGGTTAGTACCTAAAACAGCAAGAGAGGAGGAGGAAAAATTTGAATTAACTCTATTGGCCAAAGGAAGAGGTTATAAGCTCTTTCTGTTCTGAGCTCTATTTAACATGAATATAACCATTTTCTCAGCTTTTTTCCTTTCTGGAGAGAAAAGTACTGACATTCAGAGACATGGAGAAAACAGAATATTGAATCTTAGCAATCTCTCTGCTACACTATTGGTTCTTCTGCAGAACCTATCATCTTCTGTGAACCTACAACTTTCTCTCCTTTCCTTAGAGTTTCTCCATCCTGACAGTAATTTTACCATGCAGGATACAGAATATGTGCAATAAATATATGCTAGAAGTCTTGAGTCCTACTGACTGCTTTATTCTACATTCATATAGCATATATTTTATTATTATATATGGACTATGCAATATGTGTCTCATCTTGTGCTGTGAGCTTTGCTTTTTAGATATGATTTCCTTTAATCTTCATATGTACTCAGTGAAGCATATACTACTATTGTTGTCCCCATTTTAAACCAGATAAAAATAAGACCAACAGATAAAGGCCATCAGATTTTATTTTTTTTTTTGAGACAGAGTCTCGCTCTGTCACCCAGGCTGGAGTGCAGTGGCACGATCTCGGCTCACTGCAAGCTCTGCCTTCTGGGTTCACGCCATTCTGCTGCTTCAGCCTCCCGAGTAGCTGGGACTACAAGCGCCCGCCACCACACCCGGCTAATTTTTTGTATTTTTAGTAGAGATGGGGTTTCACCGTGTTAGCCAGAATGGTCTTGATCTCCTGACCTCGTGATCCACCCGCCTCGGCCTCCCAAAGTGCTGGGATTACAGATGTAAGCCACCATGCCTGGCCAGACCATCAGATTTTAAAGCTTAACTCTTAATTACTGTACTACACTGAGTGTAACTAATACATACATTTGGTGGAATTTGTCTTAGGTACAATACTTTTGTTTTTATTTGGTATCATCACATTATATAAAAGCAAAAGTGACCCCCAAAATAGCTTCCACTTTAGGCTCTTTTTCTCTCCACAGCAGACAATACCCCTACTAAACAGAATTTGATTGTTGCACCTATGTTAAGTCGGGGACCAGAAATTTATTTTAGAGTGTTCGAAGGGCAAAGGAAAGTACTGCTTTTTGTAGAAGGATTAACTTCGTGGCTCAAATTTGCTAGATATTTGTCTAAACTTCTCTTCAGAGAAAAGCCCGAGCTTGCTTGCTGTAGGCTCAACCAAGTTTTACATTTTGAGACCATAAGCCTGAGATCAGAAATCTTTTAATCAGCATAAATCCTTAAAAGATCCCATAACTCTGAAGTCATGTTTGCATTATAAACAGAACATGTGTTTCATGGGGTGTGAAAATGCCAGCAGAAACTGCTTGCTTAATTTTATCAACCTACTTTTTTAGAGAGTGCTGACAGCCCTACAGAAGCATGACTAGCGGCTGCTGAGGTTGGCAAGCCCACATTCTGTGGCTTTTTCTTTAAGTGGCGTATCAGGAGATTAATTCAGCCTGAATTTCACATTTGTGTTCGGTAGCAATTCCCAGAGGCCTTAGGAGCAAATGCATATTTGACACCTATTTATCTTTGTCGGGGTTGTCATGGGAGCCAAGGTGATATCAACTTTAGTGAGGTCCTTTGAGGAGAGGTTATGGGGAACTGGATATATTTGCTTGGTTCTATTTTCATATCTATCTACTGTTTGCCAAAAGGTTAAGTTTCTCCCACCTCTCTGTCAGCACTACATTTGGTAATATGAAAGAGATGGAAGCATGGCTGGTTGTAGTGATAACGACCGATATGGCAGAGACGTGCGCTTCGAGGTCCACTTGTTCCTGTTGAAAGCATTTTTTCTTGCCTTTAAAGAGATTTTCATATTGATGCGCTGTGGCTGATAATGAGAAACCTGGGTATTTAAAAAATATATATTTTTTGTCCTCTATTATTAATCATCAAATGCGAGAGAGCAGATGAAGCAAGGTTAAAGAAGTACAATGGGATTCTAAAGAAAAAGAAGTCATAATGGCCTGGAGCAGTAAATTAGTGCAAAAGCTAGAACCATAGGAAAGCAATAGTTTGTTGACCTACCACTTAGAGTCTAAGCCTTTGAGGTTTGAAAACTCTAACATGATTTCATTCATTACTTCAATACACTGCTGGAAAAAAATAAGAAATGTATTTGAATCAAGTTTTAAATCTCAAATTCCGAATTTGTTATTTCAATAGTTTGGGGGGTATAGGTGGTTGCTGGTTACCTGGATGAGTTCTCTAGTGGTGAATTCTGAGATTTTTAGTGTACTCCTTACCCAAGCAGTGTACACTGTACCCAATATGTTGTCTTTTATTCTTCACCCCGCTCCATGAGACCTTAGAGTCAGTCCATTATATCACTCTGGATGTTTTTGCATCCTCATAACTTAGCCCCCACTTATGAGTGAGAACATAATGGTATTCTGAATTATTTCACTTAGAATAATGGCCTCCAGTTGCATCTAAGTTGTGGAAAAGACACTATTTCATTCCTTTTTATGGCTGAGTAGTATTCCATGGTGTATATATACCACATTTTCTTTATCTATTCATTGGTCAATGGGCACACAGGTTGGTTCCACATCCTTGCGATTGTGACAGATTCCAAATGTGTAAATGAGCTTTCTAATTGAAAAATGAATTGAGATTGAAAAATGAATAAATAATCTCATTTTCTGAAAGCAAATGGGCAATGTAATTATAAAGATTTTTTTCAAAGCACTCTTGAGTTTAAGGACACATGCACACACCGGAACACTCACTGACCCATCTTCTGAACACTCACTGGCCCACCTTTGCTGTCTTTCTTTTCTCTTCCCTATCAATTTTTATTGACCTGTTCTAAAATTTGCTTGCCTGATTTGTCTCAGTAATCCTCTCAGGTATCACTGTTTGAATTCACATTTTACACATCAAGGCACAGAGTAGTGACACAGCTCATTGCTGGAGTCTGGTTTTTGAGCCCATGATTTTAACTACCATACAATCTATTTGCCCAGTACAGAGGCTAAATAATAGCAATAATGCATACTCCATCAGCTCCATTTATTGTCATTCATAGCCACATAAATTTTTTTTAATTATACTTTAAGTTCTATGGTACATGTGCACAACGTGAAGGTTTGTTACAAAGGTATACATGTGCCATGTTGGTTTGCTGCACTCATCAGCTCGTCATTTACATTAGGTGTTTCTCCTAATGCTATCCCTCCCCCAGCCCCCGACCCCCCAACAGGTCCTGCTGTGTGATGTTCCCCACCCTGTGTCCAAGTGTTCTCATTGTTCATTTCCCACCTATGAGTGAGAACTTGCAGTGTTTGGTTTTCTGTCCTTGTGAGTTTGCTGAGAATGTTGGTTTCCAGCTTCATCCATGTCCCTGCAAAGGACATAAACTCATCCATTTTTATGGCTGCATAGTATTCCATGGTGTATATGTGCCACATTGTCTTAATCCAGTCTATTATTGATGGACATTTGGGTTGGTTCCAAGTCTTTGCTATTGTGAACAGTGCCACAATAAGCATACGTGTGCACATGTCTTTATAGTAGCATGATTTATAATCCTTTGGGTATATACCCAGCAATGGGATTGCTGGGTCAAATGGTATTTCTAGTTAATGCTATCCTTCTAATTAGCTGTGGAAAAGTAGGTTTTATCCACCATCTCTTGCTGACTTTTATAGTAATAAATACCCTACGTGTATGGTTAGGTTTTAGATAGGTAGATTTATAGGCATAGTATAGATATACAGCTTTCTGAAAGGATACAAAAGAAACTATAATAGCCTCTAGAGGAAAAATAAAGTAGCAATGGATGAGGATGAGAGGATTAACCTTTTGACATTTCTTATACTTACTTATATTACCTAATCGAACACAATTATAAATCAAATCCAATCAAACAAAAACAACAGAAATTTATTCTCCTGGAAGAACGCTGGCTTTCAAGTGAATGAGTAATGACTTGTGATCATTTTTATGCATCATCAATAAAACATTATGAGCCGCATTCTTTCTACTTCACTCAAATTAATTTTACCATTAAAAATTAATTCAATTTCAATGATCAGTTTATTTTAATTCTCTAAAAATGTGTCATCGTTTTTTGCTTTCAAATAAACATAGATGTACTTTGTTTAGATGCACTGACATTTAGGATTCTACAAACTAATTTGTGCTTAATTACATCTCGCTCAAAAGTTCAAACTTTTAACTCATAAAGTTTAACTTTATATTCTGGATTTCAGCAAAGCACTGCCTAACACATTGCGTGCAGTAGGACAGGAAGTGATGACTGTTTCTTTCGGAGCTTCTGCCAGTATGGAAATGCCACATCTCAGTTCTCAGCATCCGTACTCATTCATTCTTTTATTCATTTATTCATTTATTCTTTCACTTGCGCACAATGTTAATTAGGTCCTTTTCAGATGTTCAGTTTACCTCCGGTCATGACAATCTATGGAGAATGATGGGAGCAAAGAGAGATATTTCAACGGAATAAAACAAAAGCAATTCTATTAACCTATTCAACGCTGGGGTCCCAGCTGCACTTCACTACAGATAAAACTGTGGGGATAGTAGTCTCTATAGTTGCATAAACGCCAGGTGTTTTTTTAGACTCAGATGCAAATTTGCTTAGGTTTATATTTGATCCTTGAATCATTTTTGTAACCAGCTGGAGTTTTTGGCCATAACGTATTAACAATTTTTGGATGAATCATGCTGTGGTCATTATAAGCCTCTCTCTGGTCTGAATGACTGGATCTATTTTTCAGTTTCATTTTTAAAACAGTTGATTATACATATGTCAGCATGCATAATCTTTATTGTATCTAGAGATGCCTAATAAAACACACGTGAATAAAATATTCTCCAGGCAAGAAAAATGAAATGCAAATCTGATGTTCATAGATGGCCTTGCATAAAACAGCTGGGACTCTGGGCTCTAGATTTGAACACTGGATTTGTCCCTGGTAGTTCTGTGTCCTAATGTGAGTTAACTGAATCTCTCTAAGCCTCAATGAATTCATTTAAAAACAGGATTTGAGGATTTAGTATATAACATGAATACAGTTCCTAGTATAGTGCATAGTATTCAGTCATCACTCAATAAATGTGAATTCTTTTTGTTGGTTGTTGTCCTTGATGTTGCTGAAGAGGCGTGTGAGAAGGCAGCAAGATGCAATGATGTCAGTGCATGTTAGGCAGCAAGCAGATAAACTCATATAGCTTCTCTATAGGGGTGAGCTGAAATAAGAATTTCCTCCGATAGCTCAAATTTCTCATGTTGTAGGCAAAGCCCTCCAGAACACATTTCTAATCCAGAGTTCATTCCAACTCCTTCCCCACACAAGCCTTCTGCTTTAGTCAGAGGCCTCTCCTCAGATTCTTCTCTGTGAACTTTGCTTGGAAGGAATGACTATTTCCTCCTAAACCCTGTTCATATTCCGGAGTCCTTCAAAGCTAGTTCAAATTTCACTTCAGTAGAACTCTTTCCTAAAAATTGTATCCTTCCCATCCCTTTCTTAAATGTCAATAGAATAATTATTTTTGCCACACATTTTGGTGGTATATTAGGATTCTAGGCAGTCATAACAAATTACCAAAAACGTAGTGGCTTAAAACAACGTAAAATGTAAGACCTTGCATTTCTGTGGCTCAAGAGTCTGACACAACTTCACTCAGTTAAGACCGAGGAGTTACAGGGCTGGTTTCCTTTCTATAGGCGATAGGGGTGGAGCCTCTTTCTTCCTCATTCAGATGTTGGCAGAATTCATTTTTATGCAGTTATAGGACTGAAGGCCCCATTTCCTTACCAGCTGTTGGCTTGAGGCCAATCTTTTCTCCCAGGGGGATCTCTTGGGTCTTTGCACGTGGTCACGGCATCTCAGAACACCAAGGCCACTTCCAGTCCTTCTCATGCTGCCATCTTTAGCCTCAACCTTCTGCCTCCCTCTTCCAGTTTTTTTTTTTTTTTTTTTAACGGAATCTCACTCTGCACTCAGGCTGGAGTGTGATGGCACAATCTTGGCTCACTGCAACCTCCGCCTCCCTGGTTCAGGCGATTCTCTTGCCTCAGCCTCTGGAGTAGCTGGGACTACAGATACGTGCCACTACACCCGGCTAACTTTTTGTATTTTTAGTAAAGACGGGGTTTCACCACGTTGGCCAGGATGGTCTCGATTTCCTGACCTCATGATCTGCCCACCTCGGCCTCCCAAAGTGCTGGGATTACAGGTGTGAGCCACTGCACCCGGGCCCTCTTCCAGTTTTAAGAACTCATTTGACTAGATTGGGCTCACCAGAGTAATCCAGAATAATCTCCCCATCTTGAGGAGGACAATGAAGCCGTCTCTTTTTGCCCTATTAAGGTTTGAGCATTTTGGATGAGTCATTATTCTGCTGATTCAGGTAGTTTTATGAAGTCCTTTTAGAATTTTAGCTACACATGGTCCTGCCTGAATTACATATGTTTTTCAGTGTGCAGTGGTGGCTCTCTGTCAACATTCTGGATGGTAGGGAAGGACAAGGGGGTTTGTCATAGGTCTTCTGTAGCCCTAACCTGACCTACCCCAGAGCTCTGAGAGCAAAATGTTTGAGGAGGCACGCGGGCAGAATCCTGAATCAGTGGTTCAAGAGATTCTTCAGGTTTAAAATTTTACATCTTAAACAGTCAGATCTACGAAGGATTTATTTTATATTGGAGGACTAATCTATGAGATTCCTTCAGATACAGGCTGTTCCTCAGGCAAATGCCATGAACTTAACTATGCTTGGACTGATTTAAGTAACAGGTGTCATGATCTTGAAGCTCAACTTCAAGGTTAAGTTGATTGGCTGAGAAGTAATATTTACCCTAACAGCTTTTATTAAAATCTTGGAGATAAAGTGTTCTCTGCATGTCAGACATTTCTCCAGGAACCATGTTTAAATGTCCTTCACGTTTACATCATAATTTTACGAGTAGGGCAATTACTTTATCTCATCTTGAGTGAGACACTAAAATATCAGAACCTCCTTAATATTTTCTACTGATATTCCCTCATCATTCTCCTTATTTCTTTGTTTTGTTTTTGTTTTGTTTTGTTTTTTTGAGATGGAGTCTCACTCTGTCGCCCAGGCTGGAGTGCAGTGGCGCGATCTTGGCTCACTGCAACCTCAGCCTCCCGGGTTCAAGCGTTTCTCCTGCCTCAGCCTCCGGAGTAGCTGGGACTATAGGCGTGTGCCACTACACCGGGATAATTTTTGTATTTTTAATAGAGACAGAGTTTCACCATGTTGGTCAGGCTGGCCTTGAACTCCTGACCTCATGATCCGCCCACCTTGGCCTCCCAAAGTGCTGGGATTACAGGCGTGAGCCACCACAACTGGCCAATTCTCCCTATTTCTATTCTCTGACTCTTAGTATGTGAAACAAACAAATACATTTAACAAAAAGCAATTTCCAAGCCTTCATACACATTGTTTCCTTTTGCTAGAATTTTATTTCTTCTTCCCATTTCCCTCCAGAAAAGCTTTTAATTGCCTGTTGAAACCCCACCCAAATTCTTCTACAAGGAAGCCTTCCTTTATTCCTTCTAACCTGCATAGAATGTGAGTTATTCTAGAGTTGGTTTTTATCCCCAGAAACTAGTACCATGTTCAACTCCATAAATGCTAAATGTGTCTGCCTATCGATTGACTAAAAATAGCTATTATGGAAGCAATAAATTCACAAGGTTACATCTCCGGACTTTTGCTGTAGAATGAATATAAGCAGAATCAATTGTTTCTTTCTTTTTTCTGATAGGATAAATATTGTTTCGTTTTTATTTGCTTGCTCAATATTTGTAATGATTCTTTAGATTACAAAACCTGATTGACAACCTCGAGTTCAGAGAAATCTTTCTTTTATTGAAGACCCAATAAACACATTATTTTGAAATACTTTTCTGTGTCACAAATGAATATTACAGCAATCAAAGAAAATAACAGACTGGGATTATTTAGCTCAAAGCTCATAAGGAAGTCTAAATATTCAGTTGACCTTCTCTATGACTAAGTGTCCATAGCATGTTGAATCCCACCTTTATGTATGTAGAAATGGCCTGAGCGATTGAGAAATACTACTTATCACTCTTTGATCAGTGGCAGACCATGCTTCACCATGATATTCTCTACCTTTGATTCTAGCTTAAATATTAAAAAAAAAAAAAGAGAAGGGGCTTGAACCTATTATCCCAACCTCATTTTGCATCTTCCAAGTGCAAAATAGATCCACTATTTGCCTTTTCAATGCAATGTTACGTTTCCTTATTAAGTACTATGTTACTAAACTTTACACAGACACTGAGAAGTGGAACGGGGTGAAAGGTCACCATATAAAATATATGCTTTCACATATTACTCTCTGTAGAACATTTTGACCTGAGGCAATTCTTCAATATCATAAAATCATTTAGGAAAAAACAACTACCACTAGCCTGCACTTGACAACTGATCATGGGTCTCAATATTATATTCTCCCAGAAACCAAAGAAAGAAAAAATGATCTCAGAAAGTCCTGTTGTTTTGGCAAGAAGTGAAATGCAATCACATAAATTTCAACATATTAAGCGGCAGTTGGTATTTTATAAATGGTTAATGCTGGTATAATTCCAAGATGCATTAGAAATATTAGAGTCAGAAGCAGCATTACAGCTCAGCAATTCTGCACATAATCAAGAGTTGGGCAGCATCCACAGACAGTTTTTATTACACAGACAGGC
Organism: Homo sapiens; assembly: GCF_000001405.40. Taxonomy (NCBI): domain Eukaryota; kingdom Metazoa; phylum Chordata; class Mammalia; order Primates; family Hominidae; genus Homo; species Homo sapiens. Next base: position 70,317,680 of record NC_000017.11, read on the forward strand.
ACTTGAGAATATGTTTCTGGAAGCAAAATGAGATGATGAGGAGGGAAATTATGTAATGAGCAATGCCAAAATAGGCATAAAGGAAAATTATTCATTGGGAAAAACAAATGCATTTGGGCATAGAAGACATTTCTGACAATTTGTCTACCTATAGAAAGTGGTCCCTGTTCAGATATTAAGAAAAACACAAGGGTATTAACAAAGGTGGTAAAAGTACCAGAGTTTAGTTGATTCTTGTTTATGTTTTCCTCCTCATCTTTCATTCTGGAATTGTCATATATATATACACTCATGCAGACACACATATTTTTTATATATATACACATGTGTGTCTGTATGAGTATATATGCGTATATATACATATATAATGTATATATACATTATATATGTGTGTATATATCTGTATATACACAGACATGTCATATAATTTCAGATTAATGAATCTTTTTAATCAAGACCCATTTTTTTTTTAACTTCTCGTGAATTGTTCCTTCTCCAATCCTTCAAAAACAGAGACACACTGAGCTGCAGGCCTTGCCCAGTCATTCTTTGGCAGACTTGGAAACTCAGCTGTTCTCATGGCTTTGCTGTTAAACATACCAAAACCCAGACGGCTTCACATAGTTTTCCCTGGGATTCAAGCTGTTTTGATTCTCCACCTTCAACTGCCCATTTACCATCTCCACAAAAGATTTCCGACATCATCTTTCTTCCTGATGGAAATTTCTACTCCAAATTTTTAATTATTTTTTTCCCATTTCATCTCTTTTTCCCATATACTCACTCAGGCTCAACATTCTTTTTTTTTTTTTTTTTTTTTTTTTTTTTGGGACAGAGTCTCGCTCTGTCGCCCAGGCTGGAGTACAGTGGCACGATCTCAGCTCACTGCAAGCTCCGCCTTCCGGGTTCACGCCATTCTCCTGCCTCAGCCTCCCGAGTGGAGTAGCTGGGACTACAGGCGCCCGCCACCACGACCGGCTAATTTTTTCTATTTTTTGGTAGAGATGGGGTTTCACCATGTTAGCCAGGATGGTCTCGATCTCCTGACCTCGTGATCCGCCCGCCTCAACCTCCCAAAGTGCTGGGATTACAGGCATGAGCCACTGCGCCCGGCCTCAGAATTCTTAAATCTTCCTTATTCCTTTATTTCTCTCTGTTAGGATAACTGCCCAGTCTCCAGAATCTACACAGGGCCCTCATATTCCCCCTCACATCTGTCCAGTCTCTTTCATGGCCATTTCTCTAGCTTATCACTTCATACCTCAAGTAGCACAGCAGTTGGATTATTGGTCTGCTTGGCCTTCCTCTTTCCTTCTCCTACTTTGTCCTAGACAACACTACCACAAAACAGGCAATGGCCTAGAACACAACCTCATGTGAAAAGATCTTCAGTGTTTTCAATTGGCCTGCAGGTTAAATCCAAACTACATCGCATGTCAATTATCAAATGCCTACATTGAACTCTATTCTTATTCAGTATTTTGGGGGAGGGGCTACAAAATAATTATACACTTTTGCTCACATCATTCCTCTTTTCTGGGATGTTCTTTCCTACATATCTTTTTTTACCAAAGTGGTAGCGTTTTCCATAATATGCAATTCAAGTCTAATCATGTTGGATGAAGAGCAAAAGATTAATTTAATTGGGTTTTAGTTGAAAATATTTTTCAGAGCCTAACTATCCTTATGAGTTATCAAATCCTTCATGTAAGAAAACTCTGTTATGCAATGGAAGCAAACTGTGGGAGAAGTGGGGCAGGTGTTGTCTGGATCTGAAAGTGGGTGGTAGGTAACTTGTATGGTATTTCCTGACTGGTGGGTGGCAGATTTGAAACCAAATCCTAGATCCCTTGACTCCTAATCAACATCCCTACCCTATAATACGACTGGAGGCATCAGGACCTACCCATTAAGTAATACAGACACATAGCTATCAGGAGTCCTAGAATTGAAACCTGACTCTGCCACTTACCAGGAATGTGAAGTTAGACAAATCACTTAATGCTTCTGCCTTCATTTCCTAATCCGTGAAATTGACCCAACAGACATTATAAGTTTAAAACAAGGTAATGCAAGTAAAGTATTTAGCACAATTCCTGCAGTGATGAAAACCCTTGATAATTCAAGCCTTGTTACTATAACACCGTGACTGTAGAAAATTGTCTTCAACCACTAAAAGAATGATGTTTCCAAATACCAGTGGCCTAAAGGTGGAGTAAGTGACAAGTTATTTTCAACTCTGTGACCAAGGTTATATCTATCCTTTAATTAGCTAAGACTCAAGATGTTTTTCCCTCCCATTCTAGATGAGATGTATTAATTATATCCCCAGGAATCAAAGAACATCTTACAATTTCATCAGTTCATTTCACATTTGTTATGAATTCCTTAGGTGAATATTCTTAAAGTGATATTGTCTTGGTGGTTAATCGGGTTTTCCACCTATAACTGAATATTTTTTGTGTGTGTATCTCTCACCAGTCTAGACTAGGAAAATTATAGCTACAGGAATCATTTTTAAAAATAGTACATATCACAGAACATTACTTAGCCAGAAAAATCCACAATTATTGGATTAAGCAAACTAATCATCTCCTTGAGAACCAACTGCCCACTAGCCAAATTGTACCAACAGGGACGAGTAACATTTAGCTTTTGGAGAAATTCTAAATAATTCCAAGTAATTAGTGCAAGAACTGTATGAAATAGCCAAATACTTATTCTGGACTCAGACTATCTGAATTGATATTCTGACTGTGATTTACTGCTGTGGAACTTTGGGCAAGTCACTATACCTTTCTGTACTGGCTTCCATCTCATTTTTATTTCATGAGATTGTTGGAATATGTAAGTGAAAGTATGTCTATAGATCATTCAGCATACTTTCTGTAACACGAGCACCTACAATCTAAATAGTATTATTACTAATATTACTGTTTTCCTTCTGGTAATTTATCCAAAGATGTGCTACACTTGACAACAGCTTCTGAATTCTCTGTTCTCCATCCTACAGACTTACGATAGTCTTCCTTTTCTTTCTCTATCATTTCCTTAAGTAAGCAAAAAATAATTTAGAAGTTGCCAAGTGGGGAAAACCCCAATCTATTGGAGAGTATGACAGCAAGGGGTGGCAGCGGTGGGTTGAAGGTCTTACTCAAAGTGTCCATGCCTAGGGATGTTAGACAGGGAGTGAAATGATTTTTAAAAAATCTGAATTAGCACATACAATACCAAATTGCAACAGCTGCCAGGAAGGGTATTTGTGCAATATCTACTGATAAATGAGTAGAATGTTCTTTCCTTTTCCATAAAGGGAATCTTGTTAAGTGAAGTGGATAACTCTTAAGAGTGTAACTAGACTTGGCAAATCAATGCCTTTCTGGAGAACATAATTGTGCTTTCTGGAGCTAGACCACAGGCACTCAATTATTTAGAGGGACTCTCGGGCATCCAGCCCATCAGCTCTTGGGTAATGCTTCGGAAGTCACGGGAGTTGCTTATCTGAGCTGCTGAGAAAGGAGAATGTTTTATGTCAAGCTATAAAATATACAGCACATAACACCCTAAAGTGTCTCCTATTATCTTCTTGTCTAGCTGTTGCCTTAATTCTGCAGAGATACAGAGATAGGAAAATACTTGCAGACAGAATTTCCAGTGCTTTCTATTATCTGAAATTTTCTCTATTTTACCTTTTAGAAAAATAAATCTTATTTGCTTTTTTTAGTAAAATATGTTTCTATAGGACTAAGCTTGTTGTCTACAAAATAATGTATTACTAGTTAGAAATGTTAACAGTACAAAGAAAATAATCATCATTATTTTGTGTGCATATTTTTGGCAGTCTACCCGTGCATATGAGTTCGCTTGTCCTTACAACAGTCTCTGAGATTTGCCAAGTGGTTTGCCAACCCCACAAAGCCAATAAATGGCACACTAGGACTGTAATCCAGGACCTCTGACTTTATGTCCACTACGCTTCATAACACCTTATTCTATCTTTGGAATAGAATATATTGCCCACAGAATTATAAGTTAAAAATAACATATTATAAATACATAATCGAATATATTTTAAAATTTACTTACTATGCAGAGTATAGAGTATGTGCCATTTTCAATCACTTCTCCCAAATTCCTGTGCCTTCTGCCAACTGCATGCCTTGTATTCACTTTTCCACTCACATTTCAGTAGGCGAGAGGTCCTGAAACCTCAGTATACAGGAAAGACCCGCTGAGTGCCTAATACAATTCAGATGTCTTGGACTTTGCCCCTACAAACTTGTGATCCAGGTGGTCCAATGTCACATCCTAAGAAACCTGGGACTCAGCTCCATTGTTAATCACTACTGCATTCCTCATGTCTCCAGGTAGATTTCTGAGCTGCTATTTCCACACTGCCACCACACTCGACTCTCTCTGCCTCTGACCTTCAATGGCACAAAACCCTAAACGTGGATCCTGCTCTCAATCCTCTTCCTACTTCCCAATCTCTTTTCTCTTTATCTCTATTCAAAAATCACAAAATGAAACATGGCTAGAGAAAGATAAATCCAGACTCCACCTATTCAAGCAAAACTCTATCGGGTCAGGATGATGGCTTATGCCAAATAGTAGCCTGACATGGTGACTTGTGATCTTACTAGGTTTCTGCCTTTGTAGAGCAACTGAGTCTCCCCACTAGAGTGATTTTTGTACTTTCTAATGTTACCCAATGGCTGGAAAGTAAGAAGCTGCATCTCCTTGACTTCGGCTGTAACTTGCACATTGGAGTAACATTTTTAATATCCCACTAGCCAGATGTGACTTCTTAGGCCAATGTGTACCAGAGCACAGGCCTTCAGGTTGCTCTTTTAGACACACCCACATACATTGGAGAATCTGGCATTTTGAATGGGGTCAGACTTTAGGCCCAATTTAGCCTTTTTGAATCCTTACTCCACCTCTCTTTCTTTTCCTTTCTGAATATCTAAAGTTTCAAAATCACTCTCATCAAGTTATGCTGAGTTTTAAGAAAAATCATTGATCTTTCATCTGTGTCACCAATAGACCTTCTCCATTTTTGAGCCATGTAACTGGGGTCTGATCTCTTCCTTAGAACAACTGAGGGCTGAGGGTTTGGCCCAGGTTTGTGTTTCAAGAGCCAGAGCTGGGAATGCAGTACAATTTATTGGATGATTGTGATGAAGAAGCAGGGAGTGAAGAGCAAATTCATTTTTGGCCCAAGTGTGTAAGAGAACTGAAAGGCAGGGTAAGTAGGAATGGGTAAAATGCCACCATGGTATCTAAAACATATAATTGGCAAAAACACCAAGAGTAGTGGCTCACACTTGTGGTCCCAGCACTTTGCGAGGCCAAGGTGGACAGATCACCTGAGGTCAGGAGTTCAAGACCAGCCTGGCCAACATGGTGAGACACTGTTTCTACTAAAAATACAAAAATTAGCCAGACATGGTGGTGCGCACCTGTAATCCCAGCTACTGGGGAGACTGAGGCAGAACAATCACTTGAACCTGGGAGCAGAGTTTGCAGTGAGCCGAGATCATGCCACTGCACTCCAGACTGGGTGACAGAGTGAGATACCGTCTCAAAAAAAAAAAAAAAAAATGGCTAAAACAAAAATTGCATTTCAACCTGAGGGTGAAAGGGTGGGTTAAGAATTGTTAGCTTGGAAAGCACTGCAGAAAAGTTCCAGGAAGTTACAGAACACAGAGCGTGTCAGCCTTTTATGGAATGCTCATGGCTAAGCCCAAGAGCTGAGAGAGAGAATTCAAGCATGCTGGCCAGCTGAAAGAATCCTGCATTTGTATACTCTCAAGGAAGTAGCCTACCATACTAGAGATTTTTAATCATTTTCCCAAATCAACTTATTTAGGCTGAGTAAACTACACACTAGCAAGGGTACTTGAAGATCACCTCAAGCAAAACAGTCTGGATTATTTGAGTAAATATTCATAAGCTGCGGTCCTACAACATTCTGCTAGTTTGGTAAGCATACACTCAGTAACTGTCAATGCACTTTTGTTGTGACGATGATATCCAGATTTTTATTTTTTCCTCCATTTGTTAAATATACTTAGCACAATTGAACAATTTATTACCTCTAAAAGTATTGAATCCCTGCCATCTTGAAAAATATACCAGCAACTAGCAAACAATTAAAATGTATAGGCCATTAATCTCAAGAAAGGCTATGAATAAACAAGTATCTCTCTTGTCTTCCACTACTCAAAGAAATTTCACTATGAGGAATTAGGAAGCAGCTACTGGTCTGTGTACGGTTCAGTTACTTTTTGTTTTGATAGCTTCTGTCCACCTCATATCAACATTTTCTTCACAATTGTGCTAGCCATCATAAGTTTCCATTAGTGAAAGCTACTGACTTAGGGTTCTCTATCCCAAGTAGCCATTTACTTTGTTCAAAGATCTGTATCACTGATCATTACTATAACCCTTTGGAGATTTTGTTTTGTTTTGTTTCTAGAGATGGGGTCTTGCTCTGTTGCCCAGGCTAGAGAGCAGCAAAGTGCAGTGGTATGATCATAGCTCACCCCAGCCTTGAACCCATGGACTCAAGCAACACTTATGCCTTAGCCTCCAGAGTAGCTGGGACTATAGGTACATGCCACCATGCCAGGGTAATTTTTACTTTCTTTTTTAGAGATGGGGGTCTCACTACGTTGCCCAGGCTGGTCTTGAACTCCTTTTCTCAAAGTTATTTTTAGTAGATGTGCCTTGTTTCACAAAAGTGAAAACACAAGGAGAAATATGCTAGCAAGTATTGCACCACGTACATTCTTTATGTACTTTCTAGTCTCTTAAATACTCTAAGAAAAACGTCAATGGTAAAACAAAGCAGAAAAAAGAGATATCCAATGCAGTGAGTGTATTAGTTTCCTATTTCTCTTGTCATAAATTGCCACAAACTTAGTGGCTTAGAATAACACAAATTTATTATCATACTGTTTTGGAGGTCGAAGTCTGAAGTAGATCTTTAGGGCTAAAATCAAAATATTGGCAGAACTGTTTCTTCTAGAGATTTTAGGGGAAAATCTATTTCCTTGCTTTATCTAGCTTATAGTGGCTACCTTTATTAATTGACTTGTGGCCCCTTCTACCACCACCAAAGGACTTCAGTCCAATCTCTGCTTCCAACTTCACATCTCTCTGATTTTGACCTTCATGCCTACCTAGTTATAAGAACTTTTGTGATTATATTGGGCCCACCCAGTTAATCCGGGATAATCTCAAAATCTCAAGATCTTTCATTTAATCACATCTGCAAAATCTCTTTTATTACATAAGGCAACATAGTCACAGGTTACTAGGATTGAGATATATCTTTGGGGACAATTGTCAGCCTACCAAAGTGACATTTTATACTGTAAGCTGTTTTGATAAAAGTTGACTTTTCTAAGATTTACTGTCTTACTTTTTGTGTGAATCTATTGAAACTCAGAACACGTAAATTGGATCTGCCAGAAATCCCATCTGGACCTTGATAAAGCTCAATGTTCAATTACACTAAATCATTCTTTTTCCATTAAAATGATGACTCTTTCCTCTATTGAGGTCTTTGTGCAGGCTTGCTACCTTGGCATAGAATGTCCTTCCTCCTTCTCAAATTGTTGGTAAATCTCTGACTAGACCTCAAGCTATAATTTAATGGTTACCTTTTTCTTTTGTTTGCTCTGAGTCCCTTTTTCTTCCCACAAAGAGTAGTTAGGTGATTTTTTTTTCTCATAGCACTTTGGCAGTCTCCTTATGTAAGATTCCCCATGCAAAATATGCACCCATGTAATATATGGATTGAGTACTTTCTATATGCCTTGTTCTGTAGTAAACATGGGATAAACAAGAAAATATGAAAAAAAGATAATTTATCCAAATTTACTACACACTTACAATTATACATGACTCTCTTGAACTTAATTGAAGCAGGATTCATCACAATGTCCACATCAATGTGCAAAAAATCCCTTTTTATTATGAAGTAATGTATACAAAACAATGCCCATAACCCCGTTCCTACTTTAGATTATTTTCTGTTATTTTTGTTTAATTATTTGAATTTTTTACTAGACAACATATCCCTTTTAAAAATTAAAAGTGATGGAGATATTTTCAAAAGCCCAATTCAAACCGAGTTAGTATTTACAAAATTTCAATTCTGTCCCCAGGGTTTATCATGTAAGACCTTAATGATATTAAACATATGTGCAATAGTAAAATCTTAGAAGATGCTTAGTAATTGTACTCTGGACACAAGAAAAATAAATCATATTGCAGTCCAGCTATCCTTCATTCAACAACATATAACTTTAAGGAAAGAACTAGAGAACTTGAGATGCACACAATTCCAGGGACAAGTAATTCTTGGAGGAGGAACAATTAACCGATGGTTTTATCTGAAAAAGAAACATGTGCCAAATGAATCTAAATGGTGCCTAACTCTATATTCCATTTGGCACTCCATGTATGAACCTCTCCCTATCCCTTGCTGTCATTTTTCCTTTCAGTGGGGTGATGGTGAGAGCAATGGCATGAAGCCCAGGAATGTGGTAAGATAATTTCTATACAGGTCAAGATAAAAATCATGAAAATGTAAAAATCCAATAATTCATGTTTTGGGCCAGGTCAAAACAACATGGGGACATCAAAACAGCCTTTAGAAGAATCATGTATCTCTTTTCGCATATTTTCTTGTTTATTTATCCCATGTTGACTACAGAACAAGGCATACAGAAAGTACTCAACCAATCTATTGCATAGGTGCATACTTTGCATGGGAAGCACTCAACATATATTGCATGGCATGCTTGAGTTGCTGTAAATTATTTTGTCTCCCTTAAGACCATAAGAGACGCAAAGGAGCAGGATTAGCAAAGTTTATAGCAAGCCATGAGCCAGGACAGATACAGTGGAATCAGTTTGCAAAATGCCTTGGAGTCCTTACTTTAGGAAGTGGTACTTCATTTTGAAAGAAATTTGGAACCAGAGGGATTTGAACGCAGGGGACCTCATTGATCAAATCCTGCATGCATAAAGACTACTTTATTAGCAATGCAGAGACTAAATTTGAGAGTGGAAAGGATGGCTATTATAACTCCATTTGGAAAGCCATTGCAATAACTAAAACAACTATAAACATGGAACATTCAGATTTAATTTTTAGAATATGTGCAATAGAAAAGAATAAGTGATATTCTTTGTAATATGACATCTGTAGCTGCATGTTGCTTAAACATAAATATGATTAGGTGCTAGAGGTAATGGGGTCAAATTAGTCTATTATCTAGTTATTTTACAGGGTCTGCACTCTACACAGAAACTTGCTAATGTGAATATTTAGTAGGTTTGAACCCATGCAGTGTTATGAAAGAGTATCAGAACTATCAATGTGTGATATGAGTTGCCATGTATGTATGGGTGCACAAGTGTGTGTGTGTGTGTGTGTGTGTGTGTGTGTGTGTGTATGAGTTTCTGGGTGAGAAAATTCCACCTGAGGCAGAAGGAGAAAATGATGTTGAGGGTCAACTTTACATTCTTACTTTCCATTTTAATGTTGATTGAAGATTCTTGATACAAATATGTCTAAATATCATCTGTACACAATCAATTTTAACTAAATTTTATAGAAAACTCATTTTTTCTAGTAGCCTTAAATCTGTTTATACCTTGCTCTTCAAAATCAAAGCATTTAATCTCTTAGAGATAATAAATTAACTTCTGTTTACATTAAAATTTATTGGGCCTACTAAATACAGATGCTAGTCATTACCTATTTTTATGAAAGTGGTAAGCCATTTCAGAATGACTCATATAAAATGAATTGAGTGGGCACAAAAATCTGAATTATTATAATTAACAATCATAGGAAAGAAATAAGAACTAACTTAAGGCTTTTCTGAATATCTGTTGGTGGCAGTAGACACGTATAGGGGTGTTCTAGTCCAAGGAAAGTATTGATTCATTTAAATTTGTCCATCCACATGAGTGAAACAGCTACGCTCATTTTCAGATCAGTGAATGCAACACTCCCAAGTCTAATCGGGAAGTTTTGCAGACAGCCGTTCCTGTTTGTTTATTGATTGTGGTTCAACGGTAGTTCTCATTCTTCCAAATTAGAACAGCAGACTTATGTTGTGTCAACAATCACCTTGCTTTTAAAAACGTCTCTGTGCATGCACCAGAGACACACTAATAAAGAATCTAACACAAGCCAAATCTTCCATCTGCTAGGGGATAATGCCCGTCTGCTGTCAGAAGCAAGACTGGAGTAAGGTGCAGGCAATGCCAAGACTTGCAGTGCCCGTCTTTTTGAAAAAAGGCCCTAGTGGGATAACAGATCGTGTTCGTCTAAAAAGGAAGACAAATGAGTAACTTGTGTTTAATAACGGCCATCCGCTGACACTTACTGTTAAAGGAGAACAAGAGATATATCTTGGCAGTTTTCTACATCTCATTTTGTATTGAGTCCAAGTCATTGACATGAGAATGTAACATAATCTACCTTGCGGAAAAAGTGGAGAATGATCTGCTTCTCTCTCTACATATAATTTCCAACTGAGACTTCCGCTTTTCTTACCATTACTCAAATTGCCCAGTCAGAGGCAAAAACACCTGGTCATATGAATGCATTTCCCCAGCTGAATGAAAATGGGTCTGCTGGGTGAAGAGAATTAGAATTTCTTTTTTTTTTTTTTTAAACTTTTAGTTTAAGTTCAGGGGCACATGTGCAGGATGCGCAGATTTGTTACATAGGTAAGCGTGTCTCATAGGGGTTTGTGGTACAGATTATTTCCTCACCTGGGTATTAAGCCTAGTATCTATTAGTTTTTTTTCCTGATCCTCTCTCTCCTCCCACCCTCCACCCTCCAACAGGCCTCAGTGTGGGTTGTTCCCCTCTATGTGTCCATGTGTTCTCATCATTTAGCTCCCACTTATTTCATGGCAGTTTTGTAAAGAGTTTTTGACAGTTAACTGATTGCACAGTACAACAGAATGAAATTACATTAAATCTATGTATTTGCATAGATTTAACACCATGAGTGGAATTAAATGGACAGAAAACTTTTTGATTTTTTTGAATCATAAATTTAACACCATGAGTGGGATTAAATGGACCGAAAACTTTTTGATTCTTTTGACTCATAAATTTCAAGATCGTCTTGCCTGGCAGTTCTTCCTGCTCATCTATAATTTCCTGGTTGGGTACCTGCCTACAACTGCCAGTGCTTGGTTTCACAGACTCACAGCTAACTTAGCAACTGATCATAGTTTAAAATTGTAAAATTCCATCAATTTTTACTGCCACTGTCTGATGTGAAAACTAGAAAAGAAACATAGTCAGATGTAGATATCTGACGGTCCACAACATAAAGATTATACGAAGTCGGCCGCAGTGCAGCTAAAAAATATTTAACTGAGAAATGTGACTTGCAGTCCAAGAGACTTGTGCCAAGAGAGGGTTGGTGACCTGAAGCAAACCCAGGTCTCTGCTTCTTCTAGGAAGTTCATGTTCTCACCATTAACTGGGAAGTAATTTACAAAGAAAAAGAATGGGGAGGGGAGGTGGAGGCTTCCACTTAAAAATTTTCCCCTTTGTTTTCTCCTGCCCATTCCCCTTAAGCAAACTTTAAGGAAATGACTAATTTCAGATTTTTGTCTTCCTGAAAATTAGTTCTGTGGCCGGGTAGCTCACTCCTGTAATCCCAGCAGTTTGGGAGGCAGAGGTGGGAGGATCACCTGAGGTCAGGAGTTCAAGACCAGCCTGACCAATGTGGTGAAACCTCGTCTCTACTAAAAATACAAAATTAGTCAGGTGTGGTGGTGGGCCCCTGTAGTCCCAGCTACTCGGGAGGCTGAGGCAGGAGAATCACTTGAACCCAAGAGGCAGAGGTTGCAGTGAGCAGAGATGGCGCCATTGCACTCCAGCCTGGGCGACAGAGCAAGACTCCATCTTGAAAAAAGGAAAAATAGTTTTGTGTGATTCTCTTTTAAGTACTGTAAAGGTACTTGTATTACTTGTATATTTATCATAAATGTAACCAGTCTTAGCCTTTAGTTAGATTTCTGACACAGGTCAAAAAGCTATGATTCTTCTAGAATGGTGGTGAAATAACTATCAACATTTTTATTACATAACATATGGGAGCTCAGAGAATGGTGCAGGCACTATCTGGTCCTGACTGCTTAGACCAGTCAGATCTTTAAGGGCACCGAGGTTCTTTATCAAGATCAGACAGACTGAAGCTACAGCTGTTCTGCAACAAGGTAGGTCAGAGAACCCGCATCAACACTCACCTGTATCAGATTACTGCTCAAGCAAAATAAGACCCTGAGCTGGATTTCATGAAAACAATAATGGAAAAAAACTAGCTTGCATCTGTCTCCAGTCATGCCTGACCTGTGTACAAAGGGGAAAGAATTAACCTTCCCATTATTAGTGTCTTCAATTTCCTGAAAGGGAAAAAGCTCTTGAAATGGAAAACTAAAGGTTTTATCATGTTGGGAATAATTGTAAAATCAATCCCATTAACGTATTCTAAGAATCTCTGGCACTGGGCAGTAGGTAGACCCAACCTCTTCTCAGTGCTCCTTATTTTCTGTTTGGCTTCCTTTTCTCATCCATTCATATGGATATCTTTTCCTTTTAAAATTTCCAGTTGTTTTATCACAACATAGAGCAACAGAAATGGTCAAGAACAACAACAACAAGAAAATATTAGCAAAAAAAAAAGTCTATTTTTAATCTACATCTCTATTAATAATCTCCAAAGTACTTCGTATAATAAGCTGAAGATTCTGGTGAAGATTCACAGAGAATTTCTAGTACTTAGGGTCAATGGCCTAAATCATAAAGTCATTTTCTTTCAGTAATGAAAGTTAAATAATTTTATAAGAAGAGGATTTCTCATGAAAGAAGGCAGGTGGTGAATCTTCTGTTCATTTCAGGTGCCTAAAATGCAATGATATTTGCCTACTGACAGAGAAGTGAGATGTTAATGTAATTGTTAGAGACTTTATATTGATTTCAGATTAATATCTTCTAAACTAATTGACAAGTTGCTTGCTATTTAGAAGGCAAACAGTAAAAGAGAAGGCAAAAAGGAATAGAGATTTTTGATTACTTAGTGGATTATCTACAGTGACTTACTTATTCCACTGAATATTCAACATTAAAAAAATCTCCTTAACTTACCTTTTAAACAAGTTAATCAGATTAACTATGCCACTGTGACAAATTTTAAATTTAAAATCAGGGTACACAGTTAGATGAAGTACCACTTCTGAGTGAAAGCAGTTGGCTGGGAGATAACATTTTGATGCTAAAATTAGGCAAGGATCTAGAACTAGAAATACCAGTTGACCCAGCAATCCCATTACTGGGTATATACCCAAAGGATTATAAATCATTCTACTGTAAAGACACATGCACATGTATGTTTATTGTGGCACTGTTCACAATAGCAAAGACTTGGAACCAACCCAAAAGCCCATCAATGATAGACTTGATAAAGAAAATGTGGCACATATATACCATGGAATACTATGCAGCCATAAAAAAGGATGAGTTCATGTCCATTGCAGGGACATGGATGATGCTGGAAACCATCATTCTAAGCAAACTATTGCAAGGACAAAAAACCAAACACTACATGTTCTCACTCATAAGTGGGAGTTGAACAATGAGAACACATGGTCACAGGGAGGGGAATATCACACACCGGGGCCTGTCAGGGGGTGGGGGGCTAGGGGAGGGATAGCATTAGGAGAAATACCTAATGTAGATAATGGGTTGATGGGTGCAGCAAACCACCATGGCACGTGTATACCTATGTAACAAACCTCCACGTTCTGCACATGTACCCCAGAACTTAAAGTATAAGTAAAAATAAAAATAAAAATAAATTTAAAAAATTGGGGCATGCCCTGGATTTCTTTGAAAACAGTAAGCCCACAGTGTAAATGTTACATCCTAAGGATTCTATACCTATGAATGCCACAGATTATAAACATATTTTACATGTTAATATTCAAAAGGGTAACATGATGCTGTTGAGCTGAGGTTGACAAACCATAGCCCATGGGCCAAATCTGACCTGCTGTCGGTTTTTGTATTGCAGTCACTTGCTTAGATATATGTGTAGTGCTTTTGCACTACAATGGTGGAGTTGAATAGTTGTGACAGAGACTGTATGGCCTGCGAAACCTAAAAGACTCACTTTCTAGCACTTTACAGGAAAAGTTTGCTGACTCCTGTGTAGAGTGCTTGAAATTAATGTTTATCTACAACTTTTTTTTTCTCTTGGGCATAAAGGATGACAGTAAATCTCCATGTCTGTGTGCATATGAGTGAGGCAGGCAGGAGGATTGGCAATCACATGCCACTTTGAAGTGAGTTGGCATCAAACATAAAATTAGTCTTTTGTCACAGATTTTAGTTCTTCCTGCAGTCAATTATCTGTATCGTTGTACTATTGCACACAGGAGATTCATAATTCAGGATAGAGTTAGTTGCTCCATTAGGTCAGCTGTGCATTAGTATAAAGAAATACCCAAGGCTGAGTAATTTACAAACAAAAGAGGTATAATTGGCTCACAGCACTGCAGGCTGTACAAGCATGGTACCCGCATCTGCTTGACTTGTTGGTGGGGTGGGCGGTGGGGGCCTCAGGGAGCTTTTACTCATGGCAGAAGCTGAAGCATAAGCAGGCATATAACATGGAAAAAGCAGGAGCAAGAGAGTAGGGGTGGGAGGTGCCACGCACTTTTAAACCACCAAATCTCATGTGAATTCACTCATCACCAAGGGGTAGTGCTAAGCCATTCATGAGTGATCCACCCCCATGATCCAAGCACCTCCCACCAGGCCCCACCTTCAACACTGGGGATTACAGTTCAACATGAGATTTGGCTGGGACCCAGATCCGAATCATATCAGTTGCTTACAGAGCAACTCGGCCCTCTTTTAAAAAGATAAATGGCTCAAATTGCATTCTTATACTAAAACAGGCCTAGATGTATTTGTGCCAGGAGTATGTTGTTGTTTTGTGTGTGACAAAAAAGCTTTAGATCATGCCAAGTAATCACACTTTGATTCAAAACAGAGGCCACATGTTTCTGAAATCAGGACCTCTTTCTACTGCTTTTCAGACATAGCATGGCTCTCCAAGGCCAGAAAAATTGAGTAATTGTTGTTACTATTTTAGACTTTTAGATCTACCCAGGGGGACTTGTCTTTCTCCACTGTTTTATCGTGGTGAATATTACTGAAACTGCCAAGCCTTATTATACACATACAGTTAAGCTATTACTGAATCCACCTGCTCCACTCCAAGTCTGGGAATCGCTGTTCAAACAACAGAGTATGAAGCCGTCATTAAAACTAAACCAACAGTAAACCCAGACATAGATCAAAGATCATTTCAGATGCCAGTTGGGCTAATCAATGCTGCAGTAATTGAGCATTGTTTTTGTTTTTGTTTTCATAACTTATAAACACTTTCAAGTACATTATCACATGTAATCCTCATTGCAACTCTGTGGGGGAAGATAGGGCAGAGATCATCATCTATGGGGTCATTTTATAAAAGACTGATTTTAGAGTGAAATTATAAAGACTCAAAATCTTACAGAGAAAATTAACAACTCATAAATAGAATCCAAGAGACTTTCTGCTTAGTTTGCAGGATTATACGGTTAAGTAATAGCTCAAAAATCACATAGCTAAGAAGTGGCTCAGATGGGATTAGAACCCGGGCAATATGGCTGTAGAGTATATACACTTAATTTCAATACTGCCTCAACATAACAAATGCTTATTGAGCAGTTACCAGTTATTCGTATATGAAACACGCAGACTTCATTTAGCGAGTTTCTGCTGTATGCCAGGCACTGCAGAGAGGGTCCTGAAAATAGAACAAGGAGCAAGGCATTAGCCAGATATGTATTTATTTACTTATTTCTGACCTACCATGATTCTGATGGTTCTTTGAAGGAAAAGACCAGGGTGCTACTGAACATATAGCAGGAGGTCCTGCCTTGCTTCAGAGGAAGGAAATTTTCAGGTGTAGCTTCAAAGATGAATGAGCTCTATGGAAGGCTGGGGAGGGGAGACACAGATGCATGAAGAACATCTTAGGTAAAGGGATTGGTAAGTGCAGACATTTGACATAAACAATCATGGAAAACAATCAAACATTCTCCTTGACTTTCAAACTCTAGTAAACACCCACTCCATGATTCTTGACTTACTTTCCTCCTCTGTCTTCTCCCCTTCTAGGCCCTTATTTTTCTCTCTTCCTGCTTATATTAGTTTTGCAAGTTCCCTTTCCTCTGCTCACTCATTAAAGGTTGCTGGTTTTCAGCGCTCTGCCCTTGGATCTATTTAGTCCTCACTTTAACACTTAGATTGTATCATCCATTCATGGATTTAATTACTATCTACATACTAAAAAAAAAACAACCACACTCTACATTCAGTTAATAAGTCTATTTTAAAATCAAGCCTGTGGTTTTGGCTTAACTTCTAGTGGACTTGCCTCTTTAAAAGTTTTGTAGGTATCTTAATCTCTACTTGCCCAAAAAGAAATCATTATTGTCCTCTCCCAAAAGGCTCCTGCTCATTGCTCTGTATAAATTAACTAAACCAGAAATCTGGTTCCATGCAACTTCTTTTATTTTAAAACAAAATTATCCCCCTTAAATGCAGTTCTGTTACTTCTGCTTACCAAGCTTTTCTCAAATGTTATTTCTTTCTACTCTCATTGCCATTACCTTGTCATACTACCTGTGGCAGCTGTGTAACGAAGCATATACTCCCTTGCTAATCCATCCCACACGCTAATCAGAAGAATCTACCAAAAATGCAAATCTGATTATTCCATTCTCTTCTTACACTTACATGGCCCTTGGGATAAGATGGGAGCACAGACTTCCGTTCGTATACCCACCTAGCACCACTTCAGCCCCATTTATTATCACTTCTCACCCTTCTCATCTACCTTCCATCTATTCTCAACTTTCATTCGGCACATACTTTTTTTTTTTTGGCCTTCAGGTCTATTATTCTGTTACTTCCTCCCATTCTGCTTTGCTTAACTCTCTCCCACTTACCCTCCATGTCCTGAATTTGACTTCAGAATACCTTTCATTATTCTGTAATTTTAATGGGTCAGATTCTCCTATTATGGTTCTATAACCTTGTATTTCCCTCAACATTGTATTGGTCATATGTTATGATATTGCTGATCTAATTATTTGTGAATACAGAATACATGTATCTCTAGCTTATCATTACAGCTATAGTAACATTGTGCCTGGCATATGGGCATACTTGTTGCACAAACAAATGGTTTGTCCTTGAAAGTCACATACATGTAACAGCACAGAATAACATGGGCTTTTGGATGAGAGAAAAGTTTGAATCTTGGGTCTGTCATTTATTTACTGTATTTGTTTTGACAAATTACTTATCTGGACCTGTTTTGTATGTACAAAATGAGTACAATAGCAATCAACTCATGAGGTTGTTGTAATTGCCAAACAGGCCTGTAAAGAACTGGGCACATTTAAGTGCTCAGAAAAGGGAGCTTTTAGAATTATTAGCTGATTCATTGAAGGTTTCATTAAGTGAAACTTACATCAAATGCCTATTTGTTCAGAAAATGTTGGTGTGATCTGGCAAGACATAATCCTTTCCTTGATACTTAATTTCTTGAAGAACTGTGTTGTTTCTGTGTTTATGTTCCTCTCTAGTCTGTTTGTTTGTTCAGAGATGGGTCTCATCATATTGCCCAAGCTGGTCTTGAACCCCAAGGCTCAAATGATCCGCCTGCCTTGGCCTCCCAAAGTGCTGGGATTATAGGCATGAGCCACCATGCCAGCCAGAAGAACTGTCTTAATTTTGAAATTCGATTTTCTTTTACATTCTGTTCAAACTTCCAAAGAAGATTCACTCTCAAGGAGTCACATCAGACACAACTTGTTATTCTCACATAAAACTTACTTTGTTCACTATCAAAAGTTCTATTTGGAGTCAGATATGGTGGCTCATGCCTGTAACCCTGGCACTTTGGGAAGCTGAGGTATGAGCATGGCTTAAGCCCAGGAGTTTGAGACCAGCCTGGACAACACAGGGAGACTTAATCTGTAAGTATATATGCATAATTAGCCCAGCATGGAGGTGTGTCTGAAGTCCCAGCTACTTGGGAGACTGAGGTGAAAGGATTATTTAAACCCAGGAGTTTGAGACTGCAGTGAGCTATGATTGTGTCACTTCACTACACTCTGGGTGACAGAGCAAGATCTTATCTCAAAAAAAAAAAAAAAAGTTGTATTTGTTGGTTAGCCAGTGTCTTAGTTTCTCGTTGCTGCAGTAATAAGTTGCCATAAACTTGAGGGTGTAAAACAAATGAAATTTATTGCTATATTTTTCAGGAGATCAGAAGTATGAAATAGGTTTCATTGGACTAAACGAGAACTATTTTCTTGCCTTCTCCAGCTTTAAGAGGCTTCCCACGCTACTTGGCCTATGCTACTTGTCCGTCTTCAAAGTCTGCAATGGCCAATCAAGACTTGCCCTGCCTCACTCTGATGCTGCCTCTTTTACTTCCTTCTTACACATTTAACGGTACTTGTGATCCCTTTAGACTTGTCTGGATGACCCATTTCATTAGCCACCTTAATTCCATCTCCAACCTTCATTTTCCTTTGTCAAGTGAGGAGCCATATTAGCAGGTTACAGGGATTAGAATGTAGACGTCTTTGGCAGGGCATTATTCTGTCTAATACAGCCATTCTGTTGCAGGCATCATATTAAACTAAGTACTTGACTGAAATAAGCACAGTTAATGCTCCCAGATGTCCTAAGAGGTAAATCTTATTGCTCCACTTTGTAGATAAGAAAAATGAAACTGCAAGATGTGCTTTCTTGCTGATTGTGACTGGCCATCAGCAGAAGAGGGTTCTGAGCCTCTTTTTGCTGCCTGCAGTCGGGTTCTGTGCTCTTTGCAAGGAGGTCCTGAAGCCTCTTGTGTGGGGCCCTCCTGTCTCTGTCATCTCACATCCTTATCAAGCATGGTCTCCAGGGGTTTTCCCAGTTCATTGTAAGAAGAAAGAATATGTATTAACATTCAGCGTATTATCTGAAATACATTTTATTTATTTTTCTCTGCTGCAATAACATAGGGAAATCTAAATATCCAAGCCAACTCTAATTTTCAAATAAAAAAGTGAGCTTCTTGGCACAGAAACACAAAAATCAAAATCCACAATTTATAAAAATTGAAGCCGCTTTCAAAATTAATTTTAAATTGACAAATAAAGGTGGTATATATTTAAGGTGTTCAATGTGATCTGTTTGAAGCAGATTTAAAGACTGTAATGAAGCAATGCCTTTGAATACACAATGGCCATCCTGAAAAGGTTTCTATTTCTTTTGCTTCTTAATGGCAGAAAAGGATTGAAAGATTTCTTGTATGTGAGTGAAACTGCTCTGTTCTTGCATACTGGATTCTGTTGTAAATGTCATTAGTATGTATTTCAATGTGTTTGACTCATGGAGGTGTTTAAAGGCTGTGCTTCATGAATCACATGTTACCGTGTTAATAAGAGATATGGCAATAAAATTCTAGATCTGAGGTGGAAAAAAATTCAAAAAAAATTGAATCAGTTTTACTGAGTGACATCTTACAGGCAATCCAAATTCCGTTTAATGAACTCCTGCGTGTTTTTAAGTGTAAAGAAATGCTAAATCATATTCCTACACCTCCAAGGTAATTCTGCAGTTTAAGTGAAGTTTGCAAAGTTCAGCATGACCTTGCAAGGTAACCAGGCAGAATTAAAACTTCCCTTCTCCCACCCCAATCCATTAATATTTCTGTTTTAATTCCTTTATCAAATGTTTCCTTTCCCATGGTGCAGATATAGTGCTGAAAGCTTTGAAGATAGACTTTGTTTTAGTCCCTATTTCCTGTTACCCTTGAGATTTGGGGCTCGAGTGAGGTAAGGAGAAAAAAGGGAATCAGATTTACAATCATTTTAACAGCTCTAAAGACAGGTTTAATCTTCACCCTGATCAAGATAATGAAGTAGAATGATATTAAAAGTCTTTCAATTCTTTGTTTTCTTGAGCAAAAGAAAAAGAAATAGTGTCTCATTGCATTGGAAAATATACAAGCCCTCTTGGGATAACAAACATAATTCATTCTCACTCAGGCAACCAGTGAAATCACTTCCTGGTTGCTGAGCTTATAGGTTATTGAAACCACGGGGGTTTTGTTAAATATAACCATCTAATAAATCTGCCCCTTCTTGTAATTAGGACAATGGTGATAAATTTTCTATGAACTTTTTCCTCCCTTTTAGGGCAACTTTAAGAAATCTCCAATAATGCATATGTCATGTAGAGTTGAATGGAATTGAAACGCCCTGCCTTATCTATTGCTGTGGATTGGCAAGAGAAGACAGTAAGTGCTTGAAGCATAGTGATGGGGTAAACAGCGCATTTCTTTCTTTGAGTGAGTTTAAAGTTTCCTAAAACATTGGGCAGTCTGAACTTAACACATCTCCTTGATATCATCTATCTTAAAGGAAAAAGCCATTTCCCATATGTTTTCAGGCCAAATAGAGGTGATACCCTCATTTTAAAATTCAGAAATGTTCTAAAAATAGTCTTTAAACAAAAGTAAATACAAATGTCCTATAAGAGCATCAGGGAACTTGATTATTTAAGGGAGGCAAGTGGAATCAACTTCAAGTTGATTTCTCATACTGTACACAATTGCTATATTCCCTCATGTAAGTACGTGTGGAAGCTATGGCTTCATTGTTAGGCACTGGATCTGAAGTCAAAGTTCTCAGATTGAACTCTTCAAAATGGCTCCTACACACCCAGGACTTGGGTAAAGGCTAACCCCACTGATCTTCAGTTTCTCCATCTATAAAGGGAAAATAATATTATCAACCTCACATTCTTTGTGTGGCTCATATCCATATATTCATTTAATATTAATTGAGCTACTAATAAAATAATAGTAGCAGAAACTAAGATTCATTGAGCTATGTACTTTTCCTATGTACTGGGCACACCCCTGGCATAGCATAAATTACAAGTGTGCCTAAATATTGATCTTCTCTGGCCTCAGAGAAGCCAGAATACCCAGGCAACTTGCCTCTGGCCACAAATAGCAGCATCTTTTTAATCTACTGTTTTGTATTAAGTATCATTTCCTCTGTGTTGGTTGAAAGGCCTAATTAATACACACTGTATCAATTATTATGATGCATATTAGAGTTAAAAAGACTGAAGTATAGAGAAGTTAACTAGCTGGCCAAAGTCACCCACCAGGTAGGAAGTGAAACTGTCACCTGAGCCTGAGTTTATTTACCAAGGATATGCTCTTATTTACTGAATGCTACTCCATTGCCATTAATACTGTTGTTTATCAAATAATTCTAGTTCATTCCTATTTAAGGCACATGGAAGGATTTCATTTCTTTGCCATCATCAGGTTAGATGTGGCCAATGACTTGCTTTGGTCAATTAAATAAGAGAAATGGCATGAGTCAGTTCTGGATAGAGGCTTCAGGACTCCCCTTTCTCAGGTCGGCTGTGATTAAAGAAGCCATGAAAAGAAGATGTCTCTGTCAACCTGTTACCCTAACAGACCACAGTGAGTACAATCACCTTGTGTAGCACACATAATATGAACAAGAAATACACTGTTGTTTTGTTGAGACCCTGAGATTTGGGGAATAATTGTAACCACAGCATAATCTAGCTTGTCCTGAGACAATTATGCTGCTGCCAAATATGTAGTAAGTTGTGTCAATGATGTGTGTCAACTCTCCAAGGTTGGGGGAAGCTCTTATCAGTAATGTTGGGGGATTTTTGTATAGCAAATACTCCCACTGCTATGGCCTGAATGTTTGTGTTCCTCCAAAATTCATATGTTGAAACCTAATCACCAACATGATGGTATTAGGAGATAGAGACTGCTATGGTCTAAATGTGCCCTCCAAATTTCGTGGGTTAGAAATTTAACTCCTAATGCAACAGTGTTGGGAGGCGGGAACTCACGGGAATGAGAGGTGTTTAGATCATGGGGGTTCTACCCTCATCAATGGATTAAGGTTGCCATGAAAAGGGCTTGCAGGAATGGGTCCATCTCTTTCTCCTTTCTGCCATGTGAGAACACAGCATTCCTCCTCTCCTGAGGATGTGGCAACCAGGTGCCATCTTCAAACCACAGACTAAACTCGCTGGCACCCTGATCTTAAACTTTTCAGCCTCCAGAACACTGAAAAACAAATTTTTGTTCTTCGTAAATTGGCCAGTCTGTGGTATTTTTGTCATAGTGGTAAAAAATGGACTAAGACAGGACCTTTGTGAGGTGATTAGGTCTTGAAGGGTTGCCCTCATGAATAAGATTCATGCCTTTATAAAAGAGACCCCAAAGAGATACTGACACTTTCCTCCATGTGAGGTTACAGTGAGAAGACAGTCATCTATGAGGAAAGGCAGATACCAAATGCCGAATCTGCTGGTGCCTTATCTTTGACTTCCCAGCCTCCAGAACTGTAAGAAATAAGTTTCCACTGTTTATAAGCTAATCAGTTTATGGTAGTTGGTTATAGCAACCCAAATACCTTAGGCACCCAGTAAGGTTAACTTCAAGCTGCCGACATGATGGTACTGAATGTAGAGTTGGGATGAAATGGACAAAATTGGTTCTGGCAAGCCTGTGGGAGGTCAGCTGAGGACAGCAGTGGCTCAGGGTATATTGTAGTGAATGGATAGATGTGACTCCTGACTTGATTGAATTTACAGGCTAGAGAGGCAAAATTAAATGAGATAATAAAGATGCATATGTATTTTATTTTATCAAGCATGAAGTAAGGAGCTCTTCTATTCTTAAGAGCAAGTCTTTCTTAACCTGGAGTCCACACAAAAGGAAGGTGTTGGGATTGTTGTCACATGGTCCCCCAAAAACTACATACTTATTAGAATCTAAATCAATGTCAAGCTGTAAAATTATGATTGACTCCTTTTGAAATGAGTCCCAATTCTAAATTTAGCTAATCCTATTAGAAATATTCAGCACATTGATGCATACTGGAATATTTACACATAAACTCATGACACTAAATTCATCTGGATTAAACTAACCTTCCCCTGACACTGTTCTCCAAATAATGGCAATATTTTGAAATTTTAATAATTTTAGAATAGATTGGGACTATCATGAGTAAACATTCAGAAACATATGCTCACTATACAACCCTCTGTGGCAGAGACTGGCTAGATGCTTATTGATTTTATTCTATTTTGTTTTCCTGGACACATAAGAAGCCTATACCCAGCCTCCTATGTGGTAAGTTTGAGGCTAGGGAAGAAGTGATGTCCATGACGGTAAGGCCATACATGATTTTCCTTGCTCTCTCTGCCAGTTGGCTGGCTGAATGTGGAAGATCCAGTAAAGGACTCCAACTAACGGTACCATTAGAGGGAAAAGGCCAGGATTCCCAGATCATTGGTGTAAGCCCAGCTGCTGAAGGCCAGTTGGACTTTCCACTGGCTTATTTTATATTATTGTAGTTATAGCAGCTAGTATTGATAACCCTGATTAACACCTCTTCTTAGATAGGGATATATTATATTTGCTTGGAACCAAACCACTAGCATATTATTTTATATTTTTACATGGATAAAGAAACTGGAGCCTGAGAGCAGTGGCTCATGCCTGTAATCCCAACATGTTCAGAGGCCAAGTCAGGAGGATCACTTGAGCTCGGGAGTTTGAGACTAGCCTGGGCAACAAAGCAAGATTCCGTCTCTTCAAAAAAGTAAAAACAAGCTGGGCATTGTGGCATGCATCTGTAGTCCCAGCTACTTGGGAGGCTGAGTGAGGAGGATGGCTTACGCCCAGGAATTCAAGGCTGCAGTAAGCTATGATTGTACCACTGCACTGTAGTCTAGATAACAGAGTGAGGCCCTGTCTCTTAAAAAATATAAATTAAGTTGAAAAAAATTTTTAAACAAGTGTTTACTAAAACTCTGTGGTAAAATGATTTTTAAAAATCAAATGAGTAATTAACAGCTTGTGGCAAACACAGCCTTACAACAACCACACGGCCCTTGAAGGAAGGACTGGCTGTCCAGCTACAGGGAGTACAGTCAACCAGCTGTTAGCTCCTTCATGCCTCAGTTGCAGAGAGCTGCCTCGCCCTTGGTCAGGCAATGCCCTGGTGCCACTGATCCAATGACCCATCATGGCTGGATTGACCAGTGATACTCCTGAGCTAAGCTCTCCAAAGGGTGGGCTAAGGCTTTGTCTGGCTGACATCCAAGCTGACTTTTCCCTCTATCCAGTCCTGTCTCCTCCTCCTTTTCACAGGGGCTGAGCCATAAAATAAACATCTTTTATGCCAAATTTCATCTCTTCTTGGACAATGCAATCTCTTACACAGACTATTGAGGGGCTAGACAACTGATAAGAATACATACATTTAAAATTCAAATTTAAATATAACTATTGCTCCACCAGAAACATGCTGACAGTCATGTGCTCATCCTTCTTGCTCTGGAATGAAGTCTAGAAGTTCTTAATTTACTTTAAGCTTTCCCAATGCTTTTTCTTCTTCTTCGTCTTTTGCACTTCACTTACGAAGGTATCGAGACATATATTTTTCTTAATTTCTAGCAAATAACATTTTTTTCTTCTTCTATACCAGTGTAGAAAGGGAAATTAATTAATTGATTAATTCAGTGCATCTCATGGCTGTTAGAAATCATCGGAATCTATAGCAATGAATGGTATATCAGAATCTCATTATTTCTTTTTTAAATAAAAACAAATTTGGCCCATAGATGTTGATGAGGATTGTTTTTATGTTAGTTTTACACTCTACCCCCATAATGATGAGCATATTTAATAATATAAGGCAAAAGCGATCTAACGTATCTTTCAACATTTGTCTTTACAAATGTTACAAACCTCTCTCCTTATAATGTTATAGGATGGTTACTCTTACAATTACAGCCACGGAAGATTAGCTGGGTTGTTTATTAAAATAATTGTATTAGCATGTTTTCATACTGCTATAAAGAATGGGTAATTTATAAAGGAAAGAGATTTAATTGACTCACAGTTCCGCATGGCTGGGCAAGCCTCAGGCAGCTTATAATCATGGCAGCAGGCAAAGGGGAAGCAAGGCACCCACTTCACAAAGCGACAGGAAGAAGTACTGAGCGAAGGGGGAAGAGCCCCTTATAAAACCATCATATCTCCTGAGAACTCACTCACTATCGAGAGAACAGCATGGAGGAAACCACCCCCATGATTCAATTACCTCCACCTGGTCTTTCCCTTGACACGTGGGGATTATGGGAATTACAATTCAAGATGAGATTTGGGTGGAAACACAGAGCCTAACCATATCAATAATGAATCCCATTCATGCCAATTTCTACTACTACAGATTTCTGAAGAGTATCGTTAGAGCCATTTTTACACAGAGCCATGAAAATTATTGTTAACTGTGTTATGACATGGGGTCATTATGCAATCTCCCTTTACAAGAAGTATCTTTAAATTGTTTCCCATAGAGACTGGCATTTACCACTAATGACTCAGTTTTTCATATTATGAAGAATAAGTAATGCTGATTTGTGTATATTATACGTCAGTTGCTATTATGAATAACTTATGTGATTTATCTTAACGAGTCCTCAAAACAGCCCTATAAGAACATCCATATCATTGTTATCTCATTTCGCTGATAAGGAAAATGCGGCACAGAAATACCTATGATGTGTCCAAAGTCACAGAGTTAGCACAGGTAAACCAGAATTCATACTCAAGCCCCCTCTTATTCACCAGGCTGTACAATGAATATTTAAGGTACTAGGATTTCCAAAAGTCTTTGAGTAAAGAGCAAACACCCATAAAAAAGATAACCCAAAAGCTATTATTAGTTGTACTTCATAAATGCTTGTTATGTAAATGCCTAAGTAATTGTTGGATAATTTAGAATTCATTCATCAACTTATCAAGCATTGCTTTGGGATCCTGGGTCACAATAATTGGGATGAGGAAAGATAAAAAGGAAGGAGGGATGGATCTAAAACAAGAAGAGCTCTCTGGAAAGGGGAGAGTTGGCTGGGGAGCCACACTAAAAGGGCTCCTTGAGACAATCAGAGAGAGGCATAGAGGACAGTGAATGTCATGTGGCTTTTGGGTGGGATTTGGTGTGGAGAAAGAGAAGGCAGTATGGCGCCAAGAAATTATTTTCCCTCTGGCTAGTCTTTTCCAACATTATTTTAATTTCTCTTTTAACACTGAAGCACAGTGACAGTATGATATTTCACTTTGAATTTCCAACTAGACCCAAATCTGTTTGCAACTCTAAAGCCATAGAAGAATGTTTATTTTACAAAATTAAATGTGAAAGGTGTTTACTTTGCCTACAAGATGGTGCGACTTGGGCGCCGACATGACTAGTTAAATAACTGGAACTTATCTGTTTAAAAGATTTAGTTTCTAATCAAAATGTACAATGCAAGTTCTATGGATTTTTTGTGGGTTCCCTTATTCAGTATATACTCTTTTGAAAAACATTACTGTAATTCTTTGAGTTCTAGCACCAGAGGAATTACACTGTTTACTAAGTGTTTTGATTTTTCAGCATACTGAATCCTTGGAAAAAAAATTTGAAAGTACGATTTTTTTCCCTTATGCCTATCAAAGAGAATCCAATATAAAGACTCTTCTAGAGTGGGTTTTTATTTCTTAGATCATCACTTTTTGAACTTTTCAGTTCCAGTTTCACTTTCCCTGAAAACATTTTTACGATAGAGCAAGTTCGTAACAACTAGCTTTGTAAGGTGGAAATTTTTTGCAAGAGCTGATTACAATGTTTACGTAAATTGCTTCAAAGTTTGGCAGCTCTCTTTCTAGAGACAGGGACTCTTCCTGTTATTATTTCTCCAAAATGTGCTTGACATTCTGATTTTGGATTAAATAAACAAAATTCCTACGCTGAATTCTGACATGTCATAAGCTTGACAGTGCTAAATTACCTTTCAAAAGCAGCGAATGTTTCAGCCTGTTTTCTTTAAAAAAAGAAAAAAGTACCAATTTCTTAACTGCTGAAAAAGAGCAGAGCTCACATCAAGTGTGACTCATGATAACAAATGTGATGCCTCTCTCCCTCTTCCCTCTGCCTCTTCAAAGATTGATCAAGTGATAGTGATTTTCTGAGTCAAAAGTGTCATACAATTCTTAAGTGGAAGAGAAGGGAGGGTTTGGCTTAATTCTTTATGATAATTCAGCCAATCACTCCAAGAATGGGAGAGAATAGTATTCACAAGTGTAAAGTATAATGATATTACAATGTATGTACCAATCATCTCCCACCAATTTATTCCTGTTTAAGCAGTTAGCAGAATCAGTAAAATTCGTAACTCAAGAAAAAAAAAATGGGTTGGATTAAATACTATAGTAGTCTAGCTGCTCTGAGCTCAAGTCTCCAGGACAGAAATACACCTATGTGGCAAATAGTGAAACTAATTTCCCTCACTGCCCTCTCTACTATTCTGTTTAGAAATCTTGACTGCTGTTCTAATGGACAGGTGCTTTCCTGCTCCTAATAGTGGGAAGTGATGTGATGGCTTAGGAATGAAATTTAAGTACACCTCTCCGAACTCTGGGATGGGTGGATGATAATCTTCATAAGTAACTGAAGCCACCTAAGAGGCCTGTCCCTACTGTAAACAGAAGTCATTTTTGCCCTTGTTGTAAAGAACCCACTTTGTTTAATGTTAAGAGGTTGGTGTGTTTAATCTGACCTTTGATTTCAAAGATTGGGCATGGAACATAAATATGCTCTATCTAATTTAATATCAACATGACCACATTTTAATTCTGCTGTATAATTAACACAATTCCAATATTTAACATTCAACCAATGCCTCCTGAGTACCTGCTGTATGCCAGTTACTGGGCTGGACCCTACTGGCAAATACATAGGTAACTTAAACATAATGGCAACCTGAAGAGTCTGGGTGGATGTCCCTTCCAGAACATACTAGATGACTCATGGATCACAAGCAGAGAAGGGACTTGGTCTTTGGTATAGAGCAGTAGTTCTTAACAGTGTGGGGGGCACTCTGTCCAACAGAGGGTTATTTGGTAGCATCTAGAGGCATTTTGGATTGATTGTCACAATTGGAGGGAAAAAATCTGTGCTACTGGTATCTAAGTGGGTAAAGACCAATGGATTCCCTGTATCTGAGTAAAAATGTAATTTTTTGGAAACAGTCCATCCATCAAAACGATGCTTAATGACCCTAGAGGGATGTGAATCAGTATTACATCCATCAAGCTTCACTCTTCTGCAATAACTGATTTGTACAAAAGCTAGTGTTGTTCATCAGTAACTCCGTAAATATTCTACCATGCACAGGAAATCCGCCCCCCTACCCACCATAATAAAGAATGATCTGACGCCGAATGTTAGTAATGGTGAGGCTGAGAAAACACATACACACACACACACCCTCTATAAATAATGAGGGTGGGGTAGAAAAGAATTTTTAGTATTTCTCCACAGATCTTTGAGGGCAGAAGAGATTACATTTGCATGGGGACAGCATCAAGTATAATTGAGAAGTCTTTGTGCTGAAGAACGTTTTCTAAAGGTCTTGCCCTCTGTCTTTAGGGACTACACTGTTACAAATGAGACATACCCACAATCCAGTCCTGAAGAGTAGCAGTATTTTGGGCATGTGCTTCCAAGGGTTAGTAGATGGTGTGGATGCTGTTATTGTTTTATTAAGGGCTAGTGCTAACCACTGTTCTACACACTTCTAATATTAACTTCACAAATCCATTAGTGAAGTGGGTACTATTATTATGCCTGTTTTTATAGATGAGAAAATTGAAGTGTAGAGTGCTTAATTAGTGGCCCTATGGTAACCCAGCTGTAAGGGGTAGAGCCTTGATTTTAACCCCAGGGGTTTAGCTTCAGTCTTTATTGCTAATTGCAAATAGCCAAACTGCCGCTTCCTATGTCACCTGTTGAAATTTTACTCCGTCTCAGCTGTAGTTCAGGTATGTGACCTTAGACAAGTTATTCTCTGTGCCTTATTTCTATCATGTCCAAGATATATATACTATTCTATTTCAGTTGTGGTTGGATTTAAATAAGTTAGTGTGTGTAAGCATTTAAAACGGTGCCTAGAACAGAGAAATGTCTTAGTAAATTTTATCATAATGATGATATTGATTCTTCCCTATGGCATGTGCATCTTAAGACAGCACGTCTTCTTAAGACAATAGTAGGAAAAGTACAAACAGCTTTTAGAGCCAAATAGAGTTTATCCATACCCTTTCATTATCTGTAATTGGCTATGTGACTTCGACCAATGTAAGAAGCTCTCTAGGCCTTATTTTTGTTTGTTTTTGTTTTTAACTTGCTAATTGGGAAATGACCTTTTGGACAAAACAAATACAATTTTTCTTTCTGTGAAGAGTCATAGTACAGTATCTGATATAAAGAAGAATAAATCAAAAGAAATGAAGCATTAAGCACTTTGAGCCATTAGGAAAACATACATTTATATTAGCTTTGCTACTGTTACCTGATTTATGTTATTTAAGTGTATTTTGTCCTTTTGTGAAATTATCTCATCTTGGATCGTCTTATGCTGCTGTAATGGACTACCATAGACTGAGTGATTTATAAAGAACATAAATTTATTCCTCACAGTTCTGGAGGCTGGGAAGTTCAAACTCAAGACACCAACATCTGGTGAGGGCCTCCTTGCTATGCCCTCCTCACATGGCAGAAGGCAGAAGGACAAGTGGGGATAAACCCAATGTCCTCACATGGCAGAAAAGTGCTTGAGAGAAAACCCACTCCTGCAAGCCCTTTTAATAGTAGCATTAGTTCATTAATGAAGGTGGAGCCTTGATGAAGATTTAACACCTTCCATCAAGCCTCACCTCCCAATACTGTTGCACTGGGTATGTATTCAGTTTCCAACACATGAGTTTTGGGGAACACACTCAGACCATAGCATCTCTGTTAGGAGGATATTACCCTCTGTCCTTAGATAGCCAGTGGGTGATCACTAAGAAGTTTTGAATGATACTGGTAAATGCAGGGTGTGTGTGTGTGTGTGTGTGTGTGTGTGTGTGTGTGTGTCCTTGCAAACATGAACACACATGTGCATATAGAAAACCAAAGAACAGCAAAGACTTGGACCTTCCTTGTCTGCTTGAGCCTATTGGAACATTCCCTTTCAGCAGCCCAGAAGATGGATTGATGCAAGGCTGGCCAGCGGAAAACTGGTTCTGGTGAGTGGTTTGAGCATAATGGCTATCAGAGGATCCAGTTGGTTTAGTTGAAAACTGGGAGTATATAAAAACATTATCTTCAGCTTTTATTGACTAAATTATTGCCCATAACTAGTACTTGTCCTATTTTCAATTACTAATATTTTTCTACAACTTGTTCCTTTATACACTATGGCTTCTTGCTCTTTAAAGACATTTAAATAGAACTCTCTCTCTCTGAAGATGTGTCCCCAGTCAAGCTCCTTTTTAGGAAAGCAAACATTGATTATCATTGATTAGGATGGAAACGTATGACTTGGAGTCAGCATGATACAGAATTGAAAGACACTTAGGGAGTTATTGATGAACAACACTAGCTGTTGTACAAATCAGTTATTGCAGAAGAGTGAAGATTGAAGGCTGTACTATAGATTCATATCCCTCTAGGGACATTAAGCATCATTTTGATGCATTGACTGTTTCCAAGAAATTACATTTTTACTCAGATACAGGGAATCTGTTCTAAGAAGGTTGGCTTATAGGATCAGTCCTTGTTATCTTTTGATTATTATTGATTCATGCTGATTTTGTTTGAAGCCTGAGATTCCTTCATCCGATTTTAACAAATTTCTTCTGCTTTTTCTAGAAGAGGAAAATTTATTTATTTATTTATTCTATTCCCATCCATATGGGTTTGCAGGGGTGTCCAAGGGAGAGAATACAGTCATTAGTTCTTAGTTTCTGTTTTTGGTTGAGCCACTATAGCCCCTTCCTCATCCCTCTTTTCCATTTATCACTAGAAATGGAAACTAAACACCATGGCTTTAGGCTGCTAAAAGCCTAAAACAAAACAAAACAGAAAAACAACAATAAAAAAATAAAGCAGTTTGGACAAACTTGGGTGAAAATCTATGAATTAGCTCTGTGGTATATTTGGTGCACGTTGAGTAAATAAAGCACTTTGGACAAACTTGGGTGAAAATCTATGAATTGGCTCTGTGGTATATTTGGTGCATGTTGAGTAAAGTAGACACCATATCGTGCAGCTTCTAACTAGTTAAAGGTGATATCAATGGATGGAATAGTACAATACAAAAGGGGGATTTGAATTTAGAAGTCTTGGTTTCCTTTGACCATGTTTCCTTTCCTTTGTTTTACAATCCTTGAACTGATTCTACTTCTGATCCTGGTAAGGAATCACAGAAGACATTACACTCAAGGCAGGTGCTCAGAGCTTCACATTTTCTTTACAGGATGGGTTCTTGCGTCTGCTAAAACTATAATTGTCACTGATTTTCTAACTTCCTCTAAAAGTCTGAAGATGAATGGTCTCAATCCCAATTGCCAGCAGAAGTCCAAGTCCCCTGATATCCATTACCATCTTGTATGTGTATGCCTCTATCTCCCTTGGTTCTATCACTCTTCCAACCCTCCCACTCTGACCTTTGAAATCTTATACCCTGCCACGAGTAAATACTCCAATAGGTTAATCCTTTTATCTAAAAATTCTTCTCATCTTGCTTTAGCACAAATGCTTTGTAAACTTATGCATCTCCAGAATCACCTGAATGCTTGTTAGAGCACAGGTGAGGGTCTCCACTCTCAGTCTCTCTGATTTAGTAGGTCTGTGGTAAGGACCTAGAACTGGCATTTTCCTCAAGTTCCCAGGTGATGCTGATGCTGCTGGTTTTGGGACCACACTTTGAGAACCATTCCTCTATTAGAAACTGGTACAAAAACAGGCACATAGACTGATGGGACAGAATGGAGAGCCCAGAATAAGGCCACACATGTACAACGATCTGTTCTTCAACAAAGCTTACAACTACAAGCATTGGGAAAAGAATACCCTATTCAATAAATGGTGCTGGGAGAACTGGCTAGCCATATGCAGACGACTGAAACTGTACCCCTTCCTCAGACCATATACAAAAATCAAATCAAGGTGGATTATAGGCTTAAATGTATACACCTAAAACTAAAAAAAAAAAAAAAACCCTGGAGAACAACCTTGGCAATGTCATCCTGGACGTAGGAACAGCCAAAAATACCAAGTGGAATCACAATGAAAGCAAAAATTGACAATTGTGATCTAACTAAAGAGTTTCTGTAAAACAAAAGAAACAATCAAAAGAGTAAACAGACAACCTAGAGAATGGGAGAAAATGTTCCCAAGCTATGCATCTGACAAAGGTCTAATATCCAGTATCTATAAGGATTTAAACAAATTTACAAGGGAAAAACAAACAATTCCATTAAAACTTGGACAAAGGACATGAACAGACACTTTTCAAAAGATGGTATATCATGCAGCCAACAAGTATATATATTAAAAAAAACAGTTCAAACCACTGATCATTAGAGAAATGCAAATCAAAACCACAATGAGATACCATCTCATACCAGTCAGAAGGGCTATTATTAAAAAGTCAAAAAATAACAGATGCTGGTGAGGTTGCAGAGAAAAGCGAATGCTTATACACTGTTGGTGGGAGTGTAAATTAGTTTAACCATTCTGGAAGACAGTGTGGCTATTTCTCAAAGAGCTAAAAGCAGAAATATCATTTGACTCAGCAATCCCATTACTGGGTATATACCCAGAGGAATATAAATAATTCTCCCATAAAGACACATGCACGTGAATGTTCACTGAAGTTCTATTCGCAATAGCAAAGACATGGAATCAACCTAAATGCCCATCAATGACAGACTGGATAAAGAAAATGTGGTACATATACACCATGGAATACTATGCAGCTATAGCAAAAACGAGATCATGTCTTTTGCGGGAACATGGATGGAGCTGGAGGCTATTGTCCTTAGCGAACTTATGCAGGAACAGAAAACCAAATACCACATGTTCTCACTTATAAGTGGGAGTTAAATTATGAGAACATAAGAACACAAAGAGGAAACAACAGACACTGGGGTCTACCTGAAGGTGGAGGGTGGGAGGTGGGAAAGGAGCGAAAAATACAACTGCTTGGTAGGGGGTTTAATACGTGAGTGATGAAATAATCTGTACAGCAAACCCCCATGAGAGGAGATTACCTATGTCACAAACCTTCACATGTACCCCCAAACATAAAATAAAGCCTTTTTTAAAAAAAAAATAGACTTAGGGCTGGGCGTGGTGGCTCATGCCTGTAATCCCAGCACTTTTGGTAGATCACGAGGTCAAGAGATCAAGACCATCCTGGCCAACATGGTGAAACCCTGTCTCTACCAAAAATACAAAAATTAGCTGGGTGTGATGGTGCATGCCTCTAGTCCCAGCTACGCAGGAGGTTGAGGCAGGAGAATCGCTTGAACCCGGGAGGTGGAGGTTGCAGTGGCCTGAGATCTCACAACTGCACTCCAGCCTGGCAAGAGATCAAGATTCTGTCTCAAAAAAAAAATAAATAGACTTAGCTCCCCCAAGGATACTGTCTTCCCTACATGCCTCTCAAATGGTGGCTATTGCTCCATTCACTAACCAAGTACAACTATAACGTAAAATGATTTTGGTGTTTGCTTGGCTTCTGACAGCTGTATCTCTACACCTGTTCCCTTCTTCCTCAAAATATCCTCAAAAGCCATCAGATTATTCCACCTACAATGCTTTTTATGGTGATTATTTAATAAGCTTTCTACTATTCTCTTTTTCTCGTTGAAAAATTTTAGCATCTGGCCAACTGTCTTTCTTTTTTCTATTATGCTTGCCAACATTCTTGGTGCCTTCACCATCTATATGGATGACCCAATGATACCAGAATGGGGCTTTGAGGGCTGGGTAGAAAATGGTGGGGTCCCTGGTAAGGGCTCCACCTTCGGTCCTCTGCCCACAGACGTAAGTGAGAACAGGCACTCCTGTTTTCATGCTGAAATGTTGCACTTTCCAAGACCACTCTGGTCTACCATGCCCCCCCATCCTGTGCCCATAAAAACCTGAGACCCTAGTGGGCACAGACACAAGTGGTGGGACATTGAAAGGAGCAGAACAACACACTGACAGACACCAGCAGA
This sequence comes from Homo sapiens, assembly GCF_000001405.40. Classification (NCBI taxonomy): domain Eukaryota; kingdom Metazoa; phylum Chordata; class Mammalia; order Primates; family Hominidae; genus Homo; species Homo sapiens. The sequence continues at coordinate 70,352,029 of NC_000017.11, forward strand.
CACCAGCAGGCCATCAACAGTGGGATGATGCAGAATTCAGTTGGGGTTGGTTGGAGGAGAATCTGGCCACTGAGCAGCCCGACTCCAGGGGAAGACGACCTTCCCACTCCATCCCCCTTCTGGCTCCCCATCCGCCTCACTGAGAGCTACCTCCACCACTCAGTAAAACCTTGTACCCATCCTCCAAGCCTATGTGTGATCTGATTTTTCCTATACACTAGGGAAAGATCCCCAGGATACAGAAAGCCATCTGTCCTTGCTATAAGGCAGAGGGTCTAACGGAGCTGACTCACACAAGCTGCTTGAAGATGGCAAAACTGAAAGAGTACACTGTTAACACACACCCACTGGGACCTCAGGAGCTGTAAGCACTCAACCCTAGATGCTGCTGTGGGGTTGGAGCCCAAAAACACTCCCCACGACTGCCTGTCTGCATGCTCCCCCTAAGGGCTTCAGCAGCAGGGCACCTAAGAAGCGAATCACACCCCTGTTGCATGCTCTGCGAGGAGTATGAGGCAACTCCATCCATTTTACCAAGACCCTATCACTACTTCTCTATCACTCCACCCACCTTACTCTCCTCCTCACACAGCTTAGAAACCAGACTTTAAAACTTCCTTGACCCTCTTTTCAAGAAAACCTTCCTAGATTTTCCTAGCAAATGCTAACCTGGCAAAGCCCAACTCTACCTCTTCTGGGCCTGAACTCAAAAGGCCTTACACACTGGAAACAAAACAAAACAACGCACAATGCTGCCAGTTTTCATGTTACATATATGATTTTTTTAAAAAACTGCAATGTGCTTACAGCACAATTATAATGCAATTCTCCAGCATAGCAACCAATAACTGGGTAGGAGTTCCAGAGGAGCTAGAAGTCTCAGATAAGTGGTTGCAAGGGTGAATACTGGAGTCTAACACATCTGCGTCTAAACTTGTCTCCGACTTTCACCAATTGAGTGGCCCGGGGCAAGATACCTAAACTTCTTACAGCTTTGTTGCCTAATCAAGAAAATGGGGAAATGATAGTTTATGCTTAATAAGCTTTTTTGTGAACATGATATGGTATCAAGTATTCAGCATATTTGCCCAGCTACTAGTAAGCACTTGGTAAATACTGGCTAGTATTATTATCATATGCTATTGAACTTTAAAACCATACCTTAATTTTTACCAAAGTAGAAATGATTTTTGAATATAAGGTAAAAGTTAAGCTCCTCCTATATGTTTTGTTTAACAAGAGCAATTCCTATAAATGATGTGTGAGTGTGTTGTCACAACATGAATCAAATTGGCTAAATTATTCAGTTATTTGGATGTTCTGTAAACCTAAACTTTACAACTTGATATTTCAGGAGAATCAGCCTATCAGAACATATATGAATGCATCTCTTGGAATAATTAATTGTTTTTCAAGAGCAGCCATTCCTTTTTCCCCACCTTCTAGCAAAGAGATCAAATGAGAACAATTTGGAGGAAGCAGTAACACACTAATAAGTCTTCACTTTATGAGTTAATAATTTCTGGTTTCCTTAACAACCATTAGGAGCACATTCATGAACTGCAGTCAAATCATTAAGAAGAGAGCTAACAACAGGTGTGAGGCTTGTTTCTAGAATTCAGTTCATCATAGATGCAGTCAGCTTATTTTTAAGTCAATTAATTAATGACATAGGAAAAGGGGACGAGAAGAGGCTTAGTGGCAGCTAAGAGTAGACAGAGGACTGGTAGGAATATTTTTTAAAAATATATCAGAAAAATAATTTTCTAAAACCACTAAAGTGCAAACCACAGTTAAAATGACAAAGGGTCGCCTTTGGGAAATTCCCATTAGTAAAGCAAAGAGAAATGTGAAGAGGTAATGATTACTGATAATGGCCATGACCTTACTAATGTCTGTTTTCCCATCTGTCTCCAATGCCAGGAAACCATATAAACATCTAATTATATTAAGTTTAATGTCTTGATAAAAAGCCCTTGCTTATTCTTTGGTACTCTTGGAGAGCAAACATTTTGAGCAAAGGTTATTATAAAATTGAGATCAATATGGCTATTTTATTAAGCAGTTTTTCTCCCCAGCAACAGATCCTTTTTTTAAAAAAAATTACCAAGTGACAATATTAATGAGGTTTAAAGTATTACCATATTCTAATTTATAGGTATGATGTGAAAAATTCCTGCAAGGTACAAATACTTCCTTTAGTCCCAAAACAAAAAGGAAAATAACATGGCCAGGAAGAAAATGATGAGGTAATGGCAGAGAAGCTAATGAAGGAACTTACATTCAGAACAAACCTTTTATTTTTTTATTTTTTTTTTTTTTGAGACAGAGTCTTGCTCTGTCGCCAGGCTGGAGTGCAGTGGCGCGATCTTGGCTGCGACCTCCACCTCCTGGGTCCTGCCTCAGTCTCCCAAGTAGCTGACACTACAGGCACGTGCCACCAGGCCCAGCTAATTTTTGTATTTACTTATTTTTTTTCAGTAGAGATGGGGTTTCACCATGTTGGCCAGGATGGTCTTGATCTCTTGACCTTGTGATCTGCCTGCCTTGGCTTCCCAAACTGCTGGGATTACAGGCGTGAGCCACTGTACCCTGCCAGAACAAACCATTTTTAAAGCTACTGCAGAGTAAGAAATGGGTGCCAGGAATTGGAAAGGTGTTTGAGAAAATGATTTTCATATTCGTAAAATGATTTTTATACATATAGCAATCCTCTTATTCAGTTATAAACATGTTTTATATTATTTTTTCAAGTGCCCTGAATATATTAAATCAATGTAATTCTAGCTTAGCTGGGCTATTGGTGTCTTTTGAAGCATGTTCTTATATCATAGGATTTTTGCAAGGGATAACACGGTAATGTACGTGAGTGATTGAAACAATACCTGGTATAAATGAAGTGTTCAATAAATGTTATTAAAAATAACTATCGTCATCACTGTGAGCAATATGTATGTCCTGGCTTATCAGATAAACCAATTACCAGCTTTTAAAATATATGTAGATGGATTTTCCCTTAGTGAAGACACTATTAAATTTTTTTTAAAGAGACTTAAGTGGGGACTTGTCTAACACATAATAAACTATTTCATAGAGCTGGGATGGAAGAAAAGATAAAGAAGCAGAAAAAAGTAACAGATTGTGCTGCTGAGAGCTAATAGTGACAACACTGGTTTTTCGTGTTTCAAAGAATGCTCGATGGGATCTGAAATCTTTAGAAATAGAGCACTCATTGTTTTATTGGTAAAGTTTCTTATTTTAATTAGTATAAAATAGATTCAGCAAATTGCACAAATCACAGATGTGCAGTTTAATGAAATTTCACAAGATAAGATTGTGTAACCAAGACCCATATCAAAATATCAAGCATACCAGCACCCCAGAAATTTCCTGACTCCATCCCTACACTTAACTTTCTCCCAGAATGAATCACCATTTTAACTGGTAGCTCATGTTTTAGTTTTGTTTTCTTTTTTAATCTCATGCATGTAGAATCTTTTGCATCAGGCATCTTTTCTCAACATTATGTTTCTGTAATTTACTTATTTTATCTTTATCATAGACTTTGTATTTCCATTGTTGTATAATATTCCATTATATGAAAATAATTACATTATATATTATTGACATTGAGTTATTTCTTATTTTTCAATCTTCTATTTCCATATTGAGATATTATTTTATATTTAGTATATTGTCAGTAATTATATATTCTTCATGTTTTCTTTGTGAGTAATCAAATATTTCTTATATTTTTCCTATTAGCCAGTCACACATTATTTTGCTATTCAATTAGCATCTTTCAGTGTAGAACATGCATTCATAACTATGAATCAGTGCTCTTACCACTTGGTGAACAATGTAAGATCTTTACAAAACTGACTTCATTGGCTTTTATGCCACTTTCAAGATATGTTTTTATTATACATATATTTTAATCCCCATATGGCAATATTGTTATTTAAAATCAATATTTTAGATTCATCTATACAATACCATTCTTTTGCTCTTTAGTTCCTAATTTTAGAGCTTCCAGCTTGGATCATACTTCTTGTTTAAAAAGTACTCCTCATATTTAATTTTATGTTCATCTAATGGTGACAAATTGTCTTAATATTTGTTTTTCTGAAAATATCTTTATTCCACCTGCATTTTAAGAAAATGTTGCTCAATACAGGATAACGGGTCAACATTTTTGTGGGGACAGGCACATCATGTTCTCATTAAGTGAGAACATTGTGGCTGCCATATTTTCTGTCAAAAAGTCATATATTTTCTGTCAAAACATGGCTGCTATATTTTCTGTCAAAAAGTCAAATAGCAAACATTATTTTTCCTTTGAGAAAAGTTTGTCCTTTGTTCTAGGTGCTTTTAAAAGTTTGTCTTTCTTTTCAGCAGTTTTCTTTTGCTATGACTGTATATGATTTCGTTGTTATTCTGTTGTTTGCTAAAGTTTGAATCTTTGGGTTGATATATTGCTCTGACCTATTCTTTTTAATTCGTAATTCTAAGAATCAAACTACATGTATTTTAGGCTGTTCTAGAATGTTCTATGTATATTTTCTGTATTTTCTCTGAGTTTTAGTCTGATATTTTACCTATCTTCTAGCAGACTCATCCTTTCTTCTCTTCTGTCTAACCTACTACAGTTAGTTGAGTGCTTAATTTTAATTACAGTATATGTTTTCAGCTTTGGAATTTTCATTTCTAGCTTTCTGAATATGTTAATATCGTTACCTTAAATACTCTATCTGAAGACTCCAACGCCTAGATCACCTCAGAATCTGCCTCTATTTTCTGTGTTTCTTGTCCTATTTTACAGGATGCCTCAAGATTTTAATTGGATGTCAGCTATTGTGTGTGAACAATTATGGAGAATTTTGGATAATACTTTATTTCTGCAGAAAGTATTAACTTTTTCATGGCAGACTAAGTTTTAGCATCTGTAATAGTGTGTCTGTTTCTAGGAGTGCCTATCCTCCTGATTCGTAGACCTCAAGGGGTCTCAACTAAAAGCCTGACCTAACCCCCAATTATTATCTCACAGCATCATGCATCCGCTAGCAGCTGCACTGCTATTTGGCCTGGAACTGCTCCTGTATGCCTGCTGTCCCACTGCCCACCTTTGGCATTAGCAAATGTCTATGCGTAATATTAATGCAGAATGTGAGACTCATATCTTAGGGTCCCTTTCTCCGGGATCTCGGCACCTCAAGCCCTTGCTGCCTTGGTAGCCCTGACCTCCAGTCTTTGTATTTGTAATACTGCTGAAATACAATTACGATGCTGCTATTGTAATGCTGTTCAAGATTCTGAGTCACCCCTTTTATTTTGCCACTTAGCCCCTTGACTGCTTACGGATGAGGCTGTATAGAAAAGTGGCAGAGCCTAGCTGACTCACCCTAGTGTACCTTCTTTCAGCCTCTTGGATCTTCAAAGCAATCTTTCTGCATGGATTGCTTCCCGAAGCTTTCTAATAGCTTATGAAAAAGTTTTTTTCTAGCTTTTGTAGTTGTTCTCAGTGGAAGGATTTGATTGTTATAAATATTCTTATCTTACCAGACTTTGATCCATGAGTAAGATTAATTTTGATCTATCAGAATATACTTACGCTCTCAGGGCAGTACCTGTTACACGGACAGCTGAGATGTGTGGGTGAGTAGTAAGTAAGAAGCATAACATTGAGTCAAGTCAAAGAAAGAGCACAAGTTTATTGAAATATGTAAGAATGTTGAATCCCAAATATTTAAAAGGGAGCTACTGTATGAATTCAGTTTACTCAAAGATGGCATAGTGCTCAAGGAAAACGATGTGAGGTGAGAAAAACATGGTCTCATGGTGTTAGAGACCATGAGAAATTTCAGTGTGGTAGCATCACTTGATTTACAGATATTTACAGATATTAGATCTGTAGATCTTATTCATCCTACATAACTGAAATTTTGTTTGCTTCGACCAACATCTCTCCATTTTCCCCACTCCCCCAGCAACCACCATTTCGTAATCTACTTTTATGAGTTCAACTTTTCTAGATTCCACATATACATGAGATCATGCAGTATTTCTCTGTGTCCAGCTTGTGTCACTTAGCTTAATGTCTTTCAGGTTCATCCATGTTAGTAGCCGGAGTATTCTTATGTTTCTTAGAGTAGATTAATTTCAGCGTGCTTATTGATCTGAGCTTTTTGGTCCCTTCTTCAATAAGTTGCTAAGGCATTTCTGGAGTCTATATCATTTAACATCAGCCATTTATTTTTTCCCCTAATTCTTCAATGACCATTCTATCCATTAAGACCAAGTACACCAGCTCCAGAAGCTCTTGCCAATTAGTCGAATCCTGAATCTTGAGAATACATCCTATCAGCCAACCTCTCCCTAATCAGTTTTATAGTCTGTCTGCCTTCCTCTGCAGAGCACACTCAAGGTTCATTTATATAAATGTTCTTCCCGGGCTGGCCGTGGTGGCTCACGCCTGTAATCCCAGCACTTTGGGAGGCTGAGGCTGGTGGATCGCCTGAGGCCAGGAGTTCAAGACCAGCCTGACCAATAAGGTGTAACCCTGTCTCTACTAAAAATACAAAAACTAGCCGGGCATGGTGGCATGTGCCTGTAGTCCCAGCTACTTGGGAGGCTGAGGCAGGAGAATTGCTTGAACCTGGGAGGTGGAGGTTACAGTGAGCCAAGATTGCACCACTGCATTCCAGCCTGGGTGACAGAGTGAAACTCCATCTCAAAAAAAAAAGTTCATCCCATTGCTAGTAGTGCCTATTAAAGACCCTGCAGCTCCACCTTTATACTATTCTCCTTGCAAAGCAGAACTCATGCTTCCCAGTTGGTCCATGCCAACAGTGGATCTTATTATAGGTCCATTGCCATGAAAGAGGCAGAGTGGGCAGACCTTGAGGATAATAAGTGTTGTCTTTCAAGGCATGAGCTCTCCACTTCAACTTCATGCAAGTGGATAGTTGCTGTCTTCTAGTAAGAAGCAATGAGATAACAGCCCATGCAGACCATGAGGTTCAGAGATCTGCATGGACTGATGATGCATGTACCTGTATGCAGCCACCTGGATAGCCCTTTCCCAAATTTCAGAGTCTTGTTTCTTACCTTCAGGGCTCTGGCTTTGATGCACTAGATTTCACTGGACTCTGGCTAAAGTCTTCTGAAAGTTCTTTTTCTCTTACGTGTAAGTCCTTGACCTGGTCTTCAGCTTAGACTCCTCCTTAGTTGCAGAAACCAGGGCCTCATTAAATACTGACATGAAGGCCTTTTGATTTTCACATCATGCCATAAATTGGTAATTAGTTGACCTGAACCTGACATTTTTCTCTTTTCAATACATTGATAGGATTTAGCAACATCTAACAAATTTCACAGTTCTTTTAATTAGTTACTCCTACCTCCATACCTCCTAAATGATCAAAATATTGCACAAGCCAGTGAAATAAACTCATTACATGTAAACATAAATCACATTTTCATTAGAAAACTATATTTTCTAGTAAAAAAGTATGAAAAGAGAGGCACTGATTTATGTTTTTTTTTTTTGCAAATATCTTTAATGTCTAACTTAATTGAAAATCTGTATTCTTATACCAGCTTCTGTAGTCAATCTGTTGTGAAACATTTTGGTAGAAATATATGAAGAAAATTACTCTGATATAGTATTGGAAAGGAAAGAATAATTTTAATAGCCCTTTGAGAAAGCTGTGATATTTTTTGATACCACACCAATACTGAACAAGGAGAAAATTCTTAAAGATTATTTGCAATGTAAAGTCTGAAACTCTATTTATGAATGTTTTCTCTGGTATATTAGAATCCTGTAGCCTATCCTGCACTTGGAATATGTCTTTTACTCTTGCATAATTGAATAACATCATGCGTTGATCATTTGAAAAATATTGTTTCACTGAGTTATGCAGATCTTTCAATATTAACATATTTCATTTCATAATATAAAACATTCTATTTGCTATTGTCATCAAATCAACAAGCATTCTAACTATCATGAAGCTTCAAGCTCACAGTAACTAATATAAAGTTTTCAAAACTCCAATTTTCTTATGAAAGCACAGATTTTGTCACTGGAAGCAAATAATGTCAGTTGAATTCCTTGAACTGACAAGCTCACTTTGTAAGAAAATTTCTGCCAAATACCCATCTGAATAACCATAGTTACCATAGGATTTTTTTTTTCAGTTTAAAAAAAAAAAAGTGTTCTCTGAAGAAAGGAGCTTGTTCAGCTTTCCACTCAAACAACTGCATAACAATACAACCGCCATACTTCAGTAGGTAGCATACTAGCTTATGAATGTATCCCATTCCATTCCAATAATTTAAAATGTGTATACTGAGGCCAGGTGCAGTGGCTCACACCTGTAATCCCAGCACTTTGGGAGGCCGAGGTGGGTGGATCATGAGGCCAGGAGATCGAGATCATCCTGGCTAACACGATGAAACCCCGTCTCTACTAAAAATACAAAAAATTAGCCGGGCGTGGTGGCAGGCGCCTGTAGTCCCAGCTACTCAGGAGGCTGAGGCAGGAGAATGGCGTGAACCCGGGGGGCAGAGCTTGCAGTGAGCCGAGATCATGCCACTGCACTCCAGCCTGGGTGACAGAGAGAGACTCCATCTCAAAAAAAAAAAAAAAATTACAGAACTATGAGTTTGGGGTACAGTTCATGACCATCACTCAGATTCACTGCAGATGACATCAGGGGACTCAGTAGAGAAGAAAGACATGAGCCCATTGCTGAAATGGTGGAGAGAGATGAGCATGTGTCCTGGAGCATGGCTCTTTATAATAATCAAGTAAATGGTTAAAGGATCTTTTAGTGGACACTATGTATTTAACAAGAGGAAAGATGATTGGGTTAGGAAAGTTGAGCAGTTATTTAGAAATGAGCACACGAGCTGGGGAGACCTCTCCAGAGAAGGCAGTGGAGAATCAAAGAATAGAGGGTTGTACAGGAGATGCTTTTTGGGAATGGCTGTTTCAGGTATCAATTAAAGTGGAAAGGTAGGGTTGTTTTTGTAAAAAAGATCCAAGACAATGGAGGATTTGCCCACATTAGAACAGGATGCAAACTACAGGACGGCAGAATGTTACAGAAACGAAAAATGTGTTTCAGAGTGATTGGAGTTAGCATTCTGGACGTATTTCTTACAGAGTTGACTAGCACTATTCATTTTCCACCCTCCAACAGTTGCTGAATGATTTTGTTTTAAGAAAAAATAAACAAAAAGTACTTAGCCTCAAGGAAAATAACTTAGGGATTTTCTGCATCTTGAAATGCATGCTTGTTTGGAACAAACAGCCGATAAACCAATTCTCTTAATTATACACAAACTGCCTCACAATTATGTACTAACCGAATCCTGAGTGGACTTGGTAGACACTTGCTGCTTATGAAAGAAACACTACGCAGAGGCACCGCTCCTCACTTTTCTTAAAGAAAAAAAATGCATGACTTTAAAAAAAGAGTTTGAAAATTCTCAGTGATCTTGTTCCCTCATTTATTTTTCCACAAGCTGTGTCTAAATTCAGGCAAAGTTATCAACTTACCATTTAATGATATGGTCACTTAAACAAAGCATAACCTTAACAGACCTTCAATTCAAGCTTGCATTACACATAGTTTCCAAAAGCTGTTTTTTTTTATGTCCTGAATTTACTGATATTGATATTTTGCATGCTTTAGACTCCAATGCAGTATTACAAGATGACCTATGCTGTTATTGGGACACTTTTCACAGGTTATCTTTTCTAAGATCCATTTGCATCAGATAATTTCAGCCCCAAACTTATAACAGTTTCTCATTTTTTTTAACCTGGGCTTGTAATATCTACCATAACTCACCTTGGAAGACATACTTGAAATTTCCATTTCTTTTTTTCTTTCTTTTTTCTTTTCTTTTCTTTTTTTTTTTTTTTGAGACAGAGTCTCACTCTGTTGCCCAGGCTGGAGTGCAGTGGCATGATCTCAGCTCACTGCAACCTCTGCCTCCCAGGTTCAAGCGATATTCGTGCCTCAGCCTCCTGAGTAGCTGGAATTACAGGAGTGCACCACCATGTCTGGCTAATTTTTCTATTTTTAGTAGAGACTGGGTTCTATGATGAACCTTTTTTATTTAATCCTCACTAGCATCCTCAGCTTAGTTTCTTCACTGCCCTGTGAACTCTCACTGCATCTCTGTATTCACACTTTTCTTCACTCTTGATAACGTCTTGACTTTAATTCTCTCCCTCATCAAATTTTCATTTTCTCCTCTTCTCCTTGACATATTTCACCCAAAAATTTTCATAATAGTTTTATTGATTCTTCATGGTCTAACTATGTCACTCAATTGCATTCATTTTTATATCATATATTTTAAAATTTGCCTATTTTTTTGAGACGGAGTTTTCTTGTTGCCCAGGCTGGAGTGCAATGGTGCGATCTCTGCTCACCGCAAACTCTGCCTCCCAGGTTCAAGCGATTCTCCTGCCTCAGGCTCCTGAGTAGCTGGAATTACAGACATGCGCCAACATAACTTAGCTAATTTTGTATTTTTTTGTTTTTAGTAGAAACGGGGTTTCTCCATGTTGGTCAGGCTGGTCTCAAACCCCTGACCTCAGATGATCCGCCCACCTCGGCTTCCCAAATTGTTGGGATTACAGGCATGAGCCACTGCGCCTGGCCAAAACTTGCCTCCTAAACTACGCAACAACCAGGCTACCTAATGGAGTCTCTGTCTATCTCTTGTTGCATTTCTTCTCTCTGGTCACCAACCCTGTGAGAGATTGGGTTTCTATCAGTTGTAGTGTACTAAGTCTTCCATTCCCCAGACACAGCTTCCTGCATTCAGGTGAACCCGTGACCAAGACCAGGCCAGTCAGATTCTGCCTTCTAGAAATGTTGAATTGTTACTGAGATAGGCTAGTTGGTCTGTGATGGTTGCTGGCATGCACAAGAAGCAAACAAGGAAGCTGCAAGGGTAGCCATGTTTAGCCATGTGAGTTCTGAAACAGGGGAAGCTGATTTTCAGAAGAAAAGAAAATGAGGCAAAGATGAGCAGGAATTAGAGACTGGCATTGCCAAGATGTGGGTGTTTTTTTTCCGTTTTTGTGTTAGGCCTTTTTGAACTAAACTGCTTTTCCTCCCCTTGTGTTTCATGCAGCACAGAAGTGTTTGTACTTTTGAAACCAGCTTTTGTGACTTGTCAACAATAATGTCTTAGAATAAAAGAGATTGTGTCCTTTAGGGTATACATAACTTTTGTCCTAGTAGTTTTTTGTTTATTGTTGCTATTTTTCATCATGTAAACTAGATGCCCCTTAAAGATACTTACAGTCTGGAAAGGAAAAAAGTGGTCCTTTTTGTTATGAAGATATTATTCTGAATATGGAAAGTACAAAAGCGTTGGAGTCAGACAAACCGCAACTGGAATTTCCAATTCACTTCTTACTAGCTGTGAGTTCTTAGGGAGGTCACTTATTCCTTTGAGCCATCAATTCCTCTACCTTATTTATGCTGTATCCTCAATTTTTAGTACATTTTCCATCAAATAGCCTAGTAGGCAATCAAAGATAAAGACATTTGATTTGCCAGAGGCATTTTGGGCACAGATAAGCACACTTTAACTTTCTTGCATATTTTTCCAATTTGGTAAAAATATTAACAATAATCGGAGGGAGTACCACAGGCTTCTGTGAATGAGAGCTTAGCAAATGACCATGAAATGGATAAATGGTATGAAAACCCACAAATAGAATAGAAGTGAATGTAAACTGTGAATTGGCGCTTCTTTTGTCAGGACATCTTCTTGTTAGAAAAAAATTACCAATATATTTGAGTGTAGTGTCCTACTTGGGAAATGATATCTTGAATGACCATAAGTCTTGCAAGGTGATTTTTAACACATTTCTCATTTGCAGTTTTTTAAATATTTGTAAGTTAACCTTAGCAACCAAGTTCCATTTGATAAGAATCCATACATAAACACTGACTTTCTTTTATTTTCTATGAAATTCATTCTCATAGAATGGTGATATGTTTTCTCTGAAAGCATTTTCCTCTGCTTGTAGTGGCATGCTCATTAGTGTGATTATGTTATTAATGTCCCCTCCAGGCTCTTTCCCTAGACGGTAAGCTCTGTGAAAGCAGCAAGTATTCCAGTGCATATTCAGCATTTTAATGTTAGTCCTTGCAAGAGTACCTGAAACATAATAAGCATTCAAGATATAATAGTTGTTGAATGAATAAATGAATAAATTATGTTGAATTTAGGGGGTGACATTATATATTTTGGCCCCCTTGAAAATGCATGAAGTTCAGAGATATGTACATAATATATTCAGATTTGTCAAACTGCTCATGCCTACCTAGAACAAAGTCCTTGCTTCTTAAAGGTGGCTACGAATGATTAAAATTTCCGTTCTGGGAAAAATTATTAGCTTTGTTTCATACATCTGTTAAACAAACCTGTATAAAATGGTGCATGCATTTCAACTTATAAAATCTTCCTTAAAGCCATATTTTAGTATGTGCTAGGTGGTATTAACTTCTTGCAAGTTTTACCTCATATACGCCTAAATTCATGGCTAAAAGGAATATATAGACAGCATCTGTCTCACATATTTATTATCATTTTAATATCAAGAGAGGATACTGAGTGATGATATATTACATTACAGTTTCAATGAATTAAAATACTTTAAACCTGTAGTGAGAAAAGAATGACAAAAAAAAGTGTCTAGGAAGAGATGGAAACAGTAATAAATTAGCGTAAACAAAGATATAGAAAAATGTAGTTGAGGCCAAAAATATGGATGGGAGTTAAGCCATTATTTTCAATGGTCTACAGCCAAAAGGCTATATAAAACAGACTCCCAGATTGGCAGATTTATGGGAGAGTCATCAAAACTAGTGATCATAAACTTCTTAGAATAAAAAAAAAATCTAAACACCGTTTACTTTGATTAGATTCAGGATTGAGCTGAGCTAAATCTCAGAGGGGAAGAAGAATTTTGAAGTCCAGAAAACATCTCCATATTATTCACAAACTGTACCAGCCTTTCTGGGAAAGACAACTAATGAGACAAATCATTTTATCACCCACTTCCTTAAAATGCCAGTAACTGAGAGTCGAGAGGTATGAAGTATGAATTTCCGACCAGGCTCATTGTTTCAGTTCTGTCTGCATTATCACCACCTTGGACTGGACTACCTTGATCTCTTGCTGAAATGACTGTGCTAGCTTTCAACAAATTCCCTGCTTCTGCTCAGAAGCTCTGTTCTCAACACAGCAGTTGGAGGGATGCTTTTAAACCACACTCAAATCATGTACTTCCTCTTCTGAAATCTTGTGACTGTTTCCTACTTTACTCACAGTAAAACCAGAGTCCTCTCAATAGACTGAGTGCTCTATGATCTCATCCTCTATGCATTCTTTGATTCCTTCCCTTTCATCTTCTTTTTCTCCCATAGCTCCAGACATGTTGACCTCAAAGCTTTGCCTCAAACATCTGAAGCATGTTTTCAACTTACATCCTAATACTGGCTGTTTTCTCCACCTGGAACTCTCTACTCCTAGATATCTTCATTGCTACCCCTTTGACCTTCTTGAATTTGTTTTGCTCAAATGTCACCTTTTCAAAGAGACAACTGCTGTTAACTGCTGCTAAAATTCAACTTTCCTCTTGACTGTCCCCCAGGAATTCTATATTATCCCGCTTTCTCTGCTCATCTCTACTTATCACCCTCTAACATGCTAAATAATTTACTTGTTGCATAATATATGTTTTGTAATTGCCTTTCAGCCCCCATCAGAATCTAAGTTCGTCGATTACAGGGAATAAATACATTTGTTCACTGATATATTCCAAGTACTTGAAACAATGTTTGACACAGGATATGGCCCATAAATATTTGATAAATGCTTGAGTTGCCTCATTGAATCCTCATAAGAGTTCTGCAGAAATTTCTAATATTATCGTATTATTTATGGTAAAGGCACTGTGGTTAGATTTATCGACTTTTCATTGATTTTTAAAATTAATGTTGTATAAATTTCACATATATTATTCCAAATTGTGTATAGAATGCAGCTGTTATAAGAACTAGATTACAGCTTTAAAAACTTTTAAAAGCGGGGTAGCTTTTTAAAACAATTTTTTGCATAAATTTGATATCCCTGAAGCTAACAGGAAGCATTTTTATTAAAATTTTTGCTTTGAAACTCATAATACTGTGATACAAAATTCCTTTTTGAAAATGTTATAATCAATCTTCCATTTCTATTTACATCTGAGAATTCCAATTCATCACTTCCACTGAAGACTGCAGTCATTTGCTCCTAATTGGGCATCTTGTGCACTCTATCTCAATTGCATGGCAAAGCTGCTTGAAGCTCCTCATTACAGAGGCAGAAGGCTGGCAATAAACATCTTCTGCAGCCTCCATTTCTGCCAGCTTTGCTCCTCTTCTAGCTAATGGTATTCTAGGCTCCTAATTGTCTCACATCAAAAATCCCAAAGTACTTAAGTGTCCTCACTAGAAAAACAAAAGCAGGCACAATGTCAAACTTGAAGCCCCAGCACATCTTTAAAAGTGAGGAGAGCTGCCTGGCTCTGCAGCCAGGCCCAGGGAGATGAAGAGGAAACAGCTTAGCAATTTGCATCACACTCCTGGGAGGCTATTGGTGCCATCTGAGCAGAGGACCTGATTTTTCCCCTTCATTTCCTTTCCTCCCCTTCCTCCATTCTCTATTGTATGTGAAGGTTTTGTGGCTTGATGAAAGATCAGAAAAGGTCAGGGAATTCTCATAAGGTGCCGCCACATATGGGAATCTTCACATATATACATATCGTTTAAATGTATTTCCAAATCAACAAACTTTTCAGAAATGATGCATGCAGCTTCTCCTAGCAAGAACAATTCTTGTGAGATCTGAGTGTCACTACGGTGGTTTAGAATAAGTTCTAGTCCAGACAATTATTTTTATTTATTGATCATAGCAGTAAAGAGCCCAGGTTCTTACCCCGGGCTCCAATCAATCCTGTTTTTGTTTCGTTTTGTTTCAATTTAAATAAGTTAATGTGGAGCTGATAACTTACATGTATCAGTGGCTGGAACATGTAAAATACCCAGTAAACATGAGCTGTTACTAGCATTAATATTATTATCACTATCGAACACTAATTATATGCTAGGAATTATGATAAATCTTACTTAACCCTTTAATCGAACCCATTATGTAGATATTATTTCTTATCAATTTCATAGTTGAGAGAATTGAGGCTTAACTTATTAGGTAGTTTGCCCATGGTCACTCTGCATAAGGATGCTGGTCACATTGCTATAGTGTCATGTTTCTATTATACAAACCACTGGCAAGATTTGGTCCATAAATGCATTTTGTTTGGTTCACAAGTAAAAATATCTGCATTTTTAATACTTTGAATTAGATGATGCATTTTTCAGTTAGATGTCATCATGTTCACCGCCTATTACGTACCAGGTGTCTTTAGTCATTTTTGTTTACTTAGCTTGCCTCTATTTTAAGCAAATATCTATTGAGGGCCTATGTGCCAGACACTGTCGCGAACGTGGGACTTATAGTTCTGAACACAATAGAAAAAGTACTTACTCTCAGGGAGTTTGCAGCTTCTGCTGCAGAGCATTCAGCATGTCACAGTGGAGATATATGATAGCAAGTATTTCACAAGTAAAGGCAATACTAAATATGTTACCTTTGCAATATAAAATTAAAACTGGACTTATCTTTGAGAGGATAACTGAAAGTACAATGACTGCCTACGGTGTACACTTAAACTGAAGGTACAGTTGACTGCTTAAGGGCTACAATTGGGAAGCATCAGAAACAATTTTTGCCCTTAAATAGCTTATTGACTTACTTATACTACACCTCAAAAACTCATTTCTTCTGGTAGATGCAATGTCTTTGGTAATGCATGCTAAAATATGCATTTCTAAATAAAGTTAATATTGATGTAGTAAGCATCTTGTACATAGTTATTATATATGGATAAGTACACAGATAGTGAATTTAAAGAATTAATCATGGCACAATTATCATATGTCAATCAGATTAGCAAAACAAGTACATTTTGGCAGAGAATAAAATGGGAAGATTTTTGGAAGGCAGAGCAGCTGGGAACACTTGATGGAATAATCAACTTGGACCCCATCCCCAGCTGAAGAAGTGAGAACTCTAGCAGGCATGTTTCATGTTAATTGTTTCTATTCTCCCTTTTATATGAATAACACTGGTGGTGACTCAAGCTTTAGGTTTTAAGTAGGATTGTGTCCAAATTAACATCACCCATTGTATTAGTCAGGGTTTTGGAGAAAACCAGAACCAATAGGAGATAAAGATAGATATACAGGACAAAGACATAGATAAAAATGATATAGATATAGATGATACAGACTCAGACATAAGAGGAAATTTTTTATAGGAATTGGCTCATGTGGTTATGGAACTTGACAAATCGCATGATTTGCTGTACAAAAGTTGGAGATCCAAGAAAGCTGGTGGTGTAAATGCAGTCTGAGTACTACGGCCTGATAATTGGGGTCCAATGTTGTAAATCCCAGTCAGAGTCAGAAGGCCTGATCCATGTTTGAAGGCCTGAGAACCAGGAGCTCTGACATCCAAAGGCTGAATAAGATGGATGTCTCAGCTCAAACAGAGAGGGTAAATTAGCCCTTTGTATTAGTCTAATAAAGACGTACCCGAGACTGGGTACTTTATCAAAGAAAGAGGTTTAATTGACTCACAGGTCAGCAGGTCTGGGGAAGCCTCAGGAAATTACAATCATGGCAGAAGGTGAAGATATCACATCCTTCTTCTTACGGTGGCAGCAAGGAGCAGGGCAGAGTGAAGGTGGGGGGGTGGGGGTGGTAGGGAAGCCCCTTATAAAGCCATCTGATCTCGTGAGAACTCACTCACTATTATGAGAACAGGATGGGGAAACTGCCTCCATGATTCAATTATCTCCACCTGTTCCCTCCTAGGATACGTGGGGATTATGGAAACTACAATTCAAAATGAGATTTGGGTGGGGATACAGCCAAACCATATCAACCTTCCTCCACCTTTGCTTTCTATTTAGGCCCTCAAAGAATTGGATGGTGCCCACTCACATTGCTGAGGGATATCTGCTTTACTCAGTTGGCCAATTCAAATGCTAGTCTTTTCGGGAAACACCTTCACATACACACCCAGGAATAATGTTTACCGGCTATCTGGCCATCCCTTAACCATCACACAGATGATAATTGTTGAATGGATTTTGTGGGCTCTCCTTGTTGGGCCATGAATCATTGGGAAAACAACAAGGCTGGATGCTGAGGAGTGAATCAGGTAATGGACTGGATAGTTTCCTATAGCACCTCCAGATCTACTCTTCCCCATTGCTCGCTTTGTTTGTGCCTGAGGGGACGACTTTTGCAGCTTTCATCATGAAGTCCCTTTTGCCCTCTGACTTCCAGTTGGATTCAGGCCATGGGAGAATCAGCTGGTGCCCAGAGGGTGAGAGGAAAGTAAACTCAGCTCTTAATTTTCTTGGTTGTGTCACTGCCAAGCTGTGGTTTATCAGTGATTGGTTTTCTCTTGCAAAGGTCATAGCTCTTCTCAGTCCTATCCCACAGTTTTCTCTGACTTTGCATAACCATTTCCTCATCACACTCCTTTCAACCTATGCTGGTAACAGCTTTCCACTGTGGTCAGCTCCAGTGCTTCACCTCCCTGTGAGTTTAACTGTGCTGTATATATTTTTAAATGTTCCGTTTAAAAAAATTCTCCGCAATTTACTCATTTATTTTTTGCCTTGACCCTGACTGACTATTCCCTATTATGAATAGAAAATATTAGCTATTCTTGATATTGTCTATGCCTGGTAATAGCCAATGGAGCAAATTCACTTTGCCCTTTAAGTATATTATTTACCTGCATAGTTTTTTTGTTTTGTTCTGTTGTGAGACCCAGTCTCACTCACTCTGTCATCCATGATGGAGTGCAGTGATTTGACCTTGGCTCACTGCAACCTCCGCCTCCCAGGTTCAAGGGCTTCTCCTGCCTCAGCCTCCCATGTAGCTGGAATTACAGGGGTATGATTTTTGTACTTTTAGTAGAGACGAGATTTTACCATGTTGGCCAGGCTGGTCTCAAATTCCTGACCTCCATTTCTCTCCACATTTTGTAATTACTTGATGGGTTCATCCTGCCCACTGCACAGACAAAACCAATTTACCAAGACTGTGGTATTACAGTAAAGAAAGAATTTAATTAATGCAAGGCAGCTAATCGGAAGGACTGGAGTTATCATTCAAATCAGGCTCCCTGGGAACTCTGAGGCTAGGGTTTTTATGGATAATTTGGTGGGCAGAGGTCTAAGGAATGGGTAATCTTGACTGGTTGGGGATGAAGTCACAGAAAGGAGAAAATAGTCCTCGTGTGCTGAGTCCACCTCTGGGTGGGAACCACAGGACCAGTTGAGTCATGAGTTAGAGGTCCAGGTGGGGTCAGTTGCCAGAATGCAAAAGTCTAAAAAAATCTCAAAAGACCAATTTTAGGTTCTACAATAGTGATGTTATCTATAGGAGCAATTGGGGAAGTCACAAGTCTTGTGACTTCTGGCCATATGGCTCCTGAGCAAGAAAGGATTGTAGAAAGGCAAACTAGGGGATGATGGCACATTTAGCTATACCTACATCATAACAGAATTTGGGCTCCTCTCATAATACTAATCTCCTGGCTTCTCATTAGTTTTACAAATGCAGTTTCAATCCAGAAAGAAGGAGGGGATCAGTTTTAGGGAGGGACTATGATCATGCTTGCTTTAAAGTTAAACTATAAACTAAATTCCTCCCATGGTTAGCCTGGTTTAGGTCCAGGAATGAGAGAGGACAGCGAGCCTGTGAGGCTAGAAGCAAGATGGAGTCAGCCATGCCAGACCTCTCTCCCTGTCATCATCTTCGGGAAGGCGGTTTCAACCTTTGTTTATGTATTTCCTCATTTCACTCTCTCAACAGCTAATGAAAATTGCTCAATTAGTCTTTCCATTTTCCAATTGAATAAACAGAGGCAAGTTAAAATAATCTGCCCAAAGTTAACCAAATAGGAGCAAAAAGTTGAACCTAAGAAGTTTTATGTCAAGACCAATGAACGTCTAGATTACAAAATTAAATAAATTTAAAAAAAAAAAAGAAGATTTTTTTTGGCTAAATCTACTACATTATGGTTTTTAGAAGTCTTCATGCTGGGGAAGGAAATAACTCTAAAAACAAACCAGAGAAAATTTAAGAACCAGGGCCAGCAAATGGCTATCTGAAAGAACTAGAAAGAAACAGGATTCTACATTTATAAGATAAATGAAAAGAGGGTCCACCACCCTGTATACATAGGAAGATGTATTCATGCATTTGCATGAATAAGCTAAAAGGTCATCAAGGGCCAAAAACTTCTGGAACAAAGGCATCTCTGAATTGAAACATTATTGCTTACAAAGTATCCACTTTCCAAAAAGAAGGATTCAAATTATCCCCAGCTTAAAATTTTATTTGAGTGGCATCTTCAGTTTTTCTCTCTTTGAAAATATCCTCCTTAACATCGCCTAAATGTTTTCTTCTCTCTGCCTGATGGAACTAAAAGAAAATTGAGAAGGAAATATAAATGTTTCCAGATTTAATTCAAATTTAAGTCATCATTTATTTCTTCTATTTTTAGTCACAAATTATAATAGAAAATACATTTTACTCAATTCCTCATAAAAAAAATGGAAGTATTCTGATGAAGTATCAGGACTCTTGAAATAAGGTATCATAATATCAGAATGTCCAAAGAAATGAAACTTTCTATTTAATAGGAATTAAGAAGGAACAATTCTGCTTTCTTTATGTATAAATACTCTAAATTATTTACAAATTAACTTACCTTCATAATTTTGAGTATAATAAGCATAAACAAATCTGTTTTTTATTTTTGAAAAAACCAGTTAGTGCTTTTGGAAAACTTCAGTTTGTATTCTCATTGTTATAGGCAAAAGCACAGATATTAATACCTTAAAGACAGAAGTAAACCCTTAAATCACCTGCTGAGTATCACTGGAGATTTTTTTATTTGTTTTCTTATGCGTATATTAAATGACTAAGCATAATATTTTATTATTAAAATGTACATTATACATTCATTGTATCAGTTAATAAATAGAGTAAAAGTAAATCATAAATTTATTCTGTGGTTTAGTATTTATTATTTTAATTTGCATGTTACCTTGTATGGAATGATAAATACTATAGAATCTATCATTTTTCTCTTTTGTAAAGGCTTCCAGTTAAGTTAGCATATTAGAATTTTCTCTGTAGTTTCTGACACAATTCTCTGTCAGCATGGTTTAGCAATCATTAGCTGCAATTAACATAAAATAACTTGAGTCAGCTTGAGTAAAAATAGATAAATGGGTTGATCAAATAACACAGTGGTAGAGTTAGCAGTGTTGGGCCTCAGCAAAGGACATAATACTAGAAATATCTCAAGACTCTGTGTCTTCAATCTGTTCTTTCTCGGAGTCGGCTTCTCTCTCTCTCATTCTAACTCTTTCTCTGTCTTTCTCCCCCAAACCAGGTTTGCTTTTTCTCCTCTTGCTCCTTCCTTATTATAATTCCAGCTCTCTTTCCTAATGCTATCTCCTAGTTGCAATTCCAAATTCCATGCAAAGAGAAATGGACTGGCCCAGCTAGGGTAAGAGGTTGCAAATGGTCCAATCAATTACAGCCAGGTCACATAGGCCAGCATCATCAATGAAGGGTCACTTCGTAGGAAAAAGGGACATTTACAGAGAAAAGAAACTTTAGAGTAACCCAGGAAGACAAGCATCTTTATGCCCTCCCATTCGTTCATGGTTTCTGAACTCAACCAACTGTTTATTTAAATAGTGTCCTGCTTTAAATATGTTTTACTGCCTGTCATTTAAAGTTGTTTTTGAAAATACATGGGCTATAAACTTATTAAAGGCGAAGGTCAGATGGGATCATCTCAGATTTGAAGCTAGAAAACTTGAGAACAAGACCTAAAATGGAAGACAGTGAGACAGGCGAACACAATTTTACTGTTGCTGACTTAATGGTCTCTCCTTAAACTCATTATCTTCTTCACTCTCCCTGTCCCTGCTCACCCAGCCATGAATATTAAAATTATATTTCATTATAAAATTCTATATTTTATGCTAAAGAATATTCCAATAATTTCTAAAAGTAGAAGTGAAAAAAAAAGCTATCCATAGCTTTCCATCAAAACAAGCAACAAAGCTGTCATATCTTCCATCTAGTGGAACATCTAATGGCAGTCAAGTTAGTCAATCCCATTTCTAGGTATATACCCAAAGGGAAATAAATCATTGTACCAAAAAGACACCTGCACTCCTTTGTTTATTGCATCACTATTCACAATAGCAAAGACATGGAATCAACCGAGTTAGCCATCAACAGTGGACCAGATAAAGAAAATGTAGTACATATACACCATGGAATACTATGCAGTCCTGAAAAAGAGCAAAATCATGTCCTTTGCAGCAATATGAATGCAGCTGGAGGTCATTATCCTAAGCAAATTAAAGCAGAAAAAGAAAATCAAATACTGTATGTTCTCATATTATACTGTATGTTCTCACTTATAAGTGGAAGCTAAACATTGGGTACACAAAGACACAGAGATGAGAATAATAAACTCTGGGGATTTTTAAAGTGGGGAGGCAGGGAGTGGAGAAAGGGTTGAAAAACTACCTGTTTGGTGTAATGTTCACAACTTGGAGGATGGGATCATTGTTAAGTCCAAACCTCAGCATCATGCAATATACCCATATAACAAACCTGCACATATACCCCCTGAATCTAAAATAAAATAAAATAAACAAAACTAAAATAAAAAAAAAAAACAGTCGATCCAGGCATTCCTTGCTGGAGTCAGAGCTGCCGTAGCTGAGCTAATCTAGTACCAGACAAGGTCCTAATCTGGTATTGTTTTCTCTGTAGGGTTCCATTCCCTCTTTAAATGTGGCTACAGGAGTCTCTTCTATTGTCAATTCTTAGCTTCCTCTGCAGATTTTTGTTCCTCCTGTCTTTCCAAGATTATTTGATTTCATATTTCCTTTGATAGGATTGCATACAGTAGTTAAGTTTCAGCCCTGCATGTGGTGTCACCATTGAGACAATTTAGTTCTCTAAGAGGAGGCAGGAGGATATTTACATTTTGGGTGTTGTATTTCATGCTAATTTCCAGATAGTTCTAATATTTATTTATTATTTGTATTTGTTTTAATGCAATTTGTGCAGACTTTTCCAATTCTTCATTCTATTACACTAATCAGATTCTATACATGCTACCTCTGTTTTCACATCTGTAAAATTTAAACATAAACCTCAGCATCTCTCCCCCAATATTCTCCAAATAGTTCATTTATATAAAGCGTAGTAAGGTAGAACTTGACAAATATTTTCCTTGGCCGATGAAGGAAAGGACTTACATTATACTTCCTGTTTCTACTGCTTCAAAATTTTCCATCACATTAGTTTTTCTCATTCTCTTTGCCATTCAGGAGTTCTTTTTTTTCCTTCGACCTCACCCCAGGCAATAGCCAGGTTATCGGTTGTCCTCTTTCTAGCAATTATTCCTATCTCCATCTCTTTCGCCTTTCCTGTTCAGAGCAATTTAATTAGATTTATTGTAAATATACTTTCCCAGAACACAACCCTTTAGTTACCGTTACTTAGAAAAAAATGGAGAAAAATAAATTTTTAAAAAATTGTATTACCTATGGCTTTCGGGAACTCTATTTCAATGGCTGATTGATATTAATCATATTGAGTTATTATGGTTTATTTAAATCCCATATTACCTCTCATTTAAAATGGTTTCCTTTTGTTCCCTACAATGATTAATGCTAAAATAAACATATTTTGCATAAAGTCTTCTCTGTAGCTTTTGATTTTTTTGTCTTATCAGAAATGTATGTGTTGGATCAAAGCTGTGAGACTTTTTAATGAAAAAAATGCCAATAATATTTCACCTACTTATGATTTCATCAGAAAATGCATGAAAGTGTCTACTTTATCACACCTAGTCATATAGGGGTATTATGATTTTTCAAAAAAGTGTTAAACAATAAATTAATATGTCTTTAAAAAATTTGCACATCTACTTTTAACAAGTCATGTTGGATAATTGTTTACTAGTTATATTTCTGAATTGTGAATTTTATAATTTTATATTTATGTTTTGAATAAATAATAAGGGATTGTATTATGCTGTGATAAGCAGTAACCACTAAATATCAGTGCCTTAACTCGTTAACATTTAATTTTCATTTATGTAAACCCATGTGAGATCTAACTGCTCTCTTGGGCACTTCCTTCAGGTAGGAGTACAGAACTGCCTGTCTCCAACTACTTGCAGCTCTGTCACTTGGAACACATGGCTTCCAGGGTTGCTATGTCAGGGGAAGAGAGGGTCTCATGCTGACTTCTCAAGGCCTCAGCCTGGAGGGAACGCACCTGTCTTCCTCTTGCAATCCATTGGTCAGAACTAGTCATGTGGTTCACCTAAATCCAAAACCACAGGGAGAGAGGGGAACTGGGTATTCCTGAGCAACAGCAAACCCTGCCACACACATATTCTTCACTGTTTACTAATAGCCAATTTACAGTGTAACAGCTCTTTGTATAAAAACAGTTTCTGACTCTCCTTTGCTACAGACTTTTTTTGTTTGCTATTTGCCTTTTAATGTGTCTTCTATTCTGAATTTGCAAAGAGAGCTTTCTGTTACAAGTACTGAAAACACCCAGGAAGATTCAAGAAGTGTCATTATATTATTTGTGTTAAAAATACGTCAGAGAAAGGCATGTCAATCTTCAAGTAATTGTTTCTCTAAAGAACTCTATGAGTTAAGTCCTGAAGCAGGTAACTTAGAGAGCGTGAAGGAAGATAAGTGCCTACAATGAACACTATTAGATCAACTGGTTTACATAAGAAATGGGCTACTTGACTTGAAATGAGAGGTTCAGGTACTTATTTTTTCTAGTGGTTCTAGAACTTGTCTTGCTTTCATTATGGTTAACATTTTTCCCAGAAGATCATTTGGATTCTGTCTTCTCGGAAGAAGCGCACCCACACAAGTGAATTAAAATCTAAGCTAAATTCAGCTTTGTTCAAATGTGCCTCCACCTAGTATCTCTCCTCTGTTCCCCATCCTCCATTCCACCCACAGCCCTAGGAAGAAAGGAAGACAGTATGAATTTATTCATGCTTAAAACTAAATTGAGCTATAAAATCTGTTTATTTCCTTGACATCTCTACTAACTACTAAGACTATGAGGGTTGCATTTAAACATGAACATTTATTAAAACTCTTTAATAGCCATGTCTCTGTGATCCACCCCAAGTGAGGCAAAAATTTTGATGTAAACTTTATTTTTGTAGCCTACAGACAAACTTTGCTATTTCCTCATGCTTTTCCTTTATTCCTCTTTCCTAGTTTCTTGCAACAAATGTTTCATTATTTTAACAGTTGTCATCTTCCTGCAAAGTTCATTATGCAGGTCAAAATCACATGCCATTTTTTAATGAAAACAGCAATTCAGCTTAGCCCAGTGCATTTCTTCTGGGTTATTTGACTGCAGATTTTTGACCTAGAAATGTTTTAATTAATTTGAATTTTGATTGAACTCTTTGTTTCTGAAATTGCTTTTCTGTACTTCTTTATGTAATCTTTCCCTTGATTTCCATTACCTTTGCTGTTTCATTTGCTTTTCATTTTATTTTTATTTGATTTTATACTGTGTTAAAGCAATCAAGGATAAAACATCTCTACCCTTCTTCCAAATGCAGCTTATCACTAATTCAGTTTTGCTAAGAAATGATTGTTAAATAGGAAAAAAGGAATAAAATCTCAACAAGGTAATGACTCATACCAGTTAGTACAAACTTTTAACCAGCAGAGTAAGCTGATTAAAATCCGAGTTGTTATCTACTAGTAGGAGGTGTAGGTAGGAAGATGGCAGTTTCCCTAATGAAATGGAATTTATTAAGTACCTGAATATTATAGAGTCTGTTCTATTGAAACATGCTGTATACATTCATAACATTAAAAGAAAAATGCCGGCCGGGTGCGGTGGCTCATGCCAGTAGTCCCAGCTACTTGGGAGGCTGAGGCAGGAGAATGGCGTGAACCCGGGAGGTGTAGCTTGCAGTGAGCTGAGATCGTGCCACTGCACTCCAGCCTAGGCGACAGAGCCAGACTCCATCTCAAAAAAAAAAAAAAAAAAAAAAAAAAAAAAAAAAAATGCTGGGCACGGTGCCTCACGCCTGTAATCCCAGCCCTCTGGGAGGCCGAGGCGGGTGGATCACGAGGTCAGGAGATCGAGACCATCCTGGCTAACATGGTGAAACCCCGTCCCTACTAAAAATACAAAAAATTAGCCGGGCTTGGTGGCGGGCGCCTGTAGTCCCAGCTACTCGAGAGGCTGAGGCAGGAGAATCGTGTGAACCTGGGAGGCGGAGCTTGCAGTGAGCAGAGATCGCGCCACTACACTCCAGCCTGGGCGACAAAGCGAGACTCCATCTCAAAAAAAAAAAAAAAAAAAAAAAAAAAGCCTGACGCTGTTATAACTGATGAAAATCAAAGCTACATTTCAAGAGCCTAACAAGACAAACAGAAGTGGGATGGAAGATTGTCAGGTACATTCATTTCAGCCTGCAGAAATGGGATCCTTGCCCTGTAAAGCAAGTTATGAGTATGCATGAGAGGTTTTATTACAAATTGCTCTTTTTCTAGGGGTGTAAAAACGCTGAAGAATGTAGCAGATTAGGTGATCCTCATTGTCATTAATTCAGTAGTAATAGGTAAAGCATTTATTGTGAAGGACATCACCAGATAGCATAAGTGCGACCTTTATCTAAATTGGATAACACCATTCTAAAAAGATAGATCGTGGACTTCCTTGAAGTTTATGAGAGTATTTTACATAGATTAGTTTTAGGAAGCTCATTAAGATCTAGGATCCTAGAAGGAAGAGTTAGAATACTGAAGTCTGTAAGCTTGCCAAATTCCTAAGTGTTTTTAGCTCTTTGGTGGCAGAGGGAAGAGAGTTTTGTTCACAAACATATGGCCAAAGTTGATAAGATCTAATTATATGTTTGCAGCTGTTTCAAATCTGTAAATATCTGAAGTTGGTCAACATTATCAACACATGACAAAGGCAGTATAAATAAAGGAAATTAGCTAAAAACTGAAACAACAACAACAATCCCTTTTGAAGGGAGGAAATTAGGAGCTGAGTTCTCTAAGTGTGACTTAAACAGGATAAAGAACAGAGCAACAATGCTGTACATACATAAAAAGTTTGCACCTCATTAACAAGCATTCTGGAACCAATTTGTGTGTATAGGAAGACCTCTGACAAAAATTCTCAACAGTTTGAGTACAGTTTTAACAAACACAGTATCAGCTGTATTAAAGGACTACTTTGATTATTTATATAATACTTACAAATACAATTAAAGGTTTGTAACAGACTCATTGAGTGGTTTAAAAAAATAACCTTAATATAAAGATTTACATCTGTCGGGTGAAAGACTATATTCAGCCCTAATAAAATCTGGCTAAATAAGCAGGAATGATGTATTATACATGGGATTATCCATTTTCCAAAACAAAATAACAACAAAAAATCATATTAAGAATACAAAAAGTTACAAATAAGGGGCAACTTGTGTGTTTAAGTGCAAGACTATGAATGGGAAAAGTGGAGGGAATAATGGATATTATGATTCAAATATTAAAATAAATTTTAAACAGGTAAATTAAACAGTTTTATTTTTAATTATGAGAAAAAATAGAGAAGCATACATTTTTACATTTTTTCTCTTCCCTTAAAGTCTCCTACTGAAATCTGTTATGTCTGAAACAAAATATACAATACATTTACCAAATAAAGGTAATCATTCTGTCATACGAAAATAATTACTGTTGTAAGTTGAATGCCTGTTATTCATTTATGTATGTATATATGCATATGTGTGTGTACATGTACACACACCCCCATACACATCTTTTCCTTTTAGGAGGCCACAAGATGCAACAATTTGTTATGTACAAAAGGGAGAGAAGTAATGTTCTGGATTGATTCAGACAACTGGACTGATAAATCAGTTCTCTGAGTATTTGTGGGTTTACCATCCATCAAATGGAACATGTGTTTTACCAAGGCCACTTACCACTTCATGCTAATTAGATTTAATTGGTGTGTCATTGTCAATACAATTGGCTAGTGCGATGTTCTACAAAATGTCAAGATGGTGAAGGTCATTGAGGATGGTATCACAGAGAATGGAATCACCATGGGAATTGAGAAAAACATATTTACCAAATTGGAAGCTGGATACCAAGTGTTTATTGTGCTAAAAGAAAAACTGTTGATAAATTAAATGTAACAGAGTTTAACTGAGCAAAATACAGCTCACCATCAGAATAGGTACAGAGAGACTCTGGGGCTGCCACATGGTCCGGTAACGCTTGTGGACAGAAAAAGGAGGTGAGACACAGAAACAGCTGGATTGGTTACAGATCAGAGTCTGCCTTATTTGAAAATGGTTTGAACAGTCAGCCACCTGTGATTGGCTGAAACTCAGCTTCTGTGACTGACTGGAACTTGGCTACTGGTTATAAGAATGGGATACAGTATATTTCCACCTCCCATTAGGTTACAGTTCACTGTGTATGGAGAAACCTTTAGGCCAAATGTAAAATATATAAGGAGACAGCATTAGGCTAAACTTTACAATTCTCCCATTTGGTCAACTTCCCAAAATTTTGGTCAAAATTGAGAAATTGACCAAAACTTCAGGCATTGATGTCAATCTGTCACCATTATAAATTGACTTATTTGCTTTCAAATCTCACTGGAAAATAGCAGAGCAGTGGATTTTGTGAGGTGGGAACAAGGAAATGAAACAACTAAAAAAACTCGATTGGTTAACATCAGATTACTTCAGGTTACTTTTCTGGTAAGGGTTATAGCAGACAGGACTTCCTTATTATGCTGGAATTTCCTGATTTTAGGAGAAAAAAGAATGGTTTGTTATGGGATCTATCTTCTTTCTTAAAGTTTCCATTTGATGATGTCACATTTAGCATGAATGACTCCATTTTGATTTGGTCTGTTCTGTTGGGGCCTAGTGCATGAGCTCAGTCCAAAGCAATGGCCTCCCGTCATTTTATTTAACAATTTCCCCCTTTTGGTCACGTTCTTACATAGATGAGAGTGTGACCAAAGTTTGGGGCTTTAGTGCTATTCTCAGTTACCATCATTTTAAGTTTTCAGTCTCAACACACTATTCAAAGCTTATGGTATCTTCATGATCATGCATGCATTTTTAGTGACAATAACCCGTCTATTTCACTTGATTAAATTAGTGTTAGCCCATTTTACTCCTACATAAGCCATTTGGTTTCTGCAAGGGTTATACTGCTGAATTGAATTGGAATATAATGGGACCACCAACTCTGTCTCATTAAGTCCTCGAGGGTAGTGCTAATACTGCTTCCAATTTACTATCTCAGCTGAGGAGAAAAAGCAGTTTCAGGGACATCCAATTGATATTTCCTACTATAATGACTCTTACTTTATGAGTTAAGGATTCTACCAGCACCTGAATATATCCATCCTAAATATACATCTGAGGACAGAGGAAACAACTACTGGATGAGTCTGCTGAGCCATGTGATCCACTGATCCACTGATGGACCGAAGACCAAATTTATTCTGGCCTCCATAAGCTTTCACTCTAACAAGGACTGTGCTGGGTGTTTATTTCATTTCATTTCATTTCATTTCATTTCATACAGGGTCTCACTCTGTCTCCAAGGCTGGAATGCAGTGGCATGATCACAGTTCACTGCAGCCTCAACCTCCTAGGCTCAAGAAATCCTCCCACCTCAGCTTCCCAACTAGCTGGGACTACAGGTGCATGCCACCATGCCCAGGTACTTTTTTTTTCTTAATAGAGACGAGGTCTCACTACGTTGCCCAGGCTGGTCTTAAACTCCTGAGCTCAAGCAATCTCCCAGCTTGACCTCCCAAAGTTCTGTAATTACAGGCATCAGCCACCATGCCTGGCCTTGTGATGGAGTTTTGACTCTTCCATTACTAAGGTTAGTTCAAGCCTGGCAACCAACATCCTTCACAAAATCTAAAATTTTTCTTCATTAAGGGGACCAATCAATGGGTGCAATGTTTGTGAATTCATTTGATATGGAAACATTATAGTGACCTTCCATTTATTAGTTTCTGATTTTTTTTCTGGTGATATAATTTATCATCAGCTGCCCACCTATCTCATCCTGGAACACTGACCTATTAGTCATTACCATAGATACCTTTGGCTCAGGGTAATGTGATTGCCACTTTGTCCTCATTATCATTGTACTGATCACATCCACCTGGCCTCTATT
Source organism: Homo sapiens (assembly GCF_000001405.40). Taxonomy (NCBI): domain Eukaryota; kingdom Metazoa; phylum Chordata; class Mammalia; order Primates; family Hominidae; genus Homo; species Homo sapiens. The sequence continues at coordinate 70,381,544 of NC_000017.11, forward strand.
AGCAGTGCAGCCCCAAAGAGGTCAGATTTCTAGCATTCCCTCCTTCCAGTTCTGGAAAGAAGCCATCCATCCCAGCAATCACCTTAAAGATACCAGGGATCCCTTTTTCGTGCATTCTCTAATGACTCAGTAAAGAGAATGTCCTTTGGGCTCCCCCTGGGGACATAGTCACGTGGTGAACACTCTCCTCTCACCTAATAAATATATTTTAACATACCCGTACTCTAAGGAGCTTTTTGACCCCTTCTTCTGCCAAAGTCACAGTGGCATATCCATCTCATTTACCTTTGATCTTTCCAATGTCCAAGCTTCAAGGAGACATTCTGGCAGCCAGAATATACTCCTCTGGCTTTATATATATATGTATATATATGTGTGTGTGTATATATATATGTATATATGTGTGTGTGTATATACATGTATATATATGTGTGTATAAATATATATGTATATATGTATATGTATATATTTATATATGTATATGTGTGTATATGTATATACGTATATGTGTGTATACGTATATACGCGTATACGTGTATATACGTATATACGCGTATATGTGTATATACGTATATATGCGTATATATATATGTTTGGAGACGGAGTTTTGCTCTTGTTGCCCAGGCTGGAGTGCAATGGCGCAATCTCGGCTCACTGCAATCTCTGCCTCCAGGGTTCAAGCAATTCTCCTGCCTCAGCCTCCCAAGTAGGTGGGATTACAGTCACGTGCCACCATGCTCGGCTAATTTTGTATTTTTAGTAGAGATGGGCTTCCTCCATGTTGGTCAGGCTGGTCTCAAACTCCTGACCTCAGGTGATCCACCCACCTTGGCCTCCGAAAGCGCTGGGATTATAGGCGTGAGCCACCGCACCTGGCTCCTCTGGCTATTTTTGCCAGGATTTTAAACTAAAAGTGTCAGGAGAATGCTTTAATAAGTTATCTCTTGTCCAGCCTTACATTCTGCCAATGTCTCAATCTAACATCCTTCCACTCCTATGTATGCTCTCCTGGACCAGGTGAGCCAGGTCCTGTCATTCTTTTGTTGTATACTGCATTTCCTTCTAGAGTAGGGATTGTATCTCCCTCCTCAGTCTATGCTAAGACCTGACTCTAATTATTGGAGGCCATGGATAAAGGTGAGAAAAGGCTTTATGACCTTACATGACCTCACTCTAGGTGTGGTCTTTGCATTGTCTCCAGGCAAGGGGAGGCTGCTGTCTTCTACAAAAGGGGAAGGAGCTGTTTTAACTGCCTGGGAGAGTTCGGGAGAATCTGGGAAATCATGATTCTCCCACTCCTAGAGCCAAGCGAGATTTCAGAGCCCCACTCTTTTCCTTACATGAACCTGACCTTATCAGAGAGGACTTGGCAAGTCTGTGTTTTCATTCTCCTTGTAGTTCTATTACCCTTTCAGTGAAGTCCTGGACTGAGTTCTTAAATTTTTAATCATAGTCAGCCCTAAAGTATAATTGTCTACGTGATGTTCAATTCCATTAGCTACTGCATAACCTAACACTTTACTCTCCAAGTGTACCTCATATTAATCTGCTTGTGGAAGGCAGGGTAACTGCTTAATCCTTACAAGTAATGACACATCATATGCTGGTTGGCCAGGTCTGGAAAAATGGTTTCCTAAGGGAACTCAGGCTGGAAGGGGTGTCATAGCCTAGTCCCACCTGATTGCATGGGCTGAGAATTACGGAATGGTGATATATCAAAAGAAGGAAGAAACCATTATTGGCAGGTAAAAGAGTATAGCTGTCTTCCACACTGAATGATTGAGATACTATTGCACACAAGAAAGGAGTCAGAGTAAAAAGAAGTTTTAAGTTTCGATGGGTCTGACCATTTAAAAATGTTGAAGTCATTGCGAAGACAGACAATGCTGAAGCTATCAAGGAAATAAAAATGAGGCCAAATAGATTTATACCTAATTAAATATGAGTTGAAATAGAAAAAAGCATAAACAAGCCTTTTACTAACTGAACCAACTTAACCACATGAGGAGAGTTCATAATAGAAGATTTAGATGAATATTTCCTGTTATAAAAGGATTTTATGTAATTATTAACTGAATTCCCATTAATAGTTACCTAAGTTTATGGGTTGAATAATGAGTTGGCTTGCATTCTCTCATTTAGCAATAAACAGTAAACAAAACAAACACACAATAAAACAAAACAACAGATGTGTTTGAACACCTGCTAAACTGTACTAGCTGCTGAGGAATCAAGCTCCCATATTCATTCTAGGAGGGGAACACAGAATATTAAGAATTTAAATAGCAGTTGAGATAAATGCTAAGGAGAAAAATGAAGCAGCATAAAGGAAATAGAGATGTCAGGGAGGCTTCTGTTTTATCAGTGAAGAATCAGGGAAGTCTTCACTGCTAAAGTTTCATTTAAGTGTTCAACAGATGAAGTACATGAAATATATAAACCCACAGATGAGACACACACATATATTTATCCATATATATACCTATCTATGAACAGGTACCTAATCTTCAGGGAAAGGAAGAATGAATCAGAATAATATATTCTAAAAAGCTCAATAACACATATATAAGCTTTTACTATGTCCACAGAATTTGATCAGTGGAACGTATTAAAGGCCTAAAAGCAGTCAATATATTAAAGCAAAATGTAACCAGCGTTCTCTGATTAAATTGTAATGCACTTAGACCTTACAAACAAACAGGTTACAACTTCTCCTCAAGTTTTTAGAAATTAGAAAACACTTGTAAATAAATCTTGGATTCCTGAGAAAATTAAATTTGCAATTACAGTATATTTAGTAATTAGCAGCAATTTGAACACTGTGGGCTACAGCCAAGGTTAGAATTTACAACGTTAAGTAATTCAACTACTCTTATTAATCACAAAATGAAAATAATTCAAGAAACATTTATCTAAAGAGGCTAGAAAGAAAACAAGAAAAATAAAAAGGTAAAAGTTATAGGAAGAATAATTCACAAATATAAAATCAGAAAATAATGGCTTAGGCAACATAGAAAGACTACTTGCTAAGGAGATCCTTTATATTTTAACTTTTTATATACCAATAATATAAAAATATAAAATTCTAGGGAAAAATGATGATAAAACTGCTAATAAAAATATATTTTTGGCCAGGTGCAGTGGCTGGTGCCTGTAATCCCAGCACTTCGGAAAGCCAAGGCAGGCGGATCACTTGAGCCCAGAAGTTTGAGACCAGCCTGGCCAATGTGGTGAAACCCCACCTTTACCAAAAAATACAAAAAATTAGCCAGGCATGGTGGCATGCACCTGTAATCTCAGCTACTCAGGAGGCTGAGGCAGGAGAATCACTTGAACCAGGGAGGCAGAGGCTGCAGTGAGCCGAGATTGCACCTCTGCACTCCAGCCTGGGTGACAGAGCGAGATTCCGTCTCAATAAATAAATAAATAAATAAAATATATTATTAATATATACTGAAGTTACCATGCATGACTCTATTTGAAAATGTGATTTGCCCAGGGGTGTTGTACAGAAAAATATAAATTACATAATTGTCTCATTTAACATATTCAATGATATTAAGCATGAACAATGAAAAGGTAACGGGAAAAATTAATAGAGGAATGAAAGGCACCTACCTTTCCTCTAAATGAATTAGCCTCATATTAATAATTTACAATGAAGTAATATGAAGACCAGGAAATATATAACGTGTACACTATTTAAAACCACCATGGTTTGAGAATCAGACAATATTCAAATCCTAATCTCTGAAAGATAGGCTTTTCACAAACATTTCGATGCGATGCATTTTAAATGTTCCCTTCAATTACTTTCATCTCTCTTCCACCAGTTTCTTTCCCTCCCCTATACCATAATCACCCATGTCCATATAAAGGATGAAAAATGACATGGAGACCCTTCATTATATGAAAGGAACTGACTCAGGAAAGGAAGCAGCATTCACCCTTCATTATGAGGGATCTTGTCTTGTCTTTACTATTGATTCAATAACTATTTAAGTGCTTGTAAAGGACAGACTCTGTTCTCAGTGCTAGAGCACTCCCCAAAGAGAACTGGCTTGAAAAATGTTTAAGGCGCATATGCTACAAAGAGACATTCTATTCTCTTGTTCTTAAATTATCTGTAGAACATGTAAGACCTGTGACTTGGACAATGAATCACAGCTTAAAAACTAAAAGATAACGGTCAAGGTCACACCTATGTTACTAGAAAGTATATTAATCAGAGTGCTGGTGGGAGAGAGTTAATACATGCAAATTGGGTAATTAGAGGAAATTAAAAATGGGGGAGTTTAAAAATTAAAAACAGAACAATCATGTGATTCAGCGATCCCACGACTAGGTGCGTATCCAGAGGAAAAGAAATCAGTCAGTATAAGAAATATCTGCTGGGTGCGGTGGCTCACTCCTGTAATCCCAGCACTTTGGGAGGCTGAGGCGGGCGGATCATGAGGTCGGGAGATCGAGACCATCCTGGTCAACATGGTGAAACCCTGTCTTTACTAAAAATACAAAAATTAGCCAGGCGTGGTGGTGGGCACCTGTAGTCCCAGCTACTTGGGAGGCTGAGGCAGGAGAATGGAGTGAACCCGGGAGGCGGAGGTTGCAGTGAGCCGAGATCGTGCCACGGCACTCCAACCTGGACAACAGAGCGAGACTCTGTCTCAAAAAAAAAAAAAAAGAAAGGAAGAAAGAAATATCTGCATTGCACTCTCACGGTCATTGCAGCATTGTTCACAAGAGTCAAGATATGGAATCAATCTAAGTGCTCATCAACAAGCCAGATAAACAGTAGAGAGTAAATGTGGAGACACAAACAGGTTATCCCAAATAGAAAGAATTCTGGAGATTTGGTGATTTTCCTTAAGATGTGGCACCTGCTCTATGACTGGTGTATTCTGGAATGTGCTGTAAGACTTTTTCTAATTTTGCAAAAACTAAAATAGCATAAATAATATACTAATATGTTATATTAGTATAATATAAATAATAATATAACATACTCAAATGTCATAATTCTGTGGAAGAACAGGCATGCCCTCCCGTTGCTTGACCACATGATATGGTTATGAAACTGGCTTATACATTTTTAAGTACTAGTCTTTAGACATAATCTCTAGATCTTTAATATCAGGATTGTTTCTAACATTTACAGGGCCTGGAGCAAGAGCAGAAAGGAGGCCCACATACCATATGTCAAATATTTAAAAGTTACATATCAAGCTAACAAACTGTTAAATAGAATCTGTTCTATCCTCTATTCTTGACGAATATATCTTCAGAATTACAAAATTGAAAGATGCGTTCAAAGATTTAGCTTTTATATCACTGAAAGTTGGCAAAATACGAAAGATGAGTCAATTTACTTATTACTGTACATGTCTGCTGTTCTATTCATAAGCTAGCAATCTTTGCGTAATGTAATAAAGATACATATAATTCAAAAATAATTATGCATTTTAATAACATTTATTTTTATTGCTTTCATTCTAGTAAAAAGTTATTATGTTTATATAATCAATACTTTCACCTAATTGATACACTATTGATAAATATGATTTAAAGTCTTATAAATTATATGTAAATGCAGTGAAAGTTTGTGTTTTATATTTTAAAATATAAAAATCTTTTGTATTTTAAAGTGTTTTTATTACTTAATAATTATTTTAATAATTAAGAACTATATTCATATTAACACAATCCAAAATATATTTTAAACAACATTGTCTTAAACGTTTTTGAAAGTTATTTTTCTTCTAAAATATTCAGAAACATATATAAAATTAAAAGGTAAAATACAAATTATAATTAGTAAATATTACAACTTAAAATCAGAATCATTTAAACAAATGAAATTTTAATTTATCTTTTGAAAATTTAAGTTTTGTTAAATTTGTTTTATAAAAGTATGAAGAATTGAGCATTCAATGTCTATTTATTTGACATGTAAAGAATTGTCATTAAGATTCATCATTGTTTTACTAGATCTAGATATTTATTAACAGAAATTCAAAGTATGATAACTTTTAGAATTACGCAGCTGTTGTGAATACCTGCAGAGTCATGATTTGGAGGATGAGAAGTGAAAAACTGGAATCTCAGCACTACTAAACAAAGGCTACTTTGTTAATCCAACAATTTATTGCTCTCCGACTATCTCAAAAGGCAGATTTGGTAAGATAATTACATAATTACTTTGTCTTCTTTTTGAAGAATTTTGCCCTTCAATCACTCTCTTCTCTGAGGAAGCCTCTGTCCCTTACATTGATTTTGGCCCAAACCCAAAGATCACTGCATTTTGACTTAGTGGACTTTAAATACAAGAACAGAGTACAGAAGATGCAGACATGTGTTTTTGTGGGGTCTGAAAGGTGTTAGTTATGGGCACAAATGTTTAGGACCAGAGAGAGTGCTGTGTCTGTTGGATCCGGCTTCTGAGTCAGGCACTCATGTGTTTGCAAATGAATTCTATGTGTGCACTTATGCCCTGAAAAACCATCTGAAGTTCAATGCTCAAGCTTGGGCCCCACTTGCTCATACCGAAGGTTGGTTCTTCTTAATCCTAAGCAGTAAAATGTATTTTTTAAAAGATGAAAAGATACGCATTCAAATATATGTGCCTATATATATCCACGTTATCTTATATTTCTACTATGCATCTAGTGGGCGTGAAGGTGTTCACACTTGTTTTATTAGCATGTAAATGTAGATTTATCTAACAAACATACTTAACTCTCTAGACATCAACCCTATCAGGTAATTCTTGCAATATTAGAAAAATGACAACTATGCAATGAGTTTCCATCTTAAGTTGAACTCTGATTCAGTTCAACTAGTAATCCTCTCAAAGAGATATATAGATGTAGTAGTGTATGTCATGTAAACTGTAACTGTCAGTGTTAATTGCCCAGAATCTGAAGTTTCTCTCCCAGTTACAAAGTTATGGGCTAGGCTATTTGAGAAGCAAAATGGATTCATTTTGCACTGTGGGAAGATTTGGCTGTGGCAAAGCTTTTTTGTTGTTGTTGTTACTAAAATTGCATTCTCCAAATTTAGTACTTACTCAAAATTCATGTGTTTAGAGTTACAACTAAAAATCTGTGTCTCACAGTGTTTGAATTAGTTAAAGCCAAATGAGTTTCTTTTTTTTTTTTTAGTTGGCATTTCTCTCAGAGAGGAAATTTATAAATTATTTAAAAATAAATAAGATCTGATATGTATGTTTTAATCTTTCAGATTATAGATTATAATTGCAAATGTTTTGGTTTAATAAAAGTCTGTAAATCTTAAAAACAAAATGTGGTAATTTCCTAAACTTGAACTAAAACTATAGTCCTTCATCTTTTCTATAGAACTACAGATGGGCTACTTTTTTTTTTTTTTTTGAGACAGAGTCTCATTCTGTCGCCCAGGCTGGAGTGCAGTGCCATGATCTTGGCTCACATCAACCTCTGCGTCCTGGGTTCAAGCGATTCTCCCGCCTCGGACTCCCAAGTAGGTGGGATTACAGGTGCATGCCATCATATGCAGCTAATTTTTGTATTTGTAGTAGAGACAGGGTTTCACCATATTGGCCAGGCTGGTCTTGAACTCCTGGTCTCAAATGATCCGCCTGCCTGGGTCGCCCAAAGTGCTGGGATTCCAGGTGTGAGCCACTGCACCTGGGCTGGGCTGACTGCTTTTAAATATAAAGAAAAAAATGACAAACTATATTGCTTAATCACGATCACATATTAATATGGTTTGGCTGTGTCCCCACCCAAATCTCAACTTGAATTGTATCTCCCAGAATTCTTACATGCTGTGGGAAGAACCCAGGCGGAGGTAATTGAATCATGGGGGCCGGTCTTTCCCATGCTATTCTCGTGATAGGGAATAAATCTCACGAGATCTGATGGGTTTATCAGGGGTTTCCGCTTTTGCTTCTTCCTCATTTTCTTTTGTCGCTGCCGCGTTAGAAGTGTCTTTTGCCCCGCCTGGCCCCTGTAATCCCAGCACTTTGGGAGGCCGTGGCGAGCGACGCCGGCGGATCACCTGAGGTCAGGAGTTGACGACCAGCCTGGCCAGTATGGTGAAACCCCGTCTCTACTAAAAAAAAAAAAATTAGCGGGGCATGGTGGCTCTCGCCTGCAGTCCCAGCTACTCAGGCGGCTGAGGCAGGAGAATCACTTAAACCTGGGAGGCGCAGGTTGCAGTGAGCTGAGATGGCGCCACTGCACTCCAGCCTGGGCAACAAGAGCCAGACTGCGTCTCAAACAACAACAACAAAAAAGTGCCTTTCACCTCCACCCATGATTCTGAGGCCTCTCCAGCCGTGTGGAACTGTAAGTCCAACTAAACCTCTTTTTCTTCCCAGTCTTGGGTATGTCTTTATCAGCAGCGTGAAAACGAACTTATATATATATATATGCATATTAGCTATGGTAAGGAATTTACTTAATCTGGAATCTCACACATGAGTAGTTTAAATATATACTTTTGGTTTAGAAGTTCATTTTAGGAATTTGGGGTTGACCCAAATTTTCTGTTAAAACTCTACTTTTTCTTTGGCTTTACTCCTTGTTATGAGAAAAAATTAAACTAAAGGAAAATAAAACCGATATGATGTAAATTGCAATCTATAAATCTCTAAACCTTACTGGTGACGGTGACACACACATAAATTACACTCATGAATGAAGACAGTTGGGACAAAAGTTCAGAGTTGTTTTATTACACAGAGTTCATGACCAGTAGCTAAGTTCCTCTTCCTTTATGTAATGGAGGTGGGGGTAGAGGGAAAAAAAGGAGAGAAAAAGAACTCTTTAGTGAGGGTTTCCTTAACAACAAATCAGCTTCTTAGACTCCTGGGCATTTGCGATAAGTGTAGTGCATTACTGCGAATATCACACACTGTGGCATGTCTGAAACAGATTCACAGTATTTCAAAATGTTCCTGCCGATGCTATACAAGTAAAGGCTCTCTATCAACAACTGAGCATATTTATGATTTCAAAAAGACTCTAGCATTTAGAATAACTCAAGTTGAAATTTAAGAGCTATTACTCTATTAATTATGGTGAACTTTTATGGGGCTTGTATGGTTTCATCATCTATTTTTATTCTTTAGTAGTGGTATTTACTGAAGGTTTTGAAAACTGGTAGTGATCTAGTCAAATTTGTCTAGCATTCCTATTTTGTTTGGCTCACCCAGCTTTTAAAAAAATAATGAATTTATTAATGAATAATCCTTTTAGACAGTGCTATAGTCCTTACAATGGCCTATTTTGTAATATCAGTTTCATTAGAAATTGTTAACAAATATCTTTGAGTTTTGCTTCTCCCATCATTTCTATTTTCTCTTCATGAAATCTTATTGTCTGAGTATTATGCATGTATACATGTATAAATTTATCTATTGGCTTCAATTCTCTCTTTTGTGTCTTTAATAATTTTTTTAAAGCATTCTTTATAACTGTCCTGAATTTTGGGTGAATTTATCCACACTATTCTTCAGTTCTCTGATTTTCTCTTTGAAAATGTCTTTTCGAGAGTGTGCCATCTATGGAGTCTTTTATTTCAATGACTGCAATTTTTATTTCTAGATTTCAAATTGTTTATATTTTATAAATACCTTTGTTTCATTTATGCCAGTTTTGTCCAAAAAATGTTTGTGGTTATTATTTTACCTTATCTCTGCAAGAATTTTAAAATTGTTGGGATGCTGTCATCCAGAGCCTGGACTTATAGTGATACTTGGGTTGCTCTGCTACAGTGGGAGTGGACATGTTGCAGGTTGTGTGGATAAGCCAGTAGAGAATTAGGTAGGCCTAGAGTACTGACTTTGAGGCAGACTCAGTTTTCCTTCTCACATATTGCTCTGTATATGCTAAACCCTGCATGGAACACTTTAGGCCCCACTTGTAATACAGAAATCAAAATTCCCATATGCCTTTGCCTCAATGCCTACCTCACTCTTGTATGAGTTTTTTAGTCCACATTTAGAAATAAACTCTATAATCACATTTTATTCTTCTTGATCTTACCATAGATTCCATCCACAGTGATGAAATTAGAAGGATTTTTCAGAATGTGAATATATACAAACATTTATTTCTAAAAAAAAATTTTTTTTTTTTAATTGAGACGAAGTCTCACTCTTGTCCCCCAGGCTGGAGTGCAATGGCACAATCTCGGCTCACTGCAACCTCTGCCTCCCCGGTTCAAGCGATTCTCCTGCCTCAGCCTCCCAAGTAGCTGGGATTACAGGCCCCTGCCACCACACCCAGCTAATTTTTGTATTTTTAGTAGAGACAGGGTTTCACCATGTTGGCCAGGCTGGTCTCGAACTCCTGACCTCAGTTGATCCGCCCGCCTCGGCCTCCCAAAGTGCTGGGATTACAGGCGTGAGCCACTGCGCTTGGCAAAAAATTCTTATTTAATGGTCAATCATAGAGTTTGATATTACAGTCTGTATTCCTTTGCAAACACTACCATGACAAAATACTGTAAACTGGGTGATTTCACCGGCAGAAATTTACTGTCTCACAGTTCTGGAGGCTAGAGTCCGAAAGCAAGATGTTGGCAGGATTGGTTCCTTCTCTCCTTGGCTGGTTGGCCATCTTCTATGTCTCTTCTCATTGTTTTCCCTCTATGCTCCAATTTTCTCTTTTTACAAAGACACCAGACATATCCAGTTCGTGCCCACCCTAATGACTACATTTTAACTTGATTATCTTTGTAAAGACCCTAGCTCCAAATAAAGCCCATTCTTAGGTACTGTGTTTTAGGACTTCAGCCTGTGAATTTGGTTGGGCACACACTTCAACTCATAACCGTTCATCCAGGTCATCATTCTGTAGGTGCCAGATTAACTCAGAATTTATGTTTGCAGATAGATTTAATATATTCTAACTCTGCACTTCTGATTTGAATTATTTGAAATACATTTTTCCATAAGCTTATGGTTAAAATTATGTTCTCCATTCTTCTAGGTCTGCTAAAGTGCCAGTGGATGTTTTTAAACATAATTCATAAATTAACAGAGCATCATAGTTGAATAGCCATTGGAGACCATTTATTCATTCTACCCATTTTAACAGTGTATGCTTAATACAATAATGGTAAACAAAACAAATATGCTATCCCTGCAGTAGGGCTTATGGCTCTAAGGAGAATCAGCCCCTTGATCTCTTTGAGGACTTTTGATGGGTATATGGTCCCTTGGTCATTTAACCAGGAATAATTAGGCAAACAGGATCTCTAGTCCTTGCTACAAATAGTTCACCTTCCAAAAGGCAGGATTCTTTCACCAATCCCATAGATGTGATGACAACCTCCCTTCATCATTTCCTTGAAGGTCTTCAAGGAAAGGAAACATGATTGGAAAATATTTCTTGAAAATATCTTATTTACATCAAATATCCCTATAAATCTAACCCATGGCCATGAATTTTGTTGTCCTCAGAGCCATGTACCCTAGCAATAAAAGTAAGTCTAATCTACTTTGCATATATTAACCTATCAAATATTTGAAGATGGCTTTATGTCTCTTCTGCTTTACCTTTTCTTTAAGCCATGGCTAGTTTTTAGTTCTGTTTTTTTTCTCCCCCACCATTCGCCATATGGTAGTTTCTGTTCCAACCAGTCTCTTTTAGAACTATTTTAGTGGGTTTATATAGTGTGGGTTCCAGAAATGCGAAACATTAATCCAGAAAAGCATTTCTTTGGAAAATAAATGGAATTCTTACAAATACTAAATTTGTTAAATGTGATAAAGCATACAGTGTATTGATAAATAAATATTCCAGATTTAATTTATAAAAAATGTTGAGTGTTCCTTAGAAGGAAAGGCAGGAAGGAAGCCTTCCAGCAGGCTAAACTTAGTCCATATGACCTCTAAGGCCTCACAATATGTGAGTAGAGCTGATGCTATCTGCTGATTGGCAGTGTCAGCACCTCCAGTACTTCATATTACGGATGGATAAACCTGATGCCTAAACAATTTAACCAGTGACAAAGCTACAATCAAAACTCAAGGCTGCTGAATTGGAATCATTGTTTAATCCACAAAGAGATGAATTACGTTTAAATGCTGTATATTTTAACAAATCTACTTTGCCTTTATTTCAAAGGGCATGATGACAAAACATGACATTTGATATTTGGACTTTTGAAACTTCATACCTTTTTCATAAGCCCACGAATTACCATTTTAATTTTCTTTTTGTCAGTAAATGATGCTTGAAACCAGTACCTTCATTGCATCTTGGTATTCACCCTGAGGTCATTCTTAAATATCAGAAATGAAAAATAAAGTAGGGCCTGGAGATGATTTGAGAGTTGAATTGTAAATATCTATTGGTGTTTACGTACATACATATATAAATGCATGAAAAGCTAAATAGTAAAGGTTTTGGGGGGATGTCAATGACTTCAATATAAAAATTATCACATATATGCAATAACAGTGACTTTTTATAAAATATGTAAAAATAATGTAGTAATTAAACTTTTGATAATTCACCAATTTTTAAAAAAATAATAAAACTTAATAGCGAGGGGAATACAAATTACAATCACCATGCAATTCTACTATACACACTCTAAAATGGTGAAAATAAAACCAAAAGAACAAACTATTGAATTTTAGAATAAAATTATCTTGGGGAAGTGAAACAAAAATATGAATATAAGCAGCAAAAAGTTATATCATATTTCAAGATATAGAAAGGCTACTTCATGTACTGCTTAAAGATGCTTATCAAATCACTTTGGAATTTATATTCCATACATTAAATTAAAAGAGTGGGGATAGACTGTTAATTAAAATACCAATATTTACAAAAAATATATTCTATACTACTACTCAAACTTAAGATGACAAGTTGAACATGTGAACATGTCCACTTAAAATGTGAGAAAGGATTCGGTCTTGTAGAATTACTTTAAATGATACCCAAGCAAATAATTTTAGTTGAGGCTAGAGTCCAGTTAAAAGCTGTAGCTAGGCAAAGTTTGTGAAACCTTTGTCCACTTTGAAATGTTGGCATCCTTCTTTATCTTGCCCTCAATAGCAACTGTAACCCATCAGCTGCCTGTTTAAACCATGTGGGCAGATGCCCATGAATGCCGGAAGGGGCCTTCTTGGTATTTTATTGGCAATAACTCAAAGCTTATTAAAATCCAGATGGAAGGACCTGCAGCATATTTAAGTCCATATGCCCAAATGAGTACTGCAGTATTTAATTGCTTGCATTTCAGTCATAATTCCTTTCCCTTGTCTTACTTTTTCTCCAAAGTGCTTATATAGTCTTTCAGTTGATGTCCCCCTGAATTATCTTTAAAACCTGTTCTAATGCTCATTTGTAAAGCACTTAGGTTAAATTCTATGTATAATGTTTTACTATTTTTTTATTGGTGTTAAATGAACATTGAGCCATGAAGAGGCAATTGGGTGAGTCATTTGTGACTCTTTCTATTGTAGCTCTATTAAATTAAAAATGTCTGGTTTTTAATCCAATAATATTTTCCTGAACACATTAAGGCTATTACGTACACATGGCATGCCATCTCTGCAGTTTGGAGAATTAGTAAGAGAGTCCTACTCTTGCAAATATTGTGTCCATTAACTGACACCTAGAACATACCTCATGTTACTCAAGTCAATAATGCTATTTATGGTTTTAATAGCATGAAATCAAAATAATGATAAATGAAAACAAATCAGCTGTCCCAATGGCCAGGAACTGGAACCTCATAATTCTATACATAGCCATTGGCCTTATTGTCCTCATCTGTTGCCCACATACTCAATCACAAGTCTAAGTCTTACTTCCTCTCCTAAATCTTTATAAGAGACCAGGGGCTCCCTTCTATGAATTCTGATTACATTCAAAAAGTCTTAGCACTCGCTTTACACTTATCTTGTACTGTTCTGAAATGTTAATTGCTGCTTCCTGACTTTCTTTTATCTCCCAAATGTATAAGTTTCTGGAGACCAAGGACTGTGTCCTATTTTTCTGCAGCCATACAGCGCCTCTGTGTTGTATGCCTTACAGACATTCCACAAAGGTGCTATCTTGGGTGTGTTTCCAGGGTTTGTTTCCATGAGTTCAGAATATGTGGCAACATAATTGTCCACTTACCACTCTGCAACCCTCATCTGATGCCATGTTTTTAGAGAGCAGAGTCTGTATATGTGCATGTGTGTGTTTGCAAGTTTGCTTTTCATAATTATATTGCTAGTACTTAGTCCCAGAGTTATAAATGTGGACCGTACTTGTCTTTCAGATATTTACTGAGTGAAAGAACAAAGGCAGCCATAGGACTTTTGTAGATTTCCTGTTTCACCCTTGACAAATTACCGAACCTCCTTGAATACAGCTCCTTGGCTAACTCTCTTCACTATGACCGTTTGGGGAGTTTAGTTAGTAGGTAGAATATTTCTCAAAACAATAGAGAATCAAAACAATCTCTTCTGAGTTCAATTTTAAAACTGTGATTCCATTCATTGTCAATTCTGACATGGCATTAATTAAAGATATGTCTTAAGGAAACTTCAAAGTGTTAAGTGACTCACAAGAATGTGGTAGTAAGAATATTCTCATTTAAAATATAGTTAAAAAGATAAAATGACCTAAATGTCACGTTTACAAAACTGCTGGCAAACAGAAATATAATTTGTCTAGAATAGACATTTAGAATAGACAGAGAGTTAAAAAGTCCTTTCACTAAAGTCTTACATTTTTAAACCCACGGAAAATTAAAGTAAGCAGTTAAGAAAAACAAAAAAACGGGAGAAGAGAATTCTAGACACACATCTACTGCCCGCAGTTGGAAATTATAATTAACTGCAATTGAGCTTGTAGACAGGCAAGTTATACTCTACGTGTGATAGAATTTGAGAGGCATATCAGTTCTGTCTATATGGTCCTTGCCTGTGGGATCATTAGAGATTGATTAGAGTACGTGTCATTGATGTACCTGGGAAATGGGATTGCATAATAGTTTAGTTTGTGTTCCTCAATTTCATCTGAATTATAACCAGGTTACTATGGAGGCAACCTATGTGTTGTCTGTATTCCTAGATAACTGGATCCTCCCTCTTGTGTCCTGAACAGCATGCTTTATAGAACCTATAACATGATGTTACTCTCAGTGATTACATTTTCACATTCCCTTTGAGGAAAAGGATCTTGAAAAATTTATCTCTGCATCCCCAGAGACTAGCACAGTGACAGATTTTTAACAGTGTTTTTACTATGTAACATAACACTGACACAGAAAAACACACAAAACAACTGTTTAGCCTAGGGAATTGGTAAGACGAACTTTATCTTTCTTTTTTACTTAAATTTTAGTTGCTGAAGAAACCAGATCTCTGATCTGTACAGTTCTCCATAGCCCTGATTTGGATGATGGTATTTCCATGGTGAAATTTAATATGTCCCTTTTTATTTCCTAAATATTGGTGGTTGGGTTGGGTGCATAGACTTGATAAGATTCTGGTTTGATGATTTTGGCAAGACTACTTTATTGATGATGTGATTATACAAGACAGGAAACTCATTTCTTGTTCTCTCTTTATAAGACTTTGTAGAGAGATAAAGTGAAGTCTCTGAGGGTTTTAAAGTTGAAAGCATTTTGTTTGATACTTTGAAGATTCAGCCTTGGTCAAGGCTAAAAAAATAACTGTTGTGTTTTTTCTAGTGTGGGGCTATTAGAAATAGTAATGCTACGAATATCCTTGTAGACATCTTTCAGTGAACATATGCTTGATTTGTGTTGTTGTATACCTAGGGATGAAATTACCAGGTCCGATAGGGTCCTTATGTTTAGTTTTAATAGGTACTGCCATGAAGTTTTTCAATGGGGTTGTACCAACTTACTTGCCCAAAAGTAGGGTATGTACTTCTACCAGTTGTTCTACATGCCAGTCAATATTTGGTATTGAGAATAAGTTTTAAAGTTTAGACATACTGGTGGGTACATAATGGTATCTCAATTACGAATTTGACTTACATATCCCTCATGACTAATAAAGTTAAACTCATCTTCCTATGTGTATTCATCATTTAATATCTTCTTTAGTGAAGTACCTTTTCCCTTGGGTTTTTTGTCTTTTCTTTATTAATTTCTAAGACTATTTTTAAAATAAATGCAAATCATTTCATCCTTTGTTTCCCAACCTAAGTTTTTCCAGGTATATTGTCTGAAGCTCAAGGGAGATTATGAAATAAAGTTTGATGGCAGAATAGAGATGTACAATATAATGCATCCGCATAAAGGCTTCCAAAATTTCAGTATAAACTCTCGTTCATTTTAAAGTGCATCAGGATATATAAAAGCCCAAATATGAGATAAAGTTCATAACTCATAGGTCAATATCCTACTAAATGAAGTTACACTAAAAATTATCTTATTGTGCCCAGCCGCGGCCAGAAGGTTTTACTTCAATGGGAATATAACTTATTTTGATAGGGAATTTTATTTCTCTGTTGCCGCATAGCATCTCCTCCCAAGGAATGGGTACAGATCTTTCAGTGTTTCAGACACTGACTCAACGCTGTCTGAGTTAATAGGAAATAAGTTACACAGACTTGACTGCAACCTTATGTAATCTAGAAAACAAGCTAATCTCTAAGCCCTAGAGCAGAAAGTGCAATGATATTACAAAGTGTTAGTATTTCACCTACACTCCTATAGTCAAATGCCATAACGGAGACCAGTATGAGTTACACGGAAAAATATATTCATTTCAGTTTCTTTGGGATGTACCAAGTTACTGTCGGACTATGTCAATTGTCTCATTTTCATGAGTTGGAATTAAACCTCCTGGAAGAAATCTCTTATGCTTCTGTTAATTATGACACTACATACAGTTTGTGTGTGGGAAAGGGTTGATAAAATTACTCTATGCATATTGTTTCCTTGATTAAAGGAGCAATTATATAAAATAATATAGCTAGAATTTGATAGTTTAATAGGTGGCAGACACTAAGGTGCCTTGTATGTGTTTAATAAGGAAGGCAGTGTCACTAAGGTGCCTTGTATGACCTTATAAGGAAGGCAGTGTCATTATCAACCCCATTTATTAATATGAAAATGATAGACTGGTTAAGATAACAAATTTACAAAGATGATTGGCAATTTTGGCTGCTGCAGGCAACAGGTTTTAACTGAATGTATTACTCCATTTTCACGCTGCTGATAAAGACATACCTGAGACTGGGCAGTTTACAAAAGAAAGACATTTAATGGACTTACAGTTCCACGTGGCTGGGGAGGCCTCACAATCATGGCAGAAGGTGTAAGCCACGTCTCACTTGGTGGCAGACAACAGAAGAGTGAGAGCCAAGTGAAAGGGGTTTCCCCTGATAAAACCATCAGATCTCATGAGACTTATTCATTACCACAAGAACAGTATGGGGGAAACGGCCCCCATGATTTAATCATCTCCCACTGAGTCCCTCCCACAGAATGAGGGAATTATGGGAGCAACAATTCAAGATGAGTCTTGGGTGGGGACACAGACAAACCTTATCACAGAGGTTCCCTTTTTTGTGAAACTAAGCCATCTTTCTGGTACCTTGGTGCAGCACTTTTCCCCTATGAGGAGGCTGTTTTATACCTGTGCCACAAGATCTGATGTTCCATGTTTTTCTATGTATACTAGAACTAAAAAATCATACCTAAAAGCAAAGGTTTTCTTTCATCTCCACAGTCAGCTTGGCTAGAGAAAATAACTCCCATGAATTCCCAAAGGCAGGCAGCTGGGGCTGTATCTGCAGCTTTCATGCCTAGAGTCTGTTGAAGACCAATATTTCTGGCATGTGCATTATAAAACATTCACTGTCTTCACTTTTTGAATATTCAAAGCTGTAAAAGCATTTCTTCCTGCTATGTCTTTTGTTTGTGGCGGTGGTTTATATTCTTCTCTATTTGGTGCTGATATGGTTTGGCTATGTCCCCACCCAAATATAATCTTAAATTGTAGTTCCTTTAATCCCCATGTGTCATGGGAGGGACCTGGTGGGAGGCAATTGAATCATAGGGTGGTTTCTTGCATGCTACTCTCATGATAGTGAGACATGGAGTCAAAGGAGATCATTTTGAAGCTTTGACTGGACTAGGAACTTGCATGGCACCTGTAGCCCCGTCATTTTAGCCAATTTCTCCCATTTGGAATAGGTTTATTGATCAAATGCCTGTACCTCCATTGTATCTAGGAAATAACTAACTTGCTTTTCATTTTACAGGCTTATAGGCAGGGGCACTTGCCTCGTCTCAGATGAGACTTTGGACTTGGACTTTTGAGTTAATGCTGGAATGAATTGAGACTTTGGGGGACTGTTGGGAAGACATGATTGTGTTTTGAAATGTGAGAACGAGATTTTAGAGGAACCAGGGGCACAATAACATGGTTTGGCTGTGTCCCCACCCAAATCTCATCTTGAATTGTAGTTCCCATAATTTCCAACTTTCATGGGAGGGAGGTAATTGAATCATGGGGGTGGTTTCTTCCATGCTATTCTCATGATAGTAAGTTCTTGTAAGATCTGATGGTTTTATAAGGGGTTTCCCCCTTTGCTTGGTTCTCATTTTTCTCTCTTCTGCCACCATGTGAAGAAGGGCATGTTGCTTCCATTTCCGCCATGATTGTAAGTTTCCTGCGGCCCAGGAATGTGGAACTGTGAGTCAATTAAACCTCTTTCTTTTATAAATTACCCAGTCTTGGGTATTTCCTTATAGTGACATGAGAACAGACTAATACAGGTGCTGAACTTAGCCTGCTGGATTCCTTCTCCTAAATTCATCCTTTCTCCCTTGAGGAGCTCTTAGTAAGAAGTAAAGAGTGGTCATGTGGAGTCTAGCATGTTAGGTTCTTCTCCTAAACTCATTCTTTCTCCCTTGAGGAGCTCTTAGTTAAGAAGTAAAGAATGGTCAAGAGATTTAAGACACAAATATTTCTTGTAATATATATTAATATATCACATACACACACACACACACACACACACACACACACACACACACACAGACACACAGAGAGATGGGTTAAGGTGCCCAATCCCAAATGCCAAAAAGAAACGAGGTGGGTAGTGGAAGGGTGATGTTTACTTGAAGTTTTGTTTGTTGTTTAATAGAAAATGATAATGCATAAAAGTAGGTGGGAATGAGTCAGTTGGCACAGAGGTATTGGTCATACATCTGAGAAAAGGGAAACCTAGTAAGGTAAGGTTGCTAGAAAGGTGAGGAGTGAACAGGTTACCAGGTGTATGTGAAGCCAGCCCTTCCATTTGTCAGAAGAGAAGGGGCTGGGGATGGCATAAGACAGTTATGCATGTATGTGAATTCATATGGTGGATGGAGGGGTGATGAGAGGTTTTCCGTGTTACGGGTTCTGCTTTGTCCATGAGGTAGGAGATAAGATCATCCAGCCAAGGTTGAGGAATTGGGAGGCAGTGATGACAAATTTGAGAGGCATTAAAAAGTTTTAGAAATACTATTTCAATTCAAAAGAGAGTGAGTTAACCAGAGAAATCTAAGTGGGACTTATCATGAAAATCATTATAGAATTGTAGGCTCTATTAACAGCATGTGAAATGTTACATAGCTTGCACCCAGTATTTGTTTGAGTTTTAATTAACTTTATTATATTGCTAGTTTTTAGTGTGTTATCTATCAGTTCTCTGTATTTCAATGCTCTCTCATTTTTCTCTGATAGCAGATGCTTGAAGATCTATTAGGAGATCATTTCTGAATATCAAATTCTGTGTCAATAGAACTAATCATCTTTAAAAAAAGCAACCATACTCAGTGATATAAACCAGTGTGGCTGTAGTCATCTGTCTAAACCAGGAGAAATAATTCTTTTTTTCTTGCTTAGAATCTTTTTTGTTCTTCTTTCTCCCTTAAAGTCAATTGCAGTTGAAAAAAACCCTGCCCTTTACAGCTGGGATCTGATTCATAACCCCAGGTTTTCCCATTTTGTTCTAACTGGAGGGTCCATATCTGTTTCTGTTATACCTAAATGGTGGTTATTACTCAGCTCCTGGGAGAAAGCCTCAGCTAAGTTATGAAAAATAATTTTTGAAGAGTGACACAGAGAAACAGCCAGGAGGAAAAGGGAGTCTACTTTTCTGCTGCTTGCCTTAGGCCCCTGAGCGGTGGGCCCAATGTACCAAGAGTTAGAAGTACCCACAATCTTCCAGCCCCGAAGGAAATGTCCCCATTTACATCTGCAAAAGATATAACAAGGGTGTGTTCAAAGCTGTCACTCTGAGCTGTGCTTCCTAGGAGTTCAGGCTGCTCCCCTTTCCAGGGGAAGTTGAGGAGAGGACGGGGATGAAGTGGGGGAGGGAAGCAAAATTCTGTCATGTCCGTCAACAGGTGAAGCCTAAAAATTTCACTGGAAAAAGTTGTGGAAGAATTAACAGCTGCAGGCCTGTTTGGAGAAAGTCAGCAGAGTAGTTTCCATCTGGCATTTGTTTCATCTGCAGAAGAATTTTTTTTTCCTTTTTAAATAGGGCTTGAGCTGAAAGCCCACTTCATTTAGATGTTAAGTCCTAGGATACCAAGGACTTTGCAAACTGCCAGGATACCCTTCTCATTCCCTTCCTTGTACACCTCCCACCAGCCGGTCATCCTGGAGCTCAGTGGAAAAAAATAAGATCCAGGGATTAAAATAATTCTACTGCAAGGTGAGAACCTTCAGGCCACCTGCGCCCTCTTAGTCTCGAGCAGCATCAGCCACAGATGAATGGGCTGGATGAAAGAGGCACAGAGGTTTGCTTTCGTAGTCAACATATAATGCTGTGTACACAGATATTCAACAAGCTTCTGTGTATCTGGAATAAATAAATTTTAAAAAGAAACAACTAACAGCTTATTCAAGCATGCAGCTGAATACTGCATGGCCTCTTTAAGAAAGGGTGTTGTATAAAAGTAACCTGGTTTCAAGCTCCAATACATAAAACAAAATTGAAATGATGCAGTGAAGGTAATGATCATACAGTAAAATAGCCATCAGAAGAGCGAGAATGTAGGTTAAAGAATTTCAGAATACCTAAAAACCCTACTCCATAATTTTCAGAATCAATGGAAAACCAAAGAAAAAAAAAAAAAAATCAAAGCAAAACAAAACACCTCATTTGCTTAGATAAAATAGAATGTACATATCTGATATTTCCAGAAGCAAACTATTCTTACGGTTATCTTCCAGCGACTTAATTTTCCTTTTTTCATTTAGTATATAAGATTAGCTCAATGATAAACTCTTTGTTGGATTATTGGTGAGCCGCAGATTATCTTATTATTGATAAAAATATAGGGCAAGAAGGTGAAATAGGCAGATGACAGACAACCAAAGGGTAAGTTTACTCAAAAGTAAAACTCCATACAGGTACCAGATGGTGATATATATTGACTTATTTAGAAAGAATCTTCTAAGTCAATATTTCTTCTTCAGAAAGAAAGGTTGATTACAATCGCTCTAAACAGGATTATCTACCCTAGGGAGATTAGAAATGAACTTTCTGCTTTCATTCTCTGCCAGTAATATATTTATACCTTAAACAGGTCAAACTTCAAGTCATCTCAATTAGGATCAGCAAGTAAAGCTGCCACATAGCTTTAATCAGTGGGAACAAAATAAACTTACAGGCTGCTTCTTCTTCGAAGGTTTGTCTTTCTTGTTTGGCTAGGATGATGACACTGGGTCAGTGAAAGAAGGAGCCAGAGAGAGGAAGAAAAATGAATGGCTCGTAATTCTTTTATTCAGTCCTTAAGGATCTACAGTGGGTTTATCAAATAATGATAAATATCAGATAGAAATTTATTTTTTAGAATTCTCATTTATCGAATAATGGTGAATATCAGATAGAATTTTATTTTTCAGAATTCCTCTTGTGAAGAATATTATTGTTATATTTTTATAGAAAAAGTGTTTTGATAAGTTATCTAGAGTTGTGACTAAGACTGCAATTGTACGTTAAAGTAAAAAAAAAAAAAAAAAAAAGTAGCTGAGAAATCTTCAAAGGAGAGTAATGGTGCTTCCTTTTCCTGTGTGGCCATCCTATTTTATGGTGAAGACAAACGTTGCAGTATATGGAAAACACTTGGGGATTTCTTAAAATGCACATTCTGATTGAGTATAGCTGTAGTAGGCCTGAGTCTACATTTCAAAAAAGCTCCTAGGTGATGCTGATGCTGCTAGTCCAAGGACCACACTGATTGTCTACTTTATAGAATGCATTGATTCCATTTTCTTTGCATGTTTTGGGTGTAGGCATTGTAAGGGAACAAGTTACGTGTAATAAAGGACCTATCTAGAAAAGACAGGTGTCAAAGAATCTGGGTAATGCCTACCATAGTAGAATTATTAAGGAAGCTCAATGGGCAATATAGCTAAGAATGTTTAAGTTGGTGCTTTGGGGTATACAATGGCAAACCCTTCTCTATGCTCATACAATATATTCAATGAAGAGTTCTCGGCAAAACCAATAGGTTCTCAGTTTTCCATCCAGGTAGGCCTAGGAGAAACCGAAGATACAAGAGTAAGAAGATATGGAGCCAAATGGCATCTGAATGGCAAAAACAAAATAATAGCCAACATTTATTGGACATCTATCTGTGTTAGTCCAAGTGCTTTGCATTTTTGACTATTATTATTGCCATTTAACATGCAAGAAAACCTAGGACGTGGAGAGGTTAAATCTGCACCCAGGCTCTCTAACGCTTAACTACAAAGTCCAAAGACTACTATATTCAGTCACTCAAGAGTTGAAATGTATTTTCAGCTTGAAAATGATTTTCCCTCATTTTCAGCTTAAATGAGGCAAACTCAATCTTCTTCTCCCCTTGCTCTCTCCTTTTCTCTGTCCCTTCTCCTTGCTCTTTGTCTCTCTGTACCCTCTGCCCCAATAATTTCAGAGACAAGTACTCCTGAAGAATTCCTGAGAGCTACATTTTAGTTCATATTCTCTCACCTTATATAACATTTTGATTTTCTTTCCCTGTTTACAGTCACACCTTCAAACTGTACTAACACATCTTCATTCTGTTAGGTTAACTCGTGCTTTTGTGAGTCACAGGCTCTTAAGGTGAAATAAATGAAAGAAATCACAAAGGAATTATTACAAGTTTTATAGATACATTTTCCCTTTAAAAATTATATTTACTACCCGACTTAAAACATAGAATATTACCAAGCGTGTTGAAGCCCCCAAGTATTCTTCTCCAAAAGGTAACTACTACCCTAAATTTTGTATTCATGAGCCCCTCACTTTCCTTAATACCTTGAAAATAAATGAATGTGTTCCTAAAACAGATATTTTGCACATTTTGAACACTGCATAAATGACAACATTTAAAATGTTTTCTCCTGAAGTGTTTTTTCCCCCCAATCAACCTTATGTTTGTAAGATGCATTGATGTAGGTTTATATAGGTGGAGACCATTCGTTTTTTCACCACTGAACTACAAGGCATGGTTATGAATTATGAATATAACACAGTTGATTAGTCCCGTTGTTCACATGACATGTGGCTTAGTTCCAGGTTGTTTTGCTTTTGTTATTACAAATGTTTTTCTTAAATCCGTGAGTTCCACAATCTATTTTCTCTCTGCCTGCTGTTTTATATTCTCTTCCCTTCACTATTTCAGTAGCTCTCTTCCTTGGCTGCCTGTTGGAATACCTGGGGAAATTTTAGAACCCCTGATGCCCGTATTGCATGCTAGACCAAATATATAAGACTCTCTGAAGCTGGGACTCAGGTATTAATATTATATAAGGTTCTGTAGGTGCTGCCAAAATGCAGATAAGGTTTCATAACATTGCTTGAATTCCACCTTATTTGAAAGAAAAATTGCTTCCCTGGTTCCAGTTGCATTTAATATATTTTTCTAGAAAACTAACCTGAGAAATAAGAAGCTAAAATGCCCCTTCACACACTCAGGAATTTATTTTCATTAGTTGGTTTTATTTTGAGCTCGCTGGTTTGCATGTCCATCTGTCTGCTTATGTCACATGTGCCCAGTGGTTACATTATTGCCTAATAGACCTCTAAGCTGTGGCTTCTTCAGGAAGCATTATTTATTTATTCATTGAACTTTTTGGGTAACTTTGTAAAACAGAGTTCTGTTTACCCAGGGCCCAGAGGTAAAGACACAAAAGTAGACCCAGTCCTTTAAAAAGTTGAATCAGAGGGAAAGAATCACAGAATTTTACTCTAAAGTAAATATTAAACCTAGAATCATATGATCTGCCCTAGGAATTTGCAAACCACAGATACACCATCCCTTTTGCAGAAATATGTTCTTTTGGCCACTAGCCATTTCTTAAAGCTGAACCCTTGGTAAAGGATGAGTCAACAGGGTGCATCATGACTCAGGCTCCAAGTGAAACAGAGAATGAGTTGGTTTAATGGCTTTTAAAGTGGCTTTCTACCCTGTTATGCAAAGTGTAGCCCCAATATCCAAGAAAACAATAATTTAACATGATCCATTGGTTGGAACTGAACTCTTCATTACCCCAGTAGGACAGCATTAGATAAGGAGCTATTATGAGTCATTCCTTGTAGAGCTTAATAACAGCAACACAGAGGCAATTTGGATCAGTAAGCAACCAATACTCTCAAAGAACAGTGCACAGCAAAATAAAGCTGCTAGTGACATTCTCTGTCCTTTGAAGTGGGGGTGTCGTTAATGTTATTCGTCAACTATGTCAAGTATTTTCCCCAAAGGGTGTCCAGGAATCATTGGTATTAAGAATTACTCTCATCGCTTTTATCTATCCCAAACTCTTTTTTCTTGACCATCAAGATAATTTTTTAAAAATCAAGTTTTGTACCTTAATTTCCAAAAAATAAAAATTTGGAGGAAATGAACTTGCTGACAAATATAATCAAGGCCTATGTGACATCTACACAGCTCTCTTGCGATTATGTAAACTTTACAGAATTTTTTGTACATAACAGTCTAATACCTAACTGAGGAGTTTATTCAGGCAACAGATTTTATGCAGTTACATTATATAAGTGTTTGAATAAAACAGTAATCTGACTTCTCTTCTTGGACAAGTGACAATATTTTTGTCCTTCAAATTCTCTCAGATATGGAGGTTTGCTGACACTAGATAAAGAATCCTTATTAAAGTTTTCTAATTTCTGCAACCAGAATGACATGTTGCATTTGCCCATTTTTCTCTGAAGTGCT
Organism: Homo sapiens; assembly: GCF_000001405.40. NCBI lineage: Eukaryota > Metazoa > Chordata > Mammalia > Primates > Hominidae > Homo > Homo sapiens. The sequence continues at coordinate 70,406,744 of NC_000017.11, forward strand.
ATTTGCATCACCAGAAACTTAAATAAGCCTAGATTAAAGGCATACTTTATGGGCATACATAAGCCTTTTCTTGAATGCATAAATTTTGGACCATTTCTTAACCTATATTTGGGTAGATGAATTTTGAACCATTTCCAAAATATTAAGTCCTTGATTGTATACTGGCAGAGAAGCAGAAAAATAAAAACAAATTAAATAGGAAAGGACGAGAGAGATTTTCACTTGCTTGTTTGTTTTCTCAAGATAAAAATGAAATGGCAGGCTGATTATGAGCATTTACCAATTATATTGCCAGGTACCCCAGTTTTTTTTTCTTACTCACACACTTGAATGCCACAGAATGTTTGGGAAAGGTTCAGCAGCAAATCTAATGCTCTCCCACTGGGGTAGTGAACCTATGTGTTCCCTGTACTTGGGTGAAGGATAATAATAATAAAAACATATATTTGGTGAAAATATTTATATACTTTAGTTACCCAGTAGTTATCATCTATAAAATATGTTGAATTTCATTTATCCATATGGGAGGTAGAGAATTAAATATATATTCAAAAAATGATAGAAGGAAGAGAAAAATGTTAAAGAAGTCAGAGAAAGAGGGGCAATCCCCATTTGTTATTCAGTTTTTCTTTATTGGCTCTTATAAGTAGTTTCTCATTGAAATTGTTGCTAAAGAAGCCTAAAGAAGATTTGACTCTCTTGGACATCTGTTTATTTATAAAACTAAGACTATAGGAAACCCTACACAAATTTTTGTGTGGAGGCTTTATAATTTACATTTCTGCCACTGGACAGGAAAATGTGTCTGCAAAATGAAAGCAGAACAAGTAAATTATGCTTGTGTTCAGGGCTTTTCTATTCAATCTGTCTGGATATCTGCTTCTTTATTTCTATTTATTAAGAGCTGTATTAACACAAAGTACCCCACATTAAGCAATAGCTTATGTCATTGTAATAACATTTGAGTTACCACATACATGTCGTGTGATCTAAATTCTGGTGAAAGGATGATTAATAAGTCAAATGTATATGAAGAACATGCTTCATATTTTGAGATGAGCTACTATGAAATTGTTTCTACTGATGTAGTTTAATGGAAGAAAATGAAAGTAATTGCGGTTTTTGCAATACTTTTAATTGCAAAAAACGCAATTACTTTTGAACCAACCTAAATACAAAATAAGTTAAAGCAACTCAGATTAGGATTTTATTGCCTCGTGGCTGTCTAGCTCCATTGGATGGAAGAACATGTCAATGACTGTAAGGCAGCAAGTTCAATCCATGTGCGTACCAATACGTTTTGTTCTATCTTTGGCCAGAGCCCTATCCCTTAGCCCTGCCGCATGTCCCTCTGATGTAGCCTTTATTTCCTGAGAGAGGATCCAAGAAGGAGAACATAGATGCAACACACACACACACACACACACACACACACACACACACACACACACATACACACATACACACTGTTTTAGATATATCTTCTGGTGGTTGATCAAAGCCATAATCTCTTTATATCTGACAGCCCTATTAGTATGTTTCATGCACTGTTGCTCTGATTTAATAAACACATTACATTCAAAAGCAGAATCCAGCAGACCCTTTTAATTTGCTCTCCTCAGAAGTTCAACACACCTTATGGAAACTTGGACTTATTTTGCAAGAGCAAAATAAAATGGAAAATTGAGACTGATTCCAACAAAATATATTGATCCTGGCACCAGTACGTGTAGATCTTCCTCTAGGCCTTTCTTAATGTCATGACTCAAAGGAAGGCTGTTTTCTTTTTCCTTCTCTCCCTCCTTTCCATCTTCTCTGCCTTCCTTCTCACTTTGTTTTCTTTTTTTTCCTTAATGCTTACTACCAGTAGTTAATAACAGTAGCAAATACACATCTTATTATGCTTCAGCCCCTGTTCTAAGGCTGTCCCTATATTCATGTAATCCTCATAGGAACACTATGAAGTAGGTATTATTATTATCTTTATTTTATGAACTAGAAAGGTGAGTTCCAGAGAGACTAAGTAACATGCTTAATGTGAAATTGCTAGCTAGTGTCAGAGTCAGGATTCAAACTCAGGCAATCTGATTTTTGTCTGGAGATCATTCTCCTAATCTTTTTTCATTCTCCTGGATATAGATAAATTAGACTGAGCCACAAAATAAAAATATACTTCTAATTAAACATAAGATTTGAAATAAAAATCGTGCTTGAAAGTGCTGACTTGTATGTTTTAAACTCTGTGTGTATTTGTATATTTCTGTCATTTTCAAAAATATGAAGTAATTTCTAACTATATATTATTAAACATATACAGTTATTGCTTATAGTGTTATATGCCAAAACTGCTTTTAGGTGAGAATGATTTTAACACTGCATTTGCTGTTGGCATGGATAGGAAAAAAATGTTATTAACACAAACTTTAAAAATTAAGAAGTCTTTGTTAAAGAGGTTAAACATTTCCCTGCCATCTTTATCCTAACTTCCATTGAAAAGTTTCCCCTCCATATATAGCACAAATGTAAATTTTAGCTTATCTTTTCTAAATTTTTATAATTTCATAATTAGGAAGATCCAACTAGATGGGATTTAACTGTAATTTTTCTATTAAGGCTTCGAAAACCTCAGAATATATCAGACGAATTAGTTATAAAATTTAATACTCTATATATAGTCTCTGGAGACGCAAACAAATATTGAGCTTTAAATGATGTGTTCTAAGTAGATTTTTTATATGTGAGTGTTTTACTGTGCTGCTATATAATATCATTTGTCATATATGAAATAAACAGTATTCTATATATGTGGTTAGCAGACAAGAGTTTCAGATCTCATCTGTACAATGGAATTATGATGACCTTTTGAAATAACATTCCACTCTTTAATCTTAAAATTAATAATGTCATACGGATTAAAACATTATTCATTTCTTTTCTTTACCATGGCTCATGTATCTTGGAGTCACAAAACCACTTATTACCAGGGATGTATTGGTCTTTGAAGTTCATATAATTACAGGAGAAATTTAACTCACTCACCTTTAGTGGGTTTTATATATTATAGCAGAAGATTATTATAATTCTATTTAATTAGCAGAATGAAAAGGTAGCTTGAAAAATATTTTCCAATTCTTGTTTGGATGACTCAGGGGCCATTGTCAATCTTCCACCATGGTAATTTAATGTCCCCTGAAATGTTGTATGCCAAAATGATTAAGTATCATTACAAGGAGAAATTTTTATACAAAGGCAAATACCACAGCAGATCATGTTCACTCAATCACAATTAAAATGAACGCACTTTAATAGCACTCTAGTTTTGTTTATTAAGCACAATGAAGCAGGTGCTTTACGCTAGAAAAATTCATCTTGTTTATACCTGAGACATGTAACTGAAATCATCCTGCTGTCCATATTCTTTGTGGGAGCTTCATTTATTTGGTAAGCTTTAGAGAGAAATAAAAATAAGCATATCACATAACATGACAATGCCAACCTCTTTCAGCACAGCCTTGAATTGTCTAAGCACCTTCATGTATTACAAATAAATTCCCTGGGCAACATTTCCTCTGGAGTCTAATTAGATTCCACTCCATGTATTTACAAACAGGAAGCAACAAGGCTGTGACTTCATATTTCCACTCAAAGGCCTCCTCAATTAACATATGACATTGGTGTTATTTGGGAATGAACACTGAGTTCGTTGTAAGTTCCCCGTATAACAAAGAAAAATGGCCTATTTTTTGTTATCTCAAAGATGACAATCATTATATTATTTCCATATTATTACTTGACAAATAGAGACAGTTTAATACTAAAATGTTTCTGGTGCCTTTGAAAAATGGGCAGGTAATAGGTGGGAATCATAATTTAGGGATTAAATATCTGGAGTACACTTGGAGAATGAACTCTTTGATAAATAATGGCATAGAAAAGATCCCATTACACCAGAAGATGTGGACAGAGGTAAAGTGTCATAAAAGCATGCACCTTCGTAAAGTATTGAGAAAGCAGTGCCCACCTGATACCATCAGTGCTCAAACTGCTACCATCTTTATAGTTTTAAAAAAATACTTATGCATGTAAATATCTCTATATGAAACAGATTCCAAGATGATTCAAGAGAACCAAAAATATTTTTCTGTTGTTTAGGTATTTGGTATTATTTTAATAGAGCCAATTTCAATTCTCCACAACCAAAAATATTCTTAGTACAAAAAATCTAATTTAATTGAAAGCCATTTTAGTTCAATTTCCCGTTAAATGTTCTTTTAGGCCATAGTATATCTATATATTGTTAGGGATAATTTTTTTTCTTTTGGCATTAACAAGAATATATGTATGCAAGCATTGGAAAGCATGAATAGCACTCTTAGTGATTACATGACTATAAATTAAAATAACCATACAGCTGTTGGTAATATTTATCATTCTATATTCATAATTGTGTCCCTAATAAAGCACTGCAGGCCTCAGAACAGGGTATTCTCCTTTCTGTTCCACTCCAAGTGGAACAAATAGTGACATGCCGTTTCCGACCCTTGAGTATTAACCCGGCAGTGATTATTTTGCCTGTCGTTAAAATAACAAGAATGCCGATCTCTATTGGATTCGGTTACTGTATGGACTGCTGGAGATTCAATGTGGTTCAACAATATCACTGAAAATTAGCAAACATAACACATTCTAAATGTCCACTTGTTCTTTATCCAGTTACAATTATTGAAATTCCAGGATTTTTGAAAAGGTAAGGTCATGAATTTCTTGTTAGTGAATCAAGTTAATATTCAGATACATTCTATGTGTTCCCTGCTCTGACTTTTAGTGGCTTAAAGTGCATGTGATACACACAAAACAAAGTAGTCTTGAATTAGGTATTAATTTGTCTTTTCGGTTGCAAATAGACTTCTATTACGGCAAATACAGGGGCCAAGTCTATATATTTTCTTTATACTTTACAAGTAATTGATACATAGAAATACTTAACAGATTCCAAGTGGATGATGCGGGTAAAGAGAAACTTACCATTTCCTAATATTTTCATTAATTTCTTTTTTTTTAAAATTTTACTTTAAGTTCTGGGATACATGTGCAGAACGTGCAGGTTTGTTACATAGGTATACATGTGCCATGGTGGTTTGCTGCACCTATCAACCCACCATCTAGGTTTTAAGCCCCACATGCGTTAGATATTTGTCCTAATGCTCTCTCTCCCATTGCCCCCCACCCCCTGACAGGACCCTGTGTGTGATGCTTCCCTCCCTGTGTCCATGTGTTCTCATTGTTCAGCTCCCACGTATGAGTGAGAACATGTGATGTTTGGTTTTCTGTTCCTGTGTTAGTTTGCTGAGGATGATGGTTTCCAGGTTCATCCATTGAGTCTTGGCAGAGCACTTTAATTTTATGGGGATAAACATTATTCATGGTGGCAATGGTAATAGTGGCTGTGAGAATTGTGAGGTGTGTGGCAAAGGTAGCAGCACCAGGGATTTAGATGTGGTGTGCTTGAACATTTAATGGCGGCAGTACCAGAAGTGTGGTATCATCAAAAGTCACCTAACGAGAATGTTCTCGGGGTGACTGTGCCCATGCTTCTTCCACCTTGGGCAATGCAATACTCATATTTCTTGCCTACGTTGATTATTAGTCATTTTTGGCACCTGGTTCTCTAAGCTGTGAACTACCCGTATCCCTGTAGTCCATTTCTTTTCTTCTTAAATTGACCATAATCAGGTTCTGTGGATTGTAACCAAGAATCTTTACTCATTGGTATTCTTTTGAGTAAGATCCTTCAGGAAAATTTTATTTTCAATAGTTTGCTCTCTGTAAGAACGCCTGATTTATAAATTAGGAAGCTTGGAACAAAGGATAAGTTGTCATAATGGCACAGCTTCATTGGTCAAGTAGGAGCTAAGACAGCTGATAATCTGGTAGGAATGCCCTTTATGCAGATGACAGGGGAATCAATGTAGAAGCCTTAGAACAATGGTAGAACTAGGCTTTGGTTGGGCCAAATTTGATAACCGAGAAGGTAAATTTAGGATGTGAAATACGACAGCAAAAACCTAGGAGAGAAATATTTTTAAAAATTTTTTATTATACTTTAAGTTCTGGGATACATGTGCAGAACATGCAGGTTTGTTACATAGGTATACATGTGCCATGGTGGTTTGCTGCACCCATCTACCCATCATCTTCATTAGGTATTTGTCCTAATGCTCTCCCTCCCCTTGCCCCCAACCCCCCAACAAGCCCCCGTGTGTGATGTTCCCCTCCTTGTGCCCATGTATCCTCATTGTTCAACTCCCACTTATGAGTGAGAACATGTGGTGTTTGGTTTTCTGTTCCCAGGTTAGTTTGCTGGGAATGGTGGTTTCCAGCTTCATACAGGTCCCTGCAAAGGACATGAACTCATTCTTTTTTATGGCTGCATAGTATTCCACAGTGTATATGTGCCACACTTTCTTTATCCAGTCTATCATTGATGGGCATTTGGGTTGGTTCAAAGTCTTTGCTATTGTAAACAGTGCTGCAGTAAACATACATGTGCATGTGTCTTTATAGTAGAATGATTTACAATCCTTTGGGTATATACCCAGTAATGGGATTGCTGGGTCAAATGGAATTTCTGGTTCTATATTGCCATTATTAATAAAAACGATAAAGGTGTGTTATGTGCCAGAAAATTTGCTGGGTTATTGACGTGGATTTTCTTTGTCTCACCATTAATCTGTAAGATAGTTACTATAATTATCTTTGTTTTAGGTATGAGGAAACTAAAGTCTAGAGAAAATAATGTGCTCGAGATCACATAGCCTGGAAGTAGCAAAGCCACACCTGAACCCACACAGTGTGAATGCCAATGTCATTTTCTCTCCTTTTTTTTTTTGAGACAGAGTCTCACTTTGTTGCCCAGGCTTAAGTGCAGTGGCACGATCTCAGCTTACTGCAACCTCTGCCTCCCAGGTTCAAGCGATTCTCCTGGCTCAGCCTCCTGAGTAGGTGGGATTACAGGCACCTGCCACCACGCCCAGCTAATTTTTGTATTTTTATTAGAGACGGGTTCTCACCATGTTGGCCAAGCTGGTCTCCAACTCCTGACCTCAGATGATCTGCCTGCCTCGGCCTCCCAAAGTGCTGGTATTACAGGTGTGAGCCACTGCGCCTGGCTGCCAATGTCATTTTCTTAATCACTATGTTGTACTGCCTGCTATTTTAGTTAATTTTTCTCAAATTCAATTGCTTCTTTGTGCTCTTGTCTATTGCTTAACATGCAAGGAGGTTTAAAGAATTATCTTTCAAAAGACCTACAATGCAGGCAATACGAAACCAGAGAAGGGAGAAATTGAGTTCCAATTGTAGATTGGCTTTTAAGAGGATTCAGGGGCATTTGATGTTGAACTGAAGAAGTCAGTATAGAGAACTGCAAATCAAAGAAAGAAAAGTAGTTACTTTAGAAGTTCAGCAGTGCTTAGGATAATTAGATATTCATATATAGAGGAGCCAAATACTTAACACTTTGAAAGATCCAAAAGAAATTAAATAGAAGCCAGTGGTTGTGAAGCATCCACAGGAATTTGGAAGGGTTAAGGATAATGAGGTGTTTTTCTCTGGAGTTACAAGCAAAGGGAGGAAACCAAAAGCAACACAATTATTATTAAATTCGTAGAAATGGTCTTTCCTCAGTATTTTTCTAAGTCAGAGAAGACAGGCAAACAGATGCTTATCATCTAATCTACTTATCACCAGAACCGTCTCTCACAGTTCTCAGTAGAATTGAGCCAAACTGGATATAAAGGTTATAAGATGATTATTTGAGCTTTACTTCTATAATCATCACAGTTTGGACTCTGTCCATTTCGGGGAATTCATTTAAACTCCTGGATGGCTGCATTTTTTGAATTTAAAGTCTAAAAACAAATGTGCTTGCTGGAAACACTCTTCATCCTGTGGTGGGTAGGTTAAAGCATAAATTAGACCAAATGACATGTCTGGATCCAGAGAACTGATTCAGGGAAAATTACTTATTGATAATATTTTGTTTATTTTGAATTATGTTTTAGAATTCGGAACACATTGTGCTGTATTAAAACTAAAGCAATTCCACTAACAGGGCTGGAGGAATTATCATCTAATTTTGTTTTAGATGATTTTGCTGGTCTGCTTATGGGATTTACTATGCAAAGCTTCTTTATCCACTCACCTGGAAAGCCTATGTTGTGAAGTATATAATTACATAATCTTTTGAGTGGAACATTTAGCTATTTTCTGATAGTTTTAAAAGTGACTTTAATGAGCTATTTTCAGATAGTTTTAAAAGTGACTTTAATGAGCAATGAGGTGGTAGAATAAAGAAGGGGTAGTTTAGAGGATACTGTTCTTTCTTTGTGGCCCTAAGGGATTGACAGTGTCAATATATGGGAAGGCAAAGAGTAAGACTCTCTTTTCCTTGCATCATGTACTTTTAGACCTCCCCTAGAGATGAAGATTTTTAAACACTAAATATTAAATAGCCTAAGTGAGATTTGCAAACTTCTAGATCATCATATTAACACTTTCTTTTAAGTGAATATCCAAATAAGACTTTTAAAAGTGATATGATCAAGAAAACTCTAGAGGGTTTTCTTTTTCCACCTGGTTTTGCATGGGAGCCTGAGGTAGTAAAAGAAGCTACCATTGAGAAATGATGGTAAGATTTAAAGGTAAAGGGTTCTTACAGGTGCCATGAGGGAGAAAAGATGACAAAGAAATAAACTTGTCAAAATCATAAATGCTGGAAAACCGTACACATGGAATTTTTTTGGTATGGAAAAAATCAAAGTAATGGAGTTAAGTTATTGGCAATGTTTTAAAGAGGAAACAGGAAAAAAATGAAAGAGTAAAGGAAATATGGCAGCAGGATTGTGAAAGGATTTATGAATGTTTGATAGTGTGATAATGTTTGATTTTATTTATGCTTTTTGTGTTTGGAAACCCAAGCCATTCTGGCTCCTGTGGCCTTCCCCCTGGTTAGGAAAAATATCATTTCAAAATACTCTGTCTTAACCCCTAGGGTTAACACTATGATTAATAGGAATTAAAAAAAAATATTTTCCCAGGCTTACTTAGAATGAATTGAAGCAGTCAGTGAAAGAGAAACCAAAAAATAGGAGAAAGCCATATGTATGATCGATTGAATATTTACATTTGAAAATTCCCTTATGTTGTTGAATGTCACATGTACATAATTTTCCATAAGGAATGCTTCATAGAATAAACTGAGTCCCCTTTACCATTCTTTCTCTGAGAATAATGGGCTAAGTAAAATATTCTTACCCTTTTTGCTAGTCTATTATTAGTTCCTAATTGAGGATAGCCTTGTGGTTTGAAGTGAAAGGGAATTTTTGGAAGTGGCTCTAAGAACCTGATTCTGAATCCTAATGAAAACATCTAGAAAAGAGATATCTGCAGATAAATTATAATGATTAGTCAGTGAGTGGGCTAAATTGCAGCTGAAGAACCCAGACTGGAGTTTGAGTTGTATCTTCAGTTTACTAGCTGTGTGTCCTTTTAAGCAACTTAACTTCTCTAGGCCACAGACATCTGCACTGTATTCTAGTGCTGTGATATTTTTGGCCAGTCAGGTAACCTTTCAGTTTCCTCATCTGTAGAATGTAGATAATAATAGTACCTATCCCACAGAGTTGCTAAGTGGATTAAATGAAATGGTAACAGGAAAAACATATAGCTCTCAACAATGTGAGCCTATCATTATTAAAGGTAATATGATGTGGTGATTAAATCTTATTAAAATACTTATCAATCATAAAAAATGCTCGAGAAAAATAAACATGAGCATATAATTTTTTAAAATGAAAAGGAAAACGACACTATGACACCAAGGAGGCTGCTTTTTAGATAAAGACTCAGAGAAGGCATCTCTGAGGAGCTGATACTTAAGCTGAGACCTAAACAAGAACCTAATGAAAAGATAGTCACCCTTGGTGGTGACTAAATAAAAGCAAGTTAAACCAACTAAGATGATTAATTAGTCTATTAGATTGACACAATAAAAAGGTAAATAATAAAAGTGTTGGTAGGAGAATGGAGATACAGTCTCTTCCAGGAGAAATTTCTTGAGACAAGTTAGCAGCACATTTCCCAATTGCAAAAATATGGAACCAGCCAAATGTGATATATATAGTCCATGGAATATTACTCAGCGAAAAGGGCCGGGCGCGGTGGCTCACGCCTGTAATCCTAGCACTTTGGGAGGCCAAGGCGGGTGGATCATGAGGTCAGGGGTTTGAGACCAGCTTGACCAACATGGTGAAACCCCGTCTCTACTAAAAATACAAAAATTAGCTGGGCGTGGTGGCGGGTGCCTGTAATCCCAGCTACTTAGAAGGCTGAGGCAGGAGAATTGCTTGAACCCGGGAGGCAGAGGTTGCAGTGAGTCGAGATCGTGCCACTGCACTCCAGCCTGGGTGACAGAGCGAGACTCCGTCTCAAAAAAAAAAAAAAAAAAAAAAAAGAGAGAATGAAATAATGGCTTTGAAGCAATTTGGATGGATTTGGAGGCTATTATTCAGAGTGAAGTAATTCAGGAATGGAAAACCAAATATCCTATGTTCTTACTTATAAATGGGAGCTAAGCTATGAAGTTGCAAACGCACAAGAAAGAACTTTGGGGACTCACGGGGAAGGGGTGGGAGGGTGTGAGGGATAAAAGACTACAATTGGTACAGTGTATACCACTCGGGTAATGGGTGCACCAGTATTTCAGGAATCGCCACTAAAGAACTTATCCATGTAACCAAAACCCACCTGTTCCCCCAAAACTATCAAAATTAAAATAAAAATAACAAAAATGCAAACTGAATATTCCTCAACTCACATTCATATCTCTAGACTATTGCCTAAAGACATAATAGAACCAATGCTCAAATATATGCATGCAATTATTTATGATGGTCATTCTTCAGTATTAATATTTTTGTTTTTACTGTTAATTTTTAAAAGCTATTTATGTATTAAGGATGTTTACATTTAAAAAATTAAGAGTAACCTAAGTGTTTATTGATATAGAGGATTTGATTAAATGAATTATGGTACGTATCTGCAATGCAACTGTTGAAGATGTCGTTACTCAATATTCTTTTAGGTAGAGAAGGTTGTATAATGATCAACCTTTTTGAGACCCATGACATAAAGTCATTAACTCATGATTGCTTTTCTCCTGTTAGCCATTTTGATTTATTATTAGAGAGAGGGTAGAAATTTGTCAGTTTGACTTGTCTGTATGTATTACCTTAATATTTGCTATCATAGAATCAAGTTATTATCACAGAAGTTGTTTTTGGCCATCATTATGTTCCAAGTTATTGTCTGAAAAATGTATTTGATGTACTCCTTTTGGAGTCAGTGGAACAGTAGTCAGGACACCTGGTTTTTCCCTTTCTACAAATAAGCCATGAGAGATCATGGAGAAAGTCATTTGCCAAAGAATTCTTATATCATAGCATGAGAGCTGTGCTTTGACAGTTTCCCATGAGGTTTATATTACACTGTCTGCACCTGGGTCTAAGCCCATGACCTTCTGTGAAGCTTGATCTGATGATATTCTGTTCGATTTAACAAACATTTATGAGCACCCATCATGGGCCAGACAGTGCTTAGGACAGAGGACATTATAAAGATGCATGAAATAATGATCCTTTTCGTTAAAGTATTTCCACTTAAACGAGCTATTTGAGTTAGCTATCGGGATGTAAAGGCACTTTTTCAGAGTTTCAGATTAGACTAAAGCCCCAATATTTTATCAAGCAAGTAAACTTGATTTTCTGATACCTACAACTGAGTTGGAGCAATGAGGTCTAGAATATGAATTTTCTGGCTCTGAATACAATGCTTTGTCCATTGAACTTGACTTAGTAAAGAGTTTCCTAAGAGGGATCAACAATTATTACATGGTCAATATATTATTTCTTTTATTTCTTATGAACAATACACATCTATGAATTAATTGACCTGAGCAACAACTCTATGAAGTGGTAGATACTCTTGCTATCACCATAGTATAAATGAGGCAGCTGAGTCCCAGAGAGTTTAAGTAACTTGCCTATGATCACCAGTGTAGCCCAGCTTCAGAATGCATATCCTAATAGACAGAACAAGGGTTATGAGAAACATTGACATTAACAAGTAATTATTTTAAAATGTGATAAAAGCAGGAGTACAGGTTGCTATAGAAGCATGCACCCAGGGACTCAACGTATTCAGTTGATGAGGCTTCCCTGAGAAAGAGGTGCTCCATGCTGGGTCACGAATAATTAATATGAAAACTGTCCACTTCAACCCCTAGATAGACTTCAAGTTATTTAAGAATGGAGTCCTTTTTGCATGTCACAAGTACCTATTATATTGCTGGGCATAGGAAGTATGAGAAGACATTTATTGAATGAATACATAAATTAAAATGTTAGATGTCTTCTATGAGCTCTCTCAGAAGCTTTTATATTATTGGTTTGTGTAACAATCCTGCAAGGCAGTTATTTTTTCTTCTCACACTACTCATTGAGAAATTGAACTTTGGTTCATTTGTGGACTTTTGTGTATTTCAAATTTCCTTGCTGTTCCATTTCAGTCTCAGGATTGACTCACATCTCTTCGAGGGATCAACAATTGTTTCTTGATCAATATATGATTTCTTAAATGATGAATTAAACCATCTTGATGTTGGTAGACTGTCAGAATTTTAATAAATTTTCCAAATGTTTTTTAACATCCCAGGGCACTTCATATAACTAACCATTAACACCTTAGGCACACACTTCCTTTAATTTCATATTTACAAATGAACCTTATCTCTAAGTATTGTAAATAGGGTATTCAAACACCTGAATAGCTAAGGTGTTATGCAGGCAAAGTCCGTTACCCGTTCTCATCACCATACTTTGAATATTGTTAAAATATAAAACTACCCACTTATGAATTCTTCATCTCCAGTATTCCAATCTATACTTTCACTTCAGTTATTCTTCCACTTTCCTTCTAGGCATCCACGTAACTCACTCTCTGACCCCATTTACCTTACCAAGATCCTTTACCTCATTAAGTTCTTTCTTTTATCAACTCTCTCCTAATTTTACTTCTTCCCCAATGTAGCCAATACTGATGATATATCATGTCAGATTAGTTCAGGCTAATAACCGGTTTTATTGACTTTCAAAATCTCATCAGTGAGTCCTTCGGACATTTGAATTTTCCGCTCTCACTCCAGACCTTGTGAGTGCGTTTCAAGGAAATTTTACTCAAGGAAGCAAATGTGTGCTGTGATGAAAGGTTATCTAATCTCAGATGGACCCAGCATCACTAAGTAACTGTGTGACTTGTTCACCTATTTCTCCCATACCCTTAAAGGCCATTCCAACCCTCACATATTTTAAAATTCTCTACTGTAACATGCTTCTCACTCCAAAATCACAGGTAAACTATAGTGTGTGTCATTGGCAGAAGATGTTACTCCTATTTGCATCCTTGGTTCCCAGATTCGTGTGTTTCAGTCTTCAGGGACACAGCCCCTTATACTGGCCATTTGTTAAAAGAGTAAACTGTTTCTTAAATGTAAAAATTGCAGCCCTGCAGAGTGTCTTCCCTGACGTGGCACCTTAGCTATACTTTTCAGAGCCATTCCAATATTCTTAACGGCAGAGTCAGCTTATCTATAAGGCACAATAAGTACAGTACCTAGGGCCTACAGTATTTAGGGCTCCATGAAATGCTTTAATTTTAATATCTTTTAAAATCAGAAGAAACAATATAATAATGAATATATAATCTTGAATCTAGTCTTGACTATATTCATATTTATACTAACAAAATAATAAAATATATACACATACATGTGTCTGTGAGTCTATATATTTTTTCTATTGGAGGTAAGTATTTTGGGTCCAAGATAGTCATAATGTGGTCCTTTCCATCTGACTGGCAACTTCTAGGCTACATGGTATGTAGTTGGCAAATGAGTGACATGATTTTATACTCACTATCACATCTCCTTTCTATAAAGTGAGACTGTGATCAGAAATGATGAAATGAAGGATATTACAACAATAAATCAGACACTCTGTGATTCCCCAGATAATGGTGCTGGCTTAGGAATTACACGCACCAAAGGCTAATCTACCCTTAGAATATGACTCAATCTTAGTGACTGTTAGGTCTTCTCAAGGGATAACAGCACATTTTAGTTGCTGACAGGTCAGATGATTTGTGTGGCTATGAAAACATCAGCCTTGATGAAAAGAAAACCATGATTTTGGGCCCATGCATTGCCTCCATCCCTATTGCTCCGCTCTTGAGTGACTAGTGCAAGTATTGGGGTAGTCAAGGTCAGAGGTTTGGTGCCCTCCCTTTATGAATCACTGTAACTCCTGGTTGCAGTGAACTCTTTGTGGCTTAATGCTCAAAGATTCACACACTCTGTCCAATCTGACAGGTCTAGCCACATGCCTTTATATAGGCATTTTTGTAGCTAATCATCCAACACTGTGCCTTCCAGGTGCCTGCTCAACCAGCTAAGCCATTCATCAGTGCCCAGAAGACCATTTATGTCCTTACCTAAGTCTGCTTCTTTCTCCATACCAAATTCATGACCAGGTGTGCATCTCAAAGATATGTTTCTTTATGGAACTTCACTTTACCACTGTCTTTCACAGATACCACAAGATGGGATATCCTCAGTGCATTTCTGGCTTTTGCCAACGTAACAGGTCAGACCTGAGTTTATGTCCTCCATCAACAAGGCCATAGAGGTTGAGGGAGAGGTACTAGTGCAAACTTTTTAGGTGACATGGAGATCTGGGAAACTGGTTGATATAATTTCTTTTGTGCATTCTGGATTAGACTAATGTCTGAACAATCTTATGACCAGTGCGTGATGGGCAGTTGTTTTTTAAGTCCTTTTATGTCATGGTTAGGTGCTCAGTTTCTAACAAGGGCCAGTTCAAGTTTTTGACTGCTTCCTAGACAGTGAGTACTTCTCTGCTGAAGATGGTGTGACCTTGCTCCTGAAATGAGCCTTGCTTTTCATGAGCCCTGCTGGCCCATGAAAGCTGAGATGTGCAACTCTTCCCAGCTTCACTTTCAGTGGCATCACATTGATAGCTTGAAGCTGGCCATGACAGGAGTATGTAAAACATGGACATTGGCAAACATTACAAATAGGATCTTTTTGTCCCCACAGAGCTAGTTTACCAGTGTGCCAATGAGTTTTCTTAGTCACTCTTATTGGAATTTGCCCTAGAAACCAAGCAGTATAGCTCTGTGCCATTCACATCTCTATGCTGTAGTGCCTGGTCCAGTTCCAGAATTTCATCTTGAAGGGCTACTTCCCAAGACCACTTCTAATGCGAGCTGCTCAGCTTGGGTTTCTCAAGAATCTAACCCTGAGGCAAAAATTATAGTGCGAGTACTTTTATTTGATAGGTATTCCCAGGAAACACTGATGAGAGAGTAGACACAGGGAAGGGAAGAAAACCAAAAGCCAGTAAATGATGTGTTATCAAGCCTGTTACCACTGTGGATGCATGCAGATCATTCCTTCTGGGGAATGCTTATAAAACATACAAGATGTACCTTAAAGTTATTCCAAGTTAGGGCAGGGAATCTGGGATAAAATAAGCCAACTCCCTGTACATTACTGGTTAAGGGCTGCTTCTGGGAACTCATTACTTTGTGTACAGGCAGACTGCTTATCCTGGCCCAGAAATAAACCCTCAGGCAACAGTTCACAGGTATTTATAGTAAACAAACTAAGGTGAATTCTGAGGGTATATGAAGGCACCAACAATATTTATGACAGGAAGTAGCATTTATTTTTCATGCATTTTCTTTTATATATGTGGCAAATCATTTTCATTCAATTTCTGCAAACTCTAAATTAAGCCCTTGGGATCTCAGCAAAAGGAAATCTTAAAACAAAAAGAACAATGTGCCAAACAATACGGGTCCTCTCAAGGAAAAACTCCATAATCATACAAAATAAAGACATCAGTGGGAAGAAAAGTAGCCTTATGCGGAATCTATACTCGAACATGAATATGTTAAAGAATAAAAATTAAGCCGTATCAAAGGAACTTTAGAAAAGGTATTAACAACTGCAACTCCCCAAGAAATGGGCCTGGATTTAGATCAGAGGACTTGCTTTTCAAACATGCAACCACACACTAACAAAAAACAAAGTCCTCATATTTATTTGGATTTTAGAGGTTTTGACAAAGAGTATCAAAAATGGAAAAAATCTGACTTTGGGTGACTTATTTTTATAGTAAATGCTGACTGATGGATTTCCTAAAAGATCTGAAATAGACTTTGAATTTTTCACTATGAATTTTCAATATTAATAAAATTAGTAGAGAAGGATAAAAAGTTATCCAGTCCAGATAGGTAAAAAGATAAAAGAAATTCCCAAGGTCTATTACTAGGATATAAATCTTTTTTTCTTAATTTGGTATATAGTCTGTATGTATGTATATGTGCGTATGTGTGTGTGTGTGTATGAGAGAGAGAGAGAGAAGGAAAGAGAGCCAGAGAAAAGCAAGATTATTTTCTCTTTCAACATAGAGAGTTCTTTGTATTACTTCAGATTTTTCAATTGAGGGAACTTTTATATCTTATATTTGATACTGCTCCAGTCTTTGCACCCTTTCGTGTAGGAAGGAGAATCTCTTGTACATGGAATCTATCTTCATTTCTCCATGTGTACCAGTCTTATCTGTCATTTTCTCTAGCTTCAAGTAGAATTCGTTGAAACTGCCCTTCTGTGGACTTATTTGCAGTTTTAGAAAGTTGATTTTGCTCTTTATTGCTTTCAATAGAATAATCTATGCTATTTCCATAATATCTTCACCCCTTTTAATTTCCGCTCACTGTCTTAGCAACTCATCTATGTTCAGGATGAACCTAGAGAAAACACAAGTGCTGTGATCACAAATGGCTTTGTGAGGGAGGGACACCTAACTAATTCCAGACATCCTGACATAAAGATAAAAGTAGGAGATAAAGACATACATATTTTCCAGCAGAAAGAATGCTTAAGCAAAAGCATAGAGATAAAAGGGTGTCTGTTTGCGAATTAGGGGAAGTTTATTTTTACCCATCATGTTTGGTGAATAAAGAGAAGTGAAAGAAATAAGACAAGAGAAATTGGGGCCAAGATTATAAAGAAACTTTAATATAAGTCATAATGGAAAATAAAACCATAGATCCAAACTTAAAGTTAGGCTCTTCTGGTTGTCTGAATTAAGGAAAAAATTAAGAGGGTCTCACTGAGCAAAAGTTGGGTGATTCTACCCCACAGTTCCCTAAAACAACAAAATGCAGCCTTCCTTATATACAGTGAGACCCATTCAGAAATTGGATTATTATACTCATATAGGGAAGTTCTTCCAGTCACAGGTTGTCAAACTTCAAAAGGTCCTTTGAAGTGGTGCTGATAACATACATTTCTAAGCAATCACACTATTTTTCAAATCTATTTTAAAAATCAGGGTCCTAGCAGTTTTCTGAGTTGCTAGCATTCTTTCTGTAATCAGTGGTTTACATTTCATATTGATCTGCTTTTATGGTACAGAATTCTTCACAAAGTCTGAGAAGTATAATTTATTTAGATTATTTTTGTAATACATAATGTACATATTTTTGAAGTCGTGATAATTTATTACATTGACATGATTTGTAAAGATAAAATCAGTGGAATTGTGATATAACCTTAAATTGGCTTTTCTTTATGCTAGAAACATTTGAAGTATTCTCTTCTAGCTATTTTGAAACATATAATCGATTACTGGAAACTATAGCTACCCTAATTATCAAGCACTAGGTCTTATTATTTGAAGCTTGATTAGAAGCCATTGTTTGTGCTTATGTAACATAAGATTTCTAAGATTTTACATGTTGTAGATGTGATACACCTTAGTTAAAACAAAAACAAAAGTGTGTAGTTTCAATATTTTTGTAGATATTATTCATTGTGAGTTTATTGTGTAGAATTCATATGAAAACACATTTTATTTTAGAGCAGTTAAACAAATTAGAAAAGCCTGATGCATTCAGAATCAAATAAGCCAAAATAAGCATAAGAAAGATAACCTTGAGCCCATACTCTTTCATGGAAACTTTCTAAGGTATAAAAATAAAACAAGCCAATGGCATTATAGAAAATGTGATATCCAAATAGAATTGTTTATAAATAGAATGTTTTACAAAGTTTCCATGAGGCATCAGCTGTTCTTTAACCCCTTGCATGTTGACATTTTCCAGCCCACTAGCTAAATTAAGGCTTAGGAAAAAATTACCTATGCATTGTATTTTTATGTGTCTGTTAATCTATTTTTATATGCTCTGGGCATACAGCATCAGTTCCAGTATAAACATATCAAAAGATACGCCCTATACACACAACACATGTATGTGGGCAAACATAAGAAAGAATATAAAATGCTTCTTTTACCTCTATGTTGCAGAAAAAAGCTGTAACAAGACAAAAGTTTAACATGAGTAGAGTGAGCCAGCCTGCTTGATTTTCTGGATTTGTTGCAGTTTAAGCTTATTGTATTAATCTAGTTAAAAATAGCACCCTCATACATGTGCTCAAAAGTGTCCCATTTTAGATGATAAATTCCATGGCAATTCCAAGTAAGAGGCAAGAACTGATCAGTTATTTGTGAGTTACTATAGCAGTCAGAGGAAGCTAGATTAAAAATGCTTGAAAATATTTGTTATCTATCAAGAGAATACCATTCAGTTATATTCAGTTAAAACCAGATTTCAGGACAATTGGTATTGAAAGATTGTTTCATCTGCCCAACCAGCAGTATCACTCTTTTAAAATTAGCTATGTATGATTATTTTTCTCTGCCCATCTATTTCTTTTTCCCTGTTACACACACACACACACACACACACACTCCAGTTACAGTTTGATACACAACAATACTTTGGTGTGTATCATTACAGTTTAGTAAATATAATCAGCCTAGAAACAAGGAAAACAGTCTTCATTTTTCATATAAAAACGCCAATCAGTTCCCATAATCCTGGAGCAAACAACTTTGTTACTTTCTCTTCACAATAGGCACAAAGAGCAAACAAAAAACGGTAGTTCTGGTGAGATTTGCTTTTCTGGCCATGAATGTTCAAGGTGGAAAATGAATACAGGTGTTTGTTTGTAAAAGCATGTTAATGTTGGTTTTTTTTTTCCTTTTCGTACACTAATTTAAAAAGATCGTATATACTTGTACTTGAGGATACACTAACATATACCCCACAATCAAAATGCACTAACATTTAATATAACTTTAATTATTGTAATTTTTCCAAGGTGTTTGATGTGTTTATATAGTATTCTCTTCCTTGGTGTTTTGTCTTGTCCTTTGTACCTGCTGTATATGCCTTAGGAGATGAAAACATGCTGATTACTTCTTTGTGATGGTTTGTTGATTACCCTTGAAGTCAGGGGAAAAAAATTAAATGGGATGTTCCCCAAAAAATCAGTTTACTCTTCAGATGTTTAGGAAAAATCGTGATTCCAAAGTCATTCTGAACAGAAATGTTCTGTATTTTTTCTTTTTAGTGGCTAGTGGTGGATTGGAGAGACCCCTTTTTGCGTGTATGAATTTAGTGTTTCGGAAACATTGTATACAAAGAGCTCACCATTGTATCAGGGAATGCTGGAAAATTCAAACTTGGTGTCAGAAATATAAACTAAAATGTCAAGAACCTAAGATGTGCAAAACCTTTGGCACTTCTGCCACTCCCAGAAAAGACTTTATTTTGAAAGTGCACCTAAAATGAGTATTTTATAAAACACATGACACATGCAGAGAGCACAGATGTTAGATTTAAGCAGTCAGAAGTTCAAATCCAACAGCTCCTGACTTACTAGCTGTGTGCCCCTGAAAATATTTTTCAGATCCTGTGTCACTTGTAAAATGGTTCAAATGAGTTATTGATGTCAAGTTCTCATTACAATGCCTGGCATATAGTAAGGATTCGATAAATGGGGAATATTCTTTGTGGAATATTTCTGAATAGAGAGACTCTCTGCCATTCATATTGCAATGCCCCCTCCCCCACCGACCTTGGTTGCTAAAGGAGCTTGTAATACAGAGAATAGCTAGAGCTTGTCACCCATTCAAGATGCTTTTTTACAAGCCAGACAAGTCAGTGATTCAATACTCATTCATCTTCAACTTCCACCTGCAGACAGTGTTAAACTGACGGGCATGTCCCTCTCTTACCCTCCTACCCTCCTATTGGACATACTGACAGGTCTCTAAAATGGTTTCTATTTTCTCAAACATCTGCTTTTCCTATAATCATTATAATTATTTTTGCTGGGCAGATTTGGATGTGACCTTGGCTTTGGGAAAGCAGATTTCAAAATGTTCATAGAGAAAAAATAGGTATGATCCCATGGCAGAGAGATTCTTAAAAAAAAAAGAGATATAATTCTGATTTTAAAAATCACAATTCCAATGAGAACGAATTAGGGACAGAAGGATTAGTCATCATAGCTACTAGATAAATTCTGAAAAACTTTTTAGAAGATAATCCAAGCACAGACTGACCTCATATTTTTAAAAAAGATAAATTTGAGAGGGTGGAGGTGAAATAGAGTCAGAGGAAAATCCAGTAAGGACCAAAAAGTTCCAAAGGAGAATAATAAGATTTTAAAAGCATTGCCTAGAAGCTGGTGTCAGCCTCATATATGACAGAGAAAAGGCAGAGCCATTAAAACTGAATTTTATTTTCAGCACTTTTAGCAAAGATTAATAAATAAATAAAATGGAAGGCACAGAGATAAATTTAAAATGCCTGAGAGGAAGATATAGTAACAGCTGATCATTAATTCAGGTAGTTTCCTAGAATGCTCATAATAATTGTAATAGTAATAGTATTAAACACATTGGGTTTGGTATCTGCCAGGTACTTTTCTAAGCGTTTTACATGTTTAATATTTATTACAACCTCATGAGATAGGTTTTTGGTATTATCACCAGTTACATGAAGAATTAAAGTACAGAGAAGTTAAAACAACCACAGTTTACTCAAAGTCATGGTGTTTGAATGTGTCACAGCTGAGATAGTATGGGGCTCTAAGTACTACAAACAGAAAATTGAATTTCCCATCTTTTGTTTATTTTGAATGGGATAAAAACTTTTCCCCAGCAGACTTTTCCCAAATCGGGTCTTCTTGGCACTTCACAAAGATGATAAGACGACCATAGATTGCCTTATATCAAACAAGGAATTCCTTAAAGCAGAAGATGAGCCTAGCACCCTCAGGAACAGGTGCCCTCTTAAAGAAGGTGAACAGGATCATGGGTAGGCAGTGAGGAAGAAGGAAGATAGTGTGTCCGGCAAAATATCCTTGCTATTTTTATCAGTGAGCATTAAATTTAGTTTTCTGGAATTTATTAGAAGGAAAGAATACAAATAAAGCTGAAGGATTTGATAATTTCACATAATGATTTTTTTAGGACAAGAGTTACTCGTTTTTCAAAATGGAATTGTTATTTCTAATAAATAGAAACAACTCTAAGAGGCTGGGCCCTTTAATTTTATATTTTCAAGTTTTGTATGTTTACATTCTCTTTTATGATAATAATTCTACCAGTTTAAAATTTTTATGTCTAAATGTAATACTCATTAACAGCTTTTTATCATTCTTTAGTTATTTATGTGAATAATCACTTAATTGGCTGGATTACATCAATATATTATCCTTGTACCTTTGTATTGAATTCTCTTATGTATTATATTTCTAATGTTTTGAAATTTTGACTGATTTCCAGACAATATATGGGTTTATCTCCTTAAATTCTTCAAATAGGGCATGGCTGTTGTTCATGAACTCATTTCTTTCCCTCCCCAATAGCCCTCAATAATCCCACTCAAATAAATATAAATAGATGACACACACTGCTTGTCATACTTCTGTCATTCTGAAACCCTCCACAATTATGCTCCAAGACTGGATGTACTGATTTCTAGATGAGTATAAAAAGTGAGCTTCTGGCAGTGTGCTGATTCCTCAAAGAGTTAAAAACAGAACTATCATTCGACCCAATAATTTCATTACTGGGTACATATCCAAAGGAATATAAATCATTCTACTATAAAACTCATGCATGTGTATCTTCATTGCAGCAGTATTCACAATACAAAGACATGGAATAATCTGTGACATGGAATAAAAGTGATGAAATAATCTGTATAATAAACCCTTATGACATGAGTTTACCTATATTACAAACCTGCACATGTACCCCAAACCTAAAATAAAAGTTTTAAAAAGTTAGCTTTTGAACATAGATGTAAAAATCTTCAATAAAATATTGGCAAATCAAATTTCACAATATATAGAAATAAGTATAAATCATGACCAAGTGGGATGTATTTCAGATATGCAAAGCTGGTTCAACAATTTAAAATCCACTAATGTACCCCATCACATCAACAGGCTCAAGAAGGAAAAAAATCACATAATCATATCAGTAGCTGCATAAAACACACTTGATGAAATCTAACACCAATTCACAATAAAAACTCTAGGTAAACTAGTAATAGAGAGGAACTTTCTCAACTCAATAAAGAATATCCACAAAAATCCTATAGCTAACATCATATACAACTCAAAACATATGCATGTTCAGGGCAACACTCAGCAACACCTAGCAGGGAGTATATTTGCTGTGTGCCAGAAAACTGGGAAGAGATTTCACGGTTGGACCATCTGGGAAGATACAGAGTTCAGCCATAGTTATAGTAGAGACACCTTGGTGAACTCCCTGGGAATATACTTGAGGTCCCAGAAGAGCCATGTTTATGAGAAAGTACAGTTTTCTATATGTAAATTTAAAGCCAAAATTTCTCATCTTTTTTTTTTTTTCTTTTTGAGATGGATGGAGTCTTGGTCTGTTGTCCAGGCTGGAGTGCAGTGGTGCAATCTTGGCACGCTGCAACCTGCACCTCTCAGGTTCAAGCAATTCTCCCACCTCAGCTTCCTGAGTAGCTGGGATTACAGGTGCCTCCCACCATGCCAGGCTAATTTTTGTATTTTTAGTAGAGACGGGGTTTCACCATGTTGGCCAGGCTGGTCTTGAACTCCTGATCTCAGGTGATCCACCCACCTTGGCCTCTCAAATTGCTGGGATTACAGTTGTGAGCCACCACACCTAGCCTCTCATCTTTAGTAAAGTCTAAAACCAAGACATGACAGGTCAAGTTGACTCACTGGCAATCTAACTGCCAGCCAGAAAAAAAACTTGACAATAATTATAGGAAGATGACATAATACAGAACATCCATAATGTCCCACCTACAATATCCAACAATCAATTAAAAGTACTATATATGTGCAAAGAAGCAGCAAACAGTAATTAATAATCAAAAGACAAAATGGTCAATAGAAACAGGCTTAGTGATGATCCCATTACTGGCTGTGTGACTTTGGAAAGCTCTGAGCTTCAAGTTTCAACATAGAAAATACAGTTAAACGAGACTAAATCCTATAGATTTGCTGTAAGAATTAAATTCATTAATTGTATGTGGAAGTGAATTATCATGATGAAGTTTCCTATTATATGATTGCCACTAAGGAACCACACAGGAAGCAATAAAAAGGAAGAACAGATTCTGGTCTGACAGCAACTTATTTTAAAAATAACTCAGTTTTAGTTGTCATTTATTTTAAGAGAGACAATATAGTTTATTAATTAAGGGTCTTATAGTCAGAAAGAACTAGCTGTGAGCAGATTTCTGAATCTCTCTGACCATCACTTTTCTCAAATATAATTGAGAATTATAATGGTACCTGTCTTGAGGGTGTTGAGAGACTACTAGAGAGTAGAAGACATACAAGAGGTTAGCATAGTTCCTGAATAACTGAAGCCAGCAATGTGTAGACTGCTAACAGAAAGTTCAAGTGTTAAGAATCTAGACTGATAGAATTATAATGTTCCAATGACAAGCAGTAGTAAACCCCAATGAAATTCTGAAAGTAGATGACATATTTAAAAATGTACACCGACAAGCTTTTCTGACTAGGCAATAGGAGTAGTTGAAATAACTGGAGATGGTGACATTCGAAAATGAAGAATACAGGATGAGAAACATTTGGGAAACTTTTAGGTTGAAGAGGGATCAGATTTATTCTGTGCTGCTCTAAACACAGGTCTGGGACTGGTGCAAAACACTGTGGGGAGGCAGCTTTCATCTTAGTATTAGGAAGGACTTTTAAACAATTAGAGGAATCCAGTGATAACATGGTTTGATTTAAGAAGTAGTAATTGCCCTGTCTCCAGAAACTTTTAAGCAGATGTTGATTGATTCCTGCTCAGGGTCATTATGGAGGAAATTCCTGCACTGGGTAGGATGTTGGACTAGGTGGCCCCTATGTCCCTTCCAGCATATAAATATGTGGATATTCCATATATGGACTGTTTTTTCAGTTGTACTCAGTAGCTTTTTCTCCATGTGGATTAAATGGATATCAGTTCCTCATTATTTTGAGGTGAGTCAAAGGAAAATAGCATGTACAACAGCACAGCAGCCCAAACAGTTTATCATGCATCTTAAAAACACAAGTCAGTGAAGTAGGCAGTTTCAAAGGGGACCATATCATTGCCAGAGTGCTCCCAAGAAGCCAGCTGCTCCTGGAAAAATACATTACATTTCCCAGTTTGGCACCTGAGCCTTGCGATTGCTGTCCAAGGAGGTGAAGAAGAATGGGTTTATAGGCAGCCATAAATAACTAAGACACTGAAATTCTGAAAATGGGTCAATTTCTTCCCTATGATTCAAGACCCAAATGGGAGTGAGCTACTGTTCCAGCCTGAAAGGAAGAGAGCTTTAACTACCCATTTTCGAAAATCAAATGAAAGTAACTAAGAACTCTATTATTCAATCAAGTGTTCTGCAAAATTCTTCACAGTAAATCTTGAGTAGGTTTTTATCTTAAAGATATGGAGAGGAAGAAATAGAGATGCTTTGCGTGGGATTTCCAGGAATGTCAGTCAGCAAGAGGGACCATGCAGGCTATTTAGCCATGTCTGTATAGTCTGATGTTACATTTATGTTCCTCCCAAGGACAATGCAACATATGTGTGGAACTTGTTTGGAAACCTGCTCTTTTGGACAAAGAAATATCCATGACTCAGCCCCCTAAAACTCTTCCAGAATTTTGACATTCTAAAAATGCATCTTGTCCTCCATGTGGAATTTTGTCCTTCCTAAATTCATTCACTAAGTAATCTTTCATTGTGCCTACTATATTCTAGGTACTTTTATTAAGTGTTTAGTATTCAAAAATAAATAAGACCCCATCCCTGGCCTTTACA
The DNA here is from genome assembly GCF_000001405.40 of Homo sapiens. Classification (NCBI taxonomy): domain Eukaryota; kingdom Metazoa; phylum Chordata; class Mammalia; order Primates; family Hominidae; genus Homo; species Homo sapiens. The sequence goes on from NC_000017.11 coordinate 70,432,132, forward strand.
GATGCAAAAAGCAGTGCTCATCTCCAGTGGTCTTTTTTTTAAGTCCTATGATTAAATTTTAAAAAAATATATGACATACATACATACAACAAAAAGTTTGTTAAAGATAACACAGAGACCAATATATTTTTTTTTTTGAAATGGAGTCTGGCTCTGTCACCCAGGCTGGAGTGTAATGATGGGATCTCAGCTTACTGCAACTTCTGCCTCCTGGGTTCAAGTGATTCTCCTGCCTCAGGCTTCTGAGTGACTGGGATTACAGGCACACACCACCATGCCTGGCTAATTTTTGTATTTTTAGTATAGACAGAGTTTCACCATGTTGGTTAGACTGGTCTCAAACTCCTGACCTCGTGATCCACCTGCCTCAGCCTCCCAAAGTGCTGGGATTACAGGCGCGAGCCACCGTACCCGGCCAAGACCAATATGTTTTAAAATAACTCACAGCAGGATAATGTTTTCCTCCGTCTTCTCAAGGTAGATTGGAGCATCTATTCCAAAGAGCCATTCTTCCTCCCCTTCTGTGCCCATTTTCAGTCCTTAGATACTATTTTATAGACCTTCTGAATGCTATATCAAAATAAAGATAGGCTGAACTTTCTCCTTGCTTCAGGAAAATAACTCAGTCAGCCCAGCCACGCACCCGATATTCCTTCAAAATCCAGATAACAGAATTTAAGATTTTTAAATTCTTAAGCTATCACCTCCAAACTATCTTTGTTATAATCTGCAGGTGCTTGGAGAAAATTATTACTTAATGCAGAAGATACATGTAAACAGCAAAGAAAGAAATGATTAGTGGCACATATTCCATTTTCTTTAAGAACATGGTTTTTAAACATCCTATTTCCGTATAGAGAATTTGAAAATGCTACATATTGCCTGACCTCTCCATCAGAAATTGAGTCATTTGATATGGCAAGATCCTGTATGACTCTGCATATTTTCTCACTGTACCTGTATGTCTCCAGATTATTCTGATGTTTGTTCATCTGGTTTAGGAGCTATTTCTTTTCTTTTCTTTCTTTCTTTTCTTTTCTTTTTTTTTTTTTTGAGATGGAGTCTTGCTCTGTTGCCCAGGCTGGAATGCAGTGGTGCAATCTCAGCTCACTGCAACCTCCACCTCCCAGGTTCAAGTGATTCTCCTGCCTCAGCCTCCCAAGTATCTGGGATTACAGGCGCCCAATACCATGCCTGGCTAATTTTGGTATTTTTAGTAGAGTCGGGGTTTCACCATGTTGGCCAGGCTGGTTTCGAACTCCTGACCTCAGATGATCCACCAGCCTTGGCCTCCCAAAGTGCTGGGATTACAGGTGTGAGCCACGGTGCCTGGCCAGGAGCCATTTCTTAAGGCAGTGTTTATTAACCCTGGGTGCAAGTTAGAATGACATGGGAACTATTAGAAATTGTGACATCTAGGCTGCACCTCAAACTCCTTTGTGTACTGAACATTGCTGTATCCTTGCTACAATGGAACTGAGTATTATGACAGGGACCTTCTGGCATGTAAGGCCAAAGATACTTATTATCTGGCCTTTTACAGAAAATTTGTTGATCACTGATCAAGAAACCATAATAGTGAATCAAACCAAGGATGAATAGCTTTCTAAAACTACATATGTGTCTCTAATTTACCAAATCACGCACTCCACAATTCATAACTTATGGTGGGCAATTGTGGGGGGGCAGCAGGAAAAACTGTCTTCACCATTTTTCACTATTTGGTCTCTATAAGAAATCATTACCTGCCCCCTTCTGCCCTTTAAAAATCAGTAACTTGCAAAGGAATTGAGAAATTTTAAAAGTCTATAAGGTCAAACACAGCTCTCTTTCATTGAAAGGGATTAAAGAGCATAAAGTTACAGTTAAGAGGAGTAAAATTAGGGATCTATTGCACAGGATGGTAACCATTGTTAATAATAATGCAATGTATATTTCAAAATTAATGAAATAGTAGATATTAAAGATCATTCAAAAAGATAAGTAGGTGGGCTGATGGATATATTAATTAGATTTATTTAATCTTTTGATAATGTATACATATATCAAAATATCACATTGTACCCCATAGATGTATACAGCTATTTTTAGTCAATTAAACATTTAATAAAAATTTTAAGAGCTAGACTGCCCTATAGTACTGAGTATTTGAAATAATCTTTTGATTGCCTGTTTAGCATCACTGTTATCTGAAGCTGTTCTTTGCTTTTTGAATGTGCTAAGCTCTTTTCATACATTGGTTAAATATTATTGTAAGAAATATAATTTTTGAGTAGGTATTAAAACTGGAATCCCTTCTCGCAATTATAAGGGGAAAATCCATAGCAACAAAATAGCCTAAGTCTTTGTCTGTTAATTAAATGTAAGTTAATGGCTGTTTAGGAAAACAAAAAATGCCACCTGGGATAGAAAATTTAATTAGCTCCAAAAGAACATAAGTCAAAGACTTCTGCATTAGTTTTCTGTTGCTGCTGTCACAAATTACCACGAAGTTAGTGGCTTAAAACAACACAAAATTTATTACCGCATGGTTCTGCAGTCAGAGTCTGACATGGGTCTTACTAGGCTCAACTCAGGGTGTTGACAGGGCGGCATTTCCTTCTGGAAGCTATAGGGCAGGACCTGCTTCCTTGCCTTTTCAGCTTCTAGAAACAGTCTGCATGGCTTGATTCACAGACCCCTTCCTCCACCTTCAAAGAGCTCCTCATGTGACAATCACTGTGACCTTCCTTTCTGACTCTTTTCTACTTTTACAGACCCTTATGATTATGTTAGGCTTGCCCAGAGAATCCAGGATAATCTATTTTAAGATCAGCTGACTTGCCACCTTCAATCCATTTGCAACCTTAATTTCCGTTTGCCATGTAGTATGTATCCTACATATGTTACGATGTGTAGTATACTCACAGGTTTCAGGGATTAGGATATAAGCATCTTTGAGGGCCATTATTCTGACATCCACAAGTCCAATTGTAGTATTGGTCTGGGAGGGAATGAGTGGGTGTACCCCATCTGAAGACCATTCTCCTTTTTCTAAGAAATTCCCCATTGTCTGAATCTGGGTAAAAACCAGAACCCCAGTTCCCTTTCTAGAAACGCCACTCCTCTCACCCTTGACAGCTAGAGCACAAGCCAACCAGCTGCACCCACCCTGGACTTTGAATCTTGGCAGAGCACTTTAATTTTATGGGGATAAACATTATTCATGGTGACAGTGGTAATAGTTGCTGTGAGAATTGTGAGGTGTGTGGCAAAGGCAGCAGCACCAGGACTTTAGATGTGATGGGCTTTAGCATTTAATGGCGGCAGTACCAGAAGTGTGGTACCACCAAAAGTCACCTAACGAGAATGTTCTCGGGGTGACTGTGCCCATGCTTCTTCCACCTTGGGCAATACTCATATTTCTTGCCTACATTGATTGTCAGTCATTTTTGGCACCTGGTTCTCTAAGCTGTGAACTACCCATATCCCTGTAATTCATTTCTTTTCTTCTTAAATTGACCATAATCAGGTTCTGTGGATTGTAACCAAGAATCTTTATTGTAACCAAGAATATTCTTTTGAGTAAGATCCTTCAGGAAATTTTTATTTTCAATGGCTTGCTCTCTGTAAGAAAGCCTGATTTATAAATTAGGAAACTTGGAGTAAAGAACAAGTTGTCAGAATACTGGCACAGCTTCATTGGTCAAGTAGGAGCTAAGACAGCTGATAATCTGGTAGGAATGCCCTTTATGCAGATGACAGGGGAATCAATATAGAAGTCTTAGAACAATGGTAGAACTAGGCTTTGGTTGGGCAATCTTGATAACTGAGAAGGTAAATTTAGAATGTGAAATACAGCAGCAGAAGACTAGGGGAGAAAGATTACTTTTTTTAAAAAAATTATACTTTAAGTTCTGGGATACATGTGCAGAACATGCAGATTTGTTACATAGGTGTACATATGCCATGGTGGTTTGCTGCACCCATCAACCCTTCATCTACATTAGGTATTTCTCCTAATGCTATCCCTCCCCTAGCCCCCCATCCCCCGACAGGCCCAGGTGTGTGATGTTCCCCTCCCTGTATCCATGTGTTCTCATTGTTCAACTCCCACTTATGAGTGAGAACATGCAGTGTTTGGTTTTCTGTTCCTGGGTTAGTTTGCTGAGAATGATGGTTTCCAGCTTCATCCATGTCCCTGCAAAGGACATGAACTCATTTTTTTTTGGTATGGCTGCATAGTATTCCACAGTGTATATGTGCCACATTTTCTTTATCCAGTCTATCATTGATGGGCATTTGGGTTGGTTCCAAGTCTTTGCTGTTGTGAACAGTGCCGTAGTAAACATATGTGTGCATGTGTCTTTATAGTAGAGTGATTTATATTCCTTTGGGTATATACCCAGTAATGGGATTGCTGGGTCAAATGGTATTTCTGGTTCTAGATCCTTGAGGAATCACCACACTGTCTTCCACAATGGTTGAACTAATTTACACTCCCACCAACAGTGTAAAAGTGTTCCTGTTTCTCCACATCCTCTCTAGCATCTGTTGTTTCCTGACTTTTTAATGATCGCCATTCTAACTGGCATTAGATGATATCTCATTGTGGTTTTGATTTGCATTTCTCTATTGACCAGTGATGATGAGCTTTTTTTCATATGATTGTTGGCCGCATAAATGTCTTCTTTTGAGAAGTGTCTGTTCATAACCTTTGCCCACTTTTTGAGGTGGTTGGTTGTTTTTTTCTTGTAAATTTGTTAATATTCCTTGTAGATTATGTATATTAGCCCTTTGTCAGATGAGTAGGTTGCAAAAACTTTCTCCCATTCTGTAGGTTGCCTGTTCACTCTGATGCTAGTTTCTTTTGCTGTGCAGAAGCTCTTTAGTTTAATTAGATCCCATTTGTCAGTTTTGGCTTTTGTTGCCATTGCTTTTGGTGTTTTAGTCATGAAGTCTTTGCCCATGCCTATGTCTTGAACGGTATTGTCTAGTTATTATCTCACCCTAGATAATCAAGTCAGTCATAGGAAAGAAGCTGCATTTGGAAGCACAATAAGCAGAATTCAGCTACTTAGAGAAGGTGGCAAGCAGGCTTGAGATCACAACATTGCTCCAGTGCCAAAAGCAATTCAGGGGTTTCAAGGAAACCAGGGGACCAGACCCATCTCATTGCCTGAGCCAGCAGATTGGAAATGAAGAAGTTTGGGGGCACAGAAGAATCACTCACAGTCAAATAGATGCTGAGTAGATGCCAGATATATTAATTCTACTCCATTGGTAAACTGATGTTTGTACTCTAATTTTTGCAATCACTTTGAAATTGAGCTAAGTTGAGCCCCAGGTAGAAGGAGTCTTCTCTTTCATTTGGCCAGGGTTTGAGATGAAAGTGACTGATGTGCACCTTGCTTAATCAATATCTTGATAGTATTCTCATATGAAGATAATAGAAGCTGGGCAAAATGTTCTCAGTAGACTAGGAAACAAATCCTTTTAGCATGCAAGTTTTGTCCTCTTTTTGGAACACCATGCCAGGCCTGTCTTAGTACTTGAATACTCTTGGATTCAAGCAGGTTGAAGGCATTCTGAAAATATTCTGAATCTCACACACAGAGTTAATGTCAGATTTAGACAACAACAAGATAAAATGTATTGATATTAGGAGGGCAACAAAAAAGGACACTTAGATAACTGCAGCAGAGAAGCTATTAGTTTAGTAAACAAATTGGCTTTCAGTGGTGATTACGTCATAGCTCAACTTGAGTCTGATATAGTCGCATGGATAATAACATCGTAGCAGAAGATTCGTGTAACACTGGTGCATAATTTACTAGATCTTGACAGTGACTAGAGACCCACAAAACTCTCATTCCTCCCATGTATTCCTCAACCTCTACAAAGCAATGTTATTTTTTTCTGACCCCGTGGGATTCTCTGCCTTCTTTAGCATGGGTTTTCCCTGGTTGTGTTTTCAGGATACTCTGAAGGACGCGAACAATCGCATTATAACAGAAAGGACACAATCTTCATTCATGTTCCCATTAGGTTAAATGCACCTCAATTATGTTTCTTGTCCTCCTGTTGTTTGTTGTTATTACCCTTCCTGTATTTGTTCCCAGACACCTTAAAAACATGAGTCAGAATCACTTTTTAGGTGTTGGGAAGGTGGGTAAGAGGAAGGAGAGTTGGTAAGAGGGCACGGAGAATTCTGCCTTGTTTCCTGTGCTGCATTGATCAGACTTAAATGTTATCCCAGGATTTGTGCGTTAAATCTGTGGCAGTTGTATTTTCATTTGTGTATTTAATTGCTTCATGCATATGCATAATCTCCGGGAACACTATATTGTGATAACTCACTTTGAATGTCAAAGGACTTTTTAAAAGCCCTCAGTATCCCACCCTTTTGCTTAAGATGATTCCTTGGAAGTAGATTTATTATTTATACAATGAAAAAAAGATCAAAAAATTATTATTTACTAGGAATATATATGTGTCTTCTCCTAGTGGGTATGAGTGAGTGTGTGTGTGCATGTGCAAACATACACAGTGTTTACAGTGTATTAGCCAACCATGCAGCAACAGCCCTAATGATATGGAATTTTACAAGGAAGGTTATTTAATCTAGATTTTTACCATTATCTTGACTGGGAGCAGCAAACTTTTCCTGTAAAGGCCAGGTGGTAAATATTTTTGCTTTGTGGACCACATGCTGTCTGTGGCATGTAGTATAAAAGAAGTCATAGACAATAGGTAAATGAATGTATGTGTGTATGTTACAATAAAACTTTTTTTATTTTTTTTTCTTTATTTATTTTTTTTGCAAACACAGGTGCTTGGCCACGTTTGGACCACAACCTCTAGTTTCCCAACTGCAGAGCTTGATTCTTATACTCAGTTAGGGGTGTGACTCTCCAGGCATATACATGTAATAATTGGCAGAAGTTTTCTTTAAAATGAAGCTTTATTAAAAAAACAACAATAAGAAAAGGAAAAGCAAAATAACAGGTGGTTTTCAATTCACTGAAACCATCCTCTATGATAAGAATCACACATATTTATTAAAAATACATGACAAGGTACATAGAGCTGATTTCAGAATCTGTTTCCTTCTTTAAGTGACTGGAGCCAGCTCTTGAGCTGGGTGATAAAGAGTAGCTCTGGGACATTCAAGCTGTGTGACCCACATGCTTTGGAGAGCACAGTTTCTGGCATCAAGATAATTCTCATTGACCACAGATGCTTCTTAATATTTGCCGATTTATTGCTGAAACAAGTGCAGCAGATTAACATTATAGGACTGTGGTCTTTGGGAATACTCTCGTCTCTCTATTGGATCAGTGTTTATTTTCAGTGTTTATTTGTATTCTGAAGGTGAGTTGGATGGATATAGCAACTTTAGTTGGCAAATCTACTTTTTTCTTGAAAACAGAATTGAAAATAAAATCCTGTTATACAGAAACATTACATACCATGTCTAAGAGTATTAAACACTTCCCAAACCACACTCTCTCAGACACAAGTGGGAGCTTGGGAAGCTAATTTTAGTTACTGAATGTCCAGTATGTGTTATATCTCCTTTCCTAAGGACCCCTCAAGAAGAGAGAAGACCATCTAAGCCTTACTAATCAAAGGATGACCCATGGACCAGCAGCATCTACAGCATCAGGTAGCCTATTAGAAATGACAAATCTGAACAGGCTTCTCAAGGTTATTCATGTGCTCATTAAAACTTAAGAGGCACTGGTCTAAATAATGTATATTTCCAGTCATCTTACATCAGTTGTATATATGGCATGGTATAAATAATAACTGAATGAAGAAAAAGATGAATGAATGAATATTTAATGATTAAATGGACTAATGCTTCAATGGATATAGATGATTAAATGAGTGAATGAATAAATAATTTTTCCTGAAATATGTAATCAAGTTTATAAAGTGTCTTGATAGTTTTATGAAGATGAAATGAAGTGAGTTATGCGAAACATTAGTAAACTATAAAGACTTACACAAATGTGCAGTGCCACATTAATAGTACAGATCATCTCATGACACATTAGTAATAACACAAAGAAGCCAGCAATAAATTTGCAGAGAGATGCTTCAATACTTGTATTCATTTATTTCGTGGGTAGCTTAAAATTCTTAGCCTTTATTGGTAAGAAGCATGGGAAAGTGTTCTTGAAGGACATTGGTTGGCGACTACACAAGTTATTGTGTGTAAGAACACTTCCAACTATTGTTCCTTCTGTGTGAATTGAAGAATGTTTTCCTGTGAGCACACTCTTTCTCTCACACACACACCCCACACATACACACACTCCAACAAATCTACGCAACTGTCAGTCTCTCCTTCATCTTGGTGTGTAGAAACATGGTATTTCCACCTTGGTGTACAACAGAAAAATCTTGGCTTAACAGTGTAATGGATTGAAAAATTTCAGTTTGAACAGATGACATTTTCAGTCCTTTGGGATGAAAAACACACATTGTTCAGTTCTGAAATACCGTAATCTTCCAAAACAGATTGTTCCTTCTGATATGAGTGGCATAAAGGCTGATCCTAGGCAAAGTTTAGTTCAGAGATATAGATAAAACTGCATTAACTCTATATTAAAGATACACAACTAATTTTTATAGGTTTGGGGACCCATAGACTAAGGGACAGACAGAGTGGCAAATAATTAACTGACTTACCTAGCAGTGAAGAAGAACTAGGACATTCCAAAACTTACCTTGATTGCACACATCACATGTATAATAGGGAGCATACATTCAAGGTGTTTGTTTTAACTTCAGCACTTGTTTAGATTTTATACAGACTAATAAAGGACCAAAAACAGTTCATCTCTAATACATTAACAGTTGACTGAATAGGGAAACAAGATTCAGAATGAAGTGAAATAATTCATATGAACAAGTTTTCCAGATAATTTATATGCAGAAGAAAATTCAGTAGTTTAGAAGCAGTAACTCAAAACAAGGCTAAATATTGATAAGGGCCAAGAATGGAGCCAAAGGCTATATTTCAGTTTGAAACTAAACTCACATATCTAAAATATGAATATATTTATATATAACACACATTAAAGAACACATTTTAAATGATGGTTTTGTTTTTATATTTCTGGGAAAATATTTGATTTTTTAAGCACAAATTTATTAGGTTAAGTTTAACAAATTGTTTAGCCTTTTAAAATTACATTAAGTGCCATAAAAATTTTAAACTAGACCAAATTAATAAACCATTCAAGCTAGAAGACAGAAAAGTCATAAATATGATAAGCAATGTTAGACATCAAAATTATTCAAAGCTAAAAATAAGTGATATTTTGTCCCTATCAACAAAATTTAAAATTGATCCTTGATCAATGCTAAAGATATGAAAAAGCTGAAAAAGTTATTGAATGTCATTGACACTGTAGATTGATACAACCCTTTAAATTGCATTTCAAAAAATAACAACCTGTTTCTGGAAGTTCTCCTAAGATAAGAAAAAAATTATAGAAAGTAGCTTAATACAACATTATATGTAGTTAGAGTCAGAAGAAGCAAAATTCCTCACATTAGAATCACATAAATCTAATATAATATTGCAAAACTATTGAAATAATTATAATGTACCCCGCATGACAATATGAAAATGCTTAAACGTTAAAAAGATTTAAAAATAAAGTAGAATCAATGAAGATTAAATATTCAGAATAAGTACAACAAAAAATGTGCAAAACCCATGTGAGAAAATATTTTAAACACTATTGAAGAACGTAAGAGTAGACTTAAACAAATGCAAAAGCATTTGCTTGGGAAAATTCAACATTACAAGTTTTTGTAATTACATTGCAAACATTTGCTTGGGAAAATTCAACATATTACAGGTATGTCAGAACTTCCTAAATTAATTTATAAATCCTATAAATTTAGCAAGTTATGTATAGAGTTAGATAAGCTGAAAATAGTTTATTTAGATTAAAAAATGCAAAAATATCCAGGAAAATATACACAAAATTGGGAAAAAATGACTAGGTGAATTAGCTACAATCAGATGTAAAGTTGCCTTAATTAAAAATTGTGGTATCAGTACATGAACAGGCAAATAGACCAGTGGGAAAGAACAGAAAGTTCAGAAACAGACTGAATACATATGGAAATTTAATAAATGATAAAGGTAGCCTCTCAAATCTCTGTGGTGAAGAAAGTCTTTTTTTTTTTAATTGTGCTGGCGTAAGTGGATAACCATTTTGATTGAATTAATAAAACTGCATTTATGTTTCATACCGTATATAAGAATAAAACAAGGATATAAATGTAAAAAACAAAACAAAACTGTTTAATTTATATATGATAATATGGATGAGTTCCTTCTTGACCTTGGTATAAAAGAAGACTTTCTGTGAATCAAAATCAAAATGCAGTAAAAGAAAGATTGATAAATTTCCCTACATAAAAATGAAAAATTTGCATGCCAAAAACCACTGAAAGCAAAGTCAAAAAAGACAATTTGTAAACAGGGAGAAAATAATTGCAACATATATCTAAGACAAATGGCTAATATTCTTTGTATTAAAAATTCTGAAAAATTGAGGAACAAATATTTTAGGGGCAAATGACCTGATATAGGAAAAAGATATGAAATAACAATTTCAAAAATAATATTTAAAATGGGCATCCAACATTCAAGAGAATATTAAAATTTGCTGATAATTAGAGAAGTATAAGTTAAAACAGGGATATCATTTTTATCTATTGGACTATCTGACATTAAAATAGTGTCACATACAATATATGATCCAATAATCACGCTCCTTGGTATTTTCCCAAAGGAGATGAAAACATGTTCACACAAAATCCTATACACAATGTGTGTAGCAACTTGGAAGTAATCAAGATATCCTTCAGTAGGTGAATGGATAAACTGTGGTGCACCAAGACAAGGGAATAATATTCAGTGCTAAAAACTCTCATTAATGCATTTATGGAGGAAACATAAATGCATATTACTAAGTGGAAGAAGCCAATCTTCAAAGGCTATCCACTGTATGATCCCAACTACGTGACATTCTTGAAAGGACAAAACTATAAAGAGAGTAAAAATATCAGTGGTTGACAGGGGTTTTGGGGAGGGAAGGATGAATAGGCAGAGAACAGGGGATGTTTAGGGCAGTGAAACTTCTGTGTCATACCATAATGGTGGATACATACCCTTGTATGTTTGTCCAAACCCATATACAAAACTAAAAGTGAACCCTAATGTCAACTACGGGCTTTGGGTGATAATGATGTATTAATGTAGGTTCATCAGTTGTAACAAATGTATCACTAGGGTGGGGGATGATGATCAAGGGAGAGGCTATTCGTCTATAAGGCAGAGGTTATATGGGGCAGGGGTTCCCAACCCCTGGGCCACAGACAGGTCTAGTCTGTGACCTGTTAGGAACTGGGCTGCACAGCAGGAAGTGAGCAGTGGGCCAGCAAGCATTATCGCCTGAGCTCCACCTCCTATCGGTTCCTCGGCAGCAATAGATTCTCATAGAAATGCAAACTTTATTGTGAACTGCACATGCGGGGGATCTAAGTTACATGCTCCTTACAAGAATCTAATGCCTGACGATCTGAAGGTGGAACAGTTTTATCCCTAAACCGTCCACCCCCGTGGAAAAATTGCCTTCCAGGAAACTGGTCCCTGGTGCCAAAAAGGTTGGGGACCACTGATACAGGAAATTTCTGAACTGTCTGTCCAATTTTGCTGTGAACCCATAACTGCTCTGTGAGAGAGGCTATGAGGAAATTGGCATTGCCATGCTTTGCTGACAAATATGCAACTTTGCACAATCACTCTGAAAGCAAATTTAGCACTATCTAATAAAACTACATATGCACTTGTCTTTTGACTCAACAATTCCGATTCTGGGGTATATCTTCCTACCCTGAAGATACACCTTTAGGAACCGACCCTGAAAAATGCATATATCCAAGGTTATTCCTTGCAGCATTGTTTGATTGCAAAATATTGCAAAAACCTATATGTCCATACCCAGAAAAATGATTGAATAAATTACAGTATATCCACTTAATCAAGGGCAATGAAGCTATTTAAAAAAATGTGCAGAATCTCTGTGGACTAATGGGGGGAATGATTTCCAAATAGACTGATAAGGAAAAAATACATAAACTATTACCTTGCATATGCTACTGTTTTTGTAACGAAGAAAATCGAAAAAACTACACGTGAATCTACTCATTTACACAACAGAGAATATAGAAAAAATAAACCAGAAATTAAAAAGTTGGTACATAAAGAGGGGTCATTGAAAGTAATAGAAAAAAGTGATAAGTGAGTATGGGGTAGTAGAGAGGAGGAGGTAGTAGCACAACTTTGTGTGTATTCTTTTGTAGAGCTCTGGCTCTTAGAATTACAGTAATATGTCACATATCTCCCAATTATGTATTTATTAAAATCAACCACAATATAGAGCAAGAACCTAGAAATGCAATAAAACAGTACCAAATGAGTCTGACTATATTACAAATACAGTCCACACTGGGGAAATGGAGAAGACAATAACTGACATAAATAACTTTAGAAACAATGTTTTGACTGGATTCTGTAAGTCAAGAGATAAACAGATCTATAAACAAATGCTCTATATTTCTCACAGAAGTGTGGGTTAGCATTTCTATAACAACTTTAAGTGTACATCATAGTCAAATAACAAATATGCACACATAACACATCTGCACAAACATAAATATATGTGCATAGATACACATATGTACACACAAATACAGATGTGTTTGTGTGTGTGTGTGCATGTGTGGGTTGGCATACACACATACATTTCATAGCTCTGCTGAGAGGCCTGGGAGCAATGAAACTCCAGGAACAATGAGCACAACTAGCATCCAGATTTTGGTCCCTAAACACCATTCTTCTGTCAAAGGAACCAGGGCTCAATGCAGAAGTGGTTGATTCCAGGGATTGGGCCAGGAAAGTACAAGATGAGCTGGAACAACTTGCAATGCCATAATAAGGGAGTTTTTGGAAAATGATGAGACATTTGCAAAGGACATAGGAGCCAACTTGAAGGGAATTCTAATGGCCAAATATGGAACAACAATCTGAGCAACAAAACAACTAATAGTATTGGACCATAAGCCACAGGACAGAATAAATATCCATGAGCCCATACTAATCTGAATAACTGAACAAGTAAAGAAATTGCAGAAAGGAGTCTGTTGTTTGTCACGGAAAAATTCTATTGATACATATAAAAAGAGGAAAAGCAAAAAATTACCACTGGACAAACACCATAGTTATTGTTGCAGACAAGACCAATCTACGAATCCTAAAATTGTTGAGCACATTTTTGAGAACTGAATATTTACATGGCCTCAAAGTATCTTCCTCAGATTATTTATTATCTTGCCTAAGGTACAACGGGAAAATAGTAACTTTATGGTGGATGAACCCAGCAGATAACACCTTAACGAAGAGATCAGGTTAACATCACCCAGTAAGACATAGTATCACAAATCCCATGATATGATGCACTGAGAAGGACACAACTTTACTTCTGCCAAAAGTGTATAGCCTTATTCCAAGCATGAAAAGCTTCAGACAACTCATAATTAGAGACATTCTACAAAATAAATGCCCAGTAGTCGTCAAGTGTGTCAGGATGACAAAAGACAAGAAAAGATGAAGCACTGTTACAGCTGGAAGTAATGAAGGAGCCGTATGATGTGGGATTCTGAGTTAGAGTATTGTACTGATAGTATTACACTTGGTTTTGATCATTTTAATATGATTATGTAAGAAGCTCAAATTAGGGGATGCTGAGTGAAGGGTTATGGGAAGATTTGGTATTAATTTTACAACTTTTCTAAAAGTCTGAAATTAGATCATAGTCAAAAGTTAAAAATGAATCCATACTATGATTTATCATATCTACAGCTAACTAAATAATTGGTGTTTAACATTTGGATAAAAATTTTAAAAGAACATAGAAGAGTCAAAACAGGTATTAGAATGACGGATATTCAAAAAATACACATAAAAACATACACATGTACATACATGTGTGTGTGTGTGTGTGTGTATCTGTGGTTCTGGAAATGGCTAGGTCATGTTAATCACTGCTACTAATATTTTTTTTGGTAAAGGATAGGAACATCTGAAGGTTAAAACCCAGTGAGGATTTTGGAAATGAGAGTTTGTAATTCACAGAATCACAGTATCAGAGACTTCAAGTTTGTCAGGAACCTTAGAACAGCTTTGCCTGATATAATAAGATTTTACATGAATAATTAAACACTAACCATTTGCCCTGGATCTCCTTTAATCTCCCATCTGCTGCCCTCATTTTAAGAACCATCTGACTCACTCTCTACCTTCATTTTCTGAAATGTGTTTTATGCACTCTTTATCTAAACCATCTCTCTAAGATGCTTCTCATTCTTCTTTCAGCTTCTTCCAACCTACTGTTGTCATCAGAGAGCAGCTCACTTTCAACTTAGTACTAGGTTAACACCTAAAATCTATTTTTGGCCTAGAACTAAAAATAGATTTTAGGTGTCAACTTAGTACTATGTGCATTTTTATGGAGAATCCTCTGTTAGCCTCAGGTGATCGCTAGTGGTGGAATGGCAGTTGCTGTAATATTTGGTTGATGTAAATTTCTGAGGGGAGAGCTAATTATTGCATATTAGCCCCAAGAGCACATACCTCCATAATAAAAGACATATATTTGCTTTTTATTGGAAATCTAATTTTTCGGCAGAGAGAGGAGCAATGGAATGATATTTTCTTTAGAAAAAGTGAAGCCTGAGGCATTAAAGTTCATAGTTTATAAAATCAGAATTTTTTTTTTTTTGGGGCAGAGTTTTGCTCTTATCTCCTAGGCTGGAGTGCAGTGGTACGATCTCAGCTCACTGCAACCTCCGCCTCCTGGGTTCAAGTGATTCTCCTGCTTCAGCCTCCTGAGTAGCTGGGATTAATGGCATGTACCACCACGCCTGGCTAATTTTGTATTTTTAGTAGAGACCCAGTTTCACCATGTTGGCCTGGGTGGTCTCGAACTCCTGACCTCAAGTGATCTGCCTGCCTCGGACTCCCAAAGTGCTGGGATTATAGGCATGAGCCACTGTGTCCAGCCCTAAAATCAGAAAAATTTCTAAGAAAGCAAAACAAAACATCAATTTCTATTTGCTTCCTCAGAAGTAGCCAGTGCTTTTATTTTATCCTGGTAAAAAGAGTTAAGCATATTTAAGTGAAAGAGGAGAGTGGGTTCTTATAGCTCCTTCACCCACACCACACATCCCACCCACTCTCCTCCCCAAATGCTTAGGTAATGCTGCGTGTGTAAGTTTGATAAGTTGTATCTATTTCTGTAGATAGTTCTGGGCCATTTTATATTAGATGTTGCTGACACTTGGCTACCTAGCTTGTTTGAGAATTATTTCACTGTCTGGGATAAACAGAAAGAAGGCCTGATCCTCTGTTGCCTATGATTTGTGTCATTAAATATCAGTGCTTCTGTTCGTTGCCAAACCATATTCCCAAGATGGCATGGCATTCCTTTCTTTGGTCAACATTCAAACCTTACCAGCTTCTTTGACATTCCTGTGCTACAGTAAAAGTATTCTTGCCTCAGGCCTTTTTCACTTGCCATTTCTTCTGCCAGAAATGATCAGCTTGCTCTTCCTATAACCAGTCCATTTCTCATGTTTCAAGTTTAGTACAAATATTATTTATTCAGACAGGCTCTCTTTACATGACACTCTAAAGTAGCCCCTCCCTCCACTGCATCATTAGAAGTGGTTTTCTATTACAAAACGTATGTTTTTTTCAAGGTGCTTATCACATTCCAGAATTACCTATTTACTTTTTAGTTTTTGGGGTTAGTCTCCCCATGAAAAAGTAAGCTTCATAGGATGGGGATCATGTCTGTTTTCTCTGTGCAAACAGCAACACTGAAGTTGAAACTATTACCATTTTACAGTTGAGATTTACAATTCTACAGTTGAGAAAAATGTTTTAGAGGCTAGAGGCTGTGCCCAGATTATACAGCTAGTGACTGGTGGAGCCAGAACTCAAACACAAGCAGAGAGAATGGAGCCCTTGGCCACTTTATTAAGCTTTAAGGTTTAAATAAAATTAAGGACATAAATACTGACAGAACGTGATACACAGCACGTAATAAATGACTGTGGTTATTAGTTTGATCTCGTCTTCAAAATCACCCAAGGAAACAAAAGTATACTTCATTGCCATTTAACAAATGAAAGAACAGTTTTCATTCAAAGAGGTTAAGAGATAAGCCCAAGAAAGTGGTGCCGTTTTGGTGACCAACTCATCCTGATTTGCTTAGAATTTTCCAGGTTTTAGCACTGAAAATTTTTTTCCAGGAAATTTTAATCTCTGGGGTCTCAGTCCATTTTGACTACTGTATTAAAATACCTTTGACTGAGAAATTTTAATACCAGAAAGTATTGCTCACAATTCTGGAAGCTGGGAAGTCCAGGGTCTAGGCACCAGCAGATCTGGTGTCTGGTAAGACCCCGGGTCTCCCAGATGGCTCTTTCTTTTCTGAGTCCTCACTTAGCAGAAAGAAAAAACAAGCTCCCTCAGCCTTTCTAAAATAAGGGCACTCATCCCATTCATGAGGATGGGGCCCTTATGACCTAATCACCTTCTGTATTAGTCCATTTTCATGCTGCTGACACATACCCGAGACTGGGCAATTTACTAAAGAAAGAGCTTTAGTGGGCTTACAGTTCCACATGGCTGAGGAGGCCTCACAATCATGGTGGAAGGTGAAATGCACATCTCACATGGGGGCAGACAAGAGAAGAGAGATGGTGCAGGGAAACTCCCCTTTATAAAACCATCAGATCTTGTGAGACTTATTCACTATCATGAGAACAGCACAGGAAAGACCTACCCCCATGCAATTACCTCCCACTGGGTCCCTCCCACAACACATGGGAATTCAAGATAAGATTTGGGTGGGGACACAGCCAAGCCACATCACCTTTGAAAGGTACCACCTCTTAAAACCAACACCTTAATACTTTGGGGGTTAAGTTTCAACATATGAATGTTGGAGGGACATAAACATTCAGCCCCATAGCACCTGATAAACCAGAACAGCCTCATAGAGTCCATATTGAAATCAGGTCTATTTAATTCCCAATACCCTTTCTCCTTATCTCCCAATATTATATTGGATAGGCTTATGCCCCAGGACCTTCTTACATTGAATTTAATTGAATTTATTGAATTTTGTTATCTTTTCCCATTAGACTGTATATAGAAGCTCCTTGGAAATATCAGAAAATTAAAGTGTTTATTTTAACACAAATGCATGGAAACAGTTTAATATGAAATCAGTCCTTAGAACCCTGAAAATTATAACTTTGTAAGTATGGTATTATGTACTAAAGAACAGTGAGTCCAACCCTATAGCTATGAGAACTGCCACATCTAAGGGAACTGAGCTATTGCCTTTACATTTCCAACATTTAATTGAAGCCTTTTTAGAAAGAACAAGATGTCCTGTGAGCTTTGCCTGAGCCTGCTCTAGGATTCCACATAAATGAGTACAGCAACTCTACATGATAAAAGACATCCTAATATACCTCGTCACAGTTGAATCTCAATGTCACTGTCAAAGGGACGTTAGGGATAGAAAGTTTTTCTTGGGCAAAGGATTTAGACCTTTTATTGCTTTCCTAAAGCTGAAGAGCAGAGGGGGAAATCAGGGAATTATTTAAAACAACTTGTGTTTGCATATTAGCTCCCCATGTTTCTTAAGATTTTTAAAAAAATTTTAATTAATTTTTAATGACAGATGCAACACTATGCCTTTCCTGGAAGAATAAATTTAAAAAAATGGAAACAATTGTATTTGGAATTCTGCACCATTTCCTAGCTTTGATGATAAGGAATAATCTGCTAAGGACACTGAGTACCTACAGCAGTTCTCTACACTTTTTATAAGCACAGTATAACTGCAAAACGTCCAGTTTGCTTACTTAGAAACGTTTAAATGTTCACTTTCTTAAGAATAATCACAGTGAGTTCAGAACTAATAGCTTATTGACCATCACAACAAGTTTGCTCAGGGTGGATTTTGTTACCTCCTTTTACAGGAGAAGAAATTAAAGTTCAGGTTAAATGACTTGCCTTCACAATCCCAGCCCCTCAACCAAAAAAATAAAAGAAATTAAATGAATTGCCTCACATTCCTAGCTCCCTATCCAAAAAATAAAAGGAGGGAAGTGGAGGGGAGGGGAGAGGAGGGGAGAGGTAAGGGAAAGAAGTGGGGAGTGGGAAGTGGGGGAGGGGAGGGGATCCATTGAGAAGGCAAAATTTTCAGCTCAGCCTTGAGAATTTTTGGACTTTATTCTTTCCAAAGTATTGTTCTGTGATTTTTTTTGAAAAAAATTATAAATAAATGATAAACCTTAGTAAATAAAGATTTCTGAGGGCCATTGAACAGAAGTGCCCTATTTTCTATATGGTAGCTATGCTTATACAAAATCTGTCTTTATGGCAATGTTGAAAGTACCACTGTCATTCTAATAGCAAAGTACCACAACTTACCCTACTTACAAGTGAAGCAGTTAAGAAATGTGCTTCCTTGCTAAGTCAAATCTTTTATGAAAGGTAATAGAAGTAACACCAAATAGCATGACAGCCTTGGTAACTGGCAGCATGGAGGATGGGAGAATTTTAATTTACACTCTAGAATTTTCAAATCTGAATCTTTTGGAAGAGAACAAGAGTGAAATTATTGCCCCCCCCCCACAAATTTGCATCTTTCATGGCTGCATATATACATTTCTAAATTGTTTTTTAAAGGGCTTTACCAATTTACACTGTTCCTTAAATGTATAAGCTAATTTTACTAAATTTACACCAGCCTGAGGTTTATAACGCCATTTAGGGGATAAGTGATATTCCACCTATTCATACCTGATGCAGTTTCCAGAAAAGTAATTTTTATTTGAGCAGGTCTTGTACATCTTTTTGATACTTATAAAGTATGCTCTGAATGCCTGCCTAGTCATTCTCTTTTGGAAGGAAGTGTTCAAAATAGGGTTGGACATAGCTGGGATTTAAATGTTTCTTAATGTTAGTTTCTGATAGCTTTGTAGAATTTTTTTTTCAAATATATATACATATATACACATAATAATATTTGTTTTTAGTATTGATTTTATACTACTATTATGCTGTTTGGAGAATGAATTATATATGGTAGGGAAGATACTTTTTTTTTTTTTTCAGAGGGAGTCTTGCTTTGTCGACCAGGCTGGAGTGCAGTGGCTGAATCTCGGCTCACTGCAACCTCTGCCTCCCACGTTCAAGCAATTCTCCTGCCTCAGCCTCCTGAGGAGCTGAGATTACAGGCGTCTGCCACCATGCCCAGCTAATTTTTGTATTTTTAGTAGAGACGGGGTTTCACCATGTTGGCCAGGCTGGTCTCAAACTCCTGACCTCAGGTATCCACCCGCCTAGGCCTCCCAAAGTGCTGGGATTACAGCATGAGCCATAGTTCCTGGCTGGAAGATAAAATTTTGACATCTTTCATAAATTGCAAACTGAGTCAGAACAGCCATGGTTGTGGTTATTTTTTTTTTAATAATTTATGGAAGTTTTTTTAATTTTATTTTTATTTTTTATTTTTTGTTTTAGGTTTAAGCTAGTGTTTCTGTGTAAAATATTCTAGAATGTGAAGATTTACAAAGCAAACTTGTTTCAAGTTCCTAACAGCCAAACTACCATAACCTGGATTCCTAGGTTTTTGGGGGTAGGAAACATGACATTCCTATGATAATATGTTACTTTTATACAATCCTTTATACAAGGATTGAGGGTAGGGTATTTCTATAATTCTTTCTGATTTAAAGAAAAGTAGAAACATGGCAAAATTTGAAAGTTTTTAGAATTCATTAAAATTTCTTAACCTCTGTTTTTTAATGGCCACCCAGAACAGTGACAACATCAAATGTTAGTGAGGGTTTGGTGTAACAGGAACTCTCATTTGTTGCTGGTGAGAAGGCAAAATGGTACAGCCACTTTCGAAGACAGTTTGGCAGTTTCCTACAACACTAAACATATGCTTACTGTATAATCCAATAATCATGCTTCTTGGTATTTACCCAAAGGAGCTGAAAACCTGTGTCTACATATCAACCTGGTGCTTATAACAGCTTTATTCATAATTGCCAACATTTAGAAGCAACCAAGATATCCTTTAGTAGCTGAATGAATAAATAAACTGTAGTACATACAGGCAATGGAATATTATTCAGTGCTGAAATAAATGAGCTGTCAAGCCATGAAAAGACATGGAGAAAGCTAAAATGTATACTACTAAGTGAAAGAAACCAATCTGAAAAAGCAACATATTGTGTGATCCTGACTATACGATATTCTGCAAAAGACAAAACTGTAGAGTCCATAACAAGATCAGTGGTTTCCAGGGGAAGTGGAAGGAGGGATGAATAGGTGAAGCACCAAGGATTTTTTGAGGCAGTGAAACTCTTCTGTATTATACTATAAATTGTTGATACACATCATTGTATATTTGTCAAAACCCACAGAATGCACAGCACCAAGGGTAACCCTAACGTAAACTATGGACTTTGAGTGATAATCCTGCATTGGTGTAGATTGATCAGTTGTAACAAATGTACCATTGTGATGCAGGATGTTGATAGTGATGGAAGTTTTGTGTGTGTGAAGGCAGGGATATATGGGAAATCTCTGTACCTTCTGCTCATTTTTTTCTGTGAACTTAAAACAACTCTAGAAAATAAAGTCTATTTAAAAGGGAAAAAAAGTCTTCACAACATGCTCATAATAAATAGCAATTGCAAGAGAATGCTACTAACTTCTCTCTGTCAACCTTTTTTTTTTTTTTTTTTTTTGGAGACGGAGTCTCACTATGTTGCTCAGGCTGGAGTCCAGTGGCGCGATCTTGGCTCACTGCAACCTCCACCTCCTGGGTTCAAGCAGTTCTTCTGCCACAGCCTCCCGAGTAGCTGGGACTACAGGCACACGCTGCCACGCCCGGCTAATTCTGTGTATTTTAGTAGAGATGGGGTTTCACCATTGTTGCCCAGGCTGGTCTCGAACTCCTGAGCTCAGGCAATCCGCCCACTTCGGCCTCCCAAAGTGCTAGGATTACGGGCATGAGCCATCGCGCCTGGCCTCTGTCAACCTGTCTTGAGAAGTAATGACCAGATTCTCCAAGTCCAAGTGGTTAAATAGATTTTTCCTTGCACATTGTCCTTAAGTCATTGAAAAAACACCTTTTTATTACCTCAGTTTCTATCACACTATGATGAAGGAATAAAGTACTAGCTTTGAGAATTCAAGAACTTTATAAATTATTAATTATTCAAAATTATTAAGCAACAGAGTTACAATAATAGCATTCCTTTTCATAGAAGCTGGCAATGAGTAGATGCGTTATGGAGTGTTTATTCTGGTTATTGCCTATGCATTTCTCTAACACAAACGCATCAACATCTGCCTTCTCTTCACTTGCATTCTAATACAGAGATGGCAAATGAAACAGAGTTGATAGTTACAGGACATTGAAAATTTAAATGTATTTTAAAATATTGTGGAAAAAGGAATTTTAATTCTCACCAATGGGTTTTATTTTAAAACCTGTACCTTTTGTAGAACTCAGATTTTTGCCTTTGCTACTTGCTTATATCTAGCTCTAGTCATCTCCAAAATTAGCATCTCTGGGTAAATTCAAATAGTTAAAAAAAAAAAAAAACTCCTGTGGCCAAAATTTACATGGTGAGATAAAATGAAGTGAAGAATTAGAGCAGCCATTTGTATACTATGTTTAGAAAAAATAAATATTCTCCAGGAGAAAAAAATATGGTGACTTAAGTTGCCTCATTTTAAGGATGGCATTCGTTACAAGATCTGGAGATCTTATCTTTATTGAAATGGAGTTTTCTATCCTACATGTGGAAAGTATAGTGATGGTTATTCCTGTAATGGTGACTTAGAGGCATTCTAACAATTGAGGGATTGTATGAATTATGTGAATGTAAAATAAACTATGATTTTAAGACTGAAGTATTATTGCATTTTTTCAAATTATGAAGAGTTTTAATATAAGAGATTAGAGGCTTAAACAACTAGTGAAGGGGTAGACAAATGAAGCCTAAAGAAACTATTATCCAAAGTCTTAGCTTCAGCATCAAAGTAAGTGATTCTCAATAGCTTAACATAAAATTTCTGCAAATCTCAAGAACTCCTGGGTATCTCCTAATGTACTTTTATCAGTCTGAGGCTCCAATGTGGATGATTATCAAAAGTTCACTTGGAAACCGCTTCAAACATTCTGTCTAGTCCCGTATCCGCCTGCCTCTTATTCTTTCCAGACTTCCCAACTGGACTTCAACCTCTGCCTTTCATAAACTCTAGCTCTATTTCAGGAACCATATGCATAAGCAAATTCTGGAAAATGTAGCTCCCAGTTCCTCCTCTGCATTGAAGAGGAAACGTTAGGAAAAGCTGGTGGTAATGTCCAGTGGAAACAGATAAACAGATGTACCATGATCTTACCTCTTCAATAGCTATTTCTTTGACATTGAGTGTTTTGATCCAATAATATATCTGCCTACATATTTTGCAAATAGTTGTAAGCCTGGTATACGTGCCTGAATTATTTTACAGATGCCTATAAAAATGTAAAGTTTACATTAAAAGAGAGAGAGAAAGAAAGAAAGAAAAGAAAGAAGGAAAGAAGAAGGAAGGAAGGGAAAAGAAAGGAAGAAACAAAAAGAAAAGAAAAGGAAAGAAGGAAGAAAGAAAGAAAAGGAAGGAAGGGAGGGATGGAGGAAAGGAAGGAGGGAGGGAGGAAGGAAGGAAAGGAAGGGAAGGAAGGAAGGGAGGGAGGGACAGAGGGATGGAGGGAGGGAAGAAGAAAAGAAGGGTTAACTGAGCTTCTTGGGTTGGCAGATTATTGACTTTCCTTACATTTTGGGAATTTGGGGCCATTATTTCTTCAAATACTTCCCTGCTTTCACCCTCTTCTTTTGTTATGGGACTCCTATTACACATATGTATGCCTAATAATGTTCCACAGATCTCTGAGATTCTGTTTATTTTTCCTGGTTTTTCTTCTGTTTTATTTTCAGATAGTTTATACTGATCTGTCTTCAGAATGATTGGTTCTTTTTTTCCTGACCACATGAATCATTAATGGAGCTTCTTTTGAATTTTTCCTTTTACTTTTCACATCAAAATTTCCATTTGCTTTTTGTAATTGTTATCTCTTTCATAAGAGCTTCTATTCATTGAGTCATTATCATTAGACTTGCCTTTAATTCTTTAAACATGCTTTTTAGAGTTACTTTATTTATTTTTATTTTGTTTTATTTTATTTTAAGTTCCAGGATACATGTGCAGGATGTGCAGGTTTGTGACACAGGTAAATGTGTGCCATGATGGTTTGCTGCACCTGTCAACCCATCATCACCTAGGTATTAAGCCCACCTAGGTATTAGCTATTTTTCCTGGCACCCTCCCTACCCCTCTCCCCACCCACTGACAGGCCCCGGTGTGCATTGCTCCCCTCCTTGTGTCCATGCGTTCTCATTATTCAGCTCCCACTTTTAAGTGAGAACATGTGGTGTTTGCTTTTCTGTTCCTGCAATAGTTTGCTGAGGATAATGGCTTCCAGCTCCATCGATGTCCCTGCAAAGGACATGACTTCATTCCTTTTATGGCTGCATAGTATTCCATGGTGTATATGTACCACATTTTCTTTATCCAGTCTTCATCGATGGATATTTGGGTTGATTCCATGTCTTTGCTATTGTAAATGGTGCTGCAATCAAATACACGTGCATGTTCATTTATAGTAGAATGATTTATATTCCTTTGGGTGAGTAGCCAGTAATGGAATTGCTGGGTCAAATAGTGTTTCTGGTTTTAGGTCTTTCAGAAATCACCACACTGTCTTCCACAATGGTTGAACTGATTTATATTCCCTCCAAAAGTGTAAAGGTGTTCCTGTTTCCACAGCCTCACCAGCATCTGTTGTTTCTTGATGTTTTAATAATTGCCATTCTGACTGGTGTGAGATGGTATCTCACTGTGCTTTTGATTTGCATTTCTCTAGTGATCAGTGATACTGAGCTTTTTTCATGTTTTTTGGCCACATAAATGTCTTCTTTTCTATACACCAACAGTAGACAAGCAGAAAGCCAAATCATGAATGAATTCCCACTCACAATTGCTACAAAGAGAATAAAATACCTAGGAATAGAGCTAACAAGAGAAATAAAAGACCTCTTCAAGGAGAACTACAAACCACTGCTCAAGGAAATCAGAGAGGACACAAATAAATGGAAATACATTCCATGCTCATGGATAGGAAAAATCAATATCATGAAAATAGCCATACTATAAAGTTATTTTAACATATGTTTAACATAGGTCCTTTGACGTCTTTGCTAAATCCAAAATCAGTGGGTTGGTGGTGGTGGGGTGTTCAGTCACACATTTTCCATTGATTGCTTTGTTTTTTCCTGAGTATGAGTCACACTTTCTTCTTCACATAATTTTAATTGAGGATTATATTTTTAGATAATATAGCAGTATAATATTGCTTTTTGATTCTTTTAATATTTGCTATTGATTTTTACTTTTTTCCTTCATTAGTGTTTTTTTGGCTTTTATTTGTTTCTCATTTTTAAATCGGAGAGGTCTGTCTCTGCCAAAATGTATGGCTGCTGTTTCTACTGGAATTTTTTTCTGATGTTATTATTTTGTCTGGTTTTTATGTTTAAGCCTTTTTTCCTGGGGTGGCCCGGTGTCTGCACAGTTTACTGTTCTGCTGAAGATTAGTTAGAGGTTACATTCAAACAGCTAAAGCCAGGAAAGCTTTCCACTGCCTGCTGATGACTCTGTATGGGCTGGAGAGCACGTTCAAACATCAGGCTGTTTTAAGAAGTCTGCCCATTTTACTTTCCATCGAGCTCACTTGTGTGTCTCCTGAGCATGTGCACTGGCTTCATAAGCCAGGGATATGTGAGTTGCTTGAGTTCACTCTAGCCTCTACTGCACACGCACACAACTTCTGGTTAAAGCTGGTTATGCAGAACATTTACCAATCCCATTAAGTCTGCCTTACTTACTGGAGCTCCTTGTTTAATGTCTAGCTATTCAAATTTAAGCTAGCAGAGCTACTGGCCCTCCCTTTTCACTTGCCACCAAGATAACCACTCACATTAGTCAGGGTTCTCAGAGAAACAGAACCAATAGGAGATAGCTAGATGGATAGACACACAGACAGAGAGAATTCATTGTGGGGATTGGTTCACACAATTATGCAGGCCAAGAAGTCCCATGATATGCCATTTGCAGGCCAAAGAAAGAGGAAATCTGGTGGAGTTGTAATTCAGTCCAAGTCCAAAGACTTTAAAAATGGGGACTGGGGGAAGCACTGGTGTAAGCCAGAGTCCAAAGGCCCAAGGACCGGGTGGTTCAATGTCCAAGGAAAGAAGAAATGGATTTCTCAGCTCAAGAGGAGAGAGAGAAAGAGGATTTGTCCTTATTCTGCATTTTTGTTCTATTTGGGCCCTCAGTAGATTAGATGCTGCCCATCAGTATTGGTGACAACAGATCTTCTGTACTCAATTTACTGACTCAAATGCTGATCTCTTCTAGAAACACGCACACAGAGATACTTAGATGTAACATTTTTCCAGCCATCTGAGCATTCTTTAGCCCCATCAAATTAACACATAAAATTAACCATTATAGTATGTACACATATATGTGTGTATGTATGTGTGTACAATTATGCATCATTTAACAACAGGGACACACTCTGAGAAACGTGTTGTTTAGGTGATTCCCTTGTTGTGCAAACATCATAGAGCGTACTCACACAGACCTAGATGGTATAGCCTATTACACATCTAGGCTGTACGGTATAGTCTATGGCTCCTAGGCTACAAACCTATGCAGTACGTTACTGTACTGAATACTGCAGACAATTGTAACACAATGGTAAGTGTTTATATATGTAAACATATCAAAACATTAAAAAGGTAAAGTAAAAATATGGTATAAAAGATGGTACACCTGTATAGACCACTTAACATAAATGGAGGTTACAAAACTGGAAGTTGTTTTGTGTGAGTCAGTGAGTAGGTGGTGAGTGAATGCGAAGGCCTACAATATTGCTATACAGTACTGTAGACATTACAAACATTGTACACTTAGGCAACACTAAATTAAGAGTATTTTTCTTCCTCAATAATAAATTAGCCACTTGTAATAGTCTGTTTTCATGCTGCTGATAAAGACATACCGAGACTGGGCAATTTACAAGAGAAAGAGGTTTAATTAGACTTCCAATTCCACATGGCTGCAGAGGCCTCACAATCATGGTGGAAGGCAAGGAGGAGCAAGTCACATCTTACATGGATGGTGGCAGGCAAAATAGGAGCTTGTGAAGAGAAACTCCCATTTTTAAAACCATCAGATTTCATGAGACCCATTCACCATCACGAGAACAGCATGGGAAAGACCTGCCCCCATGATTCAATCACCTTTCACTGGATCCCTCCCACACCACGTGGGAATTATGGAAGCTACAAGATGAGATTTGGGTGGGGACACAGAGCCAAGCCATATCACTACTGCAACTTATTTTTACTTTATCAATGTTTTAATTTTTAAAGCTTTTTCACTCTTTTGTAATAACGCTTAGCTTAAAACACAAACACATGGTCAGCTGTACAAAAATATTTTCTTTCCATATATTGTTATTCTACAAGATTTTGTGGGGGGAGGAGCCAAGATGGCCGAATAGGAACAGCTCCGGTCTACAGCTCCCAGCGTGAGCGACGCAGAAGACGGTGATTTCTGCATTTCCATCTGAGGTACCGGGTTCATCTCACTAGGGAGTGCCAGACAGTGGGCGCAGGCCAGTGTGTGTGCGCACCGTGCGCGAGCCGAAGCAGGGCGAGGCATTGCCTCACCTGGGAAGCGCAAGGGGTCAGGGAGTTCCCTTTCCGAGTCAAAGAAAGGGGTGACGGACGCACCTGGAAAATCGGGTCACTCCCACCCGAATATTGCGCTTTTCAGACCGGCTTAAGAAACGGCGCACCACGAGACTATATCTCACACCTGGCTCGGAGGGTCCTACGCCCACGGAATCTCGCTGATTGCTAGCACAGCAGTCTGAGATCAAACTGCAAGGCGGCAACGAGGCTGGGGGAGGGGCGCCCGCCATTGCCCAGGCTTGCTTAGGTAAACAAAGCAGCAGGGAAGCTCGAACTGGGTGGAGCCCACCACAGCTCAAGGAGGCCTGCCTGCCTCTGTAGGCTCCACCTCTGGGGGCAGGGCACAGACAAACAAAAAGACAGCAGTAACCTCTGCAGACTTAAGTGTCCCTGTCTGACAGCTTTGAAGAGAGCAGTGGTTCTCCCAGCACGCAGCTGGAGATCTGAGAACGGGCAGACTGCCTCCTCAAGTGGGTCCCTGACCCCTGACCCCCGAGCAGCCTAACTGGGAGGCACCCCCCAGCAGGGGCACACTGACACCTCACACGGCAGGGTATTCCAACAGACCTGCAGCTGAGGGTCCTGTCTGTTAGAAGGAAAACTAACAACCAGAAAGGACATCTACACCGAAAACCCATCTGTACATCACCATCATCAAAGACCAAAAGTAGATAAAACCACAAAGATGGGGAAAAAACAGAACAGAAAAACTGGAAACTCTAAAACGCAGAGCGCCTCTCCTCCTCCAAAGGAACGCAGTTCCTCACCAGCAACAGAACAAAGCTGGATGGAGAATGATTTTGATGAGCTGAGAGAAGAAGGCTTCAGACGATCAAATTACTCTGAGCTACGGGAGGACATTCAAACCAAAGGCAAAGAAGTTGAAAACTTTGAAAAAAATTTAGAAGAATGTATAACTAGAATAACCAATACAGAGAAGTGCTTAAAGGAGCTGATGGAGCTGAAAACCAAGGCTCGAGAACTACGTGAAGAATGCAGAAGCCTCAGGAGCCGATGCGATCAACTGGAAGAAAGGGTATCAGCAATGGAAGATGAAATGAATGAAATGAAGCGAGAAGGGAAGTTTAGAGAAAAAAGAATAAAAAGAAATGAGCAAAGCCTCCAAGAAATATGGGACTATGTGAAAAGACCAAATCTACGTCTGATTGGTGTACCTGAAAGTGATGTGGAGAATGGAACCAAGTTGGAAAACACTCTGCAGGATATTATCCAGGAGAACTTCCCCAATCTAGCAAGGCAGGCCAACGTTCAGATTCAGGAAATACAGAGAACGCCACAAAGATACTCCTCGAGAAGAGCAACTCCAAGACACATAATTGTCAGATTCACCAAAGTTGAAATGAAGGAAAAAATGTTAAGGGCAGCCAGAGAGAAAGGTCGGGTTACCCTCAAAGGAAAGCCCATCAGACTAACAGCGGATCTCTCGGCAGAAACCCTACAAGCCAGAAGAGAGTGGGGGCCAATATTCAACATTCTTAAAGAAAAGAATTTTCAACCCAGAATTTCATATCCAGCCAAACTAAGCTTCATAAGTGAAGGAGAAATAAAATACTTTATAGACAAGCAAATGTTGAGAGATTTTGTCACCACCAGGCCTGCCCTAAAAGAGCTCCTGAAGGAAGCGCTAAACATGGAAAGGAACAACCGGTACCAGCCGCTGCAAAATCATGCCAAAATGTAAAGACCATCAAGACTAGGAAGAAACTGCATCAACTAATGAGCAAAATCACCAGCTAACATCATAATGACAGGATCAACTTCACACATAACAATATTAACTTTAAATATAAATGGACTAAATTCTGCAATTAAAAGACACAGACTGGCAAGTTGGATAAAGAGTCAAGACCCATCAGTGTGCTGTATTCAGGAAACCCATCTCACGTGCAGAGACACACATAGGCTCAAAATAAAAGGATGGAGGAAGATCTACCAAGCCAATGGAAAACAAAAAAAGGCAGGGGTTGCAATCCTAGTCTCTGATAAAACAGACTTTAAACCAACAAAGATCAAAAGAGACAAAGAAGGCCATTACATAATGGTAAAGGGATCAATTCAACAAGAGGAGCTAACTATCCTAAATATTTATGCACCCAATACAGGAGCACCCAGATTCATAAAGCAAGTCCTCAGTGACCTACAAAGAGACTTAGACTCCCACACATTAATAATGGGAGACTTTAACACCCCACTGTCAACATTAGACAGATCAACGAGACAGAAAGTCAACAAGGATACCCAGGAATTGAACTCAGCTCTGCACCAAGCAGACCTAATAGACATCTACAGAACTCTCCACCCCAAATCAACAGAATATACATTTTTTTCAGCACCACACCACACCTATTCCAAAATTGACCACATAGTTGGAAGTAAAGCTCTCCTCAGCAAATGTAAAAGAACAGAAATTATAACAAACTATCTCTCAGACCACAGTGCAATCAAACTAGAACTCAGGATTAAGAATCTCACTCAAAGCCGCTCAACTACATGGAAACTGAACAACCTGCTCCTGAATGACTACTGGGTACATAACGAAATGAAGGCAGAAATAAAGATGTTCTTTGAAACCAACGAGAACAAAGACACCACATACCAGAATCTCTGGGACGCATTCAAAGCAGTGTGTAGAGGGAAATTTATAGCACTAAATGCCTACAAGAGAAAGCAGGAAAGATCCAAAATTGACACCCTAACATCACAATTAAAAGAACTAGAAAAGCAAGAGCAAACACATTCAAAAGCTAGCAGAAGGCAAGAAATAACTAAAATCAGAGCAGAACTGAAGGAAATAGAGACACAAAAAACCCTTCAAAAAATCAATGAATCCAGGAGCTGGTTTTTTGAAAGGATCAACAAAATTGATAGACCGCTAGCAAGACTAATAAAGAAAAAAAGAGAGAAGAATCAAATAGACACAATAAAAAATGATAAAGGGGATATCACCACCGATCCCACAGAAATACAAACTACCATCAGAGAATACTACAAACACCTCTACGCAAATAAACTAGAAAATCTAGAAGAAATGGATACATTCCTCGACACATACACTCTCCCAAGACTAAACCAGGAAGAAGTTGAATCTCTGAATCGACCAATAACAGGCTCTGAAATTGTGGCAATAATCAATAGTTTACCAACCAAAAAGAGTCCAGGACCAGATGGATTCACAGCCGAATTCTAGCAGAGGTACAAGGAGGAACTGGTACCATTCCTTCTGAAACTATTCCAATCAATAGAAAAAGAGGGAATCCTCCCTAACTCATTTTATGAGGCCAGCATCATTCTGATACCAAAGCCGGGCAGAGACACAACCAAAAAAGAGAATTTTAGACCAATATCCTTGATGAACATTGATGCAAAAATCCTCAATAAAATACTGGCAAACCGAATCCAGCAGCACATCAAAAAGCTTATCCACCATGATCAAGTGGGCTTCATCCCTGGGATGCAAGGCTGGTTCAATATACGCAAATCAATAAATGTAATCCAGCATATAAACAGAGCCAAAGACAAAAACCACATGATTATCTCAATAGATGCAGAAAAAGCCTTTGACAAAATTCAACAACCCTTCATGCTAAAAACTCTCAATAAATTAGGTATTGATGGGACGTATTTCAAAATAATAAGAGCTATCTATGACAAACCCACAGCCAATATCATACTGAATGGGCAAAAACTGGAAGCATTCCCTTTGAAAACCGGCACAAGACAGGGATGCCCTCTCTCACCGCTCCTATTCAACATAGTGTTGGAAGTTCTGGCCAGGGCAATCAGGCAGGAGAAGGAAATAAAGGGTATTCAATTAGGAAAAGAGGAAGTCAAATTGTCCCTGTTTGCAGACGACATGATTGTTTATCTAGAAAACCCCATCGTCTCAGCCCAAAATCTCCTTAAGCTGATAAGCAACTTCAGCAAAGTCTCAGGATACAAAATCAATGTACAAAAATCACAAGCATTCTTATACACCAACAACAGACAAACAGAGAGCCAAATCATGGGTGAACTCCCATTCACAATTGCTTCAAAGAGAATAAAATACCTAGGAATCCAACTTACAAGGGATGTGAAGGACCTCTTCAAGGAGAACTACAAACCACTGCTCAAGGAAATAAAAGAGGAGACAAACAAATGGAAGAACATTCCATGCTCATGGGTAGGAAGAATCAATATCGTGAAAATGGCCATACTGCCCAAGGTAATTTACAGATTCAATGCCATCCCCATCAAGCTACCAATGACTTTCTTCACAGAATTGGAAAAAACTACTTTAAAGTTCATATGGAACCAAAAAAGAGCCCGCATTGCCAAGTCAATCCTAAGCCAAAAGAACAAAGCTGGAGGCATCACACTACCTGACTTCAAACTATACTACAAGGCTACAGTAACCAAAACAGCATGGTACTGGTACCAAAACAGAGATATAGATCAATGGAACAGAACAGAGCCCTCAGAAATAATGCCGCATATCTACAACTATCTGATCTTTGACAAACCTGAGAAAAACAAGCAATGGGGAAAGGATTCCCTATTTAATAAATGGTGCTGGGAAAACTGGCTAGCCATATGTAGAAAGCTGAAACTGGATCCCTTCCTTACACCTTATACAAAAATCAATTCAAGATGGATTAAAGATTTAAACGTTAAACCTAAAACCATAAAAACCCTAGAAGAAAACCTAGGCATTACCATTCAGGACATAGGCGTGGGCAAGGACTTCATGTCCAAAACACCAAAAGCAATGGCAACAAAAGACAAAATTGACAAATGGGATCTAATTAAACTAAAGAGCTTCTGCACAGCAAAAGAAACTACCATCAGAGTGAACAGGCAACCTACAACATGGGAGAAAATTTTTGCAACCTACTCATCTGACAAAGGGCTAATATCCAGAATCTACAATGAACTCAAACAAATTTACAAGAAAAAAACAAACAACCCCATCAAAAAGTGGGCGAAGGACATGAACAGACACTTCTCAAAAGAAGACATTTATGCAGCCAAAAAACACATGAAGAAATGCTCATCATCACTGGCCATCAGAGAAATGCAAATCAAAACCACTATGAGATATCATCTCACACCAGTTAGAATGGCAATCATTAAAAAGTCAGGAAACAACAGGTGCTGGAGAGGATGCGGAGAAATAGGAACACTTTTACACTGTTGGTGGGACTGTAAACTAGTTCAACCATTGTGGAAGTCAGTGTGGCGATTCCTCAGGGATCTAGAACTAGAAATACCATTTGACCCAGCCATCCCATTACTGGGTATATACCCAAATGAGTATAAATCATGCTGCTATAAAGACACATGCACACGTATGTTTATTGCGGCACTATTCACAATAGCAAAGACTTGGAACCAACCCAAATGTCCAACAATGATAGACTGGATTAAGAAAATGTGGCACATATACACCATGGAATACTATGCAGCCATAAAAAATGATGAGTTCATATCCTTTGTAGGGACATGGATGAAATTGGAAACCATCATTCTCAGTAAACTATCGCAAGAACAAAAAACCAAACACCGCATATTCTCACTCATAGGTGGGAATTGAACAATGAGATCACATGGACACAGGAAGGGGAATATCACACTCTGGGGACTGTGGTGGGGTCGGGGGAGGGGGGAGGGATAGCATTGGGAGATATACCTAATGCTAGATGACACATTAGTGGGTGCAGCGCACCAGCATGGCACATGTATACATATGTAACTAACCTGCACAATGTGCACATGTACCCTAAAACTTAGAGTATAATAAAAAAAAAAAAAAAAAAAAAAAAAAGTTTTAAATTAAAAAAAAAAAAAAAAAAAAAAAAAAAGATTTTGTGTACTATGAACTTTTTTTATTTTTTTTTACTTCTCAAAGTTTTTTGTTTAAAACTAAGATACAAATACACACATTAGCCTAAGTCTACACAGTGTCAGAATCATCAATATCACTGTCTTTCACTGTCACATCTTGTGCCACTGGAAGATCTTTTGGAACAATAACGTGCATGGAGCTGTCATCTCCTATAATAACAATGCCTTCTTCTGGAACATCCCCCGAAGGATCTCCCTGAGGCTGTTTTACAGTTAACTTTTTTTTCTAATAAGTAGAGGGAGTATACTCTAAAATAATGATTGAAAGTTTAATATAGTAAATACATAAACCAGTAACATAGTTGTTTATGATCATTATCAAGTATTATGTACTGTAGATAGTTGTATGTGCTGTACTATTTAGGATTGTCAGCACAGTGGGTTTGTTTATACCAGCATCACCAAAAACATGAGTAATGTGTAACTCTGTGATGTTATGATAGCTACAGTCACTAGGCAATAGGAATTATTCAGCTCCATTATAATCTTATGAGACCACCATAGTATATGCAGTTTGTTGTTAGCCAAAACATCATTATGCAGTGCATGACTAAATGTATATCTCACACATACCACACCTACACACCTGCACATATATATAAATATACATATATATCACAGTATATATATGTGTGTGTGTGTGAGATATATATGTACCACAGTATATACATGTGACATATATATAGATATACATTTTATATATATAGTGGTCCTTGAATACATATAGCAGATTCTCAAAGAACTTCATTTTTTCAATGTTTTTTAGTTATAATGTAAATGAGAAACTGGTGTTGTCATATTGTTTCACTTAAAGTAGCAGTTTCCAAGAACCTGTCAACATTAAGTGAGGACTTACTCTATATATCTCCACATATCTATCTATCTGTGTATCCATCTGTATATATATGGAGATAGAGAAACAGGGACAGAGACAGAAAGGAAGAGAGAGAGCTTTATTGTAAGGAGTGTTTTACCAGACTTCAGAGGCTGAGGAGTTCCAGGATCTGTGTAGTTCCAGTTCATACCCAAAGGCCTGAGAACAAGGAGCAGCAATGATGTCAATCCCAGTCTGAGGGTAGAAGACTAAAGACTTAGCTGAAGCAATCAGGCAGAAAAGAAATTCTCTCTTTCTCCACCTTCTGTTGTATTCAAGCCCTCACCAGCTTGGATGATGCCCACTCACATTAAAGAGGACTCTGCTTTACTCAGTCTAATGATTTAAATGCTAATCTCTTCTGAAAATGTCCTCAAGACACACCAAGAGATAATGTTTAACCAACTATCTGGGCACCCCATGACCCAGTCAACTTCACATGTAATATTAACCATCACACACCTTTAATAATTAAGTGCTCTAAATCCTGTGTGCCCTTACTGGCAGAACAGGGACACTGCTGGTTTTCACAGCCTGTCCCTCCCTAGTTGGAATATCATGGACAGAGATAGTAGGGGCATGGGAGCAGTCCTGGGCAAGAGCACCACAGGCTCACGCCAGTCTTACCCAAATATAGTAGAACTCAAGCATGAATGCTTCTTACATTAATATACAGCTTTGCTTGATTTCCAGATTTTTAGCAATCTGAAATGATTGACAGTTTTGTTCAGCTTTATGGTTCACATTTGTTTGAGGAAATGATTTGTTAGCTTCCTAATTCCATCATTCTGGTAAGGAAATCTTATTAACTGTGAATTTACCTAGAGTGAATAAAATAACTTCTTTTCAAAATATCACCATGTCATTTCAAGCCTGCAAGAAAAGACAGAGAGAGACCAGAAATTTATCTATCATTTCACAAAAAAGTATACTGAAAAGACCTTATACTTTGGACTCAAGTGAACCTAGGTTTGAATCTTGACATCAACTTTCTGCTATATGAACTCTAGGGGAAAGAAAACCCGCAAGCTCTCTGAGCTTTCTCTGTGAAGTGGATATTATAGTTGGTGTTTTGAGGACTAAATGTCTGACATATAGTATATACTTAATGGTTGCTAGTTTTTTTTTTAAAAATCTACCCTTTCTGTTTTTGCTTCGCATAGATAAGGTATGTTGTATATCAAACTGCCTGATTTCGTTTCTCGTGTTTCAAGATTACATTAACATGTGCATTTAGTTATTGATGTTTGAAAAGTGTATGGCCG
Organism: Homo sapiens; assembly: GCF_000001405.40. Classification (NCBI taxonomy): domain Eukaryota; kingdom Metazoa; phylum Chordata; class Mammalia; order Primates; family Hominidae; genus Homo; species Homo sapiens. The sequence continues at coordinate 70,467,220 of NC_000017.11, forward strand.
GGGTCATTGGTAATTTAAAAGACACAATGGAGAAATAGTTTCTGAAGCAACCAACACCCCTCTGGTTTGATGCCCAAGAATGCAGTCCTTCTTTTGTGTTTTTACAAGCCTTCTGTTGATTTATGTTTGCAAATGTACTTTTGGTCATTTTCTTAGGCAGTAATCCCAATGTCTTTCTTTAGATAATTATTGTATATGTATTTTTTTGCAATATTTTCTAAGTGTTAAAAGGAAGAAGGAATGAAGAGGATAAATGCATGTTAGTTTTTGTGGGATGAATTCCAGATCAACTTCTTCTAGCAGGCTAATTTTTTTTTCATTTTTCTTTTGGTCAATTGTAAGCATTGACATCATTATAGTATTCTCTCTATTTCTTCTTTGAATTACTCACTCAACCACACCTAGCTACTAGATTAGTATTTCAGTTCTAAACACTGATTATAACTAGAAAGTAAGGCAAACAAAATAATGTTAAACAAATTATAATGTAGCTACAGATTTATGATACTCATTTTTCTGGATCCTACCAGTACTTATTTTGTTTTCTTTATATACCCAAATACATTGTAAATTTGATAACAAAAATCACCTTTCCTCCATGTCTGTTAAATCTCAGTAGTAAAAGATATATGATATATTTTCTCCTTGAAGTATTGCCTTTCTTGTAGTGGAAAGTGTAGTGCCAGACATCAAACATCAACCAGTTTTATAGAAACAACACTGGAAATAGAATAGACATAAGATATAAATTTTGCTTTGTCATTCAGCAGCTGTATGATCTTGTTTAAGTAAATCGAATTCTTTGAATTATGGTTCCCCCATCTTCAATGATGTGGTGGCTTAAATTCTAAGCTTTTTATTGGTGCTAAAAGTCTATAATCCTGTAACCACTGGATATTAGTCTAAAATTTGCTGATGCCTTCTCTAAATAGTTTCTAAATTAAATGCTTTTATTTTTGTTTGTGTATTCGCACTGAAGATTGGCTAATATGTTTGTTTCACTGGGTGTTGAATGTTGTTTTTGGAGATGCGATTTAAGATTCCAGGAAGCTAAACTTGTTTCTATTGAGATTGGGACCTCACTTTTCTTATACTCTCATTTTATAGTGATCATTATAAACCTCTCCATTGATTCATTTTCTATGTATGTATGTATATATGGATATATGTATGTATGTATCTTATGTGTCTAGTTTTGTGGTTCTGATCTTAAAACCCTAGAGTATCTTGAGATCTATTATTTTACTTAGAAACTATTCTCCTGTCCCTGTACTAAATTGTACCCCACCCACCCAAATACACTGAAAGTGTTTTACATGCTTTCGATTTATATTCAATGAGTAGAATAGCCATAGGGAAAATAAGCTACTGGCCAGACTCTATACTGAATTATTCTATTAGTTTTGCTCAATCATGACTCCAGATTTAGGAGTTAAGCTAAAAAATACAGTTCTTGTCATATTAGCCCTCAGTATTCAGTGTGAACAGTGAGAAAGAAAAAGAGCACATTGGAGCCCCCACCCAAAGAATGAGCTCGTTTGCATACTCTAATCTCACATAGTCTTAATTTCATTAACACTTTCATTTTGGCAGCTTCACACACAACAGTGAAAGACATAAAATCCACAATTTTAGCACAGCTGTTTCCTCCTTCCTTCACAAAGTTATTTAAACACCTCGTGACACAAGGGGAAAGGGTGGATGGATGACATTTCAATGAATTATCTCCTGTCTGCTGTGTCATTTCAGAAATACTTACTAATTGGCAGAATAATCCTTCAAAATTACCTTTCAAGATCTGGATATTTTAACAAACTATACTTATTGTCCATTCCTATGTTTACATTCTTAAATCCCCAATATCCGTAGAAGCAGAATTGCTAAGAAATGTAGACTCATGCACCATGTTAAAAGGCAAAGAGGATTTACCAAATACTGTAAAATCCCTAGGAAAATTTTTTTTTAGTAGGGAGCTTCAGGATCATGTCCTTAGGATTTAGAATTTTAAATTGTGCTGTCAAGGAATTTGTCTTTTCATCTTTTTTTAAATAAGTAGTAAGATATCCAAATATATGTTTGAAATACCATTTTGAGGATAGAAACTCCACATTTGCATTAAAGTCTAAAGGAAATTGAATTGTACTTTGGTGATAAGAACACCTAACAGGTCACCTGCTGATAATGCCGTGATAAATATTATTTCAATGATAAATATTTCAAAACAGCCACATTCTTCCTCTTCAACCATAACACACACACACACACACACACACACACACACACACACACACACACACACAGACACGAGTGGGAAAGGGAGGGAAAAAGAGCTAAATCTTTCTGATATAATAAGTAAATTTGTACAATATTAAGATATCAACTTTTTGGACAAAAGAAAGCAGGAGCAACAATTTATCTTAGGTTAGGTATGATTTTACATATTTCTTTCACTAATAAACAGGCATCTTGAAGTTGGAGCTGTAATAGTAAGAATATTAGACTAAAATTAACTCTGCTACCAACTGTGGGGTCTTGACCAATTATATAAATGCCTGAGTCTTATTTTTTTTTCAACTTGAAAAAAAAGAGACACTATTGGTGATGTTTGCTTAGCTACAAATAGCTTTTTTTTTTTTTTTTTCTGTTCCTGTTACCCATTGGAGTATGTCTCCCCATCCAAAGTAGAACATAGTTGATTGGATGAAAGTAGCACTTGACAAAAGTGGAGCTGGTAGAGACCTACTCCCTGTGAAGCTTGAAATGAGGGCTCTGAGGTTATCTCCAGCCTGGGCTGCTATCAGAAGAGAGGCGAGGAAGGGTTCCTGAGGTTGCCGTGTCCCAATTCTGAGATGGTATGGCGTCTCATCTCAATTTAATAGCAGCAAAAAATGCCTATCTGTAAAAAAGTGAAAATGAGAAACAAGTCCAGAAAAATAACAAATGTCTCCCTCACCTCCTTAATGTTTCTATTGCTTAGTTCCATTTTGCAACATTCTAGTTCTGGACTCCCAAAGATACTCTTATTTTTTATTTTAACCTTAAACTAGTTACACTTGATTCAGGTTACACTATATTTAGGTTATTTGATAATAACCTAAATATACTTCGCTAACACAGGTCATTGTAGAAAATAATTAATCGCTTTGACTTAAGTCAGTTTTTATAAATGAAAATAAAAATGTTATACATAGTGGCAATTTTGAGTAACAAGTTCTAAACAATTAATAGTTTTATCAATAACTTGCACATAGTAAGGGTTATTGAATAATTCTTAAATCATGTTAATCCATCTTAAATCATATTAATCCATCAGAGTTATAATTTAAAATACTATATTTGGGTAGAATATCTTGAAAAGTTACAATTAATTGGTAAGTCAAACCACAAATTTTTTGGGGAATGCTACTTTAATATTAATCTGATCTATGTCTAATTGCTGTGACGAGTACTGAATCCTTTTCTTCCCAACCTACATTCCCTGAAATTTCTGCTTTTAAAATCTGTAGAAAGGCGACATATGATCTTTCCAATTGGAGCCACCATACTGTTGGTTAGGCTTTTATTTCTTGTATAGATTTAGTCTAGTTAGGTTTTTATTTCTTGTGTCTTTTATTTTATAAGATCTATTTTCTAGGTGTTACATTTTCCAAAAGAGTAATTTTCTTGTTTTTGTTTTGTTTTTTTTTTAACACTCCTGGCCTGTCTGGTATTGTTCTCTCTTGACTAGTTACCTGTATATTTTTTTAAAAAGTTATTTTAAATTCAAGTTTGTGGGCTGTTTTCCATTGTTTGTAGATGACACGGTGTAGTGGAAACGAACATAGGTCTCTATTATTTCTTTTTTCTGCTTCAGAAATGACGTTATTTTGAATTCAGTTCCCTAGTTAGCCATGATAACATCTAATTCAAAGATGATGGATCTTCGCAGATAACAAAGTCAGTGTGTTAATTTGAGACAAATTTCTGTTTCAGAGGACTGGGGTAAAATGTATTTACATAGGTTGAGTTCTATTGTCATCTCAGCAGTAATTCATGTGGCATCATAAAATCTGGATTCATATAAACATTAGTCGCTAAACCATAGACTTTCTTTTTCATTTTATGTAAGTACAAAAGTCTTGCAGAATGTGTTCTACCAGGAGGCACCTTTCTATACTGCCAGGTCACCACTTGTTGGAAGAGAGAACATTGAGATAATTCTTTTTACTCTAAGGCATAAGAAAACAATTTTTTTTTCTTTCCTCCTCTTTCTTGAATATTGGCTACAAGTATGTACATTTAGCCAAGAAGGAATTGAAAATATCTTTCTATTACATTTTTTCCACATCTGCAAGTCCTATGCTTAGAAGATTTAATTTTAACAAGTTTTCCTCTTATCGTGAACAGGTTATAAAAGAAGCCAAAAATTAAAGTCTAGTTAATATCTTCTCAAGTAGAACACAGGCTTTTTTTTTTTTTAGTTTCTGTGAATGTATTTGCTTTATAGTTTAACTTTTATTTCAAGTTTAGGGGTACAAGTGCAGGTTTGTTACATAGGTAAACTTGTGTCATGGGGGTTTGCTGTACAGATTATTTCATCACCCAGGTTTTAAGCCTAGTACCCATTAGTTATTTTTTCCTAATCCTCTCCCTCCTCCCCTCATCTGCCCTCTGAATGGCCCTGGTATGATTTTAAAATTTCATTATTTCCTTCTTACCTGCCACTTTCCAAGACTTTCGTAACATCTTTTCTTGATACTTTGAAATCCCTATGATTCTTTAAGGTCCAATTACCTCCATGAAACTTTTCTTAAAATTTCAAACCAACAGCTGTGTCTTCCCAGACCTGAATTATCATGGCAGTGTTAATGGTTCTCATTCATAGGTACTAGGTTAGATAAAAATTTATTAAAGGGTGACCCCATTATGGCTGCTGTTTTTGACACATTATAATTTCCAGTTCACTTCTGGTTTATCTAATTTGGTAAAATTTAAAAAATTATTTCTAAGATCTAGATGACTGACTAGAGGCACCCTGCGTGCATCTCCTTCTCCGCAAAGACCAAAAGAAGAAACAGAAAACCACAGGTTGAATTGAGTGTCTAGGGGAGAACACTGAAATTCAGCAAGGAAGTGACAAGACTCCCTGAGGCACAAAAATTCAAAATGGCAGCATAGTTGAGGGATTCCCCATCACAGGGAAAAGATAAGCAGGAGATTCACAGAAACCCAGTTCCTGCCACAGAGACAAGCAATCCTAGTTATGGGTGAGACCCTCAATGCTCATGGCCCTGGGACCAGTGCAGGGAGCTGCTTGAAGTTCATGCAACTGCATTTCTTCAGAGAAGAAATTCATGATAGGCCTTCCTACACCCAGGATCCAGGCTGCTGTAGCACGTCTGAATTTTGGGAACAGAAGCACCACCAGAGTGCATCCTACCCTGGGCCCAATATCTCCTTCATCTCCATATTTTTGGGGCCCTACCAGCATTCCTTCACATCTACACGGAAGGCTGCGGCCTTGTGAAACCAGCTGGACGTAGAGGTACATCTACAACAACACTTGAGTCTCCACGGCACTCTACACCTAGGGAAATAGGTGGTCCAGCACAGCAGGGAGGCTGCCCCAAGTATAGAGGGAGCCAACACCTGGCTCCCCAGAGCCTGAGAGCTGCCTGCCCAGAGCTCACCATTGCCAGCCACCAAGGCCCCACCCTCCAGTGGCAGACCTACTACACAACTGTGTGTGTGGTTGAAGGTCCAAGGACTGGCTTATCTGGGCCCACCACTGCCACCACCAGTATTCACATATGTCACCCAGTGACCTAAAGATCAACTTACCTGGAGTTCTCCACCACCGTTGCCTGCAAACCTGCCACCTCCAGTGGCAGGAACATTGCATGCCCACACACACTACCCAGAGGCTCAAGGACCAGCTTCTCAGGGCCTGTTGCCACACCGCCAGTGCACATGCACACCACCCAGGGGCACAAGAAGTTGGATGCCTGGGCATTCCATTGCACCACCAGCATGTGCATGAACCAAACAGTGGCTTCAGGGCCTGCTGCCGACACTGCCAGTGAACCTGCCCCTCCAGCAGTTGGACTGCCCTGCATCCTCATGTGACACCCGGGAGCCTGAGGACCAACCTACCCTGGGCCTGCACTGCCACCACCAGCACATACACATGCCACTCAGGAGCCTGAGGATCAGCCTACTTGGCATTCCCATCCCCAGCAAAGCTGGGCCACAACCCTCACCAAAAAACCAGAGCTTAGGCCACTGTGAGGCATTAACAAACATTATTGACATTGACTATAGCTGAAAAAATTCTATGGATACCACATTACTTTGTCTACCCAGAACCAAAGCAAAAACATCCTACCTAACAGACACCATGAAACACATATACAGGAAAAAATCTTTCCCTAAAAAACCTACCTCATGAAACTGGAAGAAATGACTATTACATCAGATGCATAGGTGTCAATGTAGGGTTATAAGAAACTTGAACAAGCAAAAGAACATGACAATTCCAAAGCAACCTAATAATTTCTCAATGATAGTCCCTAAAGAAAATAAAATTATAAGATGTATAAAAAAGAATGTAAAATAATGATCTTAAAAAACTTAGCAAGATTCAAGAGAACACAGATAGACAATTCAGTGACAATAGAAAAACAATTTATAATTTGAGAAATTCAACAAAGATATATATATATAGATAGATATATTCACACACACACTATATATGTGTATATATATGTGTGTATATGTGTATATATATGTATATATGTGTATATATATGTGTGTGTGTGTGTGTATGTGTATATATATGTGTATGAGAGAGAAAGAGAGTATAACCAATCAGAATTCTTGGAACTGAAGAATTCAAAGAATGGAATAAAAAATAAAATTGAGAATTTCAACAGCAGCCTAGATCAAGCAGAAGAAATAATTTTTGATCTTGAAGATGGGCCCTTAGAAATAGCACAGTCAGACAAAAAAAGCAGAAAATAATTAAAAAAAAAAAAGAGCCTACATGACATATGGGACACTATTAAGCAAACAAATATTTGCATTTTGGGTGATCCAGAAAAAGAAGAGATGAAAAAATGTGTAGAAAACTGTATTAGTTCATATTCACGTGGCTATAAAGAAATACCTGAAACTGGGTAATTTGCAAAGACAAGAAGTTTAATTGGCTCATGGTTCCAGATGCTGTATGGGAAACATAGTAGCATCTGCTCAGTTTCTGGAGAGGCCTCAGAAAACTTACAATCATGGTGGAAGGTGAAGGGGGAGCAGACACATTACAGGCCAGATCAGGAGACAGAGAGAGAGCAAGGGAGGAGTTGGTCCGCACTTTTAAATAATCAGATCTCATGAGGACTTACTCACTATTATGACAACAGCATTAAGGGGATAGTGCTAAACCATTCATGAGAAATTCACCCTCATGATCCAGTAACGTCCCATGAGGCCCAGCCTCCAACACTGGGGATGTTAAAGTAAACTATGGCCTGAGAAGGACTCTCTACTTCTATAGTTGAGTCCTTGTGGACGAACGGCAATCTCACTTAATAGGTAGACAAAATTGAAAACTTAACTGAGGAGTATGCACCTGTAACAATAGCCGAGTCTTGGCCATTCCGAGTGGCCGTACTTCAACCATTCATACACTTTTAAGTGCTCAAACTGTGTTCAAATCAGGTAAATGCCACCCTGTAACCGGTCCAGCCATTCTGTACCTCATTTCCAATTTTTGTATGTCCTTTCCCTTTTTGTGTCTGTAAATCTTTTTCCAGCACGTGGCTGCACTGGAGTCTGTGAATCTGCTGTGATTCTGGGGCTGCCTAATTTGTGAATCATTCATTGTTCAATTAAACTCCTTTAAATTTAATTCAGCTAAAGTTTTTCTTTTATCAGGGATTACTATTTGCCATGAGATTTGGGTGGGGACACATATCCAAACTATATCAAAAACCTATTTAATAAAATAATAGTTGAAATTTTTCTAAGTCTTAGAGAGATATAAACATTCAGGAACAGGAAACTCAAGATTCCCAAACAGATTCAACCCAAAAAGGTACAGTCTGAGTCACATTATAGTCAAACTGTCAAAATTCAAAGACAAAAAGGAAATTCTAAAAACAGCCAGAGTAAAGTGTCATGTCACATGTTAGGGAATCCCCTTTGATATAAATCCATTCTATTTAAGGCTATCTATGCTTTTAAGAGTAAAAGAAATAGTCTTAGTTTTTCATGAAGGAGTGAATAATTAATACATTTATTAATGCATACCATTAATTCTTTAGTCTGTGAATTTGGTATTTAAATTAGTATATACAAGCAAAAGAGTTGAGAAGGGAAAACAGACTATCAAATTGTAATTGTGTGTGTGTGTGACTGGAGGTGGAAGTTTGAAATGCTCTTTAAATTATTTTTATTAATAGAATATTATCAGGAATTAGAAGAAAAATAAAGTTGGAACATTGAACTCTTTCCCATGTAGCAACTTTAAGATCATTATGAAGACTTAAATGGAAAATAACTTACTAAAAAGGCTACTCTACGAAAAAAATGATGTGGACACTTCTACTCTCGGTATATTGAGATGGCAACTATGACAACAGCATAGGAGCATAGTATTTTTTTGTTTTTATTTTTATGTTTTTTTGAGATGGAGTCTTGCTCTGTCACCCAGGCTGGAGTGCAGTGGCGCGACCTTGGCTCACTGCAAGCTCCACCTCCCAGGTTCATGCCATTCTCCTGCCTCAGCTTCCCGAGTAGCTGGGACTACAGGCACCTGCCACCACACCCGGCTAATTTTTTGTATTTTTAGTAGAGACGGGGTTTCACCGTGTTAGCCAGGATGGTCTCGATCTCCTGACCTCGTGATCCGCCCACCTTGGCCTCCCAAAGTGCTGGGATTACAGGCGTGAGCCACCGCGCCCGGCCAAGATGAGTAAGTTCTTATTTGGAAATTGCTGAGGGTAAACATGATCATCTTGAGTAAAAGGGTAAAATACATTTCTCAGCACCCTATTTACTTGGTAAGGAATAAGTCAATTTCCAATGGGGGATTTCAGAAGACCTTAGTTATCAATCACAAGAGTGTAAATTGTCCTGAAGTATTTCCTCTCATGGTAAAATAATTTGAATTCTGAGTCAAGGGAAAAATAGAGATGTATTAAAGGAATTTAAAATATGGACATTAATCTTAATTTCATATGTGTATTTCAGGAGTGATGATCTAATTGCTTCTTTATTATAGTGAAAGGTTATCTCTAGTTTGTACTGATATGAAGTCACAAGCACTGTTCTGAACAATTTGCTAAATATAAGCTGCTGATACTGACTTTTGTGATCTAATAGAGGGCTTCCTCCATCGCAAAATTTCAGTGGCTTGCTCTTGTTTGTTTGTTTCTCCAAGTGCTTTGCGCTGCAATGACTGAACGTGTTACCTTTGTACATAGTGGGCCAAGTCAGGGGAAATCTGCTGTCTTATGATTGTCTTATTGTATATTATTGCTGCACAAAAAAAAATTATTATTCTGCCTTCTGGAAGCTTTTCCTAATGAATTTTAAGAGAGGCAGTAAATCTTTCCATCACACTTCTTATTAAAAAGCAAATAGATAAGTTAAATAATTCCAGCTTTATCTGTCATTCCCACAGTACATATTGCCACTGTATTTATGAGCATACCATTAGTATCTTTGTATGCAAAGAATGTTAATGTATGAGAACATGAATGTAATACTTTTATAAGCTGCATGTTGATTCTATACATTTCCTGGCTTATTGCTATCCTAATATAATTTTAAAAAAAGGAAAAGTACACTCCCAACACTGTATAAAGTAGTTCTCCAAAGGGGTGATTTTGCTATCAAAGGGCAACTGGCAGTATCCAGAGACATTTTTGATTAGCGTGGCTGGTGGGGGCTTGTTAGTTATGGACATCTAGTGAGTAGAGACCAGGCATGTAGTAAACTTCCTGCCTTCCTCAACCCCTCAACTCCCAACAAAGAATTATCTCATCAAAAATTTAAACGGATCCATGGTTTAGAAATCATACTCCCAAAGCAAACAAACGTTTCTTTTCGTTGCCTTAAAGTGTTGCATTCTGTTTTAGGGTGTGTGTGTGTATGTGACATTTGTCGCTGAGAAATGTATCTACTAAAGGTGAAATACTTTAGACTTGGACAAACCAGAGGCAAAACATGTCTTCCCACCATTGTCTAATGTAATAATTGAAATTACTAATTTTCAAAATTCAACTTATTGAGAAGAAATAAAGATTATATGTTATCTGTAGACTATTAAAATAATGCATTGTTTCATCATTAAGTATTAAAGGAGACTACAAATAAGAACAAGGCAAATCCTTATATTCTTGTCTATTATTCACAAAATGGTATTTTTCTCTAATGGCTAATATCTGATGCTGGAAAGAACAGTAAGAAATTTTATATTTCTCTTTACTTTTAGAATTTAATTCTCATAGTGACCTCTTGGCTTAACTGAAATTCTTTCTTGATTAGGGGTCCATCTGGGACTATTTATAAAATAAACTGCATTTCACAAGTCCTTTGTAAAACTAATATATAATGACAGAAAGCAGCCCAGTAGTGCGTTGGGCTAGTCGTGGGTGGAAAGTCACTGCAGAGAGGCATAAGGGAGCTATTTGGAATGATGGAGATATTCTATATCTTGGTAAGGGAGGTGATTGCACAATTGTACATATATGTCAAAACTCATTGAACTGATAGTTAAAATGGGTGCAATTTGGTGTATGTAAATTGTATAATAATAAAGAAATGTTTTGAATCTATTGAGGCCTAGTAAGAAAAATATGTGATGTCTTCAACTTATTTGATTTATCTTACAGAAGCAGATAAATGAAGGTCAGAACTTCTATACATTAAATCAAATATTCTGATCTGAATAAAATGGCCTTAGGATATAAAGACTTTTTAAGTCATTACATATACATTACTCTATAACATTGCTTGACCAATGCTTATTGCATTGTTTGACCATTATTTATGATTATAAATAAATGTTTTCTGACTAAAGCTTTTTGCAAAATTTATCTGCACACAAGATTTCAGGTACCTTAAAAATTTTGTTTGTAAATGTAAACTTAAATATTAATTTACACAGTGTGGTTTTAAAAATTGTGATGATGTAAATACATAGAAGCATATATACAAAGAATGTGTGCATACACATGCACACACATTTGAAAATAAATGCACAGAAATGATGACACGGCTTCTAATTCTTAGTGTAGGAATTTCAGGTTATATTTTGCTGTCATATTTTTATTTTCCTCTGTTTTCTAAATTTGCCATACTAAATGATCATTTATAATCAGTCAAAATACATATTTTAATATTCTTTCTATGAGTAGAGTTTTATGCACTAAATAATATTAATTTTAACTATCCTTATACATTATTTGTGATTCTAATATAAAAAAGGATTACATAAAAGAACAGAAGGATGTATTTATTCAGAAATAACACATTGTATTAATCCATTGAAAACACCCCAGAGAAGAAGACTGAAACTTTGTGTGTTCTTTTAGTTTTCATAGTAAATGGAAATTTTTTGTAGTCATTGCCAGGAATAAGGCTTTGTAACTTTGAGTTTGGCACAGATTAAATGATACATATCACTATTCAAATGGTGCTGGAAAGTTTGAAGATTGTTTTAGATGGCTTTTACAAGAGTGAATAAAGTATCATCTTATCACAGTAAACAATTGTATGTTCATTCTCTTGAATGAGTACGCAGGAAACCATCAAGGGACACTTCTGGCCTGGCAGCTCAACTCTCCAAATTTGGCATAGTAATGGCTATTCCTCGTAATTGGGCCAGAGTGCAGGGAATGGGGGAATGGTTCACAGTAAGGGACATGCACTTGGCACCGTTTGGGCCATTTCTCAACATTTCAGTAAGTAGAATGCCTCATTTCTCTGTGTCGACAGTCCTGAGTAACATAGTAGTACCCAGGAGATCGTTTAAAATCTAATTTTTTTTTAAATAGGTAGTTTTTCCAGGCAAGTGTAGCATTTTGCATTTTAAGTCCTGTCATCACCCAGAGGAAAAAAATATATGATGTATTTCCTTTCATGCATTTAATTTCAAGTTCTTGAGGTCATTCTTTTTTCCAAATAATCACTGGGTGCAGTCACTTTTTTTCCTAAGTTTCAACAGCTCACTTAAAAGACATACCAGATTAAAGAAATGCTAGGATTTGCATTTTTTTCTAAAACTAAGATTAGTATTCACTGTATGAAGTTGATAGTCAACAGAAAAAAAAATCATCCGAGGGTTTCTAAATTGCTGAATAAGAACATAGAAATTTTTAAAGTACATTTTGAAGTTTTGAGATGTAGCTTACAGCAAATAGAAAACAGAACGTTCTCAATTTAACAGAGATGCCGACCTGGGGTCATAATTTCTTGTTTCAATTTGAGCTTCTGCCACAGGTCAGCTGAATCAGTCTGAGACTATTTACTCACAAGGGTACCATGAGAATAATCTATGGTCCCTATAAGTCTTTATGTTAATTACAAAAGCAGAATAGTGGGTTTTTTTTAGACCCATCTCTTTAGGAGCCTTGAACTATTTGTGATAAGACTATAAATATTGGAACCAGAGGACTTAATCAGAGTAGCACCAACTTGGCCAAATCATGTTCTTGAATTTCTTCCTTTGTTCTCATATGAAACATGCAGATAATTGTTGTTAGATGCATAGTCAGCAAATAATTGAAAGATAAACTTTCCTCAAATACACACACACACACACACACACACACTCACACACACATGCATACTCCCATATGTTGCATATATTACCATAACTCTTAAGACAATGAATGAGAATGGATCTCAATATATTTAAAAATCCTTAATACTGGGACCTAGAAAAAATGCCATGTTAAATCTGTAAGCATTCTCTCTAGCCCAAGAAATGGAAACTTGAATTTATTTTGGGACACCTGGCTTGCTTGTGTACCATGAAACTTTCACCTCAATAGGATTTTAGTTACGTAAGTTCAAACCCAGTACATGCCAGTTGATTTGGAGTGAGGAAGGTGCTGTGGTCTGAATAATTATGTCCCCACAAAAATACATATGTTGCAATTCTAATCCTCAAGGTGATGGTATCAGCAGTGTGACCTTTGAGAAGCGATTTGATCATGAAGGTGTCTCCTAATGAATGGGATTGGTGCCCTCCTAAAAGTGGAACAAAGGAGCTTGTTTATCCCTTTCTACCACCTGAAGTTACCGATGACCTTCACCAGACACTAAGTCTTTCACCACCTTGATATTAGACTTCCCAGACTCCAGAATTGTGAGAAATATATTTCTGTTGTTTGTAAGTCTATGGCATATTGTTGCAGCCCAAACTGACCAAAACAGAGGGTACTCAGGACATATTATACAGAGTTTCTAGCACTTTAAGTTGGTTATGTTTATCAGAACTAAGTCTGCACAAACATTTTTCCTCTTACTTGATTTGCGTTTCCTTTACTGATATTATATTGCCTTTTTTAAAGGGAAGATCATGATTATGAGCATATTATACATTTGGTCATTTGTGATTTTGAGCAGAGCTGCTGATACACAATAAAAAGGAATGCAGTCCTATTGATCCTCTCGTACTTAGAAAAGGATAGCAGTCCGCTTGTAACAGTTCAACCTTATTGATATATCATGTGTTGTTACAAAGTTTGCATAGTTTAATTTTGTGAAATATGACAAACTATTGCCTCATATGTAATAGTGACCTATTGAAGGCCAGAGGGCAGGACTATCTCTTTGGCTTAGAAATGGGCTTCCTCAGAAGGACATAGGTATTGCAGGCTTTAAAGCTCCCCATCACATTCCTCTTGAAGATGATACTGGCTCTGACCGTAACTGCTCCTTGCCCTAAATATTTCCACACCCAGTTGCAGCTATTTATTCATCTTTGTCATTGTTGTTTGTTTAAATTTTACTTCTGTATTTGATAAGGCAAAAATATTTAAAGATGCTTCTTGTGTTGTGGGGTTATGTAGAAATGATCCTGGTCTTGTCCCAGGGGTCATTTGGGTACAGGGAAAACTGGAGCAGCATGAAGAAAGACAAAATACAACATTTGAAAGAGAAACAGCCAGTTAAATAGGACACATGTACCATACATGTTTATGTTGTCTCCCCCACCACTAGCCTCTTTAAAATAATGGCAAAACAACATAAAAAGAAGGAATAACCCCACAAAGACAAAAGGGAATTGAAGTAGACTCAACTACAATTCAGAAATTTCAGCAGACTTTGATTAAATCACAAATGCAGGAGAGGAACTGACTCAGCAGGGAATAAGAATCTACAATATTAGGTGTCTGATGGGAATTTGATAAAGAAGTAGGCCACCAGACCCTAAAAAGCTCATGCAAACTCAGCCTCTTAGAGAAAACAGGTAATTCCTAGGGTGAGTTAAGGTGTAATACTGAATATATAGAAAGTGGTTGCACTTGACAGAAAACCTTTGAAATTCCAAAGCTTGCAGAATCAGGTAATGGTCTTTCGCCCTCCTCCCCAACCCAACCCTGACCAAGAGGCTAGAGTTTCATATTTGAACAAATCTGAGAGGCTCTAAGAATGCAGGGGTGGAACTCAAATCCAAAAATGGAGAATCGTGACATAGTGAACCATAGTCTCTGTGGTAGACAGACCCTGAGAACAATCCTCTCTCCCTAATAACTACTGTCTTCTAGTATTAGCACTCTTGTAGTACAGTTGGGACCTGCAACTGGCTTCTAGCCATTTGACTACAACTAAGGCAACCTAGGTATCATTCTTGGCACCTAGAATGGGTGTCAGGAATAAGTCTGAGTCCTGACACAGGGATTCTGGTCAGAGCACTGAAAACACTAGTTTCTCTTAGGGTCATAAAATTTACCACAATTTTTAGAGTTGAATGAAAACTTGATGTAGAGAATGGTGGCAAGCACAATTTTTGCATACTGATTAAAACAAGTGCTCTATGACAAAAATGATATTTTTAATCTTAGATGAAAAGTGAGTCAGATATGTTTATGATTAAGTGCTGCCTGTTTCATATAATTCATATTTTGTAAGTCAAATTCACCAAGAAACATACTCTTAGATGAAGATTTGTATTCAAAAGATTTACTGGGGACATCTCTTGAGATTGTCACCTGTAAGAAACAAGGATAGCAGGAGTAAGCAGAAGGCAAGTTGGAAAAGAGATGTAGGTACAACAATGGCTTCCACCAACCCCACAGGAGCTCCAAAGCCTGAATGACTCCTTAAAGATGAAGAAAAGGGCTGAGCATGATGGCTTATGCCTATAATCCCAGCACTTTGGGAGGATCAAGTAGGGGGATTGCTTGAGTCCAGGAGTTCAAGACCAACCTGGGCAACATGGCGAAACCCCATCTTTACAAAAAAATCCAAAAATTAGTCAGGCGTGGTGGTGTGAACCTGTATTATCAGCTACTTGAGGGGCTGAGGCAGGAGGATAGCTTGAATCTGGGAAGTGGACACTACAGTGAACTGAGATTGGGCCACTCCACTCCAGCCTGGGTGACAAAGTGAGACTCAGTCTCCAAAAAAAAAAAAAAAAGTGAAGGAAAAGGAACTCTTGCACACTGTGGGAATATAAAAGAGTATAGCCATTATGAAAAAAAGTATGGATTTTTCTTAAAAAATTAAAAATAGAACTACAATATGATTTAGCAATTCTACTATTAGGTATATATCCAAACAAAATGAAATCAGTATGTTGAAGAGCTATCTGGATTACCATGTTTACTGCAGCATAATTTACAACAGCCAAGATGTAGAGTAAACCTGAGTGTCCATCAACAGATGAATGGATAAATGAAATGTGGTATATACACACAATGGAATATTTTGAAGCCATAAAAAGAAGCAAATCTTGTCATTTGGGACAACATGGATATACCTGGAGGACATTACGTTAAATAAAATAAGCTCAGCACAGAAAGACAAATATTGCATGATCTCACTTATGTGTGGAATCTTAAAAAAGCTGATCTTATTGACATAGAGAATAGAATAGTGGTAACCGGGGGCTGGGGTGGTTGGGGGAGGAGGGTTAGAGAGATGTTAATTAAAGGATACAAAATTCCATTTAGATAGGAGGAAGTTTGAGAGATCTATTATACAACATGGTAATGTTTTGGGATTTTGGGGTGTTGCTTTTCTGGTTGGAAGCCTCTGTGGCTGGTGGCACCTTTGCCAGAGCTCTTGTCCTGCATCCGAGAAGAATGAAGTATGCGGACAAGTGAATAGTGAGGAAGATGAGGAGAAGCTTTATTGAATGTTAGAACAGCCCAGAGGAGACCTGTAGTGGGTAGCTCCTTTCTGTGGGCAGGTCTTCCCAAGTATTCAGCTCTCAGCAGAGAGGGCAGCTCCTCTCCACAGCTGGCCATCCTGTTATCTGCAGCTCTCAGCAGAGAGGAGGCCCTGGAGAGGGTAGCTCCTCTCCGGAGCTGGTTGTCCCAATATCTGCTCCTCTCAGCAGGGAGGAGGCCCTGGAGAGCGTAGCTCCTCTTTGCAGCTGGTCGTCCAGATGTCTGCTTTGCTGTGGCTGAGCCTGGGGCTTTTATGGGCCTCAGAGGGGTGGAAGCACATGCCACTTGGTCCATGGGCATGCTCAAAAGGCACCACAAGTTCCCACTCCAGTCTGCAGGACTGGCAGCCTGGCCCCCAGCCCCTTCAGGCCCTCCCTGGGCTCAAGGTCAGGCCTCACTGGGGACCACCCACTTTTGCCCAGGAGCCTGTCTGCCTCCTGCCGCTGTCCGTGGCACCCAGGCTGCTTGCACCAAGGGGCACCTGCAGGCCAGTGCCTAGCTGCCCTCAGGTACTTCCCACGCTTGTTGGTGCCCAAAGTCCAGAGGGAGACGAGGCAGCTGAGGGCTGGTGTCTCAGCACTATCTTGAGTGTGTGCCTACCCAGCTGGGCTGTGACAACACTGGGCTTGGCCCCAACCTTGCTCCATGATCAGAGTGGGCACCTGGAGTGGAGAGAGGCCAGACTGTGGGAGCAGGCACTTATGAACCTGTTGCTGGGGGGCAAGGGGGTCCTTCCTGGGGCCCCAAGAGCACAGAAGTGTCTGGATCCACAGCTGTGCTCGGATAGGCTGCAGCTGCACCCACACTTGGGGAGTTCCTGTCCAGCCAACTTAGAAGGGCAGGGCTCCCTCTTGTCCCTGGCTCCCACAGGGTCTGTGGAGTGTACAGCTCTGACCATGCCTCTGAAATCAAAATGGGCACTGACAGCAGGGAGAAACCAGGCAATGGGAGCAGGCACTTCCAAGCTTGTGGGGGGAAGGGGGGGACTTCCCAGGCCCCCCAAAGCTCAGAGACTCCAAAGTCTGGAGCCCACCAGGGCATCTTCAGTGGAACTTGAGGAGGACGAGGCTTCTGCCTGCTCAGTGGAGAGTGGGGGCCCGGCCATGCCTCCCGTCTGCATCCAGCGTCATGGCCATTCCAGATGGCCCGCCGCTGCCGTCAGTAGCTGTAGTTAATCACAGCATATTATATTCTTAAAAATGCTAAGAGAGTGGATGTTGAGTGTTCTCCCCCCAAAATAATATAATAATTCTGTGAGGTGATTAATGCACATGTCAGTTAGCTAGTTTTAGTCATCTGACTTTGTAAATATATGCTTCAAAATATCATGTTGTACACAATAATTACATAGAATCTTACCTGTCCATTTAAAAAATAAAAATAAATAAATTTAAAAAAAAGAAAAGATAACCTGAAGTCAGGGCAAAGAGAGCAGACCTACTGCATAGATAAATCCCTGGAATGAGCTTTCCCAGGGAGAAAGTATAAACTTGGGTGAGGCAGCTCTCTTCAGCCAAGGGCCATCCTGGGAAAGAACTCAGTTGTTCTGCAGTCATCGCATCCAACACCTAGAATGAAGACCAGGAATATGTTTGGGTCCTGAATCTGGGATTCTGGTCAGGGCACTGCAAACATGATTTCATTAAATAATGATCCTCTTATCTTAGCTCTAGTTCTTTTAACTATTATTTTATTTCTGGCTTTTTGAAGCAGCATAGATTATAATTGACTCTTCCTTATTGACATTCTGTTAGGAAAGAAACATTTTCTCTATATCTAATTATTTCTAAACATATTTTCTTATGGAGTATCATCCCTTATCATAAGATGTTTACACCAATAGATGCAAACAAATAGTAAATAGAGTATCTAAAAGGTTACTTTGTTGGATAAAATATTTTATTATTTGTGTTTTTAGAAAAGGGATCTGCTAAGAATATACTTTTTATTACAATCAAACATGAATGGAAAAAGGGAGAAAAAGCCCTTTGATGTTTCTTGAGTAGGTAAATTCAAATCATGTATATACTAGCTAAGTCACAGAGTCCCATAAGTGGAGTCATAAAAAGTAGGTTACATTTCACAGCAACTACTAAAAATCTCTTAAAACCAAGATGTCTCAAGGGTACATCTTGTAAACTAGCTGTAAAGCTTTCATGGTAACAAGATATGGAACAAATATTAATTGGATAGGAAATGACTCCAACAGGGATTTTATTTTGTATGCCTAGTGTTTTCAAGGTGAATAGTTTGCAAACGTTTCTAGTTTTTAACCATAATAAGCAGGCTACAGCTCGGGGCTTTACCTCTTTAAAGTGCCTATGCCATAATCTGTTTTCTTAAGCATGTGTGTGTGCATTTGTGTATGTGTTTTTTCATTCTGGCTTCAGTTTGATGATCTCTCAGCAAAGCTAAATTAATGGGCTAAAAGCTTACGGTTTTCTGTTACATAACATCACGTGATTCTCAAACTAAAGAGAATATAATAAATATTTACTTTAACATAGTTA
The DNA here is from genome assembly GCF_000001405.40 of Homo sapiens. NCBI lineage: Eukaryota > Metazoa > Chordata > Mammalia > Primates > Hominidae > Homo > Homo sapiens. Next base: position 70,486,112 of record NC_000017.11, read on the forward strand.
AATAATTTTAGGTCCAGATAATAGACTCATTTTCTACTCTTCTTGTTCCTTGCACACTGTCTTCAGTTTTCACCTCACTACTTTATAGATTAACTATTTGAAACAACAACAAAAAAATACGGCTACTGACACTATCAACTTAAAATAGCTATACATGATATTCTTTCAAAGACAACTTGATCATATCATCACCGATGTCTTGGATCATCATAAATAGCCTGAAACCTGAATTCCAACTGAAACAGCATTAGTTCCAAGGTAGATTACTGGACATAGTAATCTATTTTATTTTCCCTAAAGAGAAATTGGAATTTGATTTTTATTTTTAATTGATTGAAAGAAGAGTTTCATATTTTTTCTCAAATACTCTGAATGCATTGATGAAATACTGTCAACAGCTGGTGGAAAACTCCCACCAAAAATTAGTTCCATAGTGAAACACTGCATTTGACTATTTCCAAGAATCCATAACCTTTATCTTGCTGATGATAGGGAATTGAGCACTCGGGATATTGAGATAAAATAATTTCCTAGGCGTTGCTCTAGGGGGGAAAATATATTTCCATCGGGCCCAGAGTTGTTGGAAAGAAAACAAAGATAAAATTTCCTAGTATATTCTTCTCACTCCTAAAATTTAAAAATCCACAGTAATTCTCTAACCCCTTACACTGTTTTATTTTGATTCAAAATATCTTATTTATATTATATTGCATATATGTATTTATTTGACTTATTATTGTTTTCTCGATAGAATATAAATTCTAGAAAAAGGAGAAACCTTGTCAGTTGGTTTACCATGGAATCTCCAGTACCCAGAATGGTGCATAATATATTGAAGATGCATAAAAAATACTTATTAAATAATGATGAGATAAATTCTGATCTAAATTATTCCTGCCATCACGTAAATGCACATGAACATTTAGCCTCCTGGTAATTTTTTATATACCATTGATGATGAGCATCTGGCTGTTAGAAAGTCATTTTTTTACAATTACTAAATTGTATGCTGATAAGAATTAAGTCCTATTAAGGACTTTTTGTATTTACGTTGGTGGCTAAGAGCTCAAGATCTGAAGTCAGAATGCTTCACTTACATATTAACTCCACTGCTAACTAGCTGGTGGCATTGAGCAAATCATCTCATGGAATGGATTTTGTCTGTGCCACCAACAAGATCTCCTTTTCTGAGCCAGTGTCCCCAGCTACTGTGAGCATTAGCCACTAATACCACAAAGCTGCCCCTTCTCTGTAGAACTGCCTTCAGATAAGTGAGAGCCATCTCACCTGATGGTTGAGATGGCGACATATAAGACTAGTGCTCATGCTTCAAATTAAGTCCATCTCTGGGCTGTAATTTATGCCCCAGAAGGCCACTAAGGATCATGTTAAAATTCATCTCTGGGCGACACCACATTCTTGATTGGCTCTTTTTTTTCCTTCCTTTCTTAATTTGTTCACCCCTGTTCTGAGAGCACTCCTCCATAAATTACATACACCAGAATCCTTGTTTCAGGCTCTCTTTCTATTCAATAAAACCTATATGACACATAACTTCTCCATGCCTTAGTTTTTGCCACTCTGAATTTGGGAGAAATAATAGGTTTACTTTTATTATAAATACATAATATCCCTAAATAAATGTAATAGGATATGATGATCATCACTTTTTTGTTCTCTATGTTTTCTTGCTTTTCTTCTAGGCTGTAGAATTTAACTTTTTTTTTTCATTGACTCTTTTCCACCTTAGTCTTTTTAAAAAAACACTCTTATTTGGATAATGATGATGCATCCAATGTTTCAACAATATGATAACCTTCCAATAGATTTAGACTTTTGCTATCATTGGGACCTTAACGTTGTCATTTCACAAAATTATTTTCTGAGTTCCCAACATAGGTAAATTGTATATCATTTCCTGTGTTCTCCAAGAAATGGTCTAGAACCAACCACCATTGGAGCATGAACTCATTATTAGAAAAGCGTATTACCCTGACAATTAGAAAAAAATACATATAGTGAGCTGCAGCCAAGAAAGTAATTACATTTATTTTTATCACTGGAAAACAATGAGTGGCAGAAATGTCTCTAGTGGGCTTGAACTACATATATACAGCAATGTCATAAAGTAATTCTTTATGTCCAGCTTGATTTATGTTCATAAGACCAAAGACATAATATGAGCATTATCGGAAAAATGAGTTTTAATAGCATGGAGTCTACAAGAGATTCCCCATAGTTGAATTTCTTAATATCTGCCTTTGGTCAGCTTTTGGAGATGTTAAAATTTGAGCCGCTCAGTGTGCTCTTTTTTGACTTCTTCTCAATGTAAACATTCAAATAAGGGAGCAACTGGATGTGTTTGGGGAGGTTTTTTTTTCCTACTTTTGTTTTATTTTTCAACAGATGTGAGACTACAGCCATCATCAAAATGTCAATATAAGCAATTTTGTTAGATCAATGGACAATAGGAATTTTAGATCCATATCACTACAATTGTAATACCATTTGTAATGTTACTTCTTATTAGAATTTCCTAGCAATCATCATTCATCTAATAGAGGGATTTTTTAAGAATCCAAGAAGAACAAAAATATTCATAAGCCAATAGAAGCAAATGGTATAAATGATATATATTTCACCACAAAAAATGAATAATGCACCACTTCCTAAATCATGTGCAGTGACTACATTTTATTTGAGCAATGAAGAGGCATTTTCCTTCCATTTTTTCTTTTGGAAAAAGTATTATGTGAGATTATGTTTTTTTTTATAATATGAAAATACTGAACTACTTAGAAGTAATAAGATACATTATGTTTTGGTTTAGGTTAAAATCGTGCAGTTATTGCTAAGATTAATTGGTAGATTAAGATGGAGAGCTAAATGAGAATTTAAGCATTTGCTGCTTATTTTGACACGTCTTTATTCTTAGGCCTCTGTACAAACTCTTATTCCCAGCCTTCTAAGTCAAAATCCTTTAAAAAGATCCTCTGCTTATCACATACAGTATTCACTTTGAGACTTAATCTATTTTTTCTTATATTATCATTTTAATAAAATATTGATAAAGCAGACACAGTTGATCTTATGACAGTCATCACATTTATGCTTTGCTTTCTGTTTTTAATTCCCCTTTTATATATTCTGTTTTTAAAAATTTTTGATTATAATGTTTTGTTTGTGGCTTTTTTCTGATAATTTGGAAAGCATTTTAATAGTTAAGTATAATTATATATAGTACATTATACATGATGCAGTTTATATTCTATATCTTTACACAATATATACTGATTTCTTCTATTAGCAATAAGATAAACAATATTTCCATTTAGACATTTACTTGCCACTCAAATCTTCAGTTATTTTTGTGTTCTATTTTATACCTTAACATATACATCTTTTGCATTATTGATCACTTTCAGATGATACCAGGCTAACCTAATAAATAAAACAAAAAATATTATAAATGTTCTCAACCCCAATTTTTCCCCCACCCCCTCCCAACTTGGTTTTCATTTCATTGTTTCTGTGCTGTTTGGTCTATATCTACTTTCTGTCTATAACTACAATTGTCCATTTGTTTTAACCTTGGGACTATAGTTAATTTGAATTCAGTGCTCACAGAGAGTATTTTTGACTTAAAAACACATTATTCATCTTTTTATTGACCAGTGTTCATTTTTCTTTCACTGGGCATGGTTAACTCTAGATATGATTCTCTAAACTGCTGTAGTGATGATTTGTCTTTGTTGGAAACCTTCCTAAAGACAAGCTGACACTCTGAGAATGGAAGTGTGTCAGATGAGCTGGAAAGAATCTGACCTGATATTGTTGAAAATTGATCCAACCCCACCCTAGGATTTTCTTATTTCTAAATTGTTGGTGATTTTTTTTTCGGTCTTTTTATTCAAACCAATTTGAGGTGTGATTTTTTTCTTTACATGCACTGATGTAATTATATTTTCTGGAATAAATTGTCAAGACTGTACAACTGATAATAAAAGACGATTTACAGATCTAGGTCTTTTGTTTCCAAAAGTTTATGTTCTTCACATTAATTAATAATATTACTCATTTAGATGGGATGTAATTATTTTAACAGAAGTATTTCAATTTATCTTACCAAAATACATCTTTATCCAGTAAAATACCACTTTTTACGTCTGTTCACATTTGCTTCAGTAGACCTTAAATTTCTTGTCAACTTTTTTATCACAGTTTGTTTTTTTCTTCTCGTGCATTTCCCCCAGAAAAGTCCTACAATTGCAAAATAGTGCTTTATTTTGTTTTCCAGGGAGACATATTCTCCTATCGTCATTTTAGCTCTAAAATAAACTTACTGAAAGAATGTGCATAAAGCAAGTGGTATACGAAACTCAGATTTTAAAGATGTTTGTTTGCATTTCTTGTTTATGAAAGTGTTATTCTGGAGAAATAGACAGTAGTGCTTAGTCCGTTTACTTTTTAAATATTTTCATGTTAATATGACTAAAAACAATACAGAAGTTTATGGTTATTTCAGATATTTGATAAGACAGTTCTTTCTAGACATGCTAGTTTTAATGAAGGCGGCAGTGAAAAAAATCCTACTAATTTTTTAAGTTAGGAAAAAGCCCATTATCTGTATTTTGTTGTAATCCTTTGTAAGATGAGAAAAATTTAATAATTTAAGCGTATCTTTTAACTTTTAAGATATCCTGGACAAATATATAAATCCTGGACAAGATTTATATATTGGTTTTTCCTTTTCAAATCACATAAAGTATAGAACACTTAAGTAGCCCACGAATTGGGATATCAAAGGTAGAGAAATGAAATTTATTTACTGGCTAAATGGACTCATCAACAATAAGCAAACATGTACAAACTTAACATTAGCATCTCTTTGGACATCACAATGTCTTAAGATTTATATATCTTAAGGAGGGTCATTGGACCCTCCTTTCATAGTTATGATTAGGTAAATGATTTTATCACAAATATTAAAAAGGAATAACTCTGGTAAAATTTATATGAATTAGGAAAATAATTTACAGAATGCAGGAAAATATGGTCTGGCATTGTGAACGTGAATTTTTTTATCTTTTAAATTTAAAAAGACTTTGCTTTCTCTTAGCCTCTTCATCTCAGTTTTATGGGTTTGGAAGGGCACATATGTTCTTTTCTATCATGAGGAAATTTAACTTTGTCTTGTTTTTCCTAAGCTTTTTAAATATGTAGGACAATAACATTTGTTGCTATGAGCTTTGAAATGAAGATTTATACCCTGCTTTTGGAGGTCAGAATATATCACCCAAGCTCTTATCAAAAGCCAACAAATGGAAACTCTATAGCAACAATAAAACTGAACCTTCATTATTCTCTTGATAAAAAAAAGGTATATATGTTCTCTGCACTTAATAATTTCACTGTTCTACTAATTGCAGTGTCCAACTCTTGTAATAATCTGATACAGTGGCTAAATTTTTATAGGTAGTTTTAGAAAGTAATTATGAGCAAATGTGTGAATATCAATATACACTCAATATATGGAACCAAATACATTTTAGTCATATTTCTATTAAAATAGCAATTGTTTTAGAAAAAATTAAAATACTCTTCCTATTCTCCTAATATATCATCTCCATGTTTTCACTAGTGTTATTATTATTCTGATTTTGAGATATTAAAATAAATGTTATACAGCCAGATGATAAATTGTTTTATATTTTTCATCCACAAATTTTTGTTGTAATAATATGATATATGTACAGATGATTTATGAGACTTATAGGATGTGACGGCAAATAGTGAATTCATCATCCCACACACTGTAAGAGCTATGGTGATTGGTGAGACAGGAGATTTTTTTAAAGGGAGGTAGAACAATGATTTAAATTTTAAAACTTAGAACTAAGAGATCTGTCTGGAAAGGTGGACTGGCAAGAGTAATCCACTTGGAACAGGGCTATGTACAGTAGGTGGGAGAAGCAAAGAATGAATCTCTCTACTAGGATCTGGGCTTCAAAAGAACTGAATAATTAGGACTACATTTACATTTGAAATAAAAAATACTCTCAATAAAATATTTCATATTGTATGCTAAAATTCAAAAGACTGACCATACCAATTGTTGGCAAAGATGTGGAATAACTGTAACTCTCATTCACTGCTGCTGGGAATGTTAACAGATACAACTACATTGGAGAGCCATTTGATGGTTATCTAAATATTTAAAAATTAGTTTGCAATATAACCCAGCCATTGCATTCCTTGGTATTTACCCAAGGGAAAGCATGTGTCCATATATACCTAAATTTATAAGGATCCCAAACTGGCAGCAATACATTTGCGCATTAACAGGTAAATGGATAATACACACACACACATGCACACACACACATACATACATACACACACACACGAGAATATCATTCAACAATGAAAAACAATGAACTATTAACAAATACAACAACATGATTGTATCTCAGAACAATTGTGCCAAGTGAAAGAAGCAGACAATGAAAGGAGTACAAACTGTATAATTCTATTTATAGAAAATTCTAGGATATTCAGACTAAAATATAGGGACAGAAGAGAGATTACTGAATACCTGGGGGACTTGGGGGAAAAGGGATAGTGAGGTTTATAATGGGGCATGAATAAAGGTTTAGGGCTAATGTATATGTTTATTGTCTTGATTATGATCAGTGATTTACAAGTCAAAATTGATCAAATTGCAGACTTTAAATATGTGTAGTTAATCACATCTCAATGAAGCTATTAAAAAATTAGGAACGTCGTTGCCACTAGGAGAGAGGGAGTGATTTATAATAGGGAAGGGACCCATGGAAGCTTCTGGAATACAGAAATGTTCTGTTCCTTGACTTGGGTGTAAGCTACACAGATTTTCTTTTCTGCAGTCCATTAAACTGAATATGACACTATTTTATGTTTATGCAATATTTATTTCTTTATTATATTTCAAAATTTTTAAAGTGTGTGTATGTGTATATACATGTATTTGGAAACTATATATTTTTTTGAAAAGAGGTAATTATCCTTAAGACGCATTCATTTTATTACCTCTCCTTTAATAACAGCCAGTTTAGGTCTTAGTAGTAGCATGCTTGTTTGACTATAAATTTTATGCAGCTTAAGTTTTCCTAGGATTTTGAAAGTACTTTCTACATTCACAGTCACATTCCTATGCTGTCTTTAAAAGATAAATGAGAAAACCATAAATACATCATATCTCTGTGAGCCTCATTGGTGGTCCATGCATCATGGAAATGTCATCTATTCTGGTAGTGCTGCTAGCAACTTGTGGGTGGGTCGATGCACTGGGAATAGTGCATCATTTTATTTTATTTTTATGGCTTTATTATACTCTATGGCCATTAGGTGCAATGCCTCTGTTGTCCCCTGGGGTACAATATTATATTTATTGTATGCATTTATCTTGTCTCTGATGATTCATTTTCTTTTCCATCCAAGATGAGTTTCCTTTTTGCCTGCTGCGTTATCTAGGAGTCCTTCCATTCAATTGCTCAAAATGCTTTATCATGGTGTGCAATATATATGAAGAGTCTGGGGAAGAAGGTGGGCGTTGTCAAATCTATAAATGAATCCAAGAAAATGTCCTCAGCAGCCAAGAGAACTATTGTAATTTGTATACCACAGAAATGGAGAAGTAGTACAGAATTTAGAAAGAAAATTAAAAATAGAACTGCCATATGATCCAGCAATTCCACTTTTGGGTATACATACAAAGGAAATAAAATCACTATCTGAAAGAGATACCTGGGCTTCCACATTAATTACATAATTATTCACAAAAGCCACAATACGGAGTAAACTTAAATGTTCATCAAGGGAAGAATGGATAAAGAAAATGCAGTGTGTGTGTGTGTGTGTGTGTGTGCACGTGCACACACGTGCGTGTGTGTATGCAATGGAATAAATACTTTTATCCTTTACAAAGAAGAAAATCCTGACATTGTTAACAACATGGAGGAGGCTGGAGGACATTACGTTATTCGAGAAATAGGCCAACACAGAAGACAGGTACTACATGACCTCATTTGTATGTGGAATCTTAAAAAGTCTAATTCATGAAAAGAAAGTAGAATGGTGAGTGCCAGAGGCTGGCAAAGAGCTGGAGGGACATGGGGAGATGTTAGTCAAAGGCGTCAAAGTTTCATTTATGCAGGGTGAATAAGGTCTGGAGATCTATTCACATAGTGACAGTATGGTCACTAGTGTTAGTAATACTGTATCGTATATTTGAAAATTGCTGAGAGTGATCTTAAATGTTATTACTGCAAAATTTAAGTATGTGAAGGGATGAATGTTCATTAATTTTATTTCATCATTTCACAATATATACATGTTGCAAAACATCACATTGTACCCCATAAATATATATAACTTTTGTTAATTGCAACTTAAGAAACCTGAAAATGGGCCAGGTGTGGTGGCTCGTGCTTGTAATCCCAACACTTCGGGAGGCCAAGGCAAGGGAATCGCTTGAGCCCAGGAGTTCAAGACCAGCCTGGACAACATGGCAAAACCCATCTCTCCAAAAAATAAAAAAAAATAAAAAAATAAAAACTATGCAGGCATGGTGGTGCATGCCTGTAGTCCCATCTACTCAGGAGGCTGAGACAGGAAGACCACCTGAGCCTGAAGGTTGAGGCTGCAGTGAGCCATAATCATGCCACTCCACTCCAGCCTGGGTGACAGAGTGAGACCCTATCTCAAAAACCAAACAAAAAACCTGAAAACAATTTTAAAAGAAAGAGAAAATATATTTATGTCACTATAAAAAATGGTGTCCATGGGGAAAATGAGAACTGAATCCTAATGTTAGGTAGGAAAAATAAAATGGATAAAAGAATCCCATTGAAACTGTAACAGGGGACTGTCACTGGTCTCTGGAACTAGAGAATACTTACAGTTTTTCCTCAGAGTGGTCCCTACGTCTTATGGATACGTCATTATTTCCATTTTAAAGTAGGGATGTTAAGCCAGAGTCTTAATGCTAAGTCCCAGGCAACAGAGTTAATTAGAATCAAAGAGGGGGTGTGGACTTTTGTCTCACATATTTTGTACACACTATAAGGATGTTAGTCATAATAGAACATGGCATCATGTGGCCTAATGAGGAGGACATAAATCTACATGAGGTTCTCTGAGGAACAGGCACCTGCAGGCTGAGAACCGACATGGACATTTCAAATGGTAACATTTCTCCTTTGGCATATTCCTAAATCCATAAACTCTGAAGACGTGGTCAAAAAAAAAATGTCATTCTGCAGTGAACTTAGTTTTCTCCTTCTTTACCTTTATTCTATGGATGCTTTTCACTTATCCTTCATGCAGTTGTCCTTCCATTTCTCTTTTTCTGGACCACATTTGAAACACAGTTAAATAGAATGTCTGCTTCAGGTTTGCAAATTATACTTCATTTAAAGTATATGTTAAAGTTGAGTAATCTTTCTATACCTGCGCATACATACTCCCCACAACACACACACATTGTCTTTATCCTTTCATGTGCTCAAGAGCACTCATGTTTATTCCATATCTTGGCTAATGTGAATAATGCTACGATGAACATGGAGGTGCAGATATCTCTTCAAGTTAGTGATTTTATTTCTTTAGGACACACACCAAGCAGCAGAATTGCTGGATTGTATGGCGGTTCAATTTCTAATTTTTTGAGAAATCTTTATACTGTTCTTCATAATGGCTGTACCAGTATTCAGTCTTTTAGAAAAAGACGGAAATTCCGACATTCGTGACAACATGAATAAAGCTGGAGGACCTTATATTAAGTGAAATAAACCAGGTACAGGAAGACAAATACTGTAGGATCTCACTTACATGTGCAATCTAAAGTAGTTTAACTCATAGAAAACAGAGGGTAGAATGGGGGGTGCCAGAGGCTGAGGGGTGGGGGAAAAGGGGACGTGTTGGGTCAAAGGTATAAACTTGCACTAACAAGATGAATAAGTTCTGGGAACTTAGCTTACAAAGTAGTGACTATAGTTAATAATAGTGTATTGTATAATTGAATTTTGCTAGGAGATTCTATTTTAAATATTCTTACCCAAAGAAAAGTTAACTGTAAGGTGATGGATATGTTAATTAGCTTTATTATGTTAATCATTAAAAAATATATACATATACTGAAACATCACCTTGTACACCCTGAATATATAGTCTACAATTTTTATTTGTCAATTATACCTTAATAACACTGAATAAAAAAACAAAAGATAAAAATATATGTTAAGCCAATTAAGTAGATAAACCCATTTTTGTTTATATAGCAACACAGTTTTCAGAGAAAGTTTTCACTGACCCATTGAAATATAGTAATTCACTTCTTTTTTTTTTATGAGGGAAACAACTCACATAAAGGATTATGGATAATCTCTCTAAAATTAGGCTGCTTCTAATACTCTGCAAATGTTAAGGTGTTTGTTTTTGTTTTTGGAAGGTGGTGTGATTGATAGGCTACATCAATTTTGAGAATTCTCAATAACTCTTAGGAATTATCTTAGATGTAAATTAATTGCTCTGAAATAGCAATACACATGACTGAAAATTTCAGGGCAATATGAATTAAAGAGGTAAATGTGTGCACTAGTTCGTTCTTATCATAGGCATTGAAAAACAAATCAATTATGTTTGATGAGATTGACATTTGATGCCAATTACCTTTATATTATTAAACTGAGAAACAAAGAAAATGATACATCTTTGTGTCTTTGTGATAATCCTAGAGGTATTCATAGGTGCTGGGCAAATCTAAATATTTTTGTTTTCAAGAATTATGTAATATATGTTATAACATGCAGTAAATTATATTTCTTTAGATATATTTAGCTATTCTTTGCAAAAGTTTGCTCATGTGCCTCACAAGTTTAGGTAGAATTCCTATGCCACGTTTTCTACTTGGAAATTTGAGTACACCTAAATTTTTTGTTAAGATTATGCAAAGGTCCAAACTATCCATTCAATAAGTGGGTTAAATATTCCCACCCAATATACTTCCTGGGAATATTGCAGACCTTTTGTTTTGTTTTGAAAATAATTAAAGTGATTCCACTATCTGTAAAATATCTTCTGGAAGGTGCTGGATTTTCCTCTCTTTCCCATAGCTTGTTAGCAATACTACAGTTTGGCAATAGATTTTGTCTTTTCTAGGGAATGAGGCATTGGGGAAAACAGAAATTCTTTCTAGATTACATTATTTTCATTATTTTGATAAAATGAGTCTGATGGTTTTTTGCCAGCAATTGAAGGTACCAGTGTTCAGGGGAGTATTCCCATACATCTCCAGAGGAAACTCATCTTTAAGGAAGGGATGTTTGATGACTTTCATATACTATCTTGTCTAGGAAACCCTAGACCGACATAAGCACAGTAGAATCATGGAGAACAGAAGTTTCTACCTAATCAATCAATTGTTGTGACCAAACACATTGAAATGCTATCTTAAAACTTGCTTATTATCTACTGAACACTACCTACATTATTTCAAACCCTTGAAACTTTGCAGCAGGGCCAGTCTTCATATCCCAATTTCACGGATGAACAAACTAAGGTTGAGAGAGATTATGTAATTGTTAAAAGAGCTGGGCTTTGCTTCCAGGTCAGTCTGACCCCATAGCACATCCTCATTCCAGTACATTGTTCCTATTGCTTTTCATTCTAAAAGCAATATAAGGAAGCTATTTTAAGGATGGGTGAACAGGTCACTAGATCTGAGGCTCTCTCTACATTCAACTGTGGGTGGAAGGGTAAACAGATTAATAACATAATCAACTAATACACCTTTAAAGTCAGCATCTCAAAAGCAGAAACATCTTAAGTGGGATCTGAAGGAATGGCTGCCACTTTCTCAGTTCTTTCATAAATGTTCTTTCTACATCGGTATCTTAATTCTTTTTAAACACAATGATTGTAATAATGATGGTAATGATGTTGAAACTGCATTTTTATCCAAATTCAGGCAGTTGAAGCTTTTGAAATTGGCATTGATGCATAAGAAATATTGTAATGGTTTCATGACACACATGTCTAAAAGTTTTCTTCAATTAAGTAATAATAGAAGCAATGGGTACTCACTCAATGATAAATAAACCGAAACGTGTAAAATAAAATATAAAACTCAAAAGAATCGCATGCTGTCATTTATGCCAAATAAAGTATAAAAATTTGAAGAGCTTTACTTTTAACTTATTTCTAAAAAATTACATTTTGCTGCAAGGCTGACATAGATTTATATTTACCATGACTTTTGAGGCCCAACCTAAGAAAATGATGAATGTTAGGGCAGTCAAGCCTATGAAATTGTTTATCTGTGAAAGATTGTGTCTCAGTCCTAGTCTAGGCATTGTTTTCATTTTCACATTTTTTAAAGGTCTTACTATTTTTCGAAGTCATGTTTTTATCCTCTGCCAAATAACAGGCCTGTTGTTGTTTTACTCAGTTTTCTCTTTATAATTGCAGAAACTTTGAAAATAAAAAGGGTAATTATTTTCTGATGTCTAACAAGTGATTGACATACTACAAGAAAAATGAAAAATACTTTTTAAAAAAACTTTATAGACCGGAGATGGGATTTCAGAATCAAACGTGCTTGTGGATTTGGTTTTCATTGATGGGTTTTGCTCTTAGATTGTCCTTTTTCCACTCACAGTTCCAGGATTTCTTTCCAAAAATATCTTGTGAGGTCCAAATGGTAGCCAGAATTCTGTCTTTGTTTGATGAGCCTGTACATTTCTTAATCCAACACTTCTCTTGAAAAAGAAATACAGAAAGTATACTGTAGTTAATGGTAGTGGGGTATCCTACATTTTGTGGGGAAAATGGGAAGCTTGCCTGTCTGTTACTCTTTTTCATCCCTTGGCTGAAAGAAAAACAATCTAAACCCAAAGAACAAAAGAGAGCTTAGGAATCAGAACTTAGACCTGGGCTCTGGAGCCAGACTACTTCTTAGCTTTTTTTCCTGTGTGTCATTTTGTTTTTATACTATGTAAGTATATTTGTAAATAATAATCCAAGACTTTCAAAAGTACAGCAGTTCTGTAAAACAAATGTTCCTACAGTCAAAACATAACTTTCTCTTTTTATTGAGTAAGGCTCTGTGCACATCTGCTTATCAGCAGTCACTTTCTCAATGTTAGTTTCAAATGTACTCTGCGCCTTCTGTCTTTTCATCTGCACTGAATGCCTGTGTGTTCCTACGTTCTTAACTTCTGCATTATTTTCCTGTACTTCCTCCTCTATTTTTTTCTAAGAATGTAGTTGTTTGTAGTTAATGGTGCTTATAATTTGGAAACTCAAAATAGTAATATTGCTGATCAGCAACTAATTACTCTGAAGCTTGAAAAGTTTAATTAAATCACACATTCCTTGGAGGGTCCTGAGTCCTGGCTACTTACTTTCAAAGAGGCTCCTTGCTCCCTGCTGAGCTGATGGGATTTCAGTGACAACCTTCACTAAGCCTGAACTTATTGAATGCCTACACTGAATGTAATACTGCATGAGTAATTGAGGATGGTACCAAGTTATAGCTCATTGTCCTTATGCACCTGAATCTTATAGTCTTATAAACCTTCCCAGGGGTTGGGTAGAAGGAAGACTTATTCAGTTCAAGAGTGCATCATCATAATAATACAAAGAAGGAAGAGAAGGAGAAAAATAAATGTGGATTCTAATTCTGGAGAAATTTTTAGGAAAAAATATTCCTGAGGTCTGAGATAAACAAGGAGGTCTTCATTTACGAGTTGAAATTCCAAAAAGACATCAAAGGGAGGATGAGATTTGCATAGGAAAAGGAATAGAAATCATGTTAGTCCCATAGTTCATGTATCCACCTTCTCCTCTCTGTATTCAATCTACAAATATTTATTGCTATTATGTGCAGATCAGAAAACAAAGTCCTCACCCTAGGGAATCAGCAACAAAACTTATTGAGAATGCAAAGAAGAAAAACTGTTATATGCTAGAATTAAAGAAGTACAAAGATTTCTGAGAGCATAGAGAAAGAAGTAGACAGAAAACTTGCAGAAGACTTAATACTGAATATTTGAGGCAAGAGGAACCATGTGACTGAAACTATGTTTATTTAAAATATAAATTAAAGAACCAAGGCACAATTGCAGAACTTATGTGGAGTCAAAGATAATGAGAAAATCTTGGTTTTATTTTTGGTGCAGTAATTTTTTTAAGTGTTGAAAATTTTGTTAACGTTAAAGAGCTTTGCACTTACAAGACACTAAGATACAGGAGTGATGCTTCATAAAGAAGTTACCTGTCAGGGTTTGGGCATTAGTTTAGAAGTTGTGGAGCTTTGATTTATTTTGGTTAAATACTTTAAGAAATCACAATCTTGATCCAGGACTGATAAAAGTATTGCTAAATTTGAAAGATGCCTCTTCAAGATTAGAGTCATATATTCAGACATAGAACATTAGAAGATCCTGTATGGAAAATACATTCTAGTCTATTCTTACTAGTGGAAGAGCCCTAAGCCACAGTTCCCATTCATCGAGGTTCAATGCATCAAGTACTTCTCGAAGTGCACTTACATTTAGTAGCTGATTAAATTTTTCTGACAACAGAATTATTGTTACTATTATTTTTATCATCATCATCCCATTTTTATAAATCAGAAAGGGAACTGGGCCAGAGGGTAGTTAAGCAGTTTTCTTAAAGACTTACAGCTATTAGGTTGGTGCAAAAGCAATTGCGGTTTTGCCATTAGTAATTGCTTTGCCATTACTATGGTATTTTATTTTGCTGTTACTAATGCAAAAATCACAATTACTTTTGCACCAAACTAATGCTGATTTTGAGAGCCAGACCTGGAGTGTGGGGATACTAGAGCTAGTGCTTGAGTTCTAAGTTGTTCTGCTGCAACGGCTTGGACTTGAAAGCAGAGAGGAGGGGAGGAGGAGCAAAAAGACAGAGATCTCACCTTTGTGGCAGAGATAGAAGAAAGATAATATTTAGAAGTTTAGCTGTGCATTAAGAATGTCGTAGCCTCCTTTTTTCATTTTCTAAAGAAACTTGAAATTAAGATTTGAATTGCTTCCAAATATAAATGTGCTAGACAATTGTATTCCTGAAAGACAAGAAATGCTGAGTCCAAAGAATAACTGAGAAGTTCAGCTTTTATGATTTCTGTGTCCTGTAATTAGCTGCTTAGTAAGTGATTTCTAACCTTCAAGAAATATAGACCCTCCAATGACTGACAACTGTTAAAGTATGTGTTCTTAAAAAGTTAAATTGTTACATATACAGTAAACACATATAAAAGATTTCATTCTACTCATTAATTAATGATGAAAATACTAAAAGGTTAAAACTGGTTCAAATGAGAACGTGATTCGTGGAATGCATATTTTCTAACAGAGAAAGTTAATTTGCATTGCAATGAACAGGAAACATTTGCATTGCTTCTGATTTCCCACAGCTTAACTTCTACCCCTTCAAAATGGTCAAATAGCTAATAATGGCAAATCAATCACACATGCACACCTTTGTAGAATCAGACAATCCCTAGGGAGGGGCCTCAAGACAATGCCCAGATCTCCACTGAAAGGGCACCCAGTAGTCTCTCATGCCCACCTATTTCCAAGACCTGGAAAATTTTTCTGACATCATAAGACTCTTAACAATTAGACTAAATTACAGGAAGAAAGGATAAGAAGAAACTAAACTACTATGAAGACTATATAGCTATAGACCAGCACATATATTATTGGGGAAAAAAAAAGTGTAACAAAGTTTTATTTAAAATGTTGGTCTTAAACCATTATGTTCTACAATATTGAGCTGTGGTTTTTAGATCTAAGACAACTTCCCTTCCCCCATGTATCATCCAGCTCTGATTTTTTTTTTAATCTCTCTTTTCTGTATCTAACAGGAGACATTGTCAAAACATCAAGCTTTTCTATCATGCAGGTCCAGATAAAGAGGGTTGGAGTGGATATGAAAGGATTCCACTGAGGTTGGGATGAAAGAAAAAGACGATCTAGAAATTTCAAGGAACTCTGCTATGTAAATTTACCTGAACATTACAAGATAAACCTGAGTGTCTAAGAGACTATCCTAATCTCACAGACATTTTAACCTGTGTAAACCCTCGATTTGCTGGAATGAACTTCAGTCATGCATTTGAGAACCCCCACTTTAAATATCGTAAAAATGTCATAATAATTTCAGATAAAAGGTTTCCATTTTTCTCCTTATGTTTATAAAACAAAATTAAAGACTTGTTTTTTCCTCTTTTTCATTTCAACCAACAAGGTTTTAAGGCCTGAAGAGCAATTATATTTATACTTTGCCATGTTTGGTTGAAAGTTTAAACTTGAAATAAAGTTGAGATTTATTGCACTTATGTTCTGCTGCAGTGTAATTGTTATTCACTTTCTGGAAGCCAAACAGAATCTATATCATGTTTTTGGTTTTTTACAAAAGCTTGATTCTATTTTTCTTCATTCACACGAACCCGACACATAAGTCCATCTAGAAGGTTTATAAACATTAATGTATAATTCAAAGTTTATTCTTACTTTTAACTGCTTGGGTGGTCAAGAATAAGGTTGATTCTTTTTTCTGTCTACACTAAGAAAGTATCTTTCACAAAGGATTTTGTCCTATTTGAAATGGCGATGGAGAGCTTATTTTGTTTGGAATTGGCAGTTTTTCTCCAGAGGGGTTACATTTCTAAAGTTATATGGCCATCCAAAAAAGATTATTACACTAGTCCAACATTGGCTGATTAAATTCTACAAAATCAGGAAATTAGGGTATATCACCAATATATTTTTTTAAAAAAGAAAAATATCAGTGTGCTAATTGCTTTTATTAAAAAGAAAAGAAAAAAACTAAAACTGAGGTTGCTTCTGTCAGAAAGGCTGGCGCCATGGTTGGGGAGGAAGTGGAAGAGAAAGGAAACTTATTGCATTTTATATAAGCCCTCACACTTATGTTTTTTTTTAATTTGTTTGTTTGAGACAGAGTCTCGCTGTGTCGCACAGGCTGGAGTGCAGTGCTGCGATCTCAGCTCACTGCAACCTCTGCCTCCCAGGTTCAAGCGATTCTCCTGCCTCAGCCTCCCAAGTAGCTGGGACTACAGGCATCTGCCACCATGCTCGATTAATTTTTTTTGTATTTTTAGTAGAGACGGGGTTTCACCATGTTTGCCAGGCTGGTCTTGAACTCCTGACCTCGTGATCTATCCACCTCAGTTTCCCAAAGTGCTGGGATTACAGATGTGAGCCACTGCACCCGGCCCCTCACACTTATTTTTAAAAATATATGTACACATTGATTTTATGTAATACTAATAAAGTTAGCATAATAACTACATAAAAATAATGATAAAACTACATAAAAAGAACATTTTACTGTCAAGTAAGGGTGTCATGATATTTAAGTGAGAACTGCAAGGTGCAAAAATAGAAATATTTTAAATAACCCAACTATAGAAAAACAAGTGTGTGTGTGTGTGTGTGTGTGTGTAAGTGTGTGATAAAATCTAGAGGCATACATGGCAGACTTCCAACATTCTGTATATGAAAAGCAGGATTGGCAGAAGCAGAGGAGAAATCGAAGGAAGGATTTATTTAATAGTCTATGTTGTATGAGTATTTCCATAATGAGAATTAACACAAAGTTTTCGTTATTTGCCGGACCCCCTTCTTAGTACTTTGCATGTATTCATGCATTTGCTAATGATTCACTCAATAATGAGTTAATTTACAGTTAATACCATTAAAAAACATTACACTGTAATCCCAGCACTTTGAGGGCTGAGGTGGGTGGATCACCTGAGGTCAGGAGTTTGCGACCAGCCTGGCCAACATGGTGAAACCCCGTCTCTACTAAAAATACAAAAAAAATTTAGCCAGGTGTGGTGACGTGCACCTGTAATCCCAGCTACTTGGGAGGCTGAGGCAGGAGAATCACTTGAACCTGGGAGGCAGGGGTTGCAGTGCGCCAAGATCACACCACCGCACTGCAGCCTGGGCAACAGAGCAAGACTCTATCTGGAAAAAAAAAAATTACCTATGGAACTTTTAAAGAAACATAAAGATCTCACCAAAATGTGGAAATTGTATGAGGTTTTTCTTCTTATTTTTTTTTTTAATCCCTGTGAGTATCCTTTTCAAATGTCTCTGTGCAGCTCTTGAGTTGCGTTACTATTGAGTATTGACATCTGCAATTTAGAGTTTTTATCATCTCGATGGAGGAAAGACAATTTTAAGAAATCCTCAGAAAGGGTTAAAGTTAAGTTGGTATTTCATGGCTATTTTATTCCATTTAATTTGATGTTTAACTGATGCAGCTAAACCAGTGGTTCTCAAAGTGTGGTCCCAATCTAGTAACATCAACATCACCTCAAGAATTTGTTGAAGGGCAAATAATCGTTGAGCTCCACTCCAGATCTACTGAATCTTAAACTTTGGAAGTAGGGCCCAGCAATCTTGTCATGAACAAACTCTCTGTATGAATCTGATGCAGGCTCAAGTTTGAAAACCACTGATTTAGAACAAGAAACATAATGTATTTATACTCCCTTATGTTTCTCTATGAGAAATTATATCAAGAAATAATAGGAAATAACAGTTTCTATTCAATAAAATTCCCCAATAATTTATTTGTGATTTATATTTCTATGCAAATAACTCCCAATGCTAAGATTTCTGTAATGCTTGTGCAGATGGCTTTTCTGTATCTGAACCAACTGTATCACAACAACGTCTTCCATTACCTATCTATGATCTATCTATCTATCTATCTATCTATCTATCTATCTATCTATCTAAGAAAGAGAGGGTTAAATTCTGCTCTTCTGGTATGCATTTTGGATTAGTAAATCATTTTTATTGACATGGCAAATAACATGATGACTGATGGACAATAGTGTCCATTTTTAAGCAATGTGAAAATCACTGCAAAAAACAGGTTACTTGCCATTCAAAGACATCAGTGAAAAGTTTTAGGCAAAGATAATGTGGATCTTAGTATGAACTTATATTTCTCCTTTAAGCAAAACATGAACAGAATTATATCCAGCAATGTCCCATTTCTTTATGTAGTTAAATGAATTCTCCTTGTTATTGTTTTGCTGCATGATAATTTAAGAAGTTGCCTCTGCTTTCTCTGTCTAAAACTATCATTTTTAAACTTTATTTTTAGTTGCTGCAACTTTCCTTTAATTATGCATTTTGGAAGCTGTAGTGGGTTGAACAGTGTCCCCTAAAATTCATGTCTTCTTGGAGCTTTAGAATGTGGCCTTATTTGGAAACAGGGCCTTTGCCAATTAAAGTGAGTTCACACTGGGTAAGTGTGGGTCCTAAATCCAAGACTGGTGTCTTTATAAGAAGAGTAGAGGACACACAGAGAAGAAGCCCATGCAAAAACAGTGACAGAGATTGGAAAGGTGCAACTAGGAGCCAAAGAAAGCCAAAGATTGCCAGGATCGACCAGAAGCTAAGAAGAGGCAGGGAAGAATTCTTCCCTACAGCCTTCAGAGGGAGTGTGGGCCCACCAACACCTTGATTTCGGATTCTACAATCCACGACTATGAGTGAATAAATTTCTGTTGTCTTAAGCCACTAAGTTTGTTGTAATTTGCTATGGCAACCCTAGGAAAACAATACAGATGCTGAAAAAAGGTAATAATAAGAATAAATTCTACAAAAGAGGAGCTTCTCTGGACTCCGGAGCCAGGTCTAGGAGTCTGAAAGTATCTCCAAGGAACTCTCAGGATTTCTCAGAAAACAACAGCTCCAGAAAAAGTGGGAACAATGCCCTTGAGCTTTCATTATTTGCTTTCAGCACGTCAGACACTACTTTTCCAAAACCTTAACAAAACACTTTAAAAGAAAAAATGGTTTTTTCTATTTTTACTTCCAAAGATAGAGTGCTTTCTTTCTCAAATCATTCTTAGCTAAACACCAGTTCCACAAGATTTTAACAGGAAGTCAATGAGAAGGAGAAAAAAAAGTTTTTAAGATCCCATTTCATGCTAATTCCCTCTCTCAGAGATTCTTATGCACATTGAGGGCCTAAAGGATTCTGAGGAAGAAGCTAGTTTATCTTTGGCTAACATAGGTTATACACTTTTGGAGAAATATGGAATGAAATTTGGGTAAACTCTGGAGAATGGAAATTAGACTGGAGGTTAGATGACTACATTTCTAGTGCTAGCTTGGCCACACATGACCACACAACCTATTCTACTCAAAACCTCTGTTTTCTTCTCTAAAGACAAGAGAATACCTTCTCTCTCCTTGTCACATAATTGTAGAAAGTTCAGCAATCATAGTTACATTGCTTTACTTTATAAAGATGCTTTAATCCACTTACAATACCTAGAATCCAGAATATTGATAATATCTATATTACTTATCTAAGAAAGCTGATACAAAATAACTGATTTACATAAAAGCACCTTGGAAAGTAAAAGGAAATATTATATAGATAGAAAATCAAATTTACTATTTGATTTACTTGATTCTTTTAATTTATTGATACTATGTTGGGAAGTTAAGAGTTTCTGTTTATAGATAATACAATTAAAAAAATCAATCTATACCTCCATTCCAATTCTGTATAAACGTGATGGCACTGCTGATGATAACATCTTTACCTTGTCAGTAATGTTTATAGAAGTGGGGACTCTTACAGTGTTGTTATTTTGTTTGTTTGTTTCTTTGTTTCACATCTTCCAAAGCATAGAAAAATGGGGGTATTTCCATTGTGTTTTAATTTTCATCCCTTTACATTTTATACTTTGTATTTTGCTAAGTGTATGTAACAGACTACTGGTTTTTAAGACTAGGAATAATAGCTACATTTCTGTGTTTGGGGAATATTAATGAGCACAAAGGGCAAACAAATCACTAGAAATTCTGAAAAACATTGTAAATTCTCCATGTTTACATGTTTAATAAAAATTATATGTTTATATAACAAATCCTATAACTTAGGCAGATGTATATACGTATATATACATAAAATATTGTATATGTATGTGCATGTGTGTGTGTGTATATATATGTATATACACACACAATGTTATTCTAGCCTACCATTGATCTGTGAAAAGAGATTGTTCACCACATCCTTCATATCACATTATAAACTGAACATTAAAGTAAAGGTATCTGACTCATAACAAGTGGACTATATTAAAGCAAAGTGATTTCTGCTAAGGATTTGACATACCAATAAATTGATATTCAAACAGATTAAATGTATACACATACACATATTGATCTAAGAGAATATTTAGTCTAATTATATTTGTTGATTGACAGATATTTCTCCAAAACAAATACAAGTCTCTCTATCTGCTGAAAATGCTAATGCTGATGCTAATTAAAGCATGCACATGTACATATGTGCACACATACACAACCAAATTATTGAAAAAGTCTAAACTATGTGAAGGAAGTGGTTTTACAAAGAGAAAGATCAATTGCCTACACAATTCAAATTTTCTAGTGAATTTTTTAATTTGTGGTTTACTTTATTCATTTTGGAGTTACTTTTTACCTGAAAAATGAACTGAATATTTATTGCAGTTCTATACAGACCAGAGTTTAGAAAAACCCACAATATCCAGTTTCTAATGTTCTTTTTCATAATATATGCAAAGAATGACTTATTACTTGTCACTTACAAAAATATACATTGCCTCTAATGTTGGGAATTTCATAAAACTCTATAAAATACTGCATGTCCATATGTGGACAACGTGTAAAATAGACTGGATATTTTGCCACGGTTTGCAGTATATATTTTGGAGCTCCATGCCAACTTTCCATTCTCTTTACCAAAGAAGTTGTCTAAATTGTTAATGCAGAATATTTTAAACATAGAATTTTATCCAAATCTGTTTTCCCTTAATATACTTTTTAAAGGGGAAAAGTTCAGAATATTCCAATCAATTCACGTACTTGATCTAATTTATGCACTGAGGAAATCAAAACTGTATGTCATTTGACCATTTTACACTTGTTTCTAGTGAGATTACTAATAGGTTTATTATTTAATTTATAATCCAAATTAGAGTAAAGGGAGAAAATAGGTTATGGAAAACCAGTAATCATTGCAGTACTTGTTTATTAAGAGCCAATTTTGTACACCTGGAAATTGAATTAGAAAGACTCAAAGAAAATAGAGTCAAATAATTAACCCCTTCCTTCTTATAAGAATAAATGGTAACAAGAGATTGGTAACCTAGAAGTATTTTAAGGAACATGGGCTGCTTTTTGAGGAATTGGTTGATGCCATCTTTCCAGAGTTGAATATTGGCCATGCAGAAATGATGGGCTAAAGGCTAAAAACGGATTTCCACCACTAGTTGCCATTCCAAATGAGATGCTATGTTTCCAAAGAGTCTTCCATGGAAAGAAAAAGCAAGTTAGTGAAAATAAGAATTTCCATGTGTTTATGAAAGAACAACACGTTCTTTCCAGTAGGACTGGTAAAACTCCCCCTCCTCACCAAATACTATGAACAAAAAAACAATGATCAAAATTGTGATTAAAAAGTTAAAAAAAAAATCAAGAATCACAACCAACACTGTGAACCTTATTGAAAGCTGGAATATCAAGCTTAGCTCTGTCTGAAAATTTAAATAAGCGCAGATTTTTTTTAAGACAACTTAAAAGTTTTGTGTTTATCTGTATTTTATTTTTGTTTTGTATCCTCTGCCTAAAATAAAAGCAACATTCACATACTTTGGAAACAGCTGACGCTTCTGCACAAGTAGAGACTGCTATAACTTTAAAATCTCCTAAGAGTGTTTGTGCTGCCCATTCTTAAGGACCCAGGGATTATGGTTATTCTCTCTGGGAACACGAATTCAAATCTTTCCATCCTTTTCCATTAGATTTCAGTCTCCCATCATTTCTATTGATTACTTATCACTCTGAATAGGAGAAGAGCATTTAATTACACATCAGTAGAAATGCATGAGTTATAATTCCACCTCAGTCATCTTTAAATAGCCCAGTTGCTTCCATTAGGTACTTGTAAGACTTTAGGAAAAACAGTTTCCCTGTGGATTTCTTCTTAATTCTCCCTCATCTGTAGTCTACCTGGTAGGGCTAGTTGGTCTCTAGGGTTCCCTTCAGTTTCAGTTTCTGATCTAATACATCTTTAAGATGGGAATGAACTTTCTAACAAAGCAGGAGTTGTCACCTTCTTTACACCCAAACGAGTGTTTGGGTGCCTTTCTTAAGATTTCAGATGCCACAGAGATAGTTCCTTGAGAGGTGACATAGCTTAATGGTTACAGGAACCAAGTAAGGAGCCAGATTGCTAAGACTGGAATCTTGTCTCTGCTACTTAATAGGTCTGTGACTTTAATTAATTACCTTACTTTTCGGTGCCCCCATTTTCTCATTGTAAAATTGGGAGTGTTCACCTCCTAAAGTTATGGTTAGGAATACAGTGTTAACCAACGTATAGTAGTTAAAGAAGTGCCTCCTGGAAAATAAGTGCTATGTGAGTGTTTCTCAGTTGTAATCATTACCTCTTAATAACAGAAAAGAGGAAGTTGCAGATGGTAAACACATTTAATTTTGTTCCTAAAGTGCTGTTCAATTTATGGGAACTTAATATTAAATCATAGGTTAAAAAATGAAGTGTCAGTGATAAAATTATCATAATTTGTAGATAATAGAGTTATTGGGAAAATTCAAAAGGCTTATACGTGAAGCCATTCCAAACGCTAAAGCAGTTGAAAAAGCAATAGATTTTTTTTTTTTTTTGCAGAACAATATTAAAGGTTACAAAAATAATGAAAGAAATCTCCTTCACAATGGAAGCAAATACAAAATACCTAGGAATAAATGTAACAAAAATTCATTTAACTAATGAAAATAAAATGAACTGAAAAATCAAATAGAAAAATTAAGGGAAAGATATTCGAGTTGTGGGTTGGAAGCCATAATGTTCTCAAGATGTCAGTTCTTCATATTTTAATATAGGTCAGAGCAGTGCCAATAAATATCCTCACCCACTTAAAATATGTGAATTTTATATGTAAGAACTTCTTCCCAAGTTTTTACAACTGACAAAATGATTCTAAAATTTATCTAAAAGACTAAGTAAATGAATAATGCAACAAAGAAATAATTTGAGAGAAATTATCTTATTAAGTAATAAAATACTGTATGTTTGGACTCACAATGGGTATTCAGTTTAATGGAAAAGAATGGATAGTCATTAATAATACAACATGGCAGCCAGCCTTCAAGATGGCCCCCACATGCTCCTTGTCTCTTGGTGTTTGTTCATGTTCTGGTGTCTTCTCCTCCCACTTGGAATAGTGCTGACCACGTGAAAAATAGGATATTGTTGAAATGACCATGTGGCTTCTGGTGTTAGGCCATGAAAGACATTATGGCTTTTGCCACGCTTTCTTCTGCATCACTTGCTATATGCAGTAACAGGTAACTAATATACCCAGGTATACACAGTCATGCATAACTTAATAACAGGAGAGCATTCTGAGAAATGTGTTGGCAGACAGTTTTGTTGTGTGAAGATCATAGACTGTACTTACACAAACCTAGATGATATAGCCTAGTGCACACCAAGGCTATATGATATAGCCTATTGCTCCAAAGCTACAAACCTGTACAGCATGTTACTGTACTGAATACCATAAGCAATTGCAACACAATGGCAAGTATCTGTGTATCTAAACATAGAAAATGTACAGTAAACATATGATATGACAGTCTTATAGGACCACTGTAGTATATGCAGTCTGTCGTTCACCAAAATGTCATTATGTAGTACATGACTATATATAAGGGTTAATAATCATATGGATTGCGCTTCAGTGGGAATAAAGAGGTTATCCATTAATTTTGTTTCACCAAAGACTAAATTACAGACCTGATATAGATAAAAATGGTAAGGAGAAATATAAAACCACCAAAGTATTTGGGAAAAAAAAGTAGAATTTATAATTCTGGACTTCAGAGAGCTTTTATAAGCATTATATCCAAATGGATTTTAAAAAGGAATATACTGATAGACTTTGAATCATAAAATATAAACTAGTAATGCATTGAAGAATATAATAAACAAAATGAAAAGAGAAAATGACATCTCTATGGTAGATAGGCCAATCGTATATATATACATAAGTTCATAAATTTTTACAAAATAGCTAATATAATGCAACATTAAGTGAAAAAGGTAAAACATCAAGACCAATTGAAGTTTATCCCAAGAATGAATGGCTGATTTGCATTTGAAAATATCCTTTTGAAATTGTGGTTTCAACTCAGGCAAATCATGTAATCTCTTTAAACCTCTTGCCCCTCAGTTCTACAATAAGAATAAAAGGTCCTGAAGGCACCAGTTCTAGTGTTTTATAGCATCCTAGGATGACTGTAGTTGACAGTAATAGATACCTTTAAATAGCTAGAAGATATTAAATGTTTCCACACAAATGATAAAAATTTGAGATGATGGGTATACTAAAAAAAAAAAAGAAGAGAAAAAAAATAATTACCCTGATCTGATCACTGTACTTTGTATGTATCAAAACATAACTCTGTATGCCATAAATATACACAGTAATTATATGTCAATTGAAAACTTAAAGATCATGGAAGAAAATTCTGATTTCAAACTAGGGAAAACGTTAAAATCTTAAAACATGCTACAGGGTATAACCTATATCTTAAGAAATAAAAAGCTTACTAATGAAACTTTAAAAATATTTCCTTTTTAATATGTAACAAAACAAAGATGTTTATCATTATCATTTCTATTTGACATTCTAGTTGGGGTTCTAACTAAGGCACTTAAGAAAATAAAAAAGGCAGGTGCGGCGGCTAACGCCTGTAACACCAACACTTTGGGAGGCCGACGTGGGTAGGTCATGTGAGGTCAGGAGTTTGAGACCAGCCTGGCCAACATGGCAAAACCCCACCTCTACTAAAAATACAAAAATTAGCTGGTGTGGTGGTTCATGCCTGTAATCCCAACTACTCAGGAGGCTGAGGCAGGAGAACTGCTTGAACCCAAGAGGCGGAGGTTGCAGTTAGTTGAGATCGCACCACTGCACTCCAGCCTGGGTGACAGAGCAAGATTCCATCTTGAAAAAATAAATAAAATAAAAAAGAATGTAAATGTTATAAAAATGAAAAGGAATAGCATCTGCTATATTAACACATTCTATAATTGGCTATATAAAAGTATAGGAGAAAAAGCATAGGAAAATTATGAAAAGAGACTTAAACAATTTTGTTGGATCTATAACTGACGAGAGAAATCAAATGCAATTGTATACACCTGAGACAGACAAAAAAATTCAAGATATGTAGTTCAGAGAATCAACAGTTATCTATGTATAGATCCTACAAAAGCCCTTTAAGGGGAAATTTGTAAAACTAATATGCAGATATTAAAATAAACCTAAATAAAGGGAGACAATCTCACTGATAGGAAGTATCAATATTCTAATGATGTTTATTCTACCCAGTTTCTTCTATAGATTCAGTGCAATTTCAATATAAATATCAGCAGTGTGTGAATTTTTATGGTATGCTAACAAGAATAAAATATGATTTTTAGTGTCAGAGAAAATGAACATATAAAACATTCTTTTGACACTGCACTGTTATTTTTAAGAACCAAGATTCTAAGAACATAAACAGTATATAGTTGTTACTTTAAAGAAGGTAGGAAATCTTCAGGTTTGCAAACTGCTGCAACATTTCAAAGCAAATATCCATAGGTTTAGCAATAGAAATTTCATTAGTTTGCTAGGGATGCTATAATAAAGTACCACAAATCAGGTGCCTGAAACAACAAAAATGTATGTCATCACAAATCTGGAGACAAGAAGTCCAAGAGTAAGGTATCCTTAGGGTTGTTTCTTCTACGTCCCCTCTCCTCAGCTTATAGGCGCCATTTTCCCCTCCCTGTGTCTTCACTTGATCTTCTTTCTGTGTGTGCTTGTGTCCTGATCTCTTCTTATAAAGACACAAAATATATTGAATTAAGGACTCATATGAACTCATTTTACCTTAATTACTTCTTTAAAGGCCCTGTTTCCAAATACAGTCACATTAAGAATTACAGGGTTTATGACTTCAACATGTAAATTTGGGAGGGAACACGATTCTGCCAATAACAGAAATTAAATTGAAAGATTATTGCATTCAGCTGAAAAGAGCACTATTTTTGTTTGAAGCTCCTATGGATCAATTACTAACAAGAAGGACAACTTAATATTTTCCTTTAATCAAGATAAAGTGATAGAATGCATAAGTAGGAATTTTGAATTATATGCAAATCATGAAGCCACTTTCAGCTTATAAGACTCAACAAATTGTAGGACATCAAAGGAAATATATTACAAGGCGATTGAATAAATTCACAATAAAATTCACAATTTAAATTAAATTCAAACTTCCATAAAAATGATTTCTCTGAATAGTTAAATTTTTGAAGGAGGATTTTTCTGGGATAATTTATATTTTGAAATAACTTATTTTAAAAGTATCCTCAAGTTGTCACAGCCTACAAAATACTTCTAACAGCTCCAGTAATAGTTACGCTAGCAGAGAGATTCTTCTCAAAATTAAAAATTTTCAAAAAATATTTGCAAACTTGAATTTTCCAAGAGGAACTAATGCTGCTTTCAATCATACCAGTTAAAAATGTAGCTGCTAAAAGTATTTACATTTTAAGGAACAAATATTTTTGCAGAAAAGTGAACCAAAAACATTTTCTTATTAAGATACCACATTACAAAGTATTATTATTTAGTTTATTATATAAAATTATGACCTCAAAATCACTTTTTTGTAATTCACAAGTTTACATTGTTATGATATACTCATGTATCGCTATTATCCCTATTACATTTTGTAAGTTTATATATTTTAAAGAAAAAAATTTCTATTTTAATATCTCCAAGGCATTTTTTCTCTGCTTTTTGATTAGGGCTCCTACATTTGCATTTTTCATTGGGCCTTGCAAATTATGTAGCTGGTCCTGCCTGGTAGATTTGGGACCATGTCAAGCCAAGAGGGGAGTTACTCTGGGATTTATCCTTAATGTTCTCTTTACAAGCACATGAGATAATTTAACCTTGGGATGTTGGTAAATTAACATGACAAAGAGATTTATGCTTTCAGAGAAATACAAAATAAATCAGGGTGGAGATATTTACAAGTCAGAATGTTTCTATGGACCATACCACTAGTCTAATATAAAATATTACAATCTACACATAAGCAGAATGGGACATTTTTTAAGAAGGGAAAAAGAAACAAATTAAAATAAAATATTAAAATCTATATAAAAAATACATCAGTTAGAACAACGAAAAATGTTCAGCCTGAGAACACGGAAGAAATTGAGTCTTAGAAATACGGCGCGGTGGCTCAGGCCTGTAATCCTAGCACTTTGGGAGGTCGAGGCGGGTGGTTCATGAGGTCAGGAGATTGAGACCATCCTGGCTAACACAGTGAAACCCCATCTCTACTAAAAATACAAAAAAAAAAAAAAAAAAAATTAGCCTGGCATGGTAGCGCAGGCCTCTAGTCCCAGCTACTTTGGAGGCTGAGGCAGGAGAATGGCGTTGATCCCGGGATGCGGAGCTTGCAGTGAGCCTAGATCGCGCCACTGTGCTACAGCTTGGGCGACAGAGGGAGACTCCTTCTAAAAAAATAAATAAATAAAAAGAAATATACATGAGCAGAGTGCATCCTTGCATGGTGCATTTGAGACAGAGTCTTAAAGAATTTTATGCCTATTTTGGTTCCATTAAACAAGCTTCTGCTATTTGGTCCTCTAGTTACTAAAAGGCCCTCTGATTACATTTTCCAGTGGGATTATATTCAGGGACATAATATGCTAAGTGCACTTTACAGAATATTCCATTTTATGTGATCATTTGGTAGTTTTTTTTCTTATCAAATGAATAATTTGCCCAGACTGGTATGATAGGCTGAATAGTATCTGAGTTTCAAGTAGCTAAACCTAAGGCTCACTTTCATCCTTGAAACTATGTAAACCAAAAGAATTGACATAACATAATGAGATCAGCTACTATGAAAAGTACAAATTAGGTAAAATTTGTCAGTATTTAACCTCTCCTTGCTTTTGCTATTTTTGGGGGTGGTACGCCTCTCCAGGCATCCAGTCCTCTCTTGTTAAACAATGGATCATTAAAACCTACCAGTGTGTTTTCTAACTCAGCCTCGGCATTGTCCTTTACTTGAGACCAGCGTTTCCTTGAATGACTGTAATTAGAATAAACTTGGAAACTTCCAAATACAGATTTCTAAACTACACCTTCCCTTCTGGACCTCGCAAGTTAGAACCCCCCAGAATTGTTCCTTTGAACAAATTACCAATTTAAATAGTATCATAAATCGGAACATAGATGGTATAGAGATTTGGACTGTAAGCCACTGCTTTATGTATTTCCTTAATGCTTTTATCACAGCCTTTTTGGACTACATACTATTTTGCATTCTGCCCTCTTCCAGTTTTAATGTTTATTAAAAGTAATAGTTTAAGTAATGTAGCAGGTAAATAATGTATAATGCATACTCTGCAGCTAGCTAATAGTGAAATCACGTTAAAATGAACAAGACCCACTGGGAAACCACTGTGAATTAAAGACTCTCTGTGAGTGATTAGGGATATATTAGCATGTGGTCCCACCCGTTGAGCCTAAATATGTTTCCTAAAACTCATACAGCTAATCTTATATTAATATAACAATGATGATGATCATTATTCTTTTATTGCATATCTTCATTACTTATGGATTAAAAAGTCTTGAAGTAGATACAAAGTTGATAAACTGGAGAATTTGGCAAAAGTTATAAGCGTTGGGCTGAGCCTGATGGCTCATGCCTGTAATCCCAGCACTTTGAGAGGCCGAGGCGGGTGGATCACCTGAGGCCAGGAGTTCGAGAACAGCCTGGCAGGTGAAACCCCATCCCCACTAAAAATACAAAAAGTAGCCAGGTGTGGTGGCACACAACTGTAATCCCAGCTACTCAGGGGGCTGAGGCAGGAGAGTCACTTGAACCCGGGAGCTGGAAGTTGCAGTGAGCCCAGATCGTGCCACTGCACTCCAGCCTAGGAGACAGAGCAAGACTCCAGCTTAAAAAAAAAAAAAAGTTATAAGCCTTGATTGGTCATGAGATCTGTAAGCCCAGGGATGAATTATAAACTGGGAAGGAAAAGCTGCAGACAGGGGAAGTGAGTGGACATAACAGCAAAGATTGAAGGAGCAGATTGGTAAGATCATTGCCTCTGGGAAGTTAGTGGGGAAAAAAATGGTCTTATGAAACTACCTTGAAAAAGTTATTACTTTTACTATTTGGCTTTCTGTGCCATGATCCACTCAGTCCCTGCTGTATATAAATGGTGAAAAATTGCAGTAACTTACAGAGCATCCATGAAATTGAAGTGGCATCCAGTGATATCTATCAGCTTTTAAATTCCCAAAGAACCCCACAGTAAATGTGAATATAAACTTCCCAGTGGTCTAATTCTTCTTTAATAACATCCTCCAGTATGTTATTTTAGGTTGCCTAACCGAGACAGTGGGGTATAGAGGTTGAAAGGACAGCAAAAAATAGTAAAAATTAGAGTGGAAACAAGTGGGAAAGTATTGTTGGAATTATCAGGTCATGTACCTAACCCTTATAACACTGAAGAACTTCAGGTACACACACTGGGGCCTGTTGGGGTGTGGGGTGGGGAAAGGAAGCATTAGGAAAAATAGCTAATGCATGCTGGACTTAATAACTGGGTGATGGGTCGATAGGTTCAGCAAACCACCATGGCACACATTTACCTGTGTAACAGACCTGCACATCCTGCACAAGTACCCCAAAACTAAAAATTAAAATTAAAAGAAAGATAAAAGAACCCAGGTAGTGATTTTTGGTTTTAGCACCATCATTTGACATACTTATACAATGAAAATCCAATGAATACCTCACTCTCTGTTTCCCAGGAATCTTCATGAGGAAGGTTACTCCACCAGCACTTAGGTCCCTGATTTATAAAGATACTATCAATTATGTTCCCACCCTTTCAAGATGGGTGCTCAGAAAGAAATTTCATGCCACGTGGTTATAGCACCACACTCTGTTGCTTTGTTCCGGGATTTAGTATGATCCCTCTTTATTCATTGCTCTGAACCAGACCAGGTGTCATATTAAGGACCTTAGATATACTGCAGGAATCTCTCTCTGTCTTGCTCTCTTTCTCTTTTACACACACACACACACACACACACACACACACACAATTCAAAACTGAGATATTCCAAGATGAACACTAATAAGTAATAGAGACATGATGCAAAGATACCTTAAGTGGAAGGGGATTTAAAAATGAGAGGATCAAAGAGGCAAGTGCATAAAAGAACTGGGTAGAGAGATAGCAGGGGAGTGCAGGAGTAGTCCTGCCACCAGACGTTGTTTCAGCAGCTGGATTTCACACATCCTTCTTTATGACATTACAGGACAGTTCAATACCCAATGTGAAAAAAGTCTAAGATCATTTTCCAATCTAGCCTTATTGGTTCCCATATGTACTACATCCATCTTCAACATCCAACATATTATTTTCTGAAGAGTCTAGGAAAATGATTGTCCAGAGGATGGATGGAAAGAAAATTTGTTCTCCTATCTTTATAGTTCTCAGAATTACTATTTATTTCAAAGATTGATCATCTGTGTTTTGAGACTGCTGTTTACCAATGACAAACAAATGTATTTTCCCCATTTTTCCTAACTGCAATTGTTTAAACAAGCATATCATTTCCTTGTATATGTTGTGTGTCTTTAGTTAGTTTTGTAATAAACTTCCTGAATCACAGTGATAACATGACTCATGACAAGACAGTGTGTCTTTTATTGTGTTGGGGAATTTTAAAGTTAGAAAAATCAATCATTGCTGAAATAAAGAGACATTAATAGAAACTAGGACTTTATGTCTTTATAATGCTTTGGTAGTAACAGATCACAAATTAAAATGTATAAATATCATTCTACCTTTTAAAGGTCTAAAACAAAGGAAGCCTGATACAATTTTGGAAGTCTTTCTGAAAGTGTACTTTTTTTTTTTTTTTTTTTTTTTTTGAGACAGGGTCTCACTCTGTTGCCCAGGCAGGAGTGCAGTGACGCCATCATGGTTCATTGCAGCCTCGACCTCCTGGGCTCAGTTGATCCTTCTGCCTCAGTCTCCTGGGTAGCTAGTACTACAAGCGTACACCACCATGCCAGGCTAATTTGTTTCTTAAATTTTTTGTAGAAGCGGGGCCTCACGTTGTTGCCCAAGCTGGTCTCAGACTCCTAGGATCAAGCAATCCTCCTGTATTGGCCTCTCTAAGTGATGGGATTACAGGTGCAAGCCACTGTGCCCAGCCTTGAAGTATAAGTACCTTTTAGAAATAAATGCAAATACATCTTATTTCTTGGGATTCTGTATAATGCCAAACTAATATACACAACATAGACTCCTTTCAGGCCAATTTATGATATAAAATATTTTAGAATTCTTCAGGATTTGAATGAAAAAGAATGAAGTGGAACTATCTAAGACAGAAAATTTTTTAAAAAAATCAAAGTTTGGGTAATGTTTAGAGACGCGTGTGTGTGTGTGTGTGTGTGTGTGTGTGTGTGTGTGTGTCTTCCACTTTAATCAGTCTCTATGCATTTTGCTTCCAGGACAGGAATCCAAACTCCAAGATTCCAGGGAAAGGTCTATTTAGGGGAATGTTTGGCCACTTTAATAAAAATAAAAGACAGATAATCTCATAAAATAACACTTTTATATGAAATTTCCACCATAGATTTTCAGCCCAAAGAAGCTGAGATGAGCTGCCCAGCGGTCTGCATTTTTCCCCATTTTTTTCTACACGAGGGTGGGTGAGGAAAGGGTGGCCACTGGAATTATTTGGAACAGTAACTGTCACAGGATTCTCTTTCCTTTCCTCTTCCTTTGCAGCCAACTTTTTTTTTTTTCACTCCGGATTCTATCAACATCTAAAATCCCCAGTACCTCTGCTTTGTGACTTGGTATTCTGGAATTTTACCAACTGTTTGCCCCTCAACCATCGTGGAAGAATATCTTTATTTCTTGGAAGAGCGAAGAATGACGTACCGCTCATCCCTTTCCACATTTCTTCCACATTCATTTTCATTTTGTTCACATAAAAAATGAAGTCCAGTGCTTTGGTGGACAGACAGAAAGACAGACATTGGTGTTCAAAAATCAAGCCTGACCTTTTGAAATAAACCAGATCAGATCTTTGCACTGTGGAAAAACCATTTCCACAAAAGCAAGAGTGATTTTATGACGTCATGACAAGACCAGCAGTCAAGCATTCCACCAAGGAAATTTTTTGTTGCTGTTGTTTCTAATAAAATGTTTTTATTTCCTGTTTTTGATTTTTTTTAAAGAAAACATAATTTTCTCTTAAAATGAATGACTTTTTGTGTGTGAATCACTATTTGTGAACCAATGAAACACTAAAGCATGACAATGCAACTGAGGCTTTAACACGTGTGTTCACTGGAGAATATCTTAATATATGCTCCTATAATAGAGCAGGTTTGTTTTGCCTTAAAATTAGGTGGCAATGTATATCTAATGCTTAGGATAGAACATGGTGCCTAAATTTCTGTCAACCATATACAATCATGTGTTTGCTCTATGTTAATGTCGTGGGTACTGACATTCTCTCTAAAGTGAAACTTTTAATGTAATGTAAATTATTTCTTTGTCTCATAACCTCAGTAGAGTGAAATCCTAAATTCAGTGGGTTATTTAAATATTTTCTTAAACTCATTAAAATAAACACCTATTATAATCAAAAAGGCATATCTATGCCTTTTTGGAAACACTTGGTTAACACATGATGGGAGAAGTGAGGTTTTCTCTGTGAGTCTCCATTCTGATTTAGGCTCTCACGCCATTTTCCTTAGTACTAGGTACTCCCAAGCCTTTATTCATTTGAACACTTTTGACAACGTGTCTTAAAAATTATCGTCAGTGTTTTTCTTCCTAAGTGATTAAAGAGATGCCTTAACTGGCAAGAACGGATGTCCCACTGTTTTTTGACTATCTAGGCAGCTCTTTGTTTTTTGTTCTAATAGTCAAAGCAGAAAAAAAAAAATCCTTAAATATATCATGCTACTATTTATTTTAAAGAGAAGTGCTGTTTGAGGGAACGATACTTGTTTACATCAGATGGAAATCGTATTAGTACAGGCACATTTCTAAATTCAAATTCTAAATACACCTTTGTCCAAGGGGTACGAAGGCCTTGTCATGAAAGCTGAGTTGGAACTGGACGGTCGCACAGCATTGCTTTTGTCTGACTTCCATTCTAATCTGTTGACTTTTAAAATTGAATGAGAAACATTGTTTCCTGATAAGAAGAGAGAACATAAAAGGCTGGGAACACAATAAGGGATAGCATTACTCACCTTGGAGAACAGGACTTCCAGGTGCTCTTGTCATTACTGTTGTCATCGGTGAAGAGTTCAACTGATAGATAGCTCCGATTCCTGAAACTCCTATCAGCTGAGGCTCAGGGAAAGAAAGATTTAAAGATGAGAGAATAAGTAAATCAGAGAAAGGAAAAAAAATAGAAAGGAAAATAAAAATTGAAAGAATGCAATGAATAAGGAAAGTCTTAAAGTACAGAATTGCAAGGTACTCTTTAAAAAGATGATACCAGTCCAACCCAAAGCAGTGGATAATTTTGGTTCTGTTTCTAAAATCCTTAGGCTAAAAGTGATTCTTGGTGATGATAATACAAATCTCTCAGGGCCATTGCTCTAAAGAATATAGTCCTTCAGCATTTCATTAAACTCACAAATACTGTTGTGGATGATATTGGGGAAAATAAAATGGAAGCTTGAATTAGAAAGACAGGCCTTGGATAAGTATGCAAAACAGGTGGTGTGTATCCTCCGACCCAGGCTATCAAACTCTGAAGAGCTGCTATTGATGGATTCTCTTTTGGTCTGTCCTTCCTTTTTCCACTACTCCCCTACAACTTTGGAGCCTTTAGCTACATTCCGCAAGTCTGAGTCTCGTCGCTGCCATCCTTGTTTATGTCAGAAATAGTCATTTTTATGAGATCTTCTCTGTCCAATAGCACATATGTTCAGATTGTATGCCAGTCACTCTGTGCTTCCAAGTTACCAACTATTTGTAGATAATATATCTTATTCATAGTAGAGATGCTTCTTCGTTTAATTTTAGTATTTTGGATGTCATATTTTAATCATGGAGGTATAAAATTTTAAGATAAAAGGAATGCTTGGTTTTTTAAGATAAAGGGAATGCTTAGATTCAAAGTGAATGCTCAGATTTTAAGGTAAAAATCTCCTCGTTTCACCAGTCACTTCAGCCATTTAGGAAGCTGGTTACAGACAAGAATGAGAGTCAAGCAGTTCAAAGTATAATTTTTACAGTCAGTGTTCAAGGGTTGAAGCTCTGCTTCACAATTTACTGGCCAAGACTTCAGTTAAGTTACTTACTTCATCTGTAAATTGGAAATAACTATTGTAGTTGTTTCCTAGGATGCCTGTGAGCATGTAATTGATAACGATAAAATACCTGGCAGATTTTCTAGCATGCCTGAACCACTCACTCTGGCATGTAGTAAGCTAGTATCATTTTGCTGGTATTATTGTTATTATTACACTACTGATGGAAGGAATGGTGCTGAGTGGCTGAGTGACCAATTTATCTGGGGGTGGCAATGAGGAAGACCAAACCAGGTATACTAGGCAGAGTTCTGGCAGGGAACAGATGACACAATTAATTAACTCAAAGAGCTAGTTGAAGAGAGTTCAATAAAAGAAATATTTGCTGATGTAAGGGTAGGTTCAACAGAATCATGAGGGGATGGCAGAGTGCCCAGAAACTCGCCAATAGTAGGAAGCTCAGCCAGAAACTTCCTAAGCCTGCAGATAAGAGGGGAGAAAGTTGTGTTACTCAAATCTTATGACAGTTATAGACGATGGAGAAGGGTTATCCTGCAAAAGCTACGGTTAAAGACAGACAACCCAGCCAAAAAGTGGAAGGGGATATATGACTACTATTTATTCTGCCTGGTAACTCTCACTGGGTGATCTCAGCAAAAACCAATGAAAAAGACCCTAGGTTGTGCGGTCCTTAGAATTAAGCTCCCTAGGCAGAAAGCAGGCAGAGAGTGAATTGGGAGGGATAAGGAGTGAATAATAATGGTGGACAAGCACACCAGAATTTCAATTTATTTTTCATAAACTACAGTTCTTGCTAGTATTGTAAAGTCAGAATTTAACATTTTAAAATTCAAATAATCCCTAAAACTGCTGTAAGGGGCCCCAGAGTTTTACAAATTGAAACTTGGATCTTTGAGTTTTAACTATGTTAGAGGACTGATATGGATTGGAGTTGGATATTTGACTCTGTACTGTATTTTATGACTTATGTGCTTTGTGAGAATAGCCTTTAAAATTTATGTTTTGCTTTTGAACAGTAAAAAGTCCATTTTTCCATCAAACAGGCCATCACTAATTTAGATATAGTTCTTAACAGAGAATTCTGATTTAATTATCAATTTTAGAGTTTATATCAATAAAGTGAAAACCGAGTAATTTACAGAAATCTAATTTACTTCTTAGACATGTACATGTTTTCGAATGAAGGTTATTGTAGAAGAATCCACTATTATGATTTAGCAAAACTGAGAGCTTTATTTGAAAAGTAATAATTATTATTATTATAATTTTAAAATAAATGTGCCCTATTTAAAAATCATCCTATTAATTATACTACTGTGAATATTTTACAGGTATTTTCAGTCCCAGCTTGGCTGCATGAACTTTCATGCTGAGGTCTAGTGTTAGCATTAACGTTAGATAAATGCTGAGTAGTATTTAGTATTTGCATTTTAAATAGTCTTTTTCTGAATCCTAAGATGTTCCAAACTGCCTTTTAAGAATTAGCTAGTATATTATGATACTGAACAATTCCGTTAGAAGCTATCAAGGGTCTAGAAGATTTGTTTCTCCTAAAACTAAACTTGAAATTTCTTGGAGTAAAATACCGTAGTCAAAGGTAAATAGCTAGAAGCCTTCTTTGGCTGGTACAGGCCATTGAACAGAGTACCTTAAAAACAACTAATTTATACCTCAATAGACATTAAGTTGGATACAAAGTGAAAATATAATTCATAAGTATAAAACAAATGAATATTTGCTGTATATTAGAAGTAATATACTGCAACCTGCAGAAAATAAAAATATTAGGCCAGGTAAAATTAAACTCATGTTTGAAATATTCCAAATGGCATGACTAATGTCAACATCCAAAAATCTCATTCATTCAACACACTCTTACCAAACCACGGCCCATTAAAAAGCAAAAAATAAACAGTTCAAAGAGACAATCAGGAAGCACTTGACATCATGATTCGACCACAATAAAATATTTATGATTTTTTCTCTCATTCAGGAAACGATTTGATACCATCATGGAGTGAATAGAGTTGGAAGCAAGGAAAGAGTATTGACGTCAATGCTTATCATATTAGTGAAATAAATATGGAGAGGATAGTTAGAGAATCTTGTGATAATGAAACAAGTGCACATTTATTTTGAACTAACACACCAGGAAAATTTGAGAGTTTTATTTGACAGTTGAAACGTAAAAAAAAAAAAAAAATTCTTACTTCATATTAGGAAATCAAGGTATTAGCTCTATTTTTTTTAGAAAAATAATCTTAAGTATTATTGCCTAATTTTAAAACATTTATAAATTCTCTCATAATCCTCCCTATCTTGGAAACATCATGGATGTCAGTGTATTAGTATTAGATCTTCTATTTCATTTACCCAAAAAAATAGGGGGTATTATTGTAATGGAGGCCAACAGAACTATAAATATTATCAAAAAGAATAGCAGAGAGATGCTAGGGGTCAAAGAAAACTTTACTTCTCTCTAATTTTGCTCTGGCAAAGAAGAAATATTAAATTAGTTAACATTTTAAAATATAAGAAAAGGAATTCAGCAGTATGTAACTCTAGGAAGATAACACGATGATCAGTGTCAAGATTACCTCAGTTAATTCAAGTCACTGTATCAATTCTTATGACGTGTCTCTTCCTGAGGAATTGCAGTTATCTCAGTACTGCAGCTGTCAGGAGCACACACTGTTTTTACTCTCTGGTTTCTTGCTTTCAGGAACTGGATGAAAAGGTAACTACTCCAAAAGAGTTAAGGACCGGAAAGCCATCTTTCTTGTTGACCTTTCATATCTGTGTGCAACATGTACTTTAAGTGATAGCGAATATTTGAGAAATCATGATGGATCCCAAATCTTGTGAATTTCCAAGGATGTAATGAAAGAGGAAATATTTTCCAAGACTGAAGGTCTTTCTCTATTCCTTGGCTGGTAGGTACAAAAAAATACGTTATAGGAAGCAAGAGAAATGCCTGCTTTTGATGTCTGAATCCCACCATTTGAAATGCATTCCTCTGGATTATTAAGATAATAGGTGAGTTTTTGAGATTTTTTTTTTTCCTCAATGGATCTGTCATTAGGGAAAAGTTTTCCACAGAAACAGATATACTTGATAGGAAGGAAAATACAGAAAGACATAATCCATAATCAGCAAGACTAGCACAAAACACACAGTTGAGGTAGGAGGTGGGGACTCGACTCTTGACCAGATTGAAGAATAGCTGAAACAAGGAAGAGGTGAAAGCATCTCTCCAGGAGACACATCCACCAGTGCCATCTCAGTTTTCCATTGTCATGGCAACACCCAGAGTTTACCACCCCTTTCCAAGCCAATGACCTGAAAAATACAAGCTTTTTCCTAGAAAAGTCTGAACAACCTGCCCCTTAATTTGCATGTAATTAAAAGTGAGCATAAATTTGACTGCAGAACTGCCCTTGAGCTGCTTCCCTGGGCACATGGGCTATGGTGTAGGCCTGCTCTGCTAGGAGCAGGACCTCTGCTGCTGCTGCGCACTGCTACTTCAATAAAAGTTGCTGTCTAGGCTGGGTGCGGTGGTGGCTCATGCTTGTAATCACCGCACTTTGGAAGGCCGAGGCAGGCGGATCACCTGAGGTCGGGAGTTTGAGACGAGCCTGACCAACATGGAGAAACCCCATCTTTACTAAAAAAATACAAAAAAATTTAGCCAGGCATGGTGGCACATGCCTGTAATCCCAACTACTTAGGAGGCTGAGGCAAGAGAATCATCACCTGAACCCAGGAGGCGGAGGTTGCAGTGAGTCACGATCATACCATTGCACTCCAGCCTGGACAACAAGAGCGAAACTCCGTCTCAAAAAAAAAAAAAAAAAAAAAAAAAGTTGCTGTCTAACACCACTGGATTGCCCTTGAATTCCTTCCTGGGCAGAGGCAAAATCCCTCCCATGCCGAGTCTCAATTTGGGGGTTCACTTGCCCTTCATCACCATCAGAGGGGCTCTGGTCAGGAAAAATGGCAAGCCGAGAACGTCAATAAAAAGGAGAGAAAAGGAAGATATTGCCAAGTGAATGACTCCATGATAAAATCTTAAGGCCAAGTGAAATTGTAAAAGGGTTTGCTGGAAGAAAAGATTTCAGAACATGAATTATATTAGCATGAGTCCTATCTATTGGTTGAATTAAAAGCAAGCAAGCAAGCAGTAAGTTTCTGGGAAGATGGTTGCAGCAGTGACACAGGTTTTGAATCCCTTTATAAAAATAGGTAGAACAGTAAGAGTAGGAAAACCAAAAAATCAATGATAAAATGATATCTGAGCAAAGACATAAAGATGAAGGGGTTACATAAAGATAAAGATGAATACTGGAGTAAAGAGTAATCCAGGCAGAGTGAAACAACACTTGCAGGAGGCCTGATGCCTGGAGAGAGTTTTGTGTGTCCCAGACCTTGAGGAATAGTGCAGCTAATGCAGAGGAAGTGAGGTTGGGAGGCAGGGGATGAGGTCATTTGTAGTAGGGAGGCCAACTCCTCCCTGGACTTTGCCTTGTATTCTGCATGCAGCGGGAAGCCATAGGGAAGTTTTGAACAAAAGACTAGTAAACTGTGCTTGACAATGATTCCTCTAGCTGTTGTAATATGATATATTTATATAAACGTAGAAAAAGGGTGAGATGGGCGAGGCATGGTGGCTCACGCCTGTATTCCCGCACTTTGAGAGGCCAATGCAAGAGGATCACCTCAGGTCAGGAGTTCAAGACCGGCCTGGCCAACATGGTGAAACCCCATCTCTGCTAAAAATACAAAAAATTAACTGGGCATGGTGGTACGCTCCTGTAGTCCCAACTGCTCTGGATGCTGAGGCACAATAATCGTTTGAACCCGGGAGGTGGAGGTTGCAGTGAACCGAGATCCCGCCACTGCACTCCAGCCTGGGTGACAGAGTGAGACTCCATCTCAAAAAAAAAAAAAAAAAAAGAAAAGAAAAAGGGTGAGTTGATACACACTAAATGAGTTGTAGTTTCAGGGGACAGAAAAAAGAAAATGTATGTTTTAGTTTTTATTTTTTCCCTTTTTTCCTGCAACTCTTGACTTATTTTACTTTTTTCAGTGAGAATGCATTACTATCCTAATAAGTACAGTGCAATGTATATGTCTTTTAACTTCCTGGGTTCCAGCTCACATGTGTTACATAAACCCTCCCCAGCTACCCTTTTAAGTAGTCACTTGGAAACTCTTTTGTGTTCTCACTTTACCTGGGTCAGGCTTCTTATTCTTGGATGGTGTCTGTTATTAAACAGGGTTTTCTCTTTCTAATCTAAATTCTCTTTTCCAGTAATTTCTCTCTCCTGGACACAGTGGCTCAAACCTATTATAGCCCTTTGGGAGGTCAAGATGGGAGGACTGGTTGAGTCCAGGAGTTCGAGATAAGCCTGGGCAACATGGCAAGATCTTGTCTCTACAAAATATAAAAAATAAGCTGGGCGTGGTGGTGTGTGCCGGTAGTCCCAGCTACTTAGGAGGATCACTTGAGTTTTGGAAGTTGAGACTGCAATGAGCTATATTTATGCCACTGCACTCCAGCCTGGGCAATAGAATGAAACCCTGTCTCAAAAAGAAAAAAAAACAAAAAACAAAAACAACAACAACAAAAAACACTTCTCTACAACTTATTCAGTTGTAATTATTAGGAAATACAGAAAACGAGCTTAATAATTTTCCTATAGGACATCTCATCAACTTGCTGTAGGGAAGTGCTAAAAAATGAAGAAGTCTAAAGATAATTTACAAATTTCACAACTTCACTAAAGGCTGACGCTGCATATCAGGCAGGGGTAAAGAGTGGCAGTAAGAGGAAGAAAGAAGCAATGAAGGAAGTACAGTGGGAACATGTACTTAACTTGGATATAAAAAGAAATTTGACATGTTAGGCAATCTTAAAAAATCACAGGTGATTGACACCGGAAGGTTATTGAGAAATGCAAGGTCCCAGTCTACCACTAATGGCAGCACCCATGAAGGACAATTGAGAAATTCAGTCTGGAGAGGGCTTAACGCCCTCTTACTGGTTTCAAAATGGTCTGCTTCTGTAACAAGAATTATTTTTAGAAATGTTATCTCATATTTTCCATTCTTTTATTATTTCTGTTCCTTCTAATTTTACACCTGACTGCTCTGAGTGGGTGTGTTTGTAGGAGGGGGTGGAAGATTAAAGAAGGAAATGCTAGTTTCAAAACACAAAGGACTAAAAATCTCTTAGACTCAAGTATTAGAAGCTAGCAATCTCTCTTTCCACTAAAACATTCTGCTACCATTAAGTGAACTGATGGGACTCTTACCACAAAAGGAAAACACTTAATAAATTGCAAACTATTACAGAAATTTTTTAATAAAGAGCTATAGCTTTTAAAAATAAATAACGGTTTATTGATAGTGCTTGCTGAGAACCTAGAAGGCATGGAAGATGGAGAAAAGAGGAGAATACCTTTTCTTTCCTTTTTCTCTTCTTCTCATAAATGTCAAGTGTGCCTCTCACTAAAGCAATAGTATCTCATCATCCTAAGAAATGCTTGTTATAATTTAAAACCTGACTAAGAAAACATTTATATTTTAGCTTATGTTACAAACAGGACTGGGAGTGTATAGAATAAAGAAATGCTTTTCTGTCCTTCAGAACTATCTCATGGAAAAACACGCAAATACAAAACCTATATTAAAATATGAACGGAACTAACAAGAAAATCACAAATGTTGATGGAAGGCAGAGTGATCAGAACAATGTCAGTGTGACTGAGATAGATACCGTAGGTAGGGAAAGTCTGTCAAAATTTAAAATAAATGCATT
Organism: Homo sapiens; assembly: GCF_000001405.40. NCBI lineage: Eukaryota > Metazoa > Chordata > Mammalia > Primates > Hominidae > Homo > Homo sapiens. The sequence goes on from NC_000017.11 coordinate 70,528,493, forward strand.
ACTCAAGAATGATGAATTTTTGGCTTCTCCTAAAGTCACTTTTTTTCCTCAAGTAGAACTGAAACCCAGGAAAAATATCACAATTAAAAAGTCTCATAAGTTTTCTTAAGCAAAAATAATAACCACAACTACTACCTTAAAGTTTGTTAAGCTCTTTCTAATTTCCAGAAACAATGCTGAGTCTTTGATCTGCTTTTAGTGAATTGATTCGCTCAAAAAAACAATATAAAACAAGAACTGCTTGCCTCTACCTCCAAGTTTTACAAACGGCAATCTTCCAACTGGCTGTGTACATTCCTGTAGGTTTCTAACATGAGCTGTAGGGGTATGAGAAGAAAATAGGAAAGAGGTTCATTTCAATTTTTCTTTATTTCTTTCATTAAATTTTTGTGTATATGAGATATAATATGCATAACATAATAAGTGTATATAGTATGTAAATATAAGAATTTACATTCTTATATATTCTGTTGTGCTTGAAGTATGTAGTGGTAGGAATGTGCAATCCAAGAAGTTTTAAGAAGAACGTTTCAGCTATTAAGACATCTAGCTTCTGTAATTCAGACCACCTCCAAAGTTCCATATACAGATATCTTTCAAAAATTCACCATGTCTATTTTTTATTTTACACACATTTTTGTCAATTTTATTTAGTCAAATAAAAATTTCCTTATAAAATTGTATTTCCACTTCAATTTTAGAAAAATAATTAGTAACTCTGCTATTGTAGCTACTCAAATACTTGTAGATTTGTTCTAAATTGCGAGGGGAAAAAGGGACTACTGGAGGCAAAATGATGTTAGCAAGAAGTTTGAACTGATATGGATGAAAATATTTTTAAAAAACTTACAGAAACCAAATATTAAATCTTTAAAATATTCTATTTGGGGCCAATTAATATGTATCTCACTTTATTGCAGCACAATATATCAGGCAATAAACAAAATCAGGATCTTTCATAATGAAATGTCCCCTTTCTGCTCAGTATTTTCTGTTTAATAAAATAGTAAGCCAGGTGTTATGGCTTATGCTTATAATCCCAGCACTTTGGGAGTCTGAGGTTCGCAGATCCCTTGAGCTCAGGAGTTTGAGATCAGCCTGAGCAACACGGCAAAACTTCATCTCTACTACAAATATAAAAATTAGCCAGAGTGGTGGCACATGCCTGTAGTTCCAGCTACTCATTGAAGCTGAGGTGGGAGGAGGGCTTCAGCTTGGGAGGCGGAGGTTGCAGTGAGCTGTGATGGCACCACTGCACTCCAGCCTGGGTGACAGAGCAAGACCCTATCTAAAAAAAAAAAAAAAAAAGAAAGAAAGAAAATAATAATCTGAATAATGTATATAAAAGGATATCAATCACAATCACTAAGTGTATTAATTACAAGGCACAATAACAATTATATTGTATTCATTTTCTATTATCACTGCAACAAATTACTACAACTTTAGGGGTTGAAAACAACGCAAGTTCATTGTCTTACAGTTCTGGAGGTCAGAAGTCTTATTAAGTGGGTCTTACGGACTAACATCAAGATATCTGCAGAGCTGCGTGTCTTCTGGAGGCTAAATGGGAGAATCTGTTGTCTTAACTCTTCCAAATTCTGGAGATCACATGCATTCTCTGGTTTGTGATCCCTTTCTCCATTTGCAAAACACAACACTTCAATCTCTACTTCTGTCATGACATCATTCCTTTTTATTCTGAATTACTGCCTACCGCTTATAAAGACTCATGATTAATTGGGACCAGTTGGATAATCCAGGATAATTTCCCCATCGCAAAATCCTAGTTTAATCCCTTTTGCAAAGCCCGTTTTATAATGTAATGTGATGTATTCACAGGTTTCAGGGAAAAGGACATGACATCTTTGGGAATCATTATTCAGCCTGCTCCACAGGATGCAATCTGGCCCCAAAAGATTCACGTTCACCCCACATAAAAATACACTTGCTCCTTCCCAAGGTACCCCAAAGTCTCAATGCATTACACCATCAACTCAAATCCAAAATCTTTATCTAAGTCTTTTCAGGTCAAATTCTCAAAGTCGCTGCAGTTCCAAATCTCATCATCTACATCACCTAAATTAGGTTTGGATGAGGTTCTGGGTATAAAGCATAATGGGGAAAAATTTATCTCCATCTGTAGACTTGTGAAACTAAAAAACAAGTTATCTGCTCCCAAAAATGCAATGGTGGAGCAGGCATAGGATAACAGTTATGGACATTTCTGATCCAAAGGAGATAAAATAGAAGGAAAAAAGAAGTCACATGTTCCAAGCAATTTTAAAATCCAGCTGGGCAAATACCACAAGAATCCAGTTTCTGGAAATAAACCTCCATAGCTTGAGTATTTGCCTTTTGGGCCTGTGGCTCTGCCCTTGGTGTTATCCTTGCTTTTTTTTTGAAGGGTATTTGCGGCTGAGTAGTTTTATCAGCCTGTTTCCTGCCAATAGCCAGGGACCGGGGAGGTGGAAGGTGGGGGTGGGGGTGGAGGTGTGGAGGGTGGGGGTGTAGGGTGGGGGCTGGAGGGTGGGGGGGTGGAGGGGTGGAGGATGGGAGGGTGGGGGTTGGAAGGTGGGGGGTGGTGGGAGTGGAGTGTGGGGGCTGGAGGGTGGGGATGGTGGGGTGGAGGGTGGGGGGTGGAGGGGTGGAGGGTGGAGGGTGGGGGTGGTGGGAGTGGAGGGTGGGGGCTGGAGGGTGGGGATGGTGGGGTGGAGGGTTGGGGGTGGAGGGGTGGAGGGTGGAGGGTGGTGGGAGTGGAGGGTGGGGGCTGGAGGGTGGGGGGGGTGGAAGGTGGGGGCGGAGGGGTGGAGGATGGGGGGAAGTGGGGTGGTTCCGCAGCCTTCTTTCATTTCATCTTCACTTTGTCCCTTTCTGTACAACCTGCAGTGTTTGCGTTGTTATAACATTATCAAAAGCTTTATGGATCTCCCATTTATATCTGGAGATTCACTTCATTAGACACAAGGCTTCTTCACCAATGTTTTCTGGATAATCACATCTCCATTCTTGGCTTCTGCTGAGATGGCTGGTGGAATTCATTATCCACACGCCTAATCTCTTCAAAGATCCTTTTATTTGACTGAATACTCTTTCAGATCCTTGTCAGGCACTGGCAAAGTGTTATCCAGCTCGACCCTTGAGTTTCTCTTCAGAGCTCATGTTCCTGGCAATAAAACTAATTTTAGGATATTTTGAAGTCTGTAGAGGCTGATAATTTCTCAAATCATAAAGTCCTGGTTCCTGTTTGCTTAACAGACTTTTCCTTAACTTATGCTTTCCTCTCATCCTTTATCATAAACAGTGAGAAATAATTGGGTTGCCCCTTCTACACAGCTTGGAAATCTCTTCAGGTAAATATCCAAAGTCATCATTTACAAGTGTTGCTTTCCACCTAACCTCATGATAAAATTTGGCTGCATTTCCTGTCACTACGTAGCAAGGATGCCTTTTCCTCCACTTCACAATACATAGTTTCCGTCGCCTTCTGAGCCCTCACTAGTAGTGTTTTAACACTCATCTTTCTACTAAAACTCTATTTGTGATGATTTAGTTACTTTCTAAGATGATACAGCTTTACTATACTCCTCACTTCTGTCTGTGTCTTCACCGTCAGCAATTTAACGACCCTGTTTACAATGATCTAGACATTCTTTAAGATAATACAAGTTTTTTTCCTACTATACTCCTCATTATTCTTCCAGCCTCTGCCCCTTACCCATTTCCAAAGCCAGTTCTACATTTTTGGCATTTATTTCATATAGCAACTCTCCATTTCTAGATACCAAAATCGATTTACCATTTTTTGAATGTCTCCCATTTTCCAGAATTAAGCTAAGTGCTTTATAAACATCTTAATTATCTTAACAACTACCCAAGGGGCACATTATTATATATATTTTACAGATCTGAAAGACAGTTCAGTATGATTTAAAAATGTCAGTCTTTGGCCCCAGGCAGATGTTGATTTAAATTCTGATTTCATAACACTTTAGCTACATATTCTTGGGAAAATCACTTAGTCTTTTAAAATTTTCTGAGCTTCAGTTGCCTAAAAACTAAAATAGTAGAAATAAACCCTACTATAGAAAACAAATTTTATTGCCTTTTCTTTTATACATTTTTTTTCTTTTTCTTTTTTGTTGTTGTTGAGGGGTACATAGATATGCAGTCTGCTTGCCTTAATGGGCATGCAATAGGTGTTATTCTTGATGTTGTTCTATTCTGTTGTCACCTATGGAATTAATTCATATGAAAAAGAATATTACCAGAGGAGAGGAAATATACATAATAAAGATGCCTGGTAAAGGAGAATAAAATAGGTATATTTGGAGAGACTTAGGCTAATGTAGCTGATGAAAGTTTCTAAAAGTTCTGTGGTGACTGAAATGCTTACTGGCTCCCTCAACTTTCCATTGCTTTCCTTGAGGATAATTAATAGATATCAGATATATCATGAATTAATTAGGGAAAAGATGGTAGAGTCAGCAAAGTTTTTGTTTGATGAAAATTCAGATGTGGAGGAGCTCTGTATTTCTTTCTTTCTTTTCTTTTTTTTTTTAAACAGAGTTTCACTGTGTCGCCCAGGCTAGAGTGCAGTGGTGTGATCTTGGCTCACTGCAAGCTCCACCTCCCGGGTTCACGCCATTCTCCTGCCTCAGCCTCCCAAGTAGCTGGGACTACAGGTGCCCGCCACCATGCCCGTCTAATTTTTTGTATTTTTAGTAGAGACGGGGTTTCACCGTGTTAGTCAGGATGGTCTCGATCTCCTGACCTCGTGATCCACCCACCTTGGCCTCCTAAAGTGCTGGGATTACAGGCATGAGCCACCGCGCCTGGCTGGAGCTTTGTATTTCTAAGGAAATTTAGTGATAAGTCCTGAAATCATCTTGAACAATGAAAAAGGGTTATTATAATCGGTAGTTACTTCTAATTTGTGTTATATCCTTCTAAAGTAGTTTACTTAATAAAAAGTTCCATATTTGGTTTGTCAACCTTGGGGATTTAACACTTCAATTAAAATGTGATACTTAACATAAAAAGAGAAAAAAGAAAGAGAGGGAACCTCTGGGTCTATATTTATTACTTGCCTCCTCAATAAAGAAAGAATTGTTTAAAACAGTTTATTTTAACATAAACCAACCCAGGCGTCATCTCAGAGCTATCTCTTTGGAATTTGTCTGCAAATAGAAGTTTTATCATTTGTCTTTTGAAAAGGGCACCCAAGTAGGAAGAACAGCTGTAGTCTACAATTTTCAAACTTCATAACGTAATTTGTTGACTACTTTTTTCAATTAAGTTTTATGCTGTCAGATAGTGAGGTGGTTAATTTATATATGTTTGCATAAATATATACTGTGCTGGAAACCCCAAATTGTCATCATTTTTATAGGTTTAAAATAAGATTTACTGATGAAACTGTTTCCTTTCTTTTTCATGGGAAAGGAGGAATCATGTGAAGAATTTGGACATAAAATAGACCAAAATTCAAATTCCAGTTCTATCACGTACTCTCTTGTACCTCGGATCTTAACTTTGTTGAGCTTCTTACTCATCTATGAAATGGGTGTAATAATACATTTAAATGAGATAACATACAGCTCCTGGCAAATAATATTTTCTCAGTAAACATTTTTGTTATTCTTTATTTTCATAGTCTCTGTTACAAGTCAGGTAAATTATCTCTAGTCCTACCCAATTGCCAAACCAGTAAATATAAGTTACTGGGGCAGTTCAGAATTTTCAATCATCCTATGGCCTTACCTCCAATTTTTCTCTACACATATATTTCCTTTATACCACTAAGCAAAATTAGAAATGTCTTGGTTTATATATTTCTTCCCATGCTTTCTGTCTCTACAACCAGAATATAAGCTTCAGAACAAGAGTATTCAAATCTGGTGTGTTTATCCCCAGACTCACAACACTGGGTCCAGAGCAGGTCCTCAGTAGATGTTTATAAATATCAGGATGTATTACATATATTAACTTTTTATGAGTAGTTATTATTTATTATATTCCACTTAGATATGGAATTATTACTTCAGGTGGTAGCTGACTTGTACTGGAAAAGTGACTGAGCCCAACTCTAATGCTAATGTTAATTGGATTTATATGAAGTTTCTTTGGTTTTAATTGCACTTTGAATGAATTCAAGAATTTCACTAGCTATAACTTCTATCTATGGTAAGAAGCGTTGTCCAAGCCACAGAACCTCAAGATTACAACAGAGATTTAAATTAAAACTCTTCTAATTGTTATTATTGTAATTATTATAATTCACCAACTGGACAATTGGAACAATAAACTCTTGGAATTTAAATTAAGTATGGAATGGGGATGGATGTTTGGGGTGCTTTATAGTTTCCTGTCTCCATCTCTCTCAGTGGCCTCTTACTCTCAAATAGCAGTGGTAATTCTTCTTGGATCATTAACCTAAAAGAGTCTCAGGAATGCTTTGTGACCATTGCTACCGAAATATAACTACTCAATATGAGTGGGAGATAATGGGTCTGGATATGTTGGCCACATACATACCAGGTGGAAGCTAGGCCTGGGTAGGAACCCTGAAAAACGCTTTGCAAGAAAATTCAATATCTTTGAATTACAATAACTTTCAGGAATTCTCATTCCATTTAGAATGTAGACAAAGGCTAATAACCAAACTGAGGTCTCTCCCTGACCATTGAAGGCTGGTTCTGGGTTCTGCAGGGTGCCCTGCCTTGCAAAGCTCTGATGTGCTCTGGTTTCCCACATTTTCCCACATCAGCGCTCTGTTTGCCCACATTTTCCTTTCTGTATAACTGGATGAAGACCCCATTACTGAGTTTTAATCAGAACACTACCTCTACATGCCTGGCTAGGGTAAAAGCTATTTCTCATAGTCAGTTCTTCCAATTCCAGACATAGAAAAATCACAACATTCTATTTTCCCAGAAGGAATGAAGTCCATCTCAGCCAACTGCTCTTGACATCTGTCTCCATCTGTATTAGTCTGTTTTCACACTGCCATAAAGAACTTCCCTGAGACTGGGTAATTTATAAAGAAAGAGATTTAATTGACTCACAGTTCCGCATGGCTAGGGAGGCCTCAGGAAACTTACAATCATGGCAGAAGGGAAGGCAGGCACATCTTACTTGGTAGCAGGCCAGAGAGAGAAAGAGTGAGTGAAGGGCAAAGAATCCCTTATAAAACCATCAGATCTTGTGAGAACTTACTCACTATCATGAGAAGAGCATGGGGGAAACCACTCCCATGATCCAGTTACCTCCCACCAGGTTCCTCCCTTGACATGTAGGGATTACAATTTGAGATGAGATTTGGGTGGGGACACAGAGCCAAACTATATCACTATTTTTTGGGTACCTTCCATTTCTTTCAGCAAAGTTAGATTTTTTTTGGGGGGCTTTAACATAGGGTTCCTTTTTGGATGTTCCACCAAATTACTATGACATTACAGTAATATAAACTGAGAAAACAGATCAGCAATAGACAGAAGAGTTTGTTATGTTTTGTCTTTTTTTTTTTTTTGAGGTGGGGTCTCACTCTGTCACCCAGGCTAGAGTGCAGTGGTGTGATCGCAGCTCTCTGCAACCTCTGCCTCCCAGGCTCAAGTGATCCTCCCACCTCAGCCTCTTGAGTAGCTGGGACCACAGGCATGTGGCACCATGCCTGACTAATTTTTGTGGTTTTGGTAGAGATGGGGTTTTGCCTTGTTGCCCAGGTTGGCCTTGAACTCCTGAGCTCAAGCAATCCATTTGCCTTGACCTCCCAAAGTGCTAGGTTTATTTATTTTTTAAGACATTTTAAATTAATTTCAGTCAAATACATTTTAGAAGAAGATCTTATACTGAGAAGGTATCCCCAGGTCTTTTTTATCCAAAATTGCATAAAACCTCATTTCTTTTCACTGCACAATTATTTTCAGTGTGCATAATATTCACCCCTAAAAAAATTATAATGATATATGTAATATTGGTATAGAATGCTGTATATTCAACTTAAGAAAACGTACAATTGCATTTGTGAACTAAATAACACGTTACTAACAGTTTATTTTCACTTTTTTTTTTTTTTTTTTTTTTTTGAGATGGAGTTTCACCTTGTTGCCCAGGCTGGAGTGCAATGGTGTGATCTCGGCTCACCGCAACCTCTGCCTCCCGGGTTCAAGTGATTCTCCTGCCTCAACCTCCCAGGTAGCTGGGATTACAGGCATGCACCACCACGCCTGGCAAATTTTGTATTTTTAGTAGAGACAGGGTTTCCCTATGTTGGTCAGGCTGGTCTCAAACTCCTGACCTCAGTTGATCCGCTTGCCTTGGCCTCCCAAAGTCCTGGGATTACAGGATTGAGCCACCACACCCGACCTATTTTCACTTATTTTTGTCTTTGTCTTGTGGGTTGACTTGTCCTGCATCTATTTAGCCCAGTAAATGTTGCTGTTCTACTTTTCCTGGCTTCATAATCCACTTTTAGGTTCTAGCTGCATCTCAAATAAATATTGGCAAAGCAATTCAAATCCTTAAAATGCCTCAGCAGATTGATGCATTCTAAGCTGGAGAAAAATAAAAACAGAATCATACATCATGTTTATCAGCCTTTGCCATAGAGTTCTTTGACTATAATGAATTCATTGAGTCAAACAACTTTTTCCATGTCTCTCTCTCACTCTGAAATCTGGCTAAATAAACGTGATGTTTAATATCTTGCAAGTATATTTGCATGTGATGGTAGTTTCCTGTGTAATTAAAAAAATGGGGAAAATGAGCTTATATATTGGCTCTGATAGAACATATTATGGTGGTAAATTTGAAGGAAGCTGAAGGGCAAACATAGCTGTTGACTTGGCAAGTTGTCATGACTAAGAAGGTATTCTGGGACCTATACTCAGTAAAAAAACAATAAGCCACTCTCAGCCTAGATTTTCTTCTTTGGAGGACTTGGCCGCCAGTGTCATTTGCAACCAAGAAAACTTTTATAGGTCTGTTCTTATCAGAGCCTTCCTTTCATGAACAGGCAGGTCAGTCAACTCATCTTCTTTTCTCAACAATTTAGTGAAGTCAGAAAGACTGAAAGACAAAGCAAAAAGAAAGCCAGAGTTACAGTGTTTTAGATAAGCTAAAGCATTTATTGTTTCACCATAGCGGTGGCTGATGCAGATATATGTAGCTAATATCTTTAAAATTCTGGTTGATTCCCTTTCTGGTTGGTTGCATACCTTTCCCAGTGTAACTTCTCAGTGGGAGTAAATGATGTTCATCTAGACCAAAGATGCAAGCTATCATTTCTGTTTCCTTCCCACATAGGTATTTGTCTTTGTTTTGCAAGATTTTCTTTCTCTATCCCTCAATTTAAAAGGCAAATTCCTTAAAAATCCATGGACAATTTCAGGTGTATAGTGCATGGTTCAATTGCCCCAGAGGATAATGTTGAAGTTGCTTTGCAGAGGGGTGCAAGAGAAAGGGGGGTGTAATCCAAGATAATAGTAAAAGCCGATAAGCATTGCCATTTCAGGAAACTCTGCCACATAACTTGGCAGTTTGAAAATTTAGCCAACCTTTTTATAGGGAGGTCATTAAATTCCAGTATTTCATACATATTGTGCTTCAAAGCAGGCAGGTATTCATTATTTTTACTTCATTTTGTTTTATTAAAATAAATGCTTCAGAATACCTTATGCAAAACAAAATCCAAATACATTTTTGAAAACACATGTATACTTTGCTTCTAAACTAGAAAAAACCATATTGCTGGTTTAGGTGACAATTCAATAGGAAGTGAAATTTTTTAATCTAATACATTTTTAAAAAGCTGAGAGTTTACTAGTTTCATATGTATTTTGCCACTAAATCCCTCTTCATTAAGGATATTTATTGCAAAATAATCATCTTTAGAAAAAGGAGGTAGATGTCTTGATTTTGAAACTGAACGATAACATGAAACTGAATAACATGCATAACCTTTACATTTAGAAACAAATTGCTATAATTGCCTCTTGAACAACAAATAAGCAAAAATAACATTAAAATTAAAATATTGTAATATTTCTTTTAAAATTATTTTCCTTTTTTTGAGACAGTCTCACTCTGTCACCCAGGCTAGAGTGCAGTGGCGTGGTTATGGCTCACTGCAGCCTGGACCTCCTGGGCTCAAGTGATCCTCCTGCCTCAGCCTCCCAAAATGTTGAGATTAGAGGCATGAGCCACCGTGCCTGGCCTTGTAATATTTTTCAAAAAACCGCTTCTTAAACCAGGAAGAGAAAAAGATATGCATCATAATTCAGAATGCAGTGTGTCAAATGACTTAATTTTATTTGATCTGCAGCAGAAAAATGTAATTTCTTATTTGAGATTCTTTGATGTTGCCATTTCACTTTTGCCTTTCTTGTTGGCTAATAGCTGGGAATTATTTCCTGGAAAAGTATCTGATCCATTAAGGAAAGAATATGACCATGTTTCGTGGAAATTAAAAAGTAATGTAGACAAATATTCATAGAAGATACAAGTGTGACCCTAAAGTTAGTATTTGAATGTTGTTCTCCTATTTCTGATTTTATTGACCCAAAATATCAAGCTAGGTTTATCCATGTTTGCGTGTAGCATTTTAATTACTTAGCCTAAGAAAAGATGGAATTGAATTTCAAATGTAAAGCAGTAGGAAAAAAAAAGAGAGATTTCTCTTTAGGTTTTCAAAAATGTATTTCTTGGAGCTTCTTGATTTTGGCAGAATGAGCAAAAACAGGACTGAGAGGACTGAACTAACTATTCTTGTCGTTGAATGTGGGAGTTATTTCTGTTTGCTTCCTCTACAAAATCAGTTTCTCCAACCACATCTTGAGAAGTTTTCCTTTGCACAACATGTTTGACAAATTGCCAAGCAAAGGCATTGAAGAATCTCGGCTTCATCCTACAACCTTTTTCTTCATCTCAGAACCTTCAACCTACAACTTTTTCTTCATCTCAGAACACGTCTTAGAAGATATGAGTCTCCAAAATAGCAGAGGGGAATGTTTTACTTAAAAAATGTGTGTGAGATCACTGTACATAAAGTTATTCACATGATAATGGATACAGAACTCCATTGATGAAAAACGTTAGGAATTTTCTCATATATTTAAATGTTTGATAAGTTATTTTCTTTATTTTGGTGACCAGAATGCACACAAATGGTTGCATAATTTATGTAGATATATGCAAAAGCTCTGCCAACAGGTACTTGTGGGAGAATCAAAGTCTGCTCTATCCATGCATTCCTTTTACATTCCTTTTACTTCCACCTCCACTTCTTATTTCTTTCTTTTTTTTTTTTTTTTTTTTTTTGGAGACGGAGTCTCACTCTGTTACCCAGGCTGGAGTGCAGTGGCACAATCTTGGCTCACTGCAACCTCCACCTCTCCACCTCCCGGGTTCAAGCAATTCTCCTGCCTCCGCCTCCCGAGTAGCTGGGACGACAGGCCCACGCTGCCACACCCGGCTAATTTTTTGTATTTTAGTAGAGATGGGTTTTCACCGTGTTGCCCAGGCTGGTCTCCCAAAGTGCTAGGATTATGGGCATGAGCCACTGTGCCCGGCCTCACCTCCACTTCTTAACAAGTACTCTATGCTCTAAGTTCATTATTTTCTCCCACTGGGCTCCCTTTGCTATTGTACTTCTACTCAGTTATTGCTCCCGTTTTTATTATCTGCCTCCTTATTCTTCTTGTAACCGAAGCATTCTCTCTGTAGGTCCAAAATAAAGTCCAAGGACTAGCAGACACTTTCCTTTTCAGGACACAATATGTTATCTCATCCCTGGAATACCTAGGATACATCGCACACTCCGTGCACGGTGTGTGTGTGTGTGTGTGTGTGTGTCTGTGGTCTGCGTGTGTATGCTTCTTTGTTATGCATTGTTAATTTCTTTCACTACAAGTATTTTAAGTTTTTTGAACAAAAAGAACTATATTTCAATAATAGTTATCATCTACTGAACATCTGAGAGTAGCAACAAATGTTAGAGTGAACATTGTAAAATAATTAAAAGGACCAAATTACACTTTCTTACCTGCCTTTTTTTTTTTTTTTTTTTTGAGATGGAGTCACTCTGTTGCCCAGGCTGGAGTACAGTGGCGTGATATCGGCTCACTGCAGCCTCTGCCTCCTGGGTTCAAGCAATTCTCTTGCCTCAGCCTCCCAAGTAGCTGGGATTACAGACCACGCACCACCACACCTGGCTAATTTTTTTTTTTGTATTTTTAGTAGAGACAGGGTTTTGCCATTTTTTCTGTAATATTGAGTAGACATCTGGCCCATTCACATACCTAATAGTAAATGTTATAATGTAAAAAAAAAAAAAAAAAAATACTAGTTTCTACAAATATTGTCTCTTTTACTTTTATAGCCAGAGAATCACTTTCTTATAGTTAGATATGGTATTGTAACTAGTTCTGGCTAATGGAATGTAAGCAAAGTGTTATGTGCAACATTTTTTCAAAGGTTTAGGGCAAGATCTTCATCCTTTATGGCTGGGGTACAATCAATCATTTCGGACCAGAAATGAACATGGGATCTGCATGGCTTCATATTATCAGCCATGGACAATATCATTTGAGAAAAGGATTGTTAAAAATTAATCATAGAAACAAACAAAATTTTATTCTATTTTGTTTAAGCCACTGTTAGTTTGGGTTTCTGAGATTCACTGCTGAATGTTATTCTGATACCTCCACTTCAACCTACGATGTGTAATTCCCAGTTTACCTGGGACAGTCCTGAATTACAGTGATGTCTTGTAATTTTTCTGCTACTTCCCAGGACCCTCAAAAGTACCTGGCTTAGGTGATATGTTATATAGTGATGCTTCTTAATTCTCTAGACTCCGAATGTTATTAGCTACAGCAACATTTATCGAAGTAACATTTTTCCTAGGAGTTTAAATGTAAAACAGCTAAAGACAAAGTTACTCTGGGTCAGACATGTCTGGAAGAGCTACAGTTCTCCCTAATACCTACAGACCACAAACTGGGCCTGAACTGGTATCTATATATGTGTGTGTTGGTGGGGGTGATATCTATTTATTCATTTGTTTATTTTTTTTCCACTGGATAGGAATTTCTAACAATTAAAATATGTTATTGTTCTTAGAGCTAAACATAATGATAAATGTAAGGGAGACATAAGGAAGATCCTACATATAGTTTTTGTTTGTTTGTTTGTTTGTTTGAGACAGAGTCTCACTCTGTTGTGCAGGCTGGAGTGCAATGGTGTGATTTTGGCTCACTGCAGCCTCTGCCTCCCAGGCTCAAGCAATTCTCCTGTCTCAGTCTCCTGAATAGCTGGGATTACAGGTGCGCACTGCCCTGCCCGAATAATTTTTTGTATTTTTAGTAGAGCCAGGGGCTTCACCGTGTTCCCCAGGCTGGTCTTGAACTCCTGAGCTCAGGCAATCCACCCGCCTTGATCTCCAAAAGTGCTAGGAGTACAAGCATGAGCCACCGCACCTGGCCCCTGGTGTATAGTTTTAGAGACTCCTTTTCAATTGTGTCAGAAGTGTTTGAACCAGAGCAACTCCATCTTGAGTAGGGGCTAGGTAAAATGAGGCAGAAATCTACTAGGCTGCATTCCCAGATGCTTAGGCATTCTAAATGATGGATGGGATAGGAGATCGGCACAAGATACAGTTCATAAAGACCTTGCTGATAAAACAGGTTGCAATTAAGAACCTGGCTAAAACCCACCAAAACCAAAATGGTCACGAGAGTGACCTCTGGTCATCCTCACTGCTACACTCCCACCAGTGCTGTGACAGTTTACACATGCCAAGGCAACATCAGGAAGTTACCCTATATGGTCTAAAAAGGGGAGGCATGAATACTCCACCCCTTGTTTAGCATGTCATCAAGGAATAACCATAAAAATAAGAAACCAGCAGCCCTTGGGTCTGCTGTGTCTATGGAGTAGCCATTCTTTTATTCCTTTACTTTCTTAATAAACTTGCGTTCACTTTACTCTCTGGATTCTCCCTGAATTCGTCTTTCTTGAGCGAAAGCCAAGACCCTCTCTTGGGATCTGGATTGGGACCCCTTTCCTGTAACAATTGTGTCCTATTACATTCAGCCAATTTAGCAAATTGATTTATGATTCTTACATATCCATAGGATAAGTATGTGGATTATCTTCATTTTGTTACTGATGAGAAAATGGACACTTAAAGAAATTCAGTGACTTTCCAGGGTTACATACCATCTGACTAAATGGCAAAACTGAAATCAAGCCCAAATACACTCTACCTCCTCTCACAAATTTTGGAAACATTTAATCCAATCCTTAAATCAACAGAGGATCAAACTGAGGCGCAGGGATTGCTGAAATAGACAAGGAGTAACAAAGTTTGCCCCGTTAGAGCCAAATGATGAGCTTCTGGCCTTTTGAAAAGTTTAGTTGTAAAATAGTCCCTATGAGTAGGAAGGAAGACACATTTTTATTTAGTTTTATGTAAATGGTGCGAGACAAATTCAGCCTTGCCTAAGGCAACTGAAAAACCATCTTTGAGTGAATTATTCCTTTGAAGCTTTATCTTCAAAAGGCACTGCTACTCTTTAACTTTGGCAGGAAAGGGGAACACCTGCAGCACCGTTGCATAAATTGGCTTCGTTGGACCTCCTTCATCAGCCAGAGCTGGAGACCTACGTGGGTTATAATGTCTGGAAAGGGCAAGGTGGTGGCCTGAGTAGTCTGAAGTCTGTTATTCTGGTAATGGTTCCCTACTTAGGGTATTTCTAACTATGAATCAGGCCTTCAGGAGAAATATTACTAACTGGAAATATTGAGGGACGTGGAGACAAGATGTGAGCCTACAGCACAGCTTTCCTTCCAGTGCGTATGGTACATAGGATGCCCAAGTGCGGGTTCAAATATGCTGAGATGTTGATTCGCTCAGCCCTTGGGATGGATCTTGCAATGAGACTTGCTCAGTCTCATTTGTTTTTCCCGAGTACAGGGTACCATGTACCTAAAATCGTTTGCTTGTTACTCTGGGATATCATGGGAAGCCCTGGCCTAGGGCATCTAGAACTACATGCAGCTAGCATGTGGAGGACTGAAAGAATTCTCTGAACCGAAGAGCATGTGATTTGGAATTTTTAAACATAGTTTCTGTAAATATAGATGGAGTCTTCCCTGCACATATAAGGCATATCCCGTGGATCCAAAGGGGTAACTATGTGATTTGACAGCAAAAGTGGATGTGATCCACAAAGCAGAGAAATACGGAGCCAGGTCCACCTTGGAAAAACAGGAACACATATCCACACTCAGTACGCATCCTCTCTCATCTCACGACTCTCATCCCAGTCAGAGTTGTCTGAATGGACAGGATTACTGGCAAATATTTGCTATGATGAAGATTTTTTTCCCATGATTGCTAATATTTTATGCCTCAATCCCCCATTCCTCCCCACCCCAGCAAACCAAGTCCTTCATGATGTTTCCATGGCTCTTGCAGTTCCTAGACAATCTGTTTGGCTTCCCCATCCAAGATTTTTGGAGTGGAACACTGGAATATAGGATAGCATCACAAGTTAGTCAAGAAAGTCAATAGGAAGTGATGTTTATAGCTGGGATAAGATGTCCTTTTAGGCCACTTAAGCTTTGTACATGGACCTGCACTGTGTGTATTTCATAGAACAGCTAGGTAGCATTTCCCATGTCGTGTCTACCACATGTTGGATGTCAGGGTGGGTTGAAATGCTTTGGATCAGTATTTGTCAAATTATGATCTGTCGACTACCATCTTCTAGGACTAATACATTAAATATATTTTAAAAAATTGGAGTTATATGTTTAAGTAATGGTCAGGATTAATTCTAGGGATAGAAAGTTCTAGGGATAAATATTCAAGACTAAGTAGCTGAGAGACACAATCAAGAACAGAATTTTTTTCTTTATTTTTTTAAACTACACTATGTTTTGTGTGTTGGCTTCTCTACATTTCCCTCATGGTTACTAGATGATTGTTATGTCTCTATGACTGCATCTTCCTTCCAGAGAGGAGAAAAGAGGAAGTAAAAAGGGGTTAAAAGTCATGTTAGTGGAGTCTTTCCCTTTTATGAGAAAAACAAAAAACATTCCTAGGAACTTTCCTCTTAAGTCGCACTAGACAGGATTTAGTCACATGGCTACCATCAATACATCTTTGGAAAAGGGTAACAAGATTACCACAACTAGTCATGGCCAGGGTGACCACCTGCCTATCAAAGATTTCTGTTTCTTTTTCATGGTGTAGAATGGTTGCTAAGAAGGCACACTTCCAAGCCTTTCTTTTTTTTTTTTTTTTTTTTAATTTTTTTTTTTTTTATTATACTCTAAGTTTTAGGGTACATGTGCACATTGTGCAGGTTAGTTACATATGTATACATGTGCCATGCTGGTGCGCTGCACCCACTAACGTGTCATCTAGCATTAGGTATATCTCCCAATGCTATCCCTCCCCCCTCCCCCGACCCCACCACAGTCCCCAGAGTGTGATATTCCCCTTCCTGTGTCCAAGTGATCTCATTGTTCAATTCCCACCTATGAGTGAGAATATGCGGTGTTTGGTTTTTTGTTCTTGCGATAGTTTACTGAGAATGATGGTTTCCAATTTCATCCATGTCCCTACAAAGGACATGAACTCATCATTTTTTATGGCTGCATAGTATTCCATGGTGTATATGTGCCACATTTTCTTAATCCAGTCTATCATTGTTGGACATTTGGGTTGGTTCCAAGTCTTTGCTATTGTGAATAGTGCCGCAATAAACATACGTGTGCATGTGTCTTTATAGCAGCATGATTTATAGTCCTTTGGGTATATACCCAGTAATGGGATGGCTGGGTCAAATGGTATTTCTAGTTCTAGATCCCTGAGGAATCGCCACACTGACTTCCACAATGGTTGAACTAGTTTACAGTCCCACCAACAGTGTAAAAGTGTTCCTATTTCTCCACATCCTCTCCAGCACCTGTTGTTTCCTGACTTTTTAATGATTGCCATTCTAACTGGTGTGAGATGATATCTCATAGTGGTTTTGATTTGCATTTCTCTGATGGCCAGTGATGATGAGCATTTCTTCATGTGTATTTTGGCTGCATAAATGTCTTCTTTTGAGAAGTGTCTGTTCATGTCCTTCGCCCACTTTTTGATGGGGTTGTTTGTTTTTTTCTTGTAAATTTGTTTGAGTTCATTGTAGATTCTGGATATTAGCCCTTTGTCAGATGAGTAGGTTGCGAAAATTTTCTCCCATGTTGTAGGTTGCCTGTTCACTCTGATGGTAGTTTCTTTTGCTGTGCAGAAGCTCTTTAGTTTAATTAGATCCCATTTGTCAATTTTGGCTTTTGTTGCCATTGCTTTTGGTGTTTTGGACATGAAGTCCTTGCCCACGCCTATGTCCTGAATGGTAATGCCTAGGTTTTCTTCTAGGGTTTTTATGGTTTTAGGTCTAACATTTAAATCTTTAATCCATCTTGAATTGATTTTTGTATAAGGTGTAAGGAAGGGATCCAGTTTCAGCTTTCTACATATGGCTAGCCAGTTTTCCCAGCACCATTTATTAAATAGGGAATCCTTTCCCCATTGCTTGTTTTTCTCAGGTTTGTCAAAGATCAGATAGTTGTAGATATGTGGCATTATTTCTGAGGGCTCTGTTCTGTTCCATTGATCTATATCTCTGTTTTGGTACCAGTACCATGCTGTTTTGGTTACTGTAGCCTTGTAGTATAGTTTGAAGTCAGGTAGTGTGATGCCTCCAGCTTTGTTCTTTTGGCTTAGGATTGACTTGGCGATGCGGGCTCTTTTTTGGTTCTATATGAACTTTAAAGTAGTTTTTTCCAATTCTGTGAAGAAAGTCATTGGTAGCTTGATGGGGATGGCATTGAATCTGTAAATTACCTTGGGCAGTATGGCCATTTTCACGATATTGATTCTTCCTACCCATGAGCATGGAATGTTCTTCCATTTGTTTGTGTCCTCTTTTATTTCCTTGAGCAGTGGTTTGTAGTTCTCCTTGAAGAGGTCCTTCACATCCCTTGTAAGTTGGATTCCTAGGTATTTTATTCTCTTTGAAGCAATTGTGAATGGGAGTTCACTCATGATTTGGCTCTCTGTTTGTCTGTTGTTGGTGTATAAGAATGCTTGTGATTTTTGTACATTGATTTTGTATCCTGAGACTTTGCTGAAGTTGCTTATCAGCTTAAGGAGATTTTGGGCTGAGACGATGGGGTTTTCTAGATAAACAATCATGTCATCTGCAAACAGGGACAATTTGACTTCCTCTTTTCCTAATTGAATACCCTTTATTTCCTTCTCCTGCCTGATTGCCCTGGCCAGAACTTCCAACACTATGTTGAATAGGAGCGGTGAGAGAGGGCATCCCTATCTTGTGCCAGTTTTCAAAGGGAATGCTTCCAGTTTTTGCCCATTCAGTATGATATTGGCTGTGGGTTTGTCATAGATAGCTCTTATTATTTTGAAATACGTCCCATCAATACCTAATTTATTGAGAGTTTTTAGCATGAAGGGTTGTTGAATTTTGTCAAAGGCTTTTTCTGCATCTATTGAGATAATAATGTGGTTTTTGTCTTTGGCTCTGTTTATATGCTGGATTACATTTATTGATTTGCGTATATTGAACCAGCCTTGCATCCCAGGGATGAAGCCCACTTGATCATGGTGGATAAGCTTTTTGATGTGCTGCTGGATTCGGTTTGCCAGTATTTTATTGAGGATTTTTGCATCAATGTTCATCAAGGATATTGGTCTAAAATTCTCTTTTTTGGTTGTGTCTCTGCCCGGCTTTGGTATCACAATGATGCTGGCCTCATAAAATGAGTTAGGGAGGATTCCCTCTTTTTCTATTGATTGGAATAGTTTCAGAAGGAATGGTACCAGTTCCTCCTTGTACCTCTGGTAGAATTCGGCTGTGAATCCATCTGGTCCTGGACTCTTTTTGGTTGGTAAACTATTGATTATTGCCACAATTTCAGAGCCTGTTATTGGTCTATTCAGAGATTCAACTTCTTCCTGGTTTAGTCTTGGGAGAGTGTATGTGTCGAGGAATGTATCCATTTCTTCTAGATTTTCTAGTTTATTTGCGTAGAGGTGTTTGTAGTATTCTCTGATGGTAGTTTGTATTTCTGTGGGATCGGTGGTGATATCCCCTTTATCATTTTTTATTGTGTCTATTTGATTCTTCTCTCTTTTTTTCTTTATTAGTCTTGCTAGCGGTCTATCAATTTTGTTGATCCTTTCAAAAAACCAGCTCCTGGATTCACTGATTTTTTGAAGGGTTTTTTGTGTCTCTATTTCCTTCAGTTCTGCTCTGATTTTAGTTATTTCTTGCCTTCTGCTAGCTTTTGAATGTGTTTGCTCTTGCTTTTCTAGTTCTTTTAATTGTGATGTTAGGGTGTCAATTTTGGATCTTTCCTGCTTTCTCTTGTAGGCATTTAGTGCTATAAATTTCCCTCTACACACTGCTTTGAATGCGTCCCAGAGATTCTGGTATGTGGTGTCTTTGTTCTCGTTGGTTTCAAAGAACATCTTTATTTCTGCCTTCATTTCGTTAGGTACCCAGTAGTCATTCAGGAGCAGGTTGTTCAGTTTCCATGTAGTTGAGCGGCTTTGAGTGAGATTCTTAATCCTGAGTTCTAGTTTGATTGCACTGTGGTCTGAGAGATAGTTTGTTATAATTTCTGTTCTTTTACATTTGCTGAGGAGAGCTTTACTTCCAACTATGTGGTCAATTTTGGAATAGGTGTGGTGTGGTGCTGAAAAAAATGTATATTCTGTTGATTTGGGGTGGAGAGTTCTGTAGATGTCTATTAGGTCTGCTTGGTGCAGAGCTGAGTTCAATTCCTGGGTATCCTTGTTGACTTTCTGTCTCGTTGATCTGTCTAATGTTGACAGTGGGGTGTTAATGTCTCCCATTATTAATGTGTGGGAGTCTAAGTCTCTTTGTAGGTCACTCAGGACTTGCTTTATGAATCTGGGTGCTCCTGTATTGGGTGCATAAATATTTAGGATAGTTAGCTCCTCTTGTTGAATTGATCCCTTTACCATTATGTAATGGCCTTCTTTGTCTCTTTTGATCTTTGTTGGTTTAAAGTCTGTTTTATCAGAGACTAGGATTGCAACCCCTGCCTTTTTTTGTTTTCCATTGGCTTGGTAGATCTTCCTCCATCCTTTTATTTTGAGCCTATGTGTGTCTCTGCACGTGAGATGGGTTTCCTGAATACAGCACACTGATGGGTCTTGACTCTTTATCCAACTTGCCAGTCTGTGTCTTTTAATTGCAGAATTTAGTCCATTTATATTTAAAGTTAATATTGTTATGTGTGAATTTGATCCTGTCATTATGATGTTAGCTGGTGATTTTGCTCATTAGTTGATGCAGTTTCTTCCTAGTCTTGATGGTCTTTACATTTTGGCATGATTTTGCAGCGGCTGGTACCGGTTGTTCCTTTCCATGTTTAGCACTTCCTTCAGGAGCTCTTTTAGGGCAGGCCTGGTGGTGACAAAATCTCTCAGCATTTGCTTGTCTATAAAGTATTTTATTTCTCCTTCACTTATGAAGCTTAGTTTGGCTGGATATGAAATTCTGGGTTGAAAATTCTTTTCTTTAAGAATGTTGAATATTGGCCCCCACTCTCTTCTGGCTTGTAGGGTTTCTGCCGAGAGATCCGCTGTTAGTCTGATGGGCTTTCCTTTGAGGGTAACCCGACCTTTCTCTCTGGCTGCCCTTAACATTTTTTCCTTCATTTCAACTTTGGTGAATCTGACAATTATGTGTCTTGGAGTTGCTCTTCTCGAGGAGTATCTTTGTGGTGTTCTCTGTATTTCCTGAATCTGAACGTTGGCCTGCCTTGCTAGATTGGGGAAGTTCTCCTGGATAATATCCTGCAGAGTGTTTTCCAACTTGGTTCCATTCTCCACATCACTTTCAGGTACACCAATCAGACGTAGATTTGGTCTTTTCACATAGTCCCATATTTCTTGGAGGCTTTGCTCATTTCTTTTTATTCTTTTTTCTCTAAACTTCCCTTCTCGCTTCATTTCATTCATTTCATCTTCCATTGCTGATACCCTTTCTTCCAGTTGATCGCATCGGCTCCTGAGGCTTCTGCATTCTTCACGTAGTTCTCGAGCCTTGGTTTTCAGCTCCATCAGCTCCTTTAAGCACTTCTCTGTATTGGTTATTCTAGTTATACATTCTTCTAAATTTTTTTCAAAGTTTTCAACTTCTTTGCCTTTGGTTTGAATGTCCTCCCGTAGCTCAGAGTAATTTGATCGTCTGAAGCCTTCTTCTCTCAGCTCGTCAAAATCATTCTCCATCCAGCTTTGTTCTGTTGCTGGTGAGGAACTGCGTTCCTTTGGAGGAGGAGAGGCGCTCTGCGTTTTAGAGTTTCCAGTTTTTCTGTTCTGTTTTTTCCCCATCTTTGTGGTTTTATCTACTTTTGGTCTTTGATGATGGTGATGTACAGATGGGTTTTCGGTGTAGATGTCCTTTCTGGTTGTTAGTTTTCCTTCTAACAGACAGGACCCTCAGCTGCAGGTCTGTTGGAATACCCTGCCGTGTGAGGTGTCAGTGTGCCCCTGCTGGGGGGTGCCTCCCAGTTAGGCTGCTCGGGGGTCAGGGGTCAGGGACCCACTTGAGGAGGCAGTCTGCCCGTTCTCAGATCTCCAGCTGCGTGCTGGGAGAACCACTGCTCTCTTCAAAGCTGTCAGACAGGGACACTTAAGTCTGCAGAGGTTACTGCTGTCTTTTTGTTTGTCTGTGCCCTGCCCCCAGAGGTGGAGCCTACAGAGGCAGGCAGGCCTCCTGGAGCTGTGGTGGGCTCCACCCAGTTCGAGCTTCCCTGCTGCTTTGTTTACCTAAGCAAGCCTGGGCAATGGCGGGCGCCCCTCCCCCAGCCTCGTTGCCGCCTTGCAGTTTGATCTCAGACTGCTGTGCTAGCAATCAGCGAGATTCCGTGGGCGTAGGACCCTCTGAGCCAGGTGTGGGATATAGTCTCGTGGTGCGCCGTTTCTTAAGCCGGTCTGAAAAGCGCAATATTCGGGTGGGAGTGACCCGATTTTCCAGGTGCGTCCGTCACCCCTTTCTTTGACTCGGAAAGGGAACTCCCTGACCCCTTGAGCTTCCCGAGTGAGGCAATGCCTCGCCCTGCTTCGGCTCGCGCACGGTGCGCGCACACACTGGCCTGCGCCCACTGTCTGGCACTCCCTAGTGAGATGAACCCGGTACCTCAGATGGAAATGCAGAAATCACCCGTCTTCTGCGTCGCTCACGCTGGGAGCTGTAGACCAGAGCTGTTCCTATTCGGCCATCTTGGCTCCTCCCTCTCCAAGCCTTTCTTGAATCTAGGTAGAGCCATGTGACTAGGTGCTGCCAATAGAATATGCATGGTAGTTATTGGGTTCTCCAGGCTGAAGCAGTGAATGAGTGGGTGTCCCCTTTTTCCTTGTTCCCTCTCTCTCTGTATCTCACTGTGTGTGAGTGTGTGTGTGTGTGTGTGTATGGAAGCTGGAAGAAAGCTGAGGCCAGGGGAGAAGGTGGAGAGCCATAAGATGTTCATGAGCATTACCTGACAAGTACCCGCTTTTGTTGCTGTGTGAAGAGTAAGTGAAATTTTTATTTTGTTAATTCAAGGAGATTTTAGGGGTCCATCTGTTATAGTAGCTACCCTTACCCTAAATGGTACCCTGGTTTAGGCCAGTCATGATTCATCCTCTGAAAGTAGAGTGACAGGGCCTATTTTCCTTAAGTTCTTGATGTCTCCCTGCTCTTAACCTATTAATTGAGCCTCTGTTACCAGGTATAGATATTATAACAATAGTAGAAAGTGTCTCCCACAGTACGTCATAACAATTTTTGTATGCCTGTTGAAAATACAGAGCCCTTAACTCTTCCCCAGGATTACTGAATTAGGCTCAGCTGTCTACATATTTAAAAGTACTCTAAATGATTCTAATGTACCCTGAATTTGGACACAACTGCTCCATAAGGTGTCATGGAGCAGCAACCCATGGATCATCAATGTACCGTCCTCCTCCAGAGCATTGATGTGCTGAGAAGTAGAAGGTATTAGAGGCAGAAGCCATCATTCCTTACAAGGGAGAATGGGAGTAGTGGGTCTTGATGCCGACAGCAGACACAGGGATGATGTCCACCGTAACCTGGATAACGTCATAATAATGTAACATAGTAAATATGATTTAAAGGAGGAGTACCTTCAAAATAAGACAGGAAGAAGCCTGTCAAGTCACTCAAGCTCTTCTTTGCCCCAAAACAGTTGCCTATGACACTTTACCAAAGCATTATTACTTAAAGGTTTTAAAGTAACATAGACCAGCAGCACCACCTTGCATGCCATATTTGAGCTTTTTAAAGAGCCCATTGCCTAGTAAGGGTACATGAATTCAGTAAGGCATAGGTCTGCTAGACACAGGCATTCAACGCTCTGGAGGAGATTATATGAAACTAAGAGTTGAGAGTCACTTTTGAGTGATGTAGCGACGCAAATAAGAATTTTCAAATCTGTCAAAATGTAGGCTGTTAAGTTTGACCTGGGGCACTAAGTCTGAAGGGTTAACAGAGAAGTGATGAGCCAATGTAAAGCTGTATACACACGTGCACACACACAGGAGCTGGGTGAGAATGTTCATAAAGCAACAGGGAAATGTGGTTAGTGAGCACCTGGCAAAATGGCTTTACAAATGCTTTCCCTGAGTTTTAGGTAGAGGAATGTCTTGTTGGTGTAAGCATACAAACCAAAGAGCTCTGAAGTAATTCACTATTGCCTTGAACTTTAGGTGACCCAAATCAAGGAATAAGGGATAGCTTAATTTAATGAAAGTAGAAGGTAAAAAAAAAAAAAAAAAAAAGTTCAGTCTATTTGGTAAGAAAACCTCTTTGGCAAACAGCAGACATGATGTTGCTGATGGAATCTTTAAAGAGGTAGCGGATTTGGTGAAGGACTTGTGTTTGGCATGGAAGGGCTGGGCAAGAAGAACCCTCTCCATTGCATAGCAGAGGGTTCCCCCTTTCAAGCGTGCTTAGGGAGATGGAGTTAGTGGCTGAAACACAAATTTAAGCCCTTTGAAATGTAATATCCTACGCCCTCTGGTGGTTACATTTTTTAAAAATCGTACTAAAGAAAACAGGTTGAAGAAATCATAGAATGCCAATTACAGGAATAACAGGGATCTTAAGTGTCATTTGTCAGAGCTGTATTCAAGATGCCCTTATCGTTAGTTAAAGGTGTCAGCCCCTGAATCAGAAAGAAAAAAAAAGCCTTATTTAATCAGTTTTGCAAATGCTTGAGAAGTCAGCTTTCTCCCGGTTTTTCTCCATCACTTTTCAGGAACTTTTCCATTATGCCTCTGTCGTCAGAATACTTCCGAGATTTGGAAGATAGTGACTCCACTTGGGATGGCTCTGAGGTCCTGCTCCTTCTTGGTATTTTGATAGAAAAGCCTTTTGCCACTCAAAGGGGAATTTCTAAAAGAAACTTCAAACCACACAATTACTTTAAAAGGGTGATCACACAGTAATACATTGAATGATGCCTGGCCAGGATCTAACAAACTTGTCTGTTTCCCTCTTTGTTGTGTCTGGGAGACAGAAAGACAGCCTGGCCATTCTCATGGCAAACTGTCATTAAATTATATCAAGTGTAAATAGTTGTGACTGACACTGTTAACAAAGAACAGGAATCCAGGAACAAAAGGGCACTTCAATGAAGATTAGATGTTCCTTAAGCAACAGATTTTAAGGACCTAGATTCCATAAAATTAGAGTTCTGATTAAGTCTTATAGATATATGTGTATGACATATGCAAGAGGACTTAGATAAAAATTTCAGAGAAAAATTGAATTAAAGATAAAAATTAAAAATACAAGCTTTGTCAACATAAGCTTCCTCAAGTTCAGGACACTTTTGTAAGTGATGATACCTGCCATTTAGTCCACCTATAAAAAACCGATGGTCCTTGGAATTTAACCATGTCAATGCAGTGTTTTTTCCATATTAGCTGAAGAAAAATAGGTACCTTAAAATTTTTTGTTTTAGGATCAGAAAACAAAAAGAAGTCAGAAGGATCCAGATTAGGACTGTAACATGGATACTTAATGATTTCCCATTAAAACTCTCATAAAATTGTCTTTGTTTATTAGAGGGATGAGCAGGAGCATTGTCCTGGTGGAGAAGCACTCTTTGGTGAAGCTTTCCTGTGTGTTTTTCTGCTAAAGCTTTGGCTTTCTCATAACACTCTTATCATAAGCAGATGTTATTATTCTTTGGCCCTCCAGCAAATCAACAAACAAAATGCCTCAAGCATCTCAAAAAACTGTTGTCATGATCTTTGCTCTTGGCTGGTCTACTTTGGCTATGACTGGACCACTTCTATTTCTTGGGAGCCATTATTTTGATTGTGCTTTGACAGCAGGACACACTAATAAAGCCATGTTTCCTCTCCTGTTACAATTCTTTGAAGAATACTTCAGGATCTTGATTCTATTTGTTTAAAATTTTCATTGAAAGCTCTGTTCTTGTCTGCAGCTGATTTGTGCACAACAGTTTTTGCACCTATCAAGGGGAAAGTTTACTCACCTTTAATTTTTCAGTCAAAATTGTGTGGCTCACGCCTGTAATCCCAGCACTTTGGGAGGCCTAGGCAGGTGGCTTACCTGAGGTCAGGAGTTCGAGACCAGCCTGCCCAACATGGCCAAACCCCATCTCTACTAAAAATACAAAAAATTATCAGGGTGGATGTGGTGGTGGGTGCCTGTAATCCCAGCTACTCGGGAGTCTGAGGCAGGAGAAGCACTTGAACTGGGGAGGCAGAAGTTGCAGTGAGCTGAGGTTGCACTCCAGCCTGGGCGACAAGAGCGAAACTCCGTCTCAAAGAAAAAAAAAGAAAAGCAAGAAAAAAGCCGTGTAAACTAAACGAATTGAAATATCTATTGTGTTGGCTGTTGGTTCTGCTATTAATTGGTGGTTCTCTTCAATTAAGGCATAAACAAAATTAATTTTTTTCTTGCAAACTGATGTCGATGGTCTGCTCCTTTGGGCTCATTTCAACATCATCTCATTGACAATTTAAAGTGAGTTACTCATTTATAAATTACTGATTTATTTGGGACATTGTTTCCATAAACTTTTCATAAAGTGACAATGATTTTGCCATTCTTTCGCCCAAGCTTTACCATAAATTTGATGTTTGTTCTTGCTTCAATTTTGGAAGAATTCATATTGCTTTGATAGGGAATCATTTCAAACTCATGTTTTGTAATTCTTAGTGCCTCTAATTAGATCCTGTTCAGTCATATTGTAACAAATTGGTACAAGTTTATTTGGTGCAAAATTTTTTTTGAAATCTATACGTAGATTTTGCAAAATAAACATTTTCCATAAAGCTTCTGACAACCCCTTATTTATAGCAAGATCTTTATTTAGCTAGATATGTAAAGCTAGAATATACATTCATACAATGCAAACAGCATAATATATGTTTAACAAATATTTACGAATAAATCAAAGGAGGAGAAATCTGAAAAGGTCTTATATTTTGTGCCTAGATTTTTCTGAAAATTCATTTTCTAACAAATCATACGGTGATTTTGATTTGGTGGTGGGAAGAGTGGTGGGTGGGTTGGAGGATGTTGTTAAATTGGAGAAAATTTAGATTCAGAGCAAAATAAAAGGTATCTTTAAAACATTTTTTGTTTTTTAAATTTGTTTGTATTTTCTATTTTCATTTTTTTCTACATTTAAATAAGAAAGTTTGTATTATGCAAATCCCAGGAACTGTATTAAGTTGAATTATCACTATAGAGGTGAATGGTTCCGTAAAATACAGTTAGTGGAACCTTGTTAAAAACACCCTAATATCCTAAAATGACTTTGAAATGTGATCTGAAAACCCTGTCATTTTCCAGTTTGAAAATGTAGAAATCTAAAACCAATTATAATAGAGAAAAAAATTTAAGTGAATGTGATTTTGTGTGTTGTTAGGAGTCCCTTCACTTTCCTGTGTACAATTGGCTTTCCTATATGAAAGCACTTGCATTTGATGGCCCGTTTATAAGGAAAACCTTTGATTGCAACCTTTTGGAATTCGTTATGTTTATTTCCAGCTGGACATCAATTTAACTGACCATTGTGTTTGGCTTCCAGTTATGAAATGAAGGAATCTCTAGGTTTAAAAATCCTAATAATTGTTTCTGAAGCAGCTTTAACCACTGGCAGTCCAGCAGATATTCACTGAGGCACTAGTATTTCTCTTGAGTTAAAAGAAAAAGAAAAAGAAAAAAGAATGAAGAAAAAAAAGGAAGGAAGGAAAGAAGAGAGCTGGAGAGAGGGAATGAGGGAGGGGGAAAGGAGGGAGAGAGGGAGAAAGGGATATTTAGCAGCTCTGTAGATTTCTCTTAAAAAGAAACACTTAAACAATGTACTTTCACACATTTGTCCAGTGCAGTTACTGGCATATAACTGATTCACAATAATGATTTTTAATTAAACTCTTGGTCCCAGTGCAAAAAATAAATATGCCCAGAAAATAAAAATATAAAAGCCTCACCAAAACTTTAATAACTTTAATAAACTTTTATTATGTTAATTGACATATAATTGCACAGATTTATGGGGACCAGTGTGATGTTTTGATACATGTATGCAATGTGTAATGATCAAATCAAGGTAATTAGCAAATCCAAACCTTAAATACTTATTATCTCTTTGTGTTGAGAACATTCAAAATTCTCTCTTCTGATTGCTAAAAAAATAGAATAAATTGTTAACTACAGTCACCTTACAAATGCTGTGAAACACTAGAACTTATTCCTTCTATCTTGCTGTAATTTTGTTTTGGTTAAACAACGTCTCCTTATCCCTGCTCACTTTTCATCCTTTAGTAACCACTATTCTACTCTCTACTTCTATGAGATTGACATTTTAGCTTCCATATATGAGTGAGAACATGCAGTGTTTATCTTTCTGAACCTGGCTTATTTCACTTAACACAGTGTCCTACAGATTCATCCACATTGCCACTAATGATAGAATGTTACTCTTTTTTAATGACTGAATATTCCATTCTATATTATAATTATATATAATGGAGTAATATGTATTTATAATATAGTTGTTTATATATGTGTGTGTGTGTGTATATATATATGTGTGTGTGTGTGTATAGCCATTATGGAAAGTAATATAATTATATATGTATATATAAAATCACATCTATATGTAAAACTTTTTATTTCTTTGTTCAGTCTTGTAGGTTATATGTATCCAGGAATTTACCTATGTCCTTTAGGTTTTCTAATTTGTTATTTTACATATATATATATATATATATATATATATATATATATATATACACACACACACACACACACACACACACACACACACATATATATATATATAAACATTTTCCTTTTCCATTCACCTGTAGATGGGCATTGAGGTCATTTCCATATCTTGGCTGTTGTAAATAGTGCGGCCATAAACATTAGAAGCCTTGTCTTCAGGTTCAGAAATTCTTCTTTTTGATTTAGTCTCTTATTAAAGCTATTGATTGTAATTTTTTTTGTTTTTTATTATGTTTTTTGGCTCCAAGGTTTTTGTTTAGTTCTTTTAAAGGTATCTATCTCATTGTTGAATTTTTCTTTCAAATCACGAATTTTTTCTTTTTCTTTTTTTTGAGATGGAGTCTCACTCTGTCACCCAGGCTGGAGTATGGTGGCGCGATCTCGGCTCACTGCAACCTCTGCCTACCGGGTTCAAGCGATTCTTCTGCCTCAGCCTCCCAGGTAGCTATGACTACAGGCGCGTGCCACCATACCTGGCTGATTTTTGCATTTTTAGTGAAGACAGGGTTTCACCATGTTGGCCAGGCTGGTCTGGAACTCCTGACCTCAAGTGACCTGCCCACTTCAGCCTCCCAAAGTGCTGGAATTACAGGCATGAGCTACCGTGCCTGACCCAAATACCCAAATCATTTTTTTTTTTTTTGCTCTATTTTCTATCTGTATTCTCTTGTATCCTGTATAGTTTCCTTAAGATCATTCTTTTGAATTATTTTTCTGGCATTTCATGAATTTTCTTTGGGGTCTGTCACTAGAGAATTATTATGTGTCTTTGAAGCTGTCATTTTTTTTTTTTGCTTGTTTATGTTTCTTATGTCCCTATGTTGATATCTGCACATCTGGTGGCAAACTTGTCCCTTTCAGTTTTATGGAGTAGCTTTTGTAGGAAAAGACTTATTCCTGTAGATGAGCTCTAGCATATTGGCTGGGTAAGATGCACTGGTTTTGGTTCTGGGTTGACACAGTAATATAGTTTAGTTTTCATGCAATTTCTTAGGTTATATTTTATGTTAACAAGATATTTGCAAGTGTCTAAGTGGCCTAGGCTGTGGAAGTTTGTGATCATGGTGGTGTAGCTTTGCCAGCTGGCCCTACTGGGCCTACTGGGCTGATTCTCAGGCCACAGACATGTAAATTCTCATCAGAGTAAGGTCACTGAGATATTTCCCTTACCAGGGGTACAGACATGCAGACGTGTGGCAGGGTATCCAATTCAGAGGAAAGGCCACATTGGATGCGTTTGCTAGGCTGTTTCTCTGGCTGAGAACATAAGGATGCAGCAGCTTGGCCCCTGGGGAATGAACTGAGTGCTGGAGGTGGGTCGGCCTGCTACCCTAGCCCAAGGTGTGGGCACATGGTAGCTTGGCCAGCTTGGAGGAAAGTTGAACTTAT
Organism: Homo sapiens; assembly: GCF_000001405.40. Taxonomy (NCBI): domain Eukaryota; kingdom Metazoa; phylum Chordata; class Mammalia; order Primates; family Hominidae; genus Homo; species Homo sapiens. Next base: position 70,558,270 of record NC_000017.11, read on the forward strand.
AAATATTGTGACATCCAAGATTTATTTTTATTTCAAAGGATTAAAATTAATAGTTGTAACAGTCCACTGTGAAGTAAAAACTACCCAAATATTTATTGACAATAGAATGGATATATAAATTGTTGTCTAATCATACATTAGAGTAATATCCAACAATGGCAGTAAATTATTTGTAATTGTATGCAACAACATGGACGAATCTCAAAACATCATGTTGAGTAAAAGAAGCCAGACTCAAGAGTGTACATATTGTATAATACCCCTTATAGAATAAACAAAGTTGTGCAAAATTACTCTTTGCTATTAAAGGGAGAAATGCTAGTGACAGAAAGTGATCATGAGACATTTTCTTTGATGCTACTTAAGTATATGCATTTGAGTATATGCATACATATTTTAAAGATGGCATCTAAAGTGGTCTTTCTAAAACAAAAATATAATCATAAAAATCTCATGCCCAAAAAGTTTATACTCTAAAAGGCTCACCATTTCAAACAGATAACATCCGCCTAATCTTTAACATGGCTAACCCAATTTTTCATATCGACTTCTCTGACTTCTCTTGGCTTATCTTTCTTTTGGATTCCTTACCCAAACCTTTATATATTCATGTACACCTCACTAATTATCCACAGTTTTCTTATTATTCATTAAATTCCCCACTTGGTCTCCTTCTTACATGTTCTCCCCAATCTGGTTAGAGATCTCTCCTACTTCCTCCCAAAGCACCATGTGTTTCCTTCAGCTTAGCAGTTACCACATTCCTTGGTAAGTACTAATCAATTTGTATGTTTACCGGACTCAGACTGTGACGACAAGGACCTTATTTATCCCCACTGTAAAGTCTTGTGCCTGGAATACAACCGAATCTGAATATCTGTTTTCTGTATAACTAATTCTATCATGGATGAGATTTTTATAATTATTAATGTGATGTTTCTTCTTTTGCTATTTTATTTATAAGGCTTTTTGTCTTTATGAATGTACAATTGGGACCTCTGTTTGTGTGAGAAAATTAAGATTTATTATATAAAGTATTCATGAAAAATGCTGCATGTTAGAATATTAATTCATCTTCTAACATGCAGTATGTGAGTATGTGTGTTTATACTGTATATGTATTCTTTATGCAGATATAGAAAGTAAGCTAATATTGACTTCCCTCTTTTTTGTCATTATAAGGTTTTATAGGAAACCAAGTGTTTTCTCAAGAAAAACTAAGAATCACCTTAAAAATTAGTTTGAGTTACCCAATTGTATATTAGTTATATTATTTTACTCTGCTACCCATGAGGCAAGGTTAAAGACAGAAGGCTAGATAAGTGATTCACAAAAATAAAGATAATAGAATATATATATAATATATATATACATCTCCAAGTTGTACTGTGAGTTTAAATATATGACCCACTTACTAATCAATCAATGGAGAAAAGCTATGACATATTTTTAAGGTGACATGTTAGAGGTATTTCATGAATATTTGAGATTTGATAAGACACACATATTAGGTATTAGCTAAGTATTCCTAATTATTAATGTAAACTAGACTAGAATGTGCATTAGAAAGAGTAGTAGATATATTGTCACAAAAGCTGAGTGCGAAAAGCAACACCAGCAACTTCCAGGGTGATGCCGAATATATTATTGCAGGCTTGAGTTCCCTCATCTCTAAAATAAAAGAATTGGAACAGCTGATTCATATGTTAGGCTAATATTCTATGCTCTTCCCTGAACTGAAAAGCCTCTTTAAAAGTTTTTTTAATGTAATGATTTAGCTATAATACTGCCTTTAAAAAGGGATTGACAGAGGAAGCATTTGAATTTCAATCTGGCCTTACATGCATTTCTTTTGAAAAGTCATTAGAAATGTCTTTAGAAAGGTACTATGTGTTTTTAAGGGCAACATATTAGTTATTGTAGTTTTTGAGCACATTTCCATAACACATGTGTTGTGGGGTGTTACCACCACCCCAATCAAAACATAAAATGTTTCCATCTTCTCATAACCTTTCCTCTCACTACATTTGGTCAATCCTCTTGTACTCTATCACCATGGATGAATTTTATCTATTTTAGAACTTCATATAAATTGATTCATGTAGTATGTTCTCTTTTGTCTCATACTTCCCTCATTCAAAATAATGTCTTTGAGAATTAGTTTGTGTTATTTGCCTATCAGTTGCTTGTATGTTTTTTAATTTTTATTTTTCAACTTAGTAGTCTTCCATTGTATACATATACCACAATTTATTTCTCCATTCACTTGTTGATAAACATTTAGTTTTTTTTTCTGATATTTGGTAATTATAAATAAAAATGCTAGAAAAATTCTTGAACAAGTTTTTTTGGGAGACACATGTTTTTATTCTTCTAGGATAAACATCTGAGAGTGGAATTGTTGAGTCATGGACTTAACACATTTTTAAAATAAAATTTTAAAGTAAAAATAATTTAAAAAAGAAAAGATCTTTCATGAATTTAGTAGTTTATTTCTGAGTGTAATCGACTTCATTATTTTGGCCTTTTTTTTGATGGGGGGGTGGTGGCTGGAGACTTGCCTAACTTATGGGAATCTGGAATTGCCCTTGGCATTGCATGTGGCAACACAATGGTACAGAAGCTTTTGTGAAAGTTTTTGTTTCCATGAATGATGGGAACTGCCAAAATTGAGAATTATGCACTCTGAGTGAACTTTCACATAGCTTAGGTTGGCATCACCAAGTGAGAAGCCCAGGACTTAAAAAATAAGGTAAAACAAGACAGGAGGTTTTTGTTTTGTTTTTCCTAGACTATGGCTCAAGGACCACCTGAACGGAAATCCCCTGGGTAGCTGATTAGGCATACTTTTTTTTTTTTTTTTTTTCGAGATGGAGTCTTGCTGTGTCACCCAGGTTGAGTGCAATGGCATGATCTCAGTTCACTGTAACTTCTGCCTCCTGGGTTCAAGCGATTCTCGTGCCTCAGCCTCCCGCGTAGCTGGGATTACAGGCACCCGCCACCAAGCCCGGCTAATGTTTGTATTTTTATTTTAGTAGAGATAGGGTTCTGCCATGCTGGCCAGGCTGGCCTGGAACTCCTGACCTCAGGTGATCTGCTCACCTCGGCCTCCCAAAGTGCTGGGATCACAGGCATGAGCTACCATGCCCGGCCTAGACGCACTTTTTAACAAGCATGTAAGAGACTCTTACACATAGTGAAATGTAAGAATTGCTAGATCAATCTAAACCAGAGATCCTCTGCTGTGGCGGCACATTTGCATCACCAAGGGAGCTTTCAAAATTGCCATGCCCTTGACATGCCTAAGACCAATTAAGTCAGGATCTCTAGGCATGACCACCAGATATCAGTATTATTTAAGTCTCCCCAAGTAGTTACAATGAGTAGCCAAGGATGAGATCTTCTGGTCTATTCTATGTCATCCTTAGCACATCTGAGAGCTCCACTGCCTGCATGTCTGATGTTTTGTTGTACAACTACGTCATTCTGACAATATTTCAAAGCATTGAAAGAACATTTATTTCCTTTGTACAAAATGCCTTGAGCAAGCAAGATTGTCTCAGGTGCATTTGCCGTAATTGCTTGCCTTGGTCTTATTACCTTGTGAAAAATTATGTATCTTTAATCTATGCTTTGGGTGGCAAAATTAATTAATAATTAACTTTGTACTTACCTAATAAAATAATGTTGATGTAAAGTCCTCTAAGTAGTCCTCTCACTTACTAATTTTATCTATGTATTGGCATGAATATCTTGGTTGAACCAAAGAAATAAAACCTAAAATATATGCCTCACAAAAATGTGCTTTATTTAAGTAGATTCAATGAATGAGATATCAGCTCTCCTCAAATCATTATAATGTACCTGTAAGTAACGAACTTTCATAATGTATTTAATCTATAAAAATGATTCTATATGCAGCTTTTCAGGAATGCATGCATATATTTCAGAAAGTAAAATTCCCTTTTTTTCCAGGGGAAGACTTACTAAGATATTCCACTTGAATGTATGAAGTACTTGATAAAGTGCATTTCTGCTTTACATGGTTGGAATTCTACTTTAGTGCTAACCTTGCATTTTTAAATTTTGCTAATAGAGACCATATAAAAATTCACCTGCAAAGCAACTTAAAGAATGTTCTTATTTATTATTTGTAAATGTGGCATCCTTTACCTATCATGCACACCCTGCAACATCTCCCCCAATTAAATAGATTTTGTTCTTCAATGAAGTACAATAGTTTGATGGATTACATTTAGGAAAACACGTCAGTCAATATGAACCACCGAATCCCAAAATGCTATTCAAATACCCTTATGATCTCTTTAACAAACAAAAGCCTTCAGACATCATGTAAGAACCATTGCATCTTTACTTTTTAATGCAATACAATTATTTGTGCCTACCTAAAGGTAACCAGATACAGGTTGCCTTTTGAAGTTTGCAGTAGCTTCATTTTATTCTGAACCAGAAAGTTAGCCACACCAGAGAACACTTTTTTCCCATTGTCTTCTTCAAATGTGGTTTTGATTGCCCATTGACAAAGCCAAGCTAGTGATCAGTATATTGTGATTCTCCTAATTAAAAGCATGCTAACACCTAGAATACAGTAGTTGTCCCTTATCCATGGGGGATATGTTCCAAGATCCCCAGTGGATCCTGAAGCCGTGGGTACTGAACCCTATATATACCCTGTTTTTTTTTCTATACATACACACCTATGACTAAATTTAAGTATAAATTGGACACAGTAACAGATTAACAACAATCACTAATAATAGAAAAATTATGACAATATTTTGTAATAGAAGTTGTGTGAATGTGGTCTCTCTTTCTCTCAAAATATCTTACTGTGATGTACTCACCTGTTTTCAGACCATGGTTGACTGTGGGTAACTAAAACCATGGCAACCAAAACCAGGGATAAAAGGGCACTACTGTAAACCATTCCCATAGTCCCACAACTCCCATGATAAAGACTTCACACTATAAATGAAAGAACTGTTTGATTGGCACAGACCCATCTTTGAGAGAGCCTGGAGAGCCTGGCCACCCTCCCCCCACAATATGTGCCAATGTGCCAATCATGTCTCTTTGGAATTTCACAGGCCATAGCCTTTGTTATGTGCCCTTAAAACAGCCCCTGTCCATCTACCATGCTGTTGGCTCTCTGCCATCCTTTCTAGCACTCTTAAAACAGACTATAATTGGCATTTGCTTGGCTGGGAGTCAATTTATTTTATTGCTACCTTTCCCAGTTGCCTTAACCGTTGGATGTCTTGACAGTTGGCAAATGTAGACTGTGGTTCTGATATGTCACATAAAATCTGTTGGATGAATACTTTCCTCTAGGAAAAAGTGAAAGTGAAATCCCATCCTGGTCCACCCTCTTTCCAAAACAATAAACATTTCCTGGCTTCCACAATTCCCCTAATCATTTAAAGCAGTACAGTTGTTATGGAATGGGCAGCTGAACTTAATGCGTGTCTGGACCATCTGTTCTAGTATTTAGTCTTAAAGAAGATTGCTTAAGTGACTACAGTTCATTGCAAAGAGGGTGAGTTCCATCAGGGAAAGTGCTAGGGTACTATGTCATAGAAAAACATAATCCAGAGACTCTGGAAGGACTATTTTTCACTTAGCAATGCTTAACATCCATGGAAAAAAATAAATTATTTTCCTAGGTACACAAGTAATACACAGACAAACTTGTCTCCAAATTTGTGATTTGTGTTACATTATGGACACAAATATGATATGGTTGTAGAAGAGACACAAAGAGTTTTATCGCTTTATTTTCTTGAGACATATTTTTTTAATTATAGAAACATCCTAAGTTCAAAAAGTCAGACAAAGGTCAGACAATTTACACATAATAAATGGCATGAAGTAGATAGGCAAGAAATACTGAGATTATAGAGGTAAGAATATTTTATTAAGTGAAATTCCTCACATAGCTTTTAACTATGACATTCACTATATTTCTGGGCCAGAGATTTTACAAATAATGAAGTACTTTTGTTGTTTCAACAGACTTTACCACAAGGTTCTGGTTTTGTTTAACGTTAGTGTAGGACAAATTAAGACTGTCCAGTATATGAAACCTTCAAACTTGAGAATATATAAACAGTACAGACATTATGGACCATAGTACTCACTCAGGAAACTAATTTTTTATGTGATCTCACATCATCCAAGTGCATGACTCAGTTCAGTCAAATGCCCAGAATATAAATGGAAGCAAGGCTAGTAGTAACAGTGACAGAGCAAGTTGTTATAAGAAGAACTTCCAATTATGAAGCATCCAAAAATGGAAATTTCTGCCTCTTCAAGCAGGAAGTAAATCAAATTTGAAAATATTAGGGAAAAAAAGCCTGGGAGTCTTCAAATGAGATACATACTTTGGATGAGGGATTTGCCAAGATGGCCATTGTGATTCTAGAGCGTTAAACAAATTGTACCTTAAAATTGTATAATGTAGACAGTCGTGTGTGGGCCAAGTAACTTAATGAAAGACAAATAGAGTTTCCTTTTTCTTTGTGTCATTGAGAAAAATATATATATTTTAAATTTACTTCTAGGAATATTTACTAATTGAAAATAATTCATAAATGGAGTCAAATAGAGTTGACAATGAATGAATAACCAAGAGTAGATGGAAAGAGATTAGTAAAGATAAGCAATTGTGGAATAATCTTATAGTACTTTTGAGTGCTTTTTATTTTGTGAATTAAATTATGTGAAATGATAAATGATTTATAGCATAATCGAAAGAAGAATGACACCACAGCGAAGGCCCATATTGAGCAGCAAGTCAACTGCTAGGGCTACGCGAGGCAAAGTTGGTTGGCAACCAGGTTCCTCAATAGCTGTCATGCTCCAGAAAAGAGCCACTTCTACAGCAGGTTCCAGAAAAAATAAAGGGGATAGATTAACGTAAACATTCAAATAAAGAAAAAAAAAGACAACACGTAAGGCGCAAACGTTCCCTGCTAGTTTCTACTGACATTTTTTATTAACATTCCTTCAGTTTGTTGGAGGAGACAGTGATTTACCTTAAAAATATTTCCTAGCCTCACTTGAGGTTGCAGGTGACCGTGCGATTAGGCTTTAGCCAATGAAATATGAATGAGTGTCCCATGAATGAGGGCTTCCAGAAAGCTCCATGAGAGTAGATTTGTGTGAAAAGTTCATTTTGCTCCTCTCTTTTGGAATAAGGAGGCCAATTTGAAAGCACAAGAAACAGTGAAAGAAGAGCTACAAGGAGCCTGAGTTTTCAATCACCATGTGCTTGCGTGCTAGCTTTGGGTTGTCTACTTCTAAACTTAATTTATGTGAGAGAAAAATAAACTTCTAATCTATTTAAGCCATTGTGTTTTAGTTTTCTATTTTTATCAGTTCTAAGCAGTGTCGAATTGATAAGAGCACAGACCTGTTATGACATCTATGGCATAGTTTATTTTTCTGTTTGTGAAGACCGTCACTTATATAAGGAGAAAACATCTCTTTATAATCCAGTTTACCATGTATGATAGATTTAATAATAATTTATGGAAAATGTAAGAAGAAAGTAATTTTAAGACATCAGGGGAATTAAAGAGAAGAATGCTTTGAACATTTTACTTTGTCTGATTGTAATTGAACTGAAATGTATTTCCTATATCTTGAAAAACCCTCTCAGTTTTAAATGTGGTCATCTCAGTTTCTTATACAGTAAATCTCTGCCCCCAAAACATTTATCCAGGATTTTGAGAATCTGTCCCTTGTCTGTAGGACGTTACCGTAGAGAGTCCTCTTCAATTCTTGGTTCACTCTTTCACTGTTCCTTTTTAATCCATCTAATTCATTCATCCTCAAAAAAGCGCTTAAGCATACTGTGTAACATACTCAGAATTATGCTAAGTACTATGAAGGAAGCCACAAAACACAAAACAGCATGCGTATTCAGCTTGATGATGTCATGTATCTCTTCTTTGAAGCTTGGGTAGTACTTTATAACATCAAGTAGGAAATATTTTTTTAAAATTTTATTATTATTATACTTTAAGTTTTATGGTACATGTGCACAACGTGCAGGTTTGTTACATATGTATACGTGTGCCATGTTGGTGTGCTGCACCCATTAACTCGTCGTTTAGCATTAGGTATATCTCCTAATGCTATCCCTCCCCTCTCCCCCCACCCCACAACAGTCCCTGGTGTGTGATGTTCCCCTTCCTGTGTCCAAGTGTTCTCATTGTTCAATTCCCACCTATGAGTGAGAATATGCGGTGTTTGGTTTTTTGTCCTTGCGATAGTTTGCTGAGAATGATGTAGGCAATAATTTTAACAATTTGAATAGCTCAGTAGCTCAGTCTTTACTTTTTTTTTTTTTTTTGAGACAGAGTTTTGCTCTTGTCGCCTAGGTTGGAGTGCAGTGGCGCTATCTCAGCAAACTGCAACCTGTGCCTCCCGGGTTCAAGTGATTCTCCTGCCTCAGCCTCCCAAGTAGCTGGGAATACAGGTGCCTGCCACCGTGTCCGGCTAATTTTTTGTATTTTTAGTAGAGACAGGGTTTCATCATGTTGGCCAGGCTGGTCTTGAACTCCTGACCTCAGGTGATCCACCCACCTTGGAAATTAGAAATGACTCATGGAAAATTCTTTATTTTGTGTCCAAGGAATCAACTGCTGAAATACAGATTAGGTGAAGATTGAATTGAGAAGAGTTCAATTGACCCATGTAAAAAATCTGCACATGTACCCCGAACCTAAAATAAAAGTAGAAAAAAAAGAAAAATAATCCCCCCCAGAGAATACTAAAAGCCCAAAGTAGAGATTTTATTTGACAATCAGCATTATACATAAAAGACTGATTCAACAGCTAAGCAAGAGCAGTGGGGAGCATGTGATAAGAACGACTCACATTTATTGACCCTTTAGTAATGGCTTGGCATATGCTGGTTTACCTATATGTATTGCCCATTTAATAATAGACAATAATAATGTCACTGCATCCTGTGCTTGTCAATCAATGTCCAGAGAGTAATATGCAATGGTAGGTGACAGTTTTAAGAAGGCTGAGCAACCTATATCTAGAGAAGAAGGACTGCAATGGGAAAGATTAGGCATCATGGCATTTGAGATCAGGAAAGAAAATGAGTGAGTTCGGAATATTCACAATCAGTGGGCCCAGATCATAACCCAATTCTATTTAATCTAATACAAGCTGCTGATCTTTAAGTAGCTACAGACTCCATCAACTTCAAATATCTTTGAGACTTGTAAATCTTCCTTGTCATTGTATTTTGGAAAGTGTTGCCCTGACACTGGCCCAAGTAACCACAGTTATTTTCTAAAAATGGCAAGCATAGTTCTCCATAAGGAGTTCCAGGCAAAATATATGACCTAGACTTTTCAAATATACCAAAGAAGATTCCCTTAGACTTTCTGACTTCCAGTATGGGACATTGAATGGTTAAGCAAAACAATCTTGTATTAATTTTCTTGATTCATTAGAAAAGCAGCCTTGTGTTTAATATATTTACAGGGGCATAGATTAGGACCATTTGTTTTGGTTCCACCTGTTAACGTTGATCAATTATCTGTTTTAGCACCCAACTACATAAAAGATTTACACTTTCTTTCCATTGGAAAACATTCTTTGAAATCCACACATTCATTTTAGGATCTTCTGTAAAGACTCTTTTTGTGCTATTTATAGAAACATAAGTCCAAAGCACTGGATGTTTCAAGCATGAAATAACAATAATAGAAAAATATTCTAATCCAGTCATTAACACCTTTAGGTGTTCAGTCAGTTAGATTAGCATTTCATTCATATAGGCTGTTTTTAGAGTCTCAAAATTAATCTATGAGTAATAATAATATCCTAAAGACAAACATATATAGATTGACTTTCAAGTTTTTGGCAAGAGAAGACCTCAGAATAATTTTAATCAAGAATATTTCAGTCCATACCCTTTTAGTTTCAGTTATGAACAAAAGAATGCATATACTATGCATATATTTTATCAATATGTAATCAATTCAACAATGCAACAATTATTGTACTAAAGTACTGTTGGAATATAATATGATACTTTCCCACAAGGAGGTCCCAACATAGCCAAAGTTGATGAGTAAGTAGGGGATTGAGTTAAGAAGTATTACTTTGGCAAAAACCAAAGCATACAGACTAATGGATACCTATGAAACTAGATTCTTTTTGTCTTCTAAATGGCTCTAAAGGCAAATCCAAAAAGGAATTCCCAAAATTGTTTGTGAGTTGAGCATTATTGTATAAGCAGAAACGTTTTGTATTAAAAGCATTTTGTATATGCAGAAATATACAAAAAGCATATTGTATAAGCAGAAACATTTTGTATTAAAAGCATTATTGTATAAACAGAAACGTTTAGGAGGTTTCAACTTAAGATGCTGTTACGCTATGTATCTAAGAGAAAGTCATTTCTGTTTTCTCATTCTCATTTTTCTCATTTAAAAAATAAAGAAGTAAGAATACATCATCTGGCTGGGCAAGGTGGCTCACGCCTATAATCCTGGCACCTTGGGAGGCTGAGGTGGGTGGATCACCTGAGGTCAGGAGTTCGAGACCAGCCTGGCCAACATGGTGAAACCCTGTCTCTACTAAGTGTACAAAAATTAGCTGGTCATGGTGGCCCATGCCTGTAATCCCAGCTACCCCGGAGGCTGAGGCAGCAGAATCACTTGAACCTGGGAGGCAGAGTCTGCAGTGAGCCGAGATAGCGCCACTGCACTCCAGCCTGGGCAACAGAGCGAGATTCCGTCTCAAAAAAAAAAAAAAGAAAAGAAAAAAGATCTGATTAACATACTTTTGAACTGTCTTCAGCTAACCTAAATCATTTGGAGATGTGTTTTATGTGTTAGAAAAAAAAATCCTCAATGATAAAGACTAATAAAGTATCTTTAAATATAAATATGTTACTTTTTATGTTGGAATAGTTATTCTACATCAGGGAGTGTGTGTATGCTAATGTGAGCCCTATCAAAGGATGACAATAATTCAGTTCTTTCATTTCGACTCCAACTTTCCACTAGGAAATACACCCATGTTCATGAGTCAGAAGAAGAAGAATTTTAAAACTATGCATATCTTACTGTGGAGATCCAGTTCATTAAAGTAAAGAACAGGTAAAGAGCTGAAAATGGAATGGAAAGAAAGCAAAAAAGTATCTGTGTTTTCTACTTAATTTATCCACTGTTAAGCCCATCATTTTAATCTATGTTCTAGTAAGAAGCTATATAAACAGTCTGAGAAACAAACCAACCCAATAAAATTGATCAGTTCAGTCCCACACAGATATTTTCAGAAATCTTTGATTATTCTACCTTAAAGCACTTTGTCTACTTAAATGGTACACAACAGTAAATGATACACAAGAGGGAGTTGATATATATTATTAGTTACACTTTATAGAAGAAATATTATTTTCCAGGGCAGCAACCCAGACTCTGCAGTAAACACCATAAATCAAAGACACCATAATGCTGATCAGAAGCTGTCCTTAAGCCCTGTTGACAAGGCTGAGTACTATAGAGTGGATTAACTTCTTCCACCATTGCTTGTTTTAGCTGTCCCCACTCCATGTTCAGATAGACACTCTCAGTTCAAACAGGAGTGAGCAAAAATATATTGTAGATTCAACCGGTGGAAAAATAACTTTACAGCAGAGTTTCATTTTCAGTAGGACCATTTTTTTCTGGGACCTCTCTGTGCACACAATTAAATGAATGCTCCTTGATTAAATATAAAACTTCTGGGAAATGGTCGTTTAAATGGCATAATTTTATGTAACAGATATTTTAAAGACAAGTAGGACATTTAGTTCATGATAAAATAGGGACACTCGATTAAACCATCAAATTATAAGATTTTACTATGTAACATTATCTGGATAATTCTTTTTTTTTTTTTTTAAGACAGAGTCTTGCTCTTTCGCCCAGGCTGGAATGCAGTGGCATGATCTTGGCTCACTGTAACCTCCACCTCTCGGGTTCGAGGGATTCTCTGGCCTCAGCCTCATGAATAGCTGGAATCACAGGTGCCTTCCACTGTGCCCAGCTAGTTTTTGTATTTTTAGTAGAGACGGGGTTTCAGCGTAATGGCCAGGCTGGTCTCAAACTCCTGACTTCAGGTGATCAGCCTGCCTCAGCCTCCCAAAGTGCTGGGATTACAAGCGTGAGCTGCTATGCCCAGCCTGGTAATTCTTATATGAAACACAGGAACTATCCATTTCATATAGGCCAGACTAGTTTTTCCCATTTAAAATGAGTATGTGCTTTCTGAATTTTTCATCTGCACTTTGGTATTATTTTAACTTGTAAATTAGTTTTTGAAGCACTACCATTCCTATCCCATGACTTGGAGTTAAACCACATGTGCCCTTTTTGGCTAATAATTTACACAGCTAACATTTCAGGTTGAATTTACGTGAGTAAAAGTAAAACAGCATTTTTCCATTCTTTTCAAATTCATTCCGATAATAAAATATTTAAATTCTGGTAAATGACGTAATGGGAAAAACAATGTTTTCTGAAATTGTAATGGTAGACCTTAGTGCTGATAACAAATGTGTCCAAATATTTCACACCATTTCAGATAGACATGTGCATTTATTTGGAAGGCTGAGCTGTTATTAAAAACCCATCTATTGTCATCCATGTCTCAGAAGAGAATGCCAATGGCAATTTTTCCCATATTTTGAAAAAACTGAAGATGTATCACTTTTAATGTCCTACCCAATTGCTTAGAAAGGAAGACATCTCTTATTTTTTCCATATTAAAGCTCTTCTCATGGGGACAATTAAATGTGCATAAATTCCTCAGAGTTTTTATTGCTTTTGTTCAATCTGTAGTCTCAATCAGAAATCTCCTTCACCTTTGAAATACCTAATGGGTCCTGTCACTCTTGAGGTTTACTGTAGAAATTATAATCTGTGCACTATTTATAGCGTGTATCTTTTTCAACTATATAGACATGTCTCTGTCTCCAAAAGAAAATGCAAAGAATAATACCATCTTCCAAATAATTTTTTAACCCCAAATGTTTTATGCAATCTATCATGTGCTGAGTATGGTCTTCTAGGTCAAAATAATACATTGCTGGTAAGATAATCTATGACAAATATTATAAAATTAATTTGAACAAAACAGTCTAATTCAGAGCATGATAGCTGGCAAATACAATAACTCTGTAAGCTATGATGTTCCCAGTGTCTCATTTTTCCCTTACATCACACATTTTGTATTCAATAGACAAATTAAAAAAGAAATTGGCAGGTATGAGTACATGGCAGTGAATAGGAAGGAAGATATTTAGACCTCTGTGTCTGGCATCTATTTTAAGTCTGATGTGATACCATTTTTTTGCTTAGGCAAATCTCGAAGAGTATGACTTCATGAAGAATTTTTTTTTTTTCAGTTCAGACCTGCAAAAATCTAACTTCATAAAACAAATGTAAGTTTACTTTTAGCGCTATGCCAGTGGTTTCTTAGATTTAGGATACATAAGATAATATATTTGTCTTAGACAGATTTCACAAACATATTTAACTTCTTGATTTCAGAACTTTGCTGTGAAATAGTATCCTGCAACTATCTGGCATACTAGGATGATTTCCAATTCAATTTAATCAATATTAAATGGGAACTTAATGGGCAGCTCACTAGTGATAATGTATTCTCATACTCAGAATTTACATCTTACATATAATTATAAATTATAATTCTTAACCATTTTTGAGAATGAAGAATTATGTCCTTCTCTTTATTACCACCTCTTGCTTCCTAGTCTCCTTCCTTGGCCCACACTAATCTCACTTAATGAGGCTTAACTATTTCTTCAGTGTTGTATAGTATTTATCGGTCATTCTCATTATAGGTAATCTTATTGGCTAAAGTCTAGATAGATGATTATGATTTACTTTTCTTTCAAAATTAAAGGTATCCTAAATCTGATTGCAGTTTGCCTTAACTTTGTTTTCTTAGTAAAAATTAGATTTGCCAAGATAGTACTAGGTATATTTGAAGCTAAAACTCAGAAAAAAACTGATTCCTATGGTTACTTTTGCCAGAGAGCTGTAGTGATTTGTCTAATATTTCAAAATGATTATAGAAGCAGTTCTAAAGATTATATTTGCTAAGTCTTGGAAACATGCACATTTTTCTTACACATTGATCCAGTACCTAGTAGTTTGGTTCTTTCCCATCATTAGCTTATAATACCGACAAAATAAAATTGTGACCAATGCACATTTGCTTTCTCACAATGTTTCTGGTATTTTTAGAGAAGTTAATAACTACCATTATCACCAAAGTGCAGTTGACTTCAATTATGTGACAATGTATTTATCAAAATAGTGACTCCTCCTGTGAGAATGAACTACATGAATTCTTGAGTTTGAAAAATAATATACTGAGTTTCCTGGTCAAATAGAATTACTCAAAGTAAAATATGGATGAGAATTTAAAAGTGCATATTTTTAACAAACAAATGCATGAGCTATGTGGTTTCATTCCAAGTGTTTCAGTAGTCAAATAAACAGAGAGAGTTGTTCAAACATAAACTTATTTGTTTTGAATTTTCTTTCAATTCAAAGTAAAGCAATTTAAAGCAAGCATAATTACATATGAAAAATCCTACCAAAAAGGTAGCATAGGCAATAATTTGAATTGCATATTTCCAGTTGCCTAAGTTTTCTATGTGAAAAGTATAAAGAAAGTTGAATAGTTTATGCAGAAAAGATAAAGCCATGAGTCCCTTCATTCATTTACTGATTCAGTCAATGTTAAGAAAGTATTTATGTGTAAGACACTGTTTTCAGCACACAAAAACATGCAAATACACATAAAATATGACCCCATGCAATGGTGGAGACTGCACCTGGGAACAATTAGAAAAAAAGACACTAAATCTAGCCTAGGTATGAGGAATCAATCAGTTCAGGAACCCCTTCGAACCTAAGGTGAATATTGAGTGCATCGTAGTAGACTGTACCTGGAGCTGACCAGCCTCATGTCAAGGGGAAGCAAGAACACGGAGGACAGCACAAGAAATTGCACTAGGTAAGGAAAATGCTTTCAGGGAAGTGTAAGAAGTTCTGTGTTGCTAAAGCTTAAAATATCAGCAAAGATTGGCTAGGAGACTGGGAAGTTAGCTGGGAGGGCCTTACTTACAAAGATGCTAGAAAATACAGTTCTTTATGGGAAATTTTAAAGCAAAAAGAAGTTGTAGATATATAGAAAAAAAGGATAATGCACTGCTTCTGAATTTCTGAGTGGAGATAGTATAGATTTGAGTTAAACAGAGTGACAAGTCATTCCAGAATTTTTTTAGGTAACCAATAGGAAATCGTTCACAAGTTTAAGATATAAGTGCTGCCACATATATTGTTACATCTTTTTATTAATTACTAATTGAAGTCCCTGTTTGGCAGAAAGTATAGACTTTCCTCCTTGAAGTTCCCCCTATGGTTACAAGAATTGAACAATAGTGTGTATATATGTATGCATGCATCTCTATCTATCTATCTGTCTGTCTATCTATCTATCTATCTATCTATCTATCTATCTATCTATCTATCTATCTCTACCTGTCTATTTCTTTCCCTCCCTATTTATCTCTTTTTCTCTCTATCACATCATATGTCCAGCAACACCAATGGTTTTTCTGTCTAAAAACAATCATTTCTAATTCTAAATGTGGAATGAAAGCCAAAAGACAGATATCTGCAAAATCCAACCTGTTTATTAGCGCTTTTGCTTCAGTTGATACACTCAGGGCTGCCCTTAAGGATCTATACCCTGGAAAGAGCAGTAAACAGCACTGATGCTCTTGCAGCGTCCCAAAATGAGAGATCTTTTGGTTCATGCTCCAATGGCCATCCTTTTTTTCTAAGCATTCTCCCAACCAGGAGGGAGGGATTCAGAGGAGCTACAACCTGTGCAGAAACCAGCCATGTACTATGGCTTTCAAACACAGCCATATGCTATGCAGACACCAGCCACCTATGCTTCGACCTTTGTGTAGATCTTGTAGAACCAGCTCTGAATCCCTCCCTCCTTGTGAGACCTTCATTAAGTACCTTGGTATCATTTTTTTTCTTTTTTCTACCAGCAGCTAAGTTGAGGCTATCCCTCTAGATTCTCCTAACTAAAAATACTTAGGAAGTCAAAATTGGAATCTCAGTGACATCACTTCCGGGAGGTCCTAAGATCCTCATGCTCACCTATTTGTCTCCGGGTCAATGAATACTAAAGGACATCCTAATTTTCAAATGTCTATTTTACACTTCTCTCAGTGTATTCGTTGCTTGGTTGTGAAAATACACAGAAAGCATAAGAATTCTAAAAAGCTACTGACTTTGGCTCAAACTTGATCACCATAACCACTACTAACAATTACAATAATGAATATAATTTTACTGTTAGTAGTGTGAAGAAGACACAAATTCAGATACAAACAATTTAAAGGAGAAAAGAGATTACATCTTCAAAACTTCTTCACATTTTGCACATAACATCATCTAATCACAGGAGTGACATCAACATATCCAACTCAAAAAAAAGGAGTTACACAGGATATTATACATTAACATTACAGGGTGAGTCTATTAGAGGCTCTCTTAGAATTCTGCGTACTGCAATATCTACATCATTATAGCTTCATATCTATCTATCTGTCTATCTATGTTTTAAGTATTACCAGTTGATTTTATTCTAGAAGAAAATAGGTAATATGCAGCTACTTCCACCTCTCCCCTTTCTCTCCCATTCTAATTGCTGTAATTACTTTTAATTCATCATAGTTTATCATTTTTCACTTTATTCTTGAGGTAAAATGATGCAGTTGTTTAATCTTCTATATTCAAATGAAATTAGTGCTTACTGTCAGCATTTTTATCATTTATTCTCTGCTTTTAACTTCTTTGTCTTGATCTCTTGGTTGGCTGGATATAAACATCAAGAAGTTTATGTATTTTAAATATATATTAAATTTGGAAGAGCTAATATTTCATTTTGCCTTCTTAACTGGATAACATTTTGCTTGGTTAGAATGTATTCTTGGTCAGATTTGGTTCTCTTCTGAATTTTATAGACAGTAATCTAATTTCTCTGGCACTGAAAGTTGCAGGGGAGTCCAAAGCTAGCAAGATATTTATCCCTCGTGGGTGACTTGCTCTATTTTTACTGATACTTAAACTAGTCTTTCTTTATCATTGATGTTCAAAAACTTAACCAGAATATGCTTTAGTGCCAATTATTTTATGTTTTTTCTTTTTCTAACACAGAAGAAAATGTGTGAATTCATTTTCTCCTTGGTTCCAGAAACAATTGCCTGTATTATATTCAGAATAGTTCTGCCACATTTGTTGGATACTTTATATTAAGGATGCCAAGGATTCTTAGACCATACTGTTTTTATCTTCCGAAGCTATCATCTCTGTAGTTGTGAGAATCACTATTTTTTTCTTTATTGCCATTATCTCAGTTTTCAACATCATGACATTAATGAAGGTTTTGGCTATCTTATTCTGGTTTCTATATGTTATTAATGTATTTATTATATTTTAATAATTGCTGGTTTTTTCAAATATTTTATGGTTTATGAAATAATTTTTAAAATAGTGTTTTGGAATGTGTTTTATTGAATTTTCATTAAGTTTTTTAATCATTTAAAGTATTCATAGGGAAACTATTTCTCTACCATGTACCAGGGGTTACATTTTCTTCAAGATTTTGGTCATTTTTAAACAGAATTTTTATGTGTATGTGTTGTATGTCTTGTGTTTATTTATTCATGTGTGTGTATGATGTTTGCATGTGTATCAGAACTTTCCTTTTTATATAGTTGTTGACATTGAACAAGATTCTCTTTGCTGAACATCCTTGTTTCTGCCCTGGTACACCCAAACTTTAGTTGGTCTTTCCCACTCTGGACTTGCATCTTGCACTTTACTAGCATCTTGGGAGTTGATTTCTTACCTCCATTCTTTTCTCTGAGGAAATAGCAGTGGGTGTAGCCAGAGAGCCTCAGAAACCACTTTCAGTTCTTGCTAATGGACATTTATTCTTGTCTTTCTTCTGGGGTCTGAACATCCTGTGCCAGTGCCCATTCCAAGCAGTGAAGAGTGCATTCCGTCCACTTCCACCACGGGTTTATTCTCCCCTGGCAGCACAGCCAACCTCTGGGGTGGTCTTGTTATAGAAGTGGGTGGGTCTACTTTGATGATTCTTCTTGGTTTTCCACACGGTGCCTATCTGCCTGATATGGTTTGGCTGTGTCCCCACCCAAATCTCATCTTGAATTGTACTCCCATAATTCCCACATGTTGTGGGAGGGACCCGGTGGGAGATAATTTGATTCATGGGGGCGGTTTCTCCCATACTGTTCTCGTGGTAGTGAATAAGTCTCGTGAGATCTGACGGTTTTATCTGGGGTTTCCGCTTTTGCATCTTCCTCATTTTCTCTTGCTGTCACCATGTAAGAAGTGTTTTTTGCCTCCTGCCATGATTCTGAGGCCTCCTCAGCCATGTGGAACTGTAAGTCCAATTAAACCTCTTTTTCTTCCCAGTCTCAGGTATGTCGTTATAAGCAGCGTGAAAACGAACTAATATACAACCCCTTTCCATCCCTTATGTATTCTCCTTCCCCAGAACTAAAACTCTAAATAAAAATTTTAATATTTTTCTCTTTCCTGGACTGTTTCTGGAGTTTTTAAAGCTATTATAAAAAGTACCAGCCTTTTTTTTTTCTTTTTTCAACCCCTGTTTTTTACAAGATTGTGGTTAGTTGCTCACTTTTCTGCAGGTGTGTTGGTGTTCCTTCTTCCTTCCTATCTTTTACTACCTTTGATTCGTTTCACTGGGTTTTGGAGCCTGCTATACTCCACCCTCTTCAATGGTCAGTTTCCATGGTGAGAGACAGAACTAGCTGGATTTCCTAGGCCGACTAAGAATTCTTAACCTTAGCTGGGAAATGTGACCGCACCTACCTTTAAACACGGGGCTTGTAACTCAGCTCACACCTGACCAATCAGGTAGTAAAGAGGGCTCACTAAAATACAAATTAGACTAAAAGCAGGAGGTAAAGAAATAGTCAAATCATATACCGCCTGAGTGCACAGGGGGAAGGACAATGATTGGGATATAAACTCAGGCATTCCAGCAGGGAGTGGCAACCCCCTTTGGGTCCCCTCCCTTGTAGGGGAGCTCTGTTTTCACTCTATTAAATCTTTCAACTGCACATTCTTCTGGTCCGTGTTTGTTACGGCTCGGGCTGAGCTTTCCCTCGCCGTTCACCACTGCTGTTCGCCGCCATCCCAGACCCACTGTTGACTTCCACACCCCCGGATCCGGCAGGGTGTCCGCTGTGCTCCTGATCCAGTGAGGCGCCCACTGCCGCTCCCGTTCGGGCTAGAGGCTCACCATTGTTCATGTGCGGCTAAGTGTCCGGGTTCGTCCTAATCCAGCTGAACAGGAGTTGCTGGGTTCCACAGTTCTCGTCCATGACCCACGGCTTCTAATAGAGCTATAACACTCACCTCATGGCCCAACGTTCCATTCCTTGGAATCCATGAGGCCAAGACCCCCAGTTCAGAGAATAAAAGGCTTGCTGCCATCTTGGGAGCCGCCTGCCCCATCTTGGGAGCTCTAAGAACAAAGACCCGCCTATAACAATGGTATGCTCTTCATTTTCAAAGTGCTCCAACAACTCTTGCTGAGGTACAGGTGAGTTGGCGAATCTTTCAAATCACTTTCTTGCTAACCAGCCAAGGACTCTCATTTAGGGCCCTATGGCCTGTTGATTTGTGCTTATTATATTTTTGAAGTTTTTAATATTTCTTACCATCTTATCCACACCTCTTCCTGCACTACACTGAACTCCCATAATATAAGCTCGATTAAGGCAACAAGTAAGTGTAGTTCTGTTCACTTAGCAGAGCTTACCACAGAATAGGCACCCAATAAGCATATGCTAAAGGAATGAATGAATAAATGCATCCCTTGTGAATCATTATCATCCAAAGTACATATGGTATTATGTTATAAAAATAAATTAAAGAATAATAGTTTTTTGTTAATTGGCTTATGTAAGAAAGGTTATAAATTGTCTTGCATTTTCTTATACTAAATGGAATGTGAAGTTACTACTAAGAGTGTCTTTCCAGAATTTGAATAAGCAGTTGTGATACTAATCCACATTATCTCTTCAAGACACCTGACAGTAATTACCTCCGTGATAAATTTGAAGAAAGAAAATTGCTTTGTTATCTTGAGTTTAAGAAACTGATAAAGAATTAAATGAATTTAAATGGAGGATGGATTTTCTAACACCCTGACACTTTGACCACTGAAGTGCTCATACCATGTGAGGGATCTGTGGCCTGAAAGCAAGAAAGCTTTTATTAGTGATCCTTTAAACAATATAAGGTTTTTAACCCTATCCCTTTCTACCTAATGACATTTTTACTACCACAAATGAGAGGGGCCGAATTGCTCAGCTCATGTTTGATGACATTTATATTTACTTAAATTTATTTATATATTTATTTAATAGGTGTGTCAAGCACCTATTAGTATAAGAAAATGTGCTAAAACACCAATAATTTTAAAAGATGGGCAATGCATAGCCCTTTCTCTCAAAATATGTGGCTTAAAAGAAGGCATCAATTTTAAGTAATTCAAGGTAGAACAAAATAAACACCATAAGAGAGTTCAAAGAGGGAGGGTGATTCTAAGGACGAAACAGTCACATTAGGGAAGCACTGTGGTTTAGTAAAAAACATACTCAGACTTTGGAATCAGAGAGGCCTGATTCTCCTGTTTATGACATAAACATATGTGGCCTTGGTAAGTCTCAGTTTTCCCATGTATAACATGAGAGCACCTATATGAGCCTGTTGACAGGGGTTTTTCAGCCAACATAGTCTTGTACTTTATTCTTTTGACTCCAAAAATGGTAAAGAGAAAGAAGATCTATCTAACATATCATTGGTCCACATTCTCTCAGAGTGATCATTCTAAATCCAAAGCTGAAAATGCCATTGTTTTCCTTTGATACCTTTCATAGTTACACATCTTCTTCTGCTAAAGCTCAAATAATTTAAGATAATGAACAAATCTCTCCATCATCCAGTACTTGAGTGCCTCTTGAATCATGTCTACAGCCACTCTTTGTTATGTCCTCCGGATAAAAGATGTACTAGCCTGTTTGCAGTTCTTCAGACACATCATGAGCCTTCCATGCTTGCATATGTTATGCCTTCTGTTGAAAAAGCTACCCCAATTTAGCAACCAGCAAATGTTGTATCCTCCATAGATTAGTTTAGAACTTTTTTGTTAAATTCTGAGCTTTTCTCTTCCCCCATCAAAGCATCCACTCCTCACTCCTATCTATATCACTCCCATTAGCATATACATACTTTCATTTTAGCATGTATATTGTCATTTATTACATTTATTAATTTAGTATCTGTCTTTTTTCTAGATTCATAATACGTATGTGCTAGCAATATATTTATTGATATGTTCTTTGTCCCATGAGACTGTAAGATTTAACAAGTAAGGTTTTATTTCTAGCTTAACTTTAAATTTCCAAAGAGCCTAATTTCTTTTTGAAAAAAGAAAGAAACAATCAATCAACCAATCAGTTAATCCATGTAGCAAATAGGTAACATATTGAATATGCTTCTGCTCATCTAGAATAGACAGTGTACCTCCAAATACAATCATGAGCCTAAAGAGGGGTGAATGGATACTATGGTTTGGCTGTGTCCCCACCCAAATCTCATCTTGAATTGTAGTTCCCACAATTTCCACGTGTCATGGGAGAGTCCCAGTGGGAGGTAATTGAATCATGAGAGCAGGTCTTTCCCATGCTTTTGTTGTGATAGTAAATAAGTCTCATGAGATCTGATGGTTTTATAAAGAGGAGTTCCTCTGCACATGCTTTCTCTCTTGTCTGCCGCCATGTAAGATGTTTCTTGCTCTTCTAACATGCTTATGAGGCCTCCCCAGCCATGTGGAACTGTGAGCCAATTAAACCTCTTTCCTTTATAAGTTACCCAGTCTTGAGTATGTCTTTATTAGCAGTGTGAGTACAGACTAACACAATGGACAAATATTTCATAGTGACCCACTGACCATTGATATCATTTGGATCTGTGTCCCCACTCAAATATCATGTTCAGTTGTAATCCTCAATGTTGGAGCTGGGGCCTAATAGTAGGTGATTGGATCATGGGGGTGGATTGTTCATGAATGAATGGTTTAGCACCATCCCTTTGGTGCTGTTTTCGTAATAGAGTTCTCATGAGATCTGGTTGCTTTAAAGTGTGTGGCATCTTTCCCTTCTCTCTGTTCCTCCTGCTCCAGCCATGTAAGATGTGCCTGCTTCCCTTTGCCTTCCACCATGATTGGAAGCTTCCTGAGACCTCCCCAGAAACAGAGGCCACTATACTTCCTGTACACCCTGCAGAATTATGACCTAATTAAAACTCTTTTCTTTATAAATTTTTTGGTCCCAGGTATTTATTTATAGCAATGCAAAAACTGACTAACAACCATCATCTTGAGTTTCCAGACTTGTGCTTGTAAGGATGCCTCTCAGCTGGTGTACATAAAGAGCTATCAAGAACTCTACCTCAAGAGTCACCTTGCAATAGACAGAAATATTTTTCCTTAATGTCAAAATTATTCTTTACTGCCATCCAATACAATCACCTCACCAGCAACAACAAAATGTGTTTGCACATCTATGTGTTTTAGGATAGAAGACATAGGAAAAGCACAATTTGAGATGAAGTTGCAGAGTCAGTATTAGAACTATATTCCAGGAATAGAGTCAGTAAATTCTTTAATGTGCTTCTATACTGAGAATTATTTCTCTTCCTTCTATTGACTGTAATAAAAGAATAATAAGTCTGGAAGCACAAGAGCAAGGATACCAACACATATAAGATTAACTGTTGGTACCATTAGAGGCCCCAGCACAGATTAATGCCTGGGTGTTATAACACAATCAGCGGTAGAGAGGAAGTTTTTCAAATCAAAGCACTCCATTTGTTTTCATAAACACTGATTCACTTTAAAAATTGATCAGAAAACAGATTGGTCATGAATGTCATTTAAGATTCAGAGGAAAACACAGTACCAAAAACCAAGCAAAGAGAAGAGCCAATAAACCTTATTACATTTAGATGTCCTTTCTAAATCTTTTCCTCCCTCTCTCCCTTGCCCCTGGTTCCTTTTTCTCTCTCTCTCCCAACTAGTTATGGTGAGAATTCAGCATTGCCATGATGCCATTCTAAATAAACATTGACATAAGAATGAGTCTTGTTGCCAATACTCTAATGATCAACACAAGAAACCACCGATTAAATCGGTAGATACACAGGTGTTAATCCCCAGAGCCAAGTCCAACTCTGCATGTTCACCAACATTGAGATAAGTGTGTTTCTTGAGATATTACTGCTCAAATGAATTTAGCAAGTGCCAATAGAACGTTTTTTTCCATTCTAACAAAACTTTATTAACATAGTAGGTCTTGAAAAATTTAATATGCAGGTTTTCTCTATATGAAGGAAATAACAGAAACATTAGATATTGCAATATTTCCTAATTTTCACGTACCAATTATTTCATTTTAGATAACTTTTGTAACACTGTATAATATTCATTTTGTCAACATAAGGTGTTGAAGTGTCAAAAGTATTAAGACACAAAAGTTTCTCAAATATTTCTCCCACATGTAAAGTTTCTGGTTCTGAAATCAAATATATTTCAGAAGTGTGGGGTTTTAATCCTATGCTTTTCTGGCACATATTTTGCTTCTTGTTTCCAAGTTTACATAAAACGATTATTAGGAACTATAATTCTGAACTATATTGTTCACTTATGAAATGTATTGATTATTCTTGCTTATGCATACTGAAACATCCATTTAATTGTTCAAAAACTGTGAAAGATATTTTAAAATGTTTATTTCTATTTGAATTATAGAAGCAAAAAATATTTGTCATTAAAAGTTATTTAAGAAAACTTTTATTTAGGACTCATCCTAATGAAATCCATTTAAAATGGCAGTTATTTAAAAATAGATACCTTAGTTCAGGTAAAAAGATTTTTCTTCTCATTTCAAAATGCTATAGATGGCAATGAGTCAAAAAGAGTCAAGATAACAAACTGTTCTTTGCGGCATTAGAGAAGAAGAAACTCCCCTTCATGATATTA
The DNA here is from genome assembly GCF_000001405.40 of Homo sapiens. NCBI lineage: Eukaryota > Metazoa > Chordata > Mammalia > Primates > Hominidae > Homo > Homo sapiens. Next base: position 70,582,525 of record NC_000017.11, read on the forward strand.
AGAAAGTCATTAAGTTAATTAATATTCAGTACATAAAAGGACTGAACAGATTTAAATGCATTTTGTGGCCTCATGATTTTACCAACACTTAGTCAAAAATATGCAACACAGTGAATTTGAAAAGTCCCCCCTTCCTCCTCCTATTTTTTCTTTTTCCTTTTTTTAAATCTCTTTTATTTTTCACAAAAGAATAATGATAATTAATAATATTATGAGTATCAGTAATTGAGCCTTTATTTTTTACCGCACACTCTGCTAGGCTTCTCACTGGTATCGATGCTTCTCCTACCAATGCTTCAAGTCAGGTCACTGTGCTGGATTTCTTTTCTTTTTCCCTCTAGATCTACTACTTTTTTTTTTAATTCCCCTCTGGGCATCACCTGGCTGACCCCTAAGGTCTACAACATCCCTTGCTCTTTGGGTTCCAGTTGGTCTCACAGTGGGAAGCTCTGTTGAGAGTACAGAGAGCAAGAGGTGAGTGAGAAAATGGCCATTGATTTCTTCTCTCTCTCTCTCTTTTCTTTGTTCCCTGTGTGGGCTGTGTTCCTCTACTGAGAGCACTAGCTCCCATTAGGTGGGAATCTCCCTACACCCACCTTCTCCAAGGCAGTGACAATGCTTAACACTTACCCCAAACTCTTTAACAGCTTTATATTCTTTCATTGGTCCTGGGCCTCATTCCTCCTGTCTTCTCTCAGCATCTTTGCCTTCCTAAATTCATCCTGTGCTGTGGTTTCTTTCTCCAAACTTCTTTAGTGGATCTTAGTGATACAGACAGTTATCACAAATATCTCCTTTCTTATTTTGAAATGTGTAGCATATATCCTGTCTGCCACTTGAAACCAAAGCAACAGCCCTTTTTTTTTACATTTAACATATTTAATGCAGATTGAAATCTGCACAAGGGATCATGTAACCTTCTTCAGCTATCTACTTTTAGATCTCAAAACTTCTGATTTGACACTTACATCCTCATCTCCCCTTCACCATGCACTCTTAGAGATTAACCTGTGTATTCAGCTAAAAGTGATTAAAGTGATTAAAGTAGGTTCTTGTATTTCACCGCAAGGTTATTGAATAAATTTTGTTTTACATATAAATTATATTTTAGGTATTTATTACCAGGATCAAATTTTGTTTTGGGAAAGTTTGATGTCTGTGTTTTAATCTCATGCCAAAAGCAAATAAAATATCGTGGAAATTATTTTGATATTACTTTTACTGTTAATTGCAAATGGAAATCAAAGACAATTGGAAAAAAATTTGGCTATAAATATATATTCCTATATCAAGAATTTAAAATATAAACTTATAAGCCAGCCCTACCATTTTCACCTTCATAAGCTTTTCTTTTTGTCTATTTTTGATCTATTTAATTAGAGTTTTGGAGGGAAGAGCAGTTGGAAGCCTTGAAACTTGAAACTTTCTTTTTCTAGAAAAAACACTGATTTATATAATCTTAAAAATTCACTCCCAGCTCCTCGGGAAGCTGAGGCAGGAGAATGGCGTGAGCCTGGGAGGCGGAGCTTGCAGTGAGCTGAGATCGCGCCACTGCACTCCAGCCTGGGTGACAGAGCAAGACTCTGTCTCAAAAAAAAAAAAAAAAAAAAAAAAAAAAATTCCCAGTTCATCACTGGCCATCAGGTAGAAGGGAGTGTGGTGGAGATAATTTAAATGTAAAAGTTTAGGTGACTTGATTTTGTGATGATTAATCCTAGAAGGCTTACTTGGCTTTCTTATAGCCTTTGACTTTTAGAAAAACATATAGTAACATTGATGCAGGATTTTTCTTGGACCCTTTGCCAGACTCACAGTAGGGTTGCCCTCTCTACTCGGACCCCGGCACTCAACCCCTTGCAGGAGGGAGCATGTGAGTGAGCTGGTGTGGAATTCAGCAGGCCACTCCAGCACCTACACAGCAACGAGCTCCATGCAGGGCCTGTGGCCAGCCCAGGTATGTCACCTCAAGGGGAATGTGGTGGCACCTAGCTGACGGTGCCTGCAACCCTGAAGCCCCAGAGGGGGTGTTACAGTGTTCCTTTAGTTCCACTGTTTGCAGATGGTGGTGTGTTAGCAGCTTAATTGGCCCCTTGCTTCATTGTGTGGGGCAGCTCCCCTCTGTTGGCAAGGGCAAAAGGCTGGTGTGACAGCCTTTCTGGGTACCCGCACTCGGTGGGTCCCAAGCTCTTGTCTGGTGTCCAAGAAGAATGAGGTCACACAGACGGTTGAAGGATGGTGAAGGTGGAAAATTTTATTGAGCAATGAAAATGGCCCTCAGTGGAGAGGGGAGCTGGAGAGGGGATGGGAAGGGCAGGTCATCTTCCCTGAAGTCAGGTTGTCTCTTCCCTGAACTCAGGTCATCTTCTCCTCTACTGACTGAGTCCAGGGTCTTTATAGGCACAGGAAGGGGAGTGCATGCTGATTGGTTTGTGAGTATGCAAAAAAGGTTCAAATAAAAAGTATCACTCAAAGGTGGGCACAACAGTGTAGAAAACCAATTAGGAAAGGGAAGGTATATGTAAAATAGGCGAAGGGTGGGCATCAATCAGGGGAAAACATGCCAAGCAGGAAGACAAGTTCTCAGTCCATTCTGAAGATTTAACTTGTATTTTGGCTTTCAGGCTTTAAACTATCTTCAGCTTGGTGGTGGGGTTTCACTGGGTACCCACCCCTATCTACCTAGGCATTTGGCTGCCTCCTGTCACTATCAATATCTTATTGATACTAAATATTATTTTCACATGTAGTTCTTAGATAAAATGTATGTAAAATAGTGTGCTTGAACCTGTTGTGTTAGCAACATGCTAGGAGCAAGTTTAGCCTTACAAGCTTTACAAAAATAAGTTTGTTCGTTGGATTTAATATAGCACAGAACTGTATTTGAAAGCAGTAGTCAGAAAGGAACACAACCCAGGGAGAAGTCTGGCTCTTATCACAAAATATGCATTTCTTGAACCAATCCATCATCCAAAAATGGAAAGTAGAGACAATAATAAACAAGAAGGCTTGATGGCCATTTCCAAGTTCAAGTTTCTATTACTTGATTGCAATTGAGTGGGCATTACTGTTTCTCCAGATTATTAAGCAAGAACAAAATTATTATATTATTATTTCTGAATTTTTGAGTGGTGACTGGATAAACAAGAGGCATTAGGAAATAGAGTTGCTTTTCTTTTTTTAATTTACATTTATGCTGGTAGTAGATAACATAATTTGTTGGTATATTGTTATTTATTTTAAATAACCATATTCATATTCAGAAAGCATGTGAGGAGTACCTTGTATTGAACATTTATTAAAAGCAGAATGTTGTCAAAATTTAGGGGATTTAATTGTACCATCAAATTGTACTCCCAAATAAATATTACAGTACAAAATAAACCCATGGATAATGAAAGTAAATACAGCAAAAGGGGTAAGAATGAATGGGTAAATTTCATGGAATTTTAGGAATCCATGAATACATAGGCACTTATTAATTGTTATTTGTATAACAAATTCTTAATGAAAGTGCTTTAACAACAATATTTTAAAAGACTGCATTTGTTTTACTGTGTACCAAATTACTTCCAGTTTTAGTGGCCTGAAATTACAGTTATTTATTATTTCACAGCTTCTATAGATATGGCTTTGTTGGGTATCTCTAGCTCCGAGTCTCTCATAAAGTTGCAATGAGATTGCCAGCCAAGGCTGCAGTCATCTCAATGCTTGACCAGAGAAGGATCAACTTGCAAGCTCACTCCCATGGGCCACCACACAGAGCATACAACATGACAGATGGCTTCCTCAGCTAGAGGGTCTTAAGAGGCAGCAAATGAGAGGAAGTGACAAGACAGAAGCCACAGTCATTTTATAACCTACACTTGGACATGACATCCCATCACTTTTGTAGCATTCTATTCATATTCTATTTATTAGAAATGAGTTACCAGGTAGAGTGAGGTGAAGTGATTAAACAAGGCACAGATACCAGAAGGCAGAGATCACTGGGGATCATCTTACAGGCTTCCTGCCAGAAAAAGATTAACACAAAATGATGCACTGTGTGAAATTACTATACTAGTCTTGGAACACTAAATTTTGATAATGGAGATTCAATCAAGCAACACTTTTAAAGCATTAAATGGCTAATCATAATCATTCTAAACTCAGAATCTTTACGTTATTTAGACATTAAAGTCCAGGTTAAAAAAAGAAAACAACAAAAGGACATTATTGAGCATTATTGAGTTAAATTGCTCACGCCCCCACAGTCACTCTGTGGACCAAGAACTATGGCTGGGCTTATTTTAGGATGGGAACTGAAGAGTAAGAGTGTAAGTTTTCAGATAAAATAGGACCCTTAAACAATTATGCTCCCACACTGGTTTAACTGGATCTTAACAAGTTTAACTGGATCTTGTGTGTTAGCGCGTAGGTGTTTATAAGCATAATAGTGCTCCCCAAGGGAAAGGTAAATTTGCCATCACTTCCCTACCAAAATGGCCTGGTACTTTCTTACCTGCCCTAAAGTCATGCTTCTTTTCAAACTTTGAATTATGGAATGCCAGAGGCCACAAAGCACAACTTATTTCTTTCAAATTGTAAATCTAAACCTCCTAGGAAAAAAAAATGGGCATTAATTTCATTCGTGAACATATCCCATAATGAGTCTATAACCCAGTTATTTTGTCCTTCCAACTTTATTATGATGTTATTCTATTTTGTTTTGCACTAATGTCAAGAAGCATTTTATTAAATCAAAGCCAAGATTTCTAGTTTTCTTTTAAATTTTTATGGGGTGCATGCCATACTTTGATACAGATATACAATGCATACGAATCACACCAGGGTAAGTATGGTAAGGAATTCTAGTTGTAATATTAAGCCCAAATTATTTCTGCCTCAATAAGAGTGACAATTAGATAATTTCTCATTTTTTTCAAAAAACTGAAAATCCTATAGACATGTCTTTCCTTTTTGAAAAGAAAAAAATAGGGGTAGTCATCTTATATTGATTATATTGTAATATTCTGATTTGTTTTTCAGAGCAATAAGGTTATATTTGATGAAGAGTTTTCACTGTTTTTTTTTAAAAGAAATGGTGGATGCTTTTGTGACTTAATTATTTTTCAGATGTTCATGTTCCATTTAGCTAAGACATAACATGATCATGCTCAGAACTCCTGCTGTTTTGGCAGGAAGTGGAATAAAAAACAAAGTTTTACTAACTTAAAACAGTTTCTCTTGGCCTTTCTGTTGACTTATTTTATTTCTTGAATTATTTTATTTTGTTGACATCTTGAAAAGGAGTGATTCTGAATTAACTGAATTTAAAAAGATATATTCATTCATTTTTACCTTGTGAAACCTTCCCTGTATGGATGAAAGGTAGAAGAGAAGACAAAAAAATAGTACATTCAGAGACTGACTAGTTATCTTATGTGAAACGTAAAATCAAATCTTGTTAAACACCTTGCTTGGTCTTCCAATGGCCTTCCTTTACATTTAGAATTAAATTCAGTGCCTTCATCATCCATCCGGTTCTATGTGTCCTAATCTATGTCTTCTGTTCCAACATTGTGCTTTGCTATTGTGGCTCAAGCCACTCAGGTCTGTGTTTTTTTTTCTTCCAACCCATGAATCTCATTCTACCGCTTAGGACTTTTATGCTCACTGCTCCCCTGTCTAGAAAACTATGACTCATTCTTTCTCCTCATTCAGTCTCTAATTAGAACAGCTTTCCACTGTGACCTAATCTATGGTCTAAATCTCCACTAACCACAGTAGCTGGGATTACAGATGTGCACCACCATACCTGGCTAATTTTTGTACTTTTAGTACAGACAGGGTTTCACCATATCAACCAGGTTGGTCTTGAACTCCTGGCCTCATGTGATCTGCCTGCCTTGACCTCCCAAAGTGCTGGTATTATAGGTGTGAGCCACCATGCCAGGACCAAGCTATGTTTTCTTGACCTTCTTTCTTTTCCCTTCCATGCCCATATGGAAAGTAAACAAATAATCCACTGCTTCAATATGGTTTTGCTTTGTTTCTATTGAATTACACTCTGTTGTTTTTATAGAACATATCACTATTTGGAAATTAATGTTTGCTTGGGTTTGTGTAGTTATTTTTCAGTTTATCATGTGCCTCTCTTGCTGGAATGTAAGCTACAATCATATAGGGATCTTGAAAACCTGTACTTTAAAAAAATAATTTCAACTTTTATTTTAGATTCGGTGGATACTGGTGCACGTTTGTTACATGAGCATATGGTACTGGAGGTCCTAGCCAGAGCAATCAGGCAAGAGAAAGAAATAAAAGTCATCCAAGCAGAAAGAGAAGTTGAACTGTCTCTCTGCTTGTAACAGAAAACCCGAAAGACTCTGCCAAAAGGCTCTTAGAACCGATAAATGCCTTCTAAAGTTTCAGGATACAAAATCAATGTTAAAAAATCGGTAGCATTTCTATACATCAATAATGTTTAAGCTGAGAGTCCAATCAATAACACAATCCCATTTACATAAGTCACAAAAATAACAAAATACCTAGGAATACAGCTATCCAAGGAGGTGAAAGGTCATTACAGGGAAAACTACAAAACACTGCTGTACTTTTAAAGCAAGCAGTAAGCAAGGCTGCACTTTGGAGGTGTGAGGTGTGGAGAGATAGTGCCTCATCTCTCAAGGTTGTTCACTGCAAGTACAATCCTGAGAATGGCCATGGCCCAAAAACACAAAGAAGCAGGAGATATTGATGGCATGTCTCCAAACACTGTGTTAACTCCCTTCGCTGAGGAAGAAGAGAAAATGTTTCTGTTGAAAAATGTCTTTTTCTACTTCCTATGTAATGCCTCTAATCCAATAATTAACATAATTTTATAAATTATATTTTTTGTGTTTCAAGATTATAGACTTCGGTTTAAGAATCTGGTTTTTCATAGCTCTTTTTGTGAGAAAAATACACACACACACACATCTCCACATTACAATGTGTGTGTGTATGTGTGTGTAAACATTTATTTGGTAGCTTAGGCATAAAGTATGGTTTTTCCTTGGCATCCTCGGGGGACTGCTTCCAGGACCCCCTGTGGATGCCAAAATTGAAGATTGCTTAAGTCTCATATAAAGCGACATAATATTTGCATATAACCTATGCACATTCTCCCGTATACTTTAAATTAAATTATGTCTAGATTACCTATAGTGCCTAATCTGTAAACAGTTGTTATGCTGTATTGATTTTTTTATTTTTATTTTTAATTATTGTTGTTTTTAAATTTTATTCTTATTTTTCTATTTTATTTTATTATTATTATTTTTTTGAGATGTAGTCTTGCTCTGTCGCCCAGGCTCGAGTGCAGTGGTATGATTCAGCTCACTGCAACCTCTGCCTCCCGGGTTCAAGCGATTCTCGTGCCTCAGCCTCCCGAGTAGCTGGGATTACAGGCGCTCGCCACCACGCCTGGCTAATTTTTTGTATTTTTAGTAGAGATGGGGTTTCACCGCCACCGCACCCGGCCGTTGTTTATTTTTATTTTTTTGCTAATTTTGATCCATGGTTGGTTGAATCCATGAATGTGGAAGCTTTGGATATGGAAGGTGGATTGTACTGCAGTTTGAAATATAGCTAAATTTTTAGAAGGATTTTAATATAAAATTCTAAAGCAGAACTATAATGCAGGAGACTGCTCATGTCCTGATAGAATCATTTTCAGGTTATATAATCTGTTCAAAATACTTGTTTTCCAATAAAAGGAAGTTGTTTTCCATAATCGGTTTTTTGGCAGAAGTCTCATTTATTGTAGTAATCTGTACAGGTATTTATTTATTTATTTATTTATTTATTTATTTTTGAGACAGAGTCTCGCTCTGTCGCCCAGACTGGAGTGCAGTGGCGCGATCTCCGCTCACTGCAAGCTCCGCCTCCCGGGTTCACGCCATTCTCCTGCCTCAGCCTCCCGAGTAGCTGAGACTACAGGCGCCCGCCACCACGCCCGGCTGATTTTTTGTATTTCTAGTAGAGACGGGGTTTCACCGTGTTAGCCAGGATGGTCTCTATCTCCTCACCTCGTGATCCGCCTGCCTCGGCCTCCCAAAGTGCTGGATTACAGGTGTGAGCCACCGGGCCGTCCTTTATTTTTAATAAATATTATCCTCTGCTATTATCAAATATTTGGGTGAGCACTCTAAAAGTATAAATTGTTAAATGAAACAGAGTATTTGATATTACTTTTTCCATATTACTAGAACTTATAAAAAGAGGTTAGAAATTTTTTTGTGTGTATCCTTATATTACTTTCTAATTTTCTTTTCTTTTTTTTTTTTTCTTTTGAGATGGAGTTTCTTTCCCTCTTGTCACCCAGGCTGGAGGGCAGTGGCGTGATCTCCTGGCTTACTGCAACCTCCAACTCCTGGGTCTATGCGAGTCTCCTGCCTCAGCCTCCCAAGTAGCTGGGATTATAGGCATGCGCCACCACGCCTGGCTAATTTTTGTATTTTTAGTAGAGTTGGGGTTTCACCATGTTGGCCAGGATGGTCTCAATTTCTTCACCTCATGATCCGCCTGCCTCGGCCTCCCAAAGTGCTGGGATTATAGGCGTGAGCCACTGCGCACGGCCCACTTTCTAATTTTCTCTTGGCATATCATAGTTGTATAATCACATTATACAGCACATAATATCTAGAGCCTGTCATAGTTTCAAATTTCAAACATTGCCATATATTAGTTCTGTCACCTTGGTCAATTTATATAATTATGCCTCCATTTTTTCATCTATAAAATGTAGGTTTCTTATGTGTTATTGCAAGAAATAAACAAATGAATATATGTAGAATGTTTAGAACAGTGCCAGGCACAAAAATAAGAAACGTATAAATGTTAGCTAGTATTATTATAGCAAGCAAATTGTAAAGTCCACATTTTTTTTTTTTTTTTTTTGAGAAGGAGTCTCACTCTTGTCACCCAGGCAAGTGCAGTGGCACGATCTTGGCTCACTGCAATCTCCACCTCCAGGATTCAAGCAATTCTCCTGTCTCAGCCTCCCAAGTAGCTGGGACTACAGGTGCCTGCCATTACACCTGGCTAATTTTTGTTTTTTTTTTTTTTAGTAGAGACAGGGTTTCACGATGTTGATCAGGCTAGTTTTGAACTCCTGACCTCCAGTGATCCACCCACCTTGGCCTCCCAAAGTGCTGGGATTACAGGCCTGAGCCACCTCATCCAGACATAAAGTCCACTTTTCATGTTCTCACTTGAATCTCCTTAAGTTTCTGATACAGAGTTCACACAGTAGGTCGAGAGCAAAGGCTGTTGGATATTTTACAAAAGAACACTAAATAATCCATTTTAAAAGATGTTTACCAGTTGGGTCTTACCAGATCTCCATGGAGTGCATAAATGTTATTTGAAAAGCTAGAAGGCTCTTCCAAAATTTGAGCAATATACTCTACCCAAGGACAAAATGAAAAATTATTAAACAGGTATTTGATAGCTAAATTGGGATAAAGTCTTTATAAGAACAGTAAGAGGTTTGCATCTAATTATGCTCATTTAAAAATCCATTACTTAACCATTAATTAGACAAAAAGAGAAGAAAGAGTATGACTTCATTTTTATCTAATTAATAGGAATTTTGGAATGCGCAGTTCCAGAAAAGCTTATCTCCTAGAGTGTTATAGTCATCACTTTAAAATTAATTATTTTTAAGTCAAAGTGATGAGAAGTGCACTACAAAAAATTCAATGTTTGTTTTGACTAAAGAAAATATTATGAATATAATAATATAATATTAAAAACAAACCAAATACACTAACTAGCATTTAGAATGAGTGAACTTTCATTATTTCCCAGTGTATATAATGGCAAACTTGCACAGTCACTTGATTTTATAGAAAAAAAAGAATATAAAGAGTTCTGCTAATTTCATGTGCCATCGCTTATTTTATCTGCATTAATTTAAAGATATAGTCTGCCTGTGCCCAATAAAAACATCTGTATTGCAAAATTTAATAATTTATATTCATATATTCGTATAGTTGTACTTGTCTTTGATGAATATTATCACTGAAAAAAATTGTTGAGTGATCTGTTTCTTTCCCTTTTCTTTTTGTTTTCTCTTTCTCACACACAAACACAGAACACTCAATCACATGTTTAAAAAAAATGAATCAGTCTTTTCTAATATTTTCCCTTATCTATTTAATCCTTTGTTTAAAAAATGGCTATAAATTTCATGTATTTAAAAGTAAACAGACTTCCATTTTACATATTCAGCCTGCATTTATTGAAAAGGGAACAAAGAAAGAAAGGTATCACGTAGTTGCATGCTGTCAGGTAACATTTTTATAATAATTCATGTGATTCCTTTTGTACATATCTATTCTTGAGTTGATTGTATTCAGGCGAACCTGAGTCACTTCTGTTAATGTCACAATGAGGGCTGAGTCCATTAATTCTACTTCACTACACACTGAGTCTGTGATAGGGATACAACTCCTCTTTCTAGCTCATCTTTTAGTAAACTTTTGTTATTCAATTATGACACATAAATAAAATGAACAGATCTTAAATTACACCTTGATACATTTTACAAAATGAACAAATTCTTTAACCACTAAAATCAAAATAGAGAATATTGTCAGTACTCCAGAGTCCTTCCTTCTTGCCCTGTCCCTCACTAAAGTGACTATTATTTTGACTTCTGTCATCAGAGATTAGTTTGTTCTTTTATTTGAAATTTATATAAATAAAATCTTACAGTACACACATTTTTGTATCTGGCTTCTTTTTCCCAAAATCATGTCTGTGAGATTCATCCATGTTACATGTAACATTACTATAGAATTCTCATCCCTGTATGATATTCTATTGTATGAATACATCACAATTTATTCATTTTACTATAGATGAACACTTGCATTGTTTTCAGTTTCATGATATTATGAATAACTTGCTACAAATATTTTTAGACATCAGTTGGAGCACATGTGTGTTATATATGTAAATAGAACCTCTGGATCTTAGAGTATAAACATGTTCAAATTCATTAGACTATCAATTTTCCCAAATTGGCTGTACTAGTTTTTAAATTCCACCAGCAGTATATGAAAATTGTAGTTGCTACACTATCTTGACAATATTATATATTGTCACTTATTTTTAATTTTTGCTATTATGGCTTAATTAATATTGGATTTTTATTTTCCTAACAACTAATAATGTACATCTTTTATAAGCATATTGGCATCTTTTTATGTAGTTTCTGTTCATATTTAGTAAAGTGCTCACTCAATATTCTCCCTTTTTCTAAAAAATTGAGTTTTTTATATTCTTAAATGAAATAATGTATAAGAAGTATGTCTCTTTTACCTATATATCATATATTTTATATTACTCATATATAGATACATATTCTCTCAACCTATGGCTTCCATGTTTACTTTTAATACTGAGTTTTAGTTAAGAGAAGAACTTAATTTTAAAAGTCTAATCTCACAATTCTCTCTTTTATGGTTAGTGCTTTCCCTCTTCTATTTAAGAAACTCTTGTACAACTCCAGAATCATAATTTATTTATATTATAGAATTTCTTTTAACATTTCTAAACTGTAATGTGGAAACATTTTCGTGTTCATTAATCTACATAAATATAGAACATAAATATATAAGTGATCTGGTGCAATATATTGAAAAGACCACATTTCCCTTACTGCACCTTCCCTAGTATGATATCTTGCTGTAAATAAGTTAATTCTATTCATATGCATCTGTTTCTGGATTTTCTAATCTATTCCATTGGTTTATTTTTTCTTTCCTTCTGGTAGTACAACAATGTATTAAGTCTTAATATGTCTTGTTATCCTGCAGGATGAATCTTCCAACTCTCTTCTTCCTCAGGATTCTCTACCCACTTTCAAAGTCCTTCAATATAATACTGAAGAGATGTGGTGATAAATGACATCCTACTCTAGTTTTTGATCTCAGGATGTAAGTTTTTGAAACTGCAGCATTAGCATGATGTATACTTGTAGAATTTTGAAAATAACCTTTATCAGATTAAAAAACTTCACTTTTGCTTCTAAGTAGACCAGGGCTTCTACTGAAACAATAAGAATAGCTGAATAAATTACAAAAGTTGTATTTCTAAAGGAATTAGAGGACAGAAGAAATAATGAGGATTAAAGTGACTGAAACTCCAGAGAGAATAGAGCTGTTCAAAGGTGAATGAAGATGTGCACTGGCCTTTTCCAGGTTGCATTTGCCCATTCAGAATTGGCAGAAGTGGAGAATACTGGCTTCGCCCAGGCATTAGTCATTTCCTGGGGAATAAGAAGTCAGTAGAGGCCGGGTGCAGTGGCTCACACCTGTAATCCCAGCACTTTGGGAGGCTGAGGTGGGCAGATCATGAGGTCAGGAGTTCGAGACCAGCCTGACCAACATGGTGAAACCCCCTGTCTACTAAAAATACAAAAATTATCCAGGCGTGGTGGCATGCGCCTATAATCCCAGCTACTTGGGAGGCTGAGGCAAGAGAATCCCTTGAACCCGGGAGGCAGAGGTTGCAGTGAGCCGAGATCGCACCACTGCACTCTAGGTGACAGAATGAAATTCTGTCTCAAAAAAAGAAAAAAAAAATCCACTGAAACTCTGTCTCAAAAAAAAAAAAAAAGTCAGTAGAAGTTTTAGTAGTTGTGCAAAGATACAGTGACAAAATCAGAGACTTAATGGGGTCTAAAACACAGAGTTGGTTTTCTCCCAAAGACGTGCCTCACGTTCTGAAGCTTCCTGTAGCAAGAGACTAAAAAAAAATAAAGCAAAAGATTTTGGAAAACACAGCAAAACTCCTACAGTCTTGGAGTGCTGGAGAAACAGACACATTCCCCAAACTCTCACCCAAAATCCTCAAACAGCCAAGTGTTAAGGATGAAGGGTAAGCCACAAGGAGACTGAGTCCTAAGGACTGCAACCAACTTTACCCATGCTCAGGCCTCGATTGGATTAAGTGATCAATTTCCAAACCTCTTCTGGTGAAAGTTACATCATCTAATGCCTGTATTTTTTATAGTAAATAAACAGCATGCAATTAATAATTATTCTGCTTGTGCAATAGGAGCATATGCCAATATCACAAAGAAACAAACAAAAATACAAGCAGATTCTGTTTTTCAGGTTAGCAGATAAGAACTTAAGATACTTAAGATTAATATACAAAAGAAAAAGAAGAAAAGGAAAAAATATTGACTGAAAAGTGAGGAATTTCAGTGGAAAATTAGAATCTATAAATAGATTTAGAACAACAGTCTAGAAACAAAAATGTGACCTATGAACTTAAGAACTCAACTGATAGGTTAACAATGGATCAGACACAGATGATAAGAGTTCTGAACTGGATCAATGTAAAATATACAAACTGAAGCACAGAGAAAAAGAAAAAGAAAAGCACATAAGAGACATATAGAACATACTTATAATGTGTTAAATAACCTGTAATTAGAGTCTCAGAATGAGGTGGGGAATGTAAGAGGGGGTTAGCATTATTCAGAGAAAAAAGTGGCTGAACATATTATATTATCTTTATGTTGTTTCTTAAGGCGTAATAGTGAAATAGTATGAAGTATTAAATGATGACCTTAAAAAAAATCTTTTATCTGAAATATTCCAACACAGTTTTAAATGTGAGATAGATCTGAGTTTACTGCCTCAAAAATTTATAATCAGAAACATTTTAAGCCAAACAGCATCTCTAGGATGATTTATCTGAAACCCCTTTGTTTTATTTCTGAGGTCACAAAGGGATTGAAAGACTTGCTAAAGGTTCTAGAGCAGATAACGCCTCAACTTTCCATCTTATTCTATTTATGGAGACACTTTCCGTGAACCTGATTACTAATATGACCCAATTGCAGTAGCTGGGGGTGGGGGAACAAGTAAATATTTCCTTGTTTACTCTGTAAAGCATTCAGTTATGCACTAAAAATAAGAAAGAGGATACTTTGGGAAATAATTCTCTGACTGTTCTAGTTTATCTAAGTGAACCTAAATAAAACAATTATTACGATATTATAAATTGGCTCTGGGAATCTCCAGCTCTGTTTTTTGTTCCATTAGATATGTACCATCTTACCAAGTTTCCTGATCCTGTGAATTTCTTGTAAGTTCTACCTCATTTCTCATTCTGTTTATGTATTGACTTACAGTCCTGAACACCCAACTCTTTATCTAATATTGTGTTGTCTGTTATTCCTTCTACTAAAAGTCAGAATGTGAATCCTGGCTCTCTGCCCCTTATCAGCCATGCAATTTGGGCAAATTATCTGCTTCTGAGCCTTGTTTTCTTTATATGTAAAATTAGCATAATAAATATAACACCTGCATAGTTGAAGCTCAATTTATATCATTGTGTGTTTCTTAAACATTAAAATTCTACTGTTTATTAATCATAAAATTAATTTAAGAATGAGATAAGTGAATAGTTTCTACCATAGGCAGGTGTTAAGCCAATTACATTAAACAAAATTCTAGAAATAAAGTACTTTGATGAGGGCTCAGCAGATACGGTCCATAGGCCAAATCCTGTTCACCACCTATTTTTATAAATAAAGTTTTATTGGAACACAACCATATCCATTTGCTTACATAATAAATATGGCTGCTTTGCTGTTAAAAAGGCAACTATATTTGTGTAGTTGCAATCGACTGGGTAACTCACAAAACCTGAAATATTTATTAGCTAGCCTTTTACAGAAAAACAGTTCACTGACCTCATCTTAAAGCATTGCCTGGCATAACAATACACATTAATTGTGTATTGTCAACCAACCCTTTTCAAAATAATACAAAATCCAGACTTCATTATAGTTCTTAAATACTTACTGATAAGTTTGATTGGTATTTAGGAAATCCACGCCAATTTTTATGAATTCTACATTAAAAGAGCATTTTTTGCTAGTATGCTTTCCTTTTTCTGTGGGTGAAAACAAATTTCTGGTGTATTATTTTTAAATTTAAGAGTAGTAATTATGCACAGCTGAAGTAAATACATTTTGCATAATAATTAATGATTTATAGAGTCTACTAAGGCTAGTTTGAGCTATTGGATATAATGTGCATTTTTTCTCTTAACAATCCTCATAAATCAAGATTTACTCATATTAAATAATACTAAAAAAGAAACTCATTTCTCTTTTGCTGTTGTATACAAGAACATTAAACATATAACTTTCATTTAATTTCAGATAGTTAATATAAAACATTGCAGAGGAAATGGATATCTATTTTGGAAAGATGGAGGCAATTGTTGTCTATGGCAAGACAGAGAAAACACATTTCTTTCTACTTGAAACTAAGATTATTTATAAAAGGAAAACTACCTAGGAGATGATGACTGGGTAAAGCTTGTCTAACCAGAGCCATGGCTTCTTCCTCATGCTATTCCTGGAAACCACCTTTTAAAATTGTTCCCATAAGATGTTGGATCATACCCAATGTGAAACCATCAAAAGATAATTGTTATAATAGCAACAATAATAAGTGCCATAATGAGTCACTAGACATCTGTATTTACATGCTGAGGGATTATGTCTTAGTTTCTATATCCAAAGTTAGGGTTGTAATTATTATACATAAGTTACCATTATGCCCAGGTAGGACATTTAATATACACTCAATAAATAATTATTTATTGAATAACAAACAGTTTACCTTGCATTATAAGGAAATCTGACTAGATGAGAAGGAATTTTAGTAACTATAGAAATCAGTAATGATTCTAACATGATCAAAACGTCAGCATATGTGGAACATGAAAGTTAGAAGTTTTATTGCTCTATGATATAGTAAAACAAACTATGGAACAAACGCTAATGGTGAAAAATAAAGAAAAGCTATGAGAAACAGTATATAGAAAAAAATCATCAGAAGTTGATGATTAATTCAGTGTGAAGTAATGGATTAAGGAAAATGAAATCAAGGAAGTCCTCATTCCCACTGTATGAAAAAATCATATTTAGGAATAATTTCAATAAAGAATTATGGATATTGAGATGATGGATAATTCCATGATACATTTAGTTTTAATGAAGAAAAGATTATGTCAAGCTAAATCTTAGAATTTGGAAGAAGGGGAAAAAAGTAAAACAGAAATGGCCAGGTTCCAAAGACATAAAACAGTGCGTTGTTGGAACTGAAGAAAATAGTTCCAAGAAGTTCCATACAAATACTAAACGATCAAAAAGCCCTGAAAAAAAATGACACTATATTTGATAGTTTGTATGCCACAGTCAACCTTGTTAATATCATTTTGGTAAAATAAGGGGAGTGGAAACCTTGCTATGGAGCCAGCGTTCTGACACATGGAAATGAAGGCAATTAGGGCAAACATATGTTTGAGAAATTGGGGTGTCAAATAAAATGAATAGTAACTCTAGAGAGTCACAGCACGAGGAGTAATATTTTCTTTTACAAGGTAGAAGAGGCCAAAGGTTTTCCTACTTAAGACAGAAATAGCATAAAGAATGAGCTTGCATGTACAAGAAAGACTGAGAAAATAAGTAGGAAGGAGTTTAAAAAGGGGGATGGAATCTTCAGCAATCATTTGATTCTTTGTCTCTTTGCTCACCTAATCCTCTAAGTTAAAGCTATTTCACCTTCATCTATGGCTCAAAGTCAATAATAATTGTATATTTTAAAATAAAGAATGTGATTGGATTGTTTGTAACTCAAAGGATAAATGCTTGAGGGGATGGATAGCCCATTCTCCATGATGTGCTTATTTCACATTGCATGTCTGTATCAAAACATCTCATTTACCCCACAAATAAATAAACATATTTACATTTATTTATATATTTATATAATATATAAAATATTAGTGACAATGAATAATAATAATATATAAAATATTTATTATATATTTATTATATATTCATTTATAAATATATATATTTATACATATGTATGTACTCAGTACCCACACAAATTTAAAAAATAATAAAAAATCTAAAAAGGAAACCCATATCAGGATTCAAAACTAATATTTTCTTGAGAGAGGACACATATCAAAGACAAAGTCACCCTTAGAAGTGTCAGGAGCTCTTTGCTCTGCAATTACACATGTATACACTGCCCAGTAGCAATGGCTAAGATAAGCAAATTGAAAATGGAGACCAGTTTAGCTTTCCAGATCCTTTGTGAGTCTGTTTGACCTAAGGATGTCTAATAGCATCATGGAAATAAGACCAGAGGCTCCTAGTCATTTTGGCACGAGGGACCAGTTTCATGGAAGACAGTTTAACCACAGACCAGGTGTTGGGGAGGTTGTGGATGATTCAAATGCATTACATTTGTTGTGCACTTTATTTCTATTATTATTACATTGTAATATATAATAAAACAGTTGTGCAACTCACCATAATGTAGAATCAGTGGGAGCCCTGAGCTTGTTTTCCTGCAACTAGATGGTCCCATCTGGGGGTGATGGGAGACAGTGACAGATCATCAGGCATTGGATACTCATAAGGAGCGTGCAACCTAGATCCCTTTCGTGTGCAGTTCATAGTAGGGTTTGCGCTCCTGTGAGAATCTAATGCTGCTGCTGATCTGTCAGGAGGTGGAGCTCAGGTGGTAATGCAAGCAATGGGGAGTGGCTGTAAATACAGATGAAGCTTTGCTTGCTTGCCCACCACTCATCTCCTGCTGTGTGGCCCAGTTCTTAACATGCCACCATGGACCAGCACTAGTCTGTGGCCTAGGGGTTGGGAACTCCTGAATTAGACAATGAGGCCTCTGAAAAACAAGATTCTAGGATAAATTTTGATAAGGTTATATAATTCCTTCTTGGTGATTTCCCTTTCAATTAGCTTGCCTAATACTATTCCATCTTATGGAATGGAGGCCTACTAAATATCTAACAGTCCCATTTTGGAGGTTTTATCATTGAGAATTGTATCCAGTGATCTTATTTTTGGTTAACAATGGACACCTTTTGATAAGGACCAGATAAGTTGGAAAGCAAAACCAACAAACAAAATGAAGTTGTCAATCAAACAAGCGAAATAAAGGATACTTCTGTGTGGTTCAGATATCTTTGTGTCAAGACATCATTGAGCAAAGGGGATTTGTGTCCTCAGTTGAAGAAAGTAGAAAATTAAATCCTAAGAATCCAAATTTAACTAAGGATATCTACTGTTTTAAAACCCATTGCTCTCACAAAATTGCAATCATAAAACAAGAAGAAAATAAAACTGTGGTGTAACAGAGCTACAAAACATCAGTAAGGAACCAAGCAAATAAAAAAGACATGTAATATTTTCGCAGACTTCAGTCCTATGTCTCTATTGCCTGGATAATTGGTATGAATGTGCCAGTCAGTCAAAGCATACATAGCATTTGGTGCAATGACGTCTCCCATTTGTAACATAAAAATAAGATTGTTATTTTCATAACAGATCACCACATTGTACTCTTTTAATTATTAGACTTAAAGCTTATATTGATCTCTTTGATTCCTGATCCAGAAGAGCCTTTGCAAACCAAGACTACTCGCTCCTGTGGGGCATCAGTTTTTCAGGTTGATAAGAGTTGCAGTACCTTGAGGAATTTCCAGTGCTATTGGCTTCACCCCTTCTTCAAGCTACTGACATTCTTGTCCTTCATTGGTACTTACGACATTGTTTGACCAAGTGGAAGGCCCATATAGTTGTTAAATTCACTTCTCTTCACATCTGAGCCATTTCAGG
Organism: Homo sapiens; assembly: GCF_000001405.40. Taxonomy (NCBI): domain Eukaryota; kingdom Metazoa; phylum Chordata; class Mammalia; order Primates; family Hominidae; genus Homo; species Homo sapiens. The sequence goes on from NC_000017.11 coordinate 70,601,243, forward strand.
TATTTTTTTTTTTTTTTTTTTTGAGATGGAGTCTCGCTCTGTCGCCCAGGCCAGAGTGCAGTGGCGCGATCTCGGCTCACTGCAAGCTCCGCCTCCTGGGTTCACGCCATTCTCCTGCCTCAGCCTCCCGAGTAGCTGGGACTACAGGCGCCCACCACTACGACCGGCTAATTATTTTTGTATTTTTAGTAGAGACGGGGTTTCACCGTGTTAGCCAGGATGGTCTCGATCTCCTGACCTCGTGATCCGCCCGTCTTGGCCTCCCAAAGTGCTGGGATTACAGGTGTGAGCCACTGCGCCTGGCCCAGGCCTTTTTATATGCTGAAAAACTAAACAGTGGAAGCAACCCTATCTGTATGCTACTCCTGCCTGGAACTCATGAGCAACTTCCTTACCTGCTAAAAAAGAGGGTGGCTGTGTCTGAGGCAAAAGTCATTGTTGTTTGTTTAATTTTAATTACAAGCAAAATTAAGTCTAAACATGAGACTTAGAAGCCAAACCAAATCGAAGCTATTGGAATTGGCGCACTATTCTGCCTGCCACATGGCAGGGTGCAGTCTCAACAACCCTTCCGTGCCTTACATCCTTAAGAACTAGAATCTTGGGTCTGGCTGGCATTTTGAAGAAGGCACATCCAAGCAGAAGAGAAGCACATTATTGAAATCAGAGAAGCCTCAGAGCCATTCCACTATGATAATTTACTGTCTGCACTTTTAAAAGGCTAATTTAGAAGTGGAGTAAGCTCCTAGTTTTATGTTTACACACTGCCCTTTTTCGTTATTGCAGCTGACCCTTTCTCAACTCGATGATGAATCTGAGATTCTTATACCTCTTTCCAAATAATTTTAAGAGACAAAACTCATCTTCAACTGAAGGGAATAAATAACTCAGAGATGGCATTGGAATCCTTACTAGGGGGGCTTAGGTCAGGAAAGGCAAAGTTTTTCTATGGTGTGTGCCTCAAACATAAGCCTCTGGCTAGAGTCAGGACTTAGTAATCATAAGAGTCCTTTTCAGCCTCTCTCCTAACTTCACATATTAGTGCATGCGTTTGTTACAACCAAACCAGACTCTACTGTTTCAGGATGCAGTTCATTCTAAAGCTTTTTTCCAAAGGGGATATCCAAATCTCCCAACAGGTGCGTTCAAAAGACCTCCAGTCCATACTCAGATGGCTTTGACCTATTTCCACCCTCCGAGTCTAACCACTACCCTCTTCAGTACCATTCACACCTCAAGGACATTATCCGGGTAGACTCCCCTTATTTAGTGTATATGGACTGGTGTTCTCCACAGCACACAGAGAACTTCCGATGAATTGGTCTCTTCAGTTACAATTCAGTCTCTCTCTACTGAAGCCTCTGGAATAGTCAGTGACTTAGGATATGAACATAAACACTGCTCTGTCCCAGCTTGAGGTCTGGGTTCAGATCTTGCATTGGGTGACTGAAGGTTCCAGCCTTTGCTTCCTGATTAACTAGAATCTCTCCCAGCCAGGTGTGGTGGCTCATGCCTGTAATCGCAGCACATTGGGAGCCGAGGCAGGTGGATCATTTGAGCTCAGGAGTTTAAGACCAGCCTGGGCAACATAGTGAAACACTGTCTCTACAAAAAAAAAAAAAAAAAAAGAAAGAAAGAAAAATTAGCTGGGTGTGATGGCGTGAACCTGTAGTCGCAGCTACTTGGGGGGCTGAGGCAAGAGGATTCCCTAAGTCCAGGAGGTTGCCATCACACCACTGCACACCAGCCTGGGTGACAGAGTGAGACCCTGTCTCAAAAAATAAAAAAATCTGTCAATGCTTGGTTCTTACCTAGTGCTCTAAATAGGTTCTTGTTAACATTACCAAAGAAGGTAGGAATAAGAAGAAATTTATTTTCAGAATATGAATTGATGAAAAAATTCTTAATCACAGTTGTCTTCAGAATAAAAAAAATAAGGGATTGTTATTTTACAATTTAGTAAATATTCCCCATGTGTTTCAGTATGTTAAAAGAATTCAGTAAATATCACAATTCAATTAAATCAGCCCAGGTTTTATGGCGGTGACCCCTCATGACTGGCCAATTTTAAGGCAACTTGATTAATATTCTTTTATTGATTCACAGAAAAGGAAATCATTCATTGGTCCCTGTGGGCATACCCTATAAAGCTTCTGGGCGTGAGACAGTGTGAGCAACAGGTTGTCCCTGCCGCTCCCTGGATCCAAACAGGTCTTTCAGAGTTGACAGAATAGTTATTAGAGACGGCCTTTCCTTTCCTTGATTGCCTTCAACTGAATGTTCTAAAGATATAGAATGTGGTATTCACTTATTCTCATTAATTCATCACTTTCAAGCTTAAACTCTTTTATTAAAGAAAAAAAACTGAGGACCAGGTCAAACTGCAATTCTGGTGTTTATTTGAAACAAAAGTCATGAAACAATAGGCTTATAAAAATGAAAGGATCGTGAGAATTTTAGCCATTCTCTTCCCCTCAAAAATGAGCTGTGTATTATCTATGTAGGATGGTCATCTAGAATTTGTGTAGGTACTTAATTTCATCATTCATTTATTCAACAAACATTTGTTGATCTCTATAAAATGTCAGGTGGTGTTCTGTGCCCTTGTAGTCATCAGTGAACAAAATAGCCAAAGATTACTGCCTTTTTTTGAAGTATACATTCTAGTTGGCAGTGTCAGACAAGCAAAAATATATATAATAAAAAGATAATTATATCTTATTTTAGGAAAATAGTTCTATAGAAATAAAAGGAAGAAAGGCAGAGCCAAGTTAAAAAAAAAAAGATTGAAAGTGCTAGAGTTAGGTGGATAGACATGGTTCCATGTTACAGAAGTTGGTCAGGGCAAGCTTAATTGGGAATGGTTAAGTAAAGTCTAGAAGGAGGTAAGAGAGAAAGCCTTGAGACTACCTGGGAAAATTGCTTTTCAAAGCTAGTAGGTGCCATACGATGGAGCTATGTCTGATGTGTGTGAGGAAAGACAAAGTTTTAGTGAGGGAATGAGAGCACAGATGGGGAGGTCAGGTAGGTCACAGAGGCTTTTGGGGGTACTACAGGTCACTGTAAACAAACTTAGGGTTTTTGCTTTGTTTTGTAACTTTTACTTTAAGTTCAAGGGTTCAAGTGCGGGTTTGTTACATAGATACGCTTGTGTTATGGTGGTTTGTTGTACAGATTATTTCATCACCCAGGTATTAAGCCCAGTACACATTAGTTATTTTTCCTGATCCTCTCCCTCCTCCCCTCCTCTACCCTCTGATGGGCCCCACTGTAAATGTTTGTTGGATTTTGCTGGTAACATACATATATGCTGCATATCTTCTTTTAAGTATCAAATAGTACATCATCGAAAATAAAATATAATTTAACCTGCTGTTTTATAGTATTTCCTTTCTTATCCAAAACTTTAATGCTGTGCATGACCAAGGTCTTTTGATAATAGCATATTCTCATGTGAATCAGTAAAACTGGATCACAATGAACAGTTTTGGAAATTCTTGGTAAGTTGGCCTCTTAGCCTTGAATATGCCTATCCTAATCCCTTCTGTCGTGTTAGAGGAACTTTTTTTTTGTTTCTTCTTTTCGTGAGTAGTAATAGACTTGTTCCTACTGGTTAAATGCCTGAGCTTTCTTTTTTGTACCATAAATCATAGGACAGTACATCTTCACATTATCTGGAAAAACACACTAAGAAAAAAACAAAAACACATGCATTTCCTCCATGCCCTTGAATACTTTGCAAGGTCCCTGGAATAACAGTACTCTCTGCTTCCCTGTTTAGTCACATAAGGAAACCTATAGATGGCACCACTGCTGCCAGTAGCCATCTTGCTGTAATACGAGCCAAACTTCAGAAAAAGGGCAGTGAAATGGACTTAGAATCCCAGTAAACTTTGTATCAAACCAAACTTAGAGCTCACTCTGTCTTTAAATTTTTCAGGTGTAAGTAAAATGTTTGCTTATTTTTAAAGCTTCTTTGAATTAAGAATATTAATACAGGCAACATATGTACTTCTAATGCAATATCTAAGAACAATTGCCTCCAACAAAAAAGGCATAAAATGTATTTCTCAAGAAATGTCACTTTTTTTAGCAAGAACATCAGCTTCAGCTTGCAGGAAGTTAATTGAAAATCCCCATAGATAGAAATGACTGAAGTGAATGCCCTTCAGGTCAATAAAGCATTGCTCAGTTCCTTAGGTCTTTTGATAAACTTGCAGTTCATTTGGCTTCCCCTGCTGTTGTTCATTAATAATCACTGAAGCTTAATAATTATTTCCTAATGCTTATCACTTATTTTTCCACCCCACTTTATTACTGTCTCACATTAGTTACCTTGCTCCCATTGTGCGTGTGTGTGCATATATGTGTATTTATTTTCCAATAGCATGGTTTTATTTTGCAATTTTTTTATCTTTTAAAATGAAGATGGGAAAACTCTAATATATAATTTCAATGTATTTAAAAATGAATTATTTTGGACTGTAATGTGAAAGTAAATGTAGTCATAACCGAAAGCAATTTTGAAAGTTCTAAATGAATCCTTATTTTCTTTTAAAAACATTAAATTACAGTGGTTGGATGTGTCTGATGAGCTTCCCCCTTACCTTTCAAAATGTTTGCTTTGGATATAAATATATTTTTATAACTCAGTTAATTTGCATATACATTCAATTTTCACCCCAATCCAAAATCCAAACCCCTGCTATTTTTCTGTCTGCACCCCACCTGTGGTAACACTGTCACGTTGTGATTTTCAAGCTTAATTTCTGTCTTCAAAAGCAACAGAAGCAGTTTTGTGTTTAAGCCAACAGAGTCCTAGTTTAAAATTTCTCTCTTTTCTCATTTGCACATTTTTAATATTCCTTTTATCGCATTCCCCCCACATACATCTTGAAAAGAAATAAAATATCTCAAGTGATTCAACTTTAAGTACTGTATTTGCCAACAAGGCATTGAAAACAAAATACTCTCAAACTGCAGGATATTTTATAATCACAAATTTGCTCATTCCCATTATCCCCAAGGGGCTAAAGCACATATTATTATTCCATTAAGGAAATGAAGACTCTCCGAGCCAAGCAATCCTCTCTTTAGCTCCCTCCTCCCATTCCCATGTTCTAAAACTTTCTCTGCATAAATAGTTCTCAAACTTTGTTAGCTATAACCTTGTGACTTGCAGAAGATTCTTAAGGGTCACTCCTGCAGGGATTCTTAAGAGGTAATCCAGGTTGGTTCTGTTTTCCCACTTGAAACAAAGCAGCTCAGCCTTTGCATTGTATGTTGTAGGTCTGTCTCATATTGTACTTGGAAAAATGAAAATTAAAAAGGAACTTGGTGTTCAACATGGCTGAACATAATTTTTTAATTAAGAGTTTATCCATGAATACAGTACTCTAGATTTTTCCTAGAAGCTACCCAAATCAACACAAAATAACGATGACAAAAATCCAAAACAGTCAAAGCAAAATTTAACATTTATATTTTTCTCTAAAAATATTTCTATACTAAAATAATTCATGAAAAATATTGCTTGTATTTAATATACAAATTCATTCTATTATTTTTTCAAAATGACATATAGTTATTTTGACCTATAGAATCCATCAGGCACCAAGATTGGGGTAGATCCCTCTTAAAATTAATCTGTTTTATCATATACAATTTATTTATGAAAGTTTTCTTCTATTTCTACTTGTTTTTGTATAAGTGTGTGCTAAATTTTATCAAATGCTTTCTCTAGATCTATTCATATGTTTATACTTTTTTCTTTATACTTTAATGTGGAAAATTACACTGAGTTTTTTCTTAGTCTTTTAGATAATTCTGATGTAAAGGGGCATGACTTTTTTCCTTGGAGAAATGCTCAGTGCAACTGACGTTATGATTTGACCTGTTACTTTTTGAGATTAATTAAAAATTATCATTTCCCAGAGTATCATGAATGTTGTTCTAATTATTTAGAATAAATCCAAAGTAATTGCATATTTATAATGTGTTGACAATGTTTGAATTAAAGGCCCAGAATAGCCTTTTCCAAGATGTGTTCTGTTGATTTCTAACTTCACAGAATGCTCAAATTGACTTTCATGCTTATATACATTTGGGAAACAACACACACTAGATCTTAGGAATCTTAGGATTTACTTAGGAAATCAAAGTATATGTTAGCAGATTAAAGGTTCTTATAAGTTCTGTGGAATACATTTATTCATCTTTTTTACTGAAGGACCTCTTTCTTTGCAAACATTTGACAGCTTTTGAAGCCATTAACACACTTGCGGAAAGTTCTGTCTTTTGTAGATGAGGATTTTTGAAAAGCTTTATCAAGTTAGAGTTTATTAACTTGTGATAATCTGGAGATTTACCAAACCTATGCTTTCCTTTAAAATATATATAAAAATATAATTTCTGATTCTATAAAGAGTTTAAGACTATCTATATAAGAAGCAAAGACATCATTGAATGTTCATATCTAAATAATAGTTAAACTTCTATGTAGGCACAGGTGTCCCTTTTAACTATCTCTTATTTTTGCAAAAACAAATATTTTATTTCTAACTCTTTAAGCATAAGTTAAATTAAAGCCCCAAAAAACCACTTACTGAAGAGGAATGAAAAATAAATCATGACAAAAAAAGTAGGCTTTTAAAATTGCAAGTGGCAATTGCGCTTTATACATGTACAAAAGAGTTTAAACTTGCTATACCAAAACCTCATTTACCTGAAGTACAATAATTCTAAATTTTTAACAGCTTAACCTGCTAAAGGAATCTGGTGAAATTAACCTTTTTAATATCTGTGAAAGAGGATATAGAAATCAAATTAAAATCATGGAAGCAATAATTCAGTGAATACCATAATTTCTTTCTTCTTTTGTGACTACTTAATATCTTAATTAAAAATCTCTCTTATCTATTTGCAAAAGCATTTACAAACTCTAACATTGAGTAGCCTTACCCCAAGCCAGTCAATGTGCATGAACTGGAAGATGATTTGCAGATAGATAACTTTTAAATTGCTTCTTTATTAACTACAATAACACAAGGTATCTTTCATTTCTTTCATACGCAACTTCTTTCTGAGTCTTCCAATTCTTTGTCACCCTTCTCCTGAGGTCAGGGAAAATATGCAAGGTATTTCTGAGGAGAATGGTATGACTAAGCAAATCTTTAATCCATAAAGTTTTCTTGATCTTCTTATGTAATAATGGCATAAAAGAATGGAGACTAATATTTACTGAGCAGCTAATTGGTATAAACACCATGTCGGGAGCTTCCTATGCCTTTTAAGCCTTACAGCAAACCTCCAAACATCTCCATTTTGCTGATGAGCAAAAGTCTAGAAAGGTCATTCAGTAAATAAGTAGTGGGCTTGAACATGAAGTCAAATTCATCTTGCTCTCAACGCTATGTTTTTTCTACCCTGTCACTTGCTTTACTGTATGAAAATGTCTCGTTTTAAAGTGTACTTTAACATTTTTGGAATTATGGTCCTTCGATTAATACTTGAGATATTCTCTGCTTCCTTTACAGTGGAGAAAAATGAGGTTAATTATAGAAAAGACTCAACCCTTGATCATTAATCCCTAGTAAGAAGAAAAGGTGGGATTAGAATATATGCTTTTTTATTCCACATGCTGGTGTTTTTTGTTTGTTTGTTTGTTTCAATGTCTTGCTTCTTTAGGCATGCTTGCCCTGTTGTTTCCATTACCCTAGAAGGCCTTTATGCATATAAGCAAATCTCTCTATTATGTTAAATCTTCCTACCCACAATATTCCGTAGACTACCTTTTGTTACAAGCCATTTCATTGGATTCAGATCAGTCACTGAAACATGATCCTCCCATCAGTACCTGAAACTCATTTAACTCATGATGTGAACCTGACGCTAACTTTTGAAGAAATTCATTGTGGCCATTGGTACCATAAAAAATAAGAGAGTTTCAGCTTAAGTTCTAATGTTCTTATTTATTGTTTATGAAAGTTATACCCAATGTAAAGCAGGATGCTTGAGAAAAAAATAGAGCCAGAACAGTTAAAATTAATACATAACAAGATGGTACAAGGCCTCTGAGTTGAGTTAATCAATGCAGTTGATAACCCAACAGTAACTGCACTAGCAAGGTGGACATTTTAAAATGATTTAATTTTAAAAACTCAGACTTTTTGTTCCCTTAACTTCCAAATCACTGTATTTATATTCTTTCCTATTGTGATCCCATTTTATATTTTATTCTTCTTGAGCCTGCAAAATATTACAATAAATTTTGATGTTTACTCCTCTTTTGCAAAGATAGCCTAACAAATAATTCTTGATTTATTAAAAAACAACAAACCAACAACTGAGAACAATACTTCATTGTGCTTTGTCCTTTTTGTTGTTGTTGTTATGAAGGGAATGTAAAGCACTCTGTTTTGAAATGAATAGATGAATGATAATGTGCTCTTCAATGGGACACTGTCTCAAAACCTATTTTATCTCCGTGACTGGGATCTTCTATGTGCCTCAGTCAGCTGGTTGATCAGCACTAGGTGCTGGGACAAGAGCCAGCCTGGCCTAACAAAGGAGTATGGAATTGCCTTGAGCTCTCAGGACCAGACCAACCATTTTTGTATCACTCAACATAGATGAACAATACAGAAACTGACCCCAGATTCATCACTTTACAACCCTTTCAAAATATCCAAATAAATAAAATGTCTCCATTTACTCAAATGTTTAGTTTTAAAATACAGATTGTATTGAAAAAGTCTGATATATTATTTTCTCCATAGTACATGTTGCAAACTAATTTTTTTTAGCAAAAATAGCTAACACTTAGTGAATATATACTTTATTCTAAGCACTCTCCAAGCTGCCTTCTCACTTAATCTTCACATGAACCCAATTAGTACATACTATTGTTATTAAGGTTGTTAAAATGGGAAAAGTAAGGTGTGGAAAGGTTAACATGACATACCTAGGGTTTCATGGCTAATATGAGGATGAGTCAGATTAGAAACTGGTAAGTATGGTATTACAACCTATCATTTATTATTTCATTAACGTCGTCACGCTTACCATGCTGGCTAAATTAAGTTATCTGAAAGACTATTTTGTTCTTATAAGAGTGTTGGCGCTATTAGGCAAGAATATTTTCTTCCTATGTAAGACTGAGCTGGAAAAAGGGGATTCAGAACTGTAATCATCGAGGAAACTTCTTTTCCTAGGTTATAGGGAAAGAGGAACAAAACATTGCTGGAGTGTCCCTGTGAGAACAAGAGACAACAAGACAACAAAGTGAGACTTGACTTACTCTCAGAGACCCCCCCTTCCTTGGAGTCAGGGCCAGCAAATTCTTAGAAATTAAACCGGCTATGTGCTCTCATAGCACAAGCAAGCCAAATGACATGGTAGCAGCAAGCAAAAAAGAAATGTATTTTTTAATTGTTTATTTGTTTAAATTTTATTTCAATCACCTTAGGAGTACAAGTGGATTTTTGGTTACATGGATGAGTTGTGGCATGGTGAATTCTGGGCTTTAAGTGTACCTGTCACTCAAATAGTGTATGTTGTACCCAATCGGTAATTAAAAATGAAATATATTTTTAAAACATTTTCCCTGTGAGAAGCTTGAATAAATCAAAACACAAACAATTCGTGTCAGAATTGTTCTCTAGCACAAAAGGGATTTGCCAGATATGAAGGTAGGTCACTTTCTGGAGATGGGACAAAGCCTACATATATACACAAAACCTTTCAAAACTTATGTGTGTATATATATATATATATATGTGTGTGTGTGTGTGTGTATATATGTATATATATGTATAATGTATATATATAAGTATATATGTGTGTATATGTACACCTATATATGTATCAGTATACATATATCAGTATACATATATTTATATAGAGTTTATATATGATATATATACTAATATAATAATATACTGATGTATTAGTATATATCATATATAATATGTATACTAATATATTAGTGTATATATCTTATATAATGATTATATGTTAGTATATATAAGTATATATTATATATATTAGTATATATATTAATATATATTATTAATTATCTTCTGCAAACCTTTCTAAGTTGCTGCATGGATTCTGTAATTCCGGACTTCTTTTCCCCTTTACTGTCAATCCTAAGGCAACAGGAATACTTAACAACAACAGTTATTTTGAAAGGATGCTTCTTGGCCCTTCTCGCTAACTGCTTAAATCATTCCTCTGTGTTAAGAAATGAAAAAAAAAATCCTTACTCAATTCCTGGTGGTTTCTAGTTGATTGACTTCTAATGAGCTATCTGGCATCAGCAGCTCCATGAGGCTGAAAAGATTTTTCCCATTCTCTGATTTAGGCCAGTCTTGCGTTCAGTTTGAACATTTTTGCATAGCTCATTCAATGCACGAAAATGAATATAGACCACAAAGAAATGTTCTTTAAAAACTATGTCAGAGACAAAGATGTCTTATATCATTTTTAATCCATCACTACAAATAAATATAAATGGGCTGGGCGTGGTGACTCATGCCTGTAATCCCAGCACTTTGGGAGGCCAAGGCAGGAGGATCACTTGAGGTCAGGAGTTTGAAACCAGTCTGGCTCGTTTCACCCTGAAACCCCATCTGTACCAAAAAATACAAAAAATTATCCAGGCGTGATGATGCATGCCTGTAGTCCCAGCTACTCAGGAGGCTGAGGCATGAGAATCACTTGAACCCAGGAAGTGGAGGCCGAAGTGAGCAGAGATCATGCCACTGCACTCCAGTCTGGGTGGCAGTGTGAGACCCTGTATAAAAAATAATTATGCGTGTGTGTGTGTGTGTGTGTGTGTGTGTATATATGTATATGTGTGTGTGTGTGTTTGTGTGTGTGTGGTAATTAACAACATACATAATACTTAACCAAGCCCCTTATTTTTTCCACTTTTACCACACAAGTTACTTGAAGAGAAATTGTTGTCATTTTTCATGATCATTTCCTCACCATAGGGAGTTAGAAGCATAAATAGACATTTGCAATAACCCCATCCTCCCAAACGTCCTCTTCTCCAGCTCCCAAGTTTCTTCTTTTGCTCTTTTCTTCCTGTTCCCTCTTTCCATTTCTCAATCTCTGTTTGAGTTAACATTAGCTTAGAAGAGCAATGGATTCTGAGACCTTCTACGCATTCTAGTTCGTTTTGTTACCAAATAAGTACTTAATTCGTTGAAAGAAAGAATCTGATTTCATTAATGAGGAAATAAAGTATGTGTTCAACCCAGGAACAAGAAAAGAACAAAAAATCAGCAAGATGGCTATAAGGGTAGGTTATAGAACCAGACAGGTGGCTTCAAATATGGGCCCCTTTCCTTTGCTAATGACGTGAACTTGGTTGACTTGTTCACACTCAAAAGACTCAATCTTTTCATCTGCCAAATGGGATTCATGTCAGTTTTCTAGGAAATCAGCAGGCTTAATAAATAGCATCCCTCTTTCCCATCCATGTTCTAAAAATGTTGAGAAAGTGTGAAAAAAAGAAGCAGATGGGGTCAAAATTTTCACCTTGATTCATGATAACTACTAAGTGAGATGATGTAGCTTAGTGTCTGAGCCAAATAAACCTACCAAGTAAATATGAGACTGAGACACTTAACCACCTGCACATGCCAGACCAGACCTGAAATGCAAAGACCACAAAGGTTACACATCGGGCATGGAGGTACGTCACCTACTGACTTTTTGATGGGAGAGGAGGAGAAGAAGAAGTAAATAAAAGAAAAAAGGAAGAGCTGAAGTCAGTACACCCAAATTATTGTCCTCAAATTTACTAGTTCGATGAATCATCTTATTACTTCTGGTAAAATAGTGATTAAAGGTTAGAAAAAGACAGAAGTGTTTATATCGGGGGAAACTTCAGGGGCTGGAAAGAACTATTCCCCCATAATTTTCCCCCAGGTTTCTGAGGTCTTAACCCTTTGTGTCTAGACATTGCACTCATCATCAGTCAATAAGCCGCTACCCACTCAGGGAAGGAGAGCAGCATTTTTTTTTACAACAGCCTTGTGTCCAGGTTCTTGTACTTTTCCAATACCAGCCATACCTCCACTGGGTTGTCTCCTAGACCTACAAGTGGCTGTTTTACATTTTGTTCCCAGAAGACTCTGGAATGAGTCACAATAAAATGTTAAATAAATGGACTCTAAGGTGGTATTTTACCCAAAGCTGAAAATTCATACCCTGATCTCTTTCTTAACCTCGAACTATGTCCAGCCATATTATTCAATGTAGCCTACTAGGGCACTGCAAAAAGTTTGAATGTAAACCTCATGAGTCAATAATAAAATTTCTCCCAACTAGGGATTCCAGAAAGAAGTTAATTCAAGTAGTCTTTTGCTTGTTAAAGTTTGTTTCTTATATATAATAGTCCAAAAGAACCCCCCATCGAATTCTTTTTTATTTGCAAATTACAGATAATTTTGCAAATGTAAGATTATATATATATATATGTATATGGTCATGTGCCACATAATGACGTTTCAGTCAAGGATGGACCACATGTATGAAAGTAGTCCCATAAGATTATAATGGAGCTGAAAAATTGCTATAGCCTGCTGACTTCTTAGCCTTTGTAGTCATATCACAATGCATTAGTCACATGTTTGTGGTGATGCTGGTATAAACACAACTATTGCTCTGCCAGTCTTACAAAAGTCTAGCACAGGCAACTATGTATAGTACATAATACTAGACTGTTATAATAAATTACTATGTTACTGGTTTATGTATTTACTGTGTTATATTTTTATGGTTATTTTAAAGTATACTCCTACTTACAAAAAATATGTTAACTGTAAAACAGCCTCAGGCAGGTCCTTGTAGGAGGGATTCCAGAAGAAGGCATTGTTATCATAGAAGATGACAGGTTCATGCATGTTATTGCCCCTGAAGACAGCGGGACAAGAGGTGAAGAAGAAAAACAGTGATATTGATGACCATGACTGTGTGTTGTCTCAGGCTACTGTGTGTGTTTGTGTTTTAGTCTTTAACAAAAATGTTTTAAAATTAAAAAATAAAATAAAAAGAAGAAAGTGTATAGAATAAGTACATAAAGAAGAAATATTTTTTGTACAGCTGTACAATGAGTGTTTTAAACTAAGCGTTATTACAAAAAAAGTCAAAAAGTTAAAAAACGTGAGAAAGTTTATAAAGTAAAAAAGTTACAGTAAGCTAAGGTTAATTTATTGTTGAAGAAAAATATTTTAAATACATTTAGTGTATCCTAAGTGTACAGTGTTTATAAAGTCTAAAGTAGTATACAGTAATCTCCTAGACCTTCACATTCACTACCACTCACTCACAGACTCACCCAAAGCAACTTCCAGTCCTGTAAGCTCCATTCATGGTATACCAGTGTGCTATACAGGTGTACTATATTTCATTTTTCATCGAGTATTTTTACTGTACCTTTTCTATATTTAGATACATAAATACCATTGTGTTACAATTACTGACAATATTCCTTGAAGTCATATACAGGTTTATAGTCTAGGAGCAATAGGCTATACCATACGACCTAAGTGTATAGTAGCATCTACCATCTAGGTTTGTGTAAGTACACTCCATGATGTTCGCACAACAACAAAATCACCTTAGGATGCATTTCTCAGAATGTATCCCCATCATTAAGCACTGCATGACTGTATGTGTATGTATATATATGTATTTATTTACATACATATATAATAAAATGGATCCCACCCTGCCTTTTTTATTTTCAACTTTTATTTTAAGTTCAGGTGTATAAGTGCAGGTTTGTTGCATAGGTAAAATTGTGTCACGGGGGTTTGTTCTACAGATTATTTCATCACCCAGACACTAAGCCTAGTACTCATTACTATTTTTCCTGATCCTCTCCCTCCTCTCACCCTCCACCCTCTGATAGGTCCTAGTGTGTATTGTTACTCTCTATGTGTCTACATGTTCTCATCATTTAGCTCCCACTTACAAGTGAGAATATGTGGTATTTGGTTTTCTGTTCCTGTGTTAGTTTGCTAAGGATAATGGCCTCCAGCTCCGTCCATGTCCCTGCAAATGATGTGATCTCATTTCTTTTTGTGGCTGCATTGTATTCCATGGTGTATGTGTACCACATTTTCTTTATCCAGTCTGTCATTCATGGGCATTTTGGTAGATTCTATGTCTTTGCTATTGTAAATAGTCCTACAATGAACATACATGTGCTTGTGTCTTTATAAAAGAATGACTTATATTCCTTTGGGTGTATACCCAGTATTGGGATTGCTGGGTCAAATGGTATTTCTGTGTTTAGGTCTTTGAGGAATGACCGCCCTGTCTTCCACAATGTCAAACCTGCTTCTTACTCTTCTCTGACTTAACTAAAGGGCATGTGATGCCAATATAGAGTTAGTTTTCCTTCAGCAGATGCAACCTGGGCTGTTTTCTCAGGAATAGGTTCAATTTTCTTCAGGACTTTGGAAGTTAAATTAGTTTGACAACAAGACTCTGGTGCCCATGATTTTCTTTTTAGAGTCCAATAGAAATAAAGCCACATAATTATCACCAAGATATTTAGAAAATAACAGACTTACTCTGAGAAACATTATATTCCTAGAACCTAGCACTTGGTACTGCCAAAAGCTGGAGAAGATATCCCATGTTATCTGAACAAAAGAAGAATGCCTTTGGTTTATCTTTAGCCGAGTGCCTCTCAGTTCACACCAGTTGCCCAGAATCTGCAATCTGTAACCTTGCTCAGTTGGGAGGAAGCTCCTTGCAGATGGTTCCCTTGGAACTGTGCATTTGCTATCACTCCTTGTTCTCTCAGACATCACTGCTTTCTTGGCGAGTTAAAATTTTTGCAATGGTGCAGTCCCAGCTCCAAGATCATTTTTTTGTGTTATTTTTTCTTTTATATCCATATTTTCAAAATCTGTTCATTTATACTTACACCTTGAGTCTCATGTTCTTGCCACCCAAGTTCCAAATTGAGTCAGCCTTTGCATTTACCAATGTGACCCTTTCCACTGCCTCCTATTTTTGAATTACTTATGTCCAAGACACCAGTCTTCTACGGAAAATTTTCACTCCAGTCAGAGCCACCATAAGACCACATGTTGGGAGGTGGTTTTGGAGTCTGTAGGCCAGCGACAGGAGTGCAATCTTTGTTCTTTCTCGATTTCTTTGTTGTCTGATCTACAGCATCTACAATTTAAAGATTGAATCTTATTAATGCACATAGAACTCAGTCTGGCACCAAAAACTGTGACTTAACCCTCTTACATCTAAAAGGCCAGTGCACAAACTGTTTTTCTTGTGACAGATTTTATGCTATTTCAAGCGTTACTTCTAGGGTAAGCTATAGGAACTTGCCATTGAGGCTTTCTGCAGTGGATAATGCAAGTTGGTGACTGCTGAGATCCAAACACAGCCTGAATCTTCACCATCTATGTGGCCAGCATTTGCTGAGGTCCTTATAAGGCTGCCATGACTGCAGAGAAGCTATAACATTGTTCGCATGCCCCGCCTGAGGCCTGAGTTGCCTACACATCTTCAGAAGCCCTCCTCTGCTCAAGGTCAGGGCCTTGCATAGAGGTTAAGCCTCATTGGCAGAGACATGTAAAGCCCGAGAACCATTCACTTGAAGCTACTCATGCATACACCGCTGATATTATGAAAATGGCTACTTCACTCTGGAAGAAGCCACAATAAGCATCACC
The DNA here is from genome assembly GCF_000001405.40 of Homo sapiens. Classification (NCBI taxonomy): domain Eukaryota; kingdom Metazoa; phylum Chordata; class Mammalia; order Primates; family Hominidae; genus Homo; species Homo sapiens. The sequence continues at coordinate 70,616,965 of NC_000017.11, forward strand.
AAACATTTAGCACAGCTGATTGAAGCCTTATGGCCTGTCCACAGCAGCTAAGAGCCAAGGCTCGAGGGAAAAAATCTGCCTAGGCTAGTATACGCCTTTACAAAGCACCAAGATAAGAATGTTCTTCCCACACACTAAACTCATGGCCCCAAACCATATTTCTTACCCACATCAAAAACCTTTTCATGGAGATCTTCAGCTTCTCTAATTATTCTCTTTGTCTTTATTGCTCAATATTTCTGCTTGAGTCTCCGGGGATGTGTGGGAATTGATACCCTCATTCTCTGTATATTCTCTGATCTAAAAAGATTGAGAGATAGAATATATCGGGAAGTCACAAATCACCATGTGCAGATTTCCAATGGACACATCAAACATGTTTCAACACGATAAATTCTCTTAGCCTATTTTGAGAATATAAAAGAGTCCAGAGAATAAGGAGAAAGAAATTTTATGACAATGCATTCTTTGGAGAATACTGCATGAGTCTCATCTGATGCCATCTCCAGCATGAGCAGTTGGCCCATCCACCTCACCTTAATCCTTCCAGTGGTTTCCAAAGTGTAATTTGGAGAGGTGATTCCCATGCGTGAGGGGCATAGCCAACTGAAATCCTCCCTGTGCCTGATAATCCTGGAGCATGAGACATCTTCTGAATGGTCTATAGAGATGCTTCTCTATGGGCATTGCCCTGCTTTTCCAGTTATTTCCAAGAACAAAGAAGCACAAGTGCTTCCCAGGGACTGGATGTGGGTCCTTGGGAGAGCTGATGAGAGTCATCTAGTCCAACAGAACACACCAGATGGAGGTTGGAGGGAGAGGGAAGAATGAGTGGGAAGAGACAGAGTGAACATCTCAGGGCTCAGGAAGGAGCATGAGCAGTCAGCACCTCGAGTGGTGAGAAGCTGGAGGTGTTCTACTCATGCATTATCTTTCACATGAACAATAGCGTCAAAAGTGGGCGGAAAGCATTCTCCCCACACAGCAATGCCCATTTAATAAGTTTGCCATGATGATTGACTTGGTAATGCATGTAAAAGGCTTAGGACTGCATGCTTATTAGCCTATCACCAGTACCTACGTGTTTAACATTATATGACAAATACTCGGTGAGTGTCTTAGTTCCACTCTTTCCTAATATTTATTACACACCCCTTCTCCCACTCCTGGCTAGTCAGCTTGCATGTACAGTCATTTCTGCTATAATGCAACATATGTGTTCCTAAGAATCGCTGCTCTGTGTAACGTCAAGCAATTAAAACCACAGAGCTTTGGATAAATCGGCTTAGGCATACAACACTCATGATCAGTGACACATTTTTTAAAAAGATAGAAATATAATAAAGATGGCAGCACATCCTGTATCTAAGATAAAAGTGGAAATTAAAACAAAAATGGTAGCACAGTTTTATCCATGTGAAGTGGTTAAGAAACACATATCACATTCAATATGGCACCTGGAGTTTGCTTGTGGAAGCGGACAGCTCTGTGTTATTGTGAAGTGAGGGAAGGAGCATCCTCTGAAACCAGACAGAAAGCTATAACACCAGATGTAGACGGGTGTGGCTTGTGGTCCTCGTGAGGTGTGTGCATTTGTGTGCTTTGTGTATTTCTAGGTGGCTCCCTTCAGCCGAGTGCAGTTTTCTGTGTTTACCTACTGCTTCTCATGGATGAAAACTCATGTAAACAAATGCAAAATTTGTGTTATCCTCAAACTGAGGATGATATACCAATTACGTTGGAACAAATTCATATTTTCAAAATGAGCAGAACAGTACATATTTACAAACCAGAAGCCACACATCCCCTAGCCTGCTTTGAAAAGGGATAATTTGTAAGAATGTGATCTCCCAAGTGCAATAGTTAGAATCTTTGGATTTAGGCCACGAGCGTTTGCCAAAAGAAATATATAATGGAGAAGAGAGTTCTGGAGACCTTTGTTGGGAAAGCCAGAACATCCTCATAGAGTTACTCAACTCTGGCTAAATTATATGTGAAGACCTAGACGACACCTAAAGAATTATTGTGCATTTTGAAAGCAGGAAGAGGAAAAGAAAAGGAGGAAACAAATGACTCTGATCAATTCTTGGTAATAACAAAGGAGGAAACAAATGACTCTGATCAATTCTTGGTAATAACAAAGGAGATACGATTCCCACTACACTCTCACGTGATACATTCAAATGGTAACTACTTTTCGTCTATTTTTGCCAAAAATGAAGACATAGGATCATAGGAAAAAAACAATGTTTACTAAATCTATCAATCAAAGCCACTAAATCCTAATTCTTCTATTTCAAGATCCATTAAAAAGAAATTTCTGGGGCCGGGCGCGGTGGCTCACGCCTGTAATCCCAGCCCTTTGGGAGGCTGAGGATCACGAGGCGGATCACGAGGATCAGGAGATGGAGACCATCCTGGCTAACACGGTGAAACCCCGTCTCTACTAAAAATACAAAAAAAATTAGCCGGGCATGGGGGCGGGCGCCTGTAGTCCCAGCTACTTGGGAGGCTGAGGCAGGAGAATGGCGTGAACCTGGGAGGCGGAGCTTGCAGTGAGCCGAGATCGCGCCACTGCACTCTGGCCTGGGTGACAGAGCGAGACTCAGTCACAAAAAAAAAAAAAAAAAATTCTACTTATTTATTTTTAACTTTTATTTTGGGTTCAGGCATACATGTGCAGGTTTGTTATATAGGTAAACTTGTGTCATGAGGGTTTGTTGTATAGATTATTTTGTCACCCAGGTACTAAACCTAGTACCCAGTGGTTATTTTCTGTCTCTCTCATCTCACCCTCCACCCTCAAGTAGGCCCTAGTGTCTGTTGTTCGCCTGTTTGCATCCATGTGTTCTCTTCATTTAGCTCCCACTTTTAAGTGAGAACATTCGGTGTTTGGTTTTCTGTTCCTGTGTTAGTTTGCTAATGGCCTCCAGCTCCATCCGTGTTTCTGCAAAAGACATTATCTCATTTCTTTTTATGGTGGCATAGTTTTCTATAGTGTATATGCACCACATTTTTTAATCCAGTCTTCCACTGATGGGCATTTAGGTTGATTCCATGTCTATGCTATTGTAAATAGTGCTGCAATGAACATATGCATGCATGTGTCTTTATGGTATATTCCTTTGGGTACATACACAGTAATGGGATTGCTGGGCCAAATAGTAATTCTGTTTTAGAAATGTCTACTTCTTTGTTTTTGGAGTGAACAATAACAAATAAGTCAAATCAAACAAGAATATATAAAGGTTTGTTTGTATTTTAATTATTAAAATATTGAAAAAGGAATACATGAATTATTTACAAAAGCAAATTGTCAGTCACTGGAGGCAGGTGCCAAAATAAATTCTTCTCTTCAGTGTAATAAGAAGTGCTCTGAAGCAAATTGGAATATAATATTGATAATGACAATAAATTGTAAATTCGTATAACTTTGTAAAAATTTAATATTTGTGCATTTCTGAAGTTCTTTGAACCTTCTTTTTTATCAGCAGTGTTTCTAGGTAGTGTTCATTTCTTCAGACAGAAGGTTCTTAAAGAGTCATGACTGCCTTATTAGTTATGTTTGTGCTTCCAAAACTTACAGTCCATTCCATCTGTGGTGAGCCACTTCAGCAAAATATATTTTGGACCATGAATTATTGGGCATAATGTAACAAAGCAACTGGTTGTTTGACATTTTTTTTTTGTTTGGTATCATGTAGATAGTTATTTTTAGAACCAACTCTAAATGACTTTTCTCCGGCCTTTTTCTTTTTTTTTGAGATGGAGTCTCGCTCTGTCGCCCAGGCTGGAGTGCAGTGGCACAATCTCGGCTCACTGCAACCTCCACCTCCAGGGTTCAAGCGATTCTCCTGCCTCAGCCTCCCGAGTAGCTGGGACTACAGGCATGCGCCACCACATCCAGCTAATATTTTGTATTTTTAGTAGAGATGGGGTTTCACCGTGATAGCCAGGATGGTCTCGATCTCCTGACCTCGTGATCTGCCCCCTTGGCCTCCCAAAGTGTTGGGATTACAGGCATGAGTCACCGCGCTGGCCTTCTCCAGCATTCAACAAGTGTCATGCTATAGTCGACGTGTCAGAAATATCCAGTGAGAATCAGGGAAACCTCATTAGAAAGAGTTCCTGATTGGTTCCCATATGTTCCTGAGCTGTTTACTATATTAGAGTATGGTTTCAGTTTCTCTTATTTCTTTCACTAATCTTTGGGCTCTAACAAGGTATATTCTCATTATAATCTCTCTGTTCTCTCAAAATCTAACACAGTACTAAGTACAAAGTTAGTTCTCTCTATATTGTAGTTAAATGGAATGAGTTCATTACAAGAAGATTAGGGCTGAATTAGCCCAGTTTGGCATTTTACATATTTGAATAATCAAATGGTAGCTAGAACCTCTATTTTGCTTGGTTTTATTAATTCAGTGGGGGACACCTGCCGGATTTAATTTCTCCCTCATTTCTAATGGACTAAGTCAGTTTAGGTCACTGTGAAGACGTGGGTGAGGTCATGAACTTCAGTCTAGGGCTGCTGTTTTATTGTTTAGACTATCGCAGCCCTCCTAAGCCAAATTTCTTATATACTTTCAAAATAAAAATGCAGCAAACTAGTGTGGAAGTAGCCTCCAGAGCGTTCTGCCCCTCACCACCCCCGGCCCCTCCAAAGTTAGACTTAATCTTCTTGTTTCCATGTCAAATCCAAACTGGACCACCATCACTAGTTTCCTAGGAAACCCTGAAAAACTGTCTTTACATAACTCACTTTGCCCACTATTGGAATGCTGCCACTTCTGGGGAAAGGCACAGCAGCTGTTCAGCTGCCTCATAGCAACACTTCACAACAGTGTGGGAGGAAAGCAAAGACCAGCAATATACTTAAATTAAACTTCCCTGGGGAGAGCAAGATACCAGGGCAGAAGGTAATAGTTTAGAGTCGAGAGCATCTAATTAGTCAACAAACCTGCCCTGAAAGCGAACGTAGTGAATTTTTAATGAAATCAAGAGACCCAGTGTTTTTTCTCATCTTCCACTTGAAAGGCACTGATACATATTTAACTGCTATCATCGAAAGAGTCCTTCTGTTTCAAACATACTTCCAAAGAAGTATTTTTTTTATTTTTATTTTGAACTAAACAACAAAAAAGAACACCCACAGCAAAGAATAAAGGTCAACTGGGTTATGTTTTCATATAATTCCTACTATTTCCCCAAAAGTTAATAACATTTCATCCAGCTACCCCTTGGACTAGCTAGGACTAGCTAGAATTGCCAAAACTCAGATGACAATGCAAGAAGCATCGTTTCAACCTGGCTCTGTTCTCTCTTTAGCACGGAAACAAAACACATGTTTATAGCAGCCATTCTTTGAACCGTGATTCATAAAATAGGGGTAGAAATTAAAGAGGTAAAGTCAAAGTTGCCAATAGTAAGAGGAAAATATTTGAACGGATGGAACCCAAACTGCCATGTAATGCTGTGCAGTTTGCTGTGCATAAAGGCACTCAGCCAACGAAGCAAATGGAAGCTTAAAATGCAGTTTGGGCTCCCCTAACCAAACTGTGCACCCAGGAGTCAGGCTACTACTTCCCGAAGAAGGGGTACCTTTTTCTCAGCACAAAGGCGCCATCTGTTGGCCATCTCAACAGAGGGGCTGCTTTCTTTCGGCGGGTTGTGGTCATTCAGAGGGGAAGCCAATTTTTCTAGTGGAAACCCCGCATAGAATGGGGGACCCTAAGAGGCATTCTTGTACAAATACTTCATTTTATACATAAGAGAACAAACACCAGGGGTCCAGTAGAGAACAAAAATAAGGACCTCTGTTTCAGAAAGCAGAAAAAGATGTTATTAAAAGTACTAACAGAAACTTTTTTCTCTCTCCATGAATTCTCTGAAATAGTCATGGTGTCTTTATTTGCTCCATGTTATTGATTTAGTGTAATTCTAAGCAAAGACAATTTTAAAATGTAATTATTAGCATTAATTTCCCTTTTCATCTTTATGTCGTGAAATGTCAGCTTTTAATATGAATGTAAATGCATTTTGTTGGTTACACGGAGTCACTGATGCTATCCACTTCCTATTTTGTAGGTCGTACACGCCTACCCATTTCCTTCTTATCAGAAGAGTGAAAACACTGCAGAAAACCACCTCTTCTGTTTGTATTTTACTTCCGGAAACATATACATCCCATCAACCCTCTCTATCTTCAGTTTACTAGTGAATAAAGAAGGACTTAAAGGTAAAGAGACCATGGCTACTCCTATATTCCAATGTTGTCTTCATTTCCAGCCTAAGTGGCTGGCTGGCACATGGAGGGAAGTAACAGGAGTTAGAATGGCTATCATAGGTTCCTTGTTCCTCTATGTTTCCCAGAAGGCCATTGTCTTATTTCTCCACCGGAAAGCAACTTCAGGTTTGAATGGAATATGTGGACTCTAGGGATGTCAGAGTCCCTGCTCACTCCCTTGGGAATGGTACATGCTTACCTGTACTCTTGAGTCTTTCTAGACCCTCAGGCATTGTGAGTCTACTAGAATTTTGTGTCATGCAGCATTGCAAATGCTATAAGACAATGGGGAAGTACGGAACTACAGGGAACATTCAAAGTGTGCATATCTCCTCTGCTCACACATAGGCACCATTGTCCCATTAGACTTTACTTACAGAACACAAGTTGAAGGATTAAATTATCAAGAATTTCAAGACAGTAACATGAGAGCATTAAACTAGACACAGGGCCCTTCTGAGGACTGAGCACAGGTTGCCAGCCCACAAAACTGGACATGAGAAATATTAAGTGATTTGCCTAATAACCAGAGATAAATGCCTTTCAACTTCAGCTCATTTCTAAGCATTAACTTCTATTTACTTTTTTTTTTAGCTAATAAACTGACCTTTCTAACAATTCTTCAGTGTTACTATTAGATCAATGAATAATGGAATGCAAATGTTTGGGAGGGAAGGATGCTAACAGTGATCGAATGCTCATGGTGCTTTGCCGTGCTTACCTAAATGATCTTATTCATTACAATTCTAATGAGGCAAGGTGTGTTTAATGCATTTTTAAAGCTGGATACTTAAAACCTTAAGAAAGCAAGTAACTCATCCAATGTCAAGTAACTTATGTGTTGAGAAAGCAAGATCAATGAGTTATAAACACACGGAACTTGAGTTCCGTTCCCAACCTCCCTTTCAAAATCTATTCAGCGGCGTCGCTTTCCCATGACTCTAGATGGAGAGTTGGGCGGGCCCTTGAGTTTCTACCTGCTTGGAGGTATTGAACAGTTTCTCCCATTACTTTAGATGACAACTCAGATTCAACTTGGAAGCTGAAGTGTGCAGGTATCTGTAACATTCACATGTCTGGATTGACTTAATGTTAAATTTTCTTCCCTTCCCTAGCTGGGCTGTTGAAATTGGCCACACCATTGCCAACAGTGACACAGCACTTCCTCTTTCCTGCTTGAGTCTTCCTCCAGTTATTAGTTTGAATGGGAGTGGTTAGTACTTAGAAAGTGGGGTGTGGAGCATGAAATATGGGAGTGGGGATGAGAAATTTCTTATTGGGGTGAGTTTTGTGCCAACTCAGACTTCTCTTAATCTCAAGGATTCTGTTTTAACCTGGGTTCTCACAATGCAGAACCTGCATAATTTATTGGGAACTGTAACCCTGAAAGTGAGGGACAGGGGTAGTGAAACAAGGCAGGTTCAAAATAAGGATGTTTCAAGATGGTCAATGTCAGGATATCTGGATGTTCACTCCTATGGGATCTTCTGGAAAGCTGAGTGGCATGAGCTTTAGGATCAGGCCTTCAGCAGAGGAAGGAGAAGTTTTGCTTGCTGGTTTCTATGCATATTTATCCAGAGTTCATCCCATGAGACATTAGCCCTCTTAGAGTTCCAGGATGAAAAAGAGTGATCACAAAATTTTCTGCCATGTCACAGAAAAGCCCAGGGATGGGCCACAGGAATGCTGGATGGGCTTGATGTATGGTGGTGCCAAGATGCACCTGCAGGAAGCCATTTGGGGTCCATGCACAGGCCCATCACTGAAGCTGTGGCCAAAATCAGAGAACAAAGGGGTTTAGTGGATCTGATATGATGCATGAACAATGTCTAACATGGGTGCTTTCCTGGGTTCACTGGAGGAGATTCAACTTGGGCCCTCCAACTCAAATTCTAGGTGTGTGCCCTGCCTCCTCTTCAGACATTTGCCTTCTGAAAGCCTGGCCCTTGGGAGGCTCACTTTATAGCACATATCACCTCTCATATATTGGAGTCCCATTTTCCTCATCCTGATAGTCCTTTTGAGCAGGACTTCAATAGCTCCAGTCCAGTTCACTCTGCAACAAAAGTCTGCATTGGGTCCTAGAAAAACAGTGACATATTCCTTGGCCTATCATGGAAGGGAAGTACAGTTACTCCTGAAATAAACAAGAAACTCACCCCTGTTCCACCAGCCAAAGCAGCTTCTATAACTTTCTATTTTTCCCTTAAGTTTTCCTTGGCTGAAAGTCAGACCGCAATGCACCATATTGTCAAATGAGAGGACAAAGCATTCACAATTAAGTCTCACTTTAAAGCCTCTCTTCTTTTCAGTAAAAATCGCTTTGTTTGGTGATTGACTTTATGATGATAAACATACCTGAAAAAGTCTGATGGAGAGTAAGAAATACAGCTTTTCTAAACAGAAATAAGGCTTTCAGGGAATGTTCTACAGGACTATGAGTTCCTTAAAACACTGCAATTCATTTCTCCCTATAGGCTGGCTAAATTTACTGTCCTCTCAGTGTGAGAACTAGTCTTCTCAGACTCCTTGAAAAATGTTCCAATCTTTACTGTTTTTTAGAAAGTACTTGGATACGACTAGAAAATACCCATCCTTTTTAAGAATTTTTAAAATTCTTAAATTGAAAACACCTCCATTAATTTTAGTAATGCAGAACACAAGATAGAACTGAGGGTTGTGTTTCTATTCTTACTGTAGTGTCTAGCAAAGTTATATAAAATTATGCATAATATATAGTGATTATCTGAAAAAAATAATTTGAAATAAGCCCAACATTTCTCTGCCTTTTCTTGATTAAGAAAATTTGGAGGTCAACTAAAAAGCACACACTTATTAAGACTTTAACTGAAATATTGCTCTGTGGATCAGGAAAAAAGAAATTCCAAGAAACTCAAAAATTCAGAGCATGAAAATATACTGATCTTAGTGAAGACTGTATTAGAATCAGAAACAGATGACAAGGGAAGGGAGGAGAAAGTGGGAACCAACAATTCAGCATGAGAATAGAACTGTGTCTATAGTCATTCTGTGAATTATTAAGTTTTCACCTTTGGAAAGATGTCTTCGCAAGGCTAGTAGTTTTAAGTACAAATGGGGATAATGCCAAATGATGGTTTTGCATAAAAAGACTGGTATAGCTTAGAACATGCAGTTCTGAATAATATTGGAGTAGGAAAGCAAGTCAACAAGCTATTGTGTGTGTATGTAATGGACTTAATTAGAAAACATGGATTTGGAAGAAGTTTACTTCTTCCAGATCATTCTTGGGGCTATTAATACGAAAACTGAAAGTCATTAGTGACCAGCGTTGCCTCAAATCTTACCAGGTCAACCCCAGCTGTTCTGTTATTTCATGAGAAAAACATCAACTGTTTAATCATTTTATTTGTATTAATAATTTTATTACTTTAATCATGATGAAGAATTCTCTAAATGATCCTTTTGCCAAAGATCATGTTCACCTTCAAGCCTAAACTGCCTACGAATTAGATGTGCTGTTTTCCCAGAAACAATGTTTTCATTACTATTAATAAGTAGTTACTTTTATTAATCCCAGACAAATGACAGTTTAAAAGACATCATCAGAGGATATTTAAGATTTTGTTTTGCCTTGTTTTATTTATTCACTCCAATGCTAATGATCTGGAGGAAAACATTGTTTCATTGTTTTATTCCTTCAACGGTATTATATTATTTAAGCAACAACCGCAGCAAAATCCTCAGGTTTTGGAAGAGGCCCATTAGCTAGCGGCACTAAAGTGGGAAGAAGTAATTAAAATTAATAACTCAATGCAGAGGATTCCTGCTTCTGAAAACGATTAGCATCTCTTTCCTGTTCGTACTTTTTCTTCTTTGTGTGTGTGGATAGAAACACGATCATGCTTGTTGCCCAGACTGGGGTACAATGACACGATCATAGCTTACTACAGCCTCAACCTCCCAGGCTCAAGCGATCCTCTCACCTCAACCTCTAAAGTAGCTGATACCACAGATAAATGCCACCATGCCCGGCTATTTATTTTTATATTTTATAGAGATGGGGTTTTACCACGTTGCCCAGGGTGGTCTCAAACTCCTGGGCTCAAGCAATCCTGCCTTGGCCTCCCAAAGTGTTGGGATTACAGGCATGAGCCACCCCGCTCAGCCTGTCCTTTTCTTTACAGTGAATTTAAGTTTTAAAAGTTGTGCTAAATTTATTTGAACATTACATCCTGCAGGACATGTTAGGATGCACCGTATAAGCCATGAACGTTCTAATACTGCAGGGATTCAGTGAACTTTCCATTTCCATACAAACAACCTCCTATCTTCTGTGCCTTCCTTGAGGTTCCCCTAAGGTGCCCTCTTCTAACAGGAGGGGTAAAGCCACAGTCAGCCTGCTAACAGCTACACAGCAATCAGGAAAGTGAGAAAATTAAACTACCAGTGACACATGTTCCGTCTCACCCGTTTTTGGAGAATTGATGGAGTGTGGTAGTTCACCTTGTACCTCTTCACCTTTACAGCACAACTTGAATGGGTCTGGCCCATTGCTGGACAGTTGGAGGCTCAACTTCATACATTATGCTATTACTCTCTGTGGAACAGGAAATTTCTTGTTGCTTTTAAAACTATCTGTTTGCTTCCCTCCATATAGATGGGAGAATATGGCTTAATCTGCCACTGGGAAAGCATTACATCATGGTAGGGCTCAGGGAATTTGAGAGCCAATTAAAGGGTGTTTTTTTCTCTTTAAGATTAAAATTTTAATATTGAACATTACTATTTTTCTAAGAAAAACAACTATAACTTCTAGAATATTCAACACTTTTAATTATAATTAATGTCCTATTTATCTCATGCATTGTTAAATCTGCAATTTACATATTTAATAAAAGCAACATTATTAGGTATCCATTAAAATCTATAAAATGCAAGTTTCCATTATTGAGTAAATTAATTTCTCAGTGAGTGGCTGTTTCTCTTCTCCCAACCACTGATGAAGCAACATTATTCATCAGTTTAATTTTACTAGTTGATAATACATTGCTGCAAACATTAATTTTCTAATGCATCCCTGTACTTACTTTGTGTGTATGTTTGAGCTGGTTAAGAGGCCCTGACGATTGTTTTAACCATTGACAGACTGCAAGATGAGCTAAACTTCAGCTTTCAACGAAGATAGACTGAGTCTGCTTGTATTGAGATATCTGACTTTCCTTAATTACAAGACTTTTCCAACTGCTTCCTAAAACGTTGGCATAGCATTAGTGAAATCTCTTTTTTTTTTTTTTTTTTTTTTTGAGACGGAGTCTCGTTCTGTCGCCCAGGCGGGAGTGCAGTGGCGCGATCTCCGCTCACTGCAAGCTCCGCCTTCCGGGTTCACGCCATTCTCCTGCCTCAGCCTCCCGAGTAGCTGGGACTACAGGCGCCCGCCACTGCGCCCGGCTAATTTTTTGTATTTTTAGTAGAGACGGGGTTTCACCGTGGTCTCGATCTCCTGACCTCGTGATCCACCCGCCTCGGCCTCCCAAAGTGCTGGGATTACAGGCGTGAGCCACCGCGCCCGGCCGTGAAATCTCTTTTTAATTGTTTCAAGTAAAGACATTTGTCATTGTCTCTGTACCATATTGTGCTTCTTCTACAGACTCTTAAAATTCATGTATGTCAATCTTATTGCTCAGAATCACAAAAGTAAAGATTCAAGCTCCTTGATATCTGTCTAATATATAAATTCTTTCTTTCACTTATCCATGTTCTGGAGACTTTGAGAGTCATCTAGTCCAAAAATAAGAAGGCAAAATTCAGAATCTCTGGAAAATGGTGCCCCCAGGTTTCTAAATGACTACTGACTGTGTCCAAAATCTGCTACAGTTAAAACAAGCCATTCATCTCTGAATCTTTATTTTAAAATCCCATACCTATTGTATAAAATGCTTGGTTATCAAATTTGTTAGTTATATGTTTATTTGCAAGAGAGTTCTTCCCAACTTCACCGTGTCCAAGTAGAATTGCTTTTAAAAGTGTTATCTTTCTCAGCTCTGCTGATCACAAGCTATTTGACGTCAGATCTCTTGACTTCAGTTTAGGCATCATCATTACCCCCTGACCTCCTGCAGCTCTGAGGAAGACACAGGACATTCTCTAGCTTGGTCCATCTTGATGAGACTACTGAATGTAAAAGGGTTGGGATTGGGACAGAGAGGGCAAGTCCATTTCAAAGTTTTGATTGAGGAAAAATCTTTTGGTTGGATCGTAATTTTACCTTTCAAAAACAGACAATAGTAAAAAGATAGGACTATGGAAGAGAACATACACACACATGCACACAGACACACACACACACACACACACACACACACACACACACACACACACACACAGAGCTATGGAGGCAGAATTGCCTAGCAGGAATAATGGTAGTTTTGAAATTAAATTATATAAAGACCTGGGTTTAAATGCTAAGCTCAAAATTATATCAAGTGATTTTAGGTAAGATAGCTAACATTTCTTAGCTTCAGTTTCCCCTTGGAAAACCATAGATATTAACTATCTATGGAACTGATTCCTGGTTCATAGCAGCCATGCATCAAATGGTACCTACTAGAGTTCTAGGAAAGAAAACAAAGAGTTGAGAAAGTGATTATACCTTGAATTTTAGTCAAAGCAGAGTGAAAAGGTTAGCTAGAGTTTTCCTCTGTGTAATATACTGAGAACAGGATTCATGTGTTAGTAATTTATTCTACACTAATAGGTACTGATTATTCAGGGAAAAAAACATGAAATATAATACATATGTGTGTATATACTGCATATATATATATATATAAAAAATACTTATTATGTAATATGCGTGCACATGGCGAGCACGATACTCCCCTGCCATCTTGTGGTAGCACAGCTATATTATATTTTCAAGTGTAATGAATTTTATTCTAATGCCATGGGTTCATGGCAAATAAATAAAACAAATTAATTTAAAAACACACACACACACGGAGAGAAAGAGAGAGAAGAGTTTTTTTTATCAGCATACACATTTTTCAACAACTTTGATGATTTTGTTTTGCAAATAAATGGATGCAATTTTATTTTTGCAGGAAGAAACTCATTAATTGATTATTTCCACCTTTTATTGAGTGCTTTCCATGTATGGGCCTGTGTCAGGTCCTGGAGGCACATGGCTTAATAAGAATATATTGTTTGTCCTCAAGGTAGAACTGATGATGAATGCTATTACAATGTTGGAGCCATGACTGAGAGATGCTCTAGAAATCCTTTGGCTGAACCACCTAGCTCAGAGTGGTGCATTGAGAGATACTTACAAAAAAAGAAAACACTATGGTTGCGTATTAAAAGGGTGGTAGAAATTAGTCAAATAGAGTAAAACTTTGGGGAGTAGAGTGGTAGAAGAAGTGGAATCAAGGCAGAGGGAATATGATGATTGAGATAAGGAGTAAAAATTTCATTTCAATTCCTAATGTACTCACCACTGATTTGCCAGGTATCCTGCTAGGTGCTGGGATGCCAGAGTAGACAAGGCAGATATTGTCCCTGGCTCTCTTCAGGATCTTTTTTTCCTCTTCCCCTTCTCAAAATCTATGAACTAAAAGGGAAGGGTTTCTATTCTTGGGCACACCTGTTTTATTCTTTGTTTCTTGACTATCATCAGGTTTTTTACAGCAAGTATGCTCTGTTAATGAATATTTTTGACTATGTTGTAACATGAAAGTTGCATTTCACAAGGGAAGTGATACAAATGTGAGGAACTTAATGAAAAGAAGTAGTAGATCATGCTAAAACAAAGGGATTTGCCCTGATATTGAAGGTTGGAAAAGTCAAACGTGACCGCCATGACAAAGTGGCATTTAATATAAAGAATGAAGTAAGAATGAGACTTAACCAGGTAGGGGGAAAGATTAATGGCTGAGAGAAAGAACTTTTGCTGCACTGGGAACAGTGTGAAGCCCAGCACCAGGCACCATCTTTTCCTCTGAAAAACAGAAGGGAGTTTTATGTAGATAGACAGTAAAGTAGAGTAGTTATTAAATGAGGCCAGGGCCACTATCCAAGATATTAACAATCTAATCCTGGAAACTGTGAATACACTACATGACAAAAGATAATTGAGGATGCAGATGGAATAAGATTGCTAATCCTCTGACTACAATGGGGAAATGACCCTGGACTGTCGAGGTGGGTTCAGTGAAACCACTTGAGGTCTTAGAAGTAGGAAAGGGAGGGAGAAGAACGAGTCAGAGGAATGAATTAGAAGAGGGAGGAGAGATTCCACAAATGACAGAGAACTGGCCCATGACTGTTGACTTTAAAGACAAATGCTGCGGTCAAGGGCCAAAGAATCCAGGTGGTCTCTGAAAGCTAGAAAAGACAAGAAAGTGAATTATCCTATGGAGCTTATAGAAAAGAATGCTGCCCTGTAGACACCTTGATGTTTACCACAGTGAGACTCCTGTTGGGCTTCTGGCTTCAAGAACTATAAGATAATACATTTTTGCTGTTTTAGACCAGTAAATTTGTGGTCATTTGTTATGACAGCAACAGAAAATTACTACATTAGATGTATTGTCAGTGGTAGATTAGGGAAGCCCTCTAAGCTACGTTAAGGATTTTATTCCTTATGATCAAGCGGTCACTATTCCATAGCTCAGGAAGGAAAATGGCATGTTTGCGTATGCAAAGATCACACCAACTGGTTTCACTGAGACTCAATGGGTGGGAGCAATAGTGGACCCAGGGGAACCTGGGAAAGGGGCTGTTGCAGTTGTTTGCTAATATGTGGTAGTGATGGCAGACTGGGGAAAAAAACAGACTTATTCATTTCAGAGATACTTAGGTGGGAAAACTGATGATGTTTCCTACTTGATGGATGGAAATGGTAAGACAAAGTTGGGACTTAATACCAAAAATGTGAGTTTTATTGTGCAAATTAAAAAATGAATTTTAAGAAAAGAAAATCAGAGATTGGCTCGTTAGATATATTGTTCCATTACATAATGATGTCAGTGAGCCTTGGAATAGCAGTCAAAAATATTCAGTAACAGAACATACATTGCTTCCAAGACCTGATGATAGTCAAGAGACAAAGAATAGAACAGGTGTGTCAAAGAAAAGAAACCCTTCCCTTATTTTTCAGATTTTAAAAGGGGGGGAAGAGAAAGCACAAGATCCTGAAGACAGCCAAAAAATAAAGAAAAGAGAGGCTATGTCATAAAAGAGGGAGGAGGGGTGACTTCATTGAATAAATCGTTTTTAAATCTCTATTTCTCAGAAATGGGGCTAAATAGTGGGGATTAAATGTTACCAAGAGCAAGACACCTTGCCCTTAGATTCTATTTGGAAGGAAGACAAGCAAGTAACTGGGTAATTTTCAAATGGTCCAGTAGACATATGTTGTCTTGCGCGATGCTCCTACTGATGTTGAATACCTTTCCATATGCTATTGGCTAGTCAGAATCCCTCTGACATATCCTGCTCCCATTTTCTATTATTGTTTATTACCATTATACTAATTTATAAGAGCTTGTTGTATATTCATATACTATTCATTTGTCTATTAAATGTTTTGCAAATATTTTCTTCAATTTTAATTTTTCCATGCTAACATTGTTTACAGTATTTTTTCTTTTTTTTCTTCATGTATCCAAATCTGACTTAAACTTTAAAAACTTTATAATCAGGATAGTTTTACTTTATGTCTTTGATATTTTGGTTTTTTCTTAGGAAGTCCTTACTTGTCTTTATTTATATATATATTTTAGACAGAGTTTTGCTCTTATCGCTCAGGCTGGAGTACGATGGCACAATCTTGGCTCACCACAACCTCCGCCTCCCAGGTTCAAGTGATTCTCCTGCCTCGGCCTCCTGAGTACCTGGGATTACAGGCATGCACCGCCACACTCCGCTAATTTTGTATTTTTAGTAGAGGCAGGGTTTTTTCATGTTGGTCAGGCTGGTCTTGAACTCCCCACCTCAGGTGATCCGCCCTCCTCAGCTTCCCAAAGTGCTGGGATTACATGCGTGAGTCACCGTGCCTGGCCAATATATTCTTATAAATATATTCATCTATAGTTTTTTATTGATATCTGGTACTTGTACATATTTATGGGATACATGTGATATTTTGATAGATGAATACAATGTGTAATGATCAAATTGGGGTCATAATTTTAGCATCTCTATTGATGTTTAATTAACATAAAGTGCACATATTTATTATGTACAATTTGATAAGTTTTAAAATAGATATCTACCTGTAAAACCATCATCACAATCAAGAAGATAAACATATCTATCACCACAAAAGTTTTCTCAGGCTTCTTTGTAATCTCTTCCACCACCCTCCACACTTGTCTACAGAGAAGTGTCAATCTTTTTCTGTCACTAAAAGTTAGTTTGCATTTCTGGAAACTTATATAAATAGAAGCATGCAATATGCACCCTTTTATGTCTTTTACTAAGCACAACTAAACTACTGAGATTTATCTGTCTTGTTGCGTGTATCAATACCTCATTCCTTTTCATTGTTTAGTAGTATTTCATCATATAGCTATAGCACAAACTTTTTTTACCCAGACTTGTTTTGAACAGTTGTGTTGTTTCCACTTTTTGCCATTGCAAATAAAGCTGCTGTAAGCATTTGTGTATGGGCCTGGGTATAAACATGCTTTTAGTTTTCTCTGTTAACTATCTAGAAGTGGAGTGGCTGGACCATATGAAAGGAATATGTTTAACTGTTTAATAAACTGCCAAATTGTTTTCCAAAGCAATTGTAGCATTTTACATTCTGACCAGCATTTTATGAGGGTCCCGGTTTCTCCATGTCCTTTCCATTATTTATTATGATCAGTCTTTTCCATTGTAGCAAGTGTAATGCATGTGTAGTGGTATCCCATTGCAGTTTTAGTTTGCACTTCTCTAATGACTAACAGCGTTAAGTGTCTTTTCCCCCCTAGGTTTATCTGCCATTGTGTATCTCTTTTTTGGTTAAGTATGTATTCAGATCTTTTCCCCATTCTTAATTACGTTATTTGTAGAATCTGTTTCAAGACTGATGGCCATTGTAGTCAGTGATCATGTTTCTGAAAATCAATCAGGGAAGTCACCTATTTTTCAAAGTCAGATGGTGAGCAAAAGCCTTACTCCATGAACACATTTCTGAAAGCTGGCCAATCAACAATAAACTTACCTGAGCAGGGTGTAGTGCCTCACACCTGTAGTCTCAGCTACTTGGGAGGCTGAGGCAGGAGGATCTCTTGAGCCCAGGAACTTGAGGCTGCAGTGAGCTACGATCACATCACTGCACTCCATCTGGGCAACATAGCAAGACCCTGTTTCTGAAAAAACAACAAATAGCTTACCTGAATAAGCACATTTCCACTGCTGAGATCCACCAACTCCTGACTTTGAAAGTCGGCCGGTCCCTGGCTCTACCTCTTCCAAATCCTCATACAAAATAAGCTTCCTGCTTTGCAATCAGGGAAATGGTGCCTAAAAAACATAGTTCTCTCTTATTTAAGTAATAAATTCAGATTTTTTTCTAGGTGTTGAGTGGTATCCTCTCCCCTCAAAACCATGTAGTTTATCAAAAACTTCTTTTTATGTAGGTTTTGTGGTTTAGAAAAAGTCTGTTACTTCTTTTCTGAAAGAAATGAATTTTTTTATCCATGTGTATTGATGAGTTCATCCTTTCTTCCCTTATTTAAATATCTCCTTTATCATAAACTAAATTACTAGATAATCTTAATTTTATCCAAAACACTTAGTCATAATTTTCTTTGCATTTCCATCTTTTTTTCCTACAAACGCCAAGTGCTAGTTACCAAATGGTTCTACTTTTCTGACAGCAGAATCTCTTTACACATCTTGTATAACTCAAAAATCGAGTTATGTGATATAGTTAGAGGTAGTCAGTTTATTTAGTCTTACATCTGAATATTTCAAGTTTATCTATTTGATCATAAAACAGGTTTTTTTAAATACTCTTGGGCTTTCTCATGAAAAGTAGTGACAGAACAAATGCATTGAAAAGAAGAAAGATAATGGTATAGACAGGTGTTTTCTTTCATGTTCAATCAAAAGGTTTTTATTTTCAACTCAGAATCTGTGAAGCTTCATGAGATCAGGGCTGTTGTATTTTTCTTTCTACATGCCTGGCAACTGGAGCAATGCCTTCCACGTGGTGTATATTAACTATTTATGGGATGAATGATGAAATTAATGAATGAGTGAAATAAATAATTTTGTCTTTCTGTGTATATTTATGCTAAGCATATAACAGGGTAAAATTAAGAGGCGTTATTCTTA
The DNA here is from genome assembly GCF_000001405.40 of Homo sapiens. Taxonomy (NCBI): domain Eukaryota; kingdom Metazoa; phylum Chordata; class Mammalia; order Primates; family Hominidae; genus Homo; species Homo sapiens. The sequence goes on from NC_000017.11 coordinate 70,635,557, forward strand.
TTTACAAGTAATTACAAAAGGGTGGGTTGGACAACTTAGTTTTTGTGAGTTAAATATAAAAGTAACAATGTATTCTCACTAGGTGAGAAATCATAATTTGCCAGACAAATGGTGTAGACTCTGAATACTTGGAAAGGTATAAGTCACTGGGGACTAAAGAGATTGAGTCTCCCTAAATACAGGCCTACATTTGGACACTGAAATGATGTTGATATATATATTTTAACATGTCATTCTGTCTTTTAATCTCCTTATATGTAATACTTGTTTCCTTCTTCCTCCCATTCACCTTTTTCTTTAAGTAGCAGTTTGGTCACTTAGCGCTTGACTCATTCAAGCCGTTGAATGACAGCACCATGTTAGAGATGCCCAAAGGTCAACCAGAAAGAAACAAAGACGATTTTGTTCCTAGATTTATAGTTTTAAATGAACTCAGCATAGTTTTAGTCTATATTCTCAAACATTGTCATTTCCCCAATATTCTTAAAATCTTTCAAACCTTGAAAGTCGGCACATAAGAATATAATGATTGTCTCATACCTACACATAGCGTATTCACTTTCTTGTTGATCATGTTATTGTTCTATTACTATCAAAATAATCATTGTGGAAAGGTATGAAAATCTGACACACTGAAACAAATGAACCAGAAGAGATTAAGAAGACATCATAGAAAGTGCAATGTGCTAACTTGGACTGGATCCTGGAACAGAAAAGTGGAAAACTGGTGGAAAAACTGGTGAAATACAAATGAGGTCTGAAAGTAGTCAATAGAAATATTTAATAGTAATGTAACCAAAGTCAAGTTCTTAGCTTTGACAAATGTTCCACAGTCATGTAAGCTATTAGCATAAGTGGAAGCTGGATTATACTTATACGTGAACTCTGTTTTATTTCTGCAACTTTCCTGTAAATATAAAATTATTCTAAAAATAAAACGCTTATTAAAAACTAAATATAAATATATTTTTCAGTAAGTATACTGAAGTGATTTCTAAATTAATTATATTATTATTACATCAAAAATGAGACTTTTACTCATCTTGTTTTGTTTACTGCGGGTAGCACATGGAAAATGCTCAAGTCACTGAATTATAGAGCACCAATGAATAATTTTCTTTAGTTTTCAATATGAGAAGAGTGTATTCTCCACTTCAGCCACCAGGTGGAAGTATCAGCACATCAGTTAAAATCAGTTCTTCATTGGGAGGTTTAAAAACTACCCTTGGAAAACAAACAGTTTTTAATGTTATGATATGATGTTATTATACACAGTAAGAGGAAGAATTCCCAGTATTATGATGAAAATCAAGAAAGATATAAATTGGCTGTGGACAGGACTCCAGGATACTGAGATATCCAGAAATAAAGTGAAAAAAAATTTTACCATTTATTTAAACATTTCCAGACATGGATATAAGTGCACATGGATAAAAGTTGAACAGGTAGCAACATCTGGAGACTTAACGGACATTTATCTTAGCCCAGACATAAGTGTAGCATGCAATGTCTGAAACTACCAAGGCATGGAAAGCTAAACTGATCAGTATGATGCTGTCAGTGCTTTCAGTATGGGTGATATTCAAAGTACAGGAGAACCATTTAGACTAAATGCTACCATTTAATGGCCCAATCTGCATTCTCCCTGCTACCATCTTGATGACACTTTCTACCATTCAGGAAATGAAAGCACTTTCTAGTGTCACCCAGTGCAATATCTAATTAGGAAGGCAAATTATAAAAATAAAAATGGAACTGCAGTGTCTTTCTATCCAAAAACGAGGCTTGCTTTGTAGTTTCTAATCCATCAGTTTCTTTCCTTACTTTGAATAATCAGGCATTTGTTATGTCTAATTTTATGTCAATCACATTCTCAACTCTCTGTATAAACTCTTTCAATAAAGATTGATACAGGTATGAGAAGAACCAGAATTTTTTCAAAAATATTATATTAGACACAATTTAATATAAGGTGAAATCTATTGATTCAGTCACAGTTTGATCTGTTATTTTCACATACCACATTCTGTAAGATGCTCACAGGCTACTGAAATAAATAATGATTTGCCTTTTTCCATTTTCTGAGTTATACAAGTTTTTAGAGATGTGTCTTGTGTAAAGTGCATCATTGCCTGCTTTTCAATTAAAAAGACTTTTGAGGCCTGAGAAATTAGACCAAAAAAGGATTAATCATAATAATCTTTTAAATAGAGAACACCTGCCATCAATATTTTAGAAAGTATCATTCTAAAACTAAAACTTCTATTACTAAGAGATTATAATAACAGGCAACCCTACTTATTTCTAAGAATAGGGTCTACATGTTTTTACTTATTGGTCCACATATTCTCTGCAATTAAAACTTAGACAACATTTGAGTAATGTTGTCCATGTTGACTGATGACCACAGACACAGTGATGATATAAATCTTAAACAGATTCATTTGATTTCCTCATCAGTGATGAACTACAACATTCTCCTTCATGATTTCTTTTCTTATGTCCATACCTATCCATTTAATCTTAATTCTGGTTATTTGGAACAAAAATTCCAATAAGTGGCATTTTTCCAGGGCTCACATCTAATAGATCAAGACCTCTAGTGCTTTGATGCTTAGGTGTGGAAAGAGCTCTTTACCAGGAATGCCGGGCACTCTGAATTAGTCCTGTCTGCTCAGAAGAACATTGCCTCTCCTTACCAATTTTCTAATTATAACGAACATACACAATTGTTAAAAATTCTTGCCAGCCTTTGGACAATTACAAAACAGCATTTTTCATCAAAGGACACCTGGAGTATGACTTATAGGCACTTACAATCCAGAAAGATAAGGTAATCAAACTCTGGAAGAATTCTGCCAGCCGGGACCCTTTAGGTAGAAGGCAGTGAGGTAGACTTCCGTGGATCTACCAGGGCAACAAAAGAGAAGAGGCAGAGCCCTTCTGAGCTATTCAGCAGGGAGAAGACTGAGATGCTGAAAATGTGGCTAAAGACACAGTAGTACTGTGAGTCCTCAATATAACCCATATTTTTTTCCAACTTGTGTTAATCTAATACATCTTTTGAATATAAAGGAAGAAAGTGTAAAATGCAGTTGGTGATTTGGTTGTTCTATTTTTGCTCTCTTTTCCTTTATACAACAGAAAATTTTGGTTATTCAATATTGTACTTAAAGGCATAAGGCATGTGTGTATGTATATATACACACATAAATATGTATTATATATTTACATATTACATGTATTATAATATATACATATTATATATTATATATACATATTATATTTTAATATGTAAAATATTCTGTCATTTGTATTTACAAATATGTCAAGTTTGTTTTAGGATAGGCAAAATACTCTAATAAGTAAAAATTTCACCTTTTACTAGTAGTTTTGATGCTATATCCTTGGAATTTCAGGGTTTTCATAGAAAATGTTTTTTAAAGAAAAGAAAAAAATGGTAGAAATTTCATTGTCTTATTTTTTAAGGACCATTGCTTAATTACTTTTTTCTCAGTTCTGTTTATTTGCTCTTAAAACAAAAGAAACAACAAAAACTGATGGCTTTCTCGGACAACAACAACATCCACAACAACAAAAAAAACACTAATCAGTTTCTGAAAAACTAAAGAGTAACTGATTATTCTAACTATTAACTACCCGACCATTCAGGTCATTGTTCTTTTCTACAGTGTGTGTTTATCTCATGCTCATATATTGGTTTTTTAAGTGCAGTATACTATACTTAATCATTGTCTAAGATTCTTTGGAAATCTGTTTTTCTATTCAATTTATACTCCTAGTAGAAAATTTTTTGGGGAACAAAAAACTGAACCATCATAAGGCTAAATGAAACTCCTTGGAAGTAAATTGTTATTTGAGGTATCTAAATCAGAAATTTCTGTTCTTCAGTTTTATGTGTCTGGGGTATTGCTGTAAAGCACTGACCATTTCTTTGCTGGAACATAGTTTATACATAATGGAGAAGGAATAGGCCAAGGAGAGATGATGATGAATGTATGCTTTCCCCTGCAGAAATCCCTTTCAAAAAGAGTAATACTAACAAAAACAAAGGCAAGTTGAAAATGTGGTGGACCTCACCCTCAGACCAGGTGAGCCTTCAGATTCTGCACCTCGCTGGCCGTGCATAAAGAAGGCTGGGACATCCCTGAATTCACAGTCAGGGTGGTCGTCTGTGTGCAGAACTGAAAGCAAACAAGAGTAAGCTATAGCCAGATGTGGGGGCTTTCAGGTTCACTGACGGTTCCTGGGGTACTTGGAGTCAAAGCAGCTCACGCACGTTCCTGCTTTCCACCAGGAAACGTGGAGCCACGGAGGCCAAGGAAATCTGATCAGCTCCAGATCCCCAAGTTGGTCTTTTTACACCCCTAAAGACACCATGCTTGCTCCTTCTCCAAGACTCATAAGGAAATACAAATGACTTTGAAATATCAGCCACTGTTAACTGGATCAGATTCCTCCAGTAAATATGGTAAGCCAACAGATCTACCTTATGGCTCAAGATCCAGCAAAGCATCTCATAAAAGAATATTTCTATGCCCTCATCCATACATGTGTTTCTAGAGATATGTTATCAGTCCTTTCTACCAAGTAGACAGAATTTTTATCATTACATCTTTGAAATCATAGAAAATCCTTCTTCTCAGCGGCATCTAGTTTTACTTAATCCTGCTCTTCACCAAATTCTCAGTTCCAAAATTTTGATTTTTTTACTGACTTCTGTCATTTCCTTCTTTTGATTTGACTTTCTTTGTCCTGAACCTCAAATCCCACCTGATACACAAAAACTATGAATTTAAAAGAGCATATTCATTGCCATAGTTTTGTGAAGTTAAATCAACTTTGCATATGAATTGGCATAGGAAGATCACATTCCCTTCCATACGAATTTAGAGAAGGTATGAAAGTCAGCTCTGTTAGTTTCAGAGTGTTTGGTTCAACCTTTGTGTGCTCAGTGTTCGGGGGTAAAGGGTCATCTGTCTCTTCTATGTTTTTTTCTAAGTTGGCCGAGTAATTTCATCTTTAGGTCTCCATTTCTAAAATTACATCCTGGGTTTGATAAGATTAAAAGATGAAGTGATTAATTATGGATTTATTTAACAATTGACTGATTTTTACAAATAGTTCACTTTTAAGTGGCTTTGAACTTATCTTTGAGCACCAAAAACTTTATTGGTGTTCTATATGTACTGGGCAAATGAAACCAAACTTCATTTTACCCCTATTGAAAGTCTGTTTACTGAAGTCACTAAATCACCCCATTTCTGACCTCAGCTAGGGGTTCAAACTCTTTTTCACAGCCATTAACTTTTTCAGCGTTTCACCAAGCAGATGTGTGTTGTGTGGCTTAATCTTTTCCATACTAGATGATACAGCAGGCCTCCACCTGACGTGCGCTTTGATGCAGCATAAAAATCTCATTCATCATATCTGATTTGTCCTCTTTGTTGACATATGATTAATGTAAAATGGTTTTTGTTTTTTTTTTCAGAGAGAAGAGTCATGACTTTTGCTCAGTCATTAAAATAAGAGACACAAGGATTGGTATGGGGTATCCCTAGCAGAATTTATTCAAGGAAGCCTAATCAATATCCCCCATCTCACTATTTCTTCAGACACGTGCTAAGTTTACATATTCGAATCAAATTAACATATCAGAGTCACAAATTGGCAATGGTGTCAAAATACCTATCCTCACCATTCTAAATCATTTTTCACATTAAATATGTCAAGGGCTATGTTTGCGTGCATAAGTCAAAAGAAGAGAAATAAAGCAATACATTAAGAAGTTGGTGACATAAGCTTATTTATTTAGTTATTTATTTTTGCCTATTACTGGTAGAGAAAAATGTATTTAGTTTGCTCTATTACAGGTAGAGAAAAATTATATTTTGTTGTTCTGAGTGAAACCAGTGATAATCATTTTACCTCTTCTTTTAAGTAGTATAGAAGTCTAACATTTTCATTGCTTATTGCCAGAACTTAAGTGCTAAGATTTTTTCTATATTGTCTGATTTGATTCATACATATAATGTTGAGATTCAAGAATTATTATCCCATTTACCAGATGAGGAAGTGGAGGTACAGAAGTTTTAGAAAAGGGAATTAGCCTCCGCTTCTATTCTATTAAGCCACTATATTTCAGAAGGCATAGAGTATCTATTTTGCATTTGGGTTGGGGGAGATGGAGATTTGCCCTAACTTTGATTCTTTTAGGTCAAGAATAATTTCTTTCAGAACCCGGATGGTTTTCTTATTTCCATAAAATGGGTTGCCACATTAGGCCTCAGAGTCCACCAAATGAACGGTTCTTCTCTTCTGCTGTCCCTCAAATTTGTGATATGTAAAATATGTGTGAAGATGCAGATAACATGTGGGATCTCATTGGCTCTACCATTCCTTAGAGAAAATGTAATTGTTATTGATTCTAACTGATCATTCAAAAATTAAGTTCCTCCAAATTTACTCTTTTTCTAATTGAAGGTTCCAGCTGCCATGGGATTGAGATTTCCTATTTTTTTTTTTCTTGTCCCGAAACTCTCTGTCAAAGATTTTATTTCTCTAGGCAACCAGCTGGTTTTTCACATAGATAAGGTCAATTAATTTGACCTTTGGTTCAATATGAAATGCATAATAAAAGCTGGTGCCCCAAGGACCGGATGTGGCCTTTCAAAAAAGTAACTTGCCAGGACAGGGAACAATAATTTATTACCTCATAAACCCCAGTTGAAATGCCTGTTGCCCAGCATAGCAATGACAAGGAGCTTGTGTGTCTTTATTTATTTATTTTTATTCTATGCAATAGAGAGAGGGGAGGAAAATAAAAAAATAAATAAATAAAACAAGCACCTGCCCCATTCAGGGAGGAAAAATGGCAAAGGCAAAAAAGATCTACTCGTACTGCTTGAATTTTTGTTTTATAGCAAGTTTTCATCCACTACACAAAAATTCTTAGAGACAGGCTCGGGAAAGTTTATTATCAACTATAAAATTTTGTTAAATTGTATTTCATCGCTTGAATTTTGAGAGATACAGGAAATCTTTGTGAAGCGATTTGAAATAGAGAACCAAAATTGCTATGTATAGTCAACATCCAAAATGACTACTAATCAGGATAAATTTATCTATGGATCTGTTTGGTGGATATATTTATATATCTAATTTTAACAAATTCATGAGGCTGTGAACTCTTATATTTCAGTTTTTACTTAATTCTGTATCGCTATCATTCTGTATGCCATTAGCATCCTTCATATGTGGTATTTATTCCTTTGCATAAATGTGTTATAACTGGCGTTTGTGTCTAGTTTTATCTGATATTTTAAACAACCCTGAATGAAACTCCTTTACATAAGTCATTGATCACATCCTTGATTATGTCTTAGAAATGGGCGATCTCAACAAAACATACAAATATCTTAAAGCTATTGAAAACTATTCTCTCAGTATAATTCACCATTTCTAGCCACCATGTAGTTTTTAATCCATTCCTTCAGCTGTTCCTTTGAAATAGTACTTTTAGTATACGTGGAATTATGGATAAAACAGACTGTAGAAAATATTTAAACCTCAAAATGTAGACACGTGCCTAAAACGAATCTTAGCTCTGTGAATGCCCTTCATTGGGGAATTTTTACAGATAATGAGATGCAAGTTTTGGAACTCCAGTGGGAGTTTTGAATAAGGGGCAATTTCTGAGTAATGGTGTAATGGAGTCATAGTAATGGTGCAATAGAGTAATGGTGTAATACCCCACAGTGTGGGGTACAAGAGAAGCTTTGAGAATCTAGAATGCACCAGGTCCTTTTAGGTAGGAGACAAAAAATGCAGCCAAAGTGGGGAAGGGGTGGAAAGGAAAATAAAATAGTCCTGGAAACAAACAAACCTATTACAAAATTTTTACACAGCTACTTGTGTGACCTTCTGGTGAGAATGCAACTTAGAATCACTTTCCTAGAGAGCTACTTGGGAATATCTATCTAAAGGCTTAAATAACAGATACTCTGTCTAAGCAAATACAATTTGAAGTCTTCATACCCAGAAAATCATCATCGATATCCCAAACAACTATTGTAACAGAATTTAACTTTTACAAATAAAAAATTAAATAAAATTTGTTTCATCTTTCCAAAATTTTTTATATGCAAATAGTGAGAAAGAGAGAGGGAGGGGCAAACAATTTATACCAGGTATTTTGTTTGCAACTGGCTTCTTTTTATTCATTTACCAATATATTAATGGTGGTTATTGCTGGTTTCTAATTTTATGGTGATACTAAATTTTCTTATTTTTTCAAACTTCAAAACACAAAGACAAAAAGCCATCAACAAATGCTATTTTGCTATATCTATAGATGATTCAGTACTGCATATCAAAATGGGAAAAATTTCTTTTCCCATATTCTTTCATTCAGTGGTTCCCCATACTCACTTGTAACCGCAAACTGGATGTACGGTTAATGCCATTTGTGCTCTATTTCAAAGACATTATTAGTTAAATAGCCTTCTTTTTAAGTATCTTAAGAACCTAGCCACAATTTATATTATTGTTTTCATGGGAAAAACATGTTCCAAGTTTCAAACAGCTAGTGTAAAAACAAATCCAAAACAGTTTGCATGTATGTTGAAGACCGTCTATTCAGTTTTTTGTTTGTTTGTTTTTACTCCTGAAAGCTAGTTGGTGTCTTGAAGTCATGAATTGCCTGAGAGTACAATATACCCAGTGCCGGAAATTGTGGCCTGACCTTTAGTTAAGAAAGACTTCCTTCTAGATCTCTGTCTTACAGAGACCATTCTTTCCATGAGAATTTCTTTATTATTTTTGAAGTTATCAATTGAAATCACAATTTACTGATTTGTGTGTGAAGTAAGTCTGACACAAAACAGGGAATCATATTTAAGACTACTAAGTTATCCCCTTCTCATTACTTTTTTTTTGTTTGATTGTAGAAAAACCTCTATAGAGCCATATCTCTCTAATACTTGTATTATATTTATCTCCAGAGATCTAGCTTGCTCAAAAGGAGACTATTATCTGACTGCCTGAATAGATCCCATTACAGGAAAAATTGACTGAAATATTGTCAAATGTGTTCCAGCAATAAAATTCAGGTAATAAGTTGAATTTCTAGCTTTCTGTGTCCAGATTTCCCCTATATGATTCTAAACAATAGTTGGGGCAGGTCAAGAAAAAGAGGTTAAGAGACATGATGGTAAAGAAAGACCAGGAAGAGGATGAAAACTTTGTGAGTCTCAGGAACATAAAACTGCCAGTTGTTTGCAGCAAAATTCTCACGACCCCAAAGCTGAACTTTGTAAACAGGCTTGGCATCAAACTCTTGCCTGGAGAAAATAAGGAAGAAAAGAAAGAAAAAAAAGAGAAGACCCTTGCCCTGCATACAGACACACACACACACACACACACACACACACACGCACACATATGGCATGTGTGCACTGCTTAAATTTGTAAGGACATATACAACTGGCCCGTTTCTAAATAAGTCTTTTAATATCCTGAGCAGTTTGTATTAGGCTGAGTGATAGAATTATTTGTATTGGCCAATTATTTCCAACTCTGTTTCCTGGAGAGGTTATTTCTAATTTTTTTAGTATTATAAAGTTCCTAATATGTGAGGAGGAGGTATGATATATGATGAAAACCATGAATTTAAGTGTTGATTGGGTCTGAGTTTCAACTCAACTAACTTACTCGATTTAAAGTTATTTGATTTTTTTTTTGTTTTGCCCTTTAAAACTGTGAAAATCATAGCATGTATCTCTTTTAATTATTGTGAGAATTGAAAGACATGCACACTAACTGATCACACTTATTTAGAAAGCTTAGATTAATGCCTGACCACAGTGAGTCTACAATAAATATTGGATATAATTATTCTTGCCATTGTTATTAGAAGAAATTGTTAATTGAATCAGAGACCTGGAATGAAATAATCCCCAGATATAGGCATCTTAACCTTAGCAATCTCTTTTTGAGTACAAAAAGGGAGCTTATTTTAATGTATAACAGGAAACATCCACACTTCCCTCATATGCCTCCATAGTTAGGAATTTGAACCTATTTCTTTATTACAATAATGGAAATTTTCATCAAATGGGCTAGAACTAATTTTCAAACATGGTTGCTATGACATCTTTCATAGTTTTTATCACATTATAAGTAAATGTGTTTTACTCATGGTCATGCCTAGCAATAAAGAAATAATAGCACTCAATGCAAATGGATGGCTTAAAAATTGGACATTAGATGTGAACCAGGGCCTGACTTTTCATATAAAAGGTTTTATGTATTTTAAATGTGACTCAGTAATTTCTATTTGAATGCTGAATGTGTCTGTCTCTATTTTTCATAGACATGATGGGTAAATTCCACAGTAATAAATATCTTGAAAATTTCTGTCTAATAAAATTAATGTTATCCAGTAACCCACTTGATTATAATATATTTTCTACAATTGATATTATATAGTCCTTTGACATTTGTTGATATTGGCTGTGATATTTATTAAGGTTATCTTTAATAATTTCATTTATGAGATTCAAACCTTCATCACTTTATTTTCTCAGATGACCTGATAAATCTCTTATGTCTATCATTTTCTAATAATATTTTCTATCCTACAAAATAACTTTCTTCCAGTCTTACGCTTTTCGATACCTGGTGTATTTGTAAGTGTTGCTTAATATTTTCCCCCCTCTCTCATCTCTTGAGACTTACTTTAAGTTTTTCTTTTCAGTTACTTTATTTTTTTCAACTCTCTAAATGCCATTATTAATATTTTCTGGGTTTTAGGTTCATTATATGTTAGATTTCAAAATTAGACCACAAGATTTATGTGCCTATTATTTCACATATATTGTAGTTTAGTCATCATGAAGTTATCCCTTGATACCCCAGCTCAACTTTGACCTTGTGACAAAATATTGTTCTGCCTTTCTATTCACATGGGTATGTGAATTTCTCACCAAGATTCTGCATCATAGACTTTTGTGTTAGATTTCCAGATACACCAACAAGCCTAATTGAAAAAATGGGAATGTGCATATTTACCCTCCCTTTGTTTCTCTCATTATATGTTTTTGCAGTTTAGTAGATAACTATCCTCATACTTCTAGCTTGTTAGATCTAGTAGTTGTGGACCTGTGAGGTAAACTCACAAAAGATAGATTAGCAAGGACAAAAACAGATTGAATTACATATGTACGTACAGGTATTCACATAGAAATGTGTCAAAAGGAAATGTCTAGAATTTGGGCCTCATATACCATCTTAACAAAGGATGATAAATTGTGGAGAAGTAACTATACAAAGGAAGGGAGGGCACTGAACTTCCAGGGCATGTAAATTGTGGAAATGTAAGTATGAGGAAAACTAATGGAATATAAGGGTTATTTAGTTAAGAAGTGTTATGTAGACTCAAGAGCTTTCTCTGTTGATAAGAGGTATCTCCACTGACAGAGTTGTCCTCCTCTTTCTGATACAAAAAAGAAAGATACCTTTACAAATGGAAATTTGTGTTACGTTTACAAAGGAAAATTTATGCCCCGCTTTTAGACAGAAAGGTGGAGGGCAGAGAGCTTTTTCTGTATTTGCTATTCCTAAATTGCAATCAGCTTAAAATAAGCCTTATCTCAAAGCAGAATATTTTGGGCTAATATACACCAATCCCCATCTGTGTCTGTTCTTTCTTTCTTTCTTTCTTTTTTCTTTCTTTTTTTTTTTTTTTTTTTTTTTTTTGCTGTCTCTAAACAATTGAGTTTTGAAGTTTGGCTGGTACTTTCCACATATTATTTTTTGTTTTTGTTGTTAATCTTGTACTTATTTTGTCTCACTGGCTCCTGATTTTAAATAATCTGTATCGCTTTTCACAAATATAAACAGTGTAACATGTTTATAAAACATTTTCAAACATTTAACGTTTGTAAAATTTAAAAACCACCCCCAATTCTGACATCCAGTGATGGTCCTTATTAACATTTTGATGTGTTTTATTTTTGTTGCAGTATGTATTTCTGTAAGTATGTGTGTATTAACAAAGCTCACTAATACTTTATAATCAAATTCTCTGCTGGTTTCATATTCTCCATTCATCCACTTGCACCTTAAATATCAGCAAACTGACTTGTTCCTGGAACACGCTGGTTCACCTTTACATATGCACCACTGTATATAGCATTCCTTTATATTATTTCTTCAGCTTAGAGCATCCTAATCAACCCCATCCCTAAGCTGAATTTTCATTTTACAGTACCAAGGCACCCTTATATTTGCCTTTATATCAAAACACATTTTATATGCATTATAATTTTCTTTCTTGTCCATGTCTTCAGCTACACACAGAGCTTAACAATTTATTTTTGTTGTTGAAATCTGCTGAATAACAAGTTTTTAATAAGTATTTGTTAATCAAACATATGTTTCAATCATTTTCTACCTGTATCAAAGTAAATGCATCAATCAACACATGTTTACTAACACCTTGGGTATACTTCTATGCTAGGTGTTGTATATGCTACAAAGAAATTAATCACAATGCTGAATACAGACAAATGGGAGAAGAAAGCAGGTTTGGAATCAGAAGACTTTGCTATTTGTTATGTGTTGATGAATACATTTTTGTATTCTGCATGTTTCAGATGAGAAAACTAAGATTAATGCCCATTTCACAATATCATTTAGAGAATTTTCATAGTTAGTGGTTTCACAATGTGATGTCAGTGTCAAATATACTTGTATTAAATATATTTTAACATTAAATATTTTTTATTTAAAATTAAAATAATATTAAAATGTTAGTCTTAACATTTTAAATATTTAATTTAACATTAAAATATTATTGCTACTATTACTTAATTCATCAAAGTGGCCACAATTTAATGAGTGTAGCATAAAGCATTTGCAGTTCTTACTGTCTTGCTGAAAATGCAAAATGTCAATTTCAGTCTTTGTCTTAAACTCATAATTAAAACTTAGAGGCAGTTCAACCCTAAATCATTACAAGGTGTGTGCTCACACTTTCTGGAAACTTGGATAGTGCTTCTTATTGCATTGGATACCTGACAAAACAAAGATGTTGCCTACAAAAAACAACAAAGTTAATGAGACTTTTTAAAAATCGACTATAAACAAAGGAACCAGGGCTCTCCAAAATAAAAAAGTACATTATTTTATTTTAAAGTCTTAAAGTTTAGATAGATTACTGAAGCCCAAGGAACTGCCACTCCATAGCTTTTCCTTCAGACATATTACTAGGGTCTCCCATATTCTTAAAGTGTTATTCTACAGTTGGCAAGATCTTTAGGTTGACCCTTCTGTGAACTAGGAGGTCTCGAGTGAAATTTGTATGAATCCTATGAGTTCTAAATTCTATTTGGCTTACACAACGTGTAACTCAGCATTCTCACAGATTTTAGTTTGCTTTTACTTTTAGCATTTAATCCTCAAAAGTTTGTTATATAGATAATGTTTCAGTGAACAGCTATTTAGCACTATTATTACTATCTTCTGCTTAAGATTGTTTTCAATAATGCAAAACCAAAATTCAAAACCCATACAAAAAGAGATCATCAGAATGTGTTCATACAATTCTGTTATGTGAGTTAGCATTTTTTTTGCTTATTTATGCAACCTCAAACTTTTCCCTCATCCTGTAAAATTCAGCATTCTCTTGTAATTCAGAAATTCTCAGTGATAAAGTTCTGCTTTAATTAGTATTGAGGATTATTTTTTTAAAAAGGGCGAGAGAGAAAGAGAAGGAGAGCTGAGAGAATAAGCACAGGAAATTACTAGAATAACAACATGACAACTGGAGAGGCATCACACTTCAAATAGACAAATAGGGCACAATAATGGATCCCAAATGTTTTTATTTTTTTTCTTAATTTCTGTGTTTCCATAAGAAAGCTAGAGAATAGTTTAAGCTGAAGCCTTATCACTAGAGCCGAAAAATAATAAACACAAAAAACTCTTTAAGAAGTAATAAAATATAAGAAAACAATATTTTAAAATTTAAGTATGTTAATAAAGCATTTCTCTTTTTTTTTTTTGGCTGTTACCTACTTATTGTTTGTGATGATTTTACTCAGTACCCTGTGGTTTCCTCCCTGGTTGCTTTGCCTGTCTTTCAGATACTTTTCTAAGGACTTCCGTTATTTGATAAGTAGTATCAAAATTCTTTTTTGATAGGTTAGGGTCTAATTATATATGTAGATAGCCAGAATCAAAGCAGAATAAATGTTTATTTGTTTGTTTTATGTTTTGTTTTTTTGAGACAGTGTCTCACTGTGTCACCCAGGCTGGAGTGCACTGGTGCAATCTTGGCTCACTGCAACCTCCGCCTCCCGGGCTCAAGCCATCCTACCACCTCAGCCTCCCAAGTACCTGGGACCACAGGCGCATACCACCATGGCCGGCTAATTTGTTTTGTATTTTTTTTTGGAGATAGGGTTTCACCATGTTGCCCAGATTGGTCTTGAACTCTTGGACTCAAGCGATCCGTCCACCTGGGTCTCCCAAAGTCCTGGGATTACAGGCATAAGCCACCTCACCTGACTAAAGAAGAATAAATTTTTAAAATGTTTACTTTCATTTGTTGTTTCAAATATAAGAAAATAGTCTTATGATTATACAATGTAGTATTAATAACAATTTATCATTGTATTATTTCTTATACATTGTAATTTATTGCAATCACAACTTTATTAATATAATTATTTATATTTACGATACTCATATAATAGTATATTGATATAATAGTCAACATTTCTTGAGTGTTTACCATGTACCAATTATTATAAGTGAATTATCAAAAATTATTTATTTTAATATTTAATATCATTATGAGACAATTACTATTATCCCAATTATAGAAAAAAATGAGGATCAGAGAGGATAGATAACTTGTCCAAAATCTTGTAGTAGTGAGATTATAAGTCTAGCTATCCCTGTAAAAACTATGCTATGTCATATCTAAAAGCCTATGTAGCAGATAGGACAGGTATATGATAATCATTTTGCAAATACAGACACAAAAATTTATGTTCTCATTACTCAACTTGCTCATAAACACTCAGCAAGCTATCTGAAAAGACTAAAAGTGTGAGGTTTTTTTTTTTTTTTTTGCTTTTTTAAACATTTATTTTTGATTCAGGGGGACCTGGGAAGTTTTTTTATATAGGTAAACTCATGTCATAGGGGTTTGTTGCATAGATTATTTCATGCCCCAGGTATTAAGCCTAGTACACAACAGTTATTTTTTCTGCTCTTCTCCATCCTCCTACCCTTCACCGTCAAGTAGATCCCAGTGTGTGTTGTTTCCTTCTTTGTGTTCATGAGTTCCCATCATTTAGTTTCCACTTATAAGTGAAAACATGCAGTATTTGATTTTCTATTCCTGTGTTAGTTTGCTAAGGATAATAGCCACGAACTCCATCAATGTTCCTGCAAAAGACATGATCTCATTCTTTATGGCTGCATAGAATTTCATGGTGTATATGTACCACATTTTATTTATACAATCTGCGGTTGATGGGCATTTGAGTTGATTCCATGTTTTTGCTATTGTGAAAAATGCTGCAGTGAACATACACATGCGTGTGTCTTTATGGTATAATGATTTATATTCCTCTGGGTTTATACCCAGTAATGGGATTGCTGGGTTGAATGATAGTTCTGCTTTTAGCAGTTTGAGGAATCACCATACTGTTTTCCACAATGGTTGAATTAATTTGCACTCCCACTAACAGTGTATAAGCATTCTCTTTTCTCCACAACCTCACCAACATGTGTTATTTTTTGACTTTTTAATAAAAGTTATTCTGACTGGCGTGAGATGGTATCTCATTGTGGTTTTGATTTGTATTTCTCTAATGATCAGTGATACTGAGCTTTTCTTCATATGCTTGGTGACTGCATGTATGTCTTTTTTTGAAAAAGTCTGTTTTTTAATAACTAGTGAGATTTCTCACTTCATCACAATATTTTTTAATTTAGATTTTCTCATTTAAATTTCTTACCACTTTTTAGACATAGATGCATTCTTTATATTTCATCTGTTTTCAGATGAATATTAATTGACAATTTGGTACTAGATCCTCCTTTAATTTTTTGTTCATGACTTGTCTGTCCACAGTAAAAAAAAAAAGTATAAATAGTAGCAAAATATAGAAACCAATGGTTTTCAGGCATTGGATAACAGGAAATTCAAGTCTACAATTTTTTTTTTTTTTTTGAGACAGAGTCTTGCTCTGTCGCTCAGGCTGGAGTTCAGTGGCGCAACCTTGGCTCACTTCATCTCTGCCTCCTGGGTTCAAGCAATTCTCCTGCCTCAGCCTCCCAAGTAGCTTGGATTACAAGTGTATGCCACCATGCCCGGCTAATTTTTGTATTTTTAGTAGAGATGGGGTTTCGCCATGTTGGCCAGGCTGGTCTCGATGTCCTGACCTCAGGTGATCTGCCCACCTCGGCCTCCGAAAGTGCTGGGATTACAGGTGTGTGCCACCAAACCCGGCCTCCAATTCTTAAGAGAAGGTAAACATATTCCCTGTCTCTCTGCCTGGGGATATGTTCATACCTCAAGGCAGATCAAATTAGAGCTCAAGTAGTGAAGCAATACCTCTGAGCTGATAAGGCAAATATGAGTTCCAGGCCACTAAAACAACTGAAATTTGCTGAGCAGGATCACAGAAAATAGGGGCTACATAAAGTAAAGGACCCAGAAGTCTGCATGAGAATTTACCATGGGATCTTGACTGAGAGAAGTTGTACAGGCATAGGATAAAAAACTGTGAGACAGCAGAAATTTTTTCTTACAGAGAAGATGGCAGAATCATGATACCAAAGGCCTTTTAAGCATGGATGATAGAATTTTGGTCCAGGAAGAGTAGAGAAACCTCTCTAATAAACTAATATATTCAAGTGAGATCCAAGAAAATTAATAACTATTAATAAAGACTACATTCTAAAATAAAGCCCACATCCTAAGTATCAACTTAAAATTGAAATCATTATGTCATAAAAAATAATAAAATCAAGCTTCACAATGACAGTAGGATCTGCCATTATTGAACATATTGTCAAGAAAGAAAGTTGGCACAATCCAGATGTCTTATAACACATCACTGTAATGTCCAGAATATGATACAAATTACTAGGCATGTGAAAAAAAAAAAACCAGCGAAAATGTGACTTTAAAAAAAAAGTCAATACAAATAGATCATGCAATATCCCAGATATTGTAATTAACTGATAAAGCCATTTAAAGTTCAAGGACCTAAAGGAAAAAAAAAAGTGACAATGAGTGAACAGATGAGAAAACTCAATAGATAAATTAAAACTAAAAAAAAACTGAAATTATAGAACTGAGGAGTCCAAAATCTAAAATTAAAAAGAAAAAACTGGGTTTAAGGGCAGTTTAGACGCTGATTACAAAAAAAGCTTTGTCAACTTAAAAACAGATCAACAGAAGATATATATTTTAAAATACAGAGAGAAAAAGATTGACAGAAAATTAGCAGAACTTATTCCTTTTGTCTAACTGAAACTGGTGAATATAGTTAATAACAGTATAACATATTTAAAAATTGCTGAGAGTAGATTTTTAAAGGTTCTCACTACAAAAGAATGAGTAGGTTTGGTGATGCATATGTTAATTAGCTTGATTTAATTATTCCACTGTGTGTGTGTATCAAAAGATCACACTGTACCACATAAATATATACAATTATTATTTGTTACAATTATTTAAATAAAATATACATAACTTTAAAAAGCAATTAAAAAGAAAAATAAATAAAATTAACAGAGCCTCAGTGACCTATGCAAAAATATGAAGTGGTCTAACACACAGGCAGTGGTGTATTAGGAAGGAGAAAAAGAAGGGGCAGAAAATATTTTTTTGAAGAAATTTCCTCCTCTTGTAAAAGCAAAAAAAAAATCACCTTTCATATCCAAGGAGCTCAATAAATGCCAAGAAGAATAAATACAAAAAAAACTCATATCTAGACATATCAAAATTATACTGCTATCATAAAAAGCTAAGATAAAGAAACATTTTATAATGTGCCAAAGGCAAAAACAAAACAAAACAAAACAGATCACAATTCGGGGAACGATTTTATAAAAACAGTTGACTTCTTATCCGTAGTAATGGGTGCTAGAAAACAATCGAACAACAAATATGAAGTAACAGAAGAAAAACAGAAATTGACCTGAAATTCTGTACTCAGTGAAAATATCCTTCACAAATGATGGAGATGCGAAGACAATGCCAGTCAAACAAAAGCTGAGAGAATTAATGGTCATCAACATTTTAAGGATGCTGGAAAAAGTTCTTCAGGCTGAAGGAAAGTATTAATTGATGGAAGTAGTTTCCAGGAAAATAAACTGTCCTCAAAAACATAGAATCTAGCACAGTAATTTTCATCAAACAATGGCCTGTGGGGCTCAGTCCAGCCCACTGACTGTATTGTAAAGTTTTATTGGAACACAGCCACGTCTGTACATTTATATATTATCTATGACTACTTTGGTCCTACGATTACAAATTGAGTTTCAACAGAGATCATATTTCACCTTTACAGAAGGAAAAATTGCTAAGTCTTATTGTAGGGGATAAAAAAGCAGACAACATAATAAAACATAACAAGACTAATATATAATCACGTATAGCACAAATGTGTGCATTGAGAAAATTCAAATATCTCTTTAAACAAAAAAATAGAGCTACTTGGAAATTTTCACTGGTTGGATGAGAGATCAGAAAAGTCAAAATGTATGAATGTTGAGTAAATAGCCACTGCCTAGGGCATTTCATCCACCAGAACAGAAGAATGGCAAATGATTCTTTGATACTTCCAGTGTTAGATTCAAGAAGTGGCATTTAAAAAGTATGATTCTCTTGATTGTATCAGATTTTCAAATTTACTGCAAGGAACACTAAATTTTGAATTAGGATCCCCACTTTTATGCAAAATAAGTAAATACATAAAGCATTTATGGATGGGTTTATCCTGAGCTCAGCTTTTATAAGGCTTACTTCCGTAAGGTATAAATTTATAAAAAATCCTTTCACAGATTGGAGATTTGTCGCCAGATTTGTCTGGCTATTAGATTGTAACAGCGCAGGTGGGAATTTAGGGAAATAAACAGTACTCATAAGGACCTGTTGATTAATTTGAGCTCAGCCTTTCTATCCCTAATATTCTCTTTCCTTTCTCTCTCTGCACATCTGTGACACTGGAGTTTGGCCCAGAGGAAGAACGCACAGTGGAGATAAAGAGATGTGTGCCAAGAAAGCCGAATATTCAGATCAGATGGGATGCAGATGAACATCTGTGCTGGGAAAAAAAAAAAAAAAAGAAAAAAAAAAGCCAAGGACAGATACTCTCCCAATGTTGAAATAACTGTACAGAATTCTACCCCTACAAAATCTCTCTTTTTTTATAGAGTTTTTCATTTAAAGAAATAGTGTTTCTGCACTGCACTTAAAGGTTATTTGCCTGCTCCTTTGCAGGTGTGTGTGTGTGTGTGTGTGTGTGTGTGTGTGTTTCTTTTTTCAGTTTACCAATTCAAAGGCGCAGGCCAACCTCCTATTATTTGTGTCCATATTTAAAGTGGGCTTGACAGTCAGATTTTTGCACTGACAGGCACACAATAAAAATCATGTACTGTTACTAGTTTTCTAGGCAGAATTATTTCATAACAATTATCTTCACATCTCCAATGTTCTGTGTGCTCAAAACCAGTTGTCTTTATTTTAATAATTAAGCCAAAGTGACAGTGGCTGACAGCTGCAATTGGTTTCATTTGTGAGGCAGGCACTGCTTTCAGTATCACCATGGAATCCTTCTGGCTCAGTGTCAGAATATTTAAGCCATTGAATGTAACCAAATTTGCAGTCAGACAAGGTGCACATTTTCAGGCAAACACACATTTTATGTGTGTGTAACACCATGCATTTTCTCACCGACTCCCAATAGCTTTAGCAAGATCTTTAAAGTACAAATCTACAAAATATTTAATAGATGCAAAGGGCATTTTTAAATGAAACTGCTTTGTTCCCTTTTTGTGCTATTAATCCAAGAGTTGGTCAAAATTTTCTGTAAAGGGCCAGATAGTAAATATTTTTGGCTTTGCAGGCCATATGGTCTCTGTTGCCATGACTGAATTCTGCCCTTGGAGTTTGGAAGCAGCCATAGACAATATGTAAATGAATAGGTGTAGCTTCAGTCCAATAAAGCTGTATTTACAAAAACTGGCTGCAGGGAAGATTCGGTTCATGGTCTGCTTTAAACAACAATTCAACATACTTTATTTTTAATATAATGCACAACATTTTAAGTTGTTTTTCCCTTCCTGATTATTAAAACTGCAAAGCACTTCTAGAGATGGAGAAAGAGTGATTATAGTTAAAAAAAAAGATTTGAGATTATTTAGTATTTGAACAATACAAAATGTATTTTCTATAAATATAACGTGATATTTACATGACATATAAAAAATTACTTCCCTGTAGATTATCTCATTCATTTCAGTAACAACCTGGTTAGTCAGGGTGACAGGTATGATTCTTCAGCCCCATGAAGCTTAAACAGGTTAAGTGGCTTTCCCAATGTTACAATGGCTAAGTGCAAAATCAGAATTTTACCTTTTCCATTTGGATTCTAAGGCTTTTATTTGGGGCAGCAGACCATTTAGGGACCTGATACTTGGTGGTGATGTTGATTCAACAGAAATGGTCCTAATTCAGTCCTTGATGTGCAATTACTGTTAGAAGTGGCAAAGAAATTAAATACCTCTTATATTATTAAATTAATGGAGAGAGAAAGACTGGACAATTTAAGAAAAAAAAAAGCCTAAAATACTCAGTATTTCTCAGTCCAAATTATGAAGGTAATTTTCTCAATGTAGCCTTTAATGCAGAACTCCTGAAATTCAAAGAGAGACTCTATGATTCCCTCCTGGCCAACTGGCATTAACTAAATCCATTATGTATGTTTTTGGCTTCTGTGCAATTTTTTTTTTTTTGGTCCTGAGATGGAGTCTCGCTCTGTTGCCCAGGCTGGAGTGCAGTGGCACCATCTCGGCTCACTACAACCTTCGCCTCCTGGGTTCAAGTGATTCTCTTGTCTCATCCTCCCGAGTACCTGGGACTACAGGCACCTGCCACCACACCCGGCTAATTTTTTATATTTTTTTAGTAGAGACGGGGTTTCACCGTGTTAGCCAGGATGGTCTCCATCTCCTGACCTCGTGATCCGCCCGCCTTGGCCTCCCAAAGTGCTGGGATTATAGACAGCCACCGCGCCCAGCCCTGTGCAATTTTATTGTTACAAATTTCATTATGTAAAAAAGCTGAAAGGAGAGACAAACTATAGCATTAAGAATTTGGGTATAGACAGGGAGCTATGAGCACAGGAAACCACGCTCATGGAGCGTGTCTGTAGCTTTCCTGTCCACCTAAGAACTAACCAACTTACAATATTACCGTCTAACTTTCATCTATATTGATGTTTTTTTCAACAAGAGCAAACTGTTTTGGAAAAACTGTCTCAAATATCTTTACCACGTTGGTCTATGATCACAGGGTTTACAATTTCCATTCTTTAACAATACTTTTTCTGAAATGGCTCTTTTAGAAAAAGACGAGTTAAACTATTTTACTGTTGTATGTATATAAAATCTGAGAATATTGGTAATTTACGATGGGTCTGGTGATGCTAAAACTACATACATATGAAGATTAAAGCAGCTCTTTAACATAAAGTTAGGTGGATATGACTTGTTTGAAAAAGTATAGACAGCGGGCACAGCTTTTCACAGACTACAAAGATGATATTGCTGATATGTAAGATGAAATGGCAATATGACAAATACAGGCAGGCTGGGCGCAGTGGCTCATGCCTGCAATCCCAGCACTTTTGGAGGCTGAGGCAGGTGGATCACCTGAGTTCAGGAGTTCGAGACCAGCCTGGCCTGCCTGGCCAACATGGTGAAACCCCATATCTACTAAATATACAAAAAATTAGCCGGGCGTGGTGGCAGGTGCCTGTAATCCCAGCTACTTGGGAGGTTGAGGCAGGAGAATCGCTTGAACCCGGGAGGTGGAGGTTGCAGTGAGCCAGGATTGTGTCACTGCACTCTAGCCTGGGCAACAAGAGTGAAACTCCATCTCCAAAAAAACACAAAAACAAACAAACAGAAAAAGACAAATACAGGGGTCTGTTTTCCTCTACAAACAGACATCAAGGGTGAGAGGTGGGACTGAGAGATGTGTAGAAATTTTAGAGTGACCATATTTCCTCACGTATCCAGGTAGAGGTAAAGTCACTATATTAGTGGCTATAAAAAATAATACTCAAGGAAATAATTTTCACTTTATAACCTACTTAAGTACAGTTGGTGGCACCTTAACTGGAGTCACTGACAATCTCATCTATTGAGATGTATAAAAGCGGCCATGGTGAAATGGTTTCTGAGTCTCTACAAGGGCATGCGTTATTTTTGCATCACTTTATTACTATCAAAAGGTAGTGGAAATAGTGCGTGGAAAGCAGTAACATTTGAGTTTTATCTTCCTTCATTCATGACCGAACTCTTACCAGCAAGAGGCCAAAAGAAAATTGCAAGTGCCATCACTGTAGAACAAATCCAACAAAAAGACTTCTGAGGCTTCTTTAAATTCTTTGCAAAGACTGGGGCCTATAGCTAGGCTCTTCAGTATTAGGTAAGTCAGTGCTGGCAAGGACCATGAAATCGTCCTGAGTAAATACCAATGCAAGTTCCAATAGCTGTGGGTATGGTGTGGGGGTGAGCTACTGGGGCCAGTACAGGGGGACACAGTGAGCGTTGAGAAAGTTCTTTAACAAAAGGCTGTCAGATATGATTTACTGAGTTGGACTCCACTGGGCAAGCCTCACTGAGCACTCTGAATTCGAGCTTTCCACACTGGCAGACTTTTCCATAATCCAACAAAGACATAGAGTTATAGGCAGTTCATAAAAGTGATGTCTTTTGTTTAGTCCTAACAGGGTCTCTCAACAGGGGAGACAGAATCAATGAAGTGCTAAATATAATATGAAATCAATTTCCCTTCTCACATCACCCTGAGGATAAGAAAAGATTCTTGTTTTCCTGGGGCTGCTAGAAACCCCAATGTCTTCCGGGTGGTTGGAAGAGAAGACCAAGAGAATTTAAGAATATTTTTAGCTTAATTAGTTTAGGCACTTCATTTTGAGACAGATTTAGTGCATGTTTCATCTGTTTAAAGAATCACAGGAGTTTAAGTAAGATCGTTTCTCCAGATAGAGGGTGAAGTAGTTTGAGAAGAGAGTTATGCTTAATGAGATCCACTTTCAGAAAAAAATGGTATCGGTGGCTGAAGAGAGAGAATACTAAACTATGAGCCAGGACCAACCCTAATAACTTAGAAAAATTTCTAAACATGGTGATGTAACTATTTGGGTAACTCTGTGTCATAGTAAAGATTTATGGCAGACAGTTTAAGCTGAACTTGTTTATAAGCCATGCTATGTCTAGGGATATGAGTATACTTCATGTGTAACTACTGTGTAACTATGAGGATGTTGGTAAACATAGATAACATGTAAAGCATTTTATTATTTTCCTTGATAGAATATCTCATAGAAATGAGGATCAGTTACTTATAGGAGACTGCTAAGGTATGAAAGCTACATCTTATTTTGGTATATGATAGAGAATTTTATTTAAATTAGACACTTAGACACTCTGGATCCCTCTATAATGTGTTTTCCAGCCCTGTGACTCTGAATATTATATTCCTATATTATATATATATATATATATATATCCCTATATTTCTTTTAAAATGTTTTCTTGCTGTAACTAGTCTGTACCAGTCCATCTGAAGTTATTTGTGGCATTAGGTATTTTTTCAATTTTCTTCAAGTAACAGCTTATTCAATAGTATAGAGTAATGTCATTTTTACTTTTTTTTTTTTAGACAGAGCCTGACCATCTTTCCCAGGCTGGAGTGCAGTGGAGCAATCTTGGCTCACTGCAACCTCCACCTCCCAGGCTCAAGTGATCCTCCTACCCCAGCCTCTTGAGTAGCCGGGACCACAGGTGCACGCCTCCACACCCAGCTAATTTTTGTACTTTTTGTAGAAACAGGGTTTCACCATGTTGTACAGGCTGTTCTCGATTTTCTGAGCTCAAGCAATCCATCCACCTGGGCCTCCCAATGTGCTAGGATTACAGGCGTGAGCCACCATGCGGGGCCTCATCCTTTTTTTCGAAACTTATACTGCAGATAGGTAATTCTTAAAACTGAGAAAGAATACCTGAGTATCAGAGTATTGATTTAATTCCTCTATGAAAAAGATGTCAAGATGAAATTAGATATGAAGAAGATTTATTGGAGAAACACCTTCGATGGAGAAAATGAAGAGAGACTAGAAGTTGGCAGACACAGGTCTGTGAAAGGAGAGAGGGAAGGAAGAAGGGTAGGGTGGGAAAGCTTGTGCAGCTCTGAGAAAATCTCAGCCAGGCTAATGAGGATCCCCAGAGAAAAAATGGCCTGTAAGTGGAGTCCTGCATTTAAAAGGAATGGCTCAGCTCTGGCACCCTCACCGTGTACACTAGTACCCACATTGTGCTTAGGGACAGAGGGAGTATGGCTTACATTCCCAAGATGAGGCAGCTGGAGGACATCAGCCTCCTATAATCCTGTCAGCAGACCCTCTCTTGAGGGATAGTCTGAGCCTCATATTCTCATAGTGACCACAACTTGGAAATCTCATATGTAGAGTATTATGGAATATTAGTATCCTAAAAATAAAAAACAAAAAATGAAACTACATGTGTAATCATATCACAAGTCTGATTTCAACAACTGTGACTCAAACATACATGATAGGTACAGACTATTCAAGGTTAACTCGTGGAAAACTCTAAAACTAAAATAATTTTACCCATGAATTATTTTTCTTAACTTTGGAAAGACCGTTAATTTCAGCATTCACAGGAAAAATCTTTGGATCATCTCCAAGCATATTAGAGTTCAGTGGGGTCACACTTCCAGAAATAGTAGTATAGGTCACAAGTGTCATTTCTAACAATAAAAGGGTAATTCTTGTTCTTAAATAATGAAATATATTATGTGCCCACTAGTAGTGCTCAAGAGGAACAAAGCAGGATAAAAATATGTCTTCACCACCTCTTTATTCCTCCTTTACCTGCCAGTATTCTTTCAGCTGTCTAAATTCCCCAAAGTTGCTTTGAATGTTGTGCTGCTCCCAACTGTGAAGGAATCAGCAGAGCAAAACATACTGGGGTGAATGAGACTTTCTCCAAACATTTCCCTCCTTTGGACTCTACAGTCCCATCTTATGGGTCCATTCATTGACAGTTTTTTCTCTGCCAAGGCCCAGATGAATGCCTTGCAGACATAATGTGTATTAAGTAAATTCTGAAAGAAAAGAGAACTTTTCAGCTTATTTCCTATATTGAGAGATTTTTTTAAAAATAAGAGTACACAACAAAGGTAGGGTAACATGCACTCCAGGTGCCCTTCTCAGCCTGAGATAGATCATATGCTTCATGAAGAAACAGACTCATATCTCAGATTTATTTAGGATATTATCTGAGCCCAAATGATATTCCCTGCCCAGTTATACTTGCCGTGCTCACTTTTCATAAGAGACAATTTGTTCAGGTCCATTTGTCCAACGCAATGCCGAGTTTTAGGCTGTGCCATTGCAGAGGTAGTTGTGCTACCACATGCCCGACCTATTTATCCTTTCTGTGGCTTGAGCATCATTCCCTGGACAAATCAATGGCAGCTACGCTAGCAGGGTTTATTTTCTCACAGCACTCATGGCATGAGTCAGAGCTGCTTTGTACATAAAGAACCTCTTGGGGCTGCTTTCCGCAGAAGAGGCCAATTAGAATTTTATGGACTCTCCAGTACAAGTGTTAATGTTTGATAAAACCTAACTGTGTTGCTCCTTGCACTTAACTGCATTTAACCATTGTTTCAGTGCCTATTACTGAAAGAGCTAAGCTTGCATTACGGTCACAGTGCTCATATTTGCTTCAAATCATACTGCATGTTCTTCTTTAGCAAAAGTCCAAGTTTGCTCATCAACCATTGGCTCCAGGCCCTGGACTAATCATTGCACTTTTTGTTACTGAAGTGAACTTTATCTTCGGATCTTGTCATGGACTTTAACTTCTGTTTCTAGTTCATGATCATGATTTTTTTTTTTTAATGATAACTTGGCTCTAAATTCAGGTTGCTGCATGATTACTTAGGACACCAAATTCTTTGCAGCTCATATGTGGCTGAGCACCATGAACAAGTAAGGGTGTAAGGCTGTGTCTGCCAATAACAGGAGCCCAATAAAGTTAATTGTTTCTCCGTTAGGCACTTTGCTAGTGCCCTGAACACATGGAACCGATTATCTGGCACTGCAATGTTGTTAAATAAAATGTGCAAAAAAGAAAATACAATTATTGCTAAAGTAAAAACATACCACAAGGGGTTATTAAAAAACCAAGATGTTTTACATTTTAAGGATGTTTTGCTGCTACATGTGTGTGTTTGGTGAAAAACGATTAGCTCCAAGACAGTGCCGTGCCGGTGTTAAATTTTTCCTTCTGCTTCATTGTCTTCCAGTCACCTGAAATAAATGGAAGCAGACTTTTTCATTCTGAAGGAAAAGAATGTTTTTTTAAAAAAAAAATTAAAGGCATGTTTAGGCAATGTTGGAATGTAGCCTACTCACGTAAAACATGCATCTTATACTCTAACTAGGATGTTTCTTCAATTTAAGAACATATTCAGTTCTATCAGCCCTATGGACAGGTCTGAATTGCTTATGAACTCCGTTTATCTATGAGAGAATATCATCACCTAAACTAACTGCATTCTGGAGTAGAATATAAGTTACTTTGGTAGGATAGAATTATAATCCTCTTTTAGTTATGCTTCAGAAAGCCATGGGGGCTTAATAAATACAATGTGTTTATAAGATAAAGAGTCCTCATCAGCTTCCACTTAGCTTCAAAGGTTTTCCATTTCTCACCAACACTTTAAAATTACATCCCATTGCCTACCTGTAAGGCACACATTGGCCATTTTTTATTTTAAATTATTTTTCCCATATTTCAAATAACTGTGATCATAATATATTTAACTAATGCCCACTAGAGGTTATTCAAGAATGCTTTGTTAGACATTTTTGGGTGTGCACATGTCCTAGAAGGAATCAAACAGTATTTATTTCAGTAAAACACATTATGAGCTATTTGACCTTACAGATTAATACATATATGAGGCTAAAAAACCCTGAGGGTGAGAAAAATAAAAAGACATTTTATATTTTATTATCTAGGTCTTCAATTTTTTTAAGAAAAGTTTTTTTTTCTTTTCTCTAAAGTACCAAAGCACAATAATAACATACCAACAAAAAGCAGACCTGAAAAAAACAGATTTAGAATCTGGCTGTTAATTGTCTTACCAAAAAATGTAGACATGTCTTCCTTGCTTATCAAAGATTCACCCATTAGCACTTCGTAACATCACATTACTTGATTTTACCCAGTTTTACCTACCTTCTTATGAATAATCAGAATGATCTATTAGAGACGTGACTGGAATTTTCAAAACAGAACGTTTGTCATTCAAAATTGTCATTGCATATTCATTACAAGTGGATGCTAGTCAAACACAACAATGTCTTATGCATTCTTAAAATAATAATTTCAACTGATTATTAGGTCTTTATTCTGCTTATTCTGTAGCCTTTATTTTTAACATGTTAAAAGAATGATTAGGCTGGCAGAACCTGATAAATGAACAGAAACAGGGATTTTTTTTCCAATGGACAGAATCAGGGGGTTAAATCCTCATAAATTTAAGACAACCTTCTTTGGGGCAGAAATACAAAGCACGCTGGCTACAATGAACTAGAGAAGCACAAATGCTTCCTTTTTCCATATTTTAGTGGAGCTTGGCAAGCTTTGCTCTTTTTTTACTCTCAAAATCACTGAGATGTGTTCACATTCCCATCATAATGTTAAGGACTTCCAAGACCTGAGGCTTAATTAATTAATTAGTTAATATTTATCCCATGCCATTCTTTTTATTTAGTTCTCAGGGAATATTCGATGAGAGAAAAGTTAGCATTGACCACGTCAGAAGGAAGCAACAGCACATTGAGAAACTGAATTGACCCAGAGTGAATAGTTACACTGGAAACACTGTCATTTCCTTCTCAACTTCAATGTCAGACAGAGCATTCATGAAAGAAATAAAATGTATACCCCAGCTATGACTTTAAGTTGTTCAAAAGACTATGCTTACAGCTGGCCAGGAGCGGTGGCTCACATCTGTAATCCCAGCACTTTGGGAGGCCGAGGCGGGTGGATCACCTGAGGTCAGGAGTTTGAGACCAGCATAGCCAACATGATGAAACCCCGTCTCTACTAAAAACACAAAAACTAGCTGGGCATGGTGGCGGGTTCCTGAAATCCCAGCTACTTGGGAGATTGAGGCAGGAGAATTGCTTGAACCCGGGAGGCAGAGGTTGTAGTGAGCTGAGGTTGTGCCACTGTACTCCAGCCTGGGTGACGGAGTGAGATTCTGTCTAAAAAAAAAAAAAAAAAAAAAAGAAGGAATACGCTTACAGCTGCCTAATTGATTTAAGTGATATCAAATATAAAGCTGTAGCATTTCCAAGAGGAAGTAATTTAGGATAATGTGCTTTAACTTCCCTTTACTTAAAAAGGCAGCTAGCTGACAACAATTTAAAAGGACTTTGTTACCATCATGGATCCATCAGTTTTTATGAAATGATGATTCACTATGGATAACCCTGATTTCTTTGAGATTTTGATGTGTGGAGAAAAAGATGATTTAGCTTTTATTAATAACCGTTTGTGCAAAATGGAAACAGTCATCGTGTAGCATGTAGCCAGAGGCTATCTGAAAGGGGATCTGGGAGATAATTATAGAATGCCTTAAAGGACATAACTAGGTTTTGGCAACTTCTTAGAAAAATTTGCACCGAGATTGCTTATTTAATAGGTTAACTAAATCATTCAAACGACTCCTTTTATACTCGTTACAAGTAATGTAATATAACTACCCTGTACTTTATCGATTTGGCATAATCAACATGGTTTAAAAGAAGCCACATTTTTAAGTTTAATATATAAACATATTACATGAATATTGCAATGTTCAAGAACAAAATCTTTTCTCTTAAAAAGTTAATCCTTTAAATTTGTTCTATATTAAACCTGTTTTTGATCAGGTAAAAATTGGATACATTTTAGTTTAAGACTTATTCTATGCTACCTCTATGATTTTTAAATTCTTCATAGGAAAACATAATTAACACAAAATCTTACTAGAAGTCCTACTATGTGAAACAAGCAAAGGAGTATCTTATTACTGTATTTATTTTTTAAATTTAATGTTTATAAATTCAGATCATTACTGAGCTCTCCCATGGAAACTCTGAAGTTACTCTGACAAACAGGAATATCTCTGAAATCATGGCTTGTAGATGATCGTGGCAATTTTACTAACATACCAATCTACTATTTATTCCTGTATTTTTATTTCATTGTATAATATCCAGAAAACCTTGACTATTAAACGAAATAATATACAGTAACAAATTTAAGGTCCTACTCTGCAATTCCAGGAAAATGATCACATAATAGAGATATCTTATTATGAGATTTCCACCATGCTACATACATTCAACATAGCATGCTACAAACAAACATAGCATCTCGAAAGAGCAAACATTTTGTATATGCTATATGTGTTTGTAAAGGTTTTAGAGGCAATAAGCATGTATATTATGTATATTAAAAAGTTACGAATCATTTTGTTCTAAATCATTACAGCATTTTCTCTGGAATATAGCATTTTCAGAACCACAATGCTCATTGAAGGAATTGAAGAAAAATAATTATAATTTTATTCTTAGCATTTATAATTGATTTAATAAAAGCAACATGAGAATAATTTAAGAATGAGTAAAAACAGGGGTTTTGTTTGTGAGTAGCAGAGGGTCCCTAATAATAGGGTATTAACAATGAAAATGTATTTCTCTTTTACTTAAGCAAAAGCCAGAGATAGGTAGCTGAATTCATCCTCAGTTTCATATTCGCTTTTTAGCCATGAGGACAGAGCCAGAGGTTGGGAAGGGTACACGGCTCTTAACCCTTCAAGGATACTTTTTGACATTGTCATACTACTTCTACTCACATCCCATTAATTAGAAATAAGTAATATGTGTGGCTAACAATCATAGGAAAAAAAGCTAAACATCACTAATTATTAGAGTAATGCAAATCAAAATCACAACGAGATACCATCTCATACCAACCAGAATGGCTATCATTAAAAAGTCAAAAAATAACAGATGTTGGTGAGATTGTGGAGAAAAAGGAACACTTATACACTGTTGGTGGGGATTTAAATTAGTTCAACCATTGTGGAAGACAGTGTGATGATTCCTCAAAAACCTAAAGACAGAAATACCGTTTGACCTAGCAATTCCATTACTAAGTATTTACCCAAAGGAATATACATTGTTGTATGATGAAGACACATGCACACATAGGTTCACTGCAGCACTATTTACAATAGCAAAAACATGGAATCAACCTAAATGCCTATCAATGGTAGATTGGATAAAGCAAATCTGATACACATACAACATAGAATACTATACAGCCATAAAAAACAATGAGATCAATGTCCTTTGCAGGGACATGGATGGAGCTGGAGGTCATTATTCTTAACAAACTAAGGCAGGAACAGAAGACCAAATACAACATGTTCTTGCTTATAAGTGAGAGCCGAATGATGAGAACACATGGACACATAGAAGGGAACAACACACACTGGGGCCTATGAAAGGGTAGAGGATGGGAGGAGGAAGAGGATCAAAAAAATTAACTAATAGATACTAGGCTTAATACCTGGATGATGAAATAATTTGTCCAACAGACCCACATGACACACATCTACCTATGTAACAAAACTATTTTGTTGTAAATAAGATATCTATTACTATGTAAAAAGTTAACTTTTTAACTTTTTTAACTTAAAAGTTGAAAAGAAAGAAAGAAGCAATATGACCATATATACTTGCAGGGAATTTGGGAACTGTGATCTTTATCTGGAGTTTCTGTATTTTCTACAACGACGAAAGAAGAAGGAAAGGAACCAGATCCCAAACACTAAGAAAGAGTAAATTCCACCTGTTGCTCTAAATCATGGCATATTGACTTTACATTTGGAGCTTGTAAGTCTTGTAAAACGCCCCAGCTCTGTCCTCTGGATCTTGAAACAAGAATCATTATGGGTTTTCTGTAGAAGTTTTAGCCATCACTTCCATACCCAAGGTCAAGAATGATACGTGCCCTCAGGCTGGAAGCAGTGAATACAAAAATAACTTTCAGTATCATTTCCTTCCTTCTAGGGTCAACCTCAACTTAATTCTTCCTTGTTTCCATTGCTTTCCAATGCCTTCAGGGAATTGTTTTTTGTATTTTGTCTAGAATTTATAGCTGTTATCTGTAGGACAGTTAGTCCAACGGGAGTTTACCAGCCATAACTA
The DNA here is from genome assembly GCF_000001405.40 of Homo sapiens. NCBI lineage: Eukaryota > Metazoa > Chordata > Mammalia > Primates > Hominidae > Homo > Homo sapiens. The sequence goes on from NC_000017.11 coordinate 70,667,224, forward strand.
GAAGAGGAAGCTCATGGAAGTTTTTTCCCTGATATTTTCATGGATGGTTTCTTCCTGTCACTCAGATCCAACATAAATGTCACCTTTTTACTAAGACTTTTCCCGACCTTGATTTAAAGTAGCCCTCAATCTCTTGTTTCAGCACTACAAGGACTTGTAGCATAGGTAGCACTAAAAGCAGCCTGTTTTAAGACTGCTTGTAGTGCTACCAATTACCTAAATTTTCTTTCCTTCCTTATTTAACTTATGCATGGCTGTCTCCCTCTGTTCCATCAGATCATTGTTCAAAAACACTTCTGCTACATTCCTAAACAAACACATAAACACACATAAATACAAACACATGCACACTTAGCTGGAATTCCCATACTTTCTAATCTGCCCAGGATAGTCTCAGATTATGCCTATTTTCATGCCATAATAATTCAGAACATCTATTACTCATAATTTAATAAATTGGACTAATAAATTATATGATAATCATCAAAACACCTATTATGCTAATTGATTTCTCTTTATAACAATGATTACCACCTGATATACTAAAATATATGTGTGTATATATAGAAATACATAAAACATATTACAGGTAACATATGTCTATACATTAGACTATATGTCTGTCTCCTCATTCCACAACATAAATTTATGAGGGCAGGGACTTTGTTTTGCTGTTACAATACTGCTAGCTAGGACAGCTCTTGGCACATCAAAGATATTCAATAAGGATTTGTTGAAGAAGTAAATGAATAAATCAATTAGTTTTCTTTACATACTGTAACAGAATACAAAATTCATGATGCTGAGAATTTGTAATTGTATTTCTCTATCTTATCCCCTGTCCCAGGCATACAGTAGGCCCTAATTACATTAATGAATTTATCTTACAACATATGATTAATATTTTTTCTTTTAAATTGTTAACTAATCATAGGGGAATGATGAGCTATGATGCCTGCATAGGCAACTCATTTGGGTTCCTTTTGATGCTGTTCAGATCTTGTTTACCCCAATAACTATGGGTTTTAGCAACAATCATATTTCCATTTATATTGTATGAACAGAGAGAAGGCAATTTCTAAACTGTCAAAAAGGCAGAACAATGGCTATCAGTGTTCACAGATGGTCATGTCCTCGCCATTGGGATGTGTGGGTGTAAGGTACATGGATGTGCTTTGGTCAAAGAATAGGCCGAGGCACATATCTAGGTGCCTGCATGAATCAGCGAGTTTGGCGCACACCTGCGCACACCTCCACTTGTTATATAACCTGTTTGTGTAAGTTCATACTTGGCTTGGAGCCACTATTGGCTATAAAAGGTATAACTGCCCTGTTGACACTGTGCACAAGCGACATGGCTCTTGGGGTGCAGTTTGGCTCAACATGGCTTAATGTGGTGGGCACATGGGCACCCAGAGAAAGAGAGAGCCAGCGCTGTCCTTCTTGTAGTTGGACAGGAGGGAGCAAGGACACAGCTTGGCTTGCTTGTGCCCTGAGAGAGAAGGAGTTAAGCTGCTGACCCGGAAGGCAAGGGAGAGCCGGTCACACAGCTGTGTGTGAGGGTGGCTGGCTTAGGCAGCCTAGACAGGGCAAACAGTGTAAGAGTAAGCTGCTAGTGAGAAAGCTGTTGATGAAAACTGCTGTGAATAAAACCATATTCACCTGACTATGGCCCCCAGAGTGTTCCTTCTGCTCATCCACCCACTCCCCTCGGACTGCAACATGGGGTGGACCTGGATCCCGGGATCTGACAATTGGTGATGAGGATGGGATGAGGTGAGTGGGTCTTCAGCCCCTGAGGGCTCCTGGGCTGGCTGTAGCACCAAGGTGCATAGCACCAAGGAAAAATGTGCCTTTGCCAGCAGAGTCAGATGGGCGTTGTGACTGGGTTGCAGGATGTGCATGCCCAGTACCTGCAGGATGTCATGCAGGGAGGAGGAAAAACCTCTGTTGCAGGCTCACCCAGTAATCTGCCAAAAAATAAAGCATGAGCAGCTGTTGGGCTGCAAGGGGAGAGCCCGGGGACCATACCTGCCTATTGTGGTGGAGCACACTTCATAGTGACTACAACCCCAGTGAGTTGTGGGAGTTTAAGCAAGTAATGTCGGCAGTCACGTACAAACTTAGTGCAAGTCATTCAGGAGAAGGACATGGCTGTGCAACCTAGTCCCACCAGGACACTGCAGCTCAAGGACTATTTGCAGACAGGCAGAGATATGAAGCCTTTTCTGTTTGATAAGACAACTGGCCAAGGTGCCTGGCTTGCGGGACACTGGACGACGAGTGCCACATGTGTGCTTGGCCATCCACTGGTCTCTGAACCCAGATAAGTTTCCAGGCATAGCCGCATTTATTAATGGCTATGAAAGCTGGTCAGTGAAAGTGAAACCGGTGTCTTTGCACCTTGACATCGGCCACTTGGCTCTGCACTTATGCACTGTGTATGTGTCTCCCATGCCTGAGAAGATTCTGGGGGTGGATGTTTTGCACAGCTTGGCAGCTGCGCCGTCTATCACAAACTTAATGGACCAGTGGGCAATGGAACTGGACAGTCCATCAAGATCCAGAAACAGTTTGCCTTCATGGGAGGCTGACAATGGACTTTCACAGTGTTGCTGCAGGGCTATATGCATAGTACCATCGTATGTCATGGTTTTGTTGGTGATGTTATATTAACCTCTGATTTTCTTGCAGGTTTAGAAGTGGCAACGCCCCTCTTGCCTGGGATTGGGATGATGCAGCTGAAACAGTCTTTCCTGGTAGCCAAGCAGGCTATTTAGCAGGCACAAGCCCTATGGGTAGTTAACCAGGGGTGCCCATTTAAACTTGATGTGCATGTAACCACAGATAGTTTGGGCTAGGGCATAGCCGTGCATGGAGCGCTTGGGTGCGCCACTAGGCTATTGTTAGTCCCAGCTGTGGAAGGGAGCTGAGCTCTAGTGTTCCTTAATAAAGAAGCAGTTAGTAATAGCAGGATGGTTGTGTTCGTGAGTAACGACCCCCTGGGCTGGAAAAGCAGTTAGTAACTGTATATGCTGCCCTTCGGGCTCATAAGAGCGTGGCAGGGTAGGTTACAGTCATTGTGTGGAGTACTTACCAATAGCAGAATGGGTATGTTCATGTGTAACAACCCCCTGGACAGGGATGGCACAGACACCCACTTTAGCAAAGTGGGGCACCTACTTACAGCAGTGGAGTACACTGAGTACAAGTCCCTTAGCAGCAGAATTACAAGAAATCTTGGGACCTGTAGTCTTAATTCAAGATAAGGCCATGGGGCCTGAGGCACCCCTAGACCCTGAGCCTTCACCGTTAGGATGGGCATCCCCCCGTTCCTAATAGGGTATGGTATACAGATAGGTCTAGCCGGGGTGCTTCTGCTGCCTGACTGTTGTTGCAGCCCAGCCTAGTACTAACACCATATGGTATGAAACCAGGTGTAAACAGAGTAGCTAATGAGCTAACTCAGGGCAGTGTGAATAATAACCACCAAAAGGGTGACACCTGTGGTAATCTGCACCAATAGCTGGGCAGTTTATCGAGGCTTATGTATGTCATGGGCCTGTGTGCCTAAAGCCTACGTGTCAAGCTACTGTGTCAAGCCTGTGTGTGTATATCTGGCCTGTATGCCCAAAGCCTACGGTCAGGCTAATGTGTGTCAAACCTGTGTATCCAAAACCTACGTCTCCCTCGGCCTGGGGGGGTGGAGTGTAAGGCATATGGACGTGCTTTGGTCAAGGAATAGGCTGAGGTGGATATCCAGGCCTGCATGAGTCCAGCGAGTTTGGTGTGCAGGCGCACACCTCCACTTGTTATATAACCTGTTTGTGTAAGTTCATACTTGACTTGGAGCCACTATTGTCTGTAAAAGGTATAACTGCCCTGTTGACGCTGTGCACAAGTGACATGGCTCTTAGGCTCTTGGGGCTCAGCTTGGCTCAACATGGCTTAACATGGTGGGTGCCAGGGTGCCCAGAGAAAGAAAGAGCCAAAGCTATCCATCTATGCAGACAGACAGGAGGGAGCTAGGACACAGCTTGGTTTGCTTGTGCCCAGAGAGAGAAAGAGAGTTAAGCTGCTGATCCTGAAGGCAAGGGAGAGCCAGCCACGCAGCTGTGTGTGAGGGTGGCTGGCTCAAGCAGCCTAGACAAGGCGAACAGTGTAAGAGTAAGCTGCTAGTGAGAAAGCTGTTGATGAAAACTGCTGTGAATAAAACCATATTCACCTGCCTACGGCCCCCCGGAGTGTTCCTTCTGCTCATCCACCCACTCCCCTTGGAATGCAGCATGGGCTGGACCTGGACCCCAGGATCTGAGAGTGGATTACCTAAATGGCAACTGCAAAAAAACTTGGACATCCTGATTAAGTGGCAGCGAGAACTTGGAATATCTGATTAAGTTAAAGATCTTGAGATAGGGATTATCCTGAATGATCTGGGAGGGGCCCAGTGTGATCATAAGAATCCTTATAAATCAGAGAGGGAGACTGGAAGGCTAGAGTCAGAGAGATTTGCAGATGCTATGTTGTGGCTTTGAAGATGGAGGAAGGGGCCATGAGCCAAGGAATGTATTCAGCCCCCAGAAATTAGAAAAGTCAGGGAATAGAATCTGCCCTCGAGCCTCTGGATGGACCGCTCTTCTGAGGCCTCCATTTTAGCCCATTGCAACCCATTTCAGATTTCTGACTTGAGACCAGTAAGATAATACATTTGTGTTGTTTTAAGCAGCTGAATTTGAGGTAATTAGTTACAGCTGCAATAGGTAAATTGACATTAAATAATATACTTGACGTTAGGCTTCTTTACTGTAACTCACTTCTGGATGGCATGTTGTTGTCTGTTTTTACCTTTCTCCTTCCCCGCCCCCCAATTGATCTATTAGGAAATAGAGAACTATCTTCATTTCTGCTCCTTCTTCCAGGCTTGAATCTACACAACAGGCCACTCCCCAAAATTCCTCTGCTTAATTTAGAGAGCAGGTTTCAGGGATTCACCTGGGAACAACAGCAGCAGGCACCTGACTCATATTCCTGGCGGAGAGGAAGGGAGGCCATGTAGCTGCTCTTCCGTGGACGCGGATGCTTCCTGCCTCATAGCCGGGTCGCCTCCGCGCTAACCCCGTTGAACCTTGCAACCAGCCCCTCTAGAGTGTGGAAGAAAGGAGCATCGACCCAGCCTCAGGTTTCACTTCTGTTCTAGTTTATCTATCTAACTTAGACCACATGTCTGTGCTTTCAGAAAATTTTCCCATTTTTGAATCACTAACAGTACCCTTTATTCTTACTACTGCCAGGGATTCACTATTTTTAAACAGCTTTATTGTCATTTCAGTAGGATTTGGGGAAGAAAAGGAAGCGAATACATGTGTTCAATCCGTCATGTTGACTTGAAACTGCTGTTTTAAACTGCTCTCTTTCTACGTATTTGATTCCTTTTGCTCTACCCATCCCCATGTGCCTCTACTTGTCAAGTATTGGGAGATTATATAGGTTTCTTGTGTTTGTTGTGGTGATCAAAGTTTCTTGGGGCAGCGCCCTCATTATCTGTCAGGCCTGGCTTCTATGATTGAGAACAGGTGCAGCCAAGCCTTTGCTCTCCCTACCACTTCTGTCTGTCAAATAGAAAGCAGGAGGGAGCTTTTCTGTGGGATCTTTCCTTTCCTCTCAATTCTCTTTGCTGGAGAGCTCTCCAGGATATTGGCAAGGATCTGAATTTGTGGCTGACCAATGGTTCCACATCCTGCCATGGCCCCCACAAATTTTGCAGTTTTGAGATAGTAGATTTTGATGTGGTTCTGCTGGAGTCATATCTCCCATGTAATTTCAATTTAATCAGCTTCCGTTCATGCAGTGAATGATGGGTTCATTTATCTGTGCTTTATTTGTATATGATGAAGTAATTTTTTGAAAATTTTATACATAAATGGTAGCATTCCCTTATTTCTAAATCAGATGCTGGGCTTCTCTCAATCTTTTGTATATTCCTTTGATTATTAGAATTATAGGTGGGTGAATTCAAGATAAGAGTTACACATATGTGCCTGAATTATCACTCACAGACGATCAGATATCTTAATGTAATCAATAATCTTATATCCATTCTCTTTTTATAAGTAGGTAGGTTAGAATTCAGTTTATCCATTATGACTTCATTTTATAGTTGAATCCTCAATTGCATTAGAAGATATAGAGGCCTCACTGTCTATTTGCATGATGCTTTGGTGAATTCTGCTATATTAGGTTGTTAGGGTCACTGGGGACCAGAATTATTTGAGAAGACTTAGCATGGAGCATGTCATTTCTTAGAACATGGCTGTAAATGCTTGTTAAACGTGAGAAAATGGGGCATGTTAGGAAAGCCAGAACTGGAAATAAATCCAAAAAATTAAATATAGCTGATTCTGGGGAGATAAATCCATTTTTAATGATAGAAGGAAATCTAATAGACAATCTAATAGACAAAACATGTTATCTAAAGCTCAAGGCAATAGACAATAAGTGCTATATATATTTAGGGTCCTAACTCAAAAGTGTGCCAAAAGTGACAGTGGGTAACCAAGAGAGAGATAAAAGATGTCCGGAGGTGTTACAGATACTTGGAAAAGAAGATACACAAGTAGTTTCAGAATTCTGTCAGCAGGGAGAGAAGGCTCAGGTTTTTTAGCTGAATAGCAGGAAAGATCAGTCCCAGGGGAAGAGAACTGGCTCTGAATGAAGGAAGTATATATAGGTACTAGGCCTTGTGGATAGGAAGAGACAATAAGAAGAGCTAGATAATTACAGAATTTTATCTGTCACAATATTGCGTGCTTATAACATCAATAAACTAAAAGTAAAATCACAAAACCACCAACTTTACAGTAAGCTTCTTTGCAAATTGTATGGCTTTGTGTTTAATTAAAGCTTACTAACGGGTTGGGCTCAGATAGTTGTACTCAGAATACATTTTGACTTCTTTAAGCCTAAGATAAGAATGTTCATCTTCATTTGGATGGCATTTATTACACAAACCCAAGAATTCCATGATCATATCAATAAAAATTAGGAGAATTTCATTAGGCACTATAAATAACCCCTTCTCCTGAGACAAGTAGAGAAGCCCGAGTGAGTAACCAACTGTCCCCAATTGTATTAGCCTTTTAAATAAAGGATTCCCAGCAAACATTCAGAAGAAACCATATGCCTTCCAGGGATAGGCAGCTGGAAGAGAGGGAAGAGATTAATACAGAAAAAAGCTATAGGCCATCCCGATCCTATTCTTCAGTTCCTTTATTGGAGGCATTAAGTTTTATTTTATTAACTTCTTTCTTGCCCTTCAAAAGTTGAGGGTGCTCACTCCAGGGCTTGTGGATATCTGCCCCAGAGAACCTCAGTGCAAAGGTTTGAAATCACAGCTGGCTGTGATTAGAAGGATTGGGAGAGATCAGTGCTTGATTAACTTTCAGCTGCTATTGGTTTGCCTCAGTTCCTGCAGGAGAATTAATCTGTAGGTTCGAGTAAATTTTGGATCTTAATGGATACCAGATACATTGAGCCCACCCAGACCACCAAGATTTTGCAATCCTTTTCCTCACATTTAAATGGTACAAATGAATTCATTCCTCCTTACTCAGTGAACAGAATAACTCTACCTCAAGGTTTTTCTCATATAGCATTCACTTGATTTTGCCTTCTTTTCCAAGAAAGTATAGATTCGTTGGGGCAAGGTGCATTTTCAGAAGTATGACTTTAATTATTTGCATTCAGAGGCATTTGGGTGAATAACAATGCATCCTGCTCCCTTTCTCTTAATTTGTGTTTAGTGCACATAAAATTATGCCAGCTCTGTAATCAATAATTTTCATTCTTTTGCACAAGATTCATCTTCTTCCTCAACTGAATTTATGCCGTCCTAGTTAAAGATTCTTGCACTGCCAATATATGCTTATTATTATATTTCGTTATTATCTGGATAACACTAAATAATAGGTTATTTAAGTGTTTTTATAAGAACTCAGGTTTTGGGACTCTTGCAATCTTTACTGACTCATTTCATAACGAGGAGGAGTTCCTCTTTCCTGAAAGAGTATTGTACTTGTGAATTGGGAAACTCAACACAAAAGAAAACACCTAGCAAAAAAGTAACACACATGTATTTGTTTAAACCCCAGGAGACTTCAATTTTTCTGATAGATTATTGTGATAGCATTGACCTGGGAGACCCACACTGTTAAGATCAGAGACAAGTAAATAAAAATAAAGTATTAATCATCATAAATAAATCAAACAAATTTTCCTAACTAGCATGTAAGTCATTCCTTTCATAGAACCTAATTGTGGGAAGTGGCAGGAGATAAGCCGAAGGAATTCAGAACTTATCGTAATGCTCATGTATTTCTTTGAAAATTTTACATAAGTGTAAAAAATAATTTTTCTTTTGTGTTTTTGTTAAAATCACTTACAATGGATTAAAACAATAACAATAAAAGGATGGCTACTTACATTCTGGTACAGGAACTCATACAGATAAATGGCCAGAGGTAATTCAATCTTGAATCTCTTGAGGAAATGAACCTGTTAATGTATTTTAAATACATTAGTAATTAGAGAAAAGTGAAAAAAAAAAAAAACTCTGGATATCAATGTCTTTGCAGCTCAACTTGGCTGACATTTCCCTTTCGCTAATGAAATTAGAATTTTGAGCATGTCAGAAAACACATGATATTTCCAATGCAGTTTGGTTCATCTTACTCTTACGTACATAGTAGTGAACTTGTCTCTAGGCTGAGCAGTGGTTTCTTTGTTTTACATGGTTTCCTTTCCAGTCTATGGCCTTTCATTAAGTGCATCACAGATAATGCTGAAGGACTAAATCCAAGAAGCAATTGAGTTTACAACAAACTAAGGATTCAAAGGGCTTTAAAGGAACCAATTTACTCTTCTTCCTGCACTCATCTTTGCTGGAGTGGCTGTGGAGTACAAAAGTGATTAGTCTTCTACCACAAATGTACTCTGATACCTATGTTTACTCAATTTCAGGAGCATTACCTGTATTTCTCTCATCAAAAGTCCAATCCTCCAAGCTGATTTCGCGTTATTATTCAGAGAATTGACTTGTTCTCACTAAAGTGAAAGTCTTAGAAGATACTGTATTTTTAAAGTTGTGCTAACTCAAATATGGGCCTACATCTACATGTAGAACCTTCTCTAAGGTTTTCACGAAAAGTTAGATTAAAAACAAAACATGCTCTGTTTAGAAATATTTTGGAGAAAGCTAGCATTTTTTGAGAAATTAGTTGCTAGAAATTATTTCTCTTAAGTAGCTCTCACTTAACAAAATATCTTCTCTACTCTTTTTTTTTCTTTCTTTCTTTTTTTTTTTTTTTGAGACATGATCTTGCTCTGTCACCCAGCTGCTGGAGTGTAATGGTGCCATCGCAGTTCACTGCAGCCTGGACCTCCAGGGCTCAGCCTCCTGAGTAGCTGACAACCGCAGGCACACACCACCATGCCCAACTAATTTTTGTCCTGGCTACTTTTACTCCTAAACCTTCTCCTTCTCCATAAACATCATATTTTTCATAACTTCTCCCCTTCCACTCTTTATACCAGCAAGACGAATGTTGCCCCAGTGGCCAAATATGTGTTATTTCACATTGCCCTGCTCTAATTAAGGAGGTGTGAAGAAGGAAATGCTAGCAACAGCAATGATAACTCAGGTGGCTTTGTGTGTGTGTTCTGGGAGTGGAGTGTCTTTAAGTGAGCATATTGGAGCACAGGATAGACAGGAAGAGCTCCAGTGTTAGTAAAATTATGAATCATTACTATGTTGGGGACTTCTAGAATTTAGGTCCAAAACAATTCTCCTGTGGTTGCAATCCATTATAAGTCATTCAATTAATAAAGAATGAACCAATTAATGGAAATAATATAAACCATAGACTTCTGAAAAAGTGGTAAGGATTTTTGAAATATATCCTAATGTGCACCAGGAGTCAAGTAACATGGACAGAGTATTTACTCAGCACATAAGTTGTTAGGCACAGATTATTAAGACTAAAGAAAGACACTTCAAATGAAAACACTAAAAAGAAGAGACTTTAAAAATCAGAAAATGATATTGATGCCCAAGTTTTCAGTTTGGAGAAGAGCAAAGAAATGCAAACAACGCCATTTGTTATTGTATAGTTCTAAAGCCATTTTTGGTAAAAATAATAAATTATTTTTGAGAAAAGGTGAAATTATCAGTAATTTTCTAAAGAACTATAATCTAACAAGTTATTATATAGCTCTAAAGCCATTATTGGTAAAAATAATAAATTATTTTTGAGAAAAGGTGAAATTTATCAGTAATTTTCTAAAGAACTATAATCTACTAACAAAAAAGACTATATAACGAATAAGCTGTTGGATGATTTTAGCCTGATGGGAAGTTGTGAGCATTTAAGATGAGGAGGGACCTGTTAGTCTTATTGGAAGCACTGTGTTATGTTATACGTATGTATTAGCAGTTGCATCGACTCATAGTTCCTATTTTGTTTATTTCTCCACATATGCGAACTCCTGCTCCTCATTTTCCTGTTCCTCATTAGACACCTTAAGGGTCACTGGCAAGCAGTGGCCGTTTTATAGAAATAAAGGTCTAGCATGAATGTGTCATGAAGTTGGAATAACTTTCTCTTCCCCTAGGATCCAGCAAATCAAGGTTGAAATCCGTTGCCAAAAGCCTAGGGCTCAGCAGGGGGCCATGCCTGGAAGAAAGGGGGGTTATCTTTGCACTGGAGGGTGTAGTTGCTGTATCTTCCCTGCTGTTAAACTACACTTTTCAGAGGCTACTGACCTGGGAGCTTTCATCAGCCTTAAACCCACTTTTAATAACAACAAGCTCAGGGAATCTGGGGAGTTGTTCACCAATGTCTGGAACTCTGACAGATATCTTCTAGTTCTGCTTGGTAAGGTCCACCGCTGTTTCATGGGCCATGTCTCTTCTCCAGCACCAGTTCAGGAGGCAAAACCAAACATCGCCTTTTGGAATGAGACCTACAAATAAAAACAAATTAACTCACCTCGCCACCCGCCCCTTCCCTGCCCCTGGAGGTACATTTCAGCCCAGTGCTTGTTTTAATGTTCTGTTTTACAGCTTTTTGTGTTGAATTCTTTTGACAGTCACTGTTCTCAGAGTGGGGGCACTGCAATTCAACTTCCTCATTAATCATAATGGAGAACTGTGCTCACATGATCCCAGCGCATGGACTCTTCTCAGCTTGCAGTCCTGCTTGTTGCAACAAACAGGCTGCAAACTGTGTTTACTTTACATGTCAGATATTGTTAGCCTTGAACTGGGGCCTCTTGTGTGAACTGATCAGAAAGTCCAACGCAGTCAGGCTCAGGTTTCTCCTCCATGATGGAGGTGACATCAGATCCTCCAGCACGGTGATAGTGGTTTTGACTGAACTGCTTGGAGATTACGTCTGGAGATTTCAAAGATGGTTGAGTTTCAATTCAAGGAGCCAACGTCCTGAATTAAGTGTTTCCTTCAGGGATTTTCTGTGTCAAGATCAAGAGAAAAAAGTGCTGTGGAGGTGTTTTGATTAATTTGCATGCTCAATTTCTTGGGATTCACGAAGCTTCTATTTCTAAGGTTATTTCTCATTATTCTCCAACATGTACATTTCTCTTTAGTCAGTCCCCCTTATCACAGCGAATTTGATCACACTATTCATCTTAAATTAGATTCTTTTTCTACACTTTTCGTTTCCAATTACTCAAGTGATTTCTCACCTCTCTGAAAGCCCAGTTTCATACAAAGTCAATATCCTGAAGTTCAGCATTACATAATCTTCAATTATTTCGAGTGGACAATATAATGACAGCATTAAGTTGAGAAATATCTTTAATGCAAGATTAGCTTGAGAGAAAGAGAAGCTCTGCATTTTATACCTGCTTATCTGGTGAAATTTTTATGAGTCACTACTAAGAATCCCAGAAGAAAATGATACTCCTGTTTTTATCAGACAACTTTCTGGATATAATGTGGGCCCAGAATGGCATACCAACATCAGCAACCAGAGCTCTAAAAGCTCTTCTAGGCTCCCAAAGACTCCAGAGCAAGATGTTATTTTTGGTCCCTCCAGGCCAGTGACTTCCAATGGGGGAAGAGTTTGCCCCCGAGGGGATGTTTGACAATATCTGGAGATATTTTTTAGTTGACACAACTGGGGAGTGGTCTTGTTATTGATATATACTGAGTAATGGCCACTGATGCTTGCTACGCATCTGTCCATGCACAGAAAAGGCCTTCGCCTCTCCCAACAAAGAATTACCTGGCCCCGAATATCAGTAACACTGAAGCTGAGGAACCCTGCCTTAGTCTACATCAATACTATAAATTCCGTGCCTTATGAATATCAGGTACTCAGTAAATGCTTAAGGAATAAACACATGTATAAATTAAAGGTTCTGAACTAGAATAAGTGTTTACATTTGGTCACTAATACTCCTTTGTTAACCTGTTTCACCCTGGATCTTGCCAGCCTGCCTAGACATACATACTTAGCATTTCTTCCTGCCATCTCTGACTTCCTCAGACTGCCCAGCTCCAACCTCGGTGTGTTAGATTCCTCTCCTTCATGGTCCACGCCTGCTCAGGCACTCAGTCTCCGACTTGACAGCCTGCTGAGACAGAAGACCACAGAAGCAGGGTCAGTAGAAGATCTGGAACCAGGAGCAGCAACAGTCCCCACTACCTATTCTAAACAGTAACGTCACTTGATGAATTTCGGCAGTTTTCCCATTTTATGCCAGGCCCTGTTGATACAAGTGCTGTAGCTGTAATGAAGTTAAACTCAATATATTTTTTCCTCTAGTTATAACTGGCAATAATTTTGCAAGTTCCCAGCTACCGTGGAATCCATTCAGGGCAGGCAAAAAAAAAAGCAAACAAACTCCAGTATGAAATGTAATTGTGGTTGCCACATGTGAAATAGGTTAGCTACCAACATTTCTTGTTACCTTTACTCTGTGGACACTGGCTTTTGCTTAAACTAAGTGTATTTTGCTATTTGGAAATGGAGACAATGATCTGGGCATTTTATTGGAAAAAATGGCTTTTCCTGGAATAATTCAGATTATAGAGACAAAATGATACTTAAAATATGTTGCCAAAGAGTGTACCAACATTTGACATTCTTAATCTGAGAGATGTGAAAATACACTATGTGCCCAGGTCTGAAAATATGACTAGACATAGTTAATTAATGCATGTATACTATATATAAACAAATTGACCTGGCTGTGTGCTTTATCCATCTAATCATCACGGGGACCCTCTGAGGTATATTATGATATCCTCATTTTTATAGTTAAGGGTAGTGAGAATCGGAGAGGTTGAATAACTTCTAAGATCACATACATAGCAAAGGAGACTTCTTAACTTACAATTAGAATGAAGATAGATAAAAAGGGTTCATTATATTATAGAAAAATATTAACCATTAAATTTGAACACATTTGACATTAGAAGATGTCCCTAAAATTTTGACAATAAATGCAGGTTTTAATTTTCCACAGTGCCAAGTTACCATCGTTAAAATTTTGCATCTGTCTATAACATCTATGTTATTCCTTCAGTTAAACAACTTTGTAGAAGTATAGTTTTTCTCAAATTTATAGTTCTCTCTGATCCTAACAAAAGGAAATTACTATTTTAAGTACTTTTCAAGGTAGAAAATTTCTTCTCTAAAAATAATGTGTCAATAACACTGAGCCATGTTCTAATATCTTTTAAGTATGGACTTGTCCGTGCGAATACTTTACTGTGTCATTAGGTGGAAACCGTGGGTCACTTTTAAACAAATATTTGGATGCAACTTCATGAGAAAAATGTTTCCAGGGTTAAGAGATGATACTCTGAAAAAAAGGAAAATTCAAGGTACTTATAGCTACTGAAAGGTTTTTTTTTTTTCCTTAATGGTACTTAATTCATGTTGTAAGTAAACTGTATTTATACAAGCGAAAGCACACATTTTATTTAAGTAGACCAATTTGCAAAGAGCCCTGTACATACATCTGTAACGTACTATAAACATGAACATACAGAGTCCTTTTATACTACTTCTTTTTTTATATATTTTTATTTCGTATCAAGGATTTCTACTGACGTCAATGGCAGTCTCAGAATTGGAATGAGTAGTGTAGATTAAACATTAGTGGCTGAGAGAATTTTATCTCATTTGCTAAGAAAAATCTTGCATAAGGGATCTAATCAGTTAATCTTAATTAAAGAAATATTACTTGTTTCGGTCTTTCCAATTGGGATGAACAACAGCAACAATATGAAAAACTTCTTCAATATGAATAACAGGCTTAAAGTTTCAGACACTTGAATGTTTTAATTGGGTGGAAACCTGTAATAAATTACTTTCTATTTCATCATAATACAGCTTTTTTCAATGTCCAAATATTCATTACCAGAATTTCCACAATTATATAGGGAAGCAACATAAAACTCAAGTCATAAATTCACATTTGTATTGACTGAAAAAAATTAGTCTCCATTTAAATACCCTTCCCATTTTGAAACTAGCTTTTATCCCTGTCTAGTTTAGCAACATTTGTTAAGACAGTTTCTTAGAGCTGGTCAGATGTTGAAAGTACTCACAAGATGCATTGCATTATAAAATCTGCATCGTATGTAGGATTTTCACTTTCATAATAGGGTATTATAACTTGCCGATTAAAAATGTCTTCATTCTTTCTGGTTTAAAAATAGTCTTTTTCCATGTAAATTAGTCTCCGGGAGGCAAGAGACTCCATATTTCCTGTACCTCTGCCCGAACTTCTTCAAATTGTGTTTGGATGTATAAAGTGGGTCAGGAAACCAATTCATTGACATACACATACCAGGAAAAAGGCCTCAGTTAATCTGCACCGCCCCCCCACCCTGCCAAAAAAGAATACCTTTTTATAATGCTGAAGGAGTGGAGGTACTGTTAATGAAATAATGTGCCTTATCTGAAAACCCTGCCCCATTTCTGATATGGAAGAAAATCAAAATGCGTTCATACTCTTAACAATAATGACTGTCATTGTAGTCTTCAGATGGGAAATTTGCATTAGTTATAACAGAACTTTGCAGTAATTTTAATAATACACAGAAGCATTCATATGTATGAGTGGGGCAAAGTAAAATAAATTTTATATGTGTTACTTCTGACTCTTTCTTGTAATCTATCTGCTATTCCAGAAGTAGCTACAAACTTATGCTTCTAGAAATAGATATTGTATTGATAATTCACCCCATCCACACTACCTGTTATCTTGAGAGGAAAAGAAAAATAAATGGCTTTGAAACCGATATGGATCTTGAAGTAAAGGAGAATTGGTTTTCTTACGCAGAATCCCCAGTGCGCAGTGCTGCTAAGGGGAAGCCCACATTTCTGATTTTCACTTTGTATGAAAAAACAATATTTTTCCTTGATCATTGTGGTGAGATTGAAGCAACAAATCTCACCAGCCCGAATCACCAAACTCCCCACCACCCTTTACCCCATAACGCTGTTCCCTTGCTTCCATGTGTTTTTTTACCACCCAGCTTATTTGATCCCCTGGAAGATGAATGGCTTTGACTAAAAAAATTAAACAATGGCATAACGAAAATGCAGGATAGGGTAAACCTCACCGTGCTGCACAATTTCCTTTCTTTTTTCCTGTTTCTGAGGTCAGGTCTGGGTGGTTTTTTTTGGGGTTTTTTTTTTGTTTGTTTTTTGTTTTTTTTGGTTTTTTTTTTTTGTCCATCCACTCATATTTGCTGTAATTCTTTTAATCACTGATGTTTCTTTTTAAAATTTTTGAAATTATAGTGATTTGTCTTTTACAGTTTTCTGTTCAGTAGGAAGCAGTGTAATGTCTGAATGTTTCACTAGATATACTATGTTAGAATCTTCTATTCCAGTATTATTATTTTTTACTACTGAGTTCTAGTTCCCAGGTCTGTCACTTTAAAATATTAGTTTTCTCTCTGGTAAAGTGAAAGCAATAGTTGCCCTGCATTGACTCTTAGGGTAGCCGGGGAAGACACAAAATTATAATTCACGTAGAAGCAACTTGTAAGCCTTAAGATGGACTACATATGAAAGAAATTAGACTGAAAATATAATTTCCTAGCAAATGTATTGCATAGGATATTTTAATATAAAATAATTTATGGAATACATGAGTGGGGGAAAAGGAAGGGAAATAATAGTAAGGTCTGTTTTAGTGTTCCATGAAGTATTAGCTAATTGATATGGAGATATCTAGTTTTTTTTAACTGGCAAATAGTAATTCTGGGTGGCTGTTTTTCAAATCTTATATACCAGGACATATAATTTGAAAAGACCAAATCCTCATTCGACGAAAAAATAATTTGCCACCTGTTTGCCTCACCCTAAAAAATACAACATTTAATGTACTAAATTGTTCAACAACCAATACAGTTTCTGGAGAGCAATTGAGAGCTTCTCCATTTGCTCACAGAGCATACAGATTAAATTATATTTGGTTTGGCTGCCAGGGTTTATAGAAAGCAGTAGGTGCCAGGGACAAGGGTTGGTGGGACTTTATGATGATGGTCAGGTGCCTGAAGAGGACAGTACGTTTTCCACAATGGACACTTTAGGGGATTATTGAGGAAAAACAACCTAGTTGGTTTCCTGGGTGACCTAGATGGTATGCAGCCCAGCAATGAGCTGAGCTGGATCACCAGGGAGGGGCATGAGGCCTTTGATATACAATTTCCCCCAAAATTCGGCATGCAAAAACAATCATGTTTCTCGTTCTAGTATACCTGAAAATGCAAACTTGAGCTCTCGGAAATATGTTGGATAATGCTTGTTTCTTTCCAGTTCCTCTAGACATATGCAAGGAGGCAGGAATTTAGTGACTACATTTACATAACAATGACCCATGATGAGGCTAGACATATCCTACCTAAGCAAACTTCTTATGGAATAGTGAAAGTTTAGAGGCCATTATTTACCCTGCCTGTCCTGTGTCTGCATATTTCTACTTAGAGCTTCACCTTGTGTTGGAAGCACTTATCTTTCTCATAGGCAAGATACACATCATTTATCCCGGGGCTGCCTTCAGCAAGCAGCACTATGGTTAGCCTGACCCAGCCCAAGAGAGAGAAACACCCTTATGAGTGTGAATGGTTTACATGGTCTAATTTGGATGGGGCATATTTATGCACTCAATTGCTGAAACAACTAGACCAACCAAATGAGACTGAGATATTCCCAGGGATGTATGTCAAGTACCATTACCATATTTGGATGAGTGGTGTCCATTCATTCATATACTTTTGAATACCTGGAGTGGTGAGTCAACTGAGAAGAAACCTGGGCAATGAAGCTGTGGGGATATTTCATGTACAGCAGCTTAATACTTCCTGGGCTAGCTGGGAATGCAATAGTACTTGCAGGCCTGTGTGCTCCCACTTTTCGGGAAACAAAGAAACAAGGAACTCTGAGAAGTAACCTAAGCCTCCATGTGAGTTAGAAATGTAGGAGCAAAATTTAGGAGCAAAAACAAATAACTGATAAAAACTTCCTCTTGAGGCTTCTTCATAAAAATCCATATGCCAGCCAGGCGGGGTGGCTCACACCTGTAGTACTAGCGCTTTGGGAGACCAACACGAGAGGATGGCTTGAGCTCAAGAGTTTGAGACCAGCCTGGGCTGCATGGCAAAACCCCATCTCTCCAAAAAAAAAAAATTAGCTGGGCATGGTGGCACACACCTGTGGTCCCAGCTACTTGGGAGACTGAGGCAGGAGGATTGTTTGAGCCTGGGAGGCAGAGGTTGCAGTGAGCCAAGATTATGTCATTGCACTCCAGCATGGGTGACAGAGTGAGACCTTGTCTCAAAAAAAAAAAAAAAAAATCCATGTGCCTATAACTCTTAGAAACTGGGATTTAAAATAAGGAAACTGAAGAGATTAAAACATAAATAGAACTACTGAGCAAATGTGGAAACCAGTGGTACTTAAGGAGATGAAAGGGAAAAGACTATCAAAGAGAGATAGAAGGCAAGTAAGATTAATCTACAAACTATCAATTTAAAAAAGATCAGGATGAAGTCTTTTAAAGAATGTTTGTTGAAAAAAAAGGATGTATAGCTAGATGCCTTGATTAAATCTTCTTGGTCACATTGACTCAGGTTTCCAAGATTAAGGAGCTAAGATTACTATGTTCCAGACCAAAATCTTCTACTTCATTGTCAGGATTGTTTATCAAGTAAGGAGTAACAGATATTGATGAGATGCAGCTGTATCACAGAATGACCACTAGTTATGTACCCCTGAGGTTGAGGGAGCTGTGTGGTTTAAAGCAGGGGTCCCCAACCCCTGGGCCATGGACTGATACTAGTCCATGACCTGTTAAGAACCAGGCCACACGGCAAGAGGTGAATGATGGGTGAGAGAGTGAAGCTTCATCTGTATTTACAGCCACTCCCCATTGCTGGCATTACTGACTGAGCTCCACCTCCTGGCAAATCCGCAGTGGCATTAGATTGTCTCGGGAGCACAAACCCAATTGTGAACTGCACACGCGAGGGATCTAGGTCGTGTGCTTCTTATGAGAATCTAATGCCTGATGATCTGTCAGTGTCTCCCATCAACCCCAGATGAGACCATCCAATTGTAGAAAATAAGCTTAGGGCTCCCACTGATTCTACATGATGGTGAGGTATATAATTATTTCATTATATATTATGATGTAATAATAGAAATAAAATGCACAATAAATGTAATGCCCTTGAGTCATCCTGAAACCCTTCCCCTACCCTGGTCTGTGGAAAAATTGTCTTCCATGAAACTGGTCCCTGGTCCAAAAAGGTTGGAGACCACTGGTTTAAAAGGTATGAGTGTTGAAGGGACCTAGAATTTATGGCTTCCCTGAACAAAGATGACCCATGCCTGCCTGTATGGTCTCTCCAGTCATACATGTCTTCCATATAGGGTGATGTGATGATGGCAATTGTACCTGGAAGGTCCATGAACACTGCATTGCTATCTCTATATGAGCTCTATTGTTGCCAGTCTTTATTCTTTCTCAATACCAAGTAAACTTGGTGCTAGGTGAAGACTATTGTGTGTCTCATGAATTTGATTGTCAACTTGAACTCAAGACTACTATTGTTAGGTATAAAGGAGAGAATAGTCATATAAAAAACCTGTACTACAAGTCCTGAGAACAGTGCCAGAGATGATGGAGAAACAATAATGAAAATGTTCTGGCTACATTATTTTATAATTAGAATATTTCAGAGGGGCATATAGGTGGAAAGACCAAAGATGAAAATATGCCTTGTGTGAATAAATGGTTCAACGTTTTTGAGATGCAGAAAATTTAGCATATAAATTCTCAGAAAAAAAAAAAATTAAAGCGATTTATGTCTGTATACCCTGGAGAGGGGAAAAGAGGTGGGAAGAGCTGCCAACTCTAAAATGTACCTCCTAAATACTGGTGTTATATGTTTTGCCTAGTATTTGCTTGGTACTCCAAAGAATCTATTTCAATAGAAAAATAATAGAAGTTCAAGACTTACTTAAACACCTGTGGTTTGGTGGTTTGGGGGTTGGCTGAAACGTCGTTTTCCATACAGGTAATTTAAGTAAAAAGAATTCTAGGCTGGGCACTGTGGCTCACGCCTGTAAGCCCAGCACTTTGGGAGGCTGAGGCGGGCAGATCATGAGGTTAGGAGTTCAAGACCAGCCTGGCCAAGATGGTAAAACCCCGTCTCTACTAAAAATACAAAAGTAGCCGGGCGTGGTAGCAGGCACCTGTAATTCCAGCTACTTGGGAGGCTGAGGCAGGAGAATTGGTTGAACCTGGGCGGCTGAGGTTGCAGTGAGGCAATATTGCGCCACTGCACTCCAGCCTTGGTGATAGAGTGAGACTCTGTCTCAAAAAAACAAAAAAAAAAACTAAATATCTAAAAGCTGCACACTGGATTCTGTTGCTTTGGGGTTCATTGCTAACCATTCATTTATAGCACATGTCCTATGGATAGTTTCCTATAAGTCCCATTTTGAAAGCAGTTAACTTTGATTACCTTTATAAGATATATAAAACATTGGTGGTGATTCGGGAGACTGTTAAATGTCATTAGTGAGACTCACAAAGCCAGAGAAAGACAAGCAATATAGACAAAATCTAAACTGAATCATATTTCACTATTGACAAGAGCTGGGAGCCACATGCCGAGAATACTATGAAAATAATTTGGATAGAATCAGGCAGTAAATATTAGATTAGTAGCATTCCAACAAGTAAATAAATAACTTGCACAGATTTGAATTAAAAAGGAAGTAGGTTAGTGTTGTAACTTTCATTCAGGGATTTTGTGTCATAAAAGCAGCCCATCTGGAGGACATGCACTTGGAGTCTGAATCTTCACAATGATGCAATAATGACCTTAATCTTCCAGCAAAGGCCAGGTGAATAATTACCTTGCAAGTCTGCATTCCAGTCAAAAATCTCCTGTCAGGAAAGACTTCAGCCTAGTGAGATGGAATCTAACATTTTAAAAATGATATAAACATTTGTATAAATGATCAATCTCTTAATTCTGAAAATGCTGAGCAGATCTATAAATATGCAAAGTAAATTGCACCCATGATACTAATCCATTTTGTGGAACAACCTGTACTGGTATTCACAGGTTTTGTAATGTTTAAAGAAAATATGACTTTTAAGATAATGTAATAGAGTAGCCTTGGCATTCCAATTTAAACTAAATAATTGAGTAACTGATGTTTGCACTAGAATATTTTATGGATTCTTTTTATTTCTTCTATATATTAGTAAGTTAGAACATATGCAAACATTTATTTACTGAAGTTGATTTTTTAATTGGTTCACAAATGAAAGATAGTTACAAGGATTATGGGGAAAATATACATGCTAATTCTCCATTTCAAGGTGAGGAACAAGAAAAAGGCCACAGTTGCTGAGACAGTGGAAATCCGATGTTTAGAAACTAACCTAACCTAGCAAACTTTAGTCAAAATTGGAGACTTGGTATTTCTAAAAGTGTTGTGGTTCCTGACATTCTAACTAATTCAGGCTTAACAAAGTACAGAAAAGCCCTTGATCCCTTATAGTGTGAAAATTAGTTGTTTCCTGGTAAATTCAGTTACTATATTCTTTTTTATTAAAATGATTTATTTGTAAAGAAATCAGATTGAGTTATATTTACAAAACATATTTCAAAACTATATGAAAATACTTTCATACTAACATGTTTCTTTTTAAGGTATGGTAATGCTGTATATTGCAAAATCACAGTTTATACTTGAATCACTAGAATTTTTGACTCATTTTGGTGAACTTGATTCACTAAGGTTGGAAAATTACATTTTTTAAAATGGTGGAAGACAATTGGGTAAAAATGCTTGTGTTGTGAAGTTAGATATTTCTCTGTTTTCTTATAAGTAAAATCAAGAATTTCAATTAGTAGACATTTTAAACACTTGCTATGTCTAACACTGTGTGGGTTGTTAATTATTTTTTTTAATGTACCAGTAGTTTCTTTTCTTAAGGAATTTATTATTTTGTACGCAACCTAGCTATGGCTGAGGACTCCATAAGAACTGAGATTTTAAGAGAACTTGGCTAAGTATTTAATCTGTATTGTGAGGTTCAAACCAACTTGGGTTTCATCATATGTATGCATTTCGATTATTAAGTTGTTAAATATTTTGGAGAGTTTTGCTCTTTAGTTTTGCTTTTAAGATGCAACAGAAAAGTCAATGTGTTACATATGTTTTTGATATGTGTTTGATAAATTTAGAGGAATTAAATTATACATGGCATGATTGCTTAAGGAAATTTAAAATTTTCAGCTTGACTTGATCAAACATTGATCATAGGGTCTCTTGAAAATGATTAAGTTTTATTCATGAAAAGTTTGTTTATGAGGTTAACCTGAAAAGTTTGTTTATGAGGTTAACCTGGTCTTAATGGAAACGAATCTTCTTGTTTGTTTATTTTGTGTCTTCAGTACATTTAATATTAACTCTAAAACTCGTCATCATATCTTATCTTTTTTATTAATAAAATCTTAGGGACAACACAAAATTTCTTTTCGTCAACAGCCATTAAAAAATAGCATTTCTTTAAAAACAAAATCAGGAGTTGCTTATAATTGGCAAAGGTAAAAAACCGAGTGATTGTGTTGACTTTTTAGAGACATAGTCCATGACACAGTAGACTCGGAGACCCCATGTAGTTCCCACTTCTGGAATTAAAGAAGCGGGAGGCTTTATGCACCCCAATGTGCCCTTAGAAGCCCCAGGATCATGTTATTACATCTTCACCTAAATCTAAAAGCAATTCATTCGAATGTCTCATTATCACAACACACTCTTACCTTTGTTATCAGTAACAGGAAAAATGCTATGCTCTAGAATAGTAACAGAAGATGCATAAGCAAGGTTATAGACTCAGAGCTCTCTTTAGCATCATTCATTTGTTCAACATTCTGTCTCGTGCTCCCACAGTTGGTGTGATACTCCATTCATGGGTCTATCTGGGTCAGCAGAAGTCTAGTACGGCTCTGAGTAATGAAATAAGCAAGTGAGGGACAATTGTATCTCTTCCTGGAAGCTTATCAATGTCACTTACATTCACCTTTACAAACTCCAGACCAAACAACTCATGATGCAGATATCTAAAAACCAGAGCAGTGGTGATCTCTTTCCTAAGTCTCTTCCCAACCTCTTATAGTTTTGTTTCTCTTTGGTAGATGTTTCCTGATTCTTGAACAACGTTCCACAGTGTTGAAATCTTCAGTGACTTACAGAATGATGGGCTTTTGTCAGAACATTCATTTCTTTGCAGCCCCAACTACAAACTATGTCAGATGATGGAGACGCTTTTTCCCCATGTTTCTTAGTGCGTTGGAAATGTCTAGCTCTTGACTTTGCTATAGTGTCCACTTTTTCCGAAACTAAAAATCCCCATCTTTGCTTCATCATCAGTCTACTAATTAAAAGTTTCAACTATCTAGGCAATCACACTTTTCTGGGAGTACATCATATAAAGCTCTGACTTAAAACACTCGATTCTAAAAACTTCAACTTCATTTGCTCCTTAAGATCATGGTGTATTCTGCAACTTTCCAACAGCAACTATATCTGCCAAATAAGTGAAGGAGTGGGAAACATCTTTATTTAGGCTGAAGCCAACAGAAGAATAATTTACATATAGTTGCTTGTAAAATAAAAGAAAACAGGTTTGAGCAGAATTGAAATAATATAATAGTATCATTTTATGCATACTTAAAAATATCTCCTTAAGTAGTTTTTTGAGCAGTTTCACTCTTGTTGCCCAGGCTGAAGTACAATGGCATGATCTCTGCTCACTGCAACCGCAGCCTCCCGGGTTCAAGTGATTCTCCTGCCTCAGCCTCCTGAGTAGCTGGGATTACAGGCGTGCACCACCATGCCCGGCTAATTTTTTTGTATTTTTAATAGAGACAGGGTTTCACCATGTTGGCCAGTCTGTTCTCGAACTCCTGACCTCAGGTAATCTGCCTGCCTAGGCCTCCCAAAGTGCTGGGATTATAGGTGTGAGCCCCCACGCCTGGGCTTATGTAGATTTTTAAATGCATAAAAACAATAGATTGGTGACTGCTAATACATTCGCCCTATTGCTCAAAGTCCTGGCTACTAAATTAAGGATATAATTCATGTGATATTTTATGTTTAATTCACAACTTAAAATTTTGCATTAGACATTTGTGTTTGTTTCAAATCTTCAGGGAGCCAAAGGCTTTCTGGCCCTGCCTCTTCACTCAGGCCTCAAACTTCACTTCCACAGATGTGCCTAAAGCGATTTGAAGGATCTGTCATACCATACTCCTAATGAAAAGCAAATTAGAGAAGGTGTGGCCTTCCACGGCTCCTTGCAGGTTGCCTGCATATTAATGAAAACAGATCTTTTTGACACCAAAAGGCAGCTTACTTCAAGTCTCCGGTCTTGTTCCCTCCAGATTCCTTCAGGCTGTCAGACTTGCAATTTGACAAAACAAAGCTAGGCTGAATATTAACGTTTCCTTTCTCCTCCTTTATCTGAACCAACATTTTGGAAAAAGATTCAAAATGGTTTCTGACATCATCTCATTGCTCAATATTGAACAACCATTTACATGAAACTGAAAGTAAATTTCAGTTTCAAAGAAAAGGACTGTTTGGGGTATAAGAGCAAATTTTATAAAATGTTGAATTCACCTTTCACAAAGACTCAGAATGATACTCTGCTTACTAAACTAGAGATAGTAGTCATGAAAAGAAATATTGAGATGGAGGAAGGCTACTGAAAAAGAAATTGATAGCTCAATCAAAATGTAAAGAAGTCAGAGAGTGTTAGATAGACTGCAGAGATGTGAAGCAAAGAGAAGCTAAAGAAATTCTTTCAGAATTTGAAGAAAGAATGAAGAAATGAGTACTACAGAATGAAGATAAAAGTCAGAGACAAGAACAGATAAAAAGAGATCCAGTACACATATAATAGAAATTGCAAGCTGGGCGCGGTGGCTTACACCTGTAATCCCAGCACTTTGGGAGGCCAAGGTGGGTGGATCACCTGAGGTCAGGAGTTCGATATCAGGCTGGCCAACATGGTGAAACCCCATCTCTACTAAAAATACAAAAAAAAAAATTATCTGGGCATAGTGGCGGGCACCTGTAATGCCAGCTACTTGGGTGGCTAAGGCAGGAGAATTGCTTGAACCTAGGAAGCAGAGGTTGCAGTGAGTGGAGATCACGCCACTGCACTCCAGCCTGGGTGATCGAGTGAGACTCTGTCTCAAAAACAAAACAAAACAAACAAACAAAAAGAAATTGCAGAAAGGAAAATACATAGTATGCAAAACAAAAGCAACACACAAAACAGCAAAAGAAAAATAGTCTCCACAGTGAAAATCAGTGTGATCCTTAATCACAGCTAATGCCAAGAAATCACAACGAAAAGCTACAGAACACATAAGAATACAAACATCATATTCTTTTAAAAAATTTCACAGATAAATGGGAAAAAATTATAAAAACTTACAGATAAGCGTGTCAAAGAAAAATACAAATGAAAACAAAAAGTAGATGGACATGAGATTTCTCCTCCCAGAACTAAATTTCAGGGAATAATGAAGTGTAATATAAAGAAATGTAAGGTTTAAAGAAAGAGACTCAATAATTTTCTGTTTATTTAAACTATTGCTTAGGTGTAAAGAAAATATAAGACATTTTCAGAAATGCAAGGGATCAGACTAAACCCAAATTACCCTTCCTGAAAAAAGTACTCCACTTGTTGAAAAATAAACCAAGATGAAAAAGACATGCTAGAAGAGAAATAATGATGAACAATGAAACCACTAAAATATAACAGAATCAGTTAATGCGCTTATGACACTTTAGGAAAATATACAAGTAATTATTAAAAGAATATGCAAAATGGGAATATCTTCAGAGAGAACATACAATAAAAGACTACAAAATTTTATATATTATTTTATTACATATAAAATGATATATAATTATAACATTAAATTGTATAACATATATATTAAATTATATAATATATAATTTAACATATACAATAAAATACATTTTCGCAACAGAGGCCACATAAACAGCTTTATCCTTATTAAGTACAGAGAAAAATGCATTCATATTATATTGCACTTATCTGAATATTTGCTTACAAGCAACAAAATTCATATTTGACTAACTTAGGTGGACAATAAAGTTATTGCAAGGATTTTAGGTAGTTCTCATCATTGACAGAAAGATGGTAGAAGTCAATTACACATGTTCCTTGCCGATACTGTGTTTTCACAAATTGAAGGTTTGTGGCAATCCTTTGTTGAGCAAGTCTGTTAGCGCTATTTTTCCAATACCATGTGCTCACTTTGTGCCTCTGAGTCACATTTTGATAATTCCTATTTAGAGCTTTTTTTCTTTTTTAAAAAAACTTTTAGTTTCAGGAGTACACATGCAGGTTTGTTAAATAGATAAACTCACGTCACGGGAGTTTGTTGTACAGATTATTTCATCACCCAAGTAGTAAGCCTAGTACCCCATAGTTATTTTTCTGTTCCTCTCCCTCCTCTTAACCTCCACCCTTAAGTAGGCCCCAGTGTCTGTGGTTTCCTTCTTTGTGTTCATTAGTTGTTATCCTTTAGCTCCCACTTACCAATGAGAACATGTGGTATTTGGTTTTCTGTTGCTGCGTGGGTTTGCTAAGGATGATGGCCTCCAGCTCCACCCATGTTCCCGCAAAGAACATGATCTTATTCTTTTTTCTGACTGTGCAGTATTCCATAGTGTGTATGTACCACATTTTCTTTATCCAGTCTACCACTGATGGGTATTTGGGTTGATTCCGTGTCTTTGCTATTGTGAATAGTGCTGCAATGAACATTCTCATGCATGTGTCTTTATGGTAGAATGCTTTATATTACTGTGGGTATATACCCAGTAATTGAATTGCTGTGTCAAATGGTAGTTCTGCATTCAGTTCTTTGAGGAATTACCATACTGCTTTCCACAATGTTTGAACTAGCTTATGCTTCCACCAACAGTGTGTAAGGGTTCCCTTTTCTCCACAACCTGGCTGGCATCTGTTATTTTTTGACCTTTTAATAGTAGCCATTTTGACTGGTGTAAGATGGTATCTCATTGTGGTTTTGTTTTATATTTCTCTAATGATCAGTGATAGTGTCCTTTTTTTCCCTATGCTTGTTGGCCACATGTGTGTCTTCTTTTGAGAAGTGTCTGTTCATGTCCTTTGCCCACTTTTTAATGGGGTTGGTTTTCTTTTGTAAATTTGTTTAAGTTTGCTATAGATGCTGGATATTAGATCTTTTTCAGATGTATGGTTTGCAAATCTTTTCTCCCTTTGTCCCTTTACTCTGTTGGCAGCTTCTTTTGCTGTACAGAAGCTCTTAAGTTTAAGTATATCTCATTTATCAATTTTTGCTTTTGTTACAATTGCTTTTGGTGTCTTCATCATGAAATCTTCATCAGTTGCTATGTCCAGAATGATACTGCCTAGGCTTTCTTCTAGGATTGTCATAGTTTCAGGTTTTACGTTTAAGTCTTTAATCCATCTCGAGTTCATTTTTGTGCAGGTGTAAGGAAGGGATCCAGTTTCATTCTTTTGCATATGCCTATCTAGTTATCCCAGCACTATTTATTGAATAGAGGCTCCTTCCCTCATTGCTTGTTTTTGTCAGCTTTGTTGAAAATCATACGGTTGTAGGTGTGTGGCCTTATTTCTGGGCTCTGTATTCTGTTCCATTGGTCTATGTGTCTGTTTTGTACCAGTACCATATTGTTTCAGTTACTGTAGCCCTGTAGTATAGTTTCAAGTCGAGTAATGTGATGCCTCCAGATTTGTTCTTTTTGCTTAGGATTGCCTTGGCTATCCAGGCTCTTCTTTGGTTCCATTTGAATTTTAAGATAGTTTTTTTTTTTTCTAGCTCTGTGAAGAATATCATTGGTAGTTTGATGGGAATAGCATTGACTCTGTAAATTGCTTGAGCTTTTTCGTTATGATTATATCCATTATGGTAATCTGTGATCAGAGATCTTTGATCTTGTTATAGTAATTGTTTTGAGGTGCCACAAACCCTACCCATGTAAGACAGTGACCTTAATTGACCAATGTTGTATGTGTTCTAACTGCTCCAATCACTGCCTGTTTCTCCATCTTTCTCCCTCTCCTTGGGCCTCCCTATTTCCAGAAATAAAACAATATTGAAATTTGGCTAATTAATAACTCTACAATGGCCTGTAAGTATTCAAGTGAAAGGAAGAGTCGCTTGCCTCTCACTTTAAATCAAAAGCTAGAAGTGATTAAACTTAGGGAGGAAGGCCTGTCAGAAGCTGAGATAGGCCAAAAGCTAGGCCTCCTGCACTAGTTTGAAAATTTGTGAATGCAAAGAAAATATTCTTAAAGGAAATTAAAAATGCCACTCTAATGAACAAACAATTGATAAGAAAAGGAAACAGCTTTATTGCTGATGTGGAGAAAGTTTGAGTGGTCTGGATAGCAGATAAAACCAGCTACCACACCCCCTAAAATGAAAGCCTAATTCAGAGCATGGTCCTAACTCTATTAAATTCTATGAAGACCTAAAGAGGTGAAGAAGCTGCAGAAGAAAAGTTTGAAGCTGGCAAGTGTTGGTTCATAAAATTTATGAAACTGTTTCTACAACATAAAAGTGCAAGGTGAAGCAGCAGGTACTAATGTAGAAGGTGCAGTAAGTTATTCAGAAAATCTAGCTAAGATAGTTGATGGAAGTGGGTACACTAAAAAAACAAATTTTCAAAGTAGGTAAAACAGCATAATATTAGAAGAGATACCATCTAGGACTTTCACAACTAGAGATGAGAAGTCAATACCTGGCTTCAAAGCTTCAATACACAGGGCGAGTCTTTTCTTAAGGGGTAAGCACAGCTTGTGACCTTTAAGTTGAAGCCGATACCCATTTAGCAAATCCAAGGGTCTAAATTTACTCTGCCTGTGCTCATAAGTGCAACAACAAAGCCTGGAGGACAGCATATCTGTTTACATCATGGCTTGCTGAATATTTTAAGCCCATTGTTTGGAGCTACTGCTCTGAAAAAGAAGATTTGTTTCAAAATATTACTGCTTCTTGACCATGTACCCGGTCACTTAAGAGGTCTGCTGCCAATATACAAGGAGATGAATGTTGTTTCTACTTCTGCTAATACAATATTCACTTTGAAGCCTATTGTCAAAGGATAATTTTGACTTTCAAGTCTTCCTACCTAAAAATAAATTTCATAAGGCTATAGGTGCCATATTCCTCTGATGGACCTGGCCAAAGTAAATTGAAAATCTTCTGGAAAGGCTTTACCATTCTAGATACCATTAAGAACATTTGTGATTCATGGGAGGAGGATAAAATATCAACCTTAGCAGGAGCTTTGAAGAAGTTGATTCCAACCCTCATGGATGACTCTGAGGAGTTCGAGACATCAGTGGAGGAAGTAACAGCAGATGTGATGGAACTAGCAAGAGAACTAGAATTAGAAGTGGAGGCTGAAGACGTGGCTGAATTTCTGCAATCTCCTGATAAAATTGTAATGGATAGGAGTTGCTTCTTATGAATAAGCAGAGAGTTTTTTGAGGTGGAATCCACTCCTGTGAACATTATGGAAATAACAAAAAAGAACTTAAAATATTACATAAACTTCTTAGTTAATAAAGCTGTGGCAAGGTTTGAGAGGATTGATTCCAACTTGAAAATTAGTTGTACTGTGGGTAAAATGCTATCAAACATGCATTTCGGAAAGGAAGAGTCAATCAATGCAGTAAACTTTATTGTTGTCTTATTTTAAGAAACTGTCACAGCCATGCAAACTTTCAGCAGCCCCTTCTCTCATCAATCAGCAGCCATCAACAATGGGGCATGACCTGCACCAGCAAAAGGTTATGACTCAATAATAGCTTTGAAGATTGTTAGCATTTTTAGCAATGAAATATTTTTAACCAAAGTATGTACATTGTTTAGATATAATGCTATTGCACACTTAATAGACTATGGTGTAGTACAAACATAACTTTTAGATGCACTGGGAAACCAAAAAATTTGTGTGACTTGTTTGTTGTGATATTTGCTTTATTGAGGTGGTCTGGGCCTGAACCCACAATATCTCTGAGGTATGCCCGCATGACCAATGCCATGACATGTCATGAGATGATTTGGACACCTCCCCCAGATCATCATCCCATGGCATTTGCCAGCTTGGTTGGTGCCATTGCCCCTGATACCGTCATCAGCTGTAGGGTCTTAATTACATTGTAGCCACTAGGAAAAAGCTCTGCCTGAACCTGCTTGCTGAGAGAATGAACAAATGTGCAAAGCCCTCAGTAGGGACATTTAACTGGCTAGGGCAAAGACATTTACCTAGCTGCCAGAAAGATTCAGCTATCATTGACTCTGCCCTGCACACCCTCTGACTGGGATGTTTCCAATTGGGAAAGGATAAAAGGACGAAATTCTACTCCAGGAAAATGAATATACAGAAGCGTATATATAAAACTGCACGTTTTTAAGGTAAAATGAATTGGAGTCCTTTGATTAAAAAAAAAGGAAAAAAATATATATCCTATATATTATAATATGTAACCTATCTATATAGACAGATATATTTAAATCTAGGGCTTTAGAGCAGCAAAAAGTGAGCACTATTCTAGGCATGATGGTTAAACGTATTCTGTGACTCTACACCTAGGACCACAGTCACATCTACATTTGGCTTGAAGACCAGACTCAGAGCTGCAAAAATGAATGCTTATGTCTCTAATATAATGAGCCTTCAGATTCAGGTTAACCTAAAATGACTCTTTTCCCAGTGAATTTTACCTAAATGTCAAAAGTTATGTGTCAGGACTACCTCCAAATATTTTCATTGCCACCCTGATCTGGCTTAGAGACAAGAACATAACTTATAGAGGCTCCAGTTGCAGTAAACTTACAGTGGATCACTTTTATTTTTATAAGGATTTCCCTGCCAAGTTCTAAAACATGGAAACTTCTATTAGCATGCTTGAGACGGCACACAGGGCAAGTGTTTGAGCTAATGGTATCCTTCTTGACTTATGCTCCTCCATGCTTTTGGAAATTAAAAATGGTCATGATTAGCAACTTTTAAAAATGTTATCTTTATTCCTTTGCCAGATCTTCGAATTTTAAAATATCAAGATAATATCCCTCCAATTATTTTTCTGTTACTTAGATGATTCTGCAGTTGCCTTATGCCTTTTCTTCCACACATCCGTTACACATTTCAGAGAATCTCATCTCCAAAAGTAATTTATTCTTTTAAAATGTAGATTTAAGCCTGATGCCAACCCCTACCCCCAATTAAAAAAAAGTCTTCAGAGTGGGGAATTTCAATATTTTTTATTTTTATTATCAAAACTCAAGAAAATTGTGTTAACTCATATTAGGGCTATAAGACAGTTTCTGAGATGTGGCTGATGATGGTTTATTCATTATTCTACAAATATTTATTGAATTGCCACTGTGTCATATATACTTCTAAGTACTGAAACACATCGTTGTACAATAAAAGATAAAAATCCCTGCTTTTATGCAGCTTACATTCCAGTAAAGGAAAAAAATAAAATGACCAAATTATACAGCATGTTGCAATATGTTAATTGATACGGATAAAAACAACGAAGAGAAAAAGTTTAAGGGAAGAGATTTTTACACTTTTAAACAAAGTGATTATGAAGGCCTTACTTTAAAAGCAACTTTAACACATGGACTTGAAGAATATGAGAGAGAGTGCCTGCTTTGTCTGGGGAAGGAGCTGTCTGGACAGAAGAAATAGGAAGCTTATGGAAAGACTAGAAAGAAGAATAGCTGAGGACCAGTGAAGCATTAGAACAGTGAACAGAGCAGGTGAGTGATGATGATGACGGATCCAAAAAATTGTCAATGTGTTTTGGTTCAGAAATTATCATGTGGTTTCCAATACCAAGGAATCTGGTACAGGTTAAATTTCTGTGTTAAACTTAGCAGAGAAGAGGCTTTAAATCAAAGAGGAATCCTCCAGCTGTTATATCCAAGGATGAGATGGTGCCTTGAATACGGTAGACCTAAATAAACGTGTACTGCAGTATCTAAAATGAGGCTCTATGTGCACAATGCAAAGTAAGAAACTGACAGAAAAAAAGTGCACGTGTGTGTGTGTATAATGCTCACAGTTTTTTTCAGATGATCGTAATAGTTTTGGATATACAAATTCTGAAGCACAAACATCAGTGCTGGTTTACCGTGCATAATGAAGGGGAGATGATTTGATATTTGGAGTGAGTAGTGTCTAACCAATATTCTGGAAAAGTAGTCTGAGGCTTGAGGGAAAGGTCTGAGGGATATATGCCTGGTGCTGCCCTAAGAATTTGCAAAAGATACATGCCCAGTAAAAAATTCAGTTGCCTCGGTGTGTGATGTTTAGGACAAATGCCTAATGCATGCGGGGCTTAAAACCTAGATGACGGTTGATGGGTGCGGCAAACCACCATGGCAGATGTATACCTATGTAACAAACCTGCAAGTTCTGCACACGTATCCCAGAACTTAAAGTATAATTAAAAAGTAAAGATAAAATTTCAGTTGCAAATTGAAATAAAATGGAAACAGTTCACACAGTCTTTACTCCTAATTTAGTAGCAACACTTTCTCTCATCCAAGAGTGTAACTGTGTCAGCATTAATCTACCCTGTGTAGCAGGTGTCAATAAATGGTTGTTTAATTAATTAACCTGGTTTTGCCATGCCCAGGGAAAGTTCTTTGGGACGCTGAGTTCCACACAACAAACAACCCTGTCTTGTTCTATGCTTCCAAACAAAAGCTTTCTGTTAAGGATGGGGACTTTGCCAAATTGAGAGCTCCCGTTAGTTTTTCTTCTTGGTTTTATGAGCCCATGACCCATCTTGATTCTTTCTTGCCTGATGAGGTTTTGATAGACTATAGATTGGCTTACCTGACCTAGAAACTTGTGATTTTTACTCTGGTAGATATCCATACCAACCTAAGGGGCCTAAATCCATGCCAACCCTTGATGCCCTGATACTGGATCCTACATAAAAAGAGAGTTTGAACCCAGTATTTCTAAGATCCTGATGTTTCAAAAACAATGCTACTTTATCTTATGAATCATTTATCACTTGCTCCTTCAGGCAGGTAAATATAATGAGGCTGACAGCAGCCAAGGCCATGCTGCTCATCATACACAATCATGTCAACCTGCTGTGAAAGTCTGTGCCATTTTCCCTCCATCACATCTGTCTTGTTCTCTTTGCCGAAAGCTGAGTTACTACATCTTGGCTGATTCAGAATTTTGTCTAGTTCTTTCCTTACAGGTTCCCCATTGTCTCTTTGATACTATTTTATACCTAAAATTCCTCTCTATTTGTTTAATGCAAATCAGAAACCTAAGGCAAGGGACAGCTGGTCACCAAAATACATTAAATTCCTATCACTCAGGAGGTGCTGGGCTATGTCCCCAGTGTCCATCCCTCTATGTTACCTATACAAAACTATACATTAAATATCTTGGAGATATTTATGAATGATTACATGAGAAACAGAGATAATATATGTTCATATATTGTTGTGTTGGAGCTGATAATTGATAGAGCAGAGGTTGGACAAATATTAACATCTTTCTGGCCTCGGTCTTTGATTTGTTCACTATGTTACTATCTTCCTCCCTGAATTATTCCAGTTTTCTGAAGACTTTGTTAGGTTTGATGCTGTTTATTACAACAGAGAAAGTCCTCTAGCTGGCAGAGCACCTTTTCCTTGAATATGTCTGGGAGTTCAGGGTGGAGAATTGTTAAGTGATTCTTGTGTTGTGGTCGCAGTGATGTTGGAACACCTGCTCAGCATCAAAGTCCTCATTACCAAATTTTCTTTTTCTTTTTTTTTTTTTTTTTGGTATACAAATTTAAGTTTTAATTCAGTTAGAATGACGAATTTAAACTTCTGTTTTTATTATTTGGTTTAATGATATTCTTAAATAGAAATTTTCACTTAGAGTTTATTTTAAAACATCACCTGTATTTGCTCTTATTTCATTAAATGATTTCTATTTGAATTTAACTGTTTGGCATATGGAGTGAGGTAGGAATTCAAACTTTTTAAAAAATTGTACATATTGACTTTCTAAACAATTATCCTCAAAATCTAAGGGCTTACAACCAGTACAGTACTCTCTCAACAAGCTATATTTTAGGGTGGATAACCTCACAAAGTCTTTTTGTGAATATTTATTTTATATTTAACAAATATAACTATACAAGTATATATAACTACATATACATATATATAATGTAGTTATATTTTACTTTATAATAGGCTTGGGTACATATATATACAAATATGATATTTCATCTATCCACCAAATAGATCATTCTTTACTAAAATATGGGTCTTACAAAATGAAAAAGGTAAAATGAATTTATACATAAAATTATAGTCTTATAATTTTATATTTAATGTAGTTAACTAAAAATCTGTCAGATATTCTATGTTCAATTATGATTTTTTTTCAAATCTTTTAAGAAAGTTGGTTTCATGGTCTATTTCAGGAACCAACCCAAACAAATATAAAGTTTAGATAAATGGACCTTATTACTTGAAATGATATATTCTATCCTTTTAAAACAGAGTTGGATACTGTATATACGTTATCTCATCTCACTTAATAACATAAACCGACATAACAGAATCTTTTAGTAAAATAACAACCTTTCCAATTCATCATCCAAAATGCAAACTAAAAGCATGTTTTTTTTTAGGGTTCACATATAAATTGATCTCAAAAGATGATTTTTTAATTTCTAATAATATCCTAATATATTATCCTTCACAAAATCTAAGTGCTCTGTAAAACAGACTTAACAGTTATTCTCATCTTACGCTGACAAACTTTCAGAATTTTACATAAAGGTATCTCAAATAATTGAACTAAATTTACCTATTTTCAAGACTTAAAATCAGAATCACTTCTGATCATCTGAACTTTTTTTCTTTAGTTGTTTCTCTTTATTAGAAGTGTACTAGGAACTATAGAAAAGAAAAATACCTGCTATGTTACTAATATTTCATGTATACTTCATCTAATATGTAGAAATGTATTAAAACGAATAAGCATCTAATATCCAAGATGAGTTCTGAAAATGAAAGCAAGTCTCTACCCCCCAAAAAATTAAGCAGATAAACCAAAATTTCCACCCTTTTATGATGTCAGTTTTAACCCTAATAAAATAGATTCCATAATTTGCAGTGCCCTCAGTCAGGTCTTAAGTTTAAAAAACAGGTAAAATAAGTGAAAATATTTGTATGAATGTTTGCTCAAATAGTTTCTAAAAGAGAAAGCAAAATTACCACTTTATACAGAAATAAATGGTGTATTTGACTACATTCTTGCAATTTGAATGGGAAAAAATCATATTACAAAGACTATCTTGAACATCCTTTAAATTGTTTTTTCTTCCTTTTCTTTTCCCAGCCCTGTGTTTTAAATTAACCAAGAGAAATAAAAGGAAGAACTGGAGGGAAAGCCAGTGCATTGTGACAGCATGATTTTATTTTATGTATGAGTCTGAGTGAGATTTTAGAAAATGGATACTGTATTTCTTAAATGGGTCTGTGTTGGTCAAAGACCATTAGGCAACTTTGGAAGATTCCACAGGGACACCTGGGGCCAGACATTGCAATCCCAATGGACTGAGTCCACTGTTTGTCTTTCTGCATGGAGAATTAATAAATGTATCAATCTTCTACCAGTGGCCCTGAACTAGGGAACATAAAGGAAATAGAACAAGTGGGAACAAAATTGCACGTGTGCCTTTTCCTTCCCCCACCTCCTGATCTTCACTTTTCTGTGTGTTGAACTTATTTTCCCTTCAGATTTTTTCACATTATTCTTTTTTTCTATGTTATTAGTTATGTCTCTTAGCATTCCTGGCTGCATTGCACTTTGTCTGCCTTAAAATGATGTCTCCTAACCTGGACAGGGGCTATAATTTAATGAAGTTGGCCACCTTTGCATACCTTCTGCTCAGAAGATCAGTCGGTGGCCTTGAAGTGTCAGATTTCATTAAATGATTTTAGTTTCAAGGAGAAAAAAATTCAATGGAAAGTTAAGGAAACCAGTCAGGAAATATGCATGGTGCCAACAGCTTCAGAGCACAGGATTCCAAAAGTCATTTTAACATTTCTGAACTGATAAGCTAATTAATTATTAAAACAGAAACACTCCTAGGATACCTATGACCAAGGTTATAAATACACCCCTTTCAATTCCTCTTTCTTTTTCTTAACTGCAAAATGTTGCCTTTAAATTGCACCACGGTGATTCTAAGAAGTCAATTAGAAAGGTTTCAAATCACAGCAGTTAGAGGAGCTAAGAGGAAACATAAATTGCATTACCAAAAAAAGGGAGCCGAGAGCTTACAAGATTTTTAACGTTTTATTTTTTGCTTTATATCAACTGGTCTAAAGCACAACTGAAGCAAAATTTAGAAACATTGTGACTGGTTTTCTTTTTATAGCAATAGAACTTTCTCTCCACCACTTTGCTTAAAACCACAGTAGTTGCTTCATCATTCCTTTAAAAAACAGCTGGAGGGTAAGGGTAATGATAGTGACTATACAACAAATCAAACATTTCTGTGAATTGCCTGCTTATTGACAAGAGTTTATTTGTATGGGTTTGTCTTTTTTTTTTTTTTCCCCCCGAGACGGAGCTCTGTCGCCCAGGCTGGAGTGCAGTGGCGCCGTCTCTGCTGACTGCAACCTTTGCCTCCTGGGTTCAAGCAATTCTCCCGCCTCAGCCTCCCCAGTAGCTGGGATTGAGAGGTGAAGCTGGCTGGGCTTCTGGGTCGGGTGGGGACTTGGAGAACTTTTCTGTCTAGCTAAAGGATTGTAAATGCACCAATCAGCGCTCTGCGTCGAGCTAAAGTTTTGTAAACGCACCAATCAGCACTCTGTAAAAACGGACCAATCAGCACTCTGTAAAATGGACCAATGAGCATTCTGTATAAGGGACCAATCAGCAGGATGTGGGTGGGGCCAAATAAGGGAATAAAAGCTGGCCACCTCAACCAGCCTGGGCAACTTGCTTGGGTCCCCTAGCAGAATGTGGAAGCTTTGTTCTTTCACTCTTCACAATAAGTCTGGCTGCTGATTGCTCTAGGTGCCCACTAAGTTTATGAGCTGTAATGCCCAGGTCTGGGGCTTCACTCCTGAAGTCAGTGAGACCAGAACCCACGGGGAGGAACAAACAACTCCAACTCCGGCCCTGCCACGTTTAAGAGCTGTAACACTCACTGTGAAGGTCTGCAGCTTGGTTCCGGAAGCCAAGCAAGACCACGAACCCACTGGAAGGAAGAAACTCTGGACACACCATCTGTAAGAGCTGTAACACTCACCGCCAGGGTCCGTGGATTCATTCTTGAAGTCAGCGAGACCAAGAACCCACTGGAAGGAACCAATTCCTGACACAGGATTACAGGCGCCCGCCACCATGCGTAGCTAATTTTTGTACGTTTTTAGTAAAAATGGGGTTTCACCACGTTGGCCAACTACGTCTCGAGCTCCTGCCCTTGTGATCTGCCTACCTTGGCCTCCCAAAGTGCTGGGATTACAGGCATGAGCCACCACGCCTGGCCAGGTTTGTCTTCTTAAAATTCCCTTTTGGGACTCTGTTTTTCTTTAGGTAAATGCAGTGGTTAGTCATTTAGGTGAGAAAAGAGGTGCCAGATGAGACAAAGGCAGGAGCAGAACAAATCCAAGAGCTGACTTGCGCTGCATCAGAAAATATTTGTGTATTCTGTTGTCCTCCTGAAGGGAGGGGAAAAGCAAGCTAATTATCCATATTAGAACCTAGAGGTCAAGTTTATTGAAATGAGCAAGGGACTTTGAAGCACAGAACTAGTTGCATTAGTCTATTCTCCCACTGCTGTAAAGAAATACCTGAGACAGGGTAATTTCTAAAGAAAAGAGGTTTAATTGACTCACAGTTTTACAGGCCGTACAGGAAGCATGGCTGGGGAGGCTTCAGGAAATACATGATCATGGCAGAAGGCAAAGGGGAAGCAACACATGTTACATGGTGGGAGCTGGAGGAAGAGAGAGAATGAAGGAGCTCTTTTGCTGAGCGCACACTCCATGTGGCTGTGTGTGGCATGGTGTCCCTCTCCCCTGGTCTGTGAGTATATGTGACTAATACACTGCTGTTGATCTCACTTGTCCAGTGTGAAGTATTAGTATTTTGCCATTCCCATAACACTATAGAGAAATCCTTTCCTCACCAATGGAATGAATAGGAGGCAATTTTAAAATGAGGAATTACAACATAGTGTGTGAGGCAAGATATATGCAAGAATCAATAATATAATTAGGAGTGTCCAAGCAAGTGGTAAATTATGTGATACTAACTGAAAGTACTATGGAAGTTCAGAAATGTTTGTATGCATAAGTAATTTTAGTTTAGTAAACAAAATATTTAATGAAAAAAAGTTTAAAGACTTTGAAATAGGAATAAAACAACCACATCTCATGAGAACTCTATCATGAGACAGCATTAGGGCGATGGTGCTAAACCATTAGAAACCACCCCCACGATCCAATCACCTCCCACCAGGATCACAATACAACAGGAGATTTGGGTGGGGACACAGAGCCAAACCATATCGCTGATACTCTTCAGTTTTATTTTCTTGGCATCAGTATGATACAAACATTTCTACCCACCCCATATTTTTAAACCTTATTATATAAAACAGCCTTTTATTATCAGTTTAGTTTTCTGTGTTTTAATTTTTTTTGGGGGGGGGGGGAATTTTTTTTTTTTTTTTAGAAGTAAGTGATAAATGATGAGTCCTCCACCTGTTGACAGCTAAAAAAGGATGGCACACCGTATCGGGCAGGTTCCAGACGGAATATTAGTTTGTTTGTTTGTTTTTAACAGGATTTAATACAAAGAATCAATTATTTGGTATGGGAGGATAGAAAAGGCAAAGGGGAAACACTGAGATGATACTGTCAGAAAAGATTATCAAAGTGAAATTGTGCTAAACACTTGTTAACATGGACAAGACAGACTTTATTCGGGTTATAGCAATAAAGGAGGGAGACTTCAGAACAGGACTGAATTCAGCCCTCCCACTTTTTGTTTCTGCAGAAATAGGAGGGTTTTTAATTTCTGGGATAAACTAGTGGAAATGTAGCTGGAAGGGGAAGTTGGTCAAGTCGTTAGAGCATCTGTGTTTGCTAATTGTTGTTTGTTCAGGTTAGCCGCCTACCCTCCCACAAAGAATGGGAAAAAGGGACACTTGTCTTCCTTAATGATTAGATTTCAAAGGGGGTGGCTCCCATGTCTTTGAGAAAGACATTTCTGGGCTGTAAAAGGGGCAGAGAAAGATTTTACCGTTGCTAGTATTTTACTGTAAATACTCTAAGAAAAGAGAGGTCAGAAGCTTATGGTCATGATGTAATCTGTCTAAAGTTTAGTGAAGGTGAGAGGAATGTGAAGGCCATCTTGGTCAAGATGCAGGAAGAAAGGGAAGAAGTTGTTGAACATTTTCAAATACTAGAAGTTTGGAGGAGAAGACTGGGCAGCTGGGACCTACACAAGGAGAAGAGGACGTATTTCAGCTCCATACCTCTAGAATTCATAGGAGAGAGCTCCTGAAAGTGAAAGCTTCTACTCAGACGTCTAAGAAGGGGTGCTGTCTGGTGGATAGCTCTGAGGGAACCTTCTGAGCGGGTTCTGGGAGTTCTAATGAAGGTGGAAACTAGACCCAGCAAGCCAGATGAAGCTGGGAGCTGTGTGAGTACATGCTGCTGTTGGCATGAAGACCTGTTATGGGAGTGGTGCTTTTAACAACAGGGAGCAAACAGAACTCATGAGTCCCCAGGCTTCCAGTCTCCCCTTAGTGCCATCTACTGCATTATATGTAGCAGACAGGCAGATGGCAAAGGAGAAATATGGTCTGCACAATATCACAGGGCAGAATATTAAAAAGTGGACTTGGAGATGAGAAACAAGAACTTAATATTTGGCTGTATACCAAGGTGGCAGACCATCTACACACTGAATCAAGACAGTAGAACCGGGATCTAAAAACCGAATAGGGATTGGGAAAGCAAAATGTGTGTCCCAACCCCTGATTCCAGGTAGGGGCTAGAAACAATATTAGGAACTTCTCTTCAAAAGGAATAGAGTTTGAATCCTCATTTGAATCTCAAAAGATAGGCATATCTGCCTGGGTACAGTCAGGAGCCAAAAAGTACACTATGATAAAAAAAAAAAATAGAACTCATTAGCCTTTCTTTAAAATTTGGGCAAATAGACAATGGAAATTAGAAAAGTGAGCTTTATTACAGGTGTGAGCCACTGCTCCCAGCCTATATGCATATATTTTTAATTTACATAAATAGAAAAAAAAAAGAAAAGTGGGCTTTAAAGTGCTTCTAAATGCTTTTTATAACTCAAACCTAAAATTGAGTTCTGGAAGCAGAAGGCAGAGATTGGGGCTGATAATCATCTACAGTCTTTTACATTTCACCCCATGGGAGACACTGACATTATGTTTAGTGATGTTTTCTGTGTTGAGATATTTAAATTTTATTTTTCTATACATTCAAATGCAGCAGTGTTTACAAATAATTCACAAATATGCCCTTTTTAATGTAGAGTTTCCTGTTTTTTCGTCTTGTTTTCCGTTTATCCTGGAAAATTCTTTTAGCATGGATGGATAAATAATATTTGCAGCAGTTAATTTTTTGAGTACTTACCATGCATGAGCCACAAAATGTTATAATAACACTTAGTATGAATTGACTCATTTAGTTCTCATATCACCTATCTATGGGGTCATTACTATCTCTCTAATTTATAGACAAGGAAAATTAGAACAAGTAACATGAAGTAGTAATTTGCGTAAGATCCCACAATAAATCTAAGTCTAGCGAGTGTGTATGTTTGACATGCTACTACCTCTAATCATGAATATGTATTAACACATTTCCATGCATCTGGCTCAATATTAAGCTTTTGTATAAATCATCTTATATATTCTTCACAGAATTCCTACATGGCAGAAACCATTATCTCTCTTATGAGAATGAGAAAATTACCACCAAGAAAGATAAGTCATATAGTTAATAAACAGTGAAGGAAATATATGAGCCTGGAGAAATTGCCTGTAGAATCCAACCCATTGATCAATCTGCTATATCAAAATAAACAGCCAAAGAAAAATCTAATGGAATCTTTCAGAAATATTATCTGTCAGTTAAGCAAGAAAAAGAATAGCCATCATTTCTGTTTTGGTTTTAGGAATGGAACAACACACACTGGGTCTTATCAGAGAGTGGAGGGTGGGAGGAAGGAGAGGATCAGGAAAAATAACTATTGGGTACTAGGTTTAATACCTTGGTGATGAAGTAATCTGTACAATAAACCCCCATGACACAAGTTTACTCATGTAACAAATCTGCTGATATACTCCTGAACTTAAGAAAATTCTTATGTTTAGAATGAATAACACTCTTGTCCATAGAAGTAACATTTATATGATAGTAAATCAGTGTTGCTTCATTTAAAAATAATCTCAAGGAAATTGGAACAAAGGGGAAAACAAACTAGAAAGGGTATTGATTATCCGCAGAGGGTACTGAGATATGTATTATTGTTGTCAACAGTAAACAAGCCTGGTGCTTCTCAATCAGTCTCTTCTTATGTGCAGCACAAAAGAAAATTTCAAGATGGGATTATATAATGTATTGAATTAGTCATCAGATAAACTATAGCTCTGGAATTATAGTATCCCACCCCTCATCTTCAATTTTGCTTTCCATGGTTTCAGTTACTTGTGATCAACCATAGTAAAAAAACATTACATAGAAAATTTCAGTAATAAGTAATTCATATGTTTTAAATTGTGTGCCATTCTCAAGAGTGTGATGAACTCTCATGCCACACCACTCCGTCCTGCCCAGGATGTAAAGCATCCCTTTGTCCCGCATATCCATGTTGTATGGGCCATCTTCAAGTTAGTCACTTAATTGTGTCTTGTTTATCAGATCAAAATAAACATGTATACAGATGCTGCTTGACTTATGATGGGGTTATGTCCAGATAAATCCATTATACACTGAAATTATTAAGTAAAAATGCGTTTAATACACCTAAACTACCAAACATCATAGATCAATCTTGCCTACCTTAAATGTGCTCAGAACACTTACATTAGCCTAGTTAGGCAAAATCATCTAGGGCAAAGAATACTTTATAATAAAATGTTGACTATCTCATGATTCATTGAATTCTGTACTGAAGAGAAAAACAGAATGCTTTTGCACCATAGTAAAGTGGAAAAATCATTAAGTTGAACCCTCATAAGTTAGGGACTCTGTGTATAAAGTTCGGTATTATCTGCAGTTTCATGCATCCACTAGGGGTTTTGGATAGAGGGGGACCACTGTCTATAGAGAAGTTAGATCTTCATTACCTAGCAAAAAAGACATTTAAGAAAAGACCAGAAGCTTCATGGGAAGAAATGATGAAGCAGTAAGAGAGGTATGACGAAGAGACTCTAGAATCTCAATTCACAAGCCCCAGAAAGGATCACAGAATGTTAAGGCAGTTTCCCTGATTCTAGCCCATTCTCTTCTAGAGCGTCCTTCCCGTAGGCTGTGCTTTCTGCAGGCTTTCCAATACCCAAGGAAGTCATGTTTTCTTTCTCTTTTGGCATCTTGTAGATTTAATGTTCATCTGTTGAGGCACATTGAGGTGATTTGCCAAATAACTCCTTTTGGCAAAAGAAATGTGCTCGGTCATTATTCTTTACTCCGAATGAGCCAGACTGACTGTCCATACTGTGGGAATATGCCAGATAATTACTTTAACCACGTCTTTCCCTTTAGCTGTGTATACATGGTCCTCATATTCTAGATACACTTGGTTAAACCTCGTATTGAATAATTACTGGCAAGTAGCCATGTGCTCAGAGTAATTTAATGTTCATCTTGGGTTTCTACAGGGTGCTAGTGACAAAAGCTGGTTTTGTTTATGCATACGTTAGAAGGATTTTCTTTTCACAATTCAAAGAAAATCTACAAAACATGAAAAAAAAAGTACTTGATTTTTTAAAAAGCGTTTTTGATTCTAAGTTTTCCTCGGGAATCACAGATACAGCGCTGAGAAAAAGCTGATGTAGTTTAACTTTTAAAAACAAAGTCTCTATAAAAGGGTACCACATGTTCTCACTGCCTTGCAAGTTAAGCAGTTGTTATTACATTTAAATCATATCTGACATAATGTTGCTTTCCCTTTTGAAAGTGAGGACCAATGTTGCTGCATTTTATTACAAAAGGTAAACAGTTTGAATTCCCATGAATCACTATACCTTGTAGTCCTATCGTAATTGAAAATGCCTTGGAGTAGGAGGCAGGAGCTAGAGATCCAAATTCCGACCGTGTTATTTATTAGTCTTGGAACCAGAAGCAAGAAATTTAACATCCCTCTTCCTTCGCTTGTGAAAATGGAAATAATATCATCCTAATCTTGCAAAGCATGTTTATGAAGCATAAATTAAATCATATACAAACTTTTGTTATAAACTGTAGAGCATGAAAAGTTCTGCACCTAAAGGACAGAAAAGATATTTTAACCAGTTTAAGATTTGTACACTTCTTAAGAGCCAAAAAAACCCACTAGGAATTCCAGAGAGAAGATAGAGAAACATGAATAGAACACAAATTTGCAATAGGTACTCCAAACTTTGAAAATGCTGATACATTTGGACCCAGAATTTTTCATCTGGGAACTCTCATAAGACTACCATGATGAATACTATCTTAATAAATATAGTAAAATATCCTAATATCTAAATGTCCAATATTAGGAGGATGGTTAAGTAAATTATGATATATGGTGTCTCTTACACAGGAGTAATATTTACATAATTATATAAATGAAATAGGAAATTCTTTGTCAAAATGTTTAGCCAATATTTAGGAGCCAGCAATAATATCTATCATCACGATGTAAACTATGAAAAAATTATCAGATAAAACAAAATTCCACAGTTGCCTCTGAA
Source organism: Homo sapiens (assembly GCF_000001405.40). NCBI lineage: Eukaryota > Metazoa > Chordata > Mammalia > Primates > Hominidae > Homo > Homo sapiens. The sequence goes on from NC_000017.11 coordinate 70,710,904, forward strand.
TGTTGGGATTATGGGAATATTTGTCAGGTTGTCTTTCTTTCTTTTTTTTTTGTTTTTTGGTTTTTCCTTTATTTTCTTTTTTTATTATTATTATACTTTTAGGGTACATGTGCACAACGTGCAGGTTTGTGACATATGTATACATGTGCCATGTTGGTGTGCTGCACCCATCAACTCATTTAGCATTAGGTATATCTCCCAATGCTATCCCTCCCCCCTCCCCCCACCCCACAACAGTCCCCGGTGTGTGATGTTCCCCTTCCTATGTCCATGTGTTCTCATTGTCCAATTCCCACCTATGAGTGAGAACATGTGGTGTTTGGTTTTTTGTCCTTGCGATAGTTTGCTGAGAATGATGGTTTCCAGCTTCATCCATGTCCCTACAAAGGACACAAACTCATCATTTTTTATGGCTGCATAGTATTCCATGGTGTATATGTACCACATTTTCTTAATCCAGTCTATCATTGTTGGATATTTGGGTTGGTTCCAAGCCTTTGCTATTGTGAATAGTGTCGCAATAAACATACGTGTGCATGTGTCTTTATAGCAGCATGATTTACAAGCCTTTGGGTATATACCCAGTAATGGGATGGCTGGGTCAAATGGTATTTCTAGTTCTAGATCCCTGAGGAATCACCACACCAACTTCCACAATGGTTGAACTAGTTTACAGTCCCACCAACAGTGTAAAAGTGTTCCTATTTCTCCACATCCTCTCCAGCACCTGTTGTTTTCTGACTTTTTTAATGATCGCCATTCTAACTGGTGTGAGATGGTATCTCATTGTGGTTTTGATTTGCATTTCTCTGATGGCCTGTGATGATGAGCATTTTACTGTATGTATGTATGTATTTAATTTCTTTGTGTTTGGTCATGAAGGTTATTGTAGAAAACCTGCAAACCCTTAAGAAAGACAGTAAAATGGGACGGCCATTTTTTCTATGGTAAATAGTGAGCTCTGTGGTCACAATGATCTCATGAAATTTTGAGACATTTCAGTAATGAATACTCCTCGCTTTTGATAAATCAGTTATCACTGGTGCTTTCTGGAAATTTCATATTATCCATTATTTGGATGCAAGATTTTTTATTCTTTACAGTATCTGAAGAAGCACGATTCCCTACCAGAACATTAACAATAGTTATTTGGAAATCTCCGCTCTTATTTTAAACACTATTCTGCAATAAACTACTTGGAAAAGTGGGCAGATCAGAATCTCCTAACATAATGTTGACATTTTTTAATAGCTGTTTTGGTTACTGATATAAGCTTTATAAGAGTGATTAGAAGTACAAAACTTACATTGACATCTTTGTATCTCAGTTTATGAAGAAAGCCAAACTGAAGTTTATAGCAATGTGTTTTATTTTCAGTTACACATTAATATTATTGATTTATTACCTAAATATACTAGAAAAATTACATATTCTATTTTTTGGAGGGGTTACTGAGACAACATTTCGTCTCTTTTCTGTTATGCAAAAACCTCTTTGGGGAAAATGTATTGTAGCCATGGTTATAGAAACCTGTTAATGTGGATCTATGGGGACTTGTTCATCAACATCATCTATGCATCGAAGTCATCTTAGTTTTTTTAGAAGTGAGTTAAAAATCTATTCAGACACATTTTCTGGTTAAGAACAACAACAAAGAAAACACTTTATGTTCCCAACACTGTTTCCTCTTCCCAGAACCCACTGGAAGACTACATTTCTTACCCTCCCAGCCTTCCTTGTATTTTTGTTAGAACAATTTTCCTAGCAGGTAAAATGTGGACCGAAGTGGTGTTAATCCTACTGGGCAACATGTAAAAACCATTCTTCAGCATCTTTCAGACTCCTCTTCCTCTTCCATAGTGTCCATGAAAGCCAAGACTTCCATCGGGCCCAGTAGCAACATGGTCTTGGAAGCAATCCACTAGGAAAGCTTCCAGATTGGCCTCGAAAGAAATTCTTACTGTGCTGACGCATTGAGAGTCAGCATTTCTTTATCTTTCAGCATAGTATACTGTCCTAACACCTATAAGCACTTTATTTTATAAGTTGATATTAACTCTATTATCAACTAATTTGATAGTCAAAGAATATGGATTTGCCTTTATTTGGGAATAGTTTCCCCTCTTTCATATTCCAGCCAGAAAATATAGTCTCATTCAAGAATGTTTTGTCAAATGGTCAATTAAAAATAATACCATTGATAAAAATAAACTTAAATATGAGTCTATTGATGATTACCTATAATGCATGGACTGCTTCAATTTCACCAAGTACTTAAAATTTTATCTCTCTCTCTCTCTTTTTTTTTTTTGAGATGGAGTCTCACTCTGTCGCCAGGCTAGAGTGCAGTGGCAAGATCTTCGCTCACTGCAACCTCTGCCTCCCTGGTTCAAGTGATTCTCCTGCCTCAGCCTCCCAAGTAGCTGGGACTACAGGCACGTGCCACCACGCCCCGCGAATTTCTGTATTTTTAGTAGAGACGGGGTTTCACCATGTTGGCCAGGATGGTCTCGATCTCTTGACCTCATGATCTGCCCGCCTCGGCCTCCCAAAGTGCTGATATTACAGGCATGAGCCACTGCACCCGGCCCAAAATTTTATCTTTGAATTACATTAGTCTAGGGGAGGTCTATATTCTTCCCCCAATAATTTTGGCTCCTCATAGAATTGCTTTTACTGAGCTGAGCATTGAATGTACACTTCTTTGCTTTTCTGAGGAATATTAGAAAAATACAGCCCTCTGTTGTATGGGAAAGACAGGGTCCACTATACTGTGATTTACTCTAGTGTATCATCTGTAACTATACAGCAGTGGCTCCTCTCTTAGTGCCATTCTGCAGTATTTCTTTCTAATTGTGTTGTTCCAAAATCTGTACTCCTCTTCAAAGTTTATTTTTAAATAATGGACACTATGACCCTATTTAAGTCTTTGTTTTGATTGGTGGGATTCTCATAGCCATATTTGTAATCAACCACTAGATGTAAAAGCTGATTTGACATTTTTTTTTCCTGTGAACTTTGTCCTTTATTTTACTTTATTTTTCTATTTGTATTTCCCCATATCCATAACTGTTCATATATTTTAATTTACTTTTGTTTATTTTTTTATATATTTCTCTCTAGGCCCTCTAATAATTATTTTGTTTTGGTGACAGTGCTGGTTTTAGTTTTCATAACCTAGATAATTGAAGAAGGGTAAAGTTTGAAACACAAAAATTAGTCATAATATATAGTGAATTACATATATATAAATATAATGAAATTCAGTCTACAAAACACTAGACAAGCTTGGTGGTGGTTGGGAGCATAATAGCAAGTCTTCCTAAATTATTTAATTACATATTTATTTATACATTTGATTTTTGATCATGAAAATTAAAAATTTAACAACAAATTTCTAAATGAAATGGTCTATTTAATTCTTGATCCAGTTGAAATACTGTGCAAAGTTAATGATTACATAGAATATATCTGGAATAGCAAACAGCTCTAGAGGAATAATCTTGTTTAAAGAAAAAGTAGAATGCTTCATAATCTGTTAAAGCACAGATTATAACCAAATTTGTTATATTATAGATTTAAAAACCACGTTTCACAAATATAGCTCATTCCATCAAAACACATAATGCTTCCAATACGTCATTGGTAAAACAATAAAATTACTCCCGTCCTCTCTTGGAGTAAAGAATGCCCAATTTTGCATATTTATATGAAAAAATAAAAAATCAAAATGAGAATTCACTGTTTTACTTTCTACTCCTAGAAGGTAACAGGCTGAGAACAAACAACGTCACTTGTTATTATTATTTTCAAAAACACTATGCAAAAAAAGCATAGAACTCCAGATTTCCACCTTATAAAATATACTATCATTCATAGCATGGTCAACACTGTCCCCTGAAAAAAATAACGTTAATGTCAAAACGTGAAAACCACCATTAAAATGCTAAAACCTATAGCCATTGATTCTAAGTTCTACAATTTCTCCACCTGAAGTTTCATTATTTTCAAATATTTCCATCTTTCTTCAATGGAAAAATTAAGGCAATATCTTTCAATTAAAAGCTTAAATTAATGACTACAGTGAAAGCATAACTAAGGCATTTGATGTTTTTCTCTCTGCCACCAGTCTCCTGAACTTATTATAATATGAACTATCATCTCTCTTTAATAAGCATCTGCATATATTGAACCCATTTTGTATGTTTTGGTGGGAGGGAGATAATGGGGGAAAAAGTGAGACAGATTCCCAAGATACAATTTCATCTAATTTGGGCTATGTCTCTATTACTTTTTATAAATAAATACAGTTAAAAATGCAATGAGACCAGGCAAGGTGGCTCACACCTGTAGTCCCACTATTTTGGGAGGCCGAGGCCGGTGGGTCACCTGAAGTCAGGAGTTTGAGACCAGCCTAGGCAACATGGTGAAACCCCATGTCTACTAAAAATACAAAAATACAAAAAATTGGCTGGGTGTGGTGGTGTCTGTAATCCCAGCTACTCAGGAGGCTGAGGAAGGAGAATCACTTGAACCCGGGAGGAGGAGGTTGCCGTGAGTCAAGATCATGCCATTGCACTCCAGCCTGGGCAACAAGAGAAAAACTCTGTCTCAAAAAAAAAAAAAAAAAAATGCAGTGACACTTTTGTATTAGCTAATCAAATACAAAATTCGATTGAAAATGCTTTGGGTTTATAAGACATCAGTTATCTCTCTTATTGTTATTTCCTAAATGTAATGTGTCTACTTTTCTCAGATTTCTTTCAAAATATTTTTCTTATCTATGATTTTCTGCATTTGACTATGCTACATGTAGGAATTATGGGTTTTTATTTGTTGGTTTTATTTTTGTATTTATCGTGTTTGGGATTTCCTGAGCTTCTGAGATGTGTGCTGATTTCAATCACTACATATAGAAAAATTTTCACAAGTATGTCTTCAAATACTTCCTTGCCCATGCTCTCTCGCTTCAGGGACACCAGTTATATGTTTAGATTATTTGACATGGTCCTAACATGTCTATTTAAAATCTGTTTAAAATCATCTGTTTAAAATCATCTGATAAATTTTTAATTTCAGATATTGCATTTTTTTCTCCTAGAATTTCAATTCTGTCATTTTTTAGGGCTTTTACCATTCGGTAAATTATTTGCCTGTTAGTTATTTGACATATTTAGATTTGTTTAAGTCCTGTGTATTAACTAAAACATCCAGTTCATCTTTGTGTATGCCCGTATTTGCTGTTTTTTTTTTTTTCATTTTTGGGTCAGTTTAACCTCTTTTTGTATGTCTTTTGATTTCTGCTTATATGCAGGACATTTTGAACAAAAATATAGAATAGACTGAACTAGACAACAGGTTTTGTTTTCTTTCTTCCAGAGTTTCCATACCTTTTCCCTTTCAGGCAGCTAGGGTGAAGGATTGAATGTTTAGATTTTACCATGAGTAGAGCTAGACTAGCATTGGGTCATTTAACTAGTGTAAAGTTTAAACTGCAATTAAAGAGATCTATATTTCTCCTTCCTCTCAGTCCATAACACCCTGTGTTGTAGCAAAGGGGGTTGAGCATTTTGATCCTACCAAGATTTGAACGGGCACACAGCTGAGTTGCAGCGTGAGTTTTAGTTTACCTCTTTATTCAACTCTAGCAGTGTCCGGGCTCAGGCACTATGTGAGCCTGTACTGTTTTTCTCTGTTCTCTCACTCTTCCCATTGATATATACTCAGCAAAATACTCATGAGAGATCATTGTCAGATGAGAGATTTATGTTTGCTTTTGGAGATCTTTTAAATTCCAATCCATCATGTCAACCCATACAGTGCTTAAATTTCAGCTGGTTTCTCGTGGTCTCATGGACTATTTTCTGATTATCAGGCCTGCCTCTCCCTCTGCTGCTCATGCTAAGACTAAAATATTGCTCCAAGTACAAAAGAAGCCCCTGCTTTTTGCTTACCTATGAAGAACTCCTCATCCTTTTTTGTAATTTAGTTATTTCAGGCTTCTTTGCATCCACCGTTCTAAGTATGACTGTTAGTTAGTCTGGTATTGTGATAGAAGTAATTGTCTCTAACAGACTGCTACTTTCTACTGTAAGTGGAACTTAGAACATAATTAAGGATTTAAAATTTCACTCTGTTGCCTTTTAGTATAGTGAATTTCCCATGTTTCTCCCCAATTATACATACCCTGAAGCCTTTCATTCATCCATTCATTCATTTGATCGTTAGTTTATTCTTTCATTTGTTCTGTCCCATAAAAAATTACCCATGGCATACTCACTAAACTTCAGAGGATTTACACAGTTCCAGGAAACATATCTCCAACCATAAAGCATTTACAGTGTTATCTGGGCCAGGGATCAGCAACTGATGAAAACCAAAGCAAAATAATTCTATCTCTAAGAATTTATAATTGAAACAGAAATGGATTCATTTTCTGAATCTATTTTTGAAGGCTTTTGAATATGCACACTTTGCAGCTGTGAGCAAACATCTTCCACATTTGCAGTAGAAATATTATTTAAAAAACAGACAAGAATTTTCTGGTCTTCTAATAAAGAACAATGAGGCGAATGCACAAAGGGAATTTTAGTTAAAGAATTCATGGACTTCAATGACATGATTCTAGGTCTTCCTGAGAGCCAGTCATATCAAATATCTTTGTGTTTTTAGATGAATCCATCATTTTTTTTCTTCTTCATCTTCTTCACATATTGGCTGACTTTCATTTATTGAAGACTTGAAGTTAATACTTTCTAATACAGATTAATAAGACATATATACAAATTAACAATTTAGTAGGAAGTGGAAATGGATGACAGAAAACAAGAGGGAGGTCGGGGGGAGAGAGAAAGAGAGAGAGAGGTTCCATCTAGATATTTGTGAATATAGATATATAATTATTTATACTGAGGTAATGGCTAATTGATCTCTCATAAACATTCACAAAATAGAACCGTGGTTCCCATCCACAAAATATACTCCTCCTCTGGCAGTTATGGGAACTGTCATTCATCTGGTTGCTCAGGCAAAACAATCAACATAATTATCAACATAATTCTGGTTAAGTCTATTTTTGTCATTCCCACATGTAATACACCAACAAGCCATGTGGGCTCTATCCCCAAAGCCTAGCTTAAATCTAATCACCTCTTACTAATTCTTTGGCTATCATCCTAAATTCACGCTGCCATCATCTCTGTCTGGACTCTTACCATATTTTAATATTTCTCCCAACCATTCTATTCTGTACACAGCAATGAACATGGTCTTTTAAGAATGTCAATCAAATTGCTTAAGTCTCTTGCTAAAGCTTTTCATTTATACTCGCAATAAAAAGGAAATTCCTTAGTGTGGCCTTCAAGATTTTATACCACATATTTCCCTTGACTCTTTCTCTCTTTAACTATGAATACAGCTACACTGACCTTCTGACTGGTTATCCACCATATCAAGTTTGTTTCTGTCTTACAAGCTTTATTCATGTTTCTCTTTCTGCCTAGCAAGCTCTTCCCTCCTCAGTCTCAGTCCTTACCCTGCTGTGATTGTTCATATTGAGTGTCAACTTGATTGGATTGAAGGATGCAAAGTATTGTTCCTGGATGTGCTTGTGAAGGTGTAGCCAAAGGAGATTAACATTTGAGTCAGTGGACTGGGAGAGGCAGACCCACCCTCAATCTGGGTGGACACCATCTAATCAGCTGCCAGCATGGCTAAGAATAAAGCAGGCAGAAGGAGGTAGAAAGAGCAGACCTGCTGAGTCTTCCAGGCTTCATCTTTCTCCCATGCTGGATGCTTCCTGCCCTCAAACATTGAACTCCAAGTTCTTCAGCTTTTGGACTCTTGGACTTAGACCAGTGGTTTGCCAGGGGCTCTTGGGCTTTCGGCCACAGACTGAAGCTTCACTGTTGGCTCCCCTACTTTTGAGCTTTTGGGACTCGGACTGGCTTCCTTGCCCCTCAGCTTGCCGACAGCCTATTGTGGGACTTCACCTTGTGATCGCGTGAGTCAATTCTCCCAATAAACCCCTTTCATATATACATATGTCTTATTGGTTTGGTCCCTTTAGAGAACCCTGACTTACTACATCTACTTAGCCCTCCTTTACAATTTAGCCCTCTGTATAATTCTCACTCTTTCAGAGCAGCCGTTCCTGACAGTCATTCTAGACCAGAAATTCTCATCTCCTCTGCTTTGTTTTCTTCTGATTTATTCCTGTGCTTTATTGTCTTCATTGCATTCTCTCTATCTGAAATTACAGTATGTATTTGTCTATTTGATTATTGTGTATCTCCTTTACTAGAAGGCAAACTCCTTAAGAGCAGGGATCTTGAGCATCTTCCTTCTTTGTTCTCAAGCTGGAACACTGTTTAGTACATTGTAGAACTTGGTGAATTTCAGATTGAGTGAATGAAGGTATTTTATGTAGGCAGGAAAACCAAGCAAAGTCATGAAGGTAAAACAATGTGTGTTGTAGGCAGACAGTGGCAAACAGTTTTTCTCAGTTTGAGAAAAGGCTATATGGAGAAAAGAAATGGCAAAGTAAATCGCAAAGGGAGCTTATGGCCACGTGGTAGATCAATGTGAAGGCAACAGCAATAGCTCATCAAAATTCAAATGAGGAACCCCTTGTTCAATCACATATTGCTTTATATAGCTATGACACAATATTAAGGGAAACTATGATATTAATGCACTGCCTAAATCATTGAGAGTAACATCAAGGAAGACTTATTTTAGAATAATGTAATTCTGAGATGTCAAGTCAGTTTTCCATGAAATGTCCCAACAGTTTCATAAAAAATTCTGGGCTAAGGAAATGACATGCCCATGTTTAATATGGACAAAATAGATAAATATGTACATGATATTTTAATATAAAGTGAGTTCATAAATACAGTGTCTTTGGGGATAACTGCTTAGTTCATTTAAAGAACTTCAACCGGAATGTTAATAATGTACTTCATCTCCAGGAAAACAAGTATATACTGTATCACATAACTTCAAGTATCCATAGTAACATGAGTCATGTTGATTAGATATAATAATTATCATTTCTCAAGAAGATTATAGCACGATAATTGTTTTATACCAGATTTTTCTTGTTGCCAGTTAAGTAACTTAATGTAAGAAAAATTGGGAAAACAACACTGACTTTGAGAAAGGAAAGAGCAATTCCTTCAATATGTATTCTAATATGGAAAGCATCTCTATTTAAAATTACCAGCTTTAATTTAGGGTCACAATTAAGCTGAAATAATTCTTAACAATAACAAACAGTCCAACTCTCTGAGCAAGTTGTACAAAAGAACCAGGAACATTTAGATTCTTGTTATAATCACAATCAATGTGAACCTGCTGTGTTTGTTAAGAAATGTAGACCATTCAAATAAACATTATAAATTCTACTGTGGAGATGCTTCCAACATAGATGTAATTGGTAAGGTCAAACTGGATGGTCCATTGACTTTAGATGGTCAGATAGGTGTCCCAGAAATTAAAAAATACTTTGTAAAACAACAGTCAAAATTCCTTAGGCTAAGTATGAACCAATTAATGGAGTAAGCATTTGTAGCAAAAAAGTGGTATAGAGCACAGTTCCAAAAATACTATAATCCAGAAAGGAAGTTCATATTAAGTTTCCAAGAATGTTTAATTTTTTTAAATTTCTACTTTTTGTTGGTACATAGTAGATTATATATTTACAGGGCACATGAGGTGTTTCGATACAGGCCTCCAGTGCATAATAATCACATCATCGAGAATGGAATATCCATTCCCTTGTGCATCTATCCTTTGTGTTACAAATAATTCAATTACACTGTTTAAGTTGCTTTAAAATGGGCAATTTTTATTGACTATAGTTATCCTGCTGTGCTATCAGATAGTAAGTCTTATTTATTCTTTCTGTGTTTTTTGTACCCATTAACTATCCCCACCTTCCCCCAACACCACACTATGCTTCCAAACCTCTGGTAAACATCCTTCTACCTATGTTCATGAGTTCAATTGTTTTGATTTTGAGATCTCACAAATTAGTAAGAACATGCAATGTTTATCTTTCTGTGCCTGGTTTATTTCACTTAACACAATGACCTCCACTTTCATGCATGTTGTTGCAAGTGACAGGACCTCATTCATTTTTATGGCTGAATAGTACTCCATTATGTCTATGTACCACATTTTCTTTATCCATTCATCTGTTGATGAACACATAGGTTGCTTCCAAACCTTAGGTATGGTGAACAGTGCTGCAACAAACATAGGAGTGCAGATATCTCTTTGATGTACTGATTTCTTTTGGGAATGTACCCAGCAGTGGGATTGCTGGATCATATGGAGCTCTAGTTTTAGGTTTTTTTTTTGTTTTTTGTTTTTTTTAAGGAACCTCCAAACTGTTCTCCAAAGTGGTTGTACTAATTTACATTCCCACCTGCATTGTATGAGGGTTACCTTTTTTCCACATCCTTGCCAGCATTTGCTTTTGCCTGTCTTTTAGATGTAAGCCATTTTAATGGGGGTAAGATGATATTTCATTGCAGTTTTGATTTGCTTTTATTTCTCTGGTGATCAGTGATGTTGAGCACCTTTTCACATGTCTGTTTGCCATATGTTTGCCAGACTATTTTCCTACTGAGTTGTTTGAACTCCTGATATATTTTGGCTGTGTCCCCACCCAAATCTCATCTTGAATTGTAGTTCCCATAATCCCCATGTGTTGTGGGAGGGACTTGGTGGGAGGTAGTTGAATCATGGGGGTGGTTACCCCCATGCTACTGTTCTTATGAGTGAGTTCTCACAAGATCTGATGGCTTTATAAGGGGCTTTTCCCCATTTTGCTAGGCACTTTTCCTTCCTGCCACCATGTGAAGAAGGACAAAATTTAGCCAGGCATGGTGGTGGGTGCCCATAATCCCAGTTACTGGGGAGGCTGAGGCACGAGAATCACTTGAACTGAGGAGGCAGAGGCCGCAGTGAGCTGAGATCCTGCCACTGCACTCCAGCTGGGGTGACAGAGCGAGACTCTGTCTAAAAAAAAAAAAAGATGTTTACCTCAGGAGACAGTCTAAGCTCATCCCGAGGTACCATAAGGACATAATTCTCTGAAACGAAACTCACATAAGATCATTTCAAATTCAAAAGATACTGGCTCCTCTGCTCCAGTGGAGAAGGGGAACTAGGTATATGCATTTGGCTGTAACTGAGCAGAGAAGCTGAGGCTACCTCTCAATTGAAGCTCTCTTCATATAGAGAGCAAATGCCAAACACTGTCTTCAGGAATGTATAGCACAGGGAGAGACATCTGAGATAAGTGCAGAGACTGTGTTTGCTCATCAAGGGAGAACCTGAGTATCAAGGACCATAATATCCAGGGCACCGGGTTAAAATAGATCTACTCTCAATACAGTTGACTACAGCCAAGAGCAGGATTTCTTGTCCTTAGTGATTTGAGTGACAAAAATTTCCAAGTGAGTTTTCAGAAACATAGTTGGGTAGGTAAAGGTCAACATTTGAATTTATGAAGGGTAGACATTCCAGTGACCCTATTTTTATGTCTAATATGCAGAGCACTCTCTTCTTAGTATCAAAGTACCAGGAAATTGAATGATAATTGGAAGATTATAAGCTAAACATAGACGCGTAGAACTGGAAGGAAATTAAATGGGTTAGAGGAATAATGAATTTAGGCCGCTGATTTCCAGGCAATACATAGTGAAGATCACTAAATTATCTACATTTTCTATTAAGAGACCCATGAATGAAGAAGAGAGAAGCAGAGGGAAAGAGAGAAACTGATTGAAAAGATGCAGTCAAAACGGGCGTTAGGAAAAAGAAGGAGGTAAGTAGAAAAAAATTTTCAGTTTGTCTACAATAAAATGTAAAGTCTAATTAACTCTATTTTCCAAAAGTCATATTTGCTGTCAAGATACAGTTTTGCCTACATAAATTAGATGGACATGGAACCATTTTTTCCTCTCTAGGCTTGAAATTTCTATTGCATTTCTTTACGCAAGGAACAGCTCCTTCTAATTCTCTGAAGGTCTCTCTTTACCTCTCTGTTGTACTTCCTGTGAAATATATTCTTTGTGTGTGTGTGTGTGTGTGTGTGTGTGTGTGTTTGTGTGAACTCACTTGCTGGAAGTGTTTTGTTGTAGTTTCCTTACCCTTTTTTAACTGGATTCTTCTTCTTTGTCTAGCTCATTCATACTGACAACTCCAATGGGACATCAAGTTTCCCATTTTCCCACTGCCGCCCCAAGTTTCCCGTTTCTTTTCCTTGTTTTTATTTATTTATTAGTGTTATTATTTTTCAGAGGGGTAAAGGGGCAGAAACTTGGAATGTTCAAATGTTTTTCTGATGGTGCAATCAGATAACTTCTACTCTGCTGCAAATACCAATCCCTTAAAGCATGTAACAATTTTCCTCCCCACCTGGCAGAGGTAGGAGGCAGTGTTGTATGTGGTGGTCTCAGAACTTGTCTACTGATCTTTTAATACATTTCAGCCAATATCAAAGGTAGTCTAATTCAGAATGGACTATTACCTTTATTTATTTAATTTATTTATTTTTGTCTATTATCATTTAACTGAGTACTATTAGGTATGGCAGGACTGGAGAACTTGCTAGGTATATGCAGGTCTATGTTTCTGTAGGTCTTCAGCAAATACTTGGCAGGCAGTTACTACAGTGACTTACAGATCTCCTCTATTGCACAAATACTTGCCAAACCCTTAAATTTCTACTCCAAATGTTAATAACAAACTTAAGAAAAATATCTTTTTGACAGCACTTTATTATGTTTGAAATGACAAAGTTTTAGCAATGATATCTCTATAGCAACAATTATTGGAAAATGTTAATGTAACTATTAATCATAAATGGAAGATACCAGAACCAAGGAGAGAATATAGGGGAGAAAAAGAGTTTGCTTCCCTTCTTTGAAGTCTGAGGATTTGGTCTATTTTATTAGACTTGCCTATAATTCTCTACAGAGCAACAGATTTTGAATTTTATGAAAAACCCTCTTAGGTCCTTATATTTTTCATGCGCGTCCATGTGAAGAGACCACCAAACAGACCTTGTGTGAGCAACATGGCTGTTTATTTCACCTGGCTGCAGGCGGGCTGAGTCCGAAAAGAGAGTCAGCGAAGGGAGATAGGGGTGGGGCCGTTTTATAGGATTTGGGTAGGTAAAGGAAAAAGGGGGCTTGTTCTCTGGCGGGCAGGAGTGGGGGTCACAAGGTACTTAGTGGGGGAGCTTTTGAGCCAGGATGAGCCAGGAGAAGGAATTTCACAAGACAGTGTCATCAGTTAAGGCAGGAACAGGCCATTTTCACTTCTTTTGTGGTGGAATGTCATTAGTTAAGGCAGGAACCCGCGATCTGGATGTGTACGTGCACGTCACAGGGGATATGATGGCTTAGCTTGGGCTCAGAGGCCTGACAATATTAATAATAGTGTTTCTGTGAGTCTTAATTTTTAAATGATATGGTTTTTATTTTTTCTGTTTTATTTTGTTGCTTTAACTGTTTTCTGAAGTGTGTGGTGGTAAATTAGAATAGGCTGCAATGTTCTTTTCTAGCCAGGCAGCATTTTAAACTAAAGGTTGTGTTGTGTAATTCTTAGTATTCTTTTTTGTTGTGGTTTCTTCACTTTTATCTTTCCCTTAGATGCCAACCCAAGACCTGAAACTTTTTTACCAACATCTGTTTATTATTTTATTTAAACCCAAGGAACATAAGACTGTGCACATGTACAATGTTTATATGTTTGCATGTAGCCTTCAGATGACTTCTTCACATTTATTCTTGATGACTTGGCTCCAAAACCATCTCTTATATTCAGTTCTTATTTTTGGTGTTTTTTTCTCTTCTTGGCTTCAAAGCCAAGCGTGATTCTAAGTGGCACTGGTTGGATGATCACAACAGAATCTCAAAAAAGCCAATGTGTTATGTTTTATGTTTAGAACTAACAAATGCGTCTCATGGCTTAAATAACTGCCTTTGCAACAAAGGATGGGAGCTAAATTATACTCACCACTTACTCTCGGGATCTTTCAAGTGTGGAGAAATTAGGGGAACGTCAGGATGTTCTTGTCCTTTATTTAATTTGTTGATAAATAAATAAAGTGTCAGGCATTTTGTTTTTAACTTTTAAATTACCTCCTCAGCAAGCATTTTATGGTGGTGGAAGATTATTTTATACTTTCAAGTGTAAGTAAAACTTTCTAAAGTTGGAGAGTTGTCTTCATTCCATTCCAAACTACTGAAATTTAGCTGTAAACAAGACTTAGCTTTCTGGCCTGTTAATTTCATTGTGATTATTGCCCTTTATCTTCAAAGCCATGTCTCTCATTTGTGCTTAGTGAAGAACAAATTTGTAGAGTAAACTGTTGAATGAGATGAGGAATACAATTATCATGGAAGGGAGGGCTTTCTTTGAAATACTTGTGCCAAGTTGGAAGTGTACATTTCAAAATTATCTTGCAAGTTGGAAATAGACATCCTAATTTAGTCAAACAATTTGATCAGAGATACTTTGTCCAAATTATTTGAATAATAAAAATGGCAGAGAATTTTCTCTGTACCAACCAATTCATGTAGCACATTAAATTATGTAAATATCTCCCTCAGCACTATCCCACTCTACAATTTAATAGTATGTTACTGAGAAAAGGGAAAATATTAGTTTAAAATAAACTATAAATTAAAAAGCTTTAATGCATATTTCTTATATATTTTTTCTTTTTGTAAATAGATTTGAAAAAAAATCCTGTATTGCTTACTTTCCATGATTTTTTTAAACTTAGAACAAACCATTTTCCTTGGAAGTTTGAATTATATAGTTGTAGTTTCTGAACCACTAAGTAATTATCATAGACATTTAAAATACTCCTATGGTTATGATTTTGTGGCTTTTGAAAAATGCAGCCAGTCCCCAGCTGACCAAAAATTTACACTGCAAATATTTTTGCAAAATTAAGGATTGCCTTTTGGTCAGTGCAGTGATCATTATTGAGTCTCCCACCCATATTTAGTTTGGATTTGAATGTTGTTTGTGTTTGCTCATGAGGTTTTTCTCTTTTTTGTTGTCTTCTCCTCTCCATAAACTGGATTATGCCGTTGAGTGTCAAAATATGTATCTACTTATACCTCAAATATAATTTTTATATTTATCAAATATAATAAATGTGTTCTAACCTATCTCTTTCAAGATAATAGAGACTTGGAAATAATCTAGTCTGAGAGATATATCTCTGCTCACACAGCTGTGAAGGAGTAGAACTGTTTGGACTCCCAGTTAGTAGCTCAGCAGAGATAACACAACTTAATCTAAAATTGACTGATTTGAAAAGAGCAAAGGAAAATAACCAACTGTATCCATATCCCAGCAATTTCCATTCTTCCAGCATAGTGTAGTCGGAAGTATAGTTAGAACATCATGGGTTTCAGAGTCAGAGAAAACTCAATTCAAACATCACTTTACAAGATGGGAGACCTGGGGCTAGTTGTGAAACCTTGCTGATACTACTACATTTATCCTCTTGTGTAATTAGATGGTAAAAAGTCTGTAAGGATGTTTTGAGGATTGAATAATATAATAAATGTTTGTAAAGACTTTGCCATAGAGTGAATATGCAATACACACACACACAAACATATATATACACACACACACATATACGTATATATATAATTAAGCAGTATTTTATTATTCCTCTTATCTAAAATTCTAAGGATATTCTAATGGTAGCATTAGACATTTATTAATAGCTTATTTATAGTGAAGACCCACTGAATTGTTTTGTGTATTTTATTCTCTGACCTGAGTACATACATGTTCTCTGCCCCAGAAGTCTGAGTTCTTACCTTAACATTATGATTTTTTTCCAAGACTTTCTCTCCAAGATTTCTGGACAAGTTGACATGTTCAAAATAATAATACACTAAAATCAATTTGTTAATATTTTGAAATGGGTTATAATTCAGTGGTATAAAATTAACCATCAAGAAACTTGAAATTTGTGTAGCTATTATCTAATATGAAATAAGTTAATATATGCAAAATGCATTTAGTGCTTCAAATATATTAGGCGTGTTTGAGAGCTGGGTATGATCATCATCACTGTCATTGTCACTATCATCCTTTTAATGTGATGGACAGGAGGAAAAAACATGCAAATAGAATTCACATTTCATTTCGGTCTGTTGAATTCATTGGACCATACTAAGCTAAAGTTCGTATTCACATATTCATTTAGTATTTGTACTTGTTTGATTCCATTTAATTAACTCACGGATTTATTCATTCAACACATATTTTTAAGCACAGTTCTGGATATCGGAGATGCAAAGGTGACCAAATTCAATCCTTGCTTTCAAGGAGCCACAGTGTCTCAGGAGAGCCAGACATTATTCAGATGATGAAATCAATGACTGTTCAACTGCTGTTCTGATAAGGGAGATAAAGTGCAGATGGAGTCAGGGATCAAAGCTTCTGTTGGGAAGAAATGCTTGGGTTGGGTGCTACAGATGCAACGAGAGTTCAGCAGGTAAGGGAAGAGCTTCCCCAGAAAGAAACAGCATACACAGAGTTTCTGTGCCAGGAGGGCACACGGCATTCCTTAGAAACTGGGCAAAGGATAGAGAGGCTAAAAAGAAGGTGGTGAGGCTTGATAGTGGGAGATTTCATATTCACAGAGCACATAGCTTTGGTGGAAATGTTTTAAACGCACGGCTTCATTTTGTGTTCATTTTGTCCTCTAGTGAGGTAGATGCTCACCCCATTTATGAATACCCAGGTTCAGCGAGGTTAAGACATTTACATAAGGTCAACTGACATCTAGTAACTGGCACAGCTGCAATCTAAATTAAGGAATCTCTGGCTGGAGCTGAGGATTGCAGCCTCACTACAGTGTAGAGATTAGGAGTTTAGTATGGATTAGACCACACAAGTCTGATTTATTAAGTGTTTTTCTTCTTAGAGCAATAGAAAGACGTGGAAGAAACTCAACTACTAATTGACAAGATCTAATTTAGTTGTAAAAAAACAAAAATGGTTCTAATTGCACCGTGGAGAACCAATGACTGCATTAATTTGAGCAAGAGGGAGAAGGAAAGACAAATTAGGAGGTGGTTGGCAATTTTGTGGGGAGAATAAATGGCACCATGCAGGAACAAGGAAGAGAAGTGGACATGCATTTTTTTTCTGTTTTTTTTTTTCTTTTTGAGACGGAGTCTCGCTCTGTCGCCAGGTTGGAGTGCAGTGGCACCATCTCTGCTCACTGCAACCTCTGCCTCCCAGGTTCAAGCAATTCTCCCGCCTCAGCCTCCTGAGTAGCTGGGATTACAAGCATGTGCCACCATGCCCAGCTAATTTTTGTATTTTTAGTAGAGATGGAGTTTCGCCACGTTGGCCAGGATTGTCTCGACCTCTTGACCTTGTGATTCGCTTGCCTTGGCATTTATTGATCCATTTATAAACTATTGACCTTGTAAGAATGTCTACAGCAGAGTGTTTAATTTGTATGTCTATTCATTAAAACTCCTTTGATTGATAGTTAATTGGTTTATAATATTAGTTTCAAGACTAAACAAGCTGTGTATGTAACATTTGATCTTTCAGTTACAGGCTTTATCACAAAAAAGTAATGCTGTATCTCTTTTTCCTGGATTTTTATCCACCTGAAATTTCTGATGTCCACAATGGTCCCACCTGGCTATCTACTTTCTGCACATATTTTCACGTGTAATTTGAAATTGCATATGAATGTACATAGATAAAAGTGACTTCCTTTCAAAAACATTTAGATAAGCTAGGTGTGGTGGCACACGCCTGTAATCCCAGCTACTGAAGAGGCTGAAGCAAGAGAATCCTCTGAACCGGGGAGGCAGAGGTTGCAGTGAGCCGAGATCATGCCACTGCACTCTAGTGATACTCTGTCTCAAAATAAAAACAAAACAAAACCATTGTAATAAAATAATGTAACTTTGGTATTGGAAAGGAGAATCTAGAAAACAATTAGAAACATTAAAAATACTTATTGCTTAGATACCCCTATTGCATTAAGAGACAGAATCTCAAAAAATGTAACAGATGAGGCTAAAGCTACTCTACTGGAAATGTTGAATCTAACATTTAAACCTAGGCATTTGCCAACAAGGTAGCACCTCTCAGTAAAGGGGTGCTCAAGATTCAACTGTTCATTCAAAATAGATGAAAACCATATTTTGCACAATTGTGGCACATGCTAATTACAATATATGGATTTTTAGAATTGTTCTTTCCTTCTTCATATAATAACTAGGGTTATTTCATCAGAACACTCAGTAATCCTGATGTTCACCACAAGACTGACTGGAGACTAAAGATGTTTCTGAAAGACAGAAATATTTTCACAACTAATCCAATTATCTTTAGAGCAATTTTTTGTGTATAAATAATTGAATAACATCCTTCAGCATGTGGTACATCTATAAGCATAGCCAGTGAGGCCAGCATAATGCATCCACACTATAACTTTAAAAAGCTCTAAATGTCTACCATAAATAATTGAGCTAGTAGTTTAAGAAGGAAAACAAAACAAAAACAAAACCTTTTTAAGTCTTTGAAATTCTGCTCTTGAATAAATGCCTAGGGAAAAAAAAAAACATTTTTGGCGTTTTCCATACACTTCTTGTTCGGGAAACCACTTAAAATTTACAAGATTTATTCCTTACATTTGGAACAAAATACTTTTTGTTCCATCAGATTTCCTTGAAAGATATTTGTTTTCAAGATGTTTGTCACCACTTGTAAGTAAAATAAAATATAGGGGATTTTCAGTACTGGAGACATTTTGTACAGCCCATCCCCAGTGTGAGCATTCTGAATTAGGTGATTCAGGAAGAATTATTTCTTTTTACATTTATTAAATATTAACTCTGCTCAGACCTCTTTGAAAACTACAGAGACTGATTGCAAATTTCCTCAACTTGGTATGAATTTAAAATGCCAAGAATTTATCTTTTTATAAAATAGACCATTCTTAATAGTTTAGACTATTTCTTCTTAAAAAAATGTGGCTGAAAAACTGGCTGTTGGGTACTGTGGTCAGAACCTGGGTGATGGTGCCATTCGTACCCCAAACCTCAGCATCACACAGTATACCCAGTTAACAAACCTTCACATGTAACCCTAAATCTAAAATAAAAGTTGAAAAAAACAGAAAAAATTGTTTTTTCTGTTATAAAAAGGTTTCAGATTCCAAAGTCTAATATTTCCACATTGGTAAGATATGCTTTAATTAGGAAAAATAAATACCTCACCTTTACTCTGAAACTTTGAGTAGCATGATATATGTTAGTGAAGGTTCAGAGACTCACATGGAAAGACAAAACCTATAGTCAGTCCTGAAAGAGTGGTATAAATGATATGGTTTTTTTTTGTTGTTGTTTTAATTTTACTTTAAGTTCTGGGATACATGTGTAGAACTTGCAGGTTTGTTACATAGGTATACACGTGCCATGGTGGTTTGCTGCACCCATCAACCCGTCATCTAGGTTTTAAGCCCTGCATGCATTAGGTATTTGTCCTAATGCTCTCCCTCTCCTTGTCCCCCACCCCCCGACAAGCCCCAGTAGGTGATGTTCCCCTCCCTGTGTCCTTGTGTTCTCATTGTTCAATTCCCACTTATGAATGAGAACATGTGGTTTTTGGTTTTCTGTTTCTGTGTTAGTTTGCTGAGAATGATGGTTTCCAACTTCATCCATGTCCCTGCAAAGGACATGAACTCATTCTTTTTTATGGCTGTATAGTATTCCATGGTATATATGTGCCACACTTTCTTTATCCAGTCTTTCAAAGATGGGCAGTGATTGCAAATCTGGATACCTGTGATAGATAGCAAAAGTGGCTGACATGATGCTTCTCCCTCTGCCTACACACTTGGTTTGGTCCCTCCCAGTCTAACTCTGGTTTTAGCTAATGGGCTGACTACAAACTTGATGCAAGCACAGACTTGCAACATGCTTGCACACTGGGGCCTAGGAACTCTGACCACTACCATGTGAGTGGGTCTTGGCTAACCTGGCAGAGGATGAGAGACACGTAGTCTAGTCTTCTCATCACCTTACTTGGTCTTGAGCCCATCACCAGAGTGCTAGTGAGACCATCCAGCTTCAGCCAAACCAGTTACTGTTGAAGAAATCCCCAGTTGCCCTACACATTTGTGAAAATCAATCCATATTATTATCCCAAGTGGCTAAGTTTTAGAGTAGTTTCTTACAGTGCAAAAACGGAATTATCCATTAGGTACTTGATAAATGATGGTAAAATATTAGTGTAGACATAGCTGAAATTTCTGAAGTCCCCTATGCTACCATTTAGCATTTAATAGAATGGGGACAAATTAGTGTTCAGCGGGAAGAGAACTTGTGTGAGAATCTAGATTCATGCTCTGTCTGTTGCTTTTCCCATAATTGTGTACAAGGCTTGGAACAAATGCTTAAGTTACCTGAATCTCAGGCTTTACAGCTTTTTCTTCATTAACCACTCTGTGAGTGCTGTAGTCCTCAGAGTTCTGTCTTTGGCTGCTGTTTTTCCCACTTGGCACAGTTTCCTTCCCTTCGTGAGCTAATTATGGCATAATTCCACTATCCTCTATATACCCATTACTCCTGCATCTGCTTTGTAAGCTGAAATCAGATTTTCTCTGACATCCAGACTAATACACTGGAAATTTCAGCTACTTTCTTAGCATTTCATACAGGTATTTCAAACATAAAGAAAGAAAAAATTAAAAATAAGTAGAAAAAAAGGAAGAAAAGAAATAAGAAGAAAGAGGAAAGGAAGGAGAGAGAAAGAGAAAGAAAACAGCTATTTTCCCCCTTTACTTTTTGACTTACTTATTTTGTATTCTCTCTTTCACCTGGTCACAACATCCTTTTCCTAGGTAATAAAAGCTTATCTCTTCCTTAGTCCTTAAATCTAGTCAGTTATCAAGTTCTATTGATTTATCTTTTAAATATCTCTCAAATTCATGCACCTCCTCTCTGTCCCTAGTTTGATACCTCTCTTCACATCTTCATTGTGTTTTACCTCAAACGTTTAAAACATATCTCATATGGCCTGTCTGCCAACAGTTATCTTTTCTTCAAAACTATTGAAAATCAGCAAAGTAATCACTTCAAAATGTAAGTATGAAGATCCTTCCCATTCCTCCTGCATAGGATCTGTCCATTGTACACTGTCGCCTGCCAGCAAAAATCCAAGGTCCTCAACATGTTATGAAATATTTCATTGAGTTGTTGCTGTAATGGCGGTTGTTTTATTTTTTTCCTTTTTTTCTTATTTATTTTTTTCTTTGGTAGAAGAAGGAAGAGTATGAGTTCAGTTTTACACAAATTGAGTTATAGATACCAGAGACAAGTCTAAATGCAGATGTTAAGTAGTCAAAATAATTTGAAATAACGGGCCTGGAGTCCAAGTAAAAGGGCTAGAATGTACATACAAAGATCATGCTGCATCCTCTCTGGATGATTTTTGGAATTTTCAAAGCCAGAGACCTGAACTATTTCAAGACTAAAAGAAGAGGTGCAAGATGGTGATCCACAAAGTAATGGGAATGGATGGCCAAAGAGATAAGAAAACAAAGAGAGTGAAGGATAGCAGAAATCACAGGGGAAACATCTTTTAAAGAGTGAGTGTTAACAAGTGAACCTGCCCCTGAAATTTCAAGAAAGATGACAACTGTGAGGTGCCCTTCTGGTAATGGCAGCACGGCAGCCCAGCTCAGAAGGCTCAGGAGCTCCATCCATATTATGAGATTGCTTATCAAATATGGCAGAGACTTGAAGGAACTTTCATATACTTTTCTAAAATTCTTTTTGATGAAGAGGTTTACAAGATGTTAAAAGAAAATTTTAGACACATTAAATTTAACAGGATTTAATTGACAGGAAAAAAAAAATCCACAAATCAGGCAGCCTCCAGAATCACAGTAGATTCAGAGAGACTCCAGGGATGATGCCTTGTGGTCATAACAAATTTATAGACAAAAGAAGGAAAGTGATGTACAGAACTTGGAGGTGAGGTTCAGAAACAACTGTATTGGTTACAGGTTGGCGTTTGCTTGATTTGAACACAGTGTATGAATGGTTGAAGTATGGCTGCTGCGATTGGCCAAGACTCAGCTATTGTTACAGATGCATACTGCTAAGTTAGATTTTCAATCTTGTCTACCTATTAAGTTAGGTTACGGTTCCTTCACAAAGACTGAAATACAGAAGAACATAGTCCTTCTCAGGCCATGTTTAGCTTGCTTTAACAAGTGGTAGATTCGTGTATACTCAAATTATATGTAAAAATTTGCCAGTTGATAGATATATTGTCAGAGAAGAGGATAGGTCGCTGGAAGAATTGAAAGAATAGTAAATATAAATTTTTCCTGCTGTACAGTAGAAGAGAAAAAAGATTCTGAGCATTTTTGGAATCTGTATTATTAGCCTAAACAATAACTAAAACAAGGAAACATTGAAGAGCCTCTATTTGCAGAGATTTATTTTTTTTCTTGAGAAGGAGTCTCTGTCTCCTAGGCTGGAGTGCAGTGGTGTAACCTAGGCTCACTGCAACCTCCGCCTCCCAGGTTCAAGATATTCTTCTATCTCAGCCTCCCAGTTAGCTGGGATTGCTGGAGTGCATCACCACACCTAGCTAATTTTTTTTTTTTTTTTTTTTTTTTTGGTATTTTTAGTAGAGACGGGGGTTTTCACCATGTTGACCAGGCTGGTCTGGAACTCCTGACTTCAATGATCCGCCCATCTTAGCCTCCCAAAGTGCTGGAATTACAGGCACGAGCCACTGCACCCAGCCCAAGAAATTTTTAATCTTCTAATAGTCATATAACATTCAGGATTCCAAAAGGAAAGACTAGATGCGCGCAATGGGTATATTGAAAAGAATTTCACGAAGGACTACTTACAGAGCGGGCAGGGATCAGGTAGCTGGTCAGGGATGCCGAGACTTCCAGGGACTAGCAGCACTGGGATGTGTTACCACTTCCAGGCCTCAGTGAGCACAGGGAGAGATTATTCATGAGGATCTAGTGACAGGGAAAGAGGGGAGAAAGAGGCGCCTCCCAATAGCATCCAAAATTTTGGGAAACATAATCACAGTCACAACCAAAGTACTGAAGTTGAGATGGAACAGAGAAGAAATGCTCAGGTTATTCTCTCCTTATTCTCCTATTAGCCAAGCTAAATTAGAAGCCAGGAGGTAAGGAAGTTTGGTGATGCATCCCTAGGGCACAAGCATCTCAGGATACAGGACAGGACAGAGAATGGGAGAGGATGGGTTTGGAGGGGAAAATGGAGAAAAAGTGATGTAGTCCTCTAGCTAAAGGCAATGCGCACTACCATTCTCCTCACTTTCTGAATATACAGCAGCAAGATGTCAAGGCAGAATAAAAAGGCACCCACTCAAATGGGTTACCATTTGGAATTTTGATCTCTAGTCTTTAATTCAGAGAAGAGAGGTAATCTGATGTATAGGCTTAAAGGTAGATTGAGATTTGAATTCTGTTTCCACCACTTAAGCGGTGTAACAGGCAGAAGAGCCTAGTCTGAATCTCAGTTTCTCCATCTGTAAAAGTGGAACCGTAATAAATTCTAAGAGTTTTATAAGGTGCTTGGCATCTAAATGCAGGTTTTTTTTCTTTCTTTCTAGAATATCATGCTCACTCCCAAGTGTGAGTGAGTGACATTGCATTTCATTAAAAATGTGACATTGCATTTCCAAATGTGTATACCCATCTAAGTGAGAAATCTCAAAATCCCAAGCAATAAGCTAGAGTTTCAAAACTATCACCCCCAAGGACTTTTCCTAATTCAGTATTTCAAGGTTATAAATAAATCCTACTTTAATGCACACTTGTGACCTATACTGTTTCAGAGATTGGTTCCCTGATCCTTATTTTTCTTCCTCAAAGTTTTCACATGCCACACATCAAGACACACACTTTTTTTCTTGTATACTTTAGGTATTAATTTCTTATCAAATGAAGTTCAGCACCAAATCACCATTTCCAGGAAAAAAAATGAGATCAAGGACAGGACCTTTCAAAACTCATTGGATTAGATACTTATAGAAATATCACCTTACATTTTGTTATTAATCAAATCCATTTGCATGCCGCTAGTATTCTGTGGATTCTTATTATAACTGGCTTTGTGTCTTTTGGAGGTTGTGAATTCCAGACAATCCTGGTGGCTGGGAAGAATCTGAAAATGTTCGTATTCCATGTCACTTGTGATGTGAGGAAACAATCTTACAGCCTTAAAATCCTTCATGAAATTAAATATTATCTTAAGAAATCCTAATTAAATTATCTCCCATTCCATCTTCATTTTCATTTCTGTGACTTCATTCTACGCTGGCCTGCATGTGACCTGGCGCACATTGGCTTCACATTAGATGAAATGTGACTAAAGCCTCAAAAAAATAACCTTTTAATTACCTTTTAAACTCTATAAAGAGAATTCACTTTTTAGTGTGACATCATTCTATGTTTCGAGCATACTTATTTTATACCCTTGCTGTACTAATTTGTCTTAATCTCTACTGATAACCAACCAGATGCTGAAATATTAAAATAGATTTTCTCTGTACATCTCTACTGATACAAAGAGATTATAAGCAAAGAACCCCTCGATCTTTCCCAATTTTGAATTTATTAATTAGGCCTTTATCTTATAGTCCTTTGCAAAGAAGAGCAGAAATAACAGTCTAGTTGGCATAATAACAAAGATTCTGAGGGAGCAAATGTTTCTTTAGAGGCATAATGACAAGTGATCTTTTTGAAGTTAGTGAAATAAAACCGAAGCAATTTTATAGTGACACATCAAGATGGTGCCACGAACATCAAATGTGCTGTGCGCTAAAGTCATTACCACATTTCACAAAATGATACTCTGGCTTTTTTTCCTGAAGATTAAATATAACCTCAAAATAAAGCTGCAGTACACCAATTTCAAAATGACAAACTTAAAAATTTCTACTTTAGGTTTTCTTGTATGTGTGACATTTCTATCCTATGTGAAAGCAAAGTTCTCATGAATTTACCTCACCATTAGTTAACTGTTTCAAACATATACATTGGTCAGCAGCTATATTTTTGTCATTTACTTCTACTGATAGAAACCTAGCTAAGGTAGATCATTTGAGAAAAAAAATCCTGGAGATTTTTTTACATATAACGTATGATTTAAAGTATGAAATGTTGAACAGAAATACAGAGTTAACTTATTCGGGCATACATTTAAACGATATTTTTAAACCACTGGGCTGGAAAAGCATGATACATATGAAAGAATCATATTTAAATTATTTAAAAATTACCAAGCAAAGAACTTTGGTTATTTTCTATAAATAACCGTGATTACTATAGGATGAGAAGGTATAGACACATATATGATCAAACACATACAAATGAAACAAAAAGATAAAATAACTTTCCCAGAATGTCTTCCTTTTTTTGTGACCGCAAGATCATTCTGAGCATATCCTAAAATATGCACACCTTTCTTTGGTCACCACTTATCTAAGTAATAAATAAGAGAAGTAGTGAAGAACACGAATAAGACAGGGAAAGGGATTGATGGAAACGGTGCTGCCATGATTACAGCTGCACATTACAGATAAATGACAGATTAAGTGCAGTCATCTAAAAAGATGGATAAATGAGGATAGCAACACAAAATATAGGTGAGATATTAGTGAAGAAGCAGAATGAGCACCTTCAAAACTTCTCTATAAGAGCAAGAAAAAGCAATGGCACACATTGTCAGAATAAAATTTTGCAAGACTCTGGAGATTAAACAGAGTCTTGGAGCAATCTCAATGTTTATTTAAAAATAACACTTGGATCTCAGTAAGAAAGGGAAGACCTGTGACCTTTTAACTTGCCAATTGTCACCAATTCAAAAGACCATTAAATGCAGCATCCCTTCTCTTATTTGATCTTCTAAGAGTGTATGACATTGTGGATCTTCGGTTGAACCACACTTTTCCTGAATGTTCGGATGCAACATTTCTATTACATTGGTGCAAAAGTAATTGCATTTTTTGCCATTAATATATTTTTCTACTGATTTTCTGACTTATTCCTTGTTTCTTTTGCACACTTTGAATTTAGGTATTGCTCAAGATGATAACATGTGCCCTCTTTTATCACTTTATATAATATGTTTAGTATCCCATTCATTCCAAAGGACACAATCACCATTGACATGTTGGTAACTCCAAATTTGGTGTGATTAGCCCACTCTTCCCTCATGTGTTCCGGGCTTTTAGCATCTTTTTGAATATCAAAGCATACACTGTGACAATCTTAACACACTTATGATTTTGGTTCTCCTAACTCTCAGAATGCATTCCAAATCCACAGTTCCAAGCTTCTTCAGTTGCTTTATAATTTTAGCTCCTTTCCACTGGTGACTGACTCTATTTGGAAAGTATTCAATACCTTCTGATGAAACTTGCTATTATTTTTTATTAAAAATATGTTTCCTTATGTTCCACTACTATGTGATTGGCTTGAACACATACAGCTTTGGTAGAGTCCCAGAATGAGATTTTGAGAAACTTTTTCATAACTACTTAGGATTAGAAATACAGGGGAAAAAATAACTCTTGCCATTTCATTTGACTGGGAGGTTCAATTGGTTAAAGGAATCAATGAAAGTGAGTAGCGTTTCAAAGCTGACAGTTTTAACCTCTCAAGTTTGCCCTATTTACTGAACACGTTGGAGAAAAGTAGGGATAAAAGATCAGAATGAGCACAAAGAAATGGTTTTCCATTGTAGAAAGTAATCAGCCACTCTGGGAATGGTTTCCAACAGCAACTATGAAATCATCCATGCTGCCAGTTGACATTAGAAATAACACTGCAACTATGTTTAAAGTGAAAATTTTCTGAGAAGTTCAAGAGCAGCCAAGAAAAGATATTAGGAACTCTAAATTCCAGAAACACTCTTCTCTGATAAAAATCTTGATTTTAGTCCTTTGTTAAAATCATCTGTGGCAGTTGTTATAAGATCTTATTTGTGTGTGTGTGTTCCTTAGAATTATCTATATACAAGATCCTGTTACCTGTAAATAGAGATAATTTTGCTTCTTCCCAAATAATCAGAATACATTATCTTTCTTTTCCTTGGCCAATTGCATTGGCTAGAACCTATAATAAAACATTAAATGGAAGTGGGAAAGGAGGACATCCTTGTCTTATTAAGATTTTTGATAGATTTTGATACAATCTTGTTGATAGACTTTTAGTCAATGAATAAAGGCCTTTATAACCTCAGTTATGGTATCAAGATTTATTTTTTTCCTGAACTGTTCAGACACGTAAGTGATAAATGGGATCTGAATATTAGTTTATGTAGACTTGCTCTTTCTACTGCTGAGAAAATAATCCTATGCTTTAACTTAGCTTTGTAGTCTGAGCACAGGATTTGTTCTTTATAAACTCAGGGTCTTTTTCTAACTTATTTATTCCTTTTACCTCTGTCAGCTTGCTTTATCTTACTACTATAAGCCATCAAAGACCATCTTGAGTTCAAAATAGGAATTATATTTAGTTATGTTTATGCCTATGGAGTGAGATAGAGCAGATTTCACTCTGCCCTTGCCCAAGGGTATGATCTTTAATAAGTTATGAAAATCCCCATTCCCTCATCTTCTTCATCTTAACATGATAATAACAATAGTATACAGGGTTGCTGTGAGTAGTGCAATCAGCATAAACGAATCAGTAATCAGTCTGGGCATGGTGGCTCACTCCTGTAATCCCAGCACTTTGGGAGGCTGAGGCAGGTGGATCACGAGGTCAGGAGATCGAGACCATCCTGGCTAACACAGTGAAACCCTGTCTCTACTAAAAATACAAAAAATTAGCTGGGCGTGGTGGCGGGCGCCTGTTGTCCCAGCTACTCGGGAGGCTGAGGCAGGAGAATGGCATGAACCCGGGAGGCGGAGGTTGCAGTCAGCCGAGATCGTGCCACTGCACTCCAGCCTGGGCGACAGAGCGAGACTCCATCTCAAAGAAAAAAAAAAAAAAGATTCAGTAATCATAATGACAGTGACCAGTGTTTATTATTATTATTATTTAATGCATTAAATAAGGAAACAACACTGGCATGACACTACTTTCATGTGTCTCAGAATATAAAAATCCAACAGGAGAAAAAATAGATACACATAGATTGCTTATGTGTGTTCTTGCATTTATCTCCATGGTGCCAAGCCCATTTCTGTCAGGTAAGCCATCAGTCCCAGGTTTCCAGTGAAAGATTATCCACTCTGGGAGCTCAGTTCCTGCATTATTCATGTCATTCTGCATGCAGCTAGATTTATGTGTCAGGAAAAACATACAAATGGAATCCGATTTACTTGCACAAGTTCCTGAACCATTTGATTTATGTTTGAGTAAATAAAGACATATGTCTTATAGGTATTGGCTTCACTTCTCTTTAGAAATAGAAGTGTAATGCTACGACTTCTTTTCTTGGCAGGAGTAGACTTCTAAAGTTTTGAAAGCAATGCAACCTCAAATTATATACTTTCAATTTTCAGATGTGTTCATTATACTTTTCCATTTGCATTCAGCACTTTGGGCATCAAAACAATGGAAAATCTACAGCTCTGGACCACTGGAAAAGGTTCAGGATTTCCTAGCTTAGCTGCAAATCATAGAAGCAGCTACAATAAGGAATTCAGATGTAAAAACTTATTCAAACCTTCCTCAAGCTACCTAATGTTTAGGCTACAGATAGCTTCCAAAATCACCTCAGCAAATTGTACATTTAGCATTACCATTCACTCTTCCTCAGGAGGGCCCTACCTGGCTTCAGGACTTTCATCTAGCCTTGATACATTGTATTCATTTTGCAAGAATGTCAAGGTTATGGAAACAAAGGAAGACTGAGAAACTGTTATAGACCAAAGGAGACTATTGGGGATAAGACAGCTAAATGCTGTGTGGTATTCTGAATTGTATCCTAGAACAGAAAAAGGATATTAATGGAAACAGTGGTGAAATTTGAATCAAGTTTGAGGTTTAGTTAATAGTAATGTGTCAGTGTTGCTTTCTTAGTTTTGACAAAAATGAGACGGCAGTACAAAATGATAACATGGGGTGTATGGGAACATTATGGGGTGTGCGATAAGGATGTATGGGAACTCTACTATCTTTGCAACTTCTCTACATGTAAAATCATTTCAAACTAAAACGGTTTTTTTAAAAATAAACAAACAACAATAATAAAAACACGTTGAAATTTAAATAAACGTGTTTTTTCTTTGGTAAACAATTTTACGTATAAGAAAGAAAGTCACCTCCAAATGATACATATCCAGTTTTTCTCCCTTTGTATCTTTCGATGTCTAAGATTTTATGAAACTCAAAAAAATTACCGAACCTGCCTGTGGCAGCAACACATTTTGAAACCCACCTGATGCAAATGAATGTTTATTTGGTTGTTGATGCTAGAATCTACGGTTACTTCTGCTGTTCTAGAAAGCATATATACCATCAAAACCTGAACACATATTTTATCAGAAGACATGGAAGTAAATTTATTGAATCCTTGAAGCTTAAGTCATAATTTTAAAATAAAAAAATTGAATTAGGATTAATGAGAGATATTATAGATAAAATAGAGATTTCTTGTTTACATTTCACATTATAACAATGAAAGGAAACAGAATGCTGTTTGGATTTATTATTCTTTAAAGGTGAAAAAAGCACTTGTAGAGTTGAGCAACACGAGGTATAGATTCCTCCACCTTTCTCTACTCACATGAAAAATGTATTTTAAGAATATTTGGGAAAGGAGGAGCTTTCTGAAGAATGACACTAAGAATTAAAATGTATCAAATTGTTTCTGTTTAAAATCAGTCTTACATTTATGTTAAATGAAGTAATAATTGATAAAACAATATTAAGTTGAGCAGCTCTATCAGAGAACTTAAGTATTACTCTTAGTGGAATGAAAACAGTGAAATATATAATGTTTTGGATCATTAAATCTAATACTAAATAATTATTTTTAAAGACTCAGAAGCCCCTGATTAAAGAATATAAATATGCTGAATTATGTTCAATAGATGTTTGTCATATCCACTTAAGGTTTAATGAAGTCCATAAAATTTGCATGTATACATCTTAAGATACATTACAAAATGTTTCCAAAGTACCAATTTTGGTTTACTTTAAAATGTTTTTAAATTTCAGTCATTCTGGGTATTGAATTTCTAGCATATATTACAGAGCAATTTCAGCAATGGTTATACACAAAATAGAACTTCTGAGTTTATTTGGTCTCATTTGTGTGTAAAAACTGTGATGTTATATACAACTACCTAAACGGTGTTAGAATTATGTTTTTCTGCCTGGTAGCCTATTGTCAGGTCAAGAAGGGAGTAAAATTTAAGTTTTTCAAATTAGATATGAAAAGAAAAATTGAATCTTCACAGTTTAAGTTACATATGGCATAACTTTGGTGCAGACTTCAGTTGCTTTTATAATCACAAGCATTCTTGGAAAATAACATCTATGCACCAATTATGGACTTTTACATAAATTTCTCTAGGTCTCAGAATAGATATCTTGCAAAGCAAATATCTGCATGTGAAGGAGACTCCTGTACTTTAATTTTCATGAAACAATGTCTTTACCCTGTTGCTTACATCTCAGGTAATAAATTGCTGTTTCTTTATTGAGTCATATTTAAAATCAAGCTAAAATCAATTTAAATTTTTTTTCAATGAGTCTTTTAAAATTTGTAATGTGTGACTTCTTTCTCATTCTAAGTATACATTAACATTCACATCTACTTTTGCATTTGTAGTTTTTAAAACATTTCTTAAGGAGAGTTCTCAGAATTGTATAAGCTTCAGACCTTACAAAACCTAAATCTGCATCAAAATGCCAACTGACTTTTAATTTCAGAATTACCTTGGCAATGGCACATATTAGAGCCAAAGCTATCTGGAGTCCTCTAGCACCCAGGAGGAGACAATAATGAGCATCTGTGGACACAGAGTCACTTATAACATAGATGCAGGATGAAAAATGGCAGAGCGTGGCAGCCTGAACCTGGGTTCTCTCTCCCTGCTTAACTAGAACTTGCCTGTTCTCCACAGTTTGGGCTGAATTTCACAGCTCGTATAGTTTGCAGAATCATCCTCAACACTTTTATTTAGCCGGATGCCCACTTATGCTCCCACCCCACCCCCCGCTAGCCTTGGTCCTGGGTTGTCATGCTTTTCATGGTAGGTTAGTGTTGCTAACCTCATATGCTCCCCTCGTGGGGGCTCAATTTCAGCTCCCATAATTATTTTACAACTGTAAACAATAACTTAATTCATATAGTATGGACTAAAAGGTAATTCTAGGAGCAACTAAAAGGGACTTCCCTCTGTATTTGAAAGGATGGTGTGAAATGACCTATATTATTAAGTGATGTTTTAGACTGCACATCAAAACAAATTAATAACAAAAAATATTTATTTTAAATTTTTAGGAAACTAGTCAATGTATTTTAAAGCTAAACATGGCAAGGATATGAGAGATCTAGAGATAGGCTACAGAAAGCATCTGTAGTTTTGTCTAGCATGCAATATTGTCTAGGGTTCAAAATGGGAGAAACCTAAGTATAACTTAATCAGGGCAAAATAGCAAATAGAAGTAGTAGATTAGACCAATAGTAAAATTATTTAGAAAGGTGTTCCTTTCTAGGCCAGGTGCAGTGGCTCATGCCTGTAATCCCAGCACTTTGGGAGGTTGAGGCGGGCGGATCACCTGAGGTCAGGAGTTAAAGACCAGCCTGGCCAACATGGTGAAACCCCGTCTCTACTAAAAATACAAAAATTAGCTGGGCATGGTAGCATGTGCCTGTAATCTCAGCTACTCGGGAGGCTGAGGCAAGAGAATCACTTGGATCTGGGAGGCGGAGGTTGCAGTGAGCTGAGATTGCGCCATTGCACTCCAGCCTGGGCAACAAGAATGAAACTCCATCTCACAAAAAAAAAAAAAAAAAAAAAGAAAGGTCTTCCTTTCTATTCTTAAAAATTAATGAGGATTAATATATATAAACCATATATATGCATTTATACATATATGCATGCACACACACACACACACACACACAGTCCTCCTTCCGCCAGTAAAGATAAGAATTATTCTGAACAAAAACTCATTCTTTCCATGTGAATAGCAATTTATATAGTTAATTTTTAAATGTTTAAACTTCTTTGTGTAATAGTTTATTATTGGACCCCATTTTCCCCATTTGGTCATAAAAATGATCTACTTTTACAATGGTATAGTATCCTGCAGCAATCATTTTTCTTCCTCTCCTCCTGCTTCTCCTCCTTCTTCTTCCTCATCTTCTTCTAAGCTCCATTATAACCTATATTCACATTTGCAGCTTTCAGAAAGAGCCAAACTGTACAGCAAAGAAAAACACCATAAATTCATGATGAAATCCTACTTTGGGTATTTTTTATGTACTCTCCAGTCTGCAAAGAGTAAATTAATGGGGATTTCTAATTTTGTTCTTCAGAATGAAATAGTGTCTGGTTGTTGAATTCCTGAGCTACTAATACATTTTCAAGCCTGACATTGTCCATTTTACATGTGGAAAGACACCTTCTAATTCAGTAAGTCAACTAATATTGTGAAAAGCAGTTGTCCATTTTCTTCTGTCTTCACTGTACCTTAATACTTTCTTGGGTCCAAATGAAAGCAAATACACTTTCTTCTTATTTCCTGGATTCTCTGGTCCAAATATACCTTTACTTCTTGTCACACCATTAATTATCTAGGCAGTTCTACACAAAGTATTGTCTTCCTTCAGCAATTTTTTATCTTTTGAAGTCATAGATATGTATTTCTCTAAACTAAACAAATATGTACTGACTTCCAAGATACATTAGATAACATGCAGCTAAGTACTTTCATGTCATCTCGTTTAATATACTTAATACCCTGTGGAACAGAGAGTATTGCTGCTAATTTGCACATAACAAAGAGAATGATTAGAACTTTTAAACAAATTAACCAAGTGTGCATCACTGGCTAGTGGCAGCAGGAGCTTCCCATTCTCATGCCAGTTCTGTGGTCACAAAGAGCAAGGACTTTGAAATGACACTTAGCTGGACCAGTCTCTCCACCTGCAGGCTCTCGGGCCTGCAGAAAATTACTTAACTTCACTAAACCTCAATTATCTTATTTATAAAGTGGAGATACAAAGTACTACAGAGGAGATTTGTTGATGATTAAATGAAATGATGTATTAAAAGAATTTAACCTTAGGAAAGAACATCAGAAGCTGCAGCTAACAGAGGCGTCCAGTTTTTCCCAAACCCAAATCCAGTGCTTTCCACTAAATTGTAGACACTGTTCATTATAATCGTCCCAGATTTTCTGAGCATGGTGGGTCATGCCTGTCATTCCAGCACTTTGGGAGGCCAAGGCTGGAGGATAGCTTGAGGCCAGGAGTTTGAGACCAGCCTGGTCAACATAGCCAGATCCTGTCTCTACAAAAAAAATTTAAAAATTGCTCAAGCATAGTGGCGTGTGCCTGTAGTCCTAGCTACTCAGGAGACTAAGGTGGGAAGATCGCTTGAGCCTAGGAGTTTGAGGCTGCAGTGAGCTATGATTGTGCTACTGCATTCCAGCCTAGGCAAGAATCTATGACATTTCACTTTCATGTCCAAAACCAACATAATTATATACATTAGTAGGCACCCAGCAGCCTATATAATGTCCCTGCCATTTTCACTCTTAGATAACTGACTCCACACTCCAACATCATGCCAGGACTCCTAATTGCATTATATTATACCAAGTATAATGCATCAAGAAAAAATTTAAAACTCAATATTCAAGAAGCATAATGTATATTTGAGTAAGTGGGAAACTAGAGAATCTTTGTTTTTAATTACAGGCTTCTGTACAGCTGACTTTGCTGCCTTCCTTAAATGGAAAAAGAAGGAAGGAAAACCAAAACAACTTTCCATTTCTGGTTTTAAACATGGAGCCAAATGTCCTATTCCTAACGAGCTGGGGGGAGCGGCAGGAGAGTGGGGAGAGCAAACAAAGCTTTAAAAATTAATGTTCTTGATAGAAAGACAGGCTTCAATTGGCTATTTAGGTTTAACTGTTGTGGGTCTCCAATATGACCTCATGGGATACAGCTCATTAAGCGATTGTATGAAAACATAAGAAAATAATTTTATCCAAACGGTAGCCACTCCAAATTTTCATCTCGAGTTAACCACAAGTTCTTAATGTTTCATTAGTAGAGGGGAATGTTCAAATTGAGAAATGCATAAATGAACTCTCCAAACGAAGGCATACATCCTTGTTGGTTTCTGGTTCTGGGCAAAAGTTCAGACAACTGTGTATTTTATCAAAACTATAAATACGTTTCAATGTGCATCCAATTACCATGCAGATCTCTAAAATGAAATGTGTGCAGTTTCTGAAGCACCCAAACCCCCTTTCTAAGCGCCAAAAGCAAATGGCTCACCTTAAACCTCTCTTCTATTTCTATCTTTAGAGTTCTGCATGGCCCATACTCTAGGACAGAAACAGGATTAGAAAAGACTGACTCTTGTAGCCCATCCAAACCACATACAGATTCCGCCTGGTTTCGATAAATGAGAAATACTGTTGGGCTGAATTTATGCTACCAAAAGTATTTCAGTGTCTTATTCTCTTTCCAGGGACTTGTGTAAGGACTTAACACTCAAATTGGGAAATGATTAATTTATTGAAAGCTCTGATTTCCAACTCTGAAAAATTAGTAAACTTTAAATACCTCAGGCTATTGGAAATCTCTCTGGTGTCTAAACCAATTAAAAAAATCAAGGGTGGACATAAGGTAACTAACACTGAGCTTGGTTTTACACAAATAGCCAAATCACGTAAGGTGGGAGCAGAAAATAATCCATGATGTAGATTTAGATAAACCCTAGTAAGAAAGGCAAAAATCTCCTCCAGAACACAACCATGATAAAGTGTAGTCCAAATTATTTTATTTTTAAAACTAGAAGCCCAGAGATGCTTCAAAAGATGCACACTCACAAGAAACACTAATTTTAATTCACTCCCCATCAAAGGAACATACTACCTGGAAACTATGATGCTTTATATAAATGTTAATGTCATTTTTAATTTTTTAAAAAACTTTTTAAACAATGTTGACTTTTTTATTCAATCAGAGGAATTCTGAAATTTTTAATGTATTAAGGATGTAGTCAAATTCTTTATGAATAAAAAGTGTTTCATTGTAGAAAACCGTATTTGAGTAATATGCAAGTCCTAAAATGTGGAATGGATTTAAAGGAAGAACTAGCAGATTTCTTAAGAACATCTCCTACTGTCCTTTAGAGATGTCTACCACCTTGATTTCATTTGCGTTCCCAAAGACTACTGTCTCCTAACTGGCACCCCTGACTCAGGTAGCACCCCTGGAAACATGTTCACCATTATCTTAAAACCACTCAGCTATGATTATATCAATCCTCAGCTTAAAACCCTGCAGTAGTAAATCCCTATGACCCATGAAGAATAAAGTCCAATATAAGCTCTTAGCTTTTCTTATGAAAAGTGGCTTTGGTGGTTTCCAATTTTATCAATCATTTATCTTCCATGTACCCCCTACACAAACCATGATCCCATGACAACAAACTGCCTGTAGCTGCTTAAAGACATCATGCTCTTTTTTGGTTCCATAGGATAGACTGGATAAAGAAAATGTGGTATATATATATACCATGGAATACTATGCAGCCATAAAAAAGAACAGGATCATGTCCTTTGCAGGGACATGGATGGAGCTGGAGGCCATCATCCTTAGCAAACTAACAAAGGCACAGAAAACCAAATACCACATGTTCTCACTTATAAGTGGGAGCTAAATGATGAGAACACGTGGACTTATAGAGGGGAACAACACATACAGGGGTCTTTGGGAGGGTGGAGGGTGGGAGGAGGGAGAGGATCAGGAAAAATAACTAATGGGTACGAGGCTTAATACCTGGATGACAAAATAATGTGTACAAGGAAAGCCCATGGCTAAATTTACCTATACAACAAACCTGCACTGTAACCCTGAACGTAAAAATTTTAAAAGAAGGAAAAAAAAAAAAAAATCACGACACCATACTAATTAATACCTACTTGTCTTCACAACTCACAATCTTCCTTCTGTCTGGAATAAGCCCTTTCACTTCTTTAACAACCTATCTCCTTGGAATGTTTGAGAATCAGCTCTCATTCAGAAGTAAGACAGCTTGAACATACATTGTTGTAGGAGACTTCCCTATGTGCCTCTTTATGTTTCACCCCCTCCTGTAGGCTACCTCCCCACCTCCACTGCACTTTTATTATTGCATGCTTTCATTCATCTCAGTCTTTTCATTATTTCAGTACATACCCAGGTTTGAGTTCTATTATTAGATTTCCAAATCTTAGCAGGAAGAAGTAGCATTTTATATTATATTGGTTTTCTCTAAAATATCTTACAGAATTCACATCTATAGTGGAGTCATATTCTTTGGACTAAAATAAACACCCATATTAGGGATCTTTTGACTAATTTAATATGTGCAACTGTATACGTAGGTGACCTTTTTGTTTGTTTGTCTGCTTTTGTGAGGTCAAAAATCATTCTCCAGATCTGGCTGACAAATATTTTATTAAGAATCTTCAATTATCCTTTGCCAGGATTTGCACAAGATAAACATCTGTGATAAGATGCCACTACATCCTTTTAAATATTTTAGAATTAGGTGGAACACAGAAATAAACTGTATTGCAGTCTTTTATTTTTAAAATTGAGGCACCGAAGGCAGAGAAAATACAGGAAGAGCATGAGAGCATGCTTTTGGTGTGTTTCTATCTTTGACACAAAAATGACAAAACTCTATCGACAAAAAAGGGAAAATACATTCTATTAGATACCACAATTTTATAAACAAACAGAAACACACATATAAAACCCCATAATGAGTTTCTTAAAAAGTATTTTTTCTAGGAAGAGGTTTTTCTTTTTAGTTGTCAAAGGCAAGCACTCAACAGTTTAAGCTTTTGCAAAACAAAATCATCTGATATTATCAGTAATGGCAAAAACCACAATTATATTTGCACCAACCTGCAGTTCAAAATGTTGCCTGTATTATTTATTCCATCTCTTCATTTATTCGCTGGATATTGTGTGCCTACCACAGCCTCTGTGCTGAAGTTAAAACGTTGTAAGTGTTTTTTTTTTTTCTCTTTGTTTGTTTTTGTTTGTTTTGTGTGTAAGTGTGTATTGTGGAGGCAGGGAAGGGAACAAGAAAGAACAAAACAAAAAATGACAACAAAATAAACAAGACAAGAATTTAGCTTTGTAAACCTGACATTCCACCTGTCATAATAAGTCTAAGTACAAGGGAGGAGAGGATGGAGAATATGGAATCTGCATGGTTTAAAAAAAAAGAACCTATGTTCAAAATGCCAAATTCTTAATATAAATTAGAAAAAAGTAACTCTTAGCCAAATCTTTACATTTAAATATGTTTTAAATTTGTCATTATAATAGTCGCATAATTTTTGACTGAATGCCTTTTTAAATTTATTTAACCAGTTTTATTTTGAATTTTTGTTTCTACTGTATTTCTGTTATAAATAAAGATGCACAATAACATCCTTTTACTTGAATATTTGGCCAATCCCTGTTCGTTTTCTTAGGATAGGTTTTTAGAAATAGGGTTAATAGTCCAACTTTAAGTCTGACTGATACATATTATCCAATTACTTGCAGAATGGTATCCTAAATTTACATTTTCAATTTTTCAATATTGTATGAGAATGCCTAATTCATTTTCAATATTTGTCAATTTATTGTTGAAAATGTATTGTGTATTAATATTTAGCTGGCATTAGTTCCTCAAAGAGCACTTTTAAAAGTCTTTTTTAGAACATTTTTTCCAAATGTGAATGTTTTATCTGTGAATTACCTATTTATGTGTTTTCCCCATTTTATGTCTCCTGGGTGTAAGTTTCCCTTGTTTACTTATTAGCAAACTTTATGGACTGTATGTTCCCCCAGAGTTTATAGTTTGACTTACCATTTAAAATAAGATAGCCTTATAATTCTTCACTTAACTTTCCTGTGTGCATTCTCTTCACCAGTGATATTTTTTCCTTTGTTTTTAATGCTGAGATAATCCTTCCTAATTCTATACAACAAGTAAATATTTAGCTACATTTTCTTCAAGTTTTTTTTTGTTTTTTGTTTTTTTTTAGTTGGAGTCTCACTCTGTCACCCAGGCTGGAGAGCAGTGGCGTAGTCTCGGCACAT
The DNA here is from genome assembly GCF_000001405.40 of Homo sapiens. Classification (NCBI taxonomy): domain Eukaryota; kingdom Metazoa; phylum Chordata; class Mammalia; order Primates; family Hominidae; genus Homo; species Homo sapiens. Next base: position 70,749,294 of record NC_000017.11, read on the forward strand.
TGTAACCTCCGCCTCCTGGGTTCAAGTGATTCTCCTGCCTCAGCCTCCTGAGTAGCTGGGACTACAGGTGCGCACAAACATGCCCGGCTAATTTTTGTGTTTTTAATAGAGACAGGGTTTCACCATGTTGGCAAGACTGGTCTCAAACTCCTGACCTCAGGTGATCCACCTGCCTTGGCCTCCCAAAGTGCTGGGATTACAGGCGTGAGCCACCACGCCCAGCCTCTTTGAATTATGTTTGGGTCCCTTTTTATTGTTGAAACAATGTGGAATTGATTTTGATGTGTGGTTCGTGGTGATGCTCTGACAGTACGCTGTTCAAAATTATCCAAGTCCAATCAATTATTGGTTAATCATTTCCTTCCCTATAGATTTTGTTACTCCACCTTTAAAAATAGAACTAAATTGGTATATCCATATAGCTTATTTTTCAGATATCTCTTCTGCATGATTGATTAGTCCATATATTCTTGCTTGAGTGCCATACTGTTTAAATTAATATAGCTTAACCATATGTTTTAATATATGGCAGGACAAGCCCACTCGCTTTTTACTTATGGTGACTGGACCTTTTAGATGTATTCTTATTAGTCTTCACCCTTCTTTTTCACTTGAACCGTGGTGGCCAGAGCATTGAGTGATGGCTACCCTGTTTTTTAGCTAGCCCAGATCTTGGTCTTAAAGTCGGGGCCACTTTTGAGAAAATGAAGGGGAAAGAGTGAACTGTTTTCCTTGTTCAGGTTTTGCATTAGGCATAGTGTCAGTCCATCATCATTTTTTTTTTTAAACCCAACTCTTTAAAGATAGGTGAAAATCACTCCAGATTCTAACGATGTGAAGTTGCCATTTTAATTTTTAATACTACTAAAAGTTTTTAACATTTCTAAATCATGATTAATTTTTCATGAGTAAATTGAGAAATCATTCATCAGGACCCATTTGCCTGAAACCCAGAAAGCCCTATTTTTCTATATCACCCTGTTAAAAAGGTTGGTCAAAACTTGCAAAGGAATGTATCATATGTGAGAAACAAAGAATTAATGGAGATAATTCAGGATAGAACAATAGAAGGAAGAGCAGATGCACTTTGTCGGGAAAGACAGCAGTTATAATTGTCTGGAGTTACAAACCTAGATACTCCCAACTTAATAATCTTTCTATTTTATTTTGCTTTTTGTGTTCTGTGAAACACCCTAACAATTATATTAAATGTTTTCTACAGAAACAAATTTTAAAATATAAAATTTATAAGATTCTAATGAATGCTGTACATTTGTAATCTAGTTTTTAAAAATATACATATATTTTAGCAGGTTTTATATATAAATATATATAATTTATGTATTTATATGTATATTTATATATATAAAACCTCAGATATTATACTTTGCTCTCAGAATTGTTTTGAGTTACATTTACATCCTTTATTTTAAGAGTTTCTGAACATTTCTGACTAGCACTAAAGTTGTGGGCTCATTTCTTCAGGGTCTTATTTCTTGTGCTCCAATTTGCTGATGTTGAAATGTCTCATATACTGCTGGGCACAAATATTCCAAACATTACTCACAGAAATTAAAAGAAAGTGGACCATATTGGACTGGAATTATTCATTCAATTCAATGCAGTCTAACATGGCTAATTCCATGCGGGAGTCTTAAGTTTAAATAAACTTTCCATGGCAATCTATTTTCTGAAGACTTTTGCTTTGTTTGAATTCTTTTATAGAAGGACATTTTCCTCCATATGTTTATTCTCACAGACAAATACAGGAAAAAGCCCACTTGCTCTTGTTGACCTTTCTGCTTAGCAACTATTACTTTTCTTAGCTCAAAGGTAATTCTTTATTCAAGAGGGCCTTATTTAGAACACATGATAGGCATTCAGAGTTTTCCAGTAGCCTCTGAACACTACAGAGTATTTATTTACATTGTATAAAATTAGAGGAAATGAAGGGGTATGCATTTGAACTAGAAGCAATAGCCCAATTCTCGTTATGGAGAGATTTCAGTCAATGTCACTTTGGGGGGTGGTGGGGAAGAACTCAGATTACAGACATTTTAAACAATACAGATTTTTGTTACCTAACAATGAAATACATCATTTTGCTTTCTCAATAAAACCCAGGCTGTGAATCATGGGCTATTTCTATTCTACACATTGGCTAAGAGTACATTTCAATCCCTGTCTTCGCAAACTAAGACGTATGGAGTGATCTCTGTTGACATAGCCCAGATGAAACTACTTTAGGAAATATATTATTTGAAAAGGACTTGGATGCATCTAATAAGATGTCTGATTTGCTGTGAGCCCATGCATTTGCACATAGATATTAATAAAAGAAAGTTAGTGAACAACTGGTATCTAGTATGATACAAATGGGATTTGTATTGGTATGGTTTGGATTAAAACAAACCACGGCTTGTGTCATTGCCATTGTTTAAAAAGTGTGACTGGTATTTAGTTAGGTTGAGTTTAAATATATTTGGAAACAAGTTTTGCTGAATCCAACACTCAAGTTTATCGTCAGAGAAAAAAGTGCTGTTAATCTGCACTCTCATTATTTCTAAATGCAACACACAAAAGCAATGGTTTTAGTTCAAAGGACAAAAACAATTTAGTTTACCTATATGTGGTGTTCTGTATGTAAAATACATGATAAACAAAACTGGAAAAATATATGTTATGATAAAGCCATTGGGTAGGCCAACTGTAACCAAGTTTTACCAATTGTGAGACAGTTTAACGTTATCTACCTCCTAAAGTAATTCTAGAAATAAAGAATGTAAAATAATTCTAGAAATAAAAGCTAACTGATATAGCTATTGTGCAGATACCAAAGTAGTTGAATATATCTCCATCCTGAGAAAGTTTTAGAAAGAAAAAATGTAACCTATTATATTCATTTTGACACTGCAAAAAGGCTGGAGTAATCCATAACATTAAATTCAATGAACAATACCACTTTTCCAAAGTAATTGTCAACCTATTCACATCTTCATTATTTAAGCTCCCCTTAGAGAGCATGTAATAAATAATTTTGCATAGATGTTTATTTTAAATATCTATTTAATTTGTCAAGCTCAATGCAGGACTACTGAAAGTATAAACAGGTTGGAACATTGTTATTCATTTGTATACATCCCAGAACCTGAACCTTAAAGTTAAGAATAACAATTTTGTCAACAAAACTGAGTAAAGGGCCAGTAGCGGTGGGTCACGCCTGTAATCCTAGCACTTTGGGAAGCCGAGGTGGGAGGATCACTTGAGCTCAGGAGTTCAAGACCAGCCTGGGCAACATGGAAAAACCCTTTATCTAAACAAACTAGATACAAAAACTGGCCAGAGGCAGTGGCGCGGGCCTGTTGGACCAGCTACTCAGGAGGCTGAGGCATGAGAATCATTTGAGCCCTGGAGGTGGAGGTTGCAGTGAGCCAAGATCACTGCACTGTAGCCTGGGGGACAGAGTGAGACTCTGTCTCAAAACAACAACAACAAAAATCCTGAGTAAAGATTCCTAATAAAAAGATTATTTAAAAATACAAAAATGTATATACTATTTTAAGAAATTAAAATATAGATCGCTTCTCAGCCTTTTAGTTAAAAGAAAGTGTAAAATATGGTTTTGAAGTACTCCAGTAAGTTCTGTACTCTTTACAAGAATGCAGCTAAATATAAAATGAGCACATATATACACAAAAGTGTTATAAAATGAACTTTAGATGTATTAATTAATTGTTGTGCATTAAAAAACATTTATCTTCTAAATCAGGGGTCCCCAACCTCCAAGCCACAGACTGGCAGAGTTCTGTGACCTATTAGGAACCCAGTAGCACAGCAGGAGGTGAGTGGCAGGCAGGCAAGCATTATTGCTGAGCTCCGCCTCCTGTCAATCAGATCAGCAGTGGCATTAGATTCTCACAGGAGCACAAACCCTATTGTGAACTGCACAGGTGAGGGATCTAGGTTGCACAACCCTCTGAGACTCTAACTAGTGCCTAATGATTTGAGATGGAACAGTTTCATCCAGAAACCATCCCCCAACCCCATGGAAAAATTGTCTTCCAAGAAACCAGTCCCTGGTGCCAAAAAGGTTGGGGATTGCTGTTTTAAGTTATGCATTCACATATTTATATGTGTTTGCAAAGATATACATATATATATATATAATATATATATACACACACATATATATACACACATACATATATACATATATACACACACATATATGTGTGTGTACATAGATATAGAATTAAAATGGCAGTCCTTATTTCTGGCTAGTATGCTTATAGGAGGCACTTCATTTTTCCTTTCAATTTTCTGTTTTCTAAATATTTTTTCATTTAGACATAGTGAAGATATACTGATTGAAAGACTACTAACTGTAGTAACGACTATAGAAACAAATGGCTTTTGTGTATGTCTCACTGCACTAAATTAGGAGACACATATTGTTACGTTGTCTCACAGTGGGTGAAACTTGGTTAAAATGGGACTGCTCAATGGCTTTATTGTCACATACATTTTCCATTAATAATTATTATTCAATAACTTAAATCCATTATAGTAAAACTAGGTGAAGTCAATGCCACTTTGTAAGATGTCCAAGTTCTTTGTTGTATTATTTGAGGTTAATATCATTTTTGCCTTGTTAATATATCATTTCACTTATGTCTTCTGTACCATGAGAAAATTAATCTATGTTTTCCCCCACCTTTTAATTTCAATAATGATTCTGCCCGTTACAGTCTACTTTCAGGTGCCACCTAAAGTGATAATTAGTATCTATTGATCTAATATGATCATCCTTTTTACCTATCACAGGACTTTTCTCCTTACACACCCCATCCATTTCATCAAAAGAAAGGGGGTGTTGCTTATAACGAGTTCACCTGCTTGTCAATTGAGATGGTGGAAAGAAAGAGATGGTTCATTCAGTGTGACTATTTACAAAGGGGTGAGCAGGGTGTCGGGGAATGCAAAAAAAAAAAAAAAAAATGTAATACTTTGTGAGTAGTAAGAGTAGGGTTTTGTTAAAATCCCTAGACCTGAATGTGTAAAGGAGAGAGGGAGACAGAGAGCTGTGATAATAGCACTGCCGGGCAGGACCTGTGATCCTCAAGGGAAGGTCACAGCCACGTGTTAACCCAACATGGATGAAGCCAGAGGAGTACATACCAGGTGGACCTTCCCCTTTTCCTCTAATATTCCACCATTGTTCTCCATTGACAGGAATCCTAATGGGACCCAAGTAGTGTCATCCTACAGGCCAGCTTCCCTGGCTCAGAGGCAGTGTGGGGAAAAGATAGAGGATCAGCAGGGCCAAATGGGAGATTCCAGCACCCTCTCCTTGGGGATTTGACTTCTATCTGATAAGCCCTTCAGAGCAGGGTTATTAAACTTCTGTGAGCCACAGACCCTTTTGAGAATTGAAAACTAATAATCTGTCGACCCAGAGACATGCACATGATAACATACACACACACAAATGTGGCATGCACTTTTAGGGAGCATTCCATAGTTCCTTGAGTCCATCCTAAGTCTCAGGTTAAGAAAGTCTGCTGTAGTATTAGTAAGATTTAGGAATCTTATTTTTGTCTCACATGAAGCTGTTAATTCTCCTTTCTTTGGTGAAATTCAAAAGATCCAAATAAAGGTGTATTTTATCCAGCTTTGTGGTCTCCATGCCAATCATATAGATTGTCTGGAAAATGTCCAGAATATCAAGGCAAAACTTGTCAAGAAATCCACATTTGGCAATTGTATCAATAGGAAAACAATTTACAAGCATTTATTTAAAAAATACATTTACAGGCTGGGTGCGTTGGCTCATGCCTATAATCCAGCACTTTGGGAGGCAGAGACAGGCAGATCACGAGGTCAGGAGATCAAGACCATCCTGGCTAACACGTCAGGGACGTGTTACCCCGTCTCTACTAAAAATACAAAAAAAAGAAAAAAAAAATAGCCAGGCGTGGTGCTGGGCGCCTGTAGTCCTAGCTATTCAGGAGGCTGAGGCAGGAAAATGGGGTGAACCCAGGAGGCGGAGTTTGCAGTGAGCCGAGATTGTGCCACTGCACTCCGGCCTGGGAGACAGAGCGAGACTCAGACTCAAAAAAACAAAACAAAACATTTACAGGAGTTAAGAGTTTTAAATGGAGGTAATATGCAAATAACAGTATTAAATGGCTTTTAGTTAAACTATTCTTTTTCACTATAACTGCAGGCCAAAGACATAGTTCTCAGTTCAAAGCCATTTGTTAGACAACCAACTCTTCTATTACAAACTCTTCTAGAAGATAATTTGGAGGTGGGCTGTATTAACTAGAGATGTTTCTAAAGAAAAGTCTTTCAAGTTTTGGAAAACCGTTGAAGTATTTTTGTCATTGGATTTCTATCAGAGGCACAAGTATGTGTCCTACACCAATGACTGGTGCTTCATTAGGGGTATATCCATACATACCCATAAGGATATATATATGGATCATGGCCAGGCCCTAAGGGAAAGGCTGAAATCTGTGTAGCAATATAACTGTCAGATTGACACAGGAATGGGTCTGTTGATATTAACCTGGCTAATCATTTTGCTAATTGGACAGCCAGTTGGGCCACAGTGCAAAGTCAGATCAGTTTTCACTTTAACTACTCACACAGATGATGTTTGACTCAAATGTATTACTTTATATCAACACACTGAATGGCTGTAAAAATAATACCACATGTGCTGCTGCCTCTTTTTAATAAGTGTCTTCCTCAATTTTCCCTGTTATAATAGAGATTTTAACACACAAAAATTAAAGGTTATTTGGAGGATATCAGTTGAAAAATGCACCCATAGGATTCTGGAAATTAATCTGGCTACCAGTGCATCTCCTAACATAACTGCTTTATCGCTTGTCTCCACTTTAAGCAGCTCTCATTCAAATTGACTACCTTTGATTTGCTGCTGAAGGAGCACTGTGACCTTTCTCTCTGCTTTCTTCATCCACATAATATGACCTTCCCTCCTGCCACCCACAAAAAAAATATTTTTTTGTTTGTTTGTTTTTGTTTGTTTGTTTGTTTGTTTATTTTCGGGATGGAGCTGTTGCCAGGCTGGAGCGCAGTGGCACTATCTTGGCTAACTGCAACCTCTGCCTCCCAGGTTCACACAAGTCTCCTGCCTCAGCCTCCCGAGTAGCTGGGATTACAGGAGCACATCACCACACCTGGCTATTTTTTTGTATTTTTAGTAGAGACAGGGTTTCAGTATGCTGGCCAGACTGGTCTCAAACTCTTGACCTCGTGATCCGCCCGCCTCGGCCTCCCAAAGTGCTGGGATTACAGGCGTGAGCACCGCGTCCGGCCCATTTATTTCTTTTATTAGCAAATTTTCACCTGAAAAATTAAAGAAAAAATTGCAAGTTTCCGATGTAGAGATGAATTAGCAATTAAAGCCAGATTGTTGTCTGCCAGTTATAGAAGACACCCCTCAAAGCAAGGAATTTTGCAGTGGGTTTAGACAAAAGCATCAGAATTATTGTTCATATTTCAGATCAATTGAATTATTGTGACATGAAAACTAGTTAGACGAAAAGTTTTAAAACTAGAAATAAAGCTTTGCTAATGTTCACAAAATTATTAAAAAGAGTTACGTCTTCAAAAATGAGTTGACTATAATTAATAAGAGTTGCAGCATTTTTTGGCTAGGTAGCTTGCTACCTTATGGGAATAAAACTGCTCTCAAAATTTTGTGTTTGTTTCTTTAAAAGATTTGTTTGTTTTAAAAGAATTATTTAGACCCTTTAGTCTTTTCGATGACTGGAATATTCATCATGTTACTTTATAATTAATGATCAAAACTTCCACCACGTCAAACTCTCAACTAGGAATCGAGAAAATTGATCTATTTATGCTTCATCTTCTTTATTTCTCCTGTTTAATGTATAGTGAAATGAACAGTGAAACAAATGGCGGAAAGAGAATCTTTCTGCAGTGATACATCTTGGTACTGTGGGAAAAGCTTATCCACATGGAAAAATATATCATCCTGAAGAATGATTGACTTTGAATGTTTGCATTGGGCTGAATAGAACATTATCACAAGTTGTCCTACCAGATTCTTTAATAAGTAAAAAAGGAAAAATATATATATAGATAATGGTAATAAATTTGCTTCTGCTGTTTCCTCTCCCTGAAATTTCCTTTTCCTTCCCATGTTCACCCATCCTTATCAAGACTGCCTGGGTGATTCCAAGTTCTCTTGCCTAAAGCTCCATTTGATTCTCTCCAAAGAGAATTATTCTTCTCATCTTCTGCCACCAAAGCTTTTCATAGCTTGATCTCCTTGATCTTTTCATGTCATAAGCCTCAAATGCTTTATATGGTCTCACGAGCTGTTATCTTACTAAGTTCATTTATAATATGGTTTTCTAATGGCTAACGACTTTCTTCTCTTGTAAAACTCTTGAGGATATAAAACATCTTTTTCTTAGAATTACTTTTGCACAGAACACTACTTTCCTTTCAGATAATAGGTCATCAAGAAATTATCAGTGCATCCAATTGGCACCCAATTATAATAACATTTTTCAATTTTTAAAATTGGGCTCTCTCTCTCTCTCCACACACACACACACACACACACACACACACTCACACTTGCTCCAAGCAAGTATGAAACCCACCAGGGAAGACATTAAATCTTAAAGCTAGGGAATAATCTCTTTTGACTGCACATATCACCTTTTGGACACACTGGGGTGGGGGTTGGAAGGCCACAGGCAGCCCTGTCCCTGTGGCTTTGATGGATGCAACCCAAGCAGCTGCTTATATAGGTTGAGTTGAGTGCCTGAAGCTTTCTTTCCCAGATGGGTTTTGCATGTTGTTGGGGACTTCGCAGTTCTGGGGGCCTGGTGGTGGTCTGTTCCCATGGCAACACTGTGCATTGTTCTGGTGGAGAGTCTCTGTGGCACCTTAGTCACCTTTCTGCTCAACATTGCTCTAGTAGGGGCTCTCTTTGGTGGCTCTGCCCCAACACAAGTCCTTGGCCGAGCCCCCAGGCTTTCTACAACATCCTTTGAAGTGTGGCTATGAAGCCTCTGCAGCTCTTGCTTTCTGTAACCCTGCAGGATTAGCAGCAGGTGAAAGCCACCAAGGTATATGACTTGTACCTTCTAGAGATGCAGCAGGAGCTACACCTGGATCCATCAGAGCCATGGGTGGGATGTGGGAACTGTCTTGAGATAGCCATAGACAGGGAACCTAAGTCCATGGAGAGTGGCCTAGTTCTATTCCCTGAAAGCATTCTGCTCTTGTAGGCCTCTGGGCTTGTGATGGGAGAAGCAGCATCAAAGAACTCTGAAATGCCTCTGGGGTCTTTCTTCCATTGTCTGGAGGAATAGGACCTATATCCTTCTGCCCATGCTAATCCCTTTAGCAAATGGCTGCAGGGCTACACCCGTGGTTTCCAAACCTTAAAACAGTTTTCACTCTTTACATGACCAAGCAGAGAATTTTCTAAGTCTTACCCCCCTGCTTTTCTTTTATTTATAAATTTTGTTTTTAAATTATCACTTTGCTCTTAAGTCTCACCATTAGTGGCCAGAAGTAACCATGGAGCTTCTTATAAATTTTGCTTAGAAATTTTTTTCTGCCAGATACCTGAGTGTATCACTCTCAAGTTCTGTCTTCTACAAAGTCCTCAGGCATGGACATAGTTCAGCGAATTTCTTTGCCAATTCATAACAAGGATGGTCTTTACTCCAGTTTCTAATACCTTGCTCCACAGTGCTATCTGAAACTCCATCAGACTGGCCTTTACTGTCCATATTTCTATAAACATTCTGGCCACAACCACTTCATCAATCTCTAAGAAATTCCAGACTTTCTCTAGTTTTCTTATCTTCTAAGCCCTCACCAGAATCTAGCCTGTTCCTTCAAATTCTTCCAACTTCCACCTACCACTTAACTCCCAAGCTACATCTACATTTTTAGGTGTTCATTATCAGCAACGTTCTACTTCTTAGCACCAATTTCCTATCTTAGTCTGATTTTTGTTGCTAAAAACAGAATAGCTGAAATTGGATAACTTAGAAAGAAAGGAATTTATTTCATACACTTATGAAGGCTGAGAAGTCCAAGGTCAAGGGGCTGCATCTGGTAAGGGTCTTCTTGCTGATGAGAGCTCTCTGCAGAGTCCTGAGGCATTACAAGGCATTGCATGGTGAGGCAGCTGTGTGCAAGCTCAGGTCTCTCTTTCTCTTCTTATAAAGTCACCAGTCCCACTCCCATGATAACCCATTAGTCTACTATCCCATTAATGCAGAACCCTCATGACCCAGTTACCTCTTAAGGCCCCGTCTCTCAATAATGCCACATTGGGGCTTACATTTCAACATGAGTTTTGGTGAGTACAAATATTCAAACCATAGCACATGGCCAGGTTAACTTACCAATATTCTTGGCTATAATTGCTGTGGACATATGGAAAACCAGTGTTTTATTCTCAGAGCTGCAAATGTCTCATGTTAATTTTAGTCATTTGTCCATTCAGTAGCTCAAAGGACTAAACTAAACTTTAAAATTTAGGAAGAAAGATCAGAGCAAGTTTTGTATTCTATTGACCTCAATGGCTTTAATGTGTTTATTATAAGCCCTTTAAGGAAAGAAATTATTCCTTTCATTAATTTTCCATCATAACATGCTGTTAATGTTACTTAAATATAATTGAATTAATAAACTAGTGATATAACATTTTTAAGATTGCTATTGCAACTAGATGATATTTTGTGAATTAAAAATATATTAATATGACTCTTTAAAATAATGTACTCTGCCTCATTTAGGTATGTAATATATTAGAACCTAAGAACAGAATTGCCTATGGTGATCTCAGCTTGTCTTTAGTTAAAACAGAAACTATTACTACAGTCCAACACGTTGGATAGTAGAGCGCTGTTCAACCATGTTTACTGCCCACATGAAAAACCCACTGTGTCCTCCAAGGCCTTTTGCAAACTAGAGTTCACCTAGAAATGCCCTTTTCCTCATTCATTATGGCCCAGCCACAGTGGCCTTTTCATATTGTTTCTCTAACGTGCTTGTTTGTGCCATAAAATTTTATTCTTATACTTACCCTCAAATCTTCTCAAAGTTGACCTTTTGTTATCATTCAGGTCTCAATGCAAATGTCATGTCTTCAAGATATCTTCCCTGAAGATAAACATAAGCAGCTTCCTTCAGTCATTCTCTTTTACATCCTGTATTGTTTTGTTTTGTTTTGTTTTTCGAGACGGAGTCTCGGTCTGTCGCCCAGGCTGGAGTGCAGTGGTGCGATCTCAGCTCACTGCAAGCTCTGCCTCCCGGGTTCACGCCATTCTCCTTCCTCAGCCTCCCGAGTAGCTGGGACTACAGGCGCCGGCCACCATGCCTGGCTAATTTTTTGTATTTCGTTTAGTAGAGACCGGGTTTCACCGTGTTAGCCAGGATGGTCTCCATCTCCTGACCTCGTGATCCGCCCGCCTCGGCCTCCCAAAGTGCTGGGATTACAGGCGTGAGCCGCCGCGCCCGGCCCACTCTATTTTGATTGCCTAATCAGATTTATCACCATTTGAAATTATCTAGTTTGTTTTTATTCTCAAGTCCAATGAAATATATATAGATTAGAAGCTTCATGACAACAAGATCCTTATTGTTTGTAGCTATTTCCTTACTGTCTAGAATAGTGTAATTTATTGCATAAAATAGAATTCTAAATAAGTATCAGCTCTTTTTGTCTATATCCCTAGAATATAAGTAACTACTGGAAGTATACTTAGATATGGACTATAGTATATGATTTTGTTCCAAGCTATATAGCAAAATTCAGTAGCACATCATCAATGACTCAAGCTAAATGTAAGTTGAAAAAGAAGAAATATTTGTTTTTAGCACCTAATTCAAATTTGGGCAAAAGGCAGTGTACTGTGAATACTTATTATAATTTGGTTGAAACTGATCTGATGTGGATTTAAGGTGCATTAGAGGTGTTTGGAATTGAAGACAAGGGTCTGTAAAGATAATATATTATTCTAGACTTCATTGCTTCCTTAAAATTGAAACTGTTCTCCATGATCCTCCTTTGGGAAAGGAGACTTATTCAGAGTGGGGGTTTGCTTGCATTTGGTTGTTCAGCTGTATATCAACTGGCATGGGTTCAGCAGAGGTCTCTGCCATTTTGCATTCAATCCTCCTGAAAATCACCACCCAAATATCCTACAACAGGGATCAGGCTTCGGTTTAAGTGCTGCTCCGCTCACATACTTGTGTTCTAGTCATTTAGAAAAGTGTGATTAAAAACCATTATGTGCCCTAACAGATGTGACCTTGAAGAGTCTACTAAGGTTTAAAAAAAAAAAAAAAAAAGGTGCAAAGCAATAGTGGTTAGACTAACACCAGGAAAGTATTATATGAGCTGAACCACATTGAACAACTTCTCATTGATTACTACCTTCTGTTTCAAGAAAAATACCACGATGTTTAAGAATGAGCTGCAGTGTTCTTACATCAGTCCCCTTTCCCCATCTCACTACTTCCCTGGTTCTAACGAGGAAGAAATTAAACATAGATGGTTGCTGAATTTTAAATGCTGTTCATTGAAGAGGAATTATTGGATTGTTACCATCTTCATTTCCTCTAGTCTCAGATAATTTAATCCATGTGCCAAGAAAATACAAAACAAACAAAATAAAGCCATGGAAACCATTTAGAAAATAAGATCTTTTTATTTAAAAAATCTCTCTTGTAAACAGTAAAGTAATCTTAGGAAACAAGTTAGCTACCTTTTATTAAGCATACTGCTCCTGTTGACTGAGAGTTTTGCTAATTTCCCTGAGAGTTTACAAAAGCATCTCAGTGTTTCATATCTAATGTAATATGCTGTACCTTGTCCACAAATATGGAACTACTTAGTTACCAGTGTTAAAACATGTAATATAAATTGTCAATACAGCAGGAGAGCTTTTTTTAACTAGTAATACTCTTTCCTATTTGTAATGATTAATAGATTATTCTGCTCTTCTCTCCACAAATATTTTGGTCCTACTCGTGACCAAAGATATATATTTATGACATCTCTTGAGCAAAGGATGGAGTCTGTAAGCCTGAGAACTGGACAACTGAACTTGGATTCAATAATACCAGGCATAAAATATAATATAGTTTCCTGGAAAAAGTCTATTAGCAATACAAATATGTGCTTCACGAAAGTTTGTAGAAAAATCAGAATAAACTATTTTTTCCTCAATTATCATGCTGAATAATGTGTTTTATCTTCAATTTTATTTTTATTTGATATGGATTTATAGCATGCATAGATATTTTAAGCAATATGACTATAAAATAGGGCTGTTGCACATTGCAGACGGTAACTGTGAATACCTTGCATTGCAAAGAATGAAACTTAAAGAAAAGTAATCCTATTATAGTAAAGGCTTTATACATTGCACAATGTTTTGTTAAATTATTAGCACTTTTCAGATACTATCAAGTAAAAAGATATTATATAGTTTGAGACAACTTTTTTTAAGCTAAAAATAAAATTTATTTAAATGGTCCTTGATATATCCTGTAAAACAAGAGAGAGGTAAAAATACCAGTAGTAATTATACCCAACTCTTGCAAATTTAAGTAGATTTGTTGTTTGAAATAAGCCCCCACAAACAAAGTTGCCTGCCTCTTCTAACAATGGCCAATTTAAAAATTACTTTGAAGTTTACAAATAGTAGTCTGTTAATGTGGGTAATTAAAACAACATAGCATTTCATTTTAATTATTGAATTAGTATGTGTCATGAGGGTGTAAACCAGGGACCTGTGGAAAATCAGAGTCAGGACAATGTTATCAAAGAATTGAGGAAAGTAGTTACGGTTGAGCCAAAGACACTTCATCATTTATTAAGTTGGTGCAAAAGTAATTGCGGTTTTTGCCATTACTGCAACTATTTTTGCACCAACCGAATAGTTAAGTCATCTTTGTTCTTGAGGCAAACTGAGAATTAATGGTATCCCTCAGACAAGAGTTAAAAACTCATCATATAAGCACAAAAGAAACAGGAAGCTAAAGGATTGTTTTTTAAATCAGCAGGTTCAAGATGGCACCCTCCATCAGACTTCTGTGTTCCCAGCCCCACCGCACCAAGGCCTCTAGTAGAAGCTAGCAAAGAAAGTCATAAGCTCACCACACGTAGCTCATAAAAACATGGGGTGGTAAATATAATTCATTTACACGCAGTACCTAGCAACGATTCAGAGCAATTTTAAGATTTCCAAGGATGCCAGAGGAATGCAGGTGAATGTGATGACTTGTAAGGTGCTTTGAAGCTCAAGGGTAGACTTGTCATGGGGCAGGGAAGACAGCAAAACCCAGGATAACTTCTTTATAACTCAGAGACATTGGTGCCAATATCGACTGCTGAGTGAAAATGTACAGTTGGAAGATACCGTGTTTGAGCTGGCTAGACAGAAATTAATTCTTGGATATCCTACATACAAGAACTCATTCTTTTCTTTCTAAATTTGTATTTCCTAAAGAATATATTAGGAATGTTCCCAGAATGTTCTCTGAAAGGTCTAAAATCTTGCTTGGTAGAATACTTTATATAGGGTCTTTTGATGGTGAGGGGGTAAGAGATTTTTGTGGGAAAGTGGGAAAAATAGAGGATAAGGGAGTAAGAAGATTGTAGTTAAAACAAAAAAAGTCTAGGTCTTAAAATTGCATCTGTCCTTCAACTTCAACTATTATCTAATCCTTGGCAAATCACTTCCCCCATCAGAACCTCGGTTCCCTCATGAGCAAAATGAAAATAATAATGACTTAGAGAACTCTTGACAAGAATCACATGAAACAATGTCTGTAAAAGGCCTAATGGAATATAGTACTCTTAATTTTTCATTTCATTAAATTCCTTTGAAAATTCCTAATCTGTCTTTCCTGAAATGAAGGTAGAGTATAGTACTATATTTTTTCGTTATCTATTTTGGTTAAAATTTGAATAGGAAACAGTATGAACCCAGACAGGCCAAATGTAGTAGTGATACCCAGACTGTATGTGTGCTTGAAACTAAGAACACTTAAAGAAGGCAAGAAGTAAAGAACTCCCATCATGCCTAGAGGTAGCACAGCCTTCCTGCATGGATATTTCAACAGAAAGTTCACAGTTCTTGTAGGAATTGGTGCCACTCTGTATTTCTATGTCTTATAATTGCTAAAAGGAATAGATAAGCAGTGCAGTGGATGGGTTTATTTTCAAGTGTTCTTAGTGCATAGGATAGGGTTTGTAATGATAAGATAATGTTAAGAAAAATCCATAAAATAGGAGAATGAGAGAGTGAGGGGAGAAGGTAAAACTCATTCTGTTCTTGTTCTCTGAGGTGAAGCTTGATTGAAATTTTCTGTGGGTGAGTTGTTACGTGAAGCATAGTTCTAGAAGGTGGTGAGAAGTTAGGAATATACGCATCTCTGTTTCACTCCAGCCCAGTAAGTCTTGACTGTACAGCTATAAGAAAACTCTGTATTATATATGTAAAACCCCATCGCCCAAAGATAACTTCCAAATTAAAGAAATATTTTTCTTCTCTCTTTAACTATAGGAGATCTTGAAACCTTTTTGCGATGCATTTCCTTCTACTCTGTCCTCTAGCAGTCACTAAATAATACGCTTTTACCTACAGATGGAAGCAAGTTTGATTTTAAATGAGGACAATTTAGATAAACTTTGGGACCTGTGTAAAATGATATTTAGAATATTCACGAATTCTGATTTCACACAGTTTTCAACAATAACACTTTTGTATTTAAGCCAATATGATTATCTTTAGAATACTAACTATTCCCTCTAATAATAAAACTTTTTTTTAAAATTACACATAGTGTTACAAGTTTTTACAACTTATATAAGATTATTGACATTGACTCAACCCATATTTTGACACCATTACCCATACATGCAAGACATATGTTTGTGGAGATACACAGTAATAATCTACCTTATAGTTTACAAACTTGGATTTTAGTTTCTTTTGTTCTCTTTCAGACAAGATCCAACTCCTGTTACCTAGGCTGGCGTGCAGTGGTGTAATACTGGCTCACTGCAGTCTCAACTTCCTGGGCTCGGGCGATTCTCCGACCTCAGCCTCCCTGGTAGCTGAGACTACAGGCATGCACCACCATGCCTGGCTAATGTTTGTATTTGTAGTAGAGAAGAGGTTTTGCCTTACTGCCCAGGCTGGTCTCAAACTCCTGGGCTCAAGCAATCTGCCTGCTTCAGTCTCCCAAAGTGCTAGGATTACAGGCATAAGCCACTGCGCCTGGCCTAGTCTTTATTTATTTATCTATTTTTAACGAAAGACATTGATATCTCTCTCTTCTAACAGTGATGGTACTGGTATATGATATGTCAACTACACTCCTGCAGAGCTGCAAGTATGTTAGCCTTGGTAAATGAGAGACATGAGTAAACATTGATCATATGGCAGATATCTGACAACTTACAGATAAATCTATATTTGTAAAAAAAAGTTATTCTCAATTTTTTTTTGCTTTGTTATATTTCACTTAAATGGGGGAACCAAAAAAGTACATGTAAAAGTAGTTATTCAGGCTAAGAGTTCATAATATTAAAAGAGCTTTGCTTATTTTGGGAAATTTTGCACTGATAAAAAAAGGCATACGAAGACTAAGTTAATAAAAATTTATTTATAGTTAAAATACATGTGTGATTATAAATGTCTATCCCTATATTGCAACATTTAATTAGTATGAATACATCCAAGTTTAGGTCTTCTTGCATATTCAATATGGTAAGTATTGTTTCAAAATGCTTTAAAGAAAATGTTTAAAATAGTTTACTATGAATTAAAATATTTAGCAGCCATGAAGGGATAAGATATAAGGACTTAAATTGTTATTTTGTTCTTTAAATAAATACATTGAACTGATTACAATATTTTTATACATTTTGATGTAACAAATTACTTCATGGGATATAACAGGAAACCAAGCTAATTTTCCATCAATTGCACTGTTGAAGATTGTCCTACTGTAATATTTTGATTTTAGGGCATTAGGACTTATTTCTAGCAGAATACGGGAATAGAAGTATTCAGCTCTGACATGATCATTCGTTTCTGTCTCAGGACCTAGGTACATTTTAATAGATGGGATGAGAGAGAAAGGGCTGTTTTGTCTCTCAAGGAATTGCTAAACCAGATGTTGAAAAGGGAGGAGAGATTTTTAAATTTTAGTTGAAAAGCAGTATCCAATGAATTAAAAACTGATACCCAATCAGTAACAATGCCTCCAGCCACATAGCTTTGGGCACTTCTGAGTCCACCTCTGGCCACTTCTTTACTCCTCCATGAAGTGACTTTTCCAGGTCACTTCTTGTTGTATATTTGTGGAGGATTTCTACTAGAAGCGTGCAGATCACCATCTGCTCCACAGATCAAAGGCATCCATCTCCTAAGTTCCCCACTGAAACAAGGGTCAATGTTGGAAAATTTAATTCAGTGAATGCCACTCATAAAAATGAATTGCAGATTTTAATGAACCTTAATTTTCAAAGGAATTTATTCTATGATATTTAGCTAAAAATAAAAATACAATAATATAATGGTATAATTAGTTTTCTTAAATTAGTATATTTTCTGTTTGGTGCCTGATAGAGGGAAAAATGGCATTGTTGTACTTCGAAGACGTTTTTCTTCATTCTGTCTTAGCAGGCAAACTTTTTTTTTTTTAAATAGTATTTACACATAATGAAATGGTTATAAAAAATCTAAGCTTATTTTCAACACGTAAAGAGATGTTTCTGAGTGATGTTTGTGTGTTGTAAATTTAAGCAACCTTTCCTTAACTTTGAAATTTTTCAAACTTTGTATCTTTGAAAGATTTATGTTAAAAGCTGAAAACATCAAAATTAAGAAGCCGAACCCCCAAATTTCTGATTTTTAAGATGGAAAGCCATCTGAACTTTTACAGGATTCCAACAGGGGGCAGTGAAATTCCACAGATGAACTTGATGGCTGTGCTGAAAAATAGATGCCCAGAATGTAAATCTCTGAAGAGAAATATGTCTTAACACAGCTACCTCAGGAAAGGGGGAATTATTGCACTTAATTAAAGTGTATTGACACCATATGTGGCCCCACCTCTCCCACTCCCCTTTTTGGATTCATTAAGAATTAAAAAAAAAATCAGAAACTAGTAAAGGCAATATTCCTATAGAGCCTGTGACTTAACCCTTAATCATTAATCCTACAAAAATTACACTTAAACAAAAAGCTAGTTGGTAAACAGAAACCTTTCAAATTAGACAATTTATGTTCATTATCTCTATAACTCAAAGGAATGTCATTGGACTGTTTTGTAAAAATAGTATTCTCTTAATGACAGTTTGTATTTTCTTATGGAATATTTTCAACAATTTTAAATGACAGCAAAGCTCTAATTATTTTTGCCAGTGAGGTTTACATAAAGATTTGAATTTTTTTAGATCATCTGAAAAAAAATAGAAATAATGTTTGTATGGGTCTCATTCCCCATATTTTTTAAAGTCCTTGCATTTTGAATAAAATACATCCATTAGAGTTAAAAGTGAAACCTTTTTGTTATGACTTGGACACTTATTTAAAAATTAAGCTAAATTTGACTCTTCGGAAAAATGTGGCTAAAAAGTCTGATTTTAAGAAACCTTTTAATACACTGTCTTCTTTATTCTCTGTCACAACTCTTGTGTTCTTTTTGTTTTTTAACTGAGTTTGTACTTTACTTCTTCAAAACACATTTGGAGGCAGAAATATATATTATCATCACATTTGAATTAGTTCTAGAATTAACACCTAAAATCTGAATTTTTTGTATTCTAATGAAATTGGTTTCTTCTGTATGTATTTTAAGATTATAATATTTTATTTAATATATTTTTTATGATTGAAAAATAATAATGATTGTAGAGCATTTAGAAAACACAGATAACCAATATAAACAAAATTTAATGACCCATACTTCTACCAGACTGCTGTCAGAATGGTGATTTTTTTCCCTCCTTTTTTATACCTGTATAAGAATATTTATTTAACATCAATATACATTTATTATAACATACATCTCACATATGTTTGTATATATTTTTATACATATTAATATATATTTCATATATCTGTGTATATACACATATATAATGTCAGATTATACCAGCTACAGAATTTTATAATTTTCTTATTTTTACCAAATATTATGCTTTGTAGACTTTCCCATCTTTATGTTATCACTATATGATTTTAAGTAGGTACAAACTATTATATCATATAGATTTACCATAATTCATTTATTTTTCCTTGTAGATAAATAATACAACTGAAAATGTAGTAGCCTACAAATTGAGAATTAATTCTAAAGCCCAAAGTGTTCTATGGTATCAGTTGAGTCTTTTGACTTAAAACCTCTGTCTTTGAAATTAGGTCCGTTCACTAATCTGAGTAAACAACTAGTAACTACAATTTAAAAGTCTTAAAAGGGAAGGAAGAATATTGACTGTATGCTCTAAGAGATGAGATACATATTTTAATGACTATATTTTAATAGCATAAAGAAAGGAAGGTAGAGTTTGAGACTCTTATTTATGTGATTATTACATGTGCATGCTTTTGCTTATAATGAAACCTTCTTGGTCCTTTTGTTAAGGTGAGACAGACTTTAGAATGAATGCCATTTTTCAACATTCATATGCCCCAAAATATTTTCAGATACTTTTTCTGCTACTGTACAAAACTTAAAAAATAAATTCAATATTTCATTATATTATTCATAGCCATACATTTAGTAACTAAATTTGAAAGCTAGGTACAAAATATTTAAAAATCTCACAAAGTTCGGGGAAGCTAATATTAACGAAAAGTCTTCTTGTGAGTAGAAGAAGTTCTTACCCTACTTCCATAAATTCTAGTTTTCAATCTGCTGTATACTGATTTATTTTATCATACTGATATAAGAACTTTGGCATGGCTTATAAAATAACTAGATATTTGACACCAAATACAGAATGAATACAGAATGTATTGCATAGAGTAATTGTCCTTTCGATTTTTTTGGAAAATATTAGTTTAGGTAGCTATATAAATATCTATTTCTATATATTTATAGACCTTGCAGTTTTTAAAGGCCTTTTATATTTTTGGAGGAGGTAGAGGAAAATCAGAATATTAGTATTCTAATATTATATGTGTGAAAACTTAGAATTGGCTGAAATATTGATTAACGTTGGTAGTTATTAGATCACCATGACATAGCATGCTGAGAACTGAATCCTCTTTGCAGATGGGTGCCTTAGTGCTCATTCCACTGCAACATAACATGTTCTTTTAAGCTACTAAACCCTTCATATTTGTGTCTAAATAACTGCATACATCATGCTTAATCTGTAATTATATTGTATATTAAGTATAATATATATGTATACACACATGTGCATGTGTGCGTGTGTGTGTGTATATATATATAGAGAGAGAGAGAGGGAATACAAAGGAAGCATATAGAAAGTGTATACAAATGAAAACACCTAACTATATATACATTGAACTATTTTCAGCTCATAATTAGCCAAAGAAAAAATAAATAGTAAATTTAAGAATCCTACATTTCTTTACACTCTGGCCTGTGGATTATTTTTAAACAAAGAAGCATTTTCAGCCTTAATCATAGCTCTGAGTAAATGAAAGCATTCCTGCACATTTGAATTTCACAGGTTTTGTATTTCACACTGGGAGTCAGCCTTTCACAGATTTTTAACTACCTTAAAACCTTGTTAACTTTCAGCTGAAATTGCTGTTTTACAATGTCATGTTCTTGTGGGAATACAGGATCTTTTAGAAAGCAGTTTTGAGGAACTCTATTCCCAGAGCAATCTAAATCCAAAGCTGGGTGGAAACAGTACTAGTTGGTAGAAGTAACTTTGGCTTAAAGGGCAAGCTATGTTTGCTATGTTTACAGACCAATGGTAAAATAAAACAAAGGTGAGTTTTCTTTAAAATCAAAATGCACGAGAATATTCTTCTCATTGAGAATGACAAGGACCAGCTCTGTTGCAGCTGCTATATTGGGGTATACCAGCCGCTTGTAATACCTTCTTTCTGCTACTGCACATGAGGAAAGGGGCTGCAACTTACTGGTGACTCCTGGACAGCCGATGCTCTCCATCTGCTCCCACCTGGCGCTTCCCTGGATAGCCACGTGCAAGAGGGAGTGCCAGTCTGAGATATCAGAGTTAGCCTGCAGCTGTGAGCTCAGTTATAGTGTTGAAGGCTTTAATTCTAAGGGAAAATGAAAAGCCAAGTTGGGAACCACCTGAGGATTTCAATAGTTAGTAGGTAAGGAAAAGGGCTCAGGACGTTCCTCTTTGAAGTCTACCAAATGGAGAACAAAAGGAGAGTGAAGGCTGAGTAGGAATCAGAACCCTTAAGGATTTGAGAATAGGCATTTAGATCATGTGCATAAAATATCCTAGCCCATAAGGATGTGGTTTACAGATTATTTATTTATTTATTTATTTATTTATTTATTTATTTTGAGACGGAGTCTTGCACTGTCGTCCAGGCTGGAGTGCAGTGGCGCGATCTCGGCTCACTGCAACCTCCGCCTCCCGGGTTCACGCCATTCTCCTGCCTCAGCCTCCCGAGTTGCTGGGACTACAGGTGCCCACCACCACGCCCGGCTAATTTTTTTGTATTTTTAGTAGAGACAGGGTTTCACCGTGTTAGCCAGGATGGCCTCGATCGCCTGACCTCGTGATCTGCCCGCCTCGGCCTCCCAAAGTGCTGGAATTACGGGCATGAGCCACCGTGCCCGGCCTCCAGATATTTTTAAAAAAGAATTTTGTACTCTAACTTCCTTCTAAACCAGTGGTTCTTAACCTGGGAAGATTTTGCTCCTAGATGATAGTTGGCACTGCCTGGAGACATTTTTGGCTGTCACCTGGAGGGAGAGGTGCTACTGGCATCTAGTGGGTAGAGGCAAAAGATGTTGGAATCATCTTAAAATGGACAGAAAAGCCTGTCCCACAGGCCCACCCCATGACACAGAATTGTCCAGTCGAAAATGTCATAATACATAAGTTGAGAAACCCTGGTTTAAGCCCACTTTTCTGGTCATGTGACTATGTCTACCAAGTAAGGGCAGCTAGTTAATTGTAGAAATTATATCAAAATGGAAATACATAACTGACATACAAATTCTTAGACCTACAATGAAAGCATCGTGAGTCTGAAATTATTTAGTTTTGTGAACAGTCAGGAGTAGAGTACTTCTTGTATTTGTCATGATTGTGTGTTTTTCAGGACTTTATCATCCTCTTATAAATGTTCATCTTAAACAGAAAAAAAAAGTGAACAGGGATTAAGAATGCAAATTTACCTAAATAATAAAGGAAACAAAATAATAGAGAAGTTTCAAATTAACTAAGGGCCAAAAAATAGATGTGGAAATAAAATATTAGTGTGTCTGGTAATGTAATATAGTTTTTTTTCCCTCTATTTTTAAGGCACATATTGAACTATAAAGAAAAACGCATTTGGTTTGTCTGAGTTGCGCTGCATTCCTCATTACAGGCTTTCCTCTCCTAGAAAGCTTTCTAGACCTCTATGAAACAGACATTGTGGGGTGTGAAACTGTCAAATGCAGACAAAAGGCGTCCAAGGGGCCTAGTGTTGCATTAGAAGGCACTTGTTTTCCATCTCAAAATCGAGCTTGCATGTGATGAAGTCTGTTTTTTTCTAAAACTTGGCAGCAGCTGACCAGTAAAATTTGGTCCTTGCCGGAAGTGTTAGCTACAGCGGTGGCAAGGGTTAATATTAAACCCACCACAGCATTTTGCACAATCTCCCAGGAGATCTTTCAATGGATTTCCACTGCCACTGGAAATAATGGCTCGCAGCTGCAGCAACCCATAGTAACACTTGATATTCCCGTCGCAAGCGGACCAGTGCTTTCAGTGGAAATGAGAAAATCGCTAGTGCGGTGCTGTACATTGTGCCTGGGGTCAAAGTTCCCAAGCCGTAACCTAAAATGACCTCTCAGCCCGACACTCAGCCTCGGTTGCTTCTGGATGTGTCTATTATCGCCTCATTTTATGAAATGTACATAGTGGCACGCGTGTATAAAGGTAAAAGCCAGTGAAGAGCCCTAGGGAACTTGACATTCCTGGTACAAAGGGAATTGATTTCTGTTTTTTCACAGAGTAGTTTTCAGTCTTCTTAAAGGGAATTTAGGGTATTCTTTCAAGGTTGTGGAAAAAATGGCCAAATATGTCATAGGATTTAAATACAAAAGAATGTTCCTCCTTTCCCAATCCCTCCATGTCTCTCTAATCCATTGGTCCCAGTGCTAAAAGTACATCATCATTGGATATATCATTCTCTTGGGATAAAACTTTGAACATTAGAAACAATTGGTAAAACTAGAGCCACATCCAGAGAAATATGACAAACCATTATTTAGAGAAATTCTCAAGCAGGGCAGTTCCTAGGACTCTGGTACTGTTCGTACACTTCCCTGCTCCCCATCATCGGAGAGGTCAGCATTTACTCAATCAATCATTCACTTATGTATTTAGGTACTTGTTTATTCAATCATTCCTTCACTATTCATGCATTCACTAGATAGACTGGTTGCATGCCAAGACATTACCAGGCAGGGGGAAGAGTACATGGCCTATGCCATTTGTCTGGGCAAGTTCCTCATTTAGACCAGCTGCTCTGGAGAAGTGACCTCTCGGGCTCTCCAGATATTACAGTGATTTAAATCGAGCACAACCTTCACTGCCTCCGCTTCCTCGCGTTGCAAATTATGTATCTATGTGTAATGTTTTATTTTTATATTTTGTATTGTATATTTTAAAATATTATGTAGTATATATATACACACACACATAAATAGACATATATATGTATTTGAATGTGTGTAAAGGAGCTTTGTGGAGACTGCTCTAGGCATCCCACAATTCTATGCCATACTGAAAACTGGCTGTGACAGAATTTTAAAGTGTCAGAAAGCACTGGAGCTACTCTATGATGTCATGGAGGTCCCTTGAGAAAATGTCATAAAGTGAGTTGCATGTGGTGATAAGAAGCCACTAAAATAAACAGACTTCTCTATAATTACTAAATTTCTCAGAAAAACAATTAGAGTGTTTGAGACATTTTGTATCTGTCTTCCACTGAGTTCAAAGTTTCCGCTCCACCCATTTTCTAAAAAGTGCTAGTTGAAATTGTGCAGCATAACCAAAAGAAAAAAGAATTAGAGGCCCCTTTGGAGTATTTGACAGAAATTTTTGCTGTGATTAATTTTCTTTTAAACAGTTGGGAGCTCTGAAATAAAATGGAATAAGTGGACTTGTTCCATATAAAAAACACAATCACTTTCAAATTATTTTGCATGATGTAAATTTTTAGTGTTATAATAATTAAACAGCAATCTTGTATTACAGTCAGTCATATATATGGACGTGTTATATACTGTACATCTACATTGTATATCATATTATGTTATTCAAACTACACATGCATATGTATGTATATATGTGCATGCATGCATGCATGCATACACTTATTATATATAAACTCTCATAATTAATTAATTTACATCTTTCCTCACAAGCCAAGCTTTTAGCACCTAAAATTCCAGGTTAAAAGTAATTCCCATGTCATCAGATTCTTAGGAAAATACTGAAATGGGAACCACTAAGCTTTCACTAGAGCATAGTTTCATGTGAATTAAATATAAAGGAAAAACAATTTTGATAGATTAAATTTGCATTTTTATATTGCAAATTTAAGTTGCAAAACTAAGATGATAGGTTAAAATGGACACCTTGACAACATTAGGGGCAGACGCAAGAGGGAGAGAGAAACTGAAAGAGGATATTGGAGGACACTGATATCAAGGACACAGTCCACTGACTTCACAAGTTTGCTCCAGTCCTGCCTTCCTGACTGAAGTTCGAGAGGCTCTTTGGGTTAAACCCCAATCAACTGTTCCCTGGTGTAAAGAAATAATGTATTCCTGGACTCTAAGCTACTTTTTAGTAAAAATAATTCTATTCTTATTTATATATATGACCACTCTGGAGAAGCCTGAAGCTTTATTTTAATTTTGAAGGCATAATAGAGGACTAAATTATATTATGTCAAATTGAGTTACATGACAGGCTCTCAATACCTAATGGCTTTGCTATTTTTTTTTGCTGCCTCAGCAAAGCCTCCTCAGGAACCCTCAGGGACAACTACTGTCTTCTCCTCTACCCTAAAACACTTAGCTTCTATTTCTTTGTACTCAAATAGCATCTTGTTCTATTGTAATCATAGCATATATTTCCATTTAGGTAGATTTTTATTTACACTGGTTTTTCCTCTGCCTTTAGAGAATGCACTTCTAGGAGACAGAGGTGAGATTGCATTTATCAAAGTAGCATCAGAATCCTCTGGCACCAAGTACACACTCAATAAAATGTTGTGGAATGAATAAGCAAAAGGATAAGTGAATGGGTCATTTCACTCTGACTTGTGGAATGCATGGGCTTGTGTAACACCTGACTACAAAGGAGTTTTGCTTATGCTGTCTCAGCAAATATGGTCTTTAAGAGGCATGCTTATAGCACATTATACATCTCTAAGGATACAGAGTTGAAAGGGATGGCCATTCTCCTAGGATGCTGGAGAGGAATGGCTGAAAAGCTCTCATTTTATAAATAATCTACCAAATTTAAACCTTGTTCAAATGTTTATAACAGAGAACATGTCTTTAGTGGTTGCAAGAGAGCAATGACCTCTTGCATCTATTAATATTCTGCCAACTTTTGGTTACTAAATTTGTCATCAGGGATGAATGTTATTTTCTGCGCCATATAGAATTTTCTGCTAGAATTTAAGCTAAATTTAGAGAAATAACATACAGAATTATGTGTAAGCTTCGCTCATGTGTGTATAAAAATAAATACTGTGTGTGTCTGTACTCACGTACTTAATTTGGGGAATTTTTAAAAAATGGATCAGCCTTTCTTATCTGCACTAGGATGTGAGGAGCAGAAGGATAGAAAATATTAAAATGATCTATTGTTTCCTTGGAATGCATTATTAAACTTTAGTTTTTATTAATTTTAGTTTTTATACATTTGTGTTGCTTTTGAAACCAACTTTAAGCAGTGATGAAGTCACCTTCCAGGTGAAGCTAATATAATGTCCCTCCCATGTTGCCACTGAGTATCTAAACTTGTTCAATGTTGGGAATAGAGAACATCTCTTTCCCTTAGAACATTAACAAAGCATCAGTTTATGACTCAGATTTTCTGCAGAATTAGGAAGTTAATTAAGAGTCTTGGTTTCATGAGAATGCCCTCGTAACAGTAGTCAAAATAGGACTTACAATGGCAGAAAGAGATATGGACAAAATCGGGTTACAGAGAAGGTACTTTATTACATATTTTCTATTCCTTTCTAATCTTTTTGGTCTGCAAGCAGCTGCAGACCTCCCTAGGGAGCAGGCAAGGCAGACTGGCAGCTGGTAAGCACCTGTTGAAGTGGCTGGTGTCCATTCTGATTGGACAGGACATCTGTTTCTGATTGGTTGTTGCCCATGCTCTAACAGTCATTAGATATCTTCAATATCACCCCTCAGAATAGGCAACCATGCTATATTCTTGATACTTATACATTTGATTTGTATAGTAAAGACAGTTATCTTTATCAAAATTTCAACATAGAGGGGAAGGGTTATGAAGCACTTTGAAACAGGTTAGATGTCTAAGTTTTAGAATAGTTTTAAGAAAAATAGAACAGGAAACAATGCAAGTTACTGATTAACAAATTTATCTTAACTAAGGCAGGAAATCCATTCATTACATGACTAACAGGCAAATGGATGCATGCTGTTAATGACTTTAAAAAGTTATGATTCCAACAGGAGATTAATATCCTTATTTAACTATGGATTTTCATTTCTACATCTTTTTTCGTAGATAATATAAGTAAAATTTTATCTGCATCTATATTTACAAAGAGTAAATGAATGGAGTGTAAATTAATGAGGCTTCATCCTATTTTCACTTCCTACTCTTGTCAAAAATATAAAATCAGGAAAAGCAGAGAAGTATTAAGTGCCAGGAGAAAGAATAGGTATATCTTGGAATAGGGCTGAATCTTCCACAGCTACCTGACATTCGACATCCACTTAAACAACTAAACAGAAAATGGTACTCCACAGCTATAAAAAAAAAAAAAAAAAAAAAGTCAGGCTGTAAAGCTACGCTTAGTGGCTAGACACAGCTGGAAATAATTGAGAAACAGAGTACAGTGCAAAAGAGTTTAAAAACCACATGGTCTCAGTGATATTTTCATAGTGCTCCAAGCAATTTTCTTCCTCAAGTCAAATGGTTTCAAGACTCTCCAGCTCAAAATTACCTACAAAATATAAATGCCAAAAAAGGTAAACTGCAATGCATTAGGACAAAACAACCAGTAACCCTTGAGGAAATGCCTTGTCGAATTTGTGAATGGGACACTTCGTGGTGCAGACAGCCATTGTGAAGCTTTAACCCAAACTGTCGATGTCCCTTGTCCACCCAGTGAATAGGATAAGTAATGATTCACACAAAATCCTGAGAAACACACTTGAATCACCTGACTCTATTTATTTCTGTGGTGCAGAGTGGGGGGTCCTAGAAAGGGGCCTATGGCAGTGTTCATATAAGTAAATTACTGTTTACTATGAGAGTGCTTCTGCCACAATATGCAAAGTCTTACTCCAGGTGATTTTGTGGG
Source organism: Homo sapiens (assembly GCF_000001405.40). Classification (NCBI taxonomy): domain Eukaryota; kingdom Metazoa; phylum Chordata; class Mammalia; order Primates; family Hominidae; genus Homo; species Homo sapiens. Next base: position 70,777,118 of record NC_000017.11, read on the forward strand.
TTAATTGACATGAAAGTCTTAGGACGTCTTTCTCAATAAAATGTATAACCAATATCATCATGAATAAGGTAACTATTATGAACAAACTAAACACCAAGAATTCAAAAATTAAAAGTCTTATACCTAATTTGTGTCTCTAATTTTGCTCATAATTGGTATTGATAAGAGATCTTATCTAATGAGATTCTCTAAGGGGAGGATACCACACAATTTTTAGTTTTAAAATGCCTAAAGATGAAATAAGGTTATGTCACATGTCACTCAATGATAGGCCATTCTTTCTCTAGCTAATTAAATACATTAGCAACTATTTACTCAGCATACTACATGGAATGAACTTTTTCTAAGCACCTTACGTGTAAAATTCACTTACACGTTTTAAAAATAATTTATTATTTCCATCTCACAGATAAGAACAGTAAGTTTCAGAGACAGTAAACAAATAACACATGATCATAAAAGTCATCTTTAGCTGGCCAGTGATGTTAAATTTCCATTCTCTTTCCAAATTCGTGGAAGATAGGTATTTCAGAAAACAGTAAACCTAGTATAGGAGTTAATTATTTCTAAAGTTAAAACAACAAAAACTTTGCCATGTTGCAGTCTGTCATTTGTTTCCATGAAGGGGAAATATAAAATTCCAAATATTTCCCAAATTAAAATATATTCGGGTTTTGATATGATGGAAGCAAGACTGAGATTTGGGACTGGATTCCAAAATCCTGGGAACTGACGATATCAGACGAAAATATTATGATGCATATAGAAGAAACTAGGACATTTAAAATGTGCCAGATGATGGTGAGTTTTTGAAGTATCACAAGTAATTATATACAGGCACTTTCTTCTGCTAGGCAGTTGCCTAATAAAGAACAATGTATTAGGCCTCTTTCTAATAGCTCATACACCTATAGATGGTCATAATCTACTTCCTTTAGTTTTCAAAGACAGCTAAGAGAGGTTTCACCTCTTTCTCTGTAATCTTGACACTTTAGATAAAGATGATTTAGACCACAAGTTGGCAAACTATAAATGGGGGCCATATTGGCTGTCTGCCTGTTTTTATAAATAAAGTTTTATTTGAAAACAGCTAGACTCGTTCATGTATGTATTGTCTGTGGTGACTTTCATGCTACAACAGCAAAACTGAGTACATGTGACAGAGACCGTCTGGTATAAAAAGCCAAAAATATTTACTGTCTGGCTCTTTGCAGAAAGGTTGCCAACCCCAGACCTAGACGATTATAGCATATGTTAAAAAAAAAAGAAGAAAGAAAGAAAGTCAAGACTATTGATGCCTTGGTAGACAAAGGGAGACAGAGTTAAAATTTCGTGCTCCTTTCCAGACAGTAGACTGGCCCCCATGGCTTGCCATCTGTCATTGTACCATTACGATCATTATTGCAGAGGACATCTATTTGGCCTAACAGCAGTCGTGCCATAGACAGAATTTACAGAAAAAAAAAATAAAAGTTGCCAGAGCCCATTAGTTTGAGACAAGATTTTATTGAATCTTCACCTTATTACAAAATTTCACTTGCCAAACTCAGTGTTTTTAGTAAGAGGTAATTATTTGTGTAGGGGTTTAAACAAATCCCAGTGGAATTCAAATATTTTTAAAGACTATCTTAGATAATATATTTTGTATAGAATCAATGTTGAGTTAGCTATACCATAAAAATATGTGAAGCTAGGTTGAAATGAGAGAAAAATCACTAGTAGAGACCTATACGTGGTACATGGAAGCATCGTCTTTCACTATTTGAATTGTGGTACTGAAAGTGACATAACATGAGTATTTGGGGTGCTTTTTCCCTAGCTGTGGACACAAATTAGTGCTCTATTGTCTAAGACTTAAAATAGACCAAGGAACTTTAAAAGCAACATTTTAAAAATGGGGATCCGTCCAGCTGTGTTCTGAGCTTGGGCAGCACTGCCATCTGTTCTGTAAAGCACCACGGGGTCTCCACTGCACTCAGTTAGAAGTCAGCCACCTCGGAAGCACAGGCACAGCGTCAGCCACCTTGGAAGCACAGGCACAAGGTATCAGGGTGTTTTCTAGAAAGGACGTCATCAACATGGTTGACTAGAGGCACCCAGCACTCGCCTCTTCTATAAAGAAAGAAACAACAACCAGGTCACCACATGTGGAACAGTCTAAGGGACAAAACTGGAGTTTAGCAAAGTAACACAGACCTTCTGAGGCCCAGCGACTCAGGATGGCAGCATAGAGAGGGGAAGCAAGGCATCTGGCTGGGATCAGCTCAGAGCTGGGAAGAATTTCTCATTGCAGGAAAAGGTAAGAGGTGATCTGTTGAAGTACGCATTCTCACTACAAACTCCTGCAATCCTAGCTGCAAGACAGCCCACAGCCCCTGCAGACCCTGAGCCCAGTGGGGGAACTGCCTGGAGACCACATGACTGCATTGATCCAGAGAGGAATTGGTTTTCCCAACCCCCAGGACTCAGGCTGCCACATAGCATGTCACAATTTTGAGAATGAAGCTACCATCAGACTGCATTCTGCCCTGGGACTCAATAGCCTCTGCATCTCCACACTCCTGGGACCCTAGGGACATCCCACCACACAAAGGGCTAAAATTTTACAACACCAGCTGAACTCACCTGTGCAGCCATGTCCCCTTTCTTGTGCCCACACAGCACATTGCATTTTGGGCACAAGCAGTCTCACACAGCGGGTATTTTGCCCCTAGGCCAGAGGCAGTTCATGTGCATGCTCCTCTTAACCTGAAAGCTGCCTGCCCAGGCCCGGTCACCAATGCTGAGAATTTCACTTCCTCTAGCAGTAAGGCTTGCTGGCACTCTCCAGGGGCCATAAGACTGGCCTGCCTGTTCACCCCAGAACAAAACCCCGTCACACTCATGTGTGCCCCACAGTGTCCCAAAGACTGGCATACCCAGAGCATACCACCACTGTTAGTGATCTTGACCCCTTCAGTGCTGAAGCAGCTGTGTGTCCATGTGTAGGCTTCAGGGCTCCAAGGTCTAGCCAAATAAGGCCTGCTGCCACCAACATTTCCACCCTTGCTAGTAATGGAGCTTCCATGAACCTGTGGCACTCCTTCCCTAACCCCCAACAAAGCCTCACCACAGCCTCTTCAAACAGCTGCAGCCTCGGCCACTGAGTCACTAGCAGACACTGCCAACATTGATTACAGATGAGGAAATCATAAGGAAACTACACACTACATCCACCCAGAACCAAACCCAAAGCACTCTACCCAGCAGACGCTATAGGACATGTCTATAGGAGAAAGTCTTCCCTTAAAGAGCTACTCCATAAAATTGGAAGAAGTGACAATTCCACAAACTACACAAATATCAATGTAGGAATATACAAGGAACTCAACGCAATAGAAAACAATAACAAAAATCTGATTAAAAGATAGACAAAGGATCTGAATAGACTTTTCTCAAAAGAAGACATGCAGTGGCCAGCAAGTATATGAGAAATGTTCAACATCATTCATCATCAGGGAAATGAAAATCAAAACCACAACAAGATATCAACTCACCCCAGTTAAAATAAATATTACAACTATTATCAAAAAGAAAAAAAAATGACAGATGCTGGCAAGGATGCAGAGAAAAGGGAACTCTTAAATGCTGTTCTTGAGAGTGTAAATTATTACAGCCATTATAATGAACGGTATGGAAGTTCCTCAAAAACTAAAAATAGAACCACTTGGTATTCGTCCAAAGGAGCTAAAATCACTGTATCACTAGGTATTTATCCAAAAGAATGGAAGTCAGTATACCAAAGAGCACCGCCATGTTTATTGCAGTACTATTCACAATAGCCAAAATACGGAATCAACCTGTGTCCATCAACAGATGCATGAAGAAAATGTAGTATGTATGCGCAATGCATTACTATTTAGCTATAAAAACGAATGAAATCCTGTCATTTAAAGCAACGTAAATGAGCCTGGGGGACTTTATTTTAAGGAAAATAAGTCAGACACAGAAAGATAAATACCACATGTTATCACTCCTATGTAGGAGGTATAAAAGTTGATCTCATAGAAGTAGAGAGTAAACTGTGGCTATTAGGGGCTTGGAAGTGCACAGGAGAGAGGAGGATAGAGATTGGTTAAGAGATACAGAATTACATCTAGATGGGAGGAGTAAGTTCTAATGTTCTATAGCACCATAGGGTGAATATAGTTAACAATAATTTATTGTTTGGTTTCAAATAGCTAGAAGAAAGAATTTTGAATTCTCCAAACACAAATAAATGATATTTAAGGTGACAGGTATACTAACTACCCTGATTTGGTTATTTTACATTATATATATGTATCAAAATAGCACTCTGTACCCCATAAATATATATATAATTGTTATACATTAATTAAAAATAAAATTTAATAAACATAAAATGAATGTTCCAGAATCCCATGGACTCTTGCTACTTCATACCACTACGTAGCTTAATGTTCAAATACTTTAGCTACTAAACAGCTAAGAAAATTCTTGAGGAATGATACAGTTATATTGGCACTTTGCTGTATAGCCATTTCTGTTACTACAAATGTGAAAACTTTGTATGGTTCAAATCATATTTCCCAAAGTATAAATATTTGATATAATGTGGCGTGGTCTATTAAAACATTGCCAGCCCTGTCTGTAATAGAGGTTAAAGAGGTTAAAGCAGACCCTGTATCATGTCTATAAAATAATGAGTTAACATATCTAAGCATAACTGCCTTCCACTGTCTAATCACTGTCTTTATGTAACTTATGTACCCCAAGTTTGACTTTTTTTAAAAAACAAGGAAACACTACTGAGAGGTGTTGAGTACATTGCATCATTCAGGGCATTATGCTGAAAAATAAATAAATTTACTTTTAGGTTGTCTGCTGTAATTAATAATCATTTCCTTCACATATTTAGGCAAAAAAAACTGTTCAAGCATCAATAAGATATATAATTCTATGCTGTGCAAATAGGTGCACCCTATATTCTTTAAATCTAGTTTATACCAACATGAAATTGATTTTTTAAGTTTTTTTCTGATGATAATAAATTTACCACATATAAGGCTATCAAAGCATAAAGGTTAATGAATATAAAAATACACATTCTGATAAACGTTTGTATTCAAGTATAATGCTTTCATTAATTCTTACATTTTAATTAAATAGTATTGTGGGACAGAGAATAGAGCAGGTGATTCTATTAACAGTTTGGGTCTTTGAAGACACACTTGCAGATCAAGCAAAAAATTAGGAATCTTTGCCTGAATGGACACGACTTAAAAATCTGTCAGTTTTCCAGAAACAAATACGATGAGTTTTGGTTAGATGTTTCACTGACCACCCAGACCAAAGGCATTTATACAAATCTGAGATACACCCATCCATTAAAAGGCCACAAAACAAAATGCCAACTAGCACATCCCAGTTAGCGTGGATACAGCCGTGTCCTAGAAATTATTAAATGAATCATCTATTCCTGCTTTTGTGAATGAGCTATTCTATGTCTCAGTTGCTCCTATTCTTAAAATAGAGACAAGCTGGTTCTTGGGCTGGTTATGGATTCTATTCTCTGCCCTTTTTTCCTTCTGCACCTGGGGACTAAGCTTGCAGTGTTGTCTTACCTGGGCTTCTTGGTGCTTGAGCTTCCCCATGGTTTTGACGAAGGGAAGCACTGAAAGGAGAAAAGAAAGCAGGAGAGAAGGGTTCTATGTCCCCAGTATGTCACCAATGGGCTGCCGTATTGGCAGTATCTATGTCCCTCTACCTATGGCCACAGCTCCTAAAGGGCAGCCCCTCTGCCATGGCTACAGCTCTCACTTGGAGCAAGTAATGCCTTTCTCTTGCTTTGCCCTTTTGCTCAGGGATGCTGTGTTAGTCAGGATTCTCTAGAAGGACAGAACTAATAGGATGGATCTATATATATATATATGAGTTTATTAAGGAGTATTAACTCACACGATCACAAGGTCCCACAATAGGCTGTTTGCAAGCTGAGGAGCAAGGAAACCACTCCCAAAGCTGAAGAACTTGGAGTCTGATGTTTGAGGGCAGGAAGCATCTAGCATGGCGGAAAGTTGTAGGCTGGGAGGCTAAGCCAGTCTAGTCTTTTCACCTTCTTCTGCCTACTTTATATTCTAGCCTCTCTGGCAATTGATTAGATGGTGCCCACCCAGATTAAGAGTGGGTCTGCCTTTCCAAGCCTACTGACTCAAATGTTATTCTCCTTTGGGGACACCCTCACAGACACACCCATGATCAATACTTTGCATCCTTCAATCTAATCAAGTTGACACTCAGTATTAACCATCACGGATGCCTAAGTGGTGTTCATCCACGGCCATTTCACCATCCTTGGTGGCTCCTTTCACTCTACCCACACCTCTAAAAACAGATGCCTGCTCTTAATCAGTTCTGGTTATTATTACATGGTATCATAGACTAGGCGACTTAGAAATTTATTTCTTGCAGTTCTGGAGGCTGGAAGTTCAAAATCAGGGTGACAGCAAGGTCAGATTTTGGTGAGGGCCCTCTTCTGGTGTGCAGACTGCCAATTCTCCTTGCATCTTCACATGGAGAAAAGAAGCTGAGAAAGCTCTCTGAGGTCCCTTTTATAAGGGTACGAATCTCATTCATGAGGGCTCCACCTCCGTAGCACGCTTCTTTAATCTCTTCTCACTTAACCCTTTTGAGCTCATCATCACTTCCTTCAGAAATCTGCCTAAAAGGGTTATTACCCCCTCACGATCTATTACTACAGATATGCAAATATCCACACAACTAATTTGCCTTTGGCAGTTTTTCATTGAGGATTAAATTTAAAACAAATAAAGAGATGTGGCCTGGTGCGGTGGCTCATGCCTGTAATCCCAGCACTTTGGGAGGCGGAGGCAGGTGAATCACTTGAGGTCAGGAGCTTGAGACCAGCTTGGGCAACCTGGTGAAACCCCATCTCTACTAAAAATGCAAAAATTAGCCAGGTGTGGTCACACATGCTTGTAATCCCATCTACTCAGGAGGCTGAGGCAGGAGAATCACTTGAACCTGGGAGGTGGAGGCTGCAGTGAGCCAAGATGGTACCATTGCACTCCAGCCTAGGCAACAGAGCAGGACTCCATTTCAAATAAATAAATAAATAAATAAATAAAAGAGATGTTGTAGCTTCATGCTTAGAAGGAACTTAGTTATAATGAAAGCAGTGTGTTGATGGGACTACTGTGTGTGATGTTATTTCGGGATGGTGGACAGCGTAGGTTCTACTTCTTAAGTTTTGAAGTCTGCCACTCAGGATTTTGGCTTCTCAATTATTCTAATAAAGCTATTAAAAAGTGAAAGGTCACAGAAGTCAGTAGCAAAGCACTACCTGTATGCAGAAATGAAAAGGGAGAATTGATGTTTATTGAGTTTGTTTCAAATGATAACCAGTGTATCAGTCACTGAGAAGTGTTATTTTATATAATTTTGTATTTTTTCACAAGCTTATCAAGTATTTATTAATGAACCCATATTACAAATGAGCAAGTTGAATCTTGAAAAAATTAAACCACTGATAGCTGATGCCCATCAGAGGTAATGCCATCTGGTTCCCTTTGCCATGGGCTAGTATCTACTTAGTTTGCTACAGCCTCTGGTAATCAGACTATATGCCATGTCCTCAATCCTCGAAGCTTGGAAATCTTAGCTATGAGGTTCTCTTGGCCGTATTCCCCTAGGTCTCCATTATTGCATTCACGATGGGCTATAAACTTTCTAGAGTAGGTCTCTTCATAAACATGCTAGGATGCAAAGCTGTGGGTTCCTCTGTTCTAAATCACAGAATTTCAATATGACTCTCAGCCCAAGGAGGCCGAGGGTAGCGGGACACTTTTCAGAGAATGAGTGCAGAGAAAACAAGCATATCTTCCTAGATTCTCCTCAACTCGGTCAGAGTTTTCATTTGGAGGAAACATTGTCACGTATTTTTCTATGTAAGAACAATGCTAGCTTTTGCTCTTGATTTGTATAGAAAAGTTAAAAGTTTTTTTTTCTCTCTCTCTCAGGATCAATACTCTTGAAAGTCAACAGCATCTTTAGCTTATTGACACTGCTAATATTATATGATATTGTTTGAAATGTAAAACTTAGCAAGCATTTCTTCATTCTAGGAAGCATTTGACTCTTGTTTTGAAGCTATTAAAGCCATCATATTAGTGAATCACAAACAGCTAAGGACCACTAAAAATTACCTGGAAGAAATGCATTATTTATTGTTTCAAAATATCCTCTCTATACCTACACAAGTCTGTGACCATGTCTATATCTACTTCACATATGTCTATATTTCTTTTGGTATCGTATCCATGTGTGCATAAATCATATCTATGTATCTATAAAATGGAGAGCTAGTGAATGGATTGCAAACTTATTGGGAATAGCAGTACAATAATAAATTTTCTGGTGGAAATACACCAAATACGATTACATCAGAATTTTCAGCTTCCAAAGACCCTGAGAGCATCATATGGTAATAATGCTTGTCAATGTTGCAAATGATACAGATTTTCAGATGATGGCCATATAAACCAGTTTCATTAAAAGTTAAATTGATTTGCTAGTTTTTTCATAAAATTAACCTTTCTATTCACAGTAAGATATTAAAACAAAACACTATTTTAGATATTTTGCCAGCTAGAAGTACAATTTCAATGTGATTTGAGCTATTAAATACCAAAAGAATTGTGATGCATAAAAACCAATGGCGAAAGGGTCGATAGTTTTGTAGCATAACATTTGTCATTATCGTAAGATTATATAAAATCTTAGTGTATGTTTTGTTCTTATTACATTAGTCACTCATCCCATTGCTAAAAGTAAAATGGTTACAAATGGGCTTCATCAAATATACCTCCTATTATCTTCAGTCTCTACCTTTACAAAGGCTGATTTAACCGATCAATTTGTAATTTTTACATTATTAAGAACATATTGTCTTCATACCGTTGAGAAAAGCATCTGTATATCATGTTCTCATTCCAGAAACATTGCCTCTGGCCAAAGCTTTCTTCTTAACAACATAAAAAGTAAAAAATGCAGAAAACAGCTAGTCCCAGAAAATTTGGTTTAAATGTCTAGCATTCCTTTAATAGAAATTGTAGGTAGAATTTCATCTGTGTTAGTCAGGGTTTTAGAATAGCAGGTAGTATGTGGATAACTGTCAGGTTTTCTATGAGTAATTCAATTGATGTGGAATAAATTTGGTTATGGTTTTGTCTGCTTGGTATTTCGAGGTTTTTCATTTTTTCCATTGTGGAGATGGGCCCAAATCTAAAAATCATTTGTTGTGGCAATTTTCCCCCATTGATGAACTAACCCCTGTGTCTTCCTCATGTCCTGCTTTAAAAACAGACCATAGATTATGGTTATACATGATGAATGCATTCATGTTTTCTTCCTCCCAAAACTCCACAAATAACAGTAAATGAATAAAAAAGACATGAATCCAAGTGGCCAGCCTACAAGATGGTTTCCAATGATCTCTACCTCCTGGTATTCACAACCTGTATATTTCCCCCACATTGTACAAGATTCATAATAATCTACTCTGTTTGACCCATATATGGCAGAAGTGGTGGTATATCACTTCTGATATTGGGTTATAAAAGAATATGGGTTCCATCTCGTTCTCTCCCTCTCTCCCTCACTCTCTGTCAAGGTGGTCAAGGTGGCTAATAAATACCTACAAATGAAAACTCAGATAAATAGTTTATTGATACCCAATAATGTTTTTCTTTTTTTTCAAAATGCTAAATATCCTATTTATAGTAAATTACCTCTTTCCTTGCTCAATTACATTTAATTATTATTTATAGTTTCATTTTCTTTTAAATTATTTTTCTGATTTAGTCAATATACCACTTTTCTTTAAAACTTAAGCAGGCACTGGTTGTTTTCTGGTTTTGCCACCCATGTGTTGAACACGACTGTTCAGGGTCTAGCCATATTTGCTAAGGTCTAGTTTTTCATCAGCCAAGTGGTCAGAGTTATTTTCATATTGGGGAAAATGTTAGAATATACAACATGTGATGCAAAACATCCCTTCCACTCACTTATTTATCTATTTTTTCTTCCCTAAAGTATAGTACATGCCTAATGCCATCTCACATGTATTAATTTAATGAAATGCCTCTTTATAAGAATTTCTTGCTAATGATAGGATTTGAGTTGTGGCAGGCAATATTTAGGATATTTATTTTTAAACAGGGATGTTGTGTGTATTTATGGGCAAATGATCCCATTTCCCTTACAGAGTCAAGGACATTTTTAAAGGTTATTTTCTTGTAAGTAAAAGCTTCTTCCTGAGTGTAGAGCCATTAAAAGTGAATCTAATTTCAACTCACATTTAATGTATCAAATATTTGCATTCATAATAATCTACTTTGTTTAACCAAAGGCTGGTAGTGTGGTTGGAATTCTATAAGCTGTGCATAGGGTGAAGAAAAAATATTTACAAAAATCATTTGATGTGTTTTTATTAAAATAAAGTTTAGTCATTTAAAAAGCTAGAGCAGTAGTTTATTAAAATAGTATAAGGACCAGTGACAGTGACAAAGTGTATATTCCTGCCTTGTCTCTAAGGAAAGCACAATTAATCCTTCAGAAGAGATTTATTAACCCAGATGATGATTTCACAATGTGGATTCCACCTGATGTACCTTTGAGTTAATATGTGTTGAATTCTGACCTTGGAGACACTACCTCATAAGGAGTAGACCAACTGTGTGTAAGTGACAAAAGAGTCTCTGAATGTTTTACTGGGAATGACTGCCATGGGCAGAGTAAGCCATAATGTTAAGGTCACTGATGAGACACTGACTTGGCTAACCTTCCCCCAACTTAACCAAGCGTGAAAGCAGATCTGCAGCCAAGTCTGTCATGGTGGGTGAAGGAAATTTGGAGAAGGCTTCCCTCCACAGTTGGCTTTGAATGAGCAACAGTTGGTTAGCGCATTGTGTTTATGAGAATAAAACCATGGGCACCATCCCAGCTCAGCCCAGTTAACATCATTTATTTCCATGACCACCAAGTACACCACTCACCTTGCCAACAATATTATAAATGTTCACATTTGGTTTCCAGGACAATTGGGCAAAAAGCATCTCAGCCTAAGTATCCTCCACACTGTAGATAAAAGAGCCGTAGATGGCATGGATCTGCTATATCATATTTGCATTTATCTACTACATATGAACTTTTCTTACCTGAAACATACAAATGCTGAATTTTATAATTGAAATTGAACTTGGATGAGAATGGCACATAAATTGGCAAAGAAATATTATAGGTAAATAGATGGATTTTTTACCACAGTCACTCATAAAAGAGTTCCTGGAATTTAGCATATAAAATCCTACTTTCTGCTTGCTTAGCTTTTCCAATTAATGTACAGCTGAGCTATGGTGTGTAGGAGAATTTAAATTATCTAGTGAAGGTCAGTATCTCCGTAGTCTTCATTTTCAGAAGTGAAATGATTTCATTTATGGGAGTCATATTCCAAGTCTTGTCTTTTCTCTATTTTCCTGATATTTAAAACATAAAGTGAATGTAAGTGATAAAGCTTGTTGATACTTAGGTTCCCTTTTAATTAAGGAAATAGCAACTTGCAAACTGTAAAGTAACTTTAGGAGTTATGTGGAAGTGCATGTGAGTTGGGGAAAACAGCTGTTCCTTCTAGTTTATTTGCTGATAAATAATGAGGATAGAGATGGTAGCGAAGGAGCTGTTGAGGCAGTGGTGATTGGAGGTGATAGTGGAAATGATGGTGATGGGGGTATTGATGCTTAAAGGGGAGATGGAGGTGATGGTAGTGATTGTGAAAATGGCAGTGGGAGTGAAAATAAGGGAGAGGATTGTGGGGTTGTGTATAAAGCAGATGGTTGTCTAAGTCCTGATGATACCATTAGAGGTGGAGATGGTGGTGGTAGAGGTGGTAGTGGGGGAAGTTATGGTGATATCGTTTTTGGAGGTGGAAATATTGATGGCATATTAGTAATTATGGAGGATTCCTTGATGATGGAGGTAGTGGTGGAGGTGGAGATAATATTAGAGGTGGAGGTGGAGGTATTTGAGTTGGATGTGGTGGAAGAGCTCAGTTGCTATCTTTTCTTAAAAGTCTTTTTTCCATGTGCAAAAGAGGAAAAGAAAAATGATACTTAAATATATATATATAGATATCTATATATATAGATATAGATATAGATATATATATATACACACACACACACACACACACACACACATACATGCACATGACTAGTTTTCTATTGCTGCTGTTACAGGTTACCACAGACTTAACAGCTTAAAAAATCATCTCACATATCTGGCATTCAGAAGTCTGGATTGGCTCAGCAGGCTTCTCTGTTCCAGATTTCACAAGAACACAATCAAGGTGTCAATTGCCAGGGTTCTGATGGAGGTGCTTTGGGAAGAATGTTTTTCCAAGCTCATCCAGGCCATTGATCAAATGTAGTTTGGTAGGATTGCAGTTCCCATTTCCTTGCTGACTGTCAGCAGGGGCTGGTCTTTCTTCTCATGTTCTCTAAGTAAACCCCATTTAGTAATGAGGGGTCTGTCAAATGCTTATCATACTTCTGATCTCCCTGCCACATCTCTCTGAGTGACTTTTCTGCTTTAAAGGGGACTCATACTACTATTGGACACCCAGATAACCTATAATTATCACCCTACTTTAAAATCAGCTGATTAGTAACCTTAATTACATTTACAAACTTCTTCATAGCAGTACCTAGCTTAGGTTAGTGTTTGGTTGAATAACAGGAGATGGGAAACTTGGGGGTTCATCTTTAAAATTCTGCTATATACATGAAATCTCAAGTATCTGCTCTCAGTTTAATGTACCTTCAATTTGCAAAATTGATGAGACATTGAATGATCTAAATTTTCAACAAAGACTCAGACATTACCTTCTAAATGGTCTCCCTAGTTGCAGTTACAAAGTAATATAGTCAACAATCTCTCCTGATTTCTATTCACCTAGTATCTACCTGTAGGATCATTATTCCTAAGGATTTAATTTCAGCATTACATGCTTGTGGTCATAAATCTTCACAATGTATTTGTCCTTTTCTGATTTCCTGTAGGACTTTTGAAACAAGAATATGCATATTTGTATTATTATCTATAGTGCAGATATATTTGTCATGTCATATGGATTCTAATTTTCTAGGAAGTGGAATCACATTTTATATTTTTTTCATTTTTTACTGAAGAGGAGAAAAGGAGGCATTGTTGTCTTAATAGCATTATTAGTATAATATTTCAATATCATATTTAAAATTTATGTGTATCTCATTTAAAATTAAGACAAATAACAGTAAATATAAAATCTATAGACAGTGCAGAAGAAAGAAGTTAAACAACAAATAAGACTAGTGTCACAGCAAACAAACAAGGAAAAACAATTCAAAACTGAAAGCCCTACCAACTTCCTTATGTTTGCTTATCAATTTGTCTCCATGAAAACAAAGCACTACTTTTTACATCTTCTTCTGAGTGATGACAGTGCCTTCCAAAGACCACCAGAAGCACAGCTGTAGTTAAATTAGTTAGATTTACTTTTGGTTGCAAAAAGGGAGAACATGCACCATGGGGATCTGAGGATGTCTTCAAAAGAGGGTTTTAGAGAGAACGTGATACAGAATTTACACTTTGGTTGGGTAATTTGGGAGAGGATCTAAGAAATGAGTTTGCTCTAAGTTTAATGCTTCCAGAAAGCAGGACAATTTTAAGACTATCTCAAAGAATCTTACCCATACAAAGAGGGGACTAAAACAAAGATAAAGCTATAGTTGGTAAAGTAGCAGCCTATCATTTAGGTAAGAGAGAGAGACGTTTGGTATTTTGTGGGTGGCACTGTGATTTTCTTTTATTTTTTAATTGGTTCTTAGGCAAAATTATGAAGTAGCCTTGTTTTATCTCTTTTGTCATAGACTCAGGATAACCTTGTCTAAGTCTGGTATTTTGTGAGATCAGTTAAGCTAGATATAGTGGCATGGCCTAGGATGGGTATTATGCCAACTTTCAAATGTCAGGATGGTCTTTTTCGATTTTCTTTCTCAGTGGTGTGCTAGACTTCAGTAGTGGCTTTATTTCTGTGCACATTAAACAGTTTTTTTGTTGTTATAATAAAATAGTTCTTAACATAAATTGAATTAATTGATCTTAATTCCAAAGTACTATTTATAAATATAATCATGATGGTAATGATGATGATGATGACAATAATCATCATAGCACCAATGAATAGAAAGGAGAGGATATGAGATGGGAGATGAGGAAAGGGTGAGGAGAAGCCATCAGTGAGTGCTAACCATGCTCCAAGGACTGCCCTATCTTATTTGGTATACAAGTACTATTTGAGGTAGATATTGTCTCAGATAAAGACACCAAGGGACAAAGAGTTAAATAATTTGAGGGAGATAGCCCATAAGAAGGGTGTGTTTGTGGGTGTTTTCGTGTTTTTCTACACCAACTAATTCTCCAATTGTCCAGACACCAGCTGAGTGTCTTGCAATCAATTCAATTCTGACATTATCTACTTGGGGTTAGTGTTGAATTCTACAAAGTGAAGGGCTCAGTCTTACTTTAAGACTGTCTCCCACTTCACGTGCCAAGCGCTAGTCCAGGCCTCCCATATTTCTGAACAACTGGATCCAAATAGTGAATTTCCATGACCCTCTCTTCAGGTTCAGAATTTGCTAATCTGACTCACAGAACTCAGACAAACATTTAACTGTGCTTGCTGGTTTATTATAAAGGATACGGTAACAGATAAACAGCCAGGTGGAAGTACATAGGGAGAAGTTCAGCAGGATCCCTGTATGACAGATGCACCTGACAGCGGTAACTTATAGAATGACCCTATATGGCAAATGCACTTGAATATGTGTTTGGAGTTCCAAGCTATGGAATCCAGGAGCAGCAAACCTGGAGATTTATTTCTTATCTATGAGGAGCATCTGAACCCTCAGCCCATCTTGTGGAACATGGGTCATACAGGAAGTTGAGACCCTTTGTTTGGGGTTAAATGAAGGCTACCAGGTAGAGATTGTTATGTAAACTGCATGGTTTTAACAAGCAGTGGTGGTTCCCCTCTACTGCCTGCTGGCGCTGGACCTCCCTGTATGCAAGTTCCCCTCAATAAATTCTGTGTCTTGTTTGCTGGCTCTGGGTCTTTTTTTTTTTTTTTTTTTTGAAATAGTCTTGCTCTATCCCACAGGCTTGAGTGCAGTGGTGCAATCTCAGCTCACTGAAACCTCTGCTTCCTGGGTTCAAGCAATTCTTATGCCTCAGCCCCCCAAGTTGTTGGGATTACAGGCGCTGGGCTAATTTTTGTATTTTTAGTAGAGATGGGGTTTCACCATGTTAACCAGGCTGATCTCGAACTCCTGACCTCAGGTGATCCACCCACCTTGGCCTCCCAAAGTACTGGGATTATAGCATGAGCCACCGCACCTGGCCTGCTCTGGGTCTCTTTTTCAGCCTCTTGAACCTTGTGGCATTCCTACTAGAGTTGACAGGGGTCTGTCATGACACCCAGTGCAGAAGTTTCTGTCCCTGTGGAGCTGGAATGTGCCAGCCTCCCAGCACATGGATGTGTTCACCAACCCAGAGGACCTTGTAACTCTGTGCTTTAGGGATTTTCATGGAGATTTCATCATGAAGGCAAGATGGATTATTTTAATTGTAGCTCCTTTCCCATTTCTGGAAGATGAGGTGGGGGTGGAGCTGAAAGTTGCACAGATTCTGATCATGGCTTGATATTTCTGGTGACCAGCCCACATCCAGGAGCTATTCAGGAGCCCACCAAGAGGCACCTAATTAGAACAAAAGATGATCCTATCACCCAGAAACTTCCAAGGAATTTAGAAGCTCTGTGTCAGGAACCAAGGTCAAAGGCTGAATGTTAAAAAAAAAGATGTTCCTAGAATCTCTAGCACTCAGATTACAAGAGTTTAAGGAGCTCTGTGTCAGGAACTGGGGCCAGATTCTCTCTCTCTCTCTCTCTCTCTCTCTGTCTGTCTCTATTCTTTGTTCTGTTCTCTCTCTCTCTCTCTCTCTCTCTGTCTGTCTCTATTCTTTGTTCTGTTGTCTCTCTCTCTCTCTCTCTATTCTCTTTGTTCTATTCTCTCTCTCTCTCTGTCTCTATTCTCTTGAATTCCCAAGAAGCAGATGATTCATATAAAAGTTGATTTGTTTGCTTTTAAAAGACTATTCCCCAAGAACTACCAGTGGAAAATCAGGGAAGTGAGACAGAGAAGAAAAGAAGGCATTCTCTATGCCAACAAATGCCAAGTAAGAGGCATGTATTTAGCAAACTCCCACAAAGCATCACCCTATAGGGAAGTTCTCAAAACTGTGCAGTTCACACATTAAAGTTGTCCCAGTAAGGGACGAGAGGGCTGGGCTATTCATTCCTCCCTACCTGAGTATCATCAGTGAGGAGTTGGCAGGAGAGACAAGGGAGTATATGAAATCCCAGGCCCCACATGAAGGCTCTCTGTGTCCCCAGTGTGTGGTCCAGTGGGTCTCAAGCTTCAGCAAATCAGAATCAGCTGGAAGGCTTGCTAAAATAGTTTCACATTCAGTAGATCTGGGGTGAGACTCAGTAATTTTTACTTTTGACACATTTCCAAGTGCACTGCACTTTGAGAAGGGCTGATATAGCATTACGAGTCTTTAGGCAAAGAGACACAGATGCTGGCTATTAGGATTATAGCAACGGGAGCTGACCCAGATGAAAACTACACAGTGATCCTAGATGGTATGCAAAGAACACTATGGAATACAATGGAAGC
Source organism: Homo sapiens (assembly GCF_000001405.40). Classification (NCBI taxonomy): domain Eukaryota; kingdom Metazoa; phylum Chordata; class Mammalia; order Primates; family Hominidae; genus Homo; species Homo sapiens. Next base: position 70,793,971 of record NC_000017.11, read on the forward strand.
AACGAGATTAGGATCTAGATCTGTCTGAATCCAAAGCTGGTACTCTAAAACTGCGTGATGACACTTCTCAATTGTGTATTACAAGAAGCTACAGAATAAACCCATTTGAGGCTTGTCAAGTTCAATGGCGTATAGGCAGGAGGGGATGGGAAATCAGATTGGATAGATAATTTAGATAATTAACTTGAAATATATATTAAAATTTAAAAATATGTATGTAAATACTTTGTTTTTCTTAACGTCAACTATCTAGTAGGCATTTTGTGTTTTCCTTTGTGTTGAGGCCAAAGAACTATCACTGCCCATTTTCACTCCCTTCAATTAAATGATGATGGCTGAAAAGTTTCACAAGCACTACATTCCTTTATCATATTTTCTATGCTGTGACTCTCATATTTCAGGTTTAATTTCACATAATGTTTTATTCAGTAAAGGTGATTGTTTTGTAAGTCAGTAATCAAATATGATTTAATATGTGTGATTTTATATGAGCTGCCCTATCAATAAGCTCACAATTTATAGAAGAAACATTTTTGAATACTTTGTTCTACATTTTGGATTTAGATAAGAGGCTGCTGGTTTACCCAGAATCACAAAGTCTCAATTCCTCCTGTCCAAGTTGAAGCCAACTAAAAAATGCCTTGTCACATTGGGTAGGCTCAGCCTAGGGATATGCTATGAGTAGAGACAGCACAGGTAAGGCAGAAATGTTCTGGAAAGATTTTAGGAAAGAGGGTGCCAGTGCAAAGTTTATCTATGTGATGCTTTTTCCTATGGGCAGTAGGAGTATCATTTTATGCTTGCCTCAGATACTACAAAGGCTTTCTATATGTTTACACACAGATCTTCACTGCCCCCAAGTGAAGTAAATACATGAGGTTTTGGCAGAAGTGTGAAGGCTGTTCCATGCATTTTTCATGAGAGAAATTTCAATAAAATGAATTAACTTGGTGTCCCAAACACTATGCCAACCAATGACAAGGAAGGCTGTTTACATTTGGATTGGGCAACCAGAACAGGTTGGGTTTTCTACATCCTGAGGCTTCCAGCCAGCACTTTCGGTTGATTCACATTAGAAAAAAAATTCAGTTAAAATAAAAAAGAGAGACCTGTTTAAAAAACTACCTGGAAAACACATGTTAGGAAATTCAACCTCTTTTTATTTAAATGGAATTCCTTGAAAAACAATTACCATCATACATAGAATTTCAGTTTATACATGCGAAGGTAGTTGCAGCTTTGACCCAAATTACCTCAATTATTTACAGGCCTTGATTAACTGAAATGCCCATTTAGTTGAAGCAAAGTGTTTTGTTTTTGAATTTTCTGAACGAGGGCCATTCTTCCATACCAACTGAACATAGTGTATAATCCTGGGACCCTCCAAACATACTGAGTAGGCAAATTATAACAATATAAATATTAATTGGAAATAAGAAATATAGATAACAGAAATATAAAATATTTTTCTATGTCAGCTCATCATCTCCTATCTAGAGGAGTGATTCTCCAAGTAGGGTCTCTGGATCAGCAACAACCACATCACTTGGGAACTTAGTACAAATTCTAGGAGCCGTAGCCTAGACCTACAGAACTCAAAGTCTGCGACCCCATAATATGTGTTTTAACAAGGCTTCCAGCTGATTATGATACATGCCAAAGTTGGAGGACCAGAGTTGGATAATATTTAATGACTGAATGATAGTAATAGAACTCAGAATAGTAGGTAACACAGTGTGATGCCATTATCAGAGGTAATTTTGTGTCTTCACAAAATAGAAAAACATACTTACATACATAAATAGAAAAAAATGAGGCAGAAAGAGACAGCATGTGAAATGTTAATAGTCAGCATTATAGGCTATTTATTTTTGCCATAAGCGTTTTGTTGTTTTCCATGATTTCTTCATTGAACAAATGGTTTTGTGATTAAATCTTAAAGAGAAACACAAGAGATACCCCGAGGTGTATTGTGGTGCAATAAGAAATTGTGCCTAATTCTACTGTAGCAATTTACAAAGCAACAATCATCTAGTATGTAGCAGGTGTATGTTGAAGGCATTGCTCTCTTCATAAAGTATGGGCAACTGTCATCACACAGCTTATAACCTCATTTTCACCTGCCCTTAAGGTAGTTGCTTTAAACTGCTGGCACACAGCTGATTGAAATGTGGGGAATCCCTGGCTGAGAGCTACCTTGCTGGGTGCTCTCTATTCACATTCTTTCTGGGAATGGAACATCTCCCTGGCTCTGGTTTGTACATGTGGTCGTCATGGCTTCTTTGTTAGCATTTGAGGCTTTTATATATATTTTATATATGCATATATAAATAAATATTTTATATAAATATATACAAATAATATATTATATAAATATATGATTTATGTATATATAACCATATAAATATATGATTTATATATATAAGTATATACATATAAATAGAATATGTTATATAAATATATATTTTATATATAAAAATATATAAAGGTTCAAATGCTAACAAAGAAGCCATAAATACCCACATTTACAAAATATATATAAAATCTATATATATGTATGTGTGTTTGTGTGTGTGTGTATACATATACATATATAAGTGAGCCAGATGGTGATTGTGAGTGCTTATTTTTGGGAAAATATCTGAAGCCATCCTTGCAGAGTTAAAGAAAAAAAAGTCAGACAAGGTCTTTCTGAATGTCTGATATGATTTGTTAAATTAAATTTAACCTAGAGCTGCCCCTGTACGTATTTTTAAGTTGGGCCTAAGTGTTTCTCATTCATAGTGAACTGTAACCTAACTGGGTGTGTAAACAGACTGTAAGTTACTCTTGTTAACGAGAAGTCACGTCTCAGCCAATCCCAGCAGCCATACTTTGACCACTCACAGGTGGCCAACTGTTCAAACCATGTGCAAATAAGGCAAACACTGAGGTGTAACGACCACGGCTGTTTCTGGACCTCACTTCCTTTTCTGTGTGTCACTTTCCTTTTCCTGTCTGTAGGTCATCTCCAAGTGTGCAGCAGCTGACATTGTTCTGAACCTATTCTGGTTGCAGGAGGGGTGGAAGGAGGCTGCCAGAATTGTGAATTGTTCTTTGCTCAGTTAAACTCTGTTAAATGTAATGAGTGTTAAGTAAACAGATTCTATGGTGGAACTGCCAAGGAATTCAGAAGCAAGTTCTGGCTTCCAAAGCGTATTAGTTTCTTGTTGCTGCACTAACGAAGTACCAAAAACTTAGTGGCTTAAATCAACACCGATGTATTGTCTTACAGTTGTGGAGGTCAAAAGTCCTAAAATCAAGGAGTTGGCAGAGTTATGTTTCTTTTAGAGGCTCCAGGGAAGAATCCATTTCCTTCCTTTCTTTATCATCTGGAGACTGCCCGCATGCCTTGGTTTATGGCCTCCATCCAACAATTTCCTCACTCTGACCTCTGTTTCCTCTGCTTCCATCATCATACATATCATATCTCCTTCTCCGACTCTGTCCTGTCCCGCTTACCCCAACACACTTGAAGGATGCCTGTGATTCCACTGGGCCCACCCAGATAATCCAGGATAATCTCCCCATCTCAACACCATTAACTTAATAACATCTGCAAAGTTCTTTCTGCCACGTAAGGTAACACATTCACAGGTTCTGGGAATTTGGACATGCACATTGGAGAGGGGGCAGTATTCTGCATGTCATACAAAGGAAGAAAGCTTTCAATACTGAACTCTATTGTTCTTTATCCACGTAATAAACTAATACTGAACTTCTTTTATTCCTGTCACATTTGTAAAAGATTGAGGGACAAATCTAAAGGGCTATATAAATGTTATCATTGACAATGCCAGAATCCATACAATGAGCTAATGGAGAAAACCAAGCTTTATTTGGCAATATTATGTTGAATTTCTGATTCATTGTACGTTAAAGAAAATAACTCCAATGTTTGTATTTATTAAAATGGTTCTGCATTATGCATATAAAATTGGACCACAATGCACGTTCTGTTTTTAACCCTCTTTTCATTATTCTCTCATGAAATATTTCCTTATGTTAGGATTCATTTACTAAATTTCACAAAACCATAAATTATGCAATTTCTCTAATATTATTGGAGATGTCATTTGTTTTTTATTTGAATGTTTAAATTTCATAAACAATTTTATGTTGAACATTCTAACCAATAAATCCATGCATGTCCATAATCATTTCTGTAACATAAAATGACTATGACAAAGAATTATTTAATATTTTTAAAATACTTACATCCATAATTGATGATATCAGCCCCCTAAAATCACATATAGCTAACAAGGTAAATATAACAACATTTGGGCTGTTCCATTCATTTTCAAAGAATTTTTTCTATAACTTCATTGGGGGATAGAAAGCTCAGAGTCAAGAACATAAATTATAGAATAGAACATCTATTTTTTTATTTACAGAGTTGGTAAGTAAACACATTTAAGATCTAGGTCTTTAAACACTCTTTATTTAAAATGTGTGGCATGTAATTCCATATCTACAAAGAGCAACTTACCTTTGCCATGGGCAGAGACAGCTCACAGTAGTGAATGTGTGTAATCAGAAATAAAAAGATGGATAACTTCAAGAAAGTAGCGGGAAAACTAGCAAAATGCTTAGGCAAGACCCATGCCAAATTAAATTTTGTTGAAGGGCAATACCTGCAGGATGATTTTTCAAAGACACAAAAATTAAAGTTGATGCTCACCAGTGTAATCGAATCATCAAACGTTCCCACTGCCCTGCTGACTTACATACCAGTGAGAAAAACTAATAGTATTATTTGATGTAAAGTGTATTAACGTTGAATGCTGAGATCATAGAAATTAATTGGAGGACTTTTATTTTAAAATTATAGGATGCAAATAATAACAGCAAACATTAAATGTTGGCCTAGGTCTGAATATTACTGAAGTCAATCGTCTTATTATGCTCATTACTCTTCCAAAGAGTAAAAAAGTGCATAGAAGAGAAGATTTTAAAATTAAGTAAATGATTAAATCACTTTTGAGAACATTAAAGATGACATGCTCATGATATAAAATTAGGAGAGTTAAGCCAATATCTGTATTTGTATGTAAAATCAATATAATGTAAAATCAATTTTTACATCAAAGTGAAATAAATTTTGCAAAAGATAAGTACGTGTGTGTACATATTCATATAATCTTATATATAGCAGTGGTCTTGAAATGGTAGAGTCATAAATGATTTAAGTTTATTTTTAGTATCTTCTTTTGTGTAATAAAGATGATAGTATATTTCCTAGTAATCAACAAAAATTCATAACTGTTTTAAAAACAGAAGTAAAGGTGACCTATTGAAAGCTTTATTGGACCTTTACAAATAGGGTACACTAAGCAAAGTGATCGTTTTTCGCTATTAATATTACAGGTATGGTGGTAGACACAAATACGTTCTGTGCTCAATTTGTAAGACTAGCAAAATGTATAATATCTAAGGAAAATTGTAAAATATATCCATTATACTTTATCTTTTTTTGAAAAATATAGCAACGATTTAAGTAGAGGGATGAAACATTATAATGACACACTACAGTCGTATTACAAAGTTCAGACAAGGCTTTTGGGTCTGCTATCAAAGTTTTAACTTATCAGCTATTTTACAAGAATCAATATACCTCAGGATCTGGTTCTCTTGACTTCAAACATTATATGATCACAATGACTAAGAGCAATCCCATTACTGGGTATATACCCAAAGGATTATAAATCATGCTACTATAAAGACACATGCACATGTATGTTTACTGCGGCACTATTCACAATAGCAAAGACTTGGAACCAACCCAAATGTCCATCAATGTTAGACTGGATTAAGAAAATGTGGCACATATACACCATGGAATACTATGCAGCCATAAAAAAGGATGAGTTCATGTCCTTTGCAGGGACGTGGATGAAGCTGGAAACCATCATTCTCAGCAAACTATCACAAGGACAGAAAACCAAACACTGCATGTTCTCACTCATAGGTGGGAATTGAACAATGAGAACTCTTGGACACAGGGTGGGGAACATCACATACTGGGGTCTGTAATGGCATGAGGGGATGGGGGAGGGATAGCATTAGGAGAAATACTGAATGTAAATGAAGAGTTGATGGGTGCAGCAAACCAGCATGGCACATGTATACCTATGTAACAAACCTGCACGTTGTACACATGTACCCTAGAACTTAAAGTATAATAATAATAATAAAAAGAACACCTTAGTTTTAATCAAATCATAAAGACTATGGGTCTAGCAAATGCCTGGTGCAACTAGAAAAGGCAGCATAAATTGAAGTCCCAGACTTTCCTTGAGACATAGGCTGCTTTTGAACACTATGTTGATCTCAGCTTGGGAACTGAAAATCACTTGTAAGGAATTCAATTCAATTTCTTTAATCTTTGAACTCATGAAATTAATGCAGGTGAGGTTATTTGTTTTCAGTGAGCCATTTAATATAACGAAGGAGGGTTTTTGTAATCCCTAATTAATTTTTGCCCTCAACCCACCAATTGATTAATAACCCAGGGGAGTGAACAGTCAGCCACCTGCCCCTCCCAAATAAGTGCTACTGCCATTAGGAATGTCACATTCAAAATCACCGTTGTTAAAATAATAACAAATTTGAGTAAAAGGTGATGGCATTAATGAGTCAAACGAATTTCAATTCTTACTGATTAATTGGTAAAATTTATATCATCATAAGCCCTGCAAATCTACCTTAAATAAATGTAGAAATGGAGAAATGAGCTATGGTTTTTATTGAGACTACGTCTACTATCCAAACAAATGTTTTTTTTGGGGGGATGGGGGGTGAGCATAATATAATATAGAACTGTGCAAGATGACTGGCTGCTATATTTAACTCAGATAAACACATAACAAATCATTATTCTGTAGTGAGAAGGCACACCTCATAGGCTCCTTTTTCTTTTTTTTTTCTGTCTTTTTTTTCTTTCCTCGGGGCCTGGATATAAGACCACAGCCATCTAAATAATCCTCCAGAAATAAACCAATGAAATTGTGAGTCTGACAACAGACACAGTATTATACCTGCAGCTGGTAAATGTTTCCATAGTCCAACCACCTTTCCAGTAAAAATTTTGTCCCCGGGGGAAAGTCAGCAGCAGCTAAGATTTTAACTACTTTTCTGCAACAGAAAAGTTTGGAGCAATTGAGCCTTTATAAATTTTAATATTTATGACTTTTATTTTTCTTAGGGAATTACCCACCCATCAAGTATATTGTGAAAATACTACTACTGTATTACTAAATTCCCATAAATAAATTCTTTTGAAAAATCTGGATGATTAACTATGAGGCTGCCTCGTAAGAAAATAAATAATTCCAAAATCATTTTGTTATTTTCCATAATTTGCTATGTTCATAATTAGTGAATGTGTATTTCAATTAAAGGAATATTAGAGGCTAGAAAATTTGTAAAAGTTAGGCCAGTTACCTGGAGTGTGAACCTCCACTGATTGGCCTGCTCTGTTTTGATAGCACCCCTAAATGTTGGAATGTTTGACTTTTGCATCCTACCTGTTCTCTCCTCTGTAGAAAAAGTATTTACTTCTATACAATCTTTCAGCCCATGAACATATTTCCAATAGATACTACGCTACTACGGGGGATATAACATAGTGAACTTAGTCTTTGCTATCAAGGAATCTAAAATGAAATTGAAAAGAAAGGGCAAAACATGAAATAGCAAGCCACCCAGAGTTTTGGTGAGAATATGAACAGTTACAACTGTTAAAATTTGCATTATTTGTCAAAATATGAAATTCATGAATGCTTTTACCTAACATGCTAGTCCCGTGAATCTAATGCATATGCATGTGTGTGTGACAAAGATATGTGTGTGTTTGTGGGGAGGTATGTATAGGTGTGTACACACACACACATATATACATATATATATGTGTATATATATAAAATGATGTCCACCAACACATTATCTGTAATAGTAACAAATAGCAATATGTGAAAGGAGTAGTCAAAGGAAAATAAATTGTAATCTTTTCTTATCCTGAGTTCTCTCAAGAAACACAGCCTGAGGGGCTGCATTGCTTGCAGGTTTATTTTGGGAATTGATTGCAATTGATGAGAGTAGAAGCATGAGAATAGTGTGACAGAAAAAGAGTGACTGCCAATCCTGACACATGATATTGATCTTGCCATTTCCAGGGCAATTGTATATCAATCTTGCTTGGGGACCTTCTGAAAAAATGAGTAGACTTTCCTTTGACAGTGTTTCTTAAGGGCTGGAATCTGATCTTTTGTGCCTCCAATACTCATGAGTTGCTCTATGGAACTTGTTTCCTTTCACCTTCAAGATTCTCATCTGTAAGAATCTCTGAGCAGTTGCCACAGGCTTCCCAGATGGTGCCCAAGAAACAGAAGGACAGAAAGGAGAAGGCAGGCAGTTCTACTGAGATGAGGGGCTGCCAGAGTCCACCGAGACCATCACAAAAGTGGAGTGAGCTTTGTTACAGCTGCATCCCAGAAATGCTTTATGTTCATTTTAATTTTCACTGAACTAAATATTCACTTGTCATTTGATTTTGACCCATCAGTTTTTCAGATGCAATGTTACTCAACTTCCAAACATTAAAGATTTCCCAGATATCTTTCTGTTACTGATTTTTAGCTCAATTCCATTTTGGATAGAAAACATACTTTGCGTAGTTTCAACAGTTTTAAATTGTTGAGTTTGTTTAATGGCAAAAAACATGACCTATCATGGTGAATTCTCCATGTGTGCTTGAATGTGTTCTGTGTTGTTGGGCAGTGTTCGCTATCAGTTAGGCTAAATTGGGTGACAGTCTGATTCAGGTCTTCTATTATTTCATAGGTTATCTGTCTACTTTATTATTAAATACTGAGAGAGAAATGTTTAAGTTTCCAATCATAATTGTGGATTTGTCTCTTTCTCCTGCTCTATCCATTTTTGTTCAATGTATTTTGATGTCCTGTTTTAAGGTGCATACATATTTAAATTATATCTTTGGTGAACTAACCTTGTTATCATTTTGTAATGTCCCTCATTATTTCTGGTAATATTCCTTTTATCCAGTCTAATTTATCTGATATGAATATAGTAATTCCACCTTTTTTGTTTTTTGTTTATGATGTGGTTCCTTTTACTTTAGTCACTCTAAGGTTTTACATTTCTAATGTTTTTTTTGTAGACAATATATAGTTGGATCTTGCCTTTTGTTTATGTAATTTCATCATGTCTATATTTTCATTCATTCTTTTAAAATAATTATTGGTTATTATCTCTTTAAATTTTCCCTCTTCTCTCTCTTCTGAAGGAACTTCAATTACACGTAGGTTGGGCCATTTGATATTGTCCCACAGCTCTTAAATGATCTGTGTAGTTTTTCCCATTCTTTTTACTTCCTGTTTCTTTTTGTGTTATTTCTATTTATCTATCTTCAGATTCATGTATTCTTTCCCGGGATGTATCAAGTTTACTAGTGAATATGCCTAAAGAATTCGTCCTCTCTTATATTGTTATTTTTGGTTTGTTTTTCATTTTGGCTTCTTCAATGTATTCTTTCTTAAAGCTTGCCTCTCTCTGCTGAAATTCCCATCTGTTCATGCATTTGTGTCTAGCTTTTTATAATATAGCAGCATAATTATATTAATCATACATATTTTAAAATATTTCTCTGGCTGTTCAACCGTCTGTGTCAATTTTCATTCTGGTTCTGCTGATTGTTTTATCTTTTACAATGCGTTTTCTAAAGTGAGTGTGTGTGTGTGTGTGTGTATGTGTATGTCTCATAATTTTTAATTAATTGTAACACAATAGGCATAGAACGGTAGAACATAATAGTATATATTGTGTGGTTTACACAGTATTTAAACGTGGAAATGCATGCTCCTTGTTTACTTGCTTATCGGGCTATACTTATTAAGGAGAGGAAAGTAGGAGTCAATTTAATAAGGAGTATGGCTAAGTTTGAGTTTTAATGTTATTGTGGTTGCCTTATTTCAGAGTTTTAGAACCTTGGTGTCACTGACATTTTTGTCTGGAGAATTCTTTCTTTGTTGGTGATGGTGGTGGCAGTGGTCATGGTAGTCCTGTGTACTATAGAAGGTTCTGCAGTATCCCTGGCCTCTATCCACTCAATGCCGGTAGCACTTTCCCATTCCCAGGTGTGCCAATTAAAAGGATCTCCAAATATTGTCAAAATTTCCCTGTGAGTCAAATTGCCCTCATTTGAAAACCAAAAGCTTCAAATCCTCTAAAAATGCCCTGTTTTTGTAATAGTATGTTTAGAGGGATTTTCCTCAATGTTCATGCCCCACCCAAGGCTGTCAGCTGGTCTGGTGTATGTGAGTCACAATCTTGTCTCTCCTCCAACACTACTTGACATTTCTAGTGTTAGGGGCAGAGGCACTTGCTCTGTTTTCTTGGTCTTAGTTAGACTCTGTGAACTCAGGCACCAGGAATGAGTCCTTCCCAGGAACCCTCTTTTTCTCTTCATGGCTCCTAAATTCTGCCTTATGTCTATGGAGGGTTTTTGTGGGAAATCATTTCCTGACCCTGCTCCAGCAGTCTCAGAATTCTGAAGGTATTTGTATAAGATCCTGGGTTATAAAATGTTTCCTTCTTGTCCTATCCCCCACTCTTAAGGTGGAGGAGAGTTTTTCTTTTATCTTTCCTCCCCTCCCACTCCCCCAAAAAGGAAACAACACAAAAATGAGTTCTACATGTGCTTTGGAAGTGGGAGTATGACAAGATTTACTATACTTCCCCCAATGGCTGAAGGAAAGGTGCTAATTAAGAGAGAAGTTTTATAATGTGATACATATACACCATGGAATACTATGTGGCCATAAAAAGGAACGAGATTATGTCCCTCATAGGGACGTGGATGGATCTGGAAGCCATTAACCTTGGCAAACTAACACAGGAACAGAAAACCAAGAACCACATGTTCTCACTTATAAGTGGGAGCTGAACAATGAGAACACATGGACACAGGGAGGGAAACAACACACACTGGGGCCTGTTGCGGGGAGCGAGGGTAGGGAGAGCATCAGGATAAATAGCTAATGCATATGGGGCTTAATACCTAGGTGATGGGTTGATAGGTACAGCAAACCACCATGACTCTGACAAAAGAAAGAAAGGAAGGAAAGGAAGGAAGGAAGGACAGACGGACGGACGGAAGGAAGGAAGGAGGGAGGGAGGGAGGGAAGAAAATTCATGATTTTGATTTTTATTATCTTTAATATTTTTATTGTTAAAATGAGTATGACACTTTCCAGTCTTCTATGTCCTAGGCAGAAACAGAAATCAAATATTGCTCTTGGTGTACGACCTTGGCAAGCAGCAGTAAGTGTAGTTCTAGAAACTTACATAAGGTCTCCCCAACAGGCCAAGGCACCGAGGTGTAGATTTGGCCAACTCTTAAATATGTAAATGGTAATTGCATTATGCAGAAGTTAAACATCTCTTTAGCTGATTTTGCAATTAGTGTTAAATTAGTGATTAGTTAAGAATAGCCTTTCATTGTTCTTCTCCAGTGCATTGATGGTGCACAGAAATAACCACTGGATTGTATTTTTCTTGTAAATATTACTTCCCCCAACTTCTCAATTGTTTGAGATGCTGCCCCAATTAGTGCTTTCCCTTCCATTAATATTCCATCAAGTATTCTTTAAGCCCTTGGGTAGTGGTGCTGGCAGAGGTATTACGGGCAGAGAAGGAAAGCCAACATCCAGCCAATTCTGGTAAAAATGGATCACAGCCTCACAGCAGTGTAGAAGGAGTCTAATATAATCAATCTTCCACCAAATAGCTGGCTGGTCTCTTCTAGAGCATAGTATCATCAAGAGTTCTTCATAGGCCTCTGCTGCCTATAATTTGGGCATTCCATGATGAAGTCTTCTCCATTAGGTTTAATTAAAGGGAGCCCATGCTGTTTGGCTTAGGACTAGTCCCGTATGGCCATCTTGTTCATGGTCCTACTGAACAAGCAGAGGAGTGGCCATGGAGCCATATGCCTGGCCTTATACTCCAGCTGGATAATCGGGTACTTTCCTATTGAGTCCTACAAATGCAACAATTGAAACAGGCAGATTGTTGCTGACAGCACGTATTTCCCCCCTCCGTCTTCATTCAGGGTTCACCTATAGCCTCTTTCAGGTGTGATTTTTTGCCCTCTGAAAGCTGACTTATTGGGAAGGATGCTCTTCTAAAGTGTCTAGGCCCACACTTCTGTGCTAATTACTCATCTGGAACCCAGATTTATGCTTCAGGCAACCATCAGAAGGGGGTGCTATGAAATTCTATAAATGACTCTGTGAGAATCATGTTGATATAAATTTGCTGACAATCTTGATTTCTGATCTATAGGTTTCCTTACTCTCCCAACCTAGAGTATATTTGAGTTCATTTGCAAAGATAGTTTGCTCAGATTCTTATTATAAGAAATGATTTTTTCTGCATAGATTCTTAGATATTGTCTCTTATCTAAACATAACTAAATAAAATTAATCTATGAAAACAGGTTAATAAGAAAACATATTAAGTAAGAGAAAAAAATATATATACATAGTACATGTACCAACTGCTTTGTCTAGGCCCTGATCCATTACAGAAAATATAAAAAGAACTTAGGACAACTAAGTGTATTGGTAAATTTTAAGAAAATCTCATTCTGCTATCAAAAATGTAACACAACATATTATACTCATATGATCATGTAGTTTATAAAACACTAAAAAGTATTATGCTTTAGTAATTTTCTTTCAAAAAGGATATGAAATTAAAGGATAACATATAATATCTCATGAACTATATCTCTAAAACATGTCAATTGATGATTTCTTATCAAATAAAATCTTTGACCAGTTGACTGCTTTACCCTCACAAGTGAATTTTTTCTAGGTGACAAACGCCCAGCAAATTGATTATAGAGAAATGCATGCTTATTATGATAACTCAGTAATTAAAATATGCCCTCGATGCTTAAAGACAAAGCTATTAACTATCACTCTTCTCCACTTCACCCACACAGTGTTTAAAATCACAGGATCATGGAATAACTAACAAAATCATTTTAAGGGTCTAGAACCATCCATCCTAATAAGCATTAATTTACTACTGAAGATACTTTGTTGAAGCAGTAAGAATATTTGCCAAAAAAATATTTTAAGCTTTCTGTTGTCATTGTTAACATTTATTTCATTTTTGTCATGTGGTCACAGTTTCCTTTTGACACGTCTTAGATAAGAGCTATCCACTTGCCTATAAATGTTGACATGGCATAAGTGAGAGGTAAGTGAAGACTTTTCAGACTGCTTCTGTGAGGTTGAAGCCATTAGTGAGAGTGTATAAAATGTTCAAAATATTGCCCTAGAGGTTTATATTTTTTACATGCTTTCATTATAACTATTTCAATGTTTTAAATAAATAAATATCACCAGTCTGATCACTATTGTTTTATGGTAAACTAAAAACATACCTATTGTGAACACACTTAATTTGTTATATATAGGCAGCAAAACAAGTATAAATGAAAGATGGCTTTCATTATCTTAATCCTCACCTTTTGCAGCTTCAAATACATTTTAGAAAAAAAAGTAAAGTAAGAATAAATAAATAATAAAGTAATTTTCCTTTGGGTTTTGGGAAAAGATGGACTTTCGTTAAATTCACATTTTGCACTTTCTCAAGTTTCTTCTTATGTCTGTTTACATATTTGTGTGATGGCTGACTAGGGCTTAGAGGTAACATATTTAACTATGGAAAATTTTTCTCTGCACATCCATATGGCCTAGTTAATACAGTTATTGAGTTAAATTTGCACACTTACTCTAGGAAAATCAAGTCTTTTTCTAAGAATTCCTTTTGCAGGCATGTTTCTGTGTCCTGTAGACACAGAAAAATATAATTTGGAGCTGGTGCAAGCCTACTGAATAACTTCATATGGGACCTGTCATACCTTGGAAACTTTGCACTCTGAGCCATGTAGGTGCGTGCATGGCCTCTGAGCTAAGTCGACAATAACCTAGGAGCTCTTCTACCCCACTGAGGTTATATTTTGCAACTGCTTCTGTATTCTCTTTGAACCCCATGCTATGTGTATTTGTCTGTTTTCACACTGCTATAAAGAAACACCTAGGACTGGGTCATTTATAAAGAAAAGAGGTTTACTTGACTCACACTTTTGAATGTCTGGGGAGACTTGGGGAAACTTACAATCATGGTGGAAGGGGAAGCAGGCACATCTTACATGGAGGCAGGTGAGAGAGAAGTGCAAGCAGTGAAATGACAAATGCTTTTAAAACTATTAGCTCTCGTGAGAACTCACTCACTATCATGAGAACAGCATGGAGGACACCAGCCCTAAGATACAATCAGCTCCCGCCAAGTCTCTCCCTTGACACAGGAAGAGAATGGGAATTAAAATAAGAGATGAGATTTGAGTGGGACACAGAGCCAAACTGTATCATCATCAAATGCTCAACTAAAAGCCTTCAGCCTGCTGGTGTTGGTTGTCTCAAAGACTATTGTCACCAACATTGTCAATAGGAATGCCAGAAACCCACAGACAATGCTGCTGTTGTTGATGACCTTGCCCAGACTTCATAGTTCGTAGCCTAAGCCCTGGAAGTCCCAGAGAGATATGACCTGGTCTGGTCAAGATCCCTACATTTCTCATGATCACTTAAAACTCCCCACTAAGAGTAAGCCAGGCATTGGAACCATGAGAAGTAAGAGTGTGTGAGAAAACTCCCTTTGCCCACTAGGTGGCTTTACCACAGGAAACTACCTTTCACCAAGTGGTGTGCTGCATTATGATGTATCTCTTTCCGTAGTCACATACACACAGTCATATTCCTTGAGGAGCAGTGATTAGAAGGACAGGGTGCATGTGCAACAGCTGATTGTCTTGGGTTGGGCACTTCACCCAAGCTTGGCCAATGACATTCTTTCTTTGGCAGTATTTTGGAATGAAACAAAAATTATCAGGGAAGCTTCCTCCAGTTAAGAAGGTTCCCAAACGATGAGGTGTTGTATTAGTCCAGAGACTCAGTTCTCCAGAGAAATAGATCTGTTCTAACCAATAGGAGATACACACATAAAATACATATAAAATGAGGATTTGGCTTATGTGGTTATGAGGCTGCTACATTCCGAGGTCTGCAGTTGACAAGCTAGAGGCCCGGGAGAGCTGATAGTGTAGCTCCAGTTTGAATCTGTGTCCAAAGCAAAAGAAGACCAATCTGTTCCAACTCAAAGACAGTAAAGAGAGAGAGAAAATTCTCCTTGGTTCAACCTTTTGGTTCTAGTCAAGCTTGATTAGATTGGATGAGGTCCACTCACATTGGGTAGGACAATCTGCTGTATTCAGTCTACTGGTTCAAATGTTAATCGCATCTAGAAAGACCCTTAGAGACGCATCCAGAATAATGTTTAACTAAATATCTGGACTCCTGTGACCCAGTCAAGCTGACACAAATTAACCATCACAAGTATCAACAGTTGAGGTATTATCCGTGATAATTTACTTCATGAAGAGAAAGGTATTCTGTTGTGAGATGACAGGATGACGCTGCCACACTTCATAGAGAAAAGCAGAAAACCATGGAAGAGAAAATTCCCTGGAGGCATGCACACCTTGTTGCTAGATGTTTCAGGGACACACCTGTTTTCTTACTTTTCCCAGGGCTGGGTTGACTTAAGAAATATTATAGGGACCTGTAATTAAATTCCCATATTTTCTTTAGTTTCAATTCAAACTTGGTTTCAACGATTAGACACTAAAGCTATAAGCTAATACATGTGACTAAGTTTGATTAAAAGATGACTCAATGAGGAGACAAGCAGGCTGGGTTCTATCCTGTGTGTGCTACAGATTGTCTGAGCTCAGAGAAGTCACTTACCCTTTTAAAACTTCAAGTATCTCATCTATTACTCACTATCAAACAAATACATATTGAACACATATTCTGTGCCAGACACTGTGGTAACACCAGGTTTGCAGTGAGAAAAAAACAAACACGATCATAATTTATAAAAGGTGCAGCTAGAATTTGACCCCAGGACTCTCTGCCTCTAATGCTTCTCAACACTCTAATACATTTAAAGCCCCATATTTTTCCACTATATCCAGCTTTTTATATACAGCAAAATAATGTATTCCCCCAAATAATACAATATGTATTCAAACATAAGTAGATATCTCAGTACCATATATATAAACAAATATAAATTATGTATACCCACATGCCATTTAAAATATGTTTCATGTTAAAATTACATTTGGGGGTCATGTTGTGAAAATAAAATAACTGTTGATTTATGAGTCTTCATAAGAGGCCGATTCTTCCTTATAATAAAAGTTATTTATGTCGTTCCTGTTAAGACGAGAAAGTTTCACCATGCGGGAGAAAGCCATTGATTTCCTTTTGGGGATCTTAAAAGTTATTTTCTACTTCCTAAGGTAGAAAGGAGACCTCTATGTACTCTGTTTTATGCATCCCATGCTTATCTTCCCTTCAAAACCCATTCAATCCCCCCATGATCTGTGCCCATGAATCTCTCCTTGGCCTCTTCCACTGCGTGATATTGCACTGCTCTAAACTAATGGAATTGATTTCCCTTTCAACAGTGGGGTGGGGGAACACCGGATGGAAGCAGATAGCAACACTCCCAGAACAGGGAAACTGGTTTGAAAAGCTTGAGGGTGAAATTGCTGCAGGGCCAGAAATAGAGAGCAGCCTTCTGAAAAAGAGAAGGTCACAGATCCAAACAAAGAATGTTTATAATCTGTATGATTGCCAGGTTTTTTGGATAACAGTGACCCAGCAGATTGCTTATGCTGAGTCACTTATGCTATTCCTGGGAAGAGAATAGATTTTTTTTTCTTTTCTTTTTTAAAATTTTCCTTTCTTTTACTTTTTTTTTTTTTTTTTTTTTTTTTTGACACAGGGTCTGGCTCTGTTGCCCAGCCTGAAGTGCAGTGGCTCAATTATGGCTCACTGCAGCCTCGACCTCCTGGGCTGAAACGATCCTCCTGCCTCAGCCTCCCAAGTAGCTGGGACCACAGGCATGAGCCACCACACCCAGCTAATTTTTTAATCTTTTGTGGAGACAGGGTCTTACTATGTTGCCTAGGCCTGTCTCAAACTCCTGGGCTCAAGCAATCCTCCCACCTCAGCCTCCCAAAACATTAGGCTTATAGACGTGAGCCATCACACCTGGCTAAGAACAGATTTGAATGTTGTCAGAATGAAGTAAACAGATAGATATATGACTACTTTATTTGAGCAGGTGAAGTTCCAGTGTGTGGAATCCTAACTTTCCCACTGATTCCTTTTTTGTTATTATTATTTTTCATTAGCATAAAATTTGTTTTGATGAATTTTCTCATGGTGTATGTATCATAAATGTGTAGAGTATTAGTTAATTTTGATTAATCAACTTCAAAGCTCTCAGTGTCTTACACCAACCATATTTTTCTTGGCTTATGGCAGCTGCCGCTCATTTTCTTACTCATGGGTGACCAACTATGGCTCCTCGGACTTGACTGGAAGGAGCTGGGCTTCACTACGTAGTAAAGTTGGGTTCAAGTTGACACCACAGGTTTCTACATTCTCCTTGGGCCAGTAGCATCCTTTTTTCTTCCTGGTGGATCTGAGAAGCACAAGTAGGCAAACAAAATACCAAAAATATGCTTAAAGCCTCTGTGTGTGTCTAATGTCCCCTACCATTCCACTGGCTAAAGAAAGTTACATGGGTGTACATCCAAGTCCTGCAGCAGTGTCAGGAACATTTCTCTGTACATGAGCGGGGGGTCTACAGTTATATGAGAATGTAGTTGTTACAAAGGAGTGAATAACTGACACTAATAATCCAATCCATCTCACAAAATTGACAATAAACAGTACCAAATGTTTCTAAGAAAAATACCATTCTTTCTGAACACCTAATCCTGCTTCTGGGAGACAAATCTTTTCTATTTCTTTTACTGTTTACCTTCATCTATTTATCTATGTTTATGTGTGTGTGTATATATATTTACATATAGTTACGTATATATGTAAATATATATATATATATTTCGAGGTGGAGTTTTGCTCTGTCACCCAAATTGGAGTGCAGTGGCGTGATCTTAGCTCACTGCAACCTCCGCCTCCAGGGTTCAAGCAATTCTCCTGCCTCAGCCTCCTGAGTAGCTTGGATTATAGGCGCCTGCCACTGCGCCTGGCTAATTTTTGTAACTTTAGTACAGATGGGGTCTCGCCATGTTGTCCAGGCTGGTCTCGAACTCCTGACCTCGTCATCCACCTGCCTCAGCCTCCCAAAGTGCATGGATTACATGCGTAAGCCACCACACCCGGTCTGTTTATATTTTTAAATATATTTAGGAAATGGTAATGTGCTTATATTTTGTATAAATTTGTATTCATACATATTCATCAATTTCAGATGTTATCTGTCAAATTCCTGTAATAGGAGACAAGGGTTTAACTTTGTTGTTTACTCATATGTTCCCTTCTCCCACTGTATCAATATAATATTATCACAATTTGGGGATTTAATCTGTTATCAGTGTTTATGTTATAATTCACTGCTTACATGCTACTTTTCAAATTTCCTCACTTATTGATTTTATATTTGCTTAAATATCTTTATACCTTTGTTCTAAAAATTCCATCAAGCTCCTGTCACTAAGTTTTTCTAATATTGAAAGCACAGATACTAGCATGCTGTTAATTTCACCCCCATCCCTTAGTACACACTGAGTTTTGCCTCCTCTTTTGCACTAGCTGCCGCGGACTCCTGGTGCAAAATTATTCTCCTTGAACTTTCTTCTGTGCTTGAGATACTCTACTAGTACTCAATATTCTACTAGTATTCAAAGTTTCCACTGAGAAGTCTAATTTCAAATTCTTAGTAGGTGATCTGTTTTATTCCTCCTCCGTACGTTTTTAGTATATCCATTTTATTTTTTGAATGTCTGAATTACCAAACAGTGCATCTTATTGATGATTGCTTTTTTAATTAGTGGCTTTTCCAAACTGAAGACTCATTTTCAGGTTTGGGAAATTGTCTATCATTATTATCATTATTATTATTTATTTTATCCCCTCTCTGAACCTCCTAGAGTTATTCCTATTTTCATTATTTTTTCCTCTTATTTTTCATCCATTGTATATTTGTTGTGATTTCCAGAAGATGTTTTCTCTTACTGATTGTTCTGATCGTAGTTACCATCATCTCTTGACTCGATTAATAAAATAGCCTTTGAACTCATTTTCCTGAATTTACCTTTGCTTCATTGGTGTCCAGGCACAAAACACCAAACATAGAGACCCTTTTAAATATGATGTCGGCCCAAATGTTCTCTCCTTCAGACGCGGTAATGGTTTGGATGTACAGTTCACTCAGAATGAAAGCTGACATCTTTGCAACAGTCGACAGGCCACTTCTCCATCTGGACTATGGTCAGCCCTCCGTTGTACTCTCTGGCTTTTCTTCCTTTCTCTCAGACTGTCCTAGACACATCAGTGACTTTGCTACTTTTCTACATAGTGCTGGTCTTATGAAAATCAAACATGGGTCACACGTGAAAGCCACATGTGTGATTTTACATTTTTAGTAGCCAGTTTTTTGTTTTTTATTTAAGAAAAAAAAGACATTTTAGGCTGGGCGGTGGCTCATGTCTGTAATCCCAGCACTTTGGGAGGCCGAAGTGGACGGATCACTTGAGGTCAGGAGTTGGAGATTAGCCAGACCAAGATGATGAAACACCATCTCTACTAAAAATACAAAAAATTAGCTGGGCGTGGTGTTGCCTGCCTGTAATCCCAGCTCCTCCGGAGGCTGAGGTGGGAGAATCGCTTGAACCTGGGAGGCAGAGGTTGCTGTGAGCCAAGATCACACCACTGCACTCTAGCTTGAGCGACAGAACAAGACTGTCTCAAAAAAACAAAACAAAACAAAACAAAAAACAAACAAAAACATTTATTTATAACTAGTCTCTCTTTTTTTTTTTGTCTGAGACCTCACTGTTAATTGAAAACCACTGATTGCTCATTAGTACTAAGGGTCAAGAGTTTTCAGTAAGTCACAGAAACAGAGAGCAAAACTGTGTTTACCAGAGGCTGGCGAAGTGGTCTGGGGAATGGGGACATGTGAATTCAATGGACACATAGTATTTCCGTTAGATATGAGGCATGAGTTCAAGAGATCAATTGTACATCGTAGTGACTACAGTTAATAGTAATATATTTAATATTTGAAAATTGCTAAGAGAGTATATTTAAAGTCTTCTCATTACCAAAGAAAATGATACATATTTGAAGTAAGGCATATGTTAAATAGCTTGACATAGCCACATAGCCTTTCTACCGTGTGTACATGTAACATAGTATCATGCTGTATACCATAAGGACTATATATGTAATTTTTCCTTGTCAATTAAAATAAATTTCTTAAAACAATGTTTTTAAAAAGTCAGTAATTTGAACACAGATGTCTAAATAATGCCAGGTTCAAACTTAGATTTAAACATTTAAAATATCCAAAGGAGATTCTCTTACTCTCTCTGCTTTGCTTTACTGTAAGAGATAGAATTCATAGAATTCTAAGTTTACTTTCTCTGGCCAGGCACAGTGGCTCACGTCTGAAATCCCAGCACTTTGGGAGGCCGAGGCTGGCTGATCACTTGAGGTCAGGAGTTTAAGACCAGCCTGGCCAATGTGGTGAAACCCCACCTCTACTAAAAATACAAAAGTTATGCAGGTGTGGTGGCGCATGCCTGTAGTTTTGGCTACTCAGGAGGCTGAGGCAGGAGAATTGCTTGAACCCAGGAGGCAGAGGTTGCAGTGAGCCAAGGCTGTGCCACTGACTCCAGCCTGGGTGACAGAGAGAGAATCCAACAAAAAAAAAAAAAAAAAAAAAAAAGAGAGAGAGAAAACAAAATACTATCTGCATGCTGAAACTTTCCCATGAAAACTGGATAAAGATATGACGAGATTAAAGGAAGACACTAAATTTCTAAATCTTTCTTCCGATAAAATAGTTTAGACAAGATTAATTTGGAAAAAATTCTGGTAAAATCCTTCTAACATGCCCAACTCAGAAAGAGCGTGGTGGAGACTTATGGCCAAAATAGGGCTTGGGATTGAGATCAAGTGCTCCAAATGAGTTTTCTTTTGTGTCCCAGATGAGAAACATATTTGGAAGAATCTGTGAGAGAAATATGCCAGGCAGAAAGTCTGAAAGACAATGAACTTTCTTCTTGATCAGGCAGACCCTGTCACTGATATTTCAGACAGCAGCACCAAAAAGAGTATCAGAGACAGACATACTGTGTACAGGGAGTGAAGGCAAGCAAAACAGAACAGGGACCATTGATAGCTGTCCCCAGTAAGGCATTTTCCCCAAGCAAGAAGAGATAAACTGCCACTGTTGAAAATGCCGACTTGTCTTACGCTTTGTGCTGCTGAAGTGGCACTGAAAATGTATATCTATTGTATCTATTCATATGAAGTTGGGTTGCTCTAACAAAAAATCCAAGCTAGAATGTCTTAAATAAGATATATTAAGTAATAGTGATAGAAAGTAGAGAGGAGTATATAGAATACTGGAATTCCAGAAAACGAGACTGGAAAATATAGAACAGAAGTAATAATAAAAATAGAATAAGATATAATCCTGAGTAAAAGACCCAAATCTGAAGAATATATAGGTACGCGATACATCAGGCAAAATTAATCAAAATAGACTGATATAGACAACTGCATCTCAAAAGAATAAGAAGAAGAATCCAAGAGTGTAACAACATAAATAATGCAAAATTTGCTACTAATAATAACAAAAAATCAGGCTCCTTTCAATGCCTTCTCCTCAGCATTAAACACAAGAATTCAAGATTTGAAGGAAATAAGTTATTTCAAAAGATACCTATTATCAAACAAAGTACAATTCAAATGTGAATATAATGGCAAGACAGGCTCCTATACTTTCTCTGAAAGCACTAATTGAAGATATCCTTCAGCTAACTGCATCACAATAAAGACTTCAAAAGTGGACAGTTTCTAGAAAGCATTAAAGGTGGAAAGCACAAAAACTATTTAAACTAGTCATAGAAAAACAAGCATTATAAATGTAATTATAAAACAAAACACAACTAATTCTTGTAAGAGCAGACACATAAAATGTTAATCATAAACAGATTCTAAATTGCTGGGTCGTATCCCCAAAACTGGGCAACTGCGATTTAAAGAATAAAAATGTGCTACTTCCCTCATTTTAAATAGGAATAAGTAGATACTACTTTGTCACTGACATTGGTAAACAGAAAAGATTAAGTTCAACTGTGCTGTTTTCAACAAAATAAAAGGTGACCATTTGTGTAATTAAAAATCATATTAAATATTCAAGGCAAACAAATTGTAACTCATACTAGAAAAGTAAAAAGAAAACAGCCAGAAACATAAGATAGGAATAATGAAACTTGATATCCAAACAGTAAATTTATTAGTGATGACAATAAATACAAATAGGATAAAACTCCTCAATAAAAGACAAAAACTCATATAAGTAAAAAAATGCAATCCAGAAACTTGCAAGAAATGAGACAACATGGGAGTTTAAATTTTTAAAATCTCCTCTTCAAAAATAAAATGAGATTTATGGAGTAAATATAGCAACAATGTGTTTGTACAGTCAATGGTAAGTACAGTCAATTAGTACAGTCAATGAAACAAGTTAAGGGCCCTCAGCCAAACATAAATAGTGTAAAGTGCGGAATGAATTGCACCCAATTGAAAGAATTAGCAAGAAGTCCACAATTGGATCCCTACAAGAAAGAGCAGAATAGAGCAAAGTAGTAAAGGTAGAGAACAATATCTTAAAACGTTTGCTGCTATTCCTCTAAATTAGTGAGGTCATCAGTGGAGGTATTTGCAGTCATTTGGAATGTTCTTTGAGCCTTTCTTCCTTGATATAGTTTGGCTGTGTCCCCACTCAAATCTCATCTTGAATTTCCACATGTTGTGGGAGGGAGCCAGTGAGAGGTGACTGAATTATGGGGTTGGATTTTTCCTGCCCTGTTCTCCTGATAGTGAGTGAGTCTCAGGAGATCTGATGATTTCAAATATGGGAGTTTCCCTGCACAAGCCCTCTTCTCTTGTCTGCTGCCATGTGGGACGTGCCTTTCACCTCCCACCATGATTGTGAGGCCTCCCCAGCCACATGGAACTGTAAGTCCAATAAACCTCTTTGTTTTGTAAATTGTCCAGTCTCGGGTATGCCTTTACTAGCAGTGTGAAAAAGGACTAATACATTCCTCTTGGTGGAGAACCATCAACAACATAAAAGCACATTGGCGAGAGTCAGAAGAAGCAGTCTAGTTTAGCCTTCTCATGCTAACCTCATCATCCTCTTGCAAAATAGTAATTGCAAGCAGACCAATGTATAATGTCCTAATTCTAATTCTTTGACAGGAAACAAATAACTGTGATTGGAAAAAAACAATTGTTGAGCCCCTGCAAGTGAAATATTTAAATCCACAAGACCTCCCTACCTTTGAGGCAAGAAAGGCAAAGATTGATCCAAATGGGAAGAGATGGTGGCTGGTTCCACAAGAGTGGACCTCAGTGCATGATGCATAACACAGCTGAAGACCAGCAACATGCTGGCACTTCCCACATAGAGCCCTTGCCCATCTCTTTTTATTTTCCTTTCAGTCAACTAATATATAACATCTTAATATTCATGCTTCAACTAGTCATTCTGTCAGGAAGCATTTGATCTGTGTCTAGGTTAAAGGAATTACAAAAAATAAACAATACAAATGAAATCTAAAATGAGGTTTGGATAATAAACAGGGGAGAAGAGTTAGTGAGGTTTGAGGGATAAAGGAATGTTTAAGTATTATAGAGTTGCAGTAAGTAGAAATTTGATGCTATAGAAGAAATAACATTTATTAGTGAAATTAAACATAAATTTCTCAAACAGTTTCCAAGCTAGGTGTTTTAGTCAGGGTTCTCTAGAGGGACAGAACAAATGGAATATATATATATTATATATATATTTATATACATTATATATATTTATATTATATATTTATATTATATATATTTTATATATTTATGTTATATATATTATATAATATATTTATATATAAATATATATTTATATTATATATATTTATATTATATATAGAATATATATTTATATAATATATATTATATATATTATGTAATATATTATATAAATATGTATTATATAATATATATTATATTATATATATTTATATAATATTAATATAAATATATATTTATATTAATACATATTATATAATATAAATATAAATATATATTTATATTAATACATATTATATAATATTAATATAAATATATATTTATATTAATATGTATTATATAATAAGATAAATATATATTTATATTATGTATTATATAATAATATAAATATATATTTATATTATATAATATATATTATATAAATTATATAAAATAAATATATATTATATAATATATATTTATATATAAATATATATTATACAATATTTATATATTTATATATAAGATATATATATTATATATTTACATATTTATATATAATATATAATATATATTATATATAATATGTATATTTATATAATATATATTATATATATATTAATATATATTAATATATTTACATCTATGTATATATTAATATATATTTATATAAATATAATTATATATAATTAAATATATAACTATACATATAATTATATATAATTACATATGATTATGTATATTAGTATATATTTATATATTGATATATATTTATATAAATATACATATTTTTATATATTTATAGATTAATATATATTTATATATATATATATAAAGGGGAGTTTATTTAGTATTAATTAACATGATCACAAGGTCCCGCAATAGGCCATCTGCAGGCTGAGGAGCAAGGAGAGCCAGTCTGAGTTCCAAAACTGAAGAACTTAGAGTCCAATGTTTGAGGGCAGGAAGCATCCAGCACAGGAAAAAGATGTAGGCTGGGAGGCTAAACCAGTCTAGGCTTTTCACGTTTTTCTGCCTACTTTATATTCTGGCCAAACTGGCAGCTGATTAGGTGTTGTCCACACAGATTAAGGGTGTGTCTGTCTTTCCCAGCCCACTGACTCAAGTGTTAATCTCCTTTGGCAACACCCTTACAGACACACCCAGGATGAATACTTTGAATCCTTCAATCCAATTAAGTTGACAGGCAGTATTAACCATCACAAGTCCACTCCTTGTTAACTTGAACCCATACACATCTCCTGAGATCATATATAATCTTCAAATGAAGAAAAGAATGAGGTCATAATTATGCCTAACATAATACAACTATCCTTACTACATCAGGAAAGGCACCGATCCCCAACCCAAATATTATTACATAAAGTTAACAATACTTAAATGCTGATGTGAAGTCAATAAATTTTATGTCATATGATAAAGGAGAAAGGAAATAAAATGAAGGTACTTTCTTATGCGGAAATATGTTTACCAAAAGAAGGAGGAAATACTCATGACAATTACAGTCCTCATTTCTGCAGCTGGTCATGTGGTCATAACTGGTATTGATGACTACCTTCTTCTACCACCCATTCTGTATTCCTTTTGCCTCCAGCAAGCAACTCAGCAGGTCGTGGATTTTTTTTTTTTTCCTGTTGGTGTGACCCAAACCTTCATTCCTGAAGGGTCTGGTAATTTGTAGTCCTCCCTGAATTGGGCTATTATAGTTTCCCATTGACCTTAATCACAGGACATGGTAATACTAAGAGATGCCCTAATGGATCTCCTGTATTCCGGGCACACTCTTCCTACCTCCGTTGTGGAGTAGTAGATCGATTTCATCTTGATAGTCTGGGTCAGTCACCCCAGCCAACACTGTAACTCCTTTCTTAGCCTGTTGACTTCAAGGTAGGAGGATCCCAAAGTGTCCAGGTGGCAATCTTAAATTCTAGTTTAATGGAATCATTGTCGTGTCTCCTGGTGTCAGTGTTCCTCCCTCTGGAACTAAGACCTTTAGGCCAGTAGAACATAATGTCACTGGAACAGGAAGCAGAAATTTTGCTAGTGGATCACTAGGTGAGTGGTGCCACTTCCACCCCTTGATTTCTAGACCCGTGAATCCTGGCTATGGGAGAAATAGTGCCATACATTGGATGCTGAGTCAGAGCATATAGGGCCTTCTGGAGAACTTTGCCCCAATCCTCCAAAGTATTGTCACCTAGTTGGGTTGTAATTGTGACTTCAAAAGGTCATTCCACCATCTATCAATCCAGCTGCTTCAGGATGATGGAGAACATGGTAAGGCCAGTGAATTCCACGAGCATGAGTCCACTGCTGCACTTCTTTAGCCATAAAGTGAGTGCCTTGGTCAGAGGCAGTGCCGTGTGGAATACCATGACGGTGAATAACACATTCTATGAGTTCACAGACGGTAGTCTTGGCAGAAGCATTGTGTGCAGGATAGGCAAACTCATATCTGGAGTCAGTGTCTATTTCAGTGAGGACAAACCTCTGCTCTTTCCATGTTGGTAGAGGTCCAATATAATCAACCTGCCACCAGCAGATCACCCCGAGGAATGGTGCCATATCGAGGGCTCAGTGTTGGTCTCTGCTGCTGGCAAATTGGGCACTCAGCAGTGGCTATAGCCAGGTCAGCCTTGGTGAGTGGAAGTCCATGTTGCTGGGCACATGTGTAACCTCCATCCCTGCCACCATGGACACTTGGTTCATGGGCCCATTGGGTGATGACAGGGGTGGCTTGGGAAAGAGGCTGAGTGGTGTCCACAAAACAAGTCATCCTATCTCCTTGATTATTAAAATCCTCCTCTGCTGAGGTCACCTGTTGGTGAGCACTCACATGGGATACAAATATCTTCACAGTTTTTGACCACTCCGAGAGGTCCATCCACATACCTCTTCCCCAAATTTCTTTGTCACCAATTTTCCAATCATGCTTCTTCCAAGTCCTGACCGTCCAGCCAAGCCCATTGGCTACAGCCATGAATGGGTTTATAGAATCACATCTAGCCATTTCTTCTTCCATGCAAAGTGTACAACCAGGTGCACTGCTCAAATTTCTGCCCACTGGGGAGGTTTCCCTTCACCACTGTCCTTCAGGGATGTCCTAGAAAGGGGCTGTGGTGCTGCAGCTATCCACTTTCGGGTGGTGCCTGCATATTGTGCAGAACCATCTGTGAACCAGGCCCTAGTCTTCTCTTCCTCTGTCAACTGATCATAGGGAGCTCCTCTGAGGCCATCAGTGTAGGATGGGGGAGAGGAGGCAGGGTGGCAAGAGTGGAGACTATGGGCATTTGAGCCACTTCCTCATGTAACTTCCTTGTGCCTTCAGGACCTGCTTGAGCCTGATCACATATATACCACTTCCATTTGATGATGGAATGCTGCTGTGCACAACCCACTTAATGGCTAGATGGATCAGAAAGCACTCAGTTCCTGATAGGCAGTTCAGGTCACATGGTGACTTGAGGACCCATAGTCAAATGTTCAGTTTCCACCAAAGCCAAATAATGGGCCAAGTGCTGTTCCAGTAGTTATCTGCAGAAGATGGCAGGGCCTTGCTCTATAAAGATTCACTACATAAATTGTCAGTAATGTAGTAGTGTCCTCCCTAAAGGAGACCCAGCCTCCCCTTCATTAAAGGGGTTCTGGGTCTATAAACTGGCTCAAGTCTGGAAATTGATTGAAGGGGCGTGATTCTATGTTTTTATAATTCAAATTAGTCTTTTGTCCATTTGACCTCTAAGTTTTCTGTGTATATAAATTAAGTAGGAGTGCAGTAGGTTTCCTATCAATTTCACTTCTAGGAACACAGTGATTCATTAGCCAATGCCATAGCTCTGCATGAATCAGACTATTCTGATTGCCGCTTTGCCTCTGCTGTTCATTACGGTAGCTATGCCCACCTTGCCTTTGACATTTGAGTGCTGCCACTTGGACCCTGCTACCTTGGCATCCAATTATTCCCATTGTTTTTAAATTTTGTAGTTGAGTGACTGCAGTTCCCACTGTTAGATCTGACATACAGAGAAGAGCAATTACGGGGCTCTTCAAAGATGTGGGTGCTGCCCTCACAAATCTATTTCGCAAGACATTGGTCAAGGGTATATCTTCTGGACCTTCCCAGCTGGGATGAGTAGGTCTAAAGTGACTAATCCACTCCACCATCCCAATCTCCCTAAGCCTTTGGATCCCTTCCTCTACATTAAACCAAGGGAGATCAGGCATTTCCACCTCACTCACAGTGGGCGAACTTTTAATCCATATTTCAGCTAACCAAACAGATAAACTTTTAGAACCTTTTTTTAACTCCCCAGGCTGCAACATTAAATGCAGAGTCCTTACTTAGTGGGCCCAAATCAATAAATTCAGCCTGATCCAACTCTATGTTTCTTTCACCATCATCCCACACCCTTAATATCTATTCCCATGCCTGTTCTCCAGATCCCTGTTTATATAAATTAGAAAACTCAAGCACTTCTTTTTAAGTGTAGCACACTTCCTCATGGGTCATACTCTCAGTCCCATCTCTATGGGCCTACCAGGACTTTAGTCTAGTTATAGGTCTAGAAGCAAACAGGAGTGTTGCGGGTGGCTCCTGAGGAGAATCAACATTACCTTGCCTGGCAACTGCCTCATGGGAGGCCATCACTGTTGCCTCAGGGAGCACAGGGTTTATCTCCTCAGATAAAGGTGGAAAGGCTGATGGCAGCATGGGTCAGGAAGAGGATGTTGCCACTACTGGGGATGGGGAAGCTGTCTCTTCTGGCAAAAAAAGTTCATCAGAGTTTACAAACTCAGTATCCCCAGCTTCATCAGGGTCCTCCCACACATCCCCATTCCAAGTTGCAGGGTCCCATTCTTTTCCAATCAGTGCCCTCACTTTAACAGTAGACACCTGGTGAGGCTGTGCATGCACCTTTCCTTGCAGGTCAGCCACTTGCATGATAAGAGCTTGTGTCTGTTTTTCCACAATTTCAGCTCTTTCTCTACAGGACATGAGACTCACTCAGGGCAATCTTAGCAGATTTGAGGTTCAGTATCTGCTTCTGAAGCTAGGAGATAGAATCCCCGAGTTCATTATTTTCTGTCATCACTTTGTCCACTGAACTTAGGAGCAACCAACTAGCTTCATTATGTTCCTTGGCTCTCCACATATGGTCAAAGGTATTATGTACAGAGTCACTAAACTCCTTGACTCTCATGAGCGATGAATCAGGAGTGTCAAATGTATTTATTTTGCATAACTCTCTAAACAGTTCATGCCAAGGACTATCAGTGTTCTCCATACTATTAGAAGTAGAGTCCTTAGCATTTTTGGGTCTAATCATATTAAGCAGCCAACTCCAGAAACCCCAAAATCAGTGAAAGAACTTCATCCTTAATATTCTGTTCCTCTAGAACCACTCCTGGTACCAAAATCTGTATTAGCTAGGGTTCTCTAGAGGGACAGAACTAATGGAATATATGTGTGTGTGTGTGTGTGTATATATATATATATATATATATATATATATATATATATATATGAGTTTATTAAGTGTTAACTCACATGATCACAAGGTCCTACAAAAGGTGGTCTGTAGGCTGAGGAGCAAGGAGAGCCCATCCAAGTTGCAAAACTGAAGAACTTGGAGTCTCATGTTCAAGAGCAGGAAGCATCCAGCACAGGAGAAAGATGTAGGCTGGGAGGCTAGGCCAGTCTGTCTTTTCACATTTTTTTTGCCTGCTTATATTCTAGCTGCACTGGCAGCTGATTAGCTTGTGCCCACCCAGGTTAAGGGTGAGTCTGCCTTTCCCATCCCACTGACTCAAATGTTAATCTTCTTTGACAACACCCTCACAGACATACCCAATACTTTGTATCCTTCAATCTAATCAAGTTGACACTCAATATTAACCATCACACTAGGTATACAAAACTTTAGTATTTAATAAAGATATAAATAGTATTTAATAAAAATAAGCCCTTTCAAACCCTTTGAAAAGGGACAGTTTATTCAATAAATAGTCACAATTAGTGACTTATGGAAAAAAATTAGTTTAACTCCTATTTGAAATCATGTATCAAGATAAATTTCACACTGTTAAAATCATAAGGTAATTTTAAAAATTAGAATAAACTATTGGTGAATATTTATCTGGTCTTCAGAGTGGTCTTTCCAGTTTTTCCTCCTTTTCCACAAAAGCAAAAGGAGGAAAATAAATCATGATAGAAATAATTTAAAAATTTTCAATTTTACATATTTTTTCATGTTTCAAAAAATACCATAAAAATAAAAGGCAAGGTATAAACTGGAAAATATATTTCATGAAACAGTAAAGAAAAATACTTAAGCATAATCTTTTGTGCAAATAAAATTTTTCACTAAAAATGGAGCATTTGAACTAAATTTTGTGAACAGTTCTGGGTCCTGATTATTTCCCAAACGTGTATTTTCTTAAGCACATGTCTGGAGGGGCATGGGAATTTTACAAAACACGTCTTTTTAAAGTAGGCATGCTTAATTACTTCCTGATTTGCTTATTAAATTTTGACCAATTACTTGAAGAGAGTAGCAGGATGAACTTATAAAAGTACAGATTTTGGAGTTTGACAAATCATGCTGGAATCCTGCTTTAAGCATTTACTAGTTTTTTCACCATGTGTATGCCACTCAATTTTTTTGAGATTTGATTTGAAATGGTAAAGTTTGGATCTTTGTCAATATGCAAAAAAAATTACTTTACTTTCCTCCTTGTATGTCAAAGGCTTGCAGATTCCGAGTTTCTAAATGATGCATGATAAAGGCAATTGCCTAAACCAGGGTTGGCAGATGACTACATGCATATCAAATTGGTCTGGCCATTTTTAAATAAAGTTTTATGGAAACACAATCACACCATTTTTTTTAACATGTTGTCTGTGGTTGCTTTTGCCCTATACAAGCAAAGTGGTATCATTGTGAAAGAGACTGTCTGGCCTGCACATCCTAAAATATTATCATCCCCTTTGCAGAAAAAGTTTGCCTACTGCAGGACTGAATTATATTGCTACTTAGCACTTGTGAGAAAAGAACAATCCACCTGTCAAATACACTTACCAGGTGAAAATGAGATTTTAATCTAGAAGTATTAAAATGAAGATTCTGTAGTTAGTATAATTTTCATGTGTTCTGAGTCATTCTAGCAAAATGATGCTTTAAAATATGTTTTAATTATGTTTTATGCATCTGATTTTTTTTTCTCTTCTCTTTTCTTCTCTTCCTCTATTATTTCTTTCTTTCTTTATCAGCAAATCCAATGAGTGATCTAAGCAGGAAAACTGCTGAATGCGAGCACTGCCCCCACTGCACCTCCTTTTGATTTTACTACAATACAGAATATAGTTAAGCAGATGTTCAATGCATTACAGGCCCTGGCTAAGGTACAATCAAAATGGATTGAGTGCCAGAAATCAGGGAGGGGAGTCTGGACTGGCTGTCTTTGCTCCGATTCAATCATGTCTTGTGTTAATCCTGCCCTAGCTGAATCTGAATTTATCTACATGTCTTTGGCCTGGAGATCAAACTGAGAGTTTATGGCTACTCTGTCTCTTGTGAACTTCTGAGCATTTCCTCTTTTCACTCAATCAAAAAAAGAGAGAGAGAGAGAGAAAGACAGAGACAAGATTAGGCTGTCCTTTTTGTTATTACCCTATCATTTTAGAAATAAAGAGATGCTTGACTGGGACATCAATTTGGCAGGTTTAGATAATCCTGTATATCTACTTGCTCAAATAAGTAACTAAATATTATAAAAATGTGGTTTTATCTAACTTTTACTTATAAAATAGAGGAACCAAGATAACACATCTCAGAGTGCTTCCTCCTTTTATTCAGACCACAGGTCTTATTTTCTTATCACATAGTCTCTTCTGTTTTAACATGTTTTTTATCCTTCTGTAATGCTTATATAATTCAAATGGTTACACATAGTTAGCACATCTAATTTTGAGTCATTGCTTGGACCAGAAAAGCCTATGGACTACTTCCTTTCTGTTTTCTCCTTTTTTCCTTTAGGATTCAACTGGCTAATAATTTCATTTTCTTCTTATAAGTACATTCTTCATTCCATTTTTTGAAATAAGCCTGAATCAGAATGCTTCCTCTTTCTTGATACATGTATCCAGAGACTAATCATTCATGTGCCAATGAAACATTTTGATTTATTTTTTTAAATTTTATTATTATACCTTAAGTTTTAGGGTACATGTGCACAACGTGCAGGTTTGTTACATATGTATACATGTGCCATGTTGGTGTGCTGCACCCATTAACTCGTCATTTAGCATTAGGTATGTCTCCTAATGCTATCCCTCCCCCCTCCTCCCATCCCACAACAGTCCCCAGTGTGTGATGTTCCCCTTCCTGTGTCCATGTGTTCTCATTGTTCAATTCCCACCTATGAGTGAGAACATGCGGTGTTTGGTTTTTTGTCCTTGCGATAGTTTGCTGAGAATGGTGGTTTCCAGCTTCATCCATGTCCCTACAAAGGACATGAACTCATCATTTTTTATGGCTGCATAGTATTCCATGGTGTATATGTGCCACATTTTCTTAATCCAGTCTATCATTGATGGACATTTGGGTTGGTTCCAAGTTTTTGCTATTGTGTATAGTGCCGCAATAAACATATGTGTGCATGTGTCTTTATAGCAGCATGATTTATAATCCTTTGGGTATATACCCAGTAATGGGATGGCTGGGTCAAATGGTATTTCTAGTTCTAGATCCCTGAGGAATCGCCACACTGACTTCCACAATGGTTGAACTAGTTTACAGTCCCACCAACAGTGTAAAAGTGTTCCTATTTCTCCACATCCTCTCCAGCACCTGTTGTTTCCTGACATTTTAATGATCACCATTCTAACTGGTGTGAGATGGTATCTTATTGTTGTTTTGATTTGTATTTCTCTGATGGCCAGTGATGATGAGCATTTTTTCATGTGTTTTTTTGGCTGCATAAATGTCTTCTTTTGAGAAGTGTCTGTTCCTATCCTTCGCCCACTTTTTGATGGGGTTGTTTGTTTTTTCCTTGTAAATTTGTTTGAGCTCATTATAGATTCTGGATATTAGCCCTTTGTCAGATGAGAGGGTTGCAAAAATTTTCTCCCATTCTGTAGGTTGCCTGTTCACTCTGATGGTAGTTTCTTTTGCTGTGCAGAAGCTCTTTAGTTTAATTAGATTGCATTTGTCAATTTTGGCTTTTGTCGCCATTGCTTTTGGTGTTTTAGACGTGAAGTCCTTGCCCATGCCTATGTCCTGAATGGTATTGCCTAGGTTTTCTTCTAGGGTTTTTATGGTTTTAGGTCTAACATGTAAGTGTTTAATCCATCTTGAATTAATTTTTGTATAAGGTGTAAGGAAGGGATCCAGTTTCAGCTTTCTACATATGGCTAGCCAGTTTTCCCAGCACCATTTATTAAATAGGGAATCCTTTCCCCTTTTCTTGTTTTTGTCAGGTTTATCAAAGATCAGATAGTTGTAGATATGTCAGATAGTAGATATGTCAGACAGTTGTAGATATGACAGATAAAACTATCTGTCAAATATCAGATAGTTGTAGATAGATTATTTCTGAGGGCTCTGTTCTGTTCCATTGGTCTATATCTCTGTTTTGGTACCAGTACCATGCTGTTTTGGTTACTGTAGCCTTGTAGTATAGTTTGAAGTCAGGTAGCATGATGCCTCCAGCTTTGTTCTTTTGGCTTAGGATTGACTTGGCAATGCAGGCTCTTTTTTGGTTCCATATGAACTTTAAAGTAGTTTTTTCCAATTCTGTGAAGAAAGTCATTGGTAGCTTGATGGGGATGGCATTGAATCTATAAATTACCTTGGGCAGTATGGCCATTTTCATGATATTGATTCTTCCTACCCATGAGCATGGAATGTTCTTCCATTTCTTTGTATCCTCTTTCATTTCCTTGAGCAGTGGTTTGTAGTTCTCCTTGAAGAGGTCCTTCACATCCCTTGTAAGTTGGATTCCTAGGTGTTTTATTCTCTTTGAAGCAATTGTAAATGGGAGTTCACTCATGATTTGGCTCTCTGTTTGTCCGTTATTGGTATATAAGAATGCTTGTGATTTTTGCACATTAATTTTTTATCCTGAGACTTTGCTGAAGTTGCTTATCAGCTTAAGGAGATTTTGGGCTGAAACAATGGAGTGTTCCAGATATACAGTCATGTCATCTGCAAACAGGGACAATTTGACTTCCTCTTTTCCTAATTGAATACCCTTTATTTCCTTCTCCGGCCTGATTGCCCTGGCCAGAACTTCCAACACTATGTTGAATAGGAGTGGTGAGAGAGGGCATCCCTGTCTTGTGCCAGTTTTCAAAGGGAATGCTTCCAGTTTTTGCCCATTCAGTATGATATTGGCTTTGGGTTTGTCATAGATAGCTCTTATTATTTTGAGATACGTCCCATCAATACCTAATTTATTGAGAGTTTTTAGCATGAAGCGTTGTTGAATTTTGTCAAAGGCCTTTTCTGCATCTATTGAGATAATCATGTGGTTTTTGTCTTTGGTTCTGTTTATATGCTGGATTACGTTTATTGATTTTCATATGTTGAACCAGCCTTGCATCCCAGGGATGAAGCCCACTTGATCATGGTGGATAAGCTTTTTGATGTGCTGCTGGATTTGTTTTGCCGGTATTTTATTGAGGATTTTTGCATCAATGTTCATCAAGGATATTGGTCTAAAATTCTCTTTTTTTTGCTGTTGTGTCTCTGCCAGGCTTTGGTACTAATCATTCATGTGCCAATGAAACATTTTGATTTATTTTTAAAAATTATTTGTATTAATTACTTTTTCAGCCATCATGATATATTACTTAAAGAATACGAACATTTTAGTATAAAATTCAATTCATTCTTATTGAGAAACATAGTGGGAAATCTCAATTTTAAGTTAAAAATTCTTTGGGCTGAACTTCTTTTAGATAGCTCATTCCCTATGTGCAATGGAAAATTTCTGAATGAAATTTAAATATTAACTGTCTGGAATATTCTAGAGCATGTAGATTTTTAGTTTCTTACATTTTCTCTGAGAATGAAATGAAGCGATTACCTTGGGCACTGAAGGGGAAAAGGTTAGAAAGAAAATGGCAGAGCCTGTACCACTGGGTTTGGGCAATATTCCCCAGTTGATGGTATGAATGATTTCTATTCAGGTAAGATAGTGCTCTAATTTGAGGAGTTTGTACATTATGTTGTCCTCCACCAATTGTTCTTAACTAAAAGGATTATCAAGGGAATAAGTCACAAATCATATTTAGGTCCATTAAAACAATGAAGAGGAACCCGGAAAGGAGAGGCATTTTTTTTATATTGCACTTAAAATTCATACTTGAGCCTTACTTACATTTCTGCCTTATCTGTCATTGCTGCAATTTGAGAAAGTCACTTACTTGCCACCTCAGAATATGCTTTGTGCATTTCTGTTTGTGGCAAAATTTCGGCCATTCTGTAAACTTTGCCAGAAAGCTACCTGTCTCATCCATTTCTTAGTATTGGAAGCAACCCATATGCTTTATTTTCTGAATCTCTTACATTAGGTTTATCAAGAACAACACACCATGAGGAGGAGCTAGTGTATGCCAGGCACCATGTTAAGTGCTAAGGAGACAATTGCAAACAAGCCATAGAAAATCCCTGGTCTAACAGTAGTCACTGGCTGTTGTGGGGGAAACGCTATAGGCTATGAGACCATTGAGCAGAGTTCCCAGCTGAAGAAATAGCATCTTAGCTGATTCCTAAAGCATGTGTGGACTATAGATGTTTCCTAGAAGAAGGGGTGGAAAAGAAAATGTATTCTAGAACAGAGAACTGCTTATACAGAACTTCATAGAGAAGGTCATCATGTTGAAAATGTGAATATTTAGAAGTCATAGGGCAGGTGAAGATGTAGAATGTGATACAATGAAGATGAACTGGGCTGGAAGGCCAAGAGAATGAGTCAGGTTTAGGAATGAGTGTTGACTCAGTTGAGTAAGAGATCCATCACATTTTTATCTGGCTATTTGGGCAGTCATGTTCTCTCTAAAACCAAACACTAAAAATTGAAGCTTTCAACCAGACCCTGTCAGAAGTTTTCTCTAAATCAAATAGCAAAGAATAATGAATATCTACAAGTAATTGTCTAAGTCCATGACAATGCATTTTAGTTAAGATTGGGATTTTATATATGCATTCATGTGACAGCTCTGTGATTTTAAGGTGGCTCTGGCTAGAGGACTTTTGTTAAAATAAAATCCTTAAGTACACTTGACACAGAGAAACCCCATATCTGTTTGTCAAACACTCTAATTTTGTGGTGCAAAAGTAAAATATCTAAATGGTCAGCCTGCTGATCTGTTGATAATTTGACATCCTTGAAGTCAGGTTTTAAGATCATATTGTCAAGAGCAAGTGGTATCATCTGAAGACATCAAAACACAGAAGGCATCAGACAATGGGAGTTATTTGATATATTCCTTCTTTCATTTTTGTTTTTTGTTCAGGTTGATGAAAAAATGTAAATGTGAATTTAGATATCAGGATGTTAGCACAACCCGACAAAGAAAGAGTAGTTTTCTTTGAAACTTGGCAGGCTCGGAATGACTGCTTCTGACATCATGGGTATATTTAATGAAATATTAATGACTCTGACTTTAATAGGAATTTCAGCACAACCTAAATTAAGCTATTGGAAAAGGGATATGGTCCCGTTAAGAACAGTAAAACCGTAAGCCCCCTTCCTGAAGAGTAGCTGTGGGCAGTTAAAGTGACAATCAATTTAACCAGGCCATATTGCTTTGTAAGTCTCTGAAGTGTGAAGTCCCAGCATGCCTTATGTATTTCATTTTAATTTCCTTTTGGACAGAGCTATGGTTAGTGGGGAACCTCACACACAAAAAGAAAAAAAAATAAATGTGCAGAAGAGAAGGAAATTATTTAACCCTTTCAAAATACTATGCCATATAGTTAGCTAAGTAA
Organism: Homo sapiens; assembly: GCF_000001405.40. NCBI lineage: Eukaryota > Metazoa > Chordata > Mammalia > Primates > Hominidae > Homo > Homo sapiens. The sequence continues at coordinate 70,831,082 of NC_000017.11, forward strand.
AGAAAATAAGGAAGATTAAATTTCTTTTGTTTTCAAAGAAAAATAAATGGGCAGCACATGTAGTAAATAATGATGACAGATCATATTGATAATTTCTATTTAAAAACCTAAAATGCTCCCTTGACATGTATTTTGAGGTTTTTTTTTTTTTGGTTAAGAAACTAGGTGGTTTAGAAATAAATCTTCCTTTGCTATTTCTACATAGAAAGATAAAAATCATGCAATTTCCTATGATTTTTCATCTCTCATTGGAATTAGATATCTAAATGGCCAGTTTGCTGATCTGTTGATAATTTTACATACTAGAAGTCAGGTTTCAAGATATAGTTTTTCAAGTCAGATTAGGTTAGATGTTTTTAAGATGATGTCTTTGTCAACTTTTCCAAAATTTGGATACATAAAATGCAAAAGGAATATGAGAGACTATTCTTAAATTATAAAAGAATGTTCGGTTACCTGCAGCAGTTTCTATGAGATTGTTTTTGTCCCAGAGCAGCCAGGAGAGAAGACAGCAATTGTGTGGTAAAATAAGACATAATTGGAATTGAGAGTCCAGATTGCTAAATTAGACTTTTTTTTTTAGCTTTGTCACTAATTTGTAATTTGACGTCTTTGACGTCATTCTATCTTCCTTGGTTTCATTCCTTGTTCTCTAAATAAAATATTAGGTTTACATAGAACACGAAGCATCCTTAGAAATTTTTATATGTTCAACTACCACTTTTAATTTAAATAAAATGTTAGCTGTTCAAAAAGCAAATATTGCTATATGCGTGATGTTTTACCTTAATACGAGTTGAAAGGTGGCTATTTATATTAAAGTTATCCACGGGAAGAGTTTTCCTTCAAGATTATTTCAGTACAAGCTATGTAAGGAACACCGTTTTGTGTCTTTGAATAAAGAGTGGAAAGTGCCAGCCACATCCTTTTAATAAGATTAGTGTATATTGGCTGATAATTTCATAAAAATTTTGTCAAATTAGTGTTCCTGAAGCATAGTTCTGATAATATTACCCACACTGTCCAAGATTACCTAGTGGTTCCCAGGAATGCTCAGAGTCAAGATCAAATTCTTTTCTTAGACTGCCCTTCAAAGGTTTCTAAAACTTAGTCTTAACCTCAATCTGTGTTCTCAATATTTTTCCCAAGACTTCCAAACTCTACTCCTTCTTCTATTCTTGCTCATGTTGTTCACGCTCTCTGATATTCTCCTTCCCTATTGGTAGATGTCAAAACTTTTACTCAACTTTCAAGATTTGAAGTAAATGTCATCCGTTGAGTCAATCCATCGATTGCATATAATTTCTTCATTCTGGATTCCCACAGCAGCTGAATTTCGTGGTTATAAAGACTTAGATTTAAACCTTGGCCTTACTAATTTCACATGAGTGACCTCACTTATTCTCCTGAATTGTGAGTTTATGTGAAAGGTAACAAGAGTATCTTTCATGAAGAGTTTGGAGATGTGAGGATTAAATGATGACACAAATGAGATGTCTTGTATCCTACACCTAGCAGGCATAGAATTTCTTCTGTTTCTTCTGGTGTCTTCTATTATTTATTGCTTTGTGATTAACAAATTGCACAGTGAACATGTGTTAGCTTTTTGGTATTGGCATAAGGCATTGTCTTCTCCATTTTACAGAATCAGGAAGTACGAGAGCCTCCCTTGTTTTAACCACTCTCCTAGAGAAACATATGTGCACATGACCTCTAGGCTCAAAAATGTAGATGCTTATGTCCAGGATTTGAATCTTGAACAGGTATGACAGAGATGGAGAGAGGTTAAAATTCATATGCAGAAGCAGCAGTAGCAGGGTCCCAGAGCCTCAGAATCCTGGTCAGAATGTGACTCCTAAAAGATAGTTGAATGGCTTCCTGCTTCTTGGATGTCTGAAGTAGCCTGGGTTGCTTTCTAAGCCTGGTTTTCTAACTTTCCATCAATTATTTCAACCTCCAATCTCCTACTTGTTTCATCATTGCTCAGGAAAACCACTGTTGGTTCTATTCCTCACAACTGAAAGTCCTTTAACTGATATAGGTTTCAAAGTCCTTCAGGGCGCACAAGTGACTGATTTGACTTCCTGGTTTTATTTTTTTAATTAGCTAGAATACTACTATATAAAAATATGTCAACTGTGAGCTACTCCAAGTATACTTTATACAGAAGTGTAAAGATAAATGTTTGATGCTTTTCTTTATATACTAGTTTTCAAAATAATGCATCTTTTCTATAGATTTTTTATTAAAAATTATTTATGTGTTTTTTTAGTATTAAGAAATAGTTTCTGAAGTATTTCTATTAATTGCATTTATTGTCTTTATTGAAGTGCAATCATAGTATCTGTATACAGTTTTTTGTTTTGTTTTGTTTTTGAGATGGAGCTTCGCTCTTGTTGCCCAGGCTGATGTGCAATGGCACAATCTCGGCACACTGCAACCTCCGCCTCCTAGGTTCAAGAGATTCTCCTGTCTCAGCCTCCCAAGTAGCTGGGTTTACAGGCATGTGCCACCATGCTCGGCTAATTTTGTATTTTTAGTAGAGACAGGGTTTCACCATGTTGGTCAGACTGGTCTTGAACTCCTGACCTCAGGTGATCCACCTACCTTGGCCTGCCCTCCCAAAGTGCTGGGATTATAGGCGTAAGCCACTGCGGCTGGCCTGTATACAGTTTTTAATTTTGCTTCCTCACGTAAATTCTGTATGCATTTTCCTATCACTGTAGCTGTTATTATTCCATTTGTGCTCACATAAAATATCATTAAGTAAAAGCACTATACTGTTATTTAATTACATTACCTGGCTTTTCAATTATCCTACGTTTGCAAACGAGGTTGGTTCTCATTTATTTCCAAGTAATCTTGTAATCAATGCCTTCATGTGTATAACTTCTTTTGCTTTTAAGTTGTTTCCTTAGGATACATTCATAGGATGTTTACCAAATCACAATGATTAACATTGTTATTTTTACCATATACTGTCAAATTACTTTCCACAGGGCTATACCAATTTATACTCTTCAAATAATGTAGGAAGATACTGTATAAATGTAACTTTGCCTGGTTGGAATTTACCTTTTAAATTGGTCACTTTAATAAGGGTAAAATGTCACATCATTATTGGTGCCATTTACATTTTTTATATAAGGAGATAAAATTTGCTACGTATGCAATTATTTTTTCTAAATCCATTATTTGCTTTATTCCCAGAATTTTGACATTTTCTCACCAAAATTTTTAGTTATTTTAAATATATAATCTATTTTCATCATTTTTTTTCCGTGTAGTGTTTTCAAAGCCAATCCCAAAGCTTAGAAAGCTACTGATGAATATATTGGCTAAACGGTCATTTAAATTTACTTTTAGTTTTTCATTTTTATGTATATATACACACACATTATCATTTATCCTTTTAGAATAACCTTGGATAAACTAAATTACTTATTTTTTCCACATTAGTAAAATTTAGTAAAAATATATGACATTATGAGAAAAATCCCACTGAGTTTCAAATAAGATTGCATCTGATACACCACTTATTATTAGAAAAACTGACAACATTATGACATTTCATCTTCCTTTCCAAAGATAAGTTTTAAATATCTATCTTTTTTTTTTTGGTCTCTCAATTACAAAAAGTAGATCCCAGAAGACTAAAAAAAATTCTAAAGGACATACTATTTTCTTTTTTCCACCCTGGACAAAAACTCTAAGCACCCTTCTATCGAAATAGACATCCAGTGGCCAAGAGCACAGCAGATATTTTGAATTGCTTTGGAACATGTTAATTAGAACTGCTTTATCTTTCTCCGTAAAGCAGATTTAAATTTCCCGGTATAAATCTCGATAAATCTTGGTGTCTATTTTATATATCCGTTTCTAAGCAACAGTGTTATTGATTAATATTTGAATACAATTTCACATTCATTATTTCATTCATTTTTTGCAACCATCCTGAAGTTGGCAATAAATGTTTTCATCATTTTTGTCATATCAAGCAGGTGAGTGAAAAGAAGCTTCAGTTGAGACAGGACTGAAGGGCAGGAGATGACCCTGGAGTCATGCATACTCCACCCTTATTTTAAAACTATTATTCTCTCCCCAGATTATTCTGAAATGACTAGATTATTACCCTGCAATGACTTCCCCAAGATCTTTCTTCTGGAACTAGAGCTCAGGTCTTCTGACTCTCAGTCTGGTTCTCTTACCTCTATGACAGAATAATTCTCAAGAATACAGGAAATCTCTCCATTCTTTCCTTGTGTTTACACATTAGCAACACCAAATTAGTTAAGCTCAGTCTGTGTAATCTTGCCATTTCTATCCGTTCTTTAGCCTTTGCTCAATTGTCCCCTCGGCCAGGATTTCCCTACCTATGCTGCACTTGGCCAAGCCTGCCTCTCCACGGTTGAGATGTACATATAATTTTCTGTAATTAAAAGTGTCTCATCTCCTCACTATACTTTTGTCTCCTTCGGGCAGGAACCATGACCATGTTATTCATTATTGAATTCCAATGCCTTTGTTGAACAAAAATATTTGCCTTCCACTGCAAAGCACATTAGACTAAAATTTCATTCAGGCTCCTAGCACAAGGTAGGTGCCAAAAAAATTAATTCAGATCAGGTGCTTTATTTTCTTAGACGATTTCTCTTAGCTAACCATGTGTCTAAGCCTCCCATAATAATAAACACAGGACCCTAACCTATAACTATCACTTCCCCAACTAGAGTGAAAATTGTGGGACTTGTCTTCTTTTATGTTTATTTTTTATTTTATTTTTATTTTTTTGAGACAGAGTCTCACTTTGTCGCCAGGCTGGAGTGCAGTGGTGTGATCTCGGCTCACTACAACCTCTGCCTCCTGAGTTCAAACGATTCTCCTGCCTCAGCCTCCCGAGTAGCTGGGACTACAGGAGTATGCCACCACACCCGGCTAATTTTTGTATTTTTAGTAGAGACGGTGTTTCACCATGTTGGCCAGAATGATCTTGATCTCCTGACCTCATGATCCGCCCACCTTGGCCTCCCAAAGTGCTGGGATTACAGGCGTGAGCCACCGCGCCCGGCCCTTTTATGTTTTCAATAATCTTAGCAACTAGCACAGTATAGCGCCTGATATGTAGTAAGTGCTCTCTGTCCCTCTCTCTCTCTCTACACACACACACACACACACACACACACACACTCTCTCTCTCTCTCTCTCTCTCTCTCTCCATATACATGTATATGTATGTGTATATGTATATACAGAGAGAGAGAGATGTATATACAGGTAACCCTTGAATAACACGGGTTTGAACTGCATGGATCCACTTCTACACAGATTTTCTTCTGCCTCTGCCACCCCTAAGACCACAAGCCCAACCTCTCCTCTTCTTTCTCATCCTTCTCAACATGAAGACAATGAAAACGAAGACCTTTATGATGATCCACTTCCACTTAATGAATAATAAATATATTTTCTCTTTCTTAGAATTTTTTTAGTAACATTTTCTTTTCTCTAGCTTACTTCATTGTAAGAATATAGTATATAACATACAAAATATGTGTTAATCAATTGTTTATATTATCAGTAAGGCTTCCAGTTAACAGTAGGCTGCTAGTAGTCAAGGTTTTGGAGAGTCAAAAGTTATATGCAGATTTTTGACTGTGTAGGGGATTGGATCCTGTAACCCCCATTTTGTGTAATAATCAATTGTGTTAATCTATATACTGACTTACATATATAAACACTGACTTGTCACAGTGACTTAGATTATATATGTGTATATATGTGTATACATACATATATGTCCATGTGTATGCATATGTGTGTACATATGTATACATGTGCATATGTATGCATACACACATATGCATACATATATACATATATGCATACACACATAATCTAAGTCACTGTGACAAGCCATAGTTTTCTGACAGCTTATTATATTTTCAGGTATCTCGAAAAATATAGCAAAGTTTCAACCACCAAGAAGCATCCTGTCCCAGCACTCTGCTACTAGTTAAGGCCTCCAATATACTGCTGTCTGGAGCTACTGAGCTGACACTCTTATTTTTCTAGAGCACATATCTCCTCCTGTCTGTGACCTGTCTCTCGGGGACATTGTGGCACATGATAGAGTACACGTAGGGAGAAGCATTTAGATACTTCAATCTTCACTGCTTATCTTCATGCTTCTAGGACAATAAAAATACTTTAATTTTTAATGTACAAAATGATTTTTTCTTTGAAAGGAGGTATATGTCAAACAAACCAGAATAGGAATCACGTATTTTGGACTTTGACCATTGTGAAATTTACCCTCATCCTGAAAGGAAAGACACATATAAGCATATATTAGAGGATGATGCAAAACACTAAAATGAATGTAAGCACCCTGAGGACAGCAGCTTGTGTCTGTTTTATTCTCCACTGTATTTCAGTGATTTTTAAGCTGTGCCTAGCATGTAACGCTTAATAAATATTTGTTTAATGGTCGGAGAATATATTAGGAAAAAGGTCTTATATGTGTTTAATATTTTTGAAAAAAACTCCAGTACATTGTAAAGGGATTACTCAATTTTACATTATATTGAAGTTAGACTAATATATTTTTGAAAAACATGACATAATGAATTTTAAATAAAATGTACAATTAGAAGCTAATTTTCCTCAGATGCTTTATGACTTAAAAACTAATTATGAAATGAACAATTCTTAATAATAATGACCACACAGTCTGAGGTTTTGTGTTTTCTTTCTTTGTTAACCCTAAACCCTGTTATTGAAATGGAAAGTTAAACTGACATTTCTGCAAGTTTTTTTTTTTCTTTTTTTATAGTCTAAAGGTTAACGAGCTGTGGTGTGGTTTAGTGCCGCATGTGCTAAGCTAGCACCTAATACGTTAAGTTGGGTGCGATTCAAGCCTTCCAAGAAAAGTGCTCTCAGACATTACAGGTGGGGGAGGAAAGACAGAAGGGAAGACGCCGATGCTATTGTGTTTGTGTTATTGCTCAAGAACGGTGGTCCTGGTCAGCACACACTGCTGTTTGGGACTTTATATACAAGCTATTCTCAGGGGGAGCATAAATATCCCACATTCCATTTCGAAAGGTGCTGGGTTATAGGTTATTGACCAGTTTAGGGATTTATAGCTGGAGTCAGTAATTGTTAAGGAAAAATGGCTTGACAATTTTATTATTGTGGAGGCCTGTTGGAAAAGTTAAACACAGACTTAGCTGAGAACGAACTTGATCTTAACAATAATAGATATGTATATGCATATACATTTACACACACATATAATTATGTATACTTTATATATAATAGTACATACAAATATTTTACATATAATTATGTACAAATACTTTATTACAGACTGCTTTCATTTTCATAGAGATGTTAAATATAAATTCATTTGCTTGCTTCAACATGGATAAGTGTACTAAATACTGCTTCACAAGAATATATAGATTATTATAAATAACTGAAATATTGACAAATACATTCTTTCCGAACAATCAGAAAATTGTTAACTTGTGTCAAATATCAGAGGAACAAATAAAAGGAAAACAACACAATAGTCATGGGAGCAAGCTACTCTTTAATAAGAGGTATCATATCCCCCGCCACTTTACCCATCCCCTGAAAATACACCAGTGCAATTGTGGATCCCTATAATCTGAACAAGTTAAACACTTAAGTTTTTTAAAACATAAAATGTTTTAAAATTAAAATTAGAGACTTAATTATCATCCTGATGCTTTCTGATGCTTAATCTCACAATTGCTCATAGATTAGGAATTAGTTATAAGAGTTAGTTTGATGTTTCTCTAGTGATATAGAATACTGTGATGTCAATATTAGGTCAACTTGATTGGATTGAAGGAGGCCTAGATAGCTGATAAAGTATTGTTCCTGGGTGTATCTGTGAGGGTGTTGCCAGAGTGGATTAACATTTGAGTCAGTGGACTGGGAGAGGGAGACTCACCTTCAGTGTGAGTGAGCACCATCCAGTTGGCTGCCAACAGGGCTAGAATAAAGCAGGTACAAGAAGGCGAGATAAGCTGGTTTGCTGAGACTTCTGGCTTTCATCTTTCTCCTGTGCTGAATGCTTTCTGCCCTTGGACATCAGACTGCAGGTTCTTCAGTCTTTGGACTTACACCAGTGGTTTGCCAGGGTCTCTTGGCCCTTGGACCACAGACTTAAGGCTGCACTGTCAGCTTCCTACTTTTGAGGCTTTTGGACTCAGACTGAGCCACTACTGGCTTCTTTCTTCCTCAGCTTGCAGATGGCCTATCGTGGGACTTCGTCTTGTGATCATGTGAGTTAATTCTCCTTAATAAACTCCCTTCCATATATACATAGATCCTATTAGTTCTGTCCCTCTAGAGAACACTGACTAATACAAATACCCTAAAAATTGTCAAATAAAACCTTCCAAAAGCATGTGCCACAGAAAATATCTGGGATAAGTTTTAAGTAAGAATAAAAATTTCTGTCCATTTGAATTTTGCAAACAGCTATTGAGTAAACAACTATTGAGTGCCCAGTATTCATATTCCAGATGAATTATGGGGTTATAGCTTCAGCAGAGAGGCCTATAAACCCTTTCAGATACCCATAGATGAAACCAATAGGACAGAAAAATAGGAAAGATAATGTCTTCAGGGTTCTAAGCTAAGAGAGGGCACTATATTTATACTGGATACATCAAGGGATGTCTGCAATGTTTAATTCTTTACCTGTAAAGGAACAACCTGGAAAAAATCCCAGAAGAACTTCACTCTGGTCTCTGCTTGCCCACTTCCCATCTGTATTAGTCTGTTTTCACACTGCTGATAAAGATACCCGAGACTGGGAAATTTACAAAAGAAAGAGGTTTAATGGACCTACAGTTCCACGTGGCCTCACAGTCATGGCAGAAGGTGAAATGCACATCTCACTTGGTGGCAGACAAGAGCAGAGTCAGAGCCAAGCCAAAGGGGTTACCCCTTATAAAACCATTATATCTCATGAGACTTACTCACTACCATGAGAACAGTATGGGGGAAACAGCTGCCATGATTTAATTATCTCCCACCAGGTCCCTCACACCACAATGGGAATTATGGGAGTTATATTTCAAGATGAGATTTGGGTGAGGACACAGCGAAACTATATCACCATCCTCACCCCAACATCAGCATCTGGAGCTGGAAGCAGGAACAATAAGTGTAGTTGTAAGTAACAGACCTTAGGGAACACTGTGGTTATGGAAAAATTCAAGTAGAGAGGATCAGTAATGATTTCTACCTAACAAATACCTTTGCTGAAGAGAGATACATGCCTTTCATTGCAAAGTACATTATACTAGAATTTAACTCAAGAAACAGGTATTGAGTGCCATCTATTAATCCAGGTTTGTTTTGTGAGGCTACAATGGTAAACCCCAATAGCAAGATTATTGCATGAATGAAGCTTATATTCTCATTAGGAAAGACCATCACTAAATAAATGAAAAATGATTATGGTTGTTATGTAATGTCATAAATGAAATAAAGAAAATAAGATGATGATATAATCAAAAGTAATTAGGGTGGTCAACTTAAGATGTTCAGAAAGATCCTTCAGAGGCAGTGACTACTGGGCAGAGACCTGAAGGATGAGAATGAGCTAATTTGGAAAGAAACAGGGAAGAGCATTCTAGGAAGTAGTAATAGCAAGGATGAACTTTTCATCAAGAAAAGTTTCAGTGTGTTTAAGGAAATGGCAGAAAGACAAAATCGTTGGAAAGTAGCAACTGAAATGGAAAGTGGGATGAGATGTTGGAGATATAATCAGGAGATATAATCAGGATATATTGCTGGGTTTTGAGACCAGGATGAGGCCTTTAAATGGTGGCAATGAGAGTCTGGAAAGGTGGATGAGTCAAGTCTGGTTGCACTTTGTAGATGTAGTTTGTGGTGTGTATGTTATTCCAGGTTTAACGGAAGTCAGTGGAAGGCTTTAAGCTTGTGTGTGATTTATGGCTGCTGGGTGAAGAATGAAGGCAACCAAAGTGTGATCGTATACTCCATAATATTGAGTTGCGGAGGGTACTGTTGCTATTTACACCTAGGAGTGGTTACTAGAATATAGAGAAGGCATCCACATGGAAAAACCCACAGCTGCTATGGCTTTCAGTGGAATGATGGAGGCAACCCAATGGTGTGCCCAAAGGGTGATGGAGTCAAAGCAATAAATGTACTGACTTCCCCTTTCTCTCAGTCTTTAATTTCTTGCTGTCCCAGACTTTGCGTGTACCCAATCAGAGGGAATCTGTTGATTTCCTTCATAATGTAGTTCCAACAAGGCAGCCTACAAGGGTATAGCCTACTAGCCAGCCACAAACAATAAAGCAGTGTATTCCTAGGCTGCACAAACAACAGAAGTGTATGCAAATAATTTCCCAATTTAATGCAATTTCTATGAAAATCTCAAGTGGTTTTGTTTGAAGTTTTAGCCATATGGAATAAGTGAGACTTTTTGAGCAGCGGAGGGATTGTATGGCATGTGAAGACAATGGCATTCCCCCATGTTCTTGACACCCTGCAGGTACATATGCATAATGGGAGAATGGGTTATATGTGTTTGAAATGAAAGAGTTGGCCTTTATGCTGTGCAGAGGCCAGGCAAGGCTAATCCAGGGCATCTTTGACTTTACCCAAAAGAGAGAAATAAAGTATTATCTTCCTTATTCTGCAAAAGCTCTCTTGGCCTAAGTAAATCAACGGAAAAGTAACAATGATGGCAACAGCAAGACAATAAGCCAGAGGGAGTAGAAGAGCTCTTAGAAATGGACACTCATCATATATTAGAGGAAAAATGGTTATAGATCTGATCTGGAGGCATAATAGCCAAGTTCTGGCTCCACTATTCATACTGTTAGCGAGTAATGGTCATGTCTATTTTAGAGATATGTGTAACTACCTCTAAAGTTTCAAGGAAATGCGTTGAATTTGGGACTCTCAAAAATAAAGTCTGTTATTAATGAAGAAGGATACCTAAAAACAAAGAAAAAACATATTTAATAATTTAGGAATTACATGAAAGTGATGACATAGGATGGAGTAACCCCTGACATTCAAAACATCAAGTTTGAAGATACATACATTACAACTGAACGAGCTGAGGATTAGAACAATTAATGGATAAATAAAACTACATAATTCATAGCCTCTAGTTGTGTTTTACCTTAACAATGAGATGGGCTTGCTCTACCAGGTGCTTTTCAGGTAAGGTCCAAAATCTAGGTCATCTTCTTAGATGTATATTTTCAATGTATATTTGTTGGTGCTGGAGTAAAATATAACACACTCTATCTCATGAGTAGGCAAGCCTTCACACTGAGATTCATATTTATCACCGTAAGTCCTTGATTTTGCACCCATGTGGCATGTAGCACCCTGCCAGGGAATACATGGCACCACAGGAAAAACACTGTTCATCTTTCTGGGAAAATTATTTTGATCAATATTAATTTCCTGCTACAATTGTACTCAATCCAAAATTTAGCTATCAAACATGCAATTACACTAAATTCAGCAACCTAATACTTGAAAGGCAAATGACAATTAAAAACAGCCGTTTTTTTTTATTTTACTGTTTGTTTTTATTTTCCTAAACGTATTAATTTTAAAATTACATCTTCAGCTGGACACACACAATATTATTATTACTATTGAGACAGAGTTTCGCTCTTGTTGCCCAGGCTGGAGTGCAATGACACGATCTTGGCTCACTGCAACCTCCACCTCCCAGGTTCAAGCAATTCTCCTGCCTCAGCCTCCAGAGTAGCTGGGATTACATGTACCTGCCACCATCCCCAACTAATTTTTGTATTTTTATTAGAGACGGGGTTTCACCATGTTAGCCAGGCTGGTCTCAAGCTCCTGACCTCAGGTGATCTACCTGCCTCGACCTCCCAAAGTGCTGGGATTACAGGCATAAGCCACTGCGCCTGGCCAATATTATGAAACTAAGTTAATTGTTCACATATAAGCTGTCATGAGTAGTCATGACACAGTGTGCCATTTCCTGGGCTAGTGCCTTTCACCCAAGTCTATAATTCTCTACTTCATTTGGCGATGGAAAGGCAGATCTCTGCCACTCATATTCCTTCTTTGCAGCTGGTTCCTTAATAGGCTCTGCCAATACAAGTGAACTGGAAGACTGGAAGATGAAAAGAGACTTGCCTTTTTATACTAGCATCCTGTTGGCTTTTTCTCTGTTTTCTCAGCCTGTCAGCTTCACCCTGGCTTTGCTCCTGCAACCATTCCACTGGCAGAAGTTTAATCCAGTTTTCAGTCTTCCAGCACTTACAGATCAGCTTCAATGTGCCTCCTTCTCATTAACTGTCCAGCTCCTCCTCCCACAAGGTCTCAGGTCAGTCCCACAATGGCACTGAACTCACTCATCTAAGTTTAGTGGCATCCTTAGCAGCAGAGCAGCAAGCCATCCTCAGAGGTCTCCAGGTCCCATTCTTCAAGTGTTAAGTGGGAACACATCTAGTGTTCCCCTAGTCACAGAGGTGGCAACTCCTTACTGCTGTTAATACACCCATGATTTCTTAGTGTTTTCTCTGTGTCCTTTCTGTTCTTCAGCAATTAATATCCAATTCTTTATTTTCTCTGTTTAAATAACATGTGCAATTTCTACTTCTCATCTGGATGCTGATTGTTATATACATTTATATGAGGAGTGATCCCAGAAAACAAATGACCAAAAATGGTATTTGGAGGTTAATAAGATAAATATTTTGGATTAGCGTACTCAAGTGTGTTGTATGTTGCTCTTTTATCCCACTCCAAAATGTTCCACTGTATAGTACCCATCTTTTTGAGTGGTAGGCAGTAAAATTTCAGAAAACTTTCCTTTACCTTTGAGGGGATATTTTGATATACTGAGACACTTGGACCTTTAAACTTCAACCAGAATATGAGTCCCTAAAGTTTTGGACTGTTTACCTTCCACTTTCTGATTGTCATATTTTTAAGCCGTATTTGTCCATTTGCATTGCTATAAAGAAATACCAGAGGCTGGGTAATTTATAAAGAAAACAGGTTTATTCAGCTTAGAGTTCTGCAGGCTGTCCATGAAGCATGGCATCAGCATCTGCTTCTCATGAGGCCTCAGGAAGCTTCCAATCATAATGGAAAATGAAGGGGAGCCAGCATGTCACATGATGAGCAAGGGAACAAGAGAGAGAGGAAAGAGGTGCTAGGCTCTTCAAAACGACTAGATCTCATGTGAACTCATAGAATGAGAACTCACCCATTACCACAAGGACAATACCAAGCCATTCAGGAGGGATCCGCCCCCATGACCCAAACACCTCCCACTAATCCCACCTCCAACATTGGAGGTCACATTTCAACATGAGACTTGGAGGGGACAAAACATCCAAACCATATCAGCATCTCAATTTTTTGGTGTTACAAGTCAAACCAACATAATCAAAATTAAATATTCATTGGATAGACTCAATGGCAAAATTAAAAAGACAGAGTGAAGAGTCAGTGAACTCAAAGATACATCAATGGAGATCATCCAATCAGAACTAAAATATGGAAAAATAACTGAAAAGCATTAATAAAATCTCAAGAGTGTTGAGATAATACTAAAAAGACTCAGATTTCTTCCTAATTGGTACACACATGGAAAATAACTGAAGAGTCCTGTAGAGGTTTTAGAAACTGAACAAATATTGAAGGATAGGTTATAGCTCATCATGTGAACCCAGCTGATTGTTTGAGCTGATTGTTTGCTAAAACAATCCATAGGACTTTTAAAAGATTCAAAATCTACCACAATATTAAAATTTTTAAGGATACAATCCACTATTACTTGACATATAAAGAAGCAGGAAAATCTTAATAACTTTGAGGAAAATAAACAGATAACATCAATGTTGAAATCATTAGAAAAATAATTTAAAGCAACTATTATAACCTTCCAACTAAGTGGTCAATTTTGTAATAAGAGCGGTGTGGTGCTGAGAAGAATGTATATTCTGTTGATTTAGGGTGGAGAGTTCTGTAGATGTCTATTAGGTCCGCTTGGTGCAGAGCTGAGTTCAGTTCCTGGATAGCCTTGTTAACTTTCTGTCTCGTTGATCTGTCTAATGTTGACAGTGGGTGTTAAAGTCTTGCATTATTATTGTGTGGGAGTCTAAGTCTCTTTCTAGGTCTCTAAGGACTTGCTTTATGAATCTGGGTGCTCCTGTATTGGGTGCATATATATTTAGGATAGTTAGCTCTTCTTGTTGAATTGATCCCTTTACCGCTATGTAATGGCCTCTTTGTCTCTTTTGATCTTTGTTGGTTTAAAGTCTGTTTTATCAGAGACTAGGATTGCAACCCCTGCCTTTTTTTGTTTTCCATTTGCTTGGCAGATCTTCCTCCATCACTTTATTTTGAGCCTATGTGTGTCTCTACACGTGAGATGGGTTTCCTGAATACAGCACACTGATGAGTCTTGACTCTTTATCCAATTTGCCAGTCTGTGTCTTTTAATTGGAGCATTTAGCCCATTTACATTTAAGGTTAATATTGTTATGTGTGAATTTGATCCTGTCATTATGATGTTAGCTGGTTATTTTGCTCGTTAGTTGATGCAGTTTCTTTCTAGCCTCGATGGTCTTTACAATTTGGCATGTTTTTGCAGTGGCTGGTACCGGTTGTTCCTTTCCACGTTTAGTGCTTCCTTCAGGAGCTCTTTTAGGGCAGGCCTGGTGGTGACAAAATCTCTCAGCATTTGCTTGTCTGTAAAGGATTTTATTTCTCTTTCACTTATGAAGCTTAGTATAACCATGCTCCAGGAAGTAGAGAAAATACTCTTAAAACGAATGGAAAGATAGTCTCAGCAAAGACATAGAGGATATGAAAAATAGAAACATTAGAACCTAAAAACAATCTAAGTTTAAATAACTGAAATGTTAAAATTAATAGCAAAATGGAGTTAATTGTGAAAAGAGTGAAATACATCAATAAAAATTATCCAGTCTGAGAAACAGAAAGAAAAATATTTGGAAAAAAAAACAGCCTTGGGTACCTGTGAGACAATTCTAAGAGTCTAATATTTATGACATCAAAGTTTAAAAAAAAAGGAGAAAGAATATAGTACAAAAATAACTAAAGAATTAATGGCTGGTAATTTTGCAAATTTGGTAAAATTTGGTAAAATAAAGTTTACAGAATGAAGAAGCTCAGTGAACCCCAAATAAGATGTACTTAAAAAATCTATATGCAGGTAAATCATAACCAAACTGCTGAAAATCAAAAACAAAGAAAAAAAATTGAAAGTAGCTAAAGGGTGGGTGAGGGGAATGAGATGACAAATCACATATAAGAAAGCAGCTATTTGAGAGACTGCAGATTTCTCATCAGAAAACAAAAATAAACAGATGAAAGACTAAAGAAAATGTATTTTCATGTTATTTTCTAAAATGATGGATCAATATATATTACAATGATGAAGGATAATTTTTTGTGTGTGAGGCAAGGAAAACCAAACAAAAATTCTCTCTGTATTAGAAACCTTAGAGTTTTTACTATTCTTTGAGATCAGCAGTTAGATGGAATAAATATAGAACATGTGAAACTTTTATGTTTTTCAATCTGATACAAAACCTTCTCTCTCAATGAAATCTGTAGAATTTTATTTTTCTTGCCTAGAACTGCATGAATATGTACTACACATAATAGTTTAGTATACTGAATGCCTACTAAATTTTTAGTAAGATTTTATCTTTGGTGGCTTTATTGAAGAGGTGCCACTTCCTATTCTATTAATAGTTTCTAATGAAAAAAGAGTTATGTATGCAGAGATCCGCTGAATCACAGAAAGAATGAAGTCCTAATAAACTTGCAATGTAGATTATATTACTTTTCAATACTCTTAGCATTTACTGTGTTAAAAGTGGCAGTTGACCAAAAAAACTGATTAGAAGATAAGAAATATGAAGTATGAAATTCATGTATTTTCATATAGCTCAAGAGTGGCATAAGAAAGAGTACTTTGATTTAAAGTAGTCTTACACCTCATAACCACATGACATAAAAATCTCAAACTAATGCATTAAGCTGACAAAAGTTTCCTTGGGTATTTTCCTCTAAGGGGATGTAAACCAATCTTCTCTTTAGTGTCCAGATAAAGAAAACTGATATATATATTTTCTTGTCTGAAGAACAAAACAGAAAGCATTGAAATAATTTCATTGAAAAAGAGTTTTTTTTTAACATTTAAAGAGCGACTGGTCAGTCTTTTTTAAAAAATCTGTATCTTTAATTATTTCCTTACAAAAACAAATTGAGAGAGGGCACGAATATTGTGAGGAAACAACAGAGGAAGTAGCATGTTTTTCCAAGTCCCCGAGCCATGTGGCTGCTGCTGGGTGTCTTTTGTCTCAATGGTTTCCTGAACATGAGTGGAAAACACGACTCTCATAATATTACTTGAGCCTTTTCTCTTCCCGGTCCTCTTTTAGCTTGGTCATTGGGGGAATCACCAGATGGGAAGAAACCTTTCAAGTCCATTTCTCCTTTCCTATCCCTTCAACACCTTCTCATGTCCAGTGGGGTTTTCACAGGTTCTAATATTACTGCAATGATTCAGCAAGCCCTTTGAATTATGTGCAGGAAGGGAATAGTATTCTCTTCCTAATTCTTTAAGGAATTCACCTTTCCTTTCTAAGAATGCAAAGGACCAAAATATGACTCCTACTGGATTAAATAAAATAATCACTATGGAGTTAAATGCTATATTTTCAAAGTCTGGGTTGGTAACAATAGAATAGGAGGGAACAAGCAGGTCATCCACTAGTATTGCTTTCTTGAGACAAAACACTAACCTAAAAGTCACTGGTATACAACCATAGAAATGTGAAGGAAACTAAAATTAATAGCAGGTATAAACGATACCAACACTGACATTAATAGCACCTGGCATTCAAAATACTCCTCCTTGCTCAACTAGAATAAATTTTAACTATAAAAAAGAAGCTCCTTGAGTCTTTTTCCATTTATAATCCTTTCTATCATAGGGCCAGAAAGGGGCCAGGTAACAATTATTGTTAACAAATTCTAGTCTAATAGGTAAAAGTCTCCCATATTATATTAGTCCATTTTTACACTGCTGATGAAAACATACCTGAAACTGGGTAATTTATGAAGTAAAAGAGGTTTAATGGACTCACAGTTCCACATGGCTGGGGAGGCCTCACAATCATGGCAGAAGGCAAAAGGCACATCTTACATGGCAGCAGACAAGAGGGAAAATGAGAACCAAGCAAAGGGGTTTCCCTTTATAAAACCATCAGATCTCATGAGACTTACTCACTACCATGAGAACAGTATGGGGGAAACTGCCCCCATGATTCAGTTATCTCCCACTGGCTCCTTTCCACAACACATGGAAATTATGGGAGTTACAATTCAAGATGAGATTTGGGTGGGGACACAGCCAAACCATCTCACATATATGTATCATATTGACTATGGGAACTAATTACTCTGCCTTCCTTTACCCCAGACCCTTTCATCTTCTCTTTCCTGATCTCTACCACAAGGTATTATATCAGACAGAATACAGAGCACTCTTTTCTCTTAACTCCTGGCTTCCAGTTGGGTCTAGCCAATGGGAGGTTCTTGTCAGTGTCCAGATATCTTCTCCCTCACTCAGGTAACAACAAATCCTTCTGCTGACAGCGTTTCTTTTACTCATTTTGTTCTTAGAGGTTCTACTGACTTATTTTTCATGTTTTATATGACTCCAGCACTGATCATATTTATCTGACATAAGGTACAATCTGACTCCAGTTGACTTCATGAGTCACTTCAATGGAACTTTGGAACGTGGAAATAAGAAACTTCTTTATAAGACATAAAACTGAGGAATTCTTGGTTAACATGTCTACCAGACAGAGAAAGTTAGTCTAGGGAGAAAGATCAACACAGCTAATACTTAGAGATGAACAGTGAGTATTTTGACAGTGCTTAAGTACTTCGACCTATTTTTTTTTTTTCTGAGGTGCAACAGCTGAATGCTTCTGTTTATTTTGGCTTGATGGTCAATGCTTGCTTAGATTATTGAGTTTCCTCAGTACATTTTAAATAAATCTAATAAATTTCTTTTTATGTTAAAACTGTAATTAATTCAAATTCTATCTTCTATAATCAATTTGTCGTAATTAATATAATAACAAATGGGCTTGAAAAGTGCACCCTGCTGCAGTGTTCATTTTAGGTTGTAGAAACAATGTAACCAAAGACACTTTGTAGGGGAATTTTCTTTTTCTGGTCACCAATTTATCCAGTAGGATACTTAAAGTTTATAGAACTCTGGAGTGTAGCTGTTATGATACACTATTTCTGAATTTAAAAATTCAATGCCCACGCTATGTTTAAAATGTACATAAGACATGAAAGGTTCCTGGTGTGGTTTTTAAAGTGCTTCTCAGTGTCCAGCCACCCTTAAGTGCTTTGGGAAACACACTTTTAAATATTTGCTCATCATTGATATAGTTTGTGGACCCAGAAAGAGTGAGAACTGTGTTCAGGAGGTCTTAAAGGAAAATAGTACCAATTTCTGAACTTCTAAGACAGCCCTAAGTGAAAAGGCAAGGCATATGCTATGGCCATAATGTGCTGCTGTTGCAATTGCTGAAACCCAGTCACAGAAGTCAGGGTCCTCGTCAGTCAAGAGGAGACAGGAACCATCTTTCTAAACATGTGACTCTTCCTCTGCCAGGATAGGTGCTGCCCCATCCTGCCAGTCATGGGAGTGAGCAACCCAATACTTCCCTCTCTCCGCTATTCATTCTCAAAAGAATGGGAGGTAACAGAAAAGCTAATTTGGGGTTTACCCATATTCTGTGCCTATGAATATAACCATTTATTTTGTGGAGAAAGAATGTTCATTACTTTCATTGAAAAATAAAGGACTAATTCTTATTCAGCCTAACACACCAATGCAGTCCCAAAAGAAAAGGAAAGGGAAAATATTTTAAACTGTTCAATTTTTGTTAAGGTACAGTGGAAAGAAAATCTTCCTTCTTCTGCCCATACCATTCTTTCTGTATTCAGGATATTGTATGTCATAGGAAAATCTACTTCATCCCATTTCACAGTGGCTAGGAAGTATACATTCTTGTTTATCTCTGTGAGGCATATTGAAGACCTCACCCTATTCAACCCAGAAGAAAGTCATTAAAACTCAGTAAAAGCAGGGACTATCCTTTCTCCTATATGTGGGAAAATTCTTAGCTCATATTACAGTGCTAAGGATAGAGTAAATAATAAATATTTATTATTTATTTGAGACTGACTCTTGCTCTGTCTCCAGGCTGGAGTGCAGTGATGCAATCTCGGCTCACTGCAACCCCTGCCTCCTGGGTTCAAGCAATTCTCCTGCCTCAGCTTCCTGAGGAGCTGGGATTACAGGTGCCCCCTACCGCACCTAGCTAATTTTTGTATTTTTAGCAGAGATGGGGTTTCACCATGTTGGACAGGCTGGTTTCAAACTCCTGACCTCATGATCTGCACACCTCAACCTTCCAAAGTGCTGGGATTACAGGCGTGAGCCACCGCACCTGGCCAATAAATATTTATTGAATAAACTATTAAAAGGGTAGCTATTATTAATTATGTATTAATATAATATAATTTAAGCACTCTCCCAAGTCTTCAAGTCTAACAGACAATTTGCTAAGGTGATGGGATGTAATGGTTTGAATGTAAGAAATTTATCGACAGAATTTTTTTTTAATTCAAATGAAATATAAGAAGCTATTGCCAGAAACAGGAGGGTCAAATAACATGTATTTTAGAGCATATGTTGCAGGTAGGTCCATAATTAGGACTAGACATGCCTGTGAGATTTAAGCCCCTATGTTGTAATATGTGTTTTTGAATGTGTTTTTCATGCAATAGCATGTGATAAGATATGAATAATACAATGTAAAATTTAATTTTACTTTATTTTAAATTATATAAGATTATTTGATATATATTATCTGGGTGATGAATACATGAAAGACCCAGACTCCACCTCTGTGCAATATTTCCATGTAATGAAATCGCAGTTGTATTCCTTAAATTTAGACAAACTAAAAAAAAGTTTTATAGACAGAAGGAGAAAAGAATAATGTCATGCATATATAATTAAATGTCTTTCAAATTTAGTAAGTGCATGCTTTGAAGCTAGTATAATCCAAATTCTTCACCTGGGTTTGTTTTTTTTTTTTTTTTTTTTTGAGACGGAGTCTCACCCTGTCGCCCAGGCTGGAGTGCAGTGGTGCGATCTCAGCTCACTGCAAGCTCCACCTCCCGGGTTCACGCCATTCTTCTGCCTCAGCCTCCTGAGTAGCTGGGACTACAGGTGCATGCCACCACACCCAGCTAATTTTTTGTATTTTTAGTAGAGATGGGGTTTCACTGTGTTAGCCAGGATGGTCTCAATCTCCTGTCTTGTGATCCGCCTGCCTCGGCCTCCCAAAGTGCTGGGATTACAGGCATGAGCCACTGTGCCCAGCCCTTCACTTGTATTTTTTAAGGAAATAAAATGGATATATAATCCTCAGCAAAACTGCCTAATATCAAATTTATTTTTCTTTCAACAAATAATTTTTCTTGCACAATGCAGCTGTGCTTTGTGCAATTTTCTCTTCAGCTTCACTTTTCTCTTCAACTTCACTAAAATAAAACATCTGTGTTTCACATTCAGAGAGGTGTTTTTGTTTTTTCTCCCTATTCTCTCCCATTTCTCTCCTTATTCTCTATCACAGAAGCCCTGAACTTTCTCGAGAGCAAATAGTCATTCAAGGCAGAGTCCTCTGTAGTCAGAAAAGGGGAAAGGAAAATCAAGGAACTCTCAAAAGCTGATACATTTTATCCTGTAACAGCAACAATAAAAGAAGAACCAAGTAAGAAGGCAATAAGCCTCTATGACAGAATTATTTTGTATAGTTATTATTTTTAACCCTATAAATTGCCATTTTAGTTAATTAAAAATGATTGAACATTAGTTCTTTTGTATGATGCAGCCTAATATAACAAGTTACATGAAATAAAAAACTATTCACATCTTTGGTCTTCTACAGTAAAAGAAGAAAAAAGGTAGGCAAAATAAGCATCAAATAATCCAATCATTTGTGTTACCTCTATTCTGATTCTTGTATGTGCTACCGTTTGCCATCACAAGAAATGCGGAGGCAGTTATCTCCACTATTAAATTTCTTATAACCCAAACCTTCCGGTATCTCTCCATGTCAGGTAGACACCTCTCCTGTTGCCTGTCCTATCAGGTCCACAATAAATATCTTGCTAATTCTGCAAACCCACAGGGGTCCCCAACCAACACCCAAACTGATCTACCTACTCTAAACGATAATACTACTTCTAATATTTTCTACTACATTTCTAAAACTTTTATTTGTATTATTCCCTACATTTTAATCATTTTTGAAAAGAAAAAAAAGTGTATGTTTTGCTAAGTCAAATAGTTGATCAATTTCTTTTTTGTTTTTATGTAAGTTATTCCATGCCAAAAAACTATGATATTATTTTAATGCCAGTGTATAATGTCAATGCCTAAGATCAGAAATTAAACAAATTGATGTTGTGAACTTTATCAGCTGGAATAAAACAGGTTGATTGTAATTTGCAGCTTAAAATTGGTTAATAATAGCAACTGAAGCCCTTGGAAACGTGTATAAAACTCCTTTCACACGTGCCTAATAATTCTAGTGAGATTATTCCACAGGGGGAAAAATTACCTTCATCATTGGGCTTGCAAAAAAACAAACAGAAGTGGATTAATGTAATTGCTTAATCAACAACATTCAGCCAAAAGTCTCCAAGAGTGTAGAATTAATCATCTTATTGTAAGATTCATTAAAATGTAATGGGTAGAGTGAGAACACTGCACAGCTGGCAGTAATTTTGTTTCATTAAAAATAAAAATAAATACACCTTGAAAAACACTATTTTGACAATATTTTGCTCCATACCTTGTCTTAAAAACAAGTATTTTTTTTCACTCATGTACTGCAGAGCACCAGTTACCTGAAATCTGTGAACTACAAAAGTCACAGGCAGCATGATCTTTTTCAGTAACACTCCTTATCCCAAAAGAACTTCTTTCCCCTGGTTAATGGTCAGTATAAGTGTAATTTTTTTTATTATTCTTGACTCTACAAAGATTACATTTTCAATACACTATTTTAGAGTTTTTGGAACCTAAAATCTAGTTAGCAATTTATGAAATAAAAGTTTAAAAATTGCATGTAAAACTTATTTTTAAATATAATTAAATAGATTAAAGAATATCAATCACTGGGGAAAAACAGAAGGAAAGTAGCAATAGTCGAAGGGGGTCAATTATTATATCCTTTGACATTTAAGAAAGCATTATTACATTACCATTAACTCTAGCTTCCTGAAGACGATCAAGTATGAAATCATTTCTTTTGGAATGTCTGCTGGCATTTCCAAAGATTCATCATTGTTTTGGGGTATACTGGACAGTTTTGATTCAACTTTAAATCGACAAAGACATTTGGCTGTTCCAACAGATTGTTTAAAGGGATGCTTCTGTTTTATTCTTTCTTTATGGTACATGTGCATGGTCAATGGCCACTGAGTTTAAGGATCCTTGAACTTTGCCAGTCATTAGATCAATCCCTTTGAGGACATGTTTAGACCCTAATATGTTACTGACTTTTGTTATCCACATATGATGTTAGGGGTAATAATACTAACAACAGCAATAATTACTAAATTTAGTAAATATGTACACGTGAGACACTAAACTAAGAACATTTTCCTTTACCCCTATTTTCTTCCCATTTGCAACCTTTAAAAAATTTCCTCTTTTGTTCATAATAATTTATCTCATGCTCTGAGTTTATGTACCCTACCCAGCAAGAATAAGCTTAGAATGTAGCCCAGGACCATCTTTTTTTCCTCAAAAATTTCCCATGAGCATTTCTCCCACCCTTGCCAAGTGATGTAGCAAATATTTTTCCAACATTAAAGAAAAAAAAATATTCTCCTGCAAAGGAATATTTTTCCATATTGTTACATTACTAATGATTCTAGAAGGTTAATGTGAATTGTTACTGCAACAGTCTCCAGCTCTCATTAGAATCACCTGATAAACATTGAAAATCCTGGGACCCCACTCGGACACAGTGCTTCAGCGTCTCCAAGGATAGACAAAAAACGCTGAATGTGTTTTATCTGTTTCAGGGGATCCTTGGAAGGAGCCAAGTTTGGGAACCAGTAATGTAGGCACATAGCTTTATTTCCCAGTATTTTACCAAAATATTTTGGCAAGATACCAGAATTTGGCCATATTGAGGAGATATTGATGATCTGTCTCTTAGTCAATCATACAGTGTCATTTGATTATCTTCTGTTTCATCTTAATTCTTTGAAAACAAATACTGTATTTGTAAATACAAATTGGGCGCTTAACAAAAACCAGGAATAAATATTATAAGACGAGTTCGATCAATAATTTACTCACCAAATATGTGTGTGTTGGTTGAAATGGAATCAGGTTGAGGCTTTCAGGATATGTTTGTTAAATTGATATTTACTTGCATTCTGATGAAGTAAAATTTGTAAAGGGTTTATTTTTTATTATTTTCATTTTTAGTATACATGAGCTGACGTACACTAAGATCTTAAGTTTATGCTGTTCATGATGTGTTTCTGTTTGTGTGTGTGAAGACGCTGTGTTATTGAAGGCTACTGTCTACAGCAAGCAGGATACTAATAATTCCGTATTATTAACATGTTCATATTAAGACTGAATTGTTGGTAATATCTTTCATATATCTAGCACTTTGTGGTTTATAAAATATTTTCATGTAGATATTTCTTTAATTGCAATGTGTACCTTTTATTCACATTTTAATATTTTTTAAAGAATGAGATTAATTTTAAAATCAATATGTTTACTTAATGTGCAAAAAGGTGTTATTTCTTCAAAAACTTTCTGTGAGCCTTATAATCCATGACATCTCGAAATGAAGTGTATGTGGTATTATTCTACTTGTTTCAAGACTATCGAATTAGTAGGGCTTCTGTTTTCCTCAATGAAGCAACAAGGAAATTACAGCACAATTAGAATTTAAGTATTTAAACTTGAGGTTGCTTCCCAGTGGATTGTACGGCTGCTGAGGTTATTACATGCCAAAATGTATACTTATTTTAGCAAGGAAAAAGTATTCAGCCTGTCTCTGAACACAGAAATACAGACAGACAAGGAACACAGTGGTGCACAGTATGAATTTCTCTAGTAAGCGTTTCCAAGAGGAAATATGATATGTTTAGTTTCAACTATCCTTTATACAAGTTGAATCATTGGTAAACATTGCTTATTAGACATGTGGCCCAGGCAAGTATCCTTTATACCAACTAGATCATGTGATAAGTATTGCTCATGAGATATGTGGCCCAGGCAAAGCAGACTCCATTCTTTCCATTTCTTTGTTTGCCGAAGAACGCTAACTACCTAATACCCCATGGTAATCTCTGGCCTGTGAAACATGCCAAACTCTGCCTGTTTCTCTCAACCTGGTGGTGACAGCTTCCAGCTGGTCACCTGATCAATCATACCTGTCATTGGCCTCCGTGTCTAGAGCGCGATTGCTTTTGTTTGTTTGTTTTCTTAGTTTGCTTCACTGCTTTACTGGCAGGCTTTCTTGCTTGTCCATTAAAAGCCAAATGTGAAAGTCGCAAACCACACCATCTGGGAGAAAGGAAAAAGGCCTGGCACATCTCACTGGTCTTGATTCTATCAAAGCTCCTAGAGGCTGCAGGTATTTTCCTCACTGCGATGTTTTGGCTGCAGTTGGTAGCGATGAAGGAAGAAAGGAGGGTTTTGTTGTTGTTCTGTTTGGTTTTCTTTTGTTTTTCAGTTCTCTTTATAACTTTAGCATGAATTGGAGAACAGGAGAAAATAGAGGATATATTTGAGAAGGTCCCCCTCTAAGAAAATCTTCTTCTACTTGGCCATGCAAATGAAACCTTGAATCCTTACAGACAAGTGACTCTTAAAAAGGCTTTTTTAGAAAGTAAAAGGCCTTTTTAGGCTCCTGGAAGGAAAGTATTACAGTTTATATTTATTTATTCATCAATCTACGGGAGATGTGACATAAAGCACTCCTCCGTTTAGCCTTTTTTTTTTTTTTCAGTTTCAAAATGTGAAGTTTAATGGCAAGCAGGATCTACAATAGCTTATCAGTCAGTACTCAGGGTGAATGTAATATATAAACACAGCCATCTCCCTCAAGCATAGAATTTTACATCTTTAGATCATCTTTCGTAAGGAATTCTAAAAAAGTCATTCACAGATAAACCTTTTTTTGAATGTTTCTCTTTCTATCCTCACCTGTTTGTACATCAAACCAAGTTACCAGCTAAGAGTTGTTTCATTTTTCCAGTGCTACTACAACAGGCTAGGTGATTTCATTTCTATTTCTGCAGAAACAAAGAAGAAAGGTCAGTCAGTGTTCCTGTAGTGTCTGTTACCTTTTTTGAAGACTGAAAAAGACATGTCATGTGAGTGGGAAATAAGGACATTTTGAAACAGTGTTTAGTTAGTTACACAAGTCTAGGAATGGTGCAGAGTAGATACAAAGGCAAGGACCAAGTCCCTAAGGAATCATCCCGGATGAGCAGTATTCCTATATATATGTAAATGCAATCCTGAAAACAGTGTTTTAAAGAAGTGGGAGGGACTCAGCCAGGCACAGTGGCTCATGTCTGTAACCTGAACACCTTGGAAGGCCAAGGCAGGAGGATCTCCTGAGCCCAGGAGGGTTTTGTTTTGTTTTGTTTCTGAGATACGGTCTTGCTGTGTTGCCCAGGCTGTAGTGCGGTGGTGCAATCGCGGCTCAGTGCAGCCTCTGCCTCCCTGGTTCAAGAGATTCTTCTGCCTCAGCCTCTGGAGTAGCTGGGATTACAGGTGTGTGCCACCATGCCTCGCTAATTTTTGTATTTTCAGTAGAGAAGGGGTTTTGTCATGTTGGCTAGGCTGAGCCCAGGAGTTTGAGACTAGCCTGGGCAACAGAGCGAGATCCCAGTCTCTACAAAAAAATAAAAAATTTAGCCAAATGTGGAGGCACGTTCTTGTAGCCCCAGCTACTTGGGAGGCTAAGGTGGGAGGATTGCTTGAGCCCAGGAGTTTGAGGCTGCAGTGAGCCCTGATCACATCACTGCACTTCAGCCTGGGTGACAGGGTGAGACCCTGTCTCAAAAATAATAATAATTATTATAATAAAGAAAGAAGGGGCAAAAGCATATATAAATAGATAAGACCTCTATTCCAGAGAGACAAACAAAAAAATCCCGGGAAACAAATTTCTTGCTACCGCTTCTAACACTATCTGTGATACTGGTAATGTTCAGAGAAATAGGGCTGAGGGATGAGGCATGCCCAGACAGTGTTCTTCCTGCCGTAACTGGGGAAAAAATCAAATTGAATCATAAACATATGTTCAGTTCCCCTCAGAGCAAAGAGAGCCTTTGGAAAAAGAATACCCAAATAAGCTACTTGAATTCCTATGTCCTCTTCTCCCCAATCAGCACTACCATTTAAAACATTTTCTTCTTTTTATGCTGATTTCATTCTGGAGCTTAATTCAATGTAATGTTGTTATTGCTTACATCATGGGGTTGAATAGGTGGGAGGTAGGGAGAGGAGGTAGGTGTGTAAGTGATGAACTGAAGTGATAAATTGTTTGATTGCTTGGTGAGAGAATGTTGCCAGTGTATGATAGCTGGAGTACATTAGAGTTAAACAAGGTGATGTGTCATTGCAGTAAAAAAAATCGAACATTTCTGAACCTATTATTACCTATGATTGAAGCTTCCTTTATGTAAGTAATATAAGATATATTTCATCATTCCTACAGAAAACTATATTCTTACTTTCAGTGGTTCCTATAACCACCAGATATTCTATCTAATAGGACCTGGAAATGAGATTTAAAATATAACATGATACAAAAACTGAAAGGTTTACATAGGGTGATTAAGCTTGAGTTGCATAGAATTTCTTACTTGTTAGCTCACTGTTATCTTATTACAGGCATATTCAAAATAGGTATAATATTACATAAGTTAGTTGCAGATATACATATATACGTGTATATATATGCATACATATATATGTATATCTGCATACATATATACAGACATACATGTATACATATATGTATATCTGTATATATACACATATATGTGTATATACATATGTGTATATATGTGTATATACATATATGTGTATATATGTGTATATATGTGTATATACATATATGTGTATATATGTGTATATATGTGTATATACATATATGTGTATATATGTGTATATACATATGTGTATATATGTGTATATATGTGTATATACATATATGTGTATATGTGTGTATATATGTGTATATATGTGTATATACATATATGTGTATATATGTGTATATATGTGTATATACATATATGTGTATATATGTGTATATATGTGTATATACATATATGTGTATATATGTGTATATATGTGTATATATGTGTATATACATATATGTGTATATATGTGTATATATGTGTATATATGTGTATATACATATATGTGTATATATGTGTATATATGTGTATATATGTGTATATATGTGTATATATGTGTATATATGTGTATATACATATATGTGTATATATGTGTATATATGTGTATATACATATATGTGTATATATGTGTATATATGTGTATATACATATATGTGTATATGTGTATATATGTGTATATACATATATGTGTATATATGTGTATATACATATATGTGTATATATGTGTATATACATATATGTGTATATATGTGTATATATGTGTATATACATGTGTGTATGTATATATGTGTATATATGTGTATATACATATGTGTATGTACACATGTGTATATGTATGTGTACACATATATACACATATATGTGTATATAATGTGTATATATACACACATAATATAGATACGTGTGTGTGTATATATATATACACACACACACATATATATATAATAAATAGAATCATGGTGTTTCAATCAATATCTTTTTTTTTTTTTCTGAGATGGAGTCTCACTCAGTTGCCCAGGCTGGAGTGCAATGGCACCATCTCAGCTCACTGCACCCTCTGCCTCTCTGGTTCAAGCATTTCTCTGCCTCAGCCTCCCAAATAGCTGGGATTTACAGGTGCTCGCCTAGCTAATTTTTGTATTTTTAGTAGAGATAGGGTTTCACTATCTTGGCCAGGCTGGTCTTGAACTCCTGACCTTGTGATCCACCAGCCTCGGCCTCCCAAAGTGCTGGGATTACAGGCATGAGCCACCATGCCTGGCCTCCATCAATACCTTTAAAGGAACCATATGATTTATTCATAGCATAAGTTTTGAGAGAAATTGGAGGAAAAATAGCTTCAGTGATCACTCCATCACTGTGCCAAATCTTTTATTTCCTGTGTCATTGCTACTTATAACAATGTAATCATCACCACAGGTTTTATATAGAATGGTGCAACTAGTCAGGGTCTAGGGAGAATTTTATCTTGCATCTTCAATTGTAGATGATGGAATTCAGCAACAATAAGAACTTATATTTTTGATGGCATTATGTGTCAAGTGATTTACATCTACATTGCATTAAACCTAACAACTGGGCAATGTGGCATAGCGTCCATACATGCCATCTTTGTAAGCATACTGCCTGGGTTTGCCCCTCAGCTCTTGAGCTTGGGCAAGTCATTTCACCTGCTTGAGACTGTTTCTTCATATGTAAATGTAGATTTAAAAGATAGCACTTACATGTTAGGACTTATATAGACATCAGATAAGTTAATATGCATAAAGTACCAAGAATGATCTCAAACTTATGATTAACGTGTAGGCAGTCAGTGTGACTCATTATACTATACTCTCTCAATTTGCAGATGAGGAGCCTGATGTTTAGCTAGCATAAGTGACTTGTCATGTGTATTAGTCCTTTCTCACACTGCTATAAATGTGCCACCTGAGACTAGGTAATTTATAAACAAAAGAGCTTTCATTGACTTACAGTTCTGCATGGCTGGGGAGACCTCTGTAAGCTTACAATTACAGTGGAAGACAAAGGAAAAGAAAAGCACATCTTACATGGCTGCAGGAGGGAAAAAAGGAGGAAAGGAGAAGTGCTACACTTTATAATCATCAGAACTTGTGAGAACTCCCTCACTATCATGAAAACAGCATGGGGAAAACCACCCCCATGATCCAATCACCTCCCACCAGGTCCCTCACTCAACATGTGAGGATTACAATTCTAGAGGAGATTTGGGTGGAGATACAAAGCCAAACCATATCATTCGGAGTTTGGGGCATTTCTCTAAAGATACTTGAAAATGTCTAAGCAACATGGGAACTGGGTAACGGGCAGAGGCTGGAACAGTTTGGAAGGCTCAGAAGAAGACAGGAAGATGCTGGAAAGTTTGGAACTTCCTGGAGACTTGTTGAATGGTTTTGACCAAAATGCTGATAGTGATATGAATAATGAAGTCCAGGCTGAGGTGGTCTCAGCTGGAGATGAGGAACGTATTGGGAAGTAGATCAAAGGTCACTTACCCCTTCCCTAGAGATATGTGGAAGTTTCAACTTGAGACAGATGATTTAGGGTATCTGGGAGAAGAAATTTCTAAGCAGAAAAGCATTCAAGAGGTTACCTGGCTTATTCTGAAAGCATTCAGTTATAGGCGTTCACAAAGAGATGATTTGATATTGAAACTTATGTTTAAAAGGAAAGCAGAGCATAAAGGTTTTGAAAATTTGCAGCCTGACCATGTGGTAGAAAATGAAAACCTATTTTCTGGGGAGGAAATCAAGCCATCAGCTGCAGAAATTTGCATAAGTAACAAGGAGCCAAATGTTAATAGCCAAGACAATGGGGAAAATGTCTCCAAGGCATGTCAGAGATCTTCACAGCAGCCCCTCCCATCAGGGGCCTGTAGGCTTAGGAGAAAAACAAATGGTTCTGTGGGCCAGGCCCATGGCCCCACTGCCCTGTGCAGCCTCCAGACTTGGTGTCCTGTGTCCCAGACACTCCAGCTACAGCCATGGCTAAAGGGGGCCAAGGTACAGCTCGGGCCATTGTTTCAGAGGGTGCAAGCCCCAAGCCTTGGTGTCTTACATGTGGTGTTATGCCTGCAGGTGTGCAGAAGACAAGAGTTGAGCTTTGGGAATCTCTGCTTAGATTTCAGTGGACACATGGAAATGCCTAGATGTCCAGGCAGAAGTCTGCTGCAGGGGCCCAGCCCTCATGGAGCACCTCTGCTAGGGCAGTGTGGAAGGGAAATGTGGGGTTGAAGCCCCCACACTCAGCTGTGAGAAGAAGGCCACTGCCCTCTAGTCCCCAGAAAGGTAGATACACCAACAGCTTATACCATGCACCTGAAAAAGCCACAGGCACTCAACGCCAGCCTGTGAAAGCAGTTTCAGGGCCTGAATCCTGCAGAGTCACAGGGGCAGAGCTGCCCAAGGCCATGGGAGCCCACCCTTTGCATCATTGTGCCCTGGATGTGAGACACGGAGTCAAAGGAGATGATTTTGGAGCTTTAAGAAATGCCTTGCTAGGTTTTGGACTTGCATGGGGTCCGTGGCCCCTTTGTTTTGGCCAATTTCTCCCATTTGGAATGGGAACATTTACCTAATACCTGTACCCCCATTGTATCTTGGAAGTAACTAGCTTGCTTTTGATTTTACAGGATCCTAGGCAGAAGGGACTTGCTTTGTCTCAGATGAAACTTTGGACTTGGTCTTTGGGTTAATGCTAGAATGAGTTGAGACTTTGGGGGACCGTTGTGAAGGCATGATTTTGTTTTGAAATGCAAGAAGAACATGAGATTTGGGAGGGGCTGGGGTGAAAGAATATGGTTTTACCTCGTGCCCCCTCCCAAATCTCATCTCTAATTGCAATCCCCATGTGTGGAGGGAGAGATGTGGTGGGAGGTGATTCGATCATGGGAGCAGTTTCCCTCATTCTCCTCTCATGATAGTGAGGGAATTCTCACAAGAACTGATGGTTTTAAAGTGTGGCACTTCCTCTTTGCTCCTTCTCTCTTTCTCTCCTGCTGCCGTGTGAGATGTACCTTTCCTCCCCTTTGCTTTCCACCATGATTGTAAGTTTCCTGAGGCCTCCCCAGCTAAGTGGAGCTGTGAGTTAATGAAACCTCTTTTGTTTACAAATTACTCAGTCTCAAGTAGCATCTTTATAGCAGTATGAGAATGGACTAATATACCTTATGTCACAGAAGTTGTAAATGTATCAGCCTGGACAGACTAAAGCCGGAGCCTTCCCACTTAAATACAACATGAAAATGCCAATTCAGCATTCTTTTCACAAACATTTACTAGGTAGTGAATATGTGCCAAGCACTATAGTAGGCACCCAAAATGTGAAGATGATTATGGTGTATTTCAAAATCTAATGTAGAAAATAACATCTTGGCAGTCACACAGCTCCAAAGTGGATACCAAGTATTTCTCTACTCCCACCTCTCCAGCACCTCCTCTTCCTTATAATGCTTCTGTCATTACAAAACTCTACTCTGACCATAGGGAGTGAGGGGAGGAACGTAACTATGCAAATCATGATAGAACATGAAACACAGCAATATGTTAACTCAGTTGTGTAAACCATGAAGCCTAAATCTCAATAGGGTTTATCCTGTGATAGTAGGAAGATCTCATCTTTTATACCCAGTTATAAATTTTAAACTTTAGGAACAAAGACAAGGAATAAGCCCCTATCCCGAGAGTTTAATAACTTACAGCCTTCTAATAAAGCTGTATTGCTTGTGATGTCAACAGTGAATTATCTGAACAGAGGCTTGTTAAACAGCATTGTGAAAAGTGTGCATAACTTTGCCAGGTATATACCATCACAGGATGGAAGGAGAAATCCACACAGAAATAAAAAGACCTGATTTTCTTAATGCATAAATTTATACTCAAGTGGGTGGCAACAAGAGTCTTACTAATTTTAAGTAAGATAGTAACATGTTCAAAGACATGGAACAGCACTTAGGCAGCAGGATGGAATGGAGGCATAGATGGGTAGAGGTTTGGGCATAGTGTGAATTTGTTTAGGAACAAATTCACAATGGCTCATGCAAGAGATTTGCCCTGTGGCAGTGATAATCTAATGAATATAAGGAGATATATCTTTTAAAAAATAGCTAATATTTACTCTGTGTTAAATGTGTTATTACTAAAATTCCTTCCATTTTTTTAAAGAAAGAATAGATGAGATTTATGGTCTCTTGTAAAGCTTTCTCTGAACACATTTAGGTTTTGTTTTGTTTTGTTTTGAACACGATTTTATTCTCCAAGTTCTCAGCCAGCCAAATCGTGCTTTGTCTTCTTGTTTTGGTATAATGCCTGAACAAGGCCTTACAAAATAGCTTCCTGTCTGGCTTGTTTGAAACATACCTCTTTACTATCTCTGAGCTGAGCTGTGAGGAGGATGTGAAGTCCGCAAGTATAAGGTGAAAATAAATAACCATCCAGTTCAAACAAACCACTTGCCTCAGTCAGTAGTTCTGGCCCACATTCATTTGTACCCAACAAAGTCCCTCAGCTATCTTATTATCACATTTCTTTAAGGTTAACCCCTCAAAGATGATCTTGTTTTGAAGTTCTAAACATCGCGCCGCATGCAAAATGACTCAGGTATTATCATATATTGATGATTCATGATGTTCTTCTGGAAAATGAAAACTTAGTCATCTAATCAATAAAATCATTTTAAGTCTTTGAACTGGTTCCAGGTCAATTTTTCTTGGCAGTTTTTTGGCTTCCTGAATTATACTGACCCAAACCATGAATAATGATCTAAAATTGCACAATATACAAAAACCATCTGTTTGATAGGAACAAGAGGGTGATGTCATGGGGCCACTTCTTATCTCAATTTTATGTCCTGCCAGTGCTGATGTCACTGGCTTGGCAACACATTGGCAGAGTCCAACTTGTTAAAGATGAGTACGTTCAAGAAGGAAATTGTATCACTGCGTGGAGAGGGACTTCTTATGTTTTCTGGATTGGAGATGGACTAACAAGAAATGGCAAGAGCTGACAATAAAATGGCTAGTATATATTTCACTGCAGTGATTAACGTATTATAGTTGACAAATATAGTGTCTCTTCCTCATTTGCATTTTCCAAGGAACAAAGTCCTTCATCTTCTAAAAAGGAAAATGTTGCAGAACTTTTCACAGGAGTAAAATATAGTTGCACCACAAGAAGATGGTAGGGAGTAGTCTTAATGTTTGTGTCCAGAAGAAAACTGGGGCATCGCACTGAATGTGTCTGTAAGATAGATTAACACTGTATCAACTACAAAGTTATTGATATATATGTAAGTGTTGTATGTAGGAACCGTGAGGTAATTGTCCATCTATGCTCAACCCTGGCAGGTTTATCCATTTTTGGGTCCAGCTACTACCACCACCACCACAGAATGATATGGAGAATTTTGAGAGGATTGAGAGAAATACAACAAAAATGATTGAAGAGTTAGATTGTCATTTCTCGGTAAAAACGTTAAGAAACTTGAGGTGTTTGTTGTTGACAGATGGATAGTAAAGATATGAAGGGCACAGACTATAGGATTCCTTGCTGCAAGGACTATTGCTTATACACCCCCTACTGCTGAAGCTTTAAGGAGTTATCGGCCGGGCGTGGTGGCTCACGCCTGTAATCCCAGCATTTTGGGAGGCCGAGGCGGGTGAATCACAAGGTCAGGAGATCAAGACCATCCTGGCTAACACGGTGAAACCCTGTCTCTACTAAAAATACAAAAAAATGTTAGCTGGGCATGGTGGCAGGCACCTGTAGTCCCAGCTACTCAGGAGGCTGAGGCAGGAGAATGGCATGAACCTCGGAAGCAGAGCTTGCAGTGAGCCGAGATCGCACCACTGCACTCCAGCCTGGGCAATAGAGCAAGACAGTCAAAAAAAAAAAAAAAAAAAAAAAAAAAAGGAGTTATCATAGAAAGCAATAGTTAATTACCTTCTCTTCTCTTTTAATGGTATAATTTTTGTCTGAATTACCAATGTACAGAAAATTGAGTTTTCTATTTAAAACTGTGTCAGAGTTCTCAATTTTCAAATCAAATCGAGTGAATGAAGTTCAACCCACTTATGATTTGAAGGCTTCTGTAATGAGTTTTTGAAACACATTTAAATTAATAAATGTTTAAGTGTATATGTGCTATCTGATCAAAATAAAGGTAACTTACAGAAGCTGGTGCCAATTATGACTACGCTTAAATAACATAGTGATATAGTAAACAAATCGTGAACTCTTGGGGATATCTTGGAAGTGAACATATTAATAATTTTAAATTAAGCATATACAACATTTTGACAGATTTTCCTCACTCAAAAGAAAGTATATAGCCAGGCAGGAAAGTTCCAGAGAGGTTGAGGTTGAGTCTTCATTCTAGGTAGGATGATGGTGGAAAAAAATAAAAGTGCTTAGGACAGGGCAATCTATGTTTTCTTTTAAAGTATCATTAAAACACATTAAGTTTTAATCTGTTTTACTTAATTTGAAGTAAAAACATGTATAATTGTACAAACACATAAATCATATTTCACGTTATTTCAAGATAATTTAGTTTCCACTGTGTTAAAAGAAAAGAAAGAGTTTGCAGGCCTGAAGAAAGAGGCACAGAAACAGATTCTAGTCACGTATCTCAAACTTTTTCTTCAGAAATATTAGAATTTATTAGTAATTAGAGAAGTTTCTTAAAGTAGATCATATTCTTTTGAACTTCAGAGAGTAGAAATTGAGGGACTTAAAACATTTTCTTACGAGAACATAGAAAAAAAAACATATCTGAGGCACGTGTTTTATGAGATTAAGAAGAATTGCTAAACAATTGTAACCTAATACCAAGACCCAGAGGGGATGGCTCAAGGAAAGAAAGTTTTCTTGATTACAGCCTAGTTAAGCAATTTAATTAAAATGGCTGCTTTAAAAATATGTGCAATTTTGCCAATGGTAAGTGTGTTTTCTGGTGACATGTAGAAACACTGATGAGTCCCAGCCAGGATACCATTACAAAGACAAAAGGTCACTGGGCTCTCCTTACAACAAACACATGTTTTCCATTGACTGTCTCCCCCATGGTGAATTTCCTTGCCACTCATTAGAATTTATTGATGCATAATTCCCCTGCAAAATAGATTATGGAAAATGTAGTCTTACATAATCTTTGTCTTCTTTCTCTGAAGAACTGAGTGAAAGGTGTATCACAGTGGCCATTTTTGAGGTGACGATGAGGTTGAGGAAAGAGGAAAGGCGGTGAGCTGCACGTGCAAAATGTCCATTTCCCATTTTGAAGCACACAAAGGCCTTTAAATGCTTCACTTATCTCATATTGTAAACTCCAACATGAAGAGAAATATTCACCAGACAGGTCATAAATCATGCCCAAAGACAGGTGCAATAAATACCAATGTCAAAAAGTTACAGAGTAAAATTAGATTGTTTTGACAAGGCCTCCAGATGCGCTGACAACAGGGCAAGTAAATGGCCTCTTTTCTGAGAGCCCACATCACTGGTACATGGGTGGGGAGAGGGACCCCAAGCCATCATAGGAAAAAGTATCTCAGAATTTTAACACTTGTCACCCTTACTACACTATCCTCAAGGAAATGGCCAGCAAGGATTCCTCCACCTGTGCTATGAAGTCATCACATGTTAAAATGTTACTGATGAAAACATATCAACATAAAGTCAAATACCATGGGGAAGGCATTTAACATGTATATAATGCCCAAGTGGAAAATATGCTTGCAAATCAAATTGTTGTAAATTTCATATGTAAATATTTTTGTATAATAGTTATAATATACATAATATTGTATATATAATATATACTCTTTAATGAAGTTACAGTTATACTCATAAATGAATTATAGATGCTTATTTGTTTAAATCTAGATTTTTAACATACTTAAATGAAAATACTTTTAAGTTAATTATATTGCTGCTTAAACAAACACTTTGATTGAATAAATTTAACTTCACAGAAATTCAGGCATCCTAGTTTTCTCAGTAAAGGTACTGGTTGTAATAGAAATTGAATTAGAATGGCACACATTATGTTGTTTTACATGATGTTAGGTACGTATAGATATAACAGCATGCCAAAAACACCATCCTCTTTTGTTGTGTATTTCTTACTCAGTCACAGTTGTATGAAAACTACAATTATTTCATTTAGCAATTGATAAAAACTTGTATTTATGTTCATGGTATAGATATGTCTAGCTATAGGAAATGTATTAAGAGCCTTATGTAATTAACTGAATAGTTCAACTTCCTAAAACAGTTTCATTTGAAGTCAATAAATAATTGCAATAAATTTACCAGAACTTTGAGGGATAGCAATAATGGTTAAAATAATATGGCCCTGTGCATAGAAATGTTTAGTTTGTTTCTGAATGATTCAATTTTATAGTTATGTTTTAATAGCAATCTCTATTTGGTCAATTTGTCTCAATCAATTCAATATTCAGAGCCTGACAACCAAGTTGTGCTGAATTCAACAATTTGACAAATACACAACTGAAAAGAGTTTCAATCTTCTATTATGTCTGAGGTAAATGAAAGATAGGTACGACATCATCTCAACAACCTTTTACCCCGATACACTTAGATTAACATGGAATCTCACTTCCATCCTCTAATGTCATTGCCAGTTTAGAATCACACAAAACTGAGGTTATAAATTTCAAAACAGTTTATAAACTTCCAATCTGCAGACTGTTTAAGAAGTCAACTCAAATCTTATTTCTATAATCCCTCTAGAAGTGGCTCCACAATGGTAATTCAATTATAAATTCCTAGGTTGAATTTTTATTTTTATTTTCTCTCTTTTAGGAAAGAAATCACCAAAGTATTTCTATATTGATATGGTTGATATTCCAAAGAGGGATATATTATTTTGCATTATTTTAGTCACATATAATCAGTCATGTTATTTTGCCTTATTTCTCAGGATGCAATTGAGTTACCTACCTCTGCTGAAAAAATGGATTATTTTGCTAGGTTGTGTGTGGTGAGTTAGACTTATGACCTAGGGAAGTAGAAGTCAGGAGGGAAGGCCTGGTAGCAGCATCCTATAAACCAGGCCAATGTGTTGCCCTGAAAAGGAATGCACTGCCATAAATGAAGGCACTTGGAGGGCAAGGGTCATAGTATGTAATTAGCGCAGGCCATTTAAGGAAGAATAAGAAAATAATGTTTTACAAGCTGGTAGAAAGAGAAGCAAATAATCATTTAAATGTTCCAATTGTGAGTTCCGTCAGTGTGTGTGGTTTATTTTATAAGCAACTTTCTTTACTAGTAAGAGGCAAAGCAATACTGGGAAATGAAGTGCTCATTGGTACCCTGCAGTATGCACTACAGGGCCCTTCCTTTGAACTGCTTTGCATAAGGTTTATTTCCGGCACTCTGTTTTGTTCTCTTACCCTAAGACTCATGGTGACATTGGACAAATGGTAAACCAAAGCACATAAAATATGAAAATCTCTTTAAGCTATGATAGACATTTTTGTCCAGTTTCTTGAAGGAAAGGAATAATAGATTATGGTTTATAAAAATGAGGCATTCACAAAAGAAGCCATGCCGAAACACTTTTTCTTGGCAGCCCAGCCACCTAATGTTTAAGTGACCCATTAATATCACTCTGGGGAATACTCAGTTGCCCATTTCATTTAAAATAAATGAAATGAATTTTCAGCTGTACATTCAGTATTGCAGCTGACTTATTGTTTGGTATAGGAAATGACTTCTGTATAAGCAAAGGTAAATTAAAGGTCATGTTAAAGGGGTATTATTGCCTTCAGTGCATGTTTATAATCACACATTGTTTATACGTAGGAAAACAGAAGCATTAAACTAAGTTTTTTGTGGTTTCTTGTTATTAAGATATTGGGCAGCCAAATCACTACATATATATATATATAATATGTAAAATCTCCATATATGTATGTAAAATATATATATATATGTAAAGTATATATATGTAAAAATCTCCATATATACATGTGTATATCTCCATATATATATATATATATGTAAAATCAGAGTAAAATATGACAACTAAGCAAAGATTAAGGCACCAATTTAATTTATAACGGGTGCTAAATATATGTACTATCATTTCCTTTGAAATCCTATGCAGAGTAACATGGATGATATCTTATTATAAAATTGTTACAAGGCAATTACTCTTTGCTATACTCTACACAGCTGGTCAATCCATAGTTGTTTTTTCAATTCCAGGTTCAAGTTACATTTTATTGTTTATTGTTTTATTTTGAAATATTTCTTCTTGGCACCCTTACCAGAAAAGTCGCAATCTTTGGTCGAAATTTGATAATGGAAGATTAGTTTACTGGTCAGGATATTGTGGATTAATTAAGATGGAAATCTGGAAACTGGTTTTCATTCTTTGTTTCCTACAGTGAGCAGTAAAAGAACAAATTAATGGAGTGAAACATGATCTCTTGGCTGCTAAATTCCAAAGAACAAATGTGATATTTAATTACTTACAGATATTGAGCCTTTTTCCCCCACTAATTTTAATTTTGTCTCCCCATTTGTAAATTATTTGGTGTTTTTGTTTGTTTGTGCCATTTTGTTTTTAAGTTAGAACTCATACAAAGGTAATATATCACCATAAGCCCTGAGGGCATGACACAGAAGATTCACTTACAAAGGACAGACACTCTTTCTAATGGGTCACAACATTCCTCTGATGGATAGGAGTCACTAAACTGACAATAGGTTGCTTGAAAGAGCTCTCATCTGAGCTTTAATCCTTATTTGATTTAACATTTTATCTTCATTGAAATATCTTAAACATTTGTTGAATGATAAAATCAGGATGTTTTTATTTGTATTCCCTGAGAGCTAAAATTAAACAGAAGATGCACGTATTTCACTTCCCATATTTTAGAGAAATTATTTGAGCTACACTAAATACAGCATTAATAAATCTGACTGTGGCTTAACTATATTTGTTCTTCTTAATTAACTCCACAAAATATCTGCCATTATCTTACATATTAACTTCATATGAGAAGAGGAATAAACTCAGGAACCTCACCACACAATTGGTTAGGACCACACAAATTGTCCATTAATTATTCTGTAAATACTTCATACAGCAGGTCTGTTTTCCCCAGCAAGATTATAAACTCCTTGAGGACAAGAATTATAAACTTCTAAAATTCCTAGCACTATCTAAAGCCAAAAATAAATGTATATTATGTATCATTCAAAAAAATTTAAGCTAAATCTTTTTTAAAACGACAATCTATCATAGATGTTCATTAATACTTTTAAGTAGTTAAGGTTTGCTATCTTAGTAGTGGGAAACCCCAAAAGGGAGCAAACGAGTAGGGAATTCATTGCCATATGGCTCGTCAGATTCTATAAAAGATGTAGAATCTTAATAAGTTCAATAGCATTTCCTTTTTGTGCCTAGAAATAAATATCAACAGCGTAGCACCCATTTTAACAATTATCTCTTAATGACAAAAATAATGCTTACACTTTGAGGAAACATTTAAAAAATAAAAATGTATAATAAGAAAAATAAGAAATACAGGCCCAACTCCAGAGAAAGCGCATTAATTTTGTATCTTTTCTTCTAGGCTTATTTGTATATTTTAATCTATACAAAATTTAAAGATTTTACAAATGATGAATCACTTTGGGTATGCAGTTTTAGTATCTTGGTTTTCTCATGTATCTGTATACAATGATAGTTTTCTCATTTAAAGAAATATCCCATAAAATATTTTAAGCTGATTCATTAAATTCTATGAAAAATGAAAAAAATCATTTAATTTTTTCTTTTTTTTTGGCTTTTTATTTTAGTATTTCTCTAAGAACTAAAGTGCCAATAGCACTAAAGATAACATCTTTGTGTGCATATTTGATTGTCTTATTTTGTGGTGAATTTCAAGACTTAAAGTAGCTAATGCAAAAGGATGATAATTTGTATTAATTTTGGTATACTATACCAACAGTTTTGAATAATATGTATGTCAGAAGGCCTTAAGAAATAGAGCATTATGTCTGCTGTAATTATTCTCTCCTCTTTTCTGCCACACATAGCCACATGGCTCAGTCATTATCTTCTGCTATTTAGTATATTTAATACCAAAGGAATTCCTGCTAGCCATCTGCTTTTCTATGTTAATTCTTGCCCTTTGCAGTTTTCCTTACAAGATATAATCATCTAGAACAGCAGGTCCCTACAGAGAACTTGAACATTTGCTTTTAATCAAAAGGCATAGTTTATATTAAACTCAGTAAACAAAATCAGGGGACTTGTATAAATAACAATTTGTGCATATCATTTTCATTTTTGCTGACACTTTTGACTCTGGTATTGATCTTTCTCCAGGTTGTGAAACTCAGAGGGCAAAGTGCAAAGTTCAAAAGTGGCTATTTGCCTCAAGGTTTATTGAAAATAAAACATCAACGGAAGTCCTCTGAAGTAATTTGAGGAAACTTTTTTTTTCTTCTAGGAAGGATGTCATTATTCAGTTTCTAAGGTTAAGTCTGCTTAGAGAAAAATAATAGAGTGAAAATAGGCTTGAAACATTAGAAAGCTGGCAGAAAACATCTATATAATTGTGGGACTGAATGCAAGTATGTAAAATTTCCAAAAACAAACATTGCATTCTATATGGAACATCTCTTTATCTGTTCATCGTCCAAATACAGAAACTATAGCTCCATCTTGCCAAATCCATAGTATGTGGACTGAAAAAAAAAAAAAAGAAAAAAGAAAAAACAGATGCAAAATGAATAAGGAAAGAGTACATTTAAAAAAATACATTTTTTAAACTGGTTTAATAAGAAAATTAATTTTAAAAAATCAGTACAATTGGATTGTCATCAAGCACCTAAAAGGCACAGCTCATTTTTTCAATTGTCCTGTTCCAAATGATTATTTTGTTTCATGCAAGCACTTGCTGGGAACGTTTCCATGCTGAAACAAGACAAGTGCAGGCAGAGCTGTTTTTAATTTTTAAAGATAACTAAAAACATACAGAAAAGCCTTCCAAGCTTGACTTGAAATTGTTGTATCTAAAGATTCTCAATGCATTTATTAGGAAGTGTCCATCCAACTTAAGAGAATTTTAACAGGCGTCCTAAGGTCAGACTGCAAATCAGGCCAGGAGTCAAGAGCTTCAGTAATCTTTTCCCAGCGTCATGCAGTAGATCCTGGTTATTTTCAACCAAATTAGACATCATTTTGGATGTTTATTCTCCCAATTATCTCCTTACCCCCCCAATCCTTCTAAGTTTCTTTATGGTTTTATTTAAAAATTCTCTTAGTTTTTTATTGCGAGAGTAACTTAAGTGTGGTCTATTTGAAATCTTCATCACATATAAAGGGGGAACACAAAATCATTTATGTAATAAGACTCCAGCTAACAGGCACCCTCCAGCAATCTGAATGCTTATGAAATGGCATGAAAATAAATCCAGAAAATTAAACTAAGAGCTAGACAAAATATAAACTACTTTGAGCTGTGCTTTTACAAGACAGATATGTCTAGGTATATGAGCTCCTAGTTTTCCTGGAGCTTACACTCTAATGGTGGAAGACATGTAATATAACCAATAACCAAATAACTAGAAAATAAACTTTCAGGTACAGTGAAGAGCCATGAGGCAATAAAGCAGTGTTATGAGTAATGATGAGGGGTGATTGAGAAAGGGTGATCAAGAAATAAGAAAGATCTTATTGAGAAGATGGTGGCTGAGGTCAGTTCTGAATTAGGAAGATGATGATATAAAGCTTTTTGGGAAAACAGGACGGAGGGAAAGAACAGGAAGCATAAACTCCTAGAGTGGGGATGATATTTCTTTTCTTTCCATTTCTTCTTTTATTTCCTCTCCTCTCCTCTTCCCTTTTCTTTTCTTTCCTTTTCTTTCACTTTTGCTTTCTTTCCTGGAGAACAGAAAGAAGGTCAGGATTGACAAGATGCAGTAAGAGTCAAGGGGTAGGTAGGATATGTATAGAAAGTAGGCAGGGGACAGATTATGGATTCTAAGTGCAGTCAAAATGGTGGTAGCCATTGGACAGTAAGTGGAATTAATTGATTTCTACTTAAGTCATTTTTTTTTTTTTTTTGAGACGGAGTCTCCCTCTGTCACCCAGGCTGGAGTGCAGTGGTGTGGTCTCGGCTCACCGCAACCTCTGCCTCCCAGGTTCAAGCAATTCTCCTGCCTCAGCCTCCTGAGTAGCTGGGATTACAGGTGTGCGCCACCATGCCTGGCTAACTTTTTTTGTATTTTTAGTAGAGATGGGGTTTCACCATATTGGCCAGGCTGGTCTCAAACTCCTGACCTTGTGATGCGTCCGCCTTAACCTCCCAAAGTGCTGGAATTACAGGCGTGCGCCACCGCACCCAGCCTTAAGTCATTAT
This sequence comes from Homo sapiens, assembly GCF_000001405.40. Taxonomy (NCBI): domain Eukaryota; kingdom Metazoa; phylum Chordata; class Mammalia; order Primates; family Hominidae; genus Homo; species Homo sapiens. The sequence goes on from NC_000017.11 coordinate 70,873,641, forward strand.
TCTAATTGCAATACTGACTGTGGATTACTGGGGAAACTAGCAGAGATACTATCAGTAGGATACTGATTGAGATTCAAATAGCAGAGAATCCAGGTAGCAGTTGCTTAAATGAGATTAAAATGTCACTTTCTTTCATGTAATAATAAGCAATTCATTGTTGATATAGTAGATCCTGACGTGATGAATGCGGGCTGTCTCCTGATTTCCATTCTGCCATATCTCAAGGGTAGAAAAAGCAGGAAGGAGGAAAGTAGGAAGAAAGGGCCCTTCTGAAAGATGCATATTCCACTTTCATATAGCAGTGGTAAGAAACTAGTCCCACATCTAAGCTGGTTTTAAGGGAGGTCATGAGCTCAGTTAAAAATCGAGCTGAGGCTGGGCGCAATGGCTCACACCTGTAATCCCAGCACTTTGGGAGACTGAGGCAGGAGGATAGCTTGAACTCAGGATTCAAGACTAGCCTGGGCAACAGAGTGAGACCCTTGTCTCTACAAAAATTTTAAAAATTAGCCGAGTGTGGTTGTGCATGCCTCTGTAATCCCAGCTGCTTGGGAAGCTGAGGCAGGAGGATGGCTCGAGCCCAGGAATTCAGGGCTGGAGTGAGCTATGATCACATCACTGTACTCCAGTCTGAGAAACAGAGCAAGGCCCTGTTTCAAAATAAAAAAAAAAAATCAAGCTGATCTTATAGCCATCATGCCACATATGAGGACAAGGCTGGAGATAAGAGGAAATAAGCTACATGTGATGAGGGGAAAGGATGAAAATAACATTCTTGTCTTACTAAATCACCTGAACCCTGGAAACATCTGTTCTTATAAATTCTTGTCATGTGAGATAATAAACACTTTATAATCAATCCATTATTATGAATTGGGTCTTCTGTAACTTGTAGCCAATAAAATTTGATATGATAAATCTCAGGTGAAGCAGGGTGATGATGATGTAGTATCCACCTTTTCTAGTTAGTCCTTCCATGTGATGAGATAAACACTCCACTCTTAGGGTACTTAGATATCAGTGCCTTTGCAAAACTGGAGGCATTTTTTTTTTTTTTTAGACGGTGTCTCGCTCTGTCACCCAGGCTGGAGTGCAGTGGCGGGATCTCAGCTCAATGCAAGCTCTGCTCCCCCGGGTTCAACAATTCTCCTGCCTCAGCCTCCCAAGTAGCTGAGATTACAGGTGTGTGCCACCACACCTGGCTAACTTTTGTAGTTTTAGTAGAGATGGGGTTTCACTATGTTGGCCAGGTTGGTCTTGAACTCCTGACCTCAGGCGATCCACCCACCTCGACTTCCCAAAGTGCTGAGATTACAGCTGTGAGCCACCAGACCTGGCCATGACATCATTTTGATTCCTCATATCCTAGGGTGCTGATAGCAGTCATGCCTTCATGTAGCAAATAGAAAGCTGAGGGGAAATCTGTAGAATTCATATTCAAATCTGTGAAAGTAAAACATCAAGACTAGGGGCTGAATTATATATTTGCCTAACATATGTAGAAATCACAGTGGTGTTCATAGGTTGGTGGCATCTCCATTTTGACTTTGCCTTGAAAGTTCTACTGTATGGCATCATGGTTAAGTATTTGGGCTGTGGAATCCAACAGATGAGGGCTTTGATTCCAATTCTGCATAATAATTCACATGTGACCTAATCTCGCCGAGATTTAGTTCTTCATATAAAATATGAGGATTGATAACACTACCAATTTCATTGCATATAATAAGATTAACAGTCTATTCATATTGAGGGTTTACAATATGGCAGACACTGTTTTTAGCAATTTTTAAATATTAACTTTTTAATCCATTCAAGAACCTTAAGTGGCTGGTAAAAGTATTGTTATTCTCCTTGCATAGGTAAGGAAACTGAGACAAAAATGAGTTGAGTAACTTGCTCAAGGTCACTCAGCTAGTAAGCACTAAAGCTAGGATTTGACTCCAGGCCATCAGGCCTTAGAATATGAGCTGCAGGCTTTCTCCCTGTTTAAATGAAATATTGCCTGTAGAGTGTTTGGCACATACACATGCAATAAATGTCACTTATTATTTTTATTTTGCATTTTCCCATCACTTTATTTTGACTTCAATGTGGGAGAGGTGATTATCCAAAGATGTGAATTATCCAAAGATTGTGATAGTCAGAAGCAGAGGAAATATTAGATTTTTCTTAGTGGGAGTAGGAATAAAGATTCCCAGCACTTGAGCCAGTCCAAAGCAAGAAACAAATGTCCATAAGCCTTCTTTGCTCCACATCTGTTTTTATTTTTCAGTTTATCAGCCTGCTCTTTCATGACAGGATTTTGCAATATTTAGCTCCCCTGGTGACTTATAGAATATCAAGGCAAGAGAGAATAAAGAAAAGCTTTTAGCCAACTTCAGCTTTTCCTTCCTTAAAACTGAAGATAAGCTCTGGCTGGACACCATGAGATTGGCTGAAAAGACCAATTCATGCATCTCCCTGTTATCAGTCAAGAGGGGAATGCTGGCTTTACCAGTGCCCAGCACTGTTGATAGTCCTTGTCTCACAGGGTCAGGATGGTGGTGTGTGAAGATAAGACAAGCTTGTAGCCGAGGACTGCCCAGATAGAGCACGGTTTTTCTCTACTGGAGAGCAGGTGTGGGCATCTTTGGTAGATGATATCTGTGTCATCACATGAGGTTGGGGTTTGACGAGAACGTGAAGAGGAGTGAGTAGAGGTATAGAGATGTTGGGTTTATCTCCTGCAAAACCAACTGTTCTTTCATAAGCTACAAGAAGGAAATGACCTCCAGTCCTTTGATTTCTCTTAAGAATTCATATAAACCATAGCAAAAGCCAGGCCAGTACATCTAAGTACATGTAAGTCAAGCTCTCATTGGAGATGAACAGCCCATTACATAGAACTGATGTTACGTATAACTTTTATGAGTGGTTGTGAATTGACAATACTCCTGTAAACTGAGAAAGATCAAGTATTGTTTACCATCTTCTGGAGACCAAACCAGTGTCTCCTATACTGAAAAAACCATTGGGGTAGAATAAGAGCTGACTCTAGCAATGGTTCTCCTGAACTACCTCTGGAGTTCAAAAATACAATTGTCTTCCTTTGGGCACTCTTTCGTGTCAGGAGTCCAAGTAGAGATTTTAAAGAATGGAAAAGATTTAGGTGTCTTAAAGAAGTCCACGCAGCCAGTGATGGGTAGGAAAGGGACTGGGACTGCTAAGAAACACTATGTCACAAGTGAGGCTGGATTTTGGCTTGCTTTGTTATGATGAAGAGGCAATTAGCTGGCTAATTCTAACCTTAGAATACAAGTGTACCTATTCCAAATTTGATATTCCAAATGTGAATAAGGTCAATTTGAATACAAAATGGTCAAAATACTTGCTCACTTGTCTCCATTTAGTATGTAAATAGGAAAATGAGAGTTCAAGGAGGTTGACAGTCTAATGAGGACTTTCTGTCACCAGGCTGGAGTGCAGTGGCATGATCTTGGCTCACTGCAACCTCCACCTCCCGGGTTCAAGCAATTCTCCTCCCTCAGTCTCCCGAATAGCTGGGATTACAGGTGCCCACCATGCCTGGCTAATTTTTGTATTTTTAGTAGAGATGGGGTTTCACCATGTTGATTTAGTACAATGAGTAAAATGTAGTTTTTCACAAGAATAAGCATTGAACGTCACAAAAGTGGCTACTTCTAAATCAACCATTCAGATTTGTTTCTACTTCCTATTTTAAAGATGTTCTTATTTTATCACACTATATTAGATTCAGTATTCCTTGAATTTCTTCTTCTTTTAAAGCTGTTTTTTAAAACAAATATTCTTTTAAAACTGTACATTTAGAACCTCTAATGAATAGCTTCCCTTAAAAAAATGTAGAATCATGTCTGGCATACTGTTTCTCTTTCAATTTTGAAATGTCTTAAGATAGCCTCATTTTATCACCATTTTTGAGGAATTTTTTTTTCTAGAGTTGCAGGGTTTTTTGCTTTTTATATTCTTTTGGCAATTTAAAGATGTTATTCCATTATCTTTTTGCTTTCATAGTGTCCTTTATAGAGCAAAACAGTCCACTTTATGGTTTTTTCCTTGAATGCAATGTGCTTGTTTTGCTCCTTCTTTTAAGATTGTATTTTTCAGACATTTCACAATGATGTGCCTAGATGTTGTTTTGTACTATATTCAGAATTCATTGAGCTTCTTGGATCTTTGAGATGAAGAGTTTAAAGAGTGTTAGGAAATTCTTTACCAAAGCCAATTTAACCAGTGATGGACACACTAATAGCTCTGACTTCACCAAGATACAATATATCCATGCAACAGAATTATACTTGTATCCCATACATTTATACAAATAAAATAACACTTAAAAAATAGCTCTCTCTTCTTTTTCTTTTTGTTTCCTTTGGATCTTCAATTACATGTGTGTTATACTGTTTATTATTATCCTATATGTCTCTCCCACTTGGTACTGGTATTTTTGTTTTTTGTTTATTTTTTATTCTTAATACATAGATTTTCTCCCTATTTTCACCTTTGATCATTTTCTATTTACCCATTTTTAAGTTCACTGGTCCTTTCTGTGGCTGTATGTTGTCTGTTAAGTTTATTCTATAATGTTTAAGGATTACATTTTTCAGTTCTGGAGTTTTCACTTGATCCTTTTAATAAATGAATTTCTTTTCTCTATTGGACATTTCCAGCCATCCTTTCCTTCATTTTGTATATATTTTTTCTCTATTTTCTTTAATATACTTGTGCTAGTTATTTAATGCCTTGCTAGTATTAGCAATGTCTAGCTGAGATTGCAACGTCTCAGTCAATGTCAGGCAGCATCTTTCCACTGTTTTTTTTAAAACCTTTTTCTCATGCTCTTACAGTATAAGATGGAAATATCTCTACATCTTTTCAGTCCAACTCTAGGCTTGCTCTCCGTATACGCCATAATGCACCAAAGTTCCGTGGTAGAGATTCAGTGGGTAAAAAGAAGTAGCTTTGATTTCAAGACTTCCAAAGTTCTAGCAGGTCATGGCGGTCTGCATGGCTGTTGAAATATCTATTGTTCTTTCCTTGATCTAGCAGACATCCTTTGCCTTTGTCAGGCCCAGTATTCTACCAGTATTTACCCAGATCTTGGACAATGGTCTCACGTGGGTGAGCAGCTTTTGATCTTTGCTTATCCTGGAAGAGATCTTCCAGTAATATTTAGTTCCTTCACATTTCTGTGCATGTACAGATAGAAGACGCCTGTAATTTATATTATTATTGTTGTTGTTGTTATTATTTTGGCAGGAGAAAAGCTTGTGTAATTCTCTACACCAGCAGTTGTCAAATTACTGCCCGATCAGGGCCAAATCTAGTCTGTAACATATTTGTTTATAGCCAGTAATCTAAAAATAGTTTTACATTTTTAAAGGATTGTAAAGGCAAGCAAACCACTAAACAAAGAATATGCAACAGATGAAATATGTCTCATAAACCCTAATATATTTAGTATCCGGTCCTTTACAGAAAAGGTTTACTGGCCCCAGTCTATGTCTTAATTGAAATGCTAACATTCTCTGTTTCATTATTTTTCATTCTGAAATTCCCTCTGTCTAGCAGCTGGAACTATAGATTATTGCTATAATTTTATTTTCTTCATTCTTCTATTATTCAGCACTTGTATTTTCTACTTTCTGGTTGCTTTCTTCAATTTTGTTGTCTATTGAAGTTTTCACTTTGTAACCATATTTTTAATTCACACAAGATGTCTTTGCTTTCTGAAAATTTAAAATAACACCACATTTGTCTTGCATACATTCCACATGTTTTCTCGAAAGAACTGCCCAGCTGACCCACAGAATCATGAGTAAAATACAATGACTGTTCTAACCAACTGCATTTTGGGTCATTTGCTGTGTAGCTGAATCTGACTGATGGGAACCTGTTGCCAGAATTCTGGAAGCAGAGTAGAAATCTGGGAATCTAAACATTCACGTCACAAACATGTAATCAATGTCTGTTTTCCACATGATGCTCTCATTGCTGACTGTTAGCTTTTACTGTTGTTTCCTAGGCTAGAGGCCATTTGGTTTACTCTCTCCAGCGAATGCATCTCCAATATTCAGCTGAAATACTGACTCCACAATCTCTAGGCTGTGCATACTAGCAAGAGGATCTGGTTATCAAACTATTTCTTCCTTTTCAAATAGTCAACCGATTCCCCTGTGGTAATATTTCCTTTATCCTCTTCTCCAGAATTTCTTTTGTTTCCAATTTCAGATTTGAGGAGAAGTTCTGCAATGAACATGAGATTACTTCATAGCTTTTCCCAGTAGCAAACCAAAATTCAGCTTTTTTTATCTTGCTAAGTCATTTATCATTCCTCTATCTTACGTTTATGCCCTGACATTCTATCTTTATTGTCTACTGACCCATTCTCTTTATTCTTGTGGGTTTTGTTTTTTTTCTCCTTTATTCCCTTAAATTATTATACTGGGACTTCTGGAAGACAGTAATGGCCTGTGAATGTGTTCTTCCATCTTTAATAGACTTAGCTTCCATTTTTCACAGTTTCATCCAAAGGAAACTTACATAGATGAAAACATTTGGAATCTGAACCAACCGAAGCCGTAGCAGGGCAGCAATAGCTGTGTGTGAATATTTCTTGTGCAGACATTTGTATAGGCAGCCCTAAGTGAACTAAGAAAGCTGTAAACAAAATGCACCCTGACAAAACAATAATGCAAACCACATTTTCATCAAAATTAAATGACAGTGGTAATTATGTATTTCTTTGCTATGTTGATGTTATCCCAAATTGTGAGTGATAGCTAAAATGAAGTCAAATTAAATGTTGGCATTCACTCAGAAGCAATGTAACCATATAAAACAAACATTGATCTACTGTTTCTGCCCTAACTGCCCCTCTGTGATATTAGGCAAGACACAACTTTCTGAAGCTCACCTAATGGAAAAAAATAAAGTCTTTTATTTCATTAACTTCAAGGGCAACCCCAGTTTTATAAATTTACCATTTGTCAAAAGAAAATGCAAACTTGTTTCATGTCTGTCAGTATAAGGAAATTACCTTCCAACTTTGCTAATAGACACTATGACCTTTATATCTTTGTAAGTATAAAAAATGATTTTGTGCATATATGAATCCCCTTTAGCAGTTAGGTAGAAAAAGAAATGTGAGTCTGCCAATTACATCAACTCAGGCAAATCATAAGTGAAATCAGTAAGGATCTCAGAGATTCAAAGTATCCGTGATTCTAATCCTATAATAATCCTCTGATGGCAGGATGATCAGGTGTTTTTTTAAAAAAAAAAATCGTTACAGTTGAAATCATTGGATAGTCTTAGCAAACAAATCTACAAATCCTACTACATAGCTTTTCATACGCAATTCTAAATAAGAAATGCCTCATTACATTTTGTCCAACTGAGCAAAGTTGATTGGTAGTAGATTTGCAAGGTTTTGAAATAAGAGAAGAGAGGGAGGAAGGAAGTAATTTAAGGACATGATTTCTAATTTGTAACGTCCATTTATAATATTCTTTGGGGTAATTTGCTGATGACAGTACAGCTTAGGAGATAGATCAAGCTAATTCATTAACTGCTGTATCTTCTTGGAGAGGATTACAGATGGGGGAGAAATTGGTCTGTAGAATTTCAAGTACCAAGGGATTTCTTCAGACTCAGTCTGCAGACAAAACTAACAAACCCAGATGATGGATCATTTGGCTAAATCTTACTTTTCTGTCCCAGTAGGGTAATCACAGACACCATCCCAGGAGCAGAATTTTAAAAATGCCTTAGTAATAATAATAACTACACACATGCATTAATCACTTGCCATGTGTTAGTTAATTTTATAAGTGTTTTAGAGGTTTAACTTCATTTCATCACAGCCTATGAGAAGGTTTTATTGCTGCCTTACATTTTATGAGAAAATTGAGGCACAGAGAAGTTAAGTAATTTGATCACACGTTAGGAGGTAAAGCCATGATTCCAACCTCATCAATCTGACCTCAGAATGTGATTATATTTTAATTTATTAGCATATTGTCTAGTTAAATGCTTTGTTTACTGTATTACTATTCTTTAGAGAAACTGAAAATTGTTTGTCCTCTCTAAAAACAAGAGTTAATTTCTAAAGCCAAGTTACATTATTAAAGGGAAATAGGGAAGTAAGGTGACAAATAAAAGGGGAACTGGAGTATAAATTTAAAATATTTTAAGACATATGGATTCTTATTACTATAACAATAGTTATGCAAACCATTTTTATTTTTTTTGTCAGTTTGGCCCACAGTTTAACCTCTTTAAAGCCCACTTTGTTCATCTAGATTAATGAAATACCATAGCACCTAGTAAGTGATCAGTAAAATTATGGTGATTGCTTTATCTGTATTAGGATTAAAACATTCTCTCAATGTAATTGGATATAACTTATGAAAAATATGTGTGTGTTACTCTTTTGAAAATGGCTCTTAAAATCTTACAAAGTATTTTGGAGGCATCTATCTTTCTTTTATCCCCACTTCAAGGGTGATATGTAGAGTAGTAGTGGCCGCAGTGCTTGAGAACATCTTAGAAATGCAGAAACTCGGCCACACCTCAGACCAAGCAAATCAGGATCTGCTTTCCAGCAAAATCTCCAACTAAATCAAAAGCACTTTGAAATTTAAAAAGCACTGGTTTATAGAACTGGATAAATAATGATTAGGATAAAGAAGCACAGGAATCCCGTGACAGTTGTAGGTTTTTTAGCTCAATCAGGGACTGAAAGTGTAAAGAGGTAGGGGGAAAGAGTTTGGTTTCATTTTTTATTTTTTTGGTGTTTTGTTTTTGTTTTTAAGCTAAAAGAGGCCAAAAGGCTAAGGAAGAAGAGAAAGCATGCAGGAATGAGACACTTTACTAAAGAAACCCAGTTCCTGAGTTTTTTTCCGATTCAGAAAGGAATGGGATGGAAAGCAAAGGTGGATGTATCATCAATCTAATTTTGCGGAAAGGAACTGACTTCTTCCAAGAGGGAGGAGGAGGGGCACAGAGCAATGCATTCTGGTGAGTAGTCGGGCAGGAAGCTGAAGAGGTGAGTGAGCAAACGGCAAGATACCTGGTGAGAGAAAGGGGAGGAGTTTTCTCAGAGAAGGTGATGGAAGTTTGGAGGAGTTGGTGTGGAGGACGGGAGGGAAATGCAATTGCAGAAATACAGATGGGCCAAAGAAGGTAGTGAGGGCTAGGACATTTGCCACAGTGCTTCTCAGTCCCGTGGCATGTGAGGCCTGAAAGAATGAGTAGCCTTCACATAAAAGGACAATAAAAGAGAAGTGATGTTGCTACTATTATGTAAGTTAAGGAATGGAAACTGTGCATGGTGGCTCGTGCCTGTAATCCCAGCACTTGGGGAGGCCAAAGCAAGAGGATCACTTGGGGCTAGGAGTACAAGACGAGCCTGGTCAACAAAGTGAGATCTTTTCTCTATGGAAATAAATAAATAAATGGGAAATGTAAAAAGTAGGGCACTCTTTCTCTAGAATTTTGAAGATGCAGGGCAATTGTAGATGATGGAATGAGGTTTCCAAGGGTGCAGTGTAATGGTTAGAAGGTGCGGCAGCCAGGGTGAGTGGGGTAGAGATGGAGCCTGCTGAAAGGGATTATGCACATGAGAAAAAGTAAACAACTAAAGGAGAGCAGAAATAATCAAAAGCAGAGTGTGTCAGGCTTATGACTCAAAGCAGTAGCCATGAAAGTTGTTCGGCTGAATCCCCAGATGCTGCGGAGATTCTAATTGTTATCTGCATTTGGTATAAACTAATTTTGAGACTAGGAATTGGAGCAGAATTCTGAAAAGAGAGGGAAAAGGTTTGCTTTCTGCAATGATACTTTTAAGTCTAAGGTCAGGAAAGTGCGTCCTAACATGTTACACGAAGTTTTTTTTTGTTTTTTTGTTTTTTTTTTTTTGAGACGGAGTCTCACTCTGTTGTCTAGTCTGGAGTGCAGTGGTGCAATCTCCGCTCACTGCAACCTCCGCCTCCCGGGTTCATGCAACTCTCCTGCCTCGGCCTCCTGAGTAGTTGGGATAGTTAGACATCTGTATTCTCATTACAGAGAAACTTGCTCAATTGACTCCTGCTAGCCATCCAGTGTACGCAGCCTTCCTGAAAAACAGTGGTATTTATGGGAGGTTGGCCCTTCTTTTTTCAAAGTTCTCTTTGTTCCCTTTTTATAATGAAGCAAGATGATAATGATCACTGGGTCAAAGTAGAAAACTAACAAACAGAATAGGAGAAATAGATCTGTGGTTAAATCCTTTTTCTTAATAGGAAAAGAGCTGGAGGGAAGAAGGGAAGGCAGAAATCAAAATCAATAGCAAAAAATAAAAACAAACAAACAAGTGAGAATCAAAACGTCTGTCTCTTACCACCATGATTTTTAGAGGCAACTGGCAGAATACAGCAAGTGCAGCAATTCCCCTCTTACCAAAAAGATACATCATTTCCTATAACTTAAGTTTCTATCATCAATCAGAGACTAATTTGCTCTCAGATATAAATTTCCAACCAACCAGATTTGAGAGAATAGGAAATTGCCCAGTTATTGGTCATCAAGATCTCATGGTAACTCCTTTTGATCAGATTCCTTTCTTCCTAAACTTTAGGTGAATTGTAAATAGATAAATTGTATGCCAGTACAGTTTCTCCACATTTTTCTTAATACTGAGCACTGTAGAAAAGGGAATTTTAAAATGGTCATTTCAACAGGCAGGGACATGTGTCAAGCACAGACCCTTACAGAAACATAAAGATATTTTGAATTTTGAAAAACAATATGACTGCATCGTTAGACAGAATTTAACATACATAAGGGGGCATAAACTCAGAGGGCACTATACAATTAGATAAACTGGATGACAACAACATGTGACTTGTTATCTGGAAGACAACAGCCCCGTTCCCTCCAAATTCTTGGTTGGCCTCTGTTGAGCCAGCCTCATTTTAGCATGCCCGCACCTCCTGCTTTTAGGAGAGTACTTATTTCCAGCGATGTTTACAAAATGGGGCATACAAGCATTAATTGTAAACAATGATTTCAGTCTTCATCTAGCTTAACTGCAAAACATGAAAAGACTTTCACGAAAGTTTTTCTCCAACTACGGTTTCTGAGAAGGCTTAAATGAAGCCACCACATGTGTAAGCTTATCAGGTTACTGCTTGCCATCTCTACCACCATGGGACTGTGAATTTCTGGTCTTTGTCCTGCCGATTGAGTTCTGTTCTCTCAAGAGCTACTGTAGCTGAAAGGTATTTCCACATGCTTCTGATTCTCCTCCCTTTATCACGTTATTCCCAGCATGACTCAGACACTTTGTGATACCTCCAAGTGACACCATGGAAAAGGCTGAGAGTTTTTTATTTTACATGCATTTTATTAATTGTATATTATCATATATAATTTATAATAAATATGCACTATATTAATATATAAAATATACATGCATTGTACATGTCTATTTCAATTTTTTGAAAGGTTACATAAATACATGCAAACGTGAACATTTTAAAGGCAACAAATAAGTATTCAGTGAAAATTATATTTTCTTTCTGCCAATGACTTCTAGCCCCTTGCTTCTGCACCCAAGATGCAGTCACACTATTACCAAGTTTTTGTGTAAACATCCATGGATAATACGGGCATATGCTAAAATTGGTAATACATTTCATTTCCTTTTTAACACAACTTGAATTTTATACACACTATTCAGTATTTTGCATTTTTCACCTTATCGTGGAAGTCAGTCAGTTTGTCTTGGTATGTACAGAGCCTCCTTCTTTTTGACAGCTGAAACTGCATACTATTTCATTCAATGGAGTTACCATTTATTTATAAATCCCCTATTGCTGGATGTTCAGGTTGTTTCTTAGTCTTTTAAACTCATAAGCAATAATATATATACATTCTCGTACATATGTTTCCATGCACATCTAGTGTCAATAGCCAAGTGGAATTCTTTACCAAAATATGTCTATTTAAATTTTTATAGCTTTTGACAAATTGTACTTCATAAAAGTTTATATTCCCTGCAACATGTGAGTATAGTTCTGCATATAGTTCTGCACCTTCTAACAAACACTACACTTTCTGATCCTTACTAATTTATAAGAAAATAAAAATGTATAGTTTTAATTTTGATTTGGGACACTTTCCTCTTTGAGTTCAATTTATCTTTAAATCCATGGGAGCTATCTGTTCCTGTGCCTTGGCCATATTTCTACTGGATGATTTTGTTTTATTTCAGTGACTTGTATGAGTGAGTTTTTTAAATTAAGACAATTAGCTCTTTCCCTCCCATAAGTTTGCAAAATATATTGCCTGTCATTTGACTGTGTTCACATATTTATAATTTTTTTGTTCAGGCTCAACCCAAGGGAGGCAAAAAGAAGAGAATAATTTACAACTATTATTACAGGGGACACTGTGGGAGAACCACTGTCTCTAACATTACACCTCTATTTCCAGCTCTATGCTGCTGCCATCTTTTGAGAGCCAACAAACCCTTTCACCATGGGAGAGCCCTATCATCTCAGACTCTCACTTGCCATAGTGTTTATCTATATAGACATATGGCTTAAGTCTTCATTCAGCTGAATTGCAAACAAACAAACAAGAGACTCACTTATACCATGATGTTCTCTAACAAGAGTCTTCAAGAATGTTTAAATAAATATACCATATATAATGTTGATTAAGCCCCTGATTATGAAGACCTGACCTGGAATGAAACCAGAGAGAACAGAAATGAGAGCAATATTCATAAATAATTGACAATACCCAGTGACTGACCAGGTAAACCCACAGGGATAACGTGAAGAGTCAGGGAGGGCTCCATTGCGGGGCTCTGAGATAATGCTGTGGCAGAGCTATTTCTTGCAGAGAGTTAAGGCTCACAGTGAGAAAGGAAGAACCACATTTTTTTACATAAAATTTATTTTATGCTTATTTATGTGGTCAATTTTGTGACAGTTTACTTAAGGCATATATTGAAAAAACGACTAAAAGATAAACCTTTTATCTTTAAAAGGTTAGCCTGAACTGTAGAGACCTATTATATTGCAAACATCATAGTAACCATGTTTCAATAGTGTTGAGATCTCTTATCTAATTAGATCACTTCGTGAGGCCAAGTGATTGTGCCTTGATGATTTGAAAGCCAGATACCATTCTGTTGCCTCAGCCAAGTAGTTTGCACCAGATGTTGAGACTTGACTGCACAGAGAAAGTGACCTAACAACAGCTGTGGCAAACCCATACTTTACCAGTTTCATGTGAGATCTTACTAGCTTGGGCCCTTCTTTATTTCTGTGGAATTGTTGTGTGGCTGGAAGAAATGCCTCCTCAGCCATGCTCTGAGAAGCCCATGATGTTAACAGAGTTGCTAGAGAATGAATGGAAAGCTAAGAACAGTAATCCATATATTTTTTCTTTTAGAATTTTGACACAGAGCATTTCTAAAGGCAATATGCTATTCACTAGCACATGCAGCAAAGCACCTGGTACTGAGCCATTTGCCAGTAAAAACTAATGAATGATGAGTGGGGATGAACACAGTGATGAGGAGAGAGAGAGGCTTGTCTATGATAGGATCTGGCTAATGAGTTGGCACTCATGAAATTTCAATGAATAACTGGAGGGTTCAAGTATTTACCGGTTACCCATCCTCTTCTTGACCTCTGTAATTAATAAGAAATATCTCAGAATCTAGTCTACAGTACATATGTTTGTTAACCACGAGACTCCAAATTGGCCATTAATGTCTAATAGATGGTGGGCCTAAGTTTGTCTCCATGCTTATTTACTATGGTTAACAAATGTATTTGCAAGAGACCATACCAGAGTGAATAAGAGTGTCAGAATCTATTCAGGAAGCATCTCTCCGCCAGGCGCAGTGGCTCACTCCTGTAATCCCAGCACTTTGGGAGGCCAAGGAGGGCAGATTACGAGGTCAGGAGATCGAGACCATCCTGGCAAACACAGTGAAGCCCTGCCTCTACTAAAAATACAAAAAATTAAGTGGCACGTGCCTGTAGTCCCAGCTACTGGGGAGGCTGAGACAGGAGAATCACTTGAACCCAGGAGGCGGATGTTGCAGTAAGCCGAGATTGTGCCACTGCATTCCAGCCTGGGCAACAAAGTGAGATTCCATCTCAAAAAATAAATAAATATAAATAAATTAAAAAAAAATAAATATAAATAAATTAAAAGAACCATCTCTCAGTCACCTGTCTCAGTTGATTGATTTAATTATAATTATCTGAGTCTTAGCTCCAAAGTTAGTCCATTTATAAATAATATCATTTTTTGCAAGCTAACTCATTTTATTGCCCTTCAAAATTGATGTTCATAGATTTCTCGGTTTAGAAAGAAAAAGTAAACTCCTCATCCATCTAATCACTTGGCTCCTTTAGCCATGGTTTCACTATTTAATATTATCCAAAGACACATCACAAAATTATCTACTTACGTATTTCATCTGACATGGCGTCTGCAGCTGTTTATTATTAAATTATAAATGAAATCGGAGTTATACCTGTAAAAAATATGGACAATATTCTCTGTTGAGCTCATCTATCCCTAAAACCCCCAATCCCTCAGTACATACCATGGAATTCCCATTTTACTCTGAGTGCCATGCTCCATTAATCCCCAGATCTCAAAGTGTATCTGACAGGAGTGATGTTGCACATTATAAAATAAGATTTCTCAAATGCTGCCCATCTGTTAGTGATACAGGCAATCTAAGTGTCCTATACATAGAACATACATACATTTCCTGCATTGCATATTCTTTCAAATATTTGCTCTTGGCATTGCTAGGTGTCCTACTGTCATAACAGACAAGTCATTCATTAAGCTGTCAGCACCTTGCTACCCTGCTCCCAAAGAAGGTCCATTTCTGTGTTTTCTGTTTCTTGCTGGATGACCTATTCACTCATCATAAGCTGAGCAGTTACTCTCATAACGGGTGCAACTGAGTTGTTCACGTCAACATATGTAAACCAAAGCTCTACTTCTTCATTTCCTGTGGTCCAACACTTGACTTGTGGAGGGCACTAATGGATTGGAAAGCCAGCCTGCAGTCATGAGTTAAGTTGGTGTCAATGTGATACACTTCTTGGCTGAGACATCTAAGGAAGGGACATTAAAAGCAAAAAAGTGGAACAAACAAGTAACAAAAATAAAATGATTAATTGTAAACACTGTTTGAAAATCTTACAGGGAATCAAGAAAGGCAATTAGCTACACAGACCTATACATTGAAACTATTTGGAACAGAGTATATGGGAAATTATGAAATTATATTAAAATTTAAAGCATCTAGTATAGCACATATTTGTAAGATGAAAAATAATAAAAATTAATTTTTAGAAAATTAGAGCTAAACCGTATGGATTTTTATCTTTGATTTTGTTGTTTATATTTTAAGAGGTCTTGTGTTTATGAGAAATTTAGTATTCAGTAGAAAAGTAGAAAGATAATCAATTTTAAACTAATTGAAAGATCTTAAAATATAGTTTCCTAAACATCACATCCAAGCCCTTATCTTTCTTCTTGAGCTTTTGCCTAATCCATGATTATTTTTATTCTAGGGAGTAGAAAATGGGAAAAAGAAAGAGAGAGAGAAAGAAAGAAGAAAGAAAGGAAAGATTGATTTAAATTGGCCAATTTGGCTTATAAGTAACAACTTTGATTTGTATAAGTAACAACTTCGATTTGTGCTTGACAGAAGATTAAAATCATTAACTTTGGCCAGGTGTGGTGGTTCATGCCCCTAATCTCAGCATTTTGGGAGGTTGAGGCAGATGGATTGCTTGAAGCCAGGAGTTTGAGACCAGTCTGGGCAACGTAGATGAATTGATAATCTATATATTCCAGTTAAATATGAATCCCATATTATCAACTCTAATAGAGATTAAAAGGTTGCTGATAAAATATGGTAACAGAAAAACACTCTCTCAACCATCTTTCTACTGTATAAATGCTTGGTTTTAACAAAGAAAACCAAAATAAAGCTGGTGATGCATGATGTTACATAGGATTTATTATTCTGAATATATATTGGCACAGGACTAGGAAAGATCACCTCACTAATCAGTTAAGTCATTGCATATTTTATGACATATACTTTATCCTACTTGCTTCAAGTTTGGTTGTAAAGAAAGTGAAATGTCCTAGAGGCGTGGAGACAAAAAGCTAATTTATATCAGGGAGAGCCATCCAAATCCCACAAACACAAATGAAAAAAGTGAGACACTCAAAGAAAATCATGTTAATTCATCTAACTAGTATTGCTTTTCTGTAGCACAATGCATGTAGAATATCATGATCCAGGTAATTTTAAATTACATTTTCTTCTTCATCCTTTCCAAATGAGACCATTTTATTTTTTGAGAAAAATGGGACAAAATCATTGTTCTATTGTGTTATTTTATTATATATTGCCTCAATTTGTTAATGTATAGAAGCTTAGTTTCACACAGCCATTGACCACCAAAATGCCACCCCACCTTGATTTAAAGATGTAGTCATAGCAATATAAGTGACAGGCCCCAAATCCCCAAAAAAGGAACCACAGCAAGTTTTTGCTGTGTGTGTGTGTATGCATGTGTATATGTAAAAATATTACGTATCAGTCAGGTTAAGTTGCATTTCTTATTTTGTAATGAAATGTATATGCACCTGATCATATATGTTAATATACTTATCTATTGATTAAAATGCTAGTCAGAAATTCTATATGTGGGCAGCATTTGGTTGAGCTGAGACCTCGGAATCATTTTCTCCGTACAGATGGTGTTCAAATTTTCTATCATATAGCTAATGGTTTCTGGAGTTTAGATAAGAATATGAACAGAGGTAAGAAAGGCATTAAAATTGTTTAAGAAATGTTTGTTAGTTTCAAAATGACCATTTAAATAACAATGATTAAAATAATATATTTGAAAAATTACATGTTCGTTTGGGATAGAATTAAAAAATCAAATGAGGGGTGAAGAGGAAGAGCGGAGAAAGCTAGCCACAAACTTTTATCAGTCTGTTTGGTTTCAGATCATCCTTACAAATGCCAACAGAATGGAGAGGGATTGCTATTTCTAGAAAAAAAGAGACTCAGAAACAATCTATGGTTGATCTTGTCTATTATCCAAGTGATATTTGATGTAGCATTTTTCTGTTTTATTGAATTCCTGATATATTATTTATGTGTTGTGGGTTTTTATTTTTAGATTTATGGTACTATTTTAAGTCTGTTAGAATTACACATACTTTTTAACACGTGTTATTTCTGATGTAAATCAGTTATTTCTGATGTAAAGCGTTAAGTTCCAAACATTGCCTTCTACAATTTGTCTTTCTCACTTCCAATAAATTATTCTAAAACTACCTACTCTTAGACATAATTTCATGATAAGTATGGAATTCAGAGATTTTTTTTCCTCCATTTTTTTTCTATAAAGAAATTCAAGACCAAAGAATCTTAATGACACATGGTAAATTAGTGCCTTCTTTAGGGAAGGGGTATCTGTTTTCTCCATCATCAAATCTCCAGTACCCAGCAAATTACATAGAACATGGTAAGTACCCAAAAACTATTTGATTAGATGAGTAAAAATAGGAAGTGCAAGAGTTTGAAACATTTCTACAGCTCAAAAATTACCCATAAAAATTTACTTTTTGTTCTAAGATAAAATCCACATTGAAAATTAGTTCTTCCGGGAGTTGTAGCCTCTCTCACCAGATTCCAAACAGTAACCAACACAAATAATACGAAGGTTTAAAAGCTTTTTGGCCAGTCGGTTTCTTTGGTCTGTTTGACCAAACCCCATAATTACGTGAGTACATGGTATAGATTTCCCAACACATTCCAATCTCAGATATCTCCCTTATTGTTCCCAGAAATACACATATGGTTTCCAAACTATGTAAATGCATTTTTTCCAGAAAATATGAATACTGTCAAAAAAATTTTCCATGGCAGAATATAATCTAAAGTAAACTTTCAAAGCTGTGCTGTATTTCATGGAAATTGGGATAATTCTTGGAAAATGTGATAACACTAAGCAATAATAATTAAAGTAGCAATGTAGTAAAGGTAATTAATGAGAGTGAAGTTTCATATAAGAGACAAACTTTAAATATAATTATTATAAAAGAGAGAGACAACGAATTCTATTTGAGAAGAGAAACTTTAGATGTACATAAAGATGGATTAACAATTTTTCTGTAGAAGTGAGAAATAATATTAGCAAATTTACCCCATGTAATAGAGACCTGACTGAAGATGCTCCTAGAATACAGTCTAGTGAGCATAGTTCTCACCTAGAAAAAGTTCTCACCTAGAAAATATTCATGGGATGAATAAAATAAGTAAGTGGAGTTTTCCGAACTCCAAAACTATTTTAATCATTTTCACTACCAGTAAATGTACACAATTATATCCTTTAAAAAAATAAAACTGTTTGTTAGATCCTGTCCAATTCTGTTTCAGAAAAACTGTTTGTTAGATCCTGTCCAATTCTGTTTCAGAGATGGAGTTCTATTAAGCTGCTTTATGTCAGGGAGTTTTTATAATGTTGAACCAAGTCACAAAAAAGTTAAAATTTATTTTACCATCAGGTTACTTTTCACTGATGGTGGTCATGGTTTCATTGGTGGTGATGGTATTGTTTTTAGTCAATTTTATATGTAGTTGGTTTTATAAATATGACTAAAAAACTCTCTGAATTTGGTTGGACTTATCATTCCATCAGCATTTGTTTGTCTACATGAAAATTAGCGTGTTTCTAAGAGTCAGAATTAACAAATATATATCCCTCAATAAATCTATTTTTTTCAGGTTTATCAGTTTGCAACAAGGAAATACTGGTAGCCAGGACCACCAAATATATTTCTTAATAGGCAAGAATTTATACTTTATTATTCATTTAAATGCAAACATTAGAATTAACTTTGGCTCTAATTTCTTTAAGGGTTAAGCAACTTATGAACATTTTTTGCAGATGTATTTCCTTCTATAAAGTTACCTCTTCCTGTGTAGTTTAATAAGTACAGAGTCAGCATAAACAGTATTCCAAAGAAACTTGTCAAAGAACATTTCATAAAATACAACTTTTTCATAAATAACAGCCAGCCACACACAAAAATGATTCCCATATTAGTGACGGATTTAGAAACTAAAAACTGCAAAAATTAAAAATAACCATTTTAGAATTTTTCTTTTCAGACAGGAAGATATATTTTGTCACCTCTTGTTTGAATCAACCCCCAACTCCCCCTGATAAAAAGGGGGAAAAAACCATAATTCAGAGACGTGCAAATATTTAATATTACTTGTGCTACAAGAGTCTTATACCTACGATATTTAAAATTCTTAAACAAAAATTCTTAAACAAAAATAATACCCAACTATCACCATTGACATCTTAGAGTTTGTTTTCATTAGAGGGGGTCACAAGTCACTTACCCCTAAAAGAAAACTCCATGAGAGGGTAACCTGTTTTCTGGAAACCTTAGAATTCTTAGTTTAAAATTCTATGTGCTTCTTATTCAATAACATACTATATTTACTTAAGAAGGAGTTATTCCTGGATAATGTTCACATCCACATTTTTAGGTTGAATAAAAACAAGAGCCAAATAAACTTGACAATTAGGTGAACAAAGTTTCTGGTTTAAAAATGGCCTCTGTCTGGAAGCCTTGGACAAAGCCTCTCCCGAACTCTCACTAAAAGAACTATGTAAGGGCAGAAAAGATGTAAATTTATGACCCCATATACTAAGATTGACAGACAACCCAAGGCCTGAATCTGGAAGGAATTTTCAATAATTGGAAGTCAGACAGGGCTGAGTGTATTAACCAATTGGTGCCCTGTGTGCATGCCATCCTGTGACATAGAACAACCTTGACAGAATGAGAGATGATAGAAGGCCACCAAACCTGATCCACATTCCCCTAGCAGAGAAGCAGGACCTGCTTCTGATCAAGGATCTCTGTAGGTGATGCTCTTCCCCCTTTCCCCTCTTTGATGCCTTCATCCTGTATGTTCTAGTATCTGAAAGTCCCAAAGCAATCTGCATAAGAGAGAACTAGGGCAAGAGAGACCTGCAGTCGAGGTGAAATGCTGTAGCCTTGACTGTGTAGACCCAATAACAAAACTCCCAAGAAGACACAGCCCAAGGTGAATGGGAATTGATCATAAAAAGATGCTGGGACCTCTGCACAGTATCCAGCTCGGCAGTCCCCAGCCTTTTTGGCACCAGGGACCAATTTCATGGGAGACAATTTCTGCACGAACCAGGGATGGGGGATGGTTTCGTGATGATTCCAGTGCATTACATTTATTATGCACTTTTTACTTCTATAATTGTTACATTGTACTACAGAATGAAATAATTATACAACTCACCATAATGTAGAATCTTTTCCTACAACTAGACGGTCCCATCTATGGGTGATGGGAGACAGTGACAGATCATCAGGCGTTAGAGTCTCATGAGGAACGCACAACCTAGATCCCTCACCTGCGCAGTTCACAGTGGGGTTTGTGCTCCTGTGAGAATCTAATGTGGCTGCTGATCTGACAGGAGGCAGAGCTCAGGCAGTAATGTGACCGATAGGGAGGGCTGTAAATACAGATTAAGCTTCGCTCGCTCACCCACCACTCACCTCCTGCTGTCCAGCCTGGTTCCCAAAACAGACTGGTACCAGTCTGTGGCCCTGGGGTTTGGGACCCCTGATCTAGTTCTTCAGCTGCAGATCTATCTGAAAAGTTTGCTCAGTAAAAAAAAAAATGGCAAGCCAAAGGCCAATCTGCTCAATGAAAACATTGAGTCTGGAAATATTATTGTTCATTTAAAGATTGATATAATAATAATGACAATAATCATAATAATAGTTACTGAAAATTACTATGTGACAGGTACTATTTTTGGTGCATATAGTTAATTGTTTTACCTTCATAAAACATGATGAGGTGGTTATGCTTATTCCCATCTTACTGATGAGGAGACTGAGACAAAGAGAATTTAAGTCAAAGTAATTTGCTGAAAGTGACACAGGTAGTAAGTGATGAAGGTATGATTTGAACACAGGCAGTATAATTCTAATTAAACTCTACTCTTGGCTGAGAGCAGTGGCTCACGGCTGTAATCCCCGCACTTTGGGGGGCCAAGGTGGGCGAATCACGAGGTCAGGAGTTCGAGACCAGCCTGGCCAACATGGTGAAACCCCCGTCTCTACTAAAAGTACAAAAAATTAGCTGGGCGTGGTGGCGGGCGCCTGTAATCCTGGCTACTCAGGAGGTCGAGTCAGGAGAATTGCTTGAACCTGGGAGGCAGAGGTTGCAGTGAGCCGAGATTGCGTCACTGTACTCCAGCCTGGGCAACAGTGACAGACTCTGTCTCAAAATAAATAAATAAATACTCTTAACCAATATTATAAATGAACAAAAAAAACTATAAAGAAGTAATAAAGACAAAGTGTAAATATTGTGGGATAAAATAAAAGAAACATCATCCTGAAGATATTAGCCGGTGTACGTATCTTAAAAAGATTATAAAAAAGGAAACATCATCCTGAAGATATTAACAGGTGTACATATCTTAAAAAGATTATAAAAAAGAAAAATAACTGGAAAACTTTTAGCTTCCTGAAGAGAATCCAAGAAGACATGGCCACTGTGAAAGAAGAGAAAACTTAAAAAGAGAGAATAGCTTGGGGTTTAATGATAAGTGGATGAGGTAAATAAAGATGCAAGTGGTATAGATTATTGCATTGGTGACACAAGTTAATGACCTCCCTCTAGCCACAACACCCTTGGAGATGTCACTTTGCAGCCCCTCCCAGGAAGAAGTGGAATCTATTTCTCCAACCTGGAATTAGAGCTGGCCTGGAGATGATACACTTTGACCAATGAAATGCTTGAATTAGAGCCGGCCTGGAGATATGCTTTGGCCAGTGAAATGCTCGAATTAGAGCCGGCCTGGAGATATGCTTTGGCCAATGAAATGCTCTTAAACATTATCACGCCAATTCTGAAACTAGGCCTCAAGAAGCTGTGCTTCGTTTTACTCTCTCTCTCTCTCTCTCTCTCTGTCCGTCTTTCCCTAAGACTCCTTCTGCCATGAGTATAAACTCAGGTAGTCTGCTGGAGAATGAGGGGCCACATGAGTAGAAAATGAGTGGATCTACTGTGAGGGTATCCTAGACCCGCAAGCCCCCAGTCAGCTGGCCAACTTGCAGCGGCTTCATGAATGAGCCCAGGCAAGATCGGCCAAGCCTGGCCCAGAACAGCAAAACTGCCCTGGCTGACCCATGGGCACATGAAAAGTAAACACTTGTGGTTTTATGCTTTGTGTTTTGGAGTTGTTTATTACTCAGCAATAAGATGGTAATGAAACATGTAGCTGGAAAGAGAAAAGGCGATATGCACCAGAAATATCAGTTATTTCCTCCATCAATTATATTTTTTCGTACTCTATGTTACCTTTAGAAAAAAATCTGCCCAAAGTTCTTCATCTGACCATCTGCCTCCCGACTGAAGGGACATCAGGTCATGTGGCCCTATCTCCCCATAGCCACAGCTGTGGGGACCAAGAGTAGAAATCTGGTTCCAGCTGGAACCATCAGAATTTCATTTATGAGAATTTAAAATTAGCTCGCAAAGGCTCTAATCAGCATTTGAGAGAAGCGAAGGCTCTTTTGAGGAGATTAAAAAAAAAAAAAAAACAATGAACAAAATGAAGCAGAGAAGAGAGTATATAAGGCCCCAGAAACAGAAATAGAGAAAATTGATTCTTTGTGCCACAGGTTACTTCCTGGGGGGCCCATGAGATACCTGCGTCCACATTGTTTTCTTTTTCCTATCGTAGTAGAATATGTTCCCATTTTGCATGCCTCGGAGGGTCACCTGCTCATTCTTCAAGACAAGACAACTCAATAGGATAGAATGGCCATGTTTTCATTTACTGAAACCAAATTTTAACAAGGATGTAGAAATACTATAATATACAAAGGATTTTTAGCTTTTCTAACCTCTATTATCATAGCTCCTTTAGTTACTTTCTTTTTAGGAAAGGCAAGAAGAAAAGGTAGATTTTCATGAGAAAATTTCAAAATTAGATCTTTCCTCCTCAATTGTTTTAAATGTCAAATGTTTACACATGGAGAGTAAAATGGAGAACGGATGCCCTTCTCTAGAAAAATCAGGCTTCCAGTATTAATTAGGAAATGATGTGAATTCCACTTCCATTTTAATTTCCATACAGTGGTTTCTGCTGTGAAGATCCTAACTCTCTTTCTTCCAGGGTGCTGGACTGTTCTTCCCATCAGATAAAGATGTCCACAGCAGGAACCACTAGATAGAGATGGAGATGAAGATGAAACTCACGTTATTTCCCGGTATTCTCTGCCTGAATATTCTCTGCAGTGGTGCAAAGTGTTAAATAAAGAGATCTTGGAGCCATTCCTCCTCTGTGTGTGTGTGTGTGTGTGTGTGTGCGTGCACACATGCTTTATACAGAGAAAATGCAGTGCAGTATTGAAGAGCCTTAGGATTCAAATCAAAATCCAAAGTAACTACAGAGAAAACGCAGTGTTGAAGAGATTTAGTATTCAAATCAAAATCCACTGGAGGATTGTGTAAGTCTCTACTTCACTTCGTCTTAAATTCCAAGTCCGAAGTGGATTTCCTAAAAGGGTTGTCAGTTTGCAATATTTTCTTTTCTGTGCCTTTTGAAAAATGATACATGTGACTTTCCTGAATCTGAGTGAGCATAACAGCAGATGCAAAGAGATTGAGATGGTGCTACAAAGCTGCCAGAAAGATTTTTTCTTTTCTTTAACAAAAAAGAGAAAGGGGACCAAAAAAAAAAAAAAAAGAAATAATGCCCCCTTGACAGTTTACATTCCTTCTTCTTTCCTCCTTTGTTATTTATGTTCACTGACTTGTCCCTGGCCTCCACATTGATCACCTGTTCTCTTTTCCATTCCTATTCAGAAGCAGAAGCTGCCAGTGCTGGTCCCAGAAGTAACAACCCAGATCCTGAAGGCATCTTTCCTGGAAGTTTTCCTAAAAGATGATCCAAACACCTAACTAACTATACTGATTTACAACAGCACCAACAACATCAACAACAAACCTAAGGCCCAGAGGTCAGAACTATTACAAATATAATGTCGTATCCATAAATTCCTAAATCTTAATGCCTCATGCTGCACTTATATAATCGGGGGTGGGGGGAAAGGTGGAAAATGATGAAGAGGAAAAACAGTACACAGATATTCAACTCTGAGTTTTCTGGGTTAAGGATGAGAAATAAACATTAATTGAAAACTATGTGTGCCATGATAAGGGTTTATAATTTTGACATATGGAGGAGGCAAAAGTAGGTAGAGTGAGTTGGAAAACTGAGACCAAAATGGACATTATACTGAAGTACTATATTTCGCTGTCTGACATTTGCAGGTGCTTAGTAAATATTTATTTTTTCTGGTCAACTGCTTTCCTCATATTCTTCCTTTATAATATTCTCTAGGGAAAGTAGGGCGAACTCAGACTGAGCATAGATAAGCCCACATTTATAGCCTACTTCTTAATGTTTCTAAATCTCATATCCGTGGGTTTAATCATAATATATATTTTATGAAGTTGTTGAATAAAGCTAATGCATGAAAAGAAATTGGCACATAAAAAGCAATGAGGAAAGGCTGCTGTTTCTTAGTAGGAGGAGGAGGAGGAACAAGAGGAATGATAGTAGTAGATGGGCTCAGATGAAAATTTCTTAGAGCAGCAGAGTGTTAACAACACTTGCAGATTTGGGCAAAAACAGTCACAGTGAAATGATGGAAAGGATTCAAGAATAAGAAGTGAATTTGTGCTAGATATCACCTTATTACCTTCACTGTCCTAAAACTCTATAATCCTACATATGTGAATGATATGTTGAAGTCAATCAATCAGGAAATTATTTTCATTTTCAAAATTAATCAGGGCCAATTGTGTCACTGATCTAGAATCTCACAGTTAATTTTAAAAAGTAATACTTCAAAAAGTTAACTAAGCCAGGGGTGGGTGGTGGCTTACGCCTGTAATCTCGACACTTTGGGAGGTGAGGCGGGCAGATTGCTGGAGCTCAGGAGTTTGAGACCACCCTGGGCAACATGGCAAAATTCCTTCTCTATAAAAAATATGGAAATTAGCCAGGCATTGCAATGATGTACACCAGTAGTCCCAGCTACTTGGGAGGTATTGGTGGGAGGATGGCTTGAGCTCAGTAGGCAGAAGTTGCAGTAAGCCAAGATCAAGCCACTGCACTCCAGCCTGGATGACAGAGCCAGAACCTGTCTCAAAAAAAAAAAAAAAAAAAAAAAAAAAACAACAACTAAAAATGGATCATAGACATAAATGTAAAATACACTATAAAACTCCTAGAGGTTAGCATAGGAAAAAGCCTAGATGACCTTAGATATGGTGGTGACTTCTTAGATACAACACAAAAGGCACAACCTATGAAAGAAATAATTGATAAGCTTGACTTCATTAAAATTAAAACCTCCTCCTCTGCAAAAGACAATGTCAAGGGAAGGCAAAGACAAGCCACAGACTGGGAAAAAATATCTGCAAAAGACACATCTGATAAAGGACTGCTATTCGAAGTATACAAAGAATTCTTACCAACTCAACAATAATAATAAAAAAAAAAAACTCAATTAAAAACTGGGCCAAAGGTCTTAACAGACACTTCACCAAGGAGATATACAGATGGCAAAAAAAAGCATATAAAAAGATGTTCTACATCACATGTCATCAGGAAAATGCAAATTAAAACAACAAAAAGACACCATTACACATCCATTAGAATGCCTCAAACCTACAGTACTGACAATACAAAATGCAGGCAAAGATATGGAGCAAGAGGAACTCTTATTCATTGTGATGGCAATGCAAAATGGCGCAGCCACTTTGGAATAGAGTTTGGCAGTTTCTTAAAAAATTAAACATACTTACCCAATAAACCAGCAATTATACCTCTTGGTATTTACCCAATAACCTTGGTATATACATTATTGTAAATGCATGTCCACAAGAAAATTTGCACATGAATATTTATAACAACTTCATTTATAATTAATTGCCAAAAACTTGGAAGCAACCAAGATGTCCTTAATGGATAAACAAACTGTGGTACACTCAGGCAATGGTATATTATTATAATTCAGTGCTATAAAGAAATGAGTTATCAATCCATGAATAAACATGGAGGAACCTTAAATGCATATTACTATGTGAAAGAAGCCTACACTCACTCAGGATAATTCAGACTATATGACATTCTGGAGAAGGCAAAGCTATGAAGAGAGTAAAAAGATCAGTGTTTGCCAGGGCTTAGGATGGAGGAGGTGATAAGTAGGCAAAGCACAAAGGATTTTTAGGGCAGGGAAAATACTTTGCATGGTACCATAATGATGGATACTTGTCATTATACATTTATTCAAATTCATAGAATGTACAACACCCAAAATTCTCCCTAATGTAAACCATGAACTTTGGGTAATTATGATGTATCATTGTAGGTTCACCAATTGTAACCAGTGTTCCACTTTGGTGATGGATATTAATAATGGGGGAGGCTATGCATATATGAGGGCAGGGGAATCTCTGTATCGTCCCCTCAATTTTGTTCTCAACCTAAAACTGCTCTAAAAATGCAGTCTTTTAAAAAAGTATTCATAATTTCATACACTTTCAGAGGCGCTTTGAAGGAGAAAGGTAGAGTGACAGATTGTTATACTCATGACCTCTAAGAAATCCCATCTTCATGTACCCAGAACCTTTGTAATGTGACATAGTATCTGGGTTGTATTTTATCATCCCCTTCACTGGCTTTGTGACTTGCTTTACCCCTTATAATGTGGCAGAAGTCTTGTGTGAATCTCAACAGATTTTGCAGGTTTGTCCCTTATTGTTTTAAAACCCTGAAACCACCATAAGGTGAAATTTAAGCCAAGCCTAATAGAGAATGGAAGGTTAACTATAGGAAAACCAAGGAGCTCCTGCTCATAGCCAAATGAAATAGCAAAAACTTTGATTGATACCATGTCAGAACCTCCAGCTTGAGTGTAGTCATCAAAAGACTGCAGCCACATGAGTGATCTCAGGAAGAACCAGCAGAAGAACTTCCCACACTGCTAAGGTACAGAATCATGAGAAATAAAAAATCAGTATTGTTTTAAGCCACTCAGTTTTGAGGTGATCTCTTATGCAGCAAAAGGTAACTGAAACAGAAATTAATACCTGGAAGTGGGTTGTTGCCTTTAAAAAACCTAAACCATTTGGCATTATCTTTTAGCTCAGGTGGCAAGTGGAGAGTGGAAGAGAAGCAGGGAGACTTCTACTGGAGGCAAGAAAAGCAGTGAGGAAATTATTATCTTAGGCTGCAGGAAAGGCAACCTGTGTCCTACACCAGCAGAATAATTCACATAGTTTTATCCTACATTAAAGCAGAAGATAGAAAATACACCTAATGAACTTGTAAATCTTACCAAGGAGAATATCAGGCTAAATGAAGTGTCAGTTGGCTCCTTTAATATTAAAAAAAAAAAAAAAAAGCTCTAAAAAAGAAGTTCGGTTTATATGTGTAATTTAGAAGAAATAGAGAAATCCCAGGGTATTCTCTCCAGCCAGTAAAATACTGTCAATTAAGAAATGCCTAAGAAAAGATTGGCTCAAGGGTATGTCCATAATACCAATTGTGAAAATCTCAGACAGGTTTAAGGTGGGGCTCACTAGAACCTCTCAGGTAGAAAAAGGGGCTTCTATTTCAAGGCTATTTCCCAACAGCTCCCAAATGTAAAATGGCATGCTTTAGGATGAATTTGGCATGGCTTTATGTAATGGAGTGGTACATAATTTCATACATAGGAAACCCACCAAGTTTAAGCGTGCTGTATTGTTTTAGACTTAAGTGTAGTTCAAAATGAGAAGAGGCGTCTGGGCTGTCAACTTTCTATGGAAAGGAAGCAGGCTGAGAGGACAGAGCCAAGAATAAAGAAGAAGAATAGATTAGAGAATCGATTCCAGGGAGAATAATTCAGCCTTAATCAAAAACTATTCCCTGACTTCGGAAAAGGAGAATTGTTATCAACCATATCAACTTGACAGTGTTTACTATGCACCTCCTGGTTCTGTTTTCAGAGTGGGATTGTCTATTGCAGTTACTTGTCTCCATCTCACTGTTGTAGGTTGAGTGTGTGGGGCGTGTAATCCACATCTGGACCTGATTTAGGTGATGAGATCCCAGACTCAGAGCCTGAATCTGGTGTGGATTAGATGATATTTGAAGGGGTCTTGAGAAGCAGGAGTGAGTGCATTTTACATGTGAGAGAGTACGACTCCTTGAGGCCAGAGATGGCACTGCTGTAGATAATCATCAAAATGATCCTCAGTAAACCACAGCTCACTGTTTTTATACCCCTTCATTAATTTCCTATGATGAGGTGGAGTCTATTTTACTGACTCCTTGAATCTAAACTGGTCTTGTGACTTGTTTTAATAAATAAATGTGGTAGAAGTAAAGTTATAAGAGTTCTAGAGTCCAGGATTTAGCTGATGGAACCCTGAGATCACAAGACTGTGAAGAATCCCAGTCCAGTCTATTGGAAGATGAGAGGTCACATAGAGAACAACCAGAGACCCACAATGGTAGCAAGTACAATCGGACAGCTGATTGAGACCATCTTGGACACTGGAGTGCCAGCATAGCTGTCACATGACCGCAGCATCATGAGCAACCTCAAAGGATGCCAACAAAAGATCGTCTAGATTGTCAACAAATGGAATAATCAAAAATTATAAAGTGCTGTTGCTATAATCCACTAAATTTTGGGAAGATTTACTATGCAGCAAAAGATTTATGAAATGGGTGGGTTACATGCTGTATTGGCTGCTGGGAAACTAGGTAAACTCAGCATATAGCAGATGCATAAAAAATCAGCAAGTTCACACATTTTAGTTTCAAACAATGCCCATGATATCCTTGTACCCCTTAGGTGTTTAACTAGAAACACATTTAATTTTTCAAGTCATAGTTCTTTAAATTTTGGGGGTTGAATATTAACCTGCAGCTCCTCCTCCTCTATACCTCTCTCTCTTCCTTTTTTTGAAAATGTACATAACCACGTACAATATTCTCTGCTGAGGGAGAGAAGGAAGCAAGGCAAGATCTTAAGTCAAATTCATATGATGTGTCATTGACTATTTGAAGACTTGGGAAAAATAAAATATATTTATGAAGGGATACTATTGATACAATTCTAAGCAGATATCTAATATTTAAAGAAATATGTTTCAGGGACTTCACAGATACTATATTAACTGATCAGATGTAAATATTATACTTCTGACTTTAATCAAGGTCCAGAATAAAATAAAATTTATACTCTCATCATTTCTCTTTCTGTAGAACACACAGCCTGAGAAATTATGTTTTATTAAAATGTGACATTTGGTTGAATATTCTTTAATATTCCTAATTTTAAAAATTCTATGTTCTTAATAATGAGTCAAACAAAATAAGGTACTATCAAGATGCTTTTCTAATAGCCTTTGTTTTCACTGTAATCTGTTTTATTAACTTCCCATTTCCATAAGCATTTGCTATGAAAAATATTAGCAAGTAAAAGCAATACCATAAAGAAATACAATTTATTTGCTGAGAAAGATTAAAAGGCATGGTAAAGATGTACAGTATTCCTTGGGGGAACTGTTTTATTTAATAAGGACTCATTCTAATTAGCAAAAATCAATACTAGAAAATAAAAGATGTAATTCATAGACTGAAATTCAAACTTTATGTTTGTTTGTTTATTTTTTTTTATTTTTTTGAGACGGAGTCTCACTCTGTTACCCAGGCTGGAGTGTAGTGGCGTGATCTTGGCTCACTGCAAGCTCCGCCTCCTGGGTTCAAGTGATTCTCCTGCCTCAGCCTCCCAAGTAGCTGGGACTACAGGTGCACGCCACCACACCCAGCTAATTTTTTGTATTTTTAGTAGAGATGGTATTTCACCATGTTGGCCAGGATGGTCTCTATCTCCTGACCTCATGATCTGCCCGCCTTGGCCTCCCAAAATCCTGGGATTACAGACGGGAGCCACCGCACCTGGCCTTTTTTTGGGGGGTAGGGGGGTTGTCTTATGTGATAGGCACTGTGCTAGGTGCTTTCTTTTCTTTTCTTTTTTATTTCAATCGTTTTTGCGATACAGGTGGTGTTTGGTTATGTGGATAAGTTCTTCAGTGGAGACTTCTGAGATTTTGGTGCACCCATCACCTGAGCAGTGTGCACTGTACCCAATGTGTAGTCTTTTATCCCTCACCCCCTCCCACCCTTCCCCTGAGCCCCAAGGTCCACTGTATCATTCTTAATGCCTTTGCATCTTCATAGGTTAGTTCCCACTTACTTACATAAAAAAAAGTTCAACATCACTAATTATCAGGAAAACGCCAAGAATGACTATAATCAAAAAATTAAAAAAAAAAATAGATGTTGGCATGGATGTGGTAAAAAGGGAAGACTTTTTTACTGCTGGTGGAAATGTAAACTAGTACAACCACTATAGAAAACAATATGAAGATTTCTTAAGGAATTAAAAGTAGATTTACCATTTGATCAAGCAATTCCACTACTGGGTATCTAGCCAGAGGAAAGTAAGTCATTATATGAAAAAGACACTTGCATACATATATTTATAGCAGCACAATTCACAATTGCAAAAACCTGGAACCAGCCCAAATTCTCATCAATCAACAAGTGAATTTTAAAAATGTGATATATACGTACACACCATGGAATACTACTCAGTCATAAAAAGAAACTAAAAATAGGCTGGATGCAATGGCTCACACCTGTAATCCCAGCACTTTGGGAAGCTGAGGCGGGCGGATCACTTGAGGTCAGGAGTTCAACACCAGCCTGATCGACATGGTGAAAACCCATCTCTACTTAAAAATACAAAAATTAGCCAGGTGTGGTTGTGGGCGCCTGTAATCCCAGCTACTTGGGAGGCTGAGGCAAGAGAATCACTTGAAACCGGGAGGCGGAGGTTGCAATGAGCCAAGATCTGTCTCAAAGAAAAAAAAAATCCCACTCCCCCAGACATCCTCCATTTAGTATGAGGATGGAGATTATTCCAGTATCTTGTGTATAGAAAGA
This sequence comes from Homo sapiens, assembly GCF_000001405.40. NCBI lineage: Eukaryota > Metazoa > Chordata > Mammalia > Primates > Hominidae > Homo > Homo sapiens. The sequence continues at coordinate 70,904,882 of NC_000017.11, forward strand.
TGTAGAGGAATCCAGTTCTGCCAGGCCATTTCCAATGAATAACAGGCAAAACTTCACATCATGTGGTCAAGAGATTGTTCCTCAAATATAGTGAGCACCAACATTTTAAGCATGGGTTGGACAACCATTTGATAAGACGTGGGAAGGAGGAGGTGGATGATTATCCTAGGTTTTTTTCATGTTCCTTCAATCTGAAGAGTCTATATTAAAATAAATTTAATTGATTGAAAGCATACATTATGGTATAAACTTCACTTTATGCACCAAAGATACTAATCAATTTTGTAATAGTGTTCGGCACAGGTAGGTAAAAGTATTTTTAGGGACAACTGGATGAAGCCTGCAGTGATTCTGCCATGAAATATATGCAAAATATGCCCCATAGAACAAAACTTTTTTATGGTTATCCTGAAAAATGTATAAGTGAGCCCTAGTAGACTATTATTAAAAAGCAATTGGAGAACATACTGTGTTTGGTTTTTCATTCCTGAGTTACTTCACTTAGAATAATGGTCTCCAACTCCATTCAGGTTGCTGCGAATGCCATTATTTCATTTCTTTCTTTCTTTTTTTTTTTTTTTTTTTTTTGAGACAGAGTTTCACTCTTGTCACCCAAGCTGGAGTGCAATGGTACGATCTCGGCTCGGCTCACTGCAACCTCTGCCTCCTGGGTTCAAGAGATTCTCCTGCCTCAGCCTCTGAGTAGCTGGGATTACAGGTGCCCACCACCACGCCTGGCTAATTTTTGTATTTTTAGGTAGATACAGGGTTTCACCATGTTGGTGAATTATTGCTAAGAAAGAACCACAAACAAGTCTATCATAAAATAAAGAAGAAGAAAGCAGGGTTGTGACAAACTTCATGAAGGACGAGGCAATTCAGTTGAACGCAAAGAATAGTCAGGATTGTAACAGACAAAATGGGGCTGATGAATACTCCATCTGTGGAGCACATTTTGAGCAAAGGTGCTGAGGTGGAAGAACACAGAGTAGGTTCTGGGAAGAAGAAATGACAGTCCCACGTGACATGTGTGTGCTGTGTATGTGGCTAGACAGGCTGGAAGGAGCAGGAAGTTGGACTGGAGGCAGAGTGCCAGGTCTTGAGGTCTCACTAAGTAGATTGGACTTCTCAGCATGAGAAAAACACAAGACTGTGGCCTGAGGAAGTGAGTCAGCCTTATTTCGTCAATGGAGCATCAAGTAGTGAGGTCCAAAAACAGTTAAGGATCCAGTATGTGCAATTGTCAAGTTATCTTAACGATTTTGGACTCAAGATAATTTATAATGTATTATATGTACTTGCCCTTGTGCTATTTTAGAAAGCAAAATATTCTGAAATAATTATTGCTTGTTTCTCTTAAAAAAGGTTGAACTGTAATATAAATAATGCTACAGGTTCAGATAACTGTAGCACACTTTTACTCCTGTACATATCTATTCTATCCCCCAAATTAAGAAGATATTTACGTGAAGTTAAAAAAAAAAAAAAAACTAATGAAATACTTTATGACCTTAATGGCCAACCACTGACTTATTTGATTTTTTTTTAAGTGAGCTGCCTTAATTTACTTGCTGCTTAGAGCTAATCACTATTATTTCTTATTAAAAATTGACCAAATATAATTTAACATACTCCAGTTTGTCTACCCCTCTTTCTTATCATCAAGTAGTATACTATTTGCAGATGCTACTAGTAATTGATTTGATATTTAAAAATAAGCAGACTAAACCAAAGCACTTGATCTCATTACCTACACTGGAAAATTAAACATGAAGGTTAGATTTATCAGTAAAGGAGACACTCTCATTAGGCTGTGATATTGTGATACAACCAAACATTAGTTTGACCTTAGAAATTGTCATGATTATAATAAAACATGGCACATATCCCCTGTGTGACCAGTGGCTTATTATCTAATAAATAATTTAATCTAACATGTATATATTCAGATACCACCATGAACAGGCCTTCCATTGTCCATTATGACATTGTGTGCTAGAATGCAATATTCCTTTAAAACCTCCAAAATAAAAGAAGCAAATACCAGCTTGAGGCCAGACAAGAAGCCTGTGAAACATCAGACAGTTTTCATCACAGCTGGCCAGGCCTGGGCAGTTTCAGACAAAGGACTTCCGCCTTTATCTGGCCCTTATTTTGATGTCTCATTCAGCTGAAGATAAAAGGAAAGATGTGCTTTGAAATGTAACCATTAGGGCGGCAAAGAAATCAACATGCAAATGTCACCCATACATGAATTTGAGATGAAGTCTACATTTGTCACTGCAAACTTAGAGCTTGTTGGTATTTTTTCCTCCCAAAGCAGTAAGATTTTAAAAAGCAAATAAAAACAACTGTAAATAGATGAGTGCTGAATTTAGTTCAACTGGAATTCTTTAACTACTTATGCATTTTGTTCACAATAAGCACAGAGAACTAACATATACATGTTAAGGTTACATGGAAAGACTGAAAAGAGATGAAATAAAAATAATGAGAAGTGGAGAATGATATTATGATACATTAGGTTTAGGCAAGTAACAGAAGGATCGAGAGACTCCACATTGGTGGTTTCAAATATTTTATCAATTTCTATCATGAAAATGAGCTAATTTCTTGGGAAAACTAACGTACATTTTCAAAGAAGGTTGCACAACTACCTGAGGTGATAGTGACCTGAGAGAGATGGACAAGTTATAATTTTAATTTTACAGATAACCTAAAATAAAAATTTACAAACTATGAAATATTAATTGGGTTCATTTACAAAATTCAAATAGTTGCAAATGCGTCTTTTGTATATGGATTCTCATTCTCCTGGTTCAGAAGAAATTTTCTAAATTTGTGACTTCAAATAGTTAGTTTGTGTGAATTTGTCAGAGTTTTAAGTTTGGTTCTGTATTTTTACCATTAAAAATTCCGAGGAAAATAACTTGTCACTCCCCCCAACTCTGAACATACAAATCCATAAGAGAATTACAGGGTTGATTAAGAGCCTGGAAAGGATCTGAAGATGTTCATTCTGGAATTTAAGATTTGACACTGGGCAAGACCAAAATAGTTGTGTTAAAATAATTGGAGGGCTCTTATAAAGAAGATGAACTTTATGTGATCTGTGCAGGTATCTAAGAGAGAAGGACGAATACTATGTTAACTAAAGAGAAGAAAATTTTTTAATAATTTAACTGAGTCAAAAATTGAATAGTACACTTTACAAGTATGGCATCTAGAAGGTCACCATCATGCATTTATTTGGGTTGTGAACTCTGGAACAGAATTGGGGAATATAAAGATAAGTAAGATATAATCTTTGCCTAAAGATTTAAAATTTTTAGGAAGGCAAAGAGAATTAAAGGTAAAGTATATGAAATCTACATTTAAAAAATGAATTTAGACACAGATCTTGTTCCTTTTATACAAATTAACTCAAAACATATCATGGGCCTAAATGTAAAATGCCACACTATAAAACTCCTGGAAGATAACTTAGGTGAAAAACTAGATGACCTTGGCTATGGCAATGACATTTTAGATATGACACCAAAGGCAGAATCCATGAGAGAAATAATTGATAAGGGGGACTCCATTAAAATTAAAAACTCCTCCTTTGCAAAAGACAATGTCAAGAGAATGAGAAGACAATCCGCAAACTGGGAGAAAATATTTGAAAAGACATATCTGACAAAGGACTGCTATCCAAAATATACAAACAACTCTAAAAACCCAACAGTAAGAAACGAACCGATGAAAAAATGGGTCAAAAATTTTAACAGATATTTCACCAAAGAAGCTACACAGATGACAAAAAGCATATGAAAAGGTGCTCTACGTCATATGTCATCAGAAAAATGAAAATTAAAACAACAATTTGATACCACTACGTAACTATTAATGGTTAACACTGACAACACTAAATACTTATGAGGATGTGGAGCAACAGGGGCTCTCATTCATTGCTGGTGGGAATGAAAATTGTGTAGCCATTTTGGCAAACAGTTTGACAGTTTCCTTCCTCCTTCCCTCCCTCCCTTCCTTCCTTCCCTCCCAGGGTCTCACTCTATTGCCCAGGCTGGAGTGCAGTGGCATAATTATGGCTCACGGCAGCCTTGACTTTCAGGGCTCAAGCTATCCTCCTATCTCAGCCTCCCAAGCAGTTGTAACTACAGGCACATGTCACCACAGCAGGCTATTTTATTTTTATTTTTAGTATAGATGGCATTTCACTATGTTGCCCATGCTGGTCTTAAACTCCTGGGTTCAAGTGATCCTCTTGCCTCGGCTTTCCAAAGTGCTGTGATTATGGGCATGAGCCACTGTGCCCTGCCAGTTTGGCACTTCCTTACAAAACTGAACATACTCTTACTATATGATCCGGCAAGTGTACTTCTTGGTATTTACTCAAAGGAGTTGAAAACGTATGGTCACACAAAAACTTGTGCATGTATGTTTATAGCAGCCTTATTCATAATTTCCAAAACATGTAAGCAACCAAAATATCCTTCAGTAAATAAGTAGATAAATAAGCTGTGGACAATTAAATGTTATTCAGCACTAAAAAGACATGAGTTATCAAACCATAAGGACATAGAGGAACCTTAAATATGTATTATTACATGAAGGAAGCAAGTCTAAGAAGGCTACATATTGTATAATTCAGACTATGTGGCATTCTGGAAAAGAAGAAACTATGGAGACAGTGAAAAGATCAGTGGTTGCCAGAGGTTGGGTGGTGGTGATGAACAGGTGAAGCAGGAGGATTTAGGGGGCAGTGAAAATACTTGCACAATAGGATAATGGTAGATATATGTTATCATACATTTTTCCAAATCCATAGAATATACAACACCAATAGTGAATCCTACTTTAAACAGTGAACTTTGAGTGACTATGGTGTGCCAATTTAGGCTCATCACTTGTAACCCGTGTACCACTCTGGTGAAGAATGTTGATAATGGGGATAATACAAGCTGCACATGTAGAGGACAGTGGTATATGAGAAATCTCTGTACCTTCCTCCTCTCAATTTCGCTGTTAACCTAAAACTGCTCTAAAAAATAAAATCATCTAAAAAACATGGTACATTATGATTGGAAATTTAGAAGAGATCAAAGGTGACACGTTTGGGTGTTTCCTCTTGAGCTGAGTATTTGTTGGAGAGTAAGATGTCCTGGAATACTTACAGAATAGATAATACTTAAATTGAAATTTGAAGAAAAAGTAGGACATAGCCAGAGTTGACAGAATGTCTTAAGAGTATTTGAGAAGCAATTTAGTTGTTAGTTCAGGTATTAAGCTAAATAATGTTTAAATCCAATCCATCTGTGAACTAAATGATTTTCAATGTCAATTCAAATTCATGATTTAAAAATTTTGAGTTTACACTACATAGAAAAATTAATTCAAAATAAATTCATGACTTAAATGTAAGACTAAAAAGCATAAAACTTGTAGAAGAAAACATAAAAGGGAAAAGCTTCATACATTGGATTTAGTAATGATATATTGGATATGACAGCAAAAGCATGTGCAACAGAAGGAAACAGATCAACTGGACTACATAAAAACTGTAAAATTCCGTGCATTAAAGGACACAATCAACAGAATTGAAAGGCAACACATAGAATGGGAAAACTATTGGCAGGGCGCAGTGGTTCACGCCTGTAATCCCAGCACTTTGGGAGGCCGAGGAGGGCGGATCACGAGGTCAGGAGATTGAGACCATCCTGGCTAACACAGTGAAACCCCATCTCTATTAAAAACACAAAAATTAGCCAGGTGTGGTGGCAGGCGTCTGTAGTCCCAGTTACTCAGGAGGCTGAGGCAGGAGAATGGCATGAACCTGGGAGGCAGAGCTTGCAGTGAGCCGAGATCGCGCCACTGCACTCCAGCCTGGGCGACAGAGCGAGGACTCCATCTCAAAAAAAAAGAAAAAAAAAAAGAATGGGAAAACTATTTACAAATGATATACCTGATAAGGGATTAATATCCAGAATATATAAAGAACCCCTATGAATCCACATCAGCAAATAACTGAATTAATAAACGGACAAAGGATTTGCATAAACATTTCTCCAAAGAAGACATACAGATGGCCAATGTGCCCATGAAAAGATGCTCAACATCACTAATCACTAAGGAAATGCAAATCAAAACCACAATGGGATATCATCTCACACTCATTAGGATGTCTACTATAAAGTAAAACACAAAATAACAAGTGTTGGAGAGGATGCAGAAATATCAGAAATCTTGTGACTGTTGGTGGGAACGTAAAATGGTGCAGCTACTATAAAAAACAGAATGGTGGTTCCTCAAATATTAATAATGAAATTACCAATATAATCCAGCAATTCCACTTCTGGGTGTATGCCCAAAAGAATTGAAAGCAAGTACTCAAACAGAGAAAAGATAGAAGCAACTCAGTATCCAACAACAGATGGATGGATAAACAAAATGTGGTATATACATACAATGGAGTATTATTCACCCTTCAAGAAGAAGTTAATTCTGACACAAACTATAACATGGATGAACCTTTAGGGGTCTATGCTAACTGAAATAAGCCAGCTGCAAAAGGACAGACTCCACTTAAATTAGGTACTTAAAATAGTCACATTCATAGGGACAGAAAGTAGAATGGTGGTTGCCAGCAGAAGAGGAATTGTCCTAGAGCAGGCACAGAGTTTCAGTTTTGCAGGATGAAAGGGCTCTGTGGATGAAGAGTGGTCATGGTAGCCCAACAATGTGAATGTACTTAAGGCCAATGTGCACTTAAAAATGGTTAACATGGGGCAGGCGCCATCGCTCACGCCTGTAATCCCAACACTTTGGGAGGCTGAGGCAGGCAGATCACAAGGTTAAGAGATCGAGACCATCCTGGCCAACATGGTGAAACCCAAACTCTACTAAAAATACAAAAATTAGCCAGGTGTGGTGGTGCACACCTGTAGTCCCAGCTACTCGGGAGGCTGAGGCAGGAGAACCTTTTGAACCCAAGAGGCAGAGGTTGCAACAAGCCGAGATTGTGTGACTGCACTCCAGCCTGGGGACAGAGCGGGACTCCATCTCAAAAAAAAAAAAAGGTTAACATGGTAAATTTTATGTTACATGTACTATACACCTTAATTTTAAAAGTTTTGAGAAATTGTCTTTAAAATAGAATAAATTAGGACATTTTTATTTGAAATATTTTTAGAAGTTATGTTGTTGATTTGTTTTACTATTTCAATAGAATAGGTTAGAAAAAAAGTATTGATAAGTCAGGTGTAAGCCTTCCATCGGGTAATCTGCAGCTACAATGAACAATGAGAGGTTTTATATCCTTTATATATTATTTTCCACTTAGTTAACTTCCCTAACTACATTGTGGACATGCAATTTATAGTAGCTATTACATTCCTATGTCCTTAAAATTATTTCAAAGTAGATTGGGAGGAAAAGGGGTCATCTTTATGTACATATTCCACCTGAGGCATCAGATTCCAACAAGATAATCTAGAGCAAGCTTGTCCAACCCATAGCCCTCAGGCTGCATGGGGTCCAGGATAGCTTTGAATGCAGCCCAACACAAATTTGTAAACTTTCTTAAAACATTATGAGATTTTTTGCTATATACATATATATCGCAATACATATATATCATGATATATATATATCACAATATATAAATATATATTTATGTTAATTATATAGATTGTGTGTGTGTGTGTGTGTGTGTGTGTATGTATATATATATATATATATATATATATATATATATATATATATATATATATATCACATCAGCTATTGTTAGTGATAGTATATTTTATGTGTGGCCCAAGACAATTCTTCTTCCCATGTGGCCCAGGGAAGCCAAAAGATTGGACACCCCTGAAGGATGTGAAACAGATTCCTACACGTTTTGAGCAGAAGCCAGCAATGGATTGCTCTCTCGGAATAAGCATCTATAGCTAGCTCATGAATCTGTCTCAAGTATATGCTGTATTTTCCAGGGACCATCATCACTTCATTTCATGCTGTGAAATGAATGAGGTTGGGGTGGCCAATCAGTTACATTGAAGTAATGGCCATATTTGAAACAAATCTCAACAGATCAAAAACATATTTTCACAAATTAGATCATTTATATGCCTTGAAAGTTTATTACAAACATGCCTATGGGTGCTATAATAGCAGGTTCATCATCTAAAACATTGTATTTCTTAAAAAATCCACTCTCATAACACATTTATATTTTAATGCTAAAAAAAATTCTAACCAGTAAAGATTTGAAATCACCCATTAAAACAATTGATATAAATGTTCTTTCTAAATTGTAACTTGGGAAAACATTATAGTGTTTACTGTTGCAACATACTGGCTTGGAAAGGATTTTCCTCCCCGCAAAGGTTTGCCAAATAAAATACAAATATAACATGCAATGTACCACAAAAAATGTTGTTCGTCTGAAATTCAAATTTAACTGGATGTCCTGTATTTTTATTTGCTAAATATAGCCCTCTCACACAATAGCCAGAAAATGAAGGCTTCACAATTTGGACATTTTACTTACTGCTCTCCAGAAAGACACAGAGGGAGAATTAGTTATCTCTAACACTTACTACATTTGATCCTAGTTTTCAGGGACATTTTCTTCAATATCATCTTGAAAACTGCTAAAGTTATTTAGGACCCTGAAATCTTGGATGGGGTCTGTGTTTTTCACCATCGCTCACAAGCACATACCCTAGCATTCCTGCACAGCAGATGCTCAATAAATAGATGTTGATTCAATAATTATATAAAACCAAAGCACTGGGATTATTAATGCTCATAAATTATATCAACTTCAGCTTTGTGCCTAGTTGATGATTCTGTTCTCTGAGTTACTAGTAGACTCAGCCACTTAATTGTTAATGTCACTATTATGCAAGTTCAACCTAAATCTACAAAGGCCTTGGGACAATAGGATAAAAACAAGATTCTACCTCTATCAAAATATGGATGAGTTGGCTAATTGAATTTCATTTTTGTGTAATGTAAAAGTGATATCATTTCCATAAGCCAGGTGACAATGGAGATGTCTGCCTAAAACATGGGGCCTTTTTCACTCACGAAAAAAGTGTACTAGAGGCTAGAGGCAGCTTTTTCATTATTCACTTTAATAAAGGCAATAAGAAATATAATATTGCAAATACTTATTTTCATTATTTGACTATTATGATTAATAACACAAATAATTTTTATTATAAAAGATTGATTTATTTGAGCACTAAGTGCCAATAACTCTGCTAAGTACTCTGCACACCTTACTTTATTTGTGCATACATTTTTTCTATGTGTTATAAGAGTGTTTTTTAAAATATAACTGTGTTAGTCCATTTTCATACTGCTATGAAGAAATATCCTAGACTGGGTGATTTATAAAGAAAAACAGGTTTAATGCACTCACAGTTCCACATGGCTGAGGAGGCCTCACAATCATGGTGGAAGGAGAAGGAGGAGCAAAGACATGTCTTGCATGGCACAGGCAAGAGAGCATGTGCCAGGGAACTGCCCTTTAGGAAGCCATCAGATCTCGTGAGACTTATCCACTATCATGAGAACAGCATGGGAAAAACTACCCCCATGATTCAATTACTTCCCACCAGGTCCCTCCCACAACACATGGAGATTATGGGAGCTACGATTCAAGGTGAGATTTGGGTGGGGACATAGCGAAACCATATCAATGACACAGCTCTAATCCATGTTGGTTTGAAAAAATGAATAAATACATGTGTTTCTTTCCAATGAGTAAAGTAGAAACTCTAAACTTCTTACTAGTCTGATAGACCACCCTAGGACTACATCATAGCTTTAGGTGAAAACAGTACTTAATAAGGTCAAAAATCCTTTTTGGGAAATGAATAATTTGTATAAGTTTGAATGCTTTGGGATTTGGTAGAAAAATCTAGTTATGTCTGACAAAGACAATAATAAAAAACTAATAGGTACGTTTCAGTTTTTCTGCAATGAAAGCCTTATTATAGTAATCTTAATATACATGAAACTTCAAGCCTAGGACAAGAAGAAAATTAGTTTAGAGAATAATAATATCTCTCTTGAAGTTAGTGATGTAAGGAATAAACATTTAGTTATCTTTTTAGAAGTGCAAGTGCAATTTTTATTGCCTATTTGCTAGTCACATATTCAACAATGTACAAGTGAAATACTGAATGTAATAGCTAAGGAGAACTTGTTAGTCAATGGCTAGCTGATTATAATTGGATGAAATTACACTGTTAATTTTCAAGTCATCTAAGTGTGAAATGGACAGAGGGAACAGTAGAAAAATGATATCAAGCATTGAGATATCCTGGGCAAATAATACCTGTATTTTGGTACATAATGTGAAGTCTAGGTTGCCAACTTAAATGGTGAAAAATATCTCATTGAATAAGCATGATGGCTTAGGACTTATACAACTTATTTCAATCTAAGAAATTACAATAAAAAATGAGTAAGTTAGTTTGTTTAGGATTATGTCTTCACAACAGCACAGCTTGACATTCTCAGCATTGAACATTATTATTCTGAAGTTCTACGTAGAACACTCTCTAAGTAAATGTTCAGAGTTTGCTTCTTTAACACAAATGCCTTCTCCAATCTGAAAATTATACAGCTTTAATTTACAGGCAAAACTGAATCTAAATAAAAAACTTGCAACCCAATTTTTAAAATCAGAAACATATATGATTCTGAAGATGGTGATGGGTGTTTCTTCAGTTGTTATGGCAGAGATGGCTCTGTAGTCCGTGGTGCAGAGTTGCTATGGAGAACAACTGTTCAACCAAGAACTACTTTTTTCATCTCCCTCTGCATCTTGATAGGGTCAAGTGACTAGTTCTACCAAAGATATGGAAGCAAAAGTGAAGTAGGTCAAAATATTTTGGCTAAAGTTTAAAAAGGGGGTGTGCATTCTTTATGTTCTCTTTCTCTACCTTGCAGCTGGGTGTTGACTGCTGATGCACAAAATAACTTTGTAAACCATGTTTTGAAAATAATAGACCCTCTCTCATGAATGACTGGGAACAAAGCTACTACTCAAATAGAACCCTATCCCTCTCCACTGCTGATATAGTTTAGATATGTATCCACACCCAAATCTCATGCTGAATTGTAATCCCCAATGTTGGTGGGAGGTGGTGGGTCATGGGGGTGCGTTATCATGAATGGTTTAGCACCATCCCCTTGGTGCTGTTCTCATGACAGTGAGTGAGTTCTCAGGAGATCTGGTTGTTTAAAAGTGTGTGGCACCTCCCCCCTCTCTCTTGCTCTTGCTCTTGCTCCTGCTCCTGCACCTGCAGTGTGAGATACTTATTCCCCCTTTGCCTTGCACCACGATTGGAAGCTTCCTGAGGCCTCCTCCGGAAGCCAAAGCCACTATGCTTCCTGTACAGCCTGCAGAATCATGAGCCAGTTAAAGCACTTCTATTCATAAATTACCCAGTCTCAGGTATTTCTTTATAGCAATACAAGAACAAACTAATGCAGAAAATCGTTATCAAGGAGTGGGGCATTGCTCTAAAGATACTTGAAAATGTGGAAACAACTTTGGAATTGGGTAACAGGTAGAGTTTGGAAGAGTGTGGAGGGCTCAGGGGAAGACTGGAAGATGGGGGAATGTTTAGAACTTCTTGGAGACTAGTTACATGGTTGTGATCAAAATCAAGTGACAGTGAAGTCTGGGCTGACAAGGTCTCAGATGAAAATGAGGAACTTATTGGGAACTGGAGTAAAGGTCACTTTTGTTATTCATTAGCAAAGAAATTGGCTGCATTATGTCCATGTCCTAGGGATCTATGAAGGTTTGAACTGAGAGTGATGACCTAGGGTATTTGGTAGAAGAAATTTCTAAGCTGCAGTATTCAAGATTTTGCCTGGCTGCTTCTAAAAACCTACAATCAGATGCAAGATCAAAGGAATGACTTGAAGTTGGAGCTTATATTTTAAAGGGAAGCAGAGCATAAAAGTTTAGAAAATTTGTAGCCTGGCCATGTGGGAGAGAAAGAAAAAGCTTTTTTGAGAGAGGAAATCAAGCAGTCTGCTGAGAAACTGTTTCCTAGAGAAATCTGCATAATCAAAAAAGGAGGCAAGTGATGATAGCCAAAACAATAGGGAAAGGGCCTTGAAGGCAATTCATAGAGCTTCCCAGTAGCCCCTCTCATCACAGGCCTGGAGGCCTAGGAGGAAAGAATAGCTTCCTGCACAAGGCCCAGGGCCCACTGCTCTGCACAGCCCCAGGACACTGTTCCTTGCATCCCAGCTGCTCCAGCTCCAGCTCCAGCCCTGGCTCAAAGGGGCCAAGGTACTGCTCAGGCCACTGCTTCAGAGGGTGCAAGCCATAAGCCTTGGTGGCTTGCACATGGTGTTAAGCCTGTGGGTGCACACAGTGCAAGAGTTGAGGATTCAGAGTCTCCACCTAGATTTCAAAGCATCTAGAAAAGCCTGAGTGTCCAAGCAGAAACCTGCTACAGGTGAGGAGACCTCATGGAAAGCCTTTACTAGGGTAGTAAAGAGGGGAAATTTGGGGTTGGCGACCCCACACAGAGTCCCCACTGGGGCACTGCCTAGTGGAGCTGTGATAGGAGGGCCACTATCCTCCAGACTAAGGAATGGTAGATCCACTGACAATTTGCACCCTGTGCCTGGAAAATCAACAGAGACTCAACTCCAGCCCATGAGAGCAGCTTTGGGAGCCAAACGCTGCAAAGCCACAGGGAAAGAGCTGCTCAAGGCCTTGGGAGACCACCCCTTACACTAGTGTGCCCTGGACATGGGACATGAAGTTAAAGAAGGCTATTTTGGAGCTTTAAGATTTAACTACTTCCCTGCTGGATTTTGAACTTGGCTGGGGCCTGTAGCTTCTTTCTTTTGGCCAATTTCTGCCTTTGGGAATGAAAATGATTACCCAATACCTAACTCCATTGCATCTTGGAAGAGACTAACTTGTTTTATATTTTACAGGCTCATAGGTAAAAGGGACTTGTCTTATTTCAGATGACACTTTGGACTCTGGACTATTGAGTTAATGCTAGAAGGAGTTAAAACTTTGGGGGACTATTGGGAAGGCATGATTGTATTTTGAAATGTGAGAAAGACATGAGATTTGGGAGGGGTGGGGGTGGAATAATAGAGTTTGGATATTTTTCGCCTCCCAAATCTCATGTTGAATGGTAGTTCCCATGTTGGAGGAGAGGCCTTGTGGGAGGTGGTTGGATCATAGGGCTGGATTCATATAAATAGTTTAGCACCATCCCTTGGGTGCTGTTCTCATGATAGTGAGTGGGTTCTCAGAAGATCTGGTTGTTTAAAAGTGTGTGGCACCTCCCCTCTGTCTCTTGCTCTTGCTTCTGCTCCTGCCATGTGAGACCCTTACTCCTCCTTTGCCTTCCACCATGATTTGAATTTTCCTGAGGCCTCCCCAGAAGCAGAAGCCATGATGCTTCCTGTAGAGCCTGAAGAGCCATGATTCAATTAAAACCCTTTTCTTTATAAATTGTCCAGTCTCAGTTATTTCTTTATAGCAATGCAAGAACGGACTAATACAGCTGCTGTTTAGACTTCACGTGAGCAAGCATTCAACTTCTGTGCTATGACAGTAAGCAACTAGCATTCATTTAATTCAGTCTTACTTACCCTTACATCTAATCAAAATTTTGTTAATTCTGTCTCTTTGATATGTACTAAATCTGCAATTATTTTCTTTATTAGTGCACTAGTAGCACTGTAGCCTAAGCCACCATCATTTAAACACAGATAGAGATGGGGATCTCTTGTGAATCTCCTTGCTTTCCATTTGTGTTGTCTTTGGCCCATTCTAAATAACGCATCCACAGTAACCTTTAAAACTGAGACTCAGGCCATTTCACTTTTCTGTTTGAAGATGTTCAAAGGCTTTATTGTACTATTTAAAAAAAAAAAGAAGGTCTTACCTTGGTCTAAAAAGTTTGAATGGCTTGTCTTTGCTTGCCTTTCTAATCTGTACCACCCCATTTCCTCACTCCTCCCCCGTCAAGCTCTGTCTCTGTTCTCACTGCTTTGTTGCTCAAACAGATCAAATATTTTCATTCCAAGTGAATGCTCACTTGTTTCTTCATCTCTTTGAACTCCAAATGCTAAATTCCAAGATCTTATAGGTAGCTCATTTTTACCCTCCTTAGAAAAGCTGTCTCTTATTCTATCTTTAGCTGGCCTTACTCATTTGGTCTCTATTGAATTATTTTATTTGTGTCATTTATAGTTTTGCACAATCTGTGATTGTCTTATTTGTTGCTGACTTGATGTTTGGTTTCCCCACATAAAATATAAATACTACAAAGGAAGAGGCAATGTCTACTATATTTGTTGATATATTCCCAGCAGCAGGCAGAGTCTGCACATAAACAAATGACCAATGCTGTATTAGTCAGGGTTCTCCAGAGAGACAGAACTCATAGACAATTCAGAGGTCTTCCCAACAGCCCCTCTCATCACAGGCCTGGAGGCCTAGGAGGGAAGAATGGTTTCTTGGCCCAGGCCCAGGGCCCACTGCTCTGCACAGCCCTAGGACACTGCTCCTTGCATCCCAGCTGCTCCAGCTCCAGCTCCAGCCCTGGCTCAAAGGACCCAAAGTACAGCTCAGGTCACTGCTTATATATTATCTTCCTAATATATGTTTATTAGGGATAATTGGCTCACCACACAATTATAAGGCAAAGTCCCATGATAGACCATCTGCAAGCTGGGGAAGAAAGCGGGTAGTGCCTCAGTCTGAGTCCAAAAGCCTCAAACCAGGGAAGCTGACAGTGCAGACTTCAGCCTGTGATTGAAGGGTTGAGAGCCCCCAGCAAGCCACTGGTGCAAGTCTCAGAGTCCAAAGGTCAAAGAACCTGGATTCTGGTGTCCAAGGGCAGGAGGAATGGAAGGAAGCACCCAGCATGGGAGAAAGAAGGAAGCTAGAAGACTCAGCAAGCAAGGCTATCCCACCTTCTTCTGCCTGCTTTGTTCTAGCTATGCTGGCAGCCAATTCGATGGTGGTCACCCACATTGAGGGTGGATCTTCCTCTCCCAGTCCACTAACTCACATACCAATGGCAACATCCTCACAGACACATTCAGAAAAAATACTTTACCAGCTATCTAGGCATTCTTCAATCCAATCAAGATAAAACCTAATAATAATCATCACAAATACCTATTTTTTAAATAATTGTTGAATGACTATTATTCTTGTTTGATTTTTCCTGTATCAATAAGAAATCAATTCAATTCTGATTACTGATAAGCAGATAAAAGTCATATTTTATTGTATCTCCTTGATTAAGATTTCAGAATCCTACATCTCAGGATTATTTCAAACTATAAAGATTACCTTGTCTAAACACATTGAGATCTCTCTTATAATTCCTTTTTTAAAGAGTACATGCTTAGTCTCATGAAGCATAGCACACCAATCCGTTGTGTAATAAACACTCAATAATTGTAGAATTAACACCAATGACACTTCATTTTATCATCATTTAGGCACAATGTTTGGACCAGCCCAGGATCCCTCACTCACAAGAACTTCTATCGGACTTAGCTTATCCCTCAGAAGACCCTGGACACCACCAAAGGTCATCAGCACAATCTTGATGGATGTCTAAGAATTGAAGATTGATTTTTGCCTAATGACAATAAAGTCATCACTAAGTTAAATATCTATAAATTAAATATCTATTAAATATGTATTAAATATATAGTAAATATTTAATTGAATATTAAATGCATGTATATTCTGAGCTTTATTGTGTTTTTCATGAAGACACTGTCAAAGACTAGAGCCCCATATGTTAAAAAAGTGAGTGAGTAATCTTATTATAAGCATCATAATATGGTCCCTTTTCTTCATCCTGCTATACATAACAATCTGTTATACAATCTCCATTATTCTACTAATGAAGCCTCTTCAAATCATAACTTTGAGAAACATTACCCTCACGTAACAATTTTTTTTTTTTCTTTGAGATACAGTCTGTCGCCCAGGCTGGAATGCAGTGATATGATCGCGGCTCACTTCAATCTCTGCCTCCCAGGTTCAAGCGATTCTCCTGTCTCAGCCTCCCCAGTCGCTGGGACTACAGGTGTGCGCCACCAAGCCTGGCTAATTATTGTATTTTCAAGAGACAGGGTTTCACCATATTGGTCAGACTGGTCTGAAACTGCTGACCTCAGGTGATCCGCCCACCTCGGCCTCCCAAAGTGCTGGGATTACAGGTGCGAGCCACCATGCCTGGCCCTAACTTAGCAATTTTTGAAGAAATCTCAGCAGCCTTAATTCAAAATCTATGTAAATTGTGTGTGTGTGTGTGTGTGAAAAAGCTACCAAATGATTCTTTTGGAGATGAGGAATTGACAGCGAGCTTAGGAAAAAGTCAGTTTTTGTTGTTGTTGTTGTTTTTAATCAGGAGTCTTCCTAAGTTGAGATGCTGACATTCATGGCCACTTATTGTCTGGTTGTAATTCAAATCCAATGTCCAGATTCTACCCATTAAAGAAGGTAATAACTGGAAATAACTTCATTAATATCATGTTCCAGTATCTGCGGGCTCTGGTTGTATGGGAGAAGGCTGTCTACCATTTTGCTATGAATTCTAATAACCTATGCCAGATATATAGTCATGGGGTAACCCCCATTATAAAGCTTCTAGTCTACAAAACCAAGAGAAAGCTTGTCAAAATAAATCTTAACTTCTGACCACGGTAGAAGACCTACTACGGGGTATTAACAGTCAGAACTGCCAATCACTGCCTGGTCTAAATGTTTGTATTAAAAATTCCAACTCTGGTGGCATGAACTTTGGATAAAATCATCATAAGCTGTGTGAGTCCAAAAAATATAAACCCAGAATGAAATATATTTGGGGCTAAAATGACGTTACTAATGTCTGAGATGGGTCTCCCTCTCCCCCTTTGAAACGTGATGCTTTTATTAGATTATTTCTACTGCCAAAAGACACAGCTACTGTCTGGCTACATTTTCTGGTTTTCTCTTGAATTAAAACAAATAAATAAAAGAAAAATGTCTACATCTTTTAAACAAAGCAAATGGGAATATTTTTATTATTTTTTTTTCCTGCCAACTGAACAAGTTCTATACATTTAGATAGGTCTCTGGTTCACATAATATGATATGTACTTGTATGTGCACACAGAATGTATAAGATAAAATGGGCTCCTTAAAATAAGCAAGTATTGCCTAAGGATATATAGACAAATGGAAAACAGCACTTCGCTATGTTACAAGGGTTGGCATGGTGCTGGAATTGACTGGGAGCTGCATAATTTTCAACTTTGCTATCTACAGGCTCCTGTTCCACCTCTATGATTTTTTTGCTTCATCATTTACCTTTCTGATCCTTGATAACAGTCATTGTTTCTCAGAGCACAATGAGAATTTGGATCACATTGCTCATTCTCCTCATTTTACAGATAAGGAAAGTGAAGCTTCCAGAAATTAAATCATCATCATGTACATAAAGTCAACATACATAATTACAACTAATTAGTGGCCAACCACATGCTAGGAACCTCCATATTTACATATTCAGCAGTATGTGCCAGAGGCATCCTCAGCACTTTACTGACCTAACTGCAGGGTCCTTGGCGGTCATCTTTGTTTTCCATTTAAATAAAACTAGGGGGAAAGACATTTTCCATGCAGGGGCAAATCGCCTCTCAATAATTCTGCAGATTCTTAGGGAAAGCAGAGGAGTGGGGAGTGGGTGGTCCTTACATTTTTGCCTATTGCCTCTGAGTTTGCCTTTGCTAATTTCCTGAAATTTATTGAAATTTGCCTTTTATATTAGTCCCATTCTCTTTACTCTGCATCAGTTCCTACATACTGTTTATGTAGGATCGTTATTTTCGATGTTGTATCATTTTTTTAGATTTGTATAAAAATGACTAGCATTTGGGGTTTGCCATGTGCCAAGTACTCTAATAGGCACTTAATAAAAGTTTTGTCTTTCAAATCTGTCTTTGTGAGCAGGATGCGGTGACTCACCCTGTAATCTCAGCACTTTGGGAGGCCGAGGCAGGAAGACTGCTTCAGCCTAGGAGTTCAAGACTAGCGTGGGTGACATGGTGGGACCCCATCTCTACAAACAATAGAAAAATTAGCCAGACGTGGTGGCACACACCTGTAACCTCAGCTACTCCTGGGCTGGGAGGATCGCTTGAGTCTGGGAGTTCGAGATTACAGTGAGCTATGATAGCACCACTGCACTCCATTCTGGGCAACAGAATGAGACACTGTCTCTAAAAAAATAAAGTAAAATATGTCTATGTGATTAGGTGACTGCTCTGATGACAGAGCTGAAATATAAACCTGTGCCTAATCAATTCCAAAATCTGTTCTCTCTCCACTAAGCTATGTTGCTGCCTGTATGCTATTAGTTTTATAAAGTGGGGTTCTTCATAAGACAGAAATTATATCATTTGCCCATCTCTGTAAGGCATGATCTCTCAACTGTGGGATGTATCAGGGTTCACTGGCATTAATCTCCATCCCTCTTATGGCCAAGCAGAACTGTCTCCTCAGATTCAAGATACATTCTGTGTCCTAGAATAAATTCCTTTCTCTGAGGAAAGTGAACTACTTTCTAAAGAGATAAATGAATGCAGGCTGTGGTTTTATTGGCATAGCTTTTTAGAGGTTTTTGTTTTTGTTTGGTTTGGTTGGTTACCTGCATTATACCAAGTATCCCCAAAGACATTTCTAAGCACTTAGTTACCTTACAAATAAGACTGATTTTAATGGGAATGGTCATGTTGAACTTAGAATTGCCTGGAATAAGGAAGGGTTTGCAGTTTATTCAATTTCCCATCTCATCTCAGGTCTTCCATTTGGGGATAATGTTTGAATATCATTTGGTATGGGTGGAACCAGCACTAATGGTAGATTCCATTATGGCTAGACACATGCATGCTAACATAGGTTTGATTTGAGTCAGACCACAGAGCAAAACCTAAAGCAATGATCATCTGCCAACCCTCAACCCACTGAGGGATTTGTTGGCTGACTAACACTGTCCTGCTATGGTCTGGGAGAGAATGGGACTAACTATTCCCAATAATCCACTTCACAGACCAAAACCTTTCAGTAGACTTTCTCTCTCTTTTTCTTTCTTTCTTTCTTTCTTTCTTTCTTTCTTTCTTTCTTTCTTTCTTTCTTTCTTTCTCTCTCTCTCTCTCTTTCTTTCTTTCTTCTTTCTTTCTTTCCTTCTTTCTTTCTCCTTCCTTCCTTCTTTCTTTCTTTTTCTTTCTTTCTTTTTCTTTCTTGCTTTCTTTCTCTTTCTTTCTTGCTTGCTTGCTTTTTCCTTCCTTCCTTCCTTTTCTTCCTGTCTTCCTTTTCTCCTTCCCTCTTTTTCTTCCTTTTCCTCTTTGTCTCTTTCTCACCCTGTTTTTTTCTCTCCCTCTCTCCCTCACCCCTCCTTTCTGTCTCTCTCTCACACAGGCACACAAGAACTCGGGTTTATTACAATATTTAATACATTCTAGTTGGCTTAAAGCACTTATGAATTACATGTTTATTTTGTCTTCTTGACTGATATTTCCTCATGTCTGAGTATTGTGCCTCTAGGAAGGAAAACTTATATTTTTTAAAGGAGAGCTTTTCTCTAAATATTGCCAAAAATAAAGTGGCTTGAAAGAAAATCACATAGACCTTTTCCTTCAGAAAAGAGAATAATGTTTGAAGACTTTTATTTGTAAGAATTCCTATTTTTAAGCAATATCTTCGAGGAAGCAGTAAGGCCTGAATTTGAATAAGATCAGAGAAGACACATTCAAATGATAGTGCCTAGTGTGTATGCAGTAATGGTGAATTCTTCTGTATTTACTTCTGGCCTTACAGGTATAATTATTCTACCAGTCTTTCGCAATAATTTTCTCGTATCTACTGTAATTTGAAATATGAATTACAAATAATCATTCTGAACAGAGATGTCTACTTACAGCCATGTCTTCTGTACCCCTTCATTTTCTGTCTGTCATGTTCTACTACTGACAGGTGCAAAGTGTACCACAGTGACTTCCATGCCTCCTGGCCACGGTATGCAAGAGTCACCAACCTAGCATGCCCATCACTGCCTTGGATTTGTTCCTGGTCAACTCTCTTCACCTCCTGATCCTTGTCTGAATGCTTTCCTCCCTGCCAAAAGAATTCACTCTATCCTCTCTCGTGCATATCTCAATTCTAGTTTATCACTGTGGTAGAATTATTTGCTTATAGGTCTGTGTGCTTTACAAAGTGTAACTTGAGATGAGAAAATGTCATCTTTACATTATCGGCCACCAACCAGCTCAGTGCCTGACAGTGGGAAGGTGCTCAAAGAATATGTGTGGTTTGCCCACTAAATTCCGTGATCTTAAACTTGTCTTGCATTAAATAACCTTTGACTGTCAAGTCCAAACACAAAACCCATAGTCATTTTCTATAGACATTTGCAGAAAGGATTTCTCCTCTTCTAAATTAAAAACCACCTTAAATTATAAAAATGTTTGTATAAAATTCTGCATCTCCCATACAAGTATTTGCAGAGCACAGAACTTTGCAAATAGTGAGCATTGGATAAATGGAAGACTACGAGGGTGCTTGTTCTAGGTTATTTGCCTCATGGCAAATGATAATTTGGACTTAATATGTGGTACACATTGTTCTAAGAATTTTGTAACATTAACTCATTTAATCCTCACAACTTGAAAAAAATTTTCTATGAGAAAAAATTCTCGTAGTTGTGAGGGTTAAATGAGTTAATACTTAACAGGTGAGGAGACAGAGAAAATACATTACCCAGGATTGTGCAAGGTGCTACCAGAATTTCCAGAGACTGTGAGTTTAACCACAACTCTCAGAAACATTGGTCAATAGAATATCACATGTAAGATGAAATGCTGCAAGAAAGAGTTCTATTTACGAGGCTGGATGGGAGAAGATACGACAGGAAACATGGCAGTAATTTTATGGTACATCACACCTTACGTGACCACAGTTCAAATGTCAAATGCTTCTTTTCATGCTTTTAGCTCTTTCAATGAGACCTGGTTTACTCACATTTGCTCACCCTTCAATAAAATGTGTATGTTCAGCACATCCTGCTATTGGTAAGTTTGCTTTTCCAAATAAAAATGTATTTTGAGGGCCGGGAGCGGTGGCTCACACCTGTAATCCCAGCACTTTGGGAGGCCGAGGAGGGCGGATCACCTGAGGTCAGGAGATAGAGACCAGCCTGGCTAACATGGTGACACCCTGTCTCTACTAAAAATACAAAAAAAAATAAAAAATAAAAAATTAGCCAGTCATGGTGGCACATGCCTGTAGTGCCAGCTACTTGGAGGTGGAGGCAGGAGAACTGCTTGAACCAGGGAGGCGGAGGTTGCAGTAAGCCAAGACTGCACCACTGCACTCCATCCTGGGCGGCAGAGTGAGACTCCATCTAAAAAAAAAACAAGAAACAAAACAAAACAAAAAAAGACGTATTTTTGGTGAGAACTTACTTGTTTTTCACTCTCTTGAAAATATGGTGAAAATGGATTGAATTGGGTTGTGTGTCATCGTAACAATAGAACATTTTATGGAATAAAATATTTGATTCTTACTTTAAAAACTTTTCAAGAATTCTTAAAACTAAATTTACCTATATGTAGCTAGTACACCATTTTATTTACAACTACTTTTTATCTACCTATCTAAGCACATCTAGCAGTGTTCCTACTTGGTAACACTCTCAGCTCCTTGTTCCTATTATGTTCCTAAAAGAAATAAAAAGTCATACTTTGGAAATAGCTTATGATTCAGATTCCCACAGTTACTTCTCCTTCTCTAACCCCACACTTGAGTAATTTAACCTAATTCTTTTTCAGAATTTCGTCTGTTTTCGGTGTTTAGTTATTTTTCGAAAATTATCAAATCCAGAGGAAACTATTTCCAGAAGTTTATAAGTAATCATAAATATGAGTGAAATATTGTTGAAGTCTGTCTTCTATGAGCACTTTGGAAAATGTTAGTTTTTCTTTTACATTAACATTTTTGTTAGATTAGACATTGTGGATTGAACTTGATTCCAGGCAATGGGACTATTAAATGGCATGGGAAATAAATCTCTGAAAAGGATCAGAAATTTGGGTCCTGAAAATGTTAGTACCATGAATTGAATACTTATGATTACCTTGAACTGTATATAGGATATATCCTTTCTCCTTGGTGACAAAAACTATTTGTTTTTACTTGTATGTTTTACTTCTAATTGCTTTTAGCAATTGTTTGATAGAACAATCACAGCTAGAAAAATATTTCATCATTGGCAGATGAATGCCTTTTTAATATGAAAGTTTTCTGAAGCTCTTCAGGAGAGATTTGCATCTTTCTACTTTAACAGAAAATCTATCTTTAAGCATAGGAATAATAAATTGTGAGTAATCAGATGTGCATGTTTTATCAACATTCTTTACCTTTTATGATAATGAAGAAGAATAGAATTCATTGGGATAAATTTCCCTATTTCCTTTAGGCCTGATTACAGTCAAAAATTTCTGCTTCAAGCTTTAACCGTGTCATTTAATAGAGAATACAATGACCCTCGTGTTCAATGTCGAGTGCAGAACATCTAGAAAATCAGTTTAAAAATTTAGTAAAGACTGACTGCTGGAACGTCAGTACTTCCCAAAGCAGTCAGGAAAAACCCCAATCTACGTCAGACCCTGATACTTATTAGAACATGACATGAATGTGGTCACTTTTGCTTGTTTACTGTTGAAATGCAGTTTACTAAAATTTGAAATTACTAAATGTTTCTTACCTGGCTAGTTATAGAGGTTAAAAGGAAAATAGAACCTGAAAATAAAAGACAAGAGGAACATGGAGAAAACAAATTAAAAGAGCAGAAGTATGTAAACAACACGTTAAGTCCGCCTGTCTCTACATTCTCTTATTAAGTAGTGAATTTTTTGTTCTCTAGATTCAGGAGGGGGCTTGGATGATGCAAATAAGATCTGCTCGGTAGAACCAAATGAAAAACAGACAAAATAATGTAACTACTCAGCTCACATATCAACTGTCAGGGAATCTGGGACTATATCAACCTAGTAGGAGAGGGAATCTCTCAGTTTCTTAAATCTATGTAGATTCAATAAAGTGCCTTTTCACTCTGAAAATATGTGGAAAGCAAAACTTACCATTCTCAAATGAATGGAAGAATTGATTGACTGATATGTTAGCCCCTAGACTGATGTATCTTAGATGGTGGAAGAATTGATTGATTGATGTATTAGCCCCTAGAAAGAGGTTTAAGATGACACTATGCCTTCATCAATACTGTGATATGGCCGTCTGAAAGCTAATGTGATTTAGGCTTTTACTAGAAGGATATTATTCAGAGGTAAGACAAGTAATTGCTTATATCTATTCTGGATTGGTTAAGTCACACCAAGACTTTGTTTCAAAACTACTTCTATCAGATAGAAGAATAAACTCTCAGAGAGAGAGAGAGAGAGAGAGAGAGAGAGAGAGAGAGAGCAACCACTTAGTTCCCTGTGTATGAGATGACAGTGATATGTAGCTAAGAGAGCCAAACAGAAGCAAAGACATGAAAGTATAAGCAGAGTATGGACATGCTACTATGCAAAAGAGACTTTAGGTTTATTTCTTTCTGGTTTTTGTTTGTTGATTGTTTGTTTGTTTTGAGACAGGGCCTCAATGTCACCAAGGTTAGAGTGCAGTGGATCGATCATAGCTCACTGCAGCCTCCATCTCTTGGGCTCAAGCAATCCTCCTGCCTCAGCCTGCCGAGTAGCTGGGACTATACAGGTGCGTACCACCATGCCCAGCTAATTATTATTATTTTAGTTTTTAGTAGAGATAAGGTCTCGCTATGTAGCCCAGGCTGGCCTTGAACTCCTGAGCTCAAGTGATCCTCCTGCCTCGGCCTCCCAAAGTACTGAGATGACAGGCATTAGTCACTGTGCCCAGCCATAGATTTATTTCTTACCAATTGTTAAACTAATGCAGAAAATTTGTAGCCTGAGTACATTTTAATTTAATAGAAAATTTTTCTAATAGATGGAATGGGGACTTCTAGCGGTAAAAAAAAAAAAGTTTCTAGTTGTTATTCAAGCACTGCTTAGAAAGTAAAATGATGTTTATGTTATCATGAGGACTTAAAGACTGGATAGAAAGTTGAGCCAATAATAATAATAACAACAATAAAAATAGCCATTATTTACTAAGAACATTTTGATTACCTATTGGATACAATGTTCAATATTTGAATAATGGGTACATTAGAAGCCCAGTCACCACCAGTATGCAATATACCCATGTAACAAACATGCACATGTACCCTCTGAATCTAAAATAAAATGAATCTCCTTTTTTAAAAAAATTAGGTTTTGAAAATGTGATAAAAAACCACATATTTTGTGTTAGATCTTGTGGTAACTATACATCATTGCCAACCCTTAGAAGAATTTCACAAAGTTTGTGTTACTCATCCTGTCTCACAGATGAGAACATAGAAGGTCCAGAACTCTGCATGGCTTCCCAATCCGTTGCAAAATAGTAAACAGAGACGGAACCACTATCCAAATCTAAATCTTTATGTCTGCAACATTTCCATTTTTACCCTCTATAGTCTTTGATACTGACAAATTCTGACCTATAAACAGTATTTTTTCCACAAACATGTCAGAAATGCTGTATCCTCTCAGCAAGGCTGAACATAACTGTTTAATTAAGCTCTGGGCAGACTGTGGAAGGCCTATTCCGCATTGCAGCTCACCATGTCTGTTCCTCGGTCCAGCCTCTGTTTTTCTCATATTGGCATTTTTTTTTTTCCAGACAGAGTCTTGCCCTGTCACCCAGGCTGGAGTACAGTGGTGCGATCTCAGCTCACTACAACCTCCACCTCCTGGGTTCAAGTAATTCTCCTGCCTCAGCCTCCCAAGTAGCTGGGACTACAGGTGCGTGTTACCACACCCGGCTGATTTTTGTAATTTTAGTAGAGTTGGGGTTTCGCTATGTTGGCCAGGCTGGTCTCAAACTCTTGGCCTCAGGTGATCCTCTCACCTCAGCCTCCCAAAGGGCTGGGATTACTGGTGTGAGCCATCATGCCCGGCCCATACTGGCTTTTTATTTCTGGCCCATCCACACTTTGGGGGTTTGGCTTATCTAAGCTTCTATCCAATTGCTTTGTTTTCACATCAGAAATTGTTTTCTTTCTCTATGTTAGTATAGTTGACTTACTGTTAATATGGCTTATTTTTCCTCCTTGACTTTGAGATAATCTTTTTGGTAGCACCCACTCTGGGAAGGGTCATGTATTTTTGGGACCAGCCCCTTGTCTGACTCAAATCCTGAAAAATTGTGGACTGCCAAAAATATTTATATCTCTTTGGAATTTCTGTAGTTATGAATACAACAAAGCAGCAAGTTATGTAGTCTCTTCTACAGCATTTCTAGTTTTCTCTTATTTCCTGTGTATATGTCATCTCCTTAATAAAAATACAAATTATTTAGAGGAAAAAATTATTTGTAGGCTCATTTATTATTCAAAGATTGGGCTTACAGTGGAACTTCTTTAAAAATAGTCTTTTGTATTTTTAGTAGAGACAGGGTTTCACCATATTGGCCAGGCTGGTCTCGAACTCCTGACTTCATGATCCACCTGCCTCGGCCTCCCAAGTAGTCCCAGCTAGTCAGGAGGCTGGGGCAGGAGAATCGCTTGAACCCAGGAGGCAGAGGTTGCAGTGAGCTGAGATCGCGCCACTGCGCTCTGGCCTGGGCGACAGAGCAAGACTCTGTCTCAAAATAAATAAATAAATAAAAATTAAAAATAAAAAGTCTTTTGACCTGTCTTTTTCATCTGATCAGGGTTTATATTTGATACAAATAACATTCTATGTTTATCACATCAATCTAGATTTTTATGGAAATACTTTCAGCTGAACTTGATTTTCTCCCAAGAAAATCCAATATAGATTGACATTTATGTGGTTGATTGTATTAGGATAAGTGACTAGTTCTATATTTTCTCATAATGAAAAATGAATTCATCTGTAAGCAAGAGCCTTCTTAAGTCTTTGTTACCAAAAATTCAGCAAATACACAAAATTGAAAAGGGCACAAAACGAAAATCACCAAGCACATAAGACTAGGAAAAATGAAAATAACAAACACAAATTATTGAGAATTCATTATGTGTCAGATCCTAATGACCCACTGCATGTATCTTTCAGGATCAGCTTTCTAACATATCTGTACCAACCTTTACCCAATACCCATTAGTCTATGATGTTTAACATTCAGAAAAAGCCTCCAACTTTTAGGAAGATTTCTGCTTATAGTATTACATAACTTTTTTCTATAGAATCAAATCAAACTACAACTTTATTTTTATGGATTCTTACTTTCTTCCCCCTTCTAGTCTATTAAAATGCTTAGAAAAGTACAAATAGTCCATTTACACACAAGTACAGACATACCATGAAGAATAAAACCAAA
The DNA here is from genome assembly GCF_000001405.40 of Homo sapiens. Lineage (NCBI taxonomy): Eukaryota > Metazoa > Chordata > Mammalia > Primates > Hominidae > Homo > Homo sapiens. The sequence goes on from NC_000017.11 coordinate 70,931,421, forward strand.
TATATATTTGTGTGCTGATGTGTTTTTATCATACCCTAGGATTGGTAGAAGTGATGCCAACCTTTCTGAAATGTTGCTTCATTTTGGATACAAGGCATTCTTATTAATATTGGAGGGATGTGTCTTTGTCACTTGGATACACCATCCACGGCTCATGCAGGCTTAAAATGGATGTGGAAAAAAACACGACATTGAGAGTGATCCCAAATTCGCCCTTGACTTCAGATCACTTACATGTTCTTCAAGTAGAAATATTGCTGAAAGTTTGCCAAAGACGAAAAGCCCGTGGCTTTCACCATTTTGCAAGCAAAGGAAACAGCATTTGAACCTCCTTTGAAAACTTTTTTTTTTTTCACATTAAGAGGCTCCACACGAACAGAACGTGCCATAAATAGTGTGTGCTAACATTTTCCAAAAACTGGACATCAATTAATGCTAATTTATGAGGAAACTTCTTTGGAAGAGCATAGTCCAGACTCATAACTACTGAAAAGACTCATTAATATAAACGTTAAGGGAGTTTTTTCAAAGGGAGGAATTAAGGTAAATGCATATCATTACAGTGAAAGCTCATAATTTATTGAAAATTCAGTGGAAAGGAAACTTTATGCTGTGTGTTTCCAAAGTAATGTTTTGGCACATTAATCAAGGAAATAAAATAAGGATGAGGATGTGATCTCAAGAGAGATGGTCAGTAAAAATTCAGCTTAGTGATAGCTAACATTTATTAAATAAGTATTATGTGCCAGGCATTAGAAACACTATCTTGTTTATTTTTGCCTAACAATGCTATAAAGTAGATTTTCTTATTATTTCCATGTTGCAGTGGAGAAAAGAGAAAATCAAGCAGCCTATGTTATTTGCTGTAGATCACAAAACTAAAAAGTGGTGAAATTCGGATTCAGAATCACCTTTCTTAACCACATGTGCTACGACATTATACTGCCTTTAACAACTGTCAGATAGGTATATGCACAACTCTAGGTGGGTTCATGCAATGCCTTATTCTTCAGACTGTCTAATAATAAAAACAAATCATTTTAATCCATAAGTTCTACTATACATTTAAATACACAAATTAATTATTTGGCCAATTTTAAGTTTGAGGAAATTCATTATTCCTACTTTTAGGTCTTAAACATGGTAAAAAAAAAAAAGTAATTAGTAGATCCTTACCTTTTGTGAATCTCTCTAACATTTTGTGAGGCCCAGATAATATTCACACATTGGCTGGAAAATGAAATTTCTGTTTCTTGAGATACTTGATCATCTTATGTAAAATCTTTACTTAAATGAAAGTGGGGAATGGGCAAGTTATCTTTTTTTTTAGGGGTAGGTAAGTGTGTGTGTGTTTGTGCGTGTGTGTGTGCATGCATGCGCTTATGGGAGTGTGTTTTGGCAGAGGAAATACGGGATGCAGACAAGGGAAAGGGAAAGCAAGAAGAATATTTCTCCCAGAATCTGAGACTGGTTAACTTTTGTCTATTCTATCTCTAGTAGATCTATTTGACTTTAATGTAAATGTTTTCCCTCCAACCTGTCATAGACCTGTAATTGGACAGAGGATTCTAGCAGGATGTTGACACTCATCATCTCAGTGCTTGATGAAATGGATCCATCCTTCTAGAGCAGTGCTTTTCAAACTTGAACATGCTTCTGGATCATCTGGAGGGCCTGGTAAAGCAAAGACTACCAAGCCTCATCCCCAGTTTCCATTTCAGTAGATCTCCAGGGGAGCCTGTCAGTTTGCATTTCTAGGAAGTTCCCAAGTGATGATATTGATGGTGGTCTGGGGACCGCACCTGGAGAACCACCGAAGTGGAGAGGCCCACTATCAATGAAATGTACATATAGGCTCATACTGTACTTTGGCGGTAACAATTGGTACTCAGTAAAATAAATGGTGCCGTTTGTCGTGAGAATGACAGATAAAACATGTTTTACATAGTTTCTAAATGATCTAGAAATAATAGTGGCATTCAGTTGTCAGAAATAAAAAATTAATATTGGGCAGGGTGCAGTGGCTCAAGCCTGTAATCCCAGCATTTTGGGAGGCTGAGGCAGATTGCTTGAGCCCAGGAGTTCAAGACCAGCCTGGGTAACATGGTGAAACTGTCTCTTCAAAAATATATAAAATTTAGCCGGGCATGTTGGTGTGCACCTGCAGTCCCAGCTACTCCAGAAGCTGAGGGGGTGAGTGGGGAGAATCATCTGAGCCTGGGGAGGTTGAAGCTCCCGTGAGCCATGATCGTGCCACTGCACTACAGCGTGGGCGACAGAGTGAGACCCTGTCTCAAAACAGTAATAATAATGAATAGTAATTTAAAGCTATTATTGAATCACTTCAGACTTTCTAAATCTTTCCATAGCTGCCAGCAACCTAATCGGGCACTCAATGTAATTTTGGATTAAAAAGAGAGAAAGGAATCAACTCTCAAGCCATTCATTTCTGAATTCTCCACAGGAATTACAAGCTTCCAATTTGTTTACATTGAAGCCAGAAATCGTACTAGAAACTGATTACACTCGGCACAAAAAATTAAAGCAGGAGTTATATCTGAATGATTAAATATTACAACTTATCACTGAGAAAATACTGATGTGATACTAGGATAAACAAAGAACATTCAGCAAAGAAATAGAAGGAGAAAAACGAATTTAAGAGGAATAAGGGATGTCATTTTTAAATTGTGAAAGTAGAAATCGTGTCTATCTTTATTTTCAATATAATTCATTTGTAGAAAAACCTCTCTTCATGAATCTATTCAGTGATAGGTGGTTGTTGGCAAAATTAAGTCTGAAATACTGCCAAAGTTTACCTAACACTGGTTCCTAAAAAGAAATACCATATCCGTGTTCCTGATTCTAATAGAAACATTTGTGTATCAGTCATGTAAAGTCCTCTATAACTGAAGAAAGGAGTATGAGTTTAACATGCAAAATTCACTGCATGAAACTGTGCGAAATGTTTCAATTATTTCTATAATAACATTTAACAGGTTCCAGATATAGTGCATTAAGCACACAGCCAAGAAATGTCCCAAGCATATGCTGTTTTACATTTTGGTGTATTATAAGTGTATGAAACACATGTTAGGAATATATTTCATATTCTGCATTTGTAAAATATCAAATTTGTATCAGCAGAAACCGCAAAGGCAGCACAGAAGCTGCCCCCAGAGCACAGCCATTTTGCAATCAAACTTTTGACACCACATTATCATTTTAAAGAACAAAGCTCCTGGTTGAAATGAAGAAAATAATTTCCACAACTCGCAGCAATTTTCTTTATGTATTTATTACATGGGATTCAAAACACATACTCCACAAAAATTACTCTCAAGTTTCTATTTTGTAATCTGTGCCACTCTCAAAGTACACATTAAAAACAAAATGAATTTAACTTGATCGCTCTTATTTCATTTTATACCACTGAGGTCTCATTTTTTTGTCATTCTTGCAGTTTATTTCACTATATCTACATGCTATTGTTCCTCAGATTATTCTATGCTATGAAGCTCTCAAGAGAGAAAATTCCTCTTCCAATGATCTCTATATGTGTGTTTGCAATATCATTCTACTTTGGTATTATAATTTTATGTATAAGATGAAATGCTGATAAGGCATTTTATGAGAAACTTAATTATGCTACAGAATTTACCATCTATTACTAAATATTAAGCCTTTTCCCCATATCTTACTTCCTAAAATTGTATATGATATTACATTTATACTCTAAGACTCTTTTGTTATAATGATAGATGATGTTGGTTTGGGTAGCATCTGCATAACTTGTCTTCTGTTGAATTATTTTCCAATACTAAACACTGTTGTGATGGGTTCTGCCAGCCTATGGTCAAATGTACAAATCCTAGGTTACACATTCCCTTTCTTGGCCTGAAAAATCTTGGTGAGTTTAGGATACATCCGAAAGAAGCTGGATTCCAAATAGTGCCCAAAATATAAATTTAAAACTCAAACTACACTGGCCTCTTTCGTGCTATTTACAGTCACTGGTCTCAGAGGAGGCAGGGGCTCAAAAGATCCTCACTGTAGAAGCTTTCTTTGGTTTCTCCCTTCTTTGAAATCCTGTAGCTTTAAAACATCTTTAGAATTTGTTTTGTCACTTACCAAACAATGCATTGCTGTTTTTAGTTTTATTAAATTATAGGTGTGTGTGTACTTATTAGTAGAGTGAATGCCTAATATTTTCTTAAGGATAATTATGAAATATTATTATCTCTTCATGAAAGTAGCTAACATTAATTTTTTAGTCTAGGAACTTCACAATGTCTACATCATCTTTTTTCGTCATCCTCACTTTCTAAATCACATATTTTATTATCATCCTGTTCTGTCTGAGGCATAATATGCTAAGGCTGCGCAGCTGAGATTTGAACTCCCTTAGGGAGTAATGAACATTGTATTGGCTATGCCCTTATTTAACTCTAGTACACACAGAGCTCTTATTCGCGACATGTATATTTTTGCATTAATGTTTAGCCCAGCACCCGGCATCTAGCAATCCTCTTGTTGGTGAGTTAAATAGAATTATACAAGATAAATTTTAGAGTTTAGTAGAGTACATCAACAGGTATAATTTTATGTTTCAATTTTTGGAAAGTATTATATCCTGCCTTAGCTTCTCTATACATAAAATTATAAGCTAATGTTGAAACAAAACTCCACCTAGGCCCCTAGGCTAAGCCCAAAGTCTACTTTATCCCTTTAAGAACATCTACAGTTTGCCTTGTTTTTGAGCCCTACTTGGATTCCTCGGTGGCTTCCCAGAACCCTTAGGAGTATCCATCCTCACTACAGTGTGCAAGGCCCTCTGTGGCCTTGCTTGGCCCTTTTGGAAGACAACACCACTCTCTTTTTTGTTCACACCATTTACTCTTAGAACATGCCTCACCAATATTTTTCTAACTTCTTCTCTGTGGCCTCTATCTTATTATTCCCTCCATCCAGAATGGTGTTTCTTTGGCTCCTCTTTGCTTGCTTGGAGCACTCACCATTAAACCCTATTTAAAGGCCATTGCTTCTGAGAGACCTCCTCTGAACACTCTATCGCCCTAGCTTCTCTCCTCTCTCATGCTGGCTAGACTCATGGTTTCTTATCTCAGGCCATTCCCAACCTCACACCTATTGCAACTAGTAAACTCCTTCTGCGTTTACTTGCTTATATACTTCTTTCCTTCTAGATTAGGGTCAGGAAACTGCAACCTGTAGGCGCCATTCAACCAGCTGATTGCTTTTAGACATTAAGTTTTATTAGAACACAGCTATGCCCCATTTGGTTCCACACTACCTAGGGAGGTTGTCCTACTTTAACAGCAGAGTTAGGAGTAGTAACAGAGACCCTCTGGCCAAAAAAGCCAAAATATTTCCTAGTTGGCCCTTTATGGGAAATATTTGCCATCCCCTAGATCATAAACTCCAAAAGAGCAAGGGTTAAGTTAACACAGTATTTTGGTTAATAGGACAACCCTTGAGCCAGAGTGCCTGGGATCAAATTCCAGCTCCACTAATTATGTACTGTGTGATACTGCCCAAGTTATTTAACATCTCTCTGTTCGCCAGGTTTTTTCATCTGTCTAATAGAGAGATGATGGTAATACATACCTCACCAATTTATTGTGAGGATTTAATGAATTAATTAATACCTGTAATGTATTGACAGTAGCTTACAGCACAAAACACTATATAGGTGATAACAAATATTATCATGTATTGATGTTTTTCGTGATTGACTAAAATAAATATTTAATAGACGAAGAGGCAATTAAATAACAAGTTAAATGACAAAGCTTCTTCTTTGAATCCTCTTCTTTGTTTGGACCTCTCTAATAAGATATACTCTATTCCATATTCTGTTAAAAACGTTTCTTCTCCTAATAGGTTTCCCCTAAATTATCTGCAGCTGGTAAGTGTGTCCCATTTACATTTGTATACCTGAAATGACAAGGACCACGCTTATAACAAAGGATATCTCTACTACGAGCATAGGTGAATGAATTACTGTCAACAGAAGAGCCCCAAGATATGTAAGAGACTTTGCCTATCCATCATTAATTATTTTAACTTGTTTTTATTACATATTTCTAGAGAAACTAGGCTGTGGATGACATTGTGCCATACGTAATACAAAAATGCACCATCATTCCTTACTTTAAGAAAATTATAAATTAATAGGGAATAAAAAATAGTACAAAATTCTTACACATGGATAGTATCTAACCCACATACGAGTATTAAATGAAATGCTAAGACATTCCAGGGGAGGAAGACTTTATTCCCAGCATCACACAGAGCCGAAAAGGGCTGCATGAAATTTTGTAAACAGCGATTTCCCTTTAGCATGACCTTCCAGCAAACAAAGTGCTTGACTGTATTTTTCTCAGTGGATTACTTAAATTGATCGTGCTTTGTTTTACTATGAATTAAGCTTGTGGCTATTTCTACCCAGATTCACTAAGCCACCTGTGAATTCGATCAAACTGATGAAGTGGATCAAACAATATTCACCGGCTGTTTTGGATTCTTGTAGGCATAGCTCAGATCTGTTTGTTGACTTTTTGGCTATAAATTAGGAGGCCAAGAAATTAGTGACGCTGCTTCGCCTCGCCAGTACATTGGCATTTAATAAAGTGTTCCCAATTATCAATAAGCAAGTCTCCATGTTCCATGGCAAACACTCACCTCAGGAAAGAGTGGAGAGCCAGGAGCAACCAACCAAATGCTACATCTCCCATGAAGAATGGCTCGATCGTTTTGAATGTCACGATCAGTTAAAATACCTAATCAAGTGGGCTTGCGTAGACCCGGCATTGGCTAATATGACCTACTCGTGTGTGTGTGTGTGTGCATGCGTGTGCATTTCCACTATATTTTCCCACTTCTTTTTACTTGGTAAAAATGGCTTGACCCAAACGTGAATGTACCTGGCAAGACGTGTTATATTTCACAAATTTCTAATCAGAGTGGAGGATCCAGGAGTGCCATGCCAGCTTGGGCCAGAGGCATCCTGCAATTAACATTGTCAAGCGCTCCTGAGTGTAAACAGTTACCTCACATTACCTCAGAGCTCAGAGCATGAGGCCGTGTTTGCACAGGAGAGCCAGCCACCACAGCGTGGCTTAGCTAAAATTCTAACTTCTGGAAGTCATTTTCTACCACGTGCATGCTTCAATAAATCTGCAAAATAACTTAAGCAAAGAGACCCAGAGTGATTTTTCTTCTTTCTTTTTTCTCCCCACTCGTGCTCAACTAAGCTGTAAAACTAAGTCCCCTTTATCACAAAAGTCTCCACTTTATAATCCAATTGACTTTCAGGGTTTGCTTTCCCACATGTTTGTCTCTTCCTGTGCCACTAAATCGTATCAGCTGCTCTGGATTTGGGGTTGATGGTGATTGCTGAGGTGGGAGAGACCGCGGCTGCATTTATTGGCTACTTTCTCACAAGACATAGGGATCAGAAATGACAGTTTTTGGCATTACTGTAGTTTGCTAGATATATAACTTATTTAGTTAGTTTTTACTTTTAATTTGGTATTTGGTGATTTGTTCAAAGATATAGATCTTGAGATCTGAACATTATTGTCCTTTTTGTTTCATACTATACAGAATATAAAAATATAGCCCAAATTACTGAGTATCTGTGTAGGTATTGAAAACAGAGTGTTGTCTAAATTAAATGGTTTGTATGTCAACGGTTTTTTGGATAATGGTAAATCTTTTAGAATCACATAAATGTTTTACACATATATTTGTGTGTGTGTGTCACCTTTAATAGAACCAACATATGGGATGATATGGTCAACCTGAGGTTTTAAGTGTATTCTGTAGAAAGAGTGACAATTCAGTCTTTTAGTAAGGCTTTGATTCAGTTTTCCCAGAATGACCTTTCCCTCTCACCCCAGTCCTCTTCTGTTGTGTGTTGTATAGATCAGGCCTACTGGAATAAATCTTCAGGAATCTGGATTATATAGTCTTGGCTCTGAGGGCTAACTAGCTGTGTGATTCACGTTGAACTTTTCTGGGCCTCACTATCTTTCAGTAAAATAGAGAATATCTTACTTATCTTACTCCTTCATAACTTTCTTTAGGCCTAGGAATAATAAAATAGTATATTTCCTATATTTTCAAAATGTTAGTAATATTATACATAAACAAATATGGCTAATGTTATGGAAATTACAATTTAGTGATCATTATTGTTTTCCTCTTTTATGTTTTTTTCTTAGTAATTATTTCTCCTTCTCTCTTTCCTAATGTATTTCTGACAATTCATACTCTCTCTCCATACCAGAGGTTGGCAATATTTTTTAATAATAAGATAGACAGTAAAAATTTTCAGCTTTGCAAGCTATACTGTCTCTGATGCTACTACTCAATTCTGTTGTGGTGGTATGAAAACATCCATAGATAATAGTAAACAAATGAGTGTGGCTGGGTTCCAATAAAACTTTATTCAAGGACACTGAGATTTGAATTTCATGTATGTTTCATGTTGTACAATATTATTCTTGTTTTGATACTTTTTCACCTATTTAAAAATATAGAGAAAAACATATATGGAGGAGACCATTCTTAGCTTTCGGTCTTACAAAAACAGGTGGTTGCAGGCTATATGTGGCCTGAGGGTCATAATTTGCCAATTCCTGCTCTAAGCTGAGACCTAAGCTGGCTGCCATGTACAAATGGGAAGTTCAGCTCTTGGTTTAGAAGAAATGCGCTAGTCAGAGAGCAAGAAAGAGGTCATCTCAATTCCCAGGTTTTACCTCCAATTTAAATTCCAAAAAAATTAATGAATGTCTTATAATCAATAATATATATTTCCCACAAACCACTAGACTTCAGGCAATGGAGGTACAGACTGCTGATTTTAGACACTCACCTTTTACATTTGACTCACCATGATAAGTCTGGTGGCACTAATGCTATAATGTTTTAGAGTGAAAAGGTAAGCTGGAGGTCATGTAAATCATCTCTCTCACTTTATACGTAAGATAACAATTTGCTTACAATTAAAATGGCAGAGCCAGACTAGAACTCATATGACCCAAGAAGGGGTTCTTTTCACTACACAACAATAGTTTCACTGTAATTGTTCCTGGAAACTCATCCAAAAGAAACAAGCAAAAAAGAACCAAAGAAACAAACTCTTGGACCCTTCAATAATTCTAGGTTAAGATGTTGGCCCAGGTAATAAGAGGTATTTGAATAAACACCATTGGCCTGCTGAGTAGCCCCAGTTTTTAGGTAGTTTTAGAGCAAGCGGTGTTGACCAGCCACCAAATTTGACTGCTGTCTGCTTATAACATACATACTTTTCATGGTCTACTAAACATCTTTAGCTTATTATCTTCAGAAAGCTTGCCCCAGCAGATCTGGCACTATGAGAGTTTTTTGTTTGTCTGTTTTTTGGAGGTTTTTTTGTTTGTTTCTTTGGCCAGAAGATTCATCCATAATAAATTTTCCAATCAAACCTGGGACCAGGTCTCTCCAAGAGTTCACAACTTCACCATTACCTAGGGCCACATTTAAAATCCTGCAGTTTACCATTCTCATGCAAACAGACACCAGAATGGAAAGGTAGTGCATATATTATCCACATCTGTCTGCTACAAATCCTGCTTAGTTTCATGCTTTTAGGACAAATTCCAGGCAAAGGGCCACTGGGAGAGGCTCCATTCCTCTGTACCCCATGCCCAACTCTGTCAGTTAGGCAGCAGAATAATTTCTTTCATAAGGTCTGTCCTAGCCAAAGAAAACATACCCATGCCCTGTGGCATGAGACCTCTAAAGGGAAGGGACTGTGTTCTGAATTACACTCCAAGGGGAGCTGACCTGAGATCGGATGCCTTAAGACCTGGAAAGCAGTGAGACAGGAATATATCAAAGATGGACTTTATCATTTGGTATGGTTGGAAAATCAATTTTCTATATGTAACCATGGGACGGATAAAATCCACCTCTCATACTCCAGCTCTCCTTTCCCCCATGGTATAAATTAGAGGACTGCATTCATTTTTGGGTATCAACACTAAAGAAACAAGCATCTCAAAGTTGGAGCCAATCATTTAAAAGGATAGAAAAACAAAAGTTTTAAAGGAAGAAATGGAGAGATGTCATTTACATGAACAGATTCAATTAGCCAAAAAATATAGGACCATTCAAGCTTCCTGCTTTGCTTCCTTGTGCATCTAATGGAAAAAGTGTTCCTGATCCAGGATTTTATTATTATTGTTATTATTTGAAATGCCACCTTAGAAAAAAATTTCCATTTGATACCCACCTTACTAGGAGAGGCTCAGTACAAAAATAAATAGTTGAAAATGTGCTGTGACTGAAATAGTGTTAGCCAAATTAATGCTAAATTTCCATCTGGACTTCAGCATGCTACCACCTAGAAATATTTTCTGGATCTCATTTCTATCTAGCCTTTCTTTTCCTTTTTTCTTTTATAAAAGATCACTCCATTTGGTGATTTGCTGGAATAGGATTAAGTAATTGTTGAAAGGTGGATTGCTATGTCTTTAGTGTCTTTAGGCTGATCTCCCATCTCCAGGGGGTTGATGATTCTACTGGAAGGAAAACCTCCAATGGTGGTCTTTTCCCTCAGTTGGCTGCTGGTCATCTTAGCAGATTTATTCTTAGACTATAAGGAATCAATGAAGGCAGGGCACTTGACAGCGGGACGCCTTTGCATCTCTTCATGGTGCCTCACACATAGTTTTGTTTCTATAACTTTTAATGAGTAAATGAATGTGGGACCAAATACAGCCTTAAATAGAAAGGCTAGGCTAAGCAGGTAGTGAAATTGCAGAATACTTATTGTATCTTAAAATATGCTTAACATTGACAGTTCCAAAAAGCCTCGGTACATTGAAACATTTATACCCACAGTTCAAACATCTTTGGAATGAATTAAACTCTTGTTACTGGGGGACCAGGGACAAAAACAGATGAGAAATCCCAAAGGCTAAGGCCATTTTCAAGTTTAGTTACTAACTCACTCTATGACCTTGTGAAATTCGTGCAACTCTTTGGGTCTCTAGTTCTTTATTTTTAGAAAAATCGAGAGTAATAATAGCGGTCCTGCCAATTTCTCCATTATATTTAAGCAGATTCTTGAATAGTTGTAAATGGCCTTTGGAAGCATAAAAATGTCCCATAATCACAACACCTCTTTTTGCCAGAAAGATGAGCACAAGTCATTTAGTAACTTAAAGAGATTGTCACTTGAAAAGTCCAACTAAAATGTTTTAGGCATCTCTATGTGCTAGGCACTGTGGTGGGCACTTCATTAATATTGTCTTGAACCCTCACAAAACCTTGGAAGTTATGTATTTTTATTCTAATTTTACAATAGAAATAACCAAATTTCAGGAAGATGAAGTGATTTGCCTAGGGTTGCATACCTAGTAAGTGGTAAACATACTATCAGATTGCACTGGCATTAACCATCCTAAAGCACTGTGCTGGGCACTAACCACCCACTATACAGTCTACAAACAGGTAGCTAGAACCAAAGCTTCCTGTTTCAGGTCATTTCAGGGCTGTTTAATAGTTTTTGTGTAAAGCATGTAAGAGGAAGAGGACATTTTCTATTAGATCTCAAGAAATGTATGTTGACTGTGATCTCAAGACCTGTGATCTCAAGACCTGTCTACAGCAGTTATTAGCTACATGCCACATGGTATGTCTGTAGAAAAATGTGTGTGTGTGTGTGTGTGTGTGTGTGTGTGTGTGTGTGTTAGTAGGTAAAGAAATTTAAAAGTTAAAGGTATAATCATCTTCTCTAGTTACTTTAAAAAAAATTATTGGCAATACATACTGACACCTTGTTCCCCTTTCTACATGCCAGGTCCTGTGGAAGTTTCCGGGGATTCAGAGAGGAATCAAAAACAACTTTGGTTTCTATTTTCATAGATTTGACAATCCAGATGGTAAAATGGACCTAGGAGACGTGTTGGTCACTTAGAAGACAGATTCCAGCTTAGCCTAAGGAAAGGGATTGGAGAAGAAGTAGATATCTGTAAGAGATATTAGAAGGTAGAAACCAGTAGGTCTTGATTATGGATTCAGTATAGTAGAGAATGGGCAAGGGGAGAGAAAAGAAGAAAAGTGTCAAGGATGACCTAAATATTAAGGTTTATAACCAGGGAAGTGAACTCTAGGGAATGATGGCAATCTCCTTATCATAGAATAATAGGGAGCATTATGGATATGGAACAGGGAAGCCTATACAAATTTGATGATAAATATGGGAATTCTATATAGGCATGCTATAGGTGCTGGTCTCACTCTCTCTTTTGCTGTCATAATCAAACGCCACAGGTTGTGTAATTTATAAATAACAGAAATGTATGTATCACAGTTCTATGGGCTGGAAAGTCCAAGGGCAAACTTCTAGCAGGTTCAGTTGTACAGGGAGAGGTGCTCTCTGCTTCCAAGATGGCACCTTGATCCTGCATTGCTTTGATACTGCATTCTCTGCAGGGAAGAGGCACTGTGTCCTCACGTGGTGAATGAGCAGAAGGGCAAGCTGGCTGAATGCTGGGTGAAGCCTCTCTGATGAGGATCTTAATCCCATTTACCAGGGAGGACCCCTCATGGCCCAATTATCTCTTAAAAACCCCACCTCTTAATATTCAAGTTAGCAACACCTGAATTTTGGAGAGGACACATTCAAACCATGGCAATGCTAGGTCACTTCTCCCATGAACCATTAATTATTAACAAACAAACATTGAAAGCTTTTTACTTACCCCTCAAAATAAAAGCATTATGTGCATGTGCTTATTTGAGCATAACCTATTTCTTAGTTATCAAGGCACATTGGGAAGAAAGCATTCAAAGATACACTGCCTCTCTATAGGCTCTGAAACCTTCTTGTCACCCTGCTACAACTCCCTGCCCTTCACTTTTTCCTTTCTGGGCTACATCAGCAGGAGCAGGAGAGCCTAGTGAACTTCACTCTTCCACCCTTTTCCATAAGTTGAGGTTCAATCAAAGGTGGTAACGAGGAGTGAAATGACCAAGAGGTAACAGAAGGAAAGAAAAGAAAAAGGAGCAGAAATTGAACACTATGTGTTACTACTTATTTAGGATTTGCTTTTGCCTGTATTCACAAGGATTTAAAATATAATTTAAACAAAAACAAAGGTTGCTATTGTGGTACAGAGTATAACAGATTCTTATTGAACACGTCAGCCTTTCTTTCTAGCCTGTTCCCTACAATATCAGTTTTATTAATATTACCTTGCTTGTGGTTATCATAAGACAAGGGTCTTAGTGATTGATGGCTTGGAGCTATGGGAGATTTATGGAAAAGGAAATCATTTTAGGAATGTTAAGACTTCATCAGAAAAAATAAGGTTCTTTACTTCCAGATATGAGCCAGAACAATGGAGGAGAAATTCCTAGCTCCCTCAATAAAAGTGATATAACTGAGTTCAACAGGTAAACTAAGCAAATGGCGGCTAAGGGGATTAATTGATTAGCTCTAAAAATTTAATTACAGTGTAATCTGTTAGCTTCTAAAAGGACTTCCCTCTAAATGAAAGGTAATAGAATATTAAACTGCCATACATTTTAATTTGAACCCCAATAATTTAAAATGCAGTCATAGGCTAAGGTATTTGGAATTAATTAATGATTCTAAAAGAAGATTCAAAATTATTAACGAAAACTGAATTTAAGGTTTACAACATTATTCTACAAATTATATTATTTTTCCTCCTTTAACTATCTTAGTTTACTATATCTTCAGTATACTAGCTTTAATTTCTATATTTATTATTTTGATCCGTATCCTCAGTAAAAACATAAAAGTTAAGAATTCAAAATTAAATCTGAATTATTTCTCATTTGAACAAATGTTTTAATACTTGATGCCCATGAGTGCAACTTTGTTGTTTAAAGTGTGACTACTTATTTCTACTTTTCCATGATAATTGCAGAATAATTTAGATGAGTTATCAGATTTAGAAATAAATATTATTATTTTTCTTAAAAAAACTTAAGTAATAAAGCCCCTGTTCAAGTACAAGCTGAACGCGCTGCTTTAAGAAAAGTGTGTTGAAATAGGCTAAATGTTACCATTAAGAGACTCATTCTGACCCAGCGTCATTGGTTGGCCAGAACCACAGGGTGGGGGTGTGAGTCTACAGATAAGTCTCTTTTGGCCTGAACACCCACAAAAAAACATTCAATGGTCTGGAATACTAGATCCAGAAACCACAAACCAAGGGGAGTCAGTCAAAAGCCCCTTTACAAAGTTTAAATTGAGGGAAGGGGTGCGCTACCCTTTCACACTTTTCCTCAGGTTACAAGCTGACGCAAAACTGACATTTATGTTCCTCTAAAGAGCTCTTATTATCAAGTGAGCTTGGTATCAGCCAACTGACAGAAAAGCAAAATTCACCTTCTGAATTTCCCAACAGCTACCTTTCAGCACTTAATCTTTTGCATTTCCTTTGGCCCAGAAACAGATCATTCAACTAGCTGGCTTCAATATCAATACATCTATTTCTCAGGAAATAAAAGGAAAAGATCTAAAACAATCAAAGGCCAAACACATTGTTTTCCGGAACAATGATGACTAAGCACCACTGTGGAAGCAGGATCAACCATGCCACGATTTCGATCATTCCCCCTGATTTACAGTTTTCCAAATGTATTAGAACATAGCCAAGGTTTCTTTCTACAAATAAACTATTGCTGCATAGGAACATATGGGTTTTTAATTTTAGGTGTTTTATTTTACATTAAATGACAAAACAGAACATGACAATGTTATATGATTTTCACTTTGTCTTGGTGCTGATGAGGATATTGCCTTTCTCTTAAAATTCTAGCAGTAGAGCCAGGCGAGGAAGATAGCTTCAGTCTACATTGCCAGCCCAGTTCTGAATACGTTTCACTCAGGCTTCTGTCAAAGGACATTTTACAGCGCCTTCCATGTCACACTTTTCTCTTTACCATAAGGGTCAGAGAAAAGTTTTAATGGTAAATTGGTCCATATCCATAATTTCAAGGAGGATTATATGATCAACAGAAGAAAGACTGCATTCTTCACACCCCACAGACACAGACAAACACGTCCATATATGAACACACACAAACACACACACAATTTTTCCTAGTAACAAACCTAACATCCCCATGGAGACAGTATAGAGAGATCACCTTTTTTTGAAACTATAAACAACAAAAGAGTTCATTCCTCTTTTTGTCTTTCTCTTTCTTCTCTCTGAATAATTAAGACCCTCTTGTTTTTCTCTGAAATCCTGCTCTTTATCTTTTTCATCACTGTACTTCTTCTGAATCTTCTATGGGTTTTTCAGAGTCCTGCACTCCCTTGAAGACTAAATGAAATATGTCTACGTACTTTGTTTTGGACACTGAGGGAAAAGAATTCAAATGCATAGTTGATATGTAACGATTGAAAGTGTTGATTGTGTCAAACATTCCAATTTAAGAATAATTTAATCATTTCAAATCTTTATGATATTTAAGCTTAGATATATTCAAACATTCCTGTGACACATTTGTGATGTTAATTTTGTACCCATCTTTCCGGTACCATATAGAGAAGCTTCTACCCGAAGTATGGTGTGCCCTTTATAATGCTTCTTTATAATAAAAGTACACAGATTTGTTATATTTCAAAAACGACATATATAAGTCTTAAACATAAATAAGTTAATAAACATTTTAAGATCTTGTGCATAAGGAAAGCCAAATCTAAAATCAGGAGATTTTAGAGTGAAACAAAAGGTAAGAACTTCCACACCACAAGCTTCAGCAATAACTATCCCATGAAAAACACGAACAACATTTTAAAACTATATTTTATAGTTATTAATTTATATAATATTGGCTTTTGGAGATGTTTGCCTCCATTTAGTGTCTTTGTAACTTTGATTAAATATATAGTATAGGGGACCTGGCAGGGTATCATGGTGGGCAGGAGGCAGGACTGGATTGCAGCTCTGGACAGAGCAGCGGGTGAGGGCTTGCACTGTGAATTTTAGCTCCAGATCAACTGCAAGAACAAACCAGCAACCCCAAGAGGACCCACAGACCCTCTGAAGGGAGCAGACTGCTCCTGCAGGACCTGGAAGATTCCCCCCATAACTGTGAGTGCCCCAACTGCAGAATTGGGAAAGGGAGACCTTCCTCTCCCAAACACACGTCCCCACCAAAGAAGCTGAAGGTCTGTTTGCAGGAGAAGTTTCTGACTTTACCTGGAGCTGAGTCAGTTTGGAGAGCTGAGTGAAATACATAAGTAGAGGAAGCAGCAGAAAGGCCCTGGGAGCTGGCTGGGTCGCCTCGCACGCCATTCCTGCCTGGCACCACAGGGATCCAGCGGGAGAGGAACAGGGAGTGAAACTACACAGGGAGAAGGAAATCTCTCGCTGAACTTTGTAACAATTTGAACAGGGTGAGAAGCCTCCTGGCCAGAACAGGATTTGGGAGGGCACAAATCCAATGTGCAGACTCCACAGGCGGGGAAAGAACTAAGCCTTTTTCTTTCGCGCCTGGGAGACGGATAGTCTGGGGAAGGTTTTCAAGGCTGTATCGCTGTCCGCCTAGAAACGGTCTGGGGGGCTGCTGTGTGTGGGAGGCACAGTGGGAGCAAGACCGGCCCTTCAGTTTGCATGGGAGCTGGGTGAGGCCTGTGACTGCTGGCTTTCCCCACTTCTCTGACAACCTGCATGACTCAGCAGAGGCAGCCATAATCCTCCTAGCTACACAACCCCAGTGACCTGGGAACCTCACCCCTGGCCCTCACAGCAGCTGCAGCAAGATGTGCCCAAGAAGAAACTGAGCTCAGACACACCTAGCCCGGCCCCCACCTCATGGTCCTTTCCTACCCACCCTGGTAGCAGAAGACAAAGGACATATAATCTTGGGAGTTCTAGGGCCCAACCCACTGTCGGTTCCTCCCCATACTACCACAGCTGATGCCCTCTGGAAAGCGCCACCTCTTGGCAGGAGGCCAACCAGGACAAAAATAGTGCATTAAACCACCAAAGCTAAGAACCCTCACAGAGTCCATTGCACACCATTCCCCACCACCCCCTACCCCCAAACCCCGGCCACCTCCACTGGAACAGGCACTGGTGTCCACAGCTGAGTGACCCATAGATCGTTCATATCACAGGACTCTGCAGACAACCCCTGGTACCAGCCCATAGCCAGGTAGACTTGCTGGGTAGCTAGACCCAGAAGAGAGACAATAATCACTGCAGTTCTGCTCTCTGGAAGCCACATCCATAGGAAAAGGGGGAGAGTACTACATCAAGGGAACACCCCTGTGGGACAAAAGAATCTGAACAACAGCCTTCAGCTCTAAACCTTCCCTCTGACAGAGCCTACTCAAATGAGAAGGAACCAGAAAACCAACCCTGGTAATATAAAAAAACAAGGTCTTGGAATTAACCCAATCCAACAAAGACAAAGAAGAAATAATACAAAAATATGAACAAAGCCTCCAAGAAGTCTGAGATTATGTTAAACAACCAAACCTAAGAATAATTGGTGTTCCTGAAGAAGAAGAGAATTCTAAAAGCTTGGAAAACGTGTTTGGGGGAATAATCAAGGAAAACTTTCCTGGCCTTGCTAGAGACCTAGACATCCAAATACAAGAAGGAAAAAAAGAACATCCTGGAAATTCATCACAAAAAGATCTTCACCTAGGCACATTGTCATCAGGTTATCCAAATTAAGATGAAGGAAAGAATCTTAAGATCTGTGAAGCAGAAGCACCAGGTAAGCTATAAAGGAAAACCTATCAGGTTAACGGCAGAGTTCTCAGCAGAAACCCTACAAGCTAGAAGGGATTGGGGCCCTATCTTCTGCCTCCTCAAACAAAACAATTGTCAGACAAGAATTTTGTATCCAGCAAAACTAAGCGTCAGGTATGAAGGAAAGATACAGTCTTTTTCAGATAAACAAATGCCGAGAGAATTCACCATTAACAAGCCACCACTACAAGAACTGCTAAAAGGAGCTCTAAGTCTTGAAACAAATCCTGGAAACACATCAAAACAGAACCTCTTTAAAGCATAAATCACACAGGACCTGCAAAACAAAAACACAAGTTAAAAAGCAAAAACAAAAAACCAAATAAACAAAAGTACACAGGCAACAAAGAGCATGATGAATGCAACAGTACCTCACATTTTGATACTAACATTGAATGTAAATGGCCTAAACGCTCCACTTAAAATATACAGAACCACAGAATGGATAAGAACTCACCAACCATTTGCTGCCTTCAGGAGACTCACCTAGCACATAAGGACTCACATAAAGTAAAGGGGTGAAAAAATGAATTTCAGGCAAATGGACACCAAAAGTGAACGGGGTAGCTATTCTTATATCAGACAAAACAAACTTCAAAGCAACAGCAGTTGAAAGAGACAAAGAGGGACATTATATAATGCTAAAAGGCCTTGTCCAACAGGAAAATATCACAATCCTGAACATATATGCACCTAACACTGGAACTCTCACATTTATAAAACGATTGCTAATAGACCTAAGAAATGAGATAGACAGCAACACAATAATAGTGGGAGACTTCAGTACTCCACTGACAGCACTAGACAGGCCACCAAGACAGAAAGTCAACAAAGAAACAATGGATTTAAACTATACCTTGGAACAAATGGACTTAATAGATATATACAGAACATTTCATCCAACAACCGCAGAATACACATTCTATTCAACAGCGCATGGAACTTTCTCCAAGATAGACCATAGGATAGGCCTAAAATGAGCCTCAATAAATTTAAGAAAATTGAAATTATATCAAGCACTCTCTCAGACCACAGTGGAATAAAGCTGGAAATCAACTCCAAAGGGAACCTTCAAAACCATGCAAATACATGGAAATTAAATAACCTGCTCCCAAATGAGCATTGGGTCAAAAATGAAATCAAGATAGAAATTAAAAAATTCTCTGAACTCAATGACAATAATGACACAACATATCAAAACCTCTGGGATACAGCAAAAGCGGTGCTAAGAGGAAAGTTCATAGCCCTAAACACCTACATCAAAAAGACTGAAAGAACACAAACTGACACTCTAAGGTCACGCCTCAAGGAACTAGAGAAGCAAGAACAAACCAAACCCAAACCCAGCAGAAGAAAGGAAATAATCAAGGTTAGATCAGAGCTAAATGAAATTGAAACAAACAAACAAACAAAATACAAAAGATAAATGAAACAAAAAGCTGGTTCTTTGAAAAGATAAATAAAATCAATAGACCATTGGCAAGATTAATGAAGAAATGAAGAGAGAAAATCCAAATAACCTCACTAAGAAATGAAACAGAGATATTACAATTGACACCACTGAAATACAAAAGGTCATTCAAGGCTACTGTGAACACTTTTATGCACATAAACTAGAAAATCTAGAAGAGATGGGTAAATTCCTGGAAAAATACAACCCTCCTAGCTTAAATTAAGAAGAATTAGATACACTGAACAGACCAATAACAAGCAGCAAGATTGAAATGCTAATCTAAAAATTACCAACCAAAAAAATATCCAGGACCAGGTGGATTCACAGCAAAATTCTAGCAGCCATTCAAAGTCAGTCAAATGGTAGCAATCATTTTGACACTATTCCACAAGATAGAGAAAGAAGGAGCTCTCCCTAATTCATTCTATGAAGCTAGCATCACCCTAATACCAAAACCAGGCAAGGACATAACCAGAAAAGAAAACTACAGACTGATATCCTTGACGAACACAGATGCTAAAATCCTTAACAAAGTACTAGCTAACTGAATCCAGCAACATATCAAAAAGATAATTCACCATGATCAAGTGGGTTTCATGCCAGGGAGGCAGGGATGGTTTAACATATGCAAGTCAATAAATGTGATATACCACATAAACAGAATTAAAAACAAAAATCACATGATCATTTCAATAGATGCAGAAAAAGCATTCAACAAAATCCAGCATCGCTTTATGATTAAAACTCTCTGCAAAATTGGCATATAAAGGACATAGCTTAATGTAATAAAAGCCATCTATGACAAACCTACAGTCAACATAATACTGAATGGGAAAAAGTTGAAATCATTCCCTCTGAGAATTGGAACAAGACAAGGATGTCCACTCTCACCACTACTCTTCAACATAGTACTGGAAGTCCTAGCCACAGCAATTAGATAAGAGAAAGAAAGAAAGAGCATCCAAATCCATAAACAGGAAGTCAAACTGTCACCGTTTGTTGACGATATGATTGTTCACTTTGAGAACCCTAAGGACTCCTCCAGAAAGTTCCTAAAACTGATAAAAGAATTCAGCAAAGTTTCTGGGTACAAGATTAATGTACACAAATCAGTAGCTCTTCTATACACCAACAGCAACCAAGCAGACAATCAAATCAAGAACCGAAACCCTTTTGCAATAGCTGCAAAAAAAAAAAAGAAGAAGAAGAAGAAGAAGAAAAGAAACTCAAGAATATACCTAACCAAGGAGTCAAAAGACCTCTACAAAGAAAACTACAAAACACTGCTGAAAGAAATCATAGACAACATGAACAAATGGAAACACATCCCATGCTCATGGATGGGTAGAATCAATATTGTGAAAATGACCATACTACCAAAAGCAATCTACAAATTCAATGCAATCCCCATCAAAATACCACCATCATTCTTCACAGAATTAGAAAACACAATTCTAAAATTCATGTGGAACCAAGAAACAGCCCACATAGCCAAAGCAAGACTAAGCAAAAAGAACAAATCTGGAGGCATCACACTACCTGATTTCAAACTATACTATACTATAAGGTCATAGTCACCAAAACAGTGTGATACTGGTACATAGATCAATGGAACAGAATAGAGAACCTAGAAATAAACCCAAATATTTACAGCCAACTGATCTTTGACAGAGCAAACAAAAACATAAAGTGGGGAAAGGACAGCCTTTTCAACAAATGGTGCTGGGATAACTGGCTAGCCACAGGTGGAAGAATGAAACTGGATCCTTATCTCTCACCTTATAGAAAAATCAACTCAAAATGGATTAAGGACTTAAACCTAAGACCTGAAACTATACAAATTCTGGAAGATAACATTGGAAAAACCCTTCTGGAAATTGGCTTAGGGAAGGATTTCATGACCAAGAACCCAAAAGCAAATGCAAAAAAAAAAACAAAGATAAATCGCTGGGACCTAATTAAACTAAAAAGCTTTTGCACAGCAAAAGGAACAGTCAGCAGAGTAAAGAGAACCCACAGAGTAGGAGAAAATCTTCCCCACTATACATCTATACATCCAACAATCTATACAATCTATACATCCGACAAAGGACTAATATCCAGAATCTATAATGAATTCAAACAAATCGGTAAGAAAAAAGCCAACAATCCCATCAAAACATGGGCTAAGGACATGAATAGACAATTCTCAAAAGAAGATATACAAATGGCCAACAAACATATGAAAAACTGCTCAACATCACTAATGATCAGAGAAATCTGAATCAAAACCACAATGCGATATCACCTCATTCCTGCAAGAATGGCCATAATCAAAAAAAAAAAAAAATCAAAAGACTGTAGATGTTGGGGTGGATGTGGTGAACTGAGAATGCTTCTATACTGCTCGTGGGAATGTAAACTCGTACAGCCGCTACGGAAAACAGTGTGGAGATTCCTTCGAGAACTAAAAGTAGAACTACCACTTGATCCAGCAATCCCACTACTAGGTATCTACCCAGAGGAAAAGAAGTCATTATTAGAAAAAGGTACTGCACACACATTTGTAGCAGCACCATTCACAACTGCAAAATCCTGGAACCAGCCCAAATGTCCATTAATCAACAAGTGGGTAAAGAAACTGTGGTATTCCATTCCACACAATGGAATACTACACAGCCATAAAAAAGGAATGAATTAATAGCATTTGCAGTGACCTGGATGAGACTGGAGACTATTATTCTAAGTGAAGTAACTCAGGAATGGAAAACCAAACATCGTGTGTTCTCACTGATATGTGGGAGCTAAGCTATGAGGATGCAAAGGCATAAGAATGGAGCAATGGACTTTGGGGACTTGGGGGAAAGAGTGGGAGGAGGGCAAGGAACAGAAGACTACAAATATGGTTCAGTACACACTGCACATGTGATAGGTGCACAAAAATCTCACAAATCACCACTAAAGAACTTACTCATGTAACCAAATACCACCTGTACCCCAATAACTTATGACAAAAATTAAATAAAAAATTCAAGTTAAGAAAATAATACTATTTACAACATAAAAATAAAAGTCCAAACACATTTAAAAATATATATATGGTATAGGTAAAAAAGGGAAATTTTATTTCTTCAATTATAAACCTTAAATACTCAAACTTGTTTATATATCAGTTACATATATAATTGTTATATAATCAGTTATATATATAACTGATGTTTATATATAACAGTTATATATATAATATGTATTACATATAAGCACATATACAAGATATATGTTATATATATCACTATACATCTATCAGTAAAAGATGTATACATATATACATACTTTTCATATGTGAACTATGAGAACAAAATGAGAATATCTGATTCATGGATAGAGTCTGTTTGTCTTTAAGGGTGGGAAAAATGGGAAACCTATTAACATTTTGATATCTCCTTTGAGCATCCTGTAGGCATTTTCTTACCAAAAAAAATTAAATTTCTATTCAGTTAGTGCTATTCTTGGCTTAATATTTTAGTCTATGTTGTTTTTCTTTAAACTGCAACCTATACATGCAATAGTAGCAGGTAATTCTGCGAAGAGATTGACAGTAAAAGGTGTTTCTAATTGGAAGAGGAAAGGTGGTTTCAATTTAATGAATAAACTCCATTTCTACACTCTTTCCCCTTCTCAAATTTGACATCCAAAAATGAGTTTGGTTTAAGGCACACACTTGTCTTCTACTCTTTCCCTCACACCTGTTGTGGAGTAGATAAAGGTGTGAAAAATGTGAGTCCACTGGAGTCATACAGTTCTAAAAAGTGGTTAAGGGCAATAGGTGTCAAACAGAGCTGTGATTGTATTAAAAATATATATATATATGACTACTTTAACTCTGTCATATATCTCTCTTGTTCATATATTCTGTGTAGCATTTGATTCTGTGGAGAAGACAATACATTTCAATTACTTAGTGTGTTGATAGAAAATTCTTGTTGGGGGGGAATCTACACTAGACAGTGTCTAGTGAATTTAGTCTGACAATTTAAATAATATTAAAACTAATCATTAATGCAATGCCAAAACTACTGAAAACTATGCTGGTCTCTTGAAATAATGCTTATTTTGAAATAACCTTTAAAATGATCTACAAAGTAATTTAAGTAAATTTATTAAAATGTTCACAATGTCACCCAGTTTTATTTTATTTTGTTTTATTCTATTTGGGGGAGGATGAACTATATGGTGAAGAATAACCCAGTTTGACTACTATTTTCTGATAAAACTCAACAAAGCTTTAGAAGAAAATTATATATATTCCCAGACTCAAATCTAATTCTGATATCAAGGTTATATATTTTTTGCAAGAGGAGTGTAGAGAAAAACAAACAGATGTTGCAACATATGAAGATTTGCCTTCCCTAGCAGAGTGTGAATTTCCTTTTGAGCTATACTAATTTATTTGCATCTGCTGGAGAGGTGCAGGAATTATCTGACCACTGTTTATCTAGAAAAAGACCACAGTAGTGTTGCTATTATGGCATGAAACTGTTTCACATTTAGTTAACTGTTTAGAATCGGTCTGCTGAACTGAATCCTCACATACAGAGTTATAATTTTCACATTTTGTTTTATTTTTCCAAACCGGTCTGTAATGTTAAGAAGGAAAGGAAGGTTTTTGGAGGGAAAAGCTTATGGAGGAGTGTGGAGGTAAGAAAGTAGTTGGCACATCTGAGAACAAAAGGGCCAGTGTGTCTAAGCAAAGATCTCCCAAGTAGAGTACAGGGGTAAGCAGAACAATCTATTGGAGTGCAGGAAGAAACAGAGTATGTATTCATGTTTATATTTTATTTATAAATGAGTCAATGAACTTGCTGATACTAAATATAGAGATGAATATGAGTGTCTTCCCAAGTCACCTGTCATTTGTGGTTATAATTTATAGGTTGACACGAGTACGTGTCAGTTATACATCATGTGCAGTCTGAATGGTGTCCTAAGGGAAGAAAGAACGTAGGCTCCCGCGTGCAAAAGTGTCATCATCCACTGTCTTTCAAGTAACCGCAAAGCATTGTGTCAGTAAATATGCTTGTGTAAGCAAAGCTACACATTATATTGCCTGCTTTTAACTAATGCGACCCTCATAAAATGGACACATGGCTTAAGATTATTCCTCCAAGGAAGCCACAGATAGACTATCTTGCCTAGAATCCTGCCTTTGCCGCTTATGAGATGTACTTGAATGCTTAAACAGTGCGCATCTCTGAGTTTCTCCTGTCTGAAATCAAACATTGGCATATTTCTCAAGGATTGTGGTGGAGATTAGATGGTGATATGATTTGTCTGTGTCCCCATCCAATTCTCATCTTGAATTATAACAATCCCCATGTGTCAAGGGCAGGGCCAGGTGGAGATAACTGAATCATAGGGGTGGTTTCCCCCATACTTTTATTGTCTTAGTGAATAAGTTTCATGAGATCTGATAGTTTTATAAATGGGAGTTCCCCTGCACAAGCTCTCTTGCCTGCAGCCGTGTAAGACATGTCTTGCTTCCCCTTTGCTTTCCACCATGATTGTGAGGGCTCCCCAACCATGAGGAACTGTGAGTCCATTAAATCTTTCCTTTATAAATTACCCAGTCCTGGGTATGTCCATATTAGCAGCATGAGAACAGATTAATATAGATGGTCTAGCATATGTTAGCCTCTTAGAACAGTACATCTTAGAACAGTACATAGTACATGCTATGGTTAGTTGCTATCACCTCTACTACTATTATATTTACTAGTGAATATAGGAATCAGCAAAAGAGGAATGACAGAGCCCAAATTGCCTTTACTCTGAGCACAAAGTTTTCATCAAGCATTGTATTAATCAGGGTTCTCAGGGAAACAGAACAAGTAGGTTACACGTACAAACACACACCCCCCCCACACACACATCTGTACAAATCACTTACATAAAGACAGAGATTTTAAGAAATTGGCTCACATGATGGTGGAGGCTGGCAAGTCTCAAATCCACAGGGCAGACTGGAGACCCAGGGAAAAGTTGAGCCTGCATTGTCATGTTTGAAGACAGTCTGGAAGAATTCCTTCTTTCTGGGGCTCCTCAGTCTTGTTTCTTAAGGCTTTCAACTGATTGTATGAAGCCCACTCACACTAGGGAGAGTATTCTATTTCACTCAAAGTCTACTAGTTAATTTAAATATGAATCACATGTAACGTACTCTCGCAGCAACATCTACCCTGGTGTTTGGCCAAACATCTGGACACCATCGTCTAGCCAAGTTGACACATAAAAATAACTATCACAGGCATATTACACGTCAAAAACCATAAGAAGCTAATCAGGATTATCTATGCTGTCATGTGTTCATTTGCTCTTCATTCATTTGTAAAGAAAGAAAATGGTCTGTCAAGCTCCTTCTGTAAGTTGGTATGTCATTCTAGGTTCCGAGGACACAACATCAAACAAAATAGATTAGTTCCTGGATTGTGGAGGTTATGTTCTGGAGGTGGTAGATAAACAAGAAGCAAATAAATAATTGGCTGAAGTGGGAGAATTGCTTGAGCCTTGGAGTTCAAGACCAGCCTGGGCAACATAGTGAGACCCCACCTCTAAGGAAGAAAATAATTTATTTACTTATTTTATTTTAAATTCAGGGGTACATGTGCAGGATGTGCAGGTTTGTTACATAGGTAAACATGTTATGGGGGTTTGTTGTACTTATTATTTCATCACCCAGGCACTAAGCCTAGTACTTAATCATTAGTTATTTTTCCTGATCCTCCCTCTCCTCCTACCCTCCACCCTCTGATAGGCCCTAGTGTGTGTTGTTCTCCTCTATATGTCCATGTGTTCTCATCATTTAGCTCCAACTGATAAGTGAGAACATGTGCTATCTGGTTTTCTGTTCCCGCCTTAATTTGCTAAGGTAATGGCCTCTAGCTCATCCATGTCCCTGCAAAAAAACATGATCTCATTCTTATCTATGGCTGCATAGTATTCCATGGTGTATATGTACCATATTTTCTTTAACCAGTCTATCATCAAATGGACATTTAGGTTGATTCCATGTCTTTGTTACTGTGAATACTGCTGCAGTGAATATATGTCTCCATGTGTCTTTATAATAGAAGTATTTATATTTCTTTGAGTATATACCCAGTAATGAGATTGCTGGGTCAAATAGTGCTTCTGACTTTAGGTCTTTGAGGAATCACCACACTGCCTTCCACAATGGTTGAACTAATTTACACTCCCACCAGCAGTGTAAAAGCGTTTCTTTTTCTCCACAACCTCACCAGCATCTGTTATTTTTTGATTTTTTAATAGTCATTCTGATTGGTGTTAGATGGTATCTCATTATGGTTTTGATTTGCATTTCTCTAATAATCAGTGATGTTGAGCTTTTTTTTTTTTTGAGATGGAGTCCCACTCTTGTTGCCCATTCTGGAGTACAGTGGTGCGATCTTGGCTCACTGCAACCTCTGCCTCCCAGGTTCAAGTGATTCTCCTGCCTCAGCCTACTGAGTTCAGCTGAGATTACAGGCACTTGCCACCACACCCGGTTAATTTTTGCACTTTTAGTAGAAACGGGGTTTCACCATGTTGTCCAGGCTGGTTTCAAACTCCTGACCTCAGGTGATCTGCCCATCTCAGCCTCCCAAAGTGCTGGGATTACAGGCGTGAGCCAACATACCCGGCCAAGCCTTTTTTTCATATGCTTGTTGGCCACATGTATGTCTTCTTTTGAAAAGGATCTGTTCATGTCCTTGGCCTGCTTTTTAATGGGGTTGTTTGTTTGTTTCTTGTAAATTTGTTTAAGTTCCTTATAAATTCTGGATATTAGACCTCTGTCAGATGCATAGTTTGCAAAAATTTTTTCCCATTCTCTAGGTTGTCTGTTTGCTCTGTTGATATTTTCTTTTGCTGTACTGAAGCTCTTTAGTTTAATTAGATCTCATTTGTCATTTTTGCTTGAAAAATAAAATTTAATTGGCATACACAAATGTGCGTACATCAGGGTAGTTGCAGTGATGTGCAGAGTAAAGAGAATAGGAAATGCAATGGGTAGGAAGGTATCTGCTGTCAATAGAAGCTTTGAGAGCAGAGACCTAAAGGATATGAGAGAACTATCCATGCAGGCAGTACAGAGAAGAGCATTCCAAGCAGAGAGAAGAATAAGAAATAAATGTTCTTGATGTGTCCAAGGATATGCAAGGAGGTCAGTGTGGCTGGAGTTGAGCCTGCTGGGAAGAGATGGATACTCAATACAAAGGAGAGTGAAGTAAGGTCATGTACAAACTTGTAGGCCATTGCATGGTGGTGGTGGTGATAGGGATAGAGAATTTTGAGCAGAGGAGAGACATATCTGATTTACCTTATAAAAGTGAATGACTCTGAGTATTGTGTGACCAACAGATTCTGTGGGGACTGCAGAGAGACAGCAGGCTATGGCATTAATACATGTGAGGTGATGGTGACTTGGACTAAAGTGACAGTAGTGATGGTAAAGGACATTGCTCAGATTTCAGACATATAGACACATGGCTCAAGATGATTCCTACAAAGGATCCACAGATAGACTGTCCTGCAAAAGTTGATGGTGCATTCTCAAGTCTGAAGACAGTAGGGAGGCAGAATTCCTTCTTTATGGGGGTGCTCAGTCTTTTTTCTTGAGGCTTTCAACTGATCGGATGAAGCCCACTCACACTGGGGACAGCAGTCTACTTTACTCAAAGTCTACTAATTCAAATATCACATCTTTACAAAGGTACTATCACAGCAACACCTACCCTGATGTTTGAGCAAACATCTGGATGCCGTAATCTAGCCACACTGACACATAACACACATAAGATGTTCTGAAGGTACAGTCAGAAAGATTGATGAATGGATAGGATATGGTTTATGAAACTAAAGAGAAGTCAAGGATCTCTCTGTGGCTCTTAGACTGAACAAAGGGAAGATTAAAGTTGCTAATTACCGATAGGGCAACAAATGAGGAAGAAGTCATGGAGATCAGAAATATGGAATTTTGTCTGGAGCTGTTAACAATGTGATGCCTGACAGACACAGACGTGGAGGTGCTGAGTCAATATTTTTCTAGAATAATCTAGAGACCAGTGGAGAGGACCAGGCTTGAGATGTAACTGTGTACATTGACATTCAGGTGGAAAGTCATGAGCATGGATGAGATCAACTAAGATAAAAGTGCAGATTCAATTTCTTATTGGGTGCTGGTATATTCTGTCATTTAGAGAGGTCTGAGAGAAGAGACAGAACCAGAAAAGTAGACAAGGCATCAGAAAGTGAGTTTGGAAGAAACTGAGAGAATGGTTTTCCAGGAAGTCAGGTGAAGAAAACATGTCAATGAGGAGAAAATGGCCAACCATTTCAAGGGCTGCTGGGTGGTCAATACCATGTGGACTAAGAATTGGTCAATGGATTTAGAAGCATGAGGTTCATTGGTGACCTTGGCAAGTGCAACTTCAGTGGAGCTGTGGTCAAGCTAGAGGAGGGACTAAAGAGAGTGTGTACAGAAAACTCCTTGGAGGAGCTTTGCGGTAAAGAAGAGTAGAAATATTGGTCTATACAGGAGTCAAGGGATGTTTTTGTTTTGGTTATCAAAGAGCAGATATTACAGATTGTGTATATGCTTATGGAAATAATTCAGCAGAAATGGAGGGAGAACATCAATCTAGAAAGAGGACAAACAATTCCTTGAGGTATGACTTGATAAGGGGAGAAGGGATGGGAACAGAAGGAGTTGTGCTTGAATAGGAGCACTGAGTCCAGAGCACTGAGTCCTTTTCTTATTAGAAGGATGGAGGCAGAGCATCTGTGCACAAATGCAAACAACTTGTTAGAAGTGGCAGCAGACACCGTCACCTTGGTCCCATTAAAAACATTGTTTGTTAGCTAGAAAGAGGATATCAAATGTTCCCAACACAAAGAAATCATAAGTGTTTGAGATAATGTATATACTCACTACCCTTTCTGATCACAATACATTCTATGTATCAAAATATTACTAGGTACCCCATAAACATGTATGACTGTTGTGTGTTAAGATAATGAAATAAAATATATAAAATTTCATTATTTCTATTCTAGCTAATATTAATGTATTGATCAGAATAAAAAGGGTATGTGTGTGTGTGTGCTGTTAATACTAAGGGATAAACCTTTAAAATATGTATATTTTATTCAGCTTATATTTAAAATGTTTTGAGTGTATTTATTAATGTACTTATGAATAAATATACAGATAGGCTTATATTTTAAATAAATGAAATTGTATCAAGGAATAATTTCAAAATGTATTATTGATAGGGGTTTGTTAGCATAGGATTTTTAAGACTACAACTGTGGAATGTAAATTGTGTGGGGGTTGGATGGGTGTGTAGAGGGGGGTGTTAAAAGTTAATAATTAAAAGTTAGAAATCTTATTTTTAAAAGTTAAGGAAAGTTAAGAAAGTCTTTTAAGACTGGCAAGGAGTTTGTGTATTATCCTATTTGGGGTAAGGAGATATCAGAGAGTTTGAGAACTAGCATGATAGGATCCCATTTGAGTTTTGAAAAGTTTATTTCATAGAGAAAAATTATGAGGCTTCTTTGATATTAGTAACAGAAGAGGGAAGGCAGAAGAGAGAGGAGAAAGAGAAATAGAGAGAAAAGAGAGAGAATGGTGAGGAGGAGGACCTGAATTTAGGAAATATTAATAACAGTAATATTTGGGGAGGAATAAAACAGATGACAAAAATTCAGAAGGCATTGGTGGTATTTATTAAGATAAGCAAAATGGAATAAGAAAAATTTGGCAGGAAGCGGTGGAAGAGGTAAATGATTCATTTATTTTTGTATATATTCCTTTCAAAATTCCTGTGGCCAACCCCAGTTGGTATACTCAGCAGGCAGCATGTGAAGTGAATATCTGAAACCCGGAAGAGGATTCTGGTATAGAAATGTTAGAGTCACTAGTTTAACCTGAGAAATCGCATTCAGCTCTAATTCTGAAGCTGATATCTGTCCTTCCTGTCCATGTTATTATACTTTACTACATATTCATATCCACAAATAATAATGGTTATGTTTTGATTTTTAAATAATTTGCATGAATGGCACCAATATGTATGCTTCCTTTGACAAGATGTGTTTACGCTCAATATCATGCTGATACATATTGATCTGGTTCAGAGATTGGCAAACTGTGGCCCATAGGCCAAAATTTAACCCACCATTAGTTTTTGTACAGATTTCAGGCCCAGAAAGTATTTTTAAATTTTAAAATTTGCAATCAATTTGATGATAAGAAATGCTAACTTTGAACCCCAACTTAATAAAATTGTATCCCCAAAAGGAAATCTTATTCTCATTAGTAGAACTGTCTTATAAACAAATAAACAAGAAAACAAACTAAAAACCAAAAATCTTTCAATTTTTATGATTATATTTCGAATTTTACTAACCCCAAAGTTGTGGAAATTTGCTTTTTCTCTTGTTAAATAAGTATTTACATAATATCCTCAACTCACATCTTTTTTTTCAACTCACATCTTGACCAAAAAAGCCCCAAAGAGTAAACCTGATCAAGTTAATTTATCAATTTTGGTGATTGATGTTTTCCCACATTGTAAGTACACTACAATTTATCTATTGATTACTTAATGAATGAGTTGTTTTCTATTTATGCCATTAAAAATTTCTTATTTGAACCCCGAATAACTTAGAAACATGTCTAGTTTTCAAAATCTAATTTTAGATTTATTATTCTATCCAGAATGTCATACACAGACAGTTCCTGACTTACGATGGGTCTACTTACCATTTTTCAGCTCAACAATAATGCAAAAGTGATACACATTCAGTAGAAACTACACTTCAGAATTTGAATTTTGTTCTTTTCTCAGGCTAGCAATATATGGTACAATACTCTCGTGATGCAGGGCAGCAGCGGTGAGCCTCAGCAGCCAGGCAGCCGTGCAATCACAAGGGTAAGCAACCAATACTGCACAGTGTGGTGTATTCAATAAGTTATATGAGACACTCAACACTTCATTATAAAATAGGCTTTGGGGTAATTTTGCCCAATTGTAGGCTAATTTAAGTATTCTGAGAATGTTTAAGGTAGACTAGGCTAAACTATGATGTTTGGTAGGTTAGATGTATGAAATGCATTTTGGGGCCAGGGCGGTGGCTCACGCCTGTAATCCCAGCACTTTGGGAGGCCAAGACGGGTGGATCTCTTGAGGTCAGGAGTTCAAGACCAGCCTGGCCAAAATGGTGAAACCCCAACTCTACTAAAAATACAAAAATTAGCCAGGTGTGGTGGCAGGTGCCTGTAATCCCAGCTACTCAGGAGGCTGTGACAGGAATTGCTTGAACCTGGAAGGCAGAGGTTGCAGTGAGGCGGGATCACACCACTGCACTGCAGCCTGGGTGACAGAGTGAGACTCTGTCTCAAACAAAAGAAAAAGTAAAAGAATTGCATTTTTGACCTAACATTTTCAACTTTTGATGGTTTTATTGAGATATAACTCTATCATAAGGCAAGAAACGTCTAGAGTTGAAATTATATATTATGTAGCCTTCTCAGACTGACTTCTTTCATTTAGCAATATGTATTTAAGATTTTTCCATGTGTCTTGGTGGCTTGATAGCTCATTTCTTTTTATTGATGAATAGTATTCCATTGTGTGGATGTACCCCAGTTTGTTTATTCATTCACCTGTTAAAGAGCATCCTGGTTTCCAGTTAGCAATAATTATAAATAAAGCTGCTATAAATATCTATGTGCAGGTTTTTGTGTGAACATAACATTTTCAACTAATCTGTGTAAATACCAAGGAGCCTGACTGCTGAATCATAAGGTAAGAGTGTATTTAGCTTTGGATTCAAACTGTCCACTATGGTTTAGATATGGTTTGCTTGGCCCCACTATGTTTCATGTTGAAATTTGGTCCCCAGTGTTAAAGTAGGGCCTGGTGTGTGGTGTTGAGTTGGGAAGGGTGCAGATCCCTCATGAATGGCTTGGTGCCATTTCTTCATTTGTGCAGGAGTGAATTCTCACTCTCAGTCACTGTGAGAACTAGTTGTTGAAAAAAGCCTTGCACCACCTCCTCTCTCTCTCTTGTTTTTTCTCTCATCATGCGGTCTCTACACATGAGCTACCCTTTGCCTTCTGCCATGAATAGAAGCTTCCAGATGCTTAAAAGCAGATCCTGGCACCATGCTTCTAGTACAGCCTGCAAAACTGTGAGCCAAATGAACCTCTTTTTTTAACAAATCACCCAGCCTCAGGTATTTCTTTATAGCAAGACAAAAATTGACTGTCAAACTTTTTGTTAAAGTGGCTGTACCGTTTTGCATTCCCACCAGTCAAGAATGAGCATTCTGATGCTCTACATTATTGCAACTTTTAGTATTGTCAGTTTTCTGGATTTATTCTAGTAGGTGTGTAGTGGTATTTCATTGTTGTTTTAATTTGTAATTCTGTAATGACATATGTTGAGCAAATTTTTTTATTAATAGGCTCTGTTTTTTAGGGAGAGGATCATAAATTTATTAACTGGTATAATTTTAATTTCTCATGGAATAATTTGACCAGAGAGGCAGTAAGTTTACTGTCCCAATTTGCACTGGTGGATGAGTTTTGCGTGTTTTCACTTCCCAAGGATTAAATTCTTTCCAGATATTTGGCTTATGTGGGAATCTCAGAATCAACTCTGTCCAGTAGGTCCAAAGCCACACCTTCTTCCTCGGGGTGGGCTATAGACCTCCAGAGAGCCCCTAGGATGCTGTAGTGTTGACACATGTGACTCCATTTTTGGTTTGGTGCTCTCCTTGATTTTTGGAATTGGGCTTTGCCATTCTTTCTCTCATAACTAGGTATCTGTTCAATAAAGTATTATTGATATGTGGCCTCACTCTTTATGTGGTAGAAACTGAATTTCTTTTTCAAAAGCACCTAGAATATAATTGTTTTAAAAGAAAATCAATGAGACCTGTGTTTTATTACTCCAGGACCAGGTAACAAACAACTAGGAACACCCTCTATGCTCTGGAGCCTATGAAATAATTCAAATTATCCAATCCACAGGAAGCCCTGGAAACCTAGCTAACCTGGCCCCATGTGCCATACTAAGCTGACCCTCACTGCTCCATGAATAAAAAGAAAAATGTTAAAAATGTTAAAAAATCTAAGTTACCATCCTCAGAAATCAGAAAAGAGGATACTGGAAAAAACACAAGCAGAAGAATGTAATATCATTGAGATAATTTATTTTAAATTTTAAGACAGAAAAGCAAGAGAGAAAATTAATAAAATGAAAAGCTAAATTTTTGAAAAGATTAATAAAATTCTATTCAGCATGGTAAAAAAGTAGAAGAGAAGGAACACAAATTTAAATATCAAGAATAAAAGATGGGATTGTACTATAGTCTTGTAAATCAAAAAGACACCGAAGGGATACTAAAAGTATACCACAGATGACTTAATGTTTATACATTTTACAACTCAGCTGGGCACAGTGGCTCATACTGTAATCCCAGCATTTTGGGAGGCTGAGAAGGAAGGATTCCTTGAGGCTAGGAATCTGTGGCCAGATTGGGCAACATAGAAAGATACTGTCTTTATAAAAGATTTAAAATATTAGCCAGGCGTGGTGGCATGCACCTGTAGTCCTCACTTGGCAGGCTGAGGCAGGAGGATCACTTTAGCCCAGGAGTAGAGGCCACAGTGAGCTATAATGGCACCATTGCACTCCAACCTGGGTGAAACAGAAAATCCCTGTCTCTTAAAAAAATTAATTTAAAAATAAAAATAGATTTTTAAGGCATAAATTTGATAGATGAAATGCACCAATGTAAAATAGTTACTGAAAAAATACTGACTTGACCCACTTTGAGGACTTGGCTACAGGACAGTTAATTTCCCCTCTTGAGTAGCTGATTAAATCCACACTCTAACCATTTCCCTTACTGGGCACTAACACTCTTGGCTACTGTGCACCTGTTTTTTATTACTCCAGGGCCAGGTAACAAACAACTAGAAACACCCTCTATGCTCTGGAGCCTATGAAATAATTCAAATTATCCAATCCACAGGAAGCCCAGGAAACCTAGCTAACTTGGCGTTATGTACCATACTAAGCAGACCCCTACTGTTTCGGCTCACTGTTACCCTGTCCCTGGGAGCAATTCCTTTTGTGGCCCTGCCTGGCAGCCTTCTGTCATTTGGAGCTGTAAGTAACAAAGAGCTATATGTTTCATCTAACATGCCTAGTGTCACTGTGTTGTGTCCTACCATCCAAAAGATCCTACAATCTTATAAAACAATCAATCCTTAAAGAAAACATTAGCTACTGAAACTCATTTAAAAATAAATGATCCAAAGAATAATATTATAGCTATTAAATAAATCAAATCCATAATTAAAATCCTTCAAAAACAAAAACAAAAAACCTCCAGATCCTAGGTGGTTTCACTAGCAAGTTCTACCAAACACTTAAGGAAGAAATAACTCAAATACTACACAATATCTTCTAGTAAATGGGATAGGAGGGAAGAGTTCCCAGCTCATTTTATGAGGCTACCATTACTTTGATGCCAAAACTAGACAAAAGCATTAAAAGACAGGAAGCCCATACACCAGTATCACTTATGAACCTAGATGGAATAATCCTCCATAAAATGTCACAAATTGAATTCACCATTTAGAAAACATATAACATATATAATATATGCATGCTATCAACTGAGACTTATCTCAGGAATCCAAGGATGGTTCAACCTTCAAAAATCAGTATAATTCACCATATTAGCAGAATAAAAGAAAAAAAAATCTCAAAAGATGTGAAAAATAGAAATAGCATTTGACAGGGCTTAAGATTTACTTAGCATAAGAACTCTCAGCAGGCTAGGAATATTAGAGGACTTCCTAAACATGATACAGGGCATACATAGGAATTAAAAAAAAATAAGCTAACATTATGAAAGCATGTGTGTATTCCTTCTAAGATCAGGGACAAGGAAGGCATGTGCCCCCTTTCTACTCCTAGTCATCATTGTATTGGAAGTCCTAGCCAATGAAATAACACAAGAAAATGAAATAAAAGAAATATATGCTGGGTGCAGTGGCTCATGCCTATATTCCCAGCACTTTGGGAGGCCGAGGTGGGCAGACTGCCTGAACTCAGGAGTTCAAGACCAGCCTGGGCAATGTGGTGAAATCTCATCTCTACTAAACATGCAAAAATCAGCCAGGCACAGTGGCACATGTCTGTAATCCCAGCTACTCAGGAGGCTGAGGCACGAGAATCGCTTGAACCTGGGAGGTGGAGCTTGCAGGGAGCAGAGATTTTGCCACTGCACTCCAGCCTGGAAGACAGAGTGAGACTCTGTCTCAAAAAAAAAAAAAAAAAAAAAAAAAAGTGTATATATATACACATATATAGGAAATGAAGAAATAAAACTATTTGCAATATCATTTACACAAAAAAGTCCCAAGGATTCTATAGATACTTGTCAAATTAATAAGTAACTTTTGCTGTGCCACAAAGTTGCAGTGAGTGTACAAAAATCAATTATATTTCTATATACTGGCAAGAAACATTTCAAAATTGAAAATTTTTAAAAAGTACCTTTTACGATAACAATTTTAAAAAATGACTTGGGAAACATAAATCTAACAAATATGTACAGAAGCAGTATGCCGAAAACTCTAAAACAATGAAAGACATCAAAGACCCAAATAAATGGAAATATATGCCATACTCTTAAATTAAATAAATTTAAATGGAATGGAAATATATACCATATTTTTAAATTAGAGGACTCATTATTGTTTAAAAAATCAACTCTCCTCCAAATGACACATACATTCTGTTACATACAGATTCAAAATTTCAACATTATTTTTGTAGATTTTAGTTAATCTTATTCTCAAATTTCTATGAAAAGTTAAGAAAATAGAAAAGCCAAAGCAATTTTGAAAAAGAGCAAAGTTGGAAGATTCATAGTATCTTATTTCAGTGCTTTCTATAATGGTACATTAATCAAGACAATGTCACATTTTTGAAAAATAGACATATGGATCAATGAGACAGAACAAAATTCATAAACGAACAAGTACAAATGTATTGTTTTTGACAAAATTATAAATCCAGTTCAATGCATAAAGTATAGTACGTTTAACAAATGATGTTGGAATAACAACAAATGCTGTTGGGACATCATATGCACTAAAATGAACCTTAGCCCACATCTCACCCGTAAACAAAAATTAATTCATAATGGTTCATTATAATAACAATATAAACAAATGCTGTTGGGACATCATTAGCCCATACCTCACCCTTAAACAAAAATTAAATCATAATGGTTCATTGACCCAAGTGTAACCCTAAAAGTATACAACTTTCTGAAGAAAATACAGGAAAAAATCCTTTGTGAACTTCGGCCAGGCAAAATGTTTCTTATAGTATACCAAAAGCATATTCTATTAAATGGGAAAAAATGGTAAAATGGGTATCAAAATTAAACATGTCTATTATCTGAATAAAACTAAAAGTGAAAAAAAAGCACAAGCTGCTGACTGGTAGAAAATATTTGTAAATCATAAATCCTTCAAGTCTTTGTGTTTAGAACACACATAGAGACATCATAGATAATATATATAAACTCAATAATAAAAAAACAGACAATCCAATTAAAAAGTGAGCAAAAACTTTAAACAAACACTTCAAAGAAGGTATGTGAACTGCAAATAAGCACCTGAAAAGATGACTAACAGAATTAGTCATTAGGAAATGCAAATTAAGCCACAATGAGATACTACTACATACACATTAGAAGTGCAAGAAACAAAAATAAACAAACATGAATGCCTGGCAATACCAAGTGCGTGAGGATGCAGAGGAACTGGGACTCGGCTGCATTGCTGGTGGGGTTGCAAAATCATACAGCAACTTAAAAAAAAAACAGTTTGACTGTTTCTTATAAAAGTAATTATATACTTACCACGTGAATTGGCAAACCTGTTCCTAAGTATTTATTCAAGAGAAATGAAAATGTATCATCATACTAAAACCTGGACAATGAATAGTGTTAGTGGCTTGACTAAAATCACCATGAACTGGAAACAACTCAAATGTCCTTCAGCCTGGGAATGGATACATGAACTGTAGTGCATCCATACAATGGAATATTATTCAGTAATGAAAAACATGAACTATTGATGAATGCAATGACATGGATGAATCTCAAATGCATTCATTATGTAGTCTTAGAGGTCAGTGCACTATATGATTATATTTAAATGGCATTCTGGAAATCGATCAGTGGCTGCAAGGGTATGAGGTTGAGGAGAGGGATTAACTGCAAAGGGACTAGGTTAGAGAAGTTTTTGAGATCATGAAAATGTGTTTAGTTTGTGGTGACAGTTAAATAATTTTTAATTTTTGTCAAATTTTTATTACTATCAAAAATAGTAAATTTTACTGTATACAAATTTAAAAATAAGATAAAGCCATGCTTCATTACTACCACTTCATACTGTCAGTAACCCATTCCCATTGAAAATGAATATTCGCTGCATGTGTACCTGGATTTTGTAGGTATCTTTCCACCTTCCCGTGGAGCATTAAACATTGCTCACTGGATAAGTCAAGAATTTAGAGTGATGATCTGGTTTGTAATTGTCCTTTTTATGTTCTAAATAGACTAATTTTATATTCCCCAAGTCCTTTCCTAAGATGGATGGCTCCAGTAAATCTCTCACTCCTTCGTTCCATTTCCAGTAACACGAACAACCTGCGTTTTCCTACATCCGCCCCACCCTAAGGCAAAGACAACCTCCTACGGGGACCAGCTTCTTGGTGGGAATAGGATGTTTCCACCTCCCATTGTATATTGACACTTGCTATGTTTCTTGCCATAAATCACTTGATGACATCACATTGTTGCTATAAATCCATGAACAAATAAGCTATCCTTCCATTAGGGAACATAAAATGGTCCATTTTCAGACTCAGTCTGCATACTGTTTATGGGTTGCTTGCTGCTTTCAGGGTTTTTACAAGAGAACATCCACTGTTTCTTTCTGGCCCTACTCCAGAGAGCTATGTTAATATTGCCCACTTTCCAAGATATTTGGTGAGAACACGGCATAACGGAGCCACATTTTCCATCAGGGACCTGCACCACATTTTCGTCTCTATTTCCCAGACAAATTAAACCCGCTGTTTTATGAGCTTCTTCAAAGGCACTGCACAGTAGCTCACTTTATTGAATATGGATACTACTTCCACTCGGAAAAGGAATCCTAAGATAACAGGACCTAGAGCTTAGAAATTCTAGAGCACAGTAATTATTAACTTCAGATATTAAGTTTAGGATCTGATCCTGAATTATTTAACTTCCTTAGAGGAAGTGAGGCAATGGGCTAATCTATGTCATTGGAATTGAAGATACCATGATCTCAAATATATTATCTGCTTACACAGGGGATGAAAATGGAATCTACAAGCATCAAGCATCAAGCGGGGGATAAATTCTTATGTCATCCATTCTTTCATTTTTTTAATTTGAGATGGAAAATAATGCTCTAGTCTCAGCAACCTCAACATTCAGCTCTGTAATTTTCTTTTATGTTTTTCAGGTCAGGAGTTTGGTTAAGGATTTTAACCTAGGAGTAAGTTGGAGTGACAATAACTCAAATAACTCAAAGAATTGAGAATTTGAATTGCTCAAAGAAGAAACAGATGTATGTATTTACAGATATATATTTGGATGTATAGATAGAACTACATATATGTATCTATAGATACATAGTATATGTATGTATTTATTTATAGAAACAAAAATCTACATATAATATTTTAACTTTTTACTTATTAACCCTTTCAGTTATTATTGCTAGATTATCCAGGTCAATGCTTAGTTTTTATTTTGGTTTGTTTGTTTTCTTTTCTTGTTGTCCAAATTAAATTATTTAGGTATGCTCACGCCTGTAATCCCAGCTCTTTGGGAGGCCGAGACTGGTGGATCATGAGGTCAGGAGATCGAGACCATCCTGGCTAACACGGTGAAACCCCGTCTCTAATAAAAATGCAAAAAAATTAGCTGGGCCTGGTGGTGGGCGCCTATAGTCCCAGCTACTCGGGAGGCTGAGGCAGGAGAATGGCGTGAACCCAAGAGGCGGAGCTGGCAGTGTGCTGAGATCACGCCACTGCACTCCAGCCTGGGCGACAGAGAGAGACTCCGTCTCAAAAAAAAAAAAAAAAAAAAAAAAAAAAAAAAAAAAAAAAAAAATTAGTTAGGTGTGACAGATTTTGGATACTTGTCTAATTACTTCTGTGGTTCTTAGTTTCCACTTTTATTTAGCAAAAAGCAATTATAGTAATACTAAATAAAATATGCTAAATTCATTATGATATGATAAGTAGGATTGTAAGTGTGTTGCATATGTTTTCTCATTTTAAAGACAACAATTCTCTGGGGTATGGATTATCATTATTATTCTTATTTTGTAGATTAGGAAAATGAACAACAGAAAATTGGGCGACTATCTAACCTTGCTCAACTTGTAAGAGGAGGGTCTTGATTTCAAATGCATGTCTGACTTTAGGAAGCTTCCTTTCCTCCCCTCGCCTCCCCTCCCCTCCCCTCCCCTCCCCTCCTCTCTCCTCTCCTCTCCTTTCCTTTCCTTTCCTTTTTTCTTTTTTTTTGAGATGGAGTTTTGCTCTTGTTGCCCAGGCTGGTGTGCAGTGGCGTGATCTCAGCTCACTGCAACCTCCGCCTCCCAGGTTCAAGCGATTCTCCTGACTCAGCCTTCTGAGTAGCTGGGATTACAAGCGTGCCGGCACCACGCCTGGCTAATTTTTGTATTTTTAGTAGCAATGGGGTTTCACCATGTTGGCCAGGCTTGTCTCGAACTCCTGACCTCTGGTTATCCACCTGCCTCAGCCTCCCAAAGTGCTGGGATTACAGACCTGAGCCACGGCGCCCGGCTGGGAGCATTATTTTCAAAACAATCCAATACTGACCCCATTTTACTAATAATTTAAACAAAAAGAATGGTAAATTCTTTACCCAATATTTATTGGGAAAATAAATACCTTACTGTGTTTGAAAAAAAACAGTGATATGCAACTTTACTTTGGATAAAGCTTTGTTGATGTTGTTTTTAATTGAGAATCAATAATGTAAGATATCATGCTTATGAGTTGGTAAAGCAAATCACAGAGTGCAAGATACATGCATTGATTTATTGGTGAGTCTTGAATGGTTTGATATTTGGTAGAAATTTCATCTGCTACTAAAATGACAATTAAATTATTTAGGTTTCAAAAGCATAATACCACAATCCTGTAAAAATATCACCTTGGACAAATTAGGGAGTTAGGAATAATTAGGTAAAGGTTTTTGGTTAACTGCCACCTTGATTACTGGTCTTAGGATATTTCAGGTATTTTTGAATTGCAACTATTTGAGAAGCCATTGGTTTTTGTTATAGAGTAATTAACTTAGTGGGCAGCTCCAAAAGTGGGGTAGGGAGTTAGCTTCTGACTGACAGAGGGAACTTATGCACACTAATTGCAATGAAAGATGGTCATCCTAACTTCTCAAAACTGATAGAGAAGCTAAGGACATGTGCCAAATTAGAACAGTAGCTGTGAAAGCTGAGTTTATCCCAAGACTGAAAGAAACGAAACAAGTGATTAATGAATGTGCTATTAAGGCAACCAAAAATGTCAGGCACAAAAAGATCAAGAATAACTGTCAGGTTCTAGAGGCCCAGAGTTTCCAAGTCTCCAAGAGGGATAAAGGCAATGATTAAATATTATTTCAATACTATAATGTAAAAAGCTCAAAAGGAATAAAGAAAACATATCCAGCTTAAATGGTTTCCTTCACATTTGTAAAGCTAGATCCAATATCAAATAACCTCCAAGGATATAGCAAATGACTTGAAATTTCATTACGCGGGATCAGAGGAGCATTTGGAGTCTATATACATAGAGAAGGATAAGAAGCAGTTACTTTAAGAATGAAGAGTCTTCCTACTTCTAGAGAGAGTGGAACTCTAATGCTTTAGGATAAAAGTTTGAGTATCTCTGTGCACCATCTAGATCTTTAAGATTTATACATATATGCATACACCATAAATCACGTAGATAATCTGATAAAAGCTATTGATCATCTCCCCAGAAAAAGTATCCACCTACTCAAATATTTGTCATAATTCTGTTCCACGGATTTGAGATGTTCAAGAAATCCCTTGCATGAAGAACCCTTACAATAAAGCAATTTAGAATCTGCATTTGTCTACTTCCTTTCTTGCAAATTATGCTAGTGTACCTTAAATCATTTTGTCCTTTTGTTGAATTAATCTATTTATGGTAGTAAAACTGCCTTTTACATCTACAAGGCCATTGTGGACTACGAGAAGTAAAATCTGGGCAATACATAGTACAACTAAAAGTGTAGTCTTCGCTGTCAGTTACACGTTTAAATAGATCTACCTCCATATTCTAACTCTGGAAATGTGAGCAATGTAGTTAAATTTTTAATTTTCAGTGTTCTCACCTATCAAAGGAGGATTACGTCTTTCATGGATCTTAGTTAGGTTTAAATAAGATATATTTGATGCCTAGTTACTTCTCTGGTACATACTAGGTACTCAAATAAATGTAGACAGTTACTACTAGTCCAAACTTTATGTTTGTGGTGTGTGTGCATGTGTGTGTAATCCCATATGGTGAGAGTACTCTTCTCTCTCATGAGCATATTAAAAAGAAGTATATAAAATTTCAGGAAATGCAATCCCTTTGTGACTTTGCACTGAAGAAACTAAGACATTTTACTGCCCTTTAGGTTAGGTGGTGGTGTGGGAGTCGGGGTTGAGATGGGGGAGTTCCCCCATTCCAAAAAATTGAAGTAGAAATATTTGTTTTGTTCCACATACCTACCCCACCACCACCACTACCACCACCAACAACAACAACAGCAAAGAAAAACACACACACACACACACACACTCAAAACTAAAACACATGGAAGAACCCTAGATAATTAAAGGACATTCCAAAGGTCAGAAAATTGGCAAGGTGGCCCAGATTTGCAGGTAGAAATAGGTTGTTCTACAGTAAAATTTAAAGTAAATGTGTGCAAGAGAAACTTCTGAAAATCCCATTTACAATTGCCTTATTTTTTATTTCAAATAGTCCAGTAAACTAACACTAATGAAAAGATTCACATAGAAGTATAGCAAACTGAGGGCACTCAGCTGTGATGCTGGTAGCAAAGAGATTGGAGATGAGCAGACTTAATGGTGAAGACTAAGAAGGGGGATCCCTGGTAGGCACAGTGATAGCCAGCTGATAGCACAGCCAGCTGATGACAGCCATCCATTCCTGGGGCCCCTGTCCCACAATTTCCAATTCAAATTGACACAGGAAAAGTCATAACCATGGTTCTGCTGTATGCTTTCCATGTGAAGATAATTCTAAAATCCTACCACGGCAAGGACGCCACTGACGTTTTTATTCGAGGGAGAAATACTCTACAATGTTTGATTTTATGTACCTCTAAGTAGGTAGGTTCCTGGAGCTGCAGAAGAATTGTCCTATACCTCACTTTAAATTAAGATTTAATTGTGACAGGCGACAAGGGTCACGTGTCTGTCCTTAAAGGTGTCTGTCCACCTTTAAGATTTAATTCAGTGCCTTGGGTGTGTTGTTTTTCATATTTGTGGACCAAAGTGATTGCCCTGAGTACTGGAGAAAGCAGAATGGCTATACCGTAGTTCATCAAATAGCTGTCAGCCTAAATATGCCCCAAATAGTGTTTTCTTACTGAGGCTTCATTTTGGCCTAAATCTTGTTCCAAGACCCCAGTCTTTTGACAGGAAAGCCTTATATGCCAAGTATCAGCAAGGAAACATAATTATTACTAAAATTGAAGCAGGTACTATTAAATCTTTTCATTTCAATTTGGAAATATAAGATGAAGGGTTTAATATTAACTCAAACAGTCAGTTTCAACTAGATCACTGTGTTTTACAGCTAATAGCATTAAGACATCACTAATACAGCTTCTCAAAAAACAAGTGTGGTATTATAGTTAGTCCAAGTAGACAGATTCTACAATGATTTGATTATATTTATATGTTTTCTTGCAAACTCCAGTGGTATTTCTCAAAATTTTTAGGTGTCAACATATGGTTTCAATTTCTCTGAAATATATAGCATAGCTTGTTCTCAGAGAAAATGCTGCCAAACAGGACTTGTAAATGTATCTTGAGGTGAAACTTAACATCTCGTCTTTTCCTATAAGGCTCCTTGGCTAATGCCTGCATAACCGCCGCAGATGGAAAATCACACCATTACCCAAATGAAGTTTTCTCAACCGAAAAGGGAAACAGGTTTCCCTTTCTTATACACACTGACCTATACTCTAACAGAATTTTTTTAGTATAAAAATTATAGACACTCACTTAAGAATTTTGACTATAAAAATATAGACATTTCGCTTATTTAAATACTTGCCTTTGTGATAAATTTCAT
Organism: Homo sapiens; assembly: GCF_000001405.40. Lineage (NCBI taxonomy): Eukaryota > Metazoa > Chordata > Mammalia > Primates > Hominidae > Homo > Homo sapiens. The sequence continues at coordinate 70,975,238 of NC_000017.11, forward strand.
AACAATTCAGACTAAAGGAATCAGGCTACCAAAATTAACAAAATCATTTATTTTCAGTAGAAAAAAATTGTCAAATCATTCTTGGCATGCTGTAGCTCCAAAAACAGAAAAGAAAAAAAAAGGTTTTGTTTGATTTCTGTATTGCCAGAACTTCTGATTATGCTGTATTTCCTGGTGCACTAAATATTTTTACCGAATTATTTATCTTTATGGTACATTTCATATTCACTATTTGTGTATTTACTTAATACACATTTAAATGTTTTCTATGTATTTTTAGCGTGTGCATGGGTATGGACATATACATACATAATATGTTTATATCTGTTTTTATAAAAATAAAACTCTGTAATGTAAATTTAAAAATTCAATTTCATACCTGCATGTTTTGTCTGTATTATAACCCCAATCCAAATAGTGGATGAATCTAGTTTTATACCTACTAACATGTTGTAGACATTTTCTCAAATAATAAATTATCAGGGAACATGAAGTTTGTTTGTCTCATAGGTTTTGTATAGCTTAAGCCCCGGTATAATATGTGCATACCCATTATTGATAAAGATGGAACATGGTCCATATAAGGAAAATATTTCTCTTTTTTTGAATTTATGGAAAGAAGGTAATATTAATGAGAAACAGGGATATTTTTATCTATGAGGTTTTCCCCTAAGTTCCAATGATTATCTTGAAGTCATAAACAATCCAGCAGTCCATTAAACCGTATCCCTAAATTATTCAAGATTTTCATGGTTGGCCACCTTCACACTATTATTATTTTGTCTCATACCAATGATGTTTATAAAATATGTATATAGAAACAGACTAAATAGAACTAGACAATGCTATGCTCCAGTGAGACCAGAGCTCACTCAGTGCAGTTCCCTTATTGATACTAGGAACGAACTGCAAGAAGACCAAAACTCCAGTTACTTTTATTCAGTTATAAAAGTAACAGAGACTATATGTAGAAAAAATTAAAAAACATAAATAAACCAAAAAAGACATTAAAACATATATGTCAGTACATCAAAATGTGCAACTATTAATACATGTGTTCCTGTCCTCTTTTAAGCAAACTACATCCATAACCTACGTATTATTGTTAAAGTATACAGAGGGATCAGTAACATTTTTCCATGCCAATAAATACATTTCAGGGTTTGTTTGCTTGCTTGTTTGTTGCAGTATCATGTCTAATTAATTACCGGTATGTTTCTGGAACACACTAAGTTGTATTTACAAAAACTTGGACTTTTAGTTTATTTCTGACTTTATAGTTATTTTCTTATTTTTAAAAACTTACAATAAAAAGATTAGTATAGAATGTTTACTGTGTGTCCAATACAGTGCTTAGTGCCCTGCTTGCATGATGTGGTTTAGACACACTACACCTTGGAGCCAAATACAGGTCACTGCCAATTTTTGTAAAGCCACACCCAATTTGTTTACACATTTGTCTATGGTTGCTTTCAAGTTACAATGGCAGAGTTGAGTAGTTGCAAAAGAAAGACCATCTGGCTCACAAAACCTAAAATGTTTACTCTCTGGCTCTTCACAGAAAATGTGTGTTCACCTCTGATATTACTCCAATAGGACTTGCAGTTATGATGGAAATATTCTATATCCACTCTTTCTCATATGGGAGCCAGTATCTATACGTGACTATTGAGCACTTAAAATGTGGCTGGTGTGACTGCAGGCCTGAATTTCTAACCTGATTTGGTTTTGATTGATTTAAATTTAAATTTAAACACCCTATGTGTCTTGTGGCTCCTCTAATGGATGTCACAAATATAGAGGTTCTAGTCTGTCAAATTCCAAAGCCCATACTCTTAATGATGTTATGTATGAGAATTTCTGGAAGGCTAAAATTTAGTAGGTCAATATTTAGTAGCTACACCTTTTGTAGTTGCCATTATTTTTGCACTGAATTTCAGTGAATTTAGCATTATATAGCAAGTAATCAAAGCTGTTCTTATTTTAACAATTAAAGTTATTAACAATAAAAGCTACTTAAAATAACCACATGAAAGGCTGAAAAGAAATAATAACTTTTTTCCTGAACAAAATCAGAGTTATATTTTGCAACACTCAGATATATTGTTACATATGTTGCTACTAGTATCTGTTATTCTCATTTATTTAATAGAATAACTATTCATAGAAAACAGACAATTTCGGGGTTGCTCCCAGAATAATAAACCAGAGAAATATGAAATGTTTTTCAATCAGCTTTAGCTTTAAGTAAAGCAGATTATTTTAGCAAAAAAGCTGTTTTTTTTTAGATTCAGTTATTAATAAAACCAAAAAGGTTGCTTTTTCTCCTAGATTCAGGTACTAACATGACTTGTTAGGAGAAGCTGAGAGGAGGTAGATTAATAGTTATTTTCTCCCATCAGCAACCAGGGCTACATTATAATTTTTATGATTCTGGGCACTTTGTCTTAAACATGCCCTTCTTCCATTAAAAGAGAAAAGGAAGGAGGGAATGAGGGAAGGAAGGAAGGAAGGAAGGGAAAGAAAGAAAGAAAAAGAAAGAAAGAAAAAGGAAGAAAGAAGAAAGAAAGAAAGAAGGAAGGAAGGAAGGAAGGAAGGAAGGAAGGAAGGGAGAGTGGGAGGGAATTAGTTCATTCTTACTGCTAATAAAAACATACCTGAGACTGGGTAATTTATAAAGAAAAAGAGGTTTAATGGATTCACAGTTCCACATGGCTGGGGAGGACTCACAATCATGGTGGAAGGCAAAGGAGGAACAAAGGCATGTCTTACATGGTGGCTGGCAAGGGAGCTTGTGCAGGGGAACTCTCATTTACAAAACCATCAGATCTCATGAGACTTATTGGCTACCACAAGAACAGCATGGGGGAAACTGCCCCCATGATTTAATTATCTTCACCTGGCCCTGTCCTTGACACATGGAGATTATTACAATTCAGGGTGAGATTTGGGTGGAGATGTGGCCAAAGCATATCAGGGAGTAAGGAAGGAAGGAAGAAAAGAAGGAGAGATGGAGGGAAGAAGGAAGGAAAAAAGGAAGGGAGAAAGGGAGGGTTGAAGAGAGGAAGGAAGGAAGGAAGGAAGAAGGAAGGAAGGAGGAAGGAGGGAGGGAGGGAGGAAGGAAGGAAGGAAAGAGGAAAGGAAGTAAAGGAGGGAGGGAGGAAGAAAAAAGAGGGATGGGGATGGGAGAAAGGAAGAAGACGGAGGGAAGAAGAAAGGAAGGAAGAGAGGGTGGAAGGAGGGAAGAAGGTGGAGGGAGGAAGGGAGCAAGGAAGGAAGGAGGGAGTGAGAGAAGGAAAGGGAGGGAGGGAGGAAAAGAAGGGGAGGGAGGGAGGGAGGAAAAGAAGGGGAGGGAGGGAGGGAGGAAGGAAAGAAGGAAGGAAGGAAGGAAAGGAAAGGGAGGTTGGCCAAATCTTTTCAATGATTAAGACACAGCTACCATGTTCAGGAGAGGCTGTGTGATGCAGTGGGTAGCCCCAGGCACTGAAGCCAGGCTACTCTGGTTTGAATTCTCATTGTCTCACTTCACAGCCATGCCTTGGGCATATTACCACTCCTTGTGGAGCCTGTGATTTCATTTGTGAAATAGGCATTATAGTCCCTAGTCCCATTTGGTTTTTGTTGAGGCATAAACAAGTTATAAATGTCAGCTCTTTGAAAAGTGCCTGGTACATACATAGTAAGCACTGCCTAAGTGTTAGCTCTTATTGTTAGTAATACCCCTTCTGCAGATAGAAGGATGGTTGCAACACAAGCCTGGCCCCTGAGGAGCTACCTCCAATTCAAGGATCTCTTCCATCTCTTAGGCTGACTTCAACTGATAGTCGTGGCTGATTGGGTTGATTGTTGGAAATTCTGAGGTTGTTATTCAAGTTCAGAGAAAAAGAGCGTCTTCAGAACACAAAAGGAATGTGGTCACATGTATCTGATGAGGTGCAGGAAAAGCTACCCCAAAATATGGCACTTTGGTATTTGAGAAAACAGCAGAAGCAGGAAGGCCACTCTCAGCTTACCTCCACCTTTCTCCCCAAAGCAGGCCAAAAAACCTAGGAAGGTGTCCATCTGGCCTTCTTCCTTCTCCTGTTGTTACCAGCAGTGAGTCTGTATGGGTCTGCAGCAACCTCAGCTCTTGCCACCTCAGAGGAAGGAATCCGACCAAGGGGCATAAGGCAGAGTGAGAGACCAAGGCAAGTTTTAGAATAAGAGTGAAAGATTATTAAAAATTTAGAGCAGGAATTAAATACGTAAAGTAGATGAGGGCCAAGTGGGCAACTTGAAGGATCAAGTGCATGGTTTGACCTTTGCCTTGGCGTCTTATATGCTGCTATGCTTCCAGGGTTGCATTACTTCTCCCCTGATTCTTCCCTTGGGGTGGGCTGTCCACATGTACAGTGGCCTGCCAGCACTTGGGAGGGTCCACAGGCATGGTGCGTTTACTGAAATTGTGCACACGCTCACTTGAGGCATTTTTCTCTTACCAGTCATGTGCTCTTAGAGGAAGGTCATATACCAGTTAAACTCTACGATTTTGCCTCTTAGTGCACATGCTTGAGCCCACTTGCTGAACTCCTGAGATCTTTTCAGGAAGATGTTGACCATCAATTTCAGTTGTTTCTGTCTATTTGGAGACTGCCTTTTCCTGGTGCTGGCTGTGACCAATTATTATTCTAGAGAGACAACTTAACAATAGCCTGACCATCACCTGAGGGTCGCCTGACATTCCTGGTGTGGAGGGGGCCTTTTCTACCCTGCTCATATCTGACAAGCTACCTACTGTAATACCCTAAAAACCCTCATGTGTCAGATGCCCTGATCTCTACTTCCATGGAAGAAATGTCACACAGAGACACCAATAAGGATGGGAATAATCAGGTCTTGCTAAGCTCCCCAAAGTTTGTTTTCATTAGTATACACCCTTTTATCCTCCAATCATATTTCTGCATAACTGTCCATAAAAGTACAATTTTTCCTTATGTCTTTGAGTCTTCATTTCTGAAGCCTCCCATGTGAAATAAAATTTCTATGACATAAATTTGCGTGATTTTTTTCTTGTCAGCCTGTCTTTTGTTATGGGATCTCAGCCGTGAACCTTGTGATGAGTGAGGAAAAGATATGACTTTTTCTCCCCTGCATATCCTCCTTTATCTGTAGTCTAATAAGATGAAGAAAAAACAAAATTAACCTTTTAGTGTGTTATTTTTACAAGCTAATGATTTCCCTTAAAACGTAGGTGCATGGCCTAACGTGATTTGATACTCTCATTCATACGGTTTATCTTTTTTTGAGTTATCTGCAGTGAGTGAGCATTCAAACAACTATTTATTGCATTTTTTGGCATATTTTCTTGTCAGCCAGGACACTGGGTTCTTGAATTGCAACAAACAAACAAACAAACAAACACAACAATAACAAACAGCAATATTGTAAAGAGGATGTGAAAGAACAATAATTGATACTGGTAATTGCTGTCTGCAATCACCACTGATTTTTTTGGAAGAAGGGTCAGCTTTTGTTAGACTCATTCATTTCTTACTTGACTTTCTAAAGTTCTGATTTTTTTCTTGGAAAAATACTTTGCTTTATAATGACATCAAAGCCTGTTTCTATTTGGCTCAGTCTGCCATGAGAAAATGAAGGCAAACAAATGCTTTATAAGTGAAGAATGACCGAAATAGCCTAATACATCAGCGTAACCAGTAATAAATGTTGTCTCTGGATAGCCATTTACAAAATTACTGACAATGCAACTCTTGATCAGAAAAACAAATATATAAGGCACAATTCTTTTAACTTTAATTAATCATACATAAATCTGTGGAGTTACCTGGCCTTGAACATATGCACATATGTGCACATCTTTATCAATCTGCGTACACATCTCCGTATTTTATTTCTATATAGGTAAACATCTGCTGGAACTATATCATTCTGAGTTTACTTGAATTATAGCAAAGATTTAGACATTTGTTTTTCCTTTTCCATTTAAAAAACATTAAAAATGGAAAATTCTTACCACAAAATTGATATTTATATAAATGGATTTTCTTCATACGTAAAGAAACGGTCGCAAATAAATCACTTGATCTTAAAATGTATTCTTTAACTACAATAACTACCCTCCACATCCGGATTTACATTTTGTAACTAATTCATTAGCATTTCTTTTCCCAGGTTAGCAAAATAACAGTAACATCTCAGTATTCACTTTCCTCATAAGATATAAACATATACTAGAACTAGACTATAATTTGATTTTTATTAAATTCATTCTAATAAGTGAAGAGTTATTTTGACAAAAACACATGTTACATAAATTTTTAGAGAGAGTTAATTGGATGTGGTCTTTAGAGCATTAATTAGCAGAAAATAGTTATTAAATGCACATTTCTTGTTCAAAATACCAGAACCAAAGTGTAGAAACAATTCTACAGATTGTCACACAAATCAGTTTCATTTTAAAGTGTTTTCATCACCTTTCCTCTGATTTTCTAGTTTATAGGTATTGGAAGAAAAGCCTGTGGGAGAGGGAGAATGTGTGTAATTTCAATCTTAAGTCAGGTATTATTAACATTCAAGTGTATTTTTTAAGTAATTTACTCATTTTTTATTTTATATATCAATATTACACTGGATATTCTTTCCCATGCTCCTTTTATTTTCTGAACTCTGTAATACAAGAACTTTCTTATGTCATCAAAACAAACAAATGAAAACTAACTTTGTAAACAGTACTGGAATGGCTATATATGTAAGTTCCACTGGTCTATAGTTGGAGTCAGCCCATTTTTTTTCTGTAAATGACCAGACAGTAAATATGTTCTGCTTTGTAAGCCATACGGTCTCTTTAAAACTACTGCGCTCTGCTATTGTAGGGCAAAAGCAGCCACTCACTCAACATAAACAAATAGATGTGGCTGTGTTCCAATTAAACTTATTTGTGGATACTGAATTTTGAATTTCATATAATATTCACATGCCACAAAATATAATTTTTTCTTTTCATGTTTCTTCCAACCATTTAGAAATGTAAAAAACCATTCTTAACTTATAAGCCATACAAAAATTAGGAGGCTGGCTGCATTTGGATGACCCGCCATATTGGATGGCTTTGGACTACAGCTTCTTTGACTTGTAACATCTCCAAGTCTCTCCTAAACTGATCCCCAAGGGTTAGGCTTAGGTTGCTTTGGTTTACCCATTTTGTTTCCACATCAGACCTTATTTTATTCAAGAATGGTGTGACCGGTTAAACATTTTACTTTTAAGGAAAGCATGTAATGAACTGAGAGATTTTGCTACAGGGATTTCTAAAAATTAATTGTAAAATTGTCATCTCCCAGAGTCTAAAATCAATCTGATTTATGAATATTTGCCTGAGACAGTTTGCTTTTTAAAAATCAGTAATTATAATTTGTTATTGTTCTTGCAGATGATTACTCTCAAAACCATGATAGATAATAAAGCATAAGATATTCTACTTCTTGTATAGGGTATTTCGCAAACTTAACAAAAAGAAAACCAGCTGGGCATGGTGGCTCACACCTGTAATCTCAGCACTTTGGGGGGCTGAGGCGGGTGGATCACCTGAGATCAGGAGTTCAAGACCAGCCTGGTCAACATGGTGAGACCTAGTCTTTACAAAAACACAAAAATTAGCCAGGCATGATGGCGAGTGCCTGTAATCCCAGCTACTCAGTGAGGATTGCTTGAACCCAGGAGGCAGAGGTTGCAGTGAGCTGAGATCATGCCATTGCACTCCAGCCTGGGAGACAGAACAAGACTCCATCTCAAAAAAAAGAAAAAAGAAAACCTACAGACTACTGTGAAGAAAACCAACAAAAGCACCATTAGCATAGCTTTTATTTCAAAATGCAAGGCCTGGGAAAGCTGCAAAGGAGCATTCTAACTTGGACGAAAAGACTGGAATTATAATAGTCCATTTTCACGCTGCTGATAAAGACATACCTGAGACTGAGCAATTTACAAAACAAAGGGGTTTAATTGGACTCACACTTCCAAGTGGCTACAGAGGCCTCACAATCATGGCAGAAGGCAAGGAGGAGCAAGTCACATCTTACGTGGATAGTGGCAGGTAAAGAGAGAGCTTGTGAAGACAAACTCCCCTTTTAAAGCAGTTAGATGTCATGAGACTTATTCACTATCATGAGAACAGCACAGGAAAGACCTGCCTCCATGACTCAGTCATCTCCCACCAGGTTCCTCCCACAATACGTGGGAATTATGGGAACTACATGATGAGATTTGGGTGGGGACACAGAGCCAAACCATATCATTCTGCCCTGGCCCCTCCCAAACCTCATGTCTTCACATTTCAAAACCAATCATGCCTTCTTAACAGTTCCCCAAAGTCTTAACTCATTTCAGCATTAACTCAAAAGTCCACAGTCCAAGTGTCATCTGAGACAAGGTAAGTGTCTTCTGCCTATAAGCCTGTAAAATCAAAAGCAAGCTAGTTACTTCCTAGATACAGTGGGAGTTACAGGTGTTTGGTAAATACAGCCATTCCAGATGGGAGAAACTGGCCAAAACAAATGGGCTACAGGCCCTAAGCAAGTCCAAAATCCAGCAGGGCAGTCAAATCTTAAAGCTCCAAATGGTCTCCTTTGACTCCATGTCTCACATCAAGGTCACACTGATGCAAGTAGTGTGCTCCCATGGCCTTGGGCAGCTCTGCCCCTGTGCCATTGCAGCATATAGCCCCCTTCCTGGCTGCTTTCATCAGTTGGCATTGAGTGTCTGAGGCTTTTCCAGGCACATGGTGCAAACTGTTGGTGGATCTACCGTTCTGGGGTCTAGAGAATAGTGACCCTCTTCTCACAGCTCCACTAGGCAGTGCTCCAGTAGGGACTCTAGGTGGGGACTCTGACCCCACATTTCCCTTCTGCACTGCCCTAGCAGAGATTCTCCAAGAGGAACCCACCCCTGCAGCAAACATGTGCTTGGGCATCTAGGCATTTTCATACATCCTCTGAAATCTAGGCAGAGGTTCCCAAACCTCAATTCTTGACTTCTGTTCACCTGCAGGCTCAACACTACCTAGAAGCTGCCAAGGCTTGAGGCTTGCACCTTTTGAAGCCACGGCCGAAGCTCTACGTTGGCCCATTTCAGCCACAGCTACAGTGGCTGGAACACAGAGCACCAAGTCCCTAGGCTGCACACAGCATGGGGACCCTGGGCCTGGCCCACAAAACCATTTTTCCCTTAGCCTGCCAGCCTGCGAGGGGAGGGGCTGCTGTGAAGACCACTGACATGCCCTGGAGACATTTTCCCCATTGTCTTGGGGATTAACATTCAGCACCTCATTACTTATGCAAATTTCTACAGCCAGCTTGAATTTCTCCTCAGAAGATGATGGGTTTTTCTTTTCTATTACATTGTCAGGCTGCAAATTTTCCAAACTTTTACGCTCTGCTTCTCTTATCACAATAAATGGCTTTAACAGCACTCAACTCACCTCTTGAATGGTTTGCTGCTTAGAAATTTCTTCCTCCAGACACCCTAAATCATCTTTCTCAAGTTCAAAGTTCCACAAATCTCTAGGGAAGGGGCAAAATGCTGCCAGTCTCTTTGCTAAAACATAACAAGAGCCACCTTTGCTCCAGTTCCCAGCAAGTTCCTGATCTTCATCTGAGACCACCTCAGCCTGGACCTTATTGTCCATATTGCTATCAGGCTTTTGGTCAAAGCTATTCAACAGGTCTGTAGGAAGCTCCAAACTTTCCCACATTTTCATGTCTTTTTCTGAGCCTTCCAAATGGTTACAACTTCTGCCTATTTCCCAGTTCCAAAGTCACTTCCACATTTTCAGGTATCTTTTTAGCAGCACCCCACTCCTGGTACAAATTTACTGTCATAGTCCCATTTTCATGCTGCTGATAAAGACATACCTGAGATTCAGCAATTTACAAAAGAAAGAGGTTTAATTGGACTCACAGTTCCACATGGCTGCAGAGGCCCCACAACTATGGTACACGGCAAGGAGGAACACGTCACATCCTACGTGGATGGTGGCAGGTAAAGAAAGAGCTTGTATAGGCAAACTCCCATTTTAAAGCCATTAGATGTCACGAGACTTATTCACTATCATGAGAACAGCACAGGAAAGACCTGCCTCCATGATTCAGTCATCTCCCACCAGGTCCTTCCCACAATACATGGGAATTATGGTAACTATAAGATAAGATTTGGGTGGGGACACAGAGCCAAACCATATCGGGAATCTTTTATTGGGCTTCAGCAGGTGGTTTCTTTCAGCAACTAGTTTCTAGAATAGTTGGTGCAGGATGCTTCTTAGAAGAGGGAGAAAGTATTCCTGTGCATTAGTATCTAGGGAAGAAGGAGAAACTATTCCTGTGCATTAGTATCTAGTGTGGGAGCAATTTAGATTTTATGAATAAGGGCAAGGGAGAAGAGCTAGAGGCTAAGGCCAAGTGCAAGAGGGGTCAGGGAGGGTTGTTGTGGGACACACATGAGGGCCATTGTGAGAAATGCTCAGTCACACTATGTCCTAGTAATCTATTATGCAGTATTCATGTTAGAAACCTTTATAATAAAGCCATCTAATAGTACTGTATCTTTTTTTTCCCATTATCACTGTTACCACTGGCAAATCCATACAGATCTGTAGCAACCTCAACTCTTGCTTCCTCAGAATAGAGAATTCAACTGAGGGGCATAAGGCAGAGGAGAGACTGAGGCAAGTTTTAGAACAGGAGTGAAAGTTTATTAAAAAGCTTTAGAGCAGGAATGAAAGGAGATAAAGTACACTCGGAAGAGGGCCACATGGGTGACTTGAGAGATCAAGTGCACTGTTTGACATTTGACTTTGGGTTTTACGCATTTGCATACTCCCAGTATCCTGTGTCCATGATTCTTCCCTTGGTGTGGGCTGTCTGCATGTGCAGTGGCCTGCCAGCACCTGGGAGGGGAGTATGCACAGTGTGTTTTCTGGAATTGTACGCATGCTCACTTGAGGCATTCTTCCCTTACTGGTCGAATGTCCCTAGAAGGTTATATACCAGTTAAACTTCACCATTTTGCTTCTTAATCTCATGCTTGAGCCCACTGGCTCAACTCCTGAGATCTTCCCTGGAAGCTACTGATCACCAGCTTTGATTTTTCTATCTACTGGGAGACTGCTTTTCCCTGGATCTGGCTGCAACAAATTAGTATTTTAGAGAGACAGTTAACAACCACCTGACGGCATCTGACATTCCTGGTATGTGTGTGGTGTGGGAGCTCTCTCCTGCTCTGCTAATGTCTGACTAGCTACCTACTGTAACATCTGTAATATCACTGTAGCATAATTATTGCGCCTACTTAAATACTATATAAAAAGTTAATCTATTGATAATATATGACAGGTTAATGGAATTAATTCAGATGCAGTTGATCAGATCCATGATGCAGAAATATGTCATTAAATATTATCAAATCCTGCTAAGAATGTGGAATATTCAATCAACTATTTTTCCCAAGGCAATTAAATAACAACAATAAAAGCCTTCCTAAAATGCATGATGGCCTTGGGACAGAAACATTACCTTGTGTTAGACTTATAATAATATTATTAACTAGGTATCAAATTTCTTGAGTATAGAGATAGGAAAACTGAAACTTTGAGATTTTAAGTAACTGAGATCACATAATCAACAGAATGAAAAATTTGAACTTGGGCCAGTCTTGAACCCTGTTATATTTTTAACTATTAAGTTCAGAGGGTTAAGTCTTCATTGTTCACCGCAGTGATTTAAAACTACTTGAAGATTAATGGGGCCTAGGACATGCTACTCCAAAATATGGCACCTTGACATTTGAGAAAACAACAGGAACAGGAAGGCCATCTCCCCTTCCCCTTGCCATTCTCCACTGAAGCAGGTCATAAGAGCCTCATTCCAGGGGTACTCTCTCTACACCTGGATGAAAGAAATTTCTCTCTTAAGACATAGAGACACAGAGAAGAATCTGAATAAAAAGGCCTTACTAAATCTCTCCCTACCACCCCCAGTTTATTACCATTAGATCATGTCGTTTTCTCCTCCAATCATATTTCACTCTTCATCAAACCTAAGCATAAAAATACTTATACAAATTTATCTATTTTGGGGAGATCTTCATTTCCTTATGAAGTTTCCCACATCATTAAAAAATAAATAAAATTTATTCTATTAAATAAATGTGTATGCTTTTCTTTTGTTAAACTGTCTTTTGTTGTAGAGGTCTCAACCATAAAGCTTGTAATAGGTAAGAAAGAGATTTTTTTTATCCCCTACAAGATCATGTTTGCAAAATTCATGTTCTAGAAAAATGTCATTTTCTAGCAAAATAATTGGCATATATGTAAACAATAGTAACAAATTCACAATATGTTTAAAGATGTCTTTAGTAATTTTATTATTTTTTTATGTGTCCCCCCAATACATAAAACCACTTTCCCCAAATGTAACATTCTACATTATGGAATGATCTGTCCTTGAGAGAAGATTCAAAGGGAGAACCTGCAGTCACTGTTCTTTTTCCCTCCAGGATTAAGAGCCAAACTCTAACATTTCCTTTTGGTTTGCTAAGAAGAAGGGGGAAAAAAAAAACTACCCATGAGAGTACATTGAGACAACACAATTTGCATATCTTAACAGCCTCCCATGGTGCCCTGCAAGCAAAGAACAGTTGAAGGATATTGAGTTCCTTTTACACAGCATAACCAGCGGAAATTACCACCGATGTTAATTTGAAACAGAATGAGATAGCCAACTGAAGTGCCTTGAGGAAGTATACAAAGAGGGCCTTCTCTTGTTCACAAGGTGCTGACAGTGTGGGTGAGAGTCCATCCTGTGCAGCTGATGTAAGGAATGGCACATCCTTAAATCTCAACACCTGGGCAGAGCTTGGGAGATTTTGAAAGAAAGCTAGACAGACGGTTTCTCATAATGACACTGCAAAAAACCCCCAAAGCCATCTGCAGCTGGCTCACTTAGGAACCAAGTTTAAAGAAAAAAAATCTTTTTTTAGAAAGGCTCATTTATCAATGCCAACAAAGTTAAGCCGCTTAATAAATCCTAAGTTCCCATTTTGGGTAGATATATTTTTACATTATCACTATTTCCGAGAACTCTGAAGTTATTGGCTGTTGTACATAATGATAGGGTGGATCAACCTGTTTTAATCCCAAGTGCAGTCTGAAACGAGAGAAACACCAGTTCAAATGTAAACCAGTTGACCATTCCTTACAGAATTTCATTTTCTATTTGTTTTCACTATTAAAAATATCATCTCCCTTCAATCCACATGAAGTTCAAAATGGAACACATTAGGAATATTGCAGACAAGCATCTAAGATAAACTACCCTTCTGTGACCACAACTCCACCATCAATCTGCTTGTCTCCCCAAATAATCAGATTCTGTGTATTCATTAAACTGGTGATCAGTGTCTCAAAGATGCTTCGATTAAAATACTGGCTTAGAGAAACAGGAAAATGTTCTTCCTAAGTAATGAGAGGCATATTGGGGAGGCAGTACAGGAAAGAAAACTTATTACTTTAGAGCAAAATCAATTTTCTCTAACCTATGACATATAGCCTCTTAACACATAGGATGTCATGAGGTTAAACAGAATGAACATGATATAATGGCATTGTGTAAGTGTACAATGCAAAGCTATTCATTATAAAATAATTTGTTATACTATAGGTTCAGATACACTCTCTTGGAAGCCACCTAAAATCCTTTTTAGAACAAAGTGAGATAAGAATAAATAATGAATAGAAAATACTTCCCTCTGGTTGTATCATGAATTCCTGGCCTACATAATTTATGTACATTGGAAGACTACATTTTTTTTTAAAAAAAGAGAACAAAAATAAAACCTTTGAGTCTCACCCGAGAAGCACTTATCATTTTTTAAGGTTCAGTGATATGCTTGTGGCATGAGTAGTCAATCATACACAAAAGAGCATCTCTAACTATTATAGAACATGTGTTACCGGAACAGGGTCCTGATCCAGACCCCAAGAGAAGTTTCTCCAATCTCAAGCAAGCAAGAATTGGGGCCGAGTCCATAGAGTCAAGTGAAAGCAAGTTTATTAAGAAAGTAAAGAAATAAAAGGATGGCTACTCCAAAGACAGAGCAGCGGCATGAGCTGCATGACTAAGTATAGTGTGGTTGTTTCTTCATTATATGCTAAACAAGGGGTGGGTTATTCATGAGTTTTCTGAGAAAGGGGTGTGGAGTTCCAGGAGCTGAGGACTCCTCTCCTTTTTAGACTATATGCGGTAACTTCTGGACTTTGCCATGGCATTTGTAAACTGTCATGATGCTGGCAGGAGTATCTTTTAGCATGCAAATATATTATAATTAGCGTATAATGAGTAGCGAGGACAACCAGAGGTTGTTTTTGTTACCATCTTGGTTCTGGTGGGTTTTGGCTGCCTTCTTTATCACACCGTTTTATCAGCGAGGTCTTTGTGATCTGTATCCTGTGGGACCAGTCCTGTTGACCTCCTATCTTATCCTGTGATAAAGAATGCCTAAATTCCTGGGAACACAGCCCAGTAGGTTTCAGCCTCATTGTTTAAAATTAATATTTATCTTTATTTCAATAGCTTTTGGAGTACTAGTGGTTTTTGATTACATGGATGAACTGTATAGTGGTGAAGTCTGAGATTTTAGTGTACCCATCACCGGAGTGTACATTGTACCCAATATGCAGTTTTTTTATCCCTCACCCCGCTCTTAACCTCTCCCCCACCCTGAAGACCCAAAGCCCATTATATCACTCTATATGCGTTTGCGTAGCCATAGCTTTGCTCCCACTTATAAGTAAGAATATGTGGTATTTGTTTTTTCATTCTTGCATTTCTTTACTTAGAATAATGACCTCCAGTTCTATCCATGTTGCTGCAAAAGACATTATTTACTTCTAAAAATGGACAAATCTAGAGGCATCACATTACCAGACTTCAAATTATAAGGCTATAATTACCAAAACAGCATGATACTGATATAAAACTAGACACATAGACCAATGAAACAGAATAAAGAACCCAGAAATAAAGTTGAATATTTAAAAGCAACAGATCTTCAAAAAAGCATACAAAACATAAATTGAGGAAAGGATACCCTATTTAATACATGGTGCTGGGAAAACTTCTAGCCACATGTAGAAGAATGAAACTGGATCCCTATCTCTCATCATATTTAAAAAATCAACCCAAGATGGGTCAAAGACTTAAGTATAAGACCCAATGCCATAAAAATTATAGAAGATAACCTAGGAAAAACTCTTCTGGACATTGGCCTAGGCAAAGAATTCATGACTAAGACCTTAGACTCATTATACCCAGCCCCTATTCAAGATGAAGTTACTTTGGTTCAAATGCCTCTGACACATAAAATCTCAGCCTGAGGGACAATGAAATTCTTCAGAGAAAGGAAACAGTTTAACAAGACCTAATAAGCATGGAAGAATGATTTAACCTCAAAGATGGGATGGAACGGGTGTTGAGAGGCAGAAATGGAGGAGAAAAAAAACCTTTGAGATAAGATTTGGAGACAGAAAGAAAGCAGCACACATGTCTGAGACTGTCTATTGCAGGAGATGAAAGGAAGATAAAAATACAACTCTGGCCAGGCGCAGTGGCTCACGCCTGTAATCCCAACACTTTGGGAGGCCGAGGTAGGAGGAACACTTGAGGTCAGGAGTTCATGACCAGCCTGGCCAATATGGTGAAACCCTGTCTCTACTAAAAATAGAAAAAATAGCCAGGCATCGTGGCACATGCCTGTAATCCCAGCTACTTGAGAGGCTGATGCAGGAGAATCGCTTGAACCCGGGAGGTGGAGTTTGCAGTGGGCCGAGATTGGGCCCTTGCACACCAGCCTGGGTGACAGAGTGAGACTCCCTCTCAAAACAAAACAAAACAAAACAAAAACAAAAACAGCTCTGTAAGAAAGAAATGAAAGTTTTGCATTAAGAATGGAAGGAATGAGTTGAAAGACCATTGTTGTTTGTGTGCGCATGTTTCTCCCTAAGTTCTCTACTTCGAAAAGTACCATAATACAACGGGAATGCTTGGAGAAGAAAAGCGTATCCTTATTTCCATTTAAACTTCACCACTACTCCCTGTGGGAGGCAATATGGTCTCCATTTAAGGTAAACTGCGAGTGCCCTTTAACAAAGATGGCACCATCAAGGTGGCACATCTTTTAAATAGCAAGGCTCTAGGATTTGACCCCAGATCTAACTAAAAAATTTCAGAATGATTTTATTCTACATCAAATATTTGTCCTCAAACATTGAATGATTTCGAGATGTGGAGAATAACGTAAAACCTTGACAAGTAAGGTGGATGCAGTTTGTTGATGATATTGCAACAGATGCAAGATTTTTTCATGATTCTGTAACAAATATTTTTTTGGTTTTTGTTTTTTCTTTTTCTTTTTTTTTTTTTTTTTTTTTGAGATAGAGTCTCGCTCTGTCACCCAGGCTGGAGTGCAGTGGTGTGATCTCAGCTCACTGCAACCTCTGCCTCCTAGGTTCAAGCGATTCTCCTGCCTCAGCCTCCTGGGTAGCTGGGACTACAGGCGCGTGCCATCATGCCCGACTAATTTTTTGTATTTTTAGTAGAGACAGAGTTTCACTGTTTTAGCCAGGATGGTCTCGATCTCCTGACCGAGTGATCTGCCCACCTCGGACTCCCAAAGTGCTAGCATTACAGGCATGAGCCACCGCGCCCGGCCCTTGGTTTTGTTTTTCAAATGCCTAGGAAACATGCATAAATATTGCTAAATGGATATCTTTTTTAAAAAATTTGTGTAATTCTCCTACAGTATATTTACATTTATTTTTAAAACTGACTTTTAGCACTGCTATAAGGGATGTTATGTACTGCGAAAAGGCAATGAGATGGTTGCATAAATCAATAGTACATATTTGTAAGCTACGTTCTGCCTAGTATTTGGTATGCTTCTGAGGGAAAAAATATCACAATATGAGACATGGTTCTTATTTCAAAATGAGTTTCAGTCTCCTGGTAGTTGAAAGCCAATCTATACAGGAAAACCAGAAGGCATATTTAATCACACACAATCAAGTGTTTTATTGTTATTATGACTACTATTAGTAAGAGACTTCTGTGAAGAAGAGTATCAAGAAAAGCTTTGAACTAAAAACAGAAGAGAAAAAAGAATGATAAATATTTAGTATTAAGTCTCTAACATATAAAAAATTTGGTTAATGAATGAATAATTGGGAAAATAATTGAGACTAGGGAGCAAAACAAACAAATTATGCAAGTTGTAGCATATGGGGGAACTGTGCATCTGGCTAGAGAAAAATGTTTATTTTGTTCAAATTAGTTCTCGACAGATAATGGAAGGCTTTGATGTCCAAGCTAACGAACTGAAAATGAAAGTAGTCATTTCTATCTTCTTAAAGTTTGATATGGTTTGGCTGTGTCCCTACCCAAGTCTCATCTTGAATTGTTGTTCCCATAATCCCCATGTGTCATGGGATGGACCCTGTGGGAGGTAATTGAATCATGGGGGTGGTTACCCTCATGCTGTTCTCAAGATAGTGAGTTATCACGAGATCTGATGATTTTATAAGGGGCTCTTCCTCCTTTTTCTTGGCACTTCTCCTTGCTGCTGCCATGTGAAGAAGGACGTGTTTGCTTCCCCTTCTGCCATGTTTGTAAGTTTCCTGAGGCCTCCTCAGCCATGCTGAACTGTGAGTCAATCAAACCTCTTTCCTTTGTAAATTACCCAGGCTCGCGTATGTCTTTATCAGCAGCATGAGTACAGACTAATACCATGTTCTTAGAGAACCTTGTCTAATTACAATATTCTATGATCCTGGATGTCATACAAATCCCTGGTTTTTAAAGTCTGAATAGTTTTCTCCCACAACTTGTTTTAAAGAGTGAGGACATACTGGGCACCTGATTCTGAAAACACCTCATTCATAATAACACACTACCTATGTGAGATAAAAATGTAAATGAGCTGACTATGTTTTTTTATTTTGTTCTGTTTTGGTGCTACTAAAAGGCTATTCTTAAAACTGTTTATGTACATGAACAAATGTTTAAATTTGGTGAAAGTTCTGCCTGTTCAAAAGTGTTGGAAGAAAACTCCATCTCATCACAAGGGTCACATGTGGAGTAAGGTTTTGAATTTGGCTGCTCATCTTCCATTACCTGGCTAATGGGAAATTATGTAAGGTCTGGAAGATATTTTGGAAGCCTCTTCTATGTGTGGCCCTGAAATACTTTTGGGGAACTCAACAAATGCCTGTTGAAAGAAGAAAGTAACAACACAAATTAGGGTAAGCAAATTATGTGAATAATTCTTAGGACCTTTGTGTAATATCAAAGTTTAGATTTATCAATTATGGCAAAATTGCTTTGGGGGTGAAACTGAGAAAACAATTAAAAAGGGGAAAAATGTTGCTAGGCTGTGTATTGGACAAAATTGTGCTGCCACATCTGTCCAACGGAAACCCAATCTTGGAATTACTGTTGTACATAAAATGAAGACAATAACATTTAATTACTTGGCTAAAAGAAAATGCCACAGCATGGGAAAATAAAACTTCTCAAAATAAGGATCAGATTAAAACTGTGGGCTCTCACCTACTGCTTCAGTGGCTCCTGTGAGCTCCGACAGCTTTCAAATTGCTTAAATAGTTAGTAAGGTGATTGTAACATTGACCAGTAAATGACATAAATCTAGAATTAATTATAAGGACTTAAGTAAGCAACAAGAAAGGGGTTCACTGGATCCAGGTTTCTTGTGAAATGTCGGCATTAATGAAATTTTAATCAGTTTGTTTATCTAAGGAAGAATTATTTGCATATCATATTGCAGAAAATATAGTACTATAGTAAAGTTACCTGACTTTAGACTATTATTTAAGTGAATCACTTGTATCTTAATTTTCTTAGACAATTTATAGTCTTTGGTTTTTATCAGGCCTGTGTCCAACTTGTCACGTTGACTGAAATTAAGCAATACTTAATGAGATCTCTCATGGGACCTCTCTCATATTTTACAGAACTGCCCATCTTTCTCATCTCCACACCTCCTGAAATGTCATTCTTCCATCTAATTTGGAGTAAGTTGTTATTTATGGATTGTTTTAAATTTATGAAGTGGTGAGGGGTGTTATAGTTAGCTGGATGTCCCTGTGAAGTTCCACAGATCAGTGGTGAAGCCATCCATTTACCAATTGACTTTTAACCTTCTCTAGCTGACAAAATGTGATTTATTTTCGTGCAAAGAAAATGAGCTAAATGTTTGACTATAGCCAGGTTTTTTCTTGTAGCCTGAGTATATTGCACCTGAAAATCAGCTATTTCCTCAAAATATAACATAGATCAAGGTTAGTGTTTTCCATGAAAGAAACCATAGGACATTAATGGTTACAGGTGGAATATGTATTTTTATTGCACTTTATGTTGGTAATTTCCAAATCAGTTTCCATCTTGGAATAATTGTTTTATATGCACATTATAACCTACAACAGTACTAAGATTTTCTTCACTACCAAAATTTATTGTCTTCCGGAGCTTATCCTGAAGCTTAGTATAAGTAGCATTCAAATAGAAATGAGATAGAGTAAAAGAGATTTGCTTCGTGAGAACGGAAGTCTATATATGGGATTAAAAGTTATATAAATTATTATTTGAGCAAGGATTTATTGAAACCTCCAAACTCACTTACCATTGTACCAATATTGTTTTATTAAGAATCCAAGATTGTACAATGTTAGCATATTTGAATGCTTAATGGATCCTGGGCACTGTTGTAAATGCTTTATGTGGCTTATTTCCTATTTAGTCCTTTTGACAACTTTATGAGATAGGTGCAATTACTATGCAAATTATAAAGAGGGATAAACTGAGGCCTTAAGAGTCAAAAACAGTCTGGAGGTACGACCACTAGGAAGTAGCATGCTGTATGAATAATTTTTTTTTTTTCAATACTTTGCTTTGACATGCTGGAGCCTTGCAGACCCAGGGAGGGACTGCACCTTAGAGGGCTAGCTTAGCTAGTAACTAGAGATAGCAAACAACTTGCTTGTGTGCACACCTTTGATATGCAAACAAACCAATCCAGAGTCTATAATTTAACCACCTCCTTTATCAAACTTTCACACACTAAGTCAACATTCCCTCTGACATAAATTACCCCAGAGGCAGGTGCTGGACAACTAGTGACCACTCCCATAGCCCATGGCCTGCCAAAATTATTCAAACTCTCCAATCCTAAGCCTGCTCAACTGCTTCGCCTGCCTCAGCCTTCCTTTCTGTGGAAATCACAATAAAGGCTCGGGCCCATGCTTTCCCCCTACTCCTTCTGCCTCCTGACTGACCCTGGGGCTTCGCCATATAGCTGCACATGGTATGGAGTGTCCCTTCTTGTGAGAACTATGAGAAACAAAGTATATTTTTAATGGCAACTGTCTCCTGACCTGTTGGCCTCTCCATACCTGAATTAAAACAAAAAGTCTAAGTACACTTTACAAAATGTACCCGGAGTTGAGCCAAGGCCCTTTGGCTGCACATCCCCTTCCTCTTTTTAACCCCAAGGATATTCTTCTTCCTCCCTTCCTTCTTCCATCTTCCCTCTCCATCTTCTCTTCTTCTCCTCTTCTTTATTTTTTTCTTTTCTTCTTATTCTTTCTTCCTCTTTTCTTGTCTTCTTCCTTCTCATCCTCCTATTCCTCTTCTTCCTTTTCCTTCTCTTCTTTCTCTCCTTCTCCTTCTTCTCCTTATTTTCCTTCTCCTTCTCCTCCTTCTCTTCTTTTTCTCCTTCCTTCTCCTCCTCCACCTTCTTCTCCTTCTCCTCCTTCTCCTTCTTCTTTTCTTCTTCCAATTTGCTTTTAATTTAAAAACTGAGATTTACATGAAGTCATAGAAATGCACAAGGAGGTTTTATGCACCCTTCACCCAGCCTCCCCCAAAGTCTACACCTTGCCTAACTAGAATACAATTTAACAACTAGGAAATTGACAGTGGTACAATCCACAGAACTTATTCTTGTTTTATTAGTTATACAGGCACTTGTGTGTATGTGTAGCTCCTTGCAATTTTATCATGCATGTAGCTTCTATAACCACTACCACAATCAAGATATTCCACTATGCCAGCATCACAAGCTTTCTTCCCATTACCCCTATATAGACATGCCTACTTATCTCCATTCTTAATCCTCTGGCCCCAGGAAACAACTGATTTGTTCTTCATATTTACAAAATGTTATTTCACAATGTTATATAAATGGAATGATGCAGTATGTATCCTTTCGAGATTGGCTTTTTTTCACCGTTCTCATTTCCTTAAGGTTAATCCAAAGTGTTGCACTCATTTCCTTTCATTGTTGAGTAATATTCAATAGTAATAATAATCCATCCATTGAAGGACATCTGGATAGTTTCCAGTTTGGGGGTGTAATAAATAAATCCGCTATGAACATTTGTGTATAAGTTTCTATATGATACATTGATATTCGCAAGGAAAACACAACTCCTGTTATCCACACTCTGGTATTGCCCTTTCCCCTTGAATTTGGAGATCTCTTTGAATCATATTAGCCAAGGGAAGGCAGCAGCAGTGACCCTGTGCCAGTTTGGAGCCTAAGCCTTAAGAAGCTTCTCTTCTGGCTTTTTGGAAGTCAACTTTCCTGATAACCCAATCCTGTAAGGAAACCCAAGCTAGCCACACAGAGAGATTTAAGGGAGAAGAACCAAGCAAGCCAGACATAAGTATGAACCAAAGCTACTGGGTCACAGACACAGCTGAGTCCCAGGGAACAGTCATTATCAACCTGCTGTTGAAAGTTGAAGCCATCTTTAAAGCATATCCTTAAGCCATTCCAGGTGATCTCATTGAAGCAAACAAGTTATGTTTGCAAAATAGTGACCAAATAGCAAAATCATGAGTACATAAATAGAATAGTTATCATTTTAAATCACTAAGTTTGTAGAAGGTTTGTCACACAGCAATACATAATGGGAATGGAAATAACACATCCTGGTATATAGTAGGTCCTTGGCACATGCTAGTTTTTTCATTAATTTGCTAAAATTCCAGGCTCTTATTTTAAATAAATAGTTATTGACTACATGCAATTAAATAGGTAAAGTGCAACGATGTATATTACTTGTAGCATAAACATATCTGGTACCTGAATAGTCCAGAAATGCTATGGATCAGGAATCACAGGAGCTAAGATCAGTTTATAGCTCTAACACTACCAGGCTTTGAACATGACATATCATGGACAATTATTAGAATCAGAAAAAACAACTGCTATAAAATCATTTTATATGTTGTAAAGCACTAAACAAATATAGGGTATTCTGAAGTGACTTGCCAACAATGTAGTTGTTGGTTGATAAATAAACATTAATACAAATAAAACACATATGCCCATTATATTTAAGGAGCATTGAATTTATACCACCACCATAGTGTGTTTACATATTATACAGCAAGTGTTATAATTTCAATAATTTGGGACCTGACAACATCTGATATAGAGGCAGACATGTCTTTTCAGAATTTGTTTCTAAGCTATTATTGGCTTTCTTTCATCATTTAGCCCAAATTAAGTGTTGGTTAATGTGGTTACATTTTACTGGAGCTACTAAAATAAGGTTACATAAAGCAGAAGATGGAAATAAAAGTTTACAACAAGCTTCATTCTGCTTTGTTTCTTTGAAGCTCAGTGGAAAGTATGACAGCATTGCACATTCAAGTCTTTGCATAGTAGTAAGCAAAAAATAATAATAATAATTATAAAGAACATAACAAGCTGGAAGGAAAAAGAAAAACAAGCCAGAACAAATTCTAGCTGTTGATGATTTCCTAAGGAGATCCCCCTTCATGGTGCATGAAGAAAAGCATCATAAATTGTGTCCAAAATCATGTTTTCTTTTTGTCTGAAACCTGGAAAATTCAAAAAGTAAGTTTCTTTGGATTTATGCTGCCCTAGATAACCAATTTGTGGCCAATTTTTCTTCTCACCTAATTTTTCAGTTGTTTTGGGATAGGTTACTCTTCACATGTATTTGACGATCCTCCAAGTTGATTAAAAGCAAGACAGAGACAGAGCACAAGTAAAGGCCTTCAGTCTCATTTAGTATAAAATTCATTTCAGAAAAGCATGGCTACAAAACATAGCTGAATGAAGAAAGACATTAGGAAAATTTTTAAAAAGCTGCCATACATATGCTATTTGGGGAATTTCCCAGTGTTTGGCCCATCGCTAGGTCCATTTCTCCTTTATATGCATTCTTCTGCCAAATTACACAGTATAAAATTGCTTTTGTTTGGATCTTGGCCTGCAACTTAAAGTGTCTTTGAGAAGACTTAAAGCTAGAATTTATTTTTCTAATATATATTGATAGTAAAAATGAGATTGTAGTGGAGGACAAGAGGTTTAAGAAAAATATTTGAATCTGAATTAGAAAATTTCAAATTCATTGCTCAGTGGAGAATACTTTAAAAACAGTTCAATTACAAAGCGCTTAATCACCAGTTTATCTATGCTACACCTATATTAATCAAGCAATCTTCTAAACATAAATTGCGTCAAATGAGAAAAGCTAAATGGTTAACTAATCAAATATGTTTATAACTTTGACCAAAAGGCTCTGGGTGGCATATAATTAGATATGGGAATTAGAGGTGATGGTGATAATTGATTCATTGCCTGAGCTTTCCACCTTTAAAATTTATTTTTGCATACGTAGGCCTTACAACTAAATCACAGTTTCGCCATCTTTGTCAGAAAAATAAATGTCTCAAATGACTATATTTTTAAAAAATACAAATAATGGTGAAACTGAGGTGGTGAACGTTTAAAATGCAACAATTTTTTTTTTTTTTTTTTTGAGACAGATTCTTGCTCAGTCGCCCAGGTTGGAGTGCAGTGGCGCGATCTCAGCTCACTGCAAGCTCCACCTCCTGGGTTCACACCATTCTCCTGCCTCAGCCTCCTGAGTAGCTAGGACTACAGGTGCCCACGACCATGCCCAGCTAATTTTTTTGGTATTTTTAGTAGAGACGGGGTTTCACCGTGTTAGCCAGGATGGTCTCGATCTCCTGACCTCGTGATCCACCTGCCTTGGCCTCCCAAAGTGCTGGGATTACAGGCGTGAGCCACCATGCCCGGCCAATATTTTACTTACAGGTTTACAAATCTAATACATTGTGAATATAAACTTGACTTCGATTTTTTTAAAAAGTTCTTCTAGATTTAAGATATATATTTAAGAGTAGTCTAGATTGCTCTTGGATCATATGCTCCTTAGATACTAACTACTTGTACACACAATATTACATATAGTATATTGGTACAGAGAGTTTATGTGAGCACTTGGCAACAAAATAGTCAAAATTTAGATATGTTTATTTAACTTAATGAGACTATTTAGTTGGAAAAAGAAAGCAACTTTTGAAGAGTAAAAATTGTTTTGGATTAACTATTTAAATACATTTTTAATGAGTTATAATATTTTCACACATGGTTTTTGATCATAAATATTATGGCTAGATAGTCTGTTCTGTTCCTAAGATTATTTAAAAACTAAAACTAAAACAATCAGATGAGCAAACAAAAAAACTATACACCAGTATTTTCTTCTAATCCTTTTGTATTTTTACTTTCTACCATTTAAATTATTTAACGTGCAAGTTAACTTTATGTGACTTCAGTTATTTTTTATTCCTATTCTAACCAAATTTCTAATTTTATATTCAAATAAAACACAATGTTTTTAAGAATTTGAAATACTACTTCTACTACAAACCATATAACTTTATCAAATACCACTTTTGCCACATAACATCTTTTCAGCTCATCTTCCGAGCTGAAAAGGCAGCTGACTGTAATAGGAATGGCAACTTGGCTGAAAACAGAAATCTCTCCCTTTCAGCCCCAGCTCTTTTTCTGCCACAATTGTAGGATTATTGGTGAAACCACTCAGCCACTGTGACACATGCACAAATCTAGACACGCAAGTGAATTAATACCCTTGATCAAAGGCAATCCCAGACCAATGTTGTACAGGAGACTTTGGATAAATAAATACACCACTCTTCTGTTCCCCAATGGAGAAGATGTATGCTACATGGCTCCTTAGAGTGTCATTAGTGAGACCAAGCCCCAGTTGTCCATTGAGTTACCAGTTAAGTAAGAGATCTTAAGACTGCATTTTCCTCTTTTCTTGTTCCGGTCTTCCAAGTTCCCTGCTCTTATTCTTTGGAATAATTCCCTACATGCCAGAAGCTATCTGGATTCAAGCCTTTATCTCAGCCTCTGATTTTAGAGTAAACCCTAGCTAAGGAATAAATCATCATTTATTCTCATTTCTATTTATTTCTTCTATTCTATACCAGTTATATACCCTTTCATGGTTTTATTACATATTTTAGTATCTGGTAAGACCACTTTACTTATGTTATTGTTTTCAAACAACCCTAGGCTGCTTTCATAAATGTATTTTCCCAGTTAACTTTGAACCACTTTGGCAATTTCAAAGTTCTATTAATTTTTCAGATTAGAAATTAATTATAAACTTTTATCCAATTTCACACTTCTCCAATTACCAGCTGTAAGGAGTCATGTTTTTTTTTCTTCTTTAAGCCCTAATATCCTCTTTTATGAAATAAGCAAAATAATTCCTTCAAGTTAATATGCATAGTAAGTGAGATATACACACACATATACACACACGAACACATATAAAATCATCATACAGTGGCTGACACATAGTAGACACTAAGCACTCAATCAATGGCTGGTATATACATGTCTACACGGATGTCATTACAATATTGAGTCTCATAATCTAGAAACATAGCATATCATTTCATTAGTAGAAGTAAACCTCATATCCTATAGTAAAAAATAATGTTTTTTTAAAATCAGTGCCACCTTTTTTTTTTTTTTTGCCGTAAATCTTTTAAAGCTTTTTCTAAAAATATTTGATTGGCAGTTTTGAATAGGATAATTTTAATTTTATTTTCTAACTACTTAAAACTAATAGTTTATGTTTAGTAGGCACTTCCATGGGAAGTACATTGCTGAATGCTTTATGTTTGCGATTTCAATTGTTTTCACAATTGTTTGACATGGGAAATATTATTAACTTCAATTTACAGATGAAGAAGTAGACACCAAAAGGCTGAGAATATTTCTTCAGCTGGTGAATGACTAATCCCAAATTCAATTCAGGGTTAACCTTGATTTTTAGGAAAACAATTGATGTGTCTATATTGTTGTTATAGCCAGCCATCGACTACTTATGCTTGTTACTTCTAGTTATGTCTCCTTGATTCTCCTGCTTTTTTTTTTTTAAAAGGTAATCATGTTAACTCTAACTACCGAGAATCTTGCTTCCTCTTTTCTAATATTTATTTTTCTAATACATTTCTGAACAAATATAGTTTTGGTGAATTAAAAGCAATAATTTTTAAGTTCATGTTAAAATTTGTTAACAGAAATAAAAGTCAAGTACCCTTGGGACAGAGTGTCCTCCACATTTCCAAATCTAAAATATTTTGTTAAGTTTGTTTGCCAAACCCTGAACACCTAGAGGCTCTCCATCTTTTTTTAAAAATAGGATACTACTGCCACCATATAATTGTCCTAAC
Organism: Homo sapiens; assembly: GCF_000001405.40. Classification (NCBI taxonomy): domain Eukaryota; kingdom Metazoa; phylum Chordata; class Mammalia; order Primates; family Hominidae; genus Homo; species Homo sapiens. The sequence goes on from NC_000017.11 coordinate 71,001,919, forward strand.
CTCATCTTGTAGACATTCTCTGACGCTCGGTTTTAAAAGGCAAACTCTAAGACACCCAGGAGCATGTGGCAGGGAAAGGTGTTTGGGGTTCAGGTTAACCACCTTTCCCACCCAGGACACCACATTTGGCTCAAAGCTTCCCTCCAGATGCCTGACACAAACCAAAAAACAGGAGTCTGGAGTCCAAGTTCTGAGTGAGCAGTTTAATTTTCAAAGGGCACATAGCTAAGAGGCGACTTAAATTTTCCAATAAGTTCTTCAGCTTCTCTTTTCATCACATTCACAGATTGGGGCATTGAAATTGAGGCCTTCCATGGTGGTAACTTTTTGAAACAAAACTTGCTTATTTTCCAGACCCAAGGCATTGAGCTAATAGGTCTATCTTCGTCCCCGCGGAACCTGCCGCGAGCCAGGGAGAGCAAAGAACAGCTACCAAATGTAGATCAAGAGAAGACCTGCCCTTGCATGCACCCACACAAAAGAGAGAAACAACACCAGCATGAGAAGATTCCAACCAGTCATCAAGGTCATTCTATGGTTGGTTTGTTGAATGATTTTCCCAGGTGACTCAATTCATGTTGATTAATGGTGGTGCCAGAATCTTTGTTACACATATTTCCAAGATGTTCTAGGGTGTTATCTCAAAGCCCTTTCTCAAACTTGTGTGATAAATGTTTCTACAACATTGAGAAAGTTAAATGAACTTACGCAGAAATTTTGAAATATTAATAGAAAAAGAGTTGGTTTTTTTTTTTGCATTAAACTTTGACGAGAGACATGAGACAAGAATAGTATCATAAGAACCTCTCCCCATAAAAAAATGATTGTGAGGTGTGTATATATATATATGTATGTATATCAGATCCTTAAACATATGTATGTGCACAGACTAATGATCCTTAAATCATTAGTGAGTATACATACATATGTTTACGTGTGGAATGTGTATGTGTATATATATATAATTCTAGCACAGAAAACAATACCATAAAACCATAATGCCATAATAGGCCATCATTTGTTAGTCTTGAAATAAACAATGAATATCAACTCTGCCCTACATGACTACAATCCCTCTATGATAGGAAAATCTATGATTTACAAACAACTGTGGGTAACAATGGAGCAGTTTCTGTATATACAACCAAAGGCCAATGGTGGAACTAACCACTTAACTCTTTTTCTGAGAATTCCAAGACTAGGAACTATAGTTGTGTAAGCATAAATAAATTATCTGTCCACTAAATTAAGTAAAATACTAATTCTTTCTCCAACGTAGTGGTCTGAGCTCTATCTAAAAGGATAATATAATAAGAGATCAGAAAAGATATCCAGAATAAAATAAATAAAAAATAAAATAAATAAATAAAAAACCAGGAAGGCCGCAGGGGGAAAATACCAGGTATATAGAACAGGAAGCTATGTGACCAGTTTAAGAGATGTGTACGTATGGGAAAGAGATGAAATTCAAGCAGCAATGTGATTTTTATAAGGAAAATGATTTTTAAAATAAGCAAAATATAGAAGTAGCTGATCTTGGCTTAAGGGATGACAGAAGGCCAAAATTAAATAGCATTTCATTAGCCTTTTAAATGGAGTGACTCCATAAATGAGTGTTTTAAAAACATAGACATCAAATTAACCCAACTACTGAAACTGACAGTTGAAGAACCATTAATCTTGGAAGGGATATTTCCCTTTAGGCTTCTGGAACAGATCCTTAAATCGTTAGTGTGTGCACATACATATGTTTATGCGTGCGATGTATATTCAGACACATGCTTAGACACCCACCTGGAATATTAAATTGACCTGCTTTCAACAATTGGCTAATGATTAGAACTCCCCGAAGGCAAGCGGAGGAAAGAGAATTTGTTGCTAAGAACAGGGACAGAGAGAAGTGGACAAGAGATGCTAGTATCCCCACCAAGTCCTCCCAGCCCCCTTGCATCTGCGGTTTCTCTCTCCCTGGGCCCTCCCTGCAGAGCTGCAGTTACCTGCGGAAATACCCAGGCTCCGCTCTGAGCACCAGGCTGTCTCCCGGAGTCCCTATGTAGCCAAGTGGAGCCGGAGGGTTGATCCCCTAGCCCCTACACACAGCCTTCCTTTCACCACCTTCCGTTTATACAAAGACTGGCTTATCCCAATTTTTTTTCCTGTTGCCTTTTCAATGAAAAGCTCTCCACGCGCGGCCTAATAAAATTCTACGCCTGCCCCACCCCCATCCCAAAAATCCCTGCCAAAAAAAAGAGAGAGGGGAGACTAAAACCTGGAACTCATTTAGCTAAAGGGACTTTAGTTAACAAGAAAGTTACCCATCATGAACTGCAGGTAACACCTCCCGTGATCCTAAATCCATTACCTGGAGACTTAGCCCAGGCTGAGTTTGATTTTATGAACTGTGAGGTTGCAATGTTGAAAGTCTGCAAATTGGACATAAATTGGACGCAAAAGACTGGGGGAGTCGAGTGATTTTCTTTCTAATGGTATAACAAGCTTTGGCTCTTACCAGAGATTCCTGTAATCTGGAGCAGAGACAAGGATGGGTGCCTGTATCAGTCACGCTCTCAATCCAAGATTTCCCCTCCTCCAAAAAGGTTTGACTCTGACTCGAGCAGCTCTATCTAGGGCAAAATCATATGTTACCATGTGAATTACTCATAATCGCACTGAAGTGTTTGACCAAGCAAGGAATGTCGTAACGTGCGTGCATGCATACACACACACACACATACACACACACACACACACACACCAGTGTATACCAGTCTAATTCAGGAATAGAAAATGGGTTCTCTCCTGCTTGTTGTCTCTTACCATCAACAATATCCTGTGATGTTTTTGACTGAAACACTTTTCAGCTGGCTTCCTTGGCATTCTTGTACAACTTTATTTTAGAGAGGATGGCGGATGTCATAACTAATTCAATCATCAGCTTCTGAGTTTTAAGGAACACAAAGGCTACCTTCAGATTGGGGTTACAGCCCCCTTTCAATTTAATTAAGTATTTGTTTAATGCTTATTTTGTAAAAGGATCTAAGGATGATCCAGAGATTAGAATCTGGGAAGGCTCACAGGTGTCATAACCGAAGTATAAGGCCAGGCATAACAAATTTCTAATAAAGATAAAATATGAAAATACAGAGGAAAGAAAGATAAAATCCAACCGGGGACTGGGAAAAAAATGTGAAAATCTGGGCTTCAAATATTTAATTGTGATTCAACAAATGGATAGTGGTGTTGGTTTGGGGTGGGGAGTAGAAATAGGTATCCCAAACAGAAGGAAGGATTTTAGAAAAAAACACAGCCTTGCAGCATAGCAAGACCTTGTCTCTATTAAAAAAATTAGCCGCCCAGGTGCGGTGGCTCACGCCTGTAATCCCAACACTTTGGGAGGCTGAGGTGGATGGAACACGAGGTCAGGAGTTCAAGACCAGCCTAGCCTAGATGGTGAAACCCCATCTCTACTAAAAATTCAAAAATTAGCCAGGCATGGTGGCGGGCACCTGTAATCCCAGCTACTCGGGAGGCTGAGGCAGAGAATTGCTTGAACCAGGGAGGCAGAGGTTGCAGTGAGCCGAGATTGTGCCATTGCACTCCAGCCTGGGTGACAGAGCAAGACTCCATCTCAAAAAAAGAAAAAAAAAAAATTAACCAGGCACAGTGATGCAAGTCTGTAGTCCCAGCTACTTGGAAGGCTGAGGCAGGGGGATTTCTTGAGCCTGGAAGTTCAAGGCTACAGTGGGTTATGCTTGTGCCACTGTACTCCAGCCTGGGTGACAGAGCAAGACTCTGTCTCAAAATAAAATAAAATACAAATAGAAAAAAACAGCAGAAGAAAAGTTCATGGAATGGCCATTTGAGTGGCATTGGCCTGGTCTACTATTCATAAGCGAAGAGAGAAACAATGGATAAAAACTTGCAGGTGGCATTACGAGCAAATCCAAATGCCAGGCTGAAAGTTTGGCCTCTACACATACGCAACAGTAGAAGTTTGGGGAACATTTTGAACATGGTAAGTGCACCATAGATCTGCATGAGTAAGTTTGCTCAAATCAACAGTAATAGCACACATTTAAGTGTCTCGAATTCTAATGATGGTATACTGTATAACGATTTAAGTGGAAGAAATAGGTTAAATATGTTTTTTAAAGTGAATACAAAAACAGTTATAAAAGTGTGTGTAGTAAACTATTATCAAATTTTTTAAACAAAATAGTTAAATATTCTTTATGGATTCACATGTATCAACTCCCCGATGGTAATTACCTACAGGGAAGTAGAAGGGAAAAGAGATATAGCTCTAGTGTTTTATTTACTTAAAAATAAACATTAAAAAGTAAAATTGGAACGCAAAGCAAATATGCCAAAATTTAACATCTCTTTTATGTGGGTATTGGGTATGCTCTTCCATAAGATTAAATATTTTATAATTTTTTTTAAATGCAAATTTTTCTATCTCCTTTTCTTTACACTCAGTGAGATGGTTTGGATCTGTGACCCCACCTAAATCTCTTGTCAAACTGTAATCCCCAGTGTTGGAGGTGGGGCCTGGTGGGAGGTGATTGGCTAGTGGCGGCAGTTTCTAATGGTTTATCACCATCCCCTTAGTGCTGTTCTCATGGCAGAGGTCTCACAAGATCTGGTTTTTAAAAGTGCGTAGCACTTCCCCTCTCTCTTCCTCCTGCTCTGGGCAAGTGAAGACGGGCCTGCTTCCCCTTGACCTTCCGACATGACTGTAAGTTTCCTGAGGTCTCCCCAGCCATGCTTCCTGTATAGCCTGCAGAACTGTAAGCCAAGTAAACCTATTTTCTTTATAAATTACCCTTATGTATTTATTTATAGCAGTGTGAGAATGGACTAATACACTCACCCAATACTTGAGCTCCATCTGAAGCTTCCTCATGTATTTTCTCAGAGTCTTGGGGAGTTTATCACATGTGCTCACTAATAACTGTGGTCATTCACCAGGAAGTGCTTCTCGTGTATTGCTACCTCCACAGGAAATGCCCCAGGGATGCTTTGCTGAGACTATCTCGGTATCTTGGTGGGTGTCAGGCAGGTAGTACAGTTTCCTTCTAGAAACTGTGCCTCACTCCCATCCAAGTACTAACCAGGCCTGGCCCTGCTGAGCTAGCAAGATCAGATGAGATCAGGTGCATTACTCCCATGTTTATTGCAGCACAATTCACAATAGCTAAAATGTGGAAGCAACCAAAGTGTCCATTGACAGATGAATGGATAAAGAAAATGTGGTACATATACACAATGGAGTACTATTCAACCATAAAAAGAATGAGATCCTGTCATTTGCAACAACATGGATGGAACCGGAGGATATTCTGTTAAGTGAAATCAGCCAGGCAAAGAAAGCCAACCTTCACATGTTCTCATTGGTGGGAGCTAAAAATTAAAACCACTGAACTCATGGAGACAGAGAATAGAATGACGTTTACCAGAGGCTGGGAAGGGTTGTGAGGTCGGGGGAATGGGGACAGTTAATGGGTACAAAAATAGAGTTAGATAGAATGAAGATCTAGTATCTGATAGCACAACACGGTGATTACAGTCAATAATAATTTATTGTAGATTTAAAAATAACTAAGCAAGTATAATTGGAATGTTTGTAACACAAAGAAGTGATAAATACCTAAGGTGATAGATAGCCCATTTACCCTGATGTGATTATTATGCATTGTATTCCTGTATCAAATTACCTCATGTGCCCCGTAAATATATACACCTACTATTAGCCATAACAATTTTTTTTTTTTAAATAGCAACTGTGCCTCACTGAATGTCAGTGCATCTCTACGGGGCAGTATGTGTCTCCTTCTTATCTCTGACAGCACTTCTGTCCAGAAAAATTCCTGCAGAGTATTCTTTATTCCCTACAGATGTTTCCACCCATACACTGAAATATATTTTGGGTCCAAAGTCTGCTGTAAGTGGCAGAGAAATGAGGGCTAGCAACCCTAATCCTTTTGTATTATCCACAGTTTGTAGGATACCAAAGTGATGGTTATCTTGCCCTTCAAGTATACAGGCTTTTTATAGGAAAATATTTCTTCTAGCTTTTAAGTCCATAGCTCTCTTCTGGATGAAGGCATTAAGTCCAGTAGAACAACTGTAGGCTCTGGGCTGAACTCAGAATCATCTCTCTGACAACTCAGGTTTTACTATTTGATCAAGCTTTACTTTTCAATTCTGTTTCCCTCAATATGAGTTTCTCCTAAGAGGCTTCCTAAGCCCACTTAGAGATAAATTTTTTGTCCCAACTTTCCACCAGTTTAAATGACATGCTCGGACATAGTTAAGACTCAAGTTGGATTCTCGAGGACACCGGGAGGTTTGTTCTGGCAGAAGCATGTGGAACAACCTGGGAACGGGAAGAGGCTGAAGTCAGGGAGAACAGAGAAGAAGAAAGCTACTGCAGGCACTCAGGCAAACTGTGATTGTTACGTGTAATCATGTTACAGCAGTCTTCTTTTGCTGATGTATTGGGGATGCTCTATGGAATATGTATTTTATATATGCATTGCAATGGCATTCTCTCTAGTACTTCAAGTCTGAAAACCAATATATGGAAAAACTGAGTCTCCATATAGGCTACCTCTAGGATACACTATAGTGAGTAAAGATAGTTAAAACCCTTAGAAACAGACTCTTCCTGTCTGTGTCCATGATCCTAAAACAAAAACTCTTGGGAAGATAAGAATGAATGAGGAAGTGTATGGGGGTGGGAAGAGTTAGATAATTAATTTTGCAAACACTCTATTAGTATTACCTTTAAATATGCTATTACATATTTAACATATATGCCCACTACCCACAACTACTGCCTATAAAACCAGCTGAGCAAAAGCCATCAAAGAAAAACAGCCATGAAACATGTTTAGATCAGGCCGCTTTCTCTCATCGTGTAGTAAAATATTGAGTTTGAGGCCGAGTGTGGTGGCTCATGCCTGTAATCCCATCACAGGAGTTTGAGACCAGCCTAGCCAACATAGTGAAACCCCTTTTCTACTAAAAATACCAAAATTACCCAGGAGTGGTGGCACACACATATAATCCCTGCTATTCAGGAGGCTGAGGCAGAAGAATCCCTTGAACCCAGGAGACAGAGGTTGCAGTGAGGCGAGACCATGCTATTGCACTCCAGCATGGGCAACAGAGTGGGACTTTGTCTCAAGAAAAAAAAAATTAGGTTTTGCATTGTAAAAGCAAAATGCCTTCAGATCTTATGAATGGAGTCTTGTTGATCTTAAATAGTTACTGGCATGGTTCAAAGGAGAATGAAGACAAGGAAAGGAATTAAGTGAAACTTCAATATTACCTTGAAGTAGATAAATAGCTTCATTCGACTTGTCCCCATTGTTACAAAAACTAATGGTTTAAGGTGAAGGCTATTTTTTTTTCAATTTCATTTAAAGATGAGTTAGGTATCCACAGTTTTGGATGTGCGCAGATTTTTGCCTGAAAATTTTGGAAGCCAGAGTATAACAGGAGAAAAAATAAATCACCACCAAATAGAATACAGCATTGCATAAATCTGAAAGTTCTCCACATTTTGTGAAGTGAGGGGTAAAAACCCTTGCTGAACAGAGCAACAAGAAAAACTAACCCAGAGTATGAATTTTCATATAGAGTAGGAAAGATAAGGATGGACAAGACAGGAACGTGTGGTTAATTCCAGTTTTAGGCATATTTATGTGGCTAGCATAGGCCAAACAACACTATGGCTTAATTCAGCTAATTGCTGTAGAGCAGAATATGAGAAAATATCTTTTCTAACGTTTTTAATTTGTCATTGCTACCACTACAAAAGCAACAAACTATTTCATAATGGTGATTTCACATCGTATACAATATCATTTTGGGGATGGACTCAGTTTCTAAGAAGCCCTGTTTTCTTTATCATCCTTAGAAAAAAACGGAAGAATTTCATCCACGTGGAACAAGAATAATCTTTACTCCTTTCTCTTTGACTTTAACAAAGTCAAGTCTATCAGTGAAGGTGAATTACTGCTAACATCTTCAGTGTAACGAAAGATACGTGAATTTTGGCAACAATATTATTCATTTGAATTTTTCTGTGTCCCAAATGTACTTAGGAGCAACAGCAGAACCAAGATCCCAAGATTCTACAGTTTATTTATAAATTTAATATAAGTCTTTCCTGCTCCCTTCTTCTTTTTTTTTTTCTCCTTCACAAAATAAAATTGTGTTCCATTCTTATATAGGGCCATTTTAAGGAATTAACTATTGTGGGGAGTCAGCATCATAAATAATTTGAGTTCTTTCATAAGAACTGGAAAATTGTCTAAGCAATTGCCAGTTAAAATAATGGTAGATGCGAAATTAAGTCTTCCGCTGCAGTGTGTAAACTGAGTAGCAGTTGTGGCATGGGAAGGCATTTCCCTCTGCTTATTTATTTACCGTATTTTCTGGACCCTCCTATGGTAGGAAAAGCCTGAAGACACAGTCACGAATGGCCAAATGTAGTGGCATGGAAGGCACCTTCTTATCTATTTATTTATTTATTTTTCTTTCTGCATCTTACGAAGACATGCAAATATGGGAAACACTACCAGTCGGCAGTATTTTTGTAGCACGAGCTGCATTATGGGCTGTTGATGTGTACATATGTGGATTTTTCATCATCCTAAAAACACTAGGGACCAAGTTCCATGAACATAATGTGTATATGATTGGGATGCCATTGGGCTTTTATTGTCCTAGTACAAGCTGTATTTTCTGGCTGAATCAAGACAAGAACACTTATTAATAAAAAAGGAAAACATCAACATATGGAAAAAAAATCGTAAGCTATTTTTCTGACTCCATCTGTTTTCCACCCACACAATTTGCTCACTACAGTTAATAGGAAGCTGTGGTGTACTTCTTGTGCTTCATAGCTCTAGAATAGAGAACATGAGATTACGATATTCGCGTTGAGGTAGTACAGTAATGACAAGGCACTGTGTGACCTCATGTAAGTGGGATCCAATACCACTCAGGTGAACAAAAGCTTTCTCTAACTTTACACAGTTTCACGAATAGGATTTTTTATACTCTTTGGACTCTTCTAATGCAGGAAAGGCTTACAGCTGTGGCAACGGCCAGCCATGTCTTTGGCCTTAGCTGGACAAGCGGTCCAGTGGATAATCTGAACTACATCAGGGTGCATGTTGAGTTTGAAAGGGAGGGCTGCCTGGGAGCGGTGGCTCACGTCTGTAATCCCAGAACTTTGGGAGGCCGAGGCGGAGGGATCACCTGAGGTCGGGAGTTGGAGACCAGCCTGACCAACACGGAGAAACCCCATCTCTACTAAAAATACAAAATTAGCCGGGCGTGGTGGCGCATGCCTGTAATCCCAGCTACTCGGGAGGCAGACGCAGGAGAATTGTTTGAATCTGGGAGGCTGAGATTGCGGTGAGCCAAGATCGCGCCATTGCACTCCAGCCTGGGCGACAAGAGCAAAATTGTGTCTCAAAAAAGAAAGAAAAAGGAAAAAAAGAAAAAAAAAAAAAAAAAAAGAAGAAAGGGAGGGCCATACGAAGGAATGCCCCTAAAAGCACGGGGGAAAAAAAGAAAAGAGGACAATCACAGAAGCTGCCAGGGCACTAAAGGAGGAAAGTTCTAGTTTAGTGTTCAGATGGCCCCCAAGCTTTGGAACATTGCCAACTATCCGTGCTGACGTAAGTGCAGACTCCCACATCTAAGATATGCCATTGTAATTCCTATTTTTGCTTTTCTGCTGCTCAACCTGATTCTCCTTTCTACAAGGAAAGTCACTAAATGCTATAATCAGACCCAATAGAGCATTTATCAATGTTTTTCTCATTAAAAAGTAATTATATGATTTAAATATAATTTGGGAGAAGATTACCTAAAATAGCATTTCAAAAATCAGTGCTAAAAGCAGTTGGAAATATTCACATGCATATGAGTCTCATGATCACATTCACATACTACCTAGTTCTTAAAAATGGATCATACTCTATCATCTGTTTCAAATGTCTTTCAGGGCTGCCTGTTACAATAGCCGGAGGAACATGCCACAGAGTCCCCGTCATGGCTAGGACCTTACAGGAAAGCTTTGGCTGCATGGTCACCCACCAATTGGACCAGCTATTTGACCATGAATTGGACCCCCTCAAGGTGCTGAAGGTAAGAAAGAATAAGAATAAAGAAGCTGTTTGAGGGGCGGTGTTGGAGGCCCTGGGGCCAAGACTGCAGCTCAGGCCATAGCTGAGACCAACTCCAAGGCATCAGGGACACAGCTGCCTAAAAAGTCACAGAAAGGCCTTTCCGTGGTGGTGCAAGCCTATAATCCCGGTGCTTTAAGAGGTCAATGTGGGAGGATTGCTTGAGTCTAGGAGTTCAAGACTAGCCTGGGCAGCAAAGCGAGATCCCGTCTCTACAAAAATTTAAAAAGTACCCTAAAACTTAAAGTATAAAAATAAATAAATAAATAAAGTTATCCAAGCATGGTGGTGCATGCTTGTGGTCCAAGCTACTTGGGAGGCTGAAGTGGAAGGATCCTTGAGTCCAGGAGGTTGAGGCTGCAGTGAGCTATTACCATGCCACTGCACTCCAGCCTGGGTGACAGAGCAAGACCCTGTCTCAAAAAGATAAAAAGAGCCCCAAAAGACAACAAGAACCCACTGCCCCCTAACATTTGCATGATTGACAAGAATTATCATGATTGACAAGAAAGAAGAGACACAGCTGCTCTGTCACTTAAGAGAGAGGGAGTAAGATGCCTGAGAAGAAGGCCTGATCAACAACTTCAGAGGGATGGAAAAATGATTGAGAGAAGACCAGAAAGGTGACCACCTCATGAGCGAAGATTTGAAAAGCCACTTGAAGAAAAGGAAGAAGGAGAAGCTTCAGTTGATAGGTTGATTAGTGACCTCTCATTGATAGACTGATTACTGGCCTTCCTGGTGGAGGCCATGGGGGTCTTGGAAGAGGTCGAGGGGGCGGTGGGCGTGGAGTGGCCAGGAAGATGGGTTTGATTCTCCTGGCACTCATGAGTATGATATAAGAGCAGTGCAAGCCACACAGCTGGCCTGAAGCACCAGGACAGACATGTGGGCGGCAGATGTCACAACTGGGGAACTGTCAAAGGTGGATTAACAGAGTCCCCAAAATTTACATTCAGAAACAATTATCTTATCATTGCAGTGACTTGCATCAATCAAATATAACTAAGGAAACCCTTGAAGGTGAAGAACATGCGGTGGCAGGCATTGAAAAGGAGGAGAATGAAGCTGAGGAGGTAAAGGCAGAGGCTCCAAAAGGGATGACTTTGAGTGAGTGGAAGGCTGTCCAACATAAGGACTGGGCGGAGGTAGAATTTCATGTCCGAAAACCACGTGAAGGTGGAAGAAGTTGGTTCTTCATAAACCAAAGAGTGAAAAGGCTCATGCTGAAGATTTGATTGTAGACCATCATTTCCAGAAGCCAGCAAATGATATAGTGTTCTGATATAATGTCTCAGCTGGAGATTAATTCTGGAGACCTTGGCCACCCAGGACAGTGGTGGCAGGGTAGGATGCCATGGACCTGGGCATGGTGGATGTCAGAACCATGGCAGCAGGATCCACAAGGCAGTTGCTTCTGCTCTTGACATGATGACCCAAAGGTACCCCCAGCTCTGGCTTACCTGGATGCCCTTAGACAACCCTGGTTCCTTTGCAGACTCTCCTCTTTAAAGCTGTTGCATGTTTAGTGCTTACAAATGACTAAGAAATGTTTTAAAAAGAAGATTGCTATTCATTCCATTCACACCTAAAGACTCAATTTTATCTGTTTTAGAAATGAACTTCTCTCGCTACACAGAAGTAACAAATATGGTAGTCAGTTTTGTATTTAGAAATGTGTTGGTAGCAGAAATGTTTTCATAATTTTCAGAGATTATGCATTTTTCATGAATGCTTCTGCATTGCTGCTTTAAAATACGCATTTCCAAATTTAAAATATGGATTTCCAAATTTAAAATATCGCTGTGAATGGTTGAAAAAAATAAGGGGGCTGGATGCTGTGGCTCATGGTTGTAATCCCAGCACTCTGGGAGACCAAGGTGGGCAGATCACCTGAGGTCGGGAGTTTGAGACCAGCAGAGCCAACATGGCGAAACCCCTTCTCTACCAAAAAATACAAAAATAAGCTGGGTGTGGTGGTGCATGCCTGTAATCCCAACTACTTGGAGGCTGAGGCATGAGAATTGCTTGAACCCGGGAGGTTGCAGTCAGCCGAGATTGCGCCACTGCACTCCAGCCGGGGTGACAGAGCGAGACTCTGTCTCAAAAAAAAAAAAAATAAAAAATAAAAAATAAAAATAATAAAAAAGCCTTTCAAGTTAATTCTATATTCTGAGCATTTTGTCATACATAAAAATATTTTTCTCTATAACATGGATTTTAGTATGAGTGTTATGTAGTTAACTAGCTATAGTTCTGATATTTCAAATTTTTGTTTAGCATGATTTGTAGCTTTTCTGCACAGGCCTGTATATATTATTCCTGTTCTTTCTTTCTTTCTTCTTTCTATTTTTGTTTGAGATGGAGTCTTAACTCTTTCTCCAGGCTGGAGTGCGGTGGCACGATCTCGGCTCACTGCAACCTCCAACTCCGTTGTTCAAATGATTCTCCTGCCTCAGCCTCTCGAGTAGCTGGGATTACAGACACGCGCCACCACGTCCAGCTAATTTTTGTATTTTTAGTATAGACAGGGTTTCAACATGTTGGCCAGGATGGCCTCGAGCTCCTGACCTTGTGATCTGCCTGCCTCGGCCTCCCAAAGTGCTGGGATTACAGGTGTGAGCCACTGCGCCCGGCCTGTTGCTGTTATTTCCAAAAATATATAACCTAGATTGTGAATTGCAGGACCAAGTGACTATTTGTAAGACTTCTGATGAATACTACACAATTGTCCTCTAGAAAGAGTCTGTCCATTTTATCCCCACAAGCAGCTCCTCTTGTTTTTAATATGCTGGTGTTATTTTTAAGCAACGTGGATAATTTAGGCTATAAAACCCCATAAAGCATCAAAATGTGGAAAGAAATATCTATCCTCCTCCAATTTTATTGACGAGGGCTTAGAAGATCTCTAGGAATAGCATTCTTACATACAGTTACTTAAGGAATGGAGAGGGCACTCACACTCACTGGGTCTACAATTTTCAATTTTGAAAGTGGGGAAATAATCTTAACTGTATTTGTTCTCTTTACAGCAGGATGCTCATGGGCTCCCAGGCGACAGCGTGAAGAGACACAACAAACGAAATCTCATTGTAGGAGAAACATTAACAAAGGTGAGGAATGTCCTTTGGAAAATAAAATTTTTGAAGGATCCTAGACACAACACAGGGTACAACCAGTGAGTATCTCCATGTCCTACAGTGGGATTAACATTTGAAATTCTTGGACTGGAGGAGAACTTGTTTTCTGCTATGGGAAATAAAGAACTCTCCTCTGTTGATAAACTGCCATTTACTTAATGTACATTGTGACCTGCCAGTTTACCGCATTTAAATTAAATTGCAAGATTTATGAGATAGAACATTAAAATTATAAAAATAGTGATGAAAAGGATGGCAAAACTGCACTTATGTATGCACCAACCTAATGAAACTATCAAAATTGTAATTCTGTTTACCAAAGGTAACCAGAACTAAAGCTTCATACCCAAAACAATTTCAAACTAATATAGTGGGATGAAGAAGACTTCTAAGCATCCTTAGCCAAGTAATGAAGAGAATCGATGTAAACATGATACAATATGAAGGAAAGTGTCTAGCCTTTGGAAGATGACGGACCTGGATTTAAATCTCAGCTATGTGAAACTGCATGCATTCCATAACTTCTCGGAGCTTCAGTTTTCTAACATATTAAATGTGTATAAATGTTCTCTTGTCTTTTTTCCTTTAATTTATAAGGATTTGGGGGATAAAGTATGCAATGGGCTGAATGTAGGATAAAATATTCAATAAATCATAATTACTGTCATTAGAATTAAGTGTAAAATTGCAGAGAAATATAAATATATTTCCTGAGTTTTTTCACCACTCTCCTGTCCGTTGGCAAATCTCAAGTTTTAAGAGTATGCCTGGAGTCATCATATAGCCCAATAAATATTTAATTCATTTAGTTTTATTCAAATCCCCAATAATTATGAGAGGTGTATTGCATTGGGCTAGGTCCTAGGGTTACAGAGATAAACAATTCACAATTTTACTCTATGGGGCAGTCTTTTCTAGGAGAACCAAAAATTAGAGTATATATAATAACTGTCCAAAGACTGAGAAAAGTCTCCACTTATTCATACAACTCTCAAGCTAATAATCAATTACTTCTCCATAGTCTCCCTGCTTTCTAGACGAAATATAACTAATCATTTATCTCTCCTTACATGGAAACTCCAAGATCTGTTTCCTTATTTTTCTAGACATTCTCTAGCCTTTGCCAACAGTGCCATGACTTTCATTTTGAAGACTGGTATGTACAAAGTGTATGACCCACTTTTGAATTAAGAATTATAAAGGAATTCTTAATGACCTGGGAGCAGATTATTGGAATTAAAGATTATCCATGGACATTTTGCTTTTAAATTCATAGTAATATTTTCATTGGTTCTGCTAATTATGCAGTTTGTGGAAACAAACGGGATATTTACTTAAGGTTAGACTAGGGAGTAGAAAAATTTTCAAAGGCCAAAATAAGTATCTCTGGCCCTAGGGAAAGTGTAAAACAGCAACATTTGCAAAAGACTGCTTTTCTCTTCAGGTTGGTGGTTTGGAATAATCAATCTCAGAAGTGATATATAAATAATTTCTTTTACAGAAATAAGAGAAGAGCTAAGCATAAAGGCAAAATGAGAAAGGTGACTTTTCCTCATTAAACTTCATTACATGGCTGGGCGCAATGGCTCACGCCTATAATCCCAGCACTTTGGGAGGTTGAGGTGGGCGGATCATGAGGTCAGGAGATCGAGACCATCCTGGCTAACATGGTGAAACCCTGTCTTTACTAAAAATACAAAAAATTGGCTGGGCGTGGTGGCACGCGCCTGTAGTCCCAGCTACTCAGGAGGCTGAGGCAGGCGAATTGCTTCAACCTAGGAGGTGGAGGTTGCAGTAAGCCGAGATGGTGCCACTGCCCTCCAGCCTGGGCGACAGAGACTCTGTCTCAAAAAAAAAAAAAAAAAAAAAGAAGAAATAATAAATAAATAAACAAACTTCATTACATGAATCATTAGATTATTTTAAGAACTGAAAAAAAAAATCCACATATCACATCACTACCATCATATTCAAATAAAAACTCCAAAAATCAAATGGAACCATTTGAAAAGTGTTCTCTCTTTAGAGTTAACTGTGGTGTCCCTCCCCTGTACCTCTACCCTTTTTTTCCCCCTACCCATTAGTGTGAATAACTGATAGTTGACTGTGTAAAATATCAGGTGAGGTTTGGTGTCCTTAGGACATAGAGTATACAAAGTGCCATGGTTAGTCATAAAGAAGACAAGACACTCCTTCCTTCCCTTCTATGAGTGAAAACACTGCATAATAGAGACAACTTTGACATTTTAATTTTCTTTTCTTTTCTTTTTTTTTTTTTTTTTTTTTGAGATGGAACCTCCCTCTATCATCCAGGCTGGAGTGCAGTGGCGCAATCGTGGCTTCCAAATCCTGCCTTCTTGGGCCTTTTATGGAGACTTTATTGGATAGGCATGATTGACCACTGTGTGGAAATGTGATTGGACAGAAAGAGCACGGTCTTACACTAATGGACTGAGTGGGGAAACCCAGCAAGTCCTGTCTGTTCCGATTCTTCTTGGTCTCTGTGCATTGTTCCTTCCTCTAGGGTATGGGGCAGGACCCCTTCTGAAATGGGGGTCTTATGGCCCACAATCAGACAAGGTGGGTCAGATAATTTCTTTATGGCCAGCTCCAAGATGGAAAGGTAAGGGAAGATTCCTGCCATGGGGAGAAAAAGAAACAGGTGAAAAGAGAGTGGGAGATGGTCAGGGAGAGAGATTCTGTTTTCTAAGGCTTAAAATTCCCCAACATTATAGAAAGCGCTGTAAGAGCTATGAGGCATGAATCATTAACAAATATCCAGATTCTCTATGTCTATGTCTATATTATAATATCAAAACATCTGTACATTTTCCTTTAAATAAAGGAACATATCTATATGCTTAATATATGCTTTTTACCATTTATCTGCATAATTCCTTCTACCATAAATAATGTTTTCCTAATTCATATCCCTGCCGAAAATTAAAAGAAAAACAATGGAGTCAGTGTTGTTAAATAATTTATTTAAATGACATCATAATCCAGCGCTAAGATAAATGCTCTAAAATCCTGAAATGTGGGTGAATCTGTTGCTTGGTTTGCAGAAATATCTTGTTTCCAAATTCTGTAGACGCTGGCTGAACAGGAGGAGAGACAGACAGAGAGGGAAATAGAGAGCAAGACAGAGAAACATAAGGAGAGACACACAAAGACAGACAGAATAGAGATCAGGATGCAGCATCATTAGAAAAATACTTCTAAAATACTGGGAGAAATCCCTTTGCTACGGATGCTATCGCAAACATCTTTTGGGTAATATAAAAAACATTAATACATCGGCCGGGCGCAGTGGCTCACGCCTGTAATCCCAGCACTTTGGGAGGCCGAGGTGGGTGGATCACGAGGTCAGGAGGTCGAGACCATCCTGGCTAACATGGTGAAACCCCGTCTCCACTAAAAATACAAAAAAAAAATTAGCCGGGCGTGGTGGCGGGCGCCTGTAGTCCCAGCTACTTGGGAGGCTGAGGCAGGAGAATGGCATGAACCTGGGAGGCGGAGCTTGCAGTGAGCCGAGATCATGCCAGTGCACTCCAGCCTGGGCGACAGAGCAAGACTCCGTCTCAAAAACAAAAACAAAAACAAAAACAAAAAAAAAGCACATTAATACATCCTCATAATTGACTGGAAAACGCACTCTGGGACTGCAGTTTCAGGGTTTTTTTTTTTTTTCGTTGTTTTTCCTGAAGCAGTACCTATGTGGTTTCACTGAAGAGAAGCATGACCTTGTTCTTTAGCAGACCATGTTGGAAATTCAGGGAAAAGGTGCCAAGGATTTCTTAGAAATGTATTTCATGGTACAGTATCAAGGGGCAGTATTTATTTTGGATATGCTTCCACTGAAGAATTGAGATGCTGTGGGGGAATTTTGTTGTTTCCGCATATAATGTTAATGGTCCTAAATTAATTACAACTCTAAAGTTAAAAGGTTCGAATGCCTTAATGGTTCTTTTTTTGTTTTCAAAATTCTAGAGGGATTTGGCTCTGAACAAATCCTGCTCCTCACCTATCAAAGGATCCAGTGTGTTTTAATTCTGTTACTCACCCAAACGTGTATTTCTTTTTCTTTCTCTGCTCGATCTCTCCTAAAGAAATACTGCCAATCGAAAACAAATTGGGTTCAAAAATCTATGAAATAAATTAGTCTGCAAATGATGCTTTAGGAATTAAGCCAGTGTTTTACGGGAAAGGAAAGATGTTTACCTACTGTGATCCCTCTCATAAAAAAAAAAATTAAAATGTTGGCCAGGTGCGGTGGCTCACGCCTGTAATCCCAGTACTTTGGGAGGCTGAGGCGAGCAGATCACCCAAGGTCAGGAGTTCAACACCAGCCTGGCCAACATGGTAAAACCCCCATCTCTACTAAAAATACAAAAAAAATTAGCCAAGCATAGTGGCACGTACCTGTAATCCCAGCCCTGACCTCAGACCCTCCACACTTTGGAATGATTTAGAAGTGTCATCTATGACACCCCAGATAGGGAACTGCTTGAGCCCCAGCTCTTAATTTCCCTTCTTTGAAGCACTTTTTGGTCCTTTCTCCAAGTGTGGGGTGGAACAGATAGCCCTGTGGAATAATCTGGGCCCTAGGTGTAGGGAGCGCTGAATTCAGGAGGACCTAGCAGGTGGATATTTTGCATCTCAATTACTGTCTTGCTTTCACCTCTTTGTTTACTATCATTCTTGACAATTCTGATATCCATCTAAATGAACCACCAACAGCCCACCAATTCCTTCACTTCTTTAGATTCTACAATGTTTCTTCTCTCATTTCACTAAAAAAGCCATTGACTCACATGGTCACACTCAAGACTTTTAATCACCAGTAACTACACCAATTTGAAAATCTTAATTTCAAACCCTGCTGCTTTGACCATCCATCTACTACTAGTCATTTCACTTACTCTGCTTCTCTCACTCCAGAAATTGACTGATTCACCCATACCTCCAAGCCATCAAAAGCATTATGTTTTCTGTATGCATAAAATCCCTTTGCATCTGAGTCTTCATTTCCCTTTTTAAACAACCATCCTCCATGGTCTAGTACTATAACCAGTCCCTTGCATATACTCTGAATTCCTATGCTCCTCTGTGCTTCAGTGAAATGTTGGCAATATCTATCCCTAATTAACCCAATCAATCATTTACTCAATGCCTAGATCTGAAAATCTGAATACTCTTTGAAGTAACACACGTAACAACTTCATGACCACAAATCCCAGAGAAGCCTCTCACATTTCCAGACAATTTTAGCATTTTAATCTAATTATTTTCCCTTCTCAAAGGTGACATTTCTCCACTGTCTCTTTCCTGAAATTTTTCTCATTCTCAGCTGAAAATTTGATTCATATTTAATAAAATAGATCCAATCCAGTGCCTTATCTTATTACAGCTACATCCACCAAAATACCTGCATCTGTATCACATGTTGTGTCATCTCTCTCTTTAAAATCTATGAACTTTCTCTGCTCTTATCTAAGAGCATGGATACTCTGGATCCATACTTTCATACCTTGTTAGGACCTCACTCCTAGAACTCCCTCCTTTTACTTCTGTCTCACCTTCTAATGGTTCATTTACATTAGTACTCATGTAGCAGGACAAGTTGCAGACAAAACCCCTCAGACACCGAGTTAAGGAAGGAAGGGCTTCATTTAGCCGGGAGCTTCAGCAAGACTCACATCTCCAACAACCAAGCTCCCCAAGTAAGCAATTCCTGTCCCTTTTAAGGGCTCACAACTCTAAGTGGGTCTGTGTGAGAGGGTCGTGATCGATTGAGCAAGCAGGGGGTACGTGACCGGGGGCTGCATGCACCGGTAATTAGAACAGAACGGGACATGGATTTTTACAGTGCTTTTCTATACAATGTCTGTAATCTATAGATAACATAACCGATTAGGTCAGGGGTCGATCTTTAACTACCAGGCCCAGGGTGTGGCGGCAGGCTATCTGCTTGTGGATTTCATTTCTGCCTTTTAGTTTTTACTTCTTCTTTCTTTGGAGGCAGAAATTGAGCATAAGACAATATGAGGGGTGGTCTCCTCCCTTACTCAAATATGCCTTAATATCACCCACCTTTAAAAGAAATTTCATAAACTCCAACATCTACCTTCAGTTACTATTCCATTTCTCCATTTCATTTGCTAGAAACGGCCATCCAAAGAGTTGTCTATAGTCTGATTCCTACTTCCTCAGCTTCTGTCCTGTGCTCAGATTTGCCAAATGGACTTTCATTACCATCACACTATAAACATTTCTCATAATAATGTTACAGACAAAATTCATCCTTTGGAAGATGATGTTCATTCTCCATGTTCATTCTAAATTACCTTTTAACGTCAGTGGCCCAGCAGCAGATGACCAGTCCCTCCTTCCTGAAACTCTTTGTTCTCTAGGTTTTTTTCAACCCCAACGCTCACCTTGCTTGATTTTCTACCTCTTCTTATCACCCTTTCTTCCTCTCTTTTATTTGCCCCTTCTCCCTTACCAAATCTCAACATATTAGAATGTCCCAGAGCTCCCTCCTCATGCCTTCCTCTCTTTTACAGCTTTACCTAAATCTCAGGATAAAGAATCTCAAATTTTGATCTCCAGACCTGTCCCCTGAGCTCCAGAGTCCTCTATCCAACTACGTACTTGAGAATTCTGCTAGGATACTGAATTTCCATCTCAACAGAATGCCATCAAAAAGCAACATATTCATTTTCACTCAGAAGGTTCTTCCAAAGTTTTTTAGACATTTTAGTAAACAACATTACCACCACTTTGTCATGTAGAAGTAGAATCTAAAGACATTTCCCTGGTTCTGTTCCCTTCATCATGCAAAACATCTACTCCATGAATGAGTCACATCGCCTCTGCCTCCAAAATATTTTGTAAATCCAAACACTTTCTATCATCATACTGCTAAAATTGCTGAACAAGGTCAGTCATCTGTTACCTGGATTATTGTGACTTATCCAGTTACGCTAGTTAAGCTTTCTAACTCGTCTCTCTACCTTTGGTCTTGCTACCGCTGCCTTCAATGCTACCCATCTCAATATTCTCTTCACATAGCAACAAGAATATTTTTTTTTCTTTCCAAATTGGGAGTGTTCTCACATCCTTACCCTGCTTAAAATCTTCTAATTGGCTGGGCATAGTGGCTCACGCCTGTAATTCCAACACTTTGTGAGGCCGAGGCGGGTGGATCACGAGGTCAAGGGATCAAGATCATCCTGACCAACATGGTGAAAACCCATCTCTACTAAAAATACAAAAATTAGCTGGACGTGGTGGCACATGCCTGTAGTCTCAGCTACTCAGGAGGCTGAGGCAGGAGAATTGCTTGAACCTGGGAGGTGGAGGTTGCAGAGAGCCTAGATAGTGCCATTGCACTCCAGCCTGGGTGACAGAGTGAGACTCCATCTCAAAAAAAACAAAAAAACAAACAAACAAAAAAACACAAAAAAAATCCTTCTAATTGTTTACAATCAGATTATCCAGACTCCTCAGTATGGCTTACAAGACACTGGATGAACTGAAACTTGTCTACCCATCTGTCCTCTACTATCTCAATTCTTCCCACGTTTGTTATGCATATGCTACAGTGTCTCCCTTCTGATTTAAATTTGGCATATCCATTATTGTCTCTGGACTTTGCATTTGCCATTTCTCTGCCTGGGGCACTTCGTTATCTGAAATTTCCTTGGCTGCCTGCTTCTTATCATTGAGGTCTCAAATCATAGCTAACCTTTTTAGGGATACCTTTCCTGACCACTTTAGTTAAAGCGGACACCTGATCTCTATCTCATCACCCTATTTTTATTTCTTTATCACCCTTTTTTTATTTCTTATCAATAGTTGGAATTCATATCTTACTCATTTTTTGTTCATTTTTAGTATCTCCTCTTAAACCCAACTGAAAAGCAAGCTACTGGAATGCTTCATTCACGGTTGTATCCTAAAACCTAGTAAGGAAATTGCCATTTTGGTAAAAACTTACCAAAGCTGTTTAGTGGACTAGCTATATCCACCTCCGCTGAGATCTAAACTGCTCAGCATGCCTCACAGATTATAGCAAACTTTAATGCACTCTCATCGGCTGACTACAGGCAAGTAATCAGTAACAACGCAACTCACTGCTTCTAACAGTTTTCCATAGATTAATATAGGATGTCTCTACCTCACAGGGCAGACTGTGCCAGGAAGTCATACACTGGGTCCAGTCTGGTTGAGTCAAACTAAGGTACCTGGGGTTTTGGTTTTGTTTTGTTTTGTTTTTCATTTATTGTGGAGCACCGATGACAGTGCATATTAATAGAGGACCTCAGTGCCTCTGGGGTCTTGGAAAGCAACCTGGTCATATGAAAGAGTCCTCTGTCCCTCCTTTCCTGAGTGTCAATCTTTAATTTAGAAGAAAAGAAAAGTACAGCTTTTTTATTTGGCTGTATTAAAATTTATGGGGCAGGGTGGTTTTCAGGCTGCTGCTCCTGCCAGGCATTGCTCTGATGATGTATGACTGTGACATGTCACCAGTGTAGCCAGCCTCTGATGATCCATTGCAGCAGCAAGTCATTTGTCATACATCACTGCCTCGACAGCTGCCCCCATCTGGGCCTCTCCTATGTACTCCAGCAGGGAGTCCTGGCTTAAAACAAGCTCCGTGCTCCTTCTGCACTCCCACGGCCACTGCGTTTAGCATGTATTTCTTACCATTAGTGAGAGAAAAGAAAAATAATGGTTAGTGGCAAACTGCTGGAGTTTTAAAGGTAAAAGGTTTACATATTCTGCTGTCATAAGCCAAGAGCAAATAATGATGATTAGGAAGATGACTTGATACTTTCAGAATGCCACATTAATATAAAAGCACTCAAAAATAGTGATGTAGCATTCATTCTCTGCCAGCTATTCTTCTAAGGATTTTACATATATTAAGTAATTTAATCCTCTAAGAGTCCTTAAGAGATGGTATTATTATCGCCCATTTTACAGATTAAGAAAATGGGGTACAGAAAGATCAACCTGCCCACTGTCATCCAGCTCAGTAAACAGAAGAAACAGCATTTAGACCAAGTCAGCTGAAATCTGAAACCTTTGCTCTCAACCACTATGCCTTGCCGTATATACTTTCAGACACGGTTCTAGTGGTTCTTCCCAGATGCTTATGTTGACCCCTGCATTCCAGGACCAAATAAACACACAGACACTATGCAGGCATTTTATTCAATTTGTAAAATGTACTTGTTATTAATAATAATTATTATTAAAGATAATATCATTTAACAATTGCATGATAGATTCTAGGGCATATGATAGGTAGTTTGCTAATGTTATTAAGTTTCCCAACTTTGCAAGGTATTGTTCTATTTTCTTTTGTTTTGAATAGATGGATAGAGGAGTACATTAAAAAGTTACTGAAGATGTTTTCAAAACAAGCCATTTGCAAAAGGACTAAAGAGAGAAGACCAAACAATCAGGGACAGCTATAAATTGAAAAAGTGAATGAGTGACTGAAATTGATTTCTGTAGAATAGTTGAAATGCCATTTGTATATATTTTAAATAAATAACTCAGTTAAAATCGATTTAAATGTCATTAAAACAGAGTTTATAGTATTTACTTTTCTATTCCAACTGAAAATTAGTATTTAATGGCTGGGTTGGGAAGGACTCTTCACAGATTCATATCCTTTACAGTTCCTCGCATTCAATTACAACAGGTACATCTTTCTGTACCAAAAAGAAAAAAAAAAGGAAGCAAAGAATTATTATTATTAGGGGTTTTAATGCATGAAGCATAAATAAACGGATTCAAACACTGTAAAGGAGATAACCTTGGATTTTGAGTGTCTATTATCAATGTCCTTTATTTTAATTGTAATGAATTGGGGCTATGGGAGTAAAGACATTTTTCCTACCTGTTGATAATTTCATTACTTTCAACAATTGTAGTAGATTCAATTTCAACTGAGGTAAGAATGTGCTATGAGCAAATACTTGTTTATTTCACTTATTGGAAAACAAAATTTGTTAATTATATTTTCTTTATATATTAACATGTATCATATATTAACATTTTCATAAATTATTACACATTTTTAATCAAATCTTTACATAAAGCACACACATATGCAAGCTTAGGAAAAGAATGAATGAATAAATGAACCACTGAATGGATTCATTTGAGGAATATTAGCATTTATTAATTTCCTTTCTAAGCTCTTAAATTAGAAAAACTTGACAAGAAATATTTAAATATTGAAATAAGAGTTTTAAGAGTTTAAAAAAACTCTTAATTTCCAGTTACTAAATATTTCTCTTAAAATTATTGTGCTAAGAAACCTTGCTCATTATGGAAAACAATACCCGTAGAATAAGGTGGCCCTGGAGCACTTTGCGGCATGGAAAAAGGAAGGGAAGAAAGGCCTAAGACTCTTATAATTATTCAGTGAGTTCAACTACTTAAAATTTGCCTGGACTTCTCAGCTGTGGTTTCCACAGCATTTTAATAAACATTGCAACACAGGACTGGATTTCTTTTTAATTGAGCATTTCTGAACAGTCATCTTCCTCTTCCATCCATCAGCTCTGTTTATGTGTTGCCTCATTATCTTCAATTGCAGAGTGGTGTTCTGAATTCAGCTGGAGAAATAGCTACCGGCTGCCCCAGGTTCTCATAGAAGGCAAGAGACAGCCTTCTCACCAGCTCTAGCAATAAGAAGGGATCAGTGAATTACAAGTTTGCTTTCCCCACACCAAGGTTATTAGTCTGCTCTTCTTTAATTCTCACGTTCATTTGAACTTCACTCTTGTGTCTCTACTTTCTCATGGCCACTTCCGCTTAAATGTTCTACCATTGCTTGAAACTCCACATACTTCAAATTGAATTGATCCTATCCTGTTCTCCAAAAAGCCTACTTGATTTTCAGTTTTCTAAATATCTTCGATTTAAATGTCATTTTCTTTGATTCCCAAACCTTCTTTTTTTTTTTTTTTTTTTTTTACTCTTCATGTTCAGCAGTCACTGGATCCCATCATTTATTTACTGTTCTTGAGAAAGTCTCTTAGATCAACTTTCCTTTCTGCTTCCCAGAGGCAAAACCGTGTACTCTAAAAAACTCATAGAATTTGGTTACACACAGATACGGGTTCATGTCCCTGAATTTCCAGGTACTAGTTCTGCAAATTTGGAGGAGTTGTTCAAGCTCTCTTGATTTTATTGTCCTTTTTTATAAATGAAGAAAAACACATGACATCTTATTTAGTTTTTATGATGGGTGTTATAAAGTTTAAATAAAATTATTATAAGTTTAGAATAAATTATTTGACAGTTTCTACTACAGTAGCTGTCAGAGTTGGTGCTGTGTAAATAACTGTTAGGTTGTTATTGCAGTTACCAGCCTAAACCCAGCAAACCAATTTAAAGTGGCATAACCCAATTTAGACTAGTTAAAAAATAAAAATTAAAAACGGCTTTTAAAAAAAGTATTGATATGGAATGACTTCAGGCTCAGCTGGGTCTCAACACCCAAACTATTTCATCAAGGTTTTTTTTCTCTCTTTATTCTTTTCACCTGTGGGATAATCTCAGGGATTAACCTCATTCCCTCCCACTACAGTTAAGTTTCTTTTTTCGTTTTTTGAGATGGGGTTCCACTCTTGTTGCCAAGGCTAGGGTGCAATGGTGCAATCTCAGCTCACTGCAACCTCCACCTCCCGAGTTCAAGCGATTTTCCTGCCGCAGCCTCCTGAGTAGCTGGGATTACAGGCACCTGCCACCATGCCCCTAATTTTTTTTATTTTTTATGTTTTTATTTTTAGTAGAGATGGGGTTTTACCATGTTGGCCAGGCTGGTCTCGAACTCCTGACCTCGGGTGATTCACCCACCTCGGCCTCCCACAGTGTTGCGATTACAGGCGTGAGCCACCAGGCCCGGCCAACTTTCTTCATCATGGCTGGCCAACAGCTTGTCTTCCCATTCTTTCAGCACTATTACAAGTAAGAGATTGTTGTCTCCAATGTCAGAATATTGCCAGGGGAGAATAGCATGGGGCATGTGTCCATAATTAAATAAAATTATTCTGACTAGAGGAATAGGGCTTCTTAATAGATCGGTTTTGGGTCTCATTCGGGCCTTAGGAAAAGGTCACAAAATTGAAGTGACCTCAGGATTACATGGCATAGTGGACAGTTAAAACCCTAAGAAAGAAATGCTCGCCAGGAACTCAACAGAAATCCACAATTCATTCTTCTCAGAGGATTTGGGGATCTAGTCTTTTATATTTCTTTTCTTTTTTTTCTTATTTTGAGACAGAGTCTTGCTCTGTTTCCCCAGCTGGGGTGCAGTGGCGTGATCACAGCTTACTGCAGCCTTGATCTCCCCAGGCTGAAGGAGTCCTCCCACCTCAGCCTCCCATGTAGCTGGAACTGTAGGTGTGTGCCACCATGCCCAGCTAATTTTTTTTTTTTTTTTAGTATTTTGTAGAGATTGGGTCTCACTCTATTCCCCAGGCAGGTGTCTAACTTCTGGGCTCAAGCAATCCTCCTGTCTTGGCCTCCCAAAATGCTGGGATTACAGGCATGAGCCACCGTGTCCAGTCTCTCATATTTTTAATGACTACTACAAATCACTACTAGATTAACCAATATAAACTATATTGTATTTGATAATTTAAGAATTTCTTCCATTTTAAACTGACTACATTTGAATTCTCCAGAATTTAATTCCAGTTCAGCATTCCCAGTAATGAAACTTCCTAAACCAGGCATCTTGCATTGTCTTCTGTTTGTATTATATTTTGCCAAACTCATGTTTCCTGCTTTTGCTAATACTGTCAGTTTCACTCCTAAGCATTTCTGGATTCATCTGCTCATCTACCCAAATACTACTCAAACCTTAAGGTGAAAACACAAATTTCAACTACTCTGATAGAGCCTTTCCAATACATTTTAGTCTGCATTTTGCAATATCTTCCCCAAATACCTATAGATGACAGAGATTTGGGAATTAGTTCCTCAAAGACTTATATATATCTTAGAATCACATTTTGAGCTATAATTGGTGGAAGAGAAGTGAGGTAAAAAGGAGGGTAAAGGCAAATTTGCGTGTCCCCAATTTTCTACCCTTTATAGCCAATGCAATTCTGCCTTGCTTTTTTGTCTGAATGTTTCAAAGGAGAATTCTTTGGTTAAGTAATATTTCAAAATTCCTGAAGCATTTTCCAGTCTTTATCAATTATTTAATGCATTATTATAAACTATTATTTGATCAATACCTGAAAATATTTTTTCTCTGCAATAACAATATAAGTTCCTCAGTTAGAGGACTTGTGTGTTTTGTTTTTTATTTTTATCTTTGTATTTTAAATGCAAATCCTATGTTATGCAAAAACACTAAATCAATTAAAAATTCATTTTACCACATAAAAAGAAGCTATGGGATACTGGATATATAAAAGTAATTTTAAAGTACTTATGCATATACTTCAGAACAAGGTTATACAAGATAAATGCAAACAATTTTATCTGTCATTTAAAAATAAACAAATAGAAAGCTAACTGACTAGCTGTTAGAGAAAAGTAATAAAATTGCCACCCTCAAAGAGAAAAAAAGTAATTTCAGTAACTCTCACAATTAAATATTTATCAGAAATAAAGATAACATGTTTCTGAGATTATAAGAAAACCTAAAAGTACATAATTTATTTGTGTATTAGGGTTCTCTAGAGGGACAGAATAGGACAGATCTCTCTCTCTACACACACGCACACACACACACACACACACACACACACGCACACACACACATATATATATATATATATCTCTTTGTCCTGTGCTGGATGTTTTCTGCCTTCAAATATCGGACTCCAAGTTCTTCAGTTTTGAGACTTGAACTTTTAAGGTCGTGAAACAATTCTATATAATATTGTGATTGTGGACATAGCACACTAAACATTTGTGAAAATCCACAGACCTTTTCAGCACAAATAATGATCCTTAAAGAAATTATTTTAGGAAGCTGGAGGATCCCAAAATGTAACCTTACTGTATTACAAAATAATGATCTTTAAATAAATTATTTTAGGAAGCTGCAGGATCCCAGAATGTAACCTGACTAAATTACAAATGTATGAAACAACCTTACTCAAGAAGGTGGAGGATAAAAGTGCTGACTTCATTAATTAATTTTGGAAATGAGTTGAATCCATGAAACCAAAGGCAGAAGGAACTTTTTATAAATCCTACATAATAGTTGATAGTGTTGGATTGTATCACAAAGTATAAAAGAAAAACCCATGAGTGCATACTGGTATCAATTAATTATTTTATATATAAATAAATGCAGGAGAATAGAAAAATCTCCCACACAGAAGGATTTCAAATAATTTATGTAGATACGCTGCCCTCAGGGAAGTGGGGCCTAACTCCTCACTTCTTATGTTTAGGCTGCCTATGTTCACTTTGCTGTAAAGAGAACAGTACAGACAGGGAGTAAAAGAATAACTTTATGGCGGAGAAATCTGACAAACACTATCTCACCCAGGTAATCAAAGCTAACATCCACAGAGATAAGTTATGTTGATAAGATGCATCCTTGAGATGGTGTAATGTAAATGACACTTTACCTCTGTGGTCTTCCTCCCAAAAACTCATAACCCCAGTCTAATAATTTAAATAAACAAACAAAAATTTCCAACAAATACCAGTAAAGCAGCATTCTACAAACTACCATCTGTAATACTCAAAACTATCTAGGTCATCAAAAACAAAAAAGATCCAAGAACTTGCCACAGACAAGACGGTCCTTAGGAGTCATAATAACTAAATGTGGTAGGATGTATTGAATGGAATCCTAGTATCAAAAGAATAACTTTAGTAAGAAGTGAGAAAAACCTGAATAAATGATGTACTTTAGTTAATAGTAATCTATCAATGTCGGTTCATTAATGGTGACAAATATATACCATACTAATGTGAGATGTTAATAAGAGAGGAAACAGCATGGGAGGTATAAGGGCACTCTGTGCTATCTTTCCTTTTTTTTTTTTGCAACTCTAAAGATATTCTAAATTGAAAGTTTATTAAAAACAAATTAGCATTTTCCAAACTTATTGACAGTAGGCTTTATTTTGCAAAACACAACACACGTGCAAAAGAATCCCTTGAGTGCTTGGTTTGACAGATGTTCTTAAAAACATTTTTTAGCGTAAATAATTGAAAGTGTTAAAGGAATACTTGGGAAAAAACAGTATCTTAAAGAGGGGCAGGGAAGGTAAAATTGCAACTAACCAAGCCTGTTTATCAGGATAGTCCATTATGGAGTTAAATTCTATGGGAAAAAGACTCACATTAAGAAGCAGAGAAACTGTTTCCATGAGTGTATCTTTAAAAAGTTAAATTATAAACTTCATTAACAGTGAAATAATGTGATTTAATTACTACAGGGGTTTAGCACATGCAGAGAACTCATTTTTTGAATGGATAAATAAGTACGGTTAGGGATCAATAAATGATACCCCAAAACATGGCGCTTTGGTATGATGAGAACTTTGAACTGAAGGACATTGGAAGGGCCTCAGAAGCAAAGTCTGGTTCTGACCTTCTCCTGCTCTTCTTTCTCCTGCTTCCCTTCCTTCCTCAAGCCAGCCCAAAAATCTAGAATTCCTCTTCCCCAAGGCAGGTCAGAGAAACAAGAACCCCTATCCCCCAGAGCCGCCATAAAACCTAGAAATATTGCTCTAAACTTCTGTTGCCTTTCTCTGTAAGGGCTGTCCATAAGAAATTCTCTCACCTATCTTGTCTGAAGGTACATCACGAGACCATCATTGAAGAAGGGGTTCTGCCCTATACCTGGGAGAAGGAAGGTCACACAGAAAGGCCATAAAGAATCTGAACAGACAGGGCTTGCTTGCTTTCCCCTCTCAGTCTATTCCTGTTATATCATTCCATTTTTGTCCAATCACAGTTCCACACGACTGTCCATTCTGCATCAAACCTAAACATAAAGATACCATTTGACCCAGCAATCCCATTACTGGGTATATACCCAAAGGATTATAAATCATTCTACTATAAAGACATATGCACATGTATATTTACTGCAGCACTATTTACAATAGCAAAGACTTGGAACCAACCCAAATGCCCATCAATGATAGACTGGATAAATAAAATATGGCACATATACACCATGGAATACTACGCAGCCATAAAAAAGAATGAGTTCATGTCCTTTGCAGGGACATGGATGAAGCTGGAAACCATCATCCTCAGCAAACTAACACAGGAACAGAAAACCGAACACCACATGTTCTCACTCATAAGTGGGAATTGAACAATGAGAACACACAGACACAGGGAGGGGAACATCACACACTGGGGCCTGTCAGGGGGTGGGGGGCAAGGGAGGGATAGCATTAGGACAAATACCTAATACATGCGGGGCTTAAAACCTGAATGACGGGTTGATAGGTGCAGCAAACCACCATGGCACATGTATGCCTCAGTAATAAACCTGCACATTGAGCACATGTATCCCAGAACTTAAAGTATAATTTAAAAAAAGGAATTTAGGGAAAATAGCCATTCTAAACACTAAAGTATTATCAATACTTAAAAAATAAAAAATAAAATAAAAAATACATAGATTGTTTTCCCTTGGGTCTTTGAGTCTTCATGTCTAAAGATTCTCATGTCAGATAAAACCTTGATTAAAAAATTTATTATGTTTTTCTCTTGTTAACCTATCTTTTGTTACAAAAGTGTGGCCGTGACCCTTGTGATGGCAAACAAAAGATCACACCTTTCTACTCTACTGTACTGTGAACCTTAAGATAATTTGTCTTCAAGATAGTAGCAGTAGAAGATAGTTTTTACTTGACTTACTAAAATTAGTAACAAGTAAAGACCAATTTGACAAATTCTCTTTGGAATATCCTGAAATCCAGCTGTACTTTTCCCTTGGAGACTTTCCTTGCATTAAGTAATTAACTTTGGTGTATTTGACCCTTTAGGAAAAAGGTTAAAATATTATGTCAGGACAATATACACACCCCTATTTCAGCATGGCTTAAATATTTTGGAGAATATGGTTGGTTACATATTCAGCAACATTCCATTTATTATGTTAATTGCCCCATGGAATTGTCAATTAGTTATTGGGCTCCCCAGTAAATTATTCCACCGTAAAAGACCAACTCTGTATTTGGAAAATATTTCAATAGATCTGGGCTATACCAATTGCTGTTTTTTCTCTTCTTTGCCTGCCACAGTGTGGTGGGAAAATGTTAATTTTACCCCCAATTTTCTCGAGCAGGTTTTTTTTTTTTTTTTTTTTTTTGCGAAGCAAGGGCTTGCGATTGTTAATATCTGTGCTACCATGGCCTCTAAAGCCAGACATTCCTCCTGAATATTCCCCCAGGCCAGACCTTTAATTCCAGGATGAACACCAAGGCCAGCAATCAATAAGTTGATTCTCCATCTGCCTTTGACAGAGGAATCACCAGGCTGACACCAGCTAGTCTGGGATCAGCTGTTTCCCTGCCTTTGATCTCCTCAGTTAGGGCTGTCCAAACTCCCATGGGCGTCTGTTTCAGCTTAGATACAGGCCACATCATGCTGATAACTCCTCCAAGGCCTATTGTAGCCATTGTATTTGAGGAGGGGATCACCTGTCAGAGTGACTGGTTACAACCCCTCCTTGACTGCGGGAAGCCTTTTTGATGCAGGGCAGATGATAATGAGAGTCTAATTGAGTGATTAACTACCTTGACTGACTTGGAGGTTTTAATGACACCTCTACATTAAGGTCTGCATTTCCCAGCAGGCTCCCAGTTTGTAACTGTATGGCCATGATATTTGCAATTATAAGCCTTTCCTTTAACCAGCAGGGATTTAACAAATGGACTTGGTTAATCACAGCTAGAAGGCCCTCACATCTGACTTTGTTATGGAAAAACATGTATAAATTCAAGGGCATGATTGATTTCTTAATACAGCCCATTCCAGGTCCATGGTCCTATACGTAAGACAGATACTATGTTTTTCAGAAGACATGGAAACTAACAAAAATATGTGACCGATGTACGTTTCAATAGAATAAAATGACCTTAAAGATAAGTGCTGGTTTTTAAGAGTTGCCACGCACATGATCCTTCTAAGCGATGAAAGTCTGCCTAGATATACTGTCTTTAATTAAGTGAGTCTGAAGGGCCTATTAATGCAATGTTAAAAGGAACCAGTCTCAGCGGGTCCTCACAGTGGGAAAAGTATCTAGGGCTTTCAATTTACAAGGTCTTGTTACAAAAGTGCCCTGCTGTTCTGGTCCTGTTCTTTCTGCCTGGGAGCAATTTAATGATCTGCTTTAGAGCAGAGAAATGGTCAGAGAGAAAACGTTCAGGTTTATGTGTTAGCGATCAAATGCCCAGTGGAATTTACAATGGTAACCAGACACTTCCTTTTCACAGCAAAGTAGAGCAGGGACAATGACATCAATACATTTGATTTGAAAAACTCTAATTGAACAAAATGGTAAGCCTTCAGTGAATGTTTGCTGATAAATATGAGGCTGATACTGAGCATGAAGCCAACACAAACGATACAGACAACAAGGGTGATGAAAAAGAAAAAGGAGAAAGAGAATGAAAATTAGGAAAGACAAATTCTTCAAGGATAAAAAGAGGTCTTTTGACTTGAAAGTTTCTTAATTAATTTGTTCTTCATTTATTCGACATTATTCAAGCAATATTCAAAATAATCTATCATGTTCCAGGCCTTCTATTGAATATGCTGGAGCAACAGCTGTCCAGAAAGCACTCGTGGCAAGTGAGGAATGCATGTATTTTTCTCCTTTATTCATTTAAGAAATCCTTGGTAAATGGTTACAATGGGACAGGTATGATGATACTCTGTTGATAATAATTTAAGTACCTATATTTCCCAGAACTAAGATGAAGGGGGCCTAGAAAATCCTTGAATGAATACATAGGTGAATATTTGCTGAAAGAGTCCTAGCCCAGTTAATGTGCTTCTAGTTGAAATCACGAACACAAAACAAATACTGATGATGAAATGCAATAAAAAATCCATAGGTATTTGTGCATCATGTTAGGGACCCATGGGAAAGAGGCTTACTAACTCTCCATAACTGAAGTAAGAAAACACAGACTATGTGAAATTTCAATGCATGTGATGAGTACTATTAGGGTACTGTTAGACAGGTGAAAATTCTGGGTCTGAGATGAGTTTTGGACATCTGTGTTTTTTAAAATAACGACTGTAATATGTAAAAAAAAAAAAAAGTTTTCATTTTACAGATCTGGAAAGCCTTTATTTCCAAAGAAACTATTATAAACTGAATGCCGTAAGAAGAATTGCAGAATTTTACATTTTCAATTCTCAAACCACTGCCTTACCTTAGAATAACATATTAGAATAACAGGAAGGTAGGTGGACCAAGTGGATGCTTACATTTTGGAATTTAAGGAAACACTGTGAGATATTAACTCTACCTTCTTATCTGCACTACACTTTCATCACTAGAATTATTCTGTCTTCCAGTAAAAATGAAAAGGTTTCAGGACTGTTACTACGGCAGTCCAAAACAACTTTGAAATTTTCTTTAGTCTTGTCCGAATACTATAGTCTACATTCTCAGATTAACCTTTTCTGACCTTTAAACATACTGTATACCAGAAATGGTTCTGTAATAAGAGGAATTAGACCATTACCTTGAGCACGAAAAGGTCAAGTCCTACTCTAGGCTAACAGCCTCAGTCTAACTTAATAATTCAAGAATTATTTGCATTCAAAGATTGTTTACCCTCTTCATACAGTATTTTAATGTTAAGGGTGGATGTAGTAGTTGGGATGGCAAATTTACTGAGTTTATTAAGCTGGGCATTGTCAGATATTTATTTAAAAAAATTAGAAAGTCTTACATAGTATGCAAAATATAAAACATGGGGAACATTGCTTCTCTGCAAGAATAGTTACTGCACGTTTCTTACTAGATAGAGAGTGAGCATCTTTAACACATGGTTGGAGTAATTGAACCACTTGTGAACTCAACCGATGAGAATTCAGCAAAGCTCTGGCTGGGTGTGTTGGCTCATGCCTATAATTCCAACACTTTAGGAGGCCCAGGTGGGAGGATCACTTGCGGCCAGGAGTGGAATTCAGCAAAGCTCTGGCTGGCTGTGTTGGTTCATGCCTGTAATTCCAACACTTTAGGAGGCCCAGGTGGGAGGATCACTTGAGGCCAGGAGTTCCAGACCAGCCTGGGCAACAAAGCAAGATCTCTGTCTCTCCAAAACAGCAACAACAAACACTCTGACCATTGGTTACTCAGATATATTGTTGTTTGTTGACACTGTATATCAAAACTCTAGATTTTAGCAAATACAGTAATGACATGGCACTCTACAAGCAAATACATAGATAGTAAAAGCAAATCAGTAACGACAATCACTCAGTAAGATTATAAGGCATATTTATCACGTACAAAAATAGGTCCTTTTAGTGGGAAAGTTGAGAGGGGCAGATAACTTGAGTCAGGTCAGGCAAAAAAAGGTAAAAATTGGTGACTTTGGAAAAATGCAAAATGATTATATGTTATTTGACTTAAGGTCTCTGACATGCTGTGTCTAAAAAGGGGCACTGCTCTGCACCTTGGTTTTTATGATGAGTTGGGTATTGGGTAGGGACAGATTAATTAAGACAATAATGTGTCTCAAATCACTATTTAGTTGCAAAAAATATTACTAAGCTTCTTTGATCTCTCTTGACACTTTTAAAAAACTCATGTTCTATCCGGAATGTGTCCCTTCTTTGCAACTGGAAAATGCCCAGTGACATAACTTGCCCTACAAATGACCTCACATGACAATCTCCATTATGTGTACATTTTCTATAGTGCCTTGGGCTTTCATATGATGAGATTGGATATCAGTATAGGTTTCCCTACAAATCATGAATTGGGATAAAAATTAAGTCAATGGAATCAATCCAAAGTTATAACTCATAAGATGTTCAGTTAAAGAGCAACCCTCTATTTCTTGAAGTTGTGTATATAAGATTTGTACCCTGTGATGTTATTAGGTTATTCCACATGCAGCATTTGCTTTAGTTATTTATTTTCTCTGTTCAAATATTGAAAATCTCTCTAGGCAACAATATTTCTTATCCGTAAATGCATCCTTATCAGAATCTTTAAGCAAAAGAAGTATTCATTTGGGCTATACAAAATTCAGGCCCACATTTTGCATGAATCTAACAGAATCTTATCCAAATAATAATTTAAAATGAACAGAGCATGTCTTTTCTCTTTTAGAAATACAACTTAGAGAACTTCATCTGGGAGATGTATACATCCATGTATACACACACACAGTAGCTGCATTACCCACAAGCAATAATTTCACACTTGTGACAACCATCACATAATCTGTGGTGGGAATGAGAAGAACATATTTTTAAGAGATTGAAAACATTGAATGTTTATCATCCTACCCTGTAGGAAGGAGAGTGAACATTCTAGTTTATTAGAAAAATCACTAGCCATTACTTGTTTTGTAAAATCACCGTTACTGCCTTGTAACAGTAAGGAAAGGATCTTGCTCGATAACAGTGCAGAATAAACCTTGGATATTTAGTTTTATAAATAGTGAAATGCAGCCCATACAGAATGAACCCTAGAGATTTAATTTTATAAATAGTGAAATGAAAGCCCAGAGAGAAGGAATGACTCCTTTACCATCACAGAGCTATTTGGTGGCCTCGCTGACATTAAAACCCATGTTTTCTTGATACGCCATCCTGTTTTTCTGTTTCCAATACACTACTTTTCCTTTTACTTAAATATGAATGTGAATTGTGTGAAAAAAAAATACTAGCATTCCTCCTGGAAGAAAGAAGCTCAAGTCCACTAGCAAGCTTGTCATTGATTTGGGTCGGGTCCGATTGGAATTTGGTAGAAATGTGGTTTGCTTTATTTGGCTGGGAGCAGTTCTCTGTAACCTAAGGATTCATTAGTTTGAAGTGCTGGCCTTTTGCCTCTTTCCAAGGCCATTTTAGATGCAGATTGTACCCCAGACATCATTTTTAAGTGACAGGAAAATCTCTGGAGATAACAAGAATCAGTCTGTGAAATTTATAGACCTTTTGCATTTTCTAATCCTTCTTGATGAATAACTCAGTTTCCAGCCAGGGTTTGAATTTAAGAGTTGATAAAGCATCAGTTCAAGCTGCTGGCTACTAAATCAATGCAAGCAATGGCTTAATCAGCCTTTCTGCTCCCCCCTACGACCTTCCCACAGAGTTCCGTCAGATTTCTATGGAAGCAGGTCAGCAAGAGGCAGACACCCTGACAAGCCCATTTGTAGCCATTAGATAGCATGGGAAGAGAATGCTGAGCAGCAGCGTGGTTGAAGATACTGGTATTCTGGGGAGCAGGACTGAAAGCATTGACTTGGAGATTACTTGAGTTTGGGAAAGAGATGTGAATAAGATGGGGAGTATTATGGCAAAATGGGGAAGAGACAAAAAATTATGATAGAATTCTAACAATTTGGTGCATTTATAGAGAAGAAATGATCGATGATGCTGTGTACTTGGCTGGCTCTTGTAATAGGACTTCATGCCTGGGAGCAAAATACACAACAAATTAAAGAGGGCCCTTTGTAAACCCTTGTGAGAGGGGACTGAGTGGGAGAGTAGCATTTGAGTGAGAATGGGTTCTCTTTAGTTATTTTCTTCAGGATTTGATTATGGAAATTTTCATGTTCTTCCCCCGCCACGTCCCCAAATCCCCATCTTCTCCTGGCAATTTGACAAAAGTTTCCACTTTTGTGAAACCAAAGTTTTTGTGAAACCCATAGTTTCATGGGCAGATTGAGGTTCTATAGAGAGATCTGTATTGCCATGGAAGGATGCGCTGATGTGATAGTTTGCCTTATTAAAATGTTGTTCATGCAAGTATGGAGTTTGGTTGCAATTGAGAAAAAAAATGTAACTAAGGCATCTGGCGTTTAACTGATTAGGTATCTTTTTGTACCCAGAACCATGAAGAAACACTGGTCCCGCTCTGGTTTTTCCACTCATGTGCATAGGTATGTTGATAGTTCATGAATCTGCAATGACTTTCTAAACCAGATTCTTGGAACATACAAGAAGATAGTCTGAGCTAGGTGATGGGGTCACTGTGATAAGATGCTGAGTCTAGGAAATAAAGGTGTGGTTTTCTCTAGCCTGCTTCTTACAGTCTGAGTGGTTGTCAGGGGAAAGGTTTTTGTTTTGTTCCTTCCAACGTTTCTTTTTAGGCTCAAGGGGTACCGGTGCAGGCTTGTTACATGGGTAAATTGAGTGTTCCAGGGGTTGCTTTTGTTTTTGTTTTTGAGACAGGGTCTCACTGTGTCACCCAGACTGGAGTGCAATGGTGGGTCCCTGGCTCACTGCCTCCTCGATCCCCTGGGCTCAAGGGATCCTCCCACCTTAGCCCCCTGAGTAGCTTGAACTGCAAGCTCAGGTCACCACATCCTGCTAACTTTTTAAATCTTTTGTAGAAATAGGGTCTCACAACATTGCCCAGGCTGGTCTTGAACTCCTGAGCTGAAGCCATCCTCCGGCCTCGGCCTCCGAAAGTGCTGGGATTACAGGTATGAGCCACCATGCCTATCTGGAACAGTGTGTTACTTGACTAAGAATAAATCTACCATAAGAGATGAAGACGTCTATTTTTTATTGAGGATCGGTGTTACCCTAAATCTTCAATGCTGAAGTGCATTCGTTATTCTGAAAACTTGCTATTTAAAGTGTGACTCATGGACGAGCAGCAGCAACACCTCCTGAGAGCTTTTGAAAAGCACAAAATCTCAAATCTCAACCCAAACTTACTAAATAAGAACATGTAACTTAACCAGATTTTCAAGTACGTCAGATGGACCTGAAAGCTTTGGAAGCACTGTTTTTAAAAAGTGCAAGGTAAAGCTTTTCTTCATCAAGGGTCTTGGGTTTTCCGGATTTTTGTTCCCAGGCAACCCAAATATCTGTGGTTGAATTCATCTCTTTACAGACAAACACCTTCTATTGTAACTTAAATTTTTCAAACCAATTGTCATGTGCATGAGATACTCATGGTTTTAAATAACTCAGATGGATTGAGGCTCTCTCTCTCTCCTCTCTGGAGGATTAAACCTATCAGTCCATAAATCTTCAGTATTTTAGTATGAAGACAAAAGCACTTTCTCTGACTGGTTTAAGGATCTCCACAGAGATCAGGAGTGGAGAGATCTGTATTCTCAGGCATAAACGTGAGATTTGATTGGCAGGGTGATTGACAGACTGGCATCTTCGATCCTCATCGGAGCCATAAAAGTGTCCTCAAAGTTTTTACCAAAAACTTAATGCAGTGGCATCTGTGACAAAAATGTAAGTACCGTTTCCACATTAAAATTTCACAATTTAGAATTTAGACTGCATTAAATTTTGCCTAGATGGAAGGACATCTAAAAACAAAACATATTTTTCATCTTTTCAAGGGAATGTACTTAAGTAGGTACAAAGAACTTTGTGGCCAGATGGAAGTTTGTTTAATAAACCAAAAATTTGCTCTTAAAACCAAGTTCCTTTTTTTAGTGGATTTTAAATAAATTACTGAACAAACAAATATTTACTTTTAGCCAATTGCTACAGTAGGAGAGAGAAATAATAGGTTTTCTTAGTAATAATTCTTGGATTTTCATGTATACACTTAGATCTCCACTGCTTCATTTCAAACTCAGGAAAAATATCTATGATTATTGATATAAACTAGTTTCCCTGGAGTTTTAAAAATATTTTCTTTCAAATTATTTTTCATATCCAAATTTAGAGAGCAAATGATCCAATCCTTCCTTTTGATGGCAAAGAAGAAACATACAGCATAAAGGAATGTTAAGTTAGGCATGCTCAGATTCAAATTGGTTTTCTGAATGAGAGTAAATGATAATTATTACTAATCATAATAATATTTAGATAAAGAAAATATTGTAGCTTTAATGTTTTAACAATGTTGTGTTTTTGGGGGTTAGAATAACAGTATTCCTTATGGATGTAAACTAATTTTTTAGATCCCATAGATAGTTGAATTTTAAAAAAACTAGAGGAAATTGTCAACGTATCTTTCAGTTTCTGCTTTAAATGTGTCTGAATATTTTTTTCATTTATGATTTTCTTATGACCATTGTCACAGCAACAGATACAAAGTGAGACATTCACTGAAATGGCAACTCATAGTATTCATCTTTATGTCATGCCTCTAAGTATTGAAATTTTATAATGAGAAGTAACCAGGGATGATTCGTTAGTTCATCTGTTTGCCTGTCTATCTATAATACATCATCTATTTATTTTTAGGAGTGACATTTTTAACAGATAACTTAAATAGATGTGATTTAACTAAGCCATTAAAAACCAGTTGATTGTGGGAGTTATTGTTCAATGGGTGTAAAGATTCAATTATGCAAGATGAGTAAATTCTAGAAATCTGCTGTGCAACATGGTGCCACGGTTAACAATACTGTATTGTGCACGTAAAAAATGTTTGTTAAAGCGAGGAATCTCAGGTTAGGTCTTCTTACACACACACACACACACACAGCAACAAAATCCCAAAGGGGCACAAGGAAACTAACTTTTGGAGGTGACAGATGTTTATCTTGATTTTGGTAGTGGTTTCACAGGTGTATCCATGTCCAAACTAATCAAATTGTACGCATTAAATACATATGGTTTTCTATATACCAGCTATACCTCAATGAAGCTGCCAAAATAACAATGACAAGAAAAAGTAGTTAATTATGGACTACAAAATTAAGGAATCCACCCCATATGGTGCATACCACTGGGGAAGATTGGTCTAAAAGAGGCCACTCTGTCATATAGTCAATCGTTAAGTGAAAAGAGGGTAAGAAATTTTTCTATAATAATTCATCTTTTATTTTTGTTTGTTTGCTTTTGTTAACTGACTAAATTATATCTGAAGATAATCTCTTATTCTTCCATCCCTTAAGCACCCACTGATACCCTCCCATACCACTTAGAATGAAATCTGAATTTCTTACATTGATTTTGAAAGTTCTCTGTAATCTGGCCTCTTTCATATGACAAGTCCCTACTCTGCCATCCTTTCCATGTTGGCTTTTTGCTCCTTACACTCTTGAACTCTGACTGCTTCTAAAGTACCCAGCACTGGCCTCTCCCACTATCTGAAATAGCCTTACAACTGATGGTCCAGGACTCCACGTAGCCAACCAGGGGTCTGCTTAAGTATCACTATATCCCAATGGCCTCTGCTGGCCCTCAAATCCACAGTAGATATTGTTGCCTTTCTGTGACAATCCTGACTATTCTGTACCTCTCTACAAAGTACCTATCATCATCTAAAATCTTTCTTTTTTATTCTTTCCTTAGTCATTTAAAAAATGTTGTCATTTACTGTTCTCTCTCCTGAATAGATTATAAGATGCATAAGATCAGGGACCTTGTCTGTCTCATCCTCTAGCTTCTCATTTCCAGGGATGTTGAAGCCACCTAGATATATGTCAGGGAAAGGCAAAGTTGATTATAGACGGGCCACAAATGCTGAGTCTGAGGCCCATTTTCTAAGCCCATCCTCTACACAAATATCAGTCACAGGTGCTCAGTGCTAGCTAACACATGGGAGCAGTTGTATCCTGGAGACCTATATACGATTACAATCTCCTCTTTCATGGATAAGCAGCAAGACATACTATCAACTTGGTTTGGTAACTGTCATGAAATTATTAACTATTGTGTCTTAACTCATCTATAAAGAGGCATAGGTTAAGTATTTTGGAGGTCAGCAAAGCAACAATCTCCCGTGCATTCAGGTCCTCTGATTTTTTTTCTCACATACCTACAATGTGCTGATAAATAACAGGGTTCAAAACTGGACAGCAAGTAGATTCAAACAGGTATTTCCTGCATCTCTAGGAAAACAAAACTGAGTGCATTTGTTTTGTATGACAAGTATACTACCAATAAGAAAACTTGCTTCTATTATGTGCTTGAATAAACTAAACTGAAAAAAGTAATTTAATGCACACATATTTATGATTATGTAAATAATGTTGAAAAAGGTATTATTTATGTTAATTTACAAAAATAATCATATTCATTGCAAAACATTATACAATATAGAAGCATTGTATTCTCCAGGTTTAAATGTTTGAGTATATAAGCCAAACTGAATGTAAATCATTGAACTTTAGAGAGTTACTATGAGAGTGAGAGAGAGTGTAGTTTTACTGGCTAGCCATTTATTCATATTGTTGAATGCCATGTAAGGACTCACTTTTTCACTTGCTCCCCAAACTCCCTTCTGCTCTGAGATTTAACCAGTCTGTTCTTTAAATATCTAAGTAACTGTGTGGTTATTATGTTTTTCCCTAAGAAATCTTACTTTAAAAAAAGATATTACTACCTAAAACTGGAAAAAAAAATCCTTTCACAAATTAAAGGTATGAGCTAGCAAATCATCAGCAGAGAGAAGTTTATAAGAATCAACAGAAATGGAATATTCAGAGTTAAGTTTTCAGAGGTGAGGAGCAGGGACCTTGGAAAAGTCAAAAACATTGAGCTTTTCTAGGAAGGGTGAGCTCAGCTGGAAATCCAGAATTTGGGTACATAGTAGAAAGGCTAAAGAGAAGGAATAGGAGTTTCTCAGTACAAGCAAATCAGGCACATTAGAGGTAAACCTTGTCTTTTGCACGATTTTGCCATTGCTAACTGCCAGAAACGCAAGAGAAGAAAAGTGAAGTTGATGAAATTTTTGGAACAACCTGGTTCATAGATTTTGAAATAGTGGAGTCATGTGCCACCTTTTAGTCATTCCTGGCTTTTAAGTTTCTGGGCAAAGGTCAATAATCACATGGAAAGTACACAAAGTAATAAATGTCTTGAAGGACTGGCCAGTCATGGTGGTCAGTCTTCTATGCAATGTCTGTTACTCGGGGGCCCCACCTGAGCATGGCTCATGAGAAAATGCTCCTCCCTTCTCAGGGTCCTCACATAGGAGCTGTGTCTGCTGTCTGAGCAGCCCATGGAGTAAAAGGACTTCAGGAGTCCCATGAGTCACAAGAATCACTTCTTGCTCCAGAGACAATCTTGGCTGGTTTGACAACTTTAAGAAGTTTGGCAAAATAACTCATGGCCTTCCCTATATCTTGACCTCTCCCTAAACTCTCTTCTTCATTAAAAGTGATGTTCTTGCTTAGAACGTATATTCCAAAACAACGTGTGTCAAAAGTCAGTTGTAAGTTTTTTTCCATTTCTTGTCTGTTGGATTGGTTTGGTTTTAATTAGATATTTGTACTATGAAGTTGAACCCTGAAATGGAGAGTTCCATACAAGATCTCATGGTAAAAAGTTTCATGAGGAGCACAAATCCACGATGGCTCTTGACACTTAGACAAGGCCCTGTTTTCTTCTGAAAACCTACATGTATGAAGCTGGGTCCTCTCTGTTCCACAAGATCTACATAAGATTGGACCCATAGTCAATTTCAAGCCCAAGGAAAGCAAAAGCCCACTGCAGTGTTTTGTCCCTTTAGAACTCATAATTTCATTTTCTTACCCAGGTCCAACTATGTATAGCCAACACACCAGCCTGGCAAGAAGATAGCGTTGCTGCAATTAACCATTTGTTCCTCTTTATACCTATAGATGCAAAAATTCTGCCATTTAATAATATTCACACTTCTTAGAAGAAACTCATTGCTCAAATGACAATTTAACTCTTTTATTACACCAATAGTATAAAATGGACAATCTTTCCCAAGATCATTTGCATGTCTAAGTGAACGAAAATGTGTCTTTTTTCCTCTTCTGGTCTTCAACAACAGAGGTTTGCTCAATCTTAAAATGAGTGTGTAGGTAAGTACTTATTTATTTTGAAGGAAGTTTTTGTTTGTTTGTTTATAATCTCATCAGAAATTTCTGCTACTGGGATATTTAAAAATATATACATTTACAATGCTTATAGTTCTAAAAGTACCTAACATAGTACCTTAGAGATTCAACTGTTAATAAATGGATAGGTGAATCTACTAAAACAAGAACAAAAATATGCCTTAAAGAAACATGGCAAACAAACATTTGAATAAATGCCAGTTCTCTTGTGCCAGTTGCAATGGGATGAAACAGGTGGTTAGATGTGGTAATCCTCTAAATTAATTCTCCCATTTTCTGTTGAGTGTATTATAGTTTAGATTTTTGTTAGGATTTCTCCCTGTTGTTCCCCAGATTTATTATTATAGTTATGTCTTCCTTGGGCACTCATTCTCTTACTCCAGAAAACTATGCAGCTGCAAATAAATTGAAATCAGAAGAAAGCCCGGCTTGGCATTCAGAATCGATACACAAAGTAAAAAATCAAGTCAACCCAGAGATAACTAAGCTCATTGGAGTTGCAGAAACATCAATGCAGTAATACCATGGAAAACACGTGGAATCTGGTAAGATCTCTTCTCCTTGAGGATTCAGGATCAAGACTCTGGGCTGTAGCTTTGCCCCCAAAACCCTGAATGGCAGCAGAAAAGGCTGTATTGAAGCAACTTGTGTCTTTCTAAATACGTCTTACAAAATAAACCCCGGTTCAGATACTCTGTTTAAATTTGAAAACAATTTTGTCAGGAAATGTAAAGCCCGCGTTACACTTAACAAGAAAGTGTTTATCCAAAGAGTTAATACAGATGAGTAATCTCACACTCACATGCCAGTTCTCTGGAGGTGGCATTCCTGTAAACAGCCAGACACTTTGAACTTACGGTTGTCACTTTATGTCATACTCCAACCACTAAAACAGCACACAACTGTGCAGTTCTTCCCTGTTAATCGAAAACATTCCCACCTCGTGGAAAATAACCCTGAAAAAAAAAAAAAAAAACGAGAAAGAAAAGCATCTTTCTAGAGAAAGTGCTTGTTCATCTCTTGAGTATTGATTAGTCTTTTCACCACTTCACCTTATTTATGCCTCTAGTATAACATATTGAATATTTATTCATCTACGTCTGCACTAGACTGGGTGCTCCTCGAAGGCAAGGATCATTGCTTATTAGTTTTTGTCTTAACTCTGAACACAGTACTCACTCAGTAAGCACTCAACAAGTGTTTGTTGAGTGAATGAATAAATACATTTTTATTGTTTCAATTTATTCACTGTAACAAAGTAACTCTAAGAATAGTAATTAGTTTTATATTCAAGCACAGCTGTTTTTAAATGTAAGACTTCTCCTTAGTACTTTTATAATTCAGAGCAATTCACATAAACTCTGGTTTTAGAATTTTGTTGTTGCTGTTTGTTTTGTATGTATGTGTGTGTGTTTGTGTGTGTGTGTATATATATATCTATACATCTATACATATATATCTATACATCTATACATATATATATCTATATATCTATACATATATATCTATATATGTATACATATATATCTATATATGTATACATATATATGTATATTATATATATATACTAGAGCACTCTCCCTTTAAAGTTATTTGATTGC
Organism: Homo sapiens; assembly: GCF_000001405.40. Lineage (NCBI taxonomy): Eukaryota > Metazoa > Chordata > Mammalia > Primates > Hominidae > Homo > Homo sapiens. The sequence continues at coordinate 71,045,838 of NC_000017.11, forward strand.
TATAAACATATGGGTATCAGTTATTCAGAGAGCTGTCTCTATTCATCAAATTGCACAGCAAATGTCCATGAAATGGCTTGGTAAATGTGGAAATTTTTCACATCCTAAGAAGACAGTGTTAAAAGTCTGGAGTAATTTTTAGCCTAGGCCAAGTGGTTGGGAACATTAGAGTACATTGTAGGATTTAATCCTTGCCACAAACATAGAAAAACCCTGTACAGAGTTGAGATTTATTTATTTTTGTGTGGGCTGTGATTTGTCTTTACATTCCAAGAGATGAATTAAGGCAGGTAATTGATTTTTTTCAGACCTCTCATCAAGCTGGAAGGGAGAAAAGATTAAAAGAAGAGAGACAGTGAGAATATTTAAAGCTTACATTATCAAGATTTGCTGCTTCTCAATTGCCATGTCCCTGAGGTGTTTTTGTCAGTTGTAAGAAGTGTTGAAAGTAAGCTGTTATGAATAATAATAGAAATTTGTGAAAGGTTCATAGATACAAATATATAGAACTTATGAAAAATGCTTTATAATCATCTTACTGTAATTTGCTACATTTTTTAGTTTAAATAGGTACTCTTTGAATTTTTTTTTTTCTTTGAAACAGAGTCTTGCACTGTCGCCCAGGGTGTAGTGCAACTGCTGGATCTTGGCTCACTGCAATCTCCACCTCCCGGGTTCAAGCGATTCTCCCACCTCAGCCTCCCAAGTAGCTAGGATTACAAGTGTGCATCACCACAGCTGACATTTTGTATTTTTAGTAGAGACAGGGCTTTACCATGTTGGCCAGGCTGGCGTTGAACTCCTGACCTCAAGTGATCCTCCCTCCTCTCCCTCCTCGGCTTCCCAAAGTACTGGGATTACAGGCATGAGCCACCATGCCTGGCCTGAATTTTGTATTGAGATTTAATTTACATGCACTGAAATAAATATACAGATCTTAAGTTCAATGAGCTTTGACATAGTGATACACCCATGTGATCCATATCTCAGTGAAGAAAATAGAACATCACCACTATCTTCGTGAAACCTCTTTCCCCATAATCTCTAGCCTCCAATCCCACATATTGGCTTTCTACAGGGAAAAGCTTTTATGATTTCTTTTGCCATAAATTAATTTTGCCTATTCTGGAATTTCATATAAATTAAATCACACAGCATATGCTCATTTGTATCAAGCTTCTTTAACTCAGCATAATGTCTGTGTGATTCACCCATATTACCGCATATTTTAGACATCCATTTCTTTTTCATTGCCATGTGCTATTTAATTATGAGACCCCTGCAACATGTTTAAACATTTTCTTAATGGACATTTAGACTGTCTTCGTTTTTGTCTAAAAGAAATAGAACTCCTATGAATATTCCTGTACAAGTTTTTGTTAGACATATTTTCTGTTATTGTGGGTAAATTACCTATAAATGGAATTGCTGGATCATAGACTAGGTGTGTATAACTTCATGAGAAACTGTTCCGGTGATTTCCACGGTGGTTGTTGCATTTTATAGTCTTATAGGAACATTAGAAAGTTGTGGTTGCTTCTCATTCTCCCTAACATTTGGTGTTGTATGACTTTTTATCTTAGCCATTCAAATGGACATGTAGTGATATCTTTAGTGGCTTTACCTTGCATTTCTTTGGTAACTAATAATGTTAAGCATTTGTACGTATGCTTATTGGAATTTGTATCTTTTCCTTTTTGAAATGTCTGTTCAAGTGCTTCATGTACTGTTAAAAAGTAGGTTGTTTTGTTGCATTATTAGAATTGTGTTTATATTCCAGATACAATAATACAAGTCCTTTGTCATATATATGTATGGCTGATATTTTCTCCCATCTGTGGCTAGCCTGTTCACTTTTTTTCAGTGTCTTTTGATGAGCAGATGCTTTTAATTTTGATGAAGTTGAATTTACAAAATTTTCATTGCTTAATGCTTTCTAGGTTGTATCTAAGAAATATTTGCCTACCTCAATAATGTGAACTTCTCTTACCTCTCTTATGTAAACTTTATAGCTTCAACTTTTTACTTTGAAGCATGATCTGTATCAAACTTGTAACTGTATGTGGTGAGAAAGCAAAACATAATTTTATTTTCTTGTCAATATCTAATTGTTCATTCAGTTACAATTTGTAGAGACAACTCTCATTTTTCCTTTGAATTATTTTGGAAAATTTGTCAAAATCAATTGGACATAAAAGTTTTGGTTTAATATTTATATCCAATTCTTTTTGACCCAATCTACCCCAACACTGAGATGAATCAAAAGGGGGTCATTGGTGATTTTTAATTCTTGCTATAAAGAAAAATCTCTCCATTGCCTATCAAATTCACATCTTGGAAGTACTATACATAAAAGTTCTATAATGTGATCCATCCTTCCTCTCTAAGCATTAAATAAGTGTACTCTCAAATGTGTGGTGATACTCAGACATGCCTCATGAATTTACTTTTGGTAACTTAAATGTGGTCTCTCAGGCGTTGCTTTGTTTTTTTATCTGTCTTCTCTTTGTAAGAGAGGAAATTTCTTTTTCCTTGCTCATACTCTGTGTGTAAAGCCAGCCCTATCTTTTCAGCTCGAACCATTTTTGACCTTAGGCTCTAGAAGTTAAAGGAGGTATAATAAAATAAGCCAGGTATCACCATCAAGTCACCCAAGTTGCCGTTCTGGCTCTAACTTTGAAAGCTCTACTCTTGTCTTTCTTCCTGGCTGTGTCCCTGGCTTGGTTCCCTGCTTAGTTCTATGTGGTAGCTCTAGATTTCACCTACTCCAGGAACTGAATCCTTTATCTAGAACTGTCTATCTCTCATTGTCTCTTATTCCTAGAACCTACGTCCTTACTTCTACCTGGCGTTACTGACACCCCATTACTATGGGCAAGACTCTTGGTGCCAATTGATATATAGACCAACACCTATTTTCAGTGACCATATCTTTTATGAGCACTGTTTTACTTCCTCAACTGGAATTTCTTATCATATCTATAGCTGATATTGTTCCATTAATGTAAGAACAAGGTGAGTTGGCAATTCTAGTTCCATATCACGTTCTTCCCTGACAGCTCTTTGGACATCAGGTCAACCCCACAGGTGAAGTAGGAAATGGCAGAGGAGACCGTTGCAAACTGAAATAACAGGGCCCAGGGAACAGGTCCCATGTGAGTCCTGGCCTAAGCTTGAGATGCCCACGCCATAAGACAGTTCTGGACCCAGTCATCTCAGGCTGTTGAAAGGGGAATTAAAAATTTTGAGGCAAGCACTCCAAAGCACAAACCATCTTCCCCTCCAACCCCAGACCAGTAAACCCCACTTGCCACCCTGATGTGTTTAATTGGGCCTTGTCTAATTAGATGCTTAGAGAGGGCTGCCCACTTATTGAATGCTAACACATGGCATAAGGCACGCAGGGAGGTAGACATGCTTACCCTGGTTGCCAGTGACAGGGTACACACAGAGTAAAGAATGCTTATCATCACCCCTGCTGATCTTGGGTGCTACAGACTGGAGGTCCCACTGCAGTTGGAACACTGAGAGGAGGGAAGAGTGGATATCTAGGCTTATCCATATGACCCAAGACTAAGGATTGATGGTGGATGGTTGACCCAGAGCTCCGAACTCAGCCTCTGTCTAATATGAAAGCACAAAACAGTGCTTTGCATCATGCTGGCAGCCCACTTTTATGCAGATACATAAATGAAATATGGTGCCTTCAAGAGGATGATTTGCTTGCCCACCACCCCTCTGGAATGAGGACTCAACCCTCAGTGTGATATAAAGTCATGAGACCCTGAGCTCTTCTGGCATCAGGTCAACCCCACAGGTGAAGTAGGAAGTTGCAGAGCAGACAGCTGCAAATGGAAATAACAGGCTGAGGGATCATGTCCCATGTTTGTCTTGGTCTAAGCTTGAGATGCCTGCGCCGTAAGACTGTTCTGGACTCAGTCATCTCAGGCAGTTGAAAGGTGAATAAAAATTTTTGAGGCAAGCACTTCAAAGCACAAACTACCTTCCCCTCCAACCCCAGACCTGTAAACCCTACTTGCCAAGATCTGACTTTATTATCATTCTTATATAGAAGATTTTTTTCCTGTAATTGGTAAGTCTGTTTTTCTCCGTCTCTTTGCAACTTTTTGCCCATTCTTCATTCTTTATGTTTTTCAAATTCCACATTCTCCATAAAACTTGACTAATTTCTCCAACTATAGATGATATCTACCTCCATTTTGAACTCTGGTATTCCATTACTATCTTTTCCTTTTTTTTTTTTTTTTTGAGTTCTTTGTTTGAGAATAGAGTTGTTATTTTTTTAAAACAGGGACTATGTTTTATTCATCTTTGTCTTGCTTAGAACCGAGGTAAGTAATTTTTAAAAAATCAAATGAAAGACATCTAAGAAGGATTTTTCCCCTATATTGTTTTTATGGATACCTAACAATAGATTTCTTCTAAAATTTAACTTAGTCTTTTCCCATAGGTTGCATTCCAAAGCCCTGACCCTAAATGATGAGAGAAATGATTCGTTTTGGTGATCTACTCTTTCCACCTTGTTTTAACAATGGATTTAGTTTAAGTAATTGTAAGCTGCTCTACCAACTAACTTAGGTGAGATTCATGGATTAAATAGGAATAATTGTTCCTCTTTATGAGGTCTTTAGGAAAATAAGTAATTTGTATATGGCATCCATACAAGTGCTATTTAGTAAATTGCAGTTGGTGTTAATAAAGGAGATAGATTGCAATAAACACCTTCTGAGGAAATGACCTCTAATCTACTCCTGGCCATATATGTTATCCTGACCACAAAACACTAATTATTCCAGAATTTCAAGGAAGACTAGCTCATTCACTTCCTCTCTGCCTAAAGGGATATTTCTTCTCAGCCTTTAACCTTCACCTACTTGTCAACCTGGAAGTATTTCTCCCACCAGAGAGGAAGTTAAGGAACAAGGTATCTAGAGAGCATTTAAGTTTTCAGGTGTTCAATAAATACCTGAAGGCTAACTACCCAGGGTTCAGTTACACTTATGCAAAAACAGAGAATAAAGCTACACTGCACAATTAACATACGTGGTGAATGTAAACTTGGCTATATTTATTGACATCCTTCTCCTGGATTTAGAAGTAACTTGAGATGGCTATATATATATATATATATATATATATATATATATATATATATATATATTTAAATAGGTAGGCTGTACTATTTCAGCCAACACATTTTTTTTGGCTGAAAATATTTAATATCTCTACTTCAATATATATATATTTGTTAATTGTCAATTTTAATTAGATGGTGCTACACGTGCCTGATAAAAATGATTAACAATAATGAAATCTCAAATACAGTTGGCTTAGAGTTCATGATTTGCCCTACCTCAGGTCCAATTACAACTCTAGCCATTTCTACCATTTCTTAAAAGATCTTAAACATCTTAAAGGTAGTTTGGTAGTTTAAGGCCCTCTACAGGTAGTTTGACACATGAAATTATTAAGCTATACAGTGGAAGGTGACGTTGTGAGTTGAAGCAAAAGATCAAATACTATGATGCACTCTATTTCAATGCTTTCCAACTTTATGCCAACAGTGTATGCAAATTTTAGAAAGACCACATTAATTACAACCTGGAAGACAGAGTAGAAGTGCATAAGTGAAGTCAAAAGAAAAAGCAAAAGTCTCTTGACATATTCAAGAGAAGCTTGAATTGAAACGAAAGCAGAAACACATGAGAGGCGTAATAAGGGATGGATGTTAGAACATTTAATAGACATCATCATCACCTTAAGGGTAATTTAGATAAGGAGGTAAGGGAAAAGGAGAATTTAGCATGACTCTCAGGTTTCTATTCTGTGCAGCTGAAACAGGGTTGTATCATTTTTTGAGAAAGAGAGGTTGGAGAAGCAGCACAAATTTGTTCTGGAAAACAGGCTGAGATGGGCTTTGAACATGTTTAATGCGCTAATTTGTGCAAATGTATTAATTTGTGCGGCTTCTCAAGTGTCAAGAAATTTGTTGAGCACAAAACTCTGTAGTGCAAGAAACTTAACTATGCTCAGGAAACATTGAGGATTGTTATCATTTAACAGACAAGTGTGAAGAACTGTTCATGGAAAAGGCTAAGAATGACCATAGAGGTTTAGAAAATGACCATAAGCAATGGTGTCACAGAATTCAAGGGAAGAGACCAGGTGCGGTGGCTCACGCCTGTAATCCCAGCACTTTGGGAGGCTAAGGCAGGCGGATCACGAGGTCAGGAGTTCAAGACCATCCTGGGCAACATGGTGAAACCCTGTCTCTACTAAAAATACAAAAATTAGCTGGGCGCAGTGGTGCGTGCCTATAATCCCAGCTACTAGGGAGGCTGAAGCAGGAGAATCGCTTGACCCTGGGAGGCAGAGGTTGCAGTGAGCTGAGATTGTGCCACTGTACTCCAGCCGGGGTGACAGAGTGAGACTCTGCCTCAAATAAATAAATAAATAAACAAATAAATTCAAGGGAGGATGGAGTTTCAAGAAGCAGAAAGTCCAGAGTGGCAAGTCATGTAGAAAAGTCATGTTACAATAGAAAGGAAAAGTGTCCACTAGATATTTTGTCAAAATGCACACTCCAGAATTTTGTGAGAACCATGGCATGGATGTTCCAGGGTCAGGCTGATGGCCGGGTAGAAGTGAATCGGGAGTTAAGTCATTGCAGAGAGGAAGTAAATAATCATCACTCAAAACGTTTTGCTGTAGAAGAGAAATATGGTGTCATGGGAGTACTTATGGACATATATATATTTTTCCATTTTAGTGGTATATTTAGAATATTTTTATGTTTAGAAGAAGAAAATGTTGGTGGCTCTGATTACAAGATTGAAGAGAAATGTTAAAGAGAGGTTTGAGGAGAGGTGACGCAAAACACAGCAAGAAGAATTAAATTTAGACAGAAGAGGGAACCCTCCTTCTCAGAGAAGGGAGGATAGGTGGAAAGACAAATAACTAAATAAAATTGTTCTTTATTTCCTTTGGAAATCCCAGACAGTAAAGAAACACAATTTCATTGACCAATAATTGATGATGCCATGTCGAAGTGTCTCCACCTGGCAGGAAGAGCATATGATTTAAGGCAGATAATCTGCCTCCCTCTCTGCTTTGGGACCATTAGATTTGGGGGAAAAAATGGACTTGGTGAGTTGGGGAGGTGGTGGGGAGAAATGAACTCTCCCTGGGTCCATTCTCACTATATTTTTATTCTCTATGGAAGAGAACAGATGTTCTCTTTTTTGTTGAGAAAGCACCATGCTTCCTCCTCAACTTCATTTTGAACAGGAGGTTTCAAGAGAGGCCACCCACAGCTCTGAGTGTTCCCACTGAGAGGAAAAATAAATGCCAAACCCATGTGCACTGAGCAAGAAAAAGCAGCTGAAAAAAAATTACTCCAACTTTATAGCCAGACCTGCTTGGCTAGCATAGAGGCAAATTAAGCTTACCAAACATTTTTTTTTTTAACCATCAATAGTTCATTGCCGTTGATAACAGACAACCAAATATCTAATTCATGATAGTCCAATTTACTAAACCCAAGAAGTGGAAGCTCTTGGAAAAGTATGACTTTTTTTTTTTTCCTGGAGATTCATATGCTAATGGGGAGGGGACAGAACTTAGAATGTAAAGTAGTCAAAAGGTATGAATAATATCAATAATGACCAGAGGGCTTTATCACAGGAGAGTAGATAGGGACTGAGAATCCTTGGAGTCAAAAAATATATATACATAGGTTAGTATACTGGCCACTGACTTTGCCAAGTATAGTCTTGTGCATCTTTAGGGAAATTACTTAACACTCCTATGTATCAACTCTCTTCACCATAAAATGCTCAATCTAACAGCATCTTCCTGATAAGATTACATGAATGAATACATATAGCACATATACCTATAGTTTGTATTTTATGTAATTTTAATTTGTTATTATAAATATTTTGCAGCATGTTTACTTATTTATTATTACTTAGTTTTGATCCATCAGATTCTTGTCAGGAAACAGAGTTTATAGTTTCCTACAAACTTTAAAATGGAGACACTTTAAAGAAATACATACAGTGAGGAAAGCGGGAGAAGGGACAGGAAAGTGTGGAGAGACTCAGCAATTAAGGAAAGCTATTACGCCCCAAGGGACACAGAGATCAAACAGGGTCAGAGGCAACTATCAGAGGGAAGACCTGGACACTGGAATCATGCAAAGGGACCACCCTAGAGGGGGTGCTAAGTCATGAAGGTACAAAGCTCCTGCGAGAGACTTGGTGTCTACACAGGAAGAAGAAGGAGAAAAAACATTTACTCTTATTGTCTCTACCCTTAGACCCTTTTCAGTGACTGCCATTGGCTAAAGCCAAAAGAATCCAACCAACAAAGGGAGTGTGGTTGATGCCTTCAGCAAAAGTCACAGAGCATGATGAAGAAGAGAATAGAAAAGACCTGAATCAGAATAACACTAAGTTAAGCACTAAAGATAGCTCATAGCAAACCATAAAAGCTTAATAAATATTACTGAAAATTATTTAACTATCAAGCTGATGATATTGATGAAGAAGATGATGATAATGACCATGTAGTATAGAAAAACCCAAAGAAGGAGTTTGAAGTATGCCGATATTTTTTTTTTCAGACAAAAATTGTAAGTGTTAGACATATGGCTGGGTTCTGAACATGCCAACATTGATACGAGATTTTATCTTCAAGAAATTACACAGAATCTATGGAGGAGACAGATATTAAATAGTTATAATACAGTGTGAGATATTCTGTTTGGAGAGATATATATTCAGCCCTTAGGATAGAAAAAGAATTCAGTAATAATTGCAGAATTTTTACACAAGCTGGATTGTGAAGGACACATAATGATTTTGTAGTGAATAAAAAAGTCTTTGTGATTTGCTTATCAAGGTAGCTTGAAATTCACATTCTAATCTACTGATTTAATAACTAAAGGATTGTTTCACATGGGATTGAGCATAATTCTCAGAAGTAATTTTCATAAAATACATGTTACTAAAATAATGTTAATCAATCAATTAAATGTTCATCAAATGCTAATTTAATTGGTATTAAAAAACAGCTCTGGTCATTCACTCCAAGATTGAGTTCTTAATTTTAGGCTTAAAGACTCTGGAAAGAAACAAGAACCAAGGACAGTCACATGATCCAGAAAGGAAAACATTGCTTATGGGCCATATGCTTTTCTAAGCCTCAGGACTTTATTGTGGCTAAAGCAAGAACACATCAATATGTGGGATAAGAAACCTCTGAAAGTGCATTTCATTATCTGAAAGAATCAAAACAGTGAAGAAGAGTGAATTTATCTACATATTGAAAGAGATTCAGTGAGTAATTTGTCCAGTCTCTTTCTTATCTAATTTAATCCAAACACCACCCATTGATGGGGAGTTTCAATTTTCAGTATTTTAGCCTAATGCTCAGGAAGGAATGCCAGTGAACATGGACTTGTGGCTTTAAGTGACTAATCATAGCAACTGCTATACAAACATGTAAGGAAAAGCCAACAGACTATGATGAATGAGAAACTTCCTTATATTTCATTCCTTTGGTGCTTTTTTTCCTTCTTCCTTTCTCTTCTCTAAACATTTTTTCTTTTTTTTTTTTTTGACAGAGTCTAATTCTGTCACACAGGCTGGAGTGCAGTGGAGCAATCTGGCCTCACTGCAACCTCTGTCTCCGGGTTCAAGCCATCCTCTCACCTCACCCTCCTGAGTAGCTGGGAGTACAGGTGTGCACCACCATGACCAGCTATTTTTTTTTTTTTTTTTTTTTTTTGTAGAGACAGGGTTTCACCATGTTGCCCAGGCTGGTCTCAAACTCCTGACCTCAAGTGCCTCCCAAAGTGCTGAGATTACAGGTGTAAACTACTGTGCCCTGCCCTCTAAACATTTTTTTCTAAGCGACTCCAAGACTGCATGTTCAATTGAGATGACAGGCAGTGGAGTTCTGTGGGCCACACGGATGTTATTTGTTTGGGGGTAGCTGACACATCATCAGAAACTTTCATATTATTTAGTATGCGAAGAATAGACTGATGGAAATGGAATATAGCAGTTGGTGGAAGGAAAGAAATGATGAGACCAATTGTAAAACTCCACATCCAAGGCATGATGGGTGAAATTTACTCAGAGATCTTGCTGGAAATCTCATTCCATGATGTAGATGGGGTGTGAAGGCATCGTGGCCATTATTACTCACACCCCCTGCAGTTGAAGACAATCCATACCCTCTGTAGGCTGATCTACATGAATACAAACACAGAGACACCTCCTCCACAGAAACACCATGAAATGTGGTCTTCCACTAAATATCAGACAGTTGAAAGAGGAATCCAAGAATCTCAATTATTTGCACATGTAGGAGGAAAAAAATGGATCTTTCAGTATACTTATGCTACCTATAACCTCTACTTCCTAACTGTGGATATGGGAAGAATAATTTGGGCTTTCTTATGCCTGCTGAACAAATTTTGGGTTATTTCATGAACATTTATTATTAAATAAGAAAATTTAAATTATATAACCTGATTGATTCTTTAAGGTCTGTGTTTTAAGTAAGAAACCAGCTTATGATTTTCACAGGTTTTCTACAAAGAAACTATTATATCAGGTGCATGGCTCATGCCTGTAATTCTAGCATTTTGGAAAGCCAAGGCAAAAAGATTCTATGAGTCTAGGAGTTTGAGACCAGCTTGGGTAACACAGGGAGACGCCATCTCTACAAAAAAAAAAAAATTAAAAAATTAGCCAGGCATGGTGGTGCATGAGTGTTATCCTAGCTACTCAGGAGGCTGAAAAGGGAGGATTGCTTGAGCCTGGGAGGTTGAGGCTGCAGTGAGTCATCATTACGCCACTGCCCTTGAGCCTGGGCAATTGAGCAAGATCTCATCTCAAAATAAAATAAATAGAATAAAATAGAAACTATTAAGTCCATTTATGCCAATGTACTAGATTCATTATGCATTGACTATAATACCAGTGTTAATGTGTCATGGGAAGAAAATGTAATCACAATTTAGTATTGATAATGGCATTTACTATCCTCTAGGAGGAAGAATCTAGAACTAAAGGTAACCTGTGGATAAAGAATTTGAAAATCTTCAGGTTGTGGTCCATGTATAATTTTAGAATTTACATTTTATCCAGCCAGTGGGATGATGGGGGCGTCAGATGTATTGGCATGGTTCAAAAGATATGTCTATTCCCTGAGGAATGCTGAGTTCCTGCATTAATAAATAAACAGCTGAGTAGAGCCATAAATCAGGTTATAAGTAGTAAAATGTAATTAAAGTAATAAAGTGAAAAGAACGCTGAATAAAGCATCTGAACAGCTTCCCTTTTTATTTATTAAGTGAGGTCTTACCTTCTTTATGCTTAACTTAAAATCAGAAGCACTTCCTTAATTGTTACTATTTTTTTACTTCCTTAAAATGGCGGGTTTTTTCTCCCAATACACGTTACTGAGGTATCTTTAGAAACTTCTCAAATAATATTTAGTGTGTAGCTTTCATACGTATCACTAGAAACATTTTCACTCATATTTAAAAATAAGCTTGAACTTATATTTAAGAATGTATGTCTTCTAAATAATAAAGATTGAAGATAACTAGAAGTCATTTTATACAATTTCTTCATTTTAGCAATAAGGAAAACGGGACACAAAGAAGCCAAGTAGCTAGGGCCACATAAATATTTAGAGGCATAATTTAAGGCCAGGTTTCGTAATTCTTACGCGGATGGTGAAATACAGAAAAAAAAAATGCGTTGGCTTTGATACATCTCCAATTCCCTTAACCATTATTTCTCAATACTTTCTCATTGGCTTATACTTTTGGTTCCTGAAAGTTTTGGTGCTTCTATGTGGTCAGTGAACTCGGTCTCTGGATCTTCTGAATTTCTTTATCTGCCTCTTCAAGGCTGTGCTTTCTCCTGTTAGTATAGTGAAAGGACAGTACATGAGGCCTGAAGCCTTTGAATAATACCCCTGTTTCCCCAGCTTGGCAGCTTTGCTGAAACGAACCGTTCTACAGAAGGTGTTTCTTGGATGTAAATGGCCAACCAAATGTATGCATACTTTAAGGGTAATTTATGGAGGAAAAAAGTTAATGTTACACTATAGTTATATTTGCTAGGTAGAGCTGGCAAGCGATTCACCAAAGGCGTCTGAGTATATTATTTCTCTCTTTTGGGAAGTTGAGGAAAAAAGGAAGGAAGAGTTTGGAATTTCGTTTCAGTCTTGAGATCCTGATAAAAGCTGACTCAGGAGTTCAAAAGAAGAAGAGCCAATATTAACAACGTTGTCTATCTTCACATTATTTTTGCCTTAATATTTGAGGTTGCCTTGCACTTGAAAAGTAGTAAAATAAATAGTCACAATTGACCTTCGGTTTGTCATAAAGTTATAACCTGCTCTGAGTAACATGTTGAAAGACAAACTTAAATCACAGATAAACAAAATTATTTACTTTAAAAGGTATTCACAGGCTGGGTGTGGTGGATCACGCCTGTAATTTCAGCACTTTGGGAGGCCGAGGGATCACGAGGTCAGGAGACTGAGACCACCCTGGCTAACACGGTGAAACCCTGTCTCTACTAAAAATACAAAAAAAAAAAAAAAAAAAAAAAAAAAAAAAATTAGCCAGGCGTGGTGGCACACACCTGTAATCCTAGCTACTCGGGAGGCTGAGGCAGGAGAATTGCTTGAATCCAGGAGGTGGAGGTTGCAGTGAGCTGAGATCGTGCCACTGTACTCCAGCCTGGGCGACAGAGCAAGAATCCATCTCAAAAAAAAAAAAAAAAAAAAAGATATTCACAGTAGTGTACTTGTAATGTGAACAGGTTCTTCTTAAGGTTAAATATGTTCCAAGATACAAAACTTTTGTTTGAAAGTCAAAGCCTCTGTATTGCTTCTACTCCTCTTTCCCCAATTTATCACCCCCTTCACCTTCCTGGCTGCAGGCAATCTTTTATGGTTTAGTTTCATTGTCCATAATATCTAAATAAAATTTATTATGATACAAATACTGTAGACATATATAGTATGACATATTATAATGATAAATTCACTGTGTTTTCAGAATTAGAATATCTATAAAGTAAAACAAATTAGGCCAGGTGCAGTGGCTCATACTTGAAATCTCAGCACTTCGGGAGACTGAGGCAGGAGCCTAGCTTGAGCTCGGGAGTTCAAGACCAGCTGGGGCAATGTTGCATCATCATGTCTCTACCAAAAAAAATTAATAAATAAAAAAATATAAAATTAGCCTGATGTGGTGGCAGGTACCTGTAGTTCTAGCTACTTGAGAGGCTGAGGTGGGAGGATTATTTGTGCCCAGGAGTTCCAGTCTGCAGTGAGCCATGTTTGTGCCACTGTACTCACTCCAGCCTGGACGAGAGAGTGAGACTCTGTCTCTAACCAAATATAATAAAATAAAATAAATAATAAAAATAAAATAAAATAAATCAGTTCAGAAATAAAATCAGAATGGGAATTGTCTTTAGATATTGAACCTCAGTTTGCTCATCTGTTAAGACATGATAAATCAATGTAAAAATATCTCCATTTAATGGTTTCTAACAATTGAAACTAAAAGTATATTTCACATATACAAATTTTGGATAATGTTTCCATGGATTTTTGTATAAAATAAAAGATAATAATGATAGCATCAGGAAGGGATTAACATCTTATTTAAAAGAACTTCTCATATAAATTTAATTGGAAAAAATATTTATAACTTTTATCTTCGTCAATATCCAAATGAACCAAAGAAGTGCTTAAGAACTTAGTAAGAAAATACATAATTTCATGTATTTCAAAGCTCTAGGCAGGTCACTGCATGTGCTGGCCATGGTCCAACATCTTGGAAAGGCTAATTTATTCTACAGGAGGAAATGGAAAGAGTTATTTATTTTTTGCTATTTGTTTTCTTTTTTAGTTTTAGTTTTTGTTTTTCTTTTGCCTCTAAGAGGAACAAAGCACGAGGGGAGAAACAGGGAAAGGAGGAAGTTCAAGAGGAGGGCTGAACAATAAGGCAGGAGGTTGAAGCTTCAGTTGTGCTACTAGCCAATCTACTTTACTCAGCAATTTATTTCCCTAGATAATCCACATCTCTTCCAGTTCATTTGTCTCACTATTTACCCTTATATTAGCAAGTGATTTCTCTTCCTACTTTGCTGAAGAAATAGAAGACAGCTGATGAGAACAACCTCAAATTATATCCACCTCTAATTAAAAACATATTGGAATCTCCACTTTCCACTTTACATCAGATAAGAGTAAAGTTCTCCTCCTTTTCAAGTATGATGCCCCTTCACAACCTGGTCTATAGATCCTCTGTTTTTCTGTAGGCTCAGCCCACTGCCATATAATCATGTCATTACAAAGCATCAAAACTTGTTGACCTTCTAATCTCATTCAATTCTCTTCTCAACCTCTGATATGGTTTAGCTCTCTGTCCCCACCCAAATCTCACCTTGAATTATAATAATCCCCAGGTGTCGTGCGAGGGACCCAGTGGGAGGTAATTGAATGATGGGGGCAGGTTTTTCCCGTGCTATTCTCGTAATAGTGAATAAGTCTCACACGATCTGATGGTTTTATAAAGGGGAGTTCCCCTGCTTATGTTCTCTTGCCTGCCTCCATGTAAGATGTGCCTTTGCTCTTTCTTCACCTTCCGCCATGATTGTGAGGCCTCCCCAGCCATGTGAAACTGTAAGTCCATTAAACCTCTTTCTTTTATAAATTACCCAGTCTCAGGTATGTCTTTATTAGCAACATGAGAATGGACTAATACAACCTCTTAATCTTGGGTTCATCTACAACAAGTGTGTTAAAATACTATTTTCAATTTACCACTGACTTATTTGTTTAAGTCAATGATGTTTTTCCTTTGGCACTTGAGCCCTGATATGGTTAGACTTTGTGTCCCTACCCAAATCTCATCATGAATTGTCATTCCCATGTATCAAGGGAGGAATCTGATGGATGGTGACTGGATTATGGGGAGTGGTTTCCCCTATGCTGTTCTCATGATAGTGAGTGAGTCTCATGAGATCTGATGGTTTTAAAAGTGGCAGCTTTCTGTGCTTGCACTCTTCTCACTCCTGCTGCCATGTGAAGAAAGTGCCTTGCTTCCTCTTTGCCTTTCATCATGGTTGTTAAGTTTCCTGAGGCCTCCCAAGCCATGTGGAACTGTGAGCCAATTAAACCTCTTTCCTTTATAAATTACCCAGACTCGGGTAGTATCTTTATAGTGTAAGAACAGAACAATATAAGCTCTTTGCAGAAGGTGACAATCTTGTGCTTTTTCTCCATTGTCCCACATGGTTAAAGTAGAATGCTTTATTCTACATGTCTTTCTAGAGTGATTCCCACATCCATGACTTCAACTAGTACTGATATGCCCATACTCTTGTCCCAAACTTTAAGCTACTGTATCTATTCTTTCTACCAACTTGGTCAACTGAAAGTCCCCAAAGTAACTGAACCTCAAAATGTCTACAATTCAGTCACTCTTACTTCTCCTGCCTCTTTAAATGTGATTCCTTTTATTCCTAAGCTTGTGGAAATGGCATTAACATACAGAAAATCTCCTAAGCCAGAAATCTGGGACAATTTCTTCTTCATTATCACCACATCATATACCATGAGGCTCTCAGGCCATAGAGCCTTGGGTTTTTCCTGTGGATGATAGGATGCCCCTGTAGGGTTTTCAAGCAGGAGAAAGACATGGCCAGAGTTTTGTTTGAGGAGAACACTCAGATGGCATTGTGGAAGATGGATTGCATGGGGGAAGCTATAAAAGAAGCTATAAACTAGGTTGGAGATGGTCCCACTTGTGGAAGTTACTGATGTTGGGACCTGTTCTAGAATTTTGGAAGTTGGAATAAAGAGTAACACACACATTTGAGAAATGTTTGAGATGGATGTCTGAGAAATTACTTTAAATAAAATCTAAACTTTACAACATTTATCTGACATGAAACACGGTAACATGATTTGTTTCACACCCAACACGTTGCTGCTATCATTCAGGCTGTTAGAATTTCCCATTCCAAGATGTTGACTTCCACCACCACCCTACCATGCATGCCTGTGCACGTACAATGCAAATGCTCACACCCCTACACACACACACACACAAACACACACAAACACATACACACATACAAACACACAGAAGTAGTGTGTGTATCTACTTTTAGATGACTCCTGTATCTAGTCCCTTCTCTATATTAATATTTTATTGTCCTCATTATTTCTTCTCCAGAATAATGCAATTGCCTCTTTTTGCTAATGTAAATTCGATTATCACACCAAACTACTGTTAAGAAATATGAATATGATCCTATTATTTTTACCAAGTGCAATACTTCTGTTGTTCCCTAGACACAATCATGTCAAAACTACTCGGTATAACATTGCATCTATCATTTAACATCTGCCTATTTCTATGACTCCATCTCCTCCTCTTATCTTACAAAACATCCAATATTCTAGCTATACAGTTGACGTTTCTTGAATGTGTCATATTCTAAGCGGGGGTCTCTCAACATTTTAGTCTTGCTTTGTCCCTTCCTGGAACCTCTTCTCATGTTCTCTGCATGACTGACATTTCTTGAATGTGCCATATTCTAAGAGGTTTCTGAACATCTGGGGCTTGCATTGTCTCTTTCTGGAACGTCTTTACATATTCTCTGCATGAGTCCCAGAAATATAAGCTACATATATGTGTGTGTGTATGTTATATATACATGAATGATATGTATATATATATACATAAGATATATGTATATATTTGTATGTACAAATACATTTACACATATATGTATATAAACATGGTGTACTGTATATATGTTACATGTTACATATAAGTGTATATACATATATAAAATATTCATTTCTACAAGTTAACTAGATTCAAATGTACAAGGATCTTTTCCAGAGCGCCTTCCTGGTACTTTTATGCTGAATCTGATTTTTCTAATCTGCTTTTTCATACTACATTTTATAAAGTTATAATTGATATCACTGCATTTTAATTATTGAGTTCACCATTTTCCTTTCCCACTAAAATATGAAATCCTCAAAGTCCTAGTTTTCCTCTTCCACATCTATATCCTAAAAACCTAAAAGAAAGTCTAGCAGATATTCAGTAAATATTTATTGAATAAACCACACTACTAAAGTTCCAGATAAGATGCACATATATGATTGTAGGCTATATTGAAGTTCACATCAGCAGCTGGAGAAAGGAAGTCAATTCGTTAACAAGGTTTTATTTATTATTATGCTGCCAAGATTAATTTTATCTCTTTGCTTTCATGTAAGTTACTGTGCTTAGGATAAAATGGTGACCTCACGTTTGAATTTCACTAATTTTGCCTTTCACAGCAGGGAACTAGACTAAGTCAGCATTTTTATGTCCTAAACTACCTTCAAGACATAAGGTCTTACTTAAAATAATAAATGATCATCCTTCAAGAGTCAATTAGAATCAGAATCATAACAATTTCTTTCTGGAAAAGACAGTCTTAAGAGACATGTATTTCAACTGTAGTTGAACTGACTCATAAATTTGATAATTGTTCTTCCTGCTGTGAATGTTAGCTTCTATTCTACTTTTAGCCCAACATATATAGTTCCTTGCGACTATAGAATCTGTGATAATCACTCTAAATTTTATACAAAAATGTACACTTATTTAGTGGCTGTTTCAGTCATTCAAAACAGTCTGGAAACTAAAAAATTTAACCAAATAAAAATTTCAAGGGGAAAGTCATGTTATTGTTTTTCTTCAAACATACTGTTTTTAGCCTAGAGCAAAAGTAAACGTTAAGTGGTCCCTGCAGGGATATCTGACATAGAGGGCTCATTAAGCTGAAGAATTATCCAGCAAGTGTCAAAGAGTTAGTGGAGCTGTCAATGGTACAGAAACTTCTTTGCAAAATTTATGCCATGCCTTTGATATACCACTAGTCCCAGGGCAAGTTCCCAGAAATATAAGCTACATATATGTGTGTGTGCGTGTGTGTGTGTATGTGTATGTTATATATATATGAATGATATGTATACGTATATACATAAGATATATGTATATATTTGTATGTACAAATATATTTACACATATATGTATATAAACATGGTATACTGTATATATGTTACATATAACTGTATGTACATATATAAAATATATAGGTACAGACACATACTGTATATGATTTATTTCACTCAACATATATGTTTATACACATACATGAATATAAACATGGTGTGTATATATGTATATATAACATATATACATATATACACACGATGTATATACTTGTTGACTTCAATCTAATATGTTTGATGCTGTGATAAATACAGATAGTGCCCTGTGGAAGCACAGATGAGTGACAGCTCCAGAGTCAGAAAACATTCTCTACAGGAGCTGGAAAACAAGCTCAGTTTCAATGGAAAGGCTAAGAATGGAGGCGCTGATAGGGCGTTGGATTACAGAGAACTTGAAGAGGAGGGCAAACATTACATGGAATGAAGAAGGGAATAGACCAGGGTACATATATGGGCAATTTACCAGTGATTTGTCCTCATAAAGTAGTGAGCAAGGTGAAGGTGGGAAAGTGAGTAGAGGCCAGGTCACAGAATCTTGGGAATTTCCTGTGGATGATAGGATGCCCCTATAGGGTTTTCAAGCAGGAGAAAGACTTGACCAGAGTTTTATTTGAGGAGAACACTCAGATGGCATTGTGGAAGATGGATTGCATAGAGGAAGCTATAAAAGAAGCTATAAACCGGGTTGGAGATGGTCCCATTTGTGAAAGTTACTGATGTTGGGACCTGTTCTAGAATTTTGGAAGTTGGGGGGATGAACAAAAACACGTACATTTGAGGAATGTTTGAGATGGAAGTCCCAGAAATTACTTTAAATCAAATCTAAAATTTACCACATTTATCTGACATGACACACATTAAAATGATTTGTTTCACACCAAAATTATTGCTGCTATCATTCCGGTTGTTAGAGTTTCCCATTCCAAGACGTTGACTTTCACCACCACCTCGCCATGCATACCTGTGCACATAGAATGCAAATACTCACATCCCTACACACAGGCGCGCGCGCGCGCGCGCACACACACACACACACACACGCACACTGGCTGTATGCCATTATAATGCCTTGCTTAAAGAGTACAGAGTCACTCCTAATTATATCACAAATGAAGTCAAGAAATTCAATTTTGTGCTCAGGCCTAGCTCTCTCATTAAGGTTACTGCAATTTGGGAAGTTAAAAAAATGTTGGAATGGAGATGAATGAGGAACAAAGTCATTGGGGAGCTGACTTATCCTCAATTCTTCATTTCGCTTTGAAAGTAAATACATCGGCCTTGGGCTCTAGGCTACAAAGAAAATAATGGGCAATTATTCGGTTGATCTGATCACGATAGACTGTGAAACCAGATAATGCCTCCTGCACTCCTCATTACACCCTCCCCTCCAAGAGCACGTTGTTTTGTCTACACAGAAATTTCCAAATATAGCTCAGGTATGTTGTTTCAGGACCTCAGCAGTGACTGCAGCTTGAGGTCCGTCTTTTAGTCCAGTTTTGCAGAGTGCAGTGTCTCAGTAAATTACAAAATAAATGCCTTCTGTTACATGGGGACCGCTGAACACCAGAGGGAGTTAAGGGTTTCCTTCGACAGCGGTGATGCATGTTTCGTTTTTAAAAGGTTCCCATGAAATACTGAAATGGAGAAACAAATAAATTTATTCTTTAATTCATAAAGTATATTGGGAAGAAAGATAGCTGTTGATTGGTAAAAAACTCTACTGTATTTTTGTTTAAACTGAAGAATGTGGTTGATGTAAAAACAACTTCTCCTCACTTTTTTTTCCAGTTTTCTTCTTTATGTTGACAATTTCCCGCTATTTTGAAGGACATTACTAACGTGTAAAAGTCCCTTCTTTCTTACTGCAAGTAAGCCTGTTTTCAAATTTAGGCAGAAGGAAAAAATTCCTTTTTCTTTCTTTAATTTAAGCAGACTGTGCCTGAGTGCATTTTTTTAAAAGGCTGCAGAGGTAAAACTAGGCCACAGAAGTGATATTAGCTCCAGGAAAAATAGTCTGATTTACACTTGAATGCAGTTATTTCAACTTTTCAAGTAATGTAATCTTACAGAGATCTCCATTCCAAAAATATGACAATGTACAAAGTAGAAAAATCAAACTTCACAGGATCATTTTATTTCCATTAAATTCCACTCTGAATATTGCAGAAGGTAATATTTAGTTTTATTATTATTAATTCCAAATATAACAAATAGTGGTCTCCATCTGGGTTGATTTATTATCATTTAAAATAGTAGAACATTTTAAGCTTTCACTTTATAGAAGATAGCATAGGATATGTTCCAAACTACTGTTTCTTCAATTCCCCTTTTGCTAAAAGTAGAATGGTCTAGATTCTTAGAAAGCATGTATTATAGACAGGACTATTTTTGAGAAAACAACAGTAATTGGACTTGTAATTATTAAAAGATTTATACATGAATGCCTTGAGAAAACAATAATAACACATGAAGAGTTATTAGAGAATATTATCACTATATCCTATGCATGTGTATCATGTTATATCTTATTAGTAATATTGGACTTTCCTTTTCTAGCTTATAAATTGCCTGTGATTAGGCATTTTTCCAGCTTGATAAAGCATCTTTCAACCAAATGTGAAAAAGCATTATCAAAAATAAATTTTAGAAATACTTTGGGTCTATCCTATTCAGTATAATATCATGCTGTTACTAATGTAATCTTTTAAATTTCTTACAATAATCCAGTGATTATTATTTCTAATATACTTAGGAAAGTGTAATGAAGTATCTGAACTCTATTATCACCAAGAAGTTGATTCTTCATGAGAGGCAGCAGAGTGTAGGGTTAGGGGAATAGATTGTGGAGATCAAAGGTCTGGGTTCAAATCCTAGCACTTTCACTGATTGTTTCTTTGCTTTTGGGCAAACTTTTAACCTGTCTATGTCCCATTATTTGTACCAAATTACTTGGCTTCATTTTTGCCAATCATAGGAAGAGGGTCACAATAGAATGGGGTTATAGAACTAAGAATTTTGGGGTTCATGGTGGAAAATATTTTTACTCATGTCTGCCATATAATGCTATAAAGGTTTGCTATGATTATATTTGTATATTGACTAATTTTGCATCACTTTGGGTATTTTGTAAGGTGAGTAAATATGTGAGAGACAGAGAGCTGAACTAGTGGTCCTTATTATGTGAAGAAATATTGAAAATGAAAAGATCAATACTAGCCTCATTTTAATTAGACTCTTAACTAGAATGATATGGACTTGGGAATGAGAAATAAACACGGAACTAAAAAACCACAAAGAAGGTAGTGGACCCTCATTACATATACTGAATGAATCAAGGCAAATGAGTAAAGTCCCTTGGTAGTTAAAAAAAAAGTCCTGAAGCAAAGGACACCTTTTTATCGTTTTTAAATACTTCACTTGTAATCTTTGATATCAGATCAGTCACATTATCATTCATCAGATTTTAAATCCCTGCACTAGTCCTCTCAACACCCATCTAAAATTATTAGAATTTATATTCAACACAACATGTTTGCATTCAGATTCAGCATCCTTTCAGCACTTGCAGAAAAGTAGCAATGAAAATATAACGTAACCTTAAATGAAATATATCACCATTCTTGCTCAGGCAGACAAAAAGACTCTGTGGAAACAGTGCCTCTAAAGAACTTTAGCATTTTAGATGTAGTAATTTCTATTCTAATAAGAGTATATTATAGCAGTGAGTAAGAATATTAATGCACCTTATTCTGGAGAGGGAAAAAAAGGAGCTCTTTTCCGATGTCATCGCCTTGAGGGCTAATAAGCATGCCATTTGATCCACTTAATTGTCTTCACTCTGCTCTATGAATTGCCTACAAGATTCTTTATCTTTCCTGGACATGAGTAATGTGAACATACATCAATGCTAGGAGTTTGACCTTCTCCACTGAGCTTCCCTTAAGAGGATCGTCTACCATGGGGAAAAGTAAAAGATAGTGGAAACGTTTTTTAAAAAATGAATTAGGTTGGAGAGAAAATCCATCTATTTCATCACTAAACCTCAGATAAATAGATGACCCCGTTAGCAGTGCCCTTGGAGCCCTACTGTTATACAAATTGATCGACAAATGTTCTCCCAATAGAGAACTGTGACCTATTTATCTCAGAAGAGCCAAAGACCGAGTTAAATCTCTTAAAATATCACACCCTTGGTGCTTCAGCCATTTTCCTTTGTTGCTCTTTAATTTGAGACATTTGTCAAGGAAAGAAAATATATGTCTTCTGGGAGTTCCCTTGTGGAGTTACGAAGGATGCAAATCTGGCCCGAGATATCATGAGCCTTCCAAGAAAGTCAAAACTCACACTCTTGCTTTTCTCATTTATTGCCCAGCTTTTCAGCTAGAGCTGGAATATGCTCACTGACTCCTTCTGACAGTGTTTTTCTAATGGATATGAGAAGCATTAGGACCACAGGCTTTAGACCCCCACAGGAGCACTGCTAAAACCAAAAGACTAATTTTTAATCCCTCAAATTAAGAAAATAGAAAAGAAAACACCAAAGATCAAGGGCACATCATGAGTAAGAAAGCAGCTGACAAGTCTTGTGGTTTGTCTTGCTTTCTTGTCCAGAAGAATGAGATTGTTAGTTGAGTTTTTCTCATTCACTTTACATTGTTTGGAGCAAGCCAATTCTATCCCAGAATCTCAATTTCCTCCTCTGTTATATGAAAGGATCAGGGTGTGTAATCTCTAAGGCCTCTTTTGAGTCTATGATTTTTACTACTAATTTAGTTAGGAAAATTTAGGCCCTAAAATATAGCAAATGGATATATCAAAAGAATGAAAACCAGTAAAAAAAAAAATATAAATTTCTTAATGACTTCCAAGAAAACAAACACCAGCCAGTTCAAGATGCCAAAAGTGCATTGTGTTTTCAGTAATACATTTAAATTAAATTTGTTCATCCCAAAACTTTTGACCCAAAGAAATCTCGTGTCTAAAGGCTAGAGCTCTGGGCCTATTTCCTTCTTTGACAGAGTAGAAACCCTTGACTTTACATCTCAGAGCTCCCAAATTACAAATGATATCAAGAGATGAAGAATAATTGCAAAAAAGCAAGGGGAGGGGTATAGGATTTTCAAGGCATAAGTGTTCACACACAAACACATGCTTGATTCAAAGAATACAGTCATATGTTGACTAACAACAGAGAAACGTTATGAGAAACATGTTGTTAGGCAATTTTGTTATTGTGTGAACATCAGAGTTTACATAAACCTACATGGTGCAGCCTACTACACACCTAGGCTATATGGTACAGCTTATGGCTCCTAGGCTACAAATCTGTACAGCATGTTACTCTACTGAATGCTACAGGTAATTGTAACACGATGATAAATATTTGTATATCTAAACATAGAACAGGTACAGTAAAAATATGGTATAAAAGATAAAAAAAAAAGTACACTTGTATAAGGCATTTGTCATGAATGGAGCTTGCAGGGCTGGAGGTTGCCCTGGGTGAGTTGGTGAGTGAATGGTAAGTGAATTTGAAGGCCTAGGGCATTTCTGTGCACTACTGTAGACTTTGTAAATGCCATACACTGTAGGCTATACTAAATTTATATAAAAACTTTTCTTCAATAATAAATTAACTTTAGCTTGCTATAACTTTTTTGCTTTATAAACTTGTACTTTTTTAAAAAGCTTTTTGACCCTTTTATAAACCCTTAGTTTAAAACACAAATATACTGCACAGTGATCAAAAATATTTTCTTTCTTTATATCCTTATTCTATAAGCTTTTTTTAATATTTAATTTTTTAACTTTTTAAACTAAAAACTAACACACAAATCTACATATCAACCTAGTCCTACACAGGGTCAGGACCATCACTATCTTCTACCTCTGGATCTTGTCCCACTAGAAGGTCTTCAGGGGCAACAGCACACAAGGAGCTGTCATCTATGATAACAATGCCTTCTTCTGGAATACATCCAGAAGAACCTACCTGAGGCTATTTTACAGTTAATATTATTTGTTTATAATTAGAAGGAGTATATCTTAAAATAACAATAAAAAGTATAGTATAGTAAATACATAAATCAATAACATAGTTGCTATGGTTTGGCTCTGTCCCCTGCCACAAATCTCAACTTGAATTGCAATTTCCATAATCCCCACGTGTCATGGAAGGGGCCGGGTGAAAGGTAATTGAATCATGGGGGCAGGTCTTTCCCATGCTGTTCTCATGATAGTGAATAAGTCTCATGAGATCTGATGGTTTTATAAAGGGGAGTTTCCCTGGACAGGTGCTCTTGCCTGCCACCATGTAAGATGTGACTTCGCTCCTCTTTGCCTTCCGCCATGATTGTGAGGCCCCCCCAGCCATGTGGAACTGAGTCCATTAAACCTCTTTCCTATATAAATTAGCCAGTCTCCCATATGTCTTTATTAGCAGTGTGAGAACAGACTAATATAATAGTCATTTATTATCATTATCAAGTATGATGTATTACATATAACTGTATGTGCTATACTTCTGCACGACTGGCAGCACAGTGGGTCTGTTTACACCAGCATCACTACAAATACATGAACAATGCATTGCCACTAGGACCTTAGGATGGCTACAATGTCACTAGGCAAAAGGGATTTTTTGGTTTACTTATCTTATGGAAACACTGTCATATATACAGTCTGTGATTGGCCACAATACCATTATACGGTATATGACTATAATTATTAAAATGCTACTAGTGAAAGCACAACATTAAAAACATTTTGTTCTTTCCCTTAAAGGGACTCTGGTGTGGGTGCTATGATATATAAAAGTAAATTCAATATTTGGCATTATGTCACCAGAGCAGATAAAGTGGTGTAAAAAAGGAGGGAAAGCCATTTCCCACAGGAGAGTCAAGGAAGGCTTTGTGGAGGATGTGTCATTTGAGATGGGCCATAAAACACAGGTAGTATTTATATTTTAAAGACATTTGGGGTGGAGGAAACTGAATCCATCCATTTATTCACTTCTGCATTCATTTACTCATTTACCCAACATCTATTAACCAATGACAATCCACAAGGTATTGTGTTGAATCCCAGACTATGAGGTCAAATAAAACAAAGTCTTTGCTTTCAGGGCATACTACTTATTTGAAAAATAGCTAAGAGATCAGATCATCTAGGTCATAAAATACACATAAAAGAGTAGAGGATATAAAACAGGGAAGTGGATTAGGATCTAAGTGTGGAAGGCCTTGAATCTCAGCTTGATCCTTTTTTGATAGGCAATGAGATGGTCACGGAGGTATCCGGCCAGCCTGCAGGTACAACTTAATCAACAATGTGCCTTAAGTGAAAGTCACCAAGTAGCCTTAAGTAGCACTGACCGGCGGAAGTAAATTAGGTAGACCTCAAAAAGCAAAAAGAAAAACTAGCAAACACACACAGGTTAGTAGTCATTTAGTATCTCTATTTCCACACCCTGACTCAAATAACTCCCTTGATTCTCAGAACCAATATTTCTTCTGAAATGGCTCTCCTGAAGGGTTTAATTTAATACAATTGTCCGACATTCTAATTTACTCTCTATGGGTGAAGAGGATGGTATTTACAGGAATTGCTTTCAAATAGACAAAGTCAACTCTGATACTTGCTCTAGGAGGAAACCACTGTTTTAAAATACCAGATTTGTGGTGTGGACCTAAATATTAAATGCTATTCTTTTTTTTTTTTTAATCAAGTGACCTGTCTTCGTCATTATTCTTTCTTCAAGTCATAGACTCTTCTTTTCCTTTTAATGATGTATGGCTCATTGAAATTATTGTTAAAACTGTATTTAGCACAATTGTAAATTAATACAAATGTCTGCAATCTCAGGGAGACCAGAAGAACTGGAGGAAATGGGGCCAGTGAGACCCAGAAGGTAGAGGGACTCGTTCAACGTCATGAAGTGAGTCAGAGGGGAGTCAGGAACTAACTCCTAGAGGGACTCGTTCAACGTCATGAAGTGAGTCAGAGGGGAGTCAGGAACTAACTCCGTGAGTCATGGCTCCCAGTCTGTGCTCTGACCGCGAGACAAAGCTCCTCCCTGGCCACAGTAAGAGGACTCACCCTTGACGCAGCCAAGCTGGCTCTTTCTCTACATCTCTGGCCTCCACTAATGGCAGTACTATGTCCTGTTACATTTTGTTCCACGGTCCAGAATACGTTCCAATGAACACATTTTGGCTAGGTGGAGAAGTGGTAGCAATGAAGTAGTTCACCTTATAATACAAAGCCACTGAAGCCCAGTGCAGGTAAGAGGGCCAGAGTCGGAAATGGAGTGAGCAGATTCCACCAAGTCTGAAATGAGAAACTTTCAGTTTACACAGTTGAGGCATTCAGCAAGTCAGAAAAAGATAGGAAAAGAAGCCAGGGGTAGAGCAAGATGTTGGGAGTGTCTTTTTCCGCTCCTAAATCAGTAACACACTTCTGCTCTGGGATAGCATATTAAGATGAGGAATGAATACATTAGAATAAGATGGGCTGAAAAGTCTGTTGATATTCCTGTGGATATTATCTATTATTTGTTTGTTAGAATATCTATGCTTATTACCACTTCTCCATATCCGACATTCTAATTTACTTTCTATGGTGAAGAGGATGGCATTTACGGGAATTGCTTTCAAATGGACAAAGTCAACTCTGATACTTGCTCTGGGAGGAAACCACTGTTTTATAATACCAGATTTATGGTATGGACCTAAATATTAAATGCTATTCTTTTTTTTTTATTAAGTGACCTGTCTTAGTCATTATTCTTTCTTCAAGTCATAGAGTCTTCTTTTCCTTTTAATGATGTATGGCTCATTGAAATTATTGTTAAAACTGTATTTTAGCACAGCTTTACATATACAATATTAAAAACATGCCTTGGTCATTAATGCTGTGGAAATATAAATACTCCTTGTGTAGATCTGTGGCCATTTCTTACAGTTCCAAGGTAAAGGTACATTTACAAGCGTCTGGGAGAAATGAGTAATAATACCTTTTTCATATGAAAATATCAATGTGGGAAAGCCAGTGTACTCAATAATTCTTTATAGTGGAGGTGGTTCTCGTACTCATAGGAGCAAAATATTGCATTAAAAATTTAAAATTTTATTTAAGTAAAGTCTATGCACACTCAAAAATTCAAAGTCAAAACCACAAAAAGCTAACCTATATCATTGAGGGATGCATACGTAAGTGATAAAAATATAAATAAATGCAAAAATTATTATTACAGAAGTCATATTAATATCAGCTTTAAAGGTTAGGAGGAGGTTTTGCTCAGAGAGAGTAGATGGTTTAGGGGTTGAGGGTGCTTTCAGGGGCTGGCAATGTTCTACTTTTTGACCTGGGTGGTGGTTGCACAGACATTTATTATATTGTTAAACTGTCCAAATGTGTTTTATGCAGCTTTCTGTGTGTATGTTATAATTCACAATAAAAAGTTTTTAAAAGTTGAATAGTACTAAAAGATTATAATGAAAAACAGCTGTTTCTTGCCCCGCTTGTCCTCACCTTTAATTCCTACTCAACAGATGCAGCCACTTTAGCTGTTTCTAATGGTATTGATCTTTATATTTCTAAAGAAAATGCTTCTATGTCTATCTTTTTTTTAACTTTATGCATTATATTTCCACTTTCTTCTAGAGCTGACAAAGAATTAACTCTGGCACGCATTCCTCAACAGGCATGTCTCTTCTCTCCTTCCCTCCTGTTCCCAAGATTGTTGGTTAAATGAATAGTCAATACCCACCTTTTTATGACTAGGCATAATTTGCTGATAGCCGAGCTACCCAGTACTTTAAGATTACACTTTGTTCTGTTTTGCCTTTTTTTTTTTTTTTTTTTGAGACAGAGTCTTGTTCTGTCACCCAGGCTGGAGTGTAGTGGCATGAACATGTCTCACTGCAGCCTCAATCCCCTGGGCCCAACTGATCCTCCAACCTCAACCTCCTGAGTAGCTGAGACCACAGATACACACCACCACACCCAGCTAATTTTTAAATGATCTGTAGATACAGAATTTCCCTATGTTTCCCAGATTGGTCTTGGACTCCTGGGCTCAAGCGATCCTCCTGCTTCAACCTCCCAAAGGGCTGGGATTACAAGCGTGAGATGTCTCATCCTGTTTTGCACATGTTTATACTCTCCTGACGATAGTTGTCCATGTTTTGTTTTTCTTTGTATTTTGTTCTATGTAACTCTCACTTATTCAGCTTCAACGATTTTCAGAGAAGAACTATAAATATTCTCTCAGAATATTCCAATATAATCTCTCATCTTGGGGTTCGTGTGTGTGTGTGTGTGTGTGTGTGTGTGTATTTTCTCTTTTCTTCTGCCTTAACTTGCATAGGCTATTAATTAGGCCTGCTACAACAGCCATCTTACTAAGTCTTCTCTTCACCATCATTCTGGGAGCTCTCTTCACATCTTCCATATTGCATAAATTCCTACATATTCCTTCTTTATAAATTAATGCCTTGGAGTGTGACACCAGAAGCTTCCTAGAAAAAGAAGCGTGGCTGGTCATTTTTTTGAGAGTTGACAGGTCTGAAAATATCTCAATTTTACTATTACACTCCTATGGTTTGGCTATGATTATAAGTTTTGAATTTTATTTTTAGAATTTTGAAGATATATTTGTGCTGTATTCTAGCTTCCAGTAATCTCACTCATAATTCCTTTTTGATGTGACTTATGTTTTCTTTAAAAGCTTGTAGGGTTTTTTTTCTTAATTCTTTGTGTCCTGGAATTTTATTATAAGGCAACTGGATGTGGGTCTGTTTTCTTTAAATTAGTCTGCTGTATACAAGGTGATGTCATTTAATCTAGAAACTCATTGTCTTCAATTCTGTGTTATTTCTCTTCTCTTATTTGTCCCTTATTCTTGAACTCTTCTTAGAGGTTGAACCATCTTTGTCAGTCTTTCACTTTTCTTCTCTTTGTCTTTTTTATCTTCTAATTATTTAGTGCACTTTTAATTATTCTATTCAACTTTAAATTTCCCCTTTCCATTTCCCTCTCAACTCTTCTCTACATAGCAGTATGAAGTGCTTTTATAGCAGACTGACTTAGTGACCAACTCTTGGTATGTGATACATCTGCACATCTTCCTTAGGATAGAAATAAAACCCCTCGGCATGCTGTTACGATTTGGCTTTTGCTTATCTCTGTAGTTCACTAGATTACCACTGCCCAGAATAAGCAATGCACTATTAAATATCTCCCAGTTCTTTGATTGTGCTATTCACTCCTTCATATTGTTTGCTAGTCTTCTTTGCCTTGATATTTTTATTTCTTTCCTTTATCTGACTACCACTTATTAATTTAAACTCAGCTGCATATTCTTCTTAAAAGAATAATCTTCTAACACACTTCTCCAAGGCAACACAACCATCTCAGATGCATTCGGTGTTTCTGTTGAGTGCTTCATAGCATGATACTCTCCTCTATACAAAGGTTTATCACACAGTATTATAACTGTTTGCTGATCTTCCTTGTGAGATCTATTGTGCACTCTACTTGAGAAGGAACTATGTCTGTCTTGTTTACACTTGGTGGCCCATCACTAACCAAGTTCATGGATTATAGTCTAGACTCAGTATTTGTTGAATGGATAAAGGAATAATAATCTTTGCATGTATTCAGTTCTTTCAGTCTCCAATGCACTGTTTTCACTGCTCTCCATCTATTCACCCATATAGCCATCACAAATCCCTGAAGAGATTACTTCTATCATTATTCCTTTCCCAAAAATAAGAAAATTAAAGTTGATTGGAATACCCAGTTCCATTTGTAAGTGACAAAGTTATTGATTTGAACCCAGATATTCTGGTTCCACAACCTCCATTTGTAACTCTCCAGAATGAATACATGGATGAGCCTAGGCAATAAAACACTGAATTTAATCTTTTATAAAAGAGAAATAATTTTCAAATGGTTTTCATAGAAATGGAATTGTATAAAAAAGGGAGCTGACATTTGTGTATTTTGGTAAAATGTATCTAAAATCCTTTTATTAATCCTTCCAGATATAAAAACTTTCTACAAGCTTCAATATTTCTAACCTTTAACAAAGAACTTCCAAAATATTACAAAAAACTAGCTAAGTGAAAACATTTTCCTTCTTTTTAAATATCAAACTTGTTTTGTCTTTCTGAAATAGTTAATGTGAATATATATTTTAAAACTATTTAAAATTACCTTTAGAAATATCCAAATTTCAATTCTTGAACATGCTAGTGCATAGCCCAAATGGAAGATTTGGGTTTAGACAGTTTAAGGAGCTAAATATGAGGGGTTTTATTACTGAATACAGGGTGGTCAGCTGCAATGTGTAGGTAGAGTAAAATAAAGAATTATTGTATCTTTTCTCATAAACAAGTTTTGTTTTTGTTTTTTAAAAACAACCCTTCTCCTTTCTCATAATTGAACTAGCAAACGGCAGTTCGATCATGCCAATGAAATACCTTTAGGATTTTTTTCAAAACAAGTTTTATTTATGTATCAGAAGATTTATTTAAGAAAAACTGCCTTCATCCATTCCATTCCTGGACAAGGGCCACGTCATGGTTGGGAAACCTGTGCCATCCATAGGGTCTTGCACTTAGAAGGGCCCCGGGATTTATTTAATGTTCTGCTCTTGCCACCTTGAAATTTACATTATGTTTTTAAAAGGCCTATATTTTCATTTTTCATTTGGCCCCATAACACTTCTTGGAGGTTGAACCATCTTGGTCAGTCTTTCACTTTTCCTTTCTCATTTTCTTCTCTTTGTCTTTTTTAATCTTCTAATTATTTAGTGAATTTTTAATTATTCTATTAAACTTTAAATTACCCCTTTCCATTTCTCTCTCATCTCTTCTCTACGTGGCAGTACTGAAGTGCTTTTGTAGCAGACTGACTTAGTGACCACCTCTTGGTGTGTGATACATCTGCACATCTTCCTTAGCATAGGCTAGGATATCCTTCTGTGGCAGATACTTCTCTACATTAGAAGAAGTTGTTGTTGGGTAGTCAAAGCAGAGAGATGGGAAACTGAAATCACTGGGTTTAAACACCAGCTACAATAAAACTTCAAACCCTTAATAATGTACTAAGCTTGTTCTCATCATCTATTTCACCTTATGGCGGCTCTACTTGCCATTTATCTAATTTATAGCCACATCATCAACTCAACTAAAACATTTCAGTAGTATTTTCATTTATCTTGTTTTCTGTAATTTTTCCTGTCTTAATTTGTTCTTCAAACTACTCCCAGTTATCTATAAGACTTTTTTTTACAAAAATAATGCCTACCTTTCTGCATCTGTGCCCATTCTATTCTCTATCTAGAACGCTCTTTTCTGATGCATCTGAAGGTTAAAATTCTTGTACATTATACCAGGTAGGAATGGTTCAGTTACAAATTGCAGAAAATCAACCCAACCTAGATTAAGAGGAAAGAGAGAAATTCTTATTTTGAATATTTAAAAGTCCATAGATAGTTCCTGGTTTCAGGTATGGCTGAATTCAGGATTCGGGAGATGTCACTGGCACCCAGCATCTCAGCACTGAATGATATTCTTTCTACTGTGTTGGCTTCATTCTCAAGCTCCACTTATGAGTCCTGCAGTTCCAAGCTTATGTCACTAAAACATCGAATATAAATGGCCATAGATCGCGCTTCTTTAGCAGTGATAATGTGTCTTATATTTACTGGGTTTTTAATTTACTGACCTTGAGATTGATTCAGCAATTGGGTTTTCTGACAGATTTTACCTAGTGTCATGTATTCCACCCTGTTCCTAGAGTGGGATTACTTCTACTGAAAACACATAAATAAAAGTCAAAGGAGATGAATTCCTACTTCACTTGCATGGCGTTATTATTAGAGGAAGAGGAAGTTGACAGTGAAATGATCCTCACTTTCACAGATATTCAAGTTGCTAAGATATTGAAACCTTCCAGACTGGTTGACAAAGAGCCCCTTCTCCAAGTTCCCTGAAAACTCCTTGCCTGGCCAAGCCAGTCTGGTCATGCCCATAGGACCACCCCAACCTCTCTAAAATCTATCAACTAAAGGGTTAATGCTGGAACAGTGGGAGGTTTCTAAGCCTGTCGGGACTCCAAGTTCAGTGTTCTTTCAGCTTTGCTAGTAACTGGGTTTTACCAGTGGCTTTATATTATTATATGACATCTGAGAGAAGAAATTTCATTTTTGGGATAACTGGAGATTTTAGTAATAATAAATATTACTACCTTCTATTTTAGCGATAAGCAGATAGCAATTTTAGTGGTAACAGCAAATGTCAGAAAACCCAATTACCAGTGGCCTAAACACAGAGGTTTATTTCTTGCTCTCACAGAAGTAAAGCCTGAGGCTGGTTTGGCAGCTTCTCAATTATTCGAGACCCTAGAATTTTCCATTGTGTTGCTCTGCCATTTTTCATAATGGACTAATACCTCGTAGTCCAGGATGGCTCCTTAAGCCCCAGCTACAACTTTGTATTCCAGGCAGCATGACGCTGAAAAAGTGGGCAGAAGGGCATGCCCCTACACCTTAATGGTGTGCCCTAGAAGTCTCACACACAATTTTCCTTATATTCCATTGGCCAGAACTTAATCACTGCACCTAGTTTCCAGGGAGAATGTAACTATAGCTACTACTTAAGGGGGCCATGTGTCTAGTCAAATAGTAAGGTGTTATTATTGTAGAAGAAAAAAGTCCCAGATACAGGTAGACAACTAGGCTTCTCAGCCACAGCTAATCTGTTCATAGTCTTTGATTTATCATGGCAAGAGAACCTTAGGAAGGAAAAGTATTCTTGGAGAATCAGAATCTTAGTAAAAAAAGTTCTTATTTTATACCCCAAAATGGTGATGAGGGACTGCCTAGAAACCATAAATCTTATTCTGAAGGAAGATGGTTTCTTCTAAACTCTGCCTATTTTTCATCCCATCCATCCAATGTGGGTGTTTTTCTTTCTGCTTGATTTCAACCACATATGGCATGTAAAATGCAAGCAGGAACTGTATATGTTCAAAACTCTTTAACTCCTCTGCCTAATACTTTTCTCTCCCATCTCCAAACTTTAAAGGATTTACAGTTTATATAA
Source organism: Homo sapiens (assembly GCF_000001405.40). Classification (NCBI taxonomy): domain Eukaryota; kingdom Metazoa; phylum Chordata; class Mammalia; order Primates; family Hominidae; genus Homo; species Homo sapiens. The sequence goes on from NC_000017.11 coordinate 71,079,104, forward strand.
AGCAATACAATTAATTCATTGAACAACTATATCTTAAGCATCTTCTATATGTTGGACATTCTTCTAGAAGCTGGGGCAACATCAGTGAAAATAACAGATACATTTAAGGGTGGAGCAACTAACAGTGAATAAGGAAACGATACTGTGTGTTATATCTTGGTCAGTGTTCAGGGATACAATAAAGCAGGATACGGAAGATTGTGAGTACCGGGAGTGGAGACTTGCAATTTTACAGTAGGTTTCTTCCCTGAGAAGTTGATATTTAAACAAGAGAGGCAAGAGAATGAACCACACAGAAATCTGGGAGAAAAATATTTCAGGCCAGAGAGGAGGAAGTGCAAAGGTGTTAAGGAGGCGTCATGCCCGTGCTCCAAGCAGCAAAGAGTTGTATGTCTGCTTGGCTCTACTAAAGCGAGCAAGTGGGAAATGACTTCAGAGCCAAGATCATAGATGCTTAGTAGGCTGTTTAAGACTGACTTTTCATTATCCTTAGCAAACTGACACAGAAGCATAAAAACAAATACCACATGTTCTCACTTATAAGTGGGAGCTAAATGATGAGAACACATGGACACATTGAGGAGAGTGACACACACTGGGGTCTTTCGGAGAGTGGAGGGTGGGAGGAAGGAGAAGTTCAGGTAAAATAACAAACGGTACTAGGCTTCTGTACAACAAACCCTCATGACGCAAGTTTACCTATGTAACAAACCTGCACTTGTACCCCTGAACTTAATAAAAGTTTAAAAACCAAACCAAAACAAAACAAAAGCAAAACAAACAAACAAACAAACAAAAGACTGGCTTTTACTCTGAGTGAAGTGTGAAATCATTTTGAGGGTTTTGAGACGAGAAGAGGCGTAATCTGTTTTAGAAACATCCTACCAGTTGCAGTATTGAGATCAGACTCTAGGGGAGAGTAAGATGAAGCAAGGAGAGAAACTTGGAGGTAGAGTCGACTGAAATAATCCAAGAAAATATTATATAAATACTGTTTACAGAGAGTAGAAAATGCTGACAGCATATACTGACAAATTCGATATGGGGTGTGAGAAAGGGAGGGATTAAGAAAGACATGAAGGTATTTGAAGGATGTAGTTTTGATTTGGCTGAGATGGTGAGACGGTAGGACGCTACTGGAGAAATCTCAGTAATTCTGTTAGGTAGACATCCAAACGGAGGTCTGGGATTCAGTGGTGCACCCTGGGCTGAAAATGTAAAAATGTGCTCATCCTTAGCATGTAGGTGTGATTTAACACCATGCTACTGGATGAAATCACCAAGGCATTGAGTGTAAGTAGGTAGAAAAAAAAATAACCATGAATTCTGGGACATACCCATCCAATGTTTAGAAACTGATGATACAGGAGCTAAAAAGAAATTATTTAGGCAGATATGAGGGTAGGAGAGTCCTCGGCGGAATTTCCCTTTTAACAAAAAGCAGCCCCCAAATCATTTCTTTTTCTTTTCTTTTCTTTCTTTTCTTTTTTTTTTTTTTTTTTTTTGAGACAGAGTCTTGCTCTGTCGCCCAGGCTGGAGTGCAGTGTCCTGATCTCGGCTCACTGCAACCTCCGCCTCCCGGGTTCAAGCAATTCTCCTGCCTCAGCCTCCCGAGTAGCTGGGACTACAGGTGCATGCAGCCACGCCCCGCTAAATTTCGTATTTTAGTAGAGACAGGGTTTCACCATGTTGCCCAGGCTGGTCGCGAACTCCTGAGCTCAGGCAATCCGCTGGTCTTGGTCTCCCAAAGTGCTGGGATTACAGGCGTGAGCCACCGTGCCGGGCCAAATCATTTCTTTTTTAACAAACAGCATCCTGAAAAATCGAGCTGCAAAAAAAGATAAGGAAGCCGGAAGCTTGCATGAGGGAAATGCCGGCAGCTGTGCCAACAGAAAAGGGCTACCTGGAAGCCAGGTGTGTTCAACGTGGAGGCCCCTTATTCCCTTTTCTTTGTTGCTTCGTGTACAGTAAAGGGGTAGGCAACATGATGCCGGCCAGGTAGAGAACATATCTGCATAATAAAAGTTTAGGGTGGGGTGGCCAGCTTCTTGAGGGGCTATGCAAATGGCACACCTGGTCCGACCAATCTTTTATGCCCTATGTAAATCAAACACCGCCTCCTAAAGCTCGTCCATAAAACCTTCTGCATTTCGCTGCAGAAGCAGCAACTCATTTTCTCTGGGACCCCTCTCTGCACGGAGAGCTCTTCTCTTTCTTTCGCCTATTAAACTTACATGGCCGTGGGACAATGAACCTCAGGTATTACCCCAGAGAAACAACATCGCTTCATTGAGGGGAATGCAAAAATGTAGTAAAGGAAATTGAGAATGAGAAGCCAATAAAGTAGGTAAGAAACAAGGTAGAGTGACATCATGGAAGCCAAACAAAGCAAGTGTTTCCAGGATGAAGGCGTGATCAACTGGGTCAAATGTATGGTGACAGATCAAATAAGATGAGGACTAATCATTAATCATGGATTTTAGCAACACTGAGTCCCTGTGGACCTTTACAGGAGAAGTTCTGGTGGAGGGCTGAGAGCAAAAGCCTGGTTGAAGTGAGTTTGAAAAGATGTGAAATGGTAAGAATTAAATACAATGAATATTTTCCTGGACTTTTGATATACAGGGCTTTTTTAGGATGCAAGAAATAACAAAATGTTTGATTTATGATGAGCATGACTCTAATTGAAAGAAAAAATTGATAATATAGTAGCCAAAGAAATAATTGCTGAGTAATGCTCTTGCAGCACAGGTTAGAGGGGGTAGACTTTAGACAGGAGTGTAACTAATTCCCCTCCATTGTCAAGAGGGTAAAGTATTTGGGTACAAAAGTCAACAGGTTGGTGAGTGGCCTGGTGAAGATGTAGTGGTTGTACTTTAGGTCCTACCTTTAATTAGTTTCTTATTAATGAATTAATAATCAATTAATATTGTGTTTATTTGTAAATTTCTCCAGGCCAAAAACTGCATTATGTATTTTTTGACACTTATTTAGCCAAGCAACAAATAATTGTTTATGAAACTCTGAATAAATAACATGACAAAGGGGTACTGTACCACCGAACTTCAGGCCAGAAGGGTTCCTGTAAAATCTTAAGAATGGTATTCACTAAAGAAATTTTTAATAAAGTAGAACTTACCAGTATTAAAGAATTACTTGTTAAAGTAATTGATAAAACTAAATTGTTATGGAATTGATAAAACTAAAGTTACCTTTTGTTTCAAGTTCCACTCTTTCTGGTTTAAATGTTTTTAAAAATTTTATGGTGAAATGTGTTTTACATGAAGAAATGAATTGAACATATATGTGCAGTAAAGTAAGCCACATCATCTAATTAAAGAAATAAAATATTACCTGCACTCGAAGAAAAAAAAAATCACCCATACCTCTTCTGTGATAGCTTCACCTGTTTGAGGTGATTTCTATATTGACTTTGATGATAATCAGCCTCTTTGAGGTAACTGCTATCCTGACTTTGATGAGAATCATTTTCTTTTTTTCCTCTATTGTTTTATCTATTTACCTTTCAGAAATTGAGTTCAATTTTATCTGTCTTTAGACTTTATACAAATGGAGTCCTATTCTGCACATCCTTTTGTATCTTTATTTTGTTCAGTGTGTGTGTGTATGTGTGTGTATGTGTGGGTGTGTATCCTAAAAAGTTTGATGTTTGGATAATCTGGGTGAAGGCTATTTAGAAAAGTACTAATATTGCAACATTTCTGAAAGTCTAGAATCAATAACTAAAAATAAAAATGAAATAAAATAATTTTTAATTAAGATAAATTAAAATACAAAATGTTTTAAAATGTGTACTTTTTAACCTAACTATGCAGTACCACCACTGTCATACAATGAGTATATACAATATGGTCTATTTCTGAGTTATCACAAATTTTTGCATTTATCTACATACCTATCTGCACACATTCTGCATTGTCTTAATCACTATAGCTTCAAAATAAGGCTTAATAACAGGAACAGAAAGTTAACTTGATTCTTATTAGAGTTTTTGTCTATTTATAATTTGTTGCACTTTTATGTGAATTCTAGAATCTACTTGTCAAGGCCTACCAATGGGAAAATCATTACGATTTTTATTGGGATGGAATTAAACCTAGAGATCAGATTGAGGAGTTGAAATCTTTACAATATTAAGGTTTCACTCCATGAACATTGTCTGTCATCCCATTTATTTATTTATTTATTTAAATTTCTCAGTAGTTCTATATTTTTTTCTTAGAGATATTTTACACTTTTGTTAGATTTGTTCCTTAGTACTTCCAACTTTTGATGCAATTGTAAATAATGTGTATTTTATCTCTGTTTAATTTGGTTTTAATGTATCTTAAATCTATGTCATTTAAGCCATAATCATTTAAACTGGTTACGGTGTTTCTTTCCTGGCAAAGTGAAGCTTGTATCATTGTAAAGTGATTCTCTTTAACACAAAAAGTGTTACTAATATAAAAAAAAGTTAGTCTATTTCTGTTATTTTTTGTTATTTATTTACATATTTCTCCCCTTTATTTTAAACCTTTATGTGTTCTTATACTCAAAGTATATGCCTTGAAAACAATATGTAATTTGTTTATGTTTATAATCTGGCCTGATTATCTTTGACTTTTAACTGAAACATTTAGTTTATTTACCTAGTTGCGATTATTGTTATATTTGAATTTCAAAATAGCACCTTATTTTGTCCTTTAAACACAATTTGTGGGCATTCTTAAGAAATAGGATGAGATTCCACTTTAGGGATGCAGTACAAAGTTGTCCAGGCTGTGCACTGCCTCCAGGTAGCACATCTAAATGGACTACCAAGCACTTTACAGATGCCTTAAATTCTTGTACTTGTCGCATAAATTTTTGGGTAGATGCAAGTAACGTCTTATGGGAGAAGAACCTTTTTTAAAATTTGAACTCAGATACCACATGGGTAAGGATTTGCATTTGCTTCTGCTCTGCACCTGGGGACATTGTAGCCCCAGAAAGCTTCAAGCTAAATGCACAGCTTAAGGACCCTTCTCCACCTTGGTATCTAGAAGCTGGATCGCAAAGTTCTGTGAGAGTCGACCCATGGCAACATTATTGCAGGAATTTTTTTTTTCTTTTCAATAACAACCACCCCACTCTTCCTAAGGTGATCTATTCCGTTCCCTAGGGGTTGGGAAAGGGGTTTAGTGCTGCTCCACATTGTATAGCCTGGGAGGTTCCATATTGATGTGAGAAATTTCCGTATTTGACTTCCTACTGGGAGCAGTGGGAAGGCTACTGGGCCTTGACATCGAACCCAGTTAATATCCTTTCCCTGCCCCCTGGTGGTTGCCAAAGTTAGAGACCAAGTTTGCCAATGTATGCAATCGCCATCAGGAAAAAAGTGGTTCCTGTGTCCTGGTGCTTTGCTTAGCTGTCTTGGCTCCTGCTTCTCCATTAATTTTGGCAGTGTCACTCCTTATTATCTTATCATTGCTGTTCGGTTTTCAATGACAACTAAAATAGTTTTTCTGCTTCATTAGTTGCTTTCAGGGAGTGACTTGGTCTCAACAACATAGCCTATTAATACTAAAATGGAAGTCCACATTTAAATCTTTAATGTTTCTACTACAACATTTTACATATGGCATAGAATAGAAATACCGTTTTGTTATTTTTCATATGGGAAGCCAATTGCTTAGTGCTGTCTATTGACTAATTCCTCCTTCTCCCAGTAATTGGCCAGGTCATCTTTGTCAAATATCATGATTCCATATATAAGTTGGTTTGTTTCTTCACTCTAGTTGCTCCATTGCTGAAACATATGTGATATAGTTTGGCTCTGTGTCCTCACCCAGATCTCACCTTGAATTGTAGCAGTCCGCATGGGAGGGACCTGGTGGGAGGTAGTTGAATCATGGGGGCGGGTTTTTCTCCCGTGCTGTTCACATGATAGTGCATAAGTCTCAGGAGATCTGATGGTTTTATAAAAGGGCAGTTCTCCTACACATGCCCTCTTGCCTGCTGCCATGTAAGACATGAATTTGTTCCTCATTTGCCTTCCACCATGATTGTGAGGCCCCCTCCCACCCTCCCAGCCATGTGGAGCTGTGAGTCAATTAAACCTTTTCCTTTATAAATTACCCAGTCTTGGGTATGTCTTTATTAGCAGCTTGAAAACAGACTAATACAATATGTCAGCACATTGCCGTGCTGTCAAGATATTAAGGAGTGACTGTGCCAAAATTCACAGGGAAGATAGCACTAAGATAATTATCAACAAAGCACTGGAATGCAGTGCTGATGGTATTTACCTATGTTGGCAAACTTGGCCTCTAGCTCTGGCAACCACAAGGGGGCAGGGAAGGGTCAGAAGTCAAATTGAGAAGGGTCAGAAGTCAGAATTGAGTCAGAAGTCAAAGCCCAAAGCCTGCTGAAGGTAAAAAGTCGAATAGAACTTCCACCATCAATATAGAACTGCAAAAGGCTATGCGCTCTGAGACAGGCACATGTAAACCAACCATTTCCCCAAACCCTACTTAATAAGACTCTAGTTAACAATAATTTATTGTATCATTTCAAACAATTAGAAGAGAATTCTGAATGTTCTCAACACAAAGAAAGAATAAATGTTTAGGTGACAGATATGCTAATCAATCATTACATACTGTATACATATATCAAAATATCACTCTGTGACTCCTAAATATGTACAATTATTACGTGTCATTCAAAAAAATTAAAGATCCGAGCAACAACAAAAAGTTTAGTATGACATCACCATGGCAACCTGTGAGCATGAAAAAATAACCTACCTACTTCAACTGTATCCTTTACACATAAATAATGTAGTGTAAAAAAAAATTTACACTTAAATAATGTAGCTTTATGATAAGTTTATATGTCTTGCATGACAAACACTTATTCCTTTTCCTACTGTGTTATTATTGTTACTCGATTCTTTTTTTAATGCCATTGAGTCAGATTGTCACATTTTATGATGAAACTTGTTGAAATTTTGACTGAAAATATCTTGTATATATCCGGGGGAACTTGAAATCTTTACAATATTAAGTTTTCCTCACTCTCTTTTTAGTTAGCTTTTTTCAATAAAGATTTATAATTTAATATTAAAGGTCTTCTGCATCTTTTGATTGAATAATTATAGGTTTTTAGGTAAATAGGGTAAGTTTTTCATAACTCTCTCATTCTTTGTTTCTAGTGGCTAGAAATGCAATTGGGTTTTGCACATGAATCTTAAATCTTGCAAACCTGCTAAGCTCAATTACTCCTAGTGAATTTTCTCATCTATATTTTTGGACATATGTGTGTGAAAGATAGTTCTGTAGTGTTTTCTAATTTGTATACCTTGCATATTTCCAACTTGTCTTACTTGTACTGTACTAAAAATGTTAAACAAATGTGGTTGTGATGGACTTCCTTTCTCTACCTGATTTCAAAGAGAATAATTTGCATTTTACCACTAAATTTCTTTGCTATTACTCTTGATGTGTTTTAGTAATTCTGTATGTCTATCCCTACCCTTAATCATTTTAGGGCATCAGGTAATGGAAGAGTAATTTTAGAACATCCCTTTCTCACATAGGAATTATGTGTTTGATTTTCATTGTAAAGGGTCTAAATAGTAATATTGATATGCAGTAAGAGGAACTTTTAGAAACAAACATGTAATTACAGGCTCATGTATATGTTGCTGAATATTATCAATGTACAATCAGACTTTATTTTCTATTTTAGAGAGAGTTTTATACCCAACATTTAAATATTTTATACATGTCATTTTTAGTTATCAAGCAGTATACTGTCTTTGGCCCAAGCAAGTGTATAATTATATGAAATTTCATCTCTCCATTTTTTTCTCAATATGATTACTCTCCATTCTGTAGTTATGTGTAAAGGATACAGTTGAAGTAGGTAGGTTTTTTTTCATGCTCACTGGTTACCATGGTGATATCATACTACTTAACTTTTTTTGGATGCTCGGATCTTTAATTTTTTTAATTGACACATAATAATTGCACACATGTAGGAGGTACAGAGTGATATTTTGATATATGTATACAATGTGTAATGATTGATTAGCATATCTATCACCTAAAACATTTATCCTTTATGTTGAGAACATTCAGAATTCTCTTCTAGCTGTTTGAAATGATACCATAAATTATTGTTAACTAGAGTCATTCCACAGCGCTATAGAAAACTAGAATTTATTTCTCCTGTCTAGCTGTAATTTTGTATCTGTTAAGCATCCTTTCTCTATTCCCCTGCCCCCACAACACCCCAACACCTCTCTTTTCTCCAGCCTCTAATAATCACAATTCTACTTTTATGAACATAACTTTTTTTTAAGCTACCATGTATGAGTGAGAACATTCAGTATTTGTCTTTCTCTGCCTGACTTATTTCATTTAACATAATGTTCTCCAAGCTCATCCATGTTTCCATGAATGAGAGGATTTCATTATTTGATGGCTGACTAGTATTCCATTATGTATATACACATTTTCTTTATCCATTTGTCTATTGATAGACATTTAGGTTGGTTCTATGTCTTGGCTATTGTGAACAGTGCTGTGATGAAAATGGGGTGCAGATAACTCTTCAACATACTGATTTTAAGCAATAGGTTTTAAACATATAATTTTAAATATTTTATAGCATTTTAGAAATTTTGTCCTGGGCTATTTTAAATCTTAATGCTTATTAACTCTTTAACCTTTTTGTTGTCTCGACTCCAACAAAATTTTCATTTCAGGAACTCTTGTGTTTTAGTCAAGTCTAATTAATATTTGGAGTTCTAAAAAAGCTACAACTATATGCCAGTTATAACAATATGTTATTTTTCCTTCTTAGCTAAGTGGGGAAAGCTAGTGACAGAGCTATGGCAAGAAATGTTTTCTGTACACTGAACGAAAATAAATGAAATAAAGTATGATTCTTTCAGCCAAAAAATTAGCCAGGCAGCTTCTGAATACTTCAGCCATGGAGTCAAACATGATTTCTTTAAAGGAAGTTAAAATATGATACCAGTTATATCAGCCTGAAAACAAAATCTGATAAAACATTGTCATATTCATACTGTCTGAATCCTCATCCGAAAGAAGTCACAGAAGTTCCCAAGTCTCTACTAGGGATTCTATAGAAAAAGGCTGAACATTCATAGACATTTAAGACTTTTGTATGAAATTAAACTTGCCACTGCTTTCAGACAACATTTCATAGAAAATTGTGCTCCATAGTTAAAATTTTAAATTAAAATTTCTCAATTTAAATTGAAAAATTTAATCTTAATGATCAAATCAAGTCCTTGATTAAGCTGTCATTGCAATAAAAGGGAATTTTCTTCCCCACATATGTGCACCTATCTAAGACTTACTTTCTTGGCCTTTTTTTACCTTGTTCCTTTTCGTCAGAATATAAACTGACACTATTTTGAGATTTTTCTGTTTATGTTTTTCTTATTTTCATAGAATACTCAGCTAGTTGTGGAGGAGAGTGAAGATAACGTATGAAAGATCTCATCGCTAGGATATCATTCAAATGAGACTTTCAAACATCCTGAAAGTTTACATTTCTGAGCCCATTCCCTTATTCTTGATCAATATTTCTTTTTTTATGATTTGTGACATGAACAGCATCTGTATGAATGTCGCTGTTTGCAGAAACTTACATATATTTCATTAAATAAATTATATGTTACATATACAATGGAATATTTTGTCTTCACGTAAATATTTCTGCATAGATGTTCGCATGGAAATAAAACGAGAAGAAAATGAATTCTAAACTTGGCTCATTGCCTAATTTATTTTATTACTACCTTATTTTATTTTATATGCAGACCCAAGTTTGTTTTCTTGGCAAAGATAAAGAAACCGGACAAGTAGTTCCCTTCTGCGGAAATCTGGTTTCACTTGTGTGATACCACCCAGATTCCCTCCACCTCTTCCTTGCCGCCATTGCTCTATCCACTTAAAGTGAGCTAAAATATTTAATGGGTTACGAGAGTAAGAACTCTGTTTTTTTAAATTTCATTTAAAATAGTGGTGTAGTATCGGTTATGATCAACAGAGTCTAAGGCTCCTTTGTAACCACTAAATCTAAGAAAAGCCACAAATTACCATTGGAATTGAAGAGCAGTTGGCTTTGGGGACTGGTTTCAATGACCCCCTCCCCCTAAATTAAAATATCCTGCATCTGTGTAAATAAACATCTCTAGGTATATGGTAAGGCAATATTTAGCACAAATATGTTTCATACAAAATTAGCAGCAAAGAAAAACTTTAAACTTGTAATTACATGAAAAAAATTAAGCCGTTAGTGTAATTAAGATGTTCCTTCTTTTTCCCTTAAACATGGAGAGCAGAAGCAATCACTCTTTTTTTGCATGACTACTCTCATTGTTGAACTTTCCAAAGCATTATTATTATTTTCTCTTTCTTCCATGACAATTTATAATGATACTTTTATTCTGGCAAGAAATTAAGTTCTAGCACTAAATGTTTATTGGCTAAATTAATGTTTATAAATGCTAAATATAGAGTAGTATTTCTGCCAATGAGATCTAGGAAGTCAACAGATAAGCTTCTTAAGAGATAGTAGCTAAAAGTCTTATAATCTCTTCTATTTATAGAAGTCAAGGAAGTGAACTCAGATGAGATAAAAACTGAGTTATTTAGCCCTAGAGAGTCTGTCTCTAGTTGTCACCCTCATTTCCCCGTCTTGATCATTCTTTCTCTTTCCAGTTTCCGAAGTCAAAACTGCCTTTTGAAAGTGACACAAAATTCTAGCATGATGGTTCTGTTAGTGAGGCAGTAACTCATAAAAGTGTGTTTTCAAGGAAAGTGCTCATGGAGGTATTCTACACTGCCATCTTTCTTCTGAATTCTTGGAAATAATTATATCTTAATGTCCTTAATGTTCTGAAGGTAATGAACAAGTAGCTTCAATTTAACTGGATTTTGGACACTTCTCCCTAGAGAATTCAGGAACCCACTGCCTACAGTTTTTTACTGCTATTCATGGAAGAAATGGGAGGACATGTTATCAATCTGTATTGCTAGGAGACTTTCAAGTTATAGTGCTGGAGAAATGTATGAAAAGCTTCCCAGATGATAGGGAAACCAATGATACTCTAGTGTTCTCACCTAAATATACAGCTTTTCTTCTTGGACCACCAGTATGGTGAAAGTCTTCAATGGCTCCTTTTTTGTTGTTCTAGAAATAACTATTTCATTTTAATTTCTTCTATTTGTTTTATAAATTATTTTTCAATTGTCAAAAATTCTATATATTTATGGTATATAATATGATGCTTTTTAAAACATTTATTTTAGATTCAGGGGTACATGTGCAGGTTTCTTATTTAGGTAAATTGCCTGGTGCAGGGTTTTGGGGTACAGATTATTGTGTCACCCAGGTAATAAGCATAGTACAGGATATGTACTTTTTCAATCCTCACCCTCCTCCCACCCTCCACCCTCAAGTAGGCCCTGGTGGCCATTGTTCCCTTCTTTGTGCCCACTTCTATTCAAAGTTTAATTCTCACTTATAAGTGAGAACATTCAGTATTTGGTTGTCCATTCCTATGTTAGTTTGCTTAGGATAATGACCTCCAGCTTTACCCATGTTCCTGCAGAGGACATTATCTTGTTATTTTTTATGGCTGCATAGTATTCCATGGTGTATATGTACCATAGTTTTTTAATGCAATCTACCGTTGATGGACATTTAAGTTGACTCCACGTCTTTGCTATTGTGAATAGTGCTGTGATAAGCATACGTGCGCATGTACCTTTAAGGTAGAATGATATACATCCCTTTGGGTACATATCCAATAATGGGATTGCTAGGTAGCATGGTAATCCTGTTTTAGTTCTTTGAGAAATTGCCAAGCTGTTTTCCACAATGGCTGAAGTAATTTCCATTCCCACCTGCAGTGTATAAGCATTCCATTTTCTCCACAAGCTCATCAGCCTGTGTTATTTTTTTGACTTTTTAATAATAGCCATTCTGACAGGTGTGAGATGGTTTCTCATTGTGGTTTCAATTTGCTTTTCTCTAATGACAAGCAATATTGGGAGTTTTTTTATATATGCGTTGGCCATGTGTGTCTTCTTTGGAAAAGTGTCTGTTCATGTCCTTTGCCTACTGTTCAATGGGGTTTTGTTTTTTTGCTTGTAAATTTGTTTAAGTTCCTTACAGATTCTGGATATTAGAGCTTTGTTGCCATCAGTTGAATCGCAACCGATTGCAGCCACCCTAGGCTATGGTGGTCATCTGCTCCAACCGCCTTATTTACAGGTGAAAAAAAAAATGAGTCCCCAGATGTAAAAGTTGAGGGGGAGTCAGAGTTGGTGGCAAAACCAGAACTAAGACTCAATTCTCTTGATGCATAGACCATTTTTTTCTTCCACATTTGTTAAATGTGTTTGGCCAATACTCCCTAGTGTTTTTCACATTGCCCTACGTGTATTTCAAGATCCATCAAAACCTTGCTCCGTCTTGCCATTTAACTCTATTTTCTATTCATCTCATAATATGAAAATCTTGTGACCATCAAGCTGAGCTTCTTCATTCTCTTTACCAATGCACCTACTGAACTTTTTACCTTGTGCTACGGTGACCAAACATCCCAATTTTCCAAGGACTGTCTGGGTTTTAGCACTGAAAGTCCTGCACTCTGGGGACCTCCTCTGTACTAAGCAAATTGGCCTAGTTGGTTACCCTACCATGCCCACTACTTGCATAGCTATTGCCTTGATCCTCTTCTCTAGAATTTTCTTCCCCTCATCTTTTCTTCCCCAAATTTTCTTCCTTAAATTTTTATGATGACGAAAGAAAATTCAAACGCCCTTCCCTTTGGATAATCTTCAATTGTTATTCTCTAAACTTCTATGGGTCTGTTATTATACCTTACATATTTAAGCTTTTCATTAAAGGCTGTCTTGACTTGCTTGAGAAGTACTTGAGACATTATCTTCCCTGCACAAAGTAGATGGTAATCTACTATCAAATAGAGTCATGGAGATAAAAAGCAGCTTGTTTCCGTAAGGTCAATTTTGTGAGACAGGCATTGCACTCATTTAATAAATACTATACACTGTGAGATAAGTATTATTACACCTATTTTATGGAAACAAATGAAGTTTAGAGAAGGTAGCAAGTTGATCATAAGGATTCAAATCTAGCCCTCTCTGACTCCTTCCAATACATCACACTTGCTGGATAGGAAATGTGTTGATGTTTTGGAAATTCCCACAACTCTAACCTAGTGCTAAGCCCAAAGTGCGTGCTCAAAAAATACTTGCTGTTATGTTCTAAATTGCACTTCCAATTAGATCTACAAACACATGTTCATGATGGCAGGGAAGATACATTATTTCCAAAAAGAATAATAAATCATAAAAAGTATTTTATCCAATGTAAGCATAATTGTAATTGTATTTTATAGCTTAACGTTGTAATATTGATGAGTGTGTTCTCTTTGTCTTCTTATTCTTCTAGCCTTAAAAATAGTCACAAATGTCATATATCCATATATTGAGACACACACACACACACACACACACACACACACATATATATACACATACATACAGTCTTGCTATCATCGCTAAAATTTTTGTCATCATCTAACTCATTTTTGGCTTTTTTTTTCTGGCTTTCATACTTTTCCTTATCTCATCTGTTAGATTGCCACTGCTGAATACAGTAGCCACTAGTCAAGTATGGTTTCTGAGCACTCAAAATGTGACAGACTCACAGTGAGACATCCTGCAAGTATGAGATACACAGCTGACTTTGAAGATGTAATTCCAAAAAAAATGTAAAATAGCTGATCAGTGATTTTTATGTTGACTACATTTTTAAAAGATAATCTTTTTATATATTGGGTTAAATAACACATTATTAAAATTAACATTGCTTGTTCCTTTTTTACTTTTGAAAAATATTTGGCTCTAAGAACATTTAAAGTTACACATATGGGCTACATTATATATTTATTGGACAGCACTACTATTACTACTAAATACTTTCTAGAGACATCCTGTGATGAATACTTTTTATTCATTTTCCTTTGAGAAAATATCATATTTTAATGTAATTTTATGGAATTTTTTCAAATAAAGTTATCTTTAAATATTATGTATTTGGTGATTAAATTAATAAATGTCAACATATCTCCCTACAAGTGATCAGCAAATGAGATTTTTTTCCTGATAAAATAATTCATGGTAAAAGGAAAGTTATGTAGGCCATATGAACATATATGTGACGGTGAAATTCTGGCATAGTGTATGTGGCATGAATCATGATATTCAAAGAATGACATATGAACATTCTCTTAATTTGGATTTCTATATATTTACCATGGAACTAAACTTTAACCAAATTGATAGCATAGAAAAATAAAACAGTGAAAATAAAACAACCGTAATTACTAGGAAGATGAAAAAAGTTTTATGAAAAAATATTGCATAGTTCAACTATTTCTTAAAACCTATTTAAATCTGGAATTTGGACTATTCAGACCTGGGAAAGTTATAAGATAAGGCCTGTAAAATACACCCTCATCAAAGGATGGCAATAAGTTGCTTTGTGAAAGCTCTTATAGGAAACAAAATGCTCCACCCTCTCACAGCTAATGTGAGGATTTAGAAATTATGAGCAAATGTATTAATTATTTCTAAATGACATTGCTTTCCACAGTCTCATTTCCAACAAGCTGATACAAAGACCACAGGAAAGGAAGAAAGGAGAACTACAAACCACTGCTCAAGGAAATAGGAGAGGACACAAACAAATGGAAAAAAAAAACATTCCATGCTCTTGGGTAGGAAGAATCAATATCGTGAAAATGTCCATACTGCCCAAAGTAATTTATAGATTCAGTGCAATCCCCATCAAGCTACCACTAACTTTCTTCACAGAATTAGAAAAAACTACTTTAAATTTCATATGGAACCAATAAAGAGCCCGTATAGCCAAGACAATCCTAAGCAAAAAGAACAAAGCTGGAGGCATCACGTTACGTGACTTCAAACTACACTACAAGGCTACAGTAACCAAAACAGCATGGTACTGGAACCAAAACAGCATGGTACCGGTACCAAAACAGATATATAGACCAATGGAACAGAACAGAGGCCTTAGAAATAACACCACCCATCTACAGCCATCTGATCTTTGACAAACCCGACAAAAACAAGCAATGGGGAAAGGATTCCCTATTTAATAAATGGTGTTGGGAAAACGGGCTAGCCATATGCAGAAAACTGGAACTGGACCCCTTCCTTACACCTTATACAAAAATTAACTTAAGATGGATTAAAGGCTTAAACATGAGACCTAAAACCATAAAAACCCTAGAAGAAAACCTAGGCAATACCATTCAAGACATAGGCATGGGCAAAGACTTCATGACTAAAACACCAAAAGCAATGGTAACAGAAGCCAGAATTGACAAATGGGATCTAATTAAACTAAAGAGCTCCTGCACAGTAAAATAAACTATCAGCAGAGTGAACAGGCAACCTATAGAATGGGAGAAAATTTTTGCAATCTATCCATCTGACAAATGGCTAATATACAGAATCTACAAATAATTTAAACAAATTTACAAGAAAAAAGCAAACAAACCCATCAAAAAGTGGGCAAAGGAGATGAACAGACACTTCTCAAAAGAAGACATTTATGTGGCCAACAAACATATGGAAAAAAGTCACTGTCACTGGTCATTAGAGAAATGCAAATCAAAACCACAATGAAATCCCATCTCACACTAGTTAGAAGGGCGATCATTAAAAAGTCAGGAAACAACAGATGCTGGAGAGGATGTGGAGAGATAGGAACACTTTTACACTGTTAGTGGGAGTGTAAATTAGTTCAACCATTATGGAAGACAGTGTGGCGAATCCTCAAGGATCCAGAAATACCATTTGACCTAGCAATCCCATTACTGGGTACGTACCTAAAGGGTTACAAATCATTCTACTATAAAGACACATGCACATGTATGTTTATTGCAGCACTGTTCATAATAGCAAAGACTTGGAACCAACCCAAATGCCGATCATTGATAGACTGGATAAAGAAAATGTGGCATATATACACCATGAAATACTATGCAGCCATAAAAGCAGATGAGTTCATGTCCTTTGCAGGGACATGGATGAAGCTGGAAACCATCATTCTCAGCAAACTAACATAGGAACAGAAAACCAAACACCTCATAAGTGGGAGTTGAACAATGAGACACATGGAGACAGGGAGGGGGAACATCACGCACCAGGGCCTGTCAGTGGGTGGGGGGCTAGGGGAGGTATAGCGTTAGGAGAAATACCTAATGTAGATGACAGGTTGATGGGTGAAGCAAACCACCATGGCATGTGTATACCTATGTAACAAACCTGCACGTTCTGCACATGTATCCCAGAACTTAAAGTATAATAAAAAAAGGAAGAAAGGGAGGTTTAGTGTGTATGTTTGTCTGTGTATGTGTGTGTGTGTGTGTGTGTTTTAAGGCGGATAGAAAAATTGTTCTAATCACTATTGTGATTAAATTTTCCAAGGACTTGTGTCTATTTACAGTAAGGACTTATTCCTTATGTTTTGAAATACAATATGTTACCTTAAGCCCAGTAAATTTGTCTAGGCAAAAGTTTTTGATTGTGTGTGAAAGTGTTCACGATGATAACTTCAATTAGATATCTCCCCTTGTTTATTAAAAGATGTGCTTGAAACTAACACTTTAAGGATATTGCTTTTAAACTGAAGTATCTGGAGCAAAAGGAATAATTTATAATACAGGAAACTTACATGTCTAGAACTCTGTTATTCGAAGTGTGGTGCAAGGACAAGCAACATCAACATCACTTTGGAGCTTGTTAGGATCTCAGGCCGTTCCTCATCCTGATTGAATCAGATTATATATTTTAACAAGACTCCTAGGAACTAGTATATACAATAAAGTTGCAGAAACACTAGTCTGTGGAATCTATGATGTTGAAAAGTATTTGTTCTTTTGCATAGACAGACCAAATTATTGTACCTAGGAGAGTTCAGGTGCCCTGGGAAGCATAAAGCAAGATAAGATTAGATATACAAGAGCTTTATAGTAGAAGTAAGCAGATGAATGTAGGGTGAGCTTTCCAATTTCAAAACAGGTCTGACATCTGTGGGAGGAGACAAGAATGGAAGAAGAATTGGGCAAGAAGGGTCTCTACCGCAGTTCAGTTTCAAGGAAGTTTTGGCCAAGCCACTGGGAAGTTCTCACACAAAAGTCGCCCTCTGTAGAGCCCTACTATTGGTAGGAATGAGTCCCTTAGCCCCTTCTGTGTACAGTCATTGGCTGAAGGCAGCCCACAGCAACATCACCTCCATGCAAACACAGGGTTGGATCAAGATAGTTGTCAATAGATAATGTTCCCTGTCACAAGAGCTTCAAGTCATGCACTCCTACAGTCACCACATAAGGCAAAGCAAAATTTAGTAAACCTAGCAGTGGAGGAAAAAGAGAAGAGAATTTTAAGCATTAAAACTGAATAGAGGATCGGCATGGTGCCTCACACCTGTAATCCCGGCACTTTGGGAGGCCGTGGCAGGAGAATTGCTTAAGCCCAGGAGTTTGAGACTAGCTTGGGCAACATAGTGAGACCCTGTCTCTACCAAAAATTAAAACACAATTAGCTGGGCATGGTGGCTCCTGCCTGTAGTTCCAGCTATTCAGGAGGCTGAGGTGGGAGGATCGGTTGAGCCCAGGAGTTTGAGGTTGCAGTGAGCCAAGGTTGTGCCACTGCATTCCAGCCTGGGCAATAGAGTGAGGCATTTTTACATTGAGTTCACTCCTGGTGTTGTACATTCTATGGATTTTGACAAATGCATGATGACATTTACATACTATTGTAGATAGGTTGTTATCTACAATCTAGATCTCAGTAGTCTTACCAGTAGAGTAGCATTTGGCATTATTAGGCAATCTGTTTCTAAAAAACAAAAAAACAAAAAGGAGAAGAAGAAAAAGAAATAAAAACTGAATAGAATAGGAGGTGAATGGATAAACTATGATACATCCAGACAATTGAGGTATTATTCAGTACCAAAAAGAAATGAGCGATCAAGCTATGAAAAGGCATGAAAGAACCTTAAATGCATAATTACTAAGTGATAGAAGCCAATCCAAAAAGGCCACATCCTGAATGTTTTTAGCTATATTACATTCTGGAAAAGACAAAATATGGTGTCAGTAAGATCAGTGGTTGCCAGAGGTTAATGGGGAGAAAGGAATGGATGGGCAGGGCACAGAGAATGTTTAAGGCTGTGAAACTATTCTATGTGACATGACAGTGGTGTCTAGATTGTAGATAACAATATATTTACAATATTAAATAAATGTCATTATGCATTTGTGAAAATCCATAGAATGTACAACACCAAGAATGAATCTTAATGTAAACTGTGGACTTTCGGTTGATGATGATGTGTCAATGTAGGTTCATTGATTGCAACAAAGGTACCACTCTGGGGTGTGATATTGATAGTGGGGGAGGCTGTGCTGTTTAGGAGCAGGGGATATATGGGAACTCTCTGTACTTTCTGCTCAATTATGCTTTGAACCTAAAATTGCCATAAAAATAAAATCTATTTGTAAAAAAATGAACAGAGAGAGTGATCATTCAGATTATTTTATTTCATCTTTGTCTTTGATGGGCTGAAGTCACCTAGCCAGAAAAACAAAACTTGTAGAATCCTCTTTGGTTACTGAATACATGCTCCATGACAGCTTGGATTTCCCTGCTCCAGAGACCCCAACAGGGGCTACTATCTGTTTTAGTAGCAGAGGTGGCTTAGAGTTCAGCAGAGCAGTGCAGATAGCTTCCTTCTTGAGAAAGTTTCTCTTTTTTATTATATAATCTGTTATTTAAGAGACTACAAGAAAAAAAAAATACGTTCCCCGATTGAAAAAAGAAAGAAAAACCTGAGCATTACAGGTGTAGACTTGAGTCACTAAAGAAACAATGATTATTAGGGTTATTAAATAATTCTTAGAAACTTCAAAATGTTCCTTGTCAACAGAGACCCAGAGTAAGTATTAAGAGAAGAACACAGGTGCACGGTCCCCACAGCAGCCTTATCAGTAGGGCGGCATTTGGCACCATCTTTAGGGATGTGGTCACATCACTCAGGCTCTTTGATCTCAGAACCTTCATCTTTGAAGAGCAAAGAAGCATTCATGTTTACTTTTCACTTCCTTTACACCTAAACATTACTCTCAGTATACTCGAGAAATCATTAATGATGATAGCTTCCGGGGGATCAAACACTCTAAGAGCATTTAGAAAATAAAAGTCATTTAGAAAATAATAATGTCATATTTATCCCTTTGAAGAGCTGGCTGATGTAGCAACTGAGGTTTACAATAGGAATTAACAACAGATTTCTTTGATTAAAGTGCCATGAGGGGCACTTGATATCTACACAATTTATTAGGTAGTTAACTTCTCTTGCAGAATAATAAGCTGAGACACGTATTAAGCACTTACAGTGTGACATCTACACTGCTTGGTCCTTCGCATGCACCCTTTTATCTAATTCTTACAATAGATTGACGATAAGGTAATATTATCTCCATTTAAAGAAACCCTTGGACACGGATTTAAGAAATTAGCCTAAGGTCGACATTTAGTAAATAGTGGAAGAAATATGAGCCAGAGAGAAGTACTAAGTGGTTCTTCTATGTTGGATGTGTACCAGAATCATGGAGAAAGTTTATTAAATTGCACATCTGTAGGCCAGCATCAGGGTTTTTTATTAGGGCCTGGGGTTGTGTCTGACCGTCTGATATATTTAGAAGATTCTGGAAGGAATCTGATATAACTAAGAACATCAGAACAACTGATGTAAGTCTGCAATGCTGGGAGGTCAATTTCTCCACCATTGTCATTCTGCAGGAGTTTATCTGTTCTTGGATCTGATTTAGTTTTTGGAAAGCTTTAGTGAATGATGCGTAAGTCTCCCTTTTTGGCAATGCGTTCAGCAGTTGCCTGGTTTATATGCTTCTTCCTCTTGGCAGAACTCAGTATTCACGTATTGAATATTGTTTACTAGCCTCCTTGGGTGGAGAGATTAATTATTTATTTCTACAGCCTTGGCTTCATTGATCCTCCTGATAGGACTCATGCCAGAGAATGAGTGTGAATCTTCCTGCTCAGATTAGAGGCTTGGGCTGCTTTGTAAAAATGATACTCTACTTCAGCCCTCCAAATCCACACAAAGGCTTTCCAACAATTTGTATACACCTAATTCCGGCCCCCACTTCCTCTTCTAGTCTGGAGAAAGGATAAAATTCTTAAACCACCTGGTAGGGTAGGGAAGATTAGACAAAGGGAGTATAACACAGAAATGAGGGAATAGAGTTGGTCACTTCTGGCCTCTCTCCAGTTTCCTTTTCTCTCTGTTCTTTGAGATGTAGAAACATCATGGGTTTAGATTAACGTATTCTTGGCATTGTTTCCTGTTTCAAAGAAAAAGAAGGGATGTCAGTGGTATCTGATATCAAATAATTTAACCAGAAGGGTAGCTAAGCTAAAGCAAAGTGAGTCCAGGCTCATTTTTCAACAGGCTAAAATGAAGAAAAGGAAAGCTTTAGATATCATTCATTTTGATCCAAAGCATGTTGACCAAACACCTATTAAGTACTTTGAAATGTTCCTGTTATAATATGGGCTGCAAATACATGGGTATTGAATGACTTTATTAGTGAAGGCATTGTGTTGTAGACAAATATGAATGAAGGCTGGTATTTGCCTTTAAGAGTTTAATTGGGCTTTTGTATTGGGGGTGCAGGCAGGCACGTGCAAAATATTTGGGCTACTAGCTCCAGCTTAAGGCAGAACATGATATAGTGGAGGCAGAGGGTACTATGAAGTTACAACAGGCAGAAAAATGTGTTTTGATCAAGAGGTTTGATAATGAAGGAACAGGCTTTTGATGTCCAAATTGAATTTCATTAAAGCTTCAGATAAATATTCTCCTGGAATAGTTTGAGGGTCATTCTGACATAGGAAATATGAACTCTGCAGTGAGAAAGAGAAGCTGGATAGGAAAGCAGGCTCTCAGAGAATTTTCCTCAGTCTATTACCAAAGGTTCAAGGCTGCAATCTTCTGGCATGTGTCAGGAATAAAACACACACATACACACACACACACACACACACACACACACACACACACAAACTCAAACAAGATTGCAGAAGATGTGTTCTGATTTAATCTAGGTGTCAAGTCTTTGATGCCATGGATTAAGTGGGTGGCTTAAATTAAAAAAAAAAATTTCTGTATAGTTCCAAAGGCTAGAAGTTCAAAACCAAGGTGGCTGCAGGGAGAATCTGTACCACATCTCTTTCTTAGATTTTGCTGGTTGACATCAATCTCTGGTGTTACTTGGCTTTATAAACACATAACTCCAATCTCTGCCTCCATCTTCACATGGCATTCTTCCCTGTGTCTCCCTTCATTTCATATGGCCTTCTTATGAGGATACCAGCCACTGATTTAGGGCCTAGTATTACCTCATCTTAACTAATTACATCAGCAAAGGCCCTATTTCCAAGTAAGATCACAGTTGAGGTTCCATGTGGATGTGAATTTTGGGAGACAATTCAACTGTGTTAGTCTGCTTGCATTGCCATAAAGGAATATCTGAGATTGGGTAATTTTTAAAGAAAAGAGGCTTATTTTGGCTCATGGCTCTGCAGTCTGTACATGAAGCCTGATGCAGGCATCTGTTTCTGGTGAGGCTTCAGGAAGCTTTCAATCATGGTGGAAGGCAAAGGGGGATCCGGCATATCACATGGCAAGAAGGAGAGAGCTGGGTCAGGTGCCACACTCTTTTACACAACTAGATCTCCTATCAACTCAGAGTGAGAACTCGTACATTATTATGAGGTGGGCACCAAGGCATTCATGAGGGATCTATCCCCATGACCCAATCACCTCGCACCAGGCCCTACCTTCAACAATGGGGATGACATTTAAACATGAGATTTGAGGGGACAAACGTTCAAACCATATCACTAACCCAGTCAATGGGGTCAAGTTTTTGAGACTGCAATTTAAAGACTATAACATTACTACCAATTTAGGCTAATTTCCAGAATTCTGTAAAACCTGGGTAGAGAGAAACAAAGAAAATATCCATATGTTAGAATTGAAAGCTGATTGAAATTAAAGAGACGAAAGCCTTTACGAAGTGCCTGGGGAATCAGGAGGTCTGATTCAGGAGCAAAAATGAGCCCACTACAGGAAGATGAAGAAATCTAAGTTTCATAAGACTTGACATAGGGGAAAAAATGGTTTTCACATAGGTAATGCCATAGTTATGAAATGAAAATGCCTGTCCTTTCTACTCTCAAACAGGTTGCTGATATAGACCTATCTCCAAATCCTAATGGGTCTGAGGCTTATTGATATTCCTATGGTATTTTTCCTTATTGTGAGAAAAGGATTGAGCAGTCCTCAGTTTCCTGGTTATTTTTGTTAGCACTGAAGATACAACCATAGTCATGCATTCCTCAATGATGGTGATATACATATATTCTGAGAAGTGCATTGTTAGGTGATTTCATGATCTTGCAAACATCATAGAATGTACTTACACAAATCTAGATGGTACAGCCTACTACACACCTAGGCTACGTGGTGTAGCCTATCACTCCTAAGCTACAAACCTAAGTATTAGTGTATCTAAACATACAAAAGGTAAAGTAAAAATATGGTATTATAATTTTATAGTACCACTGTCACATATGCAGTCCATCATTGACCAAGACATCATTATTCAGTGCATGACTGTAGTATAAAAATGGAACTGGCTATCAATCTGAGCGTTGAAAAGTGGAGAGAGTTTTATAAATCGAGATGAAGGACTTTCCGGCTGAAAGATCAGTGTATTTCCAGAATGAGAAAGTGAATGTTGTGTTCAGCCTTACAAATTTTCCAGCATAGCAAAAATGCACTCACATGGTAAGATCTAATGGGACAGGATTCTGAGAACTTATGTCAGAGGCAGATAATAGATGACTTGGATTTAAAGGCTAAGAAAGAAATGTGACTTTTTTTTTTTTTTTTTTTTTTGAGACGGAGTCTCGCTCTGTCGCCCAGGCTGGAGTGCAGTGGCGTGATCTCGGCTCACTGCAACCTCCGCCTCCTCGGTTCAAGCCATTCTCCTGCCTCAGCTTCCCGAGTAGCTGAGACTACAGACGTGTGCCACCACACCCAGCTAATTTTTGTATTTTTAGTAGAGGCGGGGTTTCATCATGTTGGCCAGGATGATCTCGATCTCTTGACCTTGTGATCTGCCCGCCTTGGCCTCTCAAAGTGCTGGGATTACAGGCGTGAGCCACCGTGCCCCGCCAGGAAGGATTTTTTAAACTCTAATAGATGTGAGGAATTAGTTAGACTAGAACATGTGTGTACACTTAGCAGAAGTCTGTAAGAGAAAAGTTATGTAGAAACTAATAGGAGGTAATCGAATAGAGTGTAACTTGTAGTTAACAGGAAAAAAAGAGATTATGGCCAAGCTAAAGGTTGGTTTTAAAAAACATTAAGGTATATGTATATTTAAAACAAGAAACATAAACTAAAAAATAAGAACTAGAAAAGACTAGTTGGTTTAAGAAAGAAATTCTGAGATGGAGAGGAGATACATAAAAATATTTCATAATGGATGGATTTCATTTTGTCAGTAAATTGAAATGAGATAATCAAGGGAGGGAAAGATGAAATAAATCAAGACTTCTGGTGATATGATAGCATGTTTGAAATATGTGTCACTGGATCACAGCTGGGAACAGCCACATGAGACTCAGGAGGGCCAGAAGGCCTAGAGGAAAGAGAAGTTGAATGATTAGACATTTCAATCATTGTTAAGAACACATTCAGTGGGAGTAAAAAAAGTGGGAGAGGTGAAAAGAGAGTGTGATCAGGAACATAAACCATTTATATCATTACTCAACTCTTTATTTTTTTATATTTTTATGTTTTATGCAAATGGAAACTGGCCTTTTTTTTTAAATTTGCATTTAAAAAAACTGCTGGGCATTTAAAGGGTTGGTTCCAAGTCTTTGCTATCGTGAACAGTGCTGCAATTGGGGAGTTGAACAATGAGAACACACGGACACAGGGAGGGGAACATCACACACTGGGGCCTGTTGGGGGGTGGGGGACTAGGGGAGGGATAGCATTAGGAGAAATACCTAATGTAGATGATGGGTTGATTTGTTGGGTGCAGCAAACAACCATGGCACGTGTATACCTATGTAACAAACCTGCACATTCTGCACATGTACCCCAGAACTAAAAGTATAACAACAATAACAAAAAAATTGCACAGAACTGGCTACTGGTCATATCGGGAAGACAGGTATCTGGCCCTAGGAAAGCCCAGGAGATAGCCAAAACGCATAGAGAACTGACAAAGTGTGGTAATGCTAAGTAGCTAGAACAACGGTAAGGTTAACTTTTTCTGGGAGTTGGATAGAAGGAATAGAGACAATCAGCCACTGTGTATTAAGACAAAGATGGAACAGGCACACTAAAAGCAATTGAGATAGCATAAAGAGAGATCATCCAAACCGAGAAGAGATGGAGAGTTGGTTTTGTAGTTCTGACCCACGTGTATCTTTAAAATAAACTCTATTTTTTAAGTAGTATAATTATGTTGTCAATCTTGCCTAACAGAGTTAAAAATAAATACATGAAGAATAGGGATCACACAAGTTTGATGAGTCCCATGAATGGAGGCAACTTCAGTTGCGTGTTGTGTGCAACTTAATTCTCCATGTGCATTTGCCTCTTATGAGAACTTGGACCATCTTTCATCACCTCTGCAGCAATCTGCTGCAGCTTTTAGGCAATATGTTAAACTTAACACACCTGACCTGAGTTTTGAATCCACAGCAACAGTAGGGCAGCACCTCCTTAAAAGAATTGCTTCATGTTTGGAGAGAAATTAGCAAAGCTATGGGTACTTATCTGCATAAGTACCCATTAGATTTTTTCACAGAAACAAAAAGTATTTGGAAAACAGCACCGTGGAAAAACCAATTATTCTTTCAACACTACACATATTTGGATTGCTATGAGCTAGAATATGATGTGGGTGTACAGAATGGACTGCACCAACTCCCCTAGCAAAGCTAATATAGGGACCTGGGACATTTGATTTTTGCTTGCAAAGTGATACATCTGTAGTACTCCAAAGAGAGTCAAAAAAATGTAGAGGCTCTCAGATTTCTTTCTTTGTGCATTTCTCCTTCCTGTTGAATGTTGGGAGGAGTTGACCAGCCTCCAGGGATTAAGACATTCAAAGTGGTCAGTAATTTCCATAATAGGATTCAGTGATCAGATTCAAAAGCAAAGAACAACTAATAGGAAAGGATAAGAAGGATGAATGGCTGTTATAGAGTAGGCTCTGTAAGTTGAGAAATAGAGCATTCTTGAAGAGAGCATTTCATTAGCCCTCAAGACATATACAAATACTAGATATTATGTGAAGGTGAGGAAGTCTTGATGTCTTCTTGTCTTATGGAAGAATTTTTATTCTAATAATGGGTTACAAGATTGAAAGAAGAACAAAGACATTTTGAATGGGACAAAAATTGAAATTAAAAAATCAGCATTCATCTGTTGGAACAAAGTTTTGAGAGCAAATGGAGCTCTCAGAATAGGCAGAAAGAAAGAAGCTAGGCCAGATTAATTGTGGAGCTTGGCTTTTATTGAATCAGTGATGTCTAGAGCCATGTTTACAATATTTTTCTGAAAAATTTATTAGCTTACTTCTTTCATGGCAGAAATACTAAATAAGGGGTTTAGGTTAAAAATCTCTCTCAATCTATCTCACAATTCTTGCTTGTTCTCTTGACCATACGCTTGCATGCATTTTTTATGTTTTAGGTAGTGATATAATGCTTGAATGTAAATAATGTACAGGATAAAACAGGCTATGGAGTCAGACAGATCCAGTTTCAACTCTCCATTTGTTGCTTACTAAGCTTTGTGATCTCAAACTTTTGAGCCTCATGTTCTTCATCTGTAAAAAGAGAGATATAAAGCATACCTGGGGAGAATTAAAATAATATGAATACACACATACACATATATTCATGCATACAGCTATGTACATATACACATATATATACATGCACAAATGTTTCTGTGTATGCACAGGTGTGTGTATATCATAATGCATGATTTCAGTAAATGGTAACTAAAAGCTGGCTGGGTTTTCTCTGCATTGGAGAAAGCAGTTGCCCTTCTTTACTTAGACCAACATTGACTATAATCCAAAGTAATAGGGAGCTGCAAGCCTCGATACATCCATATCTTCTCTGTTTCCTATTATTATAGAGGGTAATTATGCACCACTGCTTGGAAATTTATTAAAATTGTCTTTTTGAAGTTTGGGAAGAAATTAGGTCAAAATCAATTTATCATATAGCATAAAATACTTGTCTGTATTGAAAAGAGGTTATTTTTTAAGCAATGAGAAAAGAACTCCCTATTCAATAAATGTTGCTGGGACAGCTGGTAGCTGTATGCAGAAGAATAACTGGACCCATACCCTTTACCATATACAAAAATTAACTCAAAACGAACGAAAGATTTAAATGTAAGATCTCAAACGATAAGAATCTTAGAAGAATACCTAGGAAACCCCATTCTGGATATCTGTCTTGGAAAAAAATTTATGACTAAGTCCCCAAAAGCAATGGCAACAAAAACAAAAATTGACAAGTGGGACCTAATGAAACTAAAGATCTTCTGCACAGCAAAAGAAACTAGCCAAAGAGTGAACAGACAACCTACAGAATGGGAGAATATATTCACAAACTACACATCCAATAAAGATCTAATATCCAGAATTTGTAAGAAGCATAAACAATTGAAGAAGCAAAAAGAAAATAACTCCATTAAAAAGTGGGCAAAAGACATGAACAGACACTTCTCAAAAGAAGACATACAAATGGCCAAAAAACATATGAAAAATGCTGAACATCATTAATGATCAGAAGAATGCAAATCAAAACCACAATGAGATGTTATCTTACACCAGTCAGAATGGCTATTACTAAAAAGTCAAAAAACAACAGATGTTGGCAAGGTATGGAGAAAAAGGAATGCTTATACATGGTTGGTGGGAATGTGAACTAGTTCAGCCACTGTGGAAAGCATTTTGGAGATTTCTCAAAGAACTTAAAACAGAACTACCATTTGACCCAGTAACACCCATTATTGGGCATATATCCAAAAGAAAAGAAATTGTTCTACCAAAAAGACACATGTATTTGAATATTTGTCACAGCACTATTTACAATAGCAAAAATGTGGAATCAACCTAAGCTCCCATCAATAGTTAATTTGATAAAAAAAAAAAGCGGTACATATACATCATGTAAAACTACAAGCCATAAAAAAGAACGAAATCATTTCCTTTGCAGTAACATGGATGCAGCTGGAGATCATTATCTTAAGCAAATTAATGCAGGAATGGAAAATCAAATACTGTATGTTCTCACTTATAAGTGGGAGCTAAACGTAGGATACTCATGGACATAAAGATGGTAACAGTAGACACTGAGAACCACTCAAAGAGAGAAGGAAGGGAGCAAGGGTTGAAAAACTACTTATTGGATACTATGCTCAGTACCTGGGTGAGGGATCATTTGTATCCTAAACTGCAGAATCACACAATATATTCATATAACAAACCTGCATATGTACCCCTGAATCTAAAAGTTGAAATTATTTTTGGTGAAACCCTATCTCTACTAAAAATACAAAATTAGCTGGGTGTGGTGGCGTGCACCTGTAATCCCAGCTACTCAGGAGGCTGAGGCAGGAGAATCGCTTGAACCCGGGAGGAGGAGCTTGCAGTGAGCCGAGATCGCATCATTGCACTCCAGCCTGGACAAACAAGAGCGAAACTCCATCTCAAAAACAAAAACAAACAAACAAACAAACAAAAAAGGCATTTTTTATTATTACTTCAAATTCTTATTTTTATTGAGCCTGTCTACAATCCAATCAGTATTTCAGAAACATGTTCAGTATAGAGAGTTGCAGCTCTGTGACTGTCTTTCAAAAGTTCAGAAGGAATAGAGTTTTCTTGCCAGTGATGCAACCTCAAATTTCACCCAATATGATAACTAGCCAAGCATGTTCTTTGTGATGATCTTTCCAATCGTGCAGTGTAAAATGAATCATCCTATTCCCAATAGAATCCAACTAAGTCTTGCATAGGGTTTATCTATTTGAACAGATAAGTCATTTTGTGAATATGATGTAGGGATTCCTCCTAAGTGAAAAGTGGTGACTCCTGATAACATGGCTTAGGAAATTAAACCTAATTTATATTATTTTCTTTTTAAGAGACCTGCTAAAAAGCAGACACAGAGTAGAGATGCATATTAGTGTCTATTAACTTTGGGGATTTGCAGAGGAATAGTAAAGTGTTGCTTTGGGTATCTTTTAAAACTTTAAAAGAGTTTAATTTTTGTCTGTATTGCCAAATCAGATTAGAAAGAGCTAAGTTCCATTAGATAATTGGCATGTGAGGTATGAAAATGAATTGTCCCTAGAATAAAAAGATTTTTTTTTGAGAATGGGGGTAGGGGTGAGAAGGTAAGTAACAAATAGTGCACATGAGGTGAAGCAGAGGAGAAAACCTAGATGGCGGTGGTGTTTTCCATAGAAGAAATGCATCAGCATTGTAAGGCAATCTTATATATGTTAAAAATAAAAATAAAAATAGAGAAGTATACATAAATAATAAAAAATTTAAAGTTTTATTCCAAATCAGCTTCAGATTTAAAATGCGTTTGTGTGTGTACTTATACAAAAATAAAACATTTGAAAAAAGTAAAAAAGGGATGTTAATAGTATTACCCCATAGACTTGTTATGAAATTAAATGGAATACTATACATAATGTACTTAGCAAATAAATGCATGCTAGCATTACTTCATTATTTACAGTATTTCAAAATTAAAGTACCCTCCTGTGCCCCATTTCTCGTTCCCTCTCCAGAAGCAACAGCTGTGGTGAATTTGATGTACAACCTTACTGTCTACATGGAAAATACTAACATTTTGGTGCCTTTATTCAGGTCTGCATGGGTGCATGTACCCACACATGTTGTGCTTTAACTTTTACATAAGTAAGAAAATATTCATGTCTTCTTAGCTTGTTTTTTTCACTCAATTTAGTGTTTTGTTTTGTTTTGACAGAGTCTGACTCTGTTGCCCAGGCTGGAGTGCATTGACACAATCATGGCTCACTGCAGCCTTGACCTCCTTGGCTCAAGTGACCCTCCCACTTCAGTTTCCCAGTATCTGGGACTACAGGCACATGACATCACACCCGGCTAATTTTTAAATTTTTCATAGAGATGGGGTTTCACCATGTTGCCTAGGATGTCAATTTAGTTCTTAAAAATGATCCATCCTGACACATACGGCTCTAGCTCGTTTCTTTTGAGTGTTATTCATTACTCTGTCACATAAAAATCCCATATTTCATTTACCTTCTTCCTTTTAATGAACTTTTAGGTCATTTCTGACTTAGGGCAATTGCAGTCAGAGCTATCATGAATATCCTCATGCATGCATCGTTTTGACATGGCTCAGAGTTTCATTTTTTGTTGGTTTTAAATAAATTATATACTTAGAAATGGACTTTCTGGGTTATAAGACATGCACATTTTTAGTTTTGCTAGTTATTACCACATACCTTCCAGCAAGTGTTCTAAAATATCCTTAAGAGTTTTATGAAAATTCCTGTTTACCTATCTCTCTGATCACAAGTGGTAATAGCATACTTCCTAATTTTTAGTTTCACAAATGGCATTTTACTTTAATTTGACTTGTATTTCCCCAATTACCAATGAAACTGAACATCTTTTCCCATTCTTTAAATATTTGGATTTAGTTTTTGAAAAGCTTTTTCAAATATTTTGCTTAATTTTTCTCCTGAGTTATTTGCCATTTTTCTCATTGACTTGTTGGTCTTTATACTGAATAGTAATCTCTTGTTGCTTGTATATTATGGTTTAACTTTGCTTATGATATCTGTGGTTATACAACTTTTTTAACTTTGAAATAGTCACGTTTATTATTTTCTTATTTTATGCCTTAAGCTTTATTTTATCCTTTTGCTTGCAATTGTGTTTTGGTATGTTTTTATGTACTTCAATGGTTCTCAATATTTAGCACGCATTAACAATAATACGAAGAGCTTGTTAAAATTACTGAACCTCTGGCCACTTTTTCTTGAAGATTCAGGAGTTCCAAGGTGCGCAAGAGCATAGAAAGTCATACAAGGTGATCTGCAAACACACTTTGGGAATTACTGCAGTGCACCATATTGGAATCACCATTGGCCAGAAGACCAGAGGACTGCCCTTCATTGAATTATTGTCTTTTTAAAAAAAAATCATTATTTTGGGCTTCCTTGTCTGAACAAGCTACGAATATGGGAAAATGCTTAGAGACAAATGTACAGATTAACTTTGAGGGAATGTTGTTTATTTTTCAGTCCTTCCAAGTGTTCCTGAAACAAGGAGATATTTGAAGTCTCTCCAGCCTGATATCCCCAGTGGAAATAAGTCAATGTTGGAACAAGAAGTATGAGCAACCAGAATTTAAAAAAATCTTGCTAAGGTATATTTTCATTATTTTATTCATGTCTTTTGGTGAGTTTTTTTTAAAAAAAAAATTCCTTCAAACAGCTATTGCGCAATGAAAAGTTAAGTAGAGCGTGGAGTATTTAGGACACAGGCTTTTAATAAAAACAATGTAAGGAATTAAAAAAAAAAGTCAAAGAACATTATAAAAACCTGGAGCATCAGGAAAAATAGTTTTCCTAACTTTAAGGAATTTAAGAGAGATCGGACATAGGCATTTTCCTTGTTCTCAGCCAGATTTATTTCTCATTTGTATTTATGTGCAATATCAAATGTTTTAATGTTGTGGATTTGTCCTGAATGCCATTAATAAAGTGGCTTCCTGTCTTAGCTAAGGTAAGCTATTCACCCAATTTAGGAAATAACTGATCCATGTTTTGAGACAAAGCTCTTTTGTTTAAAGAACCTTAGGATTAGAATGACAACCAAGGGACATTTGACCCAAATCCCAGAAAGTCCTGAGAATGGATTTTCTCTGTTTAGCGCATTGCTGCAGTTGAAAACACTAAAACAGAAGAGAAATGTTCAGGAGAAAAACTCCCATTTACCCAACAGAAGTAACGGAACTGATATATTCTTTCCACAAAGGCTTTGTTTATACCCCTCTGAGGAATAGATGGATTCTAGTTAGGTGTTTTGGTCAGTTTATTAAGAAGTTGACTCAGGTCGCAAATCTTTAGGAAGTGTTGAAAGGTGAGTCATTTCAGACATGTCAATCCTGTTGCAACAAACAGCACACATTTGCTTACTTTGAATAGTTATAGAAAGAAAGACATTAGATGTAAAAAAATTAGATGTGAATTGATTATGAAAATGAAGGTAGAATGAAATGGATGAAAACAGCACAAGGCCAGAGAAGAATATCTTTCTGCACTTTTAATATTGTCATCCCGTGCTAACATTTTTTTTTTTTTTGAGATGGAGTCTCCCTCTGTTGCCCAGGCTGGAGTTCAGTGGCATGATCTTGGCTCACTGCAACCTCCACCTCTGGGGTTCAAGCAATTCTCCTGCCTCAGCCTCCCAAGAAGCTGCGGCTATAGGCATGCACCACCGCACCCAACTAATTTTTTTTTTTTTTTTTATTTTTAGTAGAGACGGGGTTTCACCATGTTGGCCAGGCTGGTCACGAACTCCTGACCTCAAGTGATCCATCCACCTTGGCCTCCCAAAGTGCTGAGATTACAGGCATGAGCTGCCACGCCTAGCTCATCCCATGCTATCTTACACATTCCTACTCTTCCCCTTCCCCTCACACTTCTATCCATTAGAAGGAATCAATGGGGAGCTTTAGGATTCCACATGAACTCATCGAGTAAATCATACAATTTGCTTGTTGGAGAAAGTGTACCTTAAACTCTAAAATGAATGTGACCTTTATACTGAGAATGGTAAAAATATTCTAAAAATGAACAACGTTTAAAGCTACATTATCTATTTTTGCTGTACTCCAAGTTGATATTGAAGATGCTGAATAGATAGGTTTTGCAATGTCAATGTGATTTTGGTAAGTAAATGAAAGAAGGATTCCAAGTGAACAATTCCATCATACTTTCATCATAGACTTTTGAAGGCCTCAAATATACATGCATAGTTTTTCAAGAGCCTTTATAAAACATTTAATTTCTGCTTAACAACTCATTGGCGGACAGAAAATTTTTCAGTGATCTATTTTTCAATGAACACAGACAGCCAGAATGTCAAACAAAGACTAAAATTTAGGGGATCTGACTTCAGTCTGGCCAGTTTAGCCCATAACACTGTGAATGGCCACATGCCTCACCTTGCTCCTGGACTTTGACAGTAAATATTTGAATGGTAGAACCGGTGAGAACCTGAATAGTAAATATTTTATGAGAGGAAATAGGAACTCCCCTTTTCTCTGTCCTTCCCTTACATTAAACATATTAATTTATATTAACTGGAAACATATAATTCTCTATTTACCCCTGTCAATAATTAGTCATCATTTGAATCCTGAATCCTGCTTCTATCACAAATAAGATTTCTTTTTGGCAGACTGTGATAGATCTGAAAATCAGCTAACAAGGCATGCAACACTTGACTGAGAAAAATCAGAAGACTTAAATAATATACAGTGCACATGGATAATTTATTCTCTGATGACAAGGGTATCAATATATTCATTCTTTTCTCTCTTCCATCTCATCAAATTCCATCTTTCTTTAAGTGACTAAATAAGTGACATCCTAGGCTGTGGACTCTCTGCCTACTCTGCTTTTAGAATATTTGACCGAGCCTTTCCTCTTTTTCTCCGAGGGACAACAGCTGGTTTTCATTATGCATCAGATTATGATACACAACAAAAAGAAAATGGTCAAAATGAATACAAAGGGAGTTCTGCTAATACTCTAGTTTGTTCTTGGGGGTGTCAAGGTGAAGAATCCATACTGTTCTGTAGACCACTGTAAACTTAATCCATTTCATCATATACAGGAGTAAAATTCAGCAGTATTTTGTTAATCTTTGCTGCCCTTATTTACTGTGGGAGAGGCGCTTTGGTTTTTCCTCTTCTTCCTTTGGTATAGCACTAATGTATTTTATATGTCTTTAATCTCAGTTCCAGTTCTGTCAATATTTGAGCTTATCTTAAACCGAAGAACTCCAAAGGAGAGTCAAAGAAAGTAAATTCTCACCCCGGAAGGCAAATAACAATTATTTCATTAAACATTCAAATCACAAAGAACACCTTGGACCAGTTCTTGATATAAATAAGAGGCTGCAGACTTTTCCAAATCCCTGCCCGTGGGATGAACACTTTAAAGGTCCCAAGATTTCTAATAATGGGGCTAAATTTCCCAAAATGTGTTTTTCTGCTAAAAAATCCAGTAACAAGGAACTGTACAAATTCTAATCTCTGTATGAGTCTTCATCTTTGGAATGCCTATTCCTGAAGATGAGAGATGGATAGTAGGAACCTATGTATCGATCTGGGTTAGCCCACTGGGCTCATTAATGAAATATCACTGGGAGGAGCAGCCCAGCATCCTATACGTGAGCCAAGCATTTAGAATTGCCTTTAGGATTCTTCACACTGTTAGCAGCCAAGAACACAGAATCAAGTTCGGATCACAATTATGGATGCTACCAGGGGTATCATAGTTGCTCAGCCTGTTCAAACAAGTATTGGTTTTTTTCATAAGCTTCACTTTCATAAACTCTGGAGGTTGTGTTTCCATAATAAAAGTGAGCTCAACCTTAACAAAAACATTGCATAAAGCCACACTTTTTGTTTTCTAAACCGTAACTAATTAAGCACTAGGTGGGTGACCAGGTCTAGCTGATGAGTATTTGCTGTTAATCTGGGCTTTCCCATTCCCTATAGGGCAGGAAAACACACGTGTGCATGCACACACACACAAACACACACACACAAAGACAACCATATACACAAGCATATAATATTAAAGATTGAGGTAGCTGGATGTTTTTCACATCTTCCCTTCCTTCTGGATCCTAGCAGGGATAGTAAAGAGATACAAACATTCTCTGAGCATAATAACTTAAGGTGATTGTTCATATGGACAGTGTGAACATTCAGTTGGTTTGCAGATTCCACACTCTGAGGGCAGATTCCACACATTGTCTTGACTCTTTTTCCTTCTCATTCTTTCTGCTTTTACACCACTGATGACCCTGTCTCCATCCTGCTGGGAAGTAATTAGTGCTGAAGGAATGACAACTCTAGCACATAAGTGGCAGGGCCATGAGGATGAGAAGCAAAAAAAGAAAAAACGGAAGGGGCCATGGGGGAACTAAATCAAGGCAGCTGGAGGCAGGGGCACCTTCCTCTGGATGCTGCGAATGGAATAGCCATCCGGGTGCCCCGAAGGTCAAGTACTGAGATCCTGAATTTACATAGAAACCAAAAGAGTCAAATCTAGTGACAGAGGAGAAAGCCGTGCTGTCCAGTGGAATGTTCTTTAATGAGGCAACATCCTATAATCTGCATTGTGCAAAGTGGCGTCCACTCATCACAGATGGCTAGTGAGCACATTAAATGTGGTTAGTGAAACTGAGGAGCTGAAATTTTGGAGCAAAACTGAGTTTTTAAAAATAATTTCGATTAATTTGAATAGCCACATACAGCCAAGGGCCATCATTCTGGACAGTGCAGGAACAGAGAAATCACTCACAATTTCTCATCTCTTTTTGTGAACACTTTAGCAGGCTGGTACAAATGACATGAACACCAGATAAAGGGTTGCTTATATATTATTACAGATACTTTGTATTTGGTGAACATAAAGAACACCTGGTACTTAGATTTCCCTTCAAGTCTGCAGTAGGCCTGAAAATATTAATAAATGCATGTATCCAAACAAAATAGTAGCAAAGCTACCCATGTTAAGCAAAGGCTTTAGAATCAGATGGGATTGAGTTGACATCCTAGTCTCCAGACATTCTGGTTCTATGATCTTAGATGAGATATTGAAAGTATCTCATCCTTTGTTGCCTCATCTGCCAAAATAGAATTAAAATGTCCCATTCATTGGAATGTGATAATAACTAAAGTAAGCAAGTTAATCAAATACTACAATATAGGGTTTGAGTGTCCCTACCCTTGCAATGGCTACTTCCAATGTTTAATCATAGGCAATTTATCCCAGGAGTATTATGGGCTTAAAATAATAAGAAGAAGAATAATAATTATGAAACATAATAAACAATGAATTTAGCTAGCCCTTCATTTTAATGTATCCTGTATGCATTGGTTAATTAGCTTTGCTATAACAAAAAAAAATCAATATACAGTGACTTAAAGAAGAGAGATATTGGCCGGGTGCAGTGGCTCACGCTTGTAATCCCAGCACTTTGGGAGGCCAAGGCGGGCAGATCACGAGGTCAGGAGTTCGAGAGCAGCCTGACCAATATGGTGAAATCCCATCTCTACTAAAAATACAAAAATTAGCCAGGCATGGTGGCACGTGCCTGTAATCCCAGCTACTCAGGAGGCTGAGGCAGGAGAATCAAATGAACCTGGGAGGCAGAGGTTGCAGTGAGCCGAGATTGTGCCACTGCACTCCAGCCTGGGCGACAGAGCTAGACTCTATCTCAAAAAATAAAAAAAGAGAGATATTTATTTCTCCTCCGTATCACTTCTCTGAGTTGAGCAGTTCAGGTTGATGTGATGGCTTGGCTGTATGAGGTTTGTCCCGCGCTCCACTTTTTTCTGTCTTTTATTCACCCACTATCCCCTTGAGCAGGTGTCGGCAAACTGCAACCAAAGCTCAAATTCAGCCTGCTGTTTTTGTTTATAAAGTTTTATTGGAACACTGCCTCACCTAGTTGTTCTTGTATTGTCTGTGACTCCTTTGATGCTACAACAGCAGAGTTGAGTACCTCAGTGACCTTATGGTCTCTAAAATATTCACTATTTGACCTTTTACAGAAAAAGTTTGCAAATCTCTGCCCTGTGATCATCTGCATGTTCAAAGCTGGATCAAAGTCTCAACAAGACAGCCTCGAGAGGCAGAAGTTACACACTTCACTTTTTTTCCATTCTACTTGTTTCTGTATTCATTCAATCAATATTTGAACACCAATTTGTGCTGACCACAGCTCTAGTTACTTGGAACACATTCCATTAGTAAAAATTTAGTCACATGGCAACCTGCAGCCACCGGAGGGTTTAGAATAAAATGAAGCCTCCAAGGAAGGCTATGTGGCCAGCTTAAGCTCATTATAATTAGCTTTCCACTTTGCAACTGTAAATTGTTACCTGGCAATAGGATTATGTGATTAAGAAAAAAGTAGGGAACAGATAGCCCTGGAAGAGAACCAGGATGAAAAGCAAGACATCGAAAGATTTTCATATGATTAAGATTTCGTAATTGAAGACTGGATTTCTCAACTAACAGATGTTTATCGAGCTTCTTCCATAAGCCAGACTTAGAGAATACAGTGTTGAAAAAACCATGTGATCTCCATGAATTTACTACTTCATAATCTAAGAAATTAGTGTGCAACATCCGTGTCCTTTCTAAGACGCTTACTTCATACAGGGAGGAACACTCTATTTCTCAATGCAGCAATCATTCTTCTATTGAATAGAAATTTTGTAAAAAACAAACCTATATTAGCTTTCATCAGCTTTATTTCTCCAAAGTCTTGTCTGCACATTTATTCTTTCAGAGGCAACAAACAAAATTCCATACTCAGGTATTGGTTCCCTTTTGATGCTCCGAGAAGCACTAATTAATGTTTTAGAAAAGGTATAAAGGATACGCTACATCAGGGAGTTCTGGAATGAAAGAGAACCATTCCACTGAATTTATAATCTTGCAGGTACGTGGTAGCTATTGTTGTAGTTACAATACTTACAAAATACCTAAAAAACAGCCTAATTGACAAGCATCCTGACTGTTTGCATTTACAAGTCAATTTCATTAAAGAATTACCTCATTTGATCGTCACAGAAACCACAGGATATAGATATGACTGAAGAGATTAAGGAGCTAGGAAATAAATCTGGGACTCTGAAAACAGGTCTAATTCTGATCCTGAGAAGCATCCAGGTTGTTTGAGAAATGAAGACCAATAAGAATGAAAGCCAAAGAGGAAAATGTGGGTGTAAACTGACTATAATAGAATGCTACTGTTTGCATAGAAGTTTATAAGAACAAAATAAGACAGAAGAGAATGAGAAGATCCAGGACTATGAGTTCAGTATTGTGCTTGTTTAATATCGAGATTTCAGTCCTACTGAATCATAATATCTGGAAATGGGGCCTCGGAAACTGAGTATTTAACGAGCTGCCTATGTGATTTTGATGAATAGTCAAAGTAGAGGGCTACAGTATAAAGAATGTTCCTGTATCCTGGGATGAAGCAAAAAGAATCAGGACACAGAAGCTGGCAGCGGCAATAGAAAACAGAAAGCTTAGAGGACATGTGTCCACTTATTTATCTACGAATATTTATTAACCATGTATAATATTCCAAGCTCTGTGCTGGGTGCTAGGAGACAATGGTGAGTAAAAGAGGGAAGGCTTTTCTACTCATGAAGTTTACACTCAAGATAAAACCTCCTAAAGAAGTAAAGAGACCTACTATTTGATAGCACAACACGGTGACTATAGTCAAGAATAACTTAATTCTATGTTAAAAAAAAACTTGAGTGTAACTGGATTGTTTACAACTCAAAGGATAAATGCTTAAAAGGATGGATACCCTATTCTCCATGATGTGCTTATTTCACTTTTTATGCCTGTATCAAAACATCTCATGTACCCCGTAAATAGATATACCTACTATGCAACCACAAAATTTAAAAATAAAAAAAGCAAAGAGAACCCATGATGCCAGACTGAAATAAAAACAGTAAAGCAGAGGATATTTTTAAATTGCTCTAAGATTTCTAACATAAAATAGTAGGAAAAGCGTGGCTTCATTTAAATGAAGGAATTGGGAAATAATAATATTATGATAAGAAATACATTCCCCCCAGTTTGGGTAAGACGGGGTTTCAGCTGATGTGAGGGCATGTTGAATTTGGGGTACCTCTGAAAAAAAATAGGAATGGGAGAAAAGTTAGTCCAGGGACAGGCCTAGGAAAGCAGGTATTTGTCTAATCTGATGTTTATTGGAAGCCATGAGAATCAATGAATGTATCCAGAAAGTGAGACTATGAACAAGACAAATCTGATGGTAACATTTTTAGCTTTAAGACTCACAGATAAAAAGCCAGGCAAAGAGAGAAAGTGATCATATTCAATGAATACAGGAGGAAAGATGAGAGCAGAAAGAATCCAACTAGGAAACCACACAGTTGGAAACCAACGAAGAATTTTGAGGATGACGTTGAGGTCATGAAGAGGTCAATGAGCATAAGGATTGAAGACACCCACGTGAGTAAATCAAATTTAACACTTTGGAGAGCAGATTTAGGAAGACAATGAGAAATAAAGGAGAGATTTTAGAGTGCCTGACAGCAAGTAGGCAGATACAACTTAGGGACAGCGGATATAGGTCACTAATGAAGAATAAAAGTTTAAAAAGTAGCTCGAAGACAACCTGAGCATTACTGAGAATAGGAACAACAACAACAAAACCATGTAAAGGAAGTAATTGAAAAGTACAGAAAAAGAGTGGAAAATTCTATAAATGAGGAAGAAATGGCTCCAGGGGAGTTTTAATAACTAGAAATAACATACAACCTTTCAAGTCATTTTATTCCAGAAAAAGATTACCTGTATCCATTTAAACGCAATTGTTAACTGTGTTTTCTTTCATTTAATTGTTTTAGGTTCTGAACATAGAAGAGGTCTGTTTTCCTATCATTCGACACTGAAATGACGTTTCCAGGATAAAATTCTCCAATTCATGTCGAGTGTGCTTATCCATGTTTTCCCCAGGTGACCATCTAACCCCCTCAATATTTTTTTCCACCAGGTGGCAATGCCCTCTTACTATTGAAGAGCTGAAAGCTCAACATGACAAAAACAGTGAATAACCTGGGTTTCTGAAAGAACATTCTGACAACTGTCTTTGTTTAGAAAGTTGACATTTTCATCAGAGTTGCCTCCTGGAAAATCCATTACAGATTCCCAAACTGCTGATTATACACAACCTGAGAAGAAATCTAAGGGAAGGTGACTGGCTGCTTTATATCAAAAGAAGGTCACCTAATGTCTTAAACTCAAAGTGTGTTTTTTTTTTTTAGAAAGAAGGAGAAAAGGTTTTTGATAATCTGAAATTTTGGCAGCATAGGGCAGATAACAGAAAGTCTGATCTACTCTCAAGAAAGAAAGGATGGATAAAACAATTGATTAAGAAAAAAAACACAAAATGAGAGAGTGAGGGAAAATTTTAGGGATTGATTTATATATATTTTAAATTAGTAATCAATAAATATTTGATGAATGAATGAAAGGACAGAAAAGAGAGTATCTGATGAAATGCAATATTCTATGATCTAGTACTCCAGAAATTGTTGAAAGAAAAGGAAACATTTTGAGAAACATCAAGTTTAGAATATAGACTGGAACAGGGGTCAGCAAACTGTGATCCATGAGACCATTCTGGCTTAACACCTGTTCTTGCAAATAAAGTTTTATTGGAACAACCACATTCATTTATTCACAAATCAACTATGGCTGCTGCCATGTGCTGTAACTGCAGAACTATGTGTTTTCCACATAACACCAGGCCCACAAATCCTAAAAGACTTACTAACTGGCCCTTACCATGAAAAGTGTGATGATTTCTGGAGTAGCATTTAAGGACATGGGTTTTAGAACCAGATAAATATAAACTTCAGTCTCAGTTCTAACACTTAATAGCTGTTTGACCTTAACTAAATTGTAAGGGTTAATGTAGGCCTTGCTTTTAAAACACTTAGCACCCTGCTGATACACAGAAATCATATTACTCATTACTATCTCTCTTGTGTAAACTCAATGAGAAACTGAGATAATTTCCTCAACTCTCATTAATCCTCAAAAACGAAAATATTTTGTAATTATAGACAAACGGTGGAGAATAAATGTACCTCCTTTTAATTCTGGCAAACCTGCTTTCTCCAAATAACTCCTCTCTGTTTCCTTCTCTTTCAGTAGAGTCAAACTCTTGATGACGGTATTTAGCAGTTGGTAAATGCCTAGTGTGCTGAGTCTGTGCAGATCTGATACTCTTCACAGTCCCTGACCAAAGCCCCGGATCCTGAATCTTACAAAATGCAATGGAATCTTGAAAAATAGAAAAGACATGGGGCAAGTATTCAAAACTTACCCTAAGTGCTTCTGACCCTGAATAGCTAAGGCTCAAAATTGGCTTACAGAACATGCAATGATGATTTTGATGGTTTTTCGTTCTAGTTTCTAACTAATTCAGTGTTTGGCTGCCAGTAAGGGCCTTTGGCAAACACCTATAGGAGAAGTGTCTAAAATGTAAAGTGAATCACTGGAAATGGGAACTCTGTCAAAATAAGGGAATTAAGTTCATTAAAGGTGTGGTAGCTTAATTTACTGTGCCAGTTCATACTGATCAGGGTTGGCACTGAACACTCAGCTAGTGCAAACCCACCCAAACTTGGCAGAATAAATGACCCCAACCAATCCAGCCTCTTGGCTTTCTCTCCAGGTTAAATGTGCTTAAATTAGTAAAAATTGGGTTTGGACTATGGGCCTTTCTTGTCTTCTAGATTGGGGCTGTGTTGTATCAACTCCATGAGACAAACAGCAAAGACAACTTTGCTCATGGGGTAGAATGGTTGACATCTCCAGGTGAGAAAAATGGCCTCAAAAGTCCCAGAGTCTTTGGGAACTGCATCAAACAACCAAGGAATTTATGTCCAAACTCTGTAAACACACATTTCCAAGATGGCATTTAGGTAGATGGCCTCTTGGTAGAAAACTAAGTAGGTCCCTGGAGAGCAAGACGTGAGAGCCAGGTGAGGCTGCTCCTGGGATCACTATAACCACATTGGACATGATACAAAGTCAGGAGGTAGTGTGTGGGATGTGATAGGGGTCCACTTGCTGACACACAAACCTTAAAACCTAGATGAGGTTCACGTGGGCATGGGGTACCATGTCAAAACACAGTGTGCCAACTACTTCTATGAGGAGCACGGATTTGCCTCACCATAGAAGAGGAGAGCTGTAGGTGTTTCAACTGACACTTTCACAGATCACTTCAATATATGGAAATCCTATTTTGCATGTGATTTACACAGTTGAATTTATTCAAAAGAGATTTATGTTGTAATTTGCTAAGTACTCTGAATAGAAAATTAAAGTGACTGTCCCTGCCCTCATAGAGCTGATGTTCTGGTAGAGGAGACAGGCTTTTACATGAATAGCTATAATGGTATTTGAATAATAGCAAACAACAGGCAAGGGCAGGGTGCTAAACAAAGAAAGGAATTAAAGAAATTAAGTAATGCTTTGTCAAATGGTGATGTTGGACCTGCACCATGAGGGATATGAAGATAGTGTCATTCCCTGGCCCTCTGCCCTTCATTATGTTTTCTAAAAAGGGACCAGAAGATTTACTTAAAAAGCAGCCATAACTATAAATGCATATTCTTCTCTCCTTTTCCTCAGCTCCACATTTTACTAGCACTGTTGGATTTCCCTAGGACCCTAGTGAAACAACCAGAAATTTGGATAAGAACATTTAAGAAAAATAACGTATCTCTGTTTCATTACACGTGGATTATTTTTTTGATGTTTCTTTCTGTCAGTCAGAAATGGACAGGTGAAAATGTTATGTAAACCCTCAATATCAGTCATCTTTATAGTTACACTAGTATTCCAGCCATTCTTTTCATTAAAACAAATAAAAAAAAAACTTGGGAAGAGACTACCACGTTTAGTTAGAAAACAGTACAGTCAGCTTCTTTTTTTCTTTTTTAATGTGTTTTTATGGTTTGCTTGTGTGCTTTTCATCAAAAAATTCTTACTGTCAAATTAATTGAGAAACTTACAGTAATTGATGGCCATTCTGGGATGTCTCAACAATACTGCTGCCCTAAATAATATTTCCTAATGATTATTAAGCCTGAATAAATGAGTTTTTAAAGGTTGTCAGTATAGCCTATTTCATAAATATTTATTGAGCACTGTATTAGCCTGTTTTGCAGATAAGGGAATACTGGAGGCTGGGTAATTTATAAATTAAGAAAGGCTTATTTGGCTCACAGTTATGCAGGTTGTGCAAGAAGCATGGTGCTGGCATGTACTTGGCTTCTGGTGAGGCCTCAGGAAGTTTACAATCATGGTAGAAGGTGAAGGGGGAGCAGGCATGTCACATGGTGAGAGAGGGAGCAAGAGAGAGAAGGAGGTGCCAGGCTCCTTTAAACAACCAGCTCTCAAATGAACTACTAGAGCAAGAACTCACTCGTTACCATGGGTATGGCACCAAGTCATTTATAAAACATCCATCG
This sequence comes from Homo sapiens, assembly GCF_000001405.40. NCBI lineage: Eukaryota > Metazoa > Chordata > Mammalia > Primates > Hominidae > Homo > Homo sapiens. Next base: position 71,121,754 of record NC_000017.11, read on the forward strand.
CCATGACTGAAACACCTCCCACCAGGCTCACCTCCAACATCGAAGGTTACACTTCAACATGAGATTTGCATCCAAACTATATCAAGCATCTATAATGTGCCATGTGCTAGGCAATGGGCATAGCAGAAACAATTATGAGCAAGACAGACACAAACCCTTGCTCTCTTCATCTAATATAAGATACCAATATTATCACAGTGATGATTTTAAAAAAAGAATGCCCAAAAGATTTCCAACTAGGATGTTAAAGAGGAAGAAAAGGACAATTACATGGAAAGTAGGAATGTGGCTGAGAATAGAAAAGGCAGCATGGATACCTAATTTATAGAAAATTGACTTAAATTTTATTGGCAGGAAGAATCATTTATGACCTTTTACTATAGCCCTTAGGGTTTAGGTTGACCAACGGATTCACATGAATGTCGTGGCATTTTATAAGGAAAAAAATTGTAACAAAAAAGAGCAAATGTGAGACATGCCATGAGAAGGCTAAAAAAATCTTTATCATAAAAAATGAGCAAGAAAAAATGTAATGACTTTTTAAAAAAAATACTGAAACAGAAAAGTTCAAAAATCTCTTCTATAAGGGTTATCCTTGCTGCAGAGATTCTAACCTTGGCAAATGAGAATCTGCTTTTCTTAACCACTCTTCACTTTTCTATCACTTATTTCACTCCCAGTATTCTGCGTCGCACTCATTTGCTGCATACAGCAGAAAATGGTTACTATTTCTACTTTTTGTGGTGCTAATGCATTTTCTCTGACAATATTCGTAGAGAAATTGTAAGAAGGAAAAAAAATCATCGCTCAAAATATGAAAGCAATTTCATAGTAGGTTTACTGGTACATATTTGTGGTTATAGGGAAAAAAGTGTGCTCCTTTTCAATTTTTTATAGGGTAAGATACCAGGCATTGCAGATATGGGAATATAGTGAAAAAGTCTCACATAGGCTACAATCCTCAGGAAGGTGATAGGTTTGCTATAAAATAGCATTTAGAAAACATTTTTAATAAGTGTGCTATATTAATCAGAGTTCTTCAGAGAAACAGAACCAATGAGGGGAGGGGAGAGACAGAGAGAGAGAGAGAGAGAGAGAGAGAGAGAGAGAGAGATTGAGATTGAGAGAGATTATTACAAAGAATTGGTTCCCATGATGATGGAGGCAGAGCAGTTCCATGATCTGCCATCTGCAAGCCAGAAACCTAGGAAAGCTGGTGGTGTAATTCAACTGAAGTCCAAAGGCAGGAGCTCATGGTCTGAATCCCAGTCTGTGGGCAGAAGAAGGTGAGATGAGATGTTCTAGCTCAAGCAGTAAGGCAGAAAAGAAACAAACAACAACAACAAAAAAAGTGTCTTCCTCCTTCCTCTGCCTTTTGCTCTGTCCAGATCCCCAGTGGATTGGATGAAGCCCACTTGCATTGAAGAAAGCAATCTTATTTTACTGGGTCCACTGATTCAGAAGCTGATCTCATCTGAAAATATCCTCATAGACACACCTGCAGATGTTTAATCTGGGCACCTCTTGGCCCAAGTCATTTTGACACAAAAAGTTAGCCATGGCATGTACTAAAACTGAAATCATACTAAGAGTGTATTCTTTAGTACTCCATGGATGTCTTCCTTCAAAGTTTAGCTATTTAAGATTTATGTCATTATATAAACAATAGAGAATTACTCTGTTTCTGTTGATTGTTTTTTTTTTCTTTCAGTGTTATCACCAGGCCAACTTTATGGGAATTTGAAATACTAATAACATCAACAAATAACAATACATGGTTGGTATCTCTTTAATAGTTATCAATTGGGAAAATCAAAGTATTTACAAAATGTATGCAGGAAACCACTAAAACCTTCAGTGAGAGGAATATCAGATACTCTTATCCAGTACAGGTTATAAAAAGAATTGTATTCATTGAATATGTGTCAGAAACTATTCTAGAAACTTTACATAGAGCAGCCGAGTCTTCATGAGCACTCCATGAACAAAGTTTTATTATCCTCTTAGACTGAAGAAGACACTGAGACAAGAAGCGGTTAAATTACAGTATCAGGACCCCAGATGGCTAAAGCTGGAGGCTGAATCCCCTACCTGGGTGCCTATTTTTAGGTATTTAGGTATAACAACATGTTCTAGAGATAATCAGTACACAACAGTGACAACATGACCTGGGGTACTTTTCCATACCCTCCTTGCCCCCCTTATCCCTAGTACAAGAGTTAAAAAACTCTCAGTGCTAAACACCCAGAAAGCTGAGAAAATTATATGGGTGCACACAGGCACAGCTAAATCACTAGTGATTTCACAACCCTAGGAAATCTCTCTTAATATATTAGGCTACTGTGGGTTATTTAGTTTTTTTCATATAAACATACTAACAACATAGTTCATATTGCACTGCAGTCTGCTTTTGCAGTTATCAATATATCCTCAACATATTCTCATGACCTTAAATGTTCTTCTAAATCAAAGGTCAGCAATGGATAGTCCACGAGCCAAATATGGACTGTAATTTTTTTTGTTTGTTTTTTGAGACAGAATTTTTCTCTTGCCCAGGCTGGTGTGCAATGGTACGATCTCGGCTCACTGCAACCTCCGCCTCCTGGGTTCAAGCGATTCTCCTGCCTCAGCCTCCCAAGTAGCTGGGATAACAGGCGCACACCATCACACCTGGCTAATTTTGTATTTTTAGTAGACATGGGGTTTCTCCATGTTCATCAGGCTGATCTCGAACTCTCGACCTCAGGTGATCCACCAGCCTCAGCCTCCCAAAGTGCTGGGATTACAGGCTTGAGCCACCGTACCTGGCCAATCTTTTTTGTAAATAAATTTTTGTTTTGAGAGAGAGTATCTCACTCCATCACCTAGGCTGAAGTGCAGCGGCACAATGATAGCTCACTGCGGCCTCGACCTCCTGGGCTCAAGTGATCCTCCCACTTCAGCCTTCCAAGTAGATGGGACTACACATTTGTGCCACCATGCTCAGCTAATTTTTTTAAAAAAAATTTTGTAGTGACAAGATCATGCTATGTTACTTAGGCTGTTCTCAAACTCCTGGGCTCAAGTAATGCTCCCACCTTGGCCTCCCAAAGTGCTGACATTACAGGCATGAGCCACTGTGCCACCATAAACACAGTTTTATTGCAACATAGCTATGCCTATTTGTTAACATATTATCTGTGGCTGCTTTTGCTAGCTGCTTTGGCCAAGTTCAGTAACTGTGACAGAGACCAAAACATTTATCATCTTGCCGACTTCTGATTTCTAATAACTATGTCTAACATGATGGTAAACAGAATTCCACAAAAGTATTTAAACAAATAGTGATGTGACATTCTGTTTGATATTTTCCTGGAATAACAAAACTTCCCACTGCTTTGAGAAAAAAAAAAACTCGCCAATATTTTTATGATCAAATAAAAAATACATGAACATAATTACTTATCATGGGCTTCCTAGAGGACCAATGTGTAGGATGATCATGTGATCTATCTCCAATGTATAAACCAGACAGGATAACAATACCATATCTGGACTGTCTGCAATAAACTGAGATCTACAGTAACCCTCTTAATGTTCAACAATCCATTCATTATTTTCTCATTTTAACTAAGTCTCCAAATGCATTGTATTCTGGCAACTGATGTTCCAATCTTCTCCCTCTTCTCTACTTTGCTTCTCTTTCCATCTTCATCTGAATCTGTCTTGAGGAAAAAGTTACTCGCATTCTAGATAAGAGGACACCCCAGCTCGCTCCTGATCGGTCTTCACCTGCACTTCCTGTGTTACAAACATAAAAATCCTGCACAATTTCACAACAAATTCCTTGGATCCTTATGCTTTCTCTCATAATTCCTGACCACACTCTCTATACAATTTGTTCACTATGTAGTATATAAGTTTTATGTAGTGTTAGAGCCGTTAAAGTGAACATTTAGAGGGGGAAAAAAAGGGGAAAAAGTTAAAGAAACAGGGAGTTTCTTTCCAAAGAATGCTTCATGGTGGCTCCAACTGGGCCCCTACTCGGAAATGCTGAATCTCGTGTATGAACCCTTCAGTGGCAAAGGAAAACAGGCCACCCTTATTAGAAATTTTCTACAGCTAAAGATGTAACATCATAGCTAAATTCAGTTGGAGACAGGTCGAGCAACAGAAACCAGGAGCCAAGGCAGTCTAGTCGGCTCTGAAATTTGATTCAGGCACCAGATTATGAATAGATTTAACTAGTTCGCCAAATGAAAATGTAGATTTTGGCACCGACTAAATTTTTTTTTTGCAGGGGGTGGGGGTATTCTATATGTGGAGTCCCAACACACACTGAGGGATATGAAAAAGAGCTTTTTATATTATATAACTATTCAGGGTATGTTAAGGGGAAAAACACAATTAACTCAATAAATGCCAAAAAAATGTTCAACCTCTTTTTACTACCTTATGCATCCAAACTTTCTTTCTTACCTTAATTTATAATGCAAGCTTTTTCATTATTCAAAATGACACAGCACCACCCAGCCATCAATAACCAAGTAGTTACCTATGTAAACTTATTAAATTGCATACATCTGGTCCATTCTCTTTCTGTAGGAGCAGTGATATGACAAGAGCCGTAACTCCCATAGCAGGTAAGTAGCACATTGTCAGTAAGGATGTGGAAATCAAAGTTTAATTGTCCTGAGGTTTCTCAGATTCCTTTTCCTTTCCTGGTGAGGGTGGCAATGTGTGCCCCTGACACAATGCACTCTAATTTCCTTCTATTTCCTTAGCATAGGCCCTCAAAGCCCCATTATTCCAGATTTTGTGATAAACAAATATTAAAACAAATAAAAAATAAATGAGCTTACATGGGATACCTTTCTACCTCAACATTGCAACCTGCTTCCCCTCAATTTCCAGTCTTGCTTGCTTTGCTTTAATAAAAGTTTCCAAATGGTTCTTCTTTAAAACATACTTTTGCAACACCAAAAAAGCTAACTGCATTGAAGAATGGCTCTGATGTTGTTCAATGTGCGCAACACAGAATTCAATAAAAACACATTTGATTTTAAAGGGATTTATTGCAAGACATATCTTTAGTAACTTTTGATAACTCTCTTTTACTTATAACATGGTGTTTCCAGATGGGTTGAAAGATAAACAAATTTGCTTGTTGCGTGTGTGTGTGTGCATGTGTGTGTGTGTGTCCCTCAAGTGGAGTTAGTCTGGTAAGTTCAATGGAAGAACATGACTGTTAGTCTCTACCTGGTGAGCAAAGAAGACTGTCAGCCTCTGTGTGTCTAAAGGTAGTGTAGTGAGATAGAGGAAACCCAGGATTAAGTGTCAAATTCCGGCTCAACCATTCTACGGCTGCATGGCCTTAACGTAGGTTCCTAATATTTCTAAAACTCAGGTTTCTATCTCAACATTAAAATAATGATACTCATTTAATGAAATTTAAAAACATGGTAGTTATTCTGAGAAAGTTTCTGATTCAAAACACACTCAATGCGTGTAAGTCACTGAGTGAAATATAATGCACGGGAAATAGTTTTTACTCAAAAAAACTGATCATTCAAGAGCAAGCACACAGTTTCAGGCATTTCTGACTTTAGTAGAGACTAATCCAGTCCAAATAAATAGAGTGGAGGAGGTTTCTTAGGTGTCATGTGGGAACCGTACTAATCAAGAGAGCTGCTTTGTCATTTAATTCAGCTTCTTCTTTAGGATGGGACATTTACTCCCAATAGCATTAAGAATTGACTGACATCTGCTTTAAAATAAAACTAAGCTATATGAGTATGCCCACATAAATTCTCTAGATACCTAATATATTGTGATAGACCAATCATATTTCCAAATCCAGGCAATAAGCCAGATTATATCAGCATTTACTATGTCATTAGTCATTTGGGTAAGCAGCATGTATAGTCGTATATATGCCTATGCTGAAAGTAAATTATAGTATTATAGTCTTAGTGTTAGAAAAGTCTTTGTAGTTTATCTAGTCCTGCTCTATATTTTGGTAAGAGACAAATCCTAACCACAGAGATAAAGTACTGTGCTCGAAGTAACAAAGTCAGGAAACAGAGATAAACAGTATTCTCAAGAGTTTTGTCTAATTGCTCATTTAACTTATAGCTAATGTTGAAATCCCTGCACATTCCTTTTTATGTGATCAGACAGTTCAACAAAAACACTTTCTGTATTGGAATTCGGCAATATTCTGTAAAGAAAATGTGGCACATACACACCATGGAATACCATGCAGCCATAAAAAATGATGAGTTCATGTCCTTTGTAGGGACATGGATGAAACTGGAAACCATCATTCTCAGCAAACTATCGCAAGGACAAAAAACCAACCACCACATGTTCTCACTCATAGGTGGGAATTGAACAATGAGAACACATGGACACAGGAAGGGGAACATCACACACCAGGGACTGTTGTGGGGTGGGGGAGGGGAGAGGGATAGCATTAGGAGATATACCTAATGCTAAATGACGAGTTAATGGGTGCAGCACACCAACATGGCACATGTATACATATATAACAAACCTGCACGTTGTGCACATGTACCCTAAAACTTAAAGTATAATAATCAAATTTAAAAAAAAAAATCTAATCTCTCCTAAACTCTGAAGTTAGTTAAGACCTTTGCAGACCTCATAACCTTTTAAATTCTGCTTTTTCTTTGGCAAGTTTAGGTTTTCTTGATTTAAAAATGTGATTAATTAAGATAAAAAATATTAAAAGGCACTCTCAAGCACCAGTTCCTAAGGACAAATGTGTAAATTAAGGCACAAGTAGCACAGACTATAGGAAGAGAGGGTGTGAAACAGACAGAGAGTCCGAGGAGAATATCATCAGTTTTCTTCTGTGCATAACTTTGGTGTGTTACTCCTGGGAGGAGGCATATTTATTGTTTGCCTAAATTATAGTAAAATATTATTTTAAGGAAACAAATTTCAACAGTAACAACATCTTATGTACTTTAAGTTGGGATGGTGGCGTTTGTCAGAATGAACGTGTCTTGGTCGATGGGAAAAGAATGCTAGCAAAATAGTACTAAATCCTGTACACAAACACGGTTCTCCCAAGATTTTGTGGTGTCTCCAAATCAGAAACAAGCTGAAGTGAGGAAGGTGTGTAGTGGAAATTAGGAAAGTCTCAGAGACCTAGCTGAACACTGAATGTGGGAGGAAAAACATTGGATTGTGGCTACCTCTTAGGTATAGCAGGTTTGGTGTGTGTGGGGTTGAATGTGTGTTTATGTGCGTGGTGGCAGTGTTATAAGGGATGCTCCTATACAACATTCTGGATGTGTACACTTTAAGATAAAATAGAAATTAAAACTAATTTGGCTTAAGATCCACTGAACAGTCAATCCACACTTTAGTGGCCTTGAGAAGTAAAACCTTTGCTACAATGGAAGCTAATGTCTTAAAAGGACCAAAGAGTTCTTTATGTAATCACTCAGAAGGAACCAGGGACTTATATTTTACAAAGAATATGTTTAACTTTGACCAGCATTAGTTTAATAAACACTGAAAATTGTAAATCTATTTCCTAACTTCAAGTGAAGTGTGGGAAGGGAGAATATGGCATTTCAAATACAGTAGAACCTACTAAATACGATTTAAAATTTTAACGTCTTAGGAAGACTGTTTTTCTCTTCATTCTTTATGCCTTGAAAGAAGATTAACAGGAACTTGATTTCCCCCTAGCAAAAAAGATATATTGGAGTTGATCATATTACACTAGGTATCTAAATAAGTGGCTTACATCTTATATTCTCACTAGGATACAGATATGCTGGCATTATCATTCAAACTATTACACTGTGCTATGATTGCAGAAATGCTGGTTGTCCTCATTAAAAAATATATTTCTATTTTTTTAAATACTCTAGAGGGTTCTGACAGTGAGAGAGGACTCAGAATTCACATAATTCAGTTAATAATAAAAACTGATTCTTAACAACTTGCCCGATCTAGGATGTTCACCATTGCTGATGAATTTTATGTTTTTTAAATATGTTTTTGTTTATTTGCAATATGTGTTTATGGATGAAGCAAAACATTTATGCAAATAGATTGCCTCATGGATAGAGCTGAATGTATTTTCTGGAATACAGAGATGTTTTTGCAAAAATGATTGAGCTGGGTATTTTACCCATACATGCTTTTAAATACCACAAGTCTCTAGACCACGTATGTACAGATAGAAAAACAAACAAGAAACCTCTAGAGGTATATTTGGATTACAGATGCCAGTGACTTGTGGTTGAATTTTACTCTGATTCCATTCAGGTATGTGATCTAGGAAGTAGTAAAAGATAGATGTTTAAAAAGTAAAATGCAATAAAGAAGAAAGTGTAAAGGAACAGCCGGACATATGCATATTTTCTGTCTATTAATGGAGATATTTTGATGAAAAGGGCCTAAGTATTTAGGGTATTTCATTAGCAGAGAAAATACACATGTCTTTCTTATTTCATTTCACTCGTGACACCATTGAGATTTTAGCCCAAACATCATGGCCACCTAATAGGCACCAGGGTATAGTTACCAGGAGCAATATTTAAGAAGGCAATGTTGCAATGAGATGGTTTTATCTCCTACAATGAGTATGCATTGACTTTTTTTAAAAAAAACAAATAACATAGTGAAACCCCGTCTCTACTAAAAACACAAAAATTAGCTGGGCATGGTGGTGAGCACCTGTAATCCCAGCTATTCGGGAGGCTGAGGAAGGAGAATTGCTTGAACCTGGGAGGCGGAGGTTGCAGTGAATCAAGATGGTGCCACTGCACTCCAGCCTAAAAATAAAATAGATGGAAAGCTAATCCAGGAATTTAAAAAAAGATACACTATGTTTTCTTCTTACTTATTAATTTAGCAGGTTTTTATAGCAGATAAACACAAGCATAAAAGAAATGAAATTATCTTTTACCTTCACTTTTTAGGCTAAATTGAGTGAAAATACTGGGTGTAAAATAATGTGTCAGAACAAGCAATATGAGATATTTAACGAGGTGTAGTAATGTTACATAATATTGTAACATTGATACAGCTAAAGCACACATTCAGTGTGGCATATATTGTTAGTAGGTGTGAATGAGTTTAATATTTGTATGTTTGTATAACTTTTTTTTTTTTTTTGAGATAGGATCTTGCTCTGTCACCTAGGCTGGAGTGCAGTGGCACAATCTCAACTCACTACAACCTCGACCTCCCAGGCTCAAGCAATCCTTCTGCCTCAGCCTCTCAAGTAGCTGGGACTACAGGTGCACACCACCATGCCTGGCTAATTTTTGTATTTTTTTGTAGAGACGGGATTTTGCCATGTTGCCCAGGCTTGTTTAGAATTCCTGGACTACTCATATTCGTGGGATTTATCTACCTTTGTCTTTGATGCTGGTGACCTTCAGATGGGGTTTTTGTGTGGATGTCCTTTTTGTTGATGTTGATGCTATTCCTTTCTGTTTGTTCGTTTTCCTTCTAACAGTCAGGCCCCTCTGCTGCAGGTGTGCTGGAGTTTGCTGGAGGTCCACTCCAGACCCTGTTTGCTTGGGTATCACCAGCAGAGGCTGCAGAACAGCAAAGATTACTGCCTGTTCCTTCCTCTGGAAGCTTTGTCCCAGAGGGGCACCTGCCAGATGCCAGCCAGAACTCTCCTGTATGAGGTGTCTTTCGGCCCCTGCTGGGGGGTGTCTCCCAGTCAGGAGGCATGGGGGTCAGGGCCCCACTTGAGGAGGCAGTCTGTCCCTTAACAGAGCTCAAGCGCTGTGTTGGGAGATCCACTGCTCTCTTCAGAGCTGGCAGGCAGGAATGTTTAAGTCTGCTAAAGCTGCCCCCACAGCTGCCCCTTCCCCCAGGTGCTCTCTCCCAGGGAGGTGATAATTTTATCTATAAGCCCCTGACTGGGGTTGCTGCCTTTCTTTCAGAGATCCCCTGCCCAGAGAGGAGGAATCTAGAGAGGCAGTCTAGCTACAGCAGGTTTGTGGTGCTGTGGTGGGTTCCGCCCAGTCCAAACTTCCTAGTGGCTTTGTTTACACTGTGAGAGGAAAACTGCCTACTCAAGCCTCAGTAGTAGTGGACGCCCCTCCTGCCACCAAGCTCGAGTGTCCCAGGTCGACTTCAGACTGCTGTGCTGGCAGCAAGAATTTCAAGCCAGTGGATCTTAGCTTGCTGGCCTCTGTGGGGGTGAGGTCCGCTGAGCTAGACCACTTGGCTCCCTGGTTTCAGCCCCCTTTCCAGGGGAGTGAATGGTTCTGTCTCCCTGGCATTCCAGGCGCCACTGGGGTATGAAAAAAAACTCCTGCAGCTAGCTCAGTGTCTGCCCAAATGGCTGCCCAGTTTTGTGCTTGAAACCCAGGGCCCTGGTGGTGTAGGCACCCAAGGGAATCTCCTGGTCTGTGGGTTGCAAAGACCATGGGAAAAGTATAGTATCTGGGCCAGAATGCACCATTCCTCACTGCACAGTCTCTCGTGGCTTCCCTTGGCTAGGGGAGGGAGTTCCCTGACCCCTTGCACTTCCCGGGCGAGGCGACACCCCACCCTGCTTCAGCTCACCCTCCATGGGCTGCACCCACTGTCTAACCAGTCCCAGTGAGATGAGCCGGGTACCTCAGTTAGAAATGCAGAAACCACCTGCCTTCTGTGTTGATCTCACTGGGAGCTGCAGACTGAAGCTACTTCTATTTGACCATCTTGCCTGCCACCTTGACCCCGTCTCCTAAAAAAGAAAAATCTTTCAATAGATAGAGATTTAAAATGGTTACAATGATATGCTTTATGTTATGTATATTTTACCACAATAAAAAGAATTTTTAATTTCCTTAGGGAAGTTACTTTACTCATTGAAAGCCATGAAGTTCACTTGTTACTGTTTGCATTTAGTTTGGGGTTTTCCCCCACCCTTGTAATTTCATTTTATTGGATATGTAAAGGATGAGCATACAATTAAAAGTCAAAATTGTATAGAAAGGTATACTCAAAGAAACATCATTTCCTCCCCTCCCCTGCAGCCCTACCCTTTCATCTCCTTCCCTAATTAGTAACAAGTTTCATTCATTTGTATATTATCAGTCTTGTTTTTTTTTACGAAATTATACAGATATGTGTACATTTTCTTTTTTTCTGTTCTTTCTGTCACAAAAGGTAGCATACTGCATATGTCCCTTTTCATTTTTCACTTTAAAATAAATTCTGGAAACATCTCTCTTTCAGTTCATAGAGATGTTTCTCATTCTTTAAATCAGTTAATAGTACCCCATAGTATGCATGTACCATAGTTTATTCTACCAACTATTATTTTTCTTATCTACCTTAATGCTTAAATTATCTCAGACTTGGCCAGTGAAAGCAGTCTTTTTCATTCTACACTTTAGGTAGTTTACAATATTTTACAATGACAATACCGCAATGAATAACTTTTGCATATGCTTTTCCACATTGTTAAACATGTGTCTTCAGGGTATATTCTTAAACATGAAATCCACAGGTAAAAAAAAAAAAATACATGCATTAGTAGTTTAGCTCAGTATTGCCAAATTGTCCTCCATGGGATAATAGCATTTTATATTTCAACCAGCAATGTATGAAAGTGCCTGTTGCCTTACAATCTTGCCAATCTTGTCAAGATTTTGGATTTTTTGTCAATCTGATAGGTGAAAAAAAACTGAGGGAATTACAAGCTTCAAATAAATAAGAGATTATTTCCTAAATATCTCTCTAAGAAAAGAGATTATTAAAGGTCATGTCTCTAATTTCAAAATCTATGTCATGTGCATCTGTAGGTCTGCTTCTATGGATGCTTTTCAAAACTAAATTATAGATGACATTTTCCTGCTTCTTCACATGTCTTATACTTTTTATATTTTATGATATATATTATGGACAAAAGAGAAGAGACTGAATCAAATAACAATTGTCCCCAAAATGGTATACCTTTTTGTGTCAAACAGCTAAAGTGAAGGGGTAATCTCTTCTATCTCACTAGGAGTTAAGCTGGGTAGTGGATCAGTAGCAGCTTTGGTTAGTTCCAGCTCAGAACTGGTTCTCTTGAGAGTGAGGTCAGACCCATTCCTCCATCAGGGCTCTACAAATGTTTCACCAAGCTCCTAAAGACTGTAAGATATATTTCTCCTTTCCAGCTTCTCCAGGCTCTTTGATCTCCTCAGGATGTCATCTGTGTGGTATTTGGGGTTCTGATTTAATGAACTTGAGTTATCTTTTAGTTTCAAGTGTTTTGGAGGTGAAGTCTGACCTCTCCAGTCCATGACACAGGCACAGTGGGACTAAGAGATAGTTCTAATCACCACTAACTCAGAAAAAGTAGGAAAGAATTGTTGAATCTGGAGGGTCTAGCTTTACATTTGGGGCTAACTTTACAGAGCCAGTTCCTCTGGCTGCTATAACAAGTTACTATAAACTTCATGGCTTAATACAACGCAGATTCATTATCTTGGAGTTTGGTAGATCAAAAGCCTGATGGAGATTTCACTGGACTAGGATCAAGATGTCAGCAGGGTGCACTTGTTTCTGGAGGCTCTGAGGGAAAATCCATTTCCTTGCTTTTTCCAACTTCTAGTGCTGCATTCCTTAGCTGATGGCCCCTACCTTATTCCTCAGAGCCGACAATGTCAATGTGTGTCCTCACGCTGCCATCTCTCTAGTGTTGTCTAATTCTCTCTTCAACCTTTAAGGACCTGTGTTATTACATTGAATTAACTAGAATAATCTCTGCATTTTAAGGTCAGCTGATGAGTTGCCTTAATTCCATCAACAACCTAAATTCCCCTTTGCCATGGAACCTAACATATTCAGAAGTTTCATGGTTTTGAACCTGAATATCCCTGAGGGGCTACTGTTCTACCTACCCTGGTACCTTCCAGATTCTCTCTTGTCATTCCAGCCTAGGGTAAACCTTCAACAAGAGTCTTCTCATTATGGAAAAATCTCTGTGACTGTGGCTGGCCATTGCCCTACCCATGCCACAGGTCGAATTCTTGGGAAGCAGGCTCTGAGATGGAGCCCAATGTGCAGTATGTTCATTGGACGTGCCCTTGGGCTCGTACCTGTGGAGGGAGGTGTGTTAGTGTCCTGGGACTGCCGCAGCAAAGTACCGCAAACCAGGTGGCTTAAGACAACAGACATTTGAGCCAGATGCGGTGGCTCACGCCTGTAATCTCAGCACTTTGGGAGGCCGAGGCGGGCAGATCACCTGAGGTCGGGAGTTTGAGACCAGCCTGACCAACATGGAGAAACCCCGTTTCTACTAAAAATACAAAATGAGCCAGGTGTGGTGGAGCATGCCTATAATCCCAGCTACTCAGAGGCTAAGGCAGGAGAATTGCTTGAACCTGGGAGGTGGAGGTTGCAGTGAGCCAAGATCGTGCCATTGCACTCCAGCCTGGGCAACAAAAGTGAAACTCTGCCTCCAAACAAACAAAGAAACAACAGCAACAACAAAAAACCCCAGACATTTATTGTCTTATGGATCTGGAGGCCAGAAGTCAGAAATCAAGGTGTGGGAAGATCTGCTCTCCCTCCAAAGGCTCCGGGGAACACTCTGTGCCTTGCCACTTTCAGGTTCTGCTGGCTACCACCATTCCTTGGCCTGTGGCTGCTACTTCAATCTCTGCCTTCACATGGCCTGCTCTTTTCCCTGTGTGTCTCTCCCATGTGTGTCTTTCATAAGAACATATCATTGGATTTAGGGCCCACCCAGATAATCCAGGATCATTTCACCTCAAATTCTTAACTTTGTCACATTTGTAAAGACCCATTTTTCCAAACAAGCTGACATTCACAGGTTCTAGGGATTAGGAAGTGAGTTTACATTTTTGGGGGGATTGGGGGATAGGGACCATTCAATCTAGTACAGGAGGATGGAATGCAGGACTGGACAGAAGGAGAAGTCGAGCTGCAATACAGGCCCAACTGCCTCAGCAAGCCACACAGAGAGCTATGTGACTGAAATGCCTGTTAGATTTTTCCTACATCGTGCAAAAATGCCCAGACCTTTATATTCCTGCCTCAGTCAGTCATAAAATGTGGCTGCTTTGGGAAGGGCAAGGTGACTGTAGCTGAAGCAACTTCTAGAGGGTTGACAGTGCTCCCAACAACAGGAGCAGCAGTGCTTCTTTGAAAGGGAATCTGGACGTTACATCTCCAGGTTCACTGGAATCTACTCTTGAGCTGCTAAAATCTGCTTCTTCATACACAGTCGGGAACAGCTCCTCCAACCTTACCTCTCATTATGGTACCATGCACCAGGCTTCTGACCTGCCATCTGTCTTTCTAGAGCCTTATCATCCGCAATGCTAGCCATGCCTCTTTCTATAATGGCTTCCCACCAGCCATGGTCTGCAGAGAGGGGACACTGCTGAGTTTCTTAGTGATGCAGTGCATTCCTGATGACCTCAGTAAATAGCAGAACTTCCATGCCTTATATCCAACGTGATCATCTGTTGAGTTTCTTATCCTTACATAATATATCCACTCCGGCAAGCCCTGTACCCTGAGTTCTTTAGCCCTTCCTCCACTGTCTGCTACAGTAGTTCTGGCATTTTCCCTCAGTTAGCCTAGGGAAGCGAGGAGGTGCAGGACATCATTTTGTCCATGCTTCTAGGAGTCCTTGCAGGGTAGTAAATTCTGTATCTTGGAAGAGTGCAAATAAATTATAAACTCTCCCTTATCCAGTCTTACGCTCAGAGCTCCCCTTGTCAAGCACACTCAGAATCCAGCCCCACACATGCGCCCCTGGCTCCTGCCAGAACGCACTCTCTGGGAATGGCAATCCTTTGTGGTATAGGCCTTTTCCTCCATTTTCAGGCCCTGTATTGTCTGTATTTTCAGCCTAAGACATCCTGTGACCTCTCCCTAGTGATACACCTAATGGCAAGGGAGGAGGGAGGGGTCGGATCCTCAGCCACATCCCTGCCTCACAAGGGAGAGGCCTTTGGATTGTCTACAAGGGAAGGGGATCTTTATGGGGAAGGGGTTCTTCATGGGGAAGGATGGGCCCCTTCTGAAGGCCCAGAACTTTCTGGGAAGTGTACATATTTAAGGTTTTCAGGGTTCAGGGTTTTCAATGTAGATATCTCATCCCATATGTCAGTGTCTCATTCTTCTGACCTTGGCATTTCAAGCCTGCATGGCTGGAAGTTTAACTTTAGGTGCTCTGCTGCTCTGATGATTAAGTCCTGGGCCCCATCTTCAGCTTTCTCTGCACTTTCACTGCAGACTACTTTGCAGAGCCTCCTTGCTTCCTACAAAAAAATACCCTGATGTTTACACTGGTCTTTCAATTGCCAGTTAACTGCTTTTAGTCTTTCCTTATCTTTTTCTAAGTGTCAAATGAGTTTAGCAACAGACATCTAATCCCTCTGTCTTTTTTTTTTTTGAGAAAGAGTTTCGCTCTTGTCGCCCAGGCTGGAGTGCAGTGGTGCAATCTCAGCTCATGGCAACCTCCATCTCCAAGGTCTAAGCGATTCTCCTGCCTCAGCCTCCCAAGTAGCTGGGATAACAGGTGACCACCACTACTCCTGGCTATTTTTTTTTTTTTTTGTATTTTTAGTAGATATGCGGTTTCACCATGTTGGCCAGGCTGGTCTCGAACTCCTGACTTCAGGTGATCTGCCCACCTTGGCCTCCCAACCATTGTCTTTTTAGTTACTATTTCTCTGGTCCTTTCAAAGGCTGGCTGATGCATTTCACCAGCTAGAACTTTCCCTTCTGTGTGTACCATCAGCATTCATCACTAGTGAAAGTTTTCACAACTGGACTGTCACCTTGTGCCACAAGCTACGTGCCACTTATCACCAAGGATAGGGTCCTCACTGCCACCTGGGAAGAAGGCAATTGAGCTCCAAAACCCGACTTGAATATTCGCTTTCTTGGACACTCCAGGCATTAACTGCCACAGGTGAAGTTCCCCAGGCAGCAATCTCTGAGACAGTCTAATGGATAGAATGTTTATTAGAAACCAACATCCGTGGAAGGGAGAAGGAAAAAGCAGATTTAGGCAGAAAGGGAAGTCAACCTACAATGTAGACCCAATAGCCTCAACCAACCCCACAAAGAGTTCGAGAATAAAATGGCCAGTCACAATTTTCCTGGGTTGGGCCAAAATGTCTCAGTCATTGGATATGGACCACCCCTAGAAAAGCATGCTTTTGAGCGAGTTGGCTTTCTGCAGCTGAAGCAAACCCTGAAGGGATTAATAGCCAAAATCTGTCATCTGATGGCATTCCCAACCGCTGCACCAACAGGTCTTACTTCAAGGGGCTTTTGCAGGGCACACACATGCCATCAGATAGGACAACTACCCCTTCCCCTCACGTGAAAATGACTGCTGGGCATTCCTCAGCCGGAAAGAGCTTGCCCTGATCTGCAACATCAATCATTTAGACCTCATTGTGTCTACAGACCTTCAATGTCATTAAAGAAGAGGAATTTTTAGTTTAACATCATTGTTTGGGCAGAAACAATGATGTTTCACAGTTTCAACAGCCTAATCGGTAGTGAAATCCCTTCAGCCTTTGAATTCTTAATTTCAGTTTTTCTATCTTTTGGTTCTATAATCCCATTTAATTCTTTTTTAAAAAATTTTATTTTTCCTTAAGTTATTGGGGTACAGGTGGTATTTGGTTACATGAGTACGTTCTTTAGCGGAGATTTGTGAGATCCTGGTGCATCCTTCACCCGAGCAGTATATACCGCACCATATTTGTTGTCTTTTATCCCTCACCCCCTCTCACTCTTCCCCCCAAGTCCCCAAAGTCTATTGTATCATTCTTATGCCTTTGCATCCTGATAGCTTAGCTCCCACATATCAGTGAGAACATACACTGATGTTCTCCATTCTTTGGTTTTCCATTCTTGAGTTACTTCACTTAGAATAATAGTCTCTAATCTCATCCAGGTCATTGCAAATGCTGTTAATTCATTCCTCTTTATGGCTGAGTAGTATTCCATCATATATATGTGTGTGTATATATGTTCCATCATATATATATGTATATATATTTATACATCACATTTTCTTTATCTACTCGTTGATTGATGGGCATTTGGGTTGGTTCTACGATTTTGCATTTGTGAATTGCGCTGCTATAAACATGTGTGTGCAAGTATCTTTTTCAAATAATGACTTATTCTCCTCTGGCTAGAACTTCCAGTCTGTGCTGATATTCACCATTTTGTCATTTCATTTCTTGAGTGCTTTAATCACTATTTTAACATTCTTATCTGATCACCTAAAGAGGGTGGGTTTAAACAGCATGGAAAGATTGGGGTCTAGGGAGAGGGCGTTAGAGATGACAAAGTGACAGTTCTCTGAGTATGCCTTTTTGTATATGCACACCCAATGAATTAACAAATAAAACCAACCATATTTTTTGGAAGAATCCCAAATGGAATACAAACAGTAACAAATGAACCTATAACTATTACTAATAAATGACATAACCACAATGAATGTGGTGGGAAGAAGAGAACAAACTTCAGTAACCAGTACCTGTACTGTAAGGCTGAAGACAAAAGAAGTTTGTGCAAATATTGTACTGTAGTTAGTAAACAAGTTAGTAACACAAAAGTTACTTTATATGTATTATAGGATTCAGAAAAATAGGTTAATTTGTTGTGGAACATGGGAGCCAGGTTTCATACTGTTGGAGAAATAGGTTATAAGTAAGGAAAGTTGGGAAGGCAAGAATAAGCCTTGTGGTGGACTGAAATCAGAGGTGTGTGAATTTATTTTAAAAATCTAGACAGACAAATATGCATGTACATACACATATTTCCTAGCTCCACCAACTAAGAGGGCCTCAAAACAATCATATCCCAGGACCAAGGAGTATGTCAAAGACCCAAGTCTTGGTTTTTAAATATCTAAAGCCCAAGTCTTGGTTTTTAAATATCTTTTTCAAGTAAAATGGACCAAGACTCCTTGGAGCAGGGAGTGGGATAGGGAAAGTATAAGATGAACCTGGAATGTCTTCTTGGGCTGAAAAATACAGAGGTTTTCAAAGAATTTTAGAGGCATGTCTAATGACACAGGAGCCAACTGGAGGGAGCTCCCAATGGTAGAATGTGGGGCATTATGAACAACAAAATAAATAGTGATGGATTATAACCCATGCAATAAATGTGGGTAAGTTCAAACTAATATAAATAATGGAACATATAAATAACCAAGGGAAAAAGAAAAGCTCTTAATTACCCTAGAACTCCAATTAATAAACATAGAAGGAACGTTGGAAATATAAAATCAGTATTTAGCGTGCACACACATAACAACTGTTACAAGCAAGAATCATTAATAGATGTTAAAAATAATAGGAAAATTATAATGAGAAACAGGATATATGCATAGTCTCAAATTATTTTTCCACAATATACTTATTTGTTGTAAAAGGAAATACAGTAATCATAGTAGAGATATCTGATGGATAACCTTAACCAATTTTGTGTGTGTCTGTACATATATAAAGCAATGTTTTATATATATATAACAATGTTTTATATACATATATAAAACAATATTTATGTAGATGTTTATGTAATAATATATAACAAGTTATATATGGTTATATATGTATATGTATGTGTACATATACAAAGTTTATACATATGAAACAAAATTATATATAGTTATATATAATTTTATTTTAATATATAATTTTATAATTATGTATATACTATTGTTTGATATGTATAAAATTTTGTATATGCACACATACATATACATATATATGTGTGTATGTCTATTTAATAAATGTGAATAATATAGGCTTATGAATCTTATCTCAAAGCTAATTTTATTTGCCTTTTTATATTATATCTCTGGATGCTAATTGGTTTCAAAGAAGAACATTGAAAAGGCTTGGCTTTGGCCAGGCACGGTGGCTCACGCCTGTAATCCTAGCACTTTGGGAGGCTGAGGCGGGTGGATCACCTGAGGTCAGGAGTTCGAGACCAGCCTGACCAACATGGAGAAATTCTGTCTCTACTAAAAATACAAAATTAGCTGGGCGTGGTGGTGTGCACCTGTAATCCCAGCTACTTGGGAGGCTGAGGCAGGAGAATCGCTTGAACCCGGGAGGCGGAGGTTGCCGTGAGCCGAGATCACGCCATCGCACTCCAGCCTGGGCAACAAGAGCAAAACTCCAAGTCAAAAAAAAAAAGAAAAGGCTTTGGCTTTTGGCAAGTGCAAGTGGGGTAATGGGGCATCCATGAACTTTCGCCTTTAGCTCTTAATAAAGCCCATAATATGATTTGTTTGAAAAACATTCTATAAGATTACAGTTTTTTGCTCTTCAGAATTTTTTTTTTAACTCTGTATTGAATCTGCTTATTTTTTGATGAACTAACCCCTTTCTGTTTTGTCCGAAAAACGTCACGGGAACAACAACAAAACCCTCATCTCTGTTACGAAGAAAGGGGCTTACTCTGCCCCGCAATCCCATGCAATTCCGTGGTTGGTTGGAAGCATTTTTCCACATGCTTCCGAGGTTCATAGGGGAATTATTTTGATCCAGAAATTATCTCACTAAGTTGGAAACCAGTGGATTTCACACTGAGTAAGACTTCAGCACAGAGAATCCACATGCTGATTTTGATATTCATTAATCATCTGGCTAATTTGTTTTAACATAGGAGTGCTGACAGCAAACGAATGTTATCCCAGCAATGGTGACTGCAGAATTGAGACTATTATGGCATTAACGTTTACGAAGCTGGCGGGTCTGTGTTCATATATGGTCAGTGTCGTCTTTCACTCTAATTGCAAATATATCTATATTTAATTCACATCTGCTATAATCATTGGGTGGGCTAGATAGGGCCAGTGGGATAAATAGATTACAACTTTTTTTCTTATTGTGATTATTAGGCCAACAGATATATTGAAATCCTGGGGTTTACGAATCTGTCTAATAAGTATATGGATTTTATGTTAATATTTTTCAGTTAAAAATGAAAGTAAATTTTCCTGTGCAATATACCATGTATTTATGGCATGAATTTTACGTGTCTTGCATTACATGGTAGTGAAATTCACCCAGATGAGGAAAAGCTTTGTCTACATAAAGTTGAAGAACATAAACACATTTATGGATTACTGTCTTAGATTTCTAAAGTATTACAGGTTTAGAAACCTGTAATAGTCTGCACATAGATTACAGATATAGGCATTTTAACTTTTCAAAATAGCTTTCTCTTTTTATATTACTCACACTTCATCTCTGAGATTTGTTTTCTTCATGTTATTAAAATGATGCTTAAACAGATTAAATAATGTATCTAAAGCCTTTTAACTTGTTAGCAGTTGAATGGGACTCTAATTAATGTCCACTGATCCCCAGATTCAGGAACTATTCATTAACCAACATGATGTCTGTTTTAGGCACACTATGGCTTATGAGTTTTGATAAAATTCAAAGCTAAACCTGGGATCCGTAACTCAGAGAGAAAAGCTCCTTTTCTTCCTTCAAATAAGTAACATGCATATTCGCTTGTCGGTGTCTTCTCAAAATAAATATTCCCAGGAAAGAAGATAGTCCATTTTTCCTGAATTGTAACTTTCTAAGGTTCTTATCAGGAAGTATTTAACGTTTTTAAAATTCAGTTTATTCACTGAGAGAAATATAGTAAATTTCTTTCATTGATTAAGAGACGTAGAATGCAAGAAAAAAAATAAGCTGTTTGAAAGGACTCCTGCTAACTGCACCAAACTACAACTATTACCCAGTAAGATAATAGAGGAAATAAATGGTTCTTTCCCTGAAGTGTTTACATTGTTATCTACAGTCTCTTAAACAGTAGCAGAGCTGTGGTTCTCTTGATTTGCTCACTCATTCTGTTATTAGAGAAATTCTTAACTTCTTCCATGGGGAACTATTTTTCTGTCTTCACTCTTTTCCTAGGGCCCGTTCCCAGTTCATCAGGACACTGTCAGAATGTGGAAAGTGTGTGTATGCTTCTTTCTTCCCATATGTGGTGTGGTTGCACAGTTATCTCCCACACCTAATGAGCGCACAGATTTTATGCAGGACAAAAGGTGATTACACATTTCCAGTCAATTTGCTTCTGCAATGCTGGCCATACAGATGTTGGAATGAAGCATGTGTTTACAAAGCTAAAGATATGTGCAGTATAGACAGAGGAAAATTTTTTCACAGTCGACAAAATATAGCATTACTTACTGTGTAGAGTGAAATCCATTGATAAAACAGTGAGTTTTGAAAAAAATAATATTAGCTCTCTTAGATATGAGTTGTAACTCTAGATGATAAATTAACTCCTTATAAATTAACTAATTTTTAAGGAGACTTCATTAAATTAAGCATTTAATTGAGGAAATATTGCCACATCGGAACATTAAGCTATCTCTTTTAAGGTCAGGGGAAAGCAAGACTATTATGCCTAAAAAAATACTAGGCTGGGCACGATGGCTCACGCCTGTAATTCCAGCACTTTGGGAGGCCGAGGTGGGCGGATCTCCTGAGGTCGGGAGTTTGAGACCAGCCTGACCAACATGGAGAAACCCCGTCTCTACTAAAAATACAAAATTAGCTGGGTGTGGTGGCGCACACCTGTAATCCCACCTACTCAGGAGGCTGAGGCAGGAGGATCTCTTGAACCTGGGAGGTGGAGGTTGTGGTGAGCCGAGACTGTGCCACTGCACTCCAGCCTCGGCAACAGAGTGAGACTTCATCTCATAAAAAAAAAAAAAAAGAAAAAAGAAAAAATACTAATGGACTTCAGCCACAAAGTTGCTTAAGGTATGTTATTTCAGAACCCACTACAAACATTAGTCCCCAGTATCTAGGTTTATACCAAACTTGTCCAACTCATAGCCCATGGGCTGCATGTGACCCAGGACAGCTTTGAATGTGACACAACACAAATCCGTAAACTTTCTTAAAACATTATGAGATTCTTTTGTGACTCTTTTTTTTTTTTTTTTTTTTTTTTTTTTTAGCTCATCGGCTATTGCTAGTGTTAGTGTATTTTATGTGTGGCCCAAAACAATACTCCTTCTAACGTGGCCCAGGGAAGCCAAAAGACGAGACACCACTGGTTTTTACAAATACCTTCTTATTTCAATTTGGTGTTTTAAACCAAAATTCAGCTCCTTATAGCTTACTTATTTTGTATTATTATTGTTCTTTAACCATTTAACGACTATAAATGTAACACATTTTTAATGGGCTGTAAAAAAAAGTTAAGAGTTTTCTTATAGATGATTACAAAATAAAAACAAAAACAAAATGCATAACATTATTTGAGTTTATGTCAGTTTAAGGTACTACCATCTTCTAACAGACTGAAACAGCTCCTGTGTTACAAAGTTATAAGGGTTATTTGGATATGATACTTTTTGGTTGTTGTTTAGCAATATTTAAGTTTTACTTTTCCTGTTATATGAGATAGAGCATGCACCATATAATTTGATAATAATTGTTAGAGAAAATAATTATTTTAAATTATATTTTAGAGGCTGCAATTAACATCTTATCTGGGAATTTGAGTATTATTATTTAATTTACTATGTAAACATGTAATTCAGTACATTTATATAATTTGTTTAAGTAAATTACTTTTAAGAAAATACATAGAATACGTGCTTTTGTCTGAAACCAGACAAGGATATCCTCAGGGCAATTTTCAGTGTACTTATTTACTTTTTTCCATCTAGAACCCTAACAAGGAAGCTATCCTAGAGCACTCTTCCTTCAAAATTAATCATAAATCAAGGACAAACGACAGGTCTCTATTTTAGTGTGTGAAGAAAAGCTTATTTGAAAATAATTCTGTAGTGATGTTATTTGGCTTGAGGGGCAAGACAGAACCAAGGTGAGAAGGGGTTTTGGAAAACAAAATTTTTTGTTTTGTGTTTGTTTTGTTTTGAGTTTTGTTGTTGTCGTTGTTGTTTATCCATTTAGGAAAATTGAATTATTTCTTTATACTTTATCCCAGCACTTTGGGAGACTGAGGCGGGTGGATCACCTGACGTCAGGAGTTTAAGACCAGCCTGGCCAACATGCTGAAGCCCTGTCTCTCTTAAAAATACAAAAACTAGCTGGATGTGGTGGCAGGTGCCTGTAATCCCAGCTACTTGAGGGGCTGAGGCAGGAGAATCACTTGAACCCTGGAGGCGGAGGTTGCAATCAGCCAAGATCATACCACTGCACTCCAACCTGGGTGACTAGAGTGAAATTCCATCTCAAAAATAATAATAATGATAAAATTTTTATACAATTTACTTTGATCATTTTATTACTCTTAATTTTACTAAATATAATCATAATATCAGAACTAACATTTAGCATTATTATTATTATTTAAGACAGTGTCTTACTCTGTTGGCCAGGCTGGAGTGCAGTGGGGCAATCATAGTTCACTGTAACCTTAAACTCCTGGGCTCATCCTCTTCCCATCTCAGCCTCCCGAGTAGCTAGGACTATAAGCATGCAGCATTGCACCTGGCTAATATTTTAATTTTTTGTAGAGCTGGGGTCTTGCTATGTTGTCCAGGCTGGTCTCAATCACTCGGCCTGAAGCAATTCTCCCACCTTGACCTCCCAAAGTGCTGGAATTACAAGCATAAGCCATAGCACCTGACCTAGCATTATTATTAATCAAAACATATACATTGATGTAATGATGGCTTTTAAAAATTATTGCTAATCTTTAAGACAAAAATGCTGAATTTTCACTCCTGATGAATCACAATGAACTTCCTGTTGGTTCTTTAAGTCCTATAATCATATGTGGAAAAAAAGTTAATCACTAATACAAATAACTGATAATTGTTTAGTTTTCCTTAAAAACCATCAATCATGTAGTCCCAAGTTAGCATAAGAGAAAGCCAAAACAAACCAACAAAAAATAACTCGAATGACCTATCGTGGTTCCAAATAATACCTAGCCTAACAAGGACTTTTCTGGAAAATCAGAGCCTCTGTGTCTATAAACTCATAAGTCAGTCCTCAAAATTCCTACAATACTTTTGGTTTAATTTTTCAGGAAGAGAGCCAGGGAAGAATACGCTATCCAAGGTTTTGAATACCTAGTAAAATCATGACTTGCCTTTCTAATTGTTTTTTCTAAGATAATTGGTTATGTAGACATAAAGGACTTCTTTGATAACTTAAATTTATTTTGTTTGCATTTCCCAAAAAAGTAAGGCCAAAATAAGTGGAATAAAACTGACCTCAAATGATACTCAAAGTCAATATTTGACTGTATTTGACAGCACTTAATAAGCTCTAACACATTTATAATCAGGTTAATCAAGTTAAATGTTTAAACAAGTCTCATCCAAGAGTGATAACTCCAATGAAATAAATAAAGGAGAAATAAGAGATATTTCTTGTAATTTATTTCTAGCTGGACTGGAGAGAGAGAGAGAGAGAGAGAGAGAGACTTGGAGAAATCTCCCATGAGAAATGAGAACACAGTCTCCTGATATTTCTAACCTGATTTCCAGGCCAGAGAAATTCTGATGGATATCCAAACTCTGAATGGCTATGCAAATCAAACTTATGAACCTATGGAGAGCCATTCTTCATTAAGCTTGACTTCAGTGGGGAATAAGCAGTAAGAACAGATGGGCTACTAAGGCAAAAGGTCTCCATGCAAATCATATCAAGAAAGACCAAAACCAAGGAAAGGATAGCCATCGTAGATCCATGATTGTTTCAGTCTGCCAAAATAAAAGGCTTTTCAATGGTTTATCCCAGATGACAGCTGATTTCTAAAGAAGTAGCCGGATTTTTTTTTCTATATCTCTGCACACAAAGTGAACACAGTTCATAGGTAAAGAACAAAGCACACTTGCTTGTAGCAATGATACAAACTTAAGGGGTCCATTTAGAGAATTCTTATTTTGAATGTGATTAATTGCATGGAACCAGAATAGAATTAAGGAAATTAAAATTCAGACTCACTTAGGGGAAAGGTCAAAATGAGAACCAGAGAAAGGGCATCCAAAGAACACATGTGTAGAATTCTGGGTGATAAAAAGTTGAGGCCTGTCGGCAAGCATAGGCTACCAGCTGTGTTGTGGAGTTTATGAATCACGAAGTGAATTCAGCAGAAGCTTCCCTCTATGAATAGTTTATGGGAGGCATAATAAGAACAGGCAAATCTCCTTACATTTCCACCAAGTGTTTTCCATAGCAAGCATTGTAAGACATGCCAATTCAACAGAAAATCGTATCATAAAATTAGAAATAAAATGTAAAATAAAATCACCAAAGAGAGATTTCCCTTGTAGTGTAAGTGAATTAAAACCTAAAGTCTTCCATTTTCCAAAGTTGAATTGGTTGGATCCCAAAGAACTTAAAATATTCATTTATTGATTGTAAAATTAGTTCAACAAACACTCTTTTGTCTCTGCATTCTTTTCTTCTGCGTTTCACAAATCAGTCATTTGACGGAAGACGCCTTGTTCTGTACTCTACACCAAGGAGAGAAAAATAATTTTACACACTTTCCCCTATAGCAGTCAAAATGAAAGGGAAAAATAATAAATCTAGAAACAGTATTGGTGGCTTCTTTTTCCACGTTATTTATTCTTTTTCTTCCCCACGTTCTCCCTTCTTCCCAATCTATTCTCTTCCCTTTCTCTTTTCTCTCTTACCGTCTTTGTTACTCTCTTCTCTCCTTTCTCCTCTTCCCTCTCTCTGTTTCTATTTCTTTCCATTTTTCCTCCTTTTTAAAAGAAAAGTTATGTTTCTAATGACCACAAAAATCACATTGCAGACCTGAACACTGGAGTCCTGTCTCTCTCTTTAGGTTCTTTGCCACGAATAAATGATTTTATTACAACAGAAAAAAAATAAGGGAAGTGACATTTTTCTTTCAAATATTGTTGATATGATTACTTGACCTTTAAGATAGGCTAAGGAATAAAAAGGAAGGATTCTTTCTAAGGGTTTTCTTCTCAAGGCCCTAACACCAAGTGTAGCTGATTGTTCACAGCATTATGAAATTCTAAACCCATTCCATGAACCTTTACTTAGAAGCAGACTTGGCCGAAAACTTTCCTTCCTCCCTCCTCCCTTTTTCCTCTCTGGCTTTTGGTTGTTTTCCCTTCATCTGTTGTATGACATCCAAGATTTCACATGGAAACACCCCATGGCTTGTTTTTCATTGCAGGTTAAAATCAACTTTAATTTTGTTATTTTTCCCCCTAAGATGTCGCCCATCCCATTAACATGATTAGGCTTTTCTTTTGAATCATTACCTGAGGTAAAAATCTTATTGGCACGTTGGCCCCTGAAAAATGAGGCCAAAGGCGAGGAGTTGTGCCCGCCAGGCTGATACATGGCAAGCCGTCAGGGCCGAGGCTCGATTTCACACCATGATTTAAGATACCATGTGCTCAGCTCAGCTCTGATGATAAAGCATCCGTGGTTGTTAAGAATTAGAAAATAGAACTGTGTTTCCTCAATAGAGAGGAACTAACCAACATCAAATATCACATTTATGTGCATTAACAGCCATATATTGAATGACAAAATGTAACAAAGGTTCCTGCTAGAGAGACGTCGACTGCTTGGGTTAGCTGACTTCAAAGTTTTGTGCTGCCTTTTGTTCATTATTGGAAGCTCTGGTATTGCCAACAGGAGCTACAAAACCATCCATTTAACGGTATAAACTAAATTATGTTTCACAAACTGGGTTTCCATTGTGGTAATATGATGCATACAAACATGGTTAAATAGAAGACATAGGAAGAGATGCAAATAGCAGCTTCCCATGCTTTCTTAGCAAAAAAAAGAGCACTGTACACTCAATGGTATATTATGCCTGAAACCAATCAGTGATTAAAAAGGTTGTTTTTTAACCAGACTGGAGTAAATATTTAGCCTACAAAAAATTATGTAAAAAAATTATGCAACACTAGTGAGGATTAAAAGAGCGAATAGAGACTAAATTACATAGAAAACATTTATTTTTACTTTTCCACTCTGTATAAAACTCCATCAGACAGGGTCAAAGACAATCCTGGCATGGCCAGGCACAGTGGCTCACGCCTGTAATCCCAAAATATTTGGGGGCCAAGGCGGGCTGATCACTGGAGGCAAGGAGTTCGAGATCAGCCTGGCCAACATGGTGAAATCCTGTTTCTACTAAAAATACAAAAATTAGCCAGGCATGGTGGTGCAGGCCTGTAATCCCAGCTACTCTGGAGGCTGAGGGACGAGAATCACTTGAACCCGGGAGGCAGAGGTTGCAGGGAGCCGAGATCAAACCACTACACTCAGCCTGGGCAACAAAACAGAGATAATCCTGGCACATCTGTCTTTGCAGTGGCAACTTCTAGATATTAAGGCTTGAATTCTCAATGTTTCCATAAGAGAAAATTAATGTAAGTGCTATTAATAGTAGGAGTATCAGGGATTTGGAAGCAGAATTGACTTCAAGGACCATGATATCGGGGTTATTTCTATTCTTGGCCTTTTCAGTATGTAATGAAATTGAGTTTGATCCTTTTTCTCTGTACTAAAACACCTAATGTCGCTTGGACATTAAAGGACTTCTCCATGGATTAAGAATAAAAAAAGAATCTAATTTTTAGTCTGTTGTCTCTATGAATATATGAAGAGAAATAGAATCGTCTTTCCAGAAGCAGCTTCCTGTAGTCACAGACTCACTACCCCAGTGAAGACAGGTTCTTACCCCAGTACAGTTGAGAAGGTATATTGTCTTTCAGTGATGCCTGTATCTCAATATTAGAAATATTAATGCAATATTAATAACAAAAATGTAAATGCCTGTAATAATCATTTTATGCCATCAGAAGTTCTGTGTTGGGAATCTAGAGCAAGCTGTTTTTATCACAATAATATTTGTTGTTAGAATAAATGACAAACTGTCTGGTTTCTAAGTGTAATAAAAATGAGGGCTTAAGCATAGAACTTCCTGAGTTCTATTTGGTTGGCTTCAAATTTGATTGGAATCCCTTTCTTTTATTTATGTAATACTCTTAGAACTCCCAGAAGAGTGTTGAACAGGCAGTAAGAGAATATTTGCCATGTAAAATTTGCCAAACAGACTTTGGTCGTATCACTGATATTTGGTGCCAACAACCATGAGCTGGGACTGTGAGCTAGGACTATCCTTAGTTTTCACTGTGTACTAACTAAACTGTAAGTATTTTGGGTTTCTTGGAAATGTATATTCAGAGAAACCTCCACCCACAGGCCAAGAACGGAGGTGAGGGATTGCTGGCTTCCGCAGTGAACAATTTCTGCCTCAGCAGCTTAAAAGTGTTTTTCTTTAAACAAGCTCTCTGATTTAATATCATGTTGACACGTTGCCATTGCATACATTTTACAAAACAGCTTTATCCCAAATGCCCACCCGCTGATGAATGGCTAAGCATAATAGGTATTATGATAAAATACTATTTGTTAATTTAAAAAGGAATGAAATACCTTTTTACTTCATTCGTTTACTTCATACATGGAACAACATAGATAACCCTTAAAATCATTATGCAAAGTGAAAGAAGCTAGACACAAAAGAGTACTTAGCGCAGGATTCCATTTCCATGAAATATTCAGAAAATGTGAATCTACAGAGACAGTAAGTTAGTGCTTGCCTGGGAAGGGCAGTGGAAAGAAGTGGGTGCAAAGGGACACGAGGGATCTCATGGGGATGATGGACATGTTACAGTTAGCCTGCAGTGATGCTTGCAGAATTTTATAGATTTACTAAAATCACTGAATTGGAAACTTAAAATTTCTAAACTTTATGGTGTATAAAATATGCCTTAATAAAGCTGTTCAACAACAGCAATGAAAATCTCACATTTGTTCTTTTTTTTTTTTTTCAGTTTTAACACCAATGAGAGAAAACACTACCTTGTTTAGCATCATTGTCCTAAATATTTTTGTAGTAGCAAAACAGGATAACTTGTAAAAGGCAAATCATAAGGAAAGCACTAGTCATTAGAGGCATATATGTGATATCAGATTTGTTGAACTGTTGCTTATGGAGTATCCTCACACAACCATGTGACTCTCAGCTTGATAGTATTGGAGCAAATGACGAGTGGAGAACGCAGGTTCACAAAGCTTCAAGCATCCATTTTGGGACTTAAATTATCTTCATTCCTGCTTATATTTAACTAATTGTCTAAAATGTTGACCCAACACAAAACCATAAGGGAGACTCATGGATGATTATTTATTTATTTGTGTTTGCCATGCCCTCTCTGCACCATCAGATGTTTTACAGATTAAGAAGACTGGAGGGGAAAGTTCTGCACAAGGGAAAACAAAACTAAGGCTAAGTTTTCTTTCTGTCATTACTTTCCTCCCTCTCCTTTCCTGCTCCTTTTTTGCCCCAGCCCCTTATTGCGACTTTGACAAATGACAATGCAAGAAGAGAATTTATGTTGGGTCTTGGAGATTAGCACATTATCACAAGCAAAACAGAGCCCTCAGCCTCCGCCACTGGGGAGCAATTGAAAGAGTCTTTGAATGTGATGCATGGGTCAAGACCTATTTCTGACGAAGTGGGGATGCTGTTATGCCAGGATAAGTCTGTATGAAAACCCTTGGAGAGCCAGGTGAAGACACTGAGCATTGGATGAGGAGTATTTAGCCAAAAAGCTCATTCTGGAAGGGAAAGAGGAGCCGGGTAGCTCCCTGAAGACCTCTGTGTTGAATGATTTAAGGCTACCTGTAGGAAATGCCTTCTGCTTTATTGCTTTTTAGTCTCCCTTCTTTTTGGGGGGGCGGAAAAAGAAGCACAACACAGATCTTTCCTTCCTTTGACTCACATTAGTATTCCGCAGAATGTTTGAGTAAAACCTCCATCTCACTACCTTTCCTGCAAGTCTCTTCTACAATAACAAGACAGTCTTCAGGTGGAGGTCCCAGATTAGACTACTCTGGGCGATCAAGGATTTCAATTTTTGAAAAATGTTTGATTATATGCACTTAAAAAAACTTGCATGCTCAGTTTACAACTTTGGGCTCTAATATCTGAGAATATTAGTCACAAAACAATTTCAGGAACAAAACAAATACAGTTTTGGGGGCTGAAATACACTTGGGGTCCACACAATATTAACCCATTCCTTAATTCATCAGAACACTGGACAAAATAATTCTGAGAATATATTCAAAAGCTGACTTGTTTCTGAAAGTCATGAATAGCCAAATATAATTTTTCTTTTTTTTTGAGATGGAGTCTTGCTCTGTCACCCAGGCTGGAGTGCAGTGGCATGATCTCGGCTCACTGCAACCTCCACCTCCCAGGTTCAAGCGATTCTCCTGCCTCAGCCTCCCAAGTAGCTGGGATTACAGGTGCCTGCCACCACATCCAGCTAAATTTTTTGTATTTTTAGTAGAGACAGGGTTTCACCTTCTTGGCCAGGCTGGTCTTGAACTCCTGACCTCGTGATCCACCCTCCTCGGCCTCCCAAAGTGCTGTGATTACAGGCCTGAGCCACCACACCTGGCCCAAATATGATTTTTCTAGATATTAGACATTTAGTTGGTTACTTGATGTTCACAACATATCACAAATAAAAAATAAGTGAGTCAGGAAAAACACTGAATGGCAGATAATGAGACAGCATTCATAACATGCCTTCTTAGAGAGAGTTTATTGGTGTCTCAGAGATTTACTTTAACAGACGAAGGTTTCTCAACCTAAGAACCGCTGACATTTGGGGTCCAATCATTCTTTGCCATTAGAAATGTCCTGTGCATGATAAATCTTTAGCAACAGATAACAGTAGCGCCCACCAAGCTATGGAAACCAAAAGTGGCTTTAGACATTGTCAAGTGAATAATATGCTAATGGCTTGCATTTATTCTTATTTCCAAAAACAGAAAATAAAAGCATGAGCCCTGAAGAAGTCAGAAGCAAACTATCTCTGATTTGCTTTCCTGACTGTTTAACATTGAGCAAATACTTAACCAAATCATTTTACTTTTTTTCTATATAAAATGTGGAAAATGATAGAATCTAGTCTATAAGATTGTGAGAATTAAATGAGGTCATCCATATAAATCACTTAGAAAAGAGCTTATCTTTTGGTAATTGTAGCAAGCATGTGTTGCATGCTTACTAACACATACCTTGCCCCGTGCTAAGAGTCAGGGATATGCTATTGGCCAAGATGGAATCAACTTTATATGGTTAGATGTTTTTTTATGGAAAGAGCACACTGGTGGCAGGACTATTAACAACTGAGGTGGGTGAGGTTGGAGACTGAGAGCCCTATTAGAAGATGATTTTGGAGGCCAAGGAGGGTGGATTACTTGAGGTCAGAAGTTCGAGGCCAGCCTGGCCAACATGGTAAAACCCTGTCTCTACTAAAAATACAAACATTAGCCAGGTATGGTGGCACTTGCCTGTAAATCCCAGCTACTTGGGATGCCTTGGCAGGAGAATGGCTTAAACCCGGGAGTAGAAAGTTGCAGTGAGCCAAGGTTGCACCACTGAGCTCCAGCCGGGGTGACAGAATGAGACTGTCTCAAAAAAAAAAAAAAAAAAAAAAAAGAAAGAAAGAAAAGAAAAAGATGATTTTAATACTACACGTGAAAAATAATGAAGCCTGATCTAAAGCAATAGAAGTGAAATGGAGAAGGAAAAGTGTGACAGCTACTGCCATTTGATATGGGAGATAATTTAGAATGAAAAATCTAGAAAGAATGATCAGATTTCTATTTTCTTGCTCTGAGGGCCTAGAACATGCTGTGATTTATTTAACGAACACTGAAGTAGCCCTTATTGTATGGGAAGAACTATGGCAAGCAATTTACAAATATTAACTCAGTTTATCACAATAACACTTCCTATGAAATAGGTATCGCCATTATATCCCTAAAGCACATAAGAAAATGGAGGCATGTGGAAATAATATCACTTGTCCAACATTAACATTACTAGCAAATGGCCAATCCTGGATTCAAATCCAGTCAGTGAGGCTCCAAACTTTATGACCTCACTACTAATATTCCCTGGGCACATAAGAAAAGAGCAGCTTTGTGGGAAATAGAATATATTTTCTTGAACATTTATTTACCTTTAGTTTTCTGTGGAACATTATTTTTCTCAACAAGTTCAAAATGTTAGTACATTTTAAGAAAATATGAGGCAAACATTTATATAAAATTTAGAGTTCATTTAAAAAAATTCAGAAGACATTCTAGAAAGTATTCATGTAAAATGAAATCAAGAAATGTAACAGACCGCATGAAAATGTTTTTAATCCCGTCGTAATAGTTACAACCCAGAATCACAATAATAATTCTATGATTTGTTTGTCTCTAAAGAAAGCCAAACTCCATCTAATAGACTTGGCAGGAGAGCAAAGTATGTCGACGTATTTTTTAATTTTGTAGATTCTTTTTGGTCTCCTTGCTAGGCAGAAATTGCTATAGTTGTTAATTTCAGCCATTTTCTTACCACCACCCGACACACACAAATGCACACACTCACACCTATTCACACACACACACACACACTCTCTCTCTCTCTGTCACACACACACACTCCTTCTCTTATATATATTGATGTCTGCATTTATGTCTGCACCTATGTCTATGTCTATAGCATATACATCAGCATCTGTGTCTAAACCCTGACCCTGTCAACTGTCAGACGCCAGGATTTTCTAGTTGCAGAATCACTTTCTTTGTAATCAGAGCATCTCCACCCTATATTAAACTTCTTCAGTGTTCTTCTTTCCTCAGATTTAACTAATCTGATAAAAGCATTCATGCTAGGACATCAGTGGAACTCTTCTGTTATCATTTGATATGATACTTGAAGACAAAAGGATGGTAGAAAAGAAGTAGAAACTTGGAGAACTTTGGCAGGACAATGAAGGATGTATTTTGTGTAGAAGTACCTTAAAGCCTACATTTGCTGTAAAGATAACTCTTCACAGAGATATTTTATCCAGAACCATGATTCACTAATATTCCAAGATTAATAACTTAATTTCAAAAACATAGAAAAGATAAAACTATCCTAGATAGCACTTTCAAACTTTACTTTGATTATAGGTGTCAGTTGGTAAAAGTATTGGTAGAGTCTGTGAATACATAGGTTTGGTAAAGGCTTAATGACTTGATAAAAGTATAGGTCATTTTTGTAAGGTCATGAGTGGTTGATTAAAGCAGGACACATTACTGGCAGCTGTTTAAGTCTGACAACACAAATTAAAACACTACTTGGTATGGTTTGGCTCTGTGTCCCCACCCAAATCCCACCTCAAATTGTAGCCTCCATAATCCCCATGTGTCAAGGGTGGGACCAGGTGGAGGTAATTGGATCAGGGGGTTAGTTTCACCCATGCTGTTCTCATGATAATGAGTGAGTCTCATGAGACCTGATGGTTTTATAAGCGTCTGGCATTTCCGCTGCTTGTACTCACTTTGTCCTGCCACCCTGTAAAGAAGGTGCCTGCTTCTCCTTTGCCTTCTGCCATGATTGTAAGTTTCCTGAGGTCTCCTCAGCCCTGCAGAACCCTGAGTCAACTAAATCTCTTTCCTTTAAAAATTATCCAGTCTTGGGTATTTCTTCATAGCAATGTGAGAAGAAACTAATACGCTACTATAGAAAAAGAAACATAGATCCTTTTCAAACCTGATATTATGAATTTGCTAATAATATCACCTCTGTAATGTAATTATCTGCTTATCTTCCCTTATATTTTAAACTCTGTCTTTGCTTTTCTTTTTCTCTATGTGTGATTCTGAAGAGGCACAATGCAAATGATTGTATTGATATTAATATGTGTGAGTAGTGGTGTATACACAGGTAGATAATTGACTGTCTATGTTATTTTTGCTTTAATTAATGTAAATTAGTAAAGTTTATTTTGAAAATGTTCTCTCTATTGGAAGATTTTAAAAAACAATAACTTACACCAAAACAATTGTCCTTTGTGAAGGTTGAACTCATTCAGGAGATAACTGACTCGTCATCTAACATCTCATAAGCTCTGAATAAAAAGTAAATCAGTATTTTAAGAAAGTGCATTTGTGATTTTGGACTTGTTGTATTAAGGTGAAATATAATGTGGTTTGTCATCAATCTCTCCGTGTGGCATAAAAGGGCTGACTTGTTGAAATTTCATAGGTTTTTATTTACAGAGAAAACAAGACCCTGTTCTGCCCAGAGTCCTATCAGTCCACACATTCAAAGGAATCACATTTGAAAAGAGACTGCTTAAATCACAACCTTTATGGATAATCTAATCCATAAGGAGACCAAAATTACTTTGCTCCTTTGAATAAGAACAAAACCTAAAGAATTTAATTATTTGCGAATTATTCATGAAGATTTTGATCCTGGCTCAAGGCTAGGTTGGAAAAGACAGACAATCACAGATTGTTGCCAATCAGTGTTTCGTGGAAGAAAAAATATGGAATATTTCAGCCTCAGGATAACACCCCATATTTCCAGGTTGTTTTTTTTAAAAAAAGAGGTGTTGCTAGAGACAAGTGAACCTTGGGTGGAAACAGAAATGAAAGCAGACCCTCTGAGAAAGAAATGGGATATGGACTGTTGCTGGGAAGAAATTATTGCAACGACGTGTGTTGTTTAGTTATAATGCTCAGATTATAAGTTACATTTTGTGAGAAACATATGGCCACATGCTAACCATCCATATGCCAAAGTTAATAAAATCGAATCCCACTGATGTACCTTGTAATACTGACCTTACTTAGTGGTTGGAAAGTCCATAAATGTAGAAGTGTAATACACACACACACACACACACACACACACACACCCCAATCAATCACCAATTTATCTGGTGAATACAAGTAATTGACATGTACTTACTCCTTGATATGAATGGCTTTTGCCAAAGTAATAGAAATGAGAAGAGATCACACCCCAAGATGTGTTAGCTGTGCTCTTTTCATAACTTTAGCAGGCAAGAGAGAGGCAAGGGATTGAGGGGTACTACCTTATATGAGATATTTGTGGAAGCCCTTGCTAAGGTGGCAATGTTTCTTCTGAGACATGATTAATGTGAAAGGGTCAGACAGGTGTGAATTTCAGAGAAGAGGGCTTCAGAGGAAATAGAAAATGTGAAATCCCCAAGTCTGGAATGTGTTTAGTATATTAGAGGAACAACATAAAGCCAATATGATTATTTAAAAAGGACAGAATAGAACAAGATGATTTAAAAAGGAGATAAAAGAATAAGATGATTTTTAAAAAGAGAGTATAGAAGAAGATGATTTTAGAAAAAGAGAATAGAATAAGATGAAGTAAAAAAAGGAGTCAAGGGACTAGATCCCAGAGGTCTTTCTGAGCCAAGGTGAAGAGTTTGAGTTTTCAAGCCAAGGGCAAAAGAGAAAGACATTGGAGAATTTTAAGTAGGTGGATGAACTGTTGAGGCCCCCAAATGGAAAAAAAACAGGAAATTGTTCAGGTTATTCTAGTCATTTAGTGAAATAAAATGATGGTTGAGATACTCTAGTCATTTGGTGAAATAAGATGTTGGTTGAGATCAAGATAAAGCGTGAAGATGGAGGGAAATTGCTGGAGTTGGTATATATTTTAGAGGTATAGCTAATAGGATTGGAGAGTGAGAGGCAGAGAGAAATTAAGAATTACTCGACTGTATAAATTTGAATACCATGTCCCTGACTCTTAACACGGGGCTTAATATGTATTTAGTAAGCATATAAAAAATGCTTGCTAAAATTACCAAAAGATAAGCTCTTTTTCAAGTGATTTATATGGATGACCTCATTTAATTCTCACAACCTCCTGGGCTAGATTCTTTTTTCACATTTTATATAGAAAGAAACTAGAGTTAAGTAATTTGGTTAAGTACTTTGCTCAAAGTTAAAAAGTCAGGAAGTAGCAGTCTGGGAAAGCAAACCAGAGGTATTTGCCTGATGTCTTCAGAGCTCATGGTTTTATTCTCTATTTCAAGAAATAAGAACAAATGCAAGTCATTAATATCTGTTCCAGAAACTATATCCATAGGGTTCTTGCTTAATGGTATTTCTACTGGTTAAATATATTTTATCCTTGGTTCTTGGTTTAATGATAATAATCATAGCTAGTATTTTTTGCCAGGTTCCCATGGGTTAGGTTCTAGACATTTTACATTTACTAAATTAACAAGAAAACTATGAGAAAACACAAGCACTATTTCTGTTTTATAAATGAGAAGGTTAAAGGCAGAGATTTTCCTTCAATCCATTGCATTCCAAAGCTGACAATTTTAATATAAAAGTTATTGGAATAACCAATTAGCATATGAAAGTGGTCATCACCCACAAAATGCAAATTATAACAACATTGAGACATTACTATACACCCATTAAAATTGATAAGACAGATAAAGCCAAGTGTGGCAAGGATATGGAGAAAATAGAACTCTCATGCAGTGCTGCTGAGAATTTAAAATGGTACAATTATTTCAGAAAATTTTTATCAGCCTCTTATAGTGTCAAATATTCACCTATTCTGTAACCCAGTAATTCCACTCTCAAGATTATATCCAACAGAGATGCAAATACTTTGTGGCAGCTATTTTGATTCATATAATATTTAGAGAGTACTTATTAGGTGCCAGGGAGGATGTTGAATTGGTCAGTGTTCTTCAGAGAGACAAAACCAATACAATGAATAGAAAGATATTTATTATAAGAAATTACTAATGTGATTATGGAGGCTGAGAAATCCAGACCAGGAGAGTCAACAGGATAGTTCCAGCCCCAGTTCAAAGGCCTAGGAAGTAAGAGAGCCAATGAGGTCAGTTCCAAACCAAGTCTAAGCCCAAAGTCAAGAGAAGTCTAATGTCCCAGACAGAGAGAGAGAATTTTTTCTGACTCTGCCTTTCATTCTTTTCAGGCCTTCTGCAGATTGCATGAGGCCCCACCCACACTGTGGAGCACAATCTGCTTTATTCAGTCTGCCAGTTCAAATGTTAATCTCATCCAGAAATACCCGCACAAACACACCCAGAAATAATGTTTAATAGAATATCTTGGCACCCTGTGGCCCGGTCAGGTTCACATATACAATTAACGTCACGGATAGTGAAAAACTTAAAAATGTTATCTTACTTTATATACTATGAAAAACACCCACTAGGACGATCATATATATTACTGTGTCTGTATCTATTGCCCTGGTGTTACTATTAATCGCATGCATTCTCACTTCAAAGTGCCCTATTGTGAATAGAAAATTATTTGATAACCCAAATTTGAATCCATTAACCTCTTATAAATTATGGTATCAAACATGATGTTAAAACTTGACACCGTCCCTGATCTACCCTCTTCTAAGTGATTTAATAGGGACAAGGATACAAAGCAGTTAACTGTTTTGTACACTGGTTAAAAATCAAACATCTATATTTGCTTGAGGAAGGTTATTGATATGGTTTGGCTTTGTGTCCCCACCCAAATCTCATCTGGAATTGTAATCCCCAGGTGTTAAGGGAGGGACCCAGTGGGAGGTGATTGGATCATGGGGGTGGTTTCCCCCATGCTGTTCTCATGATAGTCAGTGAGTCTCATGAGATCTGATGGTTTTGTAAATAGCAGTTTCCCCTGGGCTTTTCTCTTCTCTCTTGTGCCGCCTTGTGAGAAGGTGCCCATTTTCCCTTCAACCATGATTGTAAGTTTCCTGAGGCCTTCCCAGCCATGTGGAACTGTGAGTCAACTAAACCTCTTTCTTTTATAAATTACCAGTGTGAAAATGGAATAAAACAGTTACGTTTCCATATTTTCACATCAAAAATGCCTCTTAATATGGAATGTCAAATTCTTTTCTTAGCTCTTAACAAAATGGAATGCCTACTTCTCTTTCATTAATAAAGTGCAAGTGCTACTTTATAGACAGTTCTATAGCTTCTTACCTTATATTTTAACGTGGTATTTGGTTTAATCAAATTGATATTAGTATGGATTATCTAATAGGATTCTGAAAACCATCCCTAATGTCAATAGAATAAACATAACTCAATGAGGACTCTAAGCCATCAGATTCTTTGCTCTCTCATCTCTAATGAGCACCATGATACTTCCCAAATCATTCTTAACATTTATACATTTCTTTCCTCTTTCTCCACAGCCTCTTTCCTAGTTGAGTCTTACCTTTATTTTATCTCTCTTGGATTATTTTCCTTTATGCCTGTTTTCCATGCCTCTAGAACTTTCTTCTTTCAAAACATCTTTTGTTGATTAATCTCCAAAATACAAACTTGATCATGGTTTCCTCTTGTTTAATAGATTAAATGGGTCCCTGTAGCTTGGGATAAATGAACCTTCATTACATAGCTCGCTGCCTCACTGACTACCAGTCCCTTCCTACTGTCTCTGTTCTAGCCCTTTTGAACTAACCAAAGTGTTCTTTTACTCCCTTATATCTGGGATTGGAGGTTTTAGAAATCCTAGTTTCTTTACCTGAAACATCTTCCCCAATTCTGACCTGGGTAATTTTTATTTGCATTTCTGGTTTCTGCTTAGGCATCCTATTCTCCTTTAAGCTTTCCCTGATCCAGAAAGGCTCCAGTTGCCCATCATATCCTGCAACTATTATGTTCTAACACTTATTAAGCCATGTTACCATTGTCTTTATAATTCCCTGACCCTCCTTTACTCTTCCATAATTTTATGTCTCTAGAAAATAGATAATCTGATGGCAAAGGATTATTGTTATTTTATGCATCCTCATTTTTCTGGGATCTCTTGAATTGGTTGATACATAGTTGATATATGCTATACTATAATTGGAAATTTGTAGGTATCCATTGGGTGATGGCACATTTGTGTTACGTGTTTATAATGTTTATGTCTATTGGGCTTTGTCATAAAGCCTGAATTCTAACACTAAGCCGTTATCTAGGTTAAAATGATTTTTAGAAATGTGATACATAATTATAATAATAATAGCTGATTAAGTAATAGAACTTACTAGTCTCTAGGGTTTTTATCGGCAATAGATGGAAGGTAGTGTATTTATAATGATGTCTGAGGTATATTAAGGAAATATTAAGTATTTAACTCTTAAAAATAACTTCATCAGTGTTCCTCTGAATATTTAACTATCACAAATGATGTTCTAGGCAATACTCCACACACTTTATGAGCATTAAGATAATCAATATTCATAAGAGCCCTCTGAAGTATGACCCATTATTTCTTTCCATTTATAGAAAGAAGACTGAGGTTCTGAGAATTTTAATAACTTGTCAAAGGCCAACTGCTAATAAGTAATAATCTGTTCGTTATATTCTCTCTGGAAGAAAGAAGCAATTCCCTGAGGAAATGAGACAGTGGGCAAATAAGTTTGGATAAGGAACCTGTTTAAAAATTTTCAAAAAAGGGAGTGAGGGAGCCTGCCCATGGAATCGCCATAGGCTATGAGCATACAGGGAGATCATCCCATGCTATGAGCATACAGGGAGAGCATCCCATGCCATGAGCATGTGGGGTGAGCATCTCATGCTATGAGCATCCCATGCTATGAGCATAGGGGGTGAGCTTCCCATGCCATGAACACAGGGGGTGAGCATCCCATGCCATGAACATAGGGGGTGAGCATCCCATGCCATGAACATAGGTGGTGAGCATCCCATGCCACGAACATAGGGGGTGAGCATCCCACACTATGAGAATATGGGGAGGTCATCCCATGCTATGAGCACAGGCGGTGAGCATCCCAGGCTATAATCCAATGCTATGAGCATAGGCGGTGAGCATCCCATGCCATGAGCATCCCACGCTATGAGCATACGGGGAGAGTATCCTGTGCCATGAGCATAGGGGGTGAGCATCCCATGCTATGAGCATATGGGGAGAGCATCCCATGCTATGAGCATAGGGGGAGAGCATCTCATGCTATGAGCATAGAGGGTGAGCATCCCATGCCATGAGCATACAGGGAGAGCATACCACGCAATGAGAATACAGGGAGAGTGTCCCATGCCATGAGCATAGGGGGTGAGCATCCCATGCTATGAGAATACAAGGAGAGCATCCCACTCTATGAGAATACAGGGAGAGTATCCCATGCCATGGGCATACAGGGAAAGCATCCCACGCTATGAGAATACAGGGACAGTATCCCATGCCATGAGCATACAGGGAGAGCATCCCACGCTATGAGAATACAGGGAGAGTATCCCGTGCCATGAACATAGGGTGTGAGCATCCCAAGATATGAGCATAAAGGGTGAGCATCCCGTGCTATGAGAATACGGGGTGAGCATCCCAGGCTATGAACATAGAGGGTGAGCATCCCACACTATGAGAATATGGGGTGAGCATCCCAGGCTATAAGCATAGAGGGTGAGCATCCCACACTATGAGAATATGGGGTGAGCATCCCAGGCTATAAGCATAGAGGGTGAGCATCCCACACTATGAGAATACGGGGTGAGCATCCCATGCTATGAGCATACGGGGTGAGCATCTCACGCTATGAGCATGGAATTTTCTATTCCATGAAATAGAACGTAAGACCTAAAACCACAAAAACCCTAGAAGAAAACCTAGGCAGTACCATTCAGGACATAGGCACGGGCAAAGACTTCATGACTAAAACACCAAAAACAATGGCAACAAAAGCCGAAATTAACAAATGGGATGTAATTAAACTAAAGAGCTTCTGCCCAGCAAAAGAAACTATCATCAGAGTGAACAGGAAACCTACAGAACGGGAGAAAATTTTTGCAATCTCTCTATCTGACAAAGGGCTAATAATCCAGAATCTACACAGAGGAAAAGATTCTTTAAATGCTAATATAAAAAAGAAGATACTAAAATAAAAACGTAGACATACTGAATATTAAATTCTAGCTATGTTAAATGTTTATGTCTACCAATAAAAGAATCTGGCAACATTTACTTTATTAAGAAAATGGGACTCACTTTATTTTTCTAGACAGATCATTGTTAGGGTGATTTTCCCTTAAGAAGACACCAAAACTGCCAATAAAATATATCCATACATTTTTCTCTCTGTAAAGAAAAGTGAAGGCTAACTAAACTTTCAACAAAAGACTCTATGTTTTTCTCAAAACCTATATATTTTCCGCCTTCCAAAGAGTATATCTTTTCCAAAAAGACGCTGAAAGTTTGTGTTAATTTATTCTTTTCACTGAAAAAATAATTGTACATATATTTTTAAAAACATTAAGAAGATGAAGATGATGAGGTCATTTATTGTTGTTAAACTTTAATGGTGTCTAGATAAGGGGCTTGGCACTTTTTTTCTTATTGGGCTGTTGTTTTTTCCGTTCCTGTTGGGTCAGTAGCAGCCACTAAATGACATGATGCTCAATCAGACCTTTTTTTTTTTTTTTTTTCCAAATTTGAAAGAAAAAAAGCAAACCTCACCTCAGCACCAAATGAGGCAGTTCGTGCTGGTTTTGGAAAAGGAATTAGCTCCAGAGAGAAAAATAACAAACTCAGTCCTGAGGTCTTTCCTATATATTGAAAAGGCCAGTGTGGAAAGGAAATGCAGAAAAACAAACAGAAGGTGCACGAGTTTCTTTATCATACCTGGAGAAGGATATGTTCAAATCCACACAGCCGTGTCCTGGCGCCAGGCCTTTGCTTTTCTTTTTCTTTCTTTTTCTTTAAAATGGCACCCACTGCTCTATAAAATGATCTATTGGGACTTCAAAGCTGTGGCAATTGCATGTGGCACAGGATGTACACAATTAATTATGTGATGCTTAAATGACAGGGTATAGGAAAAATAAGAGAGAAGAAGAAAAAGTTTTTTTTTTTTTTAAAAAAAAAGCAAAAAAAAAAAAAAAAAAAAAATCCAAAGTAAACTGAAAGACCTGGTTGTCTGCCTGCCAAAAACCAGTAGCAGATAAGGCCTCCAGTTGCTGTGGAAACTCAGGCCTCCAGGAGCCAGAATCCAATTTCAGAAACCACAAAATCAACATAAACGTGTGCAAAAATAAAAAGGTTTGTTTGGCAAGTAATAAGGAGAAGGCTACCAATGTATAAAACACATGAACCAAGGTGACCTCAGCCAACTGAAGCTATAATGACGATGATGTCCACAGCAGATTTGGCACCTCTGAAACGAGCGGTAACAAGACACAGTCCACGCCGCTTTCTGTTATCAGGTAATTGCTACCTTTTTGAAATATTAACCGTCCACCACTTCTTCCCCTGCCTCACCTCAGAAAACATAACAACACCCTTCATGAAAGCAATGTTAGAGATCTTGATTTTAACCCGAGAGGCCAGAAAACAGACAGCTCGACTTTTCACTTGTTCCTTAGATCATGAATTACACGCTGTATCATCCAGGAAAAAGAAAAATAAAGAAAAATAGATTCTATATACAGACTTCTTTATCCCTTCTGCAATCTGCAAGAAACAATTGCCTTTTAAAGTAAGAAGCAGAGTTCACATATAAACTATTAATAATTATAAACCTTTAGGTTATTCTGAACTCTTTATTTAATTTACTTCTTTAGAATAAAGAAGTATCATCTAAAATAAATGTCCTTTGATGAGTGAACAATTTTTAATTCATTCTTATATTCTCAGAAATTATCTTTCCTTCTTTTCCTTTAAAGAATAAATGTGCTCTTATACTTAGTTCATCAATAGGTTGATAAATCATTTGCTTGGATAAGACCAACCTGTATTTCATCTAACACTAAATGTAGAGGATTTTCAATATAAATTCCAGGAAATCTACAAGTTTGGGATCATAGAGAAAATGCACTAGTATCTTGTTTCTGAGAAAGTGACCTAAAACTCTTTTTCAGGAAGTAAAATTTAAAAATAAATTGGAATTCCAAACAGATAAATATGTAAAGAAAGAAACCAAAACCAGCCCATAGAAATGTCAAATATATAACAATTCACCATAGAAATATCTCCATCCTTATTTCTCTCTCATTCCTGTTTTTGCTCCTCAAATGGAGGATGAAATGTAAAATATATAATTCCACTTCCTGGGAATAGACTGTATTGTATATCATTTGCATCGAAAATGCCTCATTCTTGCCGCAGAGATTCTGCTAAATGCCTATCACATCACTTCTGTCATCTCTTGGGCCAACAGCTAAGCCCTGTCTCTTTGTAACTGCATTCTGTTCAATGCAGTATAGGCAGAAGAGATGAACACCACGTTCAAGACTGCTAGTCTATATTTTGAGAAATAAAAGACAGGTCAGCCACAGTGATGAGATTTTTTCTTTTTTCTTTTTTCCTGGAAACTGTAAATGGCAGAGAAAACTCAGCCTTAAGCAATTCTGCATTGTGCTGTCTTCGGACATACAAGTATCTGTTCTTATGCGCAAGGTTTGCTCAATATAAAATTCTCTCAGGAGTGGAGAAAAAATATGTGATCAGAAGCTTGAGAACCTGATGATTTGGAGAGTCAGAGGCAGTTGATAGCACTTATTTTTGTTTTCACAACCACTTACAGCATTATAAAAAAGGAAACCTGATATTGAAGAAGTGTTCATTTGACTCAGTTTATAGGTATATTATGCCACATAATTTTCTCACTGGAAGTTGCAACTTTGATTTGTTTTTGTTATTAATTCACTTACAATAATATCTTCTTGTTAAACATATTAACGGTACATTTATATAAAGAAATTTGAAGACCATAAAAACATGTTTTTGAAGAATATTTAATGACTAAAGAAAGTTTTGATATATTGTAAGTGAAAAAAATCAGGATATATAATTTAAATCTTACAATAAAATATTTGATAAAGAGGTTAAAATAAATATATACACAAAAAGCTAAAAACCTATTTCTACTCAGTGGAATTATAGGTGATTTTTATTTCATTTTTTCTCTATGATTTTCTATCATTTCAAATTTTACATGCTAAAATTTGCCATTTGATTGTTTTAATAGATTAATACTTATGTGTTAAGATAATTCAGGCAATCAAATCTCCATTCAAGATAAGTTTAAGGCAACCTATAGTATTAAGATAGGTGTAAATAACATGAAAAAAGATGAAAAGTGAATGAAATGAAGTTCTACAATAATAATAGTCTTACCATTTGTTGGGTGCTCATTTGAGTATCGTACATATATTAACTTATTTAATCCTCATACCATGCAATGAAGTTGCCATATTACTCCCCTTTTATAAACAAGGAAACTGAGGCACAGAAGGGTTGACTAACTTGCCTAAGAGCTCTTAGCTAGTTACTGGAGAAGCTGGGTTTTGAACCCAGGCAGTCTGGCTCCAAAGGCTGCATTTTTAGGCACTGCACTGTAGGGACGGTTGTCAAGAAATAAAACTAGAATTTGCCCTTGGTTTACTCTCTCTCAATGTAAACAGGGAGTGATTGGTTATATAGGTTTATCCGTCTGTTATAAAAATAAACATAAAAA
The DNA here is from genome assembly GCF_000001405.40 of Homo sapiens. Taxonomy (NCBI): domain Eukaryota; kingdom Metazoa; phylum Chordata; class Mammalia; order Primates; family Hominidae; genus Homo; species Homo sapiens. Next base: position 71,166,112 of record NC_000017.11, read on the forward strand.
TTTATCTGGATAAACAGGTGTTTTTCGGTGTCTAAACTTGAAGAGGAACTGATTGTTGAAGTTAATGAGTGCAAGAATGAGCAAGATTTTCAGCTGTATTATTACTGAATATACAGAGAAGAAATCCAATTTAGAAAACAAAAGGGAGCAATGAATCATTCCTAGAACTCAAGAAGCATATGGCTTTTCAGGGAAATCTTCAACTTTTTATGGGTAAAGGTGGATAGAGACTTGTTTCCTTACTAAGAATAGGGGACGTTGATGGCTACAGCCCTAGCCATTTTCCCATTCTTCTCTTAATGATCAAAAACTACTGCCAAGGTCAGAGTGGAGCAGAGGAACAGAGTTAAACAAAATCTCTTTGGCAAGATCATTTCTTCCAAAGGGACTTGATTAATCTAATAATGTTGCACATTAAATCAATTTGCACTAAGAAAATGAAAGCCACACATGGTGATATATAGCCTATGGGAGCTCCCCAAATGAACCCCAAGCCCCAGCCAATGTTTTAGTCTCTTGCTACTTCTTTTATTTTACACAGAAAATTAAATTTTAGCAGTTGAGTTCTATTTTCGTTTAGAATGTCTATTAAAAGTCTGGCTGTAATATTTATGAATACCAAAACAAGGCCACCAGGACACGTGTCTACTAAAAGCAAGTCTCAGTTACACATCTGCTAAGCAGTTCCTCAGACATTAATAATAATAATAATTTCAAAATCATGATGTAAAACAAACTGTAAGAGCGAGGTTCAAATTGGAAGAGCAAATACAACAGAGAATACAATTTTTAAAAATATTACAATACAATTCCTTTAAGTGCTTTAGAATACTTTTTCTTCCTATTACTTCGATCTTGGAGTTAGAGGGTGAAGAATTAAGTTCAATGATGTTTTCATCATCAGATTTTATTATAAAACCTTCAGGAAGATATTTTTTTAAAAAAGCTCGAATACTTAATTGAGAGTATATTAAAGTCTAAACTGTGAGCAAGTAAAGAATCTTTTATCACCACAGAATGACTCTTCTGGCCAAATATTCTCTGCTGGATTCCTAGTTTTTATTTGTTTGCTTTTAGTATATATAAGAATTTTCTTATAGATCAACTTGGGATGGAGAGGGTAGAAAGAGATAGAATGGTTTACTCTTGGATTGTTAGTGGTCAATGCCAAGTAGGGACAAATAATGATAAAAGACATAAAAGATAAACCATCTCATGAATAATAAAGTGAGCTAATGGAGAAAAAGGATTTAATTTGAAAAAAAAAGACTTAATTTTCCATACTATTTTCCAGTAATACATTACTGTCTGCAATTCACCCATTAGTCAAAGTTAAAACTGAAGAACATTGTTGACACTTAAAAATTCAAATATGTTGACACAGACGAATTAATCAGGAACTTCTCTTAAAATTCACCACAGATATTCAGGTCCAGCTTTGTCTGTGAGGTGATCTTTGTCTTTTTTCCCTAGATAAATTTCGTAAAAGCGTAACATCTGCTGAGCACTAACTTTCAAGACTGCAACATCTGTACTGTTAAATGTTTATTTTGTTCCCCCAAACCCAAAGCAATGGAAAGGAGAAATAACAGAGTAGGAGAGAGAAGGAGAAGAAATGGAAAAAACAGTCTTTCTTCACACTTTCCGAAGTCTTAAAATATCGCCCAACCTAACATTCTCACAGTAGCAAACCTTTCGTCTTCCCTTCTTGCCACCCTTTATGCTAACCCTCTGGGAAAAGGGCTTCATTTATTCACCCAGGACTGGACTCTGTCAGAGATTTCTGTTGTTTTACACGTTTCTGGGCACAAGAAAGAGCTTATGCAAAGGCTGGCCCTGGTATTGCAGAAGTCTTGTTGGTTTTTGCCAACAAACTGACTTTTTCCTAAAACTTTTTATTTTACCGCTTTCTTATATAAAGGAAGAAAGATTCTCATTTAAACTACAGACAAAGGGGAAAAAATGAGGAGAGACAGTGGTGATATGGAGCAAGCTGATGAAAAAAAATGCATCATTTTCTGTCTGTTGAGTTCTTAATGGGTTTTGCTCTTCAATTGAGTTAATTTGGTAGCATTTTCTGTGTCACTGGATTGGCTTAATCAGAGGGGATTTAAGTGCAATAGCATGGTGTGCTTCACAGAGTGAGAGTGTGTGTGTGTGTGTGTGTGCGTGCGTGTGTGTGTGTGTGTGTGCGTGTGTGTGTGTGTGTGTGTGTGCCTGTAAGCACATACGGTACATGGTGATTTTTATACTGTAGAAAACTGCTGAGCTAAAAATCTTTCTGCAAGGAAAAGAGGGCATGGTTTTCTTCTAGTTAACTTTCAAAGGAACTGCTCTGTCATCTGGACCCAGAGTTGAGGTGTCCCACCAAGACTTTGCAGGACAGACCTGCCTGGGTCCATTTCTCACTCTGCCTCCAGAATGGCACAATGCCAAATACTCTCTTGGTAATCACATGCACTCTGCAGCTTTCAGTTTTCTCTATCATTTACCTCCACAGACCTTTTGAAGTGTTGTTTTTCTGGCTTCGCTCACTTTTCTGCCATTCTCCAGAATGTCTTTGTGTGATACTTGTACTATAAAAGAATGCCAGATTAGAAAATCAAAATATTGGAACCAAAGTTATAAATCTGGACACCACAGAGAGCCAGAGTATAAGGGTATTTTTTTCTAATGTTTTGTTGCCACTAAGGCATATTATTTCTTAAAACAGAAGTACAACTCTTGAAGATTATAATGTAATTCAGCCTTCCAGTGTTCTCTTTTCCTATGATGAGGAAAGATCTAGAATATACATTAGACCCAACAACCTCGATTTTTACATATTTTTTTAATTTTTATGGATACAAAATAGTTGCACGTATTTATACGGTACATGCGATATTTTGATATCAGCATACAAATTTTAATTATCAAATCAAGTAATTGGGGTACCCATTGCCTTAAATATTTATCACTTCTTCATATTGGGAATGCGAAGTTTTCTCTTCTAGCTATTTTTGTTTTTAGACGGAGTCTTGCCCTGTCGCCCAGGCTGCAGTGCAGTGGCATGATCTTGGCTCATTACAACCTCCACCTCCCAGGTTCAAGCAATTTTCCTGTCTCAGCCTCCCGAGTAGCTGGGACTAGAGGCACATGCCACCACGCCCAGCTAATTTTTGTATTTTTAGTAGAGATGGGGTTTCACCATGTTTATCAGGCTGGTGTCAAACTCCTGACCTCAGGCGATCCTCCCACCTTGGCCTCCCAAAGTGCTGGGATTACAGGTGTGAGCCACTGCACCTGGCCAATACAAACTACTTGAATTTGAACTTGGCTGACTTTCATATTTAATAGCCTCATGGTGGGTCTCCAATAACAGGATAATTGAATTAAGGAACACAGTCCATCTGAGTGGATATGGTAGGCTTCACCACAGTGCCTTTTGGAAGGGACCAACTTTTGGAAGGGGTTGCTGTGGCTCAAGCCTGTAATCCCAGCACTTTGGGAGGCCAAGGTGGGCAGATCACGAGGTCAGGAGATCGAGACCATCCTGGCTAACACAGTGAAACCCCATCTCTACTAAAAATACAAAAAAATTAGCTGGGTGTGGTGGCGGGCACCTGTAATCCCAGCTACTCGGGAGGCAGAGACAGGAGAATAGCGTGAACCCGGGAGGCGGAGCTTGCAGTGAGCTGAGATCACGCCACTGCACTCCAGCCTGGATGACAGAGCGAGGACTCTGCCTCAAAAAAAAAAAAAAAATTATTATAATGGACAACGAATCATTCTACGTATTTATAGGGTACATGCCATAATCAAATCAGAGAAATTGGAGTATCCATCACCTCAAGTATTTATCATTTCTTTGGGTTAGGAACATCCCAATTCCATCCTTTTAGTTATTTAAAAATACAGAATAAATTATTATTAACTATAGACACCCTATTGTGTTACTGAACTGATTTTCTGAGTTTGGTATATGAAAGTTTTAAACCAAGACAATCCCTATGAGTTGATAAAAAGGATAGAAGACACAGATTGCCTTGGTAGAAAGGAGTATGGTGGGCACCAATCAAGAGTTTCAGAACCTTGAATGATGAGATGAGGTTTCAGGAATAGGTCTCAGGCCAAAGGTGGAAGGCAATAAAAGCCAGAAACCAGGTACAAAGTCCAGTTAAACACATGGGTCACCCATTATTGAGAAAAGGTGGAAAGTTGAAGCATGATGCTTTCTTAGGTTTCTAAAGTTTAATGTGCTCACAGACATATCAGATAGCATTCCTCCAGCTGCATCCAACAGTGCTCTCTTTTATTGGTTCTAGTTCTGGATAAAATTTAGTTACCTTTGGCAGATCTAGCATTGCTGCAATAGGAAGGAAAGGAGAGAGGACCAGAAAAGATTCCAAGTGCAAAATGTGCCCTTAGGTGTAGGCCCAAGGTGGCTATGAATCCTATCCCTGAAGTCATGGAAATTACTAAGATAGTCCCCTCCTTTTATTAAAAAAAAAGATAATTTCTTCAAACAACTCCAAACTGTATACACATTTTATAATGATGATTTATTTCAAAATCTTAAATACTGACTGAATATTCAAGTAGGGAATTAAGTCCTATCTTTGACATTTTCTTTATGTGTTATCTTTGGTGATGCTAAGTGTTCGATTTCAATTTGGCCAGTTTCAATAAACTTTCTAGTCAATTTTGGGACACATGTGATTCAAAGTTGTACTTTAAAATAGTAAACCTTGTAGGCAGGTATAAAACATTTAACCATCTAATTTACTTAATCCTATTATTGTTATTTCATGTGGTTAGTGTTCAGTAACACTTAGAACATTTTTTAAAAATGAATTGATTATACAATTATTTCATATATTATGTACGTGAGCCCAGAAGTTCTCATCATTAAGTATATTAGATGTCTGTGATTACTATACTTTATGAGAAAGATATCTGTTATTAATCTGTCTAGAAACCTTTAGTCTCTAGATCACCATTGACAAAGATAGGGAATATATTTTTGTAAAACTCTAATGAAATGGTGTGAATTTCCTGAACTAAGAGGAGCACTTACATTCTCAGTGTTGGTTTCCAACAGATTTCCATTTATTAGCCTATTTAGTATGTTATTCATAATATGATCTCTATATGACTCAGTTTTTAATCACTACAACTATCAATGACAACTTATGAAAGGACTGAGAAATTCCATGATTCCAAAAAGAGGGAGAAGAGAGAAAAATTATAACTGCCTCCAATTTCAATCCAAAGTTTATATGTGAAAAGTAATAACTAACTCTTCATCCTGAATAAAGCAGAAATTACTGTAAGTAACAAACAGAAGACCTTGAGTAATTGCAGAAAATTATGTTAGTTTAGATGACATGACAAAATCTTACCCAAGGCAATATTGTACAATCCCTGTTTTTTCAGAGAATAATGTAAAAAAGGTCCATGACCAGTTGAGGTAAGTTAACCGAGGGCTTACTAGCCTACAGGAAAATGAACTGGAAGCCCTGTGAGGTCTTTTATGACCCTGTGAGTCTGTGAAATGTTGTCGTTAATTCCCTGCTATCACCTCAAACACATAACTAAATGTATTCGCTGGCTAGATTCCCTCTTTCTGTCAATGGTACCAGCATTCTTCCGGCCACCCAGGCTCAAAATTTTGTAGTTATTTTTCATTCTCTTGGCTTCCTACAGCTTAACCCAGTCACTTGCTAACTCTATTCAATCCTTTTATATATCTTTCCCATCCAAGCCTATCTTGCTTGTCCTTTGCAAGACCCTAATTCAAACCCATTATCCTTTCATGCATGTTCATTTGCAGGATCCTTGTAACTGGACTCTTTTTCCATCCAAGTGGCCCTGCATTCCACCAGTAGATCAACCTTCTTTAAGCATCATTTTGATCATTGTTATTTGTCTTCAGAGTCTCTGCCTTGCGTTTATCCATGTGAAACAAGCTGGTGGTGAGTTCAACAACCAAAGGGTCATGTGATTAAATACATTTTGAAATGACTGCCTGCCCTAGCCTCTTAAAAAAATTCACAATGCTCATTAGCACAACAATGACTTGAATAAATCTCCCAATAGAAAAATCTGCTTCATTTTACTTAACACACTCATGTCTCAAATTAGTTGAATACGAAAACCTGTTTTTTTTTTTAATTTATGTAAACATTATTAACATTTCTCAGATTGAATATTTTAAATAACATACATACTTTGGGAAACATTCATGAGAATCATAGCATTCGCACTCCTTAGCCTGACACATTTCTTCATAATCACGTCCTTGCTGTCCAGTCTTATATTCCATTACTTCTCCGTGGACATGGTCATCCCCAGGAAGGCCCGTCCACTTTTCAGTCTATTCTCTCTGACCACTCTTACTATCCCTCCATTAACTTTTTTTTGAATGAACTCTCACTCTGTCACAGGCTGGAGTGGATCGTGCAGTGGCACAATCTCCCGAGTAGCTGGGATTACAGGGGCCCACCACCATGCCTGGCTATTTTTTTGTATTTTTAGTAGAGACAGGGTTTCACCATGTTGGTCAGGCTGGTCTGAAACTCCTGACCTCAGGTGATCTGCCCGCCTCAGCTTCCCAAGAGCTGAGCCACTGTGCCAGTCCAATAACTTTTATTCATTAATTTTAAGAAAATATCATATTTCATCCTTTTAGAATCAATTTAATGCCAACTCTTTTTTAAACATTTCAATGGTTTTGGGGGTACAGGTGGTTTTTGTTTACATGGGTAAGTTATTTAGCAGTGATCTCTGAGAATTTAGTGCACCTGTCATGCAAGCAATGTACACTGTACCCAATATGTAGTCTTCTATTCCTCAATCCCCTCCCAACCTTCCCCCCTCCCCTGAGTCCCCGAAGTTGAATATATCATTCTTATTCCTTTGCATCTTTATAGCTTAGCTCCTACTTATAAGTGAGAACATACAATACTTAGTTTTCCATTCCTGAGTTACTTCGCTTAGAATAATGGCCCCCAGCTCCATCCAAGTTGCTGCAAAAGATATTATTTCATTCTTGTTGATGGCTGAGTAGTATTCTATGGTGTATATATACCACATTTTCTTGATCCACTTAGTTGTTGGGCATACAGGTTGGTTCCATATCTTTGCAATTGTGAACTGTGCTGCTATGAATATGCACGTACATGGGTCTTTTTCATATAATGCCTTCTTTTCCTTTGGGTAGACACCCAGTAGTGGGATTTCTGGATTGAATGGTAGTTTTAATTTTAGTTTTTTAAGGAATGTCCATACTGTTTTTCTTAGTGGTTTTACTAATTTGCCTTTCCACCAATTGCCAACTCTTTTATGAAGACTTTGTAAAGCTCCAGCTTCAAACGGTGGATCAGTCTCCTATGACATGTGGGGTGCAGTAGTTATAACACTAGTAGAGTAATTCCAAATCCACTCAACTCAATGTAGCAACAGTCTATTAAGTATCTTCTGGTTGCAAGGCACTTATGATAAGGAAATAAATTCTAGGATGTGCCACACTAAATTGTTCATGGGGTATTTGTAGAATTGCAGCTATTGCTATAATGGTAATATACAAAGTACTAGAGAAACCTAGTTTATTCTGTTTGGGAATTAGGGATGGTGGCTCACATAAAACTACAGAAAGGGGGTCTCTGAGCCAGCCTTGAATTTAATTAACATATTAAACAATGGTTACCATTAGACAATTCATTACGGTTAAATGATATCCCCGTGCTGAACTCACAAGCTATATTCCCTGACTGTGCTTCATGAGGCAGGGGACTCTCAGTCACCATCATTATTAATTAAGTTTCCTGATCAATTTGAGAACTATTATTAAATATCTCTTCAATTACTCATTCTTCAGGCTGTATAAACCCAGTTCATTTTAGCTTTTCTCAGAGGTCTGATTTTCTAAGCCTTTAATCATCATTTTGTTTCTTTGAACTCCCTCCGAAGTTTCCATGCCCTTCTTTACTTACTTCTACAACTAGTTACTATGCTGGATAAACAGCAGAGGAATGTCATGGACAACCATACCAAGTGGTGAGGTTTGATTGAGTTAAGCACCCAACTCACAAATACTTATTCAGAGTATCCCAACCCTGTAGCACAAAACTTGGCTGTGGCTCAAAAGTGTTTTAATGGCCTGTTCATACAGCATTACATGAGGGTGACGATTTTTAAAAATTCTTCTGGGCATAATATTAAACTACAGAAACCCCCAAATAAGTACGTCCACCACAGCACCAGGTATTTTAAAGCTATTTATGATTTCCACTATTTATTTGCTTAAGTAAATATAGTAAAAATAGTTAAGATACATATATGTATGTGTGTATATATACACTATACTAAATACATATTTAATATCTAGTTATATAAAATTAAACAAGGCATGTAATCATTATTTTTTCACAGGGGTTTAAGTTGTTTCTTTATTGTTATTCAACAATGGCATGTTTCTTACTAATCAACAGAGAAGGAAAGTAAAATGCACCCTTAATTATAGATGAGCTTCCCTAAATTAAACAAAATTTAAAATCGTAAATTTGTAGCACAATTGGCAAAGAGAGAGAGAAAAAAAGAGAATTAGCCCAAGAGCAGATTTCTTCAAAGCAACCATAGAGGTCAGAAATCAGTGGAATCTTCAAAATAAACGGATTGAGAAAGTACCCATCAGACTGGAATACTCCACTAAATTAATCCATCTTTAAGAAACAAGGATAAAATAATAATATTTGCAGATAGGAAAACAAATTTTCCACTAATAGACTAAATTAAAAATATACTTCAAGGAGAAGAAAAATATTTCTAGGAGGAAATTCAAGATGTAAAAACAAATATATATTTTTTAAAAAGGTGAACATGTATTAAATCTAAACAAACAGTATCTGGTTTGAGGCAATAATACTAATGCTACCATTTATAAAAATAAGTAATTTCTAAAGGGTGGTAGTAAAACACAGGAAATTGATAGCATGTAAATTGGAGGATATCAGGTCCTTACAAGGTTGTCACATTGTTGTATGAATTCAAGATCAATCAAAAATAATAATTATAAATGGAAATAATGCATAAATATAAATACAATGGAAATTTTAAAAAGAATATGCAACCAACAACTCTTTTTCAATAAATTTGAGAATTAGATAAAATGGATAATTTTGCAAATATTGGTACTTAAGGAGACTATCTGGAAAAGCCTTATAATTAGACTTTAAAATTGGTACATATTAAAATATTCTCACAAAGAAAATACCAAGAAAACAGTGTTTTGTAAATTTTCCCAAAATTTCAAGTAGAAGATTATAACACTCTTACTCAAATCTTCCAAAGAACAGCCTAAATCTCAACTCACTCCACAAATCCCATATAATCTCGATATTAAAGCCATGTAAGAAGAGTAAAGGAAGGAGAAAAGAAAGGAAAAAGTTATTTATTCATGAACATGGATGCAAAAATTCAAAGAAAGTACTAGCCAGCTGGATCTGACGTTGCATAACAGAGATCACACTACCATCAAACTAGATTTAATCTAGTAATGGAAAGGGTTGTTTAACATCTTGAAATTTGTAAATTCACCTAACTGTACAATACGAATTAAAAGTACCTGAGACAGAGAGAGGCTAAGGCAGCTGCCCCGAGACTTGGATCTACTGAGTGGCCGAAGTGGGATTTACATGGGAAAGATAAAATAGTAACTGTCTCACACGAGAAAGACGAAAATTACATGAAATAAATTACATAAGGGATACTGGCCGATATATGCAAAATAATCTACTTATTTTAGAATAAAAAACAGTATTATTTAAACTAGTCTATATTTTCCCCTGTTCTCCTGTCTTCATCCTTCACCAAACCTCTTGGGTTTGTAGCATTACAGGTATGGAAAAAGGAAGAATATTAATTATAGGATTGGCCTAAAATAAGTGATCTATCTATCTACTAGACTCTAGACAATGTAGAACGTCTTTAACTCTGTTTGTTGGGCTTTGAGAGGGGCAGGACAAAAAGGGAAAGCGGAAATTTGGAAGCTATTGTCAAGTGACAAGGTATATCAAACATGCTTAATTCTGATACACATCATGATCTAAAAGACTCAAACAGAAGGGTCTTTCAAATAACTTGAGCTCGATATTATATTTGAATGGTTCCAGATCACAGTAATGGAACCGGAATATGTTTTGAACCCTGATTTTAAATGTGTGTTACCTTTTTACTGCTTTGTAAGTAAATCATAGAATCACTTTTTTAGTATCATTTCACTTTTATGAGTATTTTTTAAAAACCCCTCTGCTAATGCCTGGAATCTCTCCATTCAGAGTTAGAGTCATAATCAGATTTGGCCAGTTGATACCAAGGCAACTGCCTGTGTGTTTTCTTTTGACTGTATCACGGGACACAGAACACAGCTTAAGAAACAGTCAGGAAAATGAGGCCTGTTTTTTTGAGGGGATAATTAAGAAAGACAAAGTCAATTAACATCTGATTCCTCACAGGTTTCTCCAAGCAAATTGTTCCAATTACCCAAAACCAGTGAGCAAATTGTGAGGTCATTTAAAAGGAGCAGTCACTACTCCCTTGACACTGCCCTGCCACTGTGCTGTCAGATTTTCTGTGTATAGACCAATTAAAGAGCAAATTGAAACATGCAAATTTTGGTGCAAGAATGTTCCCGTATATAGTAGCAATGTATTTATGAACCTAGAACTCCTATTTTATTTCCAGTACATTTCAAATGTAAGTTTATCTGTATCTTACATTTTTAAGTGTATTGCTTTCATTTAAATACAAAAATAAATGCAACATCTTTGCAAAGTGTGTTCAGTATATATGTTGTCACAGCCAGAATATTTTACAACAGTGTGGAATAAAAGATAGACTCCACTGTTACTGTTTATAGTCTGTAATAGGCAACATAAAAACAAAGTCCACATTAGTTATGTAGACGGCATACTTTTATGAGCCTGTTAAACTTTGTTTTCGCAGGCTATTTAGTCATTTCAAAATAAAGCCTAAACAAACTACCCATATGTTTACTCTGTTTGTCACCAAGAATTAAGATTTGATCTCATTATATAGGTGGTCGTTAATGTAGAGCTGCAGAAATTTCTTTATCATGTTTATTGAAGAAATTACAAAGAACCAAAATGGAATGGGCCAGCAGATAAGATAGGATGTAATGAGATTCTCTCTCTCTCTCTCTTTTTTTTTTTTTTTAATGAGATGGAATATCGCTCTGTCTCCCAGGCTGGAGTGCAGTGGCGTGATCTTGGCTCAGTGCCTCTTGGGTTCAAGTGAATCTCCTGTCTCAGCCTTCCGAGATTCTTTCTTAAAGTGAACGTATTTTCAATGCCATCCTATGAGCTTTCCGAAAGAATCGGTAATATTGTTGTACTTAGGATAAATTGCATCTCCACCCGGAAAGGGGAAGGAGTTATAACTTTGATTGATTCCTTGATTTCAAATTTTTGCACATGCAAGATTATTCAAATGACCCTTGATGTCCATGATTTTTAGAAGGATACAAACAAAACAGGTAATGTTTGGCCAGAATGGTGAATAACTTAAAGGGAAAATTACTTGGAAAATAAATTCGAAGTCATAGAATTGTTTAAGGTTGAGAAAACAAGCCAGTTAGCCTCAAATACTTGAAACAATAACGTGTGATGGGGATCAGTCATATTCCATGGATCTCTCAGGATATGTAGGGATCTTCTCTCATATTAATGTATGAAAATGTCTTATCTGATTACTGTACATTCCCATTTGTAACTTTTTATTAATTTATATGCTATGCTTTTCTTCCAAGTATGACTTTTTTTTTTATTTTTATTTTGATGGAGTCTCGCTCTGTTGCCCAGGCTGGAGTGCCGTGGTATGACTTCTGCTCACTGCAACCTCTGCCTCCCAGGTTCAAGCGATTCTCCTGCCTCAGCCTCCTGAGTAGCTGGGACTAGAGATGCACACCGCCACGCCCAGTTTTTTTGTATTTTAGAAGAGACGGGATTTCACCGTGTTGCCCAGGCTGGTCGTGAACTCCTGAGCTCAGGCAATCCGCCTGTCTTGGCCTCCCAAAGTGCTGGGATTACAGGAGTGAGCCACCGCGCCCAGCCCCAAGTATGACATTTTTAAAGGAATTAAATGTAATGTTATTACATGTTGAGTAAAAATTAATTTATATATATTGTGTGTCTTCTCTGCACAAGACATTACACTGGATGATGGGCATCCATTCACCTTATTTCATGCTTACAAGAATTCTATGCAGTGAGGATTGTTATTTGTATTGTGGGCATTAGAGAAACAAGGTTGAGAATGTTTAAATAATTTGTCCAAAGTCATGTTACTATTAGAACCAATATTTAAACTAGTTTTCTGTTGACAGAACTTTTTCATTTTTCTTATACTTTACAGTACCAGTCAATACTTAAAGTATTTTTTCCAAAACTTATTTGTTTAGTAAATATTTATTAAGCATCTATGATATACCACATACTGTTCTCAATGTGGGCAATATAAAAATAAAATAAAATCAGATAGAGAGCAAACAATCAACTAGTAAGTCCATTAAATAAAGGCCTTGAAAGTGATACATTGTATGGAAAAAATAGAGGATGGTAAGAAAGGCCTGGAGGTTTGGGTGGAAGAACTTACAATTTCAAATAGTGTGGTCAAGGGAGACTTCCTTGACAAGATGCAGAAATGAAGGAAGTGGGTTAACTATGTGGATATCCAGAAGTACAGTATCCCAGTCAGACGGGGAACAACGCATTGAGACTAAAGGTGATGGTGGGCCAAGCATTTAGAAGAAACAGCCACGGCCAGGTGCGGTGGCTCACGCCTGTAATCCCAGCACTTTGGGAGGCTGAGGCGGGCGGATCGCAAGGTCAGGTGATCAAGACCATCCTGGCCAACATGGTGAAACACTGTCTCCACTAAAAAGACAAAAAAAAAAAAAAAAAATTAGCTGGGCACGGTGGTGTGTGCCTGTAATCCCAGCTACTTGGGAGGCTGAGGCACAAGAATCGCTTGAACCCAGGAGGTGAAGGTTGCAGTGAGCCGAGATCGTGCCACTGCGCTCCAGCCTGGTGACAGAGCAAGACTCCATCTCAAAAAGAAAGAAAGAAAGAAACAAACAAACAAAAAACAGCTGCAAGACCAATATGGTCAAATAAAGCAAAACAAAACTTTTGAATTTTACAATAGAAATTTATGTGATCGAACTATGTATGACCTATAAAAAAATTCACTTTATACAGGATGATATTTTATCCATTCATGAATGGGCATTTCTTGTAAATTCAGTCAATATTCACACATTCAGCAAATGTTCATTGAGCACGTACTATGAGCTACCATTCTGGGTTATGGGATACATTAGTGAAAACAAATGCCAAAGATTTACATCCTCATGAAAATAACCAATGACCATGAACAAGCAAGGTATATCCCAATAATTTAAACTAGACTTATAGTAAAAACTTAGTATCACACGTCATATGAATAAGTAAAAAGAAAAATCTCTCTATATATGTCTAAGGTAATTAATACTTTGAAAAACCTACTTGACATATGGAATAATAAAATAGATTCATATATTACAAATACATACATACATATATCACACATATGAGACATACACACATTATTATTTTTTCCTTAAGATAATTCCCTGAAGTCTATTTGTCTTGGGTCAAAGGGCACATATACTCTTTTGAGCTCTAAACACAAATTTTCCAATTTTCCTTCAGAAAGTTTATGCCACGTTCATTAGGTTTGGAGACTGGAGATTAGAGGGAAAAATGTTCTTTTATAGGAAAAACTTGCCTTCACTATTTAATTCATAAAACATGTAAGCTGGATGTGGGGATGGGAGTAAAATGCAGTTTAAACAATTGATATAATCAGCTTTAAGCTGTTCTTCTAAAAGATGATTTATAATCTCAAACTATATTGAGCAATGTCAGAATAATTATTCAACTAATAAAAATAAACAATTACCTGGAACAGCTTTGGTTTCAAATTGCCTGAATGCTTGTGGTAATTTTTCTCCTTAGAATCTTTTTCATTTGTTCTGATGTTTAAATAATGATCAGATGCACAACTAGGAAGGAAATTGGAAAACTATTACCTCAAGCAAAGCCTAACAAGAGGGTGTCACAATTTCCATCAAACCTTCGATTTGACTTAGACACACAATCATCCTGTTTAAAATGCACAGTGACAGGGGAATAGACTGAATGACCATATTGATCCTAGGTAGCCAAAAAGATTATAAAATTCAATGACTTGTTCCCTTGTACTGAACAGAGCTATCAACAAATGTCCACTCTAGCTAACAGCGAACCCCTTCTGCCTGCAGGGTAATAAATGAATAGGACACTAATTCAATGTGTGATTGACCAAGAGCAAAGCAACAGAGGTACCTGTCTGTGATTTTCATCATTGCTGGGCTGAGTCAGCCGTCACTGGTTTTGGCTTGAGGACCACATTTCACTTTAATATTTCTGAATCAGATTGGTGCTTCCTATCGGTTCTGCCTTAATGCTCCAGCTATCATCTCAATAGCTTATATAAAGTTAATTAAGGCTATCCGAAATGCAGCCTTTCCAGGACTGTATCTCTTGAGCCTCCATCAAAACTGCCTTGTCATAAAGTAGAAGAAACTAGCATGTTAATAAGAAGAAGAGAAATCTGTCCAACTTCTAATAGTCTTATGATTCACCCTCCAATGGCTCAGAGGCCTTTCTGGACAACAGTGATTGCCATCTGGTTTCTTTGGGGATGATAAATTCAGCAATAAACATGGCTTTGGTCCTCTGTCCCTGTAAACCCAAGACACAAATATTGTGAGTCAGATGTTCCCAGCCAACAACACAACGGCTCCTGGGCTCAAGTGCTCATTTGACACAGCCCATGCCACCCAACTTCAATTTTGCCTGGGCTACATTTCTTTTGGAGGCACTACAGATTTTTTTTTTTAACACACACACACGCACGCACACACACACACCATTTTTTTTCAAGGAGGCAGGGGCATCCAGCCAAATAAACTACGTTAAGCAGTGGGTTCCATTTTAGGTGTTGACAGTGTATAATAAATCCAGGCCTACCTAACATTTACAGGAACGTTATAAAATGAGTGAAATGGCATGAGCTGGTTGCCAGGCCAACCAGACAAACACAATAAACAGGCAGCAGTGACAGGAGTAAGTTACACCATCTCTCCGGTCTGAAATATATCACTTTACATTAGCCTTTGACCACTTTGAAAGCTCTTTGTTTTATATTTTTCAAAATGCTCTTTTACAGCATAGATTACCATTAAATCTTTTCAGATGAGGAAGTTTCTTTTTTTCCCCAAACTTGCATAGCTCTAGAAAGTGAACATTTATTTTTATTTTAACCCTAATTAAAAAATAAATTCAAGTCTTAGGAACAATGTTAAGGCTCAAATCCTGAAGGTCCCTTCTGGCAGATTAAAATGAAAAAAAAATCTCTAGACTAGAAAGAAAATAAACAATAACAGTAGTTAGTACACTTAGTTGGTTTAAAATGTTCTGTTAAAATAGCAACATTTTGCAGTGCTATTTAACTCTTTAAAAGTGAGTCTGAATTCTTAAGTACCTTTTCCTCTAATAGAGAATACATTTTAATATAAGCTTAGAGTTATAGAACATCATAGCAAAAGCATCTTAGAAATCTTTCAGCACAATTTCCCTACTTGACATAGAATAAAACAAAAATAGATGGGTTAGACTGAGTTTTTTAATTACTAAAGATAATGACATCTTATTTCTGTTATTTACCTATAAAAGTATTTATTTTTATTCCTTTAGTCAATATTCCTGTAAGTAAAAGATGCTCTATTGCACTTTGTACCTTGGGCAACAAAGTAAAGTAGAATAATTTAGAATTGTCCATATAAAATGAAATAAAACTACTATATTTGCAAAAGATATATAGATACCTTTAATACCCAGTTTAATCAAACTTGTTTGACCCATGCAAAATATGAGATTATTAACTATTCTTCCAAAAGTCATACTGTGAATAGGGTGACTGACGATCAGTCTGCCCAAAACATTTCAAGTTTTAGCCCTGAAAGTCCCATGTTTCTGAAAACCCTCAGCCCTGGGCAAACAGGGACAATTACTTATCTATTTGTGAAGGTAATTTACTTTATTCTCATTGTTTTATAAAATATTTCATAAAAGTGTGTTTGTAAATTATTCTGAGGAAAATTTTGCCATTACTTCACTTGTTTATAATCAATAGACTCCACATATTTGAAATCTATTTTCTCCAGTGGGTGTGGTGTCTTTAGTATAAAAGACTTAGAATATGGTTAACTCATGCATCATGTTCAAGTTTTTAAATTGCAGCTATATCACTGAAAAATATTTCATGGCTGATAGAAAAAGTTATCCCAGTTTCCCATTGACTGATTGATCGTTTCTCTACTTGTCCTACCAGGACTTTGCTTTAAGGAAAACAATGTAGGATGTTAAAAAAAATAGAGAATGAGCAAAGGACAAGGTTAGAGGAAGCCTTCTGCCAGAACGTGGTTCTAACATAGCATACATTCGCAATTCTTCTTAAAAATGATACCAGGCATCTCCAAAATTGATTGATATTTTACTGTTAATTGGCACAGATTTTACTATATTGAGCTAAGAAAAGGCATTCTTCTCCCTTTCTATGAGCAGAATTGTATGTCAACTCTACAGATACTTCTTTAATAAGTTTTCTAATTCTATATTTTTGACATCTTATATGTCTACCTGTAGCTTGACATCCTAATCAATTACAGTTGGAGAAAATTAAGATTTTCTGATAAAAGTATTTCTGATAAAGAATAAACACATATAATTATCAGCCACAGTTCTTTACTCCATGTTGTTCCCACACCCTTTGCCATGTAACTTTGCAATTTCTTTCTTTAAGTAGGTGACGTCTATAGATTCTATTTGCTCACTCTGAATCCGTGACATGTTTCAGTCAATAGAATGCTATTGAAGTGATGGTTCACTAGTTCTGAGCCCAGGCCACAAGAGGTCACGTGCACTTCTACTTTTTCTACCTTTGCCATAAAAACATGCCTGGCTCTCCTGCTAGAGATTGAGCAAACAGGCCCAGTAGCTATCTTAGCCCTGGCTGACAGTCACTTAACTGCCAGATATGAAAGTGATCCCATCTGAGGCAAGGGATCCAGCCAGGTGAGTCCAGCCCAACTAAACCATCAACTCCAAGACTCACGATTTTGAAAATTCTTATCTTCTTTTGCCACACAGATTTGATATGATTTGCTATGTAGTATTGCTGTGACAATAGATAACTGGTATAAAACTGAAAGTAAAGTGCCTTCATAGGCGGCTGCTATAAAAATATACACTCTGTAAAGAGTTGTAAAGAGGTTTTTGTGTCAACACCTTCTAATAATCTTAGGGTTTGATTGCAATTTTACTGAAGTCCATACTCCAAGCCACCTAATGCTCACATGCTTCTCCCTAGCTGCTTGGTGACCCTGCTTCAGGTACTTATACCTCATAATGTACTCAAGCATGGCCATTATGTCCACAAAATAAAGATGGAACATACTGCCTTAGTGGTCATATTGCATTAGTGCATGGCAGTAGTTAGCCTCTTGATTTAAATAATGCACGGAGCCTATTTGAGGAGGTCCATGGTATATTTATATTTCAGTTCTAAAATATCCCAACTGGCTACCACAGCTAGAGCTAATTAATCAACTGGTTAGTTAATATGTTATTGCTAGAGCTGCATCTATGCCCAGCACGATAGCTATGTTTTAGGGATACTGATAGGTTTAACCATGCACACTGGAGAACTACTGCAAAAAGGTATCCTGTGCATACTTTAGCAAATTTAATTTCTACCACACTATTGCTAACTGGCAACTGTCTCTATTGATGTTATTCCATATACAGGATTCAGTGAATAGAGTTAAAATTTAAAACTTAAATTTTCTAACTTTGATTATGGTCAGAAGTCTAGCATAATAAGTGGTTATTAAAGGAATAAAATAATTAAGGAAAAATGTAAAGAAACAATTCTATGTCCTATAAGAGACATAACTTGCTTTAATAACTAGGCATGATGAAAAAATGTAGTAATAAAACATAGAAATAATGTTAGAAATAAAGTGTTAGAAGATAAGTATAAGAGAAAACATTTTTCGTTTCAATAAGGCCCAAGAGAACCCTTACAATCTACAAATAGAGATTCTCCTTGGACCACAAAAGGCAAGACTGTTAATCTTTCTGTAACTACCTTGACATCATTCTTACCATATCTTATGGCCATTTCCACTACATAGCTTCCAACTAAAAACAAAGGAACAAACAAAAACACTGTGTAAAACAGGTACAGATATTCTATTGAACAACCATGGTTATTGTCCTGACATCTACCTGCAGAAAATAATCAATCACCAAAGGGAATCGAAAAATGATAAGAAGGACAATATTGAATGTTACAGACTGTCCTGAAATATAGGAAACCTTATTTCCTTATCCCCAAGTTTAACAGTACTTCACTTAAAAGGTAAAAAAAAAAAAAAAAAAAAAAAAAAAAAGGCATACTAGTCTAAAATGTCTCAGCTACAGAAATTTCTAAATGATCCATCTTGGAGTAGCTGTCCACAGCTGAATAAAATTGCCTTAGTGCATGAATCACTCTTAGGTTTTATTCAGGTTCATTACTATGTGTTATTTCTCTCGGCTACCCTTCTCAATCCTTGCTCACCATGCTATTTGGAAATCTCTAAAGGAAGGGTGGGGTGAATCCCATGACTCCTGCTCTCTTGCCATTTTTAGCTGCCTGAAACCTTTCCTGGCTGCCAGAATTTATAGACTTGGGCTGAGTGGCCTTGCCAAATAACAAGCGTCTGGCTCATGAATCCCGAGGTGGACTCTTATTAAATGGAAACGTGTCCACTCCACCATATGAAAGCAAAGAAGGGGCTTGAAATGTCAATGTGTGAAAAGTCAAGGTTAATGGAGTGCAAGGTTTTTACAAGAGAACCGCCACCCTGCAATGACTAATTAAACCGAGTGAGGTCCAGATGGCAAGCATCTTTAAAGATGCCAATTATAGATTCAAATGTTTTTGTGTGACACTGTTTTCCTAGAAAGATTAAGTAGTAATGACGTCTTGCTTTCAGTGTGAGATATCACTTTATTCCATCAGTGATCTGGCCAATACCTGGCCTTGGCTGCACGTATTTACACAATTGATGCTACCTTCATAATATGAATGGGCGTAGAGCAGACACTTAAGTTAAATTTTAACTTAATTAAAATTTAAGCTATCTGTAGCCAACCTAGAAAAAGTGAGTGGATCTCTGGTCAAAAATGAAATTTTCTGTATTTGTATTACCACACTCCGGCATGATTACCTGGGCTCATTTTTGAACAATCATTTGGAAAAATCAATTTTGAACAATCATTTGAAAAAATACTTACCTTATGTCCACTGAAGTCTTGTAAGTTCTACCATCATAGCCACCTCCTCAGGGAAATGTCCTGAAATGATTCAAGGACACAAAAGATGAGAAGGAAATAAAACTTCCAAAAAATATGCAACCAAGCTGAATAAGGGCGAAAGACTTAAACCTGTTAGGGACAGGGGCAAATTTGAATGAGGTGAACCAAAATTCTTCCACTTTGGGATAGAGAAAAGTCAAATTAATCATTTTCCTCACCTACTGAGTCTCATATTTAGATAATTTGCGTGGGGGTATGAGATGGAGTCTCACTCTGTTGCCCAGGCTGGAGTGCAGTGGCATGATCTCTGCTCACTGCAACCTCCACCTCCTGGGTTCAAATGATTCTCTTGCCTCAACCTCCCAAGCAGCTGGGATTTCAGGCACCCACCACCAGATCTGGAAAATTTTTATATTTTTAGTAGAGACAGGGTTTCACCATGTTAACCAGGCTGGTCTTGAACTCCTGACCTCAAGTGATCTGCTTGCCTCGGCCTCCCAAAGTGCTGGGATTACAGGCATGAGCCACCGTGCCCAGCCTAGATAATAATTTTTAGCCTAATATTTCACTCTACAGTCCTGCACAAGATGATTCTGAAGATGCTTTTAAAGTATTCTGTGTTCAAAACACCGTAATAAATTCTGTATGAAACTGCATGTAAAGCGTCTCTTTACCACAGATGTCTCAGGTTCTCTACCTTACTATGGTGAACTCTGAGTTTTGAGGGAGGGATGAAATATTGTATACCTGCACATTAACAAACACACACACACACACACACACACACACACACACACACACACAGAGAGAGAGAGAGAGAGAGAAAGAGGGTTTTCAGACTTTGTTTTTAGATTTAACATTTTTTAATAAATGTAGATTGAGTACAATACTGAATAAGTAAGGTTAATGAGAAGAAGAAAGATGACAAAAGTCTGTCATTTAGGAGCATTAATCTGGCAAGGGAATCAGGATATTGTAGACAAAATTGGTAGAGCAATGAAATTAGCATTTTCTTCTCACTATCACCCTTACACAAGATGTTAAAAAAACAGAGTGGGGAAGGAGTCAAAAGGGAGACAGAGAGTCATTCAAGAGCAAACTTAATGGGTTTGTGGGACTTTCTGTAAGTCAGGAGCAAGAAACAAGTCAAAGATAATTCTGAGGTCTCTGGAGAAAAAAATATTAATAAACATTGGGATAGGTGAAATGAAGAGAAATCCACTTTCGCATTTGTGGAGTTTAAAGCTATGAAAATCTTTGAAGCTTTGAGTGTGAGAAAAATAACCTAGAGGGGCCGCTCATCTTTTAAAGTATGTTGGTAAAATGGTGACTGAGTCTAGCAAAAATCATGCACAATTCTTGAAGAGATAAGATTTGGTTTATGTGTTAGTCAGAGTTCTCTAGAGGGACAGAACTAATAGGATAGATGTATATCTAAAGGGGAGTGTATTAAGGAGTATTGACTCAGACGATCACAAGGTGAGGTCCCACAATAGGTCATCCGCAAGCTGAGGACCAAGGAAGACAGCCTGAGTCCCAAAACCCCAAAAGTAGGGAAGCTGACAGTGCAGCCTTCAGTCTGTGGTTGAAGGTCCAAGAGTCCCTTGGACCAAGTTGAAGAACTTGGAGTCAAATGTTCAAGGGCAGGAAGCATCCAGCACGGGATAAAAACGGAGGCCGGAAGGCTAAGCCAGTCTAGTCCTTCCACGCTCCTCTGCCTGCTTGTATCCTCGCAGCACTGGCAGCTGATTAGATGGTGCCCACCCTGACTGATGAGGGTGGGTCTGCGTTTCCCAGTCCGCTGACTCAAATGTTAATCTTTTTTGACAACACCCTCACAAACACACCCAGGAACAATACTTTGCATCCTTCAGTCCAATCAAGTTGATACAATATTAACCATCACAGATTAAAAGGAAGAAATTGAAGCCTTTTCATTCCAATAATAGACTTTTGGTGCTAGACTGTGTGATAAGAAAGCAGATAACAGAGATGACAGCTGAGAACAAGTTAAACTCCAAGAGCACCTAAATGAATCACATCTACAGGTCAAGGTATGTGTAAGTGTGAGTATGCATGTGTGACGTATAGTTGCCAAAGGGCCAGAGGAATCTTGAAAATGAGTTGACTTTTATGGACTATTAATACTTTTATGACTTTTATTGCTATTAACATGGTACTGATTTTGGTTAAGATTACTGGGTACTTGCTGAAGCCCAGAAGATATTTTCCATAGACAATTTTGATTAATTATCAAAAGAATCTTATGCAGGTACAACTTTCCCTTTATGAAATGATTTTATTAAGGTATAATGTATATACCTAAACATTTACCCATTTTAAATGTACGACTTAATGATTTTAGCAAATTTACTGCACTGTGTACAACCATCAGCATAATATATGGTTTTAGAACATTTTCATCACCCTGGTAAGATCATGCATGACCTTTATAATCAAGGTACATCCTCACTTCCAGCTCCAAGCAACCAATAACCTACTTTCTTTCTCTATACATTTTCAGCACGTACTATGTTATGCCCATTTTGCATCTGAGTAAATTTGACTTCGTTGTTCACCTAGTTCTGAATTAAATTTCCCTTATTAGCAAGCAGTATAGGAAACAGAATGTCTTTGAAAATCATGATAAAATTACAACAACAACAACAGCATGAAGTATATGATTCCAGAAACCTAATGTCTACAGCATGGGAGATATTTCTTGTGGTAAGTTAGTGTTTTCCATGTTCAAAAGAAATAAACCAAGAACTAAAAGATTGATGTGCCAGCCTACGAAGATGGATCCTATATGACATTGAGGGGGAATAAAAAGGCTTGGTACCAGTAAGAAAATAAGTGAGGTTTCACTGTTGGCTGAGCCTTTAGACACCACCAGCCTGGCTAGGTGAGTTTGTGGAAAACTGTCTTTGGTGGTCTCTGGGTGAAACCCTGATAGGCAATTGCATTTCAGAGACAGTCAGCATGGTCAGCTAGGGATTTGGATTTGTCCCACAGTTTGAAAGGGGGGCAGAAATTGACCACATGGAAATTGGCGTTCAGAGAAATTGCATCTGGAAGGCAAACTTTCCAGGCTGCTGAAGGCTTAAAATGTCAAATTGTTTGAAAAACAAACACCGTGACATAAGAGGTATATGCAATGAAATCTTCAAGATGTTCCCAGCAGAGCAGCATACAGTAGTTGGCTCAATGAACCTATACTCCAACCCCCAATACTGGCCTAATAACCAAAATAAGAAGTAGAAATGTTAACTGTGAGATTTAAGAATAGGATTTGAAAAACCAACCGCACAGGCTAGATTTGCCCTCAGCTCTTATCCACACAATAATTACTGGATGTTCTCTGTTAGGCTCAATCTTTTTGCAAATGACTCAGCCTCCTGCACCTGGTAAGTGTGCATTCCTAAACTCTGAAAGAGTCTACATATTCTATATAAATTGAAGATTAAGCCTCATGGATAATACAAAAATAGGGTTCAGGCAGAAGTGAAGAAATCTGTTCAAAATTACCTTGGGAAGGGACTATTCCTCAACGAGCTGATAATCCAGCCTGTAAAGTAGCAATTGGACATTCAAGATACAAATCAAGCTTGCAAGAAGAATGAGATAGCAAATCTTCAGGGAATTTAAAAAACACAGTCATAATCAGACTGTGTAAAGTATAAAAGTGAATACTTATTCACTCAGAAGATATTTGTGGTTCACTGGTAGGCCACTTGGAGTTTCTATTGTGGTTTCTTTATTCTCTCTCATCCTTAAAAAATGTGATGAGTGTAATAAGCTTTACATCCATTTTCAAGGCCCAGTGCAAAAGAAGTCTACCCAGTTCTTATCTGGCAAGTGTCCCTTCTGCTTCTGAAAATTTCTTTCACCACTTAACCCATTGCCTAGTGTATTAGTCTATTCTCACGCTGCTAAATACAAAGAAATATCTGAGACTGGGTAATTTAGAAAGAAGAGAGGATTAATTGGCTCATGGTTCTGCAGGCTGTACAGGAAGTATAGTGGTTTCTGCTTCTGGGGCATCCCAGGAAACTTACAAACATGGCAGAAGGCAAAGGGAAAGCAGGTATCTTACATGGCCGGGGAAGGAGGAAGAGAGAGGGGGGAAGTGCCTCACACTTTTAAACAATCAGATCTCATGAGAACTCACTCACTCACCGTCATAAGAACGGCACTGAGGGGATGGTGCTAAACCATTCATGAAGGGTCCACCCCCATGATACAATCACCTTCTACCAGGCCCCACCTCTAACATAGGGGATTACGATTGAACATGGGATTTGGGTGGGGACACGGATCTAAACCATATCACTTCATGTTCCATTACCTTCTCCAGTCACCTATGTTATCATTCTGGTATCAAGCCCATCAGGCATCAAATTGCTTTTCATTTTCACTCTTTCTCACTTTTGTTTTATGTTTAATAAATGATTGTTCAAAACCAAAGCATGAGAAATATGAGCATCGACACTTATAGAACATCATTTGTGTTAGGCATCTTAGTTTTTTATTTTTCTCATTGTTGTAAAGAAGGCAAAGAGATAAAGAGACGTAGTCATAGAGAGAAACTTAATTGGCACTACTGTAGGCTCAGCATCTATTTTTTCCTATGCTTTAAACAATAACATCTGCCAGCGTATAATAAGACTATCAAGAAAAAGCATTTTGGAAATACTTAAAAAAAACCCATGTTAATCAGTCTTCCTTTTCCTAAGGCAATTGTTCCAATTTTAGTTTTTTTCTTAAAAAAAAAAAATTTTTTGTTTTTAATCACATGGGTAAACTCTGATTATTGAAGGAGGGAGGTAGAAAGCCCAGATAGAGAAGAGTAAAATTTACCCATATTTTCACTACCTAGGATAATGGAAAAATACTCCTAACATTTTGGTTTATATCCTTTCAGAAACATGTGTATGCACATAAACACTCAAACACACATGCACACATATAGGCATTTCATTAGTTTTCCTGCATAACACACCATCCCAAAATTTTATGGCTTAAAATAATAGCAATTATTTATTTAGCTTGCTTTTCCATAGGTCAGAAATTTAGGCTGGACTCACTTGAGAGATTTTTCTACTGCTATGAAGTTAGGTGGCACCATTTCTGGGGACTGTTTAGAGGTGGCTGGTCCATAAGTGTCTCATTCTCCATTAGGCTTGTCCAGCTTCATTCTCATGGTGGCAGTAGCAGGGTTCCCAGGAGAAGCAAGAAGGCAAGTTCCAACGTACAAGCTCTTTTCAAGCCTCTGATTGTGTCCCTGGTGCCAACAGTCTATTGGAAAACCCATTCACTTGGGCAACCCAGATTCAAGGAATAGAGAAACAGATTCCAATATTTGATAGAAGGACGCACATTGGAAGAATTTGTGGCCAGTTTTGTAGTCACTCATAATTCTACCACCAGGAAATGTGATACTATAAACATTTTGGTTATTTTTTTTTCAAAAATACTCAAACCTATGCTAAATTAAAATGTGATTTAAGTGCATTCCCATATCTATGCATGTTGCTCTACCTCACTGTTTTAAATAGCTGCAGAGTGTTGCTCTATTTAACTGTACTATGATTTATTTGACATATCTCCAGCAATTCAACTTTAAAACATTTCCAATTTTTCACTATCAGGTTGTCATAAACATCTTTGCACATTCATCTTTCCAGGATTATTTTTATATATATCCCCTCGGCTAGGTTATTATCATCAACTTTCCAAACCCCTCAAAACTGCAGCCTCTGTTCGCAAAGCGACATGGAGAAAAAGACAGTGGAAAGGCTAGAAAGAAAGACCAGACTAAAACGTTGACTGCTTATGACAATTTGTCGCCAATACTAAGAAAAATTAAATGTGAAAAGTAAAATTAAATATTAAAAGAACCACAAAAATTATCATGAGAACACCATTTGCTTACAAAACTAAATTGTAAATGTATTCTCAACTTATTCACTCTTACTGTACTTAATATCCTACTTCAAATGTGCAATACAGGATCATTTTTTTACTTCTTCTGATAGCATCATTCCAAGTGGCTAGGATATTTCCTTCAGCAACATCTTGGTCTCTTCTTCGTATTGATAGAACAGAGCTGTTGGATTTTCTGCATATCCTGAATCAGACGCCTCCCATTCATCTCTGGTCCATAACCAGGCTCTTCTGCCTTCACTGCCTTTGCCGTCTAACTCTGGAGCACAAATGAGATGATTCCACCAAGGTTGGTTTCACTGGCAATGATAATCTGGGTGTCATGGCCCAGCTTTCCCGCCAGCTTTTGGGCCTTCTCCAATTCACTAAATACTTCCTCATAATTTTCTTCCAATTCAAGAATAAGGGGGAAAACTATAGCACTTGATCTGCACCTGTGTGTTGTGGGTACCCGATAAGCAAAACAGGGGAAGAAATTAAATAAACACCTTATTATAGTCAAGTTGAACTAGGTCCAAGAAGATGTCTGAAAGCTTTTGTTTGCCGAAAACCAAGCTCTCAGGCTAATAATGGTGAGTAGGTGTCAAAGGTATAATAAGAAGTAAAGTTCTTTAAAAACAAACTGCAAACACCATAAAATTATATTGTTTTCAACTTCCCTGTTCAGTGGCTTTGTTATGCATGTACATTACAGCAGCCAGTCATGCCCACAAAAGACAAGAGTATTCCAAGCCTGTCATGTGTTTATATATGACGTTCAGAATTAAGGTTACATAAATGAACTTTTTACTCAGTCAGCATAATCAATTAGGTAAATCTGGGAAAGTAGGAAAGTGAAAAGTTTGAAAAATATATTTCATTTCACCAATTTATCTTCATTGTCTAATAGTTGCATTTGCAGAAAAAATTTATTCTTTCATCTTATGTTTTTTTATTTTTATGGCTAATTTTAAGGCTCCAAATTCCTAGTTTGTTTATCTATTTTTGCCTTATTTTTACTAGAGACATGTGGCAAGACAATGCTATCAGGGAGAATTGAATTTGTTCGTTTATAAAGGCTTTCTATATGGAAAGATTAAAGTAAAACTAGAACAAAAGACCTAAAATCCATTTTTGAACTAGGGCTATAAGATTATAGAAATTATCCTCATTTGTTTTGATACAGTGAACAAGTTAGTGGATACAAATAATAAAATATTTACACAATATAGTTATTATTTCTTATGGAAAATGATTGTAAAGACCAGAAAACAACCTTATTCTTTGTGTTCTCATTTACCAGCTTCTCAAAATCTTATGTGGAATCAAATGAAAAGTATCAAAGTCTCCAGCTGGATCCTTAGCATCTATGGTATCTCATTTTCTCCACGGAAACAAGGAAGGGCTCCCCATTCATGGAGAAATACCAGTTTCATTTTAAGCATGACTACTGATGTCCATGGCAAGTCTGCTGACTGAAAAGAAAGTGTTTATTGATTCAACCTTTCCATAACCCTTTACTAAAGTAAACATGTCTGAGACAACTAAGCAAAACATCAAATTTCACTCAACTACCATGTGGCCTTCTTTACTTAAAAAACTTGGCATGGGCCACTACTCCAGCCAGGGTCCCAGGAGCACAGAGGACCTGCCTTTTAAATGGTACAATAATATCCACCACCACCGATTTTCACTCCCATCACTATGGGCACCCATCTCTACTGCCTTCCCAATATCTTTGGTTAATTACTGGTGCCTAAAATGTTAGTAATGTCCTCATTATAATACAGGTTAATATGGGGCATTTTCATCTCATTTTAAGTTGATATAAACATCTTTTCTTGGAAGATGAGAGAACAAGTCTGCACAGTTTCAACACTTTTGAAAAATCTTACCTTGTTGATAATTGTGCAGTCTTGCATTTATTATTACTTCCAGATTTGATCCAAAATAAGAATCTTAGGGTGGCAATGCCATAATCCCTAACTGCGCATCATCTTCTTCTATACTGAAACCTGGATTTTACCCAACATGGAGAAATTAATAAAATACCCTCACATTCTGTGATATAACTTTCATAATATATCCATCATCACCGGAGGGAGAAAATGGTTAAAGACATGTGTATACAAGAGATACAATTCTGCATATATTTATATTTATACTTATTTATTCATTCAACAAATATTTATTGGCCATCTACTATGTACGAAGCACCATACTAGGCACTAAAAACAATGATACAGAATACACATTTTCTTTGGGAACTTTTCCAAGGGATATGAAAAAGTATGGATAACATACCCAGGCTAGTGAAATATAAGAAATGTTTTAGTCAATTTTATTGTTTTGCCTAGTACCCCATTCAGGAAGTTTTCTCCCAAAGGTCCAGCTCATTGGAAAGTAAATAATGGTATCTTGCCCCCTCATCAACCCATCAGTGTCAAGTTGAGTAATAAATATTGACCATTCAACCCAAGATGGTCTAAGTTAAATATCAAACTGCCAAAAATGGTAGTTAAGAATATATATTCTGAAATATGTCTGCCTAGGTTAGAATTCAGGTTCTTCCTCTCGTTATGTGCATTATGTGACTTAATTATTGAATAATTAAGTTATTCAATTTCTCTATGCCTCAATGTTGTCATCTGTGAATTTACGTGATAATAGAACTAGTGGTTTATTGTTGGGATTAATGAGAGAATACATTTTAAGTTTAGAAAAAGGGAATGGGCCATACTAAAAAAAAAAAAACATTAATTATTGCTATTACAGTTGAGTCCTGTTGGCACAAGAACTGGGAAGATATAAAGGAGCTAAAGTGATATTCTTTCTCCTCCATCTACGAGAATAGAGAAAAGTGATGGAGGGGGTAATCAGAAAAAGAGAGAGAGAGACAGACAGACAGAAACATACACACAGACACACACACACACACACACACACACACACACACACACACACACACAGAGTTAGAGAGAGTCAGTAATCACAGAGATAGAGATGAAGAGAAGAGTTTCTATCAGTATGTCAATTAGAGTCCAAGAAGGAAACAGATGCCACACTCACATACAGCTAATTTAAGGAGGGCTTAGTTAGCAGGATAAGTGGAAGGAGTAGTAGCTGTAATGAGAAATGCAAGATTCTAATAATTCATCATATGAAACTGCATAGGGATCAGGAAAATAGGTCTGTGGTTAAGGGAAGTAATCAACTGACAGGAACCTACAGAAGGGTGCCAAATATTGCACTCTCACTCTCCTCGTTATCACTAATCTGCCAAGCCTCTCCTTTGGCTGAATCTAACGAGAACCCAGAAGGCACGAAAGCCATGTGACGGCATTCATATAGATTATGCTCTAGGGGCAGACAGCTGCGAGAAGAGGAGGAAAGAGTAGACCTGGAGGACCAAAGGAAGATATCCTGCACGGAGCCCCAACTGGGCATAGGGAAGGAGCATCTACCATTTGGAAGGCTTCTTCCAGTTCTGGTGCTTCCTGTCTTGGGTTATACGAAATACCCTTGCATGTTTCCACATTTCCTCTTTAGCCTAAGATATAATGAGTGCTTTCTCTTATTTGTAACAAAGCTAATTTTGATTTAAGCAGAAAAGTTCTGGCAACTTCAAAATATGAGTAGTAAGTCTCTGGCTGTAAAGTCAGAGGAGGAGGAGGGGCATCCACACTGTCTTATTCAGCCATGGTTCTTTCTGATGAAGCAATGCCAGGAGCACACATACAGCAATTTTTTTTTTATTCAACACAATGGTTAGGCTGTGGTCTCTGTTTAGTTATATAATGTATTTGGAGAGAAACATTTCATGCATTTTGGATCATGTGTTTATTATTTTGGAATAAAGAAACATCCAATGCCATTTGTTCCACTTTAATCCCTGAACCCCACCATTGTGGTAAAGACTGCCCCTACTTTTGAAATCTAGGATTAAAATTTGCTGTTGCTAATTTCTGGGGGAATATTTGGACTTCCCAGACCCAAGCCATTAGGAAATGGAGACAATTGATCAAAAGGTAAGACGTGGTAAGAGATCAAGTTTAAAACTGGTAGAAGCAGTATTAGAAGTGATTGTTATGGCTCAATAAGGCTGTGAAAATAAATGATGAGCGGCAACAGTGGGATCCATAATTACATAATGAAGGGAATTGGAGTAAAAGAATCACTCCTAGAGATGATGAATACATGGAAAGGAGCAAGTTTCAATTTATTGATGATACAGTTTCTAGTAGAGCATACATTTAAGCTGAGAATGAAAGGAAATCAGATGTGGAATTAAGATGGCAAAATATACTTGTTTAGGCAGGTTTATGCTAAGCTTCAACATTGTATACTTTTAAAAAAATAACTTTTATTTTCTGTTTGTGGGTACATATGCAGGTTTGTTATATAGGTAAACTGTGTGTTTGGGTGTTTGGTGTAAAGATTACACAGGTGATAAGCATGGTACTCTATAGGTAGTTTTTGATTCTCTCTCTTCTCCCACCCTCCACCCTCAAGTAGGCCCTGGTGGCTGTTGGTCCCCTCTTTGTGTCCATGTGGTTTTGTTGTTTCATTCCCACTTATAAGGGAGAACATGTGGTATTTGATTTTCTGTTCCAGAGTTAGTTTGCTTTGGATTATGGCCTCAAGCTCCATTCATGTTGCTGCAAAGAACATGATCTCATTCTTTTTTATGGCTGCATAGCATTCCACGGTGTATATGCCTCACATTTTCTTTATCCAATCTACTACTGATGGGCATTTAGGTTGATTCGGTATCTTTCCTATTGCAAATAATGCTGTGATAAACACACGCATGAATGTCTCTTTGTGGTAGAATGATTTATATTCCTCTGGGTATGTACACAGTAATGAGACTGCTGAGTTGAATGGTAATTCTGTTTTAAGTTCTTTGAGGAACTGACACACTGCTTTCCACAATGGCTGAACTAACTTACATTCCTACCAGCAGTGTCAGGCCACAGTGCGATAAAAATAGAAATCAATACTAAGAAAATCACTCAAACCCATATAATGACATGGAAGTTAAACAACCTGCTCCTGAATGACTATTGGGCAAATAAATTAGGACATAAACCAAGAAATTCTTTGAAATCAATGAAAACAAAGATACAACATATCAGAATCTCTGGGATACACACAAAGCACTGATAAGAGGGACGTTAATAGCACTAAACGTTCAAATTGAAAAGTTAGAAAGATCTCAAATTAACAATCTAACATTGGAACTAGAGGAACTAGAGAAGCAAGAGCAAACCAACCTCAAAGCTAGCAGAAGACAAGAAATAATCCAAATCAAAGCTAAACTAAATTGAGACATGAAAAACCATACAAAAAAATCAATGAATCCAGGAGTTCATTTTTTGAAAATAAGATAGATAGTTAGCTGGACTAATAAAGCAAAAAAAGAGAAAACATCCAAATAAATTTAATTAGAAATCACAAAGGAGACATTACCACTGACCCCACAGGAAAACAAAACAAAACAAAACAAAAAACCATCGGAGACTATTATGAATACCTCTCTGCACACGAACTTTAAAAACCCAGAAGAAAACGATAAATTACTGGACATATAGAACCTCCCGAGATTGAACCTGCAAGAAATTGAATCCCTAAAAAGACCAATAATAAGCTTCAAAATTGAATCAGTAATAAAAAACCTGCCAACCAAAAAAAGCCCAGGACCAGACGGATTCACCGCTGAATTCTGCCACATGTATAAAGAAGAGCTGGTACCATTCCCACTGAAACTATTCCAACAAATTGAGAATGGACTCCTCCCTAACTAATTACATGAGGCCAGCATCATCCTGACACCAAAACCTGGCAAAGACACAACAACAACAACAACAACAAAAAGAAAATTTTTAAATTCAGGCCAATACTCTTGAAGAACACAGATGCAAAAATTCCCAACAAAATACTAGCAAACTTAATCCAGCAGCACATAAAGAAGCTAATCCGCCATGATCAAGTAGGCTTTATCCCTGGAATGCAAGATTGGTTCAATATATACAGATTAATAAATGTGATTCATCACATAAACAAAACTAAAAACAAAAACCACATGATGGTCTCAATAGGTGTAGAAAAGGCTTTCGTATATGTTGTTTAAAGTCAATTTTCTTTGCAAATCTTGTTGCCAGCCTGAAATTTGCATAGTGGGGAAGAGGTTTAAAAGATCCTCCCAATAGGTTTTAGTACACAAGACACTTCTATAGATGTCCAGATACAACATGTGCTAGAAATAGTTTCAGTCAGTTTTCTGAATTTAGAAACTTCTTTCAAGGTTCTAAATCAGGCTTTCATTTAATTGAGAATTGCTAAGGACTTTCTGCCTGGAATGACGGAAATTAAACAACTATGTGACTGCATATCTGTGCATTCATATTAGGGTTTAACTCTCTAAGGAAAAAATCTTAGTTCCCTCACATCCAGATTCTTGGGGGCTTTTCATTGTGCCTACCAAATACTAATAATAATTATAACTGCTGATGCAAAGGTTTCAAGGCAAAAAGACATATCATCATGACCTAGGGCCCCAAATTTTCTATTTTATTTTAGTCACAAAATAAGAGTAGTTAGTGTCGTCTACTTAGATCATTAGTTCTCAAATAAGGGCCTTTTGGCCTCACAAAGGGCATTTGGCCATGTCCGGAAACATCTGTATGGAATAACCCAGCCCAAATAGCCAATAGTGTTGAGAATGAGAAACCCTTCTTTAAATGTACTCTTATAACATGTCCCTGCTTAAACATTCCAATATATACAGTAACACTGCTGGCTTGAGACAGAGATGTGCGTGTTCTATCATTTGCTAAGCCTTCAATGGTTTTCTCTTTTGTTGTTGAAAATGCCTTAAGTATTTGTAATGGGTTTTTTTTTAAATCATATCAGGAGTGTTATTTTTCTCATATTGATATTTCCTTCTGGAGTGAAGTAGTCAGATGATGCTGAGAAAAAAGCTAGTGTCCATGTAAATCAGAAAGTTTTCAGAAGGAAAGAGAAAAACTGCCTGGTATTGAATGAATATTATAGAAACATATAGAGGAGAACATGTCTTTTATTTCTAAACATAGATATACTCAAATAAATACAGAATCCTATAGATATCTGGGTTGAAGCAGGTTATATTCTGAGCATCTTAAATGGTGCAGAATGAAGATTGGGATAAATCATCATTTTTGTCTTGTTACAGATTAAAATGGCCCAGAGCATAATCATTAAGCTTTTGTAGTACAAGGGTCACAATCCTAAGAAGAGCAGTTCAGGAGTACTCATTACTCCCAATACCAACAACTAAGCCATAACAACTGTGTCTTAAATGCTCAACTTCTATTTAATTATCTCTAGAAGAACTGGAGGAGACAAGATCACTGGTGTCTAGGAAGTTCATGTGGTTAAAGACGGTGTCATGACCTCCAGCTAGGTCTCTCTCTTCTCTCCACATTTGCTACTACCTAAATACTGCTTTTTGGGTCTCACTTTCCAATTATGAAGTTATCTGAGCTCATCTCTGACCCCTTTCTGGATTCCCTCTATTCAGTTCATGAGCCCAGAGGAAGTAAGAGCACAACAAACCGGATAAAGTCAAGGTCTAACTAGTGCTAAGCATCACAGAAAGCTGAGTTTATGTATGGCCTCTCACTGCTCTGCTGCTGATAAGCTTTCCTGTTTCATACAGGTGCACAGAGTTATAAACATATTAATATATTCACAGCACACACACACATGCACACACACACATACATACACCTAGTTTTTCTCATATTGAAGCTTTCTTGGGTGAGCACCATACTTGCTAATTATACTCCATGCCCCATCCTCCACAACAAAAAAATTTCCAAAGAAAACAGTTGAAATTTCACCATGACCAGTGTCTGGATGAAGCTGTCT
The DNA here is from genome assembly GCF_000001405.40 of Homo sapiens. NCBI lineage: Eukaryota > Metazoa > Chordata > Mammalia > Primates > Hominidae > Homo > Homo sapiens. The sequence goes on from NC_000017.11 coordinate 71,199,456, forward strand.
TGAGAATTGTGGAATAAGCAGCTCCCTCGGTGTGGGGGGAAAGAAAGTGATTATGTCGTATGCAAGGTTTTTAAATTGAGAGAGAATTAACTCAGCTTATAATAAATCACTGTTGACACCTTCTGTAAAGACTTCATGCTCTTTAAAGCCAGAGGAAATTTTTAACTGGCCAAGAAGGAAACTCCACAAATATTGGCCATTATTTGCACTTGCAATCTTCATGTGGGAGATTCTGAAGGATTTTTCCTGTATGGTATGAACAAACCCCACAGAGAATAGCTATCTCATTAAGATAAACAAAGATTGATTAATAACTTATTATCATATTTTACAATTGGGACTTTAGAAACTGTGTAATGGCAGGAGGGCCTGTCTTCACCTTTCTTGTTTTTAGCTTATATGTTGGTTTTTCTTGAAAAATTCAAACCAAGTAAAAAGATTCATGGGAGCAAACCTTCCTTCCAAGGTTTGAGGAAGAAAGATTTTTTTCTTTGTATTTTTCTAGTAAGAATCACTCACTAGTCTACCAACTTTGATTAAATTGTATAGCCTTTGCAGGATATTATTTGCTGCCTTATTTATTGTCTCACTTACTCCCCAAAAAGTTTCTGAAGAAATGAAGGTGATTTCTATATTATCTACTTTTAGATAAAGAAACTTTTAGTCCGAGAGGTGAAGGTGATTCAAGGACATCTGGGTGAAAGAAAGCTGAGCCAGTTCTTCATTTGAGCTGCAGTCAAGAGGACAATCTCTACTGGGTAAAAATGCTTTATAAAGATGATGTTTCTTGGTTGGTAGAGTAAAATTTTGCATTTCATTTCCAATAAATAATGCTATTCATTAGAAACTTTTTCAAAACTCTCAAAGTGCTACTAAGCCTCCATTAGAGTATTTTCTCTCTCTCTCTTCCATCATTATCCACATTCTCACTACCTGTACAAAGTGATTCAGTGAAAACTGGATTCAAAAGGATTAGTCTCTGTATTTCCAAAAGAGTTTCAGCCCATCTCTGGATGAGTTTCTAATAAAATTCAGTGAAATATAATTGTATATGCTAGATAGCTTTTGCTTCCCTCCACTCCCAGTATGCTTTCTCTCTTTGTCCTTGACCCTCTATTCTGTGCCCAGAAAGGCTGACCTGTAAGGATTGTAACAGTGGTCCCCTCGACCTCTGGCTTCCAGTGGGTTCAACCAATGGGAGACCTTGACAAGAGATTTGAAGGAGGAAAGAAAGTGGGGTTTAAATATTTATCCCACCAGCTCCCTCCTTGCTGGTGACTCAGATAGCCACTGATGTTATCTGAAGAATCTCTTTATAAAATGTCTTTCTCTTGGTTACAGAAATGACTTCTAACTATTACATCAACTAGCTCCATGGAACTGCAATTTCTCTTGATGGTTTCTCCAAACTCTGCCCACATGTATATAGTCAGTTTTACTATAAATCATTTCAGATAACCCAGATTGGATGAGATTCATTGAGGGCCCTGGCATAAAAGGACAGGAACACTCAGACTGGGCTCCCATCTTTTTGATAGATTCCAAAAATGTGAGCCCAGGACTCTACACACATCTGCGATGTTGAAAAGATCAGTCTGTTGAGAAGGGCTTTAGTAGCTCAAAGTACAACTGCAGTATTAATTTTATTGCCCAAATGATAAAAAAGCAAGTAAATAAAATGACCCTATTCAATAACTTTTTTTTGGCGGGGTTGGGGATAGTAGGAAGGAATTGATTCAGAATCAGGCATAAATTAAATTTATATGAATGAGATTTAAATGATGATTTCAACTTAGTAAAATTTGCTCCAGTGAATAGGCTACTTCAGAGAGTAACAAGAAATAATCAGAATAATTAAAGGTCAGCCTGTAGTAATTGAGTAAATTTGCCTATTTTCACTTGGTATGATATTAATTTGAACTGATTATCATGCCAGGACTTTAATATTTTTATTGAAAGGTCATTTTGGACAAAACAAGCTACAGGATTTTATATATATACATATATGCATATAAATATGTATATGGATATATACATACATGTGTATATTATATGTGCACATAAATATATATGACATAGGAATTCCACTGTTAACTTACTCAATGGTTTCTACTGTACAACTCACAAATGCAAAGTATATCATTCAAATTCTGATTTTATGCTTCTAGCAAACAAATAAGTAAACAAATGAATTATTTTTTAAAAATAGTCCAATGTTAAATAATATATATTTCATGTAGATTTTCCAATTTATAAATAAAATTTATTTCCAGCTAAATGTAGGACTTATGTTGCTCATTGAGTTCTAATTATTATTTTCTCTTGCAACACGCTGTGGCATTTTGGTGAACTATTTTGGCATCAGTAAATTCCTAAGTATAGTCAATAGACTCCTATTAATATAGTAGGGTATTTTTAGCTCAGGCTTTAGCTTTTTAAAACCACAGTGCTTAAAGTGTCCCCTTACAGAAAAAAAAAATTACTATGTTCAAGTATAACCCCATTCATATATATCTACCCAAGTGCTTTCGTCTATGAAATGAGTATTTGACTGATAAATACATACATATTTAATTTTGTAACTTTCCCCACAATAAATTATTTGTATAAAACAGAAAAATTTTTATCTATTGTAATTATTTTCTTACCTCATCTGGAGGGTCTGAGAAGCATTGGCAACAGCACAAATGTGACATGAGTATTTAAAGAAAAGGTGAATTGCCCAGGGCTAAAAAACATACTCCATACATCATGTTTTGAACAGTCATACAATAGATTATGATGTGACTGTGAAGTCACAACAGTGGGCTCCCAAATATGATTTTCTTGGTGGACATTACCCTGTGACACTTTCCTTGTATATGTGTGTGTATGCAAGTGTGTGTATGTCGGTGTGTGTATGTGTATGTGTCTGTTGTTTGCCTGTCTCTCTGCAAAGCATTCTACTCAGGCACAGTAATGAGTAGGACAAGTTCTCCTACAAACGAACTCAATACTGTTCATCAATTAACTCTTGCGCTTCCTTCTAAAACCACTTGTGAAATCAACCATTTTTCCTCTTCTTCAGATTAGGGAATGGGAACAAATGGAGTCAACACATTCATAAGTTATAAGATGATATTTTGAGGCAAGTAAAATTAAAAACAGCAATTCTTGTTGATGGGTATTCAATTCTGACAAGCACAGATTACACAAGTAATGCAAGAGGCATTAGTCACCAATTGTTGCTAATCCGATTTTCATACTTTAGCTTTTTATAATAAAATTGACAGTTGAGTCCTGTGTATTTTACAAAATTGGAGGCTAATTTTCAGGTCATCTCAATGATCCTAAGCAAATCCAATAAATATGGAGTAAAGATGACTCTTTGCACAATGAATTTCATATACTTCACTCAAATTAGAGCCTCCAAGTCCCTCCCTCAAATGTTATATATTTTCACTTTATACTAGATTCTCTTGATGTGTATCATAATAGCAAAGAATTCACTTAGCAAAGAATCCACTTGGAGAACACACACAGAAAATGAAAGACTAAACAAAATTTTAACAGGTCTGTTCGCCACTTAGTTTCTCCTCTTAGGTGCTTTAATTTGTTGCTTCACTCTGTACATTTCTGGCATTTCTGGGAGGATATTAGTAAGTTACTGTTTCAGAACTCATTTGGATCTTTTTCCCCTCCAGAACTCTCTTACCTCTTTAGTGAACACATTTTTAGGCAATTATAAGAAGCTGATTAACCAATCTCAAGACATTTGGAAGAAAATAAGGTAGATCAGTGGGGAAGATCATTAGAGTTAGGAGTAATTATTCCACCAGTTAATAACAGCTGATATCCTGATGACCCTATCATAAGAGAACTAAAATAAACAGCAGTAGTTCATAATGTGTGATGGTTTGGGGACATTTGGGGTAGTAAACAATTCTATGAAGTTCAGTTATGAATTCTTCGCTGGGTTCACGATGACAGAAAAGAATTTCTGTTCATGAAGGGTGACCTTTGCATACCTCCAAAAATGTAAGCAGCAAGGCTGAGTTGGGAGGATCACTTGAGCCCTGAAGTTAAAGACCATCCTGAGAAAGATGGCAAGACCCTATCTCTACAAAAAAATAAAACAAAATATTAACCAGGCATGATGGTATGTGCCTGTGGTCCCAGGTACTCTGCAGGCTGAGATGAAAAGATTGCTTGAGCCCTGGAGTTGAAACTGCAATGACCCGTGTTCACACCATTGCACTCTAAACTGGGCAACAGAGCGAGACTTGTCCAAAAAAAAAAAAAAAAAAAAAAAGTAAGTAATAAAGTAGTTAAAACTGAAAGTTGTAGAGTAAGACTTTAAAAATTACCTAGTATAGTTTCTTCATTTTACAAAGCAGAAAACTGAAATTCTGAGAGACCACTAAGTGAATAACGTACATTCAATCAATTTTTTTAAAGGGAAACTAATTTATCACCTAAAGCTAACATCAAGCCATATCGAATATATTAAAAAATGACACTGCTAAATGATAAACAAGTTTGGTCACTGTTTTAAATGGGATAAATTTTGAAATCTAGAACCAATTATATTTATTATTTACTATAAATCAAAACTTCACCGTTGAAAGATATTGTCAATCTTTCAGATTATAGGAAGTTGTAGAGGACATGCTAATGGGCTTCCCAGATCTTGTTTCAGTGATGAACTGGTTGACTCAGAAGCTGGAATGCTGCTGGCATAGGGTCAGACTCTCAGCAACACCCTGTGTAGCCACATTGGAGCCTAAAGCAAAAGGAAAAATGTCTGCCCCCATATACACTTACCAAAATAGCCTCTCATATTTTAAACTAAGTGAAAAAGATAGACAAAATGAACCCAAATCTTAAGACTGTAAATAGAGTCCTGCATTGCTCAATTTATTTGAACACCACTGTCAACTCTCATAAACCTTCCCAGTGGGGACTCAATACCCAGTGGTTTGGAAATGACTATTGCCATTACAGATCCATCACACAAACAAATGTCTGTCTTTATTTAAAATTTGGATATTTTTTCATCTTGGAATTGTTTGCATTAATTTTGATTTTTAAAAATGTTATTAGGCCAGGTGTGGTGGCCCATGCCTGTAATCCCAGCACTTTGGGAGGCCACTTCAGGATCACTTGAGGTCAGGAGTTCAAGACCAGATCAACCAACAAGGCGAAACCCCATCTCTACTAAAAATACAAAAATTAGCTGGGTATGGCACACGCCTGTAATCCAGCTGCTTGGGAGGCTGAGGCGGGAGAATCGCTTGCGCCCAGGAGGCAGAGGTTGCAGTGAGCCGAGATCATGCACCACTGCACTCCAGCCTGGGTGACAGAGCAAGACTCTGTCTTAAAAAAAAAAAAAAATATATATATATATATATATATATGAATATATAAAAATATGAATATATAAATATATTAATATATATAAATATATGAATATATATAAATATGAATATATATGAATATATAAAAATGTATGAATATTTAAAGGATATATATGTGTGTATATATATATTTTTAGACTATATATGCTGCACACTAAACCCCACCTTTACGACACTTCCCAGGGAACCCTGCCTGTGACAAATATGCAGTTAAATTAGCTAATATTTATTGAGCATATACTAGGTTCACTGCATGTTGATATTTTTATTTTACTCTCACATCAACCAGTAAGGTAGGCACTATTTCTATTAAAATCAGTTGTATACAAGATAGCACACTTTAAATGAATAAAGTAATAATAAACCCATATGTAACCAGCATGCTGTGTTGTAACACAAGGTAACTGAATTTTCTTTCTTTCCTCACTGGCCTAAATATTACAAAGATACTTAACCCGAAGATGAAGGCATATATATGTGGTCCAGAACACATCTTAAGAAGAACAGAAAAGGATTTTATACATTTTAGGGTTTCAATTGAAAGTATCCTGAAATCTAAATAAAATTCACCAAAAGAGATAACCTTCAGCTATTTAGAAAGCTTATTATTTTCCTTTCATTCCCTTGTGATCCTGTGGATGAATGAGGTTTTAATATCATTTTATAAATGTGAATGATACTGGTTAAAAATTTAAGTTCCTCATAATCTCAACATTTTTACTTGTTCTGAAATAGAATGCCATTAAAGACTATAATACTACATGGGTACCACCTATTACTACTGTATATAAACATATGAATACATATGTTTGTCAAGTATGGTAAAAATATTTTCACCTCATTAGCAGACTTACTTTGTGGGATCCAGTGTGGGACCCCACAAATTCATATGCATTCTTTACAAATCTAAATCACCAATTAGAATGGCAATCATTAAAAAGTCAGGAAACAACAGGTGCTGGAGAGGATGTGGAGAAATAGGAACACTTTTACACTGTTGGTGGGACTGTAAACTAGTTCAACCATTGTGGAAGTCAGTGTGGCGATTCCTCAGGGATCTAGAACTAGAAATACCATTTGACCCAGCCATCCCATTACTGGGTATATACCCAAAGAACTATAAATCATGCTGCTATAAAGACACATGCACACGTATGTTTATTGCGGCATTATTCACAATAGCAAAGACTTGGAACCAACCCAAATGTCCAACAATGATAGACTGGATTAAGAAAATGTGGCACATATACACCATGGAATACTACGCAGCCATAAAAAATGATGAGTTCATGTCCTTTTTAGGGACATGGATGAAATTGGAAATCATCATTCTCAGTAAACTATTGCAAGGACAAAAAACCAAACACCGCATGTTCTCACTCATACGTGGGAATTGAACAATGAGAACACATGGACACAGGAAGGGGAACATCACACTCTGGGGACTGTTGTGGGGTGGAGGGAAGGGGGAGGGATAGCACTGGGAGATATACCTAATGCTAAATGACGAGTTAATGGGTGCAGCACACCAGCATGGCACATGTATACATATGTAACTAACCTGCACATTGTGCACATGTACCCTAAAACTGAAACTATAATAATAATAAAATAGAAAAAAAAAGAAATTGCTTTAGCAAAAATGTTCTCTATTTTAAATGCCTTTGAGTCTGGATCATTTGCTAAATCATATTCCTGAACTCATTGTGGCACATCTTTTAAGTCTGCAGTTATGGCCCCATGTTTCTGAGCATATTGTATTTTGTATTTAGGTCTCTTAGTGTTCTGGTTCATATGAAATGGCGCTATTTATTTATTATAAGATCTCACATTTGTTTTAGCCATCACAAGTTAATGTTAGGATGAATTAGGCCCTAGAGATGTAATATCATCTTTAAAAAGCTGCTCTGAAGACAGAAAGCTGAGAATCAAAGCATAAAAAGAACTAAGGTACAAAGTCTGAGTGTCTAAGTTCATATTTCTTGCATGTAACTACGTGAACAGATTAGATCCACAATCACTTTTTTTTTGGTCAAAAAACAGCTCTTAGACTGCAAGGAGAATGTGCAATGCATAGGAATGACTGGATAGAGATGTCTGTCCAATGACTTTGGGCCAAAGGTGGGGTAAAAAATGATGAATGGTTCTGCGAAACTACTGTTCTCTCTTTACTTGCTCTTGACTTCACATTTCTCAATATTTTTCAAAACAACAATGATGTTTGAAAGACCATGTCATTTGGTTGATTTTTAACATGTTAATGTCCCCTAAATATACTACCATTTAGCCAAATTATCTGAGGTTGTGAACTTTCTGAAGAAATCAAGAAATCATGCAAAACAGAGTCTGAAAGAGCTGAAGGTAGCTAGTAATTAAATCCAATCTATACAAGTATTAGAAAACCCCAAGCACAACTACATTTTGTGAACTAAGGTAGTCAGCAATTTGCAACCACCTGGTTTTCCTAAGGGCCTAGCACAGTGTCAAACCAATTTAAACAAGCATTTATTGAGCATTTTTATGTGTCTGGCATGGTATTAAGTACAACAGATTTAAAGGTCATTCATTGGCCCTGCCCTTGAGCACTCAATATTAATTGAAAAGTTTTCTACAAAATGTAGGCATTAAATTATTACTATGGCAAACAAGTTTATAATGTGATAGGTCAAATACTCGTTTATTAAAGTGTTAGGGATATATATCTATATATATATATATATATAGATATATATACACACATATATATGTGTTGCATTTCAGGTTATGGCCATTTAGCCATATTGTTAGAAGCCACACTGGAGTGCGCTCAATAGAAATATATCCTGTGGACGTGCTTGAGGAAAGAAACTCACATTTTCTCTTAAACCTTCAAGATACTTCATCTGGGCCTTAAGGGAAAACCATAAGGTCAAATAATTCTAATTGTTACAAAGCAATATCCAGTAGCAGAGTACCAAATATTGCAAGAGTTTATCGACACCTGAAAGGCAATTCTGGATATTTTTAGGTAGATTTTATGGAAGTGGACAGGACTGCGGAGGAGACCTTGTATTAGAAGCCAACCATCATCGCCACAATGACAATATCATACAAATGCTTTATTTAAGCCCCTTCATCTAACACTTTACATCTACTTTGTTTCTAGATGATTTTAAACATTGCTCATGTCTTAATATAATTTGTTCCAGAGACTTTTCAGGAGTTTAATAAGTGGCTAACTTAAAGTAACATCAGAGGCTGTCTCTATGAAGCTAATGGTTCTATGACATAGTCATCACTGAGTTCCCAGGTTGTCCATACCAAAATAGAGTTTATGATGTGTATGCCCCTGCCCAAACATGCTTTATATGCCAGGGGGTGTTGAAATGATGTCCTGCTGGCACAGGTTCTGTTTACCACATTGCCTTGACTTCATGAGTTGGGGCACATTCTATTTGGGTTGCGCAAGCCAAGATCATCATTGCATAAAGCAGGAACCCACAAATTGCTATTTCTTAGGTGACCCGATAGTGTCTGTTCACAGCAAAGGCTGAATGAGAATTACCCCTGGTTTCTTTGGGACGTGGCAAAGCAAACTTACTCAGAGTTCCTTGGTTGAATCCAAAAAAGAAGTCATCTACTAAGATGAGTCACTGTTGAGCAAAAACCTTGTCTGCTACTCTCTTTAAAGGTTATGTGCTCTTCTAAAATTACATATTTTGATTGATATATTAATGTGGCTATATTGTGGTTGCCTAGAGACAACTTGGAACCCAGTGAGTTGGATGATGATGTTCTTTGTCACTGATTACATCATCTCAGACTTCATGCTCCATTCATACCTTAGAGGGACAGAAATATACTTGCCCTTTTCACTGACGAAAGAAGAGATATTTTTAGATTTTGCCTTCCTCATTTCTATTAGGCAATTTTTTTAAATTTATACTTTAAGTTCTGGGATACATATGCAGAATGTGTAGGTTTGTTACATAGGTATACACGTGCCATGGTGGTTTGCTGCACCCATCAACCCGTCATCTACATTACGTATTTCTCCTAATGCTATCCCTCGTCTACACCCTCACCGCACAACAAGCCCCAGTGTGTGATGTTCCCCTCCCTGTGTCCATGTGTTCTCATTGTTCAACTCCCACTTATCAGTGAGAACATGCAGTGTTTGGTTTTCTGTTCCTGTGTTAGTTTGCTGAGAATGATGGTTTCCAGCTTCATCCATGTTCCTGCAAAGGACATGAACTCATCCTTTTTAATGGCTGCATAGTATTCCATGGTATATATGTGCCACATTTTCTTTATTCATTTGGGATAAGGTCTATCATTGATGGGCATTTGGGGAATGGGAGGGCATTTTATTCATTTGATAAATATCCTGTCATGTAGTTTAATATATTTGTAAATCTTTTGGGTTGAGTATTATCACTTTAAAGAGACTAAAGAGACAGAAATGACAGTAAACGAAGAAAGAAAAACTTTGCAAATTATTTTCTTTTGTCTTATTTATTAACTCAGAGCAAAATGTATAAACACCTATCATTATGGTTGTTAATTATGTTCCCCCAGCTTTATAATTGTGATCATCTGAGATACCATGATAGACATCCTAAGTCTCTTGACAAGATCAATTGAAAAAAAAGATAGGTCATCATTGCATATGCAGTTGCCCAAAGAGCCAAGATCTCAAGAAATTTTGTTTTTCACAAACGCAGATGTACAAAAAGGACATCTCTTCATTTATCTAGCATGTGGCAATGTTTTTACATACGTGCACAATGCTTATACACAAAGTCAGTGTTCTCATACTGTACTTTTATGGAGTCAAATTTGCCAAAAACAGAATAAATGATTTAGAACTCTCAAGAGTCTTTACAAAATATATACCAGTATTGGAAATGGTGTGAAGATGAAATACATAGCATAAAAGTTATACAAAATAATGCTAACAACTTAAAATAGCGGGGATAACAGGAAAAAAAACAAAACAAAAAACCCTAAAACTGGCTAAAAATAAAATCTGACATATGTAAATGCATATCACAGGGATAGATTAGGAACAATTTCATGAAGGTAGTCCCTAAGGGCTGGCCAGCCTTGATAATCATTAACTATGATTAATAAGTCTTGCATTGCAATGAATAGCTGCTTTTTATCTTTGAGGGCATGGCTTTCCTGGGAGAATATATTCACATTCATTTTCTACATGACGCTATTCTTTATGAAATTCTTCTACGATTCAATATATACCAACATGAGCATTCCCTATTAAATTTTCCTGTCTTCTGCGTCATGGTTCTATGTAGTTTGGGGTATACAGGAATCCATTTCCCATGTACTTATATAGAGACCCCAAATTCGGCAGAAACAGTACAAGTAATCAAACAGCAAAAATTGTGTTAAAACCTTTTTATCCTACTGTGGACATAATTATTTTCTAACCAGTCAGTGACTTTGCTGACTTCTTCAGGCAAATGTGGCTTTAATTCAATAAAAGCTCCTGAATTTTTATCAACTGAAAGGGATGTCAGTGTAGACAAGTGACACATTTTTAAGCTGATATTTTTGTCATTGCCATTGTGGCCAATTTACTCATCTGAATTTTCCACCAAATGCAATTTACTCATCTGAATTTTCCACCAAATGCAATAAGAAAGCAACAGTTCTGCCTACTATGATGCCACCAATATGAAGCCAGTATCCTACACACAGTTACAACCTCAAGGAAACCCTTTCTTATAATTTGACTTTCAGGATTTTGATATTTGAGATTTTAACAATTTGAGATTCTGATTCTTGAGATTTTAGATATTAGGGAATTTAGATGTTAGAGATTTTAATCTTTTGGAATTGCAACATTTGGAATTATGGCATTTGGGACTGTGTCTTTCAGAATTATGGTTGGCAGTGGTGCTCTCCTATAGCTACAAGGATCAGAGAAACTCTTCTCTTTGCAGAAGAGTTTTTTAATGATCCTCAAAAGATCAAAACAATTAAACATTTGGAGATAAGAAGGCCACTGGCTGATTATTTGACTTATGAAGACTAATATGTTGTAAAGTGAATCAGAACAGGTACCTGAGAGTGACATAAATATTTAGATGACAAAGAATCTTAACTAATGTGGTGGCACTATAAATATAAAGCCATGCATAAGTGTACGGAGAAATTCAAGGGGGATATCACTGAGATTTGATCTGACTTTTGAGGCTGAGTGTGTGGTAGAAGAGTAGCACTAAGAACAGAAAATGAAATATCAAGAAAATAAATCACTGTGATCTGAAGATAGAAAGGAAATACTGAGCTCAGTTTTAGATGTTTATCCTAGTTAACTGTGATGCCTTTCAGGTGGTGATGGGTCATCCAGGTAAATATGTCTATCAGATATTTGTATCTGTGGTACATAAATTTGGGATAAGTGTCAGGATTTGAGAATTTGAGGAAGTAAAATTTGAAGATGTGAGGCCAGAAGATATTTTTCTAGTCTTGAATTTAACAATATCTATATAATAACACAATTCAATATTTTTTGTTCATGTATCTCTGGATCCAAAGGAATAAAAGAGATTTCCACTTCTGAGATGGAGTGAATGTACTTTTTCCTTTTCCTTCTAAGCTCAATGAAAAATCCTGCACATTATGTATAATGCAAGCATGAGAAGACTCTGAAAGGTAGAGAGAAAAAGGCAGACTGGCTATGAAACTTAGGACCCAAGAAACCAGAAAGAAGTGAGTTCCCTCACTTTTCTTTGTGTCTCATATGTCCCAGACTTGGGGCTGAAGAAGCTAGCAATCCAGAAATGCCAATGAATACAGGCAAAAGGGGCCAAAATAAAAGCCCACTCTCTCTAGCCAAAAGTCCAGGAAAGGGGCAACCTACCCAGAAAACAAAAAAACAAACAACAACAAACAAAAACAAAAACAAAACAAACACACTTTTAGACAATAGATATTATACTCCAGTAAAAACTCACAGAAAATAATATGCCTCTGCCCCTCGTCTCACAAGCAAAGACAGGTGGGAAGCCTAAACTTCAACCTGGATGTAATCACGGAGCCCAGATCTTTTTCTGGGGTGATGTCAAAGAAGGTTGAGTAGGAGACCAAGAGTTTCATCTCCATCAGGCAGTCATAAGTCTTGCCTTCCCCTTGGTGTCAGGGGAGAACACATGGAGAGCCTGGACTTTTACTCTGAAAGAATAGTAATGAAAGGTGCTCCTCCCACTCCCCACTGAGGAGGTCAAAAGAAGGCCTAATAAAGACTCAAGATTTTCATCATTACCTGGCAAAAATTGGTCCATCCTCTACCCTGTGGTATCAGTGGAGGTCATGAATGAAGAAATAGCAAGGCACTCCTGTCCCTCCCAATGAGAGAGGGACAAGATAGGAATTACATCCAGCCTTTCCTCACTAATCATACAAGTAAGGAGAGAGTGGAGTTAGATAAAGTGTTGAGAGAAAGAAGCTACCAACTTAGAATTAGGTACTCTATAGAATTTTTTTTTAAGTGAAGGAGATAGAAAGGCTTTCTGAGATGAACAAAATTGAGAGAATTTGTTGCCAGTAGACCTGCTTTGCAAGAAATTTTACAATAAGTTATTTAGAGAAAGAAGATTATGTAGGATAGAAACAGATCTATACAAAGAAAAGAACACCAAAGAAAAAATAAGCAAATAAAATTGTTTTTTCTTATTCTTAACTGATCTAACAAATATTTTGTTCAAAATAATAATAGCAATAATATATTCAATTACAGATGCTTATGTATCTATGCATATATGTATAGATCTATTTATCTATTCATAAACATATATGTATTTATATGAATGACATCAGTTATACAAGGGACAAGAGGGAGTAATTACAATTTTTTGTTATTATAAGATATTCACACTATACATGAAGCAGTAGTTGTAAATGTATATTGCAAACTTTAGGGCACCCACTAAACAAAGGTAAAAAGAAAAAAAAAAAGAATAACTGACATGCTAAGGAAAGAGTGAAAATGGAGTCATATTAAAATGTTAAGTTCAAACCACGAAATGCAGAAAAAGAGTAAAAGACATAAATGGGAACAAAGAAGAAGGGCGACAATTAGAAAACAGTAACAAATATGGTAGCTGTCAATCCAACTATATTAGCAATCACTTTCAATGTCAATGGTTTAAATATATCAATTATAAGAAGGAGATTTTCAAAGTGGATCAAAAAACAAGATCCAGGACAGATATAATTAAACTTCTGAAAACCAAAGGTGCAGAAAAAAAATCACAAGAGCAATAAGAGAGAAATTATATCTTACCCATAGAAGAAAACATGTGAAAGGACAGTGGATTTCTCATCAGAAACCATGGAGGCCAGAAGCAAGTAGCACACCATTTTTCAAGTAAAGTAAAGAGCTATTAACCCAGAGTCTTATGCCCAGAAAAAAACATCCTCTGGGAATGAAGGGGAAATCTACACATTCTCAGATGAAAAAAGATGAAGAGAACTTGTCACCAGCAGACCTGCTCTAAAATAATGGGTCAAGAGAGTTCATTAAGCAAAACAACAACAACAAAATACAAGTAAGAATCTTAGGACATGAGTAAAAAAGAAACAACATAATTAAAAAATGGGTAAATATTATACACTTTCCTTTTCTTTTTATGATATATAAATTATCTGACTGTTGAAGTAAAATTTATAACGTTGTCTCATGTAGTTCTAAATATATAGAGAGGAAATATTTAGGATGATTATAAGCAGAACAGGATAAAACAATTTAAAGGGAGATAGGATTTCTACTCCTCACTTGAACTGGTAAAATCACAACCAGTAAACTGTGATAAGTTACATACATATAATTCAATATCTAGAGGAATCTCTAAAGAGTTTCCACAAAGAAATGTACTCAAACCCCCTACAAATGAATGAAAAATGAATTTTTAAAAATATTCAAGAAAACCACAAGAGGCCAGAAATAAGAAAACTACAAAACAAAAAACAGAGAGACCAAATAGATAAAAAAACATTAAATGACAGAATGAAGCTCTAACATATTAATAATTACTTTAAATGCAAATGATCTAAATATACTGCTGTGGTTTAGTGTGTCATCTAAAGTTCATGTTTGGAAACTTAATCCATAATGTAACAGTGTTGGGAGTTGGATCTTAAAGAGGTGATTAGGTTATGAAGGCTCTACCCTCAGGAATAGATTAATGTGATTATCACAGGAATGGGTAAGTTATCGCAAGATAACTTCTGCTATGGGATGACCCAATATGAAGGCTTTCATCAGATGCTCATGCCATGCTCTTGGACTTTCCAGCCTCCAGAACCATGAACCAAATAAACCTCTATTGTTTCTAAATTACCCAGTCTTGAGTACCCTGTTATAATATCACAAAATGGACTAAGACATAACCAATCAAAAGATGAAAATTGGCAGATTAGATTAATAAAAATGACACAATCATTTACTGTCTACAAAAAAAAATCTAAATCTAAGACTACGGGTAAGTTAATAGTAAAAAAAAGAAAAATATATATTAAGAAAATATTAATGGAAACAAAGGACTGCTATGTTGATATCAGATAAAGAAATAAATCCAAGATAGAAAGGGAACTGTATAATGATAGGAGGTTCAATAAACCAATAAAACATAGCAATCCTAAATGTATATGCATCAGACAACAGAGCTGCAAAATATGTGAATCTAAAACTGAAAAAATTAAAATGGAAAAACAGACCAATTTACACTTTAATTGAAAATATTAACACCCCTCTCAACAACTGATACTCCAACTAAAGAGAAATCAGCAAGGAAATATAAAGACACCATCAAGCAACAGTGTCTAATCAATACTTATTAAAAAAACTCCACCAACAGCTGCAAAATATACGTTATTGCAAACTGAACAATACATTTCTAAGGAATCTAAATGTGAAGAAGGAAATCTCAAAGGAAAAATACACAATGAACTGAATGAAAATGAAAATACAAGTGATCCATGACTTAATAATGGTTCAACTTATCATATTTCAACATTACACTGGTGTGAAAGTGATACACAAACACAAGAATTTTTTTTTTTTTTTAGATAGAGTCTTGCTCTGTCACCCAGGCTGGAGCGCAGTGGTGTAGTCTCAGCTTACTGCAATCTCCACCTCTCAGGTTCAAGCTATTCTCCTGCCTCAACCTCCTGAGTAGCTGGGATTAAAGGCACTCACTACCACGCCTGGCTAATTTTTTTATTTTTAGTAGAGACAGGGTTTCACCATGTTGGCCAGGCTGGTTGCGAACTCCTGACCTCAAGATATCTACCCACCTTGGCCTCCCAAAGTGCTGGGATTACAAGCATGAGCCACCATGTCTGGCCAAACACAAGGTTTTCAACTTCAAGCACCAGTGATTCATTGAGTAAAGATTCTCTCGGCTGCATTTTTGATTTGCAAGATGAAAAGACAAAAGTTACTAATCTGAAAAATGAGTTAGGAGATATCACTACAAACCCTGCAGACATTATAAACATAATGAGAGGAAACTATGAACAATTGTATGCATTTGATGACTTAGATGAAATAGGTTAATGCCTCAAAAAACACAAATTACAATAAACACCAACTATGACAATTCACCAGTATGAAAAAGATAATTCTGATATTTTGCTAGCTCCATAACTCTTAAAGAAAATGGATTTATGATTTTTAAATTCTCAAGAAAAAAAATAAAGAAATCTCCAGGCCCAAATGGTTTTACTTGTCAATTCTACCAAACTTTTAAAAGAAGAATTAATACCAATTATACACAGTCTATTCAGTAAAGAAGAGGAGGAAACCTTTCTCAATTGCTTTAATGAGGTTAGGATTATCTTGACACCAACATAGATGAAGACAACCGTGAAGAAGGAGAGAGAAAGGAAAAGAAAACTAAGCACCAACACCTGTCATGAATATATGCAAAAATCCTTAAAAAAATTAACAAGTAGAAGTCAGCAATATATAAAAGGAATTGTACACCATCACCAAATATGGCATATACCAGGTATGTGAGGCTGGTTCAATATTTGAAAACCAGTCACTGTAATACACCCTATTAACAAACTAAGGATGAAAAATGTACATGATCATAACAATCAATGGAGAAAAAGCATTTGACAAAACTCAATACTAATTCATAACCCTCAGAAAAAAAGGATACAGAAAAATTTTTTCAAATTGATAAGATGTATCTTTAAAAAGACACAAAAAACTTCTTACAGCTAACATTATACTTAATGTTGAAAGGCTAAATGTTTCTCCCTATGGCAAGTTAAGGATATCTTTTCTCATCACCCTATTCAACATAGGCTGGATGGTCTAGCCAGTGAACAAGAAAATAAAAGACTTACAGATCTAGAAAGAAATGTTCTTATTTACAGGTGATACGATTATCCACATGGAAAAACTCAAGGAGTCTACAAAATAAAAATCCTCCTAAGAATAATAAGTTAGTTTATCAAACTTGCAGGATATAAGGTAAACTTGCAGGATATAAGGTAAACATGCACAAATTAATTGTATTTATATGACCTAGCAAAGAACACATGAGGACTTAAAAATACAATTCACCATCAGTAAAAAGTTTTTTTAAAAAAACTTTAAGAGTAAAGCTTTCGAGACATGTGCAAGATTGTATGCTGACAACCACAAAATACTGAAAGCAATCAAAGCTCTAAATAAAGGGAAAGACATAATGGATGTATAGATCGAAAGACTCAGCCATAGTAAAGATAAAAATTCTCCCCAAATTGCTATACAGACATATAAAAATCTCAGTAAGATTTTTTTATAGACATACACAAGACTGTTCTAAAATTTGTCTGAAAATGGATAAAAAATAAGGTATTTAAATTAATTTTTGAAAAAGTCAAGTAAAATGAAAGGAGCAATTTTACCCAATTTCAAGGCATTACGTAACTACAACAATCAAGATTGCATGTTACTGGTGGAAGCCTAGCCTTAGAGATAAATGGAACAGAATAGAGAACATAGAAACAGATTCACACAAATATGCTCAATTGATTTTTAACAAAGGGGCAAAAATAATTCAATGAAAGAATGATAGCATTTCAACAAATAGTAACAGAGCAATTAGAAATCCATAGATGCGGCCGGGCATGGTGGCTCATGCCTATAATCCCAGCACTTTGGGAGGCCAAGGCGGGCAGATCACAAGGTCAGGGGTTCAAGAGCAGCCTGACCAACATGGCGAAACCCCCTCTCTACTAAAAATACAAAAATTAGCCAGGTGTGGTGGCCTGTGCCTGTAATCCCAGCTACTCGGAAGGCTGAGGCAGGAGAATCACTTGAACGTGGGAGGCAGAGGTTACAGAGAGCTGAGATCACACCCCTGCACTCCAGCCTGGGTGACAGAGCGAGACTCCATCTCAAAAAGAAAGAAAGAAAGAAAGAAATCCATAGATGGACACAGAAAAATTAGCCTTAACCTAGTTGACATACCTTATACAAAAATTAACTCAAAATGGGCAATGAATTTAAATATAAAATATAAAGGTATAAAATTTTAAAAATAAAACAGAAGAAAATATATGGATCATACTAGACAAAGCGTTCTCAGAGTTGACATGAAAAGCATGATCCCAAAGAGAAAAAAATGATAAATTGTATTTTATCAAAATCAAAAACTTGGCCAGGCGTGGGGGCTCACGCCTGTAATCCCAGCACTTTGGGAGGCCGAGACGGGTGGATCAAGAGGTCAGGAGATCGAGACCATCCTGGCTAACACGGTGAAACCCCGTCTCTACTAAAAACACACAAAAAATTAGCCGGGTGTGGTGGTGGGCGCCTGTAGTCCCAGCTACTTGGGAGGCTGAGGCAGGAGAATGGCGGCGTGAACCTGGGAGGCGAAGCTTGCAGTGAGCCGAGATCGAGCCACTGCACTCCAACCTGGGTGACAGAGCAACACTCCGTCTCAAAAAAAAAAAAAAAAAAAGAGATACTCTGTAAAAGGTGAAAAGACAAACAATAGACTAGGAGGAAATATTCCTAAACCACGTCAGACAAAGGACTAGAATCTAGAATATATAAAGAACACTTAAAATGCTCAACATCATTAGTCATTAAGGAAATGTAGATTAAAACCACAATGAGACATCATCTCACACCAGTTAGAAAGGCTATTACCAACAAGGCAAAAAATGACAGGTATTGGTGAGGATGTGGAGAAAAGGGAACCCTTGTATACTATTGGTGGGAAGATAAATTAGTGCAGCTATTATGGAAAGCAATATGGTAATTCCTGAAAAAATTAAAAATATGACTATCAGATAATCCAGCAATCTTACTACTGAATATGTATCAAAGTAAATAAAATTAGTATGCCAAAGATATACCTTTACTCCCTTGTTCATTGCAGCATTATTCACAATAGCCACGATATGGACTCAAAATAAGTGTCCATCAATGGACTACTAGATAAAGAAATGGTGGTATATATTCACAATGGAATATTATACAGTGTTTAAAAAAATTCTGTCATTTGTGACATGTTTGAACCTGGAAGATACTATGTTAAGTGAAATAATCCAGGCACAGAAAGACAAATACCTCATGATCCCGCTTATGAGTGGAACAGAAAAATGTTGAACTCATAGAAACAGGGAGTAAAATAGTGGTTGACAGAGGTTGATGGGAGATTGGAGAGACACTGATCAAAGAACACAAAATTTCAGTTACACAGGATGAATAATTTCAAGAGATCTATTATACATGATGGTGACTTTAGTAAATAATAATGTATTACATACATCTTTGAAAATTGCTTAGAGATAGACTTTAAGTGTTCTTACCATACACACAAAAAATAAGTACATGAGGTAATGAATATGTCAAAAGCTTTATTCAGCCATCCATAATATATACATGTATAGAAATATTGTGCTGTACGTCATAAATAGATATAATTTTTACTTAGTTAAAAAAGTTAAGAATTAAAAAAAACACAACTGTTTAAAAAACATCTAGGCAAAACACAAGAAATTTCACCATAGAAGACATACAGACGGCAAATAAGCACGTTAAATTTTGCTCAATGTCACATCTCACTAGGGAAGGATTTGCAAATTAAAACAACAATGAAATGCATCTATACAACTATTAAGATGGCAAAAATGCAAAAATCTGACAATGCCAAATGCTAGTGAGAATGTGGAGCAACAGGGATTCTCAGTCACTGCTAGTAGGAATGTAAAATGATACAGCTGCTCTAAAACACAGTTCGGCAGTTTCTCACAAAACTAAACGTGTAACTGCCATAAGACCCAACAATTGTACTTCTGGGCATCTATCTCAGAGAAATAAAAACTTATTTTGCACAAATATCTGTGTGTAAATTTTTATAGTAGTTTTATTCTTAATAGCCCCAAACTGAAAACAACTCTGATGCCATTCACCAGGTGAATGCTTAAACAAACTAGAATATCGATACCTTGGAATGCTACATAAAAATAAACAGGAACAAACCATAAATACATGCAAGAATATAGAATCTCCAGAGAATTATGCTTGGTGGAAAAAAAATCCCGAAGGTTGTACACTGTACTTTAATAATGTTTCTATAACATTTAGAAATAATTAAATTATAGAAATGGAAAACAAATTTCTGGATGCCAGAGTGAAAGAGGAGAGAAACTGGGAGGGAAATGGGAATGGCTATAAAAGGGTCACATGACAGATGCTTGCATTGATGGAAATACTCTCTATCTTGACTGTATCAGTATCAATATTCTGTCTGTGACATGGTACTATGGTTTTGCAAACTATTACCTTAGTGAGAAACTGGGGAAAGCGTAGGTGAGATCTCCTTGTATTATTTCTTACAAATGTTTATGAATCAACAGTTATCTCAAAATAAAATGTAATTCAAAGCAAACAAAAAACAAATCAAACAATATGAAAGGTCAGATCTTCCTAGTAGCACTAACTTACCCAACATTGATTAGGTATAATTCTTGGGCTGCTGGCTAGTGTTCTAAATGTACACTTTATTATGAGGCATGAAACATGTTGGGAAGCCAGGCGCGCTGACTCACACCTGTAATCCCAGCACTTTGGGAGGTCTAAGTGGGCAGATCACCAGGGGTCAAGAGTTCGAGACCAGCCTAGAGCACATGGTGAAACCCTGTCTCTACTAAGAAATACAAAAATTAGCTAGGCTTGGTGGTGTGCTCCTGTAATCCCAGCTACTCTGGAGGCTGAGGCAGGAGAATCGCTTGAACGCAGGAGGCGGAGGTTGCAGTGAGCTGATATCGCGCCATTGCACTCCAGTCTGGGCTACAAGAGCAAGACTCTTTCTCAAAAAACGAAAACATGTTGAGAAAGTAATGCTGTTATGCAAATCCTATGTTTCACTTTCTTGAGTTATGGATGATTAAATTTGTAATCTTAAAATTGCACTGCCATGTGAGTCTAAAATTTAATAAACTGGTTCCACAAACAAAGGGAAAAGGATGGTATTCCTTTTAAAACATGAATCAAGCAGAACTGTCATCATGTAGATAAATATATTTGAAAGGATGAAGCAAGATGAATTTATGTGTACAAATTAATTTTTTTCAAATAAACTATGGAACTCGTATGAAAATAAGCAGTAAATATTTACATTGTCTTTAAATGTTAAAATACTTATGGAATGGGATATGGGGTAGCAGTGTGCAGCTATGCTTTTTAAAATTTTATTTCATGATCTAATTAAAAATATCCCCAGATAAAAATCAAACACACAAAATCTGCAATATGGAGTGGCTATCACTCTGATATATTAAATAAAATCACCTAGTGATTCAAAATAAATTTAATATTTTCAAACATATAAGAATTAGTTGTTCTTGGATTTTTTGTGCCTTATCTGACTGGAAAGCTTTTACAAAGATATTAATAAGATAGGCAACAATTTTGGCTTCTTCATTTTAATAAAGTAATTTTTCATCCCCTCAATGGGTGGGCCATTGGAGTGTGTAATATGTTTTCTCATTGGAAGCATAGCCTTATTTCATTGTTTTATAAATTAATTCCTTCTTGCAAATATATCGTACCAACATTCTGTTTGTAATATATTATTCACCCTTACCTTCTGTTCTAGAGTTCTCTTCCAGCACATTGCTAATAATGAAATAGCCTCCAATCTGCTCACTGCCCAGACTCACTGAAAATCAAACAAAAGTTCTCAAAGCCTATAGACCTGAGTAATTTGGATACCACAAGTGCCAAATGGCTTACCACTCTTCCCCTCACTTGTTTTTCTGTTAACACACAACCCCTCTTGGTGTTTTTCAAACACATATAGCATATTCCCATCTTTGGACCTTTGTGCATACCTTCCTTCTAACTGAAACACACTTATGATTATCCACATGATGTATCCCTCTACTGCATTCAGCTCCCTACTCAAATGCTACCTTATTAAAGAGGTATTTTTCGGTGCACTCTAAAGTACCCTGCTGCCCATCACTTCCTATCTTTTCATCTTACTTCATTTTTCTGCGTTATACTGAGGTATCATTATATAATCCTGTGTTAGTTGTATTCCCACTGCAGAAATGTACGCACCATGAAAACAAAAATTTTTTCTTACTCCTGCATTCAAATGTCTACAACAATTAATAGTATATAATAGGTGTGCAGCAAATATTTGTTAAATAAGTGCATTAATTAAATACATTAACATACTATAATTTAACTGGCTTCTCAATAAGAATTCTTCATGGATTTCAGAAACCCTTATAAAAAATCATTTGCAATTTTCTCTGCCGAATGTAGAATGAATTTCAAATGCCTCAATATGAGAGCCAAAGTCCTTGATGTATGGCCTGAACCACTTCTTTCCAATTTATTCTTCCATTTCCACCTAACAAAAGTCTTCCAATTTAACTTGTTCATTATTTCTTGAACTTGTCCTGTTACTCACTACCTAGTAGGGTGATCAACCCTCCTAGTTTGCCTAGGATTGAAAGGTTTCCTGGACCACAGGACTATCAATATTAACACTGGCAGACTAAGATGAGTGGTCATTCTACAACCTCACCTTACTCTTCCCTTTGGCTGGAAGGTCCTCTGTTTTCTTCTTTACTAGCCAAGGACCCCTGTTTCCTATAAAATCCAACTTCAGTCTCACATCTTCAGCAAAGTCTTTGAGTTTCTGCCACATTCCATGAGGTTGTCAGTACATTTAATAGCAATTCTTGTTTATTATTTTAGAAAATACGATTCTATTTTAAAATTCATCTATTAGTCATATGTATAAGTACATTCTCCTCAGTGGAATATATCCCTAGAAAGTAGGAACTATATCTCATTTTGTGATATGTCTAGCCATCTAGCATAGTGCTTGAAATGTACTAAATATTCAACACGTTTCTTATTATTGATGGACATATTCTATCCTTTGAGAGCTGACTATCTTAAATGGATAAATAATTATATGGTAGGCTGCTTAAAGAAAGTGTGAGGTAGAGATTAAAATCTAAAATACATGGTTTTTGGCAAACTCAAAACAGGAAATAATTTTAGTTTAAAATAAAAGGAATAAAACAAAGATCAGCATTGACATTACTCTTTTTGAACAGATAACTAATGTTCTTCCTATTATTTCACCCTGAATGTTATGGATTCATGAAATGTCCTTAGGATTGAGGTTTAAATTGGCATTTACACAATGCCAGGATATGCAGTAAAAGGAGGAAAATATAATGAAACATCTTGATAACTTATAATACAGCATGTTCTACTATATGGCAACATCCCAATGACTAACTGAAGTTTTTACCTTTCATCTAGCTATTTTGGTACTGTATAGACACAGTTCAATAACTGGAACAGTAGGAAAATTGCCACAGTAATGCTGAATTTTACTGGCTTAGCAATGAGGGGAAACTCACATATTGCTTGCCAGAAAAATAACTGGCTTTAGTTGGTGCTATTAGTCTCACGGTTTTTAGGAGCACTTAATTTAAAACAAAATTGTGGGCTTAACTCCCACCCTAATGTTTTGAGACGGCTGTAATAAGCAAAGGTTCAAAGTGTTCTTTATCCAAACAAGTGGGTAAGCTTCTTGCTCAAGCTCCATCTATAACAAAAAGATTTTCATTTAGTGAGTGGTGATCCCTGATCTAGCACAAGCAAACACATCAAGATGCATTCAAGCTTATGGCACAGAAATTTCTGAGCAGTAATGTTTAACCTGACAAAATAATCACTATGGAAAAACAACTTACGAATCACACCAGCCACCAAAATTGAAGCTTGGTTTCCTAACTGGCTTGTAATGGTAGCCCTGAAACAATATGAGGGATTGTTAATAGAGATTTAGAGTTACTATCTTATGCCTGCACTTGTAACATTAATTCTGGCCTGTTTCTATAGAGCTGGTACCACATCAACATTTGAAGAATGTTGGGATAATCCCTTCCATACTCAGAGTATCTTAAAAGACTCTACCATATTTCAATGTGTATAAGCCTTCAGCAATAAAATTCTGCCTATAGGCGTTAATCCTCATTTCATCTCCATCAGCAACATGGTTTACTTGCATAAGAGTGTAGGGGAAAACAGAATACAAAATACCTTCTAAAAGAAGTGAGGTAACACATTTTTTTTCAAGCTATATCATGGTTTCCCTCAGGCCTATGAAATCTGAGCTTTTCAAAGGAATGGTACTACAATGTATCATATTCCTACTTCTAGTGTTGTTCATTTTATTATTAATGACAGTATCTATAACACTAACATTCCATACTTAATATTGTCTTCACTTATGGTACCTGTTACCTCTTGAGATATCATTGTATCCTCATCTTCATAGGACTGATGATAAAGGAAATTCACACATACACACACACACACACACACATACTCACTACCTTTTATCCAGACATTGCATTAAGTACTCTGCAAGTATTATTCCTAACCCTTAAGACAATGTCTCCACATAGGAATTATGTTAACTATGTTACAAATAAAAAAGTGAATTTTTGCATATCAATTGCATAAAGGGTTCATACGGGGCCTTTTATGGTGGTAGGTCATCTTCCTTGTGAACCTCGTGGCTCTTTTTTTTTTTCTTTGTCATACACTGTAATTTGGCTTAAAAGAATGCACAGTCAAGCTTTATATAATTGAAAGAAAGCTATTGACGGAGATGATTGCAATGTCTCAGTGGGCATTGGTAAAATCTTATTTCACTTCCCACCCTCCAGATAGTGCATGGGAATGAGTCAGCTCTCTTTCCTTCATTTTTACAAGCTCAACCTAATAAATAACATTGCTAGAAGTAAAACAAAGTTTCATGTAATGAATGGTAATGATAAATGTGTTTCTGATAGTTTCTGTAGCATTTAGACTAAAACTAATTTGAGAAACTAAGACAAGATATATTCTAAGTCAGAAGAACAAACAAACAAAACTACTGTGTCCCCCAGAGTGACTAGAAAACTAGTATCAGAGTCTGAAGACAGATTCTCTCCTCTAAACTACAACTTTGGGAAAATTTCTTTCTCAATGAGTGATTTCTATCTTCGACTTTCTATCATAATGAAGTAGTAAAGGTCTATTGAGTAGGTATTGAACATAAAAATTTTAACTATCACTGATGAAGGTTGTTACAAAAATTTGAGGCTTTTGAAAATTTGAAAATTTGAGACTGAAAGTCACAAGTGTCTGCATAACAGAGTTCTGGTTAATCACATAGATGTTCTCTCCACCCTGGCTCATTTTCTAGCTCTACCGATTATAAAGCACGTGAATAAATTTGGGTAACATTCTTCACCATTCTTTGCCTGCATTTTCTCATCTCTAAAATGAGGATAACAGTAATAACTACTAGGTTATTTGCAACAAACTAGGTTTGTTGCAAAGATTACCTGAGTTAATGTATGTAAAATGCTTAGAACAGAACTGGCACATAGTTACCTAAATAAGGTTCTGATGAAAAGGACTAACACACACTTAGTAATGTGTAAATTATTCATTCAAAAATGAAAGTATCAATGAAGAATATTTAATATTATGTTTGCTTCTTGAAAACTTTAGTTCTCAGCCCACAAGGTAAATAAACCATAAGTCTGGATAAGGGAGGAATGGAAAAAAAAGGGAAGGGGTGAGGAGGTGGAACTTGAGTAGCTTAGAAAGGCTATATGCCGTAACAAATATCCTGAAGCAAGAACAGTGTCTGTGACAAAGAGCATCCTTTGCTTTTTTTATTGAATTAAAGCATGCTGCATTCAGCCAATCCAAGCCGTACTGCACCAGACCTCTACTTTCTAATGTTCCATCTATGTTTAAAAAAAAATCAGCTGCAAAATGTATAGACAATTTACAAGTCTCAAAGAGCATATTTGTCCTGGGGCTTCCTAGCATAGATGTCCTAATGGAGGACCCTGTTGGTGGAACATCATTAATCAGGCAGCCATGGCCAAGGAGGTGGGTGGCTGCTGATAGTTTTGGCCCATTGGAAATGGCTTTGGATGACTGCCAGGTTGTGTGTAAAATTTTGAAATGTTTCAAACAATACAGTCTTTACAATGTTATAAAATACTAGGGTGGTTAGAGCAGGCTGCAGACTGGCTCTTGGCCAATAAAACCTCAGGATTCCAGTCAGCTGTAACCTGGAGTTTAATGTTGTCTGGGGTGTTCAAGGTCATCTCTCCCCAAAGTCCTGTAGGTCAAGTCAGTCTTTATAAAGCGGCCCCATGGAGCTACTGCTTTCTAATCACCACTGTTCAAAAATCCTTTTAGTCAATTTGCTTTCTCCCCAGGAAAACAAAACAAAACAAAGAAACAAACAAAAAAACCACCAAAAAAAAAATCCTTTTGGGAGTTAGCCTTAAAAGTCTTACTCAGAAAGACTTTTTTTAAAAATTGAACTTGCTTTTTTTTACTCCCTATTTAAATGGAATATACTTGCTATTGACATGGTGGTAAACATAAAATACAAGAAATCACCCTTATTCCATTTCCCAAAAGCAACCATCTAAATTCATGATGCATGTCACAGTAGTTCTTCTTTCTATGTGTATTTTACATACTGATCATCATACTAAATATATAATTCATAATTACCTTCTTCCAAACCTTATACCAAAATTTTTTGTGTTAATATAAATTTTTTAATCATAATGGTAATGGCAGAAGAATATTTCATTGTGGTTGTACCTTACATTCAACCATTCTCACATTATTGAATGCTTATGGTGTTTTCTTTCTCAGTGAGGATGCCATGTTAAATAACATTACTCTGATTTGTTAAATGAAGCTTTTCTGTATTTAATATTATTTCCTCAGGATAAATTCCCAGAAGTGACATTAAAGGGTCAAGAAAGATGGACATCCTTAGAGTCTTTACAAATGTTGCCAAATGGCTTTCCAAAAGGATTTTTTTTTTCTGCAATTGACAGCCTGTCAGTACAGTATGAAAGAGTCTGTTTCACTCCCTCATCATCAGCAATAGGTTAAAGCAAGCTTTCTTCTAAAGAGAGCAAAAACTTTTTAACATTAAAAAATTAAAAGTTTTCTCTTCCAAAATTGTACACATCAGTAGAGATAAGTATCCAGCAGTGTTACATTGAAAGGGTCATGGATCTACTTCATGAGGGATTTTTTTTTTCAGGGTGATTTTTTTTTTCAGTTTGTTCTCCAAGCAAGAAATAATTCTCCAAACAAAAGGGAACTTAATTCTGAGGCATTACCGTAGCACATCAAACATCAAAAACAGAGATAATATAAGATAGAATGCTCCAGATACACAGAAGAAAAAAATTAGATCTACAACTTTATGCACTTTCCCAGATAATGAGTCAAAAAGCGAGCTAGCAAGAAAGTCTGCCTTGGGAAACTGTTAATAAATGCAGAGTACTTAAAGAACAGACTTTGAGAATGTGTACAAGCAAACTTTAAGAATATTTTGTGCTGGGCACAGTGGCTGAAGCCCTTAATCCCAGCACTTTGCGAGGCCAAGGCTGTTGGATCACCTGAGGTCAGGAGTTCGAGACCAGCCTGGCCAACATGACGGAGCCCCATCTCTACTAAAAATACAAAAATTAGCCGGGCATGGCAACATGCACCTCTAGTCCCAGCTACTCGGGAGGCTGAGGCAGGAGAATCGCTTGAACCCAGGAGGCAGAGGTTGCAGTGAGCCAAGTTCGCGCCATTGTACCCCAGCCTGGATGGCAGAGCGAGACTCCATCTCAAAATAAATAAATAAATAAATAAATAAATATAAAATTTGCAATTATAACAGAGGCCTTGAATCAAAAAGAAGATGGTCCAGGAGTAATAGTAAGGGGTAAGAGAAGGGTAGGGGATGAGGAAAGGGAACCTGGAAGAAGAATCTAGATGAGACCAGAAGAGAGATGATTATTTACCCTCCCATGCAGATTAAATAGCATCTCCAGCTTCAAAGAACTGATGTGAGAATCCCAATAAACAACGTATATGGTTAATGTCTAAATAACTATATAGTAAAACTTACATTGTTGCCATTCCAGAATATTCTTTGGTCAAGCTTCAACTTAATACATCCTCTGTAAATATTTGTATATATTTGGGTTAATGGCAATGCACGTTACTACCACAGTTAAGACTTTGCTACTTTAAAAAATGTAAAACTGACAAACACCTCCTCTTAAGAAAGGTTGATTCAATTTTTGTCTAGGTGTACTATAAATTATATGATAACTTCCCTGGCCATGATGTTTCATTTAGGGGTTTATTAGATACTCTAGCTAGTTGGAGAGAATTGCTTACTCTTACTCTTTTCTTTTCTTCTGAAAGGTATATATAGTTTTTTGTAAGAACTGATCAACTTCTGAGCTGAACTGCTTTTCAGAAATGTTCATAGGAACCTCTATGCATTTTAATGTTTATATTTTATCCACTTTAATAAGTCTAGAGGTCTTATCTGGATATTCACATTGATGCTTTTCTTTATCATTTTGGCTGTGGATAGCATTTGTGTTTTGTTTTGTTTTTCTCTCCTTCAGGTTCCCATCATTTGTGTGTCTTTTTCCCCCTTTGCTGATAAAAATTAAGTACAACTCATGCTTCTACCCATGAGTCCTTCATTTTAAGCAAAATAAAATCTACAAGGAAAATCACGACTATATAAGATATTCTGGTTTCAGTGAAACTAGACATTTACCAGATGTTGGGCACTTGAAGTCTTCCATCTGTAACATACTGTGTCTTGATTTCAATTCTCACATCTGTTACTTAGCTGAGTACTTATTCCTTCTATTCTTCAGTCAGCTCATCTCTTAAACAGAGATAAAAATAATACTTATCGCTAGGGTATTGGAGGAAATTAACTGAGTTAATGAGCTAGAGTGCTTAGAACAATGCCTACACACAGGAGAGTGCATTAAACGTGAGATATTACATAAATTGTTATAAAATAAATTCTATCACCATCTTACATTGACTGCAATGCTCTTTACCTCCTTCAATTGTTCTCCATTGTGCAAGCATCTTCAGCTTGTGGATTTCCAGAAGGCTTTGCATGACTTCCCACCGAGCAATGCTTTCCCCTTTCTTCTCCTCCAGTGGATTGTTTCAATTTAGACTATGGATACCATTATCTTGCAAACATAAAAACACAACCCGCTAAGTCTCTTGATACCTGTGAGGCTATGTGTAATGTCATGAGTTAAAATACCAACTTTACTTTATGACTTAAATATACTCATATAAATAAGAGGTATCCAGTGTAAAATCACTAACTACTGAAATCTATACTTAATTCATTAAGTATTCCTTAATGAGTCTTCAAATTGTTTTAGCTGAACTTAAAATTATATTTTAAAACACCTTTATACTTATAACAAAATACTAGGCAGTATAGGTTAATGCAAATTACTGTTCTCAGGTGTTGTCCCTTATTTGCTAGTATGTTTCTATATCATAGATTATACATGTTGTTGCTGAAAGAGTAAAAATGCTTCCTTTAATTCAAATCCATTACCATCCTAACCTTTTAATAACTCTGCTTACATTTTAAATCTCTTTAAAAACATTTCTACCATAATTAAGCAAAATGCTAGATTAATGACTGATTGCAAAGCAGCTGTGTCAAAAATAAACAGAACTTTGAATTCAACAAGCTTTTCTTTCTCCAAACTTTGCTGTGTACATAAACACACCCCATGTCCCCATATCCTCTTCATATTTCACACACGCGAAATTATTCCCAATTAGGTGTTTCTCTATTTGCCTTCTTTCTCATTAAAATCATCCCCAGAGTTTAGCCATCTTAATTCACTGCCCAGTCTAAAAGTTTTGCACTTCCAAGCTTCTACTCTTGAAGATTTTACATTTACAGCAGACTGACTCAGTACACTTTGGAAACTCTGGTGAACAGCTCAGCCCAATGCTAGTCTTGATGCCTGGCCAACGGGCTTAAACAACAGACATAAAAGCTAAATCTGTACTTCCATTTAGTTATGAGGTTGCCAAGTTAGTTTTCCTGATACTGTACCTACAGTATATCCATCTCCCAATGTCTCAGACTCACTTCATTAACTTTGTGACATCAGCCTCTGATGTTATGAACTCAATTTTGCTAATATAAATGATACAGTACTATATAGAAATTTAAGAGGTTGTAACATTAGAAGTCTCTTCAAGATTCCCATAACAGTTAAAGAACAAGGAACCAAAATTCCCAGAACCAATCCTTGCTGGGAAATAATTCCTTATATATAATCTTAAAGCTACTCTCCCTCCCCCAAGCCCTCTGCTTCTGATTCCCACTTATGTTGCAAATAGCTTTTAATGATAGAACAGGGAAATATATTGCGGTTTCACACTTTCGGGGATTTTATGGTCACTTATTCCTAACTAGGAGATAGAGACACATAGCAGAAAATTTTGTTTTTTCTTTTTTAACTTAAACTGGTTTAGTATATTGTGCTCTTTGTTATATGGATATATTTAAGACATGACACTTCAAAGATCAACTAATAGAAGAATGCTTTCTTAATGACAAGCCTCTATATGCATATTACTTACCCTTTATCGGGTTTATAAGCTCAGTCGCTAAATTGTTGTGACCAACTAATATAGAAGCTCCAATTTACCACCATGAATTTACATCATATCACAAAGAGCATGGACACAAAATGCTGTATTGTTCCCGAGAAGTAAGGAATATTTGCCCAACATCAATTATACCTCAGAAAATGCACTTTACCTAAAAAAGCCAAATTTATGGAGATTTACTTATATGATTCAAATCTCACTCTTCACATCTTCTTCTTTCTTCGAGCTTAACAGCCATCCCTAATCATGGCGTACGTTCGTTAATGCATACATAAGGAAAAGAATGCAAGCTGTGTTGTGAAGAAGTTAAGGCATCAGACTTTCTAAGTACAACTGCTGGCTTTACTAGTATTTGATGCACGTTCTTGAACAAGTTACTTAGCAGCTCTGGGCCTTAAGTTCCCCTCTGTAAAATGGGAAAAATCATCCACATAGAGCTGTAATGGAACTTTAAATGACATAGTATATGTGAAGCAGTTATAATAATTATAATTATAATAGTTGCCTAGTAAATTAAAAAAATTACACACACACACACCACACATATACAGTCATATGCAGAATAATGATGTTTTGGTCAATGATGGACCATATATACAATGGTGGTTTCATAAGATTATGTTAGAGCTAAAAAATTCCAATCCCCTAGTGATGTTGTAGCCATCGTAACATCATATTTTTATTTTTTGTGTAGCCTAAGTGTACAGTGCTTAAAAAGGCTACAGTAGTGTACTGTAATGTCCTACGCCTTCATATTCACTCACCACTCACTCACTGACTTCCTCAGAATAACTTTCAGTCTGGCAAGCTCTATCCATGGTAAGTAAGTAATTCTTTAAGTCTTTTATGCCATATTTAAATCTATTATGCCATCTTTTCTATGTTTAGATATACATATATTTATTTGCCATTGTGTTACAGATGCCTACAGTATTCAATACAGTAACATGCTATACAGGTTTGTAGCCCAGGAGCAATATCCTTGGGTGAGCCATATAGCCTTGGTGAGCAGCATGCTGTACCACCTAGGTTTGTGTAAGTGCACTCTATGATGGTCATGCAATGATGAAATCACCTAACAATGCATCTCTTAGAAGTTTTCTCATTAATCAACACATGACTCTCTCTCTCTCTCTCATTTTATATATACACACACACACAGACACATACAGACACACAAACACATACACATAACTAAGATGTCACATGTTCATTGCAGCACTATCACAATAGCCAAGCTATGGAAACTGCCGGAATGCTCATGGATTTTTAAAAATGTCGAAAATACATTCAATGGATTAATCAGCCTAAAACAACAACAACAACAACAACAAGAAAATCCTACAAATGCAGGATGTGGTTTGGCTGTGTCGCCACCCAAATCTCATCTTGAACTATAGTTCTCATAATCTCCACATGTTGTAGGAGGGACCTGGTGGGAGGTAATTGAATCATGGGGGCGGTTACCTCCATGCTGTTCTCATGATAGTGAGTGAGTTCTCACAAGATTTGATGGTTTTATAAGGGGCTTTTCCACCACTTTGCTCTGAACCTCTTCCTGCCACCATGTGAAGGATGTGTTTGCTTCTGCTCCTGCCATGATTGTAAGTTTCCTGAGGCCTCCCAGCCAAGCTAAACTGTGAGTCAATTAAACCTCTTTCCTTTATAAATTACCCAGTCTTGAGTACGTCTTTATTAGCAGCGTGAGAATAGACTAATACAGGCAACAATATGAAGCTTGGGGGCATTATGCTAAGTCAAACAAGCAAGTCATGCAAAGACTAATACTGCAGGATTCCACTTACATGAGGTATCAAAAATAGTCAAATTCATAGAAACAAAGAAGACAGTTGTGGTTGCCAGAGATTGGGGGCAGAGGGAAATGGAGAAACGTTAATCAAGGGATATATAGTGTCAGTCATGCAAGATGAATACATTCTAATGATCTGCTGTATCAAAAAATGCATTTCAGTTAGATAGGAGGAATAATGTTAACAGGTCTATTGTACAACATGGTGACTATAGTTAATAACAATGCAATGTATTTTGAAAATTGCTAAGAGCAGATTTTAGGTGTTCTCACCATAAAAAATGGTCAGAATGTGAGGTAATGCATGTTAATTAGCCCAACTGAGCCATTCCACAATGTACTCATAATTAAAAACATCATGCGAATTTTTCAATTTTTTAAAATTTATTTTTATTTAATTAATTAATTAAATAATTTTGAAATGGAGTTTTGCTCTTGTCGCCCAGGCTGTAGTGCAATGGCACAATCTGGGCTCACTGCAACATCTGCCTCCCAGGTTCAAGGGACTCTCCCGCCTCAGCCTCACAAGTAGCTGGGATTACAGGCGCCTGCTTCCATGCCCAGCTAGTTTTTGTATTTTTAGTAGAGATGGGGTTTCACCATGTTGGCCAGGCTGGTCCTGAACTCCTGACCTCAGGTGATCCACCTGCCTTGGCCTCCCAAAATGTTGGGATTATAGGCGTGAGCCACCATGCCAGGCCTGTCAATTGTTTTTTTAAAAAAGATCTGCTGTACAACATTGTGCTTATAGATAACAATACTGTATTGTAGATTTAAAAATCTGTAAAGACTGTAGGTCTCATGTTGAGTGTTCTTACCACAATAAAAAAGAAAGGAAAAGAAAGAAAAGCATTTTCAGTTGAATATTTACTGAATCATAACCATAAAGACGTAATTGCCCTTTAACATCTCTAATGTTAACATTGATCCAAATTTAAATTGATTTCTCCTGTGCCTTAACCTTCTAAATCAAATGCCTGTCTAGCTTCTGGAGTATGAGTATGATGCAGCATTTGTTGACACTGTATCAGTATTGTGGGGAAAGTAAAGACAGAGATAGCACTAATTATCATTAACCTTGGCCCAGGTCTTCAAATGACCTATGTGGTCTTAGGAAAGTCACACATCCTTCATTTTTATAAATTCTTAAAAAAAAAAAAAAAAACAACTCTGCCGTAACTATCTCACCAGAACTTTTACATCCAAGTCTCAGTTCAAATGTCCCCTCTTCCGTGAAGACAAAGTGTTTCATGTTTTCCATTACATTTGTAATGGAAACACTTAGAATGTTTCCAACATAGATCACTGTTTACATACTTATGCTATTTGCTGGCTTTAGAGAGTAAGACATTTCTATGGTTTGAATGTCCCCTCCAAAAATCATGTTAAAATTTAATTGCCAATGTAACAGTATTAGGAGGCGGATCCTTTAAGAAATGATTAGGCCACGAGAGCTCTGCTGTCATGAGTGGATTAATGCCATCATTTCAGAAGTAGGTTAGTTATTGCGGGAGGGAGCTCCTAATAAAAGAAAAAGTTTGTCCCCGCCATTCCTTCTTTTCTCTCTCTCCTGCTCGCTCCCTCTGTCTCATGCTGGCTTTCACTTTCTGCCCTTTGCCATGGGATGACCTTGGCCATATGCTGGCACCATGCTCTTGGTTTTCCCAGCCTGTAGGAAAACAATCGTGAGCCAAATTCATTTCTAGTCTTTATAAATTACCCAGTCTGTGGTATTCTGTTATAGCAGCACAAAATGGACTAAGACAGCAACTTCCTTTGTGTCTCCCGCAAGAGCCTATTAGATACTTGCTGAGTTGAATTAAACACTAAATGTGAAAGCATAGCATACTACAGCTATATTGAGTGGTGGTTGGGATTAAAATCTAGATTGTTGGGTTGATATTTTAGTGGAGCAAGTGTTTATCTTTGAATAACGATTCCAAATTCCCACATTTGGATGTGAACATTTGGCTATCATTATTGATTCCTAGGTATTTTCCCATGCTATTTTTAGTGTCAAAAGATTAAAATGATACTTAAAAACAACATCAATAACAAAAAAACTAATTATAAATGTCATCTTTTAAATCTACAATAGGGAAAAAGAATGTAAAATACCTTGGAATAAATGTTTACGTCTTACTACAACTATAACGCAATCACCTTTTCTCCCATTCCCAATAGTTTCAAGCAAAAAATGTAATGGCCATGGGCTTTGGGCCTATCAGAACAAAGGCTTGAATTAAGCAAATAGATTGTTTCAAACAGCAGCATGACAGTAAAAAGATTAATGAGACACATCTTGGAAATGAATAGATAATAACATACTCTTTTCTCAGATTTCCCCTTGCCCCTCAAAATCGATGAATCGCATTTACCCTCAATGCAACTAAATGGGAGAATTAAAAGTAGGGGAAAAAATATCAGTCACAGGTATTCTGCTTCTGGAAGGCCTCTAATTCTATTTCCTGTTTGACATATTATTTTATTCCCATTTTCTCTAAATGTAATATAGTAACTTGCCATAATAAACGGTTCTCTAATTTGCCACTTTTGTGATTGGCATTTTCAGATTTTTCAAGGACGCTATTGGTCGTTCCTTCATATGTTGCAAAAATAAACGGAAAAACTGAACCACATGTCATTGTTGGGCGGAATTTTCTGAATTTGTCTTGAAGCCAAGAGAATTTATTTGACTGTCTGGGGAGTATCGAGGCAGATCTCTTGTTCTCAAACAGACACCAAAGTTGCTTGAACAAATGGTTCGCGTTAGCTGGAGAAAGACACTGAATGGAAACCATGTGCCTCTGAACCTTGTGGTTTCAAGTTGAACCACAAGCAGTGAGAAGAGCTGTCAGTCTCTAGTCTTGATTTCGGCCATACTCACGGGGAAGAGAAAAACTGTCAGTGCCACCTCTTATGTTGTCTTAATAAAGAGACCTGTGAGCTCGTGCAGTACAGACTGTCTCTGGGTGAAGAGTAAGAGACAGAATCTCAAGAAGCTTCCAGTGGGATGTAATAAAGACACATGATTTTTCTCTATGGACATCCACACATGGTAAAGGTAGCAAATCAAGGCCTTTCTGAGGAGCAGAAACAACCCAGGGAGGCTAACGAACATAAAAATCTGGCATCCTCTTATAGCTATCATAAAGGTGAAGAAAAACATCCTAGAGGAATTAGCTTTGAGACCCAAGACGGTTAAGGTTGCTAGAACAGAAAAACAAGAAAGACAAATTTTTAAGTGTTACCATTTATCAAACTCCAACAGCAATAAGGGAATGTTATAAAGGAATATTAAGTGCTATTTTATATCACAATGGCAAAAGAATCGTTTAACTACATGTAAGTATGGCTTCCTCAATGAATATAGGCATGCCTTCACCTAGCCATTTAGATGATGGAATCAGTTTCTGAAAAATGGAATAAGGTTTGATGTTGAGTTATCTAGCAACTAGAAGGAATAGTGAAAACATTTTTTGCTTCCTCTTCTGTGCCTTCTATTAAAAACCTCTTTGCCTCAGACTGATTTACTTTAAGCAGCTAACACTTCTACCAGTTTGAAGAAAAGGATAAAGAATAAGAAATAAATTGTAACTATTTACTACAGTTAATATTAAACTTTCAAGTATTCTACAAATGTACAATACTGGTGCAGGATGTTGACATTAGTGGGCAGGGAGCATATGGGAGATCTCTGTACTTTCCTCTTTCTTTTGAGGTGAATCTAAAACTGCTCTAAAAATAGTCTTGAAAAAAGTGCTGGGCAAGGCGTGGTGGCTCATGCATGCAACCCCAGGACTTTGGGAGACCAAGGTAGGTGGATCATCTGCGGTCAGGGGTTCAAGACCAGTCTGGCCAATATGGTGAAACCCCATCTCTACTAAAAATACAAAAATTAGCCAGGCTTGGTGGTGGACATCTGTTATCCCAGCTACTCGAGAGGCTGAGGCAGGAGAATTGCTTGAATCTGGGAGGTGGAGGTGGCAGTGAGCCAAGATCATGCCATTGCACTCCAGCCTGGGCAACAGAATGAGACTCTGTCTCAAAAAAAAGAAAGGAAAAAAGTGCTAAATGTATTATTGTGATATACAGGAGGCTAAAATCAAGTATAACTTGAAAAGTAGGCCAAGTGACTCATATTAAAAATGAATAAATGCGTACCCACAAAAATTTAAAAAAAATTTAAAATGTATAAAATGAATAAATATAAATGTAAACATAATATATAATTACATATAGCACACAAACATATAGCAATAGAGAAAGACGAGTATGTGTATACTCACACACACACACATTTCTACAATTTAATATAGTGATTTATACCTAGAATCAAGCAGCTTTTGGGGGACTTGGAGGTTTTATAATACAGAAGAGATAAACTGCAATTACTTTTGACCATTTTGCTCATCTTTTTCTTTTCCTTTTCTTTTTTTTGTTTAGATGGAGTTTTTTTGCTCTTGTTGCCCAGGCTGGGGTACAACAGCATGATCTCAGTTCACTGCGACCTCCACCTCCTGGATTCAAGAAATTCTCTTGCCTCACTTCCCAAGTGGCTGGGATCACAGGCATGCGCCACCACACCTGGCTAATTTTGTATTTTTAGTAGATGGGGTTGCTCCATGTTGGTCAGGCTGGTCTCAAACTCCTGACCTCAGGTGATCCGCTGGCCTTGGCCTCCCAAAGTGCTAGGATTATAGGATTATAGGATTATAGGTGTGAGCCACCGCGCCCGGCCTTGCTCATCTTTTTCTAAGAGATTCAGTAGCCCAAGCTAACATAGATTTCATTCTGTTTCAGCAAAAAATATCTGTGACATGCTCATGAACTGTCCTTCCCAGCTGTTTACCATTCACCTCTATTTTTCATTCATCTCTGTTTTCTGTTCACTTCTGTACCATTTCTTTCTGTTTTCCTGAGAAATGAGCCCACTGAGATAAAGACTGGCCCAACAAGAACACTGAAAAGCATTCCTTAAGGTGAAAAATAGAAAAAAAATCCATTTCTGAAGTTCTTTTTAGACTTACAGTTTTGAGCATTGGTTCACAAATTTGCCTGCAAATAGAGTCAATAGAAATTTTTAAAAATAGACTCAAAACAGAGCCAATTATAATATGTTGATGAGACCCAGTTATCAGTACATGTATTTCCTGGGTGAAAAATATCTTAAAATTACAGCATTAAGTTATGTTATCATTTGAATAGAATTATTTTACACGAGCTAAATGACATTAACTCTATAGTTTTCAGGTAAATCATGAGAACTTGTCTAATCATCAATTGGATGTTGTGCCATCTGTGTACTTTGATCAATAAGATAACCTACATGTGTACGTTACCTTTAATTTGGTACATTTTAAGAAATAAAGACATTTCTGATAATTTTAATGATCAAAAAAGCAAAATGAGGTACACCATCATTCCAAAACAGATTCCAAGGCATCGAAGTATTTGTTCAAATAAAGAAATGAACTAAAACATTACACATATCAGACTCCAAAAGGGTCAACAACAACCCATAAGCTCAATAGACCCATCAGCTCAGAACTAATTTTGAGCCCATGTGTCAGTCAGTATTTATTAACCACCTACTATGTGTCAAGCACATGTGGAATTTGGCAGTCTATATTCCAATGCTACAGAATGTTCTTGGAATGGCTAACTCATTTCAAGACCTATGTTGACTATAATGTCTGATCACTTGTAAATTCTCCAAATATCTACATCATAGTGGTAAGCGCTGTATAAGCAAGACATTCTCAAACACCATCACATATTATCCCTATTTAATTGACCAAATTGCAAACATTCAGCGTGTTTACATTTGATGTACGTTACATGATATAATGCTGAATGTGTCAATTGTGCTCATGATTAATGTAAGTTGAACGTTACTATTATAATATCTAATTTTCTGAAATGCTAAGGTAAAAATTTTCCTATTTTAACATTTCTGAAATTAAGATGTATCTTATCATTGAGTATAGACTGGGTATGGCTTATATTTACTCTTCCTTCCATCAGCCTCTCCCAACCTAAAAACTAACATTACATTAAATTGATATCTTAGAGTTGAAGACTGTTTAGAAGAAAGAAATACAGGAGCTTCCCTAAGTAGTTCAATAACCCTATGTATACATCATTCTTCTAAAGTAGGGGAAGGAGAAGATAAAAACAAAGATCATCAATGTTCAGTCTGGCTGATAGACAAAGCCTAAGTATTATTGCAGAATATCATAGTCCATATTATCAATTTCCAGCAGATGGCATCTCACACTGTTAAGTTAGTCATTGAGGAGCCTATGGGATGTCCTTGCTTGGATAACACATGGAACTCCAAATTGTGCTTGTGTTTCATGAGAGTACATTTGCCAGCACAGTCACCTAGAATGAGAATTTCTGTAACTAGCCTCAGCATGTGGTCACTAAGATTGCCCACAAGCATTTAGTATTTTCAGCAGAACCAAAGCATAGTGCACATTTTAATGGCAGTGACTCCTGTTTTAGAACAGTCTGCACAACATAATTGTAGGGCAAGGTGGGAATTATGAGTCTTAAACAAGTCTTGTAGGTGGGGATAACATGTGTATTAAAATAACCAAAACCATTGGCTCTGCTTTTCTGCAGATAAGCCTCACACAGCTATGATTCACAGCACTGTACAGCTGCATCTTTCTGGAGAAAATCTTGCAGTATTTAACTGTGCCTTCTGAGATATATTCAATTTTTCCACTTTTATTAAAATTTCCATTATGATAATATTTGTTTTCAGTACTTCAATGAATAATTTTAAAACGCATATTAACATATGAATCTTTGCATCCTAGGCAAACTTGAGAACCAATGTTCAAAACAGTAGGGTTAACAGGAACTTCAGAAATTGATTTCTTTCCTATTTTTCCCCTTAGATTCTTTTCAGTGCTCTTGATGGGACAGTATCTATCTGAGTGAGCTGATTTCTTCAGGAAACAGAATTAAATGGCACAGAGTTAAATGGTACAGAGGTGAACAGAAGACAGAGGTGAATGGAAAACCGAAGTGAAGGGTAATTTGTGAGCATCTCACAGATATTTCTGCTAAAGCAGAATGAGATCTATACTACCTCAGGCAATGAATGTCCTGGAAAAATCCTGGGTAAAATGTTCAAAAGTAATTTCAGTTTATCTCATGTTGTCTAACAGTCACTTGAAGACGAAAGAGAAATTTCATGCGGCAATAGCTAAGCATGGCTTTTTTTTTTACACCGTATTTTATTAGACTGTGGAATCTTCACCTTGTTCTTAGTCAAATTGTTCAAGATAACTCTTTCTCAGCACTCTATTTTTTCTTAAATGTCAACTAATTATGCTAACAAGCATATCAACAAGAATATATAAACCCTCATTTTGTTCAATTAACACTAAATCAGCAACTGATTTCAGTGAAATAGTGGTTTCAAGATGAAAGGACGCATTTGAGCTACACGATGTCTTTAGCTTGATCGAAATTCATAAAAGCTCCTAACATCAAAGGGGAGAAATAAGATCACATTTTAAGATAATACAATTCTAAGTTATATTTTTTAAGTTGAAATGACATCATAAAAATTGTGCCTAACAAAATGCTAACTGAATGTCCCGAAGAACAGAAACAAAAGCAGTTCGCATTGGAAGCTATTTTAGATAAGAAGTTTTGATGCTATAATGAAGAAAAAAATCAAGTAAATTGCTTCTTTTGGAAGAGATAACAAAATTTGTCACCTGAATAAGTGTGGGAATTGAAATAAAACCTATAAATGAGTCCATTTTGACAGAATGCTGGTATCAAAACTCTACAATGAATTACCAATTCTATTCAAATGATAACATAATGCTGTAATTTTAAGATATTTTTTACCGAGGAAATACATGTACTGATAACTGGGTCTAATCCACCAATTAGATAATAGATAAAAAAATGCTGACTTGTGGTTCGCATGAGCTGAAAAAAAAGGACATTTTTATTGAAATGTCTAGAGTGTCGTTGTAAATGTAGGTCTGAAGTTCAAGAGAAGTTGGAAATAAGCTTTATCCAAGAGTCTTCCATGCAGAAATAAGAGTTTAAAACTCTGGAATGGGAAAATTTCTGAGATAGAGAGTATAGAGAAAGAAATGGAGAGTAATGGGAACCACTGGGTAATGAAACTTGGGTTAGATAATCATTTTATCTGCCTTTGGCTCTTCTATAATGCATATGACTACCATTTCTGTAGAGTGAGGCCAACTATAGTACGGGTGAATTTAATAATAAATTATAAGAAAAATGTTCCACCATTGTATTCACATTACATGAGTGTGAGCATCCCTTGCACATCCCTAGTACTCCCTAAAAACTGAAGGAGAAACTAATTATAATGTATTTATTTGTATTGACTATGAAACGTTTTGTTCCCCAAATGCTTGATTTTCTCTCTTCCTTATCAATCAGTGATCAAATTCTTCTAAAGATAAAATAAAGATTGCTTTATGTTTTATATTAAACAGAAACTAGTGTAACTCTGCCTAATTAAATGGCTCCTATCTAATCCTTCCTAGTCAGTTCTGGCAAAATTAAAAATTTAGAATATTGAACAAATGAATAGTCTTCCTACGTAGTATTTTTCTATTTCAGCTACAGCCAATGAAAATGTACAAACTGGATTAACTAAAGGAGAGATGATTATCTGTCTTTTAAAGCAGTAATGTTTAGGATTACCTAGGGATGTAAGTAATAAGTAGTCCCTGTCAATCAGGAGGAAAAAAACTTCAGTCTTTTTTATTCCCAAATGGAGCCCCAAAATGACTGGCCATAAGCAAAATGGCACTGTGTGCTTCTTTGTTCCCCACCCTCAACTCCCTCCTTCCATTCTGACCCTTCTCCTCTACTCCACACCATCAAAAACCTGCTCCCATATCTCATATTCACACTACAAAATACATGAAAGTTTTTATGCAAAGTTCACCAGGGTGGGCAGAGAGGATGGGGAGAGGCATAGTTGAATCTTATCTTGGATAAAATCAAATTAAAAACACTGAACACTAGTGGGGAGATTTGTAGCAACTACCCATATTAAGAATGTTTGGGCATGGAGAGAGGTTCAAGAAAATCTTGTAGAGTTTCATTGAGTTAGACTGGGCAAAATAGGGATGAAGGCATTGTTTGGCAGACAGCAAACAAAGGAGGAAGCAGAAGATTTCAAACCTAATTTTGCAAATGATTTGGGGAAGAGATATGTCAGTCTGCACTCACTATAGTATTTCCCCCACGGTTTATTTTATAATCCACTGAGAGCAGATTGTTTTTAAAATATCTGTTATATACTAGTTACCTTTTAAATGTTTACCCTTTGAAGGACTGTGATGCTGTTCCTAATTTACATTTATGATTATTCTGTCATCATTTATGTAAAATTGACTAAGAGGGTGTTTTCAGGAATCTACTGGAAACCATGAGCAATGTAAATTGCCAAGGTGCCAGAAATGTAGGAGGGCTAATTCTATGACCTTACCATTAGTACTTTATATCTGCTCTATTTGGACAAACTTATGGAAGGAAATATACTTTACTTTTCCATAGAAGAAATTAAACACTCGTGCATTAATATGTCACATACAGGAGTTCAATGCCTGCACTGTAGTTCCACCACATATTAACGGGTGATTCCACTCTCTGAGCAAAGCCGACTGCAGACAGAGTTTTCTTCCTCTCTTGTCAAACATCCCCTACCTGAGGCACCAGGATCTTGTTCAGCACTTGAGTCCAGAAACAGCAAATTCAATCTAGCTGTGGCAGGCCGAGGGTAAATTGGAATGCCAACTCTAGACCGGGATTCAAAACCACGAGCCTCTGGAAATAAAGCTTGGACTTGGAGAAATGACACCAACCTCAAGCCAAGAAATCTCACCC
The DNA here is from genome assembly GCF_000001405.40 of Homo sapiens. NCBI lineage: Eukaryota > Metazoa > Chordata > Mammalia > Primates > Hominidae > Homo > Homo sapiens. Next base: position 71,241,628 of record NC_000017.11, read on the forward strand.
AGTTTGTTTAACAGTTTTCAGTGCACAGTGAATATAGATAACCACTAACATTACTCCTGTTTTAGTTTAAAGCATATCCGACTAAGAACTTAATGTAAGGTGCCATAAGAATGAAAACATCACACTCTTCTCTGGGTTCTCAGTCTTTGAGATATTTTGGCGGTCACCTGATTGCAAAATGTAGCAGCAACTTTCTTTTCTGGTGTGCTAAGATAGTTTTATCTCATTTTTCTACCTGTCAAGTGCTAGTTTCATGCATTAGCTGGAGCTACAATAGGAAAATAAAATGGACACTGCAGATATTCTATAAATATATCTAAGTCTATGTCTTTCTATCTACTTATCTCTATCTTTTGGTCTACCTATTGTCGGTCTGTTTGTCTATCTGTTCATGTATGTATGTATGTATGTATGTATGTATCTATCTATCTATCTATCTATCTATCTATCTATCTATCAATTAATCATCTATCTCTTCAGATCCTCACTACACCATCATCATCTCTGGCTCTTCAGAAATCCCCCCAAAGTATCAGAGACTGGCAGAACAGGAGTCAAACCACACCTCAGACCTGACAACCCTGGATTCATTTCCTCATTTTTCTATACCTCTTCCATCCTGCTTCAGGAAAGCCATCCCAAGCTCTCACTTTATTCATTGTAAAATATGTAGTGTGGAAATTCAGAAAGATAATGAGATATAATGAAGTTCACTGGTGTCTTAGAAAACATTTTTAAAATCTTATCAAAACTTGAAATTCTATGTGAAATCAGTGTTTATTTGTCCAAAAAAGATTTTAGCCACACTAGTCATGAAATGGCTTGTCTATTTGTGTGAGTGTCATATAAATAGGCTTCATTCATTTTTTTTTTTTGAATAGACATAACTTGGAATTCTGGATTGTTGGGAAGAAAACACTATTTGACTCAGGTGGGGTACAGTTGAATGATGACAGCCATAGAGATGATATTGATGATGATGATGATATCTATTTGTTAGGTGTTCAGTCTGTGCCAAGAATGATGTTGAGCTTTACAGTGTATTATTTTAATTAATTGAACATTCTAAAAGTTGATCCTATACACTTTTTAAATTTCCTCTATTAACTGCCAACACTCAGCTTCTGAAGCCAGTAAGGGATGCCATATCAACTCATCATCTGTTTTATTCTCATACCTTAATGAATGATTTACCTTCATTCAGTTGGTGGACACAAGTTACAACCAGTGGCAGCACTCATTAATTTGCGGAGCCACTGGACCAAAGGAAGAACTAACCAAATTAAAATGGTAAACATTTCACACTTAACAAGCAGGATAATGAATTACTTACTTATGTCCTCATTAGCTACAGTATGGAAACTTGCCAGGCCGTGATAAGCTTCATAAATAATCTTTTATTTTTTATTTTGGCATTTAGTATTCTTGGTTTTTTTTTTTGAAGGCAATAATGTTGCCTGAAGATAAGACAGGGAACGTACCATTATTTAATAAATTCTAGCTGAATCTTGTGGATTGTTGTCATGTTCACAATCTATACTTGTTGTTTATTTTCATTCCATTCTTCAAAAAATATTATTTATTGACAGAAAAAAATATGTATTTGTTGTGTACAACATGATGTTTTGAAGTATACATACAGTGTGAAATGGGTAAACCTAGTTAGTTAACATATATATTACTTCACATAGTCACCATTTTTGTAGTCAGAACACGTAACATTCATTCTCTTAGCATTTTTCAAGAATATTGATTGCCATTAGCTGTAGTTATCATGCTGTATAATAGATCTCTTGAACTTATTTTTTTCTGCCTAATTTTGTAATTTCCTATTTTTTCACAAACATTTCCTCAACCACTGCTCTCAACCACCCCAGTCTCTGGTCACTTCCAGTCTACTCTTTCCTTCTATAACATCAACTGTTTTAGATTCCACACATGAGTGAGATCACATGGTATTGGCTTTTCTGTGCCTGGCTTACTTCACTTAACATAATGTTCTCCAGGTTCAACCATGTTGTCACAAATGACAGAATTTCCTTCATTTTTATGGCTGAATAGTACTCCATTTTGTATATATACCACATTTCTTAAACCCATTCATCTGTTGATGGACACACATTGATTCCATATCTTGGCTACTGTGAATAGTGCTGCAACAAACATGAGGGTTCAGATATCTCTTCTACATACTGACTTCATTTCTTTTGAATATACACTGAGTAGTGGGATTCCTGAATCATGTGTAGTTCTATTTTTAATTCTAATTATTTATATTTATTGAGCACCTGTGTAGATGACACTATACTAAGTAATTCAAGTATGATATCTCTTTGGAAAGCACAGAACCCCTGTGTTATAGGCATTGCTGTCATCCTCTCCATTTTGCAAATGGCAACAAGAGATACTTAGTCATTTAGTAAGATACAGCTAGCGAAGAGCTGGGATGGGAACTCGGGCTGTATTTGCCTTCCTAAGGGCAGGGTTTCCACAGCTCATAAGAAATGAAGGAAGTTTGAAAACTCCTGGTGTTGAGGAGGATATAGTAACACTTCTGGGCTCCTCTTTTTCCAAACAGGTTTGTCTCTTGTTCAGTATAGTTCTGTCATACTTTTCCAACTACTCAAACAATCTTCACAGAGGGAGGCCCAACGCAGCCATTCCTCCAAAATACATTTATACATTTCCTTTAACAAGTTTGCCTACGATGGTAGATCATTTGTATGTTTTTTTCTTTTTTTTTTTTTTCTTTTGAGACCGAGTTTTGCTCTTATTGCCCAGGCTAGAGTGCAGTGGCACAACCTCGGCTCACTGCAACTTCTGCCTTCCAGTTTCAAGCAATTCTCCTGCCTCAGCCTCCCAAGTCGCTGGGATTACAGGCACCTGCCACCATGCCCATCTAATTTTTTTGTATCTTTAGTAGAGATGGGGTTTCGCCATATTGGTCAGGCTGGTCTCAAACTGCTGACCTCGTCATCTACCCACCTCAGCCTCCCAAGGTGCTGGCATTACAGGCATGAGCCACTGTGCCAGGCCCTGTGTTTTTAACTTTCTTGAGTGTTCCAGTAAGTTAATTAGAAAGTCCAGCATGCTCCATAAGCACGGTGTTGGATTGTTATCTCTCTTTAGCATTAATTAAGCACATATATTCAGCATACAGAAAGGGGCTTTCATATCTATGAGTCAATGCAATTAAATCTACCAGTCATACATGAAAGACATTGTCTTTGAACCACTCTTTCACGGGCTTGCAATGAAACATTGATGCATTCTGAAATTGCATACCACAGGTATTTAAACTGTGAAACCTATTTGACAGTATGCTTATTTCACATGCAACAGTGATACTTTGCATTCATCATCATTAGGCTACATAATTGGAATTACTTTTTGATTTGGCATAGTGGGGCATGGTTTGCAGCATTTAGTTAAACTTACCACTACTTCTAATGATTAATAACAGGTATAAGCAAGATGGATTTTCAGAGTAATGCTCATCTACTGTGTTAGTAGAATAGATTAAATTTAACTGCTTTGTGGGGACATTGACCCCAAAACTTGCTTCAATTAGTGTATGCCTCTAGCTATCTAAACTAGCTGGGCACCCAGGTATTACTAATCTATTGCTTTGGCTTTTGTTTGTTTTAATATTATTTTTTAATGGGTAAATGTAGAGATATATACATATTTTTTATTTTACTTTAAGTTCTGGGATACATATGCAGAACATGCAGGTTTGTTACATATTTATACATGTGCCATGGTGTTTTGCTGCACCTATCAATATTTTTAACAAGCCATTGACTTGCTCTTTTTTATGACCATCACATGCTTTAAAAATGGGACAGTTGGCCAGGCGCAGTGGCTCACGCCTGTAATCCCAGCACTTTGGGAGGCCGAGATGGGCAGATCACCTGAGGTCAGGAGTTCAAGACCAGCCTGGCCAACATGGTGGATTATCTACTAAAAATACAAAAATTAGCCAGGCACGATAGCGGGCACCTGTAGTCCCAGCTACTCAGGAGGCTGAGGCAGGAGAATCGCTTGAACCCAGGAGGTGGAGGTTGCAGTGAGCTGAGATCGCACTACTGGACTCCAGCATGGACAAGAGCGAGACTCATCCAGAAAAAAAAAAAGGAGACAGTCAATAGCATCATCTGTATAAAATCTTAAGCATAAAGCAGTTTTCTAAAGGAGAAATATTAATCAAACATCTAAAGCAGGGCATTTTATTCAACCACCACAAGAATTAAAAACAGCAAATAATGACGGAGCACCTACAAGAAACATCCAAGGTAGTTCTTTAAGAATTCAGTTTATCTTTTTCTTTCTGTCTATGGAACTGTGAAGTACAAGGGCAGAGATTCGCTAGAGGTAATTTTCTGTGGCACTGGTCACTTGCAAGTTTGACATGCCTTCAAAATGGGAAAATACCAAAATGGTTGTTTGGTTTTCCTGAAGGCTACAAAAAAAAGGGTGTTTCTACAACTGGATAAATGATCATTTCTATTTTTCATGGAAAAGTAAATCCAATAAAACAGAGTAAGTATCTCATTCACCAAACCCATTCCTGGTGCATCTATGTGAGTAAAACTCTAAGTCACTACAGTTAGTGGGCTTTGGACAGACGGGAAGGGGAGAAGGGAAATAAATGAAATTGGAGATTAGGAAGTAACAAAAGAAGAGAAATAAAAACCAGGCCTCTGTAACTTTTGATCACTGTTAAACAAGGCAGGATCCACAATTATAAAGGGAAGCAAATCTCAGAGAAATGTGAGGGTGACACGTCTGTACTAAAAACTGAGTAATTTCCCATGGAACAAAAAAGGGAAAGTTTATTTTACTATGAAATAATGTACTCACTTGGCTGACTTGCCAGCAAAGCAACAGAAAAACTAGACAATCCATGTCTGCTCTAGGAATAAGATATTGGGGACGTTTTCTAAGCAGAAGAAGCAGGTCTGAACCTAAACCCCTTCTGAAACTATCTTCAAATATTGTGAAGAGCAATCTACCTAGGGACCTCAGAGCCAACAGTTACTTTTCCCTCAAAAGTGCTCAACCTTAAAACAACTTCTTAAATTCAAGCATGTTTGTGGACAGAACTTGCTTTATGAATAATTGTAGAAGACAACATCGATTTCACCTGGTATGATCTGAATTCAAGAGTCCTTTCTGGCAGGGCATGGTGGCTCGTGCCTGTAATCCCAGCACATTGGGAGGCCAAGGTGGGTGGATCAGGAGATCAAGAGATCAAGACCGTCCTGGCCAACATGGTGAAACCCCATCTCTACTAAAAACACAAAAATTAGCTGGGCATGGTGGCATGCGCCTGTCATCACAGCTACTCAGGAGGCTGAGGCAGGAGAATCTCTTGAACCCGGGAGGCAGAATTTGCAGTGAGCCAAGATCGGGCCACTGCACTCCAGCCTGGTGACAGAGCGAGACTCTGTCTCAAAAAAAACAGGGTCCTCCCCATAAAGATTCTTCCACCTTTAACATATATTCTCTAATCTGAGTTCTTTTTTTAAATTTTTTTTTATTATACTTTAAGTTCTGGGGTACATGTGCACAACGTGCAGGTTTGTTACATAGGTATACATGTGCCATGTTGATTTGCTGCACCCATCAACTCGTCATTTATATTAGGTATTTCTCCTAATGCTATCCCTCCCCCAGTCCCCCACCTCCCAACAGGCGCTGGTGTGTGATGTTCCCCTCCCTGTGCCCATGTGTTCTCACTGTTCAACTCCCACCTATGAGTGAGAACATGCGGTGTTTGGTTTTCTGCCCTTGTGATAGTTTGCTGAGACTCTAAATTTCTATCCATTGATAATTTGTTGGTTTTTTAAAAATCCTTTGTTTTCTCTAGAAAGTTCAACTTAAAATGGATTCACTTAGGAGGAAAACACAGTTGCTAGCTGAGCATTTCAATGAGTTGCCAAGATGAAAGCTGGCTGAGTACAGCCCCATGAGAAAATGTTATCCAAGTAGGTTTTGCCAAGACGAAGAGAAGGATATGTCCAAATCAGAAGCAGGAAGTTCTAAGAGGAGCTCTAAGTGCGACAATATCTCCACAATTAGTTGGTGGAGGAATTAGCAGATTTTTTTAAAGGAGGCCACTTCCTAATTAGTTTATATGACTCAGAGCATCGCCTTCTAACTCCCTTCTCTAGATGTCTCATAGACTGACCAATGATTTCTCAATAATGTATTTACACTACTTTCTCTATGGACAGTTAATCACAAGCTCATTGTAAATAGGTCATTGTGACTCCAACCTTCTTCCAGGTATGTTTCTAGTTCAGAGTATGGGACAGCATACCTGGGAGTACCTGACTTGTGGAAATCTTTGGAATTCTTTCGAGGCCACAAATGATGTGAAGACTTTTCATGCCTTGGGAAAAGCCAACGCACTTGGAGAGACAGGATGCTGAAATGGGAAGTGTGCATTCAAGATGAGACTCATAATTTGTAATGGGGCGATGTCTACACATGAACCAGGTTCTGTTGTTCATATTTTTTGGAATCTTCAGCTCCCAATCTTTGCAGGGCTTATGGTGAGGACCACCCCAGTCTGAAACTAGAAATTGTGGGTAGCCCAGAACTACATTTACACAGTACCTTTACAACTACCTCTTTATTGAGATTTCTTGGTTCTGCTAGGCTAAGCCCCAGAGATCTGGGGCAATGAGGTACAATTCTCTTCCTGTACTAGAAATAAGAGATACAGACAGAGCTACTCAGTGGGAAAAAAAGAAAGTTTGTTAATTTAAAAAAGAAAGCAGACTCATTAATTTTGGCTGATTATTTTAGTGACATTGTTTCTATGAATTCGTTTTTTCAGTGGTGAAAATTGATTTTCTATGAACCATCCATACCCAGATCACAAAAGAAATTGGGCAAGTTGATTTTCTGGAGTTAGAAAAAAAATGAAGCTTTGTAAATGCAAAGCTGAAGATGCCATTTAGAGGTCAAGCCAGTAACCTTGGCTGCATTAGCACCATGCTCTAAACCAACTGAGTTGACGGGGATATTTCAAAGAAATAGGAAATTGAATTAATGGGTACATTCCATTCTTTAGTACCAATAAAAGCCTGTGTAAGTTGAAATAGAAGGGATTCTAGCATTGTCACTACCAATAGTGTGATATTAGGCATACACCCCAATATTTCTGGTTTTTTTTTTTTTTTTTTTGAGACAGAGCCTCACTCTGTCGCCCAGGCTGGAGTGCAGTGGCACGATCTCGGCTCACTGCAAGCTCCGCCTCCCAGGTTCACGTCATTCTCCTGCCTCAGCCTCCTGAGTAGCTGGGACTACAGGCGTCTGCCACCATGCCCGGCTAATCTTTTTGTATTTTTAGTAGAGAAGGGGTTTCACCGTGTTAGCCAGGATGGTCTCAAACTCCTGACCTTGTGATCCGCCTGCCTCAGCCTCCCAAAGTGCTGGGATTACAGGCGTGAGCCACCACGCCCGGCCTCTGGCTCTATTTCAATGTCAGTAATATATTGATATTATTAATTAGCCTCTGCTGAGATGTAGGGAGGCAGAGAAGAGAGAAATTGCGGGGGCGGGGGGGAAAGGAAATTCTAAAATATAAATCATAAATCTTTAGAAGAAAATCATTATGCAAATTCCTTCGCCATCACCATTGTTTTAACTGTTATCACCTGCGATTCACCCAACTGGCAGACTTTCTGTAACCTTTTTACAAAACTGAGCATTTTCCCAAATTCCTGAAACTCACAGGAATAAAAACAAATTGGTTAACAAATTTATTACTTAAAAATATTGAAAGGAAAATTGCACAAAAAGATGGTTTGAGTTTGTTTTCTTCTTCAGTTGTGTTGCAAATAGTTCCCCCAATGAAACCATGGAATTTCCTCCAGTCTGTTCCCCATTACCTCTGTGGGAAAATTGTGAAAAATCAATCTGTTTTCTGCATAACTGTATACATCCCATTATTTGAGGAATGTCAAAAGCAAACCCCAATGACTGACAATATCAATCTTTTCCCTCTATTTTCCAAGTTTAATTTCAGCAGTAGTTACAAAGCAGAAAGGAAAGTGCAGGCTGAATATCATTATACCCCAGGCAATTGCAGATTTTAAGAAGAATTTATATAAAACAGGAGGGTGTATTCTCTTTATAGCTGATTATATCTTTGACCTTGAGAGTCACATAAGCTTCCTATGACTATGAGATTTTTCAAATGTCAGCGAAGAATGGGGCATGGGGCAGGCAGAACACAATGCCTTTCCTCTAGTTGACAGTGAAAATGTAGATAATGCCATGCCAAGGTTAAAATTTTTGAAAGAAAAAAATAAAAAGATTCTAGAGAAATGTAATGATTGGTAACATTTGATGTAATCCTATAAAAGAGTTAGGGCTCAGGGATTTATTATGTCTTCTGTCTTAAACATTTATTGCCGCAAAGGAGCTTTGGGGTGAGATTTTCTTTTTTTTTTTTAAGACAAGCTTGTCATGAAAGCCTAATTTTGCTAATTTTATATAACTTTTTTCAAAATATTTTATTTATAAAGATTTTATTAGATGGTTTTATATTTTTGTAAGAAAATATAAATACTGGGAACTTCATGGTGTTTGGGAAGCAAGAGACGTAAAAGAAAGAAAAAAATTCAATATAGTTTCACTCGGAGGATATCCACCACATGACTTTTTTTTTTCCTTGAAGTTAATGTTTTCCTCTAATAATTTTGTTTTCTCACTATCTCTCATCTCATTCTTCCAGGGAAACAAGAGAGAAAACCTCTGGCCTTAGCTGCCTCTTCACAAAATGAACCAAAGCCTTTTGAGGCGATTACTATTTTTCAAACCACTCTGGAATCCTTACCTATGTTCTTATATTCTGGTCATGAAGGAAGATGGCTACAACATTTATAGTAGAGTAACAAAATTGGGCATTTCAATTTTCGAGCCAGAGGGTCTCCATTTAGTCATGGTGCTGCTTTCTATGATGTATATCCAAACCAATTACTTTGAGATTCTTACAGGATAATGTATATTCAATTTTCCTCAAAGTGTACATCATTCCACATTATTAAACTATGAGAAGCCTAAATAGCTCTGAACTAGGTGTTTCTATGCCTAAGTGTGCTTCCAGATCATCCATAATCTCCTTATGCACTTAGACAAGCTATTGAACCTCTCTGATACCATATTTCCCTATCTATATAAGGGAGATGATCATCCTGCTTTCCAAAACGTATCACTGTGAGCACTAAAAGAGATAATTTGTTCGTAAAACTTAGTACTTGAGCACATGGTAAGTATTCAATAAATGCTAGATGAAAATATACAGTTAGAATATAAGTTTATAGTTATTTTCATCTGACATTTATTGAATGGTCTGGGAGGATCCCTTGGCTTCCTTCTGTTGACACTCTAAATTCCAATGTCTGGACAGGTAGGGCATTAGCAGAAATCATACAAAATGGAATACAAAATTCACTATTGATCAACCATGTTACATATTTTAACTTTGATAATCGTCTCTGGAAGCAAAAGTCTCAACTAGAAGGCTATTGGAGACCCTTAGATTCTATGCAAAGCAAAATGACCTCATTTCATTTATGTTAGGGAAAAAAAACCCTCTCTGAGTGCATGGTATTTCCTTTTCATTAAAGATGATTCTTTCAGATAACATGCTTTTCCAGACTCAAACTATCAAAAGTACACTGGAGATGTCATCAGCAAGATGGACTTCGATAAATTTAAATCAAAAGAAAAAAATGTTTTTGCTCTGCCCTTTTAGCCTTTCCCTATCCCCAAGTCTGAAGAACAGTGACCTTTCCAGCTGGGGCAGGGACAGTGGTTTTGGTGGTTGATGAGTGGAATCTGAGATCTGTCATAAACCTCCATCATCATGCAGCTGTGGGAGGGATCACCCCACTCCTATGCAGCACATGGGCTTTCTAAATAATCTTTCCACCAGCCCTAGACCTTAGCACAAAGGGAGCTTTTCTTCACCTCGTCTAAGGGAGTCACTGTTCTCAGGTTAAAGTGTTGGACCAGATTAACTAGCAGGGTCCCCAACTGCCAAACTATGCACAGCATAATGAATGGGCAACAGGAAAAAGTTTGATTCTCCATTTCTATAAACACCATTTCTTTTTGGCATCCATTCTACAAATTCCGCTAAGCGTGGACCTCTCTGCAGAGATATAACTATGGAGCATATCCACAAAACGCTCTATGCATAGCTATGGAGGTGTGTTCATTGTACCCACACTTCCCTAGAACACCATGAATTTAAGCCTTTCACTTCTTTGCTATCTTGATGTTTCATTTTACTTTCCTGTGCAAGACTAGCCCTCCTCTCTTTTCCTCTCTTTCCTTTCCTTTGTTTTTTCTTAGATCATGTAAAACTGTAAAAATAAAACAAAAGAGAAACACATTTGCCTAATTTTCAAGTAGGAAGGAGACTAGCCTCAAGACAGGGAGACTCCCTTACAGCCAAGATGACTGACAAATTCTTGTGGCTTTCTCCAAAAGTCAAACCAAAATCCAACCAGCAGCCAGGCTTCGTTCTGGCAACCTTGCTTTGCCTGGAAATGAGTGCAATCATATCCTAATAGCTATTTGGATAATTGTTCATATGCGTGATCTGCCAACTAATGTTGGAAACAAGTCCTTATTACAAATATAGCATGCAGTCTAATCTGGAATATATTAAAATGTGATTTCTGTAGATGCCTATTTCTAAACTGGAATAATAATGAAACCATTTATCACATTTGCTTTTAAGGAGAAGAACATTTAAAGTACAATGGTAATCTGTAAATGTGTGAATGTAGACTTACTTTTTTTAATACTTAAATTTTTAAAAATCTTACTATTTTACTCAGAAGTCCTATCTTCTGAATCAGTCTTGGGCTAAAGAAGAATTTTGTCTTGTTTTTCTAACAGATGACCATAATATAAATGCTTGCATATAAAAGTTAACAGTGATACATTTTAACCCCCCATATTGGAAATAAGTTGAATGACTACATGAACTCAAGATAATTGTGGTTGGTGATGCATGGTAGACAATAAGAGGGAGATAAGTCTACTTCTCAGAAATCTAGAACCAAAAGGCAGTCAGAAACAAAACTCCCAAAGATTCCTCACTTTGAGCTAAAACACTGCAAGCTGAACTGCCGTAGTGGGGATCTTTAGTTCTTCCCATAGATATAGATTAGAAGGCATTTTGCTGTACTTTCATAAAGAGGCACTGGGGCACAGAGAAAGAACAGGGGTTTGGACATAAGACAGCCTGAGCTTGAATTCCAGTGTGCCACTTACAAGAGGGGAAAATCATAGAGAACGCACATCCTTTTTCTGAGCCTCAACGTCCCCATCATTGAAATAGGAATAATAAAACTATTTCAAAGCATTGTTTTGATGACTAAATAAAATAGGTATGACTAAATAGAATAGGCATAGGTAATGTGACCAGCACAAACTATGCATCTGATGAACCGAATGACAGTGCTGCTTTGCAGAGACAGTGTAATGTGGTGTTACGAGCATGGACAATAGTGCCATATTTGATTTCACGTATCCCAGTATGAAATCTTTCTAATGGTGTAGTCATGAACGAGGTGTCCAACTTCTCTGTGGCTCAGTTTTTTCATCTGTCAGATGGGGGATAAAAATATTACATACCTCAAAGGGTTGCTGTCAGAAGTTAGTGAGTTAATAATATAAAGATTTTAAAACAAATTCTGGCTCAATAAGGGTTCAAGAAAGCTATCGCTTGTGTTGTTATTAGTCCATTTGGGATAGAAAAAGCCAGCTCCCAGAAGCTATCTCCACTCCTGGTTCAGCCTATTTTCTTCTTCTTTGTCTTTTTTCTCCTTTCCTTTCACCTTTTTCACCTGTTTCTTCCTGGAAATAAAGGGTACATACCCACGTTCAGGCTTTACTTTTCTGAGGATCTACCTTGCATGAGGCAGGAAGAAGGAAAGTAGAAAGCGACTGTGAGTTACAGTCAGGGGAAGTTGGTGTTTTCTTTCCTCAAAGATAATGAAACATGTTTCCGTTTGTCAGTGTCAATTAGTTCCATAAACTGATTCGTTCTACATTTAATAAACAACTGTTGAATGGTGCTACATGCAAGGAACTGTACTAGGCACAATGAAGATGAAATGGTGATGATGTCCATAGTAAGACTCTTTCCCTTCTGACTTCCCACGCACAGGAAGTAACAAATAGATGTTAGGAAGAGGAGTTGGTTATTTTCCTCTGCTTATTGGTGTAATCAACATGATCAGGTGCTTCTAATTACTGTCGCTTTGGGAGAATGAATGGTAAATAATCCATATCTTAATACAGTCTCTCTCCGTATCCTCAGGGAATTGTTTCCAGGACCCTGCATACTCAAGTTCCACAGTTGGTTCTAGCAAAAGTCATATCTGTGGGTTTTGTATCCAGTGAATACTGTATTTTTCCATCCATGTTGGTTGCAGAGGCAGAACCCATGGATAGGGAGGGCCGACTGTATTCACTGGAAAAAAAAAATCCACAGATAAGTTGACTTGTTCAATTCAAACCAGCGTTGTTCAAGGGTTGGCTGTAAAATGATGAAGAAAAGTACAACTTTGATTAACAGAGCCAAAAACAAAATGGACTTCATGGTTCAGTTCTAATGTAGAAGGTTTGAATTTGCTCTACAGCCCTCAAGTGGCAGAAATGGCCTTTTCTGATTTTTCCATATGAAATTATCTCTCCTTCAAGCTCCTCTTAACAGGATAGAAAGTAAATGGTACCGGTCACCATAGAGGAGCCCTGTTACCTCTCTAGGGTAGTATAAAAGTCCTGGAGTGATCCATAGTGCAGAAAAAACTATGGGAAAGGACCAGCAGTCTGGGTCCATCATGGGAATCTTTGAGAAACAAAATCCAAAGTGGGCTGTACTTGCGGACCCCAGGGTTCACAGGCAACTTTATTAGAAATCCTCCCAGTTTTCAAGATACTGCATAGAAGGAGTGCAGTAGACATGTCTCTACCACTTACATAACTGGCCATCCTGTTCCTCCTCATTTTGGGGTCTGCAACCTGGGCTAAGTCACCTCCAGCACCAGCCTCATGCCTGCTCTCTTAGTGACCAACCCAGATGGATCCAGCTCAGTTATCCTCAGCTCCAAAGAGAATCCTGGGCCTGAGGATATGTTCCAGGTGCCTGCTCACTTCTGTTATTGAAATAAACAAGAGTTAAAATCCCCAGGAGTGAGTCAAGATATTCAAACAAGAATATAAAGACTTAGCATTCAGACCCATGGGGAAAAGGAAAAATATTACATTTTTTGTCCTTTCAAATCTGCTACAACAAAAAGAAACAAAATTTAATATCTCATGAGTGAATCCTGTCATACTTTGAAAAAAAATCTACAGAAATGTATCCTGCAGCAGCAATATGTATTCACAAAGGCATCCCAGGGTCTGTGTTTCTTTTCTAGAAACTAAGCTTAATTTTTGTCCCATAAAATCGAGAGAAGGGAGCTGGTTTATGGTTTTATGCTGAATCTGCATTGGAACTAGAGCAACCTCTATTGAGCTTTCAGGGCTCAGCCTTAATGATACCTGATATGTACAATTGTTCATTAACCCCACACGAGGTTTCATATGCTCAGTAGCATGTATCAGTTTAGTTAATTATTTTGGATAAGACTTGTTTAAGTATGTGCCTTTCCGTTTTATGTAATTTTGAGAATAAACACCCTTTCTTATTGTTTTGTGATCCCAATGTGTTCCAAGGTTAGTTGATGCAGGTACCAGGACATCTGCGAACAACTGTTCCTTTCTCATAGATTCAGTAAGTTTCAGATGGATGAATAAATTAATGAAATGTGGACAAATATGTTAAAATAACATGCGGGCATAACAAGACACAGTGAGGGACAAACCCAGCATTTCCCCAGAATGTCAGAGGAACAATTCAATTGAATAAATGTATTTTGAACACTTCCTACATGCAAAACATTGGGCAAGGATCGTGAAAAATACACAGAGATGAATGAGACTTGCCATGGCCCTTGGAAAATCTTCATCGTGCCAATGGAGATAGCTGTGGGTGTTGCAGTACCTCTTATGCTCGGCTTCATGCCCTCTTGGCCTACTGTTTTACTCCAGCCTTATGGAGCCAGTTATCTGCAGATGTCCTTGTACCTGCATCAACTAAGCTTCATTTTCTTCCCTAGGATTTCTCCTCTGTGCACTGTGAGATGTCTGAGCAATGTGCTCAGCCATGGTGACACAGGCAGAAACCAGGATATGCAAGTGAACACCCCATATGACAACTCCACAAATGGGAGAAGGGAATCAACAGAGACATTCCTTTCTTCTGTCGCTCAGGTTTTGATCCCATTCTACGCAGCTGCTTAGAGGGCCACCTCAAGAGATCAAGCTCCAGTTGGTCCAGTAGGAATCAGCTTCCTCTCTTTCCCCTTTATTCATCCCTGCCTCTCCTTCAGGTATCTTAGGATCACATCTCAAAATGAACTAGCCCTAGTCTCAATCTCTGACATCATACAAGCAACAAATTAGAAAATGAGTATGCTATAAAGATAAGCAAAGAGCTGTAAATAGAGGAACTTCGCTCTATTTGATAACCCTTTCGAAAGGCTCCCTCAGCGGCTCTGAACATCTCTTGGTTCATAGCTGCAATCCCAGTGGCCTATACTAACCCTGAGCAGTAACTCTGATTCAGTTGGAAAATATAAGTGATGGTGCAGATAAAATTTATCTTTTATCAATAATTCTGGGAGTTTCTAAATTTGGAGATTTAGAATATTTGGTGGTATAATTAAAAACTAAATGCAATCCCCCTCCCCATTAGTGGATTAATTCACGTCAGTCCTTTATTCAAAAGTTCCAAGTCCTCTCATTAGCAATAGTCCTGAAGGTACAAAAGAGAGGAGGGAAAGAAAAGGAATGCGAAAAAGGAAAAAAGGAAAAGAAACAAAAAGAAAAGAAAAGAAAAAAGACACTGCTTTAGCTTCTTCGATTTTAATGTTATTTGATGAAATCTGGGACTAGGGAGACTAGAAACCTGAAGGAAGCTATATTAAATGAAGTGATCATTTAAAAATTGGTTGTTGGCTGAGCGCAGTGGCTCATGCCTGAAATTCCAGCAGTTTGGGAGGCCAAGGTGTGTGGATCACCTGAGGTCAGGGATTCGAGACCAGCCTGGCCAACATGGGGAAACCTCATCTCTACTAAAAAACAAACAAACAAAAAAAATTAGCTGGGCTTAGTGGAGGGTGCCTGTAATCCCAGCTACTTGGGAGGCTGAGGCTGGAGAATCGCTTGAACCCAAGAGGCAGAGGTTGCAGTGACAGGAGATGGTGCCATTGCACTCCAGCCTGGGTGACAAGAGCAAAACTCCATCTCAAAAAAAAAAAATTGATTGTTGATTCTTTAAATTCTAAATAATTCAAGAAACAATATATCTGGAAAAAATATAAATATATATGTAATACACACATATATCTTTATCTAAAAATCTAGTCTATTTTCCACTTCCTTTCCCTTGTGTTGGCATAGTCAATCATGGTAACTCTAAGCAGGTGCCTAACAGGTTGTTCATATATTGGCATGGCAGAGTAAGAAGCTGGAGTCTGCAGTTGGTAGTTCAGATTCTGGGAGGTGCTAATTAGTGCAAATGATCCCAATGCCAGTTAATCATCCTAATTAACATTTTCAGTATTCTGGAAACTCAGTCCTTGGCAATTCCACTTTGGATGCCAATTAATTTTACAAGTCAATCACTCTTTTTTGTGAGGATGGAATAAACATAGAATAAATGTTTCTATCCATGTGAATTATTTGTATTCGATTTAAAAACGAAATATGAAGCCATACCCATTTTCAGAGCACTTTACCTGAAATCTTCTAGCATTTATAAATATCTGTCTCATATGATGGTTCTTTCTGGGCATGCCTTATTTTGCTTCTCTACTTCATAGTAAGGTTCATGTCCCACACAATTTTGGATCTTCTTCACACTCCCTACTCTACCCTATAATCTAATGTGATTGCTTGCATTTAGCATGCCCTTAGTAAATGGTTGCTAAAGGAATGAACAAAACAATCAATGAGTAACTGAGTAAATAACACCTTGAAAGAATAAAATTGAGGATGAGGAATTATCTACAATAGTCCAGGAATGCCACTGGGCTATGATCCCTTAGTAGCAGCACACATGTTGACATGTGTGCTATGAATACCATTGGTTGTACACACATTTTCTTTAAGATGTGCTCTTTCTACTTCAGCATGCTCTGTATGCTGCAGATGTGCAGTGGTAGCCATATTTCAACTCTCCACCTTCACACCTCCCACCGGTGTTAACCTCTTTTCCCCAGGATTTATGTCTTTTTTTATTGTTCTGCCTGGAGCCATGCCAGATCCTAGGATCAAACTTCCCAACCTTACCAAACTCATGGGTGAAGGGATGGAAATCAGACTTGGTAGAAAGGCCTGTGCTTCTAATGTGGGAAAGGAAATGGCTTACTTATCTCCATGGAAACACATGCACTTTCCAATTGTTGCTGAATAAATGAAAGTTGTGTTCTTAATCCACAGACCTCAATTTCAAGCAAATCTAGCAGTTTTTCATGGCCGGCACACTGAGTTTTTTTTTTTTTTTTTTTTTTTTTTTTTTGAGACAGAGTCTTGCTCTGTTACCCAGGCTGGAGTGCAGTGGCATGGTCTCAGCTCATTGCAACCTCCACCTCCTGGGTTCAAGGGATTCTCCTGTCTCAGTCTCTTGAGTAGGTGGGATTATAGACACCTGTCACCATGCCCAACTAATTTCTTGTATTTTTAGTAGAGATGGGGTTGCACCATGTTGGCCAGGCTGGTCTCAAACTCCTGACCTCATGATCCGCCCGCCTCAGCAAATTGCATTTTAAATTTCATTTTTTAAAAATTATTGTTTGTTATTTCATCTTACCCTCTAAATGCATAACTCAGTGACAATTTCTTCTAAATGGTTTCTGCAGAATAGTCTGGAAGCACTGGATTCTTAAAAGTATGAAATTAGTTATTAAAACTGCTTTAGGATTTAGTTAACCTTTTTGAGAATTATTAGAAACTTCATCAAATACAACAATAAAGACCAGACCTTGAGTCTGCATTATTATTTCACCAAATATATAGCCAGGTACAAATGATTTTTGTTTTGAATGACCATGCTTAGATCCTCAACAAAAGACGGGTTGATGGATGCTGCAAACCACCATGACACGTGTATACCTATGTAACAAAACTGCACATTCTGTATGTGTAACCCAGAACTTAAAGTTTAATTTTAAAAAAAAGTTTTTGAAGGATAGTATATTTAAATTAAGTCAATATTTATTACCACTTACTCGGTTTTTAAGAAAGCTGACAGTGGTGTCATATAGAATGGCAATGTACACTATAATCAGCTGTGGGTCATATAGAAAATACAAACATCAGGATGTCGCTCAAGACACAGTGAATCATTGCTTCTGTGAGTTACTAGAACCTCTAGACTGAATGTAGAACAGCATGGGACCGTATGTAGTAGAGTTAAGACCACAGGCTTTGGAGGGCCTCCATCACTTCTTAGTGATGTACCCTTGAGCAAATTACATAACCCTTTGGTGCATTTTTCTTATCTGTAAAATGATGATACTAATAATCAATAAAACTAAAACATTTAGAATAGTCCCTAGCATAGAAGTGCTTAACTCATGTCAGCTCTTTCTTCATCCCTACTTACTATGTGTATGTTCAATAAGCTTTACAGGTGATTCTGATCCAAAGCCAGGGTTTTAAAACGGTTATGTATGCTAGGCATGGTGGTTCACACCTTTAATCCCAGTACTGTGGGAGGCCGAGGCGGGCGGATCACGAAGTCAGGAGTTCAAGACCAGCCTGGCCAACATAGTGAAACCCCCATCTCTACTAAAAATACAAAGAAAAATATTAGCCAGGCGTGGTGGCAGGCAGCTGTAGTCCCAGCTACTTGGGAGGCTGAGGCAGGAGAATCCCTTGAACCCAGGAGGTGGAGGTTGCAGTGAGCCGAGATAATGCCACTGCACTCCAGCCTGGGTGACACAGCAAGACTCTGTGTCAATAAATAAATATATATATAATAAAAACATAAAATTGGTTATCTAGAGCTGCAGTGTCCAGTTTGATAGTCACTGGCCTCAGGGGGCTATTGAGCACTTCAAATACATTCAATATAATGAATAAACTGAATTTTAAATTTTATTTCATCTTAATTTCATGTCTAATACTTGATTCAGTTATGAGAAAACAGCTTGGGTATGTGAATGTGTTTTTCAACAGTACATTTTATGGAATGAAAATACAGACCTAGTATTTTCAAGGAAATTTAACACCTGAATTGAGATGTGCTGTAAGTGTAAAATACACACCATATTTTAAAGACTCGGCACAAAAAAGTAAAATATCTCACTAATATTTATATTAATTGCATTTTGAAATGATGATATTTGGGATAAAATAAAACATATTTTTGAAACTAATTGCACTCATGTTTTTCTATTCTTTAATACAGCTGCTAGAACATTTGATATCACATGTGGCCTGCATTATTGTTAACAGTCAGTACTGACCTAGAGGATGCCAGGGGCTCATGAGTTAGTGAATAAACTCCAAAATCTAATTACCTATTTTTCCAAATCCAAAATGTAAACCCATCAGTAGAAACAAAATTATTAACCTCTGGGAAAAAAGATTCAAAACATAAGATATATAAGCCAATAAAAAAATTGTGTGTGTGTGTGCGTGTGTGTGTGTGTGTGTGTGCGTGTGTGTGTGTGTGTTATATCACTGGGGCGCAGAAATTTTCAGAGAAGAGAATACAAGGCATTCTGCTGTCATGGGCAAGCTATATTAGGAAGCTACTTACAGACTGGCTTACAAAGCTGTGTCTTACAGTCAAATGAGTCACAG
Source organism: Homo sapiens (assembly GCF_000001405.40). Lineage (NCBI taxonomy): Eukaryota > Metazoa > Chordata > Mammalia > Primates > Hominidae > Homo > Homo sapiens. Next base: position 71,260,588 of record NC_000017.11, read on the forward strand.
CTTTTAAACTCTCCTTCTGCAATGCACGTAACCCACCAAAAAGACCAACATTCTCTTGCCCATTAAAAAAGACTCTCTCCTTCGTGGGAAATTCAATGTGAACATTAATACACATCCCATTCTTTATTCTCCTTGACTGTTCTTTGTCCTCAAACCTTGGAAATAGTATTTACCTCTTGGGATACTGTGATAATTAACTGGCATAGTGCCTATAAAACATGTTCAACAGTGCCCGGTGTAGAGTAGGCATTCAATATAAATTATTTTTATAATTAGATAATTATTTGACATCAATGGTATCTTAACAATTACATCAGCAAGAATGTGTGTGTGTGTGTGAGTGTGTGTGTGTGTGTGTGTGTGTGTGTTTTAAAGGCCAGGCAAATGTGTACCATACAATTAGTCTATAAGAAGTGCTTTGAACATATAAATTATCAGAAGTCTTGCTGTTTTTGTCATAGCTCCCTCAGGGTCCTTGGTTCAGAATCAGGGGACTATAGCTCTAAACTACCTGTTTCTTTGGTAAGGTCATTCTTCTTTTAGACACTTAAAGTATATATTCTGCAGCTGCCTATAGGAGCTATGTTTTCAAATATCGATGCAACTTTCTCCAAGATCTTTGAATGTTGGTAATTTGGAATAAGGTTAATTCTTTATTGTCTTTCGTCTAATAAAGTTTAGACATAACTAGGATAAAAATCTGCCCAAGCGTTTTCCCCCCCATCTTAACTAACCAAACATGAGTGATTATAGGAATATAATATAAAGAAAAATAGCATCATAGTTCATTTTCATTAATTTCATAAAATTCTAGGACACAATAACAACTTGACCAATACAAACCCAGGCTGATCAACTCATGGATCCTTCCTAATAATTCCCTGAAACTTCTTGTCCTTGGGTGTTGACACCTTGAAACTGTTTTTTAAACTGATGCTCATAAAATAAGAGATTTATAGAACCAACTGACGAGTCAGGTACAAGCTCTGTCAGGCCCTGAAGAACAGCTTTCAAACCTCCAACACAAGACTCAGACTTTTCTCCTTGGAGTTGATCTACAGTCTCCTTCTGTTATTCACTCCTAGGTTGCTGCCAACCTCAGCTGGCCAATCATGTTTGTGGGTATCAAGTGATGCCAAGTTGTTTTATTATATGGACGAATGCCCATTGACTTTAGGTTAAGATCTTGCAGTCATTTTCCTTCATGACTTAAAATGTTTTCAAACCTGAGTTTTCTGAGATAAATGGTTAAAGTTGAAACCTATTAAATGTTCATACTCAATCAGTGAACAGATTTGAACCCAGAGATAAATATACAAAATGATAAAGCACAATATCTTTGTATACCTTAAGCCAGAGGTGGGCAAACTATAGCCCACAGGCCAAATTCAGCATACCACCTGTTTTTATAAGGCTTGCAACCTAAGAATAGCTTTTACATTTTATAAAGGGTCACATTTGAAAAGGTTATAGAAGTACCAACATAATATTCTTGATTTTGCTTTCTTTACAGAAAAAGTTTGCTGACCCCAGCCTTAAATTATAAAAAAAACATACTTTTTGTTGTTCTCTGAATTTGTTTGCTTTTTGCCCCAAGATTCTATTTTTAAAATTGTAATTAGTGGTATTCCACATGGTATGGCATGTAAAAAAAAATCATTCTTTGAAAGTTTTGAGGGAACGAAAAATAGTTAGTTTGAAAAACTTGGTTTATACATTACCTGAAAAATCTATAGTATACGAACCTTTGATTTAGAGAAAAGAAACATCCCAGAAAAATACTGTATTTTACACGATCTCATTGCATATGATAGTCAAACTGATACTAGTGCCTGAAACACTGGTACTTAAGTTCTCTTTTTAATTTCTCATCTCAGCATTCTTTACATGCAGAGCACATGCATGTCTGTTTTGCATTTCAGTATGTAGCATACTTGATGAGTTTTATTCTTTTAATATTTTTTGGCAATGGAAACAATAGCTTTAAAATGGTTCCACAGAGGTGAATTGTCCCTGGCTTCACGAAATAGGTGTTTGAGTTTCTAATGCAACAATAAAGCAAGACCAAAGACCCAATAACAAACAGCTGAGAGGATCAATAACCCCTGTGTTTTCAGTCCATGCTTATTTAAAGTGGTGCATGGAAAAAAAAAAAAAGTCTCTCTATTTATATCTGGAACTTAATGAAGTGAAATTATCACAGCCGACAGGCGCTGGTGTTGTAATTCAGAGACAGGGCTTGGCTTAGAGGGATCTGCAGGCTGTTTTTATTCCAATTTTTAATTTTTTTTTAGTGAAACTTAATCTCCTAATCAGTTCCAATTTACATATTTGCTGGTCCTTTTTTTTCCAGCATGATTTTTAGAGGAGTGGTGTTGGAGGCATAAAGCAATTATTTGATTAAATAATTATTCATTGCAATGTGTCCTGCTCTATTCGAAGCAAGTGGATAAGTGGACACAATACCAATAAACTTGTAAGCACAGAGCCAGGGACGACTTCTGTAGCCATTCATAGCTGTCTCCATTCCCATATGCATCGCAGACGTGTGTGTGTATATGGGTGCATGTGTGTTTTTAACTTGATCCATTCTGTAAAGTTTTGCTCACACTAGCTCTCCTTTCCAGTCTTAAGGGATTAATATCCTGCTAAATGAAGTGTTTCAAATTTGAAATTTATTTGGGGCTAAATGAAATACCAAATGCTTCTAATCATAGTGGAATTGTGTTCCATCATTAAATATCCTCATTCTCTACACGAATAAACATGTCAGTGAAATTATCTTCTTGTGTGAAATGTCAAACCCTTAAATGTATATGTTTTCCTTCGAATGTCATTTAAAATTGGGAATTTCAAAAAGATTGATACACTTCCTTTCCAGGGTTAACTTTTCCTCCTTAGTTAGATCTGGTAGTTATTACTGGGGGAAGACCACAAGTAGAGAATGAGAGGGTACGAAGAATATGAATACAATAATTAAATATTATATGTGTTATTTTCACCGTTTTCTGAAGTATCAGCAATTATGTTGAAGAATCTTCAAGAATCTCAAGTAGATTCCTTCTAGACAATCAGAAATTAAGACTAGAATACTTTCTTTTCTAACTGGACCACAGGTTTATATTATCAGTAAATCGAAGAGTTGCAGTTTACTTAACAGGAGGTAGTATTATTCAAATCTGAAAAAATCATCCTAAATTTTCAGTGTTACACTTGTCCATTTGGTAAGTGTTTCCTGAGCATTTGCTAGTGCCGGTAGTGTACTAACTTCTCTGGGAAACCAAAAAATGAAAAGTAATCAAATATGAATACTACCCGAATAAACATATCCCAGTAATATTCTAGTCAAAGATGACAAATTCAGAAACCTAAAGAAATCTGAAAATACCAGATCATGTTTTATCAGCAGTTGTCAGAGGAAGTCATTGATTTTTTTAACAATGAAATGTGCTCCTGAAAAGTATCCTTAATGTGATTATTCTTTATAGGGTATGTTGGTGTATTAAGTAGAGAGATATTGAAGGTGGCCAGGGAAGTTAGTAGGATATTTTAATAACATAGGCAAGAAAAAAGAAATCTGAGAATGTGATAATAGAAGCAGTGAGAATACGGAGGAAAAAGTAGAATCAATATACCGTACATCAAAGCCTTTTTAAAAAATAGCAAGAGAAGGGCGGGCACAGTGGCTTACACCTGTAATCTCAGCACTTTGGGTGGCCGAGGCGGGCAAATCACCGGAGGTTGGGAGTTCGAGACCAGACTGACCAACATGGAGAAATCCCATCTCTACTAAAAATGCAAAAAATTAGTTGGGTGTGGTGGCACGTGCCTGTAATCCCAGCTATTCAGGAGGCTGAGGCAGGAGAACTGCTTGAACCTGGGAGGCAGAGGTTGCAGTGAGCCAAGATCACACCACTGCACTCCAGCCTGGGCAATAACAGCGAAAACTCCATCTCAAAAAAAAAAAAAAAAAAAAAAAAAAAAAAGCAAGAGATAAGTAAAATAAAAGATGTCAGGGCTGTATTTGTGGAAAGTGAGTGATGAGAAATTCTTATGGGAGAACGCTTGAGTTCAACTTGTTTTCATTTTTCACTCAATAACTTTCAATCAAATTCTATGTGAGAGTTAGGAAGTACTTTTTACTTTCCTTTGATCATCAATGCTACAAAATGGAAACCAACTCAATGGTAAAGAGTGTAGATTTTGGAATAAGAATAACCTAAGTTATAATCCCAATGTCATTATTCCTCAGTGTGTGCCTTTGGCTAGCTTATTTGAACTTCCTTATCCTCAATTTTCTTATTTAAAAGAAAAATGAAAAGCATATCTATAGGATGCATGGAGTAAATGAAACAATACATTTAAAACTACTTAACACAATGGCCAGAAAATACAGTTGGTACTCAGGACAGTACTGAATGTGATTGTCGTTTTAGTTGCTTAGGCTGAGGATAATCAGTGCACCGTGATCTTTAAAGACCATACCCTATAACTATCTTAAGAAATTGTTTATGCTTTGAGTTGAAAGAAAACTTTGAAGTAAAAAGGGTTAATCTTCGTACCAGTTTTTGCTACAAATTGATTTAAGAAGCTTATGAACATTTGATACAAATCACATATTATTTTCTAAATTGTTTTCCCTCTATGCTAATTGAATTAAAACCAAAAGGTATTTCTTGATCATTTGCTGTATGCTCAGAAGCATGGCAGTCACCATGGGAGATATAAAAATATTTTTATAAGCTCTCTTTGTGGTTAAGAATATTACAGTTTAGTCAGAGAGATAAAAATTATGCCCATGAAACCAGAAAGAGATGTTAAAATAAAATAAAAGCAAACAGTTGGAATATTGCTTCAAACTCAGTTACTATGAGAATTCAGAATAGGGAAGCAATGGATCAGCTTTAACCAAACAGCAAAGCCCTTGCTTTGTGAAGCTGGAACTGATTTCTGGAGAAAGGATGGACTGATTCCTGACATAAGAGTGGATCTGGGCTTAACAGAGAGGGAGAGAGAGATAAAGAGAGAGACAGAGTTCCTTTTTCTTGTTGAGCAAAGAAATGAGAGTGGGAGATAGTATGAAGAAATCTTGATTATGAAAGAAGAGGTATGTTAGAACTAAGAAAAAACACAGGAAGCCAGGTGAAATTTACTGATCAATGTCTTCAAAAGCAGTGTACAAGTTTAGACTTGACTCATGAATTATCAATGTCACCAATTTTTAAACTGTTAAAAAACTTTGAGTTTCTAAGGGCAGGGAATTCAATAGCCGATGTATTAGTCCATTCTCATGCTGCTAATAAAGACAGGGTAATTTATAAAGAAGGTTTAATGGACTCACCGTTCCACATGGCTAGGGAGATCTCATGATCATGGTGGAAGGTGAAGGAAGAGAAAAGGAACATCTTACATGGTGGCAGGCAAGAGAGTGTGTGCAGGGGAAGTGCCCTTTATAAAACCATCAGATCTCGTGAGACTTATTCACTATCATGAGAATAGCACAGGAAAAACCAGCCCCCATGATTCAATTACCTCCCACTGAGACCCTCCCATGACATGTAAGGATTATGGGAGTTACAATTCAAGATGAGATTTGGGTGGGGATGCAGCCAAACCATATTGGCAGACAAGGGAGTCAAAGTCTCTGCCTTTGAAATATTTACTTCTAATACAGGATTCAGGTAAATAAACTCTCTCTCTCTCTCTCTGGCTCTCTCTGGCTCTGCCTCTCTCTCCCTCCCACCACTTCTCTCTTTCTACACACACACACACACACATACACATACACGCATTTTTTTTTCCAGGAAAAGTCTCACTGAAGAGGGTGCATTTGTGCTGAGAACTAATAAAGAGAGAGAAAAAGGCATAGTGAAAACTTAGGGAATGGAGTATTCAAAGAGAGGGAATCACAGGTGCATAGGTGCTTTGAAGTGAGAATGAGAATGTGCTCAGTATGTTTGAAAAACAGTAAAATAAACACTGTTAACAAGGGCATACTGAGGGAAGGGAAGAGTCATAGGAGATGAGCTTGAAGAGGAAATCAAAGGCCAAATCACAGAGTCCTGAAGATTATGGTAAGTATTTGGTATTTTATTCTATTCTAAGTGTGATGAAAGCTATTGGATGGCTTGAATGTTGTAAGACATGAATTGATTTATGTTTTCATAAAGATAACACTGGCTGCTATATAGAATAGGTTTTATAAGAGAAATGTGAATGCTGGAAACAAATTAGAAGACTACTGAGGCTTTAAAGGAGACAGATGATGGTCTTATGGATTTGGTACCTGGAATGAGAGTGGAGATATGAAGAGTTTCATTTCAGGCCTGCAAAATTTTAAATGCCCATTAGGTATGCAAGACTGAATTTGAGGAGAAATGGAAAAGATTGGGGTTGGATGTATAAAATTTGGAGTCATCAAAATACAGATAACATTAAAGACCCGAGTCTAAATTAGGTCACCAAGGGAGTGAGTACTGACAAGGTAGAGAAGGGCTTCAGGGAATGAGCCTAGGGCCATTACAACATTTAGAGTACTAGAAGAGAAGAATCCAGCAAAGAATATGAGGCAAGTTAAGCATAGGGGGTTCCTTAGGATGGTGACACTATTCTGTGTAATTCTGTAATGGTGAATCATGACAATTGAATTTTTGAAATCTGTTAGAATTCTATTATAGAAAAAGCCAAGCTTAGTGCATGTAAATTGAAAAAAAAGGAGTAATTTAACCCATTTCCCCTTTGTCTCCAAAATACTGCACTGGCAGTTTTATTGTTGTTGCTGTTGTTGTTGTTGTTGGAAATGGGTTTAAGAGGTCATGGATCCCAGGATGAGATGCAGATTGTTACAAAAAAACATAACTGCATTAAAAAGTGTATATCATGAACACAGGGAGAAGAACAATACACACCACACCAGGACCAGTCAGGAGGTGGGGGGCAAGAGGAGAGAGACCTTTAGGAAAATAGCTAATGCATGCAGGGCTTAAAACATAGATGACAGGTTGATAGGTGCAGCAAACCACCATGGCACATATATACTTCTGTAAAAAACCTACACATTTTGCACTTGTATCCCTGAACTTAAAGTAAAATTTTAAAAATATATAAAAAATAAAATAAATAAATGAATAAATAAAAAGCACATGGAACAACTTCACTGAAGGATTTGAGGAAAAGTGCTAGTCTAATAATCTGGAAATGAATGGAATCCATAAGAATAAAAGCAAAGGGAACTGTACATAAGTATTGTACCCTAGTTGATAAAGTTGTTCCCCACAAGAATACACGTAAGCAATTCTGAAACTATTAAACATGTATACTGAAATTGAACAATTAAGATATGAGTGGTGAATGGTGGGAAACAGGTTATTCACAGTTGCAGTGGGAGGTTACAGACAAGCAAAGGCAGATGAATAGAATAACCCATGTAGCAATGGATTCAAGTTGGAAACTTTGGTATGAACTAATTTGAGCTTAATATAGATACAGATGCATGGATACAAAAATATTATATATATATATATATATATATATATATATATATATATATATTTACATAGGTGAGGATACATACATATATTTCCTTGCTCTGTTAGCTGAGAGCATCTGGAGGCAATGGCACCAGTATCAACAACCACACACACCACACAGATCTTACTCTCTAAATCTTTTCTCCAATCAAACGTACTAGGGTTTGGAGAAATGACTGTTTCTAGGGATGAGACAGGGAATACAGATGAGCCTAAAGCATTTTGTCATATCACAAAGTAAGAAAGTGCTTTTTAAAAAGCGAAGATAGGAGCCAGCCAAAGAGCTACCTGCGGCAATACCTGGAACAAATTGGGCAATGAAGTGAACAACACAGTGTTAGATTACAACCACCTGTGATGATTAATTTTTTCTCATTACTATTACCCTAAACACTTTATTCCAGATTTCATTAACAGACCCTTGGTCCCCTGAATATAGAGATAAGATGACCCAAAGTGAGCTACTTATGAAACTCTGGCTACAGTGATTGAACCAGTTCCAGCTTCATCCTGAGTGATTCGGAGGATGTGACTCCATAGCAGCCTGTGGCCTAATTTCCTGCCACACAGACACTGATGTGGGGAGCGGGAGGCCAGGTGAGTTTCTATTTCCAGTCCTTGGGTTGCCCTGCATTTTACAGATCTTCCTTTGCACTGGAATAACTTCTTGAACACTCCACTCAAATGCTCTTTTTGCTTGAAAAGAGTTGAAAGTAAATGTTTGTCTTTTTTAACTGAAATCATCCTGACAAATAAGCCCTTCTCAGATAAACCCAGGGGGCAAGCATCATTTCTCATCTTAACAAATCTCTTGACAGAACTTGACAGGTTTGATCATTTTCTCATCCCCAAACACTCTCTTCCCTGATCGTACCTACTCCTCTTGGTTTTCTTCCTGCCTCACTGCCTCACTACCCAGTCTTTCTCAGTCTTTTTCACTCGCTCACTTGCTTGCTAACTCTCAAAAATAAATTTTTATTTTGTAACAGCTTTTAGATTTATAGAAAAGTTGCTGAGATAGCATAGAGAACTCCCATAGACCCCACACCAGGTTTCTGCAAATGTTACCATCTTACCTTAGCATGGAACATTGATCAAAACTAATGAACCAATGTTGTTACAGTATTATTAACTTAACTCCACATTTTATTCTGATTCTCTTAGGTTTTTTTCTTTCTTTTCTAGGATCCCACCTATAGCACCATATTATATTTAGTCATCCTAACTCTCTAGGCTCCTCTTGGTTGTAACAATGTCTTGGACTTTCCTCATTTTTGATGACCTTGGCAGTTTGATACTTGCCAGGTATTCTGTGGAATATCCTTCTGACATTTGCCTCATAATAGGACTGGGGGTTTGGGAAGGAAAAATCACAGGGGTAAATTATCATTTTCACTACATCACATCAAGGGTACACATTGTTAACATGAATTAGCACTGCTGGTTTTAATTGTAGAGTCTTTCGAGTTTTCTTACTATAAAGTTACTCCCCTTCCCCCTCTTTCCACATTGAACTCTTTGGAATGAAGTCATTATGCTCAGCCCACATTAAAAAATTGGGGTGTGATGCTCTACTTTTTTGAGGGCAGAGTGTCTACATGATTTATTTAGAATTCTCCTGCAAGGGAGAAACTTCTACACTCCCACACTTATTTATTTATTCAATCATGTATTTATATCAATGTGGAATCATGAATATTTCATACTTTGGGTTATAATCCAATATGATGTTATTCATTTTGTTGCCCAATTTGTTCCAGCTTTGGACATGAGGAGCTCTTTGGCTGGCTTTTATCTCCATTTTCCATTCTGCAAAAGCACTTCTTGTTTTCTGATACGATGAGATGCTTTAGGCTCATTTTTTGTCCCCACCTTAGAAAGAGTCATTTCTCCAAGGAGCCTGCCTCAGTTCCTTTTATTGGAGAACAGATCTATTTGATGCTTCTGGTTGTTGATACTAGTGTCATTCCTTATACTTAAGATAATGCATTGTAGATTTAAAAATTGTTCAGAGAGATCTTAAACGTTCTAATGTTCTTATCATAAAAAAGATAGGTATATGAAGTGATAAATATGTTAGTCATTTCTGATTAAATATCTATGCATGTGTATACGCATATATATCTCTCTCAGAACATCACATTTTATACTATATACACAATTTTAATTTGCCAATTATATCTTAATAAAACTGAAAAGGGGGGTGATATAGAGGTAATAAACAACTGCAAATATGTTATATGCAGATGTAAATAAGGTGTCTAGAGACTGTGGGAATTTCACCTGGGGAGATTAACACATGAGAAAGGATGGACAGTGAGAACAGCAGGTGAGAAAAGTCATTCCTATATTTTTCTCCCTCAAATGTAAATAAATCTGTATCATACAACTTTATCAAATGCCTCCATCCTCTAGAGGCAATCATATTTATGGTATTCTCTAATATACATCCTCCTCTAGAGACTGACCCATCTCTAATTTATTTAAACAAATCATGGCATTTCCTGTCCCTATACCTTGCTATGGTTATTTCAGCCCTTCCTTGAATCCCTACACTGACAGCTGGGGTTGCCAAATAAAATACAAATGCTGTCTAATTTAAATTTCAGATAAACAATGAATAACTTTAGCATATGTATATCCTAAATATTGCATGGGATATACCTTGTATGAATAAAAGTGTTTGTTCTTTATCTAAAATTCAAATTTAACTGGTTATCCTGCATTTTATTTTGCCGGATCTGAAAACCTTACTAATAACTTCCATCTTACTCTCTAACTTTCATTTACATACTGTTATAGGTGTTTCCAAATCACTTAGATTTTAACTTCCCATTGGAAAAAAAAATACGTATTATACTTCTCTTTCCTTTACTGCAGAAGATCTGGGAGGAAAGAAGTCCATAGAGTGGTTATTATAGGATAACCAAGGCCTGAAACAGTTGGGTTTAAGATAATGACTGCAGCTCCATCCATGTTCCTGCAAAAAACATGATCTCATTGTTTTTATGGCTGCATAGTATTCAATGGTGTATACGTGTTACATTATCCACTCTGTCACTGATGGTCATTCAGGTTGATTCCATGTCTTTACTTTTGCAAAAAGTCCTGCAATGAACATTTGCATGCGTGTGTATCCTTAGCAAACTAATGCAGGAACATAAAACCAAATACCGTATGTTCTCACTTATAAGTGGGAGCTAAATGATGAGAACTCATGAACACAAAGAAGGGAACAACAGACACTGGGGTGTACTTGAAGGTTCTGGATAGGAGGAGGGGAGGAGCAGGAAAAATAACTATTGGGTACCAGGCTTAATACCTGGGTGATGAAATAATCTGTACAACAACCCCCACTTGAGATGAGTTTTCCTATGTAACAAACCTTAATGTGTACCCAGGACCTAAAATAAATCTTAAAAAAAAAAGATAATGACTGCAAAACAGAGATATGTAGAGGAGCTTTACTGGCAGGGGTACATTCTAGCAGAGCTTGGTTACATTCTAGCAGAAAACAGAATTAGACTAAGTATTTTCTTTTAACTTTAGCACTTTATTTAACAAATATTGAACATAAAAAACAGAGATTATACAAATCACTGATGAATGCACTGTTCTGAATAAAAAGTTGAGCATGATACTCTCCCTGTTTCCCAGAAGCTTAAAATATATACCAATGTATGCATGTACATATAAGGCAAACTTATGATTGTCCAAAGAGGTGGTATCAGTAAAGTTCTAGTGCAGTGGTTCTCAGCTGGGGGCAATTTTATTCCCCTCCCCAGGGACACTTGGCAATATCTGGAGGCATCTTCAATTGCTGTAACAGTGCTACTGGAAACAAGAGGATGGAAAGGGCAAAAGATGCTACATCTTTTTTTTATTATTATTATACTTCAAGTTCTGGAGTACATGTGCAGAATGTGCAGGTTTGTTACATAGGTATACACATGCCATGGTGGTTTGCTGCACCCATAACCCATCATCTACATTAAGTATTTCTCCTAATGCTATCCCTCCCCTAGACCCCCACCCACCGACAGGCCCTGGTGTGTGATATTCCCCTCCCTGTGTCCATGTGTTCTCATTGTTCAACTCCCACTTATGAGTGAGAACATGCAGTGTTTGGTTTTCTGTTCTTGGGTTAGTTTGCTGAGAATAATGGTTTCCAGCTTCATCCATGTCCCTGCAAAGGACATAAACTCATCCCTTTTATGGCTGCATAGTATTTCATGGTGTATATGTGCCAGAATTTCTTCATCCAGTCTATCATTGATGGGCATTTGGGTTGGTTCCAAGTCTTTGCTATTGTAAACAGTGCTGCAATAAATATACACATGCATATGTCTTTATAATAGAATGATTTATAATCCTTTGGGTATATACACTGAATCTTACAAGGCACAGGACAAACAGGTAGGATGTCCAGACAAAAAAGAACAATTGTTCAAAATGTCCAATTGCTTAATAATGTCACAGTTGAGAAACTGTGATCAGGAACAACGAAGTCAAAAGAAGCAATGCTTCTGCCTGTGGTGATCAGAGGAAGCTTCTATATATGCATACGGTGGAAATGAAGACAGTGAACACGGCATGAGCAAATGCAGCAAAACTTAACATTTGCTGCAAGAATGGCACATGGTCTGATTGTTTTGAAGTCACGGTTGTGCTGGAGACCAGTGGACATTAACACAGAGAGCACCTTGGGCTAGAATTACGGTGAGCTTTGAATGTGAAACTATAAAACTCCAGATTTATAAGCATTGCAACTAAGAATGGTGATGGAGAATTTGGAGTACAGGACCCATATATGGCAAAGATCAGTTCATTAGGAAATTTAGTTTATATTGGGGAACGTTTGAAAAAGTCACTGATAATTTTCCACTTGGCTTCCAAAACAGTGACGACAAAAATATGGCAGCTAGGCAATCTTGACTATGATCCTAGCTGAAACAAGTTGCTTGCCTCAATCCTGCATGTCCCCCTATAACTGAAGCAATGGCGCATGAAAGCTAACCTTTATTTTTATTTTTTGTTTTTGTATTAACATCACAACTTTGTTAGCTCATTGTTTTAATCCTTCCTCTTCATTCCGTGGTAAAGTCACAGGAGTCCCATTTTCCTCTTAAGCAATGCTGCTGAATTTTACATGCTCAACCAGCCCCAGAAAATGGGATAGAAGAAAAAACCGGATACATTGAGAATCTATCTTAAGTTCTGTGGTTCAGAGAGTTTGGAACTGAACCCAGCTATTTTGGTATTGGGGCTTATTTCACCTTGGCAAAACATGGCCTTCTGTTTTAAGGTGGGGGGGCAGTTGAAAAGCTTATTAAAAAGTCTCAAAATGCTTCTTCAACATCAAATAGCTCCTAGAAAAATATTTTGATGAGTTAAGTGTAAATGAATCAGAAACATATGGATTACATTTCCTTTAGATTACACATGGGTTTCAAAATTAAGGGGAAAAGTGCTCAGGGCAAAATGCATTTTGGATTTTATTGAACCCAAAATATTTGAGAAATAACTCAAGACACTCGAAGAACCCAAAATCCTGCCAGGTTTCCCAATCCCTTGTGAAAAGCAAATTAGATTTTAAAATTCCTTTCGCTTTAGTGATCTATGATGTTACATGAAATTCAGATGAAAAACTTCTTTTCTATATATGATTTTTACCCTGGATATTTTCACTTACAACTTTGGCCAAAATCTAGACTTGAAGTGTACTTTAGATTGGCTAAATTGGCTGGATGGCTCAGCCTCTCTCTGCCCTGCTTAGTGACAAGAACATTTGATTTGTCCCATGCACAGTCATAGAATCAAGGGATTAATCAAAGGGCTTCAGATAGCTTCATAGCAAATGATACCAGGCAGTATTCACAATTTGCCGTTTTGCATTTAGCTTTCCACTCATTCATTGGGCATTGATGAAAACCTTTTCATTACTTCTCATTTATCTTAGGCTTTGACAGACCCTACTTCTAGATTCTATATTTTAAAAATAAAAAGGAAGTCATGCCTGTTTATTAACTCAGTCTTTTGCTTATCCCAATGGCAAGGCCAAAGTGTGGCTACAGAAGGGTATTAGATTTTCACCAGTTCCCGTCCCCTAAAGCCACAGCCTATGTAAAATCAGCATGATTGCTAAGCAAAAAGCTCTACAACAACTCCCCTAACCACACTTCTAATCCAGTTTTCATTCCTAGGCCTCACCTATATGGGATTTTGAGAGCCATAACAATTATTCCTTTATGGCTTTACTGGACATATTATTTCTTAGCACCTGCTATAATGGTGGCATGGTAGTGGGTATGAGAGATGCAAATCAAATCAGGCATGGCCGTGCATCTTCAAGGAACTTCACACATACACAAAATTCTCCAGGTAGGACAACAGAATCAGAAATATGTAGGCTTCAAGAGTATACAGTGCCAAAGAAGGGAGGCGTCAAATAGGAAACCGCTGTCTAAAATTATAACATGGAACTATATAATAGGAGTTGTTTAAATCCAACTTAAGTGATTCTGTTTGGAGCATTTTATAACGAAGTGAATTTATAGTGAACTTTGCCTATTTTATAAGTCTAACACATTTTTCTCCATTCTTCCTCTGGCAAGCTTGCCCTGGTAACTCAAGATCCAACCCAAATGTCATCTCCATTGTGAGAGTTCCCATTTCCACCATGGTTGAGTGAAATCTTGTCTCTGAATTGCCAATAAACATTGAACATGTTCTTATTTATATCATTTTTAGCATTGTGTTTCAATTTATTTATACATCAGAGTCTCCTGTTAATCATTGACATTTTTGAGGAAAGGACTACATCCTGGTCTTATTTTTATTTCCAACACACAGCATATTTCCTGGAATATACTAAGCACTTAAATGTTATTGAATGAATGGACGATTGGATAAATGATGCTATTATTAAAAAGGGAAATGGAGAAAGACAAAAATATACCACAGTCACAATCTCAGTTATACAAATGGCTTTAAGAATCTCATTCTACATAGACTCATTATATTCTGTGTAGAACAAATGACTCATATTTACTAAATTTGGTTATTAGTTATATGGAAAGTGCAAGTCAGAAGAACAATCAGAAGTTTATGTTTAGATTCACTTATACACATGTGTACATTTACATAGTTGGTAATTGATCCATTCTTTTCTCCTACTGGAATATAAACATTTCTCAAAGGCCTTCCTTGCAGTCTATAGTTCAGGAACCATGGTTCCAACACTAAATGGTTCTAAAGGTATTATCCTAAAATTTTTTAAATAAAATCTCAAGTATAAAAGGCTGATTTTATCAGATAGGAAATGTGTTCTAAGCTTCCTAGTTTAGAGAATATATTCACTAAGTAAATTCTTCGCATTATTAAAAGACGCTTTTCAGTAGCTATTCACAGCTATTAAATTTTGTTAGGGTTTTCCAAGGTTTTCCTGGGTTATAGACATAAAACAAATGACACATGTGCCCACAGTTATCTGTAAGTGGACAGGGACATTCTACTAAGGAGACTTTTCTTCTCAGTGTTTATTCATGGTGAGAAAACTCTAGCCTCTTCTTTTTATGCAGGAGAGATGTCCTTGAGCCTCCTATGTGACTGAAATAAAACCTTAGAGTGGTACATCGGTTCCAAAACCTTAAACTTAAATGTAAGAGTGGTACGTTGGTTCCAAAACCTTAAACAAATATTTAAACTCCTACATAGAGTTTAAATGTTTTCAAGTTTGAAATGTGTAATTCATATTTCATGGGACCACTGGCCTCTCAAATACATACATAAAGAAAATTTAACAGGACTCAATGTCTAGTCTCATTCTTTAAGTTTCTTAAATCCTTGGCCTTTCCTGATTTTCTTTAAGCCCTCTATTAGTTTATTAGGTTGACAGGAGCCCAGGTAATTATGCTGGCTTCTAAGTCCTACTGTAAGTTACGTCTGCATCTCCCCGAACACACACAAATTTTAGTGCCACTGCAGCACTTCTAAAAACAAATAAAAGATTTGTGAACTAGTCACTAAGCATCCGACGCAATTAAACTGCATTTGTTTCTTTTTTGGCTTTCTCACACAATCGACGCCTTGTAAGAGGTAGGCACTCCTCAAATCAGACTGTGTTTTCTTTAGAGGAAAGTGTGCCAAAAATCCTCCTACTCTACGTAACTAAAGTCTCAACTAGCAGGAGGTGGACAGTTGCAACACACATACACACACCCTTCTTCCTACTGCTACTAAAACCATGATATGCACATATGCACGTAAAGATACAAACTCATACCTACAAATACATTAATGTGAGGGAATAGGAATAAAACCTCCTAGACAGGAATTGCAGATGCCCACAGACTCAATTAACTGCAGCCTTATGTAAGATAAAAGAAACACAATGTCATTTAAGAGCATATATATTAGTGGTTAAGAGTAAAGCATAAACGCATAGAAAATAAAATGACAACTGTTTGGGGAAAATTGAATTCTCTCTTTTTAAATTTTTAACACAAGTGAAAACAGACCTTACCTTGAGGTACCTATATCTCAAGAGCTTTGAGTCTCCAACTTCAGGCTGCTACACTTGAATATTTTTTTAAAGAAGGTCTTTAAAATCTGGTTAATTAGAACTGACTACTATTAACTCTTTGATTGATTTAGCATCCTGTTGTGCTGGCTCGTGCTCACACGTTCCCCACTGGTTCCCTTGAGTTGCTCTCCCACATTGGTATGAATAGTAGGTATGGACTGAAGTCACACAACAGTCCTTGTTATAAAAATAATTTATCATGGAAAAACTAAATAAGGTGTACATGTGGTCTAAGCAGACCCAAGCAGTTGCAAAGACCTTTACCCCAGTGCAATATCACACAATCCCTTCAAACTTTCCATATTTCTGTTTTTTTATCTGCAGTATGCAAGACACGTTGGTGAGGCCACTTCCAATCCGCTCCATGAAGAAATGAAATTCTTTACATGCTTCCATGAATATTACCAACCATGAGCATCAGATGTGATGCATTTCAATAAACATTTTCCATACATTATCCATATAATCCTATAAAGTAGATATTGTCATCTTTGTAATAAAGTTGATGAACCTGAGTATTAACAAGCTTAGTAACTCACACCACATAAGAATCAGAGATTAAATTTGAGCAGTTTTGTCTGATTTCACAACTCAGCTTTACTGCGATTCTTCACTGCCTTTGTCTGCTAAGCTCTTTACTGTCCATGGTATCAGAATTACAGCTCTTTTTCCATTATTTTGTGGAGAGATGAAGAAAGGAAAAAATGGACCCTTAACAAAATAACTATGGAAACAATAAAGTCTTCCTTTTCTCCCATCAAAGTACTATCTTTAGAAGAATAGCAACTTTTTCTCCTTACTCTCATTAGTTTGCTAAAATGCATTCTGGGGCTTGAAAGAACTATGGCATGTCTTGAAAGGTGTTCTTTTGAATACTTATTTGCATGATGAAAGAATCATCTTATGGAATGATAAAGCAACTATATCATTATCAAAGAGAATGTGTGTTGAGAGACAACTCTCCATAGGTCTCTTACATTCTTTCATGTCTTGCAAGCAGAGTCACTAACTGCCCTTTGTTCTGGACTATCTTTTCAAGGATATCTGTACAAAAAACAACCTTGAAGTGTAAGATGTCTCTCTCTGGAGCAATAGGCAGGTATGGGTAATATCTGGTATAATAAAGATAATGTCCCCCACTAAAGTAAAAGGCAGGCATGCTTACTGCTCATTAGAAAAGATTCAGAGTCCCTAAGCTCAGAATTCTTCCCCTGTAGAAGGATCCACTGTGTGTAGGTGTTATCTGGCCCTCTTTATGACGCCTTATGGGAATCGGAGCTCAGAAAGCCTGTGCAAAAATGCTGGTACAATGGCTACTACTACTGCTGTGAGTAATGAACTGTCTTTCATCTCTGACCCAAGAGTTGGATGCTTTCAACCAGCACCTAGTTTGTAAGCTAACTTACAAGCTTGTGAGTAGGAAAAAGATCTCAGATCTTCACAGTTCATTGCAATATAACCGGTCCCTACTATGGAAGTAGGTCATCAAAATCAGCTTTGTTAGCCTTAAATATTCATAGTATAAATGTAAGTTTGGCTTTGCCCTTGATACTCTATGATTATTACCATGCTACTCTGAGATTATAAATAATTAAATCCCTGGCAGACTCCCAATGAAATATTTATTCTCACTTACTATCCTTCATATCAAGTATTTCAATATCTTTTAAAAAAAGAATATGCTTAATGAAGGTTGGCAGTAGTTTATGAAGTACTCTGTGCTTTCTGAGTGCAATTGTTCTGCTCTTTTCCATTTTCTTTTCTTTTTTTTATTATACTTTAAGTTCTGGGGTACATGTGCAGAACATGCAGGTTTGTTACACGGGTATACACGTGCCATTGTGGTTGCTGCACCCATCAAGCCGTCATCTACATTAGGTATTTCTCCTAATGCTATCCCTCTCCTAGCCCCCCACCCACCAACAGGTCCCAGTGTGTGATGTTCCCCTCCCTGTATCCATGTGTTCTCATTGTTCAACTCCCACTTACGAGTGAGAACATGTGGTGTTTGGTTTTCTGTTCTTGTGTGAGTTTGCTGAGAATGATGGTTTCCAGCTTCATCCACGTCCCTACAAAGGACATAAACTCATCCTTTTTGTGGCTGCATAGTATTCCATGGTGTATGTGTGCCACATTTCCTTTATCCAGTCTATCACTGATGGGCATTTGGGTTAGTTCCAAGTCTTTGCTATTGTGAACAGTGCTGCCATAAACATACATGTGCTTGTGTCTTTGTAGTAGAATGATTTATAAACCTTTGGGTATATACCCAGTAATGGGATTGCTGGGTCAAACGGTATTTCTGGTTCTAGGTCCTTGAGGAATCACCACACTGTCTTCCACAATGGTTGAATTAATTTACACCCCCACCAACACCAACCGTGTATAGGCATTCCTATTTCTCCACATCCTCTCCAGCATCTGTTGTTTCCTGACTTTTTAATGATCACCATTCTAACTGGTGTGAGATACTCTTTTCCATTTTAAAAGAACATCAGCATAATGCATCACATTCATTTAAGAACCTAGAGTTATGTTACACTGAAAATGCTACCTTTCTAAATAAGCCACACGTAATTAGAAATTGTGAGTTTTTACATGAGTGGGGACCCTACAAAATGAAATATATTTTTACATGGGATTTTCATTCATAAAATTGCTTTATATTATTTGTTTCACTTTTGACATGTTTCTCATTGGACTACTATATCTGAAGATTAGTATTTATTGGGATCAACATGAGTTCTTGATAAAAATAAAGACTAAGGCCCCCCACCCCCAACCCGCTGCATTTTGTTTCAAGTTTCCTGGGGTAATATTCAGGTACAGGAAATTCAATTACCCTAAGTGAAACCACCAAGTGATTCTGATGCAACACATTTAGACACGGCATAAGATACGTTAGAATTGGAATCAAGAAGATTTGGGGTTCAAGTCCTTTGACTTTGAGCAAGATGTCAAAGCCTTAACTTTTTCAATGTCCTCATTTATAAAATGACCACATTACACTATAATTGCCACAAGTTTGTTTCATATTCTATTAATTTATAGATCAAGAAACCTCTCTTCTAGAGAGTCTTCTACTTGGTCCCAGTTCCACAGAAAATAGAGCCTGAGGCAAATATTAAGAGCTTAATGCTTGTTTGGGAGGTGTAATCCAGGATGGTGGAGTGAAAGCAACAAGAAGTGAAGCAGGAACTGATGCGAATCAAACTCAAGATGGTCCATTATCAAGCGAGCCACTGCTTCATAAAGTGATAGAGGCCAGCACTGGGCTTTGCATGTTATCTTCTGGATGAAATCTGTGCTTCAAAACAATTCCTTAGACACAGGAGACTGAGATCATCAAAAGTGGCACATGAGTGCCACTGGTACAATGTACCACTCAGATCCAAACATGCCCTTCCATCATATCTGGCTTTCAAAATACAATAATGAATGCCTATTATTTTGTGAGGACAAGAGGGCCCAGGAGGTATGTTAGGCTGAGGGAATCCGAAGTAGGTATAAATCAGCATTTGGCCATTTGTGTGTCCTCGTTTCCTCCTCAGAATATATTTATCTCATTTTTATTCCCTAAATATTCATATGACATAATTGATCTTGTTTGTGTTTTAAATTAACAAGATGCAATTCAGATTGTAAGTTCTCTTGAATGTGACGATTCCTCCTAGTTTTAGGTTATCTCATACCTTTTGGGTCACAGTATCATGCATTTTGGACACTCAGACGTATTGTTTTCTGTTTTGTTTGATTCTGTGTTAAGACTCTTTCAAGGCACGGTGTGAAAAAAGGCACGAACATTGGTGACACAAAGTCCTGATTTCAAATCCTGTTCTGTCACTTGTTAGCGCATGACCTTGGCAAGTTAATTTAAGTCACAGAATAATAATTTACTCTCTGGTAAAAGAATATTAATAATTTCCACTCAACAGTAAGTGGATTGGATAGACAGGACATATGACACATATAGGCATAGCGCCTGGCACATATATGGGAGATTAGTGATAATTTCCCCAATCACCTTTTTTTTTTTTTTTTCTGAGACTGAGTCTCGCTCTGTTGCCCAGTCTGGAGTGCAGTGGCACAATCTCAGCTCGCTGCAAGCTCCGCCTCCCGGGTTCACACCATTCTCCTGCCTCAGCCTCCCTAGTATCTGGGACTACAGGCACCCGCCACCGCACCTGGCTAATTTTTTGTATTATTAGCAGAGACGGGGTTTCACCATGTTAGCCAGGATGGTCTCGATCTCCTGACCTCGTGATCAACTTGCCTTGGCCTCCCAAAGTGCTGGCATTACAGGCGTGAGCCACTGCGCCCAGCCCCCAATCACCTTTTCAATAAAGCTTTCTAAAAATATATCCTGGCTGATATCATTGTATCAAGCTATAAAATGGGGACCTTTCTTTAACAGTTTCTTTGTAGATGAAAATTTATATTGAGAGATTAAAAAATCAAAAGGAAAAATCCCAAGTGTGGAAGAAGTATATTTAAAAATTTCTTTCTCCAGTAGACAGACCATTTCTATTATCTACCTATTTATCTATTATATACCTGAGCATCTCTCTGTATACCTATCTCTGTCTCATTCATCTACCTCTATCTATATCTCTACTTATATAAATATACTTATCTACCCATTTATTACATACATATAGATATTTATCTTCATTTACAATTAAGGTCACGGTTGTTGTATATTAAAACTAACACGTTACCTCATGAAGAAAAAGAAATTGTGATCCGGGTTATCTGTTACCTGTCTGCATAAGCTTGTGTCTGTGAACAAAAGGGTAGGCATATTTTTACATTAACAAAACATAATTAACCATTTTCAGTAGAATGAGATTCCCTTGCTCATTTTAGCTGATGACTCCTGCCACAAATTACCAAATATACATAGAATTAGAACAATTATGTTTCTAACCCTTATCATCTAGGTCTCTGAGGTAACCAATTTTTAATTTTATGAAAATGGGAGCAGACAATTTTTTATTTGAAAATTGTGGCTCATGAGCAAAGGCAGTCCTCTAAAACAGACACTCCTCTGGTGCTCTCTTCCTGATTTTGACCATGAATTCCTTTTAACCTGCTCAGGGATATGCAAGAAGTGGGAGGATTATCACATAACATTATTTCCTTTGGAGAGTGGGGTAGGATTCTCCATCCCCTAATAATAAAAATTTTTACTGGTTGAAATTTCTGTGAGAAGGATGAGAGGAAAGAAAGAAAGGAATATGATAACCAGAGTGTGTGGCTGCACCCACATCCAGTTACTGTTCGCTGCATTTGTATGGGGTTTATCTTACTAGAATGCGATTACTGTAAACTGAAAGACTCAAAGCTAGACCAAAGGGGAACGGATTATGCAGGCAGTGGCTTTCCCAAGCATTTTACTCTATTTGGTCAAATCCTTTGATTGCTTTTTTCTGTCCTAACATATGTAGTTAAAAGAATGCAAACTATTCCCTGGATATTTTCTACTCTTGTTTTGTCTTTTTATGAATCTTATTGATCTTATCTACACTAACTCAACTGGATGCTGCCTCCTTCTTTACAATGAATATCCCTATAATTCCCTCCTGATTTCCCTTTCCAAAAACCATTCCCACCTAACATATATTTATGTAAATGCAAAAGGAGATATCTGGAAAGACGCACAACTAACTCTTAAAAGTGGTTACCCCTAAGAGAGGAGTGGGATTGGGAAATGGAGCACGGTGGGGAAGAACTTTCACTTTTTAGTCAATATACTTCTGAATGGTCTTCACTCATTACTCTGAAAATGTCTTTTGTGTTATGTTTTTAAAAAGAAGAAAATAAAAGCTTTTTCGTAATTCTAGAAGAGAAATAAAAGAATATAAGGAAGAAAGGTTAAATAAAGTAAGCAAAAGGGAGTTATGGGAAGGAAGAGAAAAGAAGAGAAGACAAGAGAGGAGGGATGAAACGGGATTGCATACTGCATATTGTCAGTTTTTCCTGTTGTTGTTTTTTTCCCCTCCATGTTGATTTCAGGGACAATAATCCTGCCACTTGCAGAGTAAGCCCCTTTGTGACTTAGAAAAAAATGACATACCCTAGTTTGGAAACATATTTAAAATTTCCATTCCCTATGTTAATAGAATTTGGAGATTCTCTAATGCTTCTTCCTCAGATCTAATAATCAATTAAAAATATATCAGAGTATCAAATATGTCACAATTATTCTAGATCTGATAGGTAGAGTGTGTCAATGATATTTATCTCTTTGCTAAAACACTGAGATAATTTATATAAATTCACTATAACAAAAGAGTAAACTAGATCTACTATGAGTTTAAATAGGAAGACTGGTAACAATAATAACAAGACCTCATTATTTATTTATTTATATTAAGTATCAGCTATATTTACTGTGCAAAATGCTAGAAAAATATCACTTAATAAAATAAAGCAGGTGCCAGACCTCATGAAACCTATAAAGGAAGGTGTAATAGTAGAAGTGATTCAAACAAAGAAGTTGGTTATCTTTAGGGGCACAGAATAAAACAGATATAATCAACTACAAAATAACTTTAAAAATAATTCCAGAACAATCTTTTTATTTTACCTAAGAATACAAACATATCATTCATAAGGCCATTCTTGATGAATAAAATCTGATGTGCCTTCTTTTTTTTCTTTTTCTTTTTTGATGTGCCTTCTTAAATTGAAAAAATTCTGTGCAGACAGTCCATGAAAAGCACAGATCCAAAAGAAAATTAAACTTACAAATGTGCTATGAGTGTTCTGTAGAAAAATAACTGTTTAAACATAAAATCCCATAATTAGCCTGGATCTCTCATTCAAGCACTGCAGGTCAAAACCACCAACTTTTCCAAGTCAATGGGGAAAAGCCTTCCATTTCTCTCTTGTGTATTTGGGTGTGTGTAATTAGACTTCTCCGATGCCAACAAAAACCCATGAAGACTTTCTTCATACAAGTTTAGATTGTTCCAGCTCCAAAAATGGGATCAGAACGTGCTGGTACACCATCAGCAACACCCCTGGATGGGAAATACCACCAAGCCGTTTCAGCAAAGAAGTTACTGCTCTCCACTAAGATAAATATCTGAAATTTTTTAAAAAATGGAATCAGTGGAGCAAAAGCAAAGGCTATTAGTCTAATGACTGCGATGGATTTGGTGTTGAATTTTGCCTGCTAATTTATATTAATTTCCTTGGTAGTTGATGTTTGAGCCGATGCTGTACATGAATGGATTATTGATGTGGTAAAATCTGAGGTCGCTGACCACTGTTATTAGTTAGCATTTGGTTTGCCTACATATTATATAAAATAAAAATAACAACAGTTTAAATAGGATAAAAGTCTCTCTCACTATGTTACACACACACACACACACACACCACACACACACATACACACACACACACACACACCACACACACACATACACACACACACACATACACACACACACACACACACACACACACTGTGAGTTGGCAGTATCGGGCAGTTATGGTGACTCTGCAGTGTTATCAGAGGCCCACATTCCTATAATTTTGTTCCACCCTGGTGGCACATTGAAGTGTCCAGTGATGACTACAATAGGTGATTCCCATACCACATGCTCCTCTGCATACAACTTTGCTCATTTCCAGTAAAGAGGTGGGGAAAAGTCATCTGTCCTCTTGAATCTGAGCTGGCCTCAGTGATTTGCAGGTAAGCAGTAGAGTGGAGCAGACAGAATGCTGTGTGATTTCCGAAGTTAGGTCATTAAAGACCGTGTAGCTTTGCCTGGTTTTCTTGAAGTACCTACTCTCAGAATCTCTAGCACTGTGAGAAGCCCCAGCACATGGACAGCCCATGCGTAGATGTTCTGGTTGACTGTCCTCGCTGAGCCCAGCCTCGAAATCATCTTAGTGAACTGGACATTTAATTAAAGAACGCTCCAAGTAATTCCAGTACTCAGTCATTCAAGACTTCACAGTTTAAACCCCAGCCATTATAAAGCTTTGTAGGTCAAAGACAAGTCATCCCACTGTGCTCCATTTGAATTCCTGACCCCCAGAATCCTCACACATTATAAAATAGATGTGATTTTACATTAGTAAGTTTGGAGAGGTTTGTTATGCTATAATAGATAATTGATATAAACACAGTCATCATGTTGCTGAACCCCAAGGTGTATGCTAGAGATGCTGCCTCTGTATTCACGTTCCAGGCATCAAGAAAGAGGAGACAATTCCATTTGGAGGAAGCAATTCTGCTACACTTCATTGATGAAAACCTAGTCATATGGATTTACTGAGTGCCACAGCAGGCTGGTGAATGTAGTCTTAAAGATAAGCACCAGTATTCCCAGTTAAATATTCTGTGTTACCAACTAGAAGTCTCTGCAACAAATGTCTACTTTTTTTCTCAATTTGATTTTAGACACTCCCACTTTTAAAATTCGTTGTTTAAGATAAGGTGTTATGTCTATGAAAACTCTTACTAACGTACAAATGGAAAACTAAGAAGGGTAACACCTAAATGTGGACATTTTTATAAAATCACCATCTTTCTTATGAAAACAGATGGCGTTGACAAGGCAAAGCATAGTTAAGAGACCCAAGGACATTGCCTCAGAATCAAAGAGGGAAATCCAGCTGTAGCTTAAAGGTTAAAGGTCTTGGACATTTGAGAGTAGGAGTACAATGGTCATAAACTAGATTAAAATTATTTTTTAATTAGCTGAGGATTTATAAGTAGATAAATCTTTATTATTCTCATTCTTTAGGCAATTTTTAAGATATTGCTACAAAGGTAATTCTGATGATTTTATGTGAGAATAATTTATTCCAAAATAGACAGGTCTCTTTTAAAATTACCTTATCTTCAACTTAAATTCCTAAGTCCTATATCTTCTTTTGAATGGTGATTAAAACATATTTTTGTGCAAAGGTATGCTTCTTTTGATAGCTAAAACCTAGCTTATATAACCATTAATGGGTAGTGATTGTCTAAATTTAACCTGGGACAAGAATTTGTTTCAAATTGCACCAAAATCTCCATTGAGAGCTTCCTCTGTAATCACCCTGAATATTGATTCCCTGAAAGCAGAAGCTATTTTAAAGACGAGTTAATTTCTTCATTGAACATTGGTACCTAGAGAGAATCTGTCAAAATACTGTAGGGATGGTGGGCAATTGACTGGACTTAAATATGTTTCTTCTAAGCTGGAGGATGCTTATCAAACTACAACCTGGAATGGTCTTGGAGTGAAATTGTTCTTCCATTCTCTAGCAATAGGCCTCTGAGGGACCTGAGAACAGTTATTGTGCTAATCATGATAATAATAATAGTAATAATAAATAGCATTTAATAACTGTTGCTTATGAGAACTAATTTGTGTCAGACACTTGGTGAAAATGTTCACATTTTATCTCAGTTAGTCTTTATTACAACCCTGTGAGGTCATTTCTACTGTTATCCTCATTTAACCAGTAAAGAAATGGAAATTAAATAATAGGGCCAACATCTTGCAGAGCTAAGAGTCAAACTCAGGCCATTAGGCAGATGGAAACACCAGGGGAACATTATGTGAATTCTGAGACTTATATGTCTGTCATTCTGTCTCATATTCCATCTCTTTTGACCTGAGTTTTTTTTTAACCATATAAAGCCATCCCTTGGTGTGGATGGAGGATTGGTTCCAGGACCTCCTATAGATACTAAAATCTATGGTGACTCAAGATACAAAATGGTGTAATATTTGCATATTACCTATGCACACCCTCCTGTATATTTTAAGTCAACTTTGGATTACTTGTAATACCTAATACCATGTAAATTTTATATAAATAGTTGTTATACTGTACTGTTTAGGGAATAATGACAAGAAAAAAATGTCTGGGCATGTTTGGTAGAGGCACAATTTTTAAAAATAGTTTTGATCTGTGGTTGCTTGAATCCAGGGATGCAGACCTCATGGATAGGGACGACCTTATCCATGTTTAAGGTTGAAAATTTAATGTTTAAGGTTTTTTCTGTGGAGTGAATCCACTGACCCAGGCATAAGCATTCCAAAGCCTGTCGACTTAGGCTACTTTCTAGATAGAGAGGTAGATAGAGGACAATAAGCCACAATGCCACCAGGATGTAGGTGAGTGTGTCAGAGGGAGGGAGTCCCTTTGCTTCCTTCCTTCCTTTTGTTTATTTATTTGTCCTTTTTTGCAAGACAAGTTTCCCTAATGGAGGTATGTGGCTTAGAGGCAGCCTCACTTGAATATGCTTTGGGAGAGAGCCTAATACCTCATATTTTTAAAAAGAAAAAAAAACCACACGCGCGCGCGCACCCACCCACCCACCCAACCACACACACACACACACACACACACACACACACACACACACACACGCTCATATATATATTCCAAGCCAAAAATATCAAGCAGCTCATGGCTGTTAAAAAGCCAGGCAAAGCTGCGTCCCACCCTTCAGTGTTTTTCTTTCAAACACATTGACCACCCTCCTTTCACAACATCTTATTTAGTGAAGCACGCGTTGTCCAAACGGAATAAAATGTTGCAACACTGAAATCTGGATTCTGCCTGAAGTTCTCTTTCATCGACACACTTTCTCACTTTTTTCCCTCCTTCAGTGCTAGGCATCATAGCAGAAATCTCTCCGTGGAGATCTGGAGGGAAAGGGGTTAATTTGAGAGGCTTGGAGCCAGACCTCTCTTAACTGGGGAGTTGGCAGCCAGCAGTTTGGAACACTGCCTCGAATGTCTGACTGAAGGTTTTTATTATCCTTTATGCCCAAAGGTGGCTTTTAGACACCCACAGCAGCACACGGACCTCTGATTGGGATTCGACAGACGGGAGCCAGAAAGCTGTCTGCCCTTTTTGCGATGACTGGGGAACCCCACGGAGGAAACCACCAACCCCTTCCCCAACCTGAGGCTGGACGTGCCCTCCCTCACCCTTCAATAAACTTCAGACCTGTCAGGGGAGTTGTAAAATCAGTGTGGAGTTCTGAGAGTTGGTGGGGGAGGGGGTGAGCAGGAGAACGGAGGGGGCGTGAGAGATGGAATGAAGAGTGAGGCAGGTCTACCGGAGACAAAATAAATGGTAAGAAGAAAGGAAAGAATAGGAGAGCTGAAAACAAAGAAAAAGTAACGACATGAAGACAAAGTTGACGACACAAATGAGAATTACAGAGAACAAGAAAGGTGAAGAGAAGAAAACAGAGATAAGGGGAAAAAGTTAAGAGGCTAAGAAGCATCCTCATCCAAGAACCTCAGATGCCTCACTTGCCTTTGTTATCCACAACTCAGCTATATGAAGGGTTAGCGTTACCATCTGTATGGTGTTATTTTATCCATACAAGATTCATCCTGACCTATGCGATTAAAATTGACCCATGTTCGCCAGGGTGAAACCCTGTAGCATCCAAGAAAACTTTGAAAGTATCCTAGGCTCCAAAGCAGTAGCTTTCTGATTTGTTTGATTTTTCCCTTCCCAGAAGGAAATACAAAGGACCCAGGTATTTGAAAGCAGATTGGAATCTAACACCGACAAGACGCTGTTCTTATATAACATGGTGGTTATGAGCATCCAAAGAGATGGTCCATGCAGAGGAGGTCAAACACAAATCCAGTAGGAAAAGCGTGTTCTTTTTTTTTTTTTAATTTTTTTTAATTATACTTTAAGTTTTAGGGTACATGTGCACATTGTGCAGGTTAGTTACATATGTATACATGTGCCATGCTGGTGCGCTGCACCCACTAACTCGTCATCTAGCATTAGGTATATCTCCCAATGCTATCCCTCCCCCCTCCCCCCACCCCACAACAGTCCCCAGAGTGTGATATTCCCTTTCCTGTGTCCATGTGATCTCATTGTTCAATTCCCACCTATGAGTGAGAATATGCGGTGTTTGGTTTTTTGTTCTTGTGATAGTTTACTGAGAATGATGCTTTCCAATTTCATCCATGTCCCTACAAAGGACATGAACTCATCATTTTTTATGGCTGCATAGTATTCCATGGTGTATATGTGCCACATTTTCTTAATCCAGTTTATCATTGTGGCGATTCCTCAGGGATCTAGAACTAGAAATACCATTTGACCCAGCCATCCCATTACTGGGTATATACCCAAAGGACTATAAATCATGCTGCTATAAAGACACATGCACACGTATGTTTATTGCAGCATTATTCACAATAGCAAAGACTTGGAACCAACCCAAATGTCCAACAATGATAGAAAAGTGTGTTCTTTTAGACAGCCTGGTGCCACCTTTAGTCTCATTCCCATGTAGCCTCCTGAGATCAATATATGAATCCATTCATCAGCTCACAAACTCTGCTTAGAGACATCCTGAAGCCCTATTGCTTAAGGAGTCAGCATTCTACATGACCCGGGGAGCCTGGGGGCATTTAGCATTTATTTAGCAAGAAGGGTAATGAATGTTTCAGGGCTTTACTGCCCTCAAAGTGCCTCTTTCTCAGCCATCATCTTTTGGATCGGCACATTACCATGTCATACAAAGAATGGCAGATGTCATTCATATTTCCAATTAGCAAAGAAGGGAAGCAGCAAAGTGAGTCTCAAAGTGCGTTCCATAAACCACATTCTAATCATCTTGTTAAAAATGCAGGTTTACTGACTCTACAATATAGAGAGACTAAATTCGACTCTGGTGGAAGCTGTATTTTTACAAGGCACTCTAATAATTCCAAGGCCACTGGGTTTAAGGAGCACAGGGCTGGCAGACTGGAGAAGCATATTATCGATATCTCAATGGGACTTTTACAACAGCTTACTTATTTCCATTTTTATAGATGATAAAACAGCAATTCGATGAGATTCAGTGATTTGTGCAAAGGCACATCAGAGTCCATTGCAAATCAGTAAGGGGTATAACTAGCAATATCTAACTAAACAGAAATAAATGTATAACTAGAAATAAAACCTAGATCTTTCAACTTCTGGTTTTCTTTGTTCTTTGAACTATGTCAGGCTGCCTCCTTCTGACATAGGAGAGATTTGACGGTGGCTCTTTTAAAATCTGCTATGGTAGCTCTCAAAGTGGGTAATAATAGTGTGTGATTTATTTATGCCTCACAGTATCATTCCTGGTGAACACAGGCCTCCAATCTTGATCACGCTCCCCTAAATGTGGTCCTATGAAAAAATGCACACTTCCTACTCAGACATGAAACTATTTTAGTTCCTAAGCAAAATCTTTAAGCCATGGGAATTGGAAGGATCGCTATTCCAATAGCTAAATTGTAATTATATTAGGTGTTCCAGGCACCATTATAAATTCTTAATGCATGTATTAAATAAAACAGATGAGCTCATTCACTTTTTTAAAGCAAACCACTGAGGTAAGTACCAGCACTCCCTGATGAAGACAGTGAGACCCGATGTGACTTGCCCAAGTTTACACAGCTCTAAGCTGGGCAATGAAGAAAGGATGTTTTGCTCTAGAGGAAGCAAGATTAACCACCACTAATACTGCCTCTCTGTCTACAGTGGTGGGAGTGTATGATGGGCATTGGGGTTGGGAAGCTCTGTGTAAGTAAGTTTCAGTGGAGAAAAAAATATTCCCCAAATAGCTCAGGAATGTGCCAGCAATATAGAACTATAAATTTACTTTTGCATAAGGCATCTAAAGGCACATTTAAAATAAATCATCACCTTTAAAATCAATCAATCAAATAATACAGATGTACAAGTGACCATGAAGCTGATGTGGTTCAGTTATTTTATTTTATAGATGAGGAAATTAAGGATCTGAGAGGTAAAGACCTTTTTCTAAAGTCTCAGATTGCACAAAGGTAAGTATTGGCCAAGTTGTGTAAGTTGCGAATACAATCAATTTCTTGAAACAGTGCCTGAGGTTAGAATGTCAGTATTGTTCTAGTGCCATGATACTGCTCAATCACTAGCATCCGCAAAACCTCAGAAGGATACAGCAGTAAGTGTTTGTTGCTCACAAGACTGGTTTGGTTATCTAGGTGCCTCTGCTGATTTTTGACTGAGCTTTCAAATTTCTGGGGGTCAGTTGACTACTGATCGACCTGTGATGGCCTCAGCTGTGGCAAGCTGGCTCTATCACATAGATCTCTCATCCTCTAGCTTGGAACACTTTTTTATGTCAATGGAAGACATGCAAGCACACAAGAGGAAATGTGTACACATCATTTCATGCTTCTGCTTGCCTTCATGTGACTCCAATCATCTAATTGACCAAAGCAAGTCACCTGGCCAGCCCCTGACCAGAACTGGGCAAGGGACACAGAAACAAAGAGGGTCAGTGGATTACAACCATTAATGCAATTAATCTACCACAATGAGGGAGGAGGAAAGGCCTGGCATGGAAGTAGTTTCAAGGAGGAGGCAAAAAATCAAATAAGGCCAATTTATGCAATGTTCATTTTAACATCCAAACTTTGAAGTCACATCTTCCATTTTAGGGCTCATTTGCTATATGTAATAAAGAGAAATACATCATTTTGCAGAAGTAAGGAAAGTGCGGAATTTAAGAAGCCTGCACCATTTTATAAAAGCAGGTTTACCATGCTAGCAAGCATCATATTGAATTTAGAGATTCTGGCACATGTTCCAACTCCACTTAGGTTATTCATAGATAAACATAGATTCCTTTTCAGAACAACTGGGAAACATATATATATATAAAATTTAATTTTTTAATTTGATTTAAATTTTAAAATAAAATTGAGTTTTAATTACATATATTATAAATTATGTATGTATATGTGCATGTGTATATATATGTCATGCAACAGGAAACTTTATAATGGATCTATCAAGTTTAGTTTAAGAAGTGAATTTACTTTGTTTAATTTACAAACGATCGAAGTATTAGCAATTTATAAAGGATTAACACATTTGAAAATTTTTCAGAATTATCCTAGGACTAATTTGGATACTTATAACAAAACATTAATATGCTGTACTTTGGTTAAATCAGAGATAATATTTTTAAATGGAGATCTATTTTTTAATATGTGTGAGTATGTGAGGAAAATGTTGTTTAAGGATTAAAATACCTTTCTCAAGGAGGTAAAATTCAAGTGTTGCATTTTTTAAAAATTGTAGCTGTTATTCCTGGTAAAGACCAAAACTATTTTCACCTTTCCTCCATGCTGTTTGGACTCATTCCATAACTAACCTTCTTCTGTCACTTCCCAAGTCTCTTAAAATGACTTCTTTAAAAACGCACATGGACTCACACAGCCTCACAAGCATACAAGCTCTCATACAAGTGAGATTAAAATGAAACAACAGAAACAAATAAAAACAAATAAGCACAATCCTACTAATATAAACTCTTGCAAAGTCTGGCAATAAAGATTATCTCACGTATTCTATTAAAGTCCCATTATAAAATAAAACAAACAGAAGTATCAAATAGCTTCATCATAGCTGTTGGCTTCTCAAGAAACTGAGGCTATAGAGCTTTGGCTGCCTTTTATGTTTATTTCAGAAAAATAAAATTATTATAAACAGATTGCTATTGTAGTGTTACCATGGTCCCCTTGCCAGGTCATTGTAAGAGGTTAATAGGTTAAAATTTGATGTTGCAATGTTATCCTTTAAAATAAAATGCTACTCTAACAATGAGTGCAGTACAACAGCTAAATTGAAGGATATCAAGATGGTTTTGTCAAAATGCTCTGCTGTCCAGTGACCTCTTTTTCACGATGCCAGGGAATCCTATGTATTATATTGCCTGCGAATTTTTGATTTATTAGAAGAAGCATTTTTTTTAAATCGTGGAGGCAACAGTAACTTCATTAACCTGTAGGTGGAGATAATAATAGTCATAAAAGTAATATGGATGACTGCACAGCTCTACAAATATACTAAAAACTATTGAATTGTGTCCTTTGAATGGATGGATTGTATAGCATATGAATTATGTCTTAATAAAACTATATAAAAATCAAGAGAATTTTTGTTTACAAAAAGAAATATGGATAAGATAAAACAACAAGCCAGAGACTGGTAGATTGAATCAGTTGGAGGGTTTCTTTTCCCACATTCAGTGGCATATAAAATTGCCTCCCAATGAATAAATTCAGTCTTCTGGTGGGATCTGTCCATTTTCTTTAAGAAAAAGTTTAAGTATTTATCTCCATCACTATTTATTAACAACTGTTAAACTCCATGATGTCTTGTGAGCTGTGTCTGTCTTCTCTAGCTATGGGAAGTATTTGATTATTATCTTCTAAGAATTTGGAAGGAAAAGGATGTGATTGAGGTCTCTTAAAAGATTCCTGGGGAACCAAATTTTCTTCAGTAAATGTTATCAGAAATGAGACAGATTTCACATCATCAGTCTTCATATGTATTGGAATTTTTCTCTGTGAGCAGAAATGCACCTAAGACTTTACTAGCTGAAATTTTTTATTTATTCTCAACGTGTTGAGGTATGAGGTCAGACTTGACTCAAGACAAGATTGAAGACTTGCTGAAACAGGGAAGAGGCTCTGAAAACACCTCTCCCTAGGACATGCCCATCAGCACCATGACAGTTTACCATTGCTATGGCAAGACCTAGGGGTTGCCACCCCTTTCCATGGCAACACCCGGAAATTACCACCTGTTTTTTAAAAATTTCTGGATAATCTGCCACTTAATTTGCACATAATTAAAAGTGGGTACAAATATGACTACAGTACCACCTCTGAGCTGCTACTCTGGGCACCCTGTCTATGGGGTAGCCCTGCTCCACAAGGAGCAGGATCTCTACTGCTGCTGTGCTCTGCTGCTTCAATCAAAGCTGCTGTCTAACACCACCAGCTTGTCCTTGAATTGTTTCCTGGGCAAAGCCAAGAACACTCCTGGGGTAAGCTCCAATTTTGGGACTCACTGGCCTTGCATCACTGTTATTCTGTATTTTTCCATAAGTATCAATTTGTATGCAATTGAAAAGGTGGTAAAAATGCCCAAACAACTATGAGAAGTGATCTATTCAGTTAAACACACACATAATGTCATTGTAACAGAAAATAGCTTATTATTATTTGGCTTGCTTATATTTGCTTAACTTCTGGGGCTAAATTTGTAGATAAGAGCAGTCAGACAGACATAGTGTATTAGTCCATTCTCACACTGCTATAAAGGTACTACCTGAGACTGGATAATTTATGAAGAAAAGAGGTTTGATTGACTCACAGTTCTCCATGGCTGGGGAGGCCTCAGGAAACTTACAATCATCGCAGAAGGTGAAGGGAAACAAGACACGTTTTACGTGGTGGCAGGAGAGAGAGAGTGAAGGGGGAAGTGCCACTTTTAAACCATCAGATCTTGGGAGAACTCACTATCATGAAAAGAGCATAGGAGAAACCGCCCACCGAAAATCCAATTACCTCTGACAAGGTCCCTCCCTTGACACATTAGGATTACAATTCCAGATGAGATTTGGGTGGGGACACAGTGCCAAACCATATCACAGAGCCTTATACCATTTCTATTGTTCCTTGAACATATATGTTTTTTGTTTGGGTCACTGGCTTGCCCTTTGGAAGCAAAACAGCAAGCTCCTTTGAGTATTTTACTTTTTTTCTATTAATTGAACAGATGAAAGTTAAAAAAAAAATAAGGATTCTAAACTCATGTAGCTGTTTACCAAATAGATCTAACACATGTGAATATATTTTCATTTTTTCAACCTGCTTTGATATATAGTGTATGTTTGACCCTTGCAACAACCATGTTAATAATTCTAGCTGGAATGGTTTTTAATCTCTCGAAATTCCTAGAATACTTTCCTATTTCTTCCCGGAGGTTCATAGAATATTTGCTAACTATACTGCTATTTGTGGATGTAGTTTGTCTAACTTAATATATTATAAATGTTTCAAAAGCAGGGGCGTATTCCTTCACGCTGTGCAATCCCCTATAGCACTTAGCACCAAATAAATGAGTGCAGATATGCCCAATTAGCAAATAAATGGAACTACAAAGAGACTAACCCAAATTTTTTCTTAAATTGAAAAGCAACTTTAGGTCTCCAGAAAGCAATTTTAAAATATGTATCAATATCCCTTGAGTCAATTTCCCATTCAAGATATTTATGCTAAGGAAGTAACCTTAGATGCAATCAAAAGATGTTATCCTAGCATTATTTAAAATATGGTTTTAAAGGAAGTGGCTTAAATGCAAATAAATAAATAAATAAATGAAATAGTATGCAGTCCCTAAGTATGAGGTTTTAGATGGTTTTCAAATTCATGAAAAATACTCAAAATCTATGGTTATGTTAAAATATATATATTTTTTATTGTTTTCTAGGTTTCAGAACGCGATTGCTCATGTTTTCAAAATGGTTCTTATCTTTTAACAAGATACATTGGAAGACATATATTTATAGATTAAAACAATCTAGAGTCTGGGATTTGTTTGGAAATATGAGGTGAATAAGTAGGTAGAAGTACAGATGAATAAAGGACTGACGATGAGTTGATAATTTATAAACTAGATGATGGGTACATTGGGTATACTATTGTTCTATTTTTTAAGTCTTTTTTTTTTTTTTTTTTTTTTTTTTTTGGCAAAGTCTTACTCTGTCACCCAGGCTGGAGTGAAGTGGCATGATAATAGCTCACTACAGTGTCAAATTCCTAGACTCATGCAATCCTCCCATCTCAGCCTCCCAAATAGCTGGGACTACAGGCGTGCACCACTACGCCTTGCCAATTTTTAAATTTTTTGTAGAGACAAGGTCTCACTATGTTGCCCAGGATGGCCTCCAAGTCCTGGGCTCGTGATTCTTCTGCCTCAGCCTCCCAAAGTGCTAGGATTACAGGCATGAGCCACCACACCAAGTCTATTGTTCTATTTTGTTTATATTTAAAGTTCCATAGTAGAAAAAATTCAAAAACCACGTGTATGTATCATCTAGGTGAGTAAGATAGCTTCCATTTGTCCTACTCCCCATATAACTTTTCCATTCTCTGCCTCACTGGTCTCTGCCTGATGGAGCTTGTCTTAGTTTATTTGTATTGCTATAAAGGAATACCTGAAACTGAGTAATTTGTAAAGAAAAGAGATGTATGTTTCTCACAGTTCTGCAGGCTGTGCAAGAATCATGGTGCTTCTCGGGAGGCCCTCAAGCTGCTTCCACTCATGGCAGAAGTGAATGGGAGCAAGCATGTGCAGAGATCACATGGCGACAGAGAGGAAGTGAGAGAGAGGAGGAGGTGCCTGGCTCTTTTAAACAACCAGTTCTTACAGGAACTAAGAGTGAAAACTCACTCATTCCCATGAGACTGGCACCAAGCCATTCACGAGGGATCTGCTTCCATGACCCATACACCTCCCACCAGGACCCCACCTCTGACACTGGGGATAACATTTCAACATAAGACTTGGCAGGGTCAAACAAAACATATCCAAACCACAGCAGATGCTGACCTGCAAGGCTGGTTCCCTGAGCATATAAACTGTGCAGTTGTTCACATGTCCCCATGCTCAGAAGGTTCTCACTCTTGGTTTAACACTCTCTTATCACCTTCCTGAAATTGTAATAATTTTTGAATAGGTGCTGTAATTTTTTATTTGCACTGGGCGCTATAACTTAGGTAGGCAGCCAGTCTTGCTGAATTATATTAGTGTGTGCAGTAAAGATTTAACTCAGTGCAAAGAAAGATTTGTCCCTTTCCTCCTAACTCTTGGGAGGTCATCTCTAAGCACTTGGAATGTCCTCCCTGATAAGAATGCCTTTGTTTACCTGGGGGTGATAGGGACATGCCAGAGTCTTTATGGCAATAGTGTTATAGGGTGGGCCACAGTAACAGCTCAACGTCTGGAGTCACTAGTGACTGAGTTCAACCACACAACAGTCATATATATAAAAGTGGCCAATTCTTAATATAAACTCTGGACACCAACGCTCAAGTGAGCTTTCTTCATTGGCAATTTATCTGCATATTGTCACATGTCATTGCTAGGAGTAGTTAATGCCATCTACATGACTCCACTAGGAGAGGACATCTGGAATCTCTACCCCAGGCCCCTTCTCAACTTTGTTCTATGTGCCTCTGTGCCTCTTCCCTTTGCTAATTTTGACCTGCATCCTTTAGTGTAATAAACCATAACCATGAGTATTACAGTTTTACTGCAGTCTGTGAGTACTTTTAGCAATTTTTTTTGAATGGAAGGTGGTCTTGGAGACTCCCTCAAACTCACAGGTTAACCTTAATGGGTTTCCATGTCCTCTGGCTTACTGTTGAGTTCCGTCAATGCACAGGCCCCATAGAAAACTGGGGAAAGATAAATGAGAGGTCAAGGTATTTATAATCCTGATTCTCTCCCCATGAGAGGGTGTCTTATGCTGGCTGTGTCTCTGAAAGTCAGAGGGCGTAATGCTCCCACAAAGCATCCTGTTCCATATGATGCTTTCTAGCTTCCTATAACCTTCCCCTCATCTCTTTGGCTGACAGCCCTTCCACTTCTGGATCCCTTACATTCAGCTACACCTTTGCAATGAGTTCCTTTGAAAGCAAACCATCTCATGTTTTCATTTTTGTTTTTCCTAACATAAGCAGGTCTTCTGTTTCCTGCCTGTCTTCCTGTTTCCTATCTGGCTGATAGAAAATACAAGGGCAAGAAGTATACAAAATGCGGGGTGGCAATGATGGTTGCATTCTGTATTTTTTTATTGCATTGTTTTATATTTTGTAATAAAACCTTTCATACTTTTGTTATCAAGAAAAAATATTATTTTTAAAAAAGTAGTAATGCATGGGACAACTAGCAGTTCTACTGTCAGACATCTTAACCTCTGAATTGTGCCCTTTCTTCATTCAACCAACTCTCTATTTGAGGTCAGTAATCCCTTGACCCTCCCTTTGTTCTTCATCATCACTCACTGGCTATTTTGGCTACTATCCCTTCCTTCCCTCTCATGCTGTGAAAACTCCCTTAGGATTGCTGAGTGATGACTTGCTGTTGATCCTGGAGTTTTCATTTTTCTTTTACTTTGAGTCCCCACAGATGGGGAGGGTGATTCCTAAGAGTGGGAAGTTGGTTCCGTCCTCCCGGCTGCCTGGTTCTCCCTAGCTTTCCCAGCGCTGTAGAGCACGGAGGTCGCAGAGAGGAAAGACAATGTAAAGCAACAAACATAACCAGAAAAGGCCAATTTCATCATTTTCTTTTTCATAAATTCCCCCCAAAATAGGATGATCACATCCTCATTATTAAATGTGGTCTAATTTTTAAAAGAAAATTTATCTTATATTAGTAACTATTTCCTAAAATGTCGAAGTTAATATTTAAACCCTGTTAAGTGTTCTTGTAGTTGTATTGACTGCACTATACTTATCCCAATTGCTGGGATTACACAAAAGGATAAAAACAGCTATGAATATTATATAATATTTAATGATACCTAATTTCTTATAGAACTATGAGGTAATTAAATACTTTGTTCCTTTTTTAATTGAGGCTTTCAGGTACAGGCTAGAAAACTTGCTAGACAAATTCTAACAGAGCTGTTGTCAAATACTTTGTATAATGTTTTTCACAGGGAACTTTGTGTCAGAGCATAGAGATGGTTAGAGATTAGCGCTCCTGATAGATTTGAGGCGAATGGAGAGGAGGGAACTGAAACTTGTTAACATGCTATGCACTATATACACGTCATGCTTTACAGATACCGTCTTGTTCAACTGTATTGTAAGCTAGGTATTGTTATTTCTATTTTGTACACAATTGTCCAAATTTTATAGCTGGTAACTTTGATTCAAATCTTCATACTTTTCAATATGGCAAACTGCTATATCAATAATGTTAATTTGTCTAATACATATCTTTTGTTCAAATTCAAGCCCATTAGATCCTTTTGTTAAATGAACAAATTATGTTAACAATTTTAAGGAATAATAATATCAACTAGTAGAATTTCCAGATATTGGGATAAGTGGCTTTTTCATATAAGAAGTCAATAATGTCAAGTTAAGAAAATAAACCTTCAAAGACAATCAGAGCTTTACATCTCATAGAAGAATCTGAGTAATAACCTTCCTGTGTAGGAAATAGTTATGTTTTCAATCTTTAACATGGTCAGACTAAAAATATAACCATCATTGATTAAGTTCCTGATTTATTCTTCATATACCACAGTAGAATCTCTAAATATGATTGGCACCTAAGTTGACCTTTTGTGGCCCTGAAATAGATTTTCAGGTTAAAAAAAAATAGGGTGACTATGGCTGGAAAAGTTCAGGTCCAGGTTCATGTCACAACTGGATGAAGCAGTGGATTAGGATTTCCTCACTTTCGAGCCTTGGTTTTTGTTAAGCTTGTTTCGCTTAACACACAGGCCTTTTGCCCTGCTGGGTGAGTCAAAGATGATCTACGCCAGGGCTCTCACTAATACCAGTTTTTTTTTGTTGTTTTTTTTTTTCCTCATCCCCTCAATACCCTCGGGAGTTGGAGAGGTTTTCTTATTATCTCCTCAAAACCACTGAGTTATTGAACTGCTGAATTCTGACTAAAGCCACTAAACCCAGGCAATGCCCAGCAGGAGATAAGAGATTTATTTGGCGGAAAAATTGAACCAATGAGTCTCTACACTCTACGACTCTGGACACAATAGACGACAGTAGGACTAAGGGGAAGTCTGCACTGTGACCTGCAAAACATGTGCCCCTGTCCAATAGCCCCACTGTCACCCAGACAAAATTCCTACAGAACTCCCCAAAGAAAACCTCCCAGCACCTCTGCAGCCAACATTTTTGGTGTCCCTCTACCAACCCCACCATCTGCAGGTCTTTCAAGTTCCCTTTATCATATCAGGGAACCTGTCCCCAAGCCTTTGTGTGCTTTTGCTTCTAAGAGCTCGCACCTGGGACTCTATTTGAAGGGCACTTTTCCTACTGGAGCCTCTTTGTCCTGTATGCCAAAGAGAGAACTAAAGATGTCTGAGAGTTATCCTTCTCCTCAGATGACACTTAACCAGTGACTGACTCAAGAGGGTGTGTGAGAGCCTAGCTCATATACCCTACCCTACAGTTTCCCTGTAGCTTTGGACTGGAGTTGGGATTTTGCCTGGAATCTTACTCTTCCTTGCCTTCTTCCTCTTGTCCGCCATGCTAATCCCACTCTTAACAATATCACAAGGGTGTTTGCTTAATAGATCACTTCCATAAGAATTCTCCCTTAGCACTTGCTTTTGGAGAACTTAATCCAAGATGACACCCAATCACTATACAGAAAAACACCAAACACACAGACTTTTCCATATGTTATCTAGTGCCTCAGTCCTAATTATATATGTACACCCAGGAATCACCAAGCTTCTGAATAAAGCTTCCAAGATGAAACTCAGAGGCCAAAACAAAACAAATCAATATGAAAATCAGGGAACAAAAACAACAAAAACAAAAATGCCAAAAGCTCAGTGTCAATGTCAGTATTTACATTAGGTTTGAGTGTTTATATTATTTTAACATTACAAATAGTTTTCATCAGCATCATCACCTGGGAACTCATTAAAATGAAAATTCTCAGGCTCACCCCGGAACTACCCAATCAAAAACTCTCTGGGTAGAGCCTAGCAGTTTTGAATTTTAACAAGCCTTGCAGTCAATTCTGATCTAACCTCAAGTTGAAAATAACACATCAGAAGCATGTAATAACAACAATAATAAGTTGTTATATGAATACATTAAGAGAATGGGAGAAGAAAAGTGTCTGTTGGGAGGATGGAGAAACAGAAATCTTAATCTCATTTATCATAAGTAGAAGTCAACAGATTAGTAACTAGGATTGCTATACCAATAAATAGCACCATTCATTCATTCACTGGACAAATGTATTGAGTACTTATTGTATTCTAGGCATGGTTCTTCATTCTAATACAACAACAAGCAAGAAAAAAAGTTTGCCATTCTCCTGAAGCTTACTTTCTAACTGGGGAAAAAATAAACACACAAATAACAAAAGGAAAAACACATGAGGCACTGATGACAGAGGGACAGAGCATCTATTTTACATTGAGTGCTTAGGAAATACTCTGATAAGTGACATCAGAACAGGCAAAAGACACAGAAGCAGCCCCAGCCCAATCATTTGGATCTTTACAGGCTTTGGGAAAGGTTTGGGGATTTATTGAGTGAAATAGGAAGGCAGTCCAGGATTTTGAGAAGATACATAACATGATCAGACTTATGTTAAGGCTCTGTGGAGGTGGAAAGTTGTATTTTCCAAGTAGGGCCATAAAAATGTTTCTTATCCCACATATTTTTCTGCAATGTGTCCCTGACATGTCTCTCACTGGAAAGTAAAATCTGTGTCCTCTCACTCAAATCTGGGGAAGTTTGTGACTTTCAGTGATTGTCAAGGCTAGGTCAGAAAAGGCAATGCAACTTACTTTCTCTTTCTTTCTTTCTTTCTTCCTTCCTTTCTTTCTTTCTCTCTCTCTCTTTCTTTCTTCCTTTCTTTCTTTCTTTCTCTCTCTTTCTTTCTTTCCCCTCCTTCCCTCCCTTCCTCCCTTTCTTCCTTCCTTCCATTTCTCCTCTTTTTCTCTTCCTCTTTCCTTCCTTCTCTTCTTCCTTCTCTTTCTCTCTCCTCTTTTTCTTCCTTCCTTGTTTCCATCCTTACCTCCTTTCCTTTCTCTTTCTTCTCTTTCCTTTCTTCCTTCCTTTCTTCTTTCTCTCCTTTCCTCCTTTCTTCTCTTTCTCTCTCTTTCCTCTCTCTTTTCTTCCTTCCTTTCATCCTTCCCTTCTTCTTTCTTTCTTTCTGTT
Source organism: Homo sapiens (assembly GCF_000001405.40). Lineage (NCBI taxonomy): Eukaryota > Metazoa > Chordata > Mammalia > Primates > Hominidae > Homo > Homo sapiens. The sequence continues at coordinate 71,301,462 of NC_000017.11, forward strand.
TCCTCCCTCCTTCCTTTCTTCCTCCCTTCCTTCTTTCCTTTCCTTCCTTTCTTCCTTCCCCCTTTCTTTTCTCCCTTCCCTCCCTCCCTCCCTTTCTCTCTCTCTTTCTCTCTTTCTTTCTTTAAAAATTTGTTCAGAGTATTCACGTTTAGACTCCCGAGCCTTCAAATGAGAGAGCTAAGGCCATAGAAAGGCCTCCTGTGGTCACCCCAGGGAGTTGTTCTAACACTCACATGCTCCCAGCCCAGGTGCCAGCCAGGTGAGTGAGGAAGACACATTTAAGTGATCCCAGCCCCAGCTTTCAGGTACCAGGATTTGACTCTTCCCAGCTGAGGCTTTAGATACTGTGGCACCTCAAAGAAAAGACAGATCATCCCTGTTGTGCCCTGTTCAATTCGCTGACCCACAAAATCTTTAGCATAATACAATAGTTATTTTACACCACTGAGTATGGGTTGTTTGCTATGCAGCAATTGTAGCTGAAACAGTGACAGATAGATTTCAGGACCTAGCTACGAACAGAGCCAGCATTACCAGAAGCATCAATATCACCTGGCATCTGGTTAATAATGCAAAATCTCAAGCCTATTCCAGGCCTACTACATCAGAATGTGCATTTTAACCAGATCTCCAGGTGATTTGAAAGCACGTCAAAGTATGTTTCCAAATCTGTTTTAATCTTTGAGCTAAAATATACTTACAGGAAAATGCACACATCTTAAGTGACTATTTACCTATGCATACATCTGCACAACTACTACCCAGATGAATATACAGAACATTTATTTCCATCACACCCAGAAAATTTCCATGTGCTCCTTCTGAATCAAAAACCCTCTCTCAAACCCTCCTAGAAATAACAACTTTTCTGATTTCCATCACCATATATAAAATATTTTGCTGTTGAATTTCATAAAAATGAAATTATTCAGTATGAATTTTGTTTGTTTCTGGCTTCTTTTGCTCAGTATACTGTTTTTGAAATTCATTCTTGTTGTATTTCTCAGTAGCCTATTCTTCTTAAAAATTGCTGTGTAGTGTTTCATATAAATATACTATTTTTTAAATTATATTCTCCTATTGATGGACATTTGGCATTTTCTAGTTTGTAGTTATAATAACTCAGGTGTGTGTGTATGTGTTTGTGTGTGTGTATGTATGTGAACACAAGTACAGTATTCATTTCTCTTAAAGAAGAAATACCTATGAATGGAACTGTTGGGTCAAGGGTAGGTGTGTGTTTAACTTTATTAGAAATTGCCAAAGTGTTTTCCAATGTGGTTGGGCCATTTTACTTTCCCACGAGCTAGAAGGAGAGATCTAGTCACTCTACTTCTTTGACAATAGTCGGTATTGTCAGCCGCTTAAATTTAGCCATTCTGGTGGGTGTGTAGTAGAACCTCTTTGTGGTTTTCATTTGAATTTCCTTAATGACTAATGATGTAGAACATTTCTTCATATGCTTATTGACTATGAGATATCTTCTTTGAGAAATCCCTTCCCAGTCTTTTTTCTATATTTTAATTGAGCTGTATTGAGTGCAGAAGTTCATTACTATTCTAGATATGAGTCCTTTGTCAAACCTTGTGGCCGTAGGCAGTTCCTAAGATGATTCGTAACAATCCTCGCCCTCTTGTACTCATACCCTTGGGCAATCTATCCCCTTCCCTTAAGTGCCAGTGAGACTATGACTCGTTTCTAATCAATGGTGGGAAAAAGGGATGAGATGTCACTACCACCATGTTTAGGTGACATAAAGTTGTAACTTACATCTTGCTAATAGGCTCTATTTTCTTGTTGGCCTGCATACTTCATGAAGCAAGCTGCTGTGCTGGAGAGGTCAACATGCAAGGAATTAACGGTGACTGAAGCTCATAACCCAGCATGCCTAGAGAAACTCGATTCTGCCAAATACCATGTGAGCTTAAAGGCAGGTCCCTTCCACATCAGCTTTCAGAGAGCATTCCAGCCCTGGCTGAAATATTGACTACAGCATTGTAAGAGATCCTAAAGCAGAAAATCCAGCTAAACTATGTTCAAACTCCTGCCACACAGAAATTATGAGATAATAAATGTATTGTTTTCAGTTGCATAATGTCTTTTTTTATACAATAGAAAATACATATGCAAATATTTTTCCTGAGTTATAAATGATCATGCTGATGGGTGTGCAGTGGTAGCTCAGTGTGGTTTTAATTTGCATTTTCTTAATAATGCTTTTGATATGCTTTGGGCTATTGGATATCTTCAGTGTGAAGGACTTGTTCAAACTTTTGCCTGTACATACATATGTGTGTGTGTGTGTGTGTATATGTATATATATATATATATATATATATATATATATATATATATATGTATTTTTTTTTTTTTTTGAGACAGGGTCTCACTCTGTCACCCAGGCTGGAGCGCAGCGGCACAATCTTGGCTCACAGCAACCTCTGCCTCCCAGATTCAAGCGATTCTCCTGCCTCAGCCTCCCGAGTAGCTGTGACTACAGGCACATGCCACCACGCCAGACTAATTTTTGTATTTTTAGTAGAGATGGGTTTCTCCATGTTGGCCATGCTGGTCTCAAACTCCTGACTTCAAGCGATCTACCCGCCTCAGCCTCCCGAAGTGCTGGGATTACAGGCATAAGCCACCACGCCCAGTCTATATTTTTAATTGGGTTGTTTATCTTTTATTATTATTGAGTAATGGGGCTTTTTAAATCTATAAATTCTGGCTATTTCTTCTTTGAATTCATATACTAAAAATATTTCCTCCTGCTTGCTTCAGCAGCACATATACTAAAATTGAAATGATACAGAGAAGATGATGGTGGATAGGAGGCAGAACTAGCTTGCAGCTCCTGCTCAGACAGACAGAGCAATGTGTGGAGACTCACACCGTGAACTTTTGCTCCAAGAACTACTAGAGGAAAAATGAGGGAAGCCAAGAGAATCCACAAAACCTTTGAAGAACTGGATCATCGCTGCAGGCTCCCTGAGATACCGAAAAACTGAGTCTGCCTGCTTTCACGAAGGGGAGGCTCATGGTCTGGGCAAGTTCTCAGCCCTGGTCACTGGCTGCCTGGAAACAGACTTGGTGCTGTTGCAGGGGCACGGTGGGAGTGAGACCAGCCTTTAGGACCAAGGGAGTGGGGTGAGGCCTGTGACTGCTAGCTTTTCCACACTTCCCTGGAAACCTGTATGACTCAGCAGAGGCAGCCATAATCCCCCTGGGAATACAACTCCATTGGACTGAGAACCCATCCCCCACAGCAGCCACAGCAAGCTCTGCCCAAGGAGAGGCTGAGCTCAGCCATGCTTATGTCTGCCCCTATCTGGTGGTCTTTCTCTTCCACCTTTATCCGCCTCCCCCCACCTCTACCCCATAGCTGAAGACAAAAGAGTTCTATGGCCCTGCCTACCACCTGAGAAACCTGAATACTTAACCAGGTGGCCATAGGGCAAGTTTACATCCTACCTATAGGACCACGGCTGATGCATTCTTGAAAGCGCCACCTCCTGGTTGGAGACCAACCAACACAAAACCAGCACACTGAACAGAAACACAACCAAGGACCCTCACACAGTCCACTTCACTCCCCTCCTACCTCCACCAGAGGAGGTGCTGGTATCCATGGCTGAAAGACCTGAAGATGGATCACATAACAAGACTCTTTGCAGACACTCCCCAGTACCAGCACGGAGTCTGGTAGCTCCAGTGGGTGGTAAGACCCAGAAGAGCAAAAACAATTACTACAGTCCGGCTCTCAAGAAACCCCATTCCTGGGGGAAGGGGGAGAACACCACATCAAAGGAGCACCCCATAGGACAAAAGAATCTGAACAGCAGCCCTTGAATCCCAGATCTTCCCTCTAACATAGTCTACCCAAATGAGAAGGAACCAGAAAAACAATTCTGGCAATATGACAAAACAAGGTTCTTCAACACTCCCAAAAGATCATACCAGCTCACCAGCAATGCATCCAAACCAAGAAGAAATCTCTGGATTGCCAGAAAAAGAATTCAGAAAGTCGATTAGTAAGCTAATCAAGGAGGCACTAGAGAAAGATGAAGTGCAACTTAAAGAAATCAAAAACATGATACAGAATATGAAAGGAAAATGCTTCAGTGAAATAGGTAGTATAAATAAAAAACAACCACAACGTCTGGAAATCAAGGACATACTTAGGGAAATGTAAAATGCACTGGAAAGTCTCAGCAATAGAATCGAACAAGTAGAAGAAAGAACCTCAGCGCTCAAAGACAAGGCTTTCCAATTAACCCAATTTGCCAAAGACAAAGAAAAAAGAATTCTAAAAAATGAACAAAACCTTCAAGAAGTTTGGGACTGGTGTTCCTGAAGAAGCGGAGAAATCTAAAAGTTTGGAAAACCTGTTTGAGGGAATAAATGAGAAAAATTTCTCCAGCCTTACTGGAGAGCTAGACATCCAAATAGAAGAAGCTCAAAGAACACCTGAGAAATTCATTGCAAAAAGATCATTACCTAGGCATATAGTCATCAGATTATCTAAAGTCAAGATGAGGGAAAGAATCTTAACAGCTGTGAGGCAAAAGCATAAGGTAACCTATCAAGGAAAATCTGTCATATTAACAGTAGATTTCTCAGCAGAAACCCTACAAGCTAGAAGAGATTGGGGTCCTATTTTTAGCCTCTTTAAGCAAAACAATGATCAGCCAAGAATTTTGTATCCAGCAACACTAAGCTTCATAAATGAAGGAAGGATAGTCTTTTTCAGACATATAAATGCTGAGAGAATTTGCTGCTACCAACAAGCACTGCAAGAACTAATAAAAGGAGCTCTAAATCTTGAAACAAATCCTCAACATACAATAAAATAGAACCTTAAAGCATAAATCTCACAGGACCTATATAACAATAACACAATAAAAAAATAGAACCTTAAAGCATAAATCTCACGGGACCTATATAACAAAAACACAATTTAAAAAAAGGGTATTCAGGCAACAAATAACACAATGAATAGAATAGTACTCTTTGCACCTCAATACTAACATTGAATGTAAGTGGCCTAAATGTTCCACTTAGAAGATACAGAATGGCAGCAAACATATTTGGAAAACATATTTGAGGGAATAATTGAGGAAAACTTCCTTGGCCTTGCCAGAAATCTAGACATCCAAATATAAGAAGTTTAAAGAGCACCTGAGAAATTCATTGGTTGGATAAAAATTCACCAAGTTTCTGCTATCTTCAGGACACTCACCTAACATATAAGGACTCACATAAACTTAAGGTAAAGGGGTGGAAAAACATATTCCATGTGAACAGACACCAAAAGTGAACAGGAGTAGCTATTCTTATATCAGACAAAACAAACTGTAAAGCAACAGCAATTTAAAAAGACAAAGAGGGACATTGTATAATGATAAAAAGACTAGTCCGACAGTAAATATCACAATTCTAAATGTATATTCACCTAACACTGGAGTTCCCAAATTTATAAAAAATTACTACTAAACCTAGGAAATGAGATAGACGGCAACGCAATATTAGTGGGGGACTTTAGTACTCCAGTGATGTCACTGGACAGGTCATCAAAACAGAAAGTCAATAAAGAAACAATGGACTTCAACTGTCCCCTACAACAAATGGACTTAACAGACATTTACAGAACATTCTACCCAACAACTGCAGAATGTACATTCTATTACACCAGCACATGGAATAGTCTCCAAAATAGACCATACGATAGACCACAAAACAAGTCGCAGTAAATTTAAGAAAATCAAAATTATATCAAGTACTCTCTCAGGCTACAGTGGAATAAAATTAGAAATCAACTCCAAAAGGAACCCTCAAAACCATGCAAATACATGGAAATTAAATAACCTGCTCCTGAATGATCATTGGGTCAACAATGAAGGCAAGATGGAAATTTAAAAATTCTTTGAAATGAACAATAATAGTGACACAATCTATCAAAACCTCTGGGATACAGCAAAAGCAGTGCTAAGATGAAAGTTCATAGCATTAAATGCCTACATCAAAAAGTCTGAAAGAGCACAAATACACAATCTAAGGTCACACCTCATGGAACTGAAGAAATAAGAAAAATCCAAACCCAAACTCAGCAGAAGAAAAGAAATAACAAAGATTAGACCAGAACTAAATGAAATTGAAACAAACAAACAAACAAAAAACCACAAAAGATAAATGAAACAAAAAGCTGGTTCTTTGAAAAGATAAATAAAATTGATAGATCATTAGCGAGATTAACCAAGAGGAAAGATCCAAATAAGCTCTCTCAAACGAAATGGGAGATATTATAAGAGATACCACAGAAATACAAAAGATTATTCAAGGCTACTATGAACACCTTTACATGCATAAACTAGAAAACCTAGAGGAGATGGATAAATTCCTGGAAATATGCAACCCTCCTAGATTAAACCAGGAAGATATAGAATCTCTGAACAGACCAATAACAAGCAGTGAGATTGAAATGGTAATTTAGAAATTGCCAACAAGGCCAGGCATGGTGGCTCACAGCTGTAATCCCAGCACTTCGGGAGGCTAAGCAGGTGGATCACCTGAGGTCAGGAGTTCGAGACCAGCCCAACCAACATGGTGAAACCTTGTCTCTACTAAAAATACAAAAAATTAGCTGGGGGTGGTGGCAGACACCTGTAATCCTAGCTACCTGGGAGACTGAAGCAGCAGAATCACTTGAACCCGGGAGGTGGAGGTTGCAGTGAGCTGAGATGACATCATTGCACTCCAGCCTGTGCAACAAAAGCAAAATTCCATCTCAAAAAAAAAAAAATTGCCAATGAAAAAAAGTCCAGGACCAGATGGATTCGCAGCTGAATTATATCAGACATTCAAAGACGAATTGGTACCAATCCTACTGACACTATTCCAAAAGATGGAGAAAGAGGGAATTCCCCCCTAAATCATTCTATGAAGCCAGTATCAGCCTAATATCACAACCAGGGAAGGACATGACAACAACAACAAAAAAGAAAATGACAGACCAATATCCCTGATGAACACAGATGCAAAAATCCTCAACAAAATACTAGCAAACCAAACCCAATAGCATATCAAAAAGATAATCCACTATGATCAAGTGGGTTTCATATCAGGGATGCAGGGATAAAGTCAATAAATGTGACAGAGCACATAAACAGAATTAAAAACAAAAAAAATCACATGATCATCTCAATAGATGCAGAAAAAGCATTTGACAAAATCCAACATCCCTTTATGATTAAAACTCTCGGCAAAATCAGCATTTATTAAGGTAATAAAAGCCATCCATGACAAACCCACAGCCAACATATTATACTGAATGGGGAAAAGTTGAAAGCATACGCCCTGAGAACTGGAACGAGACAAGGAAGCCCATTTCACCACTTCTATTCAACATAGTACTGGAAGTCCTAACCAGCGCAATCAGACAAGAGGAAGAAATAAAAGGGCATCCAAATTGGTAAAGAGGAAGTCAAACTGTCTCTGATTGCTGATATGATTGAATACCTAGAAAATCCTAAAGACTTATCCATAAAGCTCCTAGAGCTGGCAAATGAATTCAGCAAAGTTTCCAGATACAAAATTAATGCACACAAATAAGTAGCTCTGCTACACACCAACAGCGACCAAGCTGAGAATCAAATTAAGAACTCAACCCCTTTCACAATATCTGTAAATAAAATAAAATAAAATAAAATAAAATAAAATACTTGGGAATATACCTAACCAAGGACATGAAAGACCTCTATAAGGAAAACTACAAAACACACCTGAAAGAAATCATAGGTGACACAAACAAATGGAAACACATCCCATGCTCATGGATAGGTAGAATCAATATTGTAAAAATGACCATACTGCCAAAAGCAATCTACAAACTCAATGCAATTCCTGTCAAAATACTGCCATCATTCTTCACAGAACTAGAAAAAACAATCCTAATATTCATATGGAACCAAAAAGAGCCCACATAGCCAAGACTAAGGAAAAAGAACAAATCTGGAGGCATCGCATTACCCAACTTCATACTATACTATAAGACCATAGTTACCAAAAAGAGTATGGTATAAAAATAGGCACACAGACCAATGAAACAGAAGAGAAAACCCAGAGATAAAGCCAAATACTTACAGGTAACTAATCTTTGACAAAGCAAATGAAAACGAAACAGGGAATGGACACTCAATTCAACAACTAGTGCTGGGATAATTGGTGAGCCACATGTAGAAGAATGAAACTGGATTCTTATCTCTCACGTTATAAAAAGTCAACTCAAGATGGATCAAGACTTAAGTCTAAGACCTGAAACCACAAAGATTCTAGAAGATGACATCAGAAAAACCCTTCTAGACATTGGCTTAGGCAAAGACTTCATGAACAATAACTCAAAAGCAAATGCAACAAAAGATAAATGGATGGGACTTAATTAAAAAAGCTTCTGCACAACAAAAGAAATAATCAGCAGAGTTGACAGACAACCTACAGAGAGGGAGAAAATGTTCACAATCTATACATCAGACAAAGGACTAATATCCAAAAGCTACAAAGAACTCAAACAAACCAGCAACACAAAACAAACAACGCCATCAAAAAATGGGCTAAGACATGAATAGAAAATTCCCAAAAGAAGATATACGAATGGCCAACAGGCATATGGAAAAACGCTCAACATCACTAATGATCAGGGAAATGCAAATCAAAACCACAATGCGATACCACCTCATTTCTGCAAGAATGACCATAATAAACAAATTAAAAAATAATAGATGTTGGCATTGTTACCATGAAAAGCGAACACTTTTACACTGTTGGTGGGAATATAAACTAGTATAACCACTATGGAAAACAGTGTGGAAAGTCCTTAAAGATCTAAAAGTAGCCTAACATTTGATCCAGCAATCCCACTACTATCTACCCAGAGGAAAAAAAGTCATTATACGAAAAAGATACTTGCACACACATGTTTATAGCAGCACGATTTGCAATTGCAAAAATATGGAACCAGCCCAAATGCCCATCAAACAATGAGATAAAGAAAATGTGGTATATTATGTTCTCACTCATAAGTGGGAGTTTAACAATGAGAACACATGAACGCAGGGTGGGGAACATCACACACCAGGGCCTTTCGGGGGGTGGGGGACTGGGGGAGGGATAGCATTAGGAGAAATACCTAATGTAAATGACGAGTTGATGGGTGCAGCATACCAACATGGCACATGTATGCCTATGTAACAAACCTGCACATTGTGCACATGTACCCTAGATCTTGAAGTATAATAACAAAAAAAGAAAATGTGGTATATATATATATATATATATATATATATATATATATATGCCATAAAATACTACTCAGCCATAAAAAGGAAAGAAATAATGGCATTCGCAGCAACCTGGATGGAACTGGAGACCGTTAATCTAAGTGAAGTAACTCAGGAATGGAAAATCAAACCCTATGTTCTCACTCATGTGGGAGCTAGGCTATGAGGATGCAAAGGCATAAGAACAATACATTGGACTTTGGGGACTCGGGGGGAAGGGTGGGGTTAAAAGACTACAAATTGGGTACACTGTACACTCCTCTGGTGATGGGTGCACCAAAATTTCAGAAGTCACCAATAAGAAACTTATTTATGTAACCAAATACTACCTGTTCCCTAAAAACCTATTGAAATATTAAAAAAAAAAAAGAAAAGAAACAATACAGAGAAGATTAGTATGGCCCCTGTGCAAGGATGACATCCAAATTCATCAAGTGTTCCATTAAAATAAATAAATAAATAAAAATATATATTTCCTCCTAGTCTATGGCTGGCATTTTCACTTTTTTAAAGGTGCCTTTTGATAAAGCTGCAAAATGAAGTCTCAGAAGCTCTTGATAATCAAGAGTAAGATTAGGGAGCATAGCTGGGAGGACATTGCAATATTTTAAGTGAAAGACATGATGATGGCTTGGAGGTAGTGAAAGCATTGTAAGGAATTGATCACATTTTGATTATATTTTTGAAGACAGAGCGTCCAGGATTTTGCTTTAGAGAGAAAAAGCAAAAAGTCAAGAATGACTCCTACATTTTTTGGCTTCCACAATTAAAAATCTAAAGCTTCCCCTTTTGGAAATGGCTAGCAATTTCCCTTTAGAATGAGGCACTTGCCAGAGTCTCCACTATTCCCTATTACTCCTGGAGAATAAGGTAAAATGTCAGTTGCCATTTCTCATCATGTTTACACTACTTTTTCCCCCCTTTACCTAATAAGCTTCTCTCATTTACAATGCCAGCCTGACTCCTAGACACCTTTGATTTTATAACACTAGCTATAAAGTGCCCTAGATTTGGAGTTAAGAGGCAAAGTCTTCAGCCTCAGCTGTGTGTGATACTGGGCAAATTACATTAATTTCTAAGACTCTGTTTTCCTATCAATTAGGTGCCTCTCTTGCAGGGTATGAAAAGAACCAAATTGAATAAATTGATATAAAATAATAAATATTTAGCCTGCCTTTCCTATATTGGAAAAATACCTATGATTTTACTGTTTGTTCTCATGAAGTCAAATACCCTGCTTCCTCTTTTCTGTAATACATTCCTACTTGATCTGTCTTTCTCCAGTCCCTCCTTCCAATGTAGTTACCACCAGATATTCTATCTAATAAATCTTTTTTGGTTTCACTTGTCCCAGCACACTTTGCTGCCACCTTTGATTTGACTTTGACCTGGCTTTGATTTGGTTCTGTTCCTCCATGGGGCAGCCCTTAGCCTGTATTTCTGTGCCACAAATTAGGCATCTCCTTTACAAATGTCACTTCTTTACTAACTACCCCTGCCACTGACAATGACCTTTATCCTCTGATCTCCAGCAGCACTTACTGGTTTCGTGGGACTTTTTAATTGTTTCCTATTCTTTCAAAGTGTTAATTCATTACGGGCAGAAGCCATCATGTATTTCTTTTAAACCTTCTCTCTCCTAAAGGTGCCAAAATGCTAAACATGGAGTAGCCACTCAATATACACTAAACTGAATTCTGAAACCAATTTACTACCTGCTTTTTCCTATGCCACGGAACAGAGTCTTAAATGCAAACTACAACATTGGACCCAGGCATATCCAAGTTGAAATATTGTCTCTGCCTCTCAGTTTTCTGTGAGACCATGGGCAAAATGGCCCTCTGAGCTCCATTTCCTTGTAGGGATAAAAGAGCCTGTTGAAGATGGTTGTTTGGGGTATTAAATTGAATAGATAAAGTGCCTGGCTCAGGTAAGTATTTAGTAAATATCAGGTCCTTTTCCTAAACAGCTTTATTAAAGTACAATTTATTTTTAGTAAATGTAGACTATTATGCAACCATCACAACAGTCCAATTTTAAGACATTTTCATTGTTCCCCTGCCCACACAAAAAAGATTCCCCATAACCCTTTCTGGTCAATTTTTGCTCCTACCCCCAGCTTCAGGCAATCACTAATCTATTTTGTGTCTACAGATCTGCCTATTCCAGATATTTTGTATAAATAAACTTGGGTCATATGTGGTCTTTTGCATCTGCCTTTTTATTTTTTTTCATTTAGCAGATGTGTTTGAGGTCCATCCATGTTGTAGCAGGTATTGTTAAGACAAGGAAAACACTTTCATTTCTGCTTCTTTAAAAAAGGAAGAATATTCATCTCCAAAGGTTTAGGAGAAAGTAGGCAATGTTGTTGGATCTACTTGGATGCGTATCAAAGTTGATATGTGGTCAGATGTCATCTGTACAAAACACCTTTTGTTTTTTCTAGGAAGTGTCCTATGCATTTCAAATACATCTTGGCACACATGTGTGTGATGGATTATTTCAAAATATTGTATTGTCCAATCACTGTGAATGGACCACACACTAAATATCATGAGAACAAAAGGACTGAGGAAATCAGTTCCAGTAAATTAAGATCCACTTAGATGGCACTCCCCTGAGCAACCTTCATTTGAACTTGACTAGAATAATTATAAGGTTTTGTTCAATTTTGGCCTCAGTTGTGCACATCTCACTAATAGCAGAAATAGCAACAAATATTTTTTTCAGTCTATATTTTTTCTTGTACACACATAATTTATGACATAAGTCAAAGAAAATACACCTTCATTTTAATTATTGAACTTTACTAAGTATGCTGTTTTCGACAAGGAAGATCTCTTTAAAGACAAACTTGATATGACATTGGAATGAAGCATTTGAGAGGCTCATTCAAGCCTCAAACTGGAAGGAGAAAAAAAAATCAGAGTTTTGCTATTGAATACCATTTAATTTTGTAGAGAAAGAATTTCCTACATGGCACTGTGAAAGAGTTAACATGCTTATGAAAGATTCAAGAATTTTCAGTGAAGGAGAAATGTATTGAATAGGAAAATTGTCCTATTCAATATTCCTAAAATATTTACTATTTTCTCAGAAATATGTGGCAGCATAATGTTATCATTTTTAAACTGCTACCAGTGGCAATGTGGATATCACTGTCATCTTTGAGATGTTTTGCAAATATTTCTTTCCCTGGCCAAGCCACAAATTCACTTTGTGCCCAGTTAAATCCTCATAAAATAGTGTCTTTGACAAATGATTGTTTTTTTCCTTCCCAACCCAGAGAAATGCCAGACTGAGCTATTTTCACTTTTGGTGGGAAATGTTCCATTTAGACTGACGCAAAATTACGTGGCAAATATCCTGAGGTTCTTTTCTTGTCATATGGCTGACTTCAGAGTTGTGAAAATGACCTGACAATTGTAATAAAATATAGCTAATAATAGTACGTTAACATCTTTCACTTTATTCCAAGCATGTTACATCAATTGTCTCATTTATTTGTGTACAGCAAATATTTTACATATAGGGAATAGCCAATTGTTACTGGTATACAACGCTGAGTTAAGTAGGGGAACTGAGATCAAGGAAGGCTAAACAGTTTACCTATGATCAGTAAATGGCAGCCTCATTCTTCACCATCTTTAATCATTTTATATTAGTCTCATATAATTAGACTTTGATCCACCTATTTAAAAATATTGAAAACATTGATAAGTATCTTTTGGGGTTATATACACAAAAATTAGTGTCCCTATATCTAAAATTTTCCCTGCAAAACCATCTACATTTTATGAATATAAATGATATAGAAGATTAATTTTAAAGCTGTTGAATGTCCGACATATATTAACATAGTAAAACTTGACTCGTAAATATACTACTCTGTTTAGGCAAATACCTACATACATGCATAAAAAGATAGGAAGGAATCCTAGGCTATTAAAATCTTAGGCAGTCCTTAAGTGGTGAAGTTATAAAAGGTAAAATGCCTGTATTACATATACCAGGGAATTAGAATAACTTTGAAAAGCAGTGTCCCTAACTTGTTACCATGGTAATGGAGATGAATCTTGATTGGGTGGTGAACAGCCATGGTACAGGATAAAGGAAGGAGAGTCAAATAAGGATGGATGGGCAGCAGATGTTCTTGACTCACTAATCTATTTTTTTTAACCATGTCTCTTTTTACCCACGATCCATACTGTATATACCAACTATCTTAGCCTCGTTGTTGATCCCTATATATATCAAAAATAATCCATGAGGCAATTTTTGGCGGCATTCATAGTGGTTACCACCATCTCCATATCCATGCTTTCCTCTTTAATACATTTGGATGAGCTTCTTCATCTCCACTCCACCTCATGTGAGCTACCACTTTTTTACCTCGTAACAAGGAGACTAGAACTCAATGACCCGAGAACAAAGTTTGAAAGACGGGCCATTCTTAATCTAGAAACGGGGCCAATGAACTGTTTCCGTAAAGGGGCAGATGAACAAATATTTTCGGGTTTGCGAGACCAAGAGGTCTCGCTCTTCTACTCAACGACCATTGTAGTGCAAAAGCAGCCATTGACAATGCCTACATTGTCAATGTAGTGTGGTGGTGTTCTAATAAAACTTTAAACACTGGCAGTGGGCCACATTTGGCCTGTGGGCACGTGGTTTGCCAACCCCTGGTTTGGAATGATGTACCCCATAATTCTAGTGCTAGGCCCTTGGTGAAACCTTTTAGCCCTCCTTCATAGTCACGCAAAAGCAGGGACTGTAAGCATCCCATGAACAAGGGCCTCATTGCAGCCGCAGAGCCTGGTCTCTCCTGAGTCTTGTTTTGGTATTGTGTCCTTGGATATTTTTGTTCAACAGTACCAGAAGATCAAATATCATCATTATTTTTAGCATTCTCTCTGAATATATTTTTTAAACTGTTTGGGAAAATGTTTCGTCTCTAGCTAATAAATGCTGATGTCATGAAAAACAATTAGAGTAATGTTTTCCTCAACAGGGACTAATTGAGGTCATTTTCAGGGGGATATTGTCTTAGTTACATGGAGCAGCCAGGCAGTGTCAGACTTCACACATAAGTTTGTTTGTACAACGACATGTCTGTGGCTACTGGGCTTATGTTTTTAAGAGTTGGGTGTACTCTGCCACACAATTTGGATTTTTAAAAATTAAAGGCTTGCGTTTGGTAGTTTCAGAGGGTTTGTGTCATGGAAAGAGAGAATGAATGATTCAAATAGTAAACACATCCGTCTTTTCAATAGGCTCTTATTTGGCACAGCATTTGAACACAGCCCTCTTGAAAGGAATAATGATGGCCTGAGTTTCCACATGCCTACGTGACCACATGGCAAAAAGATGGACAACAATGTATCCAAGGGATATATCAACAATTTTCAGCATGAGAATTGTTCAGGGAAGGGCTCTTGGCAGAGATCTGAAGGGAAGCTTTTAGTGTAGCTTCCTTTTCAAATCCTAAATCAAGCCACCATGCTCAGTCTCTCACTTTAATAAGCACTAAATCCACATGCTAGGTTTCAAAAGAAAGAAAAAACCTACTTTAACTGCTAAAACTTCCCTGAAACATACTCAGGGGAACAGGGCACATATGGTGTTGTAATTTTTTTAAAGCAAGACATCTGTAGTATTCGAGAAATGGCTGAAATCTGTTGGATTTCAGAAACTTTTATAAGCTGAACTCCAAAATAGATAAATTATTTTTATTAGACTCAGCAATGGTCAATTTGTGAAGAAAATTCTACCTGGGAAACGACTTTTCAAAAGCAGAACTTTGGTAGTGTATATGTTTAGATCTTGATTTCAAACAGTAAGTGCTAAGAAAATTAATTTCCAATGCATGTGTGATTGAGTACAGCTGCAAAGATCCTGAGCATAGATAACAGGAAACAATGGTGAGCCTGTCAGTTTTCTTGCTGTGACCTCTCTAGGCAGTATGTCTGAGTGCTTGGCGCTGACTATTGGTTCAATAAATAATTATTGAACACCTACTATATGACAGGCATTGTGCGAGGCCCTTGGAATGCAACAATACACAAACCAGCCTGCACAGAGCTTAAATCTAAAAGTGGATATTAAAAAGGACAGATAATTAATTGACTACAATAGGGTCTGGGAAAGGAAACTTACTTAAGAAGCTGGCTTTTACCTGGAGATTGAACACTAAATATGTGTTGGCCAAGGCAATGACTAGCCAGGGAGTCTTTCAGGCAGCAGGAAGAGCATTTAGGCTTTTAGGAAAAAAACATATGATGTGTTTGAAGGAAGCAAAGTGTGTTTGCAGAGCTGGAGCAAAGAAAATGAAGGGAGCAGAAGCAAATAATTCTAGGAGTCATGGATAAGTACTAGAGGAGTTTGGATAACGCAACAAGGATGGAAGATATCATCTGCAGAATCCCTATCTCCCTTTGCTGTGGTTTGAATGATGGTGTCCCCTCCAATATTCATGCTGAAACTCAATCTGTAATGTAAATGTCTCAAGAAGTGTGGTCTTTGGGTGGTGATTGGGTCATAACGGAAGTGCCCTCATAAATAAGATCAAGGCCTTTATAAGGAAGGCTTCACACATGGTTTGGCCCTCTTGCTCTTCGTCATTCTCTCCTGTGAAACACAGCAAGAGGGCCCTTACCAGAGACCAAAAGCCAGTTCCTTGATCTCGGACCACCCAGCGTATAGAACTGTGAGAAATCCTTTTTAATTGTTTAAAAATTACCCAGTATGTGGCATTTTGTTATAGCAGCACAAACAAAGACACCCTTTAAGAGTGGATTTCCCCAAAGCACTTTGGAAATATATAGATATCTGTATAGATAGATACTGATCTCTCTTTCTCTCTCTCTATATATATATACACACACACACATATATATGGCTCTCTCTCTCACTGTCTCTCTCTCTCTCTCGCTATATATATATGGCACTTTCTATCTGAAAATAGAGTATATTTCAGTATATATATAATAATCTTTATATTAGACATATAAATATATATGTATATACACACTGTCTTTACTCAGAGAAAAAGAAACACCGCAATGGACTCCAAATATGTGAATGCAATGATTAAGCCATTCTTTTTTTTTTTTTGAGACGGAGTCTCGTTCAGTCGCCCAGGCTGGAGTGCAGTGGCACGATCTCGGCTCACTGCAAGCTCCGCCTCCTGGGTTCACGCCATTCTCCTGCCTCAGCCTCCCGAGTAACTGGGACTACAGGCACCCGCCACTACGCCCGGCTAATTTTTTTGTATTTTTTAGTAGAGACGGGGTTTCACTGTGTTAGCCAGGATGCTCTCGATCTCCTGACCTCGTGATCCGCCCCTCTCGGCCTCCCAAAGTGCTGGGATTACAGGCATGAGCCACCGCGCCCGGCCGATTAAGCCATTTCTTGAGTCATTGAACACAAAATGTATGCTATGGCTTCTGTGTTATGTAGAAATAAGTAAAATCAATTAGTAAACAGATTATCTCAGAAGAAATGGTATCAAGAAGAACAAGTATGCTACGTGAGGTATAGGTGTCTGGTGCACTGAGAATCATATAAAAACGTGCAGATATTCCAAATTTTTCATAACGATGAACTCCTTTTTAACAAGAAAGTGACTAAAACTACTTTCCAATGGAAGCAAAATCAATTAAAATTGCTCTGGAACAGAGAAGAAAAAAGAAATCTCACCACTCTAAAATTGATTTTCACTTTTCAGTTTTTGTAAATTGTTGCCCAGATTGGTATATTTTACAGTGACAATCATGTCTTCTTTTTAATGTTTTTTGACTTAAAGTTACTTTCTATATTTCAAAAGATTCTGCATCATTATCATTTATAATAACTGCAAACACTTCAACTCAAAATAATTGTGACTTAATTCTGATTATGTGTCAGTGTGGGATGATTGAGAAAGTTGTTTAAAAAGGAAAAAGGTTTTCTGCACTAAGGTTTAATGTAGGCTTAAATCACTAATTTAAGTAAAAAGAAATGAGCCATTTTAATGAAATTGCTGGAATAGTATACAGTCATTTACTCCTAAAATTTAGCAAACCCAGAATGAATGCTTATATTTCAGTAATCTGAGTGTTTGTTCCAACTACTAATTATTTAAATACTACTGATTATTTTTAATAGTCTTCATTTTTTAGAGCAGTTTTAGGTCCACAACAAAACTGAAGGTAAGTATAAAGAGTCTCCATTTGCCCCTTGCCCCCATGTAGGCATAGCCTACCCTATTATCAATAACCTCCATCAGAGTGGAACATTTGTAACAACTGATGAGCAGATGTACTAATACACTGATGCATTATTAACACCCAAATTCCACAGTTTACATTATAATTCACTTTGTGTCATACATTCTCTGGATATGGAAAAATGTATAACAACATGTATCCACCATTATTATACTATTATATTATAAACCAGCATAGTCCTCACTGCCCTAAATATCTTCCACACTCCACCTGTTTACCTGGATATGCCTGCTCACCCCTTGCAACGACTGACCTTTTTACTGTCTGTATAGTTTTGCCTTTTCCAGAATGTTATCTAGTTGGAATCATATAGTATGTAGCCTTTCACCTTAGATTCTTTCATTTAATAATATGTGCTTAAATGTTTTCCATGTATTTTCATGACTTGATACTTCATTTATTTTCAGTATTGAATTATATTCCATCGTCTCGATGTACCACAGTTTATTTATCCACCTTCCTACCGAGAGACACCTTAGTTGCTTTTAAGTTTTGGCAATTATGAATAAAGCTGCTATGAACATCAGAGTATAGGTTTTTATATGGATATAAGTTTCCAACTTATTTGCCTTAATACCAAGGAGTGCAGTTGTTGGTTCATAGGACAAGAGTATATTTAGTCTTGCAGGAAACTGCCAAACTGTCTTCCAAAGTGGTGGTACCATTTTTGCCTTCCCACTAGAAACAAATGAGAGCTTCCATTGGTCCAAATCCTCACTAGCATTTGGTATTGTTAGTACTTCAGATTTTTATCATTCTAATAGATGTACAGAGCTATTAATTATTCTTTTTTTAAAAGAAACACAAAACAAAAGAAGTCCTGCTGTAGCAAGGACTTGAAATAATTTTGCCAGAATTCTTTCTTAGCAGTTGGTTGTTTTCATCATGAAGGCAAAAAGTATTGATAATATAATGAAACTTTATTTCTTGCCACCTAGGAGGGAAGATAACAGACCATACAGTTCTTTTTCTTGGTGTTCTGGTTTTTTTTTTTTTTTTTAACCTTTCTTATTTAACATTTTTTATCAGGAGTATGGATAAAAATAAAGAAAATAATGATAAAACGTGCAATTGACTCAACACACACTGTTCGGTTTTCTCTGTCTTTAGGCCACACCCATCACATTTGCTCTTACACCGCTGTGAAACCGCTTTTATCAAGATCACCAACAACTCCTTGCCAAATCCAAAAACGAATCACCTGGCCTCTCTTTACTGGACTTTGGCAGGTTCCATATGCCACACTCACTTATAACTTTATTCATCTCTCTGAACACAATGAACATATCTTCTCCTTCTATGACCCTCACTACACTGTGTCTTATCCAGCTCTAAACATCAGAGTCCAAAGGACTCAGCCATAGAATCTCTCCTCTTTGCTAAATACACTTTTTTCCCTAAGTAATCTCATTCAATCCTATGGATTTAAAAATCATCTATCTGCTGATGAGTTCAAAATTTATAGCTCTAGTCCTGAACCTTCCCTGAACTCTAAACTCATAAACCCAACTCTAAAACTTAAAATACACAGAACAATTGATTCATAAATCTTTTTTTCACACACCCTCTTCCACACCCTAGATGCTATATTCTGCAGTTTCATGCTTCTCAGAAAATATTTATTTTTTCTGTTGACTGACTTAAGCCAAAAAGTTCAAAGTCAGCTTTCATTTCTCTTTCTCACTGACCATTCTCAATAGACAAGTCGATATATGTTTTTACAGCTCTATCCTCAAGACATCCCAAATGTTTCTATTCATCACCGTCTCCTGCCAAGCAGTCACTGTGTCTCACCCAAACTGCTAATGCTGTTCACCTGTCTTTCTCCTTCCACTCTTGTTTCTATATGGAGCAGTCTTCACACAGCGGCTGGAGTCACATGACATATGTAAGAAATAGACTCTCTGTCTCCGTTTTGATGAGACATTAACATCAGGTACCAAAGCAAGTGTGAGACAAATCCTCACGTGTAGTTTTTCAAAAGAAAACCCGAACACCTTGCTGCAAGGATCTTGCATCTCCCTCACTCATTCTGAGCAAGAGTCCAAGAGAAAAAGAGTTTGGGTCTTTGCCTCTTGTCCAATAGAGTTTCCAGGGAAAAAAAGAAACCTTCAGCAGAAAGAACCCAGATATGGACTTCCAGATGCCCAGGAACTTGGCAAGAATGTCCAAAGATTACTAGGAATAGAAGTGTAAATATCTCTACCATAGGAAATATAGGAAACACAACAGTATCTCATGAGAAAAAGTCCCTGTTTAAGACCCAAAGAATTTGAAGCCACCCAACCAAGTCTCATCCACCTGCCATAGCTATGTGAAGGTGGCAGGTCAGGGGAGATAAGTCAATTTTGTCTCTTTTCCAGTTCAGCTTCCCATATGGTGTCAGCACTGGGAGACAGAATAGAAATGAACATCAGCACTGGGAGACAGAATAGAAATGAACACTCAGTCAAAACTGGGATTTGGATTATTACACAGGGCTGGACACTTCCTGAAGTGTCCAGCCTTCCTGAAGTTTCACTTCCAGAGTTTCCTGAAGTGAAACTCTGTTTGCAATTTAAGGTAATTATAGAACTGTCTATTACTAAACAGTGAGCAGGAAAGTTTTGGCCTGCCAGTTTTCCTCCAGGATGAGGGTAAAACTATTCCCATTGACTAGGCTTTGAAGAGATGGTGGGAATTGGCCTGGAGCAGTGGCTCACATCTGTAATACCAACACTTTGGGAGGCTGAGACAGGAGGATTGCCTGAGTCCAGGAGTTCAAGATCAGCCTGAGCAACAAAATGAGACTTTGTCTCTATAGAAAATTAAAGGAAAAATAATTAGCCAAGTATGGTGGCCCATGCCTATGTTCCCAGCTATATGGGAGACTGAGGCAGGAGAATCACTTGAGCCCAGGAGGTTGAGGCTGCAGTGAGCCCTGATTGTGCCACTGCACTCCAGCCTGGGTGACAGAGTGAGACCTTATCTAAAAATAAAAAATGAAAATAAAATAAAGTGAGAATAACGTATAAAGATAGATTTTGTTACCAGTTATACTTGTTCAAAAGTCTAGTTATGTCATCTATTAAAAATTTAAATCAGATTATGTCTCTCCTCTGTAATTCCCCCTAATGCCTTACATTGTATTTAGAATAAAAGACAAACTGCAAATCTATCTCATAGCCTTCAAGATTCGACATGATCTGGCCCCTGTTGACTCCTCATCTCCAACCATTTTTCTCTTTGCAGACTGGTCCACTCACATTCACTTTCTTTTCATCCCTTGAGTGTGTCAAGCTTATCCTTCCTCGGAGACTTCCCTGTTGCTGTTCTCTGACTCTGTAATCTTCTTTTAGATACGGGCAAATCTGCCACCTCATTTCTTTTCCGACTACTAAAACATCACTTTTTCAGAGCGCTCTTCCTAGATTTCATTATCTGTCACTCTCCCCACATTCTACCACGAGCACCATGGCCCTTTGTTAATTGTTTTCATACCACGTATCACTACATAGAATTATATATTTTTATTCATTGGTAGATTATATGTTTCTCTTTTACTAAATAATTGCCTTGTTCATCACTGTGGCTCTAGAACCTAGAAAAATGCCTGGGATACAGTAGACTCTCAGTAATTCTTGTCGAAAAATAAAAGTAACTGTAAAAAACTGAACTGATTTTTTATTTATTTTTGAGATGAAGTCTTGCTCTGTCATCCAGGCTGGAATGCAGTGGTGCGATTTCAGCTCACTGTAACCTCCACCTCTCAGGTTCAAGCGATTCTCCTGCCTCAGCCTCCCGAGTAGCTGGGATTACAGGCATGCACCACCATGCCCAGATAAATTTTGTATTTTTAGTAGAGATAGGGTTTCACCATGTTGGCGAGTCTTATCTCGAACTCCTGGCCTCAGTGATCTGCCCACCTCGGCCTCCCAAAGTGCTGGGATTACAGGCATGAGCCAATGCACCTGGCCCAAATTTATTTTTTAAATACAAGTTATACAAAATACATGTTCTTCTTACCCTCCACCCCTTGTTATGATCTAAAGCAGGTTTCTCCCAAAATTCCTACAGGAGGTTGAAGTCCTAACTCCTAGTATGTCAAAATATGACTGTATTTGGAGACAGGAAATTTTATTTTAGCACTCAGGGAACTACAACCAGGAGCCCAACTTGTTTTGGATTGGGGTTGGGGATAGACACGAAGAGGTGGGGCAGGAAGAAGAAAGGGCTGGTTCATTTTACATATACATATTTTATTTATAATATATCTATGTGCCTGGGCATCTCTATGCTGTTATCATAAAATCTGAATTGTACAAATAAAAAGTTCAATTCCGGGCAAAAATTATTAAATTAAGGCCATTAGGGTGTTTCTTAATCCAATCTGAATTGGTGTCGTTATAAGAAGAGGACAGTGGGACACATGGAGAGACACCAGATGTGTGTGCATGAAGAAATGATCATGTTGTAAAAGACAGCAACAGTGTGGCCATCTGCAGGCTAAGGAAAGAGACTTGGAATAGATACTTCCCTGTGGCAATCAAAGGAAACCACCTCTGCTGCCAGCTTGATCTTGGACAACCAGCCTCCAAAACTGTGAGAAAATAAATTCCTGTTGTTTAAGTCCATTCTGTCTGTGGTATTTGGTTATGGAAGCCTAAGCTGACTGTTTCAGGAAAGCTCTTTCTAACTGTGTGTTTCCTCTGCTCTCACACCACTGACATAGGAGTTAAAAAGAAATTATTTAGGCAGATAGTGAAGGTAAGGAAGTCCTTGGTTACGTTTTCCTTTTAATGAAAAGCGTTACCCAAATCATTTTCTTTTCTAACAAAGAGCAGCCCGTAAAATCGAGCCGCAGACAGAGACAAGCAAGCTGCAAGCTTGCACGGCTGAATGCTGGCAGTTGTGCCAATAGGATAAGGCTACCTGGGACTAGGCATGTTCAAAATGGCGGCTCCATCTTCCCTTTTCCTTTCCAACTATGTGTAAAGTAGGGAGCAGACAACATGGCGCCAATCAAGTGGAAAGCCAACTTGCCTAATAAGAGGATGAGGGTGGGGCAGCCAGCTGCCCTTTGGGTTATAAAGGTCACACCTCGTCCAACCAATCTTTGGGCCCTGTGTAAATCAGACACCACTTCCTCGAGCCTGACTAAACTCCAGTGCACTCTGCTGCAGGCCAGAAGTCTCATTCAGGTGCCCCTCTCTGTGGCAAGAGAGAGAGCTGTTCTCCTTTCCCTCTCTGTTGCCTATTAAACCTCTGCTCCTAAACTCACTTCTTGTGTGTGTAGGCATCCTCAATTCCCTTGGCGTGAGACAATGAACCTCGGGTATTTACTCCAGACAATGACACTGCTTCACCACCACAAAGATCATCAACACAGAAGATGACCTTTATGATCAAAGGTGTGGGGGATTTTCCCCTAACACCAAGCAGCAGACACCAGCTGGGTGTTCTCCAATTCAGCTCCAACACCATCTTCCTGAAGATAGCATTAGATCCCACAAGATGAGGGTACAGTCTCACAGGACCACTTTCCTCCTCTCACCCAGTCACAAGTCTGGGCCTCTGGAACTTCTGACTGACTGGCTTCACCGAGGTTCCCACAAGCCCTTCTTTGGGTTAATTTACCAGGGCGGCTCATAGAACTCAGGTTAACACATTTACAGGTTTATTATGAAGGATATTTTAAAGGACACGAATGGGGCTGGGGGCGGTGGCTCACGCCTGTAATACTAGCACTTTGGGAGGCCGAGGCAGGTGGATTGTCTGAGCTCAGGAGTTTGATACCAGCCTGGGCAACACAGTGAAACCCCGTCTCTACTAAAATACAAAAAAAAAAAAAAAAAAAAAAAAAAAAAACAGCCGGGTGTGGTGGCATGCGACTGTAATCCCAGCTATTCGGGAGGCTGAGGCAGGAGAATCGCTTGAACCCAGGAGGCAGAGGTGGCAGTGAGCCGAGATCACACCATTGTACTCCAGCCTGGGCAACAGAGCGAGACTCTGTCTCAAAACAAAAACAAAAACAAAAAAAGACAGAAATGAACAGCCAGAGGAAGAGATACATGGGGCAAGGTATGGAAGCTTCCCAAGTGCTGGAGCTTCTGTCTGGTGGAATTGGGGTACACCACTTCCCCAGCACGTGCATGAATTCTTCTTTACCTTCCTGTCAGCCTCCAACTGTTCAGCTCTCCAGAAGCCTTCCCAACCCTGTCCTCTTAGATTTTTATGAGAGCTTCATTACACAGGCATGATTCATTATATCACTGGCCACTGGTGATCAACTTGACCTTCAGACCCTCTCCCCTCTCTAGAGGTTGGGTGGTGGGTGGGGCTGAAAGTCCCAACCCTCTGATCCTGCCTTGGTCTTTCAGTTGACCAGCCCCATCCTGAACCTATCAGACCAAAGATACACAAAAGGCAGCACTTTGGAGATCCCAAGGCTTTTAGGAGTTGTATGCCAGGAAATGGGAATGAAGACCAAATATGCATTCCACAATATCACACAGACTAATACACTTCCTCCCCCCTGCCCCAACTTTATATTTCCACAGTTCTACCAAACAGAAATTAAAAGGAACTAAGAATCCATAACATCATCATCAGCAGCAGCATCATCATCATGACAAGTATGGGATATGTGAGGACCTCTGTAGGTTGGAAGAATAGGCTTTTTTGACTACAAATGACTAACAAAGTGACTTTTAAGGAAAAAAATAGTTTTATTGTGAGAAATATATACAACATCAAATGTATCATTTTAACCGGTTTTATATATAGTTCAGTGGCATTAAATATATTCGCAATGTGCAATCAGCACCACCATGCATCTCCAGACTTATCAGCTCAAACGGCACCTCTACCCATTAAGCACTAACTCCCTATTCCCCACCCCCTCAGCCCCTGATAACCAACATTCTACTTCATGTCTCTATGAATTTGACTACTCTAGGCACCTCATGTAGGTAGAATCATACAGTATTTGTTCTTTTGCCTCTGGCTTATTTAACTTAGCATAGTGTCATCAAGGTTCATTCATGGTGTAGCATGTGTCAGAATTTTATTCCTTTTTAAGGCTGAATGAAATTCCATTGTATGTATAAGCCGTATTTTGTTTATTTGTTCATTGTCAATAGACATTTGGGTTGATTTCAGCTTTGGGCTATTGTGAATAACACTGCTATAAACACGGATGTCCCAGTATCTATTTGACTCTCTGCCTTCAATTCTTTTGGGTATATGTTTAGGAGCGAATTTCTGGATCATATGGTAATTCTATGTTTAATTTTTTTTTCTTTTTAGGAACCATCATATTGTCTTCCCAGCAACAAACTGACTTTTAACTGTACAACAGTAATTGCAAATCTGTGTGGTCCACTTTCACTGTGCCAGGTCCTTTGCTTAGGTGCCTTATATTGCTTTCAGTTCTCATAAGAGATTCACAGATGAGTTGCAGGAGAGGGGCCCAAACTGATACATTAGTGAGTTGCAAAACCTGGACTTGAGTTAAGGTCTGCTTGACTCCATAGCCTGTGCCACACCTTATCAACCACGATGCTCTGTTACTGCCCAGGGTTATTGGAACAGGGTTGTCCAGAGATGAGAAATGCAGTCCACATGCCTATTGGTGACTTACTTTGTAAATAGTTTCATCTTATAAGCAGATGGCATGATGATATAGCATATCAAGACTTCAAGATATCAAGATCCAAGGACACCCTTGAAATCATGAAAGGCTCAACACAGGAAAATAGTTTACATGTATCTCATGTTTTCCTTGCAGGAAAGGAAATGATGAATTGTTCTTTACATAAGAGATTATTATAGTCCCTGTTCTGTGAGCAACTGAGCCTTTTTTTTTTTTTTTTGAGATGGAGTCTCACTTTGTCACCCAGAATGGAGTACAGTGGTGCGATCTCAGCTCACTGCAACCTCCGCCTCCCGGGTTCAAGCGATTCTCCTGCCTCAGCCTCCCGAGCAGCTGGGACTACAGGCACCTGCCACCACGCCAGGCTAATTTTTGTATTTTTAGGGTGGAGACAGGGTTTCACCACATTGGCCAGGCTAGTCTCGAACTCCTGACCTTGTGATCCATCCGTCTCAGCCTCCCCAAGTGCTGGGATTACAGGCGTGAGCCACCATGCCTGGCCACTTTTTCTTCTTTAAAATTGACAAATTACAATTGTATATATTTATGGGGTACAATGTGAAGTTTTATTATATCTAAAATCAAGCTAATTAACATATCCATCACCTCGTTTATTGCTTTTTGTGGCGATAATATCTAAAATCTGCTCTTTTAGCAATGTTGACATGTACAATACATTATTACTAACTATGCTTACCATGCTGAGCAATAGAGCACTAAAACTTCTTCCTCCTGTCTAACCACTAAAACTTTGTACCCTTTAACAGCATCTCCCCTTTCCCTCCTCTCTCATGCCTTCTCTAGTTGAAGGTCACCTCTGAACTTCTGAATCGGATGGTCAGTGTATGAGAAAACACAGATGAGAAACTGTTTCTTAGAATAACAGCAGATGAGCCAATGTGTTGATACATGTCATGGAGAGGTGGTAAAAAGGGGAGAAAAAGAAAACCAAGCAGCCTCACCAGGTAGCCACTGATGAGATTACCTATTCCTCCAAATGCATCCAAAGCAGACCCTCCAACAGGAACAATCAAGACAAATGGAGGTCTCCGTAAACCCCAGGAAGGCATTTTTCCACATTCTAAGTAAGAATTATTGCATCAAATTATTGAGACTCAGACAATATGCCAAGAATAAACAGCCCAAAGAGGAAATCTCAGTGTATATGACTCACTGTTTTGAACAAAAATTAACATCGGCTAGCCAGCGTTTCTCTTTGTATCACTTTTCCAGATCACCAAGAGGTTATATAATACTTCAAAGTAGCCAATAGAGATGGAATAAACCACCTAAACTGTTTAGATGGCCAGTTTCTTTATCAACGGCTTCATTCAACTTAGTATTTCTCTGAAACATAAAATAAATGTTTTGCAAGTTTTGTAAGAGGCTAGTCCTACTCTGGGAAATACAGACCTTCTCAGTTGTACTCTGAGGAGACCTTAGAATGGAGCTAGAGAGCATCTTTTCATATCAATCAACTTAAAATCAGCTGTAGCTGAGCATGATCAGAGTCTCAGAGAGAAAACAAGTTTTGCAAATGTCAAAAGAGCTTCTTCCTTAGAAGCTTTTACATACAATGGTCCATTGCACCAAAATAAGTGATATATTAGCAGGTCTTCAGCAATGCAATGACAAATGTAAATAATATAAATTTCTCCACTGAGTTCTTTAAGTTCAACTTTTTCCTGAGAATTACCAAATAATTATGCTAAAATTATTCAGCAAATTCAAGCCCACATGAAAAATAATGATCTGACTGATCTTTAAAAAGAGGGTTAATAAGTTTTAAACTAAGTCCTGCCTAGACCTAGACTTTACAATTCTTCATTTTTCAGGAGAGTCACATTTATGTTTTATTTCCATACTCTCACAATAAGATGTAAATGAGAAACATCATCCCTTTTTTTTCTTATTGCAATCTAGGTGTAAGGATTTCAGAAATGTTGCTATTTGAGGTAGTTGATGAATCTGAGGGGATATAGTATCACAGTTTATGGATAAGGATCACTGAGTGATCTAGCCACCACACATCCCTGGGGTTTACATCTTTATTATTATGTGCCCAATAATCTTCATAAATTTCAGTAGACTGTGAATGTTTTAATCACATACTATGACTGTAGAACCCTGCACTGGTTGTGGCAAAAGTAAACGTGTGAAGGCACATATTGGAAGAACAGAGGATTTATAGGAGAGGATGAAGAGACTTGATAAGGAATGGTGAATGGCAGGAGAGCATAAGGGAATAGGATTCAGTGCTTGCAACACAAGCATTAATTAGCAACCCCTGAAAAACCATTGAGTAAAATGAATCCTCAAATATAAAAACAAGAGCCAAAGTGATGGGAAAATAAATATACGTGTGTGTATTTTTGTACCTAGTAATCTACATTACCATGTGTTACCGTGTGTATGCACACACATGTGTGAGTGTGTGTGTGTCATCATTCCAGGTAGACCCATTCAATGCAGATAACTGGAAGACATAATTTCTAAGATGAAGTCAAAAAGTTAAGAGAACAGGAAAGAAGTCAGAGAAGAAAATGAAAGATTAGCTAGGTCATGGTTTGAGTTTGCTTAGTCAATTATGAATCCCCCTGACCTAGATTTCTTTTCCTAGACTATTGATTTAGCTTTGATTCCAAATGCTCTCTTGGTTGCCACTTGCTTTAGAAACAGAACCAAACAAAATGTCCATTGATTTTTCTCATGGTCAGTCCCTTCCTGAGGTCCTTGCAGCTAATCAGTTACTACCTCCTCCTCCTTATCTTATCGGGGCTCTCTAATTTCCTCCATTAAGAGATGTCTGACTGGGTAGTTGCTGAAATCTTTCAGTCTGGGTACATAAGGAGATTAAACTGAGTCACTGAGTTCCCTTGATCTTCTCTGCTTTTCCTTGTTGAAGGCGTGTCTCTGTTTACTGTGAAAGATAAGGGGGTGCCGACAAATCAAGAATAGAACCTTAGAAGATGCAAAGGATTTAGAGATTCCTGTTGTGTATACAGTAGGTGACAAGAAAATTCCACATGGGAAACAATAAAGGGTTCTTCAACTATAGCTCATTATACCCAGCTTTGAAAAACCAGAGAGCTCTGATGGTGTCTGAGGGTGTAACCAGACTCCAGCCCTTTTAAAGAGTAGTGATTACTTGAAGTGTTTCTGACAGCTAAATAAATATTTTCTAAATAAAAATATACATGCTTTAAATGGAATATCAGAACCATTTTTAGACATGAGGATTGCTACTCTGGGATTCCCCAGCTGCCAGGTTCTGTTTTCAGTAGAAGCTGCTATTTTACTGACTGTCACCCGCTGAAAGCTCCACTATGTCCAACTTAATGGCATCTTAGTTGAACTCCACGAGGTCTCAAGCTTCAAGAAGCACTGCAAATTTGAACAAGCACTATAGATTAGAAAGGTACATTTTAAAAGCTTTGTGAAAATGTGGGCATGATCCCAGATTTAGAGCCTGAGTAATGAGTAATAATTGGCAGCAGAGAGAGACAGAGGGAAGGGGCACGCAATCGAGTTCCAGACAAAGAGAGAAATCTTTATCCTGCAGTAACCAGTCATAATAATGGCAAGGACATGGGAAGGAAAGAAATCAATGTGGCAGCATTGAATTTTTTTTCACAAGACTGAAAAGAAAAAGAGACTAGGAAAAAAGTATGAGGAAGGAATTATAATCAAGGACAACTAGAAAAATTTACTTATTTCTGGGTACTTAATGCCCAGAATGACTTGAGAGAGCATGTGTGTGTGTGTATACATACACACATATGCACATATTTTGAATGTACTCATGAGTATATTAAAATAATATACACACTAGGTAAAACCTTCACATAGCATAAAAGTTGCTGATATCCTTTCACCATTTTACAGAAGAAATCACTTACAGTTTCTTGTATATTTTTCCAGAAAATGTTTATACCTATACAAGTACAACATGTCAGTTATTCTCAAAAGGAGGCCATTTGGCCTACAGGAGACACTGAAGCCCATATCCAAGGTAGAAAATAGAAATAAAGTAACTATTTGCATAAGTGACTTCCAAAATATCTGGAACAAGATGCTCTGTAATATACAAAGATGTGATCCATTTCAAGACAATTATCAGAAATGTTTGCAATCATGAAGAACAGTAGCCATAAGTCAGATCTATTTTCACTTGTCAGAAGAGACTCGATGACTTCTAACAAATGCATAGTAGAATCAGAATGTCTCTCCTTTGAAAAATTCAGAAACAGGTAATCACAGGGTTTATAGACGGAAAGAGTATGATCACCACTAGAAGTTAACAAGGGCCCTAAAGAATAAATCATCGAAAGAAACTTCATTTCATACTTTAGTAAAATAAAAAGTACAGATCAGGTGAAATACATATAATTTTATTCAACAAAATATTTGACAGTCAAATACCCTGTCAGATAAATATAATGATAGTGTAATTCTCAGAATATATGAAACTACAGATTTCACACCTTTTTCTAAGTGTGTTTTCATTTTTACTTTATCTTGAATATATTCTACTGTCAGATGCATAAGAAACTCCTAACATAAACTTAAATGTGAAAGGAAGGAAAATACTCCTATTAAAAGGAAACTTCACACAATTCTTTGATAAGATAAACATTAAAAAACACAAAGAAACCTGTTAAGAATTTCACTGTAGTGGTTTTAAAAAAGGTATCAATATCTTTCTTTTGGATCATTCATGTTCCTAGGCGGAAATATTTATTTAGAAGGACTTTTCTCATATTTTACCGATATCATCCTGAGAATCCAAGTTTAGAAAGTTTAAAAAGACCTCTTTTGGCATTTTAATGGACTGTATGTCCTCATCTGACAGGTGGCAATTAGGTCTGTCTTACCTGGTTACTCATGAGACCGAACCTTGATACAAGGCTCATACCACTAAAACTGCTGTCACCAAGATTTTTTTTTTTTTGTCATGGAGAATTATACTAGTATTTTGCTATTGCAGTTCATTTGTGGATGAAAAATAATTGCAGTAATAATAGAAATGAGAGTCACCAAGAAGCATTGTATAGTTTTGAATAATCCCATTGACAGTCTAGATTTGATGTCATGGTTTAATGAGTGGTTGTTATTTTTTCCCCTGAGAAAATGAATAATGCCTCTTCTGTTAGAAATGACTTTTTTGCAACTGCTATTTACATAAAATCTAAAAGCATTCACGGATTTTTAATAAATCCAGAGACTTATAGCAATAAAATAGAAGGAAAGAGGGTGAGATAATTGAAAGTTAAAGGGGAGAATCTCCTTTTTGGAGAATTTAAGACATCCAGTTAGTTTCTTTTGATTATTCAGGTCATGGCCCATTCTTAAAATGAGTTCTATTTCTTATTAGAGCTTTCCATGACAAGTAGACTTTAAGGCCAGATACAGTAAAGCTCCACAAATTTCCAGGGCTTTGCATTTGACATTTGTACAAACCAGAGGGTATTATTTTACCATTGCCTCCCTTGCTTAAATGCAAAGCTGTCCCCGTTTTCAGACCAAGTGTATGATGAGAAATGATGAGAACTTAAAACTCGGTGAAACCGAGTTATTTCATGAAATGCTTTCTCATCTAACTACCGTGATGTAACTTCAGGAATTAAAAAAAAATTACTTCCAAAGTATTAGAAAATAAGAAAAAAAAATGGAGGAACCGTAACTCCCATGCCAGGTTAAAATGTTACATATCCTATGTGCCTTCGTAGCAAGTAACTCGGGAAGGTTTAAAACAGCAATTAGCATTAACAATAAATTTTTTAGAAGCTTGTAATTTTCAAGTATAATTCACCCATCCTGTTCCAAAATACAATTAATTCCAGAAATTGAGGTTCAGCAGGTCTCCCTTTTATCTTCAGATTTGCTTTGCAGTTTCTGTTACCCATGGTACAGTACAATAAGATTTTGAGTGAGCGAGAGAGAGTATGTATTATAGTGTGTTTTTGTTTGTTTGTTTTTTATGAAGCTATCTCAAACTTCCGCTCTTCTCTTTCAGTTTATGGTAGGAAAAGATATAACTATTTTATTTTTTAATGTATTAACAATCGAAGGTTTCTTCCAAGAGAACAATGATTCAAGTTGTTCAATCTCATGGAAGTAGAGAATAGAATGATAGATACCAGAGGCTGGGAAGGGTGTGTGTGTGTGGAAGGGGGGATGAAGACAGGTTGGTTATTGGCTACAAACATACAGTTAGATAGGAGGTGTAAGTTCTAATGTTCCACAGCAGAGTAGGATGACTGTAGTTAGCAACGACGTTTTGTATGTTATAAAGTAGCTAAAGAGAGCGCTTGAAATGTTCCCAACACATAGAAATGATAAATAGGCCTGGTGCAGTGGTTTATGCCTGTAATCCCAGCACTTTGGGAGGCC
This sequence comes from Homo sapiens, assembly GCF_000001405.40. Classification (NCBI taxonomy): domain Eukaryota; kingdom Metazoa; phylum Chordata; class Mammalia; order Primates; family Hominidae; genus Homo; species Homo sapiens. The sequence continues at coordinate 71,333,087 of NC_000017.11, forward strand.
CAGGCAAGTGGACTGTTTGAGTTTAGGAGTTGGAGACCAGCCTGGCCAACATGGTAAAATCCCATCTCTGCAAAAATTGCAAAAATTAGCTGGGCATAGTGGCACACTCCTGTAGTTCCAGCTACTCGGGAGGCTGAGGTGGGAAGATAGCTTGAGCCAGGAGGTGGAGGGTGCAGTGAGCCAAGGTCACACTGACAGAGTGAGACCCTGTCTCAAAAAAAAAAAGAAAAAAGGAAAGAAAATAAATACTTAAGGTGATGGATACCCCAAATACCCTGACTTGATCATAACACACTTTATGCATGTATAACACACTCTATGCATAACACACTCTATGCAGGTACTTATATGTACCCTCATAGATATGTAAAATATTATATATTAATTTTTTAAAAAGCAAAACTTTGTACATTTCTGCTCTTTTGGTCCAGGCACTATCCATTCTTTTAGAGGAGAAACCCTTATTCACATCTCCCCTACCCCCTAGATATTCTAGAGATCATCATATGAAGCCAGGGCCAAACTTATGAACAGGCAGCCCAGATCTCTGTGACCTGGGGGGCACCCAGAAATGCTTAAGGGCTGCCTACCCATAGATTTCCTCCCATTGCTTGGTCCTGGAGTCATCAGATAATTTATTTTCTGATGGCTTTTTAGGTTTCTAAGCCCCATATTAAAATTCCAAAACCTCTATATGAATGCCTCCGGGAGTCAGAATGCTTTAAGCCATGATCACAAACACCTAAAGGGAAGTAGTTGAAAAATGAGAGCAAGATTAAAACCTGATGGGGTGAGGAATGAAATGCCTGGGAAGGGGAAGGAGAGGCACCAAAAGAGGAGGGAGGGTGCCAAGACAAATCCCACCTCCCTGCCAAATGTCTCAATGGTACTAAGTGAAGTGAGCGGTGCTTCTGCTTACACCAAGCATTTCTGAAACCGATACTTTCCATGGGAATACAAAAAAAAAAAAATGATATTGCAGTATTCATGTATATTCATATATACATTCATTGAAACATAATCAAAACCTTCCCATCTCAATTTGGAAATTGGTTCACTTTTCTGCAGTTGCTAGTGGCATCCCAGACTTTATTTGAGATTGTTTTGCTGGTAAACTCCCTGGTGATAGAGCAGAGTTCTGTGATCATGTGGGTCAATTTTAGAACTCTTCCCATATTTTCTGATGCAACCAAGTGGAACAATGTTGTGTCCCAGTAAACATGGAAATGGAGCAAGCAAAACATTACTGTCTACTTCTGAAAATGATAGACCTGATCGGAAGTCGGGTTTGAATCCAGGAGCCTGCTGTCAGTCTTCATTTCAAATTAGGTCTCTTAACATTATGTTTGCCTACAGATGAAAAAATTAGCAAGAAAACAGGAGCCAGCTATGCAAAACCCAGTATGTACTCAGTTGTACAGATTTTGGAGAGGACAGATGCCAAAACAGGCTGAAAACACATCTGATCTTTAGTCATTCCAGCTGCCCTTTCTAGGCAGGGAAGGCTGAATTTGATCTCCTGCTATGCAAATGTCTTCCTTTTCATGCTGATCTTTCTGGCTGGGTGGCAGAGAGGAAAGATCCATTTCTTGTTACTGAATCACTCTCCAATATCTGACCTTGAGGAAGCCTTTAATATCTCTGGATACCTATTTCTTCACATATAAAATAAGATAATTATTTTAGGTAATGGCTAAACTCTTGTGAACATGTTACTCTAGGGAAATAAGGACTTCTGAACTTTAGACTCAGGAAAAGCATACAGATTTGCTTGGAGCCTTAATCACCTACAATAATTAAATCATAGGTATCAAAAATCATAAGCTTAACCACTAATAGGAAGCAAATAAACAGTAGTGGACTGTCTCAGATAAATAATTTAGAGAAGGAATGATTTAGGGACTGACAGAATATACCAGACATCAATATTTCCACTCTCGTTAAAAATTTTTAAAATGATCATTAACAAGTAATTTACAAAAACTAGACAGATTCCTGCAGGAGAAAACAATTTACGTCAACTTTGGAAATATTTTCAAAGTATTTTTATTTCATTATTAAATCCCATTTAATAATAAAGTATTAGATGAAAAGATTTTGATGGGGTCGAATTAAACTAAATTTCGAAAATCCTGATAGGTGAAAAGATGCTACTTGCCTGTACCTATTGCTTGCTAAGTGAAGTTTGGAAAAGTTTTGAGTGGAGATAGGAAGTAAGCTTTCCAATGTCAGAGTTAGGGATTGACACCCATGAACTTGATTTTCTCAGCCAAACATGTTACTCAGTCTAGACCTGTGCTTAAGGTAGACTTTTTGAACTAAAACCCTCTTAGAAGAACACTCTGAGGCTTAAGTCAATATATGATGATTAAATGCCTTGGCATTTTTAAGTATTTCACTAAACATGGGAGATTAAGAAAAGCAGGCACCATAAATCTCCTCCTCCCTGGCCTACATATAGTCTAATAATAGAATTAAGAATTTGGAATATCTTAATTCTTTCAACTGGAGGAAGATGAACTCATGTCACCAGGTTACATCTTTCTTCAGACACTTTTACTTACTCAAATAAAGCAGTTTAAGGCTGCTCTAAGTAGAACTAGCTATTTCGCAAGTTAAAACTTTCTCCTGGGCTGGGTGTGGTGGCTTATTCCTGTAATCCTAGCACTTTGGGAGGCCAAGGCGGGAGGATTGCTTGAGCCCAGGGGTTCAACACCAGCCTGGGCAACATAGAGATACTCCCATCTCTAAAAAATATTAATAAATTAGCCGGGCATGGTGGTGCATACCTGTAGTCCCAGCTACTCAAGAGGGTGAGGCAGGAGGATTGCTTGAGCCCAGGAGGTTGAGGCTGCAGTGAGCAGTGATTGCACTACTGCACTCCATCCTGGGTGACAAAGCAAGAGCCTGTTTCAACACACACACACACACACACACACACACACACACACCCCACCACCACCAACAACAACAACTTTTTCCTGGAATAAATATCTATAAGATAGAGGTGGAAAGCTTATTTTTGTCAAGTGTTCTCTTATTGTTAGTATTCTTTCAAAGCTAGCATGGTAAACAAGTGTTGGATTTTGTTGTGTACAAAGTTGGAGTCATTTCTTAGTGCTACACTAATTCGTTAAGAGGCTATTGGTCAATTTATTAATTTCCACAACTTCTTTTTGTTCTTATTTGGTGAAATGCTCTCAATAAAACTTGAAAGCGGCGAGTATGATGAAAAACAACGGAAAACAAAGTCATTATGGTTTTTAGAAAAGTCTCCTTTGGTGGCAACATCATCACCATTTGGAAGATTAAAACCCTGTAGCTATAACTTAAGCAGACAAAATTATCTGGGCCGGGACTAATTCTTCCATAAAGGGTTCACTGTGGTCTTCTTTGCTACAGGTATCTCATGCCTATCTAAAGCCGAGTGGGTGTGAGGGGAAAGGGGATGGTCCCGTATGTATAAGAACTCACCCCACCAGGGTGGTCAATTGTCAAGTTGCACCTTGTAAGTTACCTTCTCGTTTTTCAGTTACTCCAAACATAAGTCACTGTGCCCACTTCGGCATGAGTAGCCCTCCTTCCCACTTCCTGCATTAAAAACTGTCTTTACACCAAGGCACAAAAAATAGGACTTGTGTTCTGTGCCCACTCTTTGCCTAATATATGGCTAAAAACCTAGGTAAAAAATGACTGATAATTGCAAAATACCAACAATTTTGTTTTGACAAGTCAAGGGTGAAACGTAGACCCTCATTTCCATCAGTGGAGACCAAAACAACCTGTAATTGAAGGAAAAATAGTTCAGGGGTGAACTATCATAAGGGGAAATGCAACAGAAATGATAATTATGACGGCTTCAGGTTCAAATTAATGATTTGCCCTCATTACAGATATTTATCAAGTTAAGATTTTAGTTGAAGTGGATAGCTACCTAACCAAACTTTCTTACACTTATCCTTCTATATTTTCATGAGGCGACTAATGCCAAACCTCTCTGGTCTGAACTATTTCTTCTAACACTCAAATATAGCCCTAGAGAGGCTGACTTTGGAGGCAACGTAAATAGCACTACAGTCTACCACAAAATAGAATGTTTCTGCTACCAGTCTGGTCTTTTTCTGACCAATCTGATTTGTTCAGTGGGTATTCCAACTGGGATCTAAAAGGTGGAGAAAGGGGTGGGAGATGCTTTTTTCCCCCTAATTCCAGAAGACAGATTCATTTTCTGCTCCTGTGAAAAAGAGCTGAAGAAACAATGAACTGCCCTGGACAAATGTAATTGTCTTATGTAAACTTATTTTTATTTTTCAACTGTCATGCATTCGCTACAATACCTTGCTTTAGAAATTTCCTAGAGATCTGTTAAAGGACAGGACTGTACAGATTAAAAAATAAATAAAAGAAAGAAAAGGAAAGGTAGGTTGGGGGGAGTCAATGTATGTTTCTTTATTTGTGATATATTACAAAATCACTTCTCAACTCGGTGCCAGGACAATGCTTGGGGCAAAGGGAGAGTTTGTTAGGACAAGACTCTTCTGAGTGCTGGTATTCTTTTGTATGGTAGAGAAAGTTCCTTTAGTTTTAATGACGTTGACAAGAGGTGGGAGAAAGGCACTCATGATTTCCCACAAAGGTTTCATTGACAAAAGTTTATAATTTTTGTTCAAAAGCACTTCCTACCAAACAGCAAGACTTTGAAGTTTATTCTTTGTTCAGTCATGCTTGTTATGGTTTCTTTAAGAAGACAGTGACCAAAAAACCCTACTACTTTTATAGCTAGTTCTCTGTACATTAAAAAATAAAAAGAAAAGAAAAATTTAAAATACTTTTGCTTAAAGGACCACAAGACAAATATCAAATTCTCCCTCAAGGTTTTTTGTATTACACCTTTAATTGCTAAAACATAGTTAGGTAGTTCATATATTTCCCCACTGTATACTTAGTTTATTCCATTTTATGTGAGTGATTGTGTGTGTGGGTGTGTGCGTGTGTGTGTGTGCATGAGTGCTATTCAGCATGGAAAATTAGGGCACAGTTCCGTAACTGCTTTCATTTTCTAGATCTATATATTTCTGTGTTCTTCCAAGTTCACACAATTTCACAAGAGGGCTTAAAATTACTCTTGCTGAGATTTTCAAACATATATATTTTTCTATCATTTTGCACATTGCAACAGCTTTCCAACTCAAATCTAAGTTAAGCTCAATGAAGGCAGTAGTGTCATTTTAAATTACTGATTTCTGGAAAAGTTTTTCTTTCATTTTTTTCTTCCTTTTTTTTTTTTTAACATATTGCTGGAAAGTATTTACCACGTGTCTAGGTGTGGTTACTTTTGTAGATATTTTGCTTTCTTTTTGCTGTTAAGTCATGGTGGTTTAACAATTGTTTGAGTTGTTCCACCCACCTGGCCCCCAGCTGTCCAGTGGTTCTATAAAACCATGTTGAAAGCTTACAGTGTGGAATACAAATACCAGTCGAGGAATCGAAAGTGTCAGGAAGTGTCCCACAGAAGAGATACAAACAATGCACAGATCCTCTTGTGGCTGAAGGTGGAAAGCTGTGCCTTTAGTAGAAACTTCATGAACAATTTTACTTCAGACCACAGACATTACAAAATCACGGCAGATTTCCGGTGGCTTGACATTCTGCTCTTTTAGCCAAGTATACAAGATATATTTTGCTTCTTATTAACTTCTCTCTCTTTTCTTTCTTTCCTTTTCTTTTCCTTCTTTGTTTCTTTTATTTCCTTTCTTTCTTTCTTCCTTCCTTTCTTTCTTTCTTTCTTTCTTTCTTTCTTTCTTTCTTTCTTTCTTTCTTTCTTTCTTTCTTTCTTTTTCTTTATTTCTCTTTCTCTCTCTCTCTCTCTTTCTCTCTTTCTTTTTGGGAGAGTCTCACTGTCACCCAGGCTGGAGTACAGTGGCACAATCTCGGCTCACTGCAATCTCTGCCTCTCGGGTTCAAGCAATTCTCATGCCTCAACTTACTGAGTAGCTGAAATAAGAGGTGCACGTCAACACACCTGGCTAATTTTTGTATTTTCGGTAAAGATGTTGGGGGGCGGTGTTTCGGGGGTGGTTTACACCATGTTGGCCAGGTTGGTCTCGAACCCCTGGCCTCAACTGATCTGCCTGTGTTGGGCTACCAAAGTGTTAGGATTACAGGCATGAGCTACCACACCCAGCCTAAACTTTTCTTTCATATTCAGCTTTATACTGTCAACTACCTCCTTTTATTATTATCCACCAGCAGTGATTTTTCTGGCATAGATTCAAGGTGAACCATTGCCAAAAACATTTTTTGGCACAGGGTAACAATTAAAATTGATAATATACCAACATAGTGCAGAGAGATTAGAATATTTCCCGGCACTGCTTTCCTGATTATTTCAGAGCAAGGCAACAAAGCTGTATGTGCTATTTCTTTGGAGTGGATGCTATCCAAAATTATTCCTTTGGATATAGTGTTCTGTCATCATCATTATCCTGGGTGTTGCAATATTCATATCCAAAATATTTTTTGTTAAAATAATTGTTTTTCTCACCTCATGCTTTTTCTTATTTCTTTTCTTTGCAGCTGTTTTTAAATTTTAAAATGCAGATTAAAAGGTAAGTTAGGGGTGTTTTTTAAAAAGGTTGCAGTAAGAATACAAGATGAGGTAGTAACTGGACACATTTAGTGCATTTAAGATTTTAGTACATTTTAGTAACTTAAGTAACACTCAATGTAGTTTAAATTTACCTAAAAATTGAAATACTAAAATGGAGGGTCTGGGGAATTGCTAGGAGCAATGGATGAATCAATAGTCAGAGTGAACTTTTACAGCAATTCAAATATCTGATTGTTCTAAATGCATGGTATAAAATAATACCACCTTCAGTTAAGATGACTCTGGCCTTGTCTTTTCCAATGCCATTTTTTTTTCATATCCGAGTACTGTGAAAGCTGGCATGTGTATGTGTTGGAGGAAGGGAAGGATGGCCTGAACTCTGAAGTCAGGATACCTAAGTTTAAAGCCCAGGTCCACCATTTGTTAGTCATGTGGCATTTGACCAACTACATGATTTCTCTGTGTTTCCAGTTCCTCATCTAGAATCAGCAGTTCAATAAAAGTCCAATAAAAAATGGGCTATAGCCTCACTTAGAGGTTGCCCTAAAGGACTATGGTGAAGGGAAAGCCCTCATAATGAACAGAATTTTGCCTGGGGCACTTGGTCATTCACTTTGTGTGAATTTTAAAGTGGCCTGAAATGGCCGGGCACAGTGGCTCATGCCTGTAATCTCAGAACTCTGGGAGGCCAAGGCAGGTGGATCACCTGAGGTCAGGAGTTTGAGACCAGCCTGGCCAACATGGTGAAACCCCATCTGTACTAAAAAAATAGCAATGCAGCTTTTTATAAGAGTCTTGTGAGGACTAAATGAGAAAATGTATGCAAAGCATACAAAATGAACTATTATTACACTATTGCAGAAAAAACAGTGACTTCTTTCAGTATTAAGTCTCCTATGATGGCTGTTCTTTTAGAAATAGACCTATTTCAATGACAATCAAAATTATCCTCTAGAATTTTTTTTTTTTGAGACAGAGTTTCACTCTTTTTGCCCAGGCTGGAGTGCAATGGCATGATCTTAGCTCACTCACTGCAACCTCCGCCTCCCGGGTTCAAGCATTTCTCCTGCCTCAGCCTCCCAAGTAGCTGGGATTACAGGCATGCGCCACTACGCCTGGCTAATTTTGTATTTTTAGTAGAGACGGGGTTTCTCCATGTTGGTCAGGCTGGTCTGGAACTCCCTACCTCAGGTGATCTGTCTGCCTTGGCCTCCCAAAGTGCTGAGATTACAGGTGTGAGCCACCACACCGGCCTATCCTCTAGAAATTTAAATGTACTCCTTTTGCTGTTATGCTAATTGAAGTTCTCTGTAGATCTTTTCACTGTGGAACACCAAAACTCTAGATAAGACTCACTCTTGGAGACATTGATAGTTTCACAAAAAGTATGGACTGGATCTAGAACAGAAGGTGAGAGGATTACCCTGAAGGCAAAAGCCAAGCTTCATACTGCCATTAGAACCCTGAGCTTGAACCAGCTACAGAGTTGTCAAAGGCATTTGAATCAGAGCAACTCCATCTTGAATAGAGGCTGGGTGAAATAAGGCAAAGCCTGCTGGGCTGCATTCCCAGTAAGTTAAGGCATTCTAAGTCACAAGAAAAGACTGGAGGTCAGCATAAGATACAGATCATAAAGACCTTGCTGATAAAACAGGTTCCAGTAAAGAAGCTGGCCAAAACCCACCAAAACTAAGATGACCACTAGAGTGACCTCTGGTCATCCTCACTGCTACACTCCCACCAGCACCATGACAGTTTACAAATGCCAAGGCAACATCAGAAGTTACCCTATATGGTCCAAACAGGGGAGGTATAAATATTCCATCCCTTGCTTAGCATATAATCAAGAAATAACCATAAAAATGGGCAACCAGCACACGTCGGGGTGGCTCTGTCTATGGAGCAGCCATTCTCTTTATTCCTTTACTTTCTTAATGAACTTGCTTTCACTTTACTCTATGGACTGGCCTTGAATTCTTTCTTGCACGTAATCCAAGAACCTTCTTTTGGGGTCTGAATTGGGACCCCCTTTCTGGTAACAGAGAGCAGAAAGTTGAAGCTGGAACTGTGATGATGAGCTGAGACTCTGCAGTTCAGCAGAGACTTTTTAATACCGCCAAAATCAACTAATCTCTAGAGGAAACATATCCAATTTAGGCATAACCAATTAGGCCACAGAGATGAAATTCTACCAATGATCTCAGAATCAATATCGCCAAGCTCATATAAAGGCAAATCCCTTTAAGTAAAATCAGCAGACACAAATAACAGAAGAGTTGGCTAAGTATGTCAATATCAATAAAAAAATGGACTATAGTCTCACTTGGAGGTGACCCTAAAGGATAGTGATGAAGGGAAAATCTTCCTCATGAGCAGAATTTTGAATGGGGCACTTGGTCATTCACTTTGTGTGAATTTTAAAATGGCCAGAAATGGCCGGGTGTGGTGGCTCAAACCTGTAATCCCAGCACTTTGGGAGGCCAAGGCATGTGGATCACCTGCGGTCAGTTCTAGACCAGCCTGGCCAACATGGTGAAACTCCGTCTCTACTAAAAATACAAAAATTAGCCAGGTGTAGTGGCAGGTACCTGTAATCCCAGCTACTCAGGAGGCTGAGGCAGGAGAATCACTTGAACTGGGAAGTGGAGTTGGCAGTGAACTGAGATTGTGTCACAGCACTCCAGCCAGGGCAATAAGAGTGAAACTCTATCTCAAAAAAAAAAAAAAAACACAAAAGGCCTGAAATAAGAATACACATAGTCTCATGGGCAGGGGAGTCGTAAATGGCTTGGGTGGTTGGATAGGAACCCGGAAAGTTTGGAAGATTGAAGACAAGAGTGCTGGCAAGGAGGCATGTGGATGATCTAATGGTAATAAACACAAAGAGTGAGAATCTTTGCATTTGTACATGAATGTCGGACAAGGCACAAAGACCACTGTGAAAAAAATAACTGAGTTGACAGAATGACACAGCCAGTAGATATTAGCCAGCCTCTGCCCTTGGACATCTCAGTGCTTAAGCAATGGACTTGTGTATGGAGCATCTATGGTGTCTTAGATGGAGTCTATGCATAGGCTCAACAGCAAAGATTTTTTTCTCACCAAGCCTACTACTGGTAGAGGGCTGACATATGAGCAATACAGACTAGGACTATGGCCCACCCTCCCTACTAGAGTTCAATTCCTGCCAAATGCCAGTCAGCCATTTGGTGACATCTTGGAATGGACAATATTTCATCTTGGTTTGGGTTGACTCATATTGTGGTTATGAATTTGCATTTCCTGCATGCAGTACTTCAGCCATCGCCATTCTTCCAGGTCTCATAGAGTATCTGATCTACCAGCATGGACTCCTACATGACATCACATGGGACAAGAGACCTGCTTTACAACAAATAAAACATGGCAATGAGCAAATGACCATGGGATTCATTGGCCCTGCCATATACCACACCATCTAGAAACTGCTAGTTTGAAAGAATAGCCTCTTGAAATTTTAGCCCAGGCTCTGACTTGGAGATGACACACTGTGAAGATGGGGAACTAACCCTTAGATTGAAGTATACATCACACATCTTAAACCAATTGTTCATATGTAGTGCTGCTATGTTCCCAATAGGTAGCACACGTAAGTTTGAGAATCAAGGGAAGAAGGATTGTCCTCGTTTATACTCATGACCAGTGATGCATTTGGAGAATGTGTTGTATTTTCTGTCCCTGCAACTTCAGGCTCTATGATCTAGAGGTCCTGGGGTTCAGAGTGGGGGATGCTGCCAGCAGGGAACAAAGTAAGAATTCTGCTAAAATTAAAGCTAAAATTTTGGAATCTTCATGACAGTAAGCCAGCTGGCACAGAAATTCACACTCATGAGGAAGTAAACCATTGCTGCACAATAGGGCCTGAGAAGAATATGTGTGCCACTGGGACATTTCTTGGTATCCCCATGTCCAGGTTTTAACTGTAAGTAGAGAAGCACCTAAAACACACACACACACACACACACACACACACACACACACACACACAAAACCTCAGTTACTGAGAGGCCTCCAGGATGAGGAGATAGGTTACCCTACCAGGCAAGAACCCAGATCATCCAAAATGCTAGAGAAGGGGAAAGAAGCCTAGAAAGAGTAATGGAGGGAAGAGACCGTGAGTAGCGGTTACTGCCTTGGGAACAACTGCAGCATTAGAAACTGTAGTTATTCTCACTAACCCTTTTATTCTTTTTCGCAGTGTTGTTGAGGCTGTAATGGGGTATAGGGGTCAGGGGAATGAGAGGAACTTAAATATTATTCATTCCCTTACGTGTACCAAATACTCTATAGTCAAGGTAACACTCATATTATATGAGCTAACTTTTTCAGCTATCTCTACCCTTCAAAGACAACAGATCCTTTTAGTGATTAAAAAAAAGTAAGGAAAGAAAGAAAGGAAAAGAAAACAGGAAGGAAGGAAGGAAGGTAGGTTGGTTGATTGAATTTTGGGTTTTCTTTCTCTTCAAATGCAGGAAGTTTTCTTTTACAAGGTTCCCTTCCAAAATAGTCTTAATAGTCTTTCTAAGAAATGCGTATGCATTGCACAAACCAATCAGCCGGCCTCCTGGAGTTAGCCAGCCAGTTCCCTGAAGTCAGGCAGCTAGTTTGCACTTTTTAAGCTGTTTCTTAGTATTTCAAGCATAGATGTTCAATCATGCTAATGCCACTCTTTCTATATAATTGTGTCTCTAAGACTCCTCATGTTGTGGGTGAAAGAAAACTTATCTCAAACTGGCTTACATAATAAAGGGGATTTGTTGACTTCCATAACAGAAAGTTCATCTATACGGAGGGCTTCAGCATTCATGAACTGATAGTTAGAAGGTGTCACCAAATACATACTTTTTTCTACTGCCTTACTCTGCGTTCATGACATTGGCTTTATCTAAGTCTGACTCCCCTCCATTTCCACTTCCAGACCCCATGGTCATGAAAGGCTTCTAATATAAATAAGGCTATGTGTTTCTCCATTCTTGTTAAACAGGAGAAAGAATGTGTCTGATCCAGCATTCAAAAGTACAGTACCAAGACTCGCCCTGACTGGTTGGCTTAAGTTACATACCCAATCTTGAACCAATGGCCATGGCCAATTGATAATGTATCCTTAATGGTTTAACCAACCAGGACCCACCACTTAAGCTAAGGTAGGTTTATGTTTACCCAAAAGGTGCTGGCTGTGTTGAGAAGGTGTGAACAAAGGTGAATCTCAGACTTGTTAGAAAGTGAAAATGTTTGGATAGGAACCAACAATGCTCACTAGAAGCAGTTATTTTTCAAGCATGGGTGAGGCCTTCCTCTTAATTCCTCATGGAGTTAAAGACCTGAAAAATAACAGAACACAGAAAATTTACAAACTAGATGCTACGGTTTGAATATGTCCCCCAAAGTTTATATGTTGGAAAAAATGCATCCTCAGTGCAACAGTGTGGAGAGGTGGAAGCTTTAAGAGGTAATTAGGGCTCTTCCCTCATGAGTGGATTCATGCCTTTATTGCAGGGGTGGGTTAGTTATCACAGGAGCAGGTTCCTGATAAAAGGATGAGTTCAGGCCATGTCCTCTTTCTGTCTCTCTCTCTCTTTCTCCTCTCTCTCTCTCTATTTCTCTCTCACATGCTTTCTTGCCCTTCCATCTTCTGCCATGGAATGACACAGCAAGAAGGTGTCTCCAGATGTGGGCTCCTCAGCCTTGGACTTCCTAGCCTCAATAACTATAAGAAATACCTTTCTATTATTTAGAAATTGCTATTCTTTGGTGTTCTGTTATAGCAGCTTAAAACAGACCAATACAAATAACTGACACCAGGAAGTGGGGCTCTTGCTGTAACAAATACCTAGAAATGTGGAAGTAGCTTTGGAACTAACTGCCTAATGGGTAGAAGCTGTAAGAAGTTGAAAAACTCTGTATTACCATGCCTGGAGTATTAAGGAAAATTCTGGTGAGTGCTCAGAAGAAAAGAGAGAGAGAGAGAGAGATCCCAAATCTTCTTGGAAATTACTTAAGTGGTCATGATCAAATATTGGTAGAAATACAGATGGTAAAGGCCATTCTGATGAGGCTTCAGATGGAAATGAGGAACAAGATATTGGAAACTGGAGTAAAAGCCAGTTTTATTATACACTTAAAAATAACTTGGTGGAATTGTGTTCAAGTCCTAGGACTTTGTGAAAGCAGAACTTAAGTGCAATGAACTAGGATATCTGTCATAAGAAATATCCAAGCAGCAAAGCATTCAATATACAATATGGCTTCTTTTGGGCACTTACAGTAAAAAGAGATAAAACAGAAATGATTTAGAGATAGAATTTATAATTAAAAGGAATACAAAATAGAAATAATTGGAAAACTCTCAGTTTCGCTGTGAAAAAACTAAAAAAGTGGGCTCAAGAGAGAATATTAAGGGTGTTGCTAAGTGACGCCTTACTAAAGGGATTAATATGGATAGAATGAAGCCAGGCTCTATCCATAAAGACTATGAATAAATAAACATAAAGGAATTTCAGAGATCTTCAAGGCAAGCTAAGACCCTGAGGGCCAGGTTATCAGAGAGGTGCCCATGGACCTCAGCATTCACTGTCCAGGGCTTGTTTGTGACTCTGCTCCCCACATTCCAGCACAGTGCTCCTCTGCTGCCCCAGCAGTTGCTCAAACAGGCCCAGATGTGGCTCCTGCCACAGCTCTGGAGGGTGAAAGCGGTAAGCCTTGGTGACATCCATGTCATCAGCATCCACATGGTTCTGGCTTTGCAGACATGTGGAGTGAACAAGTTGTGGGGCCATGGCAGCCCCACACTAAACTTCAAAAGTATGTATGGGACAGCCCAGTGATTCAGGCAGAGACTTGTTGCAGGAGCAGGGCCACCACAAAGAACCTCCACTAGGACAAAGCCTGGGAGAACCATAGGAATGGGGCAGCTCCTGAGACCCCAGAAGTAGGACCAACAGTATGCAACTCCAGCCTGGGAAGGCTGTAAGTACGAGACTCCAACCTTTGAGAGCTGTTCAACGGACTGAACCCATCGAAGCCATAAGGGAAAGTCTGCTTGAGACCTTGGGGGTACAGCTGCCACCCCAGTGTGCCCAGCACACAAGGCATAGAGTCAAAGGAGAAAATTCTCCAGCCTTAAGACTTAACACTGTTTTCTCTGTTGATTTTTGGACTTACTTGGGACAAGTCATCCCTTTCTTCTTGCATGTTTCTCCTTTTAAAAATAGAAATGTCGGCCAGGCGCAGTGGCTCACACCTGTAATCCCAGCACTCTGGGAGGCCAAGGCGGGTGGATCACGAGGTCAGGAGATTGAGACCATCCTGGCTAACATGGTGAAACCCCATCTCTACTAAAAATAGAAAAAAATTAGCCAGGCGTGGTGGTGGGCACCTGTAGTCCCAGCTACTTGGGAGGCTGAGGCAGGAGAATCACTTGAACCTGGGAGGCAGAGCTTGCAGTGAGCCAAGATCGCACCACTGCACTCCAGCCTGGGTGACAGAGCAAGATTCTGTCTAAAAAAAAAAAAAAAAAAAAGAATAGAAATGTCTATCTTATGCCTCTCTCATCATCATATTTTGAAGGCATGTAACTTGCTAATCTTACAGGCTCACAGCTGGAGAGGAATTTATCTCAGGATGCATTGTGCCTTGCGTCTCCTCCATATCTGATTGAGATTAGATTCTAGACTTTGGACTTTTGAGTTGGTACTGAAACAAGTTAACATTTTGGAGCTACTAGGATGGAATTAACATATTTTGCATGTGAGAAAAGCATAAATTTTGGGGACCAGGGGAAGAATACTATGGTTTGAATGCATCCCACAAAGTTCATGTGTTGGAAACTTAATCCCCAATGCAACAGTATTGAGAGGTGGGACCTTTAAGAGATGATTAGGTCATGAAGGCTCTGCCCTCATGAATGGACTATGCCTTTATTGCAGGAGTGGGTTCCTCATAAAATAATGAGTCAAACACCCTCCTGTTGCTGTCTCTCACATACCTGTGCTGTTTCATCTTCCATCATTGGAAGATACGGAAAGAAGTTCCTTGCTAGATGCAGACACTGGGACTTCGAACTTCACAGTCTCCAGAACTGTGAGAAATAAGTCTGTCTTTTGTAAATTACTCAGTCTGTGGTATTCTGTTTCAGCAGCACAAATCAAAGACACAAGGTAAACCTTAAAAAGAATGGATCCTAGATATGACTGTTGTTGAACTCCATAGGCCAATCTCTACTACACAGAAAATCCTTTGTGCCGGTTCCTTCTAAATGTTACTGTGCATACATGTCTTTGGACACTTTGTGAAAATGCTGATTCTTTGAATAAGGCCTGAGATTCCACAATTCTAACAAGTTCTTAAGTGATTTTGATGATGTTGATCTGGCGGCCACACTTTGACAGCTTCTCTCCTGATCTCCTATTCACCCCCAAAGTGCTCACCTCAGAGAAAAAGGTAACCTTGAGCTTGTCTCTTCTTATAGGAAACTAATTTCCATTTCCTTAATTCCTACTGAAAAAAATACAAATTCTTAAAATGAAACACTTGGCAGAGTTTTGTGTTCACCTCCAAGCAAGACAAACTTCATATAATTTTGAGAAAAGTTTAACTCCATATTGCTTTCAATCTTTCCCTCCTGAATAAGAATATTTCCTTACCATGAGATATTTTTAAAAGTACTTAAAGTGTCTTTTCCAAAAACAAAGATGCATATTTCCTCAATGATTAATTTCAACTTCCTCAGCCAGGAGAAAAACCGAAAATACTACCAACAATAAAAACTGCAAAAACCAAAGCTTTAAAATGGCGTTTTTCACACACATTCAATAATTTTAAATTACAGGATCTGGTCTCAATAGGAACATATGCAGTGTGTATGTGTGTGTAATATATACACACATATGTAACTGTATAGGTATATTTGCACATTTACACATGCATGCTTACTAGAACAAATAATGCCAATAACTTATGACACGCTTACTCTTCCTCCTCTTTCTATTTTTTTCTTTTTCTTTTTTTCTTTGAGGCATTTAGTGGCTGGTCAGGGAATCTGAATACCATTTATTGTAAAATTTCTATTTTAGTATGCCTTTCAGTTCTAAGCAACTAACTTACCAACTTTTCAAACACAATTTGTCTGCGTAGAGAAGACCAGCACACAGGAAGAAAACAATAACAGAGGCAGCATTGCAGTTCTCAGGTACACACAGGACAACCGAGGCATGGTAAGTGAAATATATAACCAACTTTCTCATAAAAAGTAAGTTTGTAACAAATATGAGAGCAGAATTCGGTGATATTTGTTCATGATTATTCTATTTATACTGCTTATTTAATGCAGAGTTTTGAATATTTGTTTCTCTTGCATTGTATTAGTCAATTCTTGCATTTCTATAAAGAAATAACTGAAACTGGCTAACATATGAAAAAAAGAGTTCTAGTTGACCCGTGGTTCCACAGGCTGTACAGGAAACATGACGCTGGCATCTTCTGAGCTTCTTGGGAGGCCTCAGGAAACTTACAATCCTGGTGGAAGGTGAAGAGGGAGCAGACACAGTCACATGGTCAGAGCAAGAGCAAGTGAGAGAGCAAGGGGGGAGATGCCACACACTGTTAAACAACCAGATCACAAGAAAACTCACTCACTATTGTAAGGACAGTACAAAAGGGATGGTGCTATATCATTCATGAGAAATCCACCCCCATGATCCAGTCTCCTCCCACCAGGCCCCCACCTCTGACATTGGGGATTACAATTCGACAGGAAATTTGGGTGGGAACACATATCCAAACTATACCATGCACTCCAGATAATATTTACTTAGCAACAGAAAAAAAAAAAAAAACCCTTAAGCACAAATCTGAGAGAGCGTATGCTTCTAAGGGAGGGCTTTTCATTGAATCTCGAGGCTATAGAAGTGCCTTTTCCGATGTGGATGGCACTGCTTTATTCATGAGGCTCTCATACTGGTTCTGCCTTTGTCTGTAATTAAAGGTCCAAAAGCTGGCTTTATATATCACTCAAGGCAACTGTAAAACATAAGTATATTTCCCCTCTGTTTAAATAACTGGAATAATTTGTCCCATAATCACATTGGTCTCTGTGAGCTCTTGAAGTTTTATTAAGGTATAACCCACGAGTCACAGTAATACTTGGTTTTGAAGCTTGATTCTCATAGTACTTTTTAAAAATATGAATCCTAACTTTGTGTAACTTTAAAGAATGAACAGGTTTGAAGACACATCACCATGGAAATCAGAAGGTCTTGGCATATCCCTCTAATCTGAGCATGGCCTACGCAGCATTGGTCATGTGTTAGGTAAAGAGGCAAACAGGCAGGAAAATGCCTTGGCTAAGAACATACACTATGGACTGTCTGGGTATAAATCCTGGCTTTGTCATCTACTAACTAGTTACAGGATCTTGCGAAATATGCTTAAAATATTTGGACTTCAGTTTCCTCCTCTGGGAAACAAAGAAAATGAGGTACAGTTTTTAGGGATGTTGGTAAACAAAATGTGTGAATAAATGCAACACCCTTAGAAAAGAAACTGGCACATAGTAAGCACTCAATAAATGTCAGAAATTGTTATTGCTGCAGTTCAGTGGTTCTCAAATGGGAGTAATTTTACCCCTCCAGGGACATAAGGCAATGTTAGAAGACATATTTAAGTGTTGAGACTGAGGGCAGGAAATGCTACTGATAACTAATGGGCGGAGGCCAGCGATGCTACTAAACATCCTACTTGCTGCCGCCACCACCACAACCACCACCACCACCACCAACAAAAGATTATCCAGCACGAATGTCAACAGTGCTGTGGTGCACAAACCCTCCTATAGAATAAAATGTTTCTTGTGTATCAAATATACATCTCAGAAATAAATTACAATAAATGGGTAAAAATTGAGACACTCTCTACTCTTAACCTCTTTTACTGTGTTCTCTATACAGTAGGAAGCATATATTGCTTCCTTTAAGTATAGCAAATACTGTATACAGAAAAGTACCTATATAATAAGTGTACAACTAAAGATTTTCACAAACACACCCATACAACATCCAAATAAAAAGGTAGAATTTTAATAGGACTCTAGTTGTAGTTCTGCCTAAAAGTAGCCACTTTTCCTGACCTGAAGCATCACATACGATTTTTGTGTGTTTATGTTTATACTCTATAAACATTAAGTATTTTTGTGACTAGTCTTATTCATATTCTTGCAAGTAGTTATAGTTTGTTCAATTCTCATGGCTGGGTAGTATTCCGTTGCCAAAACACACCAGAAATTATCCATCCATTCTTTATTCTGGTGGGTTTCAACTTTGGACTATTTTGAATAGCACAGCTGTGTGCATTCCAATACACAACTCTGAGTCAACAAATATATGAGTTTTTATTGGGTATGTACAGCATAACCTTTGGAAAGTAATGGAAAATCCAGCCATGATTTCCCATTACAGTTCAAACAAAATCCAAGATCCTTTAAGAGGTCATACTTCCTAGTTTGCTTGAGATAGTGCCAACTTGTGTTTGTCCTGACATTTGCCATCACTCTCGAAAGTGTTCCACTTTAGAAAAGAAATGATGTGTATTGTCTACTAGATACCATCTTACCTAATCTGCTCCATTTATTTCCTGAATCTTTGCTGGAAGATCTTCCATTGCTCACCCGACCCCAGTCACACTTCTCTTTCCAGGTTCCGAAATTTGCCATATATTTTTCATGACTCAATCCTTGTCTTATACATCTATTCTTCACTCGGGGCATGGTTGGTACTTTTCCGTCTTTTAGTTCTGAGTTTAAATGTCAACTCCTTGGAGGGGCAATGCCTAGTCAGGCTATGAATATTCTTCCCTCATTCTCACACTTACTGTGCCTGCACACTCTTACCTTCATAGTATTTAGTACACTAAGCATTTATTTATGTATTTAAGTGTTTATTATGCTTCCCCTGGCTCCTACTAGAAAGTCAACTCCATTAGGCTAAAAATGATGTGTTTATCACTTCTGAGTAGCCAGTAAATATCTGTTAAATGTATAGATAAATGAATTAGCAAAAATAGACAACCAAGTAGGAAATCAGAATCTTGCTTCTAAATCATCATGTTTGGTCCTTTAATGCAATTTCTTCACAAACAATTGCAAAGACAGTAAACAAGCGAAACAAGATGCTTCTAGGCTAAAAAAATAAAAAAGAATGCATAAGAAAAGGAAAAAAATAGTACTTTATTTATTTTTTTATTATTATTATACTTTAAGTTTTAGGGTACATGTGCACAATGTGCAGGTTAGTTACATATGTATACATGTGCCATGCTGGTGTGCTGCACCCACTAACTCGTCATCTAGCATTAGGTATATCTCCCAATGCTATCCCTCCCCCCACCCCACAACAGTCCCCACAGTGTGATGTTCCCCTTCCTGTGTCCATTGTGTTCTCATTCTTCAATTCCCACCTATGAGTGAGACTATGTGGTGTTTGGTCTTTTGTTCTTGCGATAGTTTACTGAGAATGATGATTTCCAATTTCATCCATGTCCCTACAAAGGACATGAACTCATCATTTTTTATGGCTGCATAGTATTCCATGGTGTATATGTGCCACATTTTCTTAATCCAGTCTATCATTGTTGGACATTTGGGTTGGTTCCAAGTCTTTGCTATTGTGAATAATGCCGCAATAAACATACGTGTGCATGTGTCTTTATAGCAGCATGATTTATAGTCCTTTGGGTATATACCCAGTAATGGGATGGCTGGGTCAAATGGTATTTCTAGTTCTAGATCCCTGAGGAATCGCCACACTGACTTCCACAATGGATGAACTAGTTTACAGTCCCACCAACAGTGTAAAAGTGTTTCTATTTCTCCACATCCTCTCCAGCACCTGTTGTTTCCTGACTTTTTAATGATTGCCATTGTAACTGGTGTGAGATGGTATCTCATTGTGGTTTTGATTTGCATTTCTCTGATGGCCAGTGATGGCGAGCATTTTTTCATGTGTTTTTTTGGCTGCATAAATGTCTTCTTTTGAGAAGTGTCTGTTCATGTCCTTCGCCCACTTTTTGATGGGGTTGTTTGTTTTTTTCCTGTAAATTTGTTTGAGTTCATTGTAGATTCTGGATATTAGCCCTCTGTCAGATGAGTAGGTTGCAAAAATTTTCTCCCATTTTGTAGGTTGCCTCCTCACTCTGATGGCAGTTTCTTTTGCTGTGCAGAAGCTCTTTAGTTTAATTAGATCCCATTTGTCAATTTTGGCTTTTGTTGCCATTGCTTTCGGTGTTTTAGACATGAAGTCCTTGCCCATGCCTATGTCCCGAATGGTAATGCCTAGGTTTTCTTCTAGGGTTTTTATGGTTTTAGGTCGAACGTTTAAGTCTTTAATCCATCTTGAATTGATTTTTGTATAAGGTGTAAGGAAGGGATCCAGTTTCAGCTTTCTACATATGGCTAGCTAGTTTTCCCAGCACCATTTATTAAATAGGGAATCCTTTCCCCATTGCTTGTTTTTCTCAGGTTTGTCAAAGATCAGATAGTTGTAGATGTGCGGTGTTATTTCTGAGGGCTCTGTTCTGTTCCATTGATCTATATCTCTGTTTTGGTACCAGTACCATGCTGTTTTGGTTACTGTAGCCTTGTAGTACAGTTTGAAGTCAGGTAGTGTGATGCCTCCGGCTTTGTTCTTTTGGCTTAGGATTGACTTGGTGACTTTTTTGGTTCCATATGAACTTTAAAGTAGTTTTTTTCCAATTCTGTGAAGAAAGGCATTGGTAGCTTGATGGGGATGGGATTGAATCTGTAAACTACCTTGGGCAGTATGGCCATTTTCACGATATTGATTCTTCCTACCCATGAGCATGGAATGTTCTTCCATTTGTTTGTATCCTCTTTTATTTCCTTGAGAAGTGGTTTGTAGTTCTCCTTGAAGAGGTCCTTCACATCCCTTGTAAGTTGGATTCCTAGGTATTTTATTCTCTTTGAAGCAATTGTGAATGGGAGTTCACTCATGATTTGGCTCTCTGTCTGTTATTGGTTTATAAGAATGCTTGTGATTTTTGTACATTGATTTTGTATCCTGAGACTTTGCTGAAGTTGCTTATCAGCTTAAGGAGATTTTGGGCTGAGACAATGGGGTTTTCTAGATATACAATCATGTCGTCTGCAAACAGGGACAATTTGACTTCCTCTTTTCCTAATTGAATACCCTTTATTTCCTTCTCCTGCCTAATTGCCCTGAACAGAACTTCCAACACTATGTTGAATAGGAGTGGTGAGAGAGGGCATCCCTGTCTTGTGCCAGTTTTCAAAGGGAATGCTTCCAGTTTTTGCCCATTCAGTATGATATTGGCTGTGGGTTTGTCATAGATAGCTCTTATTATTTTGAAATACGTCCCATCAATACCTAATTTATTGAGAGTTTTTAGCATGAAGCATTGTTGAATTTTGTCAAAGGCCTTTTCTGCATCTATTGAGATAATCATGTGGTTTTTGTCTTTGGTTCTGTTTATATGCTGGATTACATTTATTGATTTGCATATATTGAACCAGCCTTGCATCCCAGGGATGAAGCCTACTTAATCATGGTGGATAAGCTTTTTGATGTGCTGCTGGATTTGGTTTGCCAGTATTTTATTGAGGATTTTTGCATCAATGTTCATCAAGGATATTGGTCTAAAATTCTCTTTTTTGGTTGTGTCTCTGCCCGGCTTTGGTATCAGGATGATGCTGGCCTCATAAAATGAGTTAGGGGGAATTCCCTCTTTTTCTATTGATTGGAATAGTTTCAGAAGGAATGGTACCAGTTCCTCCTTGTACCTCTGGTAGAATTCGGCTGTGAATCCATCTGGTTCTGGACTCTTTTTGGTTGGTAAGCTATTGATTATTGCCACAATTTCAGATCCTGTTATTGGTCTATTCAGAGATTCAACTTCTTCCTGGTTTAGTCTTGGGAGAGTGTATGTGTCCAGGAATTTATCCATTTCTTCTGGATTTTCTAGTTTATTTGCGTAGAGGTGTTTGTAGTATTCTCTGATAGTAGTTTGTATTTCTGGGGGATCGGTGGTGATATCCCCTTTATCATTTTTTATTGTGTCTATTTGATTCTTCTCTCTTTTTTTCTTTATTAGTCTTGCTAGCGGTCTATCAATTTTGTTGATCCTTTCAAAAAACCAGCTCCTGCATTCATTAATTTTTTGAAGGGTTTTTTTGTGTCTCTATTTCCTTCAGTTCTGCTCTGATTTTAGTTATTTCTTGCCTTCTGCTAGCTTTTCAATGTGTTTGCTCTTGCTTTTCTAGTTCTTTTAATTGTGATGTTAGGGTGTCAATTTTGGATCTTTCCTGCTTTCTCTTGTGGGCATTTAGTGCTATAAATTTCCCTCTACACACTGCTTTGAATGCGTCCCAGAGATTCTGGTATGTTGTGTCTTTGTTCTCGTTGGTTTCAAAGAACATCTTTATTTCTGCCTTCATTTCGTTATGTACCCAGTAGTCATTCAGGAGCAGGTTGTTCAGTTTCCATGTAGTTGAGTGGTTTTGAGTGAGTTTCTTAATCCTGAGTTCTAGTTTGATTGCACTGTGGTCTGAGAGATAGTTTGTTATAATTTCTGTTCTTTTACATTTGCTGAGGAGAGCTTTACTTCCAAGTATGGGTCAATTTTGGAATAGGTGTGGTGTGGTGCTGAAAAAAATGTATATTCTGTTGATTTGAGGTGGAGAGTTCTGTAAATGTCTATTAGGTCCGCTTGGTGCAGAGCTGAGTTCAATTCCTGGGTATCCTTGTTGACTTTCTGTCTCGTTGATCTGTCTAATGTTGACAGTGGGGTGTTAAAATCTCCCATTATTAATGCGTGGGAGTCTAAGTCTCTTTGTAGGTCACTCAGGACTTGCTTTATGAATCTGAGTGCTCCTGTATTGGGTGCATATATATTTAGGATAGTTAGCTCTTCTTGTTGAACTGATCCCTTTACCATTATGTATGGCCTTCTTTGTCTCTTTTGATCTTTGTTGGTTTAAAGTCTGTTTTATCAGAGACGAGGATTGCAACCCCTGCCTTTTTTTGTTTTCCATTTGCTTGGTAGATCTTCCTCCATCCTTTTATTTTGAGCCTATGTGTGTCTCTGCATGTGAGATGGGTTTCCTGAATACAGCACACTGATGGGTCTTGACTCTTTATCCAATTTGCCAGTCTGTGTCTTTTAATTGGAGCATTTAGTCCATTTACATTTAAAGTTAATATTGTTATGTGTGAATTGGATCCTGTCATTATGATGTTAGCTGGTTATTTTGCTTGTTAGTTGATGCAGTTTCTTCCTAGTCTCGATGGTCTTTACATTTTGGCATGATTTTGCAGCGGCTGGTACCGGTTGTTCCTTTCCATGTTTAGCGCTTCCTTCAGGAGCTCTTTTAGGGCAGGCCTGGTGGTGACAAAATTTCCCAGCATTTGCTTGTCTGTAAAGTATTTTATTTCTCCTTCACTTATGAAGCTTAGTTTGGCTGGATGTGAAATTCTGGGTTGAAAATTCTTTTCTTTAAGAATGTTGAATATTGGCCCCCACTCTCCTCTGGCTTGTAGAGTTTCTGCCGAGAGATCCACTGTTAGTCTGATGGGCTTCCCTTTGAGGGTAACCTGACCTTTCTCTCTGGCTGCCCTTAACATTTTTTCCTTCATTTCAACTTTGGTGAATCTGACAATTATGTGTCTTGGAGTTGCTCTTCTCAAGGAGTATCTTTGTGGCGTTCTCTGTATTTCCTGAATCTGAATGTTGGCCTGCCTTGCTAGATTGGGGAAGTTCTCCTGGATAATATCCTGCAGAGTGTTTTCCAACTTGGTTCCATTCTCCACATCACTTTCAGGTACACCAATCAGACGTAGATTTGGTCTTTTCACATAGTCCCATATTTCTTGGAGGCTTTGCTCGTTTCTTTTTATTCTTTTTTCTCTAAACTTCCCTTCTCACTTCATTTCATTTATTTCATCTTCCATCGCTGATACCCTTTCTTCCAGTTGATCACATCGGCTCCTGAGGCTTCTGCATTCTTCACATAGTTCTCGAGCCTTGGTTTTCAGCTCCATCAGCTCCTTTAAGCACTTCTCTGTATTGGTTATTCTAGTTATACATTCTTCTAAATTTTTTTCAAAGTTTTCAACTTCTTTGCCTTTGGTTTGAATGTCCTCCCGTAGCTCGGAGTAATTTGATTGTCTGAAGCCTTCTTCTCTCAGCTTGTCAAAGTCATTCTCCATCCAGCTTTGTTCCGTTGCTGGTGAGGAACTGCGTTCCTTTGGAGGAGGAGAGGCACTCTGTTTTTTAGAGTTTCCAGTTTTTCTGCTCTGTTTTTTTTCCCCATCTTTGTGGTTTTATCTACTTTTGGTCTTTGATGATGGTGATGTACAGATGTGTTTTTGGTGTGGATGTCCTTTCTGCTTGTTAGTTTTCCTTCTAACAGACAGGACCCTCAGCTGCAGGTCTGTTGGAGTACCTGGCCGTGTGAGGTGTCAGTCTGCCCCTGCTGGGGGGTGCCTCCCAGTTAGGCTGCTCAGGGGTCAGGGGTCAGGGACCCACTTGAGGAGGCAGTCTGCCCGTTCTCAGATCTCCAGCTGTGTGCTGGGAGAACCACTGCTCTCTTCAAAGCTGTCAGACAGGGACATTTAAGTCTGCAGAGGTTACTGCTGTCTTTTTGTTTGTCTGTGCCCTGCCCCCAGAGGTGGAGCCTACAGAGGCAGGCAGGCCTCCTTGAGCTGTGGTGGGCTCCACCCAGTTCGAGCTTCCCAGCTGTGCTAGCAATCAGCGAGACTCCGTGGGCATAGGACCCCCCGAGCCAGGTGCAGGATATAATCTCCTGGTGCGCCATTTTTTAAGCCCGTCAGAAAAGTGCAGTATTCGGGTGGGAGTGACCCGATTTTGCAGGTGCCATCTATCACCCCTTTCTCTGACTAGGAAAGGGAACTCCCTGACCCCTTGCGCTTCCTGAGTGAGGCAATGCCTCACCCTGCTTCGGCTCACGCACGGTGCGTGCACCCACTGACCTGCGCCCTAGTCAGTGACTGTCTGGCACTCCCTAGTGAGATGAACCCGGTACCTCAGATGGAAATGCAGAAATCACCCGTCTTCTGCATCGCTCACGCTAGTTGCTGTAGACCGGAGCTATTCCTATTCGGCCATCTTGTCTCCTCTCCCCAAAAATAGTACTTTAAAAGAAGAATTATGTAACCCAGCTATAACTAGGACATCCAAGTCCAGTCTTAGTAGATTCTCACATTCATTCAATACCCACAGTGTTAAAAATTAATTAAATGTCTTGAGTTTATTGAGGTCTCTAGAAGACATACCAACTATAAATTGTGTTCTATGACAAATGGAAGTGCTTGCTAAATAACAGTAGATAACACTTGCTGGGCAGTAATTCTGAACATAATCAGCATTTTAATGTATCCCTCTCCCTGAAGGGCCTCCAGATTACCTCCTGCTTTCCACGAGAATCTCATTTTTCTCTGCTTTTTTCCCTGCTTTCATGAGACCTCACTGTTTCTTTCTTATCTTCATAACCTAATGATGTAGTCTATTCAATTTTTCTAATAAGATGTCTTATCATTCTCTCATGTTTAAATTTTTTTAAAACCTGTAATCTTGATGAGAAATGTCAAGTGACAGAAGACTCTAGCAGCTCAATGAGGCTGTGTTGGAATGAAGAAAGAAGAAAAAGATGTTTTTGTTTATTTGGTTGCTTGGTTGTTTTTTGTATTTTTTAAAGTAAGAACTACCATCTTTTCTATTACTTTTTCCTTGTTAACTCACACCCTTCATGTGTAGGGGGAGGCCATACTAGCAAGAAGAGAGAAAACTGTCGTACAAATGAGAAGATGTAGAAGGAAGGATTGATAGGGGGTGATAGGGTCATATTTATTTTTTTGTTGTTGTTGTTCAATGGAACAATAAGCATTTGGAGTCTTTCACAGATGATGAAAGAGACTTGAGAAACAATAAACGGATTAAAATCCAAAAAAAAGATAATATTTTATTCAGGGAAAATGGAAAGAATAAGAATGCTCACCTTGGTATTTATGTTTTTTGGGAAAGCAGCAATGATGAGTCTCTCAACAGAGTGACAAAAATGAGGAGAAGTCCTCTTTCAATGCAGAAATTGTGCTATAGGAAAGAGCAAGCAGGGGTAGAGGGATGAATCCCCTTTAGGACTCACTTCTTCCAAATATTCAGATCTTCTTTCCTTTAGGGAAGGTTACCTATGGGAAGGATGGTAACACTACTTCTTTTTCCCAATTCATTGACAATTTTTAAGATTTTTTTCCAGGTCTTTTCTTCTATCGCTGTTATATAAACAACTATTTCCATTTTTCTTTGGTGTATTTATATTAGTTATTCATTTGATTTTAAAAAGTGCCTTCTCTGAGACTCTTCTGATGGTATTGTGAGCACAGCCAACTCAGGTGAGGGATTTCTGCTCATGGGTGGTGACTTCAGGGTCCTATCTACCTCCCGACATTTGAGTCATTGTCAGATCTCTGGAAAGTCACCCTTAGAACTGTGCACACATCACCCTAGTAGGAAGGAGAAATGGAAGGCCAACTCTTGGAATTCTGACCATATCTTAGTTGTAAAAACTACTTTTTGACCCACCAAAATTTAGAACCTATTTCTAAGGAAAGAGATCACATGATTACTGTATTTTAAAGAGGGAAGGGAAAATGGAACAAATGTCTATTAGATATCTACAATAGTATCAATATTAAATAAACCCATTACATCACTTGCCTCATGCCATCCTTACAACTTTTTGAAGGGAAACACATGGGATTATAGACAGTAAAACAGACTCCTAAGATTGTGGAGGCTGGTGCCAGACAGCGACATACAAATCACACTCTGCCGCTTACTATCTGCAGAACATTAGGCCAGTCACAGAACTTCACTGTACCTCAGTTTCTATGTCTGGAAAGTGGAGATAATGTATTTGGTACCTACCTCATCAAGCTCTGTGGGAATAGTAATACAAGTTAATTAAAAATAACATGCTTTGTGGAATAGATGTTGCCTGGTATATTATTCCATTTCCACACTGCTGAGAAAGACATACCTGAGACTGGGTAATTTATAAAGAAAAAGAGCTTTAATGGACTCACAGTTCCATGTGGCTGGGGAGGCCTCACAATCATGGTGGGAGGTGAAAGGCACTTCTTACATGGTGGCAGCAAGAGAGAATGAGAACCAAGAAAAGGGGTTTCCCCTTATAAAACCATTAGGTCTCTTGAGACTTACTACCATGAAAACAGAACGGGAGAAATCACCCCCATGATTCAATTATCTCCCACCAGGTCGCTCCCATAACATGTGGGAATTATGGGAGCTACAATTCAAGATGAGATTTGGGTTAGGACACGGCGAAACCATATCACCTGGTATGATTACTGCCATCTAATTCACCAAGTTCACTTAGTTACTAAAAGGCAAAGGAGACACTCAACCTTGGTATTCACTGATTTCTAACACCTTGCTACCCTCTGCTAGTAACGGCCACATTCTGGAAGGGGGCATACCTGTGCTTTCTACTATAGGTTCCAGAGAAATGTAAGACTGTCTTGAGTCACCTAAAAGTACTCATTGACTGAGGTTGAACATGGACTTAAAAGAAAGTAACTCAGAAAGGTAGAGGGAGTAAGCATCCGATTCAAAACCAAAACCTGTTGTTTCTTCCCGCAAAAAAGAAAATGCCAAATGGGATCACTCCTTGCTGACTCATCTACTGATCCCTAGACCCAGCCATGATTAGCCTCTTCTAGACTGAAGCCGAAGTCCTACCATTGTTCTTCCTGCTTCCACCCACCCCAGTCAACTTCCCTGCTTAGATTTAAATTCATGTAATTTGGATCTTATCCCTGCATTGCTCAAAGCCCTTAGATGGCTCCTTCCATTTCTTTCTCAATCTGGCCCAAAGTCATTTGCAGGGCTCACCAGGTCTACACGTGCCACCCTCTGATTTTATCTCCTCAGGCTCTCCCAACTTTTAATCTGCTCCAGCCACAGAGGACCCTCTGATGCTCCATAAACCTACCAACCACACTCCTCAGTGGGCTTTGATGCTCTATTCCTTCTGCTTAGAATAATCCTGCAAGATATCCACCTGGCTTGATGTCCTTTACTTTGAGCACGTTTCTACTCAAATGTCACCTCAAAAAGTTCTTCCCTGATGATGCTACCTAAAATAGCATTTCCTACCCTGTAGTCCTTACCTCTGTTTATTTTTCCTTACAGCGCTTACCAACTGAAAAAATTGTATATTGACTTATTTTTTTATTGGTCCATCTCCACCACTAGAATAAAAACTCTATGAGAACAGACACTTTTTTATTCTCCACTGATTGGCAGGTATGACTTAAGGGAATAAAAATTGACGAATCTCAACAGCATTAGTAATCATCTCCTGGTAAACTCATGTGCACCTATATTGCCTATGGAGCTCTGCGGCAGGTGCTTTATATGAATTATCTCATTTAATTCTGCTATTACATTACTGCTACTATTAGACCTATTTTACATATAAAGAAACTGAGAGAAAGAGGCGAAAGCGGACCGATCGCTTTGCTCCAGTAATGTGCTGGCTGGGGATTCCGTTGAATCGCTGCTTGATTCCAGAACCTAAGCTCTTAGTTATATTACACTTTATGAAGGACCAATGATAAATTCCAGTTAATTCCATTGTTTTTTCCGTAGGACCAATTATAAATGTCAGCAATGAAAAAAGAGTGGTTATAAAAGGGTATTTGACCTCCATTTTCTCTGTTACTTCAGAGTTAAATTGCTAGTTGCCAAAAGGCAGGTAGTAGCTTGAACTTTCCTGCCATGCTAATTATGAAAATGAAGAGAATTTGAATGGAGCAGAGAGGACAGAGTTCAGAATTCTCAGCATAAGAGACACTCACTTTCAGAAAGAGCCTTGAATTTATCTCCATTTTAATGTCTTTCCACATTTTAAAATATTAGTTGAAAGGGGGATTTGAGAGGGCAGCATCGCCAAAATAAACATTCAACACACTGTTATACTAGAATTTTATTATACTCGGGTTCACAGGCGCCCCTGCTGCTGCTGCTGCCTGTCCGGAGACTGGTGAATCAGTGGTTGTGTCTGAAAAGGAGACAAATAGGATGGAAAAAATATCCATTTTCCTGTCTATGTGTGTACTTTAAAAGGCAGTAAGGTTGCATCATGTACTTATGGGAACAAAGTGGTAAAAAAAAAATCTGGTTGAAGTATTGAATTAACTTCATGTCTTTTAACACCACCAAAACACACTTTTCTATTCATTTTTATGCAGCAGACATTTATATTTTTATATTGTCATGGAGACCAAATGGGACTCAAATGATTCTGCACATTATTATGGAATAATTTGTCTCCTGTGAAGTCATTTTTTTAGTGATATATGCTGCGGATAGAAAAGATTAAAGAAACCAGCTAGAGAGGGTATATTTATGCAATGCAACAAGCACATACACAAAGAAGGATGATGTAATAATGTAAGTAATTTAGAGGTTTTGGCAAGTACGTGGGTGGTAAGCCATGACTGCAGTCGACTCTCAAAAGTTGTGCTACATGCTCCTGGGGAAAGATCTTATTAATGTTTTTTCAAGAAACACTGGGGTTAAGATAGGATTCACTCAAGGTTAATCATTACTAATCTTCTGGCCCTGAAAGAAATAAAGATATGTACTCACCCTCTTAATTTCCCCATCTGTAAATCTGGATACATATACAAAATATAAATTTTCTTCTCTAAAGATAAAAACGATAAAGTGAGCACCCACCTGCATCCCTCCACTCCCTGAAAGACCTTCACCCCCTAGAACATCTCTTTAGGGGTGTCAAAATTCATCTGTTTGGACCTCCCAGTTTTTGTCTGAGAGAAGAAAGACCATTTCAGTTGTTGGGAGTAAGAAGCAAATTGCATGATCCTCACGGAGTCCATCTGGGGGATGTGTTCTAATACAAACTTGGACAAAAGTGCTAAAATGCTTTCTTTTGTAATTATATCTTTTAAAAAGTAAATATTTTAAAAATAATTTTAGATTTGTAAAAATAATTGAAAATATAGTACAGAGTTATCTTGTGTACCCCTTGCACAATTTCCTCTACAGTTATCATCTTACATTATCCTGATAATTGTCCAAACTAAAAAATCCAACACTGATATTACTATTGATTAAAAAGCTGTCCTTACTTGAATTTTACCAGTTTTCCATATACGTCCTCATTCTGTCCCAGGATCCAGTCCAGGGTACCTCATTCCATTTAACAATTGTTTCTTTAATTCTTTAAATGGGAGTAGGGATGGGCATGCGTTCAAGTGTAAAGTTAACTAGACGGACAAACCAGGACCTAGACCTTAGACCTGGTCCTCAGGTCCTTGAGCTTGGGACCCTGAGCTAATTAACCTTGCTGGGCTTCTGTATTAGTCTGTTTTCATGCTGCTAATAAAGACATACCCAAGCCTGGATAATTTATAAAGAAAGAGATGTTTAATGGATTCACAGTTCCACATAGCTGGGGAGGCCTCACAATCATAGCGGAAGGTGAAAGGCATGTCTTACATGGTGGCAGGCAAGAGAAAATGAGAGCCAAGTGAAAGGGGAAACCCCTTAAAAAACCATCAGATTTCATGAGACTTATTCACTATCATGAGAATAGCACAGGAAAAACCCACCCTCGTGATTCAATTATATCCCATCAGGTCCCTCCCGCAATATGTGTGGATTACTACAGTTCAAGGGGAGATTTGGGTGGAGACACAAAGCCAGACCCTATCAGCTTCCAAACCCCTACATGCTCTGCAAAATGAGGACCAAGTGAGCCATGTATCAGCCTGAGAAGAACACTGATATGGCATGGCCTTTTCTTGGCACAGTTTGTACCACTCAGACAATGAAGAAGGAAAGTAATGAAGGAAAGTAAGCCCTCCTCACTTGTTCCCATTTGCATTTGCCAAGCTTGAGTTGACCATGCCATGCAGGAAATCAAAAAAGTAGGGAAACTCCCAACTGACCATGCTCTAGGAAAAGAATGATCCTGCTTGGGGAAAACAAGGATGGCTAATCATTTACAAGTTTCTATCTCTGAAAGAATTTGCCTTTCACCTGAGATTCAAGTGGCCTTGAGGCAGAGAAGAAAGG
Organism: Homo sapiens; assembly: GCF_000001405.40. NCBI lineage: Eukaryota > Metazoa > Chordata > Mammalia > Primates > Hominidae > Homo > Homo sapiens. The sequence goes on from NC_000017.11 coordinate 71,363,904, forward strand.
AAAAGGAAACTGGCCAATCAAACCTTTTAGCAACCGTGTCTCTCCCTTTATCATCATCCACCCGCCCTCTTCCCTACTCACTGCCTTGTCCAGTGAGCTATCCACTGTGTTCCTGCCTGCTACAGCCTTTGCAGTGTCTCCCTCCCTCAGCAGGACACCAGTCCTTGCAAGCTTGCAAAGGCCAAACAAAACCGGGACTCACAAATATGTAACTGTTTTCCTTAGCTTGTGGCATAAATCAAAAAAAAAGAAAGGAAAAAAATTCTGTTAGCACAGGGCTCTGGAGTGTTTATTTTTTTGCCAGCTGCAACATGCTACCCTCACAGGGGATCACCTAAAACCAGTTATGGTTTAGGTTGGAGGGGGATGTCAAACTTAAGCTGCGGGCTTGGCCTCTCTCAATGAATTACGACCTTGTCAAGAACCTATTTTTTTAAATCAATGCAGGTTTTCTATCAAATCAAATACCTGCACACTAAATTATATTTTTGGTGCCAGGCTGGCTCTCCAATTTTTTTTCCCTTTGCTAGTTTTTTCCAGCCTCCTCCCTTAACCCTCCTCCCTCTCCTTACTGTGATACAGACGGTTTTTGTCCATAAGAAGAAATTGAAAATCAAGTCCTACACTTGGAAGGGGAGATGGGGAACTGTCTTTTGTCATCCCTTGTACATGCACTACCAATGTTTACCATCTGTCTCAGGGGCTTAAGTGACAGAAGGGCTCCTATAGATGGAGTCAAGGCAGTCTCTTGGGATCTTTAACCCAGTAGCATAGAACACATTTGCTTTCAGAAGAAAGACATCTTTTTATTTCTTTTTAAAAATTTCTGATGGGTTTGAGGGTGGGATGATAAATGAGGGAGCCTTCTAATACAGGTGCTCAGATAAAAAGTTAAACATTTAGATAATTCTTCAAATGTACTGTTCAGACATTTCTCCCCATTATGTGACTTGATAATGTAAATAGATTTCAGAGAATCAAGGAATTATTTCCTTCCTTCCTTCCTTTCTTCCATCCTCCCATCTTTCCTTCCTCTCTTCTTTGCTTTCTTCTTTCCCTTTTTCAATGATTTCCTTTAAACAAGGGAGGAAACTCTTCTACCTCAGCTCCTGCTCTTCCTGGCAGATAAGAGATAAAATTTTAGAGTGAGTTTTGTCTCCTAAATTGGTAAGTTAATGGAGAAAATATTAGAGCCAGAAATCCCTGCCCTTAGCCCCCCTGATGGAGCCAGCAGAGGCTGGAGGTGCCTACTGTGGGAATGTGGCAAGAATGATTTTTTAATAATAGGAATCTCCATGAATCAAAATTCACTTAGGGTAAAACCATGAAGGCATATAGCTCAGAGTTGGCACCCACATGGCCCCTTTACATGGCCCAAAAGCCTTTATTTGGTGGTTTTTCAATTAAATGCCACATATACTTCAGGCCATATGTAAAGGATCCTCAAATGAATTGCAAACTGTTTTCAATAGCAATGATGATGAATAAAACACCAATGAGCAAATCCTAATCAGTGGCGTCTGAGTCTCCAGAAACCAAATCAAATATTTTCTGGTTGGACTCATGACATTTTTGATAGGCTGTCATAGTGCCAATGTCATCTTTACTGCACAATGAATAGCTAGTTTGGCAGGAATTCTGCTCCTCTTATTTCTTCCCACTTTATTCAGCTGAATACCACCACTCCTAGTGTGGTCTTTCCTGATGAAGGCATGCTTAGAAGTTCCTTTGATCAGGCAGTCTTTATTGTGAGTTTAGTTCCTTACATGAGAAGTACAAGATGGAAAAATGTGCCTAGAATGATCCTGGATGGGAAAACAGGAAAATATTCATTTACGCTCCAAAGTAAAAAAGGTAAGACACATAGCTGCGTTATGTGCACTAATGGAAGCCTAAGTGTACCAGAGCCTGTGCACTTCCATCATCTCTTTCTTTTCTTTTCTTTTCTTTTCTTTTCTTTTTTTTTTTTTTTTTTGAGACAGAGTCTCGCTCTGTCACCAGGCTGGAGTGCCGTGGCAAGACCTCAGCTCACTGCAACCTCTGCCTCCCAGGTTCACGCCATTCTCCTGCCTCAGCCTCCCGAGTAGCTAGGATTACAGGCACATGCCACCACACCCAGCTAATTTTTGTATTTTTAGTAGAGATGAGGTTTCACCATGTTGGCCAGGATGGTCTTAAACTCCCGACCTCTTGCTCCTCCCGCCTCGGCCTCCCAAAGTGCTGGGATTATAGGCGTGAGCCACGACGCCCGGCCTCCATCATCTCTTTCTAATGGTTGTAATTCAATTGGACAAATATTTCACTGAATTCTTACTATGTTACAGTTCTCAATGCCAGGTGTCATAGGATCCAAATATGAACAGGACATGGTTTATAAACAGAGAAAGCTTATGAGAAACATCAACAATCAGAGATAATTCAGATAGACCTGGGCAAATGATAAGAGTGGTCAGGTTGTTTTTGAGGCTCAGCATCCATTTGTTTCACCCTAGTGTTTCTTGGGAAAATTATCCTCATTACCCCTTGAGCCCTCAAACCATCTGGTTTAGATGAAATTGATCTTGGTTTCAGCTTCAAGGATGGGCCGTGATTGCTCTGAGCTAATTAATGAATCTCATTCTCCTGACTTCAATGACTAGGGTTAAGACCTAATTCTCATCAGTAAGAACACAGCATGCACTTAAACTAGAGTTCAGATTCAAGAGGAAAAGGCCTAGAGTTTGCATCATGTAAAGTCAAAGATCAACAATCCCCCCAGAGAAGTAAACAGTAAGGAGCCAGGCTCACTGCATGAAATTTGGGACCACTCAAGGCTCCCCTGGCCCTGAAAAAAAGGCAGAAAGAGCAGTTGCTACTACCAGGGTTGAAGAGCCTTTAGAATTCTATGACTAAAAAAAGTGGAAAGAAACTGTCCCCGAGGCTGGGTACAGTTGCTCATGTCTATAATCCCAGCATTTTGGGAGGCAGAGGCAGGTGGATCATTTGAGGTCAGGAATTCAAGACCAGCCTGACCAACATGGTGAAACCCCCATCTCTACTAAAAATACAAAAATTAGCTGGGTGTGCTGGTGGGCACTTGTAATCTCAACTACTCAGGAGGCTGAGGCAGGAGAATCACTTGAACGCAGGAGGCGGAGGTTTCAGTGAGCCAAGATTGTGCCATTGAACTCCAGCCTGGGTGACAGAGCAAGACTCCCTCTCAAAATAAAAAAAAAAAAAAGAAACTGTCCCTGAAAAGTAGATGCTTAGCCAGTAAGACACACTTCCCAATTCTTCTTGAATCCTAGTGGGGCCAGGAGACCAGTTCTTGCCAATGCAACGTCAACCAAAGTGGTGTGTCTCCCTTGCAATACAGGGTGATTAGGATCTTGCTGTGCTTCTCATCCCTTTGTTTCCCATCTTCCATCAGAAGATTCTGAGACCCTGAGAGATGGCAAACATTTCCAAGATGAAAGGATTGTGAGGTCCTGAATTCCTGTATGGAAGGCTGTCTTCTGATGAGACACACTTACATTAGACTGTTGCTGAAAGGAGAGCTGAATTTGTGTTGCATTAAGCCACTGAAATACTGTAGTTTATCAGTCAAATCGTTAAACTTAGCCTAATTGATAAACTGGTGGAAGATGACAATAGAAGTCCCAGCACTAATCTAGGAATCTTGAAATACAGGCAGAAAGAACAGTACAACCAATAGGGCAGAAAATGTAAAAACAAGAGAGAAAGAAAAAATGTTCATTCAAGATGAGCTGATATACAATATTCCAAAACGTGAGCAAAACAAATACTCAGTAGAACGAACAACAAAAAACACTCTGGGGCGAATTAATTCTATTCAAAGTAAACCTATCTATGAGTTGATTAATAGAAAAGAGAGCAACCCGAAAATGACTGTGAGGTCTGTAGTTAATGTGGCTATTTTGTATCAAAAGAGGGAGTGTATTAGTCTGTTTCTACACTGCTAATAAAGAAATACCTAAGACTGGGTAATTTATAAAGAAAACCAGGTTTAATGGGATCACAGCTCCACGTGGCTGGGGAGGCCTCACAATCATGGCTGAAGGTGAATGAGGAGCAAAGTCATGTCTTACATGGCAGTAGGCAAGAAAGAAGTGCAGGGAAACACCCCTTCATAAAACCATCAAATCTCATAAGACTTATTCACTATCATGAGAACAACACAGGAAAACCTGCCCCATTGTGGGGGCAACAAAGCTTAGAGCCTGGGACAGGATCCTGTACTCAATTGTGCCTGCAGCCAGTCCCAATTTTGGACTGTTCAATTTCACTGACAAATACGGTTAACCCAATCCATGTTAGATGTTCTGTTAGTTAAAACATAAGTGTTCTTTCTATTTTTATTTTTATTTTTTCGCCAGGGTTGTCTTCTGGGCATCTGACCTGTGCAGCCAGGTAGGACCACATGCTCATACTTCGTTTAATGCTCCGATGCCACCATCTTGAAATTCTTAATAGTTTTTGAACAAGGGCCCTGCATTTTTCATTTTGCACTGGGCCCCACAAAAGATGTAACAATATCTGATTAATGTATTTAATAAAAGTATAAGCGCTATGAAAATATAAAAGAGAGAAAGGCGATACTTAAAACATATTTGGAGGTGAAGTAAGGATTTGGACACGTAGAAAAGAGGGCATAAAAAATGTTCTAGATGAAAGAAAATAATTTTTTAAAGTATGCAAAATGGTGTTGAAAAAGTGATCCATCTGCTTGTTGCCAGACCATTACCTGCAAGGTTTGTGTTAGTGTTAGAAGAGAAAGTGAGACTAGAAGATCAGGCTGGCTCTGGATTGTGGGGTGCTGAATGGCCTAATGAGTATTTTGGAATTTATTCTTTAGAATACTGAGAAACAGCTAACAATTTTTACTTCTGCATGCTATTTAAAAATCTATGCTATTTATATTTATATATTGATTTAAATACAATATTTAAATGTAAATATTTACATAGTCATGCATATATAAATATTTTATATATTTTAGAAAAAGATTTTGGGCAGAAGAATGACCCATTCCAAAATAAGCATAATTGTCCCGAGGTAGAGGACATTAAGGACTGTAATGCAGGATGACAAGAAGAAGACAGGTTTGAAAGAAATTTAAAGAGTAGATATTGCCTGGAAAGGTCTTAGCTCAGATCAAAGCAAATGGTAAGAGATCCATGAATATTAGCTAGGATATTTTTTTTTCCTCAAAATCAACAGGACATCTTGGAAAGGACAGAGTGGAAAAATTAGAAGTAAGTCTTAGGGATGTTGTTTGTTGTTTTCAGGGTTTTTTTTTTTTTTTTTCAGATTAATTCAATTATGTTCTACCCACACATCTAAGATAGAGAAAACACAAGTGTACATGCATCCCATAAATACAGAAAATTCTTTAATAAAGGAAGATACTGTACTCAGGAAGTCTTCTCCCATTAGATGGGATGCTGAAGACTGGACATTGCATTCCCTCATTTATGGCTTTTCCTGAAATCATCCTCACACTGGTTCTAAGATGAACTTGCTCACTAAGAGCTCCTTGAACTAAATTACCTTTATAATCTCTTCTAGGCTTTGGATTTGGGAATCTGGTATGGGAGAGGCAGAATCTCTCTTTGGAAATTAACTCTGAGAGAAGACAGTACCCCAGGACACTTCCTTTTATTCTGCGGGATTTTAAATTCCTATAAATTAGGGGACACCAGAAGACATCACTTGCCTTAACTGAAAGAGTAACTGGAGACTGTTCATAATTATCTAAATTTTGTTTCCACTTGGGAGTTGGTGCTTTTGAATCACCATGAATATAAGCATCACACAGTCATATGTTATTTTTATTCTGGGACTTCTATTGGAAAGGAATTTAAAAAAAATGAATTGCTAACTTTGGCCGCTTGGCACCAAAAGCAAGGCAGTGAAGATAAACTTAATTTTATTATAATCATTATTAAATAAAGATTTGGGAAAACAGCAAGGGTATATTTGTGATAGAAATTATTAAAAATGTATGTAAATAACCATGTAGATTTTCTACATCCCTTAGGCTCCAACGAATATTCCAAATCACTACTGCCTCTTTGGAAACTTGATTTCTTTTTTTCTTTATTTGAGTAGTTATCAGTCCTGAGGTTCCCATTACATTAGGCCCATATTGAAAAAGTATTTCTGAGATGAGAAGCTGGCTTTAAAAATCAAAACATTTTCTTGTAAAAAGAGGACCTATTGTTTCAAAAACTAGACATTTAAATTCCAAGGTTATGGATATGTAATATGTAATATTTTTCCTCCATTTTGTAACCTAACATTCTCCTACTGTCTCTGGTAGCCAAGATTTTTTGTTTGCTGTTCACCAAGGAGATTGTTGAGGTAGTGCAGTGGAAAGAACACAAGGCCTAATGTCAATTTTGTTTCAGTCAAATCCTTATGCTCTTCCATTCTGCATGTGGTGGTAAGCAAATGGCATCACTACTCTGAGCCTCGATGACCGTCTGTAAAAGAAGGATTGTTAATATACATTACACCTATCTCAAAAGGTTGTTGTAAATATCAAATGAGAAAATGCACAAGAAAATAAATTGTAAACTACAAACTTGTAGCATGTGCAATAATTAATACATACTACAGCATTAAGCAATGGCCTGACACTTGGCTCAAGGGCAGAAACACAAGAAATCAAGACTAAACTTCATTTTAGAGGGGGAAATCGGTAAATAGTATAGTGTGATAATGCCTAGGACCTAGGAAAGGAAAGGTTTTTTAAAAGCACCAAAGGAAGATATCAAAAGCATAGTAGGAGGTAAGGGAAGACAGAGGTGGTGTTATTAGCGCTGAAATCCAAAGCTTCCTTCACCACCATATTACCTCCTAAGAAATTAAATTCCAGGTAATCAGCAATGGGTAACTCCATTGCCTGATTTTCTTGGCACAAAAGCTAACAAGCTTCATTAGTTACCTGGACAGATTATCTACACCAGCCAAATCCACAGCCCCCACACCTCTCCCGGTTCAGATTCAGCCGTCTATTCTGTGCTATGGGGTAGATTTCTTAAGTGCAAGGAAATTTCCAGAGTGCAATTTGAAGTCCAAGTGAGTAAAAAATGTAATATTTTTCCTCCCTTTTGTAAAAGCATGCTGATATGTTCTTAATTCTCTTGCCATTTTGTATTAGAGCCCTGATACTTAGTGTCCAGAAGTTATTTGACTTAAAGACGTTTGTGGCTTCAGGTTACTTTCCACATTCAGACTCCAAAGTTGCTGGCTGCTACATACATACTCTCCAGTTGGACTGGCCTCCAGAATGAGCGATGACTCCGAAAGATAACATATTTATATTAAGACAAGGTGATAGGAAAATAAGGTACAACAAGTTAGTCCATACAAATGCAGCTATTGAGATATATTGTATTTTTGGTACAAATTACTCAGTGGCTTGTTACATAGTTGGGTTTATTTGCAGTAATATAGAATCATCAGATCATTGCTATTCCTTCACTCCATCTGCTATGTGAGCTAGCTTATAAAAAACTCTAAAGGAAAAAAGAAAGAAAGAAAAAAACTCTCTCCCCACCCAAGTTGCTGGGGTTGTTGGTTTATTTTACCTGTTACTAATATCAACTTTATGGTACATTTTTGTCTGCTTTAAAAAAAGTGGTTTATATGAATCTATGCAGTATATTATTTATAGTGTTGCGGCCAGATCTTTTCATGATAAAAATGTAAAACCTTCCTGTAAAAATTTTTTATTTTAAATAAAAATTACCCTTTTCTTCCCCAGTTTAGGTCAGCTCTTATTTTGCTCCATAACCACCAAACCTTGAAAACTTACATTGTCGCTAATCAATGGACCAGACTTTAACACGCGTTTTAAGGTCATGCTTTAAATTCATTTTTGTGATTGCAAAGTGACTTTTTTCCCTGTCTGGCAATTAACTGATACGACACTAATCCTTTGCACATCTGGTACTAAATGTTTGCTCACATGGGTTCCCCCGTGAGAAAGTGTGGCCAAACGGCGACATTGAGTGTGCTTGACTTCACTTTAAAATCTTCACTCTCCGGGATTAAAATCTTGAGATAAAACATCTGGATTTCAAGGGTGTCCCCAGAGAATGAAAGTTATAGTTGTATAGAATACATATTGCACATAATATGGTCTTGTTATTTCTGTATTAGCACAACTCCAGCCGGTGCCTGCCGTTAGCATGTCAGTCTCCTGACACATCATTAATAAACAGGTAATTTCATAACTGATTTCCAGCAAGTGTCATGTTGAAAACCACCTGGGTTTTAGTTTTCACTAACATTAAAGGCACAGGCTAGAGGGAGGTCGTTATTATTAAACTGGGACTAATTTAATTGAATAATGAATGGAATCAGCAAAAACAAATGCATATGCAGAAGGATAAAAGAAGTTTCCAGGCCAATGGATAGGTCTGGATCCACTGATAAAGATGTGACTATTCCTTCCCTTCCCCTTGCCCTCTCCAAATTTATACATTAGGAGTTACTCTGAAACTGTGCCCACTGCCTCCAGGAAAGTTCCAAAAAAAACACCAAGGAAGTAACCATGATGGGGGAAAAAATCTATACTTTTAAAATTGTGACATGTGAAATTAGGTCTATGATATGCTTATGTATTCAATGAATTTTAAAGGCATATTGCACGTTGAATGCCATTAAAGATGAAAAACACACTCACCAAGGTAAGCCATTGTCACAGTTAACCTGTAGATCTAGCCAAGTGTGTACTGAGGGACAATAACCTGATTGTTAAACGTAATTGAAAACCATAACTGTGATATAATCCACATCTTGGCCTATGCTGGGCCTTCTTATTTTTATTTTGTAAATCTCGATGTTATCTTATCGGCATCATTTCTACTACATTGGAAAGTAGCTAAGCAATGCTATGGCCTGACTTCACAGCATTAGAAATGTTGCCCAGTCGTTTCCAGGGGGCTCTCAGTCTTTTGATGTATTTCAGGGGGAGTTTTTAACTTTCTTTATGACCCAAAGCTAATAACTTTCTATGTTAGCCTTTGTCCTCTGCTCATGTGAAATTTCAATCACAATATGAACCTGAATGAATATGGAGTATTATTTTGGCATTTTCTACATCCTGCCCTTTGTCTTTAGCAAACAGGGTAAACAAGTTGTGTTTTACCAACTTCTCTGACCGTCTATTCCATTCTCAACTCCATAATAATCTTTCCTTCTTCCCAACAAGTTTTTAGGAGATTCATTTACAAAAAATCTGGCCTGTAGTTTAGACAAAAACCTGATTAGAGACTGGGAGATGTAGAAAACTGATGCCAAAATTTCTTTAGTTTTTTTTTTTTTTATTTCATAACAAAAGATTGTAAGAAATTATTCAGTTTACATGAAGACATTGACTACCACTGGTTATTCAATACACTATCATGCATATAGTGAGAAATTTAAACACATCTGTTATAATCACTCCTATTTTATAGTTTAAAAAAGCAGAAGAGCAATAACGATAGTTGTCTAAAGTCAATAATTGCCTAAAGTCTGTCACAGAGGTTATGGTGAAGCCAAGATTAGAGCTTGAATGCTTCCAAAAAAAGCAATGTTATACTAGATGAAACAGCCTGAACTAAACTAGTATATTTCTACATGTACATCGACACAGTAAGCTTCCTAAAGGTGCAGTCGTTACTGTAAAGCTGGTAGAATGAAATAAGCAAGTATTTCCTAAGAGTTTGTATAAAAATGAATCGCCTCTGGCCAGGCGAGGTGGCTCAAGCCTGTAATTCCAGCACTTTGGGAGGCCGAGGCGGGCGGATCATGAGGTAAAGAGATCGAGACCATTCTGGCCAACATGGCGAAACCCTGTCTCTACTAAAAGTATAAAACTTAGCTGGGCATGGTGGTACTTGCCTGTAGTCCCAGCTACTCGGGAGGCTGAGGCAGGAGAATTGCTTGAACCCGGGAGGTGGAGGTTGCAGTGGTGGGAGATCGCGCCACTGCACTCCAGCCTGGCAACAGAGTGAGACTCCATCTCACAAAAATAAATAAATAAATAAATAAATAAATAAATAAATAAATAAATAAATAAATCACCTCTTTGTTTTTAAAGCACTTTCCACGTGAATGAAATTCTTGAAATTTTCAACAAGCTTATGCCATTGGTTTGATTATTAGCCTTGATTTACACACACGGAAACCAAGTCAATGAGGGTTTAAGTAAAATGTGCCAGGATGCCACCACTGGTAAGTGATTAGAAGAAGAATTTGGAACCAAGAATTTGACTCCAAAGCCTAAACTCTTAACTGTGATGTACTTCACCACCTTTCTAATGACTTATAATTGCTAGTTGTTGGAATGTTACCAAGGGCAAAGGATAACTGTTAATAGGAATCTCCTAGAACTTGACAATGTAAGGACTAGTTTCCCTTACTTTAGAAGCCAATCCCATAATGCAAATAAGAGGTGCAAGTTCTTTTTTCCTTTTTCTTTTCTTTTTTTTTTTTGAGACAAGAGTCTCACTCTGTCGCCCAGGGTGGAGTGCAGTGGCGCAATCTTGGCTCACTGCAACCTACACCTCTGGGGTTCAAGTGATTCTCCTGTCTCAGCTTCCTAAGTAGCTGGGATTACAGGTGCATGCCACCCACTCCTGGCTAATTTTTCATTTTTTTTTAGTAGAGACAGGGTTCCATCATGTTGGCCAGGCTGGTCTCAAACTCCTGACCTCAGGTGACTGGCCTGTCTCAGCCTCCCAAAGTGCTGGGATTACAGGTATGAGCCACTGTGTCTGGCCCACAAGTTCTTTATCATCAATTTTTTTTTTCTTAGATCTAAGAGACATTTTCCTAGGCATTCTAAGTCTCAGCTGTCCAATCTGTAAAATGGGTATAGATGGAATTGCCTTACAAATACATTGGTGTAAACACAAATATATTGGTTTTCAAATTCATGCTTTCCAGTTATTCTGTGTTTGGTATCTTTATGTCACTGCTAAGTTAGATCATCGTTCTTTCTACTTGGGGAGGAGGGGTGCCTTTACCATGACAATCTTCTATTTCTATGATAGGGACCCCAAATTAATATTGTATCCATTAGTACTTTCTACTAGCTTCTAGTAGTAGCTAGAAGTACTAGCTAGTACTTGCTAGTAGTACTAGTAGTGCTGGTAGTGCTAGTAGTACTAGTAGTGCTGGTAGTACTACTAGTAGCTAGTAGAAGACACTAGTTAGTTATACTTCTAGTAGCTACTAGTAGCTGAAATTTTTGTACGCTGAAATGTGAACACCCTCATACATATTGATTCTTTTTCATTCATTGACATCAAGCAATTTGTACCACATAGAAAAGTGTGTTAAAATCTTTTAGGTGAAACACGTATACTATATGAAAAAAAGATATTAAGTAGTCAAAATTAACACAGGTTTATGTATCCAAGCAGAAATCTGACAACTGAGGATTAAAGAAGAAAAAAATCCCGGAATGGGCCTAGGGCAAATCTAACTATCTCTGTTATTTAGATTTTTACTTCCCCAGCCAAATCATGCTTATAATCTATTTAAATTGCATTTTTCTGCACAGTTTTTCATAGTCTTGTGAAGGACTTTTGTTTACACTCAAAATAATACAAGCCATTCAATGGTAAACTGATGAAGGAAACTAACATTCTGGACATTTATAAAATCTATGAAAATCTGTATCAAACTCAGTTAAGCTCTTCCCTAGACTAATAGTTCTCAATCAGGGGTGATTTTGCACCTGGATTGGGGTTCTCCAGAAAGACAGAACCCACAGGATATACGTAGATATACAGGAGGAGATTATGGGAATTAGTTCACATGATGATGAAAACGAAGAAGTCTCACAATATACTGTCTGCAAACTGGAAAACCAAGAAAGCTGCTGGCATAATTCATTCTGAGTCAAAGGCCTCAGAACTAGAGGAGCTGATGATATAACCCCTAGTTATAGGAGTTTCTGAGATGTAAAACACACTTTCTGAAGCATCTGAAACCTCAACTAAAGGCCCAAAAACCAGGGATGAATGTGGGAGCTGCTGATGTCAGTCTTGGAGTCTGCAAGACCTGTCTTCTTGTTCTACTCAAGTGGACCTTCAACAGATTGAAGGATGCCTGCCCACACTGGTGAAGGCAAATCTCTACCTGTTCTGCCAGTTCAAATGCTAATCTCTCCTGGAAACACTCTCCTAGCCACATCCAGAATAATGTTTTGCCAGCAATCTGGGCATCCCTTAGCCCAATCAAGTTGACACATAAAATTAACCATCACAGCATGTCAGAATAGGGAACACTTGGTGATGTCTAGATACATTTTTGGTTGTCACAACTGGGTGGGTGGGTGGTGCTGCTAATATCTAGTGGGTAAAGGTCAGAGATGCTGCTAAACATTCTGCAGGGTACTGGACAGCCCCCACCGCAAAGAAGTATCTGGGCCAAAATGTCAGTTGTGCTGAGATAGAGAAACCTTGGTGTAGACTATTTGTTAGAGCCATTGATAAGGCAACCAGCTAGTGAGAGCCTAACAACCAGAAAGGTTTCTATAGGGCATGTATATTTCATCTCAGCCTCACATTGTTCCATTCCCAAAGCAAAATGTTATGCTCTTCAAAATCTCCAGGGAAGCTAGAAGCATAAAGCTTTGGGTGAAATGTAAATTTCTTAAAATATTTATTCATCCATAAGTGGCTACATTTTTGACATTATTATATGGTTTCTCAGTGTTCCATTTTATTAAAAAATATTTATTTGGTTTCTAAGATTACTGCTTTTCTGACCACAGAAAATTCAATTACTGAAAACTGCAGCTATCAAATTGGTTGAAAATAAATAGCCTTTTATCCAAAGCTGGCAAAGACTGGTTCACTTTTAATATGTAGCCATTAAAAAAAAATAAAAATAAGAAAACATTTCCATTGCAAGCTGATGGACTGCAGAGTCTCAAGCCAAGCAGTATTTTGCATCATCAGGTTTTATTTAAAATAGGATGAGAAAGGAGTGGGGGCAGTTCAAGAAAAGAAGTCATCATCAGAGTAATTTAACATTATTTTTCCTCTTTTGTTTTACAAGACAGAAAAAAAAAGTGAGCCTTTTTGCCAATAGAAATCACTTTCTCCTGCTTTCTCTCTGTCTCGGTTTGAAATGTTTAGTAATATACAGGAAATGTGGTAAGTGGGATCTACAAACGTGGGCTCCCAACATCAAGGCTAATTATGTGCGAAGCAATTGAGATGGCAGCAGAATTGCCAGGGAACTGAAAGGGAGGCTGAACCAGCACGCCTGGGTCTTTCATTGGCTTCATATTTGTGTTTTAATCTCCTGCACAACACGTTTTTTCCCCTTTCTACAAAGAACACATGTCCATGTTTCCTCAGTGAAAACCAATAAACAAACAAAAAGAAGTAACGGAAAAATTAGTAGAACCACTTTGTAAATTAAAGAGCCGAGATTCTCCAGCCTGTGGGTTAAATTTCCATTTCTGAGTTGCCATCCTCCTACCACTGAAGACGCATCTAGGCTGTTTCTCACTTCAGTAAGATTGATCTACACACAATTCAAGTTCGTTTTTATATTAGGCTTATAAAACATCAGGAAGCCAATACTGCTGCAGAATATAGATAATGCTTATTATGTTAACTAGCCTGGGCATCACTCATCCCCTTGAAGACAATTTGCTGAGAATTATTGAGGTTGTACATTAGAAGAAGCCCTTAACCGATGAGAATCAAGAGATCTAGCTTTGCTTGCTTTCTGCTATTAATCAGCTGGGTGGACTTCAGCAAGTCCTTAAAACTCACTGAGACACAATTCCTTTACCCGTACAATGAAGTGGTTGGAAGAAAGTGTCTAAGGTCATTTCCAACTCTATAATTTTTTGCCTTTGATTTTGTTCACCCAGTACGGTATGAACTCTGAGCTAATGACACACCACCATTAGCAAGAAGCCTCCCTGCATCAAATGTGAAATTCTAAGATCTCGCAAAGGCTATTTCCAATTATGGTGATAATGTAACACTCTTCTTTGCCACTTTATTTTCCCAAGATCTGCTCTCCTAAAATGAGATTATAAGAGATGATGGGTGATGCTAATCACAGTCTTGGAAACTGAAATTGTCATGAGAAATGTGTGCTTAAATGGGACCATCCTGTGCATTGGCTGACGGGAAAAGACTGTCTTTTTCTCTCTCTCTCTCTCTCACACGCACACATTCCCCACCCTGAAATGACTTGTCTTTTAGGAGAGTGCGAGGGGATTGGCAAAGAGGATTTAACCACAGCTAAGGGTACGGTGTTCGTGACAAAGCACACGATACCTAGAGAGAACAGGACAACCACTGCATAGTAGTCAGAACTAGGGCTGAGCAGGGAAAGGCTGACTTCATGAGGAGTTCCCTTAAAAAGCAGAAAGAAAACATAACAGCTCTGTCTGCTTTCTCATGTCTCTGGGTTAGGAGAGAACCACAGGCTCCCAGTTTTTACTGCCTGGTTTTGCGGTCTTATTGAGGGGTAACGTGACGACAGACAATAACAGTTCTGGGCCCTCCCATTTTGGAAATTCTTTACTAGTTTTCTTAATGCTACTTACTATGTATTATAGTTGTGGGTTCTAGATAAAAGATACTACTTCTTACAGCTAATCCCTCTTGTTTGAACCTTCACTAGTTTGTAAGAGATTATACCAGGAAAACCATATCAGGATTTTTTTTTTAATAAGTCAAAAAGATGACCAGGGAACATAGCACATTTTGGGAATTCAGTGTGGGGAAGGAGACTGATGCTTTCATGTAACTTCTAAATTTTAAAATCATGAGTTTGAAACATATCTGCATCAAGGTAGAACAATTCCACTGTCATTGGCTCTATTAGAGCCCAGTGACTTTAGAGGAGGGGCTGATATCATCCTGTCAAAGGGCAAAGGGCATCAAAGGATGGAATTTAAAACATCTTTGAAGAGCACAGGGTCAGCAGATCTTTGTTAACAGCTTCTGTTCGCAGACCTGCCAAAGTGTACCCTGTGCTTCTGGTGGGGCAACTGTGGCTGATGATTGACAGCTCTGTGATAAGGAAAGCTGACAGTAGAGTCTCCCATCAGGGCGGGGTGCAAAGAGGTGGAGAGGAGTGTGATGCTCTTCCAAGTCTTTTTAGCACTAAACATGTAAGTAGTTGCAACTCCCAGAGAGTGATCTACGCAACTCCCAGAGAGTGATCTATGCAAAGTTTTAAAAACAACATCTGATTTAGTTAAACATGTTATATAATTTGACATGCATAGAAAAACTCCAAAGCAATTGGCAGATTAGGAAAGCAAGCGGGGGAAGGTCAAGTGTTTTGTCAAAGGTAGAAGCACAGTTAATGGAAGAAAAGACTCTAAACCCAGGTCTTCATCCACTAGAAAGCAAAATTATGAAAATAATTGTCCAAAATGACAGGTGGACAGGAATAACTGATGAATGGATGAAATGTGAAATTAAATCAAAATTGCACTACTTAGACAAAAGAACAGATTTTGGACCCATCTTGTGATTCTTTGTTTGCTCCATGGATGTACACCCCCAGATCAAACTAGAAACTTCAGGCTGAGGAGAGGAAAATGTGTAAGTAGAGAACTGGGAAGGATGACATGAATTAAAATCATCTTAAAAGAGAAGTAAATTCTTCTCTGTGCTTTGCCTAAGTGAACATAGTCTTTGTGTTAACAATGGAAAGGAAATACCTTTCCATTTTAAGAATGGATTAGGCTAGTTTTATGTCATTAATTGCACTTAAAAGAATTTAGCCAAGTTTAACAAATTTATTGGTCATCTACTATGAGCCAAGAGTGAAGTATGAAGGAAACTGGAATCCAAAGATAAATGAGACCAGTCCTCAGAGAAGGTCTCATGTTATATGAATGCCAATTGTATTCTAATTAAATTATTCCAATTATTTTTCTGTCTCCTTTCACAAAGAGAGTAGTTATTGGGTAGGAAATGCAAGCAATCACATTGGGGATATTTAACTCTTTTGGGAGGAAAGAAAAGATTTAGAGTTAGAAAGGGAAAATATGAAACCATATTTTTATCCATTTTATTGCCATTAAAAATGTTTTTGCATCTTCGTTGATAAAGGTTTAAACACAGTATACAGGAGACTAGGGAAAAACGTATAGGCAGAGTCAGCTGCTGATTATGTGTGGTGAGAAGAAGGGGGGTTTCAAAGGCAGACAAATATATTGTTTGAACATACATGGCAGGAGAAAAGGTTGAAAACTCTCACTCTAATCTACTGCCGATATGATTTCCAAGTTCATCTGGTGGCTGGTTAACAAAATCCAACCGCTGCACATTTGAGACATAATTATGTGGTAGTAGAAAGAAAGTTTGTAATTTATACCGGTGCCTACCCGGTGTTAGCTTCCAGGAGACCTGACCCTTTCCCCAACCTCTTTTTGACCAAGCCAGCTCCACTCATTCCCCAGTCAGATTGGAAGTTACAGGTTCCACTGGAAACATGGTTTATGGATAATGTATCTATAATGGACTCTCCACTCAAAACCAATACAGCAGTAGCATAGCCATCAGCAATCAGTCCATAAAATCTGCAGTTGCCTTCCTTTTTTTCTTAAAGGGGGCAGGAAGCTAATGGATTTGAAATAGCAGAAGCGGACCACAGACCTTTTTAATAAATGAAAATAAAATTGAGTCTCAGGTTTATGTTGATCTATAGAACTGTGAGTCTCAGAGTCCTCCCACTGTTTCCCTCAGGGCTGATTCCTAGCCTAAACCACCCAACATTCATAGCTGATAAGTGTCTACTGAAGGGTAATAAAATACAGTGTGTGTAGTTGTAGAGAATGTAACTTATCACTTTCATCAAAAGCTCCCTGAAAATGTGTTTATCTAAAAGGCTTGTATGTTTGTGTATATTTCAAATATCTTTGCCGTTCGATTGAGCTCCTTGGGCATTTAAAAGCTATTCCTTGAAAAGGCTTTTTTGGAAACTGTTTAGCTATGGGTTAATGGTTACATTTCCTTGGATTGGAGATATCCTCCAGGTTACAGAATTCATACAAATATATACAAATGAGACATTGACTGTTACCCAATTTTATTTTCTCACTAAATCAAGGTAAAGATTTAAGGCCCAATTCATAAAAGAGAAAAAAAAAATCTTTATGTGGGTGTTAGGTGATTTTTAACTCCGACACAACTGATGCTGGGAATTTTCCAAGCATGTGGCTGCCTAGTGGGGAAAAAAAGAAAAAAGAAAAAACAGTTTGAGATGTTGAGAAAGAGGTTGGGGCACTCTGGTAATAGCTATGGAATATGACTGCATGTCACTTTTAAAAGCTGGCTGTGCTGCAGATGGTTTATAGCTGCTATATGGATGGTCTTATCTGGAAATACTTCTGGATCCTTCAAGAAATGGACGGAAAAAAAAGAGTTTTGTGTTTTTTTTTGATCAAAGACTGAGTTTTAAGTGTCTCAATGGAATGTTGAGGTTTTCCTTAAGGAAGGTGCTCACTAAATATCAATGATGAAATCATTGCCAAGGGAGTTGCAAAGAAATATCTTTTCTGTGTGTATGTTACCTGCCTAGAGGTATCAGTAGTTCCATCTATGCTTAGATTGTGTGTGGAACAATGCTTTCAAAATGTTGCAAAATGTGAGTACATTCCTAGTTCAGAAAACAAGCAGTCTAACTTGCCTCCAGATGTCCAATATCTGGATCATCACACCATTTATGGAACACTTACTATTTCTCAGTTACAGTTTCAGGAATGGGTTTTGATTAGGGAAAAGCCTTAGATACTGAATATCTCCCCTAAACACACAAGTCATGGGGATCACAGTGTGATCCACCTGGTGAATCAAGGATTATTATTCTTGATTTTCTTTCAGCTGAGAGTTTGGAAAACTCATTTCTCCAGCCACCATGGTGGCTTCCACTTCTGGGATGAACTGACCAAGAAGGACACCAAGAATTCAGATCTGGTGGTGTTGTATAAAGTCCTTTGTTCTAGAAGGCTTTTCTTTTTCACTTAGTTTGAAGAAAGATCTTGGTGGATAAGTTGAGGCCACTCTTGCTTCATTCTATGGCATTCACGAAGAGACTCTCCCTGAGAGAGTGAAGCAATTACTAGGTTTTGACAATTACAAATATCTCTTTCAGTAGATAAAGAGTGTGGTCTTTGTGACTGGCAATCACAAAGTGTTTTTTCATTGATAATTCAACTCCTTCTCAAAATTCCATAAGCTAATGAAAAATGACTATTTGAGATTTTTAGATTTGAATTATCCAGATCTATAATTTATATTAATCTAGTTATCTAGACAATTGTTTATTTCTTTACTTTTTCCACATAGACACATCCTAAAATCAAGATTTTGGGTACCCAATTAGTTTAGGGTCTCTTAAAAATAGAAATACAAAAACACTAAAATGTAACTTAAAATACTGAAAATAGTAATATCTAATAACATTTATGCACTCATATATTTTGGCAAGTTCACAGCTATAAGATGTGGCCCCAAACTGGAAGTTCGTATCTTCAGGCTTTCTTGCATGTGAGCTCAGCTACTATGTTCCATTTAAAATAAAATCCCAAATTGGGCTTCCCTAATACGGGAGCTACATCGGAAAGGCACAGAGGGTTACATTTCCAGATAAATTAGAGGTCAAAGCAAAAAAGTACTGAATGTAGAACCCAGATCCTAAGTTTCTATCAAGTTATTTTCTTCTTTGGAAAGAAAAGACTGTTCCCAAATAGGGTAGTCAGTTTACGTAATAGGTAATAATAAATGCAGACAAGTCAATCAGCTCATGTGGCTTGTAATTCAATCCAGGACTCCTAATGTGAGTGGGCAAAGGGAAGTATTTAGGTGAACTAAATACAGTAGGGGCAGTGATCATTTTTATTCAGGAATTTTATGTTTGGAGATCATAAAAATGGTAATTATAGCAAATATCTTTAATAGTCATCCAGCAGGATGGAATAGAACCTAAAGACTTTTATCTGTACCTCATTAAAACCAGTCCAATAAGAGATCCACACCCCTTTGAAGCCCTTCTAACCATGGTTCTTACACTCGTGTGGGATGTATATGTGTGTCTGTGTGTGTGTGTCTCAAGGTTCTGTTTGATTTCATATACACACGAATCTCAATATATACATATAAGCTTTGATACATATATGCATTTCAATAGCTGACTAAGAACTACTATATATGAAATCAAAACATCAAATGGAACCTTGGGAGTAGTTAAAGAATTAGAATCAATTTGTGAAATCATCATGTTACGATTCTTTAATTTTCAAAAGGGAATTCTGAAGCTATGAGGACACAGTCAGATGGAACATTTTCTCAATATTATGATCTATTTATAAATTAACTGAAACAAGCCAGCTCTGACTTAGAAAACACTTTCTGGAATCCAAAATAACTTCCATCCAAATCCACATGTCAGACTCTTGCTTTCTGTTTGGAAGAATTTCCTAATTCTCTGAATTTCAAGACATAAGCTCTTATAAAATGAGCGTTAGACACATCAATATGTTCAGAGACTAAATCTTTTTCAATAGGCCAATTAGCAAACATCAATGTAAAGAACTTGGCCAACAGAATTTTACTAGTACCTTTTAATATTTTAGAAACTTTTAAGGAAATTATATATATTTCTTACTTGATTTTTGGTGTCTCCTCTTTCTTCTTCCTCCTGTTCAAACTCCTTTCTTCACTGCGTTACTACTGTTTGGTTTCTGTCAACTTCACCCTCAATTTTGGTGTCCTAAACAGCCTATCTGTGCCAAGGGCATTTCAAAGAATGAGGCTCCATTTTGAATCTACAGATGCTATTACTACTTATTTTTACAGAGTCAGGCCAAGCCAAATGGAACTCATTTCAATAGCTGACAAATTACCAAAATCACCCATATTATAAATTGTGTCTCCTGTAATATATTGGGATTCTTCAAAATGAGGAAATAAAAGATAGGTTCTATTTTAGCCTGTTAGGATATATCCAAATATTTTTAATTTTAGAATCAGGATGCTAAACAAATTAGAAGTCTGAAAACCACTGCAGAGTTTGGACACACATATCGACAGGGGTGGAGCAGACAGGAAGCTTCAATCTTTTCTGGGTAGTGGATAAAGCACCTTCCCTGTGGGGATGGGGAGGAGGGAAATGGTAAAAACACCCATATTTCTTTAATTTAGGAATCCCCCACCCTGAAGGGTATGAAAGTTTTCAAGTCTGACTTCTCTGACAGGCAGAGGTGGAACAGTTGAAATCAGTTCAAAAGAAGGTCTGTCAAAGAGTCTTGTCACAGGTAAAACCAAGTGCTCAGCTATTAGTGACAAAAGCAGCCAACTCGAGTGATTTCTCTGCCACATGTGCTGTGACAGGATTGTAGCAGTGTTCGTTTACTTAACACACGACTCCATGTGCACACACACACACTTCAGAGAGGATTGTTTTTCACATGTATTTCAGTTACATTTCTTAAAATGCTGACCTCCTTGAAATCAATAGCTAATGGAATTCCCAACTCTGGTTGCATTGCTGATTTATAGACCCCTGGCTGGCCAGATGTACAGCTTTCCCCAAGAAAATGATAGTATCTGTGCTAATCACTTCCTGAATAAGTTGACTTTCCGGCCAATCTCTAATACTACTTACGAGTCTCTCCCTTTAGCCCTTGAGAGTTTTATTTCATGATTTTCATCTTTTATCTCTCCTTCACTGGGTTATGTCAGCTTGCTGCAAAAATTTGTGTCCCAACAGGTGTTCTAAAGATCTCTTGAGTGAAGATGCAAAATATGTGTGTGTAATAAATGGATTTTATCTGTGAAATAAATTAATGTTATCTTTTTCTATCTCTGCCTTGAACTCAGTCAAAATAGATAAATGCCTTTGTGACAGTGAATTCTTAGCACCAAACTGTTTTGATCAAAAGTAAAATTATCAATTATCTGATTTAATGCTTTCCGTTTTTTTTTTATTATTATACTTTAAGTTTTAGGGTACATGTGAACAATGTTGAGATGGAGTCTTGCGCTGTTGCCCAGGCTGGAGTGCAGTGGTGCGATCTCAGCTCACTGAAACCTCTGCCTTACAGGTGCAAGCGATTCTCCTGCCTTAGCCTCCTGAGTAGCTGGGTCTTCAGATGCGTGCTACCACACCTGGCTAATTTTTTATATTTTTAGTAGAGACGGGGTTTCACCATGTTACCCAGGATGGTCTCGATCTCCTGACCTCATGATCCACCCGCCTAGGCCTCCCAAAGTGCTGGTATTACAGGCATAAGCCACTATGCCCAGGCCTCCAAATTTCCTTTCCCAGATGGAGTCTTTTATACATTTGCATTTTTTCAGAAGCTAAATGAAGATATTCAAGTTGAAATAGTAAAGGGGCAGTAGTCACAGAATACTGCCCAACTGACCTCTCCTTTGCCCTTTTCTGAGTGACTCTAAGACACTGCTGCCTCCACACTGAGCTTATAAACCACTACTAGGCTGGGCTGGGCATGGTGGCTCATGCCTGTAATCCCAGCACTTTGGGAGGATGAGGTGGGAAGATTGTTTGAGCCCAGGAGTTTGAAACCAGCCTGGGCAGTGTAGCAAGAACCTGTCTCAAAATATATAAATAAATAAATAGGCACATCCCAAAACACTAGACTGGATGTCTATCCAGCTGATGAAAATCCCCAACCTCCAAAGTACAGAGGCAGCAGAATTGTTCTGATCCCCGATAGCCCACTAAGCATTCAAGTCTTTCTGTAGAATCAGATGTGAAATCAATATTCACAAAATAAATTTTATTAGAGCATTACTAACCACCAACTACATACAAACTAGATATAATGTACACTGTACTGGACTGTTTTATAAGCACCATTTTTGTTTTGTTCTTTAAGAGACTAATAGTGGGATTCTTATTCCTAAACTCTATCTTTGTCACTGTATGGCTTTAGGCAAATTAGTTGTACTTCTCAACCTCATTTTCCTCATCTGTAAAAGATAGGAAGCCTATCCACTTCTATTATTTTTAGGGTTGAAGGAGATAATGAATGGGGAAAAGTAAGCACAATGCCTGGCACATGGTAGATACTCAAAGAACGTTATCTGAATAAATAAAATATATAAGAAGCTGCTAATGCCATCCCAAAGTTTACCATCTACCAGTAAAAATTCATACCAGTATAGAAACTTATACCAACATAAACCAATTTTGTCAAGGTCTTTGTGGTAGAAGTCAGTTGATTCCTAGGATGAGAGTCAATGGGTCTTACAGGATACTTCTTCCACCTCTTTAAGGTCAGGTGGTCTGTTACCTTAAAAGTAATCAGACCGAATTTTTCCATACATCCCAATCGTTGATTGTTAACAAGTGAGCTCATGCTGCCATCCAACCTGTTCTTGTAAACTCTGTGGTGTTCCAGTTCTCTTTTTTTAGGCATTATTACGTGTGCAGTGTTTTAAGGTTCCCCTAAGGAAGATGATAACAATATTTCTGTAAAAGAATTCATCTAGCCTTCTAATATGATTGAAAAATTCCTTATTAAGTCATGGGGCATAGGATCCACTTGACTCGCAAGAATCATAGTCCCTCTTTAAGCAAAAGCAGTGCCAGTCCACACCCTTGGCCATTAGTTCTCATTTCACCCATAAAAAGTTTCTTTGTAATATCCTTTAGGCTACTTAGTGAACCCTCTAATGTTTATGTAGGTTAGTTACATAATTGAAGCCTTTTTAATGTTGTCTATAGAAAGAGCACTCATATTAGTACTTTTCACATGTTAATAGCTCCTAGGACCTACATTGCAAATTAGAGTGCTTCACATGTTAACTAGGTGGCCTTAAGATATTAAGACAATACATAATTGACATCATCGTATTGCAAGTTACAAACAGTAAAGCAGATACATGAAAACCTTTATAGGTTGCCTAATGTGACAGAAGTCTAAAATTTAGAGAAAGCCTTGAGGTTATGCTAATATGTCTTAAATATCTACAGACCGTTCCTCGGAAAACTACCCTGTATTAGTCCATTCTCATGCCACTGTGAAAAAATGCTGAAGATTAAGTAATTTATGAAGAAAAGAGGTTTAATTGACTCATAGTTCTGCATGGCTAGGGAGGCCTCAGGAAACTTAACAGTCATGGTGGAAGGCACCTCTTCACAGGGTGGCAGGAGAGAGAATGAGTGCAAGCAGGGGAAATGCCAGGTATTTATAAAACCATCATATCTCATGAGAACTCACTCACTATCATGAGAACAGCTTCAAGGAAACCACCCCCATGATCCAGTCGCTTCCCACTAGGTCCCTCCCACCACATACGGGGATTATGGGAACTACAATTCAAGATGAGATTTGGGTGGGGACACAGCCAAACCGTATGATTCCATCCCTGGACCCTCCCAAATCTCATGTCCTTGTATTTCAAAACAATCATGCCTTCCCAATAGTCCCCCGAGGTCTAAACTCATTCCAGCATTAACTCAAAAGTCCAAGTTCAAAGTTTCATCTGAGACAAGGCAAGTTCCTTCTGCCTATGAGCCTGTAATATCAAAAGTAAGTTAGTTATTTCCAAGATACAATGAGGACACAGGCATTGGGTAAATGCTCCTGTTCCAAAACAGAGACATTGGCCAAAACAAAGCAGCTACAGGCCCAGTGCAAGCCCAGAATCCAGTAAGGCAGTCATTAAATATTAAAGCTCTGACATAATCTCCTTTGACTCCATGTCTCACATCCAGGAAATGCTAATGCAAAGGGTGGGCTCCCACAGCCTTGGGCAGCTCCACCTCTGTGGCTTTGCAGGCTATAGCCACTCTCCAACCACCAACCCCCAGTGTTGGCTGCTTTCATGGGCTGATGTTGAGTATCTGTGGCTTTTCCAGGCACATGGTGCAAGCTGTTGGTGGATCTACCATTCTGGGGTCTGGAGGATAGTGGCCCTCTTCTCATAGCTCCATTAAGCAGTGCCCAAGTGGGGACTCTGTGTGGGGGCTCCAACCTCACATTTCTCTTCTGCACTGCCCTAGCAGAGGTTCTCCATGAGAGCTCTGCCCCTGTAGCACACTTCTGCCTGGACATCCAGGCATTTTCATACATCCTCTGAAATCTAGGTGGAGGTTTCCAGACCTCAAATTCTTGACTTCTGTGCACCCACAGGCTCAACACCACATGGAAGCTGCCAAGGCTTGGGGTTTGCACTCTTGAAGCAATAGCCTGAGACGTACCTTGGCCCCTTTTAGCCATGGCTAGAGCAGCTGGGACACAGGACACCAAGTCCTGAGTCTGCACACAGCAAGGGGGCCCTGGACCTGGAAGGGGAAACCATTTGTCCCTACTAGGCATCTGGGCCTGTGAAGGGAGGGGCTGCTGTAAAGGTCTCTAACGTGCCCTGCAGACATTTTCCACATCGTCTTGGTGATTAACATTTGGCTCCTTGTTACCTATACAAATTTCTGCAGCATGCTTGAATTTTTCCCCAGAAAATAGGTTGTTGTTTTTTTTCTATTGCATCGTTGGGTTGCAAATTTTCTAAACTTTTATGCTCTGTCACCTCTTGAATGCTTTGCTACTTAGAAATTTCTTCTGTCAGATGCTCTCAGTCATCTCTCTCAAGTTCAAAGTTCCACGGATCTCTAGGAGAAGGGAACAAAGCCTCCAGTGTCTTTGCTAAAGCATAGCAAGAGTGACCTTCACTCCATTTCCCAACAAGTTTCTCATTTCCATCTGAGACCACCTCAGCCTGGACTTCATTGTCCATATCACTATTGGCATTTTGGTCAAAACCATTCAATCAGTCTCTAAGAACTTCCAAACTTCTTGTCTTCTTTTGAGCCATCCAAACTGCTCTAACCTCTGCCTGTTACCCAGTTCCAAAGTCACTTCCACATTTTTGGATATCTTTGTAGCAGCACCCCAATCCTGGTACCAATTTACTATATTGTACATATCACGTACAATATGTACATATCACACATATCATACCCTATACCTTATCCTCCAAGGAAGAGTGAGCCTAAACATGAGTGTTTTGAAATCTCTATGGAGTCACACTTGATTAGATGAGGAATGCATAATGGATATTTGGCAGCAGCTTATCTGCTGATCTGCTAGTTAGCCCAGTATTTCTATATTACCATATTATTGACATTTGGGGCAAGATAACACTTCATTGTGTGCGACAATCTCATATATTATGGGACAGATGGTATCTGCTTTCCACCACAGACCATGTTCCCTTCTCCAGTCATCTCGACAATCAAAAAAACCACTCACAAATGTTCAAATATTTCTGAGTGGGAAGAAGTGCTACCATCAGTTGAGAATCACAAGCCTAGCTAATAAAATGGCTATCACAATAACATTAACTGGAAAATTCAGTTCCTAGGCCTTAGGGAAATTATAAACAAGTCCCCTCCACTCCCACCCCATTCCTAATACTCCCTCCAATTTTTGTCAGGTCTGGGATAAGAATAAAAACAGAAGCTAAAATATCATATACCTAAATATTTAAAAATTATATATCAAGCCAATAAGCTGGATAATAAAATATGGTCTACCTTCCAAATTTGACAAATATATCTTGTAAGGTCCTGGAAGGCCAGGTTAAAATGTAAGATTCTAAGAATCCTTGCCCTCTCCTACCACAGTGATGCTGCGTGGGGAAAAGTAGGCATTGCTCCTGGCTTGAGACAAACTCCCTCTTCTCTTTTTGTCCTGTCTCTTTCCCATATGACTAAGGAGACCTTGTACTCATGCATGTGGAAATCAGCTCACATATCCAGTCTCTATATTTTCACAAACAGCTGCCCCTTGAGTGGTTCCCTGGAAGGCCTGGAAGAAGGTTCTGGGTCATCAGAAGAGGGACTTCCAGGGACCCTTGTTTTTCAGAATATGGTCTAGGGAGGGCAGAGTGCAATGTTTGCTCTACTTTGCAGATGCCTTGCCTTATGGAGAATGGTATGGTCAGAGAAAGGCCAGAAGAGGTTTTCTAAAATGTTTTGTTCCAGAAAGAGTCCCATCTTTCTAACTCTAGGGATGGAACCAATTTTAAGCTATTGTAGAGATGGAGCATAAACTATGAATGCACAGAAACTGGTAGGTAGAAAAGAGAGGTATGCAATATAAAGGAAAGAATAAATTGGTTGAGTGTGAAAAGGGAAGAGTGAAATGCCACAGAGTAGTGGAAAAAAGCAATCAAGAAGCTGCACAAAATCATGTTACTTAAGTATCTAGAGTTTCCTGGGACTCTGCATGGATCTCTCATTCCTGTGTCTTCTTGGGGCCATGCCTACATCACTGGCTTTTTGTGTTTTCCTGTGTCCTCATGCCTATGTATACTTAGGGTAAACCTCAATTATTGGAAGTAACTTGAACTAGTGTGTTGTTACAGATAAAACAACCTAAATAAATCAGGAGCACTTAGAAGACACTAAATACTCTGGAAGGGGACATCATGTGAGGTGAGTCTAAGATAGGCAGCCCTGGTTAGGAAACTATATGAGCAAATAAGCCAGTGAAAGTTGGGGTGAAGGGGTAGAGAGAAGAAGAGTGGGTATCCTCTTTTAGAGATTAAGACAATGGTGGCTGACTTAAATGGTTCGCTTCCTGTAAGACTTGAAATCTATCCTCCCATAAAACTCATAGAACTCCTAACCTCCTATAGCCCAGCTAGGCCATGGCCTACCTGAGCACCATGGACAAGCAGGAGAACTCAGCACCAGAATTCACAGCATTGCTTTTCTGGAGAACCAGTCTCAGTTTCCCAAAATGGAGTTTAGAAGCTCACATTTGGGAAAAAAAAAAAAAAAAAAAACAATAAGATTATGGATATTTACCTAGACTACTGTATTTTTTATTTGCAATTTTAGACAAAATGTTAACATCTTTAATCATAAATTAACTCTTTGGAAATCAGTACAAGGAGACTAACATTACAAGGGAAGTGAAAATAAAAGGAACAGAGGAAAATGGAATGGCACAAATGAGTTATAAGGCTATATGAAGATGATATACTTAACATTAATAGCTGAGAAAGCAATTTCAATATAAATTACATTATCAATCCTTACAAATACTGATATCTGATGTTTGCACAGCTTTAGGAAATGAATTATTCTCAAATACTGGGGAAACTTACTCTAGTCATGGGGAGTTTACTCAAAAATGTAGATTTTTGCATAAACTTGGCCTTCGCAGTTCCAAATTATAGGAATCACTCCAACAAAGTAGTTAGACATACAATCACACACATACACATACATGTTTACTACACAGAAAATGTGTAAGTAATATATCATCCCCCGAGAAACTACTTATGTCTCAACTGGTTTATAAAATAACAGACGGGGGTGGGGGGAGAAATAGAAAAAAGGCACTTAAGTAAAAATACTACATTTCACAAAATTCTGTGTCTTTTTAATTCTTATGAAACATTTTTAATGAATCAGTTTTATATTTACCCTATTGTTTTGAAGATATTTTTCAGAAATGTGTACATATGCGAGTGTATGTGGGTGAGTGTAGGTGTTAACAGTATAGAAGCCTTGCACATTATTTATTGTTTTTATTCATAGATCTGTATTTTCAGCCCCTGAGGACAATAAACATCACAGTGTTGACATTTGCTTTGTTAATGTTAATTCCAGTACACTGGTGATGATCGCAGAAAGATATGATCCTGGGCCTTGAAGAGCTGACAATCTAAGTCAACTCACAGAATTTTACGTAAGTACCCACCATGGTGTATACTCTCAATGGAAAATTTTCAAGTAAAATTTGGACCTATTGTTATTTGTATAGCATATATTATAAGTGTAGTTTTTCTTTTGATGCTGCTGCAACTCTTGTTTTCCTTCCATCCTCTTATCATGTTTCCATGAGCTGTTGAGTGACTTCTAGATCCCATTATACAAAATTCAATCCAAAAGATATTTACTGGATACCAGTAATGGACAGGGCATTATGCAATATTATACAGCTAAGACAAAAACATGAGTATATCCCAATAAGTTAAGAACACGGGCCGGGTGCAGTGGCTCACGCCTGTAATCCCAGCACATTGGGAGGCCAAGGTGGGCGGATCATGAGGTCAGGAGTTTGAGACCAGCCTGGCCAACATGGCGAAACCCCGTCCCTACTGAAAATACAAAAATTAGCCGGGCATGGTAGCAGGCGCCTGTAATCCCAGCTACTCAGGAGGCTGAGGCAGGAAAATCACTTGAACCCAGAGGGTGGAGGTTGCAGTGAGCCAAGACTGTGCCATTGCACTCCAACCTGGGCGACAAGAGCAAGACCCTGTCTAAAAAAAAAAAAAAAAAGACAGGCCAGGTGCGGTGGCTCGCACCTGTAATCCCAGCACTTTGAGAGCCCGAGGCGGGGGGATCACGAGGTCAGGAGTTCGAGACCAGCCTGACCAACATGGTGAAACCCCATCTCTACTAAAAATACAAAAATTAGCCGGGTGTGGTGGAGTGCACCTGTGGTCTCAGGTACTTGGGAGGCTGAGGCAGGAGAATCACTTGAACCCAGGAGGCAGAGGTTACAGTGAGCTGAGATCATGCCACTGCACTCCAGCCTGGCCTACAGAGCAAGACTCCATCTCAAAAAAAAAAAAAAAAAAAAGAACATAAGATCTGGAGTAAGCCTCTGTAGGTCTAATCCCAGCAATGCCACTTGTTTGCTGTGTGCCTATGCACAAGTTATTCAGCCGCCCTATGGCACTGTTTCCAAATGTCTGGAAATAAGGATAATGATAGAAACTTCCTCTCAGAGTTGTAAGTCATGCTCCCTAAATCTGCCTCATCATGAACAACAATGACACCTTGGCAATGGAAGTCTTGTGTTCCACCCCAGCCATTCCAAATTAGCATTTTCAAGAGGAAGGCCTAGAAAGCTTATTCTTGGGATTAGACAAGTATGGAACACATGGAGATCCTGCATGTAAAAGTGCTCATCAATGTGATGGTCTGCAGAAAATTTCAACAATTTGTAGTGGTAGATTTCTTTGCCAAAAGAGCATAGCAGTTTAGTATTAATATAGTGGCTATGCATCTAGTCACCACAAAGGCATGCAAAGAAAGAGGAGAGAGTTTAAACATGAAAACAATAATTTATCTTTTGGATAAAAAGAAAATTATTAAGGAAGAAGACATTGAAGATGGTCTTGCAGTTTGATGAAATATCTCTATGAAGATTTGCAGAGGCAGAAAAGTTCCAGAGAGAGAAGTGACTTGTACAGTGTAGAGGATACAGCATAGCAGAAAGTGTATGTCAGCAAAGACAAGGAGTTCAGCGTGGTAGGAGCATAGGAAATATATAACGTTCAGAATGCACCTAATTTTGGTCATAGGCTTTGTAAGCCCAAAATGCCAAATGCCTACTCCAGTGCCTTTTTGATATTCACAAACTCTTGCCTGATCAGTGATCATGGGATGATACAGACGAACATTCTATTCAATCATCACGCTGATGTCAGTGATAGGAACAAGTTATGCAACTCAGATTTGTTGGTAATATTCCAATATTTTCTTTCTCAACCTTGACACTATTGCAATTTGTCTAGAGGCTGACCTGCCCATTTTAAGATGTTTTTCAGTATCCTTTACCTCTGCTCATTAGATGTTGGTAGCACCCCTCACACAAATTGTGACAACCAAAAATGTCTTCAACCATTGCTAAATGCCCTCTGGGGTAAAAAAAAATCATCCCTGGTTGAAAACCACTGAAATACAAAATTCATTCTAGATATAATTTGAAGTGAAAATCTTAAGTGTTTTGCATATTGAAATTCAATTAGTCAGGTAAAGTATAATGTATACGTATGAATAAAGTCATACATTAATTATTGTGATAGACATTAATATAATGTCCAAAAGCAGTTAAAAATGTTCAACTAGTTCAAAACTAACATATATATAATAAATTGATATTTAATACAAATATTAAGAAAAAGCATAACTAGAAAATTGGGTAAAGCATAATTTTCTTATGGTGTTATCAAATATTCTATACATTAAATGATTACAGAAAAAACAATAGGAATTCTATCATATTGTAATTCTAAGGTACTTAGAATTGTTTGGTATCCTAACATTCATAACATCAGATAAATTTTCCTTTAATGTGCAATGAATTTATAGTGAATTAACTAAATTTAGGCCATAAACATGTAAAGAACCAAAAAAAAGTTGTTATATTTAAAATTATTTGAAATCTTATGAGAAAGAACTAAAAGGAGATATCAATTTGTCACTAAAAATGTAATGCAAGGAAAAGCTAAACTTCAAAATGAAATATAAAAAAGAGAGAAAAAGCAAAACAAAATCCCCAAAACAAAAAGTAAATTACAATAATATTGATAATCATCTTTCATCTAGATATATTAATAGTTGAGAATTTAAAGAATGTTAAAAAAAGAAAGTGTTAGAGAAAAATTATATACCTGGACATCTAGACATATTTTGCTTCAACTACTTACTCAAACTTCAAAAGCACAGATTTACAATAATAATTTAAGACAATTCAAAGCAGCTTTAAGTCTTTAGAGATAATTACTATTTTTTTTAGATGGAGTCTCACTCTGTTGCCCAGGCTGGAGTATGGAGTGCAGTGGCACAGTCTCATTTCACTGCAACCTCTGCCTCCCGGGTTCAAACAATTCTTCTGCCTCAGCCTCCTGAGTAGCTGGGACTACAGGCATGCACCATCACACTCAGCTAATCTTTGTATTTTTAGTAGAGACGGGGTTTCACCATATTGGCCAGGCTGGTCTCAAACTCCTGACCTTGTGATCCCCCAACCTCTGCCTCCCAAAGTCCTGCAATTACAGGCATGAGCCACCGCTCCTGGCCAGAGGTTCAATTTTTAAGTGAAAAAAATGTTGAAACGGTGGCTTACCATCTGACCTAGCAATCCCATTACTTGGTACATATTCAAAGGAATGTAAATCATTCTGTTATAAAGATACACGCACATGTATGTTCATTGCAGCACTATTCACAATAGCAAAGACATGGAATCAACCCATATGCACATCAATCAGATTGGATAAAGAAAATGTGGTACATATACACCATGGAATACCATGCAGCCATAAAAAGGCATGAGATCATGTCCTTTGAAGGGACATGCATGGAGCTGGAAGCCATTATCCTCAGCAAACTAATGCAGGAACAGAAAACCAAACACCACATGTTCTCACTTATAAGTGTGAGCTGAACAATGAGAACACATAGATACAGGGAGGGGAACAACACACACTGGGGGCTATTGTGGGGAGTAGAGGAAGGGAGAGCATCAGCATAAATAGCTAATGCATGTGGGGCTTAATATGAAGGTGATGGGTTGATAGGTGCAGCAAACCACCATGGCACACGTTTACCTATGTAACAAACGTGCGCATCCTGCACATGTACCCCAGAAGTTTAAATTAAATTAAATTACATTTTAAAACAGAAATGGTCGCTTATAGATTGCCAGTAATTGAAGATAAAGGGGTTTTGAAGGTTACATAAGTAATAAACTTGAAGAACAAAGTTATTTCAAGAAACATTTAAAATGTTGATAATTTTTTTGATAACAGACTTGTATTTCACTCTCTGTTATCAAGAAATTACCAAGATTTCAAATGTACCATTTGAACATGAAAATATGTTCATAATTACCCACATGTAGGTTAAACAAACAAACAGAAAAAAACAGGTTGGACATAGTGGCTCATGCCTGTAATCCCAGCTACTCAGGAGGCTGAGGTGGGAGGATTGCTTGAGCCCAGGAGGTCGAGGCTACAGTAGACTGTGATACAGCCACTGCACTCCAGCTTTTATATATATATATATATATATACACACACACACACACACACACACACATATATGTGTGTGTGTAATATATAAAATATATATTTTAATATATAACATTTTAATATATAAAATATAAAATATTTTTAATATATAAATTTTTTTTTAAAAATCTAGGGGCAGATATGAGAAATGACTTTTCCTACAATGTAATGTAGCCCACATACATTTGACAACTATGATTTTTAATGATAAAATAAGATATTAATGAAATTTTTTGGTACATTTTTATGTATGTCTTCATTTCCCAAAAGTCATTTCTGTGGCAGTGCTCTTTGACATCAGCTTCTATTTTGGATTTGGCCAAACATTGGTTGTAGGGCTAGACCATGGGCACTTGGCCAAAATGAATATTTAGTACATCTCTACATATATAGTGAAGTGTGAGAGAAGCTGATAATCCAGTTTAGAAGTTGTAATTCAGAGGGCCTCAAATGCCAAGAAGACGAGACAATGTTTAATTTAATTAGCAAAGAAAAATAAGTGAAGACACTTGCTCAATTCCACAACGAGCTAGAAGTTTTGCAATTTAAGTAAATATTTAGCATGTATTGTAGAAATAAAATGAATTGTAGATGTTCTGTCATTTTCCCCTGTGTTAATGTAATTCCCTTGATTTTAACATTGAACTAACTGTTGCTAATTTTGCTATCACTAAGGTAATAAGAACTTACATGTATTTAACAGTTACTGTATGCCAATATCCCTGAAAGGCATAATCACATTTAATCCTTGAAATGCTTTACAATGAATGAGCTGTAATTATTCTTATTTTATATAACAGAAGAAATGGGTAAAGTTGCTCATAAGTAGGAAATCAAGGATTCGAATCCAGGGTCTGCACTCTTCCTTCTAGTGATAAATTGTTCATGGGATGAGTTTAAAACCTAAATCAGATCTTTTTATAGTCACCAATCATTAAGCTAATATCACAAATACTTTTTCGCTTGTGTTTTATTACCATCATCCTAGATCCTAAATTGAGCTTTTTAAAGGGAGGGATGAGTAACACAAGAGATTTCTATGGTGGTGAAACTACTCTGTATGGTACTATAATGTGGATACGTCTTTAAAAATTTATCAAAACCCATAGAACCTACATCATCAAGAATGAACCCTAATGTAAACTACGGACTGAGTGATAATGATGCGTCAATGTAGGTTTATCAGTTGTAACAGATGTACTATCTGGTGGAGGATTTTGATAATGGGGGAGGCTGTGCATGTGTTGGGGGTGGGGGTAGGTGGGAAATCTCTGTGCCTTCTGCTTAATTTTGTTATGAACCTAAAACTGCTCTAAAGAATAAAGCCTACTTTTTAAGAAGCACTCACAATATTCTGGTAGATATTTTCTTTAGTGTTTCCTTCAGTGCAATGTAACTAATCCCTAACACATGAAAAAAAAAAAAAAAAGCCTAAATAGAGAACACCCTTTCCATTTGATTCTTGATCTGAGCACAACTAGTGTGACCTTGAAAGCAGCTCTTAGTCTTTCGGCAATTAAATGTGCATGTTATTTAATTTCCATTACATACATCGGAGATGAGTGTTTGCTTCTATTATATAATGTTCATCCTACAGATATGTTGTATATCCCAGATAGAATGCTTACTGTGTCAACCAACACAAAGCATATGTATAAGACATTCTGCTCATAAATTATTACCGAAGTGATCTCATGAATGTGAAGAGGTCTGCTCATGACGTGTGAGGTTTCCCAAAGTTATCTTTGATTAAGGACCAGATGTGCTGGGCTTAATGGAGAACGTTATATAAAGACTGAACAGGCCAGGCGCGGTGACTCACGCCTGTAATCCCAGCACTTTGGGAGGCCGAAGTGGGCAAATCACAAGGTCAGGAGTTCGAGACCAACCTGGCCAACATGGTAAAACTCTGCCTCTACTAAAAATACAAAAATTAGCCAGGTGTGGTGGTGGGCGCCTGTAATCCCAGCTACTCGGAAGGCTGAGGCAGGAGAATTGCTTGAACCCGGGAGGCGGAGGTTGCAGTGAGCCAAGATCACACCACTGCACTCCAGCGTGGGTGACAGAGTAAGACTCTGTCTCAGAAAAAAAAAAAGACTGAACAAACCAGGACTTCCTCACATGAACACAGGCTTCATCCATCACGTGCAGCCTTTGTTGGGAACATTAGATGCTGGCCATGGCATATTCTTACCCAACATGGTTCTTCTTCATGTCTTAGTCATATTCTCTGCTTCCCCGTCCTTTTCATTCCTAGAAACCTGGAAATCTCAGTCCAGCTTGGTCACATGACCTCCCGTCTGAATTATGCCTCATGTGTAATAGAGATTGTGAATGATGTCTCATCCACCATCCAGTGTTAGATATGGATTTAGCATTCCAGATCCCAGATAGGGCAGCCTGATGTGACAGTTCTCAATTTTTTTCAAGCTTCTCAGCCAATCAGATATAGATATGTACAGCTACAATCAGGACCAGACAACTGTGCAGGGAACTGCACTTATATAACTCCTCCATTATGTATGCTGTACAGAGGAGCAATGACCTCTCCAATAAATCTACCGTGAGCACTCCTGAGGCTCCATCAGCAATTGCAGGCAATCACTTAAGAATAGAAATAGTTATTTTTAAAAATATATTCCTTTCTAGGATAGCTGTAAAATGTGCATGAACTCCATGCCAGCCTGTGACAGGGAAATTTAGTTTTAGGTCACTCAATTTATGCCTCTGAGGGGAACAAATTCCCCAGAAGATTAAACTTTCATTAGGTTCTTTCTTTTATTTCCTGCCTTTGCACCCATCATATCGTAAGTTCCATAAATGATGTCTTACTAGGGCCATAAAATGGTTGCCCTTGAACTTTAGGAACCTGTCAAACACCTCTCTCTCTCCCCCTTACCCCCCAATAAAAAACCTTTTAGAGAATGGTACTTAAATTGACAGTTTCAGTGGTCACCCTCCCCTGCCTATGTCAATGAGAATGTGCCTAGAAGAGATGGAGAAAGTAATACGCACTTTAGACAATTGCATTGTGAAGCCGATAGTCCACACTCCCCTGCCCCCATCCCCCTATTGTTTTGACTAGACAGGGGATCATACTGAATAGATTAACAAGTCATTGACTTGGGACACCTACTGCTTGGAATGTCATTGCACTTGGAGTGAAAGGGGATAAAAATGTCTCCCTTCCATCCCTGATCTCTCTACTCTGTGGCAATATTTCTGCCACAGAAATACTTGGCTGTCAGCTCCAGCAAAGCAACCCTGGATAGCCACAGTAGTTTGTTGTCAGAATGAAAAATGGTTCCGTGCAAAAGGTCTCAGAGCCGGGATGCTAAAAATCAAGGAGTCCTAAGTCAGGCATTTGACAGAGAACTTTGGTCTCGCTGTTAAATACCACTTAATACTGTCCTGCCTGATAATCCCTGCTGTTTAACAACTGTGGGATCGTGGCTCAGCTGTGGCAGAATGCTTTTTCGACAGGGAGAAAATGGTCAGATGTCATCTATTTGCTTGAAAGAAAAGAAAATACATCTCTTAGCATCCAGCGAAAATGATAATGCTTAAAAAAAAAAGAAAATTGCAAATCCATTCTAGCTTTGATTCATTAGAGAGTTCACAGCCAAGAGAGAGAAATGAAACTCTAGCTGAGGTTAGCTATAGGTGAAGAACAAAGAAGCTTGATATAGCCATTAGTACTCTAGACAGTGCTCTGATACTCCAAATAGTTAGCTGGTTAGTGAAAAAAATTCAAGCTAGGCATCAAGTAATGCCTACAACTAACTTTTTTGCTCACTGTGTAGTCTTGGGCTTAGAACTGTGTACTAGTTCATGTGTTTGTTGGAGTGTGTGTGTGTGTGTGTGTGCGCAAGGCCACCATTACTGCAATAAATATTATAAACAACTTACTTAACAGTGCTAATTGCCTCTGTTGTTTTCCAAGCAAGATTTAATTATTTTAGTGCCAATTATCTCACCTAGAGCCACAAGTGATAGTTTTTATGACCTTTTATAAAAGTTTAGAGTTGAAATAACATGAAAAATCTAACCCAGTTTCCCCGTTTTTCTAATGGTTTCTTAGATAATATAATTAAATGATGACTATGCAAATGGACAGTTATTCTGTGATGCTTCAGAAGGAAGTATTTAAATAAACAAGCAGGATTCATAAAGAAATACAACTTAATTCAGTTTAAGGGTAACAAAAGTTTATCACCACAGTGGACCAAAACAAGTAGAAGCTTGATTAATCAAAATTTTCTAAGTCACTGAGAGTGTTCAGACAGACCAGGTAGCCTTTTCCACAGATACAGGGCATGGGATTATTTACAGAGGCATAGACTGTAATCTGTTACTTGTTCACCAATTTTTAGGATACTAAAATACGAAATAGATATACGGAGATTATATGAATCAGTTATCTAACACACAGTTATGTAGAATGATTTTGTCATTGGCCTAAGTATTGTATCCTCTTTAAAACTGCCTTTCAACTTTATTCCCTAGCTTGGAGTTTGATATCCCCATTTCTTTGATGTATAAATATTTTTTATATTATCCAAGAATAGTTAAGGCACATATGGAGAATTTGAATCCCCTGGAATGAGACTAGGTCACTGTTTCTTGATTTGGGGGATCTAGGAAGGCTACACTATGCATTTAAACCTGCATCTAATTCAATGGACATCTGTGACAGTCAATATTTCCTAAATGTTTCAAGTCACCGCTACTTACTCACCTCACTATACCTCAAATCTCAAACCACCAAACAAACAGACAAAAGCAAAGCAAAACAAACTCTAATGGTTTTGTAACTTCCTATTATATGTAACAGATTTGTAAAACTATGTCAGATTTTCCCTGCCATGTGGGAAGTTCCTCTAAATGAGCACTGATAGCTGACGAATGTTCATTTCACAATGACAACTAGCATAGGATCTTGCTTTCAGCAATATATAATACCATGAATTTTCTAAAACATATTACTGTTTCTAAAAAGCTATTGTTTGCCTACATGTAAAAAATAAGCTTTTAAAGACAACGACAGCTTCTTTTAACATATTTTAGTAACATATTTATAATCGCACATTATATTAAGATTACATTTGAAATAATTCATTGTCCACTGATATCTCAGAAAACCATTTTCTTTCAAAACCTTCAAGGAGAGGAGTTTTTAAAGGGAAAAACCTTTTGAGTCATTTATCACCTTTTTTGGCATAGTACGAATCTTCATCTCTTTTTTTTTTTCTTTTGTTGAGACAGAGGCTCACTCTGTCGCCCCGGCTGGAGTACAGTGGCGCCATCTTGGCTCACTGCAACCTCCACCTCCTGGGTTCAAGCAATTCTCCTGCCTCAGCCTCCCGAGTAACTGGGACTACAGGCACCCGCCACCAAGCCCAGCTAATTTTTGCATTTTTGGTAAAGACGGGGTTTTGCCAGGTTGGACAGGTTGGTCTGGAACTCCTGACCTCAGGTGCTCCGCCCACCTCAGCCTCCCAAAGTGCTGAATTACAGGGGTGAGCCACTGCGCCTGGCCCATCTTCACCTCTATTAAGTATTTCTGTCTCTGGCCTTTATGCATTGATGAAGGATGTTGTTGTTGGAAGTTATATCACAGGCCACATATGCCCATTTGGATTCCACGAACATGGTTGTTTTGGTTCAGTTTTCTGGTAGCTGTTCATCTGTGATAGTCAAACCAAGCTTATTTTTCAAAGGGATCCCTAAAGGCCTAGTTTACAAGGATATCATTTTCACACACCAAAAAAACCCTTATTTGCTCAGATAATTTTTATCTCTGTCTATAAAAAGCTAGTATTGATCAATTTACTTAAAGCTAATGTATCTTTTCAAACTACTAATTGCATTTCAAAATAAATAATTAATAGAGTAACCTATAATAGGAGAAGCCTTGCAAAGATTGAAATTTAAGGAGAATTATGTTTTTGTTTGTTTTGTTTTGTTTTGTTTTGTTTCAGACAGGGTCTCATCTGTCACCCAAGCTGGGGTGCAGCAGCGTGATCATGGCTTACTGCAGCCTTGACTTTCTGGGCTCAAACAGTCCTCCCACATCAGCCTCCTAAGTAGGTGGGAATACAGGCATGTGCCACTACATTCAGCTCTGTTTTTGTTGTTGTTGTTCTTGTTGTTCTTTGTCAATGATGATTGACAATGATGATTTTGTCAATAAAATAGACTTACATTTAGATATATATATATGAATTTCCTTTTAGATCCTACATTCTCCTTAGAATGTTAGACATTAAAATGCTCTGAGATTCTGCTGTTTAAAAAAAAAAAAACAAAAAAAACTAAGACTCAAATATAGTCATGTCTTCAACCGTATCTTGCAAGAGTTACATGAAGAATAAAAATAATGTGTATATATTGTCTGATATGGAATGCATACACAGCAAATAATAGCTGCTACTTTTACAATTAGCATTTGCTTAGTCAATGTTTATTTAATGAATAATATATGGCAGTCAATGAATATTTGCTATGTACTAAATGCTTTGCTTACAAGGTGTTATTTAACAATGGTAACTCTTCAATGAGAAATACACCTTTCAATCCAGCATTTTTTGAGGAGGAAATTGAGATTCACAGGACTTAAGTCACATACATGTCTAGAAGGTGGTCAGCTAAGTTTCCAACGTAGGTCCACCTGACTCAAAGTGTGCTATATTGTCCTAAATTGACATACTTTTTAATACATATGCCATATTCAAAACCATTATGGGACAATTGCAGAGTAATAAAATTTGTATCAGTAGTCACTGTTGAAGAAAAATACTTTATTTCAGCCCCCTCAAGATCTCTAGCATAATTGACCACTGGGACCAATGATACCAACTATAGCCAAACATTACTTGTTTTCTTTTTTGGATCTGCGTCTTGGGTCTCCAGACCGTGTGCAGAAGAAGGAAGTTCAGGTCTCTGTGTCCTCTGCTGGCACACCTGACTCATCTGGGTTGAGTCAGCACTCTTGCCCCGGGACCTTTATGTACCCTCCCAAGGTTTCTTTACTGCTGTCTTCTTACTAGTGTTTATGGTATACACATTTACTATCTGGGAGGATCAGCAGATGGAAACCCCATGACTTGCTAATTAGATCTCCCAAAGATAGTGTCAAATTAAAACCTGGCCCTCTAAATTCACATAAACACCAAGGGATGCAACTGCCAAAGATGGGGCTCTCCTGGAGAATTGGCAGCTTCTTTCTCCCTCTAACCATTCTCTTATCTGAACTGAAGAGATCTGCCTCCAGCACATTATTGCCCCCAGCACTTAATGAGACTTGAGTAAACAACAGTGGTGGTGAGCACAGGGTGTTTTCCTGGCCCAGGTGCTCGGATTTTCTGAAAATTAAATCCAGTGCTGAGGCAGATTGAAGGAAAGAATACATCTGCAGCTCAACCCCGTCAGCATGTGGAGTCAATTCTCTAGGTAGTGTAGCTGTCAGGGATCAGCTGGATTTGACTCGTAGCTCTGCTGTGCAGTCTCAGGCAAGTAACTTAAACCCGCTAGTCTCCTGTCTAGTCCTCAGCTTCCTAATTTGCATAATGAGGATCGGTAAGCTCATAGGGTTACTGTGAGTTTGGAAAATGCAGGCATAGCACTTGCACAGGCCTGCTCTTTAATAAGCCTTGAAAAATCTAAGCTCTCATTTGCTGCTACTTCTGGTGTAGCTATTGCTCAGTGGGCTGAAAGAGTAAAGGGAAATGTGGTCAAATCATTCCCAAGTCCTGTCTACATCAAGAACAAGACTTGAAGCAAGCATGGAAAATGGCCTTGACTCATCTTAGAAATCAGAGAGAGGGCCAAGGGTAGTGGTTCCCACCTGTAATCCCAATGCTTGAGAGGTCGAGGCAGGAGGATCACTTGGGCCCAAGAGTTTGAGACCAGCCTGAGCAACATAGTGAGACCCTGTCTCTAAAAAAAATACAAAAAGTAGCTGAGTGTGGTGGCCTGCACTTGGGGTCCCAGCTACTTGAGAGGCTGATGCAGGAGTATTGCTTGAGCCAGGGTGGTGGAGGCTGCAGTGAGCTATGGCCATTGCACTCTAGCTTGGGTAACAGAGCAAGTACCCATGTAAGAAAAAGAAAGAGAGAAAGAGAGAGAGAAAAGAAGGAAAGAAAGAAAAGAAAGAGAAAGAAAGAAAGAAAGAAAGAAAGAGAGAAAGAAAGAAAGAAAAGAAAGGAAGGAAGGAAGAAAGAGAAGAGAAGAGAAAAGAAAAGAAAAGAAAAGAAAAGAAAAGAAAAGAAAAGAAAAGAAAAGAAAAGAAAGGAAAGAAGGAAGGAAGGAAAAGAAAAGAAAAGAGATTCACTGAGACTCTGCCAGGTGAGCTGGAAATCCCACATGAATCCCTCAATCTCTGGTTTGATGGGATGTGCTTGCAAAGAAGACTGAAGAGAAAAAGAAAAAGAGAGAAAAAAGAAAGAAAGAAAGAGAAAGAAAAGAGAAAAGAAAAAGAAAGAAAAGAAAGACTCACTGAGACTCTGCCAGGTGAGCTGGAAATCCCACATGAATCCCTCAATCTCTGGTTTGATGGGATGTATTTGCAAAGCAGATTGAAGAGAATGTGTCAGAGACACTTCTAGTAGGTAACACGACAGGGTACAAAGCATTAGAGTTTTATCAGTTAACTTCGAAACTCAGCTCCATCACTCAATACTTTTTTTTTTTCTAAGTTAATTTCCTTGGACCTCAGTTTCCTCTTTTTCTTAAAATATTGATATAATACTTCCCTTCCCAAATTATTATTGAATTTAAATGAGATAATGTTTCTAAAGCATTTAACTCTTCTCCCACAAGCTGGGGAGCAATAATGTTAATTCTTCTACTCTTATACTTCTCCACTTTCCCCTCCTTACACTCTAGTGTTTATTTCATAATATGTAGGACAATAAAAATAAGTTACAGTGAAGCAAATAAGAAAAGGTAAAAGTTGTGAGTAGAACCAACGGAAAATGTGTAAGAAAAATTGAGTGCACAAATTTCTAAGCCTAAAAATAGGAAAACACAAAATATTAGATATGTTCAGAGGGCATCTAATAAATTGAGGGTCACATCAAGAGAGACAAATGCCCTATTTTCCAACAAAGCATTCATTGTTGCTACCGCAAGGGGCAAAATGCTATTCTGAGGTCAGATGACAGGTTTTGGGTTTTTGTTGTTGTTGTTCTTCGTAATAAATAAATATCCTTTCATGCTGTGTTGTTCCAACTTTTCAGTTGTTTACTCAAATAAAGTCACACTTCCACAAAAACCACTTATGATTCCAAAAAGACCATATATCAGAGTCACATGGAGGAGGCTGATAATGCCTCCACTTTGATTTGAGGCATTTTGGACTCCCTAAGAAAAAGAAAGGGTTGCCCAGTGAAAGAGTTCACAGCCCTATTTTTGGAACCTGTTTTTCCAGTACAGTAAAGAGACTCAAATATTAAGACCCTGAGTCCTATCCGGGCTCCATTTGAGTCAAATGTAATAGATGGGAGGCCTGACTCCAGAGACCACACAGCAAACCGCATCCTGACGCAGTGGCTCCACCAGGCACCTGCTGGATTGAGAAATGCAGGGCAAGTCAGCACTGATTCATTGCCCCTGATTGACAAGATACTATCATTCACCTTTTCCTGAGATAAACCAGAGTCTCTTGTGAAGACCTATACTAGGAAGTACATCCCACATTTCACAAATGGTAAAAATACATAGGTAAGAAAAACTCAAAAATACCTCCATAATTTTCA
Organism: Homo sapiens; assembly: GCF_000001405.40. Classification (NCBI taxonomy): domain Eukaryota; kingdom Metazoa; phylum Chordata; class Mammalia; order Primates; family Hominidae; genus Homo; species Homo sapiens. The sequence goes on from NC_000017.11 coordinate 71,405,506, forward strand.
AAAACAAAATTCAGGGCCTTAGTCTGAATTTATATTAATGGAGATGAAGGGGACAAAACATTAAGTGGGGACTCCTTTTCTGCCATTGTGTGGGAAAATCCTGCATAATAGACAATAGTCTCCTTATTTTGTAGAGTAGGAAACTAAAACTTAGCTTAAATAACATACAATTAGCTAAGTGGACAGGATATGATTTAAGCTTAAGTCTTATGATCTTTCTACTCTCCCATCATACCTTTAACCTCTAACTTCTTTCCTTTCTTCACACTATCTTCTTGGCATGTGAGACTTAAGATTTCCTAAATTCAGGCCGGCCACGGTGGCTCACGCCTATAATCCCAGCATTTTGGGAGGCCGAGGCAGGCAGATCACGAGGTTAGGAGATCAAGACCATCCTGGCTAACACAGTGAAACCCCGTCTCTACTAAAAATACAAAAATTAACCGGGCATGGTGGTGGGCACCTGTAGTCCCAGCTACTTGGGAGGCTGAGGCCAGAGAATGGCGTGAACCCAGGAGGCGGAGCTTGCAGTGCGCCAAGATCGCACCACTGCACTCCAGCCTGGGCGACAGAGCAAGACTCTGTCTCAAAAAAATAAATAAATAGAAAAGATTTCCTAAATTCATAGCCTGATGCTGTTATATGATGGGTTTGAAACTTGTGCCTGAGCCACTGTAAGGAACAATGGTCAATTGTCTCAGTTGGGGACTAATTCTACACGCAATGAGAAGAGCACAAACTTAGAAGTCTTGTTTTTCTTTTCTTTCTTTTTTTTTTTTGAGATGGAGTCTTGCTCTGTTGCCCAGATTGAAGTGCAGTGGTGCAATCTCGGCTCACTGCAACCTCTGCCTCCCGGGTTCCAACGATTCTCCTGCCTCAGGCTCCTGAGTGCCTGGGATTACAGGCGCGATTTACCACGCCCAGCTACTTTTTGTATTTTTCGTAGAGACGGGATTTCACCATGTTGTTCAGGCTGGTCTCGAACTCCTGACCTTGTGATCCTCCTGCCTCGGCCTCCCAAAGTGCTGGGATTAAAGGCGTGAGCCACCACACCCGGCCATAGAAGGCTTGTTTTTCTACAGATCGAGTCAGGGTTTAGAGAATAGTGGAGAAAGAACAGAGTCATGAAACTTCAAGAATTTAGAAAGACATGTAAAGCCTTCAGTGCTGATAATTCTCAACTGAAGGTGATTTGAAAATGTCTAGAGACATATTTTTCGGTGTCACTACCAGGGAGGGGCAGGGTTATCATACTGGCATCTAGTGAGTGATAGCCAGGGATGCTGATAAACATCCTACAGTGCATAGGACAGGCCCCTCACCCTGGACCCCAAGAAAGAATAATCACGTTTAAAATGTCCATGTTGTAGAGGTTGAAAACCCTGTTGGAGACTATAAACTCCTTAAGTAGGACTATGGACAACTGAAAGAAACTGGATATTTATGAATAAATTAATGAGTAGATAAGTGAATGAATGAATACATGAATGAAACAATGAGACTTGAACTAACATTCAGGTTATTAAGTAACTACATCTGGTAGCACCACTGAGACGTGGAAAGGGGGTCTTGAATCATATCTTTATTAAAAGATTGTATACATCGCAATTAATATGTATGATTATATGCTTGTAATAACATCAGTTAATCCAGAGGGTGTTAAAGATAAATATATTTATATCCATTTTCCACTCTCTGACTCCAACATGGTGGCTTGTGCAGATAATAAATAATTATGTGAAAAATTATAATTATGTACATCATTAAAAGTTTCCAATACTTATTATTGTATTCTTTTTTTAATTCCTTGAAACTCATGCCTTGTAGTGTGTACTTTTGCTTTAGCTTTGATTTCAAGAACAAACTAGCTATAATACAGGGACTGCTGTCAATAATAAGACTTTTGCTGTTAGACTCTCTCTCACTTTCCCTCTCCTTTAAGTTTGGGCCATATTCTCAACAGACATTAGTCAACCAAACTGGGGCTGGTGCAGGTGGGGTTGTTCAAGCTTGTAATCCCAGCATTTTGGGAGGCCAAGGTGGGAGGATCGCTTGAGCCCAGGAGTTTGAGACCAGCTTGGGAAACATAGGGAGACTCTGTCTTTACAAAAAATACAAAACTGGCTGGGTGTGGTGGCATGCAGCTGTAGTCCCAGCTGCTTGGGAGGCTGACGTGGGAGGATCTCTTGAGCCCAGGAGTTTGAGGCCACAGTGAACTATGACTGCAATAATGCACTCCGGCCTGGGCAGCCGAACAAGACCATAGTCACTAATTAAAACAAACAAACAAAAAACCACAAGTGCAAAGAGGGAGGGGAAAAACATTCATAAAAACTATCACCCTTCTCTGCACATGTAAAGCAACCAACCAATAACTTCACTTCCTGCTATGATTGGTATTATTATAGTGCAGCTCAGGAAGCTGAGTTTCATTACAATAAACCTATGGTTTCACTAAGGCATTTTCCCATGAGAACATTTTAATTAATTTATTATTTGCAAATGAAGCTACAGGTGTTTGAGTGGGTTGGTAGTAGCAGTGATGTCTGTGTGTGTGTGTTCGCACGCGCTAGAGCGCATGTGCATGAGTGTATGTGTGCCTTAATTGCTTCTATATCTGCCTCTCCGGCTCAGCCTGTCCAGGCCAGCTGGCAGCCCCCAGCAACTGATTCCCAGACAAGTCTCTGCCGGCAACTTGTCACGTGGTGATGGGATGATTCTGTCAGGCCCACGCAGCTATGCAGGAAAATAAAATTGTCATAATAAGATGCTGGCTTCTTGGCAACTCGACCCTAGTTCTGGGGTAGAGGTTGGCAGTCATCCTCCTTAGAGACTGAGATGTTCTAACTATGATCAAATGTTTAGATATTTTTTAAAGCTGCTTCTTTGTCCCAAGGAAGATTTTGTTCTCTCATGCCAATGCTAGCACCTTACTAATGATTTTCAGATATATTTTCTAACCTAGAGATATCAACTAAGACTTGGTCTTGCTCTCTCAGCACAAAACATTTGCAACTCGGTTTGGGGGTTTCAACAAAGTGCCACTTAAACTTGACAGGCAAAGTTTCCAATATGGCTATTTCTTAGGAGGGAATTGGCATGGTAGAAAAACCTATGACTTTGGGGTTAGACTGAGCTGAGCTTTAATCCAAGTTCTCCATTCAAGTAGGGATTGAGCAACATAGCTAAATACTAGCTTGGGAGTCTAGCTTTGCCCATTAATAAAATGGTAAGAAAAACAACTATTTTTGGACCATTGTCAAGATTAGCAGAATGTGAAGATGAGCTATTTGACACATAGTAGGCACTCAGTAAATGTCCATTAATTATTAATGCCATCACTATTATTTTTCTATAAACCCTCCAATAACTATTGGGTTCTTTTTAATTCTCAGCTCTATGCTTCCCATTTTAAAAATGATTCTATTTTCTGTATTTTTAGTAGAGAAGAGGTTTCACCGTGTTAGCCAGAATGGTCTCGATCTCCTGACCTCGTGATCCACCCGTCTCGGCCTCCGAAAATCAGCTGGGCGTGGTGGTGGGCGCCTGTAGTCCCAGCTACTCGGGAGGCTGAGGCAAGAGAATGGCGTGAACCCGGGAGGCGGAGCTTGCAGTGAGCCAAGATCGCGCCACTGCACTCCAGCCTGGGTGACAGAGCAAGACTCCGTCTCCAAAAAAAAAAAAAAAAAAAAGATTGCATTTTCTAAATTGAATATACCAAAGTAAACACTTAAAGCAAAGCAAAGCAACCTATTTCTGCATTGCTCTTTTCCCTACCATGTCAACTTATGACTATAACTTGCTATGGTTAATTATTTAGCTGTGTCTGTGCTCTGTCTCAAGTTAAAAGTTAAGTCCCTCTAGGGAAGGAACTATGTATTTACCACTTTGTGTATTTTTCACTTCCTCACTGTACTAGAAATTACTAGTCTTAGTAGAGGTCTCAGAATATTCACTGACATGCTTCTGGGTCATAATCAAACATTTAGGGAGGAATATTACTCAATTTAAGTAAAAATATTTAAGTTGAATTACCAATAGGATCTATAACTTTCAGAGTATCCTGCATCTACGGTTTTAAACTCAGGTGGAGACTAATTTATAAAAAATAAGGATAAAGTATAAAAACAATAAAAATAAATAGATAAATAAACAAATAAAAGTCATGGATGACAGTTTTTAGCATTTATATTTTAGGGACAGAGTCCAATATGCTACTATAATATACCTCCATGTGTATCCCTGTTCAAAAGCTTATTGCTAATTAAAATAAACATTAGATTCCTGAGGTTTACTGAAAATTTTATTGCATTAAAAAAAAGCAAGTGTATGTGAGATGGTAAAAAAAAAAAAGAGCAAGAGAGAGATAAAAGTTAATTAATAGAATCTGGCCTTCTTCCAAAATATACTCTGAGTTTGAGGTATTTGGGATTGGGTAATTTAGGTTGGTTGGTATGTGAAAAACATCTGTCATGATGAGTCTTGCTATAATATGCGACTCACTGGGAAGGCACGGCACCATCTTCATCATCACGATGGGCTTCAAATATGTGCCACTTTCGGCATGACACCATTAAGTGTCTGGGTCCTTATTGGGCAATATTCTGTATTGATTATAATATGTTTTACCTTCTGAGGTTGGCTTGGAAAGTTGAATGGTAAGCAAAGTCATTAGTTGCCCTTGGAGTTGATTTATATCTCCATTGGGAGGTAGTTTTTCCACCACTTTTTCTTAAATGGAGTTGGGTTTGGAGTACCCTATCTGGTACTATTTATAATCTATTAGTCCCCATTTACTACAGGGTCTGGAACTAATTGCACATAAAAATTCCCAACTAGTTTCTGAATCAAAATAGTTATTTTTATGGCTAGAGCCAGGTTTTCCAAAGGGTGTACCATGAAATACTAGTGCCATAAGATGCTCCCCAAAAAGAATTTTATTGTTCAAATAAATTTGAGGGAAAACAGTCCATTGATGCTCTCTTTTGTTGGTATATTGCTAGATTTTGGGGTCCACAATAGCAGAATCAGTGTAAACATTATTATCGTTGAAGCAACTAGCATAATGACCAGCAAATAGAAGACATGTAAAAATATTATCGATAAATTAATGAACACTTAAACAATTCTGCAGTAAAGAAAGCACTTAGCTTTGCTCATTTAAACATTTCCCAATTTGTAACAGTCATGGAACCATTTTTTCGCATAAAAAACATTATAAACAGCTTATCTTCCAAAGAACATCTTGTAGGGAACTCTTGTCTAGAGTATTAAACACATTCATTAAAATAATTTTATGTATACATTCACTCATTCAATGTTCATGTTTTAGTACCTACTAAGTTCTATGTTCCGGGAACATATTAACAAAACATAAGCTCTGCCATTATTGATCTTTTAGACTACTAGGAGAAATATGACAGAGTCTTGTTTTTAAAACAAGGCAACATGTAGTAAGTGTCATATGAGAAGTGGGAATACGAAGATTACAAAGTGAGAAATGAACAAAAAATATCCACATTTGGATATCCTCCTCATGATATAAAATTTAAGAAGTAGTGTTCATTTGTATGATTTATGAAAGGTTATTTCTCACACTGCAAAGGTCAAGAAAGTACCACAAAATAATGAAATGCTCTCACTGTAAGACAAAAAGGAGTAGTGGAGACTGTTTAAAAAGTTTATGCTCAGCCGGGCTTGGTGGCTCCTGCCTGTAATCCCAGCACTTTGGGAGACCGAGGCAGGCAGATCGCCTGAGGTCAGGAGTTCGAGATCAGGCTGGCCAACATAGTGAAACCATGTCTCTACTAAAAATACAAAAAATTAGCCAAGTGTGGTGGCAGGCGCCTGTAATCCCAGCTACTCGGGAGTCTGAGGCAGAAGAATCGCTTGAAACCGAGAGGCGGAGGTTGCAGGGAGCCAAGATCATGCCATTGCACTCCAGCCTGGGCAACAAGAGTGAAACTCCATCTCAAAAAAAAAAAAGAAAAAAAAAGTTCATGCTCTGTTCTCACTCATAAGTGAGAGTTGAACAATGAGAACACATGGACACAGGATGGGGGACTTCACACACTGGGGCCTGTTGGGTTGGGGGAAAGGGAGGGAGAGCATTAGGACAAATACCTAATGCATGCGGGGCTTAAAACCTAGATGACAGGTTGGTGAGTGCAGCAAACCACCATGGCACATTTATACCTACGTAAAAAACCTGCATGTTCTGTCTATGTATCCCAAAACTTAAAGTAAAATAAATAAATAAATAAAATACCTATAAAAAAGTTCACACTCATATTAAAGGACGCAGTTGGCAAATGGATAGAACTAACTATTATCATGGACTTCATGCTGGCAAGTCTTCTGATCTGTTATGAGAAGTCACAAATCTGGATTTTGATCTACAATATTCTCATTATATCCTTATTTATTTTACATATCAACAAAGCTGACTCCATTACACACATATACCTATATACTTGTAAGGTAGATTAAATAGACACATTAACCTTTTTTTCAAAAATTATGCTAAAATTACAATAATGCATTTTTTTTTTTAAATACGTGAGCCTTGAGGATGTACAAAATTGGTGAAGGACGATAGTTGAAATGTTGTGGAAGCTGGTAAGGGGATGGCCCAGTGGTAATGGATTTAGCTGACCCAAGAAAGCAAAATCCCAAGCTTGGAATGAGGAAAGCTAAATTCTCTCAGAATTTTCAAAAAAGCTCAGTCAGTGGTATCTCATACCTCTGCAACTCGGGGAGAAGGCAGGATGGCTAACATCAGAAGGGCTGAGAAGCTGATGGAGACATATTGAGAGATCCCCACCTGTCCACTGTAACACATTCTGAGCAAACTGTTCTTCCCTACACGTTTGATACTATAGATTGGTCCCGTGGCTAGTATAAAATCGAGGGTCTGTGGATTGCAGGATGGCAGACAAGGATGAGAATGTGGATACTGTAAAGAATGAAAACAAGGGATTAAGCAGCCACATGCATCCTGAATCTTAAAAGGAATCACCCTGCACCCCAGCCTTCTTTCCCCATTTGGCACCAAACAGATGGGTGACCCGATTGTTAATCTTCAGACAGGAAATTGGGAAAATGTTTTCCTGAAAATCTGACTAGTGTTCCCTTAGGATCCTGACATCAAGGGATCCCAAACCAATAGCTCCCCAAATTATTCTACAGTAAACCTAAGAGCAATTCCAACAGCATGACTCTAATTGGTGGATTAGTCTTCATAGAGCAGAAAGCCCCAAATCAACAGATAATTTTTTTTAAAGACTCTAACATAGAAGATAGTGGTCAAAATGAATAAAGAGAGGTGGAAGAGAAACTATACAGGAAAAAAACAAATTTTTCGAAGTGCGACTTATAAGTGGGACCTATAAGCCTCTGTAAGTGTAGACAGTGGAACATATTAACCCAGTGAAAAGACTTCTGCCAGATATTTTGTACGAGGCTCATACTGTAGTTGCACCAGGCATACCAGCTTGATGAGTCTTGGGTTACTCAAGCCTTACTCATGAGCTTGCCCGCTGATTTACCCAGAAAGAGATTTTGTAAACTCTCAGGGAACTGAAACCAGAGCTACTGCTCAGTTTATTTTCTCTGTGGACATCTCATGTAAGTCGTAGCAACATTACCCTATCCTTACACAGCCAGGATTGTGCTTGCTACTCAGGTACACAAACTGAACAGTAAATTGTTTAGATACATGCACAGGTGTACAAATTTAAAATCAAATAAGCAAGTAAGTGAATGATTATCCGAAAAGTCAGGATAGTGATTATTTCCAGAGGAAGGAGGGTGTATTAGATTCCTATGACCACTATTAAATAAATTACCACAAACTTAGTGACTTCAAGCAACATGAGTGTATTCTCTTATACTTCTAGAATTCAAGGGGTAAAATCAAGATATTGGCAGGGCTGTCTTTCTTCTGGAGGCATTATGAGAGAATCTGTTTCCTTTTTTTTTCTAGCTTCTAGAGGCCTTCTGAATTTTTTTTGGTTTATGGCTCATCATGACAACCTTTGGTTTCCTCATCATATCTTTCTTTTCTGACTCTGATTCCTCCCGCACCCTCATATGAGGATCTTTATGATTACTTTGAGCCCACTTGGTTAATCCAACATAATCTCCCCATCTCAAAGTTCTTACTTTAACCACAGCCGCGAAGTCCCTGTTGCCACCTGAGGTAACCTATTCACAGGTTCTGGGGATTAGGATAGAGACATCATTGAGGTGTCATTATTCTATCACAGAAGGGGATGCAATCTGGGAGAGTCACTTGGGGGTTTTTGGTTTAAGATAAGCTGCACAATGGATGGCAAGTGTTTATTTTGCTTTTTATCATTCAACTGTACATATATATTTTATATACATTCCTGCAAGTCACATGTTTCACAAAAATGGGCTACACGTGTTATATATATGGGTCAAGTTTAGCTCCTTGTGTCTAGTTAGCAAATTTAATCTAGGATAATACTTATGTTGCAGGTTTACAACAGTGAGAAAGATGATACAGAGATTACTTCCTGCTTTTCTCTCTGACACAACTGTCTTTTTTTTTTTTTTTTTGAGACAGAGTTTCACTCTGTCACCCAGGCTGGAGTGCAGTGGCGCATTATCACAGCTCACTGCATCCTCAACCTCTCACACTCAGATGATCCCCCCACCTCAGCCTCCTGAGTAGCTGGGACTACAGGCATGCACCACCACAGCCAACTAATTTTTGTAGATATGGGGGTTTCGCTATGTTGCTCAGGTTGGTCTCAAACTTCTAGGATCAAGATATCTGCCTGCTTCAGCCTCCCAAAGTGCTGGAATTACAGGCATGAGCCACCACGCCTGGCAGTGATTTCTTCTTAATTACAGCCTAATTTCCTTTGGACTTGAGGCTGTAAGCAAGAGCAATGTGTTTGTCTTTTAGAATGAAGTAGGGCAGTAGTATTAACAGTTTCATGTAATGGTCAATTGATATATGTCATTGTATTAGGCTCTTCTTGTATTGCTATAAAGAAATACCTGAGACTGGGTAATTTATAAAGAAAAGAGGTTTAATTAGTTCTTGGTTCTGCAGGCTGTATAGGAAGCATGGCACCTGCATATGCTTGCCTTCTGGGGAGTACTCAGGGAGGTTTTATTCATGACAGGAGGTAAAGCGGGAGCTTGCATGTCACATGGTGAAAGCAGGAGGGAGAGAGACAGAGAGAGAGAGAGAGAGAGAGAGAGAGAGTGAGTGGGGTGTCAGTCACACACTTTCAAACAACCATATCTTGCAAGAACTCACTCACTATCCCAAAGACAGCAGCAAGCCATGAGGGATCTGCCCCCATGATTCAGGCACCTCCCACCAGACCCCACCTCCAACTCTGTGGATTACATTTCAACATGAGATTTGGCTGGGGACATATATTCAAACTATATTAGTCATCAAAATGATAATTTGAATTTGATTTTGTTTGGTCTTAGAGGAGACATTCTTGAGGCTCATTTGAAAAAACCAATATCCCAGGTCATTCTAGACTATCTATCCTTTCCATATGTTTCAAGAACTTAACAGACTTTATACAAAAAGCCGAATATGGGGTCTAAGGAATATTTAGTTGCATGGTATATGACTAATTTTTCACCCCATGGGAGACAAAAGCGTATTCTTGGTCAGCCTCTTAGCATTTCCAGGGATCCATTTTTCTTTCCTTTCTTCCAAACTAATAAATTCTCCAGGAATGCTGAGAAACCTTCAGGCCTAAAGAATTTAGAAATTGTGGATGGTATACTGGTAAAAGCAATCAATAAAAAACTATAACATTAGAGTCTACTTGCAAAACAGGAGGAGTAGCAGGCAATCTCGACAGTGGAAATAGCCCAGGTAAACTTACATTCAATTGTAAATTGTTGAAGTGAGATACTCAACATATTGCATCTGGGAGGTTTCCCCTGAGTGTTGAATCTCCTCAAGTGATCAAACCCAAAATTTCTCTGGAAATAAAGTCAGAAATTGAATGATTTTGAAAAGGAATTTTCTTGCAGTGTTTGTCATTTTTTCCTAGTCTGGGTAAGTGGCATAAGGTAGAGAAAATTTAGAAAGAATAAAATGTTTTCAGTTATTACAAGAATGAAAATATCAATATTTTAAAATATCCAAACAAGTTGAAAGATTATTGTTGCTGTCACAAATTAGAGATGAGCAGCTGGGAAATATTGATTGTCAAATTTTCAAGTTTGGTATCTTTTCAAATATAAAATAATGTGTTTCCTAGGTGGTAGTTTAAACCATCCGAGTACATGGCTTCTTTAGAATTAACTTTAAAGGAGTTTTCTTTATTTTGGCCTAAGAGGTGATACTATCCCAGGCATCATAAAAGCATAGCATTTGAAATTTACCTTTTTAAAATGTAGATAGATTTGAACTAGAAAATAAAGAATTTGATTGAGATATGATTTCATTTGGATATTAGCAAGAAACATCAGCCAGAATGCTGTATTTGCATAGATCTGATGCCTTAAATTCAGGCTAACTTATCCTGTTACCAGCAAACAAAAGTCTCTGACATACTTGCCCTATGTGAAACAAATGCCCTGAGCTACTTCTTTGGCTTTGAACTCCATTACTGTGTGGTTCTGGTATCTTACCTTGGTTCTGATCTCATATTTGGTCCTGCTGTCATGTTTGGAGCTCAGGAGATCTGATCTTCTTGGTTTGGGACCCAAGTCACCCCTAACCCATGACCATAACTAGCTGCACCTTTTAATGGGGAGTGCTTCAGGCATCTCTACATCTCACAGTCTAGGCAAAACTCACTCCTGGTCATGAAAAGGAAGATATTCCCTTACCTTAGCCTAAAAGTCTCTTTTCAAGTCTTGATCTCCTGCTCTAGGATTGAAAAGCTGTCAACACTGTAGTAAGGTCTCTGAATCTCGTCAAGATAAAACACTGGTGCATTCCATAAAGTCAAGTTTGTTGTCGTCGTTGTCCTATTTTGGTTTTGGTTTTCATTTTAACTTGCACTGAACATGGGTTATGATCAGCCAAGTCCAAGCTGAACTACTATGAAGTTTAGCCTAGTTCTTTTTCAGTGTTTTTTATCAGTCATTCACAGACTCTTGGGAATTACTTAAAATCTTTATTTTCTAAACAACTCGCAAGGGAAGAGAATAGGTAAAAGGAACAGAAAAGAATCAATGAATCAAATACTTTTAGATGGTTTTGGATTAAATATGGTTTAGAACTTTCTTTACTGCTGGATATTTGAGAATATATAACATGCTTTGTGCCTTTGAATAGCCACATTAGTTCAATCTTGTTTATAGTTTTCCTAATGTAAATTTTGAAGCAGGTGTGTGTGTGTGTTTGTGTGTATGTGCATGTATTTGTGTGTCTCTGTGTGTGTGTGTGTGTGACAGAAAAAGAGAGAAAGAGAGAGTATGAATGATATATTGGGAATTTTTGTTTTTAATAGAAATCTAATGTAAATGTTAGCCCAAGAATATTGTAAGTCTTTGCCTGCAATCTCAAAATAACAGTGACAAAATTTCAATGGATTCAGCAAATTAAATTACTAAAGAAGAAAATCTAAACTGCTTCTCCTGAAGTAGCTCCTGAGCAACTTTCCCAGAATAATGTATCAATTTTATGCATTTGTCTTTGTGACAAGTTTGCCTCATTTTAATTATTATACATTAATAATAGTAATAATAATAGTTCCAATGATACCTGCAATTTATGAAGCATTAAATTATGGATTTAGCACTATGCTTTACATTTATCTCATTTTAATGAGAAATATACCAAGGCTAAGTTAAGAATATTGCTCAACATTGCGCAAGTAATAAGTGCTGGAACTCACATGTGAATGCAACACTGCCTATCTCCATTGGATCTTTCATACAACAAATCATTGTTGAGAACATATATGTCCAAGGGGTAAGGTTTTTATCCTAGTTAAACCTCCCATGAAGATGGTAAGACAAGTTAAAGTAACTCAGTGATGCCCACTCTAAAAAAGTGAAGCAGTAATGTTTGAGTAACATAAGGAAGAGTGAGTCCTATAAGCTCTGAGGGAATGTATTTCAATAGAGGAATGCACAAATGCAAAGACATGAGGCAGGGGTGATACTGATGAGAACTGAAAGAAGACTGCAATGAAGGAAGACTCCAGAGAAGTAGGCAATGTATCATGCAATGCAGGCAGAAGACTAGACAGAGGCTAGATCTTAAAGAAATTGGTATGCCATGATGAGAAGATTATGTTTTATTTTAAATGAAATGGACATATATTGGAGCAGGGAAGTGGCATGATATGATTCACAATTTAAAAATATTTTATCTAATTTAGGGACTAGATGGTAAGTGCTGGTGGTGAGGGAAGAGACAAAAGTGGATGCTAAAGAGACCATTTAGAAAGCTACTACAAAGATTTAATTCTGATTTTCTTAGGTCAGTATAATATATCATGCAATCCATATATGCAAATTTCAATTTTTAATAGCAAAATTTAAAAAGTAAAAAACAAGGGTGAAATTAATTTTATTAATATATTTTATTTAGCTCAAAACACCCAAAATATTATCACTTCAACATGCAATCAATATGTGAAAGTACTAAGGATATGTGTTACATTCTTTCTTGGGTACCAAATTTTTGACATGTGGTATGTATTTGCCCCTATAACACAATACAAACTAGCCATTTTTCAAGTGCTCAGCAGCTACACATGGCTAGCTTTAATACTGGACAGTACAGATATAGGCAAATATTAATGATGGTTTGATTAGAGCGATTGCAATGGAAATGGAGAGAAGCAGATTAATTGGACATAAGTTTTATAGATTTAGTAATAATAGGAGTTGCAGAGGAATCTAGGATGAAACAACATTTTTAGTAACACTACTCAGAGATGGTGGTGTTATTAAGATAATAAAACTGGTGATTTTATGGAAGATGTTTAAAGAGGAATCAAAGTGCCAGTCCATAACAAGTGAAAATACTGCTTCTCATTAGTGGTAACTAATGTCTCTCAACCCACCTTCTTGCTAATACCACTTAACAAAGAATATGGTGGTTCACAGCCTCCTGAATTAGAATGACGAGAATGCATATAAAACTGCACATTCCCAAATGTTACTAGAGTTCCACTGAATTACAATATCAGAGTTTCCGAAACTTTAAATATACAGTAATTTAACTGTGGTGTGGTGAAGCTAGTTCAACGTGACTTGCACTTGCAAGAGTTGACTGTTACATTTTCAGGAATTTTGAGAGTGTGTTGATGTCATGTCCATAGCTTGAAATTGATCACAGTGGGAGTATTTACACTATGAAAATGAGCAAATGCTACAAATCAGGGCTTTTTTTTTACCCCCAGAGTTCATTTGTAAGCACACACACAACAGAAGGGACAAGAGAACAAGAAGAGAATATGAAGAAAGCGCTCCACACACACACACACATTAAGCATGCATAAAAGCCTTGTAAAATACAGCAATAAAACAAAACAGAACAATGGTAAATCATTGTTAGAAAGATAAATCTTCTGGTTCCAGAACAGAAGATAAATTTAAAAGAATACAATGCATCAAAGTTGATACATTCAAGAACTGAAATTCTAATACTGAGAAAAGCATGCTTGAGACTGTAGCTCCCCTCCTGCATATTAAGAAGTCCCTGCATACAGCCTAGAGTCTAAAGGAGGTAGCTAAAATCCTTGTCAGTGACAGGATATGGATTAAATAACTTGTCTTCATGGGGAAAATATAATATTGTATATGCAGACTAAAATCTGCATATAAAATGGGCAATCCTTAAGAATTTCTTAAAAGCATAACTTTGAAATAAGTAGTTAAGGAAAAATAATTTATAAAATAATAATCTACAAAAGTCAGGAAAATAGTTTTATACTACATAAAATGATAAAGATGTAAAATTATAAGTATAAATACAAACACTAATGAAACTATCAAAACAATTTAATCAATCAAGTTCTGGTAATAAAGCAGAGGATGGAAAAATAAAGTAGAAAGGTAATCACAATTTCTTGGTTGCTCAGTCAATAGATACTTTCTAGAAGATGAGCTTGAAAGTAATATTGCAAAGTAATATTGGTTGTAAATAAACTACTATATGTTGGTACAAATGTAATTGTGTTTTTTACCATTACTTTTACACCAACCTAATAGAATGAAAAATAGCAAGTAAAACTTTTGCACAATCAGGTTGTACAGGGCACACAACAGAGCTAGGAAAAAAGAAATTGTGGTTTTTACCATTACTTTTACATCAACCTAATAAAATGAAAAATAGCAAGTAAAATTTTTGCACAGAGTGTACAAAGCACACAACAGAGCTAGGAAAAAAGATATCATATTGTAAAAGGAAGAAACAAAAGAAGCAGCAGCATGAAAAATATAAAGCATAACATAAATTATGACTTATACTCTTAGAAATTATCAGTAATGGTAAATATATATTTATAGATAATGTATAAAATGTGTATATATAATGTATAAAAATGTAGCAAAGAAAGCAAAAAAAGCACCTCCTAGGCTAAACTCTGTGCTATAGAACTGTATACAGACTCTACTCCTATACCATGTAACAGTGACAGCAAAACAGTGATTTGACAGAAGTGGAGGACAGGCAGGATGGGGAGAGTAGGCAGGTGGTAGCTGAAAATAAAAATGTAGACCAAGGAACAGTAAACAAATGAATAATTAAAGGAAACAAGAATTTTTACTTTAACATAAACAGCTGAACTCAGAAGGAGAGCATTTAAAAAGGCAATATAGGCCAGGCACAGTGGCTTACACCTATAATCCCAGCACTCTGGGAGGCCAAGGCAGGTATATCATGAGGTCAGGAGTTTGAGACCAGCCTGGCCAAGATGGTGAAACCTCATCTCTACTAAAAATACAAAAATTAGCCAGGCACAGTTGTAGGCTCCTGTAATCCCAGCTACTTGGGAGGCTGAGGCTGGAGAATCACTTGAACCTGGGAGGCGGAGACTGCGGTGAGCCGAGATCGTGCCACTGCACTCTAGCCTGCAAGACAGAGCAAGACTCCATCTCAAAAAAAAAAAAAAAAAAAAAAAAAAGGCAATATAGGTAACATGCAAATTATAACAATGAACATCTAATAGATACAATTATCTGTGCACCAATAAGAATGACACATTTCTTAAGGCAAAAACAATAGGAAATTTAAGAAGTAGACAAAAGCCCAATAGTAGTAGAATTAAATTTATCTTTCACATCCCTAACAAATAAGGCAAATAAAAATAACTTTGAAAATTAAAAACATTAAAAGAAATGAATAAAGGAGACCTAATTGTGTGTGTGTAGGTGTGTATATTTTAGCTTCAATTCAGAAAAAAAGGAATAAGACTTTACAAGAGTCCATATGACATCCACAATTGGCATACATGAAGCCATAATAAACCTTTAATAAGCTTCAAGAAGACAGGAACAGGACAGTACAACAGAAAACGTTTTCTTGTCAAAGTAAAAGATGATATGGTAACAGAAGGGAAAAAAACACAATGAGAAAATATTTAAAATCTAAAATTCGTTAACTAAAGGTAAAAATTAAATTCAAGATCATAGAAAAGTCTAAGTAATAATGAAATGAAATGAATACTAATGAAATTTAAACAATAGCTATTAGAAATTTTGCAAGATTCAGTTAAGAGAAGAATTCACATATATAAATGCTTACATTAATACTAAGTGAAGAATAAGAATAACAAAGTAAGCATCAAACTCAAGAAGCAAAAAATAACATATATCTAAATAAAATTAAAAGGAAGAAATCCCAAAACAAAAGTGTCATTCAAGAATTTGATAATATAAATAGAAATGATAATAACAGTAATAGTAGCTCAAATCATTACATACTTAATCTATGCAAGGCATTATTCTAAATGACTTCAATGTGTTAACTCAGTTTGAATTTATAGTCCCTAACAATGAGGATCAAGAAAACAAAAAGCTGAGTATTTGACTAAATAAATAAAATACTAGAAAGATTGATTAGAAAAAATGGAAGGCAAAAATATAAACAAAATAAGTATAAAAAAAGAACAAAAGTACCACTGGAGAATTTAGAAAAAAATTAGAAAGTATGTCAATAGCATTTGCTGGAAATTTTGAATCTAAGATTAAACATATCCTTTCTAAGAAAAAAAAAAAATCTGACTTCCCAAAATTGACTTGAGAAGACATGGAACACCTACAAATATTAAAAAAAAATTAATGAAATTTAATCAGTTATCAAAAATGTCTCCTCACTCCCTCAGTAAAACATCCTCCACAGCTCAGATGACTTTGGAGATGATCTAAATACTAATACACAAAATATCATGTGACAATCGTCTCTCAAAATCAGTTCCAGAGAACAAGAGATAAAAGTTATTGATTCATTATGATCCTGTACAGCTCCATATCAAAACCAAATGAGGATAATAAAATAAACTAAAAGTATAAATTATCTTTTATGAAATAATGTGAAGATCTAAAAAAATTACCAAACTTAATCCACATTAAACTATAAACACTTAATAGGATTTATACTAGGAATACAAGTGTAGAACCTTTTTAAAAACATGAAATTGGTGGCAACACCCTGGTGTGAACCAAAGAGAAGTTCCTTAATGTGAACAAATAGAACTTACGGATAAAATATTCAATAATAACAATAATAATACATAGTATATAGTTGTTCTTTAAAAAGTGACATTTGTGTGTGAGTGGCAACAAAAATATTAAAAGAAAAGAAACAACAACAACAAAAGAAGCCACACACAAACACACATGTGGGGAGGGTAGCTTCACCTTCGGGTATTGGCAAGGCCTCCTGTGATAAGTGTTCACAACGACAATGACAACAACAACAATAACAATTGCCTCTTCTGTGAAGATATACACACACACTCTCTCACAAAAAAATTTACATACACATGAACAAATTCATCAAAGGGACAGTTTTGAGAGTCCAGGACAGATTCATAAATATAATGAAACATATAGCAAAAGTGGCCTTACAAATTAGTGATTACAAATTAGTAAGGATGAGTTACTGAATGAAGTTTACTGGGACAATTTGCCTATCAATATTGAAAAAACTCAATAAAGTCAAGCAACTCAATAAAGAATAGGCAAAATATTATAAGTAATTCACAAAAGAAGAAAGCTGAATGGCCAATAAGTATAAGAGAAGGCCAGGCACGGCGGCTCATGCCTGTAATCCCAGCACTTTGGCAGGCCGAGGCGGGCAGATCACGAGGTCAGGAGATCGAGACCATCCTGGCTAACATGGTGAAACCCTGTCTCTACTAAAAATACAAAAAATTAGCCGGGCGTGGTAGCAGGCGCCTGTAGTCCCAGCTACCGGGGAGGCTGAGACAGGAGAATGGCGTGAACCTGGAAGGCGGAGCTTGCAGTGAGCTGAGACCGCGCCACTGCACTCCAGCCTGGGTGACAGAGCAAGACTCCACCTCAAAAAAAAAAAAAAAAAAAAAAAAAAAAACACAGAAAATGCTCACATACTCTAATAATTAGAAAGATACAAAATAGCACAAGATATCACTTCACACTTCTTAGACTGAAAAATAAAATAAAAGGTCTAGTAATACTTATTACTGGAGATGATATGAGGGAAATCACAGCACTCACACACCATTTTGAGGGGAAAATTAGTGCATTAACTAAAAGAACAATTTGCTCTTTTCCCTCCAGGAATCCTCTCTCAAATGTCTTTTGACTTAACTCCTCAGGAATCATCTTCTAAGACGTTCTCACTCATCTCCCAGATGATATTTGCATTATAAAGTCCACCTGCAACTTTTGTGCATTTTAACCTCTACCTTCAGCCAGGATGGACATCAAAATGATTTTAAAATCACCACGAAATTTCATAATCCATGAAAGGATACTCATTTCCTTACATTCTATTGCATTAACTGTTTTGCAATTTTGTGGAAATCTATTTCAGACTTAAGCATACATCCAAGGATCAGTTATTGCACATAAAGCACAGACCACCTCAGTGGCAAACTCACTTTGGCTGGCAACGAAAGCAGATATGTAAAATGCTGCCTTCTCCATAGGAATAAGGGAATGAGCGGGAATCCCCCAAATCCTCTGCGCACATAAGGTTCACTTGGTGCGGCTCTTTAACTTCTATTTTATAACTAACCCACGTGGAAAGATTTTTTCCACATTGAAATCAAGATGGGCGGGATTGGTTTTGTTTTAACTAGTTTTCCTTCATATGTGAGATTTCTAGCATATAGCCTGAGAAGTCGGGGGCAATGAAATGCATATAGTGTAGAAAAGGGATATAAAAATTTCTTGTTTTAAATTTTTTTCCCATGTCTGTAAACACTCCATTTCACCTGGCAGAAAAGTTGTTCATGACCGAAGGCTCCTAGGCAAAACAGGTTTGGACCCAAAGGAAATAAAGAGAACTCTTGTCTTTCCTGTCATGCAGAGTGATTTTATATGCACTAACCCAGTGACTGAGAAGAGGAAGATTCTGTCCCTAAGGTGGCCTGTCCCGGCTGGGGCAGGTGCAACTTGCAGGGTAAATCCCAGAGGACCCAGCTATGGCCTTCATTCTCAGCAGACACTGCTTTTGCAATCACTTTTTATCTGTGAATCCTTGCTGGAGAAATAAGAACAGTCTACAGCTTCCTGTGTGATTTGCCACTTCTCCTTGTGGACGACAGTCATGTCTGCAATATGCGCTGATTTTATCAGGAGATGTATTTAAAGGCTAGTGGTTAATGCTGTATTAACATGTGATGGGGTAAAGGAAATAGGGTGCAATTTTTCTGCCTTAGTCACTCTCCCAGGCATAAGATAGAGTAACACAGGTGTGTCTGATCTCCCCAGGGGGTTGATTATCTCACAATAACCACATCCTCTGTAATTCGCTTACTACTATTTTTTTTTCCCAGGATCAGATACAAAGAAGTGATTTAGGTGATTGGATTGACTGACAAAAAACTGTCAGCCAGTCTGCACCATGACATTTTAAAGGATAATATCTACTTTCTGCAGGTTCAGCCACCAATAGGCTAGTGTCAGTGTCAGCAAATTAAAGGCTTCCTGGACCAACTGGGCTTCTGCAAAAACGTTTATGTTTACATTTCCAATGCCCTTTTCATAGGCAATTCAAAACCTAAAACCTAAAAGTTTTCACTACTCTTAAGAGAAATAAAGGGCAGGGAGTTGGCATCAATCCCCACCTGAGAAACACACTATTGTTTGCCAGTGCTTTATGATGGATTTGAGGGAGGTCAGCTGCTATTCCTAGATTAATCTAGCGAATCAAATGCAGTAACGATTTCTCTCTTACATTCTGACTGAGACAGAGAAAACCTAAGTCCAGAAGGTTGTAATCAAGAGATAAGTGACTTAGGGGATAATTTCATATCTGACTCTCAGATACAGTGATTGTCAATATTTCAATTTCATTGAATTCAATTTAAGAGATCACAATAATGTTTATCTCATTTGGACTGAGCACTTTTGGAAGTCTATTCATTAGTATAATGCTCAATAGTCTTTTGGAAAACAAAATTAAATAGAGAATTATGGAGAAATGAGTACTAATTTAGCTAAAGATTGGTTTCCATCTGATGTAAGAGGGTGACATGAATGAACTTCTGGTTACAGTCATCCTTAAATGCAAAAGGGTGAAGTTGTATAATGCTTCCTTGTTCTTTTAGGTGGATACAAAGTACCTTACATTTTAAATAAACTGTTGTCTTCTATATAAATGCTCTATTTTTCTTTTGATTTAATGGTCCCTAATCATTGAGTTCTTGTTTTCATCTTTAAAACTTAAGGGTCTATGAATGTTTTGGAGACATATTCTGTAATAAACTTTAAGAGTCAAGGATGCATTGGTGAAGCAAAATCTCTGCTCACATCAATTCAATATCTTATTCTAGTCAGTCAAGTGTTAGCCTTGGGTTCAAGGTAGGTTGCTGCCTTAGCAGTGGGTACCAGGGCTTTTACGATGGCAATTCTGTGCAACACCAAAATGTCATGACTGCAAACTCATTTCCTGGGCACTTTCATGGACAAATATATAATAACATGGTACACTGGCACACTGAAGCAAAGCTTTGCAACAAGCCAACCAAGCACTGGTGAAATCAACTAAGTTGAAGCAATTGGAATGATGCAACAAGGGATGATCAGAACCATTTTATATTACATTTATTCTAATCTCATTAGATTTTCTAATGGGTTCGTGTTCAGCTGTTCTCTAAGAAGATCCTTGCATTCTCCATTTTTCTCATATCCATGTAGAAGTTTTCATTCAGATTTCTACATAGAGTAAGAGGCCAATAAATACTTGTTAATGGACTTCAACATTCTCCCTTTTCCTCAAAACTCAAAGTTTTGTTTTTGCCCTGATGAGAAAGAATAACAATAGCAACAGCAATAAATGTTAAAGATGGATAAAAATAAGAATGAAGCCTCTCTTCTGGTTCAAAATTCAGCCAAAAAACATACTGGACAAAAAAGCAACCTGACTAGGAAATAACGTGAAAAGCTTTAAGAGAAAACGGGTCCTTGCAGGTAGCAATTAAACACACACACACACACACACACACACACACACACACACACACACACAGAGGACATATTTCTCTTTGTATTCACAGGTTAAAAAGATGCAACTGAAATAGGGGTAATATTTAAGTTGAACTAACTGTTTTGTATCTAAACTTGATGGGTAGGTGTCAGTACTGTTTATGGTGAAAGAAACAGAAAGGTATACATTCATTTTACTACATGAACAGGACTGCTAAATATGGAGAACATATTTTTGCAATGAATATAAACAATTTTACAGTTTATCTTTCTAATTTCCCAGCAAGTCCAGATTATTGATGGTAAAAGGACTCAATGCAAATACATATTAAGTTTTCATTTATTTTTCCTTCAATATACCTGAACACCTGAATGAAACATTTCATGAATGGAAAGTTAATCTACCCAAGCTTGGATACCTGAAACATTAAGAAACTGGACGCTTTTTTGGATTTAGTCAACCACACAGGAGTATTGTGCAAAAGGTTAGGATAGGGACTCAATCTCAAAGCTCAGAGCTTGATCCCTCATTGAAAAAATCAAGGTGCTTTGCTTTTTTATTTTTTTTCTTTTTCATTTGAATGGGTTCAAATCTTCGGCTTACTCAATTTTCACCCAGGGCTTAATGCACTGGGTAACCCTCAGGACATAAAACTTTCAAAGTGAAATGATTCTTTCTGCTGACAGATGTTCTTAATGACATGTGAAATGAGGCTTCATATAAGTTCTGGTCCTCAGAAATGCATTTGGATGTGGCTGGACTTGTACACAGCCCAACTGTCTACGCAGACAATCTTATTTTTTCATAGAATATTTGGTCTTAGCACACAAAGAGGCTTCTCTTATGACAGGGATTTTAAAATTTTGAATCCTCTTTGTTTTTGTGGGCAACTCCATTCAAAAATCCTTACAAAAATTTTTAAGACACCATAGACTAGTTTACAGATACTCCTTGAAGGTAAAATAAGTAGGTGAGTTTAAAGTTGAGGTTGATAGCATTCATGTTGTCATATGCCAAAGTGGTCAGCAACAGGATGTGCAACTCTATGACACCTCACTGGACAGTTTAATTCATGCCTTCCATTGATATTGTTATCTTGATTTTTTAATGTTTTGTATTAAATATTAGGCAGATGAGATATCAAATAATAGTTATAGAATATACTTAGGGTATAGAAATACCAATACAATAATGGCTCACTCTCCCACAGAATCATTTAAGAAGTAGTACTTACAATTTTTCTCCAACAGTGAATTTGATATGCATGTGAAATCTTAAAAACAAATAAAAATCATGCTTTATTAAGAAATGTAACTAAGAAAGGATATTGAGTTATACTTTTGCTGAGACACTTGTAAGACTTTAAAAATAAACAATGATTTTGTTTTAGCAAAGCAGTGGTATCCTATCAATATGCATTTCTGTCAACATAAACAGTATCCAAGAATCAGGTACAGCGAAGATGTTCCTACACCAGTAATCACAATCAAGTCAGAAATTCCTTAATTTTTGTAATAAATCTGCAAACAGAATTTTAGCTCATGACTGTGCTAATTGTTCATTCTTGTGAATCTGAACTACAAATAATCAAACGGTATTCAGACTTAATCTGTGTTTTACATGTTCCTTATAGTTACTCTGGATTTTTCACATTGGAACTTTTCTATAACCTACATTCTTCTCTGCTTAAGTACTTTCCTGAAATCCATTCTTGGTGTCATCTATGTATTAGCCGGTAGGTAAATATCCAGTACATGAAAGTATGTCTCTTTATTTTAACTCTTTCCTCTTTTGGATTCTGAGTTAAACATAAGGAGGAGGAATAGTTTTTCTTGGTGTTACCACATCAATGTGGTTCCATCTAAATTAGCCTTGGGCTATGAGGGAGGAGACAGTATGGCATGACTGTAAACGAAGGAAAATTAAGCACAGCATCCTGTTTACTTTCAGTTGGAAAGTTGAGTAAAACAACCTGCTAAGCCACAGCCTTGTTTTTGGATAGATTATGCATTTCATTAGCAAAAAGGTAGTTTTTGAAAGCAACTTTGTGAAAAAATAATCACTGGACGTGAAGAAAAAAAATGGCCATTTTAGGGACCATTCCTGGAACAGGCAAATCTCTGAATTTATTTTAACTACCAGGACAGGGATATTTCAAAGACACAGTCTCTGGGTACCTTGGCACCAAGACTAAACTGGGCAAGAGTTGTATCTTAAGTTCTTTCCTTGGGGAACAACAGCCATGTGCTACTTCTACAGCCATTCTTTCAAGAGTTCTAAATATGAGTAACTCTGCATATTATTGTGCCTCTATAAACAGCTTGGAGTTATTACAGATGGCGACAAAATATTTAGTGGGTTTATGTGGAAATTTACAGTGGAAATCTTATAAAACATATGCAATCTTTTTATGTAGTTGGGACTCTTGGCTTGAGAAACTAAATGGGACATTTACTTTGCACTTTGGCCACCTCTGTAGGGGATGTGGAATAGACTTAATCCAACGAGATACTGAAGAATCTTGTGAAAAAACATCCCAGGAAAAGAAAGCTGAGGGCCATTACATTTGTTTCAAGATCAATTTCAGAGTCAAAGGGAAAGATCAATTTTATATATGGTCTTGACTCTATGGGTTTATATACGGTAAGAGTAATTTTTAATAAAGTGGTAGTAAAAAATGAAAATACTAGTTTGATAAAATACCTATAAGACATCGAAAAACCAAAGCCTCATTGTATTGTAGCTTTAATACAGAATAAAGGTTAACTGAAAGTTAAGTGAATGTGCCCTGTATTAGATCACAAAATATTCATGGCAGCTAAAGCAGAGATAATGTTTGAAGTGGAAAATCATAAGAAGATATATCTCTTGGGTAGTGTTGGGTGGTAGAATTACTGGAAATTAGGGTACAGAGTAACAAACACATCATTGATGGAGTCAGAGAGAGAAATAAGTGCAATAGAAGAAACATCATGACAAGTAGTGGGGAAAACCTGTGGTTAGTTCACCTGACATACTCCCTGGGTATTTCCTGAAAGCATTAGGAGGAAGAGTTAAGACAAACAGAGCTAGGTAAGT
The DNA here is from genome assembly GCF_000001405.40 of Homo sapiens. Classification (NCBI taxonomy): domain Eukaryota; kingdom Metazoa; phylum Chordata; class Mammalia; order Primates; family Hominidae; genus Homo; species Homo sapiens. Next base: position 71,429,195 of record NC_000017.11, read on the forward strand.
ATTTCTTTGTTACTATTCAACTTGCCCTAATTTTACAACCTTTTCCATTGATGTGATCTTTGAAAATAGATTTAATATGTAATGGTAAGAGAATGTCTCTTGACGTGTCTGTGAAAGACTTGTTGAAACATGAAGAGTTGAGCCAATCAGCTGACTACAAATGTGTCAAGTATTTTAACTTCATTGATAAATCCTTGAGAGAGTTGACAAAATGTAGCTGTCATATTGCCATGTGTGGCCAGGTTTTATTGAATTTTTATCCTTCTAAGTCAAGTATTGATGAATAAAATCTTATCATGGATTATTTTGCTATTCTTAAATTGTTGAGCCAGAAATATTCATGATTGTCTTGCAGTAAAGTGGCATGCATGTGGAAGAACTGTTAATAACAATTAATAACATGTTACTATTACTACATGTAATAACATGTAGTGGGACTTCTTGCATGGGTTACAGAGCTAAACTAGATGACCTATAGCAACTTTTCCCATCTTGGAATTCTACAAGTGTTATAAAAATACTTCAACCCTTACACAATAACAGACTGACCTCATGCATATTCTTCAATTTCCAGGTAAGATAGTGGAATCAAAACTTGATCAGAAATCAGAACATTTGATCCCAATGCTGGGATTCATGCTACTCACTATATGGTCTTGAATAACCAAGACCATATATTCCCTTTTTTGTGTCTGACTCATCTATGAAGTTAAAAATTAAAATAAGGAGATGAGTATAATTCATCTTTGAAGAAGTTAAATATCATCACAGTGGCCTACAGAAGTTATTTTGAATCATGTATTTAAATAAAAGCACTTATGCATATAATGATTGTTAATTTCAACTGCCATCATAATTAGCACAGCCACAGAATCTTAGAGGTGGAAGAAACTCTAAAATTCATAAAGCACAGTGATTTCCAAATTCTTTACTTTGTCAGACAAACCTTAAGTCAAAGGAATCCTATTTAGAAATCCAATATTTACACCCAGTATGAGTGGGGTTGCTCTCATCTCAGTAAAAGTCAGCCAGCGAAGCATCCCACTCATGAATGCATCAAAAAACAATCTGCTTGTTTTCATCCTAGGTACATCTAAGATACCTCCATTCCCTTTGCAGAATGGCTGAGTTTCACTTGCTTGTATCTTCTGTTCTTTTATAGATAAAGGAGCTGAAGTTCAAGGAAATTCTTATTCATTCAATCAACTCATGCTGAGAGATACATTGCTCAGAAAATTGTCCGGTTAATTGACAACAGAGTAAATATTGGAACCTAGACATGTTGACTCACTCAGAGCTCTGCACCCCTCTCCACTCCTTCACTGCTACACTGTACAGTCGCGAGAAGACACAGACATAGGAAAAACAGAAAGTTTTCCGTCGTTTGATGGCATGGGCAGGAGCAGTGGCTCATGCTTATAATCTAAGCACTTTGGGAAGCCAAGGCAAGCAGATCAGTTCAGGTCAAGAGTTTTAGACCAGCCTGGCCAACATGGTGAAACCCTGTCTCTGCAGAAAATACAAAAATTAGCTGGGTGTGCTGGCAGGTCCCTGTAGTCCCAACTACTTGGGAGGCTGAGGCAGGAGAACCGCTTGAACCCTGTAAGTGGAGGTTGCAGTGAGCTGAGATCGTGCCACTGCACTCCAGCTTGGGTGAAAGAGCAAGACTCATCTCAAAAAAAAAAAAAATAGTTTCATAGCATGAAAAGTTGCTGGGCATTTATTAAACACAGAGGCTGCATTCTTTTACCTTCATGTAATATTCTATATCTTTGATTTTAGAAAAAGAAGATCTGTGACTATGTTTGACAAGGAATCGTTGTCCATCTAAGCAGATTACGAGAGGACTCAAATAATCTAACACATTCTGATTCACCAAGGGAACCCAGCTCCTTAAAACCCGCCTGGATATGTTTGGGACTCACATAAAATTTGAAAAAAAGAAAAGCCCTCTTTTCAAAAATAAAAATAAGAGCAAATAAACTTGCTATTCGTGTCTTTTAAAATCTCTAAAATGAGACGTGCTGAAAATAATTGTCAGACCTGTCTTCTGTGTGTAATCCATAACAAGGGACATGTCCAAGAAGGTTAGTGGTTGGACTCCCTCTGATTTAGAGCATGCTAACAAAAGAAGAACATTTCAACAAGTTTTTAATGCCTACCATATGCCCAGTTAAAATCAAACTAGAAATGAGTTGGACTGAATAAGCAATGGGACAAGATTTCTCTATAGCTCTTATTTCTCCCTAGGAACATTACCCAGGAGAATGTGTGACTTATTTTCTATGGTATCAAGAGCCAGTAAGAAGAAACAGAAGGCACCAGTAGGGATAGCATAAAACAAAAACAAAACAAAACAGCCCTTAATCTTGGCTTAGGAGTCCAGAACAATTATACTTTCACATTTTCCTTCCTAATTTGTATTTTCTGTTTTCAAGAAATTTCCAGACAGCTACAGAGTGGTGTAATGCCAACATATTTTCAAAGGTATTTTTGTAAGTGCTAATAAATGAGTGCATATTGTAAGAAAACTCATGAAACATACAATTTATAAAAATAAAACAAGATCACTGAGAGATTAAACGAAATTTTTTAAAGTTTCCGTGCAAATACATATATACTTTTAAAAATCCCTGGAATTAGCATGTTTCTCAAAGGTGATGAAAAGGTGACATGAGATGGAAGAAATACCTCTAAACTTAGAATTAGGAGGCCTGTGATCTAGACACCACTTCTCGGTCATTAACCAGATGAGTGAATCCAGCAAGTTTCACAATCTCTTGGATGGCAATTTCCTTTTCTAAGAAAAAATAAATTTGGACTAAATGCACTAAAGGCTTTTTCCAGGATGACATCCTTTGAGGTTGATTGTTTTTGTTACTGTTGTTGTTATTGTTGTTAAAATGATTAATATCATATGGCATAATATATATTATGCATGGATAAAATGATTAGATATAAATTGCTTTCCTGTGTGTTGCCATGATATGAACATTGAAACCCCATGGACTTAGGTAAGAAAGGACTTTAAAGCTGAGTAAACAGAACTTTAATGAGACTCTATGTTAGATCTTCCAGAGGCCAGTCAGCACAAATCATTGCATTGGATTTTCAGTTGAGATGACTGCTGTGCAAATTCATGACCTTTATCACATCAATTGAAATTCGCTTCCGGTGCCAGGTGAGAGTACCACACAGTCACCCATAACCCTACTTCTAGATTTCAGCTACTCCTCCAGGAACCCAGAATTATGAAGTTGGCAGCTGCTACAAGCTCTGCAGACAACGAGAAGGGCATGTAACAATGCCATTCAAAAGTGGTTCATGAACAGTATGGTTCTCAAAATGACACATATGAGCATTTGTGTATTTGCAACAGTATTTTTTGCTATATGTTTGCCTAATTTTGTACTGATGAATCATCTCTTTAGGAATGAAATGACTAAAAATTCTATGAAGGGTTGGGTGTCTTTTATTTTGGGAAAAGAATCCAAACCCTACGGCAAGAGAGCCATGATTACTGGAGGTGCAGGTGGTATTTTGGGGGAAATTAGCATAGGTGGAAGCCTTAGGATACTTGCTTTCCCCTTCTACAAGATTCAGCATGGTGTTGTTCATGAAGGTCCAGTGGGTAACTGGAAATCCCCATATGCCTAACACTCAGAAATATTCTTTTGGCTTGTTAGGTAAGAGTGAAGTCATATTTAAGAAATATCTTAGTATGAGAGTCTAGACTATCTCACTTGTATCAAAACTCCATGGAAGAATAACTGTAACCCCAGATATTAACCAGATTTTCATAGCACTATTACCTACACACACAGACACACAAGTGTATGTATGCATGGACATGTACCCTTAAGATATGCCTCAAATAAAAGGAAACTAATGAAAGATGATCTGGGTGTGCCTTCCCAGGTGTTCTGGCTGTGTGTCAAAGCTGGTAACTGTTATCCACCCATCTCCAGAATTCCCCCAGAATCTGGAGTTTCAGACAGATTTGCATTAGAAAGATGCCTTAATTGTTCTGAGGCTGCCATATTCTCCCTCAGACTATTGGATTTAAGATGAAGAGGTTTTGGGAAGGAAGCATCAAAGAATATACCCTGGTGAATAAAATAAGTCATCCCAGGACATTTAGAAAGCACTTAGCTTTTATACCAAGACTGATGGCAGGCTGTTACACTGCCTGGCTTGACGTCTTCTCCTAACTTATTGGGCTTATTTTATGTCCTTCTTGAAGGATCTCTTAGCATTATTTTATTTTATTGTATGGATGCATTATCAAGAACAAATTACGCCTATACATTCTCATTACCTCAAGATTAGAAAGCATGTAATTTATAAGAACAAGCTAAAACAAGAAAATGACTTTATTTTGCATTTTTATATATTTAAAAAATTATGATGTAGACACATTTTGTGACTTAAAAATAATAATATATACACAAAATGTCTCACTCATGCCCTAGCCACCTTTCTAAAATCTTCAACATTCTCACCCTATAGGAAGCCACATTTATTAGTTTCTAGTGTATCCTTATACTTCTTTTTAGACAAGGAGAAGGTAATACAAAGATACGCTTTTATTTCCTGGCTCCCTTATACAAATGGTAACATACATTGCACACTGCATGCTTCTGTTTCCATCTAACAATATATCCTGGATATATACAGCAGAATGTACATCCTGTTTCTTTATTCCTTCTTATAGCCCCGGAGAATGTGTGGTACAATCTTTTATTCAGCCTGTTCCCAATAGATGCATCTTTGGGTGGGTTCTGGTTATTTGTAATTAAAATACACATATATTTGGGTAAACATATAAGATAAATTCTCATAAGTAGTATTGCTGGGTCAGAGAAGCACATGAATTTTTAACTTAAATAAATAATACTGATCAGCCCCACTGGATAGACAGCTATAAGTATTTGGGATACAAGTATAATTCATATCCCAAAATCTTCTGTGTTAGGGATTTTGGCAAAAAAAATTCATATGATCCATATGATATAACTTACACAGGGCTTATCATCAGAATCGTTTTGGAGGGATTTTAAAACACAGATTTCTGGCTCATCCCTGGAGGAGCTAAATCTTTCAGTGTGGAGTGGGGCTCAGGAATCTGTGTTTCTAACTCTTCCAGGTGATTTTGCTCAGGGTGGTTTGAAGATTTGCTTAAGTTTTAGGCATTCAGACTTTTGAGATAACAGTCTATATAGTACAAAACAAAATAAAATGAGCAACTTTCTGCAATGTTATGATACATGATAGATTTAGATAAGTTAGCTTTTGAAATTATTAACTTTGATTTTATAATTTTCATATTTTGGAAAAAATATTTTTCCTACTATTGAATACTGTAACAATGTCTTCAGTAAAAAGTAAAATAGATTGTATAGACCTATCTTTTGGGGTTCATGTAAATACTAACTTTAATTAGTTAACAATGTAGAACTGCAAAAGTCATAAAAGAAATGTGATCATAATAATCACAAATTATTGGTTTCTTGTTAAATGAATCTCAAAGTCCATGCGATATTTATGACTTAAAGTTACTATGACAAATACTAGCTTAGCCTTTGGATTATTTACATTTTAACCAAGAAAGAAAGGGTTCTTTTTTTTTTTTTTTTGAGAAATTTTCTAAGTATTTATTTTAATAAAACAAATAACTGACTCAAAGCTTACAATAAGGGCACCTGAACATGTGGTGAGTTCCCATCCCACTCTTATAAAGTATTCTGGAATAGAAGAGCAATTGTCCCTGTATCAGGATTCTTATTTCTGGAAAGCTTAGGAACTTTCTGTCATTTTTCATTGAGAGTTGCTGACACTTTAAATATCAACAAATGGCAGACCTTGTCAGAGAGCCTACTATGTGTAAGATACTCAGACAATGAGATCTGACTTTGAGAAAGAATCAAATTATTATATTTCCTTCATCATGTTTTCATTCAAGTATAGCACTGCATAATAGCAACACTTGGTCTGAATGCAGAAAGCCAGGTAATCTTTCCAAGCAGGCATGTGGGGATACACTGGATGGAAACTTTTAAAATTCCATACCGTTTGTTCAGGCAGAACCAATGATTTTAAAATGAACAGTGACAGATCAATTTTTAATGGTAACTCTATTATTTTTCTCTATTATGAACACTACTTTTTACCAGACCATGAAAATTATGTTGACATTTGAAAAGCATATGATTAATTGTAGCAGAACAAACATTTTGAGTGCTGCCTCCATTTAGGGAGGTGATAGCGGGCATGGGCCCTGATTATAACATATTGGCACAGTGTAACACTTGCCATTTTCTTTAATCCACTAAATGTTAAAGATCCTAGGTGTGCCACTGATGAATTGATATACATTTGAGGCACGATGGGTTGTGGAGATGCTATTCTGAAAACACAACCATTCATTAAACTAAAATCTAAATACATTTCAGAATTAAAACCATGCAGCCAAACAACTCTTGATTGCAACACAGGGCAAAATGGCCAAATGATATTTACAGCTTGTAATTTCCAGTATGTTCCTGATTTTACTGAAAGATGTGTGTTCAGCCATTACAAAGCAGTTGCTGTGTAGGAAAACTCACGTGAGAAATTTTAGTTTTAATTCAGCACAACCGTGCCATCTAAACTTTTTGTTTGTTTGTTTCATGGAGACAGAGAACTGTGGCCATAAAGAATGAGATATGTTTTCATAATATTAAATGGTCCAGATTAGACAGTTGAGAAGAGTCAGCTATGTAAAGATATCTCAGATTCGATACCTAATCCAAATGCCCCATTTTCTTTGATGTTATCATGATTTTTTAACTGGATGTTTTGGGGATACAATCTATAGCAGTGAGGCAGAGCACATTGAACCGACCCATGCAGGAATCAAACTTAAAATTATATTTTATTAGTGACATGCTCAAACCACCCAAATTAAATAATCTTGGATACACTAAGTTTGTAAAGTCCGCATTCTACTCTGTTATTTCAGAAGAGAAAAAGGAAGACTGGGATGATTATTTGACGGAAAGGGAAAGCTCTAAAGGAAAAAAAATCAAGTTAGAACCTGGATCAAGCTCAACACCAAATTAACTGGCTAGATTAGGAACACTGTAGCTTCTCTGAGGCTGTCTTTTCACCAGAATCTAATGCATTTACAATGATATCCCACCCCCACCCCCAATGTAGGCTGTATAATTGCACTGAGTATAAAAGAAGAGAGAATGATTGAGATAGTTCTTCAACATGGAAGGGAAGCCAAGCACAGTGGTACAGTTTTATGAGAGAAAAAAAATACAGTTATGGATAAAATATATCTTTTTGTCTATAGGTCCCAGATGAATGTATGTACATCTTTAGGAGTAAAAATTTTCTATAGGATAATGAACCACATATACAAGGATAAGTCACCTAGTGCATGTAAGTTTTGGCCTTGTGTAATGACGTCAATATGTGCTAATTCTAAAAGGACATTTAAAAAAATTATTTCCATTGGTCATTGATGATTCACCTTTACCTTTCTGGTTTTCAGATCCTCCATAGATCAACAGGGGAAAGGAAGGAAGCCTGGTGTGAAATAGGCTGGTTTTTCTAGGAAGTGAACTGCTAGGTTAACATAATCTGCCCAACAATAGGATTTCCAGGGAAAACAAAGAAAAATTATTTCTACTTTTACGTCTTATTACAAAAATCATACTTTATGGCCATGAATCATTATTTATACGTTGTTGGCACTACTTTTGGTATAAACTGCTTCATTGTTACTCAAGTGGGGATTTACATATTCCTACTTATCTTTTTGTAGGGAATGAGATTTAAAATGGTGAGAACTATTGCAGCACAGTGACTAAACATGAAAAAATAAATGGAATTTAGGGAGTCAAGTTATTATTAAGATTTTATGTATTATATATATGTATATATTATTAAAGTTTTACATTTCTTGTGAACAACTGGAAAGCAATGTAATGTGTTTCTGTAAGAGGCAGCTGAAATCTGGAGAGATTAAATGAATCTGTACTTTTGACATCTGCCCTTGGGTTGTGTGGCTTTTGATAGTTCATGCCGACATAGTTTTCTTTCATTCCCTTTGCTTTGAAAACTTATATTTGTCTTTTATGTTTTGCATTCACTACAATGTGTCTGAATGTGTATTAGTTTTCAGTTACATTTTTGAAGTTGTGGTTTTTGAATCTGAGGAACACATCCAATTCTGGAAAATTCTGAGGCTTTTTTTTTTTTAACATGGCTTATGGAGGACTTTTTTTTTTCCCAATGTGTTTCATCATATATTAGAGTTCTTTAGTGGGACTTAGATTTTTCCCTTCCTCTGTTTTTTTTTTTATTATACTTTAAGTTCTAGGGTACATGTGCACAACATGCAGGTTTGTTACATATGTATACACGTGCCATGTTGGTTTGCTGCACCCATTAACTTGTCATGCAAATCAAAACCCTCTTTTTTTTTCTTCCTGTCTTTTTTTCTTTCTCTTTATACTGAGACTTCCGTGTGGGGTTGCTTTGTAGGAAAATTGTTCTAGAACAATTTGGGGCTCACTTCTGGGACACACCACAGTGATATCATCCCAGTGGCCACTGGCCCTGATAGTTTTACTGTAAATTTTCTGGATTTGGAGTTCTTGAAATATGAAAATAGTATTAATGTTAACTTTGAATTTGTAAAATCCTTTACATTTCTGATGGTGGTTCCATCAGAAGATTTTTTTTTTCAGCCAGAGGTCTGGCAAATATATACAAGATTCTTTGTGTTGTAAATTGTTCCCCTACCACCACCTTCTTCTGAGGTTGCTGCCCTCCAAGGGTCCCAATATTATGTAGCGATTTCAATTTTAATCCACTGCATTATGCGGTCCCTGAATAGGTATCCTAACCCAAGTTCTGTGTTGTCAGGTGTGGTAATTGCCTCCTCAGGCTTCTGAAGAATCACATGCTTATCACACTGGTTTTCAGTTTCCTTTCAATCTCTATTTTACAAGTTTAGCCAAAGGAAAAAACTAAAAGCAATTTTGTCACATTTATCTGGAATTCTGGATGTTTATTAGATAGAATGAATAAGTACAGTAGGGGATATTTTAGATCATTGCAGTTTGCCGCTTTGTGCATACCATGTGTGATTTTTATAGCCCAACATCCCTGCCTTTAACTCAGACAATAAATAATGGTCCTCCTGGATCAAAACCTCTCTGAATCCATCGTGAGGAGGAATACATACCCTCAAGAACATTTGACAGCATACCTGAAGCAAACTCTTATAATCTGATTAGTTGAGTGTCAGCAACCTGTGGTTGGTTTAGCTACTCCCATGACTAGAGGTAAAGAGTTGGACCAACGCAATGTAGTCTGTTGTCTTCCCAGTTTGAACTTTCAGAATGTTGTTATTTTTCTCTTCCTATAAGGTCAGGCTGCATGTTCTGCTCTTTTCCCCCATGCTTTTCACACATCCTCTCCCTGGAGAAATGTGAGAGGCAGTCTGGAAAAACATCAATGTTATGTATGTCAGAGCCTGCTTACACAGGATGCCAACAGATGGCAATATTTTATCATTATTACACAATCCAGAGACCCTTCATCTGTGGCCTCAGGGAACAAGACGAGTCGGCTCTTTGGTGTGACACATGTCACTGAAGCTTCACCCCCCATTAACTGTGCTGTTGTTTGTGATTGTTAAGCTGCGTGTCTCGCCATGTGTCACATTCTTGACTTGTACAAGGGCCCATTAGTAAGTAGCATCTGAGTACCATGAGTCATAGAAGGCCCCATTCTTGGAAAAATAAACACTGCACATTCAGCTGAGATTACAGCCACTGGCTGGTAGTGATCTGGATGGTGTTTCATGTAAAAGGCTATTTCTGTGATTCACCAAGGCCTTTTCCCCTCTATCAATACACCAGAAATGCCCATTGCTGTTGTATAGCGCTTCCTGTTGACAAACACAAGCTGAGAGCTCACGAAGTCTCTGGGCTAGGTAGGATTTGGTTCATGACAATGGAAGAAGAGGGAACTAGGAGTAAACACAAGCCAGATATTTCAAAACTATTAGAAAGCTTTATGAAATCAACTTCATAATTTCAAATAAAAGATGTATTTTGTTTTTAGATATATTTTCCAGAGACTTGCTCCTTATTTCCCTGTCATTTCCTTCTGCCCCTCATTCTATTTTGCAAACAACTGTCTGTTCCTTGTTCTTATATCTTTCATGACTCCTCTCTTTTCTCTCCTCTCTTCACCACTCTTTTAGTCTTTCCACATCATCCCCTCTTCAGGCTCCCTTTGTCTTCCCAGTTTTCATCTCCAGACCATGATTCGTAGAACTCCAGCTCAGGAATGGCATTCTGGTACTTCGGAGTTGGCACCAAAAGACAAGACAGTCTTGCCAACACCACCTACCCAAGCAACTGAATTTAGAAAGAGAATTCCCTGCAGCCACCTCTAACCTAAGCATTGTCAACATTATAATTGTAAGTCGTCTAATGGTTAAAAACTGGCCTGAGACTAAAGAAAGTCAGGAAGATAAATGTTCCAGGTTGGGTTTTGGGAAAGTTTTGGGGTTTCTGAGTCTATGCAGCTTTTGAGTCTGTATTTCATTCCTTGATCCCCCTCAGCAATCTGGCTCATTCTCTGTTTGTGTTTCTCTTTTATGTTTTTTTTTTTTTTTTTTTTTTTTTTTAAGAAGTGAGATTCTGGCATTTCTTCCAGGAAGGAAGGAGCAGGAGAGCTTTAGGCACTGCTGGGAGGCATGAAGATGAAGCTGCATGAACATCTTCACAGACCATCTACCCCACTCAACGTAGGGTCATGACCATGTAGTCAAACAACCAAGGGTCAGAGGGGAGAAAACAGATGGAGACCAAAGGCTTGCAGAATCCACACCTTCTTTCAAAACCTGTCTCAGAAAACGGTTTTCTGTGAACGTAGATTTCTGAGGGTAGTGCTTCTATAAACACTCCACTCATTTCTCTGGCCTAGGAGAAGTGTTTTGTATGGCAGCCTTTGCCATCAAACAAGGTTTTATTAAATATCCCCCTTGTTGTTGTTATAATAATCCATGCTGATATAAACCATGCTTCATAAAATGCCACAATACACATTCACTGGGCAGCACCCCAGGGCAGCCTCCAAGCGAGGCTCCTCGGGCCATAAAACCGAGACCGCCAGAAACAGGGCTGCCATTTATTTCCCCGTAATGTTCTTTCTTTCTCTCTCTCTCTCTAGGCAGATTTTCCTCGTGTTGAAAGGGAACCTCTGGTCAAAAGTCAGCAAGCAAAGTTGTAGAAAGCTTTGATAGTCAGTGAAGTGAATCATGGCTACACATGGCAGTGGCATGCACCAATGGAGCCTCTTGCTGGGCGGACCTCCCTCTAAGAGCAACTTCTGGTCATCAGTCAAAGGGGCCCCCAACGCGCTGTGCACAGCCAATGGTTTCACCAGCTCCACGGTGCCGGGGTCCCAAGTTGCCCTTTTCCATAGGTATTGCTAAAGCAAATAGCAGACGCTATTTACTGGGTGTGATGCTTTCAATCACATTAATCTAGCCAGTAAAAAAATTTATGACCAATAAAAATTCCACCATGACATGGCTGATTGGAAGGGAGGCAGCGGGATGAAAATCCAAGCCACGCCTCTGCCTCTAGCTAGACTGTCACAAACCCTGGAAGGAAGTAGGAGTCGGGGAAGAGAAAGACAGAAAAATCTCTGGGGTTGTTAAAACTAACTCAAGGGTAGGTGGATAAAACTCTTAAATCGTTTTACTAAGTCCAAACACCGGAGGTGATTGACCGAACACCTACTTTGAAAAGCTACCTGGGCGCTGATAGATGTAGCTTTTGCTTCCACTAGAAAATCGCCCTGGGTTTCTTCTAGTCCTAGTATCACGTAGGTGTTTGCTCATAAGAAGATAAATATTTTTAAATCCCATTAATTTATACAAGCACTAGAACGATGCCTGGGTGGGGACTCCTGTCTCGGATTTGAAGCCAGCAAAGAATGTAGCTTCACGTAGCTGTCTCTCTCCTGGTTGGCTTGTACGTGGTTTATACAGATCCACAAGGGCAGTGACTAAGCTCTGTTAAGACTTGTGACTCATTCCTTCTTTTCCCCATCCATGGCGACCGTCCTCAGACTGCATGACTCTCAAGCACACACTCTCCTTACCTTCCATGGCTTCTCCCTTGAGTGGGCAGCTGATCCAATTATTTGTTAATGATCCCAGACCACACACAGCAATGAGGATGTTATTTTAATGAATTTATATTGGAAGTCCTGCCACTGGGAGTGAGTACCTGATTAGCTAATTGTGGTTAATACTTCAAGTAGCTTATCCAATATCCATTATCCCATTCTTTCTAAGTAATAGAACCCCAAATTTAATCCACGTGGCAATGTGCCCAGCCAGAAGACTTTATTTGCAAACTTTCTTATTGCTAAGAGTGGCTGGTAAGATGTAATTTGAAATTTGTATGTGGGATTTTTGAGAAAGACTCCTAAAAGAGGGAAAGATAGTCACCTTCTCAAACTTTCTTCTATTTCCTGCCTAGAGGGATGACCCAATGGCTAGAACTCCTACAATCCCCTTGGAGTGTGAGGTGTGAAATGAGCATAAGGATGGAAGCCTCACTCTATAAAGATGAAAGAGCAGAAAGATCAAATGGGAGAAGCCATGCTTCTGTTGCTTCTCTCATACAATGTGATCTCTAGTCTACCTACTGCTAGACTGCTTTTGTTTTAGAAGGAAAAAGAAGCTTCTGTTGTTTAAGCCACTACGATGTCAAGTCTCAGCACTAGATTCCTAATCAGAATCAAAACCATGGAGAGATCTAAAAGTTCTCTCCAGAAGCCATTTTTTACACCCCCCAAACTCAACAAATGAGTACTCAAATCTTCCAAACAGAATGACAATCTCACTTTAAATTTTTTTTTTTCTGATGATAGGCAATTTCCTCCAAAGAGCAGCACTTTACACACATGTAAAGATATGCTTTACATGTAAGACATGCTTTAAAATGTTTGCTGAATGGGAGTGCTAAACATAACTGGAGTGCTAAACTGATCACGGGTTTTACAACCGGGAAGATCAAGCTTTTGAATCTGAAATATCTCTCGCTTACTAGCAACGCAACATTAGACAACTTACGTAAACTTGATCCTCAATGTCTGTGACTATAAAATGAGTTAACAATATCAGCCTGGTAAAGGTATTGACAAGATGACAAAGCTTATATTTAAAGTAGATGTAACGTAGAGGATGCTTAAATTCCATTCTTTTCTGCCTTCCACTTCTTAGTTAGAAATTCTATACTTTGAATTTATTGGCTTTTGTTCTCTTAATTCCTCCATAAAAAGAAGTATAAAAATTCTGTCATAAGCATTTTGCCCACCATTTTATTGACTCATTCCTGTGTCCCCAGTTGTATATGACCACTTTTTCTCCAGTGTTTTCCTTTCTGTCTCACAAGTAAATGGAGACATCAGCATATAAAAAATAAAAAGCAGGCCAGGCATGGTGGCTCACTCCTGTAATCTCAGCGCTCTGGGAGGCCAAGATGGGTGATCACCTGAGGTCAGGAGTTCAAGACCAGCATGGCAAACATGGTGAAACCCTGTCTCTACTAAAAATACAAAAATTAGCCAGGTGTGGTGGTGGGCACCTGTAATCCTGGCTACTTGGGAGGCTGAGGCAGGAGAATCGCTTGAACCTGGGAGCCGGAGGCTGCAGTGAGCCAAGATCACACCATTGCACTCCAGCCTGGGTGACAAGAGCGAAACTCTGTCCAAAAAAAAAAAAAAAATTAAAAAGCAAAACAAATTAAACATATGCCCAGCCTGCACTCACTACCTATATATTTATTATTATATTTATTATATGTTATTTAATAAAAGGACAGGCCAAAGTTTAAGCCAGAATAATTAATTTCACAGATTTTCCTTCCACAACTATTTTCTGAGTTAAGGCCTGGCATCCATTAAGGCCAAGTACATGATAGTCTCTGCTGATTTTGATGGTAGTGTCACACTACCCAGAAACGATCAAGTGTTCATAGGGATGTCTCTGAAATCACAAGCCATTGCTAAATTAAGCAACACTATATTATTACTCACATGTAAAGAGCACAATTCAGCACTTAGTGGCGAAGGGTGAAAATGTGGTTTCAGATAGACACATATGCACACGTTCCCATGGACAAATGAATTGACTTCTCTTAACTGATTAATTAAGAATAGATACCTCATGGGGTTGTTGTGAAAATTAAGTGAGTCAAGGTATGTAGAGAACATAGGATGATGGCTGACATATAGTGATCATCCCAAAATTGGTCTTTATCACCTTCATCTTCATCCTCAGTTAGGGCTTATCACTAATATGAGCTTTAGAACTTTTATCTATTCCTATCCCTGCTCCCCCAACACCCAATAGGAGTTTATTTTCAGGACTTAAAAACTTCATGAAAGTCCTTTGCTTCTTGCCTTTCTGGCAACTTCAAAATTATTTCTTTTAGAAAAAGGTAGGATAATGAGGCAATGAATTAGGGGTCACCAAAAATTTGTGTTAAATCTCTTTAAATGAGAATTTGTGAAACACCATTTTGATACAGTTTGGTATTATTTTGTAAAGGGGTAAATTATTTTAGTAAACACAGTCGAATTTGAAACCTAATGCCACCAGCCACGAGGTGATCTTGATTTGAGCCAGTTAATTAACTTTTCTGAATGCCTGCCTCTCATGTTTTTGGAAAATTGCATGAACTTATATATGTAAATTACCTAGGGAAGAGGCCATAACATTGCAGCCACACAAGAGGCATTTGCTCTTTCTCTAGTAATGTATTTATTTTCCTGTTCACTAGTAAGGTTTTTGTCCCTATCAGGAAAAGTTAAAGGGTCTTCCTGGTGAGTCAATCAGGAATCTGGTGTATTATGAAGGAAGGGACGGCGAGAAGGAAAGCAGCCAAGAGGCATTGAAAACATAAACAGTGAAGTATTCTACTTTGTTTATACTACCTTGCCAGTCCTCATGTTAGTTCCAGCCTGGCACCTTGCTGCTGTCTGGAGGTACTACTTGAAAAACCACACCCAGGCCTGGGATCCCATCACAAACCACCACCTCTTACAATAACAGTCCCCTTAGTCTTTGTATTTCTCAAACCTCTGACATAGAAAATAATCTGGGACAACGCCCCAAATTAACCTAAGTAGTCTATAATAAAGATTTTCTAACCACACCCAGGCCTGGGATGCCATCACAAACAACCGCCTCTTACAATAACAGTCCCCTTAGTCTTTGTATTTCTCAAACCTCTGACATAGAAAATAATCTGGGACAATGCTCCAAATTAACCTAAGTAGTCTATAATAAAGATTTTCAACCCTGTGATTTGGGACATTTGGAATCAAGATCCCCTACCTCCATGACATTACACCCCAGGTAATTTTGCAAATACTTAAATGTTATTTTTCAGAGCAATAAGCTACATATTTAGGAAATTTCCTTTTGTTTTTTTTTTAAGTAGAGTATAAAAGGATGTCAACCCAGTCTTCATGGAAAGAAATTTCTAACTAAGACAAAGAAATGGTACACAAATTTACAGTGGCCTGTTCACAACCTTCACACTCAGACATCATGAAGAAAGGAGGGGCTCTGATTGGTGCACGTGCTTTCAACTCTTCATCTGACCTAGAAACCCAAAAGGCATTTATGAGCTTGATATTAAGTCTTTTCTTTGGAGCCTTGACATCACTTAATGGGTGTTGCATAGAATTGACTGGCCATTAAGCAACTGAGAAAATTCCCTAAACTCATTTCTAGATGAAGTCTTTAGATTCAAATGCTCATTAGTACTTAAGACAATTGCCTTATTCTCACTGCTCAAGAATGTTGAATCAACTCTGATTATTGAGTGATGATAGAGGTGGTCTATATAATTCTCAGAAAAGGAACACTGGCTTTTTTGTTTCTGTTTCTTGTTTTGTTTTGTTTTGTTTTCTCTGGCATAGCTTTAGCCAGTTCTTTTTCCTCCACATTTTCAATGTAGCTAGAAACATCATGCAAAAAAAAACTTTGGTATTGCTAAGTCAGCATGAGAGTCTCTTGGAAGTTGCCATTCCTCAAAGCCAATTCTGTGCTATTCAAGAGACAAAAAGTGAAAAATTCCGGGAGACGATGATCTCTCCTATGGTGAAAAATCTAAAAGACAGATGGCCATGCTATTAGAAAGCAGATAACAAAAATTATTTTGACTAGAAAGGCTTGGTAAGCCCCAAATGGGGATTGCAACTTACCTGAGGTTCCCCATCACCACCGCACTTGCAGTTCATTCTCTATGAACCTCTCCAAATCCAACGGAAAGCAAAACATCAACCAGGTTGCCAGGCTTTACATGGTTTGGGGGTACAAATGACCACACATTACATGGTTTCCATCTGAAATCATAGCTTGGTCGGCATGCACTGAAAGCTTTGCAAACCTCAGTGAAACTCTAGACTGCCCTGGCTTTGATATTGGGTTGGCTGCAGGGGTTTCCCACAGCTGTGGTAGTGATACCCAAGTGAATATTTTCATCCTCTAAGCAGGTCCTAGCTGGCCAGTACTTTCAGAAGTAGAAATGGAGGACACACGGGCACACACAAACACACAAAGGTGCAGGAGAGAAAGAGATGAAAGTTGTGAGATAATAGAAATTGTATTTTGATTCCTAAAAATATGATTTTCATTTACAGAAGTACAAAAATCTGAAAATTTGGATGAACACTAACTCATTGCTCTAAAATACCAATATTATAAGTGCTCTGGGATTTTCTGTAAAAAAAAAAAAAAAAAAAAAAAAAAATAGCAGTTGCCTTTGCCATAGTCTGGGTTTGTAACCATACATGGGCCTGAGTGCCAGTGAGTTGAGCTGAGGGTTATTTGCCATGAAAAATTAGACACAGGGGAAAAGACCCTGGCACTTCCTTTACTATTGGATAACAATTAATCTTCCAAAATGCTGACTTCTGTGTAGGCAACATGGTGGTATGTGCCAGGGAATGGATTTGGTTTGGAGAAGCTTCACTGCTCCCCAAAAGGCTATGCCAGGACTGTGCCTACAATCTCTCTTTATTCTCATTAGTATTAAAGCAAAGATCTCTGTTAATATAAAGAAACAAGGCCAAAGGGAAGAATAAAATGGAGGGTAAGAGAGCAAGTGTTCTCCATGCTTTTGACCTGTACCATTAAAAGTATTGAATAAGCTCCTGCTTTAGCTCTGAGTCTGTATCGTGTTTATAATAACAAGCAGACATTATCTTTACTCTTAAAAGGTATCAGGGTATTTTCTCATATTTTTATGGCAGTCTTTTCTAAAGCAGAAGGCTATGGAAAGTGTTGATCACAAAAAAATACACGGATGGTTTAGTTGCCAGATAAATACAGGTGTCCTGTATTTGTGTTTGCTGAATCTGGCAACCCAAGGTAAGAAGTCATTTTGGAGTTAGGAGATATTTGGGGAAGCAATTGGAAAGAGAAGCATTGACTGAATTGGGACTCAGTCAATTGGACTAAGTCCCAAAGTTTTTTGTTTGTTTTAACATGTATATAATCCTTGCTTCTTCCATATTCTTCATCACCCTCTTGGGCCCATAGTAGACTCCCTGAAAATGCTAATTGATTGACTCATTTCTAGATAAAAGGGAAAGACCAAGACTAAGCCAAAGTAAATAAGGTTTCTAGTTTGAATGTTTTATTTCATGGACCAGATCTGGGCATACATTTACCATTTGGAACACATGCTTTTGAAATCGCAAAATATAATGCATTTTAAAACTCATATACCTTTTAAAGTCCCACCCTGCCAACTCTCAGGTTATTATTCATAATTATATCTTAATGGATTCCACAAATCAATTTTTTTGTTTTTCTTGGTTAATATTGCTGATACTTACAAATGAGTATCATTTACCTCCTTCCCCTCATCCCCCCGACACCTCCATAGCCTCTTATGGAGCCAAAGCCCAAAGCTATAAATATAGAACACCACTGTTAGGAGTTCCCCTTCCCTCTCTTTTTCACCCCCCAGCATGTAATGGACTTCTCTTTTCACAGTGTTAAAAGGATCAGTAAATCATTGGGTCACCTACTGATATGAAGGTCTTTCATTTGAAATCATTAGTTTTAGCAAATTGCAAAAGAAAAATACAAAAGAGCAAATAAATCAAGGAAAAATTACAACAGGTTTTTACTAAGTATGGGTGGAGTGGAAAAAGTGATCTTGGCTTAATTACCCACTCTTAGTCATAAGACGCAGGAAGCAGAGGTTTTAAAAAGTCCAATTGGGGCTGTGTTATATATATATATATATATATATATAGAATATATATATATATATGTGCACACACACACGCACACACACACACACACGCATATATTTTAAGGTGTTAATTTCCATCACATCACTCTGTGCTGGGTTACCATGTAAAAAACTGCCGAATCTTGACCTTCACGTGAAATGTTAAAATCACACTCTCTCTTGGAAGACTAAACTGTCATGAAATATTCTTTTCTGCAAAGTCATGGAGGAGTATCTCTGTACAGGTAACAGACACTTGAGATCTGGGTGTATATTGCCTGAAGAAAGAAAGGGCGTGTTTATCTGATAAGTGTGGATTTTCTTTATATCAGTATCATCTCCTTTTTGCTTCTGTTTGTTGACTCACACCATTACCTAAGCTTTAAATGCCCTAATCCCTACAATCTCCATTCCTTTTATGGCTCAAGTCAATCTTTCTACCTATTATACCACTAAATTTCTCTTTCCCTAATTAAACAGGTACAGCACTTATAGTCAATACTATACACTTGGTTATACACTTTAACACTTGATTATTTAATCCCTTGCATTATTTTACCTTTTCTTATGCATGCATCTTTTCCTCAAAATTACTGAATATACCCGGAGGACTTAGACTTCTGTGGGTTTTTTGCTATCAGTAATCAACCATGCAGAATATAACATACTTGCAGAACAATGCCAACATATATTTCTTAGCAAACAGTGTTATTATATCAATCAACTTATTTTAAGGAAAGCAATTCACACATTAGAATGGAGAGAGAAAAAGTCTAAGAGGTTAAAGAGGGATGAGCAACGTGTCAATCAGGCTTCTCTAGAGAAACAGAACTAATATGTATACAGTATATGTTTGCATGTGTGTCTCTCTGTGTGTGTATCTGTATATATAAAGAGATTTATTTCTAAAGAAATGGCTTGCACCATTGTAGGGGATGAAAAGTCAAAAATCTGTAGCGTAGGTTGGCAGGCTAGAAACTAAGATCAGCTTTGATGTTGCAGCCTTGAGTCTGAAATCAATAGGGCAGCTCAGCAGGCTGGAAAGTCAGGCAAGATTTCTGGTATTGTCTGGAAAGCAAAACTGTTTCTCCAGGATTTCTCAGTTTTGTTCTGAAACCTTCAAATGATTAGATGAGACCCAGCCACATTATCAAGGGTCATTTTCTTTACTGAGTCAACTGATTGCAAATGTTAATCACATCTACATAACACCTTCACAGAAACATCTGAACTAATGTCTGAGTAAACAACTAGGCACCACAGTCTAGCCAAATTGACACAGAAAATTAACGATCACAGGCACTTTATCATTTGCTCAGATACAGCTACTGGTGCACTGTATCCATAACCCCAAAGCCAAGTCTCTGTTTCCTTGCAGAAGGCTGTTAATTAATAATATCAGTTGATGCATGTGATCACCATGACAACTTTTTTTTTTCCTTTAAATATTCTTGTTAGGTTAATTGTGAATAATTTTCAAGTCATATATCCTTGTTTAGAGAGCATGTTGGCATCTAACTGGGCCAGGAAGGAGAGCAATAGAACCCAGAAAGCACTCTTTAAAAATGGAGAGAATAGATCGTCATTACGGAACAAGCATATGCTAAATATTCAGGCTACAATGCCACTGAATTGATGTTTTTTTGTTTGTTTGTTTTTCCCTGTGTGGTTCCTTCTCCATTTGAGGAGACATGCAGGAAAAACAACAACAACAACAACAAAATACAAAACAACAAAAGGCCGTCATTCCAGATCGACAGACAGAATTTAGCTGGAATTACTTTGGTATACACGCAAAGCCTCATGGTTTAAGCACCTGATGGCCATGATGATGTGTTGTCATCCTTGGATCTCTAAACACTAGCACATTGCCATTGGCTGCAGGGTAAACTAAAGACACATGTGGTGAGGTGGGGAGACTTAAAATAAATTTGTGGGGAAATGGGGTTAGTTCAGCTGCTCCACAGTGTCCACACCTTCTGGGAGCTTGTTAGAAATGCAGATGCTCAGGTACCACTCCAGACCTACTGTAGCCAAATCCGCATTTTAATAAGTCCTCAGGTGATTGACATGCCCGTTAAAAATTAAGAATGAATTAAATCATCCACGGTACCATCTGAGACAAGAAGAAGTTATGGCACCATTTCTCCCTTTCAGTCTTCTGGGGCATTTTCTGTCTCCAAAATCAAAACTGAGTTGGAGTAGCTCAGCTGTACTCTATTTGATCATCAATAGTGGATATAAAAGACTAATAGTGTTTAAACAGTGTCTAAACAGTGTTCCACCCTATTGATATCCTCCCGCCTCTTCTTTTATTCCCCTTTCCACAGGCAAATGGAGAGGACCCAAAGGGAATTCAAGTTTCTTAAGATTCAGACCAGTTTCCTGACCAAGGTGTGTGTGTGCGTGTGCGAGTGCATGTGTGTGTATGTGTGTACTTAAATCAGAGTCACTGTTAAATCAGCTAAGTCTCGGGGAAGACTCAGCTAGAATGAAGATTTGTGAATACAATACATTTGCACCCTATTATTTTAAGCATTGAAGAAAATTCCTGGAATGAGAATGAGATGTGGCTAATGCAGAGTGAATTTGGTGAATCTGCTAGCCATAAGTATCCAAAATAAGCTCAGCAAGACTTATGGTTGCCACTTCAGGCAGTTGGCAACTGTAAGCCACAGGCAAAGAGGAAGGAAACAGAGAATGAGGAACAAAAGAATAAGATATGAGTAAAGTAGAAAAATAAAGGTAAAATAAAAGAATAAAATCAGAGGCAGTCTCATTTTGCATAATATTTGTCTAATATATAAAGAGAAAATTATATATATGTGTTTATATGTGTACGTGTATGTGTATATATTAGTATATATATTATATATGTATATGATATATAAAATATAAATATAAAGATTATATATTATTATATATAATATTATATATATTTATTATATTTTTATATATTTATATTATATATAAAATATAAATATTGAGCATTGACTTTGGATGATTTAGTTGACATGATAAATAAACATAAATAAGTTTAACTTTTATAGTCTGACATGGTATCTTTTCTCCCAGGGGTTTCTGGGCATATCTCAGCAAGAACAAAATACTGAGAGTTGTTTCTCTGTCTTTGCATTGAAAATAGTCACTTTAAAATTTTTCCTTGTAGATTCTGGATATTAGACCTTTGTCAGATGGGTAGATTGCAAAAATGTTCTCCCATTCTGTAGGTTGCCTGTTCACTTTGATGATAGTTTATTTTGCTGTGCAGAATGCCCATCAATAATAGACTGGATTAAAAACATGTGGTACACATACACCATGGAATACTATGCAGCCATAAAAAATGAGATCATGTCCTTTGCAGGGACATGGATGAAGCTGGAAGCCATCATTCTCAGCAGATTAACACAGGAACAGAAAACCAAACACCGCGTGTTCTCCCTCATAAGTGGGAGTTGAACAATAAGAACACATGGACACAAGGAGGGGAACATCACACACCAGGGCCTGTTGGGAGGTGGGGGGCAAGGGAAGGGAGAGCATTAGGACAAATAGTTAATGCATACAGGACTTAAAACCTGGACGACAGGTTGATAGGTGCAGCAAACCACCATGGAACATGTATACCTATGTAACAAACCTGCACATTCTGCACATGTATCCTGGAACTTAAAGTAAAATTTAAACAATTTAAAAATAAATTTTCTATGTAAAAAAATGTATTTCTAGTTCAAATACTTAAGGCCCTTATTTAAAAATACGTTCTGTCACCTTCTTATATGATGTGTAAGACTCTCAACAAAGGCCAGACCAGTAGAAAAATTGTGAAAATCCACTGCATTAACTTATAACAATTTAAATCAAAATCTGCTATTGAAAATAAAACCAAAGAATCAGTCAAAGCACAGTTAATACTTGAGAGGATTTATAATGCTCATAGTTACATGAAAAAAATAATGTAGTCTACTGATTACAAATACCTTCCTATTCAAATCCTACAAAACTGAGGGTCGCAGATATAGTTGCAGTAACAAGGATGTTACTTTTTCTGTTTCCAATTTTTTTTTTTAAATATGACTTTAATCACACATTTCAAGTTTTTAAAAAATGTTCAACTGATTTTACAACTACGGTCTATGAAATACAGGTTCTGAACAATCTATACTATAATTACATACTATGGAGAGAGTTTATATGATTGTATTTTGTGTTTCAAATACAAATGTGTTATATACTGCATACAATTCCACTGTTAAAAAATCAAATGTGAAGAGTTTTGAAGATGAGAACAGCTGGAAGAAAAGTACAATTTTAGGTAAATAAGACAATAGGAATTGACCATCTGGATTTGTTAAAGAAAATTGTATTTCGAAAGAACAGATGAAAGATAAAAAAGGCTAAGACAAAACCCCCAAATCTGAGTATTTAAAAAATTATAATATCAGAAAAGATTGAACTGAAAAATTTCAACTAGAAGTAGAAAATGAAATCAATCAATAGTCTTTTTGATGTTAATGGTGTGTTGTTATTTTTAGTTAACCATTTATTTAATGTAATTTATTTCAAACAGAGTAACTATATAAGGGTGCTACTTTTTCAAAAAATGAGGAATAACCTGTCAAAGTGTTATAGTCCCTTTATAGTGGAAAAAGACAAACAGGCAATTCAAATATGTAGAGAAATTCAATTTTATGAAAAATGAGTATCATACATAAGGTTGTGAAAGGTAAGGGCAGTTAGAGCCAAAAGAAAAACAACTTGTCAATTAAAAATTAAATATCCACTTCAGTAGAAAATACAGGATTCTTTCTATTGTGTATTCAGTATCTCGGGAAGATGTCCTCTACATTTTTTTTTCTTTCTATACCCATAGAAATAATCTATTAAGCCCAAGTGAGTTATTCCGTTTTCCTTTCTTTCAATGTATTTCAATATAATTTTTTCAAGATTTAATGAAAGAGCTGTACCCAGCCCTTTTCAAGAACGTCTGGCCAAATGCAGCAGTAAATTATAAAATAATGCCCAGCATTCATAAAACAGTTCGCAAATTACTATTACAAAAATCCACTGATCAAATGAGCCCCCCAGATGTGTTGTTTAAATCACCAAATATATATAGATATATCCTTAAGAAGCATATTCCAGCTTCTCAAAACTGTTTAGGATTTTCCTTAAAAATATCTCCTTTAAGTCAGATGGTAGCAGTATCCATATTCTGAAAAATTATTGCCAAATTAAAGAACAAATTATTAAATGCAGGCACTCCAAACCCAAACCAGAGAATGTTTTTATTTAGTATTTTTGGGCCTTTCTTTCAGAGGCTCTTACATTCTGGTTTCCCCAGAATAGTCCCCATTTGTGCCTGATGTAACTGTTAATAGTACTGCCTTTCACTCTCCAAGGGTCTTAGTTTGGATAATAAAATATATGGTTACCCACCTTTAAGCAACGTATGAGGTATAGGTTAAGAATTCATGAAGTTTAGTCTTTTATTTTTATAAACCAATAACGTACTGAGTGAACTATTAAATATTATTAAATTTGGTATAGGGTATTCATTCATGTGTGTGTGTGTGTGCACGTGTGTATACAGACACACATAGGTATCAAATCTATAGCTTGTGAAATAACTATGCTTAAATAAGAAGTAATGAAGTTTATTCTGCCATAATCCTGCTGCTACTCACAGATAGATTTCTTCAAAGAAGTTATTTTGAGACTATACACGTACTCCAAAAATGCCATTTCTAGCACAACTCTAAGTGTGCTAGAGTTAGACTTGTGAACCACGTTATAAGACTTTCAAAAAAAAGTTTCATTGCTTGATAGCCACAATTATTTTCAGTCGGAATTACCAGACTCAACATCAATTTTAAATTCAAATGGCCTTTATTTGGTTTAAGAAAACATAGCCTTGAGGCACATACGTCTTTATTTATTATGTTGAAACATAATTATTTGTTTACTGTTTGTTCCTTCTTTGAGCTCCGTGAGTACTTACGGGCAACTTTTCCTTATTCATCAGTATGTCTCTAAATATCTAGTATAGTACTTAGGACGTTTTAGACACATAGTAAATATTTGTTGAATCATAATATAAGCAAATGAATCAGTGAGTACTGATCTTTGAGTCTTTGCAGACAATTCCGAAAGTAGAGTTTTCACACTGGAATAAATAGTCGGTAATTGTTTTGAAGGGAACAATACTAATATGTAAATCCTGGTGTAATAAATTTTAAGTCATATTGACACTCAAGCTTAATAAATCCACATCTTATCCCGAACAACTACACCTTTTTTTCAGAAATGATTTCAGTTTTGTGCTAGAAATGGGCTAAAAGTGGGGAGCCCAGGGTTGGGCTGCCTGTTCGCTACTCAAAAGTTGATCCACAGAATGAGCCACATCAATGTGACCTGCAAGCTTGTTAGAAACAGGCCCCACTGCAGAACTATGGAATCCAAATCCACATATTACTAAGATCCCCTGGTAATTTATGCGCACAGAACATTTGAGAAGCACTACTTACACTGTTTATGGTTTGAGTGTTTATAATATTCATGTAAAGAGACTACGAAGGACACAGAATGAAGTTAGGAAGGGGTATATTAAGAGATATAAATACCACAAAATGACTTTTTTGTCCCCTGGGGATTGTATGTTCTAGTGAGATAAACAGATAAGTTTTGTCTGTTTTAATCTGTCTGCTAAGGTTTGATTTAAACCATTAAACCTTAGCAGGCAGAATAAAATAGAGTAAAATTATAACTCTATACAAAATAAAGTTAGGGTTAGGAGAAGATAAAACCAACAACTCTCTACCTTGAACAAAGACAAAGAGATTAAAGTGAAGTATCAATCGTTGCTTTTGTGTTCACTAATACCTACGCATTTGTGTGTACCTTCTCTCTCACACACACATACACCCATACACTTCTGTCTCCTGCCTTCCTACAAGAGTTGATATGACTAAAATATGTATCATGGCTATCCTCCCGGTAGTTATGTTTTTCCTTATAATGTAGTGAAGCTTTAACTTCAATGCCCTCATTAGTAACCTGAACATCTTAAGACTATCCATAGGGAAATAAATCTTAAATGAAAATAACTGCTTTTGACATGCATTGACCTTGTTAACATTGCAGGTAAAACCTCACCAAAAAAATAAACGTCATGTTACCAATGCAAGATTCGACACACGAAACACAGACCATGATGAGGTTCAGCTGTGGCTCTTTCTTGTGGAGATGTAATAACTAAGAGTGTTGCTGCACAACCGATGCACAGAAAAACAAGCTTATCAGGATGCCTCTTGGATACCACAATGAGAATACAGAATCCCCCAGGCCTAGAGTTTTCAAATTAATCAACAGATAACATTTCATTGACAAAATAGTCATACTTTCTCTGGTTGTACTTAGAAACACTGTCTAAAATTTATTTTAGTCTACCAGACTGGTTACCCCAAAGTCTATACAATTTTAACAGTAACATCTGATTGTAGCCTTATTTAAAATCATGTATGCTGAGAAAACTCCATTGAACCATTTGCAAAGATATTGATCCTAAAATATGCTTATTTCACATTGCATGCCTGTATCAAAACATCTCATGTACCCCAAAAATATATACACCTACTATGTACCCATTAAAAATTCTAAAAGATAATTTAAATTTTTTAAAAAATTTTTGAACCAGACAAATCTTGCATATAGACTTTGTTATAACATGTAACTTATATATTTCATATGACTGCAGAAAAAAAATTCAATAAACACTTAGTCTCTGTTACCATACTACATGAAAGGTTCTGCACTGTGTATTTGAAATCAACTGTGACATCTCTCCTGGAAGATTTTCCTGGACTCCCGTTCCCAGGAAGAGTCAATAATCCTATCTTGCGTGTTACCACCTTGTTTCTGTATGAGTAATACAACTAAGCTAAGCCTACATTGTAAAAATAATTTCCATATATGCTTCTGACAACCACTATATTATGAATTTGGCTTATTAAAAAACAAGCATTTGGCTTATTTTTGTTCTTTAGATTTTAGTACACTTTTCTGCATCAAAAGTGCTCAGAAATTTCAACTGAATTATTAATGATTTGTTGGACATATTTTAACACAAGGCAATTGGCTATTGTGATATTTCATTTAAAAATTCTGGGCTAGTCTTCACTACGCTTCTCAGGAATGAAAAAGGTAGAGTCAAAATTAGCAGTAGAAGTTCACACATAGGAAAATACTAGATTTGTGTTTCTCATCTTGACAAGTCTGTGTAATAATAAGTGTCATTTATGACCCATGCAGGTATGTTTTTTTTTGTTGTTGTTTTTTTTTTTTTTTTTTTTTACTTTACAAAGTTTAGTCTTCCTCTTAAAATAAACCTGACTCTTCTGATGGTAGCTAAATAGCAGTTTCTTCCAACTTCCGTGTTGGAATGTCAAATGTTTCATAAGCATTCGAAACCACTCTCTGTAAGAATAGTACAGTAGAGTTATATACCGAGCATCTTGCCATGATACTAAACTCCCAGAACAAGATGTGCACGATACTAAAGTACTTGCAAATGAAATCACAAGTTGACTGGAATTAGCTTCAACATGCTTCAGCAAAAACAAATTTGAAATATCATCGAAACACCGTTTTTATTCAAAACACTTTCACATTATTTTGCTGAAGTCTTTCTTAGAAATTTCAAGATAAATACAGAAGATAGTGCCCAATTTACGATAGTTCAACTTTTGATTTTTCGACTTTTCAATAGTTCTATTTTTCACTTTCATTATCGTATTCAATAGATTACATGAGATATTCAACACTTAACTATAAAATAGACTTTATGTTAGTTATTTTGCCCAACTGCAGGCTAATTCTGAGAAGGTTTAAGGTAGGCTAGGCTGAGCTATGGTGTTTGGTAGGTTAGGTGTATTAGATGCATTTTTGGCTTATGATATTTTCAACTTACGATGGGTTTATTGGAACAGAACCCCTTCTTAAGTCGAGGACCATCTGGGCAAGACTCCTCAGGCCTATCTTCATGGCAGTAAATATTTAGATGAGTCTGTGCATTGGACACTGTTTGATGATGTGTTATCTTTTCAGTTATTATTGACATCAACTTTTAGTCCAATGACCCAATATGAGTATTCACACCTTAACCAATAATGTCAAACATATATAAACACATATAAGAAGATGTAAGAGTCTCTTCTGCAATGCAGAATAAAGGTGATGGAGGTTTCTACCTTTGTTTTCTTGTCCCCGTTCCTTCACTACATAAGTCCCTGTGTAAATAATGCTATAAATATACTTTATGAAGAAATTAATCCATGTGCTTTGAACATTTGTGTCAGATTTGGCAAGGAGGAAATGCTCTTCAGAAGAGTCAATTATTCCTACCTGAACCACACCTTGAATTTGCCATGGAAGGCTGGCTTTCACTGTCTGGCTGCACATTTCTAATTACAAGAAATTAGAAATTTATTGCTTTTCCTCCTACTACTTATGAAGTTGATTTTAATTTTGCTTGTTTTTAAACAGTATATACTTCTTACTTATAAATACAAATAGGTAGTCTAGGCATAGACTAGACAAACTTATACATGGATTAACCAGCAATGAAACAGCATACCTGTGGTTATATTTCCACATGACCATTTCTCAAATGAAGTCTCCCTTTTTCTCTAAATGTCTTTAAAGATTTGAGTGTGCATAATTCATACCTAATTTATTTAATAATGGGAGATGCAGAGTTTTAATACATACATAAATACATTAGTCTAAAAATAAAGCCAGCAAACTTGTTTAAACATTATTTTAAAATATTGGCTTCCTCTCAATGAATGTCAATTCCAAAATGGCTTTATTATCCAGAAACTATGTGTTATTGCTAAATCTTACTCCAAACCAAATTATTTTATGAATGGATGAAAAAGTTATAAAACACAGACCTTTACCAATATTTGCTAAAGGATACATAATACCTTCTACCATAAGAACACCAAAGAGAGCACCAGTAAGTTGTTTGAGAAAATCTGTTCCCTGGAATAGTGGATGTTTCTTTGGATCAAGTGGACAAATAGACACAATGTACTCACAGCCTATCCCAATAAGAAGCATTAGAATATTTTCGTGACAACAAGCAAAAGTTATTACTAACACTGATTTTACTTTTGGCATCAAGACCTGGTCTCTACGTGATACAGTTCTGTGCTTTAAAAAACTTACATGGCTTATTATCCTTTTTTTGTTCTTTTGTAGAACTAACAGACTCAGATTATCCAACAGCAAATCATTTTCCAAATGTTAATTGCATTCTTTCAAGAAAGTGGAATGTTCCTGAATGTAATGTAATTGTATTTTTTCAGCCACTCCAACTAAAGCAATGGCTTACTTAGGTTGGCACCTGTGAGACCAAATTTTTTTTTTTTTTTACTTAAGTGAATTAGCAATTACGGATCAGGAAAGAACTATTAGGACCAACTGAGACCTGATGCCTAGGTGATGTTTTCCCAGGTTAGGTCTTATGTGGGCCAATGGAAAGAAACTAAATTATATCTACCTTTAGCCACCCCCAACCCTCAGCCCTCACTTATTTTATGAAGGTAATTAGTACTTTCAGTAATTGGACCTCACACGCTCTATAGATGGCTGAAGTCACAAGTTATGGGTATTGCTGCAGAATAGCTTAGAGCCTTAATGGTGAAATATTCCCCTGACAAGAATTATCAAATTCAATTGAATACTTGAGTTTCTGACCTAAAATATTTTTCCAGAGGACAAGGGAGCCCAGTGGTTGAAGTTTTTTAAAGGCTGTCTTCCAGGGCATGAAGTAGGGAGGAGAAGAATGACCAGTTTATAGGGAAAGAGAAACAGAAAATAGCCACCATACGCCATGACACTCTTATCTACTATGAACCGGATTGAGTGTTCAAACTTTCCCGAGTTACAGTCAGTCCTAAACTCTTCTACAGGGATCACTGTAGACTTGCCCTGGCTTGTCTTACAGAAAAATATTCCCACAGACAGAATGACTGGGAGGGTTCAACGGCAGGTTACAGACTTTTAGTCAGCCGGAAACTGACAGTTGTCATATTAGATGGGTAAACATGGCTGATCTGATTTTAGGTTTTTTTTAAAAAATAATAACTACACTGATGCAAATCTTCTTTGGTTGCTTTTTCTCTGTTTTCTCTCATTTGTTTATTTATTTCTACCTACGGTAATATTTTAATCATCTAGAAAATAATGCAATAATCATATTTTACTCACTACCAAGATTTTATAAACATTAACCTTTCTGCCGTATTTGTTTCAGCTATCTCAAAAACATTTTTAAATATTTTTAAATGCTGTGGAGCACCAGAATTCTTCTTAGAATCATCTCCTCTCAATAGAGTAGACCCTCATTTCTAGGCAATTGTGCTTATTTAGGTTGTGCATATATATATATATATATATATATATATATATATATATACACACATTTTTATATAGAGATTCTATATATATACACACACAGAACACACACACACACACACACACACACACACACACACACACACACAGAGTATACAAGTCTTCCAGGTTGGTTTTGTGCCAATTTTGTTTCCATTGCAATTATAGCATTTACCAGATACTATAAATACCTATTTACTTTTTTACATGTCTGCCTTCCTCATTAGACTTTGAACACATTTACAACAATTAGCACAGCACTTGGCATATAAATGATCGTGGAATGGGTGAGAGAAGAAAGCATTTGGATTTTCAGCCTGGGATTCTGCACATGCCATAGACAAGTCAGTGATCTTTTTTTTTTTTTTTTTTAGACGGAGTCTCACTTTGTCACCTGGGCTGGAGTGCAGTGTCACGATCTCGACTCGCTGCAACCTCTGCCTCCCAGGTTCAAGTGATTCTCCTGCCTCAGCCTTCTGAGTAGCTGGGACTACAGGCACATGCCACCACGCCCAGCTATCTTTTTGTATTTTTTTTTAGTAGAGACAGGGTTGCACCATATTAGCCAGGATGGTCTTGATCTCCTGACCTTGTGATCTGCCCGCCTCAGCCTCCCAAAGTGCTGAGATTATAGGCGTGAGCCACCAAGCCCAGCCCCAAGTCAGTGTTCTTAGATGTTTTGATTGGATGTGACACTTTCCTTCATTCATTCACATATCCAAATGTTGACTACAAGAGAAGATGTATTGAGTGCAGCCTTTGCCCTCAAGGAAAGTAAAGTCTGAAAGCTAGGCTCCAAATTCACTACTTTTTAG
Organism: Homo sapiens; assembly: GCF_000001405.40. NCBI lineage: Eukaryota > Metazoa > Chordata > Mammalia > Primates > Hominidae > Homo > Homo sapiens. Next base: position 71,459,817 of record NC_000017.11, read on the forward strand.
TTATGGCATGACCCAAAGAAAGTGACATTGAGTTTGGTTTGGAAGTACAATTAAGAGAGAGTACAGACACAGGAATTAAGGGAGAGGAGGAGATACCAAACCTATTACTCTAAAATACAATAATCTCAGGTAAAGAAAAAACAAAACAAAACAAAACAAAAAGAGTAGTAGCAGAAGATGCAGAAAAGAAAGGGATGATTAGCATGAGGGTGAGGAACCCTCTGGGCGTTTCTCCCTCTGAGTGGCAGGAAGCTAAGCTGAACGTACTCCAAGACAATGCTTCTCAAACTGGAAGGTGCATAAGAAAGAGCTGGAGCCTCGGTAAAACATCGGTTTTTCACTCATTAAATTTGGGGTGGGGCCTTGAGATCCTGAACTTTTTAAAAATTGATTAAAGTTTTATTTTAAGTTCACATACATGTGCAGTTTTGTTACATAGTTTTTGCTACATAGGTTAGTTTGTGTCATGGGGTTTGTTGTGCAGATTATTTCATCACCCAGGTATTAAGCCTAGTACCCATTAGTTATTTTTCTTGATCCTCTCCCTCCTCCCACCCTCCTCCACCCTCCAGTAGCCCTCCGTACGTGTTGTTCCCCTCTGTGTGTCCACGTGTCCTCATCATTTAGCTCCCACTTATAAGTGAGAACATGCGGTATTTTGTTTTCTGTTCCTGCAATAGTTTGCCAAGAAAAATGGCCTCCAGCACCATCTGTGTCCCTGGGACATGGAGATTCTAAATTTTTAACAAACTCCAGGTAATGTTGATGTTGCTGGGATCAGGCATTCAGCAGTCACCTGCTGAAGTTTAGCGTGCGTGCGCGCACACACACACACACACACACACACACACACACACACACAAAACCTCATAAGCTTTCATTCTTTCAAGGACTGGTTTACTCTGTATCTTTTTGCTCTTTTTCCTGACTTCCTTTATTTTTAGCCTGACTTTTCTGAGGTTCAAACAGTCACTGATGTGTTCTGTGATATTAAAAACTTATGTCAATTTCTTTGATTAGTTGACAAATACTGGTTCTTATCATTTAATCAGTGGATCCTCCAAGCATTTATTGAGCTCCCGGGGAGTTACTGGTGTGGGTACAAGGCATTGTTGGGGACACAATAGAATTCTAAGGTATGAGCTCTACCTTCAAGGAACTAACTATGAACTTAAAGAGAAAGGACAGACATGCATAGCATATAGGTTATAACAAAATGTTTAAAATGAGGGGTTCAACCAGTTGCATTGAAGATCTTCAGAAGAAGAGGAAGCGAATAAATCTGAGACATCCAGGAAAAAGAGTATCCTTCGATGGCGCCCTCTGGCTGTAGCTCTGCTAAAATATTACAGAAAACTCTGCTAGCTTGACCAACTAACTTTCTTTGAGAAGCTTGGATGGATTTTTTCCCCCTAATTGTTCTGAGAACATAAAAAAAAAAGGATTTTAAAAGAATCATCAAAATAAAGCCATTGGATATCTTATTGGGCAACCGGAGAGAGAGGATGAAGTATAGCCACCAGACTTTCCCCCATTTGTGCACGTCTCTCAGCCACAGCAAGTGTGAACAAAAGGAAATTCTATTAAGCAGCTCCCTAAGATTGAGCTCCAGACACATAAGTAGCTCCTTGGTGTGTTCCTTTGGCCTGTCATACAATTCATTAGGCCACAGTTGTTTATTTTGAGACATTTAACTAGAGACCTTCTTGAGAGAGGCCTACCCTTGTGGTTTGTCCTGATCTTTCTCTAAGTGTGGGAACCTTTGTCTAATTGGATTGACTGGAAGTGTAATGATCATGGCGTGAGTTCTGTAAGCAGCACATAAACCATGGACATTCACATGGAAATGAGGTTAATTACACAGCATAGATGCATCTAATGATTGCACCTGCAGTGCCACAACAACCTCCCTTTAACTCAGTTTCACAAACAATTACAAAGAGCAGCTGCATTCGTTTCCACAGTTAGAGTTTAAAAATCTGTAATGATCCCCAACAGAATAGAGGTGCAGGGGGTGAGAGTGAGGAAGGAGAGGATTCTTCCGGTTCAGATGTCCGTCCCCAGCCACCTGCTGATTGTGCTAATCCCGGGAGCCTTGGGCACAGACATGGAGCCACAATAAGCTATTGCCAGTCCTGGTGTTTGGCTTCCCCCTCACCCCCCTTCTGGCTTAGAGTTTCTCATCTGTCAAGATTCATTAACATGGTGATGAAGATTTATGAAGGGCAAGGTCAGCAAAACTGCAGACTACAAGATCACTGTGAGTACCCAAATTGTATTAGTCAGGGCTCTCCAGAGAAACAGAGCCAGAAGGAAGTTTGTGTGTGTGTATGTATTATATATATGTATATATACAGATATATACATATATATATATATATACACACACAGATATATATATATATAAATATATGTATGTATACAGAAAGATTCATTATAAGGAATTTGCTCATGTGATTACAGAGGCTGACAAGTCCTAAGATCTGCAGGCAGCAGACTGGAGACTCGGGAGAACTGATGGTGTAGTTCCAGATCAAAGGCCAGCAGGCTCGAGACTGAGGAAGAGCCATTATTTCAACTGGAATCCCAAGGCAGGAAAAAACTAATGACCCAGCTTGAAGGCAGTCAGGTAGGAGGAATTCTCTCTTCTTTAGGGAAAGGTCCACTTTTTTGTGCTATTCAGGTCTTCCACTGATTGGATGAGACCCACCTACCTTAGGGAGGACAATCGGCCTTACTCAGTCTATCAATTTAATTGTTACACTTGTCCAAAAACACCTTCACAGAAAGACTCAGAACAATGTTTGATCAGTTACCTGGGCTCCTCATAGACCAGTCAAGTTGACACATAAAATTAACCATCACAGAAACCAGTCCGCAAATCTCAGAAGGATTTCTTGGGAGCAGTGCTACTGAGGGAAGCTCAAAAGATTGTTTCTGATCCTTTCATCTACCATTCTCCATCACCAAATTGACGAAACTCTCTGTCTTATTTTTCTCCAATTTCTTTTTGTTCTCATCTTTATTTCTATTTTCCTGTCCACATGCCTGTCATTATCCCCATAGACACTGATAGGATTTGGCTGTGTCCCCATCCCAATCTCATCTTGAATTGTAGCTCCCATAATTCCCACGTGTTATGAGAGGGACCTGGTGGGAGATCATTGAATCATGGGGGCAGTTTCCCCAATATTGTTCTCGCGGTAGTGGGCACGTCTCACGAGATCCGATGATTTTACAAGGGGTTTCCCCTTTCACTTGACTCTCATTCTTTCTTGTGTGCTACCATGTAAGATATGCCTTTCCTTGTGAGGCCTCCCCAGCCACGTGGAACTGTGAGTCCATTAAACCTCTTTTTCTTTATAAATGACCCAGTCTCAGGTATGTCTTTATCTAAAGCGTGAAAACGGACTATACAGACACATTTTAAAAATAGCAGGAGGATACTACACCACAACGGGGGCTGACTCCCATCCTTAAACGTAACTAAGGCTTTGCATAGACAAACATAGCTAGCATGTCCCTTTCTGATGCGTATTTGGCTCTCAGAGTCAGGAAGCTCGGTGTTATGTCAGTGATGTTGGTTGTATAAACCATGGACACTCATTTCTACCTTCAAAACTGTTGGGCTTTTAGAAACATTGTATCACCCACGTAAAAATATTAGTCTCATTACTTTATAGTTGCAACTCGTTTTGGGATCCAAATGGCATTCCCCAACTGTAAAAGGTAATTGACTGCCGCCAAAGTCAAATCTGCCCTCAAATATTTAAACATTTAAGGAATGTGCTTCAGGCTCTAAGAGCAATTCTGAAAAAAAGGAGGTCCAAATGCTTATGAAAAATTGTATAAACTTTGAAAGGGACCAAGTCGAAGGTGAGAACAACCATGGGGGAGTGTACCTTTTTATATTTATTAAAATAACAAGATTTATTTACCTTTTAGTCCCATCTCATATTTCTTTTCATATCCTATTCTCCCTAAAAGACAAAAGGGACTCACGAACTAAGCACAACCATTAGTAGTCATCTACAAGACAGCCACAAATTATGTTTCTCCCTGCTCTGATCACTCTGGTCAACATTAAACTAGCTGCCGACGGATGAGAGACAGGAGGCGTGGAACTAAGTTTATCTCAGAGAAAAGACATCTATCCTCCACTGATCATCTCTGTAGGTCTCCACACATCAAGCTCTGCTTAAGGAAGCTACACAAGACCTTTGCCCTTGTATGGGCGAGGAAGATGGGGTACAAGGGTCGGGGGCATTGTTCATGAAGGAAGGTAAGTGATAGTTTCCTGCTCACCCCTTCGTTTTAGGGGTCAATCTCATATGTAGACGGCAAATGAAGTTTTTTCCAAGTCTGAAGTAAACAAACAGAGATGAGAGGTACCAGTGAACTTTTGTAAACAGACTAACTCCCTATTGCTTTGACTGTACGCATAACCTGATTTGATAAAATGCTGAAAAGAACACACTCTATCTTCCTTTTGCCTCTATCCAGAATAGACAAATTGGGGTGTTTTGAAAATGTTCATGCCTGGCCTTGTTACTCATAGCTTTACCTTCTCAGAGGTTAATGACAAAGTGATGTTCAGGCCAGTGACTCTGACCTCAAAATATGTTGCCATCATTAATAATGATTTGCAAAGAGTAGAACATCACAATTCGTGATGGAGGGCGTGATACAGGCACTTAGGTAAAGTGTACTCAGGGTGGAAAAACCTAGACTTGACTAATTACTGGCAAAGAGATGCTAGGAACTTGTCCATCTTTACTCATACAGTGGCACCCAACTGATTTCTGCCAAGCTGTGTGTTGCCCGAATTTGATCCCTGGTGATGCTAAAACACATAATACCTAAATACCTTCTGTTATCACTGGTGTCTCTAGAATCATGTTCCCTGAATGTATAAAAATCATTTCTACTCGAGACAACTTAAAAACCACATCGTAACTGGGACGTTTGGAATACAATACTTGCAGGAATGTAATATAGTTTTAGCACTTAAGGGAAACACGCACGTACTTTAAAAGGCCACCATTGGTTTAATCTGGATTTTCAAAAAACAGTTCATCCAAACAAGAGTTCTGTTTATACTTGGGGAGGCTCATTTGGCTTGTTCTGTTTTGCAAAGCACAGTGTTTCTGTAATATGTTTTGGTGGCATCATTTCAAATCAAAACAAGGAAAGGGGTTCTCAAAAATAAAACCAGAGGCCAGCCAAATACGGATTTGCTAAGTCAATTGGTTGTTTGCTTATTTATATTACACTTCTTTTTTCTCCCTCCTTTGGGAATCTGTATTAAAACACAAAACACACACACATACACACACACACCAATCTAGGCAGAGATTAGAACAGAAAGGAGCACCATGTCCTCTGGTTCTGGCTTCTGTGTTAATTTGAAAAAAGAGGTTTTTATCTATCTATCTATCTATCTATCTATCTATCTATCTATCTATCTATATCTATGCATGATTTTTATAGTTACAAATGAAAGTGGATAGATAGATGCTGGGTGAACATTTTAAGATGTAAAACAAAGATACTTTCACCAAGTCCCACCTGTTCAAACATGCGATCATTTTTTTTCCTTAGGGGAAAACCTCTGAAGCTGGTTTGCAATTGTTAAGCTAATCTGTAGCCTAGGGGAGAATAAAGCCACCAAAACCTTATAGAAATGAAGGAAATTACACAGAAATGCCCACCCCCAGATTTAACGTTCCACTTCCATGTGGTTTTGGAACACATGAGAAGTTTTAGTTGTACTTGGAAAGAAAAAAAAACACACACACCAACAACATTTGGAAGAAACATTGCTGTAAATATAGAGATCCTCTCAGTAGTGGGGGATGCCACTTATTCAGGTTGGCAGTAGCTGTGTTTTATTTAAAATATTTTTTCGCTTTACCAGATACTGGAAAAAAAAAAAAAAACCACACACACACAAAAGTGTATATCTCAGGCTGAGGATACCTGTAAGATGAGGATGTTCATGAAACATGTTCAAGTTCATTCATTTATCTATTTGACAATGATCTATGGACCACCTACTATGTACCAAGTCTTGGATAACAGAAGTGGTCAAGGTAGATGATGTCCATCTGCTCTTAGAACTCACATTCTAGAAGGCGCTTGCAGAAAATAAATATATTAACATATAGGCAAGACAATCCCAGATAGTAATATATTTTATTAATAGAATGAAACAGAGCAATGTAATACAGGAGAGAGACTAACTGAGGAGTGTAAGTGGCTGTTTTAGATCAAGTGGCCAGAGAAGGTCTCCCTGAGGAGATAGCATTTGACCTGAGACCTAAGTGCAAGCAAGATGAAGCCACCCAAGCTAATAACCTGCCAAGTGTCTGCTTGACGTAGGTTTAATTTCCCATTGCCTAACCCAATTTAAATCTCTGTCCTGTCGTTCCACCTCTTAATGGTCCAACAATCACATATCCTTCAACCTTATCCTCCACTCTGCTTCTTTAAAATTTCTCAGCTCCAATCCTAACTAGGGTTATTTGTTCATGGCCTTATGGTTTGCTTATAGAGATCTAACTCAATGAAAGCTCAATGGACTGTTTACTCCACCTCATTTTTTCTTTTTTTTTTTGAAATGGAGTGTTGCTCTGTTGCCAGGCTGGAATGCACTGGCGCAATCTCGGCTCACTACAACCTCCACCTCCCGAGTTCAAGCGATTCTCCTGCCTCAGCTTCCCGAGTACCTGGGACTACAGGCATGCACCACCATGCCCGGCTAATTTTTTTGCATTTTAGTAGAGACAGGGTTTCACCATGTTGGCCAGATGGTCTCGATCTCCTGATGTCATGATCTGCCCGCCTCGGCCTCCTGAAGTGCTGGGATTATAGGTGTGAGCTACCACACCTGGCCCTGCTCCACCCCATTTTTTAACGTCCAAACTCTCCCATCCTTCAAGAATCTTTGTAAATGGCACCTTCTCCATGGAGCTTTTTCCAAAACCACTTCAGTAATGTCCCTTTCCTTGAATTCCCATCCCAATATGAATATAACTTTTTCATCTCATTTTGTAATTTCTTCTTCTCCTGGTACCCTAGTTATTTATGCATGACACCTGTTTCCCCCACTTGAGTGTAAACCCTTTGAGAACAGCTCTTTTTGTCTTAACCATTAGTATTTCTTCCAGTTCCTTACTGAAAGTATTCCCCAATCCTCTATAAACACCTATGGCATAACCAAAGAATGAAAGCTAATCTATAAACACAAAACAAAAAAAAAGGTGAGGGTTTTGGGTGTGTGTGTGTGTGTGTGTGTGTGTGTGTGTGTTTAATTATCATTATTGTATAATCACAGTTTAAAAGGAATCATTTTCTGCTTCCTTTTTATTATATTTGCCTTCTTCACTCAATGTTTGGGTCAATCAATTGGCATTCAGTGTTAATGTGGCCAAGTTTTCTGTTTGGTGCTGAAAAGAACAACTTTGCCTGTGAGAGAGGAAATGATTTCCAGCCATAACTCCAGCTAGGTACTTACCAGGTGGTCTATTTCTACTCATGGAGGAGGTTGAAACACATATCCTATTTACCAAAGTCAAAAGCAGCATCTTTATAGGGAAATAACAATAATATGTGTCTTGGTTTGCTTGACTTCTCATTGATAACCTTGCTGAAGAAGATTCTTAAGTTATGTTCCCATTCATTATCTACATTTCTTAACATGATGTAAAGTCATAGAAAATAAAAACAAAAGGTACCTGAGGGATCTTTTTGAAGATGAATTTGAAGCTTGGAGAGATAAGATGATTAGCTCAGGGTTTCATCAATAGATCCAAGACTAGCAACCAAGACTCCCAACTCTAAACACAGCATGTTTTGATACCACATTGCCTTGTTCTCCACCATATAATAATTTTAAATGGGAAGAGTTTTCATTTTTTCTGTCATACTATCATTTAAGAATTTTAGACAAATTGTTTCTGGGGGAAAAACAATCCCTTAATTACTATAATATGCAAATAGAAAAAATCCTTAAAAAAATGAAACAAAAACCCTACTGATGAAGTGTCATACCAGTTGCATCATTTCTGGCTCTGGGCCACCCAAAACAGAGCAGGTAGGTAGTGTTTATCTCCTTATGTTTCAAAATAACTGACTTTCAGGAAGAACTGAAACTGAAATTGTTCCCAACATCACTCAAAGGGAACTGGGTGCAACGAGGCGCTATGGGAAAGTGAAAAGAAAGAAAGAAAGGAAAAATCCACATTGATGCATAGTGTAGCCAGGAGTAGAACATTGATCTGGAGGACTTGCCTGTTCCAGCAATAACAAGAGTTGACATTTGTTACATGTTGATTACACGGTATTGTCTTTTGGAGGTTAAATCAATCAGAAATTTCCTGTACAGCTAATAAAATTGGAACCCATCTGTGGTTTGCCAAGTCACGTTAGACATTGTCTCAGGACACAGTAAGAATACTTGGGCTTTAATATGTTCTGGGCAGAAGAAATAAGAAACCACTTCTTTAATTGAGTTAGAGTTGTTAGTGCTGTCTTCTAGTAAAGTGTTCGATGTAATAAAAAGTATTATTATAACTCCCATTTATTGAAAGCGTATTGTGTAGCAGGTACTTTTCTAAACACTTCACTATAGAATCTTAGTTTCTTGAAACTAAACCTGATGCAGTAAGTGTTATTATCTCCATTTTAAAGAAGCAGAAACTAGATTTCAGAGAGGTTAATCAAGTTTCTGAGGTCACACAGCTAGTAAACACTGTATTTGGAACTTGAACTCAAATATCAAAATCCCAGCTTGTATCCAATAAACTCCAGTGTATGTAGTAAGTGTTCGCCTAATACATGATTCAACTGAACACTAGTAAGACTTATTTGAAAAGCAAAATCTTGTAGTATCCACTAAAAATGTTTATTTAATTGGACTATTTTGTTTTATAAAAAAGTTCTTTTAAGGAGTAAAATTGTTTTGAATGTTTAAACCAAGTACCTCCTAAAACATTTGGCTGTTTTCTATTTTGAAATAATTCTCAGGCAATGGATACCATGTGACAGATTAGATGAGCCTCAAGGATTTTAACTACATTTAACTCAGTGCTAAGACTAGTTTGAATAAAATAACCAGCAAATGAATAACTCATTTTAAGTTGATTCCTATTTATATCGGCTTTCAAGGACTATCACATGAAAACCAATTCAGAGCTTCACAGATTCATATTTTTAACGATTTTAAAATGCAACTCTTTCAAGAAGTTTCTGCTGATTCCTTGTACCAAAGGCCATGCTTCTTCACTGTTAGGTTATCCAGCCTCAGTGTATTCAGTTTGAACCACATTTATATTCACATTTGAGTTACTACTTTGGGAATGCATTTTATACAGGTAGATTTTGTGGGTTTTTTTTTTTTTTTTTTTGGTGGGTGGATAAGATTTTTCCCTCAATTTGCTTAAAACCCATTTCTAAACTTCATTCAATCTCAGATGTCATTGATTTGTTAAAACATATCATTAATTAATTTCGGACTAAAACTTTTTTTAAAGGCCAACAACCAATTTATTGAACAATGTTTCATAACCACTTGAACTATTAGACTTATTCCATTTCTACAGATGTTAAAATGTAAAAATTAAGTACATTCTAGAACCCATGAAATATATTTACATATTTTTTTCTGACACTTGTAGGTACTGAATTCATATTTGGATTAGCTAACTGGTTATGGTGGGACTAGAAAATGTTTAATGCCGCTGGATTAAAAAAATTCTATACCACTTTAATCAATAAGCTGATTATGAAGGTGGAAATATGTGGCATGTTTTCAGAACATAGAATTGTTTTTATTTTCCAAAAGTGAGGCTACGAAGGTTCTTGTCAGCTCTGTTCATTCTGCTGACTACCTCAGTTAAACAGCAGGTCAAATTGCCCAATAAACTTATAGAATTTTTGTCTTTACTTCATTTTATTTACTTATGTTTATTTTACATTTTCAAGGCTTCTAATGCTAATCAGGCCTTAGAAATCAGTGGAAATGCTCTATGAAATAATTGTCTCATAGCTACAAAAGCTAACTGTCCCATTTTGGTAAGATCAGCCAAATTAGTTTGCTTCCTTTTCACACCCTGGTGTCCTCAAGAAATTCTTGTAGAGGAGACATATTGACATATTGCCAACTCCTTCTCATATTTTGTAGATCTGGTCCCCCTATGAATCAGCCACAACTCACTTTCTTAAATTTCCTTAAGGCCCATACTGGCTTGGCCCATTTTGCCTCCCGTGTGAGAATTAGCTTCTAGCTATCCTAGTGCTGTAGAGGCCCTTTAATTGGCTGCCTGATAAATGACACACTGTATTCTTTTTATTGGGATAATTCCCAGGCAACTGATTGGATACAGAGAAATGACAGTTACCGGAGGATTGCTGGCTGGGCTGCAGTCTTGCTTATTAACCAACACAGGTGGGACTGGTATTTGTCAGCCTGAATTTCCTTCTGCATTTGTCTTTGTTACTGTAAGGCAGACCTCTGGCTCACATCAAGATGTTGGAAGTGAATTCTTACATATGTACTCAGCCTGAAATTTGACTTTCCTCTGAGGCCATGTCAATACGGTCAATACAAAGGAGAGAATTCAGCAACTTATCCAAAGGACTCAAGGCCCCAAGACTGGGAATGGAGGAAAATTAAGTTTAGAACAATGAAGAGAGACGATTTAATTATGTAAGTTTTCAGATATCTAGGCATATGTAAATTCCAAGGTCAAAGCAACTTCTCGGGAGAATTGTGTCCCTACCCTAGACAATGCTGCAGAATTAGTCCCATCTTTATGTTTCCTTTAATGTCACGTGGGTGGAAAGAATGGTTTCTTCTTCCTATAAGGAAAGTAGAAATTGCTTAGCTAGAGTGAGGGGGTTTGCCTGTCTACTTACAGAGATATTAAACCAAGCCCACTTTCCCCCTATTTCTTTTTTTCTTTTTCTTTCTTTTTTTTTTTGAGACAAAGTCTTGCTCTGCTGCTCAGGCTGGAGTGCAGTGGCGCGATCTTGGCTCACTGCAACCTCCACCTCCCGGGTTCAACCAATTCTCCTGCCTCAGCCTCCTGAATAGCTGAGATTACAGGCATGTGTCTCGCCTGGCTAATTTTGTATTTTTTAGTGAAAGACAGGGTTTCACCATGTTGGTCAGGCTGGTCTCGAACTCCTGACCTCGTGATCTGCCCGCCTCTGCCTCCCAAAGTTCTGGAATTACAGGCATGTGCCACCGCACCCAGCCCCCTATTTCTAAGCATGAAATAATTTGAAAGATTATATTGCTGTACATGATGCACCATTCTTAGACTTTTTTTCCAAGCCTATCATATGCAGTTTGCCTCCAGCAATTGACAACATCAGTTTTACATGCAGGCATGGACAGCTACAATTTGGCAGGAAGGTTGAAGTGACCTTTTATATTTTTTTCTCATTGGAAGGGGGTCAACTTTGAGCTACATCTATAGTTCCCTTTAAACCATGCACCGTGTGGGCTGGCCTTGACGGGATCTGAGCCAGCCCAATGTAACATCTTCCATTAATGCGCCTAACTACTCTGGGGTCTTCCTCCTGTTCTGTGTGTCATAATAACACACCATGCCTCCAGCACCTTGTCAAATGTTCTTTCCTAATTTAGAAGTGTTTTATCATTCCAGGGAGGCAAAAAATTATTGTGAGAACGAATGTTAAATTATACATTCAAGAAAACATATTCCTAAGGAAAACCAGGGAATGGGCCAAATTTGACTGAAGCCCACTCAAAAATATTTTTGTGCTTCAGTTACTCTTTCTTCCAACACTTAATTTTTTCCATTTCTCCAGAATGCCCCTGATTTTATTTAACTAGTCAGAATTTTTAAATTGTAGCACCTTGTCTGGGCTGCTGTCTTTCAATGTTACTTAAGCTGCAAAATTCTTTCCTTGTTGCTTCTTTGTCTCATCTGACTCTCCCTCTAATCAGATTTCAAATTACTTTACAGCATAGAGGTAGAACAGCAATCTGATTAATTAATCTATTATGTTACATTAAAATGATAATTCATGAGTTGAATCATGTTATTTCTTTCTTTTTCTTTTCTTTTTCTTTTTTTTTTTTTTAAGACAGAGTCTCATTCTGTAGCTCAGAGCTGGAGTGCAGTGTCATGATCTCAGCTCACTGCAACATCTGCCTCCTGGGCTCAAGAGATTCTGGTGTCTCAGCCTCCTGAGTAGCTGGGATTACAGGTGTTCACCACCATGCCCAGCTAATTTTTGTAGTTTTAGTGGAGACAGAGTTTTGCAATATTGGCTGGGCTGGTCTCTAACTCTTGACCTCAGGTGATCCACCCACCTTGGCCTCCTAAAATGCTGGGATTACAGTCGTGAGCCACCACGCCCGGACAGTTCATGTTATTTCATTTCCTCATCTTTCTGAAATCATTTTATTTCCTCTATTCTATTTAATTTTTCCAGCCATCATAAATGTTAATTCAAATTTTCTTTTCCCTGACCCTCCCACCCACCCCAGCACACTGTGAGCTCCCACTTCCTGCTCTATTTTATCCTGTCACAAATTTGTAGTACTTTAATTAAGTGGTGCTACCAACTTTATACTTAATGCTCTTCTCTTTTACATGATTTTTTTCTCTCCAACTATTACAAATTATGTTATACCTTCTTGGAAGACAGAGGTTATAGTAGTTAGTAAGAGCATAAGAAAAAGAGAAAGACCAATGATCTAATGTTTTCTCTACTATTTACTGACTGTGTGATTCTGAATATGTTTGTCTTTTCAGAATTGCTTTCACATTCTCTAAAAAATGGGAATAATAAAACACCTCTTAGGTGGTATAGTGAGTAACTACATAAGGCACTAAATAGAATTTCCTTAGTCTACAGCCTGACATGTACCCTGTGCAGTAAGTATGAACTCCCTTATAGTAGGTGGGTGCAAAAGTAATTGTGGTTTTTGCCTAACTATATGTTTTTATTCTCAGTACTTGCCTCTATGCTTCACTTTCAGCAACTCATAACTCTTTGTTGATTGACGTTGATGCAATCATCAGTTTATCCTATCTTTTGTCTCTCCCTAAAAATTGGTTTATCTTCAAAAGATAGCCTGATGCTCAGTAAGTCAGTCAAGCTCTTTACAGGGAAGCATGTGATATTAACTTGAGGAGCTGCTACAGACATTGCGTAGTATACAGAAGCAGATCAGCAGAGGTCACTGTATAAATCCTGCCAACCAAGGTAGAAATTCAGCCACCATAAACAGCTATTTTGGAATGGAAAGGCTAGAGAAACAGCATGCAGTTAAAAATTAATAGTGTGCTATAAACTTTTCCTTTAAATAATAAATTGATTTTGGATTTGATAGAGTTAGAGTCCCTGTAAGACATCTGATGAAACAGTTCCAAGTGTGAGCCAGTGGAGGCACACATCAGAGGCAGGAGGACTCTGTGGCTTCTCTCAACGCTCATGCATTCCCTCCTTTCCTATCTGCGGGGCTAGGAATGAGCATTATTTTTTTGTTTGGGGTAGTTGCACTTCGGTAGGTTTTTCTACAAGCTACCCCTAGAGGGTGCAATAACCCTCTCCCTCTTACGTTCTCAGCTAGAGACCAGGGGCATGTGTACTGTTGGAAAGTTAATCTGTTCAAAGTAACAGCCAGACCCAAGTGACTCAAAATTTAATTGCAAATAATTTGGACCCAATTTTCAGCCGATTAGCCTTATAACCTGACAGTTATAAAGTGCCTACTATGTGTACATCTTCTTCTGTTTGCACAATTTTCCAATTAGACATAAGAAACATTAAATTGAGCTCCATTCCTCAATTATTAAAAGTTGACCTCTATATTTCTAGGTCAACTAGAATAGTAATTTTAAAATCTGATATTTTATTTATAAGAAGAGTGCTTTGTCTCATTTCCTACAAAAAAGAATGTTAAAAAAATGAACCCCTATTTAGTAAGTATAACTTTTAAATTTGAATGTAGAGTGTCCTAATTTGCTGAAATAAATTTTTATATTACCACTTTATATATAGATTAAAATTGCATCTTTAATTTTTTTTACTCAGACATCGATTAGAAATATAAATGTTTCTTGTTCAATACTTATACTTACTAAAACTGAGTTTGAGGAAATGTCCTCTCTAAGCCTTAGTTTTCTTAATTATAAAATAGGAGATAATATTTGCACATCTGGCACATGGCTGCTCTAAGGGTGAAGTGAGACCATCCATATGAAACACTTAGAACAATGCCTATCATATAGTAAGCACTCAATAAATACCAGCTATTAAGAAGGATACATAATTTTGTGTTACAATATTCTATAATCTTTAATAAATCACAGCTTTGTTACAAAGAGGCATATCACATAATTCTATCTAGTCATATCTGATACTATTCTAATAATTTAGATGTCATTTATTGACTATAGACATATATATGTAATGCACATAAAGAATGATTTGAGACACAAGTCAGAGTGGTTGCTGGTAGGAAAACACACACGCACAAACACACAAATTTCACTTAGTCAATTTGAATTGTGTCAGTCAATGACTTAGAACTGGGAAATTGTAGAGCTTCTTACATTTCAGTAACACCAGTGCCAATCTGTTTGTGCCATTTTAAAATGTTTTGAGCAAAATGTATTTTGTATCTTGGCAATTATGTTATTTGAATCCAGAGTACCCACTCATAAAAGCATGATCAAGTAGGGCAATAAAGATTGGAAGGATAAAAGAGATTCGATATCTTACAAGTGTCCTCTTGCAATCCACCTTCCTTTTACAGAACTAAATTTGTCTTAGAGATACTGCCAATTATCTTAAAAAAACTGTACTCCGCACCTATTGTCACCTTCTTCACTCAATAGAAAACAAGGGGCATCTGAATTAACAAAACGGAAACTCTGAAAAAGTTCCAAACGGCTTCCTCAAATGTAGCACCTTTACCCTCAGAATGTGAAGTTGACAGGTTAGGCACTGACTTAGGAATTTGCTTTTAGGTGCTGGAGATCCCCGTGACCAAATAAATCTTGCCTCACCTACTAACTGATGCTTAAAACTCCACTTTAGCAAACTCTTTCCTTTTCTTGCAGGTTTTTATCTGTGTGAGGAATATAGCTTCATGATATCATCATAACTTTATGATTTCAATCATTTAAAATCTAACACAACTGAAGAACTCGATGACTTATTAGTAAAATGGTAAGATAGAGTATTCAAAGGCACTGGTTCTCTGATAAAAAGAAGAGCGTTAGGCCAGGTGCGGATCACACCTGTAATCCCAGCACTTTGGAAGGCCAAGGCGGGCAGATGACTTGAGGTCAGGAGTTCGAGACCAGCCCCGCCAACAGGGTGAAACCATGTCTCTACTGAAAATATAGAAAAATTAGCTGGGTGTGGTGGCACACACATGTAATCCCAGCTACTCAGGAGGCTGAGGGAGGAGAACTGCTTGGACCTGAGCAACAAAGGGTGCAGTGAGCCAAAATCATGCCACTGCACTCCAGCCTGGGTGAGAGTGAGACTCTGCCAAAAAAAAAAAAAATTAATTAATTAAAAAAAATTAATTAAAAAAAATATATATATAGAGAGAGAGAGAGAGGAAGAGAGTAAACCAGTCTAGAAAAAAGACCTCCAACTCAAAGCCAACATTATGAGGACATAATACCAATTCCTTTCAAGTTTTGTTAACTCTTCCTAGGTGAATGGGTGAGACTGCATGTCTGGTTTCTAATTGTGTCTGTGCAATTTTGCTTCCCAGATGATGGCTATGTAGGGTCTTGTTTGCTGGCTTGGTCTCCTTCTATTTTCAATCTGTACCATTGTTTTAGCTTCTGCAGTATAAATACATATCTAAAGGCACATGTGTGTATGCTGCCCCGCTTTTCTGTGGGTGTTTAGTGCAAGGCATACGTGATTTGTGGCTTTGGCGGCCTGATTTGGGTTTTGCCCTTGAGAAAAAACTCTGGTTCTGATGTGTGTATATAGCAAATGAAGCATACTAATGGCATAATTGGTACACGGTGGATCATGCTGTAACCCCGGATTGCACGGATACCTCAACAGTGAGCTGACTTAGGAACAGCACGTTGCACTTTGCCTTCCGTAACCTCCCCGAGTGTGCCCTTCCAGGTGAGTTGCATGGAGCTGGGGATTGTCCAGGTTCTTGACAGTAGGTTTTGTTTCAAGCAAATGTAATATGCTTACATAATAAACATTTTATGTGACACCTGAAATAAAATTGATTATCCTGGGGATTATCTTTGCCAGTCTCTGCCCCTTCCCAAGAGTACTGCTATATCAAAGCAAGGAGAGGCTTTGAAAGGTGTGAGAATATCCACTTCATCCATTCCATTGCATCAAAAGCCCCTTTGTCAGTTGGAATCGCTAGATAACATATAACATTGTTCCACTTAAGCATAAGCCAGAAAGTGACGTATGAAGGGTACTTTCAGATGTCCCGGTTAAAACATTAACTTGAGCTGAGATGAGTAGAGAGTCTTTTGGACCAAGGTATGAATATCTGGAAGGCAAAGAAATTTTTCCTGGACTATATTACACCAAAATAACTAGTTCCATATAGGAGAGGAATTCTAGTATCTTACAAGTGATGAGTGCATTTTGCATATCTTAGTCAACAGAGACTCTGGGTGAGAAAAGCAGGTGTTCTTCTAAAATATTTTGCTTCCAGAAAAACTGTCTTCCTGGGCACACTGGGAGGGCTTGCTCACTCCACAGGGCCCTGACAGTCTGATCTGATCAAATAGGGCACTGGAAAGAATTTGGCAAAACGTTATTCTGATGGATTGGTGTCATAATCCCATCACCTGTTTAGCAGTTAATTTCACTGTTCCAGTCTTCCTAGTAATATTACCTAAGGAATATGTTATTCCATTTCCCAAAGTCGTTACATTTTTCATTGTCACCTGGAAATCCACACGTTAAAAACTGCTTAAATCGGCTGGGCGCGGTGGCTCATGCCTGTAATCCCAGCACTTTGGGAGGCCGAGGCCATCAGATTACGAGGTCAGGAGATCGAGACCATCCTGGCTAACACGGTGAAACCCCGTCTCTACTAAAAATACAAAAAATTAGCCAGGCGTGGCGGCAGGCGCCTGTAGTCCCAGCTACTCGGGAGGCTGAGGCAGGAGAATGGCGTGAACCCAGGAGGCGGAGCTTGCAGTGAGCCAAGATCGCGCCACTGCACTCCAGCTTGGGTGACAGAGCGAGACTCCGTCTCAAAAAAAAAAAAAAAAACAAAAACAAAAACAAAAAAAACTGCTTAAATCCCAAGGGAAAACTGGCATTGAACTGAATGGTTTTCATTTTTCCAATTTATTTTTTCGGTCACTGCCTACAGAAGTTTTGAGTTTAAGTGAACATTGCCAAAAAAAAATGTGCAGATGCTCAAATCTTTGCAGGATTTATAATATTATATAGGGACTGTTTTATAGCCCATTACACTAAAATGAGTTGGATTTATTACATGCCAAACAACAACAACAAAAATCACAAGTTGGAGAATAATTAACTGGAATAGACATTTTTTTTATCCTTCTACTAGCAAAAAAAAAAAAAAATTGTAATTTTATGCTCCAGAAAAACTCATTCTTAAATTTTATATCTGAGTTTGCTTTGCCAAACTCATATTGTTTTTAAATAAATGATAAAACGTACTCTTGAGGCCTCCATCCTACAAAGGACTTGAGAAGTGCCGTTAATATGAGTCTGCTGTTCATGTTTGTTCTTGTGTATTTTTGTAAGCTACAGAACAAAATGGGCTGGCCATTTTTTTAATGCCCATTATTACCTCCAATCTTTCTTTTTGTCCACTCTTTATCAAAATTCTCCTTCTGAGACAGGTTTTATGGTACACATTCCAAAGTAGACAACAAATAAGTTGTTGCACTTTAAGAGCTAGCATTTGAAAGAGCAGTATATAACATCCAGCTTCCAGACCGTATCCTTGGCCCCAAGCAGGAGGCAGAAAATGTTCCTATGGTCTGAGCACTCATCTGAAAGGCTTGTGACACTCTGTGCTCCTAGTAAAAAGTAGCGGCTCCAGGCCGGGCGTGGTAGCTCACGCTTGTAATCCCAGCACTTTGGGAGGTGGAGGAGGGCGGATCTAAAGGTCAAGAGATTGAGACCATCCTGGACAACGTGGTAAAACCCCTTCTCTACTAAAAATACAAAAATTAGCTGGGCATGGTGGCACGCACCTGTAGTCCCAGCTACTCTGGAGGCTGAGGCAGTAGAATCACTTGAACCCAGGAGGCAGAAGTTGCAGTGAGCTGAGATCATGCCACTGCACTCCAGCCTGGCGACGGAGTGAGACTCCATCTCAAAAAAAAAAAAAAAAAAAAAAAAAAAAGTAGCTGCTCCATTCTTCTTTCTCCTATCACAGCTCAATGATACCATTATAACGTCATGCTTCCCTTTAGGGATCATGTATTCTAAGAGCACCGATGGCTTATTATTACTCTTTCCATAGACCACACAGTTCCTCCCTGAAGGCTCTATCCACAGTTACAATGCCCACAAACCCCATCACTATTGGAAAACTCTGAATCATCAAACACTCCTTACTATTATGTATCAAGAGTGCCTTTTTCTTAAACAATAGTAAAAAGAAAAAAAAATGCAAGTATTTTACAATGTTATTTTGTTAATAAGCCCAGTTATGGTTAAATTCAAGATATAAGTGTCACAGAAGGAGGTGGTTGAAGCATCCCCCAAAGGCACAACACGCACCCGCCCCCCAACACACACACATACAATGATACAGGGTGAATTTCTTCCAGCACTTTCCTTTTTTCATACGTCTGGAATTCTCCTTACCATGAGTGGTAAAATTTCAGGAAAATTCAGAAACAGTATTTTAGTATTACATAATGAATTTTCAATTTTCCAGTTACAGATATTTTAACCACCTCCATTACTAATGTGTGGTCTGCAGGTATGTGTCAGCAAGTTGGTATCTCAGAGTAGCTGTCTTGTCTCAGAGTGACCCCAGACATGAAAAGCATTGGGAAAAGGGACACAGGTCTGAACTCTGGGCTTGAGATGTTATATCAGATATTATTTTCTGCTTACATTTTTATAGTAGAAGATTGATTATCATTTGCCCAGATTTTATCTATATCTATAAATTGGCAATGGCTTTTTTAGTTATACAATTCTATTTTACTAAGGAAAGCACCTAATAATGCTACTGAAAATAATTTAACCAAGATGTCACCATTTGTGAGCAAGCAAACTCTCCCTTTCTTCTATTCATTTAGTCAGTTAATTTATTTAATTTATTCCTCTCCTTGGAATAGAATATAAAAATTCAACATTGCTTGTTTCCTACTAAGTGCTTGACTGTATATGAGGTTCAAGGAAACAGTCAGTATTAAAGGGGATTAAAGAATTGGGGCTGAAGGAAGCGGGGAAGATGTCTCTTCTCTCAGAAACAGAGTGGAAATAAGCCATCATTCTCAGCAAACTAACACAGGAACAGAAAACCAAACACTGCATGTTCCCACTTATAAGTGTGAAATGAACAATGAGAACACATGGACACAGGGAGGGGAACATCACACACTGGGGCCTTTCGGGGGGTGGGGGGAAAGGGAAGGGATAGCATTAGGACAAATACCTAATGCATATAGGGCTTAAAACCTAGATGACGAGTTGATAGGTGCAGCAAACCACCATGGCACATGTATACCTATGTAACAAACCTGTACGTTCTGCACATGTAGCCCAGAACTTAAAATAAAATTAAAAATAAAATAGTTTCGAAAAGAATATGCACATATCTTATGTGCAAAGAATATTTGACCAAGCACTGAGAGTTGCTAATCACCTTCAACACCCCTGCCTCCTGGGTACTTGGTAAAGCTTAGTGAAATAACATATTTATGTTGAAATAACTTTTGGTATCAAAAGAATAAGACATTAATTTGAGATAACATTTTGCTGAAACTACGTTATGTACCTCTTTGGATGAAAATTACTGAAATAAAAAAAAAAAAACTCTAACAAAATTAATACGAAGATTTTTTTTCTTTTATTTTTTTTTCAGACAGACTCTCGCTCTGTTGCCCAGGCTGGAGTGCAGTGGCGAGATCTCAGCTCACTGCAACCCCCGCCTCCCAGGTTTAAGCGATTCTCCTGCCCCAGCCCACTGATTAGCTGGAAATATACCAAGACTTTTTAAAATTCTTTTTGGCATTAATTATTGAGGAAACAGGATCAAGCTATTGTTTCTGCTGGCAACATACACACATCTTATGACTAGAGGTGAACTTAATCAATTCAGGTAACCAATTTGTTAAAGATTTGTTACACAAACCTATGTCCTATGTAGAGATTGACGGCACAGTAGAGTTCAAAGAGCTGATCATATAGCTTCATCACAGACATGAAACAGGCCTGACTGCATGAAATACAATGTCACATAGTCCAGTCCTGAAACAGTAGTTGCCAGCTTCCCACGTGCAGGTTCAAGTTTCTGAGATAGAGTATAGTCTCAATGTTAAAATAACAATTGTAATGATTAACAACCTCTAGGTAGTGGTGTGGACGTCTTTCTACATACACATACAGGATATTAACCTTCACACTTCAAACCAGTCCAGCAAGCACAAACAATACATTGAGGGAAGGAGAATTATTGGGAAAATAGATCCGCATAGGAGGTTGGCAGCAGCCTCAGAGAAAATGGCTTGTTGTAAATACTAAGTCATGAATGCCACCGTTTCTGTATCATTATGCTCTATTTCTGGTGACCTCTACATAGTCTGAGAAAATGCTGACCAGAATAGGTGCTCGTAGGATGTAAGTCATAATGTGCTACAAGGTAGAAATTATTAACAAAATCATGCTTTTTCTGGTCATTTCTCAAGATGTTTGCACCCTACCCAGGTACGGTGGCTCACGCCTGTAATCCCAGAACTTTGGGAGGCTGAGGCAGGTGAATCACTTGAGCTCAGGAGTTCGAGACCAACCTGGCCAACATGGTGAAACCCCATCTCTACTAAAAATACAAAAAAAAAAAAAAAAAATAGCTGGGCATAGTGGCGGGCGCCTGTAATCCCAGCTACTTGGGAGGCTGAGGCAGAGAATTGCTGGAACCCAGGAGGCAGAGGTTGCAGTGAGCTGAGATCTCTCCATTGCACTCCAGCCTGGGTGAGAAGAGTGAGACTCTGTCTCAAAAAACAAAACAAAACAAAACAAAAAAAAACCCCACCCTGGTCAGAGGTCTCTTAGTCTCCTTGGTTATTGCTGGGCTACATATAAAGAAAAATTTTCCCTTTAAAGTAATCCAACCTTTCTGAAAAGCCAACCCTCAAACTCATTCATATAATAAACATTATGCTGTTTAATCCTTTCTGGTATTTAATGCCCAAAATTTATTTACTTACTGAAAAGAGCAACATAAAACAATCTAATTAACAATACCTGGTAAAATACTTTAAGGCTGGTGACGCTTTTCTTACCCTCCTTTTTTTTTTTTCTCATGATAGCAATTACAAATGAGCTTGAGATAGACCAAAGTTGTAATCATTTCTTGTTAGTTTGTTTGTTCTGTCTTCAAATGGCAAATAAAACTGGAAAAATGCTTAAACTTAGATACTGTAAAGTTTTGCAGTTCATCCTATAGATCTTGCTATTTGATTTGGTTCTTTATTCTCAGAGGTGCCTTTCTCATGCAAAATGATCGATGGAAATGTGGCAATCTTGTATACACAGTGAATATGAGAGTGTGATTAGTTTTCATTAGAAGATCAATAGCTTCTTTAAATCTTCGAAACGTGTTTAGACTAGCCTACTTTATTAACTTGGCAATGGATTTTTTTTTAGCAGTCTTGAAGTAAACACATGATTTTTATAGTCTAGCAAAATTATATTGGAAATGCAACCAGGAATACTTGAAGTGACATAAGCACAAAAGAGTATTATATTTAAAATCTTTATCAAATGTTTAACAAATCACTTAATAAAATTTCAGTATTTCAGCACAATGACAAATATATATTCCATACTAAAGCCTTGTAACTATTAATAAGTAAAAACCAAATTGGCTGTGAGATTCCTAGGGATGAGTTTAACACAGGGTTTCTCAACCCAGGCACTAACAACAGTCTGAGGCAAATAATTCTATGTTGTAAAGGTTGTCCTTGCACTTTAAGAAGTTTAGCATCCAGCCTGGTCTCTACTCACTCATTACCAATGGTGTCTCTTACTCCCACCCCGAGCTGTGGTAACCAAAAATGTCTCTAGTTGCAAAATATTCCCTCTGGGGCAAAAATCACTTGAAGCTGAGAACCACTGGTTCAGTATAATACAAAATAGGAGTTTTCATTTGTTTGTTTTTCTTAGTCTTTCATGATAGGTTTATAATTGTACCTAAGAAAGTATATGGGCTCTATCATTTCAAAATTACGGCGGTAAATATAAATGGCATTGAGTTTTTTTAACATGGGCTATTAGAATCAAATTGATAGAGAAAGTGCTAGATAAGGGAAGATACATAGTGGAAAAACCTTAAAGTAAGCTCAACACATTTTTAAGAAGGCTGGTGTTGAAGATCTTATCACACTTAGTAACAAGTGTGAACTACAAATTCTAAACATTGGTTTTGATGGTAGACCTCGTGGTACCCAAGGATGGGCTGCCAACCTCTTATCGAAGCAAATTTTAAGGGTACAGAGGCAGAATTCAGGTGATACTGAAACAACACAAACCAAACAAAAGTGCTAGTTTGGTAATTAATGGCTTCTGAGGGTTGGCTTGTAGGGAAATGGAGCTTGGTAGAGGATTATGGAAAAAAGCTAAGAAGATGCCTGGTGCTTTTGTACCCACTTGCTCATTAATAGGTAAATGAATTGAAGGCTGAGGGAAGAGAAGCTCATGTTCTTCTTGCATGCTTGACATTGCAACTACATTTTATAAATGTAATGTTATTGCAGATGAATGTGATCTCCTGTTCTTTTCTGGCCCAATGCCCAGCACGATGTTCTGCATAGAATCCAGTGCTCAATAAATGTTCAGTAATTATGGTAAACAGGAGAACCTAACTAACAACAGCATAATTTCCCATTTGAAGAATTCTAGATAGTAAATGCAATGTCCATGACAGTTAATAAAGCAATGTTTCATCAAATCCATGTGCTACTGATATTCAGAGATAGGATATGATCTCATTACCAAAAACAAAAATTAAAATAAAGAAAGAGGAAGAGGCAGAGACAGTGCTCTAACTCCCCTCCTCATGATTTACTCTAAGGAGAACATATCACTAACTTTGCAACAGCCAAATATTACTAGACTTCATCTTCACCTTTCTGAAATAAGAAATATTCACTAAACTTTTTTTTCATGCTAATGGAAATGGGAAACAAAAAGGTAGGCTCACAGTACCTACTATGGCAAGCTTGTATGCTTGCTAAAAGTTTTGGCTACTTGAAATTGGTTTATGTAAAACTAAAAATGGAGCCTGTGGATTGCAGGTTGGGATCCTAGACTTGCCCAGTGGCTTCCCAGAATGTAAGCTAGACACTGAGAACCAAGAAGAAACAGCATACCTAGCAGATGTATTACTAAGCTGGAGTTACTTCTGATAGTTAATTAGAAAAGATAATTTACAAGCAAAACATGGAAGACTGCATAGAAAGAAATTTCACAGGATTTCATATGTCCTTCAAGAACCAATGGTTCTCCTTTGCAATTAACAAAATATCCCAAATCCATACTATGATCTAGAAGGTCTGCATTCTTCCACCTCTTTTCCCAAAAGCTTTCCACTCTTTTCACTATTCTTCAGCCATTTCATCTTTCTTGCTACTTATCTTCCAGCTTCAAGACCCTGTGTTCACCATCTTTCTTCCTAGAAAGCTTCTGTCTTCAAATTTTCTACATCTAGTGCCCACTCATCATCATTCAGTGCTCTCCCAGCTCAAATATTACTGCTCAAAGGAAATTTCTTCACCTTCTCTTTCTAGCTAAAATTTTCACTAACTCTGATCAAAATTCCTTGTTGCTTACTTTGAACTCTATTATCTTGTTTTATTTTCTCCTAAAACATGTTGACATTATTTTAATATTTACTTGTTTACATATTTATTGCTAACCTCCTTTTGCTGGAATGTAAGGTCTACAGAGTAAGAATTTTTTTTCAATCTCATTGACCACTCAGAATTGTTTTTGATGCTACATGTTCTTGATCCTTAAAAGCAACTTGAAACCATAACTTTTGACTAGTGTGAAGAGAAGGAAAGATCTCTTATCTGTATTACTATTATTCCTCATTAAACTATTATCTGGGGTAACAATGAACAAGTAATATATGAAGAGAAAACTGTTTCTGATCAAGTAATACTAGTCTTGACTCATATAGATATAGCTTGAGTATTGCCCTCTCATGTTATGGCCTCAGGCCCAGGTGAGCCTCCCTCAAAGGCAACAGAACTATTACCCAGGGTTTTGATGAACAATGAAACTATTTTCACTTTTCTACAAGGGAAAGGGGCAATAGGGGAACTGAGTTTCAGTAACCTCTGAGCCACCATCATGAGAATTTGTGTAACCTACAAGAGGTCTCCCCTCCCTTCGTCCCTAAAAAATATGATTTAAGAAGTAGCTTCCCTTCACTTTGAACAGGAAGGACAACTAGGCAAAACCTAGCACATTTGAATCATTTTAGATGGTGAAGGGGAATAAAACAGTTGTGATATAATTAAAATGCTTTTGAAATTTCGACATTAAATATTTAAAAGTCAGCTCTAGAGGTACTTAATTTCATAGAAATAATCTGCTGTGTTGCAAAATTTTCAGAAGTGCTGCTAGTAAGCAGATGGGAGTATGAATTGAATCTCTAGCTGGGCCTCTGCAATTCACAAAGACCAATAGCAAAGTTTGTTGCAATTGCAGGCAGATAGCTGAGGAATTAGAAGGCCACATTGGCTTGTGAAAACAGACCACAACAATAAGAACTGTGATAAAAACTCTGAAAGAATCTTTATACTTCAAACTATATACTCTGAAATCAAGCACATTGCCTTCATGCCCAGACAAACATATCTTCAACAGAAGGGATTCTGGGGCTTGTGGGAGAAGAAGATAGTCAGTGAAAGAGAAATATATCAGAATGATGGTGTGGAATTGAAAGGGAAAACAATGTGAACAGCTGTAGGATCTGGCTTTACACAAGCAGCTGGAAGGGAGTGCAAGGATGTCTGAGAAGCTCTAGTATCTTCTAATCAGCCATGGGAGAGAGGGCAAGAACGTTATACATTCTCTGTGTGAATGAAGGCTTACGTCTTGATGAAAGCTTTGCCTCCATAAGGGCTTTCAACAAAAGATGAAGGGAAGCTAAGCAAACTGAAGACTCCAAGTTGAAATTTCAGTTGAATAATTTATTTCTCAGCAACATTTCATATTCAATTACTCTGTGTACAGCTAAATGATTGGGTTTCTGCCATTATACTAGTAATCAAAACTCTTCTTAGAACATTTTTCCTGACAGCTGTACTTCTCTACCAAAGGCTTCATCCCTGGAATATAGCAAATTAGTCAAATCAAATTAACAAGCATTTATTGAGTGACTCTAGCCCCCAAATTCCTGGAGAACTGAAGCCATCTCTCATTTTGTTTGTTAGTTTATTCTCACAGTAGGTAAGATGCAGTAGGCATTTATTATACAACTGTTGATTGAATGAACAAATGGATTAATTAATTTTCATTGCCAATCCATGTGCTTTCCAGATTTACATCTCCTTTAATTAGATGAATTTCCCTTTGTGGCTCTGGAGCTGTGACCACAGATACACATTAAAATTGAGGCAAGTCCATTTGGCAATTTCTCACTCTTTTTCAGTGGCATGTTTTTGCAGCTAAAAAGAAATTTAAAGGCGTCTGTCAAGAGCAGCGGCAATTGTTAGAGAACTTAGATGCACGGCATACCAAAAAGAAAAAAAAAAAAAAGCACTTCTAAGAAAGCTCTGACCTGAAAATATGGATGGATTCGCTGACCTGGTATTAAATTAACTAATGAGAAGTTCATCGGCATCTGGGCCCAAGCTATGGGTTAGGAGGAGGAGCACAATCACTCACTTAATTAATTACTTAATTAACCTTTAAGACCAGAACTTTTGGTGGGATTCTCCTGAGATTTAAAGAACTTTATTATTGTTATTATTATTTTTCAAAATGAAACTGGCTCTCGGTATGTGGTTACTCAAAAAGAAAGGGAAAATTTTTAGGATAGCCATGGGTATTTTTTAAAATGGTGCCCATTAAAGGTCATAATATTGATGCAATTTTCCAGGGCTGGTTTCAGTTTTCCCACGGAGTGGTAATTGGGTCATTGGGCCAGTCCTTCTCTTGACTGACCAGTATGGTTTCACCAGATCTGGATAAAAATAGTCTTTTGTAGGAATTGTTAGTCACTATCAGCTTTTCCCTGAGTTAATTTGCCTTTCCTTCAAGGTGCCAAAACCACCTCCCTGGAAACTTAAGTTTTCCATGTGTTCATAGAAGAAGGATACACTAATCCACCCTACCACAGTCTGAATGTTCTACAGTCCTGACTGAGCTGAACTAGCAGTAGATCATTTATTTTGTGGCCCTTGGACTCCAGAAGCAGCCAAAGGCTTGGCAAGCATTGTTTTTATGTGAACAGCCATCTCCTGGGAATAAGGAGATCTGCCTCCTGGTTGGTTGTTTCACTCCTGTTTTCTTTGATGAGTTATATTTCTTCACTTAAAGTTTAAAGAGCTCCTTTCTCAGGAGAGTTGCCTGAGGTCATACAGGAAGGTGACTGGGCCAGCTTCCAGTAAAGAAATGGTTATTCCTGAGAACACAGTCTGCGTAGATTGAATCCAATTGAATTGAAATCACCCCCACAAAGTTTTGTAGTGTAACAAGTCAAGGTAACTAATATCACTCCCTGCCATACAAATTGGTTGAGTTGTGGCAGAGTGCAGAGATTAGAGGGTTAGATGCTCCTCCTTCACATTGCTGTTGGTTCCCAATGTTCATCCAAATCTAGAAAAAATTAAATCTTTAATAGAAGGAACACAGGACCATACACCAGGGGACCCGGATTTTAGGTATGTCTAGTTTACTCCATTCATAGCACGAAGACTTTTAAGTTCCTAACATACACTAAGTGTTGAAATATCCCTTAGTGCTCCATCATCATATATAAAATGGCCAGATGTAAAGAACAAATAACGCAATTTTGCGCAATGGCTTTGCAAATTAAAACAGCAGTTCTCAAATTGGGGTCCATGGTGCCTAAGCCACTTTGAGTTGTCTGAGACATCAAAACGATACTTTATGATAACACAAACAGCGTTTGCCTTTCCCCTCTGTGTTAACATTTGTATTGATGGGACAAAAACAATACTGGCATCTTAAGTGTGAATCAAGTCAGTGGCATTAAAGATAGCCAATTTCATTTAAATCTTTAAGGAAGTAATAAGAATCATTAATTTTATTAAATCTGGATTTGGCATAGATGTATTTTTAAATAATCTATGTGATAAAATGGGAGGCACTTATAAAGTACTCTGACTACCTAAAGAGAGGGAAAAATACAGCTTTACAATTCTCTGAGTTGTCAGCTTAACTACTCACTTTTTAAATATAAACATCATTTTTACTTGAAAGAAAAGCTAACAAATTATGATTATTCAGAGTTGGGTATTTGGCAGACAATTTTTCAAAAATGAATGAAGTAAACCTGTCACTTCAAGGAAAACAACTGGTAGCATTTGTTGTGCATGATGAAATATAAGTTTCAAGCAAAAATGAGCATTTTGAAAAACTTGTTTCCATCACCATGGGCATGGTTTCCGAATATTTCAAGACTTTTTTGGCATGATTGGTGCTAAGATTAACAGAGGTGATTGTTTAATATAATGAAACCTGTCCATGTTCAGAAGATACACATAACTTAGTGAATTATTATTCTTCAAATAACTGATGCAGGATGTTACAAAATCATGCAAGGCTAAAAGACCCATCTGATAGATTTTTAATGTAACAGAGTACAAAAAGCCCACTGACACTATTTCACACTCCACATCCCAACTAAACTTTAAAGATACTAACTTTGAGGGAGTTTTGGTATAACATCAAAGAAGAAATATCCAGAATCATCTGACAGAGTATTAAATTATTCTTCCCTTTACAAATTCACATATTTATACATCCATATTTTCTTTCTATAATTCAACCGAAACAAACTGTAGACACAGAAACATTTCAGAAGCAGACATGAGAATTCAGTTTTCTTCTTTTAAACTAGACATTAAAGTGGAAAATAATGCCATCTTCTCTCTCTTTTAAAAAAATAGTCATTTTTCATTAAAAATACATTAGTCTTCCATGTAAATATTTCTGTTGTAAGTGTATTAATAATTTTAAAAAATTACTCACTTTTAATTTCTAATGTAATACATATTATACTAGACAGCACCTCAATAAACAAAAAGCCCTCGGGTCACAGTGGTTTTTCAGAGAGTAAGGGGGCTTGGAGGCCAAAATGTTTGAGAAACACTGCTTTAATATGATGTACTTCTGCTTCTACTCCATGTTGGTGTTAATAACAGAACTTAAAGGAAGATACTGAAGGATCCAGATACTCTAATCTTTTCTGCTCTCTGGGATCTTCTGGAGGATATCTGTCCAGGTACTCAGAGCTGTTGCACTAGTTCATGATTTATCAGGTTCACCACTTAATCAGGTTTGGACCTCGTAATAAAAATTAGAATTATTGGTCATCTGTTTTCAAAATCTTGTATTAACTGATTTTCCCAGTTTCAAGTGGATTATCATCCCATTTTTTTAATCCAGTTTGTTTCTTCATAACAAATACATATTGTTTTGTAAAGGGCAAGGGATATTCACTGTAATCCATCAAAACCAAAGCCAGTTTACCTTGACAGCTACTGAGGTGATCACTTTTGTTAGGAGTGCTTTCTTCTACTTCTGAAAAGCTTTCCTCTTTGGAAGCCATCAAATTGTCCCCAAGCAATGATGTGTACATCTTAAACATTAGAGCTTCAGGATGTTCTGAGAAGATTTATATTCACAGTGTTGCATGTTCAACAAGTGGAGGTTTAATTACAATTCAGTTATTAGAAACAAAATTGTTTTTGTACCTGGATCTATCTTATTGTGGGCAATTAGCTTAGAACCATAAATAGTAAGCTTAGTTGAAAAGTTAAACATTAACCACAGTGTGTCATTGCCTCACTCTAACTGTGTTGCAGACCTACAAAGCACAAGACCCCATACCTAAGGGTGTCCATTTAATCCTTACAACATCTCCCCCTCTCCTAAAATAGGCAGTTATTTCAGTTTTGCAGATGGGAAAACAGAGGCTCATTCCATGAGAAATTTGCAGAGCCAAGATTAAAAATGGGATTTGTGTAACTTCAATTTTTTCTTTTCTTTTCTTTTCTTTTTTTTTTTTTGAGACAGAGTCTTGTGGTGTTGCTCAGGTTTGAGTGCACTGACTCACTGCAGCCTCCACCTCCTGGGCTTAAGCAGTCCTCCCACCTCAGCCTCCTGAGTAGCTGGCACTACAGGTGCACACCACCACATCTGTCTAATATTTGTAATTTTTGTAGAGACAAGGTTTTTCTATGTAGCCCACACTGGTCTGGAACTCCTGGGCTCAAGCAATCCACCTGCCTTGGCCTCCCAAAGTGCTGGGATTATAGGTGTGAGCCACCACACCTGGCTTTTGTGTGACTTCAAGTTGATAAGCTCTGTAGGTAACATGGCAAGGATAGATTAGAACAGGGAACTATTTCAGGTACTAAACCAGTTAGGAAATTATTGCATGTCCCAATGATGACATTTTCTTTCTTTCTTTCTTTCTCTTCTCTTGAAGAATGATTCAAAAGTTTTCCAACTGTTTGCCTGCTACAACTTCTTACACTCACAAAAAAAAATGATCAATAGAGTTGACAGTATTTGTTCTGAATGACTCTCAGTTAAGGTGTTTCCTATGTACTACTGATATATCAATAACCCCTGAAACATAGCTAATCAAATAACTATAGGTGTTTGATTGAGAGCTGTGGTTTTGCATTTCAGAAATCAGCAATAGATGCATTTTCACTTGAATCTAATTAGGTGGACCAACTTTTATTTTTCTTACTAAAACCATCTCAATCTCCATGGTTTAGTTATTTATTTTCTTCTTTGTTTCAAGATCATAAATGGAAGCCTGAGGAGCCAAAACCCAAGGATGTGCTGGGAACTCCACTGAGAGGTGATCTCTGACCACTGGATCACTTTCTTCTAGAGGTAAAGAGTAGATGGCTGGGCACTGTGGCTCATGCCTGTAATCCCAGCACTTTGGGAGGCCGAGGCTGATGGATCACTTGAGGTCAGGAGTTCGAGACCCGTCTGGCCAACATAGTGAAACCCCATCTCTACTAAAAATACAAAAAAATTTTAGCTGGGCATTGTGGCAGGCACCTGTAATCCCAGCTACTTGGGAGGCTGAGGCAGGAGAATCGCTTTAACTCAGGAGGCAGAGGTTGCAGTGAGCCAAGATGGCACTACTGCACTCCAGCCTGGGCAACAGAACGAGACTCCGTCTCAAAAAAAAAGGTCAATTTAAGTAATTTAATATGGGCCTAATCCTAGATGTGGAAAGTAGATTTTGATAGAATGAAAGATCTCATCCCTATTTTCATTCTTATAGTATAATCATATTTGAGTTTGTAATTCCATTCACTGAAAAAAAAAATCAGTTGGCAAAAATGCCTATAGAAGAGAACACAAGCATTTCTGAGTTCAAAGTTCAGATTTCAAGATTTAGCAAATATTTCTGATCACACATAAAGTTGTCCATGGTTTCTGAAACGTGCTCATCTTGCTCTACTGCGTAAGACCCTCCTGGATTTCCCTCTACATTCAGGGTGAAGTTGCTACTTTTGCATCTTAGCCAACAGGCTATGTACCCCCACCAGTGTCTACTCTCCAGCCACAGGTCTCCTTGAGACTACGGTTGTCTCTTTCTTTCTAGCCATGATGATGCATTTGTAGTTGTGTAGATATATATTCCTCTGATAATGCTCATCCTACTTTATTTTCTTGAGATGGTCTCCCTCCTCCCAGTTTTGTCTTTCTGGTGACATACACAGGTGTTTTTGAGACTCACCTCAAGTGCCACCTACTGATGGGTAAAACCAAGACTGGACCTCAGGAAAGCCCTTAATGGTTTTTATTTGTTTATTTATTTATTTGTTTTTTTCTGACAAACATCCTATGCTCACCCAGCCCCAAACTAAGAAGAGCACATTTCTTCTGGCCAGCTATTACTGTACTTAAACATTCTTCCATCAGAGTCCTTCCAATACTGGTATGTTTACATCCATGTTTCGCTCGTAAATTTATAAACCCCTTATTGACAGAGGCCCATTTTGATTTTTGTATCTTGGGCAAATATCAGAATGTTAGGGGTATATTACATACTTAATACATATCTGTTGAACAAATACATAGATTTCCTTTAGTTCAAAGACTTTTTACTTCTGCTCAACTTTACAAAACACACATTAAATCAGTATCCTGACTGATTTAAGAAGGAAAAACAAATGCCAGCATGGATCGCAGAAATCCTAACCTGTGATCACTGAAGGAACTGATTTTTCAGGATTAGTTGATACTAATTGTATGGTTTGAAGGATACATGGGATTTAGTAACTAAATATTGTTATCTTGATTCGAGTTATATTTGAAACTGAGTCAACTTGTGCTTTTACTAGCACAGCTAATAAAGACAGCATTATTATAGTAACTCTATTTTCTGCACAAATGCAAACTTTTTTTGTATTTTAACTAAACTGTGTGATGTTTTATGCTTAAGAAGTTACCTAGTCCAATATTTGGGGGAAAAACAGATACTTGGCAAATATATCTTGAATTATTAATGAATAAATGAAAATAGAAGAAATTCAATTCACTTCTCTGATTTTATAGATGACAGAATTGAAGCCCAGGTAGTTGCAGAACAATGACAAATAATCATCAATCATCACGGCTCCTGGGTCGATATCTACTTTTCTGTATATATAGTAGATATTATAAACTGTAAGGATTTTAGATGGATAGAGCACACAGTCAGGGACATAAAACCTCATTGCAGGATAAGAACCACTGATCATAAACCCAATACGTACCTTACATTTTACTGTGTGCTATGGATAAAGACAAGAAATGAGTAAGCCAGAATGTCCCATGAGGTGAGTACAGTCTCATAGAGGAAGTATTTATAGTTCAGTATGATGTATGAAGTGTTAGGGGGCACAAATGAGAAAGCAACTCCACCTGAGGTAAGAGAGGAGAGAAGGGAAAGCTACAGGGAAGAGGTGACATTGGATATGTCTCCTGAAGTAGGCATGTTCCAATCTCAAGAGATGAGGAATGACATTTCAGGCTGAAGACACAATTGCAGCTCATCAGAAGTGATAAACCCATATAACAAAGTGGTTCCCTCTGCAGTAACAGAACCAAAGCTGACCTTAGCTGCGGGACATTATTACCCAAATGAAGAAAAATGACAAGTTGCTTTTCAAGCCATCCCAGAGTGGGAAGCCAACATGCCAGGAGCTATAAAGAGCCTCAGAAGAATACGAGAAAAAGAAAAAGAGTTGTACCCTTTCCTGTGGCAAAAGCACTACAAGCCAACACACCTTGGTTCTGCCAGATTGATTTTTGCATAGGTTGTCTTTGTAATTTTTTTGTATATTAATTTTTTTTTGAGACAGTGTCTTGCTCTGTCGCCAAAGCTGGAGTGCAGTGGTACGATCTCCACTCACTGCAACCTCCGCCTCCTGGCTTCAAGTGATTCTCCTGTCTTAGCCTCCCAAGTAGCTGGGACTACAGGTGGGTGCCACCACGCCTGGCTAATATTTTGGCTTTGTATTTTTAGTAGAGACGGGGTTTCATCATGTTAGCAGGTGGTCTTGGTCTCCTGACCTCGTGATCTGCCCACCTTGGCCTCCCAAGTGCTGGGATTATAGGCATGAGCCACTGTACCCGGCCTGTATATTAATATTTTAATACACAGCAAGTATGTTTTTTATTCCAAGGGATTAAAAAAGGTGATTTTAGTGATGTCAGTACATTCTGATGCCAAAATTTATGTTTCACTGCAGCCTTACACACGTCACACTGATGTGGGTTGCTCTCTAGACTTGACAATATCTAATGTTAGAAGTTTAAATATCTTGAGTTGAGAAAGGCATCAAAGAATGATATTGTGTATTGACTCTAGGGAAGTAAACTCTTGGATTCCAATCTCACCAATGCCTCCATCTCTAGAACTCCATCCTTCACTAAAAGTGAGTGTTGCTAATAAACTGTCTCAATGAACACTTATTGAAAAAGAGTTCACCCCCCTGCTTCACCCCACCCTGCTCAGTTTCCTAATAACCACGAGGAAGTATGAGGTTACACAGTCTGAGGGATAGGAGGAGAAAACAATAGGTTATGATTAAAATAAAGATTCAAATGGAAATTAAAATAAAGGGAACAGACATCTGAGACATGTAAGAAAATGACTTAGATTTCTGGAGGAAAGAGAGAGTTATTTAAAAAACATGCAGGAGATTAGCAAGAAGATTCCACAGGTTTTCCATTCATCATCTTCATCATCATCATCATCATCATCATCATCAACATCATCATCATCAACATGGAGCACTGCACAGTGTTTCAAGCCTCATAAGTAGATTCCCAAAGCATCGGTCACGACCCACTACTTTTAGCTGTGCAACCATTCAATTCCTTAGGCTTTCTAAGCCTCAGTTTCCTCATCTATAAAATGGGGAAAATAATAGTACCTAACTCAACAGGTTTTAGGAGAATTAAATAAGATGATGCACATAAACTTTAGCATGATATATGCCCACAGAACAGACTCTCAGTAAATTCTAGTCATCATCAACACCACAAAAAAAATTTAAAAACTCAAACCTGACTACCAATTTTGTGTAGTACTAGGCAATCCAAGGAGAGATTCATCATCTATCTCAGATCAGACATCTCGTGAACAGTCATTTAGTAGGTGGATGGATCTGAACGATGAACTGAACTGCTTTTTCATCATGTGGAAATTGCCTTCAGATAAACAGGGATGATTGCATGCCCCAAAGTGTTTCTTAAATTTTCTACAAAATGCCAAAGAAAGGCACTTTTTTTTCTTAGTAAAACATTATAGCCTTGGTCACTTTGAGTAATTAAAGAGGTTGTTTTTGTTTTGTCCCCTCTACCTTGCTTGAATTAAAAAAAAAAAAAAACTCTAATACACCATTCTTCTTGGGCAAACTCCAGCCAGACAGATATTTGCCATTCCATTATTGTTTTAAAGTGTTAGCCCCAGACACATAAGCATTGTTGGAATGCAATGGAAAAAAAAAAAGTTTTAAATCTCAAATGGGGTAATAAACTGCAGCCAGAAGCTAATTGTACTGAAACTTGAGCTTTTATAACATGTTACTACTGTAGTGGGACCACTCAGCACTACTTTGGTGGGGTTGTTGTGTAATTGGTAGTAGATTACGTTGCAGACATATTTAAAAAAAAAAAAAAGTCAAATCAGACATTTCTGCTTATTACTGTAGACCTCAGCATAATTCTCAAAGAAATCAATGCATTTCATCCATTAAACTATTGATGGGGGGTATTAATTCATATAATGTTTAACTACTCACTGTGGACGTTCTCTCTGCCAACTTTCTTCCACCCAAGAAGTCCTGAAATGTTGCTGCTCCTGTCAAAAGAAATGAATCATTAATAAGAACCAGCAAGGCCACTGGCAAGCTAGAAGCTGGGCCATGATATATACAGGCTTCACATTCTTTTAACTGAGTGCTGAACTGTATGTGTAAAAGGAGAAAACAGCCCAGTAGGGTTTTACTAAGAGTCTAAAAGCAATACAAGGAAGGGTACATCCATCAAATCTATTTATTGAATATTTAGGGGATCTGAGAACACTTTTTTAGAATATATATTTTTTAGACAGTCTAGAGTCAATAGGAATGAGGACTTGTAAGTAATACTCCAACTAAACTCTGCACCCACAGGAGGGCAGGGAAAAGGACCATACTTGTGTGTCTAAGTCTTAAAGAAATTAGGTCAAGTCTAGGTGAGAGTAGGCCTACTCCCAAAAAAGTGTTGTGATAAAAATGGAAGAAATGCCTCCTTTTCCAAGTCCTCATCTTTGTGCTGTGTTCATTTATTTGTATTGTTATTTTTTTCTTTCTCTCTCCTTCTGCCCCTTTTTATATTGAGACCACCTGCTTTTATGGAACTACATATCTACTTGCGGCCACAAAATGAAGAAATGTGGATATCATAAAAGAGACTTACATGGTCACAAAATCATGAGTGTTGAAGTTAGATTTGAATCTAAAGCCTAGTTCTGCCATCTCTTCTTAAAAATTATTTTACCCCTTGAGTTTTAATGAATTACCTCATAAAATGTGGATAATAATACAGATGCTCTTCAACTTACGATGGGGTTCTGTCCTGATAAATGTATTGTAAGTTGAAAATATTTCAAGTCGAGAGTGCATTTAATATGCCTAACCTACTAAACACCACAGTTTAGCCTAGCCTAGCTTAAATGTGCTTAGAACACTTAAATTAGCCTATAATTGGGCAACCTCATGTAAAACAAAGCCTACTTTATAATAAAGTGTTGACTATCTCATGTGATGTATTGAATACTGTACTGAAACTGAAAAACAGAATGGTTGTAGGGTACTGAAAGCACAGTTTCTACTGGATGCAAATTGCATTCACACCATTGTAAAGTCCAAAACTCTTAAGTCAGGGACCACCTGTACTGACCTCATGAAGATTTGATAAAGAATAAAAAATAATATATGAAATTCTGAGTTGAGTTACTGGCACAGAAGATGACAGTCAGTGTTGGGTAAGTTATGACTATGATAATGAAGAAGGAAATAAAGTTTACTTGTCAATTGGGATGGTCATTTTAGTGAACCAAAGTCCCAAAGCAGATTTGAGATCTAGATCACTAATCACTATCACATCCTTAAAATTCACTCTGTCCTATATGTGTGTACTTTAGCTACCTGCTGGGCATTTCCTAGACTAATGTTTAAAAATGATGGAAGATGGCCAGGCGCCGTGGCTCACGCCTGTAATTCCAGCATTTTGGGAAGCCGAGGCGGGCGGATCATTTGCAGTCAAGAATTCAAGACCAGCCTGGCCAACATGGTGAAACCCCATCTCCACTAAGAATACAAAAAAAAAAAAAAAAAATAGCTGGGTATGATGGTGCATGCCTGTAATCCCAGATACTTAGGAGACTGAGGCAGGAGAATTGCTTGAACCCGGGAGACAGAGGTTGCAGTGAGTCAAGATGACGCCACTGCACTCCAGCCTGGGCAACAGAGTGAGACTCTGTCCCAAATGAGGAAGAGGGGAGTAGGCTCGATCT
Organism: Homo sapiens; assembly: GCF_000001405.40. Taxonomy (NCBI): domain Eukaryota; kingdom Metazoa; phylum Chordata; class Mammalia; order Primates; family Hominidae; genus Homo; species Homo sapiens. The sequence continues at coordinate 71,496,319 of NC_000017.11, forward strand.
AACGTCTAGCTGAGAAAGCCAATCCCATTTACGAAGCCTGGAAATAACGTTTGTAAAGCGTAAATTATCACCATATTTTAACAGGGCTTAAAATATTCTGTCAAGCAGGCTAGAACAATTCCTTCCATCTAATTTTAAATATATTCCATAGTAAAGAAATATGCTGTGGTTAGACAAATGTAGCATTGAGCTTATTACTTTGTATATGTTTTCTCTGTTTGAAAACATAGTCCTTATCCTTAGACTTATATCTGAAGAATGTTTAGAATTTTATAAAACAAGACCATAATCTCGACTGATCTTCACTGTGATCCTGTGAGGTCCTTATTATTATTGTCATCACCAATTTACAGCTTAAGCTCAAAGTGGATTAAGCAACTTGCCCAGTGATCACATCATTGGTGTATTGCAGAAACACAACTACAACCATGATCTGCAGCTACTAAGTCCAGAAGTATTTCACTAGAGGATTAGAAGTGGTTTTATACTTTCAGTGCTGAAGGCCACAGATCAACTTGAGTCAGCAACTTTTAATCCAAACCTCTTAGGGAAGTATATATTTACTCTGAAAATGTTTCATATATAAGTGTCTCCTGCTTTCGAGTATCTTTAGGCTCTAATCTATTTTTAAACAGACATAATATAACTGATTTCTTAGGTAAGTATTGTTCATCACAAGGAAGACTGTACAAGTATTCCAAATATATTGTCATTCATTCGTTCATACAAAAATACCGAAAATAAGCCTTTACTATGTCCTAAACACTATTCTAGGTTCTATACACACCCAGTTAAAAAAAATAAAAATAAAAATCAGACAAAAGTCGCTGCTCTTTTGCAGCTCACAATCTAACTTAGGGGAAGATGAAATATATAAATAAGTACCATATACAATTTATTTAGTGGTATAAAGTTCTATAGAAGAAAACAAAGTGAGAAATAGAATTAGGGATTGCTGGAGTGCTACTTTAAATAGCGTTATTTGGGAAGACCTCACTGATAAAACTATATATGACCAGAAACCTAGAAAAATAGCTAAGTAGAGTGACCTATTAGGAGGCTTCTGCAGTATTTTGGGTGAGAGATGATGATGGCTTGGAACAAAGGAGGGGTCAGTTTAGATAGAGAGAAGTGGTAGAATATAAATACATTTGGAAGACAGAGCCAACAGGATTCGTTAACAAATTAAATATGGAGTTTGAGAAAAAGGCAGAATATTTGGCCTAAACTCTGATAGGTGAGTGTGAACCTATTAAGGTAGTGAAGACAGAGATAGGACTAGGTTTGGGAGGGAAAGTTAGGTGTTCAGTATCAGACATACTACATTTTAGGTGTCAATTGGATACCCTATGGAAGAGTCTTATATGCAGGCAGATAATTCTGGAGTTTAGAGAAGAGGTCCTGGTTGGAGATTAAAAAAAACAGAGAACTGTCTGTGTATGCAACACATTTAAAGCCATGAAATTTAATGACTTCTAGGGAGTGTGAATAGATAAAGACAGGGCTCACAGATGGACCCTGGGACATTCATAAGCTTAGAAATTGGAAAGAAGTAGAGCAACCAGAAAAAAAGACTGAGATAAAGACCAGAAGCCTTTTGCTTAAATACGTAGAGGATATTTTTGAATCAGAGATTATGTGTAGAACCCTTAAACTTTACCTCTGATCCTTAATTTTATTTATTCTTCCGTATCATGCCCTTTAAAAACAGTGACATAATTCCACATTCCCTTATCTTTACCTTTCTTTTTATTAATTAACTGTTTATTTATTTTGAGACAGGGTCTCACTCTGTCATCAAGGCTGGAATGGAGTGGCGTGATTTCAGCTCATTGCAACCTCCACCTCCTGGGCTCAAGCAATCCTCCCACCTCGACCTCCCAAGTAGATGGGACCATAGGTGCACGCCACCACACCCAACCAATTTTTTGTATTTTTGGTAAACACGGGGTTTTGCCATGTTGCCCAGGCTGGTCTCCAACTCCTGAGCTCAAGTGGTCCACCTACCTCGGCCTCACAAAGTGCTAGGATTACAGGCATGAGCCACCACGCCGCGCCTGGCCTCTACCTTTCCTAAGTGATCTCTCCTTTTGCCTGAAATCTCTTGATACTGTAATGAGAATTCCTTGAAGGCATGGAAGAGATTTCACTGAGCTCTGTCTACTCCCCCCAGGTCCTGCTCAAGGTGTTTGTAAGATGCATGAGAGTGTACAAATCAACTGCTTAAATTCAGAGATTACATCTGCATTATGACTTTATGAATCCTGCTCCTAACGTCAAATGTGAGTGGAAAAAGTTTGCCAGTTCTTCAAAAAGCTAAAATTTTCATAAGACCCAGAAATTTTACTGCTAGGAATATATACTAAAGAATTGAATGCTGGCCCTCAAAAAATACTTGTATACAAATGTTTATACTGGTACTGTTCACAATAACCAAAGGTAGAAGATGCCAAAAAATCATAATGAGAAAAAGAAGAGTCTCTTCAATAAACAGTGTTGGGAAATTAGGTATCTACATGCAGAAGAATAACATTAGATTTTCATCTCACACCACACACAAAACTCAACATAGATTAAAGCTTTAGATGTAAGATCTGAAACTATAAAACTACCAGATGAAAACAGGGGAAAAGCTTCATGACATTGGGCTAGGCAATGGTTTTTTGGATATGACTCCAAAAGCACAGGCAACAAAAGCACAAATAGACAATGGAATTACACAAAACTAAAAAGCTTCTGCACAGCCAAAGGAACAACAGAATTAAGAGACAATCTTGAAGGGAAGAAAATATTTGCAAACCATACATCTGATAAGAAGTTAATGCCCAAAACATACAAAGGAACTCAAGCAACTCAAGAAAACAACCCAGTTAAAAACCAGATAAAGAACCTAAACAGACATTTTCCAAAAGAAGACAAATAACCAACAGGCATATGAAAAAAATACTCAACATCACTAATCATTAGGGAAAGGCAAATTAAAACTACAATGAGATAACACCTGACACATGTTAGAATGGCTGTTACCAAAAAGACAAATGGTAAGAAGTGTTAGCGAGGATGTGGAGAAAAGGGAACACTTGCACACTGTAGGTGGTAATGTAAATTAGTGCAGCGATTATGGAAAACAGTATGGTCATTTCTCAGTAAATTAGAAACAGAGCTACCATATGATTCAACAATCTCACTACTGGCTATACATTAAAAAATGAAATCAGTTTGTCAGAGAGATATCTGCATTGCCATGTTCATTACAGCATCATTTACAATGGCCAAGATATGGAACCAACCTAAATGACTGTCAGTAGATGAATGGGTAAAGAAAAAGTGCTATATACACAGTGGAATACTAGGCAGCCTTAAAAAAAAATTCCTGTCGTTTATGACAACATGGATGAGCCCAGAGGGCATTAAGTTGAGTGAAATAAGCCAGGCACAGAAAGACAGATACCACATGATCTAACTTATATATGAAACCTAAAAATGTTGTGAACTCATAGAAGCAGAGGATAGAATGGTGGTTATGAGGGGCTTGGAGGGTGGTGGTGGGAGGCATTGGGAAGACGTTGGTCAAAGGATACAAAATTTCAGTTAGAAAAGAGGGGTAAGTTTAAGAGATCTATTGTACAACATGATGACTATAATTAATAGCAAAGTATTGTATACTCTAAAGTTGCTAAAAGAGTAGATTTTAAGTGTGCCCACCACAAAAGAAATCTGAAGTATATGAATAATGGTTATGTGAATTAGCTTCATATAGTCATTCCACAATGTACACGTATGTCAAAACATCATGGTGTACACCATATGCACAATATTTGTCAATTTTAAAAAGATTAATTTAAAAGAGTTTTTGTATTATTCATATTCCACAAATGTAAAAATTTTTATTTAACACTTACAAAATATACATAACAATTACATTTTATGTAAAACATAAAAAATGCAAAATGTGTTTTAATGATTTAGCAATGGGGATAATACGCATGCATATGTACATAAACATATAGATATCATCTGTTAAACTACCTGTGTATGCGTACCGTATATATGCCTATGTTTATATATATGTATATCATAAGCATATGCGTCATACATGCATATATACAGGTGTGCCTATATATGCACATGTATATCTATATTTTTTAACACATTTATATGTGTATATGCATATTTACACATACATATATTGTATGCATATTCATATATATGAATGCCTATATCCCCATAAATATGTATACATATTTTTTTTGAACCATTTGAAAATAAGTTATAAACATATTACCCCTTTACTCATGTACATGGTATGCATTTCCTATAATCAGGGACATTCTATTGTAATACCACATACAATCATTAAAATCAGCATATTAGTATCAATAGTACTAAAACCTAATCTATACCTCTTTTCATATTTCATTACTTGTACTAATATGCTTTTTAGTAAAATAAGAAACATTGAGTTAAAACTTATGAAATGTAATAGAATGGGTAGCTGAAAATTTTTGGACTTTCTCTTGTATCTAGGTCGTTGTATTTTCAAACACTGAGATAATATATTATGCAACATGCCTGGGGTGGATGAAGAATGGATTCAGGAATTAAATTCATTCAGTTACTTAATCCCAAATGTGGGTGCTTTTACATTGTGAAACTATTAATCACTCTAAGAATAGAAGGAGGGCCAAAAAAACGATTGTAAAGTCCTGAATATCTTTCAGCCTAAAAAGTGTTCTCTGTTGACTTTTTCTTTGATCATGAAAATCTACAAGCAACCATAAAATTTTACTGGAGTTATAATTATTTGAAACTTTCATGGTGTCTCTAAAACACTTTATAATAGCCTCAAGTATCATAAGTTGATATTATTTCTACTTTTCCACTTATAATGAAAATAAGAATTGTGACTTTTATTCATCATTTCCACATGAAAAAACAGTAGAAAAAAATGGTGTGTTTATTCACCTTGAAAATGCCCAGCTGGGGTTTATTAACCACACTTCAGCTACTCATCTTTGTGATGCTCAAATATAGATAAGATAAAATCACAAAGACCTCCCAGATGACAAGTCCAGCAAGGTCATTAGATCAGAGGGAAGCTGAGTATTCTGTGACTGTTTTATAGTCAACAACAAAGTATTTATGTTCACGATGTAAGTTATTTGAGTATTTTAGCAAATTGAAACCTACAGCCAGTTTTACACCACCATCTATGATCTGATTGGCATATTCTCTCAATAGGGGGTACCAATACTGCAAACTCATGTTCACAAAAGCCTTACATAATGAGATTTTCTACAGACACACACACACACACACACACACACACACACACACAGAGATATACATGCACAAATATATTCAATCCTTAAATAAGGCTTACTCATTTATCTATCTATCTATCTATCTATCTATCTATCTATCTATCTATCTATCTATCTATCTATGTGTCCATCTTTATAGTCTGCTCTAAGCAACAGAAATGAATCATACCCTTTGTAAAGACAGGGACCCAAAAGAGCGTACTGTGTCTTTCACCATATGGCACTCACAGTCTAGTTGGGATCACTGGACTGTAAAGAGAGGAACCACAAGCCAACATCAATAGTTCTTTAACACAGATCTGAACTGAGTGTCATGGGGTCATGAAGAAGAGCCTGGGTGAAACTGCCTGGATTTATCTAGAAAAGTGTCACAGAGAAGGGAATATCTGGACTGTGAAATCTTGATGGCTGAACAAGAGTATCTTAGGGAAAAAGTATTGGGAGGGACATTTATAAACAGAAGAAAATATATATATATATATATACACACACACACACACTCAGAGATATACATACACACATCTGTATGTAAATATATAGATGTGTAGTATGTGTGTATGTAATATATAGGTAAAGGTGATGGTATAGGTAAAAGATAATGGTGGCTAGTCCATACAAACAAAATACATTTTAGGGGTTCAGGAAAACTACAGGATCCAGAGTACAAGATAAATGAAATCAAATTCTTTCTGATTTCATGGCTTCCTCTGGGAAGCGGTGGGTAACAGCCACAACCCCTTCAAAAGGGAATTTTAAAGAATATTGGATGCATCAGCTGCCATACTCTGTATCACATCCCTCATTACACTGGTCAAAGTTGATTGTAAAACAAATGGACATCACACCCCAAAATGATTAAGCACTAAATGGGAAGGTGGTCCACTAATTGGCCTAGCAAAGCAAATTGACCCATCCTACATGATGATGGGTGAATCACTTTGAGTCTTTCAGCTTCTTTTTTGTTCTGCTGTCAGTCTTTCATCCCTCTGTACAGAGTCTGGTCAGAGACAAAACATAAACCAGAAGCGATGTGATGGAGAGATAAGAGTGATATATTTTATAGCAGACTATAAAAATAGATAGTGAGTAAGCCTTATTTATTTAAGGATTGAATATATTTGTGCATGTATATCTGTGTGTGTGTGTGTGTGTGTGTGTGTAGAAAATCTCATTATAAAAGGCTTTTGTGAACATGTGTTTGCAGTACTGGTATCCCCTATTGAGAGAATATGCCAATTAGCTAAGAGGGATGTAAAAGCTATGGAGTGAGTATTTTCCTGGCTTTGTCGCCCATGACTCCTCATTCAGCCCCTTCTACCCACACCTGACCATGCTGGGCCCGAACTTTCTTTGGACTCCACACTCGCTCTCCCCACTGCCTGCATGGTGAATTTCCTCCACTTCATCAGGTCTTTTTGGCAACGTTACCATCTCAGGGAATCCTCAGTGAAGTGAGACACCTCTTGTCATCCTGTCTAAAGTTCTACCCTTCGCAGATTTCGAAGTCCCCTTTCCTGCCCCCTTCATTTTTCCTTAGCTTGTATCACTATGGAACATACCACATCTCATTCTCCATCCCTGTTTTGTTTTGCCTCTATTTTGCATTAGAAAGTAAGCTCTGTGGGTGCAGAATATGAATCTGCTGTGTTCATGGCTCTATTCTGTGTTCACTGTTCGTTGCCTAAATTAGGTCCAGGAATCTGGTTAGCACTTGGGAAAGTTATTCGTCATCCCTAACTTCCCCTGATGCATTTTTTTTTTTTTTTTTTTTTTTTTTTTTTGAGACAGATTCTCATTCTGTCATTCAGGCTAGAGTGCAGTGGCATGATAACAGCTCACTGCAACCTCGAACTCCTGGGCTCAAGCAATCCTCCCACCTCAGCCTCCCAAGTAGCTGGGACTATAGGCGTGTGCCACCATGCCGTCTAATTTAATTATTATTATTTTTGTAGACACGAGGTCCTGACATATTGTCCAGGCTGACCTCCAACTCCTGACCTCAAGTGATCCTCCTGCTTCAGTTTCTGAAAGTGCTGGGATTACCCGGACACAGATTCATCTTCTACTCTTCTGCTTTGCTCTGTGCCCTGGGAGGTAGACTCCTTTGGACTGGATCCCTTGTCAAATAGGTTCTGGGTGCTTCCAGCCAATGGGAGGTACTGTGAAGTGAGTGTAGGGAGGGAGGAGAGAGAGGTTGTGGTATTTCTCTGCCCCATCATTGCTTCCGTTCATCTCGAGCAGTAGCTGCATTCCTCCACAATTCCTGCCAGGTATTCTGTTCATCTGGGGTTGCAGCTCTAACTTGGCTCGAATAAAAGCAATTCTTCCTTTAATTCCTTCCACCCTGGAGGTGTAATGGCTTCCTGCTGCTCCTAATCTCTAAGCACTGCATCCTCTCTAGATTTATACTTGTAACCCTATCTACATATCATTAAGTAGACCCTTCGTTAAAATCTCTTCATTTGTACCATCTGCAATGAGTTCTCTTTCCTGCCAGGACTCTGACTGATTAAAAAAAAAAAAAAAAAAACTCAATAAAGACTTGTTGAAAGGCTGCTGAATGAATGAAAAGTCTTGGCATCCTTTGGAAATTTGACTGATTGACTTTGGCACTGGAACAGCCATGGAAGAGACACTAAAGGAGGAAAGGCTAGAAGTCAGCACCAAGAAGATAACTCTGGTATGCCTTGCCAATCCTCGACTGTGTGTATATGTGTGTATGTAACGCAATAGCCACTGGTTAAGGAGTGATTAATTCAGTCCACCAGCAAACTACTTGTCTTCATTATGCCCATTGATTTGTCTTGTTATTTTGTGTTTAGGTTGAATACTTTTATTTTTTTATTTGTACTTTTTTTTTTTTTCAGAGTCTCACTCTGTACCCAGGCTGGAGTGCACTGGAGCAATCATAGCTCACTGCAGCCTCGACTTCCCAGGTTCAAGCAATCTTCCTGCCTCAGCCTCCCAAGAAGCTGGGAGTACAGATACATGCCACCGCGCCCAGCTAATTTTTTTTTTATTTTTATTTTTTGTAGAGATGGGGGTCTCACTCTATTACCCAGGCTGGTCTCGAACTCCTGGGCTCAAACAATCTATCCATCTTGACCTCCCAAAACTCTGGGATTATAAGAATGAGCCACCATGCCCAGGGGTTGAATACTTTTCTGCTGGTAAAATATGGTGCTTGAAACAGAGCAGAATGCCGGTATGATTGTGCTTGTATGTGAGGTGGCAGAGTAAGGAAAGCATTTAAATCATTGTTGAATTCTAACTTTCTACTGATTAACTTGCCTAGCTTTTCTGAGCTTACTCATCTAGAAAATTGACAGAAACTCCATGGAGAAGTTATAAATACATATAAAGATATGACTTATGTAAAGTGCTTACCACGGTGCACGACATAGTATTTGCTCAATAAATGTTCATTTCTCTCCTGTTTTTCTCTCCTGTTTCATTTTCTTTGTCTCTCTTCTTTCTTATTGAAGTTCCACAAATAAACTGGGATCAGAGTGATTTGCTTCTGCTAATTTTTTAAATTTCCTCAAATATGTAAAAAGTCTTTGCAATACTATTCTAGGTTAGGAAAAATAAGGGATTTATAACTTCAGGAATTTCAGCTATAACAGAAGTTTACAAGAAACAGAGGGAATCAGAGACAGACTCTGAATTGTCATTCTCCCAAGATGAGACCTCCAGAAAGGTATGCTCCACGCAGTGCAATCAACTTGGTATGCCTGATTGCTTGGCAAGTTAAGCAATATTCCACAGGCATTAGAGTTACATACCATGGGCTCAAAATGGATCCCATTTCAAGATATCGAACAAGGGAAACTTGGCTGCTTTTCTTTGCCATAGGGGAAAATAGAGAGGCCATCTTGAGACATTATTGGTATAAAATTGTTACTTACAGCTTTTAAAATTTACCACTCTAGGTGCATGTTAAGACATACAGACATATTTTCACTCCAACATACACCTTTCTTGTCTTCTTTTTTTTCCTTTGGTTAGCTTATAAAGCAAAGAACATTCTATAGAGGTAGGGGAGCATTCCAGTTTTCTATTCCAAAAAATTTGACACACTACAGGATAGAATAACAGATCTGGATGCATTTTCAAAGAAAATGCTGTTTAGGAACATACAAAACCCATATGTCCTTTCACTGCAAGACAGTCTGCAACAAGATCATGGTATGTGTGCACTGAGTTGATTTTCTTGTGCTCCTTGTGTACTTTTTGGGCTAAAGCAAAGGGAATCATCCAACACATTATAAAGCTGCAATGATCACCATCTATATTGTTAATGATAGCTGTCAAATGAGGCTGATGTGATTGTGGAGACAAAACCAGCCCTGAAGTGTAAAGACCAGAGGGGTGGCAATAAGATATTTAAATCACACACAGAACAAAACAAAAATATTAGCATGTCTCACATTAACACCTTTGCTTGGGTCTTGCAGAAATGTTTGCCACGCTAACCCAAACTTGTGTCTTTAAATCCTGCCCTATGCTGCCTTCATTTGTCAAATGCTCATATTGCGCTAGTCAGCATAATATTATCTTCTTCTTGAGCACTAATTCCTAACTCCAGGGAGAATCAATGTCTGTACAGATATATTGGAAGCCCCTCTAGCTTTTTATTGCACTCATCAATTTACATGATTCTTATCATTTAACCAAACTGTAAGCCACGGGAAGGCAGGAACCATGCCAAGTTATCGCGACGTCTTCCACCTCTACTAATGCCTTACATATAGTAGATGTTCAGAGAACTAATCTACCATGACTGAAACAAACACTCCACAGAGTTTTGGTTTTTGACTTTTGTTTCTGTTTTTGTTTTCCAGTAGCAGGATGTTTGGATTTGTGGAGACACTAGCTGGATTTAAGGTTGTGTTCTGTGAAATTTATCTCAGGAGCATACTCGGAGGGTTCAGTGTAAACTTCAAATCAATGTTCGTCACATTCTTTAGAGGATCTCACTTCTGTGCAAAAGTGCTACACGTGAGGGTGCCAACAAAATTAATAAATTAGTGTCTCAGATTTTTGGAGTAGCTCTAAATATATGACCTTTTTCTTAAGGGAAAAGCCCTACCTGCTGGTGGGGTTAAGAAATGGTCACAATGATAACCTACTTATTGTCTTTCTTGTCACTGTAGTTATCCCTGACTGGTGGGCAATATTTACCGATGCCCTGGCAGCCATATCTTCCTGTTAATATTCTGGCCGGGTGTGGTGGCTCATGCCATAATCCCAGCACTTTGGGAGGCCAAGGCAGGCAGGTCACTTGAGATCAGGAGTTCGAGACCAGCCTGGCCAACAGGGTGAAACCCCGTCTCTACTAAAAACACAAAAAATTGGCCAGGCATGGTGGTAGTCAGTCCAAGCTACTCGGGAGGCTGAGGTAGAAGAATTCCTTGAACCTGGAAAGTGGAGGTTGCAGTGAGCCAAGATTACATCACCACACTCCAGCCTGGATGACAGAGCGAGATTCTGTACAAAAATAAAAAAATAAAATATTCTATAAATTCAAAAATAAATTTGAAGATATAAGCCACATTATAATAATTAAAGTTGCTATGTTCTCACAATGCCAAATTATCAAATCTTTTGGATTTTATTCCCTAAACGACTTTCAATCCATTACTTTCTTCTATATTGCTCCTAGGCCTAGTCACCAGTGCTTCTCACCTGGACAACTAGACACCCTTAGCAGGTCCCATCTCAATCTCTACTGCCTCTTCAATCCCCTTGTCCATACTTTAGATGGAATGATTTTTTTTTTTTTTTTTTGAGACAGGATTTCGCTCCTTAGCCCAGGCTGAAGTGCCGTGGTATAAGCTCGACCCACTGCAGCCTTGACTTCTTGGGCTCAGGTGATCCTCCCATCTCCCAAGTAGCTGGGACTCCAGGCACATGCCACCACAGCCCACTAATTTTTTTAGAGATGAGGTCTCACTATGTTCAAGCTGGTTTCAAACTCCTGAACTCAAGTGATCCCCCTACTCCAGCCTCCCAAAGTGCTGGGATTACAGGCATGAGACCCCATACCTGGCCCAGAATGATCTTTTGAAATAAAGGTAAGTCTCATAATGTCACCTCACCTCTGCTCCTGTACCTACTTCATTTCATTTACTTTAAAATATTTAGTGGCTTTGTAGACCCCAATTCCTGACTCACTTTACAATGCTCTGTGTATATAATCTGCCTCCCCAGCCTTCTCTCCTGCCAAAACCCTCCTCATTTGCTGTGTTCTAGGCATACCAACTCCTAAACTTTCACATACATCATCATCATCGGGGAAGCTTAGCAAAACAGATTCCTGCGCCCTAGACCCCAGGCAGTCTCATTCAGTAAGTCTGGGATGGGACCTAAGAATTCGCAAAGGACAAGTCCCAGGTGATGCTGAGGCTGCTCCAGGGATTGCGCTTTGGGAAATACATGGCTTCGACCTCTGCTAACTCTTTTTTCCAGAGAATCCTTTACAACCTGCCTGAGCAGGATCCAGATCCCTGCTTTATCCCATCACAGGTCACCATGTAAGTCTGACGCAGCTTCTATGACCGCCATAATATTGCCTTTGTGTGATCATTTGGTTATCTCTACCCCCAGATGTCAGTATAAGTACCATAAGTAGCTCACTATGTTTAAATCAGATTCCCTTTATTGGGATCCTCTAAAGAATATTCATACAGGACAAAATAATTTTAAATATTGGGTAATTATGGAGAAGCCCATCTACACATCTTTCCCCAAAACTATTGTCATCAATCTTTAAGATCCATTACTTGTTCATTTGGCAAAATATCATGACATGTTTCTCTGTGCCCGCATAGCAGATGCCAGTCAATGTCCTGCTCACTCACATTCCTGTGTTCTTATTATTTCAGTGAATGCTGTCAACATCAAACTGCCAAATCCTGCTTCCCTTCTCTCCATGGGCCTTGGCTTTGTCTTGCACCCAAAGCACATTTTGCCACCTAACTGGTAGAAGTAATTGACTTTGATTATCATGAAGAAATAACATTATAAAATGGAACCAGGAGCACATATAGAACTCAGGACACTCACTGAACGTATCCTGCTGATTCCATGCCTGGCTATACTTTAGACAGAATGATTTTGTTGCATTCTTGCAATTGCAAGAATGTACGATTGCAGCAGTTACAGCGCGACAAGGGCAAAGCGACCAAAGGTTCAGACCTTTCGATCTCCCGTGGTAAAGGTCTCAGCCTTCTACTTGGCAAGGCATCCTAGACTAGCGGAAATGGACAAGGATGAGGGATGTCTAGAATGGGTAGAAAAGAGAGAAGAAAAGGAATATTGATGGCAGCCTTGAAACCAACTTGAAGCAGATAATGGTTTCTCTCACTATCCCTCCTGTTGTATGTTATTTAATCATTTAATAAACACTGTCTGTCCACCACCTTGAAAAATCAATACAGGATAGAATGAAATTAACACAGGGCATGCAGAGATCTGAGCAGGTGGATTTTAGTGGATGACTTTAGTGCCCCATCAACATCTCACCTTCCTTACCACTTCAGTGCAGCTGCCGGCACCTGCACTTCTTTGAGGGTTTTTCTTGCTGTAGAGACTGCTTTGCTGCCAGCATGGCAAACTGCAGTAGAGAATTAAAAACCCCTAGAAGCAGCTCTCAATGTAAGTGATTGGAGTTTGTCTATGATTTCCCTCGGTGACCTCACCCTCCTTGGGGAGTGACTCTAAGTCATGTGGTTTTATTAATTTGATCTGAAACTCCGATTCCTAGAGTTTTCCCCATAGGATTAATCTCTGTGTACCCACACTTGTTACTGGCTTGGCAATGCACTCTTTCTTGGCTGCTTTCCCTTCCTTGTCTTTCTTCCTTACTCCCCCATGGATGTTTTCTTTCACCCTCCAAATAAAATAATTTTATTCAAATCTTTGAGTTAGTTTCTACTCCTGGGGAACCCAAACTTATGTAGTCTGGGGCTTGTCATCAGGTCATACTGTTGGCTGTTGCCCAGGAAATGGTGTAGATCTGGACTTTAGGTCAATGACCTTCCCAGAAAATATGGACAGAAAGACATAATACTCATAACTTTAGTGGCAGAAATCCACATCCCTACTCTCTTTCAAGGCCACCTGTGAATTGCGTTGTCAGGCTTCAGCAGGTGATTTTTGGGTTTCTGGCATATTACCTAGATCCTTATGAGACATAATAGATTATAGAAAAGAAGGCCTGGCATGGTGGCTTATGCCTGTAATCCCAGCACTTTGGGAGGCTGAGGAGGGTGGATCACCTGAGGTCAGGAGTTTGAGACCAGGCTGGCCAACATGGGAAAACCCAGTCTCTACTAAAAATACAAAAATTAGCTGGGTGTGGTGGCGGGCAACTGTAGTCCCAGCTACTCAGGAGGCTGAGGCAGGAGAATCGCTTTAACCTGGGAGTTGGAGGTTGCAGTGAGCCAATGTCATGCCACTGCACTCCAGCCTGGGTGACAGAGTGAGACTCCATCTCAAAAAAGAAAAGAAAAGAAAATAGTCATGCTCTTGTCAGGTGATTGCCTCACAATGCAGGTGGCAATGGGACAGAAAGCATTATTATTTTTTTTCCTTCTTAGATTTTTTTTTCAAATGCTGACTCTTTCTTAAAATTTCCCAATGCAGTTTATGACATTCTCTAGTTGTAAATTTATTCTTTTGTTATTTTAAAGGACAATATGTATTGATACAGGAATTAGATCAATCAACTATAGCAATAAACTCAGTTTATATCATTTTCTTGGAGTTAAGATACATATTTCAGACCTTAAATCCTATAATCAGTATTAAGTGCTAAGGGTGTACACCTGACTCAAATTGAAACAATCCACTTTTCTCCTCCATAAATTCTGAGTTGGGATTTAAAAGAGTTTGTCAATGAAATGGGAAGCTCAACTGGGACACTGAAATGGAGAGCTTGCCTGAGAAGATTCTATTTAATTCTATGCAAGTTCAAGAAAAGAAAGCTAGAAATCCTAGAAACCTGAGGAGGAGAAGAATAAACCCCAGCTGTAAGAGACACAGAAAGAAGAGATAGTGCAAGGAGAGCTTCGAAGAAAGTAATCTTGTCTTTAATAATTTCTTGGTACCAACTTTCAGCTTTTTTATGAGGTCCTGTTTTTCTTTCTTTTGGATCTATAGCTACTCCTGTACCTTAGAACAATTTTCCCTTTTTGGTGTTAAGATTACTTGAGGGATTTTTCAATGATTTAAAACCAGAACAGCCTTGGTGAAAAGAACTGCACTCTACTCCAAGTTCAAGAAGAATGAAGACCATCATTTTCTTGGTTTTCAGTGCACCTAACACAATACTTGGCACATAATAGACTCTCAATAAGCATTTGCCAGGAAAAAAAAAAGAAGTAAAAATGTTAAATAGCTTCAGCAAAAGCACCAAGAAGCATGTGCACATTTTATAATGTGGAAAGTCTTTCTACCAATAGAAAGCGGCTGACCTGGGTTCAGCCATGGACAGGGCTGGAATGCTCATGCATTAGGTTTATTTTAATCAGTAATTGCCCACTCATTTAATCCATCTGAAAAATAGTCTTAACCGCTGCTCAAATTATTGGTGTGTATTTCTCCAGGATATGTAGTGAGGTATTAATTCACCTTGAAACATTTAGGCCTCTTTATCACTCTCAGATGTTTAAAGTGGCTCAGCAGAAGAAAGGGATGAAGTGGAGTTTAGAATGGGTAAACCAGAGAAATGAGCTCTCAATCTCTGGCAAATCCAGCACTTCATCAAACCCTATGGGAAGAGCAGAGTGTTGTGGGTTGTTGTTTCTTGAAATGTTCATTAAGGAAAGACCAAACTTAGCAAATGCTGAAGTCCCTCTTGTAATGTTTTATGATTGTTATAGTATTTGGTAACTTCTGTTCCCCTCTGGCTGTGATGTGAGAGGTTCCTCCCACCACATCCCCCCCATGACAGCAATCTCTAGCTGTAAAATAGTAAGACCGTCAGCCAGCAATAATTTGCAATCCAAACAGACTTGACGCTCCCTGACATTTATTGAAACCTCAGACCCTGTGCACTGGTTTCAGTTTTCCTCCCTTCGCTCTGTTTTTACAGACAGACAAGTGCTTAGATTTAGGCTTAATAATGAGGAGAAATTTCTTCTTGGCCTACTCTTGCTTGTGTTGGCTGCACTGGGGCTTGCAACAGATGGGTGGTTGGAGTTAATTATACTAAATGGTGAGAACATTATTTGACCCCACTGGTTCAGCCCCAGAGGCTGTGTGCCTCCTCACAGACACAGGCAGATGGAATGCCTCACAGGCTGGGCAAAGGGCAGAAGCCATGGAAAGAGAGAGCTCTTCCCTTAAGAGCAGACAGACATGAGTTTCACTCCTTGACATAGCTCAGAATCCTGGGCTCTTTTATACATATAAACCAGTAAAGTGCAAAGAAACACAAGGTGGTAACAAGGATTAGGAAAACACACTTTAACTGATGGGATGACTCTCCAAGGGACCAGCCATCTTCCAAAATGATAGGTTTCATCCTTTTTTCCAGGAAAGAATAATAGAAAAGCTTCACCACACAGGTGTCTCTGACAAGCCCAAAAGGAATTCTTATCACATGTGTCGTCATTGTAGGAGACTTGGTGACAACCATATTATAATTATATTTGAGAACCCAGTGGTAACTGCATATTATTTAACTCAGTACATAATATGTAGTCCCCTGTGAATAGTCTTGTCCTTGCTATTTTTAATGATGATGGTGACAATAAGAATACACCCATGTTCTTGTTTTTCTAGAGATAACCTGGCATTCATGAGTCTCAAGATGAAAAATTGACCAATATACCTAGGTACAGTGGAGATTTATTTATAAATAGTTTGTTGGTACATCACAACACAACTTCCAGTGTACTAAATTATATCTCATTCTAGAGTATAACAAGGCCAGGGAGATACAATATTAACTTGTTGACTTAATACCGACAGCAAGATTTCTGTTCCTAGATTTGTGCTTCACTGTTGTATGTCAATTCCATGCAGATAATTCAGTATGTCCTGGAAGTCTGTAGGCAGTAATGGCTTATATGATCTGTCTGGCAATATTGACTCCATAAAATAGCATTGTGTACCACCATGTTTGCATTGTCAAATAATTTCTGCTCTGACACAGTTTATGAAACACACCAAGTTAATAGGAGAGGTAAGAGATGAGTAGCAGCCCCTAAGATGTTTCCCACTCTTATCTAAGAGGCAACAGTCTTTGTTGTTCTTTTTCCTTACTTTAACATCTTTCTTTCTGTACTATGGTGACTATCATCTTACCCTTGTTTATCCAGGGTCAAAAATGATCAATGAAAAATGAAGCAATATTATACCCCAACATACCAAGAATTTCTTGGTAATGTTTCAGAAAACAATGGCCAAGGATTAGATTTTACTTGGAGTAACAGCCTAACTGCATCCCTTTCAAAGCAATTTGATTCATTTTGTTCAATAATCACACTCTATCACTCTATTTCTTCTCAACTAATACGTACTAAATTGTCATTACATTATATGGGCAAGCATACATTGTTAGTACAACTCACTTCCACCTCTGTATAAACGACTCAAAGCGTATGTACCTTGTGAATCAGTAGCATCTTTCTCACAGAAGCAGAATATGATTGCAAGTGTTATGTTCATATCTTGAATGAGAAAGGATACAGAAATTACCCTGTGGTATTTAAACCTCATAAAACAAATACTGCTGTGCATAAAAGGAATAGGTTTTGCAAAATGTTTATACAAAACAAGTGTACACTGCATATTTTCCCCAGTAAAATATAATTAAGTAGTAGGATGTGCTTCTAAAGTGCAGAGCCAATGACATTTAAGAGTTTAAATATTATATTATCACCTATATGAAAATATGGGGCAAATATAGACATAAACTATACTTAAAAGACTTAAAATTTTTTTAAATTATACCTTAAGTTCTGGGGTACATATGCAGAACGTGCAGTGTTGTTACATAGGTATACGCATGCCATGGTGGTTTGCTGTACCCATCAACCCATCACCTACATTAGTTATTTCTCCTAATGCTATCCCTCCCCTAGCCCCCAACCCCTCAACAGGCCCTGGTGTGTCTTTCCCTCCCTGTGTCCATGTGTTCTCACTGTTCAACTCCCATTTATGAGTGAGAACATGTGGTGTTTGGTTTTCTGTTCTTGTGTTAGTTTGCTGAGAAAGGTGGTTTCCAGCTTCATCCATGTCCCTGCAAAGGACATGAACTCATCTTTTTTTATGGCTGCATAGTATTCCATGGTGTATATGTGCCACATTTTCTTTATCCAGTCTATCACTGATGGACATTTGGATTGGTTCCAAGTCTTTGCTATTGTGAATAATGCCGCAATAAACATACATGTGCATGTATCTTTACAGTAGAATGATTTATGGTGTTTATTGAGGTGACCGCTTTCAGAACTAAAATGATAGTAGCTGAATTATAGACTTTATTGCAACAGAATCTGTGAGATTGAAGCTGTGCATAAGAGAAATTCAGGACTGAACAATAAGTAAGAAGTGAAGTTAGGCAACAAGAAGACAGGGGCAAAGATAAATAAAACAAATGCTATTTTAAGCCCAAGACAAGGATTTCAGAGAAGAGTTGGAGACAGACACTTTTCTCAGTATTTACTAGTTGCATACATGCATCTTTGCAGAAAGGATCTGTAACACTTCCTAAAAACTCAGCGCTAAATCTGACTGTTCAAGGTTTTTGTTACTGTTGTTGTTGTTTGCTTCATTTTAGTTTGTGTGCTTGTTTTTTTTTAAGTATTTTTATTTATTTATTTCATGAGAGGGACTCTCACTTTGTCACCCAGGCTAGAGGGCAGTGGTGCAGTCTCAGCTCACTGCAACCTCCATCTCTCAGGTTCAAGCAATTCTCCTGTCTCAGCTTCCCCAGTAGTTGGGGTTGCAGGCGTGTGCCACCAAGCCTGGCTAATAGTTTTGTATTTTGAGTAGAGACAGAGTTTCACCATGTTGGCCAGGCTGGTCTCAAACTCCTGACTTTAGATGATCCACCCACCTTGGCCTTCCAAAGTGCTGGGATTACAGGTGTGAGGATCACGCCCAGCCACTTATTGTTTATTTCCCACAAGAAGTTGTAGGGGAGAGTTGTTCACGGTAGAGGAAGCAGTGTGAGAAAGGCTGTAAGCATGAAAGATCTCAGTCCCTTCAGGAAACATGAGTGTGACTGGAGTCTCTGGTGCAGGGCTGAGGGCTAGACAGAGCCAGATATTAGAGTCGTAAGGACCGTGCTGAGAACTTGCCATTTATTCTGTGTGCAGCAAAGAGGCATGGAGTAGTTTATGTAAGAACACAGCATGGTCACCTGGCGTTTTAGAGAGGTCACAAGAGCAACGTCATGAAGGATGGATTGATGGTGAAACGAGTCAGAGGGAACAGCCGGTGAGAACACAGATCTGTTTATAATAAGTCTGTTTTATAATAACATTGCACATTTTGATTTGCTTCTCTAGGGAGATATAGGTTATATAAGAACATAGATTAGAGTTTAGTAGAACGGAAGCTGATTCCTGGCTTTGATATTTATTAGCTGTAGGATACCTGGTCTTCATTCTAGATCTATAAGTATAGATCAGTATAGGTCTGATCTTCAGGCTTCCACCTCAGTTTAGACCCTCCTTCAAGGCCTGGCAATACACAAGGCCGTGAAGGAGGGTCTAAACTAAGGTGGACACCGCAGAGAAACACAGCAACTGGAAAAATTGGCAAGTTTTAACTGCTAAAAAATCACAGTGGAGGGAGAAAGGAAAAACCCACCATGATTTTCAGGTTTGTGACTTGAGTCAGAGTGGCTGGCAGCTTCATAAATGGAGATAAAATATACGAAAGAAGAAACAGATCCTAAGGAAAAACAAGTCTGTGTTAAGAGTTGGATAGAATGAGTTTGAAGTTCCTACAGTACTGAAGATCAGTATCATCCATCTAATAAACATCAAAGCCAGGAATCAGCCTCAGCTCTATTGAACCCTAACCTATGTTCTTCTTACATAATCTACATCTCCCTAGAGAAGTAAACCAAAATGTGCAACGTTATGATAAAACAGGTATGAGATAGATATGTAGAGAGGCAAGAGTTAATTGGATATATTCCGAGGCAGGCTATTATCAGTTTGTTTTTGCTATATAAGAGCCTTTCTCTCATATTACAGAAATAGCTACACCTGTGAAATAACATCTTCACTAACAATTTGTAATCAAGGCAGATGGACTTAGACTCTCAGCCAGGTGTTGAAATTCTTTCCGTCGCCCAACACAGAGCCGAATGCAAGAAACAAAGATTCCTGAGGGTAACATGGATGAAAATGATGTTAATAAAAAGCAATGGAAAGAGAAGGATGCACCCACCAGATTCAAGTATTCATTTATCTGGCTGAATTGCATTCTTAATACTGTCTCATTTTTAAGCAAATGGATTTTATCTTCTTAAAAATGATCTGTTGCAATGCAAACTTTCTTATCTTTTCAAAGATAAGATTTAATGAAGACATAGACTTCAACACTGGAAATTTAAACGAGTTTTAAATGAAGATGTAGACTTCAACAGTAGAAGAAACATATTAGTTAGAATTTTCAGAAGCAAAATAGGCTGAAAGATTTATGATAGCACTTAGAAACACGAGCCTTCAGACTGCGTGCCCAAGCATGACCAAAGAGCAGGCAATAACAGATCTCATTAGACGCTGTTTATTTAATTTAACATTATCCTGTCAGGGATGGTTTCCCTGTTCGATAGAGCTCATTTTTTTTTTTTTGATAGTTTAAGTAATGCTCAAATATACAAGAATATGTTCATAGTAAGAGAAGGCTACGCATGCAAATTCAGAAAATCATCAAATCATCCCCAAAACTATAGTTTTAGGTTTTCTGAATCTGTTCTCTTCTTTCCCAAGAGCTATGAAACAAGACTTACATACTAGCTCAGAAAGAACCCTAGAAAGGGAATCTACTTTGGAGGAGATTAAATCTCCTTATTATTTTTCCACCCTCGTATTTATTTTCTTTTTTCTCTTCAAATGCTACCACAACAAAATGATCTGTCTTTTTTTTCTTGTAGTACCTGATTAATGTTCCAAAGAATCACATGTTTGCATTTGAGGTTAAAGCAAACCTCTAGATAGAGCTGTAGAGAACATGATATGCCGATGTTAATAGTTTCCTATAGAAACAATTATTTTTGAATATTCAGGTGATAAAAATAAAAGATCACCTTAGAAGCGACACACTATATATATGCCCATTTAATTTTCTCCTATACAACTCCCATCTTCATCACAAAAAAATTTTAAAACTGCCACATTACTTAGGTTTATATATATTTAAAATAAAACTAACAACTCACTGAGAAAATATAATTTCACCTTAGTAAAGTATGAAATTTTATTAGACATTATTAAAGCTGCAATGGCCAAAACAAGGAATTAAATTTTCCTCTGTAATGTTAATATCTCCAGCATGAACGTGGAGGTAATAATACAAATCACTGGACTGAAAATATTGCTGATTAAAACTTCTGAGAACAAGGCTGATAGATTGGCAGTTTTCACAAACACCTTCACGTATTAAGACAATAAATTGCCATAATGTGTTTTGACGTTGATAATGTGATCTAAAATCTTTTCAGAAAAGATGTCTTCCGGGAACAAAGATTCACTATCCCTTTGTTCAGGTGGCTCAAAATAATTGCATCAGATTCAAGGCTCGGCTCGGGTATTAAGTTATCCTAAACTGGAGAACCGAAGTTTCTTAAACTCGGCCAGGCGCCGAGATTAAAAATTGTCAGTAGAGCATGGAAGGCGATCAGGAAAGCCTTGAGGACATTTAGACCATGCAGAAAAGGTCCATAGATTGACCTCATTTCAACACCATTGCTTATACATGTAGGTGAGACAGTAAGGTTTTAAAAATCTCCATTATTTTCTGGGAACTTTGAACCAAGGATGCAGATGTCTGCTTACTCTTTCCAACTTCGTGGTGTCCTCTGATGCCATTGACCTTCCAATCAAACAGCACTGAGACTTCCCACTCATTTCTGGCTCATCTTTGTTTCCATCCTCTATGTTTTATTAAAGTGCCAGGTACTAAATGCTTTAGGGTTGATGGACAGTACAGTGTCTGTCACAGCACTCAACTCTGCTATTGTAGCATGGAAGTAGCCATAGACAATATGTAAATAAATGAATATGACAGTGTCCCAATAAAACCGTATTTACAAAAACAGACACAGGTAAATTTTGTCCAAGCGTCTGTACTATTGCCAACTGCTGAGCTAGAGCATCAACTTTTCCCATACCTGGTGTTATACCCCACCTAACCCCTCCCTACTTCCAACCTGTACCGTTCTATTCCTTTAGCCCCTTTCAGTTTTTGATTCTCTTCAGTCAAAGCTTCCCCGATCATGCTGTCATAGGAATCTTCTTTAAGTGAAACTCACTTGTTTCACTTAAAGTGAGTTTCCCATTGGGAAAACCATACTATGAGTTTCAATTGTCTATAAACCTAAGTTTTCCAGTCCTTGCAGAATACAGTGTTAACCTGCTTTCATGCCTCAGGGCCCATACTTAAGGATGAGACCTGTTCTCCAAATTGTCCTGCTCCTTCTTGCAACTATTCATTACCTTATACTTTCCTTTCTGCTTGGAATGGTCACCTCCCTATCTTCCAGGTCAAAATTCTATTTCTAGTAGAAAGCCTTCATTTCCTTATCAACTACTCACAACTTGCCCTTCTATTGTTTACAGGGGAGAGTTTAAGTTATAGGTATAGAGGAAACCACCAAAGAAATAGAGATTAAAAAAGAGTCAATAGCAGAATTCTGGAAATTATTTATACTCAGGGGACAAAAGACAGATCAGCCTAAGAGACAACAAAAAGCACTGGGAAAAACAGGAGAACTAAGGAAGCACTTCATGATAAATTAACATAAAGATAAATCATCAGGTGTTATATTTAAGTATCATTTCATTAAATAAATGTATCATAATATACTGAGTTTAAGATATTCTTTTTTTTTTAATTTTTTATTTATTTATTTATTCTTTTTGAGATGAAATCTTGCTCTGTTGCCAGGCTGGAGTGCAGTGGCTCGACCTCGGCTCACTGCAACCTCCACCTCCTGGGTTCAAGTGATTCTCCTGCCTCAGCCTCCCAAGTAGCTGGGACTACAGGCACACACCACCATGCCCAGCTAATTTTTGTCTTTTTAGTAGAGATGGGGTTTCACCATGTTGGCCAGGCTGGTCTCGATCTCCTGACCTCGTGACCCGCCCTCCTCGGCCTCCCAAAGTGCTGAGATTACAGGTGTTGAGCCACCGTGCCTGGCCAAGTTTAAGAAACTCTTCAAAAAAAAAAAAATTACATCTATTTTATTAAAATAAAATCCAACCAGCTGGGCATGTTTTTTCTTACCTTGGACTTTTCCCTTACCAGTAAATTATAGATATATTTACAGATCAATGCATACAGATTTGATATGTTCTTTTAATAATTACAAAAGTCTTTACTTTAAAAAATCATAAAAATATTCAAATATTAGCAATTTAAGTTTTTTTAAATTTGTTACTGTTGTAAACAACAATGTGAATAAAAAGTCTATCTATGCAGCAAATTTTTGAATAATTACTTACTGACTTCCATGTGTCGGGCACTATACAGTCATGTATATATAATTGACAGTTCTTCTTAGTAAGCTGTTACCTGGAAATAACCCCTGAAGATGGGCTTTCCCTCCAATGCCTAAAGTTACAGTAACAATGGGACTATTTCACCACAGGTTTGACTCATGCTTAAGAACTCAGAGGTGAAGATACCAACAGACTTATCCTGTGGGAAAGTAAGGAAATTACAGTGTCGAGAAAAAGACCCAGGAGATTATTATCCTGATATGTTAATCTTCTGGTTTTGGATGCTCCAGGGCAGAATTAGAGGACACATGTATGTTCAACTGGTTTTCAGTTGTACTCAGTATTATTTGCAGAATATAAAAAGATAGCATCGTCTACATCAGAGAGAAAAATCTCAGCTCCACAGCTTTTTAAGATGAAATGCTTCAGGAAATGAAACAGGACTGATTTGCAAATGGATATTATTGATTTATCTTACAGATATGTCGATGCCTTGATTATCCTGGTGTTACACATTGCATAGTGCCAGTGATGGAGAAAAACGTTAGACATGAAAATCATTCCAATAATAGTGGAAAGCTTATCCAAATTAGACAGATCACTAAACAGATCTCAGGTAATAGAGGTCTAAAGTGAAAAGGCACAGAGAGAAATAAATTACAGCAAAAATGACAGCAGAAAGCTTTATAAATAGGAGGAATTCTCTTGACTTCTCTTTGGTGGCCACATTTGCCTCTTTTCTAGATTTAAAGTTTGACTGTAAATGGATGGCACTGAGAGCCAAAGTCTTCAGCTCTCTAAAGAATTTGAATAAAAAAGGATGAGTTCATGTCCTTTGTAGGGACATGGATGAAGATGGAAACCATCATTCTGAGCAAACTATCACAAGGACAGAAAACCAAACACTGCATATTCTCACTCATAGGTGGGAATTGAACAATGAGAACACTTGGACACAGGGTGGGGAACATCACTCACCGGAGCCTGTCGTGGGGTGGAGGGATGGGGGAGGGATAGTATTAGGAGATATACCTAATGTAAATGACAAGTTAATGGATGCAGCAAACCAACATGGCACATGTATACATATATAACAAACCTGCACGTTGTGCACATGTACCTTACGACTTAAAGTATAATTTTAAAAAGAATTTGAATAAGTATAATGAATGTAATTGTTAACACCTGAATTCAATCCCTTCAACTGTCACTAGAAGAAAAAATGCATAAAGACATGGGTGGAAATTCATTCTTTTAAGCTGAGAATGGCCCTATGTTCAAGTGGGAACACAAATAAAAGTTGCCTTACTGTGGTAGCAGGTACAATCCAGAAATATTTTATATCAACGAGTGAAAATGATCAGCTGCAAGAGGGGTGCACGATACGGGTGATGGGTGTGAGGGCATGGCCACTTGAAGGGGCAGCATCTCCTCAGTCCTTGCAGATTGCTACCAGGGAAGCATGCAGGATCAGTGTGCCAGATCTGACACTCAGGGAAAGAGGAATTGCCAGATGTATAATAGATGATCTAAGACTTGGTAGCTACAAAAGACTTGGTAGCTAGTAGTCTGTTTATTTTTGCTAGAAATGAAGTTGTTTCATTAAG
The DNA here is from genome assembly GCF_000001405.40 of Homo sapiens. NCBI lineage: Eukaryota > Metazoa > Chordata > Mammalia > Primates > Hominidae > Homo > Homo sapiens. Next base: position 71,520,943 of record NC_000017.11, read on the forward strand.
TCAGCTGAAATCAGGGGCTCTAACTTCCATGATGAATTATTGGTATTTAGATGACTATATTACTTTATTTCCCCAAATCTAAGTTTTGTTGTTTTTTTTTGTTGTTGTTGTTTTTGTTTTTTGTTTGTTTGTTTTCTAAGATGGAGTCTTGCTCTGTTGCCGAGGCTGGAGTGCGATGACACAGTCTAAGCTCATTGCAACCTCCGCCTCCCAGGTTCAAGCAATTCCTCTGCCTCAGCCTACCAACTCGCTGGGATTACAGGTGCGCACCACCACACCCGGCTAATTTTTGTATTTTTAGTAGAGATGGGGTTTCACCATGTTGGCCAGGCTGGTCTCAAACCCCTGACCTCATGATCCACCCACCTTGGCCTCCCAAAGTGCTGGGATTACAGACGTGAGCCACTGCGCCCGGCCACCAAATCAAAGTATTCCTATAAATTAAAACAGAAATATTTTTTAAAGAAGAGGAAAACTTCTAAAACCTCATGGGGCTGCAATAATTAACTGAATGAGAACGTCATATGTATTAGTCAGCTCAGACAATTAACAACATACCATAGACCAGGTGGCTTAAACAACAGAAACTTACTTTTTCACAATTCTGGAAGCCAAAAGTCTGAGATGAGGCTGCCTGCACAGTCAGGTTCTGTGGAGGGCTCTCTCTTCCTGGCTTGCAGTGGCCACCTTCTTGCTATGTGCTCACATGGCTTTTCTTCAGTACAGTGCAACAGAGAGACACAGAGAGAAATATCTCTTTTCCTCTTCCCATAAGGACACTAATCCTATTGGATTAAGATTTTGCCCTTATTGTCACATTTAAACTTCATTACCCTCTAAAAGCCTTATGTCCAAATACAGTCTCATTAAATCAGGGATTGAATATATGAATTTAGGGTAGGGGGAGCAATTTAGTCCATAGAACCATGTGAGCATCAAAGACTCACTGGACTTACGTCCGTTTGTAAGTGTCTCCTGTTGTAGTGTATCTGAGTCATAGAGATGTCAGCTAAAGAACACAGATAATGGAGTATGTTGCATACAAAAACTGCAAAATAGCTGGTTCTCCATTTACTAATAGCTGGAAGAGGTCATTCAACTTCCTTTTGCAGAAAACAAATAGAAGATTGGAAAAAAATATTAAAAATTAACCTTATCAGGACACTGGAAAACACCCAAAGGACATGAAAACTGCTAGAGTATTGTAGAGAAAAGAAAGAAAGGAAGGAAGAAAAGAAAGAAAATAGCAAGAGAAGGGAAAAAAAGAAAGAAAGGAGGAAAGGAAGGAAGGAAAAGAAAAAAGGGAGAAAGAGAGGGAGCAAGAAAGGGAGGGAAGAAGGAAAGGAAGAAAGGAAAGAAGGAAGGAAGGAAGATAACAGCACAATAAACTTGTGAGCTTCTTGCTTAGGGTATCTTGGGGTATTTCTATGAAAATTTCCCTGGCCAGAGGTGGTAAAGTTGGTTTTGGGTAGGTTTCAGAGCAAAGAAAAAACAAACAACCACATTAAAAAATGGGCAAAGGACATGGACACTTCTTTAAATAAAGCATGCACATGGCCAATAAACATGAAAAAATGCTCATCACCACTGATCATCAGAGAAATGCAGATCAAAACCACAATGAGATACCATCTCATACCAGTCAGAATGGCTATTACTAAGAAGTCAAAAGAACAATAGATGCTGATGGGGCTGCAGAGGAAAGGGAATGCTTATACACTGTTGGTGGGAATGTAAATTAGTTCAGCCTGTAAAAGCCTTTCACTGTGGAAAGCAGTTTGCAGATTTCTCAAAGAACCGAAATCAGAGCTACCATTCAACTCAGCAATCCCATTCTGGGTATATATCCAAAAGAAAACAAATTGTTCTACCAAAAAGACACATGAACTCAAATGTTCATTGGAACACTATTCACAATAGCAAAGACATGGATTCAACCTAGGTGCCCATCAATGGTAGACTGGCTAAAGGAACTGTGATTACTTCATGGAATACTACACAGCCACAAAAAGAATAAGATCATGCCTTTTGCAGCAATACGGATGGAGGTGGAGGCAACAATTCTAAGTGAATTAACACAGGAACAGAAAAGCAAATACTACATATTCTCACTTATAACTGGGAGCTAAGCATTCAGCACACAGGGACATAAACACGGGAATAGCAGACACTGCGAACTATTAGAGGGAGAAGGAAGACAGAGAGATATGGGTTGAAAAACTACCTATTGAGTACGATGCTCACTATCTGGCTGCAATATACCCATGTATTAAACCTGCCCATGTACCCCCTGTATCTAAAATAAAAGCTGGGGAAAAAGAGAAATTTGATGAGGAGATTTTGGAAGCAAGAGAACCATAGAAAGGCTGATATAATTCATATGCATATGCAAACTACACATGCATATGGAGACACCAGAGAACCTGGCAAAATCAAATCCTGAGAAGCCTTGTAAACGTCTTATACTTTTGAAGATGCTCCTCAACTCCCCAACGCAGCTTGGGTGGCAGAAAGCGAAGCTTTAGCAGTTGGAGGAGTTTGAGTATAGCCTCTGCACAAAACAGTGGCTGACCACTGAAGTATAAAGACACAGGGAGACTTCTAGAGAACCAAGCACTTAAAAAGACAAAACCAAAAAACGAGCATTGACTTCAGTGGTTGCATACCACAAGGAAGACTGAGCTTTTCAGTTTGTATTTATGCATGTCTATCACTGACTAAATCATAAAAACACAGCTCTCAAAGAGGGAAAAAACAGAATCCAGAGTCACTTCAATGCCTTATCTAAAGTGTCCAATTTTATTTTATTTATTATTTGAGACAGGGTCTCACTCTGTCGCCCAGGCTGGAGTGCAGTGGCACGATCTCGGCTCACTGCAACCTCCGCCTCCCAGGTTCAAGCAATTCTCATGCCTCAGCCTCCAGAGCAGCTAAGATTACAAGCATGCACCAACATGTCCAGCTAATTTTTGTATATTTAGTAGAGACGGGGTTTCTTCATGTTGGCCAGGCTGGTCTCAAACCTCTGGCCTCAAGTGATCTGCCCACCTCAGACTCCCAAGTGCTGGGATTACAAGCGTGAACCACCATGCCTAGCCTAATGTCTACTTTTAAAGCAAAAATTACTAGACCAAGGGAAAAAAAAGAATCTATCAAAATTTGTGCTTAATAGTCCAGATATTGTATTTAGTAAAGACTTCAAAGCGGCTATTATAAATATTATAAATATGTCCAAATAGTTAAAAGATAATATACTATGAGTAAACAAGTAGGGATTATCAATAGAGAAGAATTATCTTTTTAAAAATGGAAATTCTAGAACTTAAAAGTACAATAACTGAAGTTGAAAAGGAACTAGATAGGCTAACCAGTGTATCTGAGATGGCAGAAGAAAGAATCTGTGAGCGTGAAAAATAGACCAAGAAAAAAGCTCAAGTCTGAAAAAGAAAGATGAAAAACTTGAAGAAAACTATACAACACTTAGATATCTGTGGGGTCAATGTCAAGTGTCACAACATATGTTTAAGTGGGAGTGCCAGGAGGAGAGACGAACAGAGGGAAGAAAAGTTGTTAAAGAAATAATTGCTAAAATCTTCCCAAATTTGGTGAAAATGTATTATCCTTCATGTATGTGTAAGAAGTTTGACAAACCCAACAAGGAACACACAAAAAAACTATGACTAGACACATTATAATCAAAGTTAAAAGAAAAGAGAAAGATTTTGAGAGTAGCAAGAAAAAAACAACGAATTATATGTGGAGGATCTTTCAGCAGGAATGACGGAGTACTGAAAACACTGCTATGATACAAGACCGGAAAGACAAAAAACCAAAAATCCAAAAAAACATGCCGACCGATAATTTAATATCTAACAAAACAACTCATCAGAAATGACGGTAAACTAAAGACAGGTCCAAATAAAAATTTAATGTGTTGCTAGTTGCTCTGTGCTACAACATATACTGAAGAAAATTCTTCACACTGAAGGGAAGTAATTCTAATCATATTCTGTATCCACAAGAAATGGTAAATATGTGTGTAAATACAAAATATTGATCTATATATACACACAATATTGATCTATATATATACTATGCTGTTTATATATACAACAATTTTTGCTTCTCTTAATTTCTCTAAAAGATATATGAATATTTAAAGGAAAAATTAAAATACACTATTATTTTGTTTCTAATGTTTATAGGTGTGATATATGAAAACAATAGTATAAACATGGGTTGAGTGTGCTATTTCAGTACAGATTTCTTATGTGTTCTGGAAATACTTCAGTGTTAACTTGAAACATGTTGGCATAAGTCAAAGATACATACTGCATACCATAAAATGACCACTAAAATAACAACATGAAGCAATATAGGTAAAAATCTAACAGGTGAATTAAAATGGCACACTAAAAAATTCTGTTTAACATAAAAAGTATTAAAAGGAGAAACAGAGGTAAACCAACTGACAAAAATAGAAAACAAATAGCAAAATGGCAGACCTAATTTAAAACATATCAATAATTATATTAAATGTCAACTATTTAAAAACTCCAATCAAATGAGACACTCATTCATTGCTAGGAAAAATGCAAAACAGTACAGAAATTTTGTAAACCTTTGGTGTTTAAATGTTAAGCATATCGGCCAGCCGCGGTTGCCTACGCCTATAATCTCAGCACTTCGGGAGGCCGAGGTGGGTGGATCACCTGAAGACAAGACTTCGAGACCAGCTTGGCCAACATGATGAAAGCCTGTCTCTACTAAAAATATACAAAATTAGTCGAGTGTGGTGGTAGGGGCCTGTAATTCCAGCTACTTGGGAGGCTGAGTCAGGAGAATTTCTTGAACCTGGGAGGCGGAGGTTGCAGTGAGCCAAGATCGCACCACTGCACTCCAGCCTCAGCAACAAGGGCAAAACTCTGTCTCAAAAAGAAAAAAAAAAAAAAAGAAAAGAAAAAAACATGTTAAGCATATCACGTAATTCAGCAATTTTACTTTCAGGTATCTTACACAATAGAACGGAACATTTATGTTCACACAAAGATTTGTCTGTAATGGTCATAGAAGCATTATTTCTAATAATAGCTCAAAACTGGAAGCATTGCAAAGATTCACCAACAGGTGAATGAATACACAAAATGTGGTATAGCCATACAATGGAATAGAATTCGTAAAAAGATACAAACTACTGATATAAGCAACACCATAGATGGAACTCAAAGCATTTTGCTAAATAAAAGAAACTGGACAGAAAAGGCTATTGTGTAATTCCATTTAGATAAAATTTAAATGTGGCAATAACAATGGTGACAGAAATCAGTGATTTGTCAGGACTAGTGTTGGTGGCAGAGACTGACTGCAAAAAAGGCATGAGGGAAATGTTGGGCATGGAAATAGATATTCTAAAACTAGATTTTGGTACTGTTTTCATATGGTGGATTTAATAATACTGAAAGAGTTATACACTTAAAGGGGGTGAATTTCATTTTATATAAATTATATCTCAATAAAGTCTCAAAGAAAGCAGATTGAATTACAAAGTTATTAAGATTCCTGATGTGTATGTGTCTGTGTGTGTGTGTGTGAAGCAATGCTTTGTTCCACTTCTGAATTACTGCACTTTTGCTTATACTAATGAAATGCTGCCTTAGTAATTATTTTCTTACCTGGTTCCTAAGTAGCTTAAAATCATGCAATGCGTTAGAGGAGAATAGATGGCTACCACTTAGCATTCATGACTGATCATGAGCACAATGCCTGCTCACCTCATGGGCCACATGGTGTGAGAGTGCAGCACTGTGGCCTGTATTTAAACATTTCTGATATACAAAGATTAAATTTCTGATATAGAAAGATTGAAATATGAGGAAGGAAGTCACCATTATAGTTCATATTTCTTCATGGAGAAACATGAATGGAACTTAGCCAGGGGCCTTATCATTACTATTATTCTTAATTGCAGTGGTGGTTGTGAAGGCATTTGTTGATGTTGATGGCGACACTGGTAGTGACTTGGGTAATGGCAGTAGTAGTGGTAGCAAGCCTGGGAACCATGGGATCATTTGTGTAAAAGGACAAACAAACCAAGATAGAAATATTTTGCAGGTATATTCTCTATTCCCTTTAGATGTAGTAAGGCAGGAGTGATCTTGGCACTCTCGCTGGCTTTTCTCACAACACAAATGGAAAAGGTTAGTTCATTTGGCACCTCAGTACAGCTCTCCTTTCCATCTCCTCTACTGCACAGAAGCCTATTCTAATGTACGCAGCTTCTTTAGTAAACCAGCTCATTGTGTGTTGACATTTTACTTTTGTGTACAGCAAGAAGATCATGAAAAGGAAACACCATTCTGGCCATGCCCCTGCTTAATCCTTAAAATTCTCACTGGAAAATACCGCATCAACATGCTTCATCGTGGGCTTGTGGCATTTTGTTGTGTTTTATTTTGTTTTGTAGCTAGAACAATGCTTTTTTTGGTTTGGGCACCGTATTGCCTGGGGAAGAAAGGGAAATGTCTGTTATTGCTTGCTAAACATCTACCATGTAACCAGCCAAACCGCAGGAGCTAATCTCAAACCAGGGAGTTGACTTCTCAAGGAAGGAGTCCTGTGGTTTACATTCCTTTGACTATAACCTCTTGAGTCGCCACGTTTTTCCACCTAATTTTTCTATATGTACTTCAATATGTAGATTTTGTGCTATTGCAATCTGTGTGGTGTTTTATTTGAATTTTTTTAAGAGCAGAAATAACCAACAGTTTATATTCTTCTGTCTGTAGTGTCAAGATTAGAATCAGGTCACACAATTTCAAGGTCTATTTAATAAGTTGTTTTGCCTCTTTCTCAATGTAATTTTTACTAAACTCATCTGAAAAGTAGCATTCATTCCTATATTCATTCTTCCATTACAACTTTTAAAATACCTTCTATGGACCCTTTTTAATGCACTAGGAAAATAAAGGGAAGATATATAAGGTCTGATTTTTACCCCTAAAGACCTTATAGTCTGGTACAGATTCTGTTCATTAGTGTACCTGAAGCAAATAGAATGTTTAAATGAGGTAACTGAAAAGAGATTAAGGAAGATACTATTTATAATGTATTCATGAAAACCAAAAAGGGATAATAAGCACCTCATATCTGGTAAGATCAAAGAGCCACTACCACTAGTAAATGTGAAGGAGCATAGGTCGTAAATACATCACAAATAAAGAGACTTGTGGCTCTAGAAAGAAAATGCTGCAAAAGGAACCATGTCCTAAGGTTGGAAATACAGCCATTGCAAACATTTGACCAGCAGATGGGAAGATGGGGAACTAACTATCTCACTTGTACTCTCCTCCCCCATTTTTTCAGTGCCTCCAATTGGTCAATCTAGCTGGAAGCAAGGGGCATGGGAGCTTGAATGATGTAATCCATAAAAGTGAGCTTCCTAACACACAGGGAAAGAACAAGAAAAATGTGGAGTAAATCTAAAGAAAACAAAGAGAAAACAGAATACAGACAAATTTGGCAATGACATCTCATCAATAAATTTGCTTTGGAAAAGGATTAAAATAGTTAGTTCCATTTAATCTAATTAATTGATCCATTTAGCTATGGTTTCTTTATTAGTAGAAAACAGATACCAAGTAATAGCTACAAATTTGTAAAACCAGAGATAGAAGGAGGCTTATGAGTGAACCCTATTACTTTAATCATTTCCATACAGCATGACACATTGCACAGCTGTTCCTTTATTTCAAGCTCGATCTATAGTTCATCTTAATTTTATGAGACAAATACTAAACATACAGGAAAAGAGCATGGAAAGAGAAAGGAGGGGAAAAGTAGAACGGAAGTCAAAATGAGATAGTGTGAGAGTGAAGAGAGAGAAGAGAGAAAGAGATAGAGGGAAAGATGGAAATGTAAATGAAAGGCAATGGAAGAGAAATACATTGTGCTGTTGTGAATAATTTTGAATAACCCTAATCATATCAAAAAAAGGTCATTTTATATTGAGAAATCTCAAGTTCTGGCAAGCAGCAGATCCTTGCAGCTCCATGACTCCTCTGATTTTTTTTATATGTTAAATTAATCTGAGTTTTCTTTCACGCTTTTTTCTCTTCTTGCTATATACAGTGTCATCAAAAAACGTGCTTCAAATATCACCTCAGTGCTTATAAATCCCATTTCTGTATGTTAGTTTTAACTTTTATTTTCTCTCAAGATTAAGGTCCATATAACCAAGGAATTATCACATATTTCCACTGGGATGTCAAATTCAGTTTGTGTAAAATCAGACCTGACTTTAGTACCAAACCTTTTATCCAGCATAGAAACTCAGCAATATCAGTGAATATCCTTTCATCCTCACCTCCAAATACAATCAGACGTTAATTCCTTCAGGTTCTTCTGGGTTCAGATTTCTCTTGCCTTCTAGCATTTGAAAATACTCTTTCCACTTCTTCATCCTTTCTATCTTCCCTACCTCTTTTTCAACTTGTATTCTTATCAAGGTAACCCCAACTCGAAACTCTAGGGTTCAACCTAAATCTTCTATACTTTTTCAAATCTGATTCAGATGCCCCTCTGATGTAATCTTAACCTAGCATCTTAACATCCTCTTTTTATAACATTTTCATAAATATTTTCTAGTCTTGTGTAGATTAAATCTATAGGAGAGACAGGGCTATATTTATTTTGTTCACTCTAGCATCCTTAGTCCCTAGCATTAAGTCTGTGTGACAGCAGATCTTCAATAAGTATTACTTGATGAATGGATGATATTTTTAATGATTTAGTTATTGTATCCAAACTTAGAATCCAGTTTCTGATATACAAATGGTTTTCCTAATTTAAGTATCTCTACAAAATAAGTTCTTTCTAAGTTCTTCTTTCGATAGAAATCAGACTTTACTGAATTCTGAATTAATGTTTGGCACATTAGATTGAATGGAATCAGAAACATGTTGCTCTTCCCATTGTAAGACACAGAGATAAATATTCATATGATATAGTTCTGCTTATCAAAGTTAGGTCTTCCCAGATACTAAAGTGATTCATAGCTAAATCATTCAAAGGCAAGATAATATTGGTCTTTATTTTTGGAACCAGCATCTCATCTTAAAATTTGATGGTGGGGCTGCTAATAGAATGGTATTCTGATTATAGACTCTTCAATTTGGAAAGCACTCCAGCTGACCTATTTTACTTGTACTCTGGGTTATTCAGAAGTGCAAAGAAAATTAAAAATCCCTCTTGACTTCTGGAAGAGCAAAACTTATCTTCTGAATTAATGCATTTTAGAATTGGACTGCAGCTCAGCAGTATTGGGCACTTGGACTAATAAGCTTACTCTGTACAATCACTTGAAGAATAAAGTACAGCTGAACCACGCACTGTATTAACAAGCTAGAACTTGGGTTAAATTTGACTGTTGATTCATTCTTTGGCATCATCACCTTTATGAGTCTTTGCCTCTCTTTAACCTTAGCTGAAGCCACAAACATTGTCTGATCTTGCTGACACCTGGGATGCACTCAGAATGATGAATGTGGAAGCTTTGTGGAGGCAATAAAGTTGCAACACCCATAATCTAAAACTGGCTCAAGGAATCACCATGAATCAACCAAAGATCTGATGAGCGTAAGGACAGCTAGCAGCCTAAACATTTGACATCTATTGCCTTTCCTAAAGAATTGAAAGCTGCCTGCTCAAATGAGAGAAGAGGGTAGAAAGGACACTTAAGCCTTGAATATAAAAGGCATTTTTAAAGTTTTTGGTTTTTTGGTGGTAGTGGTTGGAAAAAGGCAAAATATACTTCAGCCCCTCTGATATTTACATTATTTTCAATGTCTTCTTAAGGAGATATTTAATATATGTATTAGTCAATATAGATTGGGTAACTATTGGAAGAAAGTGCAGTAGGAAAAGTTTACAAAAAATATTAAATATGCCCTCAGTCTCCTGATTTCAGTCTTTGGTCATTATCTGTCCACAGCTGGTCAAAATTTAGGGTTGAAACAACACTTGAGAATGATAAGCTAAAGCTATGGTACCAACTGCCTACCTAGTCAAGGGATGTGTCAGAATCATCCAGAGACTCTTCATAGTCCTCATTCCTGAATCCTCTGCCCCCAAAGCATTGATTCAGTATATCTGGAGTGGGGTTCAGAAAACTCAGTTTAGAACTCCTTCTAGAAACCTAATTTAAGAATATGTCTATTTTTTATATTCTAAATTCCATAAGCCTTTGTTTAAAATCAGAAAATTAAAAAATAAACTAATTTAAAAATAAACTAATTCTATGTTGCTTTAGATTGTATAAAATTGTCTTGTTGTATTATTTTTACTAATATATATGTTTGTATGTATATATCTGCCCATCTTGTTTTTCTGTAGTATGTAGTTATTCCTATGTTCTTCATTGGTTTAGTGCTACAAAGCAGTGTCTCTCTTCTGGAGGGCTATAGGATATGCAACTAGTACATGCTATTTAATGCTTCCGTTTTGTTTTATCTGACAAGGTAATAAAATTTAAGCTCAGGAGCAATCATTTCTTTATTTGGGGGATGGCCATGTTTTCCATTACTTTTCAGTAATTGGCCTAATGTTAGGATTCCATTGTACATCTGTTTTAAATTGCACACCGTTCACACCTTTTTTGAATGTAAATGTGACATTAATTATAAATGCATGAAATATGGGTAATGGTGAATCAGCCAGTATAAGAGAAAGTTGGGACAGGGAGCCAATTCAGTCATTGCAATGCCAGACTAAATCGATTTGCTATTTGGATAGTATCTCAAAACTAGTAAATAATAGAAAAATTTTTATAGCTTAACTTTCACCAAATTCTCTGCCTTCCCGGATGCCTTTAATAAGTAAACGACACAGATTTGAGGGTCTATCCTATGTAACCCTAAGGGTCTCCAGGGTCTTTCAAAAAATTGTTGAGGGTCCCTAAAAATTGCTTATATGTTGTAGTCCCAGCTACTGGGGAGGCTGAGGCAGGAGAACGGCGTGAACCCGGGAGGCGGAGCTTGCAGTGAGCCGAGATGGCGCCACTGCACTCCAGCCTGGGCGACAGAGCAAGACTCCATCTCAAAAAAAAAAAATTGCTTATATGTAAATTGTTCCAGTGAAAGCTCTACTTTCCATTGTTAAACGAAATAATTAACATCACAATAAGAAGCATCATGTTTTCATCACTGCAGTGATTTAGTGAGTAGATACTTGAGTATGTACACATTTGAGTGATTAAAAAGCCTCTCACACTCCAACCTGGGCAACAGAGTGAGATGCCCTACCAAAAAAAAAAAAAAAAAAAAAATAGCCTCTCCAAAGGTCTCTCCATACTGAAGGACAAGCTTCACTCAAATTCCAGTATCGATCCTTTAAGCCACTGCTAGAAAAATGTAAAATAAATAAATAAATAAGGCCGGGCGCGGTGGCTCACGCCTGTAATCCCAGCACTTTGGGAGGCCAAGGAGAGTGGATCACGAGGTCAGGAGATCGAGACCATCTTGGCTAACACGGTGAAACCCCATCTCTACTAAAAATACAAAAAATTAGCCGGGCATGGTGGCGGGTGCCTGTAGTCCCAGCTACTCAGGAGGCTGAGGAAGAACGGCGTGAACCCAGGAGGTGGAGCTTGCAGTGAGCTGAGATCTCGCCACGCACTCCAGCCTGGGCGACAGACTGAGACTCCGCCTCAAAAAAAAAAAAAAGTAAAATTAAAAGAAAACAAATAGCATTGTTTCTTTCTTTCTTTCTTTCTTTCTTTCTTTCTTTCTTTCTTTCTTTTTTTTTTTTTTTCATTAAGGTTTAAAAAATACCAGGGTCAAGTCTTAAAAAACTCCATCACAGCCTTAAAAGTAAATTCTGCAGACTCTTCACCTTATCCCAAGCCATGGCCATCGCTCTAACTCAGACTTGTCTAGGCGTGCACATTGGCAAAGAAAGCTCTGCTCATGGGCACCCTTTGGCAAAGACTTTTATTTAACGGAAGTTTTTAACCCACAACTGAGGTCTTATGAACGGGAATGCCAATCTTTAACTCCAAATATTATTTATTAACTGGTTACACTACTACATATGGAACTTTGAGTGCTTTTATAGAGAGTCTGGGAGGTAATTTGAAAGAGCTCTTTTTATAAAGTCTTTGAGTAATGCAAGAAACTCAATTCAGTGCTATCATGAAACCTGTGTGTGGAGTAATGTGGGAGTGAGAGTGGAGTCTTCTTACTTGAGGACCAGGCGATTTGCTGGTTGCGCACTGGAATACTCAGAGATTACAGTTGAATTTGAGTGTGTGTATACCGCCAGCTCATCAGCAGTACCTTGAGCTGCATGGTGGTCTCAAGCAATGATTACATTGTTGCATTGGAGAGGCTGATCTAGCAGAAGCATCAGCACTAGTGGTAGATAGTTTCCCAGAGGTGGCTTTTGAACCTTGAATCAACTTCAGAAAAAAGCGCAGAAGGGTCCATGGTTATGGGGCCATGTTGATGGGTTGGGCCGTGATGAGGCTTAGCAAGTCCCAGATGCCTGGGCTGTACACACCTCAAAGGGACTGGGTCGGTGGAGGACCTCCCAGGGTGATCTAACTTGAAATATATAAGATCATTCATCCTCCAAAGTCAATGAGATCACCCCTACGGATTCCTGGAAAGAATTAAAGAGAATTTGCTGGAGATTTGAATAGGGCTTTGCAGGGAACCACAGGTCGCATAGTATGTAGGAGGGCATACATGATTTCTATGTAAATGCAACCCAATCTGTATCTCTAAGCTGGTGTGGTCTGAAGAAACAAAGGTTACATAATCTGTACTGGCTCTGGCAAAGTCGTAGCCATTGTTTTTTTAGATAGTCTCATAGAAAAGACTGCTGGAACTGGTTAATGGGTAAATGCAGTTAAACCTAGTTGAAAAGTTATTTCTTAAGAGTACTGATTAAGAACTTAATAATATTCTGTAAGGAATTTTCTAATAATCTCTCCTGGGGCTCTGCTCCTGGTTCTGCCTTTTCAACAGCTGTGTTATTAATTTGGACAAACTAAATATATGTATTGTATGTGTATGTGTACATATATATATATGCACATACATATACATGCACACACATGCATGCTTAAGCATATATACACATACATGTATACAGACATATATACATACACAAATAGATGTTTATATGTTTGCCATAATTACTTAATTTGCTGATGAGAGAAATCTGGAAGGGACATTTAACACCATAACTGACCCCAAGATATTTAACGAAGTCCACTAACTTAGAATGATGAACCAAAACCTAAAAAAGAAAGTTACATGGAAAGAAATGCAAAGTAGATTTTTAATCAATTACACAATTATAATATAATAGAAAGTGCACTGTGGGAAGAAGCTGGTTTCCAGCCCTTGCCTTGTCATTAAGTCCAATTAGACAAGTTAGGCCTTGAGATAGGATGTAAATCCCTTTATCTATAATGTGACTAGGGTTTGAGCAGATCATTTCTGAAATCCCTTAAGACTAAATTATGAGTGTGAGGGTTGTCTGGCTGTGTTTATTGTTAGAAAAGGCACATGGCTTGGATTCAATAGATGGAAATACAAGGTCTATTGTTTAATAGTTGTATATATTTGAGCAAGCTATTTAAAGTCTCTGAGCCTCAGTTTTCTCATCTGTTGGATAAAAATTATAACTACTTACTAGAGGAGTTTGAGGAAGCATAAAGGGAGATAATACATATGAAGTATGAGGAGAGAGTGCAGCACATAGTTGAAATTAATATATATAATGTATTCTCTTAATTCAGCCTTGTTTTAAAATTTTTTAAAGGTTTAGAAGAAATTTCCATCATTCAGAAATCTAAGTGAACAAATAATGTAATATTTACTGCCAAAAATTCAAGCATGCATTATTGTTCACAGTTCATAAGAGTTATTTGCTAAGAGTGATGTCTCCAAATAGGGTGCTCCTATTTTAAGATAAGCCATAACAAATTAGGGCTTATTAAAAAGAACATCATATGGAGAGAAAAGAGAGTTTTGGGAAGCTATTTCATATAAATAGTCATTGAAAAAATGCAATGTATCATGAGAGACATGCAGGTTGTAAAGGGACATTGAAAGTTCTATAAAAATTATTTTTGACATTTGGTCATCAATGACATCAAGTCAGGTATAGTCTGGTTATATGCTGCCTCTGAGAACCAGGTAGAACCAAGTAATAGAACTGACATAGAGGCTGATATCAATTCATTATGAAATGAACATTGCATCAACTAGACAGATCTGACATTGAAAAGATGACCTCATGACTCAGGGACATCCCCATCACTATGGGCCTCAAAAAGTTGTAGATGACCTTTAATTAACATGGTAGAAAGAATCTTGCATTGGCTTAGAGGATGAACCACATGATATTTAGATTTCCTTGTAACTTTGAGACTCTATAATTCCAAGAAGGAAGTGGGTTGACAAGGCTTACATTCTGCAAACCAGTTTCATCAGAACTGCTGTGTTGTGACCTGAAATATGAAGGCGTTTTTGACAAACAATAAGACAGCCTTCTTCCCAGCACAAGAATTTCCCCTGAGGAATTCTCTGATGTTGGCACCTCTTGAAATAGTGCTTTGGCAACATACGTGAGCCTGCGGCAAATATATCTAGACTCCATCTGGTTTGCTTCCTCTTCATCACCCTAACACTTTTCCTATAGCCAACACACACTACTTGGCTTTATTAATTAGTTAGAGTTACTGTGTATTTATCCAAATTTTCAACTCCTTGATCTTCCTTCTCTCATCTATTATTTTACTCTGCTAAAGTGCTCGCCTAATGTGGGTTCAGTCATTTAAATTTTTGGCTCTGGCTTCAACCACAGATGTTGGGTTATGTTTTATTGTCACGTCTTTAACAATGACAGAGGAATGTAGAGGGGGCTGAGAAACTTGGACAGTAAAATACACACCCTAAGGTCTTTGTTTCTATTATCAAAGCTGAAGACTTAAGCCTTTGGGAAAATTGAAAGTTTATACTCTGGGCAGTGCTATATTCTTTTGCTCAGAGACCGGCCTCTATTTCCCATCCGTGCACACCTTGGGGCTTCCTACAATATGAAGTATTTGAACGTTGCCTTATTTTTAGAAATCTTAGTATAGTGAGCAGTCTTCTGAGATGGCTCCAAATAATCCCCACCTCCTAATATTCACACTCTTTCTATTCCTTTCCTTTTTAGTGTGGGAGGGACCTGGTAACTTGCATCTAATGAGGAGAATATGGCAAAAAGGATAGGAGAACATGGCAAAAAGGACAGGATGTTACAAAAGCATATAGGCGCTTTCTTTCTCTCTCTCTCTCTCATTGGCTTTGATGAAACAAGCTTCCAGGTTTGAGACATCCACATGGCATAGAACTGAGGATACTGTCAAAAAAGCCAAAGGCCTTTAGTCCAACAACCCACAAAGAACTGAATCAACAAACTGTGACCTCAGAAGTGGATTATTTTTGAGTTTATCCTTGAGATGAGACCATAGCTCCAGTTGACAACTGGATTACAACCCATGACAGACCCTGAAGCACAGAACCCATTTACTTTGTGCCTGGATTCCTGACATATAAGAGCCATGAGATAATAAGTGTGTGTTGTTTTAAGTGACTAAGTTTTCAACTGATGAGCTATACAGAAATAGATAACTAATATACTCGCTATAGTAGACAAAAACCCAAGGCTGGAATATAAATAATTTAGGTACCAATTATTCACATTACTACAGAATAAACTCTAGGATTCCTTTTAATCTAAGTGCCTTTAAGAAATTAAGTCTTGTGTATCTTTTGACTATTAAAAGTAGAAAAATATAGAGTTAAAAGAAAACACTCATTGTTAATTAAAAATTAACAAGAAGTTACAATAAGGCATCTTATGACCTTTGGGTGTTATCGATCAGGGATTCACTAGAGAAATCGAACAAGTAGGAAGTATATAACAAGGGACTTATTGCAAAGAATTGGCGTACACAATTATAGACAAGCTAGATAAATCTGAAATCCACAGAGCAGGCCAACAAAGAAGGACAGGCTGGAACTGTCAGGTGAAAACGGAAGCTTCAGTCCACTGGGAAAATTTCTTATTCTCCTGGGAAATCTCAGCTCTGCAGTTAAGACCATTCAACTGATTTAATCAAGTCTACCTATATTAATCTAAAACAATCTCCCTTACTTTAAGACAGCTGATTATGGACTTTAATTATATCTGCAAAATACCTTTACAGTAACAGCTAAATTAGGATTTGGTTGAATAACTGGAGACTATTATAATACTGAATATCATATCATGTAAATCGAAGTGGACATATACAACTGGCCATCAATCATTTAAATCAAAGGAAAATAAATGTGAAATTTATTTGAAATTTGAAATGCTCATAGCATTCTAGTAACCATTTGCAATGAAAATTAAAGCCAATATTTTGTTTTCATCTTCATGGAGAAACTTACACAGTTGAAAAGTAAATATGAGCCAGTTCTACAACTAAGTTTAAAAATGTATTTCTTTCTCAGATCTTTATTTTATTCAGAACTTTGAGAGCCACATTTGAATTAACTCCAATGATATAAAACTATTCAAATATTCAACACAATAGTTATTTTCCCAATTTTTATTTACATAGTAAAATACTAAGTAAATGTTATAATCATGTTTTTAATGTAATTATTTTATGGATAAAGAAAGAAAACTGTGGTTGAAACTTTGTCCAATTATCAAAAACACTAATCAATTTTTCTTTGACTTGTTTACTGGATCCTAAAACTTGTTTTTTAATATCTAGCAATTGAGCCATCTCAGGGGTAAATGGTAGGATAAAGATTCTCTTCTACATGTCTAGTCACTAAAGACACTATTACCATAAATAAGTGATTTGGGCAAAAAAAGCATAAATTGTGGGTTATTTACCTATTGTAACCAAAAATTAAGATCATTTTATATATTCTATATGCACTTATCTATCTATCAAATATTTACTAAATGCCAGGCAGGGGTCTAGTTCCTGGAGATAGAGCGATCCCTATCTTTATTTTAATCTAAAAACAAATGAGATTTGAATGAAAAAAATAAAAATAATGATAGAGATGATCAGTAGATGGCATCAAGTGAAGTAAATCTGATTTGTTTGGATCCCTGTTCTTTTAAGGAAACATCTTAAAAGATAGCATGAGAACAAATTATATCAGGCATTTACACTCCCTGAGAGTAAAAGCTACAAAAAAAAACAGCTGGAAATCTCAGAAGGGACATTTGGAACATCAGCAATGAAAGATATACAGCAAAAATTTATAAATATCTGGGTAAACATAATAGACTATTCTTCTTTTGAGTTATTTGAAACTGTTAGATGCTTGAATTGCAACATCTGCCTGCAAGTTCTGGAATCTCTTAAGGTCAGTTACTTCTGCATTGTGTGGTGGACTTTATGTTCCTGCAGAAATAGCCTTGAGAAGTCTGGGATTCTCACTGGCAACTATGTTGCACCAAGTACTAGAAGCAGCTGAGAAACATATCCAGATACATGGTTTTGGGGGCATTTTGAGATACTTTTGTTATTAAAGAGACCTTGGCTCATCTCAGAATTTATAAAGAACTTATCAGACAGATTAGAATTCCACTGAGTTCCACAGTGTGATGTGTGGCTTCCACATTGTGTAGGAGGCGGGTGTATTATACTCACATTTTTCTCCCTTTTCCTCCTCCTTTATTTTCCAACTCAAATACTTGATAAAACAACTAGTTTATGTGACACAATGTGACCTACTAATTTTGGGCTACCTGCAGATTCTTCAAAATGTTTGAAGCCAAGCCATGTTGTTTACTTTAAATAAGATATTGATGTAAAAATATAAATCAATAAAATAAAATATATTCTCGGTAGCAAAGAAAATCTGAAATAAAATAGAAAAAAAATCTATTTTCTTATAATCAAATTTGAAGCATTAAAGAAATATATGTCCATTTCTCAATGACCTTCAAGCACGCATTCATTTTTCTAACATATTCCCTCCATCTCCTCCTTAAAAATATAGGAGCCTAAACCAAGAACATTACAAAGAAGTTTACATATCAGACAAGACGTTGGACATGGTCACCTTTCCACATCCTTGGTGCTTTTCATCCTGAGAATAGGAAACAAACCCATTTCCAATGTTCTCAACCATTTTCTGTGGTTTCTTTGCTGGCTATCAGCTGCATTTGTACCACAACCACCTGAAAATCAACCAATCAATCTCTCTCTTTATTTCTCTCTCTCTCTCTTTCTCTCATCCTCAAGATAACTACAGTCTTTACATGGTCTTTACACTTAGTGTTTGACTAAATATGTCAAGCTAAAGGTATAAAAACTGACTCAACCCAGCTAGGCTGAGACCACATTTCCACCCAAGTATTTGGTGGCTGGCAGCTTTTGAACAGGACTCCTGAACTTGTCCTTGAAAACCAGTGTAATATGAATTACTGTATTGATGGCAATGTGCACACAAACTTTCTGCCTTTTTGTTCCACTCTCCCCTACCCCATTAATCTCAATAGAAACATTTGTCTTTTATCCTAATGTTGTGTTATATATGGTGTGTGATATATTCTTATTTTGTGTTATTACAAGATCTTTAAAAAGATAAAAAACAGAAGCCTCCAAATTTGTTCTTTAAAATATACTAATAAAAGAAAAACTTCAGCTGAATTAAATTTAAAGAAGTTTAATTAAGCAATGAATGATTCGCAAATCAGGCAGCCTTCCCAGCCAGGGTAGGCTCAGGGACTCCAGCAGAGCCACGTGGCGGAAGAGGACTTATGGACTAACAAAGAAAGTGAGCTACACGATATGGAAGTGAGGTACAGAAACAGCCAGATTGGTTACAGCTCGGCATTTGCCTTATAGGCTGCGGTCTTTTTACACCTCCACTTGTTATGTTAACGATGTACAGGAAAACCTTTAGGGCCAACCTTAAAGTATGTAAGGAGGCAGCTTTAGGCTAAACTTGATTTAACAATACCAATACTCTCTCGTCATATCTCCTCATTTTATATCCACTTTCAATTAGACAAGGAGTCAGCTATTACACGTAGAACCAAACAATTTAGGGGCACACATACCTACTCACATACATACACACACACACACACACACACACACACACGCTACTATGAAGAGCTTTTCTGTACTTATGTTTATATTTTTATTAATTTTTTTGAGACAGAGTCTCACTCTGTTGCTCAGGCTGGAGTACAGTGGCGTAATCTCGGCTCACCACAACCTCCGCCTCCTGGGTTCAAACGATTCTCCTGCCTCACCCTCTCAAGTGGCTGGGACTACAGGCACATGCCACCTTGCCCAGCAAATTTTTGTAGTTTTACTAGAAAAGAGGTTTCTCCATGTTGACCAGGCTGGTCTTGAACTCCTGACCTTAAGCAATCTGCCCACCTCGGCCTCCCAAAGTGCTGAGGTTACAGATGTGAGCCACTGCACCTGGCTGAATGAAGGGGTTTTAGAGGTAAAAGTAGCAAAAACAAATTTGGGGTATGTGATGTGATCAATACAAATTATTGTCACTTTCCTACTTTATTCTCACCTACACATATAAGGAGTTTCATCCCTCACTTCGAGGGGAATTTCTCCATTTAAATGTTTGATCTATCCTCTCTTGTAATGCTGGGAACCTTCTGAGATGCAACGGTGCAATCTCAGCTCACTGCAACCTCCGCCACTCAGGTTCAAACAATTCTCCTGTCTCAGCCTCCCGAGTAGCTGGGATTACAGGTGCACACCACCATGCCCAGCTAATTTTTTGTATTTTTAGTAGAGACGGGGTTTCACCATGCTGGCCAGGCTGGTCTCGAACTCCTGACCTCGTGATCCGCCCGCCTCAGCCTCCCAAAGTGCTGGGATTACAGGCATGAGCCACCATTCCCAGCCATTATTTTTTATATTGATAAATATTTTAAGCATACAGAAAAATGTAGTGGATGACATAACATATGCTCGTGTACTGCCCACAGCTTGCTCACATCCTCATCTGTATTCATTTTTTTCAGTCTTTACAAAAAGACAGAATATTGCAGAGACAGTTAAACACCCTCATACTTCCCTCTTTTTAATGAGTGTCTATTTCAGTTCTTGCCTTCAGAAAATTGAACTACCAGGAAGGAATACTACTTATCTTCTTTTTGAAAGTTCCCCAGGAGATGAAAAGTTAACCTGGCACAGACTGATTACTCTGCATAGTATAATAAAAACAAAGCTTTTCTATTTGGTGTTAGAACTCATATAATGGTTTTCAGTTTTTTATATATACATATATAAAATATATATAATATATATTATATACTATATATTGTACATAATATATATTATATACTATATATTGTACATAATACATAATATACTATATATTGTATATATTGTGTATATATTATATATAATATATAATGTGTATATTATATATTATATACAATCCATATTATAGATAACATATATTATATACAATATATATTATATATAACATATATTGTATACAATATATGTTATATATATTATATATATATATTTGATAGTTGATACATCTTCCTGAGTATGTATTCTTCAGGCTCAGGAATAGCACTCCATAACAGCTTAGGAGATCCAAATGCGCTACCCCTTCTCTGTCCTGCTCCTGGGGTGGACCAGGTAGCCCCTGGAGTTCCAAGGCTGGTGGTAAAGTCACCCAGTTTGTGGCTCTTTGTTAGTGGTCCTGGGAAGTTAATATACCAATCCTAAAAATCTGTATTTTCTCTCTATGCCTAAAATTTCCCCCACTATAGAGGCTGTCATATGGGCTCCAGATTCGATGGCTTTAAGGAATTAACTTTTTTTAAATGATCTAAAAATCTAAGCTTCCTCAAGTCCAGGATGTCTGTCTGTTTTGTTCATTGCTTTACCCCTATTTCTTGGTACAAAATGCAAATGGAGTTAGCAATAGGTGAATGAAGTAGATGTCCTTAGGCACATATGATAAAAAATTGATTCCTATGAGCTGTTGTTTTTCAGCATGACAGTAGCTAAGAGGTGAACAATCAGGGTGAGTAAACTTTGGAGAGGAGAAAAGGGCAGGAGTCATTTCTTAGAGTCACAATTTCTTAGACTTGGAAGAACTTTGTAACTAATAAATGAATATTTTTAAATGCATCCCTAAGAGCTGGTCATCACCTTTCTACTTCAATAGCTCTGAACTGGAAATTGAGTCTCAGTCCTACTGCTAGCTTCCATATCTTTAGATAAGTCTAGACTGCCATTTCTTCACCTGTTAATTAGAAACGTGGACTCAATGATTTTTTTGTAGCTCATGATCTTGCTGGCCACAAAGACCTCTAGAATAAAGTAGCACTCATGAAAAAGGAATACCAAATGGAATTTAACTCACTTTGAAGTGTTGTCTAGAGGTTGACCATATAGGCCTACTTCAGACTTAGTTTGCATTTCAAGAACACGTTATTTTGAATGATAAAGTCAGATTGTTTTTCAATAAACAAAAACAATTTTGTATTAAACATCAACTGCGGCTAATCCACACAGCAGATAAAACACATACAGGTCAGTAAGAGAGTCAAGCCATTGACAAAGAAAAACAAAAATATAAGGACCCACTTTCTTCTCTTGTCCAAGGTGAAAATGAAGATTAAAATGGAACGAAAAAATCCTGGAAGCAGCCATCACCATCTAGAATACACTCAGGGTTTTGAGTTTATTTGGCATTTGCTACTGTTTTCCATACAATCACCACCCAAGAGGGGGGTGTCTCTAAATAAAGGAAATGCTGGGTGATGAAAAATAATGGAAATTCTAATAAAATCCGGAAGTTAAATTCTCCCAGTCGTGTTCCTCCAGCTAATCCCTCATAGTCATCCTTTTGTTTCTAGAAATGGCATTAAAGCCACCCAGTGGGGGAGGGGGGAAAACTCTACAGACCGCTTTTCACTGTGGGCCCTAAAACCTCATCCCCAAATGTAGGTTTTGAGACTCTGCCCAGCACAGCTTTGAAAGTTTTGCCATGAAGTCCTAATTGCTAAGTAGGTGCGTGCTCACTATTACTCCATAAAGGGAAGAAAGAAGAAAAACAAGTGAAAGAAGAGAAAGTAAAAGACAGCATATATCATTTTGTCAGAGAAATGACATATTCTAGGTGCTTCGCTAGGCTGAAGATGATTACTCCTGTATATAAACTGATCATTTCTTTCTTAAGAAGTATGTAACCCTCTTGGTGTCTCTAGGACATTCTGTTAAAACGTTATCCCCTTCCCACCTTATAGCCTACCATCACCTATGTAAATAAGATGCTGTATTAGTCTGTTCTCATGCTGCTGATAAAGACATACCTGAGACTGAAAAAGAAAAAGAGGTTTAATTGACTCATACTTCCACATGGCTAGGGAGGCCTCACAATCATGATGGAAGGTGAAAGGCACATCTCACATGACGGCAGACAAGACAAAATGAGAACCAAGCAAAAGGGGGTTTCCTTTATAAAACCATCAGATCTTGTGAGATTTATTCACTACCATGAGAACAGTATAAGGGGAAACCTTCCCCATGATTCAATTATCTCCCACCAGATTCCTCCCACAACACATGGGAATTATGGGAGCTACAATTCAAAAGGAGATTTGAGTGGGAACGCAGCCAAACTATATCAGATGCTTTTTTACTGCTCAATGGTATTTGCCAAAGGCACAGTTTTCAAAATCACCTTGACATTTCACTTGACATGGCTGCTTCACCTCTGCTTACAAATAAGTTTTGTTTCTAATCAGAACTACTGATTACAGATCGAGATTGTGTTAAACTTATGGTGATCACAAACAAATAAAATGTTGGGGCCCTTCCCTGAAGAGTTAACGGTATCTCTTGGAAAGAAAAACTAACAGATATGTTGGGACCAAAATATACACAGAATTGAAAAAAAACACACACACATAAAAGAAGTTTTATATTCGTAATGGATCTAGTATACTAAGTAGCATAATAAATAACTCACTTTAAACCTGAATTTTTTCTAGGTAATATGCCTTAAATACCATGTATTACTTTCACTTATACCAAGGTTTCAAAATCTCATCACTGCCAACATTTGTACCAGATAATACTTTGTTGTGGGAACTGCTCCGTGCGTTGCAGAATGTTTAACAGCATAAATGGACTCTATCTGGTAGATGCCAGTTGCACTGTTGCTGCATTTATAACAACCAAAATTGCCTCCAGACATTGCCAAATGTCCCCTGAGAGGGGGGACAGTCTCATCTCCAGTAGAGAATCATTGATTATAGAGTGATTATAAAGAGTGTGATTTTTTTTTTCCTGTAGAGGATAGGGGAATCTAACCAATGAGGTTATTCCTAAGTGTCTCATCTCTAGATGAAAATGAAATTATATGCCATCAACTCAAACAGGAGCTGGGAGGGAAGTAGGATAGGAGGTAGAAGTATCCACATTCTACCACTTTCTAACTGTGTTTTTCGGGGGCAAGTTATTTAATCCCTCTAAGCTACTGTTCCTATGAAACAGCTGTGAAATAAAAATAATAATAGAAATCAGCTCCAAAGGTTGCTGTATGTAAAGCACTTAGCAAATGCTTAATACTCTGCAAGCACTTTGCAAATGATAATCATTACTATTGTGACCTTTCTTGAGCCAAATAGCCACCGTCACCTGCATCCTATACTTAGGAGTCTGCAGAACTATTTTAGCATGCTTTACTCAACATGGGTTTGTCTCTATGGGAATAAACATTTTAATTTCTCCATTTACTTTGTTTCAAAGAATAACTTCCAGACTAGTTACAAATGTTTGCTTATATGGTAAGATTAAAAGCGTAAGAATGGCGGGGAATGGTGGCTCATGCCTGTAACCCCAGCACTTTGAGAGGATGAGGTGGGTGGATCCCTTGAGCCAAGGAGTTTGAGACCAGCCTTGGCAACATGGCAAAACCAAGTTTCTACAAAAAATACAACAAAATTAGCTAGGTGTGATGGTGCACGCCTATAGTCTCAGCTACTCGGGAGGCTGAGGCTGAAAGATCGCCTGAGCCCAGGAGGTCAAGGCTGTGGTGGGTTGAGATTGCACTGCTGCACTGCTGCACTCCAGCCTGGGTGACAGAGTGGGACCCTGCCTCAAAAGATAAATAAATTAATCAAAAGTATAAGAACTATCATGTGTAATTTTCCTAGAGGAAAATGCAATTTTTAAATCCCACTGGAGGATCCAGGACATCCTCGTCACTTTTGGCAAAGAAATAACTGTCCCCGCTGTAAGTAGGTCTATTTCCATTCACTCAGCTACATCAGGTCCTCTGTTGGAAACAAAGAACCTACAAGAGAGGGGGAAGAGAGTGCTTTACATAAGGACTGGTGGAAAAGTAGAGACAGGATCTCTGAGGGAGCAGAGGGGGAGGTGGTGTTGGGCCACATACAACCTATTCCCTGTAGGGGTACAGGTGGGGACAATGAAGCAGTTGGGTAGTTTCTGGTGGTGGTGGCAATGCCACTGCTGCTGGGATCGTTCTCCTGGAGGTAGAAACTTTGTCTCTGAAACTCTGTCTTTGAGAGAGGTATAGCCTTTAAAGAGGGCCTTCATAAGGCAAGCAGTGATGTTATCAGCACCTATGGATGTTCACAGTTCCAGTTCCTGTAGGCACCCCCGAGGTCTCCTCATATTGTAGCAGTCCTGAGATAGGGGACAGGGCAGGGAAGGCAGCAGTTTCCCTGGGTGGCCCCAAGGGTTGGGAGCCCCCAGGTCAAGTGGCTGGTAGATTGTAATGACTTGCTTGGAATCATCTTGCCTACACCATCTGGTAGGCCCATTGTACCAGCAAGAAAGTGAAAGTTGTGATAACTACTGAGTTGGCAAATACAGCTTGACTTAGGCGAGAGTCCTTCTGTTCTTATTCAGAAACTCCATAAAAGACAGATTAGGTCGGATAGCAAACCGGACAGCTAAAAATATATAGAGGTAGACAAGCAGTTCTATAGATCCTGGGCGGGGAGTGAGGAGAAAGTCCCCTGATCATTTGTGACTCAACCCTTGGACCTTCCTGAAATGTAGGAAACAGCAGTTCATGTAAATTCTATAAATAGTTGTATAAGCAAAGTTTTTCTTCTGATGCAGAAAAAAATTAAAACATTCTCTGGAGAAAACATGATCTTTTCTCCATGTTTTAGTTGTCAGTTTTGACAAGAACGATACAAGCTAATTAAATTTCTGTTAATTTATTTTGTCTGATTCAGTGACTGCCTGTCACACAAATCCCTCAATAAGTAAGATTTCTCTCTGCTATAAACTTTCTCCTCTTTCTCTGAAATGCCATTAGATAAACGCACGAAAAGTGGACCTATTTTACTCAAATAAACACTAAAAGCACTTAAACTCAATCCGCCCTCAATACTTCAACTCCTCATGTCTGCTTTGGAGGGAACCTAACTCTTTCCAGCTTATAAATCTCCAATTGAGACCATTACCCTTTATGAAAGAAATGTCTTTATGTAGATAAAATGCAAAGATGAAGTTGAGAATTGATGGCAGATGAAACAGAGGAATATGTCGCATTCCTATTTGCCTTGACATTCACAAGGAGTATTTTCTCATATTATTCCTCTTTGAAATAAAATTTGAGATTGACACTGCGTCATCTCTTCAATCTTAGTTATCTAGAGTGACTGAAGTCTTTATCTACTTGTCAAGAGTGATAAGATGAAGTTGCATTATCATACATGAACAGAGCTTGATGTTTGAATAGATATCAACATACTTGACAATAGTGGTTGTCTATTTAAATTTTCTTTTCTGCACCATTTTCATTGAAGGCTCAATCCTTCCTCATTTTTTGAGACTTAGCCCAAACGTCACCTCTACTACAAATTCTGCTCTGTCTTCACCCTACTCCTATTGTCATGATCACCCTAGACGAACATTTTCTGTGTTAGGTCATTTGTGCATCTCTATAAGGAAGTACCTGAGGCTGGGTAATTTATAGAGAAAAGAGATTTAATTGACTCATGATTCTGCAGGCTGTACCAGTATGGTTCCAGCCTCTCCTTCTGGTGAAGGTCTCAGGAACCTTACGATCATGGCGGAAGGTGAAGGGGGAGCAGGCACATTACATGGTGACAGCAGGGGCAAGAGAGAAGAGGGAAAGGTGCCATACATTTAAACACCCAGATTTCACAAGAATTCATTGACAATTGTGAGGACAGCACCAGGTCATTCATGAGAGCTCTGCACCCATGAGCAAAACACCTCCCACCAGGCCCCACCTCCAACACTGGGGCTTTCATTTCAACATGAGATTTGGAAAGGACAAACATCCAAACTGTATCAACATTGTACTTAGCTTTTATCAGTCTGCATGGTATTTTTTGTTTGTCTGCATGTCTGTTAGGTTACTATAACCTCTTGGAAGTATGTCCTGAAATCCCTCACTGAGAGGATAAGGAGAACAAAAGAAGGGGCAGGAAGTAGAGCAAAGAGAGGAGACACGTAGGAAGAAAGATGGAAGGGAGAGAAGGGATCTTTTTCCTAATGTAGCTGCTGGTCTATCCTTTAGACAAGAGAAAATCTCACATTGATGTGTTCTTGGCTTCCTGGGGCTCATACATCATTTTGTTCATGTTCATTATCACTAAGCACAACACTCATATTTTAGCTGTATGTATTCACAAGACCTTACTCAGAGTGGACAATATTCAGAATCAACCTTTAGAATCTCAACAGAGTTTTATATTGGGTTTGGTTTCTTTTGCTGTTCTTTTGTATATTCAAAGCAAAAATTATTGATTATACATATGTTGATATGCTAATATTGATAATGATATCTAATACACCGAACACTTGTTTGTTCCAAGCACTTTGCCTGTACAAACTGACTTAATCGTCAGAACAACCTTGTGGATAGGTACTATTGTCATCCCCATTTTAGGGGTGAGAAAACTGAAGAAGAAAGATCTAAAATAAATTACCTGTGGTCATAAAATTAGTAAGTGGCAAAGCCCAGATTTAAACCAGAGGAGAAAGAGCCCATGCTCTGAACAGCCTAGTGACCAATTGCATGACTATTAGAAGTGCCTTCAATAGAGTCAGTCAACAAGCATTTTATTTGCTGACATTTGATAAATCAGTTTTGTGTTGAATGTATGGACATGGCTCAAAGTAAAATTTCAACAATTGATCCTCTAAGCACTCTCCTTTCTGTGCTCTCACAATAGAAATATTCTTTTGTCAACCTTATAGTTTTTGGTGGACATCTGTGCCTTTTTTTTAAGACTCTAAGCCTCATGGGAATTTATTCATGATCACATACTTCACAACTGTTTTTGCTGAATAAAATAAAATGGCTTAAGATAGAGTTAAATGCTCCTTTCTCCCTACTGCTCATCAGAAATACAACTATTAACTCCTATATGCATTTGTCTGATTCTATCCCATATTCAGGGATTTAATATAAACTTTAAGTTTTATCATTACTACAGACCTCTTTTTGAATTTCATATAGGGTTGAAAACTTTGTGATGAGTTTTCTTGGTTTTTGGAAATGCCTTTAAAAAAACTGGATTGAGAATTTTAATCGAGGGAGGCAAGCAGGGGCCATGATGCCCAGACTACCAATTGAATTCCTTAGAAACAGTTAAGAATTTCCTTTGTTTGGCATTAGTCATTTTGAAGGAACTTCACATTCAAAGAACCTTTTAATACCAGCACAGGAGTCTTGTTATGTTGTCTTGCATAATGTGGTCACTTCTGCATAAAAGCATCTGTATTTTTTAATTCTCCTTGGCAGCCGAAGATTCAGGTACGTGACTTTACACTCATAGACACTCTGGCTCATTAACTGTTCCCTCCCCCTTGCCCCCCACTTCTTTCCTCTCTTCTCTGTAACTGGAATTCACTCACAGAACATGCTGCACTCTTCCTCAACTCAAACTGAGTATCCAGGGGCAAGAAATTGAAGAGCAGTCCGTTACTAAAGAGATAGTGCCACAGATTTGCTGAGTCACCTCGTGATATGAATTGATTTTCTAGTGCTCCAGTAAGCTCAATCTCAAGTGCATACCAAGTGAAATGCATGACTATTAGGTGATGTTCCCTTTAAGTTTCTCTTATTTTATATCACTTTAAGTCTAGAGTGGTTATTGGATATTTTCTGGTTCAAGATTGGTATTCCTAAGAGTTTTGCAGTGGATAAAAAGCGGCTATGTGCATAACCATTGAATGAGCATACCTACCTCTCTAAAAGTAGATTTGGGTTACTGCATAGCTGCCATGTGACCAAAAACAGCACCAGGGAAGAGAACAAGTTGGCACATGGAAGAGGGTAGCAAACATATAGTAGATTGCCAGCCCTGCATTACTACTTGATACATGAGAAGATGGAGGTGACATCCACACCTCGCCAGAAAGGCAGTCAGTCATCTGCTCCCCTCTTCCAAAGAGGGTCAGGCCCATTACTTTATGACATACACTTCCAGAGGAACATGAATGTTAATAGCTTTCCCTATAACGAAGCTCCTTTCCAGCAGCAGAAAGTACGCAGAGGGAGGTGAGCTCTGAAATACAAGGAGGCTTCATGTAGAGTTTAGAACTAAAGTCTGTCTGATTTAAGTCACTAGGTTATCCAAATTCAGGGAAAATGACTATTACATTACACTTATAATCTTCATTTCCTCTCTGACCTTGAATATACCTTCGCGTTTTCTAAACCTGCCCAGGGAGAAGTTAATGTCCATTCCAGACCAGAAAGACCAGGGCTTTTACATGTTTTAGCCGAAAGCTAGTAATGTGGTAGCTTTGCCCAACCAGGCAGTGATTTCTGTAGTTTGATGGGAGAGGAAAAATGGCCCCGTCTCCTTGGAGAGGATGCAAGGATGAGTTCTCAGTCTGGGGACATAATGGATCATAGCCCAGGTTCACAGTCTTCTAATCCCCCCACCTGAATGGCCTTAAATGTTCAGTAAATTAGGCTCCAATGTGATTAGTCACTTCATAAGTGGCCTTTTTGGGGAAAATTTGCCAGGACAACTGTTGAGTGATGTCTCAATTTATGGCTCAAGGGGGACAAGGCATCTCTGGTAATGCCATTAAGTGGAGAAAGATGAATGTAAATGTACCATTTTCTCCTTTCAGTGGTAACTTTAAAATGTTTTTAAATATTTTTGGCCCCATCATCATGGCATTACTGCTGCCCATGGAGGAAGAGATGGGGGTTCCAAAGGAAAAGAGGAAAACACTTAAATGGAGCTCCTCAGATTTCTCCACTTTTACAGCACAAAATATTTTTTCTCCTTACTATTGCATGACGAAAAAAAAGTAATAATGTTCTGCTCTCAAAGCTTGGATTCTTCAGTTCAGGCTGTTAAAGATTTAATACACTTTCTGCAGTAAGGAATAGGAGTGAATGCCTGTACAAGTTGCAAGGCACAACCCATGATGGCATTGACAAAGCAACATCGTGGCCCTCATGTCTCTGTTTGCTGCAACAGAGCTGAGGTCTGTAGGTGCTCAAGGACACAAATCAGGGAGGGCTGCTGAGTCCTCAAGCAAGATTAAATTGTTAAGAATACCTAACGTGGGCCCGTTTTAATACCTTTCCTTTCATCTGGGCTCTTAATTCCTCACCTAGGATACAAATAAGAACTGAGCCACAGAATGTGAGGTGGGATCTAAAAATAGACTAGGCCTACTCATTCAATAATACCCTAAAGGTTATGGATTTCTGTTACAGACAAAAACAAACTTATTTCCTCACAGTGTGGGGAAGGAAGGAAGGAATGAAGGAAAGAAGGAAGGAAGGAAGGGAGAGAGGGAGGGAGGGAAGGAGGGGAAAGGGAAGGAGGGGAAAGGGAAGGAGGGGGAAGGAAAGAGAGGGGAAGGGAAGGGAAGAGTGAAGGGAAAAGAAAAAATTTGCCAAGCATGCCCAGACTAATTAGAGGAGGGCAATCGCTTCCTTGGACACACTCTGTCTAGATGTGAAATCGCAGAGTTCCTCTGGTCACTTCCATGCCTGCTTTATGGATCACAAAAATCACTCCCAATGGAGGCAGTTTTCACCTTGGTAGTGTAAGGGCCTTGGTTTGTGGAGGTTCCCAACTCCTCAGCTCCAATAACAGTGGATGGAGCCTCTTCTTTGGGTCAGGTTGGCTCCTCTTCACCAAGTGAAAGCACATCAAGTCTGCCACTGTACCCTGCCAAGTCTGACATGGTGATGATGTGCAGAATAATCGTTATGAAGGGCTCTATGTACAAGACATGCATGTAAACCATTGCCATGCCTATTTAATAATAATAATGACTATCATTTATGATTTTATTTTAAAAATGCATCACGTAACACCCATTTTAAAGACACAGTGAGGAGGATTTTTGTTGTTGTAGTAAGTCATAAAACAATGTACGTTAATAAAAGGTCCCTATGTGATGGAG
The DNA here is from genome assembly GCF_000001405.40 of Homo sapiens. Taxonomy (NCBI): domain Eukaryota; kingdom Metazoa; phylum Chordata; class Mammalia; order Primates; family Hominidae; genus Homo; species Homo sapiens. The sequence continues at coordinate 71,551,421 of NC_000017.11, forward strand.
AGGGTAGCTTTGTGTTTGTGAACCAGGTCTATACCTATGAGCAGTAACTTGAAGCAGGAATAAAAAACTATCTGCTGCCTTACCTAGTTCAAGAAGATCCACTTTATTTCATTGTGTGTATTTGTTTGCGTAGGTTAGGAGGGAGGGGATAGAAGATTTACAATTGCTACACCTAACACCCACATTTGTCCTTTATAAACAATCAATTATTAATGTTTAATCTAATCATCTCACCATTAAAAAACCTTTTATGATTTTGAGCTTCAAATGGTCCCTTGTTAGCGCAATTCCATAGTAACAGATTCAGGACACGTACAGTAAAGATGGAAGAAACTGGCAAGAAGGATCCGAAGCTTGGCACAGGCACAGGAAGCTGACCTGGCTAGAGGAAACAGGAGACCAGCATTTGGTGCTGGACCTGAGAAGACGGGATGCTGCAAGTGTAAGAAATGCATGCCGTGGGCTGGGCACGGTGGCTCACGCCTGTAATCCCAGCACTTTGGGAGGCCCCGGCAGGCAGATCACCTGAGGTCAGGAGTTTGAGACCAGCCTGGCCAACATGGTGAAACCCCATCTCTACTAAAAATACAAAAATTAGCTGGGCGTGGTGGTGGGCACCTGTAATCCCAGCTACTTGGGAGGCTGAGGCAGGAGAATTGCTTGAACCCAGGAGGCAGAGGTTGCAGTGAGCCGAGATTGTGCCATTGCACTCCATCCTGGGTGATAGAGCGAGACTCCATCCCCCAAAAAAAAAAAAAAAGAAAGAAAGAGAAAGAAAAAGAAACCCATGCCATGAATAAACTTCACACATTAATTAACTCAGATTTTGCCTCCTGTTATTCAGATCTTGGTCTTTCCAGATTATATAGAAAATCTGATATATTTCTCACTTGCTCCTCGCTTTCTGTGAGATGGGCAGTGAGGATATTATTATCCCATTATTCCATTTACACCAAGGAAACTGATGCAAAGTGACAGGCCCAAAGTCACACAGCTTGTAAGTCATAACGCCAGGACATAGACCCAGTGTCTGGACAGTTCAAAGATGAGTGGTTTTTTTTGTTTTTGTTTGTTTTTTAAAACAAGCAGTCCACTCTTAGAACCTTCTAGTTGATACTGCCCAAGACATCAAACTGAAATTCTTCGTTCAGAGTCCATGGTCCTTTTGGTGATGTATGCATGAGTTTCTCAGGGGACTCATGACTCCTCCTCAAAATGTCACATGAAAGTTTGTGGTAGGAGCACGTTTGCCTCCATCTGCAGGATAAGTCTTCACCCTTCACTGAACAGACTGGAATCCCACTGTATTACGATTCTGCTATAAAGAACTGCCTGAGACTGGGTAATATATAAAGAAAAGAGGTTTAATTGACTCACAGTTCAGCATGGCTGAGGAGGCCTTGGGAAACTTACAATCATGGCAGAAGGTGAAGCAGGCACCTTCTTCACAAGGCAGCAGGAAGGCGTGAGTGCAAGGAAGGGAAATGCCAGATGCTTATAAAACCATTAGATCCCATGAGACTCATGCACTATCATGAGAACAACATGGTGAAAACTACCCCCATGATCCAATCACCTCCTACTGGGTCCTTTCATCAACATGTGGGGATTATGGAGATTACAATTCAAGATGAGATTTTGGTGGGGACACAGCCAAATCATATCACCCACTGATGTTTTAGAATATGCTGGAAATGTGGGAAGATGCCGCTACGCTCAATCCCTGCCATTTTTCCACCCAAAAATTCCTAAAGAAGACTCATATGACCAGAAGAAAACAGGGCAGCACTTAGGTTTGTTCTTTGTCTATGTCAAAACAATCTCACACATGCCTCGGGAACTCAGAATCGACACTGACGCTTTCCTTTATTCCATGTATGGAAGATTACATGGATTACATGAATAGATGAGAAGGAAAGTTTGGCTTTGGTTTTTAACATAATAAGAAGTCTGCAGGGAGATGTTTTTCTCACTTAAATGTTGAATTCTTGGACAAAATGGGTATTGGACTTCACAAGAGTTTTAGAGTTTGAGACAGGTTGAGGAGGGGCAGACAGGTGAACTGAGGCAGTGGGCAAAGAGATCATTGACAGGATGCAGACGATGTTTATCTTTCAACCACCAAGGGCACACGGTGGCCAGGTCTGGCACGGGTTGGTGAGTTGCAGTTCCCCTTTTGTGCCTCTGCCAAACCTCCTTAATCTTGAGGTGTAGAACATTTGCTGCCTTAGCCCGGGCCTCGCCAGAGCTCAGCTACTGGGCAGGAATGCTTCCTTTCCTAGGTCAGGCTGTCCAGACAGGGTCCTTCAGGGGCCTGGTCTGTCTGTCAGACTCTTTTCCATCCTCAGTCACCAGGGTACAGAGTCACGAACAAAAATACTCCACTAATGCTTTGGTTTTCCTGTGACCCTGCAGTCCAGGAAAAAGGATGTCTAGCACGAAATTTTTCTGTGTTCAAGATGCAATGTGGTCTAGTGGGAACGCTTCAGGGCTGAAAATTTGGAGACTTGTCTCCAAAATCAAGCTTTAGCACTAGTTCTGTGACCCTGGGCACATAATATGAACTAGTAATTAAAGAGGAGCTCAACTGATCTAGCTGCCTGATCTTGTGAAATCTTCATATATAGAGAAAATAGAGAGATGAAATCATAAGTGAACAGAAAACTAAGAGCTAGATTTGTAGCTAGCTCTGGCACATGCACTAGATGGTCTAGAATGTATTTTGTGTCCTGACTTCACCCCTGGCTTCATCTTATCTTCCAAGCTTTATATTCCATTTCAATATGATTTTTTCCACTTTTTATATTGCTATGGCTATGTATATTTTCAAAGCTGTCTTAAATAACTTTTGAAAACATGCATAGCAGAAAGGAAGAAAAAAAAACGAAGACAGAAAAGCTAGATGCCATTCAGCAATAACTGCCATCATTTCATTATTATCTCACTGAAATCCCAGCAAATATTTTCCTTTTCTAAATATTTGTTACCTAATTCATGGCTTCTGCTGTACCCCAAATCCTACCATCATCATGAATGACAAGGACAACCCCTTTTACATTCTGGCTTCTCAAATGCTTGGTCTTTTTATCTCCATTGACCCACAATTCCTGGAATTTTTGCATCTCTGAAATTGTAAATTCAGACAGATCCTTTCTATGGACTAAACCTCTGTATATTACAGGCAAGAAAAGATGACTCAAGCTGGTTTAAACTCTGAAGGGATTTATTGGTTTATGAAATCGGAAAGCCCATAAGTATGATGGACTTAAGGTTGGATTGATTCAGTGACTCGATATGGTCTTCTTGGACTGAGTTTCTTTCCTTCTCTGCTCCCTGCTTTCCACAGTAGCATCTTCTAGGTGTCAAATCCCATCTTTTTCTGGGATTCTCCCACGATACCAGGGAGGAGAGTGCAAACCTTTCCCCAAAAACCCTCCAGAAAAGGCTGCCTTCATTGTCACCAATGCAAATTGGGTCACACTTCTGTTGTTGTTGTTGTTGTTGTTGTTGTTGTTGTTTGAGACGGAGTCTTGCTCTGTCGCCCAGGCTGGGGTGCAGTGGCACGATCTCGGCTCATTGCAAGCTCTGCCTCCCGGGTTCACACCATTCTCCTGCCTCAGCCTCCCAAGCAGCTGGGACCACAGGCGCCTGCCACCATGTCTGGCTAATTTTTTGTATTTTTAGTAGAGTCAGGGTTTCATCGTGTTAGCCAGGATGGTCTCGATCTCCTGACCTCAAGATCCGCCCGCCTCAGCCTCCCAAAGTGCTGGGATTACAGGCGTGAGCAACCGCACCCAGCCAAACTGGGTCACATTTTTACCCCAGAACTAGGAATGTTGCATCATGATTGGACTACTGTGCATTGATTAGCAGAGGTCTAAGACACCCATCTAAAGCCCTGGATCCAGGAATAGAATTCATGCTACCGACCATGTACAGGCTGCTTAAGGGAGGTGTAGATACCAAAACAAAGGCTGAGATAGTTAAAAAGAGGAGGGGAAAAAATGCTGGACAGTTCACAACAATGCCTACGCATCAGTTTCTCAACACAGTCTCCCATTCTTCTACCTCCCTCATGAAGTAACTCTAATATACTAGTTATGTGTCTTCACCAGTATCTTTAGTCTTAAGACATTCAATATGATAACCACCAGCCACATGTGCCTATTAAGGTTTAAATCAATTAAAGATAAGTAGAATTTAAAATTCCATTTCTCAATCTCACTGGACACATTTTGAGTGCTCAATAGTAACCTGTGGATAGTAGCGCCATATTCAGCGACACAGATTGACAGCATTTCTATCATTAAAGAACATTCCATTGGACATTAGTGCTCTTCCATCCACTCACCCAAGCCTGGAACCTAGGTATTACCTTGATATCTTCTCACAAAATTCTGGCCATTTTACTGTCTAAAAAGCTCCTGAATATTCTCAGTCTCTGCTACAAAAAGCTCCTGAATATTCTCAGTCTCTGCTACTCTTCATTTAGTGAAGTTTCAAATCATCTGTAACCCAGATTACTAAATTACTCTAATTTTCTCAGAATGCAGCCACAATGCCCTTTTTAAAGTGACTGTTTCCTAAGTAAAGCCATTTGTCCACTCCTCTTAGGATAAACCCTAAGATGGAAAATGACTTACAATGCTCTTCATTATCCAGATGTTTCTCAGTTTTGTAACCTCCATTTGTTCCCACTTTCCCCATGTCCTAGTTTGAATTATAGGAAGAAGCACACAGTATGGAAGTTAAGAGTGTGGATTCTGGTACCCATGACTTGGGTTCAAATCCCAGTTCTCTTTTTATTGTTTTCTTCCTCTGTAAAATTCAGGTAATAATAGTTTCTATACTAGAAGGTTCATTTGAAGACACATTGAAGTACTAGTATAATGAATGGCATACATTAGATGTCTAATAAACATTTTTCAGATTAATAAATGAACTATAATCAGGCACAGTGGCTCACTGTAATCCTAGTATGTTGGGAGGCTGAGGTGGGCAGACGGCTTGAGCCCAGGAGTTTCGAACCAACCTAGGCAACATGTCAAAACCCCATCTCTACAAAAAAATACAAAAAAAACCCCAAAAAAACAAAAAAACAAAAACTAGCTGGACATAGTGGTGTGACTGTGGTTCCAGATACTTAGGAGGATGAGGTAGAAGGATCGTCTGAGCCTGAGAGGTTGAGGCTGCAGTAAGCTGTGATCACACCACTGCACTCCAGCCTGGGCAACAGAGTGAGACCCTATCAAAAAAAAAAAAAAAAGAAAAAAAGAAAAGAAAAAAAAGAACTACAGTTTTTAAAATACAATATCCAAATAACAATGCTGTATAAGCTAAATCTCTTATGCGTTTAGTGTAATAAAGTATAGTACTGATATATGAAAAGAGCATATATTGGCCATGCTTTAGAAGGTGGTACTTTTGGGCAACAGAATATTCTAGCTCATACCAAATGAATACTGTTCATTGAACTATATTAGTTCATTTTCACACTACTGATAAAGACATACCCAAGACTGGGCAATTTACAAAAGAATGACGTTTATGAGACTTATAGTTCCACGTGGCTGGGGAGGCCTCACGATCATGGCAGAAGGTGAAAGACACATCTCACATGGAGGTAGACAAGAGAAGAGAGCGTGTGCACAAAAACTCCCATTTTTAAAACCATCAGATCCAATGAGACTCATTCACTATCATGAGAACAACACAGGAAAGACCTGTACCCCTAATTCAATCACCTCCCACTGGGTTCCTCCTACAACACTTGGAAATTGTGGGAGTTATAATTCAAGATGAGATTTGGGTGGGGACACAGCCAAACCATATCATAAAGTAAACAATACACGTACAAAAAGCCCATTTATTACAACTGAAGTAAATCTAGTATAAATGCAACACAATACAAATAATACTGTGAACAAAACATGACTCCTTCCTGATGCCTTCTTCTTAGTGGGGGGAAAAAAAGAAAATAAAATATGCAAATAAAGATGTAATAAATGTCAGAAAATAATAAGTTCCATGAAAAACAGTTTAAGACACAAGAAATTGGGGACACAAAGAGTAGTGGGTGAGCAGGGTGCTGTTGTGAACAGGCAGCTAAGGAGGAAAGCCTATTTGAGAAGGTGACACCTGAACTGGGGACCAAATGGAGGGAGCAAGCCCTGCAAATGTATGAGAGCAGAGCATTCCAGGAAGAAGGCAGAGTGTGTGCAAGCCCGAGTTAGAATGGGTTTTATTTAGGAAATCTGTGCAGCTCCATAGAAATGAGCATGGGGAGCTGTGAAAGAAGTGGGGTCAGAGGAGTCGTCAGGACTCAGATTATACGGGACTTTTTAAGTCATGGGAAAGACTGCATTTTATTCCAATTCCTGTAGAAAGTCATAGAGCTCTCTAACCATGCCTCAGGAGAAAACAACCACAACAACAGTCAACTGTTGTTTTCTGTTGCTTTTATTACTTGTTAATCAATGTTTAGCAATCCATTCAACAGTAAAGCAATTTCAGCTGAATTGACTGATCACTTCTGTGACTATTCAAACTGGTTTGTACGTGAACAACCAGAGTCTACACTTGAACTAGCTACCATAGAATGTGGATTCCAAATCAATCCACCCAGTGGAATGCACTCAGAGCATAGCATTACAATCATGCTATCTTCCTCTGAAGTTGTATTAATATTTTTCCATGGAGAAACAGTGAGTGGATTTGTCATAGCATAATTCCCCCCAGAAAAGCCACAGTGGTTTCACGAGGTGGTAAAAGGGATGAGGAACTCACATCTTTTTTGTGAATCTCAGTTTTTGTTCGATATCTTTGTTTTGTGTCAGTTAACATCACATTTTCTTCTTTGAACATATGGTGTCAATAAGGTTAACATATAAAGATGTTAAGAAATGCAAATTAAGTTTAGTACAAAAATTGAATGTCAGCTGCAGGATTTTTCTTGTAAACAAAAAATAAAATATCCCAATGAGCAACAGTGTTTGAACTCTGAATTTTTGGTAAAACTCTCTTGCTCATCATCAATGAGGAAACATACTTTTGAATAAAGATAAAGAGAACATCAGTGACATCACCTCTACAGATTTTTTTTTGTAGCCAATTTTAAGAAACTGCACAGCTCTGCACTTCTAACTTCATCATATTCCAGGTAGCCTGTGCTATAGCACTAGCTATCAAGGTAGAGAGACATAATAAAATAAAAGCAGAGCTCAACCAGTACTTAAAATTACGGATTGAGTGCCCTATTAACTTGCAGGGATTACATTATGTTTTCAAAAAGTTGTTTTGTATCTTGAGAGAAAAGAAATGCATACTAGTTTTCATGTCAATTACAGGGACTTAATTGGTTTGAAGCAAAGCATATAATTTACCAAGACACGTTGAAAGAATCACAAAGCCAACCTCAAAAGTAAGGCTGCAACTGGTACCCAGCCAACCTGGCCTTTCCTCGGCCTCTAAAAAAGAAAGAGAATTGTACTTGTAAATGTTTTTATGTATAATATTTACATTTAGATCAGAAAGGAACAAATGGGCAACTCGGCCCCAAATGTGTACAACATGTGGGCAGATGTCAGCTTATGGGGTCACTTGAATGGCATTTTATGGCCGAGGACACACGATGCAGCTTGTTTCAGTCCGTTTGAGCAGCATGTCAGTTCCATCACTCTTTGCTCTTGGGCATATGGTGAGACGTCATTAACCTGGGAGACCGACAGACCCATGAAAGTGGAACCATATGTGTTGTACCAAGGAAAAATTTATTTTGCCCACCATTCTACTGCAAATATAAATGTATAATCTCTGCCAATGATTCCTTTACATATTAAATATTATGTTAATGTGCTGGTACATGTACTTCCATTAATATAGTATTTAGGTATCCAAACTAAGCACTGGTCAGAGATAGACCCCCTGAGTTTGAACCAGGGAACTCAGAGATGAAATAATGGGGCAGATGGACCAAAGAGCCCCAGGTGCATCTTTCATCAGCATGTTTAACTAATGCAAAGCAATGAAGGCAAAGTTCTTGGTCTGTCATCACAGGGGTCATATGGACCAGGACCTTTGATACTTGACACCATCTGGAGCTACTCTTAGCTACCATTAAACGGGGCTATTTAATGAGTAGAGTTCGAATATGCTAGCTGAACTTTCACGTTATTCTTTTCTCATTTAATTTCATACAGGCTTCTATTTCCATATGCATTTATGAAAGTTATCATGGTATAATGAATTCTTCTGTTGTTACACTTGAATCTCTTTCTTTATCCTGAGTTTAATGAATTGTTTTATCTGACTGAGGTACATTTGCAGAAACTATTTAAATGCTTAAGTGTTTCTTATGAAATGTTGTACTTTGTAAGGTTTCTGAACCTTACAAATTATATTTGTGAAGATGTTTTGGGATTCTCTAGAAAGTTGGGTACTTATTTTAGGGCAGTCAGACTTTTAGGGCTGTAAGCTTGCCATATGTTGTTTGAGTGTTTGGTAATCAAGTCAGATTCACATGACATAAGATCAGAAGATCAGAGATGGCTCATTGTTTCAAATGATTCAAATGGCATCTTTTAAGTTAAGGTGAAGTCATTTAATTTCATCTGTATTTATTGATTGAATCCTTGTCTAGAAATTTTTTCCACAGGTTTTACCAAGTATTCATAATAGCAAATATCATGTGCCTCTTCTCCAAACCAAAGCTATATGAGACGCAAACGCTAAATTCAGAATGAGTTTGGAAGAAACTACAAGGGTGTTTTTGTACAAACATCATTTTTGTGTTTTTTAGATTATTTTTTATTCTAAAGGCAATGTTCTCTCCATCACACAGGAGCCACAAATTGGCCCTCCACATAAAGATTATTTAGCAAACATATGAGCTGTGTCTCAGTATAACTCTATACAATGCGTGTTCGTATATATTGATGTTTAATATTGTTTGTGTTATAGTTCAGTGGGTTATAAAATAAGGCAACAGAGCCCTCATCCATGGAAAATTTTTCTAACAACCATGAGTTCATCTTCTTTTGAAAATAACAATTTCCACGCATAATCCTAAACAGCTTTTGCTAAATTTCAAAAAATCAAATAGCTGTATATTGCTGGGATTTCATTTTCCACCCCTATAAAAAGATAAAGACTAGACACAGGAGAATGTATATTTTATGTTCCTGTTTATATGAAATATCCCAAGTAGCAAATGGCTAGAGACAGAAAGCAGATTTGTAGTTGCGTAGGGCTAAGAGTAGGGATAGAGACTGTCTATAAACAGGCATAAGGTTTCTTTTTAGGATGTTGAATATGTTCTAAAATTAGATTGGGGTAATGGTTATACAACTATGTTAATATACTAAAATTTATTAAATCGTGCAGATAAAACAGGTGAGTTTATTGTATTAAAATTATATCACAATAAAGTTGTTAAAAATTTTTAAAGATGAAGGGTAAAAGCCAGAGAATAGTTTTGAAAGTTTTCTCTCCTCTCTCAAAATATCGCATTTATAGACATATTTTTTCTGATCGACTATTTTAACACACAATTTATTTTAATATTTGAAGACACTATATTCTCTGCAATTATGTACCTTGTTTACTTTGTCTATATAAGTAATAATAATTTATTTAAGAATACATTGCTTTGCTATTGCCATGAAACAAATTACCAGCCCAGTGGCTTAAAATAAGATTAAGTTTTGATGCCTGATGCATCTATGGATCACTTAGGGGTCTGTTCATGAAAACTGTGCTCAGCTGCAGTGAATCTTCTGCCCTTGAAGCAAGTGGCATTCAAGGTAGTTCTTCCCTGGGTATTGGAAGAGTTGGAAGAGACTGGATAGAAACAGGCAAGGTAACTTAAGGCTCCACTTGGATGAGGTGCCCTGTCATATCACCTCTTTCTATTTGCCAGTGCAAGGAACATAACTGGATCCACCCTCAAGGAATGGAGAAATATACTCCACTACTCTTCTTGTGGGAGGAAGTGAAAAGTCAAATACTGAGTGGCAAGGATGCTAGATAAATTGTTGGCATCCGTGGAGTATTTCATAAGGGAAAAGGATGCAGCATAATCTAATAGTCACTAGAGTCAATATGAAGGCTTGGTTCACTTGATTCACTCTAAGACTCCAACGGACTTTTCTTCTTTTGTTGGAGAAAAAAAAAATTCCCGTTTATAAAATGGGAATAAATATCTTCACTTTTCAGTTTTCATTGCCCAGGAAGAAATCAGCAAATGTGTTACTGCTACAGAGGAGTCACTGTGCTTCCTGGCAGGGAGGAAAAGGGTGTCAGCAAAATAACAAAATAAAGAAAAAGTGTTTGTGTTTTTGGTTCACATCTTCCTTCTTGGCTAGTCATAATGCTATTATTAACCTGCTAGGTAACAGAAATTTGGATTCTTTGAGTACGAGTGCTCACAGCAGTTAGAAACCTCATTTTCCTCTTTAAAGAGTTAAAGTGTCCTGGTAAATATATCTTCTAGTCCTTTACTGTTTTCTAAAACATTGAGGTATTTCCCCAGAGTGCAAGGGAACACCAGTCCAAAAGAAATATATCGGTTAGGGTCTGCCCATTATGCAGGAGTCTAGGAACAAGAGAGGGGGCCAGGTTACATATTAATGCTTTTATTTTCTTAATATTGTGGTGATTCATGCTTCCCAGGGTGCTAGGTGCTTCCCAAGGATACAGCAGCCTTGGGCTTGAAATGGGTCATTTTCACATCACAGATCCATTTTTTCCTGATTTCTGCCTTTGTCTCCTACATTGTCCCTGTGGCATTTTCTTAATTATTTCCAGAAGTTTCATCTTCAAAAATCAGATGGCATCCATCACGCTCATCCTTTCCCGATCCCTGTTCCTGATCTGATGATGCGGCTGAAGGATCTGATGCTGGTCCATAGTGGGGCCCCTCTCTCTGCCACACGCTGCTGCCTTTCCTGGTGACTGCTGCTGCACTTCCACTCTAAGTAGTGTATTGCAGCTCCTGAAGGGCTGGCATAGTCCACTGCTCTCTGTAGCCACATCTTGCTTTATGTAAAAATGAAAGGAGGTTTTTCATCCCTTTGTGTGTAAGTGTGTTACCTGGAAACCAAAACAGTGCTACTTCTGCTTCAATTATGTGACCTATTTTCAGTGAATGATCTCTTTTGATTTTTTGCACTTCAGTTCTCTGCTTAGGATGTAAACATGTCATGAGCTCAAGATATTTTCAGTTTTAACAAATGCCAGCAAGTTATTCTTCAACGTGCCTTATCAATCCACACCCCACCAGCACTGATGAAAAAAACACTAGCACTAATGTGCCTTGACATCTGGGGTCTTAAACAACCTGATTTGGTGAAGGAGCCTCTGAGCCCAAGAGCACAAGAAGTGGGAAAGGAGAGGGTCTTAGCTCTTAGCCCTTGGAGTTTCTCTTAGCCAGTTTTCTTAGGATTCTCCAGAGGAACAGAACCAATGGGATGTGTGTACATATAGAAAGAGATTTTCTAAAAGAGATTGGCTCATGTGATTATGGCAGCTGGCATGGATATAAGGAAGAATTGCATGCTAGATGCCCAAGGCAGAGCTGAGGTTTCACATCAAGTCCTAAAGCTATCTGCTGGCAGAATTCCCTCTTGCTTGTGGGAGGTCAGTTTTTGCTCTATTTAGGCCTTCAGCTGATTGAATGAGTCCCCCTCACATTATGAAGATCAACCTGTTTTACTCAAAGTGCACCGAATCAAATGTTAATGTCATCTCAAAACCACCCTCAAAGGAACACCTGAAATGATATTTCATCAAATATATGGACACCATGATGCACTCAAGTTGATATATAAAATTGACCTTCATACCAGGTATGGCTCCAGTGAATTTCTTATGCCCATCAGGAGCAGAAGAGGAGTAGGAAAAAACACCACGACTAAAGGGGACTCATGACCTGGAGGTAGATACTCAGCAGTGACTTGAGTGGGTGGTCAACAGAGGACTAGCTAAAATGACCTTCTTCTGGACACATGCCAGCATGGATCAAGGACAATCCTCAATATCTCTCATCATCTTGGCAATATGGAAGCCCATCCATGGTTTACTGCAATTCAAGGGTAAAGCTTGTTAGAGAAACCCTGACTTTATTGAGATGACCTTTCTCCCAATGGAAGTAAATATGGATCAACACAGAATTACTAAACTTGGCACTAAATCAGAGCTTTTTTAAAAAAGTGATCCAAGTTACGCTGGAATCATAGGAAGAGAGTGGCTTTTCCTGCCCCGATTTTAGTGATAACTTCATGGTCTAAACTGGTCAAGTTATTCTGTTTAGGTAATATTTGACTTCTCCTTTTGTAGAAGGATTCTACGTGCCAGACTGCCAATTGCAGTTTTACCGGCTTTATGTGAATGGAGATATCACCTACCCAACAGCAGAGCTGGTCTAATAATACTGAATATGTTTTCACAGAATATCTTATAACATGTCTGGCTGTTGTTTTTGCTATTTGACCATGGCCCAGATTGCTCAGAGATTTATTAAGACTTCCAAAGCAGCTGTCCAGGGGCCCCAAAGGAAGGTGTGAAGATTAGCGGCCTTGAGTTGGGGTTGTTAGAGGATGTACTTAATTAATAGTGACAAGGGATTACTGGCCCCATCGCCATTCTAGGCGTTGTTGAACCACACAAACTGACACTGGTTTATTTTTGTTTGCATTATTGAGTAAACTCTCAAAACTCAGTAGAATTAAGTCTTTCCTTCCTTAATTCAGCAGAACCTAGAAGCCTCAGTTCTCTTACATTTGCCACTGGGATATCTGGAAGTAAATTGCTTCTGGGGTTGTGGATGGTGGGGGACCTGTCTTGTTCATTCCAAGGGTTCTTTAATCTTTGTTCCTTATGATAGTGTTCTCTACTCCACTTTTGTCCTTGTTCTCTTTTTTATATCTTAATCTTCACAGTAGCACCTTCTGGGCCTAAGTGTGACATTAAAGCTAAGCCGGTTTTAAGTTTCTGCCTTAGAATCTACTTTCATATCAGCAATGGCACCGCACATAGGGTGTTCCATGTCATGGTCTCCTTTTGGGAATCCTGAAGGTGTTACAATAAGACATGAACTAATAAAGAATTATCAACCCCAAATCAAATATTCATTAAAAACAAACAACTAAAATCTCTCTTGATACAGCTTTGCCATGAATTCCCAGCTACTTTCTGTCTTTCATTAGCGTATGGTATATTTTGAAATATATATATGGCTTATCCATTTATTATACATATATTTATTCCTTCATTTATGAAATTTGTGGAGAAATTAAATTCAATCTTTTAAAAATATTTACTAAAGCATTCACTTTGGACTACAATAGAGCTTAGGGAGAACAAAGTGTGTCTTGAGTGTTAAGTATCTTATGAATGACTCCTTTGATTTGCTATTACTAGTTTAGTGTTTTCTAATAGAATTTAAACAACCACCATGATAACTTCATGCATCTTGAACCTTTAGGCTAATGCCTGGTTCTTTCTTAAAACAGCTAGTGAGATAGGGGCTTGATTACTAAACCCATTTTAGTAGTCAGAGAACTTAAATTAGACAAGTTGTCACTTATCCAAGATATTTACCCATACTGCTATGGGAAAATCTTCTTGTATTTATAACAGAGTTTCATTCAATAAGAGAGTGGTTTGCAAATAAGGTGGCCAGATTCAGCAAATTAAAACACAGAACACCAGTTGAATTTGCATTTCAGATAAACAATAATTTTCTTTAATATAAATATATCCTACCCAATTCACAAACCACAGTCCACAAAATTCAGGTGGCCTCTAAAGGCCATTTCTAGGCTTCCTTGGTGGGAGGAGGAGGGAGGGTGAGCAAGGCTCAGGATTTCCTCATCCTTTTCTCTATTTAATCAGAAAGATTATAAGTGTCTATGAAGACTTTCTTTGATAAAAGGTCTGTGTCATAAAAAGAGGGAGGATTTTAAAACATTTTTCTAATGCTAGAAGGCTTTTTGTCCCTATTGTGTGATAAGAGATTTGATATGAAACAAATAAGGACCTCAATGGGGTGGGCATATAAATTTGCTGAGAATTGAATGCGACCTACATTATATAATTTTAAAGTAATTACCTCAATTTCTGCTGATTTGAAACAAATTTTAAAAATTCAGTTGTAACCAGAAAGAATATATTTTACACATTTAAATGTTCAACTGTTTAGGTAGAAACAAACTTTTTTATAAACAACTCTATTCAAATCAATCAGGAAATATGCCCATATGCAAACACAGCTATGTGATATGTATGTCACATGCATTTAAAGATATATATGTATGGCTGGACACGGTGACTCATGCCTGTAATCCCAGCACTTTGGGAGGCTGAGGCGGGCAAATCACGAGGTCAGGAGATCAAGACCATCCTAGCTAACACGGTGAAACCCCGTCTCTACTAAAAACACAAAAATTAGCCGAGTGTGGCACCTGTAGTCCCAGCTACTGGGGAGACTGAGGCAGGAGAATTGCTTGAACCTGGGAGCCAGAGGCTGCAGTGAGCCAAAATCACACCACTGCACTACAGCCTAGGCAACAGAGCAAGACTCCGTTGTACATAATATAGAATATACCTAAAGAATAATAAATAATACATAAACGTGTCATATACTTCATATATAAACAAGGCCATTCATTCAGGAAAATCTAGTTATAAGTGAATGAAAAAAACAACTACACAACAGAACCCTCAAAACAACAAAACATAAGTTGCCTACAGTTGTAAAACTAAATCAATTTGGATTCACCTACTGTAAATTAGCGGCAGAAACCAATGAAACCTATTCACTTCTAAAGATTTTAAAAATTATTTTTAATTCTTAGAAAAATAGAAGTAGCAAAGACTTTTTCTAAAATCAGAGCACATTAACCTGGTGGTTTTAGTGGAGAAAACATCGCTATAGGTTTGAGGTTTGGGCTCATCAGCTTGGTTTATGTACCAATTGTAACACTTTTAAAAAAATGGACCCATATCAACATGTAAAATTTATGCTTTGGTAACTGTTCGTATAACCATGGCAGCACCAATTTATCCATTTTCATGAAATTATACCTTTCCAGTTAGAGTAGGAAACAGAAGTAAAAAGATAGTGTTGACTATATTTCATATCAAGCGTTAGGGGCAAAAATGGCATGTCTGTGCTTATATTTGCACTAATATATACAGGTATTTATGAGAAAAAAAGATTCAAAAAGAAAAAGCATAGAGGAAAAAGACTAAGAATGGTGCCGTCCATCACAAAGAAGCATCTGTCTCCAGATGTGATGCTGTATATCATATTTGGTCTCTTCCCAGCACAGGGTCTGGGCAGCTGCATTCCTGAGGCTGAGATCCTAGGTTCCTGAAGTATCTGTTCTAATTCGTGATTCTAGGAAAACAACATTTTTGCTGTAGGCACAAAAATATCCCTGCACACAGTTCATAAAACATCTCCTTAAGGGGCACTGGAAAGGGAGAGGAAAGCAGGCGTGGGGAAGCACCAGGCAGGAATGAATGGTCCCTTAGAATAGAGGAAACGTGGCTGGTGCCAAGTCCTGCCGGCGGCCACCTCCAAGCACCCCTGGGCACCTTTCAGTGAAGCACCTCTCCTCCTCAGAACTTTGATCAATACCCTGCTCATTGGCAAATTTTTCTATAGCAATGAGTGTGCCAAATCTTTCACATCTCCCTATGACTTTCCTGTAAAGGGAAAGGATCGGATGATCTTCTCAGTACCTGCCTGTGCTTATGTTCCAAATAAGAGAAAATGGTAATTAGTTTTCCTCCATTATTGTCCTTGGTCAATCAGGGAATCAGAGACTTAACGCTATTTTTTCCACATTCTGTGGATCTATCAAGGAGAGAAGCATCAGATGGCATTGCATACAGACAGACCAGGAATTGTTTCCTCCCAGGAAAGAAATTACCTGAATTCACAACTGACACCCACACATGTTGAGCTTATGTGTGTATGAGTGTGTGTGTGTGTGTGTGTGTGTGTGTGTATGTGTGCGTGTTAGGGTATTTTTCATTTGAATAGCATTGAATATATATATATATTACATATATACTGCATATATGCATATATATATATATATATATACTGCATATATATATATATAGTACTGCATATGTATTGGCCAAATATATATATAGATTTATGATCTCTGAGTTTTCTCTAGATGTCTAGAACTTAGACTGCAGGAATAATTCACGATCTAAAATGTGAATTTGAAAGGCCTAAAGTAAAGTGAGCTTCACCTCTGCATTGTGTTGGTCCTGTTTCCTTCTAACAGATACAAAAGTAGAAGAAATTGCTGCCTCTAGAGTATGTTTCAAGAAGTCCTCAAAGGCTAGTGTAGGCAAAATAACATATTTTAAATGTTGTATGAGACATGGAAAACTCTATTACTGCAAACATTTGGTTTGATTCTGTGCCTGTTCAACACATTGCCCATTTCTAAATGGTACCTCCCTCCAGAACTACCCATAGCTGAATAACTCTCCATGAAGCCCTCCCATAGTGGGGGTTCATAAAGGGAATTGGGCATAAAGAACTGGAAAGAAATAGTTTTACTGTAAAGGGGAAACTTTGAGAAATTTTGCTTGGGATTCCATGATTTCACATTCAATCAGTTTTCTATTGCTGTTAGTAGGAGCAGAACTTAATGTTAATAAGTATAATTATATCATACATAGAGCACTTTATCATTTACAATATTTGATGAATCCTATTTTTACAAATAAGAAAATTGGAGCAGTGAGAAGGTACAGGAAGGTACTGGTTTTTGTTATCCTCTCGTGGTACCATTAGCAACCCAGATTAATGTGTTTTCTTTGTCAATTTTTTCAGTGGTGCAGATCTGGGACCTGAATGGCATCTTGGCCTATCAAGGAATGCACATACCCTGATAAAAACATGGTCCCTCTTAAGAACCACTCAGTCTTTCATTCATGGAAGGGGCAGTGGGAGGATCACTAGGTAACCTCCATGATGTAAACTCAGGTTTCAAAAGCTACTCAGGCAGAGAAGCAAAATTACGTCTCAACTCAGACTGATGTGGATTCACTCTACAACTCCAAATATATGAGGTCGAAGGACATAATGATACCATGCCATATCTGACCTCTGCTCAGATACTACGTTCCACTTCCTGTTGAATACTAGGCAATGGGCTAGGTGTTTAAGGATAGTTACAACATTGGAACACTTTACTATTCTAGACATTTTTCATATCATATATTTTCATTTTGGGATTTAAAGCCTACTCCAGGAAAAGTTGAGATTATTCTCTTTTTCATAAGCCACAGAAGGCTCAATTCAAATATTGCCAAGTTTTATCAGGTAGTTGAAACAAGTAGCTGAGAGATGTACCAGCATTGTTATTTTAAGAAATTAAACACTGATATGGAAAAGATTTGATGGAATCACATCAAAGCATTAATAGTGATCAAGTCTGGATAGTAAATGTATAGATTATTTTTATAATGAAAATTTTCCACCATGTCCCAAAAGCAGACACACTAGTCTAAAGACCTGCCATGTACCCATTACCTTACAGGAAATATTTTATCTTCTGACTTATTCTTTTTAACGCTCATGTTTTCCAAACAAACATTACTTTTTAATAATCAGAAAATAAGAATGATAAACAGTTCAGAAAATTAGATGAAAGTTAACATGTTTTTCTTACTCTAAGAAGGCTCTCCTTTATATAAAGACACCAATGAAAAGTCAATATGATTGCCCCATCCCCAGTTCTTTCCATCAGAAGATTAGTCTCATAAATTTACAAAATGAGAATTGGCAGAGTGGGAAAAAACTGTGGGCTGCAGTTCTCTGCCTCCCTTCTGGTTCTGGAAGGGCCAGAATTTGACAAGCCCAATATACTATTAGACAAACAGCACAAGTCCCACCACCCCCATTCAGAAGCTTACCTCTGGGCTTTGTATACAAAATTGAAGTTTGGGATTTGGATCCATGCATGTGTATCTGGAAAAGCGAGTGTGAAACACCTATCTTGAGCCCTCCACCCACAGGCAAAAGGGGACATGAATCCTAACTGTATTCCATTTAAAAGACACTTAATTTAGAAATGTGCAATATGTTGAACAGGCACAGAACCAAACCAAATGTTTGCAGTCATAGAAATTTCCATATGCTGTACAACATTTAAAATATGTTATTTGCCTACACTGGCCTTCAACAGCGAGACCTTTCTCTTGAGCTAAAATGACAACCTCTATCCAGCCGCCAGTACTAACACTGATGTTACCAACTGGATGCTGTGTGCCCTCTTGGCTTCCAAGCAAGGTGCCACCCTCCAGAACTACCCATCGCTTAACAACTCCCCATGAAGCTCTCCCATAGTGGGGTTTCATAAAGGGAATTGGGCATAAAGAACTGGAAAGAAGTAGTTTTACAGTGGAGAACTGTAAAGGGGAAACTTTGGAAAGTTTTGCTTGGGATTCCATGATTTCACATTCAATCCGTTTTCTATTGCTATTAGTAGTAGTAGAACTTAGTATAATTATATCATAGAGTGCTTTATCATTTACAATATTACATGAATTCTCTTTTTACAAATAAGAAAATTGGAGCAGAGAGAAGGTACAGGAGTTTCCCAGCATCACACAGCTAGCTGCACAAAACAAACAAAAAAAACTACTAGAAGACACTCAGCACCCACTTGTCTTCTAGATATTAACAAAACAAAGCAAACAAGAACTGATTCTTGATCCAAAGCATTATCTGGCCTGAGAGAGAGAGAAAGACAGACAGACACACACACACACACACACACACACACACACACACACACACACACACACAGAGAAACAAGATTTAAGGCAAATCATGGCATGAGCAGAGTCCCATTGACAATTGCTGCCTAAAACATCCTTCCTCATACCCCATGAAGCTGCTGTAGATGTCAGTCACCTTAGTCCTCTTGACTCAGTGCTGACCAGTGTGTCTTTCTTAAGCCCCTGACATTTGTAATTCATTCATTCAGGGGCCTCCTCCCAAGCAAATTCTCCTCTCTGCACCCCAGCCTGCCTGTTGCTTTACTCTGCCACCTGAGGATTAAGCTCCTGCCCTCCTTTGCTTTCCTCAGTGCTAAATTCTTCGGGCTTTTTAAGGTGCCATTGGACAAATCTGCATTAAAATATGAGGGAAAAAAATTAATAGAAACATCCAGTCCTACTTTCCAGAACACCAGCTGCACATTTAAAAATTTTTATTGAAGAATAATACACATACAGAAAAAAGTGAACATATCAAAAGTATACAGTGCTATGAATGTCAAAGTGAACACACCTGTGTAACCAGCAGGACCAAGAAACTGAACATTCCCAAATTTCCAGGTGTGCTCCTCATGCCTCCTTCCAGTCATGACTGCCCAACCAAGGATGCTCTCTATCCTGACTTCTAATAGCATAGGTTAGCTGTGCCTAGTTAGGACTTTATACAAATAGAATCATAAACTATATCTTTCTGTGTCTGCCTTCTTTCACTGAACATTGTTTTTGTGTGATTCATTTGTAGTATTGTGTGGCATTGTAGATATTTTTCCCTTATTGCTCTATAGTGTCTAATTCTGTGAATATACCACAATGTGATATTTAACCATTCTGCAACTGACATGGCATTTAGTTTGTTTCCAGTTCTTGGCAACTTCAATTAGTGTTGCATTTTAGTGAATGCTTTTGGTGAATATATGGTGCATCTTTCTGATGAGTATAAACTTGGGAGTAGACTGCCTGGGTCATAGGTATGCATACATTCAGGTTTATTAGACACTGCCCGATACAGTTTGGATATTTGTCCCCTCCAAATCTCATGCTGAAATGTGATCTCTAGTGTTGGAGGTGGGTCTTTCTGAAAGGTGTTTGGGTTATGAATGGCTTAGTGCCCACCCTGCAATAATGAGTGAGTTCTCACTCTATTAGTCATGAGAGCTAGTTGTTTAAGAGTCTGACACCCTCCTCCTCTCTCTCTTGCTCCCTTTCTTGCCATGGAACACACCTGCTTCCCCTTCACCTTCTGCCCTGAGTCAAAGCTTCTTGAGTCCTCACCAGAAGTTGAGCAGATGCTAGGGCCATGCTGTTTACACAGCATGCAGAACCGTGAGCCAAATAAACCTCTTTTCTTTGTAAATTACCCAGCCTCAGGTATTCCTTTATAGCAACACAAAGCTAGTTAACAAACTGCTAAATCATTTTCAAAGTGGCTTAATCAACTTACTATCCTATCAGCTTATACGAAAGTTTGGTTGGGCCGGGCATGGTGCCTCATGCCTGTAATCCCAGCATTTTGGGAGGCCACTGCAGGTGGATCACCTGAGGTCAGCATGACCAACATGCTGAAACCCCATCTCTACTAAAAATACAAAATTACCCGGGCATGGTGGCAGATGCCTTTAATCCCAACTACTTGGGAGGCTGAGACAGGAAAATCACTTGAACCCGGGAGGCAGAGGTTGCAGTGAGCCAAGATTGCGCCACTGCACTCCAGCCTGGGTGACAAGAGCAAAACCCCATCTCAAAAAAAAACAAAGAAAAAGAAATTTTGGTTGGCTGCATAGCTTGCTAAGTCTTACTATTTCCCTTCCTTTTCATTTTATCACTTTTGCTATGTATGCAGTGCTATCACATTGTGGTTTTAATTTGCATTTGCAGATGTGAATTTTAAGAGATGTTTGTAGGCATACTTATGGTAATTCAGTAGTCCTTTCCCAAGAAGTATGTTACAAAAACGGAATTGTAGGTATTCTTGATCAATATTGCCATTATCCTCAATAATGACACTATTGACATTTTGGGTTAAATAATCCTTTGTTGTGAAGGATTGTCCTGTGTCTTTTACGATGGTTGGCAGCACAACCTGCAGTTGTGACAGCCAAAAGTGTCTCCAAACATGGCTAAACGTCTGTGAGAAGGGAGGGACTCATCCTTGGTTAAGAATCACTGGTCTAGATCCATTTGGTACATTCTTAGAGATGTGTCAGTCTCTATAAGGTCTTAGAGATAACACAAGAAGTGGGGATGTCTACACAGAACTAGTTCCACAAAAACAGCAGTGTGCAGCCCAGGATGGCAAGGGAAGGAAGTCTGTCAGGACCTCTGTATATGTCCCATGACTCAGGAGGCAGAAGTTTATTTGCAACACTTTAAGAATGTGTGGGTGCAGCGCACCAGCATGGCACATGTATACATATGTAACTAACCTGCACAATGTGCACATGTACCCTAAAACTTAAAGTATAATAATAATTAAAAAAAAGAAAATTAAAAAAAAAAAAAAAGAATGTGTGGTCGCCCTTTCACCACCACCACCAAGATTCTTCTGCATGCTATCCAACCCACCTTGAAGGGAAACACAGTCATTCAGAAAGATTCTAGCCAGCCAGAACCTGCCCACTAGTGGGAAGCTAAATAGTTGGTTAGATGTAATTTGTTTTTAAATTTGCAATATAAAAGAAAAGACAAGTTGCCAGGATATACTTCTCTTATTTACATAGCTTAAAGCAAATATACTTTGAAGCCAATTTTTTTTTTAATCATCAAGGATGTGTGTGTGTGTGTGTGTGTGTGTGTGTGTGTGTGTGTGTGTAACAAGAGGAGCAAATAGGTAATAAAGCCTTGAGGTAAACCGAGATGAGTGTTGAGTCTGGCTGTATATTAAAAACATTGTCAGGCTGGGCGCGGTGGCTCACGCCTGTAATCCCAGCACTTTGGGAGGCCGAGGCGGGCAGATCACGAGGTCAGGAGATCGAGACCATCCTGGCTAACACGGAGAAACCCTGTCTCTACTAAAAAAAATAATACAAAAAAAAATTAGCTGGGCGTAGTGGCGGGCACCTGTAGTCCTAGCTACTCAGGAGGCTGAGGCAGGAGAATGGTGTGAATCCGGGAGGCGGAGCTTGCAGGGAGCCAAGACCGTGCCACTGTACTCCAGCCTGGGTGACAGAGCAAGACTCTGTCTCAAAAAAAAAAATAAAAATAAAAATAAAATAAAATAAAAACATTGTCTAACGTTGTTTACAAGTGTACTGAGGTCTCTAGAACCAAAACCTTAGATTTAAATCCTGGCTCTGCCACAGAATGTTGGGTCATTTAATTTTATTTAATCTGCTTGTGCTCCAGTTTCCTCATCTGTAAAATACAGTTTATAAAATCTAAACTATCTCATAAAGTTCTTTGGAGATGAATAAGTTAATTGTCAAAAAGTAACAATTCTGTGGAACTGGTATTATTACTTTGCCTCACTAAAAAAGGAACTGTGTTCCAAAAGGTGAAGTACGTTGCCTAATATCACATACTTAATTTTAGTAGGGTTAAATCTAAAACCCAGTTTCTGCAGGATTTTTATTAGACAAGAGGCTTCAGGTGTAATGCATAGGGCTTGTGGCCATCTCTGCTGCAGACCCCTGAGTCTTGCAGGAAATCCATAATATAAAACCCCTACCCTGCTCCCAAACTACAAAAACCCCAAATACCTCAACCCTGTTTTAAATTTTGTTTTAAACTTTAAGTTTTTCAATGATAGGAGATTTTTTTAAAATCTGTATCAATTTTAGTAACCACTTTTTCTTAAATAAGCAGTGCAGATAAGCCATGTCAAAAAATCTACTAAGAAAAATCAAGATTGACCTAATGGAAATGAAAAGACAGACCAAATTCAATGTATTAAACATTTCCTTCTTCCATACTCCCTCAGAGTTTATTGTTGTGGTTGTTATTACTTAGGTTAATCAAGCTCCCTAAAAACACAATTTCTGCAGGCAGGTTTTTTGGGTGTAATTTTGGCAGAGTGGCATGGTGAGAGTGGAGTGAGGATGGCAGGATTTGAAAGTAACTGAGGAAAAAGAGGTGGCAGTGACATTCGTACATGTGATTTTATTCCTTGCAAATTTTGCAAGACAAGTGGAATCTTTGGATGATTTTTGAAAACTATTTGCAAGACATAATTATATTCCTGTGGAAAGTATTTGAGTTGGGCCAACCTTCCACTGCAGAAAATTATGGGAGAAAATCAGTGGGCCTTTTTGCTGAATAAAGGCTGACAATAAGGCCTTATAAATCAATTAAAGTCAGATTTATACACCTAAAGCCCCAGATCATTCTGCAGACTTCCTAGGGCAATTCAGCTTTGTTATCCATGGACTTGGCCACACCAATTGTCCCTTGCTTAACACTAAATCTCAGCTGTCTGAAAAATGAAATTAAACACGTAGAGGCTTTTACACTGAAACTATTTGGAAAACCATGACAACTCTCCCCAAATTAGGAATCCCATCAGGGTCAGAAAGAGCTTTTGCTAACACCAGGACTTCGGAGCTTGGGTTCTTAATCCGGGTCTCTGCGTTTCAGAACCCTGTTGTTTGTTTCCATGAAGGCTTTACTAGTTTTATAAGAATAAGGCCAACAATTGGTCACACGCAGCACAGAAGAGAATCCAAGCACAACCTGTGACAGCAAGGCAACCCTACAAGCTTAGGACCTGCGGCAGATGCCAAGGTCTTAGGTCAGCCCTCTGTGTGAAGAGACACCTTCTGTCTTCTGAACTAGTGTTCATATTTTCTATTACCCATAACTGACCCAATGGCTCTGAAACTTTTCTACAAACCTGTCACTGTGCCTATAGTCCCTCTAGCCAACACATTTTAGCAAGCCATCGTTCCTGAAGGAAATATGCTCAAGTTAGAGGGGAGGCCAGGCACGGTGGCTCACACCTATAATCCCAGCACTTTGAGAGTCCGAGGCGGGCAGATCACTTGAGGTCAGGAGATTGAGACCAGGGCGAACATGATGAAACCCCATCTCTACTAAAAAATACAAAAATTAGCTGGGTGTGGTGGTGCATGCCTCTAATCCCAGCTATTTGGGAGGCTGAGGCACTGAGGCACGAGACTGCGGCACGAGGCTGAGGCACTCCAGCCTGGGTGACAGAGGGAGACTCTGTCTCCAAAAAAAAAAAAAAAAAAAGTTAGAGACATAGCTAAGACCTCCAACCTCTCAGCATTAAAAAAGAGAGAAAAACAAAAGGAGGGGCAAATTCAAATAGCTCGTTCCTTCTAAGCCCTCACCTGACTCACTCACAATGCAAGATGGCACCAATCACTAAGCACAAGCTACAAGTGGCCAGATCTGACTAGCCAGAATGGAAGCGGCCACAACCCCAGGAGCTCTGGTGCTGTGTTGAGCACTTTGGAAAAGTTGTGGTAACTCTCTCAGACCCACCATCCCTGAGACAGAAACTTATCTCCTGGATTAGTACAATGGCTCCAGATCCTGTCTACGCATGAGGATCACCTGGGAAGCTAAAAATCTAAGCCCCTATGCTACCACCAATACCAATGAAGTCTCTGAGGGTGGGACCTAAGGAATATGTTTTTGAATTTTATTGTTGTTGTTTATAATTTCCCTAGGAAATTCTGACTGCAAGCACCCTTTGGTATGTGTACCACCCACAGAAACACTGAACAGTCCCATCTACAGACTCATTGTGTGCAGAAGTATGTTTATTTAAAAAAATTATTTTGGAAGGCCTGCAAACAACCTTCACCTGTTAAATATTTTCCCCTTAGTAAATATGACTAAATTTTATTTCCCTAAGTGCTTGTCTCCCACATAAACTGCTTTTACAGAAACTAAATGTTATTACTCAGAGAAACACACCACACTTTGTAAAAGCATCACACGTATCTTATTTGGAGGAATTGTCTAATGAAGAAAAGTACAATGGCAGAAATCAAAAGTTTCTTCAAGTCTTAATTCTGTGAGCCTCTCAAATACATATTTTTCTTTTTCATGGATAATTTGATATGTAAATAAAAATGAAAATGTCACTTTACTATAACTTTTTTTTTTTTTTTGAGACAGAGTCTCACTCTGTCGCCCAGGCTGGAGTACAATGGCCTGATCTTGGCTCACTGCAACCTCCGCCTCCAGGGTTCATGCCATTCTCCTGCCTCAGCCTCCCAAGTAGCTGGGACTACAGGCAACTGCCACCACGCCCGGCTAATTTTTGTATTTTTAGTAGAGATGGGGTTTCACCGTGTTAGCCAGGATGGTCTCGATCTCCTGACCTCGTGATCCACCCACCTCGGCCTCACAAAGTGCTAAGATTACAGGCGTGAGCTACCGCACCCAGCTACTATAACATTTTCTAGATGGAAACATGAGGTTTGACAGTGAAAGCACAATGAATCATTTTTTTTCCTGTAAATTACCATCATATCAATTGCATGTTTGAAAAACAAACACATATGAATCCAAGTATTTTGTTCTGCTGACTTTGGTCCACGTTTCTTGACTTACAAAAAATTTCTAAATTAAAAAATTCTAGATTAAAAAGATTTTGTGTATTCTACTTTAGTGCCATAATATTACATTGAAATTTTCTACCACAAGTTACACATCACTATATGAACTAAAAAAAAAAAAAAAAAGAAGGAAGGAGAAGAAACAGAAGAAAGAAAGAAAAGAAAAGAAAAAAGAAAAGAGAAAGAGAGACAAAGAAAAATATTTGTCAGAGTTTCACTGAAATCTCAACATGCCTTTGGCCAGCCTCCTTTGTTAAGAAGGGTAGGAAGAATAAAGGGTCAGAGAAGTGGTTAATAATCCTTACTGAAATTTTGCCTCTATTGTTTCTACTGTTCCACTATTTCTCTTTTTTCCTCCAATCATCAACTTTTCTACTCATTTCAGAGAAATGTTGAACACACAGCAAGATGGCAGCTGACTACAAGCTAAGAGAAGAGGCTTCATAATAAAACCTATCTTGCTGGCACCTTGACCTTGGACTTCTCAGCCTCTGGAACTGTGAGAAACAATTTAAATTGTTTAGACCACCCAGTTGGTGATAATTTATTATAACAGCCTAAGCAGACTAATATAACTAGTTATTTGGAGACAGAGCCAGTTGCGAGAATCTGAGCAGACGTTGGTAGCGTCAACCTAAACGGAAGAAGCTGAGGCAAAATTAACGTAAGTAGAGAGTTTCTTTGGGCCAAGCTGGAGGAGTGCTACCCTGGAGCATAGACTGAAATTGCCCTGAATATATACTCTGATTAGTAGCAGTAACAAATGAATCTGTAAAGGCAAAAGAGGTGGACAGGGAGTGGGCTGATATAAAGTTGTTTGTCGGGAATTCTCATAGGTTTGCAGAAATAACATTGATTTGGGATTGGCTATACTTGTTAAGCCATAGAGTATGGGTAATAGTGACTGGGGTGTCAAATTATTAGGTTAATTTATAGTTACTGTGGCAAGAGCAAACAATTTTAAGAGATGAAACTTAAAAGGAAGAGTAGGACATGATTGCTATCTCATTTTAATGTCTCTCTGTGCCTGATAATGGAAAGAACTTCCTTTTCTCAGATCAAATTTATTTTATTTTCTCAATAGATAAACATGTTTATGATCACTTTGCTTTTTTTTCAGCAGTTGATAGTACTCTGGTCCTTTTGAGACTGCCTTTGAAAAATTATAACAGTGAGAAATCTAACATAATTGACCCCATTTTGCTTCTAACCTCACAAACTATCTTTGCTCACTTTTGTGCATAGGCTAAGCTAATTATGGGAAGAATTTAGTTTATCATTTAACTGACGAATTTAGTTTATAGTTTAATTTTAAAGCAATGATAATAATAGTCCCATTTCAAAGCTAACTCCCTCCCTGTCGGGGGACCAAACCACCAATGTAAAGCTAATGAAAAGCCACAAGGTTAAAATTTTGATAGGGGCCTGAATCCTGCTAAGATATAGGCATAGTTGAACAGCAAGCAGTCATTGTTTCCTGTCTTGCTTTCTATAATTGCTTACTGCTTAGGAGTCATGTAGCTCTGATCACAAGATTTGTAACTTCCCTAATTGCCCCCATTGATAACATCACTATAGTGAAACCTAAGACTAGTCTTTGAGATATTTTTCAGATTTTGCTTTCTGATGGATCAACTGATACCACTTGGACCAGTGATCCCCACCCAGGAACTGACTCAGTGCACAAAGACAGTTTTGGCAGCCCTATGACTTCATCCCTACTCCAACTAATCAGTAGAACCCATTCCTTAGTCCCCTTCCCACCTAACCACCCTTAAAATCCCTAGTCTCCAAATTTTCAGAGAAGTAGGTTTGAGAAGTATCTCCTATGCTCCTCTCTTGGCCACTCTGCAATTATTAAACTCTTTCTCTGCTGCAACATCTGCTATCTCACTGTATTGGCTTTTTCTGGGTGGCAGACAAGAAAAACCTGGTTGGATGATAACATTTTCACTACCTCTAATCCAACCTAACATCACACAAATCTCAGAAACAAAAGACTGCTTCTGAATATTCCATACTCTGCTATCCCCAAGTCAAGATACAGTCGTTCAAAGATTTTGAGAAAAAAATTCTATATCTAACATTGAATCTTGAATATTCAACTTAGATATTAACAGAAAATTGCTTCTAAACCTCAACAATATTATTTGTGGTTTTACATTTTTAAAAATATCATAAGTAGTGCCCCAGGTACAACTTGCTTGCAAAAATCTAATATTTATTTCAAAACCCAATCAAACTTCTCTGATTGCTCCCAAAGCTATGTTTAGAAAATACTTCTCCCAAGATTCCAATTGGTAACCTAGCTGGGCCTTAATGATTATTTCTTTGAAAATATCAGTAATTATAATAATCACTGAATTAGAATTATAATATTAGCTAAACTTTGTTAAGTACTTGCCTTGTGCCAGTTAAGATTCTAAGTGTTCCCATTAATTTGTTTAACCTTCCCATTTATTTGTTTAACCTTCACATCAATCCTATAAGGCTCACCTGTTACTCTTATTATATTCAAAGGTGGAAACTGAGGATAAATAACCCACAGAAAGCCACAAAGCTAGTAAGAAATAGAATCAGGTTAAAACTTGTCCTAGAATCCACAGGCTTAACCATTACTCAGAAGATTTTTCCTTTTTGCCTGGATGAAAGTTCAGTGGCTTCTGAAGTTGGTTTGTGTCTCAGAGCTCACATTCTTCTCATTGTTTGGAAAGTTGCTGGTACATTATCTTGGGGTTACATCCAGCACTTTATGGACTCTACCCCCAAACTACCTTCCAGTTTTCTCTCTCTAGCTAATATGAATCCTATCTTGAGAGGATAATAGACAACCTGACATTCTCAAATATGCTCAGGATGTCTCTGCCTTTATTATTTATTCATACTGTTTCCTTTAAAAGAAATGCTTATTTTCTTGCCATTACCTATAAAAAGCTCACGTGTCTTTCTGAATTCAGCTCAAAATCTGTTGCTTCCATGAAACTTAAGCTAGGCTTCTTTTTGGAATTAATTTTCTCCTCTTTGATTTTATTACGTATTTATTTCTATTCTTTCACTTCAAAGCTTGGATCTTGAGTATAATTAATCAAATGTTTGCTTATCTCTCTCACTGCTCTGTAAATTCCTTGAAGGCTAAGATGGGTGCTACTAACATTTTTGTACCCTCCAAAGGACTTAAGACAGAGCTTCTAAATGTTTGTATTAAAATATTTTTAATTGAAGTATAACTAATAAGAGTGCACTGATTGCAAGTATACACTGTGATGAATGCTCACATAATGAACATATCTATAAGTGATAAATTAGATTATTGCTAGCCCTCTGGAAGTCACTATTTTGCCCCCATTCCCCAATAAGATAACCTTCCTGAATTCCACCCACTTGTTAGTTTTGTCTACTGTTAAACATTGCTTGCATGGGATCATGTAGTCTGTACTTTTTCTATCTGGTTTCTTTCTCTCAACATTGTATTTGTGAGATCCACCAGCTTTTGTCTAGAAGTAGTTTGTAAATGTTTACATAGTATGTAGTATTCCACTGTGTGAATATACCACCAAGTATTTATCCATTCACCTGTTGATGGACATTTAGATTGCTTCCAATTTGAAGCCATTATGAACAGTGCTGCTATCAACATTCCTGTGCATGTCTTTGCTATACATGTGTAAGCATTTCACTGGATACATACCTAAGCCTGGAATTGAGTCATATGGCATACACATGCTCAATTTCAGTAGAAACTGACAGTTTTCCAAAAGGATTGCATTTCCTTGATGAACAATGAGATTGAACACTTATTCATATGTTCATTGACTATTGGGGTATCCCCCTTTATGAAATGCCTATTCAAGTACCTTCTCTATGCTTATATTGTGTTATCTTTTTCCCATTGACTTTTAAAAAATATTTATACATTGTGAAACCAAACATTTTGTATATTTTCTCTCAATCTGTGGCTTACTAAATTCTTTTTTATGAATAGAAGTTCCTAATTTTAATGTCATCAATGTATCAGTGTTTTAATTCATGGTTTATAGTCTTTTGTTACTTATAAAAGAAATCTCTGTCAACCACACACTTATAGTTTTCTATGTTTTATTTTATTGGTAATCAAAGTGGGGTGTGTTAAATTAAGTATAGCCTAAAACTGCCTCCATATGTATTTCAAGTTTGGCCTAAAGGTTTCTCTGTACACTGTGAACTGTAACCTAACTGGGTGTGTAAACAGACTATAACTTACTCTTGTGCCACATCACTGAATGCCAGCCAACCAAAGGTAGCCAACTGCTCAAACCATGTTCAAATAAGGCAAACACAAAACTGTAACCAATCTGGCTGTTTCCATATCTCACTTCCCATATTCTGTACATTGCTTTACTTTCTCTGTCCAAAAGTCTTCTTCCATCACGTGGCTGTGGTGGAGTGTCTGAACCTATTCTGGTTCAGGGGCTGCCTGATTGAAAAATCATTCTTTATTCAATTAATCTCTGTTAATTTGTCTAAAGTTTTCCTTTTAACAGGTGTGGTATGTATTTTTTCTGTTCCATATGCATTATCCATTGACCAAACATCACTTACTGCTCTGCAGTGCTACCTTGCCCAAAATCAAGTATCTCCGTATGTATGGGCCTGCTCCTCACTGCCTGTTCTGCTCAACTGGTTCATCATTCCATCAATTCCACACTCTTTTAATCCTGCAGTTTTAGATTGTTTTTATGCACAGTAGTGCATCATCTCTAGCTCCATACCTTTACAGGAATTTTAGAATCATTATTGAGCTTATTCACTTTCATATACATTTTAGATTCGTCCTATCAGTTCCAAATGGATTTTTTATGGGATTTTATGAAATCTATTAATCATTTTGAGGAAAGTTGACATCTTTTCATTATGAACACATTGTCCTCAATGTGTTTAGATTTTCTTTAACTTTTTTCTCACCAAATACCACATGTTCTCACTTAGACACAGGAGCTAAATGATGAGAAGACATGGACATAGAAGGGTGGAACATACACTGGGGCCTATTGGAGGGTAGAAGGTGGGAGGAGGGAGAGGATCAGGAAAATTAACTAATGGGTACTGGAACCTGGGTGATGAAATAATCTGTACAATAAACCCTCATGACACAACTTTACTTATGTAACAAACCTGAGCAGGTTCCCCTGAACTTAAAAGTTAAATTTTAAAAAAAGAATATCTGTGAATAGAGACTTAACCAGTATTTTGACAAGAAATATAGAGATTCAAATGGAAAAATAGATTTTCTTTAATTTTTCTCAATGTTTTATGGATTTTGTCTAATAATCTTTCCTCATTTTCATTAAACTTAATCCTAAGTATTTGATGAGTTTTTTGATGCTAATTTAGATACTTTTAAAATTAAAACGTTTGTTTTGTTAATGTTTGCATATGCAATTAAAGTTTTATGCTGATATTGTATACAATGGCCTTGCTAAATTTAATTATTGATTGTAAATATTTTCTGTATTTATAATGATACCATCTATTAGTTTTGACAATTTTATTTCTTCCTCTACAATTCTTATATATTTTTGACACCGTTGACCTATAACAGTTGCTAAAACTTTCAGCATAATGCTTCCAGAAATGAGGATAGTGTCTCCTTCCCAATCCCAAAACTTCAATATTTCAATAATAAATAATACATTTGCTATAGATATATTTCAGGCAACATTTATCGTATTAAGGATGTTATTTTCTATTTATGGTTATTAAAAGGTTTTTTAGAAATTATTATTATGAATGAATATAGAATTATATCAAGTGAGTACGTCAAGTGAAATGATCATATGCTTTTTCTACTTTTGTTAATGGGGTGATTACTTTGATAGGTTTGGTTTTCAAATATTAAATTAATATTCTATTTCTGTATAAATCCATCTTAGTTATAACATGTTGTCCTTTTCAATATTTCAAAATGGATTTGCTAATATTTTTCTTAGAATGTCTTGCATATATATTTATAAGGGAGGTTAATCTGTAATTTTCTTGCCATGTTTTGGTATGAAAGTTATACTGACCTCATAAAAAGAATTGGGAAATTATCAGTTTTTCTGTTATATTTACTTTTCCATTATATTTTTTTCCTTTAAATATTTGGTAGAATTACCATTCAACACTGACTTGTAATTTTTTTGTGTAGGACTTTTTAAATTCTAGATTTCATTTTTGTAAATACATAAAGGACTATTTCCTTTTTTGTTTCTTCTCATGTCAGTACTAGTAAGTTTCATTTTTCTAGGGATTTTATTATTGTAAATTTTCAAATTTTTAGCTTAAAATTATTCATAATATTCTATAATTTATTTTCATAGATCTAGAGCAATGAGTCATTTTCAGGTATATTATAGCAAAGCGGACTTTATGTGAGACTGCTGCAGAAAAGTTCCCTCAATTTTTGCTTCCCTAATAGTGCCATTATTTTATCTTCATTGCTGAAGAGTATTTCTAACTAGACACAACATTCAGATTTGACAGTGATTTTTTTTCTCTGCACTTTTTCCTCTTCTATATAGGTTTATGTCGTTTGTTTCTTTTGAGAAGTCAGCTGTCAGTTGCTTTCCTTGTTGCTTTGAGTGTAAGATGTTTTATTTCTGACTTTTCTACTCATTGTCACAGAGTGGGGGAGGGGGGTTTGTCCACAAAATTTTGTTATTCATTGTTGGATGCAGACCCTGTCCATATTTTAAATTTTAAATTTGATAGCATTTAAAAATGTTAATCAGTCTCCTTGTTAAATTTCATAAATGCAGCTTTCAGAGCAGTGAGAACTTTCTTTCCTTGTAGGTTTTTATTTTCCTCCTCTAGAATAAACTGTTAGAACAGGTAAGAGAGCTGATATATGACAAAAATATTAAGGCACCACCACATGACTTCACAAAGACCTGGGTCCAGGATAGCACAAAAAAACTGTGGTTCTTCGTACATGTATGAAAATGGCTCCAATATTGAAAAATTAGGTAAGGTTACCAAAGATTCAAGTTATAGTCTGGCTTGACTTTGCTAAGGATATTGTAATTACCATGTGTGTCTGTATGTTTGTGTGCATATACATGTATATGTGTGAACATATATAAGAAGTAAGGAGAATTTTGTGCTCAAATCCTCATTGATAACTCCTTAATAAAAATTTAAAATTACTCCCTAAAATGATGATGAATATTCTACGTATTTTCGTTTCACTAATGTACATTCTCTATTTAACTCATACATGTAGTTAAAATGCATGCAAATTCACTAATATGTGTTTGTGTCAGTTGCCTTTAATGCAAAATGCCATAGGGTTATAAAATAGTGACAGTAGAAGCCTTGGAGTGGGCAGATGGTTTGCTTAAAGTATATGTTTCTCTAAAGGTTAATTCTTTTCATCTTCCTAAGGTACTTTATCATCTTTAAAACTGTATTATTATTCTAGTAATCTTTCAAAGGGAAATGGTCAAACTGGACAACAATTTATGTATAAAGGTGATCTCCATAGCTTATTGATAATTTAAAATACTATTAGCATCTAAGTATCTAACACCCGCTATAAGTAAACAAATTATGGACCATCTTTACCATAAAATGTTAAATTAAATATTTTTTAAAACATGGGACATTATTTCTACTAAAATGTTAAGCGAGAAGCATAAAGTACTAGAACATTAAACACACTATGATCTCAATTGATGGAAAGAAAAACAAATATGTAAAGAACAGGTATTAACTTTGAGAATTGCAGGTGATTTTTATTTTCTTTTTAGAAATATTTATTTAGGCCGGGTGTGGTGGCTCACGCCTGTAATCGCAGCACTTTGGGAGGCCGAGGCAGGCGGATCACCTGAGGTCAGTTCAAGACAAACCTGGCCAACATGGTGAAACTCCATCTCTATTAAAAATACAAAAATTAGCTGGGCATAGTGGCGGGTGCCTGTAATCCAGCTATTCTGGAGGCTGAGGCAGGAGAATCACTTGAACCCAGGAGGTGGAGGCTGCAGTGAGTCGAGATTGTACCATTGCACTCCAGCCTTGGCAATAAGAACAAAACTCCATCTCAGGAAAGAAAGAAAGAAAGAAAGAAAGAAAGAAAGGAAGAAAGAAAG
This sequence comes from Homo sapiens, assembly GCF_000001405.40. NCBI lineage: Eukaryota > Metazoa > Chordata > Mammalia > Primates > Hominidae > Homo > Homo sapiens. The sequence goes on from NC_000017.11 coordinate 71,584,863, forward strand.
AAAGAAAGAAAGAAAGAAAGAAAGAAAGAAAGAAAGAAAGAAGGAAAGAAAGAAAGAAACATTTATTTAATATTAATTTAATTCATTCCAATACTCCAAAATTATAAAGAAATAATAGTTATTATTCACTTTATAACATTGCTTGGAACCCCAGTCATATATAGAATGCTCTATGATCATTCTTTCAGGTAGATCAATGGTCCATTGCTTAATAGGTTATGCCTTATGTAACATGGCAATTTTAGAGATTTCTATCCTTTTAAAGACACCAGACCTCACTTCCAGTAAACAAAGTGGTGAATAAGGAAAGAATTCCTTTCAAGTTTCTTACCCGTATATCAGCACAAGGGAAGTTCAAGTAATTAGCTAAAGAATTTAGGCCAAAATATGCTCTTAAAAAAAATACTGGATGTTGGAGCTCAGTGGCCAAGATTATTTGTCAATGTTGATCAAATTTACCAGCTGGTTGCTTAACCTCTGCTTTTTGTCTGCCTTTGAATATACATACAGCTTCGGGCAGTCAAAGGAATCAATACTGCCATATATTCCTATCACTGAGCATCTGCGTTTATAGTCAGTTTGTTTAGACATCATGCCAGAATAACCAGTTCAAGAGTGAAAAACATAACCAAGGAAAGAAAGAATTGTTTAATATTATAAAACTTATCAATATGGTACATCTCATTAATTGGACAAATACGAACTACCACAAAACCCATCATTATCCAAATAAAAGATGACAAGGTATTTTACCAGATTAAGTACCTAATTCTTCTTCAACACAAAAGTGGCAGGATACTATTTAACATGATAAAGAAATACTTTTACAAGCCAATAATTAGCACGATGCCTAATGCAGGTAAGTATGTCAAGTCAGCAGATTACGTAAGTTCAAAGAGCCAACTGGTAACATTTAACTTTATTTTGGAAGTCCTAGACAATGAAATACATTTCATTGTAAATTCAAGCCTTGTATATTATAAAGAAGAAAATAAGAATTTTATCATTATTTTAAATAAGTTGGTTGTATTAGAAATTCCAAAAGGTTCTGTTGAAAATATATTAGAATTAAAGTATTCAGTGACTCAGAAGGATCGTTTATATAAATCTTTATCAAAACCAGAAAGTAGAATGGATAAAATCTTTCATTCATAACAGGACATCAAATAAAAAACTCTAAAGTTTCTAGAAATACTCTTAAGGATATGTCTCCTGTGATAATGTTATGTAGACAATTATAATTCTGAAACAAAACATATACTTATTATATAATGACACACACCAAGTTTCTGAATAATAAAAATAGTCATATTAAAAGTTGCATAATTGTTGGTTTTCAAATAATTTATTTAAAATGTGTGAAATAAAAACTTATAATGTTTCAACAGTTAAAATAGAATTGTACTAATATTTAAAGCTAGTCAGTAAGACTAGAAAGGTTGAACAAATCAACAAAGAACAGATTATACATATGTATGTATACGATGAATGTATATGATACTCATAGATAAAATGCTAATCTATAGTATGAAATCCATAAAAACAAAGCCACACCAGCAAAAATCAGAGAGAAAGAAAACAGTTCAATGAAAATTTGGGGGAAACTGGTCTGATTATTTTGGGGAAATACCTAGTTTGATACCTTTTCCATGCCGTATATCAAAGTAAATTCAAAGAAGATTAAAAGTCAGCCATTAAAAAATATAATGTTTAACACTGGAAAAAAAATTAAAGCAAAAAGTGATCAAACCTAAGGTAATAAAATGTCTTGCTAAATCAAACACCACGGAAGAAATAAAAACATATTTCATAGATCTAACTCTTGAAATTTGTCCATATGTAAACAAAATTAATGGTAATATATTAAACTACAGTAAATGTGCAACAAATGTTAGTCATGAATAATATCTTTATCATATACAGAGTTCACAGAAATCAATGAGAAAATTACCAAGATCCCAATAGGTAAATGAGAAAAGAATAGGACATAATCTATAAAAGGGAATACAAATGTCTCATGAAATTAGCAATAGCATTTTATTTTCTTTTTAGTTTTAAAAATATTCACTGATAATTTTTAAAAACAATTTCAATTTCTCCCCTTCTCTTTCAGTGTAATGGTAATTTTTATATGATTATATTAATGGTATTAGTAAAATACTGACTTTCTATATATGTTAGTGATCTGGAGTTCCTCTTCAAATAACTTGTTTAAGTAAAAACACAAATATGTTTAAACTATTAATTGAATAACAAATAATACTACTGCCATTAAGTTAACTAACTCACAAGCAGCAAATCAAATACTGCACGTCCTCACTTATAAGTGGGAGCTAAACCACAGGTACGTACAGACATAAAGGTAGAGATAATATTCTCTGGAGACTCCAAAACTGGGGAGGTTGAGAGGGGAGTGAGGGTTGAAAAATTATCTATTGGGTACGATGTTCAATATTGGGGTGGTAGGTACACTAGAAACCCAGTCCCCACAGTGATGCATGTAATGCCCGTGGAGCAAACAAGCAAATGTACCCTCTGAGTCTAAAAATGAAAAAGGAAAAAGAAAAGAAACGGGCATAGAGAAGTTAAAAAGCTTGCCTAAAAATTACTGATGAATAATGAGTACTAAAGTGGTTGACCCTAGGACAGGATTCTTTCTAATACATCTGTGTTTCCCAAATGTCTTCCTAAATGGTGTTCAAAATTTTGAAATATCTGTGTAGCAACACTATTTTAGATGAGAATATCCAGTGTTGGTAAGAATGTAGTTAAATGAAAAGTAATTATTTTCTATTCATTCGTTTATCCAAAAATTACCCAGTGTCTACCTTTTGCCAAGTATTTTTCAGGTAGTTCAAAAGATCGTGTTTAGTATTACCAAGTTTCCATCTTTCTCAAACATATATCCTACTAGATGAAACAAAACAAATTGAAAGTTAAAAATAAAGAGTATAACTCATATAAAGATAAGTACGATAAAGAAAATCAAGCAAAGGAAGGGGTTAGAGAGTGACCTAGCTGAGGAGTAGGGCAGTGTCACGTGGGATACTTCAAGGAATGCCCCTCTAAGGAGATGACCTTTGGGCATCTAGTTGAGAGATGTAAGAACCAAGATATGAGGCAGGAATGAAGGTGAAAGTTGGAGGAATTACGCAGGCCTGCATGCTTGGGGGAGAGTCAATGAGTGAGAATTGCAAGAAAGGAAGTTACAGAGAAAGGCAGGGGCCAGACCAGGTGGGGCTGGCTCAGGTAACCACATCTCATTCTCATGTTGGATGCTGTACAAATGGCAAAACTTTTCTGGAAGGAAAAATTGGCAATGCTTATAAAAAACCATAAAAAATCTTATATTTAACTCAGTAATCCCACTTATGGGAATATATTCCAGGAAAATCATTCTCTCTCATGCCCAAAAGTCATCAGTTCAGACATTACCAGTCTCTAAAAATTTCTTATCCCACCTCCCTATCTGTATCATACTTCTTCCTCCTGGAGGATGAACTAGTTAAGTTGTTTCAGAAAAAAATATAAAATGAAGTCTCTTAGGTAAAAGCTCCTTAGTATCTGAATTCTGACCCATTTTATCTTCATATACATCCTTGCCTCCTACCTTCCATCCTCTGTGGGAGTGGTGTCCTCCTGCTATTCTATTTTTAATAATTAAAATATTATTTTACTAATATTCACACCAAACCAGAAACATTAGAACTAAACAAATCAACAGGGAATATGTTGTACATATGTATGTATAGAATAAATGTATATAATAGTCAAAGATAAAATACTAATGCACTATAAACATGGAATCAAAGAACAAAATCACACCAAATTGTTCTACTTTGTTCAGTGGACTCTGACCCTTGTCTGTTTCCCGGTCTGGAAACTCACTCAGTTGTTTCTCCTTAATTATGATGTTCCATTTCTCTGTCTCTACCAATCCCTTCTCTTTGACAATTCAACTCAAAAACATCAGTCATCATTGAAAAAACAAGGCAAAAACCTCCCCCTTCTCTATCTCTCTCCTGGTCTTCTTAGGCAACTTTTCTTAATTATCTGCATTATTGACTGTACTTCTTCACTTTGATTTGCTCTCAAAATTTCCACCATCTTGGTCTTGCTCCCAATTGTTGCAGTGGAAACCTCTCTGGAAAATACAAGCCATGTCCTCACTGTGGCTACATCCTTTTCTATATCCAACTTTTTGCTGTGGTTAGGGCTCAAGTGTGGAGTTGTTCATAGGGAGTACATCAAGCCACTAAGAAAATATAGAATGGAAGTTCTACATTTTTTATTATCCTGTCTATAATAAGGCCTTAAATTACCTTATTTTCACATTCTTGGTGGAGGTATTATAAACTACTTTTGAAATAATATCTGTAATACCTTAGTTTGGATTAATTTCATGTATTAACCCTATAAAAACATAGAAGTCCAGATAATGGGTCAACACATAAACAATCTGTGATTAGAAAGTATATTAGTCTGTTTCACACTGCTATAAAGACACTATCTGAGACTGGGTAATTTATAAAGGAAAGAGGTCTAACAGACTCACAGTTCCACATGGCTGAGGAGGTCACAGGAAACCTGCAATCATGGACGGTGAAGGAGAAGCAAGTACCTTCTTCACAAGGCAGCAGGAGAGAGAGACAGAGAGAAAGAGTGAAGGGGAAACTGCCACTTTTAAACCATTAGATCTCGTGAGAACTCCCTCACTATCATGAGAACAGTATAGGGGAAACTGCTCCCACGATCCAATCACCTCCCACCAGGTCCCTCCCTTGACTCGTGGGATTCCAGTTCAGGATGAGATTTGGGTGGGGACACAGAACCAACCCATGTCAGAAACAACCGTTTCTAAATATAACGCAGTGTGAGGAGTTCCTGATTGCATAGCAGGAAGGTTGAAAACACTGAGGCTTAACAAACACTGGCTATTGCCATGAAGAGAAGGTGGTATGGGTTGAAAGAGAGAAGACAACACATAAAATAATATAGAAGAGAGCTGAATACTTATTTTTTTCCTAACTTAGTCTAATGATCTACTGATCTGTGCTTGATGTTTTCTTTTGAGAAGACCACTCTTTGTTCTTGTCTAACTGAAGAGTCTATCCCCATGAATCTGCTATTGTAAATAGGCTGCTTTATGAAATGGGAAACAAAAAAAAAGTGTTCACCCAGGCAAGAGATGCCACCTTCTATTCATTTCTGATGCATCTAGTTTCCTAACACTTACAGCTTGCCAAACTGCAGGATAAAGCACATAGAGTAAAATTATACAGACTTGCAAAAAGATTTGAATTCAGGGTATTAATAGCAGAAGGAATGTTCTTCTGGGAGTAATCTAAGTGTTATATTTACCTTTGGTTTGAGAATATTTGCAGTGAGGAATTTCAAATGCAAATATTTTAAAAGCATAGCATGTTGGTAGAGAGACACTGTGAGCACTTCTGTTTTCCTTTTAAAAAAGGTTTTTCTTGCCTTTTTATTGGAATCTTAACGAGACCATAATTACGATAGCAAAAGGGGGAAAATACAGCTGTTAAAAGCTTGGTGTTACTGTATATATAGTCCCTGTACTATATTTAAAAAAAAAATCTGAAACCATTCAAGAGAGAAAAAAAGATGATTTAGCAAAGTAAATCTTGTACACTTATATTTTTGGTATGCATGGGTTTTTTTCACTGTAAATGTTTTGAAATTTATCAGTCAAGTTTCCTCTTATCTGTTCTTTTAATTTTAATTGAACCATAATACAAAATACTTAAAGAAGACTTACCTTCATTTTTGTCACTTCCATATACACATCCAACCTCCCTTTCCATGTTAAATGTAATAAGAAACTATACATCTCCAAAGGTCAAAGGTCCAATTATTTTCTAGGGTACACTCCTGTTAGGAAGTTATGGATGTCTGTGCATACAATATGCTATGGGGGAAGTATATCTTTTAACACAAGACTTGTGATTACAGAGACCCTCACCTTCTAGTCCGAAGCAGTATTTGTATTTCCACTATATTTGTCCAGAGAAAGCATTGTCCCTCTTAAATAGATGAACATGCTAAATTTGATTCAATTAATTTTATGCATAATAAAGCTTCCAAAATGGAACCCTAATTCTTCTGGTGATGTGCAGACCTTAAGAACATAAATGCATTTTTACAGAATAAACAGAATGCTCCAGGTAAATCATAATCCAAAATGTACCCAGAGTGATTCATCACTAACAGTACTTGTTAACTAGATAGAAATTTTTAACTGCAAGGTCTGGTAGAGATCAGTTAATTCAAATCTCTTCTATTTTCCTTTCCTTCAAAAGAACAAGACCAGAGTGTTCCTGAGGCTGAGGATTTTGAGCATGTGTAGCATAATATAGAGTAGAAGGTAACAGTGGGATTGCCATGATCTTCCCATGCTCTTCAAAACATGTGAAAAATAGGCTGACTTCCCTGATGAAGAGGATCAAGTGATTTCTGTGCTTTCGGATCTTCCACTGTTTGTACAATGTCTCAGTTGTGCATTCCATTGAATCATCTAAGAGTTCAATTTATATGGATTAGCTCAACAGTACAAAAGATCCAAGACAGAATCTGCTCCAGGTTGTGAGTGAAGCATATTTCAGTTTAGGCACTCACCTGGGCATCTCGGCCTCAGTACCATAAGTTACAAACACTAAACTTCAGGCAATAGTAAAGGATATTTTCATCAACATAACATATGCTTATTTTAAATTACAATTTCAATGTCTCTACATGTTAACAGGTGATACATATACGAGTTCCAAATTTGCAAGATTTCAATCTGCTTTTCAATCTCCTATGCACTTTGAAAAGAAATGATGCACTTGATGGATTGCTTCATTGCTAAAAGTCTGCTTCTGACCATAGCAAGAGTAGCCCCAGATCACCAATCATTGAGAGAAGTGGAACTCAACATACTGAGTTGTGACAGGGCGAGTCTTCAAATTTCCAGGGGACACTTGGCAGGTGAAAAGGGTTAAACAAAGAAACAGAAAAACATTCTTTAAGAGTATTTTTCAGAGTACCAGAAGACTTGGAGGTTAAACCCAGCTGACTTGAATAATGTCAGTCTCTGATAAATACTCATTTATCTATTGGAGATAAAAAAAAAATCTGCTCTTTAGCTGCCATGATCCTATGTTGCAGGAAATTTTTAGAGGAACAAATAAAGCCACTTTAGTCTCTTAATATAATGACCATCACTGAAACATGTCTCTTCTCATTATTTGCTTAACCTTATTATGATCTCCAACATTGACATCTGATTTTTTTCAAGTTACTTGAGGGCTGAACCCATTAGTGTTTCACTTGAACCAATTCGGTTCCTCCCTAGAAATACAAGCTGGTAAAAAAAAGAACGAGTCTTCCCAAGACTGAGATGGGGGTTTCATTCACACCAGGTTTGTTCCTGAGTCATTACTTCCAGCATTTCTGCAAGGGCACCAGACATTTCTCCACATTTGACACATTCCTCTCAAATTGGATCCATCATGAAATGGTAAAGAAAATCACTAAAACCTTCCTGCATCTCACTGTGGCCTAAAAGAGGAAAAAGCTATTATTTTGTTTCATAAACTCTGATCTGCATGAGTCTCCATCACACATCAGCAAAACAGTAACTTCTCAGATTTATATCTTAGAAGGTTAAGTTTCTCAGCCCTGTGAGAGTTGACAACTGTCATTATTTTGAGTTTACAAAGTCTTATAAGACATGGTGCTCTTGGTTTGGTGACAGTGTCAGCTTTTATATATGACAGATGAATACTGCATGACTCCACTAACTCTTGGCAGAAGGCTGTTATCTTGACAAAAATAATACAGCAAAAGTGCCTTCAAAGTGAGCTAAGGTTGTGTTAGAGAACTGGGATTGAAGGAAAAAGATAAAAGCCACTTTTCATATATTTACCAATTGTAGACAGCAGTATTTATTTTAGGATGTTTTTATAAGTCAGTTGCTACATTCAGTGGATGTAACATATCCATTTTTATCCCATGTTGGTGCCAATTATTTTTCAGATTCTTATATACTCAATCTCCCCTCTGCCCAACCCCACAACAGCTAATAACACAGTCTTCCGTTTTTTTCCCACCCCAAGAATCTTATATCTCTCACAAAGAACACCAGCTATGAGGCAAAAGGCACTCAAGCCATCTCCTCTCTTAAAGATTTATAAGTGATCCGACCTTCCTGAGATTGAGATAATAATGACTGACCTGATATCATTGGTGCTGTGAGAAATATGGATATGAGAGGTGGTGTCTGTGGCTGCCCGATAGGGTTACATTGTTGTCAGTGCCTTGTCCTGTTTTTCACTCTGTCTTGTTTGAATATGGAAAAAAGCAGTTGGGTGCTACATGTGTGTAGTCAGGAGCTAATGAAACACAGGGGTCACATTACCCAATTTTCTGTGTGTGTGTGGAGGGAATAGGGAGTGGTTAAAATCTTCTGTTTAGCCTCTCCCTCCATTGCAACATTATGTAAACCTAGGAACTGAAGAAATATCCAAACAATCTAAAAGAAGTTGTAGCAAAAGTGACCATGTCTTCTGTGGTAGCCCTTCAACCAACTCATTCTTCACCCTTATCAACTTTTTAAAAAAATAGAGTAATTTTTAAATTGTGGTTTCAAAGTAAGATGTATTTATTCTGGAAAAAATTATTAAAAGCACAAGACATAAAATTAGAATAGCCCCAACATCCAGAAATAACTTATTTTACTCATTAGGGGTTTTGTGTTTTCATCATTTGTATGTGTGTATACATTTTAAAAAATAATTTTGATTATACTTGACACATTCATATCGTATAGATATGTCTTAGGTTATACTTCATCACTTAACAAATATCAATATGATTCTTGCAATCTGATTCTTAATATCATGTATCACTGTACATTCATTTAGTCATTCCTCAATTTTTTGGACATTAAGTGTTTTTTTTTATATATATACTTTAAGTTCTGGGGTACATGTGCGGAACGTGTAGGTTTGTTACATAGGTATACACGTGCCATGGTGGTTTCCTGCACCTATCAACCCATCATCTACATTAAGTATTTCTACATTAGCATCTCTGCGGCTGTCTCTGTCAGAGCCAAAGCCTTTTACAACCCGCTAACCTCTGTATACACTGTTGGTCCATGGCCTAAGGGCATTCATGCCCACAGGAAGAGTAACACAGGTTAAAAAAAAAAAAAAAAAAAAAAAAGACTCGTGGATTATAACTCACCAAGCTTTACCGGAGAATTCTATCATCTTTACATCCTTGAATCCTTTCTGTGTCTCTAGAACCAGATCCACATCCCTCTTTGTCAGCTCACCTCCCTTCATTTATTATCTTGTCTTCCTGCATTTGCACAAACTTCCCAAACTCTGGCTTATCTTGTTCCCAAGTCCCAGTTCCTCCAAGCTAACATTATTCTATTGTTGCCCAGGCCCTAGCATGATGCCCTGCTACAATTAGATAGCTCTGCCTTATTTCTAATAACCTTTTGCTCCTCCCCTTTGAGTAACTTTATTTTAATAAGCTCAGACTGCCATAACAAAATAAACTGGGTGACTTAAAAACCAGACGTTTATTTTTTCACAGTTCTGGAGGATGGGAAGTCCAAAATGAAGGTACTAGCAGGGTCAATGTCTGGTGAGGGCTCTTTCCTTGGGTTGCTGAGAGCTACCTTCTCATTATATTTCACATGTGGGAGAGAGACAGAGAGTTCTCTTCTTATAAGGACATCAATCCTATAGGATTAGAGCCCCACTCTTATTACTTCATTTAACCTTAATTACCTCCTAAAAGCCCTATCTCCACATTTAATCACATGGGAGTTAGAGCATCAACATATAAATTTGGGGGGGGGGATATCAACTCATTCTATAACACTTCTAAAATACAGTTTTCATCATTAGTACTTTAAATATTTCAGATTTCTTCCTAGAGAAAATTTTTATATTCCTAAAATGATGGTAACTCCACTCTGATAGGTCAGGGTTGCAGACATAGTACAACTGAGCTGTACTGATGAGCAATGCTCAATTCCAAAAATATGTAGTCTCATGAACAATCAGATATTCCTTTAGTTGACTGTCTCCCACCTTGTTTCTCTGCCTTAAAACAGCACACCTCAGACACTGCTCCTTAGTACAAACCTGTCTGGCTCCCAAGTCACAAAACAGCAGCAAATTTTAATTAATCAATGTTTTATGGACATAATTAAAATATGCACTTACAAATAAAATGTCACACTTAAAATCAAGTACCAATTTCATAAAGCTGCATTAATATTTATAAAATGATTATTGCAGACAGGCACATTACTGCTCATTAGGGCACACATGCATGCAAGGGTAGCAAATTCTTAATCATCATGAAGTTGAAGGCTATGATCTCTCAGTTCCTTGGCCTTGTCCTAAAAACTTCCAACCTTCTCAGGCCTTTTTTATGAATAAGCTTCTGGCCTTTTTCTCTACCCTGATTTTCCCTTCCCAAAAGATGCTACCTTACGCAAATTATCCGTTGAGATAAAAATGAAGAACTGTGTCCTTGACCTGTGGCCCCTTGGAATACGTGAAGCAAAATGGGCATCCCCAGCCAGGGGAAAACCGAACAACAGCTTCCATCTCTTCCATGAATTCTGCCGCCCACGAGATGACCATTTCTCTCCTCCAAATCCCACCCATAGTTGTTTCCACCAGACCACCACCATAGTCTATTATTAGCCAATATAAAGCCTGTAATATCGCCATGGAATTTTTGTAGGGGTAAAAATCACAAACTTACATAATAGAGGTGGGAATTGATTTACATTGCCATGGTGTGAGTGCTAAAGCAATACAATATTTTAGAAATATTTATTAGCCCAAAAGGAAACTTTAAACAGTAAAACTGAACTAACTCTACCAGCTGGCAACATAGCAGAGGAGAGTGAGGACAACACATTTGGCCAGGCTTATATTCAACTGAGCTTGGAGACTTCACAATCTCAGCCCCTTTTGGAGGCTCGTGTTCCTTTTATATGTAGAATGTTATTTTCTGATGCAGACAGAGCAAGAAAGTGCTCTTTTGGGGCATTTTTGAGTACTTTTGAGCACATTTGGGGCATCTTTGGGGCTTTCTTTGAGCCCTTTTTGGGAAATGCTCCTGGGGCTCCAATAGTATCTAATAGCTTCTTAAAAAACATTTTAATAAGCTAACTTGAAATTTATCAGAAATGCACAGACTGACTCTCTGTCAACCCTGACAATTATGTGTTATGAACTCAGAGCAGAGAAACATACAGCCACTCCATAACATGCCCACAATCTTCTATGGGGGCTCATGTCCCCACCATTAGAATCATCCCATAGAATTAAGATTTTTATCTCTATGGAAACCTTCACCTATACACAGATCTTGTGTGTGTTGAGTGAGGGCTATAACACATTCTATAATCTCATTCTTACTTCAGCATAAATTAAATTATCAGTGTATATGAATGAGACAGGAAAAGCAGATATGTTGACCAGGAAGAAAAATAAGAGAAATTAGAGAGATCAGGCATTTCTTCTATCTGCCTCAGAAAGCAAGATGGTGCTAACAATGGGATGTGCTAGAGGGCTGGAATATTTGAGGATGGGGTGGCAAAAACTGGAAAAAGATTTTTAACAGAAAGTCAGAGATGCCAAAGATTACCTTCCTTTTTATTCAGGTAAACTGGTAGGCATCATTTGATTAATGGAGAATATTAAATTCATTTTGAGCAAGCAAACATGAAAGACAATCAGTAGTGAATAAAATAGCAATACATTTACGGAAAAGAACATGGAATTTGAGGTCAGATAGACACAGCTTTAAAGCATGTGTCTTTGTTCTACTAGCTACGTAATTTTGAGAAAGCCACTTAAATTTGAGCATCAGTTTCTTTATATGTAGAGCAAGAATACTCCTGCTTTTCAGAGGTTGTTAAGAGAATTGTGTCTGGCATATACTAGACATTCAAGACCTAGAAGCTATAAGAAATAAGAAGAAATTTTATATTGTTAGAATCTTCTGATTGTAAATGAAGCATCCTAAATTTCCATATTCCAGACAAACTATCCTGTAAGGTCGCGTAAGGATGTGGCCTCCACTCACCCACTCCCAGCCCATTTTTGTGCCAGTCTTGCCATGGTCTTCTGGGTAATCCTGAAACTAGGACTCTCTTTCTCAATCAGCCAACAAGAAGCCTAGTGAGAGCCAAAGGAGGACAACTGCAGCATCAGTCAATCAGCAAGTGTGGGGGACTCTGGGGACAGAATTTAGAAGATCTCCTTTCTCTTCATTACTTGTCTTCTGTGTACAATGCTTTATTACCTTCACATAAGCAAAGGGCTTGGTGGAGAGCAGAGAGCAAATAGATAATATAAGAATCTCACCCCCAAATTTGCTGGTTGCTCCTTATAAACTTCTAAGTTTTATTTATGCATCAACAGCCACCTTGAAATATCATCTGTAAGTGTGCTCAGCTAATATGTTGCCCCTTAGAACTTCAAATTCAAACGTAGAAACAAAGCCACCAAGAGACCTATACCCCGCAGTACCTGGCTTTCAGAAGGAAATGATTTGGCACGTGTATACCCACTTTCCAAAGACTGGTAAGCACCTAGAAACTATCCATAGGAATGTGTGCAAGTTCACTGTGGTTTGGCAGATGGTGTTGGTGGGAATGTAGCTAAGGACACAGCCTCACTGACTCCAGCTAAAAAATAAAAAGTAAAACACATTTAAATTCCCTCACCAGCTCATTTTCTACCTCTGTGATTTTGTGCTCCTGAAAATGGTGATTCCATCAATGATGAAACATACAACACTGACATTTTACTCAGCAAAGGAAAACACCATAAATTCCCTGAGACCCCAATCGGAGCCAGACATATAAGTTTGGAGTGTCCTAATATAACCGAAAAGGAAGCCTTGTTGAACATTGCATGTAGATAGGGTGATTTAGGTGAGATTTTTAGTGTTGTGGAGTAACACTAGCAAACACTTTTAGATTATCATCTTTACCATCCGCCAGACCCCAAATCTACTATAAGGTAAGAAAAATAACATGTGGACATCCTAAGTAGTTATTAGGAACTATGAAGGAACCAAGGTACTCATTTACACATATACAATTATGTAAATGGGGTTCATGTAACAAGTGACTTCACTAATATGATGAACAGCATCTCCAGTGGTTCCAAGTCCATTGAAGAGCTCAAAAACCCCAGTCCCTCTGGGAGTCTCCCCAGAAATCAGTCTGAACTAGTCCGCTCTTCTGAGCTTTCGCCATTCACAGGGCTGCTGTCTCAGACCCAGCTTCTATCACTCAATTGGTAACTGATTTTTGTTCTTATTTGAATATGTAGTATGTCTCTAGCTAGCTAGTTGTCTCTGCATATGTGAAATGATTTAATAGTAAAAGGAAATATTTATTGTAAAACTTTAAGAAGATAAACAAGAGCATAAAATTCACTTATTATTCATAACTCCACTGCCACAAGTTAATTATATATATCCAGCAAAGGATGTTTACAAAATTAAAAATGAACATGTTCTTTACTTTTGTTCTTTTTTTTTCTCACAAATCACACTCTATGGTGACTTCCTCTACATATCAGTACATGCTTATGCCTTTGTTTTGATTATCTAGTTCCTCTGGTTTGAGGCTTATTTTGGCAATTTCTTTGGCTACTGACTTCACCTTTCCCCTTGTTCAATGTCTTGCCATTTCCTTTTTGACTTCAAGCCTTCAGGTAAAGATTGGGTTCTTCCCACAGCTCACAGACCTCCTGTCAGCCAGGTGAGGTGTTCTCCTGTTGTGCTGGAACTATTCTGTGCACTGAATGCCTTCCTGTGCAAGTTTTGCAGAGTGTAACCTACAGAGGCATCATGAGTTAGGGGAAGACGATTCATAACCTTTTACACCTTTCATTCAGTCTCCCATACTTAAGCATCATCCTTTAAAGGGGATTTTAAAAAGACATAATTACATAAATTTCTCAAGATCTTTTCTTTGTTTACTTCCTTTGTTTGCTGTTACTATTATTTTATTGTATATCCAAGAAGAAAAGGGAGATGGGTATAGGAAGAACCCCAAGATCTTATTTGGTGAATATTAGTGCCACAATGACCTGATGTTATGGAGGTATGAAGTGTGCATGTATGTGCATATGTCACAAAGGTGTGGTGTGATGGAAACTAGATGCAATGCATAATATTGAATTAGATCTAGAAGTAGGAAAAATGACTACAAGGATGTTACTGGGACAATTGATGGATTGTAAATAAGCTTTGTAGGTAACAATATCAATGGTAAAGAAAAAAATTCCTTATTTTGGCCACTGTTCTGTAATTATGTAAGTGAAGGTCCTTACTCTTGGAAATATACATTTAGGAATTTAGAAGTAAAGGGCCAAGATTTCTGTAACTTACTCTCAAGTGGTTAAAAAGTAAAAATTAGACAGATGAATGGATGATAAAATACCTGTGGTAAAATGTTAACAATTGATGGATCTCAGTAAAAATGTATATATAATTATTTCTTGAATCTTTTATGTGAGATTAAATTATTTCAAGATAAAAATTGGCCAGGCACAGTGCTTCATGCCTGCAATCTCAGCATTTTGGGAAGCTGAGGTGGACAGATTAGTTAAGGCCAGGAGTTTGAGATCAGCCTGGCCATCATGGCAAAACCTGGTTTCTACTAAAATTACAAAAATTAGCTAGGTGTGGTTGGTGTGCACCTGTCATCTCAGCTACTCAGGAGGCTGAGGCCCAAGAATTGCTTGAACCCAGGAGGCAGAGGTTGCAGTGAGCCCAGATGGCACCACTGCACTCCAGCGCTTGGGTAACAGAGCAAGACTCTGTCTCAAAAATAAATAAATAAATAAATAAATAAATAAATAAATAAATAAATAAATAAAATTAAAATAAAAAATTAAATGGTAAATCCTAATTAATTTAAGCAACAAAACAAAAAAAAGACAATTTTTTTTGTCTAATGGTTCATTTTTGTCCCTTGAAGTTGTACTAAGCATATTATCATTTATCAGGATAAAAATCTTCCAGAAGTCATCAAGTATAGTTTGTCTCATGTTTTTCTTTGTTTGTGTTTTGTTTTTTGTTCTTTTTAATTAAAAGCAGTTGCCTTTTCTAAGAAAAAAAAACATGTTTTCACTTCCTGTTCAGACTATACAAACTTAATCTCTATTTCTGGGAAGTGAATGAAATGTGCTTGCTGGAAATTTCCCTACTCCAGAATTTCCATGAAAATTTACTGGAAAGATAATGGGCAAGCTCTTAATTTCTTTTAATTGAAACGAGAGAGGACAGAAAGTTCAGCTCAGATTCCAGACATCATAAAGTCTATTCTGGAAATGAATGGTGGGTAGATTGAAACATAAACACACACACCCTTACCCTTAAACCCTAGTCTACAGACAGTTTCATTTTTGTTAAGACTGATATCATTTGTGCAGTTTACGGTTTTCAGTAACATAGCAACATTTGCTGTATGTGTAATAACAGCATCTAAAATGACATAATAAAAAAAGAATTATCTGCGATTAGAAGTGAACTGTTAAAACTACTCTGGTCAGCGCCAAAAATCAAGGGAGTTTATTATTTCAGTAGCTGCAATGAAAAGCCCCTCTGGGTGCCTAGAAAACGTAGCCCCTTGAGTTTCCACCCGTCCTCCTCACTGACACGGTAATGGGCTTTGTTAAATTCAAAGACAGTTACGTCAGCAATTTGTGGCCTCTTGTGGGTTTTCCAGGCCTATAAAGCACACAAATTATACCCAAATATTGGCCTGAAAAATTAGTAAGCTATAGGATTTGTGTTATTTTAGCCAAGCTTTACTGGAGTGAAAGAAACCTAGGGACCTTAAAACTCAGTAGCCTCTTTGCTACCTTATTATTTTCTTTTTTGGTGGGCAGATTCTGAGAGTTAATACTGTTGGGTTTTTTTTTCATCATTATTACATTATTTTTTATTATTTTGTCTTGTGTGTTAATACTTTTTTTTGCTTCATTATTAATTTTTTATTATTTTGTCTTGCGTGTTAATACTGTTGTTTTTTTGCTTCATTATTACATTATTTTTTATTTTGTCTTGTGTGTTAATGCTGTTGTTTTATTGCTTTATTATTACATTATTTTTTATTATTTTGTCTTGGATTGTTTTGTTTGACATGCAAGAAAACTTTTGGCAGATGTTAATCAACAGTGATCTTATAAAACTATTCTTTGGCTCTTGCTTAGAATTGAATAATTACAGAAAAATCAAAGTTTTCTTCCTTTTTTAGAACCTTCCACGAATATCTCTAAAAATTATAATGTCTTTGTTGCAAGTAGCAAATTCCTGGTTTATTATGTCCATGCAATTCCATACATGAAGCGTGGTACAGTCGTTGAATAAAAAATAGAGCTTTGGCTAAGCCAGGTAAGAAACAGGGCAGAGAATGAAATTATTACTGGTTATCAACTCTTCTGCATTGATTTAATAAGGAAAAGCACTAAACATGCCGTCTAAACATTTGGATTCAAGACCAGATCAGCACTTACCAGCTTTGAACTACTGTGGAGAAATTTCTAAGCCTTATTTTCCTCATTAGAGTAGTATCCAGGATAATATTTATACTAACAGTGGTGTTTGGAGAAACAAAGCATAACAAACGAACAAAAAGGACACCATGTTCAAGGGCTCTATAAAGCTCTCTACAAAAAGCGGTGCTTCCTATCACACTTAGAGATCCTCAGGCAGGGGGTCTGGAGCCCAACCTAACTGCAACACATGAATCTGACAAGATGTATTGCTAATAACTCTTATCATTCATATTTATGTGTTGTTAGCTGCAGGGAGTTAGACTCCAAAGATTTTCATGTTATTTATCATATAGTAAGATAATTATGATTAGCAATTTGGAAACATAATTGTTAATAAAACTATGTTTATTTTAAGCTGCTTATACTTTAATATGACATTTTTCACTAAACCTTCACCTATTTTCTGAAATTCCATTATTTAATATTCTTTTAGTAATTCCCAAAAACACTAATAAGAGGCTCTAAAGGTCAAAAATCAAGGGGAAAAGAAGGCATTGTTGAATAAAGTTATTTACATAGTTAATCAGGAGCTAAAACTCAGGAGAAATGCAAATCACCTTGTTTCCAGAGAGGGAACAGTAGTATAGTCTTTGGCAGAAGTTCACGCCCTAGAGATAAACAAAAGATTTTACTTTCTTCCTTTGGACTTCTTTTGTGCATGTGTTCTTACTTGGTTTCAGTTTTTAGGTTTACAGAAATAATCTTCTGGGTGAACCAAGGTCAAAACAGCAACCAGGGGTTTAACTGCTGATCAAGCCAACAGGATGTCCAAATATTTCTCCCAAGCAATAAACCATCAGTTAATGGTGTCATTCCCACCCATAATGCCCTCTAGCACCAAGAGGAAATGTACCTTCATTTGCTGGCCGTGTGTAGAAATATCCATTCTAAACACAATATAAAACTAATCACATCGAGATTTCTAGCTTTATCCAAGGATGAAAAAGCCCAGTGAAATGCAGGCTCAGCGTCTTCCCAGTTATCTTTCCAGCCCTCTTTTTTACTCAACTGTTACATGATCTGGGTGCCTTCTTTATTTTTAAAAGACAATGGGGTGTCCCAGAGAAGGACTTTAGGCTAGGATGTGTAAGAACTTCATTCTAGTCCACTTTCTGCCTCTGTGTGATATCATACAAGTCACTTCAAAAGCATGGGTAAATTCTAAAAAGTTTGATTTAAATTCTAAACACTATTTTTTATTACCTTCTCCCTTGAAACACCCTTTGCTATACAGGTTATAAGAGGTACATCATCAGAATAAACCATGATAAGGACGGCAGAAAGCAAAAAGACAATAGCGCCAAAAGGGTATTGTGTTAGTCTGTTCTCCCACTGCTAATAAAGACATACCCAAGGCTGGGTAATTTATAAAGGAAAAAGTTTTAATTGACTCACAGTTCCACATGGCTGGGGAGGCCTCACAACCATGGCTGAAGGTGACTGAGGAGCAAAGTCACATCTCACACGGTGGCAGGCAAGAGAGTGTGTGCAAGGGAACTCCCATTTATAAAGCCATCAGATCTCGTGAGACTTATTCACTATCATGAGAACAGCACAGGAAACACCCACCCACATAATTCAATTACCTCCCACTGGATTTCTCCCACGAACCGTGCAGATTATTACAATTCAAGGTGAGATTTGAGTGGGGACACAGAGCCAAACCATATGACTTGTGATGGAGAGGGATACAGTCTTAGTAAGTCTTAGGAAACCGAGAGATGTGTGAACAGTCATTCACAGGTTAGAATGCCCACTATCATTCACCTCACTAAACTTTCAAGGCTACTTCATCAAAATTTATGTTAAGTTCATGTTAGGTCACAAATTTGAAGTTTTTCAGATTTTCATGCAATCACCCTTTAACTAGCCTATTGCTCCACATCTGGTATAATTACTTAACTTTGTATTCTGCTCATCCTGGCCCATCTAATTTTTGGGTTCTAATTCTTCTCATCTTCAGATCTGCCTTTTAAAAAATTACCTATTTCCTTATTTTGAAACCCATAGTTATCTATTTTGATGCTTTTCTTGCAATTCTAGAATCCATTATCCCTTTGTCTCTCATGCAAATTCCCCCCAATATAATCCATTTCCCCCCTACTGTTTAAAATAGTAGGCTTCCAAAAAGTGTTAAGAAAAGTAGAAAAACACTGTGGAGTATACTGCCAATGTGGGTGATCCTAACTCGGTCGATCCTTGTCTGCACTCGCTCTTGTCTATCCTTCCAACCTTCTTCAATCACATTCTTTGTAGTGACCGTTCTAAACTTAACTGTGTGTTTCTAAATGCCTGATACTATTTGTTGTAGTTGACCATCTACTCTGGTGGCTCTGTTTATTAACTCAACATTTTACTCCTTACCACACTCATCATGATTGCTTTGAGTTTTGCCATATTCTTTTAAGTCCCTAATATCATCATCTCTTCGTCACTCAAAGCTAAAAACCCCCTCTGTTACTTTACTGAGGTTTAAGTGTCTGGCCTAACCATTCTAGCTTTATCTCTTTTCAATTATCACAATATCCACTTCACTGATTCAATATTTTACCGATTCTTCACACAAGTTTTTTTTCTATTTTCTTCCTTTCCTTTTAAATATTTTTATTATGAAATATTCAGATACTGATAAATATAAATGTTATGATTAAAAAAATACAGTGTTCTTTTCTCTTACCCTCTCCTTCACTTAACTTGATGAAACCCTAGAATTTTGTTAGTTTTAAATCCATCTTTTTAAGTAGTAAATAATGGAGGAACAATAGTCTTTCTCTGAATTTCTTCTCAATCCAATTCTTCTCTAATTTCTCAATCTAGAGGTAACCAATATCCTGAATTGGGTACCAATTATCCCCATGCATCTTTCTGTAATTTTACAATAGATATTTTCCATTAAACATATAAATTGTGATACAGAGCAAAATAACCCCCCAACATGTTCACATTCCCTTTCTTAGAAACTGTTAATGTGTTATCTTACATGAAAAAAGGAACTTAGCAGATAGATTAAGGTTAAGAATTCAACCTCTGACTTACAAACTGAAATGATTAATTTACGTTGTTTTAAGGCACTAAATTTGTAGTAGTTTGTGACGGCAGCCCAGAAGAGAAATACATATCAAATTGTTCTGTGTTTTGATGCCAAAAAAAAATGTATCCATCTTTTTGCTTTTTGAAAAACTCATTGTAATGCCTTTTGGATTAACTCACGTTGATATGTGTAGCTCTCTAGTTCATTCACTGTATCTTCTATGAGGTCTTATAAATATTACACAATTTGTTCATTATCCTCCTTATTGAGAATTAGAAGGTTTTGTTCTGTGCTTTTTAACTATTCAAATTTTTAACATGAACTTTTTTTTTTTAAATGAAGTTTCTCTCTTTTCACCCAGGCTGGAGTGCAATGGCACGATCTCAGCTCACTGCAACATCTGCCTCCAAGGTTCAAGCGATTCTCCTGCCTCAGCGTCCCAGATAGCTGGGATTACAGGCACCCACCACCACACCCAGCTAATTTTTGTATTTTAATAGAGATGCGGTTTCACCATGTTGGCCAGGCTAGTCTCAAACTTCTGACCTTAGGTGATCCACCTGCCTTGGCCTTCCAAAGTGCTGGGATTACAGGCATGAGCCACCATATGAAAAGAAATTTTCTTTGATTTTTATTCTGAAATTCTCTGGTTACTAGTAAAATTAAGCTTCTGAAACTTTTAGGTTCTCTTTTAGTGAATATCTTGTTCACTTGTTTGTTTTTCTTTTGGGTTGTTTTTCATTTTCTAATGGACTTGAAGTAATTTATAAATTCTGGGTCTAAATGCACTGCTGTTTATAGCTTCTAATTGTATGGATTTTCTTTTTATTTTGTTAATGGTATTTTTTCCTTGAAATTATGTTTTATGTTTAAAATGGCCACACTTATGAATATTTTTCAATTATGGTTTGTGTTTTTTTTCTTGTTTAAGAAATCCTTCCCTGAGATCATAAATACTCTTTTGATTTTTTAAAAATTAGTTTTACACACACAAATGTTTAATCTACCTATAAGTAATTATAGTATTGTGTTAACTATATTTTTTCAGATTAATAACCAAAGAATCTAATACCACTTACACATTTGTCTTTTTCCCAATTAATTTTAAACTACCTTTGTAACACATAAAGTTTCCATACATGTACGGATCTTTCTCTGGACCCCCATTCTATTTCACTGACTTATTTGTTTTCACTCTTGTGCAGATATCAAACAGGCCTAATTATTATAGTGGCAGAGTGTCTTGATATCTGTTGTGTGCTTCCACTTTATTATTTTTTTCAAAATCATCCCTCCACTTTTGGCTCTTTGTTGTTTCATATGAATTCTAGGAACTGGGATTTTAATTGTACTTAAAATTAATGTATTAGTTAATTTGGAGAAAAACCATATGTTTTCACATTATTGAATCTTTCCATCCATGAACATGGTATATTTTGTCATTCAGTTAGCACTTATTTTGTTAGATATTTTTCTAGATACATTATGTATCTGTTTTCTCAATGTTTATTGCAACTATACAGAAATGCTAATGATTTCTGTATGTTGAGTATTCTCCTGGCAATCTTCCTGAATTCTTATAAATTCCAAAACTTTGTGGAGTATATGAAATTTTTCTAGAAGACAATCGTATCAAATGATAATAACAAGTATTGTAATCTTTACATCACTTGTTTTTAAATGTATTACTTTGTTTTGAACCATTAATTCAATATTGAGCAGAAGGATTGCTAACAGAGATCCTTGTTATGTTCTTGAATTGAAATTAACAGATTTCCTTTTGTTGTATAGCTTTTAAATATAAGGCTTTCTTTTGTTTCTATTGTCCATGGAAAAGACATATAAGTTACAGATCCTTTAAAATGTGGTAAAAACTGCCTGTGAAACTATCTGGCCTCAGTTCCATTTGGAGGGAAGGGTGGTGGTAGGAAATACTTTTTTTTTTTTTTTGGCTAATATAATTTCCTAATGTTAATCTAAACATGGCTATGTTTTGTGAGTCCAACTGTGTGACTTTTGCTTTTCTCTAAAAATTATCCACTCCTTCCAAGCTTTCAATTGTGTGGGCATCACCTGGTTCACGGTATTTCTATATAGCTTTTTGTTTTTGTTTTTTTTTGAGATGGAGTCTCGCTCTGTCGCCCAGGCTAGAGTGCAGTGGCGCAATCTCCACTCACTGCAAGCTCTGCCTCCCGGGTTCACGCCATTCTCCTGCCTCAGCCTCCCAAGTAGCTGGGACTACAGGCACCCGCCACAGCACCCGGCTAAATTTTGTATTTTTTTTTAGTAGAGACAGGGTTTCACTGTGTTATCCAGGATGGTCTCGATCTCCTGACCTCGTGATCCACTGGCCTGGGCCTCCCAAAGTGCTGGGATTACAGGAGTGAGCCACCGCGCCCCACCTCTTTATAGTTTTTAATGTCTCTAATATATCTTTAATAAATCTGTTGCATGCTAAAACTGTAGGCATTTTCTTCTTGGGGGGCCTCTTTCTCAAAAACCTCATTGATTATTGTAAATCAAGATTTTATGTGGGTTTCTCTCCTGAGCTCTTGTTCAGTGTTGTCAATTGCATTACAAACATATTCGACCTAGGTAGGTTACATCACCTAAACCCAACATGACTAACATTAAACTTTTTGTCTCTATCACCACTTCAGAATTACCTCCTTCTGAATGAGGTCACTGAAAGTGATAAGACAGTCCCTGTAGTCATATAGACTCAATATTTTAGTTCACTTTTTAACTTCTCTGCCCAAGCTTCAGAATTACTGTGTCTCAAATATTTGTCTGTTTCTTTTCCTTCCCGCTACATAGCCCTAAAATTGCATTTTAGCTCCTGGTTTCTGAACCACTCTAGTAGCTTTCGAACTTACTGTACTGTTTCTATACGTTCCTCTTTTGTAATACATATTTCTCATCATCCACACATTAATCTTAAATGTGTGTAAAAATATAAAGACATTTTTAGGCTGGGCACAGTGGCCCATGCCTGTAGTCCTGGTCCTTTGGGAGGTCAAGGTGGGGATCACCTGAGGTCAGGAATTCGAGACCAGCCTGGCCAACATGGCAAAACCTCATTTCTACTAAAAACACAAAAACTAGCCAGGCGTGGTGGCAGGCACCTATAATCCCGCTACTCGGGAGGCTGAGGCAAGAGAATTGCTTGAACCTGGGAGGCGGAGGTTGCAGTGAGCCGAGATCACACCACTGCACTCTAGCCTGGGAGACAAGAGCAAAACTCAGTCTCTCTCTCTCTCTCTCTCCATATATATATATATAAAAATATATATATAAATATATGTAGATATATAAATATATATAGATATCTATAAATATATATAGATATATAAAAATATATATAGATGTATAAAAATATATATAGATATATATAAATATAAATATATATAGATATATAGATATATATAAATATAAATATATATAGATATATAGATATATATAAATATAAATATATATAGATTATATAGATATATATAAATATATACAGATATATAGATATATATAAATACATATAGGTATATAGATATATAAATATATATAGATATATAGATATATATAAATATATAGATATATATAAATATATAGATATATATAAATATATAAATAGATATAACTCTATATATATAAAAATATATAAAACTCAGTCTCTCTCTATATAGAGAGATATCTATATCTATATCTATATATATAGATAGAGATATATATATCTATATCTATCTATATCTATATATCTATCTATATATATCTATATCTATATATATCTATATATCTATATATATATCTATATATATATCTATATATATCTATATATATATCTATATATATATCTATATATATATCTGTATATATCTATATCTATATATATCTCTCTATATATCTCTATATATATCTCTATATATATCTATATATATCTATATCTATATATATCTATATATATATATCTATATATATCTATATCTATATATATCTATATATATATATCTATATATATCTATATATATATCTCTATATATATCTATATATATCTATATATATATATCTATATATATATCTATATATATGTCTATATATATGTCTATATATATCTATATATATCTATATATATATCGATATATATCTATATATATATCTATATATATCTATCTATCTATATCTCTATATCTATATCTCTATCTATATCTCTATATCTATATCTCTATATCTATATCTCTATCTATATCTCTATATCTATATCTCTATCTATATCTCTATCTCTATATCTCTATCTATATCTCTATATCTCTATCTATATCTCTATCTCTATATCTCTATCTATATCTCTATCTCTATATCTCTATCTATATCTCTATCTCTATATCTCTATCTATATCTCTATCTCTATATCTCTATCTATATCTCTATCTCTATATCTCTATCTATATCTCTATCTCTATATCTCTATCTATATCTCTATCTCTATATCTCTATCTATATCTCTATCTCTATATCTCTATCTATATCTCTATCTCTATATCTCTATCTATATCTCTATCTCTATATCTCTATCTATATCTCTATCTCTATATCTCTATCTATATCTCTATCTCTATATCTCTATCTATATCTCTATCTCTATATCTCTATCTATATCTCTATCTCTATATCTCTATCTATATCTCTATCTCTATATCTCTATCTATATCTCTATCTCTATATCGCTATCTATATCTCTATATCTATATCTATCTCTATATCTCTATATCTATATCTATCTCTATATCTATATCTATCTCTATATCTCTATATCTATATCTATCTCTATATCTCTATATCTATATCTATCTCTATATCTCTATATCTATATCTATCTCTATATCTCTATATCTATATCTATATCTATATCTCTATATCTATATCTCTATCTCTATATCTATATCTATATCTCTATATCTATATCTATATCTATCTCTATATCTATATCTATATCTATATCTCTATATCTATATCTATATCTATATCTCTATATCTATATCTATATCTATATCTCTATATCTATATCTATATCTATATCTATATCTCTATATCTATATCTATATCTCTATCTCTATATCTATATCTCTATATCTCTATCTCTATCTCTATCTCTATATCTCTATCTCTATCTCTATATCTCTATCTCTATCTCTATATCTCTATCTCTATCTCTATCTCTATATCTCTATCTCTATCTCTATATCTATATCTATATATCTATATCTATATCTATATATCTATATCTATATCTATATCTATATATCTATATCTATATCTATATCTATATATCTATGTATATATCTATGTATATATCTATGTATATATCTATATACATATCTATGTATATATATCTATATACATATCTATATATATATCTATATACATATCTATATATATATCTATATACATATCTATATATATATATCTATATACATATCTATATATATATATCTATATACATATCTATATATATATATCTATATACATATCTATATATATATCTATATACATATCTATATATATATATCTATATACATATCTATATATATATCTATATACATATCTATATATATCTATATACATATCTATATATATCTATATACATATCTATATATATCTATATACATATCTATATATATATATCTATATACATATCTATATATATATCTATATACATATCTATATATATATCTATATACATATCTATATATATAATCTATCTATATATATATCTATATATATATCTATATATATATCTATATCTATATCTATATCTATATATATATCTATATATATATCTATATATATATCTATATATATATATCTATATATATATCTATATATATATCTATATATATATCTATATATATCTATATATATCTATCTATATATATATATCTATATATATATCTATATATATATCTATATATCTATATATATATCTATATATATATCTATATATATAGATCTATATATATATCTATATATAGATCTATATATATATCTATATATATATCTATATATATATATCTATATATATATCTATATATATATAGAGAGAGAGAGAGAGAGATATTTTTGGGGGACTACAAGAAGGGGGAGGGAGAGAGGAGGACAAGGGTAGAGAAACTACCTATTGGGTATTATGCTCACTATCTGGGTGATGGGTTTAATTATACCCCAAATGTCAGCATCATACAATATATCCATATAAAAAAAACCCTGCACATGTACCCTCTGAATCTATATATATACACAGAGAGAGATTTTTAGAGTTATACAATAATTTATTATCTACACAGCACATGTAAGGTAGATAGAAAATGCATTACTAGTTCCACCTTTATCAAATGTAAAGCTGGAGGTTTAGATTTCTCTTACCTTACTAAGAAAACTAAACATCAAACCCAAGTTGAGTTTATTAACCTTCATGATGCAGAATCCCAATTTTCTATATGAAACTATGAGTTCTCTTATGGCAGGAGTTATGATTTCTGCTATTTTCTCAAATACTCTCAAACTCGGTGTGTCGCTGTAGAAGGTGCCCACAAATGCTGAGCCAATTTTTAATACTTTGAGAAATATAGGACTGACGTATTTTTGATTTAGGAAGCATGTTAGGTGTTTCTGTTATATTATCTCACTGGGAAGTGTACCACATTGTGAACAAATTGTTATTTTGCCTATTACTCATGAAAAATATGTGTTCCGTCAGAAAGTTAACAGAGAACTAACCTGAAAGAAACTTCAGCACCAGCAATTTTAATAAGATAAATAAAAAATAGAGATTCAATCTTATCTACTCCTACTGTGTCATTCTGAAAAGAGATGAAAGAAAAAATAATGAAAACACATTTTCTTAGTGAATTTACCCTCCCTCCAGCCCCAACACATATTTAATTGGTTCCATGATTTATGTAGTGTGTTTTACACTCTTTTTTCCACCCACTCACAATATTACAAATATTAATCATTTTTCCTTGGTCAATTATAGGAATTAAGGCTTGGTGTTGTGTTTGTTCATAGGTAATATGACATCAGATAAAACCATGCTCTACTTTTTGTTCTCCCCACCCCCAACCCCAGCTGTTCATATACCATTTTCTGCTTTCTAAGAGAAAGAATAAAATTACCTTGGTAAAGAGCTATGTTCAACAAACAAACAAAAAGAAAAGAAAAAAAAACCTATTTTGGAAAATACCTAAGAATGCGAGAAGCTCCCAGAGATTGAAAATGTTTTTCACACATGGACAGATTATCAGAGGATAATCTTACATATTGAAGTTGCTGAAATAAAGAAGGCAGTAGCTGAGAACCTACCAACATAAGCTAAGGAGCCCATTGTTTCTGCTATTGACAGCACTACCTGTGTGTCATGTTGCAGTCTCGAGGTCAAAGATACTGAAGGAAACTGAGCTTCTCTGAATTCAAACACTTCCTCCACTCTTGTTTTAAATGTGATCCAGAAGGATGGCTCTGGAGTAGGGTTACTCGATGGAAACTCCTAAACTAACTCAAGAAGGAGGACAAATTACATAAAATTAATAGATCAACGAAACTGCACAGAAAGCAGGAGTGTGCTATTCAGAGGAACTGCCTATGTTCTTTCTTCCTCGATTAATGAAAATATTTCTATGATTTTCCTCAGTTTCTCAGCTGGTATGTAAATTGTATATTTTTCTTCAGTAGGATCAGAACCACCGGGGAATTTGGAATCATCCCAGAAATAAGTACGCAAACCAACCTCTTACATGTTAGCAGGCCAGTGGTCTTCAGGGAATCATCTATCTAATGCCCTGTTTCAGTCAGAACAAGGCAGATTATTCTTCAATCATCAAGAACAGCTCCAACACTCAGTGGATGAAAATATATTTTTTACTCATCCTACATATTGCATAAGAAAATGACTGTCAGGAGGATTTACACATTACAGTCAAACAGAAATGTAGGTTAAAGAATGCTCCATCTCAACTTGTGCTTCTAAGATTACCCAGACAGGGGGAGGAACTACGGAACATGTTTGCTCATGGCAGCACTATTCCCAATAGCAAAGACATGAAAACAGCCTAGGTGTCCATCAATGGCAGATTGCATAATGAAAATGTGGTACCTATACACCATGGAATACTACACAGCCATAAAAAAGAACAAAACCATGTCCTTTCCAGCAACATGGATGCCGCTGGATGCCATGATCCTAAGTGAATTAATACAGAAACAGAAAACCAAATACTGAATATTCTTACTTATAAGTGGGGGCTAAGCCCTGGGTACACATGGACATAAAGTTAGGAACAGTAGACATTGGGGACTACAAGAAGGGGGAGGGAGAGAGGAGGACAAGGGTAGAAAAGCTACCTATTGGGTATTATGCTCACTATTTGGGTGATGGGTTTAATTATACCCCAAACGTCAGCATCATACAATATATCCATTTAAAAATCCTGCACATGTACCCTCTGAATCTAAAATAAAAGTTGAAATTTAAAAAAAAAAGAATTCAGCAGAAGTGTAACATAACATTCACTCCCATTTCATGGCCTAAATTCAAGAGGGGCAAGGCTGTGCAATCCGATCAAATGCTGAGAAAGAAAAAAAAAAGCTGTAATAAATGTGAGCAGATTTAATGGCCTCATTCCACTTCATGAAAATTGTCTAAATCATGTCCTTCACTATTGTCCTCATCCCAAAATATAAATAATTACTGTACATGGAAATCGTTTTAGACTGAACAGACAGAAAAGAAGATGGGTACAAATATCACATACCACAGAAGTATCTCCTAAAGCAATTCAAGAAATAGAAGCCTGGATGATATCCAATTATACTGTATTTAGTCTTTTGCTTGGACTTTTCTTCTTCCTTCCTTTTCAATCAATCAACAAACCTCTTCCTGGTCTATGCTCGTGATGTTTTTTTTCTCATATTTTTAAAATATTTCACTTTCAGCCTCCTGATGTTACACTGTGCATTCTTTGGAACAACATCTTATATTCAGTAAATTCCCCTGTGATATTTTCAAAGCTTTAAAGGCCTTAATGACATTAATTCATTAACTTTTTATACTCAAAACCATTCCTGAACTCATCAGTTTTGAGCCCTGAGTATGTTAGGGCAAAGAAAATAAGGACTTAATTTCTGCCTTTGTAGAATTACAACTTCCCCAGAGAAATAATTCATAAACAATGAACAAACACAAGAAAAAAAAATAATGAGAAAAGTCCAACATAATATTGTTTCAAGTTCCTGTCACTAATATTAACTACTGGCATATCTTAAACCCCTACTGATGGATCATATATGAACAGAAACAGTGCTTTAAGAATGACAAGTTGAAATTTTCTGAAACTCGTTGCCTACAATCAGCTAACAAAGACTGTAAAAGAGTTTACTTAACGTCAGAAAACACAGAATGCAGCAAAGCCTATAGAGATAGGAAAATAATCACTATGTTCACAGGCAGAGAAATTATGGCTCTTTCAATATCTAGATGGCAACAAAAATGTGTTGAGCTTTTGATATTTACCTAATTATTTCAGATAATTATTGAAACTGTGTAATCAAGCTAAACACACTTATCAGAATTGCCCTGGCCTGTCCTTTTGTGTACATACTGAAACCCTTGGGCTTTCTTTTCTACTCTTTATATACCTACAAGGTGTTACCTTCAGTTTCTTAATTGAATCATGGTTCAAAGTGTGTGTGGGGGTGGTGTGTGTGTGGTGTGTGTGAATGTTCATGTGTGTGTGTGTAATTTTTTGAAATTCTTCTTCCACCCTCAGGAGTCCCCTGCAGTGAACTGGCTGCCTTGCCTTTTATTATTCCTTTACTAAATGCTCAGAGGACCATATGGATTTGGCTGCTTCCATACAAACATGGAAAAAATACTTCCGTGCAAAAAATATTTCTTTTTATTCTGATGTGGGCATGAGAGGACAGCCAGGTAGTTGAGAGAATTGTCTAATATATCCTCCTGGCATTTGTCAGCGGATACAAAAACCCTGATAACTTATGTTAGCTTATCACATAGTCACCATTGCATCTACATTTGAGAAATCAGTTCAATTCTTCAGAGCGTGCTTGCATGGAAAGAGAAGTCAGAAATTATGAGGCTCAGACTGAAGAATTAGAAACAGAGGTAGACAGAAAATATAGACTGTATAAGGCCACTCAGCAAAGCCCTCTGGTTTTAAGGGTCACTCCATTACCCTGATTATTTACTAAGTATATAACAGAGACCATTGAATTATAGTAGATTAGAGGTTTATGGTTTCTATAGTTTAGTGTGCCACTACCATCTCTTAGAATAGTGAATAAAATTGGCACTACATTGCAAGGAAACTTGAATCGACATGCTTTCATTGAGATTCAAAGTGAAATCCAGAATATATTATATTAGTGGATGTATCTTTTTGTTCTTTTAAAATTGGTGAGATCCCTTTTCTTTAGAAGTAAGAAAAAATGTATTGTTACTTCTTAGACACGTTTCTGTTCTTTTTCTTTCTAGGTTATTCTGTTCCATTCTAAATAGGTAACATTTCCATGACCATTATTCTCAAAAGTACATTTAATAATGTTCAAAATGTTTATGGCAGCATAGATAAGCATGAGGTAACAAGCCAGGTGGCAAGAAACATTGCCCTCTCGTTGTTTATAACCTAAGTGTAGTCTGACACCAAGTCCCACGTACAAAAAAGACTGGGAAGAGTAAAGTCTAGTGCTTACATTGTGCTGGAAGTCTCTTGAGATTATCAACTTTACCTATTTGTTCCCATGCAGACATAACCATCCCTGGAGACTGCCTTTTCACCTAACTTTCAAAATGCTTTAATTATTAAAGACATGGCAGCTTGCACACAGGTCATTTCCTCATCATCTTCTGGAACTTTAAAAATCTCTCTTCTAAAAATAGAAGCAGAGGTGAAGAGAAAAGGTTTAGTGTTTCTATGACTTATCCATAATTGAATTCTCTTTTATAAAAAATAAATAGGACAACAAAAAGTAAGTCTTTACTACTACTTTCTTCATATACTTATTTGTTCACACATGATCTAAGAAGCCTTTTATAATCATTGTACCGACACTGGCTTTTTGACGACAGAAGATCAAAGCTTCCCCAGTTTGGGAGCAACTTTTCTGCATAAATAAGTGCAGCATCAGTGTATTTTGAGGCTATGTAAAGAACCTTAAGTTAACCAGTAAAACTGAGTTATTTTTAAGGAAGCTGATGTCAAGGACTGGACCCAGAGACTCAGGATATTACAATAGACACCCCGGCTCCCCAGCAAAAACCCTGCAAGAGACTTTGTGATATTTATGTTTAAAGACTGCACCAGCAGGACAACCTTTATGAGGCTTTTGCAAGTGAAGTACACCAATCATGAGTAGAAGGCTCAGCTCAGTCTAACAACGTCTTATCTTTCTCTTCGTCATTTATAGGATCCCTGTTGGCCTCTGAGTATTGTCTGTGGACTGGAAATGTATGACATAAATCTTTGCTAGTCTTTTTAAAAGAGACTTTGATTGTCTCAAGGGAGAGTATCATTGGGTCAGTTCCATCCAGGAACCTCAAGTCATTATAGCATAAAGAATATAGGTCATATTTATCGTCAGAGTCTGGATAAACCTTTTCTAAGTATGATATGAGTCTTCTTCACTGAGATACAAACATTTCTTTCCTAATCACTAATTTTATGTTTAGTTTTGTTCTTAGAGGAAAGTAATATTTAGTGGGATGGAAGGTAATATCTTTGTGGCTCTTTCTTTTCTCTTCCTTTTCATTGTCACACATGTCTTCCATTGTCCCCTGTCTCTGCAGCATGTTCATAAAATTTATATCAGATCATCTTACAATGTTACTTTCTAGGCTTTTTAGTATGTATTATTTTTCCCACAAAAGAGTGTATTTCCTGAATATCTGATTCCTGTTTATAATCTACTCATCTATTGTTTTCCAAAATGCCTGCCAACAATAAATGCATCATAAATGGTTGTTGGCTAAATGTATGAATAAATACAGTTGCTTTTTTAAAATATGTCATTCACATCTTTCTTTAAAAAAATCAGGAGACCTTAAACCTCCCCCTTTAACTCTCTATTGTTTCCTGAACTGAATGCTGTCTTTCACATCCTATCCCTAACACTGTCTACAATCATTTCCCTATAATTCCATGATGTCCCTGTGTTCCTGCTAACCTGAACTTCTTTTTATTCCTCAAAGAAAATGTAATCTTCTATAACTTTGAAAGTTCTTCCTGTCTTTTCCATTTGTGAATGTAAATTTAACCTTCAAAATACAGATCAAATGTTACCTTCTTGTGAATACTTATTTGGTTCTCCAGAGTGACTCTTCGTGAGTACTTAAGTGACGCTTTGTAACTATCTCCACTGTATCAATCACACTGGAAATGCAATAGTGGGATTATTTACTTATTTGGCATCCCACAAAAAACACACAAACACCACACATACCGCATACAAACCTGAGCATAGATATTATATCTTATTTCTTGTATCTAACTAAGCACCCAACATAGTACTTGAAAGATAATTAGGTATTAAATGTGTATTTGTTAAATGAAAGAATAATTAAAATGATGAACGAGTGAATGAATAGAATAGGAATTTAGGGGCTGGCAAAAAATTGACCTGTTTTAACCACTTCTAGCTTTTGATCTTCAGAAAGTGTCTTCCCTTTCTGGAGCTTCCATTTTTTCATCTCTAAAATAGGATAGTACGTCCATAATAGAGCTGTGATAAAGGGTATAAAAGATAATTCATGGAAATACTTGGCAGTGTCTGGACGAAGAGTAAGAAGTAAAAGAAGAGGAAGAAGAAAGAGGAGGAGATATAGGAGAAAAAGAACAAGGAGAAGGAGGAAAAGGAGATGCACTAATGATAAACGCATTTAACCAAAAGTGAATGGAGAAGCAAGAATAATGTAGCCAAAAACCCAACTAATTAAAGGGTAATTCTTGTCTGGAGCTCCCATTAGATTGTAAAGGAAAAAAAGAAGAAATAGTGATGATGATATGGTTTGGCTGTGTCCCCACCCAAATCTCATCTTGAATTGTACTTCCATAATTCCCACATATTGTGGGAGGGACCCGGTAGGAGATAATTTGAATCCCGGCAGGAGTTTCTCCCATACTGTTCTCCCTTGGTAGCAAATAAATCTCATGAGATCTGATGGTTTTATCAGAGGTTTCCACTTTTGCATCTCTCTCATTCTCTCTTTGCCTGCTGCCATCTATGTAAGATGGGACTTGCTCCTTCTTATTTTCTGCCATGATTGTGAGGCTTCCCCAGCCATGTGGAACTGTAAGTCCAATTAAACCTCTTTTGTAAATTGCCTGGTCTCAGGTATGTTTTTATTAGTAGTGTGAAAACAGACTAATACAGTAAATTGGTACCAGGAGTGGGATGTTACTGAAAAGATACCCAAAGATGTGGAAGTGACTTTGGAACTGGGTAACAGGCAGAGGTTGGAACAGTTTGGAGGGCTCAGACAAAGACAGGAAAATGTTGGAAAGTTTGGAATTTCCTAGAGACTTGTTGAATGGCTTTAACCAAAGCCTAAGGAGATATGGACAATAAGGTCCAGGCTGAGGTGGTCTCAAATGGAGATGAGGAACTTGTTGGGAATTGACGTAAAGGTGACTCTTGTTATGTTTTAGCAGAGACTGGCAGCATTTTGCCCCTGCTCTAGAGATTTGTGGAACTTTGAACTTGAGAGAGATGATTTAGGGTACCTGGTAGAAGAAATTTCTAAGCAGCAAGGCAGTCAAGAGGTAACTTGGGTGCTGTTAAAAGCAATCAATTTTAAAAGAGAAACAATATAAAAGTTTGGAAAATTTGCAGCCTGACAATGTGATAGAAAAGAAAAACTCATTTTCTGAGGAGAAATTCAAGCCAGCTGCAGAAATCTGCATAAGTAACGAGGGGCCAAATGTTAATCCCCAAGACAATGGGGAAAATGTCTCCAGGGCATGTCAAAGGGCTTCACGGCTCCCATCACAGGCCCAGAGGCCTAGGAGTAAATGGTTTCGTGAGTGGGCCCACGGTCCCCATGCTATGTGTAGCCTAGGGATTTGGTGCCCCACATCCTAGCTGCTCCAGCTGTGGCTGGAAAAGGCCAGTGTACAACTCGGACTGTAGCTTCAGAGGGTGCAAGCCCCAAACCTTGACAGCTTCCACATGGTGTTGAGCCTGTGAGTGCACAGAAGTCAAGAATTGGGGTTTGGCACCGCATATTCTCACTTATAGGTGGGAATTGAACAATGAGAAGACATGGACACAGGAAGGGGAACATCACACTCTGGGGACTGTTGCGGGGTTGGGGGAGGGGGGAGGGATAGCATTGGGAGATATACCTAATGCTAGATGACGAGTTAGTGGGTGCAGTGCACCAGCATGGCACACGTATACATATGTAACTAACCTGCACATTGTGCACATGTACCCTAAAACTTAAAGTATAATAATAATTTTAAAAAAAAGAAAATATGTGAAAAAAAAAAAAAGAATTGGGGTTTGGGAACCTCTTCCTAGACTTCAGAAGATGTATGGAAACATCTGGATGCCCAGACAGAAGTTTGCTGCAGGGGCAGGGTGCTCATGGAGAACCTGTGCTAGGGCAGTGCAGAAGGGAAATGTGGGTTGGAGTCCCCACACAGACTCCCTACTGGGACACTGCCTAGTGGAGCTGAGAAGAGGGCCACCGTCCTCCAGACCCCAAAATGGTAGATCCACTGGCAGCTTGCATTGTTTGCCTGGAAAAGCCACAGACACTCAATGCCAGCCCATGAAAGCAGCTGAAAGGGAGGCTGTACCCTGCAAAGCCACAAGAACAGAGCTGCCCAAGACCATGGAAACCCGCCTTTTCCATCAGCATGACCTGGATGTGAGACCTGGAGTCAAAGGAGATCATTTTGGAGTTTTAAAATTTGACTTCCCCGCTGGATTTTGGACTTGCATGGGCCCTGTAACCCCTTTGTTTTGGACAATTTCTCCCATTTGGAATGGCTGTATTTACTCAATGCCTGTACCCCCATTGTATCTAGGAGGTAACTAGCTTTCTTTTGATTTTACAGGCTCATAGGCAGAAGGAACTTGCCTTGACTCAGATGAGACTTTGGACTGTGGACTTTTGGGTTAGTGCTGAAATGAGTTAAGACTTTAGGGGAATGTTGGGAAGGCATGATTGGTTTTGAAATGTGAGGACATAAGATTTTCGGGGGCCAGGGGTGAAACAATGCGATTTGGCTGTGTCCCTACCCAAATCTCATCTTGAATTCTACTCTCATAATTCCCACATGTTGTGGGAGGGACCTGTTGGGAGATAATTTGAATCATGGGGGCTGCTTCCCCCATACCGTTCTCGTGGTAGTGAATAAGTCTCATGAGATCTGATGGCTTTATCAGGGGTTCCCACTTTTGCATCTCTCTCATTCTTTCTTTGCCTGCTGCCATCCATGTAAGACAGGATTGTCTCCTCCTTACCTTCCACCATGATTGTGAGGCTTCCCCAGCCACGTGGAACTGTGAGTTCAATTAAACCTCTTTCTTTTGTATATTTCCCAGTCTCAGATATGTCTTTATCAGCAGGCTAATACAGATGACAAAAGAAGTTGTCATATATCTGCTAAGTTCAGTTATCCATTCTAAATCTTTTAAACTATTGCAGATATTCAAAAGAATGGACAGGAATTTAAAAAGAAAAGTAGTTATAATATGAAGTGATAAATGTGTAAGAGTTTGTCTCCTTAAAAATGTTTTAATAAAAATAAAAACGTCATTTAAAAATATTACTTTGATGGTGTTCTTCATTGGGCAGATGCCTACTGTGGGGACAAAGTATCAAAGCAATAGTCCCAAGACATTGTTAAGAATAGGAGGAGCTTAAAAAAGTTTGACAGGGAATTATATATTTTTTTTTAATTGCCATAGTACATTGTCACAATCATTAGAGGCATGTTTCAAAGGGGAATGAAGGAATGGGGCTTTCCAGAGAGTCAAATTTCATTAACCAAAACGATTTCTGCATCCATTGTTACAGCAACATCAAAGCCATTGAAAATGAATAAGGTCTCACGAAGAAATTTTTAAATGGATTAATTAGGGGATTTTAGTGTAAGAGTAGGAGTGTGGTTCAGGGCTCATTCCCCAGGGAGGGGTGGAGAGGAAAGAGAGAAGAATTCTTCAAACTTTTGAACAGTCTTTATCTCCAAATAAGTGACATTTAGTCAACTGTGGGCTAGGAGTCTCCAGAAGCAGCCGGAGCTAACTTCTTACATCTCAAGTCACCCTTTGCTACTAACCAGGAAAGTCTGCGGCAGGGTAGAGAGGCGGATATCAGTTTAAATCCTTTACAAAAAGCCACTCCTGGCCATTACTGCAGGGAAAAGTCCCGCAGAGCTGAGCAGTCATGATGTGTGACTTCACCGAGGACCAGACCACAGAGTTCAAGGAGGCCTTCCAGCTGTTTGACCGAACAGGTGATGGCAAGATCCTGTACAACCAATGTGGGGATGTGATGAGGCCCCTAGGTCAGAATCCCACTAACACTGAGGTGGTCAAGGTTCTGAGGAACCCCAAGAGTAATGAGATGAATGTGAAGTTGCTGGACTTTGAGCACTTTCTGCCCATGCTGCAGATGGTGGCCAAGAACAAGGACCAAGGCACCTATGAAGATTACGTAGAAGGACTTCAGGTGTTTGACAAGGAAGGAAATGGCACCATCATGGGTGTTGAATTCTGGCACGTTCTTGTCACACTGGGTGAGAAGATAACAGAGGAAGAAGTAGAGGTGTTGGTGGCAGGGAACGAGGGCAGCAATGGTTGTATCGACTATGAAGCATTTGTGAGGCATATCCTGTCGGGATGACTGGCCCATGGGGCAGAGCTCGTCCTTACGGTGCTGAATGGCTGAGGACCTTCCCAGTCTCCCAGAGCCATGTTGTCTTCCCCTGGTGAGATTTTCTATCTATCCTGAAGGCTCCCTAGGCTCTCTTATCACAGCGCCTTTCCCATATATTCTCTCTTGGATGATATTTGCCGTCAGCATTCATCAAATAAACTTGCTGTCTGTGCCTCCACCCAAAGGAAGCCACTCCTATACTCATACCTGCCATCACCACGTAGAACATCCTTGTTGCTTAGAAGCATCTAAATAGGACACTGTCTATACACACTCATGCACACATACACGAGAGAATAGAAATTTATCCCGTGTCCTCTCTACTTCCTCAAATCTGTGCTGAACAAACACTGGCAGTGCCAAAGATTCTAGAACTTAAATACTATTAAGTCATTTTGATATCATCAGAGTCAAAAGTGAAAAAAATATTGAGAGACAAGTGGCTTTAAGGATGCTTTGATGGCCCCTAAGTCATCTGTTTATTTCAAGTGTTGCCAATGGTAAAAAGAAACTTCTTCAGTTGAAATTAGGTTTGGTTTCCAAAGTATTCTTTCAAATAAAAAGAATCAAATTATCAACCTAATTTAAAAAGCTACTATATACACATGTGTACATGCATTCTACTTATGTATGTGTTCATGTGTGTTCACTTGCATGCTACATACACACGCAACAGACCTACAGCAACTTTCATCATCTTTCACCCCACTATGCTCGACAACATGATTTACACATAGTAGGCCTTCAGCCATTTTTGAAATGAAGTTATGGATGTTGTAATCAAAGTGCATACATATGACCACATACATATAGTTACTGACATCACCATAAAAGTGATTGATACTCCCTCAGAGAGCTTTCAGTTTCCAAAGTATATGCCAAAATGAATGTGCTCTGAGAATACGCTGGAACTGAGGGTCAGAAAATGTCCAGTTTCCATCTCCTGTCACAGCCCCAAACACTATTATTATTTGCGGAGGGCCAGTGATTTGCTTGGCACTGCACACACCTCACAGGAGAAAGCTCTATCTCTGCCCAGTGGGGTTTTAAGAACAGGGCTTGTAGGACATAAAAGACAAGTAAGAACTGGCAAGAGAGAGGAGCAATCTAAGCCTGTGGCTTAAAATGCCATTAAAATAATCATTAAAACCAGGTGCCTAACGCACCCCACAGTCTAGGCCAAAAACATAGGAAAATATAAGATTTTTCACCCTTTAACCACAGGTTCTTTGTGTAATTGGTAAGCATCAAGAAAGGGAGTGACAAATTCCTCCATAGGTATTCAGGGAGACAGTTGTATTGTTGTGAGTGTTGTCATTATACATTATGTGCCCACAGTCTCATAGTTTATGCTGGGATACATACAAGAGCATGATGCATGGTGTGGACAGTTTTAGCAGCCAAAGAGGTATTCTCCAGGCTGCCTAGGATATAGCTTGTAAAGACTAACAACACCTTATCTAAGAAAAGTGAAGCCCCAAGTTGACAACTCTTGTTGTGCCATTTAAGGACCACAGATGATTTTTTTTTTTTTTTTTTTTTTTTTTTTTTTGGACAGAGTCTAGCTCTGTCACCCAGGCTGGAGAGTGAAGTGGCATGATCTGGGCTCACTGTAACCTCCACCTTCCGGGTTCAAGCGGGCACCTCCCTGCCTTAGCTTCCTGAGTAGCTGGGATTGCATGTGCCTGCCACCATGCCCGACTAATTTTTGTATTTTTAGTAGAGGCAGAGTTTTGTTATGTTGCTCAGGCTGGTCTTGAACTCCTGACTTCTGGTGATCCTCCCGCCTCAGCATCCCAAAGTGCTGGGATTACAGGCCTGAGCCAATGGATGACTTTTGATCATCCAAAGAAAGGCATCCTTCAATTGCCAATTTCATGTCTTAGTGAGTGCAGGATGCTATCACAGAACACCATAGCCTGGGTGTCTTATAAGCAACAGAAATTTATTTCTCACAGTTCTGGAGCCTGAAAGTCTGAGATCAAGGTGCCAGCATGGTCAGCTTCTGCTGAGTGTCCTCTTCCAAGTTGCAGATGGCCATCTTCTCATTGTATCATCACATAGAGGAAAGAGGACAAGAGGGATCTTTGGAGTATCTCTTATTGGGGCACTAATTCCATTCATGAAGGCTCCACCCCTACAACCTAATTACCTCCCAAAGACCCTACCTCCTAATACCATCACAGTGAGGGGTAGGATTTCAACATGTGAGTTTTATGGGATGAAAACATTCAGTTCATAACATTCCTCAAATAGGAAAAGCATGTCAAGAATCCTCTGAAGAGATGCCAGCCTGTGTGGTAGGCCAAAAAAAATTAAAAAAAGCTCCCCAAATATATTCATGTCCTAATCCCCAGAACCTGTGAATATATTACTTTACATATCAAAGGAAGTATTTGCAACTGGGCACAATGACTCATGCCTATAATCCCAGCACTTTGGGAGACAGAGATAGGCAGATCACCTGAGGCCAGGAGTTCGAGACCACCTTGACCAACATGGTGAAACCCCATCTCTACTAAAAATACAAAAATTAGCCAGGTGTGGGGGCACACACCTGTAATCCCAGCTACTTGGGAGGCTGAGGCAGGTGAATCACTTGAACCCGGGAGGCAGAGGTTGCAGTGAACTGAGATTGTGCCACTGCACTCCAGCATGGGCTACAGGGTGAGACTTTGTCTCAAAGAAAAAAAAAGTCTTTGCAGATGTGAAGTCAGGGACCTTGATATGGAGAGATTATCCTTGATCACAAGGGTCCTTATAAAGGAAAGGCAGGAGGGTGAGAGTCAAAGCAGGAGATGTGAGGATGTAAGTAGAGGTCAAAGTGATGTAAGAAAACATGCTGCAAGCCAAGGAATGCAGGGGGCTTCTGGAAATTGGAAAAGACAAAGAATTAAAATCTCCCCTGGAACCTCCAGAAGAAATACAGTCCTGCTGACACCTTGATTTTAGGACGTATGACTTCCAGAAATCTAACATAATAGACTTGAGTTGTTTTTAAGTCATTAAGGTTGTGATAATTTGTTATGGCAACAGTAGAAAACTAATACCTAGTGAAATTTTAAAAAATCATTCTCTCAAAATGGTCTTAACAATAGACACATCTAGGATCCTGCCACATATTCTAACCCTTTCAGAAAGTATCTGGTAAGTCCAACTGTGGTGGCTCATGCATGTAATCTCAGCACTTTGGGAGGCCAAGATGGGAGGATCACTTGAGCTCAGAAGTTTGAGACCAGCCTGGGCAACATGGGGAAACTCTGTCTCTACAAAAATACAAAAATTAGCTGAGCCTGGTGGTTCATGCTTGTAGCCCCTTCTACTCAGGAGGCTGAGCTGGGAGGACCACTTGAGCCCAGGAGGTTGAGGCTGCTGTGAGCCATGATAGAGCCACTGTACTCCAGTCTGGGTAACAGAGTGAGACCCTGTCTCAAACAAAGAAAAAGAAAAAAAAAAAGAAAGTATCTGGAGATACTTTTGAAGCAAATAGGTCTTGTATATTCCCCCAAAGACAGAGCCTACAGGTATAAGATATGTTAACAGTATCTCTGTTTAAAATACCACCTATGGAACTTCTGAAAAAGTAGCATTTTTTTTCCCCAAAGAGCTCTGTACTAGTTCAGAACTCCCAGGCAATGTATCACATATGGCTCAAAAACTAATCCTTAAGGTCATCCTGAATAATTCTTCCCACTTCTGCTTGTGATTATTAATCACACCGATCCGTGAGTACTGTTAGAGTAAGTGCTTCTGCCTTTTTCCCTACGACTTTAACAGACAAGGTCTACATGTATAAAATCAAGATCGTTTTCCTGACCTTGGATAGCTCTAAGTATGCCTAGAGTTTAAGTTTCTGTACTGTTACAGGTTTGCTTCTGATACCTTCTTCCCAGACTACTGAATAACAAGTTGGCTTTGTTTTTTTTGTTTGTTTGTTTGTTTTTTGGTTCGGTTTTGCTTCTACAGTTAGCATCCTAGGTTCTGACCCCCAAGTTGCCATGCAGATAAAAGCTGGCCTGGCTACTAAAATCTCCTCCTACATTCCAGGAATTGTTCTTCAGTTCCATGCACCAATGCTAAGGTAGGCAAAATAATTTCCATGCCAACTTGGGCTCCACCCTGCTACCTAGGAAACAAAGCAGAACCAACTTTAGCTTTCCATGTCTTACAGAGATTTTAACAATCCTGCTTTTGTTGTTATTGTCTCACTCTCTGTTCTGCAGATATTTAAGATCAGTCCCAGAGGGATAAGGGATACCTAGAGATCAATGTCAACGGCATGGAGACTGATCGACTCTGCCGTATTCAAAACTCTCCTGATGGAGAAAATGGGACTAGATTTAATTCCTTGTTATGAACTGAATGTTTGTTCCCCCAACCTCCACCCCTCACAAATTTACATGTTGAAATCCTAACCTCCAATGTGATAGTATTAGAAGGTAGAGCCTAGGAGAGGTAACTCAGTAATTAGGTTGGAGCCCTCATGAAAGGGAATAGTGCCCTTATAAAAAGAGAGCCCGTAGAAGTTTCTTACCTTTTTTCCACCACATGTTGACACAATGAGAAGGCAAGGGTTTGCAATCGAGAAGAGGGCCTTCACTACGTTGGCACCCTGATCTCAGCCTTTCAGCCCCCAGAAATGTGATGAATAAATTTCTGTTGTTTATAAGACACCCAGGCTATGGTAGTTTGTTATAGCAGCCTGAACTAAGATATCTTCTGCCTTCAACAGCTAGAAAACTGAATACAATACACAAGGAAACAGTTTTTAGACATTGAAAAACTGGTAGCACAGTACTGTGATTCCTGAGAGAGGGGACACAAAAGAGGTGAGTCTCATACTTTCTTCCAGAACTGACTGGAAGTGGTTTATATACCATAGCAGTATATACCTATCACTAGGACCATCCCAAACATAGCATGGTGGTTTCACTGAGTTAGGTAAAGATTGATGTTCAGCCAGACTCAGGTGGCTTTAATTTTCAGCGTAGAGTACCAAAAAAGAAGGAGGTTGCTATGAATGGAATTGTGTCCCCTCAAAATTCATATGTTGAAGCCTTAACCCCAATTTAATGTTGGAGGTGGAGCATTTGGGAGGTAACCAGAGTTAGAAGAGGTCATGAAGGTGGGTCTCCATGTTGGGACTGATGTCCTTATAAGAAGGGGAAAACAGAGCTCTCTCTCTTTCTCTATCATGTAGAGACACAGCAAGAAGGCCACAACTCAAGGACAGAACCCTGACCAGACACCAACTCTGCCAGCACCTTGACCTTGGACTTCCCAACCTTCAGAGCTGTGAGAAATTTCTGTTGTTTGAGCCACCTAGTTTATGGTATTTTGTTATATAGCCCAAGTTGACTAAGACAAAGGTGTGTAGAGCAAGAACTCTCAGAAATCATAATGTGGTCCTTTTGAATCTGTTATTAATATAAAATTGCACATGCATGTATGCTATGAAACTATGTAAGGCAGTGTACCAGGGAAATAAAAGTTACATAAAGCAGAATGCCAGGGAAATATATGCTAAACAATTAGCAGAGTTCACACAGGGCTGGAAAATGCCCTAGTTACTATTCACCAAAATGCAGAGTCCTCATGGAATACCTGGACATTAGATGGTGATCCCAGGAAAGTCACACCTTAGTAGTGACTCAGACTTTGCCTTAGAGTAAAGAGTACTCTAAACCCATCATGACAAAGCTTAAAAACAAGCTTCAAATGGAACAGGCTCGACTAACTACTCAACATTAACATCCTTTAAAGACATACAACAAACATCAGGGCAAAAGCAAACAAACAAACAAAAAACAGTCATAATGACCAGGAAGATAATGTTGTCCATAATCAAGACAAAAATCAGTTAATAGAAAATGACTCATATAGAGAAGATGAAAAAATGGCATTAGCAGGACTTTGAACAGCTATTAAGGAAACGATAATTACATTCCAAAACTTAAGAGAAAATTAAGCAGCACCTTTTCGAATAACATATGAATAAAATAATAAATCAAAACCAAAGTTATAAAATATGCTTCACTGAGAAGAAATTTTAAAATACACATCAAAATTTGTGGAATAGAGCTAAAAGGGCTTAGAGAACAATTCATAGCATTAAAATTTTATATTAGAAAAGATCTAAAATCAATGATCTAACCCTCCACTATGAAAAATAACCTAGATTAAAGAGAACACATTAAATGTCACATACATAGAAATGAAAAAATACTAATGAAAAATGTGCAAGTCAATGAAATAGAAAATGAACAAATAATAGAAAAAATAAATAAAACCAAAATTTTATTCTTGTTACAGAGCAGTAAACTGGTAGACTTAAAGCTCTAGAGAGAAAGAGGAGAAGGGAAAAGGAGAAAAAAAGGGTGGGAGATGGGGAGAAAGAGAGACAGACAGAGAGTAACAGAGAGAATAAACAAATTATCAAATTACCAACATCAGGAATAAAAGTGGGGACATCACTAGAGATGCCACAGAGACTAAAATAATAAGGGAATATTTCAAACAACTTCATAATAAATTTGACCACTTAGATAAAACTAAAAAATACCTTGAAAATCATAAATTAAGAAAACTGACTGATGAAGAGATAGAAAATTTGAATGATTAATGCCAATGAAAGATACTGAATTTGTAAGTAAAAATCTTCTTAGAAAGAAAATTCCAGTCCCAGATGGCTTTATTGGTTTTGGCCAATAGTATTTTCCAAATATAGTTGCATTAATATCTTTTATCACACATGCTCTTTTGAAGCCTTGTCACACTCCATAAAGAAACGTAATATGATTCTTTTTTTTTTGTATCTGAGTGATTGTAGGACTTGCTTTTAATTAATAGAATGTAGTAGAATTACACTGCTTAACTTCCAACTCTAGTT
Source organism: Homo sapiens (assembly GCF_000001405.40). Lineage (NCBI taxonomy): Eukaryota > Metazoa > Chordata > Mammalia > Primates > Hominidae > Homo > Homo sapiens. The sequence continues at coordinate 71,628,359 of NC_000017.11, forward strand.
ATAAAAGGTGATTCCAATATATAACAATGAGAAGATATGGGAAAGCTACCCATATATCTTTTGGTTGAGAGCCAGCATCAACCACCAGACATGTGAGTTGAGTCTGGTCCTCAGATATCAAGTGACTTTAGCCTTTGAATCTAGCGACCTGAGGCACACAAAGTAGAAGAGCAAAGATAAGCCATCTCTGCTGTGGTCTGTCTGAATGCCTGACTCAGACTCTATGTGCACTAAAAAAAGGTTGTTTGAAACTCATCAATTTTAAAGTGGTTGGTTATGCAGCAATAGAACTGAAACACAATTCTGTAAAATATTTAAGGAATATTTAGATTTATTACAGAAAAGTAAGTTTGCTGTAACATTCAAAAGATCAAATTCATCATATTTACAGAATAAAAAAGAAACACCATACGATCATCAAAAATGCAGGAAATTAAGTTGACAAAGTTTGATAGCTATTCATTATTTATGTTTTCAGAAATTAGGAATAGAAGGAATTTTCCCTAGTCACGTAGGGGTTTTGATGAAAAAACAAGCTAACATAATACTAACATTACATTTAACAGTAAAAGAAGTGATGATTTCCTTCTGAGACTAGGAACAAGACAATAGTATCTACTGTTTTCATTTCTATTCAACATTGTGCTACAGATCCTTGTCAATTCAATAACAAAATAATAATAAGTAAAAGGCATACATATTGGAACAAAAAAAGTTAGACTTCCTTATTTGCAAGATGATATGATTACCTATCTAAAAATTCCAAACAACCTACAAAATAACAAAAAAGGCACTAAGTAAGTTTGTCAAATGTATGCAAATATAAATTGTTTTTTATATGCCACCAATGAAGCATTAGAAATTAAAATTTTAAAAATACTATTACAATTGCAATTAAATGTTTAAGTATAAATTTAACAACACGTGAGCATGAGCTGTACACTAAAAACTGCAGAACATTGCATAAACTACAAAACAATGCTGATGCCTAAATAAAATGGAGAGTTATAACATGTTCATGGATTAAAAGACTCAATATTGTTAAGATTTCTATAATTTTACTTATAAAATTAATGCAATCCCAACCAAGTTAACAGCCTATATTTTAAATATAACCAAGTCTACATTTTTTTAAAAATTGACAAGCTAAGTTGAAAATATATATGGATATGCAAATAACCTACAATAGCAGGGAAAAAAAATTACAAAGAGAATAATATCTGATTTTATTACTTATTCTTAAGTGTGCTGTTATCATAAAAATAGAAATATATATTAGTGGAACAGAATGGCAAGTGTATTAGTCAGTTCTCACACTGCTATAAAGACATATCTGAGACTGGGTAATTTATAAAGGAAAGAGGTGAATTGACTCACAGTTCCACATGGCAGGGGAGGCCTCAGAGAACTTACAATCATGGTGGAAAGGGAGGAGGCACATTTTACATGGCGGCAGGCAAAAGAGAGCAAATGAATGAAGGGGGAAGAGCCCCTTATAAAACCATCAGCTCTTGTGAGAACTCACTCAATGTCACGAGAACAGCATGGGGAAAACTACCCCCATAATCCAATCACCTCCCATTAGGTCCCACCCTTGACACATGGGGATTAGGGGAATTAAAATTTGAGATGAGATTTGGGTGGGGACACAGTGCCAAACCATATCAGGGAGTCAGAAATATACCCACACATATATGTGGCTATGTATATATGTTAACTTTGACAAAGCTACCAAGACAATCCAACAGAGAAATGGATAGTCTTTTGCACAATGATATGGGGATAAGTATTTATACATACAGAACAGTGAGCCTTGACTCTTCCCTTCCACTATATAAAATATTAACTTGAAATGCAACATAGATGTAAACTTCCAAAAGAAAATATAAAACTTTCAAAAGAAAACAAGAGAAATCTTTACAAACTTGGAATAGGTTAAGATTTCTTAGGTAAGTCACAAAGAATACAACTAATAAAAGAGAAATGGGCAACTTAGACTTCATCATAAAAAGAGAGAAAACATTCGCCCTTTGGAAGGAAGATACTGATAAGAGAATGAAATAGCAAACAGACTGGAAGAAAATATTCGCAATAAATATATCTGGTATAGGAATTATTTCTAGAATATGAAGAACACTTGAAAAATCAGTAATAGATCAAATAACCCTACATAAAAATGTTTTGTTCCAACACTTCACAAAAGAAGATGTATAAATAACCATAAGGACATTAAAATAAACTCAGCATCTTTATTCATCAAGGTAATGCAAATTAGGACTACAAATAGATATCATTATAACCCCACTATAATGGCTAAAATTAAAAAGCTTCTCTGTCCCAAGAGTCAGCAAGTATGTAGGACAATTGTTCCACACTGCTGGTAAGAATGTGAAATATTACAACTAGTCAGGAAAACAGCTTGTCAGTTACTCTAACAAGATAATCATACACTGACCATCAGCCATGGTACTCCTAGATATTTGACCAAAATAAATGCAAACACATATCTACAAAAAGAGTAGTACATGAATGTTTGTGAATGTTCATAGCACCTTTATTTGCCATAGCCCAAATGAGAGAAAACCCAAATGTCCATCCACAGGTGACTGGATAAATAAATGTGGCATATCCATGAAATGAAATTACGATAAGCAATGAAAAGAATATACTACTTTTATGCAACAACATGGATGAATCACAACAACACTGGCTTTACACAAGAGAGTATAAACTCTAAGATTATAATTACATGAAACTGCAAAAAATTCAAATCTAATCAGTGGTTGCCTGTGGTCAGAGGTTGAAGAATTGAAATTGACTACAAAGGGGCACAATTTTGGGGCTGATAAATGTTCTATATTTAGGTTGTGGAGGTGATTACACAGAGTTATATTTTCAAAATTTCTCAAAGTATATGCTCAAAATGGGTGCAGTTTATGTAACTTATACATATTTAACTTATGCCCCAGTTGATAATTTCTTATCTTCTCCCAATACCAAAATACATACCCATCCACAAACTCTGCCTACACCACCCCTATCCATATGCTGTGTCTGTGGACTCTTTTCTTGGGTGAGTTCCTTCCCAAGTGGTGCCTAAACAATTTAAGCAAATAGGACCCTGGGTACTGAGGTACTTTGTAAGCCCTGTCTGTATGTTTGGCCATATGAGTTTAGATATTATTCAATTTTACTCCCTCTGGAATTTGCAGCTATTCAAATCTACACAGTAATGAATGACTAAAAGCTAGTGGCAAAAGACAAGTATTTAAAGAATGACAGAAACAGGAAGAAATGCGTATCTGGGGAAAGTCATTAACTGTCTTTCCTGTGATGAGTGACTTCCAGAGGGCAAGAACAAATATGTTCTACATCAAAGTATCCCTGTATACTTTTGAAGGAAGTTATTTCTGTCTGCTCAAAGATTTTATGAAATGCTATACTTGGTGATAAGTTACCACTCTTCCACCCCCTCACTGGCATAGAATTACAACACAAGAGAATAACAATTAAATATTATTTGAGCTGTGGTTTAGAATGCATATATTTAGGACTTTAACAGAAATGACATTGGGTGGCATTTGCTGAAGAGCGGTATGACATGAAAATCAAATCCTTGAGAAAATAAATGACCACTCTACCAGAATGCTTAAGGTCAAGTCTATGGAGAACATTGTACCATCTTACAACTATTTTGATCTTCAGTATTTTTCTTTTTTGAGAAACATTTCTCTGATTTCCTTTTATTTAGACTTGTAGTTGAAGCAGCAGGCAAAAATAGCAGGCCCATAAAAGATCTTTTCTCCATTGATGTATATACGTTTCTTGATCATTTCTATAAACTCAGAAAGTCACATGGATATTCCAAAAATGGTGTCATATGAAAAAGTCATTTCCATCATAGTTTGTGATATTTTTCTGTATGTGCAGTTCATGTATTATATTCACTATGGTGTCATTTCATAGAATGAGGCTCTCTGGGTAGCAGGAGAAAACGCTAGGCAAATAGGGAAAACATCTGAGATTAAAAGTTTTCCAGGAAATATGTCATAAGGCAACACTAAGTATATGAATCATTGAAAGAGAACTATCTGGAGATCTCTGGGGACAAAAACTTCTAAGAATCATAAAAATGTGTTATCATGATTCCTGCTGGTAACTTGAGCCAACTTCAAAGCTTTCTTTCGGGGATTATGCCAAGAGTACCCATTATCAGAAAGGAGTAATTAGAGTGAATTATTATTATGTCCAACCTGCCTTAGATGGAGTACAGCTGCTGAGTCACACTATAAAAATGAAATTGGAGCATTCACCTGCTTATGTAGTTTGTTTGAATTGTATATCTGGTTTTCAAAGCCTGAACAGTGACACCAGAAAAATAAAAAGTCATCACAGAGTTTAGCAGACATCAGATTTGAATGCCCTCTTCTTATGTATTGCAACAAGGCAATATAATTTTCTGGACATTTTTAACACTTTAAAGATTAATTAGTTTTCATGGGGTGTTATTTAAACATAGAAATTTTATTCTATCATAAAAATAACCATTGTTCCCAGATGTGTCTGTTTAACTGTATTTATAGTGCTTGCAGTTGCAGTTCCTGGAGCCTCACTATCTGCTGCAACTGCTTCATAAAGGAAAATTTAGACAGAAGGTCACAATATAATAAAATCCTTTCTCATTCACTTCTGCAATGAACTTGAAAGGAACAGGTGCATGGTCTGGGAGGAAGACTGATTGATGATTGATTATCCAAAAGATTGCTTCTTTTTTTTTTCTTATTTTTCTTCTTTTCCTTTCCCACTCAGTAGGTTCCCCAAAATATCATGAGAAAGCAGTTTAATACAAACAGATACATCTTACTCTAGTTAAAAAAACAATTATGAAGAAGTAGAATGACATAGACAACTGATAAAAGAAGATGTAACTCATTTTTTCCCTCATTTTTGATGCATACACATCTGGGAATTTCATACACAAAGTTAAGGAAGTAAACAGATGTCTGCTGTTGATCGCCATCTCTGGTGAACTTTCAGAGCCCAGCAGTAATTTGCCCCGTGGCTCTCTCCTTATCAGAAGGGCATTATAAACTCTCACCTGGGAGTGAGCACCGCAGCCTGCCCAAGCAACATTCATCTGGCATCAATCCTGGTCATAAAACAAGCCCATGAGTAATATAACAGCCCAGGTGTCTACAATTTCCGACTTCCAAACCATCTGAAAGCATGCAACAACTTTCAAATCACGGTTTCCCTATCTCTATTTAAGGACAGTGAAGAGAACTCTAAGAATTGTAACCTAGTCCCAGACATACTTTGGTTGAGTGTAACACTCTTGCTCATTTCCCATCAAGACAGCAAATACTGTGAGTGATCAAAAAGGAATGACATACTCCAGGAGTGTAAAAGCAACTGGACCAATATCAGCAATGCAGGTTGCATAACCAGCAAATGCCTGATCTTGAAAAGATTGTCTTGACTTGCCAATGTGTTCTTCATTCAACAGCTAGGAGAGTATGTTGGTGGTACCCAGACCAAGAAGCCTCGAACATCTGAAGTGGTTTACACTGCTAAAGACAAGACAGCAGTTGTGATCAAAAACATTTCTAGCTGAATATATATTTTTGTCCTGGGTTTGAAGACACAAAAATAATGTATAGACCCTAAAGTTTATACTTATTTTAAAAATTAGGGAAAGAGAACTAGATAGAGGTGATGGTTGCAAAATGTTGCGAATGTACTAAATGCCACTCAATTGTACACTTTAAAATGATTAATTTTATGTTGTGTGAATTCCATCTTAATAAAAAAGAATTTTAAATGGTGAGAAAACATTTACATAAGGAATTAAGGCCAAAACACTCTGGGAACAATTCCTAAATAATTCTTTCATTCCACAAACTTTTTTTGCACACTTATAAGCAAAGTAAATACTAAGTAAAGCAATACTAAGGTATGGGACTTAGAAAATTAAGACACTATAAAGCAAAGTAAATACTAAGTAAAGCAATACTAAGGAATGGGACTTAGAAAATTAAGACCCTTATATTCTCATCCTTCAAAATCCCCAGAGGATTTAAAGCCAGGATACCTAGTCTTTTGTTGTTGTTGTTTTTGTTGTTATTCTAATAAAGACTTCTGGGAAAGAAAATCTTTTCTCGGTCTTATCAAGCTAAGGTTCTAGGGTTAGACAGCCTGGCTTCCATCTGTGCAAGTCTAAGCATGCTGGTTAACCTCAACAAGTCTCACTTTTCCCATGAAAAAAGGAAGACAATAAAGAGATCAAACCTCAGAAGGATGTTTTGAGGATTTAGATAACACAGGTAAAGCATGTAGTATAATACTAGCATTAAATTGATATTAAGCTTGATTGTTGACATTATTATGTAGCTTTATCATTTATGTCAATATAATGTTTAAAATTGTTTTTGCTTCCTTTATTTTTCAGCACATTTCCATGATTGTACAGTATATCTTAATGATAATGAAATCAGCAGCTCTGAATCAAATTAATTTTTAAAAGATTCTAAACGTGGTGTATCTTACTGGTATAGTAACCATGATACTGGTATAGGACCGTGATACCATAGATTCAACTAACTAGTTAAGAGCTCAATAATCAGTTAATTCTTTTCTTTTCCTTCAAGTCTCCCCATTCCTAACTGTTGCAAAAAAAAAAAAAAAAAAAAAAAAAAAAACCAAAACAGAGGAAACTCTGTTACCTCCTAAGATAGGCTTGCTGTCTTGTAAAATAGCATTCAAGCTAGTGAAAGTTTTGGGGGAGAATAAGAGTGAAATAAATACATCTACTTCTACTTGCAGTTTATTCTTTTTCTTTTTTTGTGAAAAATTAACTTTATTATTTTATTGAGGAATAATTTACGTGTAACAAAACGTCCCATTTTAAATGTACAGTTGGTGAGTTGCAACAAATATATACTCATATATAACCACCACTACAATCAAGATAGCAAACATTTCTATCACCCCCCAAGATTACCCTTGTGCCTCTTTGCAATCAACCCCACCCCGTCCTTTGCGTCAGGCAACTATTTATCTGCTTTATGACATTTACGTTAGTACAGTGTCATCTACAACACAGCATTTGCAAATTATGACCCACAAGTTTTTTTAGTAAAGGTCTAAAGATAAAAATATTTTTTACATGTTTAAATGATTTTTCAAGAAGAATATTTTATGATAGATAAAATGCTTATGAAATTAAAATCTCCGTGTTCACAAATAAGGTTTGATTGTTACAGTCACACTCCTTCCTTATATATTGATTGTGGCTGTTTTTGAGCTGCAGTGACAGAGTTAAGCGGTTGAAACAAAGACAATATGGCCTGAAAAGCTGAAAATACTTACTATTCGGTCTTCTTACAGAAAATTGAATTAAACAGTGTACGATCTTTTCAATCTGGCTTCTTCGCTCACTGTAAGCTTTTGAAATTCATCTATACTGTTGCATGTAATAGCAAGTGGGCCTTTTTACCGCTGAGTAGTATTCCATTAAATATACCACAATTTGTTTCCTTACTGCCATACTCACATACATATGAGTTGTTTCCAGTTTGGGGCTGTCATAAATGACGCTGTGTTAAAATTCTTACACAAGTCATTTTGTGTTCATATGTTTTCATTTCTCTTGGTGAAGTAGCTAGGAGTAGACTTGTTGAGTCACATACTAAGGGTATGCTAATGTGATAAGAAACAACTGTGAATTAGACTTGCAGTTGCTCCATGCCTTTGCCATTCCAAAGACTGGCAAGAATTTGAAATTTGTATTCTTAGGGATTAAAATGCCAAGTATCTTTAAGCAAAAAACACACAATCTAACTTGAGTATTTATATTGCTCTATTTTTGTTAACATGTCTTTCTTAAAAATAAATTCTACTGTGTATATTTAAGGTGTGCCACATGATGTTATGGGATACATAGAGATAGTAAAGAGGTTACTACAGTGAAGAAATGAGCATCCATCACTGTTAATTACACTCATGTTTCTACCTCTCTTACCTCTTGTTTTCAGAAAATAATATTGTCTTTGGATTTCTACTTAATACTCTATGCCTTTTATAGAAGACTAAAATATATCTTATTTTTAAATTCTGGTGATGATAAAGCAGAACTGGATCACACACATTTTTTTGTAAGGGGCCAGATAGTTTAGGCTTTGCTGGCCACATATGGTTGCTGTTTAATATTCTCCTTCCTCCTCTTTTTCTTTCTTTTACAAACCTTTAAAAATGTGAAAAATACTCTTAGCTGATAGACTGTACAAAAACAGGCTATGTGCCAGATTCAGCCAATGGGTTGTAGTCTACCATTGAAACAGAATACTATTTTTTTATAATGTAACGATGCTCAGAGTTTTACCTATTGTTTCTTTAAAAATACTGAACATGAATCAATCTGACATCATAATAAATAGCTTTCAAAGAAAGTAATCTGAGATCTGGAAAACTCTCTCTTAAGTGGATGACAGAAAGCCAGCATTATCTCAGAACAAGCTCCTACAGCTGATTATTACATATTCAAGAATTTTGCTATCTGATTATTAAACCACTGACAGCTTGAAATGGACCACATTTTGAGTATTTACACCAGAAAAAATCAGCAAATACTATTTTTTTTTTTTGAGACAAGGTCTCACTCTGTCACTCAGGCTGGAGTGCAGTGGTGCCATCATGGCTCACTGCAGTCTTGACCTCCTAGGCTCAGGTGATCCTCCCACCTCAGCCTCCCAAGTAGCTGGGATTACAGGCACACACCACAACACCTGGCTAATTTTTGTATTTTTTTGTAGAGATGGGGTTTCACCATGCTGCCCAGACTGGTCTTGAACTCCTGGGCCCAAGTGATCCACCTGCCTTGGCCTTCCAAAGTACTGGCATTACAGGTGTGAACCACCATGCCCAGCAGCAAATACTTTTTATTTTATTTTAGAGATCAGATCTATCATCATGCCATTGGCAACACCCTTGTGAATACTAGTGCTTTGCTGTCTGTATGCACAGCCTGATGGTACCCAGACTAGCAGAAAGTTAATCCATTAATCACACTCCCCAGATACTGTGGGGGACAACCCATCCTTGTTTCCCATCATAATGTGGAACATTTATATTTTTCTCTCACCTGTAATCTAACTGGAAATTGAGAAATTCTAACCATAAATTTAAAAATGCAGTTTCTATAACATTCACTGAGAAGGCACAAGAAAATAGGAAATGCTTCTATATCTGAATTGCTGTATATTTCTGGTTTTATTTTTTCTGTTCATGTGCAAATGCATGTTCTAATTTTTCCTTGTATATAATTAAAATAATAAAGTTTCTCATAAATTTAGTTTAATATTTTGCACTATGTTTATAAAAATTTCAGATGACAGCTTCTTTCTGATTTTGACTTCTGTAAATTGAGTTGGATCATTGTATAGATCAAGGGTCACCTGCAGGACAAATCTGATCACTGCCCAGCCATGAGCTAATGTTTTTACATATTAAAGCATTATTTAAAAAAGAAAAAAAAAGGAAGTGGAGACAGAGAAGAAGATGCAACAACAACCATATACTCTACAAAGACTAAAATTTTAACTATTTGGCCCGTACAGGAAGTTTGCCAATCCTTTGTATAGATAATCAACACAGCATTAATATTACATAATTTACTTAATATTTTGCTCACTATGATTCTATTAGTCTGTTTTCACAATGCTATAAAGAACTACCTGAGCCTGGGTAATTTATGAAGAAAAGAGGTTTAATTGACACACAATTCCACAGGCTATACAGGAAGCATGGCTGGGAGGCCTCAGGAAACTTACAATCATGGCAGAAGGTGAAGGGAAAAGCGGGCACATCTTACCATGGCAGAGTAGGAGAGAGAGAGAGAGCAAAGGGGAAAATGCTACACACTTTTAAACAACCAGATCTCATGAGAACTTTATCATGAAGCAGCAGTAGGGAGATGCTGCTAAACCATTAGAAACCACCCCCATAATCCAATCACCTCCCACCAGGCTTCAACTTCAACACTCAGAATCACACTTCAACATGAGATTTGGGTGGGGACACAGAGCCAAACCATATCAATGGTATACAAGATAGGGAACAAATTATCTTCCTATTTGTTCTCTTTTAAAAATGACAAAGAAATAAGAATATAGGAAAAGGAGCAACGGATTTACTGGAAATTTCCTTGTTTTCCTCTCTTTGGGACTTTTTTCTCACCCTCCCCATTTTTGTAGGTAAGAACATTAATTTAAAAACAGGAAAGAATGAGTGAAGCAGGGAGTAATAAACTCTCCGTGTCTATCACTTCACTTTCCACCAAGCCAGCATTCCTCAAATATTCATGAGTACTCAACTTTTAAAACAGGATATGTAAATAAATTGTACTCACAACTTGTGACAGGCTAGGTACCACAAAATTGAAATATAGTTATCTACGTAGAAATCCTGTGCTTCTGGTGTTTACATGTTCCATTCAAGATACTTTATTGAGAACCTGCTGTACCCAAGGAACTATATTATGGGTCACCGGTCTGAAAGCAGTCTAGATACATACTTAGCTATAATAAAAAATTAAGCGTACAGTCACACTGTGTGTAAACAATTCATTTTATTCAGGCATTCCTCCAAATGTCAATGTCTTCTCATATTTAGCACTCTACCAGTTTGCATGAAAATCTGCATTTACAAAGGAAATATTTGACTAGGCTGTTGACAGAAAGAACCTAAGACAGAAGAGCTTCTTTAATTTTTCTCTTTTTTCTCAGCCTTTCCAAGAGAGCAAACACCAGCTCTATTCAGGTTAGGCAGCTGTTGATGGACATCTGAGTATTGGTAATAGGAACTTCCTGGGCTGATCATAAAACTCAGGGTCTTGGTTTTGCCCTGGGTTACAAGCAGACCAAATCGAATGTATGCAACTTGTACAGTATTTGAAATATAGAGAATGAGAAGGAGATGGCAGTGGGAAGAGCAAGGAAAAGGCAAAGACCAAAGAAACACAACACAAAGCTCTGGAGGCAGAAGGGCTGGGATTGTGGTAGAGAAACTTACCAGATCATGTGAGGGTTTGCAGGCCACGTAAAGAGCAGTTTGAAAGCAGCAGAGTGTGCTTAGAAGAAACAACAAGATTTGATTCTACTTTTAAAAGTTCACACTTGGGGCTGTTAGATGGTAAATGAATGGTCATCAGGAGGAGAAGAATTAAAAAGACCAGTTGACAGGTTATTTCAGATAGTTCAGGTAGCAAATAATATTGGCAATGGAGAAGGAGCAAGGAAACATAATCATAATGTATTTTTGAGTTACTAATGTCAGGATTTTTGCAATGGGCTAGTGATGTTCTATTTTACTATGGAATTAAATGAGAGTTCAATAACAGCTTACACGAGAAATTCTAGTGCTCCATGTCATTCTCCTAATCTACATTGTATATTCTTTCATGAAAAGATAATCACTTTGCTTTTATGCAAAGATATTAAATAATAACTGTTGTAGACTGAATGTCTGTATCCCTCCAAAACTCATAAATTGGCATTTAATCCCCAATGTGATGGTATTTGAAGGTAGGATCTTTGGGAGGTAATTATGTAATAAGAGTGGAATTCATACCCTTGTAAGAAGAGGCCAGAAAGTCAGCACATTCTCTTTTCATCAAGTGCATACAACCAGAAGTCAACAATCTGGAACCTGGAAGACAGCCCTTGCCAGAATCAAACCATGCTGTTCATACAACCCTCATCTCAGACATCCAGCCTCCAGAACAGTAAGAAATAAATTTCTGTTGTGTATAAGCCATTCAGTCTCTGGTATTTTATTAAAGCAGCCAAATTGACTAATACAGTCACTCATACTTCTTCTACATAAAGTTGGTACTCAATTGATGCTTTTGTAGAGTAGAGATGTGGTGGTCATGGGCATGAAATGACCAGATATTACTTCCAGGAAGACTCTGCTATAAGGAGAGTCTGTGGACAGTCTCCATCTGCCACATCTTTGGGATCTACCACAACATTCACCTCAAGACCTTTCTTTCCCTGAGCTGCTCTTAGTCAATGACGAAGCATAGAACAGGTTCTAGAGCAAGACTATTTCGGCCCAATGTGCAACATTTGTAATGGACAACCTTTGTGTTGGGACTGCCCATCAGCCTGGCTGGCCAAGCCTTTCTCAGAGCTATGTTGTAGCCTGAGGCTCTTCCTACTCAAATCTCCTTCCTTTTCTCTCTCCTTCCACAAGCATAAGAACTGCATCACTTCTGAAGGTTCTTCCCTCCTATTCCTGTTCTCTCTCCTCTTTATCCTTTACAGGCATTTCCCCCAGTATATCCCTTGCACATCTAGTTCTATCATGACAACTGCTTCCTAGAAGACTTGAACTAATGCTAGAGGTAATTATAAATATTAACATTAGTACTCTGCAATTTTGTGCTACTATTTCTTGGAAACAAATCAATAAAATGACAATAAAGGAAATTTTTTAATGACCAAAACACACACACACCAGAAAAAAAAAAAAAAAAAAAAAAACAGATGAAAAGATCAGAGTTCAGACTTTTAAGCTAGAAGGCAGATGATTGTGAATGAGTGGTCACTGGTCATGGATTTGGCATACCAGAGAGCGCTGAATCCTAAAATGACAAAGCAAGAGGTCAAAACGGCATTTTATGTACCATACAATGTTTTCAAAAATTTAGAAGTTGGCAGCATCAGTTACTTCTGGTATTAAAAGTAAAGGTGGGGAAAAAAGATTAGTTGAAAATCTAAGACAAAAGTAGAACTCCCCTGACCCCACTGCAGGATCACCTTGGTGAGGGGTAGTGACATCTGTATGTGCAGCCAAGCAAGCTTCCATCCCCCATCCCAGCAAAAGACTAGAGATTTATGTTCTAAAAAGAGCAAAGCATAAAGGACTCCACACTGAGAAATAAGGCCCATTGATGAAGAGGTACTTCCCAACATTTTTCACCCACTTAGATTCTAGAACTGTGGAAGCCAGGAGTTCGCCATCCATATAGAAAATAGAAAGTCTCTCTTCTAGGAAACCTGACTACACCAAGAATTAAGATTTAAAATACTGTATTTGGGCTTGCACAAGGATATGACTTACAGGAAGATCACAGTAAACAAGTCCCAGACATTGGAAGGGAAAAAAATGTGGTATTGAAAACAGAGACAAAATATGCAAGTAAAAAAAAAAAAAAAAAAAGCAAGTGAATAAAAACTAAGCAAGTAGACAGGTGACTAAATGAAGAGAATTTATTATTTTCAAAGAGATAAGAAGTGTATTTATGCAAAGAAGAAGTGAATGCTAGAGGAAAGGTATCTTTGTTGAATTAAAAAAATGCTTTTTGAAATTAAAAATACAAGAGCAGAAATTTTTGAAAAATTCAATATAAAGTGTGAAGGATAAAGTTGAGGAGATCAGAAACAGAAAACAAATAAAATAGTAGGAATCATAGAAAGGAAATAATCACATGAAAATTTCAAAACAACATCCCCCCCCAAAAAAAAGATAGGTTTTATAGTTTTAAAATGTCCAGAGAGTCCACAGGACAATGGATGAAAGTGGATCTATTCCAAGACACAACATTGTAAAATGTCTACTCTTGCAACTAAGATCCCATAATTTTGTAGAAAAATGGATTTTATAATAAGGTTCTGAAATCTATGATTATATTTTCTTTCAATAGTACCTGTAGATACCAAAATACTGTAGAGAAATATCTTCAACATTGTTAGAAAAAAGTATTTCCAAAGTAAAAATTATACATCCTGCTAAATTCCCAATTCATCGTGAAAGCAGAGTCAAGACATCTTTAGATGTATAAGGTGTCAAAACTTTACTCCTCCATACCTACTATCACAGCATCCATGCAGAAAAAATAAGACATGAATTCTGGGAAATAGGAAACCAGCTTGGAAAGATGAAGGAAATCAAGATGATGGTTAAGAGAAATCCCAGGGCAGCAGCTGTGCAGCTAATATAGAGAGCAATCCACCTTGACTAGAGTATGTTAGAAAGTTTCAGAAGACCAGGTCAGAAGGCAACAATGATAGATTATCGAACATCTATAATCTTACTGAGAAACAGACAGAGCTGAAGCAAAGATTCAGCTTGAATTAATAATCAGTACAAAGAAATCAAAAAAGGAATAAGGCAATTATCATCAACAAAAACTTTTAAAGGAAAAATGATTATAATATACTATATGACTCAGCTGTGACTAAGGTTTTCATAGTTATAATATCATACAGAAATGAATGTTGATGTAATAACAATTACCAAATTACTCCCTTCTAAAGAAGAGTTGATAAGATTCCTGTAGACAAGGAGTAAGGAAAAGATAGCCAACTCTCCATCTTCTATAATAGTAGTTTAAGAAATAATTTTTAAAGCAAAGTTTTTTTAAATAGTGATATTATCAAACATTAATTAGAGATATGTACATAAATGTTGAAAGAATCTGCTGAAAAAGTTAGGAAGGATTGCCTTGGGGAGCAGAACAGCTGTCTTCTGCAACAAGACAAAAGTACAGGCAGAAAATCAACAACCCCCCCCAACACACACAATATTATTTTCTTAATAATAATATCATCATCCCTATAATTTAATTGTCCAATCAAGTTTGCCAAAGAAACCCAGCTCTAGGACAATCTTGCTATACTATCATTAGACTAGAAACCCCAGTAATCTTGATTTTAGTTGACTAACTTTGAATGTCATGACTCATTCCAAAGAAATATTCTACACAGATAAAACTAACGTAAAATTAAAAGAAGCATCAATGAAGATTCAGATTTCAACCATAGGCTTCCAATTAAGGGAAGAAGGGACAAGGGGAGGATGAGAGGAAGTCAGTTTGGTCACTCTAACTTCTGGTAGGTAATTGCTTATTTTCCTGAAGATTTTAATCTATGCCAAGTAATATATATTATATACATATTATATATATTTTATTTATATATATATTATATATAATATATATAATATATAATATATATTATATATAATATATAATAAGTATATTATATAATATATAATATGTATATTATATATAATATATATTATATAATATATATTATATATTATATAATATATATTATATAATATATAATTATATATATTATATATTATATATTATATAATATATAATTATATATATTATATAATATATAATATATAATATATAATTATATATATTTATATAATTATATATTATATATATAATATATATCTCAACAGCATCAACAAAAAAGACCCCACGAAAACCCCATCCAAAGGTCAGCAGCCTCAAAGATCAAAGCTAAATAAACTCATGAAGATTAGAAAGAATCAATGAAAAAACACTGAAAACTCAAAAAGCCAGATGCTTCTTCTCCTCCAAATGATCACAACACTTCTCCAACAAGGGCATAGAGTTGGGCAGAGGCTGAGACGGATGAATTGACAAAAGTGGGCTTTGAAGGTGGGTAATAACAAACTTTGCTGAGCTAAAAGAGCATGTTCTAACCTAATGCAAAGAACCTAAGAATCTGGATCTTCACTGATGCTTCTTTTAATTTTACATTAGTTTTATCTGTGCAGAATATTTCTTTGGAATGAGTCATGACATTCAAAGTTAATCAACTAAAATCAAGATTACTGGGGTTTCTAGTCTAATGATAGTGTAGCATTACAGGAGCTGTCAACCAGAATAAACAGTTTAGAGAGGAATAGAAATGCCCTGATGCAGCTGAAAAACACAAGAACTTCACAATGCAACCATGAGTATCAATAACTGAATAGATCAAGCAGAGGAGAGAATTTCAGAGCTTGAAGACTATCTTGCTGAAATAAGACAGGCAGATAAGATTATAGAAAAGAAGAATAAAAAGGACAAACAAAACCTCTGAAAACTATGGGATTATGTAAAAAGATCAAACCCACAACTGATTGAGGTACCTGAAAGACACATGGAGAACGGAACCAAGTTAGAAGACATACCTCAAGATATCATCCAGGAGAACTTCCCCAACCCAACAAGAGAGGCCAACATTCAAATTCAGGAAATCCAGAGAATGCTAGTAAGGTACTCCATGAGAAGATCAACCCCAAGACATAAAATCATTAGATTCTCCAAGGTCAAAATGAAGGAAAAAAAATGTTAAGGACAGCCAGAGAGAAAGACCAGGTCACCCACTAACGGAAGACCATCCTACTAACAAGCAAACCTCTCAGTGCAAACCCTATAAGCCAGAAGAGATTGGGGACCAATATTTAATATTCTTAAAGAAAACAATGTCCAACCTAGAATTTGATATCTGGCCAAACCTAGCATCATAAGCAAAGGAGAAATAAAATCCTTCTCAGACAAGCAAATGCTGAGGAAATTTGTCACCACCAGGCCTGCCTTGCAAGAGCTCCTGAAGGAAGCTCTAAATATGAAAAGGAAAAACTGTCATCAGCCACCACAAAAACACACTGAAGTACAAAGACCAATGACACTATGAAGCTACTACGTCAACAAGCCTGTGAAATAACTAACTAGCATCATGATGACAGGATCAAATTCACACATAACAATACTAACCTTAAATATAAATAGGCTAAATGCCCCCAATTAAAAGACACAGAATGGCAAACTGGATAGAGTCAAGACCCATCAGTGTGCTGTATTCAAGAGACCCATCTCATGTGCAAAGACACATGTAGGCTCAAAATATAATGATGAAGTAAAATTTACCAGGCAAATGGAAAGCAGAAAAAAGTAGGGGTTGCAATCCTAGTTTCTGACAAAACAGACTTTAACCAACAAATATCAACAAGAGAAAGAAGGGCATTACTTAACAGTAAAGGGATCAATTCAACAAGAGGAGCTAACTATCCTAAATATATGTGCACCCAATACAGGAGCTCCTAGGTTCATAAAACAAGTTCTTAGAGACCTACAAAGAGACTTAGACTCCCATACAATAATAGCACGAGACATTAATACTCCATAGTCAATATTAGACAGATAATTGAGACAGAAAATTAACAAGGATATTCAGGACTTGAACTCAGCTCTGAATCAAGTGTACCTGATAGGTATTTACAGAACTCTTCACCCAAAAACAGAATATACACTCTTTTTGGTGTCATATGGCACTTACTCTAAAAGTGATCACATAATTGGAAGTAAAACACTCCTCAGCAAATGCAAAAGAACTGAAATCAATAACAGTCTCTCAGACCACAGCACAATCAAAGTTGAACTCAAGATTAAGAAACTTGCTCAAAACCATACAACTACATGGAAATTGAACAATCTGCTTCTGAATGACTCTTGGGTAAATAATAAAATTAAGGCAAAAATCTAGAAGTTATTTGAAACCAATGAGAACAAAGAGACAGCATACGAGAATCTCTGGGACACAGCTGGAGTAGTGTTAAGAGGGAAATTTATAGCACTAAATGCCCACATAGAAAAACTAGAAAGGTCTTAAATTGACACACTAAAGTCACAACTATTAATAAAATAACTAGAGAACCAAGAGCAAAGAAACCCCAAAGCTAGCAGAAGACAAGAAATAACCAAGATCAGAGCAGGACTGAAGGAGACAGAGACACAAAAACACTTCAAAAAATCAATGAATCCAGGAGGAGTTTTTTTGGAAAAATTAATAAAATCAATAGACCACTAGCTAGACTAATGACGAAAAGATAGAAGAATCAAATAGACACAATAAAAAATGATAAAGGGGATATTACCACTGACCCCACAGAAATACAGACAACCATCAGAGAATGCTATAAACACATCAATGCACATAAACTAGAAAATCTAGAAGAAATAGATAAATTCCTGGACACATACACCCTCCCAAGACTAAACCAGGAAGAAGCTGAATCCCTGAGTAGACCATTAACAAGTTCTGAAATGGAGGCCGTAATAAGTAGCAGTCTGTCAACCAAAAAAGCCCACAACCAGACAGATTTGCAGCAGAATTCTACCAGAGATACAAAGAGGAGCTGTTATCATTTCTTCTGAACTAATCCAATTGAAAAGGAGGGACATATCTCTAACTCATTTTATAAGGCCAGCATTATCATGATAGCAAAATCTGGCAGAGATACAACAAAAAAGAAAACTTCAGGCCAATATTCCTGATGAACATCAATGCAAAAAATTCGCAATAAAATACTGGCAAACTGAATCCAGCAGCACATGAAAACTCTTACCCACCATGATCAAGTTGGCTTCATCCCCAGGATATAAGGCTGGTTCGACATCCACAAATCAATAAATATAATTCATCACATAAACAGAACTAAAGACAAAAACCACATGATTATCTCAATAGACAAAGAAAAGGCCTTTGATAAAATTCTACATCCCTTCATGTTAAAAACTCAATAAACTGGATATTAATGGAAAATACCTCAAAATAATAAAAGCCATTTATGACAAACCCATAGCCAATATCAGACTGAATGGACAAAGGCTGGAAATATTCCCCTTGAAAATCAGCACGAGACAAGGATGCCCTCTCTCACCACTTCACTTCAACATAGTATTGGAAGTTCTGGCTAGGGCAATCAGACAAGAGAAAGAAAGAAAGCGTATTTGAATAGGAAGGGAGGAAGTCAAACTGTCTGTTTGCAGATGACATGATCCTATATCTAGAAAACCGTATTGTCTCAGCCCAAAAGCTTCTTAAGCTGATAAGCAACTGCAGCAAAGTCTCAGGATACAAAGTCATTGTGCAAATATCACAAGCATTCCTGTACAACAACAATAGACAAGCAGAGAGCCAAATCATGAATGAACTCTTATTCATAATTGCTATAAATAGAATAAAACACCTAGGAATACAGCTAACAAGGGAAGTGAAGAACCTCTTCAAGGAGAACTACAAACCACTGCTCTAGGAAATTAGAGAAAATACAAACAAATGGAAAAACATTCCATGCTCATGGATAGGAAGAATCAATATTGTGAAAATGGCCATAGTGTCCAAAATAATTTATAGATTCAATGCTATTCCCATTAAATGACCATTGACAGTCTTCATATAATTAGAAAAAACTACTTTAAAATTCATATGCAACCAAAAAAGAGCCCTTATATCCAAGACCATCCTAAGCAAAAAGAACAAAGCTGGAAGCATCATGCTAGTTGACTTCAAACTATACTACAAGTCTACAGTAACCAAAACAGCATGGTACTGGTACAAAAACAAACATATAGACCAATGGAACAGAATAGAGACCTCAGAAATAAGACCACACATCTACAACCATCTGACCTTTGACAAACCTGACAAACACAAGTAATGGGGAAAGGATTCCCTATTTAATAAATGGTACTGGGAGAACTGGCTAGCCATATGCAGAAAACTGAAACTGGGCTCCTTCCTTACACTTTATACAAAAATTAACTCGAGATAGATTAGAGACTTATATGTGAAACACAAAACAACCAAAACCCTATAATAAAATCTAGGCAATACCATTCAGGACATAAGCATGGGCAAAGACTTCATGAATAAAACACCAAAAGCAATTCCAACAAAAGCAAAAATTGACAAATGGGATCTAATTAAACTAAAGAACTTCTGCACAGCAAAATAAACTATCATCAGAATAAACAGACAACCTACAGAACGGGAGAAAATTTTTGCAATCTAACCATCTGACAAAGGTCTAATATCCAGAATCTACAAGGAATTTAAACAAATTTACAAGAAAAAAAAATAGCCCCATTAAAAAGTGGGCAAAGGACATGAACAGATACTTCTCAAAAGAAGACATTTATACAGCCAACAAACATGTGAAAAAAACTCAACGTCACTGATTATTAGAGAAATGCAAATCAAAACCCCAATGAGATACCATTTCACACCAGTCAGAAAGGAGATTATTA
Source organism: Homo sapiens (assembly GCF_000001405.40). Lineage (NCBI taxonomy): Eukaryota > Metazoa > Chordata > Mammalia > Primates > Hominidae > Homo > Homo sapiens. The sequence continues at coordinate 71,648,259 of NC_000017.11, forward strand.
AAAAGTCAAGAAACAACAGATGCTGGCGAGGATGTGGAGAAATAGAAATGCTTTTACACTGTTGGTGGTAATGTAAATTAGTTCAACCATTGTGGAAGACAATGTGCCAATTCCTAAAGACCTAGAGCCAGAAATACCATTTGACCCAGCAATCCCATTACTGCGTATATACCCAAAGGAATACAAATCATTCTCTTTTAAAGATACATGCACTTGTATGTTAATTGCAGCACTATTCACACTAGCAAAGACATGGAATCAACCCAAATGTCCATTAATGATAGATGGGATAAAGAAAATGTGGTACATATATGTCATGGAATACTATGCAGCCATAAACAGGAACAAGATCATGTCCTTTGTAGGGACATGGATGAAGCTGGAAGCCATTATCCTCAGCAAACTAACACCAGAACAGAAAATCAAACACTGCATATTCTCACTTATAAGTCGGAGCTGAACAATGAGAACACACAGACACACGGAGGGGAATAACACACACTGGGGCTTCTTGCGCGCAAGTGAAGGGAGGGAGAGCACCAGGATAAATAGCTAATGCATGCTGGGCTTAATACCTAGGTGATGGGTTTATAGGTGCAGCAAACCACTATGGCACATGTTTTACCTATGTAACAAATCTGCGCATCCTCCACATGTATCCCCGAACTTAAATTAAATTAAATTTGAAAAATGCTCAATGAGATAAAGCATATATAAAATATATACATATTTCATGACAAAAATCAGAAAATGGTATCTAAAATGTAGACGAAAGATCCAATAATGCTAACATAAATAAGGAAGTAATTCCCAAGGCAAGCCTGCAAAATGAAGTGCACACTGGGACCCAGGAACTGGGTGGCACTGGGAAACTGTTCCTTCTCCAATAGAATAGAACCGTGCTCCATGGAAGATATGACATCAGCCTTTTGTTATGACATCAGCCTCTGGTTTCTGAAGAGGAAGATGAGTGGAGTATGCAGCCTAGTAATTATTTTGCTGTGAATTTTCAGTGAAGATGCTCTTATCCTAAGTATTCCACTGATTAATACAGTGAGGTTTGGGGTTGAAAATAATAATGAAGAAAAAGCTCAGTTTATTCTCATTTGGCAAATTTACCAATGAAACAAAATATCAGGCGGGGTGCAGTGGCTCAAGCCTATCACCTCAGCAGTTTGGCAGGCCAAAGCAGATGGACTGCTTGAAGTCAGAAGTTTGAGACCAGCCTGGCCAACATGGCAGAACCCCATCTCTTTTAAAAATACAAAAATGTACCTGGATGTGGTGGCACATGCCTGTAATCCCAGCTACTCAGGAGGCTGAGACTGGAGAATCACTTGAACCTGGGAAGCGGAGTTTGCAGTGAGCCGAGATCAAGCCACTGTACTCCAGCCTGGATGAAAGAGTGAGACTGTCTCGAAAAAAAAAAAAAAAATCTATTAAGTATGCATCATTTCTGTTTTCTAATGCAATCTCTATGTTTATGAACAAAAAGCAAATTGAACTCTTCATTATAACTCCTTCTCCAAAAAAATCTCTGGACACAAGTGCTTCAAATCAGCAACCTTTCCCTGCATTACCCTTACCCTAATTAATGACCATAACGACACAAGGACTGGGACTCTTGCCAATTATTAGCTTCATCTCTGTGTTCTGTTTCTCAACATAAATTCAATAAACAACTCAAGACTTGCTGGAGTTTGAAAGCAAAAACCAAAGCCAAAGCCCTGTGTATATTAAAACCATTCCTGCAACAATAAACTCTGACTGGGAAATGAACTAATCATTCCTGTTGTTCAACTAAGCTCCCAACTGAAGAGGCTGAAATCACAGCCCCCTCAAAGAGGAAGCTCTGGCTTAAACAACAAGGAAAAAGCATTGACTGACCTTCAGGTACCCTTTGTTTCCAGGCTTCTCTGACATACCCTCTTTTTCTGCACCACATGCCTCTCATTCCTCCAAGCCAGCATTTGATAGTTGAGCTTAAGATGGTGAATGGTGATGGGTGACTCATAACCCACCATTTATATTCCATTAGGGGAAAATAAGCAAGATAGAGTGTCTGGTAACATGCTCTTAGACAAATAGTTTTCAATGTTTTCCCTTAGCGACATTTTTTAAAGGCACCAACAAGAAGAAAGTGAGAGTTCTGTTTAGCAATTGATGAATCTATCTGTGGCTAAAACCACTATGTAATTGGAAATCTTTGCAACATGAGAAAGTCTGTGCCCAAAACTCTATTGTATCATTTTTCATATTTCTTATATGACAATGATCTGATGACTTCTGTGCCCCTAAACTCTTCCTTTAACCATCTGGTTCTCGAGTTTAGTACAAGCCTGCTTAGATGCAATGGAAAACTTGGAAAGGATAACAACACATTCATTCAACAACTCATTTGTAGAACTTAGAATTTATTATGATTCTTACTAAGTGACAGGCAGCCTGAGAAGAGGGTTGTACATCAATCAATGCAATGATATGTGATGAATGACAGATGAAAAGATAGAACAAAGATACAGGACACATCCTACCAAACTGAAACAGGAGTGGCTGGTGTGCGATGCACATATAACAGAGTATTAGTTGTTTCTACACACAAGTTCTATGCATGAAAGGGTTACCTGCAAGAGCATGGTAACTCAGGCTAACTTCACACTGGACACTTAACTTCACAGAGGATCAGTGTTTTAGCCTCATTTATCTGTGACTCAGTCACAGACAATGAATAAGAAGGTTAACCTGAAAACTTTTTCCAAAGAAAATTGATGTCCTAATCTACCAGTAATACCTGAATATATCTATTTCTTTCTGCTTTTCAGAAATACCTTTGTTCTCTGATAATAGCATAAGAAATGTCCACACCCTCAGTTGCCTAGGAATTCAATAAATGAACACCAAGTAATTAGTGTTGTGTAGACCTTTATTTAAAGAGATAGCATTTTGGTGTGTTGAAATTTGTGTGACAAAAAGTTTGGCACACACAATAGCCATTTTTAGTTTTTTCATTCATGCTGAAATAGTTTGCCTCCCACGAGAGAGAAAGCAGATACAGATGCTCATTTTTCCAGCTTCCCTTGAGGCCAGGAGTAGGAATGCAACCAATTAGACCTAAGGAGAAATCTGCTCTGGGACCTTTGAGGTAGAATTAGAGAAAGCATGAGACTAACTCTCTTCTCCACATTCCTTCTTCCAGAATTTGGGTGTTGAGTAAGGACATGATACTTAGAGTTGCAGCATGAGGTGGGGAGAATGTCAACCCTAAGGATAACAAAAAAAAAAAAAATGGAAAGAGTTTGATTTTCTTATGCCATTATTAACCTGATGAACCTATCCCGGAACTGTCACAACTCTAATCTTTGTATATGAGATATGAATGGCCTCCAGTTGTTTAAGCCACGTTTGGTATGGAAGTCTCTAACTTGCATTTCAAAGCAAGTGATTGGTTTGGAAATAGGGAGGCATAAGCCAATTTGAACCAATGCAACACAGAAGAGGCTTTCTCTAAGCTCTTGGATAAAACAGTTTACCAAATATGAACACTGAAGTGTATTTTTTCAATTATTGCTGATAGCCATTTGAGACCTTGAAATGAGCCAGTGCAAGGTTGAGCCAATAGCGGAATAGCTGAGAGGAAACTTGGAAAGTGTCTACGTTCTTGATGACATTGTTGAGTCATTTAGTCAAACAACTCTGTAGTCCACACTTCATCTTGGCTTCCTAGCATGTGAGATAATTAATCCATGTAGGGTTTAAGCAAATTTTATATTGTTTACTATGGCAGGTTGATTGCATTGATGGTCCCAATTAATGATGTTTCTGGATCCAAGCTCTTTGCCTTGCAGCTTTGTAGGATCTGCCCACTCTAACTACAAAAATTGCTTTATCCAATAGAACGTGACAAAACTAATGGTGTGCTGGTTCTGAGCCTAGACCACAAGAGACCTTGAGTGTCTCTGTTCTATTGGAATCCTGCCACTGTCATGACTACCAGCCCGGGCCAGCCTGTAGATAATGAAAGACCGCATGGAAGAGAGCCGAGCTGTCTCAGCTGAGGCCATCCTAGACTCGTCTACAGTTAGCCGACACCCAAACACGAGAGACAGCCAAGCCAAAATCAGCAGAGCTGCCGACCCAACCAACAGCTGACCACAGACATATATGTGAGTCCAGCCAAGACCAGAAGATTTGCCCAGACGACCCATGGACTCATAAGCAATAATCAATGTTAAATAATAAATTGTTTTAAGCCACACTGAGTGTTGGGACGCTGTGTTATGCATTTAGTTACTTTTATTACTTGTAAATGAGAGCATTCTAGCTGATAAAGCAAAGTAGAAAGCTGAAGAGATGGGCAGAAGGCTTCCCTTATAATATACTCTAAGCACATGGGACATGCTTGAAAGGTTTTAATTAGGGAAATGATCAAATTTGCATTTTAAAAACACTATGGCTTGGATGTGGAGGATAATATTAAGATCAGGTAACTAAACTTGCATTAAAAACAACAGCCCAGCGTCAGGCACAGTGGCTCATGCCTATAATCCTAGCACTTTGAACGTCTGAGGCAGGTGGATCACTTGAGGCCAGGAGTTCAAGGCCAACCTGGACAATATGGCGAAACCCCATATCTACCAAAAATACAAAAAATTAGCCAGATGTGGTGGCATGTGCCTGTGGTCCCAACTACTTGAGAGGCTGAGATAGGAGAATCCCTCAAACCCAGGAGGTGGAGGTTGCAGTGAGCCATGATCATGCCACTGCACTCCAGCCTGGGCAACAGAGTAAAACCCTGTCTCATTCTAAAATAAAAAATAAAAAATAACAACAACGGACCAGGAAGGAAGGAAAATTTAAGATATAAGACAACATCATTTAAAAAACAAAGTTATCTGAGGGGGAAAAAAAGAAGAGAGATAAAGCACATAGGGTAGAAGTTGTAGATTTCTTGAGTTCCTACAATGCAAGTACACTTATTTGTAGCCTAGATCAAGTGTTCAAAGCGGGACCTTCAGATCAGCAATATCTGCAGCATTTGGAAATTTGTTAGAAATAAAAGTTGTCAGCCCACTGCAGATCTACCGAATCAGAAACAGAAAATGAGACCCAGCAATCTGTTTTCACAAGCCCTCCGGGTAGATAATGCTGATGCATGCTGAAGTTTGACCTAGGCCATGGGTAAGAATCTGTTAAGGATGACAAGTTGTTAAGGACACCAGCACCTTCTTTAGATCACCTTGGCTATGAGGGATGGAGCTGAGCTATTGCCAGTTTTGTCCGGCTGAAAATCTTTGTCAATTGATTAGAGGCTCGTTTCCCGGATTGCTCCTCTGGATTCTAATTTCTCAGTGTCCAGGTTTTATCAAGAGCTGTAGTGTCTCCTACGGGTCCTAAGCTTCCTTTATGACATGGCTCAGAGGAGTGACTTTCTCAACTGCACACAGAGAGACTAGGGTCTCTATAGGTCAATGGATATTGGAACACAGAGTGAATATATATTACATTAGTCCATTATGTATTGTATTAGTCCATTCTCACGCTGCTATAAAGAATACTACCTGAGAGGCCGCGTGCAGTGGCTCACACCTGTAATCTCAGCATTTTTGGGAGGCCGAGGTGGGTGGATCACATGAGGCCAGGAGGTTGAGACCAGCCTGGCCAACATGGTGAGTAGACTAAAAATATAAAAATTAGCCAGACATGGTGGTGCATGCCTGTAAGGATTAAATTAGCCAGGCATGGTGGTGTAATCGTTACAGGCATGCACCACCATTCTTGGCTAATTTTTGGGAGGCTGAGGCTAATTTTTTGGGAGGCTGAGGCTAACTTTGGGGAAGCTGAGGCACAAGAATCAGTTGAACCGGGAGGCAGAGGTTGAGGTGAGCTGAGATTGCGCCACTGCACTCCAGCCTGGGCAACAAAGTAAGACTCTGTCTAAAAAAAAAAAAAAAAAAAAAAAAGAAAGAAAGAAAAAAGAAAAAAAAAAGGATACTACCTCAGACTGGGTAATTATAAAGGAAAGGGGATTAATTGGCTCACAGTTCTGCATGGCTGGGGAGGCCTCTGGAAACTTACAATCATGGCTGAAGGGGAAACAGTCACCTTCTTCACAAGGCAGCAGGAAAGAGAGTGAATGCTAGCCCAGGAAAAACTTCCATTTTTAAAACCATCAGATCTTGTGACACTCACTCACCATCACGAGAAAAGTATGGGGGAAACTGCCCCCATAATCCAATTACAATTACAATTCAAGGTGAGATTTGGGTGGGGACACAAAGCCAGACTATATAATATATAGACAGAAGACACTGAATTTAGAAGACAACAAGATGAATAATCTTTCTCACCTCAAAAAGACCCAGGTATTAACCATCCATCTTCTGGCTGGGGAGGGGTTGATAGTGTCTTGTTTTGTCCTGCCATTCAGATATCATCCTCTAAGGAACAACGCTCACCTCCATATACTTTCTTCCTTCCTTTTTTTTTTTTTTTTTTTTTTTGAGAGCGAGCGAGCGAGCGAGCCAAGGTCTCGCTTTATCACCTAGGCTAGAGTGGAGTGGCGTGATCCCAGCTTACTCCAGCCTCAAACTCCCGGGCTCAAGGGATTAAGGGATTCTCCTTCCTCATCCTCCTGAGTAGCTGTGAATACAGGCATGCACCACCATGCCTGGCAAATTTTTTTTTTTTCTTTAAAGGTAGCATCATCTCACTATGTCACTGAGGCTGGTCTCAAACACTTGGCCTCCAGTTATCCTCCTGCCTTGGTCTCCCAAAGTGCTGGGATTACAGGCATGAGCCATCACACCAGGCCTGAATTCTATGCTTGATATGCTATGTCTTACTCTCTCAGAAATCTTCTGGACAACTTTTTTTTTTTAATTTTATCATTATTATACTTTAAGTTTTAGGGTACATGTGCACAATGTGCAGGTTACATATGTATACATGTGCCATGCTGGTGTGCTGCACCCATTAACTCGTCGTTTAGCATTAGGTATATCTCCTAAAGCCATCCCTCCCCCTTCCCTCCACCCCACAACAGTCTGCAGAGTGTGATGTTCCCCTTCCTGTGTCCATGTGTTCTCATTGTTCAATCCAACCTACGAGTGAGAAGATGCGGTGTTTGGTTTTTTGTTCTTGTGATAGTTTACTGAGAATGATGATTTCCAATTTCATCCATGTCCCTACAAAGGACATGAACTCATCATTTTTTATGGCTGCATAGTATTCCATGGTGTATATGTGCCACATTTTCTCAATCCAGTCTATCATTGTTGGACATTTGACTTCCCAGTTTTGTTTTGTAAATTCTGGGGGACTACTAACATGTTGGTGATGTAGAGAAGCATCCATCTTTCAAGCTATTCTAGGCATTATCCTTTATGGAAGAGGACTTTGGGGTCCTTCTCTGTAGGGGGAATTAAAGATTGTGTTAAGAAAAGGAACACCTAATTTGTTGATAGACCTTTACCTTGACTCAGCAAAATGCCTACATTGGAGGCCAAAACAAGTTCCATCTCTCAGCTCTCTGGCCTAATGACCCATTGTTTTAGCATGAAATCATAATGGGACAAAATTTAAAGAAAGCCTGGGTGACCCTAATATTGTCAACAAAACTGGATGTAATTTCTAAGATGTAGACAAACCTCAAAACTTCTCCACCCACACAAACATATACCAGATCTCATTCTTTTGGAGAATGTTGACTATTTCATAAATTTGAAAACAAAACTGAAAAAAATTGTTGATTTATCTTTTCCAGCCCAGAAATGGACAGGTACCTTACACCTAAAGGGTTTCCACTGCAAATCATTGACCTAACAAGTCCAGGATTCCTGTATGGATGATATCATTATAATCAAGACTCAGCTATGGTTCTACTGTGCTTCATATTTCACTCATCTACAAAATGAGAATCTTAATAGTACTATCAGTAATGACACCTCCTGTTTTGAGGATTAAATGAGTTTTAAAAAGCAAAAAGCACTTAAAGTATCACCTGATCCATAGGAAGAAGTTTGATGGAAGAAGTTTGACAGGTCCATTTGACAGAAGTTTAGCTATTATTGGTGTTAATGTATTGTTGACTATTATTATTATCAGCAGCAGCATTGTTTAGTTTTTTTAGTTTAATAGGTAATTTTGAAAAGCATTAGAAAGGACAATGTAATACGACTCAGTGTCTGAGATGGCTCTGATACTTTGAGCATGGCTGAGAGAAGAATAGTACCCTTGGCAGATATTCAGAAGCCAAGTGCAAGAGCTGCTTTCAGAGGAAAATATTGTTAAACTTGATGAATGTGATGCAGTGGCACAATATTATTTAAGTGAAGTAGACCCAGAATTTAAGATATAGAATGGGAATTGAAAAGTCAAATATCAAATAAATTGAGAAAAATATGCACAGATGACCAATTCTAGTCTCGTTTTTAGCAAATAAACATAGAGGAATAATGAGAAGGCTCTAGAATACTCCAGATCATGGAAAGGGTGACACAGAGATAAAGAAAAAAATAGAGAAAGAACAGTGAGGAAAATGAGATAAGGATCTAACTCCTTCACTCTCCTATCCCTTGATTTATTAATTCTTCATCCATTTATTAATTTGTTTGTTGACTTCATCAAGATTGCCCTGCCAGATTCTAGGGATATACACTTCTGGCCCCAAATTGCCAAGGCGAATGGAGAAAACCACCAAAGACACAGAAACTTATATTACAGTTGCGCAAGTGCTACAGTTGAGATATAATCAAAATGTTGTAGACAAAGAGCAGTATCACTGTGCAAAAGTCAAAGAAGAAGGTCATAGTTTGGTTTCTGATACCACTACATAACTGAAACTACACCAGGAGGGGGATGACTTCATTGCTCAATCCAAGGCAGATGTTTACGACAATGACAAAAAAAAAAAAAAAAAAAAGATGGGCTCTGACTTCCAGTCCTCATGACACAGAGACCATGTTTCCTAGCACTGTTTCAAACATGTAGCAGTCATTGGTAATAATATTAAAGGAAAACAAAACAGCACAGGGTTGTTTACTCTCTAGATGAACACTTCCATGAACGTGAAATAGAACAGAAACACATTACAGAAAGTAGAGGATAAATAGCTAGTACCGCTGAGCTCCAGCAATAAAAATAACACTATTGTGTTGAAGTTTGATTTCAACACAGGACTTAACTGACAGCTTAATAGAGACATAATCAGTCTCTTATCAGGTGGAAAACTGATGCCAGATATAACATGCAAAGCCAGCGGCTTCTATGGTACTGCCATCCAAGGAAAAGGGCTGGATTGTTTCCTGGGACTGCAGCTCATAGAAAACTACCTGGGGACATGAGCAGGAGCAGAGACAAGCACAGAAATAGACAAGGACCTGGGTCAAATCATCTGCTGAGTCAGCGACTATCAGCATTAGCCCCATATCACATAATAGAGCCACCCTGAGTGGGCAGGAGGAGTCATTCTCAGAACTACTGGCTAAAAAGAGATCCAGAGACAGAAACAAAACATCCACTGACTAAACTATGTCTGCAATCTAAAATTTCAAAGCATACTAAGAAAGATAATCAACAAACCATGATCAAGAGAATTCACACTGTACTAGAAGGCAAATAATAGAGTAGGCTGAAGTTACTTTAAATTATATTTAGAATCCGTAGCCATAGAAAGTAGTGAAAAACATTCATAAAAAAGAGATTTTTTTGAAGTAAAAGCAGGCAGATATTAATAAAAATACACATATATAAAACAGAAAAATTCAAAATCATAAAAAGAAATATGGTGAAACAAAAGCAAACAATACATAGGATAAAGTTTAGTCTTGATCAAGTCTAAAAAATAATTAGTGAACTAGGAAGTAATATCTAGAGCATAAAGAGACTATTAAAAATATGAAAGAAGTTAAACAACGTGGAGAATGAAATGAGAAGTCCTAGAAGCAAAGAGACAGAATAGCAGAGAAGATAGTTTTACAGCAACAATAGAAAGCATTAGAAAAATAAATGTACAAACCCTCAGATTCTCAGACTAAATGTGTACAGTAGCTTAAGAAGAGAACACATACATACCTCAGCCAGATATATCATACTAAACAATAAGATTGGAAGAATGAAGAAAAAATATTAAAAATGCAAAGACATATGCCTAACAAAAGAACTATTATGTCGTGAAGAATGGAGGCAAAAATGAAGACATGTTCAAACATAAATACCCCCAAAGATATTTTTTAAAGTCACTAAACTGTGCTCTTCAGCAAAATAATTCAGAGAAAAGAAGCAGGATGTAAGAAATAAAACTGAATACAAAACAGTAAATGTGTTGGAAACCATAACTAATTTAAATTAACCTGCAGGTGTATATGTTTGTGTGGAACAAATTGAAACTACATTTTGAAAAACCATCAATAAATCTTATATTCTGCCTATCTGCAGATTTCTCCTATCTTGCTATTTTTCTTATTTAGTTAAAAGCATACTTTTGACCCTCCATAATTTTTTTTTTCCATTTTTCTTTACTCTTGCTCTTAGCTTTCCCCAACATTTTCTTGCTCAAAATTTCAGTGCGTCAGCTGGCAGCTTGGCCTCAGAATATGGGAAGGTACTGCCGTCTGGCAGCGTCAACTTGAGTTACGGCGAAGACTTGTTTTCCATTGTGCCCTCCCCTGTGTGCCATATCCATCCTGGCCATTGTGCCAGGTGAAATACCAACGCTCGCTGATGTGGAAGATGCTTCATCGGGAGGCAATCAGCTCTGCCGAGAGAGGGGAGAAAGAAAAACACGTGTGGTTTTTGCCGCCTTCACCTTGGCAGAGAAAAGTGGATGTAAAACTGGGGCTGGGGTACAGCCTTCAGAGTTCTGGAAGATCAGCGACGCCAGCCTGAGCCAAGAAAGAACACATGGTGGTTGTGTGTGGCACTGACACCTCAAGAAAAATCACTTTGAGTCGTGCGCCTGATCATTTAACTGCTATGGGCACAGGCCCAGCTTTCTCCCCAAGTCAAATGTAAATGGTTTAAGGAAGCTGGTGGTCTTTCTTCCCGCTCCACTTTTACCATACTAAGTGTCTCACAGCCATTTTACTGTGTTTACCAATTATGAAAATTCTGGGCAGCTAATTATGAAAATATTGAGAAGTCGTATGAGAACTAACTCTTGGAGTCAGTGAAGGCAGAGAACAGACTGTAAAGTCTTTGAAAAATGAGCTGCTTGCTCTCCACTTCTGCCAGTAAATTTTGGTATTCCAGCATATTGCCATGTTAATCTGAAACCAAAAAGAAGGAAATCAATAAAAATCTAGGAGAAAAGGAAGGGAAGAGGCAAGCCATCAATGCTTAGGAGATGAGAAAGGGCTGATCAGTTTCTAGGATCCATACATTTTGCTCCCCGTGGATCATAAGCCAAAGAATCCAGGGAAAAAATATGAAAAACAAGTTTTATGACCTAAATGAGAGGTGATAAACTTTAAGTTCTCTGTAAAAAGGGACAGCCTTTCTTCGAGTCTGACCTTGCTGTTTTCATACCATCTGGAAAGAAAATCTAGTTGTCTTCCCCCATTTGTTTTATGCTGAATAAAATTAATGCACGTGCAGTAATAACAGAAAGAATATAAGTACATTCTAGACTGATTATAAAGTTGCTTAGATTTCATGATATATCCTAGTAATTTAACAAATGTGGGTTTTTTTTTCCTACAATGCCTTTCTTTCTTGCAGCAGATTTCTTTAGCTAATTTTTTATGTTAACTAAATCTATACAAAATAGAACTATTGTCATCCTCGCTGTGTAGAAAAGACAAGTCATGACAAACAAATATTGTGCAAGTTTATAGATGGTAAAATAATTTTAGAAAATAGTTATGTTGTTGTGTAGTCCTATAATCTCTCCATCAGAAAATGAAACCTTCTGTGTTTAGATAATATTAGGTAAAGTTCACTTTATAGTCCATCCTACAACCTCAGACTGTTATGCTATAACACTATTGTTAATGTCTTAAATTGCATTAAAATCTAAAGTGGATATTGTCTAGTATTAGTATAAGCAGCCCATGAGTTATATCATACAGAGGTAGCATTGCCATGTACACGCAACATAAATACGCATCTTAAACTTAGAATCTTGTGAAGGTTATTAAGATTTTTCACTCTAAATCCTTCCATTTTCTCATCCTTCTTGATGGTAGATTTAGAAGTTGTAAATGAAATAATACAAATTTTATTAATTGATAAAATATAAAGTATAATCACATTTTCAACTTCCCCTATTGTTTGTTTCCATAAGAAAAAGGTTCTAAGCTCCAGTCCTGAGCTCCTTATTCAATATTAGAAGTCAAGAAACTTACAAAGCTTTTCCTGACTTTCCATTAGCAGAAAGCTTTATAAAAGCTGCCATTTATGTAAAGTACAGAAAGGCAAGGAACATACACATTTACACATGTGAAAGAATGAAGAGGAAAAGAAAAGCTATGAGCTGAATTCTCAATGCACACAGTATTTGACTGAAATACAAAGCTACCTAATAATTTATACTTTGTATTTTAATTGGGTATCTGCATGAATATGGATACATGTAACTTCAGTACATTTTAACTGGAACATCATCTGTGTTACATGTCATTATATTAAATGTCATGATAAAGAGCCATTACATTTAAGTGTGTTATATTGTCCTGTTACAAATGTCTAGGAAGTTGCCAAAAAGAAAATGTGTTTGGTGTGACATTGCTCATTCTTAGCGAAGCCATGCTGGTTGTTACCATTCCTTAATGCTTCTGGGAGCTTAAAAGTCATTTTGTTTACACCTAGTCCTAGAGGCTTTCTTTTGAAGGCAAGCATTTCTATAGCTTGAAGAATCCACATTGAGCTTTAGAACCTTTACCCATATTCAGACTTCAGACATCCTTCTTATTCTCCATGCTTATTCACAGATACCAGACATCTGTTTAATGTGTTTACTTGCCAGTGCTGTCAATATACTGCGGGAAGTAAATCAGCCGGGCTCCAAAGTTTGAATTCATTCAAAACAGCTCGGGATATATCTAAAATATTTGCCCCATCTTTGTTATCATAACCCCCATTGCAAATTCTGCTGGGTCCTTTTCATTGCAAAGCTCATCCTGCTTGACTGTAAATACGGAAGTTAAATAAGAAAATATTGTGACCCAGTTTGGTAGATGGTCACTAATGATGGTCATTTTTTTTATTATTTTAACAAATAACAAGTTTTTTTTAGTAATTGATTTTGAAGTTAGAGTATAAAGAGAATCAGTTACAGCAGAAAAATATAATGATTGTGATTCTGTGATGCAGACATTTCTCACTATTTTGCCTAAAACTGGGATGTCATCCACTGACTCTTGCTTCAGCTGCTAATTAGTTACATGATTTTGATACACGGAGACAATAATTCAAGTATTAGAACATAATAATCATCTTCTGCCTTTGGGCTAGACATGTCTAAGTCAGGCAAAGTTTGTCTGTGTGTAATTCCAAAGGAATACAAGGTGAAAACTGTCTCCCCCAGTTTTTTTTTTAAGCCTCAAACAGAGATCAGGTTCTTCATTAAAACCATGAAGCCTGGGTGTGGTGGCTCACGCCTGTAATCCCAGCACTTTGGGAGGCCGAGGCCGGCAGATCACGAGGTCAGGAGATCGAGACCATCTTGGCTAACATGGTGAAACCCCGTCTCTACTAAAAAAAAAAATACAAAAAATTAGCCGGGCGTGGTGGCAGGTGCCTGTAGTCCCAGCTACTCGGGAGGCTGAGGCAGGAGAATGGCGTGAACCCGGGAAGCAGAGCTGGCAGTGAGCAGAGATCGCGCCACTGCACTCCAGCCTGGGCGAAAGAGCGAGACTCCGTCTCAAAAAAATAAAAAAATAAACCATGAAGTGCCTAATATTCTGAGAAAGAATTTTATTTTTTCCTTTCTCTCTGTCTCTTTCTCTCTCTCTGTCTCTCAGCATTTAATGAGATGAGGCAGCTAGCAACCTCTTTTCCAAGAGGTTGCCATAATTCAGTTATTTGACATTCTTTCTGCTAAGGTATAATTTAAAAATCAACAGTGCACATCTACCCACATGGAAACTTCTTGAGAATTTGGGAACCGACCAAGAACACCTTGTATCCTATCATCTTCTCTCTAGCAGCACTGGAAAGGTACATGCTACCAAAAACCCTTTCATCAGGTTGTTTTACGAGGGAGAAAGGATGCTGTCTAAGGACATGAAAACCATCTGGAAAACCACATAGTTGTCAGTACTATGGAGATGGTAAGCCTTGAGTCTTCAAATAGAGTTTCTTTTTTGGCTTTTACCATCAAAGCCTGATGGTTTGGAATTAGGTTGATATTGCCTTTCAACGTATGATATTTTCTTTGCAATTGCTCAGAACACAGATGTAAAAATTTCTATCATCATTTGAAAATGAATGTCCCACTGGGGAAATTCCATGAGTATGTAAGTAGTTGCTTTGTTACTGATGCACAGCTTATTCCACAGGATTCAGTAATCTTTTTCTGTATAGGACAGCTTAAAAATATTTTAGGCTTTACAGACCATATGATACTATTTACAGATGATGCGGTATTGTTGTGGTCGCTCAACTACAAAAGTAGCCATAGATATGTAAATGCATGAGCATGGTTATGTTCTGACAAAACTTTATTTATAAAAATAAGAAGCATGATTGTGTTCTGATAAAATTTTATTTATAACAAGCAGCAAGTTGAATTTGGCACACAGATCATAATTTGCTAAATCCTGCTCTAGACTATTGTCTAGCTTTTAAGAAAGCTTTGTTGAGGAGAGATAAAATTGATGCCAGTTATTATCTCAATAGATTTAGAATAGCCTGACATACTTTCAGTATTCCCAGGCTCTGTTAGGGTAGGTTAATAACAAGTTGCTATACAAACTAGGTAAATGTGTGTTAAAGTTGTGTGTATTCACTACCCATGCATCTTAACACGATAGTGTCTTAAAAGGATGAGGCAGATTCTGGATTAAGGGATAAAGAGCAACATATAATCAAAAGTTGGAACATGGGCAGAAAAAAACTGGAAATTGGTGCTGATGGTTCTCTACCACTTCTCTCAATAGATATCTCTTCCTTTTCTTTGCCTCTGCTTGTTCTGTTGTTTTCACCTTCGTCACCTCTTTCCTTTATTTTCCCCTATTGTATTCTTCTCTTCCAACAGCATTGCCTCTGTATAAAATCATCATGTAAAAATGTTTCTGGGCATTTTCTTTCTAATAGCTTTATTCTTCTAGTGTTGTCTCCAGCCCCTTGGCAGATACCAGCTATTTGAAATCTCTAATCTGCCTCCCCTTACAAGACAGAGAAAATAACAAATATCTCTCAATTCCCCTTTATACCTCTCCCAAATGTCTCTCCCATGTTTTCCTCATTTTCTCCTGTCTTAAAACAAATATGGATCCCACTCCTCTACAATTTGAATTTTTCCCACAATTCTTTTTTTTAATTATTTATTTATTTTTTTAGATAGAGTCTTCCTCTGTCACCCAGGCTAGAGTACACTGGCACGATCTCGGCTCACCGCAACCTCCATCTCCCGGATTCAAGCGATTCTCCTGCCTCAGCCTCCCAAGTAGCTGGTATCACAGGCACGTGCCACCACTCCCAGCTAATTTTTTTTTTTTTTTTTTTTTTTTTTTTTTTTTTTTTTTTGTGGAGACGGGGTTTCACCATGTTGGCCAGGCTGTTCTCAAACTCCTCACCTCAGGTAATACATCTGCCTTGGCCTCCCAGAGTGCTGGGATTACAGGCATGAGCCACTGCACTCAGCCTTTTTCCATAATCCTTGATTCCCGTCCTTTTAGCCTCCTCTGACATAGACCTTGACAAGCGAATCATTCTTTGTCTTTTTATATGTTCAATTTTCCTATCTCTCTGGCTTCTTTTCCTTAACCCACAATATATTAAGGTCTCCTCTATATTTAAGAAAATTAAAACCGTTGTTGTCACATCTGCACCTTCTGCCTCCTGTCTTAACCCCTTTCCTTCAATCCCTGCTGAATACCCCCTCTTAGGCCTCTGCTCTCCTTTCTGCTCTCCAGGCGTCTGCCTGGCCCACCACTTTCTCTCTCAATGTTTATCATCTCGGCTCTCATCTGATGATCCCCAAATCTTCATCCCACTGTGGTGTTTCTCTACAGTTTGGATCTAAGTGTCCAGTTCCACAGCATGTTTCTAAACACAGAGCCTGCTGACATATTGACTCAATATGCCCTAAAATTTAACTAATCAGTTTCCTGCAACTTCTTTGTATCCTCTATACCTTCAAATCTGTTTTGTTGTTGTTGTTGTTGTTGCTTTGAGAAGAAATCTCACCCTGTTGCCCAGGCTGGAGTGCAGTGACACAGTCTCGGCTCACTGCAACCTCCATCTCCTGGGTTCAAGCAATTCTCCTGCCTCAGCCTCCCAAGAAGCTGAGACTACAGGCGCCTGCCACCATGCCCAGCTAATTTTTGTACTTTTAGTAGAGATGGGGTTTCACCATGTTAGCTAGGATGGTCTCGAACTCCTGACCTTGTCATCTGCCCAAATCAGTCAAGTCTTCCAAGTGTTGTCCATTTCTAGAATTTACCCATTCTCTCTCCTTTAAGCCCTACCAATGCTACTCTAAACTATATCTTCTTTTTTTATCTGGTGTTTAAGAGATTTCTCACTGATTGCTTAATAGTCTTGCTCTTCCAAGACATCATCACACTGTTTCTAGGGTTCATACTATATTATGCACCTCTTCAAAGAAATGAGTGATAGCTTTTCACCCTTTGTAGTGTGAACTAAAATCTGCTTAGTTAGCAAAACTCAGGGCTTTTTCCACTGTACTACATAATTATTCACTCTATCTAATCTCCTTTCACCCATTATTCCAATCACATTGATTGAGTCTGCAAATCTAACACTACATAATCAACCTTTCTAATTGAATATATGCCCCATATCTAATATTAAGAGTTTAGAAAAATATTAAATATAATCCCATATCTCAAAATCTGCTATTTCCCTTTTTAGCATGATGCTGTCCTCCTCTCCTTTTGAATGTGTGTGCACAATTCACCTGCTATTTAATATTCTGATTTTGCAATTATCACAAATATTTCATATTTCCAAATAGGCAGATAATATTATCTTGTTAACTTAGTACAATTCAACAAAGAGTCAGGTAAACCAGTCAATGTGGTGAAAAGCATGCTTGTTCTTTTCTGCTTAGATGTGGCCCATAGCAATGATCATCATCATCTTCATCATCATCATAATTATCACCAGCATTCAGAGAGTCTAGAATTTTTAAAAATATTTTTCTTGTTGGTCCTGTGCTTTCTTTCCGCTGATCTGATACTTTTAAATATTATAATATCTCATGTATATAAATAAAATGATTTTAGGTCTTGTTAAAATTATTTTTTCAAGATAAATTCCTCCCAGAAGCAAGGTTATGTTATCAAAGAACATGAGTAGCTTTGTTACTCATAGATTTTCACACTTCACTTACATTCACTGTCCTGCTCCCTTAGCTTATAATTTCACCCCCACCAACCACCCAAACACAGTCATACACCCTCTCTCTTTCACTCTCCAATTAAAATCTTCTTCACAGACTTGCTCTTATACCTCTTTCTACACAAGGCTTACTATAGTTCCTAATCAGAATCAATTATGCTTTAGCTCGAGCAAACTACTAAGTCTCTCGGGGTCTCCATTAGATTATAATATAAGAATAAAAAGAATACCTACATTATAGAGTTGTTAAGTTATAGATCTCTTGAGAGGGTGCCTGGAAAACAGTGACCATGCATTAGATATTAGCTATTTTTATAATTATGCTAATCCTCCCAAGTACAGTGAGCTCCTTAAATGCAATCAGCATAGGCTCATACTTGTGTCCATCTCACCCCATCTTACACAATGTCTTCCACTGAGTAAGTGGCATGGAAACGGCCATGCTCACCAATGTTCAGCTTCACTGCTTCTTACTCAGCATATTCCTAGGCAGTGATGTGCTCAGTCAGCACCATGCTCGCTTGTGAGAGCAGACTGTGTACATCCCTTCCCAATTCCATCCACATTTAGCAATACCCCATTTTTATCTGGTCTTTTTTCAAGAGATTTCTCACTGGTGTCCTAATTTAATAGTCTTACTTTTCCAAGACATCATCACAAGCTTGAACCTGGCCATGGCGGGAGTTATTTACGCTGTGGAAAATGGCAAATCCCATGGATCAGAGATTTTTTTTTTCCCCTCTGGAAACCCAACTGTCAAACTTTTACCAGCATACCTATGCTTCTAGGATACATTCCACCCCTTCTCTTACATCTGATTGTTTCTGTATGAACACTGCTCAGCAACAGAATGTAAGTAGAAGTAGCATGTGTCACTTTCAGGAAACAACAACTTGGAACAAGTATGCCTTTGCCATATTCGATCTCTCCTTTTTTTTTTCAGTCACTACAGAGGATTCAGTTGCAATCTTAAAAAAAAAAATGGAGCTACTAGATAAAGGTTCCTGGATCCCTGAATTACTCTGTGGAACAGAGAACCTCTTCAGACCTTCATGGGATTGTTACGTAATTCAGAAATAAGGCTTTATTGTGTTAAGCTACTGAGATATTGGGGTAGCTATTATACCAATTAATCTACCACAATACTGTAAGGAGCCCATAACATTGAGACAAGAAAGTAGTCATTAGGTCAAATAAGCACAAGTTGGCCCTCAATGACCAGTATAAGACTGTTTAGCTAAATAGCTTAATTTTCCCTAATTGGCTAGCATAGAAAAAAACATAGCCCAGTAAACCTAAATATATTCCTCCTGTGGCATTGTGCAACCAACTACCTCTGGTATCAGCTAGCAGGCTTGAATCAATGGGCAACTGTAAATGAAACTGCATGTAACTAATTCTATAATTTCAAGTTATTCAGTGTAATTCCACTAAAATTGCATTATAAATTTT
The DNA here is from genome assembly GCF_000001405.40 of Homo sapiens. Taxonomy (NCBI): domain Eukaryota; kingdom Metazoa; phylum Chordata; class Mammalia; order Primates; family Hominidae; genus Homo; species Homo sapiens. The sequence goes on from NC_000017.11 coordinate 71,667,234, forward strand.
GGGCATTATGAAGGATTTAAAATTAAAGAAAACAGGTTTGAATAAAACCTCATTATTAAATTACATTTGAGTGGCAGCCACCATTATTGCAAAGCGTAGACTCTAAACATATTATTAGCATCAAAAAATGTTTGTTTTGTATCTTTGTATTAATGGGAAAATGCAGTAAACATAAGTAGAAGATTTTCTATTTGGGGGAAATTCTCAAAAACAAAAAAGGATAAATTAGTAGTACCTTAATGGAGGTAAGCTTTCTCTCTTGGCATCTATCAAGCACTTCTTGCCCCACTGTCAGTATGATCAGCTCTACCCAGCAGAGACTCCAAAAGAATAGAGAGTCTCAAGAAAAATAAAACTGCCTTCTTCTGGTCTGGAACATTGGGTGCTTTCACATTGATCTTTTGTTAGTGGCTTTTTAAAATTTCTTTCTTTTTTTAAATATAAAAAGGTAAGAATGCTGATTAACTATGTGGGTGACAGATATTTGAAAAGACTTCATTCCAATAACTCATCAGCTTTAGTGTTTTAAGGCATTGCAGAAAAAAAAATGGATAAAAGAGGGGTAAATACCAGTGGTTATACCCGCATGTCCTCCTGGTGATGAGAGCAGTTGCAGTGAAAGCCAGCCAAGCCCACAGGGAAAATACCAGGTTGATTTGAACATGGCACAAAGTTGAGTTCCAGAAATCAATTCCTAACTCCCTAGTAATTCAAAAATTGGAGGCTGCCTGTGTGTAGAGAATGATGTGGTATCCCTCCCTCCCAAAGATATGACATTCCCTTTTCTAAAACCCATGAGGTAGGTGCTCTCTTGGGAAACTTTTGGAAACATAATGTTATGCTATGGGTAGAAAGGAGACATGGACTACTATTCCTGAGCATGTGGAAGAACTATATTCTATATAGTGCATGAAATAGCAGTTTGGGCAGCGCCATCTAAGGCTAAATTGATCCATATGATTGGAATTTTGCCCAGACCCTTTAACCAAAGGGGGGGAAAAAGGCATCATTTTGAAATTAGCATTATCAATACGGTAATACATTTTGAATGCTAGTTTGGCCTGACATAGGAAGTGATGTAATAAGGGAGAGCTTACTGCCCCTGCCCCTTGAACAGGAAATATTTTCCTTGAGGAATAGAATACTTGAAAACTGCAGATTGCATTTTAATATTAACCAGATTTCTACATTAAACATGATTTCCGAGAACAATTTGATTTTTCTTTTTTTTCCTCTCTCTTTACCCCCACTGCACCCCTCAAGCAAGTGATCAGAACTGCACTCAACCACAGCCAGCTCCTGGAATGGACCCAGGGCTGCCTGCAATTTAAATGTCAAACTTGGTGCCATTGAGTGGTGGAGAATCACTCAGCAACATGTGTCACTCATTGCTGCCCTGCCAATCGTTATTGTTTCTTGCTGCTTTCAGATTGCTACAAATTCTCTCCCGGTTTCCTTGATTATCTCCAAGTGTGAAAATTTAAATCTTGTTTCTTCTTCACTCTGTTTAAGATGTGTAAGCGTAATCACCTTCTAGAACAACCAAGGAACAACAAGAAAATTACCAAACCTGTCTTATATTTTGAAAGGCACAGAATGGAATTTTTTTAAGCTCCTAGAACTAGTTTCTGTAACTAACTGCAGAGTTGAAAACCCTTTTAACTGGCTAAACATACCTATCCCCAGTGGACATATACACAAGAATACTAAGCTACCAAAAATGGCCTCTCTCAGGGCAGACTTGACAGCAGTGACAACCCCTGATTGGTTAATGGAAGCACTTCAGGATTTATCAGTTGTGATTGCTTTAGTCTTTGGCAGCCGGTAAAATCATAAAATAAAGACGATTTAACCACAGTTGTTCAGGGACAGGGGAGGTGGTTGAAGCAGGGCTACAAGTAATGTGCTGTCATTCTTGATTGGTAGAAAGCAGATGGTTGTGAAATGGGGGCCACAAAGGAGGATGAATAAGGAGACCAAGAATATAGAATTGCAAGGCAATAAACCCAAAGCATGGGTACTGGATTCACGCAATGGCATTCATGAGGTTGATAATTACAGCCTTATAAGATAATGCAGGATATATGGTAAGCAATGGTTATAAACAGAGTTTATATGGCTTTGCATAGGTAAATAAGAATTTCTACTAAATGGGAAAAGTAAGGAATTAGGAAAACAAAAAGTAACCGTGAAGTCACTCTAAGCATCTAGGAATATACCACACTCCCAAAAAAGCAATGTCATAAGCAAAGGAACACATACAGCAAAACTGTTAGTATGTCCTCACTGTCATAAAAGTGAGGAGCACTTTTATGTGCTCCTCAATAAAAGTCACAAATGGGGCAGAAAGCAGTCATGCACAGTAGGTGGCATTCACCTGAAAATGACATTACCCTCTCCCTGCAGTGAGAGTTCATTTCTTCAGCAGAGAGAAATGTTTTAGACAAGACCTCTAGCTCTTGGGCATTAGAGGTTCTTGAGAGAAAAATAGCACAGTTATTAACTCTTTATCTCAATGCAGCATAAGTGTCTCAGAGCCATATCATCTCCTTCTCTATATTCACATCCTCAATCTGGCTTTATGAAGGAAGGAAGAAATCTAACATTTATAGAAAACCTACTATGTATTAGACTGTTTATTCTATATATTAAATTTTATTACATCTTATATCCAACAACCCTCTGAAATAGACATTGTCTCAACTTACAAAATGAGTAAACAGGCAGTTTATCTTCTAAGATCACAAGGCACAAGATATGTGTGTGACGTATTCAATCACAGAAGCAGAATTTGAACTTAAGATTGCCTCAAAGATGTGTGCCCTTTTCATCATATCACATCTGCTACTCACAGGAGTCAGTTCTCAGTTTGAGCTGATATCTGGCGTTATCAGTGAATAGCACTGGGCATCTGTGATTTATTTTTCTCAGCTTTTTCTCATTGTACTGATCCAATATCCAGAATGAGTCTTTTGCCCCAATATTCCTCCTTTAATCACTCCAGTGTCTGGGCCTGCAGTCAAAGTCTTCTGCTGATCCCCTGGTCCACTTGACTGAAGACCTGCCTGTCTATAACACAGCATCATCCTAAGACCTTCATTCTTTCTTCTATGCTAGTAGTTTCTGCAAAGTAGAGCTAAACCTTCAGGATGACTGCTTCTTGCCTGACTCTTCCACTGATTTGTTTACTCCCATATACTGAACCCACTCCTTCACAAACACACCCAATTTGGAAGACATTTTCCTAATTCTAGAAGCAGTGGGTACCTGTAGATGATGTTCTATTAGAGCTTCTATAAGAACTGCAAAACACGTAAAAGTGTTTTTAGTGGTTTTACTTTCAACTAGGAAAACACCTGAAGCAAAACTGATGGAACAAAGGCGGAAAAAGACAAGTTTATAGTTATAAAGATTTCAGTGTTCCCATTAATTGGTAAGATAAATAGATGGAAATTCAGTTGGTTACAACATTATCAATAAATGTCATTAATATCTACAGAGAAATAAATTTCAAACCCACAGAGTACAAACTCTACAAGTCCACACGAACCAGTCACCAAGATAAACCATATGATTGGCTCTAAAATAAGTCTCAATAGATTAACAAAGATTAAAATCAAACAAAGCATATTTCCCAACTACAACTGTAATTAAATTAGGAAATAATAATAGAAATATTTCTGCAAAATATTCAAATATTTAGGAATTAAAGAACATGTTTCTAAGTAACTCATGGATGAAGAAAAATTACTGGCTATAGTAAACATTTCTGATTAAGTGAACATGAAAACACAACATAAAAATCCATGAGATACAGCAAAAGAAATGCTTAGAATGAAACATGTAGTTTTAAGTGCACCTATTATAAAAGAAGAAAGGTCCAAAATCCATGATACACACATCACCTTAAGAATCTTAAAAGAATAAGAAAAACAAGAGGACAAAATATAAGTTGCAGAAATAATAATCAGAAAGAAAAATCAATGAAAGCGTAGCAAGGTAATTTTTAAACATGAATAAAATTGATAAACTTATGCCTTAACCGATCACTAAAGATTAACGAAATCAGGATTAAGAGAGGGAACATCACTGTGTTACATATACTTTAGATATTAAAAGATAATAAAAAGTATAATAAAGAATCATACTAACGAATGTGAATATTTAGATGTAACAGACAGGTACTTTGAAAATCAAATTGGCCAAAACTGATGAAAGAAGAAACAGACAGCGTAAATAATCTTCTGTCTGTCAAAGAAACTGAATCTGTAATTACATATCTTCCCCAAAAAAGGATTCAAGTCCCATAATGTCTTTGGGGTGAATTCTATCAAGGATAGAACTGTTATTGTTTCTCGCTGCATTTAGGAATAAAGTAATCCTATGCACATTTTTTTTAGGATAAAAATGAGAAAGCAACATTCTTCAACACTTTTTGCAGATTTTGCACTGATAGCAAAACCATAAAAGACATTGCAAGAAAGATTTGTAGATCAATATTACTCATGAATGTAGAAACAAAAGTTCCAAATAAAATTTTAGCAAATTAAATTAAGAAATATTTAAACTTGATGATGTACCACCATCAAAAGGTATTATTATCCCAACAATGTAAAATTGGTTTAATTTTCAAAAATCAGTTGATATGCTTCACCACGTTAGTAAAATAAAAGGAAAAAAAAAAACCTATGACCAACTCAGTAGATACAGAAAATAAATTTGACAAAATTAAACATTCATTTGTGATAAACACTTATAGTACATTAGGAATAAATAGTATATTTCTCAATTTTATGAGGGCACCTACAGAAAATCTTTAGTTGATATCAAACTTACTGGTAAAAGACTCACAGCTTTTTATCTAAAATCAGAAACAATGCAAATATGTCCATTTTAACGACCTCTGTTCAACATTGTATTCCAATTCCTGCCCAATGCAATAAGACAGGAAAAAATAGCATACAGACTGGAAAAAAAGCGACAACACACTCTTCACTGATGACATGATCACAAACACAGAACTCCCAAAGATAACCTACAATAAAGCTATATGAACTTAATAAGTGTCTTTATCAGAGTCATAATATATAAGGGTAATATAAGAAATTTCTATGAAAACTGCAGGAATGTTTCATACAGCTATTTTTCACATACTTTGAATGACGGACTATGAGATGCTGGAAAATTCACTTTAGGGAGAATCAAGATATCTAGATAAATACAAATTACGAAAGACATCCTCTCTTAATGAGAATTGAGCCCGCTCCACAATGTACATCACTTGAAACCAAACTCTCTCTCTCTCTCTCTCTATATATATATGTATGTGTATATATATGTATGTATATATGTATATATACATATATATATCTTATAGTGAAGTTAAAACTAAGATATAATGATGAGCCAAAGTTATTACCAATTATGAAAGGTAATATCATTTTCAGGTTGCTGAAATGGAATTCCAGCATATAAGACATTAATTGCCAATCAGAAGAGAGATGCCATATATATAAAGAAGCTCTGGACAGAAGATTAATACCAGGAGCATCGAATCACTTCTTAAGCTAAGGCATCTAACTTCACTTTAGCACCTGTAATTTGTCATTATTATTTAGCCATGAAATGAAAAGGTGAGCCAAATGGTATGTGCCTTCCAGTGGTAAGTTTATGTTGGAATGAGATATTGGGCCACCGGAGCTGCTAAAATATGTTTTAATGAATTCATAAAGAAAATCCAGACACTTAAAAAAATAACAAGGCCTACAACAGTGTATTTCAACAGGTTTGCTAAAGGGGAATCAATATTTTTCCTTGAGACTTACTTCCTCTGATTCTGTATTGCAAATATAGACATTGTAAAATGAAGAGATCATTGGTTCCATCTTAAATACTAATGAGTCAAAGGCCAGAGTTTTAAATTTAAGGCCTAGATTTGTGATAGAGCTGCTTCTCATACAGGCGACTTTACCTCATACATTCCAGATTGTGCATCAACAGGAATTATTTTTCATATGCTCCCTAAGTAAATAGAATGACAAATATACACAAAAACTTTGTCACAAAGTTAAAGAATTATCACAGCTCTGAATAAATTACTATAATCACATAAAATTATTATAACTGCAAAGATGTATTTTTTTATTAAACTTCATGTGACAATGGTTAATGATTGTCCTGAAAAAAAATGCTAGGTGATACAGCTACTAATAATATTAATAACAGTCTACACTTTACTTTTACCATGTTTACTATGGACAGTATTCTTTGTTACAATGCATCCAATCCTCCTAACAACCCCAGGAAGAATGTATTATTATTTTCTCCATTTTGGAGGTGAGATAATCAAGGTACAGACAGTTTAAATTGTTGCCAAGGTCATTTAGCTAGTAAATGGCATGGTTTCTTTTCATAAGCATGTTTGTCAGGGTTGAGATTTATAAACAAGTGTGTCATACTCTAAAGACCGAGCTGTTAAACACTATGATATTCTGTATTACAAACCAAAAAAAAGTAAAAGTATCTAGAAAAACCAGACATTCTGTAGTTTTTCTCCCACCCTGAAAAGCTTTGTGCACAAAATATAATAAGGTATTGTGGAAATATGAAATTAATCATAAGTAATTGTTTAATCTTTTAGTTATTAGAATTTGCCATTTAAGAACCAAAGGCTACCACATAAACAAGTGACATAATTTTACCAAAATAGTCACATAGAAAACAAAGTTAAAAAAAATAAGAGAACTAAATAATAGTCCATATCGTTGAAGTAATTAGAATGATCAACTCTATTAAAGTCTATGTGAAAACACACAGACACAAACACACACACACACATACACACTATCCTTTCTTGTAATTTTTTGAGTTGGTATACCAGAATTTCAAATAACTAAGCTTTTATACATCACTGAATTCTAATCAAGGAATAAAAAGGTTCTAAAAATCGCCTTGAGGAAGTGAAAACCAAACAGCTTCTAAACACATTTAGCAGTGAGAAAAGCGGCTTTCATGGTGAAAACAGTATTGGGGTGAATATGCAGGAAAAAAAATCAGCTAATGGCTAACTGCCGCAAAGACTAATAATTCCTGCAGAATTATGGAGAAAAAGCTGAAAGGATCTCTGAAGATATCTGAATTCCTCCCTCCCTTCTCCATAGTACCAGGGATCCTTAATCCAAACCATTCTAGATAGAAGGGTCTCTTCTTTATTTTAAGGAAATATCCGGAGTCTCCAATTTCAAAATTGCCCTCACTCACATATTTCGTATATTTCCTCCGGCTTTTGTAAATCTCTCTCTTTCTATTAAGTAAATCTAACTTTCCCATTTGAGTACTGGGTTTGGAGAATGAGTATTATGTAAGCCTTCTCTTTTTCCCTATCCAAGAAAATATTCAGAGACAAACAAAGTTCCAACAGAGCGCCAGAGAAATAGCTCTACATCTTGCTATATATGTTGCTACATCTTGCTATATATCTGGAGATCCTTGTCCACCACCTTTTCCTACCCATATCAACTCTCAAACAAAAAAACATGTTTGAGCACACAAATACACACACACACACACACACACACACACACACACACACAGGCCTTCCTCAAGGAGCTTTCACCCAACATACATTCTGGGATCATTCCATTCTAAGCTAGTCCCATTTTCTTTCCCAAGTGTGATCTTTGAAACACAGAGCACATTTTTCATATTTATATATGGTACTTACTAAATATATAGATTCCATGGTTCCTTTACAGGCCTATAGAAACAGAATGTGTAGGGCTTGAACCCTGGAATCTGTATTTTTTTTTTTTTTTTGAGACAGGGTTGTGGAGTCCTAAGGAGTTAAAAGAAAACTGAAAAATGGACTTAGCTGGCAGGGACAGAAACAGGGATAGAGGGGAACAAATGTTCCAAGAAATGGGGTCAACTGCAAATGGCTCACATGCACGCAAGCATTCTGTCTGCAAGCATTCAGCCTAAGCAGCACGATCTTCTAAAATTCTCCTCCAGCCCCTGCCTCTTGGCAGACAGCCTTCTTTCCGCTGTCTTGCCCGTTGCTTCCTTGCAATGTCTCTCTCCCTTTCCTCTAAATAAATCTGCTTTTCTAAACTCACTATTGTCTTGGCAAATTCCTTTACTATCCTTGTGCCAGCCTCAGACAGTCATTGACCACGACAAGGGTCTCTATTGCCCAGGCTGGAGTGCAGTGGTGTGATCATGGCTTACTGCAGCCTCTACCTCCTGGGGCTCAAGCAATCCTCCCACCTCAGCCTCCTGAGTAGCTGAGACTACAGACATGTGCCACCATGCCCAGCAAACTTTTTTTAAAATATTTTTTGTTGAGACAGGGTTTGCCCAGGCTGGTCTCAAACTCCCGAGTTCAAGTGATCTGCCCACCTCGGGCTCCCAAAATGTGGGGTTTACAGGCATGAGCCACCATGCCTGGCTGGAATCTGCAATTTTAAAACAAGCTCTTTCTGCAATTCTTACAAAAATTAAAACCTGAGAGATCCCAAGTGAGCTTAACATCAGGCGTCAAAGGCTCTAGTTTAGAAAGGCTATTCTTGCTTTCTGGCAGGAAACTAAGGTGCTCAGACAACTGAGTGCCTTTAGTGAACGGTCCCCCACTGTTCAAATAATGCCAGGGTCTCAATCAAGAGCAAGGTTCAAAGATACCTAAAATTGCCAAGATATGCACCCTTTATTAATCAGCTATGTATTAAAAGTGAATGATGCTCTCTCACTGAATACTCTGGTTCACCCAAAACGCCAAAATGCCAATGAATATCTCAGGAAAGAAGATAGCTCTTTTTTGAGGTTCTCCTGGCTCCCCTTGACTTTGTGGAATTTCCATCTGAACATAACATGTATTTTTGTTAATAATAATGAGGAAGTCCCTGAAACTTTTGATTCTATGTCATCTTTAAAGGAAACATTTGGCTTTCATTAGTATTTAAGCATAGTAATGCAAAGGATAATATACATGAATTGGCTTAACTATTGGACATCTCTGTCAATTCTTAGCATACTAAAAATGCGAAAGGATTTATCTTATTGGTTTTCATATTCTTCAATACGCCTTATTATTTTTGTGACTTTTCTTGAACTTACAGACTTGATACAAAAACATCTCCCAGCATGTAGAAATTTTATCATTTGGGGGAAAATATATTTTAATATATCTCCAGTGTTATGCAAATCCTATAGTTGGGGCATTGAATAATTACATCTATCCATACTTTTTTTTTTTTGAGGCGGAGTCTCGCTCTGTTGCCCAGACTGGAGTGAAGTGGTACGATCTCAGCTCACTGCAACCTCCACCTCTCTGTTTCAAGCAATTCTCCTGCCTCAGCCTTCTGAGTAGCTGGAATCACAGGCACCGACCACCACGCCCAGCTGATTTTTGAATTTTTAGTAGAGAAGGGGTTTCACCATGTTGGCCAGGCTGGTCTCGAACTCCTGACCTCAGGTGATCCGCCTGCCTAGGCCTCCCAAAGTGCTGGAATCACAGGCGTGAGCCACCATGCCCAGCCTCTATCCATATTTTTTTTTAACCAAATTGCAAGGTATTGATCATATTATCTAAACTACATTAGAACAATGGCACATGTCCAAAAAAGATAAAGTAGTGTCATTTTCCCCCTTTATATGAACATTTGTATAAACTTTACCAAATGCAAATTAATCTATAGTGACTTTACATGTTTTAAATGTAAAGTCTCTTTCTCTGAAAGAGAGTGGGGGATAGGGATGAGTGGGTAAATAGGTGGTTGCATTGGAATTGAGTATAAAAAAGCACAAGTTTGGGAGTAATAGAAACATTGATTATTTTGATTGTTGATGGTTTCACAGGTGTCCGAACTAAATAAAATGTACAAATTAAATACATGTAGTTTATTTCCTCAATAAAGTTGTACAAAAGATGGATGGAAAGCTATGTAAAGTATTATTTACAAGCTAAATCAAACAAGGATGGGTTGATTACAAATTTGTCTTTTTTGCATATCTTTTTCCCCACTGGAATCAGAGTACTTGCTCTTATGTCAAAAGGTCATCTCTTATTACAAATATCAAGTATGTTCCAAAGTATGCAAGTCATTCAAACAGCAGAAGTGGGAAAGAAAGAATCCATCTAACAGATAGTGTAGGGAAAGTATCTACAGGGTTTTAATCTAACTTTACAAAAATAAACAAAGACTGCACGTATGTTTTGAGCCTTGGTTTCTGGTAGAATGGTAGTGCTAATTATAAAATTAGGGATTTGGAGGAGATTTTGGTTGAGTTTGGATTTAAAATATGTAAAGTCTGCAGAGTCAGTACGACGTGTATGAAAGCAGTTGGAAATGTGAAACTGTAATAGAGGGCAGCTGTTCCCATTCCTGCTCTTCTATTTAATATTTTCATATCTGTTTAGAGTAGCGCTGTCCAACAGAATATTCTGCAATAGTGCAAATGTTCTATCTCTATACTATCCAGTAGGATAGTCACTAGTGACTGTGACTATTGAACATTTGAAATGTGCCTGGTTAATAAATAAACTTTAATTCAAATTAGTTTAAATTCAGTAGCCACATATGGCTAGCGGCTACCATATTAGACAGCATAGATTTGGAAAATCATGACCCATTCAAAATCCCAATCTAGGAACTTCAGATAAACCAATCTAACTCATTTTTAAATTTTCCATTAGTTCTTTATTGAATAAATATTAAATGCTTATATTGTTTTGTGTATTATTGTATTCCCACCATTTAGCACAAATAAGGTCTTGCCGTCATGAAAGTTTTGTTCCACTCTGTCCCATTGGTCACCAAATCAAATTCCAGAAGTTGGAACTTCTTTCAACTTTACCTTCCTCATCTCTGCTACTTTTAATAAAGTCACAAGGTCATTAAAATTCATCCAAAAGGGGGAAATAACCTAAACATTTTGTTTTAGTTGTTGTTGTTGCTTGGTTTTGGTAGTGCAAAATGGAAATAAACGTTGCATTTCAACCAGTTATTGTGATGCCATGTTAGAATCCCTAAAACTAAAATACTAAGTATTGGTTTCTCAAGCAGAAGTTATGAAATGTTGAAGGCATCATGTCACATGATGTCTCCCTCTTTTCCACTGCCAAAGATCTGCTGATAGTAAGTATTGGTTGAAATACACTGCAAAATTTGATTCAGCCATCTGATTGTTCATGCTGATATATGTGCATTGGTTTTATGTATGTCTGTATTTAGGTATGTCTGTGTGTTGCTGTAGTCTATAGTGAAACAAGTATTTTTACCCAGGTATAAAAACAAACCAGTCGGGGTGGCTCTTGCCTATTATCCCAATACTTTGAGAGGCCAAGATGAGAGAATAGCTTGAGCCCAGGAGTCTGAGACCAACCTGGGCAAAATACTAAGATCCTATCTCTACAAAACATTTAAAAATTAACTGGGTGTGGTGGGCGCATGTCTGTAGTTCCAGTTACTTAGGAGGCTGAGGTGAGAGGATCGCTTGAGCCCCTGGGGTTGAGGCTGCAGTGAGCTATGATGGTGCCACTCCTCTCTAGCCTGGGCGACAGGGTGAGAACCTTTCTCTACAAAATAAATAAATAATAAAAATAAATAAAAGATAAAGACATCCTCTTACAAAGGGGAAAAACACGTTTATTTGAAGTGGCCCAAATATTCAAATACTTAGTGAAATTGTCCATTATATATATCTGAAGTTCTGAGCAACAACGTGAGCGGTGTACGTTTTTCCTGTGCAAACTAAGTAGCATACCTTCTGAAATGTTTTTCAGTAGAGATTTCCTTAATTGGTCATAAAGCCTTTGTAAGCGGACTGAAACTTTTTAATTAGCAAAGAATGGTTTCAAGTCATGGGTGAGGGGGGGAAAGAAACTTGTCAAAGACTTTATCATGTGATCACAAATCTATCCAGAACTGTAAATTTGTCAGAGAAACCCACTGAGTGACCCTGAGGGAAACCAAGTACATTTATGAAGGAAACATCAACCCCATACGAGTGTCAAAAGGATAGGAAATCAATATCTGCAAAGTCTTTAGACTGTCAAAAAGACATACTTTTGCCTTCGTTGGCTCTGACTCCTTGGGATACCCAAAGGAATTATTAGAGACTCTGAACAGCAAGCCTCATTACCATAGATGTAATAAAGCTTATTTTCTGCCGACTTCTTGGTTATCACTATTTAAAAGTGGTGAAATGCTGATAGTCCCAATATTCTCATGAAACGTGGAGTAGCTAAATCTAATTATTGAGTCTAAAATTGCTAACTTCCTAGCAAACCCAACAGGAATTACATGAATGACTATTTTCATGCTTTTAACGAAAAGCAACTTGTTATATTAAAAAAATTGTTATAGTTTAAAGGAATAGGAGAAAAGATATTTCTGACCTAACACTATTGAAATAACATCTAAATAATTTATCCTGATAGGTTGCAAATAAAAATACCATAATGTTCTGTAGCACTGAATTAGCTTAGCATGTGGCTATGTGTGTAGTACATCAACCAGTATTTGACTATGCCTTTTGTAATACAGGGAACAAAGTAAGAAAGAACACCGGTCATCTGGAAGAAATACAGGATCCTCAGGAAACACTGAGAAGATGACCTTGCCATGCCTATCTTCAGATTCCAAGACTCGAGTTACTTTATCATTATCTATCCCAAATCCTGGACACAAAGGGAAGGCACAAAGTAATCTGCCTTTCCAGAATCCAAAGGGATTCTATTGCTCTATCACCAGGGTGCTTTAATTTCCATCATGAACAAATGGTGCTTTGAAAGACTGAACATCTAATTTGTTGACTGTTTTCATTAGTGTGGTTTTCTTGGTAACCAACATGGGAGAAGTAGTTGTTTGGGCCTCCGAGACTGTGACTAAGGCAGCTCATAACAAAAGATGGCTCTATGCAGAGATTTTGTTGTTGTTTTCATTTCTATAAAAATAGTTTCTCTCAATAGCTGCATTGGATGGACTTTTTGTCATAGTTTAATTTTCCCAGTCTTCCCTATTTATAAGAACGTCCTGGAATGACTGCTAAGTACAGATCACCAGACCCTGCCCTGCAGATTCTGACCCCTAAGGAGGGTCTGGGATTCCGAATTTTTAGCGAGTGTCCCTTGTCTGAGAAACATTGCCCTGGGTCACCGTCCTGCTGCAATCAACTATCCAAAGCAAATGTTGCTGCCAAACGATAGAACTTGGATCTCAGCAAGTTCACGAAATCCTGATAGCATCTTAGTTCCTCTCACCTTCTTTCCAACTTTCATGGTCTTTAAGAGATGTTTATAGAAAGTTGTCCATCTAGCTGTCGTTACAATAGGAAGCTGGAGAAACTTGTACCATGGTCTGTTAAAGTTGTCCTTCTCATTTAGAATTATATTCCATACTTCTGACAGACGGCTTCAGAAACAGCCTGATCATCTTCTAACTATTTTAACATTGACTTGGCTTCTGTTGTTCAGGAACCAGACTCCAAGGTGGAGATGTGCATGCACTAAGTTTATTGGAGAGCTCCTGGGATATCTTTGAAGGAATGAGAGGAGCAGGAACAGAAGAAAATGCTGAACAGCAAGCATTGCAACAAAGGCATCAGCTGATCTCAAAGAGAGCTGTGGGACAGGAAGGCCCTTCAGAATTGTCCCCAGCTCTGCCAAGATGGCTACGTCTTTATTCTTCCCTACTGATGTTTTCTTGGATGCAGGCTCCCCTTGGGGTATGACCTTGGGCAAGGCAGTTATCTTCTTCAGAGAGCCATCCTCAGAGGGAATTCAATCATGATCCATCAGCAGTCAACTCCAGCTGGGAAACAAATTAGTTCTGAATGTTGTGAAGACAAGATCTGGGACATGCATCACAATGTCTATTACAAAAATTGGCTATTGGGTATCGAGTCCAATCGTGCTCACCTTCATTCATATCTGGTTGCTCTATGTTTCAATAAGAAAACAAATAATCTTGGGGCCATGATCACCTTTGAGAAACCTAGGACACCCTAAACACTTTAAGACAGATGATTTAACACATTTTCAATGCACAATAAGAAGGAGGGTCAACATATTGTAGCACTAAGATGTCAGGTTTCATTAGAGTTAGTTGTTTCAGGAAAGCAAAGGGAAATAAAACACAGAGAAACACTAACAAAGACTCATATTACCAGCCTCTTAAATACACTGACCGTATATTGGTATTTTATATTGAAAAAAAAGGAAATGTGCATTTTGTGTATTTCAGTGTATCAATACTCTCATCCACTAAGGCCTCTCATCAACCATTTAGTGGTCAGACAATCCCACAAATGAGAAGTCCAACCAAGCTCACTTCTGGAGTTCTTATGAATTTCAGGTGCTGTGTGCTGGCCTTTCATAGTGAACACGTCACAGGGTACTAGGCAAACACAGCACCAGTCTACTGCTAAATTGTCTGAATCTCACATTTTCAACTGGAGAAAATCATGCTTAATTCAAGTGTCAACAGAGGTCTTGTTTAACCAAGAAAAGGAAGACAGTGCAATCTGTGCTCCAGTGTTGCCTGTGAAGAACCCAGTGTACGTTTTCTGCTGCCCTTCCTGAAGTGGAAGATCTTTAGAAGTAAACCCTGGCAATTGTGAATGGGAAGTAGGATAAAGCTCATCTACTTGCATGTTCAATTCGAGCGCAGGCAACACTATGAACTTTGAACATATATGGCCATTGTTCTGGTAAATGGTAAATGTTTGATGAGCCAGAACCCAAATCTAAGTCAACATGCCCCCAAAGAGAACAAAGGTCATCAGGCCTTGCTGCTGATTAACTCATGCTAATCACTGATCTGATAAGAGGTCTTGATAATTAATCTCAATGTCAGTTTTCATTTCACTTGGAAATTGCCACTTTCTCTTTATTCTATTTGGGGAAAAAGGGATAGCTCATCTCAGAAGTAGTCTTCTGTCATTCTCATAGTATGTGCTCCTCAACAAAGCATGTTCCTTTTCACACTTTTCTTCCCCACACTAACAAATTTATTCCTCACCACTGGCCTTTCCGTTGACTATTCTCACTTGATCTGAGCATCAGTGGAAAAGGAAGCAAGAGAAGACTATGACCCTGTTCACTGCCCCAGAGCCTTCTTCCCTATCCTACTGCTGCAGTGACACAAATCACATGAGACATGATCAACTTTAATAAATGGTTGCAATAAATAGAAATCACAACTTAGTGACAATTTTCCCCTGCTATTTTATAAATATATTATAAGGAAAATGTAACCAAGAAGTCACACATTTTGTAGAGTTCTTCATCTACATCCCTGCTTTTGAACTTCTCATACCTATTCATAGGGTCTGAGCATTCTTGTGAAAAATCTTTTTTCTAAACTCTGCTGTGTGTCTTTATGACCACCATTCAAAAGTTTTACCTATGCACTTGAGTTGGTTTTCTCCCAGGGTTCATTCCCACCACTTCACCCAAATTATTTTTACCCAAGACTGAGCTATTTTAACTGGAACAAAAATCAAAAATAACACTCTTGTTTTATAATTGGGGTCAGGAAGGTGAAAGTGGTGGCTCATGCTTGTAATCCCAGCACTTTGGGAGGCTGAGGCAGGTGGATCACATGAGGCCAGGAGTTCGAGACCAGCCTGGCCAACATGGTGAAACCCTGTCTCTACTAAAAATGCAAAAATTAACCAGGCATGGTGACTGCACGCCTGTAATTCCAGCTCTTCAGGAGGCTGAGGCACAAGAATCACTTGATCCCAGGAGACGGGAGGTTGCAGTGAGCCAAGATCATGCCACTGCACTCCAGCCGGGGTGACAGAGCAAGACTCTGTCTCAAAAAGAAAAGAAATAATTGGGGTCAGGAAAGAAGTCAAAATATACAAAGGAACAGCTATGTTCACCATTGGTTTTCTAAGTCCCAGAAAACAGATGGGGCATGTAGACGGGCTAGACATCCCAAACCTAGAGCAGCAGTCTCAAAGGGCATAGGAACTTCAGGCCACATCCCCTCAAAGTCATCCCATCAGAGTGAATTTCAAAGGCACTTTCTTATTCTTCCTAGGATATATGAACTGAAGTATCCGTATTCATGAATGAACACACACCTACACAGACATCCTATAAGAAGTCATATTAAAAATATATAATTTTCTAATTATTCTATAACTTGCAAGACATTTTCACAGTGGACTTAGGATGTCATAATATTAGGTGTCTTTTCTCAAGCCTCTGCCCTATTTCTCTGCTCCCTTTCAGACGTAAACTCATTAACTTGTTGTATATTTGTGTTGTCTCTTCCCCATCACCTTTTTCACTTTCCTCAATCAACTGCGATTAACTATTATCAATATCACTCTACTAAAATAGCTCTTACTGGGGTCAAGAATAAGACTCGTGTTGCCAAATCTAGTGGCCAACTTTCTGTCCCATTTTACTCAACTTCTGACAGGTTTGGTACCGTTGAGTGGTCTTTCCTTTGACTTCTATGACACCTGATTTTCTATTTCATCAATGTTCTTCTTTACCTCCCTCCTCTTTCTCAACATAAATTTTGTCCACTGTTATTTTCTCTATGTATTTCCTCACTAGGTGATTTTATACAATCCTGTGGCTTAAATTCCCTATGTATGCTTATGACTTCTGTATTAGCATTCCCAGGTCTGAGTTGTCTGCCCTCTGTACAATTAACACCAATACGTGAATGTGTGAGAGGCATCCAGGAAGCTTCCTACTTTAACCTGACCAAAACTTATGCTTTTTTCCCCTCTGCATCTGCCCTTTTCCCAGTCATTCCTATTAGTAGTGCAGATCACAGTCCACTCAATTTAATCAAGTAACAAGTCTGCATATTACCCTTGATTCCTCTCTTATTTCTTATCTCATATCAAGTCCATTAATGAAACATATTTTCCAAACTTCAAAATACAGCCCAACTCAGCTAATCACATCCAGCACTAGAATTCTCAAGATTTTCTTACTTGTGTTACCACAAGACTCCAACTTATATTTTGCCTTCACTCTTACCTACAATTCTTTTCCTACAAAGAGCCAAAATTACATTTTAAGAACAAGAACCAGATCAAGTCACTCCCTTGTTCAAGACCCTTCAAAAGCTTCCATACTATTTAAAACAAAATCCAAATTCCCTCCCCTGACCTCAAAGGCCATATATGATCAACCTCATTTCTCTTCAATTCTATCCTGCCTGACTCTGAAGCAGGCATGGCTGTCTTCCTGTTCCTCGAACTTACCAGTGGTTTATTCTTGCATCAGATCTTTTCTTTTTTTTTAATTTCCATAGGTTTTTGAGGAACAGGTGGTGTTTGGTCACACGAGCACATTCTTTCGTGGTGATTTGTGAGATTTTGGTGAACCCATCACCCGAACAGTACACATTGTACCCAATTTGTAGTCTTTTATCCCTCACTTTCTTCCCACCCTTTCCCCGGTGTCCCCAAAGTCCATTGTATTATTTTTATGCCTTTGAATCCTCATAGCTTAGCTCCCACTTATGAGTGAGAACATACGATGTTTGGTTTTTCATTCCTGAGTTACTTCACTCAGAATACTGGTCTCCAATTCCACCCAGGTTGCTATGAATATCATTTCATGCCTTTTTATGGCTGAATAGTATTCCATGGTATATATTATATATATATATATATATATATATATAATATACTATAGAATATATAACTTATTCTATATAAAATATATTTAATATATTTATATATTATATTATATAATATATATTTATATATATTATACATATAATTTTAAATATATTTTATATATAATTTTAAATATATTTTACATACATATTAAAATATGTTTTTAATATATACATAAATTATATATTAAACTATATAATACATATTTAATATATTTATATAATAGATATATGATATATGATATATAATATATATTATATACTGCAATTGTATAATATATAATATTATATAAAATATAATATGATATATGTTATATATATATATATATATATATATATATATATATATATATACCATGGAATACTGTTCAGCCATAAAAAGGCATGAAATGACATTCGTAGCAACCTGGATGGAATTGGAGACCTACGGGGGAAAAAAAAAGATCTGATGCCAGAATAAACACACTAGTAAGTTCGAGGAACCAGAAGACAGTCATGCCTGCTTCAGAGTAAGGCAGGATAGAATTGAAGAGAACACAATTTCTGTATCTGCTTATTGATTGATGGGCATTTGGGCTGGTTCTATACTTTTGCAATTGTGAATTATGCTGCTATAAACATGCGTGTGCAAGTATCTTTTTCCTATAATTACTTCTTTTCCTCTGGGTAGATACCTAGTAGTGGGATTACTGGATCAAATGGTAGTTCTACTTCTGGTTCTTTAAGGAATCTCCACACTGTTTTCCATACTGGCTGTACTAGTTTACATTCTCACCAGCAGTGTAGAAGTGTTCCCTGTTTACCACATCCTCACCAACATCTATTATTTTTTTGATTTTTTGATTATGGCCATTCTTTGCGTCAGATCTTTTGAACTTACTGTGCATTCTGCCTGGAACATTCTTCCTAGATCTTCACATAACTGGTTCTCTCAATACATCAAGCCTGGGCTCTTCTCAGAGAGCCTTTAATCATCCTGTGGAGGTAGCCACCATTCCCACCATCATTCCCAATTACCTTGCTGCACTGTTTTACTACAGCACTTAGAGTACCTGAAATTACCTTCTGTATTCGTTATTTTTGTAAGCTTTATGAAGGCAAGGTCTCTGTGTGTTTTTAATCCTGGAACACAGATCAGTGGCTGGAAAGAATAAACACTCAATATATATTTGTGAAATGAAAGAATTGGTTCCTTTCTCTCATTTCTTCCTCTTCAATTGTGTTCTTTCACTGGTTCCAAGAATCAGGCCTTGATAAACCGTATGACTTTGAAAAAAATCTCTATTCAGAGTAATAAAAAATAAATCTAATTAAACTTTTGAAATTATCCCTTGGTTGGGTTTATTATTGGATAAGCCACCTTTTCTAACAAGCCACTGGGACAATCTTTTTGCTTTCATATTGCTTTTTTTCATCACCAAGCCATGTTATCATTCATTTTAGTGGACAACATGTAGCTACTGTAATAAGCAGCATGTTATTTAGAGTCAAAATGGCCTCAATCATCACTTTCTCTGGAATTCATCCTTGACTTATTCAACCATATTCTGACTACTGAATATGGTTAATATTTTGCTATTCAATTAAAACCAAATTATTACAGCTTTCTAGTTCACTCTAGATTCTCTTATATATTCTAAAAATCCAATTTCATTCCAAAATCAAATTTTATTCCTGAAATAATAGGATATGTTGTAACTTTTCGACAAACTTTGTTGGTAAAATCTGACCTAAATGGATAGAAAGTTATTGATGGTCTAGTCTATTTCACTTAAGGTGCATATTCATATGTATAGTTGCAACATTGCTAAGGTGTTTGATTATGGGTGGTCTCACCCAATTCTCTTCTTCCTGAAAAGTCCCTGTGGCAACAGTTTCTTTGCCCAATAGCAACAGTCGTTACCATTTTACTCTGTGCTTTTTCAGAGATAAGCATTTGGATGCAAATGTGACTAGATATTTTTCTACACAAATGTAGCACATACTATAAACACACACACAC
Source organism: Homo sapiens (assembly GCF_000001405.40). NCBI lineage: Eukaryota > Metazoa > Chordata > Mammalia > Primates > Hominidae > Homo > Homo sapiens. The sequence continues at coordinate 71,686,890 of NC_000017.11, forward strand.
AAACATACACACATTTCTGCAACTTTTTTTCACTTAACAATATATCATGGACATCAATAAAAATTAGTTTGCCCAATTATTTTCTTACAGTCTTATTTTACTTATTTTACTATATGAATGTGTCATAATTTATTTAGCCAGTCCCATTTATAGATATTTTAATTATTTTCAATACTTTGCTATTGTAAGTGATGTACCAAACCTCATATCAGACATAGCTGTACAATAATAATTAGAAAAATAGCCCAGGAAAATGGGCAAAGGATATTAAAAGATAATGCACATAAAAGAAAATGCAAATATATTTTCTTACTGATTTCACATTTCTTATAGATTTTATATATTCACAGGAAGTATGAATGTATTACAGAAATTAAGCCTTTATCTCTGACATGCTTTACAAACATATTTTCCCAATTTTCGACTTGACATTGGACTTTATTTATGGTATTTTTATAAGAAGTTTTTATAATTTTTATGTAATCAAATTGTTGACCTTTTTATATTTTAAATTTTATGAAATTTATATATTAGGAAAGACTTCCCACTCAAAAATAATTGATATAAAATGATTCCATGTTTTATTTTCTATGCTGATACATATCTATTTACATTCAAATTTTGATTTTTGGGTGTCTTTTTGGCTAAGAGGCCTGGTGTGATCCAATTTTCACCCTGGAAGCTACCCAGTATTTATTCCCAATACCATTTATTAAGTAATCTTTTGCTATCGTTTTTTCAGTTTTCTGGGGTTTTTTGCTTGTTTTTCAGTTTTCTTTTCATTATACAAAGTGCTTCAGGGTCCAGAGTGCAACCCGTAAAGAAAATTCTATTTTCTTTTTCATACTGACTGACTCACAGTACAATTTCTATTAAGGCTGGCACCATTTCTGTTATGCTTTGGGTCTGGGGGTACATACTGGGTTGCGTGATGGTGTAGGAGGTGCAAAGGCTGCCACCCCCTTCCCATGGGGCCAGGAGGGGCTCTGTTCATGCTCATTTGCATTTGAGACAACTTGACATTTGAGCATAGGCCAAGTAGCTTCTCTTTCCTCTGCTTCCTTGTACTTATTTTGGGATCTCAAATGTTAGAAAACAGGTAAAATAGTAAAATAAATAAAAATAAATTTTTTGAGGAAGTTATTCTTTCTTTTCATTATAGTTATTTTTAATGTGACTATTGAAGTCTCTGTAATTAAAGCTAATAAACAGTTGTAGTATGTGCATCTTACTTTATATAGCAAGTTATGTTTCTATCTTTAACCAGACATTTTATATTGTTTGATTAAAACTTTCTAGTTGGTAAATTCTATCATGAGGGCATTCATTCAATTAATAAAATCCCTGAGTATTTTCTGTGACAATTTATTCTACTCAAGGATGTGAAAGACTCAAATAAAGGTAAGGTCTCATTTCATCCTAGCTTTCTGGCATAGTTTAGCCAGAATAGACAGTAGCAGAACATATTCTTTGCAGGGGCGGGAAACACCTGTAAAACAAAATAGAATGTGATAAACGTTACCATAAAGATACAAGGAATAGGCCGGGTGTGGTGGCTCATGCCTGTAATCCCAGCACTTTGGGAGGCCAAGGCAGGAGATCACAAGGTCAAGAGATCAAGACCGTCCTGGCTAACATGGTGAAACCCCGTATCTCTACTAAAAATAAAAAATTTAGCTGGGCGTGGTGGCACACACCTGTAGTCCCAGCTACTTGGGAGACTGAGGCAGGAGAATCGCTTGAACCCAAGAGGCAGAGGTTGCAGTGAGCCAAGATGGTGCCACTGCACTCCAGCCTGGTGACAAAGCAAGACACCATCTCAAAAAAAAAAAAAAAAATACAAGGAATATCTCTAGTATGTCGAAGGGAGAGAGCAATTCCAAAAGTTTCAGGTAAATGTCATAGAAGCAATGTCACTGGACAAGCCTTTGAAATCCATTTGGCATTTTAACATGTCAAGATAATAACATAAGGACATTCCAAAAAGTGTGAGCTTCATCCAAAAAAGGGTGTGGAAACAAGATGATTGTTCTGACAACAAACTATCAGAAGGTTGTAGGAATGGAAACCAGAAAAGAGAATTAATCCCTCCAAATCTCATACTCCATCTGCCTCAAAACTCTTGATTTTAACTTCCATTTTTATCTTATGCCACTTTGTTCTTCCCCATTGCCAGGTTACTTCCCTAACCCAGAGACTAATCATCTCATTCTTAGATGATTGAAATATGTGGAGCTTGTGGTTCTATGCCTTGGTCTTCACACTGTTCTTATTTCACCAGAATATTATTATATTAAGGCTCTAGAGAAAACCCTTTGGTGGCTCCTTTAATATCTACAGGATATTGTCAAACTGCATTGATATGATGACTAATGTTCTTCATGGTCTCTCTTTATTCTATTATAATTCCACATACACATGTTCATATGTATTAGTCCATTTTCATACTGCTATGAAGAAATACGGGAGACTGGGTAATTTATAAAGAAAAAGAGGTTTAATGGACTCACAGTTGCACATGGCTAGGGAGGCCTCACAATCATGGAAGAACGCAAAGGAGGAGCAAAGGCACATCTTACATGGGGGCAGGCAAGAGAGTGTGTGCAGGGGAACTGTCCTTTATAAAACCATCAGATCTCACGAGACTTATTCACTAACAAGAGAATAGCATGGGAAAAACCCACCCCCATGATTCAATTGCCTCCCACTAGGTCCCTCCCATGACACGTGGGAATTATGAGAGCTACAATTCAAGATGAGATTTGGATGGGGAAACAGCCAAATCATATAATAATCTAACTTAAATAACTCTTTACCATGTGCCCTGAGTTTCGGCTATTGCAGAATACTTTCAATTCCCAACTTTTACCATGGAATGTCACATCCTTATAGTCTCACTTCTTTACACCTGCAAATTTCCTCCTTAACTTTTTCATTCACCTAACACATTTAATAATCTTTCAAAAGCAGTTCAGGTTTGTCATCCTCTGTAAAAACTTTTGTTGACCAAACTAACCCAAAAGAATGACTTTCTCTACAATGCAATCATCTTACCTTATACTTGAATCTATCCATGCACTTTTTCCATGATGTTGCAATATTTATCTTTATGTCACATGGTCTAGTGTAGACTTGGAAAAGTATATAGTAGGTTACGGCCATATTTTTCTAATGTTCTCTGGCTTATCTGTCCACTACGGCCTGCTAACCAGAAAGAATGATACTGAGCTTTCTGGTGGGATGTGATAGAACACATTTTTTTAGTTAGTTACAAATCTGTTATTTCATCGCTTGGGAACTTAGAGACTTATGAGTAAATGTGCAATAAAAAATAGAACAAAGAGAAAAACTCTTCATAAAAATGTGAGAAAAGCACAGTGGTTATAAAAACAGAAGGGTCTTCCACAATTCTGGGATCACTTTTCCTGATAACATTTGTGAAAGGCTAGTTCTATAATACCTTATGTGCCCAGGCATAGTCCTATTGGGTTTTCAATGATTTAGGGGTGTGGGAAACATTGTTGCTTTCTTGATTACTATTTCTAAGCATGGAAACATCAAGAGGGTTAGCTTGAAGCAGGCGGGGATTATAAGGGATAGGATTATTTGACAGGTTCTTTCTCAATGTATTTCTCTTTAAGAAGACTTTAGGGAATTATGCAAAAGGCCATCCTATATATACCCAAATGTCTAAATATTAAAGGGATTCTAGGCAATAGAAGACCTGAGAGTTATAAATCCTACTTTAAAATTTTTTATCAATTTGAAATCCTTAAGACTTAATCAATACATCATTTTACCATTATGTTTGACAGACAACTTTTACAATATAGTTGGGAGTATCCTCCAAGTGTTCATTGTTCCTTTCTCCCTTGCTAGCATAGCCTGATTTTAGTCTGGATGGCAAGTGTGCAAAGGTAGGCATTTTGCCCTAAGGTGGCTCTTCACTCTTGTTCCTAATTAACCAACTCCTTCCCAGCTAGGTGGCCATGTGGTCCAGTGTTCTCAAAGAAACACAATGGGGGCGGAGCGTGGTGGCTCACACCTTTAATCTCAGCACTGTGGGAGGCCAGGGAGGGTGAATCACCTGAAGTCAGGAGTTCGAGACCAGCCTGGCCAACATGGTGAAACCTTGAAAAATACAAAAATTAGCCAGGCGTGGTGGCATGCACCTGTCATCCCAGCTACTTGGGAGACTGAGGCAGGAGAATCACTTGAACCCAGCAGGTGGAGGTTACAGTGAGCCGAGATTGAGCCGCTGCACTCCAGCCTGAGTGAAAGAGCAAGACTCTATCTCAAAAAAAAAAAAAAAGAGAGACATAAGGGGAACTCATTGGTAAAGTTCATGAACTAGTAAGTGGGGCTGATTAACTTGCCCTCTTTCCCTTTGTCTGTATCTTCAGAAGCCATGTTATGACCAAGAGGCAAAAAGAAGGATGTTTTAGTATGGTGGGGCAGAAAAAGGAAAGGAGTGTGGGTGTTTAGTGCTTTTTATGGAGCCACTGGATCAACCCCACTTTCTAGTGATGTGAGAACAAAGCCACTGTTGGTAGGGTATTCTGTGATCTGCAGCTACACACATTCCCTCCAGACAGAACACGCTCAGGGATTAAGAAGAAAGTCTTTCTGAAGAGTTTTCTCTCTGTGCCAATCCTGCAGAACTCTTATGGAAGATAATCTAAAAACAAGGACTTAACTGATTTTTAAACAGATAGATTTGAAGAAGGTCCTTTATAGTTATGGCAAGGCATTAGACAGTAAAAAATGACAGTAATCATTCATGATATATTCAAAACAACAATGTAACAGTTTCTTCGATTACCTCTGTAAATTCTGAAAAGAGAGGTATTTGGGGAATAAGTTGTAAAAAGAATGACCCAGAACTTTGAGACTAAGAAGACTAGTCCTAAGATCCTATGTCTTTGCTCAGAAACACCAAATCTATATGTTTAACTTAAAAGTAGCAAAGCATGGCCATATTTAATCTATATAGCTTATAGAGGTAATCTCAAAAAGAGAGAGTTTTGTTTCTTGTTAGAAAAGTGGAGCTTTTGGCTGGTAAATGTGGTCAGCCAGCCTTCTAAACCATGAATTGAAAGCAATTAGTTTTCAAGTTACAGACTTTTTCCCCCTGCTCTTGAAGGCTTTGCCTTCAAGTTATTTCATCTTAAACAGTTTTAGCGCCCTGAACTGATATTTTGATACCCTGATAATTTGTGGTCTTGCTAAAGACTAACTCTTTGCACAGCCTCCTGGACTTGATTTGTTATTTCAAACTTCCAATTATTTCACACCTTCCTTTGAGACTTTTTCTAATTGGGTTGTATTTTCCCAATTCAAATCAGAACTCACCCAACCCTTGCCTTAATCAAAATCTGAGCCTCTTTTTAAAGATTAAAATTGTACAGTGTTGTTAAATAGATACTGTTTTTACAATCTTCGACATTTCACTTTGTGGGACAAACTAGAATTTTTAAATAGTGGGAAAATATTTTCTTACCCAATCATCAAGCCCCATTTTTGCTTGCATAAAGTCCTCATAAATAGTTTGGGAAATATTTATAGCTTTTAAATGTTTAGCAGACATTGCGATAATTATCTATGAACCAGCAAATGAATTTTATAATTTGTGACTAAGAGTATTTCCAACTTCATCCTTTCCCCAGGTAGGAAAAGTCATATTACTGCCACACAGCATATGACCAAGCAGCTATTCAAAACCAAATTAGTCTAAAAACCAGGTACCACTTTCTCATTAGAGAGAAAATAAGAAGGAAAAGCTTAGCTGTTCTTACAAGACCAGAGCAGCTAAATGTCATTCCAAGAAAAAAAGGTCTTGTTTTAGTCCCTTGTAGACTGAGAATAAACGTTTTGAGTTACTGGAACTTGATGGGTGTGATTTGCCATTATTTTCCATTTCCTGAAAAATCTTAAGAAAAATAAAATCACAGCTCATATGTTCCACTGCCTTTCCCTAAACTGTTAGGTGTTTAAGTTGCCTTCTAAAAACATACCTTAATTTTCATGTATATATCTGTCAATGCATGTGGATATTTGCAAGTATAACTGTTTCTGTAAATGTCTGCACAATGAATCATGTTTCCAGAACAGAAAATTGCTTGGGATAATCAGTAATTCCACATAGTTTATCAAATCCCAATTGAGAAGTTTTCAACTAAACAAAATTCAAAAACAGGTTCATATCTTGAAGGAAATGGACTCATGAAGAATAAATTAATCATTACATTCCTTCTTACATAAGAGTTATACCTCTCCCCTTATTTTGGGGTTCTTAGCCTACTAGTATATTGTCTAGAAAACAAAGGCCAAAGGTTTCAACAAAATAAAGGATGAAACAACCTCTAGCTAACCAAAATAAATGTCGTGATGCTTCGAATACTTTACTCTTTGTAGAATCCCATGTCTACACAGTACCAAGTTGTTCTTGAGGTGCACATCCAAACACCTTTGTTTTAAAGTTACATAACACATGGAAGGTTAGTGGTAATAATTAGGAAAGGGCTAATTTCATAAAAAGCTTGCATTGCAAAAAGCAAGAGTTGATAGTCAATACCCTCAAACACAAAAAATGCAGAAAAGCTAAACAGTTAAAGAAAAAAAATCAAAACCTCTAACAAAAACATTGAAGTCTAGCACCACTTAAAGCAGCAAAAACAAACCTATACCCTTAATAGTCATCATTTGTTTTATAAGAGTGCAGAAATTTGGACTAAGAGAAAAATATTATATTTTTTAACAGATTGCATTTTTCTTTTCTTAAATAAGAAAATAAGGCTAAATAAAACTGGTGACTTTTCCTTGGCTGGTAATTATCACAGATCAATGTTATCTAACAGAAACAAATGCAGATCACAAATGTGAGCTACACATGCATTTTTAATTGCATTAGCCTCATTAAAAATGGTTTTAAACAGGTGAAGTTAATTTTAATATATTTTATTCAAACAAAAATATTATAATTTCAATACAATATACAAGTTATTAATATGGTAGTTTACATTACTTTTATTCAAATTAAGTTGCCAAAATCGGATGTGTATTTTACACTTACGTGTTAATTTTGACTATTTATGTTTCAAATGCTCAATAGCCAGCTGTGGCTACTAGCAATGGTATTGGACAGGGAAGTTCTAAATGCAGGGACCAAAGCGGCAAACAAAACAGACAAGGTCCCAGTTTTCATAGTTTACATTCTACTTCAGGAAACATACAGAAAACTATAAAAATAACAAAGAGAAAGAAAAATCATGTGATTTTAAAATTGTATGAAGAAAGTTAGGTTGATGAGATAGATAACACTGAGGGGTAAGGGTGCTCCGCAGATGTGGCATTGGTGAGATCTGAACACATGGGGAACAGTCATGCTATGAGGAAGACCATGCTGGATAGAACAGAGAGCTTTTACAATAAACCTAAGATAAAAATAAGCCTGTGTGTCCACGCAACAGCAGCAGCAACAAAAGGATAGTGAGATCATAGCAAAAAGAGTAGAGAGGGAGAATGGTAAAGATATGGTCAGGGCACAGGCAGAGGCAGAGGATATAGGACTTTGGAAATCAGGATAAAGAGCCTCACAAGTGGCCAGTGGAGGATGGATCCTGGAAATGTCACGTGTTCAGTTGGAAACGTTGTAAGACTATGCCGCACAAGTGAGGGCAACAGGGAAAGAGTCTTCATAAAACATGAAACGAAGCCTCAATGCCTAACTGGATCAAGGCTATCTTCCTAGATCTATTTTCTCACAACTGGAAAATCACATCCACTTTGTTGGAATTAATCTAGAGCCTCTATGCTTTTTAATGTAAAATGTCCAGCATTTAACCCAAAATTATCAGAAATGCCAGGAAATGTGACCAAATGACCATAAGAAAAAAGAGGAAAAAAAAGACTAAATAAGCATTTTGGTAATCCAGGTTTTTGAATCGTCAGATTCCTGCTCTATAATAACTATGATTAGTATGTTCAAGAGAATAGATAGTAAGATGAAGCATCTAACTGGAGAGCTGAAATATAAGAAAAATGAACCAAGCTTTCCTTGAATTGTAGCAAGAAAAAAGCAATAAAAATATACAATTCAACAGATGGGTTCAAGAGCTGATGCAATACAGCAGAAGTGAAGATTAGTAAAATAAAAAGTAGATCAGCAAAAATTGCCAGATCAAAGTGCAGAGAGAAAAATAAAATTACAAGAAAAAAGATATTGAGGAGCGTAGAAGACATGTGGGATACAAAGCAAAATGGTCTAAATGAATGTTACTGGAGTTCCAGAAGGGGAGGAAAAAGAATATGGGGTTTTAATGTGATTTTTATTGTTTCAATGCTTCTTTTCATATTCTCATTTTTATTACTTAAGAAATATATAGACCAGTTCCTCATATCAAATATGAAAATAAATTCCAGATAGGTTCATGAGTTTAATGTAGAAAGTACACTCACAAAATAACCAGAATAAAAGGAGCAAGCAAATATTTTTCTTGCCATTACAATAATAAATGCAAAATCTGAAACCATTAAGTAAAGGTTGCTATATTTATATACATATGAATTTTTGCTTATGAAAAACACCATAACTAAAGTTCAGAGGCTAAGACCAAATGAGGAAATAGTTGAACCAGGTGTATGATGGAAATATATACAGTAATTAAAATCATATTTCACAAAAATATTTAATAACATGGAAAATGCTCGTAATTTGTATTGACATTTAAAATAGTTTATTAGACTATTTCTTCCAGTGAGTTTGGAATAACAAGGACTGGATTTACCCTCTCATAATAAGCAACAATAATATCAGACAAAACATGTGAGACAAGCGTTTTAGACACTGAACAACTGGCCTCACAGCACCACAATCCTTGAGATCAGGAAAAAGCACAGTGAGCCCTGAAATGGTCCCAGCTTACTGCTTGAAGGTAGTTTCCAGACTGCACTGCAGAGAGAGGGAACCTATAGAGAGCCAATAGTCTCACTGACTGAAGAGAACAGAGAATACAAATCAAGGTGGCCAAGGAAGTAATGAGGGAGCTGGAAGGAAAGAAAGAGAGAAAGAGAAAGAGAGAGAGAGAGAGAACGCACTGGTACAGAGGGGTCCCCTCAAGAGTTTGCTAATTATGAATCTGTGCATATGTGAGAGAAAATGACAAATGCCATAGACAAGAGATATTGGAATAGAGTAGGAAGAACCATTCTCAGAGTCCACACATAGCAGAGAATAGTACATGTTCCCATAAGCCAGAGTAGAGAGATTCAGGGAATTAAACAGCTATTATAAAGATGATCTGGGCCAGGCACGGTGGCTCACGCCTGTAATCCCAGCACTTTGGGAGGCCGAGCCGGGCGGATCACCAGGTTAAGAGATCGAGACCATCCTGGCTAACACGGTGAAACCCCGTCTCTACTAAAAACACATAAAAAACTAGCTGGGCGTAGTGGCGGGCGCCTGTAGTCCCAGCTACTTGGGAGGCTGAGGCAGGAGAATGGGATGAACCCAGCAGACGGAGCTTGCAGTGAGCCGAGATGGCGCCACTGCACTCCAGCCTGAGCGACAGAGTGAGACTCTGTCTCCAAAACAAAACGAAACAAAACAAAAGATGACTCTGTATATTCAAGAATGTAAAGGAAACATATCATTATGAGGTAAAACATGTGAAATATAAAAAGGACCCAAAGGGAACTCCTAGAGAATTTAAAAAAAAAAATCGAAATTAAAAATACTTTGGATGAAAACGCATACCTAGGCCCCATATCTTGTTTCTAATATCATACTTCAATAAAAGAAACTAGGGCTCCTTGGAGAAATGGCTGGTTCTATGACTGAGATAGAAAATATACAAGATGATCTTGGAATATTTCTTTATGGCAGAAAGTAAGGAAGTACAAAGGAAAAAAAGAAATTGATTGGGGTATGTCAAAGGGGCACAAGAACCAACTCAAAGAGTTCTCAGTGGCCAAACCTGAATTAATGTGAGTAGTAAAATAAATAGTATTGATTATAGCACAAAAAATAAAATGAATATCCATGAGTCCATACTGATATAAATAAATTATTAAATAAATAAATATATGGAGTGGGGAAAATAGGCAGATCTCCCAAAAACAAAAATTTCAAATAATTTAGGTAGATAGTCCACCACAAGGAGGGAAAATAACCTCACTGCTTAAATGTGGGCTGCACATAGTGACATTATTCTAAAGAATACAGTATGGAAAAGGGAAAAAGGAATAATTTTATATTGGAGCAACCTATCAAATGCTACCCTAGTAGGATGGTCAAAGTCAACACCAACAACAATAAATTATGTTGATAGTATGTACTCTTGATATGATATGATAAAAATGACACTTTGTCTCTGAGGGATTTTTCCCCAAAACCCATAAACCTTAATGTAAATGATGAGAACAAGAGTTGACAAATTCTCATAAGGGGAATTCTACAAAATATGTGACCAGTACTCTTCAAAACCATCCTGGTACTCAAAAACAAGCAAAGTCTGACAATCTCTGATAGCCAAGAGGAGCCTGTAAATATATAACAACTAAATGTAATGTAATATCTTCGATGGCATCCTAGAACAGAAAAAGGACATTAGGTAAAAACAGAAAATCTGAATAAAGTATGGACATTGGTTAATAATAATATATCAACATTGGTTATTAATTCTAGCAGATGTACCCTATGAATATAAGATGGATGTTTATAATCAGTAAAACTAGATTTGTGGTATATGAGAGCTCTGTATATTATCTTCACAAATTTTCTGTATATCTAAAACTGTTTTTTGTTTTTTTGTTGTTGTTGCTGTTTCTTGTTTGTTTTTGAGACAGAGTTTCACGCTTTTTGGAGAGGCTAGAGTGCAATGGCACCATCTCGGCTCACTGCAACCTCTGCCTCCTGGGTTCAAGAGATTCTCCCACCTCAGCCTCCCCAGTAGCTGGGACTACAGGCATGCGCCACCACACCTGGCTAGTTTTTGTATTTTTAGTAGAGATGCGGTTTTACCATGTTCACCAGGCTGGTCTCGAACTCCTGACCTCAGGTGATCCGCCCACCTCAGCCTTCCAAAGTGCTGGGATTACAGGCGTGAGCCACTATGCCCGGCCTAAAGCTGTTTTTAAAATAGTTAAGTCTATCTCTAAAATACATGGGGTGGTATTAATAGCATATTAAACACCGAAGGTTAAAAAAGGGAACTTGAAACCATAGCAACAAAAACAATCCAATATCAGACAGGAAAAAGACAGAAGTAGTCTCATAACCATCAATGGAATCCCAGAAGAGTAGGAAGGGAATTGAAGGGAGAGAGACAAAAAAAAAATAGTTGAAAGAATAATGGTCAGTTATTCTCTAAATTTGATAAAAATTATAAACATTCAAATCCAAAAACTCAGTGAACCTGTACGATCATGCAATGGTACTTCATAATCAAATTGCTCAACACCAGTGATGAAGAGAAGACTCTTAAAGGAATCTATGGTCAAAACGCACAACATGAAGGGAATAAAAGTAAGAATTGCCATAGGTTTCTTGGTCAGAAACTATGTATGCCAGAGGACAATGGAGAGACATCTTTAAAATACTGAAAGTTAAAAAAAAAAAAAAAGGCAGTGAATATAATGTTTAATAATAAAGGTGAAAAAAATTAACAACTATGCTAATAGCAAAAATATTAAAATATTTAGGGTATATACCTAACAAAATGTAATTGATTAGAGAAACTGAAGAAGACCTAAGTAAACAAATAATTATTCCAAGTTTACGGTATGTACTATGGTCTCAGAGTTTATGCTCCCTCCAAATTTATATGTTAAAACCTAATCACCAACATGGTAGTATCAGGAGGTAGGGCCTGTGGTAGGACATTAGGTAATGAGGACATCCATAAATGTCCTCCCAAACACACTCAGAAATAATGTTTAACCAAATATCTGGGCATCTCTTGACCCACTCAATTTGACACATAAGGTTAATAATCAATAACTCTATCCTTTGTCAATTTGGCATCCCCTGCACATAGATCTCCCTAAACCACACTTAATCTCTAATTAAGACAATAACATCATTATTCTGCCTAATATGATATAACTATCCAGTAGACAACCAGAAACACGCTAACCTCTTCACCAGAAGAGGGGGTAAAGTCTTTGAGTGATGTTTACTTTTGATATCCTATAGCTTAAATTACTATGATGTAAAATTAACAATACGTAAATACTATGGTATTAATAGAACAGATAAAACAAACATGATCACCACAATTGATGCAGAAAAGCATTTGACAGAATCCAACACTATTTCATGACAAAAACACTCAGAAAACTAGGATTAGAAGAGATCTTCCTCAATATGATGAACTTTATAAAAATTCCACAAGTAATATCATACTCAATAGTGAAGACTGAAAGATGTCCTTCTAAGAATCGGAAACAAGGCAAGAATGCCTGCTTTCAGCACCACTATTCCATGGTGTATTAGAAGTTCTAGTCAGAGCTATTAGTCAAGAAAAAGAAACAAAAGCATCTCAATTGGGGGAAAAAAGTAAGATTATGTCTATTTGTAGATGACAAAAATCTACATAAAGTCCGATAAATCCACAAAAAAATTCTTTAATATACACATTACTATACACCAGTAATATGCAATCCAGAATGAATGAAAATTTAAAAAAAAATAAAGATCAGTGGTTGCCAAGGTTCAGGGATGTGGGAGGGAATTTATTGCAAATTGATATAAGAAATAATTTGGGGTGATGAAAATGTTCAATATCATGATTATGGTGGTGGTTATAAAAATGTGCATTTAGTAACTCTATAAATTATACATTCAAAAATTGGTGGGTTTATTGTATATACATTATACCTCAAAAAGCTGATAAAAATAGATTTTTAAATGTGTGTTTAAGACCCTCCTTTAAAAATATTTCAATGCACAGAGAAAAGTATGGAACAATGGATAGTATAATATCCAAGAAGTGGGTTATGACTGACATAACTATTTTAATATGCTTTACTTTAAACTGCTTATCATGTATATACATTAGTTTTCTAATCAGAAGAAAAATCCTATTAACATATGTAAGAGCATTATGCACTTTACATTTATTTCCATTTAAGAGTTAATATTTTAAAGTATGTGCACTTACCATGTGAAACAGATCAACATTTGACAATGACAGATGGAGGTGTTGCAATATGCTGAGCTGACATCAAGCACTCAATGCCCATTTTCACATTATGTCTCATAAAAGTTTGTGTACTAGTACTCCATTTTTATATGGGCACAACTGAAAAGATTCCAAAAACCTAGATCATAACTGAAAATTCAAAGGCCATTTCCAATAAAACTGATGTGTTTGACTGGTAATCTGGAAAGCTGTTTGATCACCCAGGTCCATCTAAATTTTCAGCTGAGTGAAACAGTAACAAGACAGTTTTAAAGGACCTGGTAAACAAACGTCAAGTGACAAAGACTGGAGAAGCATAAGTTAGTATGGATGTTAATGAGCAAACCTCATCTTGTCCTTGTTTCACACAGAAAAACCTACTGGTAGAAGAGGAAAAGGCCGGGATTCCTGAGGACAGAATAAATGTTAGCCATCAGGAACGATGAAACTTGAAAGAATAGAATTACAAAACTAAGACTAGCTCAGACACAGACCAGACTGAAATTCTAGCAGTGGTAATCTAGTTTTGGAGAGGCCATAGGAAACACACCTAACAGATTAAGTAAAAAGATAAGGAACTGATTACCCCAGGTGAAGATAGTGGCTGAAGAATAAATATAGGTAGAGTTGAGAAGCTCATGGATAAACGTACAGACTCTCAATCCATAGTAAATGGTTTATGCAAATGTATTCTAATTCTACCATCATGGACAGTCCTTTGGAGAACTTCCTTAAGTATTTGGACAAAATAAAACTAAAAAGAACTTCCATGGGTACAGTGTTACTATATAACATGCACTGTGTATATATACATTATCTCTAGTCTAAATTAAATACCCCAATTTACCTATGAGTTTGTGTTAGTTGAAACAATTGGCAGAAATCTTTATAGTAAGTAAATAGAGCAAGTCTCAAATTTCAATCTGTTCCAGTGAAAATCCCAGACTCCTTCCAGTCTCATGCATTCCCCCACTCCCTCCAACACTCAGCTGAGAAAACAGGAGTCTGACCATTTGACCCAGCCATCCCATTACTGGGTATATACCCAAAGGACTATAAATCATGCTGCTATAAAGACACATGCACATGTATGTTTATTGCAGCATTATTCACAATAGCAAAGACTTGGAACCAACCCAAATGTCCAACAATGATAGACTGGATTAAGAAAATGTGGCACATATACACCATGGAATACTATGCAGCCATAAAAAATGATGAGTTCATGTCCTTTGTAGGGACATGGATGAAATTGGAAATCATCATTCTCAGTAAACTATCGCAAGAACAAAAAACCAAACACGCATATTCTCACTTATAGGTGGGAATTGACCAATGAGATCACATGGACACAGGAAGGGGAATACCACACTCTGGGGACTGTTGTGGGGTCGGGGGAGGGGGGAGGGATAGCATCGGGAGATATACCTAAGGCTAAATGACAAGTTAGTGGGTGCAGCGCACCAGCATGGCACATGTATACGTATGTAACTAACCTGCACAATGTGCACATGTACCCTAAAACTTAAAGTATAATTTAAAAAAAAAAAAGAAAGAAGACAAAGGGGAGCAGAGAGTGCCTGCTATGTCCCTTGCATCTACCACGTAAAACACACTGATTAAAGTTTGTTCTTTAGAATAGCCGCCTTCATGTTCATGGGGCATAGTCAAATTCCGTTCACATTCAAGCAAGGTTGTCCTTCCACTAATTTATTAAGTATGGGTGCTTCTCCTACCTCCCAGAGCTGGTAAAAGATGATGAGTCTTCCTTATTCTAAATCAGTTTTCTTTCCATAACGCCAAGTAGAAAGGAAAAAGTAATGTCACCTGGCTTAGGATCAGTCTAGCTATGACCAACAGGAATAATAATTCCTGTTCCACAAGGTGGTAAGAATTCAGTTACACAAACTTTTGAAGTACTCAGCACGAGGCTGACACATAATAGGTCATCAGGTTATGGTATTTATTACTAATGTTGCTTTCATCCCTTAGTGTCTGATAGGACAATCAATGTGACAGTTGTTTGAGAAGTCCCCATGGAGGGTAACTATCAGAGGGACCTGGCTCAGTGGACCTGATACTCCTGCTATTCCTATCTCCCACTATGTCATATTTCATCCCAGTAGTGAGCAATTCTTTGGGTTCTATCACTAGGTATTAGCTTCAACATGATACCTTGTAAATTCAACTCTCAGGCTCTCTTGCCTTTCCTGCGTCATTTAATGCCTGGAACTATACCTGCCCAAATGCATTATGCTATCTTTAAGAGGGAGGAAAGCAGCAATATAGCTCAGGCATGAATTCATCATTTATTTTTTTCATCAGTGTTTAAAAAGGAGAAGATGAAGAAGTAGACCTTTCTGCCTGCACTAACCCTGCTTGCTCAGAACAGTCAATCACAATTCTTGCCACTAAAACATGGGAGTTCTCGTGTGGTATGTTCGTGTATGTGTGTGTGTGTG
Organism: Homo sapiens; assembly: GCF_000001405.40. Classification (NCBI taxonomy): domain Eukaryota; kingdom Metazoa; phylum Chordata; class Mammalia; order Primates; family Hominidae; genus Homo; species Homo sapiens. The sequence continues at coordinate 71,702,533 of NC_000017.11, forward strand.
TGCACACGCGTATTTTTGAGAGAGAAAGTGAGATGAAGAAATGATTGCCTTTTTACCCCAAACATAGTTTTTCAAGTTCAATGTGTGATATATCAGACCTTTCACTTTGAGTTTTTACCGGCAGTGGTTCTAGAACAACCTTCTGAATAGCTACTACTTCTGAATTTTAAAATCTTCCTGGCCCTACCCTGAGCCACATTTTAAAGGTACGTCAACATGCACTTGGCTCACTCAATATTCAGGAACTTTATTCTTTTTAATATAACTTAATTTTATTAATACAAAACAGCATATCCCAGCACTGCCATAGAGATAAGACTCATGCTAATCTATACTGTGAAGAAAAAGGAACAGACACAGATAAGTACAAATTTCCAAAGAAGGACTTCTTGGCCTAAGCCAAAGTTTGTTTCACCTCCTTTTACTCTTGAGGAACTTTTAATTGCTAGGCGAAATGAACCGACTGAAATGAATGTCTAAAGGTTTCATAACCTCCTCAATAAAATCGAACATGTTTAATCAATCTCATAGAAGACCCCTGAGGTATGTCAATCACATTTCCTGTGGGACTTACCTACCTGGCATCATTAGATCCTATAAAATAATAGCAGATATTACCCTCTGCAAACACACATCCTTTTCATTTACCACTGAGATCTCAGCATAGGAATGTTTTACATAAAAGAATTTCTTGGAGATTGAGACCATCCTGGCTAACACGGTGAAACCCCGTCTCTACTAAACACACAAAAATTAGCCGGGTGTGGTGGCGGGTGCCTGTCATCCCAGCTACTTGGGAGGCTGAGGCAGGAGAATGGTGTGAACCCGGGAGACAGAGCTTGCAGTGAGTCGAGATGGTGCCACTGCACTCCAGCCTGGGCGACAGAGCAGGACTCCGTCTCATAAATAAATAGAATTTCTTTAGTGTCATGACCTAGTACACAGGAAATGCACATTCCAGGGCAGAAAGCGATATTTATTTTTTCAAACACCATTCCAGCCAACTGCCATAAACTTAGTTATTCTGAGGTCTCCTTGTCCACTTTATTTGGAGTCTGCCAACAGGTGACTAGATTCTAGAGTGCATTTATCTACCCTCCACTGGGTCCTTCTAATGCAACCAGGATTCCTCAAGGAAAACCCTCAGTCTAGAATCAGCAGCCCCTTCCAGAGCCTCCTCTGACATTCACACCAGGAAGTAATGTTCCAAGATGGTCTCAGAATTGTATTGACCACAATGGGTCAGCAGGAAGCTTACTAAAAAGAAAGAAAACTCAATAAGCATCAGGCATTCTGCATCAAGCAAACTAAAGTTGTAATGCAGTCACCTAAGGTCACCCAATCCTCTGAGATTTAAGGAAAATTGGCGTGAGCCCTTATTCCACATCCTGTGAGACATGCCTAGCTTTCCCCCAAGATTTTTGCAAAATACCGGAGAGTCTCATGTTCTCATAGTCATGTCTGGCTGCAAATTATTTGTCTTGCTGAATTTTCTCCTCACAGTTCATTTTGCTTGTGTCTCACCTCTTGTGGGTATTTTCTTTCTCCTGCTCCAGACATGGAAATCAATTGTTTTCTTCTTCCTCCCAAAGCATGACATTTTGGGGGTAAATAGATTACTGTGAAGGTTTTGGATGTGAGGGAGGTTATAGCACAAACATTCATAATTAAAAGCTGTAGACATTAATAATCATTTTTTTTTTTTGGAGATAGAGTCTCGCTCTGTTGCCCAGGCTGGAGTGCAGTGGTGCAATCACAGCTCACTGCAGCCTTGACCTCCTGTGCTCGAGTGATCCTCCTGCCTCAGCCTCCTGGGTATATGGGACTACAGGTGTGCACCACCACACCTGGTTAATTTTAAAAATAAATTGGAAGATGGGGGTCTCTCTATGTTGCCCAGGCTGCTCTCAAACTCCTGATCTCAAGCAATTCTGCTACCTTTATATCTCAAAGTTTTGGAATTACAGGTATCAGCTACTGCACCCGACCCCAAATCTATTTTTTAACTGATTTTATTCCTTCCAAAATCTCCAAGGAAACCTGATTTCCTGGAGACAGTGCTGTGGTTTTTAAAATCCCCCTTTAATAATAATTACACTGAGATGTTTCTGCACTTCAAGATGATGACACAGCTTCAATAATAAGGGCCTCTCAGTCCCTGTCCTTCCACCACCCTTATGAGGTATCTCCTGGAAAACCATGGCCAGGACCAAGGCAGTCATAATCAACAATGCAGAGAGATCTGGAGACCAAAAGATATTTAGAGGATGATGAAAGTGGGGTGTGGAGTGGTGACTTCAGGAATCTAGAGATAAGCCAATGAAGCCAGCGGTTATCTGATCAACAATATTGTCCCTGATTTGAGATTAAGTTAAAAACAAGATACAGGCCGGGCGCGGTGGCTCACGCCTGTAATCCCAGCACTTTGGGAGGCCGAGGCGGGCGGATCACGAGGTCAGGAGATCAAGACCATCCCGGCTAAAACGGTGAAACCCCGTCTCTACTAAAAATACAAAAAATTAGCCGGGCGTAGTGGCGGGCGCCTGTAGTCCCAGCTACTTGGGAGGCTGAGGCAGGAGAATGGCGTGAACCCGGGAGGCGGAGCTTGCAGTGAGCCGAGATCCCGCCACTGCACTCCAGCCTGGGTGACAGAGCGAGACTCCGTCTCAAAAAAAAAAAAAAAAAAAAAACAAACAAGATACAAAGGAACGTGACTAGGAACACCTGATTTTTTGTTCCCAGTCAACGGCAGGACAAAAATTCAAAAAATAAAATACCAAGCACAAGTGGTCTGTATCCCATATGGTATTCAGTTAATTTTTGTAGCACAGATCAAATCCTCTAATTCCAGAATTTGTGCCTAAAATGGCAGCTACAATCATAATATTAGTTTCTGCAGCACACAGGTCGAGGATGACCACAGTTCTTTCCTTAGACCTGCCTCTCCCAAGTTATACTTCAGTTCCTAAATGTCACTTTGAATATTTGCCCAAGAGGCCTTCCTGTGTCATGCATAATATATGACAAATTTGGACAAATCTAAGGCTCCTCTTTGAGTTTATCTACCATAGAAAATACCTGCATTGATTATTAGGCCAAATGAGATAAAAGAACTTGATTCATTCAGGATTCTCTGGCAAGGAAGAGATTAGGGTAGCAGGGCTGACCTGATTTATACCCCATCCCCTGATTTGCAGGGGATGAAACTGGAGAAGGACAGGATACCCCTTTACCCTAGAAAAAGGAACTGTCCTGGCAGGCTCATCATATTGGAGCAGGCAGCAGAAGACAGAAAGGGAAAGTGGTATCTTTTTCAGACACAGGGACTATCTCCTGTATCATTTTTTAACACTGTTTTTGTGGCTCTTACTCCAGCATTAAACACACAGTAAAAACTGAAAAATAAATTTTAAATGAAGTTGAGAAAATATAGATGTAGTAAAAGCCCTATAAACTTTGTACTGGAAGTTCCAGAAATGTCACTGTTTATAAGACATTTTCATTGATGTAGTTCCTTTTTTTTTTATTTCCAATCTTTCAATTTCTTTTTTTTTATTATTATTATTAAAGTTCTAGGGTACATGTGCACAACGTGCAGGTTTATTACATAGGTATCCATGTGCCATGTTGGTGTGCTGCACCCATTAACTCATCATTTACATTAGGTATATCTCCTAATGCTATCCCTCCCCCCTTCTCCCACCCCGTGACCCCATGACAGGCCCCGAGGTGTGATGTTCCCCTTCCTGTGTCCAAGTGTTCTCATTGTTCAATTCCCACCTATGAGTGAGAACATGTGGTGTTTGGTTTTTTGTCCTTGGGATAGTTTGCTCAGAATGATGGTTTCCAGCTTCATCCATGTCCCTACAAAGGACATGAACTCATCTTTTTTATGGCTGCATAGTATTCCATGGTGTATATGTGCCACATTTTCTTAATCCAGTCTATCATTGATGGACATTTGGGTTAGTTCCAAGTCTTTGCTATTGTGAATAGTGCCGCAATAAACATACATGTGCACGTGTCTTTATAGCAGCATAATTTATAATCCTCTGGATATATACCCAGTAATGGGATGGCTGGGTCAAATGGTATTTCTAGTTCTAGATACTTGAGAAATCGCCACGCTGTCTTCCACGTTGATGTATCTCCTTTGGAGCTTCCCAACAGTGCTGTGAGGTGGGGAGGTACTATTTACTTTATACCCATTGTCGCCCATGGAAATTTAGATGAATGAGTTCATTCCTGCAGGCCCAAGGACTAGACCTCCTCAAGTTTCTTTTGTTCTCTCAAAACATGTATAGTTAACTAGATTAAATTTTAATTTGCATAAAGCCTATGCTATTCTGTTTTCTCCATATGACTATTAAATTTCATTTTACCCAAGGCTTCTTTTTATAAACCACATCATGCATAAATCATGTCTCTGACTCTATGTAAGAGAGAAGCTATCATAAAGATCACTGGAATGAAGTCTCATAGAAAACCACCACCATTGAAACTCAGTATTTCCCTGAAACTGTCACTGTTCCCTTCGACCATGTCTTTACTTGTAATAGGATGGAAATGTGTTATAATCTGGTGCACAGCCTTAAATTGTCCTGACTTTTCCAACAGCACCTCTGGTTCCCAGAAAGACCCTCCTTCCTCTGATATCAAGTCCTGCAATCCCACAATCAGGCCAGGAATGGTAGGTCTATCAAAGCAAAAAGGATTTTGTAACAAAATTAATTACAAAACAGACATATTTTCCTTTTTTGGTCATTTTTTTGGAAGTTGGCAGTGCTTAACTCTCGCCTTCAGGGTCTATCAAGAACTGAAATCTTGATTTTATCTCGAATAGTTATGTAACTTTGAGTAGGGCAGTCTTCCTGTGTGTTGAGTCTCTCATCTATAAAATGATGAGTTTAGACTACTTAATATCTAAATGACCCTACTCTTCTGATCAAAACTTGGGAGATGGTTGCTATTACTGTGTTCTGGGAGGGCACCAAGAAAAGAGTATCCCAGCTAGACTCATCCAGGAAGGCTTCATGGAAGAAATAGGAATGGTGGTGGACTTTGGAGAATTGGAAGGCTTTTAACAGTGCAAAGACATTCCAGACAGAGGGACAAGGTAAGCACAGGCTTCAGGAAAGGAAATACACTGCGCCCTCCTGGAATTGCAGGGAGTGCTGCATGCCTGCTGTTTGCAGAAGGACTTTTCCATAGGCCTATTCTCTTTCATATTTTTTTTTTAAAATGAAATTTTATTTTAAAGCAAATAAACATCAAATTTTTTTGTCACAACTGTCTTGAATTATAATTCACATAACATACACTTCAATTATACACAGTCAAAGCATACAATTCGAGAGTTTTGAGTATTCGGTTGATGTAAAAGTAATTGTGGTTTTACATTACTTTTGCACCAACCTAGTATGTTAACAGATATACTGCAATCACATTCAGTTTTAGAACATATTTATCATCCCAAAGGAAATCCCAAATCTTTTAATCACTACTCCAAAATTCCCCCATCCCCTTCCTCATCCCTAAGCAACAACTAATCAACTTTCTCTCTATAATCTACTCTCTATCTCTATTCTATCTATAGATCTGCCCTTTCTGGACATTTCATATAAATGGAATCATACTATATGGGTTGTGACCAGCTTCTTTCACTTAGTAAAATATTTTTAAAATTCATCTATGCTATATTATGTATCAGAACTCCATTCATTTTATTGTTAATATTCCATGGTATGAATGTACATTATGTTTACCTATTCATCAGTTGATTAACATTTCTGGTGCTTAATGTTGTTAAATATTTATGTACAAGTGTTCATGTGGACATATGTTTTTATTTCTCTTGGTTATGTACCTGGGGTGGAATTGCTGAGTTGTATGGTAACTCTGTGTTTAACATTTTGAGAAACTGCCAGACTATTATCCAAAATGGCTGCACCATTTCACATTTCCATCAGCAGAATATGAGAGTTTCAATTTCTCTGCATCCTCAACCACATTTCTCATTATCTGCCTTTTGATTATGACAGTCCTAGTGAATAACTTACTGTGGCTTGGATTTGCATTTTCTTGGTGACTAATGATATCACACATCATTTCATGTTTAAATTCATTTATGTTCTAATTAAATATGTATATATTAAATTCATTCATATTCTGATTAAATATTTGTATTTTTATTTTGCAAAAATATTCAGATCATTTGCCCATTTTAATTGCGTTGTCTTTTAATCATTTTGTTGTAGGAATTCTTTATATACTCCAGGCCAGGAATGTCCAAAATTTTGGCTTCCCCTGGGCCACATCATAGAAGAATTGTCTTGGGCCACCCATAAAATACACTAACACTAATAATAGCTGATGAGCTAAAAAAAAAAAAAAAAATCGCAAAAAAAAATCACCAAAAAAATCTCATAATGTTTATGAATTTCTATTGGGCCACATTCAAAGCTGTCTTGGGTCACATGTTGGACAAGCTTGCCCTAGGTAAAAGTACTGCATTAGATATATGATTTCCAAGTATTTTCTCCCATTCAGAAAAAAAGTCAGGTTATTAGCATTATCACATTTGAAAGAACAGAAAAGAACAAAAAAGTCTTCCAGAACAAGATTACAAATACTGCACTATTTTCTGCAAAACACAATTTAATTTTTATATAGCAAACAGCAAATATGTTAAACTCTACTTTTAAAATTCATTAAAGTCACCCCCAAAGTTGGTAGGTTAAAAAAAAAAAAAAGCACACAAGAACACGTAGACATAGATGCCTCTACAGAGAAGAACTGTTGATTACTCCAGTAAGACTATTGTAGCTTTTATAAATCATGTTTTACCAATTCACATGCTAGAATTACATCACAAAATAAGCCATGGAATGCATCTGGCCACATGTTGTAACCATTAAAATGATGTTTCATGCTACAGAGCATGTGTTAGAGGTACTCTCTACATGAAGTCTGACTAGATAGTTCAAAATCTCTTATGATTGACCAATTAGTTGCTTCCAAAGAAAGAACACCACAAACCCAGAAGATATGTAAACACTGGCTCATTAGGGCAAGACATTTTCTTGTTAGACTGAGGTCTCCGTTGTGTGCTGAATGGTAAAACATAATTCACTGTTCATTTTGCTATGAACACCAAAAGATTTCATTTCTGAGAATACACCCACGCAGAGAAAGGTGATTTCAGAACAGAGCTCAGGAAACATAATCCTTTATATGAAGTGAATTCAGAGTCAGGCAGAGAGCTTGCTCTCTGCTTGTGTCCACTTCATCTTCTGCTCTGAAAACTCCAGCTGGGCTCCTTGCTCCAGTGTTACCTTAAACATTCTCTTTCCTGGAGCAATGTACGCTGAAGTGCATCTAAAATAGCTGAATCCTTCTCCAGTGAGCTGAGCCACAGGCCTTGCACGGAAAGACCTGGGAAACATTAGCTAGCTTCTGGTCTGGCCATAATGAAAATAAATGAGGGCTTCAATTTAAAGTCGTTACTAAAAATTTGTTCTTTCCTCCATTCTAATTCTGAGACCCACTTGCAGCTAATTAGAATGGTTCCCAGCGTGATCTCCCAGCACACTGCTAGTGTAAACACCAACCATCTGAGTTTCATTACAATAAAGAAATCAAATAAACAGTGGACCAGAAAACAGTAGTTTGGGCATGGCTCATTACAGCACAATGCAGTTAACATTCCTCACTTGGGAAGGAAAAGAAGGCATTGGGCAAGAGGGGCTGATGTCCAGTGCTTTCCATTCTTATTAACGATATTAGTTGGACTGGGGATTATTTTTTACTATTAACGAGTTTTGGAGAATGAGGAGGGATTTTTTTCAATGGAAAAGAAAAAGAAATGCCCTCTGAACCTTGGTGTAAACAAAGAGAAAAGGTAATTATTGGCTCTGGGCTACTCACTGCTTCTCCAGTTTCTCATAGGATGTACTGTTGACAATTTACATAAGGAAAAAGAAAAAGAAAAAAAGAGGAATACAGTATCCATTAATCTACTCAAGGGTTTTTATTATTTATCCTAGGTACAAACAAATCTTTGCCAATGTAGGATCGGTATGACTATATGATTGCTAATATACAGAATTTTTTCAAAAGTAAAAACTTACCTAAGAGAGTCACTCTTTTATTTAGAAATTTTACTTATCTCATTCACACTAATAATTGGAAGTATTCATGTAAAGAATCATTCTGTAGGTTGTCTATATTGTTTAGCATGATCTTGGAACCATCAAAGGAAGAAAGATCCAAATATTTCTGTCTCTAAAATTTAACCCTGCTTTTAAGTAATTATTGAAATCTAAAGACATTTATTGAATTTGGTTCAGAAACTCAACAAAAGAATGAGTTCTTTGGTAAAAGCATGTTCTAAGAAGAAAATATTAACCAACTACAAGGCCTCATGTGATATTACTTGTGTGCCTGTGACTCAGAATTCATAATTGGACCTTGGATCAGGTCAGGATTTCATTGCACATGATAGAAATTGCTTAGCCCCTCAGTTATAATGCAGCTTCAGTGAAGAACATGTAGACATACTCATTTCCTCTTTGAGGCAGTCTAGGTCTAGGTGTGTAAATATCACGTCACTGGTGCTTAAAATTTTAAATTGTTAGAGAAAGATTATAATACTTAGCAGAACATATTCACTCAGAAGTTTCCAAATGCTTTGGGCTAAGATTAAAATACTCGCAAAACAGCCCCTTTATGCTTCTGTTTTGACCACTCTGAAAACCTGTTGCATAAAAGGACCCAAAGCAAGATCCTAAACTGTATAAATCAATAATTGAAAAAAAGTCACAAAAACTGCAAATGGTATTGAAACTGATCATCTTAGAGAAAAAGAACAAAATAAATGCATGCTCTGACCTTGAGATTCATTTTAATTTGTGGAAGGAAACAATCACTCATCCCTGAGCAGAGAAAAAAAATAAAAATAAAAAGGAGAAGAAAAAAGAAAGGAAAAGAAACAGGGAAGCATTTGTCTGCCACAGCTGTCTCAGTAAGGAACTTAAAGAAAAAAAAAGCCAGCTTTCTTAGAACAATTTAATGTATTGTTTTGGAATTAATTGTCTATTATCAACATGTTGAAAGAAAGTTAAACTCAAGGAAAATGAAAGTGAATTTCCAAAGAAATTAAAACTGAAGATAGCAATTTTTAAAATCTCAAAGAGCCATCATTTCAATTTTCCTAATCTGCTTAGTCTTAAAACAATCTATTAGGTTGGTACAAAAGTAATGGTAAAGAACACAATTACTTTCGCACCAACCTAATACTTTTGTACAAAAGACATATACTTGGTGTCATTCAACAAGTATTTATTGAACATTTCTCTGCTAGATGCCAATCTATTTACTGATTTTTAAAGTGAAATTTGTGCACTCTGATGTCCATAGCTGTAAAATAAGAGGTTTCGATTGGATAGTTGAGAGGGCTGCCAAGTTCTTAAAGTTTAGAGCTATTATTTCACCATCAGGCGATGTACCATGTCTTAAGCTCTGCAATCCAGCCATGGTCCTTTACCTGGTCAAAATTCTCCATGACAGAGCATGGAAGAGAACACTGCTATCATCAGAACTGACCAGCCTCCTGTAAAGCCATGAGTTTTAAGGATTGTAGTGTTTAACGGAGTTGAATGAGGAGGCTTTACCATTCCTTTAGAAATTATCTTTGCATATGTATTACTCACGACTAGAATAATGTTGGAAAAATAATGTAATCGTTTTATAAATGCCCCCAAAATGACTATCACTATCACCTTTCATTTTCCTTTACAGTAGGTAATTTTTTTCTAAAGCATTTTCATTGTTAATTTCTCATAACAGAATGACTTACGTAAAACTCATGGAGCCCAAGTGTGGCTTATAAAATTGTAATGGAATATTAAAGTGAGCAAACTGAAATGAACTGTTTAAATTATTTTGTTATTTCCCATACCAATGTCCTGTATTGTGCAAGGACCTTACATGCATTATTTTATTTTGTCTTTATAGCCATGCTATGGGATCCACACTTTAACAAATGATGCTGATGAGAAAACAGAGATCATTTTCTCAGAGCTGAGAAGTGAAGGAACTAGGATTTGAAACTGGGTTTACTCATACAAAAGCCATGCTCTTTCTACAACCTTGTGGGTTTTTATTTTTATGCATAAAGTACATACTTGGCCACAAAGTAGATTTTAGAAAATAAGCATACTTAAAATAAAAGGTATGATGTAAAGAGCATAGAGTTCTGAGGTGTAGTGACCCTCATTAGAACATGCATCAAAGCTTGCGTATTCTAGCAAATAAAACAGAAAAATAATAATGCTTAACCCCAGAAAACTAAAATATTGAACTCTATAGGTAAAATTTATTTTTAAAGAATTTTGGGTTGCTTTTCCTCTGCCACATGGTATGCTGATGGAACATAGATCCCAGCATGATAGATTACTCAGAAACTGAAATAGTCTAAAGAAAGCATAACCCAACATAAAACATTTATGGAGAAAACAAAAGGAATGAATAACTGATTCCCAAATGGTTCTCTATTTGGAATTATTCATACTGTCTGTAAGATCATCACTGAGGAAAACTGAAAAGGAGATATGACATTATGATAAAATGAGCATGGAAAGGGCACAAGAAGACTGTTTTTCACATGTGCTCTGCCACTGACCAGTTGTCTGAGTTTAGGTATAATAAGTCATTTCTACCTTCTACTACTTTACATCTGTTAAACTAAGAGTGTGCTCTCAGATTTCCCCTCCAGCTCCGATGCTCTCTTAGCCTACAAAGCATTAATAAAAAAGAATCTCAGTGTGATTGATCGTGACTTTAACATAGAAATTACTCTTCTTCTGGTGGATGGGAAATTCTCTGTCTCTTCAAATCACATCTATTATTGCAAAACTCAAAATAAATGTTCAGAAGTTCCATCAAGGCAGAAAAGCAACCGATGCTATCAGAAGTTTACAGTGCTGAGTTTAAAAGAATGTGAATATATGTGTGTGTGTGTATTCATGTGTTTAGTGTGGGTGCATGTGTGTGTGTCCAGAGAAGGTCACGAGTTTGACCTTCTGGAATCAGCAAAGGTTCCATCCACGGAACCCGCTGTGACGGCATCTGGAAATTCCTCACTTGGGTCAGTGGGGAGACATTCTCTGTTTACATTGCTTTTGTTTTATACCCATGTGGTGTTCAACATATCAATAATATATTTCAATCTCATCATGAAACCCTTTAATGATTTACTTTTCAAACCTCCCAGGTCCATTTAGCCACAGGAAAACCTACTCCTTTTGTTACAAGCTGAAACTATGACAGTCAAAACACAGACAGAAGAAAAAGCACTTGCTGGAATCTGCTGTTGTTCCTGCTGTTTGCCGGCAGTTGCCATAGTGGAGCTTTCGATGTTTAGAGAGCACATGAGGAAGGCCACTAATGTCCTGTAATAACTTTTTCTAGAAGTGACACATGTCAAAATGCACAGTTTTTGCACGATTGGCAATATTCATAGAAGCATTTTCTGTGAAACTGATTATAGCAATCATTGATTCTGGAATACTTTAGTGCTTTACTCCTAAAAATGTTATAGACCTTTTCATATATATCATATTCTCCTGTGCAGATCACACCAAAAGTTCACTTAGTTCTGCACCATCATCAGAAATTCTCCAAGTTATATGGAGTGTGTTACTGATGTTTTGTTCTGCTCAACATACAGCTTTGTAGTGACAGTGGCCACTCAACGAGGCAACAAGACAATTCTCGGGGAATGAAACTACCCACCTCTCCAGACACCCAAGCCAAAACTTTTAGCATTATATTTGTCTCATCCTTCCCACTCACCAACTGGTTCTAGTTTATTTCCACCTCTGTTTACTCTCCCACCTAAAATTTCTCACATCAATGCATTTCTGTCTCCATCACAGCCATTGCTGTCCCCAGAACACTAACCTCTGTAGCCTAGATTCAAAATGTCTGCTATATATGCTCCTATACTCTCCCATATAGCTTTATTTTTCTACAATGGGATGGAGTAATTCTATTTAAATGTGATCTAATTGTGTCATGCGCATTTGTGAGCCCCTCAGAGATTCCCTTTGTTCACCTAGATGCTCAATAAATAGTATGTATTGTCTCAATGACTTTAATTGAATAAACAGTGTTCCCGCAAAGGTATTTATGCACAAAACAAAACATTAGTAAGACATTCATATACATTTGGAAGAAAATAGGGTAAGCAAAGTTGAGCAAAAGAAGAAACTTTATTTTTTACAAGTCAACTAACATTTATTTGATAAATATAAAAGAGACAATATAACATCTATCCTTAGTTGCAAGTTACAAGTAGAAGACAGTGTGGCTATTCCTCAAGGATCCAGAGCCAGAAATACCATTTGACCCAGCAATCCCATTACTGGGTATATACCCAAAGGAATATAAATCATTCTACTATGAAGACACACGTACACGTATGTTTACTGCAGCACTATTTACAATAGCAAAGACTTGGAACCAACCCAAACGCCCATCAATGATAGACTGGATAAAGAAACATTTATTAACACATTATGCACCTGGTGATTGATATACATGGTCTCCTTTGTGATCCCTCTTTTTGTGTGTCATGGGAACCTTTCAATATAGGTTTAATTACTCTCACTTTACAAACAAGAAAACCAAGGTGCAGAGAGACTAAGTGTATTGCTTATACAGTTACACAGGTAATAAAAACCAGGGCCAGGGTGTCTGTCTAGTTCCAGTGTTTTACTCTGTTCTCAGTCCCATGCACTAGATGAGTTAGTCTTGCCCTCATTCCTTCTTGTGATGAACTTCCTCTCCATAGTGAATTATCTCCTTATTTCTTTAGTAATTTTCTGCTCTCTTAATGTCTCTCCTGAGTTAAAAAGGAAAAAGGAGTTTGCACCAGTCATCTCTTGCCTACACGTGCCTATTTCCACAAAGTCATCTCCCATTCATTTCTCAAATCTCTAATAAAACTCGGCTCCATCCCTTTCACAATCACTTTCTACTACGGTCTCCAATGACATCCATGTCACAGAATCAAATGTCCTTTTCAGCCTCTCCTGCTATAACTTCTTAAGAGCAAATCATACCGTCGACTACTTTCTTTAAATTAAACATTATCTTTTCCCAGAAGCTCCTAATTTTCTTTCTTTCACCCTTTTCTCCATGTCTCAATTATCTCATAGGCTCATCTTCTTCAACAGAAGCTTTTAGTTCCTTGTTAATATTCAAAAGTCTATCCTAGGCTCTTTCTTTTTTCTCCCTACACTCTCTCCATAAGAAATTTGATCCACTGTTGAACAATCATAGACATTTAGGTAATTCTTGACACCTTCCTTTTCTTCATCTCCCCCATACCCATTTTATTACATACTCCCGCAGGTTTGAACTTCTATATCTTCATAATCCATTGACTTAATTCTATTTTTATCAATCTTGTACTTTTAGTTATTGGAGAAGATGGAATCAATACAAAAATAATATTGATATATATATTCCTTTGTTCCCTAGAGAGGAAAAAGGTCAGATCTGGACCTTCTGTGGTGATCCTGGGCCAGTGGCTTTGAAATGTTTCTCAATGGATTCCTCTCTTTATGAAACTCCTCCTCCAACAACATGTATCTAATCTCCCCTCCATAAAAAGTCCCCTAAACTGTCCCTTCCATCTCTGGCCAGTCAAAACATGAAGTAAAATAGATACTCTATGGACAGAAGCCTGGAGAAATTCAGTGACGCTATTTGCTTGGGAAAATCCTGTAGCATAAGACCAGTCATAGAGATTGTGCTAAGTGTATATTTCTCTGGAGGTTGGTAAGCATTTCCTGTTTGGGCTTTTAATAGAGATGGGGTAGGAAAACCTCACCCCTCCCTCAGGCGAGAAGGCAATCTGACCTAATGTGCATTAGGTTTAATACACAGTCCTGTGGTTGCCTTCAGCATTCCTATTCTTATAGCACATACTCAAGTGTTCCCAATGTCAGAATAAAGTAGAACAGGCAAAGATCAATAAGTAGCATCAGGTCAAAAATGAAATTACAATGATGTCAGAAAAAGAAGACAGAGGAGCTGGGACTTCTGAAAGAGCAGTAGAAAAAGCTAGCAGACTCTCTCCTCAGAGAAATAACTTTTAACTGGTGAAAATTATTTTTAATGTAATGTCTCTAAAAGTAAACATTTGATTTAAAAACTTTAATAAATCTCAGTAAAAACAATAAGAGTCATGTGTGCATTTGAGTCATGAACTCCCTCCCCACAACTCCAAATTTTAGTGTGATAGGAGCCTACTCTGCATTGATGACCATAAAGTTAGGACTTCCTTTCCCCCTTTAGCTCCAGTCTATGATTAAAGTTTTACCCCAGGAGAGACAGGCTATTGGCATCTCTCATATGCCCCCAGCACCATGTTTCAGAATGATTCCAGGCAGAAAGGGTTGAAAGAACTGGAGAACAATGGGTAGAAATTGTACTCTAGATTTTGCAGACTAAGAATAGTGGGCTCTCATTGTCCCCACCACAGCTTGCTCATAAAGCAAAGGTTTCACAGAGGAAGGGGCAAGCTGAGAAGATCAGGAGCTACCATACCTGACCAGTGCTCCAATAATAATGAAGGAGTGTCACTTCTGAAGAAGTGTGATGCTGTCCTTTTTACCAACTCCAGAGCAGTTGTGCAGTTTTTGCTCAAGGGGATAGGCAGTCCATAAGAACGGAGAGCTCTGAAACTCTTCCTAAGGGCATTGAGTTTATATGCAACTGACTATGGGGAAACTCGCAATAGACATACTAGTAATGAGCAATAGAGAGGACACTGATAGCTTCATGATAGGAGTAAGTGAAACAGTAGACCACTAGAAGGCTTGGAGTTGGGGCAAACATCAAAGTCTAGCAACACCCTAACTTGAAAAAGATGCCTGAATTTAATTGGATCGGACTGTGGAACAATTTAAGTCACAGAGTTTTGGTGAAAACAATACAGCAATCAATTTGCAAATAGTGAATTATAATAGCTGAATATAACATCAATAGACATACCAGCAAGAAGCTTAAGAGGAAGGCTGGGAAAAGGAATAGGCAAAGAAAGCTTGGGTAGAATCACACTTATCTCTGTTGGTCAGAAAGATTGCACGTATGCCCAAAGCTGCACTCTCTGTGGAGTGACACCAGAGGCATTATGCTGTGGATGAAATTTACTTTCCGCAACTGTTCTAGCTAAGTCCATAAACAAAGAAACAAGCAAACAAGAACAACAAGTCCATGGGGACAAGGTGAGGTTTGGTATCCAAAAGGTCCATTTCAACAAAAGAAACTACAAGACATGTAAAGAAAACATCTGATGCATACACGGAAAATAAAAGTGAATAATTGAAACTATATATATATGTGGGCCCAGATGTTAGACTTGGCAGACAAAGACTTTCATGCTATTATCATAAATACATTCCAAAAACCACAGGGAACCATGTTTAAACATGTAAAGGAAGGTTTTATGAGAATGGCTTATAAAATAGAAAACATCAACAAGTATAAATTGTTTTTTAAAAGAACTAAATTAGAATTATGTCATTGAAAAGTACAATAACCAAAATAAAAAATTTACTGCAGACAATCAGCAGTGTAGGGCTAAAGTTTTTACCCCATGAGAGATAGGCTACTAGCATGGCTCATATGTCTCCAGCACCATTTTAGCTGGCAGAAGAAAAATAAATAAATAAATAAAACAGCAAATGTAAAGTTAGATTAAGAGAGATTACATAATCAGAAGAACAGAAAGAAAAATATGAAGAAAAATCAATAAAGCCTCAAAACATGAAATGGGAGTACCAAATAAAGAGTAGAGAGAGAAACAAAAATATTTTCTTAGAAATACTGACTAAAAACTCCCCAGATTTGATGAAAATCATTAATCTGAAAATTAGGAATCTCAATGAACTCCAAGTAGAATCATTACCAAAGACTACCACTCTTAGACACATTATATATGTATATGTAGTCACATTATATATACACACCTTATATATACACCCACACACCCACACACACAAAACTCAATAAATAACAGCTGACTTCTCATCAAAAAACATGAAGGCCAGAGGCACTGGAATCGTATATTCAAAGTACTGGTAGGGAGGGGAATGCCAACTAAGAATATTCTATACAGTAAAGACATCATTCAAACAAGAAAGTAAAATAAAGACAGTTCAACAGAAACAAAAACTGAGAAATTTTTTCTTGTAGGTCTGCATTATAAAAAATATTAAAAGAAATTATTCAGGCTGAAAGCAAGTAACACACAAAAGTAATCTGATTCTACATGGAAAAAATAAAGAGCTTCAGTAGTGCTAATTATATGGGTAATTATGAAAAACAATATTATTGTATATTTCCTCTTTTTTGTTATCATACCTGGATTTAAAAAGCAATTGCATTATATAATATGCATGTAAGTGTGTTGGGACTATAATATAGAGAAGTGTAGCATATCAGACAATAATAGCATAAAGGAGGTGAATAGGAGCAAAGCCCTACTGGAGTAAGAAAATGATACCACATGATAAATTAAATCCACAGAAGAAAAATAAAGAGAACCAGAAATGGTAAATAAAATGGTTCCTACAACAAACTTCATAAATACATACTTGCTCTCCTTTCTTCTCTCAACTTCTCTAAAAGACATATAACAATATACTGAATAACACACACACACACACACACACACACATAGTGTATTACAATAACAGCACAGAAGAAATAATTATATGGAGATATCCAGCTATATAGGAGTAAAGTTTCTGTATCTCACTGGAATTGAATTACTATAAGTCTGAAGTAAATTCTGATACATTAAGACATATATTGTAAACCCTAGACCAACCACAAAGCAAGTAAATTTTTGAATAGTATTAAAATTATTAAAGGAATTAAAATTTTTACTGGAAATTTTCCACTTGCTGCAAAAGGAACAGGTAAAGGAGAAACAAAGGAACACAAAATTCTGAAGATATGTAGAAAACAAAAATTTAAATGGCAGAACAAACAAAAATTTAAATGGCAGAACTAAAGTTCATCACTTCATTAATATCATTAAACATGAATAGACTGAACAATCTAATCAAAAGGCAAAGATTATCACACTGGGGAATACAACAATAATAAAATCCAAGTATATGCTGTCTATGGAAGACATACTTTGGATTCAAAGATGTAAGTAAAATCATGAAAATAAAATATATCATGCCAATAGCAACCATAAGAGAGCTGAAGTGATACGCTAATATGTACTAATATACAAATATTAGGCTAAGTATAATTTTAAAATAAAAATGTTACTAGCTATGAAGAGAGACAATTTATAGTGATAGAAGGATCAATGTATCAGGAAGACATAACACTTATAAACATATATTCACCAACAACAGAGCCACCAAAATGCATAAAGCAAACAATGACGGCATTGAAGGGAGAATAGACAATTCGACATGATTAGAGACTTCAGTATGTACTTTCAATAATGGGTAAAACAACTAGACAGAAGATAATGTCATTGAAGACCTAAACGACACCCTAAAACAAATAGACTTAAGAGATCTAATAGAACCTTTCACTCAAAAACAGCAGACACACATTCTTTTCAAGTACGTACAGAATATTCTCCATATGCTAGGCCATAAAACAATCTTCAATAAATTTTACGAGATTGAAATCATACAGAATATGTTATCTAACTACATACAATTAGATTAGAAATTAACAACAAATGGAAGTTTGGGAAATTTACAAATAGGTAAATACACATTCATAAATAACCAATGTTTCAAAGAAGTAGTTATTAGAAAAATTAGAACATCCTTTGAGATGAATGAAGACAAAAATACAACATAACTTACAGGTTTAAGTTAAAGCTGTGCTTGGGGGGAAATTTATGTCTGTAAGTTCCTATATTAAAAAAAAATTAGGGCTCAAGCCAGTAACCTAACCTTCCACTTTAGGTAACTGGAAAAACAAGAACAAACTAAACCCAAAGAATCAGAAAAAAGGAAATAATAAAGAATAGAACAGAAATAAATGAAATTAAACATAGAACAATTATAAAGTCAACAAAGACTAAAGTTGATTCTTTGAAAAGATCAACAAAATTGACAAAACTTAACCTAGACTGATCACATGAAAAAGAGAGAAAACTCAAAATACTAAATTTTTTTTTATTGGAGATAAAACATGAAGCCTGTGGATGTGTAAGCAGATAATCTTGAAAAATCCAGACAGACAGGGAAATCTGTGAATAGATTGAGGTCCCTCCCCATCAGCACTGCAGGAAAGAGCACTGGCAATTTGAAAACCAATTTATGGAGACTCTACAGGTTCTGAGGCAGGAAACAAGGAGAACTTAAACATGGAAACCGAACTAGAAATTGGTCTACCAGATCTGGCACCACAGAAAGAGCTGTTTCAGAACAAAGCCTGAAGTAGTCATCAGAAAAAATTCACAAGTTCCGAGCCAGACAAGCTACAGAGAGGACATGATGCCAATACTTCAAATATTAAGCTGGAGCTTCTTTAATCCCTAATGCAAAGATCAGGACTGGTACTAAAAACTTGTGCAATTGTCATGTGGGTTAAGTCACCTCTACTGTTAGGAAAAAGCATTTTCTGGATTCTGGGAGGTGTGACCTTGTAAACTGAAATCTACCCCAGTTTCTCACATTCTTATTTATTTATAAGGAGGCAATTTCAGTGTAATTAATTATAAAACAGAAGTACATATGGATCAATGCTTTTTACAAACAGAAAGGTGTGTGTGTATTCAAAACTATATATATAATTTAATTTTTCTCAAGACAAAGATATATCTCATTCAGTTTTATACCCATAAGTTTTGGGGTTTTTTTAAGATCTCAGAAAAAGTGAAGAATTTAAGAAGTTACAATCTGGGATATGAGATTTTTACCCAAAATGCAATATTACATTCTGTCACTAGGTCAGTGGTTCGCAAACAAATTTGAACTACAAATTTGTCAGGGAATTTTTTGTTTCTGTTTTTCATTTTTAATACAGACTCCTACCTCTTGATGAGAGCAAGCATTTGTTGAGTCCTTCCTATGTAATGGGCAAGTGCCAGTGTTCTCTTTATGCTACAGAGTAACCTGCGTATACAGAGTAAGCTGGGGAAGCTGGGGAAGCCGGAGCCGTGAAATTAAATAACACCATAAAGTTACCTAGCTAGTAATGGGAGAGCTGGAATCCACACACAGGCAGTCTGGCTCCAGAACTGAGCACCATATTAAAATACGCATCAATATTTCAGGGAAAGTGCTCAGAGTGTTGTATGTTTTTAAAGCCATAGAAGAGACTCATCTGTGCTTGAGAACCACTGCCCTGGCACTTTTCTGTTTGAAAGTGTACTTACAAACAGGCTGTGGTTCCTCCAACATCTGTGCTAATATTGCATTAAGTGTTAAGTATTCAGGAAAAAGCCTGTTCTTGCTTCTTCTTTAATTGTTTTAGAGAATTCCTACATAGCTTAACAAACATGTTACTTTGATAATAAAGTACATGAATGTGTCTTGAATATACCTTACTTCAATAATAGGTAATAATACCAATAATGATGTCTACAGCTTAGTGTAAGACATTGGGCTGAGTTTTGAAATTTACTATCTCTAAGTCTTGCAACATTATCATCATTATAAAATGATAGAAATAGAGGCTCTAAAAGGTCCAAGGTGCAAATCCAAATCCTGGATTTGAACTCAGCTATATCGATTTCAAAGTTATTGACCTTTCCAAGAAGCCTCAGAGGCTTCATACATTGTACTTTTAAGAGGGAGCATATTCGAAGTCTGTAACTGGACCTGTTTTAAATTCTGTCCTTTGTTGGTTCTTTCTATGGTTCAAGACAGTTAAAGTCCTTTTGGCAATCATGATTTTTTTTGAAGTCCCTGCAGTTTCTGGAAAAGATAGATGAAAACAATCTTGCTCCCCATAAGGTTTCTGGGGTAGGAGAGAGAGGATTAACACAATCAGAGTCTGGAAGAAAACGAAGAAGAGATTAGCTGGATGCTGAATCAAGTAGCTATAAAGAATAGTAGCAGTGTTGGATGACAAAGTGCTGATAGCTTTTATATTTTCAACTATCAGCATAGATTATTCTAGCAAATGACAATAAAGAAAGAAACTTCCTTGACTTAACAATTGTGTGACCCCTTGGGTCATATATGAAAATACTCAAGTAAATAGAAACATATGAACATTTAGTGTGAAAATCAGTGGCTACATACAAATTTTTAGCCTCCAACTCAGTCACTGACACTCCTTAGCTGACCTTGGGCAACTTATGGAGCTTCTGTGGACCTCAGACCCTCAAGTTATCTATTATGAATGCATTAATATATTCTATGTCCCTTATTCCCAGGTCTAAATAAAGATGTATATCCAAATTAAATGTCACAACACATCAAGTACCCAAGAACCTTAAATTCCTGGAAACCAGATAAGCCACATAGTGATGTGAGGGAAGTATCTACATTTGCAGAAGTCCATAAAGACCACCTTGACTTGTGTTCCAGAAGTCACATTAGGCAGTCCATCCCTCATTTGTTAATCAGAAGAGATGTTAAGCCAAGATTTTCCTATATTTTTATTAATTTTTGATCAGAGGAGAGAACTAAACTAGGATTTTCTTTAGTACCTTCTTACAGATCTTGATAAGATGTTTCAGACATCAACAGGAAAAGACTAGAAGAAATACAAAATTTCTCTCTTGAATGTTGCACAACTGAAACTTGTATACCTTGCTTTGGGAGTGTAAATTGGTACAACTGCTTTGGAATACCATTTAGTCTTATTCAAGGAGGCTAAACATATGCTTAGTCTATGATCCTATGTCCTAGCAATGTTCCATTTCTTGATCTGGGTGTTGTTTACATGGCTGTGCTCAGTTTAAAACAAATTTTTGAGGTTATACTTACATTTTGAGCAAGTGTCTATATATTTGCTATACATCGTAAAATACATTTTTTAACACTGTCTTATCCTAACACTGCAAGCTTTGAATAGCTGGCTGGGGAGCATTAGCGGACAATGATGTTTAAATGCATCATCTCACATGATTATTATGTAACTGTATGTTATGAGCTGAATTGCTTCCCCCAAAAAACATATGTAGAAATCCTAAGCCCCCATACCTGTGAATATGACCTTATTCAGAAATAGGGTTTAACTGAGATAATCAAGTGAAAATGAGGTCACACTGAATTACGGCCTGCCCTAATTCAGTCCTTATAAGAATTCATTCCTTAAAAGAATTTAGTCAGATGTCCTTATAAGAAGATAAGAGATGGCTGGGCGCTGTGGCTCACACCTGTAATCCCGGCACTTTGGGAGGCTGAGGCGGGCGGATCACGAGGTCAGATCAAGACCATCCTGGCTAACACGGTGAAACTCCGTCTCTACTAAAAATACAAAAATTAGCCAGGCATGGTGGCGAGCACCTGTAGTCCCAGCTACTCAGGAGGCTGAGGCAGGAGAACCTGGGAGGCGGAGCTTTCAGTGAGCCCAGACCGCACCACTGCACTCCAGCCTGGGCGACAGAGCAAGACTCCATCTCAAAAAAAAAAAAGAAGAAGAAGAAGAGAAGAGATGTGGACAAAGAGGAAAAACACTGAAACAGAGATGGGAACTGGAGTGATCCCTCTACAAGCTGAGGAACACCAAGGATTACTGGCAACACCAGGAACTAAGAAAAGAGAATGGAACAATTTATTCCCCACAGCCTTCAGAGAAAGTGTGGCTTGGCCATGCCAACACCTTGATTTTGAATGTATAGCCTCCAGAATTAAGAGAATGAATTTCTGTTGTTTTAAGCCACATAGTTTGTGGTAATTTCTTACAGCACCTCTAGGAAACTAGTACACCCTACAAGATAGGTGTTGTTATCCCCGTTTTAAAAGTGATGTAACCAAGGATCAAACAAGTTAAGTCACTTGGCCAAGATGACACATCTAGAGAGTGTTCAAGCTGATACACAAAAGCCAGATGTGTTCTGATTTCAATTAGGGGTTGGTAGGCCAGGCGCAGTGGCTCACACCTGTAATCCCAGTACTTTGGGAGGCCAAGGCAGGCAGATCACCTGAGGTCAGGAGTTCAAGACCAGCCAGGCCAACATGGTGAAACCTTGTCTCCACTAAAAATGCAAAAAAAAGCTAGGTGTGGTGGCAGGTGCCTGTAATCCCAGCTACTCAGGAGGCTGAGGCAGGAGAATCACTTGAATCCAGGAGGCGCAGGTTGCAGTGAGCAGACAATGCACCATGGCACTCCAGCCTGGGAAACGAAGTGAGACTCTGTCTCCAAAAAAATAAAACATATATAAATATAAATAAATTAGGGGTTGGTGGCCACATCACTAAGCCAGCTGCCAGCAAACTCCCTCCAACAACCATCCTTCTGCATCATGCTTGCTGCCAGGAGTTTTTTGCCTCTATCCCTAAGTCTTTGAACTAGTTGTGAAGTGATTGTTGGTTATTGAAAACAGTTAATGATGTTTAAGTTCACTTAGAAGGCCATCTTCTTTTGCCACTCACTATATGCCCTTCTATCTTATAGCAATCAATCAAAGCAAATCCACTGTCCCCAGATACTTTTCATGAAGACAATTTTGCTCCTAGTTTCCAGAACATAAAACCAGGGTAATCCTGCATGCCCATCTCACATCCCTGAACACGGTGATGAATTCATAAATGGGCACATACCCCAATCAGGCCAATCAAGGGCAGCAAAATTTTCAAAGCCTTTGATTGACGTTTCATAGCTTTCCGTTCTCTCAGTAACCTTACAAGAGTGAAGATACAGCTCCAGAGTGAGAAAGAACTGGCAAAAATAGAAAGCGAAGACTCTCGTCAATACCACATGCCTAAGCCCTGAATTCAATCGGAGTTAAAGCCAAACTTATGGTAGACATTTCAACTTACAAAAGCCAGTAAACTACCTTTTGTTTCAAAGACCATTTATTACGGATTTTCTGTCTGTTGCAAGTAAGAGCGTCTAATCTAACATAGCCTTGTCTTCAACAATCTCCATAAATGCTGTATTTATTTCAGGAGTCACCTCTTTCTGATGACTTCTTCCACCTAGCGTACTATGAACAGCTCTAGGATGTTGGGGAATAAGATAAAGTTTGCTGGAACGTTGCCTCTGATGTTCTCTTCCTAACTGAAGAAGGAACAAAACCAAAGTCTAGTTGACCATACAGACCACCTGGTACATGTCCTGTTGTCCTCAGGGTGGAAATTTTTGGATCTAAAGCCCTTTCTTCTCTTCTCTTAGCCTTTGCCAGAGAATAATACAGAATCATGGCAAAGCAAAGCTGCTCCTACCTGCCAGATGGCAAGGCCCAAGCTTAGTGGCTCAGAGGGTAGGAGTTGGTGGCAAGGGAGAGAACCCATCTGGTTGCTGACAGCATGTAAGGCTAGTGGGGCATAGACACCCATGCTTAAGAAAGGAATACGACCTTTAAGAAATCTCAAATTTAGAAACACATACTAAACATCTCTTCCTGAGCTTAGAAGGAGCCTGAGCTTTCTTACATTTCCCCGTTAAGTTTGGAAACTTTATCATTGGCAGAGGTAGTAAATAAAGTCTCCTAGATGCCGGCATTAAAGAGTTAAGGAACCCTCTGTTTTGTTTTTAATTTTTTTCTTTCTCTTTGATATTAAGATTAAAAAAGGCACACATTTGAAAACTAATTTACCCTATAAAAAATTAAAGCATTTTTTACCACTGTTTGCTTTTCCAGTTTCTTTAATTTGGGTAATTGCTTAGTCAACTTTCAAAAATATATATTCTGTCTTTAAAAAAACAGCCAAATATGACGGATCACCTTCATTTTCATTTCAGATTTGGCATGCAGGACCCAGATTGTGTATTCTTTCCATGGCGCCAAACCAGCGTCGGATACTTAATTAATTTCCTTTCGTTTGTGCAGGCTTGCACTTAAAGAGACAGTGTCCCATTTTGATGGCTTGCTTTTGGCTGAAGTTCAAAAGTATCACTTCTTAAATCTTTTTTCCCCCTTCAAAACTTCCCAGAGTGCTCTATAGAAAAAATAAAATAAAATAAAAACACCCTGGTGTTTTTCTCCACCCTCACCCTTCTCTTCACCACCATTTCTTTCACTCTTATTTATTCGTCGTTTAAACCAATCTTTCCTTAAAAAGAAAGAAAAAAATGAGAGAAAGGAGGAAGAAATGAAAGAAGCACAAGGATGCATGCGCTCTTGCTTCTTTGCTCCCTGTGTTGCCTTCCAAGCTGGTGGCGAGGCTGCACTTCATGGCTATGTCAACTGGTCAAAGTCACTGGAAATGATCAAAGACTTTTTGAACACTAAAATAATATCTTCTTACCACAAATGAAGGCCTGCATCCTTTTCATTGACATTTCATACCATCTTCAGGATAAAACAAAATGTTCTTAAAGACAAGTGACAGCAGGGTGCACCTGGGAATAGCTATGCTGTTGAGGGGAAGTGAGGAAGTTGCATGTTTGCAATAGAGAAAGAGGCGGCCAACACCAGGGAACATGCTTGCATTTTGCAAGTCCTTTTCCTACTGGAAAGTCCTGAATTATTCAGCAGACCACATTATTCTAGAACAGAATTTCCTGGTTCATCTGTTCCATACATTGTGGCACTCAGTATTACATTCTACCCAGCAATTTTACACGCTCATGTCCTGAAGAACAAAGTTATTCCAACAAATTGTTGCACAGTGTTTTTGTTTTTTCTCTCTTCGCTCAGCTCGCTGCCCCAAGAAGAGAAATGGTGGGAAATATTTAATTCCCAGCTCACAGAGACACTAAACAGAAATAATTTTCTATGGGAAGTTTGGCTTTAGCCTAGTTCTGAAACGAAGGTTCCTATTCCACTGTGGCTTAACATCTGCTGGTTTGGGCCATTCTTTCCTTCTTTCCTTCCTTCCCACCTTCATTCCGTCCTTTTTTTTCCTTTCTTCCTCCCTTCCTTCCATTGTGCTTTGTAAAAAAATTGTGGTAAAATACAACACAAAATTTGCCGTTTTAACCATTTTTCAAATATACACTTCAAAGACATCAAGTACATTCATGTCATTGTACAGCCATCACCACCATCCATGTCAAGAACATGCTTTTACCTTTCTAAATTGAAATGCCATACCCATTAAATAACAACCCCATTGCTCTTTCACCAGCCCATGCCCATCACCATTCTACTTTCTGTCTCTACAAATCTGACTACCCTAGAAGCCCCACATAAGTAGAATCATACAATATCTATCGTTTTGTTACTGGCTTATTTCACCTAGCATAATGTCTCCAAGATTGATCCATTTGTAGCATATGTCAGCATTTCCTTTCTTTTTAAGGCTGAATAATATTCCGTTGTACACATGGTCCACAGTTTGTTTATCCATTCACCTACTGATGGACATTTGGAGTGCTTCTGCCTTTCGGCTATTATGAATAATGCTGCTAAGAAACACAGGTATATAATATCTGTTCAAGTCCTGCTTTCAATTCTTTTTTAAATTATTTTGTTTTACTTTTTCAACTTTTATTTTCAATTCAGAGGGTACATGTGCAAGTTTGTTGCCTGAGTATATTGCGTGAAGCTGAGGTTTGAGGTACAAATGATCCCAGCACCCAGGTTCTGAGCGTGGTATCTAACAGTTAGTTTTTCAACCCTTCCCTTACCCTAGCAGTCCCCGGTGTCTATTGTTGCCATCTTTATGTCCATGAGTACCTGATGTTTAGCTCCCACTTGTAAGTGAGCACATGTGGTATTTGGTTTTCTGTTCCTGCATTAATTCGCTTAGGATAATGCTCTCCAGCTGGATGTATATATACCCAGAAGTGGAATTGCTGGGTCACATGGCAATTCTATGTTTTAATTTTCTGAGGAACCGCCATACTGCTTCTCATAACAGCTGCATTATTTTATATTCTTACCAGAAATGCACAAAAGTTCCTATTTCTCTACATCCTTGCCAACATTTGTTATTTTCTGAGCCATTTTTCTTTTATCAAAACATTATTCTGTTGCCCGGTAGTTTGCTAACTTCCCAGCAACTTCAGCATTTATTATGCTTGAGCCTTTTCCCAGTGCCAACGAGGTAGGACTTTTCAGCTGATCCATCCTTCCCAGGTTGAACTGGAAGGTAGAAACAGACAACGGGAAAGCTTATGGATCTAACCTCCTGGTGACTAAAGCTGAAACAGCCTTCCATGGTCTGAGAGTAGACGTTCAGCCTGTATAGGCTTGGTGAAAATAATTCTTAACTATGATCCAGCTGTCAGTGGCAAGAATCTGCTCTAAAATCATTTCTACAGCAAAAAGAAGTGAGCAAACTTGGAAAGAATGCTGAAGTAAAGCAACTCCTTGTTGGTGGCCATAAAACAGCAGTCCCTATTTCCACCTCTTCAGTCATCTTTATTGCCCCAGGCCCTGGGCAGTAGGGAACCTGCACTTCATATTTTATTCTACCCCTAGGTATTAGCTTTACTGTCTATTCTATATAATATATATTCTATAATATATACACATTTAACATAACAAGCACAATGTATTTTGTTTTCTATGTAATATTTTTATCTTATATTGGCAACAAACTATATATATCCACACCTCTTAGGAAAATACCCCACTTGCAGAAGTGGAAGATAAAAAGCAGTCAACACTTTGCTTCCTCTTATGCCGGTGTCATCGTGTCTATGAGATCTTCAGACTTTTCTACTTCTTGCTCTACCTCTAGGTTCCTGAATGAGCTGTATTTTCTTTTCTTTCTTTCTTTTTTTTTTTTTTTTTTTTTTTTGAGATAGAATTTTGCCCTCGTTGCCCAGGCTGGAGTACAATGGTGCGATCTCGGCTCACTGAAACCTCTGCCTCCTGGGTTCAAGTGATTCTCCTACCTCAGCCTCCCTAGTAGCTGGGATTATAGGCATGTGCCACCATGCCCGGCTAATTATTTGTATTTTTAGTAGAGTCAGGGTTTCCCCATGGTGGTCAGGCTGGTCTCGAACTCCCGACCTCAGGTGATCCGCCCTCCTGGGCCTCCCAAAGTGCTGGGATTACAGGCATGAGCCACTACCCCCAGCCAAGAGCTGCATTTTCTATAGTTCCTCTCTATAGTCCCGGCTGTTATATTGACTTGTGTGGTCCATCATCGATTCATTCTCTGCATCCAATCCAGAGAGAGCACCCCCTAGAAAAGCTTTCCTCCCTATCTAAAAATGTGTCAAAACTGACCTAATGTATATATTCAAGGAATGTAGAAGACAGAAAACAAAGTGTCAGGGAAGAAATGGCCCTTCAAACCATATCCTTTGTAAGTTAATGATGACAAACAGCAACCAAAATCTCAGGCCATATTGTGATATGGTTTGGACTTGTGTCCCCACCAAAATCTCACATGGAGATGTCATCCCAGTGTTGGAGGTGGGGCCTGGAGGGAGGTGATTGGATCATGGGGGTGGAGGTCTCATGAATGGTTTAGCCCCATCTCCTGGTGCTGTTCTTGTGACAGGGAGTGAGTTCTTATGAGATCTGGTTGTTTAAAAGTGTGTGGCACCTCCCACCTCTCTCTTGGTCCTGCTCCTGCCATGTAAGACGCCTACTCCCACTTTGCCTTCCGCCATGAGTAAAACTCCCTGAGGCCTCCCCAGAAGCAGATGCCGCCACGCTTCCTGTACAGCCTGCAGAACTATGAGCCAATTCAATCTCTTTTCTTTATAAATTACCTAGTTTCAGATATTTCTTTACAGCAGTGAAAGAACTGACTAATATGCCTTGTGATTGGTAAAAGGGAACTAAGAGGGTTCCTATTGAAGAGAAATTGACTGATGTATTGGCTAATCAAATCAGGAGGTCTCCTTAAACAGCTCGGAATCTAATGAGGAAGGCAAGTTAAAGAAACCACAGACAAGGAAGGCCAGTTTGTACTATCAGCTCCTTGGGCAAGCCAGGGATGACCAGAAATACCCAACAGGGACAAATCTTCTCTCTAGCTAGAGGAACAACCACCGGGAAAGAGACAATCCATGACATCAAGCTGAAAGATGATATTGGCTAGTATTCAGCCTCAGATTCATAAGCCACATATCTGCCCTCTAGAGATGAAACTTCAAGAGCAAAATATGTTTCTAGTGAGAGGAAATATGAAACGCCTGCCAACAGACACATTTATTTATTAAGTTACTATGTATAAGCACTGTGCTGTCTATTTCATAAATATCATATAATTTAATTATTATATCACCCACCAGAGGTGAGTATCATTCTCCCCATTTTACAGGTAAAGAAACTGAGTCAGAAAGGTCCCATAACTCATTCAAAAGCCCAGAGGAAATGTTGGAAATCTGGCTGGAACTTTATCCATTAAATACACAGACGTACAAACAATGTCCCAAACATCTACTGAATGATAATCATGTAAATCTGGAGGAAATAATGTGTGAACAGTACATAACATAATTTTCTAGCTCTTGGATCATCACACTATCCCCTGTGGACCAAATCCAGTTTGCCATCTGTTTTTGTGTGGCCCACAGACTAGGAATATCTTTTATGTTGTTAAATGCTTTGGAAAAAAAAGCAAGAAAAATTTATGATACACAAAAATTATATGAAATTTAAATTTTAGCATTCATAAAATATTAATGCAACACATTACTCATTTGCATATTGTCTATAGCTGCATTTGTGCTGCAATGGAAGAGTTCTCAGTTGTAACAGACACAAGACTTCCAAAAGCGGAAGAATTCACTGGGTATTTACAGAAAAAGATGTTGAGCCTTCTTCTAGGCAGAGACAACTCTTCTAGAAAATATCTCATACAATAAAGATTGATTATCACATTGTTTAGTGTGTAATTCATGTGTTCTCAAAATTTTCCTTAGAGGTATAGCAGTTACAGACATACCCCAAATACATAAATCTGTGCTTGTACTAAGAGAAACTTGGTGTCAATTATTCACTTTCCAAAAGGATTCACTAGATGTCATCCTCAGTGATTTTCCTTAGAGCGTTTCAGGTGGGATTTGAGTTATCAAACTTGGTTTCATTTGTGCTTTCGTGAATATACCTATTTGGTAAGATCTGTTTTGCCAAATTCAGTCCAATACAAATTGGTCTTGAATCCTATTCAAGGGAGATTATGTTTAAAGGACCTGAGGGACTTCATTATAACCACAGCTTCTTCTACCCCGGATGCCCCATGGCCTAAGACTCCCAAGAGCAGCAGCTTTCCAGCCATGTCCTGAGTTTCTGGGGCAGAGTAAAGTCAGCAAATCAGGATTTGCCTTCAGCCATCTCTCAGTTAGGAAAAATACAGATTCTGGGGGAAAGTTATTCACAGAGAAAGTAAAATTGCCAGTGGGCCTTTTTTTTTTTTTCTTCCAGAAATAAAAGGATACAAGATGAGTGAGATAGTATAGAGGTTAAAATTTTAAGATATTAAAAATATCTCCTTTCAAAGCCACAAGACCCAAAAGACTATTAGGGACACTTCCAATGCTCCATTTATTCAACGCATGGCAGACTGATGATAGGTATTCATTCTGGAACACTGAGCAAAGAAAGGTTTAGCCATTAACTAATATGAATACAAAATAAGCTGGATTCACGAGCCAAAATTGGGATATAAAAACCAGGCCCTTGAGTCTTCTTAAATAAGTTCTTAAATAAGAATAAGTTCCTCTGGGAAAATAACAATGCATTCGATTTTTGTGCGGGTTCCTGGTTGAATTTAGTCATTATGACTCAGGAGACTTCACTGATACGTTTTAGTAAGTGTTGGAGTCTCCCCAACCACCCTATTTAAAATGTAGTTTCTCCCCAGCCATTCCTACCCCTCTCCTGCTTTATTTGTCTCAATATCACTCATCATCATCTGACATACTATCTGCCATCATTATTTAATTGCTTATTGTCCCACTTCCAGAATGTGAGCTCCATAGGGCAAGGGCTTTATCTGTTTCATTTGCTAAATTCTCAACCCAGCGTCTGGCTCACAGTATGTACTCAAGTATTTCTGAATGAATTAAGTAATTTAAAAGGGGGTTCTTGGCCTGGCTCGGTGGCTCACACCTGTAATCCCAGCACTTTGGGAGACCAAGGTGGGTGGATCACCTGAGGTCAGGATTTCGCAACCAGCATGGCCAACATGGTGAAACCCATCTCTACTAAAAGTACAAAAAATTCACCAGGTATAGTGATGGGCGCATGTAATCTCAGCTACTCGGGAGTCTGAGGCAGGAGAATCGCCTGAACCCGGGAGGCAGGGGTTGCAGTGAGCCAAGATCACGCCATTGTACTCCAGCCTGTGCAACAAGAGAGAAACTCCATCTCAAAAATATTAACAATAATAAAAGGGGTTCTTAGCCGAATGTCAGAAAGAATCTCCTTGGTCTTTGTGAATTGCCTTGGGAGGAGATCTGCACTTTCTCCCAAATAGTGGAAACACTAACACGATCACTAAGTCTCTAAAACAACAAAGACCAATTTGTACTCTTCCTTCCTACAATGTTAGATTGCTCTATGCTATCAGTCAGAACCAAATAAATACCTAATGTTCAAAAAACCTGGCACCTGACACTTCACAGGGAGTTGACACCTAAGTGTGATTATCTGGATTTCTGAAAGAATGAATAAATGCAGGAGATAGTAGATATAAAAATGAACCGGCATACTTTGGTAATTGATCACCAGAGAGAAGAAGGTTCATTCTGCAAATATAATATTTAGTTTCCTTGATACTACTCTTTGCAGGTTCTCCTTGACCTTCTCTGATGTTTCCCTCTGAGTCTCCCTCTAAAGATTATTTTCCTTTATCTCCCCCTTAAGTGAGGATATAATCAAGGGTTGTAAAATATGCTAGAATTTCATGTTTTTCTATATCCAGAAACACTTAGAAGATAACATTTGCACAGGACATGAAGGAACAGGGAATGATAAGGCCATTATCATTGCTCCTGAAATTCTGCTGGCCCAAATCCTGCCCTGTCATTTCTAGACACCCCATAGCAGCCCCAAAGTTAAAGGAATCAATATTTCTGTGTACTTATAACCTATCTAAGACACACCAGGATACTGCAGCACAACAGCTAGACAGTTCTCCTCTACTCTTCTACTTCTATACATTTCCAGTCAATCTTATTCGCCTATGATTTCATCAGCACCAAGAGAGTGATAACTCTCTCCACCAACAACTCTTCTTCAAATGCCTACCTCTCCCTTAGCGTCCAGGATTCAGAATCATATGTACCACCACTGATTAAACACACCACCAAGATGTTCCACACCTGGCTGCATCTTCTACCTAAAGCATTCTTCCCTCCTCCTCCTCCCTGTGTAGCAATTAAGCCTGTGACTCAAGGTAGAAACAGGGAGTTACCCTTTTTTCCTTGTTTCTCACCTTCCATATCCAAAAAATCACCTAGGTTAGCCATCCTCTCTCTTTTACATTAGCTGTCTCTGCTTTAGTTCAGGCCCATCTTATCTTTTGCCTAAACTGTGTAAGTGGCCTAACATATCTTCATTCTTCAATCTGCTCCTCCAATCCAGTGATGGGCTGGAATCAACTTTTACTAGCGGATAAAATCCAATTATGCTCTTCTCTTCCCAGCTCTGGGTTTAGTGACTTTAAATTGGCACCTTAAAATTTGCTAAAATGAAAGTATTTACACCATGGAAATTGGCAAATGCTAGAATCAGGACTTTTTGTTGCCAGACAGTAAATTGTTAAACATTTGCTAGTATATTGCTGTTCAAATCTAACCTCTATAGAGAATAATTCATTGAGAACAAAAATTTAGCTATGCCAGACACTTGTTTAGACCATTCTGTGGCTCCTCATTATCTACAAGATTAATCCAAGCTCTTTAAAGTATCACAGAGAGACTTTCTGAGCTCTGCTCCTGCCTGCATCTGTTATCTGGTAATATGCCCCTTCCTTTATGGGTGCCATTAGGCAACATTCAATTGCTTGTAATTTTTCATATCAAGCTATTCTTGACCCCAGGATTTTGCATAAATTGTCCCGGAAGCTTCGAGTCTCTTTCCTTTATTACCCTCTGTTGTATAACTAACTCTTCACTCATACTTCAATACAGAGTTGAGACAATATTTTCTGCAGAAATTATTTTCTTATCACCCCTAGACTGTGCTGACCACTCACCATATTCTGGACAATGAGAGCCCACTTTTCCTATTTCTGCACTACATTTGCTATATTCTATTGTAATTATGGGTTTCTCTCTCCTCTCCTGTAACCCCTGCGGAGAAACTAGGAGATACTTGAGATCAGGAAGCATGCATGTTCATCTGTGCACCTCCAGTTCCTGAACAGTAACTTACATATATTTTAAATTCAACATATATATATATATATATATATATTTACTGTATGGTAGGTGAATGAATGCATATTGGATGTGATTATAGTAATTTATAACATTTTAAATAATCCTGAAGCCTGAGTTCATACTTTCAAGTCTACTGTTTGTGATTTCTTCATTACACAGGGATAAAGAGGCCCTTAGGTTTCAGCCACATTCATACTGAGGCACTTTGCTGGAGGCTTTTATAAATACATGTTTTTCAGAGGATCATTCTCTTTTCTGTATTTATTTTCTGTGCATCTGGTTTGACCATAGCACAGCTGCAAATAAACTGTCCACTCATTTACAATTAGAAAATGTGTGTGTGTGTGTGTGTGTGTGTGTGTGTGTGTGTGTGTGTTTCAAAGGGAGGAGACTATGAAATAGACAAGGGGGTGGTAGACTTCTGTTTAACAAGCTCACCAATATTTGGTTTGTTTTCTTCCTGATAGACAGCCAAGCTACCAGGAGAGCCATTTAAAAATGCACTATAAAATGTTGTCTTGAACTAGTTGTTAGAATTGGCTTTCTCTTCTGTTATTTTTGCATTAAAATACAGTGAGACTCCTGTACATTAATTGCTCCAATGAGCTTTGAAATGTAGCACTGTGGCTAGCAAAAGAGGCAAAATATTCATTTCTAAGTTTGAATAGCTTTGTCAAAAAAAAAAAGATAGGTGCTTCTTGAACTTCAGCTCAACGAGCAGTAGCTAAGACACTTAACAAATTATTTTCCTTCCTGGAAAAAAAAGTAATAAGCCTTTTAAGAGATGTTGCAATAACAAAGAACATCCTTTACCATATCTTTATGTATTCTATTTGAAGATCCCAAAGAAAGTGCTGAAAGCAGTAATTCCACAAGTATGTATTACATATATTTCCTTTATTAATATGGTACTTAAATATCAGAAAGAATAAGTGCATGATTATGCAACTAAGCTCAAGGCCATAAAGAAAAGCCACTAATTAAATTTGGAAGTGATAGGCATTTGCTGATGTCAAGGAATAGTTTATTGAAATTATTCTGCAAAGGTTTGATGAAAGATTTTCTTCGTACCGCCCCCATCTCTCCCACCAAAAGTCCCACTAACCATCTGTTCACCCACAGCACTACCAAAAAGGTGACATTTATTGCAAGCTTGGCATTTTCTGACTCTTTGACCGCAAAATTTATGCTGAACTCCCCAAAAAGAAATGAAGTTGTTTTTACTTTTTCTCCATCTCTCTTTTTGCCTGACTAGTAACAGGAAGTTCTTGGAAACCTCCCCAAGAATGGCTGGTCTTGTAAGAGTCCCAAACCAGTCTTGAAGGCGCCAGAGCCTTGGCACATTTGAGGTAAGGGTTATGGAAACACCTGCACCGCCCCTTTCAACCAAAGTTCCCGTGAGTAAGGCCCAGAAGTTTGCATGGTTGTTTATCAGTGGTGACCCTGAGTGAGGAGAGCTCATGCAAAAAGCTCTAAGGCTTGTCCCAACCAATCTTGTACATTGATTGCACAAGAAAATGCTTATGAAGTATTTTAAAGTGGGTAGTCAAATTAGGACCCTGAGCTGAAACCTGAGGTCAAGCTATGAACTGTTCCCTATTCAGAATTTCTCCCCTTGACAAATACAATGTATAGTAGGAGGGAAAAATCATGGCATGACACCTCATTAGTCGTTATGAGCAGATCTGTTTTTGCACCTCGGGACTCCTCAGGAATGATTTGTGAGGCAGTTCACTGACATTCCTGCTTCAGTCTTCACCAAGCAATCTTAAACCTTTGGGCCTTTGTCCTCTCCTTCTCTATTCTGTGATTAGAATTCTGAAGGAGTTGGAGACAATGCAAAAACAATAGTGATTATTTGCAGAAATACCTCCTCCAGTGCCTGAAGCTAAAAGGGCTCTATCTGATGTTGTTCTGGATCTGGGAAATATAAGGGATGTCAAGGGACAGCATGAGGGTTGCTAGGAGAAAAGGCAGCCTCTAAGGTCTCTGGTGGACTGCAATAGCCATAAAGCTCAGATAACTCCCTATGCTAAAGAAAGGGAAGGGGCTGTGACCAAGTTGCAGATGAGGAATTTTGTTCTGCTTTTCTTTTTCTACTTCCTGTTAGCTTCATTAACTTCCCTGTCTCAATAGAAGCTAAAATTATGAAGATGTAATGCTTCTCATTGAAGAATTTCTTCTGTGAAAGTACCCCAAGCCCACAAAATAGCTTAATAACCCAGCTCACTGATGTCTGCAAATCCACCATTAAATATTGTTTTCGTTTAAAGTCTGATGGCTCACTGGAACAAAATGTTCCCAGAGAAACATATCAAGTGATAGCTATTATTTTCATTTTATTAAAAATAAGTAAATTGATCCATAGCTAATAATAGATAATGATTCACTGAGAGCTTACTTGTGCCTGGCACTGTTTGAAGTGCTTTATATGCAATATCTCATTTAATACTCAACAACAAACCATGCATAGCAGTCATGGTGGTTGCTTTGTTGAGTACATTTCAACTGACTATCTCATGATAATTATTACAATGCCATTCCTTTTTTCAGTGTTGGGTTAAGCGTGGGCATGCGACCAAACCTACTAAAAAACATAGGAAAGGAAGTCTGATAAGAGGTTTCTGTATTCTAAAAAGAAGATAGAGTAAAAGAGATAATCTTTCATCTGATATCACACCAATATTCCTGAGTGTGACAGCTTGAGTTAATGCAATCTCATTGCCACCACATCATAAGATGTCCCAGAAGAGAGAAAAATCTGAGCATTGAGTGTCACTATTGAGCCACTGATCATACTGCATCTAGACCAAGCTATCTTCCTGATTTCCACTGATGTGAGATCAATTTTATCACTGGGTAGATGAGTTTGACCTAGGTTTTCCTGCCACTTTCAGCAGAAAGTATCCTGATGTACAAAGTGGTTGATAACATTGTCTTTCCCACTCTACAGATGAAGAAATTAAGGATCAGAGAGGTAAGATAACTTTCTATGTTTCCCAAGCTAGAGAGTTATAAAGCAGTGATTTGAACAAAGGACTCGGGCTTCTGAAACCACCCTTTTAACTATCATGGCATACTTAAAAAATATAAAAGAACTACAGTGTTCAAGAAAACAGCAGCGTGATACTGGTTCCATGGGTAAATTATAGGAATATAAGGAGATAATTGGGAACTCTGGGACATTGAGACCCTTGGGTGGTAAGAATGTATGGTGTTCTTTTGAGGCCTTGTACAATAGTGGCAACAATTCAGCTCAGTAGCCAGTCATTGAACCCGTTGGGTACTGTTTCCCACAAGCTAACAGCTCACATCTTTGTAGCAAATGAAACGTGTAAACAATTGACTGCAAAAGAGGCATTATAGCATAGAGGCTACAAAATAACTTTCCTTTAGGGGACATGAGTAAAGAGTGATTAATTCCAGCAGAGGATGAATCTCTTCATCCATTTTGCCTTTCCATGGCTCATGCTACTCCAGAACTTCACTCCATATTACCAATGGCAAGTGCCACAAAGCTTTCCAATCTTTTTTTCTTCTTCACAAAACTTGTTTGAGCCCATCACCCCATAGGATGTGGAAAATTGGTTTCTTTTTAAGGACCCAGGATAAGGGATGGAGTGCATCCTCTTTAACCAACTGATAGGGCTCCTCCAGTCTCTCTGGCTATGAAACTTCAAACAGACTGGAACTGAAAGTAGTATCTTCATCCTCATTTACTAATCAACAACTTATACACAAATTCTTTACCCTAGTATTCAAGATATTTCTCTATATACATGCAACTATCTTTCAAGATTAATTCTTGATACTTCCCAATAAAAATGGCATGTTAGCTGATTTAGACCATTAAATCTCAGGCACGGTGGCTGATGCCTGTAATCCTAGCACTGTGGGAGACTGACGTGAGAGGATCACCTGAGGTCAGGAGTTCAAGACCATCCTGGCCAACATGGTAAAACCCCATCTCTACTAAAAATACAAAAATTAGCCGGGTGTGGTGGTGGGTGCCTATAATCCCACCTATTTGAGAACCTGAGGCAGGAGAATTGCTTGAACCTGGGAGATGGAGGCTGCAGTGAGCCAAGATCATGTCACTGCACTCCAGCCTGGGTGATAGAGGGAGACTCCGTCTCAGAAAAAAAAAAAAAGAAAAAAAGAAAAAAAAAAGCACATATTCCAGTAGAAGCAATAAACCATCTCTATATAATTATATATATTCAGACATTCACTAACCATGTTGTACATGTTTTTAAAAAAAGAAGAGACCAACATTCGAAAAAAAAATAACAGGCAAACAAAAATATGGTAAAATTGTTATGTAATGAAAAACTAAATGTTGTATAAGTAATTTATAGAAATCTGTTAAAATTGAGTAAGAGGCAGTTTCCCATAGAAAAAAGAAAGGATGTGAATATACAGTTCAATAAAAAACAAATTCACTATATTATACAAAATATTCAATTGCACCAGTAGAGAAACTCAAATTTAAAGGGTTTTCATTTTAAATGATCAAATTAGCAAATATTTTTAAATGATGAAATTTAGTACTCTGAGGGAAACAGATATCTGTGCACTACTGAGGCTTTGCTCAGAAACATTTTCACGTTTCACTCACGAGAGTTAGGTCCCAAGTCTTCCTTTGAAGACCAATCACTATTGATTTAGAGTCCATGCCTGATGCAGTCTGGCCATGATCAAAAGACCATGAAATTTATCATCCCAGACAGAACACTTTTGAGTGTGAAAGTGAGGTAGGAAGCAGAACTCAACTCTGGAGGCGGGACTCAGACACAGGACCAAATTGAGGACTAGCTAAAACAGGGACGGGGCACAGGCAGCTTTTCCATAAGACAAGCCCACCAGTGTTTACCACGCCCACGTCAGTTTACCATTACCATGGCAACACCCCCTGCGTTACCACTCCTTTCCATAGCAATGACCTGTTAACCTAAATATTACTACCCCTTCCCTAGAAATTTCTGCATAAAACTATCTCTTATTTTACACGCAATTAAAAGGAGGTATAAATATAACTGTGAAACAACCTTGAGCTGTTACTCTCAGTCCACTGCCTATGGGGTAGCCCTGCTCTGCAAGAGCAGTCACAGGGCTGTAACACCTCCAGAGCTGTAAGCTGCTGCTTCAGTAAAACTGTTTTCTTCTACACTATCACAAGCTCACCCTTGAATTCTTTCCTAGGCAAAGCCAAGAACCCTTATGGGCCAAACTGCACTTTGGGGCCCGCCTGTTCCGCATCAAAAAGAAATATTGAAAATTATACCAGGCAACAGGTATAAACCAGGACTTCTCCTGAAACCTGATTCACCCCCTGAAAATGGAAAAGCATCTCACCCTGAAATAAAAGGATCCTCACCTACCACCTGAGCAAATGGGGCTCTACAATTACGAAGTACTGTGGATGGGTGGACATGTCTGCTATGCCACGAAAGGCAGCTAGACAGAAACTGACAATCATTTTCTATACTTGATCTTCTGATAGACAATTGTCCTCGTTTTTTCTCAAAATTTAGCTTCCTCAATTTTGGCTTAATTCCTACTCTCCTTTCCATCCCCACTGCCCACTCCATTGAAGGAACTGAAGACAAGGGACTGATTCCAGATCATTCTCCTCTTTCATTCCTCATAAAGTCCACCTGGTTAACGGTTGTAGTTAAGATCCATTTGATTGCAACTGATAGAAATCAAACTCAAATGAATTTAAGATGGAAAATAAACAAATAAAAAATAAAAACTATGGGAGATATTTTGGCTCTGGGAAATCTATGGGGTAGAACTGGCTTCAGGCATGTAACTATCAAGGATGTCTTCAGAAGTGTGTTCCTCTCTCTCTCCTGACTTCTTCGATCTGATTATCTCTACTTCACTTCAGTGTAGTACACAATCTCTCTGTAGGTCAGCAAGAGAACCTGCAGCCTCTCCTGAATCACATGGTACCATTCCGAGCATCTGATCTCAAAAAGTAAGATTCTTTATTTCTCTTTCCTCTCTCTCTCTCTCCCCCTCTCCCCTTCCCCCAGCTCTGCCTCTGCCCATAGCAGTTGCACAGAAGGGCTTTGATTGTTCACGTTTGCATTATGCGGCACTAATCATGAAGTCTCAAGGCATGAATTATTCTGATTGTCCAGTTTGATTCACATGCTCAACTTTTGGCAGGGGTGATAGATCCAAAAAATCACATGGGTTGGGGAACAGAGCAGTTCCCTAAAGAAAGGAATACAGTGTACATCAAAATGTAATAGATGTCTAGTACTGACTAATTTTTGGATCTGCCCCCCCAATCACCCTTCCACTTAGACTGAAGGCACTTTCACTATGGGGAGCATGTCTTATTTGTAGCAAAGTAGTTGGCATAAGATGACACTTTCTGGTTTTGAATGAATAAGTGAATGTTTCACTAATTTATTCATAGAATAAAATTAATAGTACTGAAGGAAAAGCAGTGACAGTGAGCAAAATAAAATATACAAATCATATCAATGATCTGGATAAAAAAGATAGCAATATATAGCACTACATTCATAAAAGGATATCAGTCACTTTTTAATAATTTCTAGGAAGATTTAAAAGTATCAATTAGATAATACCTTTATTGTAACTCTGCAATTTGTCCTCCTAGGCATTGTTATTCATTCTACTTTTTATGTGTCATATTTATGAACTTGATATTGAATATCTAAAAATGCCATAGGATATTGATCTGGGCAAATAACTTATGACTAAGACCACAAAGCAAATGCATCAACAACAAAAATAAGTAAATGGGACTTAAACTAAAAAGGCTTCTGTACAGCAGAAGAAATGATCAACAAATAAACAGACGACATAAAGAATGGGAGAAAATATTTGCAAACTATACATCTGACAAAGGATCAATATCCAAAATCTATAAGAAACTCAAACCATCAAGAAATGATAAAATAATCCTATTAAAAACTGGGCAAATAACATGAAGAGACATTTTTCAAAAGAGGATATACAAATGGCCAACAAACATATGAAAAAATGCTCAACACCATGAATCATCAGGGAAATGCAAATTAAAACCACAATGAGATATCACCTCACCCCAGTCAGACTAGCAATTATTAAACAGTCAAAAAAAATGATGTTGGCAGAGATGTGGTGAAAAAAAACACTTAACACACTGTTAGTGGGTATGTAAATTAGTACATCCTATATGGAAAATGGTCTGAAGAATTCTAAAAAAACTAAAAGTGGATCTACCATTTAATTCAGGAATCCCACTACTGGATATCTACTCAAAGAAAAAGAAGTCATTATATTAAAAAGACACCTGCACTCATAGGTTTATCACAGCACAATTCACAATCTCAAAGATATGAAATCAACCTAAGTGCCCATCAACAAATGTGTGGATAAAGAAAATGTGGTACACACACATACACACACACACACACACACACACACACACACCATGGGCTACTACTCAGCCATAAAACGAATGAAATAATATCTTCTGCAGCAATTTGGATGGAACTAGAGGCCATTATCCTAAGTGAAGTAAATCAGGAATGAAAAAACAAATACTGCATGTTCACAGTGGTACAGTGAACATTGGAGACTAGAAAGGGAGAGGGTGGGAGGAGAACATGAGATGAAAAACTACCTATTGGGTACAATGTACGCTATTTGGGTGATGAGTTCACTAAAAGCCTAGACTTCACCACTATACAATTCATTCATGTAACCAAAAACCAGTTGTATCCCTAAAGCTATTGAAATAAAAAATAATAATAATAAAAATAAAAGTGCCATAGATTTGTCACTAATTGTTTAATCATGGTCCATTTGTTCCTAAAGTAGCTGGGCTACTCACAGCTACCAGAGAGTGGAGACCTAATAAGACCTCGGTGGCAGAATGCAATTATTCCTATTAGAGGTAAGAATGAGTCCAACCATAACATCGTTTTAAAATATAGGCCAGACGCGGTGGCTCACAGCTGTAATCCCAGCACTTTGGGAGGTTGAGGTGGGTGGATCACCTGAGGTCAGGAGTTCGAGACCAGCCTGGCCAACATGGTGAAACCCCATCTCTACCCAAAATACAAAAATTAGCCAGGCATGGTGTACGGTACCTGTAATCCCAGCTACTTGGGAGGCTGAGGCAGGAGAATCACTTGAACCCAGGAGGCAGAGGTTGCAGTGAGCCGAGATCACCCCACTGCACCCTACTCTGGGTGACAGAGCAAGACTTTGTTTCAAAAATGAATAAAGAAATAAAATATAGTGGAGAATTATATTTTTGTGGGGCAATGGCTAATTGATAAACTCTCTCCCACCTCATGTATGATCACTTTATGTTAATTCTCAGTGTGCTAAATACTAATTCCCACAAGTACCAAATTAGACACAGAAGAAAAAAAAATCACGTTTTAAGGATTTTTGTTCCAAAAAAAGTTTTCATTAAATTGCTACAAAAAATAATACTTACTCTCAGTTTAGAAGCCTCTTGCCTGAAGGAGAAGATGACTTGGTCACATTTCAGCACTAGGGCCCAAGTCTCTAAGCAACTTTCCTCAGAAATGGTCACTGAGAAGCATTTCTCCCACACTGTGTCAAAGGGCTGTTTAAAAATCTGCCCCAAGTGAGAACATTTAGAAATGCACACGCCTGTGTGTTAGGAAAGCCATCAACACTCTTGCAGAGCCATATACCTGCCCTCCAGGGACCTGAAACTATTCCATTATACCAGAAACTCTGTAGAATGTAAATCCAGAGGCCTGAAACGCTGTATATTTTTCAGAAAGTACAAAGTGGAAGCCATTAATTCCATGGATTCACCAAATGAATGGATTGTTTCATCTGCATAAATGAACTGTCAGAAACAATGGCCACGCAGCACTTTTGCTCCCATTTCCCACAGAGGAAAAAACCATCTCCCAAATAAGGCTACATCTATTTACAAAACTTAAGCAAAGCAGCTTTTGCTGAAGACGGGAAAAAGGAAAGTTTGATTTATATTCTAAAACCTGGATGCCTGAATTCAAACAGCATGCATTAGAAATATACAGTTCAATTCTCTCTTAATACACAGAAAGATGTCAGCTCTGTCTTTAGAATGCAAATGGGAGCGTTCTTATTGCACATCTATGGTTATTTCAGCAAACTTGCAGGAGCACTTCTGTGTTGCATCTAGCTTTATTCCTTCTTGTCCCTCTTTTTAAAATCTCTTTCCTGAAATATTTTAACCCCTAAGACTTTGAGACACCATTCCCCTTTTTGCTGCCTCTCCTCTTGTTCTTTCATTATGAAATATTCAAAACACTCAGAATGTTTTAATGAAGAGTGAAATGTAAGAAACATCATTTTTACCTTTACTTACCCAGCATTCTGAAATCTTTGCATTTTTCTTAATTGTTTCAAATTTCATTTAAGTAGTAAATTGTTCTAACATTGCTCCTTGCACACCAGTTCCCCAAATTATTACACTTCTCCCAAAAGTTACTACTTTCCAAAATGTGGTATTCATTATTTTACTTCATGTGTGTATTTTTACATAGTATTTTTCAATGGTAGATATGGTACATATCCATATGTAACTTTTTTATTCTATATTTATGCACAGCATTGAGTGTCATCAATATGTCACATATAGCCCTAAGTCATAATAACAGCTATATAGTACTTCGTTGAATGAATATAGACAGTTTGTCTAATTTCTCAGTGATAAACATATGCCTTCCTTTTCCATTATTTGCTTTTCTTCTTTTCATCCATGATGACTTAGGACTTTTATGGACTGACTGTAGCATTTTGTCTTTGAAGCGTTGTCTCTTTTGTCTTAGGCAGTAATAAAAAGTCATTTGTACCTATCTACTTCGGTTAACTATTCATGTTTTTGTTCCCTTAAGGTTTATTTGCATACTGTATTATGTATGATTTTTCTGCGATTATATTTCTTTGTTGTGAGTGTAGGCATAGAGCTTCAGGACAAGACTGAATCTTAGTAGTCATACAGTCCAATTTTCATTTTTTAAACTATGACATTGAAATCAAGAGGAGGTGAATGACTCACCTACAGACATACCACTGGGTCTCCTGGCTCCCTGTCCTTTCTTTATTCTTTTCACTGCACCAAACTACTGCTCATCCATTCAATTTTACAATATTTGTTTCTCAAATATTGTAAACATTCACAAAGAAAGCAGTTTCTCAAAAGGTCTAGCACATCTTACATCCTTCTCATCAGAGGAAGCTAGGCACTGTGGGAACATCCAAAAACAGTTCATGTCCTCAAAGACATTAAACTGTAAATGAACAACCAAAGAGAAATGAAAACATTACAGGCAACTATAGTTCTTATACGGAATTCAGCTATGACTGAATTCCAGTATCAAAGGCAGAGATAAGTCTTGTAGAAGGCAAAGAAGGTGAGATCTGACTGGGAAGGTGCTTGTCAGAGAAATGTTCAGAATAAGGCAAGATTAGAGCCTGTGCAGTCAAGGAATACAAGATCAGATGAAGAATATTAGAGGCAGGAGTTCCAATATCATCAAAGAAACAGAAGAGAGAAAACCACTCTTATAAATTTAAGGAACTTCTCATTACTTTTTTTTTCTATGAACTTTTTCTTCTTATTGACACCTTTATAGTGGAGGGCAGGCTTCTTGACATTTGGTTTCTACTATCTCTCAGTTTCTTGGAGGATCCTTCTTAACTGTTATTTCAACTTTTGATTTTGGTGTAATGTTGAATTTATAAAAACTTTAACTGTGCAAGAATAGGACTCTTGTATGTCCTTTACTCATATTCACCAAGTGTTTATCTTTTCCCCACTTGCATTACCAATCTTTCTGTCTGCACAGCTATGTAATTTTGATGAACCTTAGAGAGTAGTTGGAGACATTATGCCACTTTATTGTACATGATAGTATTGTGTATTTCTTAGGAACGGGAATATTCTCTTACGTAACGCAAAATTATCAAAACATATTCAACAATCTCAATAACGTCCTTCATTGCTTTCCTCCCCCTTTATGCCAGTACAGGATCAAATCCTAGATCACACATAAAACTGCATAATTTATAAGAAAAACATTTTGCTTTGAGCTTCATTGATCTAGCCTTTTATATAGCAATTATTGAAAATCTGTGAAGAGAGTTAAAGAGGCAATCCCTGTTCTCCACACACTCAAGCCACATGGTGAAGGGTAGATGAGTTATCTTATTTTAATAGATTACGATCTCTACTGTGAGAGTCATTGGATACTCTGCTATGATAAGGCTTCCAGGAAGAGGTTATATTAAAGCTGAGACTTTAAAAAGTAGAATACAGTAGTA
Organism: Homo sapiens; assembly: GCF_000001405.40. NCBI lineage: Eukaryota > Metazoa > Chordata > Mammalia > Primates > Hominidae > Homo > Homo sapiens. The sequence goes on from NC_000017.11 coordinate 71,746,273, forward strand.
ACAGCTTTCCTTTCAAAAGTAGCATGTGCTAAAACAAAGTAGACTGTAGCGTATTTAGAGAACTGTAAGTAGCTCAGTATTTCAATGTAGTAGGGGCTATATGTGTATGTATGTGCATGCATGTGTAAGCACACGTGCATGTAGATTTGGCAAGGTTTGGTGATTGATGGGAGTTGAATTAGGTATAAGCTAGATCATAAAACACCTTCTATGTTATAATGTAAAACCAGATCCTGAAAGCAATGGGGAATTGTTGGAGAAATTTAAGCAGGAGGCCAATAAGATCTCATTTGATTTGCCTTGTCTGAAAGATTAGTCTGGCTGCAGTATTATGTGTGAATATTACATCAATATGGGTGAAAAATTACAAGGGCTTCAAAGAGGCAACACTGTCATGTAGACTTAGAATCTTTTAAAGAAGGAAAGTGGACAGAATCTAGCAATTGCTGAATGGGGATGGTGGGTAGTGGTAAGAGGGAACAGACTGTCTAGGAAGACTTCCCTGGGCTTCCAAGTCAGACCTGGACCCATTCTACAAAGGAAAACAGACAAAATCTATGATTTCAGGCCATTGGAGCTTATTCTCCTAACATTCTCTCTATACTCTTTGGAAACATGGAAAAAGTACATATTCCTGAGTCCTGCCCACACAGTTCCTTGACTCTTATACACAAGCTTCCTTGTCTTCTGGAGGAGACTTGGTCTGGTCTTGGTCCATGCTCCCTGGGTGATCTGGCCATCTCTCTTCTTGCAACTATTTCACCATTTCTCTTGAAGTAAGTAAGTAGAACGCCATCTTCCTTTCATTAATGCTTGGGCCTCATGTATCATTCTGCCACCTACTGCAGCTAGACTTTATAATAATATTCCCACAAATATTTCGTATTTGGTGTTTGATATTCCTTAGACTGTTTATTCTTCCCCTTTTGCAAACCAATACGCCCTTTTCATAAACTTGAATACATTTCTCAGCCAAGAGCTTATTTAAAGATCTGAAAGTTTCTTGTAAAATTCAGACGTGAGCTCATTTATTCAAGAACACTTCCATTTCTCAAGGATTTAATGATGCCTCTTCCCCCACCCCCAAGTCAGTTGATTTTGTTTCTAAATCAGCAAATCACTTTCAACTACATCAGCTTAGGTAAACTTATCTTACTCTCTTCTGTCTGTTATTGGGGAAAATAAATCATCTGACTATAATTCTAAAACACAGAATGAGTTAACATTATGTTATGAGGGTGGGAAGAGAATGGACAAATGTTCGAAGGAGACCAATTGGAATGAAAAAGAGAAAGGAAGAAGGAAGACCAGAGGATGATTTTTTGCTTGACCTCACTCTTCTGAGTCCAAGTTCAATCCCTTCTCTTAACATACGCATGCCTCTTTTTGAAATCTCAGCAGATTCTTTGCTTCGACTTCCACTTTAATGTATGATATGGCCCTAGATTTCTTTTTCAGTCTAGATATCATTAAATTCTAGCATCTCTAACTTCTGAGTGGGCTCTCAAAATTATTTATTGTTATTCTAGTAAATGCCATGTTCCATTGATTATTTCAAATCACTGACATTTTTTATTCCCAAATTAATATTCTTTTTAATTTACTTATATTATTTGACATACAAAACTGTACATAATATATACAACTTGATGAGTTTGGAGACAAGTATACATCCATGAAACCATCACTGCAATCTATGCCATAAATCTATCACCTCCAAAACTTTGCTCTTGCTCTCTTATTATCAGTAGTAGTAAGAATACTTAGCATATGATCTACACTTTTAGTAAATTTCTAAGTATATAATACAATAATGTTAACTATAGGCACTATACTGTACAGTAGACCTCTAGGACTTATTTATCTTGTATAACCAAAACTTTGTACCCTTTGGCTAATATCTGTCTGTTTCCCCTCCTCCCCATCCCCTGGCAACCACTATTCCATTGTGTTCTTCTATGAGTTTGACAATTTTAGATTTTTCATATAAGTAGTATCATGTAGTATTTGTTCATCTGTGCCTGTCTTATTTTACTTGGCATAATGTCCTCCAAGTTTATCCATGCTGTTGCACCTGGCATGATTTCCTTCTTTTTTAGGCCAGATTATTTATATATATATATATACGTATATATATATATATATATACACATATATATATATATATACACACATATATATATATATACACACACATATATATATATATATACATACACACACACACACACACACATATATACACACATATATATACATATATACATACACATACACACACACGTATATCATATATATACATATATATAATGTGATATATATATATTACATTTTTAATCTATTCATCTGTTGATGGACATTTAGCTTGCTTCCCCAACTTGCTATTGTGAATAATACTGCAATGAACATTGGAGTACAACTATCTCTTTGAGATCCTGATTTTAATTCCTTTGGATATATACCCAGAAGTGTGGGATTGGAAAATTCTATGCACATCTTCCTGGTATTTTTGCTTCTATTTATTTCTTAACTTTTGGGGAGGTTTCTGTTTTAGAAAGAGAAGTTGAAACATTAGGGATGCTTAGCTGCAATTTTTTTCCAGAAAATTGAGGTGTTATCTCTGTCCTTGCCCTCTGTGTCAATCAGTCTTCCTAGGAGCTGTCTTCCTAAGTGCCATTTCCAGCCTAGGTAGAAGTTTAGCATAACTAAAATGCATTCAATATGTTCCTTTTTAATATTACATCCCACTGTGCCACTTATTGTCTGTGCAACATTAAGGCAGTCACTTGACCTCCTTGGCTGCTGAATCATCATTTTTAAGTAGAAAGCTGTAAAAGATAAATGGGTCAAGGTTCTTTTCATTACTAAGTTTTAAGATTCTGTGAGGTTTTTTTCCTTTGTCTTTTCAATCTTAGTTTTGTGTTCCAGCTTCTATAGCTCCTCTGAGTTTCCATCACCCCTCTATCTATTCCAAAATACTGTCCTCACAGTGTTCCTTGGCGTCTTCCTAGACAATTTCCCTGAGGGCAAAGCAAGAATCATTTTCATGGTCATACTTGCCATTCCCTTCTCCATATTCTTCCCATTTCCATATGAGAATATGCTTCTGCACCAAAGAGTACGGAGTTATTGTTCTTGCTGCCTCACTATGGGGGCCCCATTGCTTATCATGCTGTGTGTCTTGGGAAGAAAAACATAGCTGTGACTGTCATCATATCAAGCCAGACGTGGATCCTCAGCCAAGACAAGGGATTTTTAAAGATGGTGGAATCATAAGTACCCGAAGTGGATTGAATAGTGAGCATGACGTTTAGTCCTGCAATAACATAGTTTTGGATGTACTTAAAGATGTATAGAGAAATTCTCATCAAAGCGTTTTCTGTGACAGTAAAAACTTAAAATTTATGTCCAACATTATAAGGCTGATCAATTCAATAAATTGCATAAAGGAGTTTGAGCTTTAGATGAAGGATTTGAACAGTCATTAAAATGTTTGAGCTAAAAGTGCTCAGATTGGATTTTTGTTTTCGAAAGATTACCCTTTGGTGATAAAAACAATAATTTGGAGAAGGGCAGGAACTAGAAAATGTAGTGATACTGGTGGCCTTGACAATGTTGACGGAAGTGAATATGAAGAAGCATATTTGAAGACTTCAAGGAGAAAGAATTAGAAGGAATCCATGAATGATTGGATGTGGAAGTTGGGAGAAGGTTTCCACTAATCAGTCATACCATTTTTAAAGTCTTTCTACACCTTTTTTTCCTCTGGGCCCTTCATATATGAGCTTACATCACTCACAGCACAGCCTCAGAAAATGTTATCAGAGAGAAAAGTTTGTCTGCAGTGTCACCATCTCCCTTTTCAACATTCTAGCTTCCTTTTCTCTACATCTTCTCTGCCTCCTTTAAATTTAGACATCAGCATATTCTGCAGTTGTTGAAATCTGAGAATACAGAATTGGGAGTCCCTCAGGCCCACTTTTTAATTCACTTCTGCCATTTTCAAACCATGATATTCGGCAAGTGATTTAACTCATTAAGCCTCAGTTTTTATTTATGTAAGCTAGGATAGTAGTGCATATTCCATAGGGTTATGATGAGTGAAATACATCATGCATTTATAAATTACCTAGCAATGTGCCTGGTCTAGAACATACTCTCAATAAATAATTGTTACTAACACAGTCTTATCCAGGAATGAAAGTAGATAGCTTTATACCTTCAAATTATTTAAAATCAGATGGTTTTCTCTCTCAGGGATATTTGCTTTTCATTTTTGTCTCTAATGATGAAATGACAGATTTTTAGTTCTATTAGATACAATTATACCAAAAGCCTTAGGTAGAGAAGCCATTTTTTTAAAACTGGATTTATTCAATACTTTGTTATCATATTCTCCCCAGTCTCCTTCGCCTTTGTAGACACAATCAGTCAGCACAATCTTATAAACAAGAGAGAACTGCTCCTGTTCCTTAAGATTTCTGGTTTGTTTTTTGACCAGGCTGCTGCATCAGAGAGTGAAGGCTGAAAGAACCAACTTCCTCCTGGCTATGGGACCGTGGGAGAGATATCTGAATTTTCTAAACTTCAGTTTTCTAATCTGTATTCTCAGAACAACAATAGAACACTAGGATGTTAAATTGGATAATGAATAATTGGATAAGTACTTAGCATGGGATATGCAATGTAGAAAACATTAAATAAAGGCTTACCTTTTTATTATTAATAGTATTACCTCTTCTAACTTTGTTGTATCACTTTACTCTTTTCTTTCTCTATGGCTACATATTTTTGACAATAGATATTACACATTAGTTGAGTAGCAACCTTGTAGAAACATTCCCAGATATATGTTAAAATATAATGTTGCAAATAAGCTTGATGAAGAAATGTGAAATTTGCTGCCAGTTTTTCTCTATTGCTAATATTTTATCTTTATCTAGGCTTTTGATTTGCAATAATTATTCTTTTATGTTTGCTATCTTCTCACTTATTATGACCATGTTTCCCTTTAAGTCCTTGATCATAAGTATAATAGCTGCTTTAAAAGTCTTGCCTGATTATTTTCAGTTCTGGGTCATCTTGAGATCAGTCTCCATCAATTGATTAATTTCCTCCCCACCACCACTTGGGAATCATATACATTTTTTCTTCATATATAAAGTAATTTTGGTTTGTGCCCTGAAAATATATATATATATGTAAAGTAATTTTGGTTTGTGCCCTGAATATATATATTCAGGGTACAATAATGATTGAATTTATGTGTGTGTGTATGTGTGTGTGTGTGTGTGTGCATTATTTATTATAGCAAAACAATGTAGGACAGAATGGGTTCTTTTCCCCTTCTCCCTTCAACTCCTTCCTGGCTATAGCATACTCAGCTCCTTTTGGGACCAGGCACAGACCAAGCCAGGGTAATTTTATTTCTTAAGCAGGTATTACTTGAGTAAATTCAAACTTCAAATTGAATTCTAGGACTCTTGTTTTTCTTTCCAGCTTTAGCTAAGCTACTTGGGGTCTTCCTTGAGTATGTATGGTTCAGGGATCAGTTAGAAATGTGGGAAGAATTTAAACATAAAAATCAAAGTTTTCCCTTTCTAGGATTCTCCTCTCCCACTTTCTAGATGTTGTGACTACCCAGACCCTTTCCTCTGGCTTTCCTACTGGCTTTTTGAGCCAATATGACCGAGACGTGTGTATCTGAACTTCAGTTACTCCTATATTACAGATTGGAGTCTGCCCTCAGCCTAAAAACTCGTAAAAATAGGAAACTAACCCTATATGCCATCATCATCTTTGAAATATCGACTTCTGGCCAGGCGCGATGGCTCACGCCTGTAATCCCAGCATCTTGGGAGGCTGAGGCAGGCAGATCACAAGGTCAGGAGTTCAAGACCAGCCTGGCCAGCATGGTGAAACCCCATCTCTACTAAAAATACAAAAATTAGCTGGGTGTGGTGGCGGGCGCCTGTAATCCCCACTGCTCAGGAGGCTGAGGCAGGAGAATCGCTTGAACCTGGGAGGCGGAGGTTGCAGTGAGCCGAGATTGTACCACTGCACTACAGCCTGGGCAACAAGAGCAAAACTCCGTCTCAAAAAGAAATATATCAACTTCTGCCTTTTACAATTTGCCTGCCTTTGGTCACTAGTATTCCCTTCACGTATTTACATTTTGTATATTGTCAAGAATTCCTAGTTGTTACCTGTTAGAGGGTGGGTCTGATATGAGCTGCTAAGCCTTGCTGAAAGTTGAATTCCCTAGTAATTATTTGTATGTTCCAAACAGAATAAAAATCTACGTTGACTATTGTAAAGAGAAGTGAAAATCACCCACATTTTGTCACTCTAAAAGTTCACATTTCCCTCACTGTACTTCTTTCCACTTCTTGTCCATGAATATACTTTTAATTCATTCATAAGATTTCTATAAAAGTATTATACTGTTGTCTCAAATCTGCCATTTTGATTCTGTGTTCCACTCTCTATAACACAGGCCATGATGGGCATTTTCACTCCTGTTTTACAAATAGAGAAACATAGGTATGTACAGTATAAGCAATTTCTCTAAGGTTGTACAGTAAATCAGAAATTTGAATGCAGATATTCTGATCTTACATTGGCTATTCTAACAACAAATAAGGTTTACACACAGAGAGAGACAGAGACAGAGAGAGAGAGCACACACACAAAATTCTCTTTCTTAAATCTTACAAAGGGGATTAGAATTCTGTGCTTATTTCATTCCAAGATTTATAGCCATGCTTATGAGCTTCTTGAGGCATGAGGGTAAGAGAGACCAAACAGGACAAGGCTTACTCTAATTCCAAGTACTTGAAATTCAGTTTCAAAAAACCCGTTACTTTTTCCAAAACATCCACAAAGTAACTTCTTTAAAAAGTTAACTTGGCTAGTGTTTCTTTACCTGTCCATTGCTGGTATCAAGTTTCCAAAAACTAATATACTGCATGCTTCCTACACACAAGCAAATTCCAAAAGGAGCGGTCAGTGCCCACACATAGGGGATAGATTCCCAGCAGGGTGTATGTGTCTTGAATCTGTGCTTTTTTTAATGTGTGGGATTTGGAAAAAAGAATGTTGAAAATTTCTTTTCCACCATAACAGTTTAGGACTTTAAGTCATGTAGAACTGAGACAGCTATTTGCCATGCAATACAAACACGAGTGCCAGGGCAGCCCATACTTTGCCAATCTTAGCATGTCTTGAAAAATGCATTCGTTTGGAGATGTTAGTTCAAGACTTTATTATCCTCTGAGGCTTTTCTTGTAGAGAAACATACCCTTGGCTTTCCTAGGTGGTATGTTAGACCACCTTCTGTCAGGGAGAGTTAGACTGCTGAATAGTCAGTGCTAAGATGAGAGGTTGTTGCCGGCTCTTTCTTGTCAGGTTTAACCTAATCTTGTTTGATATTTCTTACAGAAAATTAGATGTATATAAAATATCAGGCTATGAGATTCTTAGAATAGTAATGACACTTACTCTAATATCCCTTAGACTTTCTATAATGTTCTGTACACAATAAATATTTCAGAACTTCTTCGATGCCATTGAAATATAAAATCTGGAAAATTTTTGAATATAGTTTTACCATCAAATTGAGGACCATGAGAAGTGTTTTATTTTCCAAATCCAACTGGTAAAGAAGAAATTATCAAACAAGAATGTTTACTGCCTACGAACTCATACTAAACTTTGTATCTATAAAAATCTTTATCAGTGCACCTTAGGTATTTTTTAAGCCAAACACAGCCTACTGCCTTAAAAGAAAATTTTTACATTTTTAGCATGGAATACTTTTAGCATAGCATAGAAAAGATTAGCATGGAAACTTTTAAGTTTTAAGCATAGGATAATACTGTCTAAAAAGAAAAATATTTTGGTTTGATATCTCAGCCATTTTCCAGTGGGGAAAAATGAAAGACTTCACCAAACACATATTCATATGTTAAAAGACATGCAAATAACTTGATAAATTACATGCCATTAACAGTTTGAAAGAAAAGGAGACTATAAAATCAGATATTAATACTATATTGCCACTCCAAAACAATATCTTTGCCTAAAAATAGCAATTTTCAGTGTATTCCTAATAACAGAATTCCTAAAATATGCTCCTAGGGAAATAATACTAGCAATTATTTTCAGGAAGCAATGCTTACTGTAGCTTCCTCCTTGAGACTCACAGTACATATTATTATATTAGAGGCTTTAAGAAGACCCATTCAGCCCATGACTACAGAAACAAGTTTTATTTTGTGAGGTAGTGTAGTGAAAGAAGATGGAATCTGAATTCAGGCAGAGTGGGTTCTCATCCCGGCTCAGTTACTTATTTGTGTAAACTTAAGTGACAATCCGTGAGTCTCTCAGTTTCATCATCTATAAAACGGGAAACAATTGTTACTTTAGGAGGATCTCTCCAGCCCAGGAGGCAGATGTTGCAGTGAGCCAAGATCATGCCACTGCACTCCAGCCTGGGCAACAGAGCCAGACCCTCAAAAAAAAAAAAAAAATCAAAGGTATGTTATAGGATGGAGTAGTTCAAATAGCCTCTGACTGAGATGCCATCTTGCAGTTGGGCAGATAGGATTCCAGATCAGGAGTTCAGTGTAGGTTTGGGTGAAGACCAATAAGGAATCAGAGCGACGTCTGTTAGACCTATCACTCTATGACCATGGGCAGGTAGTTATAACCACACTGAGCCTTGATTTCCACGTGTAGATAACCTGTGAAATACTGCTTACTTACTGTGACACCTAAATAAAATAATATATAGTGATGCCTATAATATCAGTATCAATAATAACAATTATCTTGTTGCTTAGAAATACCATTTACTAAATATTTTAATTTATGGTGCAAAATGTTTTTTTCTGGATTAAAAATTCTTCAGCCACACAACTCCAAAGTGAGTTTTAAATTACCTTTTCAAATTGTGTAACATCCTGAGCCTCAATTATAAATAAGTTCTACCACTCCAAGCATCCTACAGTCTTCATAATTGATTTGCAAATATTACATGATATAGTTATATAGACAAATATTCAATTTATTAAAAAATTATATCTTAAATGTTAAATGTAAGATAAATAAATTTCAATCTTGAATTTATTTAAGTGTTCTCATTATATGAACATAATAATAATAATAGCAATAGTAATAGCTCCCTCCCATATTCACTGAGCACTTATTATGTGTTAGGTAGAAAACCTCAGGAAGTTTATTTCCTTTCTAATCCTCATAACCAGTGAACTAAGACAGTATTATTAGCTGCTTTTTACAAAATGGAAAGGATAACTCAAAGAATGCAGGTAACTGGCCATGTTTACATATATTTATGTGACAGAGCTGATATTTTTAGCCCAGTTCTGAGTCTCTTCCCTCCACATCTGAAGGATCTGCCTGTTCATTAGACCAAGATGCATTACACCAAGACCAAGAAATTCAGTTGAAAGAAAAATCTGGCCGGGCACGGTGGCTCACACCTGTAATCCCAGCACTTTGGGAGGCCGAGGCGGGTGGATCACGAGGTCAGGAGATCGAGACCACCCTAGCTAACACGGTGAAACCCCGTCTCTACTAAAAATAGAAAAAATTAGCCGGGTGTGGTGGCGGGCGCCTATAGTCCCAGCTACTCGGGAGGCTGAGGCAGGAGAATGACGTGAACCTGGGAGGCGGAGCTTGCAGTGAGCCGAGATTGTGCCACTGCACTCCAGCCTGGGCAACAGAGCAAGACTCCGTCTCAAATAAAAAAAAAAAAAAAAAAAAAAAAGAAAAAGAAAAATCTATGCTAGAGTTTCATCGATAAGACAATCTAAACATAAATCAGCTTTGAAAAACGGAGGAAATTTTGTTCTTGAGAGGTAGGATTTGGAAGCACAGAGATGAGAAGGATTGTTGCCAACTGAACTGTCTCTCCCCAAAATTCATATATTGAAGTCTTGATCCCCAGTACCTCAGAATGTAACCATATTTGCAAATAAGGTCTTTACCAAGGTGACTAAGTTACGAGGAGGCCGTTAGAGTGGGGTCCTATTCCAGCATGACTGGTGTCCTTATAAGAAAAGAGAGAGACATAAGGGATTGCCCACAAAAAGAGAAAAGACCATGTGAGAACTCAGAGTCAAGGGGGCCACCTGCAAGCTCAGGAGAGGGGCCTAGGGGCAACCAGACCTTCTGGCACCTTGATCTTCAACTTCCAGCCTCCAGAACACAAATGTCTGTTGTTGAAGCCATGCAGTCTGTGGTATTTTGTTATGACAGCCCTAGCAAACTAACACACAGAAGGTTCATAAGATGTGGTGACAATTGTGACCAAAAGCACATCAAAAAGACACCAAAGTGTGCAAAAATACCAAAACACCAAAAAAAAAACCATAGCGGTAAAATGTATTTATGTTTAACTGGAGTATTGAGAATGAATTGGGAGATAGCTGCCACATGTTGGGTCTAAATGACAAAGGACTTAAATTCAAGGCTTCAGGACAGAGACTTTATCCAGTAGCTAACTGGGAGCCTCTGAGAGTTTATGAGGAAGAGAACAGCATGATCAGAGCTAAGATTCAAGGAATTTAAATAATCAATCAGTTGTAGAGCATGGGATGGTTTGTAGTGAAAAAAGAAAAGGTGAACAAGCAACTTGGAAAGCTATAGCAAAAATACAAAAAAAAAAAAAAAGAAGAGGTAGTTCAGGGAATCTGAGTGACAGTAGCAATTAACATAAGGAGACAGAGACAAAGAAACATGAAAACAGCAGTAATGGAACTTGACATTAAAAAAATTTCCAAAACTGTCCAATTGGCGGAACTTAACTTTAAAGTATATTACTTCTTTTCCCCCTTTTTAAAATTACACAAATCCTTAAAATATGGGATGGGTTTCAACCTGTTGTAGTTAAGTCCTCTTGCAGGTCATTACTTGGGTGTAATTTTCCCTCCTTGATTTGTTTTTGAGGAGGAACAAAAGAGAAAGGGCATCTGAGTCCCCAGTTCCATATTTCAGAAAGGTTTCTCCCTGCAAAGTTAAACATCTGCTTCCCATCAGTCCCAGATGTGGCACCGTTTTGCAGCGTGGCCAAGGGATGAAATGCAGCACACTCAGTCTAGCATCTCATTCATCAGGAGCTTCCCGACAATCTTCCAAGCATAGACAAAGTACCTCAAATGACACCTCCCCATTCTTCCTCCTCTTCATGTGGGCCTGACAGTGTCTGGGCTCTGAGACTTCGAGTATTATTCCTGCCTACCTTTCAATGGATTTCGTGAGATCTTATTGAATTCCAGGCCGTGTCTTCAAAATAGGGGAGTAAGTGTTAAGGGTGAGAAAGGAGACTAATTCCATTTGCAGGGCAATCTAAGAGCATCTCTAGCTAGCCTCTTTCATTCCAAGAGTGATTAGTATAAACTTTCTGCACAAAATAAAATGAGGATAACAAGGGAGAGAAGAAAATTAAACTTTAGCAGGAAACAGAGTATCCTATTCAGTAAATTTCACTTACTTTCTCAGCAGCAATGAGCAGTCACAAAGCTACAAGATCACTAATCCATAATCAATACCATCCACATAAAAGTCTTTCAGATTGGAGGAAAGCATTGGGTCCTTAACCCCAAACCTCTGGAAGTAGACACTACTTCTATTTATCACAGGCCTAAAGGATCACTCCCATTGTTCCTATTCATAGGAAACTTGGAGGAAAACAACTTTCCCTGAAATTTGTTGGCTGAACAAGTGACTAATCAAGTAGATCTGCAGATATGTATTAAGTGTCTTCTATGAGCTATTTTAGGTGGTGAGAAAAGCATAAAAATCCTGACCATGTTGGCACTTTGATTCCAGCGGGGGACATTTACAATAAATTTTTAAAAACATACAATATATTATATGATATGAATAACATACAATATTTAATAATACATTATATTAATATATTGTGATATATTAATATTAATATAATATAGTTATAATTAATTGTATTATAAATTATACAATATAATATAATTACTATAATTATATTATATAACATTATATTCTATTGTATATTATATAATATATTATATATAAATATGATATTAAAATTATATTATTATATTAATATGACACACAATAATATATTTGGTCATACATATTACACAATATATTGTATGTTTTATTGTCAATAATGTTATCTACAATAATATATGTTATATATAATATATAATATATAGTATGCTTATATCCAACATACAATATATACTATATACAATATATTACACATATTATATAGAATATGTATACATATAATAGGTATATATGTATACATAGAATATGTATATGAATGCATATTCTATATAGTATGTATTGTTATATATCATGGAATAATATGTATTATACAACACATATTATATAGAATATGTATATATACAATATATAATATACATACCTATATATACAATATTGTATATATACAACATGTATTATTGTATATATACAATACATATTATATATATAATATGTTAGAGTGATAAGTGATATGTGGAAAAATAAAGTTAGCTATAGGATTAGGAAGCGTTGGGGAATGGACTGCATTTTCCTATGGGGTATTCAGAGTCATCCTCACTGAAAAGATAAAGGGGTGGAAGGTTGGGCAAAGCAAGTATTCCAGAGAAATGTATTCCAGGTAGAGGGAGGAGCAAGGGCAAAACCCATGAGCATGTGTGGGGGTTGATAAAGCAGCTGGAGTGGAGTGAGGGAATCCTGGAGGGTGCAAGATAAGACACCACCCAGGGACCAGAGGATGAAGACATTACCAGGCATTAAGCTTTTGCAATCAAGGAGATGGAGAGTCTCCAAGGGTTTGAGTACATCGGTGGCATCATATCACTGAAGTTTTGGCACGATTGTGCTGACTGCTGTGTTGAGAATAGACTATAATATCGGGCTTTAGGATGGATTAATATTGGCAAAGATCTCCTAAAACTGATGACAGGTATATAAGGCAAGTGGACCTAAAACAATGCAAAAAGAGAATGATTTGGAGCAAAAATAAAACTCATTTTGAATCAAAGTATAACATGTGAGCATTCTATACAAAAAGTTCCCCAGAGTTTAATTGTGCAGATATGAAAATGAGATACATCTTTGCACTTCAGAGTTTGTTCTTGCTACTCTGTTTCCTAAGACCAGTGAGCCACATTCTTCTCTTCTCTCCTTTAACTAGTAAATGATTTGTGCTCCTTTACTTTTTGCTTAGCTTTGGAAAGGAGTTTCCACTTTTTGAAAGTCGATAGTGTTTTGTTTTGTTTTGTTTTGTTTTCCCCCACAATTAATGCTGAGTAACGGATTTCAGACCATCTGGGCAACCTCGATTATGCTATCATTGCATATCCCACAGGCTTGTTATGATTAGGGAAGGCGAAGGGAAACACAGTATATGCCGAGTATGTGGGCTATACTTAAAGAAAAAAATGTTATATCATCACATACAACATCTGGTGGAATTCAAGATTAAGTTACAAATGGTTTTGAAGGCCAATTATTAGACAAGTGATACCCATTGAAACTAGGCTGTGGTTTTACTACCTGGCAGATTTTTACTGATTGCTCTAAATCAGTACTTACTTATCTTACTTACCGTGGGATCTTTAACATGCATTGCATTTAGATTGAGCTAAAAGGGCAGACGGTGGTTTTTTGTTTAGAGTGAAATGGAAGTACCAAGTATATAAGTGATAAAAGGGTAGTAATTACTTCCTATATCGACACTGATTTCCCATCAGGGAAATGTAATGTGTCATATTTGATACCCAAGTACCTAGGTATTTACGTTAATAATAACAATAGTAATAGTTATTATTTATTGTACCCAAAATTTTACAAGCCTTGCATTTCTTCCTCAGGCTCTATCTCCATTTATCAAATGAGTAAATTCAGGCTTCGAAAAGGTTTAGGCAACTTACCAGCATTCAAACAAACTGAGTCATCGAACCACAATTCAAACCAAGGCCTCCTGATCCATAGCTGCCACCTGTAAAGCTTACATTATGCTGAATTCATTTACATTGCTCTGCAATGTACATTACTGCACATGTGCCATAGTAAACCTTATAGAACGGGAAATGTTTAATCTTGTCAATTTACTCCTCTCTATCCTGACATTATATTTCTTGCATTTCCCAGTTACGGTTTGGCACAAACAACTTTCCCAGTTCCTCATGCATGGATAAAAACATAAATTATGCTGTGTTCTCTGGCGCCTCCTGGTTCAAAGTTATCTTGCTGCCACCAAACTGGACTTCATCCATACAAATCCACTTTTACATAAAGAATTTTAAAGAAGAATGACAACTCATCTCTGTCTAGTTATTTACATTTTTTATGAGTATTAAATATATTCCCAAAACTTCTATGTTCTAGAAAACATAGAAGTATAAATATTTACTTTGCATTCCTTTTTATTAGTGACTATTATCTTTAAAAAGCCCTGAATCAATGACAGGACAAGAGACATAGCAATGCCCTTTCTAACCTTCTGGGTTTTGTATATCTAAACTCAGTGGCATAATTTATTGAATATTAGTGACTTCAAACATATATTGGATTCTATTATTCTATATTTCAGCTGGTAATCAAAAAGCAAAAGGCTGAAATGTTCTTTCTTTTGTAGCTGGACCTTTTATGAGTTGATACAACTTTTTTTTTTAATGCAGTAGTCTCAGTCCTCAAAAATGATAGCAAATCAACCCTGATTCAGAAGCCATTTAAGGGGTCTTAATATTTCAAGAAATTCCAAAATAAATGTATGTTTTTAAAAAAGTAGAAAAAGCATTTGCAAGAAACATGACAACTCCTAAAGAGAAAGTGAAAATATTTTGTAAATTTAACTAAAGTATAGGGTTTGACTTCTGACTTTACATTTACCGCTTACATGAAGGGAACGCCAATCTTATTCTGTTGCATGGCTATTGTAAAGCCGATACAAGCAGGTGGAACTGAAAAGACTTTGGGAACTGTAAAGCTATTTTGTGTGTTAGTGACCATATAACTTAGGTTTCAACCTCCATTGTCTCTTGAAAATACATATTTTAAATGAAGTTTTTTTTAATGAGGCACAGCTCAACACAAAATCTTCAGTCAAATAGAGCTTGGCTAAGAACTAAACCACATTTATTTCTATTGACTTTCACTTTCTTATCAAAAGAGTTCTTATTTCTTATCACTACCATATCATTATCATAATAAATGCTTTTAAAATAATTATGTATGTTCAGTTTTATTCAATTATGTTATTGTTCATTAGAAGCATACAAAATGCATTTAAAAGGAAAACAAGCAGAAACACCAATAAACAACACATAAGACATTTAACCCAATGAAGAGTACAAATTAAACACAAATTTAAATAACTCATTTACATAATTTACATATCCTCTCAATGTTCTATATTGTCAGAATAGACCTGTCTTAGAATCTTTCATGGATGCAATTTAATGATTTAAAAAACTCTTAAAATTGCCCCAAAGAAAAATAAAAATGTCTTCTCAAGTTAGTATTTGTGGTCCCTATAGTGATATTAGTTCTTAATTTATTTGCTTATAATTTTATTTTGTTTTGGCTTGTTTTTAGAGATGGGATCTTGCTCTGTCACCCAAGCTAGAGTGCAGTAATACAATCACAGTTCCCTGCAGCCTTGATTTCTGGGGCCCAGGTGATCCTCCCACCTCAGCCTCCCAAGTAGTTGGAACCATGTTGGTAGCTGGAACCATGTGCCACTACCCCCAACTAATTTTGTTTATTTTGAAGAGATGGGGGTCTCATTATGTTGCCGAAGCTTGTTTCAAACTGGGCTCAGGTGATCCTCCCATCTCAGCCTCCCAAAATGCTGGGATTATCGGTGTCAACCACCATGCCCAGACAATTTACTTATAATCTTGTTTTTATGTATTTGTTAAATGCTGTGCTGAGTTCTGAGAATATCGAATTGAAGAAAGAAGGATCTCTGCAGAAAAAGTTCTGTTTTCCAGGGATGACAAATGGTAATACAACACAACTATATGCAATGAAATAAGCATAATAAACTGAGTAAAAGAAACCTACTACGAAAGATGCTTTGTACCTTTGTGTTTGTATTGTGTCCTCGTCTTTAGTAATACTGTATGGTTTCCATCATTTTGTCTTTTGAAAAGACTGTGATAGTTGGACATAAGTTAGAAACATTTACAATTAACTCTCTGCAGCATTTGAGCTATGTGTAATCATCTTTACATTTAAATATGGTTATCATTCCCTTATGAAGTTATTGATATCACTGCAAGTTATTTCTATGGATAACATCTCCTTCCATCTCTTTGAAAAGTCATTTGTCCAAAATGTAAGGAAGAAAAAGCACATAAGAGATTAATGATTACTAGAAAGTGTCAGTGAGTCATAGTTCATGCGTGTACAGCTCAAGTGGGGGCAGGTGTCTTGGATAATGGCCACCTCACCTTGAACCCCAATTCCATCCAATCACCAGGGAGGCAATATTTCACACCTTGATGGCAGCGTCCATGGAAAATGTGACACAATTTGATTACTGCCCCTTGAACAGTATTACAGTAAAAGAATGCAGTTTATGACACTTAAATGAGAAATAATTTAATGATTCCTACGTTCCCAAATGTCTTTTACCCTTTATTGTTATGTAGACCTCCTAGATAAGCTGTGCAGTTATGACTATTTTTCAAATGCAGAGTAAAAGCAAGAAAAAGTAAAACCAAGTTGGATTTAGGTCTTCACTAAAATGCCCGATTCACCCTCAGTTTCAGTCATTTTCATAGTACTCTTGAGTAGCAACCATTCCTTTTGCCCACAGGCGACTTAAACTCTGAGGTGCAGTCAGGAAGGTACATTATTAACTGGGGTGGGTGACTTCGCCTGTTCTGGGGAAACTAGATACAAACTCCTGGGTACTATTAGGGCCTCTGTGGGTTACCATAGTGAATTCCAACTAACAACGTATATTAGTCTGTTTTCACACTGCTGATAAAGACATACCCAAGACTGGGTAATTTATAAAGAAAAATAGGTTTAATGGACTCACAGTTCCATGTGGCTGGGGAGTCTGCACAATCATGGCAGCAAGCAAAGAGAGAGAACCAAGTGAAAGGGGTTTCTCCTTATAAAACTATCAGCTCTCTTGAGACTTATTCACTACCACAAGAACAGTATGGGGGAACCGCCCCCATGATTCAATTATCTCCCACCTAGTCCCTCCCACAACACGTGGGAATTATGGGAGCTATAATTCAAGATGAGATTTGGGTAGGGACACAACCAAATCATATCACAATGTGTGGCAAAAGTCATTCACCTGGTAGCTTGTCTTACAGCACAAGATCAGTACTGCAGAAATCCCAAGAAGAAAGAGCCCCACCGATTGCAAAGACTAACACACTTAAATGTACTCCCACTTTTCAAATACACATGCTAATGGAAGTGCATGGTTTAGCTTGAGCTCCCTAGTTTTCCTGGATAGCAGCAGAAACCTGCTTTGCTGCACAGTGGCTACGTAGAAGAGCTGCTTCTCTTCCTAGTCTCAGTCTTGGGTACATGTTAGTCCAAAATCCCAGCTGTGTTCTACGTAAAGAGCATCATCATATTTCTTCACCTATGTGAAACCAGCCCCATAAGCTATTTGGGGCCAAAGGGTTTGTGATTATTACACAGGATGTTATATTTTAGTCACCAAGTGATGCACCTTTTATGAACAAAATAACTAGAAAATTTTTCTTTTATTTTCTAAGAAACACACATACACCTCTTAGGATATGCCTGAGATTCCATTTCAAGAGAAGAAAAGTATGATACCCACAGTGTGCATTTAAACAGAAAGAGGAAATTCAGTTATTTTCTTCTTGAACTAATATGCTCAATGTAGTGACTACAACTTAAGTGGAAGAGGATAGACATTATTAGTATCCTGTACCCACAAATGACACAACTGAGGCACCTAGAGTTGATTGAAACAATCCAGACAAATAAATATTTTCAGGATTGAGATTTGAATGCAAGTCCAATGTTCACACTTCCTGGCTTTCAGGGGCTGCCCAACCATTTGGTACTTTAAATCCTGTTAGAACTTGAATGCACACACACATTAAGGGCTTAACAAGTAAGTTTTGTTCTTCAGTTCAATTAGAATGTTGTCAACCTTATAAAATAAAACTTCACATTAAACTGGTTAAATGATAAGCCGATGAGCCTTGTTATTTTATGTGTCAATAAGTCTCAGGTGGGGCAGATCCAGGACTGAATAATTCAGTGGATCAACGATGTCATCAAGGACTGATCACTTCCCTCTTGCTGCTCTGTCATCCTCACCCTACGGGCCATGTCCTTGGCTTGTCCCCTTTAGCACTGCCACACAGCTGCTAAGGGCCCAGGCATCACAAGCAGACACAGCAATGACCAGCAGGGGCAGGCGAGGCTTCTTTTGTGATGCCTTCTCTTACTTAGCCACACAACCTTCCTAGAAACTCCTTAGCACACTTCCTCACACTTCACATGGACCACAATTGTACACATCATTTCTTAATCAGAGCAGATGAGAAAAATGGAATTGATTTTGCTTGTAAGGAGTAAAAGAGAAGTAGGAGATGGTTGTTGTATTTAATCAACAATATCTGCTATATTCTTTCAATCTCTAATGTAGTTGGCCTATGCACAGTGATATTAATCATTATGAAAGGATTAAAAAAGAGACGTTACTGAGGTTAATTAGAATGAGAGTTCAGCCTTAAATTTAAAATGTAAATGGGGATGGAGACAGAAAGATATTAAGGATACAGTTAATCCATTAATATACAAATACACACATACCCACATAAGTAAATTTGTCAATTAAATATACAATTAAAAACAATATTTTAAACATACAGGTAAAACATGCTGAATATCAAACTAGTCTAACTATTGGAATGACATGAATTAAAAAATTACATTTTCTAACAGATACAAATGGTAGGAAAGTTATTTTTTGGTTTCGTTTATTCATTTGTTTTTGTTTGTTTATATTTGGGCTATCTGCTATGAGATTTCTTGAGACCTTTGCTAACTAGAACTTTCAAAGACCAAGGAATACAAAAAGCAGTATTTAATGTCCAGGTGAATGATTATATTTTCTCGTTACATTTACCAAACTTCATTGTATCAATTTAGGATGCAAGAAGACTTCAGACGCTGCTCTCAAAATCACCAGCAGTGAAGTAGATAGCAGACACAGAAAGAACAAGTAATGGCCTGGCTTCTAAAAACAGAAAGAGAAGATTTATAGCCTCCATAAAGCCAGCATGACTCAGGGCCAAGTTCATTCTGCATCCATCCCCCACTTTCTCTTGTCACAGGAGAATGAGCCGAGGACCACTTTTGCCAGCAATCTCATCTGCAGCATTCCAGTAGCCCCTGCCAGACCTGGCAAGGGTATTGAGAGGCACCCTCCTTTTTTTCAAGAAGCAGGGCTCTGGACAGAATCAGGCCAACTCCACAGGTCACACATGAGCTGCTCTTGTCTGCCAATGAGCTGCTTGATTGGTGCTTAGAAGGTGCTGGCTCTTCCTGCCCCAGTGATGGTTCTCTACAAGCCATCTCTCACCTCACCTGAAACGTGGGTGCTTTCTCAAATTCCTCACAAGAAAACATTGATACTTAGTGTTCTATATCTATACTCGGTCTTAGAAATGAATATCCCAGTTTGGTTCGCCTGCAGAACAGCTTTTACCAATCATTACCAATCTCAGCACATCACCACCTCTTCCTATAACTCCAGGAGGTTCACATAAACATAAGAAAATCAAGTTTTATGCTACTAATCCAGACTAAATCATTTCTCCCTCTGGGAAAGTAAGCAAGCAGAATTGGTCTAAATAAACTATAAGAAATCTTCAGTTATGAAGAAAAACATACATACACATGCACCACATTGATATAGAGATAGAAAAGTCCCTGCTCCTACTACTAATATAGCCTATCTTTTCACAGGTCATTGAAATTTTACTTTAAAATATGTGTGCTGGGGGCGGTCAATGGATAGTTACAGTTATCAAAGTACAAAATTCTTTTTAGGGAAAATAAAACCTCTGTAGTTACATTTTTTCAGGGTCTGGTTCTCAGACCCCTGGTTAGACTGAGATGAGGACTGAGATCCTGTGAGCAAATCCTTCATGTTCCTAAAGCCACTGAAGGCTTTTCCCAGGAGGACCCCACAGAAAGGTCCAGCCCTTGGCCAGGTGCAGTTATAAGTCCAGCCCTTATAACAAGCTGCCTGGGATCCAGGGCATTGAAATACCAGAAGACTGACAGCTGGAAGCCTGCTGGCAGTGGAGCAAGAAGGTTAACACCTTCACCTGCCTCTAGGCTTGGTGGTATTGGTGGGGACAGTCTCCTTGCATAAGGATCCACAGGGGTTACTCCAGAGATCACAACCATCACCTATCTGACCACAGATTTTAGATCTAAAACCAAGCCCCAGAAAGAACTGGGACTTGGGAAATGGGGCAGTTACCTGGGAGGGAGTCTGTCCCTTTGGAGTCCTCATTTCTATAGAGAGATACATAGGGCAATTTAGATAGAGTTGTTTCAGAAACCTGGGAGACAGATTTAATGATCTCTGGAGCTTCCCTTCAGCCTTTTTTTTTTTTTTTTTTTTTTGAGACGGAGTCTCACTCTGTCACCCAGGCTAGAGTGTAATGGTGCAATCTCAGCTCACTGCAACCTCCACCTCCACCTCCGAGTTCAAGAGATTCTCCTGCCTCAGCCTCCCGGGTAGCTGGGAATACAGGCATGCATCACCACCCGTGGCTAATTTTTGTCTTTTTGGTAGAGGCGGGGTTTCACTATGTTGGCCAGGGTAGTCTCGAACTCCTGGCCTCAAATGATCTGCCTGCCTTGGCCTCTCAAAGTGCTGGGATTACAGGTGTGAGCCACCGCACCCAGCTAATATTCTAATAATTCTAATGAGTAGCTCTCATAGTAGAAACTAGGTATATACCCAAAAGATAGAAAATCAGTCTAATGAAGGGATATGTGCATTCCCACGTTTATTGCAGCACTATTCACAATAACCAAGATTTGGAAGCAACCCGAGTGTCCATCAACAGACGAATGGATAAAGAAAATGTGGTACATATACAGAATGGAGTACAATTCAGCCATTAAAAAAATGAGATTCTGCCATTTGAAACTATAACTTATTTTATTTTTATTTATTTATTTATTTGAGATAGAGTTTTGCTCTTGTCACCCAGGCTGGAGTGCAGTGGCACAATCTTGGCTCACTGCAACATCTGCCTCCTGGGTTCAAGCGATTCTCCTGCCTCAGCCTCCCACCACCCATGCCTGGCTAATTTTTGTATTTTTAGTAGAGATGAGTTTTCACCATGTTGGTCAGGCTGGTCTCAAACTCCCAACCTCAGGTGATCCACTGGCATCAGCCTCCCAAAGTGCTGGGATTATAGGTGTGAGCCACCATGCCCGGCTTTATTTACTTTTTAAAGAGAATCATATCATTTGGTTGAAAGCATATTCTTCTTTAGTTTCTAAATAACAGTTATTTAGCTTGGCATGGTTTCTAACAACATCCCAGTCATAATATATTTAAAAAAAAAGACAGCTTTTACCTCCATCCTTCAATAAAGCAGTAAATTCATAATACAACGACTCCAAATTACTAGACAAAAATTTGCTGAAATTGAAAGGAAATTTTATCAAGCACAAGATGAATGAAATTGAATTGGAAGAAAAACTGGCTGTTTACACATGAAAAAGAAGAGTCCTGCCTGAATACAAGAGGGACTATACATATATCATATTCATGCCATTTTAACTACTCCCTAAGAAAAGCAAAATGGCTACCAATTTCAAAATTAGACAACCATTATTTTACTTTAAGATAGTATTTCTTTGAAATAACATGAAATCTGTGTGTCTCTCCTCCACTTCCCCCTCTTCCCAACTGTTACACTACTCCATCTGTCTGGGACTCTATTTCCAAGGGAAAGTGTTCAGAATAGGGATGGAGCGTGCATACAGCAGTGGTTGACTTACTCATCATACCCTACAAAACGCATCCATAATTAAAACACAGTCAGTATCTTTAGAAAAAGTCTATTTCAAAGTCATTAGGTGAAGATATATGTTCTATAGACTCAGGCAACAGGAGCATCTCTTACCTCAGTGTAGCATAGCTGTGTGAGATGAAAGTTTACCATGCACAGGGTCTTCAACTGACAGCTTGCTCTTTACTATCTCGGGAGTGGAAACAAGAGCATTCTATACACCCTGTCAGTCTGCAAACACTAAGTGATGTATTTCTCTCTTTATTTAAGGACAAGTAAGAATAAAAAGAAAAAACAACTAAATGGAGCCCAAAGGTAGAAGGACTTCAGAATAAAATAAAAGAAAAACCTCATAAAAACCCAGGACATGACAGGTACAGTGGCTTACACCTGTAATCCCAGGACTTTGAGAGGCCAAGGCAGGCTGATTGCTTGAGCCCAAGAGTTTGAGACCAGCCCAGGCAACATAGCAAGACCCCATCTCTACAAAATATATAAAAATTAGCTGGGCATGGTGGTGCACACCTTTAGTCCCAGCTACTTGGGAGGCTGAGGTGGGAGGATTACCTGAAACCAGTAGGTGGAGGTTGCAGTGAGCCGAGATCATGCCACTGCACTCCAGCCTGGGTAACAGAGTGAGACCTTGTCTCAAAAAACAAAACAAAACAAAAAAAAACGCTCAAGTCAGACAAAAATATGCTTCTGAAAAAGATGTAATCCAGGAATCAAAAGATAATGCTCAATAGGATACAAGAATTGTCTTCTATAAGGCAAAAGTTGAAATCCATAAGTAAGCAGACAGACTACTGTTAACAAATAAAGTGAAATCAATAGACAAAAAGAATTAGCAACAAACGCAACAAGCCTAAATCCAAACAATACAATACACACACACACACACAGACACACACATAAATCCAGAAGAGACAGGAAAGGATTGCATGGCAACTAAAAGTACGACAGCAAAATGAAAATCTGCATTGTAGACTTTTAAAAAGCAGAAATGACATGCAAACATTTTGAATCAGTAATTTCAAACCAAACTTGATAAGCTTGTCTAAAATAAGGAGGAAAAGGACAGTGGTGAGAGGACAGATGATAGATATCGAAGCTAAGAAATACAGCTATTTCCAAGGACGAAAAAAACTGAGTAGGGGAATCACTAGCAAGAG
The DNA here is from genome assembly GCF_000001405.40 of Homo sapiens. NCBI lineage: Eukaryota > Metazoa > Chordata > Mammalia > Primates > Hominidae > Homo > Homo sapiens. The sequence continues at coordinate 71,769,530 of NC_000017.11, forward strand.
AAGCACTAACCAAATCCATAATTAAATAGTATTTTCTGAAACTCAAACCTAAACACCTTAAAATGGAAATTAAACAGGTTCCACCTGTTTTGAACAATATTAATGGAAATGAATCCACAGATGCACAAATTATGACAAAATCTTGAATTATAAAGAAGAATGCCATTCCACAAACGATTCTGCTGATAGCAATCAGAATTTCAGATCGAGTGCTTGGAAATAAATAAAATCTTCAAGGAGATGAATGTTGCCAATATCACTCTTATTAGGAGCTGCAAAGTGTCACAATGGATCCATATTTCCACTTTTTCTTCTTAGATCATACAAATTAGCACATTTCAACACAACAGCCAATTTTCTATTTCCTTTCACCTCCATAGACTTGACTTTGGGTCTATGACAAACCTCTCTCCAACAATTTTGAGCTGATAAACAACCTCCAGATATAGCTCTTCACTTTGGCTTTATTTTATTTGGATTTGGTTTTCAAACATCAAAACATCATGGGTTCAAAGTTTCTCTTGTGTGTCAAAGGTCACAAGATCCAGGATGCAATAGTGGGATTTTCCTCGGACTGTTACTAATTAGCTGGAGACCACATGTTTCAGGGAAATAAAAACCAGAAAGAGCAGGAATTTGTATTTAGCTTCAGGCAGTGAAGCATTGGATACGTTAGGTAGTATCCTCTATAAGAGGTATACCATGAAATACAGCTCAGTATGGATAATGACTCTGTAAAGTTTTATTCTATTTGAAACAAATAGATTCTGAGTTTTAGTAGGAGAAAGGAGGGAGGCAATTATTTTTTAAAATTATAAATAGAATTCATCATCAAAGCATAAGAAGAAATTTACACATACAATGTGATGAAAATTAGGTAAAAGGAATTATTAAATGGTAAAAACGATTAAACTTTGCTGAAGTTTGAATGATATCAAGAATGATGAAACATTGTTGGATCCAGTGATTAGGAAGCCACTAACAGCCATCTAAATGTGTAGTTTTTACACAAAGGAGGTGGTAGTGGTTGGGGATGAAGCTATTTTGCAAGAAGTACCAGATAGAAACTTCTCCATTATGATATTTAATACTAAAAAACAGGTGAGAACTAAGCTGTAGCCTAAAGGGATATCAGAGAAAAAAAAATCAGAACCAAGCAAGTATTTAGTGTGTGTATAGCTAAGAAGTCTATGGCAAGGGAAGGTTTAAATAAGATTGTGGCTTTTTTTTTTTTTTTTGGAAAGTCTTGCTCTGTTGCCCAGGCTGGAGTGCAGTGGCATGATCTCGGCTCACTGCAACCTCCACCTCTCAGGTTCAAGCAATTCTCCTGTAGGCCTCAGCCTCCTGAGTAGCTGGGATTACAGGTGCCTGCCACCATGCCCAGCTAATTTTTTGTGTTTTCAATAAAAACAGGGTTTCACCATGTTAGCCAGGCTGGTCTCCAACTCCTGACCTCAGGTGATCAAACCGTCTCAGTCTCCCAAAGTGCCTGGATTACAGGCGTGAGCCACCATGCCTAGCCCAAGATTGTGACTATTAATGGAACAAGGCACCATATGGTTAATGAAGATACGCAAATTAAAAGAACAAATGAAGGAATGTGGTTTTAGCAAGGAAAGAAGACTGTTTCTTAAAAGATAGGGACAAAGGAAGATGAGACAGATGAAAATACAATGTTGAGAATAAAAGGGTTGAGGAAGTTCTCACCAAGTTAGTCACAGACCTTTTACCCTTTCATTAACATTGAATATTAATCCATCCATGTGTGGAAATTGAGGAGACATGGATTAGATGGCAATCTTAAAAATGTGGAAAAGGTTTAAATGGTCACAGAATAAAGTCAACTAGAGATGAATATGAAATCAACAAGAGATGAATTGTGACCTTCCTGGAATTGCATAGAATTAATCTTCCTTGGGTCAAATTAACATGATTTTATGGCAGTATCCAGACTTGGACAATCATAAAAGGAAGAGGAGATAAAGTACAATGGACGTTGCCTGGGGATACAAAATATGGGATTGATAAGGCGAGGACAGAGAAATTTCTGAGGAAAGTTTTGTTGGCTTTTTTATGAGAGTTAGCATTTTTGTGACATGACTAGCCACATGGTCCTGACTGATAAAGCAGGTAAGTGGAGCTAGAATAAAAGAGACATGTAGGGAAGACCTCAGGAGACTGGAAAGCACAATGGGAGCAGCAGAGACAGTCACTATCCAACAAATATCCACTGGATTCTGTGCATTTCTCCATGACAGTTTTTTGGAGGCCAGGTGATTTGTTCACTTCAAAAAAACTGGGAACAGAAACGAAGTGCATCTCTTGCAGTGTGAGGCAGAAAAAGGTTGCTGTGTCTTCTCCATCCCAATCTCCCACTCTTGAAGTGTTTTTGGAAGCCATGTATGGATTGAAACAATAATGTTACAAGGTAGAAGGAGACTGGATCCCAGATGGAGACCCTGCCAACCCACACTGGATTTGTGTGAATGAGAAGTGAGCTTCTGTTGTTAAACCACTGAGACTTAATTACTCTGAAAATGAATAGAATGCCTAGCATGCATAATGGAGTGTAAAATACAAATGGAAAGGAGGTCATTCTCTGAGAGGGAATTTTCACATTCTGAGACCTTCTAAGTGGGCCAGTCTCTGATAATGATGAGATCTAAGATGTGGCCACACTTGGGACTGGATCATGAACAGAGACAACAGAGATCAAAGGATCCAAGAAAATAAAGGAACACTGACCCCAGAATGCTATAAAGGTGTGAAGGATGAGTTTAATTGTTATTATTAAGAGAAAGACTAACTGCTTTGAAGGTACAAAGCAAGGTAAGATACTGTCCTCAAGGTTGGAAGAATGCAGTATCAATTCATGGCATGATCTTCAAAGAAAAAAAAAATAGGGCAATTCTCTGGAAGTTACCATGGAGCCCAAATATGTCAATTCCTAGTCTTGTCCAGTGCCTTTAAGGTGGGAATGGAAGGGACTATATCAGAGAGAAGAAAAAGAAGTGGCAGTAGCATTAATGTTGGAAGCCTTTCAGCATTCTGATACCAAAGACCTCTGCCCATCAGGATTTAGTTGTGTACTGGTATCTCATGAAAAGTGAGTTTCTTCCAACGCGAGGAAAGACCTGCACAGCTTTGAAAATACCCTAGACTAACTGGCATTCCCTCAAGTGGCCCATCTTTGTTTTTTAGACATAATGCCTTGAGATCTAATATGGTTTGGCTATGTCCATACCCAAATCTCACCTTGAACTGTAATAATACCCACGTGTCAAGGGTGGACCCAGGTGGAAATAATTGATTCATGGGGGCAGTTTCCCCCATACTGTTCTTGTGATAGTGAGTAAGTCTCACAAGGTCTGATGGTTTTATAAATGAGAGTTCTCCTGCACAAGCTCTCTTGCCTGCCACCATGTAAGAAGTGACTTTGCCCCTCTTTCACCTTCCACCATGATTGTGAGGCCTCCCCAGCCATGTGGAACTGTGAGTCCATTAAACGTCTTTTTCTTTATAAATCATGCCATTTTGGGTAGGTCTTTATTAGCAGCATGAGAACCAATTAAGGTAAGACCCTAAGTTGTATTCTAGTCCCTATGAAAAAGCCTCTTCCCTTGTTTTATTGTAGTCCTAATTGCCTGGGCTGCCCGGCAATGTTTTGTGTATGTTTGAATCTTTTGTGATGAGAACAAGGTAGCAACACTAAAAAATAAATAAATAAATAAATTTAAAAAGATATACATTCTCAAGTAGCATTCATTGGGATGTGTTCCTACATTTCCTCCTCAATCAGAAACCTATTCCTACATTGGGAAGGTTTCATTGTTGCTAATGTAGTTTGATCAGTGAATTAGCAGAGAAGAAAACAGGTAAGGCAGAGTATCTAAAGCAGGGTTTCTTCTTGACCTGAGGTCTGTGAACCATTTCAAATTGACTCAGGACCCTGTACATTGGGGTAATTATTATGTTTTCCTGAGGAGAATTCCCATAGCTCTCACCTGAAATTTAAGAGAATCTCTGGCCTATAAGTAGTTGAAAACAATCTGTCTGAAAGAAGCACTTTCATCCACAGGTTACGATCATTAAATCATGGTTTAAAAAGATATCTAAGATACAGTTGATAATCAATTTTTCTTTTTCCCAAAGTAAACATAATTAATTCATTGATTATAGAGTAAGAAGTCACATGGGAGCCTCTGGTTTGGGATTTCTCCCTGCATGGGTAACCCACTGCCATTCTTTACTCTTTCTCCATACACGCTGTATACGTGGGCACTGATATGATTTGGCTGTGTCCCCACCCAAATCTCATGTTGAATTGTAGACCCCATAATTCCCATGTGTTGTGGGAAGAACCCAGTGGGCGGTAATTGAATCATGGGGGTGGGTCTTTCCCATGTTGTTCTCATGATAGTGAATAAGTCTCATGAGATCTGATGGTTTTATAAAGGGAAGCTCCCCTGTACATCCTCTCCCTTGCCTGCTGCCATGTAAGGTGTGACTTTGCTCCTCATGTGCCTTCAGCCATGATTGTGAGGCCTCACCAGTCATGTGGAACTGTGAGTCAATTAAGCTTCTTTCCTTTATAAATTATCCAGTCTTGAGTATGTCTTCATTAGCAGCATGAGAACAGATGAATGCAGGCACTGTTTTATTGTTCTAAAATATACTCTCTCATCTCTGGTGATACTCCCCTGACTGGGGCAACTTCACTGGCACACACAATAAGTCTTATAAACCCTGACAAAGTAAAAATATTACAAAATGAGAAGGCAGTGGGAAGAGCGGGAGGAGGATTAAGATTGTTAATCTCCTATGACATAGCACCAAGTCAACTGATGGAGTTCAAAAATAAAAAGATAAACAGATTTTTAACTCTGGAATATTTTCATAATTACCTTTTTCTTAATATTAGAGCAGTGTTCACATCCTTGGCTGCCCATTCGAATTACCTGAGAGATTTCAGGAATACTAATACCTGAGTCCCATCCAGTGAGATTCTGATTTAATTGCTCTTGGGTGCAGACTGGGTTTTAAAGTGTTCTCCGCCGATTCCAGTGTGCAGTCAAGGTTGAAAACTACTGCCTAAGAGGAATATGCTAAGAACTGATGTCACTGGTGTTTACGAAACAGGTATCCATAGCCTAGAGGTTAATTAAGCTTTATTTTAGTTTTTCTTCTGTTACACTCATGGAAAAATGAAGGTATTATATAAAGATATCTCCTGCATAGTAAATTTCCCTCTCTCTTTATAGATGCATCCACCCAACCATCTCTTTGTATGTGTGCAGGGTGAGTTGTCAGGATGCACGTGTAATAGTCAATGCTGAATTTGGGGAAATCAGGTTTTGTCTGCCTTGACTTCTCCTTCTCTGTTTGGAATTTGTATAATGAACATCAGTCACAATTTTTTGAAAACAATAAAATAATTGCTTGTAGAAACAAATTTTTAAAATAAAGATTATGAAAATAAGGCAAATTAAAAATGTCAAAGTAAAATTGAAGATTCCATGCATATTTCTAGCTCATAGGACAGCTGATTTAGTTCCTAAAAATAGAAATGAAAATTTTTGCCTGCCAGGACTTATTTTATGGCTACTGGCAGATCTTTTTGCTCTTTTTACTGGAGGTGAGGATGATGGGACAAACATTAAGTTTACTCTGTCAAAGAATGAATGTTGATTTTCACATGTGTGAACAGAAAACTCGGGAGTGCTAATTAAAATAACAATAATAAAAACAGCATTTTATAATTACTAGAAAAAAATCTAGTGAAACTGTGCCATCTGATTAGAGGAAGAAAAAAGACTGTCAATGCCTAGAAATGCTCAAATTTATCCTTGAAATAACTGAGTTGTTCCTACTCTCCCTTTCCCAAGTTTAAATTTGGTGCACAGTTCTAGAAAGAAAAATAAATCCATCTCACAGTCCTGACCTACATAAAGTCCAATATAGTTTCATACACACACACACACACACACACACACACACACAGAGACAGAGACACAGAGAGAGAGAGAGAGAGATTTACATATACAGGTATATTTACATATATATTGATTTATATTAAGCCCATGGAAATAATACATGGAGTTGTGAATAAAAATATCCAGAGATTTATCTATGAGAGAGTCTATACAGTAGAGAGATGACTTAATAGGCTAAAAAGTTGACTTTTTTAGCCTTAGCACTATTGATATTTGATCCAAATAGTTCTTTGTTGTGGGAACTATCCTTTACATTATAGGATGTTTAACAGCACCCCTGGCCCTGCCCCACTAGATGCCAGCAGCAACCTCCTCCTCCTCTCCACAATTGTGACAACCGAAAAGTCACATACGTTGCCAAATGTTCCCTGGGGAGCAAAACTGCCTTCTATTCAGAACCACTGGGCTAAATTATAATGTGAAAAAAAATCTCAAAGAATATAGGGTAGTTGCTAGGGTGTTAGAATGAGGAAAATTAAGATGGACTTTCCAGAATCAAAATACAGCTTATGAGAATTTTAATATATTTTATTTCACTTGTGTGATAAACAATCAACACCTTGTGGGTACATATAATTTTTTATATTTTAAAATATTTTCCACAGTGTTGGTCATGTTGTCTGTGATGAATAGTTATACATTGACAAAACAGACAAGAATATTGATTAAAGATCACATCCAGCAAATTCTCTGAGAAACCATGCTGTGTAGGCTTCTAGGGCATGAGACTTTTAAGATTTTTACCCTCTCCCTGTTTCCTCCCAGTGAAGATAATTTACTATGACTTAGATTCCAAGGCCTTAATTGAGCCTGAAATTCTAGTTATCTAGCCACTGTGGTGTAAATGGTCACACATCTGGATGTAATTGTCTCTCTGAGGGCTTTCTCTTGCACCAATGATGTCGAAGTGCTACCAGTATGTCTTAGCTGTCCACTTGACACTAGTGCAGCCTACATTCTCTTTCATCCCATCAGATGTTCTGTAGTGAAGGGATTCAAGTTTGAGCTTAACAACATGAAAAGTCTCTTAGACCATATTCTACAATCCACCTTAGCAGATACCATGAACTGGAATTCAGACAAAGCTCTCGGCCAATAGCAAAGTAGTACTCTTGCTAATGTTCTTCATATGTATCCATATATTTGAAAAGTGGTGGTGATTGGTGGCTGTGGTTTAAGACAGTTCTGGTATATCTATGAGCCCTGCTAAAATACCATATTAGTGTCATTTTAAGAACCCCCAAGGCTTTCCTTTAACCCTTATTTCACGGCAAGGGTGAGTGACCATTTCTTAGACAATAGTTTGAGATTACATTGACATATTCATTAAAAAAACAAATGTGTGTCATCTATGGAACATGATAACATGTTTTAAATCAAGATTGAAGCAAATTAGATTCTGTCAATGTGATGATCACATAAGCATCTTCCTTGGAAGAATGAAGTCAAGAAGTACAAGTGATCATCACATCAAGTGTCCTTCTGTGCAATGAGTTCTTAGGGCCAAGGAGCTCCCCCAGGAGGCAGGGATGACCCAGACTGATTTTGATGATACAGACAAAGCCAGCTTGAAAAAAATATAAACTTGCAGTTGAACTTTCTCAATTATAATTTAGGCAGTGATTGGACCGGGCACACCTCCACGCAGACATTCATCTCTACTCACATTGGTAAGAAGAGAAAGGGGCATGCATAGCTCTGGGTGGCCAAGGGTGCCCTCCGCCTGTCTGCTGGCAGCGAACAGATGTGAAGCAGAGGGCTGTCGAGGAGTCCTTGTCTTTCTCCCCAGCTCCCTCTTCATCTTTGTGCCTACTCTTTTGGGTTTCCTTTGCTTCCTTTTCCACAAAGTCTGAGGTCAAGTTCCAGTGTATCAGGACCTCTTCTCACCTTCATTCTCCCAGTTCCTTACTGCATGAAGACTGTGGCCACAGACACTGCCTTATGTCAAAGTGAAACTACACAGATGCACGAATGGTAATCCCTGGCAAGCCAATGTAGTTGAAACTTGAAATGATCTTTTTGCTGTACTTCAAAAGTAGTTTCTATCAGTTTATTGCATTTCTTTACCCTTAATTTATTGCTGTCACTTCCAGGGTATGATTTTGTTTTGCTTCTTTTGCTCTTACAGCCAGTTAGGTAGGAAGAAAATGCAAATTACAAAATCTTCTGTCATATTAAAGCAATAGGATTCACCTTTCAGAGTTACTTCAAAGCTTCCTCCTTGCATAAACAAATTAAACAGAATACAATGCTTTTAGTTGCCCACATTGGCTTTTTTTTTAAAAAAACAAAAACAAAAACAAAAAAAACCCTCCTATTAATTAAGAAGTATAAATGGTGAGTTAATCAAAGCAGAGACATCCAGTCTTGCCAAGAAGATATATTTGTGCTACTTGACTCTGGAAATTTAAATAAAGGATTCCTTTCCCAACTCAAGGTTGAAGTTCTAAGATCAGAATCAAAAAGAATGCTAAAAGGGAAGCCAAACTGGCAGCTAGATAACTGAACAAGGAAAGCTGAAAACTTGCAAACTCGCTTCTTGGGTAGGAATGATTTCCCAAATTCAGTAGAGTTAAATGTAAGTTGATGCCAATCTCTATCAGGGCTGGTGAGCGGGCGGTGGAGTAAAAGGTATGTTACGGTAGAATTACCTAGGATTTTCTCTAACTCCTGAAGATAAAGTGTTTTTCTGAAAAAGACTTTGGATAAATAACTCATGTCTTTATCAACAGAAAAATTTATCTTTAAGAAAGAGGGTTCAGTAAGAGTGAAAAATATTGTGGTCCAGCAAATGACATACAGGTCTGCAGGGTAATTGTGGCTCCTGGGGTTTTATAGCTATTTATATGGAAAACGGACATTTTCTGATTTCTTGGGAATTTAAGGTAGCTCTGTGGGTTTTATTTTCTTCTTTTCTATACATCTTTTTTCCTTCAAGTGTTATTATACAGAGTTGGCCCAGACTACAGGAGACATTTAAAATACTATGTGAAAGAAGACTGTTGCAAATGTGAAGTTGGCCATTGGAGGAGAGCAAGGGACTAATAGCACATACAGCAGCTTTCAGCTGGAGGGAAGGATTGGAGATCCTCTGTACAATGGAAGGAGCAAGTCAGTAGCTTCTTATAGAGAGCTCCATAGTCAAAGGAGTGCACATGTTTGAAAGCAGAGTGTCCTCTTAGCATGCTGCATCTATGCCTCTAGTGTTAAAGCATGCATTTTCCTGAACACAATTCACACACTGAAGCTGAACATATAAATGTTATAAGGCATAAACAAACAGCAGGGATTCAATACCCCACAGGGGTGACATGACCTGAGATGATACAGGGACCATATGTTCATGTGTTAAAAAAAGAAACTGCCTTGAGGACTTACCACCATCTCTTATGGGTGAGCAGTGTGAATGGATGCTTCCATATTTGTGTCCCACTTTCATCTTTTCTATCATGATGGTACCCTTGTAGATAAACACGGTAAAGAAGAGAATGACCTACTCATTTATCTGTAGAAAATCACAAGGGTAGACAGGCTTGACTACATGGGCTGGCAAGTGCATGTGATTATACAAGAGAAGGTTGAACTTCAGTGGGCTCCATGTGTGATTGCTCCATTTCTCTAAGAAAAATTGTCTTATTCTCAGAGACACATGCATTAGACCTCAGGGTAACAGTCTTCCTCGTAGCACTTCAGTTTGGTGATTGTCGAGAAAAAGAAGCATTCCTGGACCACGAAGCCAGTTATGTAAAATAGAAGTAGGCAATAGCTAAGAACACTTAGGAGAATCCTTGGCCTGGACTTCTTCCTGAGGTCCTGATGAGAATTTTTGATTTGTTACAGAAAACTGGCTTTCCACAACTGTCAGAGCTGGTAAAGCAGTCCCTGTAAGGTTCTTATCTCTTGGTCCTGGGCTGGAGCTTGAGGTTGGGCAGGCAGTTGGGAAGGAGATTGTGGGTATACGTTGGGGGAGATCAAAGTTAAGTAAAAACTCACAAGCATGAACTGGAACCTCACGAAAGGGGACTGAAACTCAGGCCAGTTCTTGTTGCCTCTGACCTTAGTGATGAGGTTATCCTCTAGAAGCCAGGTCTCTTCATTACAAAGCTGAATGCACAGGCTTAGCCTAGGAGTAGGACAATGAAAGGAGGATCCATGGGAAGGTAGAGTCATTGCAGGTGTGGCTGCTGTTTCATACCCATGGGGCAGGTCAGCAGATCAGCAACCACATACAGGCACACTGCATTCTACAGAGCTTTGCAGATATTGTATTTTCTGTACAAATGGAAGGTTTGTGGCAACTCCACATCAAGCACATCTGTTGGCATCATTTTTCCAATAGCATGTGCTCACTTCGTGTCCATGCATCACATTTTGGTAATCTTCACAATAGCTTAAACTTTTTCATCATTATTATATCTGTTATGGTGATCTGGGATCAGTGATCTGGGATATTGTTCTTGTTATGTTTAGAGGCACCACAACCACTCCCGTATAAGATGGCAAACTTAAATGATTAATGTTGTGTGTGTTCTGACTGTTCCAATGACCAGCGGTTCCCCCATCTCTCTCCCTCTTCTCAGGCCTCTCTACTCCCTGAAATACAACAGTATTGATACCAGGTCAGTTAACAACCCTACAATGGCCTCTAAGTATCTGAGTGAAAGGAAGGGCCACACATCACTCACTTTAACCTATTTCCTATTTAGAAAAAAAAAAAAAAAAAGTACAGCTCGTTGCCAGTGCTCTTTTCTCAGGACAAATGGGAAATCAAAGGCTAGCAACTATCAAGCTTAGAGAAGAAGGCACATTAAAAGCTGAGATAAGTTAAAAGCTAGGCTTCTTGTGTCAAAGAGCCAAGTTGTGAATGCAAAAGGAAAGTCCTCATGGAAATTAAAAGTGCTACTCCAGTGAACACACAAATGAAAAGAAAGCGTAACAGCCTATTGCCAACATGGAGAAAGTTTGATGGTCTGGCTGGAAGATCAAACCAGCCAAAACATTTCCCTTAAGCCAAAGCCTAATCCATAGCAAATCTCCAACTCTCTTCAATTCTATGAAAGCTGAGAGACACGAGGAAGCTGCAGAAGACAAGTGTGAAGCTAGCAGAGGTTGGTTCATCAGGTTTAAGGAAACAGGACATCTCCATAACATTAAAGTGCAAGGTGAAGCAGCATGTGCTGACAAAGAAGTTGCAGAAGTTGTCCAGAAAATCTAGTTATGATCATTGATGAAGTGGCTACACTAAGCAACAGATGTTGAATGTAGATGAAACAGCCTTATGTTGGAAGATGATGTCATCTAGGACTTCCACAGCTAGAGAGAAATCAATGCCTGGCCTTAAAGCTTCAAAGGGCAAGCTGACTCTCTTGTTAGGGGCTAAATACAGCTAGTAACTTTAGGTTGAAGAGAATACTCCTTTACTATTCTGAAAATTCTAGGGCTCTTAAAAGTTGTGCTGAAGTTCCTGTGTTTTATAGGAAAAACAAAGCCTGGATGACAGTACATCTGTTTACAGCATGGCTTACGGAATATTTTAAGCCCACTGTTGAGACCTATTGCTCAAAAACAGATTATTTTTAAAAATTACTGCTTATTGACCATGCACCTGAACACTCAAGAGCTCTGACAGATATGCACAATATGAATGTGTTTTCATGCCTTCTAACACAACATCCATTCTGGAGGCTCACAGAACAAGGAGTAATTTTTGACTTTCAAGTCTTATTATTTAAAAAATAAGGCTATAGCTGCCATAGTTAGTGATTCTTCTGATAGATCTTGGCAAAGTAAAGCAAAAACCTGGAAAGAAATCACCATTCTTTCCATTAAGATGCCATTAAGAACATTCATGGTCACTTTGGGAGGCCGAGGCAGGCAGATCACGAGGTCAGGAGATCGAGACCATCCTGGCTAACATGGTGAAACCCGGTCTGTACTAAAAATACCAAAAAAAATTAGCCGGGCGCGGTGGCAGGTGCCTTTAGTCCCAGCTACTCGGGAGGCTGAGGCAGGTGAATGGCGTGAACCCAGGAGGCAGAGCTTGCAGTGAGCTGAGATAGCGCCATTGCAGTCCGGCCTGGGTGACAGAGCGAGACTCCATCTCAAAAAATAAAACAAAAAAACAAAACAAAACAAAAACAGAAAAAAAAAATCATGATTCAAGGAAGAAGGTCAAAATATCAACATTAACAGAAATTTGAAAGAAGTTAATTTCAACCCTCAAGGAAGACTTTCTGGGGTTTAAAACCTCAGGGAGGGTAACTGCAGATGTGGTGGCAATAGCAACAGAACTAAAATTAGAAGTGGACCTGAAGATGTGACTGAATTACTGAAATCTCATGATCAAACTTTAACAAGTGAGGAATTGCTACTTATGGATGAGCAGAAAAAAAGTGATTTCTTCAGACATAATCTACTCTTGATGAACATGCTGTGAACATTGTTGAAATAACAGAGGATTTAGAATATTATATAACTTTGTTGATAAAGCAGCAGCAGGATTTGAGAGGATTGACTCCAATTTTGAAGCATTCCTACTGTGGATAAAATGCTATCAAACAGCATCACATGCTATGGAGAAATCTTTTGTGAAAGAAGAGTCCACTGATAAAACAACTTTTACGGTTGTCATATTTTAAGAAATTGCAGGGTCAGGCAAGGTGGCTCATGTCTGTAATCGCAGCACTTTGGGAGGCGAGGCTGGTGAATCACGAGGTCAGAGTTCAAGACCAGCCTGGCCAACATGGTAAAACCCCATCTCTACTAAAAATACAAAAATCATCTGGGCATGGTGCTGTGTGCCTGTAATCCCAGCTACTCGAGAGGCTGAGGCAGAAGAATTGCTTGAACCCGGGAGACAGAGGTTGCAGTGAGCCGAGATCGCACCACTGCACTCCAGCCCCGGCGAACAGTGTGCAAGACACTGTCTCAAACAAAAAAAAAAAAAAAAAGAAAGAAAAGAAATTAGCACAGCCACCCCAATCTTCAGCAAGCACCACCCTGATCAGTCAGCAGTGATCAACATTGACGCAAGACCCTCCACCAGCAAAAAGATGGTGACTCACTCAAGGTCCAGATAATCATTAGCACTTTTGTCAAGAAAGTATTTTTGAACTAATGTATGTACATTGCATATTTAGACATGTTATTTCACACTTAATAGACTACACTATACTATAAATATAATTTTTACATGCACTGGGAAACCAAAAAAGTGCATTTGTGTGACTTGTTTTTTGCAATACCAGCTTTATTGCAGTGGTCTGGAACAAACTCCCAATATCTCTAAGGTATGCTTGTATCTGAACTGCAAAGTAACTGCTACTTCATCCCTCCAAATCACCCAAAACCCTCCCTTGGGGTAAACTTTAACTATAACTAAAGACATACAAGAAAGTAGGATTGCCAGATAAAATATAGGACAACCAGTTAAATCTGAATTTCAGATAAACAACAAATTGCTTTAGTGTAAGTATGTTCCTGCCAGGCACAGTGGCTCACGTCTATAATCCCAGCACTTTGGGAGGCCAAGGTGGGCAGATTACCTGAGGTCAGAAGTTCGAGACCAGCCTGGCCAAATGTTGAAACCCCGTCTCTACTAAAAATACAAAAATTAGCTGGGCATGGTGGCTGTGCCTGTAATCCCAGCTATCCGGGAGGCTGAGGCAGGAGAATCGCTTGAACCTGGGAGGTGGAGTTTGCAGTAAGCCAAGATCATGCCACTGCACTACAGTCTGGGTGACAGAGTGAGACTCTGTCTCAAAAAAATAAAATAAAATAAAGTAAAGTATGTTCCCAATATTGCATGAGACATGTTTATACTAAAAATGTATTTGCCGTTTATTTGAAATCCAAGTTTAACTAGGTGTTCTGCATTTTTATTTGCTAAAGCAGGTTACTCTAAAAGAAAGGCCATTCTGGGAAATGTAGTTCAGCCTAGCTGATACATTACAAATGCATCGTATCATGAATTGGGAAATTCATGTACTGAGATTATATTGGCTACAGGTACTCTCAATTCTGCTAAGGATATAAGATAGGATATAATAAAACATGTCTTTCTACAGGCTGTCCGTTTAGAAGAAGTCATCGGTAAGGAAGTATTCCTTCAAAGGAGATTTGAGTACACAGTCACTGTACACATTTGTGATGCCCAATTAAAAGTTACCATATTTCAGGAAGGCTGACCTAAAAGAATGATCCTTACTCAGGGAACACACCACAGTTACCAGTGGAGCTTTTTCAAAAGTATAGATGACTGGGCCCAACTCTAAGACCTGCTGAAAGAGAATCTTCAGAATTGAGAATAAACTGTGTGGATGTTTTTTTTCCCAAAACCACAGTGGGTTGTCTAGGTGTGTACTCTTAATTAAGAACCCTTGTGGGCGAGGTGTGGTAGCTCGCGCCTATAATCCCAGCATTTTGGGAGGCTGAGGAGGGCAGATCATTTGAGGTCAGGAGTCTGAGACCAGCCTGGCCAATATAGTGAAACCCCGTCTATACAAAAAATACAAAAATTAGCTACGCATGTTGGCATGTGCCTGTAATCACAGCTACTAGGGAGGCTGAGACAGGAGAATCACTTGAACCTGGGAAGCGGAGGTTACAGTGAGCCTAGATCACACCGCTGCACTCCAGCCTGAGCAACAGAGCCAGACTGTCTCCAAACAACAACAATAACAACAACAACAAACCCTTGCTTTAGAGAAACAGTAAAACATGAATAAGTGGTGAATTCTGAATAGTTCATACTAGGTCACTACATTACATATTTTCCTCAAGCCCTCCAGAAAAATCCCCTATAATACTAACTTCAGACGTAAAGAATCAGCTGTTTAAAATGCCATAGCTGTGCATAGTGCCTGTATTAGTTTGTTTTCATGCTGCTCATAAAGATTACCTGGGACTGGATAATTTGTCTGTGTGTGTATATATATATATATATTTATATATATATATATAAATATATAAATATATATATTTAAAAATATGTATATATAAATATATAAATATATATGTATGTATAAATATTTATATATTAAAATATATAATATATTTATTAAAATATATAAATATAAATATATAATATATTAATATGTAAATATATTTATTAATCCATATAAATATATTTATTAATCTATATAAATATATTTATTAATCTATAAATATATTTATTAATCTATATAAATATATTTATTAATCTATAAATATATTTATTAATCTATATATATATTTATTAATCTATATATATTTATTAATCTATAAATATATTTATTAATCTATATAGATATATTTATTAATCTATATAGATATATTTATTAATCTATATAGATATATTTATTAATATATATTTATTAAAATATATAAATATATTAAAATATATAAATATATTAAAATATATAAATATATTTATTAAAATATATAAAATGTAAATATATATTTAAAATATATATATATATAAAAAGAGGTTTAATATACTCACAGTTCCATGTGGCTAGTGATGCCTCATAATCATAGTGGAAAGCGAAAGGCATGTCTTACATGGTGGCAGGCAAGAGAGAATGAGAGTCAAGTTAAAGCGGAAACCCCTTATAAAACCATCGGATTTTGTGAGACTTATTCACTACCCCAAGAACAGTATGGGAGAAACTGTCCCCATGATTCAATTATATCCCAACAGGTCCCTCCCACAACACGTGGGAATTATGGGACCTACAATTTAAGATGAGATTTGGGTGAAGACACAGCCAAATCGTATTAGTGTCTCTGGCCATTGGTAAAGTTTGGGTTTTTGTGTTAATGTCACCTTGCTGTCTGGGAGGTGGGAGTGGGAGTTGATGTGTCTAATCATTTTTCATTCATTTGCACTCTGGTCCATTGGGAATATCTCTGCTATCCCGTCTGTCACTATGTGCTATAGCTCTTTACCTGTTGTTCTCTCTCCCTGCCTGATTCCTTGAAGCTGAAAGCCATATGGTACTCTCTGCATCTCTGACTGCTCTCAGAAGACAAAACACATGGAAAGTACTCATTATATATTGAATGAATCAAAACTACATGCACATTCCCCTGTTGCTCCTTCTCTTAGCCTTTTGTCAGTCTTCATGAAGACTTTCAGTAATCAGAAAATAACAAATACTATTTATTGAGAGCTTATTATAAATCAGGCTGTTGTAAGTTCTTTATTTTACCAACTTAGTCCCTGAAATGTTTTTATGAGATAGATAGCTGAGGAAACAGATGGTCACAGATGAAAGTGCTGGCTTTTCATCACATGACTACTAGTGAAGGAACCAGAACTGAGACCAGATACCTTCTCTTAACTCCCAAGCTGAAGTGCTTCCCTGGAGAGCCTTGTCTAGGTCAGCATTGCATCCAGTCACATTCTTAAAACTTTACGGAGAGAGAATGTTTTAGAATAAAACCTGAAGTCATTTTTATAGTCGACTTTCTCTTCCTGAGTGTATAGTGTTCTCCTGAGAAAGCAGGCCCTCCATGGTAGAACAAGGAAAATGACATATAATTCACATTTCATAGAGTGAGTCATAAATTGAATCATTGGATCATCTAGTCCCATTGCATCAATGTAGAGAAAGATGAAATGATTTCTCTGAGGTCATGTGGTCAGAGGGTAATATATCTGGAATGAGGATCCATCAGTTCTAATTTGAAGTCTAGCACTTGCCATACAGCACTGGCATCTCTTACTGGACAATGCCAAGCCTTTTGTGTCTGTGACTTGGGCAGAATTTGGGTTAAAAATGGAAAAACGGCCAGGCACAGTGGCTCATGCCTGTAATCCCAGCAATTTGGGAGGCTGAGGCAAGCGGATCACCTGAGGCCAGGGGTTCAAGACGGGCCTGGCCAACATAGTGCAACCACGTGTCTACTAAAAAGACAAAAGGGATTAGCCAGGCGTGGTAGCGGGTACCGGTAATCCCAGCTACTCGGGAGGCTGAGGCAGAAGAATGGTGGCTTGAACCTGGGAGGCAGGGGTTGCAGTGAGCCAAGATCATGCCACTGTACTCCAGCCTGGGTGACAGAACAAGACTTCATCTCAAAAAAAAAAAAAAAAAAAGAAAAGAAAACCAGAGTGCTACACCACCTCAAAAGGAGCCTTTACATCATCCCTCAAGGTGGTTTCTCCTTCTTCCCCAAAATGTGGTTCTTAGTTTTTTCTTTTGGGAGCGGGGAGCTTTTCATTTAAACAGGGGTATCCGTGGAAGACAATACAGTCATGGGTTCTCTGTTTCTGTTTGGGTCAGTAAAGCCCCTTCCTGATCCCTCTTTTTCACTTATCACTAGAGACAGAAAGTAAGGAACATGGGCTTCAGGCTGCTGAAAGCCTAAAACAAAACAAAACAGAACAACAACGATAACAACAAAATAAGGTGGGCTGGACAAGCTTAGAACTTTAGAACATAGTTTCAGAGGTTAAGTACACAAGCGCCCTAGCCATGAGCCTAAACAGTATTGGTCCAGAGAGGAAACTGCCAAGAATAGGATCCGGGAGGGCCCCCATATCTCCGCCAGTAAGGCAAGAAATGGGAAGATGTGGTCCTCTTTTGGGTAAATCAGCAAGGGGAATGAGGAAAGCTTCCAGTATCTTTACTGGGACACCAACATGGTGCTCTGGCCCGGCAGGCACAGTCAGGGAACATCGTGAGATGGGGGCTTCATTCCATCCCAGACCATCCCAGGATTCAAAACATATTCAGAGATTGTATCTTTGACTTTCCTAACTAATTGCCGTCCCCTCTTTTTAAAAAAGCAACAGCCACACAAAGACAACTTCAGAGACAGAGACTGCTAACTAGAAAACATAGACTTAAAAACCAACAGTGAGATGGGAGAGAGAAAGAGGCTGCTTCAGGGAATAAGTAAAAAAAAAAAAAAAAAGCCATGATTCCTCGCCATTAAAAAAAAATAGAAAACATTAAACACACATATGCCCTTTAAAGAGCTAAAATGATCGGAGTGCATTTATTTTCTCAGTTTTATTTAGCCAGGTTGGAAAACAAAACCCGGAAATTAATGCCAAGATAACAGAGATGAGGGTAGAACTTTTGTCTCTAATAATTATCTTACTATCTGTCCATCTTAGATCAACAAACATGCTATGATTGACAGTTGAAAATGTTTAGATTAGTCTGAGCTCACATAAACCATTTGAAGTTTTCTAGGACGGGAGAATGTTATAAAGCAAACAAATAATCTCCTTTCCATCTTCCCACTTTCAAACCTTCTTACCACCTGCCCTCCAAGTCTTTTTCTTTGGAAGTCCATTCACACAACTGGTGGACACAAGCTTTGGGTGAGACCTAACAAATTACTGCATTCTTCTAAATGAAAAAAGAGACAATGCTCAGGAAATTTAATTATCTTCAGTATATACGGCAGAAGAAAAAAATAATTCTGATAACTATCACTTTCACTCCCTTGCTTCCTCTTACAAATTCTGAGTCTCCCAGAGGTCTTGACCCTCTGTTGTGAAGAATCATCATGGTAATGAACAAGGAGATAATTGAGATCTGCTGGGTGAATTCACAGTGGGGACAGAAGAGAATCACTGGTAAAGAAAAACAGACTCCATCTGGATGGTCAGAGGGAGGCAGAGGAGGAAAAAAAAAATAGAAGAGCTTTAAGGAGAATTTGTTTTTTGGAGATGTGAGAGAGGTTTTTGTTGGTGAGTCAAATATCTCCAAGGAGTGAGAGTGGGAGATTTTAGAAAATCGTGGACTATGTAGTAAGTGAATGAAACATATCCATTTTAAATAGATATCAATAAAGATTAAATGTCTTTTCCATGAATGTCAGTTTCAGATTGATGTTTATTTGAATGTGGCACTGTGGAGAAACAGAATAGGAAGTACCTGGGTTTGTGTGGATGACAAATATTTAATGACCTACTTCAAATGATCACTTGGTTTACTCTCTTAGGCTGTTCTCGCATTGCTATAAAGAAATACCCGAGACTCGGTCATTTATAAGAAAAGAGGTTTAATTAGCTCACAGTTCTGCAGGATTTACAGGAAGCATGGCCCCGGGATCTAAGCATGCTTGGCTTCTAAGGAGGCCTCAGGAAGTTGACAATCATGGTGAAAGGCAAAGGGGGAATAGGCACATCACATGCTGAAAGCAGGTGCAAGTGAGAGAAACTGAGGAGCGGGGAGGTGCCACACACTTTTAAATGACCAGATCTCGTGAGAACTCATTATCATGAAGACAGCATCAAGCCATGAGAGATCTGATCCCATGATCAAAACACCCCCCCCACCAGGCCCCACCTCCAGCACTGGGGATTACAATTCTACTTGAGATTTGGCCAGGGACAAATATCCAAACAATGTTATTTATTTGTGCACTGTCCCTAACCCTCAACAACACCCTTTTGTGAGGAAAAAAATAAAATGCATTGTGGAAATGATTAAAAAGGGACTAGATGAAGACTACTGTCAAATAATCTAAAAGATTAAGTGTGGGGGGTAGTCATATAATAGGTAAAAACATTGGCATAGCAGCAGCCCAGGCACGGTGGCTCACACCTGTAATTCCAGCACTTTGGGAGGCCGAGGCGGACAGATCATGAGGTCAAGAGATCAAGACCATCCTGGCCGAGATGGTGAAACCCGGTCTCTACTAAAAATACAAAAATTAGCTGGGCTTGGTGGTGTGCACCTGTAGTCCCAGCTATTCAGGAGGCTGAGGCAGGAGAATTGCTTGAACCCAGGAGGCGGAGGTTGCAGTGAGCCAAGATCACGCCACTGCACTCCAGCCTGGCGACAGAGTGAGACTCCATCTCAAAAAAAAAAAAAAAAAAGGCATAGCAATTTTAAACTTAGGTCCTAGAGTTTATGACTGCTAGAAAATGTGAAGTAATAACCACTTATTTATTAATTCAAGAAATGTTTCAAGTGCCTTCTATTTTCCTTGCCCTCTTCTGTGTAAAGTGATTACAACATGAACAAAGGAGACAAAATATCTTTGTTCCTGGAGCTAACTTTCTAGCAGAGAAACACAGATCATCTATAAACAATAGGTACAATATATAGGATGTAAAGCATGTCATTTGGGGGTAAGTGCTATGAAAAATATAGTAACACAACAAAGAGGTTTAAGAACTGATAAAGATAAGATGGCATTTCTAATTTAAATAGAACAGTCAAAGAAGATCACACTAATCTGAAAGAGCCAAGAGTGTCAGCCATGTGAGTATCTGGAGAGAAAACATTCCAGGCAGCAGGTGCAAAGGCCCCTGAGACAGGCGCTTGACAGGCATTCTCAAGGAAACTACATGTTCTAAAAGATTTTATAATTTTTAAAGGGTTTTTTGTTGTTGTTGTTTTGAGATGGAGTCTCACTCTGTCTCCCAGGCTGGAGTGCAGTGGCAAAATCTCGGCTCACTGCAAGCTCCGCCTCCCGGGTTCACACCATTCTCTTGCCTCAGCCTCCCGAGTAGCTGGGACTACAGGTGCCCAACACCATGCCCAGCTAATTTTTTGTATTTTTAGTAGAGACGGGGTTTCACCGTGTTAGCCAGGATGGTCTCGATCTCCTGACCTCATGATCCACCGGCCTCGGCCTCCCAAAGTGCTGGGATTACAGGCGTGAGCCACCAAGCCTGGCCAAAAGTTTTATTTTTTAGTGTATTCCAAAATGGGATAAGAATGTCAGCTTCACAGAACTGTTGTGAAATAATTTAAAATAATGAAAAGTGCTCGGCTTTTTAGTAATTAATTACTGTGAGTAAGGAAATAGTATTTTTCTTGCCACAGTGCTGATTTGTCAAGAGATGTGTGCTGACTTCCAAGTCAAATCACACAACAGGCTGTAGTTCAGTCTACCTAGAGGCAAAAAACCACTATAATGATGAACACAGATTCAAACCCCAATTAGGAGATATTACTCAACATCTCCTAGATGTTGGAATAGCTTACTCAACATCTCTAAGTCTCTCCTTTGTAATCTGTCAAATGGGGATAAAAATATCTATCCCTTGAGATTATTGTGAAGTTTAAATAAAACACTGGGAATAATGGAAAAAATATATAATAGTTCAAATGTACTAAATGCTCACCTTGTGTGGGGCACAGCATAAAGCCATTTCCCTCATAAGACTACAAAGTAATATTATCATACCCATTTTTCAGATGATGAGACTACAGTCTAAATCACATAGCATTGGGTCCATAACAAGTGAATTATGGAGGCAGGATTTGAATCCAGGAGCCTGAAGACAGAGTCTGAGCTGCTGACTGCCAAATTCTTAACCCCCTCATTGCTACACCTGGCACAAAATTAAAGCTCAATTAATGGCAGAAGCTGTTACTGCTGTTGATATTATTATGCCACTCAGAAGAAGAAACTCTTTTCAAAGGTGACAAAGCACACATTTAAAATAGTAAGGCTGACAGTTACAGACAGATACACCCATCATCGGGGTTGAACAAAGAAAAGATCTGCTCGCCAGACCCCAGTTTGCAATAGTTAAAAAATTGAGTCACACGTGTGAGTCATGAATAAAATCCAGGGAAGACACACAGCCTCACTCTATCTAGTCCCCGATATTCTAAAATTGGGACTACCAAGACCTAGAAAAATGTTTTGTGAGTCTTCTTTTAATGTAGACTATGTCTTGTTTTTCTCAACACCCCAAAAGACATTTAAGGAGAGTATTGTCAGCAGCCTCAGCCCTTCTCCCTGAAGTGTGAAATAAAAGTAACACAAACAAGCAGCTATATTTCCTCCAATCCCTGGGCTTTCTCTCTACCCCACGCAACATCACGACACACACATGTATTTGCTGCCTGTCTTCCTTTTCATGGCTCAAGTCAGTTTGCACAGATGGTTTTCGAATTGACTTCTTTTAAAATAACTTATATTACAAAGTTGGTTTTCTGCTCCTGCCAGCCTTAACCAGAACTGCTTCCGTGTGCCTCCTTAGAAACTCCCATCCCAAGCAGATCTTTCTACCTTCCACTCATGCACATGTGCACACACACACCCACACCCACACACACACACGTTTATTCTAGTAAACTCCTACTCCTGCAGGAAATCATGAAGAACCCATATTTTGACATTTATACAGAAGTATCACCCCAGTATTTTAAAAGTTCTGTTTCACAACTGTAAGCCTAGCACTCTAGAGGGCTGAGGTGAGAGGAACACTTGAGGCCAGGAGTTCGAGACCAGCCTGAGCAATGTATGTAGCAAGACCCAGTCTCTATGAAATAAATAAATAAATAAAAATTAGTAAGCATGGTGGCACACACCTGTAGTTCCAGCTACTCAGGAGACTGAGGTGGAAGGATCACTTGAGCCCAGGAGTTCGAGGATGCAGTGAGCTATGATCGCGCCACTGCATTCCAGCCTGGGTAACAGAGTGAGACCCTGTCTCAAAAAATAATAATAATAATAATAATTCTCAGTTTCCCTAAAAGGTAGAGAATAAGAACTCCTTATAGGCAAAGTTTATATTGTGGCAATGCCCTACAGTATATAAGTAAATCTTGTGTCATATAATAAGTTTTCAAATAAAAACAATTGATGTGGGTAGTAGTAATAGAAGAGAAAGTTTTGAGATAGAACAGAGTATTATGGGCGGGTGCTTATACCTCTTAGGAGAGTATTCTGCTGCACAGAAAGATCCCTAGAACTGCTTAGCCCATTTTATACTGGGTTTTCCAGTCTCAGTTGGTGACTAGACTAATAAAGATTGAATTCATTTTAGCTAGTACTTATTAAGCATATTATTGTCACACACCTACATATATGCATGCTCCCATCTCAGGGAACAATTGTCTTTGAAAATGCTCAACTTCTAATCAGAGTTCAGGAAGGGAACGGAAACTCCATTTTTATTCTCTTTCTTGTAGTCCAATAAGCTTATCCTGGTAAATAAATATCCCTGCTACAACCAGAAAGCAAGCTTTTGGTTTTCAATTTAGCTTCATCCATCTCCATGTTCTTAACTATGAGGAGAACGACAGAAGCTATAGGATTCTCAGGTCTACTGCAAACTCAAAGCATTTTAGGATGCGACAGACTTCGAGAGAGAACGCTACGGATGCCTGGATTGGACTTCATGCTCAAGACGCTGTTAGGAGGCCGTTCAGAGCCACTGAATTCAATCACCATGAGCACTCCACTCTCTCTTGTATTCACTTTCAGATACATGCACTGATTTTTGTTTCATGTCAGTTTCCGCTCTTACATTTATCTTGCAAACTAACCATTGCTAGTCTCTCCTCCCATGCAACTTTTCCAAGTGTTTGTAGGCAAATTAATAAAGACTTCGCCAGTTACCAAGGCAATTGCAATGAGGGCTCCTCAATGTGGTACCTTTATTCCAATAAGATTTTCTGTCTCCAAGGTGGAATTCCTGCCAAATTTCTCTTTTCCTCTCATTTCCCTCCTATTTGAGTAAGGTGAGAAATGAAAAGTAAAGTAGTAGGGTCGTATTTAACAGTGTCAGATGCCAGGACACACTGCTCCTTCATTGTCCCGAGGCTTTCTAAATGGAGTCAGTGCTGCCGGGAATGTTTCCTCCCTTCCAGCCCGCTTTCGCCTTCTTATAGAGTGTATCAAGCAAGTCAGTGAGCTGTGGTTTTCCTATTCAGGCCAAGGCAAGCAAGCTAAATGCGCTTTGAGTGCTGAAAGGCCTCTGGGTCACTTCATGGTATGCAATGAATCAGAAACTTACCAGGGTATTGATTCATATTCAGGACATATTTAAATGTACAAGCAATCCCTGTTTTGATTTCCATTTCCATTTTTTTAAATGTCTATGTCGAAATCTTAGGTGTGGTCAGGATTCAGATAAATATTAACATATTACAAATCATTTAGATAATGTCTTATGTTCAATTTAGATTTCATTCTGCCATTCAGGATATTCCTTTAGAAAAATAATTTGTTTATTTATCTTTTATGTTTGTTTTGCTGCTACTATATTACTGTATGTGGGGAGGGGTGAAAAGTAAAATATATACGGCATAAGACATGAAGGTAGAGACCCAATGTGATGATTAATTTTATATGTCAACTTGACTGGGCCATGGAGTGCTCAGATACTTAGTCGAACATAATTTTGGGTGTTTCTGTAAAACTGTTTTGGGGTAAGTTTAACATTTAAGTTGTAAACATTTCAATCAGTAGAGCAGACAGCCCTTCCTCATGTGGGTGGGCCTTATCCAATCAGTTGAAGGCCTAAAGAGAACAAAAAGTCTGAGCTTCCCCTGAATCATGGGGAACCCCCTCCTGCATGACTGCTTGAGCTAAAACAACATTTTTTTTTTCCTGCCTTTGGACTCAACTGAAACATTAGCTCTTCCTAGGTCTCGAGCTTGCTGGCTTTCAGACTAGAACTACACCATCAGCTCTCCCAGTTTTTAGGCCTTTGGACTCAGACTGTAACTGCACCATAGGCTCTCTTAGGTCTCCAACTTGCTGACTGCAGCTCCTGGAGCTGACTTGTCAGCCTTCATAATCACTTGAGCCCATTCCTCTTTCTCTCTGTGTGTGTATGTGTGTGTGTATATATATATATATATATATGTGTGTGTATATATATATATGTGTGTATATATATATGTGCATATATATGTATGTATGTATGGAGATATATATATAGATATATATAGATGGATATAGATAGATAGATAGAAAGATAGATACATAATCTCCATCCCATTGGTCTGTTTCTCTGGAGAATCCCAATACATTCAACTTCTTGTCAAGTACCTTCAGGATCTTAATAGATTCACTACACTCTCTAAGGTTTCTTTTCCCCTTATGTAACTGCGACAGAAAAAATGTTCAAATGCCTCCCAGTGACACTGAGATGATAAAAAGATAAATCGCAAAGAGATCCTAGAAGAATACACCATAGATATCCCCATGCACTAAGAAAATCTTTCTTATGGTTTTGTCCAGCAGAACCTAGCAACCTTTCAGCTCTGACTGAAAATGGAAGACTTAGCTCTCCATCATTGGCAAGGAAAAGCTGTCGTGTGCTGGCCTTAACCATTGAGATATTCCTTATTCCTTCTGAAAACTTGTCTCTTTTGGTGGAAAGGAATGGAATCTTATTCATAATCTTTTAACAATAAATAAACCCTAGGTGCTTAACATGAAGTAATTGAATGTGGACCTGTCTCTAATCAGAGAAAAATCGTACTTGAAATATTTTTTGTGTAAGACAAATCCTTTTTTAAAACGTTGTACTCCAGCTCTTAATGATAACAAAAAAGAGCAGAATTTTACATTATTTAAAAAGTCTCCATTTTAATGGTTCAAAATTTGGTGGACATAAAATTAACCAATATTTTTAAGAAATACCATTTTTATATTAGATTTGATTTATACAACTACACATACATTCCACATCCTGTCCTAGCACAATATTTTCACATTTAATAACTATTTACGTGAGTGAGTAGCTAAATGGCTGGAAAGTAATATTGCATGGTTGTGGAAAATACAGACTGACTCAGACTGACGGAGGTAGAGTCATGCCTTTACAAATTAATAAGTATATGACATTGCAAAAATTACTGAAACTCAAGACTTGGTCTTAACATCTACAAAATGGGATGATAGTAGTAGTGAGCCTTAAAGGAGCTAGTACATTGCATACTGTTCATTCAGCAATATACCTAGCACATAGTAAGTTTTCAATAAATACTATCACTGATTATTAGAATGATGACCTATAAATTGATCAGAAGTGCCAGAGGTAACACTTTCTAACTGTAGCTGTACTGCTACTAAAGAAGGATAACCACCTTCTCAAATTGGTACTCCTTTTCCAAAGAAAGGTATAACAGGAAGGGAAAGATGATGCAGGGCAAACTGACCATCATGAAGTACACATTCTTCTTGATGCTTTCCTTGGAGGTTCTCAGAAGAGACTGGTGAGGAAACT
Source organism: Homo sapiens (assembly GCF_000001405.40). Lineage (NCBI taxonomy): Eukaryota > Metazoa > Chordata > Mammalia > Primates > Hominidae > Homo > Homo sapiens. The sequence goes on from NC_000017.11 coordinate 71,795,450, forward strand.
GAGTCATGGACATGACATAATCTCAAATATGATTATAACACTGAAAAGGACATGGGTTTCTTTTTTTATGTAGCACATTGACATAAAATGAATGCATGATACAATGGAATTACTTGCTCTATTAGTCTGTTCTCATGCTGCTAATAAAGAAATACCCAAGACTAATTATTTATAATTAGGATAATTTATAAAGGAAAAAGGTTTCATTGAATCACAGTTCAGCATGGCTGGGGAGGCCTCACAATCATGGCAGGAGGCTAATGAAGAGCAAAGTCATGTCTTACATGGCGGCAGGCAAGAGAGCATGTGCAGGGGAGCTCCCCTTTACCAAACCATCAGCTCTCTTGAGACTTATTCATTATCATGAATACAGCAAGGGAAAAACCCACCTCCGTGATTCAATTACCTCCCACTGGGTCCCTCCCATGACACATGGGGATGATTACAATTCAAGGTGAGCTCTGGGTGGAGACACAAAGCCAAACCATATCACTTGCCATCAGGAATAATAATTCATACACCAATGAGAATAGAGAAGGGAAGGGGAAATAGGGAAGAAAGGATATGAAGAACAGAGAAGGGAAGGGGGAAAAAAGAGAATGAAGGAAAAGCTGGAAGCTGCATCTGTAGATAGAAATATTAGCACTTTATTTTGCTTTCTTTTTAACTAAACATGACTGGTTCAATGGAAAAGGCAGAAGCTTTTCAATGGAAAAGGCAGAGCAATCCCTATGATTGCTCTTTTCTCACTTGGTGTTTACTTCCATGTCCCAAATAGGCTCCAGAAGATCCTTCTCAAAAGTTACATTTTACTGTGTCTTTCATCCACTCAACAGCCTTTGATGGCATCACATCCAACTCAGAGTAAAACCCAGCGTCTTTGCAATGCCTCACACACCCTATGTCTTTTGGTCCTGCCCACCTCTCTCATCTCCTGCCCTGTCACATTCTACACCAACCACACTGGCTTCCTCACTGAGCTTCCAGGAGGCCTTTGCACTGGCTGCTCCCTCCATGGAATACTTCCCCTAGATAATCATATGTCTCTCTCCTTCACCTTCCTCTAGTCCCTACATAAATGTTCCTTTATTAGAAATATCTTCCATAGCCTAATCCCCCATCAGCCTCTTCCAGTGTCATAGTTTACCCTGGTACTTACTGTCACCTCTATGTACATAATGTTTGTTTGATTCTATATGTCTTCACTTCCTGTCCCCCCCTTACCACCACCACTAGAATGTCAGCTCTGGGAGAGCATGGACAGTATACAGTTTACTGCTCTTATATATCAAGCCTCAACAAATGACAACTCATAATTAGCACTCAAATATATTGTTAAATATGTAAGTGAATAGAAAAGAAAGCAGGGAGGTGGACAGGGAAGGAGGTGGACAGGGAAGGAGGTGGACAGGGAAGGAGGTGGACAGGGAAGGAGGTGGACAGGGAAGGAGGGGAAGAGGGAAGGAGAGAAGGTCATTGATATGGTTTGGCTGTGTCCCCACCCAAATCTCACGTTGAATTGTAGCTCCCATAATTTCCATGTGTCATGGGAGGGACCTGGGTGGGAGGTAATTGAATCACGGGGCAGAGTCTTTCCTACACTGTTCTCATGATAGTGAATAAGTCTCAGAAGATCCGATGGTTTTATAAAGGGGAGTTCCCCTGCACAAACTCTCCCATCTGCCACTATGTAAGATGTGACTTTGCTCCTCAGTCACCTTCAGACATGATTATGAGGCCTCCCCAGCCATGTGGAACTGTGAGTCCATTAATCCTTCTTACTTTATAAATTACCCAGTCTCAGGTATGTCTTCATTAACAGCATGAGGACAGACTAATATAGTCATTTACCGCTTGTGGATCAGCTTACTTAAAATAATTTCACCTAGATGCAGGCTCAGTCTTCCTTTTATACACAGCTATGGCCTGGCTAGCAGATGTGTGAGCTACTTGGTCCTTTACGTTAAGAACGCTGAAAGGCAAGGCAACAGGAAGCCAATGGCCCCACCACAGCACACTTACATCAGGCTCTGCAGTATCATATGGGAAAAGCAGATAAATCACAGGTGGATCATGGACATTACATAGAAAGCCACTGCTGCAGTCCAAGGCCACTCCAATCCTTAATGTCTTCTCTGTACTAGTGTTTCTCAAGCTCCACTAATAGCTATCAGTCACTTAACACAATGCTAAGCTCTTTACCGAATGTTTTATCTATCATAATCTCATTTAATCTTTGGAACAACTCTGAGCAGGAGGTGTTATAATCCCATTTTTACAGATGACAGAACAGACTTAGGTAAAGTGGTTCACCCAATTTCACACAATGAATACACAACAAACCCGGGTTGGGAAAAGAGGCTGTCAGACTCCAAATACCAAAACCTCCAAAAACCTCTACCCATCCTGCCTTCTAATTGTCCAGCTACCGTACCCGAACCTGTCTTTCAAAGACTGAATCCCATAAGGATACAAACAAAAAAAACCTCTACTCTCCCTGATATGGCCATTGATCTACTGGACATGAATACTGTCATTACCTTTTTGTCAACGGCCCAAAAAAATGCAGCAGTATTATAAGAAATGCTTTTGCTTGCTATTACATTTTACACATTAAAACTACAATGCATCAGTAGTTTGAAACTGTTGTAATGCTACTGATTACTCAGTTTGCTGCCATGATATCTACAAAATATAAATATGATAAAGTAAAAGCAAACATGTTATTGTCCTATTGAGAGCAGGACTTGCAGAAGATGCTAGGGCCAGCCTCTCTGCAGTGTGGGAGATGTGGGAGTTGAGAGGGAGGGAATTCTCTGTCATTTTTATAAAAACTTTGTGTGCCACATACAGTATATCTGTGTCTCGATGGATCATAACATTATCAGTCAAAAACTGCTTTTTAGATCTCCCAACCTTTTGACTCAATCAAGGAAGAGTCATTACTTCTAAGCATGGCAATCTACACTTTATCTTAAAAAAGGGGAAAAAATCATTAGGCAGAGTTTCTAATGAAATAAGTAGAAAGAAGGAAGAATGATACATACATGCTGTCTTACCTTCTTTCCCTTGATGTTAAAATGGAAAGCCACGCTATTTACATGCCTAGGAGTCCCATACTTAGCGTAATTATTATGAATAATGTTCCAGAGACAAGTTTAGGTTTTCTTCTCCTAGAAATACTTTGAGAAGGTAGAAGAGATGAGAGAGTAGGAGAGATGGAATTTGCATATCCTTATAAAATAACCTCTAAAACCTATGCTTATGATAGACCCTGTGCTAGAGGATTGCATATACATTATTTCATTTGATTTTCACCACTTTGAAAAAGATATAATAACCATTTACTATTAAAGAAACTGAAGCTCAGAGGATTTAAGTGATTTATCCCAAGGCCACATTGCCATTTAGGAGGCAGACTGTTTGGGCCAGATCCATGGGTTTTCCTGCTACTCCTGTTGCCCCAGATGGATACAGCATGTGTTACTCCCGAGATGGCATTGCTATGAGCCTCAACATTCACAAATAAATTGCAAGGTTACCAAATTCTCAACATTTACAAGAAACAAAAAAATGACTAGGCAGATTTTCTACATTATAGGATCCTTAACAGAAATAAAAAAGCAGCCCGGGCACAGTGACTCATGCCTGTAATCCCAACACTTTGGGAGGCCAAGGCGGGCAGATCACCTGAGGTCAGGAGTTCAAGACCAGCCTAGCCAACATGGTGAAACCCCGTCTCTACTAAAAATACAAAAATCATCCAGGCATGGTAGCACATGCCTGTAGTCCCAGCTACTTGGGAGGCTGAGGCAGGAGAACCGCTTGGGAGGCAGACGTTGCAGTGAGCCGAGTTTGTGCCACTGCATCATTCCAGCCTGGGTGACAGAGCAAGACTCTGTTTCAAAAAATAAAAATAAATAAAAAAATAAAAAACAAAAGAGCAACCAACCAACCAAACCAGAGTCGATCAGCCACTTTAAGTGTCCTCTCAGCTTTTAGGCCACAGCAGACCGTTCTAATTGGCCACTTCCTCTCTGTTCACTAGAGAGTTCCAAATTGGATTAATATCTTATCCCATCTGTAAGTGCTGTTCCGTCTTTGTGAGCAAACCTATCCGGGTTTTTCCAGCTTACAGGCTGCCAGTCCCTTGGTGAAGTCAAAATAGCAATTTTCTTATTCTGTTACTAGCTCTACTCAGTTAACTCAGATTAAGAAAAATTATCACCTTGTTTTGAAAGAACTCTGACTTCACAGGGGCCATGGTTATGCTAGTTTCAGAACCTCTGTCCTCTGAGGTCATGGAATACAGTAGCTATGTGGAAGTAATGGATTAGAAGAGAAAAATGAGATCTCCTTCCGCTTCCTCCTCATTAATATTTCCAAAGATCTCTGAGTCGTTGCCAAAACTGTGACTGAGCATTCACATGGGTTTTCAAGGCAGGTTCAGTGTTTGCTTAAGTTATATGGTAACCTTATCAGTTTCACTTCATAAGCCCATCGCAGTTCAGTTTGATTTTAGGTTTCTGAAGTGGAGTTGGTAATTTCTAATAGATGTCAACTACTACAAAGTTCAGATGTGGAACCAGACATATTTGGGCTGCAAGTTTTTGGAAAACTGGAGCTGACTCTCTTGAGAGATTTCCAACAGGGAGGGGCTAGCACCTTTTTGCCAAGTTTAGACCCCATTCCAAATCCAACAGGGTTAGAACCCTCAATCTTGGCTTGAAAATTCTGCAAGATGAGGGGGAGTTCTGTTTTATTTTCCTCTAATTTAGCAGAAGTCTTCTTAGCTTTCAGAATTATGCCCAAGGGAACCATGTATAGACTTTTAGTGGCTCTGATAAAAATAAAACCTACTTTCAATGACTTAATATGATTTTTTTAATGTTTTTATGGTTTTGATCCTACCCAGCCAAATGCATCTGCAGTTCCTAGTTTCATTGTCTTAGCATGATTGACAGGGATCTATTCATTGGAGAACACTCACCTGTAAATATATCTCAGGAAATAATTTTTTTATCTCCCTAAAAGTTAGAGTTAAATCACTCCTCTAAAACTAATTGTTTCTGCCCAATAGCAAAAGTCACTGCTTGGCAGGTAAATTATGCAAATGCAATTTGTCTATGCTCCATGTTATTTCTGTGTATGGAAAAGTTGTCATGGCCAGGGCAATCTATATTAATAGAATGAGTAGAAGAAACAAGGAGTGGCCTATATGGACTGGATAGGACCTGTGTAGAAAATGGAAGGAAAGCGGGGCTTAAGTCAGGAGACCTTGGTTAAAGCCCCAGTTCTGCCACTCACTCACTGTGATCTATCAATGGCAAGTTATTTAATTACTGATCTTGGCTGTAAAAGAGGAAAAACAATACCTGCTTTATCTTGAGGGAAGATAACGTATATGAAAGTACAGCATAACTACACACATAGACAAAATTCTAGGAACCGTAAAAAAATGCTTATCCTGAATTCTATAGTCTGCATCCATTTCAGAGGATATGAAATAGGATCGGCTTAGATCATCCAATGTCTTTATATTCCTATAACATGATGCAATTTTTTAGGAACAAAATAACTGGTGACTGTAGAAAACTTAATAGAAATCTTCTTCCCAAGTCTGTCTCTGGATTTGCCCGTAAAAGGATCTCCTTTAAAACAAAGTCTGGAAAAGACCAATGATGATGACTGTCCCAGACTGGCAATGAGCAAAGCCTCCCTCTTCTTATTAGGGACCAATTAATATTCATGTAGTCCCAACCCTGAAGGGATTTAGCTCCAGCATTTCATAAAACTGAAGTAATCCATCATCCAAAAAGGGCAAAGAGGCAAAATTTCTGAGCCCTTTTTCTCAAACTCCATTAGAAAATGTAAGCTCACGTTACTTCCCCTCCCTAACCCTTTCCTGCTTTATGAAGTGAGACTATTGTGGATAACTGTGGTCTCGTAATGCATTTTTGGCCAGCCAAGGCAGTACCATGGCTTCAGAAACTCTCTTTAGTAGGAGTTGGCCAGTGTTCTATTGTTTGCGTCTGGGACATGGCCAGTGGAGTTCGGACATCTGCCCATTGTGTGAGTTCCTTGGGCGCCAGAGGGCTGAAGCTCATTATTCCACTGGGAATTATGCCTCTGTTCCTTGAAAAGGGAGTGACTCACCAACAACCCTCTATCACATCTGACATTTGGAAGACGAAAATCCTTTGTGAGTTCCAAGTTTAATTTTGTGGGTGAGTTTCTTATTCTAACCAAGCTGATCCATAAAGGTATTGACTGGAGTTTGTTCTTTGGTAAGAAATTTGGGAATCCCATTTCTAGATGTGCCTAGGATTATGCCAATCCAAACAGTCTATCCCCTCTGGCTGCAAAACCAGAGGATAAAAAGAGAGAACAAGCATCACAAGAGGCAGCAGGGGCAGTGCTGGCATGGTATAAGGAGCTGGCAAATTTCTCAGTTCTCTCAATAATTTTGCTTTTTTCATGCCCCTTCCTTTTAATTCTATTGCAACCCATTCCAAGACCTCTGAGAATCTCAATAAACAGTTCTATTTTAATCTCCTACTTTTGTTATTAACTAGTAATGGCACATTGGAAAAGCTTATAATCCAAAGTTTCAATTTTTTGCCTTGAAAATGGGCACTATATTAGCATGTACCACACAAGGCAGTGAAGACTAAATTGCTTAGTATGAGAGCATGGTACATAATAAATGCTCAGTAAAAGTCCGAGATAAAAATGATGACAATGATGGGGTTTACAAATAGCTCAGCACAGTAGTTAGCATGTAATAATGACTTGATAAATGATGAGAATTATTATTAAAATTATATTATTACTTTTTCTAAGTAAAGGGTGAGAAGAGCTCAGTCAGCTTATTTGTTAAAGTTTATTTAGACTATTTCCCATTAAGGTAAACACCTGGCTTTGGCCAGGCCTGAAATTGAGGCTTGACCTTGAAATGCCATCACCTCTGCTGTTCTGTGACCTTGCTCCCAGCACCCGTTGACCAACATTTTAGTTCCTTAAGAGGTTCTAACCTAGCCTTTATGGCTAACAATAGCCAATAACTTCCAGGAAAACAAAAAGCAGGATATTGGGGTCTCTTGGCCTCTGCATCAAAGAACAGCTGGATCCAATTCAGAGCTTTAACTGAAGAAAGAAAGAAAAATGGATGCCCTTCCTCTGGTCGTATGTCAACTTTTACCGACTGTGTCTCTACCACCTGCAAGAACAGATGCAAATGGAGTGTTTTTATTAGGGTAAATCTTCCAGCAGATTATAAGAAATGGCCCTGCAAGAAACCAGTCCCATTGGGAATTAGTTGACAACACCCTCTGTGGATGCTGCGGCAAGGTGTGGCCCTTGGAGCGGAAGAGTTCTAGGTTCAAAGCCTGACTCAGCCCCCTGACCTTGGGCAGCTTTATTTATCTTTTTGGAGCTCAGGTGCTTCATTTCACATAAAGAGGCAGTAGAGAATTACACGCTTACATAATACTTACCTGGGAGGGCCACTCTGAGATTTCAATGAGATCCTATTCACTAAACCATGTAACACAGCCTATGAGACTTAGTAAGTATTTGATATGCATTAATATGTGTTGGTTTCCTTTCTTCTTAAGAGTTTTTCTGAGGAGTAAATACATGTAGAGGGAGTAATATGGTGGCAAATATACAGTTGATGCTTAATAAATGTTACTTCTCTAAAAGGCAGTAAGGAATTCTGAGTTCTGTGCTCCCTGGGAGTAAGACTCTGATGATGAGTTTCCAGTTTCCTGAAAGCCCTCTGTTCCTCTACTTTAGCCTGTTACTGACATGGCCTCTTTCAACTCCTCCATCCTCTTCCCCAATTCTATAGCTCACATGCCTGCCCCAAGAATCTCAGAAAAGCCCTTTCCTGCTCCTCCAGGGAGTCTGCAATACAGGCCAGATACTCTCAAAGATTGGAAGACTTTTAAGTCTATTCAAAAAAAAAAAAAAAAACTATCCTTTGTCTCAGGCCATTATTTCTTCTCTTATTTTGAAAGAAGTAATTTCTCCTTCTTCATTTATATCATTTTGCTGAGGGTATTTGTGGATCATCAGCCTATATGTCAAGTCTTCTCCTTGGTTACACCATATAAATTCAGTTCTATATGTAAGCTAAAGTGACTACAACTAGAATAGGAATTAAATATATTTCAGGTTTTGCAGACAAACAAAACTCCTTTTTTCAACCCAGTTTCTCTTTGGATAAAACATTATCCTCAGTCTATAAATTAGAATTTTAGTGCTGTAGGTACCGCCTCATTTTGGAGGCAAGAAAGGTAAAAAACTTGACTCAAAGGATATTTTCTTGCTAATGGCAAGGTCAGAACTTGCACACAGGTGGCCTGGTTCCCAGGCCTTTTGTCTTTTCAGTATCTGATGATACCTGACCTGGTAGGGTCACCTGAAGTTTAAACTACTCTGCATCATAAGAAAATCTTTTGGTGTGTGGGATCCTGCTGAGAACTCTTGCATTCCCTGTACACTGTTCATGTTAGTATCCATGGACTACTTCCCATTCCTAACATGTTCAATGGACATTTTTCCACTCTCTGTAATGATCTGTCTCAACAGTCTCTCTGGAAAATTAACTCATCCTCTAATGTCCAACTCAAAGTTCACTTTTTTTCTGTTAACTCTCCACAACTTCCTGAGAAAAATCAATCACTTCTCCACCTGTGTTCTAATAGAGCTTTGCAAATGTCTCATTTATTGAGCTACAGATATTTGTGTATCTTTATCTCTCCACTAGACTGTGAATTGTTCAAGGTTAGAAATTCTATTCTATTCATCCTTGTATCCACAGCTCTCCAGAGTTTGACACGTGGTAAGCCTTCGTAATTCTTGTTTTTGTTAATTTGTTTTTGGTTTTTGCTGATAATTTTCATATTAGTTGCATTAAGTGAATAATAATGCTTTACATGGTTCTGATCAACATTGAAACATGTCTAAACTGAGTATCTTGGATTTCTAGGAACTAGAAGTACTGAAAATAATATTTGACAAATTTTACATGGAGGATTTGGTAAATTTATGCAAAAAGACTAAGAAAGTTTGTAGAATCAGAGCACCATGCAGAATACCCATGGAGTTCCCTTTATTCTTTAAAGTAGTTTAATTTGTTCACCATAAAAATTCCAGAATTTTCTACTCTTGACAAAAATAATACCAAAAAACCCACTTATGATATACAGTTCCATGTTGGAATATCAAGACAGACAAATGTTAAACTACCGCAAAATAAAAACTACTATTTTGGAAATAGAATAATAACACAGCACTACACAAACCTCCAACGACTTCAAATTTAGTCTTTTATCCCAATATGGTGATTAAGTCTTCAACTATAATTAAAATACTTTAATATATTTTATCAATATCTCTTACAGTATAATTGCTTAAAAAGTAATATGAACTCTAAAATATGCTACCATCCTTGGGAGATATCATACAATTTCCCAAGTCTGTCATTTATTCTTTAATATTTTGTACTTCATTCAGCTCTAAAGTAGAAATAGAGGAATACTCACATACTTGGTCAATGGCTTACAAGCTGTGAAACACGAACGTTGAATTACCAAAACTGCCCTCTAAATAGCATCTATATAGGCAAATTCTTACTTCTGAGACATTAAGGGAATCAGTCCACTGCCCCTCCCACCACTGACCTTCCTTGGGTTGAAAGAATTATTTCAGTTGTATTCAGTTTACAACTTAGCTTGCCCTGGGATAATATCAGACTGATGTTTTGAGCTATGTTTGGTTATTCTTGGCACCAGACAATAATGGTTTCTACCAATCAGATTATGACGTGCTACAATGAGAAGAAATGTAGTATTAAGAAAGGTGAAAACTGGAAATACGTCCTAATACATGGAATGTACATAACATTGTAGAGTGATAAAGGAAGTAAGGGAGGCTTCGGGGGTATATTTTGTCTTAAGACCAGAGAACAAATACCATTCAACACAAACTAGAAAGAGACAAAGCAGGATCGAATCCTCATATGTTGACATCAGCTTGAGTTAAAAGCTACAAAGGTAAAAGTTATTTGACATAAGTGCTGCTGTTCAGATTTCTCAATATTCCATGTTAACTTATTTTACTTTGGAAACTGAGAAGGAAAAGAAATATCAGCCCATAGGTGGAATCATTCCACAGATCATACTAACAAGGCTCTCATCAATAAGGTCATAATGATGATGGTTAGTGTTACATGCTGCACTTGTGTTTTTTAAAAACTGTATGAACACCTTTAAGTAGTTGAATCCTACTTACCAATTCCTTGCCAGAATGACCCGTTTTTCCCTTTAACATCTCTCTCAACATTGCCAAAATGATTTTGTTTTGTTTTGTGTGTGTAGAGTCTCCACAGTTCCCTCACTACTCGGAATAATTGTAAGTCACATAAATAATGACCTATATTGGCCACTGAGCCCAAGGCAGAGTTCAAAGGACACATCAAAGGGAACAAAATGTTAAGATGACTCCTGAAAACTGTGGTCGAGAAAACTGGCAAAAGCAGAAAACACACCAGAAACTCATCTGTGTTAGAGTACTCCAAAGAACCAATGTGTGTGTGTGTGTACACACATATGTAAATAATGAGATTTATAAGGAGTTGGCTCACACCATTACAGAGACTGAGAAGTCCTGAGATCTGTTCTTTGCAAGCTGTAGACATGAGAAAGCCAGTGGTGTATTTTGAAGACCTGGAAGCTGGAGAGCTGACAGTATAGATTCTAGTTCTGGTCTGAAAGCTGAGAGCCAGGAGTACTAGAGCAGAAGATTGATTTCCTGACTCAAACTGTCAGGAAGAGTGCAAATCTTCCCTTCTTGCACCTCTGTGCTCTACTCAGGCTCTCAAGGGATTGGATGATGGCCCACACACATTGGCAAGGACAATCTACCTTACTCAGTCTACCTATTTGAATGCTAACCTCTTTCAAAACACCCACACAGACATACCCAGAAATAATGTCTAACCAGATAGCTGGACATGTCTGGTTGACAGTTAAGTTGCCACTTAAAATTAACTATCACAAAGCACACTGGTGGTTTAGCATCTGACTGATTGATTAGAGGTTAAATCTTATCTCTATACTTCCTTGTGCCACAGCATTCCCGTATATAAAGTGAGAATTATAAAAATCAATATTTCAAAACATGGTAAATAAGCTCACTGCCTGACAGACAATAGGCACATACACATATTATTTTATATTTTGCTATTATACAGCTCCATAGAAATGTTATTTTGTTGTACATATATATATATACACTTATACATTTACAAGTATAATTGTTTTTTATATAATAGGTACTATTTTTGAGCTGCAATTATGCATTAGGCAATGAGATAGAACAAATGAATAAACACATGGTTAGGCCATTTCTTGTGTTGCTATAAAGAAATACCATGCTTTCCATAAAGCCTGCAGAACATGAAGAACTAACCTCTTTCCTTTATGAAAGAATTAAACCTCTTTTCTTTATAAATTAATAATATATTAATAAGTTAATAATATATAAAGAAAAGAGGTTTAATTTTTTAATAAAGAAAAGAGGTTAAATTCTTCACATTCTGCAGGCTCTATGGAAAGTATGGTGCTGGCATCTGCTCAGCTTCTGGGGAGGCCTCAGGGAGCTTTTACTCCTGGCAGAAGACGAAGCTGGAGTGGCACATCACATGGCGAGAGCAGGAGCAAGCAGGGAGGGAAGAGCCAGATCTCGTGAAAACTGTCATGAGGACAGCGCCAAGCCATGAGGGATCCGCAGCCATGACCCAATCACCTCCCACCAGGCCCCACCTCCAACATGAGGGATTATACTTTAACATGAGATTTGGATGGGACAAATATTCAAACCATATCAAAGCAGAAAATAAAATAGGAATGAGGTTCTACTTTGCCAATAAGCTACTGATGGTGGGGAAATTATGCAATTCAATATAAAATTCCAGAAACACTGACAAGACAGACCAGTTTTTTCTGGGACAGTCCTGGTTTCTGTGTGTTGTTTCAGAATAATTATTAATAGTTGCCCCCTCTCTTAAGAGTGTCCTGGTTTGAGCAATTAAATGCCCACACTGATGTTCCTTTGCAGTAGGATAAGCCTGTTGGGAGGGAAAATGTGCTTAGGGTACTTGGAGCACCTGATCTATGTGGGGAGGCAGTGCAGGAAAGTTTTCCAAGAGAGGCAAAATCTAGGTTGATAGTTCATAGATGAGTGGGAGTAGCTGTGTGAAAAATGAGGCAGAAGCACAGTAAGGAGCTCTAATTTCAAAGGGCAGAATAGCAAGTCCAAAACACAGCAGAGTCAGGAGAACCGGAAAGAAATTAAAACACAGAAAGATCCTAAAGTATGAAGGAGAAAGTTGGGAGGAAGAGTCAAGGATTAGACACAGCCCAGAAAAGCTTCTCCCACAAAGAGAGACCAGACTGTCAAGTAGACTGGCACTCTCAGAACAGATATTCAGAAAGAAGACATTGAGAGTCGATTGGATACAGGGAGGATGCAGATCCCAAGGCTGAAAGGGGAGGAAGCTGGGAACTGTGCACCAAGTTGCCAAGCACCAGGACTCATTCCTGGCTTCAAGTGGCTCCCAGGAAGGGGCGAGTGAAATAGGCATGGAACAGCCCATTCTTATCACAGACCTCTGAGATCCTAGCTGTGAGAGACCCCATGAGCCCCGTGGACATTTGAGTTGACAGGAATAACTGCCTAGAGTCTTGGCAGAGACAGAATTCCAGGCAGCATGGATCCCAGAGGGTCTGGTGCGGGAACAACTGCAGTGGAGCATGGCCATGGACTCCCATCCCCCAAGACTCACCATACTCCTCTAGGTGGGTTTAGAGTTTGTTAGCAGCTGGACTGGGAAAGAGCAGGGCTGTCTTACCCATGGGATGGAGCCAGTCTTATCTGAACGACCTCTTCTGCTGGCCTCTCCCAGGGTCCCTGCCTTGCCACACATATTTGCAGAACAGCCTCAGCTGCCCTGCTGAAATGCTTGCCAGTGGCCACCACCATAGCTCCTTCACTGACAGCCCCCACCTTCCTGTTGGAGCACTTTTGCAGATGAACCTCCACCAGGATGCCTCCACCTGTACCCTTCCCCCACCAGCACACACTCACCTGCAGCCTCCCACTGCTTCCCCACTGGTGAGCACACACACACACAGAAACGAGCTGCCACCTTACCAGCACACACTCACCGTGGCCTACCCCTGCCACCTTGCTGGTACACACACACAGGGACCCATCACTATCCCACCAGGGTACACATGCCTGCAGCCTCTCTCACCATCCCATTGGTGCACACACACCCATGGGCCCCAACCTACTGCCACACAAATGGCCCCCCAGCCTACTCACTAGTGCACACTTGGCTGCAGCACCCCCCCACCACCCACTGCAGCACACTCTCCCATGGACTCCTGCTGCCCCACTGCAGCACTTTTTGTTGGCAACCCCCATGGGAGTATTGTTGTCATTGGACTGGGAACACCTTGGCCCCTCCAGTGCAGCAGGTGTTTGACCTCGAGGGGCCAGAAAACAAAGGTACGAGCCTGGTCCTAGGTCCTGAGGGTTACAACACACAAACCAGAAGTGCTGAGCTGAGCCTTGGCCCCCTGAAAGCATCCAGAAACAAAGGCAATTGACTAAATTCAACTTGTGCCACAAACAAGCCCTCAAGAGTATCAAAGAACATAAAATCTAGAAGCCCTATCCAAAGGATAACAACTTCAAAGATTAAAGAAACATGACTTCAAACAGATGAGAAAGAAGCAGTGCAAAAATTCTGGCAACTCTAAAAGCTAAAGTGTATTCTTACCTCCAAACAACTGCACTAGCTCTCCAGCAACGGTTATTAACCAAACTCAAATGATGGAAATGATAGACATAGAATTCAGATTCTGGATGGCAAGGAAGCTCAAAGAGATACAGGAGAAGGCTGAAACCCAATCCAAGAAAAGCAGTAAAACAATCCAAGACTTGAAAGATGACATAGCCATTTTAGAAAGAACCAAACTGAAATTCTGGAAATTAAAATTTCACTATAGAAATTTCATAATGCATCTGGAAGTATTAAAAACAATATATCAAGCTAAGGAAAGAATCTCAGAGCTCAAAAACCACTTCCTTCAAATCAACAAAGGCAGACAAAAATAAAGAAAAATGAATTTTAAAAAATGAACAAAACCTCCAAGAAATATGAGATTATGTAAAGAGACCAAACCTATGACTCATTGGCATTCCTGAAAGAGATGGAGAGACAGCAAGCAATATAGAAAACATATTTGAGGATACTGTCCACAAAAGCTTCCCTGACCTCACTAGAGAGGTTGAAATGCAAATTTAGAAAATTCAGAGAACCCCTGCAAGATATTATACAAGACAATTATCCCCAAGACATATAGTCATCCAATTCTCCATTTGTCATCCAATTCAAAGGTTAATGTAAAAGGAAAATCTTAAAGATAGCTAGAGAGAAGGGGCAGGTCACATAGAAATGAAACCCCATCAGGCTAACAGTGGATCTTTCAGCAGAAACCTCACAAGCCAGAGGAGACTGGGGGCCTATACACAGCATCCTAATGAAAACAAATTCCAAATAAGAATTTCATATCCAGCCAAATTCAGCTTCAAAAGCAAAGGAGAAATAAAATCCTTTTCAGACAAACAAATGATAAGGAAATTCATTACCAACAGACTTGTCTTACAAGAGGTCCTTAAAGGAGTACTAAATATGGAAATGAAAGACTGATACCTGCCACTACAAAAAAACACACTTAAATACATAGCCCACTAACACTATAAAGAAACAATACCATCAAGTCTACATAACAACCAGCTAACGACACATGACAGGACCAAATTCTCATATATCAATATTGACCTTGAATGTAAATGGGCTAAACACCCCACTTAAAAGGCAGAGTGGCAAGTTGAATAAAGAAGCAAGACCCAACTGTATGCTGTCTTTGAGAGACCAATCTCACATGCGATGACATTCATAGACTCAAAGTAAAAGAATGGAGAAAGATCTATCAAGCAAATGGAAAACCAAAACGAGGAGGGATTGCTATTCTTATTTCACACAAAATAGACTTTAAATCAATAATGATCAAAAAGGATAAGGAGGCTGGGCATGGTGGCTCACGCCTGTAATCCCAGCACTTTGGGAGGCCGAGGCCAGCGGATCACGAGGTCAGGAGATCGAGACCATCCTGGCTAACACGGTGAAACCGCGTCTCTACTAAAAATACAAAAAATTAGCCGGGCATGGTGGTGGGCGCCTGTAGTCCCAGCTACTCGGGAGGCTGAGGCAGGAGAATGGAGTGAACCCGGGAGGCAGAGCTTGCAGTGAGCTGAGATCGTGCCACTGCACTCCAGCCTGGGTGACAGAGCGAGACTCCGTCTCAAAAAAAAAAAAAAAAAAAAAAAAAGGATAAGGAAAAGCATTACATTATGACAAAGGGTTCAATTCTACAAGAAGACTTAATTATCCTAAATATATATGCACCCAACATTGGAGTACACGGATTCATAAAATAAGTTATCAGAGACCCTCAAAGAGACTTACATAACCACTCAATAATAGTGGGAGACTTTAACACCTCATTGACAGTGTTAAACAGATCATTGAGGCAGAAAATTAGCAAAGATATTTAGGACCTAAACTCAACACTTGACCACATGTACCTAACAGTGATGACAGAATACTCCACCCAAAAAAATCAACAGAATATGCGTTCTTCTTATTTTCACATGGCACATTCTCTAAGATCAATGGCACACTCGGCCATAAAGCAATTCTCAACAAATTAAAAAAATATGAAATCATACCAACCACATTCTCAGACCACAGTGCAATAAAAATAGAAGTTGATACCAAGCAGATCTCTCAAAACGATACAATTACATGGAAATTGAACAAACTGCTCCTAAGTGATTTTGGGGTAAAGAGCAAAACTAAGGCAGAAATTTAAAAATTCTTCGAACTAATGAAAACAAAGATACAACATATCAGAATCTCTGGGACACAGTTAAAGCAATGTTGAGAGGAAAGTTTATAGTGCTAAATACCTATATCAAGAAATAGAAAAGTCTCAAATTAACCTAATATCACACCCAGAGGCACTAGAAAAACAAGAGCAAATCAACTCTAAAGCTAACAGAAGAAAAAAAATAACCAAAATCCAAGCTAAGGTGAATGAAATTGAGATACAGGGATCCATACAAAAGATCAATGAAACAAAAAAAATGGTTATTTGAAAGAATAAACAAGATTGATAGGCTGCTAGCTAGATTAATAAAGAAAAAGAGAGAGAAGATTGAAATAAAAACAATCAGAAATAAAGGTGGCATTTCCTCTGACCCCACAGAAATACAAAAACCCTCAGATACTATCATGAACACCTCTCTGCACAAACTAGAAAACCTAGAAAAAATAGATAAATTCCCAGAAACATACTACCCCCTGAGATTGAACCAGGAAGAAACTGAAATCCTAAAAAGACCAATAATGAGTTCCAAAACCAAATCAGTAATACTTACCAGCCAGAAAAATCCCTGGACTGAATGGATGCACAGCCAACTTCTACCAGAGGTACAAAGAAGAGCTGATACCACTCCTACTGAAATTATTATTCCAAAAAAATTGAGGAGAAGAGATTCCTCCCTAATTCATCTTATCAGGCCAGCATCATTCTAATACCAAAAACTGGCAGAGACACAATGAAAAAAGAAAACCTCGGGCCAATTTCTCTGATGAACATAGATGTAAAAATCCTCATCAAAATACTAGCAAACCAAATCCAGCAGCATTTAAAAAAGCAAATCCAGTATAATTCTAGCTTTATTCCTGACATGCAAGGTTGATTAAACATACACAAATCAATAAATGTGATTCATCCTATAAACAGAACTAAAAACAAAAACCACATGATCATCTAAGTAGATGTAGAAAAGGCTTTCAGTAAAATTTAATATCCCTTCATGTTAAAACCATCAACAAAGTATGCACTGAAGAAACATACCTCAAAATAATAAGTCGTCTATGACAAACCCACAGCCAACATCATACTGAATGGGCAAAAGCTGAAAGTATTTCCCTTGAGAATCAGAAGCAGACAAGGATGCCCACTCTTGCTGCTTCTATTCAACATAGTACTAGAAGTCTTAGTGAAAGTATTTAGGCAACAGAAAGAAAGTAAAGGCATCAAAATAGAAAGAGAGGAAGTCAAACTTTCTCTCTTTAAGACAACATGATTCTTTACCTAGAAAACCCGATAGTCTATATCTAAGGCACCTACTAGTGATAAACAACTTGAGTAAAGTTTCAGCCTACCAAATAAATGTACAAAAACCAGTAGCATTCCTATACCCTAATAACATCCAAGCTGGGAGTCAAATCAAAAATATAATCCCATTTACAATAGCCGCAAAAAAATACCTAAAAATACAGCTAATTAGGGAGGTGAAAGATCTATACAATGAGAATTATACAGCGCTGCTGAAAGAAATCAGAGACAACACAAGCAAATGGAAAAACATTCCATGCTCATGCATAAGAATCAATACTGTTAAAATGGCCATAATGCCTAAAGCAATTTACAGATTCAATGCTATTTCATCAATGTACCAATGCCATTTTTCAGAATTAGAAAAAACTATTCTAAAATTCATATAGAACCAAAAAAGAACCCAAATAGGCAAAGCAATCCTAAGCAAAAAGAACAAAGCTGGAGGCATCATATTACCCAACTTCAAACTATACTACAAGGCTACAGTAACCAAAAAAGCATGGTACTGGTACAAAAACAGACACATAGACCAGTAAAACAGGCTCAAGAACCCAGAAATAAAGCAACACCTACCATCATCTGATCTTTGACAAAGTCTGCAATAACAAGCAATGGGGAAAGGACTATGTAGTCCATAAACGGTGCTATGATAACTGGCTAGCCATATGCAGAAGATTGAAACGTGACCTTTTCCTTTCACCATATACAGAAATCAACTCAAAATGGATTAAAGACTTCAGTGTAAGACCTAGAACTGTACAAACCCTGGAAAAAACCCTAGCGTATACCATTCTGCACATAGGCTTTGGCAAAAATTTCATGATGAACTCTCCAAAAGCAATTGCAACAAAAATAAAAATAAACAAGTGGGACTTAATTTAAGTAAAGAGTTTCTACACGGCAAAAGAAATTATCAACATAGCAAACAGACAACCTATAGAATGGGAGAAAATATTCACAAAATATGCACCCAACAAACGTCTAATATCCGGAATTTATAAGGAATGTAACAAATCAAGCAAAACCCAAACAATCCCATTTAAAAATGGGCAAAGGACACAAACAGACGCTTCTCAAAAGACATCCACACAGTCAAAAATCATATGAAAAAATGCTCATCATCACTAATCATCAGAGAAATGCAAATTAAAACCACAATGAGATATCATCTCACACCAGACAGAATGGCTATTATTAAAAAGTCAAAAAATAACAGATGTTGGCAAGGTTGCAGAGAAAAGGGAAGGCTTATACACTGCTGCTGGGAATGTAAATTAGTTCAGTGTGGAAAGCAGTTTGGACATTTCTCAAAGAACTTAAAACAGAAACCACCATTCAACCCAGAAATCCCATTACTGGGTGTATACCCAAAGGAATATAAATTGTTCTACCAAAAAGACACATGCACTATTCACAACAGCAAAGACAAGGAATCAACCTAGGTGCCCATCAACAGTACTGGATAAAGAAAATGTGGTCCATATACACCATGAAATACTATGCAGCCATAAAATAATGAAATAATGTATTTTTCAGAGCCATGGATGCAGCTGGAGGCCATTATTCTAAGTGAATTAACGCAGGGTCAGAAAACCAAATACCATATGTTCTCACTTATAAGTGGGAACTAAACACTTAGTACACATGCACACAAAAATGGGAACAATAGACACCAGGGCCTACTTAGTGGGTAGGGGGAGGGTCAAAAAATTACCTATCAGATACTATGGTCACTGCCTGGGTGACAAAATCATTTTTACACCATACCCAGGTACATGCAATTTACCCATGTAACACACGTGCACATGTACTCCCTGAATCTAAAATAAAAGTTGAGAAAAGAAAAAAAAAGTTGCAAAGGATGACATAGATCAGTAGTGGTCATATCATGAGGGTTCGGAAAATCTGAATCAATGTACTTTAAGGGCACTAAAAAGCCAAGGAAGGGACCCTGTTTACTAAGGGTAGGCAATGGTAGTATGTGCTGTGGATGTTGGGGAGCTGTGAACCTAGAGAATAAAGGGCTTGTTTTATTTGGAAGCTCTTAGAAACTGTTGATTTTTACAACTCATATCGTTTTCTTCACGGCCTTCCTCTTCCAGACCATGGAGGTGACATGGCTAAGAACTCAAAGCATGCAGCATCCATTTTGCCCTTGAGTTTACATTTCAGCAGAACAATTCCAGAATGAATCATTGCCTGCACAGGTTGTTGGTTATGCCCGGTTTACAGCCCATTTTCAAAGCTCCTTTCTACTTTATGGTCCAGACTGAGTTTGCAGAGATTTATGTGGAGATTTCTTATTCTCTTTGAAAAATAGAAAATCTTTCACCAGCATATTTTTCTCACTCAGTGAGGCAATGCTGAACCTCCTTGCTGTTATTCTCCAGAAAGCCTTTTCTACCACCATCAAATTGACCATTTTCATTTAAGATAGAAAGGGAATAGTTAAGAATGGAAAAATTAGTTCTGAAAGGTGGACTGGAAACTGAACGCAGCCCTTGGAAATCAGACGAAACAGAGAGGAATCACTAACTCTATGAGACAAAACCGTGTGCTCTAAAATAGGGAACTGAATTCTGGAGGATTCGATTACTCAAAATCTCCTACTTCTAAAACCTAACCTAATGTGGCCTCAGGACTGGGCAATAAGTGCTTGCCTACAGACATGACAGTAACTCAGTGTTGGGAAGAAAAGAAACTTTAAAGAAAAGTTTTGATCAAGGATGCATCCTGTATCCAAAGAGGAAAGTTATATTCCGTTTATAAAGAGGGAGTTTCACGAGGGAAGGAATATGGATAATGAGCTGATAGTTGTAGAATAATATAGGACTTGAGAGCTATACTATCTAAATTCAAATCAGGATCTTCAATTTACTTGCTGTAAACAGACATGCAAGACACTTGACTTTGGATAAGTGTCTTAAGTTCTATGAGCCTATTTCCTCATCTGTAAAATGAGGATAATCATATCTCACAGGATTGTTATTAAGATTAAATGTGTTAATATTTCTCAAATACTTAGAGTAATGCTTGACACAGATAAGAGCTTGTTAATAATAGTGACAAAAATTTATCAATAATTGCTGCTCAAGCATGATGTATTCTACTCTAAAATCTCTACAAATTCAATTTCTATTTCTAGGAAATGATTTCGTCTCCCACTATGTCCCTTTCATATACCTTAAATCTTCCTGAAACGAAGTAAAATTAGTAACTCCTAGAGCAAAATTTATTTTTTAATATTTATGAACAAAAGAATTCACAGTATTCTTTCCAAATCTCCAGTGACCCACCTACCCATTCACTGAGTCCCTCAGTGATAAAGAACATTTGTCCAGGTGGCGATGGCAAGGCATTTTGGGGATGGACACAGCTGAGCAGGGTCAGAGTTTACTTTATCTTAATATCCCTTTGTCTCAATTTAGAAAAAAAGGAAAGGGCCCAGCTTCCAGACAGCCATGAAAACAAAATAAACAGGCATGTAAATGAGATGTGTTTTGGATGTGGGTTTATATATATTGGCAGGAAGAGCAGTGAAACTTATGACTCTACTTTCTTATTCTTTTTTCTCTCTCCTGTCCCACTTGATGCCAAAGGAGTTATTTTTAAAAGCATGGGTTCATGTTTTTGATCATAATGTTATGGCAAAAGGGGAGATGACCTTTACATTTAGCTAGTAGCTGTTATACGATCAGGAAGCTCCAAATGGTAACACTTCAGGTTTGGTCACCATTTTGGGTATGCCATAGTTTTTTTGTTTGTTTTTTGTTTTTGTTTGTTTGGTTGGTGTTTTTTTTGTTTTGTTTTGTTTTTTTGTTTGTCTTCAGTTAAATAGCACTTACCAAACCCGAACATGTCCAAATAGTCATTTATTTCTTAGTTCATTGAAAGAATATTTATTCCCTACCAAATTCTACCAAAGCGTCTTGCAAGACCTCCATCTGGTACAGAATCATATAGAGAAATAAGTTAACATACTAAATCTTTACCAAAGCATGTAGGTGTTCACCCAATTCTGTGCATCAGGATTGAGAGAGAAAACAACAGATGAAAGTGTCTCTATGTCAAACATACAGAATAGAAATATTACCTATAGAAGCAACCAGTGGGATGCAACTCTGCTTAACTAACAAACATAGGCTTATAACTCAAGGGGTTCCCTTCAGCAAGAGAAGATTGGACTCTTGTAATTCATACAGTGCCTTAATGCTTCAAAATAGGAATTCTCATTTTTGATTATTCTGTGGGGGTTAACTGGTTCTAGGCCAACTTCTAGAGGGAAAAATGATACATTCCTGCCAAACAAGAGCAAAATGCTAATTATGTATGTTTTGTGTGCTAATGTTTTTTTCCTGGGAAAAGAGGAAAATGAAATTACTTCTGTGGTCTGATATGTTTTAAGTCCTTATCTGAGAGACTACTGAAAGTATTGTCTATATTATCCCACAATTCTGACAGAAAACTGGACATTTTAGTAAATATTCCAAACCTTCTTTGTATAAATTTAAAAACATGGATAAATCTTCTCATGCCGCTAAATTTACTTTTTTTTTGGATATTTAGTGGTGAGTGGTCTAAAACTGTCTATTATACTCATATAAAATATATTCTGGGGGAAAAGAATTTTTGCACATGAAATTTGATCTTTGCTATAGTTTGGATATTTGTCCTCTCCAAAGCTCATGTTGAAATATGATCCCCAATGTTGGAGGTGGCACTTAATGAAAAGTGTTTAGGTTGGGGGGTGAATACTTCATGAACAGAATAACGCCTTTCCTGAATTGCACTTAGTAGGTGTTTGAGGCAGTTGTGGGTGAATGAGTTCTCACTCTTATTAGTTCCTGTGAGCTATTTGTTAAAAGGAGCCAAGTACCTCTTCTCCTCTTCTCCCTCTCTTCTCCCTCTCTCTCTCTTACTCCCTCCCTCCCTCCCTATCTCACCATATGATCTCTGCACATGCCAACTCCCCTTCACCTTCCTCCATGAGTGGAAGCAGCCTGAGGCTCTCAGCAGGTATATATTCCAGTGACATGTTTCTTGTATAGTCTGCACAACTGTGAACCAAATAAACCCTTTTCATTATAAGTTATGCAGCCTCAAGTATTCCTTCATAGCAACACTAAACAGACTAAGACAATTTTCATTACTAACGTTTTGCTGTTAAAAAAAATCTTAACTTCTGAATTCCCAAATCTCTGATAAAATAATGTCATTCTGCAGGGATAATTGAATTGAACAAAACTGGTGTTAGAGTTGTTTCATCTAAAATAACCAAATAATTCTTATATTTCTCAAAGGGAGAGTGGAACAATAAAATCTCATATTTCTGTGGAAGGAGAGTAACATTTAAATCAAAATGATTAATGTCTAAGTTTTATTTCTTAATTTGCATCAACAGAAAGAGGAAATAAAAGTTTAAGACCTGCATTAGGGCCATCAGTGGTGGCTGAAGAAACAAACAACCTCCAATATCAGTGGCTTAGCCCAGCCAAGGTTTTTTCTCACACTTGCAAGTCCACTGTAGATGGTCTTGGGCAGCTTTCCTCCAAATTAGGGACCTGGATGCCTTCTGCCCTATGGCCCTGCCATCTTGAAGGACTTTGCTTGTAGCTGCTCAGATTGTGGGGAGAGAGAGAGAGAATGAGAGAGAGGGGGGAATAAGGATAAGGAGAAAGAATGAAAGATTGTGTAGACAGTCTTGAATAAAGTAATGGACATTTGAATTGGTTTAAATGACACATGACTGGCAAAGAGTAATGACCTCCAAGTCTTGATGCCTTTAGTATTTTATCTACAACTTGTTATATAATTGCTATATCTTTATAAATCATGTAATTCCTCTAAAAGGGGTAAAGAATTATATAAATGGACAGGCCCAAAACACAACTGCAAAAGCCTAATTTATCAGTGAAGAGTTAATATAAGTCATGTGCAGAAAAAGAAACAAATGCATTTTGAATAAATGATAAAGCAATCTCTCTTTAAATGCTGCTCATTTTAATCACCTAAGTACTTCAATCACCTAAGATAAATGAATAGGCATGGCTTTACTAAGTGGTCCTTCTAATACGATTGTATGATAGGGTCTTAATCATCACCTATGAAAGTCAAAGCTTCTTTCACAGTGTATCTAACTGATTTTAGCAGAGGACTTTGTCTTTCTACATCTCCTTAGAAATATTTATGCATTATAAGTGAAGTGAAACATACCAGGGGCAATTATTTATAATATTTAACAACAGGTAAGCACAAGCATCGACCGGTCAGAATGGATACAGACCCTAGAGTAGCATCTTGGAATCTCCTATTGCAATGGGCATTGAATCTTTGATTCCTGGATCATAAAGGAGGAGCCACTGGCCAGGGTGGCAGTGGGGAACAGGCAATTCTGAGCCATAGGCAGCAGAAATTATTTACTAACAGGTATTTTTTCAATATTCTATCAACGTGTGCAGTCATACTGGAGTCCAGCTCATCCAAGACCCACCATAAGACTCCAGCTTTAAATTTTCTAAGCCATCCAGGATTACATTCTGGAATTTGAGGTTTCATTTCCATTATATATTATAGCTTCTGATAAAATTTCTAAAACACTTTTTCAACTTTTTATGAGATTCTTATCAAATTATTACTTGTCATCTTGCTCTGAATTCAACTGCCCTGTTCTCTTTTGTGGCTGCTCATTAAATTATCTAACCAGTTTTCTTAGTTGTTTACCTTTATAACCCTTTGAAGGGTCTTGTATGAGGAGCAGGTAGCTGAATTTTGTGTTTTAAAACATTACATCTACAATATTATAAATGGTCAATATTGTAAATGTAATGACCAATGGTTTGGTCATATCTTAACCATTTAATCCCATGCTTTCTGTTGTGACCCCTTTTTGATGGTTTTCTTAGTTTCTCTAAGCTCTGACACCACCCTCCAAAAATGCTAATTTAGTATAACTTACTTTCTCCACCCACCAGGTCACAACAAGCAAATACACACATAAACACTCTATATCAATATTAGTCCTCCAGGAAGCAGACACCAAGATAGAACTAGAAGTCCAAGAGATTGATTGGATGAAAGACAAAGGGGAAATGAAGCAGTGAAATGTATTTTAATACAGGTCTGATGCCTGGAAAAGGAAAGAGGGAAGAAAGGCCTGGGCAGGAAGGGCTTCTGACTGCAATGCAGCTTTGAAAATGTCTCAGCCAGCCCATGGGGAAACCATAGAACAAAGAGAACTGAATTGGGCAGAAAAGGCCCGACTCTCATCCTCTGCTGTGCTCAACCATCAGCTGGGAGTAGCCTAGGGAGAGCATGGCTTCATGTAAATGCTGCAATAGATCCCAAAGACATGCATGCATACACGTGACACTTCCAAATTTTGACCTGATTTATTTATTTTGCATTTTAAAAATATTCAGGCTGGGTATGATGGCTCATGCTATAATCTCAGTGCTTCAGGAGGCTGAGGTGGGAGATTCACTTGAGGCTGGGAGTTCAAAACCAGCCTGGGCAATATGGTGAGACCCCATCTCTACAAAAAATAGAAAAATGAGCTGGGCATGGTAGTATGCACCTGCAAGAGGCGGAGGCAGGAGGATCACTGAAGCCCAGGAATTCAAGGCTGCAGTGAGTTATGAAGACACCACTGCACTCTGGCCTGGGCAACAGGACAAGATCCTGTATCTAATAAAATAAAATAATTCAGTTTGGCTGTTGCATCTTTTCACACATACATACATACATGCATATATAAGGAATTTACTGAGTTTCTACCCTCATCTGTATTACATGAAAGAAGTACCTGGTTCTAATTCCTATGTCCAGCCTTGATACTATGTTTCTCTATCAACTTCACTTACCTCTAATATTGCTAGACTGAATCTAAGCAGTTTTATCAAAGAGTTCATATCCTCTATATTTCCATATTTCAGAAAATCTTTCTGTTGCTTTTGCTCGTGAGTGGCTATATGGCATGTTATGAAATACTTGAATATTGTCTATTACCACCCCAAAGTCTCCAAGAATTCCAGGATTATCTCGTAGTGTAAAGTATTACTAAGGAGAAAGGGCTTGCTTTTGTTCCTTTGTACATAATCTAAGTTTTCTGCTTGAACATTAAGAGAATCTTTAAGAATCTTTGAAATACAAACATTTTGTCAGTGTACATTTATATATGAGCCCTCCTCTTTTAGTGTGTTTTCATATGAATCTTACTTGGATGTTTTTAATAGTCTCATTATTTATAGTTTTGAGCTTCTCTTTTAAAAGTGGAGATTATTTTATATTTCCAATAATCGAAAAATCACTTCTGTATCCATTGTTTGGTTCCATTGCCTAGATACAACAGCTTTAGCACTATTGCTTTTTTTCTGAAAGTTCACTGGAAATAATCTAATGGCTTCCAGTGTCAGTGTTCATAGGTTAAAAAATCCCAAGAGCTACTTTTCTAGCCATACTGCTAAATCCTACTTTTAAAGAATCATCCTAAAATTTGTCACCCCATTCCTTTACTTCTATTCCCCACCAGTCTCTAGCACTCATCTGGGAAGCAGAAAGAGGTCTCTTAATCATCTGTATTTTATTAAGTGTCTAATATACTATAGGAGAAGCCAATTCTCTGTTTTTCCAACATTTCAACTGAGTATCAGAATTTGCGGCCAAATGAATTGCAGCAAACCATTTTCTAATAGAAGAAAAAAATGCCTCAGGAGTTCTATAATGTCCCAATCAGAGCAAACAAACCTTGGGAGTTTAGGGTACTTATCCAAACAACTCTCCCACCATAAACTAAGTGCAACTCAATTTATCTCAAAAAAGACGAAAGGGTGAGTCAACGTGGCTGTAATTTGAACTTTACAGTTCTAGGGAGTCTCCCCATTTCCAACCTGAGACTTAGACCACTAAGCTATCCCCCCAGGAGATTTATTTGCTTCTTTAATTTCCTTGGTTAAAAATATCTGAGTCACCATAAACCAAATACTGCAGGAATCTTAACTTTTAAAAGAGCATTAAAACCACACTGATTGATTTGGCGAGATGTTGGAAACTGTTTTGTTCTCTGACAATTATGACGGACTCAACTTGGCTCTTGGAATACCAATGAAGGAGAATACAAATGCAATATCATCTTCCACATCTGAGCCTGAGAAAGCTCACTGTTCCTCTTCATTATTTCTTAAATGGACCTTTCCAGCTGCTCCTAAATATGTACACATGTCAAGCATTTGAGAAAAGTGACCAAGGTTTTACCTACAGTATTTCTTATGAGAGTATTGAGGACAGCATTCATTTATTCACTTATTCATCAAAAACGTATTAAGTGCCTACTATGTTTATTATTTCCAGTGCACATGATACAAAGATGAACAAGACCTAGGCCCTTGAGGACAATCAAAATATATTATTGTCATAATAATGACAAAGAAGGGGAAGAAGAGAAGCAGAAGGGAAATATTATTTCGCCATTTTACAGATGTTGAAACACAGGCAGAGAGAGATAAAGGAAAGTGCCTTAGCTCACAACATTTGTAATCAGCAGGACCCAAATTCTAAGGCTTCAGTTGGATGAGTGCACAATCACCTCATGTACTATTGTATTATTCCATCTTCATACTGCTATGAAGAAATACCTGAGACTGGGTAATTTATAAAGGAAAAAAGGTTTAATGGACTCAGTTCCACATGGCTGGGGAGGCCTCACAATCATGGTGGAAGGTGAAGGAGGAACAAAGGCACATCTTACATGGTGGCAGATGTGAGAGCGTGTGCAGGGGAACCACGCTTTATAAAACCATCAGCTCTTGTGAGGCTTATTCACTATAATGAGAACAGTATGAGAAAAACCTGCCCCCATGATTCAATTACCTCCAACTGGGTCCCTCCCATGACATGTGGGGATTATGGGAGCTACAGTTTAAGATAGATTTGGGTGGGGACACAGCCAAACCATATCACCTATTGTCTCAATAGAAGACTGATTAAGTACATTTAAAAGGAACTCAATACAACCACGCTTGTCTCTTGATTCAGCTGGAGTCACAGTCGCCACCTTGATCCAAGAGTTCTATCCTGTAGACTTGAGCTTTTCCCTTTTTAAGTCTCTCTCTGTTACTTTTGATGGTTTCAAGAGTGTTTGACATGTGCTCAGACACAATTTTTTCTTGTTCCTCAGAGGCTGACATAACATCTGTTTATGACATGGCTGAAATAAGGAGGGTGTGGAGTCAGATACATTAAGTGTGTACTTTGGTGAAGAAAATGATATGATCATAATAGCTGTGAGAAACTTTATTCATTCAGCACACATGAAACACATTCTAGCATGTGAAAAGCATGCTACTGAGCATAAATCAAATGCCATTCTGACTCCTGAGAAACACACAGCCTAGGGAGAAAGAGGCACCTTAATACCAATATTATAGTACAAACTCAATGCACTAAGATGATCATTCATTCTCGATCACTTGGACAGTCCTGGGTCATGTCTGCTGTTGTGATATAATGACTAATAGGGCCAACTATTACTCTTGGAAATACCCAATGTGGATGGTAAATTATACAGTCACCCTAGCAGTAAGAGAAGCACATTTAAAGTATTATGGAAAGACAATAAGAGAGCAACTAATTTTCCACGGGGGGAAGATCTGGTGCTCTAAATGAGTTTTTCTGTGGTTTATAAGAAATCGCTATTTTGAGTTTAAACCGTTAACCAAATTACTCTGTTAATGTTCTGGCTGACAAAGGAATATCCAGAAAAAAATACGTATCAGAAAGCATGTCTAATGCATGAATTGTGCCTTTTGTTAAATTGAACAATTCCAAAAAGCCATTTTCGAATACATACTACATTCTAGACCCTGCACTAATATACATGCGTGAGTAGGTCATTGTCTTTCTAACTGAATTGTAATACCTTAAGTGCAGGGACTAAAACACACAAAAACATAACACAGTAAGTATAAAGTATGTACAGAGTGTTGAGTGAAAAGATACTTAATTCAAGCTACAGATTCAGAGACTTCTGGAAAAAACAGCTGAACTGAGTCTTGAAGGATTAGTCAGAATTAAGGAAAATAAAAAAGAACAATTCATTTAAAAAGTCAAAGAGTCAAAATCGGAATGTAATTCAAGGTAGAAATAATAGTGGCCCACGCAACCACCATCAGACACAAATTTTGCAGTTCTTTGGAGGAAAGGGTGCCCACTGCAAACAACAGGGATTTATACAGGACAGCTGAGCTGGAGCTAGACCATGATCAATGTTTAGGGCTAAATTGAGCCAAGTCCCAGGCACACCCAAATTTTGAAGTTTGAATTCAGTTCACAGGGAAACCATGTTATATTGGAAGTCACTCATTAACTAAATTGAATCTATTTGATTACTTAAACTCTGGTTCTAATTTGGAAGGATGCCTCTCTCTACTCCCATGCTATCGTTTCAATTTAATTAATTCAAATAGTATATCAAAATGTCTCTGATTTCTTTATTTCCTGGAGTTTACCTGAAAGTCAACAGAAAGTGTAATCAATTGCTTCATCAGATGTTTTAAATCTAACAAATATCTTTCTATATCTGTTTTACCATCTTTTAAATACACTGAGTAACTTGTTGCTGAATACTGAATTTTCTGATACTTAACTGATATTTACCCTATCTTCATAATCTATCAATATTGAGTAGTATTAATTATGTAAATAGCTTAGTTTGGGACTGACTCATGCTTAATAAGGCTAAATTCACAGCCTTGTTTGAAGATGTTTATAAAACCCCCGGTGGCAGTGAGGGGAGATCTACAATCCATCTTCTGCATCATAGCTGGAAAGACACCACAACTTTCTACATAAAGCCCAGCATTCTTTCAGAAGCCCCTCATGAGTTAAGAGTTGGGACATGAGGGTAGAACAATAGGACAGTAGAGAAATTGAAATTCTGCTCCGCGGCTTTTTTCCCTCTGCTCCAGAACACTGGAGTTCCATGCAACATTTGATGGAGTCTAGGAGACAGCGTTCCCAAATAGGGCCCCTTGGCATTTCAGAAAAGAGCAGACACAGGAATGTCACTCTTATCTTCCCCTAACCCCTTCCCTGAAGCAAGCCATAAAACGTAGCAGACTTCTTCTAAAGTAAGTCATGAGACCTTCATTTCAGAAGCATCCTCCCTGTACTCAGGAAAAGAACATCCTTATTCACAAAGACACAGAGACACTAAGAAGAATCTGAACAAACAGGCTTTGCTGCAGTTCCCCTCAGTTGAATACCAGTAGGTCACACCCCCTTTTGTCCTTCCATCATCTCTCCAGGAGTATCCACTTCTTCATGAAGCAGCGTAAAAATACACAGGTTTCCCTGTTTCTCTCTTTGAGACAAATTGTGCTTTCCCTCATTTCTGAAGGCTCCCATATCACATAAGACTCCTATTAAATCAATGTGTATACATTTTTTCTTTCTTCTTAATTGGTCTCTATAGGGATCTCAACCATAAAGCTAGCCAGGAGTGAGAAAAGTAGTCTTTCCTCCCCTACACATTTCACTTTTTAAAATTCTGCTGACCAAAAAGCACAGTTCAAAGCCATTATCCTAGCTGTGTCAGCATGTCTGCTTCTGACAATTGAGCTATCTTTTCATTCAATGTTGCCTGGTAGTTAAATCACATTAGGATGCTATTTTAAGTATGTTGAATTCTATTTTAGTTGGTGCGTGTGTGTTTTTAAACTGTACCTCTGATCGACTTGACTTTACTCCAATATATTTCATATCCAATGTTGAATTGTTGCAGAGAAATACTAAACTGCAAAATGTCAATAGCAGAGGAACTAATTTAAGAAAGAAAGTATTAAGGTAAACTGGGGTAGCAGCCCAAGCTCTGGGCTGAGAATCAAAAGACCCTGTTTCTCTTTTTGCCTCTGCCACAGAATAACTAAGCAAGGTTATGAAATGAAGGACTTGGACTATTTCCCTAAATTCCACTGCAGCCCTAAAATTCTGTGATCAAATTTGGGATATAAACATCATTCCTTTTTGATTGGATAATCAGGAAACCATCAGCATCACAGGGTGAACGTTCTGGAAAGAATAAAGATATGCTCTGTGAATTCTTTTGTCTGTCTCTGCTTCTGTTCATGAATGCAGTGAAGAATAAAATGAAGTCAATTAGCGTTCTAGAAATTCCAGACGATGAGAAAAAAACAGGAGAGAGTAGAGAAGGAAACTAGAGCTTACAGATCACCTATGTGATGTCCTGTCCACTCTCAGAGGATACTTTCTCATCTTTTATCCCATTTAGTCCTTACAACAATCCCCCGCCCCCCACCGCAAGGTAAATGACACGATGCCCAATTTAGAGATAAGAAATTTTGGAATCTCAATAATGCCTGCTCAGGGAATTGCAGTTCATAAGAGACTGGGCTATAATCAGAAGACAGGCTGTGTGATTTCAAATCCTATGGCTTGATAAAACATGCTAATTTTTTTATTAAATGTGACAGGTGGGTAAGTCTCTGTCATTCGAAATATGGATATAAATTCCACATGTTTGAATGCCTGGTACAATTGTTAAAGTATTAAGCTCAGAAAAAAACTTTCGATTTGGGTTATGATTTTTGGTGAGGGGAATCACATACTTTACTCAAGCTACAGGAATATCAAGTTTCATTAGGTCAGGGTTAATGACTAAGATACTGTATTAATTCATTTTCACACTGCTATAAAGGACTTCCCTGAGACTGGGTAATTTATAAAGGAAAGAGGTTTAATTGACTCACGGTTCCGCATGCCTGGGGAGGCCTCAGGAAACTTATAATCATGGCGGAAGGCGAAGCAGGCACCTTCTTCACAAGGTTGCAGGAGGGAGACGAATGAAGGAGGAACTTCCAAATACTTATAAAGCCATCAGATCTTGTGAGAACTCACTCACTATCACGAGAACAGCATGGGGAAAACGCCCCCTGATCCAATCACCTCCCTCTCTCCACAGGTGGGGATTACAGGGCCCTCTCTCAACACGTGGGAATTACAATTCGAAATGAGATTTGGGTGGGAACACAAAGCCAAACCATATCAGATACCTAGCTGAACGCAGGACTTCTAAGGTCTTGGTCTAATTGCATATCATTTAAAAATATATAGTGATTCATTGTACTGAAAACTATTTTATGCTGAATCATTTATTAAATGCTTCGTTATTTTACTTAAAAAGAAGGCCTGAACTGGGAATATACTAGGATTTCCCTTATTCGACCATAACCATGGGAAGTCTTGCAGGCTGAATGGGAACGTGGGATCACGCACTGGACAGCAGCATATCCTACAGTGTCCAGAATAGGCAAAGGGGAACAATTACCTTCTTGACACTGGCCTTGCAGACCAATTCCTCTAGAATGATGGTAAATGGTAAAAACACACCATGATCTCTATTTCCTAAAAATTGCACCTGATTGTTAAAATCGTGCTCATAAGAATTCATTTCCAGAAAAATAAAATCTCTCATTTCCAGCCCTCAAAATCTCTCTGTCATTTTACTTGAGAGTCAAATTAGTGGAAGTGGGGTGGAGGGGGGGAATTAAATCAACTCCAACTTTCCTTCCTTCCTGGTAGCATCTCAAGTGCTGCTCAAAGCCTGGCTGACTCTTCCCATAGTTGCCCACCTGCTTAATCCAGCAACACTCTTCCTGGGCTCCCAGGGAGAATGGGGAGGCCTCTTCTGATCCCCACTGTCTGTCTTCGCAGTCACCAGCATCCAGAACTCAGAGATTGTAAGCCCCACCAGCTGCAGCATCTTTAAAACTTCTGTATTCAATTTTTTCTGATACACCATTAAGAACACCCTTTTTTTCTACGGTAATTAGAGGGAACAGAGCTCAACTGTAAGAAATCAAGCCAATGGCTATGATTTTAGGGAGGAGCAAAGGTGAAGTGTCACAGAGTAAAAAGACGTGACCATTATTGATTTCCTACCCAACCTCTTGGTGAAGAGGTTGCAAAGAAAGTAACAAAAAAGAGATCAAGCCCCAAGTCCCTAAATATATATGTATAAATTATATATTAGAAAAATGTATATACATGTAAGCATGCATATACAGATATGCATGTATGTATTAATATATATTGTTTAAAATCAGGGTCTTTTCTTTTTCCCAGTATTGATTCCCCAGTATTGATCAGGGTCTTTTCTTTTCTCCAGTATGAAAATGAAATACAGTGCTGAGAATAAACTGGAGATCTCTGCCAGAGTTATAAAATGCAAGAAAGACCCTTAGTGGGAGATGTATGAGGGTGGATCCCAGGAGCAGGGCCGGGAAATAATAGACACTGAGGTTTGTTTCTCTCTGCAAAACAGGACTTCAGTGATACAGCGATATAATACTCTAAGATATTTTATTTTCAAAACAAGACATAACCCAACTCCAGCTCCCTAAGGAGAGCCCTACTTCCCAGCGCTGGGTCTGCATCAGGAGCCCTGGCATTTCCTCTTTAGCAGGGAGTGCAGCCAGCAAAACAATCAAGCTGTGATTGGGAGCTGAGCGCAGTGGTTAATTAAGGCTGCATCTTTTATTCTCCAGGGCAATTCAGCACAGCTTGAATGAGCCCCAGAGCCAGTCTGCGGTGGGAATGTCTCCCCGGGCAGTGGGAGAATCCAGTCTCAGGGGCTGTCTCATCAGCATGACAATAGCCCCAGGATGCACTTGGACTGATGTAATGGCCAGAGTTAGGGAGGGGGGATGAAAGCCTTGTTGCAGAAGCCTGGAGCGTTTGCAGCTGACTGGGGCTATTTCAGTGCATGAAATTCCTTCCCTCTTTCTTCCTTTTATAAGAGATGTTTGCTAATTGGTAGAGCTCAGAAAACAATATACCATTAAGAATCCCTTTCCTTCCTCCCACCCCCCACTCTCATTTTTTAAAAGTCTCTGCTTTCTTGCTTCACTGGAAGTCTCAACTTTTGTTCTGTGGTTTGCATGAAGTCTTAATTTTTCATTCTCTTTAAGAGGGAACTTATAAACAACGATTTACTAAAAGAGACTCTGCAACCGATTCTTCTGTATCAGGGGTTCCCAAATACAGCCCCCCCCCCACCACCACCACCCCTACTTTGAGAATCTTGGCTGTGGTCCTGCTACAACTCATATATTTGCCTCGTTTGTTACACATTGATACAAAACATTTTGGAAAAGTGACTCACGGAAAGTTAGTCTGATTTTGTATTTTGTATTTTCTATTTTTTTTAATTACAAGATCCTGTTTGAATTAATTGAATCCTTTAAGCTGACAAGCTAATGGTCAAAATGAAGACAGTATAAGGAAATGTCAGTTGAGAATCTGGGATAAATGTTGTTTGACCCTGCCACAAATTCAGTAGGCGACCAGGGTAAGACTTTGTCCTCTCCTCTCCTGTTTGGGTCTCAGTTTGCTCATCTGTCCAAAGAGATAAGGGAGCTCAATGATTCCTAAAGTCCTTCTTGTGCTATCACTTTATAGCTCATTGAGTGGAGCCATACTTTCTTAATTGATAGAAGCTGTAAGCTCTGATATAACAGAAAATGTGTTGTGTGTTCATTCTCTAAAAGCACAAGATGTCCATAGTCCTTCTACAGTTTTGAAAATTAATGCTCTTAATGATTCTGGAAGATTTTTTTTAGTGAAGTAGGCTGTTATCTGGAACCACAAAAGATATGCACGGATTCTGATGCATCTCATCTCAGAAATCACCTGAGCAATGCACAGCTGATTAATAGAAATAAGAACATTACTTTAGGAGAATGTTCTTCACGTTCCCAAGCATGAAGAACTCCTTTTCCTACTCTACCTTATTCCTTCTCTTCTTTCCACTTGGACAGAACCACTGGAGAGACTTTAGAGGATCTTTTAAGGGTTTCACACGAGCAGGTGGAAGAGGCTCTGGACACATCTCTGCTCACATTCTAACAAGTCACTTTCCACTCATAGTCTTTCCTTTGTATACTTTGCTGTGAATCCTGCCACATTGGGAGCATCCTTAGCTCAACCTTACTTCTAAATTCCATTAAATACTTGTCACAGTACAATAGGTGTTACTGCCACTAGTACCTCACCCAGACACAGCATTTCCTAAAAGCAAATACTTTTGTAAGTGGTTTAGAAGTAAGAGTTTATTCTCAAAATCACAATCAGCATACACACCAGCTTCCTTCTTACCACTTCCGTCAGATTAGGTGAGTTGATCATAATTGAAAATATGATACCATCTTTCCCCCAGTATCCAGGTCTTTCATGAGGCTAACAAGAATCTTTGTCTAAAAATTGGAAGGTTGAATAAAACATGCGTTGGGGGATTTGTGAAGACAGAGAGTGTCCATATTGTGGTTCTCTTCTTTGGGCTGTTGAAATAAACACTTCGACATCTCTCAAGGTGTTCCTGTAAAATTTTTGATAATTGTCTGCAGAACTGACAATTCAATTCATGAAGACGAATTCTTCCTCTTGTTATTTTCTGAGATTTAACAGAAGAAAAACAAAATAATAGAACTCTCAGAAGCTATAAAATCTACATACAGCCCCTTACTTAAAATATAACACCTCAACCACAAAGAGCCAGGACACTGTCATTAAATAATTTCAGTTCTGGGGTTATTTCAGGTGAGCCAGGTGCTTGATCTTGCTGTTCCTGTCTTCTCCCAAAGCAGTGGAATTTCAGCAGATTCCCATTCTCCCCTCAGCAAAGATCCCGGTCACAGTAGCCAGATGAAAAGCCTCTTTGAACTTGGTAGGGGTCCATTTTATTATCATTATTATAAAACTTTAGAAAAGAATTCAGCTTGCTTGATACTTTTCTCAGGGCCAAGTCTGAGGTTGAGTAAAGGGATAAAGACCAGCATCTTTTTAAAGGTGCCAGACTGGTCATCTGACTTTTTTTCTTGGCAAGGACACACACACACAGGCACACATACACATATGCATGTACACACACACCTGCATGTACATGATGCACACATACACACATATATGCACAAACATACACATGCATTTATGCACACACGCACTCTCTCTCTCACACACACACATCCAAACAGCCACAGTTATCTTCTCAAAAGAGAAAGAGAATGTCCCTGTAGTTTAGACTGTTCGCAGCGGGGAATACAGTCTGGTAAAATGAAGACTGCACACCCCCTCCCCCTGAGGCAGCCAAAGAAATCTTTGTGCAGCCCAGGTGTTGGCTGCGTCCTCTTCACTAACATCCTGTCTTGAATTATTCAGACTCATTCATTATGTATCCCACATAGACACAATTAAATCGTTAACTTTCCCATCAAGAGAACAGCAAAGGGACAGTAGCACTCCGCTCCTCCTTCCTCCCCGGGCTGAGAGCCGCCTGGTGGAGCTGCTGCAAAGGGGAATGGTTTGCAAAGAGGCAGTGGGCTGGGGGCACTCTCTGCTCTGACAGCTGGAACCCTACTGCCCAGCCAAGCTATTCAGCCACATAAGCACCTCTCCTGGATGTTTCCAAGGTGGGTGGGGGTGCTAAAGAAGTACGGAGCAATTCAAATTTAGTTTAGGGGTCTTCGTAAAGTCTCTGAGGCATTTCAAAGCTGCAGACGCTCATCTGTCTAGGTCAGATGACCTTTTGATCTTACTTAAATTCTGCGGACATTTTATTTTACGATGAGTTTGTGTTTAGATTCACAGGAATCTGTGGACCAAGACTCCAAATCTCTGCCAAAAAGACTCCAGGGAGATAAGCAAATTCTCAGCCTTGTATCTTCTTGAGACCCAACGATGAGATTGAGCCAAAGGACATTCAACTAAAAAAAAAAAAAAAAAAAAAAAAAAAAAAAAAAAAAAAAGGCTGCTATTGTACTATTTCTTCCAACAGGTCTTAGTAAAAAGTGGCTTAAACAGAAAGGACCATTGCAAAAGAGCTCAGGGCATTAAATGATAAAATTATACCAAAGTTAGGTTGGGGGTGGGAGTGGGAAAGAGAGAGTTTCCATCACTTTCGTAGGTCTCCTTGCCCTGCTTCTCTGCCAGCAAGTACCTAGAACTTTGTGCTAGAGCTTTAACTGGCTCCCCATACCAACTAAGTCAGTCATGTGTCATTGTCCACTCCTGCTGAGAACTGGCCAGATGCAATTTGGTCATTATTCTTAGGTTCTTTGAGGTGGATAATGGTAGCCACCAAGAAGCTCAAGGTGGGAGAGGTCTAATTATTTACTCCACAGACTCATTACCAGTTATAATTAAACCAAGTGTCAGATCAAATCTGTCTCACAGAGAGATATTAATATAAACATTTATTAGCAAGTGGGCACAAAGAAAGCTTACAGAAACTGTTCTGGGAGCTCAAGGAAGCTTCCGTGCCCTGTCTTTGGAGGGGATCTGGCCACCACCTTCTATGAAACTTTACCCAAGGTTGACATAATAATAGCCAGGCTAGAACTCAGTCTTCCTTATAGGTGGTCCCCAGTAACCAGAAATTCTCTAAACTACTGGTTCTCAACTGGGCAATTTTGCCCCCCAGAGGACATTTGACAATGTCTGGAGACACGTTTGATTGACAAAACCCAGAAAGAGACGAATGAGGGTGCTATTGTAACTGGTGAGTAGAGAGCAAAGATGTTACTAAGCATCTTAACAAATGGCCCCAAATGTCAATGGTGCCAAGGTTTGGAAACCCTGCTCAAAGCAGATGACTGGACATAAGGCCTTTCAGATATTCATCTTAGGTTCTCAGTGCCCATATGAAGGTCTGAGCTGGCTTCTAACAGCCTCTACCCACAGGGGTAGCCAGGTCTTTAAAATGTTTTAACCCATTCACCTCTCTCAAGTGCTCTAAGTCTAAATCAACATCCCTTCTTAATATCCCTCATGCTGATTAACAAGCTACTAATTTACAAACTGGTAACTAGCAAAAGTCTGATGTTGAGCACAGATTTCTATGACAGACATGCTTACAACATACACTTGTGGAATTTCTTTTTTCTGACATATTGCCAGCCAACCATCCCTTGGGTGTGGACCTCTGATTAAAATGATAATGTGGCCAGGTGCAGTGGCTCACTCCTGTAATCCCAATCCCTTTGGAGACCAAGGCGAACAAATCCCTTGAGGTCAGGAGTTTGAGATCAGCCTGGCCAACATGGTGAAACCCTGTCTCTACAAAAAATACAAAAGTTAACCGGGCGTGGTGGCGCATGCCTGTAATCCCAGGAGGGTGAGGCAGGAGAACGTCTTGAATCCGGGAGGTGGAGGTTGCAGTGAGCCGAGATCATGCCACTACACTCCAGCCTGGGTGACAGAGCGAGACTCTGTCTCAAAAAAAAAAAAAAAAAAAAAAAAAGCCAGTGTGGTAGCGTGCACCTGTAGTCACAGCTACTTGGGAAGATGGCTTGAGCCCAAGGGGGAAGTTGCAGTGAGACAAGATCGTGTCACTGTACTCCAGGCCAGGCGGTCGGTCACGCCTGTAATCTCAGCACTTTAGGAGGCCAAGGTGGGTGGATTACCTGAGGTCAGGAGTTTGAGACCAGCCTGGCCAACGTGGTGAAACCCCGTTTCTACTAAAGAAATACAAAAATTAGCCGGGCGTGGTGGCGGGTGCCTGTAATCTCAGCTATTTGGGAGGCTGAGGCAGGAGAATTGCTGGAACCTGGGAGGCGGAGGTCGCAGTGAGCCAAGATCACACCATTGCACTCCAGTCTGGTCAACAAGAGCGCCTCAAAAAAAAAAAAAAAAAAGAATATAACTTGGGATTGACCTTTTGTTTATAGTCCAATGACCTTAAAGTCTTTTCCATGAAAATTATGTGCCACTATTAATTGCTGGAATGAATTATTCACTGACAAATGAAACCTTTAAAGCAAAAGCCTCATTTTACACAATAATTTCAGCAACTTTTCCCTTCAAACTTTAACAAAAACTTCTAAGTGGCTAATTACAGAGTTTATGCCCCCTGACTCTTTTTTTTAAAAAACTCTTTATCTTTAATGTAGATGCCAACAAACGATGGCATTCTCAGCAAAAAGACATAGGAAGGATATGTGTATAAGCTCTCAAAAAGGCACAAGCTTCATTATATCAGCATCTGTATGAAGAAAAAGGGGAGACAATGTGCTTTAGTTTTATTACCAGGATAGAGAAATGGAAGATCCATAGTCTTTGAAGGTGTGTACATGGTAGGAACTCAATGAAAATAAATGCAAACTCCCCAAAGGGCAGAGGCAGAATCAAAAGCAGGCATGGGATGAGCAGAGAAATGCAGGGAGAGGCATTTGGGGAAACAGGAACAGAATCTAGGACACCCTTGCAAACATTGCTGAGCTCTAACATCTGCCGTGGACTGCCTAAATGCGTGAGGATGAGGCAGACCCTTCAAGGTAGCTAGCGGATGAATAAACGACCTTGATATCAGTCACTTACCTGAGTTCATTTTTAATTGTTTGCTTTCATTCCTTGCCTCTGGTGACTACGATAATAAAAAAAGAAATATTCATTGCGAAGAGAGATGATAAATTGATTGATAGAAAAATAATTTTTGCAATTGAGCCTTAACAAGAGTTAAAATAGGTTGAAAGGCATCAAACCAGGACCTCAGAGAACTAGAAGGATGCAGCTGAAATAAACAAGGGACTGTGCTGGAGCCAGCTGCAGCATTGCACTGAGTTCCGTTACACCATGACACAGAGTCAATGGGCAGATGTAAATTAGCTTGGAGTGGCATTACCCTGCTGTGGTCTTAAATGCCTACTTTAGTGCCAGAAAGCCTGGTTCAAATCCTAGCTCTGCCACTCTACCAGCTTTGTAATATTTGACACAAGAATTTATACTCTATGAGGTTAGGGGGCAGTACATGTTTGTTTACAAAGGTATCTCAAGTGCTGAGAGAACAGTACCTGGCAGATCACAGGTATGCAATGAAGAAATCTGTTAAATGGATAGTGGAATATGTTACCTCTATGCTTCAGTTTCTGTATCTATACAGTGAGTTATTTAGAGGATAACCATGTGAATGGATCAGTACATGAAAAGCTCTAAGAACAGTGCCCAAAATATGCACCAAAAAGACAGTCAACTTCCATTACTATCGGTGCAATGCATAAGAGGAAGAAAGTTGGAGAAACGTCTGTATCTCTCTTCTTAGGGGGGTGGTCTCATCAAAAGTGATCAATTCACAGGCATGTCTAGAGAAATAGTTTCCCCAGAAAGCGCAGCCAAAATAAGGAATTCTTAGATTTCAAGCACTTGCTAGAGACATGAGAATTTACTTGCAAGAACCAGACAGATACAAATCATGAGACAGATTTGGAGGAAGGCTGCCTAAACATCTAAGCTGAAATGACTGTGGCTGTCTTCCTGGCCAAGGCTGGGGCCCTAGAGAACCTGAGTGATTTAAAATATTGTCTTGACTTCATGTTCTTGACAAATTATTTTTCAAAGGGAAAATTTCAGTATGCATAGAAACATCCAAAATGAGCCCAGGACACCTGTTAGTTATGAGTGTAGGCACTTAAAGTAACTGGCATGGATTCTCCCTTTTGGTCCACATTCTGGTCGGGCAAAATCAAACATTTACCTTTCACTTTTGCATGACATATCACCCTACATACACCTCTCAACACAAGTCCATTAGCCGTAAATGGTCCCAAATGTGGGCCTTTCTGAGGTGGTAACAGTAGCACCATGAAAACAGTGATAGATTCTGCAAATATCTGTTACTCTATCCGCAGCCTCCACTCCCTGCTTGCTCCCTCCCCATTTCCTACCATCTTGAATAACTTAGCTTCTTTCATTTGCTAGTATATTAAAACTGAATGATCACAGCTTATCAAACAAAGAGAAAATATGCTTGTTAAATAATAACAAATAGGGAAAAAAGACATTATTAAAGAGGTGCCAATTGTGATTTATTTTATAACTCTCCCTTTCCAAAATAATGCTCATAATGATCAGAATGTAAATATAAAACCACAAGAAAAAATGACCAGATACTAGTGACATCCAGCATGTGCTTTACACTTGTAGAATACTTCAATTAGAATAGACTCTAAAATACAAAATAGTTCAACCACCTCTCACCCATGTATTCATTGCTTCATGTGTTCATCAAATGTGTATTGAGTACCTACTATGAGCCAAGCATGTACCATATTCCAGGAACATCAAGCTAAGCACAACACAAACGTGACCTAAAGGAATGTACTATCTAGAGCAGACATTGGCAAATGTCTTTGCTAAAGGGCCAGAGAGTAACCATTTTTGGCTTTGCAGACCCAAGATCTCTGTCACATCAGCTCACTTCTGCCATTACAGTGCAAAAGCAGCCATAGACAATATGCAAAACACACAAGCAACAGACTTGGCTATGTTCCCATAAAACTTCGTGTATAGATACTAAAATTTGAATTTCATATAATTTTCACGTTTAAAAATGCCATCCTTCATTTGATTTTTGTTCCACTATTTTAAAATGTAAAAATCATTTTTAATGCACAAGCTACACAAAAAGAAGTAATAAGTCTGTTTGGCCTGTAGGCAGTGTCGACATCTGGGCTAGAGGCAGGAATATATAAGAAATCACAACTTGCTAATTGATTATCTGAATAAGATACAAAGGGGTTGTGAATAGATGTCACCATTTCCTTATAAATTCTACTGACAATGAAATAATAGAAGATGAACCTTCACTTAGCCCACTATGCTTCCTAAAATCATGGCTACACGATCTCAGGTACAGGTAGAGAGCCCTGCTGCTGTTTCCACTCCCTACCCTGATCTTTAAATGAGGTCCTTGTACACAAGCCCATGAGTCTTAGGTCGCCCAGGTGGTTATGGACACTTGACTCAGGACAAAGAAGCCTTGAAGAGTCTGGAGAGTATCTGACATCATAATGAATTGCAAATATAAAGAATATAATATGAATGAAAAAAGTAACTGGGCTAAACCTCTAGGTGTCTTAGAATTTGAATCTTGACCAAGGAATCAAAATCATTAGGGCAAGATGGCATGATTGATAGGCTCTAAGATAGTATGCTGTGTATTCTAGGAGGACTATAAAGAAGTCGAATACCTAACTCAAGAAGGGGTGGGTGCAGGGATTTGGTAATAGTGGGTAAGGTTTGAGGTAAGTCCCAATAGGAGACATTTGAGGTACGTTTGGATATAAGTAGAAACTGGCCTTAGTATTTTTGGCAGTGACAATAGCCTGATGATTTGGGGTGACCACAGATAACTCAACCTGTCTTTAGGGAAGCACATGTGATGGGAAGGTAGAGGAAGAGAGATTCAGAGGCAAGAGTATAAAGGTCTTGCATGACAGGACAAGGGATCTGGACCAGAGGAGACACCCAAGAAAATTTTAAACAGGAAAATAGGATGATCAGATTTGTGTGTTAAGATGGTT
The DNA here is from genome assembly GCF_000001405.40 of Homo sapiens. Classification (NCBI taxonomy): domain Eukaryota; kingdom Metazoa; phylum Chordata; class Mammalia; order Primates; family Hominidae; genus Homo; species Homo sapiens. The sequence goes on from NC_000017.11 coordinate 71,837,142, forward strand.
AACTGTGGCCACAAGACAGAGAATGGAATCACATGCAAATCAGAAACATGACAAATTGCCTGAGGTCACAGAATTAATTATTGTATTAATCAGTTTTCACGCTGCTGATAAAGACATACCTGAGACTGGGTAATTTATAAAGAAAAAGAGTTTAATGAACTCCCATTTCCACATGTCCTTGGAGGCCTCACAATCATGGAAGAAGGCAAAAGGCACATCTTACATGTTGGCAGGCAAGAGACAATGAGAACCAAGTGAAAGGGGTTTCCATCAGATCTCATGAGACTTATTCGCTACCACAAGAACAGTATGGAGAAAACTGCCCCCACGATTCAATTATCTCCCACAAGTTCCCTCCCAAAACACATGGGAATTACGGCAGCTACAATTCAAGAAGAGATTTGGGTGGGGACACAGCCAAACCATATCAATTACAGAAAAACAACTATAAACAAACAGGCCAAACAGATTGGAAAAAGGACTCTGATACCTTTTCCAGCATGTTCCCCTTGACAAATTTTGTTCTCTGATCTCCAGTACCTGGTCATAACAGAAGACCTTCAAGGAGAAGAGGATAGTGCTGACTCACTCTCTCAAACACCCACTCTTGATAATTTCTCTAAATGGGCAAATACATTTGCTAAGAGCCACCCTTCTTTTATCCTCCTCATAGCATTTGATTGACGACAAAGTGACTTGGGAACAAAATAAAGAAGCAATCTGCCTACAGATCATACCTAGTCCCAATGCCTTATAAACACCAGCAAAAGTTACTAAGAAAAATTAGAGAACTGTTAAAAAAAAGAATTTTAACATTAGTCAACATTTTATCATTATTTATTCCCTTCATGAAATGTGCTTCTTTGCTTACCACCTGAATTGAGAATAGAGGGTATCAAAACCTTGTTTCTACTAAAAATACAGAAATTAGCTGGGCATGGTGGCACATAACTGTAGTCCCAGCTACATGGGAGGCTGAGACACAAGAATCGTTTGAACCTGGGAGGTGGAAGTTGCAGTGAGCTGAGATCGCACCACTGCACTCCAGCCTGGCGAGAGAGCAAGACTCTGTTTCAAAAAAAGAAAAAGAAAAAGAAAAAAGAATTTAGAATACATCTACCATTTCTCCATTCTTGACACATTTTATCTCACATAATCTTTAAAATATTGGTAAGGTGGGTGATTTGATTCATTCCTCTCCATTCCCTTCATTTCACCAAGTCAGACTGGCTTGACAGGTATTGGGGAGAGAGAAATGGTAGCTAGACAGAAGCACTCTATCACAATAGCAGGGGAGTCAGGAAGTGCCTATGGAAACAGAAACCTTAAAGTCTGCAGGAAAGGAAGGACGAATCTAAACCTCCAGGTTTTCATCATTAGCCCCCATCCTCTCCATGTAAACACAACAAAAGAAAAAAATGAGACACAAAGCACAGGTTAGAAAACTGTTATATTTGTATTGATCTGTGACATAACATCTAAGTAAGAACAGTACCATCACTAGCTTTAAGAAAATTTCCCTAGTTGCTCCACCTCTACTAGGTCAGTGCCTGTGAACTTCTTGGAAATCAACACCAGGCTTTTGATAAGAAGCCAAGGTAAGAATCAGAAAGGTGACATGAGTCCCAAGAAGGTCTCAATCCTGCCAGTCAGGAGAGAAGGGGTTACGAAAGTTAGCATATCCTTGACTTGAGCCCTCTGTAGCCTACTCATGGAACTTTGTGCATGGCTGGGCTGCCCTGGCTTGAAGAAAACAGAAACAGCACAGAAAATAGATCTTTTTATTCCCGTTATACAGAATGCTCAGAGCCACATGGCTACTAAGTGGCAGAATTAACATTCCACTCAGATCTACTTGGCTCCACATTCCACACTGTCTTCAGTTTGCCACACTGCATCCAGCTCAACCAAGGTAAAGTATGGTGACTAATTGTCTAAAAGACAGAATTGGAAAGAGCACATCGTTTCCTGGGCAAGATACTGAAGACTCTTATTGTTATTATTTTTCATGTATGTAATTGAGCTATAAAGGAACATTCCACCAGCTAGCCCAAGAAGTCACCGTGGTACGTCAGCCATTTTTTCCATCTTCCTTCATCTCTCTCAGTTCAGAGAAGTGGAAGTTCTCCCAGGGAGGCTTGATCTGCCTGGTCAGCATGGCCAGGATGCCCCCCAGGGAGGAGCTAGCATGCCCAAAGATCACACTACTTTCTCCCCCTTCACTCACCCTGTGGGTCCTCCAATCCCTTTGTCAGACTTGATGCAGCCTGAGGGTTTCAAATGAGGTATAGGAGGAAGGAAGGTACATTATTTAGAAAATGGGTGGTAGGCTGGGCACAGTGGCTCACACCTGTAATCCCAGTGCTTTGGAAGGCCGAGGCAGGTGGATCACTTGAGGCCAGGAGTTCAAGACCAGCCTGGCCAACATTGTGAAACCCTGTCTCTAGTAAAAATACAAAAGTTAGCCAGGCATGATGGCACACACCTGTAATCCCAGCTACTCAGGAGGCTGAGGCAGGAGAATGGCTGGAACCCAGGAGGCAGAGGTTGCGGTGAGCCGAGATCATGCCACTGCACTCCAGCCTGGGTGACAAAGGGAGACTCTGTCTCAAAAAAAACAAAAAACAAAACAAAACAAAACAAAACAAAACAAAACAAATGAGAACCAGAGTAAAAATTGATTCTGACCAGAAGGCAACTCCTCCAAATACAGTGGATTCCAAAAGAGGAGGAACAACTGGGAAGTCAAACAAGTGTAGGCAGACCCACAGGTCATGAAAAAATTCTACATATAAGAGAGGTTTGAGACTATCCAGGATTTTCTGTTACTATTCAATTGTGACTTACCCAGAGACCCGGATGAGGCTGAGAATCTAAGATTATTTTCACTCCTGTCCAAACCTTTGTTTCTCCTAGACTCTACCATGTCCAGGAGACATGGGAGCATGAACTAATCGATATGAAATTACTTATGATAATAGTTTCCAGAGTGATTACATTGCTTTTGGATTCTAAACACAGGTTTTGTTTCTAAAAGAAAACTATATTATTGTTTGTTTCTAATAGTTGTGTGTGTGTGTGTGTGTGTGTGTGTGTGTGTTTTAACACTTCTCTGGAGTTTTTTACATGGAAAGCGGCAGTAGCAATATTGTTTTTCCTAACTACAAAACATCCAAAGGTCCATTTAGCAACTTATTGTGTATATATTTAGCCATAGTCCTATAGTTCCTACATTTCAGGGTGAAAAGCAGAATGTATTCAATTGCATACAATAGTGATATTTTCTTCAATTATCTTTTAAACCAATTGCTAACTATTTTTTAACATTACAATGTACGTATTCTCTATGTAAGATATTTAGAAAATACAAAAAATAAATACAATTATTAAAGTTGTATAAGCACTGCTAAGAAATTGGTTTATTTGTCTTCTTCCCATCTATTTCTTTCTCTCTTCTCTCTGTATATACACACATGCATATATATAAATATACATGCATATGTATTTTGTATGCTATTTTTTGATTAAAATACCATGGTTATCATTATTTTTCCAGCTGACAAAAATCCATTGTACAATCTCACATAAGTGAGCAATTTGCACATACACCGCTGTCTGCCTCTTTTATGGATTCTTTATTACAGGCTCCTAGATATGGATGGCAGAGTTACAGAACATTTAAGAATACTAGTACCTACTGTCAAAGTGCACAAATTTACACTCTGAAATAACTGATTTCATGGCATCCTTGCCAGCACTGAACATTATTTTTAATCTTATTTTAAAAGAAGTAAATATTCTAATTTGTATTTATTTACAAATATTTCCCCCTGTATTCACTCACAATTTGCATCTAGGGTAATTACTCCTGTTTCAAGACAGAATGAATTCGATATGACATGAACTGACTACAACACCATAAATGAGGTGGCTTCTCTGAGTATTTTCCATGCTCAGGTCTGATTATTGATTTGGTGAGCCTTGCTGAGACCAAGGCTGAGCCTCTCAATGCACATTCTCTCCACGACGTAGGAAAGTATCATGAGGAGAAGGCATCATTACGTCCACATGGGACAACCAGCTTCCTTCTGTCCTGTGGCCTCAGTCATTTTAACCCTCACCATCTGTTCTGCTGATGAGTGGCTCTGGGGTGCTGAAGAGGAGAGTTTGTAGATGATTAAATCACTCATTCGTTTTCTTTTTAATTTCAAATGTCCTGCCCCTATACAGGTAAGACTTGGCATATGCTTGTTTAGTGACTGAATAACTTTGACTCTGTCCCCTAAACACAGGGTCTAGTAACAGAAATATTCATATAACCCAAAATACCTAGTAAGTAGGGCTAGAATAGATTTGCATGCATGCCAGAGAAGGGTGTGTGGCTCTCTCCATGGAGGGTGATACATAACAGATAAGGTAATAATCCAGCTAAACTGTAATGCAGGAGAAGAGTACTGGCTTTGAAGATATGGCTGGGAAGCAGCTGCCAGGCACAGATACAGAATGTGCACGGATCATGGTGTGTTAGACAAGGCCTGTGCTGTTTGGGATGAAAACAGCATAAAGCATAGAGTCCAAGAATGGAGGCAAGTGAGACTAGAAAGAAACAGGAAGAAAAGATAATAAGGGGGCTCACTCTTCTCATGGGGGAATCTACATTTCTCTCGAAGTGCCTAAAAGATTTGAGCAACAGAATTGCTTACTCTGGCACCACCCCATAGGAAGGATAAGAGGGAAAAGTGATTTGAATATGGGAGTCAGATATACCTAAGTTCTAGGTAAAGCTGTGTCTATTAACAAATAGGCAAATCAATAAAATAATGAATAAATAAAAGAAACTTGTAATAGATGGGTGAGTGAGAAAAGGCCTAGGACAGGAGTAGGTGGGTAGATAAAGAATACAGTTTTAGACTTTACAGTCACCTATATGTAATAGGGAACGCTAACTTACTAGTGTTCTACTAGCCTAACTTATCAGTACAACCTGAAGCAAGACCAATATATTCAAGCTAGTAAGAATGATGATAGCTAATAATGAGAAAAATCTAAGTTACTCACATGTTTACAGTGCTTAGATAGGGAGAGTGAGATTTCAATAATTTTTGTTTTTTCTTTCCTTTTTTTTTTTTGCCTACTTATGTGTATTTTTAATAATTCTGTAGGCCGGGTGTGGTGGCTCACACCTATAATCCCAGCACTTCGGGAGGCTGAGGCGTGTGGATCACCAGAGGTAAAGAGTTTAAGACCAGCCTGGGCAACATGGTGAAACCCAGTCTCTACTAAAAATATAAAATTTAGCTGAGCGTGGTGGCATGTGCCTGTAATTCCAGCTATTTGGGAGGCTGAGGCAGGAGAATCACTTGAACCCAGGAGGTGGAGGTTGCAGTGAGCCAAGATTGTGCCATTGCACTCCAGCCTGGGTGACAGAGTGAGACTCCATCTCAAAAAAAATTAAAAAAAAAAAAATCTGTAATGATGTGTGTTATGGAAAATGTAAGTTTTGTATAACTAAAAATAAAGGGAAATATAATAATGGCTACCATTTTTAGTATTTACCTGTAAGTTTTAAACTATATTCAGGGTTTTACATTTGTCACTAATACTCATAACAGTCCTATGAGATACTTTTTACCCTCAAAGAAATTAAAGAATTTATCTAAGCACATAGACAAATGTAGTAGATTAAAAAGCAACCTAATTCTCCGTTCCTCCCTATTTCTACACCCTTTACAATGTGACTTTGCAGCTCCTGCTGAAATAATTTATCAAGAGACTCCAGTATCCTGGGTTCCCATGTTAGCAAAGTGACACTCAACTTAGCATAAATGATAAAATGAAATTAAGTTTAACCAAGCACAACTGTTAAATAACCTTTAACTAGGGACTTTCCACTAGAATGATCCAAATAAGACTACTGCTTCACTTTAACCAATCAAATATTTTCTTTGCCTTGCTTCTGCATTCACCCTCTAAAAGTCTTCCCCAGGTGCCGCTTTGGCACAGCCCTGACCTGCTTGATGTCTAGAGCTGCCCAATTCATGAATCACTGTCTGTTCAAATAAATTCTTTAATGTTTTAATGTGCCGACGTTTAACTTTTAAAAATCCACCAGGAAGTTGAGCCTATTTCCCCATCCCTCAAATCTGAGCTAGTCTCATGACTTTCTTTGGCCAAAAGAATGTGGCCAAAGAAAATAACAGCTCAGAGCTTGAGATTTGAGATCCTCTGCACACCTCTACTCTCTCTTTGCAGCTCTTCTGCTAACAAGTCAACAAAGTCAGGATGATGAGACAAAGTGGCCCAGCCACATCCATCACTCAGGCCATAGCCAGCCAATCATTAGATATCAGCCATGGGAGTGAGGCCAACCTAGATCACCAGCCTGACCCTGGTTGAGAATAGACCCCTGAGCAAACCCAGCCAAGATCAGTTGAACTGGCCCAAATCAGGACTATCAACTGACCCACAGATATTGTTTTAAGCCACTTGGGTTGGGGTAGTTTTTTATATGCCAGTAGCTAACTCGATACAATAGACAGTGGAAGAGCCAAGATTTGAACCCATGTCTAAGTTCACTCCTGTGTCTCTAGAGTTTCTTCTGTTTCCATTATGCAGTTAGTAATAGGCCATAGGCTTTACAAACCACAGGCAAATTCTTTTTCCCTCTCTCCCCTCCTGCAAGTGTCTTATTTAAAATTATTTATTATTTACTTATTTATTTATTTATTTTGAGATGAAGTCTCACTTTTGTCACCCAGGTTGGAGTGCAATGGCATGATCTTGACTCACTGCAACCTCTGCCTCCCAGGTTCAAGTGATTCTCCTCCCTCAGCCTCCCGAGTAGCTGGGATTACAGGCACCTGCCACTATGCCTGGCTAATTTTTTTATTTTTAGGAGAGACAGCGTTTCATCATGTTGGCCAGGCTGGTCTCAAACTCCTGACCTCAGGCGATCTGCCTGCCTCGGCCTCCCAAAGTACTGGGATTACAGGTATGAGCCACCACACCTGGCCCTGCAAGTGCTTTTATTTAAAAAGTTATGCCTGGTTTTCATTTTACCTCCCCTCAAGATCTAATTTGTGTTATATTTAAATCTGCAGGCTCCTTCAGGGCTGTCTAGTGTTGTTTTGTTTTTGAGTAGTTTGTCAATATAATTAAGTTCCTGGAGCGTAGGGTGCCCATGCCATAGTTCACTAATAAAATTAAAATGAACCTAAGAATATATTTTATTGTATGTGGCCTTCACATATATCTCATTTTATATTCATAAACCTATGGGTTTTTTTAAAAAAGTATTATTGTACAAATTTTACAGGTAAAACAACAAAACAAAATGAAAATAAAGACTAAGATAGAAGTAGGCTACGTGTCTGGTATAGAGTAGTGAATCAGACACCCTGCCTGCAAGTTCCATCTGCCCTCATCACCAGATCATGAAATCTAGATTCTGACCCAGAATTATTTAGTCCAGCTGTGAGTCTTAAGAAGCCATTTCACAGCCTAGCTTTCTGGTTAGAAATAACAATTCATTTCCTATTGCATTTCAAACATTGCTGGTTTAACCGAGGTTCTTCATTGTCCCCAGAAAGAGTAAAAACACTATAAGCCCCCTAAAGAGTGTAACCTTCATGAGGGCAAGACCCTTGTCTATTCTCTTTGCCATTGGATCCCTAGTGCACATACAAGGCACATAATGTATAATAAGCAACTGAAGGTATTGAGAATCTATGTACTAAGCTCTTAAAAATACTCATTGAAAACACACAATCTCATTTCTTGCAAATCTTCTCATTTTTCAGATGAAGCATTAAGATTCAAGATTTTACATATCGTTCCTAAAGTAACTCAGGGAATAAGTGGCAGGGTCTAGTTTTGAACCCAGGATTGCTGAGGTCAAAGTGAGTGTACTTTTTCTAATTGCCCTTCCATCTTCCCAAAGTAACAAATATGCTTGCCTGCCAGATAAGGATTGGATTTCCATATAAGTAGCCCCAGGGTGCTATCTCCACCAATAATTAAGAACAAAGAATCAGGCTTCAGCTAAAGCAGGATAAGCAGATTAGACATTAATTTAAAAGGTACCTTCAGATTGTTAAATTTTTGAACCACCAGACTGTGTTACAAATTAAAATGGGATTTTCTGATTTATGGTTTGATTCTATAGGGAAACAATTCTAAAGGCAACATCACCTATGTAATTGCACCAAGAATGCTGTGATTATTTCACATAGTGCCATAGCATGACTGTAGGGGCCAGATCATTCCCATTTTGCCTCCTGATTTGCTCTTCATCCAGGTCTTTCCTAACATAGCGTGAACACAAAGGTCAATTTCCTGCAGTCAATTTGAAAAAGGCCAACTCTCAATTAAGTTTGCAAAAGGGGTCAGAGGTGATGTGGAGAAATAAAATCCATGGGTAATGCAAAACACCCATATGAGCTCTGTGCTCTAATAGCCACTACTTCCCAACATGAACCAAAGCGGCTAACCAGTAGTAACTCAGATGGATTTGCAATCTGTTGCTCAAATTGCATCATTTCTGCTATCCATCTCAAATGAACAAATCAATAAGGGGAAAAGATGCAAGGAGAACAACTGGAAAGATAAGGAAAATGCAGAGAAAGGGATACCAGTATAACATCCAAGCTGAGTTTTATTATTAAAGTCATCACTATTTAGATTTTAGTAAATATTTTCCTCCAACTTCCAATAAACATGCACATTTCCCATTAATCTTTAATTGTCCTCCCATCCCCGAGGATGAACCAGCATTTCTATGCCACGCAGAAGACTCTGCTGACTATCGAAAGGCCATCCTACCTTCTCACACTGCAGAGTAGTCTCCTAAATCCAAACCAGACAGGGTCTTTCCGTGGAGAGGCTCACTGTGGTCTACCATAATTAAGCCCCAATACTAACTGAACCACTAACTGTTGACATGGGGCATAACCAGAGCCCTTCCACTATGCCACCCTCTCTAGGGAATGGTTCATTCAACCTTCTGGAGTAAGGGACATAAAGTGTGGGGCAGAAAGAGAGTGGGGAATCAGTAAAAGGCACTGTTCCACTTTTGATACAAATCCCTGTAATCAAAACCATACTTGGCCAGCTCAGTCTTACCTCCAAACTCCCTCTGAGATGCTATAAACATTGGCAGACAATGCATATAATTAAGGTGGAATATGTACTCATAAAATGTTTGTTTCCATCTGCTAGTTGTTTTAGCGAATGTTAGATTTCTTGCGGTCAGTCGGAGAACAACAGAGGGGATTCTGAAATCCCCACTGAGAAGCAGCTCATGAGCATGGCACAGGGACATGCCAGAACGTGCAGCCCTGGGAAGCAAAGAAAGACGGAGGTGAGAGTCTGTTTTCTAGCCTTAATTGTCCAGAAGCAGCCTGGGTGCCATAGCGACATAATCAAGTTCTCCCCTTTTGACTGTAAAGAAACACGGAGAGACTGTGCGTATTGTTGTCTTTCAATACCAAAGGGAGAAGTGGGTGAAAGAAAGTAAGAGTGTTCTGGCACCAGAATAATTTCTCCATTACCTCAATTAGTTCCAATGATGTGGAAAAGTTCTGTCTGGAGAAATCAAACTGAACATAAAATCACTGAAGCGCCGGTGGTGGCGGCGGTAGGTGTTGATACAGGCATTAGTCAGCAATACTGATTGCAGTGAAGTCACTCAATAGCCCTGTCGCTGGAACCTAGGCAGGGAAATAAACTCATTAGATCACCCCCTTCAGTGAAGCATGTGGTTTTCAATGTGGCACCAACATAATCTGGCACCCACCAAAAGATTCAGCCATCTGCCCCTGGAAGGCACAATTTACTAAGGTGTCTGGTAAAGAAATCTGGATAAGTACCATTTTTTATTTTCTAAAGAAACATAAATATGTCTTCTTGCCTAAGAGCCACTTTTGCCGTTAGTTATGAGATGTTAGATTTTCTTTAAGGAGGTAGGTAGTTCTGTGTGGCTATAGAGTACAGAATTGAGATAACTAAAAAGTATACACTATCAGAGAAACTTGAGTTCAGCATACGGAAATTTTTCTGATACTTCTGGCAGGCCATAAACAGAATGGCACCCACATGAGATAGATGTTTAAACCTCCCATTGGGTGTCAATGGAAAGCTAGGTCCTAACTTGCCATGGATAGTACAGGAAGATTTTTTCATTAGATAGGTCATTGAATAGTTGAGAAATCCCTTTCTCTAGTCAAGATCCAGTTAGCAGAAGGAGTTGAGAGAAGAAAAGAAAACATAGATTTCTTTTCCTCCCATGTTAATATCCACATATCCTGTGCCCATCTTCTTTATGGAGTCATTGAAAAAAACTCTATAGACTCTCAAAATGTTCTCTCATCTCAAGTTATATATTAATATACTATGTAATCCTTTATGCTTGAAGTAATTTGTAAAAATGGAAAAGCTCTGTGATGAGTTGACCAACCTCCTCAGTAGTACATCTATCTCTCCCAGTTTTTCCACAACCTTCTTTAAACACTTATTCTGATAAAAGGCTGCCAAAGACAGCATGTGGATGGATGGATGGATAGATTGATGGATGGATGGATAGATAGATAGATAGATAGATAGATAGATAGATAGATAGCATGTGTTATCCATTCCCTGTGTGGTCAATGACCCATTGCATATTCCCAACAAAACCACTCTATGGTATTATACCCAGGCTACATAACTAAGGAAATCAAGTCTCAGAGAAGTTAAGTCATTTGCCCAAAGTCACACAGCTGGAAAGCTGCAGAGAGAGAAGGAGATTAAGGTCCAGAAGGGAAACACCCCCAGCTCCCTCCACTCTCTCACACCACCTCTATAAGCACAAGTTGGGGCACACCTTATCTTGATTTAGAGGACCTGCTTCAGAGGACTTAAATGTTAAGCCCAACATTAAAGAGAGTTGAGGATTCCTGTTTCTTTATACACCATTGTGTAGAGATGGTAACTGACAAATGACTGATTGATACAAGAATTTAAAATGCTTCTTAAAATGTTTTTCCCTTTTTTTTTTTTTTTTTTTTAGCATGATGGGGTATATGCCAATCTAATGTACTGACAAAGTTGGAGTTTCACACCCCAATAAGAAGACATAGCCATCTGGCTTCAACACAGGCCTTAAAAACTAGAAGAGTAGTTAACAAAGGTATGACCCTCCCAGGGTACACTGTTCAGGGAGCCATGTTCTGAGTATGTCAGAACCTCAATGCCTAGAAGCAAACTCTGATCCCTTCAGGTCTCAAATTTTATAAGATAGATGAGAGTAATGAAAATATGATTCCTCCTCTTGAGGATTTCAAAAACACCAAGATAGTTTTGAAAATGTCGCTTGAATTTTTCAGTTCCTGAAAAGAGACTGACTTTTACACCTTGACATAGATTAGAGTTCCATGTAAAAATTCAAGTTAGAAAGAACCCCTCATCCATGATATTTCCTCTGATTCTGAACTTTATGTTAGTAGATTTTTGTTCAACTAATTTTCATAATGCTGTCTTTCAAATTACAAGTGGCAAGAACAATAATTACATAGTCAATCTATTGTACATCACTGCATAGAAAATTCCATATAGCTCAAGACAGAACTATCTTCAGTTTTAGACTAAAATCCTGATTATCTACCTCAGTGTTAAAACAGGGATTGCAAAAATAAAATAAAATAAACAAAAGCCACAGGTAAGCTGCAATGTCACAGCAGGCATTAATTTCCATATTCTTCCATGCTAGTTATCTCCCTAGAGTTATTTTGAGGATATCACAATGATTTTCATTACATATGCTTAAATGTCTTATGCTTTTTTTATGTTGGCTTCATCATCTTCATAACTTGTAAACAAGGACCATGTCAGTCACTATGAAGTACAGCATAATGATTAAGAGCTTGGGCTTTCTCCAAAAAAGAAGAACCTGAATTAACTTGGGCAAGTCATTTAACCTCTTGGAGCATCAAGAATGGTAATACTAACAATGCATTAGTTCGTGAGAGAACTAAATGAGATAGTTATTTAAAAGCACCAGCATAGTACTTGGCACAGAGCAAGGACTTATAAATGTGAGTTATTAGTATAAATATGTCCTCTTCCACAAATAGTTGTATGCTAAGCACTCAATAGAAACTCGATATAATAGTGATAATTTGTAACATGAAGGAGAGACAATCACCACAAATTGGACTATATTCCAGGGTAATTCTGGGAGTCTAAAATTATTTATCTTTTTAGTACTTTTTGTAAAAACTGTCTTTATTGTTACCCAATTCTTTCCCTGCCTCTCTTATTCTCCTGTTTTATATTTTGCCCAAGGCATCATTTAGTGTTCCAAAATATTAGACTATTATAGGTACTCAGAAGCCCCAGGAGAAACGGAATACATTTACAGACCCATAAACATCTAAATTAGTGCTATAAATGGGAAATATAGTCTATAGTTGGAGAGTGCCCAATCCATAATATGTTGTGGCATAGAAGAAACTTCCTTTTTGGTGGCTGGAAAATCTATTTGCTCTAAGTATTCAATTTTAAAATGGATAATAAAAATAAATAATAGGCATGCTTCTGCTTAAATTGTAACTTTCATGGGAGATCTCAAAGAGTTTTTCAACTGTTAATTTATGACTCCTGGGGAAAGGTAGGTGGCAAGTAAAATATTTCTTCTTCAAATGGAGAAACAGACATAGAAAGGCCTGGGTGACTTGTCTAAGAATACAAGGCATGCTCCAGCTTTATGCAAACCAGAAAAGAAAATGTGGAGATACGCTCTTTAAATGATGAAATCTGTATTATGTGCTGATAAAACCTAAGATAAATGCTGACATAGGTTGTACAATTATCATATACCTAACATTTGTCTATCAGTTGTCTATTCCTGCAAACTACCACAAAAACCTAATGGCACATAATGGTATTTATTCTTGCTCATGTATCTGCAGATGGGATGGGAGTTAATCATATAGGCCAAGCTCAAGGCCAAGCTCACCTGGGCAGCCCAGGATTCAGATTGAATCCAGATATGCTCCATGTGCCTTTCACTCTACATAGACCAGAGGTCTGGCCAAGGCATGGTCATTTCACAGCAATAGAAGAGCAAGAAAGCAAACTCCAACTATGCAAGTGAGCTGTGTCACTTCTACTGATCCTATTGGCCAAAACAAGTCAATGACTAAGAACACATTGAGAGTCACAAGTATATTTTACCTACTAAGAAGACAAAAAGTCCCATGGTCATACCCAAAATCAACTTCCTTGGAAGTGCACCCTCCCCATGGAGGTAAGAGAAGAGAGTGAATACTTGTAAACAAGAATCTAATTTATTGTAAACAGCACCTTATTATTACTAATATTTCAGACATTTTTTCATGTGCTAATCTTGAAACTGTGGCTGCTTCTCATGCTTCTGTAACTCTGACTCAACCACTGGTTTCATCCTGGCCTAGAAGGTACTCTCTGAATATTAGTGTATTATTCACATGTATTAGTTAACTACAGCATTATTCAAAGCTCTTCTTTTTTCACATAAACCAGTCTTTCAGCTGATCTCCCTTTAGAGAACAAAAACAATAAATGTAGGCATCATTTATTGAATGCTTACTGTACAACAGATATGTGCTAAACTCTTGACAGATATCATCTGCCTTGGCTTCATTTAACCCTCACAACAAGCTAAGGAAGGTATAATCCCTATTTCATAAATTAAGAAACTGAAAATTAGAGAGATGAAGTGATATTACCATGGTTACACAGAAGTTAGTAACATGGCTGTGATTCAAAACTAATATGTCTGGCTCTCAAAGTCCAAATGTGAGACCAAGAAAATGCGGTGAGATGAGGGCTGAGACTGATTCAGTCTACAGTGACAGCACAGACAGCAAAATTATTACACCTAAATGCAGAGGAAAAAGGAGGTGTGCATAACTGGCTCTAACCACCAGGCCTGCCACTGTCTTGCTGTGTGATCTTGGGGAAATTACTTACTCACTTAACTTCTGTTTTCTCATCCGTGAAATGAAGATGATATCATTTTTGTTTGGTTGTTGGGATTTTTTTTTTGGAAGGGTCTTGCTCTGTTGCCCAGACATCAAATACCTCCTTTCACTTATTAGTATCTCCTTGATAATAAAGATACTAATTAAAGTGATTTAAGAGGAAGTCTCCCAACAGGGACATGATGCTAATTAATTTACATTAAATTGCATATGGTACAATCATGTAAACAACTTGCACTTATGAGTCTTTTATTTTTTATTTTTATAGAGATGGGATCACACTATGTTACCCAGGCTATTCTTAAACTCCTGGCCTCAAGCAGTCCCCTCATGTCAGCCTTCCAAAGTGCTGGGATTACAGGCATGAGCTACTGCACTTGGCCCAACACTTAAGGGTCTATTCACAGGCACTCTTTAGTCCCTGAGATTCCTAAGGAACCAGGAAAGCCTAACACCTATGAAAGGCTCAGTGCAATACCTTTAGCACATTGGTGTCATTGCAGATGAGGTCTTGTTACCTAATGGAGCTGAAGCTTTAGTGATATTGTTTGAATTTGTGTCCTCACCCAAATCTCAGGTTGAATTGTAATCCCCGGTGTTGGAAGAGGGGTCTGGTGGGAGGTGATTGAATCACAGGGGTGGTTCCCCCTTTCTGTTCTTGTAATAGTAAGTTCTCACAAGATCTGATTATTTAAAATGTGTAGCATCTGCCCCTTTTCTTTCTTCCTCCTGCTTCAGCCATGTAAGACGTGCCTGCTTCCCTTTCACCTTTTGCCTTGATTGTAAGTTTCCTGAGGCCTCCCCAGCCATGCCTCCTGTACAGCCTGTAGAACCATTGGCCAACTGAACCTCTTTTCTTTATAAATTACCCAGTCTTAGGTATTTCTTTATAGCAGTGTGAGAACAAACTAATACACTTAGAAAACTCAAAAATTCCAAGATGTCACCTGAGGATTCTTTCTGGTTTCTAGCATGCCAGTATCTTGGTATAAATCCACACTTCTCTTCAAGTTGTTTTGTGCCACATCTACACCTTTCGCCCAATACTCGATTTGTTTCTCATGTTAGAACAGTTTGAACACCCATTGAGGATGTGACATTCATTCTCTCTCTCCTCCTTTTCTCTCTCTTTCTCTCTCCTCATATTATACAGGGCCAAAGGGAAGTCAAGGATTAGGGCTTCAGCCTCATCTAAATTTTCTACACAGCAATGCAATTTAAGATACTTCATTAAATGCAGTGCCAGTTGTTTTCATCTTAGGCAGCAAATGATATGAGAACAGCCCTCTACACATCAAGGCCCCATGGGGTAGGCTATAGACAGCCAGAAAGAAGATCAGCTGTCCCTTTGACACTTTACTTTGAAGTCCAGCTTTCTCTCCAAGGTAGCTGAGTCCTCTCCACATCACTGCCAACCCCTGCCTCCAGGCTTTATCTAAATCACCCTCCTCTCCAGTTAAATCTGTAGGTTCCTGTGGGGACGAGTGGCTCCCACTGGCTAAGGCCTATTTCTCCAGGTTATATATGTCAGAGTTTTCCATGCCTTTAACAAGACTCAATTAAAAATTAATCAGCCCAGCATGGCAATTTGGAGAGGTAATTGTTTCTTTTCCTGACTCCATGGCCATAGGCTAAAAGCATACCCAGTACCTAAATTAATCATCTAATTGGGATTTTTCCATACTCCAATGACTCAACCTTCCAGCGATCCCAGCAAAGTGCTGTCCGACCTCAATAATTAATTTGCCTTAGTGTCCACTCTGTGGGTTTCTCCCCTGCTTTCCCTTCCAATCCCCTTTAGTAAAATAGAAAATAGCCATATAGGCCGTTTACCTGGGCCCTCTCCAATAACCAGGAGGCTTTATCTTCAGAAGATAAAATAGCACTTGTGAGGAAATATTGGAAATAGTGGGGCAGGTTCATATATTCAACATAGTTTGTAATAGAAAAAAATGGTTACTAACTAATGGTAGTACTTGATTGGCTAAATAAAGCATAGTATATCCATGCAACACACAGCAATATGGCTTTAAAAAGAAATGAGGAAATGTCATGTATGCAGCTATGGAATGTTCTCCAGGATATTAAAGGGAAAAAAAAGCAAATCACATAACAATACATGAAATGTTATATTTGCAAAAAAAGGGAAGAAAATATATGTAATGAAACGTATGTGTGTACAGACATATATAATACACACATATACACATGTATGCATATGCATATATTGATAGAGAAATATAAATATATATAAGTTTGTAATGCACTTAAATCACCTCTGGGAGGAGTCACAAGAAGCTATAAAATCATTTGCCTGTGGAAAGATAAACTGGGTGTCAGGAGGGGAATAGAAGAGAAAATTTCATTGTATGTCATTCACGTGCCTTTTGAATTGTGAATGTTCTTCCTGTCCAAAACATAAATACATTTATATCTTTGATATCATTTAATAATACTTGGTTTATGGTTGAAAATTCTTACAAACTTATATACATAACATGAATAGATAGACAAATAGCACATTTAAATAATTTTTAAAAAGAGAAGAGCAGGGAGAAGGAAAATTAGTACTTATTGAGCTGTGTGTCAGACCATGTGTACCCGTTTTTTTGTTTTTGTTTTAGTTTTTGTTTTTGTGACGGAGTCTCACGCAGTCACCCAGGCTGGAGTGCAGTGGCACGATCTTGGCTCACTGCAAGCTCCGCCTACCGGGTTCACGCCATTCTCCTGCCTCAGCATCCCCAGTAGGTGGGACTACAGGCACTCACCACCACACCCGGCTAATTTTTTGTATTTTTAGTAGAGACAGGGTTTCACCGTGTTAGCCAGAATGGTCTCAATCTCCTGACCTCGTGATCTGCCCGCCTCAGCCTCCCAAAGTGCTGGGATTACATATGCGAGTCACTGCGCCAGGCCGTGTATCCGTATTTAACACTCAAAGCAACCCTGCAAGGTGTCTTCATCTCTCCCTTTTTTTTTTTTTAACAAATGAATATAGTGAACATCCAAAGAAGAAATTAGGCGAATACCAGAAGTGCTTGTGTTGATTCATAGTAGCTAACACACACACATACACCCCTTTATATTTCATTTTGATATAATAAATACATTGTTTACTCTTCCCAAATATAAGATAAATGGCAATCTTTTTATAAGGAACCCACTCTCTCAATAACTGCATTAATCCATATATGAGGGCGGAGTATTCATAGCCTAATCACCTTGTAAATGTCCCGCCTCTCAATACTGTTAAAATGGCAATGAAATTTCCAGCACTTAGTTTTTGGGGGACACATTCAAGCCACAGCAAAGGTAATCTCGCTTTTGCTAGTCTCAGTTCAACCTTTAACAAGACAAGCATGTATACCTATGCTGACAAGCAGCAGGAATGTTGCACTTAGTCTTATCGTGATAACAGAACAATCCTTATAAGTTTCAACAACATCTGCTTACAAACATGTAGGAGGTGAGAACAAGTCCAATTTTTATTTTATCTCATTACTTAATGAGTACAATGGACATTATTCAGGTGATGGACACACTTAAAGCCCAGACTTCACCACTATGAAATATGTCTCTGTGAGGAAATTGCACTTGTACTCCTTAAATTTATACAAATAAAAAAACAGCAATAAATACATAAAGTGTCCTGTAAAATTCAGTGTTCTTGCAGTTGGTTCACAGGTCCTATCCGAGCATAACAAAATTATTTACACAGCTTGTAACGACCTATTATAGATGGTATTAGAAGAATTCTTCTAATTCTCTGTTAATCACACTCCCTGCTCTTTATTAGCTCTATCTAGGCAAAGCATCTCCCTGGAGAGAAGAATTTGCAGCAAGCAGGAAGCTCTGGCCTCTTCATGTTCATATCATGAAAACTCAAGAGGACTCCCTGCGACCTCTGACCTTTTCTCCATGGTTGGGGTTGCCTTAGGGGTCTCTCTCCCATGGAGAAAGAACCACCAGCCTGCTTGCCCCTCTCTCCTTCCTCCCTCTCTGGTCAGCCTCACCTGTGATCACCCAGGGTAGGAAGAGAGGAAAGCCCTCCCCAGGCTCTGATAACAGGGTTGCATGACTGTAATTACAGGCTTTCGCTTCCCAGCTACCCAAATGACAGTCACAGTGGAGGCTGAAACGCCTCAGTCAGATGGAATCAATTACTGGGCAAAATTGGGAGGTTAATTTTCCCCAGAATGAGATATGCCTTTTAGCTTTGCCATCTCTTTTACTCCAGCTGGTAGCTTATTTGGTCGCATTGTTCTCTGGCCATATGAACAAAGTTCCATTAGGAAGGATTTCCAAAAGAGTTGATTTGAAAAGGAAACTCCATCAGCCCCCAAACTCAATACGAGCTGAATAGGACTGTTATTAACAAAGCAGCATGGATGGCTAATCACTAGAATTTACATTTGACGGGCATGGGGTTAATCCAATAAGAAGAAATGAGATCTCTCAGTCCAGTACCAGTCCCTTCTTTAAGGTCCCCTGGCTGAACTTTACCATGGCCCAGCACTGAAAGAGCTTTACCTTCTGGAAACTTCCATGAAAATAAGCCACTTCCCTCATTAGCATAATTTTCTAAATATGACAAAGCATCTCATTGAAAACAAAATAAAACAAAAGACAAAGAGTATTCATCTTTTTCAAGTACAATTGCCGCTTCTGAGTGGCTTAGTAGAAGTGTTAAAATAGCTTCCATTTAATAGTTTATAATAACAATAGAGACTAAAATTTATTCACGTCCCATGTTTAAGGAAATGGTAAATATTATTTATTCATTAACTCAATCACCTCAAAAACCACCCTAAACTGAGGCCATGAGAAGTTGGCTAACTTGTTCATGTTTACCCCACTGTTAAGAGTCAGAATGTGGGCCGGGCGCGGTGGCTCACGCCTGTAATCCCAGCACTTTGGGAGGCCGAGGCGGGTGGATCATGAGGTCAGGAGATCGAGACCATCCTGGCTAACAAGGTGAAACCCCGTCTCTACTAAAAATACAAAAAATTAGCCAGGCGCGGTGGCGGGCGCCTGTAGTCCCAGCTACTCGGGAGGCTGAGGCAGGAGAATGGCGTGAACCCGGGAAGCGGAGCTTGCAGTGAGCCGAGATTGCGCCACTGCAGTCCGCAGTCCGACCTGGGCGACAGAGCGAGACTCCGTCTCAAAAAAAAAAAAAAAAAAAAAAAAAAGAGTCAGAATGTGAACCCAGATAACCTGAATCCACTACCTACAATTTAAAATCACTCTGCTATATGAACATTGTCACTCCATATGTGCAAACATTTCAAAAGGGAAATATTCTTATCACTTGTAGGTGGGGAATTTGGAGCATGAAGATATTAACTAACTCATGCAAGTTCAGAGAGCTCTTAAATTAGTGAAGCTGCAAGTCCATGCCAGATCTGTCAGACTCAATAGCCTGAATACAGCTACTAAAACCCTACAGAGGCTTTGCAAGAGCCACTACTGCAAGGCCTTGGGTGATGGTTAGCTAAAAATAAGTGGTAGTGGTTATCAATTCTAGTATCATTTATGTTCTTCTCTTAGTCCTCTTTAGGAGAATTTATGAGTCCTATAATAACATTGTATAGCTATATTGTATTCTGAATCCTACATAGCTGTTTTCTTTATATCATCTCTTTAGGGGGTCACTCCATGAAGTAAGTACACATTTCCTTAGGAAACAGACTTTAAGAGTTTGAATAACTTGCAAGAAAATCACTGGAATTAAAGTTCAGTGCCATTTCTCACATGTTTATTGCGGCACTATTCACAATAGCAAAGACTTGGAACCAACCCAAATGTCCAACAATGATAGACTGGATTAAGAAAATATGGCACATATACACCATGGAATACTATGCAGCCATAAAACAGGATGAGTTCATGTCCTTTGTAGGGACATGGATGAAGCTGGAAACCATCATTCTCAGCAAACTATCGCAAGGACAGAAAACAAAACGCCGCATGTTCCCACTTGTAGGTGGGAATTGAACAACGAGAACACTTGGACACAGGGTGGGGAACACCACCCAACAGGGCCTGTTGTGGGGCGGGGGGAGGGGGGAGGGATAGCATTAGAAGATATACCTAATGTAAATGATGAGTTAATGGGTGCAGCACACCAACATGGCACATGTATACATATGTAAGAAACCTGCACGTTGTGCACATGTACCTTAGAACTTAAAGTATAATAATAAAAATAAATAAAATAAAATAAAATAAAGTTCAGTGCCATTTCTACTACTGAAACCTAACAACCCCATGATACCTGAAAGATTTAAAGGTAGGTACTTTATTATTTTCTGTCAATCTCTAATTCAGGAAAAATAAGCCATTATTTGCTAATGTTATGCCATTTATTAGAAGTGAAGCGGCCGGGCACGGTGGCTCACGCCTGTAATCCCAGCACTTTGGGAGGCCGAGGCGGGTGGATCACGAGGTCAGGAGATCGAGACCATCCCGGCTAAAACGGTGAAACCCCGTCTCTACTAAAAATACAAAAAATTAGCCGGGCGTAGTGGCGGGCGCCTGTAGTCCCAGCTACTTGGGAGGCTGAGGCAGGAGAATGGCGTGAACCCGGGAGGCGGAGCTTGCAGTGAGCCGAGATCCCCCCACTGCACTCCAGCCTGGGTGACAGAGCGAGACTCCGTCTCAAAAAAAAAAAAAAAAAAGAAGTGAAGCTTGTGTTGGTTTAATCATTCAGCAGACATTTATTAAATTTCCACTGCATACCAGACTAGTAGCATGGTAGTAGACCACTATCGAAGTCTCAGAACAGGATAGAAAATGCCCCTGCTCTCACAGACCTTATATTCCACTGATAAACATGGCAGGAACATTCGTAAATGCCTTTTACACTTCTCACGTATCAGATACATTACGTAATGTGGTTGGAAATTGGATTGAATGGCAAACAAGTTAGCGTTTTCTGGGTAGAAGTAAAACATGCTAGATTGTTTTTCTTTGCCAAAGGAGTATACCATGATAATTAAGACATTTATGAAAATCTAAAAGTGACCAAGCGAAAAATAATCCAAACTGAAATTGAAAAAAAAACATAATTTTTCCATATTATTGAAAAAAAACCATAATTTTTCCATATTTCTTTCAGTTGTAATAATGTGAGGTGTGGGTGGTAGTTTTTACATTACAGCAGGACTCCCTACTTTATAGTTCATATACCTGTTGATGTACGTGGATCTTTAACCTCATAAAGAAGTGTTAGGGCAAAGCAACATGAAAAAACATAGATTGAAAACTACTTCTAATTTAAAATTTTAAATGGAGGTTAATTTCTGAAGTTAAAAAAGTAGAGTGATTAAATTCATAATTATACATAATAAGCAATATATATAGAAATTGTATGTAATATTTTATATAACTGATAGGTTATATTTATATCATTCATTATAAGAATTTGACTTACTGGTATTACGTTCTGGATCTGGATTCCAGATTTCATGAATTGAGGCTTACCTGTATTTAAGAGATGTCAGGGCTGATACCATATTGGATGTGAGGGGACATTCTGTTCTCAGTAGTCACTGAAAAATGATATTTATGTAAGCCAAAAGAAACACACACGCACACATGTGCACACCAACACATACACTTTTTTACCCTCTAATATTTTTAGATCAAAATAATGTGATTCTTGTTTTTTATTCAGAAGGGGTAAGAGACCCTGTTGTTACAAATCTCTACTAAGTGGTTTCCATTACATTTTTTTCCTTCTTTTTTTTTTTTTTTTTTTTTTTTGAGAGACTCTCTCACTCTGTCACTCAAGCTGGAGTGAAGTGGTGTGATCTCGACTCACTGCAACCTTTGCCTCCTGGGTTCAAGCGATTCTCCTGCCTCAGCCTCCTGCGTAGCTGGGACTACAGGTGCGTACCACCATGCCTGGCTAATTTTTTTTGTATTTTCAGTAGAATACAAAAAAATTCTACCAAAAAATAGAATTTGTAGTAGAATTTAGTAGTATGGGGATGTCTTTTGCACTTCAACACCACGGTGTGTCCTCTTGCATGTATTTTCTAAGTTACGACCATGTGAGCAAATGGTGATTATTGAATAGATCCTGCTTAATGATTTTGGTGGAGAAGTGAAACTCTTCCTTATAGATAAAGGCCTTATTTGCCTTGCCACTTAGACAGTTTTACACCTTGTGGCATCCTCTGTCAGCATGCAATTTCTTCCATTATTCAACGATTGCAAATGTGTATTGGAATCTCCACACCATGGAGTTTCGCCATGTTGGCCAGGCTGGTCTCGAACTCCTGGTCTCAAGCGATCCACCTGCCTTGGCCTCCCAAAGTGCTGGGATTACAGGCGTGAGCCACCATGCCCCAGATATCCACTCTATTCTTTTTTTTTCAAGACAGAGTCTCACTCTGTCACCCAGGCTGGAGTGCAATGGCAGCGATTCTGGCTCACCACAGCCTCTGCCTCCCGGATTCAAGCAATTCGCCTGCCTCAGCCTCCCGAGTGGCTGGGACTACAGGCGTGCACCGCCATGACCAGCTAATTTTTTGTATTTTTAGTAGACAGGGTTTCACCATGTTGGCCAGGATGGTCTTGATCTCCTCACCTTGTGATCTGTCCACCTCAGCCTCCCAAAGTGCTGGGATTACAGGCGTGAGCCACGGCACCTGGCCTATCCCTTCTATTCTTAGCCCTGGCTTTTCTTCTCATAGATTGTTTCCTTCCTTGCAAAGGTAGTCCCTGATAAGAGCTGGGGCACAGGCCCAGGCCCAGGCCCATTGAGCACTGACCTTCCCCCAATTACAGTATCTATAGTGTAGGTGTAAAAGGGGCTTTCTCATTATTATTATTTTGTGGTCAAAAGGTTGCACACACTCCTTTTTTTTTCTGCTGCTGAAGCTTAGAAAGGGTGGAAAGCAAAATATTTTGATAATTATTCAGGCCATCAGGTTACATAAGAGGTTCCACAGCCTTCTGCATCAAACTTGAACAGTTGAAACCACAAATTCTGTTTTTGCAGCCATAAAACATTCATAGCAAAAAAAAAAGAGAGAGAGAGAAACAGAAAATAATAAAATCCATTTTCCATTTGCTTGAAACTTATAAAATTTAATGTGGTGAAAAATGACAGTTTACTCCCTGTAGGAAACTGCTCAGAGCCATGTTTCATAGGCATGGTGTGGAGTTTCTAATGCACACTTGCAGTCATTGAATAATGCAAGAAACTGCATGCTGACAGAGGATGTCACAAGGTGTAAAATATCTAAGTGGCAAGGCAAATAAGTCCTTGATCTATAAGGAAGAGTTTCACTTCTCCACCAAAATCATTAAGCAGCGTCTATTCAATAACCACCATTTGCTCACAGTCGTAACTTAGAAAATACATGCAAGCAGACGTACCGTGGTGTTGAAGTGCAGTAGACATCTCCACATGAAGACTGAAGACATTTTGCTATTAGCAGTAGCTAAATGTGGTTACTAGCATGGAAAACATTTAATTTTTTTTTTTCAGATGGAGTCTCGCTCTGTCACCCACGTTGGAGTGCAGTGGCACAATCTTGGCTCGCTGCAAGCTCCACCTCCTGGGTTCACGCCATTCTCCTTCCTCAGCCTCCCGAGTAGCTGGGACTACAGGTGCCTGCCACCACACCTGGTTAATTTTTTTTTTTTTTTTTTTTTAGTAGAGATGGGGTTTCACCATATTAGCCAGGATGGTCTCGATCTCCTGACCTTGTGATCCACCTGTCTCGGCCTCCCAAAGTGCTGGGATTACAGGCGTGAGCCACCACGCCCAGCCATTTTTTTTTTTTTTTTTTTTTTTTTGAGACAGAGTTTCACTCTGTTGCCCAGGCTGGAGTACAGTGGTGCGATCTGGGCTCACTGCAACCTCTGCCTCCCAGGTTCAAGCAACACTCTTGCCTCAGCCTCCAGAGTAGCTGGGATTACAGGCATGCACCATCATGCGCAGCTAATTTTTGTATTTTTAGTAGATACTTGGTTTCACCACGTTGGCCAGGCTGATCTCAAACTCCTGACCTCAAGTGATCCACCCACCTCAGCCTCCCAAAGCACTGGGATTACAGGCGTGAGCCATCGCGCCTGGCGAATTATTTTTTTTAAAGATATGGTGGCACTAGTTATAACCTCTACATAATATAGTATTTGTATATTTTTTCTTTTTCTAATATATCATTAAGAGTAAGATCAAAACATTCAATGCACAGTGGCAAAACTGTAGAGCTCCAGCTCTGTAAGTAACTGGCAGAGTGGCTATAAACATGCCTTTAAACTCAACTGACCTTGATTTCTTTCCTATAACGTTAATGGGTTGGACTAAGTGATTTCCAAGTCCAACTTCAACTAATATTCTGTAGGAATTTTTAGAAAAGGATAATCGCCTGGATATTCAAATCAGTAGAACGTTGAACCAATGAACAACTGAAAACAAGAACTGTTTTGACTATATCCGAGTAAAGTTGAATATTA
This sequence comes from Homo sapiens, assembly GCF_000001405.40. Lineage (NCBI taxonomy): Eukaryota > Metazoa > Chordata > Mammalia > Primates > Hominidae > Homo > Homo sapiens. The sequence goes on from NC_000017.11 coordinate 71,861,612, forward strand.
TAGGTGGTTTACGAAATGTCTGTGTCCTACAATAGCTTTAATCATATCTTTAGTGTTTGACTATATTAAATGCCTATTACCATAATTATGCTGCCTAATAATCCATCTCAAAACTTAGTGGCTTAAAATAGCATAAGTATTTACTATTGCTCAAGGATCTACAGGTCAGCTGGACAGTTCTGCTGCTCTGGGTCAAGCCTGGCTGTTCTGACTGGGTTTGCTCAAGCATCTGCAATCAGCTGGTGAACCATGTGAGAGGTAGTTGCTCCTACGGACTGGATGTTTATGCCCCCCCCAACCCCAAAAATTCAAAAATTGAAGTCTAAAACCTCAATATAATGGTATTTGATAATAGGGCCTTTGGGAAGAAATTAAGTAATGAGGCTGGATTCCTTATGAATGAGATTAATGCCCCTATAAAAAGAGAAAGAGACAGGAGTCTCTCTCTGTCTGCTGTCCAACTTGTTGTGAGGACACAAGAAGACAGCCGTCTGCAAACCAGAGAGAGCACCCTCTTCCACCAGATACCAGATCTTCCTGTCCCCTGACCTTGGACTTCCCAGCATCCAAAACTGTGAAAAAGAAACTACTCAGTCTATAATACTTTGTTATAGAAACCCAAATGGACTAAGACAACTTATTTAAAGTATTTTTTTTTTGAGACGGAGTCTTACCCTGTCACCCAGGTGGGAGTGCAGTGATGCCATCTCGGCTCACTGCAACCTCTGCCTCCCAGGTTCAAGGGATTCTCCTGCCTCAGCCTCCTGAGTAGCCGGGATTACAGGCGTGCACTACCACGTCTGGCTAATTTTTTTGTATTTTTAGTAGAGATGGGGTTTTACCATGTTGGACAGGCTGGTCTCAAACTCCTGACTTTGTGATCTGCCCACCTCGGCCTCCCAAAGTGCTGAGATTATAGGCATGAGCCACCACACCTGGTCTATTTAAAGTATCTTCTAATATAAAGTTCTATTCACCTGTCATTTTAAATGGACTTAATATACTGCAATATTCTAGTGTAATGTTGGGCTCCTGTAACTCACAGAAGTCTAGATATAGATATAGATATATAGATATATAGATACATACAGATACGGATATAGGTAGATATAGGTATAGATAGATATAGATATATATAGAGAGAGATATAGATATGTTTGTAAATATTTTGAGTATTTTAAATACCTAAGTAAAAATGCCCAAGTTATAGATTAACATCACCAAGTGGTTTTGAAAAAATTTAGCTAGGGACAAGCCTTTAGCTACATCAGATAAGGATTCTACAAAATTTTGTAGACTCATTCTATAAAATCATCAGTGCTTTTCTTCCAATAAGCTTATAAAAGTACCGAGAATGCTTTTCCAAGCAAATGTTTTCTAACAATTCTGAAACTGCTCTTTACCAGGCATGTTCAAGTCCTGCCTTTTTATTAATAGTCTCTCTAAATCCAAGTTGATTAAATATAGTTAAAAGGAGAGAACTATTTGAGACCAAACATGGTAGTGCAACTTGGTAACTCTTGTTTCATTTGCTGTGCCATCCAGACCAAAAAAAAAAAAAAAGTCAGTAAATAATCAATAAGAGGCCAGGTGCAGTGGCTCATGCCTCTAATTCCAGCACTTTGGGAGGCCAAGGCGGGTGGATCATGAGGTCAGGAGTTCGAGACCAGCCTGGTGAAACCCTAGCTCTACTAAAAATACAAAAGTTAGCCAGGCATGGTGGCATGCACCTGTAATCCCAGCTGCTTGGGAGGCTGAGGCAGGAGAACTGCTTGAACCCAGGAGACAGAGGTTGTAGTGAGCCAAGATCATGCCACCGCACTCCAGCCTGGGTGACAAAGCAAGACTCCATCTTGAAAATAATAATAAGAAGAAGAAATAAGAAAAAATGTTTATCATAGTTTATATACATTGTGCCACAGAAAAATATAACTGACATACAGATGTAGACCATTGCTTTGTATTTTAGAATGAGTTCTGGTAATGTTTAGAGGAAAGAGATTTACCTTTATTTTCAGCATTTCCATAAACCTTTCAAAAACCTCTAATCTCTTAAAAGTACAAGATGAAGAACTACATTAGAAATTTCCCAATAGGCAACCACAAAAATATAATATTACCACTTAAAACCAACATTATTCCTCCTCCTTGTTAGAATGTGGCACATTTGAGCATCAGATACAATTAAATATATTTGAAGACTATAACTGAATACTTTCTATGTGAGAAGTAGAAAAATGTCATGCTTGAAATAGGCAAATAAAAAAACTGAAAAGTAACCAAATATAAGACAGAGATTCTGCAATAAGCCATGTCTTCAGCATTTTAAAAGCTGAAGCCACAGCTTTTTATTGTTGTTCATATGTCTTAAGAGTATTTCCAATTGGCAAAGCAATGACAAGGTGCATATACTTTTTCATACTTTTTGTTATTTGTACAAAGCTATTTTGGTTAACTCCATAAAAACACAGGGAAATAGAAGCTTGAGGCCACCACTGGAATTATTTAAAACACAAAGAAAACCCATGTGTTTCATTCACACAGCAATTTGGGGTGAATGTGGTTTTCAGCCAATATTTTCCAGAAAAACCACTTAATCCCACAAGTTTCTTCTGAGTCTGAGACTCAACCAGAATCCCAGCTGACTGGCTTCATTCAGTCTGGAGACCCAAACTGGTCCGGGATATGCACTTAACATTTTTCTGAACTCTGGAAGATCAGAGAAAAATTACAGGTAATATGAAAATAGGAAATACTTGATGCCTTAGGAATTCTAGTAGGGCAGGAAAACACAGACTGAAACCCTACAACTGCTCAGTACAGTCGGAGCATCCTTGACTGTTTCCCATAGCCCTCATTTGATACTAACATAATCAGTATCAACACTCTGCAACCAGGCTTCCTGAGTTCATACCCAGATTTTACTGCTTACTAATAGTGAGGACCTAAGTCCCTCTACCTTGGGTTCCTCACACATAACGTGAGGATAATAGTATAAACCACATAGCATTCTTGTAGGCAGAGAATGATATTGTAAGCATAAAGCTGCTCACCAGAGTGCCTGGCATATGTCAAACACCCACAAATATCAGCAATTATTATCATCATTAGTTATATACAAGCAAATGCATATAAAGAAGTCTGACCATAAATTCAATATCACACTTACTGATGACCTAAAATCCTTATTACTAAGAAAGGAAGATCTGAGAACTGCCTTCCTAATTCTGGGCTCTAGTGCTCATCCATGGCAAATCATTAAAGAGGATTGAGAATCCCATCTTTCAGTCAAGCTCACTCTAACCTCTGAAAGCCCCATTCATTTCTAGAATCATCAATCAGTATTTATGGAGCACCACATCAGACAGTGAGAAAATTAAAGAAGGAGGAAAGTCCCCAGCTCCAGACAGACTCATCACCCAGGGAAGAGACAGCCATATTAACAAATAATTGCCATGCCTTAATGCACACAGAAAGCTCAGGGCAACAAAGAGGAAGGGGGCTTATATTATGCCTGAGGGGGTTGGAGAACGTTTGACCGAGAAGGGACATTAGGTCCCAGTCTTGGAGGATGAGAAAGAGGTCATCAAATAGAGGAAAAGGAAAAAAAAAAAAAAAAAAAGGACCCCACATAAAGAGTAGCAGATGCCAAAGCTTTGTGAAAGCTCTTACATGTAATGAATATATCAAGTTAGAAGTGGCTGAAGCAAGAGGTATAATGCAGGGATCAAACGAGCAAGTTTGGAGAGGGAATCACTGGAATATATTCCTTCTCCCCATTATGCAGAAAATTGAAATGAAAATTAACTAAAACATAAATTACTTAGCGATCTCCACACAAACCTCAAGTCTGAAAAATAGGACCCCCAAAATTATCCCTTCCACCCCCCAAAAAAATCACTTTCTTAGTTAACAGTGCATTTTACTTGCTCTTGCAAAAATCTCCCTGCCAATGCTTTCTTTCCACAATCAGAATCTTTTACTTTTAATGTACCAAAGGAAACGAAATAATATTTATTGTGTCTCTTGCATGTGCTTCTTAGAAAAATGGCATTAGCCTCATATGGAAATACTTTGACAGACCCCTGAAAATAATTCCTTAACCACAAACATGTCCTCTACTTGTCTGATCTCAAATTGCCTCAAATATCACAATTTCAGGTCAGATTTAAGGATATGACAGGCACTATCAGTCCATTACATATGAATGATATATGAGGTAGAGGGCAGAGGTGCTGGCACAGAAGACGGCCAGTTGTGGGGAAGCCCCATGCCTGGTTCCCTACAGTATCTGCCTCCCTGGGAACTTTCCAGGCCCACCTGAAGACACTTACCAGCCAACGGCTTCCTCTGCACAAAGGAGAAGAGGAACAATGGAAGCTCTCTCTGTGTTCATCATCCAGATACCATCTCGGAACCTCACTGGAGCACGATTATTGGAGGCAAAATAACACAGATAGGATTTCACATGCGAGCTTTGGATATGGGGCTAACAAAGATAGAGGGACACAAACAACCCCTCTCCCTGAGCCCCTGCCTTCCTCACAACCCCTTGTTGCTCTTTCGCTTCCAACTTCTAATTGGCAGACACCTGATCTGCATTTCGATTTCATTTTCTGAGCACACATGGCCACTTGAGACTCCCTGATACGTGTGGGAAAGGGGTGGCCATGTTGCCTGCACCTGTTGCGGAGACCTGCCCGCCGCCCCTCCCTTCCTGCCACCCCCATTGTGTGCCACCTTATTCTGTTTCAGTAGCAACAGAAAAGAAGTCAAAGTCACCGGCATTCAACAGGAACACATACAAAAAGGAAGCCAGAAAGCTTCCTTGTACCTCTTCTCCCACCACCCTGAAAAGCCTGCCCATTGGCCTACTTCAATAGTAAGTGTAGCAATCCTATCTCATTTCAGAGTTATGCCAGGTGAGAGTCGTAAAAGGTAACAACATAATCATTTCTCTGGATGGCCCATTGAGCATTATTGATATGAATTGGTTACACAAACACACACGCACACGCACACACAACCTAATAAGAAACTACTCATATTTGATATCCCCATGTAGACCATATCTATTACTTTTGTGAAAATAAAAAGATCAAAGATCAAGGGCACTGGGGACTTTTAACTTCCAAGAGAATACGTTGCAATACCAATAAACTTTCACAGCAACCACCTTGGAATGTAGACTGAAACTGAATAACTCTACATACAGATCTTAACGATGATGATAAGAACACACTCAAATTCAAAGGAGAGAAAGAAAGAAGTACAGCAGCTACCGTCCTGAGCAAACGTGCAGCAATGAAACAAGACCACATTTTGAAGTTTGATGGCCAAATGCCTTGGTTGGTGTCTGTCACCATGTGGATACTAAAATGTTAGACTATAATGATGCAGTGGGAGTAATAATACATCATAAGACCTGGAAATGGAAAGAATCCATGAAATCATCAAATAATGTTTTGGCCAGCAGAGGATGCAGTTCCCAGAGAATATTCCTTAAAGTCCCCCTTGGGTTGAGCTCTAAAGACCAAGTCACTTTATCCATCTCAGAAGAGAGTGATCTGTCCATCTGTAGTATCTGGTTTCTGCTATGAAATTAAACTTTGGCCTTAAAAGCATTGTTCCACACCAAACTAGTCCTTGGTACCAGGTTTTCATTAAGGACCAGCTATAGCCTATGGAGGAGGCAGGAAAGGTCATTTTATCCATTCCCCTACCTCCGGGCAGGTCTTGTGTGAAATGACACCAGCCTGGCTCTTATTATAAAATCCCCATAGCAGGAAGTTCTATAGCCCCTGCTGTAATACTGTTTTCCCATGACATATAACCCTCATGGTTAGAAAGTGTTTTCTGCAGTCTAGACACACTCCCTCCCACCGCAATTTTAAAACATGTTCCCACAGTAGCAGAGAACTATTTACCACATTCAAGGTCCCTGAAGAAAGAAAGCAACTTAATATTGCTCCCTCTATATTGCTTCTTGTAGCATGGTCTTAATTTCAGCTGAGCTTTTTATATCACAGTTTATCAAAAAAAAAGGTGATGTGGGCTTTTGGAAGGCAAGAGTTGTTCCTTTTTGCCATTTGTGGGTACTGCTGGGGATTTTAATTAGTTGTAAAGACAATGTGGAAAGTAGAGCAACATTCTTCCAATACCGTTAGTTCAGATTTTGATATGGTATGATGCAAACTGGCCTGAAGATCTGTTCAACTATTCATTGCATTATTTCATTTTCTTTTCTTTTTTTTTTTTTTTTTTTGAGACGGAGTCTTGCTCCGTCGCTCAGGCTGGAGCGCATTGGCGCAATCTCAGCTCACTGCAACCTCCGTCTCCTGGGTTGAAGCAATTCTCCTGTCGCAGCCTCCCGAGCAGCTGGGACTATAAGTGCCTGCCAAAGCGCCCGGCTAATTTTTGTATTTTTAGTGGAAATGGGGTTTCACCTTGTTGGTCAGGCTAGTCTCAAACTCCTGACCTCAGGTGATCCACCCGCCTTGGCCTCCCAAAGTGCTGGGATTACAGGCGTGAGGTACAGCACCCGGCCCATTATTTCATTTTCATTATATTGAAAAAATCATTTAAACATTTACTAAACTTGGCTGGGTGCAGTGGTTCATGCCTGTAATCACAGCACTTTGGGAGGCCAAGGTAGAAGGACCCCTTAAACCCAGGAGCTAGAGATCAGCATGGGCAACATAGGAGACTCCTGTAAAAAAAAAAAAAAAAAACTAAACTAAATTAAATATGTAAAAATGAATCCAAATCTTTAAAATATCATAAACACGCTAATTATAAATCTTTATTATCTACTCTTTTATTACTTAAAATAGGTAAAAGGGCAGATCCTCTTATTGGCAATCCCCTATCATCTTACTTTAAATTGTTATACATAATTGAAAGTAATGAAATAGCATGTCTCTGCAAAATAAAACTTGTTTTTATTGCCTTTAACTGCTCTTTTCAAAATTCATTCAGAGTAATAAAACTTAACAGTCTTTCAGTAAGGAATCTGAAAATACATAATGCAAGTTTCTGCTTCTGACAACTTCCTTACTGAATTTTTTTAATCAACTGGTGAGTAGACACCTACCAAAAAGGTGCTGCGAGGAAAGAAATCAGAATTAATCACTTTCGTGATAGTCTCGTTCTCTCAAATTTAAAAAACTTAAGTTTACAATAATAATTCATATTAAAATGCATGTTTTCATGTCAACATTTATGAAAACTTCTAAAATGTATCACATGAGTAAAAATGAAAGGATATTTTCAAGTTAAGTCACTTATATTTCATATATATTTCAAATTTCGAGAAAAACTTGAAGGCATTAAATTTTAGAGGTAAAAGTATGAGCTAGTGCCTTTGATAATATATACACCATTGTTTCCCTATTTTGTCCTGCATTAAAGAAGAAGAGAGGGGCAAGGGGAGAGGAGACATTTTCTTGAAGTTATCATTGAGGACATGGGAACTTCAGTGAATATTCCAATGTGAATTCCCTTGTAAAGTTGTCAAACTAGAATTTCTTCACATAGAATAAGAAAATTTAGTCTTATGAAATGTGTTTAAAAAAGAAATACCTTAACTCAAAGTGGGTCAATAATCTTAAGTATTTTCTTTCATATCCAATAATGCAATGTGTCCGTGAGCCCACAATACGTCTATTTGAGAGAATGATAGAAGTATCAACGTTTGGTACTCACATAAAATATGATAAAGGACCTTCCTGTTCCAGTCTCTGCCTCCAAAGAGAAACACACCTTTTATGGATTTCTAAACTCAGCCAGGGCTGTTGGGAAAACACTCACTTATCTATACCAACAATAACACTGAGCACTTTATTGAGTGCTTACCATGTGTTAAACACTTCACGTGCATCATATTATCTAATTTTCATAATCACCCTATGAAAGAGGCACTATCATGCTTTCCATTTTACAGGTGAGGCTCGTTGAGGTTAAGTACCTTGCCCAAGGTCACACAGCTGGTAAGTAGCAGGGCCAGGATTTAAGCCTAATAGTCTGCAGAGCCTCCTATGGTATTTTATACAAGGCTTTGCACGCAAATCTCTTTAAGTAGCACCTTTTACTATCATTCCACTTCCCTGGATCCAACAGATTCGACAGCTTGGAATCATTAGAAAAATAAAAGCACACAGAAAAGCAAATCAAATAGATCTGAAATAAAAACATTGCTTTAAAATACCTGTTTTCAATCTCATAACGAATAAGCACGAGAGGGAAATCAACCCTTCGGTTAAATTTTTTGTTTGTCTTAAAAACTACTGGACATCAAACTGCCTTACTAATTCTGATCTAATCATCGTTCTGTAACTTTGAGTCACAGTTAGAGCAGAGCAGCTCTTAGAAAAAGAGCAAGTGAGAATGAGACTAGCCTCCTACCTTTCTACTAGAAATAGTAACAGTAGCAGCAAGCACTTAAATCTGCCAAGGGCACTTCTAGGAAAATTTCTAAACCATCTGTCCCCTGAAAAGAACAGAATTTAACTACAGACAAAAAAGAAAAAAAAATTAGAAAATAATTGCACACATGCCATTTTCAATAAAAAGCAATTTCTTATTTTAATTAAAGATTTTGTCTATTTTATTCCATCATCTCTCATTTAACATAAAATATAAATAGGAACAATTCCATAATAATGAATTACTCCTTTTTAGGGTTCAGCTGAATACTCACAAGTAGAGCTTCTGCATTTATTTTAGATTTAAAAAACAATGAAATGCATTACTGTTATTAAATATGATTAGGTATTTTGCGACACAGGAAGTAATTATTTGACACAACTGGCAGTTTCAGTTGACCTTAGAAAGTTTGTCTCTCTCTCTGGTCAAGCACTCATTGCTAAGAGCAAACGGATGAGTTTCAAAGCACTGGTTTGGACCGCTGGAAACAGATAATCAACAGATGATAGAAACATACCCTTTTTGGGGGGTGGTTTTTGTTGTTTTTTTTTTTCTTCCAGATCTTGTCAAAGGATGATTGATATGTGTGGAGCAGCCCTTCAAACACCAGCCACAGCCTGAGGCACTTCCTATAATCAAAGCACACGCCCACCCAGAACTAATTAGACATTAGATTAGTGTCAACTGATTGATTTAAAGCAGCTCTCTCTCCTTTCCCTCTCCTCCACCCCCCAGCAATGCAAGGATAGGGTTGGTCTACAAAATGACTCTCTCTCAACAGACAGACAAATTATTCATGGAAGCTTCAGGAAGGAAACCTAGAGACAATGCAGTGTGGCTAAAAAGCAACCAGAAGAAAATTTCTGGAAGGAAAGGGTGGGGGGTGGGGGTAGAACAGAACAGAGAGAGAGAGGGAAAAAAAAAGAGAGAATGAATCATGTTTCTGAAAGCAATGAAACCCCTCGGTCCAATTTGTTGAATTAAGTTAGAGAGAGTGTTTGTGATGTTTGAAAGAAAATTATTTGCAATTTAACCTAGGAGAGTTCTGAGTACATTTGGCTACAATTTAGATACCATTTTTCAAAGTCTTTTTCCTTCTTCTTTTTTTTCCTTTATAAATATATGAGCCGGGAACATTCAACGTTGTCTTAATGGATTAAGCAGAGACAAGGCTGCAAGGAGCAAATTAAAAATGAAATAGTTACAGCTGTTGGAACTGGCATTGGGCAGAGAGAGGTAAAAAGGATTTCTCTTCTTACAGGATAAGGGAGATTTCACCAAGCCTTTGCAGAGTTCAGACATGCGTGCCTACAAAACGGTAAGAGTGAGCCCTCGCCTCCTTAGCCACTGCACACTTCAGTTGCTGCTTAAGCCTGTAGAGGGGCCCAAATAGTTGTATTTCAACTAAAAAGTGAACATATTCCCAGAAGAGACCACTGGAGTAGGAGGGCAGCCAGGGGCCAGTTTTAGACTTTTCATTTGCAGATTAAAAGCCTTTTCCATTTGTCAGGGTCTGCTGCTACTGCACTCTGGAGTCAGGGCTGATCCAACAAAAACACACCTCTGGAATTATTTCTGTAAATATGCCCCCCAACAGTCCCGCCCCAAGAAGTGCTATAAGAGCAGCAGAAATGTATAAGAAAGATACTACCAGCCAATGGAACTCCAGCAGTCTTCATATAAGGACACTCTTCCATCTCATGGCTTGGAGAGGGCTAGAGAAAAGGAAGAGGTGTTAGTGAATGATTTGGGAAGAAGGAGCAGAGGGTGAGAAGAGCAGCAACGGCCAAACAGTAGAATTGGCATTCCTGTGAGTCATTGTGCATATTTTTAGAGCTCTTTACAGCTTTCAAGGCTATATGTATTATCTCTTTGATTTCCCACAACATCCCTAGAAGACAAAGTATATGCCATTATTAACTTACAGATTTGATATTTCATGCATTACAAATAAAATGATGGAGGCCAATATTTCTCCTTCTCCCTACCTAGGTCATGGAACAAGTCAATGATATGAAGACTCAGTCTCAGATATAAAGACTTCCAGTTTCTACTTACTGGTCTTCCAAAATGTTGCATTGTCTCCCAACCCTCTGCCACAGTAGTATGTTTTAAGACAGAGTTTCACTCTTATTGCCCAGGCTGGGGTGCAATGGTGCGATCTCTGCTCACTGCAACCTCCACCTCCTGAGTTCAAGTGATTCTCCTGCCTCAGCCTCCTGAGTAGCTGGGATTACAAGTGCGCACCACCATGCCTGGCTAATTTTTGGGTATTTTTCATAGAGATGTGGTTTCACCATGTTGGCCAGGCTGGTCTTGAACCCCTGACCTCAGGTGATCCACCTGCCTCGGCCTCCCAAAATGCCGGGATTACAGGTGTGAGCCACCATACCCGGCTCTCAATGGTATTTCATATGTATATTTACTTTCTGAGTTTTAAACTTTGATACCCCATCCATATGAAAGCATTCTATTATCTGAAGAGCTATCCCTCTTAGCTCAATAAATGAGCCAGACCTCAAGCTGGAAATGTAGGTTACTAGAGACGATCTGCAGGTTCCAGAGGAGGAATTAATAAACTCTGCATTCAATACAGGAGAGATAACTCAGTTTTTATTTTATGCAGGAAGTAAAGACTTAAGCTGATTCCCACGAAAGCAGTCAAGATGCAGGGAAGAAGGTATTGAGAACTTACGACTGCCCTGCAAAATATGTCCTGAAAAAGGACTGATGTTCCTGGAGTCCAGAATGCAACTGGCACCAGAGCAGAGTTGAATGATTGTTATAGTTTTCTTGTATCGGGATCTTAGCTCCTAATGACAGCTTCTGAGAACTACTCTGGTTGAAATATGAAGCCACAAAAGGGCATTAGTAGGTGAAGTCTGGACAATTCCTTCCATGTCACTGTTTCTCCCTGGCTACCTGGTCTCCCTGTGGAGACAGAAATTTAGAGAACAGAATTAGAAAGCCAAGAGGGGTGAGGCATAAGGGAGAGTCCTCCAAATGCCGATTCGGCAAATTTTAACTTTTTCAGCTATAAACCTTTCAATACCTCAAAATAAATCCTTCAATTTTATATGAGAGTTTGGTTTCTGCAGCTGTAGATTTATGCAGTGTGCTGAGGCCAGGCCAAAAGAAGTGAACATAAACGATGTGACAGATAGCGTAAGGATGTTATTCAGCTTCTCACTCCGGCATGGCTCACTTAAGAACTTTCCAAATGTCAAGCATAACCCCTCTCACTAATTAGCTGCTAAAGCAGCTGATCTTCTGCCATGGACATGTGTTCCAACTGCACAACTGCAGGCCCTCAGCTTGAGAGGTGCTGCAGAAAGCAGTACACTTCCTCAACCCTGGCCTGGGTCTGAGACACATAGCCCAACACATCACCCCAAGCATCACTGGTGCAGACGCATCTGTTGACCACAGGCCTGCCCTCTCTGTGTGCCAAGTCCTGCTTCTTGGTTGCTCATGGGAAATGGAGTACTGAAATATAATGTGCTTCAGGAGCCAGCTATATTTACTAGGAAATTATTTAAGACAACAAGACAGTGTAGAACAAAATAAACCTATCACCATATTGCCTTGATTGAATTGCTTAAGAATAAATTAACTAATAGTTTTTGGAAATTATTATGAATCAGGCTCTGTGCTAGTTTTCTCCTAAGTATCTTAGTTAAACTTTTTAATAACAGAGCAAAGTAGACAGTGTCAACTTCATTCTGCAGAGGAAGAAACTAAAGATCAAAGAGGTTGAATGCTGTCTTAGTCCATCGTATGCTGCCGTAACAGAATGCTTGAGACAGAGTGATTTATTAGGAACAGAAATTTATTTTCTTGAGGTTCTGGAGGCTGGCAAGTCCTAGATCACGGCAAGATTTACCTGGTGGGAGCTACATCCTCACATTGTGGAAGGAAGGGCAGGAGGCCCAAATGCTTTGTGAAGCCTCTTTTGTAAGGGCGTTAATCCCATTCGCAAAGGAGAAGCCCTCACGGCCTGATCACCTCTTAAATGCCTACCACTTAATACTATCACATTGACAACAACTGAATTTTAGAGGGTGCACATTCAAACAATAGTAAATGCCTCACCTGAAAAGCATCCAGGTAGACATTTGACAAATGACCCTGTCTCCTTTATCTTCAACATCATGTGATTAACTTGATAATTATTTCAAAAATAGCAACCTATAAATAGGAAACTGAAAATTTTTATCTAGGTAAAATTTTTAGAAGAGACCTAAGTTGTTTCTCATCCATGAAAACCATGAAGGCTTTATCATCAGAGCTTCAACAAGAGAGTGGAATTTATTAACAATGACTTGGACCACTTTTTATGCAATTTTAATTTTTTCATAGTTTCATGTGTGTGAGTTCCACTTCTAGCCAAAATGAAATAAAAAGAACCATATTTTTTTCAAACTACCCATCTGACAAGGGGTTAATAACTGGAATATATAAGGAGCTCAAACAACTCTATAGAAAAAAAAATCTAATAATCCAATCAAACAATGGGCAAAAGATTTGAATAGACATTCCATGAAAGAAGAAATATAAATGGCAAACAGACATATGAAAAGGTGCTCAAAAATCATTGATCATCAGAGAAATGCAAATCAAAACTACAATAGGATATCATCTTACCCCAGTTAAAATGGCTTTTATCCAAAAGACAGGCAATAACAAATCCTGGTGAGGATGTGGAGAAAAGGGAACCTTTGTACACTGTTGGTAAGAATGTAAATTAGTAAAACCACTATGGAGAACAGTTTGGAGGTTCCTCAGAAAACTAAAAATAGAGCTACCATATGATACAGCAATCCCACTGCTGGGTGTATACTCAAAAGAAAGAAAATCAGTGCATTAAAGAGATATCTGCATTCCCACGTTTTTTATAACTCTGTTCACAATAGCCAAGATTTGGGAGCAACCTAAGTGCCTGTGAATAGATGAGTGGATAAAGAAAATGTGGTACTTCTACACAATGGAGTACTATTCAGCCATAAAAAAAAGAAAATGAGATTTAGTCATTTGAGAAAACATGGATGGAACTGGAAGTCATTATGTTAAGTGAAATAAGCCAGGCACAGAAAGACAAACATCACATGTTCTCACATATTTGCGGGATCTGAAAATCAAAACCATTGAACTCATGGAGATAGAGGGTAGAAGGACAGTTACCAGAGGCTGGGAAGGGTAGTGGGGGTGTGATGGGAAGGTGGGGATTGTTAATGGGTACAAAAAAATAGAATGAATGAATAAGGCCTAGAGTTTGATAGCACAATAGGGTGACTATAGTCAATAATTTAATTGTACATTTTAAAATAACTAAAAGAGTGGAATTGGATTGTTTGTAACACAAAGGATAAATGCTTGAGGGAATGGATACCCCTTAATGGGATTATTATGCATTTCATGCTTGTATCAAAACATCTCATGTAACATATAAATATATACACCTACTATGTGCTTACAGAAATTTAAAATAAACAATTTTTGGCTGGGCGCCATGGCTCAGGCCTGTAATTCCAGCACTTTGGGAGGCCAAGGCAGGTAGACTATCCGAGATTAGGAGTTTGAGACCAGCCTGGCCAACATGACAAAACCCCATCTCTATTAAAAATACAAAAATTAGCTAGGCATGGTGGATCGCGCCTGTAATCCCAGCTACTTGGGAGGCTGAGACAGGGGGATTGCTTGAACCCAGGAGGCAGAGGTTGCAGTGAGCCGAGATCGTGCCACTGCACTCCAGCCTGGGTAACAGAGCAGGACTCCATCTCAAAAAAATCAATAAATAAAATAAAGTAAAATAAAATAAAATAAACCTTTTTTAAAGAACCATATTTGCCTTCTTGTCTGAAACAAATTTTAAAATGTGGGACAAAAATACATGAAGCAATGGTTTTAAAGACAGTGGACATTAGTCAATGAAGGACAGTGAGCCCCAAAAGAAGGAAAACAACAGAATAAACCTCTATAATTGACCCAGCCTACTGCCTGTAGAGAATCTCAAAAGTGCAGTACAAGGAAGGGGGAACCCAGGGAGCTTAGCATTTCCTGGGAGTTGAACAGACAGATATGATTGTCTGGGGAGGATGGTCAGCTAGAGTTTGCAGGACAGACTCACGTATACAAAATATCACATATATGTATATATAATCATGTAGGGTGTGTGTGTATCCAAGAGCCCCTTATGACTCTCTATTATTTATGTAGTCCTTTTGTGCATATAAATTTTTTCCTATTTTCTTAGGGATATTATTTATATTTTTGAAATTTTCTTCTGCTCTTTGCATTGTTTCTATGCCTCTACTTTACTTTCTCTCTCTCTCACTCTCTCCCTTTCTCCATTCCGCACCCTCTTCCCCGTCTTTCATGTCCAAGTGGAGGCTTCTGTCCATGCCTGGAGATCCTTGCCTATCAATTCCTGTATCTGCAAGAAAGGCTTTTGAGATGATGGGCTTCATTGTAGAATCAATGGGAAGGAACCTAACCATTTTGTTTAGGGAAACCCCCAAATATCACCATATCCAGCTTTCTCAGGGGCTTTTTATTTTTCCAGGGAATCATTGACTGTCTCTCCTGAGGGTACTAGAGGAACTTGGCGTGTGGATAATGTACTTAGCATCCAGTATTCTATTGACATGTCAATATGTAAGCCTTGCCCTAGTCCTGTGTTTTCCACATAGGGCAATACCATCACTCCTGGCTTTCAGTTTTGTTTGGTGTTCTCCAGAAAGTAAATCCTGCCTCCTGTTAGGGTAAGGCTTGGGATGTGATGAAAAATGTTGAATGCTATCTTTTAGTATTTTCATGTCCTTTACTCTTGCCTTCCTTCATTCTGTCCTTCGAAACAACTGCTTGAAATTCACTGTTTCATTAACATAAACAAGCTTATTTTTAATTCACATATTTATCTGCAGGTGCATGGGTTTCAGCTCCCTCCAGTCTGTTGAGTCATTTAGCAAACTAGTTGCCCTGTTCCCATTAGCTACCTGTTGAAGAAATTTCTTGTTCATTGTTTTCACCCTTCCTGATTTTTTTTTTTTTTTTTTTTTTTTTTTTTGAGACAGAGTCTCGCTCTGTCGCCCAGGTTGGAGTGCAGTGGCGTGATCTCAGCTCACTGCAAGCTCAGCCTCCTGGGTTCACGCCATTCTCCTGCCTCAGCCTCCCGAGTAGCTGGGACCACAGGCGCCTGCCACCACGCCCGGCTAATTTTTTGCATTTTTAGTAGAGATGAGGTTTCACCGTGTTAGCCAGATGGTCTCGATCTCCTGACCTCGTGATCCTCCCGCCTCAGCCTCCCAAAGTGCTGGGATTACAGGCGTGAGCCACCGTGCCCGGCCTCACCCTTCCTGATCTTTTAACCTCATGGATTTAAACTTTCTTTGAAATTGTTTTATGCTATGTTAGTACAGTTTTGATGGAAAAAAGAAATGTACATACTATATGTTGTATTATATGTATTCAAACGTGTGCTCAAACAAGGAGGAGTCAGGGTGCAGAGGAATTGTTTCCTAAATTATTATTAGCAAGCAATCCACCTTCTGAAGTGTGATGGCCTGGACTCACACCCTTGCTTATCTGTTTATTTTCCCATTGTGCAGATGAGCAGGCTGAGACTTACAATTATTAAATCAGTTGTTCAAGGTCACAAAGTTATACTTCTATCTCAGGGTTGTTATGAGTATCAAATAAGATAGATCACTTAGCATAGTTACTATCTCCTCATAACAGTTTAAAAATGTTATCTTTCACGATTAAACACCTGGTCCTTATTGATTCTCCAACTTCTGAATATGGTGCAGGTAGGCCTGCAGAAAAGTGGAAAGTAAAAAATTGGAAAGATACATGAAGGAATAGGACACATTATGCTCAGCTGGGGAATAATGGCATTTCAGTGAAAGTAATAGTAGGTATGTCAACTCAATTGTAGTACTTAAATTTAGTTTTTTGGGTTTTTTTGTTTGTTGGTTTTTATATAATCAGCTTTGGAAACAAAATGTGTTGGGAAAATAATAGAAAACTAATAATTCTTTCAATAGCATAGGCTGAATATTTCCTTAAATTGTAAGAAAAATAAAGCATAAACCTTTAAGTCGTTCCTTGAGCAGATATCTTTAGAGTGTACTAATGCTGCATTTAATTATATTTTCTAAAATCTCTTAATCTGCTACTTTTCTATTTGATTTTATTTTGTTTCCAAGTAATATCTGAAAGTTTTAGCCTCCAGCCTAAAAGGCAGGAATAACTGGTATCAGACTAGCTCTCCTACAATAAACAACTAGCAAACTGGAGAAAATATATGAAACAGTTTTTGGACACTGAACAAAGAGATGATACATGGCTGTGATCCCTGAGAAAAGAGTAAAAATAAAACGAGACTTGTGATCACAGTGGCCTTCTGCCTGGAAGCAGTTTCTGAATCAGGTGCTGAAAACAAGCAAAATACAATGGTTTCCTTGAGCTTAAAAGACAAAAATCAGAGTTTAGAGGTGGCTGGAATTTGTGTGGCTGAGTATCAGAAAGGATGGAATCTATACAGCAGAGACCCAGAATCTGCATAGAGGTTTGTTTGAGTCTCTGGTCATATGCTTAGAGTAAAATTCCACAAATCTGAAAAAGGAACAAAGAACAGAGATAGAACAACTTATTGACAAGCTATCTGGAAGAAAATATTTGCATTTCATATATCTGAAAGAAGACTTCAATCCAAAATATGTAAAGAATACTTACAACTCAATAATAAGGAGCTAAACACACCAATTGAAAATGGAAAATTTGGCCAGGCATGGTGGCTAATGCCTGTAATCCCAGCACTTTGGCAGGCTGAGGCAGGGATCACCTGAGGTCAGGAGATCGAAACTAGCCTGGCCAACATGGTGAAACCCTGTCTCTACTAAAAAAAAAAAAAAAAAAAAAAAAATTAGCCAGGAGTGGTGGTGCATACCTGTAAGCCCAGCTACTCGGGAGGCTGAGGCAAGAGAATCACTTGAACCCGGGAAATGGAGGTTGCAGTGAGCTGAGATGTCACTGCACTCCAGCCTGGGGGACAGAGCAAGACTTCATCTCAAAAAAAAAAAAAAAGGAGAATTTATTTGATCAGCCACTTCACAAAAAATGTATAAATGACCAGTGAGCACATACAAAAGTGCTTATTAGACAAAATGGAAATGCAAATGAAAACAAAGAAGGAGTACTTTACAGTTACTACCACATACTAGAATGGCTAAAATGTAAAAGACTGACAATACCAAATGTTGTAAATGTTGCAAAGATTTGGAGCAACTAGAACTCTCCTACATTGCTGGTGGCAACGTACAACAATGTAGGAGAGGCCCGGGAATGACTCTTGCTGTCCCAATCCAGCCAGAGGATTCTATGAAGCCTCTCCCTCAATCATTCTAGGGAAGGGAGACAGTAACAATAGGATGTAATTGAACCTTCAGGGTCTTGGCAACTGGGAGGAGAAAAAAAAATTACAAGAAACTGTCAGTCTCTTTGCAAAATAGACTGGCAGTTTCTTACAAAATTTAAAAATGTACCCACTCTGTGATCTAAGAATTCTACTCCTGGCTGTGTATCCAAGAGAACTGGAAACATAAATCTCCAAAAAGATTCCTACATAAATGAATGTTCATAGCAGCTTTCTTTATAATAACCCTAACTTGGAAACAACAGAAATGTTCCTCAGTGGGTAAATGGGTAAACAAATTGTTTATATTCATACAATGAAATATACTTAGCAATTTAAATAAGCTGCTTTCAAATACAGTGACAAAAAGGGATCTCAAAATCTTCATGCTAAAATAAGATGTAAAGAATTCATGGTATGAAATTTTAGAACAAGCAAAACTAATCCATTATATAGAAATCAGATCAATAATTGCTTGGAGCAGGATTGGCTGGTAAGGGACATAGACATTTTCTTAGATGAAAATGCTCTGTATATTGACTTGCGTAATGTTTACATGAATATATAAATTTGTTAAAAATCCCCAAACTGTATATCAAATATCAGTGCTGTCTTAAGGTAACAGTAGGCTGCTCTGCTGAGCTCAAATTATTATTAAATGTTTCACCACAACACATTTCCATCTACTGAACCATTTAGAAGATTTTTTTAAAAAGTGGAAAAATAAGTGTGATTTATTGTAATTAAATATAATTCAACAATGTTTATTTTTAAATGTTTATGCTAATACTCTTCTCCAACCAAGAGTGATCTGAATTCTAAGGGAGGACCGAAGAGCTTTGGTGCACAATTAAAGAACACTTAGCTGCCAGAAGAAGATGAGGGGTCTCTGCCGTGCTACTATGGTGGGAATCTGCAAAGTCAGGTAGGGTGCATTCCCAAGTTAACTTCTAAATCTAAGGGACTGTATTAGTCTGTTCTCACACTGCTAATAAAGACATACCCAAGACTAGGTAATTTATAAAGGAAAGAGGTTTAATGGACTCACAGTTCCACATGGCTGGGGAAGCCTCACAATCATGGCAGAAGGCAAAGGAGAAGCAAAGTCACATCTTACATGGCAGCAGGTAAGAGAGCTTGTGCAGGGGAACTCCCATTTATAAAACCATCAAATCTCATGAGACTTATTCACTACCATGAAAACAGTATGATGGAAACTGCCCCATGATTCAATTATCTCCACCTGGTTCCGCCCTTGACACATGGGGATTATTACAATTCAAGGTGAGATCTGGGTGGGGACACAGCCAAACCATATCAGGGACCTATGAGGAGTAAGGATCAGGCAACTAGCTCATGATCAGAAGCATCAAAATTAGAATGAGATATGAAGCATTCATATCAAAAAGGAGTTAAAATGAAAAACACAGAAGATCTGTGACCAATGAAGACCAGAAATACCATTTGTCCTTCCTAGTAGAAGAAGGGACAATATCATAAGTTATTAGACCTATAAGCACAAACATGGTCAGGCTAAAGAATGTTAACTGCCAGCAGAGAATGCTAAAGGACTTGGATTATCCTGCCCTCTTTACTGGTGACTCCTTTTCCAACTGACTGACTGTTAGTTGCCCGTGTTTACTCAAACTATGTTGGTATTCAAAGTTGAGTCTTCTCTGACTGCAGATCGAGAACATATCCCAGAATATTTCTCTCTCTGCTACAAAACCATTTGAGAATAGAGACCAGAAATCTTGTCATTATAACAGCAGGAATCTACAGAAAGTTTGGCATTGAATTCCTTCAGACATATGTTATGGCAAATGACGTACAATTATAGGGAGAAGTATGTAAGTCTACAGCATAGGTGCTAATCAGTCTGAACATTTTCTTAGCCCTGAATCCCATTCAAAGGAAAAATTTTTCTTTTAAAAGCCATGAATCATTAACATTTCAATACACTAAGCTTAGATCTGGCAACTTAAGGAAATTTTTCAGAGGAAAGGCACACAATCTAAGTGACTGTCTTAATTACCTGCATCAACCCAATTAATTTGTGGTGTATTTCAAGCTGAAACAAAGGCCCAGGAATGAGTCTTGCTGTCCCAACCCAGCCAGAGGATTCTATGAAGCCTCTCCCTCAACCATTCTAAGGAAGAGAGACAATAGGATGTAGTTGAGCCTTCAGGGTCTTGGCAACCAGAAAGGGAAGCTCTGCCTGAGCTCCTATCAGTGTGGAAAATCACTTCATAAGTAGCTACAGTGAAGACACTGTACAGAGAATCCAAGGGGCAGACTGTAAAACATCTATAAAGGGAAAATGTTTAAATTCTTCTTAAAGATGAGTCTTGCCATCTGAATCAACAGACGGCTAAAATGCAAAACCTCCTCTGAGATCTTTAACAGCCTCTTGGTTGTATATGGCTCCTTTTCCCACTATAAGTCATTATCACTGATGGATCCCAAACTGGATCCTGGGGGGATCCCGACAGCCAGGAGGTATCTACCTACTACCTGAGTGTCCCTACTCCTCAAATAGTTCTTTGCCATGCTTATTCCACCAGATTAGACCCTGGCATGTAGCCACCAGCTTACAGTAGGCTTGAACTTGCTCTATGAGATGCCCTACTTTGAACTGTTCTGTGTAACAAATCGATACTTACACAAAATAGATGAAAACCTAGGTGACGTGTTTAATAGGGAAGCTGAGAAGTATAACCTTTCTTGGTCTTATCACCTGTAAAATCCCCCTTAGTCCATTTTTGCTGTCTGAAAATCCATCATTGCAAGGTTTTCTTTTGGGGGGGGGGGGGGCTACGGTTGAAAAAAATCGACTAACATGCAAAAAGCACACAGACAAATCATTAAATCCTTATTAATCATCAACTACTTGCTATGAATTATCCTGTTCTAAATGTTTCCAAGGAAATAAAGGACAATTTTTACAGGAAGTGAAAATATAAACCCCATGCAGTGACCAAGTGGTAAGAAGTTAAGTGAGAGTAAAGAAATTGGGGCAGCTCAGGGCACCGGAGATCTAGGGAGGAGAAAAAAAACACATCAAGAAAACTAAAAGAAGAACTAAACAATTGTCCAAGACCTATTTTAACCATTTCACAAGTTTGCAGACTACTCTGCCATAGGGAAAAGTCCATGGTCAACACTTCTGGAAGAGCAAAAGCCCTAGATTACCCACATCCCAAGCTACTTTCAGCAAACAACTGAGTAGAGTCAATGAAAAGTCACCACAGTCCCTCTAGGAATGGTAACATGTAGTAGCTTCAGGCCATGGCATCATCAAATGTGGGATGGCCACCAGCCCACAGATTAGAGGAAGTGTTCCTGGACTGGAAGGCTGGGCTGGGCTAGATGGGTCTACATGGTTTTATTCGGGAGTCTCTGAGAAGCAACGTCTGATTTATTGTAGATGAGCCACAGCCTGGAATAAATGATATGGCATTTTATTTTTTTCATGATCTGAAACATTTGATACGGTATTTTAAAATAAATAAGACAATTGTCTATGTGATTGGGGTGCCTAACAAACACCAAATGCTCTGCTAGTTCTCATTTTCAATAAATGCACAATCTGGTAACTGACAAGCAAACGAACAAGAATAGGGTTAGTGCTTAATAGAGAAATGTGCAGAATGCTAGGTGAGTCTAGAAGAGGGTTTCAAACACACTCTCAGGGACGGCTCCGCAGTGCAGGCTATATCCTGCTAAGGATAAGCTAAGGCTTGAAAGATGGAGGAGGGTGAATTCCACACAGAGGGAGCAGCAGCGTAATCTATCCACAGGAAGGCAGGCAGACCAGGGTGCCTGGAGTGTGTGAGGGTGAGAGGTGAAACGGCAAAGGATAAAGCCAAAGAGGAAGAGGCCAGCATCCAAAGGGTCTTCCTTATATGTCCCGCTAAGCAGCTCAGGGAAGCATGTGTCCATGTTTGTATATACATCCCACCTTATTCCAGAAAGGATTGAAAGTGGCTGTTGCTAAAGAACTTGGATTGCATTATGAAGGCAATTGAGAGTAATTGAAGGATTTCAAGCAGGGAATGACATGCTCAGGCATGCATTTAAGAAAGATTATTCAAGCAATGTAGAAAATAAATTGAAAGGGGTTCAGGGAAAGGAATGAGACTTTAGGCAGTTAAGGCAGAATAGAGGCAATTACAATAATCCAAGGGAAAAATGATGCTGGCCTGGACTAATGCAGTGGCACTGGGAAGGGAGAGGACTGGAGAGATTTAGGCATATTTAAGATTGAGCAGAATAACTTATAAGCTAGTGGACCTAACGATACTTAATACTACGGGGGTAAACTGAGTAGAAAGCAATTACTCAGGAAATGTGTCTTGATCGGGAA
Source organism: Homo sapiens (assembly GCF_000001405.40). Lineage (NCBI taxonomy): Eukaryota > Metazoa > Chordata > Mammalia > Primates > Hominidae > Homo > Homo sapiens. Next base: position 71,883,817 of record NC_000017.11, read on the forward strand.
TCTGAATGAGGGAGACAAATGATCTAGATGATTTGTGTGATATTAGACAGCATGTATAGCATGAAACTAATACAGTTTCAGGTATCATGAGTTTACTTTGAATTTCGATTCAAATCAGCAGCCTCGTTTCTTTTAAGCAAAGCCTTATTTCTCTCAAGGTACAAACTTCTGAGATTGTCCACTTGTCATAGGTACTCTAGAAACTACTTAGCTCATTCTTCAAAAGAGTATCGTTGGTAGCAACACCACAGAACAGAAAAACACATCATACCATCAGGTAGAGTTCCCAGCATGCAGAAACTAGGGGAGGTGATTTTCTATGCAAAGGGAAACCTCTTCCCAGATGAAGTGAACAACTCACACAGACCTCAAATCAGGTATTATGAGTCTCACCTGAAACCTAGAAGGTAATTAGTTCTCAATGAGTTAGACCTGAAACCACTTTTTAAAAACAGTTTTTAAAAAACATTTTCATTGAAATAATTCATTTTAATATGAATACAAAATTTGAGAAATCTCTTCAAGCCTATATGTAAATAAATTAGAGTGAAGGAAGAAGGGTTGAGAATGTGCTTTTGCCAACAGGGAGTTATTATAAAAGTCAATAGTAAAGATTTCCCTTTATGGAAAGTCAATACTTTTCTTCCAATATTTTCAATCAAGACATCGAATCAGTCCCTGAAAGGAAATTTAAGCTACAGTCAAACGTGACTCTGTTTTAAAATATTTATGTAGCAGTAAGGGGTTATTCAAAAAACAGAAAGATGATTTAAGGTTAGGTTGTTTGTTATAGTGTTCATCAAGTCCATAAATTTAAAAAACAAGCTAAAAAAGTAATCTTCAAATATTTCTTAAAGATATTTGATAAATGTCAGTATTACATGGTATAGTTTGGCTGTGTCCCCACCCAGAACTCACCTTGAATTGTAATAATCCCCGATGGGGCCAGGTGGAGATAACTGAATCATGGGGGCAGTTTCCCCCATACTGTTCTCATGGAGGTGAACAAGTCTCAGGAGATCTGATGGTTTTATAAATGGGTGTTCCCTTGCACAAGTTCTCTTCCCTGCCACCATGTAAGAAGTCCCTTTGCTCTTTCTTCGTCTTCTGCCATGATTGTGAGGCTTCCCCAGCCATGTGAAACTGTGAGTCCATTGAACCTCTTTCCTTTATAAATTACCCAGTCTCGGGTATGTCTTTATTAGCAGCATGAGAATGAACTAATACATTACATCTTGATTTTTTTAAAGTAATTTAGAAATAGGTGGACATTTACTCAGCTTGAAGAATGATGTCCCCAAATCAATACCTAACATCATCCAGATTGGCTAGAAAAACATTCATGAACGCTGGAAATAAGAAAAGGGTGTCACTATTATTTAATATCATACTGGAAGTTCTAGGTAAATAAAGTAAAAGGTACAAATGTGTAAAAGGAGAAAACAAAGGTATGATTATTTGTGGATGATGTGATTATTTATGTAAACATGATTCAATTAAAAATTGAAACAAAAATGTGGGGAGAATTCATTTTAAATAGACAGAATTAATCAACCTTCTGTCTGTAGTGCAATAATGTTTTTAGAAAACAATAATAATTGAGGGAAAAAAGTGATCTCATTGGAAATCTGTATTCACCTAGTTTTTTTCTCTTCAGAATCAATATACCTATACACCAAAGACACATCCTGTTGATTTTACAAGGCACTCATTAACTTATTTCATATATTCTTTAATTTGTTCAAGAAACATTGCTGAGTGTGACTATTGTTCAGCTATTATCGTTCAGCACTAGGGAAACCATGGCAAATTCCTGTCATTTTGATGCAAGTATTAAATACAATGTGCTATCAGAGCATAAGAGAGGACATAAACTAGTCTTGTAGGTTAGGGTCACTTGATCCAAATGAAGTGTAGGGGTTATTTAAATCCATAGAGGTAAGAATAAAGGAAAAGGTATGTGTAAAGTCTTTGAGGCACAGAAGAGCCTGATACTCTGGAAGAAATGAAGGCAGGTGGAGCTAGAGTTTAGAAAGTGAAAAGGAAAGTAGCCTCAGAATCTCATTAGAGAGAGAGGAAGAGGCCAGGTCAACAGGGTAGAGTAGACTCCTGTAGCAATTAGGGGTTGCATCTTGACAACATTGAGAAGCAACCCAAGGTTTTAAGTAGAAACAAGAGAGAGCAAGGAAGTGATTTAGAGACATTTGGGAGGGAGAATCTTTGATGCTTGGCCATTGTTTGAGGTGGCTGAATGGTGGTGCCATTTTCTGAGATAATGAACCCTGGGTTGGGGGTAGAGTGGGAGGGTGGCCTGAAGCAGGAACAGGTCCCCAGGTAAATGTCAGTACCACTGTGGTTGAGAGAGAACATTCCCTTGGCTCTGACCACCCAGGTTCAAACCCATCTCAACCCCTTTGCATCAATATATTCAACATTCAAATGGTTTGGGGGTTCCTCATTTGTACAATGGAAATGATAATAACAGGACCTGCCTTGTGATGATTCTCTGAAATTACACCTCTAATGTTGGACAGAATGTCTACTAATGTGACTGTCATCTTGTAGGTGTTCCTTGGGAGTATGGTCCATTGTGTTTAGACATATTTATTCCAAAATGTCTGCAAACTTCCTGGAGGGGACAATTAAAAGGCATTTGGTGGCCAGGCATGGTGGCTCACACCTGTAATCCCAGCACTTTGGGAGGCCAAGGCGGGCAGATCATCTGAGGTCAAGAGTTCAAGACCAGCCTGGCCAACATGCAGAAACCCCGTCTCTACTAAAAATACAAAATTAGTCAGGTGTAGTGGTGCATGCCTGTAATCCCAGCTACTCGGGAGGCTGAGGTAGGAGAATTGCTTGAACCTGGGAGGCCGAAGGTTGCAGTGAGCAGAGATCGTGCCACAGCACTCCAGCCTGGGCAACAAGAGCAAAATTCCATCTCAAAAAAAAAAGAAAAAAAGAAAGAAAGAAAGAAAGAAAGAAGGAAGGAAGGAAGGAAGGAAGGAAGGAAGGAAGGAAGGAAGGAAGGAAGGAAGGAAAGAAAGAAAGAAAGAAAGAAAGAAAGAAAGAAAGAAAGAAAGAAAGAAAGAGAAAAAGGCATTTGGCTATTAAGGCCTGGATCTCTGGAAAGAGACTTGGGCTCGAAGTATGCATCTGGAAATCAGAATATACATGGTATTCAAAGTATTTTAAACAATGAGAAAGGGTAGATTACTAAATAAATGGTTTGTGGTATAACTGACTAGTCATTAGGGATAGAAAACAAAGTAAGATTCTTCCCATAACCTGAACATGTAAATTTAAAAGGATTGAATGTTTTAACATTAAAACAAATGGAAGTGTGACCAGCCTGGCCAAGGTGGTGAAACCCCGTCTCTACTAAAAATACAAAAATTAGCTGGGCGTGGTGGCAGGTGCCTGTAATCTCGGCTAGAGAAGCTGAGGCAGGAGAATTGCTTGAACCCGGAGGTGGAGGTTGCAGTGAGCAGAGATTGCACCACTGCACTCCAGCCTGAGTGACAGAGTGAGACCCCGTCCCAAAAAAGAAAACAAAAACAAATGGAAGTGTTAAAATATTACTTTAGGATAAGAAAATTATTTGTAAAACAGAAACAAAAAGCAAAAGCCATGAAATAAAGTACAGATATATTTGAATGCATTGAAATTTTAAACATTTACATCAAAAATATGTACATTTTAAAGGGACAACATAAAAAGTAAGAAATAATCTCATTGAAAAGTAGATAAAGCTTATGATCAGGTAAATAACAAAAGAAAAACTAGAAACTATGTCAGCATCACATAATAGTTGCCTGTCAAACTGGCAAAAAAATTTTTTAATTAAAATCTATTAAGTGTTAGTAAAGATGGAAGAAAATATGTGCTCTAAAGCAATAATTTTATAATTCTTTGCTCATTTACCAATAAAACAACTTTCTGAAATTATAAATGCTTTCAAATTGTAAATGCTTTCATATTTCAATTTTTTTTTGTAACTTTAAAGTGCTGCAATATTTTAAGTATTGGCATTTAAAAATACAAATATTTCTCTTTCACTTTTTTAGTGTTATGTAAATCTAATTATTATTTGATATCCATCCTCATGCATGAAAGCCTCTTCTTTAGGATATGGAAAGTTAGTTTTGTTTTCTCTTTCAGTCTATATTTTATCCCTCTTTCTATATTTTTATCCTAATATATTTTATGCTTCTACCATTGTATTGGTTGTCTTTGGAAGCTTGTCTACAACAACCAAAAAAAATGTATCTAATTTGAAATTTTAAATAGAAATTTGAACGTTTTATTTCCTGTGACCATAAATCTTTTTTGGACTAAGTTATGTTTACAGTTATTAGTAGTCTGTAATTGAGCAGAACTACATGCAAGATTAACTATTTTATAGATAATTACTAAACATAAGAAGTAAAATTGTAATGGATATTTATCTCTGTGGTGGGCAGGGTAATAACCTCCCAGAAATATCCTCACCCAAATATCTGAAGCTGGTGAATGTGTTTCATTACATGGAAAAAGAAACACAGCAAATAGAATTAATCTTATGGACCTTAAAATAGAAAGAATATCCTGCATTATTTAGGTAGGCCCAAACTAATCATATAAATCCTTACAAGTAGAAAGGGAAGGCAGAAGAATTGGTCAAACAACAGAAATTTGTTTTCTCACAGTTCTGGAGGTTAGAAGTCCAAGATCAAGGTTCTGGTTAATTTGGTTTCTGGTGAGGGCTCTCTTCCCAGTTTGCAGATGGCCTCCTTCTTGCTATCTTCACAATAACCTTTCTCATTTCTCTTTCAGAGACAGAGAGAGAGAGAGAGAGAGAGAGATCTGCTGTCTCTTCTCATAAGAACACCAAAGGGCTCACCACTGTGACCTCATTTAACCTTAATTACTTCCTTGGCGGCCCTATCTCCAAATATCGCCACACTGGGACTTAGGGTTTCAACATGTGAATTTAGCGGGGAACAGAAATGTTCAGTGTATAATATTCTGCCCCGGGCCCTCAAAATCCATGACTTTCTCACATACAAAATATGTTTATTCTATCCCAACAGCCCGCAAAGTTTTAACTCATTCCTGCATTAAGTCTAAAGTGTAAAGACCAAAGTCTCATCTAAATATCTGGCCAGGCACGGTGGCTCATGCCTGTAATCCCAGGACTTTGGAAGCCCAAGGTGGATCACTTGAGGGCAGCAGTTCAAGATCAGCCTGGCCAACATGGTGAAACCTCATCTCTACTAAAAATACAAAAATTACTCGGGCGTGGTGGTGGGTGCCCGTAATCCCAGCTACTCAGGAGGCTGAGGCAGGAGAATCGCTTGAACCTAGGAGTCGGAGGTTGCAATGAGATGAGATTGTGCCATTGCACTCCAGCCTGGGTGACAGAGCGAAACACCATCTCAAAAAATAAATAAATAAAAATAAATATCATCTGAAGCAAATATGCAAGGTACGATTCATCCTGAGGCAAACAAAATTCCTCTCCAGCTGTGAACTTGTGAAACCAACAAGTTATGTGCTTCCAAAATCTAGTAGTGGACAGGAATAGAATGTACATTTCCATTCCAAAAGGGAGAAATTAGAAGAAAGAAAGGGGTGATGGGACTCAAGAAAGTTCAAAACCTGACAAGGCAAATTCCATTAGATCTTGAGGCTTGAGAATAATCCTCTTTGGTTCTATGCTCTGCCCTCCGGTACCACTGGAGTGGCAGTGTCACCCCACTGGCTCCATAGAACAGCCACCCCCTTTGGCTCTGCAAGGAGGCCTCAACCCCACACCTGGCCCACTGAAGCCAAGGAGGAATCAGACTTACCCCTAGGCCTGTAGGAGCAGTGGAAGTCCTATGGTCTCTGAATTGCCTTAAAGGTCATTCTTCCCTTTTTTTGAAGGACAATGCATGTTTAAAGCCAGATAGCTCTACGGACTTGTCCTGTAGCATCCCAGAAGTCCAACTGCCTCCCTTTGTTCTGTTTCACTTTCTCTGTCCTTTTTAGTTCCAACTGGAGTTTCTCTGCTGTTATGATTGCATCTCTTTCTGGCTTCGGCTGCAATGGCTGCTTAGACCTGTGGGTCACAGCCATGCTAATATCCTTATCAAATGGTTGTTTAGCCACACCCTTAGTGTTTTCTTCAGAACATGCTCCGTCATTTTCTGCAACATAGGCTGAAAGTCTTCCAAAATTTCAAGTACTGGCTCCTTTTTGCCTAACAGTCCTTTCAATATATCTCCCCCCTCTCACATTTTCCTCTAAGCAGTAAGGAGAAACAAAGCCAATCCAATACTTTGCTTAGGAATCTCCTCAGCTCAATACCCAATTCTATCACTTGCAAGTTTTACCTTCCGCAAAACATGACAATACGATTCAGCCAAGTCTGTTGACATCTATAACCACTTTATGGTACAGGTGGAATAGCTGGCTGCTCTCTTTACTAATTTTATCCAATTCACACAGGAGTCCCCTAATTCTCCCACTGAATTCTGAATTCAATTTTAGAATGTCTGATGTAAAGGGAACACAGTTGTGTGGGTTGTTAATATTTCTCTACCTGTGGGAGAAACTTATCACAAGGAAAACTGCCTTTCCTCCAGCTTCCAAAAATGCATTCTTCATTTCCATCTGAGATCTCCCCAGAATGGCCTTTACCATCCATGTTTCTACCAGCATCCCATGCATGGTGAGAGATGTATTGTCTAAGATGACAGAGCCTTCCTCCATATCTCCTTTTTTCTTCCTGAATGTTCACCAGAATCACCTTAAATGGTTTTAGTCAAGCTATGTTGCCACCCAATGAAATGCTACATAGAAGGCATTATCTCAAGATCAAGAGCAGCTTAAATTGTAAACAGATAAATAAAGTGACCAAGGACTTCTTCATGGCTGACTTTTTCACTGGCCTGGACAAAAGTCCTTACAGAGTATTGGTTCAGGTGGAATAGCCGTCTGCTCTCTTGCTTCTCTAATTTTATTAAATTCATGCAGGAGCCTCCTAATTCTCCCTCTGAGTTCTGAATTCAATTTTAGCATGTCTGATATAAAAGGTAACACATCTGTGTGTGTTGCTAATGTATTTCTACCTGTGAGAGCAGAGATGACAACTCTGATGGAAGCATCTTCATTTTTTTAAAAAAGGTGCAAAGAAGTAAGTTTTTCTTTTCTTTTCTTTTTTTTTTTTTGATAATGAGAAGACAGAACCTTCTGAGGCACAGAACACACTGGAGAAAAGGCCATGTGGATGAGCCATGCAGAGAGGCTAAGCTCCCAGGGCAGGGAAGGGAGGATGATGTTCAGAGTCCGTAAGACTAATTCAGGGGGAACACAGGGTTGCCAGGACACCTGGAGTCCAGCCCTGCTTCCCCGCTAGTTAACTGTGTGACTTAAGCAAGTCACTTAACCTCCCGTTTTTATTCCTTCTTCTATTAAAGAAAACCAAGGATTAGATTAGATGGCTTTTAAAGATTTTGTTTCTAGTTCTAAAATTCTACAGTTCTTACTATGTTCAGACATTCTTTCGCAGCTCTACTAGAAGCTCCACCTTCTTTTAATAAATTCTATTTACTTGCAGGTGGTTGGACTATTAAGAAAAGCAAATTGTTTAAATAATGTCTGACTTTTTGACTGACTTGACTCTCTTAACAGGCCAGATATATATGTGTATATATATATAATTTTTTTCTGGGTAGTGAATTTTTAGGTACATCAATCAAGCAGCCAGTATTTATTGCATGGAGCTAATTAACTTTCAAAATGACATTTTCATTTGTAACATTGGTTGAGATTTGAACTCAGATCTCATCAATGAAAAGCAGCTGCGCTAATAACCCAAGTCCCACCGAGCCCCCTAATTCTCCCAGCTTACCCTCACCATAAATGTGTGATTAATCGCAGGTTTATGGGCGTTCTCAGTTACTGTGAAAACAAATCATTACCAGAAACTGGCATTCCCAATTTATTTTATTTATTTTATTTTTATTTTTATTACTTATACCCTATTCTCCATATTTTCCATATGTTTTGGGTCCTTCTCATCCATTCAGGACCTTGTGGAAAGCTCAGCTCACCCCCATCTCCTGATAAACAAGAACATTTTGTCGTTTTCTCTTCACTCTTTAATTCTTAAGGTGTGGAAATAATGGTACTTTGCAGGAAGACGTGAGGGAACAATGCAGTTGACAGCTGGACAGAGTGAAGACAAAGATGTATGTGGTTGTTCCTCACTTCAGGTCAGTAGAGCAAACACAAAACTTCATCCACCTACAAGATTCAGGCATGCAAGAGGTTAGGAACTTGGAAGTGGGCAGAGGGATCTGATAGTGGCTTCTCTTTACTAAATTCTCATTCACTTTCTTACTATTATGGTAAAAAAAATTATATAAGGAAATCTAGAAAAACAATCTAACCTCTTTCCTCTTGTTTTCAAGCCCCCCAAATAGTTAGATTTAATCAAGTTTGCTTTGAGGGATCTGTAACATACACTAAGACATGTAGCGGGAAGTGCTCTGAAAATCTGATGGAAAGAGACACACCTTACTAAGATGCCAGGAACAGACAACACAACCAACGCAGTCAAATATAACCCTAAATATGAAGTCCTGGGGGGCAGCCTCTACTCCCAGTCCTTAGTATCCAGTGGCGTCGTCTCTTAACTCTGCAACTCTGTACACATCAGCATTTCTGGTTGAGTAGCAGCAGGAATCAACTTATTTGGCAACAGTGACTAAGACTCCTCATTAATATCAGGTCAGTTGTTTAGTAAGAATGTGTGAGTGTGTGTGTGTGTGTGAGAGAGAGAGAGAGAGAGAGAGAGAGAGAGAGGCAGGCTTATGCCTTAGACTCCCAGATCTCCCAAGTCCTTCAGCTTTGTCAACTGTGACAAAGGTATAAGGCCAACTTTTCCATGATTATCTACATACATTGCCTTGATCCCCTATCTTCAGAAACAGGCAAGGGACATCGCTCTTAAAATATGTGCTTCCTAAAGGAATGTAAGCTTCTTATAGTCACTTCTTTCTCCAAGCTCCTGAACTTGCAGAACGTTCCCTCTCATTTACGTCTCATATGGGTGTTCTCTTGTCCCCGTCCAATATAAACCTAGAACCAATACCCCTTGACTTGACTTTCTCCAAATACCACTATCCGGAGCCAGCTCTGTATGATCAGTGCATAAAGAAGTTTGAAGTTAAACAAGTTTGCAAATAAACAGTGAAACAAAGTGGTTTCATCACAGGGTATCAGAGTAACCCACGGAGCACATCACTGTATTAAAATTCCATTGGCTGGTGGGGGGTGGGGGGTGGGGGGTGGGGTGCAGTGGCTCACGCCTGCAATCCTAGCACTTTGGGAGGCCGAGATGGGTGGGTCACTTGAGGCCAGGAGTTCAAGGCCAGCCTGGACAACATGGTGAAACCCCATCTCTACTAAAAGTACAAAAATTAGCTGGGCATGGTGGCACACTCCTGTAGTTCCAGCTACTCGGGAGGCTGAGGCAGGAGAATCACTTGAACCTGGGAAGCAGAGGTTGCAGTGAGTCGGGATCACGCCACTGCATTCCAGCCTGAACAACAGAGCAAGACTCCATCTCAAAAACAAAACCAAAAAAATTCCATTGGCCAATCCACATTAGGAAGTTTCTCACTGGCTGTCTCTTTGCCTTGTGCCTCTGATTTTGACTTCCTTCTTTCTCTCATGGCCAGCCTCCAGCTTCCTCCTCTTCATGGCTGGCCATTCACTCCTTCTGCAAAACACTACAGCCCTCCATTCCCTACCTCAAAGGCACCTGGCCCACTTTAGCTGCCCCAACACTCATTCAGGAGGCTCTAGAAAACAAAGGTGGTGTTACTTTCTACCATGGTCAAATTCTTAGGCTGGCCCAACTTCCCCAGCAGTCTTTGTAAGCAAAGAGGAATGATATGGAATGTTATCTCCCCAACGTGAATAATATGAGCACCCTTGGAAGGTGGAACTGCCAGTAGGACCATTTGCCTTTTGTTTTGTTTCCTTTTCTTTGAGATGGAGTCTCGCTCTGTCGCCCAGGCTGGAGTGCAGTGGCGCGACCTGGGCTCACTGCAACCTCCGCCTCCCAGGTTCAAACGATTCTCCTGCCTCAGCCTCCCAAGCAGCTGGGACGCCAGGTGCCCACCACCACGCCCGGCTAATTTTTTGCATTTTTAGTAGAGACGGGGTTTCACCGTGTTAGCAAGGATGGTCTCGATCTCCTGACCTCGTGATCTGCCTGCCTTGGCCTCCCAAAGTGCTAGGATTATAGGCGTGAGCCACCATGCCCAGGTTGTTTCTAACAGTATATTTTGTTTTCTACTTAACATCTCTCAGAAGCACTCACACTCTTGTGATCTCTTTCTTGTACACATGCATGCACACACACACACGCTTTAACTCACATATTCTTTTTAAAACCCACACACCGGTAAGCAACAGAAATCGACGCACTACTCAGGTCATCCATACTCTTCCAGTGTCTACACCAAGGGGACGGGGAAGGCAGGAAAGAGGAAAGTCAAAAAAAAAAGCAAGCAACAGGAAATGCAAAAAAATGGAAGTAGGAGGAGAAAGGAAGGAAGAAATGAAGTAAGTAGTGTGTTAGTGTATTTGACAGCAAAGGATCAAGGAGCCATGGGAAAGTGAGTTTTTTGTTTGTTTGAGATGGAGTCTTGCTCTGTCGCCAGGCTGGAGTGCAGTGGCGCAATCTCAGCTCACTGCAACCTCCGCCTCCTGGGTTCAAGCAATTCCTCTGCCTCGGCATCCCGAGTAGCTGGGACTACAGGCATGAGCCACCATGCCCGGCTAATTTTTTGTATTTGAGTAGAGACGGGGTTTCACCATGTTGGCCAGGATGGTCTTGATCTCCTGACCTCGTGATCTGCCCACCTCGGCCTCCCAAAGTGCTGGGATTACAGGCGTGAGCCACTGCGCCCGGCTGAGAAAGTGAGTTCTAAGTCGGTGGGATGACTGCCCTGTTAGCTGTTTCTCCCTGTTACCCATCTGGACCCTAGCATCATCCCTAGTATGGGGCCAATGTGTTGACATAAAGCCACATGCACAGGGAACATATGCTTGCAGAGACATCACATGGACACACATATGGGGCTCCCCCTCTTCCCCTGCAAAGGAAGACAGCCAGAGGGGAGCAAGATTCCTGGGATGCAGAAACAAAATACACGCAGCACCAATAACTGACCTCTTTTTTCTTTTTTTATAAATTGTTTGGCCTATGTTAAAAGGTTATAAGGCATTCAGCTGATTCTCTGTGTGTTAATAAAGAATAGCTTTATTTTTATGTTTTCCATGTTGTTCAGGCACAACATAGGCCAGAAGTTGGGACTGCACAAAAGAAATTCAAAACATCCAGATCAGGGTCTGTGCGTACAGGCGAGGAATGGGAAGCTACATCTACAGGAGGTCTCTTCTTGTACTATTTCCAGCGTTCTAATTCACCCTTTTGAGGTTTAGTAAAGTAACCACAGTAGCCAAAACTGAGGGTGTTAACACAAACTAAACCTCAGATCCCTTAAAAGCTTCCTCCTGGTGACTCCAGAGCTCCCGCATAAGCCCTCCACCCTGAGCCACCACCACCCGCATTGAGATGAGGGCTTTGGAGAGGATCATGCCACAGACACATCTTTCTATGTGTGTGACACAGCCTCTGCCAACTTGCAGTGAGACCTTGGAGGCCAAATATAACCAGTTACAGGAGTCCCCATCCTGTGTCTACGGCATCTGTGTGTGGAGGAGGGGAGGTTTTTCCCTGGATGCTGTTACAGCTGGGGTTAGAGATCACTGGGCTCCCCAGGAAACCTGGAAAGCATCTTACTCAAGCTGGCATTTGCTCCTGGTGATCCTTCCCTCCCACCAAAATCTACAACTGTATCTCTCAGGCTTTTGGGCCACTCATTATTCTCACAGTAAAATTTCTTTAATCTACTGGATACCACAGCCTCCAAAAAAACTCGGACAATAGGGAAAATGAGAGAGTAGACACAAAAAACAAAATTGATAAATCACTTGAAAACTGTCCCCAAATTACCGGGGAACATTTTTTCTTTCAAGTTCATCCTTCTGAAGTATGAATTGCATCAATTTCTTCTCCAATTTCATGACACTTTCACCTGGATTCTTAAGAAATCTTTGCCATGTTCTAGTTTCCTCTAATATCCCTGTCTTCCATATTATCAAGTTATCATTCTGCAAACAAACATCTAATTATATTCATATCTTTTGTCTTTAGTGGTTCCCTATTCTCTATACCAGGGGTCCCCAATCCCCCGGGGCCGCACAGCAGGAGGTGACGGCAGGCAAGTGAGCATTACTGCCTAAGCTCCTCCTCCTCCTGTTAGATCAGTGGCCATCGGCATTAGATTCTCATAGGAGCACGAACCCTATTGTGAACCATGCATGGGAAGGATCTAAGTTGTGCGCTCCTTATGAGATCTAATGCCTAGTGGTGGAAAAATTATCATCCACGAAACCAGTTCTTGGTGCCAAAAAGGTCGGGGAGCCCTGCTCTGTAGTATGAAAGATGAAATTTTAAACACACGCTTTTCACAGACATTAGAATATTCACATGTTCCCACCGAGGCTATGGACATCCATGTCACTATTCCATTACACGGTCTATATGACTCTCCTTCCGGACGTTCTTCCATTTCTGGTATTGACAAAGTGTTACTTCTTCAAAGGCCAACCTGTTTGACCATTTGCTCTGTAAAGTCTTCCGTAAGCCTTCAAATAGAGATACTTCTTCCTCTCCTCTTTTCCTTGATGTTTGCCTATATGTATCCTATTGTAAACTCTTGTTATCTTAGCTATTAGTTTGGCTCCTGTAATATAAAGTAAGCTCAAGGTGAGCATAAACCGCATTTTTAGGTCCCAGTGTAAGACAAGGCATATAAAAGATATTCAATAAATATGATACATATCAGAGGAAAATGAACGAATTCATAAACAAATGCCTCATTCAGTGGCCCTAAAGAAAAACACACTTGGTTTGGAAAGTGTTAAAGAGTGGTTAATCCATATGTAATTCTGTGCATTTACATACATATGTAAAATAGTACAGTTCATGTAAAAACAAATGTACAGATACACATCAAATTCATTACTTTATATATTCTGTGGGCACATGCATGCAACTTGAATGTTTCAGTTTAAAAAAAAAAAAAGTGCCCCAAAGGTCTTTCAGAGTCAGGTCTTTCTGTGTTGTTTTGGTTTTCCTTTTTGATTTTCTAATCACTACTAGGGATTCAATGATAAGATATACCCCATTTTTTAGCTATCCTCCTTGGCTGAAAGACAGCTTAAAAAAATTTTTTTTTTTCCTATTAGGAGCAATTGCTGCTATGAAATCCTTGGGCTTTCTACATCCTTGTGCACATATGCATGTTTTTCTTTTCTTTTCCTTTTTCTTTTTTTTTTTTTCCTAGACAGAGTCTCGCTCTGTCACCAGACTGGAGTGCAGTGGTGCGACCTTGGCTCACTGCAACCTCCACCTCCTGTGTTCAAACGATTCTTCTGCCTCAGCCTCTTGAGTAGCTGGGACTACAGGCGTGTGCCACCACGCCCAGCTAATTTTTGTATTTTTTTAGTAGACACGGGGTTTCACCATGTTGGCCAGTCCGGTCTCGATCTCTTCACCTCGTGATGCGCCCGCCTCGGCCTCCCAAAGTGCTGGGATTACAGGTGTGAGCCAATGCGCCTGGCCATATGCATGTTTTTCTTAATGGCAACACCTGAGAAAAAGAGCTGCTAGTTCATAGGAAATGTCCATTTTAAATGTTAATAACTTCTACAAATTTACCCTACAAATTGGTTTACAAATGTAGCTACTTCAATCTTTCTACTCTTTCATACTCCCATTTTATGCTTCAATAAATTCTAATAGATAGCTTCTAAAAGTGTAGTTCCAGATTTTTTTCAATGAATGCTTATTAAACTTAACATCAAATTTTCCTAGTTTCATTGCTAACCTTTAGTTCTTCTATCTCATTAGTTTCTCTTGGATTCATCTTTCTTGTTGTTATATAACTTCTTATAATACCTTCAGAGTGTTTGCAGGAGTTTGTCTTATTACTCATATGTAGAAAGCTATCTTCCTTTCAAGCTCATGCTCGAATAATATCACTAGGTAGAGAATTATGGGCTAAAATAAATTTTCCTGTAGCATTTTAAAATTTAAATTTCTTCCAGCATTTAAAGTGCTTACTGTATTCTTCTGTCTAACATTGATGAGAACTCATATGTCAATATGATTTCTCTTCTATTATAGGTAATCTTTATTTTTTTCTTATCTGATAGCTTTTGGGATTTTTCTCTTGATTCTTTCTGTTCTAAAATTTTACTGCAATATGTCTAGATGAAATAGTAAAGATTGGTAAATAATTAAGAAACTTTCAAATATTTGGATGTTTTATATTAGATGAGTGTATGAATAACTAAATACATACTTACTAGCTATTATTTACTAATAGGTACAATATAAAAGGGCATAGAATAACAGCAGAATGGAGCTCTGATTTTAGCTTGGCACTAATAGGCTGTGACAACTATCTGGATTTGTAACCGCTCTAGGTATCACTGTCTTTGTGGGTGAAATGAGAGGGTTATAGGAAGTACCTCCAAGATGATTTTCAGTCATAAAATGTTGTGCTAGGGACTCTGAGTTTTTAGAAACTCTAAAGGTTTTTATGTGGTCATTTCTTTTTTCTCAAGACAATATGGAACCTAAACAATATCAGTGATGTTGCTGTTTGTTAGAGCTATTTCTTTGAAATGATTTCTAGAAATCAAACATCTCTTAACTCTCTTCTCTTGTGTCTCTTTCGCCAGCAGCTAAATGTATGATTTTTCTTAAGTACAATAGATAAAATCAGGAGAATACAGGAGTATAAAAATGTCGTTAAATGTTTCTTTTAATCTTAGAGCTGAAGTAAAAGGGAGTGTGTATAGGTGAGTGAATTAAAGGATTCCATATGAGATACTTTATATATTCAAACTTTTGCCAAAAGGATACTTAAAACATTCACAAAGGGAATTCTAAGAAGCCAAAAGATTTCTCCCTCCAAAAAGACACAGGACCCCATTGAATTAAAGCTTCCGACCTCTGAGTACCAGGCTGCCCCTGATTAAAAACAAATGGAACACGTGCTATGCAGCATAAGTTTACCTGATTTATGACTTGGAAAATTAAGTTACTATTACTTATGGGGCTTGGAAGCAAAGGCCCAATGCAATAGCTAATTGAGAGTAGAGAAGGGGTATATGCTGAAATTGGGAAAATATATTTTAGGGAATGGCTGAGTGAAGACATCAGGGTATGTAATTAAATGGCTTTTTAAAAAAAAGTCACACTCCCAACAACCTCTTATATCAAACAATTGGAATGTGTTAGTTTTATTAACTGGTCTTCTGCCATTAGCTCCATCAAGCTGGGTATTATAGAGTTCACTTTCTTCATTGCCTATAGTAAACATATTAAAACTTGCATTACCAGGTGTCTCGTAATAATGGAGTATTCGTTTAGGAGAAAAATTTGCGGTAGTTCTCCAATAATTAAAGGCAATTTGAAATGCAAGCAATTTCTGAGTCTTGGTAAACTACCCAAATGACTAGGTAGTTCCTAGGTTCTTCATAGTCATAACAGTATGTTTTGATGAGTTTTCTGATTCATCAAATGAATCACCATTTAATCTTAAGAAGAAATGTTATTTTCTTAGGAGTTAGGGATCAGGAAGTTCTGGTTATGAAAGGTCAAATGCGGGAAGACAGGAGAAGGAATAAGACTATGCACAGGGCCCTTGCTACCAACTCTCATTCCAGTGTAAGTCTACTTTCCAAGCCACTCAGAAAGTTGCATGGTAGGGAACTAAAAATCTCATTATTTCTTACAGTTGGGCTGTGACTATTTGAGTGATAAAATTGATGACATATGGAGGGAGTTTTTGTTTTTATTAGACGATCAATTATTCTAGACACATGGCTGTAATTTGTTCTAATAACTACTGAATGTTTTTGAAATTGAAGGGTGATGCTGTCTAATCATAATAAAAACTGATTTTGCTATCATTGAACTTAGTTACTGAGGAAATATGAATATATACTTATTTAATTACAGTGAAAGAAAATTTTGGCAATTGAGAGTTATTTTACTAATTAAGACACTAAAAGAATATTTCTCTAACCTAAATCTCTCTTTTAAAATTCATACACTTTATTCTATAGTCATGATTCTTGTCTAGGGATGATTTTGCCCTCCAGGAGACATTCAACAATGTCGGGAGACATTTTTGGTAGAGGCCAGGAACGCTGCTAGCGATCTTACAGTACACAAGACAGCCCCTAAGATAAAAACATTTGTCAACCCAAAATATTGGCAGTACCAAAGCTGAGAAACTCCAAAGGAACTTTTAACCATTCAGTATATAGTTCATTAACTCAATAACTGAAAAGTCACATAAATGCAAACTGATTACTATTACTCTAAATGGACTCCATTTTTAAAAATGCGATTTACATACAATTTTTCAGGAGCACATTATCGTTGAACATGAGATAGAGCTGTACAGATTTAAACCCAACAAACAACGCCAAAAGAAAACCCACTCACCATACCATCTGCTGCAGGGAGGAACTTGACCAAGGCCTGACCTGGCACTTTGCCCCCAGTAAGAACTCAATAAATGCTCGCTGAAAGAGTTTTTAAATAATCAATTATTTGTTCAAAATATAAGGATAGGCTTTCTTGAGAATGTCTATGCTTTCTTTTTAATAAAGATCTAAAATGCCCAACGGGAGAAAAATTCATTCCTAAAGAAACTAGATTTGTATCTTATTCAAATTTAAAATAAAATTATTTTTTAAAAATTGTTTGGTTTTAAGATTGTTGAGTTGGTTGAAACAGAAAGTAGCTCCATGGCTATTTTAATCACAGCTCTGGCTCT
The DNA here is from genome assembly GCF_000001405.40 of Homo sapiens. Taxonomy (NCBI): domain Eukaryota; kingdom Metazoa; phylum Chordata; class Mammalia; order Primates; family Hominidae; genus Homo; species Homo sapiens. The sequence goes on from NC_000017.11 coordinate 71,900,781, forward strand.
GTTTCCATAAAAAACACTGACTGTTTCCAGATATAAAAACATTTGCACGACCTCCAGAGGGACGTTCCAAAGTAGCTTTCTGCTGTCTGCAAGACAGGCTGTGCCCAGGGACCCACTTTTCTCTATCAATCTCTAGCAAGAATGAAGTCTTCACTTTAGCTCAGTAGCCTGGGGGAGAAAAGATGTTTCACACCCACTAATTAGGGGCTGTCAGGTAACCCAGGTGACCCCTGAGATGCCAAGGTAATGAATTGTTTGGTCACGCTTCCTGCCACTCTGACTCAGAGATGCTCACACACCAACCGCCCATCTATGAGTCTCTAACCTTTTGGAGGTTTTCCGATCATGAATTTTGAGGAGTAGGAGAAGCCAGAGAAACAGTGGCAAAGACAAAGAGATCCTGAAAGGCCTGGAACCAGAGAAATCAAGAGCCAGAGACAGCTGATTTGGGATGGAAGTTTCCAGCCTTTCACTGAAGTATCTCTCACACATGTATAAACACAAAAAGTGAAATGTCCTTAAGCAACAATCTATTAGTTTAGTGTATCTAGCTGTGTGTAAACATCTAGAAACCATGCATCCCATTTTCTTGCTCACCTGACTTAAAAAATTGGCTCCAGACTAGTATAAGCAATTTTTCTTTATGACAAAGGATTTAAAAAGATTATAAGAAATAAAGGTAGAATTAAATATTAGGATAACAAGGTTTGGAGTGGAAGTTAAAGATGTAACAACCCCTACATCCCTCCCTATCTATCTATCTATCTATCTATCTATCTATCTATCTATCATCTACCTACCTACCTACCTACATATCTACCTCCCTCCCTCCCTATTCCTAGTCTATAATGTAGAAAAAAAGTACACTAACATTTCTTCCCATGGGCAATGATACTAATATTGTATTTTTGGCAGTTTTATCTGTACTTGAAAATAAATTAATGGCTCCCCAATGAAAGTCAAGTGCAAGTTAAAGATGGAAAATAATTGTATTAAGAAAAATGCATCATGCGGACTTAGCGAATTTTTAAAAGATATTTTCACAAAAAACTACTGAACCTAACTTCACTTGTGAGTCACGGCATAGAGCACGGGGAAAGGTCAGTCAGTACTTATTTATCAAAAGTGAGTAAATAAGGTTGATGCCATGAGATGTTCAGTTGTTTGAAAAGTAAGAAATCCAGCCTAATGTCTGCTTGTGTAATGAGTTTAGCCATGTGAAATTGCTGAGTTTTTAGGCCAACAGTAAATATCAACAATTTTACAAAGTTTAGCTTTGTAGCATCGTTTTTTTAAAAAAAATTGTTAGACAACATTTTAAATCTCCCTTCTTACTTTCCAAATCATCTGTGAAAAGGAATCTTCAAAGCTAAATCCTATCTTCCCCTACTGTTGGCATGGAAGGAAATCTTAGAAATAATTTTCTCCTCCGTAGGCATCTAAAATGAATTTTATTTCAAGAAAGAACCAATTATTTCTAGATAAATTGGGATTATGTAGGAAATGGGCCTGTGGGTCCACAGCCATGTTGAGCAGAGTAGGCAGAGGGCAAGGAGAACAAGGAACGGCTAACACTCACAGAGCCAGACCTGATTCTCACTTTTTGACGCATATTTACTCATCTAAATCTCACAAGAAACCAAAAAAATGGTATCATTACTGGCCCCATTTTATGGATGTTGTAACAGAGGCACAAGCAAGTTAATTCTTCTAAGGTCACACATTAGTGGATATTGAGACAAGATTCAAACCTAGGCAGTCTAGTTTCAGAACATACGTACTTAACCCCGGCACTGTACTTTTCCCCAAACAATACCCTGTCCTCCTTCTATATCCCCTTCCTCTGAATTGCCTTTCTTTTTTTCACCTAACTCCATCTGGTGAATACATTTGCATGGGCTCGTACAATTATTCTTTGTCTCTTGCTGCTGCAATGACAGGTTGCTGACAATATGAACTGTGTCTGTCTCATTTGTTAAGGCGTCTTCTTCTGGGTCTAAATGTGGGAGATGCTAAATCATTAGTTGGTGGAGTAAATTATTGTGTGAATGAATGAATGGTGTATTCCACCCTAGGCTAAGGAACAAGGGAAGATTTAAAGCATCAAGTCATTAAATTGAAGCATAAGGTGCCAATCACAGGCAAGACACAACAAAAGGGATTGGGGGCCCTTTTGGGTCAGTCTCTGGGGTGAGTCTGCGGAGGGCACATTTTATACTCTGCCTTGGAATGAGCACATGACATCAAGCCAGTTGGGTCAAAAACGTGTTCCATTCTTGCCTGTGTGCCTGATCCTCACCACCAATACCAAGAGAGCAGCTTTACTTTTCAGCTGCTTCCCAGCAGAGCCAAAGCACTGAGTCATGCACACTCTCCTTCTGATGCATTTCCAAGAAGATTGTCCAATATTCAGATTTTGCCCTGTGGCCCCCAACCCAGAAAATTTCCCCATGCAATCCAAATGGCAAAAACAAGAATTGAACCTGTGCCTTGGTCCTGATTAGCACCAAAAGGTGGCCAAAGTTCTCACTGTGGAGAGTGGAAATACAAACAAGCAAGGTATTGCATAATTGAATGTGAAATGTTTTCATGAATTTAAATGAGAAGTATTTAAACAAATTTACACTTTTCTGGATTATGATTCTGACTGCTTACTGAAGTTGCAGAAAAAGGCCAGGAGCAGTGGCTTATTCCGGTAATCCCAGCCCTTTGGGAGGCTGAGGCAGAAGGACTGCCTAAGACCAGGAGTTCAAGACCAGCCTGGGCAACACAGCGAGATCCTAGCTGTACAGGAAATTTAAAAATTAGCTGGGTGTGGTGGTGTGCACCTGTTGGAGCCTGGGAGTTCAAGGTTGCAGTGAGCTGTGATCACACCACTGAATTTCAGCTTGGGTGACAGAGTTAAACCTTGTCTGTTAAAGAAAGAAAGGTGCAAAAAAGACAACAAGATAAATGTTAAACAAAATAGGACGATGGACAGCCAGGGCCCATGCAGACTCAGATGAACACATTCCTACAGATGTTTCTGTGGGAAGAGAGGAGAAGAACGTGGGTGTTTGTGCTCATTTTCACACAGCCCTTTCTTTATCCCCAAGAAAAAGAAATATTACATCTGGAGCATTTCTTATTCTTCTCTTGGTTCAGAGTAAGGATGCTTTCATGTGTACATGCACACACAAGCATATGAGGAAGTCGGGGCCTATTAAGTACGGAGACCCCATATGGTTCCTTCATACCTCCCCCTATTCCAGAGTTGAAGCAATCATGGAAATGGACGGAGTCCAGAGTTTATTCCTCAAACTACATGTTCAGTCTTGAGCTTTATTTCTTTTAACCAAAGAGTCGTTATAAGCAATAATTATGATAAAAGGGTAATTAGATACAGATTTAAGGATAAATCAGAAGAAAACACAGTGAATCCTCTGCAATTGAAGTCCACATGCACTAATTCAAATTTTACATATTTCAATTAAAAAATAATTCGTGCTGCTCTATCTCCAAAGCCCATTTCGGATGGCATACTGCCTGCCAGTGTTTGGAGAACTCTGCTACTGAGGGTGGTTAGGTGGGTGTATTAGTCAGTTCTCATGCTGCTAATGAAGACATACCCAAGACTGGGTAATTTATAAAGAAAAGAGGTTTAATGGACTCACAGTTCCACATGGTTAGAGAGGCCTCACAACCATGGCAGAAGGCAAAGGAGGAGCAAAGTCACATCTTGCATTGTGGCAAGCAAGAGAGAGCATGTGCAGGGGAACTCCCCTTAATAAAACCGTCAGATCTCGTGAGACTTACTATCCTGAGAACAGCAAGGGAAAGACCCACCCCCATGATTCAATTACCTCCCATCAGGCCCCTCCCATGACACATGGGAATTATGGGAGCTACAATTCAAGATGAGATTTGGGTGGGGACACAGCCAAACCCTATCAGTGGGTGTGGACCTTCTGCAGCTGTCACAGCATTTACCCCAGGAAAACGTGTGCCTGTGCATCGCTCTGTGTGTTCAGGTGGTTTTCATTTGTCAGTACACATTCTCATAGATTGCCTCTTTTCTCCTTAGGTACTGCTGGAGGATTGTTAGATATAAGCTAATTCCTTACTCAACCATCCATTGAGCCCGTTAGATCCCAAGCAAGCATGTCCTACTCTTAGGATACAAAGATGATTCAGGCAGGGTCCCTGTCCTCAATACTTCACAGTAAAATGGAGGAAACTAGGCCGGGTGCGGTGGCTCATGCCCATAATCCCAGCACTTTGGGAGGCCAAGGTGGGCGGATCATGAGGTCAGGAGATCAAGACCATCCTGGCCAACATAGTGAAACCCCGTCTCTATCAAAAATACAAAAATTAGCTGGGCATGGTGGCACGTATCTGTAATCCCAGCTACTCAGGAGGCTGAGGCAGGAGAATCACTTGAACCCAGGAGGCAGAGGTTGCAGTGAGCTGAGATCCCACCACTGCACTCCAGCCTGGTGACAGAGGGAGACTCCATCTCAAAAAAAAAAAAAAAAAAGGAGGAAACTAACCAGTTACAAAATATGATCAAGTCTGGCAAGTACTGCAATACAAATAAACATGGGATTGCATGGGAACACAAAGGGATGGGGACTGCAGAAGCTGGGTGGAGATTGACAGCCTTAGAGCCACAGGGGGTCTGAAACTTGTTTGGCCTGGATGCTGCATATCATATATATATACCTGAATTTGAAGACACTTAGGGCTTTGAACTCAACAATTTGCTGCAGTCCCCACCCTGCCTAATTGCCTTCATTTACTTGGGTGGCCATTGCTGGTGACAGAATGAGAAAACTTGTTGAGTTCACAAGGGAACGAAGAAGCAATGTCCAACTGGCTAACCCTAGGCTCTACGTTAGCCACAAGGAGGAAGGGACGGGACTTCAGAAGAGCAAACCTTCTGTGAAATGGAGTGTGAGTGTGAATGGGACCCACTGCTGGAAAAGTCACATGGAGTTCCATATTTCTGAGGAGGGACAGTGGAGAACACTTTAAAGAACCACTAAAAATTCACAGTAACTTTGGAAATTAATTATATATATAAATATAATTAACATATATATTTCTATTTATATATTATATAATTTAATATATTAATTACATATTTCTATTTAATATATTATATAATTTAATATATATTAAATAGAAATATGTAATTAATATATAATTAATATATTATGCATTAATTATCTATTAAATATTAACTTTATATCATATATTAAACAAAATAAATTAATCTAATTAATATATAAATAAAATAAATTAATCTAATTAATATATAAATAATATAAATTAATCTAATTAATATATAAATAATATAAATTAATCTAATATATAAATAATATAAATTAATCTAATATATAAATAATATAAATTAATCTAATTAATATATAAATAATATAAATTAATATAATTATAAGATAGATAATTATATATAATTATAAGATAGATAATTATATATAATTATAAGATAGATAATTATATATAATTATAAGATAGATAATTATATATAATTATAAGATAGATAATTATATATATAATTATAAGATAGATAATTATATATATAATTATAAGATAGATAATTATATATATAATTATAAGATATATAATTATATATATAATTATAAGATATATAATTATATATATAATTATAAGATATATAATTATATATATAATTATAAGATATATAATTATATATATAATTATAAGATATATAATTATATATATAATTATAAGATGTATATTATATGTATTTCCTGTAAATATTATTTACAAATATATATTTACTTCTTCACAGCCATTTGCTATAGATTTCAAACAAGGCTTTTGTTTAATTTTGTTGTGTTTTCCCTTTTGAATACAGGGTCTGGATTGGGGTCACCAAATCAAACACAGGATGCCCAAATTTGAATTCCAAATCAACAATGAATTTTTAAAATCAAAGTATGTCCCAAATATTTACATAGGAACATACACTAGGAAAAAAATAGGCCCTAAATATTACACGGGACTTACTTTTAATGAAAAAAATGCTGCTTCTCTGAAATTCAGAATTCACTGGATGCCCTTTATTCTTGTCTGTGGAATCTGGCAGCCCTGGCATTCATATTGGAGAGCCCCTCAGGGCGGTCCTGTTTCCATGACGTAGCTTGCAGTTGGACAGACATTCAGATGCTTTCAGAAAGCCTAGGGAGTCTGGTGAGCACACATTAACATCTTTTAGCCCACAAACAGCTCCCTGTTCAGTCTGCAACCTCTTCCCACCCTCTGATATCACTCCCTATCCTTGGGCCACACTCCCAGACATCCAGAGAGCAGATTAGAAGGAAAGTGGGTGTGAACAGGTAACGCTGAGAATTTGGAGGCTGAGTGGGAGAGAGTAGGTGAGGAAGAGGGTAAATTGTCAACAAAACGTCAGCAGCTTGCTGGTGGAAGTTCAACAATGACCATGTTGCTTTAATACAAAGTGTGGGCCGGGCGCGGTGGCTCACACTTATAATCCCAGCACTTTAAGAGGCTGAGGTGGGCAGATCACCTGAGGTCAAGAGCTCAAGACGAGCCTGGCCAACATGGTGAAACCCCATCTCTACTAAAAATACAAAAATTAGCCAGGCATGGTGGCTGCATGCCTGAAATTCCAGCTACTCGGGAGGCTGAGGCAGGAGAATTGCTTGAACTTGGGAGACAGAGGTTGCAGTGAGCAGAGATTGCGCCACTGCACTCACTCCAGCCTGGGCAACAGAGTAAGACGCGAGACTCTGTCTCAAAACAAACAAACAAACAACAACAACAACAACAACAAAGTGTGGCCCAGATCCTGCAAAGCCATCCACGTTTTGGCCTATCATGGTTCCATACAGAAGAAAGTGGCCAAGGAGTCTGTTCTAGATGCAACTCAATCCCAACACAGATGAGGTGGCTCCTTTGGAGATATTTCCCCGAAGTGCAAGCACATCACTGCTCACAAGCACTGGTTACCAACCTCAGAACCCGGTTGCCGGCAGCATTCCAAGCAGTTGACACCCTTGCAACAACCGTTTTCCATTTTTTCTCGAATCCAGCCACTGATCCTTGAATTAGTGTCGTAGGAGCTGTCTTCAGAATAGAGCAAGAAGGGACCCTGAAATCGCCAGAGGCATTTTGACTCAATCTTCCAACGTGGAATTAAAATCTTAATCTAATTTGAGACAGTTATTTGGGGAATCTGTGGACTTGTCATAAGGCAGATAATTAAAGCAGAACTAAGAGATTTGAGCCTTTCTTTGTGAGGAAAATGTAAAAATGTTGGAGTAATTTCTTTTTTTATACATCCCATACAAGAAAATTACATGATAGACACCAGGCAATGTACTTGGTCTCAGTAACCAGGCTGGGCATGGGGGAAAAGGGAAGAAAATAAAAGATCCTTTTCCATCAAGTTGTTAGTAGTAATGCTTTTTAATTATTTATTTTGCCCTTGTCACTAGCCAACTTGACAAAACACACTACAGAATACAGTTAAATGTATTTACTTTATTTCTTTTAACCAAAGAGTTCTTATAGCTTATAAACAATAATTATGATTGATAAAAGGTCAATAGATACAGCTTTAAGGATAAATTACAAGGAAATACATTCATTCTTTCATTCATTTTGAGACAGGGTTTCACTCTGTCACCCAGGCTGGATGCAGTAGCACAATCAGAGCTCACTGCAGCCTTAACCTCCTGGGCTCAAGTCATCCTTCCGCCTCAGCCTTCCGAGTAGCTAGGACCACAGGCACATGCCACCACATCTGGCTAATTCATTATTACTATTTTTTTGAAGAGATGAGGTCTCACTATGTTGCCCATGCTGGTCATGAACTCCTGGGCTCAAGTGATCCTCCCACCTCAGCTTCCCAAAGTGTTGGGATTACAGACATGAACCACCTTCCCTAGCCAATGATTTCTTTTTAAACCCATATTCACTAATTCAACTTTTACATATTTCAGTTAAAAAAAAAACAAAAACTCATGCTGCTCTATCTCCAAAAGGCCAATTCCAGATGGCATACTGCCTGACAGTTTTAGGAGAACTCTGCTACTCAGGGTGGTTAGAAGGGTGTGGACCTTCCCCCAGTGTGAGGCCTAGAGCAGCTTACCTGTCATAGCATTTACCCCAGGGGAATGTGTGTCTGTGCATTGCTCTGTGTATTCAGATGGTTTTCATTTGTCATTACACATTCCCATAGATTCCTTATCTTCTCTTCAGGTACTGCAGGAGGATCATTAAATAAAAGCAAATTCCTTACTCAGATAAGCACAGGATTCACCATTTTGGGCATCTAAATAATTTTTTGGCCCTAAGGCCAGGCAAACACCAACGTTCAAGGATCAGAGAATCATATTCTTTCCTTCCACCATTCATCAACATTAAGAAAAAAGAACGTTATGTGTGAGGAACAACTGTTCTCATTTGGGATGCCAGTAGAGGACTTGAGGTTCCTAAGGAGAGAGTCAGTAGTTTCATGTAACTCACGCAGGGAACATGGGATGGGGTGGAGGTGGCATTTCCTGAGGTCCTGACGTCATGTCACTATTTTTTATAGGAATCCTCCCACTCTTTGTCTGAGAACTTCATTATGTCCCCTTCTGGAGAGGCCCTAAGGACCAACAGAGAGGCGTTGTTCTACCCTGGGTACGGAGACTCCAAGATCTTGTTTTGACCTTGAGCAAATCCCATAAAGTCTTGGGACTCCATTTTACCATCTACAAAATAGAAATAATTCTACCTGCTCCTCCCAACCTCACAGGGTTGTTTTAAGGGCAAAAAGTTAAGAGCATCAATTTTAAAGCATTCAGAAGTCACAATTAATGCAGCTTAGCATTCATGTAAAAATGACTTATTATTCTGACAAAAGTATCAGCATTCATCGATTTTTGTCAATGGACAGCTATTGTATAATCCCCTGCAGGCATGCCTAGTCCCATTATACAACAGATTGCTTTTATCTTCTCACTGACTGCCTGGAATATTCTTCTGTCATGTAGCATCATGGTAAGTTTCCTCACCTTCTTCAAGATTTGCTCAAATACCATCTTCTCAATCTCAACCTTATCTTCTGCTCTATTTTACTCAAATTACAACACATCCCTCCACTCCTGGCATCCCTGATACTCCATGCACTGCTACATATTTATCCATAGAACTGATTTCTTCCAACATACTATAAAATATATTGTGCTTAATATAATTATGATTGAAATAATACGTTAATTTGTATCATAAACACGTCACTTATTATGTAGATGATCTATTGCCTGTCTCTGTTTCACAAGAGCAGAGATGTCTGACTTCTTTATTAAAGTACTCCAAGCTTACTAAGGCCAGGGCCTGGCACAAAGCAGACACTTAACAAATATTTGTTAACTAGTAAATTAAAAATAAACCTGAGGACATTCAGTGCACACTAACTATATGAACTCCGTGTTCCTTGGCTTAGAATCCAAGGCCATCTGCAATGTAGTCTAAATTACCTTTTCAGTACCATCTTCCTCTTCCCACTCTTTGGTTTCCTTCTTTCATAAGCACACATCCCAGCTAATCTGGATTGTTCCAAATATCCTGCAGAATTGTGTAAACGTTTAAAACCTTGTCTCTTTTGCTTAGAATGCCTACTCCCCACATGTTCTCATTTCAAATGCTATTTATCTTTCAAGTTCAAATGCCTTTTCTTCTATGCAGCCCTTCCGGATTTTCAAACAAGGACATCATCTTCCCCTCTTCTTAACTCAGTGCCTCTAGTATGGCCCTTATGTTTACATTGCACTGTAGTTATTTGGAGGCATATTAGTCTGCTGAGGCTGCCATAACAAATGCCACTGGGCTTAAACAACATAAATATATTTCCTCACAATTATGAAGGCTAGAATTCTGAGAGCGAGCTGCTAGTAGGGCTGGTTTCCTCTGAAGACTGTCTTTTTTGCTTGCAGATGGCCGTCTTCTCCCTCTGTCTTCACATCGCCTTCCCTCTGCATGCGCCTGGGTTCAAATTTCTACTTCTTATAAGAACACCAGTCATATTGGAGTAGAGCCCCTCTAAGGACCTCATTTTAACTTAATTACCTCTTTAAGGTCCTATCTCCAAATACAGTCACATTCTGAGGTACTGGAGGTTAGGACTTCAACATATGAATTTGTGGGGAACATCATTCAGCTCCTGATGGGCTCCTATCCCTTGCTCAAGGAGCTGCAAGTTCCTTTAGGATAGGCCCTTGGTCTCATCTATTTTTGTAACTTGCAAGCAATCTAGCACAGTTTCAGACCTAATTATTTCACAAAAACTGTTGAGTGAGCCATGTTTCCCAGCACAGTCTTACAGAAACCAGAGTATATGATGAAGATTCTCTTGACTCCTTCATTTCTTGCTCTTGGCAACACCTGCCGGATCAACAGGATCTTCTTGAGTTCCTCTTGACTTAGTTCTTTATCAATTTTCCTTTCCTCCAAGTTTGCTCCCCTAAAGATCCATTCCCAGTTGAAGAACTATTTGCTTCTTCAATTGCTTTTTTTGCAAATGAGAATAAATTAAGCATTTATTGTAACTAAGCACTCTTGCAGCTTTCAATGAGGGCAAATCTTATGTGAATGGGCTCACGTCATAGGAGATAGAATATGGTTAAAATTTAGTCAAAACTTCTACCTGAACAATGTTATAACTAATCATTCTAAGAAAAGTTAGAACCTGTCTATTTTGTATTTAGTACTTGTTGACTTTGAAGCACATGGTGTCCTTGACAACCTGTACTTTAACTGTAGGATTTCTAAAGTTCTAATTAGAACTTTAGAATTGTGTACTAGAATTGTGCATTTCTGTCAAAACATGAAATGCCATTAGCTAATACAGGATTACATCTTGAGAAGGCATTCATTGAAAGAACTCTAAAAACCTGTGTTTGGTGATTTACAATATGACTACTGTGAGCCTGGAAACACAGAGAATACTTAATTTTCTGGAAAATGGTTGACTTTTTATAGTACAAGTGAAAGATCTCACGTAGAAGTTCAGTTATATATTAAACATTACAGTTAGCATTTACGAACAGAACTGTGACTCCCAATTTTCTGTTACTGAAACAAACATACAGCCCCTCAGTAGTACCGAGGCCACGGAAGTAATTTCTTGTGTTTTTTAAAAAAGCATACCATTTGGAAGTTTATGCTGAAGAACAAGAGTACCCAAAGCTCTGAAATTAAACAAAATAATCCCTGCAGTAACCTTGAAGACTAGGAAGTAGTGTTTACAGGAAACAGAAGACTGGGTTAGGCTAGAAAATTTTAATTATAGATCTGTTTCTACCAGACATTTCTATTGTTTTGGTGAATTGGGTAACTGATAATTGGTAACTGATAATTGGGTAATCTTTGGGCTTCAATATCTTCCTCTGTAAGAAGAAAGGGCAGATGAAATAACTGTGATCCTTAAGGCAAGGCTGAATTGTGACCTTTGGGAACTTCTCCATGAATTTGGATCATATTGCAAAACCGTTCTCCACTTGATGGAAACCCCATTGATTATCTCAAGGAGTACTTAGATCGGGTAGAGAACAAAAGGCAGAGTTCATAGTACGATGGCAAGGAAAAAGGTCCCAGGACACGCCCTTTCTACAAGGAACCATGACCGTGAACAGGGTTTTCTAATCCTGTTAGTGCCTCCCACCTGCTGAAGTGAAGACACTTAGACTGTTCATCCAGAGGTCCCATGGTGAAGACAGTAAACACCCACAAGACATTGTGATGATGAAGGCATATTAGTAAAACAAACTTAACCCCTTAGGTCACACTATGTCACCTCCCAGCTATTTTATAAGGTGTGACATGTAAAATACAATAACCATGAAGATGCTGTTGAAACCATAGGTCAAGTTCACATGGAAATAATGAAGTCAAGAGGAAAATTGACTACTTTTCCCCAAATTCCTAGATAAATGGTATATTGGTCCTGCATTGTTTAAGCATGCTTGTCCTAATTAGCCTAATTTTTTGTGAATTTATTCTAAAGGAAAAAATCTGAGTACCTCTATAGCAAATGCTGGGAGCTGCTGACATAGGCATTGCCTAACAGCTCCTAGAAAAACCTGCCTGTTACCATTCCTGATAGGTTGAACATCCATCCACCAGCTGTGAATAAAAGACCACACAGCCTTCAAGCAATCTGTCCATCAGGGAAAGCCCCATATCTGGTCAGATCGCAATGAAATTTATTTGGGTTATTTTATATTAGCAAGGTGTTTTCTTCTTCTTTTACTTGGCAAATCTCATCAAGCCCTAGGTGTGCAAAGTAAATTGATTATTAAGAGTTGACCCACTAAGCTTTCAGAAACATGGAACATCCAAAAAGCTCATTAAGTTAGACATCTATTAATTGAATCCTGTTGGCTCATAAACTCCAACAGAGGAGTATCTCAAAGTTTATAGAGAAAGTAATAATAATTATGCATGGCATCAGGCAACAAATAATCTACTTTCCATTATTATACATTGACCTTTTCTTGACATTTCATATGAATAGAATGATACAATATTTATAATTCTTAACATGTCTTTTGCATATGACTTCTTTCATTTAATAAAATATTTTTAAGGTTCATCCATGTTGCAGCATATATCAGTACTTTGTTCCTTTTTATTGCCAAATAATTTTCCATTGTGTGGGATACTCTACATTTTGTTTATCCATTCACCGATTGATAGACATTTGGATTGTTTACATTTTGAGGCCATTTTGAATAATGCTCTTATGAACATTTACATGTAAGCCTATGTGGATATATGTTTTTATTTATTTTTTGGTAAATACCCAGAAGTAAAATTATTGAGTCATGGTAAACTTACATTTACATTTAAGAAACTGCTGAATTATTTTCCAATATGGCTACAATATTTTGCATTCCCAACAGCCATGTAGGAGGCTTTAGGTATCTTCACATTCTTGCCAACATTTGTTATTATCTGTCTTTATCATACTGTCAAGAGTTTTGGCACTCAGCTTATATTTTGGTCCATGCGAATCTGGATATTCTCTACGTAAATAAGTATGCACAGCAAGAAAAAAAATTTTTAAGCTATTGATAAATTGCCATAAGTGTATGCACACTTAAAGACTTCCTGATAGTCCATAATCATTTCCTCTATTACATCAAAAGTTCCCAAATTACAACCTGTCACTCGCTTTACCATGTGAAAATAAGCTATTGTTCTTCTCTCTGCATCTTAACTATTTGATTACCTCCAATGTTGCCTAGTATGAAAAAGTTTCAATTGCAGCCAAGAAAAAATAACCCAGAAGTGGTGAAAGAAGAAATGACAAACTGGAGTTTTTCAATAGACACAGAAAAGTATGGAGCCTGATGTTTCTAAAAAGGAAATGGAAGCAGCTCAAGATCATAGCTGCAAAATCTAGGCTGCGAGCCTTGGCTGCTTCGCATTTCATCAGTTACCAGTGGCTCCACTGAAATAGAAAGGTTAGTCATTACTCAGTGGAAAGTTTCGTTGAAGAAAAAAACATATATACTTATGGAATATCTTGTCCAGACCACAAATCACTTTACAAGTGACAATCAATTAGGACCCATAACACATGCACAAGGCAGTTCTACCCCATGTTGCAGCAAAACCTTGCTGAACCTAATTATTTCTTTGGACAGATATTTGGAGGAGAGTACTGGGACACTGAAATTTCATGAAAACTTTTTTAGAACAGATAAAAGCCACTTATGCATGTTGAGGGGAAAGACATCCCTTTGTTTAAGCCACCTAGAAAAGTAGCAGAATACATCTAATAGATTTGTCATACATTATAAGTTCCTCCTCTTTGGGGAATATGGGTTAAGTGAGACTCTTCCCACTTGGTTTTAAGACATTTAATGGTATTTTTCTCATTTTTATAATATCTAACTTTGACCAACACAGACTAGTAATAGTGGTAGACTCTTTAGTTTGCAGCTTATTCAACAAACAGTTATTGAACACTAACTGTATGCAGGCATTGAACTTCCTAGAATTGTCAAATCAAGTATTTTTTTTCTAGCAGTAGTGTCACAGCACTAAGGTTGCTGGCAGTCGGTGCTGACAAGGTTGGGCATGGGAGGTGGAAGAACCACAAGACAGGTTAAATCATGAAACCTTTGTGGTATAAGAGAAGGAGCTAAACAGAGAAATTCCAACTCTTATTCTCTAGGTTTATGACATCATTAGTGAGTCCATTAAGTACTTTGTTGATGTTGGGGTGTTCTATTCCCCCTGAAATCCAGAACTTTTCCAGTTTTGGTCAATGCTTGAGCCATCAGGCCAAGTGCTATTTTCAGCTCCGGCAGCTCCCTTGTTTTGTGAGTTCAGCCCAGACAGGAAACCACCCAGTCTGGGAAGGTTCAGTTAGATCCCAAAAGAGCACACACACTCAGGTGCAAGATCTTCAAGGCAGCAAAGGATGTTACAGTTAATCACACCCTGCCTAAGAAGTGAACATGCAGTCATTGTTTTTCCAAGAGATGAATGCTACTTAGTGTGTGTGTGTGTGTATGCATGCAAATATTCCGGGTAGATCTAAAAGGTGTTTTATAAATCCTGCTGCTCTGCTCCATGTAGACCATGTAGATTTCCCATGGATTTCCATAGAGAATCGGTGAAAAGCTTAGAAATAGTTTTACTCTAGAAAGCCTTTTTCCCCCCCCCACTGGAAGTGGCTCTGATTAAAATTTTTATGTGTAGGGGAAGAATGTCCAGCAGATTTTGTAAATGGACAAACTCTCTGCCACATACAGAACTGTGGTCTAGGATTTGGAAAACTTTTTTAAGGTGTTCTTGACTTACAAGGAAGGAAGCTTATCTGAGGCTCCAATTAAATTAGTCCATCTGGCATTGCTGGTCCTACCAATGCCAACAGTGGCGTCAGAGATTAAGGAAGAGAGGAAGAGGGTACTAGGAGACATCAGATCATCCAAAAGTACATGTGATATTTGGGACATAATTATACTAAAAAATTACTCATTGTTTATCTGAAACTCAAATTTAACAGAGTTTCCTGTATTTTCTCTGGCAACTCCATCATTGATACTCATCACTCACCTTTGTGACTGAGGACTAAGCTCTGTTTTTGTTTTGTTGTTTTGTTTTGTTTTGTTTTGTTTTGCTTTGCTTTGTTTTTGATCTTGCCCAAATTCCTATCTAAGGGGTCCAGGGAGTCAGGCCCTATAAACCATAAATTCTCACTAGATGGGTTTTACTAAACCCTATATATTGTGTCCTACTTTCCAATCTGACTCTGGCATAACATTATGAGACAAGGAAGAAAATCAAAATATTTTCCCCCCAAACATGTTTCTTTGCCATATCCTGAAATGGCCCTGAAAAGCTGTCCTTGGTAGGGGAAAATGTGTATCCATAAATAATCTGTGTTAACTTAGTTAGATCTTTTTCTTCCGGGCCTTCCCAATCCTGAAGAGATTAAGTAAGAGCCTAGCAACTTTTTGAAGGTCTGAATAGGAAACATTTGTCATCTATTGTCTCCAAGGGCTGCCACTATAAGACTTCAAAAGGACCTTGGTCTCCACAGTCTTTTATTTTAACCTGAACATTTCCTTTCTATTGATCCCAGGTCTTTAGACAAACTCAACCAATTGTCAATCAGAAAATGTTTGAATTTACCTATAGCCTGGAAGCTCCCTGCCCCCAACCTTTGAATTGTTCCATCTTTCTGAACCAAATCAATGTGTTTCTTAAGTGTATTTGACTGATGTTCATGCCTCCCTACAATGTATAAAACCAAGCTGTACTCCAACCATCTTAGGCACATGTTCTCAGGACCTCCTGAGGGCTGTGTTATGGGCCATGGTCACTCATATTTGGCTCAGAATAAATCTCTTCAGATATTTTACAGAGTTTGACTCTTTTCATTGACAGGACAATCCTCCTGCCTCAGCTTCCTGAGGAGCTGGGACTTCAGGCATGCACCCCATGTCCAGCTATTTTTTGTATTTTTTGTAGAGATGGGATTCTTGTCGTGTTGCCCAGGCTGGTCTCGAACTCCTGGGCTCAAGCAACCCTCCCACCTCAGCCTCCCAAAGTGTTGGGATTAAAGGTGCCTGGCCTGTTTGATCTTTATTTGCCCCAAGGGCCTAGAGTTCAAAACAAAATAGATCATCTACTAATGCTCATTGGATGAGTAGATGGATGGATTATTAATATAACTCAAATCTTTAATTCTTCTAAGTTCCATATTTCACATTAAGTGTCCAATTTTAAGTTCATTGGGGAAATAAAATCAATGAGACCATTCAGTTACATGAATTAAGATCAGACTATTTGATATGGGAGTTAGTTTCTGCATTTGGCAGGTTGATACCAAATTGGGGTGAAGTGCTCTCTTGGAAGGTGAAACGAAGAAGTTCTATTCAATCCTGAGTAGCTAACACCTATTGACGCCTCATTATAGGCTACTATATCTTTGTATTAACATTTAATTCTCACAAAACCCTAAAAGGTAGGAGACTAACTCTCTTTCACAGATGAGAAAAGTAAGACACAGAGAAGTTAAGTAATTTACTCAACATTACACAGCTGTTAAGTAGTATTGGAATTTGAAGCCAGGCAGTCTGGCTTCAAAGCTAGTATCATAGTATCATAACTATACAGCTACGCAGCATCTCAAATAGAAAGATACTAGGTATTTAACTATGCTGGCTCCATAGCTTTAGCTTCAGGAAGTAAGTGAATTTTTCTGGAATATCTATGTCTGGCCTTCTTTCTCTACTAGCCAATACTATTCATGAATAGAGCTGTCAGAGTCATCTCCTTCTGCAACCCTCTCTCTCCCTCTCCCCCATATAACCCTCAGCCAACATTGCAAATGGCTTTCCGAAATAGTGACAACATACAAGAGAAACTCCCAATGGAACTTATGCCCCAATTTCAAGAGTTGAAGTAAATCCTCCTTCCCTCCAACCTCTGCCCCAGAAAAGAGAACAGGGTAGAAAAGTAGAAACAATTCATGCAGTCTAAGAAGACATATTTTGTGAAACTTGGTGCTTGTTGAGTGGAGAGGATGGGACTGAAGATATCTCACAGACTGTAGACTCAAGTCCAATAGGTAAACAGAGACCCGGAAAGCTGGACATAATTTATGTTATTAAAAGATGACTCAGGTGATCTCAAGTGACTCATACCATTCATGTTTTGAGGAGAAAATGATTTTGGAAAATTTCTTAAAGTCATTTCACATAGAGAACTATAAAAATATTAGGTGTCACGCTATTTTATCTGCATTTGATGGAGATGTAATGTGCTTTATTATTCAATTTAAAACTAATATTTTAGGTGATGACAGGTTGAGAAGACTGGATTCACAGAACTGGAACTGGAAATTATCAACTGGGAAAATCTAATGCAGCTTGACTGATGGCTGGAAGGAACAGTAAGCTTGAATTAGCATTTTGGAAAGCCAATTCATCAGCTGTCATAAGCCAATGTTAAGGGGAAAAATAAAGTGTTAAAACATGAGATCTTTCACTTAGAAAGAAGGAAAAAATGCTACAAAAGGCCAATGGCTTCATATTAAGAGACATTTCCAAAGAAGGGTGTCCAAAGTATATCCTAAGATTTGTTTTTTTCCAGAACTACTTCTAAAGAAAACTAAATAATTATTCACTTGTAATGATTTGGGTAAAATTCTCACTGGACAAATAGGGATAACCAGAATGATGCTTTATTTCCTAAGATTATTTGAATTTCATGTCAGAGGGCTTTCAGTTCAACGTACAGTGACCTGTATTCATTTCTATTCCATCATCTACCCATATCTTGCCACAACAGCCCACTGGATTTTGGTGTTCCAGGGCTTAAAAACACAGCTGAGGGATCTGCTACTTCAGAAACATTGAAAATCACTGGCACTGTCTTGGGATATCAATGTCCTATGTTCCATGTTCCTCAACAAAACAACCAGATGCCTCAAATCCACAATACTTTCAACATTCTGAGTATAGTGAGGAAGAAGAGAAATGCCTGCTCTATTTAACCAACACCACCCAGGCCATAGGGTCTTCTCACGGTCAAGCTCAGTAGATACAAGCAAACCCAATACAGGATGCAGTAGGGTACATGATCCAGGTGTGTAATTGCCCAGGTCTGTTGATCCATTTCATCTCATCAGGATGCAAAACCTCATTTTCTCAAAGCAAAACTCTCAGCTTCACTCCTGGGTGGAGGTGAGGGGGAGCATATAGATCAAACACAAATAATGAGAATGCAGAACTTCCTGCACCCACCTTTCATGGAAGGGAAACTCTTGAGTAACCTTATCAAAGTGGATATGACCAAGGGGTACCATTCTTTATGCTTTGGATCTGATGCAGTCTCAAGTCAAATTGATTCCCTTATTAAGAAACATCAAGAAAATTTCACACAGAAAACACTGATGGTACAGGGAGATAAAGGATGGAATAGGAAAAAGAAAAGAAAAAAACAGAGCAAAGCGGGTAGAGAGGTTTCCTGAAGCCTTGCTCAGATTGAGACTCTGAATCTCTGCCAGACCATGTGAGGCTTGCTGTTGTTTTTCAAGTCTCTGTTTCATTAAGACCAGGAGTTGGGCAAAGTTCCCTCTTGATCATGAGGCCAATCTGCTTCTCTGTTATTGCTACCATTGAGAAGGAAAGAAAAAAACATATTTGGCATTATAGCTTAGACAAATCTACATTTCATTGTGGAAGATTTGTGTTCATTCAACTTTACTCAGTTCCGATCTGTTCCAGCCAAATCACTTTTTTTATCCTTCTTCCTCATTATAGTAGGGAACAAAAGGAAAAGACAGGAGATAGAGATGGAAATAGAGATAGAGATAGAGATAGAGATAGAGATAGATAGAGATAGAGGGGGAAAGACAGGGGAGAAATAGAATATAGGCTCCTTACGGCCCAGTGAATTCTGCCCAGCCCCCTTTGAAGTGGTACATTTCCTATATGTGTTCAAAGATTTGGAATTTGGGTTAAACTGTTTCTTGATCACCAGTTGTTTCAAATATGGAAAGAAAATAAGGAGTCATTATGGCTTGGTTGTTTTTTAAAGAAATAAAAAATCTTTTATAAGGCTGAATACAACACAAGTAGGACTATCTTGGTTTCTACCCTCAAAATAAACCCTTGTTTCTAATATGACAAAAGAACTTCGTTTTAGAGCGATTATATCCATTACACTATTCCATGTCTTGATCTTTTAAAGGAATGTTAACAGAATGTCTCAGGCTTGACCAGTTGTAGACAATAATTATGCCTAGCGGTTCCTTAAGATCCTGTGACCAAATGATTCATGGCAAGCCCCGTTTAGCATTTATCAGTGTATTTGCTAGTGGCACAAAACAGTCCCTATTTCAAGAGAACTCTTCGATGTGAAGCTGTAGACCACAGAAGATGAAAGACAGAAAACCTGGAAAATAAAAACCTCATCTTCGAAACTGGCATTAGCCGACTGTAATATTTAAAAACAACAACAAAATCTAAATAAATAAAGTAGGGCTACAAGACTTCAGTTGAAACCAGAACCAGTTGTCCAAGTGCCTTATCAGGAATGATCCGAGCCCCGAGATGGAGGTGAAGTGAATGAAGTAAGCGAGCTAGAAAATCAGATCCTCAGAACAGGCAAATCTACCCTTCTCAGGTTCTTATGCATTTGGAAAAGGTCTACTGCATTTGGGATTATTTGACTTTAAAAAAAAAGAAAAACTGGTGACTACTGACTTCATTTTCCTTAAAAGTATAGATAGATATGTATACACATATAGCTGTACAAATACACATTCCAAATAAATTAGAAAATGATATGATTAGTTTAGCATGGTGGTTGCAGTCACTTGCACGAAAAAAAAAAAAAGGAAGAAAGATCTAACTGCCTGTTTCTGGCTATTTAAGGAATTTAAAGGACTCCACACAGGTTTATCCTAGTAATGCATTCTGAGTTTGGAAACTTAATATCCGCCATCCTGATCAAAAATGACCAAAATTGATGTGACCAAGTCTCTGAATTGTAGAATATTTCAGAGCATGTTTTGAATATTACCTAGTATTTGTCCTACACAGCCAGAAAAGGCCAACTCAGGAGGCAGGGGTTGGGAAAGGGAATAAAAAAGAAGAAGAAAGAGTAGGGAGTGCAGGAGGAGAAGTGGGGAAGAGGAGTGGGGAGAGGTAGAAAAGAGGAAAAGAAATAAATAAAAATTACTGGCCAGGCACAGTGGCTCACGCCTGTAATCCCAGCATTTTGGGAGGCCGAGGTGGGCAGATCACAAGGTCGAGAGATCGAGACCATCCTGGCCAACATGGTGAAACCCCATCTCCACTAAAAATGCAAAAATTAGCCAGGTGTGGTGGTGCGTGCCTGTAATCCCAGCTACTCGGGAGGCTGAGGTAGGAGAATCACTTAAACCCGGGAGGCGGAGGTTGCAGTGAGCCGAGATCGTGCCATTGCACTCCAGCCTGGGTGACAAGAGTGAAACTCCATCTAAAAAGAAAAAATAAAGTTACATTATGATACAAGAAAGAGGTGATTTATTTCCACCAATCATCGCCAAGAACCTGATATTTTCACCAACCACAGTGCAACGTGCATGATTTAGATCCAGCACCTTTAAGCCGCTTACCTAATGAATGATTCATACCTCAGATCAAACCCAAGCTACAAGTAGCACATTGAATTAACTTGAGAGGGATAAAAGAACCCACTGTAAGCTCTCTTCCACTCATTTCAAAATGAACTCCAAATCTCTTTGGTTTTCTTAGGAGACTTTCAAAAACTGACCTGTCAGTAGCACACTGAGACTTACTGCATGACCAGAGGATATAAATGTTAGGCATGGTACATTTTTTTTCCTCAATGCATTTGACTGTATAATTGTTATAACAGTTTTTTCTTCATCCATATTTACCTTAGCAGACAAATTACAAGACAGGAATTCTGAAAAAATTGGCACTTACTTGATATCAATAAGTCAGTGGGAGAAGTGTGAAGTCTTATCTTGATCAGAACATTCTCATTGACTGCTTAAGTAAACCACATCACCAGATGACTACACCAACCCCACCTAACCCAACACTGCTGTATGCTGAAATAAAACACAAGCCAGAATAAGTGTCTGAACCACATACTTCCTGGGTGCCTACTGTTCTAAGCACTATGCTGGCTGCTGGGCGAATAAAAGCTGGTAAACAAGAGAGGCATGATCATTGGTTTTACAGATTTTTCATCTAGAGAGTGAGAAAGTCATTCAGGAAATAGTCATCCAAATGTGTCAAGTACTGTGAAGGGCAAGTGCTGGGTATCGTGACATCATAAAGTGGAAGGACCTAATTTAGGTAAGGTAGAAAGGGGAAAGATATCAGCAAAGGTCTGAACTTGTTACAAAAACCTTATTTTCCATTGCACACTCAAAATCTCACAAAAGTGACATAAAAGACAATCTGAGTGAGCAAAGGAGTGAGGGTTGATTGATTCATTGGAGTTTTAATTTTTATCTTGTTTGAAAGTACCTTTTTTTTTTTTTCTCCAGGTAAATGGGATACAGGATTCCACTGAGAAAACAGAATCAACAAGAGAGAGTAGACAGAGGCTTTCTGAACTGGAAGTCAACATGAGGCAGCTACCATAAAGCCATGGAGTAACTATCAGTGAGTTTCTGCCATCAGGTGGGAAGAATTCTCTTTGCTTATGTCATGGTGAAGGGATATCAGGTGACTGAAGCAGAAATTCACCCAGAAGCCCTGAAGCTGGAGGCACATGCTTTCAGTCTTTATTGCAATTCTCAGGAGCCCACATCCTGTTTTCTCCCAGGCTCTGAACTCATCTGCATAGTCAGAATGTTCCTTCCAGCTCTGGGTCTCTGTGCTGGGTTGGGAACTATTTTAATAGCCCCTTGATGCCTCATAGGTTTACTATGAATGGCATTGTGCAAGAGGGGCCCAGCTCCTGGTGTCTGTTAAATTATACTACTATTTTGCACCTTGAATTTCCATACACAGAGCAAAATGTAAAGCCCTCAGTCCTTCTTACCTATAGAAGAACCAAGACTAGGACTCAGGCTTCCTGATTCCTTGCCGGAATCCTTGCTAAAGCGTTTATTTTTGTATCTGTGGGTAGCAAGGGGAAAAAGGTACCTTATCTTTTCCAGATTTGAGGTTTGTAAAATATTATGTGCCCTTGTCTAAATTGCAGTGTCACTTTCTACAGTATATTTGTATTATTAAAAATTGATCAAGTTAAATGACTGGTAAAATACGTGGTATAGCACCAAACAATTGCCGAGTGAGCTTAAATGCATTTCCAGTACCTGCTGTCACAAAATCTCCTGTGAGCATCAGGAAAATGCTAAGGTTTTATTTACCATAGTAAGAGTCATCTTAAACATATGCAAAATGCATTTAGCCTAATATAGGCTATAAGTGGATAACTGTTTAAACTAAATGTTTCATTTAACTGCCCTTATTAAGTGCTCTAAGAACACAGGATATAGAATCACAAATTGCAGACTTGGAAACGGTCATCCAGTCCAACCCCTTATCAGGTGTTTAAATGTCTCTAGTGATAGAGGTCTCACTACCTCCTAAACAGCCCATTAGGCAGCTTTGAATTTTAAAAGCTGCAATCCAGAAGAGCAATAAGAAAGAAAAAAAAAAGTCTCCAACTCGACTTCAATGTACAGAATAGACAAGTTACCAAGAATACAAAATGGCATTTTACCAGGATTGTTAAATGAAGAAATCATCTGTTAAATAAATAAAACATTGCCTTAAATGGGAGCAGAGATGATGTAGAGCTAATACACCAAGACGTTAGTTTAACAAATGTTTATTGAATATTTATTATATACCTAGCATGGCTGTAGGCATTAGGGATAAAATAATGAATAAAATGGACTATGTTCTGGTAGCTTGTAATAGAATAGGTTGTGTAAGGATGGTTTGTACAAGTAATGATAGTAAGCAGTTTTTGTGCTACATGCCAAGTTTCAAGTTTTGTTCTAAGCATTTTATGTATGTTTATGTATTTGAACTTCATGACGATCCTACTGAAAGGTACTCTTATTACCCTGTTGTACTCCTCTATATGAGAAGACTGGAGTTTTCCCCAAAGTCCTGAAACTAGCACATGAAGAGACCGTGTTGTTCATCCAGGCATCTTAGCTTCAAGCTTCATCTCTTAGTCATAGTGCTTGGCTGTCTTTTAGAAAAGGAGGGGAGGGCCAGGCGGGGTGGCTCACGCCTGTAATCACAGCACTTTGGGAGGCCGAGGCAGGCAAATCACCTGAGGTCAGCAGTTCGAGACCAGCCTGGCCAACATGGTGAAACCCTGTCTCTACTAAAAGTACAAAAGTTAGCTGGGCCTGGTGGCACGTGCCTGTAATCCCAGCTACTCGGGAGGCTGGGGCAGGAGAATTGCTTGAACCTGGGAGGCGGAGGTTGCAGTAAGCCCAGATTGGGCCACTGCACTCCAGTTCCAGCCTGGTGGATAGAGTGAGACACTGTCTCAAAAAAATTAAAAAGGAAAGGAGAGAGAGAGAGAAAGAAAAACAAAGAAAGAAGGAAAGAAAGAGAGAGAGAGGAAGGAAGGAGAAGGGGAAGGGGAAGAGGGAAAGGAGGGAGGGAGGAAGGAAGGAAAGAAAAGAAAAGAAAAGTAAAGAAAAGAAAAGAATAGAAAAGAGAAAAGAAAATAAAAGGAAAAGAAAAGAAAAGAGAGAGATGTTGCATGCGGTGGCTCACGCCTGTAATCCCAGCACTTTGGGAGGCAGAGGCGGGCGGATCACGAGGTCAGGAGATCGAGACCATCCTGGCTAACACAGTGAAACCCTGTTTCTACTAAAAATACGAAACATTAGGCGAGCATGGTGGCGGGCGCCTATAGTCCCAGCTACTCGGGAGGCTGAGGCAGGAGAATGGTGAGAACCCAGGAGGCAGAGCTTGCAGTGAGCCGAGATCGCACCACTGCACTCCAGCCTGGGCGACAGGGTGAGACTTGGGGAAAAAAAAAAAAAAGAAAGAAAGAAAGAAAGGGAGGGAGGAAGGAAAGGAAAGGAAAGGAAAGGAAAGGAAAGGAAAGGAAAGGAAAGGAAAGGAAAGGAAGAAAGAGAGAGAGAAAGAAAGAAAAGTAGGGGCGGGGGTGTTGTTTGATCAAAGGGGAACTACTGAGGCTGTGGGGTGGAGGCTTCCTGGAGGAAATAACCATGATGTATGACCTGATAGTCAAATAAGAGAAATAAATGAAGTTTGCTGCAGGTGGAGGCAGTAGAGGGGAGTTCTTCTGCCAAAGCAATAACAGGTACCCAGGCTCAGGGGAGTAGGAGAGCCCGACATGTATAAGAACAGAAGGGCACAGGGTGCCCAGATCGCTGAAGGGCAGGAGGGCCAGGATTAAGTACAAGCTAGATGGTGACTCAGTGGGGATGAGTTCACTTTTTGTTGCTTGGATCATTCCTTCATTTATGAATTTTATTTATTTATTTCTTGAGACAGAGTCTCACTCTGTCACCCAGGCTGGAGTGCAGTGGCATGATCTCGGCTCACTGCAATATTCACCTCCCGGGTTCAAGCGATTCTCCTGCCTCAGCCTCCTGAGTAGCTGAGATTACAGGTGCACGCCACCACACCCGGCTAATTTTTGTGTTTTTAGTAAAGACGGGGTTTCACCATGTTGGTCAGGCTGGTCTCGAACTCCTGACCTCGTGATCCACCCGTCTTGGCCTCCCAAAGTGCTGGAATTACAGTGTGAGCCACCGCGCCCAGCCAAATTTATTTATTTAACAATGATTTATTTACTAAGATGTGCTAGTCACCCCCACAAGAGCTCCATCTCCAGTGCCCCTGCCCATAAGGTGTCCCTTGTTCTGGATGATATGAGGAGATGAAGGACCAATAAATACACAAACAAGCAGTATAGCTTTGAAGATGGAAGACAGTATTGTAAATGTGTCTTTTCTTTCTAAGTTAATCTACAGTTAATCAAGGTGGTTAATGTTTGCCCAATCAAAACACCAAAAGTATGCTTTGAAACTTAAAAGAATGATTCTAAAGTTTATCTGGTGGGCAGGGGAGATGTGCAAGAAGAACCAACAATTTTCTCGAAAACAGATATAAACAATTTGGGGACAGAACTACCAGGTAATACAATGTATCACTGGGCCATAGTAACTTTAAAAAGAGGTACCAATGCAAGAACAGACAACTGGCCATCACATTGCAGCCAGCCTGAACTTAAAATTGACATTAAAAAATCGTTTAAAAATCATCAATGATTGGTGAAAACAGAATATCACGTTAATTTTCATTTCTTTCATTTCCATTAACATTGGATGTCTTCCATGTTTGTTGGCCATTTGTTTTTTTGTGTGTGAATTGTCTGTTCAATTCCCTTTGCCTATATTTCTGTTACTTGGGGTTTATTTATAGATTTGAGATTTTTATGTGACAAGAACATTAAGGTTTGGTAGCATTTCTCTGTTGGAAATGAACCCATGCATTCATTTTAATTTGTTGACACACCAGTACTTACAACTATCTCTAGCCTTGATGTGCACACATATGTACTTGTGCACACACAATTGCTTGCCTAATCATTGTTCTTTCTCCACAATGATAACAAAGATGAGGCAACTGAGTAAGACAAACATTATCATGGCACAGTTTTTGGGATCCAACTTGAGCCAAGGAGTGAAATATCAACAATGTAGCTTCCTTTTATAAGAAACCTCCGGATACCTGAAAAAGACATAAAGACTTGGACACTTGAAGAATGTGTGTCAATTTTAAGAATTTTTTCTAAGCACTTATCATTCACCCTCTTTCTACTATCTATCCTTGACTATTAAAAAGTGCACATATGCTTTATTTCTTTCTAAAGATTATTTCTGTACAGATTCCATGATATTTTAGAGGAGACAAGTAATTAAATGGGTAGCCTGACTCTCCACTTGTCTAATATCTGAGTAAATAAACAAAGAAGTCTCCCAGCAATGCACTCACTCACAACACTAAATCCACTGTCTATGATTCTCCCTCCCTCAGAGTTGATTGACTTCTATCCTCCAAGTTTCTTCTAGGGTTGGGTGCCCACTGGAATCCTGGATTACAGCATGTGGTATATTTATCTACTGAAATATGAGCTGTGGGTACAATGAGCAATGCCTTGCCACAGACACCCCATCCATCTGCTGAAAATAATCAATCTCAGAAAATAAAAGTCCAGGGAAAAGTTAGATTTGGGTACATGCCGAGGATTAACAAGGGCGGAACGGCAGTTATTTTATTAACTTGGAATCAGTGCTTGCAAATGGATTTGGTTATTTACCATTGGTCTAAAAAACGCATCTGTCATATAAAGGCTGGAGTTTCAGTCTGCACAGCAGCCAGGCAGATTATACAGAGTCGCCTCTTGGATGGGAAATGATGTATTTGTCAGTGATGGTTGTTTATTCCTACTCCTGAAGTAACTCATGCTCCAGATTGATCACCTTGTTTAAAGGACCATCACACCATCTCCACATGTTTCCCTTAAGCTTAACTGAATATAGTATTAATGACAAATAATAATAATAGCTCATAACATTCATTGAGTGCCCGTGATATACCAGAAAATTCAGTAGCAACAAAATTAAAATCTCATTTAGTTCTCCTAAGACCCCTTTGAAGTAGTTATTATTACATTTCATTTGTGGACTCACTTATAAGCCAAGGCTCAAAGAATATGTCACCAGTAAATTATGGAAATGAAGATTTGAACCCAAGCCTCCACGACTCTAAACCCAGCCACTCTTAAGGGAGCACCACACCATTAGAAAGTTAGGCAAGACTGGGTATTTGTCCCAGTACAATCTCCCTTACTGGAAAAATAAGAAATACCCTCCAGTTTTAATTATGCCGATCTCAGATTGACAGGATATTAGCTAACCAGGGTGAAGAGAAATATTTCTAATAACATCATCTCTCCTGGAGAGTTGGGGAGGTAGAGGATTAAAATCCTAAGTGACTCTCCATACATTGTGAAGCTTAGGAAGATAATGCACATGACCAAGCCCCACCATTCCTTTGGGCAAGGCTGTCTGCAGGCATTTTGCCTTTTTACCCTTGTTCATGGGAAGAGCTGCCTGAGCCACAACATACTCTCATCACTTCCCAAATTAGGTTTCCATACATTTATTCCTGAGGGAAAGAATCTGGTTCAGATGTGATGGTTAATACTGAGTGTCAACTCGATTGCATTGAAGGATGTAAAGTATTGATCCTGGATGTGTCTGTGAGGGTGTTGCCAAAGGAGATTAACATTTGAGTCAGTGGGCTGGGAGAGGCAGACCCACCCTTACTCTGGGTGGGTACTATCTGATCAGCTGCCAGCATGGCTAGAATATAAAAAGCAGGCAGAAAAATGTGAAAAAGAAGAGACTGGCCTGGCCTCCCAGCCCACCTCTTTCTCCCATGCTGGATGCTTCCTGTCCTCGAACATCGACCTCCAAGTTCCTCAGTTTTGGAACTCAGACTGGCTCTCCTTACTCCTCAGTTTGCAAACAGCCTATTGTGGGACCCTGTGACCATGTGAATTAATACTTAATAAACTCCCCTTTACATATATATATATATATATATATATATATAAATATATATAAACTCCAATCACTTTTTATACATGTGACTCCAATCACTGATCACTATAATTTATATCTATATTGCTATAGATATATACACACATATGTATGTATATATATGTATAATATATATACACACATATGTATGTATATATATGTATAATATATATACACACATATGTATGTATATATATGTATAATATATATACACACATATGTATGTATATATATGTATAATATATATATACATATCATATGACTTCTCTCCCTCTAGAGAACCCTAATACAAGGTGGAAAAGTATACGTAAAAGAAAAATAAGAACTGGAAGCAAAAAATGAGGAGAAGCAGTGTTGCAGTGGGCTCTCTAAATTTCATCTTGGATAATAACATAAACTCTGAGTCAGCTTGACTTGGCTGTGAATCCAGACTCTAACTTGGAAAACTGACTTTTCTCTTCATCTATAGAAATTAGGGAGAACAGAACCTGTTGAATGGGGTTGTCATCTGGATTTAATGAGATAAAGCAAGTGAAAGCTTGGAACATCAAAAGGATTCAATGTAGGACAGTTATTGTTATTTTTATTAGTATTATTATGTTCTGTCCATCCCCCTTTTAGCATCTATGATACATGTTGCAGACTTTCCTTTTCACCTGCTTCATATATCAAAGTGTCACAGCCTCTTATTTTTGCAGAGTTGGCAGGACAGGCTTATGGTGAGTAAGAGAGAATTGGCTTTCCTGCTTGCTTTTAAAATATTTTACCAACCTTGTTCAGTTTCAGATATGGCCAATGACGAATGAACTTATTTTCATCATTTTTTCATCTGAAGTAGAAGCAGAAAGAATGGAATTCTGATGGTCCAGCTATTCTCAACTCCTTTTTTTTCTTAATATAAACAATGAATAGCTCCTAACTTGGCATGTCAGCCACCCACACTCTGCTATCTGATATTGAGGCAGAGGTACCAACTCCTTTAAAGATCTATTTTCCCCCTATAACATGTCAGGTTGCCATCTTCAACATACTATTTTCATAATGCTTTTCTTTAAAACCAATTGACCAAATTGTTGAAGAAAATTTGGGGGAAAAGATGTAGGCTGGCAAAACACAGTTCTTAAAAATCAGAGCTGGAAGGAAAGATGTTTAACTTGGAATAACGATAGGAGACTCACACAGAAGCACAAGGGGTTGTAGCTGGAGAAGAAGGCAACTGGAAGAGGACAAAGAAAAGTGACAAAGAAAAGAAACTCAGAGAGCCTGCCTGAGTTTCTGGAGGTTAACCCAACCTGCTCAAGGAAGGCACTTTATTTTGGTGCAGAACTGGATCACCACTATTATATATTCATAAGCATAGCCTTCTGATTATATTCGTACAAACTGGAGAATCACTTCCAAAGAGTTCGTATGCCAAAACAGTGTCTTTCAAAAGAGGGTTCACAGAGATAGGCAACATGATTCACTGCCAATAAAAAACTCAGATCAGCAACATTATGGAAGAAAAATCCAATTAAAATCAACCCGGGGGTTTCCTCTGCTGACGTGGAATCACAAATTATTTTTCTTATCCCACACAGAGAGACTTTTCCCTGTACAGTCCCAGAAATGAAGCCGAAGTGTCAGCTTCAATATGAGAATTTAATTCTACATTTCCTTCAGCGGATCACTAATTCCAAGGTTCAGCATGCCTAAATGTTCTGTGGTTGAGTAGATTTTAGTGGTCTTTAAGAGATTACCTCAAATGCAACAGACTCTCAATACAAGACCAGAAATATTTTGAAAGAAAAGAAAAACACTCTCTACTTCTTTATAATTTAGCTTTCAAGAGCTTAAAATTATTTTAAAACATATTTTTGTATCAAAATTGTGCCAGCTTTCAGACATGGGAGATGTCCTCTTCTTGTTTTGCAGACAACGTGTCATCAGTCAAGTATTTATTGGATCTTGAGTTATGCATAGCAATGTGCAAAGGCAGTTGGAGAACACGATAAAGAGGGAAGAGCTGCCTGCCCTCAGTGGACTTCCAGTTTAATTGGAAGCCCTTTGTTTCATGTAGTCTTCTAATTATTATTATTTTACTTCTTCTGGACATACAATTGTTTGACATACAATCAAACAACAGAAGAATCTTATCACTTGACCCATCTCAATTGTATAGGATGACTCCAATCACTGATCACTGGAACTTACTATCTGTATTGCAACTTTTTTTTTTTTTGAAACAGGGTCTTGCTCTGTTGCCCAAACTGGAGGGCCGTGATGCCATCATATTTCACTGCAGCCTTGAACTCCTGGGCTTAAGTGATCCTCCCACTTCAGCCTACAGAGTAGCTGGGATTACAGGCGTGTGCCACCACACCCAGCTAATTATTTCTTATTTTTATTTTTTTGTAGAGATAGGCTGTCTCACTATGTTGCCCAGGCTGGTCTCAAACTCCTGACCTCAAGTGATCCTCTTGCCTTGGCCTCTCAAAGTGATGATAGGTGTGAACCAATGCACCCGGCCTGTATTGCAACTTTTTACATGAAGTTGCCCAAGGATGTTTATTTTGTAAGGTGAGGGACACAAATGCATATGTGTCCACGAGTGAAGCCAAAATCAGTGAGCAGAAGCAAAGGAGAGGGAGAGTGCCGAGCAGTGGCAAGTTAGGTCAGAAAGGAGGTAACGGGCAGGAGTAGGGCTGTGAAGAGAGGAAAAGCATTCATTCCAAGGGAAGAAGGTAATAGATGCAAAGACACGAAGTGAGAATGAGCCAGGTGTGCGTGACGGCTGGGAAGCCGAGTGGGCTAGCTGTTCTCTTTGCTTTGGCGAAGATAAAGTTGTGCGGAGACACATTCGCACTGAACTTTAAAGTGTAGGAAACAGAAAGTGTTTTGTCCCCTTCGGAGAGTGTCCCATTTTCCACTCAGGCCACAGCCCTGACTCGGCGATCCTCCTTCAATGGGCGCTTATGTTCTCGCCAGGAAGGGCAGCCCTTGCTAAATGTTATGGTTTGGAAGGATCCTTCACAAGGATGGAAAACCGAGTTAATTCAATTAAGGCCCGGGGTCCTGGGCTTTGAACCAGCCACAGTCTCAATTTTATGAAAGGATGAAAAGTTAATTATTTGCCGAGTTTGAGTGAAGTCTACTTTGAAAATCCCTTTCCAAAAGAGTAATTTCCACATCGGCTTCCCTGTGGAAAATCAAGGCAGGTTGAACCAGGGTCATAAAGAGAACCTCAGGAACTGGTCTTCAGAGAGGTCCAGCACCCAGTGGCTCGCCTGTCTCCATACCACATTCGAAGGGCTGGGTGGTGTCTGAAGCCTCTGTTTGTCCCCACAGGCTACTTCGAAAAATAGAAAAGGAAATATAAGTTGAATTCAGAAAGTCAAGGTTTTTAGGGTGCTTTTTTTTCTTTTCTTTTCTTTTTTTTTGAGACAGAGTTTGGCTCTGTCACCCAAGCTAGAGTGCAGTGGTGTGATCTCGGTTCGCTGCAACCTCCGCCTCCCAAGTTCAAGCAATTCTCCTGCCTCAGCCTCCTGAGTAGTTGGAATTACAGACGTGTACCACCACACCCGGCTAATTTTTGTATTTTTAATAGAGATGGGGTTTTGCCATGTTGGCCAGGCTGGTCTTGAACTCTTGACCTCAGGTGATCTACTTAGGGAAGGTCTTAATAGTTCATTTGATGGAGGGTTTCACTTCCCAACTGGCAGCTTCCTGGCTGCTTTTAATGTTATTGTTTTATTTAACTTTAACATTTTAACTTTAAAAATCATGTACACATATGTACATACGTTGATAATATAACAATAAAACAATTATTCTGGCTGGGTGTGGTGGCTCACACCTATAATCCCAGCACTTTGGGAGGCTGAGGTGGGTGGATCGTTTGAGCCCAGGAGTTTGAGAATAGCCTGGGCAACATGGTAAAACCCCATCTCTACAAAAAAATACAAAACATAGCCAGGCATGGTGGTGCATGCCTGTAGTCCGAGCTACTTAGGAGGCTGAGGCAGGAGGATCACTTGAACATGGAAGGCAGAGGTTGCAGTGAGCCAAGATCACAACACTGCACTCCAGACTGGGCAACAGAGCCAGACCCTGTCTCAAAAAAAAAAAATACGTAAATAAAACAATTTTTCTGATGTAGAAAATATAAAGATAAATCATTCATAAGCCCACTGGCCAGATAATAGGCTAATGGTTTTGGTGTGCATACTTCCAAAACTTTAAAGTATTTATACCCTGATATATACACACACACACACAAACACCACACAGGAATAAGCATGGGATCATATTTAAATAGTTATCCTTTTGGCTTTGTTTTGCTTTTCACAGCAATATATTATATCAGAGATTTATTTCCATGTAAATTGGGATAGCATAAGAATAAAGTGCATGGGTTCTCAGGAAAAAAAAAAACAACTTTGAGTTAACTGAGAAAACTTCTCAATGTTTTTAGCCCCAGTAAAAGTACAACCAGTCGCTGGTGTGGTTCTGTGGCTTCAATACAATATTCTCTGTAAGGCTCTTAGTACCCAAACATAATAAATGCTCAGTGTTTTTGTCTTTGCATCAATGAATATAGATTTATGTCTTTTTTTTAATGACAGCAAACTATTCTGTTGCAATTATGGCTGTAACAGGATTTGTTTTAGTTCATCCTTGATAGACATTTCAATTGTTTCTAATTTCTCACTCCCATGAATGGATCTGCAATGCATATTCCTTATATGCAACTTTCACAGCTTTGGTGTTGACATAGGCAATTAGAAAGAAATGCTTTCTGAGAGTAAGAAACATCATTCATGCCCCTTCCTCCTCAAAAGAGAGATTTTAACCTTACTAATAAATGTGCGTGGGTAATTCCTAGGAATATGGTAGAAATGCTACTATAGAACCTAAATCCAAGGAAAAGAACATTTTCAAGTCAACACCTCCTGGCAAGAAGAGTGGACTTAAAATAAGGAGAATCCAGTTCTAGCTCTGCTGTAAGTTTTTGATCAACCCCAAAGAAATGACAAACTCTCTAGGCCTGCTTTCTCTTTCGTAAAAAGAAGCTGAGTGAAGTGAACCAGAAGTTTCTTTCCAAATGACTGTGGAATTCATACTCTGCGTGCATTGCTTGACAAGAACTCTTGCCATCAATACTATGACAAAACCTAAGTCCTAAACAAACTCTGGGCTAGGCCTAAAGGATTCCATTGTCATTTGTGTCTTTGCATTCAATTCTAGCGAAATGAGACAAAATGACATGCAAAATGCAAGTTTTTTTTTTTTTATCCACATGCTGAACACTGGGCAATAGATGCTGCATTCTATAACAGAACATATCTATGACAGAAGTTTATAAAAAACGAGAAGTGCTTAGAAACATCCAGCAAACAAATTGCTGAATCTTACCACATGCAAGAAGGATTTCAAAGAGCTGTGGGGGACATTATGAAGTTAAAATATGATTTCTTGCCTTAAAATTGCCACCATGTGGTAGAAGAGGAAAAGTATGCCCATAAAATGATCCCTGAAAATTAAAAGGTTGATTATTTATGATTTTATACCTCACCTGGTTTTAAAAAAGGACTTAAAGACACTTCAGAAAGTGGCATATACTATCCTAAAGGCTTTCAAATAAGTTAGAAAAATAATACTTACAAAATGGCAAGTACGGGTGCAAGATTAAGAATGGAATAATGTTCATGCACCCAATTCATTCCATCAAATGCTGTACGTCACATCTTTAACTATGAATTCTGCCATTCAATCCAGAGAAAAGACAGATATTACACGTATTTATTAATAACAACAACCAAAATCATTGTAATAACAGTTAATGCTCATATAGGGTTTACTATGTGATGTGGCCGTCAATGCTTTAAGAATTTTCCATATAGATTAATTCATTTAACCTCATGATAAACTACAAAGTAAGCACTGTCATCATCCCCAACCTACCAGGGGAGTATCAGGCAGAGATTGGTCAGGTAAATTACCGAGGGTCACCCAGCTGGGAAGTCACAGAGTTAGGATTCAACTCCAAGCAGTTTTCAAAGTCTCTAAACTTGAAGCGTCACAAAACTCTTCTCATATTACCTCCAGGTTATGAAACCAAGGAAGGGGGGTTTTCACTTTTGTTTTATTTCTTACACCTTTACAAATGCTCCAGTTTCTCTAGAAGCAAATATGTTAATATATTTTTTATAATCAAAAAAATTAATTTTTTATATAAGCAAGCAAGGCAGGATAAACTTTGGGCCTGTTCAGCAAACTCACCACAAAGAAACAGGATAATGAGTCACCTGTCATGGCAGGGTAGTCAGACAGCCTTCCTGGAAGAGGTAAATCTTAAAGGACAGGTAAGGCTGGGGAAGAAAGAATGGGGGAAACAGGAATTATAGGTAGAGTAGTATGTTTTTCAAGAGCAAAACTGAGCTCCTGAGCAAAAGTCACAGGAAAATTCGGCTCAATCCCCACACAACCAAAAGACGTTGACCTTCCTGTATTGATAGATCAAAGAGAGAAAAATTAACTCAAAGAACTACACATTTTCCTTGCACATATTTTCATATATCCGCAAAGACTCCAATGTCCTTTCAGGAAAATGGTAACCATTGGGGCCTGTGTGCTGTCTTCGTTTTTCCTTTTTCTTCCCACTTATCCATTCCTAAAGTCACAAATCTATGACTCAGATGAAAATGGCATAGCAGCAAAGGGAGGTGTTGAGGAGTGGGAGAGAGAAAAAGAGGTAAAGGCAATTAGTCTTTGGATCCTGTTCCTTGGTGATTTCTGCCATGACACCAAATTGCAAAGATGCAAAAACCCTCTCATTAACAGCCTGGTGACGGATATGAGAAAGGTCACCCAACTGAAGCTACTGGAGGCTCCTTGTCTCTATGAATCCCAGGCAAACCAGTAAGGCCCGGCTAACAGATATTTTCAGAACATTCATTCACTTCAAAATCAGATCAGTGAAAGGTTGAGAATATTCTCTGGGAAATCTGGTCTGCCTTTAAGCAGAGGGTTCTAAATGCAGTCATTGACGCAGTGATTAAGGAGAATAATTATCTCTTCCCTTTATTCTGCCACAGAGAATTGCTAGAGGCCAAGAACCGATTAGTGCTGGCTAACAAATCCTACTCTACCCCTCCTACATCTCCCTGCACCCAATGTCTCCCAAATGAAAATGGACAAAATATTTTTCAGCTGAACTAATTCATGAAGCTATAAAACTAGCAGCCTTACTTGCCATTCACCATTTGGGATTTAAAAACTCAAGAATAGGAGATTAGACAGTGTCTTGGCTTTATATGCTGTTACTACAATTAAATAAACAGCCCCCTGTGTGAATTAATCGCCTTGGTGCAGGCTAAAATAGTGCAAGAATCTAGGCGAGATTTTGAAAAATGTTTAGACTGATTTAGATCGACTAGGAATTGCTAATGGTTTTTATAGCTAATACTTTCAACTCCCTCCATCCAAAGCAAACACGCACACACACACACATCCCTCAGGAAAGCAATGGTTGAGTCTCAGTTGTGTAAACTTGGTCTTGCAAAATGAAATTTTTTATCTCTTGCACCTAAACATCCCAACATGGCTCTGGAGACACAAAGACTGAAATGAGGATGATAGTCTTTTTTCAAAATTGAAGGCATATGTTTTATAACCCACCTGGTGTTCATTTTATCATGAGATCTTCTACCCCAGCCTTCAAGTGATTGTCAAGTAGTTATTGAAATAAAACATCAATGTGATAAAATGACTACAATTTACATGAAGACAGTCAGAGAATCTTATTCCTGAGAAAATCTCCAGCCTAAAACCGAGAGGTTCAAAATATAAACTCCAAGTGCTTTTAAAGACTCCCTTAAGAAAGTGGAGAGATGGAATTAAAGAATAGCAGTGTGTGTGTGTGTGTGTGTGTGTGTGTGTGTGTGTGTGTGTGAAGCCTATCATACTAATTTTTTAAAAAATTTTTTTCCCAGCTTCATTAAGATATAGTTGACAAGTAAAAATTGTCAATATTTATGGTGTCCTATATGATTGTTTTGATAGATGCACACATTGTGAAATGATTAAGTCACACTAATTAACATGTCCATCACCTCAATATCATTTTGTGTGTGTGTGTGGTGGTGACACTTAAGATCTACTCTCCTAGCAATTTTCAAGTATACAATATAACAACAGCATAGTTGCTAGAAAGGGGTCCCAATTCAGACTCCAAGAGAGGGTCCTTGGATCTCAGGGAGAGTCCACAGAGTAAAGCAAAAGCAAGTTTATTAGGAAAGTTAAGGAATAAAAGAATGGCTAAGCCATAGGCAGAGCAGCACTGTGGGCTGCTGGTTGGCTATATTTATAGTTATTTCTTGATTATACGCTAAACAAGGGGTGGATTATTCATGAGTTTTCTGGGAAAGAAGCAGGCAATTCTCAGAACTGAGGGGAACCCCACCACCACCTGTGGCCTTTTTAGACCATATAGGGTAACTTCCAGATATTGCCATGGCATTGGTAAACTGTCATGGCACTAGTGGGAGTGTCTGTTAGCAAACTAATGCATTATAATTACTGTATAATGAGCAACAAGGACAACCAGAGGTTGCTTTCCTTGACATCTTGGATTTGGTGGGTTTTGGCTGGCTTCTTTACTGCATCCTGTTTTATCAGCAGGGTTTTTGTGACCTGGATCTTGTGTTGACCTCCTATTTCATCCTCTGACTAAGAATGCCTAATCCGCTGGGAATGCAGCCCAACAGGTCTCAGCCTCATTCTACCCAGTCCCTGTTCAAGATGGAACCTCAAACAGGAACCCCTGTTCACTCTGGTTCCAACGCCTCTAACATAGTCACCATGTCATACAGTAGACTCCTAGAATTTATTCATCCTGTCTAACTTGACCTTTGTACCCTTTGACCAACATATCTGCATTCCCACCATATCATGTTAATTTGTTTTCATTAAAAAATAAAATGAGAGAAAAATTATACCCAATCCTTATCGGAAAAAAGATACAGACGTGCTGCCTCTGCAGAGGTGGCCTGATGATCCCAGCAAAGAGAATAGTGGTGCTGAATTCAATTAGCTTAACTCTTGCAAGAAAAGAATGGAAAGCCGTATATACCACAAGCAGTGCATGTGATAGTCCTGGGGATTATCGAGGGAAAAGAACGAAAAATGAACAAGTTCAGCAGGAACTGTGATAGCCTGGGGTAATGAAGGAGAGTGGGACGCACTTGATGAAAGCCCCAAACACAGCAGCAGGTGGAGAAGTTGTTGACTTTATTTAGCATTAATTGCAGGAAAGCGTCTATAAAATGTGGTCAAAAATTATTAAACCCCTGATGTTATGCCAACATTATGCCATCCCCTGTTCCAAGGCAGGTGTATTATTCCTGGTCCCAAGGATTAAAGTAAATCATGGCTTTTCCATGTATTCTGAATATTGCATTTCATTATTTTTTACTGCCCTGTTTCTCTAGGTTTTTGTGGCTTAATAGGCTCTGCTATTTATAAACTCATCACGGGTTCCATGTTGGGGGAGGGAATGTCAGAAAAAGAATGTCCGTTCAACATTCCCTCTCCACCCTTAAATCTCTATGTGAACATACTCTATATACATTTCTGGAAACCACTCAAGTCAAACATATTTACAGTGATGGCCACAGACACATCTCTCTCCTCCCACTGGATCTGGGACACTTGCTTAGATTTAAGAGACTGATTTCAAGATACTCACTTGTGGTTATCTGAAGAAACCCAGATTTGCATACTTGATGCCCAAAACTTTGTTCTAGAAGCCACAAAACTATGCTAATCATTTCAAACAAAAGGGGAGCTTGAGTTTACCCACAAATCCAAAATGAATCCAAGCATACTTTTTGTCTGTGACAGGGTCTTGCTCTGCCACCCAGACAAACTTTTAAAATCTCAATTAAAAATTAAAACATTCAAGTAGCATTTTGCAGAAGACTCTCAGTATTACCCAAATATTCCTGAAGGCCCCAAAATGATGAGATTCTACAGATAGACTGAGAAAATAAAACAATGAAAAGCATGCCCGAGTCATCTTGCGAAGCCGCTGTGCACACTGACCAGCCCAACCATTGGCCAACACCACCCAGGACCCAAGAGTCATACCAGGCAGAAAACAGCAGCCTCACTTCCTTATGTGTCCTGATTGGGGAGGTGGCCAAAATACTGTAACTGCAAGCCCCTTCTCACTCCCACTCCCTATTCTCCCTGTTTTCTGTATCTTTTTATCTTTAGTTCTCAGAAAACAAACGTACAGGCAGTCAAAGAATAACCTGAAAATGTTTCTTTGCCTCCTAAGATGCAGAGCAGCAGGCGGAGAAATAGAGAACGAGCAGCACTCTAGTGACAGCACAGCCCGGAAGTGGAGCTGGACGTGCATGCCAGTGGCACTTGTTCAAATGCCAGTCGTAGTGCAGAGGGTGGAGGAAGAGAACTCAAGCTTGCAATCATGCTTTCTCAGTATTCCCAGATTTTTTTTTTTCCTTTGTTACCTCCCTCCCAAGAAAACCTTGTAGATTTGTTTCCCCTCATTGCCTACCTCCCCATGAAATGTCATGCCACAGAAAAATGGTTATATATGTTTTTACACTCATTCACAAAGAACCAAATTTTGTCCGCTTGGTAGTATTTATCCCCCCTCTTGAGAATGCATGTGCCAGCCCCTTAGTCCCTGGGAGTCAGGTTATGTGTCTACAATGAATTTGTTCATCCTCCGTAAAGCAGGGTTTCTCAACCTTTGTACCATTGACATTTGGGACAGACAATTCTCTGTTGTAGGTGCCGTCCTGTGCGATGGAGGGTTTTCGGCAGCATCCCTGGCCTCTAGGTGCCGGTAGCACTTCTATCCCCCATTCTCCTATGTAACAACCAAAAATGTCTCCAGACCCTGCCAAATGTCCCTCAACAGGGCAGAATGGCCCCAGCTGACAACTGCTTCTCTACAGGTTAGGAATATAGCAGTGAATAAGACAGGCAAAGTTTCCACCTAAAGTTTTGCTACTCAACAGTTGCTTGGTCTTAATACCTCTTAACAGCTCTTGGTTGCTTTACCTCTCCAAGAAAAAAAAAAATTAAATAATACCCAAGGTCCTCTCCAACTTTGTCATCCTTTGTGATCTCTTTGTGTGTTTTTAATTAAATATAATTGTTTAGAATGGCTTTTTTCCCCTAAAGGTTTGAACCCAAATCACATATACAATGGATTTTAAAAATAAACATAAAAAGCATGTGATAAATAAATCTTTTTTAAAACAAATATATTCTTCCAAAAATCAGTGTGTAAATGATCTTATCCAGAGAAAGTTACACAAATACCGTCTCCTTGTAGCTTTCAGTTCTGAGCAGCCCAAGACCTTGTAGCAAGCAGAGCAGAGAAACATACAGAATTGGACATACAATCGATTTCATGCTTGATGGTACAAAGCCATTGAAGAGTGTAATAAAATCACATTGAGCATGGAGATTTCATTGACTTTTTTTTTTTAAAAGAAAGGCTTCTTTTTTTTTTTTTTTTTCGAATTAAACTTATGTTTTGCAATTCAAAACCCAGGGCCAAATCAAGTGATTGGAGTGGTAATAAAATGATAACTTATGTTAGCATCCACCTAACATAAAAATCACTTGATCTGCACCAAAAAAAAAAAATCTTGTGGTGTTTATAGTGAAAAAGGCATTGGTCCAAGTTAGGAAGTGATGTAGAGAAGTGAGGCTAGAAGAGTTAAATGTTGGGCAGGAGGCTGAGGCAGGAGAATCACTTGAGACCAGAAGTTAGAGACCAGCTTGGGCAACATATTGAGACCCTATCTCTAAACTAAAAAGGAAAAGTTAAATGATGAGAATAGAATCTTTCCATAGGCCCTTTTGGCAAGTGATAACAGAGCCCTTTGAATGTCATTAAAAATGTCCTAGACATTTTAGCTACTGTCAAGTCCTGTTTGCCCAGGGTCACGGAAATATTATATTCCTGAAGCTAGGAATAAACTCAGAATATCTCTGGGTGAAAAAGGGATTGAGATCAGTTTTTGATCTAGGAAATTGTGTGATATCTTGATGAACAGAGGTGAGAGTTATATGGATTCCTTTATCTGTGACCATGAACAGAGAATTCTATCTAAGTGGGGAAAATGAATTAATGTGAGGGCCCAAAACTAGGTCTAGGATTCATTTACCCTTTGAAGTGCTAATGTGCCACACTTGCTTGATGTTTTTAATGGCAAAACCATTATCTAAGAGTATCAGTCCCAGCACTTTGGAAGGCCAAGGCAGGCGGATCACGAGGTCAGGAGTTTGAGACCAGCGTGACCAACATGGTGAAACTCTGTCTCTACTAAAAGTACAAAAATTAGCCAGACACGGTGACATGTGCCTGTAATCCCAGCTACTCGGGAGGCTGAGGCAGGAGAATCACTCGAACCTGGAGGCAAAGGTTGCAGTGAGCCGAGAGCACGCCACTGCACTCCAGCCTGGGCGACAGAGTGAGACTCTGTCTCAAAAAAAAAAGAAAAAAAAGAGTATTGGTGACCCATGTGCTTTGGAAATTCTGTTTATTTGTTTGTTTGTTTGTTTGTTTGTTTGTTTTGAGACAGAGTCTTGCTCTGTCGCCCAGGCTGGAGTGCAATGGCGTAATCTTGGCTCACTGCTCCCTCTGCCTCCTAGGTTCAAGCAATTCTCCTGCCTCAGCCTCCTGAGTAGCTGGGATTACAGGCACGCAACACCATGCCTGGCTAATTTTTGTATTTTTAGTAGAGACTGGGTTTCACCATGTTGGTCAGGCTGGTCTCGAACTCCTGACCTCATGATCCGCCTACCTCGGCCTCCCAAAGTGCTGGGATTACAGGTGTGAGCCACCATGCCTGGCCAGAAATTGTTAAACAACAGAGGAAGTACAATGAAGATCAAAATGACCCTCAAATTTTTTAAACTAGAGACCTTTATGCCTTGGATCACTTTAGAACAAACTAAAGAATTTCTCATGAAAACACCATTGCTTTCTTTCTTTGTGTAGATAGAGAAAGGAAGTGGGTTTCTCTTTTCCTCCTTGCCTGGCCAAATAGAATAAGCCAATTCTGATGGCCAAATCATTTTGAAAGAGGAGGATTTTAAGTTCTTAGAGCTTACAACTTCACTTCCCATCTTGAGGCTGGTTCAGCATCTAGGAAGCTTGTAAATATAGTCTGCTGACTTGTCTGTAAGCAAAGCTCTTTAGTGCTGGATCTCACTGAAAGAATGGAGGGAGCCCCTCAAAGTCATATTCCCATAGCCACTGGACTTTATCTTCCTATCCAAGGGGACCTAGGAATAGAAGTCTCATGTTGGCAAATTCAAATATTCCACGTGGGCTAATTAAGTGCCTGCTGTGGTCAACAACTGAAGAATGTTACCAGAAAGCCTAAATGGTTATTATCCTATTTTGAAGCCTTCTCACTCCCTGGCCAAAAGTTAAAATAACTGGCTAAAGAACCAGGAACTTCTCCTAAAGAGGCATCCAAAGGGAAAGTCAAATAGCTCATAAAATCCTACTCCAGTCTGTAAAACAGCGAAAGAGACACTTAGCATTGGGTGTTGTTTCCTTGGTTCTCTTTATTTTATGAGGTCTCAATAAGTTTCCTGGGGCTGCTGTAAAAAAGATTTCTTTATAGTGGTTTGTAGGCTACATTCCCCCACCCACCCTCACACACACACCCTCATTCCCGCCTCCTCTCCACACCTCCTCTCCACACCTCCTCTCCCTTTGTTTGATTTATAAAACTTTTTCCATGTCCTGTGTCCTTTTTCCATGCTCTGTCAACTGACCCTTTTGCTCAAAAGGCTTCTTTCCTCTCCAGGGCAGTGTTCACTGCTGATTGGGCCTGTCACAGTCCAAATTACAGGCTCACTGAGGCTCTCTGTTTAGACTTTTATTAACAAATGCAATATGCCAGTAATTCCTCAGAATTATCTGAAGTGGACGCTGTGGCTCTCTGTTTAGATTTTTATTAACAAATGAAATATGCCAGTAATTCCTCAGAATTATCTGAAGTGGACGCTGTGGCTCTCTGTTTAGATTTTTATTAACAAATGAAATATGCCAGTAATTCCTCAGAATTATCTGAAGTGGACGCTGTGATGTGCCGTTCAGACCTCCCTTCAGGAATGGAAACTTGATTTCTTCAGTTGCAGTTTGTGCTGGGATGGACCTCAGCTGTCAGCCTTCTTCCAGAAGTGCCCCCACTGGAGAAAGCTGCCTCACTGAAGGTTGTGCCTTCTCCCAAAGCAGCTCATACCGGCAACTCATCAACATGAAGTTCAAAGGCCCAACCTCCTCCCCACTAGCCCTGGACAATTCAGATGGCAATTCTAGCTCCAGAGCTTCCTGCGGTTACTTCTGCATTGCAGCCCAGCATTTCCTTCTGCCCAGTCGTCCTCACTTCCCCTTTTGGTCACAAGATGCTGATCCCAGGAGCTCTCTGTCATGCCTGTCCTGCACTCTGATCTCTGTCTTGGAGTCTGCTTCCCAAGGAACTCAGCCAGTGACAACTGGTGCCAAGAATGGGCTGAGATAGCAGACACTAAGATGAGACTTTGGAACTTGATCCCCTTTCACCCAACTGGCAGTGAGGACCCCTTCACTGGTGACAGGTGAAGCACAGGTAGCCCTGGCACATGGAGCAGAGCGATTTTTGAACTTTCACCACTGGTGGACTGGGGTGGTGTAGCGGTGGAAGGGACTATGCCAGCCAATGCAATGTATGAGGCCTTTAAAAAGGGACAACCATAGGACAGTAGAATTGGGTGGCCATTGCTCTACTTGACTGACACTCCAGAAAACAACAACAACAACAACAAAAACTGAGTGTGATGAATCAGCAATTCAAAGCTAAGTGGGAAAACCAGAGGACTTCCTTGGTCACATCAAAAGATGCTCTCATTCTCTCTAGAAGAAGGTAAAGAAAGCAGAACACCAGGCCAAAGACGGTTAATTCCCAACCAAGTCAGAGTGGCTATGCCAAGGCCATGGCCCCAGCCCCTGTTGGAAAGAATGGGGCCTCAACTCATAAGATGAGGACATCTGGGTTGATGATACTCACAAATC
Source organism: Homo sapiens (assembly GCF_000001405.40). Lineage (NCBI taxonomy): Eukaryota > Metazoa > Chordata > Mammalia > Primates > Hominidae > Homo > Homo sapiens. The sequence goes on from NC_000017.11 coordinate 71,943,518, forward strand.
TTGGATGCCCAGGTTCCCCTGAACCCTTTGAACTTGAAGAAGTTGTTCACTCTTCCCAATGGGCTAATGCCTTCCCTTGCTTAAATGCAATTCCCAGGCCTTTTTCCTGCAAGACAGCATGTGTAATATTCAGGATCTGTTCCCCCCTCCTGTCCTGGTTAGTGGGTTAATAACTAGGGTAGAGTCACAGCACAACCCAGCCAGAGATGTACTGAACCTGCTGAGGGAGGAAAAGGACTATACGCTAAAGGCATTCTAGGACCTCATCAATATCTCCAGGCAAGAGTTAAAAGAGGACTTCTGGGACAGGAAGATGAGTGCTAGAATAAGGGAGCAGAACATAAATTTAGATAAAAGAGAGTTGTGGCGTTTTGTTTTTATATAGAGATGGTGATATGGTTTCGCTGTGTGCCCACCCAAATCTCATCTGGAATTCCCACATGTTGTGGGAGGGACCCGGTGGGAGGTAATTGAATCATGGGGGCTGGTCTTTCCCATGCTGATCTCATAATAGTAAATAAGTCTCACAAGATCTGATGGTTATACAAGGAGCAGTTTCCCTGCACAAGCTCTCTCTCTTTGCCTTTTGCCATCTGTGTAAGATATGACTTGTTCTTTCCCTTCTGCCATGATTGTGGGGCTTCCCAAGCCACATGGAACTGTAAGTCCAATTAAACTTCTTTATTTTGTACATTTCACAGTCTCAGGTATGTCTTTATCAGCAGCATGAAAATTGACTAATACAGTAAATTGGTACCAGTACAGTGGGGTGTTGTTGAAAAGATACCCAAAAATGTGGAGGCGACTTTGGAACTGGGTAACAGGCAGAGGTTGGAACAGTTTGGAGGGCTCAAAGACAGGAAAATTTGGGAAAGTTTGAAATCTCCTAGAGATTTGCTCAATGACTTTGACAAAAATGCTGATAGTGATATGAACAGTAAGTTCCAGGCTGAGGTGGTCTCAGATGGAGATGAGGAACTTGTTGGGAACTGGAGCAAAGATGACTCTTATTATGCTTTAGCAAGGAGACTGGTGGCATTTTGTCCCTGCCTTAGAGATTTGTGGAACTTTGAACTTGAGAGAGATGATTTAGGGTATCTGGCAGAAAAAAATTTCTAAGCAGCAAAGCATTCAAGAGGTGACTTGGGTGCTGGTAAAAGAATTAAGTTTTATAAGGGAAGCAAATCATAAAAGTTTGGAAAATTTGCACCCTGACAATGCTATAGAAAATAAAATCCCATTTTCTGAGGAGAAATTCAAACCAGCTGCAGGAATTTGCATAAGTAACGAGGAGCCAAATGTTCATCCCCAACACAATGGGGAAAATGTCTCCAGGGATATCAGAGGTCTTCACAGCAGCCCCTCCCATCACAGGCCTGGAGGCCTAGGAGGAAAAAGTCGTTTCGTTGGCCAGGCCCAGGGTCCCCAGGCTGTGTGCAGTCTAAGGACTTGGTGTCCTGCATCCCAGCCACTCCAGCCATGGCTGAAAGGGGCCAACATAGAACTTGGGCCATGGCTTCAGAGGGTACAAGCCTCAAGCCTTGGCAGCTTCCATGTGGTGCTTAGCCTGTGAGTGTGCAGAAGTCAAGAACTGAGGTTTGGGGACTTCCACCTAGATTTCAGAAGATGTACAGAAACGCCTGGATGTCCAGGCAGAAGTTTGCTGCAGGGGCAGGGCTCTCATGAAGAACCTCTGCTAGGGAAGTGTGAAAGGGAAATGTGGGGTAGAAGTCCCCAGAGTCCCTACTGGGGCACCGCCTAGTGGAGCTGTGAGAAGACAGCCACCATCCTCCAGACCCCAGAATGGTACATCTACTGACAGCTTGCACCATGCACCTGGAAAAGCTGTAGACACTCAACGCCAGCCCGTGAAAGCAGCCGGGAGGGGGACTGTACCCTGCAAAGCCACAGGGGCAAAGCTGCCCAAGACCATGGGAACCCACTTCTTGCATCAGTGTGACCTGGATATGAGACATGGAGTCAAAGGAGATCATTTTGGAGCTTTAAGATTTGACTGCCACGTTGGATTTCAGACTTGCATGGGGCCTGTAGCCCCTTTGTTTTGGCCAATATCTCCTATTTGGAATGGCTGTATTTTTACCCAATGCCTGCAACTCTATGGTATCTATGAAATAACTAATTTGCTTTTGATTTTACCAGCTCATAGGCAGAAGGGACTTCCTTTGTCTTGGAAGAGACTTTGGACTATGGACTTTTGAGTTAATGCTGAAACAAGTTATGACTTTGGGGGACTGTTGGGAAGACATGATTGGTTTTGAAATGTGAGGACATGAGATTTGGGAGGGACCAGGGTGGAATGATATGGTTTGGCTATGTCCCCACCCAAATCTCATATTGAATTCTCATGTGTTGTGGGAGAGACCCAGCAGGAGGTAATTGAATCATGGGGGCAAGTCTTTCCCATATTGATCTTGTGACAGTGAATAAGTCTCATGAGATCTGATGGTTTTATAGTGTGTGGGGGGGGGTGGTTCCTGCACAAGCTCTCTCTCTTTGCCTGCTGCCATCGATATAAGATGTGACTTGCTCTTCCTTGCCTTCTGCCATGATTGTGGGGCTTCCCCAGCCATGTGGAACTGTAAGTCAAATTAAACCATTTTCTTTTGTAAATTGCCTAGTCTTGGGTACATCTTTATTAGTAGTGTGAAAACAAACTAATAAAGATGGGGTCTTGCTATGTTGCCCAGGCTGGTCTTGACTTCCTGGGCTCAAGCAATCCTCCTGCCTTACTGGTATGGGTGTACTCTTTCAGAAAATAGGATTTAACTCCATGCAAGGACCCCTGGGAGATGGCATGAATGCATTGTTAGTATGGCTCCCAGGTGCATGGGAAAGTGATGGCCCCCCACTGAGTGAGGTAGAAGTGCCAGAATTGCCATGGCAGGCATTGGAAGAAGAGATAAACAGCCAGAGAAGGGGGCACCTTAAAGTGGCTGAAAGTCCAACCAGGGAACAATGTTCATGAAACAACTCAGAAGAATAACCGTTTTCAAAGCAATGAGGAATGCTTTGCTGAGATGGACACCAGCCTCTCTAAGAAGTTCAGTGGTGACTCTTCCCTGTGGGACAGGGACGATGGGAGCAGATGCTGATTCAAAACTGGGCATACTAATAGCAATAGGAAGATAAGACTACAAAACAATAGAGGCCAAGTGATAATGCGTAGCTGCCAGAAGTCAGGTGGATACAATTAACATCATCAGCAGCAAAGTGAGAGGGCAGCCAAGGTGCCCTAGCTTATAGAGACTGCAAGAAACTGATGGACGTGGAAAAAGAAAGGAGAGGCCAACAAGAGCATACTCAACATTTATAATAAAAACAAATCAAACATGGCTGATGAGATGAGGCCAGTTGCCCCATAAAAAGTCAAAATCCCTTGCCTACTTTTCTAATCTGAGCCGGTTTGGGGCTGTGGAACCTATAGATTGAGGAAGAAGTGGGATCCCCAGGAGGAAAGATGCTGCAACACCACTACAAGTGTATGCAGTAATGATTCCCCCAGTTCTTCCTCAGAGGAGCCTATTGCCATTTACTCAGGCACTGTACACAGGAGAAAAGGGAATCCCCACACATTTTGAGGATTGTTGGACATAGAGTCTGAGCTGATACAGATAATCCACACATCTGAAACAGACTCATGGCCTCCACTGTCAGAATAAGAGCAAAAGGGGACCAGGAAATCAGTATGGTCCTGGCTCAAGTTCAGGTAACAAAGGGTTCACTGATGTCTTCAGCATCTCTGGTTGGTTAATATGATTTGGATATGTGTCCCCACCCAGATCTCCTGTTGAAATGTAATCTCCAATGTTGGAGGTAGGACCTGGTGGGAGGTGTTTTGGTCATGGGGTGGATCCCTCATGGCTTGGTGCTGTCCTCTTGATAGTGAATTCTCACAAGATCTGATTGTTTAAAAGTGTGTGCCACCTCCTCCCTCTCTTGGTCTTGCTCCTGCTCTTGCCATGTAACACACCTGCTTCCTCTTTGCCTTCCACTATAAGGTTTCTGAGGCCCTCACGAGAAACCAAGCAGATGTTGGTGCCATGCTTGTATAGCCTGCAGAACCGTAAACCAGTTAAATCGCTTTTCTTTATAAATTCACAGTCTCAAGCATTCCTTTACAACAATGCAAGAATGGCCTAACTCTGCGGTCATTTCTCCAGTCCCTGAATGTATGAATGGAATAGATACACTGGGTATTTGGCCCAAATTCTCATAGTGGGTTCTTTACTTATGAGACAAGAGCCATCGAAGTAGCGAAGGTAGAAGCCTCTGAAACCGCCCTCCTGGACAAGATAATAAATCAAAACGAATATATTATTTTAACGAATTCAGCAGAAATTAGTGCAACTTTAAAGACTTAAAGAATTAAATCAGGGGTCAGCAAACTATAGACCACCCTGGCATGCTATGTGTGAGCTTTGCACTTTTGAATGGTTGCATTTTAAGTGATGATGTAAGTACCTACGTAATAACTTCTGTTTTGATGCTTGGCTCACAAAAGCTAAAATATTTACTAGCTGGCACATTACAAGAAATGTTTGCCAAGCTCTACATTAAAGAGGGGTCCCCATCTTTTCTCTATTTATTTACCAGTCTGCATTTTGCACAAAACAGACAGATCCTGGAGGTTAACAGTGAACTACAACAAACTCGACCAGTAGTAGCCCAATTTGCAGCTACTTTGCCAAATGTGGTAGCTTTGCTAGAGCAGATTAACATGGGTCCTGGAGATGGTATGTGGTCATTGTCCTGAGGAACGTGTTCTGCTCCTCTTTTATTAGAAAAGAAGGTTAGAAACAGTTTGCTTGGCTGGGCATGATGGCTCATGCCTGTAATCCCAGCACCTTGGGAGGTCGAGGCAGGCAGATCACAAGGTCAGGAGATCCAGACCATCCTGGCTAACACAGTGAAACCCCATCTCTATTAAAAATACAAAAACTTAGCCGGGCATGGTGGTGGGCGCCTGTAATCCCAGCTACTCTGGAGGCTGAGGTAGGAGAATGGCATGAACCCGGGAGACGGAGCTTGCAGTGAGCAGAGATCATGCCACCGCACTCCAGCCTGGGTGACAGAGCGAGACTCCATCTCAAAACAAAAAAAAAAAGAAAAGAAAAAGAAACAGCTTGCTTGTCTTCAAGGGATAACATAATAAATTCACAGTTTTGCTCAAAGGCTATGTTAACTCCCTCACCCTCTGTCATAACAGTCTGAGGAGATCTGGGCCATTTAGACAGTTCATAGAATTACACACTGGTCCATGGTATTGATGACATTGTGCTAATCAGACCAGATGATCAAGAAATAACCAGCACACTGGAGGCCATGGTAAGATCCACATGCTCTCAGGATAAGCGGGAAATCCTACAGAGATACAGGGACCTGCCACGTCAGTAAAGCTTTTAGGGTCCCAGCAGGGAGGCATTTTAGCACAGAGGTCAAGACAACAGTCTTGGCTGTTCTCTGCGAAACAAAGAGTAGATGCTCAGAAATTGAGAGTTAACATGATTATGGTACTGATGATAATTATAACTTTTGATGTTTGGAAGGCCTAGCCCTGCATCTGCTGTTAACCTTCCCATATCTTTAAGTTATTAACTTTGTTACGCCATGTGGCAATGTGATGCCTTGGATCTAGAATCCTGGAGCTTGATCAAATGTTGGCTCTGCCCTCTTAGGGATTGTGAAACTCTGAGCATGTTACTTCACATCTCTCTGAAATATGTACATTCTCCCCTGTTAATGATCACTTTGGATTAGATAATATCTAACATATCTTCCATCTTGAATGCTCCATTGTGGTAGCTGCTACTACATGCTTCTATTTAAACTTACACTTAAATGAATTTAAATTAAATTAAAATTCAGTTCCTAGGCCACACCAGCCACATTTCAAGTGTTCAACAGTCACTCAAAATAAAAATATTTAAACAATAGTTTAAATATTTTTGAGATGAAATGGTACTGTGCATTTTGAGGGACAATAATGTCATGGCTAGTGTCTACCACATTGGACAGCAGAGATAAAGAATATTACCATCACCAAAAAAGTTTCTTTGTACATTGTTGCTCTAAAATGCTATCATAATATATTCCAATCTTTTTAAGTTCAATGAACATGCACACACATATGTAAATAAAATATACCCTAGAGCTAACAGAGTACTAAATCAGTCATACCATAAGGGCTCAGTACAAGGACATTAATACATATTACATCAAAGTTATAATTATAATAACCTTATGAAATTGTTGCAATCATTCCATTTATAAATAAGAAATCTTAGTTTTCAAAGTTACCCCTCTGCTCACTGAGCTAAATGCATATCTGATTGCCTCCTTTGGAGAGCCTAATCAGAAACTCAAAAGAATACCACCATTTGTCTCTTATCTACCTAATGGCCTGGAAGCCCCCTCCCCGCTTCGAGTCTTCCCACCTTTGCTTTGAGTTGTCCTCCCTTTCCAAACGGAACCAATGTTCATCTTGCATATATTGATTGATGTCTCATATCTCCCTAGAATGTATAAAAGCAAACTGTGCTCTGACCACATTGGGCACTTGTCAGCAGGACCTCTGAAAGCTGTGTCACAGGCGCACATCCTCAACCTTGGCAAAATAAACTTTCTAAATTAACTGAAACAACAAAAAAAGAAATCTTCATTGTTTCAAGTGACACCTGCAGCCTCTTACAGCTCACTTGCAGCCTTAACCTCCTGGGCTCCAGTGATTCTCCCACCTCAGCCTCCCAAGTAGCTGGGACTACAGGTGTGTGCCACCACACACCACAACTGGCTAATTTCCTTTCTTTCTTTCTTTCTTTCTTTCTTTTCTTTTCTTTTTTTTTTTTTATGTAGAGACAAGGTCTTGCTATGTTGCCCATGTTGGTCTTGACTTCCTGTGTTCAAGCAACCCAACCCACCCTTGCCCCAGTCATACATCTAAGAAGTGGTGAAGTAAAGATCCAAACTCTTTTTTAAGTCCTCATCCTTGGGTACTGTTTCCTACTGTCCTCTAACGTGCTTAGATGCTGATTGCAAGTACAATGCAATGATCTTCTAAATTCCAACATGAGAGATTCTCAGGGGCTGGAACTTAAGCAGCCAGGAACTGGCTTTCAGGCCCTTGGAGGCAAAGTATTGCCTTGTTTTCCTCTTGGCTCTCAGGGCAGCTTTTCAGAAACAAAGGGAACACTGCTTGGAAACGCTTCATTCTTTCTGGCTTTCCAGTCAGTTACTTCTTGCCTCAAGCTGACATTGTGACCACTTTGTGCGTGTCTCCCCCCGTCTTCATGCATATCCCCCTTTGTTAACACACACATTCATACACATGCACACACATATATTTTTTCTTATACTGTAGCCTGAAAATGGCATAGATGTCTGGATGCTGTGTTGTTCCATTAATTTAATAATAATTCCAAAAATATTTTGCTTTCATCCTATATGCCTCTTTCAAAGTTTGCATAAGTGCACGTGTTTGTGTGGAAAAAAAAGGACTGCCTCATTTTTAGGGTTAGAGGTTCAGAAGAATTCCTCGACACAGGCAAGTTGAGAACTGAATTTTGTTTTGGAAGGAAAAGGGGGAATCCCATGTGTGAGTTGTGAAATCTAACTGACTGAAGTTCAACTGGATTTAAATATTTTTGAGATGAAATGGTATTGTGCATTTTGAGAGACAATAATGTTGCTTAAAAATAATCTGGCTTGGAATTAGAAGACCTCAGTTTTGGTACTAACTCTGCCATTCATAGATGTAGGACTTCAGGCAGACAGTTAACTACTGAGTCTCATTCTCCTCATCTAAAATGGTAATTGTGATAATACTGGTTTTAGTGGATGCTCTAGTGTATGGCTACATCCATACTGGATGTAGTGAATGCTGTAATATATGGCTCAGACTCCCATTCAAGACCAAGATAATTATTTTCTAGGTGGAGGAAATGATTATTTTTAATTTTTTTAATTAAAAAAAGTTTTACAGACAGGGCCTTATTCTACCACCCAGGCTGAAGTACAGTGGTGCTATCATAGCTCAGTGTAGCCTTGAACTCTTGGGATCAAGTGATCCTCCTGCCTTAGCCTCCCAACTAGTTTGTCTTACAGGCATAAGCCATCACACTTAGCAAGGAAATATTGCCTGCTGACAGCTCATAGGCAAGTCTGTCCCCAGGAATTGCCCTCAGCCTAAAGCAATCACCTTGCCCAAGCTTATACACCCTTACCAAGAATAGCCCACATACAAAGACTGATGTGTGTAACATACAGAGATCCAGTCTTTTTACCTGAATTTGGGATCTCTGAAGTGCTATCCCAGCTCTAGATCCCCAGGGGATCAGCTGATAACTACATTTCAATCCAGTTCCTCCCTTTGCCCAATTCTGCTTTTCTCACTCCTTCACAGATGGTAGCCTCATGAGCCTTCTCCAAGAAATCACATGTAAGCAAATCTCCATCTTAGAGTCACCTGGAAATCACCTAGATCCATGCTACAAGTCAAAGTTTTGTTTTCTCATGCTCATAACACAAACATCAAGAGAAATGTACTATTAAAAATATGTTTTCTTTTTATACTGAAGCGTTTTTTTTTTTCTGAAATATTCAAATCAGGAGAAAACTTTGAAAGATTTAACTCTTTATGTACCAATAAAATAACTGTATTCTGGATGCGACAATTGAAATATTTAGTGACTTAGCCATTTTAATAGCATCTAAGGTGAGAGTTAGCATAACATAACCTGTTTTAGAGTTTTAAAATAAAATCATCAGAAAAAGTTTTTTTGCATGTTACCCAAGATACTCATGCTATAACACTTACTACTCACAGTCTCCATTTCAAGATATCTTTCCCAGCAATCACAGTCAAAATGAATCATTCTTTCCTTACTGCCCCTGTAAAAGACAAGCATAGTTATTTTCATATATGTTTTTCTCCCCCATGGGATTGTGATATTTCCGTAAGGCAGAAACTATGTATTATTCACATTTTATCCCCCAGAATTAAGTACATTACTTTCATTTAGGAGGCTGCCTACAAATGTTAGCTGAATGTCAGTTTGGGTAATTATAACTGTTATAGTTTACATATATTTAGAGGGCCAATTTTCCCCAATTTTCTCTGAAGACTACAAGAAGAGAAAATGTCTTAAACTGAGGGCTGAGAGATTCAAGAATGAGGTAAACAAATATTTGTATAAGTATGATATAAAGAAATATTTTTATAATTGTAAGGCTTATTATATGTTAGAAATGGCTACTAAAACCCAAACATTTCTGGCCAATTGATCCCTGACAAGGGTGCCAAGACCATTCAAAGCGGGAAAGAATAGTTTCTTCTACAAGAAGTGCTGGGACAACTGGATACCCACAGGTGAAAAAATCAACTTGGACTCCTACCTCAAACCATATACAAAACTTAACTCAAAATGAATTAATGACTTAAATATAAAAGCTAAAACCATAAAACTCTGAGAAGAAAACATAGAGTTAAATCTTCATCACCTTGGATTTCTCCATCGATTCTTATATATGATACCAAGAACATAAGCAACAAAAGATAGGACAGATAAACTAGACTTCATCAAAGTTCACACTTCTTTTTTTTTGAGACAGGGTCTTCCTCTGTCACCCAGGCTAGAGTGCAGTGGTTCTATTGCAGCTCACTTGCAGCCTCAACCTCTTGGGCTCGAGTGATTCTCCCATCTCAGCCTCCCAAGTAGCTGTGACTACAGGTGTGTGCCACCACACACCACACCTGGCTAATTTTTTTTCTTTCTTTCTTTCTTTTTTGTAGAGACAAGGTCTTTCTATGTTGCCCATGTTGGTCTTGACACCTGTGTTCAAGCCACCCTCCCACAGGGATGACAGGTGTGAGCCACCACATCTAGCCAAAATTCAAAACTTTTGTGCATCAAGAGACATTATCATGAAAGTGGAGAGCAAATCCACAGAATGGGAAAAATATTTACAAATCACATATCTTATAAGAATCAAGTATCCAGAATATATTAAAAATACTTATAACTCAACAATGAAAAGATAAATCAACAGAAAATGGGCAAAGGACTTGAATAGACATTTTCCCAAAGAAGATACATAAATGGCCAACAAGTACATGAAAATATGCTTAACATATTTGCCATTAGGGCAATGTAAATCAATGCCACAATGAGATACTACTTCACACCCACTAAAATGGCTGTAATAAAAAAAGAATCTCCACCAGTGTTGGTGGGGATGTGGAGAAAGGAGTACTCTTGTACATTGCTGGTAGGAATGTAAAATGGTTCATTTTACAAATATACCTGTGATGGTTTGTTGGTTCCTAAAATGTTAGACATAAAATTAGCATATGACCCTGAGATTTCGCTCCTGTATATGTACTCCAAAGAACTGAAAACAGAAGCTCAAACACATATGTGTACACACATGTTCATAGCAGCAGTATTCACAGTAGTCAAAATGTGGAACAGCCCAAATGTCCATCAGTGAATAAATGAAAAAACTAATTGTAATAAATGCATATACTACTCAGCCATAAAAAGGAATGAAGTACTGTACCAGACCGTTCTCACACTGCTATAAAGAAATACCTGAAACTGGGTAACTTATAAAGAAAAGAGGTTTAATTGGCTTATGGTTCTGCAGGCTGTACAGGAAGCACAGCTGTGGAGGCCTCAGGAAACTTTCAATCAGGCATGTTTTACATGGTCAGAGCCGGAGGAAGAGAAAGAAGGGGGAGTTGCTAAACACACACACACACACACACACACACACACACACACACACACGCACACACACGCACACACCCCAGATCTCCTGAGAACTCACTCATTATCAGGAGAACAGCAAGGGGGAAATCCACCCCCATAGGCCAATCATCTCCCACCAGGTCCCTCCTCCAACACTGGGGATTGTAATTTGACATGAGATTTGGGCAGGGACACAAATCCAAGCCAAATCAAGTACTGACACATGCTACAACATGGATGAACCTCTAAAACACACTAAATGAAAGAAGCTAGACACAAAAGATCATCTAGTGTATGATTCTATGCTATATATATATATATTCAAAACTTTTGTGCATATATATATGATGTTGGTGCAAAAGTAATTGTGGTTTCTTTTGCACCTACCTAATACATAAAACATCCAGAATAGATAAATGTATAGAGATAGAACACAGATTGATGATAGTCAGGGGATAGAAGGAGTGCAAAATAAAGAATAATTGCTTAACGTGTTTTCCTTTGGGGTGATGAAAATATTACAGAACTAGAAAAAAGTGCACAACAATTGTGAATGTAATAAATGCTACTTAATGGTCACTTTAAAATGTTTATGTTCTATGAATTTAACCTCAATAAATTACAGTATTTTAAAATGTTGTAATGATTACTAAGGGAGGTTTTGCAATTTCTTACGTGTTAGCCGTCTAAACTTTGTAGGATTGTTTGGACGCTTTGTTGCTCTAAAGTCAAAGGAATGGTAATCCTTCGCCCTTCCAGGTCCTTTCGAAGTTGGCAGATAGCAAACATCAGTATTATTCACCAATATCTTCTTCTCCTCTCTTTTCGGACATATGAAGAATGACACTTCCTTGTGTCCCCTTGCATTAAGAAGGGCCATGTAACTAGTTATGGCCAAGGAGAAGTAAGCACAAGTTATATGTATGATTTGAGGGGTGAGAGATTGTCCATGTTCTTCTCCTCTGCCATGAAAAAAGGGAAAACAATAACATGGGTGGAGGTAGAGGTTTCACAACATTGAAATCATCTAGAATGCTGAGCTCCCAATGGAAGAGAGCTGTCCTGCAGAATAGCTTGGACCTGAAGTGAACTTTAAAAATGCAAGAAACAGACTTTTACTGTGTCACACTACCAAAATGTTGGCAATGCTTGCTACTCCACATAATAGCCTATCCCTAACACAAGTGGCCCACGGAAAGAGAAGGTTTGTGTTTTCTAAGATTGTTCATGTTAAGACTGTGCCTCCCCTTTAGTAGGCTGGCTAAAAAGAAATAAAACACACTGGTACAGGGTTAACAATAAATGTTAGATTTTAGACATGCCATTTGTAATGCTTAAGAACAATTAACAAACAAGAAAACATCATAAAGAAGAAGCCTTGCAGAGAGACTTTCAGAACAATGCATAAATATCCATGCCATTCAGGAGAAACCACATCTCCTCTGTCTCCTTCTCTGCTAGCTCACCAGTGTGGTTGGAGTACAGGGTTCATAGGCTGTTCCTCCTCAGGGCCTCTCTCTCAGAAATCATCTGGTAGCACAAAACCAGGAAGAAATATCTAGGCCAGGTGAGTGTCACCTCTTTTTAAATATAGCCCTTGGTTTATTCATCTCTTTGAGAGTACTTCAAAGTCACATCAATGAGATTATGAGATATTCATCTTGAAAGGATACAGAAATTTCCTTGGCCTCAGGTAGACTGATTTCTGGTTGTCATTCTACAAAGAGGTAGGGAGAAGACAAGAACAAAATCAGGCTGCACGTCTGTCTCATTTTTAGAAAGGAAGAAAGTGAACTGAATGCTAAAAATGCAAACAGTGCCAGGCGCGGTGGCTCACGCCTGTAATCCCAGCACTTTGGGAGGCTGAGGCGGGTGGATCACGAGGTCAGGAGATCAAGACCATCATGGTTAACATGGTGAAACCCCATCTTTACTAAAAAAATACAAAAAAAAAATCAGCCGGGCGTGGTGGCGGGTGCCTGCAGTCCCAGCTACACAGGAGCCTGACGCAGGAGAATGGCGTGAACCCAGGAGGCGGAGCTTGCAGTGAGCCGAGATCCCGCCACCGCACTCCAGCCTGGGTGACAGAGCGAGACTGTCTCAAAAAAAATAATAATAATAAAATAAAAAAATGCAAACGGTATCTGATATACTAGATGTCAGTTAAGGGAATCTGGAACAGAAATTTGAGGGCGACTCGTTTCATCCAGCAGATAATCTCAAGGCTTAAGTGAAGCCCTTTATGTCTAAAGAAATTGCTACTGAACCATGTTAATTCATCTGGAAAATCCAAGAGAGAAAGTTTACTGAATTATCTTAGAATTTAAGCTGTGGAGTCAGATGATCTGGGTTCAAAGACTAGCTCATATATGGACTACATGTGTAATCTCAGGAAACTTAATTCGTCAGTTGATACTTCTGTTTTATCATTTATGAAATGGAGTAATTATGCTTAAGAGTATTTTTTTTTTTTTTTTTTTTTTTTTTTTTTTGACAGAGTCTCGCTCTGTCGCCCAGGCTGGAGTGCAGTGGCGTGATCTCGGCTCACTGCAAGCTCCGCCTCCCAGGTTCAGGCCATTCTCCTGCCTCAGCCTCCCGAGTAGCTGGGACTACAGGTGCCCACCTCCACGCCCGGCTAATTTTTTGTATTTTTAGTAGAGACGGGGTTTTACCGTGTTAGCCAGGATGGTCTCGATCGCCTGACCTCGTGATCTGCCCGCCTCGGCCTCCCAAAGTGCTGGGGTTACAGGTGTGAGCCACCACGCCCTGCCGCTTACGAGGGTTTTTGTGAGGATAAAATGAGTTTATGTGTCAAGTGTTTACAACAGTTCCTGGCACACAGAATGTCCTACATGAGAGTTTGCTATTATAAGGAGTTAATCAAACACCTGAAGGCTTTGGTGGTGAGGACTGGCTTCGAAGTCATATCTGAGTTTGAGTCCTGCAGCTGTGTGACTTTAGCTGGCCAAACTCTCTGAGTTTTCATTCTTCCCCTATCACGTGCACAATATTTTTGGGAGGGATTGAGCAAAGAAAGGATTCAAATAGTTTAGCACAGCAGGTGATAATGAGTGAGTTCTCATGAGATCTGATGGTTTAAAAGGGTGTGGCAGGCTGGGTGCGGTGGCTCACGCCTGTAATCCCAGCACTTTGGGAGGCCGAGGCGGGCAGATCGCGAGGTCAGGAATTCAAGACCAGCCTGGCCAACATGGTGAAACCCCGTCTCTACTAAAAATAAAAACTAAAAAAATTAGCTGGGCCTGGTGGCACGTGCCTGTAATCCCAGCTACTCAGAAGGCTAAGGGAGGAGAACTGCTTGAATCAGGACCCGGGAGGCAGAGGTTGCAGGGAGCCAAGATCGTGCCACTGTACTCCAGCCTGGGCTACAGAGTGAGACTCTCTCTAAAAAAAAAAAAAAAGAAGAAGTGTGTGGCAGTTCCCCCCACCCCCAGCTTCTCTCCTGCCACCATGTAAGTTGTGCCTTGCTTCCCTTTCACCTTCCGCCATGATTGTAAATTTCCTGAGGCCTCCCAAGCCATGCAGAACTATGACTCAATTAGACCTCCTTTCTTTATAAATTACCCAGTCTCGGATAGTTCTTTATAGCAGTGCAAAAATGGACTAATACAGTATACTAGTTCAAAAATAGAGTAAAAATTTCTTCCCATGAGCTCTATCAAAAATCTCAGAATTCACTCTCATTAGACTAACATGATGACATGCTCACCTTTGAACTAATCAGTGTGACCTACAGAAATGTACATGTTAATTAGTCTGAGCTAGACAGAGTGGTGTTTTTCTGCTCCAATCCCAACACTGAGTCTGGGAATTCAAAAGTAGTTTTCCAAGAGAAAATGGAAGTACTATGTTGCTATTTGAAGCAGAGAGAATGGAAACTGAGCAGGCAAATAGACCATCTTTCTACTAAAAAAAAGGTATGAATGGAGGAAAGAGAAAAATAAAAGGAGATACCTGGCAAAAGACTCAGAAAAGCTGGGGCATTAGAAGTTGCAAACAGATTTTCACATCCTAAAATCCATGGTAGGATTTTAACTTGGAGTTATGTGTTCAGTGGTAGGTAATGGATTTTCTACTGTTGTATTCAGACAGGTTCCCTTGCCTGGTTCCTACCGAAGAGCAGCCAACAGGAGTTAGCTGGGGAGTTTTTTGGTCACAGGGAACAGCAGTGTCTACTGTATTTTATGGGAATTAAACCTGTAATCTAATTGTGAATAATCAGAGACTGAAACTTGGGATAGCTGTTTGCTACAGAACCAAAATAAAAGCAAATTTATCAGGATGTGTTAGCCTACAAGTAAAAGAAAATCCACATTCAAATGGCTGAAATAAAAAGGAAATTTATTTAGCTAGGAATGCAAAGACAGGGCAGGTTCCGAAAAATATGTAAAAACTGATTTGTTAAAACTTTATTTTCTGGCCAGCTGTGGTGGCTCATGCCTGTAATCTCAGCACTTTGGGAGGCTGAGGCAAGAGGATTGCTTGAGGCCAGGAGTTCAAAACCAGCCTGGCCAACATAGTGAGACGTCATGTATACAAAAATAGAACAACTTAGCAAGGCCTGGTGGTATGCACCTATAGTCCCAACTACTTGGGAGGCTGAGGGGAGAAGACTGCTTGAGCCCAGGAGTTTAAGACTGCAGTGAGTTATGATCGTGCCACTACACTCCAGCCTGGGCAACAGAGCAAGACCCCCATTCAAAAAACCCCACAAATCTTTATTTGTGTTTCCACCCTCAATATCTCCTATAGCTTAAGACTGATGGTCACCAGATGGCTGCAAGTAGCTTCATGCTCCCTTGCTCAGGCCTAGCATAAGAAAGAAAAATCTCTTTCCAAAGCACGAAACATAAGTTTTCCTTTTTTGGTCTGCAAGAATTAAGGAAGGTCATGCAATATTAGGGACATACTTTCACTACAAATAACATTGGTTATCGGAAATTCAAATATAACTGGGCATCCTGTATTTTATCTGCCAACTCCAGACCTGATTGATTTAGATTTACCCAAAATGCCCTCTAGAGGGAGGTAGGGAAGACACAGGGACAAAATCAGGCTTTCAATGTCTGTCTCATTTTTAGAAAGGAAGACAGTAAACCGAATGCTAAAAATGCATACAGTGTCTGCCACACTATATGTCAGTTAAGGGAATTTGGAACAGAAACTTGAGGATTAGTGGTTTTATCCAACAGATCATCTCAAGGCTTATACCCTGGATTTGTAAAGTATTATAACTCAGTATAATTGTACAAGTATGTATTTAATACTTTTTAATCAGTGAGACACTCTTGAAGATTCCAGGGGACCACTGAGCCTCTGCCTCCAACGTGCTTCCAGTATAATAGAGGGAATTAAATAAGCACAGGAGGTGAGGAGCACCCTGAAAAAGATACAGAGAGCCATGAGGCTCCAGAACTAGGCTTCCCTAGCAGAGCCAACCTCGAAAACATGCCTCAAAGGATATTGAATAAGAAGGGACATAATAGAGAACTGGGACATAAAGACCAGAAAAATATTTTAGGGCTAATTTTTACAGAGAAATTTCAATTCAAATTGGAAATGTCTACAAATTATCCAATAGTGAATGTGGCAAGGAAGATTTTCGAGTGGTGGTGTGGTATGATTGAAGCTGCATTTTGAGAAAAATCAATCTGATAGCAATGTGTAGGATGAATTGGGGTGAGGACAAGACCATCAGTGAAATGGTCTAGAACAATACTATCAGATCTAAAACCCTCTTTTGGTACCTAGATTTTGTAAAGGCTAGTTTACTCTCTTGAAATGAAATTCAGAGAATATAACCATCCTGTAAGCATAATTCTAGGAAATTTAGTAAAAAACTCTAACTGTAATAGAAATAAAAAATAATTCCTTTAATAATAAAACTTACATTCTACTATGAGGGTCAAACTACAGACCCAATACATCTTTCCACCTATTTTTATATTGTCTATGATAAAAATGCACAATATAAAAATTGGCAATATATAATGAGAAAATGACTGTGTCCAAAATGGAATGCAAAACCATGTCTTCAATCTACCATGTCCTGAAGGTCTTGAGAACACTTACACCCTAGCAGAGTGAGACAAGCTCCCATTCTAAACAAATCTAAACAGACCCAACACAACTTTCCACCTATTTTTATATTGTTCATTGTTTCATTTTTAAACACTTTATTAGCCTGCTCTCATGCTGCTAATAAAGACGTACCCAACACTGAGTAATTTATAAAGGAAAGAGGTTTAATGGACTCACAGTTCCACATGGCTGGGGAGGCATCACAATCATGGTGGAAGATGAAGAGTGAAGCAAAGGCACATCTTACATGGTGGCAGGCAAGAAAGCATGTGTAAGCAAACTGCCCTTTATAAAACCATCAGATCTCGTGAGACTTATTCAGTATCACAAGAACAGCATGGGAAAGACCCGCCCCCATGATTCAATTACCTCCCACCAGGTCCCTCTCACAACACATGGGGATCATGGGAGCTGCAATTCAAGATGAGATTTGGGTGGGGACACAGCCAAACCATATCAAATGCTTATATTTTAAATAATCACATAAGTTACTGGCTTGCAAAGCATAAAGTATTTACTATCTGGCCCTTTACAGAAAACTATTGCTAAGCTCTGCCAGGAATAACTACAGAATGTGCGTGACCGCAAAGTAAAATTGAGGGCTCCTTGTTCAAAAATTATTAAGAACAATACAGCAGTCAACCAAGAGCAGAATTCACATCCATGAAGCCAGCCCTCTCTGTTCTAGTATAGAAATACTCAGACACAACTCCACTACCAACAAAATGAACTAGTCCGATAAGTGTACCTGTGAATGCACCAGTTACAACTACAGACAAAAACAAATAGGACCATGCATAATGCACAACCCTGGGTAGTAGCCCCAATACAAATGTGATTTATTGGCAGCTCAAGTACGAGGGTGGTGTTTCCATTCCTGATGATTTTTTTTCATTGCTAACAACTCTTGGGGAATTTTCAAATAATATAAAGTATAATCTTGGGACAGGCGAGGTGGCTCACGCCTGTAATCCCAACACTTTGGGAGGCCGAGATAGGCAGATCACGAGGTCAGGAGATCGAGACCATCCTGGCTAACATGGTGAAACCTCGTCTCTACTAAAACTACAAAAAATTAGCCGGGCATGGTGGTGGGTGCCTGTAGTCCCAGCTACTCGGGAGGCTGAGGCAGGAGAGCGGCGTGAACCCGGGAGGCAGAGCTTGCAGTGAGCCAACATCACGCCACTGCACTCCAGGCTGGGTGACAGTGCAAGACTTTATCTCAAAAAAAAAAAAAAAACTATATATATATATATATATATATATATATGTGTGTGTGTGTGTGTGTGTGTGTGTGTAATATTCATTATATATATGTATATATATACTATATAAAATATATATAATATAATCTTTCCTCAATTTACATGAAAGTTGCATTTCTGGAATACTCATGGAATATTAAAACATAAAGAACTGCACTACGTGTGAAGCAGAATAAGCTTGTAAGCTCAGATAATTATTAGCAACTTTTATATGACTATTCAATGACATCTTTGAAGGGTTGTGTGGGGGCTCAGAACAATTGTTTGCTGTGAAGCTCTGGCCAATCCATTGCAAAACGGATAGCGCCACTGACCCCAATGTGCCAGACATCAGTAGTATCTCCAGTGCCTCTCCTATTGTGACACCCACAAAGCCCACAGTCATTTTCAAACCACGCTGTCAGGGGTGGTACTACCCAAGTTGACAATTATCAGTCTAGACAATCTAATAACAATTCGATGTTGGGTGGTAATGGTGAGATATTGTATAAATGAAGTTTGGGGCTCTTGGCTATTGGGTTGCAATGGTACAAGCATGAAAAAAAGTTAAAGATGAAAAACATAACATCTTGCCCTGGGACAGCCATTTTTAAAATATATCTAGTCAAAATTGCACAGGTTATCTCACTTTCTCTTTGCAACATTCTTTTGAGATAGGTAGGACAAACGCTAAAAATATCAGTACTTTAGATCAGGAGTCCCCATCTCCCAATGTACCAGTCAGTGGCAAGCATTACTGCCTAAGCTCTGCCTCCTGTCAGATCAGTGGCACTATTAGATTCTCAGAGGAGCACAAATCCTACTGTGAACTGCATATGCAAGGGATATAGGTTGCATGCTCCTATGAGAATCTGATGCCTGATGATTTGAGGTGGAACAGTTTCATCCTGAAACCACCCCCAACTTCCCACTGTCCATGGAAAAATTGTCTTCCACAAAACTGGTCCCTGGTGCCAAAAAGGTTGGGAACTGCTGCCTTAGATCAATGTAGAGTTAACTTTTTTCAAATTTTTTTTGTTTTATATTTCATAATGCAAATAGGTGTTATTCAATCTATTAACATATTTTAATTAAAAATGTATATTCATTTCAAAGTTAATTGTTGACATTCATTCTATGTAAGACATGTAGTTTGGGAATATAGAAAAGAAGAGTCTGAAACCTACAAAGCAAGAGGCAATTTGACCAAATTCCCACGACATGTAGATAGGACTAGAATTCAGTTCTCATGATTTAGTTCTGTGTTCATTCAATTTTCTTCGCTTTGTGGGGTAAAATGATTGGCCCAGCACCTGTTTTGAATAGACAAGCATTTCAACTTGCAACTTATAGATAAGCAAAGAGAATACAGCATCATCAAGAATGATGGTCCCCAGTTCCCTTCCAAGTCTTAAAAAAAGAAGTCACTTGGCACCCTTCTCTAATCGAAAGAGAGAGAGTAGTTCACAGACAGTTGGTAAGAACTGCCAAGTGACTCCCCATGAAGAGAGTATTCGTATCTGTACTTAAGTAGAGCCCGTGGAAAACACAGAGAAATGAGATGTTGGAGTGTTTTTTAAAATTATTATTGTTGAACTGGGCCCAGAACTCCACTACAGATCATGTATGTCTGGAATTGGCAAGACCCAAAACTAATGGTGCTGTCATTTTATATATATATATATATGAAATTTCTTAAGTCTTGTACCAGGAAGGAGGCTCATATAGGGTAACCACTTTAGCCCATCCATAAATAATCCATGTTAATATCCTAAGAGAGGTTCAGGGACTGGAGTAATGTGCTGACATCTGCCTGCTTCTGGCAGAATGGCTTGTATGGTCTAAACAGATGGCCTTTAATTGGTAGTGGGTTGTCCCAGCAGAGGGCAGCTTGAGCAGAAATGGTTATTTGGATTACCCACCTCATGCCTGGCTCCTGGAACTCCTGGCATATTGTCAGAAGTGCCATGTAGTTACTGCCAATAGGTCTGATGTCACCAGATGGCAGCCTCTTGGTCTACCATCATCACTGGAGGGAGGGTTCTTTGTAGATCTTAGCAAAGATGCCATGGTGTAAATGGGCTTGGGAAATTTGGGAGGTGGATGAGTGACAAGAGAATCCATGAAATAAACTTGCCTTCAAGGTAGTTTCCTAATGAAATCTTTGGGTTTTGGAATCCCGATTGCTACTTATTTTTTTTGAATGTGACACATTCTAAACGCTTCCAGCAGTAGGAAGAGATATGAACTAGGGGGTGAAGATTTAGACTTCTTTCCTATAACATATGAGTTAAATGGAAGAGGAAAATGCCCACAGGTCATTGTAAAAAGCCAAGCTGCTGAAGGATCACAAGTTCTATTGTGCAGACATAAAACAATCAGGTTTCTGTTTCAGATATAATGAGAAAATGACTTACTGTGTCCAAAATGGAATCAAACAGCCAGCAAAACCATGTCTTCAATCCACCAGGTCCCAAAAGTCTTGAGAACACTTATGCCCTGAGCGAAGTGAAGCAAGCTCCTTTTCTAAACGAATCTAAACTAAACTGTAAAATATTCCTATAGTACCTGACCCTTAGCTGAGTCCTTTGGAAAGTAGAAACATTATGTACATTCAAAATTAGGTTAGTTGTGGGTGAGGACCAGAGCTGAACTCTGCTATCCACAGCAAAAGCATGGGATGATTTGTGGACATGTGAGCATTTAGCCAATTTCCTGTTGGGTTTTTCCAATGATGGCCTTGGAGTTTACTTTTTAGCATTTGATGGTAGTGAGAATCATACTCAGCCAAGTCAGCCATCCTCAAGCAGAATAGAAACAAATGAGCAACATGATAATAATCTTATGTGTCTTCAGAGCTTCAAGCAGATACCTTCATTCACTCATCTAGTCCTGCAGTATCTTACTTAACAACTTTCACAGGCCAAGGTTTACTCTTGTTGCATTTTCCCAGACTTAAGAATTGGCATAATATACTCCTTTATACAGAAATCCTAGAAGGTCAAGAGGGATATTTATACATGCAATTTACAGGACACTATATTGCCTTGGTGAGAAAAATCTCTTCTCTTCAGCATGAAGCGTTCTGTACAAAGACCTAATTATAGACGAGAGGCTGCCTTCTGTTTCAGATAAGGTGACCTTGAGGGAGGCTGAGGGTGCAAGGTCAGAGCTGCTAATGACTGGGAGCTTTATAAAAGCCATGAGGCCCTTGGGAAGTATACAGATAAGAAGAATCTGGTCCATAGAAAAAGAAAAACCTTAAAGTTTTCCATACACATTGGTGGAATATCTTCAAACAAATATACTATGACATGGGCTGAAAATACCCAGGATGGGAAAGATTGCAATGATTCAGACGCGAATTTCATGGATTTAAGTTGAAAGTTATCTCGGGTCAAAAGTTATAGGCCGGTCGTGGTGGCTCAAGCCTGTAATCCCACCACTTTGGGAGGCCGAGGTGGGCAGATCACTTGAGGTCAGGAGTTCAAGACCAGCCTGGCCAACACGGTGAAACCCCATCTCTACCAAAAATACAAAAATTAGCTGGCTGTGGTGGCATGAACCTGTAATCCCAAGCTGAGGCAGAAGAATCACTTGAACCCGGGAGGCAGAGAATTACGTAGATGTATTATCTGTTCATTCATTTAATTGATATTTAGAGCATGCTAACTGTATTTTGGGCACCGTTTTAGGTGTTAGAAATCCTGCAATGAACAACAAAAGACAAAACCTCTACTTTCATAATCTTACATTCTAGTAGCGGAGCTAGATAATAAACATATTAATAAGTAAGTACCAGGAGAGTGGGTAGAAGGTGACTGTGATGGTGGGGATGCCATTTTAAATTGTTTGGAAAGCAAAGTCTCTCTCCAATAAATTAAATTTGAGCAAATATCAGAATATTGCGATAGAGCAAGCCATGAGGATACATAAGAGTAGAATATTCCATGCAGAGGAAACAACAGATGTAAAGGTCCAGATGCTTGATGTGGATGAAGAAATTTCAGGAGGTCAGTGGAGCCCCCTCCAGACTGAAGGTGGGGACCAGAACACACAGGGTCCCACATACATGTTTCCCTTTGTGAGATTCAAGTAAAAGATTTTATGTTCTCATGTGTATATCTTGTAAAGCTCTGAAGCTACAAAAACAGCTAACATTTCTTGTGGGCTTGTGACGTGCCAGGTTCTGTGCTGAGAGCTTGCCTGCAGTCACATCATCTGGTCCTCACTACAACCTTAAGAAGTAGGTACGATGATTATCCCCTTTTACAAGTCAGGAAACTTAGGCTTAAAGGTTAAGCAACTTGCCAAAGTTGCCCTGCTAGTAAGTACTGGAGATTCCAAAGTAAATAAGAATAAACCACAAAGGGGTTAAATGGTTCTCCCTGTTACTTGAAACCCCCTCCTCTGTGACAAAATTCCAGTAGACTTGAGCTTGGCTGTGCTCTTAAACAAAGAAGCCAGGTAGGGGGAAATCAAGAGATAAACCGTTTGCAAGAGCCACTCTCTCTCTCTCTCCAGACATTCACCAGGCTTCTAGACCCCTCATTCTGCAGAAGTTTCAGCTCTTTGTGGGTCGCTGGGTTTATGTTTCCACTGACTCTGGGAACCATGTTGAGTGCTGAGAAGCCCACAGTATTCTTCTCCCCATGTGGTTAGAGGTGGCAGAGAGGCTGGGCAGCAATGCCAGGGACCACACCTCTTTGTCAGGAACATGTAATTAAAAAGGAAAGAAAAAGGGGAGGGGGGAGAGCAAAGAAATCGCCACCCAGCCCCATTTTTCTTAAACACATGCTCCTGCGTGCGCGTGCACACACACACACCAAGCCAACAAACGTCCGTCACTGGGGTCCTTGGGATTCTGATGAAAACATTTTCCACCTGGCACAGCTAGGCATTAAACACTCCTGTAGCCCAACCTGAGACTTGGACCGTCAGTGGAGATATTTTTAAAACCATGACACAGAGGCGTGTGACACACTCGGTTTTCTCAGTGGGTGGGTAGAGTGTTGTTTCATGTTGTTCTTGTCACTCGGCCCAACATTACAAGTGTGCACTTTATTACTACACAGAGAGTGCTGTGCAGCCGGACCCGCCACAGGGTGTTCCCAGCCAGGGGAAGGCAACCTGGACAGGCACAAAAAAAAGACGGAGGGGAAAGCTGAAGGGGACAGAGGCTACACTTTTGGGTTCTCTCTCAGGCATTCTGCTCATGGCAGCAGGATATAAAGTGTCCCAGTTGCCGTCATTTAATACTCCGTATCCATTGGTTGCTGTCCTTGGGCAAATGCTAAGATATGGAGATATTTCCTGGCATCCAACCAATTCCTTGACTGTTGAGTATCTTTCTATCACTCTCTTGTCCTTCTCCTTTTTCTCTTCCCTAATAGGAGTTTGTTCTTAACCTCACACACACACACACACAATTATGGTGGAATGAGGACCAAGTATCAGTGTCACCCTACTTACATGCAAAGGTGTGAGTCAGAGGCCCTATTGCTTCCTTGGGACAGATAGGACAATGATGTACAGAGGGAGCAGAGGAGAGTGGGTGCATCTGCCCTGAGCACAGGAATAAAAAGGTGAATTGCAAGTAGAGAATTTAAAAGTAATTGAGGAAACAGGCGGGCACCATGGCTCACTCCTGTAATCCTAGCACTTTGGGAGCCAAGGCAGGCGGATCACTTGAGGTCAGGAGTTCAAGACCAGACTGGCCAACACAGTGAAACCCTGTCTCTACAAAAAGTACAAAAATTAGCCGGGCATGGTAGTGCATGCTTGTAATCTCAGCTACTTGGGAGGCTGAGGCAGGAAGATTGCTTGAACCCGGGAGGCAGAGGTTGCAGTGAGCCAAGATTGCACCACTGCACTCCAGCCTGGGTGACCAAGTAAGACTCCTTCTAAAAAAAAAAAAGTAATTGTGAAAACAATTAAGAGTCAATTGTTTTATATTGGCACCTTGCACTGGTGAGTCTAAGCAATTTCAGTGCTGAAAGATTCCTCTCCATCTAAGAGAACCAGTCCCACCATCACTCTACACACTCCTCAGTATGAGCCATTGAGTAGGATGGGAATAGAAGATTGGCTTTAAAGACAATATTTTATTTCCACAGAAAATCAAGGCCCTCTGGATGGAATTTGCCTTATTTCCCACTAAGTGAACTGGACACTTATTTTTCCATCAATAGCAATCTTACTTTATCAAGTCACAATTGAATCATGGGGGCAGTTTCCTGGTCTCACGGTAGTGAATAAGTCACATGAGATCTGATGGTTTTATAAGGGAAAACCCCTTTCCATTGGTTCTCATTCCCTCCTGTCTGCCACCATGTGAGACACGGCTTTCATCTTCTGCCATGATTGTGAGGCCTCCCCAGCCATGTGGAACCATGAGTCCATTAGACCTCTTTTTCTTTATAAATTACCTACTCTTGGGTATATCAGGAGTGTGAAAACGAACTAATACAGCCTGCAAAGGCTGAAATATTTACAATCTAAACCATGATTTTAAAAACTTTGCTCACCCCTACTCTAAAATATATCGCAATAAGCTCCTAGCTGGACACATTGGTTCCTTTTCTTGGTCTCTTAAAATCCATTCTCCACCAGGCAGCTAGCATTACCTGTAAAACATAACCCATGTCATGAGACTCTCCTGCTCAAAACTGTCCACTAGTTTCCATAACAATTAGAATAAAAGGGCTGGGCGTGGTGACTCACGCCTGTAATCCCAGCACTTAGGGAGGCTGAGGTGGGTGGATCATGAGGTCAAGAGATCGAGACCATCCAGGTCAACACAGTGAAACCCCATCTCCACTAAAAATACAAACAATTAGCTAGGCATGGTGGTGTTCACCTGTAGTCCCAGCTACTCGGGAGGCTGGGGCAGGAGAATTGCTTGAACTGGGAGGTGGAGGTTGCAGTGAGCCGAGATCACACCACTGCACTCCAGCCTGGTGACAGAGCAAGACTCCGCCTAAAAAAAAAAAAAAAAAAAAAAAAAAATTAGAATAAAACACAAACATCAGGCTTTTGCAGGCCAAGATCTTTCATAAGATCTGGCCTCTGTCTACCTTTGTAACTCCTTGTTATGAACCTAAGTGTGTGTCCCCCCAAAATTCATACATAGAAGCCCTAACACCCAGTGTGACTACATGTGGAGACAGGGTCTTTAGGAGATAATAAAAGTTAAAAAACCCATAAGAATGGACTCTAATCCAATAGGACTGGGGGCCTTAAAAGAGAAGGAGAGAGAGATCTCTGTCTTTTCTTGCACACACCAGAAAAGGCCATGTGAGACACAGCAAGAAGATGGCCATAGGCAAGCCTGGAAAAGAGCCCTCACTAGCAACCAAATTGGCCAGATTCGATTGATCTTAGACTTCCCAGACTCCACAACTATGAGGAAACAAACGTCTGTTGTTTAAGCCACCTACTCTATGGTATTTTGTTATGGCAGCCGGAGCTAATGCACACCTCAATCGGCTTCGGGCACTCTAGCTTTGCTTTCTTCAGACATGATGTATTTTTGACTGCCTCAAGAACTGCACAGTGTGGTTCTCTCTGCTGGAATGCCCTTCCCCTAGGTCCTGCTAAAGCATGTGCTTTCCTACAGTTCAGGAAGTTCTTTGCTTTAATGTCACTTTCTCAAAGAGTCTATCCTTCACCATGATTAACAAATAATACTTCCATTTTTCACTCCCTTCTGATATTCTATCCCCACACCCTGCTTCATAGCGTTGATCACTTCCTTCCCTTAACATGCATTGTAGACATACTTAATAGACTTGTCTGTACAATAGGAAGAAAAGAGAGAAGCCAAGGATGTCTCTTCTACTTGATACCTGAACAGCTCCCAGGAGAATGGTGACACCCTTTACTGAGACAAGGAAACCTGTGGGAGGAGAGTATTTTAGGAGAAGAGTGAAGGGAAAAATCAAGATTTCCATTTTGGACATGTTATATTTAACATATCTGTTAGATGTCATGGTGGAGTTGCCTGGCAGGCATTTGGATATATGAGTCTGGAATTCAGGGGAGAGATTGGTTCTGAAGATAAAAAATGTGTGAGTCATCAATATATAGATGGGTATGTAAAGTCATGATCCTGCTGATGAATTCTGCTAGGGAGTATAAATATTGGGGAGAAGAGGGCCAAGAGCTAAGCCCTGGTGTGAGCAACTACTAGAGGATGGGGAAAAAAGAGGGGAAACAAAACATAAGAAATTGAGAAAGAGAATCTATCAAGGCAATGGGAAAACCAGAAGAGGGTAGCATCCAAGAAGCCAAGTGAAGAAAGATTGCCATTCCCAGCGCTGCTGCAAGCTCCAGATAAGGACTCAGACTTGGTCCTTAAATCTGGCCAAGGGCAGAGACAAGACAAAAACAATGGTAACAAAAGCCTTTTGGGACAGAGTCAAGAAGAGCTCATAAGGTGAAGGTGAAGAGGGGGAGGCAGAAGTTATAGATGATTTCAAGGAGTTTTGTTATAGGGCAAAAAGAGAATGAAGTGGTAGTGGGAAGAAGCTATGAGGAAAGGGGGAGATTATCTAGAATGGGAGAGATCCCAGTGTGTTTGCAGGCTGATGAGAATGAGACATGAGAGGGAAAAGATGGTACAGGGGAGAGAAGAGATCATGGCTGGAGCAAAGTCCTCTAGCAGGCAATTCAGGGTGGATCTGGCCCACCAGCAAGGGAGTAGGCCTCTAATGGGAGCAGGTGCAGTCTGCAGGAAAAGCAGAATATGTGGGTACCCAAGGAGGTAGAGGGTGACTCATTTGTAGGTGGATGAGCATGTTCTCTTCTGCCTGCTTCTGTTTTCTCAGTGAATTGAAGGTGAGGTCATCAACTGAGAGTAAGGAAGTGAATGTCAGGAGGGCCTGTGACACAGTAGCCCTGGAGAACAGGATTGTGAATCAACCAGGCAAATGCAGTAGGACTGCCAGGCAGTGTGGGGGCCCTAGTGAGGTTTGTGGTAAAAAATCAACATGTGACCAGACAGCCCCCACTTTCTGTTTTTCTCCAGCCGGATCCAAGTACTTTGCAGGAGCAGAGGAGGTGAAAAGTCAGGCTGATGTATGGTAGATTTTCAACTCTGTAGGCGGGGGGAAGAGATGGAAGCTGAGAGTTTATGCAAGGCAGGGATTATAACAAAAGAAAGACGGCAATGAGGACATGAAGGAGTTGAGGGAACAGTGCCAAAGGGAAGGGACAATGACTTAAAGGTCTTGGCAGGGTCAATGAATCACTGAGGTCAGCATCGTAGAGAGAATCCTCTGGAAGATAGTTGGTTGTTGTTGGAGATGGAGATCCTTAAGAATGAGATTTGGGAGAAAGAACAGTCACTGAATGGTTGGGTAGGACCTTAGAAGGAGTGGCTATGGAAGCACAGAAGACAAGGTCCTTGGAAGAGAACAGATAAGGGACTGAGAGGCCTGAAGAGTGAAAGACCTATGTGATTATTGAAACAACTGTGGATGATGACAGGTGGGGTGCTTATGGTGAAAGTGAGCCAGGTACAAAGTCTTTTGTAGGTAAGAGGAAGGTCCGGGTTAACTCACCAAAGCAGGGGGTATTACGGCATAGAGTCTAATACTGTGAGCTTCAAAGGAGCTGAGGTTGGGTATGGGGTAGAAGATGGAGAAATGGTCTGGAGGATGGGATGTGAAGCAAGCATGACACATCATCACCTTCTAGGCCCTGTGTCCATAAAGGAAAAAGAAAAGTCATAGCTTCAGAAGGCTGGAAGGGAAGCCAAGACCTCCAGGGATGACTGGTTTTAGTTGCAGCAGGCATTTGAAGAGAACATTCTTAGCAACAGGTGAGGATATGGGTCATTTTGATGATGAGCAACTCTGAGCTATAGGGCACAGTGAAAGGATTCTGAGGGAGCAGAGGATGGGGAGGGGGGTGATATGGTTTGGCTCTGCGTCCCCACCCAAATCTCTTCTTGAATTGTACTCCCATAATTCCCCATGTGTTGTGGGAGGGGCCCGATGGGATATAATTGAATCATGGGGGCAGTTTCCCCCATACTGTTCTCGTGGTAGTGAATAAGTCTCACAAGATCTGATGGTTTTATCAGGGGTTTCCGCATTTGCATCTTCCTCATTCTCCCTCTGCCTGCTACCATCCATGTAAGATGGGACTTGCTCCTCCTTGCCTTCCGCCATGATTGTGAGGCTTCCCCAGACACATGGGACTGTAAATCCAATTAAGCCTCTTTCTTTTGTAAATTGCCCAGTCTCGGGTATGTCTTTATCAGCAGTGTGAAAACCGACTAATACAGGAGGATTACTAGATTAGGGGATAGACAGAGCTAGAAGATGATAAAGGTCTCTATTTCCTAGGGCTGTTCTAACAGAGTACCAAAATCTCTGTGGCTTAGGACAACAGATATTTAATGTCTTGCAGCTCTGGAGGCCAAAATTCTGCAATCCAGGTGTCAGCAGCACTGTACTCCCTCAAAAACCTATGGGGGTCCGGGGCAGTGGCTCATGCCTGTAATCCCAGCACTTCGGGAGGCTGAGGAGGGCAGATCACCTGAGGTCAGGAGTTTGAGACCAGACTGGCCAACATGGTGAAAACCCATCTCTACTACAAATACAAAAATTAGTTGGGTGTAGTGGTACACATCTGTAATCCCAGCTACTTGGGAGGCTGAGGCATAAGAATCACTTGAACCTGGGAGACAGAGGTTGCAGTGAGCCAAGATCGTGCCACTGCACCCCAGCCTGGGTGGAAAATGAGACTGTTTCAAAAAAAATAAATACATAAAACCTATAGGGGAAACTTCCTTGCCTCTTCCAGCTTCTGATGACCCTGGATGTTCCTTGGGTTGTGGCAGCATTACCCCAGTTTTCATAGGGTGTTTTACCTGTGTCTTTTCACACAGTTCTCCTTGGACATGTCTGTGTCTAAACTTTTTATAAGGACACTGGTCATATTAGACTAGGCTCACCCTCATGACCTCATCTTAACTTGGTTAAATTTGTGTCTTAGTCCATGCAAACTGCTAGAATAAAAATACTATAAACAGAATGGCATATAAACCACAGAAGCTTATTTCTTACAGTTCTAGTGGACGTGAAGTTTAAGATCAAGGCTCAGGCAGGTTTGGTGCCTGGTGAGGGCCCTCTTCCTCATAGAGGACACCTTCTAATTGTATTCCCACATGGTGGAAAGGGAAAGTGAGTTCCACTGGGTTCCTTTTATACGAGCTCAAATTTCATTCATAAGGGCTCCACCTTCCTAACCTAGACACCTCCTAAAAGACTATCTCCTAATATGATCACATTGGCTATCGGGTCTCAACGTATGAATTTTCGAGGAACACAGACATTCAGACCACAGCCATCTATAGAGACTCTATTTCCAAATAAGGTTACATTCTGAGGTGTTAGGGGTCAGGACTTTAACATATATCTTGTGGGGGACACAATTAAGCCCATAACAAGGTCTGAGTGACCAGAGACATTTCTGTAGGCTTAGACTTTAGAGGGTCAACTGCAATGTAATACATAACGGGATGCGTCTCGATGGTTTTTTGGGTAGGCAACACCCTTTTTCTCAGGATGCTTTCTGCAAGAGCTTGTAGGGTATGATGAATGGTATTATAAAAGGGGATCAGTGGGCTCAGAAAGGATACATTAATTCCAGGATGAACAGACGTCTGCAGGCCTTATTTGCAGAAAGTGTGTGGTGGTAGGGCAGAGGAACTTACACTGTTCTTCTCCCCGTTCCCTCTACTCACTATACTGCAGCTCCACTTGTCTATCTCTGCCTCAGAAAACTACAGATTGGGCAGCCCTAATCTTTCCAAAATCCAAAACGCGTCAACATCCAAAACTTTTTGAGCACTGACATGAGGCCACGAGTGGAAACTTCCACACCTAAGTACTTAATGCAAAATTTGTTTTATGCACAACATTTTAAAATATTTTACAAAATTACCTTCAGGCTAGGTGTATATAAAACATAAATATATTTTGTGTATAGGTTTGGTTCTCATTTCCAAGATCTCATTATATGTATGCAAATAGCCCAAAAATCTGAAAACAATCTGAGATCCAAAACACTTCTGGTCCCAAGCAATTCAGATAAGGGATGCTCGATCTGTACCTAGGCTGTCCCAGCCTCAAGGCCTGTGCACTTGTCATCCCTTTGCCTGGAATATTCTGTCTCGGAGCTTCTCATGGCTGGCTCTCTCTCATCACAGAGAGCTCATCTTGGAGGCCACCTGCTTAGAAAAGCCTTCCCTGGCCATCACGCCTAATGTACTGCCACCTCCTTCACTGTTTTCATCATTTTCCAAAAAGGTATTATTTTCACACTTGTTCATCTGCTTAATGTTAGTTTCTCCAATTATAAGGTCCACAAAAACTATTGTCTCCTACCCCCTTTGTTCAGCACTGACTCCCAATGCACCGACTAATGCCTGGTGTGCACAGGTGCTAAATAGCAACAAAAGGAGCAATAGGAATAATCATCTTTGATTGGATGAATAAATGTAAGCACATACAATGCATAAGTCATTTAACCTCCCTCGACCTCATTCATAAATAAGACTTTGACCCAGGTCTTATCTTTAAGATCCTTTCCAATCTTATAATGCCAGTTATATAACAGCCCGATAGAATCTGAGAGACCCACAGGAATGTTGCTGCTCAACATGCACATTCATATCTCAAGCCAAGAGAAGAAAGGTCCCGTGTATTAGACCTTTTAAAAAAAGTCTATCAGGTCAAGATAACTGATCTAATTTGAGCAAAGAATGGTTTAACTTACACACATTTCCTTGCACTTCACATTAATCCTTTAAGCTGCAGCTAGACCACACGCTTCAAAGGTAAAGCCAGGGAACACGATGATCCCATAGGTGCAGCATTGTTGACCCAGCCACCATTTTGGACTGCTGGGTGAGTTCCATTTGGCTTTGACTTTTCTTATGTGTTTAGAGTGTACATGGAGCTTCCTAAACCGTAGAAGTCATCTCATTGATCCAAGAATCACTAAGACCTTTATCAATAATCTTAGTCCAATCTTTTGTTAAGGCATTGAAACTGATTGAGGTCAGCCATTCACTTCTTTCTGCAGCCATGATTAATCTAGTGCCCACTACGGCCCAGGTCTTGAGCTGAGGAGGTGAGAATTCCACTCTTCTTCTCAAGCTCCAACATGTTTAATACTCCCTCCCTTTTAAACTCTGCTGAGCATAGGATCATCTGGTGTTCCACCACCCTACTCACTTATGCTTTGGCCAAGAGATTCAAATGCCTAGAGAGGCAGTTTGAAATTTCAAAGGTCACAGTTATTTGGCGGAAGTCTCACTCTGCCTCATCGACTGTGGTCCTGTGTTGTCTCTTTTCCCGTTTCCAACTCTATGCCATTTCACTTTATTACAGAAGTATCTTTCCTTTCCCCCACATAGTTGCAGCGTAAGATCCCCCCTTCTCTTCCCTTTCCCCTAATTCCAAAGCACAGATCCAGAACCCCCTCCTAGGCAGGTTAATGCCCCATTTGGTGTTATAGGATCTTTACGAGGCTGAGAAATGGAAGCCAGCAGCCTAGCAGCTCTGCCGGAGAGCAGGAAGCCACAATGCAGGGAAAGAGGCAGAAGGAGTCTGGGAGGCGAAGTCTGCCTTTTTTGATGACTGATGTAAGGGCTTCGTACTTGAACTTTTAGTTTTATAGTTCTATAAAAGGCAGCTGACAAAAGAGAACCCGTTTTGGGAGGGTCCAGCTGGCCGGACTGAGCTGGGTGGGGCGGTCCCAACACATGAAAGCCAGGGCTGATTTTCATCCATGATGTCAGAGAGGCGATGGGATTCCCACTGAGCCAGAGGATAGGAGAGCAGACAGTTCCAGCCCGGGCCCTGCCAATGCCGGCAACAGTTTCAATCCTGGCTTCCTGGCTCTTCTGCAAGATCCTTTTCCTCCTCGGAGACTCTTTGCAGTGTTTGGAAGGGAAGCTCTCTCGCTCAGCCTGCGGGTGTCTGCTGAGGCAGGAGAGCCGCTGGCCTCCCTCCTTGGCTTCCTGGCTCCCCTATACCTCTGCTTGGCTCGGCTCTCTATTTCCTTTCGTTTCAGTGGAGGATGCAGGGAGACTGACAGGGCTGGCTGTGCAGGGGCCCACAGCGTTTTACAGACTTATAGTCCTGAGCTCTTGCATTGCAGCCCCCCACTTCTGGATTTGGTGGGGGACAACCTCTGCTCCCTTCTCTGACTCAGACTCAGACCCTGGACTCCACAACTGGAGAAGCTGCTCAACATACGAAAAGTGGTTGGGGTGGATGGTTGTTTTCAATTAAATCTAATCTGAAGAAACATGGGGGGCTTTTTGGTTGGTGTGTGTGTGTGTGTGTGTGTGTGTGTTTGTTTTTTGTTTTTTTTTTTTTTTTTTTTTTTTTTTTTTGGTCGTTTTTCTTTTTGCTTATTCACATCAAACTATTGCGCTGGCCCAAGCCTGCAGTTTCATGCGGACAAAGCAGGTCTCTCTCCAAGCCCTGGGGGCTGGGGGTGAAGCAACTGCTACTCACTCAGCTCTGACTCAGAGGAGGTTCCTTTTTCCTGGCCAGAAGCAGCGCTGCCCAGTTCCAGGGAGAGGCTGGGAGGAGCAATGGAAGGGAGCCCAGAAGGGCAGTTGCAGAGGGTGCCGAGCGCTGGTTTCCTGATTCACGAAGGTTTCAGAAGCCGAGTGGCTCTGGCCAGCAGGCAGGTCCCACGACGCGCCTAATCTGCATGATCAGCTCCTTCTTTTGGAGACTGACCAGATTTACCCCCATGAGCCCTGGTAGCAAGGCCAGGAGAACAGGGTTAGAGCAAAATCCCAGGGTAACGCTGCTGAATGGCCTAAAGTACTGAGGCCATCCATCATCAAAAAATGATCGTGCTATACTATTTAAATTTGCTTTGGTGTTTTCTTGGTGTTTCTTTGGGCTGTCTAGCAACACATCATTCCTGCACTCATTCCTTCATCAAAACGCCAAATGTTATTTTCTGGACCTACTATGCACGTGCTAGTTACTACTGAACAATGGAGAGGCATTTGGTAAGTGAGCCTGAAATAACTTAGTGCCTTATTGATGAACTAATTCCCAGAAACCAGGGCTTTTTTTTTTTCTTTTTTTTTTAAACAAAGGCCATAAGGTATGTGTTTTCCTCTGTACCAAGTGGGGCTGGGCATTGGGGGTGGCCCTCTGACCCCCATGACCTACCTTTGGTGGTACACATGGTTCCCTCAAGACTGTCCCCTTCTTTCTAATAGGAAGGGTCCAGA
The DNA here is from genome assembly GCF_000001405.40 of Homo sapiens. NCBI lineage: Eukaryota > Metazoa > Chordata > Mammalia > Primates > Hominidae > Homo > Homo sapiens. The sequence goes on from NC_000017.11 coordinate 71,976,907, forward strand.
TTGGAGATAAAGTTCAAGATCTCCCAAGGAGAATGGAAATGGAGCTTCCTCTGCCAGAGCAATGAGGAGAGAGTGTACAACTTTCCACATTCTACTTCCTCCCTTCTCTTCTTTTTGCTTTCCTTTGTTCATTTTTTATTCATTAAATATTCACTGAGTGGCAATTGATAGCCTCCTTACTATGCAGCATTGCTATAAATTAAATATGTAAATCAAATATGTATAGTAAAAAAAGAAATCTAACAAAGCAACCTATAAGCTTGGTAAGAAATAAGTGGAGTGTGGCCAGGCGCGGTGGCTCACGCCTGTAATCCCAGCACTTTGGGAGGCAGAGGCAGGCAGATCACGAGGTCAGGAGATCGAGACCATCCTGGCTAACATGGTGAAACCCTATCTCCACTAAAAATACAAAAAATTAGCTGGGCATGGCAGCGGGTGCCTGTAGTCCCAGCTACTCGGAAGGCTGAGGCAGGAGAATGGCGTGAATCTGGAAGGTGGAGCTTGCAGTGAACCGAGATCGCACCACTGCACTCCAGCCTGGGCGACAGAGCGAGACTCCATCTCAAAAAATATAAAATAAAATAAAATAAAATAAGTGGGGTGTATTAGGAGTGTTGCATAGCATGTGAGAGCAGACACAGACCTCGCTTCTGACTATCTTAGTGAGGTCACAGAAAATGCTTGATTAAACAACATGCTTTTTAAGGCCCTTTTTCATTATCTCATTTACCATTCCAATGGTCAGAGAGAACAGGACCAGAGGGGTTATGCCCATTATAAAGATGAATAAACTGTGTGGTTTGCAGTTAAGTAACTTGCCTTTTTGTAGCCAAATATGTAGTTCCTGGCAGAAAAAGAACTTTAGGACTTAGAGTAACTAACAGAGGACTGCAGCAGCTGTACCAGACTGGGTAAATATTGGTGCATCAAAGGATGTATATTTTTCTTCCTTTTTTCTTAATACTTTGGGTAGAGATAAAACTTAAAAGAGCATGCTAGTTGATCCATGTTCTAATATTGCCTGCTTTAGAAGCCAGGGAGATGGTAGCATGAGAAGGACTTGGCCCACCATTGTTGGCTTTGAAGATGGAGAAGGGGCCAGCAGCTAAGGAACGCAGGCAGCCTCTAGAAGTTGAAAAGGCAAGGAAATGAATTCTTCCCAGGGAATCCAGAAAGAAACACAGCCCTGCCAATATCTTGATTTCAGCTCACGGAGACCCATTTCAGTTCTGACTTCCAGAACTGTAAGATAATACATTCAGGTTGTTTTAGGCCATTAACTTTGTGTTCATCTGTTACAGCATCTATTTGAAACTAATATAGAAGGATAAATTTCAGTCTGGATAACCCTGGCTGAATTCCCACTGGTCACCCACAAGCATATGTATGGATAATTGCCTGTACACATGAGTTACAAAACAAGATGGCTATGAGGGCTTTGAGAATTTCCCAGTCTAGCTAATTCTCTGAAGCCACTTACAGGATATTCCTATGCCAGGGACAATCAGCATTAGTGAATCTGTCTCCTCGCTGCCTCCTCACTGCCTGCCTCCATTGTTTTTAACAGTGGTTTGCCACTGAGGTCAACACCAGGTTCAGGGGCCCGGCTGTAGAGCACATAGACAGGGTAACAGCTGTGCTGCACAAGACACCTCATGGCTCGCATTTGTTGGCAAAATGCAGCTTCAACAAGTCACAACCTGTAAAAGAAACCACAAAGCCCAGAGCTCTTCGAGAAAGTCAGGACCACGGACATCAAACAGCAAGTTTGACTGCACCTCCATGAACTCCTGATGTCAAGACATCTTCTCTCCCTACCTGTGGACAGAGGACAGGTAGTCATCCTGATATGATGCTAACTTTGGCAGTCAATAGAGGCTGAAGGTGATCATGACCCCATCTGTGAAACTCATAGGAAACCCTCAGCAGAGGTGGTCATAAGGTTATACAAACTCCAGGCTCTTTGCCTGGAAAGCCATACAAGCACCTGTAAGTCAGAATTATGGAAAGGTACTTGGTGCTTGGCAGGTAAACTATAAGCAGGAAGATGCTTTCTTGCTTAATTTTTCCCCTTAAGAAAATATTCAATTTTATAACATAATCATACTGATGAGCATATAAGGGAGTGGTCCTTGTTCTCAGCATAACTTAAGAGTTCAAAGCCCTGTGGTCCATTTCCCTTCTCTACCTCTCCCTGGTTGTGGGACTCCTTAGCCTTCTTGAGCCCCATCTGGCTCCTTTGCAAAGAGGAGATAATACTAGTACATTCATTGTGTGGCTTGGAAGATGTAATGAGAAAATGACTGAAAAGTGACTAGCACATTACAGACAATCAATAAATACTAACTTCCTTGTTTCATTCCTTCTCTTCTATATAAAATTAAGGTATATTACCCATATTGGTCCTGATCCTTCACTGGGATGAAGGATCTAGCCCTCTGCCTTTAAAAGGGACCCTAAATAGTTCCCAAAATGGCAGGAACTATTATGTTTTAAAAATAGGTTTATTTTTTACAGGCTCACGCCTGTAATCCCAACACTTAGGGAGGCTGAGGCAGGCGGATCACCAGATGTCAGGAGTTCAAGACCAGCCTGGCCAACATGGCGAAACCCTATCTCTACTAAAAATACAAAAGTTACCTGGTGTAGTGGTGGGCACCTGTAATCCCAGCTACTCGGAAGGCTGAGGCAGGAAAATTGCTTGAACCCTGGAGGCAGAGGTTTTAGTGAGCCAAGATGGCGCTACTGCACTCTAGCCTGGGTGACAGAGCCAGACTGTCTCAAAAAAAAAAAAAAAAAAAAAAAAAAAAAAAAAAACGACAGTGGATCATACAGGTTCTACAGCTCCTATTGGCCCACCTTGCCTTCTGACCCCTCGAGTCCATTTGCATTTTTCTTTTTTTTTTCCAGACGGAGTTTCACTCTTGTCACCCAGGCTGGGGTGCAGTGCCGTGATCTCAGCTCACTGCAACCTCCGCCTCCCGGGTTCAAGCAATTCTCCTGCCTCAGCCTCCTGAGTAGCTGGGATTACAGGCGTGTGCCACCACGGCCGGCTAATTTTTTGTATTTTTAGTAGAGCCAAGGTTGGGTTTCATCATGTTGGCCAGGCTGGTCTCAAACTCCTGACCTCAGGTGATCCACCCACCTTGGTCTCCCAAAGTGCAGGGATTACAGGCGTGAGCCACTATACCTGGCCACCCACTTGCTTTTATTCTGTCCTCAGCAGTGATACAAACTGTTCCTACCCTCTGCCTACACACAGTGCAGCTCTTTGCAGTTCCTTGAGACTGTTTCCTCCATGTCACATGGGTGGCATTTAGGAGGCTCTTGATTGAAGATATGTGTTTACTAAAAAGTTGTTAAGTCTTCAGGAATTCAAATTCTCACATCCAATGTCATGCTATAAAAAGATTCATTCACCAAGTCCCCATGACACATTCCTTCTCTCCACACTTATAGGAACAGAAGGATGCCATGATGGTTTAATCAGGGAAGCATGTCCCAAAGACAGTTGCCTGTAGGCTCCTGGGTCTCAAATTTGACCCAAGGCTGGGATGATGGAATGCCATTCCCATCTGGTAACTGGTTTCTTGGCTTGGGAGACAGAAACCCAGATCTCTGGGCCAGGTTCTCAGCAGGCCTTCCCTTCTGTTGTTTTCCCTTGTCCCCTAAACCTTGTCACTGGAAGTAGAGATGACTCTTTGGTGCCTATGTCCCTAGAACAGGAACTTCATTCTTTCTAATGAGGTATTCTCTGAATTCTCCCACAACCACCAGAGGTAGGAAAAAGAGAGGGGAGACAGAGGACTTAGTGTTGTAAGCTCTTTAGGGTCACTGCCATGAGCTTGGTTCAGGGTCTGGTTCTGTTCAACCATCTGCAGCACTTTCTCTAGGCCTTGGTTTCTCCTCTGTAAAATGGCATGGGCACTAACCTGAAATTAGACGAGAGGAATTTATTTCACTATTTCCCTATTATTTCACTGTTGTAAAATAGTTGATAGTTCTTGATACCTTACTACTATTTGCCAAAGATCTTCTTCCTAAAAATTTGCACATGTCAACATGTTGAATCTACATAACACTCCTATGACTGGGTGAATTTTTAATTCCCATTTTACAAAATGAGGTAAGTGAGGCTTAGCAAGGTTTGGTAACTTATACAGTCACCTTAGCTAATAAGAGGTGAATCTAGAGGTATCATTTCAGAGAATATTCTCACCTTTACATATTTGTATCTCTAAATAGTTGTTCAAGATAGCTTCTTAGAAGTGCTATTTCTAGATCAAAAGGTATAACCTTTTGTTCTTTTTAAGGTTCTAATGTGTATTGACAAATTGTTTTACATGAACACTCCCCACCAACAGTATATGACGCTGTTCAAATCAAGACACCCTGACTCCAAACACTGTTACATTATTCTGGTTTATTTTGCTGTTCTTTGCTAACTAGTGAAGCTAAACTTCTATATGTTCATATGTTGATACCTTTGTGCTTTCTCCAGTGAAATGTCTATTCATACCCTCTGCCTATTTCCAACTCAGAGTTTTTTCAATAAATTTGGAAGGACCTTTTTGATACTTAAGGATATCATTCTTCCCCTTGCCATATTTGTCTCAAGTGTTTTGTTTTGTTTCTGAGTTTGCTGTTTGCCTTTTAATTATTTTATAATGCTTTTCATGGAAAGATGAATTAGCAGAGTTTCTCCGTAAAGGGCCAGATAGTAAATATTTTAGACTTTGTGGCCCATATGTTCTCTATCACAACTACTCAGTGCTGCCTGCCATTGTAGCTGGGAAGCAAGGCTAGATGATACAAAAACTAATGGGTGTGGCTGGATTTGGGCTGTGGGTCATAGTTTGCAGAGCCTTGATGTAAACAATTTTTAATTCTTATGTTAGAAAACCCACCAATTGCTCCTCTTTGAGATTTTTTCCACTGCTTTTACATGCATGTAACCCAGATACTTGAGAGGCAGCTTCTGCTCTGTGGAGACTGGTGAAATCCAGCCCAAACTCCAATGTGGTACTTGGTAATAGTTCAATATCTTGCTCTTCCCTGTCACTTCTTCCACCTACCCTCCACACACATGTCTTCATACTCCTTTGCTTTCCTTCCTTTTGCTTCTCTTTTGGGCTTCTTCCTCCCTTCCTTATTGGAGTATCAAGCAAACTCTTCTCCTTGTCTCCAGCAGGGAGAGTTTATCACACTCAGGCCCCTTAGTTGCCTCCTGTTCTAGTTACTGGAACTTTTTCTAACAAATGAGTTCCATTCATAAGTAGAAGTGGAATTGAGGTGAATACAATTTTCTCCATCTCATCATACACAGGCAAACTAATCCAAACTCAAGATCAGAGATCTATCCATCTATGCTTTATTTTGGTTTCTTTTTGTGCATTGGACTATTTAGTCCTTTTGGTCTTTATATTGTGGTGTATGCTTTGAGAAAAGATGCCAACTTTACTTCAAATACTTAACCACTTATCCCAAAAATAGACTTTAGTATACAAAGAAGAATGAGTTTATGATTACATTTGGCATTCAAAATTAGAGCAGAAAGAATCATTAAATGATGCAGGGACATCTCTGCTCATTTCTCTGCCTATCACTTTTTCTACCACCACCATGCTGTTTTGATTATAATCTACCATAATAGCTCTAAAAATTTTCCTTGGCTACTTTACCATTTCTCCTTCCAGATAAAAGTTAGAATCACCTTGATCCACACTATTAGGATTTTCATTAACATTATTTAAATCATAACATAATGGAAGAGTAATATATACACTTAATCATTTAATCTCTGACCCAGGAATATCTATGCAAATCTTTTGTGTGATTTTTACATCCACCATGGTTAATGAAAGAACCGTTTATTTCCTTCTATTTAAAAATGGCCATAGTTCTTTTATTGGGTCTTTGTTTTCTCCCCTCCATATTGATCATTTTCCTTTTTGTCTTGTCTATTTTTAACCTTTCTCTCTGCAGTCTGGGAGTTTCTTAAATTTCCTTCATATCATTGATTACATTTTTTACAGTATGAATTCCACTCTTTACCATCTCCAAGGCAAACATCATTCCTTTTTTTTTTTTTTTCGAGACGGAGTCTCGCTCTGCCACCCAGGCTGGAGTGCAGTGGCACAATCTGGGCTAACTGCAAGCTCCATCTCCCAGGTTCACACCATTCCCCTGCCTCAGCCTCCCGAGTAGCTGGGACTACAGGTACCCGCCACCACGCCTGGTTAATTTTTTTGGATTTTTAGTAGAGACGGGGTTTCACCCTGTTAGCCAGGATAGTCTTGATCTCTTGACCTCATGATCCACCCGCCTCGGCCTCCCAGAGTGCTGGGATTACAGGCGTGAGCCACCGTGCCCGGCCCATCATTTCTAACATTACAACTTCTGCTTCTTTGCAGTTATTCTATTTCTCTTCAAACTCCTTTTTATTCTTTATTGACTTTGTTCTACTCAGAGGAATTAAGAATGATTGGACTCTATGAAACCAAAAGTAAAATCCAAGAAGAGGAAAGAACAGGTTAAAATGAAAAGACTGACAAAGTTTTTTTTTCTTTTTTGAATTATATTCCTTTCTATAGAAAGTAATTTCCAGAAGTATACTTTTTCTTTCAGTTTTCAAGGTAAAGTAGTTTGCTTAGTGTAGACTTTTTTCTCCCATAAGTATGCTGACTTTTTTTCTCTTTCTCTTGGAAGGAAGAGACTTTTATGTCTCTCAGGAGTGTTTGCAAGTGGCTTCTGCCTTTGGATTTCCCTTAGTTGCTCTCACCATTCACCTACAGACTGACTGAAACTGCATCTTAACTGGAGGGTAAGTTGAAAACGTAAATGAACCCATAAATCAATGAATTATAGAGGGACAGGTTAATGAACACATTCCCCAACTCCTTCTCCAGAAACACGATGAAGATTCCTGCCAAGATGTTCATGGACTTCCAGGTCTAACACTACTGTATGCTGTGATCTACAGATGGTGACATTTGTGAAGTGCTCCTCTGAGATGTCAGAGATATACCCCATACGACTCTGCAGCAGGACTGCACAGAGCCATGGGAACCTGCCAGGGGTGTAGGAGGCAGAGCTACTCTTCCCCACAGATCTCATTTCCAGGCACAGAAGATGCAAGCAGCGACTCAGCCTGTGACTCAGTGATTCCTACCTGTGTGGGTGCTGATTACATGAATCCCAAAGGTTAAACACGGGCCACAGGGCACTGAGTATTGGTCTTGTGCAGCACAACAGCTAGGTGGGGGCCAGAAGGACCCTTGAAAGGAGGTACTATCTATGCCCCCTTGGGATCCAGCAGCAGGTGTGGTAACATTAAAATGGGATGGGAGAAAGTGAATTATGAAGCCCCACACAGCTATTTTGTATCTCTAGTCAGGTATGAAAGCATTTTTCTGAAGGGCAGTATCACGTAGTGGTTAAAAGCTCAAAGTCTGTCTCAGACGTAGGAATTTCTATTAGTCTGCCATTTTGGTTTGCCTCCTCATGAAGGCGAGGGAGGAGTACCAGCTTACCAGCTTGCCATTGGGGCCATGCAGCTAGTTTCAGCCAATAAGCTGTGAGCAGAAGTGATCCGTGTCATTCCCAGAATATAACCGCTAGTGAGACTTCCCAGCACTGTCTTCCCTGCTATGGCATCCATGGGGCTATGTGCCCAGGTTGTGACGTTTCAAGATAGTAAGGCCTCCCTTATTCTGGGCCTTGGAGTAATTGTCTAGGTGTGTAACGTAAGTAACAATAAACTTGTTGCGTCGTGCCATATAATTTGAGGGTTGTAGGTGAGCTTTGAGGGTTATTGGTGGGTTTTGATTACTACAGTATAACCTAGTTTATTCTTACAAATACAATCTCTTCTTAACTGAGTGATCATGAGCAACTCTGAACTTCTGAGTATCGATTTCCTCATTTGTCAAAGGGAGAAAATTGCAGCACGCGCCTCATAAAATGGATAAAAAACATTTGCTTGTCAAGTGCCTAGGGACGTGTCCAGTATATAATGAGTGTCTTACAAATGTTACCTCTCAGCCAAATTTGATTGTCCAGGAGATAGAAAGCAAAAAGAGAACTCGTCTGTCAAATTATCTCAACTCATGTCTAAAAAGAGAATCAAAAGTCTGAAAAAAGAATCAAAAGAAAGAGAGAGAGAGAAGACAGGAGAGAGAGAGGAGATGCCCTTTGAAAACATATCTCATTTACAGAGCAGTTAATGGGATCCTCATCAAAACAACCAACACTTTATTGCCCAAATCACATATGCCAATGTGTTCAAAGCCCCATGAAATCTGAACTACTTCAACTATTTTCAGATAAATATCTGCTGAGAAAAAAAAAAAAAAAGGCTTTAACTCCCCAGAACAACATTCTTCTGCGTCATTCCTCTCCCTCCTAAATATATCCCAAGATAGGCAGTGGCAGACCTCTGGGAAAACAGGAATGATTTCTAGAAGCTCTTCCTTAGGTTCTCACAGCAAGGAGGAAAGCAGGCTCAGGGTGTGGCATCCCTGCCTGCCTTCTCCACACACACATTCTCCTTGAGGTGTCTCAGCATAGCAGAGGTGTGGTTAAGGTGAGTATCACTCCACCCATCAGACGTCTTCTTGGCCAAGCCTCATATGACCCAAAGTCTCATAAATAAAACTGTGCAGTAGCAGGAATGATGGGGATGTATTGACTGTCCTCTGTTGCCTTCCCCAATAGACTACTGGGTGTGTCAAGAACAATCTGCCCTCAACAAAATCATCTTTTTCTAAAAAATTCATTGAAAGTCTCCTATTCAAGTATCCCCTAGCCTAGGCAAGCTTGTTGAGTGAGGCATGACACCATCACAGCCCAGATGTGGTGGCAAAGGGCTGTGATGGTGTCAGGCCTCAAAAAGCTCAGGAAGGCCTCACACTGGGGCTGCAGGGTGCTTCCCAAGCATCACACTTGGGAGAGCCAGCTTCCCAATGGGTGCTGTTCTGGCTTGTCCTGACGGTAACCACACAGTGGAGTCACCAATATCCTAGGACAGTTTTGCAGTTCTTTGAAGCTAGTGTGGCATAGTTTAGCTCAGAATCTAAGCCCCTTCTCTGGTGAGGATAATATCACAAAGACCAGGTTTTCCCAAACACCCATCCAGCTCCCTACTAAAAAAAAACGCATGAACCTTCCATTTACATCCATGTTGGGTTGCCAACATCCTCCTCTGAACCAACATCCAAGAAAGACGACTCACCTTAAGAATTAAAGACACAGCCTGCCTGGGAACCTGGACACAAAATTATTTACATCCATAGTGACAGCGTCCAAAGCCTGTGCTTAGGTCTTTCAAAGTGGCAGAGTCAAAGATGAAATGGTTGGATCCCAGGCAGAATTTTTTTCAACCTTACTTCAAAGGGAGCAACATTTTTGTAGCCCCTCCGCAAAAATGGGATAAATGGTCCTATTGTCTTGACTCTATCAATATTGGTAGTGGAGGATAACATGAAGACCCTATTTCCTCCACTCTCCATCTGTACTTTGATTCTTGTAGATATGCATCCATCTACTTCCATCTGTTCTGTCAAGTGCAGAGAGAAGATGGTAACTTTTTCAAGAAGTCTAAACCAAGTTAGAAAAATCTCATCACACAGGACCTAGAAGCCTCCAGTTGTGGAACTCTCCAGTCCACAAGCCCAATTCCAATAGCAAATTGAAGGGTCTGGAAACAAAAAGAGGCGGGAAACTCACGCATTCTTGTATATTTTTTATGCTCTCTCTGCCTCTTAATTGTTTTTCATACAACATTCACGATTCATAAAATTCATGAGTTCATACTAGATTCATACTACATTCATGTTGAGACCTCTAAAAGGACATCACTAAGCCTGGTTTCTATGTTATGGACTCAATACTTCATCAGTCTCACAAGGAAGTCCAGAAACATCCTGGGAAAGTGGGAAGTGGAATGTGGAGTATCTCCTTTTGTTTCTCCTCACAATCTTAAATTTCTTCTCTTACCCGTAATGAATCCAAGAAGCTATAAGATATAAAATAATAATTGATGGACTATAATTTCTTTTCTTAAAGTTCTATAGTTCTGGATTTTAATGATATTAAGATCATCTGAATCTAGTCCACAACATAGCAGTTAGTCATTTGACATTTCTCACTGACCCACCTCCCCAACCCCCAGCTGAGTAATATGGCTCAAAGATAAAAAGAACTGGTTCTTCCTTGTTAAGACTGTTTATCTAGGGTTAAATTTCTGAAATGGATTTCTATAATTCATGGAACTCATTTGCAAACCCCAAGTAACCAACATCCACTGATCCAATGTTTCCTTTCCACAGGCTGCTTCTATCATTCAAGACAGTAAAAAAATCAATGATATTTCTTTCCTGAACTTTCTTCCAATTGATTTTACAGATGGGGCCCTCACTATGTACAATGCCATGTAATTCACAACTAAAAGAAGGCATTTCTATGTGGACAAACTTTTAGCTACATTGAATTCTATCAGATAATGTACAAATTTCAGAGGATAAAAACAGTCTCTTTCTCGTAAAGGTCATTCCCACCCATTTTCAAGTCCTCGTATTACAAATAAACATTGAGCACATACTATGCACAAAACAATTTTGGTCTGTGTATTTTTCCCATAATACTTTCATATTTCATTTATTTCTCTATGTCTTCTACTCCCCTAAAAAGCCATTATTCTGAAATGAAACTTTTTTTTGTTTTTTAGAAGCAAGCTCAAGGCACGCTTTCTCACCTTCAAGCCCAGTCCATGTTCTTAAAGTTGCAGAGAGTTGTCTTTCAGGGTCCCCTTCAATGCCAACGCCCCCCCCTCCACCACCACCAATTTTCAAGGGACAATAAATCATCTATTTCCACACTGAAACTGAAACTGACAACTGCTGAGAGCGTCTGCCAAAGGGTGTGTCATAGCCAAAGGCAGTTAGAGTCCCTACCAGCATCCTGTTCTCAGACTTGGGGACCTGAGATACCACTGGAATTTGCCTAAATGCCAGAATCAATAACAGAGCTCCCAGTGGAAAGTTCAGGATGTCCCCCAGACCACTCCCTCAACCTGCTGAATACAACATGCTTCTTGCAGGAGGATGCTGTGTTTATCAACCAGGGGACCCTAGAGACGCTGTACTTGTAACCAGTCAGAATCCACCACCCCTCATGGCAGAGTGCTTATGTATTATTTATCCCACTTTTTAAGATGGGAGAATCTGTCTAGTCTATAATACTATTTGAAATCATCACCTTTGATAGGCATCCTCCTTTATTAAATGTGCTTATATGTTGACATCCTGCTTTCTCTGTTTACATTTCCTTAACTTTCAGTCTTCAAGAGAATACATGAAAACCTAAAAGATCACCATCACAGACTTCAAGGCAAATTTTAAGACAGGAAAGCTTGATTTAATTTGGTGTGTTACATCTATTAAATGGATGAGAAACATGTTCCTTAGATGGAATGAGTTGAAGAAAGAAATCAATCAGGATTGATGAATAAACCAGATTGCCTTCCAGGTCTTTCCAAGTTACTGGAGCCACAGTGTGGCTTTGTTGTTTGGCTTAGAGGAAATTCCCACTACATCAGCAGAAACACATTGAAAGATAACACTAAACAGAACTTTAAAAAAAAATCTGCAATTGAGTTTATTATCTCAAAATTCAAAGTATCTAATTAGGAAATTTTTTATAATTGTGTGTACACGTACACACAAGAAAGGAAAGGGATATAGTGATACAAACAGATCATTAGTACTCCATAGAGGTGGGACATTGAACATAAATTAAAGAAGCCTTTACCAAAGTAAAGCAACTTGGCTGAAATTTTGCTGTAAGAGAGCTACATGGAATCAATGCTAAAGTCTCAGCAACAGCCTGCAAAAATTAAGGAAAATAACCTGCTGAGATACACACCATGTGTTAAGACTACTGTCTGAAGCTATATAGTACACAGAAGCTAGCTTCTTTTTTTACCCATCTGATGCTACATTTGACAGGCAATTTACAGTCTGAGTAAGGCATTAATTGTTTTATTAAAGTGGTAAAATAGAATTTAGAATATATGCACTACTTAACTTTCACACCAGATTATCATGTAGGGTCTGGCCAGTCTGCGATGTGTACAGTAACACTCCATTTTTAACCTGCTTCTCTTCCTTACTTTTCATCAAACACAAATGCCTGCAGAGGATGTGTACTTCTTTTAAATGCATAGAGCAAACCAGGTATAAAAGAGAGATGCCCAGCTACTTATGTTGCAAGTAAAGATAGGCCATCTTGCATTGTCTTTTAACACTAAACAATGCCTGTCTTCACACTGTACGTATGAGGCAGCTAATTTGAGATTCTCTGCTTCTACACACTCATGCTATGAAAATGTATGCACACCCTCAGCTTTAACTGTCACTTGTATGCTGTTGGTTGACAACTCTCCAATCTATTTTTTCCAGTTCTTTTATTTCTGCAAAATTCTACAAGTTCATCTGACTGTCTGGTAAACATCCCCACTTAGGTGTCTGACAAGCACCTCAAACTTACTATCTTTCATGCCAAACCGAAGACTGCTTCACAAGGGGAATTAGAACCCCATGGCATATATATTAAGGGAGAGTCTGCAATTCAAGTAACATCCAAGCCCTAACCCTTTCCTGTCATATCCTGCAAGATCCCTCCTTATCTTCTCTCACCCTCCCTCACACCCACTCTGCCCCAAGCACATGGGACCTTCATTACATTCACAAGTCTGGATCACTCCAACCAGGAAGACTTTGCATTTGCAGTTCACTTTCTAGATGCTTCTCTAATATTTGCATATCTGTGCTCTGATAACCACACAAGTCTCAGCTCAAAGGAAGCTCTTCCAAGAGGATTTTCCTGTCCTGCAGGCTCCTCTTTCCCTGTCTCTCTCTATTGCTGTACCCTGATTTATCTTATTTATGTTATCTTCAACATCAAAAGCTCTTATTCCTTTTAAAAATGCTTTATTCCCCCCAACGACAGCAGCAACTTTGCCCGCCTTAGTTAATATTACGCTGGAGCAGTGCTGGCACGTAGTGGGCCTTCACTAAATGTGTGTTGAACAGATGAATGAGTGAATGAATCCATGAATCATCATTCCCCTGTAGATGTGTTCTTCCCCCTTTTTCCGCCACCTTGGCAAATGTTGCTGCCATTCACCCAATTACTCCAACCAAAAAGTTAGGTTTCATCCTAGGTACTTCTCTTACTTAAACCCATTATAAAATTATCCCCAAAAATTCTCTTCTAAAGTATTTCTGAAATCTAACCCCACCCCACTGCCTCTGGGTCACTGCCTTAGTTGAAAGATCCCTCTTTGTGCACCACAGTGATTACCCCTCTTGATTTCAATCCCTTCCACTCAATTGAAGCTTGCTAATTTAAAGTGTTGATCTAAATCTGATCATATCACTTCTCTTCTCAACAGTCCTTCAATGGCTTCTCATTGTTTAAGGGTAAAATATGAATTCCCTATTATATTCTGCTAGGTTTTTCATGAGCTGTACCCTGTGTGCCAATCTAGTCTCTTCCCCCACTACCTCTTGCTTATCAACTTCAAGCATACAGCACGTGCTCTCCTTCCACTCCTTGGTTGGCTCTGCTCAGGTGCTCTACTCTGCCTGAAATGCCCATCATACATACATGGACCTACTGTGTGATAAATTGCTACTAACCAGTAAAGGCTTACCTCAGGCATTTTCCAACTTGTCCAATCTCACGTATCAGATTTTTCACATCATAATATTCTTTTGACATGTCTGTTTTCTCTTCTTAGACTATGAAGTCTTTGAGGGGCTGTGCCTTCTTCTCTCTTTTTTTAGAATCTAGTATATGACCTAGCCCTTAGAAGGTACTTTAAAATGTTTGTTCTCATGGAGTAGGTAGAGACATGTCATTAAATATCTAACAGATGGCCAGACACAGTGGCTCACACTTGTAATCCCAGCACTTTGGGAGGCTGAGGCAGGCGGATCACCTGAAGTCAGGAGTTCAAGACCAGCCTGGCCAACATGGCAAAATCCCATCTCTACTAAAAACACAAAAATTAGCAGGACATGGTGATGCATGCCTGTAGCTCCAGCTACTTGCGAGGCTGAGGCAGGAGAATCACTTGAACCTGGGATGCAGAAGTTGCAGTGAGCCAAGACTGCACCACTGCACTCCACTCTGGGTGACAAAGCAAGACTCCATCCCAGTAAATAAATAAATAAATAATTATCTAACAGATATATGTTATGGTGAGTTTTAATCAATTATAATCCTCTGGAATTTCTTGATGATATATTGACTTCTAACTAGGAGCCATCATTCAAATCCTGAAAAGATCACAACTCCCATCAAAGCATCTATTTCAGGCTGGGCGAGTGTAGAGGGCTTCAGTAATCACTACAGAATGTGATAAAGAGAACCAAACCCAGGCTCTGCCGGCTCTGAGCTCTCCTCACTTTAATTATTCAGAATTTGTACATGCTTAGTCTTCTTATTACAGCATAGTCATCTGCTTTTAACTTTTTAATAATGAGAGAAGGCTTCTGCTTCAAGCTCTGATAGATAATTGGTATTGGAATTGCTCTCCTCTGTAAACAATGATAAAATTGAACAACACAAATAAGGCACCTGTTTCTAGGCACAGCAAACTAGACAGCCCTCTACTGAGACTTTTTTTTTTTTTTTTTTTTTTTGGTGACGGAGTCTCGCTCTGTCGCCCAGGCTGGAGCGCAGTGGCGCGATCTCGGCTCACTGCAAGCTCCACCTCCCGGGTTCACGCCGTTCTCCTGCCTCAGCCTCCCAGGTAGCTGAGACTACAGGCGCCCACCACCGTGCCCAGCTAATCTTTTGTATTTTCAGTAGAGATGGGGTTTCACCATGTTAGCCTAGATGGTCTCAATCTCCTGACCACGTGATCTGCCCGCCTCGGCTTCCCAAAGTGCTGGGATTACAGGTGAGATTCTTGAAATAAGGAAAATGGATAAAGTAAACCCCATGTTCACCTGGGCTCTCTGCCAGGGACAATTTCCCAACTGTGGCACATGGAAGTAGAACCCAAAGAGCATAGCAGTCCTGCTGAGCTGAGGAGGCCATGATCTGAGTTTAGGAATACTAATGAAAATGGAAATTTCAGGGCATTATTCTAGAAAAAGTGGAAGTGCATGGGTTGGGGAAAGTAAGGAGTGCTATGAGAGGTCTGTGTGTGGTTCTCTACAAGACTAAGGGCTGTGCTGCAAATGTGCATGGTGAGACTCCATGAGGCTTTGGAGACAGACTACTTTGAGGTTGACAATAAAAATCAAGACTTTAGAGATCACTGCTATGGGTTTGAATATTTGATTCTCCAAATCTCATGTTGAAATTTGATCCCCAATGTTGTAAGTGGGGCCTAATGGGACGTCATGGGGCAGATCCCTCATGAATTTCTTGGTGCTGGCCTTCAGGTAATGAGTAGGTTCTCATTCAATTAGTTCTCATGAAAGCTGGTTGTTAAAGAGAATCAGGCACCTCCCTTCTCTCTTGCTTCCTTCTCTCTCCACATTATCTCTGCATACCCTGGCTCCCCTTTGCCTTCCACCACGAGTGGAAGCAGCTTCAAGTCCTCCAGGTGCAGATGCTGGCAGCATGTTTCTTGTACAGCCTGCAGAACTATGAGGCAAATAAACCTCTTTTACTTATGAATTAACACGCTTCGTGTATTATTTTATAGCGATATAAAAATGGAGGGAAGGAACCCAAGATGGCTGAATAGATGCAGCTAGGAAGAGCATCTTTCACCAGGATACCAAACCATCAAGAAGACAGGCACTCTCAGCAGATCTTCAGGAGGAAGGCACTGAGAGTGAACAGAAGGAGGATGTAGACTGAGGGCTGAAGTGGGAGGAAAGTAGGAGCCCTGCACAGGGCTGCTGATCATAAAGACTCATTCCTGGCCCCCAGCAACTCCTGGGGAAGGGGTGACTTTAGTAGGTGAGGACTGGCCCATTCTCACCATAGACCTCCAGAATCCTAGCTACAGGAGACCCCATGACCCTCATGGATATTTGATCTGACAGAGAGCAGCTTGGAGGAGTGGCAGGGACAGGACTCCAGCCTGTGCAGAGCCCAGAGGGTTTGGCATAGGAAAGACTGCAGTAGAGCATGGTCAAGGATGCCCATCCTCCAAAGCTTACAATGTACCTCTAGGTGGTTTTGACCCTTTTTGACTGTCAGACCTGGATAGAGCAGGGTTATTTTGCCCATTGGATGGAACCAGTGTGATCTGAGTGTCCCCATCTGCCAGCCTTTCCTAGAGTTCCTGCTTGGCCATGCCCATTTGCAGCACAGCCTCGGATGCCTAACTGAGGTTCTTCCCAGTGGCCACCACCACAGCTCCTGTCCCAGCACACACCACCTAACAATCAGAGAGCTTCAGCAGGGCAGTCTTCACTGACAAGCACCCCCCTGCAGCCTCTTCCCACTGTTTGGCAGGTGCACAATCACCAGCAGTCTCTCCCAACTGCTTGGCCGGCATGCACTAACCTGCAGCCTCCTCTCACTGCTTGGCCAGCATGCATTCACGTGCAGCCTCCCCGCACTGCTTTGCCAGCATATACGTAGACATCACAGCCCTCGCACCACCGGCATGAGTGCACATGTGTGGGCCCCAGTGCCCCACTGACACTGGTGGGAGTGTGCATGTGCAGACCCTGCCACCCCACCACCACTGGTGCAAGTGTGCATAGCCCGCTGCCCCACCACCATCTGCAAGTGCACAATCCTGGCTGTACCACCTCCACTATGCACATGCATGGGAACCACCACATAGCTGCCAGCGGCATGACAGCAGGCATGCTGACACTGCTGCCAGCAGACTGGGAACACCTTGGCCCCTTCAGCACAGCAGGTGATTTACCTCGGGAGGAACAGAGAACAAAGCTGTGGGCCTGGTAATAGTGTTAGAGCACACAGCCTGGAAGGCAGAGTTGAGCACTGGGCCCCAATAACATCCAGAAATGAAAACAGTCAACTGAACTCAACTTTTACCACAGTTAAACCCTCGAAGCTACCAAAGAATATAAAAGCAAAATATCCTATCCAGAGGACAGCAACTTCAAAGATTAAAAGAATATCACCCCACAGAGACGAGAATGAACCAATGTAAAACCTCTGGCAACTCAAAAAGCCAGAGTGTCTTACCTCCAGATGACTGTACTAGCACCCTAGCAATGGCTCTTAACCAGGATGAAATGGCTGAAATGACACAGAATTCAGAATCTGAATAGCAACAAAAATGACTGAGATTCAGAAGAAAGTTGAAACCAATCCAAGAAATCTAAGGAACCAAATAAAATGATACAAGAGCTGAAAGACAGTAATTTTAAGGAAGAAATAAAGTAATCTGATACAGCTGAAAAACTCACTACACAATTTTCATAATCCAATCAGAAGTATTAACAGCAAAGACCAAGCTGAAGAAAA
Source organism: Homo sapiens (assembly GCF_000001405.40). Classification (NCBI taxonomy): domain Eukaryota; kingdom Metazoa; phylum Chordata; class Mammalia; order Primates; family Hominidae; genus Homo; species Homo sapiens. Next base: position 71,994,382 of record NC_000017.11, read on the forward strand.
AACACTAACAATAAATATCAATATTTAGATTCTGTGAACTTTTAACAAGTGATTTGGTTTGTTTATGAATAGAGGACTATAGTGTGCTATCTAAGCAACTAGATGGAATTGTTTCAAAATATGAATGAGTATATTACATGTGATTCCTGTCTTCAAAATTTCAATAAATCTCTGTCCATCTCTTATGACAGCATATTACCCAGCATATTATTTTGCTTACATGTCTTATCTTCTTCCTAGATTAAAAGCTCACTGAGAGTTCAAACGCTGGAGAAATATTTACCAAGCCCCTATCACTCAGTAAGTATGTCAGACATTGAAGACACACTAGGAACAAGTTTCACCAGAAGCTTACAGACTACTGGAGGAAAATTACAAGTGAGCAGACAATTCTAAGAAGGAAGTCAATGATTATAGATGTGATAGATATTTGACAGAATTAATGGACAAATATTCTCAATTTAAGAGTCTGCATTTCTAAATTAAGTCCAACCACAGCCTAAAGAATCCTGAGGCATCTCCATGCGCTGGCAGCTAGCAGAGAAGAAAGCCAAATATCAAATGGGAACTAAAGCCCCTTAATAGGATTTGCCCTGATAATTTGGCATTACATAAAGCAACAAAGTAAGGGCATTCTACACTCTATTCTGGTAAAGCACAAGTAATATCTTTTAAATACATCATATGAACGATAATGTCTTTGTCATTCTTTAGCCTTAATTTAATTGTAAAGAAATGTAGCATCATGTTTTGTCCCATAAAGAGGAAAATAATCCATGCATAGTTTCATCCAATGAAAACAACTCAATATGAGGTCTATACTCCTAAATATCTATTTCCCAATTATATTTTCCTCTTTTATTTTTGTGGATTTGGCATTAAATCCAACTTGAGTCCTGATGCAGGTCTTACACAGTGTTGCTACTGTTGTTTCTATTGGAGATGGGTCTCCACCAAAACATTGAAGGGACACTGATTCACCATGTTATGGCTTTGTCAATGACAAAATTGCAAGAATTCAATGTCACTTCTGGTAACATTACCCAGAAAACAATGCCATAGTCTAATAAGGACAGACAAGGGCAATCAAATAATATGGAATTCAGAATCCACTTATCTAAGCACACAGTCCTGAGTATTTCAGGAAAGATACTTGGCTAAGTTAATTAACCTTTGTCATCTTTCAGAAGAACCGTTTTTACCCATATCAGTGAAAACATCCCATAAGCCCCCTTTATTGTACATTGTGCTGTAGAGCAGCCAACTCTCCTTTATTGACCACATCACTGACCCTTCCCCACCCTTCCGTGCTGGCCTGCCCCTATCTTGTTCAGCTCTTCATTCCTCCTACATGTGACTCAAAAGTGATGAATATTGACTAATCCAACTCAATCATGGTATTCCTTTTCTCCTTGAGAGGGATTGATTTAAAAAAAAAGATGCATGACTCAATTCTTACTAATGAAACATAAGGAAAGTCTGAGGGGAAACGTTTCAGGGAATGTTTTTCTTGTTACTATAAAGAACTAGAAAGCAAAGGCCCCTTTTTGCATAGGATAATGTCTGTGACCCTTGAAACTGCAGGACCCATCTTGCACATGCCAGGAAAGCTGGATGAAGACAAGGATAATATGCTAAGAATGGGCCAGGCACAGTGGCTCACGCCTGTAATCCCAGCACTTTGGGAGGCCAAGGCAGGCGGATCACGAGGCCAGGAGGTCAAGACCAGCCAGTCTGAGACCAGCCTGGCCAACACGGTGAAACCCCGTCTCTATTAAAAATACAAAAATTAGCCAGGTGTGGTGGTGTGCACCTGTAATCCCAGCTACTCGGGAGGCTGAGGCAGGAGAATTGCTTGAACCCAGGAGGCGGAGGTTGCAGTGAGCCAAGATTGCGCCACTGCACTCCAGCCTATGTGACAGAGAAAGATTCAGTCTTGGAAAAAAAAATTATATATAAATATATAAATTTTTATATATATTTATATATAGATTTTAAATATATATTTTATATTTCTCTATACAATTATCTATATATGTATATATGTATGTACATATATGTATGTGTGTATATATAGAGAGAGAGAGAGAATGACAAAGCAGTTGCAAAGAACCCAAGTCCCTGAAGAATGTCTCTGACCTGAAGAATTAATCAAACCTACATTTCCCTATCAATAGGATATTTTATTGTGTCACTTAAACTTTCTTATTGAGACAGTCGTGTCACAATTTTTTTTTCCTGAACCTAAGGGGATCCTGATACAAGTCTCTCTTTTTGTCCATTTCTAGGATGATCACTGATTCAAGATTGCAGAAGATTAAAGATGAAGACGTGCAATGGGGAATATGTAGGAGGAAAGGGGACTTGAGTTACCATGGCAACTGAAATTCAATGTAACATCACTCCAAAAATGTTCTGTTAGTTTGGGGAGAATTTACCAAGTTAGTATCCCACAATTTGTATCATAACCCACAAGCTACCAGGCAGGAATGGGGCATAGGAGTGTCATCCTGAAGCTAGTAATTTCATTCTAGTGGAAATCAGCAGGCTAGGAGCTGGAGTGAACCTCTGGGAAAAGTAACCAGATTCCAGTTTCATCTTTTTTCAACTTCAAGAAGCCAAACTCTGCTTCCAGAATAAATCTGACATCACAGAAAGACAAGCTTTGCATGTTCTCATTTATTTGTGGGTGCTAAAACTTAAAACAATTGAACTCATGAAGACAGAAGGATGGCTACCAGAGGCTACAGTCAATAGTAATTACGTACACTTTAAAATAATGAAAAGAGTATCAATGGATTGTTTGTAACACAAAGAAATGAGAAACGCTTGAAGTGATGGATACCCCATGTACCCTGATGTGATTATTATGCGTTGTATGCCTTTATCAAAATATCTCGTATACCTCATAAATTTACACACCTACCGCATACCCACAAAAATGTCCAAAAAAAAAAAAATAAGCTGGGTATTTGAGAACTAACTGCTTTGCTGACCTTGGTACATAATAATGGCAACTTTTAACCAATACCCTCCATTCTCAGCCAGTATCAAGTAAGCAACAAGGTTATAAACCAAGCAATAAAAGGACAAGACCAATAAGTAATTTTGTAGTCATTTTTCATATGAAATCAAGTAAATTCACACTAACAAGCCTTATGTAGTTGCCTATTGTATGATCGGCATGGTCTTAGATACTATCATTCCTTTGATTGACATAGCATTAGGCCACAATCTCTGCCTTTTGAATTATCGTCTGAAAGAGACGAGAAAATAGGCATGTGTCAAATAATTACAGCTGGAAAGAAAGCAAAAGTATTATAGTTCAAAATATGCACAGAAGTATGAACGCAACAATGAATAAATGACGGGTCATAAAATGCAGTTGGTCAAGGAAAGATTTTGGGGGATTGAGGCATTGAACTAGGTTGTGAATGAATTGATGACTATGAATCTAAAGACTGAAGTTACTGACTTGGGTAAGAAGATCATTTTGAGTAGGTGATTCAACAGGAGGAAAGCCACCCAACAGAAGCAAAAGACAACTAAGGCAGCAAATACAAGCCTACAATATATCCAGGAAAGCTTAAGGAAGACTTAAGTGCCTGAAACAAAACTGGCCACATTTTGAACACTGAAATATGAACCCTGACATGGAACTAAGCAGCTAGTATATGCTGAGTGTACACACACATTAACCCATTAATTCTCAATACAAACACAGGAAAAAACATAGCTATGAGGGAATTAAAGGTCAACAAATTTGAGACCCTTGCCTAATCGGGAACAGCTGATAAACAGAATTCAAAATCCAATTTATTTCTCCTTGATACTAAAATTCACGTTTTCCAGAGTATCTCTGCTTTTCAAAAACATAATTATCAGAGGTCTCAAATGCCAGGAGGAAAAAATAATCTATATCAAAGATGCAAAAGAAATGTCCAGAAGTAGTACTTACTGGAGTGTGTTCACCCAGTTCACCTCCCCACTTCTTATGTAAATTATACGCAAAGCACTGCACTTTAGACGTGTTCATATTTTCCTAGACATGACAAATGGCCAGTGTAATATCATTTTGCAAAATAGTACAAGACCATTTCTTATATCTCTTCCTTATATATTATCTCTCATGGCTTCCTAACATCTCAAAATTTCCACATTATTTGCTTATTTTTGTAAATCCAGAGGAAAAGTAGGCTCTCTAAACACCATCTTGGATTAGCCATCACATTAACTTTCTTTAACAATTTAAGAGAAAGATTTGGTAAGGCATGTGACCGATGAAAATAAGTATATGGGAGAACTCAGCCCAGTTTATCTGCAGTCTGCCTTCAGCGCATCTAACAAGGGTTTACCTGCCCAGACATAGTTGTAATAACCCAACTCTTCAAGCCATCATACAAAAGTAAATTGGAGCAGAGGTGATTCCCAGGAATTGAATGCATAACTTAGGGTAAAGTCACCTAGAAGTCTCCCATTAAAACTTTGTTTTCCTGGAATGAAGACATGGGATGGAGGGAGTTGGGGTACAGACGAGTGGAAACATATTTGTGTGCCAAAATCTGTACTTAAATAAGTTTTTATTTCATTCTCATTTGAACCCTCTAGTTTAGGGTATTACTACTCCCATCTTATAGATGAGAAAAATAAGTATCAGAGAAATTAATTTGTCCAAAGTCATCAGTGAAAACCTAATTGCGGCTGGGTGTGGTGGCTCATGCCTGTAAGCCCAGGACTTCGGAAGGTCAAGGCAGGTGGATCGCTTGAGCCCAGAGGTTCAAGACCAGCGTGGGCAACATAGCAAGATCCTGTCTCTATAAACAAACATTTTTTTTAAAAGTAACCTAATCAATCTAACATCTGAGCTAACAAATCATCCAGGGAAGAACTTTGAGAACTTTTACCCAAAGTAATAGAATATATGGAATATACCTTTCATTTTGTTACATTTCCAGGAAGAGTAATATATGAGTTAATCGAGGTAGTTTTTAAAACCTGAAACTTTATAACAATAACAGAGTGTTATCTTAAAATAGTCTCGTCTTATTTAAGATCTACTATGTACTTGACTTGGTGCTGAAAACGGGATTCAAAACGCCCTGATGAGATCTAACCTCTCATTTTTCTCTAGGCCGGTCAAACCCACAGCATGCATATGAAGGTTGAAACCAAAAAAGCACTAACCATAGAGTTCAGGTTTACAATGTTAAAAAAAAAAAAAAAAAAAAAAATCCTGGTATTTACATATGATTCACATCAAATGAATAAATGACATGAATTCGCATCATTTTTCTTAGTTAACAGCTTAACCACTTGATTCTAGGGTTGCACCAGTTTACCGGGGATAGACTTAAGAAAACCTAGGCCAGAAAGCTACTGGTTTCACATCAAACTCCAGGAGTAATTAGAAAGAGAGCAAACAGAAGCATTTGGTTTTCAGGAAACAATTTCTGGTCTGTCCCATTTGCACACGCAAGAGGCAGCAAAACTGCATCTTACGGAGATCTGACTGGGGGAAAAAGGTGGCGAAAAGTGGGTGGAGAATCAGGAAAAAGGCAGTCTGGATATGAGACCCCCTGCAGTCAGCCAGATTCAATTGCTAAGTCTCAGGAAACCCTGAACTATTTCTCCTGGAAATTAAACTGAGATTTGAAACTAATGAGGGGCCAAAGTATAGAAGAGTGTTGGATAGCATGTGCAGCTAATTATTTCATTCAGGGAGCCAAAGGGACCTTGGGACATTTCCATACAGCCTATAAACTAGAGAAATTAATCCTAAAAGCTTAGAGGAAAAAATTAGGTTCCCATCATGAAAGTGCAGATTTTGAATTTGTTGATAATTTCACCTCACCTTCCTAGGAGGTTACACTAAGACCAGGTAGAAAATTTCATTCTCAATTAAGATCAATCTGGCTCTCTAGTGAAAATTTGGCTGGGAACAGAAGGAGTGCTGGAGTGCTCTAATGAGGTAAGTCCTAGGCTGCTGTAATATCTTCACCTAAGAATTCAGTGTTCTATGGGTGCAATGTTGTTTGCATAGGGGAATTCTTTCATAAGAAGGGGAAGGGAGTCAATACATGTCATCAGGAATCATGCTATCTAGTCATTCAAGTTACTAGGTTTAGGCACTCTGTATACAGGGTCCTATCTTGCTACTTCAATAAGGGTTAGAAGGCCGGGCGCGGTGACTCACGCCTGTAATCCCAGCGCTTTGAGAGGTCGAGGCGGGCAGATCACGAGGTCAGGAGATCGAGACCATCCTGGCTAACAAGGTGAAACCCCATCTCTACTAAAAATACAAAAAATTAGCCGGGCATGGTTGTGGGAGCCTGTAATCCCAGCTACTCGAGAGGCTGAGGCAGGAGAATGGCGTGAACCTGGGAGACAGAGCTTGCAGTGAGCCGAGAATGCTCCACTGAACTCCAGCCTGGGCGACAGAGCGAGACTCCATCTCAAAATAATAATAATAATAATAATAGATAGATAGATAGATAGATTGAAAGGCTAGAGATTTTTTTTTTAATAGGGAAGTCAGCTTCTCTGAAGGAGTTTCAAATTAGGTGCTATCTACAATACATGACATAACTCTCTGAAACATAAAATTATAGTTCTGTGTCATTTAATGACAGAGATCCTTTCTGAGAATTATTTCTCCTAAGCTACAATCCTATACAATATATTACTGTGCTGAATGAAGTAGGCAATTGTAACACAATGACCAGTATTTGTATATGCAAACATATCAAAACATAGAAAAGGTTCAGTAAAATATGGTATAAAAGAGAAAAAGATGGTACACCTGTATAAGGCACTTACCATGAACAGAGCTTGCAGGACTGGAAGTTGCTGTGGGTCAGTGGTGAGTGAATGTGAGGGACTAGGACATTACTGTACATGACTATAGACTTTATAAACACTACACTTAGGCTACACTAAATCTATTTTAAAAAGTGTTTTTCGGGCCGGGTACGGTGGCTCACGCCTGTAATCCCAGCACTTTGGGAGGCTGAGGCGGGTGGATCACCTGAGGCCAGGAGTTTAAGACCAGCCTGGCCAACATGACGAAACCCTGTCTCTACTAAAAACACAAAAATTAGCTGGGCGTGGTGGCACATGCCTATAATCCCAGCTACTCAGGATGCTGAGGTAGGAGAATTGCTTGAACCCGAGAGGCGGAGGTTGCAATGAGCTGAGATTGCACCATTGCACCCCAGCCTGGGCGACAGAGCGAGACTGTCTCAAAAAAATATATAAAATAAGTTTTTCTTTCTTCAATAACAAGTTAACCTTAGCTTACTATAACTTCTTACTTTATAAACATTCCAATTTTTTAAAACTTTGACTATTTTGTAATAGCACTCAGATTAAAACACAAACACATTGTATAGCTGTACAAAAATATTTTCTTTATGCCCTTACTTTATAAGCCTTTTTCCTATTTTGAAATTATTTATTTTTTGCTTTTTAAACACTTTTGTTAAAAACGAAAACACAAACACACACGTTAGCTTAAGCCTAACACAGGATCAGGGTTATAAATATCACTCTCTTCCACCTCCACATCTTGTCCCACTGGAAGCTCTTCAGGGGCAATAATATGCATGGAGCTGTCATCTCCTGTGATAGCAATGCTGCCTTATGGAGCACCTCCTGAAGGACCTGAGGCTGTTTTACAGTTCACTTTTTAAAAAAATGTAAGTAGAAGGAGTACTCTCTAAAATAGTGTTAGAAGCATAGTATAGTAAATACATAAACCAGTAACAGTCGTTTATTGTCACTATTAAGTATTAGGTACCATATGTACTTGTACATGCTAGAGCTTTATATTATTGGCAGTGTACGTTTCTTTACATCAGCATCACCACAAACCCGTGAGGAATATCTTATCGCATGGTGACTACAATGTCACCAGGTGATAGGAATTTTCAGCTCCGTTATAATCTAATGGGACCATTGTATATGCAGCTTGCCATTGACCAAAAAGCTGTTATATGGTGCATGACTGTAGCTTGTCCAGTTGTTCCCAAATCAGGTTGATTCTTAGCATCACTGGTGGGACTTATAAAAGTCACACAAAAGTCTTCGTTTCCATCCCCAGATCCTGCTTCATTATGCGCAGGCTTTTGTTTGGTTTTGTTTTGTTTTTTTGAGATGGAGTCTCACTTTGTTGCCCAGGCTGGAGTACAGTGGCGCAGTCTCGGCTCACTGCAACCTCTGCCTCCCTGGTTTGAGCGATTCTCATGCCTCAGCCTTCTGAGTAGCTGGGATTACAGGCGTGTGCTACCACATCAGCTAATTTTTTGTATTTTTAGTAGAGACGGGGTTTCACCATGTTGGCCAGGCTGGTGTCGAACTCCTAACCTCAGGTGATCCACCCGCCTCGGCCTCCCAAAGTACTGGGATTACAGGCATGAGCCACTGCACCAGGCCAGCACAGGCATCCTTTAAGATCCCCTGGTAATACTGATGATCAGCCAGTTTTGTGAAATACTTACCTGATTTATAAAGCATCAAACATCTGGGAATATGGTAAACTTTGAAGGATTGTTACAAATCTCCTTCCCAATAAGCATTAACATGTAGAAGAGCCTAAATCTAAAGGAGCACAAAAAGGTAGATGACAATGCTATAAACACTTAATTTTTTAAAAGTGATTTTGTATACTACATGTGCCAATGGGGCAGTCAATATATACACCTAGTACAAAAAAGCAATCAGCAGTTGCTAGCTACTGTTATCAACAGCATCATAGTGTATGGGCTATCCAGAGCAAGGCTGTGCCAACATTTTATGTGAAGAGACAAATAGCAAATATTTTAGTTTCTGTGGGCTTATAGTCACTGTGACCACTGTTCAACTCTGCAATCGTGGTGTAAAAGCAGCCATAGACAGTACATAAATGAATGAGTATGGCTGTGTGCCAATGGAACTTTATTTATGGAGACTGCCATTTGAATTTCATATAATTTTTACATGCCATAAAATATTTTGTTTTTTTCCTCCAACCATTTAAAAATGTAAAAACTATTCTTAGCTTGCGGCCATACAGAAACAGGCTGCGGGCCTAATTTGGCCCACGGACTTTAGTTTGTCAGCTGGTGGTCTAGAGTCTAGGTTGTTATTCATGGAACAGTCTGCAAAGAAATTATTGGATTTGGGTGTGGGGTGATCCAATAATCATCCAATGTCCACACACAGCCAAGAGTGGACATTTTCTGTGTCAGAAGAAGACATAGAAAATTTTAGACATAGAAATTCATATTTTTACTGAACCATTGTACTCTTTTGACATTAGCTAAATTCTACCTGCTAGTCACAGGGTCAGCATTGGTGAGTGGCTGGTCCCCCATGATGCCATGGGCATGGTACACCTGCCACCGAAAAAGAAATCTTTGCCATCTCTAAGGGCTTTCCCAACCCCGGCTGTAAAGAACATCTGATTTTCAGCATAATGTAAATCCCAGCTTTGCCTGCCAGTAAATTCATGTACATCATGTTAACATCAGGTTTATATTAAACATTTACATTAAGAATTGGAGTGGAAGATTAAATTGTTTGCATGCATTGCCGTCACAGAAGGAATGGCCTCATCATCCTCCCTGCCCATGGTGCTGAGTGCCAGCAGACTAATGATCAGACAGTTACCCATCAGAAAGGCAGGTGAGACACTGATGCACAATCCTTGTCAAAGCTGGGCAGCCTCTGTCCACTCTGCCTGTGCCCTTGGCAATTATCAGCAAGCTATGAGCTATACTACCATCCCCTGCCAAGTGAGGTTTAATTTATGACACCAAGGATAATGATTCACTCCAACGCAATACTCAGAATTACTGTCTTTTCCTCTGAATTAGAATTCTTCTACCTACAAAATGACGTGCTTTTTAGTATTTTGATTCAAATCAGTCATGATCATGCTGGATGTTGTAGGGTTGAAAACATTTGGTTGTGCAACTTGAATATTCTGCAAGAGATTAAGCTGGGGATAGACTAAAGGTGGTTCTAAGTCCAGTCTCTAAGGAGCACTGCTGTCCTTTCTCTCTGAAATTCAGATCCAGAGAGAAAGAGAAGACTCTAAGAGGAACTCAGGTCTGCAGGTTTTCCTGGGCCAGTTCTCCCTGCCATGAATATGAAGAGTTGCCCAGGACACTCTAACTAGCAAATAGTCTGCAGAACAAATGTTTTTGTGGGGGAGAAAAAACCAACAACCATGGACGCCAAGTCAAGTGGCTAGAGAAGAGTGATGTTGTTAAAGTGTATGATTCATTAAGTCTTGTCTGCGTGTCAGATGTTCAGCATTTGGTGCTATTGCCTCCAATTTAAATCATTTTTTAAAGAAGTGCCGAAAAAGGTGCTGAAAGGCACCTCACTCTGTTCCCGCACTTGAAAAACACTGTCTGCCTGTGCACTGTGGTAAAACTTTGCATTTTGGCTAGACACCCTGTGTGGAGCTGTGCTGAAGCTGGAGGGTTTCTTTTTTTTTTTTTCTTTTTTTTTTTTTTAAGTTTGTACAGTCACCCAAAGGCAGGAAGAGAAAACAGTGTTTCCCCAAGCCAAAGATCCCTCCTGATGGCATCTGTGAAATAGAGAGAGAAAGTGCTGCTATAGTGAGCCTTCCCCTGCAGTGAGAAACCCTACCACAAGTTTCCATGTAGTGACTGCCTGCACGTAAGAGCTGCCTCCCAGTGCTTTTCTGCTGGGAGTCCTTCTCTCCTAGAATTCTTTTCAGAACCCCTGGAATGTCAAGAGCTGCTGATCGTGGTTTATCATCACCAGTTACAAGTAAGGCTAGCATTGATATCTCACCTTGGATTGTTGTCAGTACCCAATGACCTCACGGAGACTCAATGTGTTGGTTCCTCGACACCCCCTAAATGCTTCTAGGGGTGTAGCTGCCGCTTCCTCCTCACACAAAAAGGGGTGACGCATGTCTCAAGGATGAATCTTGCGAACATGATGCTAAATGAAATAAGTCACGAAAGGAGAAATAGTATATGATTCCACTTATATGAGATACTGAGAGTAGACAAATCTATAGAGATAGAAACTAGAGTGGTGGCTGCCAGGGGCTGAGGGAAGAGAGATAGGTAATTAGTGTTTAGTGAGTACAGAATTTCAGTTTTATAAGATGAAAAGCATTCTGGAGATGAATAGTCGTGATGGTTGCACAACAATGTAAATGTACTTAATTCCATTAAATTCTACACTTAAAAATTGTTAAGATGATAAATTTATGGTGTGTATATTGTACCACAGTTAAAAAAAAAAGATGGTGCAGGTCAGAAAGCGGTCAGGAAAGTCCCAGTTAAGACTCCAAGGACTTCCCCAGGTTAGTGTGACTTGGCATTCATGAATAAAATGTGGCTTTCTGGGTATTAATCTGAGATCTGGGCCTCCATATTCTCAAGCACTGTATGACAGGCATGTTATGAATTTCATCAGAACTGCAATTCCTGCTGATAGAAACTTCCCCGGCTCCTCAGGCGCTTGCTGACCCAGGCCTTTAGCAGTAGCTATAAGATGCTTAAGATTTACCTAAAAATGAAGGTGATGGTGTTTCCTCCAATTCAAAGAGAATACAGCAGGTGGTAGGCTAGGGCTGAAGCTTGGTTGGGGAGAGTAGTGTATTAGTCCATTCTCACACTGCTATGAAGCAATACCCGAGACTGGGTAATTTATAAAGGAAAGAAGTTTAATTGACTTGCAGTTCTGCAGGGCTGGGGAGGCCTCAGGAAACTTACAATCTGGCAGAAGGGGAAGCAAACACATCCTTCACATGGCAGCAGCACAGAGAAGTGCAGAGTGAAGGGGGGAAATGCCTCTTATAAAACCATCAGTTCTCATGAGAACTCACTATCATGAGAACAGCCCCCATGATCTAGTCACCTCCCATGGAGTCCCTCCCACAACACTTGGGGATTATGGGAACTATAATTCAAAATGAGATTTGGGTGGGGACATAGTCAAACCATATCAAGTAGGTAGACACAGACAGGTAAAAATTCACCTATTTGAAATATAATTGCACCAAGGACATAAACAGACTCTTTTCAAAAGAAGATATACACGTGGCAAACAATCATATGAAAAAAGCTCAATATCACTGAACATTAGAGAAATGCAAATCAAAACCACAATGAGATACCATCTAATACTGGTCTGAATGACTATTATTAAAAAGTCAAAAAATAACTGATGCTGGCAAGGTTATGGAGAAACAGGAATGCTTATCCACTGTTGGTAGGAGTGTAAATTAGTTCAACCATTATGGAAGACAGTGTGGTGATTCCTCAAAGACCTAAAGACAAAAATTGAACCAGCATTTGACCCAGCAATCCCATTACTGGGTATATACCCAAAGGAATATAAATCATTCTGTTATAAAGACATCACTATTCACAATAGCAAAGACATGGAATCAACATAAATGCCCACCAAAGACAGACTGGATAAAGAAACAGTGGTATGTATACACAATGGAATACAGCACAGCCATAAAAACGAATGAGATCATGCCCTTTGCAGGGACATGGATAGAACTGGAGGTCGTTATCCTTAGCAAACTAACACAGGAACAGAAAACCAAATGCTGCGTGTTCTCATTTATAAGTGGGAGCTAAATGATGAGAACACATGGACACAGAAGAATAAAACTCACTGGAGCCTTTTGGAGGGTGGAGAGTGGGAGGAGGGAGAGGATCAGGAAAGATGACCAAAGGGTACAAGGCTTAATACCTTGGTCATAAAATAATTTGTACCACAAACCCCCATGTGTCAAATTCATCCATGAAACAAGCCTGCACTTGCACCCCTGAACTTAAAGGTTAAAAAATGTATATATAATTACACCAAGAAATAGTAACGATGCATAATTTAACAATGCATAGATTTCCAAATATTTTCACAAATATGAATTCATAGTCCTCACATCAAACCTGTAATTAATGGCCACCATTGAGGTCCTGTGATGTTCTAAGCATCATGTTTGCATTGTTTCATCTTCCATCTAGAGTAAGAGGCTCAGAGAAGTCAAGGCCATTTAACCAGCAAGTGAAAGAGATATGATTCTAAGACACGGTTGTTCAGTGGTGATGGTGGTGGTGATTTTTGTGGGTTTTTTGCTTTTGTATTTGTTTTGTAAGCTCTAAATCTGGCACTTTGCCTTTTTCTGTAATATAGGAGTCAAAAAGGAAAGGAAAGGAGGATGAAACCCTAGAGGTCTCTAGGTGATGAATCGATTTTAGGCTTTCAAAAAAGCTGTATTAGCATCGCGTTCATTCCCATCTCTCCAAGGCTTTGGAAAACATCCTTTTCAGTAAGGAATCAAAATCAAGTCCCCTAAATAAAGCACTGGTAGTATGAAACACTGAGACATATTTTTAGTCTCACTGTGTCCGTTTTGTAGCAGCATAACATATGTGTTGAGCAAAAATATACACAATATTTAAAAACAACAAAACAATCACCATTATTCTCGCCATCTGATGGCCAGTCGCTGTGATGATTTGTTCTTTAGGTCAGCTTCTGTGTGCCATCATCTAAAGAGCAAACTGCTTCACATACCTACCCTACCTTCCCTCCTACCCTGAGTGCAGATGCTCACCTACCCTCATCTTTCCTGCAGAATGACTATGGACAGATATCCCTAAATCACAGACTCGCTAAACAAGGAGCCTCAGAGCAGACCTCTGCAGGGCTGATCTTAATCCTTTCCAGACAAATGAGATATGATTTCAAAAAATATTCAGGAAATGTGAATTCTCTTCCTACCTTGGTGACTTGTGTTGAAGTTTTACGTATATAATCAGAAAAACTTCGCTTATTATTACTGTCAGGTTCATCCTGCTGCAATTTCACCTCCTTAAAAAAAGTGGTGTCCAATTGTATGGAAACCCTTTGAACATAAAAATGAATTTGTAAACAAACATACTGAGCCGTGGTAGTTAACTCACAGAATAAAGCCATAGTCTGCGAAAGAACAAAGTGTAGGGAGTCTTTTAATGACTCATCCTAATATGTTTAAAATATGATTCAGTACAGAAATATTTGTGATATAGAAGACATAATAGGGGCACAATTATTGAATCAGTTTCGAGACTTGGGCACATCTGAATATATGTAGACAATGCCTTCTTCGTGTCAGTTTCATGTATCTGTCCCTATCACATGTTGTGCCAGCAAATGAAATTTCCTAGCTATATCCACATTGATGAAGCTTTGCTGTCTGTATGAATCTGCATCTGCCCATGAATGAGTCCATTTCAAGCACATGTACGTGTCTGTGCATGGGTAGAAAGATAAGCTTAGCAATTGTGTGATTTGTTTCTGCTTAGGCAGTAAGTTACTAATCTCCTGATTGGAACCAGATTTGTATGAATTAGGGGTTGAAATTGGAACAGTCACTGCTGTGTGCAGGATGTAAAGTGAATAAAATGAATGGAGTATTAACCTTCAACCACTGAATATTAATCAGCTTTTCATAAGAAAGAAAACACAGAGCTTGCCACACTAAATATTTTCAGCGCTTATTGACAGGATATGATTTCTTTTCTCTCTCAGCCCTGTTACTTCCAGTCAAGGGCCTGAAAATACCGGACAATAGTCAACTTGACACAGATTAATATATGATTTGAAAAACCCCAGGTACTGAGGGTGGGTAGGATTCTGAATGTGTCAAATCTGATGAAATGATATGCCTTTATCAAAAGTGAGCCTGTCTTCCAGTCACTCCTGCAAACACTCCTTTGGGCCAAACTAAGCCCAAAGGGAATTCACAGAAAGACCGTGGATGGGAAACCTTGATGACCACAAAACAAACATGTAAGAAGAATATATTTTCCATTGCCATAGAAAGGACTTGCAATTAGGAAGTGATTCTGTTTGGGTATTTGGATGAGACCTACATCCATTCCAAGGGGAATTAAGAAAAGAGTCATGTAATAATGGAATCTGAGTGAAAATAAAACTTGTAATATTGCAGTTACTTGTGCAATACTTATGTAATATTGCAATTGCTTTTGTTCAAGAATGCAAAGTCTTGTATTTATGTCCATATAATAACATGGCATATATTATATAGACTTTGACATATATATATATATATATATATATATATATATATATATATATAGAGAGAGAGAGAGAGAGAGAGAGAGATAGAGAGAGAGAGAGAGAGACAGAAATATGTCTCTGTAGGTAGAAATATGGACAAATAGAAATATACATAAAGTATATCTTTATGCATGTTTTATGTATGTTATATCATCAAAGAAGGCAGTAAATTTTTGCTCCTGCAGATATTTTGAAGCAGCAGATATTATATGCTAACATTATCTGTATCTATAAAGCTACTTGCACAATACTACAAAGAGTACATTTCATGTGGCTAGGATTAAATTGTAATTGAATTCAACTTTTAAAACTAAGAAAGGGAAAAGGGAGAAGAAAAGGATTTCTTCTATACCCAGCTCATGCAAATTGTTTTCAAATATTTTCTCAAATGTTTAAGAAATTCAGTTTTTTCTTAAACTGAATTTTTATTTAAAAAGCTATACTTTTTAAAAGCTATTTTAAAAGCTATACTTCAAATGAAGACAATGTATGTTTCAATAGCATTTTATTATTTATAAATCAGGAGGTACTTCTCAACCTCAAACATATCAGACCAATGTTAAGTAATGACTGTTTTTCCCTTTGGAAAAAGTCTCTCATTTTGTTTTTCTCTATGGAAAACTTCTCCCTCTATGCTACCTAGCTTAGAACCCCACTGCCCTCATGTGCTCTTGCCAAAAATTTCTAACCCCTGACCATCTCAAACACTGAAGTAATTAATCTCCCATGTAATTTCTCATGTAGCAATTTAAAAAAAAATCATCATACTCCTTTTAGCTGGTAGTAATACCGGAAATCCACCCATTAGGCTAATTCCACAAAGGTGTTAGTGACTGATAATGGCTTAATACACCCTGTAGGATGGTGCAGTACAAAGGATTGTAAAGATCCTTTTCTTCATCCCAAGATTCCTGTCCCTTGGTTATTCAAACACTCACCTTGGTACTTCTGTGAAGGGACTTTGAAGATGCAATTAAGGTTGCTAATCAGCTGACCTTAAAGTAGGGAGACTAGCCTGGATCATCCAGGTAGGCTCAATGTAATCACATGAGCCCTTAAAAGAAGAGGAAGGCAGAGGTATGTGCAAGAGAGGAAGCCAAAGGGGAGGTCTAAATGAGAATTTTGACTTGACTTGCTAGCTCTGAAGAAGGAGCAAGAGAGACAGGAGCCAAGGGGTGCAGGTGACCCGGCTGACAGCCAGCAGGGAAACAGGGACCTCCATCCTGTAACCGCAAGGAAATGAATTTGACAACAATCTGAATGAACTTGATTCTTCCCCAGAGCCTCTAGTAAGAAACAGCCCTGCCAATACCTTGATTTTAGCCCAGTGAGACCCAGGTTGGACTTTTTACCTACAGAAATTAGGAGATAATAAATGTGTGTTGTTTTAAACCACTAGGTTTATGGTAATTTGTTACGGCAGCTATAGAAAACTAATACAGGCAACCACAGAAGGCTCCAGAGAAAGAAATTTGTTCATCCAAATGAAAAAATGTCAAGGAAGCCCAAGAATAGTCTAGGAAGGAGAAGAGTGTTAGGGAAGAAATAGATTGCTGTGATAGGGCAATCTTAAATCCCATCTCTAGGTTACCTGTATTTACCATTGCCCCTAAGAGATTATACCTTCTCACCTCCATGTCATGGCTAGAGTGTGATTAACTCTTTTATTAAAAAATATTTGCAAAAAGAACTAAGCAAGGGTGACATAGAAATCAGTGGCACCTTCCACTGGCTTTCCAACACAGTGTCTTAGCCCATCCAATTCCCATTGAACATCTCAGACCTTCAGAAAAGTTAGATGGCTTTTCTAAGGTCATATAGTTGGTTATTAGTAAATCAGAAACTTGATTTCAAGTCCTCTACTGTCTTATCCTAATTTTTTCATGTCATTAACCTTAATTCTTACTTATTATGAAAACTGGCTGGAATTCAAAGAGAATGCATTTAGTAAATAGGCTACAAGAAAGTATGTTGTATTAGCACATGGAAAAGGAATATAGAGACTTATCTGGATTATTTATAGCTGAAGTCACATCATCAATAGGTAATCCCGGGTGTCTGACTCACCGATAACGCAGAAAAAAATACCAAAGATAGCTAGATACTTGGGAGAAGGAGAATTTTGGTTTAGATGACAAATCAATGCTTCAATAATTCTCTATTGCACTTTTCTGAAGATCTCATGGCCACTTGGCAACATTGAATAACCTTGGTACCAACAAGCCTGAGTCTGCCTTAGCAGATAAAATCAATTTGTAATCCTGGAAGGCAAATTGAAAAGCCTTAGGAAGAAAATGAAATGATTCAGCATACATATTGAGAATGGAATCCAGGAACTCAAGACAGGCAACTGCCCAGTTATTTTAAGGGAGCCTTATTTGGAGCACACTGGAGTCCTCCCCACTCCCCACCCATCTGAATTCCACCAGCATTGCCAGCATTATCCTTTTGGTGTCCTGGGTTTGCCCCTTTCTGTCTCTCAACCAAGAGACCTCAACCAAGCACCTCTCAACCAAGCATCTCAACGCTCTGTCATTCTTGACCAAGCACCTCAAACCCCAGAATCCTGAGGCCAATAACTCTTGTACTCTGCTGGGTTGCGAGACCCGACCACAGATCCATCCCCATTCCAAGTCACCTCATTCAAAACATCCCGAGCTGGAGAAAGATTCAGGTGGTTTCTGCTGGAGCTGATAGATAGCTACCCAACACATGGAGGGAACCCTTAAAAAGGTGAAATCATGTATGTAACATTTCAGCTGAGATCATAAAGAAGTAGAATGCACATCCTCCACTTTCTAGAATGAGATCCATAAAGAAGCAAAATGATTAGGGAAATATCCTCAAAATACAATTGATGAGAAATGTTCACTTTAGAAATTCCTGTCGATATTTCGGTTTTGGCCTAATAATTGCATTTTAGCTTGCCAGAGCCTTTACATCTCTAGCTGAGCTTAAGATAAATTCTGCAAGGACTACCCAGACTTCTACACATGTGCACACAAATACAAATCCATTCCCCAAATGTTAGTGGCAACAAATAAATGGAAATAATCCAACTCATTTATTATAATTGGTCTCACCAAGAATGCAATGCTAAAGAAAATTTGGTAAATTATTCACCTTTGTTGAAAAGAATATTTGTAAAAAAGAGACACCGTCATGTCTTTTGGTTTTACTGTTTAAATTTCAATAGAATGTTTAATATAAAAATAATATGCAGCTGGAGACTTTCCATCTAAGTTAGCATAATTTCTTGAGTACTTATTTTAAACTCATCTCAAGCCTAAGTTCCAAGGAGTGTGTGGAGGAAGCTGCATCAATGGGGAAGAGAAAGAGAGAGAGAGAGAAAGAGAAGAGACAAAAAGAGAGAGGAAAAGAGAGAAAGAGGAGAGAGGAAAAGAGAGGAAAAGAGAGAAAGAGAAACAGAGAAAAAGAGAAAGAAAGAGAAAGAGAGAAAGAGAAAGAAACAAAGAGAAAGAGAAAGAAAGAAACAAAGAGAAAGAGAATCTGCAAACGCACACGCAAGCTTCAGTGTATGGAGAGGAGTGTATTTATAAGCTATCGAGCCTAGTTTCATCATTTCTTGAGGACAGCTATACTCTGGTCTTGTGTTCTGAGAGATGCTACTCAGAACAAAAATTATCTTATTTTGCTTATATCATTCTTGATTTCTGGTGAGTCCTTTCAAAAGTCCTAGATATTGCACAAAGCGATTCCTGGCAGGTCAACCTTCCACTGATAAGTTATACTCTACGTACATGCAAAGAGCATACAGTGAAACACAATTAACTCATATAGAAACATATTAGGAATTAAGGAAGACCCAAAACCTGGCCTTCATTCGGGTGATACTTTTTTTTTCTTTTTCTTTTTTTTCTGTTTTGAGACAGTCTCACTCTGTTGCCCAGGCTGGAGTACAATGGCACTATCTCGGCTCACTGCAACCTCCACCTCCCAGGTTCAAGCAATTCTCCGACTTCAGCCTCCTGAGTAGATGGGACTACAGGTGCGTGCCACCACACCTGGCTAATTTTTTCTATTTTTAGTAGAGACGGGATATCACCATGTTAGCCAGGCTGGTCTCGATCTCCTGACCTCGTGATCTACCCCCCCTTGGCCTCCCAAAGTGCTGGGATTACAGGCGTGAGTCACCATGCCCAGCCTCCGATAATACTTTTTATTTGCCCTGGAAGAAAGTCACTTAACTTGCTGCAACCTGAATTTGTTTATCATGAAAATGATGCTCTCATATGTCACCACTGGTAAATGAAGATGCTTTCCATTCTTGGGAGATGGTAACTCCATGAATACCAGACTGTCCTGAAGCAGGGAACCTGGAAAGTAGGTGAAGAGAGACTTGAGACGTTCATCTGATTCTTTTAAAAAAGCATAGCTTCATTCTCCAATGAGGAAAATAAAGGGAAGAGAGAAAGTGCACTTGGACAAAGAAATGGAGTGGTATCAGACACATCTCCAACTTTCCCTCCACCCTCCAGTTCCTCTAGCATCACCCACTCGCTAACATCATTAGAAAGAGCTGCTAATAATTAATTAGAAAAGGAGAAAAAAAAGAGAAGTGTCTTGATGTTTATTTAGTTCTTTTTGGCCAGAAGAAACTACACAAGTCTCCTGGGATGTCACTTTTTCACCTCTGGTCATCTCTACATTATGATTTGATATTCTTTGGAAGCCAATACTAAGAGCAAACCCTCAAGTATGACATTGGCAGTCCTAGACCACCAGCTGTCACTCCTGCCATACACCACACAACAGTGATGTCCACAGAACTGCCCTGATTCTTCCTGCCTCAAAGACACAGTTATATGAGTTAACAGGACCAGATATAAAATTGTGGCCTCTATAAAGACATGTGCACACGTATGTTTATTATGGCATTATTCACAATAGCAAAGACTTGGAACCAACCCAAATGTCCATCAGTGATAGACTGGATTAAGAAAATGTGGCACATATACACCATGGAATACTATGCAGCCATAAAAAAGGATGACTTCATGTCCTTTGTAGGGACATGGATGCAGCTGGAAACCATCATTCTGAGCAAACTGTCACAAGGACAGAAAACCAAACACTGCATGTTCTCACTCATAGGTGGGAATTGAACAATGAGAATACTTGGACACAGGGCAGGGAACATCACACCCCAGGGCCTGTCATGGGGTGGGGGGCAGGGAGAGGGATAGCGTCAGGAGAAATACCTAATGTAAATGACGAGTTAATGGGTGCAACACACCAACATGGCACATGTATACCTATGTAACAAACCTGCATATTATGTACATATACCCTAGAACTTAAAAGTATAATAAAAAATAGAGTGTGGCCTCTTATCCCCATCCCCCCATACTCCCTTTTTTCTATGTCACTTTCAAAGCAACATCATTCAATAGTGGTACAGAGTATAGAATGTTGTCAGCTTTGAAAAACGCATATTTCCTCAAACTGGGAAGTCTTTCTCCAAGTCCAGAAAGATTATGGAGTAAGTGTGTTCTGTCCTTGGGAACATAAGCCTTAGAAAACGGAGAAGAGTGAAGGTCAGGGACCTCTTCTGTGGCTGTACAAGCCTGTTCCAGAAGGAGAGACCTAGGATGATTAAAATACTGTTTTTGCAGCTGTCACACAAACACTATTTAAAATTCCCGTTCCCTATCCCAGGATTTAATGCAAATTGTCCACATGACAGAGGGTCAAAATGACAATTTACTTGCAATTAGCCAGATGTGTTGGAATGAAATTTCTCCCACCCACCCCCCAAAATTATCTGAATAATTTACACATACATAATCACCTTACTCCAGGGGGAAAATAGTATGCCTTTATTTATTTCCTTCAAGTACCTAGATTTTCCAACCAGAAAGTGTCATGTCCAGAAAAGCAAATAAGATAACTCTGTGAGGCCAGGCTGTCCCTCTTTCAAATGCAGACAGAATTAATTTGTGTTCATTAACTCCTTATCAAGTTACCTGACTTTGATTCCCAGCACAAAATGTATTTTAAAAAGGAGATGGGGGCAGTGGTAGATTTTCAGGAAATAGCGAGTTCTTTTTCTACTGAGATAAAAATCATTTGGCAAGCCAGGGTGAAATACTTCTAGTTTTAAGAGAGAGAAAAAGAAAGAGAAATGTAGAAGATGATAATGAACCACAAAAGGAAAAGTTTTTTGTTTTTTTTTTTAAATTTTAAATCAGACCTTACTTTTGAAAACAGCTCAGTTTGCAGCGAATTTTTAAAGAAATGTCAATTATTCCTTTGGGAGTATGTCCTAGCTAAACCAGGCCATAGGATGACTGCAATAAAGGAGTGAGCAATTCAGGTGACTTTAATTAAAAAGCTTAGGCTCATCAGAACTGACCTTTCAGACCCAGCCTTTCATCCCAAAAAGGATGAAGCTGGTAAAAGCTAGTGATATGGGCCCGAGGGAGGCGGTCTTGGAGCCTTGGGGACCAGGCTGCATTGTGAGCTAACTGTGGCTGACTGGACAGCAGATTGCTCCTTGGGAGGGCAGTTGGCTTTTATAATGAGGCATTTGAAGCAAAGAGGGATGTCCTATAAGTTAGTGAGAGAAGATGAAACCCTCAGATAACTCCTAAGTTTCACTTGGCATCTTTTAATTGGGAGGCTTTAGAACCCCTTGGCTCCAAAGTGGCCACCCTCAGTCTGCTCCCCAGGATTCAGATGCTGCGTGGGAAGAGATGGTCAACAAGGGCTGGGGAAGAGGGGACAGGAAGGGAAGCTAACAGCCAGGGTGATCGCCCTGCAGAGGATCAGCTCCATGCTTGGAGCTGTTTTCATGCCAAGAGTAGCAAGGATTCACTGTGAAGACAATCCAGATGTCAAGACTGAGTACAAAACTCCCTAAGAAAGCAGCCCTGAGTGTATGGTGGGAAAGGCCATAAACCCAGCTTCTATTGCAGTGAGAACACCGGTCCTTGTTAGTTGGGATCAAGGTAGGACATTTGAAGGAGAAATGTAGGAATCATGGGGTCTGGAGAAGGAGAAAGGATTGTGTAGTCTTACTGCTTGCATTTATTCAAATGCAAGGGGGAGCTACCAGCCTTCCCTCCTCCCTGTCTGGAAAGGATTAACACATTTGAGGGCTCTGAGCACTGGAAAAAATTACTATCTTCTTCACCCCGCTGTCTATCTGCAAAATGGTGATTGTGAGGCTGTTCCTCAATATGCTGGTTTTTCTCCTTCCATGCACATGGGGGCAATGCCACTCCCCATCTCCTCAAAGTCAGGTATGCCATGAGATTTGCTTTGGCCAAGGGAACATTAACAAGAGAGGAGACACTTTCAGGCAGAAGACTAAGAGTCAATGCAAACCTTCCCATGCTGCCTCCTCTATGCCACTGAGGCCAGGGATATTCCAGTTGGTGGAAGGTCTTCCATATTGCTTCCCCTGATGAGGACAAAGTGGCACAGAGCCACCTTACCTTACCCTGTCATGCCATACTCTTGCTGGCTGACCCATGGTGTATTAGTCTGTTTTCATAGTGCTGTAAAGAATTGCCTGAGACTGGGTAATTTATAAAGGAAAGAGGTTTAATTGACTCACAGTTCAGCATGGCTGGGGAGACCTCAGGAAACTTACAATCATGGTGGAAGACAAAAAAGCAGCAAGGCACCTTCTTCACAAGGTGGTAGGAAGGAGAAGTGCTCAGCGGCGGGGAGGGGGAAGAGCCCCTTATAAAACTATTGATCTCTTGAGAACTCACTATTACAAGAACAGCATGGGGGAAACCACCCCCATGATTCAATTACCTCCACCTGGTCTCTCCCTTGACACATGGGGATTATGGGGCTTACAATTCAAGATGAGATTTGGGTGGGGACACAAAGCCTAACAATATCACATGGTGAATATGTAGTATAAGCAAACAATCCATCTTGGTTATTTTCAGCCACTGAGATTTTGATGTTGTTTTTTACTGAAGATACAAAAATATAAAATACCTAACCAAGAAGTCCAAAAGATTTCGGTTTCAAAAATGACTACTTTGATAATTTGGCATTTCCATGAATAACCAAATTCTTTTAAAAACTTCTCTTTTTATGCTTCTGGTATGATGTGGTACATTAAGCATGCACCTCACCTGGTCTGACTATTGGGAAATCTAACCCTTCTCCCCTTAGAAACTCTGCCCTGTGGCAATGCACAGCAGAATACACTGACTTTTGTAGACTATGTGAGTATCTCCTCTCTGCTGTCATTTACCAGCCAGTCACATGTTTTTGGAAAATTTATTCAAACTCTCTAAATTTCAGCTTAGTTATAAAAATTAGCACCATAATTCCTATCTTTCCAAGTTATTGTGCCCCAGGGAGGAAAAGAAGTACACCACATATAGTGGCTTTCCCAACCTACTCCTGACCACCAGCAGACACATTACTCAACCCTCCTGAGGAAGGGTTTCCTTTCCATAAAATGAGATGACAATACCTACCTCCCAACTTGGGGTCAGGATTAAATAAATCAGTCAACATAGAGCTCTTAGCAGGTCTACACACCGAATACACAGCAGGTGATGTAATCATTGTGCTCATCATTAAATTATTAAATTGCATAGCACCTAATATATATTCAATAAATCTTAGCTGCTTCCATTGCCCTTGGAGAATGAGAGCTTCATGTTTAGGAATGGAATCATTTGAAATAGCATTATCAACAGTTAATCAGCAGGGTGGCCAACAACCTACTATGAAGAGGAAAGGACTCAAGGAGTCTCTGCTTTAGACCCGTTTATGGTAAGACATGTCTGGGGCTTTAGGATGCCAGGTTTTTTCCATTCTGTGAACACATGGCTTCCATTAGTTTACTGATACTGACATATCCGAGGCTTCCAAAGAACTCTGGGCCTCTGATGAGTGAAAGGTTTGCATGCCCAACAAGGAAAAGACAGGCTCCACAGGCATAAAAATGCTGCCAGGGGAGGGGAAGAGGAGGTGTTGAGTTTAGGTAGGAGACCAAATCTGGCTCTGTTTTTAATGACCATCCTGTCCACACCTGAAAATAAACTAGCTACACCTGGGGAAATTTCGAATGCTTCTGGAGCTCCAATGCCGATGTCAGTGTGCATATATAGCCTTCATTAATCAGAGTGAGTGTCATGTGGGTGTGTGCAAACAGGGACTGGAGAATAGTGAACAGTTTGCACAGTGCACACACACCGTCTCTGCTGAACTTTCTCATCCAAAGCAAACCTAAGCTCGAATGATCAGCTCCTTTTATTATGTGTTCTAAGGACATCGTTATTTGGCTGGCTTCTTAGAAACGGCCTGAATTCTAATTAGTTTGCAGTTTGAGGCTGCAGCATGGTAACTCAATACCTGCCTAAACTTTATCATCTGTTTCCCATCTTCAAAGCGGCATGGTCCACTTTTGTGCTGAGCAAAGGTGATGCCGGGGACCTCATTTTGTGTTTTGTGTCTCGTAGCAACAAGAGCTATTTGAAAGAGGGAGAAAGGTGGGGCCATCGCTGACCTAAGTTTGGGACAATTCTTTGTTCTAAGTTTCATCCCCAAGGGGAGGGTTCCAAAGAAATAAGGCTTTTTGTCCCTGATTACAGAAAGGATCTATCTCATCGGGGCAGTCTATTATCTCTCAAGATGTTTGTCATTTCAGACTATACAGCAAGAGTGGGCAAATAAAAGTGTGATGAAAAAATAATGAGGTCATATTTGCCTAATACGTGAAAACTAACGTGTTTTCCCGTACACTAAATCATCTGGTTGTTTCAACAGCCCTGTGAACAAGGTGAGCAGTTCGTATTGGGCCATTTTTACGGGTGAGGAAAGTAAGACTGAAGGAGGTCAGCCCACCTTGATTTGCATCTTGTCTCCTGACAACTAAACTCTTAAACCCTGGGGAAGTTTCTCCATCTCTGTGTCTGTATGGCCTCATCTGCAAAATGGGGAAAACAACAGTTGCTACTTCCTGGGTTGCTGTTAGGCTTAACGAGTTAATACATGTAAAAATTTAAAAAGTGATTAAAGATCACCTGTGACAAAGAAAAGGTCGAGCATGTGTTGGCTATTTTGATGATGAAGAAAAGTATTGGGTTGGTACAAAAGTAACCGTGGTTTTGCCATTACCTTTTTTTTTTGAGACGGAGTCTCGCTCTGTCACCCAGGCTGAAATGCAGTGGCGTGATCTCGGCTCACTGCAACCTCCGCCTCCCAGGTTCAAGTGATTCTCCTGCCTCAGCCTCCCAAGTAGCTGGCACTACAGGCGCCCGCCACCACACCCAGCTAATTTTTTGTATTTTTAGTAGAGACGGCGTTTCACCATGTTAGCCAGGATGGTCTTGATCTCCTGACCTCGTGATCTGCCCACCTCGGTCTCTCAAAGTGCTGGGATTACAGGCATGAGCCACTGCACCTGGCCACTGTTACTTTTAATGGCAAATGTGATTACTTTTGCACCAACCTTATAAAGTTGAAAATGTGGGACCTCAGAAGCTTAGGACTGAAATTATCCATAGGAAGAATTGGGCTGAGATGAAATCCACATCAGCATAGCACAGAGAAAATGAGAAAAACAAAATGCCCTTGTTCATGTGGCTGTTCAATTCCCATCCTGTCTACACTCCACACTCTACCCTGGATGGATGACACACTGCTCCAAGTCCCTCAGGGTCATAAGGAAGATTGTGACCCAATCTGACATCTGGTCATGGAAAGCTGTGTTTCCTTCTTATTTTATAAAATGCATATGTTGGGGCGGGGGGAAGAAGACCAAGTTTGACCCCCTCCAATCCATGTAATAATAGCTAACATAAACTGAGCTTTTCTTATGTGCCAGGCACTGTGTTATATATATTGCACACATTTTCTAATTTCTTTCTCATACAGGGTGACGAAACATATCAGTTTGCTCACCACTGATGGGTTCCCTGGAACTTTGCTGTATTCGTGTGTTCTCATGCTGCTAATAAAGAAATACCCAAGACTGGGTAATTTACAAAGAAAAAGAGGTGTAATGGACTCACAGTTCCACATGGCTGGGGAGGTCTCACAATCATGGTGGAAGGCAAAACAGGAGCAAAGTCACTTCTCACATGGTGGCAGGCAAGAGAGATTGTGCCGGGGAAATCCCATTTATAAAGCCATCAGATCTCGTGAGATTTTCACTACCACAAGAACAGTATGGGGAAAAACACCCCCATGATTCAATCATCTCCACCTGGCCCCACCCTTGACACGTGGGGATGATTACAATTTAAGGTGAGATTTGGGTGGAGACACAGCCAAACCATATCACTGGCTATAACTGAGTGTCCTGGGCAAGCTGGGACTGCTGGTCACCCTCCATGAGGAAGGTGCTCAATTCCATTTTGCAAATGTAAAGAACTGAAGTGGGAGGAGTCCCAAGTCTGGACAGGCCAGTAGGGATTTTTCAACCTGTGCTTTTAAATCACTATAAGATACAAGCTAGGGAGAGCATCTTCCTATGGGAGAAAGTTGTAGCACATCAGTGAATGGGTTAAGTTAGCTGTTGCTTTCTCTTTTTTTAAACTTTTAGGTTCAAGGGTACATATGCAGGATAGGTAAACTTGTGTCACAGAAGTCTGATGTACAGATCATTTCATCACCCAGGTACTAAGCCTAGTACTCAGTAGTTATTTTTTCTGCTCTTCTCCCTCCTCCCACCTTCCACCCTCTAGTAGATCCCAGTGTCTGTTTGTGTTCATGAGTTCTCCTCATTTTTCTCCCACTTGTAAGTGATAACATGCAGTATTTGGTTTTCTGTTCCTGTGTTAGTTTACCAAGGATAATAGCCTCCAGTTCCATCCATGTTCCCGCAAAAAACATGATCCTGTTCTTTTTTATGGTTGTGCAGCATTCATGGTGTATATGTACCACATTTTCCTTATCCAATCTGTCATTGATCGATATTTAGGTTGATTCCCTATCTTTGCTATTGTGAATAGTGCTGCAGTGGGCAAAGGAAATGAAATGAAACTTTTCAAATGAAATGAACAGACATTTTTCAAAAAAAGGTATACATGCAGCCAACAAGCGTAACAAAAAAATGCTCAGCATCACTGATCATGAGATAAATGCAAATCTAAACCATAATGAGATACCATCTCACACAAGTCAAAATGGCTATTATAAAAAACTTTAAAAAAAACAGATGCTTGCAGGTTGCAGAGAAAAAGGAACACTTACACATTGTTGGCGGGAGTGTAAATTAGTTCATCCATTGTGGAAAGCAGTGTAATGATTCCCCAAAGAGCTAAAAACAGAACCATTCGACCCAACAATCCCATTGCTGGGTATATACTCAAAGGAATAGAAATCATTCTACCATAAAGACACATGTACACAAATGTTCATGGATGTTGCTTTCTTTATTACAAAGGGTTTCATATCCTCCTGGACTGAGTTTCTCTGTTGTTGATGCTGTTGGTGTTTGTCTGTTCTATGGTTGTTATACTTCTGTAGGATTTGGAGGCATAATCTGAAATGTTAAATAACAGACTTTTATTTTTCTAACTAGTGTCATTCTATCTTTGGAAGGAAAAAAAAAAAAAAAAGAAGAACAGTGACATTAGCATTAGCAACTCTGAAAGGATCAAGACCTGATCTTCATAGTCCTATTATTTTTTTTCTGTTTCCCTCTAAAAAGAAGTCTTAGCTCCAGTAACTTCCTAGGAATTACAATTTCAGAAGTGACCAGGGATTCTCAAAGGGCACTTTCTTAGCTTCCACATACCTTCCAAATGTATATCAAGGCTTCACATCACCTGTTATACTGCCTCTATAAAACAGGCTCACAGAGTGGGAAGCATGGCATTGAGTCGACCAAAGAAGTCATCATCTCAAGTTATAAGGAAGCTCAGGAAGAAAGGTTTCACGTGAACAAAGAATTTTCCAATCTCTTAAATAATTGTCCATGAATGGATTTACTTAAGCAAGAGCTTAAGTACACTTCAAAAGAAACCAGTGATTATAGCTGCAAGATGAACATTGCGTCAATAGAAGGGCCACTTGGGGACACTCTGAAATCCCAGGGCAAAACTGACTGTCTTGATTTGACAGAGGAATAGGGCCAATTGGGGGTTTAGGCTGATTCTGTTTTTTGTGAGTCATTTTGTCTGTGGACATGCCTTACAAACTAAAACAAATCCAAAAAATCCCTAGGTGTGAGATGATTAAAGTTTTAAATCTGGTCATTTGTAAATCACAAAAGCGCTGGATGAAAGCCATGCTGTTTGGAGGCTTTTGTTTTTCTTGTTAAAATCTTAGGGTTTGCTGAGCTTATAAAGACTCCTTGAATCAAATAAAAAGTGAGGGCTTTTGGAGAGAGTCATTCTCTTCAGTATCAGATGCATTTTAGTCTATAATTTTCCACTCTGGCTTATGTGGCTGTCTAGGCTTGATTCCATCAACTCATTTAATCTCCAATTTCATAAAAAAGCAAGCTTTCTGTTTATCTTTGTCCAACTGAGTGCAATCTGTGCTTTCTAGCTCTTCTAACAATCCCAACTTTTTGAATTTCGTATCAGAATGCCTGTGTGGCATGGTAAATCTAGGCTGTCCTTGACAGGTTGGAAACGGCATACTCCTGGTGAGGAAATCAAGTGACGGCTCCCAAAGACACTCACTTAACAAATCATAACCTAAAAACAGATCATCACTTTAATTTACTGTGATGAAGTGGGGGAGAGAAGTTAATACAAATCAATGCATAGCTATAAGTTTTCAAAAAAATAAATGGTGCAGTTTCCCCCACAAACACTTAATTTTCATATACAAGCTAGTTGCTGAATTAGGGAAAATTTAGCATTCGACACAAGCTCATCTGAAACCAACCAAAAACAGAAACTTGAACTGAATTTGCTTATTGCTACATCCCTCTATTTTGTAAAGCTGAGAAGACTGCTTATGCTTCAAGGAAAGTTTGATAAACAACCATCTGACCAACAGAAGCTTGACATTTTAGTATCATTTTAATATCATACCTAATCTGTATGTATAGGTCAGAGCTGGCCTACTGACCCATACATACAGATGAGATGCCTGAGTAAGACGATTGTCTTTTGTTACTATTCAAGGTCCTTGCTATGTGTATTAGGTTGGTGAAAAAGTCATTATGGTTTTAAATATAATTTTGGGATGAATTTATAAAGATGTATTCTACTTCAATGTATGCATTATTACACCAAACAGATTCCCAACATTCTATCAATCAATCATTCTTATGGTCACAAACATTTGCTTCCCAAAAATATTTATAAAATTCTGTTTGTCAGCCCCATCATATATATTTTGGATCTGTCCTATCTTACTACCTAGGAAACCAAAGCCCAAAAGAAGTACCAATTCTCTGTCTACCTACAAACACACACGTATACAGCACTAACTTGCAAATAAGAGTATGCTGGGAAAGAAAAGAGAGAAAGGATAGTCTACCACATGTCATGAAACAGACTTGCTTAATTTCACTCTTTATGGGGAATAAAGTGTTAAAAATAACCCAAACAGCTGAGATGAGAGGCAATACTTTTGGTTATTCATTTGTTTTTATTTCCAACTCCTCATCTGTTATACAACTTTGGCCTTTTAAAAATGAACTTATTTGTAAATAAGAATAATGAGTTGGCAACTGGATTCAGGTCTGGCCATTTTACCTGAGTGATGAAAAAATAAATGATGTAGCGGTCTGCGAAACCATCTGACTCCCCTTTGAAATCCTCTTGTTTCCTCCTGAGATTGTCTAATTATAGAGTAATGCTGGAAGTATTCTTCACTTGCAGATTAATTAGTTGATGCTTAAGTAGTTCTTTGAACATAAAAGGCAACATGTAAATCTAAGTGTAATCAATCATCCTCAAGCTAATGATCATTTAATTAGCGCTTTCTGCTAGTTTAACAGTCCATAAAGAAGAGGGCAATTTAGGGAAGGGTCTCCCACCATTGCAAAGAGGTAAGATGTAGCTATAACTAGAATGAAAAACAATGTTCAAAATGAAGGTTTTAACATTGGAAATAAATTGGAAATTGACTCTCCCTTCTTCTGGTGACTAACAGCCATGAGGGAACTGAAAATGAAGCTTATCTTTTAGTAGCATTTGCATATTTCCAGAATTAGGAATCACAGTTTAAATTGGGCTTATCTAATGTTTTGTGGCAAAACCAAATACTTGAGGTGATATTTACAGGGCAGAAAAAAAAGTTAACTCTGGAGTGTTTGTAAATATTATGAAGGCTTAACTTCCTGCATTCTTGGTAAAATGGTTTCCTAACTAGGAAGTCATGTTCAAGTTGAAAGTTATATGATAAAGCTAGTTGTTTTGTAAAATACTTGTATTAGACTTTCTTACATGATTTTCTAATTATTTCTGTATTAATTCCCCTATTTGATTATATACGCAAAGCCAGGTGCCTTGCCTATTTCCAGCCTTATTCAGCTAAGAGTCAGCGTTCATTAAGTGAGTGTATCAATGAACAAATAATAACTAGAAATATACCTACACAATTAACATGAGAAAATGTGGCTTTGGGTATAAAAATTATTCTTCTAACTTAAAACATATTACGTCAAAGAAAATGTAAACAGTTCTGTTTGTCAATTAAGTCCCCACTCTAATGCTGGGCCGTTAACACAAACATCATCACAAAGAGATCATCCAGCCAACACGCTCAAGTTACCCAGCACTGCAAGGAGCCGTACTGGTTTATCTAATCAATACCTGCATCACATGACTTTTTAAAGTCACAGTTTTCTCAACTATGAATTGGGGCAATTGCAACAGTTAAATGGAATGATCACAAAACCAAAGTAATTATTTAATAGGTGTCAGCATTATTAACATCAGTTGATTTTTCTTTTTACATAATTTTAACTCAACAGAGAAAAAAATTTAAAACCTTGCTGAAAATACGTGTAGCCCTACCCTGCATGGACAAGAATTTGCTTTGCCAACTGATAATTCAAGTAGCACAAAAGCAACGTTAGAGATCAGCACTGACACCTCATGTTAGTAAGAGGCACACACCTCAAACCTAAGCTTTCAGGGATGTTGTAAAATTCATCATTTAAAAAGAGATTTTTAAAAAGGCAATAGCAGTTATGAAGATATATATCACATTAGCTTTTTCTCAAAAGAAAAAAAAAGATGCAAAGAATTTAACTGTGAAATAAATAGTATAATTAGGGTAATAGTAATACTATTTAAAATTTTATTCAAAAAAAGAAACACTTCAACAATAGTAGTAGATGAGTGTCTCAAAGTACTCAGACGTCTACCCTGTTTTTCAGAAGCATGTTTTTCATGTTCCTATCAGAACTCATGGAAGAATTTCTACATGCAATTTCTTCAAAAAAATCTCCACATCTAAATCTGACAAGACAGAAGTTTTGGGCAATCCTTACCAAATAGGCTGGTCATACAGCAGCACGCATTTGACTGTATTCCAAAACATGTGTCTTAAAAGGCTCTACTGAAATGGTCCCTGCAGAAGATGAATGCACAGAATCTATATTAGACCCACAGGTAAAGCTTTGGATGCAAAAACCACATTCACCCTACAGTCTTTTGACAAAGGTTTTTCGTGACTTAGCCTCTGACTTCTCTTACTTCTTGAGCGGATTTAATACCATCGACTTCTACAGTGTATAAATAATCTTGGTCTATGCACCCAAAGTTATGTAAGACAGTAGAAAAGAACCTACCTCAATTTGAGTAAAACATCAGTTTTTAGAAAATCATGAATCTGTGTAAAGCAAGGCAGGAGAAAAGCAGATATTGCTAATACCAATAGATTAAAACTTACACTAAGAAAAAAAGCCACCACTTTGTAAATATTATATTGGATAAATCTGAAGTGGTGTCTAACACTATTCCTTGGCTCCTTTTCTGAATATGAATGCTTTCTGCATTTTCTTAAAATTATGAGAATTTTTGAAAACTCCAAAAACAGAACAAAATTTTTATCATTGCTGATTTATTCTCAAGCTTTCCCTCTTCTAAGAAAACAAAAGAGGAAAAATAAAAACAATATATAACAAATAAACAAACCTAAGCCATAGATGCTGAATTCTGCTACAG
Source organism: Homo sapiens (assembly GCF_000001405.40). Lineage (NCBI taxonomy): Eukaryota > Metazoa > Chordata > Mammalia > Primates > Hominidae > Homo > Homo sapiens. Next base: position 72,026,574 of record NC_000017.11, read on the forward strand.
TTATCATTTTGTAGAAGGATGAGTAAAACAAGATAAAACACGTGAGTGTTCATTTACAGAAGTTACAAGCTTTATGAAATGCAAAGGAGCTGTATTTTACCACAGGAAGCCAAGTGAAATAGGGTGAAACAGAAGTCGATCATATTCAAATAATTAAAATACAAATACATTTCATGAAGACTCTGATTCCAGACCTCTGCTCTCACTGTCTTCCACCCCCTTTTATTGGAATCTCTGAAACCATTTTGCTTGGGGCAGAAAGTAGATTTTAGTATAGTAGGAAAAATGCCAAACATCCATGGCAACTTAGAATTTTTCCACTTTCTTTACATGTTCAATTGAGACCTTCATAAAATTATAAATGAAAGGATACATTATGAGCACTTTCTTTGAAGGGGAAAAAGAGGGTGGGGGGAGGCCTTGCCTGGAAGTAAAATTTTGGAGTCTATATCCTTCTTCTCTGCAGAACTCTTGGGAGCTTTCTCTGCCAACAGCAGGACCCCTAAAAAAAGCTTGCCTTTGCCTTCAGAATTCAAAAAAGTAGAACCACCAGTTGCTCCCCTGACCGTGGGTGAGACGTTGATCACTAGGTGGGGACTGGAAAGTCCTGGGCTCCACTTTCTTGTCCCTCAAGGACTGAGGTCAGTGTGTCTTGGCGCCTTATATCCACTCTCTCCATCCTCCCGCATTCCCTCCCCCTCAACCAGGGATTCACTCCTGTTTACACTGGGGAGACTGTAACTTCTGTTTCTTAACGTTTAAAAGAAGTTTAAAAGCTTATAAAAAGGCTCTTAAGATTTCTTGGACACCAATCACTTCTTACAGAACAATATTTTGATGAGTTAAGTGTAAATGAATCAGAAACCTATGTATTAAATTTCCCTTGACATGAACATCAATTTAAAATATTAATGGAAAAAATGCCCAGGGCTCGAAGTGTTGGGGGTTTTCTCAAACCCAAAATGCTTGAACGTGGAGTGGAAATCCATTCAGATCAACCAGATTTGCTGATCCTCCCTCTCAACCTCCCCTAGATTGTAATTACCGTGGAGGGAGTAGTATTTCCAGCTATTGACCATCTGGCTGGGGATAGATCACATTCCTGGTCATTATGCTTGCATCTCAGCAGAAGCCCAAGGCTGGGCTGAGGCTGTTGAGATGTCCAGCCGCTGTTCACAGAAGGCTGACCCTAAAAGCTGCCTTTTTTTTTTTTTTTTTGACCAAGGAAACTAAATAAACAATCACAGAAGATCATAAATCACTGACAAAGATATTTAGATTTGCAACAGCCCTCAAAAACAGAATGTGCCACAATTTATCCCTCAAAGATTAACTCAATCCTGGGTCCTATAATTGTGCATCCCATGACTTCTGATGATAAATGACACAAGGGTCAAAACTTGAGAATTGGTAGGTGTTTTTGTTTTGTTTTGTTTTAAATATTGACTCTGGGTCCAAGAAAACACCCAGAGGAACAGAAGCAACCCAAAATCCTGAAATCAGACTTGTTCCCTAAAATCATCACTCTCTCTATATATATTTATGTATATTTTTAATATATAATACATATGTATTTTATATATTATATATAAAATATATAAAATATATATTTTATATATTATGTATATATTTTTATATATATTATATATACATTTTTTTTTTTTTTTGGAGACAGAGTCTCACTCTGTTGCCCAGGCTGGAGTGCAGTGGTGCAATCTTGGCTCACTGCAACCTCTGCCTCCTGTGTTCAAGCGATACTTCTGCCTCAGCCTCCCCAGTAGCTGAGACTACAGGCACCCACCACCACGCCCAGCTGATTTTTTGTATTTTTAGTCGAGACGGGTTTTCACCGTGTTAGCCAGGATGGTCTCCATCTCCTGACCTCGTGATCTGCCTGCCTCGACCTCCCAAAGTGCTAGGTTTACAGGCGTGAGTCACCGTGCCCAGCCCTGTTTTTTTAAGTTGGTTTTTCATCTCTGTTTTGTTTTGTGAACGGATGACCACACACACTAGGTTGAGTGACAAAATAAGGAGATGGAACCAAGCGAAAGAGATGTCAAGCCTCTCCTCTTTGGTCACGTTAGCTAATCTGAACATTTGGGACCTGTGTCACAGATACTACAACTATGAACAATTGCTAACTTCTTGGTGAAACACAGCATGTGTCCAGCGCTTCAAAAGTATTATTGGGAGCATGTCTGCCTAATCTTCAACCCAACACTCATTCTAGTAACACACATGAAAGGGTTCTGTGAACTCTCATAAACTATCCCCACATAAACTGTTTTTACTATTATTTTCAAAAGTCATATCCCTCACCCGCTTAAGGACAGCTTAACAGTTCTCAGTGCTTTAGAAGATGCCCTTATTCATCTCTATCTCAGGAGGGGTGAGGACCCAAGAGTTCCCTTCTAATGGGATATTTTCCCTTGCTCATTCCTTCTCAGAGACACTCTCTCAAAGGTTTGGCAGGGTCTGGTGGTCAGGGAAGAGTGCATCTTTACAGAAACATACCTTTTAAAAACAGTGTTCAGCCTTGTCCTACTCAAGGCACATGCTGGATATATGTTTGTTGAATGGCTAAGTCAATGAGTGAAAGAATGAAAAAGCCATACCTCTTTTACAATAAATTTGCATAGACGAATGAAAAATTAAAAGACTGTCAGAGACAGGTACAGCACAAATTGCCCCCACCTCAACTAGCCATCCCTTCAACTCCAACCCCTCCCACCACAGAAGATGATTAGGGTTTTTTAGGAAAAAAAGAGAAGCTGTACAGCAATGACACACCCCAAAGACAGCACACTAAGATTCCTTTGCTTTATATTGTTTATAATGTTTAACCTCTCTGGTGGCCACCAGTTCTTAAAAGCTCCTAAGCATTTTCACAGAAAATATAAGAGGAAAACCAGCAATAGTAACAACGTCAATGGTGCCGGCAGACACAGAAAGACTCAGAAAAATATGGAGGCTCTAGGATGCCTGATAACAAGTCTCATTTCCTAAAATGAGATCTGGGGACTGGAGAAAGTGTTATCAACCAAGACAAGGAATAGGATAGACATCAGAAGTGCCCAATTCCAACACATTTTCTGAGACTCCTTTCCTAGGCAAACCTGATGAATGTGCAGACATAAATAGATAGTCCTACCATAAATTGATCTCTTTTTATCCTAAGTAATCAAGGTCCAGTCATTTCCCTCAAGCTGGGCTTCTATTGCTCTCTCTGGAGATTCAGCATAAACATGTCCTTGAAGTTTTGCTCAGGTAGATGAAGGTGGCAGAAAGCATGCAGCTACTGGGGTTAGTGGCTGTCCCCTGATTAAGTGCAAAGGTGGAGACCCATAGTTTATCCCCAGAAAGTTTCCATGCTTTCCCCTGGCATTTTCTCTCAAGCTTTTACAAGCCTTGTTCAGGGAGTGGAAACTCATTTTAAAGGTAGTTTAGACCCACCCTTCCCTTAAGGGAAATTTCTATGCAGGGGGAAAGCAAGCAAAACAAAACAAAAGTTACACTTCAAAGCCTTACAAGATAACCACAGGGAGAAGGCTAAGTCCTCCCAGTTACTCAGCCCTCCCCTGTGCTAATTGCAGGAGGTAGAGCCTGACTGTATTATTATTTGCATACTTGATCAGAAGAAGGGCCACAGAAGGAGGTCTAGAAGCTCAGCTGGTGTTTGACTGACATCTTTTAGGACTTGGACCCCACCGCCCACCCCCGCAACCAACACCACCACCAGTCCAGGACCTGATGTAATATTGCCACAGACTGATTCCCGTTGCCTTTGATATGCAACCTGTGCCTACAGTCAGCTCTCAGGGCTAAAGAAAACAGTCAGCTCCTGCGGCATCTGATTTGCCTCCTGCCCTCGCTGCTGTTAATCTGCAACACGCCACAGCCTCTAGATCGCTGCCGTTCAGAGTCGGATGTCATGGGGGCGACTGGCAGGGGTTCTTTCTTCTTTCGGTTTGATACATCCTTCCTTCCGCTGCTCCTCGCAATCAACCGCTAGGGGAAGGAGGGAAGCAGGCAGGAGGGAGAGCGGGAGACTTCCGGAAATCCCTTTCCTCCCTTCCCTTCACAGGTTGCCCCATAGTGACCCTGGAGACTCCCGCCTGCCCCCAGTGAAGGAATTGGTTACTCTCCCAGAGCCCTCCCGGGCATCGCCCCCTTCCTCACTTCCTCCTCTTCCTGCCCCCAGCCTCTACCCCTCCAGCCTCCTGTGGCTTCACAGGCAAGTGCCGCATCCCAGGAAGAAGGAGTTGGAGCTCCGTGATGGTGAGCTTTCAGACTTCCCCCTACAACCTCCGCCTCCCCAAAGGCACAGAGGCAAGCAGTGGCTTCCCTGGTATCATTTGTGGATCTAGGAGCATGAGGGAGCTATCGAAGACGGCATGTAGCCTGTTCTTCTTTCTCTTAGTAAACAATAATATCTAAATGTGCTAGAGGGAAAATACTTTTTAATTTATACTTTAAAACTGGTTTAGATTTTGAATGTATAGTCTGTTTTCCTGGAGTCCAATTGTAACATGAACCCCAAACCTAGGAGTTCTGTTTTTATACATCAGGAAGGGGACCAACCCACTCACCCATCCACCCATCTTTCAACTCACCCACCCACTCTTGTTTATAACTGCATAGTGGTTTATTTTGCCAGCACTAAACTATGCAGCTTGTTTCCCCTTTGCCAGCCTCTGCAGACAGAAAGCAAAGGCTGATCATTCTCAATTGACATGTGCACCCCTACTCTGAAGCTACAGCTGGATGACACCTCAGACAAATGCACTCATACATAAAAGTTTTTCTGCATGTTTTCGTTTTTGATTCTTTTATTGGAAGCATTTTTATGGCTGGGAGGTAGGTGCACATCCATTACAGTGAGGGGTCAGATATTAGAATACTTACGGTGCTTATAATTTTAATAGGATCACCCCCCTCATCCCTCATTGCCAATCAATTTCACTCTGTTTCAGGGTCACAGATCATACCCCTAATCCTGGCCAGTTGTCTCACCAATGTGTGTCACAAGCGGCCTGGGGCAAGAAAGTATAGATGACCCAGCATAACCGTTGCTTCTATTGCAAAGGGTACATCCTACAAAGAGCAGAACACGATTAGAGGCAGGCATAATTGCAGGCACTAAATTAGCATGGGTCTCTCAGCCAGGGGCTAATCTAAGCCAGACCTCACGTCATGGCAGGCCATGAGTACATCGCAATTACAATTCAAAAGAAAAGAGAAAAATCACCCTTGATTCTCAAATGTTTATTTTTAACACGGCAGATACTTAGCAATTATATCAGAGGCTGAGGCATCTGGAGTAAGCAAGAAAGGTGATTTGGGTTAATAATCTTTGAAAGGCTAAAGGATTTTCAATGTATGTATAAGACTGAGCCCTGTGCATGCTCCCCATTCTCTCCCTGACATCAGCCACATCCACCCCACCTCTGCCGCTACACGTTGGTGCTACCCAAGGTCTCCATTCACGCACTGTCCCTCTGCATCTCATGCTTCATCCGGGCCCTCCTCTGACCTGACCTTACCTGGCTGACTTAGTGCCCCAATTCTCTAAAACATGGAGAGATGGAACTGGTAGCTTGAACCCTCCCAGTTCCATCTCTTCCCTTTGTAAGTTTTCCCGGTGCCCTTGGGCCCCATGTTTCTAGACTATGCCCTAACACAGAGCCTTTAAAGCTTACTTCCACATGAAGGCAGAAATCAATCTTGGGCAGCCAAAACACATATGCTTTCTCAGTGGTAGGCTTAGGAGTGATTTTTTTTCTCTACAATCAACATGTATTAATTTTACATTCAAAAATTGTGTGTGCGTCTGTGTTTATTCGGTTTCAAAATCCAGTATACAACAAACTTTGCTTCTCCTGGCTTTTTAAACTCTTTTCACATGCCATAGTCCTGGTTCACCAGTGCAATTAATTTGCCTTTGAATTTGCCACTGGGATTCTTTTTGGTCGGCGGGGGGCTGTAGGTCGGGGTCAGAGTCTTGCTCTGTCACCCAGGCTGGAGTGCAGTGGCATGATCATAGCTCACTGTAGCCTCAAACTCTCAAGTTCAAGCAATCCTCCCACCTCAGCCTCCTGAGTGGCTGAAATTACAGGCACAAGCTACCATGCCTAACTAAGTTTTTAATTTTTTTGTATTGACAGGGTCTTGCTATGTTGCCCAGGCTGGTCTCAAACTTGTGGCCTCAAGTGTTCCTCCTGCCTCAGCCTCCCAAAGCACTGAGATTACCCTGCGTTTTTGTTTTTGTTTGCTTTTTTATTAATCAAAGTAGAAATCACAGACCCATTGTATTTCTACAGGTGAAATCATTACAATGTTGCCAGGGATTAATTTCTATGAGTGGATGAGAGGTCTCTTTTTCACAGTTTTCTTTTTGTCAGGGGACTACTGCCCTGATAAAACTTAGGCCTTCCCTGGCTAGGACATAGTAACCCTTCCAGCCATATTATAATGAATTTTGTAAAACTTGGCCAAACATTAGGCTGTACTGGAATGTTACCTTTTTAAATTTCAGAATAAATAGGCTATCAGCAGGATCACGGACAAGTTTTGATCATACAGAGACAGCCATTGTAATAGGACTTTTTCTGTGTTAATATAATGATTTAATAAAGCCATTTGGCACATAAATAAGACTCTCTTAGACCAAGCATTCTTAACAATGAGAGAATTGAGATCAGCCTATAGGGTGTATTAGCAAAAGTGTCTTTTCCAGCTTTAGTAAAACTCTTCCATCTGTTTAGCAATAATTTTATTATTCTGTATTAAAAACCCTCCTGAAATAGATGTGGTAAAAAACGCTCTGCCCCTGTTATGATACTTTCCAAACAAGCTTAAAATTGCTCAGAAACAAAAGGCAGGAGAAAAAAGAAAGGGCAGTGTCTCCAGATAATGAAGTTCTGCCTTTGTGTTTTATCTGTAAAACAGTACGGTTTGAAAAGTCTGGATCCCATTTCATCTGAACGCAACATAAATGTAGTGCCTGGAATCCTCCCAAATGAATAAATTCTTTTCTGATAATTTTTAAGTGAGGAAAGATCAACAGGATAGGGGCATGAGGTGGGGGGCGGGGTAGGGGGGATTATAGGCTGGTGTGTGTGTGTGTGTGTGTGTGTGTGTGTGTATTTAGCAGGACAATTGGGAGAGTTCTGGACATAATTTTTTTCTTTTCTTTTTCTTTTTGGTGAACCATGCTGAATTTTGTCTCTCTTTCTTGAAAAACCTTAATAGATTTGTGTGTTTGTTGACCAAGTGCTCTTTTTCATTCCTATTCAGCTTGCCTGTCCCATCCCAAGTATACTTGCCTCAGATGGCAACATGACAAAGCTCCCTTCCTTCTCTCGAATGGTTTGCAAGCTTCTGGTCTTCTTTTTCTTCTCCCTGGATTGTGCACAAAATTATGCCAATTTATGGTGGGGTAAGGGGATACTCCATGGACCACTTATCTCTTTAATTTTCCTCCATGTTGTGAGGTCTTGCTGAGCGCAGTCTGCAACTTCTGGAGTGATGAAGAGAACAAAAAGCTGTAGGCCTGTCACACTAACTTTCAGGATTGAGGTTACCAAAGAGGAACTGTGTAATTTCTTTATATAAATGGCTTAACCAGACCTCAAAAAGTCCTGCAATGAACACAGTTCTCTTTCGGGCTTAATGTTCTCACTTTGCTTCTTTGTTTAAAAAAAAAAAAAAAAAAAAAGGTTGGGGGGAGGAAAAAAGGCCATTGATCCTCCTCTTCCTTTGACCACTGGAAGAAAGGTAGAGAAAAAGAAAAAGAAAATTAACAAAGAAAGGACCCATGTCCCTCCTGCTTCCCCCTCCTCTCCCCATCCACAGGCAAAATCTAATAACAATGATTAAATTACATGTCTTTTCCTCCCATTGAAATCCACTGCATACTATTCAAATATTAGAACTCAGGAAATAAGGCAGGACAAGGTCCCTCATGAAACCTTAGAAGGCAGCACAGGGGTTTGAGCTGGAGGTCTGCTTGGCTGGGCAGCTCTAATTAAGAAATCACCCTGCTGAGCAGAACTTAATCTAAATAAAATATAAAAAGGAATCCAGTGAAAACCATTACCTCCCCACCCCACCTCCTCACACACCTCACATCCATAGGCCCTGTTTCCCTAGTCCTAGGAACTCTCCCTCCCATCACCTGGGAGTTCGATGTTGTTCTATGTGCCCCACAGTACAATCAAAAGTGAATTCTCAGCTCTAGAAGAGGAAGCTATGTCTTGTGCTGGCCTCTTGCTGTTTGGCTGGCCTTTCACAGGGCCAGAGGCAGATTTAGTCAATGTTGTTTTGGTTTGGAGGGGTATATGAAATGGAGATTTGACCAAGGAATGATTAAAGAGCTGGTTATTTGCTATAGTTAACAAGGTATTGTGTATTTCAAAATACCTAGAAGAGAGGACCTGAGATGTTCCACACATAGAAATGATAAAGACTAATGGTTATGGACACTTCAAATACTCCGATGTGACCATTACACAGTCTATGCATGTAACGAAATATAATAGCTACCCCATAAATAAGTACAAATATTTGGATCAATTTTTAAAAAGCAAAGATTAAAAAAAAGAGTTGACCATCTGGTCAGCCCTTCTATTCTTAACACAATGAACTGCCAACCCACAGCCTCTCTGCAGGCTAACTGGGTTCTTCTTGCCTGTCCACCAACTGCATTTGATGGAGTAGCCACCTGAGAGCAAAGTCCACATCTGTTTAACTTGATGTTGTTCACTATACTTGTACTAATTAGTCCTTTATGCTGTATTGAATCAGCCTCAGACCTCTGCCCCACCCCCCGTCCTGGGTGCTCCCTCTGATGTTGGGTGACATTTATTTAGCTTCATTTCCCACTGTCCTCCATAGAAATCTGTTCTGTGTTCTCATTGATCTCACTGTTGACCCCATGAGTGTGCTGTTCTCTACATTACACCTTTGTGACTTTGCATGGGCTGCCATGTCCGCCCATGGTAGTGGTTTTTAAGCTGTTGAAAACCTGTTGAAAGAGATAAACTCTATCCCTAAGGTGGGAAAAGCACACATATGTACATAAACACAGGGTTTTGCCAGCAATTTCAGGGAGTAGCTCACTCTCTAAGGAGTATGTGATTACCACCTTGACCCATTTATGCCTGAGGTTGCAATTTTTGCAATCAGATCTTGGTGATGATCTTGAGCAGTAGGATATAAATAACTCCCACATGCTTAGCATTCCAATAATGGAACACTAGGCGTAAGTGGGTCAAACTCTTGAGATCAATTTTTCTGTCTTTTCTCCTCCCATTTTGGGAAAACTCCTACTTATCCTCAAGGAGAGCTCCACAAAGTTTGCAGACTCCTGCTCTGTGCTCCTTGATGTCTTTTGTCTGTAAGGCCAGTACACCACTTACCACAGTGCAATAATCATTTGTTTGAGTGTCCATCTTCCTCTAGACCAAAGGGGGCAAATGTTCTCTTAAAAGTGCCAGATAGTAAAGATTTTTAGGCTTTGTAGGTCATATGGTCTCTGTGGCAACTACTCATGTCTGCTGTTTTTGCAAAAGCAACCATAGATGATGTCTTAGTCTGTTTGGGCTGCTATTAAACAATACTGTGACCTGAGTGGCTTATATACAACAGACATTTATTTCTCACAGTTCTGGAAGCTGAGAAGTCTAAGGTCAAGACTCCAGTGGATTACGCATCTGGCGAGAGCCTACTTCCTGGTTTGTAGGTGGTGTCTTCTCTCTGTGTCCTCACATGGCATAAGGGAAAAGGGACCCCTCTGGGATCTATTTTTATAAGGGTACTAATCCCCTGCATGAGGGCTCCTGCCTCAAGACCTAATGTATTGTCCATTTTCATGCTGCTGATAAAGACATACCTGAGACTGGGCAATCTACAAAAGAAAGAAGTTTAATGGACTTACAGGTTCACGTAGCTGGGGAAGCCTCACAATCATGGCAGAAGGCAAGGAGAAGCAAGTTACATCTTACATGGGCAGCAGCAGGTAAAGAGGGAGAGCTTGTGCAGGGAAACTCCCATTTTTAAAACCATCGTCTCGCATGAGACTTACTCACTATCACGAGAACAGCACGGGAAAGACCTGCCCCCATGATTCAATTACCTCCCACCAGGTCCCTCCCACAACACATGGGAATTCAAGATAAGATTTGGATGGAGACACAGCAAAACAATATCACCTAATCACCTCCCAAAGGCCCTACCTCCAAATACCATCGCAGTGGGGATTAGATTTGAAGATAAGAATTCTGGGAGGACACAGACATTCAGTCTACAGGGGACAATATGGAAACAAATGGGCATGGCTCCATTCCAGTAACACTTTATATGCACTGCAATTTAAATTTCATATCGTTTTCATGTCATAAAATATTTTTTATTTGTTTTCCAAACGTTAAAAAACATAAAAACTATCTTTTTTTTTTTTTAATCTCATTAGCCATTCAAAAACAGATGAGATGGGGACAGATTTAACCCAAAGGACATAGTTCAACTCCTGGTCTTGACAGAGGAGAAGCCCTCAAAGGTAAATCTTACTAATTTTTGAGCTTTATTATCTAATCCCTCAAAGGTAATTCATCCTTGAGTTTAACTATCTAGCATTAACTGATACAAAAAATGCATATAAATGTACAATTTACCCTTGAACAAGAAAGATAGGTTGACCTGTGCAGGTCCACTTACACTTGGATTTTCTTCTGCTTCTGCTACTCTTGAGACAGCAAGACCAACCCCTCCTCTTCCTCTTCCTCCTCAGCCTACTCAATGTGAAGACAATAAGGATGAAGACCATTAATGATGTTCTGCTTCCACTTAATGAATAATAAATATATTTTCTCTTCTTTATGATTTTCTTAATAACATTTCTCAAGTCTATTGTAAGAATACAGTGTATAATACATATAATGTACAAAACTTGTATAATCAACTGTTTCTGTTACCAATAAGACAGTAGCCTATTAGTAGTTAAGTTTTTGGGGGGTCAAAAGTTACATGCCAATTTTTGACTGCATGGGGTGTTGGGGCCCCTAGTCCCTGCATTGTTTAAGGGTCAACTGTAATAACAACTATAAACAACTGAATGACTTTTTGATTACAAAAAATTCCTTGAGACAAAGCCTGAATAGAACAACCATAAATGTGGCTTTGGGGACACTGTTGCGGCTTCATGTTTCATCATGACTAGAGATATAATACCTTAAGTAGTTAGCCACCAACACTCCAATCGCAAATTCTGGAGGTCTGGGATTATTCCACAAATCACTGGGTAGATGCAAACCTTCTAGAGAAGTCTAGTATCAGCAGAGTAAAACAATCTCCTTTTAAAAATAAGATTTCTTTATCACTCCCTGCTTTCACGCAATCACAGCTTCTTTTTATTTACTTATTTATTTTTTAGATGGAGTCTCACTCTGTTGCCAGGCTAGAATACAATGGCACGAACTTGGCTCACTGCAACCTCCGCCTCCTGGGTTCAAGAGATTCTCCTGCCTCAGCGTCCTGAGTTGCTGGGACTACGGGCACACACCATCATGCCCAGCTAATTTTTGTATTTTTAGTAGAGACAGGGTTTCACCATGTTGACCAGGATGGTCTCGATCTCTTGACCTCGTGATCTGCCCACGTCGGCCTCCCAAAGTCCTGGGATTACAGGCATGAGCCAGTGCGCCTAGCAAACGACAGCTTTTTGAGCCTCTGTTTAACAATCTCTTAAACCTTATAGGTAGGCAGTTCTGAGACAGCTCCTAATCATCTCCCCTCCTGGTATTCAAGCCCTGATGGAATACTCTCTTCTTCAATGTGAGCTGGACTTAGTGGTTTTCTTCTAATCCATTGAATACACACAAGTGATGAGCTGTCATTTCCAAAATTAGTTCACACAAAGCTGTAACTTTTGTTTTGTTCACAGCCTCTCTCAATTGCCTTCTCAGCTTGTATGCTTTGAAGAAGCAAGCTGCAGTGTTGGAGAGGCCCATGTGGCAAGGAAATGAGGGTGGCCTCCAGTCAATGGCTGGTGAGAAACTGAGACCTTCCTTCCAACAATTGTCAAGTAACTGAATACTCCCAACAATCATATGGGTTAGGTTAGAAGTGAACCTTTCTCTAGTTGAGGTTTCAGATAAGACCACAGATATTATACTAACACCTTGATTGCAGGCTTATGAGAAACCTTGAAATGAGAAGACTAAGTAAAACCATATCTGGATTCCTGACTTGCAGAAACTGTGTGATGATAAATGTGTGTTATCTTAAGCCACAAAGTTTTTGGGGTGATTTGTTCTACAGCAATTGATAATGAATACTTCAACCTATAGTGACAACTGGATGTCTATTTACTCATTTTCCCCACCAAAGTGTAAAGTTCCTACAAGGCAGAGGTTACAACATATTCATCCTGCTACCTCTCACAGCCCATAATATACAACCTGACCCATAAAACATGATTAATCAATGTTTGTTAAATTAACATGTATTTTGAGTTTCATTGAAATCAGTTAGTTGAAGTGATAATAACATTTAAATGTGCATGAGCAGTAGGACAAGGCAGATAGCTGGTTAGGATAGAAAGTTTTTGAAAATTGTGAGGGGAAAAATTATTTCTATTTGTACCCTGTTGTACCCAGCTTAGGTTTCAAAAACTTTCAGGGGGTTTTTATTCATTTACCAAAGACTTCAAAGTTGGTGCCTCCCCACCACTCTAAAGAGGTCTTTGCCCTTATTGACCCAACCATACTGATTTGCCTGGTGCACAGTGGGAGCTATTATAAGGAGAGGGGAGAAGAAGGAAATAGAAACAACTGTGAAAAAGGTTGAAAAAAATAGCGAAAAGGATAGAAAAAGAGCAGAGGAAAGAGAAGAAGTAGTCAACATCCAACCCAGATGCAGAGAAATGATTCAAAAGAAAAAGTCTGATTTTCCTGTCGGAAATATTTTTAAAAGGAGGTAGGCATTTATCAAAAAGGAAAAAAAAAAAAAAAGAATAACAGAGTTTGTCTTCCAAAGGACCCAATACTCTTGGAATTCAATGACCTAATTCTGTGTATGGTTGCAGTGTGGAGATTGCCTCTTGTCTGATTCTCATGGCATTGAGACCTCTGATTTCTCAACAGCACATGCCACAGCACTATCAGAAGTCAGGAATAAAGAACAGAGGGTGTGGGGGGCAGTCTAGATATTATGCTCAGCAAACATATTTTTAAATCAGTGTAAATTCTATCTTGCTGGTTGCTTATCTTAGCAGTTAAATCAACTTTTCGTTACTTTTGTAGACATTATATAATATCTTCTCCCCGCAGCTCCAGCCACCAGCTGTTAGTCAGCAGAATGGGAGAGGGACTGGGTCAGCTTAAGCTGAATAACTTCCATGGTGACATTTGAGGGAACCAATTCCCAGCCACTGAACAAACCTAAATGTTCTGCTATGGCCATAGAACCAAATAGATCTTAACAAAGAAACCTGAGAGCATTCAAAGGTCAAAACAATTGGAGCTAGTTCCTTCAAGCTTAAATATGCTCATCTGTAAAGTGGGGACAATAACTGTGTGTCTTATAGGGTTATTTTGAAGGCTAAATATGTGTAAAAGCCTCAGTCTACTGAAAGGTTGCTCAACTGTAACACTCTTTTCATTTTGTGAGGGATCATTCTTTGTTGGAGGTTAGGGACACTGTCTCGTGCATTACAGGATGTTTAGCAACATCCTCAGCTTCTATCCATCAGATGTTAGCACCCCCCCCACGGACCACCATCTTCTCCATCATCACCATCAAATATGTCTCCAGACATTTCCAAGTGTCCCCTGGGAGGCTAAAACTGCCCCTGGTTGAGAACCACTGTTCTAGTACTTGGCATTGTTCCATAAACATCAGATGATATTTTTATCATTATAATTATTACTAAAGGCAACATCACCCTGCTATGGAGACAGGTCCTTGGTCTCACGGAATCCCTGCAATAGTTGCTGCATTTCTGCATCTTTCTGAGAGTAAGGGTTGAAAAGAGATAAGGTCAATTCATCTGACAACAATCCAATGGGAAACCTACTGTCTCCGTAGAAATTCTTTTCATGGAAAGAAAAGGGGCTACCATTTTGATCTGCTGCAGGAACTAGGTCTATTCCTCAGCCTCACAGTTTGCAAAACGCTACAGACTTTTCCATGGGCATAAATTCTCCAGCTTTAGGGATTGCTGGTATAGTTGACTCTTGAAGCTGCTCTTGGATTTCCAAGGGTAGCACCATTTTTACCTGAGAAAAGAAGGAAAAAGATATTCAAGAAGGAGAACTTTTCAACAGAAGTTACTCCATTTGCTGTTTTTGTGGTTTTGTGCTTGTTTAGGTTTGCAAGTGTGTTTTCTGCCCAAATTGTTCTTGCATATTCTAACAGTGTTTGCTTTACGTGTTTTGATGCCACGCTGTTTTGAAGGTACAAATGTTTTTCATGGCATGTCTTGTGTTAAGTGTACAAACTGAGACGTGAATGTCAGTGACTGAATAGAGTACAGTATTCCTCAAAGTTTGTAACTAAATAAACCCTAAGAGAAAAGTGAAGCGAGATTTCTGGAGGTCTGGAAGTGGCCAGCTGACAATATACATCTCTGTATCTCCTATTTTTATCTTTATGCTAAATGCAAATTTTACTTTCTGTGCTAAAATAATGTTTCATTAGTTTCAAGGTAAAAATGTGTAAATAGACTTTCCGTACTGGCTTGTTTATTCTGTGGTTTTTCCTACTCCCTTTTTAAAAGTATGTACAGTGAATTTGCAAAGATCATAGTATTGGAATCTAACCCACCTGAATTTCAGTCCTTGGCTATACTACTGATAGAATGGATTAACTTGGGCATATCACTTAATCCTGAGGACCCTCAGTTTCCATATCCGAAATGAAGAAGTAAGAAGTGACCTACTATATCACACCATTATAAGAAGTAAAAGCAATATATGTGAACAGTAGAGCAGAGGGCCAGGCACAGAAAGTTCTCTATAGTCATTAGCTGGCATAATTATTATAAAAGGGAGCACTTTTGATGTAAAACATAGGTAGAAGTTCACAAATTTGTTAATCTGCCCCTACCTCCCAACCGTCTACCTACCCTCCATACCTGGCCACCTGCCTCATACAGATATTGCCTAACTTTTAAAAAGGAACACTTTTGATATAAAACATAGGTAGAGGGTCACGCAGTACATGAATGAGAAATGAAACAGAGGCCTGTTAATCTACTGTCACCTCCCAACCCTCTACCCACCCCCTATACCTGGCCACCTGCCTCTGTGCAGATCTTGCCTAACCTTTCCCAACAGGAAGAACCTGGGATTTTGTGAAATACTTCCGAGGATGAAACTAACACAGCTCATTAACCCTCCCAAGTATCTGTGCTATAAGGATTTCCTGTAACTTTCCCATGACTCTGAATTACATCTACCCTGAGCCCCACATCAAGATCTGGGACATTGCCTTGTCATGCTGACAGTTGCCCACATTTCCTGGCTTTGTTCACATTGCTTCCCAGACCCCTCTTCTGAAGATTCTGATTTTCTTGGTGTAGGGAGAGGGGCAGATAACTTATATTTTTAACAAGCTCCCTAAGTATTTCCTAAGATTGTGTAAGTTGAGAAAGCACTGCATTGTGCTATCTGCTTCTGTTGCCCACAGTACCAGAACATATCTCCAGACATCTAAAACACTAAAACAAAGAACAGCAGGTGTAATTTCTAAAAAAAAAAAAAAAAAAAAAAACCTGATCATGGCAAATTTAATATTAGTCTAAATATCTATCAGAATTCCAACATACACCCTCCTTGACCCTGCAATTCTACTTCAAGGAATTAATCTTAACAAATATACTTCCAGATCTATAGAAAGGTGAATGTAAAAGCATTGTCTCTAATGCTGTGCGGAATAATGCAGAAGACTGTGAGAAAAAACCTAATGTCCAACAATGGGGGAAGAAATGTATGACATAGCCATATAATAGAATATTATGGAGCTTTACAAAGACAGCTGTCTGTGTTTCGGTATTTTACATCCATACAAGCCATTCTCTGTGTGTTGAATTAAATTAAAAAGGTCTCCAAGTTATATTTTAAATTAAAAATGTCAAAGTGCCTAATAGTATGGGCAGTTGACAATCTATCTCCTTCCTCTCTATAACCTTTCTAACTAGATTGTATGTGTCTTGTGCATTATAAGATGTTTAGCAACATCCTTAGCTTCTGTCCACCAGATGTTAGCACCCCACCCACAGACCACCACCCTCTCCATCATCACCATCAGAAAGTCTCCAGACATTTCCAAGTGTTCCCTGGAGGGTAAAATCACCCCTGTTTGGGAACCACTGTTCTAGTGCTTGAATAAACGCACATACTATCCCTGGAAGGATACCCAGAAGCATCACTGGTGCCTGTGGGGTAGGGGACTGGATGGCTAGGAGCTAAGGCCAGGAGGGGACTGAATTTTTGCACAATATGTTTTCTTGGACCCTTTGATTTTTGTATCATGCACAGATTTAACCTATACAAAAGTTTGTTTTGATTTAAAACAGAAGACCTCAGTCTAGCTAGCACTCATACCCTACATTTATTCCTTCCCTTTATCCTTCTCTTTCCTTACCCCACAGCTTTGCTCCTCCATTCACATTAGGAGAATCTTTTCCTGTCCTCCATTCCCACCACAGTGTGGACTTCCTCTCTCCCTATTTCCACTCTGCTTAAGCCCCACCATTTCCTGGAGGTATGTCTGTCACCTTCAAGTTCTACTAAAGCTACCTTGAATCTAAGCCACACAGGAGGGTTTGTTGCCCTGATGAAATACACTCCATGACCATACCCTTCCTGTACATCTACACATTCCTCATCAATTGGAGATCTTATCACAGAGAAATGTTTTAAAAATCATTCACTTTAGTGTCAAACTTTCTTCTCTCTTATTTTAAATTTTCATAATTTTTAATGTATGGGTGCCTAAAAAAGAGTGATGTCTGTTTGAATTTGACCTGTGTGTTTGCATTTCAACCATAAATTTCCTCGTAAACAACAGACTCCCTATTTATCCTACACAATAACAATATAAGAAAGACCTACTTATAATCTCTCCTATCGGCCTAATTATAAGCTCTTAGAAGTGCGGAGCTTATCTTTCACCATTCTACTTTCTTCTTAGGGCTTAATGCAGAAGTTTGACATTAAAGACCCTCAAGAAGTACTTGTTGAGTGAATATCAGAATGAAGTAGTGAATGTACTTTTTTTAATTTTAATTTTAAGTTCAGGGGTACATGTGCAGGATGTGCAGGTTTGTTACATAGGTAAACGTGTGCCGTGGTGGTTTGCTGCACCTATCAACCCATCACCTAGGTATTAAGCCCAGCATGCATTAACTATTTTTCCTAATGCTCTCCCTCCCCATTTGACCCAGCAATCCCATTACTGGGAATACACCCAAAAGAAGACAAATCATTCTATTACAAAGATACATGGATGTGTATGTTCATTGCAGCACTATTCACAATAGCAAAGACGTGGAATCAACCCAACTGTCCATCAGTGATAGACTGGATAAAGAGAATGTGGTACATATACACGATTGAATGCTATGAAGCCATAAACAGGAACGAGATCATGTCCTTTGCAGGCACATGGATGGAGCTGGAAGCCATTATCCTCAGCAAACTAGGGCATCTGCAGGAAAACAGTGTACTATTCTAATTCATTTCCAGGAGTGTTAATTGATTGTTTTGGCAGAAGAATGTATGGTTTGCGATACAGTGTCAGTACCATGGTTGTACAGTCTGTTTGTTGCCTGACAGTTGTTGGCTTGTTTTTAGTATGGTCATTTAGTCTCCCTTGTTTACCCTTGACCCCATCTATGTCCTTCAGAGCACCAAGCATAGGGATTTGTCCACAGCACGTTCTTGGGAAATGGTATGGAATGAATGGCCTTTGATGAGCAATATAAAGAACATGTAGAAAGCTTGGCAAAAGCTTAAGCAGTAAAAGTAAACAACCAACTTGCCCCCAAATCTGCATAATGTTATATTAAATGTTCATCATGGGAGGAAGAATGACAGGCAGGTTTGGGGGGTTGGCCATCTCTCCATACTTTCCAGGAAGCTGGGTTTATGTCTTCTGAGGTAAGAACTAGAATAGAATTTTTTTTCTAGATATTTGTGCTTTGCTCACTCCTGTCTTCCAGGGAGGGAGAGGGTCTGCCTATTACAAGAAGGCTGTGATCCTTTGGGCTGTCAAGAACTTAATTTAAAATCATAACTGATATTAATAACAGGTATTTCACTTATACATGCTCTTGGGACTCTCCAAATGAAGGCTAGCCCATAGTCACCACAGTCAGGGAGGGTAACATTCATGGAGGGCAAGGGATTAGGATCACCCTGAGGACCAAACAATCAATAAAACCGTGATTATGATTTTACCTGGATTGAGTCAAACATCAGGGACTCTAAGCACTTTCCCAATGCTCACTTTCCACCAGTAAGTTAGCAACACTTAACGTGCACACACTGGGCATTACCTCTGCAGGAACAAAAGCTCATATGGAGCATTTCACATTCTTAATAGAAGAGTTTGCCTTTGACATCTCAGTGACCAGTGTGAGTCAATTTGGAGACCACATTGAACCATCTCTATCTTCTGGTCAGTTGAGGATGTAAGAGGTCCTCCAGTCAACAGAACCCATTCAGACATGACAGAAAGACAACAGCTTTGGGTTGAGGCATTTTTCACTTGATGTCACCGTATTAGTCTGTTCTCACGCTGCTATAAAGAACTACCTGAAACTGGATAATTTATAAAGAGCAGAGGTTTACCTGGCTCATGGTTCCACAGGCTGTACAGGAATCCTGGCTGGGGAGGCCTCAGGAAACTTACAATCATGATGGAAGGTGAAAGGGAAGCAGGCACAATCTTCACATGGCACAGCAGGAGAGAGGGAGTGAAAAGGGAAGTGATATACACTTTTAAAACAACCAGATCTTGTGAGAACACACTCACTATCACAAGAACAGCAAGGGAAAAGTCTGCCCCCGTAATCCAATCACCTCTCACTGGATCCCTCTCCCAACGTTACAATTCAACATGAGATTTGGGTGGAGACCCAGAGCCAAACCATATCAGTCATTAAAAAGTAATGAAATTATATTACCTGTATCTGAATAGAACTCAGTTGCTAATATGTGATAAATGACCAAAATAAAAATCTTCAAGTGGACCCATCACCTCTGGGTATGACCTATTTTTCCAGACTAAAGCTGCAACTAGATGGAAAAATGCATGCTCAAGATTAAAGTTCTGCTATTTTGGAGCCTTTGTGTAAAGGAAGACACTGCACAGGAGGTCTTCCAGGCTGACCTTGTCTGGTGACCATAGTCAAGCTACTGAAGATGGCATCTGTACAGCAGATCCAATGACACCTACCACACAGAGTTGTTGTGAATGCAGGTTGATAGACATAAGGTACACAGCATTACGTGACTGTCGAGTGCCTAGTACACAGTAGGCACTTAACAAATGTTTGACCCACGGGAAAGACCAATACCCAACTACACACCCAACTTCAGACCCACAGGAGGACTTGATTTCCACTATAGGCTGTAATGACACAGTGCTAACCAAGAGGTTAGGACTGCAGGAGGCCAAGAGGGGACATTCCTGCAAAGCCAATCTACAGCTCAGGGAAGGTTCTGAATTAAATCCTCACCATGCAGGTCTAAGTGACACGGGGAATATTCCCTGTGGGACTTTAGATAACTATCATTTGCCTGCTGCATAATTCTCTGTACTGAAGTTGCTTCCTTCCCTTATAATAACTGTCCGCTAGTTAGCTCATGGCCAGCAGGCTGAAGCACAGAAGGTGGCTGGTGTCAGCCTCCTGAGCTGCCAAGTGGAGATATTTTTCTCAGGTTTCTGGGTGAGTTTTTAAGCCAACACCCTTGAAAGGGAAGCAGAGCCTTCGTACCACAGGCATCCGGGACACAAGGCCTACACAGTATTTTTGAAAAGTCATTATCGCTCACTGACGATAAAGGGGCATTCACAGTGGGCAAAGCCACTCCACGGGAATGGGTGGAGCTGGGGCTACCAGGCAGGCTGCGGACCAAGTTTGCAGCCAGTTTTCCTTTTCCAGCATCTCTGGAGTTGAGCAGGTGCCAACACAGCTAACAGCTTTAGGAGGCCCCCATGGACACAGATAGCAAGCCCCCCATCTTTTCCATGGAATCTAGCAGCAGCTACCAGGGGCGTCAGCACACTGCATTAATTTTTTCCCTTGCCTGGTTTCCCACATTCTGTGACCAACTTAGCGTGTGCCAGGGAAAATATTGAAAGCCTAGGTAAACGAAGGGGAACCTAACATTCACCAGTCTGGCCTTAAAATAGCCAGTGGAACGCCCCCATCCCAGAGAGTACACAGGCAGTGACTGCAGCTAGTGTGCTCAGAGCAGCTGCCCACCCCACCCCAACGGCTCATCCGATTCCCATGAAAGCCTATCTCAGAGAGAGAACAAAGAAGCAGCCAGGCTCCTTTGCTGCCTTATTCCCTTTGGGTTCAGGGATGTAGGTGAATATTAATGAATACCAAGTGACCTGATGCAAATCAGTGCAAGCCACTGGACTGGACGGGGTGGGAACCCTGGTAAAATATGTCTGGGGTGGCGTATAGGTTGAGCAGAGCAAATGGAGAGAGCCAAGAGGAAGAGTGTTCCCGCAGAAGCATCAAGGCCTCGGGCGTTACAGGGCACACCCCAGGGCTGAGCTCCCAGGGAGAAGGGAAAATGTTTTCACACTGACTGCTGGGCAGCCTGGTACATAGCTCTAGAACCTACTGCTGTGTCCCAAGTTTGCATATCTTGGAAGGAGTGCACACAGCAGGGAGAGGGGCCCAATAGCAAGAGGTACAGAAGAAGGAAAGGAGAACAGAGAGAAGATCATCTGGGGTCGAGGAAAAGGAAAAGTGTATAGCTTATAAGCTTTATTTTCCCCATAAAATCTTGCCTGATTGAGCACATAAACATGCAGGATACCCAGTGAAATCTGAATTTCAGATTAACAACACATATGGTTTTCAGGATAAGTATGCCCCAGGCAATATCTGAGACATACTTAGACTCAAGAAAAAAAAAATCAGTGTCTATCCAGAATTCAAGTGTAACTGGGTGTTCTGTATTTTATAGGCAATCCTATCCCCACATCTTGCCCCCCGGGCTATAATGGAAACCCTCAAAGGCTGAGACTGTTTCTGCCATGTCCTTCCTGCATTCCATGTGCCACTTTGCTCTGTAATGTAGCACAGAAAGGCATCATAGCAAGGATAAGTGTGAAAGCTCAGCAATCTGACTGTCCTGACTTCACCTGTTATTAGCCCTGTGATCTTGGACAAGTAACTTAGTCACTGTTTCCTAAATTTCCTCATGTGCTAAATGGGGATAATGATAGTTGCCTGACTTAAAGAGTGGTTATAAGAACACAATACATGGGGGCTGGGCGCGGTGGCTCACGCCTGTAATCCCAGCACTTCGGGAGGCCGAGGCGGGTGGATCATGAGGTCAGGAGTTCAAGACCAGCCTGGTCAAGAAACCCTGTTTCTACTAAAAATACAAAATTAGCTGGGCGCAGTGGCAGGTGCTTGTAATCCCAGCTACTCGGGAGGCTGAGGCAGAAGAATTGCTTGAACCCGGGAGGTGGAGTTTGCAGTGAGCTGAGATTGCACCGCTGCACTCCAGCCTAGGTGACAGAGTGAGACTCTGTCAAAAAAAAAAAAAAAAAAGAAAGAAAGAAAGAAAACAATACATGGAAAGCATTTATCGTATCATAGGTTCATGGAAAGTACTCAGTAAGTGCCAGCCATTAATCACTACTGTTGTTATTATTATTATTTGATACTCGGTAAATAAAGGAGTCTGATAGAGAGAAACTAACTCGTGGGTGTTAGAGACCTGTCTGAGATGACCCTGGACTTCTGCAACCAGCTTTGTGACCTTGAGAGAGACTTTCCCTTTGGGGTTCCAAGACACCTTACTAACTCTAAAATCCCATCATTTAAACAGATTGAATGAGTAAGAACCAAATGAATAAACTATCTCCATAGATGTGTGTATGGGCTAAAAGGGTTACAAAGCAGAAGTGCAATGGAGGATGTTTCACTAGACAAAATAATAAGAAGAAGAAGCCCGTTCCCAAAGGCAAGATGTCTGACTTTCTCAATGTTCTGATCTCAGGAAGGCTAGGTTTCAGAGACGTAGACAAAAGACAACTACATTAGAGCAGAGTATGTCTGTCTCAACTTGGATTTGCAGAAAAAAATAAAAAGTAAAAAAACCCTAGCGCTATGGTCTAAACATCTGTGTTTCCCCCAAATTAATATATTGAAATTCTAACCATCATATTAATTTGAGGTGGGGCCTTTGAGGCATCATTAGGTCATAGGGGTGAAACCCTCATGAACGGAATTAGTGTCCTTACAAAACAGGCTCCAGAGAGAGTCCTCGTCCGTTCCACCATATAAGAACACAGAGAGAAGGCTTCATCTGTGAACCAGAAAGTGGACCCTCACCAGATACCATATCTGCTAATGCCTTGATCTTGGACTTTCCAGCCTCCAAAACTGTGAGAAATAAATTTATGTTATTTTTAAGCCACCCAACGTGTGATATTCTCTTATAGCAGCCAGAACAGATTAAAACAGCTAGTGTAATACCAGAATGGCCAAGAGGGAGAACCTTCTCGGTTGCCAGCCCACCCAGTTGCAGTAAATAAATTCAAGGCAGCCAGCACCAACACAGCAGAGAAGCCACGGTCCCTACCATCCACGATGCCTTTGTGGCCCAAAGTTACTCCACTCTGGGCTGGGCACAGTGGTTCATGCCTGTAATCCCAGCACTTTGGGAGGCCAAGGCGGGTGGATCATGAGGTCAGGAGCCCAGCCTGGCCAATATGGTGAAACCCCATCTCTACTAAAAATAGAAAAATTAGCCTGGCATGGTGGCACGTGCCTTTAGTCCCAGCTACTTGGGAGGCTGAGGCAGAAGAATCGCTTGAACCCAGGAGGCAGACGTTGCAGTGAGCCGAGATCGTGCCACTGCACTCCAGCCTGGGCGACAGGGCAAGACTCCGTCTCAAAAAAAAAAAAAAAAAAAAAAAAAGAAAGTTACTCCACCGTGATTTCTAGTGGTTTCGGATAATTTCACTTCTCTCTGGTGATCTTTATAGCTATTCCTCACTACCCCTGTGAAATTGTCACTTAGCCACAAATAAAATATTTGTCCCTCTCAAGTTATTTTCAGTAAGGAGTCTCAGCACCAAGAAGCCAGGGATAGGCAGACATCTTCACAGCAATGGTTTCCTCCCAGGTGACTCTTGTAGCAGGTGATGGAGGCGAACTGAGGAGAAGAGGAGCAGCCAGCAGTCTACTAGCAATGTGGACTTTCTTCACATTGGGTTCAAGAGCCTTTGGGGAATGATGCAATAAAGAGAAGATACAACCTCTTACCCTGGCATATTCATAATGTACATGTGAGGCAAAAGTGTCTTCAGTATAACAATGACGTAAGAGGCTGAATGTAGCAATATACAGGTGCAAATAAATATAAGGTAGATGGAGTGAATTTGTGCTACAACAGCAAAGAATGAGTCACATAGGCCTAGCCAAGATACAAACTTTCAACAGGTACATGATTGGTTGGGGAAGAAGGTGGGAGTGGAAAGAATAATGTTCTATGCAAAGATAGGAAGGTTTCAAGAGTATGACAAAATGGGCATGAGTGAAAACCTAGTTAAGGAACTAGGTAGGAGGCATGTGAGCTCTTCAGCATGTAGGCTGGGCTCCACTCATTAAATTAGCTCACAGATCAGGTTGCTCCTAAATAATTGTATTTTCTATAGTTGTTCCTGCTGTAATGTGATTTAAGGAGATTTGCAAAAGCACTCAGTGGTCTACCAATTAAAAAATATGTCCTCCACCAACCCAAAATTCCATTCACTGAATCTTCCTGATTATATAATACTGAGGGATTATAAATTGACTGTCTGTGGAAGGCAATACAGCAACAGCTCATGAAATTACAAATCACTAGGCCAGGTGTGGTGGCTCAAGCCTGTAATCCCAGCACTTTGGGAGGCCGAGGCGGGCAGATCACGAGGTCAGGAGATCGAGACCATCCTGGCTAACATGGTGAAACCCCGTCTCTACTAAAAATACCAAAAAAATTAACTGGGCGTGGTGGCGGGTGTCTGCAGTCCCAGCTACTTTGGAGGCTGAGGCAGGAGAATGGCGTGAACCAGGGAGGCGGAGCTTGCAGTGAGCCGAGACCCCACCACTGCACTCCAGCCTGGGTGACAGAGCGAGACTCTGTCTCAGAAAAAAAAAGAAGAAGAAAAAAAAAAAGAAATGACAAATCACACCTTTTTAAGTAGCCATTTAACATTCAGAAATTTATTCTGCAGGTATACTTGAGCGTGTACCAGGTTATTTATTTCAGCATTGTTTACAAGACCAAAATATTGAAACAACCTAAATGCCCGTCACAAATGGCATCACTGGTTGACTCAATTATGGTATTCATACATCCATAGAATAAATGCAAATTAATAGAAAATGTGGAAGTTGTTGAGTTATTGACATGAGACAATCTCTTAAATATGTTGTTTCAAACAAAAAGGCAAAGCCCGTAGGGTATGTTGTCATGTTGTTGAAAATTAAAGGGGCCACAAGGAGAGGGACCGTAACTCTCCACTCATTGAGTTTGGACTGCATTTGGTGACTTTCTCCCAAAGATTACAGTATGGAAGCGAGGAGAAGTAACCTCACACTGGAGAAACCTGACACACACTACTTTTGCCAGGTGATCAAGGTTAACATCATCAGCAATAAGTCATACTAAAGTACGTACCCTTGATATCACATGATGAGAAAGGCACTTCGTCTCTGAGGTCATTGTCTCAAAAACCCTTGTCTAACCATGAGAAAAACATCAGTCGAACTCAAATTCAGGAACCTTCTGCAAAATACTTGACCAGCCCTCCTCAAAAATGTCCAGATCATCAAAAACAAGGAAAGTCTGAGAAACTGTCCCAGATCAGAGGCGTCTAAGAAGACATGACAGCTCAATTTAAGATGGGATCCTGGAACCAAGGAGGGGCACTGGGGTAAAACTAGCGAAACCTGATAAACTGTGGAATTTAATTAATTCTAATATACCAATGTTGATTCCCCAGCTGTGACAAATGTACCACAAAACTATGAGACGTTAACAAAAGGGAAAACTGGATGATGCAGTAAATGGAGACTCTGTCATTATCTTTACAACTTTTCCTTAAACTTAAAACTAGTCTAAAGTATAGCATTTATTAATAATTAATATTAATTATTAAGATTAAGAAAATGTGGCACATATACACCATGGAATACTATGCAGTCATAAAAAAGGATGAGTTCTTGTCCTTTGCAGGGACATGGATGACGCTGGAAGCCATCATTCTGAGCAAACTACCACAAGGACAGAAAGCCAGATACTGCATGTTCTCACTCATAGGTGGGAATTGAACAATGAGAACACTTGGATACAGGGTGGGGAACATCACACCCTGGGGCCTGTCATGGGGTGGGGAGCTGGGGGAGGGATAGCATTAGGAGAAATACCTAATAGAAATGACGAATTAATGGGTGCAGCAAACAAACATGGCACATGTGTACCTATGTAACAAACCTGCATGTTGTACACATGTACCCTAGAACTTAAAGTATAATAATAAAAAAAAACAAAACCGGTAGAGATTTTATAATTGCCCACATGTGCATAAACATCTGTGGGAAGATAAGCAATAAACTAATCATTGCAGTTGCCTCTAGAAAAGGACTTGAGTTGCTGGGGGAGGTGGTTTGATTTCTATATTTTGAATTATAGTTCATGCAACCATACTACCTCTTTAAATATAAGAAAATTTACATCTTATAAGAATAAAAAAGAATTTTTAATTTACATTTTACATTTGTTTCTAAAAGACACCTTAGTACTCTGAGTAACACATTAAACCAGTAGCTCCCCCAAAGAATTCATTAACTTGGATTCATTGCTTGTATTCATAAGTTGGATGTCCTAAAGTACAAGGCTTCAAGGATGAATGGTATTAGGGGTATGTAAGTCTTCAGAAAAAAGGGAACATTGGATAGTGGTGTTCTTGGGATATTGTCCAAAAAAGTCCCAAGCCTGCATGAGACATGAAAGTATGAGGTACCAGAGGGATAATGGAAAGAGAGATAGAATACCATGCATACTAACTTTGCTGACATAAAAAATGTATCAGGATTAGCTCTCCTCTGCTTCCCAATAGACTACATTCTATATCATCCCAGTTCTAAAGTGAGCCTCCCTCTGCCTCTTGGCCCTTAACCAAGAGAAATAGACTGAACTGTTGAACTTCTAAAGGACACGGGGGACCCCGCGAGAGCTGCCTCTGGAGCCATTCTTTCCTGCATTTTCCCATCACCCTTCTGTTTCAGCCACCACTTGGCAAAAACCAGCTAAGTGGT
This sequence comes from Homo sapiens, assembly GCF_000001405.40. Lineage (NCBI taxonomy): Eukaryota > Metazoa > Chordata > Mammalia > Primates > Hominidae > Homo > Homo sapiens. The sequence goes on from NC_000017.11 coordinate 72,053,143, forward strand.
GACTGTGAAATGAATTCAAATTTGACTCCAAGAGGGAAACAGGGCTCTCCAGGCAGAGCCATAAGCCCGAGAGAAAGGGCACAAGATTAACAGGTCACTGAGCCAGCCAGGGCGAGGAGCCAGGAGGACACCCACCGAGAGAGGCAGGGAAACGGTTAATAACTCAAGGTGACAAATTAAGCTGGCTACTCAGGGGCTCCAGTTTGGCTGATTGTGAAGTCAAAACAGAACAGTCGGAAACCGGGAAGGCGCTGTCACTTTTACTGTATTTTTCCACACGTATTTTTATTTTATTTTTTAATTTGGAAATGTTCGTGGGGAGCTGGAAAATGCAGGCTGGAGAACTCCTGGGGTCTGGGAGGGGAGACACTGTGCCTTTGCTGGATCCCCATCCAATTTGGACCAGCCGCTCCCTATGAGCTCCAGCCACCGGGGGCAGTGGGTCTCCTAGTGGTCGTCCCCCTTCTCTGTCCTCCGCCCCCCACCCCGTGGAGACATTCTCACCTCCTCTCGTTTTCACCGCCCCTCTGTGCCAGCGTGCAACCTCCTGCCAAGTTACACTAACAGTGTTCTCCGTCCACCAGCCACACCAGCCTCCTTGTTGCTGAACCCAGCAGCTGCTTAACAGGCGGCAGATGGAGAAAGGGCTGGAACTCTCAAGCACGAGGGAAACCTTGGGTGGAGAGGCAGAGGAGAAATAAAATGCTCTGCACCTATCCCAGTCGGTATGTGGCAAGGATCTGGCTTTCTCAGTGCCCCACATTTGAACAACTAGCCCGTGGAAATTCCCTAAAAGGAACGGGTAGGCTTAAGATGTTTAAAATGATCATGGGCCCCGTTTTGGGAAAAGTGAAGGAGATTAGGACGAACTGTGACAAATATATTCTGAGGTTTACCTGCCCCTTGGATCTAAGAACCCTTGAACTTCTTAGTGGAACCTTCTAGGCATGAGTTTCTACTGTGCACGTACTTTCTAAATTAGAGGATGCACGCTTATCACAACTTTACATTTAAATGATACTTTCTACATCAGAGGATACACCCTCTGCATAGATTAATCTTGTAGATTATTTTAACTCCTGGTAGTAGAATTGATAACTTGACTTTAATATTAAAGACAAATATGGCCCCCACCACCAACAACCACACACACACACACACACACACACACACACACACTCACAATTCATTCTACAGAGGTATCTCCACGTGGCATTGCAATTCCAAATTTCAATTTAATGTCATCCATGCTAAAGAAGACAAAATGGTTTTACTAAGTGAATTATAAGCAAGAGAAAAAAGGATAGAAGGCAGCACACACAAGTACAGACATGTGCAGGTCAAACACACACACCCTTTCACTCCCCTTTCTCTTCCAGCAAGCACTGCACTTGCTTCTGAGCACCCAAAGGATACTTTTGAGAACCCCAAAACAGCTGCTGTTGAAATGGCTCAGCTAGGGAAATGCTTCCCTATCATTAGGCCAAAGCTGTAATGCTCAGGTCCTGGGTTTCTTAACAATGGTTTGGGGCTAACACCTGGTGGGTCATCCCCTGAAGACCTTATATCCACCCAGTTGCAGTCCCGACCCTATCTCATGGAATAGTGCAGAAATACAATTCTCCCATTGTTCTCTGTCTTGGAGATTGAGGGAGGGGGGAATACTAACCCCCACCTCAAAAAGATTAGTGCAATTATTAGCCAACAGTAATGGCTATAAGCCAATATGTTCTCAAATCCTCCTGAGCACCAAGTCACCTTAGAGTCTCTTAAAGCCCCAAACACAAGACTGTGTGTTTTCTTGAATTTGGCCATGGTGTTCTCAAAGGCTGCTGGGTCGGTGGTTAATGCTGCCCTTACCCACAAGGCTAATAAGCGGAGAAAGAAACAGTGAATAATGCATGTGTCTGAGCCCTAGGTCCCCATGCCCCCATAAGTCTGTAAAAAGCAGGTGTCCGGTCCAGACAACACTAGCAACTGCTTCACCTAGCATTGTTTGGGCAAAATGCTTCTTAGAACACAACCATAGATTGTGACTTGTAGTTAGCATTAATTATAGAATTCTCAAGCAACGATGTGCTTTTTCCTTCTGTCACCTTATAGGAATAAATTTTTTGACCCCTGTGCTACCATTAGCTCTGCTGGTCATTCAAGGTCTCCCATCAGGAAGTATGAGAAAAGAAGTTAAATTCTGTTCCAGGATTTGGTATACCTGACTTATACTGCACGCGTATTTCAAACTGTAGTCTCAGAGAAACGAGGTCTTATCTTAAACTACTCAATGTATATTGATTAAATATAGATGGTGATGGGAAATACAAAGAAGAAAAATTCAAGGATACAAAATTTTTTAAATATATTTACATAATACCAAAGCAACCGATTAACTGACTGAATTTAAGTCGCTGATCAATTAAATGAGACATTAAGATAAGAACTTGTCAACTGAGTCAAAACATTGACTACTCCACTTAAGAAAGCACATGCCTGTGTAAATAAATATAGAGGTATACATTAACATAAATCAATACCTACAGTTCAGGGAACTATTCAATCATTCCTTCAATCTTCAAACCATTACTGATTCTCTACTATGTTCCTGGCACAGTTAAAACCAGAGGCTTGATTTATTTTAGAGTAGCCATGTTAAAAATCTCTTTTATTTCTAGAGAAATTCATACCGCTTAGGAAACACAAGCAAAGGAAACAAAAGCCTTGAAGCTGAGCAAATAAAGAGGTAATTTTCTATGTGATGGCAAATTGGGGGAGCTTTCAAGCATCTATTGTTCATTATTGGGAAGACCTATGTTAAACTTTGTACGCGTCTATGAAATACATTTATGAGGTATTAAATATAACCCTGTTCCTACGAATTAATACCATGTCTTTGCAGCGTTCAGCCTCATTTCTCACACAGCAGGCTATCAGAAAAGTCTCTGTTGAAAAGTCTAGAGCCTGAGTCGAAGTCACCAAGTTACAATGACTCAATATTCTCCATTATTTATTCTCATACACATACCTTAACAGAACAAGCGATATACCCGCTGCGTTTGTATAAAGCTCCCATGATGTACATTCTAATACATACACTTAAACACACAAATCTGTTTGTCATCTGGGAAGGGTAAGATTTTAGTTAAACCTCAGAAAGACTTCTGTGTAATAATTGGAAGATAACTGAAACCCCTGATGATTCATTTTCTCTACTCACAAAATGAGGGTTAATAAAAATAATAATAATAAATGGGTCATTTGGAAAGTACCTAAAATCCTAAGGCTAAATGTATTGTGTAGATATAGGAGAATCTAGTGTTATAGAAGGTATACATCAGACCACTCTCTGGCATTATTCACTGGTCATAACATAGATGGGAATATATAGCTACTAGAAGAATTTTCTCCTCGGAATGCCTAGAACTAAACAACTGATACAATTACTGTCCACAAGCAATATGGCATTTTCAAGGCTTTGTCAAGCAAATATTTGAAGTATATATATCACATTCGGGTGGGCATTTCTGTGCAAATACAAGCATGGGCACAAGCCCATTTAAACCCCGTACTCCTCTCTGCAAAACGGATATAACTCCATTAAGGTCTATTACTTGATTATACCCAGTAATGATTATTGTAATCCAGGAGAAGGAGAACAGAGTAAAGAATATTGAGGCTCTGATGAGACATACAGCCCCAAAACCCTTGGGTCCCCCTTTCATCTTTAGTTACTTGTCAGCCCAGAGGCCTGGCCTGTGGGAACCCAGCTCAGCAGCACCTTCATGTGGATGAACTTTCTAGATAAGCGCCTTGGGTACCAACATGCTGTAGGAAATCCGATCCACAGCCCGTGCCTGCTGCTCACTCACTTAACTTTCTTGTGTTGGAAACCAGGCAGGGGCCCTTCACACTTTCCAACAGCTCCCTTGTTTGCTTATGTGGAATCATGCAGACTGAGAGCAAAGAAGTATACAGGAGGCAAGGGCAGGGGATAGAGGCCTGGTCAGGAGCAAGAAGACTTGGGGCAAGAAAGCCTGCCCTTTGGGAGAAGAGTCATTCATACCTCTCCATCAATCCATTGCTGATTATCCTCCCTAACTCCCTTCCCCCAATTCCTACACATCAATACAATTCCTTTGTAGAGGTTGGCCAGCTTCTCCCCCAGCAGGTGGCCAGAATAGACTCTGCTGGGAGATTGCAAGTCACCCCTAGTGCCTACATCGAGGCAAAAAGAGAAGAAATAAGGATCACAGTGAATCATCTGTCAAGGTTGGCAGAAACGAGATTCGACTGACAGCTTTTTAGCCCAGGCAGCTACTCACCTGGATCTGGCATGAGGCTTGACCAAGTCAGGTAAAACTCCAAAATCCAAATGAGTAAGTCCAAGAGTCTCTACTCTGCCATCTTTTCCTCTGCCCCTTGGCCATCGGGTGTGGTTTAGCTGACCAAGATCATGGTCCTTTTGAATTCAGCAGAGTTGTAGAACTCCCGGGCCTTATTCTAATCCTGTCTACTATTCCTCAGTCTCGAAGCTGCTTTTGAAGCCAGAAAGCACCGGCAGTGGAGTGCAGAAAGCTTGCTCCAGACATTGAATGAGCCCACAGAATACCTCAATCTGATCTTTTATAGTGCTTTGTTTATTACCTGTGTGCCCTTATTTCATAAGGGAACTGAGAAAGAGAGAGAGAGAGAGAGAGAGAGAGAGAGAGAGAGCAGGAATGATGAAGATGACTATTAGTAGCAATCCAAAGACACCTTTTCTTAAGCCTCATTCATAGAAGCAAATGTGGCCAAACAACCTAGCAATTGTTCTCTCAAATGTCACCTTTCTGTATGGGCCACTGTGCCGATAAAACTCGGCTCTCTCGTTTTCTGCTCCCCCTGCAGCCCCTCCTGAAAAATTACGATGTTATCCTCCAAATATCTCCGGAGAAATTGAACCGACAAGGAAAGCTTTTCTTCTTCTCCCTCCCCGTGCACCCTCCTCCCGTTTTTTCTTTCTTCTTCACGCAGCTTGAACAATTTGGCTCTGTTCTGGGTGCATTCCTGTGGCCCATTCTCTTTCGGTCCCCTGTACAGGCCTGAGGATGGTGGGCCAGAACACAGGCCCACATTCAGACCCAGGATAGCGCTTGGGGGTAGGGCCGGGGCGGAGGAAAGTGAACCAAATGTACCTGGGATTGTTGCGCCACCAACCTAATACCTGGGCAGAAAAACAAAGGCTCTTTAGAAAGAGCCTGAGCTTCGGGGTAACCCATCCCCCCCACCCTCCCAGAGTTCAAAAGATAACAGGAGCTGAAAATAAGGCGCTCACATAATTAAACTTTTCCAAGTCATTTCAGGGGACATTACACCTGATGACAGAGAACTCGCTGCTAACCCTTTTTGATGAACAATCTCTGTTAAGACAAGAAGGGAGCCTTTTTCTCCTTGTGTGTGTGTCCTTGTGGGTGCAGACCCGTGTACCTGCACAGGTGCATCCGTGTCTGGATGAAGTGATCAAGCCCCACACCTTTTTACATAAGCAGAGGTGTAACCATCGCTTGGAAATCCTCTGATTTCAGGGGAACCTACAAAATGAGGAGGCCCTCTCAACATCAACTCTCTTTTATTCTCAACAAAGGGCATGTGGGCATTTTAAATTTTTTATTCATGTATTTATTTTTGCGTGGGATCCAGAATTTGCACTTGCCCAGGTTAGAGGGTAGAAGGCATGGCAATCAGTTCTGACAGTGAAGGAAAAGGAATTCCTGGGTCCATACAAATCTTAAGGTGTTTAGAGGGCCTTTCTTCCAAATTAGGCAGGTGCCACACCTGTTAATACGATCAGCCTTCAAGAGGCAACTTCAAGACAGCACCTCATCATCCTTAGCGTCATGCTCCTTAGCCAAACTTTTTATTAAGAGGAAGAATTTTTAGTCAGAAAACTGGAAAACCCTGACACAAAGAGCTACCTGTACAAGACAACTGGGAAACAAAAAGGGAACAAGGGGCCGGGTGCAGTGGCTCAAGCGGCAGTTTGGGAGGCCAAGGCAAGCAGATCACCTGAGGTCAGCGGTTCAATACCAGCCTGGCCAACATGATGAAACCCCATCTCTATAAAATACAAAAATTAGCCGGGTGTGGTGGCAGACGCCTGTAATCCCAGCTATTCAGGAGGCTGAGGCACGAGAATCTCTTGAACCAGAGAGGCGGAGGTTGCAGCGAGCTGAGATGGCGCCATTGCACTCCAGCCTGGGCGACAAAAGCAAAACTCCATCTCAAAAAAAAGAAAAAAAAAGAATGGAACAAGTGTGCACCTTAACACCAAACAGGAGTTCTGCTCTCTTGTAAATAAAACACAAAGACACACTTACACCACTGCTCTAAATCACTGCTTATTTGTTTTTCAATAAGACTATTTGCTCCATGAGACAGGGACTATGTCACTGAATCCCCAACATCTAGCACATAGAAGTACTCAATAACTCTCTCCGAATGTTGAAAAATTCCAGATACACGAGGAAGAGGAAAACAAATATACAGTGGTATGCTGGAGCTGTTCCACACCCACTCACAGGAGCCAATTATTAAATTTATGAGAGTTTTCTGAGCCAATTGTTAAACACGGCCACTATTAAAAGTTAAATTCTATAAACTTAAAACGAAATAAATTGTATTAAAAACAAAGGTAATGAGCTCATCACTTCCTTATTATTTTGCTATTACCTATACTCTGGAGGTTGTTTACATCTGCTGTGTTTATATGGTGGAAATACTGTGTCCTAGTCACTACCATGCAACTCTACCCTGCTCTTATTTCAATTATGTCACATTTTTAGCTTAAAATAGGCCGTGGTGGGAACACTGACACCATGGAAATCTAAAAATGCCATAAATCATGGTTTTATAGTTTTGTAATTGTCTAGACTTGAGACAGGCATGAAGAAAATATTAATAATACAGATTAAACATAAAAGTAAATCATGTCAAGGGTTTTTATATTGTGAGTAGCAAAATAACAACCAAAAAGAAGTTAAGGAAATGTTCTTCCAGTATTCAAAAACTACTCCTTGATTGAAAGAAGAAATCACTTACATGATTGACTAAGAATTGACCTTCCAATATACATCTTAATTCTTTCATTTCTTTTCTTCTTTCTTTCCTTCCTTCCTTTCTTCCTTTTTCTTTCTTTTTATTTCTTGTTCTTTCTCCCTTTCTTTCTTTCTCCCTTTCCTTCTCTTTCTTTCTCCCTTTTTCTTTCTTTCTTTCTCTCTCTCTCTCTTTTTTCTCTCTCTTTCTTTCTCTCTCTCTCTCTCTCTCTCTTTCTTTTGAGACAGGGTCTCACTCTGTCACGCAGGCTGGAGTGCAGTGATGTGATCTCAGCTCACTGCAACCTCTGGCTCCCAGGTTCAAGCAATTCTTCTGCCTCAGCCTCCCAAGTAGCTGGGGTTCTCTCTCTCTTTCTTTCTCACTTTCTCTTTCTTTCTCTCTCTCTCTCTCTCCTCTCTCTCTCTTCTTTTGAGACAAGGTCTCATTCTGTCATGCAGGCTGGAGTGCAGTGATGTGATCTCAGCTCACTGCAACCTCTGGCTCCCAGGTTCAAGCAATTCTTCTGCCTCAGCCTCCCAAGTAGCTGGGGTTCTCTCTCTCTTTCTTTCTCACTTTCTCTTTCTTTCTCTCTCTCTCTCTCTCCTCTCTCTCTCTTCTTTTGAGACAAGGTCTCATTCTGTCATGCAGGCTGGAGTGCAGTGATGTGATCTCAGCTCACTGCAACCTCTGGCTCCCAGGTTCAAGCAATTCTTCTGCCTCAGCCTCCCAAGTAGCTGGGGTTACAGGCAAGTGCCACCTCCTCTGGCTAATGTTTGTATTTTTTAGTAGAGATGGAGTTTCATCAGTTTGGCCAGGCTGGTCTCAAACTCCTGGCCTCAAGTGTTCTGCCTGCCTCCCAAAGTGCTGGGATTATAGGCTTGAGCCACCGTGCCCTGCCATTCTTTCATTTCTCAACAGACATGAAAATATCAACCAGCACTTATGCTGGAACTATACTTTTTCACCAACTGCAAAAGAAAAAAATCAGTAAAATGTTTTTGTGAGAATCAAGCAGGTATATGGAATTTATAATAAGGGATATTTAATATTTTATAATTATTTGCAAATTGTGTGCTACACATCCTTTATATCAATAAAATTTATAGTAAACTTATGTCCACATAAACATGAATTTTTTTTGAGAGCTGGTTGTTAAATATTTACCATCTGCAGTGGCTCACGCCTGTAATCCCAGCACTTTGGGAGGCAGAGGTGGGCAGATCACTAGGTCAGGAGTTCAAGACTAGCCTGGCCAACATAATGAAACCCTCTCTCTACTAAAAATACAAAAATTAGCCAGGAGAGGTGGCACGCACCTGTAGTCCCAGCTACTCAGGAGGCTGAGGTGGGAGAATTGCTTGAACCTGGGAAGCGGAGGTTGCAGTGATCTGAGACCATGCCATTGCACTCCAGCCTGGGTAACAGAGTGAGGCCCCATTTCAAAAAAGTTACCATCACACTACTGTCCAATAGCGTACCTATATGTAAGGAAAGGGGGTAATTTGAATAATTTATAGGATGATAATTAAATAGAGGTATAGGAGTATGTGCATATGTGCATGCACGTATATGTCTAATCCATCATTTAACTTGGGGTTAGAGGCAGATCACAAAACACAGAAACAAGGCTATTGGTAGAAAAATGAAGCAACATGAGCTATTTCTACCTGCTCTACAAGTTTCATCAGGGTCACCAAGAACAAGACTCATCAAAGGACAGGCAAGAAACAACACACACAAAAAACAGAAAGACAAATACTGTGTGTTCTCACTTATAAATGGAAGGTAATAATGTGTACACATGGACATGAAATACAGAATGATAGACATTGGACATTTGGCAGGGTAGGGGAGTGGAAGGGGGGGGTGAAGGATGAGAAATTGTGTAATAGGTTCAATGTATATTATTAGGTGATGGCTACACTGAAAGCTCAAACTTCACCACTACTCAATATGTCCATGTAACAAAATTGCACTTGCTTCCCTTAAATTTATACAAATAAAAAAATTTAATGAAAAAGAAAACAGACAAAGGAGGCAAGAGTACACTCTTAAATTTTTCACACATCTGCGTAGTGTTTTATAGTTTCCAAAAGGACTTTTCTACAAACCATATTGTGTGAGCCTCGTGACGTTCTTGTAGGAAAAACGAACCAGAGCATAGTACCACTTTGCAGATGAGCATATTAAGGCTCAAAAGGCTTATATAGTTTGCCCAAAGTCACACAATGGAGAATGGCTGAGATAAGAACAGAACCCAGGTCTTCTGATTCTCATGAGAAAGTCAAAATACTTTTTGGAACAGCTGTTCTGGCAAGTTCTATCCCTCTTAGACCTCAGTTTAAGCAAGGAGGCAGTCCAGTGGGGAGAGAGAGCCTATCTGAAAGCCATGTTGTCAATCCCAACCAAGCTTACTGGCTGTACCTCCTTGGGTAAAGGGCATTTAATATCAGAGCCCAGGGTTTGAACTGTGTGCCCACTTCAGCCACTGCATCCCTGGCCAGAGTAATCAAATTCAATAGACTAATAACTATGGCAGAGTCAAGGTCCTACAGCATCATTGATTAGAGTGCTGGTTTTCATACTTTTTTTCAGAATAGCAAAACTCTATGTTTTCCAGCAAAATTCTATTTGAAACAGTAAAATACAACTCACAGAAAATGAAAAGTTTCTGTAGTTGAATGGGAATGGTGGGATGACAGTGGTTGGTTACTCCTGTTGGCTTCTCATGGGGACCCTTAAGCACCCCCAAAGAACCATCATCTCCTTGGGGCCCTTTAAAAAAAACCTCACCTTAGCATTTAATGCTATTGAGGGGAGTATGTGTGTTTGTGTTGTAAGACTATGTATGCCTGTGTATGTGTGTACGTGTGTGTGTGTATTGAGGGGGCAGAGGATTCTACGTTCTATATTAATATGGTTCTCCTCCTAAAGCCTGGAGAAGATATCTTAGAATATCCTGCCACTGGTTATAAGAGAGCAAAGAGAACAAGTCGGAGCCCTTTGGGAGAACTGGGTGAAAAAAATATACAGCTCCAAGCATACACCCTACCACAGCAAAGCAACTGGTGAATCTGCATCCATAATAATGGTTAACAGTACTGCTGGTTAAGAGGCAGGCACTGCTCTGAGCACTTCAAGTGTCTTAGGGTTTTAAATGTTCTACCATATCCCTTTGAGACAGCTGCTGTCATCATCATGACTGTGACTGAAAAATCGATGCATAAAGAGGTTAGGTAACATTCTCAAGCTTTTACTGCTTGTAAGTGGTGAAGCTGGGCACAGATCCATGGAGGCTCAGGGTCAGACGCATACCCTGTGATATCTCCAGATGGGGAAGGCAGCAGCCAATCCCACCTCTGAGGGAGCCTCTACCCAATCCCAGTCCTGGTTCTGAGCGTGTCCTGGGATGGAAGTTGCAATCCCCTTGGGGGTCTCCAGTTTACTGTGGATGGGGGTTATGAACCCATGACTTGCTGACTTCTGGCCAGGACCTGGCATTTGCATTTTTCACTGAGCCCCACAAATGATGTGGGCCTGGCCCTGGTTGAAATACAAACCCAGACACCTCAAGTCCAGAGATGGAGCTACCAATCAAAGTGCAAGACACCTTGCTCTTCAATCCCTAAGAGCCAGCACCTTTTTATTATGCCTTCAGCTGTTCAAAGAGCTCCTTACTCCAGCATTGGTGGACTCCTCCTTCAAAGCTCACATGACAAGAAGAGGAAATGTGTGTGACTGGTCACCAGAAGGCCCCAGGGTTTGTCATGCGCTCATCCCACAGGAAGAGGGATTTTCCATTCCCTCCAGGTGTCTTATGCTCACCTTGTATTTTCTTCAGGTTCTCTTAATCATTATTCTAAGAGCACTAATTAGGGTAAAATTTCCCCCAAAGGATAAAGGGCCAGGTTCCCCAGACTTATGAAATAGCCTATAATGTTGGAGATTACTCCAGTGAAAGAAAAAGCCTAGGCAAAGAGCCAGTATCAGTTCCTTAAGGAATCCCTTTTCCTGAGAGTCCCAACTTCCTAGAATCCTGAGACATGTTCCAATGTTTTCTTGGGATGACTAACGTATAACTCCCCAAAGGGTAGGAGCTCTGCTTAACTCACAAGTTACTGGCACAGGACCATGCCTTGCAAATGACAGATACTTTGTAAGTATTTAGGGCATTGGCGTTTTTGTGGGAGGGGGGCTTCGTGGATATTTTGTAGGTTTGTTTTTTTGTTTTTAGAGATGGGATCTTTTTCACCCAGGCTGGAGTGCAGTAATGGGATCTTAACTCACTGCAGCCTTGAATTCCTGGGCCTAAGGGATCCTCCCACCTCAGCCTCCTGAGTACCTGGGACTACAGACACGTGTCAGTACACCTGGGCACTGGCGTTTTTGAATGGACCTAATTCATACACTGATATTGGACTTATTAACTCTGTCACTGGCACCTGTATCATCTTTAGGTCTAGATTTTTAGAGTTAAGATTGAGGAGGAAAATCTGCATCCTTTCTCTGGTCTGTTTCTTCCCTTTTTATCAGTCTCTGCAATAACCAATAGCAAACAAGCCAGGGCCCCTTGGCTCTTTAACAAGGCCAAACAGGTGTGAGAGATTAGCTCCCTGGATGGAGCCTCTGTCCAACAAAACAATGTCAAATTCCCCCCTAATAAAGTCCAGAGCTGTAAGCAATTCCCCCTTGTTATTAAGCAGGAAAGAAAATACAGCCGGCTCCTTCCCAATTAGCTTGGAGGACCCTCCAATGAGCTGAATTTAAACCAGAGAACTGCCATGATCTGGCTTCCACCATAAATAGGGCCTGCCTTCTCCCAAGAATGAAAACTCACTGGCCCAAGCTCCCAGCCTTCTTGGCACGATGGGGCAGACAGCCCCCAACCCCCCACCCCAATATCCATGGGCTGTCTCTGCCTCTGATTCAAACCATCTTTACAACTCCCTGCCAAATCCCTTACTTTGATTTTCCATATGGAGGCTTGGTCTCATTTGCCAGGTTGGTGTTTATAAGGATGGGTTTTTTGACAGTTTCGCTGTCGGTGAAACAGAGGATGGGACCCCACCCCTTGAACATGAATCACTTTCTTGTCATCCAAAAAAGAGTGAAAGATCAACATTCTGAAGCAATAACAACAACAAAATAGAAACCCCAGAGGTATCTAGCAATGGGAACGTCTCGTCTTTCCTTCCCTCCCCGCATCCTCCACCTCAAACTAATAGGCCATGGAGTGGAAAATAGACTCCAAGGTGCTTCAAAAAATGGCCCATCACTCTGTTACCTCATGTTTACACATGGGGTACATAAACGCAGACTGTAAAAGTCACCTGATGGTTTCCCCCACGCCATCTTAGACAGTGGTCAGAGGGAATCTCTTTCAATCTTGAACATCTTACCTGAATAGGGAATGTTTAAACATTCTTCATCTCAGTAAATATTATGATGGCCAGGCTATGCCCTAAGACTTTAAAGCATTGTATTGGTCTGTTCTCACGCTATTAATAAAGACATACCCGAGATTGAGCAATTTATGAAGGAAACAGGTTTAATTGACTCACAGTTCCACATAGCTGGGGAGGCCTCACAATCACAGCAGAGGGCAAATGAGGAGCAAAGGCAGCAGGCAAGAGAGCTTGTGCGGGGGAACTCCCCTTTATAAAACCATCAGATCTCATGAGACTTATTCACTATCACGATATCAGCACAGGAGAGACCCACCCCCATGATTCAATTACCTCCCACAGGGTCCCTCTCACAACACATGGGAATTATGGGAGCTACAATTCAAGATGAGATTTGAGTGAGGACACAGCCAAACTGTATCAAACATCAATTCATTTAATTATCTCAAGGACCCTGTATTAGCCTGTTCTTGCATTGCTATAAAGAAACACCTGAGGCTGGTTAATTTGTAAGGAAAAGAGGTTTAATTGCTCATGGTTCTGCAGGCTGTAAAGGAAGCATGATGCTGGCTGGCATCTGCTCAAGGCCTCAGGAAACTTACAATCATAGTGGAAGGAGAAGGAAGAGCTTGTACTTCACATGGTTAAAGCAGGATCAAGGCGGAGGGGAAGGTGCACACACTTTTAAACAACCAGATCTTAGGAGAATTCACTCACTATCATGAGGATGTTACCAAAGGGATGGTACTAAACCATTTGTATTCGTCTGTTTTCACACTGCTTTGAAGATACTACCTGAGACTGGGTAATTTATAAACAAAAGAGATTTAATTGACTCACAGTTCTGCATGGCTGAAGAGGCCTCAGGAAACTTACAGTCATGGTGGAAGGCAAAGGAGGAGCAAGGCATGTCTTACATGTCAGTAGGAGAGAGAGCGAGAGCAGGAGAACCTGCCACTTATAAACCATTCAGATCTCATAACTCCCTATCATGAGAAAAACATGGAGGAAACCACCCTCATGATCCAATCACCTCCCGCCAGGTCCCTCCCTCGACACGTGGGGATTATAATTCAGGATTAGAGGGACACAGAGACAAACCATATCATCATTCATGAGAAATCCACCCTCATAGTCCAATCAGCTCCTACCAGGCCCCACCTCCAACACTGGGGATTGCAATTCAACATGAGATTTGGATGGGGACACAGATTCAAACCATATCATACCCTGTGAATTTCCTCTCATTTTTAAAATGACATAACTGAGTATTTCAAGTTACTCATCCAAAGCAACAGCTAGCCACTGATAGAGCTAACATTTGAACCCAGCATTCAGTTCCAGAACTGTGGTAGACTTCTATTTGCCAAATATTCCTGATCCCTCCTTAGCCCCACCTTCTGGGCACATCACAGGTGTATTAGTCCGTTCTCACGCTGCTAATAAAGACATACCCGAGCCTGGGTAATTTATAAAGGAAAGAGGTTTAATTGACTCACAGTTCCACATGGCTGGGGAGGCTTACAATCACAGCAGAAGGCAAATGAGGAGGAAAGTCATGTCTTACGTGGCAGCAGGAAAGAGAGCTTGTGCAGGGGAACTCCGCTTTATAAAGCCGTCAGATCTCATGAGACTGTCACCATCATGAGAATGGCAAAGAAAAGACGCGCCCCCATGATTCAATTACCTCCCACCAGGTCCCTCCCACAACACATGGGAATTATGGGAGCTACAATTCAAGATGAGATTTGGGTTGGGACACAGCAAAACCATATCAACAGGACTACATTTCTTGGGCTCTGGTATTTGGTGGGGCCTTGTGACTGGTGCTGGGCAATGAGTTGTGAACAGAGGTAATGTATATCACTCATTACCCAGGCTGAGCCAATGTGCATTCCCCCAGAATGCACTGTGCCCCTCTGCCATGCTCCCTGGCAATATTCCAGAAAGTTCCCGCCTGAGTCCCAGAATATGGATGACAATGACAAGCGGGCTATCACCTCAGCTTCTGGTGATAGATACAGAGTGTAAGAAATACACTTTCATTATCTTAATCCATTAAGATATGGGGTCATTGCCATAAGAGTGAGGAAGACAGCTAGTTTTGAAGGAAGAGAAAGGACAAAGCTTATGAAGGGATTTCTGGGGTGACTACCTATGCTCTATTTCCCAACCCCAGTGCTGGTTACAGGGACATTAGCTTTCTAATAATATGATAAATATTTGTTTTGTGTGGGTTTCTGTATCTTTTTATTTGACATGAAAAAGTTACAAAATGTTTAAGGGTTATTACCACACCCTAATGCAACCAAAGCTGACTGATACACCATCGTGGTCCCTTTTATACCATGCTTTCTTATGTCTCAGTTATCCCCCTTCTGCTTCAATGTCAACAAATTTCTATCTTCTGAGATATGAGAACTAAAACGTTTGTTTTTTCTGATAAGTCTAAGTCTCTTAATGGAAAGGACAAAGCAGAAATTTGAAATGAAACATGAAATGCATTATGGAGGCAAAAAGTCTTCAAATCTGCCTTGTCTAGAATTTCCTTAGGGATTATGGCTTCATTACAAAAGGCAAGACATGACTGACCCTGAAATAGAGAATGCCAATACTGGACCTCACCTGAACCCTCTCTCTGAGTCTACTTTTCCCTCTTCCAGATCCCACAACACAACTCCTTATGGTTAATTTTTAATGCGTGGCACTTTTTCTTTTTTTTTTTTAAGACGGAGTATCACTCTGTCACCCAGGCTAGAGTGCAGTGGTGCAATCTCATGCTCACTGCAAGCTCCACCTCCCAGGTTCATGCCATTCTCCTGCTTCAGCCTCCCTAGTAGCTGGGACTACAGGCATATGCCACCACACCCGGCTAATTTTTTTGTATTTTTAGTAGAGACAGGGTTTCACCGTGTTGGCCAGGATGGTCTCGATCTCCTGACCTCATGATCTGCCCGCCTCGGCCTCCCAAAGTGCTGGGATTACAGGCGTGAGCCACCGTGCCTGGCCCAATGCATGGCACTCTTATTAGTTGTACACACAGAGTGGGGGCAAATTAAGATATTAGCTTCATGAGAGATATGTAGTGAGGAAGGCTCACCCAAGGGAGAAGGTCTTGATTACTTTCAGCTTGCTCTTATTGGCAAATGTCTGAAAGATATTCAAAGGAAGGCTCTAACACATCTACAGAAAAGCCAGGGTACAAAGGGCAGAGGGGAACTATAATGTCTTTCCCCTGCCACGAACCTAGCTCAAGCAATAAAGGTGGCACTTGTGACATAAGGGAGCTTGGAAAGACAGGGAGTCACTAGACATTGTGCCAAAACAACTCCCACACCCCAACCAATGTTAGCCATAGAGAGGCAGGATGCTTTCCTTTTGGGGCCCTCAGCTAGTGTGATATTCTATAATCCATTCCCCTTCTATGTATGTCCTCTCCTAAGTAAATCCATCATTCCAAAGGGAAATGACAAAGACTGCCAGTTCTTTTTTTAAAAAAATTATTGTTTGGGGGTTTTTTTGTTTGTTTCATTACTGATCTACTCATCTACAAAAGTTGTCTGCAGTTTCAACTGTATTTTAGAAATCTTGCCCTCTTGGCCAGGCATCATAGCTCATGCCTGTAATCCCAGCACTTTGAGAGGCTGAGGCAGGTGGATCATGAGGTCAGGAGTTCGAGACCAGCCTGGCCAACATAGTGAAACCCCAGCTCTACTAAAAATATAAAAAATTAGCCGGGCATGGTGGCAGGCACCTGTAATCCCAGCTAATTGGGAGGCTGAGGCAGGAGAATTGCTTGAACCCGGGAGGCAGAGGTTGCAGTGAGCCAAGATCACACCATTGCACTCCAGCCTGGGTGACTCCATCTCAAAAAAAAAAATAAAATAAAATAAAGAAAGAAAAAGAAATCTTGCCCTCTTGAAAACCAACTCCCAAACCAAGTCTCAGATTCTTATCACCCTCCTGCAAAGCAAATTGCTGAGTATTCACTCCAGATTCAGCCCATTGAGGGTCCTCTGTCAGCACTTGGAGGCTGTTGACCAATAACTATTTCCCAAGCTCTGTGCATGCTAATCTAACCTCATTAAGCCAATGCAAGAAGCTATGTGATTGATTTATCCTGTATAATAAAACCAGGTTATTACTCACAGGGCAACCTGGCACATTATCTGGTCCCTTCTGCAAGTGGTAGCAAACCAGCAACACAATAAACTGCCTTGCTATTTCAGGAGAGATAAATTGCTAATCTGTGGTTGTCATACCACAAATGGATTTTCATTATAGTCTGGGGCAACACTAAACTTCAAGGTCCTGTAATTATAATCCATTGATTTTTTTATTGTCACCCACTAAAAGCAAAAGCATAAAATATTATCATTTTAACACCAAGTTCCAGTTGAGTGTGAACCCTGCTGCTGTAAATTACAGGTGGTAACCAACAGATTAAGCCAGTGACTCCCTTCTCCCTCATACCTAGAAACATGCCCGAGAGAAGCCGACACCAGGCATAAATCATCTACAAAGGCATCAAAACAGGTCATCTTTTCCAAGCACAAGAGTCTGCCCTTTCTCTTTCATGGCATTTCTCTCTTTCTACCAAACATCTTAGTTGTTTGCAAGAGATTAAACAGCATACCAGTACAGTCTACAGACTCAGGAGGCAAAATGCTTTACTTTGAATCCTGGATCCTCTTATTCTTAGTTGTATAATCTTGAGCAGCTGTGCCTCGGTTTTCTCCTCTGTGAAATGGGTAAGTTAATGAACGTGCTTACCTACCTTGCAGTGTTATTATGATGACTAAATGAGTTAATTCACGTCAAGCACTTAAAACTGTACCTGCACAGAGAAAGCATTCAATGCATGTAAGGTATCATTCTTATTACCATTATGATTACCACATGAAAGAAAGTATGAGTGACTGTCATTCCTTGCCTTCTAGACTATAAGTCACTTTTTAGTAGGAAACTTGTTTTAGACATCTTTTAAAATATATATTTAGATATTAAGACTCTGAACTTATTAAAGGCAAATTCTGGAATTTACTAAACTTAAGGTCCCATGGGCCCAGCAGCATGCCTGTGGGGCTCACACCTAACTGGATCTTGGTGTTAAAGGTATAATGTTTTATGCTTCTGCTTTTAGATGGAGATATACTCTCTCTCTCTCTTTCTCTCTCTCTATATATGTATATATACGTATACATATCCATATATAGATATATATACACATTATATATTTTATATATATATATATATATAATACATATATATATAGAGAGAGAGAGAGATAGTATTAAACAACTACTGAATGAATAGAAGCTGGAAGTAATTTCCCACTTAGGAAGAAGACATTTTGACTATGAGACTAAGCCCCTAAGTGAACTGTGATTCCCACACAGAGTTACTGTAGAAAGGATTTCCACATCAAGTAGAAGGCTGAACCAGACGACCTTTAATAACTTTTATCAGTTGAGACTGTGAGATTCAATGACTCCATGACACTTGCAGATTCAGCTTCAGATTTCAGCCACTTTACGGGAAAAAGAGACACATCGAAAACTTGATCCTGGGACTTGCAACCCCACCGTGGCACTTCTCCAAGAAATGGATGGTTTTCACCTGTGGGAAATAAAGTAAGTATGAAGGTTTTTAACAATGGGAAAAAAGAGAAGGATCATCTAGCAGTGATTATAACCTAGACGGCCTAAGACTTACCTCTAAAAGGACCCAAGGCAATGAACTTTCTCCTCGTGTACAAAAAAGGCCTTTATGCCCTATATTCTCATCATTGAAAGAGGTAGACAACAGGAGGGGGGCAAAATATGGCCTTCCAGATGTGTCAGGGTTGTGATAAGTCATGTTTAAACTTTACCCAAAGTGAAATAAAGTGTCAACAGAAACTCCTGTCCAAACTCTCTGATCAGGTCAGGCAAACAACCAATCGAAAAAAAATCAATCAAATGTGAAAGGTGGCCCAAAGGGGTGGGAATGCTTAACTCCGGGATTCCCATAGAAGCCAGGTCTATTTAGCAACATGTTTCTTGCGAGCTGCTGCTTCTTCTTGTGGTCCTGAAACAGCCAGAAAGCACACCAGAGGGTGTCCTTTCATGAGCTGGCTTGACCCTGAGCAGGCTGAGAAGTTGGTGGCATTTGCCAATGCCATGAAGAAGGAAGGATTCTGGGACGGATGAGCTCAAAACTGATTGTCTGATCAGCCCCAGGGTCAGTGCTTTGAGAAGAGAGATGGTCTACACACCTAAGAGGAATGGGAAATTTAGCCTTGATCTGGAATTCTATAAGTGCTCAAAGAAATTAGTTAGTTCTTGAAGGTGAAAGAGGAGAGCAAAAACTTCTAAGTACACCTGGCAGAGTGGTAGCAATATGCTTCCACATGGCCTGTCCAGTTGGAAACAGACTGCATTTCCCCAGGGGTAAGGAGTCGGCAGGAACCAGACAGAAGCTTGAAGCCCAGCCAAACAGACTAGTGTGTAGGACAGGATTACAATTGCAAGAAGGAGGTAAAGTATATATAAATCAGAAATGGGAGAAAGGATCCAATCTTATGAATGGAATAAATATGGCACAATTCAATGGGTTTTGTGGACAAGAAGGTGTTTGGATCTTACCTTCCACAACAAATCAAATTCTAGATGCCTAGTGCAGATGGAACTCTTAAAGCATCACCATTCTATCTGGGTACGCCCAGGAACCAAATGGGCTGATGGTTTCAGCTAGATAAGACTGGAAGACAGCAAGGACTTGGAAATGTACTCACAGACCCTCCTACCCGTGATAACTGACTTCAGAGCACACCTTCATTCCCACCTTTCTATATTTTAACATGGGATTGAGACTGGGACAGAGGTTAACAAGGCATCTCAAGCCAATCAAGAACTAGATGCACATAACTGCATTTGATGGGGAAGTAAAAATTACTACAAATTTAAAAAAAAGTGTATATACGTTCACCAAGTAGCTATAATTCTAGGGTCTTATTTTTAAGGAAAAAAAAATGCATTAAAGGTAGAAAAGGAGAAACATAGGTGGAGGGAGAGGAAGAAAGCTGGAGAGGAAGGCATTTTGAACATCTATCACTATTATATTAGGAACTTCACATGAACCATCTCATTTACCTCTCACAAAATCTATGAGATTGAGACAATGCTGCTTATTATGGCATCGTTAATCATAGTGAAAAATTGAAAACAGCCTTCTTGTATACTGCTAAGAGTGAGTAAGCATTATGCTGCACCCTCATAATGTTTTACCACAGAGCCTTTAAAACTGTTTATAAAGAATTCTGTCCTGATAGGCAATGTTCATAGTAAAATGGTAGTAGAAGTATATAAAATTGGTTATGCAATAGAGTTACCAAAATAATTATATATTTTACTTGTTTATATGTGTGTATGTATGCAGTATAGCTGTATCTTAATGTATCCACATGTTTATTAAAAAATTACGGTTATAAATGGGTGGTGGGATCATGAATTATATTTATTTTCTTCCTTACTCTTTTCTATGCTTTCCAAAATTTTACAATGAGCATAACTACTTTTATAATAAGACAATGAAAATCTTTAATATAAACAGCTTATTTACCATATGCTGTTAATGCTAATATCTGAACATACAGTACTTTGCGAAAACACCATCATCAAAGGAATTGACAGGGCTATATTTGTCAAACAAAGACAAACTACAGTCAATAGGAAAACACCTAAAATATGTCAATAAATGCTCTGCTGCTATCGGCCTTGCAATATACTTTATCTAGTCTCATAAAAAAAAATCATGAGGCATATGACCCAAACAAATATATATTCAATGTGTTTCTAGTTTGAAAATAATATGCCCTGATAGTGTTCTCCATTGCTATTGAGACTACTTTGCATCTAGAAACATTTGCTTAGAAAATGATTAAAATCATATATGTGTTATTGTTATTCCCACTTTTTAAAATCTAAATAGTAAGTTTTAGTTTGTAGCATGTTTTATTAATCAATACCAATCCTAAGATAATAAGCCTAAGATAAAGAGTGTCATAAACATTTTAATAAGAACATATGGTGGGGGAAATTGACAGAGCGAGGCCTTTGAAGGGCGGTTTTCTTTCTCTAAAGCAAGGTCATAAAAGGCCTTGGGAGATGAAAATAGATTGGGTAGGACCCAGTGGTCCATCACTGAGCATGGCAGGCAGGGGGTGGCTTCCTTCCTTCTGCTTAACCCTACGGCCCACCTGTGCCCTCATCAACGGCCTGGGACTCTAAGTCAGAGAGGGCTGAAAAGTGCTAATGAGACAAACTGGAAGGCAAATCGTATTTAATGCCAAGAGACGTAACTGATTTGGAGTTTAACAGCTATAAACCATGACTATTCCAAGATGGTCCAGATGGGAGACTTTTCATTATATTCAAGAGTTTAGATTTAGGCAAGTAGGGCTATGTTATCTAGAGGACTCTATCTTGTTAAATACTCAAGGGTGTTTCCAAGGAAGAGTATACAATATCTTGCTTGGAATATTACCATGGATAAGGTAGATATTAAGAGTAAATGATTGCTTACACACAACCATTTGAAAAGCAGTAAAAGAGACCTGCAACCAAAAGTGTTTTCTTCCTTAAAGTATTATGATACCTACGGTTTCACCATTGGAAAATTGAGCTACGCATTATTTTTTTTCAAGAACCTCACTTAAAAAGGCTAATAGAGTTGCTAGTGGTAACACAATGCAATGACTTGCTGGCATTTGGCCACACAACAACAAACTAGCATGTGTTCCTCCATAGATGCAGAGATCTGAAATAGCCAGAACACTGCTCAGAGAAAAGGGGAGAGTCTCCAGAAGAAAAAAGACACCAAAAAATCTGCAAATGATGGAAGGAGAAGTAGTCCATGGGAAGCAACGTTGAAAACTGCATAATCCCCAGTCTCACCTTGGGTGGCTCCTGCGTTTGGTTCTCCAAGGCAGCAGGAGGGATGAAATAGTCATGAACATTCCCTTCAGATCCAGAGTTTCTGCATCCAGTTATTACATCCATTGCAAGTCTCTTAGTGACCTCCTTTCCATTTCTCACACTGTGAATGGACACAGGACCCACCAGAAGGGGAGGCAGACATCTTTTGAAGCCAATCTTGATAAAGGAGGTGCTTCCTTTTCACCCCATAGTCAGCCAATTTGTTGCCTATAAGCTAAAAACCAAACCTAAATACTGAATTTGAAACTTAGCACAATGACCACCACCATCCGAGCTCTCTGGAACCTACAGGTGGTAAACAGGGTTTCTCAACCACAGCACTACTGACTTTTGGAACCAGTTAATCTCTTGTGGGACAAAGGGCTGACAGCTTTCCTGCACAGTGTAGGGATTTTAGTGGCATCCCTGGCCTCTACTCACTGGTTTTCCCCCAGATGATAACCACTGCACTAAATGAACAGAAATCTTTATTCTCAAGAAATGCAGGCTACATAAGTGCAGTCCCATCTCATTCAATGCTTTGTGCCAAAGTTCCCCACTGGACTTGCAGCATGATTATAAACTCAGGGGTAACAGCAATGGATGCCTCTTCCAGGTCTATGCAAAAGCTTGAACAATAAAAAGACAATTCCCATGACTAGGAGAGACCTTCCCAAGAAGACCATTGGCCGATAAGTCCAAAAGCTGTTGGGTTCTCCGCATGTGTGGTCCTAATTAGGAGATCTGGGTAGCATTTGTAAACAAGGCATTTACATCTTTGTCCAACTGCCTATAGTATGGGAAGTTATCTCCATAAGGGACATCTCAGTTGACTCATAGCAGAATTACCATAAACATCTCTATGATTCCCCATGTTATATTGTCACTCTGATCCCTGGCTGGGTTTGAGAACATATAAAAGATAGTACAGAGACTCTCTATCTCATCCTGGTACCATCTTGCAGTGGCTCATCTGGAGTTAGAACCTACCCATCTCTCGTCTTCAGAGTCGACGAGGTACCTTGGAATCAAAGACCATAAAAGTCAACGCTGGAAAGAACATAAAAAAAAACCACCCAACCAGCCCCTCATTTCACAGCGAAATTGGAAAGGGTTATCAGCTAAAAATGGACTGATCTAGTTTATAGCACTAAGGAAAAAATAGCCTCAAAGCAAACAGAAACCTCAAACCAATGACAGTCAATCCTGCTTGGGTGGCTCTAGCTCTTTGCGGGAAAGCAGTAAAGCCCTCAAACATTTTTTTTCTTTTAATATTTTTAACTTGAAAAACTAAACATGCTCTATAGATCATTTCTGAAACTCCAAATGTTTAGAAAGGCAAGCTTTTTTTTTTTTTTTTCACCCTGAAGCACTAGACAGACTGGTAGAAAAGGGGGAGGCAAAGGTGGATTATTTTTTAAGCCATTCATTTATCCACACTTCCTCTGATCCTTTCCCCTCCCCACACCATCCCCTGCTGTCATTTATCAAGACTGCTCCAATCCTGTGGAATTCCACTCATTCTTCATCAGGGCTTTGACCTCCTCCAATCAAACAAGCAAGGTACATTCTGGGAGAGTGCTAATGCCAGGGTATCGGGGGTGCAGAGGAGGAAACAATCGATGCTCCAGGACTTTCCCACGCTTAGTGGAATCAATTTTATCGGTGTTTGGACACTGGATGTCAAGGCTGGTCAAATGGAAGCCAAAGGTTCTGTGGGGGAGGGACTGACAGAGGCTGCTGCTGAGGCTTCACTCATGGGACAGCTTCCTGGAAGGGGCTGGTTACCTCAAGTCCAGATCATTCAGAGGGACATGAGGATCACACTCCGCCAATGCAGATGTTGAGGGACCTTCCCTCTAAGATGTGAAAAAGACCCCAAGCAAAGTTCCCAATGTGCCCTCTCTGCACCTTAGAAAACCACAAGGAAATATGGATTGGTTCCAGAAAAAGGCAGATGCCACAGGCACTGGGCCCTGCCTTCATGATTGCATCAAAACTGTTCACGCAGCTGCCTTCTCTCAATTATCCAAGAGCTGTTAGTCTTCATGAGTCTTGTCCAAATCTTTTGCCTTTTCTCTTCCTTTGGCTGTTCCCTGGGATCGTGATGATTACTGCTCTCATCCAAGGTGAACAGAAGGTGAAATTCAAACCGGTCAGGCTGCTGATAGAATGTTTGGAAAGAGAAGGCAGGTGAAGCTGCTGCCTCAGTGGAGACCCTGACCTTCTACCTGCTGTCCCTCCCACTTTCTCAAAGGCACCAATCTATGCTACACCTCTGGGCTGTGTTCACGTTGCTTCATCATTCCATGGCCCTTTGTCCCCCGACCCTTGCCATCTACTGAACATCCCTCCTGATAGCAGGACTCAGTTCATGCTCCTGGGTGAAGCTGTCCCTAATGTGCCCTAGTAAGTTGCCTCTCCCTCAACTCTGTTCCCATTCTGCCAGAAATAAAGTGACTATAATTTTCTGTTAATGTTTGAGCTCCTCTGAAGGCAGATTCATCTTTACCTGATTCATCTTCACATTCCCTGGTCCCAGCACAATGGGTAGTATATACTAGATGTTCTATAATTATTCGATGAGCACATTAATCTGTAGATTTTTATAATCAAGATTCTTTCCACTCCTTATAATTCCAGAAACTGGGGCCTTAAGTGGGTGCAAATGTTTGTCTAAACCAATACATTGACTGCTCTACAAGAAAATGCTGGTGTGGTCCTTCAGATATTCTGCCAGGTACCTCCCCACCTAATCCCTGACCGTAGCCTCAGCCCAACTGCTCTGAAGCTTCTAGTACCTGCATGGCTGGACAAGGGACACTGGGATCACCACCCACAACCCTGCATGCTGCAATCTTCTTCCCACACCAACCCCACTCTCTCTGCCCCAAGCAAGATGACTATGCAAACGAGAGAAGGCCTAGGATCTCAAGTCCCAGTGACTCACCTGCCAGCTCTAGGCATACATATATGACCTGTAGACTTCATATTAAATCATCCTCTTCCTGATACCAAACATCCTTATGGGTGACTGGTACATCCTCTGGTAATCCAAAAATGTCCTACATACCTGTGTGATGTAGTAAGCTACTGTCTCCCAGCTCCCAAACCTCCAATACCCTGCTCTGGGACGCTAAAAGAGTCTCTGTAAATCATGTTTTTCCTTTGCTAGTTGCTCCTAATAGATAGATTCTGGCAATAGGGGGCAGTAAAGGGAGATTGGAATCAGGAGAAGGCAGAAT
The DNA here is from genome assembly GCF_000001405.40 of Homo sapiens. Classification (NCBI taxonomy): domain Eukaryota; kingdom Metazoa; phylum Chordata; class Mammalia; order Primates; family Hominidae; genus Homo; species Homo sapiens. Next base: position 72,077,815 of record NC_000017.11, read on the forward strand.
GCATTTCCCCACTTTTTTTTTACTTGCTGCTCCCGCCAGTGCTACCTAGCAGCAATACTTCATCCCTACAGCAGCAGTTGGATACAGCCCCCATCTCCTAGAGTCAGCCTCAAAGTGCTTTCTCAGAGGTACAAGCTCTAGGAAGTCAGTATTGCTCCTTCCTTAGATATTTGAATTCCAGCTCTATAAGATTCCTCCTTCAATCTCCTGGGATGCCATCAGCAGCCATATAGGGCCTCCCCCTCAGAGGCTGGGCTTCAACTCCTCAAGACCCTTCCTCTGATCCTTTAGGTTGCAATAGACCTAATCTTTTCCCTTATTCCCCAGCCCTGGTAGGGGTAGCTTCTTCCTGAAGTTACTATCTCTATGTTATCTCATTGTTCCCATTTCATTACTTCAGCCTTCCAAAAAGGCTGAAATATATATAACCAACTTCCTAAATTAAATCCCCTCTGTTGAAACACCTAATGTGCTTTCTGTATTCCTGCATGCACCTTAACTAACACAATATCCCAAAATTCTTTCTGGTTGTTACCTAAGGGAGAAATCTGAAAATCAACTCAACATAATGCTTAGGAAACAACAGGTGCTGGAGAGGATGTGCAGAAATAGGAACACTTTTACACTGTTGGTGGGACTGTAAACGAGTTCAACCATTGTGGAAGACAGTGTGGCGATTCCTCAAGGATCTAGAACTAGAAATACCATTTGACCCAGCCATCCCATTACCGGGTATATACCCATAGGATTATAAATCATGCTGCTATAAAGACATATGCACATGTATGTTTATTGCAGCACTATTCACAATAGCAAAGACTTCGAACCAACCCAGATGTCCATCAATCATAGACTGGATTAAGAAAATGTGGCACATACACACCATGGAATACTATGCAGCCATAAAAAGGATGAGTTCATGTCCTTTGTAGGGACATGGATGAAGCTGGAAACCATCATTCTCAGCAAACTATCACAAGGATAAAAAACCAAACACCACATGTTATCATTCATAGGTAGGAATTGAACAATGAGAACACTTGGACACAGGAAGGGGAACATCACACACTGGGGCTTGTCGTGGGGTGGGGGGAGGGGGGAGGGGTAGCATTAGGAGATATACCTAATGTAAATGACGAGTTAATGGGTGCAGCACACCAACATGGCACATTTATACATATGTAACAAATCTGCACGTTGTGCACATGTACCCTAGAACTTAAAGTATAATTAAAAAATAATAATAAAAAAACAAAAAACAAAATGGCAGCAGAGTTTAATTCACGTATTTCACTATGGTTTTGATACTAGTGAAATACTAGTATCAAGTATACATTGAACAAGTATCAAAGTATACTTGTCCAAAGTTATTTGGACAAGCCTACAACCTCCTTGAGTTTCTAGTCTTGAAACCACAGTGGGAGCAGATAATCTCAGCTTCTTGCTCTGTCTTAAAAATGCAGCAAAAAGACAGCCCACATAAAAGAGCTTTAAGGTCTATGTTAGAAAAGCACCATCAGCAATACATAACTACTTTGACTAACAACAGGCTGCAAAGACACTCCCTAGTTTTGATCTCAATAGGCTCTGCAAAACAGTTCTTTCACCTATGCCAACCACACAGGAAATATTTCAGAGCTGCTGCTTTGTGGAAGGTTCACACCTTGATGGGAAGAGCTTTAAATCTCCCATTTCCTGTATTGATAAGAGCATGATCACCTATTTTCAAAATAAGGTTCATTCTCAAATGTTGCAATGCCAGGTAGGCCATCCTCTCTGCTGGGAGAAGAAGTACTTGGAGGGTGTCAGTTTTGAGAAAAGGATGAGAAGCAGAGGGGAGGGAAACAGCGGAGTAAGGACAGGAAGAATATTTTTTGTTCATGTTTGGAGCTATGCCAAGGTGTTATATTCCCATTAAGAATGGCTAGATCTGGAAGAAACTTGATGGATTAGTGGAAAGTGGAGGTGGGGAGAGAAGGCGGCACCATCAATTGCTGAAATTGGCCCCAGACAGGTTTCCTCATTGTTCTGCCAATTGGTTTTGCAATAAATTGGAGGAAATTTGGCGAGATATTCAACCAGGGCATGGACAGTGTACTAGGACCAAAATAAACAATGGTGAATAACTTGGCAGTTTTTTATTGGATATTTCAGAAGTGAGTTATGAGACACCAAGTTGTGAGTTAGTTCTTACAAGTTTACATAGTGAGAATTAAAATAAGGCGATAGATGACAAGTTTTGCTCTTAAAATTTGGGAGACAAATACCAAATAGGAAATCTAGTTACAAAACATACAATGACCCAGAGAAGAAAAACAGAATAAGGTCAAATATTTGAGATGACATAGCACATAGTCAACATATTGAACTCAAAGGATTTACCCCAGAAACTCCACATACAGAAACTACAGAATATCTAGTAACTTCGGATATTTTTTTTTCTGGAAAAAGATATTCCTGATATGCAGCCATTGCTGTATTTTCTGGAATGAGTATCTATGAATTAACAGAGATTTTTAATAATTTGTTTACTGTGAACTCTTTTGGAAATGTGGTCAAGTCTATGGACTTCTTTTTAGAATTACATGTGTAAATGCATAACTTGAAACACAACGAATTATAAAATAAATTATATGGAAATGCAGTTGCAATCTGAAAGTATTTAGAAAATAAAATTGTGAAACATAACATATACACTTCCTTATTAATGCCGCCAATAACAAGACCTGAAGGTGGGTCTACCAACTACCATAATTTCGAAGCAGTGAAGAGTATAGATGATATCTTGAGATTTTTACAACACTGCAGTGTGATATAAAAATACCTATGATTTTTGTCGGTGATAAAGCCTTAGTAATGACCAACACTATTGTGTCTTGTCACATACACTTGTGATGGAAAGAAATACTACATTTCAAATAGAGGTTAGAAAAAATAAAGATGTAATTTTTTCCTATCCTAACTTAAGGATTCCAAGAATTCTATTCATAGATCTTGTTTGTAGGGATCTATGAACACTGAGCTAAGGATTCATGGACAACTCTTAGACCTAAATATTCACATGATTTTAAAATAATCTTTTTTTCTATTTTCCCAAAAGATTTACTCTATTCATTCCAAACAAATGGTTTCCTTCTAACATAAATCAGGTAAGACCAAACCCTTATTAAAGACTTGGAATGAACCCAAATGCCCACAATGGTAGACTGGATAAAGAAAAATGTGATACATATACACCATGGAATACTATGCAGCCATAAAAAGGAATGAGATGATGTCCTATACTGAGACGTGGATGACGCTGGAAGCCAGTATCCTCAGTAAACTGACACAGGAACAGAAAATCAAACACTGCATGTTCTCACTCATAAGTGGGAGTTGAACAATGAGAATACATGAACACAGGGAGTGGAACAACATACACCAGGGACCTGCTAGGGGGTGCGGGGGAGGGAGAGCATCAGGACTAATAGCTAATGCATGCAGGGCTTAATACCTAGGTGATGGGTTGATAGGTGCAGCAAACCACCATGCCACACATTTACCTATGTAACGAACCTGCACATTCAACACATGTATCATAAAGCCTAAAATAAAATAAAATGTAAAAATTAAATAAATAAAAAATAAAATAAAATGTTTAAAAAAAACACTTCTATGTTTTATGTTTTACGGTTTCAGATCTCAGGGGTAATATAAAGATATCTCACTGGTAAATATGGGAAGAATAAAATAAAATAAGGGGGAAAAAAGATTCTTCCAGGCACTCTTTGATCTACGTTGTGTCCTAGGTTTTTCACATCATATTTATATAGCTCAGAGCCACAACAGGAAGCAGATGGCACATTCAAAAAGGGATGATTTAAGAAAGGTTTATTTACAGAGGTGTGGTATAGGGAAATCACAAAAGACAATGCAGTAACCTGGGGCTTGCCATTTTTAGACTCAAAAGGACAAACAGAGGTAGCAATTACTTGATCCAATTAGTAAAAGGACAAGTTGAGTTGGCCAGCTTTAGAGAGTCAATGATCTTCACTTGGGGGAAACAGCCAACCCAAAATGACTTCTCATGTAGGAAGCCACTGGAGAAAATACCCTGATCTTACCTTCCTCCCCTTTTCCTGCCTCTTGCCAGGGTTCTCCACTGAGTGAACTCAACCAGAAGCCAAAGGACATGGAAACCCATTGATGTCCCTCCCAGGACAAGGTGGATGAACAGAAATTGATCTGAAAGGACAAATGGAAGAAATACAATGCAATGTTGATGAAATTTCATCCTCTGCCCCTCTTCCCTCCATCTCTCTCACCTCTTGTTCGTAGGTACTTTTCACCATGGACATCCTAAAGCTTCCCAAATATGCCACTTCTTTCAGTTGTCTACACATTAACACAGTCTACACTAGTATACCATTTGCCTCTTCCTCTAGTTGAGCTCCTAGTTCTGTCCTTACTTCGTGTTCACGATCAAGCTCAAATGTCACCTCCTCTTGGAAGCCTTCTTCAATATTCCACAGTGATTTTCATCCATGCTTGCCTCTGTGTTTCCCCAGCACATACATCACTGCCACATTCCCCAAAGCATTTGCCTAAGAACATGAGTCCTGAAAGGTGTTATTAGGTAGAACATGAAATATCAGGATACCTTCCAATATTTTGGAAGGTGATACCTTTCTACATTGCAGCAATTACCAAATTCCTGTAGTCTCTAAATGAAAAGCCCCCAGAATGAAGGGGCAGATTTGTCTGAAGAATTATTCAGATAGCAGTGCAAGGGAGAAGCAAAAATAGGAAGACACTGTGCCTTTGTTGGGTACAAGGTATATCAATTATATAGCACTGCATAAATACACAGAGAACAAGATTTTTCCTCTAAATCACAATCCTGGTCCTCATAGAATAGACCCTAAGGAATATGCTTATTTAAAATAAGAAAATATCAATTGAATGTAACTTCAACAAGAGCAGGAAGGTCAGGCCAATCAGTTTATAAGGAGTGAAACAGTCTAAGAGACCAGATGGCACAGAGACAGGAAGCCAGAGAGATGAAGACAAAAGTTCGTTGGTAATATCAGCAATTCTATAGGTATATTTTCGTTGTCTAAAACTTATTTTTTATAAACACAGCCATTTCACAGTGTCCACATATTATTTCTTCCTTCTGATAAAAATCTGTTTAAAAAACAGTCCTACTTTTGAAAAATGTTAGGCTATCTTACAGAACAAAATAAAAAGTCTCTTAAACTTAAATGCTTATTGCTAAGTGAAAGAAAACAATCTGAAATGCTATATGCTATATGAGTCCAACTATATGACATTCTGAAAAGAAAGCAAAACATTGGAGATAGTAAATAGGTGAGTGGTTGCCAGAAGGTGGGAGAAGGGAGGCATGGATAGGTGAAGCAAGGGGATTTTTAGGGCAGTGAAAGCACTCTGTATGGTATTATAATAGTGGATGCATGTCATTATACATTGGTCCAAACCCATAGAATATACAACACCCAGAGTGAACCCTAATGGAAACTATGGGCTCTGGGTGATAATGATGTGTCAGTGCAGGCCCATTGGTTGTAAGGAATGTACCACTCTATGGGGCGTGTTAATAGTGGAGGAGGCTGTGCATGTGTGTGGGGGCAGGGGGCTACAAGAGTTACAAAAAGTAAAATCACTCTCTTTACCTTTTGCTCAATTTTGCTGTGAACCTAAAACTGCTCTAAAAAATATAGTCCAATTGTTTTTCTTTAAAAAGAGAACACTTAAAAAGAAAAACAAAGTCTCCTCTTCCCACATTCTCCAATTTCCATAAGGAAAGGAGAACAGCACCCTCATGGGCCAAGCACAACTGCAGCCATGTCACTGAGAGGGAGATGGGATGTAATCCATAGAAAATTGGAGGGCGTTGACTCTGCCATGTCCTCCCCACTAGATCTGCGTCTACCAGAAAGTTTTTATGTCTTGTTCCTAGTCAATAGGGGGTTTGTTCACGTAGCTCCTAACCCTATGTTGTTCTCACTTTACAGAAATGTTCCACCCCAAAGCAGCAATGGTACCTGAACCACGTCAGTCCCTGGTGGACACTATTTTTCATACACACCTTGAGGAATGTCCTGGAGGAATCGCTTGGCAATCTTCAGACGAGAAATGCTCATGGTAAATTGTGGATTTCTTCTTTAGCTCCTTTGGGGGATGTTACGGATACCATGCCTCCATGGCCAGACTGTTAGGAAGTTTAAAATCAGAGGTGATTACCAGGGAGTGGGTACCTCGAGCAACCTGGAAGCAGGGCGCTGAGACCTGTCACACACAGTCAGGAACTCCATCAGCAGCTGATGTTGGCAAGGCCCTGAGACCTTTCCAAAATACCAAAAGCAAATTCATTTCTTCCAAATGAGCTTCCCTAAACTTGGTTATTAGAGCCTGACCAGTTCAGATGGCTGGGTTCACGGAAATGAAAACCATTTTTCTCATGACCAACTCTGAGTTTCCAGTCTAACAGCCACAGCAAAGTGGCTTGATCTCTGTTCTACTCAAGTTCACAAAAAGGCAACAGGTCCTCAGAGGGTTGAGCTTGTGTGCATTTTCATAAGAGGAAATAAAACAGAGGTAATATGCAGTAATGAAAATCCTTTGGGGGCACTGGGAACTCAGATCACTGAATTTCTATGTGCAGGTCCTGACTTATCTGCACCTTGACTTTTCTATCTGTAAAACACACCTAGCAAACTTGACTTCTAAGCATGTGATGTGATATGGCTAAAGAAGTCCCAGCAAAGCTGGGAACTGTTCATCCCTTGAGATTATTCACTCACGTTGCTCCCTGTGTCTCTTACTCTCCTTCTCTACACATCTATGCATTGCCAACTTAGCATACTTGCAAACAGCTATAAAAACTGAATCTGGATCTCTCGGATCCTTCCACAAATTTTTAGATATAGAAATACTGAACAAATGCCTGGAAACTAATATATCAACCTCAAGAATGGATTGAAGAGAGTGTGTGTGTGTGTGTGTGTGTGTGTGTGTGTGTGTGTGTGTACATGCATATGTGCATGTTTTCCAAATCACTTTATCTTTTGACAATGGCTACAAGAGTTACAAAAAGTATAATCAATTCTTTTTTGGTTAATTACATTATGCCTTACTAAGGACAAAAAACAAATATGAAGACTAAATCTTACCCATATTGTTTTTTTCTCAATTAATGTCACCAAGTGTATCAATGGATTGTTTTTGGCTGCAAGAAACAAAACACCCAGTTAAAAGGGGTTTACACAGTAAGGACACACCAATAAGTGAGGAAGTAGGTGGCTTCAGGAAGGGTTCATTCATCAGCTCAATAATTGGTCTCTCTCAGAGTCTCCTGGCTTTCCCTGATGGTTGCAATTTGTCTGTCGCAGCATTAGGCATTACTTCTTACATGGCAAGTCAAGGCAAAAAGGAAAGGCCAATTTTGATGAATTGTTTTATGCAATATTTCCCAAGAGCGCCCAGCAAATTCCTACTGTCTTTCTCATATGCCAAGTTTAGGATGCCCACCTCTAAGCCAATTGCTGACCAAGGGATGTTCAAGAGTGTTACGATTGGCCCAGATCAATCAAGTTCCCTCCCTTAGGATCCTCCTGGTCCACCTGCCTTGACACATTGCTGTTTAAACCTCGACCTAATCAAGGTTCTGCTAGGAAGGGAGTAGCAGGAATGGACACACTGGGTAGATAATCAATAGTTGCCTAGTTACAATACTTTCTTCATTGCTTAAATATGTCTATTTAAACACAAACTATATAAACATTCTTAACTGAATAACAGATTACATAGTTATCTGCAATTGGAACAGAAATCTACTGTCTATATGACAGAGGTCTGGAAGTCCTTTTTACAAATTAAATTCAAAGCAAATTTTCTAGTTTCCAACTTTTAAAAAACTTTATCTAAGCTATTAAAATCCTAACATTCTTATAAAGTTAATCTTTCCTCCAAGGGTCTCTCTTTTTTAGTGGTCATAAGACTGAACTGCCAATCAAAGATCTAAATATGTATCAATAAGTATTAACAACTAAAGCTGATCATCTTTCATCACTTCTGTTTTTATCAGACAAAATAAAACAAATAAATCAAACATTACTGAGACTGGAATGATTATAACTAAATTCAGCTCACAATGAAGTGAAGTGGTGTGTGTGCACATATGTATCTGTGTGTGTGTGTGTGTGTGTGTGTGTGTGTGTGTGGTATTAGTCATCAACTACCCATGCTGACCTGTTAGCAATATGGCTTGTTGATATGATTATTTGAATAAAGCTATACATTTCAAGTCCACTTAAGAAACCAATCAGCAATAGCTCTGAATTCAGTAATAGCTTAGATATTTTCACAAGGACCAGGCCAGATGTGTAGTCAGCCATGTTTAGCTTTACGCTGACATTGGAATCAATGTCCGAAAAGGGGAAAGCAAAGATATTCAGGGAAAACAACTCCAGAGTCAAAGGAGGTGTCATGCCAGCTGAAAACACACTTGTAAAGAGAATGAATGTCTGTTTTTCTGCTCTTTTATCCCCTGATAGAACAATCAGCATCATCCGCTCGCCAGCCCCCAATGTTTTCATCCCAGTGAGCTAGGGCTTCTTTCCTAAATAGGCAACTAGCATTGCAACCTTCCTCCTCCCATCCCCACCAAAGCTTACCTATCCTGTGTCCTGTTCCAAGATGACCCTGCTTGAAATGATGGAAATGAATCCTAAAGATGAAATTAAATGTCACTGTGCTCATGGGCAGTAATGGTTTGGGAACGAGACTTGCAATGGAGCAGTTGCTTACAGGTCATGCCCAAAAGGAGTAATTCCTCCTGCAGATCGCAGGTATCTCAGAGAGGGAGGTAGGTAGAGAGCTCTATTTGGGACAGGAGAGGTGTCTCCCAGATCAGACCAGGGTGGTGGACTTCAGTTCCATTTAGGTTTCTGGACAGCTCTGACGACAAGGACAGAGGTTTGGTCACGTGGAGGTCTTGAGCCCAAGTCTCTCCACTTTCAATGTGCACAAGTCACAGACACAGCCCTCAGAACCTCCACAGCAAAAGGCTGAGTCCAGCCCAGACTCCGCAAATTCCCTCCTCCCTCGCAGGCCAAACAAGAACTAATTTTAAACCACCACAACCCAGCTTGGGGAAAAGGCCCAGGAAAGCTCTGCAACGGAACAGACAAAACTGTGCACTCCACCCAAGTTGTTTACTTCTCCACGGAGCCTTTCAGGGACTAAACACTGGTCTGGGGTTTGGGATGTCATCCATTCTACCCTGAAATTCCCTTTTCAGGTTAGGATTAGGAAATCCATCCCCACATTGGTCCCCACCTAGCCAGAAGCTCCTGCCTTTGTCCTCTTTTTGGTTTTCATTAAGAATTCAAGTCTGGATTCCTATTACAGAAGAGCTGAAGAAAGAGTCCTGCTAAAATTTGTCTATACCATATACACACTTAAGCTAGAAGCTTCTGTATCAGTCAGGGTTCTCCGGAGAAAGAGAACCAAGAATAGATTATATATATATATATATATATATATATATATATATATATATATTTATATATATATATATTTATATATATATATTTATATATATATATTTATATATATATATTTATATATATATATTTATATATATATTTATATATATATATTTCATATCATTAAGAAAAAACAATAATTTATAATTTGCTGTATAACATAATATGGAATATAATCTATAACATAATATGTAATATAATATATAACATAATATGGAATATATACATTATATTCCATATTATGTTATATAGCAAATTATAAATTATTATTAGTATTTATACATAAATTTACATGTATTTATAATTTATAATTTGGCACATAACATAATATAGAATATATAATGTAATAGAAATTTTATTAGAAATAGCATGTAATTATTATATTATATAAAGGTAACATAATTGTGTGATATAGTTTATATATCAATTACAAAGGTAACATAATTGTGATATAGTTTATATATCACACAACATAATTGTGTGATATAGTTTATATATTGTATTATATAAAATAATACAATAACATAATATACAAGTATTTATTAGCTTATTTACTTTCAGGAATTAGCTCATGCAATTCTCAGGGCTAGAAAGTCTAAAATCCATAGGGCAGGCTGGCAGGCTGGAAATTCCTGTGTGAGCTGAGGCTGCAGTCTTAAGGCAGAATTTCTCCTCCAAGTTTTTGGTCCCAAGGCCTTCAACTGATTGGATGAGGCCCACCCACATTATCCAAGGTAATCCCCTTTACTTAAAGTCAACAGGTTGTCAATGTTAACATCCACAAAATACCTCCTTAGCAACACTTAGATTATTGTTTGATTAAATGACTGAATACTGCAGCCTGTCCAAATTGACACATAAACTTATCCATCACAGCTTCCAACGGCTTTGCTGGTATCTGAATCTCTATGAAATCCTGTATGATAGAAGCTCTGGGGTTGTTCAAACCTCTTAGCTATGTAAAGCCACAGACTTGGTGGACCTAGGATACACGGTGTAACTCCACCCCAGGTCAGGCAGTGCCACCCCAGAAACAGAGGTCTCAGTACCCAAATAAAGTAACAATAAAACTCTCAGGTTGAATGCTTATTATGTGTTAAACAATTTGCTAAACATGGTAGCAGCAGCATTTGACGGGAGCTATTTCACTGAAATCAATCCCTCACATTCTTCCTTTAGAGATGAGGAAAATCTGAGGCTCAGAAAGGTTCTGTCACTTGTCCAACGTCACACAGTGTTTTCAGTGGGGGATTAAGATTTGAACCCGACTGTCCTAACTGCTCAGGCCTGCACCGTGTCCTGGAGAAAAATGTTATCTCCAAGTCTAAAAGTGGATAGATAATGAATTTCTTCTTTCTTCCCTTCCACCTTCCTTCCCTGTCTTCTTTCCCTCCTTTCTTCCCACCTACCTCCCTGCAACTGCTATAAACGTCTACGCTGGGCACAGCCCTGAGTTCGCAAGTTAGCAGCTGGAGAGAAGGGGTGGCAATAGGGAGGGAAGGACACAGTTGAGATACCGAGCGTTTTCAACTAGCAACTAATCAGGGTAAAGCAGGAAGAGAAGTTTTGAGTTGCAAAACATGTTTTTGCCAAAACTAAAAATTTGGCTCTGAAATGTTAAAATGTTACCTCCGGCCAGAGATGCCCTAAAAACATCTACCTTTACTCACACTCGCACTTACCCTGATGACATTTTGATGCAAACTTTCTCTGACTCCCAGACTAGAAGAGACCAAAGGATGCTACCAAAATCAGTCCCTGTCTTCAAGCAAAAGTGCTCACTGCATTTCAGATCTTCTCGGAGGAAGAGTCCAGCCTCACCTAAGACACTCACCTGCACAATGAATGACACGTGACATTGTCATGGCAGCTTTTGTCCTGACCTAGCCTTAGGTAGCACTGACAAATCCACTGCGTGCTCACTATTGGGTCATTTGACATTTGGAATCGGTGACCTGACAACACTGCCGTACGGAAAGGCTAACGGAAACAGAGGCTGCAGCCACAGCCCAGGAACGGTGGTCTTTCGCACACATGGGGCAGCCTCTGCCACAACTTTTTCTTCCAAGGAAATCAACACAAATGAAAACTGGCTGATGCTCTGGTCCACCAGAGGCTGAAGAAGAAAACCGCAAAATGGAGACTGCCCAATTCTAATTTAATTCAGAAGAACAAACAGGGCATCACTCAGCGGACTTCAAATCCCCAGTCAGAAGATTTTGCCCGTGGAGCAAATCGTTTCATGGGCCATCTACCCCACCTACTCCCTCCTGCCACAGCAAGGAGGTGAAAATAGCTCATGAAGCCATGGTGAGTGACATTCTCGTGACATTGTTGTCAATGTTGATCTTGTACTTTTTTAAAATGTCAAGTCAAACACACAATAGGAAAAATTTATTTATAAAGTAGCTACAGTACTGCTATGTGAGGCTCGCATTCTCTCTCTCTGCTCATGTCACTCAAGACCCTGGTCAAATGCCACTTTCTCAGAGAAGTCTTTCCTGGCCACCCAACACTCACTTTCCCTCGAGATCTGCTTTATTTTCTTTGTGACATCAAACTGTATGTTTGTTTGTTTCCTTATGATCTGTCCCCACTATTGGAATGTAACCTCTATGCAGATAGGGGCATTAATTTAATCACAGCTGTGTTCTAAGCATTTAGAACGATATCTAGCACACAGGAGGGGCCCGATAAATATTTGTTGAATGAATGTATCAATGGACTGGTCCAAGAATCAGTCATTTAAAAGACCCTGATGAAAACGAGCTGCCCTGGGGTTTGATATTTGAAGTTTCTCTTATTGGAGAGCTAGTCTGAAAATTCTTGACCACAGTTTCAAACCCCATGTGTTATGATTACACTGGTGTCAGGGAAGCTCTGACTTGGCTGGTCAGTAAACTAGCTGTGGAATTTTTCTACTTGTCACATGGACAAAAATGTCCTTGAGGAGGTATACAGTGGAAAGTTTGAGATCAAGTGCTGAAAATCAGATGGCCCAGGTCCCAGTCCTGGATCTGGCACTTCCTAGATGAGTCTTGAAATACTGATTTAACATTCCAGTGTTTTAGTTTCCTTGTCTGAGAAACATGGATGATACCCATTGTATCTACTTCAGAGGGTTTCATGTAAGGAAAAATAAGCAGATACATGTAAGTCACATTTGCTGGCACATAAGGGAGTGCTCAATAAGTGCTAGTTATTGTTAATATTATAATTTTAAAAAACTAATAGAAACATATTATTTAATCTAGGGCTAGTGCTTGGGCAAGGCAAGTGAAGCACCTAGAAGGCAAAATGTTAAAGGGTGGCTCACTCTCAGGTGCTGACCGTGCACCTGTATGACTCTGAGAATCCTTACATTTTGAGTGCTAGGTACACCACACACCTCACCCCAGCCCCAGCTCTGCAAGGAAAAGACGAGCAAGAAATAAAACAATGTAGTGCAAAAAATGTTCAATGCAGTTGGTCTCGTGGTTTAACGATGTTTACAGAAAACACCTGACTCCAGTGAAATGTAATTCACGAGAAGAGCCAGAGTTCATACAACCACAGGACCACAGTCACATTTTAGTGAATGTATTCCTAGAGGTCTCTGGATAAAATCCTTGCTGATAATGAGAACAGTGGTTCTCAGGGCCAATCTTCAGACTTGCTTGAGGCTCCTAGGGCTTCCACCCAATGTATCTGTAGGCAGGTCCACACACACATTATGCAAAGAGAGATCTTTGAGATGAACCTATAAAGACAAAACTTTATCATTAGAAAAAAAAAGTGCATTCGTAAATGTCATAACAATAAAATTATACTCCAAGACTTTGTACAAGATGAAAGTAATATGAAGAAGGGGCTACAGGAAAAACCTCAAAATCATCAGATGCCCAACTTGTCCAAACACAGTATAAGGAAAATGACTAACATGGTTTATTCCTATATATCATTGTATTAGTCTCTTTTCATGCTGCTGATAAAGACATACCTGAGACTGGGCAATTTACAAAAGAAAGAGCTTTAATTGGACTTACAGTTCCACATGGCTGGGGAAGCCTCACAATCACAACAGAAGGCAAGGAGGAGCAAGTCACGTCTTACACAGATGACAGCAGGCAAAGACAGAGAGCTTGTGCAGGAAAACTCCCCTTATAATAACCATCAGATCTTGTGAGACTTAGTCACTATCATGAGAACAGCATGGGAAAGACCTGCCCCCATGATTCAATTACCTCCCACTGGGTCCCTCCCACAACACATGGGAATTCAAGATGAGATTTGGGTGGGGACACAGCCAAACCATATCAAACATGATGTAGTTCCTCCCATGTCGTGTGGATAAACCAACCCTGCTCTCTCTAACCACACATCTGACTACCTTAGGGAATGGCTGAGAAGTCACAGAACCAGATACAAAGAAGGCTAACTATTTCTGGGATATGCTATCCTAAATTCTGCCCACTAAGGTTGTCCATGTAGAATGGTGGCAGATAAGCCCAATTTCCTCTCTTTCAGGAAATATGAATATTAAGCAAACCAAGACAAGATTGGTCTCTAAAGCCCAGTTCTCTATGAAGGTTGCTATGCCTCACAGTCCTGGCTACTAGGATCCGGAGAGATAGCATCCCTTTCTCCCCCTCAACATGCACCAATCTTGCAATAAATCCCCATTACAGAAAATAAACTGAGTTGAGGTCCTCTTTGCAGAGCCTGACATAAGGTTTCATACTTATCCATAATCTCCAAATGTACTAATAAATTTTGGTAATAATACAACTATCAAACTAAAAAGAGAAAATGAAAAAAAAAAAAGTCGGGGACCAGACATAGTGGCTCACTCCTGTAATCCCAGCACTTTGGGAGGCTGAGGCGGGAGGACTGCTTGAGCCCAGGACCAGTCTGAGCAGCCTGCTAAGACCCTGTCTCTACAAAAAAATACAGAAATTAGCCAGGTATGGTGGTGAGTGCCTGTGGTTGCAGCTACTTGGGAGGCTGAGGTGGGAGGATCACTTGAGCCTGAGAGGTTGAGGCAGCAGTGAGTTATGATTGCACCACTGCACTCCACAGAGTGAAACCCTGTTTAAAAAAAAAAAAAAAGGAAATGCCAAGAACAAACGTGTCTGTCTGTCATCATGTTCTTCCGGCATAGATGACTGATTTTTACAGAGTTAATGAAAATATCCACAGTGATATTCATGGTGCCTCCACATTTTAAATTATTTCTCCACTGTGCTTGTAAGAAAAGAGAAGCTCAGATCTATAGTTTGTTACTATAATCAATATTTTAGTGACCAACTTTCAAATATGCCATTTTGGCTGCTGAACCATTTAACTAAGTCAAAGGCTACACAACACATTCGGCCATCTTTATTTCTTCTCTTTCTCTCTTTGGCCAAAAGGTGGTAGTAGGTAATCAACTGATAGACTGCCTTTCAATAATGGAGGTCAAAATGTTCAAATCCAGGTTCCAGATGTCCTGGTTAAACAGCTGGGAGTGGAATTTGACTCCCATGGAAAGAGTTTAAGCCATGATTTGGTCATTGACCTCCAATGTTTGCTCTGACTTCTTACAGGGGAGTTCAAAGTGGAACTGTGAAGTTTCCCAAGCTCCATGCAGGTCACTGAAGTCCACCCTGCAAACAACAGTCCTTCACCTTCTGAAGACCTGTCACCTATGAAGCAGCAAGGAAGGAATTTCTTGGCTCTGCTTCCTGGCAGTCATTACCTGTGATCTTCTATCCCAATTGGTTGACCCTAGCAACTGAGCCCCATGAAATATGTATTTAGTGGACTGAATGAATTGGACAATTGAATCAGAAAAAGCAACAAGAACTCCCAAGGTTAAAACAAGTCCAGGACTACACTCCTCTCTTCCTGCCTCTCCACATTGATCTGCAGCTTCTAGAGAAGACTGAGCAAAGAGATGCTGGTGTCTTTGACTTCAGGGAAGAGCAATGTCAAGGAGAGAGGCCAGCAGATTTTTTTAAATCTCTATTCACCTGTCACTGTCCAGCCTGCCATTGTGGTGGGTGAAGACAACATTTAGGGATTCTAGTGCTAGTAGGATACAAACAACATTTCTATTTTGTTATTAAGTAAATAAATACCACTCTTTATCAACCTGCTCCTTCCTGGCGTGCAGAATGACTTATAGCTAAGGTAAATGGTCGCTCAGGAACTCATAGCACGTACCCACTTCCAGGTAGCTTCAGCTGAGCATTCAGCACAACACAGCATAAGGGCTAACAGTGAGCAGAAAGCCCCAAAACTCAGCACCTGTCTTTTTAGTATCTCATAGAGAAAAATAAATGCAGAAAGCATATTGAAAGTGGGGAAAGCATGCAGTCTTCTGAGGTTAGGGCCAGGCTGCAGCAACAGCTATGGTTGGCTGGACTCCCTGACACCAAAGAAGAAAATGCTGTATGCTTTCAAGGAGCCTTCTGGAGTACTGAGCTAGGACATAAAAACATTCAACTGCTCTTGCCATTTGAATGGGGAAATATATGGTTCTAGGCCTGCAGCAAGAAAAGTGGTGCATTCCACCCAGCATTCTCATTCTAAAATGCAAATTGGATCACGTCTGTCTTCAGCTTCATGGTATTCATTGGTTTTAGATGAATTGCAAAGTCTTTAACATCGCAGAGAAGGCTTTTTCTGGTCTGACCGCAGCCTATTTCCCCAGGTTTATCTCTCACTCCATCCCATACCTGCACTGGCCTTCTGTTTTCTAATTATCTTACTGACCTGCCATTCCCAGAACCCACCATGTTTTCTCTTATACCTGGATTTTGCACATGCTGTTCCCTCTACCTGGAACATATTTTCCCCACCCATCCATTCTCTGGCTAACTGTTACTGGACTGAAAAGCATATCACAGAAAACAAACAGTACCAGCTGTCAGCGGACAGTTTTTGCATTGTATTAATATTTTCTTTCTCTGAAGCTCCAGAGACCAAAAATGTACAAAACAACAAATCAAGCAACCTCACATGGTAAATAATTTTTCACCAATAAATGTTAAATATAGTTCATATATGCTTATATTATACAAGTCTTCTAGGAAGACAGACATTAACGATGCAAATTTTAAAGTTCATTTCTTTAAAAAAATCCATGTATAATATTAGCAGATTATTCTTTTTGGAGTCAGATATATGCGGCTTTGAGTATCAGCGCTGCCACTTACTAGCAGTATGATGTTATGCAAATTATCAACCCCTTTGTGCCCCAACCTTCTCATCTGCAAAGTGGAAATCATCCTAGCACCTGCCTGATGGACGTCTTGTGAGGATCAAATGAGATGATAAGAATGAAGTGCCCTGTGCTACTTACCAGGCATGCAGTGTACTCAGTCAACTCAATGAATGATCACTGTTACCATCTTCATTGTTGTCATCATCATCATCAATATGTATCAAGAGCCCTGCTGCATCTTTCTCTGGTGGCTCCTGGTGCTTTAAAACTTGATATGCTCATTCCATTCTGCAGCTACCAAAGCCTTTTGAGGGTTAACCTAACCTTGATCACTCCTGAAGAGCATCCAACCACCACCTTCATCTTGGGCAACAGGAAACTACAGGGCTCTTCTCAGGTGGTTATTCCCAGGAGGGGGAAACTTACTAAGACATACCAGAGGTCCTAATCAACAGAATAATTAAAAAGGGAGGCAGCCCTCTTCTGCAATCCCTGACATCTAAAGAGTCTGTCACCCTTTTCTAAGCCTATTCACATTTGTATGCCCAACTTGAGGGAACCGGGGCAGATGTTACTCTTCTCATCATTTTAAAATGAGGAAACTGAGGCACCTAAAGGCAAGCTGCCCAAGCTCACACAAGTGAACTGTTCAGCTCTTTCTTCAGATTACCCCATCCCATGCCCACTGTGCACACACCCTGAGCAGCAGCCTCCAACCTCAATATCCTCTACCCTTCCCAAAGGCGCCACCAGCTCCTTTACACAGTTTAGTTTTCCCTTCTCCCGACAATGGCCGTCTGTAAGAGGCCCCAGGTGCCTGGAATTTGAAATTGTTTTTCTTCCCTCCCTTCCTGAGGACCAGATTGTTCCTAAGCTCCAGGCTGCCTGGCCAGTGCAGGCCTGACTTGCTGGCACCTAGGGTTGCATTAAGGATATGGATTTGTTTTTGCAGGACTGCTCATGAGCGATGGAGTGCTGGCGTTGGCTTCCTTGTGAAAGGCACATGGCAACTAGGCATGTATTTGCAGGGAAGGAAACTTCAAGAATAAACAGAAAATACACACACTCCATATCCTGCCAGCCAAGCCCCAGCCTCCCCAGTTCTGACAGGTGATCCATTCTGACTTCCTTACTGAGCCACACACCCAAGCCAACTGAAAGCCTTGAAGCATGGCGGGTGGGAAGGAGCACAAACCCAGATTCTCCACATTCTAGGGGTGTGGGCTTGAAAACCTGAAACAAGGTCCACATCTGAAACCCAGGGAAAGCTATGCCTGCCTCTTAGAGTTATTGCGAGAATTGGAATTCAAGCTTATAACATGCCTATCCCAGGCCTGGAGAGTGGGTGCCAGGGCATGCTAGCCTTGTCAGCATTCTTTTTGGCTCCTCCAACATACCAGTCTTCTCTACCTCAGGGCCTTTGAATGTGCTCTTTTCTCTGCCTAGGATGCCCTCTCCCGTCCCTTCTCCTCTCACTCTCTCCTTGTGAATGACGCCCCTCATCCTCCAGGTTCCAGCTGAAATGTCATCTTCTCCAGGAGCCTTTTCCTAGCTACCCCTGATGCAGGAGAGAGCCCCCATCCTACCTCACCCCAATAATTGTTCTCTATATAGTTTGATTTCTTTGAATATTTATCACAATTTCTAATAATTTTTATTTGCTCTATCTTCCTGTCCAAATTTTAAGCTCCTTGAGGGCTGCTCTCTGCTGTGGCAGAATTTGTGCCTAGAATTAGACAGGGGCTCAATCAAAATCTGTTTAATTAATAAATAAATGCCATTACTTTGTGCAGGCTTAATTAGTTCAAGGGAGAGATCAATAACAGCCACTAGAACCCAGAATCCCTGACCCTGTGGGCAATTTTATCTCCAGCTGAGGTAAGATGAACAATAAATGGCAGTGGCAGAAAGAGGCATAGCCAAAAAGGCCAAGAACACTAATGGTCTTATTACCAGAAAGGACATTGCAAAAATGCAAATTTTTTATTGTGTGTTCTATAATATGGGGCCAGTATACTACACCAACTGGGCATTTCCACCCATTTCTGCTTGAGAATCTTCCCTACCTGAATGAATGTGTTGACTTAAAAACATCTAAACCACCTAAGAATTTAACAGCAGACTGGATGAAAAAAATACTGTCAGTGACAAGTTAATACATAGGAATTCACAATTAAGTTCTATCGTACAATACAGATTTCTGAGGGCCTTGGATTACAAACAAATGTGATTCTACACTTGATAGCTGAAAAACTTGCTCAGAAAATAAAATACAAAATTTCTAAACCATTCCAGAGACCTATTTAAAAAAGCATAAAATAGTCTACAATAACGATTTGGTTAAGTGCTTTGAAGGTCAGAGTGAGTTAGAGTTAGTTAGGAAAAAATTAAAAGAAAGCGTTTTGGCCAAGGTCTTGAAGAGAGTGATTGAACAGAGATTGGCACCAAAAAATTATAACGTTTTAGAACTGGAAGAAGGATTATTTTTATTATTAAACATAGCCCACTTATTTACAAATGCAGAAAATGGAGCCCAGTGTTCCCCACCCCCTCACCCAGTTCCTGCAGGAGAGGAGGGTCAGGACATTAGGAGCCGGGGCTCCCAGTCTTTCCACTACATCACCCAGGCCATTTTAGAAGGAGGTGGGGCAACATCTCAGCCAGGGCACCAAAACGAGTGAGCAGGATGTGGCAGTGGCTGTAGCAACCAAACTAGGCTAGGAGTGCAGAGACGTGACAAGAAACGCTCGAAGGTGGACGGAGGGTGGCCGGCGGCCACCTCATACAACACCCTTATTTTTGGCCTGTTGACTTGCTGAGCAGCACCTGAGTCATCCCCCTCAAGGCTTGTAACCAACTCAAATAGAGGAGCTTACACATCACCCTTTCACTTTGGGCATCGTGGGTGCCCACCAAATATGTGTTGATTTGCTTTGACTCTGATGCTCGGCCTTTAAGTGTGAGATGGGGGAGTCTGTGTTTGCTACCACCAGAGGGTGTTCTGTTTATGCTAGAAAAGTGCAGAGCAGGAAAAAAAGATATAAACCACCTCTTTTATAGATAGCAGGCATTGCTCCTTTTGAATTAAAATGCTTTTGTTAGTGTGGAAAGAGTTGAGCTGGAAGAATGTGTCAGAGGCTGGAAGAACAGCACAGAGGTGCCATTTTTGCCCTCCCTTTGCTACATCCAAGCATGGTACCATGGGTGTGGTCCCCTTTCTCGAGCTGGAGAAAGAGCCTCCCCAGAGACATTTGGATTCCAGCTCTGTTTTTTAATAGCCACATGACCTTGGGCATGACTTTGACCTCTGTGAGCCGCACTCCCCTCTTCTGCTAGCATTTGGGGAAGCATTTCAGCATTGTGCCATGGCAAACAGCAGGTGCTCAAAAAATACCAATTCTTCTTTACTTACTGATAAAAGTAGCCCAAGGGGAGTGGACAGGCTGCATGGAGACAGGGAAAGCAACTCTTCAGTGGTCTGGTGGCAGAAAAATGGGAGTTTGGGGAAGACAAATGGGAAGTTCATTTTCATGCTGCTGATAAAGATACCAGAGAGTGGGTAATTTATAAAGAAGAGGTTTAATGGACTCACAGTTCCATGTGACTGGGGAGGCCTCATACTCATGGTGGAAGGTGAAAGGCACGTCTTACACGGTGGCAGCCAAGAGAGAATAAAAGCCAAGTGAAAGAGGGAACCCCTTATAAAACCATCAGATCTCATGAGACTTATTCACTACCATGAGAACAGTATAGGGGAACTGCACCCATGATTCAGTGACTCCCACCAGGTCCCTCCCACAACACGTGGGAATTATGGGAGCTACAATTTAAGATGAGATTTGGGTGGGGACACAGCCAAACCTTATCAATAGAGCACTGAGGAATTGTCAAATCAGGAAACAAACCCAAAAACTTCTCAAGAGGAAGAAATGGGGCCATGGTTAGAAATGAAGAGCAAGGTTCAGAACACTTGGGCATGCAGCCCAGTACCACCAAGGCAAGAGCATTTGAGCAAGTTCTATTCCCTCTTTGGATCTCAGCATTTTCAAGTAAAAATAAGGAAGTTTTAATATTGATCGCTGAAGGTCCTTATAGCTCTATGGTTCAATGGCATCATACATGACCACGGCAAAGGGGAGAGGCTGGAGCAAAGGAAACTCCTCCCTGGTTGTCTTTCTCATCAAGGGCAGAAGCCAAATAGACAATCACATCAGGACCTAGTGGACTTAATGATCCTCAGAATAGTGTCAAAGAGATAAAGGTGAAGTGCGCTATTTTCAGCCCAGAGGGTCTCCATTCTTTCCAGGTTCCAGCTATATTGGGGCAAGTTGCATGGGAGGCGTATTAAAGGGAACAATCCAGTCTATCACAAAAGGCCCTGAGATTGGACGGCGTGGTAAGAAAATCCATTAAAACCGCCTCTGGCTTTGACCATGTTTGCCTATAAATTAAGCTCTGGTACCTAAGCCATTTTCTCTTTCCTGCCCTTCCAGGTTGAAGGAAGAGAAGCTAAGAGGATGAAATAGGAATTCAAAGTGCAAGTCCATCATACCAAAGAGCTGTCTCAATTACATCCTGACCCCTTTTAGTAATGTGGCCAGGGGTGTGCTTGCAGTTGGTTTAGTCCCCTGACATTTCACCACCTCCAAGATAGGCCTGGGACTGCTGAGACCCCAGTGGTAACCAAACCAAGGATCCTGAGAACTTCCCAGTGCCCAAGCTGGCAAACAAAAGAACATGAGTGTTGTTTGGGTTAGGTAAGCCGATACTGCTCTTCCTTTCCAAACTATCTGGGTCTGTGGAAGCTGGATATATTAGTTTCCGAAGGTTGCAATAACAAGGGACCACAAACGGGGTGGGGGTAGGTGGGGAGGGGGTTAAAATAACAGAAATGTATTTTCTCAGAGTCCTGAAGGATAGAAGTCTAAAATCAAGGTATCAGCAGGGCCATGTTCCCTCCGAAGGTTCTGTTCCCTGCCTCTCTCCTGGCTTCTGGGAGCCTCAGTCATTCCTTGGCTTATAGATGCTTCCTTTCAATTTCCCACCTTCTCATAGGGTTTCTTCTATCTCATCACAGCATCTTCCCTCTGTATATGGCTGTGTCTAAATTCTCCCTTTTTATAAGGATATGAGTCATATTGGATTAGAAGCCCACCCTACTGGCTGGGGTAATTGAGCTATACCCAAAGATGAGTATGACCTCATCTTAACTAATTATATCTGCAATTACCCTGTTTCCAAGTAAGGTCCCATTATGAGGTCCTGGAGGTCAGGTCTTCAACATCTTTTGGGGAACACAATTCAACCCATGACAATGGGCTTCTGTAATTTATGATCAAGGGGTCAAGATTTGAAAGTAACATTCCTGAAAGATTAAAGACCGTGAAGATGTACTCCTTGTCCCCAGTGTCCCTTCACCAGAAACAATACATTTTGCTGGACACCAACACAAGCAGTTCCAAGCCAGATACTGGCTTATAATCTCTCTCTCTTCACCCAGCCCACAACTAACTCCTCCATGAGCTGCCAAACACTCAGTATACATTCTCGTCACCAAGAAATGCCACTGGAATGAATCTGCACCAAAGCTGTTTATGTGACTAATGAACCTCCATTACGTTGCATCCAAGTAGGAGTAAAATTTATATTCTACTCAATGAAGGAGGGCTTTCTTGGGGGAGGGAATCACAGATGGCTGGGAATAGAGGCGGGCATTTAGAAAAAGCCACATATATGAACAAATACCAACACTGCAACACTGTAAAGGTATCTTGTATCAAGTTGGGAACTGTTTCTCCAAACCTCCACAAAAAAAAAAAAAAATTCAAACTAGAATACTTTCAGGGGTGGCGGGGGAGAAGGCATCCCCTTTTCTCCTTCCATGGTTTCAGGTACAGAAAGTTGGGGGTAGTTATAAAAAAGGCTCCATCACTGGTGTCTCCTAACATATTATTTCTGTATTAGTATTATCAGGCTTGTTAGCCAAAGACAGATGCCGAACAAAAAGCTGATCACATTTCCCAATCTTATTTGCAAACAAGCGTTCATTTCCTGCTTATCAAGGCACAGTGCGGGTACTTTGTCCATTCAAATCATTGTCTTAAGCCAGTGATGCAAACCAATGAGCAAGGTTCACCCCAGCCAGAGCCTGGACGCTCAATGTCATTGAACTCAAGGAGCAGATAATTAGTATTGAAAGGTGTGATTGCAGCCCAGTCGGCCAGGTAATCAGCCCCTGATTTCTCTTCAGGACTCTAGACCAGTTGGAAATCTTAGCCCTAGAGGAGGCTGGAGGGAATTATCCTGGAAGTGTAGTATCCCTTTTCAAATATAAACACCAGACAATTACAGCAGCCAGTTAGCCCTTCCTTGCTCAGCACACTTGCGTTTCAGGCAGCGATTGGAAGGGACCCCAGCTCTGCCCAGGCAGCTGTCTCCCAGCCTTGGCTCCCCAGGGCTCTTCCATCAGCTCACTAACATCTTCCAAGACTGTCGCAACCTTGAGATGTCTCTGCAGACTGAGCCTCCTCATCTCGGTGCTTGTTTTGCAAACATTTGGCTGCTTCATGGGAACCTGCCTCAACCTGAGGCCTGAGCTCTCTCTTGGCTGGGATGGTGAAGTCTTCTTGAGAAGGGCTGATCTCTTTTCTGATCACTCAGATCAGATGGCTTGGAAGTGACAAAGTGAAATGCATCTCTCTGCCATCCCTTCAAAGATGGAATGCCAGTTCTCCGTTCTCAGCAGCCAACAGCCAACTTTGACATAGAACTTGGTTGAATATCTAAATGGACACTCACGTCGGAGCATAATTTTTAGGAAAGTAGCTAAAGGTTCAAAACAGGTCCCCAGTCTCCTTTCTGACCCTGGGTGGCCCCTTCTCTCTGGACAGGGATGTCATCTGACAGGGAAGATACGTATGGAAATGTAGTCGCCTCTATATCAAAGAATGCTTTCTCCATTTTCTTTACGGTGCTTTGCTTTAACCAAATTCACAATGGCTAACATAGTTAGACAGCAAAATAAACATGAGTGGCCATAAAACACTGACTCTTCCAGACTCTGATGGAGGCTGTGCAGCCAGCTACCCGCCCCTGGACTTGGAGGGAGGGCCTAGTGTATAAACAGAGTTTGCATGCAAGACTCCATGTGTTATCAACATATCACATTCAGGCTCCTGCCAACCCCACAGCAGACACATAACTCTACATTATGTAATGTGGAAATCAGCAAGGCTTCGAGAAAAGTGGCTTTTTGTTCCTTAGAACCTATCTTCCACCTAGGGTAGATGTCCTCCCAGTCAAGCCAAGCAACTCTCCGTGGCCACCCCCCAGGCCAGGGGCTCACAGCTTCAGGCCACTGCTGCTCCTTCTTTCTTTTAGAAAGTGCTGAGCTTTGGAACACTGGGCAAAGGCCTTCTTGCCTTCTAAATTAGCCTTCTCTTGCTTCCATTACACCATACTTTTTTCTGCCAACATTTTATTATGCAATTTTTCAAATATCCAGAAAATCTGAACCACTCCTGAGATCTATTTTTAAGTTATTACTCTCTCGTGAATGGCTCTTGAATTCTTCTCCTTTCCTCCAAGTAACATTTTTCAAGATACCTGTTGTGGGAAACATGTGGCATGGGATGTCAGTGCCCCACATGGCTGCTCAAGTTGTAATCCAGGGCTTCTCTCGGTTTTCTTTCAGAGATGAGAAGAGTCCAGGCTTCAGTTACAGACAGACCGGGGTTCTTCCTAGCTAAACTCTGGATGTGTTTCTTTACTGCTCTGAGCTTGAGCTTGCCTTCAAATGGTGGTGGGCATGACAGCCAATCCAACTATCCTGTAGTGAGCACTTACTAGATGCCAGGAACTCTTCCACATGACACCCAGGGGCTCTAATCCTCATAGTAACCTCAAAGGGAGGCACTAGTGTTATCCTCCATTGTAGATAATCAGGCTGGAAACCCAAGCCTACTGCCTGTGGTGCTGTAGGAAGCACGCAGAGTGTTTATGACACACTTAGCACAAAGCCTTCACTCATAGTGGCTTTTCAACAAAGAATTCAAGGATTATTCTTATCAATAGTGGCAACATTTTTGCAGAGGGCACCCAATCAGCACACAGTCATACAGAACACAGACTGTAATAAGCACTTCTCATTGTCCTGGCCTTCTACACACCATTCTTTTAGCATCTGAGTTTGTTATCAGTGGCCTAGCACTAATGGCAGCACCCCTAAACCAAGGCTTTATTTGGACAGCAATCTTCTGTGTAGCTGGCAAAGCCTCTTCTGCAAAGCACTGCTTTGAGTTCTGATTTTTAATTCCGAACACTGCATGGTATCGTTGTGATAATGGGAAATGTTGAAGTGCTGTCATTAGGTACTTCTACGTCATATCAGATAAACAGAATTCAGACACAAGCACTAAGGTAAAGCTTTATTGGATGGATCATCTTTTTTTTTAAGTGATGGAAATATATCAACTCTAAACTCTGTCCATATGCTCTACTGTAAACATGGCTATTGGCATGGTGAAAATATTTCCAGACTGGTTCATCCCTCTTCTGTTCACTTCAAAGATATTTTCCACAGTGGTTGCCATACAAATTCTAAACCCTAAAGATTCTGGGGCTGGTGCCCCATAGATGATTAGCTCTTCTCTAGGGTGAGGTATGGTTTCCTTAAAAGCAAATGGACTACCATCTTTCAGCCCAAAAAGCTCT
Source organism: Homo sapiens (assembly GCF_000001405.40). Lineage (NCBI taxonomy): Eukaryota > Metazoa > Chordata > Mammalia > Primates > Hominidae > Homo > Homo sapiens. The sequence goes on from NC_000017.11 coordinate 72,103,264, forward strand.
TGACTGCCTCCAACCCCTCCTTCATCCTAAGCTCCTCCAAACTCACTCTAAACAAACTCTCCCACAAGGAAGCCTGTCGAAGGTCTTTACAGTAAGTATCCTGGCCTTGGAAAAGGACAAAGAAAGGGCGAGCAGACACTGAATCTTGATGAGGAACTTTCTTCGAGCAAGAGGTAGAACTGAAGCACAGAGAACGTGGCATAGCTTTTCTAAAGTCGCAGACCAAGTTGGTCAAAAGAAAGAGAGAGCCCAGGAGTTCGGAATCCAGAGTGCTACTGTGCATTAGATCAGTAATAATTTCCATTAGCATTAAGTCCAGAGACCTTGGAACCAAAACAAATCCAACTGTAGAACAAGTGTTTTGGGGAAAAAAAAATTGAAAGCTCCCTAACAACATCATCTTTCTCACGGGGATGAAGTTTCAGATACACCAAGACAGGACACTTTATGAGTCGGATAAATTGTGTATCCAGAATAAGAACGAAGAGGTATATCCTGCATCTTCACCATTAATAGTTAAAGAATACAAGCTGGAATTTGGGGAGTATTGAGGCTAGAGTTTGGGAAAAAGATTCCCAGTCCAGGAAAGGGACAAACAGCTACAGAAGGAACAGAATACTGACTGATCCAACAGTGAAACTCTCCCCAAAGGAGAGTTACAGGCAATTCCAGAGCTATACGTACACAAATATGATTCTTGCTGAAATCTAAAGAGAAGAAAGGGTGAAAGGCGAAGAGGGATGAGATAAGGTAGTAGGATCCACCAGGAGCCCACATACATTCTTGACAATTATAATTAAGGACTTCCTATTGGGACGGACAATCCTGGCAAGACATCTGGTCACATTAATCCTCCTTTGGGCTGTGGAAGTTCACCACCAGAGGTAGATGTGTCATTGCAGAGAAACAATCAAGGATGAGGAGAGAAAGGGATGTTTTCGGTGGGCTGGCAGCACAACTTTGTGGACTGCCCTGTTTTTTAACAAACCCACAGAACTCTGTGGAGCCAAGTGTTCTTCACGCTAGGCCAGACTTTCCTACCCCACCTTGGGGGTCTGCCAGTTTTTGCTGGCTCCCTCTCCAATGTCAAGCCTTCTTGTGAAATGACTGGTGCTTCCTGCTTCCCATCACAACCCCGACCCAGACACGCCACCTCTCCCTGGGTATCCGCCCTATGGCTTAATGAAAGGGAGCCAAGGGGCTCTTGAGGACAGAGAAGCCCCTGTTCAGAAGAGGAGAAAAAGAACAGGGTCACTTCCTTCCCTGTTTTCTAGGTTTCTTCCGCCTTTTTCTCTTCCCGCCGTCCCCTCCCATGGCCGCTGCTCCTTGGCCTTGATTCAGCACTGCATTCCTGCTTCTTTGTGTCCCAGCCTCCCAGCTTGCAAGGCCGTGGGGATGTTCAGAGAGTTAACAGCTCCAAGAAATTCTCATCTCCATAGACCTGTCTACCCACCTCCCACCTGGGCTGCAGAGAAACAGCCAACATTCCTTCAGGCCCACAGAGAAAGGGTGTGACTCGAATTACTCAATGAAGCCTCCAAGCCAGCCTCTTATGCCCCCAAAACAATAGAGTTGTATTTTTCTTGGACTTCATTCATTTTATTTGGTTTCTCCTTTGACTAGCAGAAAGAACTCCTTTCCCTCCCTCTCCCTACCACCACTTTTCTTAATCCACCAGCTTCACTCTTCCAGTAGAACCCAACCCCCCAACCCCAGTAGGGTGAAGCCTTGGATCATGAACTTGAGTGACGTCAGCGAGCTTGAGAAACGCCATCCGCCATCCGCTTCTCCTGGGCTTTCTCACATGTGGGAATCATCTCTTGGGAGTCTGCATCCCATCTCTGATCTGTTTGTTTTGGATGCTAATCCCAGGACGCTGGGTGAGGTGTTAGGCAGACTGACCTTTCCTGTTTTCTGAGTCAGTGATCTTAGATCACTAAGTCAGGTGCTAAGTGTTGAAAATTAAAATCAATGTGTGGGGCCTGCAAGAGGGAGACAAGAAGGTGAGAACAAAGGGTGAAAGGGGAAGGTGACATCTAGTTTTGTTTGAAACAAACAAAAACCTATCTATCTGCCATAAATCCATCCTCATCAAAAAGAGATTCTGGTAGCTGGTGTCTCGTGTGCCTGTAGTCCCAGCTACTTGGGTAGCTAAGGCAGGAGGATCGCTTGACCCAGGAATATTAGGCCAGCCTGGGCAACATAGTGAGACTCTGTCTCTTAAAAAAATGGCGGGGGTTGGAGGGATTGTACGTATTTGGTATGAGGCACACATTACGAAGAATATGATGTGGACATGAGTCCTCCTGACAAATTGCCTCTGAAAAGCTACAGCCCATCTTAACTCCCAAGGCAGCTTCCACTCAACCCCAAACAGCCAAATCTTCTGGTATTCAGGGAATTTTTGTTTGATTGTCTACTGAGCTCCCGACGTATGTCAGGCTGTCAGGCTGCAATGATATTTAAGGAGAATCTTTTTTTTTTTTTTTTTTTTTTTGAGGCGGAGTCTCACCCTGTGGCCCAGGCTGGAGTGCAGTGGCATGATCTTGGCTCACTGCAACCTCTGCGTCCCGGGTTCAAGTGATTCTCCTGCCTCAGCCTCTCGAGTAGTTGGGACTACAGGCGCGTGCCACCACGCCCAGCTAATTTTTGTAATTTTAGTAGAGACGGGGTTTCACCATGTTGGCCAGGATGGTCTCGATCTCTTGACCTCACGACCTGCCTGCCTTGGCTTCTCGAAGTGCTGGGATTACAGGCATGAGCCACCGTGCCCAGACAGAGTATCTTACCTCTGCACCAAGCTAGGGTATTTAAGGCACCACCAATTCCACCCCCAGCTTCTTTATCAAACAAACAGATCTGATGGAATAACAATGCTAATAATGCCAGGTGTTTGGCTTGGATTGGCTTTTTAAATCCAGCTTTTATCTCAGAGGTCAAAATCCTGAGCAGGCCCAAGACAATGCAGCCTAAACATCTTTAGAAACTCAAGACAACTTCTCATTTTAAATATGAGGAAGCTGACTTGTTGAGAAGTGAACTGTTTTACAGGTCACATTAACATAGTTATAGAAACACAGAGGTCACATTTTTGGTCTAAGGCACTCCTGATTTGGAATTACTCCCTGAAAGATCTATGGAGGTTGTACTGTATTGACAAAAATTGGCTTTTAGGTTTAACCAGATGCCCTACCCATCTGCCCAGTCTTTGTTGCAGGACAGTCTTCAACCCTCCAATCTCCCATTCCAGCATAGAGCAGGGACTTCCTTCTACTTCAGCATATCAAGCAAAGCAGGCACAATTCTTTTCAACAAATATCTGTTGAGTATCAGTTTTGTGCAAAGCATTTGCTCAAATCAAATAATAAAAAGTACAGAGCCCACTTGTGAAACAAACCGTCTCATACTCTTCATAGACACGTTTTCAAAAGTCAGCAACTCATCCTTTTTCCTACAAAATTCTGTTCTCAAGAGACAACTTGACTATCAAAGGAAATAAAATATCCCATTTTCTCTTCTCTGGGAAGCACACACACACATTTTTATAAAATAATAATTTACCTAGTAGGATTTACACATCACTGATGTAAATATACTAGACCTGTCTAAATCTAAACTCCAACTACACACGAATTTTTTTAACGCTCCACAAAAAAGAAAATGAGAAAAGCAAAACTCAACAACACCCTAAAGGAGTCAGATCCTCTTTCTATATTGTCAGGTAATTGTTAGCAGAAATCAGCTGTAATAACAAGCCATTTTAAAGGAATGCCAATTCCATTCTATCCTGCTTAAAGAAGATCCAGAATCTGCCTTTGTTCCTAACCTGGGCAGTATGGAGAAAATAACAATACCTTCTTTCAGAAACTGTGGGGAATCTGAAAGGTAGGATTCCTGCTCTCCCAGATAAGAGCTGGCAGGAGAGGTGGCAGCTGTCAAGGGGGAGGCTTGTGTGAGCCCTGGGGTCAGCCAGGAGCACCCTGGAGAGAAGACCAGGACCATCAGAAGGGAGCAAAGTAAGAGGTGCTTCAGGGAGAAAGTGCTTTGCTTTCCGAAACTTAAAAAGGATCTCCACTCCTCAGTGTGGACTTGTGTGCAGCCAAGGCCTCCAGAGACTGCAGAACCACCAGTCTCTGGAAACGTCTCCTTCGTCGTCCTGGCTGACGGCATGTTTGCAGTTTGGGACTGTTTTATGCAGCTGATTCTTTCCAAGAGTCTGAGGTTTAGGGTTTGGGTGAGCTTGCTGCTTAGCCTTTCCCCCCTTACCTTTTTATTCACAGTTTCCGACACACAAAGCACTTTAAATTATCCATGGAAACCTTTGTGACCACAGACTTAGAACACAGCTATGACCAAGTGTCAGAAACAGGGAAGGCATCCGCGAATGTCCAGCTATGTGGCATGAATGTGTTGCTTTCTCTTTTCCTAATCAGGTCCCAAAAGTGGCATTTCTTTGCAAAGGGCTACACAGACAAGGGCTTTAGCTAGAAAAGCACCACTGCCTGACATGCTGAATTAAGAATGAAGTTGCCCTTGGGTTGGTAAATTTGGGTAGTCGGATAGCACGCAGCCAGGCCTCTCCTAGCCGTTCAAGAAATGTTTGTGGAATGAATGTGCACTGCTTGTTTAAAGAGCACGCTGTCATTGTTAGAACACACTGGACGCTTCCCAAGGCAGGAGTTTTAACATTTAAATTTTTCATTGTTCTTGCCCTCCCACTCCCCTCAGCCTTCCTAGCTCCCTGGAGAGGGGCCTGAGCTCAGGGAAAGTCAATAAAATATATTCTTGAACTGACTGATCTTTGTCATTTTCATGAAGTCCCCTGTCCTCATTCTGTCTATATTCACTGGAGTCAATACTTAGCAATGCCCTCACCCCATCCATTCCATTCTCTAACCAATTATACAGGAATAATTGCCAAAAATTAAAAGACTAACCCCAATTGAATTGGAATCTGGCTGTTTCATGGAGAAAACAGTTAAAGAACAATGGAAAGGACACCAAAATACTCAGGGAACCCTAACCCTATCTACGTCATGGTTTTCTGCAAGTCATAACCACCCCCTCTGTGTTTTGCTCTCTTTTTTCCTTAAAGGAGCATATAGCAACCCTCTTCCCACCTGTTCTGCATGAGCAAGTTTTCAGCACCAGTGTTTGCTGTACCAAGGAAATGTGTTATCATTCAGACCTGGCTTGAACCAGACAGTTCTAACCTCAATTTCCCCCAAAAAGAATGTGCCCTTCCTGTACATGTTCCTTCAGCATTAGGGGACAATTGGGAACTCTGGGCAGGTGGGGAGAATGAACACAAGGGCAAACAGCTTGAAGCAATGGAGATGCAGATAACAGAAGAAACCACTTGGGTACCACACCTGCTATGCCCTATGCAAAATGCAAGACAACTACGGAGATTCAGCAGTTCTCAGCAGGCAGGGCACAGTGGCCCACACCTGTAATCCCAGCACTTTGGGAGGCCAAGACAGGTGGATCACCTGAGGTCAGGAATTCGAGAGCAGCCTGGCCAACATGGTGAAGCTCCATCTCTACAAAAAAAAAAAATATATATATATATATATACACACACACACACACACACACACACACACACACACACACACAAATTAGCCAGGCATGGTGGCGCGTGCCTGCAGTCCCAGCTATTTGGGAGACTGAGGCACGAGAATATCTTGAACCCGGGAGGCGGAGGTTGCAGTGAGCTGAGATTGCGCCACTGCACTCCAGCCTGGGCGACAGAGCAAGACTCTGTCTCAAAAAAGAAATTCTCAGCGGCCCCTCTTCCTTTCTAACCCACTCTCTTCCATTGACAACCTGGCTCAGGGACTGCCATCTCTAAATGTGAACTAACATTGTCCCACAAAATCTGTAGTCCAAAGAAAACAAGGCAAGGCCAGAAAGAAACAAGGCCATGGTAAACACAGTTTCCCCCGATGTGGAACAGAGATGATAACAGGGTAGCCATCCCAGTTTGTATTGAGTTTTTACATAATAAGCTTCCAAAATTTGGTAGCTATTGTTTTCTTGTTTCATTGTTGTTGTTGTTAGTGTTGGTTTTTACCCCTTAACACCTACAGCTGTGAGATTTGAGCCAAGTAATTAACCACTCTGCACCCCATCTTTCCCGTCTGTAAAATAAGGAAAATAACAAGAACCCACCACGAAAGGTTCCTGGGGGCACACAAGGTAATATATCCAGGTAAAGCCCTTAGCAGACTACCAAGCTCATACAAAGGGCTGTGCAAGCACTGCCTTTTATTAAAAAATGTCACGCCGGGCACAGTGGCTCACACCTGTAATACCAGCACTTTGGGAGGCCGAGGCGGGCAGATCACCTGAGGTCTGAGGTCAGGAGTTCGAGACCAACCTGGCCAACATGGTGAAACCCCATCCCTACTACAAATACAAAAATTAGTCGGGTGTGGTGGCGTGCGCTTGTAATACCAGCTACTCAGGAGGCTGAGACAGGAGAATCGCTCGAACCTGGGAGGCGGACGTTGCAGTCAGCTGAGATGGCGCCACTGCACTCTAGCACTCCAGCTTGGGTGACAGAGCAAGATTTCGTCTCAAAAAAGAAAAAAAAAGAAATGCCTCCGGGAGCAGAAAAAGGACAGGGTAACAATAGAGGGCCCTGCACTTCCAAAATGATGAGGACTCTTCCAGGTGTAAGAGGGTGGTGGCATCCAATTTCTGCTTCGTAGAGTAAAATGATTTTGAAAATCTGGATCAAGATATAAAAAGGCTGCCACATCCCATAGAGAAGAAAGAAATCCCAGCACATAGCGGAGTAAAATAAAGTAACGATCATTGTGAAACAAACTCAACCCACACACCATTCCTACAAACCCGGGAGAAGGGTCTCATGAAAAGGAAATTAAACAAATGGAGGACACGTTTGATGTGCATGGTTCAAGTCACACTTTGTTCTCTGCTCCTAGTAGACAAAGTCAGCCAAACCCTGATTAGGGGAGAGGGGAAGAGATAAAATCAGAGATGCACTTCACAAAATAGTGGAGTCCCAGTCTGTCCACGTGACCCAAAAAAGAGTGAACAAGAGCACAGGGAGAACAAGAAGACTGTGGAGGAGTGGGCTTGCGGGGTGCACCCGTACCCTGAGTTCCGTGATAGCAGCAGCATGAGGAATTCTGTGTATGCGCGCGGCGGCGGGGGAGGCAGGCGTGGCCCCTGAGACGCCGCATCCAGAGATCTGCCTCTCCATTAACTGTGTCACCTTGAGCAAGCAGCCGACTATTGCCAGAGCTTCTGTTTCTTTAGGTGGAAAACAAAGAGAATAATTCCTTCCCCTCACAGCCTCCTAGAGATATGCAGGGAATAGAGCTGAGGAGTGGATGGAAGGGCACTTCAAAAGCGAAAGCAGGAAGCAGCAGCAAGGAATGTGTATTAGTGATGGAATTATTTGAGAAGGAACAAGAGCATATGAATATGTGTGCTTTGGAGTGGCGCATGTGTGTGTATGAGAGAGACAGAGGGAGAGAATGAATAGGCGTGTCCTCCCAGGATTCCCCCACGTCAATGAGTGATGGTGCAGTGTGCGAATGGGTGTTTATTCAGGGGAGACTGCATAGAGCTGTGATCACTGAGTCCAGGCAAAGGCTGGTTGCAGGGGAGAGGCATAGCAGCCACAGTTGTGGGTGGAAGCTGACAAAACAGAGAGAATACAGGCTCTAAACAGACAGGGGGCCAAAACCAAGGCTTCTCCTCCCCAAGCCGACACCCCACACTTCCTACATGTGGTGGCTGCCCACGGGCTGGAAGACAGTGCCTCTCCCATGACCCCTCAGTGCATCACCCCACCCATCTGAGCAACAGGTTTCACCCAGAAGCAGCAAAAAGCTACGGCACTTTTGACATTTAATAACTAAGTAAATAGCTGTAGAAATGAACCCCGCCCATCCTTCCCCACCCCCAAGCCAATGCAACAGTTCCTGAAGCTAATGTTTCTCTCCTCCTCCTGTCCTCATTTTCCTTTTCACCTCTTCCTACTCCTCCTCCTTCTTCTTCCAAATAAATCACAGTTTGGATTAGGGGCAAGAGTAGTGGTGGGTGATTTTGTTTCTCCAACGTCCGGGGTCAGAGGATGCAGGGTCAGAGGCACGAATGATGCAGACAACACACACTGTGTACACTCACTGCCATTCTCGCTTTCCCTTTAACTCCCACCCCTCCCCTTCTACAGGAGGGGCTGGGAAGGGATTTGTGTTTCTGGGGCTCTGGGGACTGCAGTCCCTGGGGCCATCTGGGAGTGATTAGCCTACAGATTTCAGGTAGCTCCAGCCACACGTGCAACCCACATGACACCCGCTAATTCCATACCCACAGCTCTCCTTCTCCAAACAAACAGCAGCACGGTTTGCAGAAAGAAGAAAATGCCTTCCCAAGAGGAGCTGCAGAGAAAGGCCAGGTCATAATCGTCTCGTAGGCACCAACTCCCCACAACCACCATCTCCGCCCACCATTCATTCACCATTCAGCCACACCACCACCAGGGCTCATCTGTGAAAGGGCTGTGCATTGAACTTAGAAAAGCAAGCAAAAAAACCAGGAAGAAAAAAAGTTATTTTCATTGTATATTTGGGCAGCAAGGTCTGGGGGTTTTAGAGGTCCTGATATGTTAATAATGATTTCAGTTTGCGGTTTGATTGTTTTCTCAAAACCTGTAAATCCAGACCAGAAATGTATAAAGCTTGCAGTCTGAAAGCTTTATATCCATCACTACAAATATTCTCCAAAGGAGGTCTACAACACTCTTTCTTATAGAAGGAAGTCAAGGCCAGGCACGGTGGCTCACGCCTATAATCCTAGCACCTTGGGAGGCCCAGGCAGGAGGATCACTTGAGCCCAGGAGTTTGGGACCAGCCTGGGCAACACAGTGAGACCCCATCTCTACTAAAAATACAAAAAATTAGCAGGGCATAGTGGTGAACACCTGTAGTCCCAGTTACTCAGGCGACTGAAGTGAGAGGGCCACCTAAGCTCAAGAAGTCACGGTTGCAGTGAGCTGAAATCACACCATTGCACTCTAGCCTGGGCGATGGGAATGAGACCCTCTCTCAAAAAAAAAAAAAAAAATCAGAGGGCAGGAAATTTATATGAAGGTACCAAGACAAGGACAGATTTCCTTGTAAGTGGCATAAGGAGCCATCTGCCAGTCACATTTCAAAGGGAGCTTTAAGGACATTCCATCTAAGTGATCAAGATGTCCCACTGTGTGCCTAATGGCTGAAATTCTACCATTAGGTATTCATTGCTTTGGCTATATTTTAGCATTCATTCCCTACATGAACGTTTATTCAGCAGAGTCTATGTGGCACACAGACTGAGGATACAAAGAGGATAACACTACGTGCTTTTCCTCGAGGAGATCACATTTCAGCTGTGGAGCATATATACACAAAGACAGCAGCACAATAGAGGCCTGAACAAAATGTTATAAAAACACAGAGATGGGAGCCAATAGCTTTTCCTGGGGAGTCCTCAAATCTTCACAGAGGGGTTAGCATTTAAACTAGATCTCTACCCCTTATTTAAGTCTCACTGCCTCTTAGACTGAGAACATATGAAGCCTTAGTAGTCATTTACTCCATAGTCTGAATAAGCCTCACATCTTTCCCAAGGTAAGATAGGTGCGGGCAGCTTTTATCTGGGAGAGACAGCTTTCCCTGAAAAGGAGAGTTATAAGAAAGGACTGAAAGAAAGCCTTCCTAGTATATGAAAAAGAAAAGTGAAGATGAGGTATAGCATATAAATCCAAGATTTTTCAGAATCAAGAGAGAACTGAATTCTTTTCTCTGAACCCATTCTTTTATTTTATTTTAATTTATTTATTTATTTATTTATTTATTTATTTATTTATTTATTTTGAGACAGAGTCTCACTCTCTCGCCCAGGCTGGAGTGCAATGGCACAACCTTAGCTCACTGCAATCTCTGCCTCCCGGGTTCAAGCAATTCTCCTACCTCAGCCTCCCGAGTAGCTGGGATTACAGGCATGTGCCACCACGCCTGGCTAATTTTTGTATGTTTAGTAGAGACCAGGTTTCACCACGATGGCCAGGCTGGTCTCGAACTCCTGACCACAAGTGATTTGTCCCCCTCGGGCTCCCAAAGTGCTGGTAATATGGGCGTGAGCCACCGCGCCTGGCCTGAACCCATTCTTAAGTCTCCAAAACAACTTCACTAGCACTTCCTGGTTTGCCTGACTAAATATCAAAATGCTTCGAGCAGAAGTGAAGTTGGAGTGGCAAATCCCAGAGACAGGAGAAGGGAATAGGTGAGTTTGTATTCTATCCTCTGCCCAGACTGTGCAGTCCACTTGGCTGAGGATCCTATAATAACCCAAGAGTTGGCTGAAGTAGGCCTTGGGCCTAGCTGAGCTGAGGAAGGTGAGCTTAGAGGCAAATGTCCCCACTGATATCACCCTGAAGCCCTGCTTTCCTAAAACCTAAGTTCCTGGAGGAGAGTCAGAAACCAGAGAACCATTTAAGTGCCAGGAAAATACAAAGCAATTAGTGACTTTTGCTTTAGGCAGAATCTAAAGAGGAAAAAGAAATCTTTGAGCCTCATGAAACTCCACCTCCCTGGGCCTCTTCCGGAACCACAATGTTCAGCCCACTCAGTGTTTGGCCAATGCCACTCTCTCCTCCCCCAGAACATTTCTTTGCTCCTGGAAAATCATCTGGAAACTGTCATCACCACTGTGCTGGTTGGCAGATGTCCCCCAAAGAGAGAGTGAAGCGTACCACACACTACAAGGCATTTCTGGGCTTGGACCAAGAAGGGGCGAGGGCGGAGAAAGAAGATGGCCCAGTCAAAGGGCAACACAGCATCAGCAGGGCTCCTGGGGCCAAGAGGAAAGAGATGGGACTGAGTCTGCCACCAAGCCAGGAGCTTGGGGTGCCACTCCTTACCTGCGCTTTACCTGCCTCCAAAGCACCTTGATGGAGCCGCAAGGATGGGAGGCAGCTTTCTGTGACCTGTGAGTCGTCTCAGGGAAATAGAAGGGGAATCCATGAAAGAGGCAGCAAGAGTCTCAGAACATTATGAGCCCAGAGGACAGAGCAGAGTTCACGTGGACAGAGGCTGGATTCTGCGGGAAACCAGACCTGGAGACAACAGCAGAGATGAAATCTTGTCTCCTTCAGAAGTTTAGGCACATTGTCAGCCCTCAGGCAATATTCACTGAATTGATTTATTCAAAAATCAGAATGATTTGACGTTGGGCTAAATGGGAGAGACATGACAAGTGACAGGGAAAGACAGGATGGAAAGGACATGGTGTCTCCACCACGTTGTACTTCCTCTACCCAGAACTCTACTCTGTCATCTGGAGTCCTAGAAAGATTTAGATGTAGCCACCCCATTCCCCCCATCCCTGCCCAGCCTCGTGTTCGTCCATACTTTGCAAATTTGCAAGCACCCGCAACAGCCTGCTTTGCCGCCCATGATACAGCATATATTTAATATAGTTGGGGTTCAAACTAATGCTCTACTGGGAGCTCCCTAGGAAAACTCTAGAGCCAGGTCCCTGGGGAGAAGTGGACCCTGGAGGCGTGGGGATGGGGTGAACGCCTGGGTGGAATATCTGAGCAAACCTACTCTGCCTTTCTGTCCAATCATACGGTAGAAAGCATACCTTCCAGGTACAGTATCAACCCCTCCGTCAGGGTTAGACACCACCTTTTCTCCTGGCTGCTGAGGAAAACATCTCAACCTATGAGATGTCTCCACTGCTCCAAGAAAATGAGTATTTAGGGGAAAGATTAAATGCCCATATACTTGAATCTATAGTGACCCTACCCCTAAATTATACTAGTAACTGTTTATCTGTCTCTGCTTTGCCTGTGGATATTAAGGCAGATGAGACAAAAAGTCTTCTTTTGCCAACCAAAGCTAACAGTTTGCGAGCTTTAGGGGGACCCCAAAGGGGACCAGTTTCTGTAATACAGTTGATGCCTTCTGTCTGTGTTCTGTCAGGATTCCCTCACATTTTAGCCAACCTGGAAACTAGGGAAGAAAAAGTAACAGGTTCCAGTCCTAGAACTCTGTGGAAGAAATCAACCTGCCCTTTCTCGTGGGGGTAAACACATGTGATCCAAAAGATAGTGACAGGAACACTGTTATATTTTCCGGGTCTTAATGATTTGGAAGGGGAATACTGTCCCCTCTCCTAGGCCAGTCCAAATTTCACAACCCATCCGGAAAACAAAAGGCTGAAGACAGAAAAAGAAGACATTTACTATTCCACTTCTTCCTTTTACATCAGTGAGAGAAAGGGCCTTGGGAGAAAGATGGCACAGAGAGAAACAAAAGAAAGAAAGAAAGAAAACCAAAAATCTCTGCTTTCTCAAAAATCCCTGGTCTGCCTATCTAGGCTGGGAGAGACCCCGAGGGCAGCCTGTCTCTCCTGCAGCCTTTGCAGTCAGCGACAGGCATCATGAAATTAATTTGAAATAAACAATGACAAAGCAGGAAGCTCAACGGGTCCCTGAGTTGCTTTGGGCCCCCACTCCTCCCCGAAGCCCCTGGGCTGTTTAACAAAGCCGTGGGTCCGCCTACCCCAAGCACTTTTTGTGACGTCACAGCTCCGAGGACCATCCGGGGGCTTTACTCTCGCGGAAGCCCAAAAGTTGGGGTTTGACCTCATGACCTTGGCCTTCCCGGGGGGCGGGAGGCCCTCGGGACAGGACGCGCTGTCCCCGGAGTCCGGAGCTCAGGCCAGTGGCAGTCGACCCAGCCCCCGAGACTCCCTCACGCCGCTCCAAAACCAAAACGGAGCCCAACACGAAGCTGGGTGAAGCCGTAGCTTGCAGGAGCCAGGGAGATGCGCTCTGCCCGGGACTTCCCGGGTCCTGTTGAGACGGAAAGGATCGCAGGGAAGACAGGATAATTGGTCTTTAACTCTGACCGTTACCTTCGAAATTGCACCTTACAAGCATGTCCTCTATTTCCGTGGCTTGATGGGGACACTTTCTCTGATTAAGATCCGGAATAATCACCCACCCAATGGGATCTCTTAGAGGGAAGCGCTGGTTAGAATCCCTCCAGGCTGAGATGCAATCATCGCCATTGAGCCTGCCCTCCCCTAGGGAAACCCCACAAAACCATCCTGAGAATCTCAGCCCTCTTTGGTCGGTACCTGAGACTGCATAGACCTAAACTGAAAGGTGATCGAAGGGGAGGAGCAGTTGCTCGTGCGGAGGAAGCTCTTGGGGCCGAAGTGGCCCCGGCCGAGTATGTCGCAAAGGAGGCACCACTGCGTTGAGCGCTTACTGTATCTTTACTTTTAAATCACCAAGGCAAAATCACCTTCAGCTAAAAATGCCTGAAAGACTTTTTAAAATAGTGGGAGTGGGCGTTAGGGGGAAGAGATGGCCTAGGAAATTTTCCGCAGGGCGTTCTAGGGATGAGTTGAGGGAAGCCGCATGACGCGCGGCTCCCCGGTGCCACAGCTAAGGACAGATATTTTCGCAAAACCCAGAATGAAAAAAGAGCACGCTCCCTTTGGGAGCGCTGTCCCTTTGGGACTGGGGCCTTCCACTCCCACCCCTCCTTTTTCCCTGATCGGCTCCGCAGCTCCACGACAAGCCAGCTGGTCTGGTCTCTGACTTGGGCTCCGGTCCGTACCCCCGGGGCGCCCTGCTGTGTTACAGCCGCCCGACGCCCCCAGACCCGGCCAGGTCACCAGGGCAGATTGGAGGTTCGCGCCCCCTCACCCGACACCTCCCGTCCACCTCATCTTTCTTTTTTTCGAAAACAGGAAAGGGAAGAAAACTGAAACGGGCCTCTTGGTCTGCAGTTTTAGCGGAGTCGGGATTCCACAGCCCTGAGTGGCACATGCCGGTCAACTTCCCAAAGTCGGGCTCCCGTGTGGGGAGAAATACACACGCAGGAATGCACAAGCATCGCGTGTTCGCAACTGTCGCTGGGAGGTCTGGCGGCTGTGATGGGACATGCACTCACTCGGGCAACACGTCCACAGGTGACATCTATTCGATCAGTCAACAGATATTTATTGCGCACCTACGACGCTATCTGGTACTTTCCTTTTCCCCTTAGCTGTTGCTGTCCAGCCCAGCGCCAGTCCAGAGACGGGCTTACCGGCCGCTCCCTTCCACAAGAAACTCGTGTCCGGCGTGAAGAGCGGACGATAAACACTCTCCAAGCCCAGCGAAATGTACTAATTACAGGAGCGGCTGGGAGCCCGCGACACGGGGACCTGTCCCTCCAGGGATAGGAGTCTTCTACCTGCAAGGGACCCGGCCTGGGGAACTGGAATAGACAAGGGGTAACCCCTTCTCCCATCACCTCTAATGAGAACATTGTCCGGGGCTGAGATATTTGGGGGACGCCGCTGCTCACCCCACCAAACTTTCCCTAGGGACAGAAAAGCGTCCCTACCGAAAACGGATTTAAACACCGTCCCCACTTTTGCTAAGGAAGTTTGGATAGGGAGGTTGTGGTCCTTAATTCGCCAGGTAAAAGGAACCCCATCAGCTCGCATCCCTCACCCCCATCCTGAGCACTGAGTGTTTGCGAGAAACTCGCCCTGCGCCAGCAACTCTGGGCTCCGGTCTCAGCTCCCGCGTAGACGCGGAGGAGAGATTGGCGGCCCCCGCTGGGGAAATTGAGCCCGGCGCCGGTCCGGGACGTGCAAGAGGGGGAAAGGGGGAGATCCCAGACCTCGGTTTCCCGAGGGCTTCCCTGGGGAGCCACTCGCACCTCTGTGTCTCCGCTCCCGGCGGCAGACCTCGCGGCGCTTGCTCAAGAGCGGGTATCCGAAAGCACGTCCCGAACACGGAGAAGCGCCCTCCGTCTCCTGCCTCGTGACCTGCGCCCTTTCCCTCCCTCACCGCATCAGATGGAGGACCCTGGCTCCTTTCGCCCCTGGCAAAATGCTCTAGCCAACACTGGGTCAACAGCCTTAGTTTCCAGATCTGTAACCTGAACATCAGGAGCGGGTTCCTTTCCTTCTACCTGTGTCTGAGGTCCTCTGGTCGGGGACTGCGCGCGTCTTCCCAGGTCAGGGAGGAGGGGTCGGGGCGACCTGAGAAAGACACAACGAAGCGAATGGAGCCCCTGAATGGGGAAAGGGGAGTGGACACCAGGAGGCCCCTGCAGAAATGCAGGACCGATCCACTCGCGAGCTGACAATGCCACGCGCTAGACTTGGCCTGACGGTGGCAACGCTTGGCACCTGGGGGATAGGGGCCTTCTCCTGGCCTCAGTCCCCAAATTCTGCGCAGAATAGAACGGCTGGCATCTCAAGTGCTCTTTTTTCACCCGGATCTCTACAGACACAAGTTCCCTCACTGAGCTGCGCAGAGGTGGATCCGCACAGGAGGGAATATCGCGTAGGAATTCCTGCAAATATAAATCTCAGCAGCAAAGCAGTCCAGATTGACTGGAACACACCACCCCCAGCCACCACCATCCAAGTTTTCCCTGGTTCTCGGAGTTGGAAACAGTTTCTGGGCTTTTGGCGCCCCCTCTGGATACAGATGAAAACTGCAGTCCATTTTTAAGTCGCCTGTTCATAAGTTTTCAGGAAGATGTAAAATTCAAAAATGCTTGCATCAAATCAACGGGAAATGTATAAATCCCCGTCGTTTATGATGTAAAACTCTACATATTAGTATCTTATTGCATAATTGCATTAAAAGTATATTTATACATATACGTATATATCTTGACATATATTTAGTGAAATATTCCAAAATATCTTAAAGTCATAGCCCTCTTCACTGACTTTATTCCAGCAAACATGGTAATTACAATATCATACAACTAAGTACAGACGACCTGGCTAAAATGTCTGCCCGATGGTCTCCGAGTCTCCTGAATCAGGTGTCTGAGAATTACACAGTTATACTGTACACACAATGCCCTTCTACCCGGGACACAGAAATAGGTCCACACTACGCGGACTTTTTTCTCCTAGGAAAGGACGATGCTGTTCTTACACTTTCTGAAAGTAATCACAGAGCCCTGGATACGAAGCTATTGTATGCAAATCTCTTAAATTTGTAAACGAGCTATAGGGCACCAGAAACATCCCATTTGAAGAAGTTACATTCGTTAAAAAAAAAATGCTGTTGAACAAGGCTGTAACTTACTACCTTATGAAGAGTTCCATTTCCTATAAGAAATGTCGGGCTTCTTCCGAAGACAACGAGAGAAAACAAGATTTTAAGAAATTCTCCCGGAAGGACATTGATTTGGATCTTGTGATAGTGTCCTCACTTCGCAAATTAGAAAGGGAAAAAAAAACTAGTTTTTATTATGATGTGGGCCGATTCACCACAACAATAATTTAATTGAGGCGAATTTTTGCAAGAGCCCAAAAGGGTGGGGGGGGGGGGGGAGTTTAAAATTAAGAGTTTCCCAATGCTGTGCGTTTATTTGGGATTCTGAAAGCACAGAACCCGCAAGCGACCAAGACTTTTCTTCTATCCCAGAGCAGATAGCTCCGCACTTACCCAACCTGGCTCTAAGCATTTCGTGTAAACACAAAGGTTGTGCTCAAATCACACTTGAAATACATGAGAGACACCACCAATGCCTCCCCCAGAACTCCCAACTACATGCAGGTCTGAACCGACCGGACTAGAGTCAGAAGCACCGGCGCTTCACCCCTTCAGGTGTTTCGTAAATGCCAGCAAAAGCAGGCAAGCAGCATGACTCCGCCAGAGTGGAGCGTTTTGTCTGCGGTGGTGCCCATTTGTTTGGTCTTTTACAAACCAAGTGACCGGCCTGGGCCTCGCGGCCCGGGACAGCCGCATTGGCAAACTTCTATCTCTCAAAGCCAGAGCAGTTAGCAAACTCTCCCCCAGACAGGGCGACTCGGCTGACGTTTTTGACCCGGCCAGGAGGCAAAGACCAAAACGTCAGAGCAGTAGCCCTGTTACTGAGGAGCGTCGGCAGGGTCGCGGGTAGAGGGGGCTGGAGAATGACTTGTCAGAGCTCAAGGTCGATGTGGCGCGGGGCGGCCTCGAGAGCGCCGGGCTCCTGCGTGGCCACGGCCGCCGCTGCCAACCTTCGCGGGGACTTAGCTTTGCTTTCCATTGACTCCCTTTGCAAAAGCGCAGCAGAATCCTGACCAGCCGCACCAGCCCCGGCGAACCCGAGCATGTTAATCTATTTATATGGATTATTACGGAGGAACAGCGGGCGTTGAGTCACCAAAACATTTGCTTCAAAAGACTATTTCTAAGCACTTTTGCAGGCAGGCAGGCTCGCTCCAGGCGCGTAAACTCGGCTACGCATTAAGAAGCGGCTGCTTTTCGAATACTGCAAACTCCAGCTAAGTCCCCGGTGCCGCGGAGAGAGCAGTGAAAAGAAATGTCGGAGGTGGGGGTAGATCCTAGTCTAGACACACACACTTGCGCGCACACACACACACACACACACAAGATTCGCGCGGAGAAGGCACTAAAATTCTGGCATTCCGAGAGTACGACAAACTTACACACTTGGAAGTCCCGGGTCCCCCGCCTTCCCCGCAGCACCCCCCGCCCCCCCACCCTACCGTCCGCCCTTTGGCTGCGATCCCCTCCCCTCTCCTCCCCTCCCGCCTCGTCACCCAGCCCAGTGCCACAATCCTCCTCCCTCCCCAAAATCGGGTCCAATCAGCTGCCTGCCAACCCTGGGACTGCTGTGCTGTGATTGGCGGGTGGCTCTAAGGTGAGGCGGAGTATTTATTAAAGAGACCCTGGGCTGGGAGTTGGAGAGCCGAAAGCGGAGCTCGAAACTGACTGGAAACTTCAGTGGCGCGGAGACTCGCCAGTTTCAACCCCGGAAACTTTTCTTTGCAGGAGGAGAAGAGAAGGGGTGCAAGCGCCCCCACTTTTGCTCTTTTTCCTCCCCTCCTCCTCCTCTCCAATTCGCCTCCCCCCACTTGGAGCGGGCAGCTGTGAACTGGCCACCCCGCGCCTTCCTAAGTGCTCGCCGCGGTAGCCGGCCGACGCGCCAGCTTCCCCGGGAGCCGCTTGCTCCGCATCCGGGCAGCCGAGGGGAGAGGAGCCCGCGCCTCGAGTCCCCGAGCCGCCGCGGCTTCTCGCCTTTCCCGGCCACCAGCCCCCTGCCCCGGGCCCGCGTATGAATCTCCTGGACCCCTTCATGAAGATGACCGACGAGCAGGAGAAGGGCCTGTCCGGCGCCCCCAGCCCCACCATGTCCGAGGACTCCGCGGGCTCGCCCTGCCCGTCGGGCTCCGGCTCGGACACCGAGAACACGCGGCCCCAGGAGAACACGTTCCCCAAGGGCGAGCCCGATCTGAAGAAGGAGAGCGAGGAGGACAAGTTCCCCGTGTGCATCCGCGAGGCGGTCAGCCAGGTGCTCAAAGGCTACGACTGGACGCTGGTGCCCATGCCGGTGCGCGTCAACGGCTCCAGCAAGAACAAGCCGCACGTCAAGCGGCCCATGAACGCCTTCATGGTGTGGGCGCAGGCGGCGCGCAGGAAGCTCGCGGACCAGTACCCGCACTTGCACAACGCCGAGCTCAGCAAGACGCTGGGCAAGCTCTGGAGGTAGGACCCGGCGGGGGCGGCGCGGCAGGGTGGGCATCGCGGCGGCTGGGGGCGCTGGTCAGGGCTGATTTGCCCCGCCCCGCCTCCCATCGCCCGGGAGTTGCCGTTCCGGGAGCCGGCGGGATGGGGTTGGGAGTGGGAATGGGGTGTAACTGTGGCTCAGAGTTTGACAAAGTTCTTGGGCTGCTCGCGGGGACGCGGAGGAGGGGGGTGGTAAGTGGAAGAGGTGAGGGAGGTAGCTGGAGGATGGACGAAGACTGGTGGGAGACGGAAGGAGGGGGCTGCCAGCCTGCTCTCCAGTCGCCTGGAAGCTCAATCGGGGCGGGGAAGTGAAACTTGCCTCCCTCCTACCCGGCCTCTTAAAACTGCACTCTCTCGTGCAGCCCCACTGTCCACGGAGATGGGGCAAGGGAGAAACCGAGGTTGGAGGAGACCCTTGGCAGGAACTGGGAGGCGGGAGGAGGGAGGCTACTGGAAATAGGTGGGAGTGTATGGTGGGGGGTGAGAATTGGGGACCTTCTTGCAGCTTAAGTAATTTGGGGGAAAGTTTTCAAAGGGGGTTGGGGTTGGGGGCGGTAAGTCGAGCAGCAAAGGCGTTTAGGGGGCAGCACCGGGAGTCGTTTTCATCTCCAGCGTTTCCAAAATAGAAATAGAAGGGGAGGGGAGGGAGGGGGCGGGGAGTGACCGCTCAGGTCAGACTGCAATAACTTATTTATTTATTTATTTTTAAGAAAAGTTATGAGCTGTGGTTGCAGGCAGGAGGGAAGATGGAGTTGTGTGCAGAGGAAGCCGAGTGGTCTGGGTCGCCGCCTCCTCCCCGCCGACCTGACAGTTTGGCGGATTTCACTGACCCCTCTCCCTCTTTTTCTCTGTGCCCCCCGCCCCGCCCCGAGCAGACTTCTGAACGAGAGCGAGAAGCGGCCCTTCGTGGAGGAGGCGGAGCGGCTGCGCGTGCAGCACAAGAAGGACCACCCGGATTACAAGTACCAGCCGCGGCGGAGGAAGTCGGTGAAGAACGGGCAGGCGGAGGCAGAGGAGGCCACGGAGCAGACGCACATCTCCCCCAACGCCATCTTCAAGGCGCTGCAGGCCGACTCGCCACACTCCTCCTCCGGCATGAGCGAGGTGCACTCCCCCGGCGAGCACTCGGGTGAGTCGCCCCTCGACCCCACCGGACAAGCTATCTCCGTCCCGCCTGGCACACCCCCTGCCCTCCGCCTGGGAGATTCTTCGTGGGGACTTTATGCTTCCCGGGAGGGACACACTGCCCTTTGCGCCCGTCCCGCTCCCCTCTCTACCCAGAGCCTAAGAGGCATCCAAACAACACACACACAAACACACACACCCCAACTCAATCCCAGCATCCGAAGAGATTAACTTTTTTATTGGGAGGTAAAATGCCCTTAACAGCCTTACAAGACCTCTCCCTTCTTCTCTGCTCCCCCACCCCAAAAGCACACACAGGGCTCTTACACAAGTAGCAATTAGGTCTTCCGGACCCTCCGGGCCCCAGACCCTCCCCTGATAAAAGGGGGCTGTCCAGTGTGTACCGGCGGGTTAATCATTGGGCGACTTATCTCCGGTGCAGCGCGCCTCTTGCGCGGGTGCGGGCCCTTATTACACTTTAGCAGCGAGGGAGGGTCCCCGGAGGGTGCCTAAGACTAGGGCGTCTGCACAGCCCTTGTTGATTTTCTCGTGCTTGTTCTTTTATTGTCCACAGGGCAATCCCAGGGCCCACCGACCCCACCCACCACCCCCAAAACCGACGTGCAGCCGGGCAAGGCTGACCTGAAGCGAGAGGGGCGCCCCTTGCCAGAGGGGGGCAGACAGCCCCCTATCGACTTCCGCGACGTGGACATCGGCGAGCTGAGCAGCGACGTCATCTCCAACATCGAGACCTTCGATGTCAACGAGTTTGACCAGTACCTGCCGCCCAACGGCCACCCGGGGGTGCCGGCCACGCACGGCCAGGTCACCTACACGGGCAGCTACGGCATCAGCAGCACCGCGGCCACCCCGGCGAGCGCGGGCCACGTGTGGATGTCCAAGCAGCAGGCGCCGCCGCCACCCCCGCAGCAGCCCCCACAGGCCCCGCCGGCCCCGCAGGCGCCCCCGCAGCCGCAGGCGGCGCCCCCACAGCAGCCGGCGGCACCCCCGCAGCAGCCACAGGCGCACACGCTGACCACGCTGAGCAGCGAGCCGGGCCAGTCCCAGCGAACGCACATCAAGACGGAGCAGCTGAGCCCCAGCCACTACAGCGAGCAGCAGCAGCACTCGCCCCAACAGATCGCCTACAGCCCCTTCAACCTCCCACACTACAGCCCCTCCTACCCGCCCATCACCCGCTCACAGTACGACTACACCGACCACCAGAACTCCAGCTCCTACTACAGCCACGCGGCAGGCCAGGGCACCGGCCTCTACTCCACCTTCACCTACATGAACCCCGCTCAGCGCCCCATGTACACCCCCATCGCCGACACCTCTGGGGTCCCTTCCATCCCGCAGACCCACAGCCCCCAGCACTGGGAACAACCCGTCTACACACAGCTCACTCGACCTTGAGGAGGCCTCCCACGAAGGGCGAAGATGGCCGAGATGATCCTAAAAATAACCGAAGAAAGAGAGGACCAACCAGAATTCCCTTTGGACATTTGTGTTTTTTTGTTTTTTTATTTTGTTTTGTTTTTTCTTCTTCTTCTTCTTCCTTAAAGACATTTAAGCTAAAGGCAACTCGTACCCAAATTTCCAAGACACAAACATGACCTATCCAAGCGCATTACCCACTTGTGGCCAATCAGTGGCCAGGCCAACCTTGGCTAAATGGAGCAGCGAAATCAACGAGAAACTGGACTTTTTAAACCCTCTTCAGAGCAAGCGTGGAGGATGATGGAGAATCGTGTGATCAGTGTGCTAAATCTCTCTGCCTGTTTGGACTTTGTAATTATTTTTTTAGCAGTAATTAAAGAAAAAAGTCCTCTGTGAGGAATATTCTCTATTTTAAATATTTTTAGTATGTACTGTGTATGATTCATTACCATTTTGAGGGGATTTATACATATTTTTAGATAAAATTAAATGCTCTTATTTTTCCAACAGCTAAACTACTCTTAGTTGAACAGTGTGCCCTAGCTTTTCTTGCAACCAGAGTATTTTTGTACAGATTTGCTTTCTCTTACAAAAAGAAAAAAAAAATCCTGTTGTATTAACATTTAAAAACAGAATTGTGTTATGTGATCAGTTTTGGGGGTTAACTTTGCTTAATTCCTCAGGCTTTGCGATTTAAGGAGGAGCTGCCTTAAAAAAAAATAAAGGCCTTATTTTGCAATTATGGGAGTAAACAATAGTCTAGAGAAGCATTTGGTAAGCTTTATCATATATATATTTTTTAAAGAAGAGAAAAACACCTTGAGCCTTAAAACGGTGCTGCTGGGAAACATTTGCACTCTTTTAGTGCATTTCCTCCTGCCTTTGCTTGTTCACTGCAGTCTTAAGAAAGAGGTAAAAGGCAAGCAAAGGAGATGAAATCTGTTCTGGGAATGTTTCAGCAGCCAATAAGTGCCCGAGCACACTGCCCCCGGTTGCCTGCCTGGGCCCCATGTGGAAGGCAGATGCCTGCTCGCTCTGTCACCTGTGCCTCTCAGAACACCAGCAGTTAACCTTCAAGACATTCCACTTGCTAAAATTATTTATTTTGTAAGGAGAGGTTTTAATTAAAACAAAAAAAAATTCTTTTTTTTTTTTTTTTCCAATTTTACCTTCTTTAAAATAGGTTGTTGGAGCTTTCCTCAAAGGGTATGGTCATCTGTTGTTAAATTATGTTCTTAACTGTAACCAGTTTTTTTTTATTTATCTCTTTAATCTTTTTTTATTATTAAAAGCAAGTTTCTTTGTATTCCTCACCCTAGATTTGTATAAATGCCTTTTTGTCCATCCCTTTTTTCTTTGTTGTTTTTGTTGAAAACAAACTGGAAACTTGTTTCTTTTTTTGTATAAATGAGAGATTGCAAATGTAGTGTATCACTGAGTCATTTGCAGTGTTTTCTGCCACAGACCTTTGGGCTGCCTTATATTGTGTGTGTGTGTGGGTGTGTGTGTGTTTTGACACAAAAACAATGCAAGCATGTGTCATCCATATTTCTCTGCATCTTCTCTTGGAGTGAGGGAGGCTACCTGGAGGGGATCAGCCCACTGACAGACCTTAATCTTAATTACTGCTGTGGCTAGAGAGTTTGAGGATTGCTTTTTAAAAAAGACAGCAAACTTTTTTTTTTATTTAAAAAAAGATATATTAACAGTTTTAGAAGTCAGTAGAATAAAATCTTAAAGCACTCATAATATGGCATCCTTCAATTTCTGTATAAAAGCAGATCTTTTTAAAAAGATACTTCTGTAACTTAAGAAACCTGGCATTTAAATCATATTTTGTCTTTAGGTAAAAGCTTTGGTTTGTGTTCGTGTTTTGTTTGTTTCACTTGTTTCCCTCCCAGCCCCAAACCTTTTGTTCTCTCCGTGAAACTTACCTTTCCCTTTTTCTTTCTCTTTTTTTTTTTTGTATATTATTGTTTACAATAAATATACATTGCATTAAAAAGAAAGTGGCCCTGTGGATTTATTCACCCAGTTCTCCTGTTGGATGATTTGGCAAATTTGAGCACAAAAGACATTGTGGAGTGCTGATTGCTGTGATGTTTTTGTTTTTTATCAGCACCTTTGGCAATCCTAGAAAACAAGCTGAGGAAAAGACTGTATCTCCAAAAATCTAGGCAGAAAAATCTTGAAAAGTGCCACTCCAATAGATCACACAGAAAATTACATGTCAGTAGTTGCTCACTCTGGCAAAAATGTTTGTTGTGGTTTTCATGACCTCATGCTTCAGGGCAAAAGCTGTCCCTTGTGGAGGTCACAGGGAATATTAGACCTGAAATCAGGAGCTTGTCAGTAGACAGAATGCCAGAGGGGTGACTTGCTTATCTGGTTTTAATATGGCAAACTTTCCGTTCCTATGAACACATACCCAAGAAATGGAGTATCCACTTAAAAAGCAAAGGAAGCCAGAGAAAATCAGTGTCTACAGGGAACCAGAGAGAAGCCTGTCGTATTAACCCATTAAATGATTCAGAGCCTTCCAGATTTCTCTGTAGAGACAATGAAAGGGGATGATTTTTCTGCTCCCTCCAGTTTAACTCATTCTAAGCAGACGCAAAGCCATTGTAGAAGAAACAAGACCTAATCCTGTTTTCCTTGGCCCCAGTTAGATGGGGAGTTTCCAGGTTCAGAGAAACGTTCAGGTCATTTTTCATTAAATAGATGAAATCACTCCTTCCCTCACATGGGCACACCTCCCCATCCCCACTCCCACACCCCAGATGATTGGAGAAGTGTCTCTAAAGAGTCAGTCACCTTCACCCTCTCAGGCTAGTTTTACTACTGGGCCTGTGTCTCTGGCAGTCTTAACCAGAGTCCAACCTCTCTGGCATTACCTCACATTGTCTGTTTCTGCTTATTGGATTCCTGGCTGACATCCCACACCAGGAACATGGCAACCAGGAAAATGGTAGTTATCAAATCGAGGCAACATTAGTACTCGGCCTCCTTTGCAAATTCCTTCGACAAACATTGATTGAGGGCCTGTGATCTGCGGGGGACTGTGCAAATCCTTCCCTACCCCTTCAGACATCAAATTCTGTTCCTTGTTTGTGACATAGCCTTCCATGCGCTGAGGCCCTCCCTTCTTACAAAATCTCTATTTTTTTTTTCTCTTGCCAACACTCACAAAGTCCTTTTTAAAAGTCTCTGTGGTGTTCACTAATTCTTGCCTACCTTATTCGTTCTAATCCCTTTGTCTATTAAAATCAACACACACCATTCCACTGCGACTACCCCCTTCCCTAGCAAATCTGTATGTTTGCTAGACTGTTCTCCCTTCCAGAAATATGCTCTTTTTCCCAGTATGTGGCCTTTGCCAGGACTTCTTGAAGCCAAAATATTCTGTTCGGACATAAACTTGTGAAGGGAACTGAAGCAAGTTGTTTTGCTTTCCCGTGCCTCACTTTCCCCTTTTGCTGAGTATGTTTATAATTCCTCCTACATAGAGCAGGGTTGTTAATAGAGGAGATTTTAGCCAGAGCAATCTGGGAGTTGACTGCATTGGAGTCTCCTGGTCTGTACAGCAGTCCCCCTGCATTAGAATTCCTGGGAGTAATAGCCAGGAAAAAGAGTTTCATAAGCTCCCCAAGTGGCTCTGATACACAGTAAAATGCAAGAGACACAGGAGTGCTGGGAGAGAATTCCTCAGAATCCCGCTCACCCCCATATCTATCAGATCTAGTCAAAGCCCAATATCACCAGATTATAAAATATTTTGGAGGAATTTTTAGTCTAACACCAGAAGCACAGAGCTTATCACCCTGGCAACAGCAACACATTGACTGGAAACCTAGGAGAGTCCTCCACACCGGAAAGAGTTTGTATGTAGATCCAGGGTTATTTGTTTGTTTGCACTTAAAATAAAACCTTTTCTTTTCTAACCATTTTAACAAAACTGAAATTTTTAGCAAAAGGGAATAAAAATAAACTCATTTAAGAATCGGTCTTTTGCTCTATTATTAAATTAGAGCCATGGGGATTCACTGGAGCTGTTTGACTTTCCCACTTCAGCTCCATCCCATCCCTTTCCTTCCCTGATTTCCAAAATGAACGTTTGTGAGGCAGCATGGTGGCACGTTTATATTAAAGTAATCGATGAACTATCACTACAGCCAGAGATGGATTTACTATGAAGCAAACAAAGCTCAAGCTTCAGCACCTCTCAAAAGCACAGGCTCCTTTTAAGGCTCTGGACTTATTCTTGAATTTTTAAAATTTAAATTCTTTTTCTTAAAGAACTTCGCCTCAAAAAAAAAAAAAAAAAAACCATAAACTTCATGCCACACAAAAGCTGGATCTGCCCCTGATCACACCTATTGGCCAGTAAACTGAAGCATTAGAGGCTGCCATAGAAGATAGCAGAATACATTTCTTTCTGTTCTCAACAGTGCCTGAAACATAGTAGGTGCTAAACAAATATCTACCTTCCATCGTATCCATGAACGTGACGGTATTGCCAAAGAACACACTGGAATCTCTGCAATAACACTCTACCACTTGTCCTTACACAGTTTCTCATCCCTCTGAGAGTCAAATGAATTTTTGCTTCTCAAATGACATTCACTTACGGGCATAAGACAGGTTTCTTGCACACAAGAAATGCAATGACCTGCCCTCCTATTCTTTCCCTTTCCTCTTCCTGCTCATTCCTTTTTTTCTTTTCTTTGCCATCTCTCCTCTGCATTTTCTCAGTCTCCCCTTGACTCTGACAGCTGAAAACTTTGCTGGGCCCTGATTGAGCTTTTCCTCTTTTATCAAGCACAGACTAGAACTATTTTACTCCGAATTTCTGGAGAATCGTTCTTTTTTGACCAGATACAACATGGGCCAGGTAATCTCAGAAAACAACCAGGCTAAATTTGGGGCAATAGTTCCTTGAAGCTATTGTTAGACATGTCCCTTGAGCATTCAGGATTTTATATGGAGGTTCATCTGATCACCATTATTTCCCACTGTCATATTCCACTCTAGAATTATTCCCACTCCTCATTCTTGCCATAAATATTTGATTAGGACGCAACCATGAACAAGAAAGACTGCCTCATGGAGCTTACATTTTCATGAAGAGGAGGCGGGCGCAAATAAATAGTACTTCCTGGTCTTTCCTTGTTTGCATGCCATAGGGGAAAAAATGCAACTCATTAGAGCCAACTGGGAGAACAGGCACAGGGAAGGAGGAGTTGATGGATTTGGAAATGGTTTTGGTGAGAACATGCTGAGTTCATTTTTCCTCTCCTGATCTTCATCTCTTTTTCAGTGATATAAAATTGACTCCATTTACATAAAGGGAACCCACTCTATTTTTACCTTAGCCACTCCCTCCTGCCCCTCTGCCCCACCCCCCAGTAACCCTCTATTAGTCTCTCTACCTCTTAATGAACCATGGATTCATGGATCTCACAATCCTCTTTATAGCAGAGATCCCAAGAGAAAAATCCAGTCCCTAGTATCCAAAGGGCCTTTTGATCTCTACAGATTTGGTTAATGTACCCTGCAGATATGAGGAAGGAATCAGAAATGAGGAAGGTATAAAGAAAGGTCTTTTAATTTATTTGTGTTTGCATTGCAAAAATCTCTTATACATTATCTCAGCTATTGAATACTCCTCCATTGCCTCCAGAATACCTGCATGGATTGAGAGCTCACATCCACCATGGAGATCTTTAATTGTGGAAAAATCTTACCTCTGCAGTTTCCACGCGATGGTCCAAGGTGGCCCACCTCCACAGCAGAACAGTGTGTCTTATCTTTCTTCCAAGTGACAGCCTTTCAACTATGTGTGCAGTTTTAAAGTTTTCTTTTACTCTTCCCAATCTAAACACTTCCAATACATTTTACATGTGATAGGGTTCCAAAACCCTTTTATATTTGACAGTCTTCTTTGAATGTACTTCACTTACTAGTATTCTCAAATGAGTGCACTCAGATTTTTTTCCAGGACTCCAAATACTTGGCTAACACGGAAGACAAATAGACTCATCATTCTTGTCATCAGAAATCATATTTCTATTAATTTACATTAAAATCATATTAGCTCTTGTAGCAGCCAAGTCACCCAGTTATGTTACGTTAAGTAATTTCTTACCTATCCTGTAATTGTGCAATTGATTTTTCAACCCAAGTTTTACATATCCTCCTGTTTTGACTGGCGTATGACTTATACAGGCCCAACGGAAGAAAAAAAAATGGCAAAGGGATTTGCATTATTGAGCCCTTACTTTCGCAGTCACTGTGACAGATGTTTTATATACATGATCTCACGTAATCTATTTAACAACCCTTTGAGACAGGTATTCTTATTACAGCTTTATGAAGAAGGAAACTGAGGCTGAGAGATTAAGCAATTGACCTAAGGTTATGTGACTGGTAAATGGCATAGGCAACTACCAGAGGCTCCCCCCATCCTCTCAGTTTTCAAAAGAAAATTAGAAATAGAGTTCATAACGGGAAAGAAATAATAAATGGAGAAAGACAATTCTTATGTGGTAAATTATGCTACAGGAACCTCTTCAAAGCAAAATCTGACCATATGACCCCCTGTTCAAAACCTCTCAATGGCTACCTATCCTTGGAATAAAATCCAAATTCCTTACCATAGGATTCAACTGCCTTACTCCAGGAGTTGGTAAACCGCAGCCCACGTACCAAATCTGGCCCACCTCCTATTGTTGCAGATAAAGTTTTATTGGAACAAAGTCATGCTCATTAGTACAGATTGTCTATGTGCTTTTCTGTTCCATGGCAGACTTGAGTAGTTGAAACAGAGACAGGAGCCAACAAAGCCCAAAATATTTACTAGCTGGCCCCATTACAGAAAGATTTGCTGACTGCTGCCCCACACAAGGTAGCCCTTGCCTAATTCTATGACTTCATCTGTTGCCACTACTCTCCTTATTCCCAATGCCCCACCCCTCAGCCTTCTTTCTCATTCTCAATCTCTCAAACTCTTTGCTATTTCAGGGCCTTTGCACTTCCTACTTTCGTGACTTAAACAACCTTTCATCAGAGTTTCCCTGTTATTTCTTTTTCATCTTTCAGATATCAGCTGAAATGGGCCAAAGGGCCATTTGGTCCAAGGGACCTTCCCTGCCCATCCTGGATACAGTAGTCCACACTGCCGTCACCTCAATCCTCACTAACCCATTATTCCATTTTTGTAACACCATCACTTCCTGAAATAATCTTTGTCATTTACGTGTTTGTCTCCTCCAGCTAAGGCTTTGAACGTCGTCTTGTTCTCAATTTATCTCCATTACCTGGGAAAGTGTTTGACACATAACAGGAGCTCGGTAAGCACTTATTGATGAATTCATTGGTGTATTAAGTTGCTGTATTCTCCCAGATCCTGAGATGGGAATCAAGTATTAGGGGTTAGAAGGCAAAAAAAAAAAAAAAAAAAAATCAATTACTCCTTAATTAAATTATCAATTAAATGAACATTTGATTAATGTTCACTATACGCCAGGTAGCAGTTGGGCTTCAAAACTAATAAGATAAGGAGCTCACAAAAAGAAGGGTGAAGATAAAGACATTAAACAGACAAGATTGTTGAGCGTTGAGTTAGAGATGTATATAAAGAATGCAGAGGAGAGGGAGGAGGGGGAAATTGTCCAGCTAAGGAAAGACACTAAGGCACAGAGGAGGGACTGTGCAAGAACATGGAAATATTCAACAGGCTGGTGCTTTGGGGCAATTGTAAGTTGGTTCACTGTGACTAGTATTCGATATGGGTAGATAAATAGCAGAAAATTAGTTAAGAGATAAGCAGAATCATAGTGAACTTTAGAAGGATTTGAACCAGGAAATGGCAGGAGTTGTTGTGTGTTTCAAAAAAGAGGACATTAGCTGGGTGCGGTGGCTTGCGCTTGTAATCCCAGCTACTCAGGAGGCTGAGGCGGGACGATCCCTTGAGCCCAGGAGTTCGAGGCCAGCCTGGGCAACATAGCAAGACCCTATTTCAAAAAATATATATACAAATTTAAAAGTGGACATTGTTCCCCCTGCTCCAACCCAGACTTTTGACTTTGCTGTCAAAATCTAGGAAACCAGGTCATTAAGGAGACCACTTAGGAGTCTCTAGTTTAGTCCATCACAGAAGAGATAAAGCCTGAGCCAAGGCCAAGGCAGTGGGAATAAGAATGGAGAGGATGGGATGGCTAAGAGAGGACTCAATGGCTAGAAGTGATGGGGGTTGAGAACTGGTGATATGTAGACTACTCAGAAGGTGACATCAAGGCTAATTTCTATGCCCTACCTTCAGTGGCAGAGGAAGAGATGGTGTCATTTGAACAAATCGTGGAATATAGGAATGTAGTTGGACATGCTTAGTAGTCAGTTGGAAATACATGTAACCTATGTGGATTGTGATCAAAATGCAACTTTCTACTTGCCTTCATTGACTCTTTGGATTTTATTGAGAAGCTGGATCTTCCCTTGGCCCTGAGTGTTCACTGGAAGTAGGAGAGGGGGTGGGACAGGAGGGAGGCATGAATTTTCCTATCATTCTCAGAATGATAGGGAAAAAAAAAACTTCTATGCTTACTTTTTTTCTATTATTATTATTATTATTATTATTATTATTATTATTGAGATGGAGTCTTGCTCTGTCACCCAGGCTGAAGTGCAATGGCGTGATCTCGGCTCACTGCAACCTCTGCCTCCTGGGTTCAAGCGATTCTCCTGCCTCAGCCTCCTGAGTAGCTGGGATTATAGGTGCCCACCACCACGCCCGGCTAATTTTTGTATTTTTAATAGAGACGGGGTTTCACCATGTTAGTCAGGCTGGTCTCAAACTCCTGACCTCAGGTGATCTGCCCACCTTGGCCTCCCAAAGTGTTGGGATTACAGATGTGAGCCACCACACCTGGCCGCTTATGTTTTGTTTAAGTCTCATTTTAGTAAACTGAAATGTCCCTCCAGGAAATGTCTAAATTGGCTTAATAGCAAATCTTCCCTCCTCCTCAACTCACAAATGCTCCAGGATGAAAACCCACTCTGGGGAAGAGGGTGATTGTACACCTCTCTGTATGTTCCCTGTTTTCCTCTCTCCCACTAGTTGGCTGCTTTTTCCTGTCTGCCCAACAGAGTCAAAGAGGATGAGGCTAACCGGGGAGGAGAAGAAAGAGAAAGGGGTATTTATATGGATGGTGCCAAATTCTCCAGTCCTAGTAGATGGTTAAGGCTGGTATTCCTGGTGGGCCAGGCACCTGAGCAGCGCTGCACTATTTCCCCTTGGGCACTTTCACGAACTGCTCATTCATGCGGCTGTCTTGACCCAGGCAGATACATCACTATTAGACAGGTAGTTTCACTGCCTTTCCCACCACAGAGCATGCTCAGAACACCTCCAGCCTCTTTCTGTGGAGGTCTCCTCACCTTTGCAGGCCACTCTGCTAAAAAAGACCCACGATGATGCCACGTTTGCTCTCTCTTTTTGATAGGGACCCACATTTGGTCAATGGAAACATATCCCTCCCTCACCCAAGAAAAGTCAACACTTCTCACAGCTTACCGTAGATAACTAGATTCTCAAGGCAAGCATGAGTTCTCCATGCTTCTGAACTGCAAGAACTCTTTTCAAAGCTTTGCAAGTGACCTATTTTAAAGCCCCATTTACTCAACCTGGGATAATAGATAATACACCATACCTCCCCAGTGAAGGGAGGATGAGTATCCATTGATGAAAAAACTCTTCAAAAAGCATCTTTACAGATTTCCTTTCCCCTCTTGGACTCCTGTCCTGCTTTATTGTGGGTTGTTTTTTGTTTGTTTTTTGTTTTTTTAAAAAACTTTACATGCAGTGAAATGCATAGGTCTTAATTGTGCAACTTGATGATTTTTGATATATGCGTACATTTGAGCAACTACCACACCAGTCAAATTAGAGAACAAACTAATCACCCAAGAACGTTTGCTCATTCCCTCTTTCAGTCCATCTTCATTTCCATAGACAACCACTGGTCTGATCTCTATCACCCTAGATTAGAACCTGTTCTTGAACTTGATATGAAAGAAACTATACAATAGGTACCCATTTGTATCTGGCGTGTTTTGCTTAAAATAATTTTTGAGATTTCTCAATGTCATTGCATGTATCAGTAGTTTATTCTTTTCTCTTCCTAACTAGTACTCCATTGCATGAACTTACAAGAATGTGTTTATCCATTTTCCTGCTGGCAGACATTTGCACTCTTTCTAGTTTGGGGCTATTGTGAATAAAGCTGATATAAATCTCTCCTGGACCTAGAAATGTGATTGCTGAGTCATAGAATAGATAAACATTCAACCTTACGAAAAATTGCCAAAGCATTTTCCAAAGTGCTTAAATCATTTTACACTCCCACAAGCAGGGAATGAGAGTTACAGTTCCTCTACATCAACACTCCCATCTGTTGTCAGTTTTCGTATTTGCGACACCCACTTTTGTGGGTGTAAAATGGTATCTCGTGCTTTCACTTTACATTTCCAACACTCTTCTTCCTCATTGCCCTATCCAGTTCCCTTGCACACTGTTTGGCCTTACAGAATTCGAGAGACATCAGATCTGATGACCCTGATACTCTTTTGGAACCCAGATGTTTATTTCCTTTCTTTAGATAGGAGGAGTTCAGATATCCGTTTTTCTTTTGACTTTTCATTTTTGCACCTGCCTCAGCACTGTATGAATCTAGCTAGACCCATGTGGGGACGTGCCAAGCTCTGTGAAGAAGCTGATTATGCTGGTCCTCTAGGTCCAGCTGGTGACAAATAAGGCTGGGAATTCAGGAGTGTCTAATGTGAGACTTTCAGGCTCACTTACAGGCAGCTTGGGAGGTGGAAGAAATCAAGGGATAAGGGGGGAAAGTCAAAGCCCAAATAAACATCTGGCCTTCTAGGTGGCACTTATGCAAATTGGTCTAATTCCTGGAACTGTGAGGAGCTGACCCACCTCTATGCAAATAAAGGACCTTTAGAAAGACAATGTTTGTGGGACTTCTGCACTTTATAGCTTAAAGCCCCTGGAAAGGGTAAGATTTGCTCCTATTCTGAATGTCCTACATCTCTGTAAATTTAGAAAAGAGACACTTCTCTTCAAGGGTTTCCCAAAGCAGAACTAGAAGGAGTCTGGGTCCTCATTTTCCCTCTTGGTTGAAGCCCCTGGGTCTCAGAATCATCATGTGTGTGTCCTTCCCAGTCAACAGATCTGCCTCCCTCCAGAGCCAATTTTGAAAGTCCCTGAAATTTCTGAAGTCCTCACTGAACATGAGCACACATCTGACCTCTCAGTGGATTTCATCACCCAGCTGGCCCCTATGTGAACCCCTGCCTCCATGGAGAATTCTTGAAATCTATCCCATTCTCCACCTACAGCTGTTTTCTGGGATTTAAGGGGGAAAAAAAATGACATGGCATATTTAATTCTCCCCAATGCCCCTGCCCCTTGAGCCCCTATTCCCACCAAGACTCCTTTCCCTCCAATGTTCACCTGTGTTATCTGATCATTTTGATTCTACCATAGTGCAAGTAGGCAACTATGAGAACCAAGCTTGCACCTCATGCTAGACAACAAAATTAAGACGGCAGGAACACAACCTGAGCCAACAGCATAACAGACATCAGCCATGCATAGTAGTCAATCAATAGACATGAGACCAAATAAAATCCAGCTTCTGGCTAGAGACCAGAGCCCACAGCTGTTCATCAAAACCGTCCTCATGGGCATACAGTGTGGAAAGAACTGACATGCTCAGGTCTATCCAGCCGCATTGCCCAGGAAGTCATAATCGTCAAGACGACCAATGTTTCTTGCTCATCTACTACCTGACAGGCTCATGCTAGAAGCTAGTGGTACAGAGGTGAACAGGACAGAGGGACCCCACACCTAGTAAGAAGAGACCAACGTTAAACAAATGATGTTAATAAATTATGGATATCTATGTTTCTTCATTAAACATAGTCAAGGGAGTTAAGCAAATAAAGAGCTTATGGTCAGGAGTTCCCTAACTTCTAAAATTCATCATCTAAACGTGTGTTGCTTTTAAATACCAAACAAAAAATAAAAGATTCCTGAATAAATAAATAGGTTACCTGAAAAAAAGTAATATCCTGATTTGTACAGCCACTTGTCATTTGATCACCAATTGGATTACTCTACATAGCAAGATTATACTTTATTACTGCATTAGTGATTCAACTGAAATGATCATTACTATTCATTATTGATGGTGGGAAGTAGAGAAGGAGTAGCAAATTCTTCACTTTCTCAGAAACTCTTTGTCTCTTCTGATATGATATCTGCACTCTTCCTTCAAGTTGTCACATTTTCAGTCTTCATTTCTGAGAGCTACCCGACCTAAAAGTCTCTCTGGAGAAAGAGTCCAGTTGTTCTTGAATGAGAGCCAATGATTATGACTAAATGTCTTTTCTGCTTATTCAGTGAATCATCCTGGTCGATCGGTCATTGGAAAATGCCATCTTAACCTGCTGCTGACTTTATGTGCCAAGAACCCAACAAAAAACAGGTTTCAACAAAGTTGGGGGAACTTACATGAGATCGAAGAAAGAACAGTCATGCTGCACGAATAGGTTCAATGGCAGTTATGGGGCCTATTTGTCCATGTTCTCTGATATATTTAAAAAATCATTCAATATCTGTTTTTACAGTCTGGCTTGGAGAGTGAAGAGGGAGGAAGGCCACAGGGCACATCTGATGACCTCCGGATACTCTTTTTGGTGATACCCAACGAGCTGAGGAGCAGAATCTTGACAGACTGCAACCCCCCCTCAGGCTTGGGCCCACCCCACAAGCTGCTGTTGTCCTGCCACAGCTGTTTCCGTTTTTTATTACAATTTTCTCCGCCTTTCATTTTTCAGGCCAAAGAGAAGCTCGGGGGGCCCATCTGTTCCTCTCTTGCTCTTTTGCCTGTTCCCAGAAGCAAAGCTCACACATGCACGCGTGCACACACACTCCACACCAGACCCCACAAGCTCCTTTTAGGACAATGAATGGGAACCAGAAGTGAACATCACCCACCCAGCAACACTCCAGGGACCTGAAAGGAAAGGCGGCCTTTTGGGGGAGGAGGCGGTGTCCTCAGAAAGCCCTGATGGAAGAGCATTCTGTGGAAGGAGCATCGGATACAGGAGCAAAAGCTTCTCACGAAAACAACAGGTTTTCTTCCGAGGAGGACTTTTTGTTTTGTTTCTGTTTTTACTTCAACTTATTAAAACAAACACACAAAACAGGGCTCGCAGTGCAAATTATCTCAAGTCCAGAAAACCTAAGACAAATGATCTTGGGCTGAAGAAAAACATTAGAAACTAATTGATAGAGCAACTTACCCCTCAAGATGGAGTGAAACAGTGTCACTTTTAAAACAAAAGGCAAAGTCCGTATGGCCCCAAGTTCAAAGCTAGGTCTCTGAAGACATGGTCACATGAAAGTACCAAAATTGAACTTTTGAAGACTGTTCTTCCTTCATTATGGAGCAGGAGTAAGTCTGCATGTCCTGTTCATTTTTCCTTCCCAGTGCGTCTCTCCAGAGCCACCCACCCAGAAAAAGCTATTGCAGCTCAGGCTACAGTTGGTGCCATTGTCTCCTCACTTATACTGTCATCCAAGCATTTGGAAACACCAGTTGTCTTGTTTCTGGATTGTTTGGGAACCAACAGCATGGGATCCTAAGGACCACTCTGAGTCAAGTGAAACTTTCTAATTTTTTTCAAGCACACCTCTCCTCAATGGATCCATCTCCAGCCACCTCTCTGGATAATCTGTCCCACGCCCCATTGCACTGTGGGATGATTCACGTGGGTTTCATAGCCTGGGCACAACTGCATTTTGTGGCATTTTGTTGCAGGGGGACTGTTCTGTATATTATAGGTGTTTTAGGGGGACTGTTCTGTATATTATAAGTGTTTAGCAGCACCTTGGCCTGTACCCACTAAATGCTAATAACACCCCTCTCTAGTTTCAACAACCCAATATTGTCTCCAGATATTTCCAGATGTCCTTGGATTGAGGAGGGTTGGGTTGGGGGGAGAAGGAAAACTGCCCCAGTTGAGTTGATCTGTTAGAGATCATGCCTTTAAGAAGGTGGCATTCATGGGAAGCCAAGGTGGGCGGGTCACCTGCGGTCAGGAGTTCAAGACCAGCCTGGCCAACGTGGCAAAACCCCATCTCTACTGAAAATACAAAACTTAGCTGGATGTGGTGGTGGGTGCCTGCAATCCCCGCTACTCGGGATGGACGTGGTGGCAGGCACCTGTAATCCCAGCTACTCGGGAGGCTGAGGCAGGAGAATCACTTGAACCTGGGAAGAGGATGTTTCACTGAGCTGAGATCCCACCACTGCACTCCAGCCTTGGCAACAAGAGCGAAACTTGGTCTCCAAAAAAAAACAAAAATAAACAAACAAAAAGAAGACGGCATTTCAGAAAGGGAGAACAACCCATGAACAGTAATTACGATCTGGGATAGGTGTATAGGAAAGATCAGGTGTCAGAATACATATTTATTGCATTGATTTTTAAAAGCACATTTTGTCTTTCAGCCAATTGTATCTTAGATTTGACCAAATGCAAGTTCGTTCAATATGCTTTGGTAGTTTAGAGGAATGAATGATTCTTTTAGCTTGGGCACAAGAGTGGAGAGGACAAGGCTCAGGAAAGGCTCGAAGTTGTGGGATGGACAGAATTTGAGCAGAAGACAATGGGGACAAACACTTTAAGGGAAAGAATAGAATAAACAAAACATACAGGTAGTGAATGGGAGTGGTGGGGAGAGAGTGAGAAAGGCAAGGTTGCATAGGGAAGCTCAGGCATTTCTGGATTTTATTATGCAAATCAGAGAGGGTCAAGAGAACCCCTGCATGAGAGGGTGGGGAAGTAGTGGTGAATAATTATGGCTGCATTTCACAAGATCCTCAGTCTGGGATATACTCCCTCCTATTACCTCTCCTTGTTTAGAACTTTGAAGACTTGAGTCATCTCCTCCAAAGAACTGGAGTTAGTCACCATTAAGCTGTGTGTTCTATGTTCCTATGTCTTGTTCCTGTGTTATATAGCTATTTCTTGTATTTTGTGTTGTCATTGCTTCCCAACTGTTTTATACGGCTTTGTCTCCTTGACAGCAACACTTCTCAAGCATCTGGACCACAGGAGTTGTGCTTTCCTCCCTCTTAGGTACCACCTGTAGCACTTAGCAACCTGTGCAACATTGCACTCATCTCAGAGTACCTGGCACGTAGTAAGCCCTCAATAAACATCAGTGGCAGGAGGGAAGAATAGAAGGAAGAAATGAAAAGAGGAAGGAAGGAGGGGAGCAATGGAGGGAAGGGGAGAGGGAAGAAAGATATCAAATGACTTCTTGTAGAACTAGAAAATGAGCAGTTCTCCTAAATTGTTTCTGTCCTGATCCAAGTACTCCTTTGTGCCCTTACTGGCACCTGCTTCCCAAATTACTAGAATCATCAGAAAGCCTAAGTCCAGGTGGCCTTGGCTTTGGGCCTGGACGTAAAGATTTCTTTCTGATGACCTCAGTTTGAAAACTTCCCTAAATGCAACAGTCACGCACCAAAAGCTATGGCTTCTGTGTTTCCAGTTCTTCCCCCACACTGTAGAACACACTTAGGAGCTGCTACAAGTAAAGCCAGGGCCTTATGTCTCCTCCATCCAAACACTGAAGAACTAAGGCCACCTCCAGGATGCAAGTGAAGGCACACCATTGCCAAACATGTGGAGGGCATGAAAACAAAGCAACCAAAATGGGCAGCCTCTCACCACCCCTCCCATAAGGCATAGCCACAGGGATTAGAGTTGAGGCAAGGTCTGTTCAAGATTGCAGTGGGACTGAAGCGGATAACTGAAGCTGGAGAAGGAAGACAGAGTCAATTCATTTAATTTTCCCAACAATTTCCAAGGTCATTTCAAAGGGCACATGAGATAATGACTGCTGCATTGTATGGGGCCAAGAATTGGGCTTCCCTTTCTCTCCATTACTTCTCCACCAGGCTGTCATAATAGCCTTCCAAGTCACCTCACGCTCTACCTCCCATTGACCTTCTGTGCCCCTGTCAAATCAAATCCTGAAACACAGCCCTAATTATTCACTGCAGCTTCCCCACCCTCCCATGCAAGAGTTTTGTTGACCTTCTCTGATTTGCATAATAAAATCCACAAACCCCTGAGCTTCCTTATCCCACCTTGCCTTTCCCACCTCTCTCCCCTCTACTCCCATTCACGGCCTGTATGTTTTGTTTATTCTATTCTTTCCCTTAAAGTGCTTGTCCCCATTGCCTTCTACCCAAATTCTGTCCATCCCAAAAGTTCAAGGCTTTCCTGAGCCTTGTCCTCTCCACGCTTGTCCTAAGCTAAAAGAATCTTTCTTTCCTCTAAACTACCAAAACATATTGCACGAACTTGTATTTGGTCAAATCTAAGATGCCATTGGCTGAAAGACAAAATGTGCTTTTTAAAATCAATGAGATAAATATATATTCTGACACCTGATCTTTCCTATACATCTATCCCGGATCGTAGTTACTGTGCATTCCCTTTCGGAACTGACATCTTCTTAGAGGCATGATCTCTAACAGATCAATTTTTGTGTTTCTTATCAATCCTAGCATAGTGCTGGTGCTATATTCACAAACACACATCAGTATACATTCATATGAATATGGAAAAATGACAGTAAGAGTGAAAAGCATTTCTGCCCTAAAGAATCCTTATATATTAAATTCATTAGGTTTTATAGTTTAAAATGTGTACTTAAATATTTTTAAAACCCTGACTCACACATTTTAAAATATTGACTTATATTGACAAGATACAGACACATATGCATGCTAATGAGGAACAGAATAAACATCACAAACTATCAAAACTATCAAGGTATTGCACCTGAGCACCTGCTAAGTGCAGACACTGCAAGCTGGCTGATAGATGCATTTTATTTTAATCCTCGCAGCAGCCCTATGAGGTAGGTACTGGGATCCGCTTGTTATAGATAAACAACCAGAAGCTCACGGCTTTAGGTCCCAGCTCGCAAGTGGCTGGGGCAGATTTGAATGCACGTTGTCATAATGCCAAAGTCTGAGCTCAAGAATTTCTAAACAATGTCTCGTCTAGTTTTCTCATCAAAGAGGCAAAAGGCATTCGCTCTCCTAGAAATGACCAAATCTCATGCCAGTCCCACAGTTGCTCTGCTGACACTCAAGAAGGAAGTAGGGTACCTCAAAATATGGTTCCAAGAGAGGCCATAGTGGGAGTCATGGCATTTTCCTTCTTCCTCAGAGGGAGAAACCAGCAAGGATCTTCCCACTTGGCTTCCTAGAGATTGCAGATAGGAAAACAAAAGCAAATAAATAAAAAGCAAACAACAAACCAAAGTGTGTTAGCCTGGCCTGCTAAGAAGCAGATGCTGAGATAAGATTAAATGAGCAAGGATTTTATTTTTTTATCATTTTATTTGTGAAGGGTCTCACTCTGTCCCCCTGGCTGGAGTGTGGTGGCGCAACCATAGCTCACTGCAGTCTAGAACTCCTGGGCCTAAGTGACCCTCCTGCCTCAGTCCCCCAGGTAGCTAGGACTACAGGTGCACACCACCACGCCTGGCTAATTTCTTTTTTCAGTGGTTTTGTAGTAGCAGAATCTTGCTATGTCGCCCAGGCTGGTCTCAAATTCCTGGCCTCAAGTGATCCTCCAGCCTTGGCCTTCCAAAGTGCTGGGATTACAGGTATAAGCCACCGTGCCCAGTCTCATACGTGAAGATTTTATTTTATTTTATTTTATTTATTTATTATTTATTTATTTATTTATTTATTTATTTTTTGAGACAGAGTTTCGCCCTTGTTGCCCAGGCTGGAGTGCAGTGGCGCCACCTCGGCTCACCGCAACCTCCGCCTCCCGGGTTCAAGCAATTCCCCTACCTCACCCTCCCAAGTAGCTGGGATTACAGGCATGCGACACCATACCCGGCTAATTTTTTATTTTTAGTAGAGATGGGGTTTCTCCATGTTGGCCAGGCTGGTCTTGAACTCCTGACCTCAGGTGATCCGCCCACCTCGGCCTCCCAAAGTGCTGGGATTACAGGCATGAGCCACAGCGCCCGGCAAGTGAAAATTTTATTAAAGGAAATGCTTGTGAGGGCAGGGGGATGGGGCAGGGGGTAGAGAGAGCTGGAAAAGTTGGGAAGGACATCAGACCTCAATGCAAATCTGACCCTGAGTTAAGGAGAGAAGGTTGGGTAAAAGCCTCCTAGACCACTGGCCAAGGCCACAGGGGAACTGTCAAGCCAAAGCTGAATCTCCCAAGAACAGGTCTTCCTTAGCACAGCATCCTTGCTGCACTCAACCATTGGTCAGGAGCAGCCTATGGGAGGCGTGGCTTTGGAGCAAGCTTGGCATTGAGTTTCAGAGAGCAGATGCTCAGGCCTTTGGTCAAATACACTCCTTGTAGTTGAAGGTGCAATCTCATGGAGCGGGAGAGGGGGAATCACTCAAATGGATTAAAATATATTGTGTGCATCTGTGTTGAGGTGGCTGCATGGATGCTGAAGGAAGGGATGGGACTGGCTCAGCCCATGAGCTAGAGAACCCTTGAAAACTACGGTCACAGCTGTTGCCTTTTCTCATACACTCTGTGAGTCCAAGTAACTACTATTCATATTTCCCCTTAGCTACCACACTGTGTGGAGAGCATGATAAAAGACCCTCAGTTTTCTTTATTATGAATGCAGTTAGGCTTTCCTTTTTAACTATAAAGATATCAGGCATGCTGTGAACACCTTATTACAGATACACAGAAATAACTGGAAGAACCCCTGCTGTCCAGCTCCCAGTGGAAACCTCCACTAACCACTGCATATGTGTCCCTTCCATTGCTTGTGTGCCCTGCAAATGCAAACGAGAAGTAAGGCAACACCATTTATTGGACTTCTATTTGTTTAGCTCCTTGTGCTGTGCACCTGTCTCCTTTGATCCGCACTATGACCTTGTGAGATAGGGCCCTTTAGCTCTACTTTCTAGGTATACAGAAGAGGAAGCAGCAGTCAGAGGAACTAATGAGACACTGAGAGTCAGAGTAGGCCTGAAAACCAAACTAGGACCAGAAAGCAAGGAGCTGGCAGCAAACGACACAGATCAGATCCTCACCTATGACCCTAAGCTTCCGGGCAGCGGGGCTGCAGCTCATACCACGGCAGATACTGCCTCCTCCCAAAAATGACACTAGAATGTATCCCTCAACAGAAGAACTCTGGAAAAGTTCCCCGTATTCTCCCTGAGAGAGAGATCGGGTCTCTTCCTTCTATGAGTGTCACTATTGCATTTTGACTCAGGATTCAAGGGAGAAAAAGAAATCTATCCACTTATTTGTCATAATAATTGCCTCTCTTGCCTTTTGATTATTCGAATCAAAAACTATATCAGGGAGGAGGTGATTCCTGGAAAGGATGCAGAGTTCCCATCCCTATAGCATGTAAGCAGACTATTTTATAACCCCCAATTCTTAGTCACACTCTCAACTGACAGTATATGCTTCTGAAAAGACAGATGATATCCCAGAAAGAGAGAACATAATACCACCAGAGCTGCTGAACTTGCACCATGTTTACTTTTGATCATCTCTCTTTATAGGGCTCTGGGATCTGCCCACTGGACTTTATTTTCCACCTAAGGGATTATTACCCTTGCTGGGCCCTGAGTTCATTTTCACCCCCAGTGGTCTCAAGCCATAAATTTCAAACTGCTTTTAACATGGCCAGACAGATTTGTAAGACTCCTATAGACAGCATACAATTAACCATCTCCTGTCAGCTGGAAAATCAGTTCAATAGCCATTCAAGTTCATGTCCAAACCCCTTTACATTAACGAAAGCTTAGAAAGGTTCCTTGACTCTCAGAGCTAGAATCTCTCAGAAGCCGTGGAGACAGGAGGAACTCTGAAAGGGGAGATAGAGTCAGCTACCAGAAAGGAGGGCTCTGCACATGTCAGATGCTCATACAGGTTATAAGTCAACACAGTAGCACCAGTTACTTTTTTTTTTTTCACCCTGATCACTTTTTTGGAGCAGCTATGCAAGTAAGTCCTACAAGATACCAGCCTGTTGATTTTTAGTAGTCTGCTCTGTCCCTGGAAATTGATGTGCAAGTAGATACTTACCAGGGGCAAATAGCAAAATGGCCAAGTGAACATGCTTGTCAGTGGCTGAGGGCACTGGCATGAATCATAGAGTCTACAGATTATTTCTGTAGCAAAGTAGAAGGAAACACTGCTGCACGGAGCAGGTCTCTCATCCTTGGCATTGGGGCCGTGGCCACCAACTCAGAAGAGAAGCACCATAGCCAAGCATCGTGATGGGTGATGCCCAGAGTAAATGCATGTGTCTTTCCAATGAAAGTGTGGGGCGAGACTGATTATTGCGCAGACTTCACGAGCCAAGATGGTGGGGGACTAATACAGATAAAAGACAAACAAGAAAGCCTTCCATAATCCTGGCTCAACTTACCTTGCTGATTTGGTATCTTACTATTCTCCTGCTCTTCAACCATTCTATGCTCCATTCACATCAAATAACTTATTATTCCTCCTTCTTTCTCCTCCTCCTACTTCCTCTTCTTCTTCCCCCTTCTGCCTTTCCTTTTTCATCCCCAAATCTCTTGGGTCTGCTTTTGCTAATATTCCTCCTTCCATCTGAGATGCCTTTCTTTTTAACTGTAAATCTCTATATATTCAAATTCTACTTGGATTTCAAATCTCATCTCAAGTGTTACCTCCTTCTTTTATAAAGCCTTCTGTTATTACCCCTGAATTCCATTTTATGGCAATAAGAACTTTTTCTTGGAGTAGTACTTTTTGTGGTTATATCTTCTCTCCTATTATTAGATTGTACATTCTTTGAAGGCAAAAGTCATGTTCAATTCACCCTGATAAAGCTAGAATGAATACAACAATGCCTTAAACACAGTATGTGATAGGCACTCCATAACCACTAATATGTTAATGAGGACACGGAGGTGTAGTCAAACAAATAGACACACTGGCTAGATAGCTTCATCTGCATACAGTTTTTCAACTTGTCCAAGACTGAAGTCATCTTGTCCCCCAAGTCTTTATTTTCTGTTAGAGTGAGGGGTCTCAACACCATCCAGTTAAAAATTCTCAAAGCATCCTCAACTCTCCCTACTCCCATGCCTTTACAATCAATCCCCAAGGCCTCCTGATTTTACGTACCAAACATTCCTTTAACCCGTACCCCTCTTCCCTGCAACCACCGTCCTAGTTAGAAATCCTTTCTCCTAGATTATTGCATCATCCTTCTTATGGGTTTCACCAACTCAAGGGTTACACTTGTCTACTTCATACTCCATTTTGTCCAGTGAGTGATCAATCTAAAACAATCCTGATTGTACCAATCTCCCAGGTTAAAATATTTCAAAGCCTCCCCCTTGCTTATAGAATAAAGTCCAATCTTTTTAATCCAGCCTGGAAAGTTCTTGGTTATATGGTCTTTCTCTACTCTGAAGAGCTTTATCTCTTGCCTCTCCTTTCTTTGCTCTTTAAGGAGAAAGCAACGCTGTACCCCTTGATGCTCCTTGCTGTATCTCCCCTAGCTGTGGCTGCACATGAGTGATCCTCTGTGCTGATCCTCTGATCTCTTCTCCTGGGTACTCCTGCTTACTCATCCTCTAAGCCTTAGCTGAGAGTAAGCCTTCCCTCCTCCTGGGCTGTGTCAGCCTCTCCACTGCACTCTCAGA
Source organism: Homo sapiens (assembly GCF_000001405.40). Classification (NCBI taxonomy): domain Eukaryota; kingdom Metazoa; phylum Chordata; class Mammalia; order Primates; family Hominidae; genus Homo; species Homo sapiens. The sequence continues at coordinate 72,146,209 of NC_000017.11, forward strand.
CCACTTTCTTATTCTCTCCTCCTACCGTTTACCACATTACATTGCAATCATCTTTTCTCATACCTGCCTCTCTCATGAGACTGAGCCTTCTGTGATAATGATCAGTATTTTATTTTATTTGCATGTGCAACCAGAATAAAGAGTAGCCCCAACCCCCCGCTTTTTTTTTGTCACTTTGTAAATGTCATTGGGGCAATATGAAACTTTGGTAGAATGCTTTATTTCCTAATTGCTAAGATTCCTACTACTTCCAAAGATTCAGAAGGAAAACACGATGCTCCAAGACGGGTCAGGACTCTTGCCCAGCTAGCTTTCATCTGGTTCATCCTGGCAAGATTGGGAGAGTTGATGGAAATACTTCAACTTCCCTGTACCCAAGCCAAGGGTTCTTATTATGAGATGACCTCATTAGTGACACATCATTATTTTAACCATATTCAAAACTGAGATGTGTGGAGAAATAGAAAGTAAAAAATAAGAAGAAGAAGAAGAAGGAAAAGGAGGAGGAGGAGGAGAAGAAGAAGGAAAAGGAGGAGGAGAAGAAGAAGGAGGAGGAAGAGGAGGAGGGGAAGAAGAAGAAGAAGAAGAAGAAGAAGAAGAAGAAGAAGAAGGAGAAGGAGAAGGAGAAGGAGAAGGAGAAGGAGAAGGAGAAGGAGAAGAAGAAGAAGAAGAAGAAGAAGGAGAAGGAGAAGGAGAAGGAGAAGGAGAAGGAGAAGAAGAAGAAGAAGAAGAAGAAGAAGAAGAAGAAGAAGAAGAAGAAGAAGGAGGAGGAGGAGGAGGAGGAGGAGGAGGAGGAGGAGAAGGAGAAGAAGAAGAAGAAGAAGGAAAAGGAGGAGGAGGAGAAGAAGAAGAAGGAGGAAGAGGAGGAGGGGAAGAAGAAGAAGAAGAAGAAGAAGAAGAAGAAGAAGAAGGAGGAGGAGGAGGAGGAGGAGGAGAAGAAGCAGAAGCAGAAGCAGAAGAAGAAGAAGAAGAAGAAGAAGAAGAAGGAGGAGGAGGAGGAGGGAAGGAAGGAAGGAAAAGGAAGAAGGAAGGAAGAAGGAAGAAGGAGGAGAAGAAGAAGAAGGAGGACAAGGAGGAGAAGAAAGAGGAGAAAATAAAATAAGCCACACTGAAATTTCCTGATTAAAAAGAAATTTTTAACCATCTAAAAACTGGAAACCCCCATGAGGTTGCTACAGTTTCTCTCCCTTTGTCTGGAAATGACAATATGAGCAGTGAGATCTAACAAAGTTCTCTGAAAAATACAGAAAAAAATTGTCAAGTCCTGAAATGCCCGCAGAATGCAGTCTAGGCCTTGAGCCTTCTGTGAGGGAAAGTAATTGCGGTTTTTCCCATTACTTCTACACCAACCTAATATATAGCTCCACATAATAACGTTTTACCTGGGGTTACTATTCTAGGCATTGAATAAATCAATTAAGAAAGGCTTTTCCCAAAATGGAGCCTGCGCGATGTTTGAATTTTGCTATCTCCTGCTTCACACTCTTGATCTTTCTTCGCGGTGGCAGCTCTGGTAACCCCCTTTCCTGCTGCCCACAGCCAGCTGTGTAGGAACGAGAGGGACATGCTGCATGAAAAGGAGTCTGATTGCTGAGGAGCAGGGTCTGGGGAAACTAAGAGCAAACCACCTATACAGCCTGGAGGTAATGAGACCTGGGTTGTCCTTCTGTCTGCAAATTGGAATCAAAGTGATTATTTTTACTGTACCGTTGTTCTGCTAGATTTTAGCTGAAGCTTTATCAAAGCCTGGTTCATTTAAAACAGTGTTTCTAGGGGAAAAAAAATACATTCCAAATTCCAAACAACAAGGTTGCAAATGAAGGTGTGGGAAAGAGTCTCTTTTTAAAGTGGAGATGCCACATGTCTTTGTTAATTAACCAGAAGATTGGAGTCAGTATTCCTCGCTGCTTTCTCAATACCTTCAGTTCTTACTGAACTTGTCATTAACCCAAACATCCTGCTTTATTCCCATCAAAACTGTTTCCACGTTTGTTGTTCTTCGTCATCATGATCTTTGTGCAATGGATTTTTGAAACTAAAAATCTCAGGACTTCACTTTTGACCCCATTGAATTTCATTTGGCTTGTTTTGATGCCTGGCTACCAGACTCTTCAGATCATTTTTAATTCTTATTGGTAATACTATCAATATTGGTTATCCTGTATAACTGTTGATCATCAACACATTTCAGAAGCATTTCTTTTATGACTTCATCTAATTTTTTTTAAATTAAAGTGCTAAGTAGGACCATGGTAAAGTAGAACTCAAATGATCTTCCCCTGAAGATGTTCCCTCACATTAACACCCTTCTATTAATAGCATTGAACAGTCAAAAAAGGTTTGTAAGATATGGCAGCCATCCTAAGCACAAGGGTAAAGAAGCTTGATATCTGCCTCAAATCCCTCCACCCTGTCATGGGTACCAACCAGGTGTTATCGAAAAGGGGTCCCAATCCAGACACCAAGAGAGGGTTCTTGGATCTTGCACAAGAAAGAATTCAGGGTGAGTCCACAGAGTAAAGTGAAAGCAAGTTTATTATGAAAGTAAAAGAATAAAAGAATAGCTATTCCATAGACAGAGCAGCCCTGAAGGCCGATGGTTGGCTTTTTTTTTTTTTTTTTTTTTTTTTTTTTTTTTTTTTTTTGAGATGAAGTCTAGCTCTATCGCCCAGGCTGGAGTGCAGTGGTGCGATCTCGGCTCACTGCAACCTCCACCTCCCGGGTTCAAGCGATTCTCCTCCCTCAGCCTCCTGAGTAGCTGGGATTACAGGTGTGCACCACCATGCCCAGTTGATTTTTGTATTTTTAGTAGAGACGGGGTTTCACCATGTTGGCCAGGCTGGTCTCAAACTCCTGACCTCGTGATCTACCCGCCTCAGCCTCCCAAAGTGCTGGGATTACAAGCGTGAGCCACTGCACCCAGCTGCCCATTTTTATGGTTATTTCTTGATGATATGCTAAATGAGAGGTGGATTATCCATGCCTCTCCTTTTTAGACCATACAGGGTAACTTCCTGACGTTGCCATGGCATTTGTAAACTGTCATGGTGGTGGCGGGCGTGTAGCAGTGAGGATGACCAGAGGTCACTCTCCTCACCGTCTTGATTTTGGTGGGTTTTGCCAGCTTCTTTACTGCAACCTGTTTTAACAGCAAGATCTTTATGACCTGTGTCTTGTGCTGACCTCCTATCTCATCGTGTGACTTAGAATGGCTAACTGCCTCAGAAGCAGCCCAGTAGATTTCAGCCTTATTTTACCCAGCTCCCATTCAAGATGGAGTTGCTCTGATTCAAACGCCTCTGACACAGGTATCACGCTAGAGCTTTATGAGTTAATACCAGACTGTTGATTGGTCCTCATCACACCCTCAAATCAAGGCCTTATAAAAAGAAAATTTAGAATTATCACCTGTTTTAATTACATTTAGTGAAAATATCTATTTTGAGATATTAAATGATAATATAGAAATATTTATATTTCTCAAACATGAGCTTTAAAAAAAAAGTGTGAGAACTGCTGCTGAAGTGCCCAAGTCTCACCCTTCAAGCCTCTGGGTAGGTCAGCAGCCCCATTAATGAGATGTCTTTATCTCTCCTCCTCAGTGACACCGTGAGGCAAAGCTAAGCAAGTCAAAATCACTTAAGAGGCAGTTATTTCATCTCTGACAATCAAATCTTGTTCTGGACAAAAGAGAACACTTTATACCATGAGGCATTTTATAGATAAGCTGCTGAGAACTCCCAGCACCCACAGTACAATCAGGTTCATCAGCTGACCTTTTATCTTCCCGTGTGACAAAGCAGGGACAGACCCTTCCCAAGGACACAATGTGATCATGAGCGGTCCAGTCCCACGAAGCCTGGTCTTCACTTCTTTTGCCACCAGCAGGGTGGTTGTATGGGGGGGTGGGGGGTGGGGGCAGGGGGAACAGGGATAGAGGCATGTAGGGCTTTGGGGGATTAGTCAGAGCCATCAGTCACCTAACACTTGAAGAGATCTTCTAAAGGAACAAGAGACAACGGAGTGGAAGGAGAACTATCTAGAGAAGAAAGGAAGATGGTAATAGCTAACATTCCTTGAGTATCTACAACATGCCAGGTATGTTCTAGGCACTTCGCATGCCTTGTCTCAACCAAACAACAGCCTGATGGGGAAAAGGCACTAATATCTCAATTTTACCTGTGGAGAAACTAGGGCAACAAAAAGTTAAGTCAAAAAGTCAGTATCAGATAGTTGGTAAACAGCAGAGATGGGATTTGAACCCAGATAATCTGGATCCAGACTCTGCCCTTGAATTCTCCGGCCTCCCCAAGTGTGGTGGTGTTGGAAGTGAGATAGAGCAGCCCCACTGTGCCAAGTTTTAAGTCTTTCTTCAAGGGCGTGCAATGGAAACACTACAAGAGAACGGCTTGCACCGAACACATTTTCAAAGTCCTTGAATAAAGGCTGTCTCTGCCCTTTTTCCTGGGCCCTACTCTCACCCTAAACCTCGGTATCTTCTGCCCCACCTGCTCCCACACGGTGGCTTCTCCCCCAACATCTCCAATGACAACTAGGTTGGCAATATTTGGGATCCATTTGTTTTCGATTATACTACACGCACTCACACCTCCTCCTTGGTCATTTCGTAAGAGGTCTGGAGAGGTTTTGGAAAGCATTCATTCCTTCCACCTCATAGAACCTTCTCCTTCCCATTAAGAGTGGCCACCCCAAGGGTATATTCCACTAGGAGAGGGGCTGGGGCTTCCACTGTGAGAAGGAGGAGGGGGAGAAGAGGGAAAAGAGGGAAGAAAAATGGAAAAGGAGGAGGGGAGGAGGGGAGAACAGAGAGGAGGGGAGGAGGAGAGGTCGGGAGAGGAGGAAGGGGGAGGGGAGGTGGGGAAGGGGAGGAGGAAGAGGTTGTCTCCTCAAAGGAAGAGGCTTTTCCCATGGAAATGCACTGTGGCTGGTGCCCATTAGCATCCCTATGCATAATAAGGGTTCAGCCTATTGTCATGCAAATTAATTCAGATGACAACACTCTCTCCTCGACAACACTGCCCCAGCACAAGGAAGTTTCTCACACTGTCTCAGCCAATACTAACCGGCCTCTACGCCATCTTTCATAATTATTTTTCTCCCCTTCACTCCTGCAAGGTTTGTTCTCAGCTACATCCCCCTTCACTTCCCAGCTGCTGTTGGCTCCTTTTCATCCCGGAACAGTCAACATCATCGCCATAAACAAAATACAATGTTTTTTAAAAATGAATCAAAACCAGGGGAAAAGTTACATTTCAGATCAATGCTGAAAACGAAGAGTTTGACTAAACAGAGAAACCAAGTAATTTCCAGGCTTCCACGGAGCAGCGACTCCTCTGTTCCCTTTTCCCATTGTGGAAAGATTCCAAGCAGCATCTCTTCTCTCCGGCAAGCAGCATTCTCCTGTGGGTCACTCGGGCCCTGATAAGACAGATCCTCTGTGTTTGACTATAAAGCAGTGACTCATCCTTGCCATTGTTTGTCCTGCCGACCTCTTAGTCCTGGCCACTGACCAAGTATTCCTGCTTATCCACATCAGCAGGCTTAAGTTCAGCCACCAGGCCACTGCCACCGGCTGAGGCCAGTTTTTACCCTGAAGCGAGTCCTCTGTCAACTCTAACCCAAGAGCCAAGAGAAAGAGCAAACAAGGGTGGCTTCAGACCAAGCCAGAAGGAGGTGACGGCAGAGCTACAGCTCATTCGTGCTGTAGGCGCAGCCTCTAAACCCTCTTTTCACCTCTCCACCCCATGGATATCCAGATACTTTGTCCCTAACCCTTTACTGGCCTGAGCATCTGATCCCTGCAGCCTAAAGTTAAGAGCTGGCACTCGCTCTCACTTCTGTAACTATGCCTTCTTGTTCTGTACACAGCACACTAGACTAGTTTAAAGCACAGTTCCAGGTTCTGAAGATCGAGTTCAAATCCTGATTGTCTATTTTCTAGCTGCACAATCTTAGACAAGTTACTTACACTGTGTGCTTCAGTTTACTCATCTATAAAAAGGAGGTAACAATTGTTACACACCTCCCAAGGCTGTTATGATGATTAAACACATAATACATTGAAAGTGCTGAAAACGATGTCTGGTATGCTGTAAGCATTTTAAATAAAATGTTAGCAAGGGTTATTAATTAATTTTCCCAGACTTCACCTTTTTTTTTGGTTTATCTGACTTACTCCCCTTTCTAATTGAGCCAAGTTCACTCCTCTACTTATTGCTTCCAACCCTACTCCAGGCAGCCCCGTTCTGGTTTCTTTTGCTGTCCAAAATGTTTTGCAACAATAAAATGCATAATATCATGCAGCATTGCTAACACAGAAAGAATGTGACCCAGAGCCTACCCTTGTCCCAAACACCAAACTGGTCCCTGACAGTCCTGACATTTCTACCACACATTTGAGTAGATGAGGTAAGGAAAGACAGGGGCAGAGAAGGACACAGTAGAAATAAACTGCAGCTTACACATTATCTGAACAACAGAAAGGCTTTGTAGCCAGACAAATTATATGCAAATTATATGCAAATCTGAATGTAAATACTTTAGGCCCAGGGAGAAAATCCTTGAGGAGACATTCCCATTCCCTTCACCCTCACTTCCCAAGCTGCATTTTCTTTTCTGATTGGTTAGTCGGGAACTCATTATGAAGATTCCAAGGTGCATATAATTCTCTAAAGAAGTTCATTCTACCTGCTTGTCAGGGGTCAGAGGCTGAAGAGACCTCAGGAAGGCAACATTACTGCAGCTTACACCTCCAACCGAAGGGAGGGCTACGTCCATTCAACTCCAAGCCAAGACAAAGAGGAAACGGCCTGGATGGCTGTGGACTAGCTAAGAGCTAAAGAAAGGACAGACCCCCTCAGGGACCTTGGGCTGGGCTGGACAGGGTTACTTGCCTGGGGAGCTAGGTGGCACGTTTCTTTTCTTTTTTTTTTTTTTTATTATTATTATACTTTAAGTTTTAGGGTACATGTGCACAATGTGCAGGTTTGTTACATATGTATACATGTGCCATGTTGGTGGCACGTTTCTTAATTTTGGTTAGAGGACATGCACTTGCTGAAGCTCACTCTACCAGGATTTGCTCACATTGTTTTAGGTATTTGACCAAATTTGAAAGGACGCATACACTAATTTGCTTGGAGGTGGGAGCAGAAAGTGGAAAAGGGGGGAGAAAAACACAGCTACTTCATTCATTCATTCAACAGAAACTTCCTGGGGCTCTACTGAATGTTGGGCAGCACCCCCAGCCATTACGTAGGAGCTTTCATCTAAGCTTCTCAGAAGCTAAGCATTCCACACTGAGAAAACTCAGTCTCAGAGGGCACACCTTGCTGTAAGTTTAATGCCAGCATAGTTGCTGAAAGAAAATCAGATCTATAACTACATTGCTGTCATGAGTGAGTGGTTATGGTTTACCTCTGCTTTCCTTGACCCTCCCATTGGAAATGTCCCCTGTTCCTTCCCTTCCGGGTGATGATCATGCCTTATATTTCACAGAGAAGATGGAAGCCATCCCCACTAAACCTACAGATGCAGCCCCACTTTAGTCATCTTCTCCTCCTCCTTCCCTGATGCTTCAGGGGAAAACAAGTCCCTTCTGCTATCAAAGACCAATTGCTCCAAATCCTCCCCAGGGACCTGCGGGCTCAGTTAGTCCTCTCTCCGGGGCACCTTCAAACTCCCTTTCACTTCTTGAGCCTTCTTGTCTGCATTCAAACAACAGGTCAATCAATATATTAAGTGGATTACCTGCATCATGCACTTAGATTAATGCTTGTTACATAGCAGGTGTGCCTAAGAGTTTCCTATAATCATTCTATGAAAAGCTGATCAATCTTACTAGTATCGGGAACAGGCATGAAACACCAATGAGATTTCATTTTTTTGTGCAAGAGCAGCACTGTCTGGCAGAACTTTCTGTGATGGCAGAAATGCTCTGTATGATCATTGTTAATATGATCGCCTCTAGGGCAATGTGCAGTTATCAAACATTTGGAATTTGACTGGTATGGCTGGGGAGCTGAATTTTTTTATTTTATTTCATTCTAATCAACTTATATAGCCATACATGCATAGTGCTTACTGTATTAGTTAGGTAACACTGTTCCAAATATCTCGCAAAAACTTTAAAAAAATTGGCATTACCCAGCATGGCAGAGAGTGTGGAAAGACAGGTGCCCCCATACACTAACAGTGGGTGAGTCAATAACTATGGTCCTTTGTAGGGCAACATGGCAATATTTGTCATTTCAAATATGCATTCTTCAAGTTCTCAGAATCTAGACTAAAATAAACTCATATAAGGGCACAAAAACTCATATAAGAGTAAGAAATTTGCAATTTGCACGTGTTTGTTTCCAATTTTTCCCTATTGCAAATTATTCAATAATGTATGCCTTTGCTTATCTGTAAACAGAAGATAATAACAGATAATAGGCTGGGTGTGGTGGCTCACACCTGTAATCCCAGCACTTTGGGAGGCCAAGGCAGGGGATCCCTTGAACCCAGGAGTCCAAGACCAGCCTGAGCAACACAGGGAGACATAGTCTCTACAAAAAATAAAAAAATTAGCCAGGTGTGGTGACATGTACCTGTAGTCCCAGCTACTCAGGAGACTGAGATGGGAGGATTGCTTGAGCCCAGAAGGTTGAAGCTGCAGTAAGCCATGATTGAGTCACTGCACTCTGGCCTGGGCAGCAGAGCAAGACCTTGTCAAAAAAAAAAAGTATATGTGTGTGTGTGTGTGTGTGTGTATATATATGTGTGTGTGTATATATATACACACACACATATATATACACACACACACACACACACACATATATATATATATAAAAAATAGATAATAATCATGCCCAGGGTTATTGAGAAGACAGAAGTCAATTTATCTTAAATGCCTAACAGAAGTTCTAGAACAAAGGAGATGCTAAATAAATGGTAACTATTATCACTTTTTTTTTTTTTTTTTGAGATGGAGTCTTGCTGTCACCCAAGCTGGAGTGCAGTGGCATGATCTCAGCTCACTGCAACTTCTACCTCCCAGGTTCAAGCGATTCTTCTGCCTCAGCCTCCCGAGTAGCTGGGACTACAGGTGCGTGCCATCACACCCGGCTAATTATTTTTGTATTTTTAGTAGAGGTGGGGTTTCACCATATTAGCCAGGCTAATCTCGAACTCCTGACCTCGTGATCCACCCGCCTCGGTCTCCCAAAGTGCTGGGATTACAGGCGTGAGCCACTGCGCCCACATGTGATAACTATTATTAATTAATAATAACAGTACTAGCATTGAAAACTCAGGATTGGGATCAAAGCCTTGTAACCCCATTCTTAAGGCTTCCTGGTTGTATGATTAGCAGAATTCAAGACGGACCTGCTGTCTCGGGGGAAGAAACCTTCAGAGGAGAATGTAATAGAGAGGTCTCAATCACAGGAGGGCATACTGCTCAGACTCCGTACTCAGTACTCTATCAGGGCAAAGGGTGCAGACCAGTGGTTCTCAACTATAGGGGATTTTGGACACAGACTGCCCAGATCTAACCCCAGCCCTTCCTCTCAGGAACTCTGCACCATGGGGAGTTACTCAGACTCTCTGGCCATAGCTTCTTCATCTGTAACATGGAAATGATGAAGATAATAAAGAGAGTGTGTCCCAAAGGGAAAGATTATATGGCTTAATATAAGCAAAATGCTTAACTTTTGTGTCAATTGCATAGCAGATGCTATAGCGGTGATGATCCCTGTTATTTGCCTAGGCCCATGGTATGGCCCAGACCAAAGTCGACCCCCTTTATACTTCAGTACTCGGTACTAAAATAAACCATGTGCTAAAATAAACCCCAGAGCTCAATTCATTTCTACTTAGAATCACTAGAGATGTGAAATTTCCAGAAACTACAAAATTTGAAACTATAAAAAATAACCATCACAAAAACTTTCATGTATATGTGTCTGTGTGTGATGGAAGAGAGACTTTGTGAACTTTTATAATTACTCAGTGCTGCTTGTATACGGCACCCTTGAAAGTTTGAAATCCTTTGGAAGGATTAGAAGCACAGGCATGTTATAGAGACTTGATTTGTTTATTACCTTGCAGTGCTGGGCATGTTTTCAAACTAGAAATGGGTGAGGGGCGTGGGGCTGGAGAGTCACAGGCTGTGAGAGTGACTGCCATCAGGAATGACAGCATGGTGTCGGTCACTGTCAGTCAGGGATGAGTCAGGAATTGAGGTCCCATCCACATGCATCCTCAGCCTCGCTGCTTCTCCTTTAGCCCAAATGGCTCCTTCCAGATTCACATCCCACCCTCACACTCCCTCCATCTTTTCTCTTTCTCTGTGTGATGGAAACAGAGTGAACACTGCAGTCCCACTGACCTGTGTTGAAATTCCAGATTTTTCCTTTGTGTCCTTGGGCAAGTTATTGAACTCCCCTGAGCCTGGCTTTCCTTACCCGTGGGGCTTGTTCTCAGCCAGCTCTCAGATCCCTGCTAAACTCTGAATGGCGGATAAAGAATTAGGCTTGTGCCGGGCGCGGTGGTTCATGCTTGTAATCCCAGCACTTTGGGAGGGTGAGGCGGGTGGGTCACGAGGTGAGGAGTTCGAGACCAGCCTGGCCAGCATGGTGAAACCTCACCTCTACTAAAAATACAAAAATCAGCCAGGCGTGGTGGCAGTCGCCTGCAATCCCAGCTACTCGGGAGGCTGAGGCAGGAGAATCGCTTGAAACTGGAAGGCAGAGGTTGCAGTGAGCCAAGATCTAGCCATTGTACTCTAGCCTGGGCGAAAGAGTGAAACTCCGTTTCAAAAAAAAAAAAAGAATTAAGTGTGGACTCCTCTGTCATGGCTAAATTCCCTCCTTCCCTGTGACTTCATATGCTGAAGTCCTCACCCCTGGTATCTCAGAATGTGATTGTATTTGGAGACAGTGCCTTTAAAGAGGTAATTAAAGTAAAATGAAGTCTTATGGGTAGGCCCTAATCCAATATAACTGTTATCTTTACAGTAAGAAAAGATTAGGATGCAGACACACACAGAGGAACGACTGTGTGAGGACAACACAAGGCAAAGACACCCATCTACATGGCTGGGCACAGTGGCTCATGCCTGTAATCCTAGCACTTCGGGAGGCCAAAGCAGGGGGATCACCTGAGGTCGGGAGTTCGAGATCAGCCTGACCAACATGGAGAAACTAAAAATACAAAATTAGCCAGGCGTGGTGGCACATGCCTATAACCCCAGCTACTCGACAGGCTGAGGCAGGAGAATCGCTTGAACCCAGAAGGTAGAGGTTGTGGTGAGCCGAGATTGCACCATTGCACTCCAGCCGGGGCAACAAGAGGGAAACTCCGTCTCAAAAAAAAAAAAAAAAAAAAAAAAGACAGCCATCTACAAATCATGGAGAGAGGTCTCCAAAGAAACAAATCATGGCAGACCCCTTGATCTCAGACTTTCAGCCTCCAGAACAATGAGAAAATGATCTAAGCCATCCAGCCTGTGACACTTTGCAATGACAGCCCTAGCAATTCCAAACAGGTTGGAATTACAGAAGGGAACCAAGACTTGGTTGAGAGGCTTGCTTCGTTTAATGGAAATAAACCTTGACCTCTTTTTCTAGTAGAGGTCACTGAATTCAGCCATGGACTTCAGTAGGGTTGTTCTTACGCCTCCTCCAGACGTGCGATAGCACAAAAAAAGAAACTGAGATCCTGGGATCATTTCCAAAAGCCTTTTTTCATTACCAAAATGTGTCTTTCCTAGGCCAGTCTTCCATCATCTCTCTCTCTCTTTTTTTTTTTTTTTTTTTTTTTTTTGAGACGGAGTCTTGTTCTGTCGCCTAGGCTGGAGTGCAGTGGCGTGGTCTCAGCTCACTGCAAGCTCCGCCTCCAGGGTTCACGCCATTCTCCCACCTCAGCCTCCTGAGTAGCTGAGACTACAGGCGTGTGCCACCACGCCCAGCTAACTTTTGTGTTTTTAGTAGAGACGGGTTTCACCCTGTTGGCCAGGATGTTCTCCATCTCTTGACCTTGTGATCTGCCTGCCTCAGCCTCCCAAAGTGCTGGGATTACAGGCATGAGCCACCACACCCAGCCTCCATCATCTCTTTCTTTCTTTTACTCACCACTCCCCACCACCCTCTACCCTACACACACAATTTCACAGATAGGGGGAGGCAGACAAGTGCTTGCATCTTCTGCTGCCTCTAGCTCCACCAGGAGAATGCAGAGACCCAAGAAACCACAACACAAAGGGAAAAAGAAGAAACCGTGGGATCTAACCCATTTCCTTCCCACTTGTTACCTGGTTCTCATGTAACCCAGTCTTAAATGTCCAATGTCCCTGTTGCATGGTTTTTTTGAGGGCCTGAGCCCATTGAATTGTTTTCATTTCCCTAGATGCCCCCTTGTGCCATCAACAAAGACGGATGGTTGGACCCTCTGGCTACCTTCCATACGACTTTATTTGCAAAATCCAGGAAAAAGGACTGGGCGTGGCATTAGAACCCCTTATCAATGTGGAGATGGGCGGGGAAGACTAACAGAGCGGAACAACGGAAGACAACCCTGAAGGCAGCTCTTCCATCAAATGAGTTCTGCTTTAGATTTCACAACTCACACAAAACATCACACTACGCCTGCCAATCGTCCCAGCAGGGGAGTGGGGGGGCCGTTGGTGGGGGAGAAAAAAGCAAAGGCATCATTCAAGCTGCCTGCCCTGAACCCATCATCCCCTGTGTGTGCGTGGACTGTGCTGCTCTGTCCTCATAATTCACTTCCCCGAGGTGTCACGGTGTGAAGGGCCCAGGCATGCTTCCTCATGGTTTCCCTAATCCTCCCTTGTCAAGTAACATATGCATCACTCCCTCGGCCTCAACCCAGTCTTGGCAGATCCTCCACCAACATCTGTTGCCCGAGGCCTGCCTCATACAAGCTTCTCCTTCATCAAATGACAAGACCAGTAGGTAAAACTCATCTCTTCCTTCCCTTTCTGCCAGCTCACAGCTTGGGGTCCCAAGGTCTAGCACTTCAGCGTCAAACAAGCACCAGTCAGGCCAAGAGGCGGAGGCGGCCCCAAGAGTGTATCGCCAGAGACATCTTCCTCCCCATCCCCCATCAGAAAGATGCCCTGCTGACCTCCTCAACAACATCAGTAATTTGTCTTGGAGAGCCGCCATACCTACAGCAAACACAGGAAGGATTAGAACACAACATATGCTGCACAGCAACAGAAACATGCTAAGGTCCTTCCTGAGTCTGAAGGATTATTGAGGGGGAGGAGAGAGAGAGACAGAAAGCAAGAAAGATGAATGTGGAATAAGAGAAACCCCATTTATTCATCCAATATTGAAAGGAAATGGATGCCTTAGAACTGGGTGTGTTGAAGTCAAATCCGATATGGGCTTTAAAGCCCATTGGTGACAGATGTGGACTTTCGCCAAGTCAACCACAAAATAGGATCAAAGGAAGTTGAAAAACAACAACAACTGGGTCTCCCTGGCTAAAGTTTTTTGCTGCCCTTGGAATGTTGGCCCAGTGGACATCATCAGGAAGTGGAAGAAAGACTAGGAAGGGCTACATTTAAATAAGTTAGAAAAAAATAGAAAGATCCAGAAGCCAGTCTGATGCCTTGAGGATTTGGGGCATTCTCCTCGCGTAAAGAAGCAGAAAACACCAGCTAAGGTGGAGACTGATGTCTAGAACCAGTACTGCTCCTTAGAGAGGAAATCGCTTCACCTTATTCAAGAGAAACACATGTTGAGCCATAATCAGTGCATTTCACAGGCGAAAGGGACAGTAAAGTGTTGGGAGTCATAGGCCATATTATTTGGGTTCAAATACAAGTTCTGCCACTTTTTAGCTGTATGACCCTGGGAAACTTCTTAACTTCTCTGGGTTTTATTTTCTCATCTAAAAATAGGGTTGATAATAATAGTTGTCTTAAAGGGTTAGAAGGATAAAATATCCCCATATAATATGCTTAAAACAACGTCTGGCAAGGGTAAAAACTCAATAAATATTAGCAACTATTTTGATATTAATTTGTAAGAATAAATTTACCTCCTATAGAATGTCCACCTTGGGGCAGAGAAGATCAAAAGCACTGCGTGTGTATTCACAATTCTGAACTCAAAGAGTCTCTATCAAGTGACAGTAATTTGCAAATGAAAATTATGTTATACAAACGTGCAAATTTTTTTTTTTTTTTTTTTTTTTTTCAGACGGAGTCTCACTCTGTCTCCCAGGCTGGAGTGCAGTGATGCGATCTCGGCTCGCTGCAAGCTCCGCCTCCCAGGTTCATGCCATTCTCCTGCCTCAGCCTCCCGAGTAGCTGGGACTACAGACGGCCGCCACCACACCCGGCTAATTTTTTGTATTTTTAGTAGAGACGGGGTTTCACCGTGTTAGCCAGGATGGTCTCAATCTCCTGACCTTGTGATCCGCCCGCCTTGGCCTCCCAAAGTGCTGGGAGCACAGGCGTGAGCCACAGCACCCAGCCAAACATGTGCAAATTTCAAATTCCTCATTTCTCACCTCTAAAGCCAGACTCGACAACCCATCCAGTGAGGGTTGAAGACGTAACTAAAACAACAACAACAAATGCCTTGAGAAGAAAGATATGCTTCAAACAGGGTTATCCATTTGCTAGTACTTTCTAGTTGGGGCCAAGTTCTAACTTGCTCTTTGGTCAACGAGGATAGTTAGCAACATCAGCCACTCTGTAATTACCTGGCTACCCTCACCACCAATGGAATATCAACCCTTCTGTCCCTCCTCTTCCAAATCAGCTCTTCACTACTCTTTTTGCATAATCTAAAGATCTATATTTCTCAGGTCCTTTCAGCCAAGCTTTGTAGAGATCAATTCCCTGGTGTCAGGCTATAGCTATGTTAGAGGCCAGTGGGAAAAAGGATATGCTATCATCACTCATTCCAGGGAGAAGCCCCTTTATACAAGATACCTCATCCACTGGCAAATGTTCCTAGCTGTGGGAAGGAGAGCTGGAAGCTCAGACGAGATAAGAGGCTGCATGCCACCTCACCCACTGACTATTCCTCTCTGGAGGAGCTCCCTGTGTAGAAGAAATTGATATCTCTCCATAGGAGCATCTCCAAGGCCAGCTGTGTATAGTCCAGGGTAACAACCATAAAAGCTGGGATATGGGGATAGAATAAGTTTGCATGGAAATTTCTCATCTTAGAAAAAAATTAAACAGAGTTTACTTGAACAAATAAGGTAGTCTTCTGGTTTTTAGATCTATTCAAATAAAGCAACAAAAGATGTCTGTGACATGTATGACAAATACGTTTCATTGCATCTCAACAATCAACCCTGTTAGGCTTGTGGTAGGTTCCTGAAGGACTCCACTAAAATGGATTGTGAAGGCCTGGCATGGTAGCTCACGCCACCCAGCACTTTGGGAGGCCCTGGCAGGCGGATCACGAGGTTAGGAGATCGAGACCATCCTGGCTAACAAAGTGAAAACCCGTCTCTACTAAAAAATACAAAAAAATTAGCCAGGCATGGTGGTGGGCACCTGTAGTCCCAGCTACTTGGGAGGCTGAGGCAGCAGAATGGCGTGAACCTGGGAGGTGGAGCTTGCAGTGAACCGAGATCACGCCACTGTACTCCAGGCTGGGTGACAGAGCGAGACTCCGTCAAAAAAAAAAAAAAAAAGTATTGTGAAATGACAAATCAGCATGAAGCTGGCTGTGATTGATTATCAATGTCTGCCATGTGGGGGAGGAAGTTGACAGTGACTGATTAGCAATGAATGCCATAAGCTTGGCCTTGGATATGTGCCTTGAGTAGTATGAAATGAAATGTCTAGTTTTTACATGCAATCTTTCCAAGGAATCTTTGAACAGTTCCTAAAAATTCCTGGGCCTTCATTTTCATTGCCATTGAATATAGAAGGGAGAAGAGAAGGAAGAACTAATATTGGTTTATTTTTAATGTTAGAACGAACTGGTGTCTGAAGTCAGTTTTGATTTACATATGTTAAAGCAGGTAGGGACAATCCCCTCTCCAAGTACTAGATCCAGTCCTAGACAAAGAGGAAAAAGCCGATTTCTACATTTGTAAAAGATTTCATTTTTTGTCTCCCTAAAATAATTTATCAATAAGATTGGCAGGGTGGGGTGAGGGGAAACAATATGAACTGTACTTGTTTACATTGATTGAAATAGATCAAAAAACCTCTCTCAATGTCCTGGATATTACTTTATCTCTCTTTGTCTTCCTTTTGGAAGTCTCTTTCTCCAACTTTCAGAGATATGCCAGAGGAAAAGAGATGAATATAATCCCAAATTATGGACTAGGGTTCCCTTTATGAGGAAAGTAAGGGAGAAAAGGGAGATTCCAGAAATACAAATGAACCAAAAAATTTGGAATTAAAGTTAAGTGGTATTGGCTTTACTTGGAGATAATTGTTTTTCCTAGTGTGTATTTTAAGATTAACTTTTGCTGTCCTGATAAAAGAGACAGATAGAGCTACGGCTATTTATTTATTATTTCTTCTTCTTGCCTTGAATGCAGATGTGATGCCTGGAGCTGCAGAAGTTGTTTTGTGACCATGAGGCTACATCCATAAGGATGAAAAGCCAACAAGTTAAGCTAAGTTTAGAAAGAGTAGTAAGTTAAGAAAAGTGTAGAAAGGTAGAGGAAGCATGGACTTGTTGATCATCACTGAGCACGAAAACAACCCTGTACCACCAACCCCCAGACCTCCTTGTGAGGCAATTAAAATTTTAAACCTGTGTTGTTTGAACTTTACTATTTGCAACTCAAAGTGTTTTTTTCTTTTTTTCTTTTTTTTGAGGCAGAGTCTCTGTCACCCAGGCTGGACTGCAATGGCACTATCTCAGTTCACTGTAACCTCTGCCTCCCAGGCTCAAGCGATTCTCCTGCCTCAGCCTCCCAAGTAACTGGGACTACAGGCACATGCCACCACAATCAGCTGATTTTTTTTATTTTTAGTAGACGTGGGGTTTCATTATGTTGGCCAGCCCAGTCTCGAACTCCTGACCTCAAGTGATCTGCCTGCCTCGGCCTCCCAAAGTTTGGGATTACAGGCATGAGCCACCACACCCAGCGAAACCCACAGTATCTCTAAAGCAGTTATTTACCTTACTACAATATTTGTTTCTTTTAGGCAATGGGCCCATACTGATTTCCACAATTTATTAAAATTGGATATTCAAAAAATTATTTTTAAAATAAGCTTAAACTGTCAAGGGGTCACAGAGAAAAAAAAAAGTGTATCATACCGGCTAGCCTAAATGGGAGTATGGACACAAAGAGATGAAGGCCAGATTTCCAATGTGATTGACTTTTCTAACATATTCTCGGTGATGAGAACACATCCCAGGACATAGGCCAAGCTTTTCTAAATAGAGCATTTCCCAAAGCTGTGCCCTTGGTGTCAACACCTTTGAGACTTGAGTCAGAGAGAGAGCCCATCTGTACACATAGCCTCCACCCACCTTCAGCTTATCCTGTAAGCAAAGTATAGTTGAGTCAGCTCTCAGCACCTGTCTTAATAATTTGGAGGGCATGCAATCTGCCTTTCTCTATGTGCAACTCACAAGAAAAAGCCAGAAAACTGCTATGGCTTTAGATTTCAGTGTCCTAGGGCTCATGGGCAGTATCTATTATCTTTTCTAACAGAGCTTGGAAACACAACCACCAAAACAGTCAGGAAGGGCTTGAGATGGGCTAGGAAGACCTCTTCTTTCCAAACAACTAGCTATTACTCATTTACCTTGAGAAGATCAGCAAAGAATACAAACAGAATCTTCTCACATCCTGATTTATCCAGTGAAAACCATATGTAGACCATCCTGCCCCTTCTTTTCCTACAACCTCTCAGAAACAATTAGTAGAAAGAATGGACGAGATCAAAATGAGAGGAGAACATTCCTTTAACCTCTGCTCTGTACCTGGCACTGTGCTGGTAGATACCTTCATATGTATTTAATCCTCACAAGAATTCTACAAGCAAGGGGATATTGTCCCCATTTTATGGATAAGGAAGTAAGGATTAGAGAAAACAGGTGACTTGTCTGAGGCCCACAGCTAAGTGTTTCTGGCAGAGATCATTAGTGTTCATCCACACCCATGTGCATATTCATAGTTTCTAGTCTTCCTTGCAGTAGTGTTGGTCATGTGATTGAGTTCCGGAATGCAGACAGAAGCAATTCCCCCCACTTCTCAGCTGGACCCCTGAAATATCTTGCATATTCCTGTCCCTGTGACCAGAAGCAAAAGACTCCACAATGACCGAGCCAGAGAAGACAAAAAGAGCCAGGATCTTTGAGTCATCCCTTGGAGGAGAGACTGCCATCTTTTTGAATTATTACGCAATTGATATTCTCAAGTGTATTTATTACTAAAACATGACCTAAAGTACTCTTACTTCTACAAAGATCCCATTTAAAGAGGGTCCCTGATACTCTAGTGGAGGATCTTTGAAGCAATGGGAGCCAAATATTACACAGGTTCACTGTGACCAGTAGAACATCCAAGCCAGTGAAACTACTTCAAAATGAATTCAGGATTTCATGTGCATAAGCAAGATGTGTTGCGAACTCTGGACAGAACACTTTTCTTTTGTGCGTCTGTCTTCACCAAACACAGTATTCAGATATTATAGGGTCCCAAAAATACATGTTGAATTGAATCTAGTCTAGTCTCAGGTTGGGCTTCAACTTGGTATAATAGTCCTTGGTAAATTCCTCCTAAATTCTCTGTCTCAGTTTCTTCTTTCCTTCAATGTAAATGGAGTTAAACCTGTCGCTGTCCCTCAATGCGTCTAAAAGGAAGAGCCCAAGAAATCCACAACATTATTGGTAGAAATCATTGAAAGAACCACATCCGTGTACAATTTTAGTATGCTCTGACTCTTCAGGTACATATTTCAGGCTGGACTAAACTCTAAGAAGCCAAACCAGTGATTATCCCAAGAAGATCAACCCTTATTAAGAAACTGTCAAAGAAAAGTAGGTGGAGAGATGGATTAGCGGACTGGAAAGGGCTAGAGGCTGCTGGTGAAAAGCCTCAAAGATTTAGTTAGAGGATTTTGTATCCCTAGTCCTCGTTCTCATTATATAGCATCTTCCATGGTATGTGACTGTTGATAAATATTCATTGGAATGGGGACTGACCTAATGTAATGCAAATCACATGCAAAGCAACATGTAAATTGGAACCATTATATGAAGTCAATAGGTGAGGTACTATGCATATTAAAAGTACAGGACAACAGTTCCAAAAGACCCATAAGAGGCCCATAAAACTAGCAGGGGACATTCCATTCCAAAAGGAATCTGATAGTCAAAGACAGAACATTGCTGCCAAAGAATGTCACCAAGCATGAAGCAGGGACAGCGAGGCGGTAACAGAGAGAGAAACAGAAACCCGGCTGCTGCTTGCTCTCCCCATCCCTTTCAAGGCTGTATTCAAAACAGTTCTCCTTCATCGCCTTCCCATACTGATCAGACCTGATACTGATTGATTGGTCAAATCCACTGAGTGACAGGAGGGCAGACTGATCCGCTTGTACATTAGCCACGCTATTCAGGATGGCTCCTTCAAGCCTTCTAACAAAAGAGCCGGGGACACTGAGACACAGCCAGAGAGACTGGTCACTTTGAACCCGCTGGCACCACACGCAAGACTTTTAGAGGCTTTTGTATCCCCTGAAAGCTCTCTTCCCGTGAGTGTTGCATGGTCACACGCAATGCATGCATGTTTTGCACAGATTAGCATGCATCTGCAGAAATGCATAAAGTACAAAGACATCCCCATAGGCACACGGATGCAAACTTTTCACCTCCACCATCCCAAGGGAGCTGCAGGAGGATTTGACTGTTGTGAAGTCGCTAGGCCAGGGAAGGTCACAGGCTGTTTCTGACGGGAGCCCCCCCTTGTGTTTGCTTTCTGTGCCTCCACGGGCCTCCTGGCAGGACTAGGGGACATGGAAATAAGTCAGCAGTGACCCTTCTGGTGACCCATGGCCTCACCAGCCAACTCCTGATTGCAACATTCTGGCTTCAGTAACAGCCCTTAATTCACGCCTTCTGGCTGTGCCCAAGTCACAGTGGCCCTGGAGCTGGTAGCAGTAAGCAAGGTCAGGCTCAAGAGCTCCACATTGCCACTTCACAGGAGAGGCGACGCAAGGGTCGGGGGTAAGGGATGGAGCAGTGACAAGGGCAAACAGGGACATTTCTGATTTCTCAGCAAACTGAGACCCTCCCTTTGGCCATACACCCCTCCTATCTTCTGCGTTAGGCTGTTACCCAAGCTCCCAAGCTAGGATCTGGTGTTTTTTTTGTTTGTTTGTTTTTTTTGTTTTTTTTTTTAGACAGAGTCTCGCTCTGTCACCAGGCTGGAGTGCAGTGGTGTGATCTCAGCTCACTGTAACCTCTGCCTCCCGGGTTCAAGTGATTCTCCTGCCTCAGCCTCCTGAGTAGCAGGGACTACAGGTGCGTGCCACCATGCCCAGCTAATTTATTGTATTTTTAGTAGGGATGGGGTTTCACCGTGTTAGCCAGGATGGTCTCAATCTCCTGACCTGGTGATCCACCCACCTTGGCCACCCAAAGTGCTGGGATTACAGGCGTGAGCCACTGCGCCCAGCCTGGTGTTTTTCAGTCACTGGATGTAAACCTAACATGCACACCAGGACTCTGGTCATAGAGGCTCTGTCTTTCATCCCCTGTTCCTCTGTGTGTGTCACACACACACATGTACACAACTCTGTAGGTGGTTGAGTTGGTACACCCCTCTACACTAGTGACATGTGGCTTTTTTTCAAAAGGATCTTCCATGAGACAATTGACATGGAAGGGTCAAAGCAAACTCCTGGCTCTCAGGAGCCTTATGCGCGGAACTGTCTCCCAACACAGACAGAACCATCTCAAAGACTTTGAAAGTGATGACTCTGCCCATCTATCCGATTGTCTCCTTTCACAGATGCAAGACCTGAGACCCAGGAAGAAGTGCCCCAATTAGAGTTACTCACATTGCTGGGCCATGGGTACAGCCAGGCTTGCATTCATCCTCTCCAACACACCATGCCACAACCACAGGCATCACACACATTCCCAGATGGCCAACTGATGTCCAGTCCCTCCTGCCACTGCTTCCACAGGCATCAGCGCTCCTCACTCCTCTCTGGGTTCTTAGGGGTTATTATAGCAGGTAGAGCCCAGTGATAAAAATAGCAACGATGACCTAAAGAAAGTTCAAAGTAGGAAGCAGAGGTAAAAGGCAAGATCCTGGGAGCCAAACACATTGCATGTGTTCTGGCAATTTCTGGAGAGTCTACAAAACTGACTTCCAATGCTTGACCTCCACTGCCTATAGACCATGTCTGATCTGAGTTCTTCTGACAGCAGGCACTACCCCTTCCTTGCTTCTCCAGTCCAAATGCAAGCATATCCTATCTTTTGAAGCATTTGCCTTTCCACTCCAAGGTTTAAGGAACTGCAAGACAAATAGTATAAAAAGATGAAAGTTGCTGGGAGGAAGTCAGCACTGCTAAGTGGTTCTTTACAGGGCAGTAAACCCCAGGTCTTCCCTGTCTCTGGAGGGATCAACAGGATTGCCTTCCCAACCCTGTCTGCACTCAGCTTCTCCCCAGCCAGCACAGGGTATCTGCCTCCCAAAGGAAGAAAATCGGCTGCCTAAACCTCCCTCTGCTTCTACACATATTAAACACACTCTGTCAAGGTGATGCGGGCTTAACATCTGACCTGCTTTTATTTCTCTTTTCTTTTTGCAGAAGTGGTGGCAAGTTTACTATTTTTTTTTTTTTTTTTTTTTAGTTTGCTCATTTTTAAATCTACAAAGTGAAACTTGGGTCACATTTTTAAAAAATCAACTGTCAAATCATTCCCGGAGTTCCCATCTAAAGACTGGCCTGACATTTCACCTCCATGCTCTAAAGAATGCATGCCCTGCTTTAAAAACCTGGATCTTCTTGGCTGTACAGGTTTATGTGGAAGCATCATTTGGTCTTAGCCTGAGACTCAGACCCACATTCACAAGTGGCTTCAGAGTAATAACACCTTCCCCAGAGTTCGAGGCCCTTGTCTGTCCTGGGTAGTTTATTAGAAAAGGACGCCTCTTTGAGCCCCAGCTTGGAAGGCTGAACTGTTGAATACAGTGCCAAGGTAGCTTTCCAACTTTGAGCTCCCCAAGTCATTCATTCATTCCTTCACTCATCTACAACCTCTCATTCATTCAACCAGCAAAACCAGATAAGCAGAGGAACATGATCCCTGACCTCATGGAGCTCACAGTCTAGACAGGGAGATGGACAATAATAACAGGGCTAAAGTTGGTAGAGCTTCATTGTTGTGGCAGAGAAAGGCACAAGATGAATCCTAGAGGCAGGCATGGGTTGGTCCCTCAGGGTCAGGAGGCCCCAGAGGCCATCACAAGGATTTTGGTATTCAGCCTGGGGACAGTGGGGAGCCATGGGTCCCACCTTTTCCAGAAGGGACACACCCCTCTGGTTTGAACTAAAATTTTTTACATCCATCCACATGAAAAGTCCTTCCCCCAAACTAGAGCTGGTCGTTCATGTTACGCCACTCACAATAGCTCCTTGACACCAGACGCCCCTCGTAAAGAAGACAGAGTGGGTGTTCAGAGTCTGAGAGTCAGCAATGAGAGAGCTAGAAAGAGCCCAGGTTCCCAGTCTGGACCAGAATCTTAGCATGGCTGGAAAACAAAGGTGATCAATTCAGAAGTCAGCCATGGAAACATGGGAAATGGCACAATATCTGTGTTTAGAAGCTGAGATGGGCAATGGACCATTCCATTGAGGAGTTAGCACATGCTCACTCAGGCCAAGCCACGGCTTAGCCAACCATCCTTGCAAGCCCCAACACAGGTAGCAGCCCCTGCCCCATGGGAAGGTAGCTTTACCAACAGCCACCCTTTCCAGTTGAACAATAACAGCACAGAAGGTGAACTAAGCCACAGTGTAATTAGCAAAATGATAGGGAAATATGTAAGCAATTCAAGTGCCACTAGAGTGTCCCTTAAATGAACACTGGAATAGCCCTTAACGTGCGGATGAAGGAGAAAACTCGAACATCTAACCCTATTGGCAATTTTTCAAATGTCTTTCAGAAATCTCTAAACCATAACAAACCTTTGGTTTGAAAACTTCTTCCAGAATCCAGCTCAGAAAATTCATTGTCACCTCCTTCTCCCTTGTCATCAATGACCTTTTCCAGTTAGTCTTAAAAATGCAGGATATGCATAGACTGGTTTTAAACTCAGGCTTGCGGCAGCACTGTGGGATTCTGAGTAGTAGAAGCCTTGCACCAAGAAGGTAAATAGTCTTGTTTTAACACATTGTCTGAATCACATTCTCTGAAGGTCTAAGAAGACTTGACCTTGTCTGGTAAGTGGTCTCATTGGCTGGACTCAAAAAGAAAAGACATGAAAAAAGGGGAAGGAGGAAAACAGAAAACAAGCCAAGTAAAATATGAGACCAATTCCTAAACTCTTGATGTTTGGGGTTGACATCTTCCCTCCTGTTCTTAAAGGAGAATGAATATTATATAAAACTTTCCCAAGATCTAGAACAATGCCTAGAAAAATGGAAGAAAATGCCAGGATGTGCCACTAGCCACTGAAGGACAACACATTCATTATCTCACTCTCCAGAAATACTCTTTCTCCTTCATTCTCTGTCCTAGTTCATGGTACCACCACCCACCCAGATGACCAAGGCAAAAACAAAAAAACAAAAACAGGAACCGTCCCCCCACCCCCGGAGGCTTTTTCTTTCTCTCACTTGCCATAGCTAGCTGAACTTTCAATTTCACCTCTGCAAATGTTCTGTTATCTCTCCCCATCATTGCCATCGAATTTGGGCCACGCTTATTCTCTTCAAAATATTATTACAATTCCCCCAAATATTGGCAGGCCTGGATCCATCATTTCATCCAACTCAGTGCTCTGATTCCACCTGCTCAGAGAGCTCTTCTCTGGTCAATTGATTTAAAATGTGACTCCTTGTGACTCTTTATCCTTACCCACCTCGTTTTCTTTTAGCAAACTTTATTTATATGTAACTAAATATAAATCATATCTATATATAAATATATATCATATAGTTATATATCACATATTTTGTTCACATATGTCATACATTTAGTTCATATATATAAAATACTTATCATTGGCTTTGTATTTCTTTATATATAAATATATATCATATCTACATATAACTATATATCATATATTTATCATATGTTTAGTTATATCATATATTTAGATACATATATCACATATTTTGTTCATGTATATTACACATTTAGTTCCTATATATATTAATCATTGGCTTTCTCTTCTATAAATATTTGCTATTGCAGGATGTAGTGGCTCACACCTGTAATCCCAACACCTTGGGGGGTCAAGGTGGGTGGGTTGCTTGAGCTCAAGAGTTCAAGACCAGCCTGGGCAACATAGTAAGACCCAAGCTCTACAAAAAATACAAAAGGTTAGCTGGATGTTGTGCCACACACCTGTAGTCCCAGCTACTTGGGAGACTGAGGTGGGAGGATGGCTTGGGCATCACTGTACTCCAGCCTGGGTGACACAGCAAGACCCTGTCTACAAAAAAAAAAAAAAAAAAAAAAAAAAAAAAAAAAAATTGCTACCAGTAAGTGAACAAATGAGTCTCCCCACTGTACTCTCACATACCCTCTGGTCCATCCTCTGAATTGGTGAGACTCATTTTCTGAAACACACACTTGGCTGCATTATTTAACTACTGCAACTATTCCCATGCCTTACAGTTACCCACAGAATGAGCCCCATGTGCTAAAGTGGCAAACCCAGGGGGCCACAGCCTGGCCCCCTGCCAGTCCTATAGCCTCATCCCAAGTCCACATTCACCTCCTCAGGCCTCACCCCCAACATGCCTTCCACATACAATGACTATCAGCTCCCCAAAAGTACCATGCTCTTTCCACCCTCAATACCTTTGTGGAGATATTTTCCAGCCTAAAATGACCCTCCTCCCTTTGACTGCCAGGCAAACTCCAAAAAGCTGCCCCTCATCCACCCACTAACCCTGCCTCATCCCTTCTCCTACCTTGCATATCACCTCTATAGTCAGTTACAGAATCTGCAGGGTATAGCATGTGCGCTTGTGTCTTTGTCTGTGTCCTTCCTTGGTCTAGGAGTAGGGACCACAGCAGTTTAGGGAACACTCAAAGCTTGCAGCATTGGAAAATTCTTTCAAGTTAGCTTTTAAATCATAAAATACAATGAAATTTGTGACAGTTTAAACAGTCTCCTTAAATATCTCCTCAACTGTCTGTTTTTTGTGCCCCTCCCTTGAGATCTCATATATGAGAGGAAATATATATATGATCATATATATATGATCTCATATATATATTCTCTTTCTGTGTGTGTGGGTGTATATATACATATACATACACATAGAGAGAGAGAGAGGAGAAGAAGGAGGAGAAGGAGGAGGAGGAGAAGAAGAAAATAGAGCAGTGAGATACGAATTTTTTATCCAAGCGAGGAAAAAACAATGAAAAGAAATGGCCTTCACTGTTTCATTATATTATTACATAACTGCAGCCTGAACTCGAATGACAGAGACGTTGGCAAAGTGGCTGACTCCACCAAGAGGAGCTGCTGGGCACATCCGATGAATAAAAATGGCAAGAAGCCTAAAATGGACTGGAAATCACTTTGAGCTTTGACTTTTATTTCTCTGGAGTGACAGGAAGGGTAGCTGGAAGATTAAAACTCTCAGACTCAGCTCAGGCTGTCACCCCTGCAACCAAACCAATACACACAAACAAGCCCAACCTCAGTGTGCCTTCTCCTCTCTCTTCTCCCCTCTCCCCTCTCCTCCCCTCCTCTCTCCTCACTTCTCCTCTCCTCCCTTCTCCCCAGTTCCCAGCTTTCCTATCAAATGACTCCATCTGTCCCAAGACCAGTTTCCTTTTCTTTGCTCTGTTTTCTCTGAGGAGCCCATGCTGAGTGGAGACAGAGCCAGGAATACTAACAGTTGGTGACCATCCAGGGACACCAGCCACTGTTGTTACCTTCACTCTCACCACCAAAAGCAATTAAAACAATATGTGTACAATAAAATATAAAAGCATATTTCACTTCTAGGAAAGGGAAAGTGGATTCAAGCATTAAAGGGAGAGCCTGGGTTGCAGCCGCCAGCAGCTGCAGGCTGTTCTCCAAGAAAGAATGGAGCTAGAGAGCCAGGCACCAGCTCCTGTCTCTGGTAAGTGCAAGAGCTGAGTGGAGAGGATGCTTGGGGTGGACTGAATGTGTCAGGAGACTCTGCATCCATTTTTAAAAACGGCTGGAGTCACTATATCCTTAGCCCCCATTGTATCTCTCCATAAATTACCCATTGGACCACCCCAAACAGGGAGGTCGGGGGGTGACAGAGCCAATTTGCTAGACTCCAGCATACTCACTGTTTCTTGCATTTGCTCAAGGAACTTTTCTCTGTCTTAAAAACTTGAGTGTGAAGGTCTCTGTTTTGATCTTGTGATGCCCAAGTCTCCTAGAAAAGTCTGAAAATAAATTATTTTACTTCCCTAAGACTCCAGCAAATATTTCAGCAGGACTCAGCTTCATGCTTAGCCTAGCCCAGGAGAAACGCATTCACGACCCTGCATTCAAAAAATATAGCCCTGTTAGAGGCTCTGAGATACAGTCATGTACAAAAAGACAAAAAAAAAAAAAAAAAAATCTTCTCTTCTAGATACTTGCTTTTTGGAGCAGGGGAGGGGAATCAGAAAATTAAAAAAACAGATACGGCATGGTAACTCATGCCTGTAATCCCAGTACTTTGGGAGGCCAAAGCTGGCAGATCGCTTGAGCCCAGGAGTTCGAGACCAGCCTGGCCAAAATGGTGAAACCCCATCTCTACTAAAAATACAAAAATTAGCCAGGCGTCGTGGCGCACACCTGTAATCCCAGCTACACAGGAGGCTGATGCATGAGAATCACTTGAACCCGGGAGGCAGAGGTTGCAGTGAGCAGAGATCGTACCACTGCACCCCAGTCTGGGCGACAGAGCAAGACTGTGTCAAAAAAAAAATAAAATAAAACCTTAAAAAACACTGGAGTAATTAAAATTATAGATGTCAGATAGTGAGTGCTGTGGAAGAAAGACAATTGGAAAGGGTATAAGATATACTGGGAGTTGGTTGATTTGGGTCCAAGCAGCCTACAGTGAGAAGATGCCACATGAACAAAGAAAGTCCTGAAAGAACGTGAAGGAAGATGCAAATACCTAAAGATTCAGGATTACAGCAAAGCTTCCTGGGCATCTCACATTGTCCTACCCCAAGGCACGAGGAGCAAATGAAAATCAGAAGGGAGGAAAAGCAACGGAAACTGCATCACCCACTGTACTTGTTGCCATCTGGTGGGCCCTGGAAACCATCAGTGTATTTGGTTACTGTGTTTACACAGCCGGCAGGACACACACTGTTCACTCAGGGCTCCCCAGAGCTGTCGGAATGGTCCTGGCTTCCCTGGATTCCTGAGGCCCCTGCATCCGGGTTCTGGGGCTCAACAATTCCCCTGGGTTGTCCAAAGACAGGGGCCCTCCAGGACCACCCCAGGCAGGGGCCAGGTCCTTATCTAAGCCAAGTCCTGGGCCTGAGTGTCAAGTCAGGAAAGAAGACTTGGGAAGTTGCCTGAACCAAGAAGGCAGATAGTCTGGCCGAGCAGGCTGCTGGACTGAGGATAGCAAATGAATGAAGGGTGTCACACTGACCAACATGCCTGACCCGTGCAAAAAGCTCATTTATTGTTGGTTACGATTAATAATAACCATTGGTAAAACTCTGTTCCAGGTACATGAAGTTTGTACCTGTCTACCAAGTATGTTACATGCAGGTGTTGTTTTTGTTTGCATGTAATCCTATTTTTGACTGATTTTTAGAGTGAAAAAACTGAAAATTAGAAAGACTCAATACCTCTCACAAGTTGGCCCAGTTAATAAGTGGCAGCCAGCTTTTGAACCCAAACCCATCCAGTCCTAAAACTTAGGTTCTTGATCTCTATGCTCCAGCCTCACCTACCTTTAAGAGAGAATATCGAGGGCCAGGCGTGGTGGCTCACACCTGTAATACCATCACTTTGGGAGGCCGAGGTGGGCAGATCACTTGAGGTCAGGAGTTTGAAACCAGCCTGGCTAACATGGTAAAACCCCGTCTCTACTAAAAATATAAAAATTAGCTGTGTGTGGTGGCAGATGCCTGTAGTCCGAGCTACCGGGGAGGCTGAGACAGGAGAATCGCTTGAACCGGGGAGGCGGAGGTTGCAGTGAGCTGAGATCGTGTCACTGCACTCCAGACTGAAAGGCAGAGAGAACATCAAGGAAACACTTCCTGTTCTTCTGAGCAAAACTACTCTCCTCTTTCTAATTTAGAACATCAGGAAGAGGACAGTTTGCATAATGAAAAATCAAGGAAGGCGGTTATTCATGTACTTAAGCTTCGACAACTTCTAGTAATTATTTTCAGGGAGGCTGCATTTCTTTCAGCTGCTAAGGACAGTACCTAGGAGGCTGTGAAGAACAAGCTGATGGTTTCAGATTTAGACACACATTGGGCCGCAGCGGCAAGCGCCCAGTAGGTCCTCAATCTTGTAAATACGGTTACATTTGTCATCCCTGACCCTCACAATGTGATTTGCATAGTGTCTTGGACCAAATATTTGTAGGATTGCTGGGATGTGTTTCTCATTTCAGTGGCATGGAAAGTTGTCCTAAGAAAGGCTGGAATAACCTGTGGTCTCTGGATGAAAAATAAGGAAACTGGGGTCCCAGGAAGTAAGAGTTCCTATCTGAAGTCATTCCCTGAGTTAGTGCAAGAGCCCGAAGCCAGGGAAACCCCAGCTCTCTTTCAGCATCACGTGCCATTCAGCTAAATTCTCAGGGCCCAGGACAGCCTTCTGTCACCCACGGGCTAAAGTCATCAGGAAAGCAAATAAGGATCCACAGTTAGAAGAAGAAAAATGTTTCCGCCCACCCTAACCCTTCCGCACCACCTGTCACCTGAAAACCCAAAACTCAGAACTGCCCCGAGACACATCCAGCCAGAATCCAGAGAGACCTTTGAGGCTGGGGCTGGGCCCACTCACCTCTCATGAGGAGGCAAAAGCAAATGCTTCTCCTCCCAGGGCTGACCAAGGCAGTGGGTGGACAAGCCTGGGCCAAGGCAAACAGGGACATGGCACCTGAAGGCACTATTGACAAACTGGGTGTGTTAATGGACCAAGTGGGGCTAGAATGGGAAGGATGGATTCTCCGAGGCTGCACAGAGAGTGCAGGAGAGAAAAGAACTTCCAAACTGTCTCCTTTAGCCTTGGCTACCCCTGGAGAAAGCCCAGGTGTTTCACCTCCCTCCCTCCCTCCCTGCTTCTCTGCCTTTGCTCTGAGAGCCGGGCCTTCCTGCAGGCTGGCTGTTTAACGAGGCAGGTTGAGAATTTTCAGCCTCTAACTCATGTGTTCTAATCCTATTAAATATGCACCGGCTTCAAAACTCAGCTTTTTAAAAACTTGCTTCCCCACCCCCAGCACCACCCCCTGTCCCCCCAACCTCGCCTCACTTAGTCCCACTTGCTCCATTCCAGCTTGAAAAGCCATTGCTCAGTTGTTGGCAGGGGTCCCACCAGCGTTTTTGCAAGGATTTGGGCTGTGATTCAGCTACCTGCAGCTGTTCCCCAGTTACCACCCACGTAAAGGAATTTCTGATATTAAAACGGGTGACAAACTTCCTCCCCCCTTCCCCCAACACATTAGTTTGATTGACATCCACAGGCCAAGTGGCCAAGTTCACCGTCACTTGGTTCTCCCTATTCACTTAATAATACATTTAATTCCACCCACCAGCCACTCCTCCCCGTGCTTTATACACACTGCCTTCTCACCCTGAAGAGCGTCCTCTGATAAGACCATCGAAATACCATTTGGGGATATTTAAAAACAATCTACTGAATCTTTCTAGAACTAAATTTTGTTCTCCCTTTATCATCTAATTAAATCTTCCCACCACTGCAAAAAATCCTCCTAATCCCCCCCCTCCCCCGGCCTTGTGTAATGTCATCAAATGGGAGTGGAGAGAGGCAAGGAAAGAGAGCGGGCTGAAGTTGAAGATCCAAGTTCAGATAGTTCCATGGAGCTTTTCAGAGCCGAGGCTGGAGGCCACCTGCTTCTCTCCAACTGTGCAGAGATGCCAGGGTGTTCGTGTTGACCAGATGGAATTGTCTCCAGCAGAGCATACTGAACCAGTATCCACAAAGCTGGGCACAGACCTGAGCTTCCCGGCTTCAGCTACTTTCTTTTGTGTGTGTGTTGGGGTTGGCACGGGGGGAAAATGGGGTGGATGTGCAAACAGTGCAGATGGCCCTGGAAGTCGATGGCCCTGCAAGTCAACTGCCCATCCTCCTTCTGGCAGAAGTCCCATCTCAGCCTGGGCTCATCAACTATATGCTTCCTTTCAAAGGAGGATGCAATAGAAACCAACCTAACACCAACAAAAGCCTCAACAGTTAGCATTCAAGGTACCTACCTTAAGAGTGGACATTCAAAAGGAGGCTTTTGAGCAATGACCAAGCTGGAGCCCCTGGATACCAGGCCCTGGCTTTCTCTGAGTTTCTCCCATTTGGTTTGGCAGATACTCTGCGGGGGAACAATAGCAACGGCCCCACCAGTCCCATCAACCCCAAGGCCGCGTCCCCTTGCTTCTGGGCAGTAGCCAGTAATGTGATCCTTCAAGGCAGTGCCAAACCCCCTGTTGGGAATTCAGCCAATCTTGGGGCTCTTCAGGGAAGAAAAATTCCTTTCCCTGACCTCTGCAGGTGATCGGATTGAGGTCCCTGCAGCTTGAAATTTGATTTGATCTTTGATCTCTGCTTGCACAGCTGCAATGGTTATTATGCTCCATAAAGTGTCCCGGAGCCCTTCCTTGCTCACCTGCCCTCCATAGTGAGTGCTTGGGGCCAGGTATTCCTGAGCAGGGGAAGAATATTACTTCTCTGTTTTTCTCATCCTGCACTCCCTTCATTTCAGTCGTGCCTTCTCATTCCCCTCATTCCCAGGACTTAACCCCAAATTCCAAGACCGTGGACATTTTCAAGTCCTTCTAAATGAGAGCATGTGGTTTCATTAAAAAAAAAAAGTACTGTGTGTTAAGAGCCAACTATTTAACCAAGGTCATAGTCCCAGAATGCCGCATGTGTCTAAAGAAGTCTTGTAGAAGTGTGGTCCTCAAAGTAAGTTTTTCTGGGTTTAGTTCACTTCCCTGTCATGGTGAGATCATTCTGGGGCAGGGAGATATGTATAAGGAAGCAAGTTTAATATGGTTCATCAGACCTATTTCTATTTTATTGGCAGCAAGTGACATAATAATAGATACTTACTGAAAGCGAACTATATTTTGGATATCATGCTAATTATCTGCATGGACGCTTTTAAGCTTCCCAAACTCTAAGAAGAATGTACTATTATCTTACCTCATTTTACAGATGAGGAAACTGAAATTTAGAGGGGTTTAAGTAGCTGGTTTAAGATTACACAAGCAGTGAGCAAATAGAGTTGGGATTCCCTCACATGTCTGTCTGATCTTGAACTAGTTCTTAACCAAATTCACGTTATCCCTCTTTGAGGTTATTTGTCTACACTGCAAAATTACACAAGCAGGAGAGCAGCGATGTCTTGTCTACATTGTTCACAGTCTGAGAAAATCATTTCAAGATTTATTGATTGGCTATCCTGATTTTAATCTGAAAATAAGTCCCAAATGACATGTTTTCACCTTTTATTTTTTTAATTCAAATCAAACTTTTAATCAACAGCAAGGACAATAAAAGGATTAAGCATATCATTTTAAAGAAACACCCAAATAGATATGATTTGGAAATTTTCCTACTAACATTTCATCCCTGAGCCCCCCCTCATACTGACCTCACCTTTGGGCCTGAACTTGGTAAGGAGATTTCTCTGCAAGTCTGTCTAGAGAGTCAAACACTTCTCTGGTTACCTTGAGATTCAAGTCTGCTTAATTAAATGTTTTAGCTAGCATTTTTGTTTAAGTTTCCACGGAGGTATGAAAAAGCCATTGCAATTGTTTTAAAGCTCTTATAATACTTTCTTTAGTTCCTTCAAGGAAGGTGATCATTCCTGTGTCTACTCAGGCCCCTATCCCACCACCTTCACTGATGGCTTCATTTCCTTACACTTTAGCTCCTTTCTCTCTCTGATTTTGCCCATCACTGTCCATGTGGAAGAAGCATGAAGAGAAATTTGAGTTGTGTTGGGTCTCTCTGCCGACTGCATGAACCCTGAAAGTCTGTCCTCTCATTTAGAAGTTGTTCCCAGAATCTAATCCCTCCTATCTTCCTTCTTTTTCTTTTCTTTTTTTTTTTTTTTTTTTTTTTTGAGATGGAGTTTCGCTCGTTGCCCAGGCTGGAGTGCAATGCCACGATCTCAGCTCACCACAACCTCCTCCTCCCAGGTTCAAGCGATTCTCATGCCTCAGCCTCCTGAGTAGCTGGGATTACCGGCATGCGCCACCACGCCCTGCTAATTTTGTATTTTTAGTAGAGACGGGGTTTCACCATGTTGGCCAGGCTGGTCTTGAACTCCCGACCTCAGGTGATCTGCCCACCTTGGCCTCCCAAAGTGCGGGGATTACAGGCGTGAGCCACCGCACCCGGCCTGTTTTGTTTTCTTTATTGGGTGGAGGTTTGTCTTAAGTTTCCCCCACTTCTGATTAATAACCTCAATAGGTCTTTGCTTATTAAAAAAAAAAAAAAACCTACTAAAAGATAAAAATTAATAACTGTAATAACGGCATTCTCATAGCATCTAGCAACCTTCACAACAGAGTTGTGACAAAGAGCTGAATTACCAAATCTCAGTTTCTACAAAAAATGTTATCCTTAAGAAGAAGGCAGTAGCGGCCTTTCCACTCAAAAGCATTTTCTCAACTTTTGGCTATAAACATTTTCAAAATCGCAGAAAAAATTTGAAAGAATAGCATAGGAACCATCCGTATAGTTAGCCCTGAGTAATTATTAATTTTTTGTCATATTTTATTTATCATATGTGCGCGTGTGATTTTGGATTGCTGTGTTATGTTGTGCTGTGTTGTATTCCTGAACCATTTGATGATAAGTTGCAGACTGCAGGATACTTCGCCTCTCAAATGTCCAGAATATCAGTGATCCCCTGGGTAACCACCTACCACTGATGCCCCTAAGAAAGTCACAATGGTTGCCATCATCATCTGCTACCTAGCCCACATTAAAAGCCCCCAGATGTATTAAAAATGTCTTTTGGAGCTGTTTGTTTTCATTTTTGTTTCTGTTTTTTCCTCTGAACTGGAAGTAAGATGACAACCGTCCCAGTATGCCCGGACATGTCCCAGTGTTAGCCCTGAAAGTCCGAGAAACATCTCCCCTAAGTCTTTCCTAGGCAAACTGGGATGGCCCAGCAACCTCACCAGGAACCAATCAAGTTTCATTGCACGTGTTTACTAAAACTATTTAGTATTTAGTCTCTTTTAATTGATGCACAACCAGCTCTTACCCAGAAAACTCAAGTTTCTAAGTTTTATATCTAAAGATGTCTCCTAATACACACAGTGAGATTTGTTATGGGTGGTAGTTGGGGTGTCCACAGAGAACCAGCACAAACATCCATGACCTACTCACCAATAGATCTAGCCTTACAAACGAAAACCTCTGCAAATGAAAACACTTTATTGTCACCACAACAGCGGTGTATCCCTTTTGTTTTGCTTTGTTTTCTAATGGTCTGATATTTTTGTGTTCAGAAGTTGTTCACAGGTGAGCTGATAAATAGAATCGTCAACGCAGGCAACACGCAAAGGCATGAAAGATGGGTTATCTGAGTGCAGGAGCACTCAGATAATGATGATATTAATTCATATCTAGATAACACTCAGATAATGTTAACTCATCTTTAACAGACTTCTTATGAGACTGTGTCAAGATGCAAAAGGTGGCTATCAGGGAGCCTGCCCCTCTCTTACATCACACCTGTGGCCAGTTCATCCATGCTGGTACTGTCTGCAAAGCCCTATATAAAGGAATGTGAGAAGCAAATGAGACCCATGGTTCAAGGCCCAGCTCTGCATTTAAATTGAACAGTGCAGACTTGCTCAAACCATGTCTCTTCTGCAGACTTTAGTGTCTTCACCTGCAATGCCAAGAGCTGCTATGGCCTGAAAAACAAGGCTGCTTTCTTCTTCGTTGGCCTCATTTCAGGCACTCTCAGGAAAGAACATCTGGGGTTCTGAACCCTCCCTCAGATTAGAAGGACAATTCCCCCACTCTGTCTCCAGGAAGTCACCTCTTTGACACAAGCCTGGTAATCCATGGAAGGTCAGGACCACTGGCAATGAACAGGCTTTGAGGATGCCATGCCCTGTTCCTGCCCCAGGAAAGTGCAAAGGATGCACATGGTCCCTAACCCTCAAGAGTAGCCCCTTCCATTCCCTCCCATGAACTGCAAAGACTCACTTCACTTCATCCAGTGTCTTTATGAAGTCTTGCATATAGGTCAGAAGAAGGGTTAAGATGCTGGCTGTAAACTAACTGGACTCTAAGCTCCAGACTTACATTAGTTGCCTTCTCAGTACCTTCAACTGGATGTCCAAGAGGCATCTCAACCTTCAGATGTCTTCAACACAACCCTTCATTCCCTTCAAACCACTCCTCCCAGCCTTACACAAAGAATACAGCAGCATTGCTATTCACCTGGTCACTCAAGACAAAAACCTAGGAGTCGTTCTTGACTCTTCTGTTTTTGCCACACACAAATCCAATCCATCAACTGGTCAGGTGAGCGCTACCTTCAAAAGACAGCTGCATTTGTCCCCTTCAGTCTTTCCCATTGTCCCTCTAACTAATACCGACTTTTGCCCAAACTACTACAACAATCTTCCATATTTCCAGCTTCTTCTCTTGTTCTCCTGTCTCATCACTGCTCAGCCACCACCAAGTGACCTGTTATAAACCATAATCTAACCAGATCACTTCCTTATTCAAAATCCACCAACATTTCCCACCACATTTATGATCAATTCTAAACACCTTCCGTTGGCCCATCCTCTTCCCGTTTACCTTGACAGGCTCGCCTCATTCCATGTCTCCTTCACTGACTTCACACCAGCCCCTCGAACCTGTTCATGGATCCTTTCCTCCTGCTGCCCTTGGCACCTGGGCTGCACTTCATTGTAGTGCCACCTTCACCACCTTCCTGTCACTCTACAGCCACTATTACTGCCCCACCTCATGACACTCCATCCTCCCACCTCACACAAACACATGTCTCATAGACTAGCATAGGGTCTGCAGGATGAGCCCGTGAGAACAGGCACTTTGGTCTGTTCTGTTTATGAAT
This sequence comes from Homo sapiens, assembly GCF_000001405.40. Classification (NCBI taxonomy): domain Eukaryota; kingdom Metazoa; phylum Chordata; class Mammalia; order Primates; family Hominidae; genus Homo; species Homo sapiens. The sequence goes on from NC_000017.11 coordinate 72,181,685, forward strand.
GAATCCCTGGTGTCCAGAACACTCCTGTTTCAAGGAGGCACTCAATAAATATTTATGGAATTCATTGACTAATGGAACATCATTATTCTAATGAAAGCAAACAAAGATGCAGGTGATAAGCAAAAACGCCTTCTGCCCTTTGCCTTTCCTGTGGCTGCTTTTAATTCACTTAAAAAATAGATGTAACTGTTATAAAGACATCAAACCAGGCCATAATGCATTTCTGTCATAATAAAATGTCACCCTGTTTATTTTATCCCAGCCATTACCACAATCTGTAATTATCTTGTTATTTTATGGGTCACTACCTCTTTTTGTCTTTCTTCTCCACTGGGATGGAAACTCATGAGTGCAAGAACCTTCTCCTACTAGCTCAGTGCATCCCAGTGCCAAGTGCATGGACTGGCCCATAGTAGGTGTTCAATATGCATTTGTTGAATGAATAATTAAATGACAGACTAACCAGAACTGGAGATCTCATGAAAGACATCGTGAGCTTGTCAAGGTCAATAACTTTAATGTCTTTTCTTCTTTGCAACTCACTAGAAACCTAACATAATACTTTGTGCTTAGTAGGAGTTCAGAAAGCTTATTTATTGAGTTGAATTTCACTATACTAGCAAAGTTTCAGAGACTACATGTCCTAATTAGGAAAGTTTTCTGGAGAGGATAAAGGCATGGAGAAGGAGTCTGTCAGGAGACTCAGGTTCCCAGCTTGGCAGGATATAGACAAAGGGCTCAGTGGGCTCATTTGCATTTTGTTTTGCATAAATATGCAAGCTGAGTGGCTGAGCTGGAGTCTCCAAGGATGTCAAATGGCAACGGGCTGTGTTTTCAAATAGGATATTCAGGATCTTACAAACACAGGGTTCCCACCCAAAAGAAGGATCTTCAACTCTCCTGGTGATGGGGAGACACACTGATCTCTTAGCTGAGCAAATGTCCCTCAACTGGACCCTCCCTATCCCCTGGCCACTGCCAGCCACTTCCCCATGCTCACCCCCTACAGGGATCTTGGCAAGCCTGGCTAAGGTGTGGTCACTTCCAACAGGCCCCTGTTGACAGAGCTTAAAACAAACCTCCCTGTTCACACACAGGCCCTGGTGCATGGAAGAGCCAAGTTGGGAGACTGACTCTCTACTGGCTGAGGCTACCAGTGCAGAAACCTTTCGAAAACAAAACAGCACTTAAAAAAACAAAACAAAACAAAACAAAACCTCATCCTTTCTGAGGCCAACACTGAGTGCTGGGAAGGCTCAGAAAGACCATGGGATTTTTTTCCCCCCAGTTAATCCAGTTGCCCTGATTTGCATGGGATTTGCATAAACAGCACGTTGTATTCAAGCGGCCCTTACTTCAAGGGCCAAGATTAAGGTTGGGGATTTGTCACCCCCACGGTAGTTTTGCTCCCCCTCCGCTGTTTAGCAGCTCAGGACACCTAAAATCGCTCTTTATATACTGGCCAAGGTGAAAAGCACACAAGCTATGGTGGAATACCAGCGCAGGATAGAGGAGGCGTGTGTAGGGCTGGGAGCCCTCTCCCAAGAGGGGAGGTTGGACAATAAGAATTGTAAGGTTGCTCCCTGTTCTGGAATTCTATAAATCTCTGCAGGGTGCCAGGCACCAAAGGACTGGCCTCAGCAAACCCTGAGATGGCACTGGAAACAAGATGGATTGCAGCCAAATTCAGGTTGTGCTAATATTTGTTGAAAGCTTTTCTGTGACAGTGACTGTCACATGGGGAAAGGGAAGAGACAGACTAGATTGGCCAGGAGAAGGGATGGGCAAAAGGAATGTGGAATTCTTCCATCAGCCCCACCACCATCCCCCTGCTAGCGAGGGAGCAGGGATGGGACTGTTAAAAGCCCTACACTTACAAACCTCTCTCAATGTCCAGCCCAGCTGTACCTCTTCCCTGTGTAAGACACAAGCACAGAGACTCACTCGTTGGCACTGGTCAAAAGTCACTTTCCAACTTTCGATGTCAGGCTCAACACAAGGCGCTTCCAAAAGGGCCTTTCCACCCATGGTTGGCACTCCCAATGTTGGTCTTTGAAATGTCCTATGGTTTTCGGCTTGGAGGAAGTTGCCTTGGCCCAAGCTCTCTTGAGTCCACACCCAGATCGCCTAACTTAGTTTCTGCATTGTGTCAAGCAAGATCACAGAGCATACGATGGGTAATAATCACCGAAGAGCAGAGCAGGCAAACCTGCAGATGCTCATGAAGGGGGATGGGCCATCAGTATCCGACATCTCTGCTTCTTTCTCCCCAGTTTCCTCAATATATGCAAAGAGCATATGCTTCTGATTTCTACAGCTGAGTACCTGGTGCCCTAAATGTCCTGGAAAACCCTGTCCTGAGAAAAGGCAGGAGGAGGGGTTGGAAAGAGAGAGGATGGGCCCTAAAACCTTCCTGGCTTGGTTTCCTCTACATGCCAACCACTCGATCTTATAAAATCATCCAGGTTATCTCCCTACACCTGTGCACCATGCTAAAGGGGAAGGAAATGTGGACAGGAGTGAAACAAATAAGCAAAGCCAAAATAGGGGTATGGGGTCCTAACCCTAACCCTTGAAAGCTGTGCAACTTACTCAAGTCATTTGAACTCTCAAGGGGTTTAGTTTGTTTGCTTTATTTTCTTTATAAGATTGGGATTTTAAAGTCTGCCCTGCTTATCCTTGAAAGATAGTCCAGAATCACAAAGGGCATCACACAGGGGCCTACTGGGGTTAGATGGGCATTGAGTATTGTTATTACCCCAAACGAAGGCATCCCTGGAAAAACAGACTTTCCTAATACTTTTTCCAACTGGTTTATACACACAGTTACTCCAATAATTCTTTTTTTTTTTTTTTTTTTTTTTGAGACGAAGTCTCCCTCTGTCACCAGGCTGGAGTGCAGTGGCACAATCTCGGCTCACTGCAACTTCTGCCTCCCTGGTTCAAGCGATTCTCCTGCCTCAGCCACCTGAGTAGCTGGGGCTACAGGCGTGTGCCACCATGCCCAGCTAATTTTTGTATTTTTTTTAGTACAGACAGCGTTTCACCATGTTGGCCAGGATGGTCTCGATCTCTTGACCTCGTGATCCACCCGCCTCGGCCTCCCAAAGTGCTGGGATTACAGGCGTGAGCCACCGCACCTGGCCAAGTTACTCCAATAATTCTAAATCTGATTTCCCTTAAACTTCTTATAATCTACTTGATTTTTTTCTTTTATTTCCTTATTTTTCTTTCCTGGGGCATCTGGGAGGAAAGGAACTGGGGATTCCTGGAGTGTTTCTGTCACATGCAGCCTCTTCGGCAGCTGGTAGGCTACAGAGGCCTACTCCGCGTGGGAGGAGGGAGATGCATTGCATCATTACCTCATTGTGTTAAGAAAACTCTGAGATTCAACCATTCTAAAATAAAATTTTCTCATTAGGAGGGAGGTTTTTGGCTCTCTAGTCTTAAAATGCCCAGGAACCAAACTGGCCTTCTAAAGATGTGGAACACAAAGTTCCGTTCCCATTTTTGATGCTGACCCCCTATGAAGCTCAGGTGCCTGTGGACTTCTTAGCCTAACTATAGACAGGTTTTAATAACTTTAATTATCCTGCTTCACTTCTCTAATTTCTTTCTTTCTTTTTTTTTTTTTTCAAAATTAGCCTGAAGGCTCAAAAGATTAAACTTGGGGGAAAATTTCCTAATGCCCTTTAGCTAGCTGGTTTCCAGTTTACGCCCCAGTTTTCCTGCAAATCCTTGCATTTGTACTATAGGATGAGCAACATACCTTGGACTTCCTTCTGTTTACACCTGAGACCGATGTGCACCAGCTATTTATGTACAGATCCTTGGGATGCTTTTCTCTCCACCATGAAATGTTGCCAAACTCCAGGAACTAGGGATATGGGGAGGGGAAAAAAAAAACGTATTGTTGCAATCCCCTCCTCCCCCTTGATCATTAATTGTATCCTGCTGGGAGCCCTCCATGCACTCTGGGTGAGCATGTGTCAAACACATTTCCCTCTTCCCAGCACTTGCCAAGGGTGTGTTAGCCTCTTATTTTTGAAACCTGCTCTTTGAGACATGGAGAAACTCAGACAGGAGGAAGGAGGGGGAGGAGATTACAGCAGAGCAGCAGCAGGCTGGGGTCAGGCTCTGGGCCAGAGCCTTCGAGTCCAAATTTCCTCCCCGGACAAAGGATGGGTGGGGGTGGTCAGCTCTTCTGCAGCGACCGACTGGTGGCTGAGCAGGCAGGAGGGACCCACTGCGGTGACCGGAAGTTAAGAGGATACAGACGCAGTTGAGGTTCTCCTTAAATGATGAAGTAGCTGATTCTTCCTCCAAATCCCTCTTCACTAGTTCTGAGGCCCCCAGACAACCCCAGCAGTCAAGCACTGCTGCTTCCCATCCCAGATGTTTTGAATTCTGAGAGAGCAAAATATGTAGAAAAATCCTTACTAGGTATCTATTCCCCACCAGAGCACAACAAGGTATGGGACCAAGGGACCAGGAAAAATCAGTTGTCTTCTATTGGAGGAAGGAGCAGGTGCCATGGTGGACCCTGGAAACTCCATTGGGGTTTCCTCAGTCGACATAGCTCGTGCGGAAGACACTTGCCCTTCAAAGTTGCTCAGGAGACCGAAGCATGAGATTCAAGTCTGCCCTTGCAATTCTCCTAGGCATAAGGTTGTCTTCATCTGTCAGCCTGCTCAACCTTCTCTTCTGTCCAGTCCTAGCACTGTAGAAAGAAATCAAATTATTCTTGCAGATTAAGGTTGGTTCTCAGAGACTCCGCTTCTGGAAAATGCTGAAGGATCATCTACTTTTTCCCAGAGTCACGAAAGGGAGATCACCAGGCACAGCGGCATATGCCTGTGATCCTAGGTACTCAGGAGGCTGAGGCGGGAGGATTGTTTGAGGACAGGAGTTTGAGGCTGCAGTGAACTATGATTACACCATTGCACTCCCGTCTGGGCAATATAGCAAGACCCTGCCTCTAATTTTCTTTTTTAAAGGGTAGCCGGGGTGAACATGTACCACCATATATATATATATTTTTTTATTTTGGAGAAATGGGGTCTTGCTATGTTACCCAAGGTAATCTTGAACTCGTGGCCTCAAGCAATCCTCTTGCCTTGGCCTCCCAAAGTGCTGGGATTACAGTTGGTTTCATTTCGGCTTCTCACCTTTATATTATCATCCATGAAATCCTCAACCTTTTATCAGTCTCATCCCTGGGTGGTCCTTAGGGTAAGTTGTAAAACTTGGTGGGAAGGAGTTATCACTACCTGGTCCAGCATCACAGGGCTACTAAGAACCCAGGCTCATAGGCAGACAGATCTTGGTCTAAATTTTATCTGTTACTTGTATTGGCTGTGTGATGTACCAATCTGAACTTCTTGAGCTGTAGGGTTGTCATCTCTAAATTTATTTTTTAAAGATTGAATGAGGTTATGTATGTAAAGCACTTAACACTTGGAATGGCAAGTAGTGCCCAAGAAATCTTACTTTACTATTGCAAAAAAAAAAAAAAAAAAAAAGTTAAGACTGGTAATAGTGACACCTGGAAGCCCCTGTTGGATCTGCCACATCTACTGGTAACATGTCCTGACCACATTGCTCCTGTCCCCCACCCAGCTTAAGGTCATCTCTTCTTTGGATTGACAGCACACATGCCCGTTAGCTGCAAGCTCTTTATCATCTCATGAGAATTCAACCCAAAGGGAGACAGGCAAGAATAAGCCAAAGTCTGACTCTCCTCAGACTCTCGCTTGATTTCCATGAGGCACACAACCCGCTTCTTCACGAACAGGCGCAGATGCTCTTCCCATCACACACGGCCCCATCATCTGACATCCCTATTGGCCAGGCTCTTGAACCCAAGTCACAGCTGGTTCCTTGAGGCAGCCTGAGGCGTAACACCGCCTGCAAAGAAAACTTTTCTCTCTGTTGAAAATGCACAGGGCCCCCTCTGCCTTAGTCCCTACCACTCCCCCAACATTGTCCTACTACTGTTTCCGTGTAGCGCATCTGGCCAAAGCAAACAGCTCTCCTGAGCCAGCTCTCCAGCAAGCAGCTGCAATACAAAGTTGGCAGGCATTTTCAGGAAGCCTGGCCTTCCCCCGCCTGCTCACCCTGTGGGCTCCCCTGGAAGACACAAGAAATGAAGCCTGACCTTTTAATTAGCCCTCGCACAGGGCCTGACCTCATTCTCTGGAGGAGCTGGACCGCCCCTCTCCACTCCCCTGCCCTGCTCCTCATCCGTCCTTCACATGTTGGGTGCCTGGGTACTGGGGCTAGCTTTTCTCCTCTCTGGGGAAAACGCACATTGTGAATAGGATGTTAGGAACTAGAGGAGTAGTTATAAAGGTTTATTAGTGTCCTATATTGATGACTGTGTATTGGAGTTTGAATTGAGGTTGGGGACAGATGAGGATCTCAGATCTAGGAGTAACGATAAGAGGGAAAATGGGAAGAACAAAGAGAGGAGAAGAGAGAGGGAAGGAGGGAGGGAGGGATGAAGGGAAGGATTTTTAGCACCTTTTGTCAGTCTGATAATAAGTGTTTTCATGTGTTTTCTTCTTTAAACTCTGTAAGACCATAGGTTTTGATGATCCTGATTTTATAGGTAAGACATTGAGTCCCCAAAGAGAAGTGACTTGCTCGAGGTCACTCAGTTGGCAGATGGCAGAGCAAAAACAAGAACCTAGGTCTTCTGGCTCTGAGACTGGAAACTTCACATCAGGTTGCTGCTATTGTCCAGTAGTTTTAGGGTTACCTTTATAAGATAAATTATTTTTTTCAGTCCCGTCAGCTAGAATAATGCATCCGTAGGCTCAGTGGCCCCCATCTGATTCAACAATCTGGCATGCATTGTTTTGGTTAAGGTCAGCTGACCCTAACTTTGGTGTTCCTGAGAGCTACTTGGAGGTGGTAATTGTGGTAGAGAGAGTGGGACCAAAAGTGGCAGTGGTGGTGGCGGTCATGGTGATAGTGGTGGTGGTGATGGTAGTGATAGTGGAGGTGGTGGTAGTAACGATGGTGGTGGTATTGATGGTGGTAGTGGTAATGGTGATGGTGGTGGTGGTAGTGGTGATGGTGATGGTAGTGTTGATGGTGATCACTATGGTAGCGATGGTGGTGGTGATGATGGTGGTGGTGTTGGTGGTGGCAATGGTGGTGATGATGATGGTGGCAATGGTGGTGATGATAACGGTCGTAATAGTAGTAGTGATGGTGATAGTGGTAGTGATGATGGTGGTGGTAGTGTTCATGGTGATGGTGATGTTCATGGTGATGGTGATGATGGTGATCATGATAGTAGTGATGGTGGTGGTGTTGATGGTGATGGTGGTGGTGGTGATAATGGTGACCATGATAGTAGTGATGGTGGTGGTGGTGGTGATGGTGGTGCTGGTGATGATGGTGGTGGTTGTGTTGGTGGTGGTGGCAATAGTGGTGATGATGATGGTGGCAATGATGGTGATGATAATGGTGGTAATAGTAGTAGTGATGGTGATAGTGGTAATGATGATGGTGGTGGTAGTGTTCGTGGTGATGATGGTGGTAGTGATGATGGAGGTGTTGGTGTTGGTGGTGGTGGTGTTGATGGTGATCATGATAGTAGTGATGGTGGTGGTGGTGATGATGGTGGTGGTGGTGGTGATGGTGGTGGTGGTAGTGGTGGTGGTGATGGTGACGGTGTTGATGGTGATCATGATGGTAATGATGGTGGGGGTGGTGGTGATGGTGTTCATGGTGGTGGCAATGGTGGTGATGATGGTGGTAGTGATGGTGGTGGCAGTAGTAGTGATGGTGATGGCAGTAATGATGCTGGTGGTAGTGTTCATGGTGATGGTGGTGTTGATGGTGGTGGTGATGATGACGGTGGTGATAGTGGTAGTAATGATGATGGTGATGAGGGTGGTAGTAATGGAGGCATGCTCTTGTTACTAGCAGCAGTGGTGGGAGTAACATGAAACATAGATAGACCAGCTAATTGGCTTTCTCAGTCTCTAAAATCCTCCCTTGCATTGCACTCCTTGCCTTCTGATCTTCTGGTTTGTAGAAATTGGCCAGAGCTCTGACCCTTTGTTTGTTGGTAGCAGCATCTGTAAAATGATATGACAGTCTTGTATTTATTTATTTTTGAAAGGATGTAAGGGAAACAGCTTCCCTTATTCAAACAAAACACAAAGTCCCCAAGGCTTTAAAACTGGAAGCTGATTCTCCAGGTGGGGAGATGGGGGTTGCCAGCAATGTCAACATGGCACCTGAGTTTCTGCTTTCCCCTCCCCCATCTCTCCCTCTGACTCTCACATCCACAGCTATGTCAGCCTGGGAGTGAATTACTGTTTGTCCTTCAGAGCTCTGGCCCAAGTGTGGCCAGCTCTCTCTCTCTTGGCTTCCCTTAGCCCATATGAGAGACTGGAATTTAAGTGTGGGAGAGACTAGGAAGAGAAAACCAAAAGGAAGACAAACAAAGAAAACACAGGAAGTTTAGGCAGCACCCAGATTACAAAGCTGACTTTTCTGAGCCTTCACAGCTAACTCATTCCCAGGGCTGGCCACCTGTGTCTCAGTCCACATCTTGTCTAATAAGTTCAGGCAAATTGTACTGAGACAATTTAAGAGACATCTCCAACGGCCACGCTCCAAGGAGCACCCAACTTGTCTTTATGTGGAAGGAGTCAAGTACTTCCCGTTTCATACTCCTCTCTTCATTTTGTGCCCCCAGAGCCCAAGCAAAGACTACCCATCTCAATAGCTCACCCAGCGTGGTCCCAGCACACCACAGTTTCATTTGCCTAGATATCTGGCAGCACTATGGCAACCACTGAAACGAATGAATGCACCTTTCAGGTGACTTGCCTGGCTCTTATCATTGGCCTGAGAGCATAACAATATCACTTTCTTCTTCTTCTTCTTCTTCTTTTTTTTTTTTTTTAATGCACATCTCACTCTGTCACCCAGCCTGGAGTGCAGTGATGCAATCATAGCTCACTGCAGCTTGGACCTTCTGGGCTCAGGCAGGCCTCCCACCTCAGCCTTCCAGCCTCCCAAGGAGCTGGGACCACAGGTGCACACCACCATGCCTCGCTAATTTTTTGTAGAGATAGGGTCTCGCTATATTCCCTAGGCTGGTCTTGAACTCCTGGGATCAAGTGATTCCCCCACTTTGGCCTCCCAAAGTGCTGGGATTACTGGTGTGATCCACTATGCCAGGCCTATGAAATCACTTTCTAATGAAATTATCAACATTCACAAAAACACCCAAGCCAGCCATCACCATGGATGGCTTATGGCAGCAACAGGGTTGAAGAGCTTGGTGAAGGGATCAGCTTCAATCATCCCCCTTGATTCCCAGTGAAGTCAACATAGAAAAAATTTAAAAGAACAGCAGTCTTAAAGCTCAAAGGAGGGTAATTCAAACTTCCCCAGAACTGCAAACTGGGTTACTTTCTTTCTTTCTTTCTTTTTCAGATGGAGTCTTGCTCTGTCGCCAGGCTGTAGTGCAGTGGCACGATCTCGGCTCACTGCAACCTCTGCCTCCCAGGTTCAAGCAATTCTCCTGCCTTAGCCTCCTGAGTAGCTGGGATTACAGGCATGTGCCACCATGCCCAGCTAATTTTTGTATTTTTAGTAGAGACGGGGTTTCACCATGTTGGCCAGGATGGTCTCAATCTCTTGACCTCGTGATCCACCCGCTTCAGCCTCCCAAAGTGCTGGGATAACAGGCATGAGCCACCACGCCCAGCCCAAACTGGTTACTTTCATGATAACTGAATTTCCTTTTGAAGCATTAACACACATGGTCAATGGAGGTGTTGTGCAGTGCACTTTTCTCCTCCTTTCAGTTGGTGGTGTGTTCCCCGGGTGGTTTTGGGGAAATCTTGGCACTGAATACAAACAGCCAGTCCTCACTCTGACATTGTCAGCCAACGAGGGGTCTCCCAGTGTGGGAATGCTGCCCTGAGGGTGTTGCAAGACCCCCCATCTTCTCTGCTCAGCCCCTCTCAGCTCCACACTTTATTTTCCAGGACTGACCTTCTTGTAACTCTCATGCAATTGCTCCCTTTGGGACTCTTCTAGAAACACATTGATAAGGGACGAGAGGATGAGAAGATGGAAAACAAGCCCAGGAAGAATATCTGGCTCATTTTTTCCTTTGCCGATCAAGTAACAATTTATGCCTGGTCAGGACAGACAGCAGATTTTATTTATTTTGCTAGCCTCCTACCCTATTCCCATCCCAGGGGTGGGGCGGGGTGGGCTGATATTTTCTTTCAAGGCTATACTAAAAATTCCAGCCTCCCTCCTGATTCTAACCCCAGGATTACCATTTCAGGCAGGCAGGACCTCCTTGTCATTCAGAAGACAGCTCCCGAAGCCAGCCTCTCCCCACTGCAATTTGGAGCAGCCTTGAAGCATTTAGAGGCCCAGGGGTCGGGGGAGGTACAAGATGTTCTCTTTTTCTCTCCTATCTCTCAAATGTGTTGCTTCAAGACTGCAGTTGTTTCTTTTTAGCAGAACATCGCTGACGAAACTCCTGATTGTCCCCTGGTGTTATCACTCCCTGTCACATAATAAGCCCTAATCTTTCTCCAGAAGTAAAACTGTTTCCATGCCCGATCCCTTAGCTGGTGGTTTTTTTGGAATCCCTCCAGAGAGTGGGAGTAGAGGTTCAGAGGGAAAGATGATAAAGCCTGGAAAATCCGCTGCCTGGGACCTTGAGGGTTAAGTCAGCCCAGATTTGGGAGAAGAAGATTGGCATTCCCCTGATCCCAGATGGAGAATACTAAATAACTCCCTTCAGCAAGTCAACTTGTTTGGTTATCTTGGAGTGTGGATTGGGGCTAACTCATCCTGGCCAGTCCTTCCGGATGTAGCCTTGCTCAAAATCAAGCCTTTTCCAGGAGTCTTGTTCTCTGGGGCTGCCTCCTCCCAGGCTGATAAAGAGTTTCATCATGGATGATTCAAGAGGTTGAGATGCAAGCTGTGGTGATAGCTAACGATGCCTCTAGCCCAGCTGACCTCACTTTCTAGCTGTTGACAGGTTCAGTCAGGCTGGCCAAACAGCTTCCAACCAGGCCAAGACAAATGGTCTCGGGCTTTCGCACCCCCTTATCCCTCCAAGTCCTTCTTCTGGATGGCAGTTCACCTCTGAGAGTCCCTGCAGATCATCTGGAGTCCACCCCTTCTCCCATAGGCAAATGCATAGACCAGGATAAATAAGACTGCTCCTATTTTCCATGCCCCACGTCATGATGATCTCGTCAGAGGCTGGCATCACCCTCTGGTCCCTCCTTACTTCTTCCCAGAGTCTCTCCTTCCCACTCGAACTGTTCCGGACCTGAGTAGGTGGTTTGGAGTCCTGACTCACTTTAAAAAGCATGCAGTAGGCCCAATCATCTTGTGTGTGTGCAGAGAAGACTTTAAACTAGTTCTCACACACACACACACACACACACACACACACAGAGACACCCCCACACACACAGTGCCTCCAGCCTCTTCTCCAGCCAGGGATATGATGGGAAATGGAGGCCTCTTTATCATCCACGCAGTGGGTAGCATTGAGGGCCTCCAGCTCCTGGGGACCACTCAACTCCTCAGATCCTGAATACAGGACTGGAAGAGAAAAGAGATAACAGGCAAATCTGAAGTCTCCATGCAGTGACCAGACAGGCTGGCTCAGACAGGACACAGCGTTTTCTCCATGACTTCTAGAGTTAAGCATCACTCTGGAAACACTGGAAGGAACAGGAAATGCTGGGGACATGTGGGGAGGAATCATACCCCCTTTCACCCACACAGCCTATTTGTCGGGACCAGGGCTCCAACCAATGTGAAGCTTGGGTTGTATCCACACTGGGCTCAAGGCTGAGGCTGAAGCGGCGCCAGCTGCTCGTGTGGCAATTCGGTCCACAGAGTTAAACCCCAGGGCCTTCATAATAATCATGAATCACACTCCCTGACTGCTGCATGACACTCTGCAGTTCTTAAAATGCTTCTTACATACATTGTTCAGTCCTCATGCCTTGCCTGTGAATGAGGCATTATGACCCCTTTTTCTTTTACAGAGATGGAAACTCAGCTTAGTAAAGGGCAGAAGGAGGATACAAACCTGGAACCTCCAGCTCCAGATCCTTCGATCCTCCCCTGCAGAGGGAATTTAACTGTACTTGAGAATGGATAACGCTTTACTGACATGGGGAAATGAAGCCTTCTAGGCACAAAGATGAGGTCAACAAAGGCAAGGGGCAAAACAGTGGAGGATGTTTTCTTTTAAGATTTGTGTGTGTGTGTGTGATGGAGTTTCCCTCTTGTTGCCCAGGTTGGAATGCAATGGGGCAATCTTGGCTCACCACAACTTCTGCCTCTCAGGTTCAAGCGATTCTCCTGACTCAGCCTCCCGGGTAGCTGGGATTATAGGCGCCTGCCACCACGCCCGGCTAATTTTTTTATTTTTAGTAGAGACAGGGTTTCACTATGTTGACCAGGCTGGGTCTCGAACTCCTAGCCTCAAGTGATCCGCCCACCTTGGCCTCCCAAAGTGCTGGGATTACAAGCATGAGCCACCGCGCCTGGTCTTCTTTTAAGAATTTTTTAAAATTGTTTTGCAGCCGAGCTCTGTGATTCGCACCTGTAATCCCATACTTTGGGAAGCCAAGGCGGGTGGATCGCTTGTGCCCAGGATTTTGAGACCAGCCAAGGCAACATGGTGAAACCCCATCTCCACAAAAAATACAACAATTAGCAGGGTGTAGTAGTGTACCCCTGTAATCCCAGCTATTTGGGAGGCTATGGTAGGAGATTGCTTGAGCCCAGGAAGTTGAGGCTGCAGTGAGCCATGATTGTGCCACTGTATTCAGCCTGGGCAACAAAGCAAGACCCTGTCTCAAAACAAATAAATAAATTGCTTTGCCTCAGCACATTGTAAATTTTTTTTTTTTTTTTAGACGGAGTTTCGCTCTTGTTGCACAGCTGGAGTGCAATGGTGCGATCTCGACTCACCACAACCTCTGCCTCCTGGGTTCAAGCGATTCTCCTGCCTCAGCCTCCTGAGTAGCTGGGATTACAGGCATGTGCCACCACGCCCCACTAATTTTGTATTTTTAGTAGAGACAGGGTTTCTCCATGTTGGTCAGGCTGGTCTCGAACTCCCATCCTCAGGTAATCCGACTGTCCCGGCCTCCCAAAGTGCTGGGATTACAGGCATGAGCCACCACGCCCGGCAGCACGTTGTAAATTTAACTATTCATTCCGTTATGTTGTTAGTCCACAGTTATGGCAGAAATTGTTTAAATATATCTATAGAGAGAGAGAGAGAGATAGATATGTATATGTATTATAGCACTTCCTGTTCCTTCCAGCAATTCCAAAGCAATGCTTAACTCTAGAATTCATGAAGAAAACACCACATCCTGAGCCAGCCAGCCTGTCTGGTAACTCCATGGAGACTTCAGAGCTGCCTTATGATCTCTCTCATCTCCTTCTAGAGTTGTTTTATTCCTTTACATATACAAATACTATATGCAAGCATCATATATATTACTCCATAACTTCCTTTTCCCTTAGAACATAGAAAAATGCTGGAAATATCTTTCCATGTCAGGAAATAAGTGTGTATTGTTTTTGAATGGTTGCCTAGTATTCCATTGTATTGATATTATTGGACACTGATACTGTTTTCATTTTTTAGTCATTGCAAATGATGCTGTAATGAATCTTCTTCTGCACATATCTTTGTGCAGATGTTTGATCATTTCCTTAAGATAAATTCCTGGAAGTGGAATAACTTGGTCCAAACACACCATGAAGGTTTTTTATATGGTTTGGCTGTGTCCCCACCCAAATCTCATCTTTAATTGTAGCTCCCATAATTCCCACATGTTGTGGGAGGGACCCAATGGGAGGTAATTGAATCATGAGGGTGGTTTCCCCCATACTGTTCTCGTGGGAGTAAATAAGTCTCACGAGGTCTGATGGTTTTATAAGAGGAAACCCCTTTCACTTGGGTCTCATTTCTCTCTTGTCTACCACCATGTAATATGTGCCTTTCACCTTCCACCATGATTGTGAAGCCTACCCAACCACATGGAAATGTGAGTCCATTAAACCTCTTTTTCTTTATAAATTACCCAGTCTCAGGTATGTCTTTATCAGCAGTGTAAAAATTGACTAATACAGTTTTCAATGTATTTCACCAAAGGATGTGCCTTTTTTTTTCTTTTTTTTGAGACAGAGTTTCATTCTTTCTTCCAGGCTGGACTGCAATGCATGATTTCGACTCACTCACTGCAACCTCCACCCCCCAGGTTCAAGTGATTCTCCTGCCTCAGCCTCCCGAGTAACTGGGATTATAGGCACCTGCCACCATGCCCGGCTAATTTTTGTACTTTTAGTGGAGACGGGGTTTCGCCATTTTGGCCAGGCTGGTCTTGAACTCAGGTGATCCACCTGCCTCACCCTCCCAAAGTGCTAGGATTACAGGCGTGAGCCACTGCGTCCGGCTAGGATGTCCCTTTTAATAGTCCCAGCTACAGAAAGCTCAGTCAAAGGGCACACTAGCAGAAGAGGAGGTCTGGAGTCAGAGTGCAAGCCATGTCTGGGGGAAACTTGTGTGACAGTAAGCAAAAAGTGAACTTTGATTTCTAGGGATTAAAGAGGTATTAAAGTTTTTGAGTACAGGATGACTTGGCCAGAAGTGGCAGAGGCTTCAGGAAGGACAAAGTAGGGGGTAAGGAGTGGAGAAGAGGAGAAGAATGAGGAAAAGATAGAAGAGGAGATCGGGCTTGGTGGCTCATGCCCATAATCCCAACACTTTGGGAGGCCAAGGCGGGTGGATCACGAAGTCAGGAGGACACCATCCTGTCTAACATGGTGAAACCCCATCTCTACTAAAAATACAAAAACTTAGCCAGGCGTGGTGGCACGTGCCTGTAGTCACAGCTACTTGGGAGGCTGAGGCAGGAGAATCACTTGAACCCAGGAGTAGGAGGTTGCAGGGAGCTGAGACTGCACCACTGCATTCCAGCTTGGGTGACAGAGTGAGACTCCATGTCAAAAAAATAAACAAATAAAAATAAAAAGAGGAGGAGGAGGAAGATGAGAGTTATGTCATACAGGGGAGTCATTAAAGATGATACAAAGATTTGGAGTCTGAGCAACTGGAAGATAAAGATGCCGTCAAAGCCAGAGAAAATGGCAGGCGGAAATTTTAAGAGAAACTCAAATTTGTTTTTCAATAGTTTGTACCCATCCAGACAGCTGTCTCTCAGAGCTGGTTGCTTAGGAGAGGGATCTGGGTTAGAGGCAAGGTTTGAGATTCCACTTCAGAATTCACAGTTACATTCAATGGTCATTTGGAGCTGTGAAAAAAAAATATATCTCTATATATATAGATATATACACACACATATATATATTTATTTATATACGTATATATATTTAAATATATATAGAGAGAGAGAAAGAGAGAGAGAGAATTCAGTTACAGCTGTAGAAGTAGATGACATGGAAGAACAATATGAAAAGAGGGGCCAATACCACCTTTTAAAGAGTGGGAGGAAACAAAAGAACCAAGAAGGATGATCCAAAAAGTACCAGCAGAGACAGGAAGAGAACACAGCATTCCTTGCAATAGAAGCCAAAGAGAAGAAGTTCTAGAGGAAGGGTGATGTTGTAAAGGATGCAGAGGCCAAATAGTGCAAATATGAAGGAGCTATTCAATTGGGCCATGCTGGTGAGTTCCTCATGGAATGAAAGAGAGGGTTTCATCTAGCGTTTCATGAATCTGGGAGGAACTTCATCTGAGCCTTTGCGAAGGGCAAAGGTAGGAGTAGATCAAAACTAAGGGTTCACCAGACCCCAACCAGTGGCATTCACAGGCCTGGCCAGCAATGAATGTTTCCACTGAACTCCCGGCTTGACCTGTTTAAGCCTGACATTGGGGGGTAGGGGGCCAGTGTTTTTGTGAATGATGGAAATGAATGCACAGCATATGGATGGGGCCCAAAACAAAACAAGGAGCACACTCATGCTCTGTTTAAGGCAGGGGCACAGTGGTAGCTCTAACGATTTTTAAGTAAAATTCCAACCCCGAATAAGAAAGATCACATCTTAGAGTATATTATGGGATGGTTATATCTGAATTACTTGCCTCTTAATTCAACAATAAAGTAAAGGCCTTTGGGCTGATACAAATGCCACGCTCCCTCCTAAAACATAAAATCTGAATTACAGAATAATTCCGGGGAGGTGGGCATTCTATTACCATCTCCATGCCTTGGCTGGAGATGCCTTGGCTGTCCGGTTCCATCGGTGACATGTCCCCACCCCCAGTTTCAGAGGGTGGGGGCAGCCCTTCAGCTGAATCCCTCTGCTCTGCTTCTCCTTCTCCAGGACACAATTGAGAGTACACACCAGGCGGCACAAAACAGTGGCAACTGGCCAGGTGGGGTGGCTCACACCTGTAATCCCAGCACTTTGGGAGGCCAAGGCGAGTGGATCACCTGAGGTCAGGAGTTCGAGACCAGCCTGGCTAACATAGCGAAACCCCATCTCTACTAAAAATACATAAATTAGCCGGGCATGGTGGCGCACATCTGTAATCCCAGCTACTTGGGAGGCTGAGGCACGAGAATCGCTTGAACTTGGGAGGTGGAGGTTGCATTGAGCCAAGATCATGCCACTACACTCCAGCCTGGGCAACAGAGTGAGAATGCGAGACTCATCTCAAAAAAAAAAAAAAAAAAAAAAAAAACCAGTGGCAACTGATATGACAAATGGATTGAAATGCTACCACGTCCCCTCCCCACTCTCCATTACCACAGAGACACCAGCCAACCAAAGCCAGGAGATAAGGAAATAGCCATAAAGGACAGTCCGGTGGACACAGGTGCTCAGAGAATCGATATGCCAACAAGATTCTTCAATCCATCCAAGTTCCGAAGGGGAAAGGATGTGAGATGGGGAACTGGGGTCAAAGTTGCAAACAGACCAGTTTTGTCCTTAGGACAAGAGGCCTCCCTTCTCTCTAATTGGAGTTGCATCAGTCTGATACATGTTGATCCCACACACCAAAGTTCTTTTCTTTTCAATTTCCATTCCTAATTTTCTCACCTGCCTCGCCTGCAATCCTGGATAACCTCTAAGATGGACAGCTAGGTATATGCTCAAGCAGCCGTGAAACCAGGCAGAATGATTGGGAGACTCAGTCACCTGCACCTTCTCCTTCAACCACTTTGAAAAGTAGACAAGGGCCGGGCGCGGTGGCTCACGCCTGTAATCCCAGCACTTTGGGGGGCCGAGGCAGGTGGATCACAAGGTCAGGAGATCAAGACCATCCTGGCTAACATGGTGAAACCCCGTCTCTACTAAAAATACAAAAAATTAGCTGGGCGTGGTGGCGGGTGCCTGTAGTCCCAGCTACTCGGGAGGCTGAGGCAGGAGAATGGCGGGAACGCGGGAGGCGGAGCTTGCAGTGAGCCAAGATTGCACCACTGCACTCCAGCCTGGGTGACAGTGCAAGACTCCGTCTCAAAAAAAAAAAAAAGAAAAGAAAAGTAGACAAGGCCCAACTACCATCACAGGATTTTTTCCCACTTGCTCCCTTTAGGACAAGCAGTGAACATATCCTCCAAATGTATAGGCAGAAAGGCATCTCTTTAAAAGGGCAGAGACCCAAAAGTTGGAAAGAGAAAAAGGGAGACAACTTATATTGTGGTTTATTCCTCACTAATAGTTTTCTGGGCAACAGGAAGCCAATGGTCAAATATTAACTGGAGTTGTACCACAGCCCAACAGGTCTAGTGGACATAATTTTCCCCAAACAACTGTGATCAGACATACACATGGAAGGAAGGGAGGAAAGAAACTTCTCAATCACTCCTACTTCTTTTTAATGCAAATGACATGTTCCTACTTAGGTGCCTTGGAACTCAGTCATTTGCATTGTTCAAATTCTAGGTACCTGCCATAAGTCTTATAACAAGCCACTCTCCACAATCACCCCACAAAAGCTACAGGACAGCCTGTCACTCTAAGCTTTCAGATCAGTGCTTTGTTATTTCAGTAACCATAAAGGTCAAGACAATGATTTTTGGAGTCAATTGCCAAAAACCTAGCAGGGGCTCATTGCTTATAGAAGGCACTCATGCTGGTTGGTTTAATACTGAGAAATTTTAAAGCCTTACTGTAGTAGAAATTAGAGTTGAAGCCCCAGCAATCCTTCTATGTTTCCTCAATTGTGTAGTAGTCATGCGATTAAATGGAGATTGACCCCACCCAGAAGCAAGGTTGAACCAATCAGAGATTGGATTCTTGTCCTCCTGCCATAATGATTGGTTTGCAATAAGTAAAGTCTGTGCCAATCAACATATGGCATTTCCATATCTGACTCCTGAGGGAAGATTTTGGAGGGTTTCTGAGGAAGTAAGTCTCTAACTTTGTCAGAGAGAGCTACCGAAACCAACCTTCTCACTCTAGGAGTGGTTTGATGGTAATAAACGTAGAGTGTTAGCCATGTTGCCACTCTAAAGAAAACTGGCCTGAAGATAAAGATGGTACCAATGTACACAAAGCAAAGAGAAAGTAAAACAGGTCCTTAATGACTTCATTGATCTGTTTGGAGCAAACCAACCCTGAATTCCACGTTACTCATTATCCTTCCAGTAGAGTAAGTCAATGAACCCCCTGCATTGTTTAAGCCAGTTTGAGGTAGGCTATCTTTTTGTTTACTTATTTTTTAAAAAATAAGTCCTAGTAAATGGTTTCAATTTTTTAAATAATTAAAGATCTTTACCAGTATACTTACCCAAACTGTCATCTGTTTGACAATTTTGCTCTTAATGATTAACAAAAGTAAGTTTTGGAGCCCTGGAGACTGAGATGAAAAATGAAATCTCCTCTTTGGAGAAGTATAGGCTGAGGAGTCCACAAAACTGTCCTGCCAGGCTTATATTGTCCAAGGTATTGAAGTACAATCAACTCTTAGTGGTTCTTGTTGAAGCATGGGGGGAAATGTCAGAGGAAACAGCAATGTATTATATACACTCTGGAAGACTGATTCATCTTTATATGTGGCTAAAGCTGGTATTAAAATGAATTTGCATTCTCTGAGCATAAAGTGTAGACCACTGTGAAAGACAGATGTCAAGGGTGGCTATGTGATCAAAACAGAAAATGGTAAGGAAATTAAATTTTAAATGAATATTTTAAATGTAAATAATCCCAATACTAATTGCTAAGAGAATTTTAGGCATTCTATTGGAATTAACCTATTTGCCATTTAGCTAAAACAAAGCATGAACTAGATGATTGGTCTGCAAAAAGACTTCCTAGTTATTCTGACCTGTTACACGAGCAAAAGTACTGACAAGTTGATGCCAAATGTTCCTTTTGAAGATTTCATGATTTATTGGCTATATTCCCCTAATCCAGAAATTAAGTTGTACTTTGTTCTTCGGTTCTCTAAAAGTGCAGAGTCAAGAAAATATGAGGTGTTCAAGAAATAATGGTTATTTTGTTGGCTGGATAGATGGATGAATGGGTTGATGACAGGTGGATAGATAAATGAATGGGTGGGTAGATGGATGGATGAATAGACAGATGCTAGGTGGAGCCGTCACTGGAAATAACACTAATCCATCTAGTCCTAAACATTTTTCCCCAAAGCAGGAAGTCTCCAGTTCTAGTCCCAAACATATTCTCCAATAGCAGTTATCATTTGCCCTGGCCCTATAATTGTTATGCTCACAGATACCTCAAAAGATTCATGATAAGAGACTACCTCTAGTATCTTGGCCTTACCTGTTCCAGGATCTAATACATTTATGTTTTATTATTTTTTTCCTCCTCAGATAAAGATCTGTATGTGTCTTAGACTCACTGAATTCCAAACCAATCCATGTCGTCTTGCTGACTCCTCTAATTTTGTTAACAGAAATGCCATTTTCCTTTGCCAAGGCTCCAAATTAGAAATCATCATTGCTCCTCACTGTTCATTTGCCCCCCTCATGCAACTTGCAAGCCCTTAAGAGCCCACCTCTTCGTTGTCTTTCATAAAGCTCCCACCTTGCCATGTCTACTGCCACCACCTACTTTAGGGCCTCATTAACTTCTCCCTTAAACGGTATCAATTGCTTCTAAGTTGATGTCCTGAATTCCAATTTTTCCTCCACCATAAGAAAATAGGATACTATTTTTTTTTTAATACTTTAAGTTCTAGGATACATGTGCACAACGTGAAGGTTTCTTACATATGTATACATGTGCCATGTTGGTGTGCTGCACCCGTTAACACATCATTTACATTAGGTATATCTCCTAATGCTATCCCTCCCAACTCCCCCCACCCCACGACAGGCCCCAGGGTGTGATGTTCCCCACCCTGTGTCCAGGTGTTCTCATTGTTCAATTCCCACCTATGAGTGAGAACATGTGGTGTTTGGTTTTCTGTCCTTGCAATAGTTTGCTGAGAATAATGGTTTCCAGCTTCATCCATGTCCCTACAAAGGACATGAACTCATCATTTTTTATGGCTGCACAGTATTCTATGGTGTATATGTGCCACATTTTCTTAATCCAGTCTATCATTGATGGACATTTGGGTTGGTTCCAAGTCTTTGCTATTGTGAATAGTGCCGCAATAAACATACGTGTGCATGTATCTTTATAGCAGCATGATTTATAATCTTTGGGTATATGCCCAGTAATGGGATGGCTGGGTCAAATGGTATTTCTAGTTGTAAATCCTTGAGGTACCACCACACTGTCTTCCACAATGGTTGAACTAGTTTACAGTCCCACCAACAGTGTAAAAGCTTTCCTATTTCTCCACATCCTCTCCAGCACCTGTTGTTTCCTGACTTTTTAATGATCGCCATTCTAACTGGTGAGAGATGGTATCTCACTGTGGTTTTGATTTGCATTTCTCTGATGGCCAGTGATGATGAGCATTTCTTCATGTGTCTGTTGGCTGCATAAATGTCTTCTTTTGAGAAGTGTATGTTCATATAGGATACTATTTCAGTGGAACCCTTTGTTCCCATTGAAATCTTAATATGGAAGAAAGCAAAGTTACTCTGGATAATGCTGGAATTTAAGTATAGAAGCCAGCAATGCTTTGCTCTATGACTGCACCCAATGTAGTACCCTAGAGCTGAGGCCTCACTCCTGCTGCTGCTGCTGCTGGTGGTGCTCTCTGGAAGGCTGCCGAGTTGGTGCAGAAAGAGGAGAACTTGGAGATGCCAAAGGATGTCCCTTAGTCCTCATTGGGCTATTGTCACTTCTATAGCCTCAAAGCAATGGAGCAAATTCTCCATACCCCAACACTGGGTCTCATAATGTCACCTAGATATACCTCATTTCTGACTTTGAACTTCTGCTTGCAGCTGCTTTTTCTATAGGGAATCAGGTTTGCATCTGGGGCCAAGCTAGGGAATGGTCACCATTCTGTTTGCTACCTATCCTTGTTTCCTCATTGCTCTCCAAGGGACCAAACCAATCCCCTCATATCGTAGATAGATAGATAGATAGATAGATAGATAGATAGATAGATAGATAGATAGATAGATAGATAGATGATAGATAGGGTGGGTGGATGGATAGATTGATACATAGATAGATTAGATAGATAGATAGATAGATAGATAGATAGATAGATAGATAGATAGATAGATAGATAGATAGATTTTAAAATGGATATGAAAATATCTGGGGATTTCACTGACCCACCAATTTATCAGACCAAAGCAGTCCAGGACAACTGCTATAATCTGTATCTCAAAACTTGTTTTCTGAATGGAAACTTGAAGATCGCCTTTAATATTTCACTCTTTCTTCCAGGATTTAGTTACTGGTTATACTGGTTCCACCTCCTCAATATCTCTTGTATTTGTCACCTTCTGGCCATCCCTGTTGTTCATCACCCCACTTTAGACCCTCACCATTTCATGCCTGGACTATTGCAATAGCCTGCTGATAGGTCTCTCTACTTCCCAAATCACCTCTTCCTATCCATTTGCTCTTAACATTACAGTTGAAAAATATAAACACAGCTGTTTTATTCCTCAGTTTAAATTTTTCAGTGATTCCCTTTGGCCTAGGGATAACATCCAGACTCGTTTTATTATCTGGCTCTTGCTCCTGTATTGGTTTCCTGTACTCTTGTCTCCCCAGTAATTCTTTTGCAAATTGGCCACATCACCCTGTCCCCATTCACAGGGGTTGAGAGGAGATGACCATGTTAGAACATGAACCTGCCCCATGGCCAGAATCGCCCAGTTCTGTGTGGGCATTTGACCATGGTTGGGTCAATGAGTTTCCTTACCAGGAATATTTTTTTTTTATTATTGAGTTTCGCTCTTCTCACCCAGGCTGGAGCACAATGGCGCAATCTCGGCTCACTGCAACCTCCGTCTCCTGGGTTCAAGCGATTCTCCTGCCTCAGCCTCCTGAGTATCTGGGATTACAGGTGCCCACCACCACACCCAGCAAATCTATGTATTTTTAGTAGAGATGAGGTTTCACCATGTTGGCCAGGCTGGTCTCAAACTCCTGACCTCAAGTGAACCACCCGCCTTGGCCTCCCAAGATGCTGGGATTATAGGCATAAGCCACCATGCCCAGCCCCTTACCAGGAATTCTATGCAATGCCAAACTCAGGAATGGTTTCAATCTCTGTTGTCCACCATGCTTTACAGGAACCTCCTATGAGACAGAATGATGGAGCCAATAAACACAGAGAAGTGGAAGCAGGGCCACAAAGAGGAACCTGATCATGCTTGAAGCTCCAGTTTTTGTATTTGCAACCAAGGATCCTAACTATGCACCCACTTTTATTGTCACAGCTCCCTGAAGTCAGGTCTATGTCTTAATTATCTCTGTTAGCCTCAGAACCTAGCTTATTGCTAGTGCTCAAAGTTTGTCGAATTAATAACGAATATGATACCAAACATCACTTTCTAATAAACTTCTTGTGGCTGCCCTCCTAGCTCAGAACCCGAGAGAGAAACTACATAACGATTTGATTTCAAAGACATTTGCAGCTTTCACCTCTTCTGTGTCTCCTGAGCAGTAGCATCTTCTGTTTGGAGAGAGTTTACGGCATCAGAGCCACAGCAGCAGTCATTTAGTAACGCCTGTGACAGACCTTCACACGCACTATCTCCTTTGATCCTCAGCAATTCCATGGGGTCGCGCTGTAATTATAGCCAGCTCTCTTTTGACAGATGAACGTACCCAGGCCTGGAGAGATGAAACAACTTGGCCAGGGTTTGGTCAAATGGAGATGCCGCAGTCCAGTGCAGGATTACCCAGCTCCAAATCCAATCCCCTTCTGCTATTGCTCTGAAGCCTTCTCAGCAGACATCCTGAACTGCTTGGCTCTGTTTTTAGATCAGAAGAAGCCTCAGAGCGTGAGCACTGAAGATCCCTGTCCCTCTGTCTCCTGTCGCTTCTGCCAGGCCGAAAAAAAGTTTACCCGAGCACCTGGGTGGACGGTGAATGGTCATCGTTTGGCAGCCTTTACTGCTGGCAAAGTGGAATTGCATGGGGGTGGGGACACTCTTGATTTTCCAAGAATGTCCCTGCTGTGGGACACAATGTGCCCCTCCCCTATTCAGCATTGACCGCCCTCCTCATCCATCCACAGAAAGGTACTTTTAAGAGTTGCCATTCTGAGGAAGGATCGGGCAAGTGGAGGGAACTCAGGAGTGGGTAACAAAGAGTTAAGGCCGCAGCTGCCAGCACATGCAGTGTCGAGTTATGCTCAAACTGTTCCCACTGGCGACCAAGTCAGCTGTCATCAGAGAACAAAGAATCCCCCAGAGCCGCTCAAGTTGTGTCACACCCGGGAAGCCCTGAGAGCTCCCTGATTAGGATTTCTAAATCAGCCCCATCGAGGCCTGAAGAATAAAGCTGAGGAACAATGAGCCTGCCACATTCACACAGTCAGCAGTCCCGGCCGGGCTGCCCGCCTCCCCACCACCACCCCCTCCCACGGGGCCTCAAAGGCCACTTCACCTCCATCGGGAAAATCAAATCTCATCGAAAGCCCCGAGCCCACTGGGGCAGCATCCAGAGAGCTTCAGGAGGAGTGTGGGGGAATTTGCTGCACAGACTCCAGCTGCTGTCAGGGTGGTGGGGGTGGGAGGTGTGAATAGGGAGGGATCTGGTCCAAGGATGAGGGGGTCCTGAAGGCCAAATTTGGGATTTGGGAAGTCAGATTTTGCTGTTCTTGTTTCATTCCAGCCAAGTCCCAGTGATTGGAGTTTTGGGCTGGACTCCTAGAAAACCTCACCCTGACCATGAGCCCCAAGCCTTAGAACTTCTCTTGGATCATAGTTAAGGCTAATAAAGGACCAGGAGTCCTACAGCATTAGCAAGATCGTGATGTCAGGAGAATTCCTTTACCCAGCCAATCCTACAGCAAGACAGGGCATTATGTCCAAAGCACCCTTAAGTTCAGGGTTTTGACTTAATCTCCACATGAGAATACATCATTGCGATTCTGAGTGTTGTTGAAAATGAGCGTGCATTTATTCAACATAAATGTTTTAAAAATACCAAATTATTACAACCTTGAATTTGTAAATATTTTTAATATACTGGGATCCTCAAGAAAAGCACATGTGGAACCCCTCAAATTCTGAGGGGTCCTGGTTTTCATTCAAACTTAAATGCTTTTCCTTTTTTTCTATCAACGAAGTCGTTGCCTGGGACAGTCTTGCAGCTCCAGGTGTCATGGGGTCTCTAACAGGGACGCTTTAGGGAACTTGTGCTCTTAGGGGGAACCTGTTGCTGCAGCTGAGAAATTCTGGCTCTTCCCTTCTCTGTGTGTGGCTGGGTCAGACCTGGAATCTGTGGGTAGTTCACTGACAGTCGTCAGCATTCATGATCCCTGCCTGCATGATCCCATTTCTGCATGGCATGGCACAGGGAAGCTTTTTCTGCATTATCTTCTGCATCATGCCTTTCACCAACTGGAATCACAAGGAGATGCACCTGCATCTGCAGATCTCTGCTATTTTTTTCTGAAGGAGAGAGTGGAGGAACACATGGCCTGAACTCCTAGACCATCTTCTACAGCTCCAGCTCTGAGATCCGAAAGCCAGAGGGAAAATGATCAGGGTCCTTTGCAGCAGAATTATTCCAATGACTGGTTTTCAACTGCAGAGGCTGTTTAAGGAAGCTGAGTGTACTCAGCGTGTGAACATGCCAAGTGCATCGTCACTCCAAGGTTGGCCCAAAAGTATATGCCTAAAATGAGAAAATCTATCAAGAGCCCAAATGTGGCAAAGACCCTCATATCAATAATACCTGCTAATACGGGGGCTTGTCTTATGTGTTAAGGATGGCTTGCAATTTATACTTATGATATTTAATCCCCCAATCCTATTTTATAGATGAGAAAAATGAGACTCAAAACTCCCGTAAGGCCATATAAGTAATAAACAGAAAAGTATTGGCAGAGCCAAGATTTGAACTCAAGTCTGTCTCCTCGCTAAGCTCTTGATCAGTAAGTTTCCTGGATTTTTTTCTCCTCAGTTGAACTCTCAATTTAAATGTAAAAGTCTTCAGTTTGCAAAGTTTACCTTTTCTTCTTCTGTATCTCAGTGCTAGTGAAGAATGGAACAAGATCCAACTACCATCAGCAGAGGATAACCCTCACTGTCGTGGAGCACAGGGCATGGATTCAGGTGCTGACCCAATCAGATCCAAAGCTAACACTGCTGCTAAGAGACTGAGCCACTGGAGCTAGTCACCTGCCCTCTCCAAGCCTCAGTTTCCTCATGTGTGAAAGTCTAGCAATAATATCAATTTCACTGGGATATAATAGGGAATAGCAGAAGCTGGAGCAGAAATACGTGGCCCATGATACATACTCTGCGGGTGCTAGTTTCCTACTTCTTCCTTCCACAGGTAAAAAGGTAGGCATTAACTCTCCTCAAGTCATGCTGCTCCAGGTTAAATAACCCTCCAGAAACAGTTCCATCTTTTTGGCTCTTTTTTGGGCTATCTTTTATTCCTCCTTTACCTTCTTGAAACTTGGCAGGACTGACCAATAAGAAATGTTGCCTAAAGATGAGCTTTCAGTACTCTGGAAATTAAGGTCAAGCTGCTGTGTTGCTCTCATAACCTGGAGTATAAATCTGCCCTTGATGTTTGCAGAAATGTCTCCAGGCTTGCCACCACTATTTATAGATCCAAGAAATGACAAGGGGTGCTAACTGAGAAGGAGATCTGTTAAATGCAGGAGGGTTAATCTGACCATGTGATTGCAAAATGCATTTGATGACAAGGACCTCTGCACCTTTCTCCAGAGTTCTTTTAAGTTGTCTCAGTGAGAGGCACTATAGACAGTGTTGTTAGGCTGGGAACTGGGGGGCTCAGACCCTGGAAAGAAGCCACTGGGATTTGCTGATATTGGTATCCCCAATTTCTGTTCAGTAACCGTCTTCAGTGGATTTTTAATATTTCTGATGGGTTGGATGAATGAGTGAAGAATTAATGAATGATGTGGACACCCTAAACCAAGGCTTTTTCTTTATATTATTATTATTATTATTATTATTATTATTATTATTATTATTTTGAGATGGAGTGTCGCTCTTGTTGCCCAGGCTGGAGTGCAGTGGCACGATCTCAGCTCACTGCAATCTCTGCCTCCTGGGTTCAAGTGATTCTCCTGCCTCAGCCTCCCGAGTCGCTGGGATTACAGGTGCCCGCCACCACACCCGGCTAATTTTTGTTATTTTTAGTAGAGACGGGGTTTCACCATTGTTAGCCAGGCTGGTCTCGAACTCCTGACCTCAGGTGATCCACCCGCCTCGGCCTCCCAAAGTGCTGGGATTACAGGCATGAGCCACCTTGCCCAGCCAACCAAGACTTTTTCTACCCCCAATTAAATCCTGTTTAACGACATCAGAGTACCATCAAATCCCTTTTTCCACATTTAATTTTAAAATGCCAGCTCAACTCTTAAAACTAATGAATTTCTAACTGATGTTGATAAAAGCAAAGAAAAGACTTCACAAAATTGTTGATGTACCTTAATGACTGGCAGGACAGCAGAAGTGTGGCACAACTGGCCAGATGCTATGGACGTGATGGAGCCAGAACGCTAAGGATACGTCAAAGGTGGAAGGAAGAATGAACAAAAGACCTGAATAAGACTGGATTGTTGAAGACCCACCAGTGATCATTTTATGGCATTAATGGAGAGCATAGAATTTAAGAACTCATGGTGCAAGACAATTATTTGATGTAATTAAAAGAGCAGAAATTTTAAAGTCAGACAACTGAGAGTTTGAATTCCAACTTGGCCACTTACTGAATAGGAAAACTCAGTTTCTTCATCTGTAAAATGGGCAAATATGTACTTTAACTCTCACAAGACTATTATGAGAATCAAATGAAATAAGCACACATATCTAGAGCCTGGTATAATGAGATAAATGGTAATACTGTGGGTGGACAGAGGTTAGGACTAAGAAACAGATCAAAGGATGGGAAGGGCCACAGGAATCATGCCAGGGTATAGGGGGGTAAGATTGGCAGCAATGACCATAGCAGTGACTGTTCAAGAGGTAAGGATGCTAGGCTAAAAATTGGTCTCAAATGACCAGTCATGAGATTAAAGCCAGAAAGGAAGAGACAGGAAACATCTATCAACAGGGGAAACAGATTATGAACAAATACCCAGGAAGGGAAGGACGTGGTCTGATTTCCTCCAGGGTGCTGGCTCGGCCATAGGGAGAGGCCTCTCTGATGGGTGCCATGGCCCTGGGGGCAGGATGGTCTTGGTGCAAACTGTAAAATAACTCGATATTTGTCTTTGGTGCTATTGTCTCCCTGGTCCGTACTTTTTCTAACTCCTCATTTTACCCTCATTCCCAGAACCCAGTGATTACACACTATCTCCTTCTCCCTGATATAAAACCTGTCTTCCAAACATTCATTCAAACATCTCTGCCGCAGGATAGATGGCAAGTGAAGGTTTAAAACACAAGCCCGGTCCCACAGTTATTTACATTTGAAAGTCAATTAAACAAGAAAGTTGGTTCTGCAAACGTTCTTGGAACTCTGCTTTGTCCCATGCACTGAGACAGGCACTGAAAATACGCAGGGGATAGAAATGCCTCTCTCCTTGGATTAAAACACGGCGTGCTCATCATGGGCACCTGGGCATGTTAGCTGGTCGGTCCTCTCAGAATCACCTGCTCCTCCCAAGGGTAAGAAGAGTCCCAGACACGGCCTCACCAGGCCCCCTCCTGCACACATCCCACCTGGGGGGAGCGTGGCAATTGTTCCCTGTTAACTCAGCCCTCCCTGCCTCACTGCAGAGGGGAAGCAGCCAGGGGGGAAAGCAGGGGAGAGTACACTGGCCTGGGAAGAGGACACCAGAGTTCTAGCCCTCAGTCCTCTTACTCACTTGTTCTTCCAACTTGAGCAAATCATCTTCACTCTCTATGTTTCTCTTTATAGAAACAAAGAGGTGTCTTCAGCTCCAACATTCTAGGGATTCATAGGGATGGCAAGTCATATTGGCTCTGTGACCACTTTGCTTTTTAATAAAATTATGTATGCAGTCATGCCTGGAATAGCAACATTCAGTCAAGGACAGACCACATAAATGATGGAGGTCCCATAAGATTATAATACTGTATTTTTTACTGTACCTTTTCTGTGTTTAGATACACAAATACCATCGTGTTACAATTGCCTACAGTATTCAATACAGCAACATGCTGTACAGATTTGTAGCCTAGGAGCAATAGGCCATATCCTATAGCCTAGGTGTGTGGTAGGCTACACCATCTAGGTTTGTATAAGTAGTCTATGAAGTTCCCATGGCAAAAATCTCCTAATGATGCATTTCTCAGAATGTATCCCTGTTGTTAAGCGATGCATGGCTGCATACACACACACACACACACACACGTGTATATAAGTATTGTATATATGCCATCCATTTAATTATATGCCTACATATATGTATGTATGTGTATATAGACATGTATGTGAATATACATATATACATGTACGTATATAACTTTTTGAAAAAGCAGTCATCAGAGCCAATAGGAAGAGAGAGGAGCATAGATTTGGGAAAACAGTGCTTTAAAGTACAGACATCTTCTGTTAAGAAAAAGTGTTCTTTTTTTTTTTTTTTTTTTTTTGGAGACGGAGTCTCGCTTTGTTGTCCAGGCTAGAGTGCAGTGACACGATCTTGGCTCACTGCAACGTCTGCCTCCTGGGTTCAAGCGATTCTCCGGCCTCAGCCTCCTGAGTAGCTAGGACTACAGGTGTGCACCACCATGCCCAGCTAATTTTTGTATTTTTAGTAGAGACGGGGTTTCACCACGTTGGCTAGGATGGTCTCCATCTATCGACCTTGTGGTCTGCCCACCTCAGCCTCCCAAAGTGCTGGGATTACAGGTGTGAGCCACCGCGCCCGGCCGAAAAAGTGTTCTTAATCACAGAATACCTTCCCCATAAAAAAGCCAAGGACCTACCCAAGCCAGTTAGAATCAAGAATGTGTTTGCTACTCTTTAAAAAGTACCATCATTTTAGAGCGGGGCCCCTGGGCACCTGCATTCATTTCCCTGGTCCCAGTTTAAACAGGGCTCTGCAACAGCTTGCAGGTTCACTGCCCCAACCTGTTGTGCTCACCATCCCTGTGGTGCAGGACAGTGCTCGTTGTTTCTGGGCTGCGTGGAGGAAAATGTAGCATTTGGATAAAACTGTAAAATGAGTGAATGAATTGGTGAACTTCAATATCAAAATTAATGATGACAGTGATGAATGCTAAGGAAGCTATCTCCATACAACAAGTGAAAGAAGGGCCTTCTTCATCCCTGGCCACAGACAGAATTGGAGGGCTCCAGCTTCATTCTTGGGTTCACAGAATTCCCAGGTCAGCAGTGACCTTAAAGCTTATCCAGTCCCAGCTTCCCAGCCCATCTGATACAGGTAACTTTTCTAAACCACGCTAATAAGTAGTCTTCGCAATATTTTTGCAATATCTGTCACAGTTGTGCAGATATTGCAAACCTAAATGTGTTAAAGTGTGGAGGCAAATATCAAGGCATTAAACATTTTTTGGTCCTGCATTTATGTAACACTGCCTACTAAATGAGTGTCTAAAGAATGTACTTGACATTCCTTAGGACCATGTGCAGGGAATCTTTCCTTCAGGGCAAAACCCAACCAAAATAACATGGAGCAGGATAGAGCTTATTTTCCAAGTGTTTCTGAGAAATTCAAGGGCAGTTGGGAAAACATGGAGCCTTACTAGACATCCAAGTACAAGTCCACCTACTCTCCCTTTCGGAAGAATCTTCACCCACAGCCCCCTGCACTAGACAGTCAGGTAGTCTGTGCCCACCACACAAATGATAGCTAAGTAGATCGCCCCCGACCCTCAGGCAAGCAATTCAATTCACCAAGTGAACAAAAGATGAGCTGAACCCAGCAGATTCCACCCCTGGGCATTTAAGGATTAGAAAATGCAGATAAAGATTTGTTGCTAATCAGCTGGTGGAGTACAGTAATGAGGTGAGAAAGCAGAGTGCCCTCCTGGCTCAGCGTGGGGCCAACCAAAGTCACGTACACAACGTTATAGAGTAGCAGAAACTACAAGGAAATGCAGCAGAGCAATTTGGAAAAGGGATTGGGAAGCAGATAGATTGAGAAAAGCAGAA
Organism: Homo sapiens; assembly: GCF_000001405.40. Classification (NCBI taxonomy): domain Eukaryota; kingdom Metazoa; phylum Chordata; class Mammalia; order Primates; family Hominidae; genus Homo; species Homo sapiens. The sequence continues at coordinate 72,212,381 of NC_000017.11, forward strand.
AATAAGAGACAATTTGGCCCCCAAGAGATGGGAGAGATGGAAAGGCCAGCTGATAAGACTTTCCAGGCTCAGCCCTCAATTCTCGCAGGGCCCAGCAGTACTAGGCTCTCTGTGTAAATCAGGCCAAGTGCACATGAAACACAGGCACTAATAATACAGGTTACATTAATAATTCTACATAAAAACTTCAAAGCGCAAAGTATGAACATTTCAATATGTTATGTCATTGTGCCACGCTTGTTATGTCATTGTGCCATGCTCGTTCAGTACCTTCACATCCTCCATGTACTTACTTTCTCAGGCTAATGCTCTGGCCTATTTTATATGATAATGTCAGGAGATCAGGGACAATTTCTTTTTTTTTTTTTTCTTTTTTATAGTGGCAGACAGACATGGTTTTATTTATTTTAAAAAAAAAAACTTTATGGGTATATGGTAGTGTATTTATTTATGGATATGTGAGATATTTTGATACAGGCATACAATGAATGCATAATAATCCCATCAGGGTAAATGGAGTATCCATCCCCTCAAGCTTTTATCATTTCTTTGTGTTACAAACAATCCAATTATACTCTTTTAATTATTTTAAAATGGACAATAAATTATTGTTGACTGTAATCACCCTGATATGCTATCAAATACTAGATCTTATTTATTCTATCCAACTATATTTTTGTACCCATTAACCACCCCTACTCCCCACCCCACCCACTACCCTTCCTGGCTTCTGGTAACCATCATTCTACTATTTCCATGAGTTCAATTGTTTTAATTTTTAGCTCCCATAAATGAGTGAGAACATGTGAAGTTTGTCTTTCTGTGCCTGGCTTATTTCATGTAACATAATGTCCTCTAATTCTATCCATGTTGTTGTAAATGTCAGGATCTCATTCTTTTTTATGGCTGAATAGCACTCCATTGTGTATATGCACCATATTTTCTTTATCCATTTGTCTGTTGACGGACTCTTAAGTTGCTTCCAAATCTTGGCTATTGTGAATAGTGCTGCAATAAAGGTGGGAGTGCAGATACCTCTTTGATATACTGATTTCTTTTATTTAGGAGTATATACCTAGCAGTGGGATTGCTAGAACATACAGCAGTTTTATTTTTAGTTTTTTGAGGAACTTCCATAATGTTCTCCATAGTGGTTGTACTAATTTACATTCCCACTAACAATGTAGAAGGGTTCCCTTTTCTCCATATCCTTACCAGCGTTTGTTATTGCCAGTCTTTTGGATAAGAGCCATTTTAGCTGGGTTAAGATGATATCTCATTGTAATTTTGATTTGCATTTCTCTGATAATCAATGATGTTCAGCACCTTTTCATAGACCTGTTTGCCACCTGTATGTCTTGAGAAACATCTATTCAGATCTTTTGCTCATTTTTTAATCAGAGTGTTAGATATTTTCCTATTGTTTGAGCTCCTTATATTTCCTGGTTATTAATCTTTTGTCGGATGGTTTGCAAATATTTCCTCTCTTTCTGTGGGTTGTCTCTTCACTTGGTTGATTGTTTTCCTTGCCATGCAGATGCCTCTTAACTTGATGTGATCCCATTTGTCCATTTTTGCTTTGGTTGCCTGTGCTTTGGGGATACTATTCAATAAATCTTTAACCAGACCAAATTCCTGGAGGGTTTCCTCAATGTTTTCTTATAGTACTTTCATGCAAGTTTGAAGTCTTAGATTTCAGTCTGTAATCCCTTTTTTTTTTTTTTTGTATATGGTGAGAGATAGGGGTCTAGTCTCATTCCTCTGAATATGGATGTCTAATTTTCCTAGTATCATTTATTGAAGAGACTGTCCTTTCCCAAATACATGTTCCTGGTACCTTTGTTGAAAATGAGTTCTCTGTAGATGAATGAATTTATTTCTGGGTTCTCTATTCTGTTCCATTGGTCGATGTCTCCATTCTTATGCCAGTGCCATGCCATTTTGGTTACAATAACTCTGTAGTATAATTTGAAGTCAAGTAATGTGATTCCTCCAGTTTTCTTCTTTTTGGTCAGGATGGCTTTGGCTGTTCTGGGTCTTTCATGGTTCCATATATATTTTAGAATTATTCTTTCCATTTCAGTGAAGAACGTCATTGGCATTTTGATAGGGTTTGCATTTAATCTATAGATTGTTTTGGGTAGTATGGACATTTTAACAATATTGATTCTTCCAATCCATGAACATGGAATATCTTTCCATTTTTTGGTGTCCTCTTCAATTTCTTGCATGAATATTTTTCATGGTAGAGATCTTTTGCTTCTTTAGTTAAGTTTATTCCTAGGTATTTTATTTTATTTTTCACTATTTTAAATGGGGTTATTTTTTAAATTTCTTTTTCAGATTGATATGTGTTGGCATATGGAAATGCTACAGATTTTTGCATGTTGATTTTGTTTCCTGCAACATTCTGCAAGCTTTACTGAATTCATTTATTGTCAAAAACAAATTGTCAGTTTTAGACAATTTGTGTTTTCTATCAGAACACCTAGCACAATGACATGTTTACAATTTGGGAATTTGTGGGGTTTTTTAGCATCATATGTCAAAAAATCAATAGGATTTTAGCAATTCAAAACTGTATTCATCTCACAAGCTTTGTCAGATGGCTTAAAAAAGATTTTAAACTGTATGTATGTTCTAGTCATAATAGCCCATACTGGACACTACCCAAATATCTACCTCCAGTAGAATAAAAAAATAAATTGTGGTATTTCCATGCCATGAAATATTTTACCAAACTGTGAATAAATAACCTGGGACTTTATGCAACAGTCAGACTGAATGTTGAGAAGAAGAAACCTGACACAAAACCATACATACTATGTGATTTCATTTACATAAAATTCAAAAATAAGCCAAATAAATTTATGGTGTTCAAAGTTAAGACAGGGGCTTCCCTTTTTGGGGAAGGAGGAGGAGTAGCTGAAAGAGATCAGGAGGAGACAGAGACTTTTCCTAATGTTCTGTTTCTTGATCCAGGCGCTGATTACACAGGTATATTCAGTTTATAAAATTCATCAAACTGCTCACCTATGATTTGTGCACTTTTCCATAGATATGTTATTATACTTCAAAAAAAGTCAGAGAACTAGGGTAACTATGATAAAAAATGAAATGAAAACAATCAATAGGAAAACATATACAATTCACAAAGCAACTTTGAGGTTTCTAACATTTTGGCTCCATATTGCTGTTTTGAAAACTTGAGGCAAAGAATGTTATAGGAAACTACTTTGTTAACATGTTTGCTTTAGAAAACTGTTTGTCCTAGGAAGTTGTTCTTGACCCATCTGCTTTGATGAGAAATAATTCATTATGACATCACTAACTCAGTGCTAATTAACTCGACATTTATAAAATGTGTGCAGCAGATTTTCTTAAGACCAAGAACAGAGCTGAAGTTGTTTCTTCTTGATTCAAGAAAAAATTATATTTTTAGGTATAAAAGGACAGATTAACTTTAGAAAAACGATACTCATTTTAATGCTTCCCTTTGATAAACCAAAACCTATCTGAGATGTCCTTTTTTAATAAACATTGGACCATCTCCTGTTCAGCCTTTCCCCCAACAGTTCTAAGCCCAATCCAACCTTCAGTTATAAATGGAGACTTATATGTCCAGAGTGTTGCCAATTCATGCCAAGTTCCCTCTCAGACAAAGTTATGTCTTTAAGTCTGAGCTCTTAGAAGGATGGGAATGAATAAATGTATTATCTATGCACATATGCAGATAACAAATGCATAGAAATTTGCATAAGCCTATTTAGAGAGACGCACTCAACTTTTTCCTGTCAACAAAGGACTTTCACATAGACACATAGACAAGCACTCTTGTTTTTTTCTTTGAGACGGAGTCTCGCTCTGTCGCCAGACTAGAGTGCAGAGATCTTGGCTCACTGCAACCTCCGCCTCCCACGTTCAAGCGATTCTCCTGTCTCACCCTCCCAAGTAGCTGGGACTACAGGCGAGTGCCACCACGCCCAGCTAACTTTTGTATTTTTAGAAGAGATGGGGTTTCACCATGTTGGCCAGGGTGGTCTTGATCTCTTGACCTTGCGATCGGCCCGCCTCAGACTCCCAAAGTGCTGGGATTACAGGCGTGAGCCACCATGTCCAGCTGACAAGCACTTTAAAAAGAACATTTTCTCAAAATTTTCATTTTCCTGTCACTTTTTCAAAACCATCTTCTAACCTCCTATGTCTTGGAAAGGTGGTTCCTCATATTTGAATATTAACTTTTTTTCTCTATTAACACTAATCCTTTTTAGGAAAAATTAGTAGGCTCTTGGAAGAATAAATTGAATTGAAAATAAATTTCAAGGTTTGATTTTAAGTGTTAACCACTCCTAAGGCTGCTTAACTCAGAAATCACCATCAACCTCCTCTTGGTTAAACGTCTTCTCAGGAGGGCACAATAGATGCTGCCTGAGCTCTGAGAGAGCCACAGTGGGTCTGCATTTAGCTCTTCTACTCATTCACAGTGAGACGTGTCTACTTGGATGACCTGGAGTACTCGTTAAAACACAGATTCCCAGGGCCCTCTCTCAGAGATTCTGAAAAGGCAGGTCTGGGCTGGGGGACCAGATTTGTATTTTTAACACCCCAAGAGACTGATGCAGGACCACATTGGCTGACATATTGAAATGTATGCTAGATGCATGCTATGTATAACCCCGTGGATTCTGCACTAATCCAGCAAGAAGGATCAGATGCCCTCAGAGGCCTGGCCACTTCCTCCATCCCCCAATTCACTTCACTTCCCCACATCCAGTCTAAGCACTGATCCCAGGTTGAGAAAGGATTGTATTCCAAATAATACTTTGTAAAGCTTAATTGGAACTAAGAACTCATGTGGCTTTTTTGTTCTTTCTTTTTGAATGGTGCTTTGGGTTCTTAGGCCTCCTTATTTAACCTAGAAGGGAGCACAACCTCAGCACCAACTATGGGATGCCGGGCTCTGGGAGTAGAAGGATAGAAAAGTAAGAAGTCATTGCCAGTTTGTTTCCCAGACAGGAATGATCTTAGGCAAAATGTGGGGGAAGAGCAGGAAGGAGAAGTTTGCTTGACAACCACACTCCTCCTTTTCTGCATTTTTCTCCCTCTTAGAGTTCTTTTTCAGAGGGTATTGGGGTTTTCTAAACTTTCATTCAGCTTCTCCTGGGTCTACCCCTAGTAATCAAGTTTCTTTTACCTAGAGAAGCTAATATCAGCTAAGATTTAAAAGAGAGGCAATTTGATTGAATCAGTTCATGCCAAAGTGTGAGTGGCTGAAACACAACCAGTTAAGCAATATTTAATAGCACAGGTGAAAGTGTCTCTGTGATCGCATTCCACTTCTCCAGTTTCTCCCGGAAGAAGGAGCCTTCCAGGCCCTCAACCATGTACCTGAAAGATGTCCTACTCATCATCTAAAAGTTGGTCAACCCACTTAGAAGCCACACCCATCCCTTGCCACAGACTTACTGACATGCCCCCACTCAGAACCAGAACAAGCCATGGTCTCACAGGAACTCTTGCTAGCACTGGTAAAATTATACAACTCCAACATAACTTCGTCTACTGTTACTTCTTCACTTAAAACCTGTGAAACCTTGACCTGGCTTATCCATAAAAACACCACAATTTCTTCCACATTTTTTCTATTTTTCTTCCTTGCCCATATTCATTTTATTTTATTTTATTTTTGAGACAGAATCTCGCTCTGTCACCCAGGCTGAAGTGCAGTGGAGTGGTCTCAGCTCACTGCAACCTCCGCCTCCTGGGTTCAAGCGATTCTCCTGTCTCAGCCTCCCTAGTAGCTGGGATTACAAGCGCACGCCACCATACCCAGCTAATTTTTGTATTTTTAGTAGAGACAGAGTTTCACCATGTTGGCCAGGCTGGTCTCGAACTCCTGACCTCAGGTGATTCACCTGCCTCGGCCTCCCAGAGTGCTGGGATTACAGGCGTGAGCCACCACACCCAGTCCCATATTCCTAAGTATATTGCAGGCTGTCCCCTTTCCAAAAGTCAATATCAATTATATTAGAAAACAGCAAAGACATTTCCAGCTGCCAATCCAAAAGTAATAATTAGCCTGACTGCCATGTAGTTGACCCTATAGACAGACTGGCCTGTGAACGACTCAATGGGATGTCTTGTCCCCACAAATCTGGGCATAGGTCTCTCTGTCCTCTTTGCGTTGGGACCATCCTTTTCTGCAGTGTCTTTTTTGAAATGCATGGTACTGTTAAAAGCCGCACACAGGACAGACACATGGGAAGCTATGTTGGAGCAAATTTTGCACCATTTTAGAAGTAGGGGAAAGAGGCATTATATACCTTCTAGACTAATCCCAGCATCCATGACAGAGATCCAAGACTTGTGGGTCTAGCCACATGCTTCTCTCCATGCATTCACCCATTTCATTCAATCAACAGCTGGTGAGCGATGCCTCCCAGGGACACACATCTATGACCAGCATTAGTTGGGGGCAGGTGGTTAGACAAGGATGGACCAGAGATAAGTATCAACCTATAAGTATAAGACCTTATAGGTTGGGAGGGGAGGCATGGCATGCCCTCAAACCATAATTATTTAGGGTAAAAAGTGGTAAATGTGATCAAAGAGGTGCAAAAATAATATGAGACCTCAGAGAAAGAAGAGTGGGCTCCCCATCAGGAGAGTCAGAGACAAAATCTGAGCGAGTCTTAAAGGCTTGTGATTGATTTATACAAGAAGTTAGGCAGCGGAAGAGTGGCTCAGGTAGCAGGGACTAAAGGTACAAAGAGCAGAGGGAGAAGGTGCCTTCTTTCTAGCACTGGGGACAGGAGATAAGAGAACCCAGAATCCCCAGGTGAGTTGCTTGGGGCCACCCCCCATGAAGGGCTGGAAGCTGGTCGGTGGGGAAGGCTAAGATTACAGGTGGGTTGGGAAAGCTCCGAAGGACTCTGAGCAAAGCGAAAAGGCGGGTCCTATGGAATGCGCCCCATTTTCCCGGCTCCTTGGGGACTCCCAGGCATTCCTTCTAACAAGAGACATGTTGCCTGCCAGCCAGCAGATGTGGCCCATGAATAAACATCCCTGCAGGGCTGGGGGCTGTGGGGGGGATAATAAATATGAAGAAAGTGGTGGCCTGCCCCTCCATGTCCCCCTCCCTTGCTCCCAGGGCAGCAGACACGCTCTCCCAAAGGGGCGGACACAGACGTCCTCACACCGCGGCCCGACCGGCCGCACATTAATCCGGGTGGATTTGGCCATCTTGTGACATAGCCAATCAGTTCGAGGGAGGGGACGGCAGGAACGCCTCTCCTTTCACGCCACAAAAGGATTTTCGTCCCTTGAGAGCACAATGAAAAAAAAAAAAAAAAAAAGCCAATCAAGGCGGGATCAGCTGTGGGCTGGTCGCTGCAGATCTGTCTCTCCCAGAGGGGGGTGGGGGCACATATTGGTCCGTGTGGGAAACCCAGAGCCTCAGCTTCTCACACATTGTTCTCCTCCTCTTCAACTGCACCCCCTCCCCACCAGCCCGGACCCTCCCCTCTCCCCTCCCCAAAGCCGTTATTGCCACAAAAGATACTTTCCCCATTGTGCCCCGGACAGCTGAGAGGTCCGAGTTAGCCATACACAGCTCCGCGTCCTCTCCAGGGAGAAAGGGGATGGACCCTGCAAGTGGAGAGCGGGATGCTTATCATACAAAGGAATTAAACCCACTTGGGCTCTCTCGCCATCCAGGACTGTGGGGGGTTAAATACGGTTACATTTTCATTAGGTGCTAATAGCAGAAGGGCAGCCCCGGGCAGCACGGACCAGACATTGTTATGAAGAACGTCCCCGACAAGGGAAGGTCAGGGCAGGTGGGGTGGGAGGTGGGGAGAGGGACATGCCAGCGTCAAAGCCGGGTCCAGGGAAGGGGGGCATGCCATGGGCGTATTGTTGGCCTGCGAGTTCCGTCAATGGGAAAAGTCATGTTTCCTCCGAAGGAAACAAGTGGAAATTGTCGGGGAGGGGAAGGGCTGGTGGGTGGCTGGGAAGCAGAGCTCGGCCAGTTGCTACTAAGGCTGCCTTCGAACTGTCCCTCCCCACTGCCAGTTTCTGCAAATGGGCAAGTCTGGTCCTTCTGGAAGGCAGTTCTGGGGAGGGGCAGTGGAAGGGAACGTTTTAATATCAGGAAGAACCGATGTAAATCCTAGCACTAGGACTCTCACTGCTCCTGTAGCTTGGGGCATCCGTGGGACTCTAACCCTCAATTTCTTTTTAATGCAAAATAGAGATAAAACCTACCTGTTGGATTCTTCTGAGCTGTCAATGAATGTAAATGGTCCAAAGAGGTGCTCAAAAAGGAAAAAGTCTTTCTCTTCTCACTAGCCACCTCCACTCCCAACTACCACTAAAAAGAAACTTAAAAAGTCAAAATGAAAGAATCCAGCATTTGATACAGTGGGCTAACAGCACGGATGAATCTTTAAAGCTCATCACTTCACTCACGTACAATATTCCAGCCTCCTCTGCATGGGAAGCAAACTCCTCTTGTCCTGTCTTTAGTTTCCATCAAAGCTCAGCCCAGAACCTGACATCTGGCTCTGCTGAAATAGTTTCTTGCTGTTATAGATTCAACACTGCTTTGACTCCAGACAGTCCAGACACTACAGTCTTCCAACCCAGAAAGCTTGGGCATATCTAAATCAACAAGGAAACCCATATCTTCTGTTTTGTTTTGTAATCCATGCTTTTATTAGCACATTGTTATAAAAGCATAACCATAGGTAAGACACTGTACGGGACATCCTGAGGATGCACCATGAGGATGCAGACAGGTGCACATGGGAAGACAAGACACCTACAGCACGTGACCATGAACCCAAGGCAGGAGAAGGCTTGTCTGAGCCTTTGCTGTTGTAGGTACATGGCTCTTTCCTTCATCAGATAATGAGAATTGGTTCTCCATCATTTCTCATTGCACTAGGGATTCCCGGAAACTCAGAATTCAACTGGGACAGCAAACTAACAAACAGGAGAACTGCCACCAAAAAAAAAAAAAAAAAAAAGGTGGATCAATAACTGACAAATAAAAGATACTAATAATTCTTTCTATATAGTAAATGACAAGAAAGTGCAAGCATTGACAGAACAATTCAGCAGATGCAGAATTTGTTTTTCCATTGACATTTCTGTATCCAGTGGGGTCAAGGTGACAACTGTGTCTTCTCCCTACATAGTTATGTCACTGCTGGCTACTCTAGCTGGCTCTCTAATACAGACCTCTGCACATAGCGGTCCTAAATCCACAGGGAGGGGAAGCAGTTGCCTCTGATGATGTTTCAGGCTCCACAATGCTGCTTTTCAACCAGAAAGCCAGTGCCAGGTAGGGCTGATGGTCTTTAGGAGTTCCATAATAAAATACTTCGTGAAAATGAAAATGGCTTGATCAACGATGGCGTCTATGGGAGGTCTAGAAAAATGACTTGTCTTCTGGAACCTCTGCCCAGTTTCAGAATCTCTGCATCCACTGCTGAAAAGAAAAAACAATTCCATTGTGATGTATGTGTCGATGGAGATAAGGTGGGAAGTCATTTCCTTAAACTGGCTGAGAAGGCCTTGCTGGGTGCTAGCAGCAAATTTGTCTAGCCATAGCAGGGGTTCCCTTCTCTAGTCATTTCTACTTCATAGATAGTAGAGTTTTAGATTTGTAAGTCACCTGAGAAGTAATTTACTCATCTAGATTGTCCCTGGAATGAGAAAAAAATTAGAAATATTTTTCAGTGCAAATTTATAATTGGGAGTCTGATATCTAAAGTCTTTAACAAACTCTCTGTTATCTTTATCAAATCTCATATGTGATTCTTTTTTTGAGACAGAATCTCGCTCTGTCACCCAGGCTAGAGTGCAGTGGTGCAATCACGGCTCACTGCAAGCTCTGCCTCCCAGGTTCACGCCATTCTCCTTCCTCAGCCTCCCGAGTAGCTGGGACTACAGGTGCCCGCCACCACGACTGGCTAATTTTTTTGTATTTTTAGTAGAGACAGGGTTTCACTGTGTTGGCCAGGATGGTCTCGATCTCCTGACCTTGTAATCCACCCGCCCCAGCCTCCCAAAGTGCTGGGGAATATAGGCATGAGCCACCGTGCCTGGCCTCATATGTGATTCTTGATCTCTTACGGAGAACACCAGGTTCCAAACCAAAGAACTCAGAGGAAACTAAGTACAATGAGAAGGTTTCTAACTTCAACCAACTATTTTTTTCCCTTTGAGAAGTAGTGAAAATGCCTCACCCAACTGGTTAATAAAATTAGAATTCAAATCTTTCCAGGTGCAATGATAACTCCCTTTAGAGGAAACTGCTTCCCTGAAGCCAGCAGTGCCCAGAAATTACAACCGGTTTCAGCAATTAACAGAAGTAAAACATTAAAAAGCATGAGGCAAAGTACATTTGCATGCTAATAGCCCCTTCTGTAGTGCTGGGAAGCTGTGTTTTACAACAAAGCAGATAACTTTCCCACTATAGCAATATTAACCCTTGGGTTCTCACTCCAGCTCCTTGCCCCTGATTCTAATGTCTGGAATTTGTCTGGCCATGGTTGGGGAAGACATGGGTTAACTCCACATATCAATCCATCCACTGTGGCCTAATTCTCCCTCGCTTGGGTAGGGGAAGAAAGAGAAAGAGACTTAAAAGTTTTGAATGTCTTTAGGGATAGCAAGAGGAAAGTGGAAAGACTCACCAGGGGGTGAAAAAGAAAGCTTCCCTAGAAAATACACTGGAATGGGCAGGGCAGTGCTTGAGCACAAGCTCTGGTGTCAAATGAGACTTGAATTTGAAACTGGCAGTGATATTTCCTAGTGCTGTGACCTTGGGCAGGTTACTTAAGTTCTTGGGGCCCCAGTTTGCTTATCTAATAAGGTGGAATGTAGGTTAAATGAGGCAATGAGGGTAAGACTTCTATATGCCTGGAAACCCTAATGGTTACTGTAATGGTTGTTAGAGCAGGTGGTATTTGTGGAGTTCCAGGAGGAACTTTTTGAAGAACCCTTGAGTACAAGACTATGACAAAGCCCTATGGCTTCACTGGAGATGCAAAGCAATTGTTTTTGCCTCCTGCAGAAAGTTAACCTTGGAATACGAGCAGAATATATATATATATATATATAGATAGATAGATCCCTTTTATGCTTCCTCAAGGTGGAGGCCACCAACATTTTGGATTCCATTGAAGATGACAGTCCTTGAGGATATACAGAGATCAGGAGAAAATTTTCCATCTCTATAGGAAGAAGGCAGGATAGCACAGAGCTTAGGCTTTGGAGCTGGGTAAACCTGGTTTTGAGATCCACTTCCTTTGACACTACCCAACTGTGTTACCTTGGATAAATTTCTTAACCTCTCTGTGCCTCAGTTTCCCATTGTAAAATAAAATGTCATACATCTGGGGCAAGAGTACCATGAGTAAGCACTCAACACATGTCAATTACTAAGGGATATTCCTTTCTTTAAAACTTCATTTCCCCTTGTCTTTTCCCATGACACAATGAGGAAGCAGTGCCCAAAGTATGTCATGGCTTAGATTTCAAGCCAACTCACTGAAATTAAGTAAAGATGAGGAAAGAAAAGTTTCGGTTTGTACACCCATATCCTCAGAGCTCACCACAGCTCTGACGACGGCAAAGAGAGGTTGCCGGAAGGAAACAAAAGTCCATCAAGGGCTGGCAAAATATTAATCCGGAGCTCACGGATGGGCAGTGATGCGCACCCTCTGATGGCGAGCATTCCCTTCATGTTCATGCTGCCCGTGGGCTGACAAAAGCCCACCACCCCATTCTTGCATTGTGGGCACTCACCCTGACTTGCCGTTCATCCTGTCCTGGGTCTACTTCCTAGCGACTTTCCAAGGCAGGTGTAGGGAGGGGATAGAGAGACAGAGAGTGGACTGGAAGATCCAGGGGAAGAAAAGGCAGTTCTCCAGCTCTCCCTCTAACAAGGTGCACTTCTGCCCTAGATTGATGGTTCTTAACCCTAATTGTGCATTAGAAACACATAGGAAGCTTTAAAAAATAATACACTGGGTACTCCTCCCATTGATTATGATCCAGTTTTTTCTGAGGTGAGCCTTGTACATGGATATTTGTATAGATTTTTATCTAGCGCTGCAGTGATCTGATGTGTTGCCTGCCTTGAGAACCATTTTCCGCTAACCTTCCAGAACGTGTTTGTTCTGTAGCAGTGCTGCTCAGTCTGGGATTCATGTTAGGATTCATTGGAGGACTTATTTAAAAATAAGGATGCCGACTGGGCATGGTGGCTCATGCCTGTAATCCCAACACTTTGGGAGGCCTAGGCGGGTGGATCACCTGAGGTCAGGAGTTTGAGATTAGCCTGGCCAACATGGTGAAATCCCGTCTCTACTAAAAATACAAAAAGTAGCCGAGTGTGGTGGTGGGCACCTGAAATTCCAGCTACTTGGGAGACTGAGGCAGGAGAATTGTTTGAACCCGGGAAATGGAAGTTGCAGTGAGCTGAGATCGCACCACTACACTCCAGCCTGGGCAACGGAGTGAGACTTCATCTAAAAGTAAATAAATAAATAAAATAAGGCTGCCTAGGACCCACCCTAAGAATTTCTGATTTAATTCACTTGAAGTGGAGTGCAGACATCAAAGTCAGACCTCCTCAAGCTTTTAACTCCAGACATGTAAGATTGTCCACTACAGAATAATTTGTAATAGCAAAGACTGGAGGCAACCCTCATAGGAGCCTGGCTAAGTAAACTCTTAACTTAGAATACTATGCATCAGTTAAAAAGAATGAGAAAGATTTCTCTGCGCTAATATTGAAAAATCTCCTGAATACATACCAAAAAAAGAAAAAGAAAAAAAAAAAAGCAAGAGGTAGAACAGTGTTTATAGGGTACTATGGTTTATGTAGAAAAAGGGAGAAAATAAAAATAATACAAGTAGTGACAACAGGGAACAAGGAGTGACGGAATACTTTCCAAATGGGTAAGATTAAGACTTTTCATAGGGCCGGGTGCAGTGGCTCATGCCTATGATCCCAGCTCTTAGCGAGGCTGAGGCAGGTAGATCGCTTGAGCTCAGGAGTTTGAGACCCACCTGGGCAACATGGCAAAAACCTGCCTCTACAGAAAGACCAAAAAAAAAAATAAATCAGCCAGTCATAGTGGCATGCATCTGTAGTCCCAGCTACTCGGGAGGTTAAGGTAGGAGGATCAACTGAACCCGGATCAACGGAAGCTTCAGTGAGTTGTGATCATGCTTCTGCATTCCAGCCTGGGTGACAGAGCAAGATCCTATCTAAAAAAAAAAAACAAAAACAAAAAACAAACAAAAAAAACAGAAAAAAACTTTCATGATGTCTTTATTCTCAAACATGTAAATTACCTATTTTAAAAATAAAGCTTGTGGCCAGGCGCGATGGCTCACGCCTGTAATCCCAGCACTTTGGGAGGTCGAGGCGGGCGGATCACGAGGTCAGGAGATCGAGACTATCCTGGCCAACGTGGTGAAACCCCGTCTCTACTAAAAATCCAAAAATTAGCTGGGTGTGGTGGTGCATGCCTGTAATCCCAGCTACTCGGGAGGCTGAGGCAGGAGTATCACTTGAACCAGGAAGTCCAAGTTTGCAGTGAGCCAAGATCATGCCACTGCACTGCAGCCTGGCAACAGAGCGAGACTCCGTCTAAAATAAAATAAAATAAAATAAAATAAAATAAAATAAAATAAAGCTTGTAAAATGAGCAGCCAGGTTTGAAAACATTGATCTCGGGTAAAGTCAGCAAACTGTAGCCAGGAGCCAAATTCAGCCTATTGCCTGTATTTTTTTTTAATTACAATTTTAATTTTAGAGCAATTTCAGGTTTTCAAAATTATTTAGAATACAGAATTTTTCTGTATACCCCACACCCTTTTTTTCTTTATTAACATCTTGCATTATGGTGGCACATTTGTCACGATGAAGGAACAAATATTGATCAATTATTGTTAACTAAAGACCATACTTTATTCAAATCTCCTCAATTATGCCCTAATATCCTTTTTGCATTCCAGGACCTCACCCTGGACACCACACTACATTTAGTCATAGTAAGTCCTTAGCCTCCTCTTGGTTGTGATAACTTCTCAGAGTGACTTTCTTTGTTTTTGATGACTTTGACAGTTTTGAGGGATACTAGTGGGGCGTTTTGTTGAGGATTCCTCAATTGAGATTTGTTTTTGGTTTTTTGGTTTTTTTTTTTTTCTTGATTAGACTGGGATAATGAGCTTTGGGGAGGAAGACCACAGATGGAATGTGCCACTCTCGTGATCATGGTATCTCCCCTGCCAGGTAAGTATGGAAAGTGCCACTCTCATCACATCAAGAGTCCATGCTGTTGGCCAGGTGTGGTGGCTCACGCCTGTAATCCCATCACTTTGGGAAGCCGGGGCAGGTGAATCACCTGAGGTCAGGAATTCGAAACCAGCCTGGCCAACATGGCAAAACCCCGTCTCTACTAAAAATACAAAAATTAGCCGAGTGTGGTGTTGCGCACCTGTAATCCCAGCTACTTGGAGGGCTGAGGCACAAGAATTGCTTGAACCTGGGAGGCAGAAGTTGCAGTGAGCTGAGATCGTGCCACTGCACTCCAGTCTGGTGACAGAGCAAGAGTCTGTCTCAAAAAAAAAAAAAAAAAAAAAAAAAGTGCTTGTCTACATGTCTATGTGAAAGTCCTTTGTTGACATTAAAAAAAAAAACATCCATGCTATCAATGAGATTTATTGATATCGATATTAACCTGGCTCAGGTAGGGTTTGCTGGGTTTCTCGCACTTTGTTTCTCCCTTTCCATACTCTAGTTTTTGGAAGAAAGTCACTATGTGTAGCCCACACTTAAGGAGGGGGGAATTACGCTCCACCTTCTCAGGGGTGGAGTAGCTACATACATTATTTGGAATCCTTCTGCACAGATGTGTCTGGTCTCTTCCATTTGTTTACCCAGTCATTTATCTTTATCATTATGAATCATGGGTATTTACTTTATATTTTGGGGGTTATATGGAATATTACTTTATTTATTTTAATTATTTTTTTTTTTTTTGAGATGGAGTCTCGCTCTGTCGCCCAGGCTTGAGTGCAGTGGCATGATCTTGGCTCACTGCAAGCTCTGCCTCCCAGGTTCACGCCATTCTCCTGCCTCAGCCTCCTGAGTAGCTGGGACTACAGGTGCCCACCACCATGTCTGGCTGATTTTTTTTGTATTTTAAGTAGAGATGGAGTTTCACCATGTTAGCCAGAATGGTCTCGATCTCCTGAACTTGTGATCCTCCCGCCTCGGCCTCCCAAAGTGCTGGGATTACAGGCATGAGCCACCGCACCCAGCATGTGGGGGTTTTATCGTTTTGCTTTTTTAAATTTCATTTTGTTTTGGTGTTGGTTTTTGAGCATTTTCTTACTTTCTGCCACTACGAGAGGCTCCTGGCTCGTTTTGCGCATTTCCTGCTCCAGTAGAGTCAGCTATATGAGCCCTGGTTCTTTCTATAGACAAATGGTTTTAGGAACTAAGACCAGGCACTAGGTGTTCTCATTGTTACTGGAGTGTTAGTGCTTCTAGATTCTTCCAACTGACAGAGCAAGGAGACATATATACGTGTGCTAACCTGTATATATATGCAGATCAATGAATATTTCTACATGTAATTATCTGTTTCTACATTAAGCTAAATATGGATTTGTACTTATGTCTCCAACTCGAATCCATTAGCACACAGATCATTCCCATCTCCTCCCCTTGCTTATCTGTGAGCTCCCATTCTAGCAATGAAAAACCTGGCTCCCACAATCTTTGATCCATTCACTGAACTGTCCAATTCTGGCCTTTATGCATAATGGTTTCAGAATTGCTAACCCTTATCTTCCCCACAAAAAAGTGTGTGTGGGGGTGGGTAGAAATGCCAATACAGTGCTTGTATACAGCTCCTTTTTTTCTAGTATTATTATAATAATAATTATTATTATTTTTGATGGAGTCTCGCTCTGTCACCCAGGCTGGAGTGCAGTGGTGTGATCTTGACTCACTGCAACTTCTGCCTCCCAGGTTCAAGCGATTCTCCTGCCTCAGCCTCCCGACTAGCTGGGATTACAGGTGTGCGCCACCACGCCTGGCTAATTTTTGTATTTTTGTTACAGACAGGGTTTCCCCATGTTGGCCAGGCTGGTCTCAAACTCCTGACCTCAAGTGATCTGCCCGCCTTGGCCTCCCAAAATGCTGGGATTACAGGCATGAGCCACCGTGCCAGGCCTACAGCTCCTTTTTCTTTCAGTCTTACAGACTTCACTCACTTTCAAAGTTACTTAGGTCAGTACCTTATTCCCTGACCTCATTCATTGATGTTCTTTCATACATTTGTAAGACTTCTACATCCTTCTGTCACATCTGCATTCCACCCTGGGATCCCTCAAACTCTTAAATAATATTTTTAAAACATTGTAGACATTAAGGTGCACTTTTCTGCTGTAAAGTTCTATGGGTTCTAATGAATGCCTAATATCTTATACTCACCATTACAATATTATGCAGAATCATTTCACTGCCCTAAAGAAGTCCCTGTGTTTCACCTATTCATCCTTCTCTCTTCTCTGAACCCCTGGCAACCAACAATCTCTTTACCAACTCTAGGTTCTCTTAACTGACAGAGCAATGAGACCTATATTTTGCCTTTTCCAGTGTGTTATATAATTGGAATCTTACCCCATGTAGTTTCTCAGACTTACTTCTTTCACTTAGCAGTATACATTTAAGATCGATCCATGTCTTTCAATGGCTTCATGCCTCATTTCTTTTATTGCTGAATAATATTCTATTGTATAAATGTACCACAGTTTATTTAGTCATGTACCTATTGAAGGATGTCTTGGTTACTTCCTGCTTTTGACAATTATGAATAAAACTGCTATTCAGATGCAGTTTGTTTTTGAGACAGATTTTCACTCTGTCACCAAGGCTGGATGGAGTGCAGTGGCACGATCCTGGCTCACTGAAATGTCAGCTTCCTGGGTTCATGTGATTCTCATGCCTCAGCCTCCTGAGTATCTGGGATTACAGGCATGTGCCACCATGCCCAGCTAAATTTTTTTGTATTTTTAGTAGAGACAGGGTTTCATCATGTTGGCCAGGTTGGTCTTGAACTCCTGACCTCAAGTGATCCACCCACCTCAGCCTCCCAAATTGCTGGAATTACAGGCGTGAGCCACCATGTTCAGTTCACATGCAGAATTTTGAGTGGACATGTGTTTCAAACCAGTTGGGCAAATATCTAGGAGTGTGATTGCTTGATTGTAGGGCAAGACTAGTTTTATAAGAAACGGTCAAATTGTATTCCAAAGTGGTTGTACCATTTTGCATTCCCACCAGCAATGAATGAGAGTCCCTGTTGCTCTGTATCCTTGACAAAAGCTGGTATTGTTAGTTTTTGAATTTTAGTCATTTTAACAGGTATTTCATTGTTTTAATTTGCAATTCCCTAATGACAAATGATATTTATTATCTTTTCATATGCTGTTTGCCATCTATGTATCTTCTTTGGTGAGAGTCTGTTCATAATTTTTACCCATTTTTAAATTGAGTTGTTTGTAGATTGTGTATTTTGGATACATGTCTTTTTTGGATATATGTTTTGTGAACATTTTCTCCCAGTCTGTGGCTTGTCTTTTCACTTTTATGTGATTCTATTTTGCATAGCAGAAGTTTTCCATTTTAATAAAGTCTGACATCAATTTTTTCTTTCATCAATTGTGCTATTGGTGTTATAAGAACTTGTCACAGACCCAAGGTTATGTAGATTTTCTGTTACTTTTTCTTCAAGAAATATTATAGTTTTTCATTTTATGTTTAGGCTCATGTCCATTTTTAGTTCATTTTTGTGTAAAGTGTAAGATTTGTGTCTAGTTTTTTTTTCCATATGGATATCGAATTGCTCCAGTATCATATGTTGAAAAGATTATCCTTTCGCCGTTGAATTGCCTTTGCTCCTTTGTCAGTGATCCACTGACTGTGTTTGTGTTGGTCTCTTTCTGGGCTTTCTATTCTGTTCCATTGATCTATTTGTCTATTCTTTCACCAATATCACTCTGTCTTGATTAGTATAGCCTTAGTGTGAGATATCTGGTAGTGTGAATCTTGCAATGTTGTTGTTATTCTTCTTCAGTATTATGTTACCTTGGCCCTTTCATATAAGCCTTAGAATCAGTTTGTCATTCTCTATAAAATAGCTGCCTGGGATTTTGACTGGGATTGTGGTGAGTGTACAGAACAAGTTAGGAAGAAATGATATCTAAACAATATCAAGTCTTCCAGTCCATGAACATAGAATATCTCTCCACTTATTACATTTTTGTATTTTTAATCAGAATTTTGTAGTTTTCCTGGTTTTGTAAATAAAGTTTTATTGGTTCACAGTCATGCTTTTTTTTTACATATTATCTGTGGTTGCCTTCATGCTGTAACGTCAGACTCGACTAGTTGCGACAGAAACCATGTTATTCACAAAGCCTAAAACACTTACTATCTATCTGGGCCTTTACAGAAAAAGCCTGATGACCCCCAATTGAGAGTTCAAATCGCAGAGCATCTTTTCTGTGATCCTGTTTTCTACGATCTCCTTCTCCTCATGGACTTTGGAAAAGAAAACATCCTCTAAAAGAGGAATAAGAACATCTGGAGCCTCAGCAATGGGTTAGAAACTCTTCTTTTGAGGAAGTGGGTGGGGAATCAATAGTAACCTTCCTTATTATCCAGATTTCTCTGGCTGAATTTAGAAGTAGGCTTTTTGTTTGTTTGTTTGTTTGTTTGTTTTACATTGTGTTTATGTTCTAAGCTCAGTACTATTGGCCTAGAAGTATCTCAATGTCCATTATAGCAACCGGAACATAGGAGGTTTTTAATAAATATTTGATAGATGAAATATGAAATAAATTATGGCGCTGGGCACGATGGCTCACACCTGTAATCCCAGCTACTTGGGAGGCTGAGGCACGAGAATCGCCTGAATCCAGGAAGAGGAGGTTGCAGTGAGCTGAGATTGTGCTGCTGTACTTCAGCCTGGGCCACAGGGCAAGACTCCGTCTCAAAAAAAGAATAACAATAATAATTATGTAAGAGAGAAGAAAAAACAGTTACTCTGAGGTCTGCTAAAGTGCAGGAGTAACATCCTCAGGAGCTATGGAAACAGAACTAGGGACAACTGGCACAGATGCATGGGCCATGTGGCTAGCAGCAGATGTATGGGAAGGAAGGTCCTTCTCGTAAAAAAAGCTGTCAGATAACACCACGCACTCGTTTTCACACTTAGCAAATGTAGTCTTGAGTCGTGTCTGCACCAGTACTAAAGCGATATGGAAATAATATTAACCACCATCATGTTCCAGGCACTGTGCGAGTGTCTTTATAGAATACACCAATCCACACAACAGCTCCAAGGTAGCCTTTAGCGTTCCTGTTTTGTAGTTCTGCAAACTACCAAATCAGATAGCAAAATGACTTCCTTAAGATCTCCTTGTTTTGAAGTAGCAACACCAATGCTAACTGTCCTGGGGAAGAAGAATCTTGCTCTACATCACACCTTCCAGCTGCATCAAGCACCAGCAAATAGCACAAGATGCTGTATAGCTCCTGGCTTTCATTCAGTCAGCATGTATAGATGCCCATCTCCAGGGATGTCAAAGGAGTATCATAGACGTTACAATACTAGAAAACATCTTTCCATGTCTGTGAATGTCTATCCCTAACCCTAGTCTGTCAGTCAATCAGTTGGTCAGCCAGGGGAGTGACTTCAGTTGAGGACACAGCCCTCTGCAGCAGGTGTTACAGGGACATCAGCAAAGGGACAGACCTACTTCCTGCCCACAGGAACCTTATGCTCTCCTGGGAACTCACATACCCCTGCCCTACAAGGAAAGTCAATGAATCCATTAAAAACTGCAGTGAGACAAATGATCATTTCTATACAGATTTATATACACCGGCATTGGTTGAGTGTGATTAAAAAGCTGTGGAGCCTTCAAACCCTTCAATTATTCATGCCTTTCATTTATATAACAAATCCTCATCAGTGTCTGATTTCCACTGTTCAAGTAGCCATTTAAAAAAACTAACATTTTTGGAGCACTTAACTAATTATTTGTAGCATTTTTGTGGTAGATTTATATAGACCTCACAATATATCAACCATGCAAGGTACCTAGGACAGGAATTATTATTATACCCATTTCAAAGATTTGTATATCGAGGCTCAGAGAGGTAAGGTGATTTGTCCAAGGTCACACAAGCTGGCAAGACAAGGCCTGTCCACCAGCCTACAGTTCCTTTGCTATTGTCATGTCCCCAAAGTTCTTGTGCCCTAATCCTTTCTCTCTAACCATGTAGAATAGAAAGAGTAGGTTCCTAAGAGTCAGAGAAGAAGACTCTGGCATCTCATGACCACTTGGCTAGACTCCTTCCCCAGAGGGGAAACTTGCTCTGAGCAAGTTTCAAAGAATGTCCTCATTCAACTTCTGACCCCAGTAGTGGCACAGCCCACATGTGAACCAGAGAAAAGTGGTAATCAATAATGGTGACCTTGTTTTTTCAAGCTTTTGTTGAAGGTCACAGGTGTTCACAAACTCTTCCCTCTCTTCACCCACTAATGTCTTAGATCCTTTCTGAAGGGCAGGCTGAAGGGCAGAAAGGTTAAATGGATTAACTATTCCATGCATGGGCAGAGATTATGACCCAAGTCCCCATGATACTAAGGCTGATCTCCAATCACCCATCCAATGCTGTTCACCTTGGAAAAGATCTGGCATGGTTTACTAATGATGGGCCAGGTGCCACAAGCATTCCAATGCATGCTTTAAAATGCATTCTCAGCAGTGGGAATGGACTTGCCTACATCCTTCAAACTCATTCCAGACAGGAGATTATTTTATCTTGTTCACTCTGGTGTCCTGACACCAAGCACAGTGCTTGGCCCATAGCAGGTGACCAATACATCTTTATTGAATGACTGAAGCTATCTACACCACCTCTGTCCTTGAGCTAAGTCCATGACACAGAGGCCAAGCAAGATCAATCCATTTTCATGGCATTGAACTTACAATCCTGGATGGACTCTTTCTCATGCTACACGGACTTACACAAACATGGTTATAACATACAACCAGAATGGAGGAGGGGCACCGTGAGGATTGAAGGAGGCAAGGTAAGCAGGTGCTGAGCTCTGAGCTTCACACTATCTGGACTGGAGAGACCAGTTCACTGATAAATTAAAGATGCTCAAATGTAGAAGATCCTTGGCAGGAAGGAAGGGTCTTGAGCCATTTTGAAGCAGGCAATTCATTTTGTGATTCAAGATTCCAGATTGGTGGTTCTAAAGATTAACTTGTAGAAAACTCAGAAGTACTAGATAGAATAAATGCCTGCCTTAGGGGGAAGTATTATTATTATTGCTTTATTTTTCCCTGGGAGGAAGAATTACTACTACTCGATGACTTCTACTACTACTACCATTACTATTACTATTTCCTTCTCTGACCCCTTTTTTCCCTTTGGCTTAAACGTCTTACTAGAATTACTCAGGAGATCATAAAGAGAGAGCTACCAGCACTCTCTTCCCCAACCCCCACCAAATTTGTTTTAAAAATATGTATGAAGCTATAGAGAGAGGCAGATCTCAGAAGATTGGGCAGAGCTACCGCAGCTGCAAAGTTATAAGCCCATAAATAAAGTTTATGGTTAAACTGGCCTGACCTGGCTTTGCCCCTAGGTACAGAAGCAGTATCTTGTCATTAGTATGCAGAATACATCAGCCTGAAGTCTGCTCATTTGTTCTCAAGCCACTTGGCTCTATAAATCTTTTGGAAAGGGTGGGGCGGGGAGTTGGGGAGCCAAAGTGAGGGGCAGACAGAAAAAGAGCAGGGGAGGGAGGAGATGAGCCAGGGCTGCTAAGAGGAGTTTCTCTACTGCAACCCAACAGGCGGCCACTGGCTCATGTCACTTGGTGGAGGGAAAATCACAGGTCCCATAAAATAAACTATTTTGCTTCTCCAGCCATAGATAAAAATGTGAGAGACTATGGGAAACAAAATCTAAGCTGTAAGACTTGAACTTTGTTTACCCCTTCTAGTTCAAAAAACAAGTTCAAAGTTACTTGTCCCAGGATTTTACTTAAGAAGGAAAAGCCTCCCGCTTTTTTGTTGCTTATTTTTGCCTCTGTCTTGTTTTGATGGTTTGTTCTTCAGTCCAAAGAAAGGACTGGATTTTGCTCTCCCACACCACACAGAGGGCTCTTGGAAAAGCTGATGGGGTCGTTTTCAATACCTCCATCCTCAGCAGACCACTGAGTGGGGGGGATGCTCAGCTCGCTGCCATCTCCGCTGAGGAGTACATAGGAGAAAACACAAGGACGAAGGGGCATGCAGGAAAGCTGAGCTTGCAAACCTCCCTGAACTCTAGGGTATGGAGAGCTGATGTAGTTTGCTGAAGATGAACATTTATTTCTCCTTTGTTGGGGTAACCTTCAGTCTATTTCTCCTGCTGTAGGAACCCAGGAATGAATACTGATTCTGCCAGTCTCTTTTCTGGAGACCCTGGCTGCCAGTGGAAGAAAGGACATGGGGGAAGAGGTGGGTCTTGATAGTTGTTGCCTCTTCAGTGCTTTCACATTTCCCATTGGACAGCAAGCAAAGAGGCATGTTTTCTTCAGTCTCCACCAGGGCAGAAAGGACACATCTGGGCGCCTTGGAAAGCTGTTGCCACGATCATCGCAGAGCCTTGCCAGGGAAGGCTGGTGGCAGGGAAGGGCAGGAAGATGCAAAAGAGGGCCTAAGCACCACTCGGAGACCGCCCATCCCCCAACATTGTTGTCTGCATGAAAGATGGTTAAAATTAACCTCAGGGGCAGCCTTCAAGGGGAAATTGGAGGGAAGGTCTTACAGGGCCTCAGGGCTGTGGGTGGAGGAGGGGGCTAGACTGCAGTTTCCAAGCTGTCTGTGCCAATTCCTGATGACTTGGGGTTTTTTTTTGTTTTTTGTTTTTTGTTTTTGTTAGACAGAGTTTTGCTCTTGCCGGGGCTGAAGTGCAGTGGCGCCATCTCAGCTCAACCTCTGCCTCCTAGGTTCAAGTGATTCTCCTGCCTCAGCCTCCCGAGTAGCTGGGACTACGGACATGCACCACCACACCCGCCTAATTTTGTATTTTTAATAGAGATGGGGCTTCACTACGTTGGTCAGGCTGGTCTCGAACTCCCGACCTCAGGTGATCCACCTGCCTTGGCCTCCCAAACTGCTGGGATTACAGGCATAAGCTACCTTGCCCGGCGGACTTGGGAGAACTTTCAGGTGGTGGGTTTGTAGTTGAGCCTCAGGCCCTTTATTTTAAATATGCATTTTCTTCCTTTACTCCAGGGATTCCCACCTGCAGCATTATTTATATTTGAGGCTAGGTAATTTGTGTGTGTGCATGCAAAAATGTCTCTAGACATTGCCACATGTCCCCGAGGGCAAAACTGTCCCCAGTTGAGAACCACTGTTCTACAAATCTCCTGCCTTTTGCCTCTCCAATTCAGTGGCCAAGAGTCAAGCATGGCCAAGGGCAAGCAGGGCCCAAGGCAAGTAGCAAGAAAGGAAATACAAAAGGAGGCCCTCAGCTTCCAGAGTTTCAGGAATTTATTCCTCCAGAGTGCTTTTAAACTCATCATTAGAACAAAGAACAAACACATACAAGCAAAATGATTCTTCAGGTCAGGCTGCACAATTTAGCAAAAAGGAATACTTTTTGTTATTTTAGTATGAGCATGTCCTACATAGTATTTGGAATATACTTTTACTAAAGAAAAAAATGGTCGTTTATTCGAAATTTGAATGCACCTGAGCATCCTATATCTTATCTGTCAACAGTATCTTCAGGTAGAGGTAATCATACGGGGAAAAAATCCAGAAGGAGAACACATGTCCTCATTGGGCAGAAATATCCCATTTTGGCCAGATAGGGTGGCTGATGTCTGTAATCTGAGCACTTTTGGGAGGCCAGGGTGGGAGGATTGCTTGAGCCCAGGAGTTTGAGACCAGTTGGGGCAACATTGGGAGACTCCATCTCCACACACACAGACAAAAACATTTTTTTAAAGTTAGCCAGGCATGTCACTGCACTGAAGCCTGGGGAAGGAAGGAAGGAAGGGAGGGAGGGAGGCAGGACGGGACGGAGGCAGGACGGGAGGGAGGGAGGCGGGGGGGGGGGGGCAGGGAGGGAGGCAGGCAGGGAGGGAGGGAGGCAGGCAGGGAGGGAGGGAGGGAGGGAGGCAGGCAGGGAGGGAGGGAGGCAGGCAGGGAGGGAGGGAGGGAGGGAGGCAGGCAGGGAGGGAGGGAGGGAGGCAGGCAGGGAGGGAGGGAGGGAGGGAGGCAGGCAGGGAGGGAGGGAGGGAGGGAGGGAGGCAGGCAGGGAGGGAGGGAGGGAGGCAGGCAGGGAGGGAGGAAGAGAGGGAGAGCAACATGAAAAAAAAGAAATATCCTATTTTCTTGGAGCAGGATTTTACCTGTAATCGAAAAAACGTAAAAGAAGACAGCCCTCACCTTCAGACCACTGAAGCACTCTCAGAATTCTGGCGGCCCCAGATGACCAGGGAATGTGTGAGTGATAGTCTAGACTCCTCTTGGTCTGGAAAAGCGGCCTCTGCTCCCCACTGGTGGTCCTATTTGCACACCCACATTGGAGAATCTTCCCTCTGCGCTTGGCTGCAGAGGAAATGTGACCCTGGGTGGCCGAGTCTCTGCCAAGCTTTATCTGGAAGGGGAGATGTGACCACTTCATAAATCCACACGGAACAAGCATGTTTTCTGCTGGAGCAGGAGATCTTCACTGGCCTTTTTTTCTGTCATCAATCTTGTTTCCTCTTTGAAGGAGAGGGCCCATTACTCATGTCCTGACAGAATCAAAAGAGAGAAGGAGGGGCCCCGGAGAAGAAGAGAGACCTAATGCGGCAGGTGCAGCCTCTGAGAATCCGGGGCGGAGATGGAGAGGGGGCACAGGTGTGGGAAGGGGAGACTGACACAGCCGGCTCTCTGGAGGAGCTCACCCTGCTGGCTCAGCTGAGTTTAAGGGGGAAGCTGCTCCTGGGGAGAGGGAATAGGAAGCAGAAGGGGATTCATCACCAGCACAGACACACAGCTGCGTCTGCAGCTCCTTCAGACCGTCAGAACCTCTGGTTCAGGAGCAGGAACACAGGTGTCAGACCCACGTCTCCATCTTGCCCTGGCTTCTGACTCTGGGCACCCACTCCCCCATATAGGCTCACATTGTTCGTTTGTTAAGTGAAGGGCCTGACCCAAATGCTTCCTGGATTCCCTCATGTTGTCAAATTTGACCTTGGACTGTTCTGCTTTGCCTTCCATTTCCTTCCTGTGGAACAGGGGGATGCCCAAGCTTGGGCTGTTTTGCCATTTACCTCCTTTGGTGAAATTCTGACACTCTGAGAATCCCTAGGAAACTCCTGAGTCCTGTGAATTTCTTTGCAGTTGATGCAAAGAGATATGACGTCTAACGGGAGGACACAGCCTCTCAGAGGATTAGCCACCAGGAATCCTAGTGGCTGAGGATAAGCAGTCCTCCTTTACAGGGTAACCTCGAGGGAACCAGGTACCTTCTAAGACTCAGTTATACCCACCTGCAAAGCGGGGAAAATAATGCCTGCACAGCTTACCTATTGGGACAGCATTTGAGACAGCTGCTATGGAAGCACTTTTTTTTTTTAACATAGAACAAAGCTCGCATACATTATACATAATTGTACACACGAGTGCGATACATGCACATACAACACATACACACGCAGGGCGATGTGAACCCAGCAGTCCCTGGACTTCGAAAATGGAAATGAAATAAGAGTGTGTCTGGGAAGGGAGGAGGCCAGGTCTTGGGGAAGAAACTGCCAGTCTGTCTTCCCTCCAGGACAACAGCTGAATCCCAGAGCCTCATCAGACAGGCCCTCCATGTCTCAGTAAAACTAAACTGACAAGCATGACCCCTCCTGCACAGTTCACCTTATTGAAGCTGTCTGGTAGGTGAGACATTTATTAACATGGATGGACTGCCTACTGAGAGGGCCCTGCTGCTGGGCTCAGCAGAGCGAATTCCGTCCCCAGATGCAATAAGTCTCCACTTCAATGTGGAATGTGATCATGTCCTCCTTGCTGAAGGAAGGTCGTGCTTTTGACGTGAGGATTGTTGATCCACAGAGTGGAGGAGCTCCAAGTGCAGATTCCAGCACCAGGAGGCATGTCGTTCCACAATTCTGGACTGGTCACTTCAAAACTCAGTTTCCTAATCTAGAAACTGGATAAAAACTGTTCAAGGAAGAAATAAGAACAGGGAGGGAGAGCGGTAAAATAATCACTGATATGGTTTGGCTGTATTCCCACCCATATCTCATCTGGAATTCCCACGTGTTGTGGGAGGGACCCCGTAGGAGATAACTGAATCATGGGGGTGGTTTCCCCCATACTGTTCTCGTGGTAGTGAATAAGTCTCAGGAGATCTGATGGTTTTATAAAGGGAAACTCCTTTGGCTTGGCATTGATTCTCTTGTCTGCCACCATGTGAGATGTGCCTTTCACGATTGTGAGGCCTCCCCAGCCACATGGAACTGTAAGTCCAGTAAATCTCTTTCCTTTGTAAATTGCCTAGTCTCAGGTATGTCTTTATCAGCAGTGTGAAAACAGACTAATACAATCACTGACTGCATCATCCCATTAGAATGCTGGATGGGTCACAAGCCAGTTCTCTACACTAGGCACCCGGCACACATACCTATATTTAAGATAAAACATTGGGGAAAAATCCCAGGGCCAGCTTAAGCCACAAGGCATACATGTTAGCTGTCTATTGCTAATGTCCAAATGACCCCAAACCTTAACAGCTTGAAATAACAAACATTTAGCATCTCATAGTTTCTGTGGGTCAGGAATCTGGGTGCAGTGTAGTGGGGTCCTCTGCCCCTGTGAACCTCACAGGCTGCAGTCATCTCAAGGCACAGCTGGGGTGGGGTCAGGGTGGGTGAGCTTCCAAACCCACTCACATGGCTGTTGGATGGAGGGCCTCGGATCCTCCCTGGCTGTTAGCCTGATGCTCCATCAGTTCCCTATCACATGGGCCTCTCCGCTGCAACTCACAACCCTTTAATCGACTTTCCTTCAAACAAGGGAGGGTGATGGTTAATTTGATGTGTCAACTTGGCTGGGCCATGGTGCTCAGACATTTGGCCAAAGCATTATGCTGAATGTTTCTGTGAAGGTGTTTTTTGAATGAGATTAACATTTACCTTGGCAGACTTTGAGTAAAGCAGATGACTTGCCACAGTGTGGGTGGGCCTCGCCCAATCAGTGGAAGGCCTGCGTAGAACAAAGATTGCCCTCCTCTGAGAAAGAGGGAGTCCTGACAGCAAACTGTGTTCACGCTGTAACCACAAGTCCTGCAGGGGTCTCCGGCTTGCTGGCCTCCCCCATCAGATTTTGGACTCACCAGACCTCTATAATCACATGTGCCAATTCCTTAAAATAAATCAATCTCTCTCTCTCTCCATTTCTGTCTGTCTCTCTTTGTTACCTCTGTCTCTGTATATCTCTGTGTCTCTCTGCTTCTGTCTCTGTTTGTCTCTCTGTGTCTCTCTGTGTGTGCATTTCTCTGTTTCATTCTGTCTCTCCATGTCTTTCTCTGTCTCTGTTCCTGTCTCCGTGTGTCTTTCCGTATCTCTCTCTGTCTCTGTCTCTTTCTGTCTCTTTGCCTCTCTGTCTCAATCCCTCTGTTTCTCTTTGTTTCTTTCTCTATGTGTCTCTCTCTATGGTCTCTCTGTCTCTGTCTGTCCCTCTTTCTCTTATTACTTTCTCTATGTCTCTCTGTCTCTGTCTGTGTCTCTCTGTGTCTCTTTCTGTTTCTGTTTCTCTCCCTCTCTCTCTCTATCTCATACACGCCCCATATTAATCCTGTTTCTCTGCGAGCCCTGACTGATACAGTGAGAGGGAGAGAGGCACAGCCTTTGTGTATCCTGATCTTGGAAGTGCCACCCCACCACTTTGCCACTTTCTATTTGTTAGGAGTTGCTGGCTCCAGCCCACACTCAAAAGGTGGGGTTTACCAAAGTGGGTGGGGAATCACTGGAAGCCAGTGTCAGGGGAAGAACCAAAATTCTTGTGAAACCTGTCAGTTGCATGATCTTGGGGCAAGTGATTTAGCCCCATCAGTCTTGTGTTCTCATCTCATCTCTGAGGGCTTTAGTACCTCCTCCTGGCACGTGTTGTCAAGTAGGAAGAATGCATGAAATACAACTCAATAAATGTGTATGACAATGAGGAGTTAAGCACTTGAGATCTTCCACTGTTTTGTAGAGCTAGCTGCATCCTTGAAGATGAATGTGTTTGGCCTGGTCACATTGGTGTGAGGACACGGAGGCTCAGGAAGGCAGAGCAACTTGCCGAAGGTTGATTTTCTCATTTATTCCCCAACTGCCCCCTCTGTCAACTTTCCTAGTCCTCGGAATTCTGCAGCAACTGAAATCTCCTTCCAGCCTAAGCCCATGACAACAATGCTCACAGAGGCAAAGTCTGCCTTGTAAAAATTATTTTTTTTCTTTTGAGATTGAGTCTGTCTCTGTTGCCCAGGTTGGAGTGCAGTGGCACGATTTCGGCTCATTGCGACCTCAGCCTCCTGGATTCAAGCGATTCTCCTGCCTCAGCCTCCTGAGTAGGTGGGACTACAGGTGCCCACCACCATGCCTGGCTAATTTTTGTATTTTTACTAGAGACAGGGTTTCACCATGTTGGCCAGGCTAGTCTCGAACTCCTGACCTCAGGTGATCTGCCTGCCTAGGCCTCCCAAAGTGCTGAGATTATAGGCATGAGCCATTGCACCCAGTCGAAAATTATTTTCTTTTAATGTTTTTTTTTTGTTTTCCGAGCACCTATTGTTTGCCAAGTCATCTACCTGGTATTGGCGTGGTCTATCTAAAAAGGTGACATTTCCACTAAAACCTGAAGGGTAAAAAGTAGGAGTTAGGGGAAGAAAGTCCATGCTTAAGAAAGCTTGGGCCACCCCCAGTCCAGGGGGAGCAAGCGTCTCCCCACGGTCCACAGAAATGGTCTTAATAAAGCTAGAAGTGACTTCATGGTTGCCAAACCCAAGGGCACCACTGCATTTGACTGCTCTGTATCTGTTTCACCCGAAGTGCCCTCAGACTTGACATCCTCTGCCTCTTTGTTCTCCATGACACTCATCTGTGCTGGCTCTGCTCCTACATCTTCGAACCTCCTCCTTAGACTCACTCACAGCCTGCTTTGCCTACATGATGTCCTCTGAATGTCTGTCTCATCTGCTCACTTAACAAAGCCTCATGGTCAAATCTTGTGATGATGAAGCCCAGCCCTATGTCTCCAGGACTCAGGTCCCCTCTGTCCTCAGACTTGGATATCCGCCTAACTGGCTGTTATCATGTCTTCTGGGTACCGTGAAAGCCCCTCAAACTCAGCAGCCAAAATGCACCACAATTTCTACTTTCTAGGGCCCACATATGGACCCTTCTCTTTTATATCCAGAGCCAGTGACACTTGGGCCACCATGTCAGAAACCTGGAAGTCAGCTAATTCTCCTCCTTCTTCCATAGTTGATCAATCAATAAGCCCTATTGATATTGCTTCCTGAATGTGCCTTGAATTGGTCCTTTTTTCCCCATCCCTGCTGCTATTTCAGGCCCTTGTCATTTCATGCCTGGACTTTGCAATAGCCTTTTTTTTTTTTTTTTGAGATAGGATCTCACTCTGTCGTCCAGGCTGGAGTGCAGTGGTGCAATCATAGCTCACTGCAGCCCAACCTCCCAGGCTCAAGTGATCCTACTACCTCACTCTCCTGAGTAGCTGGGACTGTAGGTGTATGCCGTCATACCTGGCTATTTTTTCTTTTTTTGTTAGAGACAGGGTCTCCCTATGTTTGAGACCAGGCTGATCTCAAACTCCTGGCCTCAAGTGATCCTCCCACCTCAGCCTCCCAAAGTGTTGGGATCATAGGCATAAGCCACCATGCATTGCCCCAATAGACTTCTAATGGTCCCAGCTTCTCCACCTCCTACTCCTCTTTCAAAGTCATCTTCCATACTACAACAAGAACGTGGTATTTAAAGTACACCTCTGACCATTTCAATCCTCAGTGCAAAACCCATCCAATAAACCTCAAGCTTCTTAATAAAAGATGCAGGACCCCTTCATGACCAAACCCTGCTTACTATTCGTGTCCTTCATAGCCCGCTTCTTCTACCTTTCCCTTGATATTCCAAGATAAACTGCTTGTTGTTCTCTCAACACATTGTCCTGTTTCTCATTTTATACAAGTTGTTTCGTTGCTGAAATATTATTGTTCTCTATACCCACTCCATCTTCCACTCTTCCTTCTTTTTTTCATCTAGATTACTTCTATTCATTCTTTAAGACCCAACAGATAGGGCCGGGTGTGTGGTGGCTCACGCCTGTAATCCCAGCACTTTGGGAGGCCAAGGCAGGTGGATCCCGAGGTCAGGAGATCAAGACCATCCTGACTAACATGGTGAAACCCTGTCTCTACTAAAAATACAAAAAAAAAAAAAAATCAGCCGGGCATGGTGTCACGTGCCTGTAATCCCAGCTACTCAGGAGGCTGAAGCAGGAGAATCACTTGAATCCGGGAGACGGAGGTTGCAGTAAGCCAAGATCGCATCACTGCACTCCAGCCTGGGGGACAGAGCAAGACTCTGTCTCCAAAAAAAAAAAAAAAGAAAACCCAACAGATATTACCACTTCCAAAATGCCCTCCAGGATTGCCTTTATATTGTATTTACTATGTTTTATTAAAATCATCTGTTTAAATGTCAGTCTCCCCACTAGACTGTAAGCTCGTCAATATCAGGCACCATATGTATGTCTCAGAGCCTACCACATGGCTGGAACAAAATAATGTTCCATAACTACTTGTTCAACTGAATTCTCAAAATTTTCCTTCCATGTTACTTTAGCTCTACATCAAGAACAACAAAAACTGAGGATTTTGAGAGTGATGTTTTGGCCTTGAAAACAATCTCTGTGCAAAGCACCAAGTGACATCTAAAGTCTGTGCCAGTAGGGACACCAAGAGTTGGCTTGAGGAGACATCATGGGCCTCCCCACCCTGAGCATTTAATGTCTGTGTGCAATTGACAATCAAAGGCCTAAAAACATTTTTACATTATTTTTGCCATCATATTTCTGTATCTGTTTCATCTGAGGCTTTTTCTTTTTTTCTTTTTCTTCTCCTTGGCTAGATCAAAAGCTTCCAGAGGTCAAAAATAGTGCCTTACGTTTCTCTTCTAGCCATCTAAGCATCAACCACAAGTAATTCAGTAAGTGTCCATTATAAACAAATACACCATATGGCCAATAGTGTTCAGCACTGTTGACAGCTATAAAGCAGACCAGGGGATATAGTAGTGATGGGGCGAGGTGAGGGGTTAGGGCTGCCATCTACATGTGGTGGCTTCTCTGATATGGTGGCATGGGAGCAGAGACCTGCAGGAAGTGTCAGAGTAGGTGAGTCATGAATATATATGTAAAGTTGCTGCGTTAAAGAAAAGATGGCCCAAACGCTTTGAATACTCCTCCTGTTGAGAAGTGGTGTCTATGTCCCCTGACCTTGAATCTGGGAGAGCTATGTAACTGTTTTGATTAATAGAGTATGGTGGAATTAATGTTTTGTCAGTCTCTGGGCCCAGGCATTAAGAGAATAGCATCTTCCACTTCTTTTCTATCGGATGCTTGCTCTTGGTACCCAGCTGCCATGTTGTAAGGAAGCTCAAGCAGCCCTTGGAAGAGGCCTATGTGAAGAGAAACTGAAGATGCAGATCAATGACCCAGCTGAGCTCCCAGCTGACAGCCAGCACCAACTTTCTGTGAAGCCTAGTTGAGCCACCCCAGCTGATATCTTGTGGAGCAGAGACCAGCCATCTCTGCCCACTTCTGCAAAGTTTTCTGATTCATGAACAAAATAAATGCTTGTTGCTATTTTAAGATACTAAGTGATGAGATGATTTGTAATACAGCAATAGATAGCTGCGATGGAAGCTTCTCTGATAGAAGACTGTAAAGGCAAAGACCTTAACTCAGGATAATGTTTGAAATGTTCTAGAGACGGTAAGGAGGCTAGTGTGATCGACCAGAGAATATAAGCAGCAGAGCAGTAGGAGGTGAGGTCAAAGAGGTCACTAGTGGCAAGGTCTTGAAGGACACTGCAAGACATGACAAGGACATCCGTTTTATTATGAGTCATATGGAAAGCACTGGGGAGCGTTGCATAAAAGAGTAATATGATCTGGCTCATATTTTAACATTCACAGCACATGAAGCTGAATTATTCTTCAGTGGCTGAATTATTCAATGGCTACCTATTAAATAAATACTTAAGTTCATGGTTCTTGATCCTGGCTGCACATTGGAATCAAAGGGGACTTAACTAAGAAAAGGAAATAATAATTCTTGGGATCCACCTCAGAACAATTGAATCCAGTCTTTGGGAATGGGCCAAGGCATTGATTTAAAACAAAAACAAAAGCAAAACAATCAAAACCAAAAACAAACAAACAAAAAAAAACAAAAACCACAACTTTCCCAATGATTAAGTGTGTAGTCAGAGTTGAGATCCATTGTCTAGAGCAGGGGTTGGCAAACTACAGCCCATGGGCTAAATGGCCCATCATCCAATTTTATAAAGCCTCATTGAAACAGAACTACACTCACTCACTTACATTTTGTCTAAGGCAACTTTCCTGATGCAATGCCAGAGCTGAGTAGTTGCAACAACCACATAATCTGCAAAGCCTAAAACATTAACTATCTGGCTCTTTCCAGAAAACGTACGCCTGCCTGGCCTACAGCAGTAGTTCTTAAATCACCAGGGAACTTTGTAAAAATGCAAAAGCCCAGGCCCTCTCCTACTTCCATGAGCCTGGGCCTCTGAGTCTTTATTAGCTCCCTGGGGTGAGTCTGCTACACACCAAAGTTGGAGAACCCCTGTCCTGACTGATGAGGAAGACCAGAGAAACACCAACCAAGGCTGAGTGTGAGTGAAAACTGAGCTGTGCTTCTGTCTGGATGTCCTTTTGTCTCTCATTATGTCAGCCTTTCCCCTCAGGGAGCTGCAGATTCAAACAGGCTTCTCTGCCCAAACTGACAAATTGAGATGTCACAAGAACCATTTCAGCTGGTCTTGAAAGCAGGGGAAATCACAGCCTCTGCATGTTCGTAGGCAGCATACCTGGCTGCAGTCAGGCCCTGCATGATGTACACAACATGCAAAAGCTGGTTATGTTCTTGGGCAGTATCTATGAGGTCCATACCTTAGTCCCCACAGCTGCCTCTCATGTGGTGTCTTGCTCATGGGAACAGCCCCTAACACGTAATTGCTTTAGTATAGTCGCACTTGGCCATGACCATGCATCATTAGAACCTGTATGGAGCCTAAAATAAATAAACAATAATCTGATGCTTGGTCTACACTCCTGGGGATTCTAATTTAGTAGGTCTGAGGTGGGATCTAGTTAGATGGCCGTTATGCACAGCCACCTTAGCTGGGATTATTGTAGGCTCTAGAACCTCAAGCAGTGACTTCCAAACTTGAACATGCATCAGAAACCCTGGAGGGCTCATTAAAAACACAGATTGCTGGGTCCCACCCTAGAGTTTCTGGGAGTTCTGTGTGGAACCCAAGCAAATGCCTTTCCAGCAAGTTCCCAGGTGATACTGAGGCTGCTGCTCTGGGGAGAAGATACTGAGAACCACTATTTTTGTGCATAGGGAGGTGCTACCATGAAAGGTACTTCAACAGGCTAAGAAGCTTGGGCTTGGTTCAGGGTATTTGGATCCTATTGTTAAACCATTGGCAAGTCCATGCAGATCTCAGTTTTGTTGTGGATAGTTACCAAGTCCATAGGCTGATAGTCAGATAATTTCTCCTGGAAGGTACTGCGGAAGGACAAAGGATGATGAATAAAGAATGAATAAAACAAAGCCTGAGGAAACAAAGCATTTCAAAATGGAAATTATTCAAAGCTCCTTTAAAACCCACCACCAGTGAGAACCTGAAAGCATAATTATATAACTCATGAATATAATTAGGTGCTTCCCTTCCCTCTCCACCCACTTCTCCTAAGGCTTTGGGTCTGAGAGAAGTAGGAGGGGGTCCTGAGAGTCTCAGAACTCACAACATAATATCCTGTCTTCTTCTGTTCTTATAAACTTCCTCAAAAAATAGTACTTGGATCTGGCTGGAGCCAAACCCCAGAGCTCCCTGTCCATCAATTAATATTTATGGGGCCTTCACAATGAGCTAAGCAGGCATATAAAAGACAACAGTACCTGCAGACTGTCATTAAGCCAAAGAAGAACAAGCACCTGGCCTTCCTTCTCACAAGGTGTTGGCAGCTGGATGGTTGTGTCTGGGTCAAAATGAACATTCAGCCACTCAGCCCAGAAACATCTCTTGGACGCTCACTCTGTTGCAGACACTCCCCTAAGCACTGGAGAGATGGCAATGAACAAAACAGACACCCTGCCCCAACAGAAGTGAGAGGTGAGAGGTTCTAAACAGCTTGTGGACAAGGTCTGGTGGTAGATATCTACACTAGTGGAGCCCCAGTCTGGTGACCGGGTCAGCCAGTCTGTTCAAAGGCTGTCTGTTCATTTCATTTGTCCCTTCCCATAAACTACTACTGGGAATTAGACATCTGACATGTGAAGGCCTGTGACTGATGGGGTCCAAGTTTAGAAACGTTAAATGCATTGCCTCCAAGGATGACTCAGATGCTGGTTGGATTTCCATGTATCTTGCCTAAATAAGATTTTCACTCTGAAGCTGTTTGGAGCCAAAGCATCCAAAACTCTCCAGAGCATCTTCTCTCCCCAGCAGCCCTGCTCGCCGGAACTTATGTGCCAGTTCAGAGGCTACCTTGACCCTTGCTGGAATCTTGGAGTTCTCCAAGATGTTCTCCAAGTTCTCAAAGGTGGCTCCTTAACTCCTCCAAAAAGGAAATGTGGTTTTCCAGTGTATTGCGTGCCCTTTTTGAAAGGTGGCTTAGATACTAGGGAACCCAGATCCCCAGATCTGAGCATGACTGTTGGCCACAACAGAAGTGTCCCTGATCAGGACCCTGCAACTGTAAGGTGCATGGAGGCAGGTGCCATTTTTCTTGTGCATCGTGGCAACCCCAGCACATAGCACAGGACCTGGAGCTCAATGGGCTGGTGAAGGAATGAATCAGAAACACTTTATGGAATTTGAAGTCCCATGGAACTCTGGCCAAGAAATCTCACCACCTCAAGCTCCTCATGTTAACCTCACCAAGGACACAATGCACTCCCATTGGAGCATGGAGGTCAGACATGAGGTGGAGGTGGTAGGAGTGGGAATCTAAATGAAGACCATGGAACAGGAGAACCGGCCACTGGAAGACCTAGATAGCTGCCCCATGAGGGAGGAAGGAGAGAAATGAGTTGTGGGCTAGAGAAAAAACACTGAGTCCACATCCCTTCCTCCTCCAACCCCACTCCCAAACATTAGTTAAATGGGGAGAATAGGAGTCAATTCTGAAAGAAAAGAATTTAAAATTATTCCCTTCCAAGACAATGGACCTGGGAAAAATGGAGATTATGAGTGCTGAGTCAAGATTGAGCCCCATATTGGAGGTAAGGAGCAGGAAGGCATGAAACATAAAAGAAATAGAATACTCAGTTTCTGTGTTCAGTATTGTTGTGGTATGATAGAAGAATGTTTTAAGCATGCATAGCATGTTAGCACAAACATGTTAGCTTTAATGCAATTCATTATATGCCTATAATATATGTAAGCAAACCTAATATACATTCTGCAGGAAAGCAAGAATCAGAAAACAAGGTAAGTTTGACTGGGCGTGGTAGCTCACGCCTGGAATCCCAGCACTTTGGGAGGCCAAGGTGGGTGGATCACTTGAGGTCTAGAGTTTGAGACCACCCTGGCCAACATGGTGAAAACCCATCTCTACTAAAAATACAAAAATTAGCCGGGCATTGTGGTGCGTGCCTGTAATCCCAGCTACTGGGGAGGCTAAGGCAGGAGAATCACTTGAACCAGGGAAGCAGAGGTTGCAGTGAGTGGAGATCGTGCCACTGTACTCTGGTCTTGGTGACAGAGTGAGACTCCTTCTCAAAAAAAAGAAGAGAAAACAAGACAAGTTTATGTTTTCACTGTGTGGAATATGCTTTGTTCTTCTATACCTCGAGATATTTGCATGTGCTTTTCTCTCTCCCTGAAATGCCAAAACTTCTTTTCCTGGAAAACTCCTATTCAACTTTCAAAACTTAATTTTCGTTTCATTTCTTACCTCCAAAAATAACTACTTTCCCTCATGGATTACCATAGCACCCTTACCCTCTACCATCATTGAAAATATGAGTTAACATAGTGGTTGAACTTGTTACCCATTCTTCTACCCTTCTTGACTCTGAGTTCCTGAAGACCACGTTCCTGCCCTCTTCATCCTTATCTCTTCGGGGCCTGTCATGAAGTCTTCAATACATGATTTTTGGATAAAAAAAATTGTTAAAGGGCCATTACATGATATGTCAGATTGGAACATCCAGTGGGGATGGGGGTATGTCTGTATGGAGAAAACCGAGTTGCTGTACAGAGTTGAAAATTGCTCCCTGAGTCAGAGCTTCCAAGCAATGGGAAAGGGGGAAGACCATATGTCAACACTGGCTAAGAGCTACCCCAACATTCAGGAGGCCCTCTCAGGAAGCATGGAAGGTCACAGGCAATTGGAGACTTGTTCTTTTTTTTTTTTTTTATCAGATAAGCACTTGGTGGAGTATTCAAAGATCAGCAGGTCCCAGCTTGAACTTTCTAAAGAAGTCATGGCCATATACCCTAGATTTGGTACAAGAATGTGGGCAGGGAAACCAGGATTCAGTTTGCCCCTTGATGACAGACCCATCAAATCCACTGGAGCTCCAGTCTTGGCAAGGCCTCCAAAACTCTATGGGGATAAACTGCCCCCTCCATCCCACTGCCGGGTGTCTGAGAGTTGCTATTTGAGAAAATGGTAAGCAAAATGAAATAAGTGTGGTATTTACCGCTGTTAATTAACAGCAAGGTGTTCATGAGTAATGTTGTGGTATTAAGGGTGTGGAGCAGTTTTTCTTATTGACTCCCTCCTTTGCAGGGTTATAAACTCCAGGAGAGTTGTTCCCTCCTGGCTGAAACTTGGCAGCTGGCCTGGGGTTCTTCTTGTGGCTGGTGTAGGACCGGCCCACTCATCAGCCTGTTGAGATCTGCCTCCCTTTCTACCATAGTCACTGCTGGGGCCCTGAGCTTCTGGAAAATGTCTTATTATAAGCTACTCATGCTGTGACACTGGCGTTTGAAGTCCCTAAAACAACGAATTAAAGAGTGAGCCTTACATGCTCTAGAAACATCCAAGTTCAAATGAAGGCACCCAAAAAGCCAACGGAAGATTGTCTATGAAGCAAACAAGGCTGTCTTTGTACAGCAGGTGGGTGCAAAAGTGTTAAACCAAGAGCCACTCTGTAATTCTCCTGGATCAGTAGTCAACATTTTTAGCAAAGATTCCCAGAGGGTTGCTTCAGATGAGAAGATTTATCAGGGAGTGAGTTGCGGGGTGGTGCATCTTTTATTTTGGATTAAATTTATAACACGCTCTGGCTTCTCATTCCTTGAATAATTGAAACATCCCACTATGTTTTACACTTTTCACTTTCTATGTTTTTTCACACAAAAAAAATCATTTTAATTTTTCTCCCCATCAATAACTCTCTGAAGGAGGCAAGGGGGGTATTGTTACTCCAATTTTGCAGATAAAGAAATCGAGGTTTAGAGAATTCAGATGACCTTCCTAGATTCATATGACAGTGCCCAGTCTCAGACTCCATCTTCTGACACCAAGCCCAGTGCTCAGATTTTCCACCCTAATGTCTTCTATAAAAAATAAGAGTCAGCATTTTTCTCCCACCTGGTCCCACATCCTGCAAAGCTGACTGGCAAGCAGGTTGATGGCAATGTGTTGTGACTTCCCCTCTTGGAAAGGAAGTGTTCTCAGTGAGTGGTGATTCTCTTCTGCTTAAATTTAGAGAAACTTGGTTCAGATTGGCTTGGATTTCTGATGGCTAGGGATCCAAGATGAAGGGTCATTCTCAACTCTCTTAATCAGAATTTTGATCAGAGGAAAAAAGAACACAAGAGAGGAGACAACTCTGAGGATCATGACTAGACCATTATCTCCCAATCAGACAAAGGCAACACTAGCACAACCTCCTCAAAGACAATAATATGGTACAAGGAACCAACAAATTAGTAACCTGGAGATTTTAATTAGTGAGTTGAGAACTAGACCCAACAGGAACTCCTCCCTAGAAATTCTTCCTGTTCCAACCACCTGGCAGGAACATTCATTCCTATCTGGAAATGTTTTCAAGAAAGCTGGCAATAACCAGCTCAACCAGTCCCATCCTCTAAGACGAAGGGAAGTAACTCTTGGAATAGTGACCAAAGCCCAGCTGACGACTGCGGCAGGTCCCAGAGACCCATGGAAAAGGGAAAGGACATTGGTCACAGCTGCCTTCGATGTCTTTGTAAATCTTGGCAGAACCATGCAGAAACAAAAGACCAAGAAAGACACCCCAGTTTCAAACATGGAGATCGAACGGCTACTCATAATTATCCACCTGAACAGAATTGCACTAAGAGTGCATAAAGAGATATTTTATTTCCTTTAGAGATGAACGCAATATGCTTTATTTTGCCATTGCTTTCCCTTCCTACCTAAGGCAATTTGGCTCACATTTACGTATTGTGTATTCCTCAATCTCATATTACCTGTGGAATGGAAAAGAGAAGTGATGAGAAAAGAACACAGCCTGAATATGAAGGACACAGCATGGACATATCATGCATACATGATCTGTATGGGATATGGTCCTTGGTTCTGTCTCAGAGCCCTAGCTCACCAATGAGGGGAAGCAATCCTGGAATTCATTTTTATGTCTCCTGCATCCAGGAAATCTCTCGACCACTGCTGGTCTTCAAGTTCCTCCTAACCTGTCTCCCACTCCTCATCTTCCTTATCAATGGTTGCCTCCAATATGGATCCCACACTTTTTTTCTCAGGGAAGCCACCCTTCCCCTCACTCCCTACTTATTTTGTACCTTGCAATCTTAGCATCCTGCTGGGTGCTAATGAAGCATCTTACCCACATGTGTCTGAAAACTCTGGAGAAAGTGAGTCCTAAGAGTAGGGAAGCTGGTGGGAGCTCAAGTTTCTGTTAAACCCTCTTTAGTAGGATTATGCAGCTGATTTGCTTACAAGTTTCCTAAGAAGCAAGCCTTCTTCACCAAGGCAAGCATCACTGTTATTTTCTTAGAGATGGCCCATCTAGTCTTACATGCACGTTCCTTCTGTTCACATGGTGTAGAATTTGTCCCTTTTCAAAACAATAACCCTGGGCTGAGTGTGGTGGTGTGTGCCTATAATCCCAGCACTTTGGGAGACTGAGGCAGGAGGACTGCTTGAGCCCAGGAGTTCAAGACCAGCCAGGGCAACATAGTGAGACCTCATCTCTACTAAGAGTTTAAAAAAAAAATTAACTGGGTGTCTTGGTGTGCACTTGTGGTCTCAGCTACTTGGGAGACTGAGGCAGGAAGATCACCTGAGCCCTGGAGATGGAGGCTGCAGTGAGCTCTGATTGTACCACTGCCCTCCAGCCTGGGTGAGAGAGTGAGCCTGTTTCAAAAAAAAAAAAGACCGAACAAACCTGGAATTTTTGTTCTAAAATGTATTTGATTCCTTTCAGAGACTTCCTTGTATAATAACAGTATAGTATGAACAGATGTAAGTTATCCACTGGAGGTGGGTAGTGACAGTTACAATTAGATAATGCTGATGACCTAATCTCTCCCTAGTTTATCCCACTGCAAACTGATAATTGAGAGGTGGCTTTTCAGAGTCTTTATTTCTGTGAACAAAGCTTACCTTGAACTTCTCATGATGACATGAAATAGAAGTAAAAGTAACAACTAAAAGAGCCCTGGACGTTCCCCTATTGTGTGATATGTTACATTGCTGCAAAGTGACAACAAGCAAGACGTAAGGGTTTTATCAGAAAAGGCTGGGCTGGCTACTCACATCACTCGATGGAAAAATTAGTCTTTTCTGCAGAGGATGAATGCTCTTCTCAGCTGAGCTCACAGACGTGGAAGAGTTGCGCATTTAACCAAAAGAAGTGGGGGGTGGGGAAGTTCACTTAGCCAGCCAGATTATTCAAATAAAACCTGTGATCAGCGGGCAGCTGATCATTCTCACATCTTTAAACAGGTATGAATAGGTTACACAAAATAGAACCGCAAAGTAATATCACCAAAAGGGAAACCCATGAGAGTTTAATACATCCTTGGAAGAACTTCACCAACAAAGCAATGCTTGCAGGGCAAAGAACTATCCCATCATTCACATGATGTATTTATCATTTGAAAGCCTTTTCACATCTCTTTTTTTTTTTTTTTTTTTTTTTTTTTTTTTTTGAGATGGAGTCTCGCTCTTTCACCCAGGCTGGAGTGCAGTGGGTCAATCTTAGCTCACTGCAACCTCCACCTCCCGGGTTCAAGTGATTTTCCCTGCTTTGGCCTCCCAAGTGGCTGTGACTACAGGCACCCACCACCACACCTGGCTAAGTTTTGTATTTTTAGTAGAGACGGGGTTTCGCCATGTTGGCCAGGCTGGTCTTGAACTCCTGACCTCATGTGATCGGCCCGCCTTGGCCTCCCAAAGTGCTGGGGTTACAGGTGTGAGCCACCACACCTAGCCCACATCTCTTACTTTTTTTTTTAACTTTACAATCTGTGAGATTCATGGTGACAGTATTATTATTTATGTGATTCGAGTGATAAAGTGAACAGCAAGTGTGATTCTTTCATGGTCACATAACCTCATTGAGGATATGTCCACAATTATAATCCACATCACTGAAACTTGGGTTTGTTTTCTCTTCCCAGAACATAAGGTTCTATTTAGCTTATGCCATTTTGGCCACCCCTCTCCAAGTAAAAGAAGCACCTTTCCCAAGCTATACTAAGAGAAATAATAACCTGGAAGTGCCTTGGCCTCCTGACCTTAAGGCACCCTTGTAGATGTTGACAAGCATTTGCCAGGATAAATGAAAAGGAGAGGGTGCCCATCTCCCCCTCTTCTCTTTTCATGTCCTGTGGTTATTATTCTGTGATGCAGGTATTTCAGCCCCTGCTGTACCAGGCAACAGGATTAGACAGGTTAGTGGAGCATCAGATTTCCGACTGTTAACTTTTTCACTTTTCTTCTCTGCACGTAGGCTTGAGAACTGACACCAAGACAGGAAGAGGGAAAGTGATAGAGGCAAAACGGAAGATTAAAAGCTGATAGACAACTCAGAGAGCTAGAGGGGGAGTCAGAAAGTATGAAGGCAGAGACCTCAAGGGATCTGATGCAGTTAATCAAATAGTATGACCTTGTAGCTATGTCAGTGTCTGACCTGGGGGAATCTGAAGGAGGGAGGGGAGGAGAGATTTAGATAGAAACCACACATGAGGAGAGTAAAAGGAAAGTAAGTCTTATTAAAGGTGGGAGAGTCAGTACTAGCTGTTGAAACTTATGCATCCCATTTCTTGGATGAGAAATAGATAGCATTTATTGAGCTAATGACCATGTAATTAAGCTCCAATGAGTTAAGCTTAAGCTGTAGCAGGGATAGAGCAGAGGAAATGTACCGAGAAAGGTGCTTCACCAAAAACAAAGTTGATTAAAAATGAGATCAAATGATCCAAGAGTGCATTAGAAGAGAGAACTCAATTTATTATCCAAATGAAAGGCTGAGATTGACTCCTGATAGCCCTCTTAAACATTAAATTCCACAATTGCCATGAGTAGGAGATGGCCCTCAAGCAGTCATGGGTCCTATGGTAAGGTCACGCTAAAAGCTGAAAGGACCTGCGGATGGTCAAGTTCAATTTCTTCAGTATCATGAGGAAGAAGGGCACTGATATGGTTTGGATTTGTGTCCCCACCCAAATCTCATGTCCAGTTGTAATCCCCATTGTTAGAG
This sequence comes from Homo sapiens, assembly GCF_000001405.40. Taxonomy (NCBI): domain Eukaryota; kingdom Metazoa; phylum Chordata; class Mammalia; order Primates; family Hominidae; genus Homo; species Homo sapiens. The sequence goes on from NC_000017.11 coordinate 72,254,540, forward strand.
GAGAGGCCTGGTGAGAGGCAATTGGATCTTGGGGGTGGGTTTCCTCCTAGCTGTTCTCATTATAGTGAGTTCTCATGAGATCTGATTGTTTAAAAGTGTGTAGCACCTCCCCCTTTGCTCTCTTCCTCCTGCTCTTGCCATGAAAGACGTGCCAGCTTCCCCTTCACCTTCCACCATGATTGTAAGTTTCCTGAGGCCTTCCCAGAAGTAAAAGCCTGTGCAGCCTGAAAAACCATGAACGAATTAAACCTCTTTTGTTTATAAATTACCTAGTCTCAGGTAGCTCTTTGTAGCAATGCAAGAATGGACTCTCATAGGCACCAAATTTGGAGTGATACACTGGGTTTAGTTCCTGAATCTCTCTTTCACTTGCAATGTGACCCTTGGGCAAACCATTTAAGCTTTCTGATCCCAATTTCTCCATTGCGTATGACACAGATACTGATGTTCAATGTGAGCATCATACCTATGGAATGTGAGCAAGATTACTCAGTGCCAGAAGGTACTTTGTAAGCGTTGGCAGTATTCAGTTGAGAATGCTGAGACCCAAGAGATGAAATGATGCTCAAATGGTTACTTAAATAGTCAAGACCAGAACATGGGTCTCATGGCTAATGTCCCTTCCTAGTTGAGAATACAGTCTCAGGTGTAACATTATAAATGTTACTGTGTGGTGATTTGTTGAGACACTCCCATTTGCCCTTTGGATTGAGCAGTGAACAAACCCCAACTCCATTGCCAACTCATTTTCTTCCCACTTATCCTGAGAGCACAGAAGAACAGTGCTTGCCCCAGAAATCATTACGGCAGCTTGCCCCAGAAATCAATAGGGCCGCTTCCCATTGTCCTTTGGGAACCCTCTATTCCACTCTAACAGCAAGCAGGCAGTAATAGGTAGCACAAAAAGCCATAGCCCCTAGGCTACCAGGGTCAGAACAGAAATCTGCAGGGGTGCAGACAACCACTGTGAGCCTGAGGAGTTGGCACCATCTTAAGAAGAGTATTAGACCAGTCACATGCACTTAGTCTTTCTTCTTAAGCTCCTCAGAAGACTGTCTGGTGTCACCCAGAAGCCAGCTAAGCCATAAATTCACCCATTGGGTGAGCCCTAGCAACCTGTCTAATCCTGCTGGGAAACAGTACATCCGGCCCTTGACAGCACTCTCATGACTGCTTGCTGAGAAGCGGTATTTTAAATAAAGAGAGAAAAAAAAAACACCCTATTGTTTTACTCTGGTAATTGATAGCAAGTTTCTCATGAGTAATTTTATAGCACTCAGGGTGTGCCGGAGTTTGATTTAACTTCTCTTTACAGGAGCTTCAAACCTGCAGTACAAACATGGTTTTGAATGGGATGAAACATGCTTCAAAGATCCATATAGATATTGACATTTCCTATTTCTATGGCCCACATATTAGAGGCCTTTCTCTCCACTTCTTCTCTAAATGTCCCCTTCACATATTTGAGATCCTGAAAGATCTCAACGAATTTTGGTTCTAGCATGTAGGTATCTATTTAATACATGTATTCTGGCAATTTTATTTTATTTTTATTATACTTTAAGTTCTGGGGTACATGTGCAGAAAGTGCAGTTTTGTTACATAGGTATACACGTGCCATGCTGGTTTGCTGCACCCATCAACCCGTCACCTACATTAGGTATTTCTCCTAATGTTATCCCTCCCCTAGCCCCCCACCCCCCAAGAGGCCCCAGTGTGTGATGTTCCCCTCCCCGTGTCCATGTGTTATCATTGTTCAACTCCCACTTATAAGTGAGAACATGCAGTGTTTGGTTTTCTGTTCTTGTGATAGTTTGCTGAGAATGATGGTTTCCAGCTTTATCCATGTCCCTGCAAAGGACACGAACTCATTCTTTTTTTATGGCTGCATAGTATTCCACGGTGTATATGTGCCCCATTTTCTTTATCCAGTCTATTATCGATGGACATTTGGGTTGGTTCCAAGTCTTTGCTATTGTGAGTAGTGCCACAATAAACATACATGTGCATGTGTCTTTATAGCAGAATGATTTATAATCCTTTGGGTATATATCCAGTAATGGGATTGCTGCGTCAAATGGTATTTCTAGTTCTATTTCCTTGAGGAAATGCCACACTGTCTTCCACAATGGTTGAACTAATTTACTTTATAGCAACCACAGTGGGATTCCCAAAGTGCAATCTAAAAATTGGTTCCTCAAAATATTATTTTTAAAAGGATGGGGAGGGGCTTCTGCAGAACTAGTTTTAGCAAATTCACAATATACATTAGTGTGGTGAATGCTCTGAGAAGTCCTGCAGAAGACAGCCAAGCTCATCACTAATTTGAACACAAAATTTCCCAAAGTAAGCAGAAGACAGAATTTTTCTATGGGAAACTGCATACACACAAACACATTCTACCACTTTTTAATTTTGCGTTTTTTTTTTTTTTTTTTTTGAGATGGAGTCTTGCTTTGTCGCCCAGGCTGGAGTGCAGTGGCACAATCTCGGCTCACTACAAGCTCCGCCTCCCGGGTTCATGTCATTCTCCTGCCTCAGCCTCCCGAGTAGCTGGGACTACAGGCGCCGATCACCACGCCCGGCTAATTTTTTGTATTTTTAGTAGAGATGGGGTTTCACCATGTATTCAGGAGGGTCTCGATCTCCTGAGCTCGTGATCCACCCGCCTCGGCCTTCCAAAGTGCTGGGATTACAGGCGTGAGCCACCGTGCCCGGCCTACCACTTTTTAATTTAACAGTGATATCTGATCCTACAGAGCTAGGATCTTGAGGAACATGTGTTGAGAAACACTGCACTATAAGAGAAGGAAGGAAGTCCAGTCAGTGCTCAGGAGTAAACCCTATTCTACTTTACTCTTGCTTTTGTACCCCAATTATTCAATCAACAAACATTTATTAAGTATTCAATATGAATAATGGGCAATGGAAGATGCAAAGATAAATCAGATATGAAGAAACATGATAACAGCATTTTCAAAAAGAATGTGATGGATGGGCCTTTGAAAGATCTCGTTCGACCACCTCTGCTATTTAAATAAGAAAACAGGGATTGAGGTAAATTAGGTGGTTGGTCTCTGAACATAGAACACCATACAACTCTTCCAGTTTGAAGTCCCTTAAGTAGAATGTAAGCATGGACTCCAATAAACATTTGGCCTAAAGAAGAAAAAATGGTTCTATATATAAGTGCCATGAGCCAAAGGTATCTGCAAATATTCCCAAAGTAGGGGATTTCAAATCCCATGATTTTTAGGGAAGGGCAGAAATGAGGACTGCATATTTCGGGGAAAGACATCAAAGAGGAAATTTGATGAGCCAGAGGTCCTGCATTGAGGAAGACATTGAGTTAGATACTCAAACCTGGTCTCTGGGCCAAGAGGAAACAGGCCTCTGGTTGCAGCATTCAAGTCTACTTGGTAACTTCCACTACTTGGTACGGCCATGGGAATGCCCTGGAGTTGACAAGAGACACTGCCCTTGATCTCTCACAGTGGACACTCAGTGCCTTCACAGATTCACAGCTGAGCTCTTCATGGCTTTATTTATTTACTTCATTGCTTTTGATGAGTTGCTTATACCTTAAGTAGGGATTATTCGTTTAGTAATGGGATTTTTCTTCTCTCCAGCCCTGGGAGAGCTTCTTCATCCTCAGAGCTTTCAGTTATGGCCTATGGACTGGTGGTTCCCATATTTATAAGTCAAGTTCTAAACTTTTGTTCGAGCTTCATCCCTCATACCCCAGCTGCCTGTTGGGTGGTTTTCATTAGTCCCTAAACATTCCTCTGAACCTTATTATATCCAGGTTGTCTTCTCTCAAACCAGCTTCCCCTCTCAATTTCCCTATATCAGTCCATGAAGCCATTTTACATTTTTTTCACCTCCTCATTCCCATACTGTTGGGTACTCAGTTTTGAAAGCATGGAACTTTTTCCCTCTCCTTTTCACTTCTCGTAGCAATAAGTAACTAAGACATGCCCTTTTTCTTTGAAATGTTTATCTATTCTTTTCTTTCCCTTTCTATTTGCTACCAATATAGATGAAATAGATTTTACCCCTTCTGGTTGAATTTACAGTCGTCTAACTCCAAGGCCCTAGTCATTCCCTCTTCCAATCCATCCATATGATTTCTATACCAGGCTGTGCCACTTCAGTTGTTTTGTTGAAAACAAAACAACAAAACAAAACAAAAACAGATGCTCTGGACACTGTATTTCAATAAATTCTCTCTGACATGGTCAGAAACTATGACCCATTTGCTGTTAGTGGCCACTCAAAGCAAGTAAGTCTCTGCAATCACAGCATGTTCTGGGTTCATCCACAATCTCCTCATCAGCCACAGTAGCCCCATCTGTTTCCTGCCTACCAAGTGCCAGCTATCTGCTCAGTGCCTGTTACAACACTATTTTTTTGTTTGTTTTTTTCCCTGGCTGAAGTGCAGTGGTGCAAACACAGCTCACTGCAGCCTCAACCTCCTGGGCTCAAGCAATACTCCTGCCTCCGCCTCCTGAGTAGCTGGGACCACACCGGGCTAATTTCTGTATTTTTATAAAGACAGGTTCTCGCTATGTGACCCAGGGTAGACTTGAACTCCTGGGCTCAAGCAATTCTCCCACCTCGGCCTCCCAAAATGCTGGTATTACAGGTGTGAGCTATTGCACCCAGCCAATACAACACTATTAAGTATCTATCACTATACGCTTTTCATGGAAAAGAAATCTTCCATTGACATCTAAAATCCTTATCAAAAAGTGATTTCCAGCTTCCCCATTAATATGAGGTACAAATAACATTCAATGTGCCTTAAAATCTGTTTGGATATATATCATTGCCTATATATATTTGAACATTAATGGAAATAATCATATAATTTGGAAAAGAGAGAAGTGAAATGCATGTCTCTTTTAGACAAAATTGGAGGTAGCAAGTAGAGAAAAACATGAAAAGGGCTTTAAAAAAAGGTGGTGGCAGGGAGGTAGGCACTGCCTGTTTAAGACATGGGCACTACCCATTAGTGTGTTAGAACCTGTTGTTAATGGAAAACTCCCAATCAATAAAGTGGTTTTGCCTAATTTTGCATTTCGGAAAAAAGTATTAGAGACTCCCCTAAGCCAGGCTGTTTCAGCAGGGCCCTGTCAAACTCTGCACTCTCTCCACAGGGTAGAGTTCTTGGACCCCTCCCCATTTTACTCCAACAAGGCTGTCCACCTTCCCGTTGGCCCTGCTGAGCCCTGCAAATCACTCTAGGTGCACCTGCCCCCAGCCCACCAGCCCAAGAACCACAAACCCAGCTGAGGGGACGAGTGGGATTACTGCAAATAAAGTAAAGATAATCCCAGGCAAGAACCTTTTATCCAGGAAAAGACTCCATCAAATCATCCTCACAGCTCCTCACCATCTCCTCTTAATAACTTGCATGCCAGAATGTTACAAAGATTAAACCTGTTGAGGAATGTGATGCTTTGTAGCCCCAGCATGGAGTGCTTTGAGCCAGGGGAGGAGGGGCAGGTGGAGGGCGGTGGGTAGCAAGGAAGAAAAGAGGAGAAGAAAGCAAGACAAAAGAGAGTACACTCTGCAATCATTCTGCTAAAAGCCTTTGTTCAGCCGGCACATTATTTGGTGATCTAGACGAGGCATAATAAGGCACTTTATCTGCGCAGTTTATTGTGTGTGTGTGTCATAGGTCTACGTGTATATTACTGACTGTAAAATATATATAATATGTGCCAAGAGAGAGAAGAGAGAGTGTAAACGATCTGACTCAGTGAGCATTTGCTTTGTCGGAGGCAAGCTGGTCTTCTGCACCAAAATTGTGATTCTCATGTTAAATCAAGCAGTGATATTTGAGAAAAGGCCATTTCATGAAGTCCAAATAATTTTAAGATAATAATAAATGGCTATACTAATTCCTGTCTTCAAGAGCCTGGACAAAGAGCAGTAATAAGACTCTACTGGACATCAAGCATAGAGTTTATTTTCTGGAAGTTCAATGGGTAGCAGAGAGATGGGGCAAGACAACGCCCAGATTAGTATTGAAATGTGACATTACTGCATGTTTACTTCCTGCTTGCAGACCTGCTGGAGCAAACTTGCTTACTTTTATGTTTTCTGAAACATGTTCTTTGTTAATGAAATATTCACAGAGAGTCTTCCACAGTAGAATAAGGTTTGAGTTAGACAAACTTGAGTTCAACTTTTGTCTCTGCCCCTTTGAGTCATGTGAACCTCTCTGACTCTCAGTAAATTCATTTGTAAAATGGAAGAGCAATACCTACTGTGGAGGTTTTGTGAAAAGTGGAGATAATGTATGTACCCAACACACTGCACATGGTAGGACCAACGGTTTATCATTTACAAGTATGCAGTTGGAGAGTGATTTTGTCCAAGCCTCCAAGATAATCCTTTCTACCTACTGCAAAATAGATGGGATGGAACCATGCCAAGGGGATAAGTTGCCGAAGGGGATTAGCTCTCTCTGATTGCCTTTGGGAAGCCATCTTAACCCCCTGTAGTACCCATGAAAGAAAGAAAATGAATTCTTATCAATCAAATTATTACAGAGCCCCAGAGGGTATATTATATCTCAGTAATATAATTCCTTTAAAAGGGGATTTGCCAGGTGGCATCAAAATTAGTTAATTTATACCTCCGTAAGGAAAACGGGGAGAAAATAGGAAGCATCCTCAGGATCATTCATTGCCTCTGATCATTGTTGTTTGCAGTATATAGTGTAGAGGCCTAGATTTATGTACGACCGAGTCTGTGGTCTCTCACTGACCATCTGAGTCACTTCCCGGTCACCCTAAGTTGAATCTCTACAGCCATTCATTTATCTAAGCATTCATTTATTCACTCATATAGCAACTGTTTTTTGTTTTTGTTTGTTTGTTTGAAGGATACCACTGGAGGTTATGATGCATACAAAGAAGTGAGAGGAGGGAATATCTGCCTGGAGCCCACCTGTATTAGTCTGTTCTCACACGTTAATAAAGACATACCCAAGACAGGGTAATTTGTAAAGAAAAAGGTTTAATGGACTTGCAGTTCCACATGGCTGGGGAGGCCTCACAGTCATGGCAGAAGGTGCCTTCACTTTCTGCAAAGGCACATCTTACATGGAGGCAGGCAAGAGATCATGTGCAGGGGAACTTTCCTTTACAAAACCATCAGATCTCATGAGACTTATTCACTATAATGAGAACAGTACAGGAAAACCCATCTCCATGATTCAATTGCCTCCCACCAGGTCCCTCCCATGACATGTGGGGATTATGGGAGCTACAATTCAAGATGAGATTTGGGTGGAGACACAGACAAACCATATCACCACCCTTAAAACAATAATAGACAATTTTGACAAGTCTTATAAATCTTATCCTACATAGTCATTGTTGCCTTCAGCCATGTGGACATCCACGAAAAATCATCAAATACAGGAGTAGACAGAGGGATGTGAAATGCAACTTTTTCTTAAGCAGTATTGGAGGTACTAAGAGGATAAAAAAAAAAAAAAAAAAAGGTCAAAAACAAAGGAAGCTTCCTGTTTAATACATGGTCATTGCCTTCAAGAGATATTTTATTTAGTTGAGAAAACAGGGCATATGAACATGATCACTTAAAGTAACAATTAAGAAAAGTCAAAGTACTTTTCTTTCAACTTTTCTGGAGGTTCAAAAATTTTCTTAAAAAAATCACAAAACGCATGTATTAATTTTATCATCAGTGTCTCAAATAGAGTGTTTATTAATAAAAGAGTTCAAAGCAAGGAATTGTTCTCTCAAACTGGAACAGAGAGGAAGTTCTCTGTGAAAGAAAAGAACTTGGGTCTTTTGAGGTAATATATTGATTATCATGATTATTGGTAAGATAAGTAACTTTCCTTTCTGAAGTATATATGCTATTCCACACATTGGGGTATGTACTTAATCCAAACTGCCCCATGTGATCCTCATAATAACTTTGCAACATGAGTTTTGTTACTCCATTTTGCAGAGAAGAAAACTGAGGCTCAAAGATGTTTTGTGAGTTCAAGGTCTCACAGCAAGTTGTGGGTGGTAAAGCTGGGATCTGAACCTGGTTCTGTGTGACTCCAAGGTCAGTGTTCATTCAACTCTGTGATAACGTCTCTCTGACAAGTTTCTTAGAGATTTAGATGAGATATCAGGCAAGGGAGGCAAGTATGCACCATAGCACAGTGATAAAAATATCCATAGCCTGTGAGGAAAAATAGTTGACTGTAGCAGTGGTTATTGGTTGTTCCCAATACCCTTTGTCACCTTCTTGCTTTAGTAATAAAACCCTGAATCTCAGCCAGATACAAACATGGCCAACCACAGTTCAAAAAAGAAAAAAAAAAAAAGAAAGAAAGAAATTTCCCAGCCTCCTTTGCACCTGGATGTGGTCATGTGACTACATTTTGGCCAATGAGATCCAAATGGAAGCCATATCTACAATTTCCAGAAAATGTTCTTAAAGGGAAGGACTGTGTCCTTCTTCACTCCTGCCCCCCTTCTTTTGGCTGTACTGTGGATTTGTTAACTGGATCTGAATTGGCCAATCATGAAGGTGATCTTGGGAATGGAGGTCACCCAAAGTAGACCAACAGGAAAGCAGGAGCCTGGGTCTCTGAGCCCTTGGTGGAGCAGAACTGGCATTGCTGTCCTGGGCTGCCTATACCTGGTTTTTAAAACAAGAGTGAAATAAGCTTCTGTGCAATTTAAGTCGCTGTTATTTTGGATTATACTGTTACTGGCAATTGAACCTAATCCTAATTAACACATAGTTTATGTTGACTTAAGCCAAGAGTTTTCATAGGTATCAGTGGGAAAAACAGGTTGGGAAGACATGGAAATCATGGAGAACTTCTCAAGTCAAGTTAAGGCCTGTGTCACCTATTTCGTAGGCTTTCTGAGTAGACCAATATAATGCAAGCGGCATTTCCAGAATACTTAGGCTGTGTGGTATAGAGTATCACAGTCTGGAAAGTTGATGAAGGAGTGAAAACATTTGAAAAACTACTCCAATAAGCCAGGTGTGAGGTGTTCAGGGTCTCACAAAGGAAGCAGGACTGGGTGGTCAAGATTTGAAGCTGTAGCACTTGGATATTAAGTCAATTGTGAGGGTGGGAATACAAGGTAGTCAAAAGTAATTGAGATTTCTCCCTGAAGAGGCATGGGACATTGGCAAAAGCTAAGAAAGCAAAAGATGAATGGAATATCAAAGAGGGACACAGACTTCTATTTTAGACTTGTGGAGCTAGAGATCATGCCACTACATCTAGAGAGATACAGCCAGGATAGATATGCATGCCTGTAGCTTGTTAAATGCAAAGCTTAAAAATACAAGTTTAGACAGTGGTAAGCATACAGGAGAGGGTTGAAATCCTGACACTAGATGAGTTTCTCAGAGAATATGATATAGGAATAAGACCCATTTGTAAGCATAAAAAAGAAAAGAGGCAGCAGAGACAGAGAAGCGGTGATTAGGAGGAAGAAGGTAAATCAGTATGGTATATCATCCTAGGGTCCAAGGAAAGAGCTTTCATCAACTGTGGTATGTGCCAGAGAAGAAGAAAAATAAATAAGAAAATGTTTGAGTTTGGCACTGAAGAAGTAGGTCATTGTTGACCGTTGGGTGACAATATCACTACAAGGCAGGGAGCGGGAAGCCTAGCTTCAGAAGATTGAAGAATGAATGTCTTATAGGGGAAGGGAGGTACATTTGAGAAACTTGAGTGTGAACTGAAACCATTCAAAAGTAGCTAGAAGATCAGCATCAGAAGACAATAGTGTCACCATCTTTAATGGAATAGGACGGTCCTGTATAGGTTAGTTGGTAGAGATATAAACTGGAGGAAGCCACCCCTCTAAGCCATCATATCTCCATGAGTCAGTGAAGATACTATCTACCATGTGGGATCACTGCAAAAATAATGTGGTATGAAGATACACAGCACAGAGCATGGCGGGTAGTAATGACCCATTAAGCATCTATTATTTTTTGTTGCCTTCAGATTATTTTTCCTGATATATGCTGTTTTTTTATACCAATCTAATAGCCCCTCAAGTGAGTGTCCCCTGTGTTTGTGGACATTAGATGAGAGCTCAAGGTAAGCCCATCCCAACCTTTTTTTTTTTTAAGTCCCTTGGGATCCCAGAGAGTCTCAGATTGTACAGCAGCAGTCTCAGATTGTACAGCAGATTGTACAGTCAGATTGTACAGCAGAGTCTCAGATTGTACAGTAGACCTATCAGGGAGGAAGAGAATGCTCAAAAGTAGTGACTTGAATAGTTTCTGTTGGTCTACAGAACCCGCAGAGCATATGATGGGCCTCCCAAGTAACAGAAATACCAAAAGCAATAGCTAGACCATATGCTAAGCCAACACAATAACCAGATCATGTGCTAAGCCAATACAATAACCAGACAATTGTATTGTGCTAATACAATAGCCAAACCATGTGCTAAGCCAATACAATAGCCAGACCATGTGCTAAGCCAGGACCGGCTTTATTTCATTTAACCCATCCCATGATGTTAGTAGAATTTCACACATGAGAAATTTGAGGCTCAGAAGGGCTTAACAGTTGTCATTTGTTGCAGTTCTCATGTGAGGGAGAGGAGGGTTTTCAGCTCATCTATGTCTGGAACTCATGTGATCTGCCACCACTCTCTAGGCCTCTTTCTGCTTCAGTGTTTTTGAGACCGAGAAATTGACCTAGCACTCTGGGGTACTTCCATGAGCACTCAACCAGGAGGCCAAAAAAAAAAAAAAAAAAAAAAAAAACTAACATCAGCCCCGACTCAGACTGGGGAAGGAGGGTCACAGGATGACAGTGATACTAGCACAGCTAGGGTCAATGGTAGCCAGTGTAAAAAGAATGAGCCTGTTTCTAAACAGGGAGGGTGAAGAGGTGGCCAGTGGCCCAAGGGCAGAAGACAGATCACGGGCCTGTCACCCCCTTTACCCCAAAGCACTCAGATACAAAATTGGAACAGACCCATGGGCCACAGCTTGAACCTCCAGCCTGGCAAACCCCAACACATTTCTCGACTTTCCCAGTGCCCTCTTCAGCCACATAAAGCCACTACTTCACGGAGACAAAGAGAGCTCCAGCCTTCACACAACCGCAGTAATTGTAGAGGTGGCCGGCCCCCCAAGTGACTCCACCCAACTCAGACACCTCAGAACTGCTACTCTGTAAAGCACACCCAAAGACTGTTACCTCTCTAAATGAGGTGAGCTCAAGATGAAAGACCAAGGCGATCATTTTAGACGGGCTTATGCGTAATTACGCATTCATCAGTCAGAGCTTTAATTACCCGAGATAAAGGTACCATTAGTGTTTCGGGGAAAACTGGCTCCAGCAAAATGCATTTCTTTTGTCTCCAAGCCAGTGACAACTAACTGTTATCCTTGGAAGGGCTTAGCAGACAGACTCCAACCTAAGCCATAAAAGGCGATGCCACTGAGCAAGCTGCAGCATTCGTGGGAGATGTGGCGCAGTCTGGAAAGCCCACAAGAGCTCCGGAGACAAGGGCACATTTCCCTGAGTGAGAGTCACATCAGGGACAGAGAAATAGAGGACCGAAATGAAGGGGACGGGGGAAACTTAGGAGCCTCACTTAGAGTATCACCTTGCAACTCCCTGGCATGAAATGCAAGATCTCAGGTTCCACCCACACCTACTAAATCAGAATCCGTATCTTCACGTGACCCCCCCAGATGGTTCACATGTGCATTAAAATGTGAGACACGTTGCTTTCAGGGGCTCCGTACCCAAGGACAAGATCCCTGCTGTTCGTTATTTCAAACAAAGAGCTGGAGTTTGCTCACCTCTCCTATTTATCTGTGTGTGTTACAGAGAAAAAACTGGAGGCAGAACAGAAATGTGTGCGGTGGGGGGAGGAGTGTTTTTCTTTTCTTCTCCTTTTTTTCAACATCTGGCAGTAGAAATAGCTTTTCCCTTCCAGTGTTGCTTTAAAAGGTAAACATCATTGAATGGGGGCAAAGTGGGGCGGAAATAAGACCATAAAACACACACAATGCCAAATTGAAATGATTAACAAAGCTAAGAGGCACAGCATCCCCTGGTGCGGTGTGAGATGCGACAGACAGGTCAGGGCAAACACTAGTGAATCCGTTTCAGTACCTCCCGCCTAAGGGCTGGAACAGGCAGCAACAGAGAGAAAACCATTTCACAATGAGAAGAGGAAACTGTCAAGAAAGCAACCTCCGAAGAGGGGGGACAAGGTGAGAAGGAATCATATGGGGAGAGAAATTCTTTGGGTGGGCTGTGACAGTGGTATCCACAGGTATCCACACCACAGGTGTGGTGGGCTGTGACAGTGGTATCCAGCTCTGAACCACAAGATTGGATTTGCAGCCATAACTCCCAGGCATCCAACCCAGAGCTCTGAATAATTAACCAAAGTTCTGAGGTCTGAGGATGGATTTGGCTTTTAATCCCAATGCTGCCACTTAGCAGAAATGTAAATTTGGAGGCAATATAAATTTTCTCTTTGAGGCTTGATGCTCATCTGCGAGATGAGGATAATTCCATCAATGTCATAGGGTTGGAAAGATAAATGAGATAGTGCATTTTAAACCTAAGCAGGATGCCTGGTACATACCACATGCTTAAAATGACAGTTATTATCACTTATTATTTTCCTACCAAGTACTCTCAGCATTATTCCTTTCCCAGCAAATTTCTTCTTTCAGCCTTGACCTTAATTGGTGGTCTGAAACAGGGATAGGAAGTGATTAAATGATTTTATAAGCACCATCCCCCACTTTCTTAGATCTCCCAAAGTATGATCACTTAGCCCATTCATTCATTTTTTTTTCCAACAATATTCTGAGCTTACTGCATGTCAGGCATATGAACCACGTAAATTACACTTAGTATCTAAGCACCTGTTAGTATCTAAGCGCCAATGGAAGAGGGCTCATTATGAAAATGCACAAAACCAGGTGAAAATCTAGCATCTTTCTGATCACATGCACCTGCATTTTCTATGACCTGTCTCTGGAGACGTGCAGGATGAGGTTTGAGCCAACTCTCTGGGCCTCCTGGAAGTGAATCTATGGGCTCAGAAATGACCCCAGTGCTAAGTGAGTAGCTCTGTAATTACTGTGTCCCACAAAGCATTTCCTGTCTGCTGTGTCCCTGCACTGCATATGGTGTCAGATGAGGGACACAGGGCCAGTAAAGCCAAGCTCAGTTACTCCTCAAGTGGCCTCTTGGCACTGCTGTGTGGTCTGCATCCAAGTCCAGATCATCCACCATACAGGCTCATGCCCTTTGTCCCAACAGTGGTAGAATGAGGAAGCAGGTGGATCTGCACAATTTCACCTCGTAGGAGGCAGAAAGGGTGGCAGGAAAGGCCTCAAGAGCAATGGCCAGTGGCTGATGAATTCTTAGTGGCCTTTGTCAGAGACTGCTGACACCATAAGGAGCCCCGCAGAAGTGCTGAAGGGTAGTCATCAATCAGTAGGCTCTGAGATCAGACAAAACTGGATGTAAATCCCAATTTGGCCTTTTACAAGGTATGGCCCCCTGGCAAGTTGTTCAATCTCTCTACACTGCAGTTTCCTTGCCTGTGAAATGGGGATCCTATTAGTAGCTACTTTTGTATCATTCAGGGTTTAGGTAGGAACAGATGGCACCCTTATATTGAGTAACTTCAGGAGAGTTTAATAAAGGAACTACTTACAAATGAGTGGGCAAGATGTCGAGAAGTAGAAGGGAACAGTGCAGTACCCTAGGACCAGAAACAGTGGGGACTATCATTATCCAGGCCTGAAGGGACAAGATCTTAGAGGAAGAATGATGCAGCTCCACAGTAGCTGTGAACTCTGGCGAGATGCAGCCAGCACAAGGTCTTCCTGAAAGATGGGGTTCGGGGAATGAAATATCCTTACCTCACTTTCCTCCCCTCACTGTCATTGGCTGAGCCCCACTGGAAGCCCAGGGGCAACGCAGCCTCTAGATAGTGTCCTGACAGCCCAGCTTCCTGGGACACAGAGCAGGGGAAAATGCGCTTGCTTGGCTAGCCCACTAGAATCCCAGAGCATCTGGGGTCTGGCTGGCTTACGCTCTTGATTTCAACCTAATGATGCTTGCATCTTGCACTGAAGTGCTCTTTTGGAAGGGCTTACCTCGAAATGACCCTCTGGGCAATCGTAACTCCCTCCAGATCATTCAGCAGCTGCCCTAACCCAGGATTCTAATTCTTCTGAAAAAGAGAAATCACTCCACCAGGATCAAACTTTCCCTTCAGATCCCCCTGAATGCCCAGTACTAACCCAGGACCCAGCAATGTGTTTAATTAATCTTCCGAGATCATGAATCTCTTCTGGGCCCAGAGTGTTTTATTTGGAAACTTGATTTAATTACATTTTACTTTGACTTTCTCAGGGACATCCATGAACCATCCATGAAATTCCCCAGAGGATACTGTTTGTTATTATCAGCTCCCTCTACTCTTGGCCTCCACTACTACTGGCAGTCTATAAACTACACTGCACCTGGCTGTAAACCACCACCCACTTTATCCCCAGAAGGAAAAACAGCAATGGATTGCAAAAATCTTGGCGTCATTTGCAAACCCCCTGTAGCGCTTATTCATATTCAAATCATTTCATCCAGAGCTCATCTAATGGGCAAAATAGAGGAGATGAAACAATTCGCATTAGGGTCAACCTCAGAGACCACCAGAACCAGTAATCCCCAGGGAGAGTCACCAACACATCTGACCAGGTAAGACTGCCCAACCTCCAGACGGCCTACTAGCTTCTTCAACAAGTGAACAAGCAGCTCTTCTCCTGGGAGCATCTGGGCTGAGTTTATCAGCAACTGGTGTTTTAATGCACTGGTGAAAAGTGCAATTTGAACATAAGAGAGCCACAATTTGGTCTCAGGAGCAAATTCAAACATAAGCATGCATGCTTTAAATGGATGCTCAAGCTTCAGGATGCCTTGCATGTCAGACCTGGCCTTATAAACATTTCTATAAACCTGAGCTTTATGATCAGTTTCCCCAGTTCTTTTCTTAAACAAACACCAAAGGTACCCCTTAGTACTTCTCCCCTGGCTTTTGACCTTTCGGGACACCAAGTTGTGGCTAGGACCCGAAGCCACAGAGGCAGTACCAGAGTGGTTCCTCCCAGGAACCATGGAGGCTTTCTCGGCCTCAGTTTCCACATTTGTATAATTGAGTCAATAAGATGGTCTATCTCATAAAGAAGCTGTGAGGAGTGAGCAAGAGAATTTACACAACATGGAGTCCAACAGACAGTAACACTCAATAAATAATAAAAACAGGCTGGGTGCAATGGCTCAGGCTTGTAATCCCAGCATTCTGGGAGGCTGAGGTGGGCGGATCACCTGAGGTCAGGAGTTCAAGACCAGCCTGGCTAACATGGTGAAACCCCATCTTTACTAAAATTACAAAAATTAGCCGGGCATGGTGGCATGCGCATGTAATCCCAGGTACTCAGGAGGCTGAGGCAGGAGAATCGCTTGAACCCAGGAGGCGGAGGTTGCAGTGAGTCGAGATTGCGCCATTGCACTCCAGCCTGGGCAACAAGAGCGAAACTCTGTCTCAAAAAAACAAAACAAAACAAAACAAAACAAAAACAAAAAGGAAAACCTGTCCCCCGACCCTGATACCCTCTCTTTTTCCTTCTATCCCTAAAGCTAATTAAAGTAACGTGTTAAACACTAGAGAGGTCTGTTTACAGGCAGTAATGAGAAACCCACAATCATGGAGGTATTTTAAGTGAAATAGGCCATTTCATCTCATTGATGGAGATGCAGGAAAGGGTGGAGCTGTTGGGGAGGGTGGATATGCATAGGCCAGTTTGATCTGGGGGCTTGAATCAGAGGGAAGGCATTAAGAGCCATTTTAGTAGCTATAGGCGGATCAGATGAGATTCAGCTCAACACCTCTTAACTAGGGAGATGCTGACTCAGTTGATGAAAACTGGAAAAACTGAATAGGAAAAAATGAATCCCATCGGGCTGCCTCCTTCTGCACGTTGGCTGCAAGGCTAAATGCATCACAGGCTTCCAATAAATATGAACTAATCATCAAATTTAAGAGCGAGGAAATCATTGTTCTCCCCAGCCTGGCCGTTTGCCCAGCTGCTGCTCAGAGGGTGATGAGTTGCTTTTTATCTGACAGTGGATCTCCCCTTTGCCCAGAGAAACTATTAGGAACCCAACCAGCTGGAAGACTTTCTCAGCAGTGTTTGCTTGGACTGTGTTCCTCCTTTTCCAGTACAATCCTCACACCGCACCCTAGGGAATCTCACCCTTGACATTTTTTTTTTTAAATAAGCAACTTGATTTGCTCCAATTTCCCTAAGGATCAAAGTAGAAAAGAGTTCACTTTTGGCTTCCAGGACCATAGTGCCAGGAATGGAGTTATATTAAAATCGGTTAGAGCCTAGGAAGGACCAGAGGAGAAGGTTTTCCCTCTTCTTTATCCCCTCTCCCCACAAAAGAACAAGTGCCACTAGTTCCTTAAGTGAGGAGCATCCTGGGAGTTCCATGTTGACTCAAACCTGGAGTCAGAAGGTCCTGGGCCACCTACAATGGATTTATTCCCTCTGCATTCAGTATCCCCACAGTCTTCTTCTGGTTAGTTCCTGCTTCCTCTTCCTGTTGAGTTGCTCCCTGAATGTCAAAAACGGGGTTTATTATCAGAGCTGGCAAAGAAGTCGAGTGTCTCAAAAAATAGGGGTCAAAATGCTTTTTAAAGGTAATTATAGAAACTCTTTGTTTCTTAGCTGTCTCTGCGCCATAGATGCTTCCAAAATATGAAAAATAGGCCAGGCGTGGTGGCTCATGCCTATAATCCCAGCACTTTGGGAGGCCGAGGTGGGAAGATCACTTGAGCCCAGGAGTTCAAGAACAGCCTGGGCAAAATAGTGAGACTCCATCTCTATAAAAATAAATAAATAAATAGTCAGGCATAGTGGCGCACTCCTGTCGTCTCAGCTACTCAGGAGGCTGAGGTGGGAAGGATTGCTTGAGCCTGGGAGTTCAAGGCTGCAGTGAGCTCCGATGGTGGCACTGCCCTCAAGATGCTGTCTCCAAAAAAAAAAAAAAGAAAGAAAAATGAAGAATTCCTGACAAAAGCATTTTATTTCTAAAGAAAAAATATGACCTAAGCAATTTTAAAGACCAGGAGAAAGGGTATCCACATATCCCAAATATGCTAAGTAAATCTCAAAAGAAGAGATTGAGGCCAAAGATCTTTTTTGCTTACTCAGATTTTTCCCTAGGCCCAGTTCACTTTTTGTTTGTTCTAAGCTATGGGGACACTCAATTCCAAGCCAACCAAAGGCAGAAAAATCTCAGTAACAGAAACATTTGAAGAAATAGAGCACTTTACAGAGAAATCATCAAGAATTTCCTTTGACAATTTCACCAAATATAATTAAAATTCACCAACTTCAAACTTTTCCTATACACATGGATTTCTGGCACCTGTCTATTGTAAATGTAAGACACACATCTACAGAAGTTGTAACTTTTCTGGCGTTTTATCTTTGGAAAAGAATACCCTGTCTTGATTATACTCAATAAGAGAATTAAGTTTATATTTCAGGCCGGGCGTGGTGGCTCATGCCTCTAATCCTAGCACTTCAGGAGGCCAAGGCAGGCAGATCTCTTGAGCTCAGTTCTAGA
This sequence comes from Homo sapiens, assembly GCF_000001405.40. Taxonomy (NCBI): domain Eukaryota; kingdom Metazoa; phylum Chordata; class Mammalia; order Primates; family Hominidae; genus Homo; species Homo sapiens. The sequence goes on from NC_000017.11 coordinate 72,272,241, forward strand.
CCAACCTGGGCAACATGGCAAAACCCCATCTCTACCAAAAATACAAAAAATTAGCAGAGCATGGTGGTGCATGCCTGTGGTCCCAGGAACTCAAGAGGTTGAGGTAGGAGGATCCCTTGAGCCTGGGAAGTTGAAGTTGCAGTGAGCCAAGATCATGCCACTGCACTCCAGCCTAGGTGACAGAGCGAGACCCTGTCTGAAAAAAAAAAAAAAAAAAAAGTTTATATTTCACAAACGTATTACTAGTCCAGAGAGACTGTGAAGAAGTGCAGAGTGGAGAACTTGACTAGTGGAGAACTGACTCCATCAGATTCCACCAGCGTTACCTTCTGGATTCCCTTCCTAATTCCCATCTTGGTGTGGCTCACAGAACTCTGACAAGTGAGATTCTGATCCTGCTTAAAGGCTGCCTGTCCTTCTTTAGGAGAGCTCCAGAAATCCCTGTATGGGTATTCACTGGGCCAATCTTTCTGCATGTAGGTAAGTTTGATGCCTCAAGTGTGCAGCCTAGAAGTCCAAGTTAGAAAAGCAATACAATAAAATAGCCAGGAGAATCCAAGACCTCCATTGCTCTCTATATAGGCTTTTGAAGGTCTCCAGCATCAACCCCCAGAGGAGATAAGAGGCAAGGATGTCTTCTGCATCTGCTCTGGGTCTCCCTGGAGGAAGCTTATTTTAGTTTTTCAAGGCCCTACTTGGTGTGTGACTATCAGGCACTAGGTAGACAATGATTCAAATTCAGGCAAGCAAACAAAAGAAAACTTGGGTGTCACTGGATACGACAATTATCAAGAGAATCTGGGACGGGCAGATGAAATCTGAATGGAGAAGGTAGACATTCAAGTTAAAGTCACAACCAGCATCCCCCATCCAGTTTACACACACACACACACACACACACACACACACACACACACGTAGCTCCCTTCTCCCCTTAGCAACATAATCAGTCACATTCAACATGAATTATCAATGACATCATGTAGTTATCAATAAAACTCAAGGACCCCAGCATGCCTTCAGCTGACACCTCCCTGAGTTTTCACTGATGAATTCAGAGCCAAATATGTACAAAGGTAAGAAATCTCCAAAAAGGAATCACTTAACCCAGCTCAGCTGTTCTTTACCTTAGGCTAGTGTTGAGAGGAAAGAAAAAAAAAGAAGAAAGGAAGCGATCCCATAATATCCATCCTCAGGCCTCTGAGCCAGTTTACCTAAACGTTGCCATGGCAATGTGTATATAAGTCAGTCTTCACTCTGAACCACAATCTCTGACTTGACAGAGAACACCCATTTGGGTTCCAAAGTCAGGCAATAGCCAGGCAGTGCAACAGCACGTTTTTGTTCAGGTTGAAACCTGATATTCCTTGCTGGCTACAGGAAATCTTGAGGATTTTTTTTTGGTTTTTGGTTATTCTTCTCTCTGTATCCATATTCCTCTGTTCATCTCTCCCTTACTTTTGTGGGGAGCGAGGATAAAGAAGAGGGAAAACCTTGAGGAGAAGCCTGAGGGGAAAGTAAGAGCTAGCCACACCCAGCCTGGCCCTCTGAGTTAGCCAGGAGCAGAGGGAAGAGGGAGGCTTGTCCGGGCACATGCTTCTGGGTCCTCCCTGCTTTATGAAGCTGAAATGCAGAGCGTCAGAGCTGGAGGGAAGCTCAGGCGAGAACCTGAAATCCCGGGGATGGGAAGTGACTTGCGCAAGGTCACCCAACAAATGAGCAAAAGACTCAGGACAGATTCAGTCTCTTGATTCCCAGTCCAAGGCTTTTCTACAGAAATGACCGTGGACCCTCCCAGGGTTGCCTATGAAACTAACATACTTCTCACGGGAAGCACTGTGCCTGTCCCGACCAGGAGGGGCTCAATGGATGTGTGATGAATGAATGAATGCAATATCAGGGAATCAACAACTCTTTCCTTTCAGAGTTTCCGGATTCCAAAGTATATCCACATCAACAAAATAACCAATAGCAAAGGCTGCATCTCCAAGAGCCTAGCTTCTCCCAGGTCCCCAGATCTATCCACCTCTGCTGAGATTAAGAACTAGCAGGGCCCTCTCCAAGGAGTCACTCCGCTGCCCATTACTAGAATTTTTATCAAGTAGCTGACAAACCAAATTATAAGCCGAGTGTGTGTCCTTTGTGTGGGAGGATGGTGGGGGCAGGGTGAGGAGGGAAGCTGTTCACGTATTTTTTGAGTAAAGGTTGCAAATGCACCTCTTATACATCCTGCCTCCCCGTGGACCATGAAGATTTTGGACCATGAAGGTTCATTTGTAAGAGCGTCTTCTTGGATCAGCAGTGTCTTCTGTGGCTCCAGAATAGAGCCAGGTTAATTAGAACCTAACGGGGACTGAACCAATGGCATGCCCTTATCTTAAATGAAGTCAGTTAAATTACTATGCAATTGCATGCCCCATCACACACACACACACACACACACAGCCCGATGGCACCCCCAACAAGACTGCTCATCTTTAAACAGAAAAGCAATTGGAAGAAATGTGTAGGTTCTGCAGAGAGAGAAGCTGCATTTAGAAACAAAATCACCTTCTCTGGATAAGCTTGCTGCATCCTGAGCTTTTGTAGCCAAGCCCTGCTGGCTGGCAGCTTGGTTTGTCTCCTTAGTGAGAACCGTGATGCATTGGGCTGGCTCTTGGCTTCTAGTCCTACTTGTAATTTGAAGCAAGGGTAGATGGCTGGGGTCAGACAGCAAGGAGCCTGCAGGCTTAGAGGGGAGCCTCCTTGCTTGAACAGACAACACAGGGTGTCCAGGTAGGAGGCCTATAGCTCTGCAGTGCCCTGCCTCCTAAACTGATCCTTCTGAAAGTCTAGGAGAGGGGAGAATTCAAGATTGGCCTTAGGAACTCTCTAGGGCAGAGACACATAAATGCTCAATGGCTTGATCTTCCCAGGACAACGGGAGATGTCTTATTTAAGTACCAGGGATAAGACAGATGCTGCTGTCACTTCTTGAGAATCTTGAGGGAAAAACAAGTACAGCACTTGGCCCATGATAGGTACTCCATAAACATTTGTTGATTTAAACCAAATGTATTAGTCAGGGTTCTCCAGAGGGACAGAACTAATAGGATCTATGTCTATATAAAAGGGAGTTTATTAGGGAGAATTGGCCCACATGATCACAAGGTAAAGTCCCATGATAGGCCATATGAAAGCTGGGGAAGAGAAAAGCCAGTAGTGGCTCAGTCCAAGTTGGAAACCTTCAAAACCAGGGAAGCTGACAGTGCAGACTTCAGACTGTGATGGAAGGGCCAAGAGCCCCTGGCAAGCCACTGGTGCAAGTCCTAGAGTCCAAAAACCAAAGAACCTGGAGTCTGAGGTCCAAGGGCAGGAGGACCATCCAGCATGGGAGAAAGATGAAAGCCAGAAGATTCAGCAAGCAAGGTTATCCTACCCTCTTCCACCTGCTTCATCCTAGCTGCACTGGCAGCCGATTGGATGGCGCCCACCCGTATTGAGGGTCAGTCTTCCTCTCTCAGTCCAACTCAACTGTCAGTCTCTTCTAGCAACACCCTTACAGACACATTCAGAAACAATACTTCACCAGCCAACTAGGCATCCTTCAATCCAATCAAGCTGACACCTAATATTAACCATCTGATATGGTTTTTCTCTGTGTCCCCACCCAAATCTCAGCCTCATTGTTTGGTTCTGTGTCCCCACCCAAATCTCATCGTCTAGCTCCCATAATTCCCACGTGTTGTGGGAGAGACCTGATAGGAGATGACCCATGGTGGCGGGTCTTTCCTGTGCTGTTAGTGAATGGGCCTCACGAGATCTGATGGTTTTTAAAAATGGGAGTTTCTCTGCACAAGCTCTCTCTTTGCCTGCTGCCACCCACGTAAGATGTGACTTGCTCCTCCTTGCCTTCTGCCATGATTCCAAGGCCTCCCCAGCCATGTGGAACTGTAAGTCCAATAAACCTCTTTCTTTTGTAAATTGCCCAGTCTCGGGTATGTCTTTATCAGCAGCATGAGAACAGACTAATATACCATCACACCAAGGTAACCTACTCTGCCCTTTTCTGGATTATACTATCATCATATCAAGGAGAATATAGAGTGTTAAAGGGTGAATTAAAAAGTAACTCCAGTTTGACTTTGAAATCCGTAAGTTGTTTCAGCAGATTTCCTTTGTCGATTGCTTTAGTCAGGTTGATACAGGAAGCATCTGTTCAGGAGGCCACATCAATGGTTAGTAACTAGGGGAGTCCAGAAGTAGGTGGGTAGGTATCTTGGGCTGAGAAGATTTAGACAAAATTCTAGAAAAGGCAAAGCTATAGAGATAGAAAGCAGCTCAGTGGTTTCCAGGGACAGGCTAGGGGATGTGGATTGACTGCAAAGGGCACACAAGAACTTTCCGGAGTGATGGAAGAGTTCCCTATTATGAGTGTGGTGTTGGATTTGCAATACAGTGGTCAAACTCATCTAAGTTTGCATGAGATGAAGCAAACCATGCAAAGCAGGCTCATCCCTGTGTTACAGCAGGGACATGGTACCAACCAAAGGAAGTGGACCTGCTGGGTGGAACATATGTCTTCCAAGATGAGTCAGTCAGGAACAAAGCTTAGAGTGGGCTCCACGTGTCCAGAGTCCCAAAGGCCAGCCTTGAAGACAGTCAAGCCAAGGCCAAGGTGAGACCTGATTAACTCTTGACTACACTTGCAGGAGTTTGATATCTCAGACCTGCCACTTCCCATCACAGTCCAGTTGCAATAGACTTCAGGAGTGTGAACTCAACTTCACAGCTCAAGGAAACATATGTAACCATGAATTTATCTTCAGAGTTGAGTACATGTGTTTCAAAACTGATAACTGACTTGTTTTTCTGAATTCTCTGCTGATTAAAATAATCAGAGAAAGTCCACCCTCCCAAGACTTCTGGACTGGTATTCAAGAGGCCTCAGTTCGCCCCTTAAAAGCTGTTTAACCTCAGCATGTCACCGAACCTCAGTTGGAACCCTCACTACCAAGGTACTATTTGTAATCAAAGAACTGTGCTGGGTACTGGGGACGCAAATAACTAGGACAAAGACCCTGCCCTGGAGAAATCTACAAGGAAGGGCAATACTTCAACCAAGAGTTTCAGACCATGCCATTGGAGCTAAGCTAGAAGAGCACACCAGGTTTACACAGGGACTGTTTAAGGAGTCCTTACTCTTAAATAAGTTCATATCAGAGTAAAAAAAAGTGAACAGCTAAATATGAATTTGCATTCCAATGTTAGAAATAATATATTTTTTAAAATTATTTGAATAAAACATTTACATAGAGCCCTCTCTGTTCCAGGCATTTTTTAAAGCAGTTGGAACATAGGAATTGATTTAAATCCTGACCACCCTAGGTACTAATATCATGCCCATTTTACAGATGGGAAAGAAGTTAACCCACAGTTAAGCCAGCTAGGTGACTGGCTTATGCTCTAAGCCACAACCCCTGTACCTTGGTGTGCTGTAAAACTTTCTGGGTTAGAGTACAAAATGGGCCAGGACAGCCACTGGGAAGGGAATTGAAGGTAGTCCATGCTACAGTCCCCATACCCCATAGTGGCACCCATGCCACTCTGGGTCGTGTCTTTATTTGTGACAGGGTCTTTCGCTGTTGCCCAGGCTGGAGTGCAGTGACATGATCTTGGCTCACTGCAGCCTCGATCTCCTGGGCTCAAGCAATCCTCCCACCTCTCAGCCTCCCTTGTAGCTGGCACTACAGGTGCATGCCACCATGTCTGGCTAAATTTTTAATTTTTTGTAGAGATGGGGTTTTGCCATGTTACAGCCCAGGCTGGTGTTAAACTCCTGAACTCAAGCCATCCGCTTGCCTCAGCTTCCCAAAGTGCTGGAATTACAGGTGTGAGCCAACGTGCCCAGCCATGAGTCATGTCTTATAGTGTGTGCACTGAAGATATTTATTTCCATCAATAATAATAATTAAGGATAGTGGTATAATCATCAATGGATTGGTTTAATGTCAGATATGCGCTGATGAAACCAGCAAAATTATAAAAAGCAACATGTTAACATGGACCAAAAATTTTATAGTAATGAAATTTTACAATTCCAAGGAAGTAGAAAAAGAATGATTTGGAAATTTAGGATTGGGAGCCAGGCTCAAAAGGTGCAAGAAGGGGAAGGCATTCCAGGTAACAAGAATGACGTGTCCTGAGGCAGGAGGTTGTCACTGTCATGCGTTGTTTTTTAAAATTAGCTTTATTGAGGTATAATTTACATACGGTCAAAGCCTTCTGTTATAAATTTACAACTAGATGAGTTTGACAGCTGTGTTGCAAAACCAACACCACACTCATGATAGGGAACTTTTTCATTGCTCCAGAAAGTTCTCTTGTGCCCTTTACAGTCAATCCACATCCCTCAGCCTGTCTCTGGCAACCACTGAGCTGATTTCTGACTCTATAGCTTTGCCTTTTCTAGAATTTTGTCTAAATGGAAGCGTGCAGTATGTCGTCCTTTGGGTCAGGCTTATTTATTTAGCATAAAGAGCTTTGGAGAGTCATCTATGTCATTATGTGTACCAGAAGTCTGTTTCTTTTTATTACTGAGTAGTTTTTCCTTGCATGGTCAGTTATACCACAAGCTAATGTACATTTGGGTTGTTTCCAATTTGGGGAATAAAGCTGCTATGAATATTTGAGTACAAGTCTTTATGTGAACATGTTTTCATTCTCTTGAGTAAATATCAAGAACTGGGATTACTGAGTGGTATGGGAAGTGTATGTTTAATGTTATAAGAAACAGCTAAGCTGTTTTTTAAAGTGGCTTTGCCATTTTGCATTCCCACCAGCAACGTATGAGAGTTTCAATTGCTTTACATCTTTGCCAACACTTGATGTTATCAGGATTTCTCATTTTTTTTGAGATGGAGTCTCGCTCTGTCGCCCAGGCTGGAGTGCAGTGGCACAATCTCGGCTCACTGCAACCTCTGCCGCCCGGGGTCAAGCGATTCTCCTACCTCAGCCTCCCGAGTAGCTGGGATTAGAGGCACACACCACCACGCCCAGTTAATTTTTGTATTTTTCGTAGAGATGGGGTTTCACCATGTTGGCCAGGCTGGTCTCGAACTCCTGACCTCGTGATCCGCCCAACTCAACCTCCCAAAGTGCTGGGATTACAAGCATGAGCCATAGTGCCCGGCCTAGGATTTTCCTTTTTTTAATATTAGCCCTTATAGTGGGTGTGGTATCTCAGGGATGTAAGTTGTGTTTCCTTCCTGATCAATGGCTAATGGTTTGGAGGGTTTTTTTCATGTGCTTATTTACCATTGGTATATTTTCTTTGGTGAATATTTTGCTATTCTTCATTGAGTTGTTTGCCTTCTCACTGAACTGTAAGAATCCTTTATGTATTCTGGATACAAGTCTTTTATCACGTATGTTGCATATATATTTCTCCCAGTCCATCACAAGTTCATTTTAAATGACAATGAGTCTATCCGTCCAGCCAGCATCCAAAACTGAATTGACCATCTCACCTCTCAATGACCAGCCCATCACCCCCTAAGAAACAAACTAATAATAATAATATTTTGATACATCAAGGAAATTCCATTATCCAAGAGAGGTCCTGACAGTCCATAACTTGGTTTCTAGTCCTGTTGTTCCAATAGAGACAGAAACACTAAGCCAAGACAAGTTTTCCTAAAGAAAAAGAGTGTTGAGAAGCAGCTAGGATTGGGCCAATCTTTGAAGGAGAGTTTTGATGACGTTCTGTTATATTTGGACATGGGGACAATGTGATTAGTAATTTCCTTCCTTCATCTTGCTCATGCCTCAGTTTCTTCATCTTTCAGCTTTGTATTAAAACAACATTCATACAGAAAAAGAATGCATAAAACATACGTGTAAAGCTTAATGAGTTTTCACAATGAGTTTTTTCATTTTAGTTTAATGGGGAAAGACAGTTGGCCTCTAGAGACAACATCAAGCTTCACAGAATCCTGTACTAGGCTGTGTATGCATGTGTGTGTGCGTGTGTGCGCGTGTGTATGCATGTGCGCATGTGTGTGCATGTGTGTGCATGCACGTATGTGCTCATGCACATGTGCACACTGGGATTAGAGAGTAAAATATTAAAGAAACAATTGAGTAAGTACAGTAAACAACTGTACATTTTAAAATAACTTAAAGAGTGTAATTGGATTGTTTGCAACTCAATGGATAAACGCTTGAGGGGATGGATACTCCATTCTTCATTATGTGCTTATTTCACATTGCATGCCTGTATCAAAACATCTCAGATACCCCATAAATAAATACACCTACCGTATATACTATATACCCACCAAAAGTAAAAATAAAAAAATAAAATAAATTGCTACCTTTACAGAAAACATCCTACATGCTTTACAATGAAAATTGCATCTAATCTTCATAAGAGCCCCTAAGGTAGCTAATATTACACCCATTTTAGAGATAAGGAAATTTTATGGCTCAGAAAACCAAAATAACATCCTGGTATTACATGGCTAGAACACAGTAGAGCCAGAATTCAAACCCCATCCTGTCTGAGCTCATCGCCTCTACACCATCTCTGACAATGGGGACTTATGGTCTGGCAAGGAGAACAGGCAAAACTATGTAAGGAAGGATATACATCAGTGGGAAAAATATAGATGCATTAATCAATACTTTCATATCAATCTTATTTTCCAGTTTTCAGATTCAAATTTCCAGCGGCCTACTGAAAATTGCCGCATGGGAACAGGGAATTCTGTAGCCACCTCCAAATGAGCAAATCCAACATCATCATCCCTCCCACCTCCACCTATGCATGCACACCTGGTCTACCCCCTCCTATATCCCTTACCTCAATCAGTGTCGTAATTGTTCAAACAAGTACCTTGGTGACTCTCCCTCTTGCTTCACACATCCAACTCCTGCTAAATCTACCTTCTAACTTCTTGCAAAATGGTTTCTGCCTCTGTCTTTCCACTGCTGTTGCCTTAGTTGAGGCCACCTGATAGTTCTCCCTACTCAAATCTCTTTATTATACAGTCAGTGTAACCCTCCAATGCACACCTAATGATGTCACTCTTCTAAAGTAAAATGTCCCTCCTTTAGAATAAATTAAAACTCCTGTATGTCAAACCTTGCATGCCTGCAATTCAATTCTAATTTATATTCTTGCACCATCTTCTACCATTACACCCTTCTCACCAATGACTCCAAACTTTTCTCCATTCCCTAAACACACTTTTCTTTTTTCCAGTTCAACAAATGTTTACCAAGTGCCCCTTTATTTGCCTGTGTTGGGCATAGGGATGTAGAGCAAGGTTCTCAATCACGGCATGATTGACATTTTGGGTGGATCATTCCATGTTATGGGGCCATCCTGTGCATTCTAAGATATTTAACAGTAACCCTGGCCCCTAACCACGAGATGCCAGTAGCACCTCCCTTCAAAAATGTGACAACCCAAATATCTCTAGACATTGCCCAATGTCCCTCAGAGGGCAAATTCATCCCCAGTTGTGAGGCACTGCTGTAGAGTGAGAGATGCTCCCTGTCCTCCAGGAACCCTTGGTTGGTTGGTCACAATGGGCATGTGCATCATGCAATGCAGCATAGAGCAGAAGTCGCCAGCCCCCAGGCCATGGACCAATACCATGTTATGAACCAGGTCCCACAGCAGGAGGTGAGTAGCGGGCAAGCGAGCATTGCTCCCTGACCTCCACCTCCTGTCAGATCAGTGGTGGCATTAGATTCTCATAGGAACATGAATCCTATTGTGTACTGCACATGTGAGGGATCTAGCTTGTGTGCTCCTTATAAGAATCTAATGCCTGGTGATCTGAGGTAGAACAGTTTCATCCAGAAACCATCCCACACCTCACACCCTGCCCATACTGGGTCCATGGAAAAACTGTCTTCCACAAAACCGGTTCCTGGCACCAAAAAGGTTGGGGACTGCTGGCATAGAGGTTGCTGGGAATGATGGCTCTAGACAGGTCCACTCTGAGTTAGTATCATGACCCTTCTCCTTCCTTCTTTGAGACTTTGGACAATTAAATTCAACTCTCTGAGCCTTCAGTGACTCCTGTATAAAATATGGATTCGAATTTCAACTTCAAGATCTGCTGTGTACATTATAGAACTGAATATGTGTAAACATTTGACATACTAAGAACTTGAAAGGAGGTATTTTCCCACCCTTCACCCGCACACCCTCCACATCCCCAGGACGTAGCCCCAAAGTACCTTTTGTGCTTCTGCAGATGCTGTTTCTTCCCCTTCGGATTTGAGTCCCTCTCCCCTTCCCACCTGCTGATGACTCCTTTAAAATTCAGCTCCAATGTCAGCTCTGATACATTCACAGTGGCACAGAAGAGTTGAGTACCCTTTGTGGTTCTCACACACTTTGCTTACATCTCTCTTAGCATATTTGACTACCTCTTCTTCTAGGTCAAGTTAGCAAACTTTCTGTTAAGGGCCAGCAAGTAAACATTTTAGGTTTTCAGGGTACACAGTCTGTGTCACAACTATTCAACTCAGCACTGGAGGTGAAAGCAGCCATAAACAGGAAATACATGGGTGTGGCTGTGTTTCAATAAAGTTTTATTTACAATGCCACCATCTGGCTTTGTAAATGAAAGTCTGTCTTATTAACTTTTGTAACTCCAGCCTCTTGTACAGTACCTGGTACATCCTAGATACGATTTAAATGATTAAGAGAGCAATAGATCCACACTGATCATCATACCAGTATTAATAAAACACATAACTGTAAAATATTTTGAGAGTATGAGAATAAGGAGCTGACTAAAGGAATAAAAACCACCCCTGATGCTAATTCAATAATTAAAGAATCATTATACACTTTCTTCTCTGGAGTAGAAAACCTTTCTTCTCTTTTCTTCTCTTGAGCTGTGAGTCAAGGTTTAGATGTAGATGTGGCATTGCCAGAGAAAATACAGGATGCCTGAGTCTTACTATAAGAGAAATAATTGATATGGTTTTGGCATAAGTATGGCCCATGCAATCTTTGGGACATATTAAACCTAAAAAAATTATTGGTTGTTTATCTGAAATTCAAATTTAACTGAGTGTCTTTTACTTTTATTTGCTAAATCTGGCTACCTTGTATAGGTGTAGAGTGGTTCTGTTTTCTTCTCTCCATCTTCTTCTTGCAGAAGAGGCGTTTGGCCCCAGAAAAGATGAGAACCAGTCTGACCTGCTCATCCACCTTCCCGCCCCACCCCCCCAGGAAGAGGGCCCCGTGAAAACCACATGGCAGTTCTGTTGGAACTGGAAATTTAATTAACAAAATGCTAACATGTAATTTCAGAGGAGGAGGGAAAAAAGCGTTATCACCAAGTTAATAAGAGAACTATTTTAATTACGGCATTTAACAAGTTATGACCAGGCCACTGCATTCTCTAGGGAAGGATTCACATCATTCAAGAATCTTAGAGCAGGGAAGGGACGTAATGGAGCCGAGGTGGAAACACCAATACGCCAATATCCCGCATGTCTCTGAAAGCCATCTTTGAGTTCTCTGTCTCCGGCATTTAGAAGTCCCCAAGGAGCCGTGTTCTTTCTCTCCCATGACTCAGAGAAGAAAACTAGCTGTCCCCATCTGTCATGTAAAGTTCCAGCCAAACAGGACCTATGGAGACACATAAAACCCAAACCTGACATGCAGAGCTGGCCTTTGTCCCTACATCCTTTGGGGTGAAATGGGTGGTTTTCTTTGGCACCACAGCTCCCTGTTTCTGGGCCTTCCTGCCTACTCATCAGTCCATGCTGACATCTCTGTCTCCTTCCCCCAGTGGACCAAACAGCAGAATGGACAACAGACCTTGACACAGGGTCAGGGAAAAGAGACGGTGGCCACGCCTGAGAGTGATTGGGAGGCTGTGGCGAGTGGTGTCACGGGGTAGAAATAGCTCTGGTGGCAGAGTCAGATGGCCCTTTGCCTTTGCGAGCTAATCCCAAATCCTCCAGGGGCATCAGAGGGCCTGTTCTCAGTGACCAGGCAGTGGGCCCTATTCTTTTTCCCAACCTCAGGAGAATGAGGTTGGGCCTAGGGAGTAGAAGGAATGTGGCCCCACAGCATTAAACAAGCCAGGCCAGGATCAGGGGTGGCCTTGGCTTTCCCCATCCTGCTTCTCATGACTCCCAGGCATTTTGTTCCCAAACAGAATGGGGCTTCCAAAGGGGAAAGGGTGGGCAAAGAGCTGGAAACTCAGCCTGTGAAAGTGGCCATAGAGGAGTGGAAGGCACAGGGAGACTCTGCCAAAAAGGAGTCGGGGGAGGCACAGAAGCTGCCGCTAGGGATTTGTCTTCCCCTTCCAGTCACCAAAGGAGACTCTCCAAACCCTAATCTGAGTGGACAGTGAGTTAAAGTAAGGAGCAAGTCCTGGCTTTTGGGTAGAGGAACCTCAGGCAATCACAGTGTCATTTGGGGAGGGAAGCGAAGAGAAGACGGAGAGAAACTACAAGTGATCTTAATGCAATATAGCTCAGTCCAACAAAAATATGCCTCATTAAAATAGATTGAATAGACCAAACTGCCTACATGGTTTCCTATACTCTGGGCACTAAATTCTCACTGCAAAGACCACGTATAGTTTTCTCCATCCTTTTCTTTCCTTCTTCCTCTTCCTTTCTGGAACACATCAGGTCGAAAGCCATTAGTGTAGCTGTCCACACTGGAAGGCAGGGATGAGCCACAGTGACCCAAGGTCGGGTGTCAGGCTCAAAGGGTGAGGAAGGTGTTTACACTTGGGGAAGGGCCCAGCATGGGTACTGGAGCCTGTGCAGGATGAAGAGGCATCCGAGTGGAGCAGAAGGTGACCACAGTGATGAGGGACTGGGTTATCTGCAGGGGGATTAACTAAATAAGTAAATGGACTAAAGATAACAAAAGACAAATTCCTCACTGTGGGGAAAGGAGTACCACCTGTAGGAAGGGAGAAAATGAGAATGAAACCCAGGTGCTGGACTGAAAATGAAGATAATGTAAATGTGAGCTTTTCAATACACATAGATAAATACAGAAATAAATATAGATGTAAATGTCAGTATGTGTATGTTCGTGTGTGTGTGTGTGTGTGTGTGTGTGTGTGGCATACACTTCCACATAGGTCTATGCCCACGATTCTGCAGAGAGGGCCTGGGAGCGGCAACATCCCAACAGCAAACGAGCACACTTAGTTCCCAGATGTGTTTCCTATGTATTATTCTCCACTAAACGGAACCAAGGCTCCTTGGAGAAATGGCTGATTTCCGGGCTGGGGCAGGGAAAGTACAGGATGAACCTGGATCATTGTTCCATAAATCAAGGAGTTGCTCAGAAATGACAAGGACAGGCTGGGTGCCGTGGCTTACACCTGTAATCCCAACACTTTGGGAGGCCGAGGTGGGCAGATCCCCTGAGGTTGGGAGTTTGAGACCAGCCTGACCAACATGGAGAAACCCTGTCTCTACTAAAAATACAAAATTAGCCAGGCATGGTGGCACATGCCTGTAATCCCAGCTGCTCGGGAGGCAGAGGCAGGAGAATCACTTGAGCCAGGGAGGCAGAGGTTGCGGTGAGCTGAGATCGCGCCATTGCACTCCAGCCTGGGCGACAGAGCAAGACTCCATCTCAAAAAAAAAAAAAAAAGAAAGAAATGATGAGGACACGTCAAAAAAGGCACAAAAGTCAGCTCAGAGGAGGTTCTGCTTGTCAAATCTGGGATAATCTGAGCAACAAAATTAATAATGAAGTAATGGCATATGGGTAATGAAGAAAATAGGAATCTTCAAGTCCACATATTGATGTAAATTAATTGAAAATTTTATGAGAAACAGAACATTTTCATAGTCTCAAAATACTTCTCCACCAAAAGAAAAACGTTTACTAATGACACAGGGGAAAGGGATAACTTTATGATGGAGGACTCAGACAGGCCCACCTGTGTACCATGTGCCAGAATCTAACAAGGACACAGCATCATGTAACATCCCTGCCAAAGATGCATCCCCTAAATCTAATAATTAGGGATCATCAGACAAACTGAAATTGAGAGATATCCTAAGAATAGTTGGCCTACAGCCTTTAAAACTGTCAATGCCATGAAAGTCAAGGAAAGACTGAGAAACTGTTATGATTCAAATCAAACATGATGAATAAACGACAACTGGATCTTTTTGCTACAAAAGACATTATTGGAACAATGGGTGAAGGTGATTGAGCTCTGAATATTAAGTGGCAATAAGTTATCAACGTTAATTTCCAGGTTGTGATGGCTGCATTATAGACATGTAGGATGGAGCTATGTTGCCTTGTAGAAAGCTATGCCATTTGTAGAATTACACAGGAATGTTTTTGCAGGGATGCAGTATCACATGGGCCACTCACTCTCAAATGGCTCATGAAAAAATTTCCTTGTACCATATTTGCGATTTTTATGGAAGTTTGAAGTTGTTTCAAAATAAAAACCTAAAAAATAAAAAAGACTTGGGTGGTGGACATGATGAAGATATCCAAATCCAGTAGTAACCAAGGGGGAACTGAATCTTGGAATTCTATCAAGACAAGAAGGTTGATTACAGTTGGCTGGACCCAAAGTTCAATTGAGAATTCCAGACTCACTGTACAACTTCATGTCAATGAGGCGTGGAGGAGATATTGAAGGTTCCAAAGATGATGCCCTGCTTCTTCTCCCCCAAAAAGCTTGTGAAATTTGATAATCAAAGAAGTGAAGCCACTTGTCTTGGTACTGGTTCAGTGCAGATGGGCTTTTGCTCCTGGGCACTATGCTTATGCCTTAAGTTTTACAGGTGATTCCTGGGGAAGACTTTGCTGCTTTGCTTCCCTCCAATGTGCTCATCCAAGCCAGGGTGCACCTGCGGGTGCTGTATCTCCCTGTCTCTGCTACCTGCATACCACCTGCTACTCTCTGTGGAACCCAATGACCTTCAGCCCACTGGGCAATGACAAAGCCTGAGCAGGGAGAGTTTCTTTCTTCTGAGAGAATGAATTGAAAATGCAGCTCTCATTTGTCCAATATTAACAGGACAATTGCTTCTCCTAGGAGCCGTTGCTTAGACACCTCTCAGGTCTTCCTATCTAATCACTTTATGCCAACTACTTTGGGTCACCACAGAGAAAATAAAGGGGAGATCCAGTAGCTACTGGATGGAATGGCCCTTCCCAGGCAGCCAGCCCCATGTCAGGATACTGTGTTTGAGGAATAGATGTTGGGTTTCTGCAGCTCCATGAAATACAGATGTATACACACCAGAGTCACAAATACTCCTGAGTGTCTCACCTAAGCATATATGCATCCAAATTACATTCTCCCCTGATGAATGGTTAATAAAGTTTCAGAACACACCCAGGCCTCCCCCTACCCCAACCCCAGTTTAGGTTGGAGAGACAGCAGATCCCACAGAAAAAAGAAGGGGAAAATGCCCAGTGGACCAGTTCAAGTGTCTTTCTTCATAAAACTCTCCAGTAGAGGGAAGAATGCAAACTATGCTTCTTAAACCCTGGCCTGCCATGAGGCACAGCAGCAGGCAGATCAGCAAGATGCTCGGATCGTGTGACACGGCCCTGGCACCTGGCTCCATGTGGCACCCTGACAAATCAAACACCAAACTGCCAGGCCCATTCTCCGCCACCTGCACTGCTGGGAATCCAATGCTCATGTGAAATGCTTGAGTTTGTTTAGCAGTGGGGGAGAGCAACCCAAGGGTCCCAGCATATCTTATAGTTTAGCCCTCAGAAATAGGTACTGCCACCAGCCTCATAAGGCATTGCCCTATCAAGGAGTATGATTCAGATAATCCAACCAAGGGGCAGAAATGAAGCCCAGGCTCACACTGAGTGATAAGCTCTGTTAGGATGCTTCTGTGCATTTTTTTTTAAATTGGGAAAAAAAGACTTTTAAAAACAAGGGCAAGAAATCTGAAGGTAGGTGGTTCCAGGCTGAATTAATTTATCAAATAGCAGCTCAAATGTGTCAGGGCTCTGTATCATGGTTCCTGAAATTCTCCTCACTTTTCCTAACGGCCGCTGTAGCTCCAAACATCAAATCCTGTATCCAGCGCCTATTGTCTGTTAATAGGTGTGCAAGGATGGGTCAAACAGATGGGACCCCCGCTTTGGTGCAGCTTACAGTCTACTGTTAGTCCAGAGGCTGCCCTGGAACCCTTCCATCCATCTACAGTGGCTCCAGCTTCTTTCATTTCTCTTGCATAAAGCAGTTTTGAACAAATCAATCTATACTCATATATTTTTTGACTCAGGGGTAGTTTTAAAGCTGGCACACCCATAATTTCTTTTCTCTGAAATTCCGGCCCTCTCAAATCCTTGAAGAGCTTTTGTTTTTGTTTGAGTTTGAGATGGAGGCTTGCTCTGTTGCCCAGGCTGGAGTGCAGTGGCGTGATCTTGGCTCACTGCAAGCTCCGCCTCCCAGGTTCAAGCGATTCTCATGCCTCAGCCTCCGGAATAGCTGGGATTACAGGCATGCGCCACCACATCTGGCTAATTTTTGTATTTTTAGTAGAGATGGGGTTTCAGCATGTTTGCCAAACTGGTCTCAAACTCCTAGCCTCAAATGATCCCCCCACCTCAGCCTCCCAAAGTGTTGGGATTACAGGCATGAGCCACCGTTCCCAGCCTGAGTGGGTTTTATTGAATGATTAAAATATGTCACAAGTAGAAAACAACTGGAGCAGTACCTGGAACATGGTGAGTGTTCAAAAAAAAGTCTTTCCTGTCCTCATTCTTGATAGTCAAGGTTCCTGGTCACCACGACCACTACCCCTTTCAGAAAAGAGGCTCTCACCGCTGTGTTCTTAAACAACCTGCTGCCTAGTGACAGGATGGGCTAGGATTTATGGATGCCCTGCTCTCCTCCACCTCAGCTCACCCATGGGCATCTGAGCTACATGGCTTGTACTAGGTCCCACTTACAAAATCAATGGCAGGTTAATTTTGTACCAAGCAGAAAGCTGTTCCACAGCTTCAGGAGACACTTTTTAATTAGTTCAACATCTCAGAGATACATGCCCTGGGACATGGGTAGATGGATAAATATATGGATGCGGGTCAAGAAGGAATCTCTCCTTAATTGATCCGTTCCTATATATCAGTTACCAGGCCACATATAATCACATTTCATCTTCCTCCCAACCAAAGGACATATTATTTCTTTCCATTTGCACATGAAGGTTCAGAGAGATTGAAAGATTTACTTGACACTACATAGCTAGTGGTAAAGCCAAGATTAAACCTGGGTGTCTTGGGCCCTGATCTTTTTTATTTCTACCATCTCTGTTGCATTTATCACAGGGAGCCATGGGCAAGAGACAAGGGCTTAGTGTGAAGCATCCCTGCCACAGTTAGGCAAAAGCCTCAAAGCACCCACTTTAGAGTGGTGGGAAAAAGAGTTTCGCCTATTCATTCAACAAACACACTTGCCATGTGCTAAGAACTGGAAGAGTTTAGAGGATTCTACAATCAAGACACAGAAGAATTTCAATCTTTAAGGACCTCACACCTAGGTAGGAGTCAGGTTGGTGGGAGGTAAATGCACAAGTAGTTCATTATTTTAAAAATAATGATAAAAGTAGAAAAAGAATCAATGGTGTCTACTTTTTTTTTTTTTTTTTTTTTTTTTTGAGATGGAGTCTCGCTCTGTCGCCCAGGCTGGACTGCAGTGGTGCAATCTCGGCTCACTGTGCAAGCTCCGCCTCCCGGGTTCACGCCGTTCTCCTGCCTCAGCCTCTCCAGTAGCTGGGACTACAGGCACCCGCCACCAAGCCCAGCTAATTTTTTTTCTTTTCTTTTTTTTTTTTTTTTTTTTTTGTATTTTTAGTAGAGACAGAGTTTCACTCTGTTAGCCAGGATGGTCTGGATCTCCTGACCTCGTGATCCACCCACCTTGGACTCCCAAAGTGCTGGGATTACAGGCATGAACCACCGCGCCTGGCCCTGTGGTGTCTACTTCTGAAATGAAAAATATAGCAGGTTTCTTTTTGCATTTTTGGTAAGAGAAGGACCTTTCCAAGCGAAAGGTATTGTTATGGAACTGTTAAATCTACATAAATAGCAACAGAGTCCGATGAAAGAAAGAAGTACTGATTTGATACTGTTTGTTGCTGTGCAGGAATAACATTCCCTCCTGATTTTCACACATTCTGCCAAATGGGAAAATTCCCCTCCACCTCCCTGCATCAAATCTAAATGCCAAAGCTCCAGGGGGCACGCAACAGGGAGGCCCATGCTGATCGGGCTCTGCTGTAATAGGTTACATGCAAGAAAAGCAGCCAAGGGGAAGGAAGAGGGAGATGAAGTGACAAACTGAGGCCAGCACTTTGATGGTGTCATTTTGGGCAAGTCATTGACACTCTTCTTGTCGAAGTTTCCACTTCTCTGTATACTGAAAATAACTCACTTTGCCGCTTCACTGTTAAAACAAGCCGAGTTCCACCAGTTCAGGCCTAGCATAACTTGGTAATAAAACAAAGAGGAACAGACCCTCCCTGCCCTTCATCTTCTTTGCCTAGGAGACCGTGTTTATCAAGAATTCTACCTTGAGAGTTGGGTTAGTCTTCATCCCTAAAACAAGTGTTATCTCTGAGCTCTTGGGTTCTTCCGTCTCACACTTGCTGCCTCATGGGTTCTTTCGAAGCCAACCTCTGCAACCATCCTAGAAGGGGTCAATGTCCAATGAACACTAAGACTTTCTGGTTCCTTGACCATTATTTGAATGCTTTTCGCTGTCTATATTCTTCCCAACTCACTCTCACGGCATGTCTTGGATTTTTCATCACCCAAAATAGTCCTACCTCTGACCTTTTAAAATCTGAGGTCTCTGACTCAATGTCCTATCTTTCCAGCATTTTCTCTATGCCCATTCTCTCACCTCATTATCATCTCCACACTCTAGACCCCTCCCTTTTGTTTAAATTTGCCACCTCACTCCTAGTGCCATTTTCTTCCCAACCCAGCCCATTTGACCATGGTCATTCTTATGCCAATAACTCTAACAGTGCTTCCCATCATTCCACTTCTAACCGCACTTATGGACCAAGCCAACAAAAGGTCTGCTTCCCTCCCATATGAGAGTGGCTGCATACCACTAGTCTGCTCACAGACCCCTACACATGGGGAGGGTACGGAGTGTCAAGAGCCAGTTTCAGACAAACCTCTCACAGTGCTCAGCAATCCTACAATTTTCTAATCAGCTCCATCCTTCATTCTTCTCAGTGGCAATGCCAGAATTTTAAGCGTCTTCTGCCATCATTCCTGATACAGATGATCTTGTTTTCTATTTCACTGAAAAAAAAAAAAATAGAGGCAATCAGATGTAAACGTCCTCACTTAGTGCCCAACCCTACCTGCAGTCTTGCCTTTTCCCCCAGGTCTCTAACACAAATTGTACCTTCACTTGTATCCAAGATTAATCCATGCAGTCTTGCCCATTTCTTCCAAAACATCCTGAATACGATTGACCCCAATATGTCTTGCATGTTTTTCTCTTTCTCCATTGGCTTCTTTCTCTCATTCTATTAACACCCTCAAGTGTTTTCTACCTTAAGAGTCTATTAACTTTCCATGTCCTGTAAATAATATTCTCTTTCTCTCTTCATTCACACTACCTTATTTCTCTTAAGTGTAACCTACATTTAAGGTATCTTGTTTGTTTGTTTGCTTGCTTTTGAAACAGGGTCTCACTCTGTTGCACAGGCTGGAGTGCAGTGGCACAATCTCACTACAGACTCAACTTCCTGGGCTCAAGTGATCCTCCCACCTCAGCCTCCTGAGTAGCTGAGACTACAGGTGCACGCCAACATACCCAGCTAATTTTTTATTTTTTGTAGAGACGGGGTTTCACCATGTTGGCCAGCATGGTCTTGAACTCCTGAGCTCAAGGTAACCACCCACCTTGGGTTCCCAAAGTGCTGGGATTAAAGGTGTGAGCCACTGCACCCAGCAAGCCATCTTCTTTCTCATCTCTCAATGATCCTTCAGCTCACTGGATTTGTTTCCTCCTTCTCTGTCCTAACACAGCTCTCACCAAGTCACACATGACCTACTAGTTCCCAAACATAAGGGTGTTTTTCAATCGTCTTATTTGTTCTATGTTTACCCTATTACCTACAATATCCTTCTTTAAATGTTCTTCTAATTCCATTTCAGACACTCTCCATTGTTTCAAATCCTCTTGCTTCTCCTCTGATTGCTCCTCCTTTCATGAACTTCTCTTTCTCTATCCATCTCTCGAATCTTGGTGTTTCCGAAAGCTCTGTTTTCTAACCACTCTACATTATTTCCCATGGGCATCTCAGTCATGTAGACGCTTTAACCTCCATCCACACATCCACATGCTAATGACTTCTCAGTGACAGGCATATCCCAGACTACTCTCGTGGGTTCCATACTCATAGACCCAGCTACCTGCTAAACATTTTCACGTGGACCTCACATGGGCATCGCAGACTTAGCATGTCAAAACTTCTAAACATTTTACTCTTCCCAGCTGCTTGCTTTCTTGATCTCCCTGTCTCTGAGACTAGAACCACCAATAGCCTTTTGCCCAAGTCAGAAAACCAAGAGCCACCCCAAATGCTCCCCTTCCTTACACTCACATATAATTAAAAATTGTCTAGTTGACCTCACCTTCCCAAATCTCTGAAGTTAATTGCCCCCTCTCCATCACCATTGCATAACACTGCTCTCAGTTTCCTAGCTCAGAATTTTGCAAATGCTCCCAACTGGTCTTCCTGGCTCCAGTCTAAGTCCCCTACCATGCGTCCCCTGCATGACACCAAAGTCATCTTTCTAACATGTAAATACGGTCATCCCATTGCCATGTACTTAAGATTATTTTTTGGCTCCTTAATGCTGATAGGATAAAAAGCACCCTGCTTTGCATGGCATATAAGACTGTTTGTGATCTGACACCTTCATTCCTATGTAGCCTCATTTCTCATCATGGTTTCTGTTGCCTCTGACACTTCATATCTATAATTACTCACCATCCTGGAATAGCCTGTGTTCTGACAACCTCAGTGCCTTAATATGTGGCTTTTCATCTATCTGACATAGCTTATCTCTCACTCCCACTTCCCTCCCCATGTCCCCTTGCCTATCTTGGGAGTCTCAGCTCAAGCATCTCACCTCCTGAGAAATCTCTCATGACCACACTGGAAAATTTTGGAGCTCCTCGTCTTTCTGTCTTCATCTATCACTAGGCATCAAACAAAACTCCATTAAAGGGTGTTCATCTTCCCCTCTCTTTTCTCCAAGGGAGGAACCTACTTTCTTTCACTTTGTCTTCCAAGGGTCTAGACTCAGGTATAGTGAGTGCTCATAAAATTATGTTGAATGAATGCATGAATAAATGAAATAAAAGAAGAAACACCACTCCTAGTCTTTTATTATGTTGTTTTTTGAGACAAGGTCTCACTCTGTTGTCCAGGCTGGAGTACAGTGGTTTGTGATCACAGCTCACTGCATCCTCAATGCAGTGAGTTGAGTAGCTGGGACCTCAACCTCCCAAGCAGCTGGAACTACAGGTGTGTGCTGCTATGCCCAAATAGTATTTTTATTTTTTGTAGAGATGGGGTCTTGCCATGTTGTCCAGGTTGTTCTCAAACTCCTGGGCTTCAGGGATCCTCCTGCATCAGCCTCCCAAAGTACTGGGGATTACAGCCACCATGGCCACTCCTAGTCTTTAATCTTAAGCATTCATCACTTAAAACAAATGTACCAGTAGAAGGAAAGGAAAAGGAACAACATCAATAAATGCAACCAGGTCCAAATACAAGGGTTTTTATCTAGGAAAATTATTTTACATATTGAATTACATAACTAACATGGATGTCTGTAAGTATTACTTTTAATGGCAAAAACCACAATTATTTTGCACCAACCTAATAGAAGACCATTGACTATACATGAGTTCCTATTAGAGTGCAGGATTGCTGATATCAAATCATCCTCCACATCCACGTTCTAGAAGCATTCACTGTGTACTAAGCCTCCTAGACCTCTGACCCCATTCTCCCACCACCCAAGGAATGAAGGCCTCTCCCTTGAGCATCTGGCCACTGGACTGCGGTTCCTGGAGCAGATGCGTCTATACCCCAGAGAGCAGACAAGCCACTTGTGCCTTTAGTTTCCGCTCCACGGACCCTTTCCACCATGACTTCATATTTCCTACCACTGATGCTCTCTGTTGGTCTTGGCAAGAATCAGCAAATGCCTCAGTCCACTGTAGATGGGAGTTGGGGGCCAGGGCGACCCATTCAGCCCCTCCTGCCCACAGCTTCTTGGGTATGTGACTTAGCAACAAGCCAAGCCTGGGCTGGGGAGACAAGAGCACACACAAGCAACCAGCCAGGGAGGGCTGCTCCCTGACTCCAGTCTAGTTTTCCAGCTTCTGAGACACATTGCTTTCTTTGGGCCTCCAGAGAAGCACATGGGAACAAATCCAGGTTGAAGAGGATGATAAGCGAGAAATGGCTTCAAGAAAAAATTTTTTATCATGCTGCTGCTTATTATTGAGCAAGAGTTCCCAAAATGTTTTAACCATGTAATAGAATTTGGGGCGGTTTGCAGTTAAGGAACACTGTAATGGATGACTTCATGGACAGCATCTTCCCACAATCTACCCCTCTTCACACTCCTCCTATCACTCCCCACTTTCCCATGCCCACCAAGGCATCCTAGCATTCAAAAATATAGGATCTGGCTTCTTCCATTCCCTTCTTGAGATGTGTATCAAACTATTGTGTGCGGATAGCCAGACAAGTGCTACCTTCTTGGAGAATTCTTTCAAATGATCAGACTTGAAACTAGATTTTTCATCTTTCCCCAAACTCAACAGTGCATGTTTATGTACTATGCAAACTGACACAGACCTACTGATACAGATCCTAAAAAAATGTCAAGCCAGGACTGAGAGCACGTTCCCTGCTTTTTCCTATGCTCTTAAGCAAATATCACCATGTGTTGTTGGTAAGTAGGCAAACAGCAGCAAATTTTATTATGACCTCTGAAGACTGTTCAGCAAAATAAAATCCTAAAAGCTAATTTATTGAATATTGACAATATATCAGGCACTGTATTAGGCACTTTACATGAGTTGTGTCATTTAACGCTCACAGTGGATCTTTGCATTTGTTGATAAGGAAACTAAGAGAGAAAAGGAAACTTGTCCACTCTGCCTTCGACTATCCCCAAGCTCACCCCAAAGAAGGGAAGCATGGACCTCCCAAAACTTTTCCCAGCAGTGGCCTTGAGTGCTCTTCACTTCTTCTGAACCAGGTCCCCTCCCAATCATTACCCAGCTGCAAACTCATCCACAGTGTCTTCCGGTTCCTATCCTACCTCTGGATCTTTAGATATGACCTCCCCAGAGCTTGATCCATGACTCTCCTTAAGAACCTCTGACTTGCCTTTGCTCCAAGGCTCTTCCACCCAGCTCCAGAGTCCTCAAAACCAATTTCTTACCCAGATGGAGGGATTGATTTGGCCACTACAACAAAGGGCTCCTGGGAAGAATTTCAGCCAACATATCAGGAATGTCACAATCACCTCCCTACAGTCAGCACCGCCAACACTGAGTGGTGTCAAACAAAGAAGGAGGGACAGAAAGGAAACCCTGAGAGGGGTAGAGACATGCATGCCACAGTGTCCAAGCAAAGCCACCATGTGGCCCATTTATGTTGCATCAACCCTGATTTTGGTCCCTCTTCTAATCCTTCAAAGAATGGGGTAATACCCTGACAAGGAAGATGGTTCCCTCCTACCCAGAGTTTCTGGGAGCATTAGCTCATCAGAACCTCCTTGCACCCTGCCGCAAGATGAGCTTGCACAGGATGAGCTAAGGGGAAGGAGTGGCTGAATCAGAAGCTTATGCCAGACCATCTCACCGGTTTGAACAGATCTCCCTCTTGCTGCTTAGATGGTAGATCTTAAGAAAAATAGCCTCCACTGATATGGCTGCGGCTTTCTCTGAGCTTGCCTTTTAATCCTGGGCCTTTCCCTCATCCTACCGTCTTCCTCCCCCAACCCATTCTCTTAGGCTGTTCTCCCTCTCCCAGTCCTGTTCACTAGTCCTTGTCCCCTCGAGCAGACAAAGGGTTAAAACATTTCCGGGACTGGAGAAGGCAAGCCACAGAGATGCAGGTGCTAACAGGGAAAGTGTGGGTTGGAATCTAGAATGATCTGTCACAGTTCCAAGAGCTTCTTTGGATAAGGAGTGATCACAGCTTTTGCTAAATGTCTCTAGGTGAAAATTCCATAAATCTAGAAACTGTGAAACTCAATGGAAATTTAATTAAATGAGTTAATATATAGAGAGTGCTTGGGACAATGCCTGGCACGTAGTGAGCTATATAAACACTTAGAAATGAGTAATAGTTTGGGGAAATACACATTTCAACATCATAGCATTCTATAGGTTCCAGAATCTTTACAAATGCTGATCTGACCTTGGATCTCTGCATTCTAAGTCACTACTCTCTTTGCCACCAGTCCTAAGATTTTCTCTTTCCTCCATCTCATTTCAGTCTTCCTCCTCTCTCTACCTAAGAATCTGAGAGTTTGTGTACATAGCTAAAGATTCCTCTCTTTGGTTCTCAGCACCATGCCTTAGTCTGAAATCCAGTAAAAACCCTGATTTCCCTAAACCTTGTGTTGGTGTGGCTTATGTGGTATCTTTCCTATCTCCTTGGCAGTGATTGCATTGGCTTCATAATAATAACCATTTAGAATCAAGCTGTAATTATAGGAAGGCACTGGAAAGCCCTTGCAAGAATAAGCTTTCCTCTCCCAGACACACTGGCAAGGGTTCTGGTTGGATTTTTCAGCTAAGATTCTCTCTGGAAATCTCATGGAAAAAAGGTTAGAATTATGGAGGGAGGTGAGACCCCAGTGGTCTTAACTTCAGGACCATCCCCTCGTGTGCCCATTGCTGTTTGATGCTGCCAGCAAAAAATGCAGAAGTCTTCACTCCCAACAGAGTAAATGATACTTAGTGTCCTTCAAAATTACAACTCAAAGAGGATCCAGGGAAAAGAAGCAAGTATGCTTTTCTCTTTTCTAAGGCTTCAAGGGGGAAGGGAGGAATATGGCTGAGAGAGAAAGAAAGTGCCTCCACCTAAGTGTGCAAGACCCCAACAGGCAGCCGACCTCCCAGCTTTACCGATTGCTCCAGGATCAGGCCCAGTCCTGGCTGCACTGAGCTGTGGCTGACATTCTTCCCAAGCCCCTCATGTTTGCCAGGAGAGGGGAGTGACAGACGCCGCTCTCCTGAGACATGATGAAAGATATGAGTCAGAAGAAGTGGGAGGAAAATTGGCATTAGGTTCAGGGCCCAGAATGTCAGCAACTGAATGAGGCTGAAGGAAGAGGAAGGGGAGCTTTAAGGGAAAAAATATGACCATCTCCAGCTTCTTTCTTCCTACTGAGATATTTCCAAAATATGCCAGATACAGAGTGGTCAAGTCCAGGGCCACTCTGAGAACCAAAGAGCCCTCTACCGATGTGGTTTGAGCTTCCTCTGTGCCAGGTTCTGTTCTGGAAGCTGGGCTGAAAAATGGGCCAGGGTAGGTGGTGTGGGGATGACGAGGCAAGGGTGATGACCTGTTTTTGATGTGGTCACACCATATGCTATCAGAGTTGCAGGAACTCTCAGGAACGGCTAGTTTGCAGATAAGCAAGCCAGGACTCAGAGAGGGCACAGGATTTGTCTAAGGCACACAGATACAGCTCCCTGGTTGGCTGACAAGACGTTGGTTTGTTTGACTTTCAGAACAATGTGCAAGGGCAGTGCAGAAGATCTGGTGCACGAACCCAGCAGAGACCAACTCTCAAGTAGGGATGCTGACAAGTTGTCACCTGTGGGCCATGCGATGGACGCAGAAGTGGCCATCGTGACAATCTCAGTACACCTACCTTACTGTCTTGTTCCACTTAGGGTCTAGGATCTGTGATTAACAAGCCTTCATTCCTAAAATATCAAAGAAATCCAAGCAATTGTGAAAACACACATCTGTGATGGAAAGTTTGTTTTGTTTTGTTTTGTTTTTTTGAGATGGAGTCTCACTCTGCCACCAGGCTGGGGTGCAGTGGCGCGATCTTAGCTCACTGCAACCTCTGCCTCCCGGGTTCAAGCGATTCCCCTGCCTCAGCGTCCCGAGTAGCCGGGATTACAGGCATGTGCCACCACGCCTGGCTAATTTTTGTATTTTTAGTAGAGACAGGGTTTCACCATGTTGGCCAAGATGGTCTCGATCTCCTGACCTCGTGATCCACCCGCCTCAGCCTCTCAAAGTGCTGGGATTTCAGGCGTGAGCCACTGCCCCCAGCCGGAAAGTTTTTAAGTCACGTATTATGAGGCTTGTGGCTCTTTCAGTTCCTTTTCAGTGAAAGGGAAAGGGACTCAAACGTCTGATTTAAGTACTATATCATCTACCTAAGTGACTTAATTAAAACAAACAAGGAATACCTATCGTAGCAGGAATTCTGCTCAATTCAGTCAGTGTTTACCTGATTTGTTAATTTCACAAAAAGAGATGTCTTCTCCCTGACATTTCTTTTTGTCAGTTTCACTTTTTCACAAGTTTCTGCTTTCTGTTTAATTTTGTGGGAATAAAAGAACACCAGCAAGCAGCCCCAATCCTAGGAGAGTGTTCTCTAAGTGTGGCATACAGAGTTCCAGAACCACAGTCCCTGAGTGTTTGGGTTTAAAGATGCACATTCTCCGGCCCTACCCTTGGTCCACGAATTCAGAACCTCTGAGGGCAGAGTCGGGGAATCTGCATTTTAACAAGTTCCCCCGTGTAATTATCGCACGCTGCAGTTTGATTTTTAAAACGCCTCTTCTGTGCCTGTAGCAGAAAAAAAACCTCTGGGGAAAAAAAAAATTATGCCAGCAACACGACTGTGCCCTCAAAGTTTATAATTTAAGCTGGATAGAACCAGACACAAACAATGATACAGACAACAGGTCAAGGGCAGGGAATGGGGAGTCGACACTTCCCCTTTCAGAACAATCATCAGCTCTGAAAACATGTGTCCGTTGTTGCTTTTCCCTCCTAGACTGTGAGCTCCCTGGTGACAAGTGTCAGACTTATTCATGACAGTCTCCCCAGCACCTTGCCCAGTACTGTTTCCTGGCACAGAGTACATATTTAATACATTTGTGCTGAACAGGTGAATTAGGCTTGTCCCAGGAAAGACACAAGGAAAGACCCAAGCAAAGATTTCCCAAATCGTGCCCAAATTCTTTATTCCTCCGCTACATTTCAATGCACAGATTTCCCCATGGACCACACGCCAAACACTCCAGGCTGGGAAACTGCAGGGCAAAACTCCTATGAGGCTTGGACACTGCCCGTAGGCTGCCAGGGAGAAAAGGAATCCCAGAGAATGTTTTTTTGTTTTTTTGGTTGTTTTCACCTTATGGAAACCAGGAACAGTCTGTTTTCAAAAGTCACAGCTCTCGAGAGCCCTGCTTGATTGGGGTGGTGGCACTAGCATTGCTCAGTCTCCAGGATACCAAAGCTAAGCAGCTAAACAGACACCAGGGTCTCAGAGAAGGAGGAACTCAGAGGAAAATGCATGCGTCTGTTGGGGACGGGCCTCCCATGCCCTTGGGGACAGAATGAGTGAAATAACTAACACTTGGGAGCCTGCAGAGATCTGTGGCCCCCAACGTTAGCCCCAAATTTCAGAGTATTCTAAATACCATCCTTTAAAACACATTTCTTTGGTATATTTCCTATTCTTTTAAGTTGAAAATGCTCCTGGAATTGTTTTAACCCTGATTCATGCTAGGATATAAATTACTTAAACTGCATTTGTTTGCCAGGGCTGCTATAACTAAGTATCACAGACAAGGTGGCTGAAGCAACAGACATTTTTCATCTCACAGTTCTGGAGGCCGAAGTTCAAAATCAAAGTGTCCACAGGGTTGTTTCCTTCTGAAGGCTTGGAGGGAAGAATCTGTCCCCGGCTTCTCTCCTGGCTTCGTGGATGGCATCTTCTCCCTGCGTCTCTTCACATTGTTTTCCTTCTATGCATGTCTCCATGTCCAAATTTTCCCATTTTGGGCCAGGCAGAGTGGCTCATGCCTGTAATCTCAGCACTTTGGGAGGCTGACGTGGGCGGATCACAGGGTCAGGAGTTTGAGACCAGCATGGCCAACATGGTGAAACCCTATCTCTACTAAAAATACAAAAATTAGCTGGGCATGGTGGCGCACACCTGTAATCACAGCTACTCGGGAGGCTGAGGCAGGAGAATCACTTGAACCCAGGAGACGGAGGCTGCAGTGAGCCGAGATTGCACCACTGCACTCTAGCCTGGGTGACAGAGCAGGACTCCATCTCAAAAAAAAAAAAAAATTCAACAAATTTTCCCATTTTTTAAAGACACACTTCATTTGGATTAGAGCCCACCCTAATGACCTCATTTAACTTGATTCCCACTGTAAAAGACCTTCTCTCCAAATGACATCACAGTCAAAGATACTAGGCTGGGGGCTAGGACTCCAGGACAAGAATTGGACTGGAACACGATTCAACCCATAACACTTACCCAGTCTTTTTCCTGGAGACAGAAGTTAGACAGAGAAAGGCTTGAGGAGAAACAGATCCTGAATGTCAGAAAAGGGCACTGACAGAAAAATCTCAGCAGCCCCCAGGGAGACAGGGAGAGGGATGCACACTTACCACAGTGCCCAGGGTGGGGTTCAGAGCCTGGCCCTTGACCTGTCTTCATATGGCTATTGCAATGGGGACACCACCATTTCCTTCTGCACCTGACCTTCATCTCTCAGGTGAAATGAGCAAGCTGGCCCTCTGCACCTGCAGAAGGTGGCTTTGCAGAATTGGGAGGTCTGTTTACTGATTCCATTTCCCAGAGCACTCAGTCCCCCTAATAACCTTTTGCCAGATTTAACTCCCTCCAAAGCCTACCGTGCCACGAATGCTGCCTTTGCTCTTGAATTGCCTTGAAAATATTTTCTAGTTGTGATGAGGGTAATCTGTCACCTTTGGTATAGTCTAAGTTCTTTTGGTGTCAGCTGACCTGAGATCTAGTACCTGTTCTATCACATACCACCCATATGGCCTGGAGCAAATTGTTACTTCACCTCTCTGTGCCTCAGTTTCCTCATCTGTAGGTGGAGATAATGGTAACTCACAGGGTTATTGCAATGATTAGATAACAGCATTTGTAAAACGTGTGCATTTAACAAATGGTGGTTATTATTAACCACTTTACAATGGATAACTCCAACGGCTTCCTATGTGCACAACAGATAACAAATGTTCCTCACCACCTATTGGTGTGTGATGCATATGTAGACATTCAAAAATGGTCACCCAGTGGTTCGCATGTTAGCTGGGCTGACCCAAAATCAGCTCCAAACGTCTTGCTCCTCTTCACAGAACCCAGGCATCCCCCCAGTCTCTGGCTCCATACTCTTCCTCTGATCCCCAAACATGCTATTCTGGATATGCCAGTTCCTTGGGCTGCTTTAAGGGAAAACCCTCTAATAAAGGTTGAGAGGTACAGCTGGGGTCAGGGTGGGGGCAGGGATCATGCATCAGAACTTAGGGACCCCTAGTTGTCACCCTGAGAGTTCTGGGGGACTTGGATTTCTACTGCTCCAAATAATCCCTAGCTGTAAATATTCAGCAAGAAAAGCAAGGTCCTCTGCCCCTGGTCTCTGGTTGCTTTTGAAACCCAGCACCTAGGCTAAAGAGTTAACATAACCTCATTGCAGAGGGATTTCTCTGTAATCTGTACACATGTCCCAGGGATCAGGACTGTGGGAGGTGGTGCTAGTCCGTGGCAGTTGCTCAGGCCCTTGGCCCTCAGCCCACCAAGCTCCCAAAGCCCTCTTGTTCTAGTTGATTTCAAATTTAATTAAGAACAACTGAGCAGAAGCCAAGGTCTCTGCAGGGCCGTCACCCCTGAGCTTGGAGAGGGCCAAGGAGATAAGCATCTCATCACAAACCAGAAAGCTGGAAGGGCCATCACCTTCACCTGTGAAAACAAGGCAGCAATGACCACCAGGATGCTCAGCAAAGCCTGTGGATGGTGCACGGAGGGGCGATGAGAACACCATCAGAGCAGACTCAACTGGAGCCACGTCCCGGCCATCCTCATAGGCAGGCAGGAGGAGGCCCCTTGCTTTTCCATGTCACTCTCACCCTCTCTGGCCAAAAGGACTCACATTGTGCCCTCAAATTCATTAAGCTGATAGCCCACATCTGAGAAGGACTTAGCCAAAAAGAGAAAGAACAGACAGAGAAGAGAAAGAAAAGGTGAGCAGACCAGTTGGCCTGAGAGATCTGTCAAGTTGGAGCCCAGGAGGGGTAGATGCCTGGAGAGATACTGGGGTCACTGAGTAGCTAGATGGTTGTCCGATGTTTCTAAAAGTCTGGCCCACTGGCCCCCCTACCACAACATCAGAGCAGCTCCAAATTCTGGGATGCTTCTCTGTAATATAGATTCCTAGGGCTCCACCCAGACTGAGGAAAAGATCCTCTAAGGGGGCCAGGAAATTAGCAATTTAAGACGTTCTTCAGGTGATTTTGACAATGACTTTTTAAGACTAGGACCCTCTAGAACAGGGATTGGCAAACTACAGTCCATGGGCCAAATCTGGCCCGCAGCTTGATTTTTGTAAATAAAGTTTTATTGG
Source organism: Homo sapiens (assembly GCF_000001405.40). NCBI lineage: Eukaryota > Metazoa > Chordata > Mammalia > Primates > Hominidae > Homo > Homo sapiens. Next base: position 72,302,942 of record NC_000017.11, read on the forward strand.
AACACATGCCTGTTTGCTTATATATTGTCAATGGCTGTGTTTGCAATACAACGGTGGAGTTGAGCAATTATGAAAAAGATAGTATGACCCTCAAAACCTGGCCCATTACAGAAAATGCTTGCCAACCCCTGGCCTAGAGCAGTGATTCTCGACCTTAGTAGTATGTTAGAATCAGCTGGGGAGTTTTCAACATTGCTGATGTGGGCTCACCTCAGTAAGAAAGTAAGCATAGGCGTCGATGGGTTTTGATGCTCTTAAGGTCTAGGAAATGTCTGGGGAAATCCTGGGCTCTTACAGAGCTGGTAACAATTTAGAATTTCCTCCTGCCTCTTCCTCTGATGGTAAATAACTTCAAAAGGTATTTATGGTTGATCTTCTATGAACATGATGTTAGAGCTAAACAGGGATTCAGACATACCTGCCTTCAGTTGCAAGAAATACAAGTCACAAGTTTTTTCCCCTTGGATTCTAATGTCCAGCTCTGTCCTTAGGGAGACATCCTTCACCCGGTTCCAGCGGTTTCCCAGCTCTGGCTGACCACCGACTGGTTGCATCAGAATCACTTGGGGGAGCCTCGTGGAAATCCAGACTCCAGGTCCCATTTCAGAACTATGAATTCAGTTCTCCGAGAGCGGGGCCCGTGGGTGGGTTTTGTTAAGGAGGTTCCAGGTGGTCGTTCAGACATCCAGGCTTGGGAGCCACTGCTAGGAGGCTCTCTGGGGCTTGGCTGGAGAAAATCTTGTTTCAATCAGGTGGAAGGCTTTTTCCAGAAGCCAGCCCCCAGGCCCAGAGGAGTCATTTTTCTCACTTTTGATGTAAACTTGGACAGTAGCTGACTTTATGTCCATCTCTTGGCTCCCAGTGAAATCGGACCATAATACCATGATCTCTGTTAAAGTTGGGGTGTGCGTGTATGTGTATGCTTGTGTGTGTGTCTGTGACTGTGAGAGTGTGTATGTGGGCAAGTGTGTGCGTGTGTGTGAGCATGTATATGAGTGTGTGTACCTGTGCATACACGTGTGTACATGCATGTTTGAGTGTGCTTGTGTGTGTGGACATGTGTTAATGTATGTAACTGTGTTAGCATGTGAATATGTGCATGTGTATTTGAGTGTGAGAGTGTATATGTAGGTAAATGTGCAGGTGTGGGTGCATGTGAGTGTGTGCATGTGTGTGAGGATTTAGGTGTGTGTATATGTGTGTTTGAGTATGTGTGTGTGTGCATGTGGGTGTATGAACTTGTTAGCATGGGTGTTGGTGTACGCATGTATGTATGAGCATATGTGTATGTACATATGTATTTGAGTGTGACTACGTGCATGTGTATTTAAGTGTGTGCATTCGTGTGTGTCAGTGTGTGGGTGTGTGCGTGTGTTTGAATGTGAATGTGCAGATGTGGGCATGTATGTTTGAGTGTGTTTCAGTGTGTGTGGGTGTGTGCATGTATGAGTATGTGTCTTTCAGTGTGAGTGTGTGGGTGTGTGCATGTCTGAGTGTCTTTCAGTGTGAGTGTGTGGGTGTGTGCATACATGAGTGTGTGTTTCTGAGTGTGTGGGTGTGTGCATGTATATATCTGTGTGTGTTTCTGTGTGAGTGTGTGGGTGTGTGCATGTCTGTGTTTGTGTTTCAGTGTGAGTGTGTAGGTGTGTGCATTTAATGTTTGTGTTTCAGTGTGAGTGTGTGGGTGTATTTGTGTGTTTCAGTGTGAGTGTGTGGGTGTGTGCATGTATGTTTGAGTGTGTTTCAGTGTGTGTGGGTGTGTGCATGTATGAGTGTGTGTGGGTGTGTGCATGTATGTTTGAGTGAGTGTGTTTCTGTGTGAGTGTGTGGGTGTGTGCATGTATGAGTGTGTGTGGGTGTGTGCATGTATGTTTGAGTGAGTGTGTTTCTGTGTGAGTGTGTGGGTGTGTGCATGTCTGAGTGCGTTTGTCTTTCAGTGTGAGTGTGTGGGTGTGTGCATGTTTGTGTGTGTTTCAGTGTGAGTGTGTGGGTGTGTGCATATATGAGTGTGTGCGTCTTTTGGTGTGTGTGGGTGTGTAAATGTATGTTGGAGAGTGTGTGGGTGTGCGCGCGTGCATAAAATCACTCCACAAGAGCCAGACCTTGAGCTGAAGCGCTCAGATTTTCAGTGGCCCAGCCAGGCCAGGCAGGGGTCGGGGGAGGCCAGTAAGTGCCAAAGGCCCCAAGCACCAGGAGGTGCCCACACCAGGGCCACGCACTGCAGGCAGGTCCTGGACCTTCCACAGCCCTCAAATCCCTCTGCCACTTACCTGCCCTGTGGCTTAGACAGGTGCTGCCGCCTTCCCAAGCCTCGGGTTCCTCATCCACCTCAGAATAATGAGTGTACCCACGTGATGAAATTTTGGATGGGGGGAAAAAGGGAAAACTAAGATAATGTTTTTAAGTGTCCAGCTCAGTGCCTGGCTACTAGCAACTGCTCACTTGTTTGTCCTTGCACCAAACATTTAGTGAGAACTTGCTCTGAATGGATTCTTTTCTGGGGATTGGAAATAAAACATGGAACGAAACCCCAGAAAAATCCCCATCTTCATAGAATGTACGTGCTAACAGGGATGGGGAGGAGGACAAAAATAAACAACCAAGGAAGCATATGGTACCTTCAGATGGTGACCAACGCCATAAAGAATAACAAATAGGACCACAGACACCACGTGAACCCAGAGACATGAGTGTTGGTCACCATTCAAAAGCTGATGCAGCCAGTGGTGACGCCTCCCCTGTGGAGGGTTTAGCTCCTTCACCCCAGGACTCCCTAACTTCCTGGGGCTCAAGTATAGTTATTTGTGGTTAAAAGCTGAGCATTCTATCGTGAGAGTTAGGCAAAGCAAAACAAAAACAAAACCTAAAATGAAAACATTTTGAGAAAAACAAACAAAACTCCTCTACACGTTTACCAGAGATTTGTTTCTGCCGGCTTCTTGGCTGAGAGTGAATATTTATCTACATGCACAAAAAGAACTGGGTTGGGGGGCAGAGGCACCTGAAGGGGGACCCCGTTTCCAGAGGGGCAGCTGCCAGCTACAGGGATGGCTGGGACCCCGAGCCTGCCTAGGAGGAATGCCCTTCCAGAACCCAAACCTTCATTTTTAGGATGTAACTCTAGATGCAGAAAAGACTGAGAAACCAAGACTGGCAGTTTTAGCCAACCGCGTTCCCAGGGGCAGTTTTGTAATGGAGGAAGAAGATTTTGAAATACCTCGCTCTTCCAGCCAGTGAGAAATAAATCTCCATTTCTGGTCAGAGGCTGAGACTCACTGGCTCTTGGATTCACTCAGGAGAGAAATCCACCATCTCTCCCCTGGCCCATCTCATCTCCACCCAGCACCACCAGGGAAATGACTGTTCCCTAGCTGCATTCACCCGGCTTTGAAAGATCCTGCGAGGCTTTGAGAAGGAAAATGCTTTATGCTGACTGTGCTTTCTCAGCTATCATTTGGGCTGTTTCATGCAAACTCAGCCCTTAGGCACGTTTTATGCCTTTATTTCAATTCCACTCATCCCCTTACCAACACACACACACAGACACACGTACTAGAAGCCAGGATCTAATTAGACAATGTCAATAAGAGTTCTTTAAAAACTGCTGGACATAAACAAAGTGGGATTCACTGTTATTATTCCCCATCAAATCAACAGGACATTTTCCCCCAAAGCCCCACAAATACACACATCCCAGGGCAACCGAGCGTTTTGGAGAGGTCTCAGTGGGCCATCTGCATTTACTGACCTCGTTGTGAGGAAAGGACAGGAAAAAACAGACAGCAGGGATATAAGATTCTCCCACACAAATGGACCCCCAAGACACTCTGCATTGTTTCATCAATGACTGTCACACCCCTTCCTTCTCTGGGACCACAAGGAAGACCGACCAGGGATCCATTTGAATCTTAACACTAAAGCAGAAGAGGCCACTTGACATACGTTTACTAAACACCCGCTCTATCCCCCGATGATACTAGATACCAGATGATACACAAACAAAGAAGCCATACTCTCTTCTTTCTAGGAATGCAGAGTCCATAAGGATAACAGACGAACAGATGCTTTTTGTTTGTTTGTTTTGTTTTGAGACAGAGTGTCGCTCTGTCACCCAGCCTGGAGTGCAGTGGCACGATCTCGGCTCACTGCAACCTCCACCTCCCAGGTTCAAGCTATTCTCATGCCTCAGTCTCCTGGTAGCTGGGATTACAGACATGCACCACCATGCCCAGCTAATTTTTGTACTCTTAGTAGAGACGGGGTTTCACCATGTTGGCCAGCCTGGTCTTGAATTCCTGACCTCAGGTGATCTGCCTGCCTTGGCCTCCCAAAGTGCTGGGATTACAGGCGTGAGCCACCTTGCCCACCATAGACATGTTTTTAAATGACAGTAACATCCAACCTCCTTTCCCTGACCAGTAAGACCTTATGTGATCTGATTCTCTACCTCCTTTTTTGAACATATGCTGTACTCCTTTTGCCTCATTTGCTGTGTTCCAGCCACACTAGCCTTCTTGCTGTTTCTCAAATGTGCTAAGAATATTCCCACTTCAGGGCCATGGCATTTTCTGTTCCCTCTGTCTGGAATGTTCTTCCCGCGGACCTGCCAGTGGCTTTCTCTCTACTTCCTGCAGGCTCTGCTTCCTCCAGGGAGGCTCTTCAGCCGCTCTACCTGAGACAGCCCTGTGTTTTCTTTATCTATCCTTTTACCCTGTTTTGTTTTTTTTCCATAGCATATGTCACTGTCTAACATGATGGTACAAATGTATTATCTGCCTCTCTCACTAGAGTCCCACTGAGCCCTCTCCAAAATGCTCAGTTGCCCTGGGATGTGTGTATTTGTGGGGCTTTGGGGGAAAATGTCCTGTTGATTTGATGGGGAATAATAACAGTGAATCCCCTTGGTGCTCATTGGAGCACCAATTTGGTTTCTTTTGTTTCCTGCTATATGCTTAATGCCTAGCATATAATGGGTAAACAATAAATATGTGTTGAAGAAATGAATAAATAAATGCTATAATGAAAACAGAATGCAGCAGAATCTATCCAAACCACTCCCAGCCTGTTACGTGAGTATCCCACTTGAAGCACCTCCGTTCCTGGAAAGTTTCCTTTAAGCACAGTTCCAAGGACCAAAGTTTATTTCTCAGAGGCCATTTATTGTAAGACTTGGAGATGTGTTTCTCTGGAAAAAGATGTTTACACCACTGTACACTGAAATCTCAGAAAAGTGCTCCAAATCATAGAAATATACAATGGCGATTTTCTAAAATATGAGCTGCAGAATTTCAAACACTTCTATGTGAATGCCCTCTTAATAAAGCAAAACAGTGTCAAGATGATACAGTGGAAGTGAGGCGGGAATCAGAGCCTCACCCACCAGGGCCTCCTTCCCTCCTCAAAAGCTATCACTAAGACAGATGAATGACACGAAGACTGTCACTAAGATGCCCAGCCACCTACAGACATGGTTTACAAAGCAAATACCAAATCTTCCCAAGAAAAGCCAGGACAAATGGAAATAAGTGAGAGTATATTTGTCTGTTGACATTAAAGCTTCAAAGCCTAGAGAAAGTATCATCACCAGCCTCTGGCAAAAGGCACCCCTCCCAGCCATCCCCAGCAGCCTACTGCAGAGGCACAAGCATCTCTTCTGGATTGGTCAGAGCCAGGGTCAGGACACTGAGGCACAGTTGCCGGCTTTAAAATATCTGTGATGCAAAACAATTTTGATCAGGGGAGAGAAGGAAATCATGCAAGTGTGATGATCCAAAATGCAGCAGGAAATAAGCAAAGGAGGAGAGTTTATGAGAGTTTATATTGGACAAGTCTAGAAAAAAATGAAACAGAACAGCAGTGTATTTACTGAATCTGGTGGAACAGGGACGCCATAAAGCCAGGTTAAGTATGTGCAGTTAGGGACCATGATTCCCTGTATGCATGTCTGGGTCATCTACGAGCTGCTTCCTGCTTGCTGTAGCATCATTCTACTCCACACACTGCCACTGGGAACCCTCCATGGGCTGGTGGAAGAGATGTAAGATGAGAAGACAGAGGATCTCACAGCTTACCCTCAACTGCCTCAACAGCCCAAAGACACCCGTCAAGGGAGCAGTCATAATAATAACAGCAGCAATTGTGATCGTAGCAAACACCCCTCCTCCCTGGGCCACTGTAGGGGACAAAAGCTCCCCATAAATTGTAAAGCAAGTTTTAGTCATCTGTTTATGCAAACACTCATTGCAGGCCTCCTCTGGGCCAGACTTTGCTCAGCAGTAACTGGACAGACAGAGGCTAGGAGCACTGGTGCAGATCCTAGCAGGAAATGCAGACAATGCAGAGAGAGAGAAGTAAGTTGGGTCGTACAAATAAATATGAGAAACAAGAGAACAGGGCAAGGGCTGGTGGACAGCTGGGGTTCAATGTTGAATAGAGGGGTTGGGGAAGCTCCCTCTAAGGAGGGAACATTTTTGTTTTTGTTTGTTTTGAGACAGTCTCACTCTGTCATCCAGCCTGGAGCGCAGTGGTGTGATCTCGGCTCATTGCCACCTCCCCCTCCCAGGTTCAAGTAACTCTTCTGCCTCAGCCTCCCAAGTGGCTGGGACTACAGGTGCACACCACCCCACCCAGCTAATTTTTGTATTTTTGGTAGAGACAGGGTTTTGCTGTGTTGGCCAGACTTGTCTGGAACTCCCAACCTCAGGTGATCTGCCTGCCTCAGCTTACCAAAGTGTTGGAATTACAGGCAGGAACCACTGCACCCAACCAGGAGAGAACATTTGAGCAGACACCCACATGAAGGGCCAACCATGAGACCATCTAGAAGAAGAACGTTCCAGGCAGTGGGAACAAGAAATGCAGAAGTTTGCAGCAGAGGCTCAGGCAGGTGACCATGGGGAAGAATGAGGTAATGAGGGACAAAACTTCCCCAACCAGGGCAAGACTTGAGACTATGCTCCTCCATGTGAGTTGGGAAGTAGCAGGATCACCCAGTAACATCCGAAAAGCGTCACTCTGGCAGATCTCGAAGGTAGCATTATTGCTGCATGCCCAGAACCACTCGTAGCAGCTCCTGACCTCTGTGAATCCAGTGGAAACAACTCAGACTGACCACATAGTGGCTCTCCCTTGGCCTTTGACTCTTCCATCTGTTCATTTTTTATCAACAGATTAACTGCAGAGCAAAGAGAACAGGGAAGTTGCGGCGGTACCACCATTTCCCACCAGGTTATGCTCCTCCACGTCCCTGGTGAATTTGCATGAGATAACAGCAGTAAGGAATAGTAAGGAATTCACTGTAACAGAACAGAAACCACAGGATGTCATAGCAAGAGCGTCCCAAAGCAGGAACATGTTAGGGTTAGAGGTAAGATGTTGAAGCAAAAAGGCGGTGGGTAATAATTACGGTGCAGACACTGCTTAACCAAATATGCTTTTCCATGTTCCTGCCGAGGAATGCCCGATGCAAAACTATTTGCATGCTCTCACTGCACATGTCATCTGCAAAACAGCCCAGCACAGTTCTGGTTTCTCTAGGTGAGGTGACTCTGCTTTCCAGGATAGCAGCAGGATTGTTGCTTTGCTCCGGGCCTTGTCGTTGGCCATGGAGGAGCCAGACTGCAGGCTGTGATGTGCTTGCCTCAAGGCTGGACTATCAGAGCATCAGAGTGTGTCTCCGAATGTCAGGAAGAGGAATCGGGTTGACTGAGAAGGGCGGTGATTTCTGATAGGAGGTTCCCAGCCAGGCGCAGTGGCTCACGCCTGTAATCCCAGCACTTCAGGAGACCAAGGCGGGTGGATCACCTGAGGTCAGGAGTTCAAGCCCAGCCTGGCCAACATGGCAAAACCCCACCTCTACCAAGAATACAAAAATTAGCCGGGTGTGGTGACATGCGCCTGTAATCTCAGCTACTTGGGAGGCTGAGGCAGCAGAATCACTTGAACCTGGGAGGCGGAGGTTGCAGTGAGCCAAGATCATGCCATTGCACTCCAGCCTGGGCAACAAGAGTGGAACTCCATCTCAAAAAAAAAAAAAGTTCCCATTCACCCTTCTATGCTAGACGAGTGTTGTTGGGTTATTATTCCTTCCAAACTTAAAAAATTATGGGGAATGTTAGAGCCCAAAAAACAGGAGCTACAGGCTAGGGGTTACTAATCACAGGGCCTGGGGTTCCCTCTGACAGCAAGGGGAGGTGATTCAGCTGTGCCTTCTCATTGTCTCACTGTGTGGGTTGAATTGTACACCCCCGCCCCCCAAAAAAAAAGATCTATGGAAGTCCCCTATTGACTCAAAATGTGACTTTTTTGGAAAGAGGGCCTTTACATGGGGTAACCAAGTTAAAATTGGGTCATATAGATGGGCCCTAATCCATCAGGGCTGGTGTCCTTATAAAAAAGGGAAATTTGGACACTAGACAGACACACACAGAGGGAAGATGATGTAAAGACAAAGGGAGGAAGCCGTTCACAAGCCAAGAAACGCCTGGGTCTCCTCACAGCTAGGCAAGCAGCCTGGGGCAGATTCACCCACACAGCCCTCAGAAGGAACCAACCCAGCTGACACTTCATTTTCCACTTCAAGCCTCCAGAATTGGGAGATGATAAATTTCTGCTTAAGCGCCCCAGTTTATGGTACTGCTGTTTAAGCCCTCCCTGGAAGTGAATACACTCACCAATAACAGCTTATACTGAAGGGCTGTCTTTAGCGAATATTAGTGAACCCTGGTGTCCTGCAGGGGACGTTCGCAGAGTTGAAGATGTGGATAATTTCACATGGTTTTTGCAAGGTGCTGGGCTCCCAGCACATATTCTGCAACAAGCTCTATGAACATGGCCTCCTCCCGGATTTTCCATGCTTGCTTTGCATTAAGCAATAGACTGAGACTTGGACTATCTCATTTCACCCCGAGGAACAAAATGAGTTGGATGTTTACACCATTTTATAGGTGAGAATACAAAGGCATTAGTTGTTGTACAGTAGTCATGAAAGATGGCTGAAAAATCAGGTGCAAAGAGGGTGTGCCAGGGAGCCCCCATGAGGAGGGCTCTGCTAACAGACAGGGGAGGGCCAGGGAGCCGTAAGTTCTTCTGAGCCAAGGAAACCCATCCTGGAGGAGAAAGAGATAGACAGGCCAGAGTTCCAAGCCTGGTTCTGCCTCCTGCAGCCATCAGGCCTTGGCCATCTCCATGCCAGGGTTTCTCTATAGGAGGAGTATCGGCAGGGGCGTCCACACATGGCAGGACATTCCACCCCCCTAGCATCCACCCACTCCCTGCCAGCAGGGCGCTGCACTTCCCCCCAGGCATCGGGGACTTCCACAATCACCCCACACATTCCAAACACCCCTTAGGGGGTGGTGCCCTGTCCAGGTGGGAACCCCTGAATCATTGTGAGTCTCATTAACTTCACTCCTAAAATGAGAAAGACATTATCCTTCCTCCTAGGTTATGAGGGACTTGAGATTTTTCTCTTTTTTTTTTTTTTTTTTTTTTTTTTTTTTGAGATGGAGCCTCGCCCTGTCACCCAGGCTGGTGTGCAGTGGCACGATCTAGGCTCATTGCAACCTCCGCCTCCTGGGCTCAAGCGATTCTCCTGCCTCAATCTCTTGAGTAGCTGGGATTACAGACATGGCACCACTGCGCCCAGCTAATTTTTGTATTTTTAGTAGAGATGGGGTTTCACCATGTTGCCCAGGCTGGTCTTGAACTCCTGACCTCAGGTGATCCACCCGCCTTGGCCTCCCAAAGTGCTGGGATTACAGGCGTGAGCCACCAAGCCCAGGTGGGACTTGAGATTTTAGGTGTATAGAAGGCAGCATTTTCCAACCTCAGTGCCATTGACATTTTGCCCTGGATGGTTCTTTGTCATGGGGGTCTTGTCCTGTGCATCGTATGACATTTAGCAGCACCTCTAGCCTCTTCCCACGAGATGTCAGGAGCACCCCTCTCCCAAGTCATGACAAGCAAAACTGTCTCCAGACATGGCCATATGTCCCCAGTTGAGAGCTGCTGATAATAGAATAATATTCAGAACAGTGTGAGGCTTGTAGTAGGGACTGAAGGAATTACAGCTCTTATTACAAAAACATCCAACTTCCTTCTTTTTCTACTCAGTAACAACCACCAATCCAATTCAGGTAAATAAGAATGCACCACTGAGTCCGTGCACACTCCCATTAGGTGGGGCAGCCCACAGGCTGTGTCATGGATTCCAAGGACTGAACGTATGTATGGCCATTGTCCTCCTCTTGCCAATTTCAAGGGTCCTTGGCAGAAGCCTTGGCCTTATCTGTGACTGCTCCCTCTCCAGCAACTCTCTGATCCACCTGTCACCAATCCAATTGTTCATTCCTCCATATACTCTTTTCTCTTCATCCCCACTGCCAATTCCAAGGCAAAGCACCCTTCATCATTCACCCAGAGATCCCAGCAATTTCTAAAGAAAGCTCTGGACCCTAATCTTTCGTCTCTCTCCTTCAATCCTTCCACCTCTTCCTGTTGGGGCTTCACTCCCCGGACACCACTCTCATCTTCCATATACCAAGGTCAAGAACTCTCCTGCCTTTCAAGTGCCTGATCCCCATCCCCTCTCTTGTGGACAGCCTGACTTTCTGCTTTCTGCAGTACGTAGGCACGTGCCTCCTCTCATCCCTCCTCTCTCACTGCATGCTCAGTGCCTTCAGACATGCAGAGTATCTCTCCAACCTCCTCCCATTCCTCCAATCCCAGTGCAAGCTCAGCGTCCCTCCTCCAAAGCCTTCTTTAACTCTCCAAACCCCACTCATTTCACCCTTTGCTCAAATTCTATTGCAATTATGGTCATTCACACACAGCAGAACACTTATTGTTTAAATGCAGTATTGCCTTTCCACCCCCTGGTATCCTTAGATGAATGATGTTTTTATTTCCAGAGTTCTAAATTCAACCTTCCCTACCCCACCTCCTACTAGATACCTGGCTTACTTCCTCCTTCTGTTTTTTGTTTAAATATCACCTTCTTAGCCAATCTTCTTTGACCACGCTATTTAAAACTGCAGCCCCTCCACCATCCCCAAGTTCCTCCATCCCCCTCACCACCTAAGCAAGTCCTTGTTTTCATGGAGCTTACAGGAGCCGACATATTTGCCTGGGCAGAAAATATATTCACTTTACCACTTATTTCATTCACAGACAGTTCAATATCGAATCTGTTCTCAGTATTTTATTATGACTCCTTATCAGTGTCCTTGATCTTGACTTTAATCTCTAAGGACAAGAACCTTCTCTGTTTTGTTTTTCTAAAATGAACTTTGAAGTTTAGCATGATTTTAGATTTATAGAAAAGCTGTGAATTTGGTACAGAGAATTCCCATATATCCAACACCTAGTTCCCCTGTTGTCAATATCTTACATGAATATGGTATATTTGTCATAATTAATGAAACCAACATTGATACATTATTATTAAAGAAAGTTCATACATTATTCAGAGTCCCTTAGTTTTTTTTCTTAATGTCCTTTTTCTATTCCAGGATCCCATCCCACCCAGGATACCACGTTACATTTACCTGTCATGTCTGCTTAGGCTCTTGTTGGCTGTGACAGTTTTCACACTTGTTTTTCATGACCTTCCTTGACAGTTTTGAGGAGTACTGGTCAAGTCTTTTGTACAATGTCCCTCAATTTGGATGTGTCTGATGTCTTTCTGATTAGACAGGCGTAATGAATTTTGGGAGAGAAGATCTCAGAGGTAAAGTGCCACTCTTATCATCTTGTATCAATGGTGCAGATAAAACATGACATCACTGCTGATACTGACCTTGATCACCTGGCTGAACTGGTGTTTCTTGCTTTCTCCACTGAGCATTACTTGATTTCCAGCATTTTCATACTGTACTCTCTGAAAGGATGTTACTAGATCCTGCTTCCTTGTGGGCAGAGTATCTACCTAAATTATTTTGAATTCTTCTGCATGGGAGATTTGTCTACTAGCTCTCATTTATTTATTGATCCAATCATTTCTTTATAGCAGTATGGACTCATGGGTATTTGTTTTATACTTTGGGTTATAATCTAGTTAGCTTTATTTTCTTATTCAAATTGTTCCAGCTTTGGCCATTGGGAGTTCTTTCCGTTGGTGCCAGTGTTCCTTTGACCCATCCCCATCATTGTGTCTGTTAGTTTTTGTAATTTTGTTTGCTTGTATTTTGAGCATTTCCTTACGTTCTGGCTCTACTGATGTTCCAGGCTTATCTTGGATATGTCCTGCCCTACCTCTAGAATCAGCTATTTCTCCAAGGAGCTCTAGTTCTTCTTACTGCAGAATAGTACTAGAAAACAAGATCTGGGCTCTCAGTGTGCTCATTGTGACTAGGGTGTGGTTAATTCTAAGCCCTTCCAGCTGACAAAGCAAGGAAAGGTATGTGCATATACTAGTCCATGTCTCTCCACACACATGTATTTACAAATGTTTCTATATGTAATCATCTGTATCTCTATTAAGCTAAACATAAACTTATACTGATATTTTTCCAACTCTAATCCATTACCACATAGATCATCCTAGACTCCTCCCATTGCTGAGCTTTAAAGTCCCACTCCCACAGTGAAAAACAAGCTTCCCACCATTCACCATCCATTTACAGGATTGTTCAATTGCAGTCTATGTGGATAGCAGTATCAGAATTGTTGACCCATACCCCCATGGAAAACAACCTTATCAGCTACAGTAGAGTGCTTGCGGGCATTTCCTTTGCATTTAGTCTTACCCCCCTCATTTCAAAGTTGCTTAGATCAGCACCTTTTCCCACCAACCCCTTCAGTTAGCTTGCTTCATACAACTATAATATATCTAGATTATTTTGTCACATTCTTCATTCCACTCTGTGATCTCCCAATCTCCTAAACAATTTGTTAAATTGCGTGCATTAAGATTCTCAATGTGCCATAAAGTTCTATTGGTTTTGACAAACGCATAGTGTCCTGTATCCACCATTACGGAATCAAACAGAATAATTCCATTGCCCTTAAAAAATCCCCTGCACAACACCTGTTCAACTCCTTCCCTCCAGAACCTCTGGAAACCACTGGGTTTTTTGCTGTCTATATTTTTGCCTTTTCCAGAATATCATATAAATAGAATCACACAGCATGTACTCATTCAGACCAGTTCCTCTCACTTAGCAATATGTATTTAAGATTCATCCACGTTTTTGCATGACTTGATAGCTCATGCCTTTGTGTCACTGAATAGTATTCCATCATATGTATGCATCAAAGTGTCCTGACCCATTTAGCTATTGAAACACATCATTGTTGCTTCTAGTTTTGGATAATTATGAATAAAGCTGCCATAAACACTCATGTGTAGAATTTTCTGTGGACTACAGTGTTCAAATGAGTGAGATAAATATCTGGGAGCATGGTTTCTGGATAGTACAGAAAACTGATTAGCTTTGAAAGACTATTTGTTTTTTAGAAATTTTCAGTACTGAGACACATGCAGGTAAATATTTAATAAATAGTTTTTTTAATTTATTAAGGACCCAACAGTCAGCTGCTTAGAAGCTCAGTTCCTGGGAGAGAAGTTTTTAGCTTTGAGTAAAGGAAGGGAACTTCCTGGCATATGTCATCTCACTGCCAGAAACAGAGTCAGGTTGCCCCACCATTGAACTGTGGATCAGATGGCATGTCTTCTTCTGCACCTACTTGCCTTGCAGTTCAGCTATGCCTTGTGGATTCTCAGATAATACATGTTAGAGGAATAATAATGACGATTACCACTAAGTTGTCACTTGATGTTGAATGTGTGGCCCAAGTGAAAACTACATTTTCTTCATTTGATCTATTTTCTTGTATTCCCACTTTTAGCCATTTTCCCAAATCCAAACAATCTGGCTGCCACACTCAGAGGGGGAAGAAGTCAACTTTTCTGGGAAAAAAAAGACATTTAGAGAGCCTGGGCCCATGTAGAGAATGTCAGACTTCTCCAGAAGGACATGGCCCTGCTCCTGTCCATGGGAGAACAAAGGATCCAGTATGTAATGGACCAAAAAGGATGCAGGCTGTGTCTATATTCCCTTGCTGACCTCTTCCAATTGAGGCCAAAACAGTGGGCTTTAGACTTGAACATCCATTAGAGTCACCTAAAGGGCTTGTTAAAACCCGGACTCTTGGGACCCGTCCCCGAGATGTCTTATTCACCCAAGAGTTTGCATTTACAACAAGTTCCCCAGTGATGCAAATCCCACTGGTCCTGCCCCATTCTTGGAGCTCCACCTGCCTAGAGAACTAACTATCCTTCATACATCCAAACCCATGGCCATCGCTAGATCTCCCCTCTACTCCTCATGTAAGAGACGAAGCTGAATGGAAGAGCTTGGGAAGGTGGATCTGAGATTTGGGGAAGAAGGGCCAAGGGGTCTAGGCACTGACTCTGGAAACGCAAGTTGTTCGCCACTCTGGAGATGCTCACTAGTGTGGAAATGCAGGCTTTTGGAGACGGAATGGGCTGTAGTGGCCAAATTCCCTTTACCATAAAAAGAAAGAACATAAACCCAGAGGGTGGAAGCCATGCTCTCAAGGCCGCACAGCAAGCCTGGGCAGAGCCATAGTGACCTAGACCTTTTGACTCTTCCCATAATAGTAAAGCTACCCTTCCTTGTTCAAGGCAGCACAAGTACCTTCTGACTCAGAGTGAGGAGGGCAGGATCAAGCCCATTCCTGGAACGACAATATTTGAATTATCATCTCAAGGGGAAATGAACAAAGAATAGCAGTTCCCTCAATCCACTCCCTGCTAAACACACACACACACACACACACACACACACACACACACGGGTTCACAAAGGCCAGCTCTCCAAAGAGTCAGGGAGTAGGAAATGGGCAAGTGGGAAGATGAAAGCTCATTGTTTTTGCAGCAACACTAGTCAGAGTAATAATTCAATTTTGACCACACAGAATAAACAGTTCCAAGCATCTAGAAGATGAGACTGCTGAAATTCTCAGCTGAAAACCCAAGGGGACAGAAAAACCAGAGCTGTACTTTCAGTTCCTCCCCCAAAATAAAAGGACTCCAGCCAGCCACATCTCGCCCTTAGAACCCTGGAAACAGGTGAGCGATTCATGACATTTGTTTAAGATGAATCAATTCCCAGCACCATGTAGTGAGCCTAGGTCTCAGAATGACCCAAAAGGAGGGGCGCAAGACAAGCACAGGAAGGGGGATGGGAGAGAAGAGTCTTTGTCTGCTTTTCCTGATATTTTAAATATTATTAGATAATTTCTTTCAAATTTCTAATAAGCAGGTTGAAGTTTAAATTACAAGATCTCTAACAGAGTCAGGATCCAAATAGCACAGGAGCCGGCAGACAACAATTGCTGGGGCCGGATGGGTTTCAGGTTTGCTCTTTGTGAAGACAAAGCTCCTATTGAGTGGTGGAGAGGAGAGCTGGGGAAAAGAGAGAGGGCTGTGGAGGGTTTTCATTACCCCGATCATCATCCCCACCGCGAGGGGAGGATGTAGAAGGAAGAAAGAAAATCTGGACCTGGCCAATGCACTGCTGAAAATGACAGCTTGGAATGAATCACACACCTGATATCTGTGGCTCCTCCAGAGCAGAGTGTGGACATGAGACAAAGAGGAGGAAAGAAGGAAGGAAGCTGAAGCTCTAGTCCTGCACGCTCATGCATCCAGCAAAAATAAAAAAGCAAAAACATCAGAGCAGAGGATGGGTTCTTGGTAGGTGGTCCAGGGCTAGAAAGGTGATCTAATAGTTTTCTGTTTTTTCTTGAGATGCCTTGTAAACACTAGATTAGGAACCTCAACACTCAAGGGAACTTTATAGTTGAAAACCAACAGCCACTTCCCAATAGAAGGTGAAGCAGAGATGGCAGAGATCAAGAGATACAATACCTCTCCCTCTATGTGTAGGCTAACAACGGAGATCACGGGTCTCTGGGGCATTGCCACAAACCCAATCTTGTTTGTTCCTCTTCCTCTCCTTCCCTCATTTCTTTTCCCTCTGTCATTATTAATGTCAGAGTCAAGTGCCCTCTTTGAAAAAAGCAAGTCTCCATCTGAATGGAGTTGGGGCCAGGTTCACAGAAGTTATTTCTTATTGGAATGTTCTCCCTGGCAGGTGCTTCTCATCTGCTAACCCCTGTGTCTTCCCTTCTACTGCACTGGCATTAGGAATTAGTATCTCCATTCAGATATGGCCAAATAGCATCTGAGAGGTGAAGCCAGTAGCTCTCAAACTGGGCTGCAAAAAAGTTGTTTTTGTTTTTGGATGCCCATTCTCTACACTCCAGAGATTCTGATATAATTGGTCTATGTTTTTAAAATTCACCCCAAGTGACCCTTACATGTCAGCAGAACTGAGACCCCTTACATTAAGAATTATCCAAGGAGTGGTTCTCAAACACCTGGAAGGCTCATGAAACATAGATTTCTGGACACACCTGCAGAGTGGCTGATTCAGTGAGTCTAAAGGTGGGTCACAGAGTTTACATTTTCAGCAAGCTCTCAGGTGATACTCAGGTGGCTCCCAGGGACCACACTGTTAGAACCACTGACCCCAAAGCATATATGTTGTAATTGGTAAATAAGATGCAATGTGGGCCTCCCTGCCTCGAAGTCTGCACCCCAAGCATGTTTGTATTTCCCTTTTATTTTTATTTATTTATTTAGAGATGGAGTTTCGCTCTTGTTGCCCAAGCTGGAGTGCACTGGCATGATCTCCACTCACTGCAACGTCTGCCTCCTGGATTCAAGCAATTCTCCTGCCTCACCCTCCCGTGTAGGGGATTACAGGCATGGGCCACCGCACCTGGCAAATTTTGTTTGTTTGTTTGTTTTTGGTTTTTTGTTTTTGTATTTTTAGTAGAAATGGGGTTTCACCATGTTAGCCAAGCTGGTCTCGAACTCCTGAACTCAGGTGATCACCTGCCTCGGCCTCCCAAAGTGTTGAGATTACAGGTGTAAGCCACCACATCTGGCCTATTTTTGTTTATTTTTTGAGACAAAGTTTCACTCCTGTTGTCCAGGCTGGAGTGCAATGGCACAATCCCGGCTCACTGCAACCTCTGCCTCCTGGGTTCAAGTGATTCTCCTGCCTCAGCCTCCCGAGTAGCTGGGATTACAGGCATCTGCCACCATGCCCTACTAACTTTTTATACTTTTAGTAGAGACGGGATTTCACCATGTTGGCCAGGCCGGTCTCAAACTCCTGACTTTCAGGTGATACACTAGCCTCGGCCTCCCAAAGTGCTGGGATTACAGGCGGGAGCCACCACACTGGGCCCGTATTTCCCTTTTAAAGTGGTCTATTGGACCAAAAGAATCTCTAGACACAATGACTACTGTGGAGGAGCTGTAGAATCTCTCTCCTGAGAGATGTGTCAGATAGCATGGGAGACAATATTCCAGGGCATTGCGGCTCAACGGGCGCTCTGTGGACCAGGAGTATTGGCATCACCTGGAAACTCATTAGAGGTGGAGTCTCTCAAGCCCCACCCCAGAGCCAGGACTGGAATCTACATTTTTAGAAGGTTTCCAGGGGATTTTATACACATGAAAGTTTAAGCAATGCTGTTCTAGGAGAGCTGAGAAACACCATGATTGGAGGATGGAGAGATTAGGGGTGTGTGCCCAGCACACCTACAGGAGGTAGGGGGCAGGGAGCTGCAGCTCATCTAGGTCCTTCTAAACCCTGGCAAATACTGGCAGCGTCAGGAAGGGTGTTCAAAGAGGGCACTCGACCATGATGATAATGACAAAGAGAAAAGAAATAAGGGAGGAAGAGGGAGAGAAACGAGATCCAGGTGGCAATGTCCCAGGGAGTTCAGGTCTAATGACTGGATTCAATGATGTCTAGAGTGTGTTCAGCCCTGGCACTGCCACTCAGCCCAAAAGCAGAGGAAGGAGGGGAAAGTTGTGGGCTGGCCTCTGAGCAACCCATGTTGCTGTCACTTAAGCCTCACCAGATCCCTATCAGGGATGGCCATGCCTGGTGTATTAGTCTGTTCCCACATTGCTATAAGGAAATACCTGATACTGGGTAATTTATAAAGAGAAGAGGTTTAATTGGCCCACAGTTCGACAGGCAGTGCAGGAAGCATGATGCTGGCATCTGCTTGGCTTCAGGGGTGGCCTCAGGAAACTTATGATTATGGTGGAAAGCAAAGGGGGAGCAAACATTTGATATGGCCAGAGCAGGAGGAAGACAGAGCGAGGAGGGAGGTGCTACACATTTTTAAACAACCAGATCATACAAAAACTCACTCAGTATCACGAGAACAGCACCGCAGGCATGGTGTTAAACCATTCATGAGAACTCCACCCCCACGATCCAATCACCTCCCACCAGGCCCCACCTCCAACAACAGGGATTACAATTTAACATGTGATTGGGGCAGGGACACAGATCCAAACCGTATCACCTGGTTTCCAAGGAGAAGTCAAGATAAGGAAGATCAGAGGACCTGTGCAGGTCTCACAGTTACTCAAAAAAACAAAAACAAAAAAACCCAGGGGATTTCTTATCCAGGTCTGGGAAGCCAAAGCTCACATTCTCCTCACCACAAAATGTGAGGGATAGGTTCATGGGAGATGATTACAGGAGCACCGTAATTTGGGAGTTTCAGAGGATTCCCAAATTCTGTCTTGTCTTTTGCCCAACAGAGTAACCAAGCCACTCTGAATGGATGTAGGAGACAGAGCTTTGGGATTACACACAGGGGCTCTGGACTCTAGTCGCCTGAATTGAAGCCCTGTCTCAACTCTTTGCTAGCTTCAGGCTCCCGTCTATAGATTCTCTTTGTCTCCGCTTCCTTGCCTGCAGAAGATGGAGAAGAAACTGATATCCACCTCACTGAAATTTTCCAAGAATTAAATCAGATAAAACATTCAAAGTTCTAAGCCCCGTGCCTGGTAGTCTCTTTGGAAGAAGTACCAGTCCCTAGTCTTGGTCCGGTCAAATAATCTCTCTAATTGCTGCTCTGGAAAGGAGCATTTTAATTCCACAGTGGGACAATGTGGAGAAGTGGAATGCTATGGGAAATGTGGGTACAAAATGGGAGGCGAAGGGCGGATGAAGCCCAGTTATTTATGTGATTGCAGGATGTTTGCAAAGACACACTCAAAATGCACACAAGTTGGCGTTTCCCCACAAGTGATGGCAGTGAGCCTGGGAAGGGTAATGTCGACATCAGAACCATCTGGCTGTGCCTGCAAATTCAGAAGCCAATCACCATTCCCACCCTCTGAACTCTCACCACCCCAGTCCTACATTTTTATACCAGAGACCCTGAGCCCCCTGGAAGGGGAAATAGTCTCTGTCCCATTTGCTGCCCATAAATAATACCCTGCAAGAGTGCTCACTTTAGTACCTTATCTTGCTTTGCAGTTACCTTAAGTGCAAAAGACAGGCTTGGAGAAGAGAAGCACGAGCTGAAAACCTGCAAACTTCTGTGCTCCCCTGGGCTCAAAGGTCTACAGAAGGAAGATTTGTTTTTAAAATACTTCCCTGTTCAGGAAGGGTAGTAATTGTGATCATCAGAGGCACCTTGGTGTGTCCTAGGCTTTCATTCCTGGGGTTCACAGGAATCCACGTAGAGTTCCCCTTCCTGCTCAACTGCTGCCCTCAAGAGCCAGCTAGCCTTGCTCAGGTCATTGCAAAACCTGATAAACTAGGTGCCATTATTATTACTATTTACAGGTGAGAAAACTGAGTCTTAAAGAGTTTCACCTATGTGCTCAAGGTGGTACCTATAGTAAGTGATTGAGGACCAGGAAGCATGGTCTTCCAGAGCCTGGGTTTTAGCTGCCAGGCCAACCTTCATCCATGGTGGTGCAGGGGGACTATCATTGAGGTGGGGACTCACCAGACCTGTGTGGACATCTTGGTTTTGATGTTCACCTTTCTTCTGGTACCACTGTCCCCATTTTTCTCTGGAAGACCCAGTATCAGTCTTGCCCCGGAGGGCACCTGACTCATGCCTGGCCAGTCAGCACATCCCTCAGGCTGTAGGGATTGGTTCATGAATGGGCACATGGCTAGAGAGGTGGCTCATTCTGCTGGACATGGGGCTGTGAGCCCAGGAGCCCGGAGGGAGAACCTGCTTGAGAATTAAACCAATGCTGAGAAGAGCAAAACCCAGAGATGTTGTGTCAGGTAGGAAGGCCATGCTAAGCTGAGGTAACAAATAAACACAATTATTGTTGTTATTTATTATTGTGTAGCTTAACATAATAAAGGTTTATTTCCCCCTCACATAAAGTCCAATGTGGGTCAGATGATTTTCCAGGGCAACTGTCTTCTTCTAGTCCATAACTTGGGGGTTCAGGTGCTCTCCATCCTGTAATGGGGCCATCTCAACATGTGGCTTTCAGAGTTCCTGAAGTAGGAAATAGAGACATAATACACTCATTTTATTGGTCAGAAGTTGTCATGTGACTCACCTAAACTCAAAGGGGCAGGGAAATATGGCTGTCCAATGTGGCGCAGAAGGTAAGAACTACTCAAGAATGAACCCCGAAAGTCTCCACCACAGATGGAGGGAAATAAAGTAGTTTAAATGATTCAACATGATTTAGATCTCTGGATCAAGCTGTGCCTGAAGGAGTTGCAGTAGTTCTTAAATGAGCCAATAGATTTCTTTTTTAAAAGTCTAGTTTAAGTTTAGTTTTCTTCTCACTTGCAATTGAACAAATCCCACTTGACAGGAACATACCTAGACCTCACTCCCTGGCTGGCTCCAGCATCTCCCTCCTCCCAGTCGAAACACCACCCACTATGGGCTTCTGCCCTTCCACTCACTAAGAACTGCAACACACGCAAGCTTAAATGTTCTAGATTTTCCTAGGAACTGTCTTTTCAGCCACTGTGAAGGCCAAATGGTACATGAGAGAGGAAGTCACTTAGGAGAAAATAAAAGTCAATGCTAAAAATAGCCTTCCATCTTGCAAATGAATGGGGTTCCCCTGAAGGAAAGATAGGACTTCTGTAAAACGCCATAAAGTTAGCTCTCTGAGATCCTTTGGAGAAAGTGGCCACATCTGTCCTTAGATTAGCAGCAGCAGCAAGAGTTGGCTTGACCTCCTAGGGACTTTGCTTGAAGACTCTGGCTGGAGAGAGGAGATCTGGGTTCTGGTTTAATCTTTGCCATTGACCAACTGGCTAACCTTGAGCAAGTCATTTATCCTCTCTGGGCCTCAGTTTCCTCATCTGTAAAGTGAGTATGTTAAAGTAGCCAGGGTCTAATTTCCCTGTCTCCCTTATGCCCTAGATTTCTATAAGATCCCACCTCCACCTGCAGGTGCTCAGAATGTGGCTCAGCAATTGTCCTGCTGGTCACAACCAGCAGGAGTGAGTGTGCTGGTTGAAACCCCTCCCAGAACTTCCCATGAAGAGTGGCTGCACACTCTGTGTACTAGCTGGGTAGACCACTGCCAAAATCATATTCGAAGAACATTGGACTGGGAGCCAGGAGACCTAAGTTCACATACCACTTGTTTCATTGCCTTTGACAAGTCCTTTAAATCTCTCTAGACTTAAGTTTCTCCATCTTTCATGTTGGAATGGTGATTTGTGCTTCCATCAGAAGATCAAACAACCTTCTAGAGGCTGCTTTGGGCTTAGAGTCATGTGACATGGTTTGAGTTATCACTCTGACATCTTCTAGCTATGAGACCTTGAGCAAGTTGTAATCTCCCCACACCTTAAGGTCTGTAAATAAAAATAGCAACCATTAACTTAATTGAGGGCTTTCTCTGTGTTTCCCTACAACCTCATGAGGTAGGTACTATTATCAACTGTATGTTTCAATGTCCTTTAACCTCTCTAAGCTGCAGAGTCACAGAGCAGGTGGCAGACCCACATTCCAATCCAGAGCTGTCTGGCCCTAGTCCCTGTTCCACACCACCCTCCCTGCTTCCCTGACATGGACAGTGAATGAGGATGGGTACAGGGAAGCCCCAAATGCTACAGAGGTGTCTCATTCAGGTCTGTATCATCCTTCCTCCCTAGAAACATAATTAAAATGTAGTATAGTCTCAGAGGCCTTGTGATGAATGAGTGATTAACGGGTGCTTAGATGGATAACAAAATAGATAAGTTATAAATGGAAAACAATGTGGCGCTGTGTAGATGCCCAAATGTATGTGTTGACCCAGGTACCATCACAGTCATTCCATGGGAGTAACAGGGATATGGTGATCAGGTGCGCTTGCGGTTGGGATATGGAAGCGGCCATGTTGAAGGGGCCCAGACTACCACACACCAGAGGGGCTGGGGTTTCTTCCTCTATTCCTCCACCAGTGGCCCAGAAGGTCCAGACATGTGCCCAGGGTAAGAAAGTCATCTAATTAGAGCTCTGATGCTAAATCGCATGAGGGCCTTCCCTGGAGCTCAGGATAGAGGGCTGGGAATGAGGCAAGCAGAGCTGGAGAAAAAGGGCTGCCCACCCATCACTCAGCCGTCTGGGTCCCATGCCCGAAGTGAAGGGGACGCCTCAGATCTTTCAGGAAATGTCAGCAGCCAAAACAATGTCTTCCTTGTCTTCCTTCTTGTTTTTTCACTCCTTCTGCATGCCCCTGTGGCCCAGGAATATATAGATCCATCCATCCAATTTTGAGTACCTGCTATGTGCCAGACACTGCTCAAAGGGTTTGGGATATCCTTAAATAAAAACACCCAAAAATCCCTGCCCAGGTTCACCTTGTGTCTGATCACAAGAGCAAACCCTGCCCAGCCACTGCCAGAATTGGTATCATGGGGCATCCTCTGCACTGACCATCTGATTATCTTGCCCTGAACAAAGGGTCAGAGCTATGTCTAAATGCTGGGATGGGTCCTACAATGAACTCACATCTCTGGAGAAGACCTTCAACATTGGAGAACCAGCTGGTGCCTTCTTCTAAAAGAAAGGCAAAGGTCTTGGACTTCGTAGTTCCTTGCAAATCCCAGTCTAAGCCATTCAGTAGCAGGAAATATGTGTACCTGGAGAGGTCTCCTGCATGGGTCTGTGAAAAGAAGGAGGCAGGTTGATAGCCACCAGTTGTCCAAATGAATTCACTCAATGATAATGCTGGGCACTGATTAAGTCTATGGCCCCTTGCTAGATGCTGAGACAGCCACTGAATAAATGAGAGGCAGTTCCTACCCTCCATGAACTTCCAAATGAGCTGACAATCGGATGGGCTGAAGAGGTTAGGAAATCTGTTTGGTTAGGGGTAAATAGAGGGATAGGATAGGCAGAGGGAAAAACCAGGACCAGGTTGGATGTAATACTGAGAACATGCACAGCCCAGGTATAGCAGCAGGGAGCTTATATTAATTCACTCACTCATTCATCTATTCAGTCAATAAATATTTGTTCCATACCTCTTCTATCCCACTCTGCTAAGCTCTGCAAATAACTTGGTGAGCACATCCACATCATTTCTTTTCTAAGCTGATGGTCCCAGTGGGAGAGACAGGCATTCATCAAATAATCACACATTATTTCTTTGAAGGAAAAATACAAGACATATCAAAAGAACTATGTATGTTGTTGTGTGTGTATGCATGCATGCACACATGTGGTGGTTAGAAGCTGGTGGTAAGGAGACAGTTTCTGCAAAGGTAACAACTTTTGCAAGATGTCCTGAGATAGGTAGGGATCTAGTCCAGTAGGTGGGCTGAAGAGAAGCAAACTAGAGGTGAGAGCAGGAATCAGCAAAGCCCAGGCTGATGGTACAGGTCAAGTTGAAGGTTTTGCTCTCATCCTAAGGAAAGGGCAGCCAACAAAAGGTTTATGCAGCAAACAACTAGGCTGTGATTTGTGCTGGAGAGAAGATGTCATGCTGAGGAGTTAGGAGATGAATTCACATTTCCTTCATTTTATGAAGAATTTACAAAACCTTTGAGCCAAAAAAGTTCATTTTCTGTTCTCTCAGAGGCAGTATAGCAAAATGGTTATGAATCCAGGATTTTAGGGTGAAGATTTCAATCCTACTTTGGATAATTAATAATAAATTAGTTCTAAGCCCCATGTTTCTCATAGGGCTTTTGTGAGCATTTAAATGCAAACGTATGTAAACGTGAGCAGTATCTCTAGCACTTACAAGCACCCAACAATTTACAACTATTTTTCTTGGTTCTCCTTGCACCTTGAGTAAAGAGATGCTGAGCTGCATCATAAGTTTCAGTAGGGTTTGACCACTCTTAGGACCATCTTTCACTGAGGGACCTTTGGCCTATTGCTTTCTTGCTGAAGTTTAAATGTTTCCAGTTTCTTTTTGAGAACAGCTGGTCCCAATCTACTAAATAACCCCTTTGCACACTTGAAGACCATTATTAAGATTCCCTTTGGCCATAAACATACGAAGAAGTGTTTAACATATGAAAAAAATGTTTAACCTCACCAGTAATCAAAGAAATTCAAATCAAAACAACAAAATGCAATTTTTGCCTATCAATTTGGTAACTTTTTAAAATGATAGTGCACAGTGCTGGTGAGAGTAGGGTAAGGTGGCAATTTCGTACATTGCTGGTGGGAACATAAATTGGTACAATCTTTCTGGAAAGCAATTTGGCAATATGTTATCAAGACCCTGAAAATTGTCCTTACCCTTTCACCCAGTAATTCCACTTCTGGGAATCTATCTCAAGGAAATAATCAAAGAATCAGACAAAAATTTCTGTTCATGCTGTTTGATATAGCAAACAATATTTTGAATTAGGAATAACCAAAAACTACCTAGAAGTCAAATGGTGTCGTGACATATATTACGGTGTCGTGACATATATTAAAAAGTTATTAAAAGTCCTGTTAACAAGGAATTTTCAAGGACATTTAAAATGGTCACCAAAAACTGTAAAACACAAACATATAGAAGATACAAAACTAAACACAGTAGGATTTTAATTATGTAATTATATATACTTATATTTTTATATGTGCATAGAAACAGCTACATGCAAACACAGCAAAATATTGACAGTTCTTACTAGAGGGTGATAGAATTAGGGGTGGCTCTTTATTTTCTACTTTACAATTATATAACCAAAAAACTTGTTTAAGAGCTCACATGGCCTTATGTATTTTTCTAAGTAGTTCATCATGGTCCCTGTTCTGCCATAGCATCTTGCCCAGAATCGAAACAGCGGACTTTCAGTGGTTACAATTTACCTGGAAAGGGCCAGATAGCAGATATTTTAGGCTTTGCAGATCATACAGTCTTTGTTGCAACTTCTCAGCTCTATTGTTGTATGGCAAAACCAGCCATAGATAATATGGAAACAAATGGGCATGGCTGTGTTCTAATAGAATTATATATATATAATTATATATATAATTATATAGATATAACTATATATATAATTATATATATAGTTATATATATTTATATATATAATTTTATATATATATGCAGCAAGTCAGTTTTAGCCCATGGCCTTAGTTTGCCAACACCTAGTCTAGATGATTTGAATCTCTCCTGGCCCAAATTATGTATAGTCTCAAACAAGTATAGTTGGGGAAACTTCTAGAAGGGTGGGGTGAAGTAAGGTTCTTGTCTCCATATTCCTAGTGAGTCAATCCTTCTGAAATGTATTGAGAAGCAGTCAGCCAGGGCACTTCTCACAGGCTTTTATTCGCCTCTTTGGTTTTTTTCTTTCTTTCTTTTTGTTTTTATTATTTCAATAGTTTTGGGGATATAGGTGGCTTTTGGTTACACGGATAAGTCCTTTAGTGGTGATTTCTGAGATTTTAGTGCACCCCTCATCCAAGCAGTGTACCCAACATGCAGTATTTTATCCCTAATCCCCTCCCAACCTTATCCCCACCCAAGTCCCCAAAGTCCATGATATCACTCATGCCTTTGCATCCTCATAGCTTAGGTCCCACTTATAAATGAGAACGTACAATATTTGGTTTTCCATTCCTGAGTTACTTCACATAGAATAATGGCCTCCGACTCTATCCAAGTTGCTGCAAAAGACATTATTTCATTCCCGTGTGCCTAAGATAAGAGGATCTTTGGGTCCAGGAGTTCTGGGCCGACCAGACATCTGCACTAAATTCACCATCAACATGATCAATATAGTGACCTCCTGAGAGCACGAGGCCACCAGGTTGCCTCAGGAGGGGTGAACCGGCCCCGGTCAGAAACCAAACAGGCCAAAACTCCCAGGCTGATCAGTATTCGCCTCTTTGCATGGGTCTTCCCTCTTCTTGCTCATCAGTGTCCCCTCCAAGTCCTTCCTTTGCTACCACCCACTGCAGCCCTTATCCCATCTGACATAATAGGAGGTGAAGAAAGCCAAACACCCCAGTGATGACTGAAAGGGGCTGCAGAGACTTGGAACAGTTGGTGGCTAGTTTGAGATATCCCTTCTCTACCAACAGTGTGGTAAATGCACATGATAGCAATAACTTAAGCATACCGAGAACAAGGCTGTATGGCCGATGCACCTGACTGTGTTTTCAGAGTTCCAAGCTAAGGAATCTGGGAGGAGCCAATGCAGAGATTCGTTTTTTATCTATGAGGAACATCTGAATGCCCAGCCCTTCCTGCAGAACATGGGCCATGCAGGGATCGAGGCCCTTTGTTTGGGGGTTCAGTAAATGTTGCCAGGTGGAGACTGTCAGGGGAAGGGTGCTAAGTGAAAATGTTACATAAACTGCACGTTCTTTGCAAGCAGCTCCTGCCCAGCCCACCACCACTGGACTCTCTTCCCTGTATGTAAGTCCCTAGCCCATGTCTCATCTGCTGGTTCTGGGTCTCGTCTCCAGCCTCTTCAACCTGGTGCCATCCCCACTGGAGTTGACAGGGGTTCAGCACAATACCAACAATGAGGTTTCCAGATTCCTGGGTTTGTGGCTCCATCTTCCTTCTGGCCACTGTGTTCCAGAGGAGGAGAAGGAGAGAGACAAAGGATGAACTGTAAGTGTGCTGCATCCCAGGCATTGCTCCGAGGGGTCCATAAGATGGTTTTTTGGTGGGGAAAGTTTTATATTATAGAGACAAATAGAACCCTCACAGCAAGGACGCACCATAAACTTATGTAAACATATAAGTATATGTGTATGATACAAAGTTTTGAAAGTTCTCTTGTTGAGAGTGGAGTCTTATATCACTCACTTTAACATATGCACATGTCGGCCAGGCGCGGTGGCTCACACCTGTAATCCTAGCACTTTGGGAGGCCGAGGTGGGCAGATCACGAGGTCAGGAGATCGAGACCATCCCGGCTCATACAGTGAAACCCCGTCTCTACTAAAATTACAAAAAAATTAGCCTGGCATGGTGGCGGGCGCCTGTAGTCCCAGCTACTCGGGAGGCTGAGGCAGGAGAATGGCATGAACCTGGGAGGTGGAGCTTGCAGTGAGTGGAGATTGCGCCACTGCACTCCAGCCTGGGCAGCAGAGTGAGACTCTATCTTAAAAAAATATATATATATACACACATATACATATATATGTGTGTGTATATATATATATGTATATATGTATGTGTATATATATATATGCATATGTGTGTATATATACATATATATATATGCACAGGTCATTACCCAGTATAGGTAGGGAGCCTTTCTACCTTCTCCACCTTCCCTTTCCTGCTCCAATTCTTTTTGTATGTTTCCAGTAGAGTCCCCTTGTTTAAACCATTTTAGACATTGAGGCCTTGTCCAGGAGGCAGAAATGACATCTCAGAGCAGCCCACATATCAGGTGGTGAGTGAGAGAGTTATAGGATGACAGTGGCATTCCAAAGGCGTCTACTTCCTTGTCACTTTTCCCTACAAACACCTCAAATACAAAGTTGAGAACCACCAAGTGAAAATGGCCCACGTGGCAAGACAAGTCACTCATCCAGGGGTCCTCCCAATGACCTCTTCTGGCTTTTGGGTTTGATTCCCCTGACTGGTTTGATCTTACTATCATACTTTCTATTGCACCCAAGAGGCAGGCGCTGGCATTATTCAACTTTCCTTAGAGACCCAGCCATCCTGTTAAACAGTGATGAGGAAAGAGAAGAGAACAAGGAGACTTTGCATTTTAAAAATTAAAAGCTCCAATAGGTCATTTTGCTTAAAAGGAAATCTCTCGGCCGGGCGCAGTGGCTCACGCCTGTAATCCCAGCACTTTGGGAGGCTGAGGTGGGCGGGTCACGAGTTCAGGAGATCAAGACCATCCTGGCTAACATGGTGAAACCCCATCTCTACTAAAAATACAAAAAATTAGCCAGGCGTGGTGGCGGGCGCCTGTAGTCCCAGCTACTCGGGAGACTGAGGCAGGAGAATGGCGTGAACCTGGGAGGCAGACCTTGCAGTGAGCCAAGATAGCGCCACTGTACTCGGGCCTGGGCGAAAGAGCGAGACTCCGTCTCAAAAAAAAAAAAAAAAAAAAGGAAAGCTCTCTCACACCATAACCAAGGCAGAAAACATTTGTACCCAACGCTCACATCTACCTACAATCTCTGTTAGGCGGTTGCTCTGTGACTTACTTTTCTGCTCAATATTGACTTCAATGGATATTTTACTCTAATTTCCTCTGCATAGAAATGTTTGGTGATTGTCTTGCTGGAGGAAGGGTACATTGAGAGCCCATTGTGAATCTCACTGTCCATACCATCTTTCTATGAAATCTTGTTCAATAAACAATCATTAGGGGCAACATGGTGGACAGGAAGGCCATAGGATTAGAAGTCATTCATGCTCCCACATGGTAGGCATTTTCTCTGTAGAAGACAAGACTCAGTTTGAAAAGCATTTCTGTCACTCCCCAACTATGTGGATTACTTCATCTCTCCAGGCTTATCTTCCTTCTATTTGAAGGAAGAAAGGATGGCCAGGCGCAGTGGCTCACGCCTGTAATCCCAGCACTTTGGGAGGCTGAGGTGGGCAGATTACCTGAGGTCAGGAGTTCGAGACCAGCCTGACTGACATGGTGAAACTCCGTCTCTACTAAAAATAAACAAATTAGCCGGGTTTTGTGGCAGATGTCTGTAATCCCAGCTACTCAGGAGGCTGAGGCAGGAGAATCGCTTGAACCTGGGAGGCAGAGGTTGCAGTGAGCCGAGATCACACCAATGCACTCCAGCCTAGGCGACAGAGTGAGACTCTGTCCCAAAAAATAAAAAATAAAAAAGAGAAAGGAACAGGGTGGGAGTGGGAGGCATATATATGATCTCCATCATGCAGGGCTGTGAAGCTGGAACAGGGGCTATGTGATCACCTGTCACAGGGAAGGTGCTTAGAACATTCCATCCGCACTTCATTCTTGAAGCAAGAAACCATGCTAATAGCTCTCAGAGTTGCAGAGAAGGATGTTACCCAGCCCTGTCCCCCAAGTGCTGAGTCTTCAGGGAAAACATTTGTGTACACAGGTAATTCAGAATATTGGGCACATTGTGAAAGGTGCTGCCAGAACAAAGAGGAAGAAATTCATCCAAACAGCCAGTATTAGTAAAGGCTTCAGGGAGGAGGTGGCATTTGAGCTGAGCCTTGAAGGACAAGGATGGAGAAACAGCCAGGGCTTCCGGGAGGGAACCATGAGAGCACAGGCTGAAGACAGGAGGGGACAAGCATTTCAGGAAATGATGAAGCATTAAGGACAGTCAGGTGCAGACAGAGCCCAGAATGAGTGAGGCTTAAAGAACTGAAGGAGGCCAGATCATGACAGAGCCACAGATGCAGTGCTGAGATTGCATGGTTTCTTTTTTGTTTTGTTTTGTTTTGACTCAGAGCCTCGTTCTGTCGCCCAGGCAGGAGTGGTGCAACCATAGCTCACTGCAGCCTCCACCTCCTGGGCTCAAGCCATCCTCCTGCCTCAGCCTTCTGAGTATCTAGGAGTATAGGTATGTACCAACATGCCGGGATAAGCTTTTTTATTTTTATAGAGACAGAGGTCTCACTATATTGCCCAGGCTGGTCTCAAACTCCTGGCCTCAAACGATCCTCCTGCCTCAGCCTCCCAAATCACTGAGATTACAAATATGAGCAAGATTACATGTTATCATGGGGGAGGGGCGCATAAGATTCTCAGACCAGGAAATTACGTAATCAGAACATCATTTTAACACAGTGAACACACATCTCTGTCTGCCCAGGATAATCCACTGGCATAATTATCAATGGAACCCCCATTCACTCATAAAAGCACTTTCCTTTAGATGAAGAATTACATGATCACTCTCAGTTTAGATCACCCTGCTGTCCATGGGACACAGAAACCAGGGGCAAAAGGAGGCTGGACCAGAGAGCCATTCAGAGGCCATATCAACTATCCAAGCAGGAGGTAGGGACTTCCAAAGGCAGAGAACTCATGGGAAGGCAAAGTACTAGATCAAAGTACCAATTTGAAGGCAGATTCAACAAGACCGATTGATTACCAGACGAGTGATGGAGAAAGAAATAAGCAGACCCACTAGATGACTGACAGTTTAGTATCAGATATGGGGACTGGACAGGCTGAGCAGGACATTCTTGTGTAAGAGGGCAAGGAGCTGGCAATGAAAATCTGGAGCACAGAAGAGGCCAGAGCTGGAGATGTGGATTTGGCAGATGGCAGAATCCTGGGGACAATCATGGCTGAAGAGGGAGGGTGTGAGACCACCCAGGGAGAGGGTCAAAAAGATGACAGTGAGGGTACACTGAGATGATACTGAGACTTGTGCAAAAGAAAAGAAGATTCAGGGAGAAACAGGCTCATGGACACCTGTGGAGAAGAAGGTTTGGGGATGACTGCCAGGATCAACAGAGCCAGACGCTCCTGCAGGAGTGAGTAGGTTGGAAGAGGACAATGGGAAAGACCTTTGAAAGTTCCATTGCACCAGAACAGTGGGGCAGAGGCAAATTCAGTGGGTTGAAGAGGGAGTGGGAGGTAAGGAAGTGGTGTCAATAAGTACAGATGATTCTTTGGATAAATCTGTTAGTGAAAAGAAGGAAAGAGATGAGACTGTGGTTTGAGGGAATAATTTTTTTAAAAAAGAGGGGGCAGGGAAGCATTTGGGAAGTTAAATGTGGAAGTTGAACATATTTGAACACCGAGAGGAAGACAGTGGCAAGAAGAGGGGGTGTGAAGTTGCCAGAGATAACCATTTGGAATAAGGTAGGAACAGATGGCTTCTGCTCCAGTGGAGAGGCCATCCTTAGACAAGAGGTAGGACTCTGGAAGGAAGCGAGGCTGCACTTGGAGGGAGTGAATGCTGCAGGTGGTGGTGCCTATAGTAGTAGTATTATAACATCATTAGTAGTAACAATGAATGGTTAACCTTACTTTTTGTTTACATGCAAGTTCTCTGCATTGTTTAATCCTCACAACAGCCCCATTTTATATGTGAGAAAACTGAGCCCAAGAGAGGTTAATTAAGTTGCTCATAAACCACTGTAAAAATGCCAGAAGGTGGATTGAAATCCAGGTCTTTCCAATGGCATAGCCAGACTTGTGGGCCACTTGGAGTCAGTATAGACCAATGGCTCAGTCCTCTCAGTGAGCTGGAGGTGAAGTCATCTTCTGTGAATGATGGGGGTGGATGTGGAGGCCTGAGGAAGGAGGAGAAGAGTCGAAACAGCTGCTGGGAAGAATGCAGTAGGGATGAGCCAGAGAAAAGAGAGGGCACGGACAGCTTCCCAGGGGTACTGATAGTAGATTCCATCTCGTTCTTATCACCCTCATTCCCAGCCCCATTTCCTACCAGGGGCATGCACCCCATACTCTTCTCATTTATTTTGTGTCTTCTCTCCTCTAATCCCTCCATCAAAGGAAATAAGAGCCATGTGCTCAAGTGGAATGGGTCAGATTCTTCCCACTGCTGGAGGACTTGGTGATGGCCAGTGGGTAGAGCTGGGGAGGTGGTCCTCAGGGCCTTTGTCCCACCAAGAACACCCTTGGCCTGAAAGGCTTAGGGAAGCAAGGCATTCACCAGGCAACAGGGATTGCAGATGGAGTGTCTGGGAGCTGTGCCTCTGCGTTTAGAGGGCCAGCGTTGCTGTTTCTGCCTGGGCCCAGCCAATAGCAGAAGAGAGCTGGAGCCAAAGCACTTGTCCCAGGTGAACCAGCCATCTTCTATTCCATTAACAAGCCTGTTCATCCCGTGCGACCTCTTTCTACCAGAGATCTATTAATTTTAGCTAACAATCAGTGAAGAGGACACCATTTGATCCCAGAGCTTAAACCCATACTTCTTATTCACTGGTTTGACCACTTTGAAAATAGTAGCAGGATCAAATAGGCTGAGCCTCCCTCTTTGGACAGAACTTCATTGAATTGTAAATGGAAGGTGTTAGCCTTGGAGACAAGCTTAAAGATATGGTATTACTGCTTGTTGGATGTGGACCACCACTTATAAAAACCTACTAAGCCACTGGTCAAATTGATAGAATCCATACAGTACCAGAATCTAGAAAACATGGGGCTCAACTCAAATTTCCATAAAAGTGGCCAACAGGACCAGGGAATCGGCATTGAATTCTCAATGTGTGCTGACTTTCAGCCTCCAAATGTCATGGTCAACACATGGGGTCTCAGGATAGGACATCTGTGGGCTGGCAGGTTCCTGAAGCGTTTATTGGAATTTTCTTGGGACTCTTTTCCACAGTGCTAGAAACTGAATTGTAAGAAAGTAATCACAATGAATTCTTAATAATTGAGAAAAAGCACGGGGAAAATGATCACATCTGTTCAGACTAAAATGGAATCGTTTCAGGGAATGCAAGCCGACAACGCTCAATCTACATTTAAGGCGACTGTATTTGTAAGATTGGGGACAAGGAAGAGGGGAGAAGCAGCTCTTGAGAGAGAGAGTCCTAAATCTGTATATTCAGAATCCATGGGTGAATGTTTGGGAAGCAGTGATTTGTGTGTGTATGTGTGTGTGTGTGTGTGTGTGTGTATACACACGCACACATATAAGCACACACATTCTCACACACTCGAACCCACACACTCCAGGTTTCTGAAGAGCTGTATACCATTACCCAGTTCGAGTTGAAATGAACCCCGTGCCTCCCTGTAGCCCCTGTTTTGAGTTGTATTCTCCTATCATGGGCAGGAGAGTCTCCTGCAAACCCTGGCCACGGCGTCCTCAGTCCAACTCTCCAACAGATTACCATCTTTCCCTTAAGTTGCCCTGAAAAGCAGCCCAGGGGCAACAAATCCCTCCCTCTTCCACCAGTTCCAACATTTCTCTAATGAATGCAGGAGAAAATTAATTACAGAGAGATTTTCAAGACCTCGGCATCTAATGACCAGCCCCAGCGCCCCCTCTCTCCAGTTCCTCATTGGCCCTGCCCAGCCCTGCCCTCCTTCCCTCCACCCTCCCCTCCCCTCCCTTCCCAGAACCCAGGAACAATACCGCAGGCTAATTAGGCAGGGAAAGAGTTTCTTGGCAAAAGGGGCTGAGTGCTAGGTCACTACCTTGAACAACCCAGAAGAAAAACAAAACAGCATTAAAAGAAAAAGAAAGGGAGGGGGACCTGTTAATCTCAAGTGCATTTCCGCCAAATACTCTCCTTTTCAAGTGTTTTCTTCCTGGTAAACAAAGTTCTGTGGCTGGCTTTGGAGATTTTAGGACGCGGTTGCTTAGTAATATTGGGGAAAACACGAAGTCCCCACCTCAGCCCCATTTTGTGCCTCCTCTCCCTCGGTCACTGCACTGAGGGGTGGTGACACATTCCCACATTGCAAGGGACAGCCCATTTGTGAAGAAGAGCTGAGCTTTCTTTTCTTTTCTTCTTTTCATGTCTCACAGCTTCCCGAAGCCCAGCAAAGAACAGAGATTTCTGCTCCCAAGTTTGGTGAATCTAGACCAGCGCTGTCCAGCAGAACTCGCTGTGATGATGGAACTGTCCCATATCTGTGCTGTCCAATATGGTGGTCACCAGCCACACGGGGCCACTGGGCACTTGAAATATGGTTTGCACAAATGAGCAACTGAGTGTTAAATGTTATTTCATGTTGATTAATGGAAATTGAAATAGCCACAGAGAGCTTGTGGCTTGGAGAGCCACAGCTCCTGTCAAAACCTCTGTGGGCTGAGGGCAACCAAGGGCACAGTAGTAGCATCTGGGTGGCTCGGTGACATTTATGAGGGACAGAGGATGGGATGGTATAAGGAGCACAAACAAAGGTCCTGATTTCACTACAGCCCTATCTTCTCTTTTCTGTGCCCTTGGGCATCACTTAAATTGATCCTCAGTCCCCTCTTCTGTAACGTTAGAGACAATCACAAGAGTGCACTTCACTGTTGTTTTGAGGCAAGGGCAATGGATGCCGAGTCCCCTAGTGACCTCTTCCACCAGAGAATAACAAATACAGGCAGACCTGGTGCTCTGCCTTCCTGCCTACTCTCCAGTCTCATCTCCTGCTCTTCCTTGGCTGGCGTTTTTTGCTCCCAGAATTCCATGCACTTTCAACTTTGGTATCTTTGCCTATGTCATGCCTTCTGCCTGGAATCCCTGCCCTTCTGGTTGCCTTGCCTTGGCCAAGAAAATTCCTGATCAATCTCAAGGGACCTAAAGAATAGGGAATCTTCTGAGCTCTGAGCTAGAAAGCCTGTTTCCCCTCTCCTGTCATCCCATCTTCCTCCTCCTGTCATCCCATCTTCCCCTCTGCAGTCATCCCATCTTCCCCCCTCCTGTCATCCCATCTTCCCCTCTCCTGTCATCCCATCTTCCCCCTTCCTGTCATCCCATCTTCCCCCTCTTCTGTCATCCCATCTTCCCCTCTCTTGTTATACCATGTTCCCCTCTCGTCATCTCTCTTTTTTTCTCTCTTTCTCTCCCCTTCTCTTTCCATTATGGCTGCCACTAGCTGCACATGGCAACTGAGCATTTGAAGTGTCGCTGGTACAACCGAGCACTGAATTTTTAATTCGAGTTTACTTCATTGAAGTTGAAATAGCCACATATGGCAAGCTCTTGCTTGCTCACTTCCTCGCTCTCTTGCACGCACACACACCCCACATGCTGTAGCTGGGCTACACACTCCTCTCCAACCCCATCCCTCTGAACATGTGTGCCCCTGAACTTACCTACAATCTAGTATTGAAGCAACCTCTTAATAAATCTACCATCCCATGAGAAAGCGAGCAATTAGAAAAGACACAGCCTGTGTTCCACTGTTTTGTTTTGTTTTTCATCTATGTCCCAGCATTCAGTACAGCATCCAGTACATAGTAACTTCTCAATGAATATTTCCCATCCATGAAACAGAAATTGTTCATCAGTCTACAGCCTATATCATGGGTCAGCAAACTACGGCCCACAGGCCAAATCCAGCCCACTGCCCACTTTTGCATGGCCCTCTAACTAAAAAGCGTTCTTTTATTTTAAAATGATTATATAAGTACCTCCCTAATAGCCTTAACTTTGCCTCTTGGCCTACAAAGCCTAGGATTTTTTTGCTTCCTGGCCCTTTAAGAAAAAGTTTGCCAATCTCTGGTCTGGATCCCAAGAACAGCTGCTAATAGGGCTTGGTGTAGCCTGTGGTTAGAGAAAGGGATAAATGAGGTCTGGGGAGGGGTGTGGAGAGAAGGGCCCACACCTGGGACAGTCCTAGCAAAGCTGAGCCCACAGGTACCTGGCTAAGTCTGCAAGAGCTGGTCCTCAGGGACACTGCCAGCCAGGGCAGCACAGACAGGCACACCTCGTGCTTCCTCCTCCCTCTTGAGCCATGGCAAATGGAAGATGGGATTTTCTGGATTGTGTTTTGTGGTTTGACTGCGTAAAGTAGCAGTTTCCATTCAAAACAAAGCCCCTAAGCATATTTTTAACAGCAATGGCAAGGTCTTCCAAAGAGACATGCATAGGGGCTTGGAAGCAATCTGGCAGGCAGGAAGCAGTCTGTCCTTCCCTTTCCTGCTAAAACATGAACCGAGGTTTCTAAGAACCAAAGCAAAGATTGCTCCAGGCCCTGACAACACCACATCAAGGTGAGCAACAAGATCCTGAAAGGTTACCCCATCTCTGTCCTATGCTCCTCAATACCCTCTATACCTGGCCTGTGTCTTCCTAATCTCCACCCCAGAAACAAATCGTCAATCATCTCTCCAAACATCACAAGCATCTGGGAATGTCTCCTGCCCCACTCACTTCCCTGCTGGGTTCACCCTTCCAAACAGAGAGGGGCTGAGCACACCCAATGTGCTAAATATTTCCCTGCTGCAGAATCTATTTTGCTGCTGCGGCTGCTGCTTGGCAGCAAAGAGACAGGAAGCTATTTAGATATATTATCTTCCTTTTCAGGAAGTTGAGAGGAACTTTTCTATTGCAGTTCACACAAACATTCCGTCTAATGGTCATTTAGTCATGCCGGCTCATTAGGTCACCAGTGAGGAATGCCCAGGCTGATTAAACATCATTCCAGCTTCTCTACTCGCTGCCCCGGGTCCCGGGGAGAAAACAGAGCTTCCATGGCCTGGTGGTGACCAAGACAAGGAGCCCATCCTGAAAGCCACAGGGGCTCACTGCCAACCTCACAGCCCCTCCCCAGCTCCCACACGGAGCACTTCTTACTTCTAAGGGGGCGCTGATGGCTTTATAAAGAAATGTGTATGGGACTGAGTAGGAAGGTGGGCCCCATGAATACCTCTGGTCAGATAATGCTGTCCTTTAAGGGAGATCAAAGCGGGCCCTTGGCAGAAGGCCCTGAGAATGCTGTTACCAAAAAATGCAAGACAGACCCATGATGAGGTCACAGAGATGAATTGATAGCTAGAACACAAGCTTGTGCAGAATGTAACAACTAACTATGAGTGAGTGGTGGTTATGCACTAGACATATTCCAAGTATTTTATGTGTATTCACTCATTTAAGGCTTGAACAACTCAACGAGGTAGGAATCATGAGGAAATTGGCCCAGAAAGTCAAATACGGTATTTCTGCTTAAGGTTGCACACACAGTGGATCTAGCCTGTGCTCTGCATTAGGACTTTCTGCAGTGATAGACATGTCCCATGGCTATGCTTTCCAGTGGGGTCACCACTGCTACATGTGGCTATTAAGTCCTTGAAAAGTCACTGGTGTAACTGAGGAAGTGAATTTTAAATTTTATTTAACTATATTTAAATTTACGTGGTGCATGTGGCTAGTTGTTACCATATTAGACCCCCTGGATCTAGGTGGTCTGGCTCCAGAATCCACACCCTTAAACCTTGGACTGTCCTGCCTTTTAAATCAACTAAGAGAATCAACTACTTACTGGGAGAATAATTAAACTCTAAAGGTGGAGTTTAGGTAGAGTTTCATCAATATCTTAAAGGACAAGAACATGTAAGAAATTAGACTAGGAAAGAGAGAGAAAAGCTAGCTTAAATTAAATGGTAGGCATTCAGGGCAGGTGTTTGGGAGGGTATATCTATAAAAGGAAGAAGGTAAAATACCAACATGGCTTGTCAAGAGAAGAAGTGGTTTCCTCTTGTCTAACCAATAAATTATATTGAGCTCCTACTACGTGACCTTACTAAGTCTTGCCCTCTAGAGTCATGTGGCCTGGGTGGGAAGCCAGGTATGATCCCCTAAACAATGCCAGGCTGCATGGGCCAGGGCAGATGGCAGGACTAAAGTCTGTTTATTCTGTTGGTATTCCAGTTAGCCGTTCATCTGTAAAGACAGGAGTGATCAAGGAAGTCTTCATGGAAGAGAAGGCATTTAAGCTGGAATTTGAAAGAAATGGCTTGAATTAGAAAAGTGGGACAGTGGAAAGGATGACTGCAATGACATACTTGGAAGGAAACATGAACTGTTCTTGGTGACTCTTAGAGACTGACATACGGAGAGTAATCAAAAATGACTTTACATGTTTTGGCTTGGATAAAAATAGTAGTTCTTGGGGCAAACACAGGAACTTTAGGGGGTGGTAGGAGATAGTTTCAGAAATTATGACTTTGGTTTTGGGCGTGTGGATTCTGAGGTGACGGATTGTGGAAATCTTGGATTAATATCCACTTTTCAGTTTAGATGGGAGGAGGATGGATTAGAAGGCTGCCCGAGATCACCTCCATTCCTGGCACTCAGAGGAGCTGCGTTTACTCTAAAGCAGAGAAATTAGGCCAAGGCAGAATGAAGAGGAGCCACAGGACTCCAGAGAGGTTCACGTCACCACCCCACAGGGGACAAACGCATACCTTGTTTTCTGAGTTGACAGACATCCGGTTACTTCATCTTGGAAGTTACATTCATCTGCCCTTTGGAACATCCTGCCCAATGACCGATTTTTTAAAATAGCTTCTTTTCCCTGATTATATTTGTAATACCTACTCACTGCAAAACATTTGAGAAAGCTCAAAAACAGAAATAAGGAAATGCAATCACAAAGACACACACACACACCCACACACAGAGACATATATGTATATATAGAGAGAGACATGCACGTACACACAGACCCGCACATGTATGTGTATGTTTGTGTATAGTGTATATAGTTTTCATCCATTTTAGCTGGTATTTAAAAATGCACTTTTAGCTGACAAAATCTG
This sequence comes from Homo sapiens, assembly GCF_000001405.40. Lineage (NCBI taxonomy): Eukaryota > Metazoa > Chordata > Mammalia > Primates > Hominidae > Homo > Homo sapiens. Next base: position 72,341,393 of record NC_000017.11, read on the forward strand.
TAAGAATAAACAAGAAGATAACAATAGCCAACATTTATTGAGTTGTTAGTATGTTGTAGACATAGGGAAAAAATATACACCAATCTCTGCACACACATTTTAAAACAATCTGTTCCTAAAATGCATCTATTGGCTCTCTCCTTATTACCCAACATTCTTCAACACTCAGGTACGTGCGGGTACCTGTTTAACATCTCTTTTTGCCATGTGCTTATTTTCCTTCTAACTAGAAAGCTGTAGTTTCAGAATCACCTGTAACAGCCTCAGAGGCAGCCTATGAGAGGCCAAGAAGAGACAGAGTTGGGGGTTGACACATCATTAGGGATCCAAAAAAGCAGAATCCCTGCCAGGAGTCCCCGCCAATATTCTAAACCTCAAACCTTGAATTGCTGAATCTAAAGAATGCCCTGGACAAGAAAATCAACATTAAACACACCTAGAGAAATACAATAAATAGACACATATGAACAGTGCAAGCAGAGAGATTGAGTGCCTCTGGAAAGAGACAAGAGTGGGGAAGGCGTGCAAGGAGGTAGGACAGGACCCGGGGGAATTTGTGAGCTGCTGTCTTTAACCTGTCCCAGGGAAATAAGAATTGAAATATTCCCTAGTGAATATGATTGGCATATGCAGTTCATCCACAGATCATGGAAACACACCCAGATACAGACACACACCACATACAACCTCGATGGGCAATGCTTCCCTCCCACCTTGGTCTCCTGGGGATACCAACTAAGAGACTGGTGCTTCATTCTTGGAGACAGCCACAGTCTTTGTTTCTGGAGGTGGGTGGATCCTCATCTGGTTCATTTTTTCAAGAAACTGCCTGCTCCCTGAGAAAAGCTTGCTGGGGAGAGAGTTGTCTCACTGGATACGTCTGCGGAGGGGAAGAGAAGGGATGGCCTTTCCTCCAAAGATAACACAGCAGCCCCTGACCTCCTGCGAGTCTCCCTCCAAAACCTTCCTAATGAGCTGTCTCTGGGAGGGGGTGGATATTTTCCACACTATCTTGGCCTCTCCTTGGGTTTTTTTTTGAATCTTCACTTTTCCATGCCATAAACACCGTTTGCCATGACCTCTCCCTCACTGCCATCTCGGACAGCTTCTCATGCGTGAAACATATTTTTGTTCATTACTTTGTTGTCCACGACCTTCCTTCCCAACCGTCCAGCCCGGGTCTCCCTGCACCCTTCACCCCCACGTCACACATATAATGAATTGCTATTCCTTCAGACAACGGGGTGGAAAACTGTGGTCTCCAAGGCAACGGGGTATCCTGGGGTGGGGTGCTGGGGAGGGGGGCCTTGCCCGGCCAGGAAAGGACTGGAAGTAAAGGGGGGTGGGGAGGCACAAGCCGAGATGATATCATTCCTGAAGCCTGCAAGCAGCCAATCCGCTGGTGAGGATATGATGTCATCTCCCCCGCCCCCGCCCCTCTTAGCCTAGGTAGCCCCACTGAGAATTCTAGACAAGTATTGAACTGAAGTTGTATTACTGTGAGAGAAAGGGGGCGGGGGATGGCGATGGGAGAGAGAAAGAGATCTACGGACCCTCTGGATGGCCGGAGCAGACACTACAGTCTTCACCAGAGGCAGCCCCATAAAAATGTCATCGTCTCGGGCTCTCCCCGCATTACAACACAATGATTTCTTTGGGGAGGAGAAAAAAAAACTAAGATTTATTTTGCAACCACACCTCCGCCTCCCTTGGAAGAGAAATACTGACCAACAACAAGTTGTGAATGAAATGTCTGCAGATCGGCCCCCCTCGCCCAGCCTGAGAACTTTCCAGACGGAAAGGCGCACACGTGCACACAGCACCAGCTGAGCCGATTTGTGCTGCTCTCAGCAGCCACCGGGGATGGAGGAACCGCTCAAGGATCTCCAGAGTGCGAGCCTGGTTCGGGACAAAGTTGCCCAACCTAGTGGTGTGAGCCACGTAAGGAGCTGGGGAGAGGGGAGTCTGTCCCCAAGACAATGACAGCATCTAGGGCTCAGTGCCAGGCTCCCGGGAGAAGCAAACAAGCCATGGCTTTAGGGAGGGGTGCAGGCTCATTAGAGAGCCCACTGAAGTGTTACCACCATGCAGAGAGGAGGGGTGAGAGGGCACGGCTCTCCTCTGCCAGTTTTTTTCTCTTGGGACGGGGAAGCAGTGCTGCTTGGAAAATAGCAAACTCAAACCTTCCCCCCAAATGCCAGAAATGTTCCCGGGAGTCCAGGCCACAAGGACAGTGTGTGCAATGGCTTGGACCAGGCCAGAGCTGTTCTCCCTCCCCTTAAACTATGCATAAAAAGGAGGTTCCCCCACATGCTCCTCCTGGGATCTTTCTGGGGTTATCCCACATGAACCCGCTTAGATTGCCTTTGAGGAAACAGAGAAGTGAAGATCCCCCATCCACTCCCCATTTTGGAAAAGTGGACATCAAGGCCCAGAGAAGGGACAGGACCAGCCCAATGACCAACAGAGTCACCAGTGACTCTGGGGCTATGCCTAGGACTCTGTCTCCAGTCTACTGTTCATTCCCAAGGACAAGCCCACAACACAGTAGCAGCACCTGCAGATGGAAAGCCTTCGATCTCAATGTCACCTGTTTGCCGCTTTCTGCATAAGTAATGTCATTGTTGGAATGAGTTTATGATGGTCTCCATCCCCATTTCTATGAGCTGTGAGCAAGACATCTGCTGCATAGCTCACGTGTGTTCAGGCCTCCCTGGACCAGCAGCTCTGACTCACACACGCACAGAACGGTAAGGCACAGCCTCACTCCCTAAGGGCCCGAGATCCAGGAAGGGGGACAAAACAGGGGTCATGTAAACATGTGTGAATTGCATACACGAGTAGGATGGATGAGGGCTGGGTTTGCTCAAAAAAAAGAGGTGCAACTCTGACTTTTAATAAATAGTTACTGGCGTCCTACTCTCTGCCAGGTGCTGAAATACAAACATGACTAGGTCTGAGTTCTACCCTCGTGGCATTTATATCAAGAGAAGGAGACTGAGGCTGTAAACTTAAATCTTCCCTATGGAAGCCCCAGGAAGGCAGGGGCTTGGTTGTATGGAGGCTGTATGAACCCGGCACCTAGCATAGCGCCTGCTATACAGTAAACACACGATATGTTGGATGACCAAACAGAAGCAGTGCCTGGAAGGATGTTTCTAACTCTAGAGGACGTTAGCGAAGAGGTGATACTCGAACGGGGCTTTGGAAGATTAATGATCGCTTGCCAGGTGAAAGGAGGGGGAACATTCAAAGTAGAGGGAACAACATTTGTAAAGGTATGACATATAAGTGCAGGACAGGATAGGTTAGATAAGAGAATGAATAACCCCTGTATTAGTCCGTTCTCACACTGCTATAAATAACTGCCCGAGACAGGGTAATTTATAAAGAAATTGACTCACAGTTCCACATGGCTGGGGCGACCTCAGGAAACTTACAATCATGGTGGAAGGGAAAGCAGTCATGTCTTACATGGCAGCAGGTAAGAGAGCATGTGTAGAAAGTGAAAGGGGAAGAGCCTCTTATAAAACCATCAGATCTTGTGAGAACTCACTCACTATCCTGAGAACAGCATGGGGGAAACTGCCCCCGTGATCCAATCACCTCCCACCAGGTCTCTCCCTCAACACCTGGGGATTACAATTCGAGATGAGATTTGGGTGGGGACACAAAGCCTAACCATATCAACCTCCAAATCCCCATGGCTTAAGATAACAAAGGTCTGTTGCTTGTTTTTGCTACATGTCCGTTGCAAGTCAGCTAGCGACTCTGCTCCATGCTGTGGCCACTCTCTGACCCAGGCTGATGGAGCAGCCACAACTGCAATATTATTGCTGGTCACCAGCGAAGATGAAAAGGAGGGCTCAGCCCTTAAGTGACACACCCTGCTGCTTATAACTCATTGGCCATAACTGGTTACATGACCCCACCCAACCCCAACAAGGGCCAGGAAGTACAGTCCTAACTCACCATAATCAGAAAGCTAGAAATATTCAGCAGCAGCATTAATGACTATCACACAAAGACATGTAAAATTGGTCTTGTGTCTTTGGGGAATATACACTGTGAGCTGCAGCAGTCCAGGAAGGCTTCATGGAGGAGATGGGCTCAAAACGGGCTCTGAAGAATAGACAAGAGCCAGGAAGGCAGAAAGAAGAGGGAAAGGCATTGCAGACAGCAGAAACAAGCCAAAGCCAGACACTGGGAATGAAGCTGGTACCAGGCAGCTGGCAGGGATGAGGAGGTGGACTAGAGCGGCAGGATTTGGTTATTTTACCAACTGGATGCTGATCCTTTCACGGTGTCAAGAAAAATTGATCCGGAACACCAGAATGCTAGGTGGCGCTCCTGCAATGCATGCTTTCTCTTTTGGGCCATGTTTTAAACCTTGTATTTGGGAAAATTTCAAATTTATAAAAAGTTACAGAAATAGTAAAAGAAATGCCTGTATACCCTTCACCTAGGGTTTTCTATTATTAACATTTTATTTTATTGAGACAGGGTCTTCCTCTGTCACCCACGCTGGAGTGCAGTGGTACAATCACGAATCCCTGAAACCTCTGCTCCCCCCAGCTCAAGCAATCCTCCCACCTCAGCCTCCCAAGTGGCTAAAACTACAGGCATGTGCCACCATGCCCAGCTTTGTGTGTGTGTGTGTGTGTGTGTGTGTGTGTGTAGAGACAGAGTTTTGCCATGTTGTCCAGGCTGATCTCGAACTCCTGGACTCAAGCAATCCACCCACTTCGGCTTCCCAGAGTTCTGGGATTCACAATATTCTCCTATATAACCACAGTGCAGTTACCACCTTCCCAAATTTGCATTGATAAACTACTTTAATCTCCATCTATGTTCCAGTTTTGTCAATTAATGCAATACTTTCCTTTCTTCCATGGTTTCCCTCCAGCTTAGAATCCAATCTAGAGACTGGCGTTGCATTAAGCTGCCTTGATTCTTTGGCCACCTCCAATCTGAAACGTTGCACAGCTTTCTCACCTTTTTATAACAATCACGTTTTTAAAGAACACAGTCCCAGCTTACACCTCTTTTCCTTTAATAGACTGTTCCACCTGGGGCTTTTGTCTGATGTTTCCTGGTGAACAAATAGACTTTGTACATTCCGGGCAGCTGTGCTACTAGGTGATGCTATGTCCTCATGGTGTCCCTTCTGGAGGCACGAGATGTCATCTGCCCTCTTGGGTGATTATATTTTTGATCCCCTGCTTAAGATATTGCCCAGTTTTCCCACAAATAATAGTTGCTTTTGTGGGGTTTTCTCTTCCCTTGCAAATTAATAAGCAGTCAGAAAGGACACACTTTAAGATGATACAAATATCCTGTTCCTAGGCCGGGTGCGGTGGCTCACGCCTGTAATCCCAGCACTTTGGGAAGTTGAGGCAGGCAGATCACTTGAAGTCAGCCTGGCCAATGTGGTGAAACCCCATGTCTACTAAAAATACAAAAATTAGCTGAGCATGGTGGTGTAACCCCAGCTACTCAGGAGGATGAGGCACAAGAATCGCTTGAACCTTGGAGGCAGAGGTTGCAGTGAGCCGAGATCACGCTACTGCACTCCAGCCTGGGTGATAGAGTAAGACTCTGTGTCAAAAAAAAAAAAAAAAAAAGAAAGAAAGAAAAGAAAAGAAAAAATAAAAGAAACAAAGAAACTCAAAGAATCAACTCTATGGAAATTGCTGGTTCCCTTTCGGAACAGATTCTTGGAGCCAAAAGAAAAGGACGTAGAGGCACAAGGCAGAGACGTGAAGATATGATTTCCTTCCACCAGTGCAGCTCTGCATGCCACATTCTTAGCAGTTTTTCACAGCCTGGACACAAGGGTCCCTATGACCATCTTCATTTTTGGTGCCAGCGCTGTCCAATTCTTTGTTGGGTTACTCCATCCCCCTATGCTGATCTTCTAATAAATAATACTTGGGCGAGGTTTCTCTACTCCCATTGTACATATGGTGACACTGAGTTTCCCCCAATTCAGAAGCCTTGCCTTAAGGTCTCTCCAGGGACAGGAAATTATCAGCTTCCACATGGGTCAGGCAGTGCTAGTTAGAGGGGACACCAGAGTCACTGGCCCCTCATAACAGGACTGTAAAGAACAGTGGTTTCCACCTAAGCAAAATGGGGAGGCCAGAGGGCTGCAGAGTGTGCAGGGCGGTTTCTGATGCAGGCACCACATAACCCTTATTCTTGGATGCTTTCCCTCCAGCATCCTTGCATTTTTGTTTTGCTTAAGAGATGGGGCTTTGGAATCAGCCATCTGGGACAATTTCCTTTAACCTCCACGAGCCTGTTTCCTCAGTAAATGGGGGTGATGATACCGACATCTCAGGGCTGTGTTATGGTTAAATTAGACAATGTATTTTTCTTTTTTTTTTTTCTAAGCTCACCTGTCCTTATAATTCTTTAATGCAAATGAGTGCTAATCACTAGAGCTAAAGTTACAACATACAATTAATAAACATGGGCCACAAGGATATAATAATGTGTTTCCATAGCTTTTGAACTGTTTTTCAGGTAGAGTTTGATCCTGTATCATAACCTGAGGATTGATTGAACTTAGACAATGTATTTTCCACTTGTGCTTAGCCCAGTGACCAGAAGAAGCCTCGATATTTTGAAAGCACAGCTGTATTTCTAGAAAAGGCCTTCAAAGAGGTAATTAAGGTAAAACAAGGTGATATGGGTGAGCCCATTTCCAATACGACTGATGTCCTTATAAAAGGAGGAGATTAGATCAATGTTTCAGATGATGGCTATGCTGATCACTCTGATCTGATCACTATACAGTCTGTGGATCAAAACATCGCTATGTACCCCATGAATATGCACAGTTACTATTTGTTGATTTTTTTTAATTAAATTAAATTGACTTTTAAAAAAAGAAAAAAAAGAGACCAGCTGGAACGAAAAAAAAAACAAAAAACAAACAAACAAACAAAAAACAGAAAACAAAGAGAAAAAATAACAAGAAGAAGAAGAGATTAGGACACAGACATGTGCAAGCACAGAGAAAAAGACCAGGTGAGAACGCAGCGAGAGGGAGAAGGCACCCAGTTTTTAAGCCACAGAGAGGCCTCAGGAGGAAAGAAAAAAACCTGCAGACACCCCGACCTTGGGTGTCCAGCCTGCAGAACCGGCCCACGGTGAAGCATTGCTGGAACTCACTCCTCAGGGGATGGGATTGGGACGGGTCATCTAGCCCACGCCTCCAACCTCTTTGACCAAGTTCCTGAGCCTTTGGCTTGAAAGAGGGGGGTGGAAAACAGAAAAGACACCACTATTCATTTTGCCCAGCTCGAGCGTTCACTTAAAACAGCCCAGATCAGCCGGGTGTGGTGGCTTACACCTGTAATCCCAGCACTTTGGGAGGCCAAGGCGGGTGGATCACGAGGTCGGGAGTTCGAGACCCGCCTGGCCATCATGGTGAAACCCCGTTTCAACTAAAAATACCAAAAAAAAAAAAAAAATTAGCTGGGCATGGTGGCAGGCACCTGTAATTCTAGCTACTTCAGGAGGCTGAGGCAGGAGAATTGCTTGAACCCGGGAGGCGGAGGTTCCAGTGAGCCGAGATTGCACCATTGCCTGGGAGACAAGAGTGAAACTCTGTAAAAAAAAAACAAAACACCGCAGTCCAGATCCACTAGCACCACACACATCCCTCCCCAGAGCCCGTGCCATAGCCCTTGACATCAGAGCTGGGGGTCAGAGCAGCACTGAATAAAATCCCTCACTGTTGGTCCATGGCTTCTGACAAGCTAGTTCTCTATTGCCATTCACCCACTGGGGGGCAAGGCTGCTGGGCCAGATGTGGAGAAGATGCTGAAACCCTGAGTCAACAGTCAGCTCACCTGAGACACTGGCTGCTTAGGCAGAGGAAGACCCGACCTTGGCTCCTATGGGGCTGCCAGCCAGCATCAGTTCAGGCTGCATAGAAGCCCCTTACCTGACTGACCAGGCAGGCCAGGAAGAATCCCCTTTCCCTTGCATTCTCACAAGGCGCCCCCGCCACCAACCCCATGTCTTCATGTCACTTGACCCTGGCTGCTGCCTTCCTAGCAGTCAGGAGGCTCTGGAAGATGGAGGAGTGGAAGGAGGCGTGGGAAGGTGGAGGGCTGGAGGGACGGCAGGACCTGGAGAGGACCCTTCTAACAGTTCAACTTGGCCCTGTTCCACGGGGCAGGCTGCCCGCACTTGGGGCTCCATCTGTGGCCTGTTCCCATGCAACCTTGGCCTTCTCCCCGCAGGCAAATCAGGGCATGTCCAGAAACGATTACAATCAGCCGCACTACCCTGAGAGCTGCCCCAGAGCCCAGCCAGGGCAGAAAACACACTGTTCTTCCATTTTATGAATGAGCAAAGCCGTATGCTTTCTATAAATGTCTGCGTAAATCATCGGTGTGCATTCCCCTCTTGGCACAAGAAAAACCCAATCCAGACTGCACAGGCAGCTTCTTCTCCAGGAGGGAGGCCCAGGGGCCGTTCTCTCCATTTCTTCTGGGCTCTAGGGAGCTGCCTCCTGGGCTGGTCTCTGGTTCTGCAGAGAAAGCTCTTGCTCGGACAATGATTCGGCCCCAAAGGGGCAACAGCTCACCTTTCCAGGGGCCTCCTGGGCTGAGCTCCAGGTGAGGCCCAGCCAGACCTGCTGGGGTTCAGGGGATGTTTTGTAAGCCATCCTCCTGGGAGCTCCAACTCTCCCAGGCCCACAGCCCTACCCTGCCCATCACAGCCTGCACGGCCATTGGAAAGGTCTCTGTGCCACTGGCATTTTATGTAAAAGCTCCATGTCCACTTAACTAATAAGTAATCATTAATATTACCCCTGGCCCATGTAACCAACTGTTAAACTGACACTAATGAAGTGAGTCGTGGGCACCATGACCAACATTAAAGCCAAGTCTGAACTGTTCACTTAAATGACTCAGGCTGATTTATACATCGTGCCTTGCATTTAACCAGAATGGTGGGTATTTTATATCAAAATGCACAGACATTCCCTCCATCCTGGCTTTATTCTTTCTGACTACCTCCCAGCCCCAACTGGATCAGACCAGACCAAACCAGATGGTCCCGGCCTTAATTATCTGGATCATAGTGTTACCTTCTTGGTGAAAATGCATTCCCAAAAACTGGGAAATGGATGGAAAATCTGGTGTTCAAAATAATGTATTAATGAGCACGTTTGACTTTGACTTTGGAGTTGGCTGAAATGAGCATGCTATGAAATTTGGCTAATTCAAATGGGTTGAGTCCTCATTTTATGAATGAGCAACGCTGGGGAGGAAGGGGAGCAAGCCGGGGAGGAAGACAACTCCATGTTGGGAGGACCCATCTCTGCAGGTGCGGCTTACCAGCCTCACTCCAAGGCTGGTTTCTAAGAGGCAGGAGAAAGTCACAACCCAGGAGATTCGAGTTAGGGAAACTCTGCTGAGGACACTCACTCCTGCTTCTGCCCTTACCTTCTTCCCAAGCATGCTGGGGTTGGGGGTGTCCCTTTTAATTTAGAGGTTAGTGACACATGCATCTCATAGGACATTATACTTGTGCCAGCTAGCCTGCCTTCCTCGTGGACCCACCCCCAGCTTCAGGGACACCAGAGGCAGCCACTTGCCTCCATCATCTACCCAGGAATCACGCACAGGATTGGGAGTGGGCAGCACCTAGGAGGAGCGAAGCTGCAAGGAGCCCTGAGCGGGGCCAGGTGGGCCAGGCCGGGAGACCGGGTGGCCGTAAGAACCCCAGGGCTCCTCTGGGACAGCATGGCATGGGTGTTTGGGGTTGGGCAGATGTTGGGGCATTTCCCTTCTAAAGACCTTGGAAACTGGTGCTTCCACAGCCAACATTGAGAGTTTGGGGTGGGAGAATTCCGGGTCTGCAGATAGCACCTGCTCCCTGTAACCCCTTGCAGAAGGACAGAGGGGCCAATAGAGAGGGGCAGGTAAGGAGCCACCTGGACAATGGCTGCATCGAGGCCGCCTGGGATAAAAGTTAGATCTTACCCTGCAATCCTGGTAGACGCACCAGGATACCCATCTCGCCATGTGGCACCATGGACTGACTTGGAGCAGGTTAACTTCACTGCTTGATTTTTTATTTTTTTTCAGTTCACTGTTTGGCTTTGATTCCTAGATCCCTTACAGCTGTGTGACCCTGGCCAGGTTACCTAACCTCTCTGACCTTCACTTTCCACATCCATGCAATGGTCATGAGAACAACCACACCATTCATGAGAAAGGGTTAAGTAAGATATTGCATAGAAAGCCCTTTGCACAGCACCTGGCACGTGGTAAGTGCTCCTAAAAGATGGCTATTGTCATCTTCGTTATTCTTCCCTTCAGCTGTCTAACCTCTGTGCCTGTGGACAGGAGGTTCTAGTCTCCCCGCTTTCCCACTCATCAGCCTCACATCCTCCTGTTTACTCTCAGGAGAGTTGGTGGCAGGTCTGAGAGCTGTCGGTTGCAAGCCCAGCGATCTCAGCAGAGCCAGCTCTCAGCAAGTCCATTTCCACCTGAACTGCCAAGGTGTGCAGTCCCAGGCCAGGCCTGCGGGCTGTCACGTTTAGCATTTGGTTCTCTTTCCCTCTACTCCTTGCCTCGCCTGCCCCTAAGGACGCTCTCAGCCACCCTGCTGCCTCTGTCAGGCCCTAACTCGTTCGGCCGGCTTGCCTTGGTACCGGGGCTTATCCAAACATCTTCATCGCTTTTCATAAATTCAATCCCTCCTTATCAGCCGCACCATCAGGAGGAAGGGCAGGAGGGGCTTGTGACTGAAGTGTGGGGAAGAGAAGCTTTAATTAGCCTCCTTGCTTCGCGGGGTCACCCGCAGTTCAACCGCCCTGCCTCCGCATGCTCCCAATCACGTAGTGGGAAGCCAGCCCTGCCGCGATCTCGCCACGCTGCACACAGCCTGCATGGCTGGCCTCTGCTCCCCGTGTCCAGGGATGGGTTCCTGCCCCTGGCTGTGTGCTGGGCAGGAGTCCTGCAAATTGGAAAGGAAAATCAGCCAGCACCATCCCTTAGAACATCAGTTTTGAGACAGCCGCTTTGCCCCCATCTCCCAACTCACAGTACAATACTGCTGCAGCAAAACCCCAACCTTGGTTCCATGAGCAAACTCACTTTGCAGAGAGTGCCAAGCCTCTCTGTCAGAATGCAAAGTGCTTTTGCCAGTCCTCAAAAATGGCCTCCGTGATAACGAGGTTAAAAGAGCACTGGGCTTCAAGTCGAGCTTACCGACATTCTGAATTCTGCTGCCTTTTAGTTGTGCAGCCTTGGAAAAGTTTCCTCATCCTCAAAAATAACAGAGCATGGATGAGAGTACCTATCCTTCCTACCTTCCAATGCTGTGAGCCCTAAGCAGGAACATATGCAAATATACTTCCCAGTGTGCCAAATTCTAAATAAATGACACGTATTCCTAGCCGTCCAGCCCACTAGGCGTGTGGCAACATCTTGCCCAAAATATCAGGCTCAGAGACTGATTCTTTCCACACTTGTTTATTCACTTAACTCGGCCACTGCCCTGAAGCCCAATTTCTTCCATGAAGACCTTAACCTGAATCCCCAGCACCTTGCTGCTAGGATTTAAAAGCTGGGGCTAATTTTTCCTGGTATAAGGACATTGTCCCCAACTCCACCCCCATCTATCACTGGTTGCTTACTCTTCCTGAACATTCAACCACTCGGTGAGGGTTGTACGGGAAGCCAAACACAGCCCTTCCCAGATCCCTGCCTTGTACTTTACATCAGCTTCAAATTCCCTAGATAATCAAATAGCCAAATTCATTTGATAACAGCATTTCTTTGCAAGCATGCTTCTCAGTGCCAAGCCTCATACTAGCGCCTAGGAGAAGTCCTTGGCTGTTTCTGGGCTGCCCAGAGGGGCAATAAACAGTGAGACCCTAGGGTTTACTCTCCGACTAGGACTGTCTTGGGCAAATGACTATGGATTTCTTAGATCTTTGGGGAGAAGGCAGAGGCAATTTCACAGATAGAATCCAAAGAGTGGATGCTCAAAGGTGCTGAATGAATGAATTCTTTAGTCATCATGTTCTCTGGGAGAAACGGAAACTCTCATCCTTCGATTTGGTTCATAAACGGACCCATCGGAGAGGAGCCCCTCACCCAGTGCTCAGCCTAGTGCTGACCCATTAACATGCAATGAGTGTTAGACCAGAGGAGACAGATCGAAGAGAAAGAGACACAGTCTTAGATTCCCCAAGAGGTCCCAGCCCACGCACTCATGATTATGATTATAGCTGGCATGTATGCGTTATCCAGGCCTTCCGAGCACATTCTCATGCATTTTCTCTTTTGATCTGAGGCAGATAACGCAGATGGGAGCATGCGCCTGGAAGGCCACCCTGCTGCACAGCACACTGACTGAGCAAGAACAAAGACCGTAAATGAAGAAGGATGTTTGCATTCTGCTCCTCGCTTGCCTGAAAACAGGAAACTTTGGAGACCTGTTCTGGCAAGGTTTCCACCTCTTCCTCACCCCAAAGGTGAATAGCCTAAGAGGTCTTATTTTTATTACTTTTTTTTAAGAGGACAAATCCTTTCCAAAGCACTTTTCTTTTTCCTTTCGTTTTGCTGCTGTGATAGGGAACTGTGTGTGTTCTGATGGTTCAATGGGGAAATGAGGATCGATCATGAGTGATTTTCCCGAAATGCAACCTGTGCAGGTCTTGCCTTCCTCAAGCACCTGCGAGGAGAAGTCGTCACTAGTGGGGAATTCCAGCAGGTGACCCAATCGAGACAGCTGGGCAGGCTCCTGGAGCTGATGGCTTGGGAAGGAGGGAGTCAGAAGTGGCAGGCCCATGGAGGTATGCCTGTCCGCGGATGACCGGGATCACAAAACAATGACACTGACTTGTCGTGGGGATGGTATGAACAGACATGAGGAAGGATTGGAGAAGATCTCTGTTGCTGACAGAGGACAGGGACCAGTCAGCTAGGAAACCCAGAGGCCAGATATGTCTGAGCGTAGGAGCAGGAGCAGTGAGGTATCTCTGGAAGCAGCAGGCAGGACCTGGGCTGGAATGGCTTTGTGAGATTCTATTCTGCAGCCTCGGCAGCCTGAGTCTTACAGCCCCAATTCTTAAAGTTGAAACATGTGCAAGGTACTAAATCTCTGTATCAGTCAGGGTCCTCCAGAGAATCAGAACTAATAGTAGATGATAGATGATAGACAGATGATAGATACATAGATAGATACATAGATACATAGATAGATACATAGATACATAGATAGATACATAGATAGACAGATAGATGATAGATAGACAGATAATCTATTTTAATAAATTAGCTCAAGCAATTGTAGGCACTGGGAGGTCTGAAATCTGGAGGGCAGGCCAATAGGGTGGCAATTGTGGATGTTGCAATCTTGAGGTCAAAATCTGTAGGGCAAGCTGGCAGGCTGGAAACCCAGCCAGGAGTTGATGGTATACTCTTGAGGAGAATTTCTTCTTCCCTAGAAAACCTCAGATTTTGCTTTTAGGGCCTTCAACTCATTGGATGAAGCCCACCCTTATTCCCAAGGATAATCTCCTTTACTCAAGGTCAACTGATTGTTGATGTTAATGACATCCACAAAATGTCTTCACAGCAACGGGATTGCTTCACAGTAATGGGATTGCTGGGTCAAATGGTAATTATCCTTATGATTTTCTTAATACCATTGTCTTTTCTCTACCTTACTTTATTGTAGTAATACAGTATATAGTACCTATAACATACAAAGTATGTGTTAAAATAATGTCTATGTCACTGGTAAGTCTTCCAGTCAATACAAGTCTATTAGTTAGGTTTCAGGGGAGTCAAAAGTTATACACAGGTTTTCAACTACCTGGTGGCTCAACACCCCTAACTCCTACATTGTTCAAGAGTCAACTATATGTAGAAGTTGAACCAGAGGCTATCCACTTGTAGCAAATGGTTACATCACTTATCACATATGCTATGTGATATCACACATGCTATGGAATATCATACTGCAGTTACAAAAGAATAAGGTATCCATATACACTGATGGGGAAATGGCAGAACTATGCATATACTACGTCTTAGTCTGTTCATCCCACTACAACAAAATATCATAGCCTGAGTGGCTTATATATGACAGAAATTTACTTCTCACAGTTCTGGAAGTTGGAGATTCAAGGTCAGAGCACCAGCCTGGTTGGGTTCTGGTGAGGGTCCTTTTCTGGGTTGCAGACTGCTGACCCCTTGTGATGTGCTCACATGGCAAAAGGGGGAAATAGCTTCCTGAGGCTTCTTTTATAAGGGCACTAATCCCATATACAAGGGTGTCATCCTGATGACCTAATCACCTCCCAAAGGCCCTACCCCCAGTACATCACCTTGGGGTTAGAATTTCAACATATGAATTATGGGAGGACACATCCAGACTATAGCATACTATAAGCCAAACCTTTAAGCTCTATCTTCACTTGTGTGTTTGTGTGCACTGTGTGTATGTGTGTCCCGAAAGAAGACCAGAATAAAGTATACAAGGCTGTTCTAGTGGTTACCCAGAGGAGGAAAGTGAGATGGGTGGTGGGGCAAGAGAGATGGGATTAGTCAACCTATATATACCGATCCTGTTGTTTCTAACCAGAATGTAGTCACATGTCATCTATATGATTTTAGATAACAGTAACAACAACAATAACAATAAACAAAGAAACTGAGTAAACTTAGGCTAGTTCCTGTCATTACTTCAGAATTGTCCCATCTTCTCTAGTCTCCAAATTCTCCTGGGTGGTGCCTGTCAAAAGTTTAGCTTACTATTAAGGAGTGTGTAAGCAAGATTGTTAGCAAATACCATCATAATGCTAAAATTTTTCCATTGAACCTTCAGTTATGGTATCATTTAGGGTCCTGGCAGGAAATAAATGACACACTCAAGTTAGGTGATTCTGAGGTGAGTTAGTAAAGGGGTTATCGTACAAGGTGTGTCATGCAGGACAGTGCCACCCATAGGGCTCCAGTACTGCCCTCGAGGGAGCAGCTGCAAGTGACCACACAGGGGGATAGAATGGGGAGGGGACGGTTGGGCGCAGTGGCTCACGCCTGTACTCCCAGCACTTTGGGAGGCCAAGGCGGGAGATCACCTGAGGTCAGGAGTTCGAGACCAGCCTGGCCAACATGGTGAAACCCCATCTCTACTAAAAATAAAAAATTAGCCAGATGTGGTGGCAGGCACCTGTAGTCCCAGCTACTCGGGAGGTTGAGACAGAAGAATTGCTTGAACCCAGGAGGTGGAGGTGGCAGTGAGCTGAGACTGCCCCATTGCACTCCAGCCTGGGGGACGGAGTGAGACTCTGTTTCAAAAAAAAAAAAAAAAAAAAAAGAATGGGGAGGGGACAGTGTGATGGTTAATACTGAGTGTCAACTTGATCAGACTGAAGAATGCAAAGTACTGTTCCTGGGTGTGTCTGTGAGGGTGTTACCAAAGGAGATTAACATTTGAGTCAGTGGACTAGGAAAGGCAGACCCACACTCAATCTGGGTGGGCACCATGTAATTAGCTGCCAGTGCGGCCAGAATAAAAGCAGGCAGAGGAGCGTGGAAGGACTAGACTAGCTTAGTCTTCTGGCCTTCATCTTTCTCCCGTGCTGGATGCTTCCTGCCCTCAAACATCGAACTCCAAGTTCTTCAGCTTTTGGACTCTTGGACCTTCGACCACAGACTGAAGGCTGCATGCACTGTCGGCTTCCCTACCTTTGAGGTTTTGGGACTCGGACTGGCTTCCTTGCTGCTCAGCTTACAGACAGCCTATTGTGGGACCTCACCTTGTGATCGTCTGAGTCAATACTCCTTAATAAATTCCCGTTCATATCTACATCTGTCCTATTAGTTCTGTCCCTCTAGAGAACCTTAATACAATGAACACCGCAGCCTCACTCTCCTCACTCTCTCCCATCTCCCACCAAAGTTCACCATTTTCCAAAACCAACCAGAAGCCCTAGGGGGCAGGGAGAGTGTTGATGCAGTTCATACAGGTTAGCCTCCTGGAGCACAGAGCAGGGTAGGGCAGAGTAGAGAGGGGCAAGCAGGGAAATCCACACTCACAGCAGCCATTCTAATGAGAAAAACCATGAACAATCACAGCTAGATTTTTGGCTGAAACATTACGCTCCCATTTGGCTATGCGTATGTATTTTGTCTGCGCTCCACTTCATCTCAAACTGGTTTTGTGCTCTTGGGCACCCTCCCACTCCAGTCCTGGGCCCCTAATTTTTTGATCCATAGGATGAGGGTACTGGGTGAATCCAATTATTTCCGAGATTCTTTCCAGCTCTAATGGCCATAACTCTCGAGTCTAGCCCTCTACCTGAGCCTTGAGCCTTTCTATGGTTGGAAACTGCTGGTGACAGGTCATGAGTCTGCAGGGGTCTTTGTGCAGATCCTGCCTCTTCTACTTGGCACAAAGAAGGCAAAACAGGTCTGCAAAAGTGGGCCAGTTCTTAACACTGTCTGTGCCTGGGCTCCCCACTGGAAGAACCCAAGGAAAATAAGTAAAATCTACCCTGTTGAACTGACAGGCGGTATTGCTGATTCATCATCACCAGACAAGAGGCAGGTAAGTGGGGAAATGTAGTAACAGAGCTTTTTTTTTTTCTTTTTTTTTTTAACCTATTTCAGTGCCCTGTTTTCTCCTCTATGCCCTGCTCAGCTACAACTCTGTGAATCAGGATAAAGATAGTTCAATTTCCAGAAGTGTTGCCAACAGCCCCCATTCCTCAACCAAATACTCACATCTGAGAAATGTAATGTGCAATTCACATGCTATTTGCATGCCCTTATCCTAAACAGGAGAATGACCCATTGTCGTTGGACTCTGCCTTTCCAAGTCGTAAGCTCTGAGGTCTCCTTTCTCTCAAATCTGGCCATGCCCTTGAAATCCCAGCATGCTTCTGTCCTCAGAGCATAGGGGCTTTTTGTTGTGACCTTGAACCAACAGTGCACAAAATCTGAGAATTTTGAAGAATACAGAACACAACTTTATGCCAAGAAGAAGCTATAGTTGTGCTCATAAATTCTTCCTCCAAGGCTTAAAGGTCATTCCCTACCATTTTTCTTGCAGACTTTTGGTTTCAATATAAGGTGGGCCTGCTCAAAGGCAAGAATTTTCCTGGGCATTTTTTTCTCAAGCATTGCAGCTGTACTTAGGTGAGGAGCCATAACAATGGGATGTGGAATAGAGCCAATCAGCTGAAGAAATTGATACTGAATAAGGAAATATTTCTTACCAGTGAGAGACTCTCAACAATGAAATCAGTGCCCTAGCAATGCACAGCATTGCAAGAGATTGAGTCACACCATGTTAGGGTCCATGCCAATATGAAACACCCAATTACCCATCCTTTCAGGTATGAGAGTTAAGAAAGACATGCTAGGAGGGTCTCAGTGATTCTTCCTCTGCTTTTGGTTGATTTTAGTTTTCAGGGAGTGATTTGGTTGACCTGTGAATTCTTAGCTTTAAATAAATGCTGGGGACCATAGAGATGAGAGCTGTTCTTCATCTGTGGACCTCCTAAGAGAAAGGAATAGAATTAACATTAATTGAGAATGAATAGACAGCCAAGCAGGATTCTAAGGGTTCTATAAACATTATTGCATTGAATCATCGCAAATATCATGCCCATTTAAAGATGTGGAAATGGAGGCAAAGGAAATGAAGTGTGTTTATCAGGACCACTAACCTGTAGGGCTAATACTTAAACCTGGGTCACTCTGACTTTGGTGGCCTTGGAGGCCCGCCCACATCAACACACCACCTAGGTGAGGATTCAGATAAACTGACTTCAGTCTGGGTTTAATGACTCTTGAGGTCTCAAAATGGCAGTCGTTAGGTTTGTTTCTATTCTGTAGGCTGTGCCGTTCCTCCCAGAGCTGGGTCTGCTTCCCTGCCCTCCTGACTGCCTGCAAGGAGGTCCAGCCACATTGCAGAGGAAGGACTTGCTTATGGAAAGAAATGGAGAGACCCAGCCTCCCTCACCTCCCATTGGTGCCTGATGATTAATACATTTTTTGCTGCCCTTGGAAATGGAAGACAGTGCCAACTGCTTAGTTCTCCTGGCTGGGCCAGCGCAACCTGTATGACAAGGGGGAAGAGCCTTTAAGTGAGGCAGGAGAGGAGCTGGGCTCTGGGCAGAAAAGCTCCCCAAAGCAAGTGTGCTGGGAGGATGCTTTTTGTATTTTAACCAATGTTCACCTCTGTCTCCCCCAGCACAATATTTCCTTGCACTGCTTGGTCTTTCCTCGTCTAGTTAGTGAGGCCCTATTGAATTTGCTGCATTAGAGTGTGGATAACACCCCCAAATCAAAGAAATAGCATAATACACCCTGGTTTTTGAGTTTCAAAGAAGGTTTTTGAAAGGTATTGCAAATACAACAGATTTGGAAGAACATGTGCTGAGGTCTAGTGAAGCGGCCCTTAGATAAAAGCTGAGAGATTCCGTGTTGGGGGAGCAAAGGGAGCCAGGCTCAAAGCAGAGAGTGAGATGATATGCCAAGTACTGAGTCAGGGGTACTACTGAGTACTGAGATGATATGCCAGGTACTGAGTCAGGGGTACTGCTGAGTACTGAGATGATATGCCAGGTACTGAGTCAGGGGTACTACCAGGGTGCTCTGAATAAGTAGACAGGCATGTCCTCTGGTTGGGATCAAAAGACTACTCGGCAGTGCCCAGGGTGAATGAACGGCTGAGGAACCCATAGCAGCCTGTTGGAGGTCTCAGATGAGCCCAGTGCAGACATGTGATGTAGAGAGCACACTGTCCCACTCCGTAATTGCCAGAGCATTGTTAGCCTTCCCTGTTCCCTGAACTTAGAGGCAACACCCATGAAAAGGGTAGGAAGGATCTGAAATGCCCCACTGCAATTGAGTTATCAGATAATATGAGTTCTATTTCTTGCATTTCTGAGTTTGTAAACTGAGGTTCATGCTGGCTCTCTGAGTCAGGCACCTCCCTGAGACAGATCTCTGCCACCCGCTCCCTCTCCACACAGTGCATAGAGTTTGCTCCCTCCCCTCCTCACTGCAAGGCTGCTGGGCACCTGCCCCGTGGGTATCTCTGTCACCCAGAAGACTCCTCTACCCCCCTGCCTACTGCACCCATGCAGGCTTCTGCACAGCCAGACCTGTTCTCTTGGAGTCTTGGACTTTGACCTGCCCCATCAAAGGACAGCAGCCAAGGTGACAAGCCCATCCCAGTTCAGATCCTCTGGCAGAGGTAGATACTGAGGCAAGAGACAGGCTAAAGGGAAAGCATAATATCCTCCAACCCCCCATCTCTGGGAACACTGTATCTGAGGTTTGTTTGGCCACCCAAGATGCTGGGCTCTGCCAGACCAGATAACCATTCCGGTTTGACAGGCACCCACGGCCCCCTGGTATGCGCCTTTGACCCACCAGATAGTTCTGTTTTCCTTTTCCTCTGAGATCCCCCGAGCTTCTGTTCCCCCCTTCTCACCTGGCTGGAGAGATGTCACCCAGCTAACATCTTCTAACCCTACAAGAGGCAAGTTACAGGATGCCCCAACATCATGATTTTTTTTTTTAGCTTTCAAAACCTTGGAAGTACTGCAGGGTGAACCATGGTTTGAGATACCTTGCAGCAGTGTTTCTCTGCCATTTCCCCCTGCAGCACATGTTTGTCTTTCTAAAATATTTCTTTTCCTTTTCTTTTTTTTTTTTTTTTTTTGACGGAATCTCACTCTGTCACCAGGCTGAAGTGCAGTGGCGCGATCTTGGCTCACTGCAACCTCCGCCTCCCGGGTTCAAGCGATTCTCCTGCCTCAGCCTCCCAAGTAGCTGGGACTACAGGCACACGCTACCATGCCCAGCTAATTGTTGTATTTTTAGTAGAGACGGGGTTTCACCATGTTGGCCAGGATAGTCTCGATCTCTTGACCTTGTGATCCGACCGCCTCGGCCTCCCAAACTGCTGGGATTACAGGTGTGAGCCACCACACTCAGCCTACAATATTTCTATTTCTGAGTTTGTAAACTCAGAAATCTGAGTTTAGGGCAACCAGGGCAACCAAATTACTCTCTGAAAACTAAAATCAGCTCAGGTTTGATCTCCTACCATGCACCAGGCTCTGCTGTAGGGAATGGGATCAGGCATAAGCAAGATCTACAGGGTTCCTGCTCTCAGGGAGTGTCCATTCCACCCCGGAAGGGTAGACATGGAGATGCATGGCTCAGATCCTTCAAAAAGGACTTGCTGCCTGACTGAGAGGAGCTTGACTGGCTGACAGCCACTGCACTGGTGTCTTCGAGGTCCTCGTCAGTTTTCAGGCTGAGGTCATGCTGTTCTTGAGGCAGCCCTAGCTAATGACTATGCAAGGTGGTGGCACAAGGGCCAACCCATTTCTACCCACATGGGACTTCTCCAATGGGCAGTCTCTGCTCCAAAGCTCCTGGAGACTGCCCAGGTTGCCTTCACGTTCTGATGGTTCCCCCTGCCCAATCCAGCTCCCTCCTCTTTTCCCTCATAGGTTGCTTATTCCCCCAATAAACCCATAACTCCATCTCTGCATTGGCTTCCTGGAAACCCAACTGGTATGCGGGGGACATACACACCAGCACGAGTGTCGGTAGTGACACATGCTATGGGAAAAGAACAGAGCCCCTGGACAGAGGCTGACTCACTACTAGAAGAGGGCCGGGTTCGCTAGATGTCAGGTGCACCCAGCCTCTGAGAAGGGCATGTGTGAGCTGAGACATGAGGAGGAGGAGCCAGCCATATTCAGAGGAGCCGGGAAAGGGCTCCAGGCAGTGTAGGAAGGAAGACTTGTATTGGAGGTCCATGAAGAAGCAACTGAATAGAGCACAGTGTTGAGAGATGAGAGAGGAAAAGGAGATGAGGCCAACAGGGCCAACAGAGTCTTGGATGTCCAGTTCTCCTCCAAGTGAACTTCGAGAACAGCAACGTGATCTGTGTGCAGCATGATCCCACAGACAAACCCAAATGTGATGAGGCAATAAAACATGGCAATAACATGTCATCGCCAGACTACTCACAGCTGATTAGCAAAAGCAGCTAACCTCATCCTGGCTGTGACCTCCATGAGACAGGCTAGGAGCAATGGGCAACTCTGGCCACTCGGAAAATCATCTTGGACTGCGAGGGAGTGAAAGGGATGTTGCTATGTTAGTACCTGCTCTGATTTGTTTTTAAAAAGTGAATCACTCCCAAACCTCAGGGTGTTATTCATAACCCGTCACTTGTTCTCCTGCGTGATGGTGACACATTTGCATGTCATGACAACCTGGATGAGCACTGCTTCCCTGGAGTAGGGGAGTAGGGGGGGTGGGAATGGGGGGAGGTGGTTGAGATGCCAGAGAGCCTTGCCCTAAATCAGTGGTTCTCAACTGGAGGCGATTTGGTTCCCCAGGGGTATTTGGCAACGTCTGAGGACATTTTTAGTTTTTACACTTGTGAGGCTGGGAATGCTACTGGCATCTAGTGGGTAGAGGTCAAGGGCATGGCTAAACATCCTACAGTGCACAGAACAACCCCTGCCCACAAAGAGTGATTCAGCTCCAAACGTCAACAGTGCTGCAATGAGCTTGAGAAACCCTGCCCTAAATCAAGAGCCAAATTGTTCCTCTCTGAACCAAGGGATGCTCTCAGACAGGGGTCTTTGGATGAGGGCACGCAGCAGAGTTTGATAAATACAACCAGTGGGGGCTTTCTCAGTGCGGTTCTGCAAATTGCAAACACAACATCTAAGTGTTTGCTCTTCCTTTCTTACTGTAGTTTAAATACCAAGAAACATTTCCCTAAAAGAATTTTAACCTCTAAGACTGCAGATGCTCCCACACTGGCATCTTCTAAGACCAGCTGATTGGGCCAACAGGGGTCCAGACCCAACCAGAGACAGGGGGATGGACAAGATGACCGCCCATACCCCCTGCACTTACCCCAAGGAGGTTCTCTCCAGCCAGGCATTTTAATTAATTTTAGTCCCTTTCAAGACCACAGTTATTATTGTAAAAACACCGATAATACTAAACACATGTGGAAAGCACAGCGCCGGCTGCAGCCCTGGAGACCTGGGGACGTGCTAAGTCATATGTCATCTGGGGTGGTGAGAAATCAGCAGGCCCCCTCCCCCTGCCCTCTGAGACCCCAACACCCTTCTCAGTAGGACTGCTCTCCTTCTGTCACCAGCCAAGCCCCCTTCCTAGCTCAGCTTCCCCACCCCTACCAAAACTCAAGTACCCTTCCCTCCCCACAGAAACAGCCAAGGTGGGTGGGGTGGCAGGCCTCTGGAAATCCTGGTTTAATGATTTTATTAGGAAAGAGGCGGGAAGAAAAGAAAAGGCACATTCTCTCATTTTGGAAGAATGCTTCATTATCTGCCTTTGCAGAGTGTGAAACACCTCACTGGGCTCTAACCAGCCCTGAATTATTGAGTGAGATGCTCAGGTGTCAGGCTTTCCTCTCCCCCATCCCCCTGGGCCACCCCACTGGTTGCTGGAGGGTGTCTCAATTCCACCTTCAGGTGAAGGCTGGGAAAATCCAACAGCTACAGAGCTGCATGGGCATTGTCCTCCCAGAACCATGACCTCTTTCGGGAGCTATTGCCTGAAAACAGTCCCCTTGGCATGTGTCTAGTTCCATCTTCACTTGTGTAAGACCATTTCTCCTGCATTCTTGGCCTCACATCTGATTCCCAGGTGCCTTTTGCCTCGTGAAACACCTCACTCCTATTTTAGAGGTTAGAAAGTTCCTTCTTAGCCAAAACGGAGCTAAAGACGCTGACATTTGGGTAGTTCTCTGTGACTGATTGAGAAGTATGAAAAATCTTCCACTTCCACAGCCCTGCTTGTTTTCATTCCTTGAAGATGACAGAGTAGATATTGTTATTCCCATTTTACAGATGGAAAAGGCAAAATGCAGAGGGGTTAAGTGGCCCTTCCAATGGCACACAGCAATTACAAAGCAGAGATGGAGGGAACACGGGGCTCCTCAACAACAGTCTCCCTGTAACTGTGGACTGATCTGCCCCATGCCAGATAATCCCCAGCCTCTTTTAAGAGTGCCGTTTACGGACATTCTCTCCAAACCCCGGGGTTCCCGTGGCCCCTGGAACAGACAGGAAGGTCTGGTTGCTGTGTTCCAGATCACAGCCTCCATCTTCAGTTTCCATAACACCAGCTTCAGTGTTGGTCCCTCCCCAGGGTCAGATACCACCTCTCTCACTGGGTCCTCCCCTGGCTCCACCTCTCCATATGAACATCTAGCCTCTTCCTGCCACCACTCTTCCCTGCAAGAATCCCTGCAGTCACATACACCCCCCACCCTAAACTAGGCATGGAAGTTCAGGCCAAACTAGGAATTCATCATCTACGGAAAAAAGAAAAAAAAAATCTTATTTCTGCCCCAGTTGTGGGGAGCTTGGACAGTGCGGCAGCTCACCTTCCAAAGACCTAAGTGACAAGTTTCTTGAGGACAGCCCCTTAAGCAGAGAAAAACAAAAATCCAAAAAAAAAAAAAATGAACACATATTGACACTGTTGTATGTTGTATGATAAACTCATTTAATCATCACAAAGACTCCACGAAGCAGGTGCTGGTATTATAACCTTTTCATATATAGGGAAACTGAGGCACAGAGCAGCCAAGTAACTTGCTCAAGGTCATATAACTAGCAAGTGAGGGAGGTCTGATTAGACCATTGAAAACAAAACCAAAAACTATCACTGGAGGGGGTGTTTAGGGAGGGGTTATAACTGCCCAGTAGTAGCCATTTTCCCAATAATCTTTCCAGGAGGATAAAATCACCATTCTACTCTCTTTAGTGCCCAGTAGTTGTGAGACCAAGGCAGTATCTCAGTGGATTAGCTGGGCACGGTGGCTCACGCCTGTAATCCCAGCACTTTGGGAGGCCAAGATGGGTGGATCACAAGTCAGGAGATCGAGACCATCCTGGCTAACACCGTGAAACCTCGTCTCTACCAAAAATACAAAAAAATTAGCCGGGCGTGGTGGCGAGTGCCTGTAGTCTCAGCTACTCGGGAGGCTGAGAGAGGAGAATGGCATGAACCCAGGAGGCGGAGCTTGCAGTGAGCCGAGGTCACACCACTGCACTCCAGCCTGGGCAACAGAGCAAGACTCTGTCTCAAAAAAAAAAAAAAAGTCTGCCACATATATAATTAGTTTATATAATTAGTACTTAACTATCCATCTTCCTTGGGTTTTCTTTTCCACCACTGTATGAGAGTCATTCCTGCCAGCTGCCATGACAAAATCCCAGTGGTTTCACACAATAAAGGTTTATTTTTTCATTCTTGTCTCAGTCTAAGTGGCTATTTGGGAGGGAGCCTTCCAAGTGGGATTCCAAATGATTCAAGGTGCCCCGTTCCATCCATCTTGTCCTGTCAGACTCTCAGGAAAAGGGCAGCATGAAGCATCACTGGAAACAGAGTGGACCGGCTCTGCCCATATTCCATCAGCCAGAAGCTAGTCCAATGGTCCGAGCTAACCCCAGGAGAGGCTGGGGAATGCCGACTTCCAGCATGCCCAGGAAGAGAATATGCAATGCTGAGCATCCAGCTGGTCTCCACCAGACCAGTTAATCCACTTCAATGTCTCCAACTGCTCCTCCATGACATGCCCCCAGGGGTCATGCTTGTTCTCCCCAAACGTGATGCTCAGGAGGACTAAACCTACCCTCTAGACATGGCCTGCTCATGCCAGAAGACCCAGCAACATCACCTCCCTGGATCTGGACACCACATGTCTATGAAGACAGCCTACATATATTTTAGCATTTTTAGCAACAGTCACACTGTTGGATCGTATTATGCTTGTGGTCAACTAAAACTTCCAGATTTCTTTCTTGTGAACTGCTGCCAACGGAGGGCTCTCTAATCTAGTTCTTGTGCTTCTGAATTTGAAACCACATGAAACTGAACAACAGTTGTTGAAAGTCTTCCCTCTTGCTGGGTTTGGCTGGGCATTTGGGTCTGCAGAGATTATCAGGGATCCTGATGTTACATCCATCGTATCAGCTTCGCTCCTAGCCCAGTGGCATCTTTGGCCTTTCCAGATCTTTGGGCAAGTCACCGATACAGATTTAGACCAGGATGAAGGCTGATAGCACAACTACGATTTGAAATGAGCCTTTGATTGATACCTTGGGTATGGTTGTTTAGCCCTCTGGGAATCTGTCGAACAAGACCATTTACCAGCTCACATTTACTCTGTTAACCAGATGATAAAGTCAAGTAAAACCTCATTCATTTAGTGCTTACTCTTTGAAAGCATCTAATTTCCCCCAATATATCATTCTTGTTGAACTCAATATGCTATAAACCCTAACTAATCCATGGTCATAGCAACGTATCTGAAGTCATACAGTTTATTATTAACAGAACACAAGCTGGAATGTAGATGTCCTGAATCTCAATGCTTTCCCATCATCAAGAATCTAATGTGTGCACAGTGTACCAAGAGACCATGGCCTTGAAGCAGAAACTGGCCCCACTAAAGTGGCGCCATGTGGCTGTTAGCACCTCCTCTGAAATGCCCACATATTTTCCAGCTTGCAATTTGCCATTCACCAGTCCACTTCTTTGCCCCTCCAATTAGAAAGACAAGAAATATGACTGCAAAATATTGTGTTGGGAAAACTACCTGGAGTCATTCAGGCATGACTCACGTCACATGCGCGTTCATGTTCATCTTGTACTTGGGGAAAGGCCTCCTGGGGACCCTCATGACAACCATCAAACCCCACCTCCACATGCTCCGGAGGTCAAACTCAGTGAGGAGGGCTGGTGTGAATTGGTAAAACCCTTAGCTACAGAAAGCTATGGAAGAGAGGGATGTCTGTTTGATTTCCAAGTACGCAGTACCTCGGCTGAGAGAGCGTGGCCAAGAAGAGGTTCTGTGGGATCTGATAAGAATCCACCCTAATTAACACGCTAATTGTTTCCAAGTAGATGTTTCTAAGGGCTTGAAGAGCTTGTTTGCTTGAGTAGACCAAAAACCTCCCCCTCTCCATTAAATATTGTTTACATCGTTAGTTCCCTGGACAAACTGTTTTATCACAAAAAAAATAAAGGTGAACCTAAGACAGGGTGAAATTATTCTGAATTCTTAATGAATGAAATCCTTGATAATTACAATCTTTTTTTAAAAAAAAAAATCTGAGCTTGCAGGATCTTACTTGGGTATAAGAGAAAATCATCCAAATTCAGGTCGTTTCTTTTTTCACACTCTAGAATCATATGTCTTTTGTTAATTTGCTTTTTAATGTGAATGTATTTATCCAGATAACTTTATACGTAGGAGTGAGGCACTGGGCTGTGTACCATTCATTCATTATCTCAGATGATCTTCACAACAATTATATGAACAGTGCGAGCAAATTAGCCCCATTTACAGATGGAGGAAGCGAGACTAAAGGGATCACACAGTGAACACTTGGTCTGGAAAAAACCAGCAATCAAACTCACGCCTCCGACTCCAGCAAGACTTATGGTCATATAGGCAGTGACTAAAGCCTATAGGTTTTTAAGGGCCCATGAAAACATTTGAACCCTTTAAAACAAAAACAGAAACAAAAACAAAACAAAGGACTGACTCCAGGACATAAAGAACTACACAAGCCTGTAATCCTAGCACTTTGGGAGGCCAAGGTGGGCAGATAGCCTGAGCTCAGAAGGTCAAGACCAGTGTGGGCAACATGGCAAAACCCTGTCCCTACTAAAAATACAAAAAAATTAGCAGGGCTTGGTGGCACACACCTGTAGTCCTAGCTACTCGGGAGGCTGAGGCATGAGAATCGCTTGAACCTGGGAGGCGGAGGTTGCAGTGAGCTGAGATCACACCACTGCACTCCAGACCCGGCAACAGAGTGAGACTGTCTCAAAAAAAAAAAAAAAAAAAAACCTACAAAACCTATTTCACCAAATATTTAGTTAAATATTTACAAAATAACACTGTTAACTAGCCAATGGTAATTTAACTCAATCCTCAAGTAGTTACCAGTGAATATAAAATTTCAATTAAGAATACAGTTGGCCCTCCCTATCTGTGGTATGAGTTTGGTAGAATCTGAAGATACAGAACTCATGGATAGAGAAGGCCAACTGTAGCTATTTTTTCTTAAATCTCAAAGTTACAAAAATTATGAAGACTCCCTCATTTCTGCATCCCCATAAGATGAAATTTTTAAAAATTTCATCTTATGATGAAATTTATGATGGGTATATTTTAATGCTTTTGATAAAATGAAGGGTGAGCCCTCCAAAAATAAGAAAACTTTGGAGCTACTCCTTTCTTTTCTTTCTTTCTTTCTTTCTCTCTCTCTCTCTTTTCTTTCTTTCCTTCCTTCCTTTCTTTCTTTCTTTCTTTCTTTCGTTTTTCTTTCTTTCTTTTTTTAAGATGGAGTCTCACTCTGTCACCCAGGCTGGAGTGCAGTGGCACAATCTCGGCATACTGCAACCTCTGCCTCCTGGGTTCAAGTGATTCTCCTGCCTCAGCCTCCCTAGTAGCTGGGACTACAGGCACACGCCACCATGCCTGGCTAATTTTTGTATTTTCAGTAGAGACGGGGTTTTACAATGTTGGCCAGGCTGGTCTCGAACTCCTGACCTCAGGTGATCCGCCTGCCTCTGCCTCCCAAAGTGGGGGCTACTCATTTCCGAAAATGAGTTTGGACAAAATGGATCCTTACAAGCCTTGCCTTACAAGCCCTCTGCTTCACTACATTTTGTGTTCAAGTTCGTATTTCTTAATCCCTGCAATGGAACATAGGCCTGTTGTTTTCCGTAACTTTTCCATTAACTTACCCATCAACCTTTTCTGTATCTTTGCTTATAGTGGACACTCAAGTTAAATGTATAAAACAAGATTTCTTTTATAAATAGTTGACCGTGCTCTAAAATTAAGGAATTAGGATAAGTCAGAGAGCCCTGGAGAGACACGCCATTGGCTTATGTGGTGTTTCATGATGAGCGGGGTTAGGACGGAACAAGCTAGGAAATGGACTTTGTCACAGGTAAAACTAGAAATTGGCCCAGCTCAAAGGGACCAGATTGCCCCTGGAAGTATGGAGCAGGCTTTTTCCAGGAGGAGCTGGAAGGGTCAGTAGCACAGTTTGCCAAACTTCACATGTCCCCACTTTCTGCAGAGAAACCACATGTGGTGTTGATGATCACCGGAGCCCTGGCGTCCAGAAGGCAGTATCTAGGTCAGAAGTTTTGGGTATCGGCCTGGCTGTCAGGAGACTCTCTACCTCTCATGAGGCCTTCTGTCTTTATCAGAAGATAAAACAAATAAGCGAAAACAACTTCCTTTTTTTAATTTTTTTATTTTTTTGAGACGGAGTCTTTCTCTGTCACCCAGGCTGGTGGGATCTCAGCTCACTGCAACCTTCGCCTCCTGGGTTCAAGCGATTCTCCTGCCTCAGCCTCCAGAGTAGCTGGGATTACAGGTGCCCACCACCACGCCCAGCTAATTTTTAGTATTTTTAGTAGAGACAGGGTTTCACCAAGTTGGCCAGGCTGGTATTGAACTCCTGACCTCACATGATCCACCCGCCTTGGCCTTCCAAAGTGCTGGGATTACAGGCATGAGCCACCGCCCCAACATCTTGATTTAGAGAAGTTGCGGAGAACCCAGCTAAAGGGGGAAAGTGGGTTGTCTCAGGGTTGAGCTCATGTGAGCCCGGCTGAGCACCCCCTGAAACAAACACCAACAGCACCTGACATTTTTAGAGTATTTTTCAGAAGACACTTTCAACTAGATCTCACCTGACTTGATTGTCATTCTGATTCTGGAAGCTACATGAGGCAGAATACTTTAATTGCAGTAAATAAGTAAGGTTCATTGCAGCACTATTTACAATAGCAAAGACTTGGAACCAACCCAAATGCCCATCAAGGATAGACTGGATAAAGAAAATGTGGCAGATATACACCATGGCATACTATGCAGACATAAAAAAGGATGAGTTCATGTCCTTTGCAGGGACATGGATGAAGCTGGAAGCCATCATTCTCAGCAAACTAACACAAGAACAGAAAACCAAACACCGCATGTTCTTACTCATAAGTGGGAGTTGAATGATGAGAACACATGGACACAGGGAGGGGAACATCACACACCAGGGCCTGTCGGGGGTCGGGGGCAAGGGGAGGGAGAGCATTAGGACAAATACCTAATACATGCGGGGCTTAAAACCTGGATGATGGGTTGATAGGTGCAGCAAACCACCATGGCACATGTATAGCTATATAACAAACCTGTACATTCTGCACATGTATCCCAGAACTTAAAGTGAAATTAAAAAAAAAAATTTTAAAAACATAAAAAATAAGTGAGGTTCAAAAAAGTTAAGGAACTGCTTCAAAGCCACACAGCGAAGCAGGGGCAAGGCCTTCACTAGCCCCAGGCCTCTGAACCCAGGTCCTCTCTTGACTCCCCTGCAGGCTCTGGCTCTCCCACACTGTGGACTGAGCCTCGCAAGAGAGTTACCAGCTCACATCCTCCACTTCAGGATACAAAAAACCAGGGACCCAGGCCTGCTGGCAGGAGGCCCCAAATTGCCCAAGCTCTTGACTCCAAAATAGTGTTTGTATGTCTAAGACCTGGTAACTTAAACTATGCTTCTCATTTTTGCCCTTTAAAGTAGACCGGGAGGCTGAGTCATGGCTAGCTGAGTTGGAAGGTGTGGCCACCCACCCATCCGCTCCTCCCACCCACAACCAGTCCTGCCCTCCTGAGCTCCGGACAGGGTGGGCCAAGGGCTGTGTAGACAGACTAAGCCCCCTTCTCCCCTTCTCTCCAGACATAGAAACTGGGTCTTGGTGCTGCCATGCGGCTTCTGGACCCTCCCCCAGTTTGGGGCGTCTCAAGGAGGGGCGTCTCATGGAGGGGCATCCCGAAGTATCTCTTAGAGCCAGACTGTGGCATACTCTACCCACCGGACGCTTCCCAGCACAGGGAAGCCTCCCAGACACCTGAGACCCATGCAGCAAACACAGGACTCTGCCTGCTAGATGGGGAGCATCTTGAGGACATTCAGAGGACCTGGTTCATCTCTAAAATGCCGTGTCCACCGAGGTGACCGTTCACCATGACCTCTCCACATATCTATTCAGCAGACATTTGTCCATCCCCTCCCCCGACCCACATCATCCTCTCCCCACCAGCCAAGGGCTGTTTTTGGCACCTGGGACAGAGTCTGTGCCTTTAAGAAGCTCATGGTCTGGTGGGCTAGACAGTCAAGAAAACAATTACCATTCAAACTGATTCATACGATTAGGGAAAGCACAGGGTAAAACTGTAAACCCAGAGGGGGAAAAAAAGTAAAAGACACATAAAATCCAGCCTGGGTTTATATGTGTTTAACTCGTATAGCCCATCCACTCCTTCCACCCACAGCCATTCCTGCCCTCCTGAGTTCTAGCCAAACTAAGACCCCTCCGATCCACACATTAGAAAGGAGGTGATGTGGGAACAGAATCTTAAAACCTGGCTCACATCCTGTGTCCAACCGGGGCTCTGCTGGGTCAGTTTGGGTCAGCCCAAGGGACAGAAACTCTTGTCCAAGTTCATTAGGTGCAGTAGGAGTACTACAAGGCTCCTAGGAGTACTACAAGGGCCTCCAGAGACCCCATTCCCAAGTAAGTGGCTTTCTCCTGGGGCTGGGGGTGTGGGTAGGGGTGAAGGTTTCCCTAGAACCAGTGAGCAGGGAGAATTCTGATGAGAGTCTTCCTCACTGAAGGCAAGGTGATGGCTGGAAGGGTGAACCCCAGAGGCAGGCCGCTCGGGACACAGTGGCCTTCAGCGGGCAGGGGCATGAGGACAAGCAAGTAAGCCACCAAAGGGCAGCTCTCCAGGCCTGCAAAGAGCGAGATGCCGACTCGGCTTGGCGACCTTCCCAGGGGATGAGACAGTGCAAACCTCAAGGCCTGTGGTGTTATTCCAGACGCCAGGCTGAGCTTCCCTCCACCATCACATTAAGGCTCAGCTGTGCCCAGAGAATGTGTCTGCACACGGCGAAGGGCCACCTCCCAGCCCCAGCCAGCCACCCAGGAGCAACAGGCTTGACTTTCAACCTGATCCTGTGACTAAATGCAGGCCCAGGCCAGACTTCTCCCAGGGGAAGACCAGACATAACTTGGTCACTTGGCTCCAAAGGAGTCCTGTGGAATACGGTCTTATGAAAGAGGGTCTGTGATAACCGCCTGGGGGTGCGTGGATGCAAAGCACAGAATTTCTTGGTGGGAGCGGGAGGATCTGCAGGACATGAGACAATTTACTCCTTGCTTGTTACATGTGGCAGATGCTTTACCAGGTACTTCCCATGGTTTAGTTCAGATCCTCTGAATCACACTGAAAAGTATGATTTGTTCTCAGTTTTCAGATGGAGGAAACGAGACCTGGAGAGGCTCAGTCACCTGCCTAAGGCCACCCAGCCCAAGTGATAGCACTGAGTTCAGAGGCTGGTGTGTCTGACCCCAGCATCCCTGCTCTCCTGAGACATAATCTGGCCTGAATGAAAGCACCTCTTCCAACTTACTCCATTTCAATTAGATAGAAAAGCTTTTCCAGCCAGGAACAGTGGCTCATGCCTGTAATCCCAGCACTTTGGGAGGCCAAGGCAGGCAGATCACGAGGTCAAGAGATCGAGAACATCCTGGCCAACATGGTAAAACCCCATCTCTAGTAAAAATACAAAAATTAGCTGGGTGTGGTGGCACACACCTGTAGTCCCAGCTACTTGGGAGGCTGAGGCAGAAGAATTGCTTGAACCTGGGAGGTGAAGGTTGCAGTGAGCTGAGATAGTGCCACTGCACTCCAGTCTGGCAACACAGTGAGACTCTGTCTCAAAAAAAAAAAAAAGAAAGAAAAGAAAAGAAAAAGAAAAAAAAGGAAAGCTTTTCCAATTATCCTAGGGACAGAGCTTGAGAGAGGACAGGGACAGGAAGCTGAGAGCTGGGACAAGGCTCTTCAATGCAGTCAGTTCAGCTCAGCCATGGGACACCATGCTTGGGGTATGGGGAGGATGATGGAGGGCCCACAAGAAGAAGAAAGTGGTACCTGGAGAGTGGGCTCCTGATATGGTTTGGCTCTGTGTCCCCACCCAAATCTCATCTTGAGTTGTAATTTCCAGGTGTTGAGGGAGATACCTGGTTCAAGGTGATTGAATCACAGGGGTGGTTTCCCCTGTACTGTTCTTGTGATAGTGACTTCTTACAAGAGCTGATGGTTTTAAAAGGGGCTCTTCCCCCCTCACTCTCTTCTCTCTCCTGCTGCCATGTAAAGAAGGTCCTTGCTTCCCCTTCCGCCATGACTGTAAGTTTCCTGAGGCCTCCCCAGCCATGTGGAACGGTGAGTCAATTAAACCTCTTTCCTTTATAAATTACCCAGTCTCAGGTATTTCTTTATAGCAGTGTGAAAATAAACTAATACAGCTCCCTATCTCAGCCAGCTGTCTTCACCAGAACCTCCTTTCTGAGATGCAGAGAGGACCTCCCAGGGGGCAGGCACCTTTGTGCACCCAACTAAAGCCTCTGGCCCCCAGGTTCCATATCCCACATCCTGCCAGCTCCTGGGAGCCAGGCAGCAGCCTCTCCACCCCCCTTGGAGGTGGCTGGGAACACTGGTGCCTGGCTCAGGGAGGCTCCTGGAAGCCCTGGTTATGGCTCACTGCACTCAGCCGTCGGATTAAAGGGGCTCAGAGTGAGGACAGCCTGCACGGCTGGGCCTGCTGGGCTCCCCTGGAGCAAAGCCAGGCAGCCCTTCCTTCCTCTGGGCTGGCCGGTGGGGCACCAGGCAGCTTGAAGGAGCTGTGGACAGAAAACAGAAGCTGAGTTGGCCTCAACCTTTCCATCCAGCTGCCACATAGGGCAGGGCTCCTCGGGAGCTGGAGGTGGCCTTTCCCAGGGGTTGGAGCCCCTGGATGGGGTGTTCTGGCCCAGCCCACTGGGGTGTTGCCCTGCTTGGCGGACAGCGTCCCACCCGGGTCTTGTTTAGAGTGAATCACTTGGAAAGAGACCTGTAACTGTATCCTGCAGGAAATCACAGGCTGGAAGCCAGAAAGAAACCAGGTCAAGCTTCATGGAATCAGGCCACCAGGAAGAAAGGCAAGGAGCCCAACATTTATGGAGTGTCTTCTCCATGCTGGGCACACTCAGCAAATGCAATGTGGCCCTTGTCCAGGGAGGTCGGGCTGAACCTCGTTTTGCAAATGGACCAAGACGATAAGTGATTTGGGGGCGGTTTAAATAAGCAGCAGGTGGCATAGCTGGGATGCAAACCCAGGTGTGCCTCACTCAAAGATCGATCAGTACACCACCAGTCACACCCAAGTCCACCCATTAATAATGCGGAGGTGGCCTCTCCTCACCGGCACCCTCCTCCAAACCCCAACTTAGGAGCATAGCAGCAGAGAGCATGGAAGCTCTTGGAGGCCCCTCGCTATATAAGGTGGTGTAGTCTGGGGGTCAAAAGCATGCAACCCAGCTTTGAGTCCTGTCTCTGCACCTATGAGCTGTGTGACACTGGGCAAGTGTCTGAAATGAGGGATTCTGCATAATGTTTAGGAACATAGCAAGTGTTTCGCATATTTAGCTATTATTATTATCATCAGTATGGATATTGAATCTCAAAGACCCAGCTGGTGGCACCAGGCCTTCCCTTACCAAATCCCCTCCCTCTAAACCCCAACCAAGGAGCAGGTTTCCCAGCAGGTTGCAGATCCCTCAGGACAGCTCTGCAGAGGGAGTGAGACCAGCAAGAGAGGAGGGGCTCAGTGATTGAAAATAAACACTCCTCAGCAGACCACCCACTTCATCTCCCACCCCTCCCACTGTGAGCGGAGCAGCGGGGAGAGAACACAGATTCCTCCACCTAAGTTGAGTCAAGGCAAGCATGTTTCTCTTTTTCAGAGGAGAGGAGACCACGTGAAGTCAAACACAAGCACCCCAAACTACCTCCTTGCCCCATCTCTCAGGTGCAGCCCCACCTGATGCACCTGGGGAGGAGTTAAGAGCTGGGAAACAGATCATCACAGGCTGGGAAGCCAGAGGTGGGCACGGAGCACACAGAGGGGTTCTCCATGCAAAGACACATGCACACTCCTGTCCAATGGCTCCTCAGCTCAAATGCCCTGGCCTGTGGGTGAACCACGCCACCATCTGAACTTCCCCCCAGGACAGGGCCCACATGGCCTGGGGGACTCTAAAAAAGAACTTGGCATCAGATCCTCTTCAGGTCCCTAGAGACTGGACCCTTCTTATAGCTCCTGCCTGCGTCGCACCCAGACCATCTTGGGATGTTGAAAGTCCACTGTATTTGGAAAGACAACAGCACCTTTTCCTCTTTAATCCCCCACTGGCCTCGGTCAGAATGCAGAGTTTTTGCAGGTCTCTCAGTTTTTGTTTTGTTTTTGTTTTTGTTTTGAGATGGAGTCTTGCTCTGTCGCCCAGGCCAAAGTGCAGAGGTGCGATCTCGGCTCACTGCAATCTCTGCCTCCCAGGTTCGAGCAATTCTCCTGCCTCAGCCTCCCGAGTAGCTGGGATTACAGGCACGAATCACCACACCTGGCTTATTTTTGTATTTTTAGTAGAGACAGGGTTTCACCATGTTGGCCAGGCTGGTCTCGAACTCCTGACTTCAGGTGATCCGCCTACCTTGGCCTCCTAAAGTGCTGGGATTACAGGCGTGAGCCACCGTGCCCAGCTAGGTATCTCAGTTTTAATACTGAACCCACTCTCCCTCCATGGAAGCGTCTGTCTGCGTACTCTGAAGACCCCATGTTGCAGCCATGATTCCTGCCCCCTCTTAGATGTTCGTAACACGGTGGTCTCGGAACACCCCCTCTCCAGCAGCTCCCAACCAACACCCATGGGTGCCATCCAGGCAGCAAGCTCCACTCAAGCTGGGGCTCACCAGAACGAGTTTGCATCCAATTCTCAAGCCTCAACTCTTCAGCTTTGTTTCCACCCTTCACCACTCCCCACAGCATGCAAATAATACCGCATTTTATATGGAAAACACTAAAATAAGATCACACCTTTTAAAAGATATTTCCACCTCGCAGCCTGAAATCAGACTTCACCTTTCTCCCATTCCTCACAACCACCAGGCCAGCCCCCTCCCCTCACACACGCGCATGCACACACACACACGCACTCACACACTCACACACACCCGTTTCACTACCAGACTTCCCTAAGCCACTTTAATTGAAAAGGCATGATTTAGACTAATTGACAGCAGATGGGTTCGGTTGCAAAATGCAGAGAAGCATTTGTTGAACATGATTTACAGCAACGAGGCAAAACTTTCTCCTTTTTATATCTTTCTCTGAGCTCCATGGCCAGAACAGCTCAGCAGAAATGAGAGGAGAAAAAAAAGTAATTAGTGTTTAATTTTTTAACAATTTTTAACTCCCTTTTTAATTGCTTTACATAAACCTGTCCTAGAATTTTACAGCCTTCAAATCTCTGTCTAAGTCTGGTCCTTGTTTCTGGTTTTAATTACAGGGAGGCTTGTCTGGCACATTAAATTAGAAGAAAAAAAAAAGCACACACAATTTCAGAACTATTTTGCTGTTGGACTCTCGACTGAACATCTAATATTTCAGCGTGCGAATGGGAAGGCACTGCCCGGGAGGGCTTTGGTAGGAGCAGACGTGGACCCAAGGGCTTCTGCAGCATTGTTGCATCGACCCAAAACTGTCTCTTAATGTTACGAGGAGGGAAAGAGCAGTCAGGATACAGTATCTGATGGGCCGTAGTGGCCCCTGGATGCTCAGCACTGCTTTGAATGCAGCTAGTTTCCTAGAACGGCTGTGTGCAGACTTTTGCAGGCTTTGGTCAGGCTGTAAGCTCTTATTTTTAAGCCAGGCCATCGATCTCATGCTCACTTCTCAGCAGTCCCTTTTAAGCAGGATAGTAACCAGAAAGAAGCACTGTGTGGAGAATACCAAGCGGATGGGTCTCCCCAGTGCAGGGTTCGTACGAGGGGAGAGTCAGGGCAGCAGATTCAGGGCACACGATGGAGGACCAGGTGGCCATCTGCATCTGAGTCTGCATCTTCCTTGCAGGGAGAGAGGGCTTGCACCTGGACTTGTATGAACCAATGGAATCTTCTGTGCTGTCCAACATGGTAGCCACCAGCATATATGTGGCTATTTAAATGTACATGAATGAATATTCAATACAATTTTGAATTATCTTGCTCGGTTGCATGAGCCACATTTCAACAGCTCAATAGCCTCAGGAGGCTAGTGGCGACGTAACATATCCAATAGCACAGATATGAGACATTTCCATCACCAAGGAAAGTTCTATTGGACAGGGATGCCCTAGACCCTTGCTATTGAAAGTGTGTTCTGTGGCTAGGCCCTCTGCATCCCCCAGGAGCTGGTTAGAAATGCAAGATCACAGGCCTCACCCAGGCTTACTGACTCAGAATCTGCATGGTAACAAGACCCCCAGTGATCCAAGTACACATTATAGCGTATGTCCCGCTAGCTCGTGAGGATGAAAGTCTCAGAAGCTCCCCCACCCCGTAGCCTAGAATAACCTTTCCAACTTGCAGATTGCATATGACCCTCTGGGTTGGGGATTATGGTCAATTTCTCCTTTTTCAGCTTGTTTGTGTCTTCTGGATTTCTGCAGTTACCTTTACTTCCTCAAAAAAGAAAGCCTGGCCAGGCAGAGTGGCTCATGCCTGTAATCCCAGCACTTTGGGAGGCCAAGGCAGGAGGATCCTTGAAGGCCAGGAGTTCGAGACCAGCCTGGGAAACATAGCAAGAACCCCCTTCTCGCCAAAAAAGAGTTTTGAAAACTAGCCAGGTGTGGTGGTGTGTGCCTGTTGTCCCAGCTACTCGGGAGACTGAGGCAGGAGGATCATCACTTGAGCCCAGGAGGTTGAGGCTGCAGTCAACTATAATCGTGCCACTGCACTCCAGCCTGGGGAACGAAGCAAGACCTTGAAAAGAGAGAAAGAGAGAGGAAGGAAGGAAGGAAGGAAGGAAGGAAGGAAGGAAGGAAGGAAGGAAAGAAGGAAAGAAAGGGAGGGAGGGAAGCCAGCCTAAGAAAGTTATTTTACTAATACCATGGTTTTGTAAAACTTTGTTCTACCGGTAATACAAACTCCCTGTCTGCAGTCAATGCAAGGGCTGGCATCCATGCCACGGACACAGGAACCTGCTGGAAGCCGGCAGGGGAAGAAAGGTCACATCCCTGAAGCAGCAGCTGCCTGGGGCCTGGAGCAGGGCAACGGGGCGTGGATTCTCTTAAAGGTGAGTGTGCAGGCAGGGGGAGGGCGGAAAGATGGGGGCAAGGGGTGGTGTGTCATAAAATGTCCTGAGGACATAAACTTTGCAGGGCCCAGCCCCCCACTCGCTGCTTGCGTTCATTAGCACGGAGGCCGCAGACCCCCTCGGCAGACCCTGCCTATGCCTGCCCTGGGCTCCTGGAGGACTCCTGCTGGGGGCCGGAGGGCTGCCTGGCGCCGCTGGGCGAGCAACTTCAGGGATGGAGCCAGGCCAGCGCCGGCTCCCCACACATGGTCATTACCTCCCGAAAACCCAGGAGTTATTACAATTAAAACACGTTGCAGGGGGGAGTGAGGGCTGGGGGAGGTCCCTTTAGGAAGGAACACTGGGATTAGAAGAAATTAGAGCAGTTGTCTTGGCAACGCAGCCAGGCTGGGCCTACCCTGTGATTATTTCAATGGGAACAGCAGGATGGGGGCTGAGTGGGGCTGGGATAGGGGGTGCTGGAGACCCATGTACCCAGCTGCATGGGTGAGAGCTGTGCTCTGCTCTCAGAATGGGACTCAGCAGCCAGGGAAAACGCTCCCCAGGGTGATTCCTGCCGGCTGTCCTGTTCTCTGTAATTGCTACTTATCCCGTGAAACACTGAGTAGATGGCCCTCTGTCCTCCAGGGAGTTCAAACCCCAGACCTCTGTGATCCTTTTCTTTTTAAAACAGAACTCTCCCAAGAGGGCCCCCGCTCTCCCGGCTTCATGGGTGGAAATGGCCCGGCCTGGTTTCCTATCAGTTCAACTCTGGCCGTTCAGAGCCGCAGGTCAAACCCAACCATCCCTTTTTCTAGGTGGCCTCGAAGCAAGGTGGAATAGAAAGCACAAGAGGTGTGCATGGCGGGAGAGGCAGGAGAGCTGGGGGAGTGAAAACGTTTTGGAAGTAGGCCCATGATAATGAGCAAGATGGAATCTGTGCCTGGGACACCTCCAGGCACCAGCACGGGATTGGGGTCTCTACGGAATGGGAATCCCGGTCTGGCAGAGCTACAGGGCCTGCGAAAGAGAAAACAGTAATTAGTTCTCCATCTTTCTGCTTGTCTCAGCAGCCCCGAGCATGTTTGGCAGACGGGCGAGGAGAACCTGTTTGGAAACCACTGGGGGAGAAGAGGATGGGGTGAGGGGGGAAGGGACAGGAGGAAGAAGAATCCAGTCTCCAAGCTTCCGGGGGTAGTTCTTGGCAAATTCCCACATCCCCAGTCTCATTTCCTCTGGAACTACCTTAGGGAGTCTAATAGCAGAGAGAGGCCTAGAAACACCAGACCCAGTACACCAGAAGTTTCAGGTGTACCAGGTGAGCGTTCCATGTGGAAGGTTAACTGGACCGGAGGCAAGGCCCCCTCAGAACCCAAAGCTGGAGATCTCTGAGCTGCCTAAGCCCAGCCAGGAGATGACATTTAGGAACATTCTCTTCCTAGCCTCCCCGTCCCTTTTGAAAACTGATGATTTCCAACCTCAGGTAGCCACTGTCGGTTGTTTGGGGCCTTCAGGAGAGCTTTTCCTATTTGTATGTGCAAGGTCTGAGGTGTTCTGATGGAAAACACATGTTCTTAGAATTTGGCCTAAGTACAAGACTTAGCCACTGATTCCACGTGACCTTCAGCAACTCATTCAACATCTGTTTCCTTATCTATAAAAGTATCATCTAATTTACAGTGTCATCATGAAGGCTTGAAATAATGGACTTAAAATGCCTAGCTTTAGGGTAACAAGTCTTCCCCATTTGTCTAGGTCGGACGGGTTCCCAGGACTTTCAGGTTTAATGTCAGGCAGTCCCAGGTGAACGGGACAAGGTGGCCACCCTACCAACTACTGAGTATGCATGAAGTGGTGGGGGCGGGGGGCAGCTATTTTATGTTGGGGTCTTACTCCTTTGTAAAATTCTTGACACATTCTGTGTATATAAGTGCAAAAAGTATATATACATACACACATCCATATACATGAACTTTCCAGAGATAAACTGGGAGGCAATTATTCGCATTTCAAAAAAAAAAAAAAAACCTCCACCTGGCAAAATGATAAAATCCAGCATCCTTCTGTACAAGATTGAGGCAGAGAAAGAGACTGTGTGTGATGGAAAATTCAGAGATAATAAGCTGATGGATTGGAAAGCAATGAGAAATCATTTCTGAGAGCCTTTCATTTCTGGGGGAAACCCCAGCACTTTCAGAAGATTCTCTGTGCCCAGCTTTGCTGGACTCTCTCTAGCTACAGAGCCCAGTGCACCTATAGCATGGCTCCTTCGTGCATTGGCAGGAGATCACCAGCAGCCATTGGTCTGGGGAAGTGCTGTCAGGCTGGGGGTCAGAGGAGAGGGTCAAAAGCCTCCATGATGTGCTCCAAGTTCTAACTTGGCATTGCTTTTCATCACAGGAGAACTCTGTTTATTTTATTTTATTTTTTTTTTGAGACAGAGTTTCACTCTTGTTGCCCAGGCTAGAGTGCAATGGCGCGATTTTGGCTCACTGCAACCTCTGCCACCTGGGTTCAAGCGATTCTCCTGCCTCAGCCTCCCAAGTAGCTGGGATTACAGGCACGTGCCACCACACCCGGCTAATTTTGTATTTTTAGTAGAAACAGGGTTTCCCCATGTTGGTCAGGCTGGTCTCAAACTCTCAACCTCAAGTGATCTGCCCGCCTTGGCCTCCCAAAGTGCTGGGATTACAAGTGTGAGCCACCGCACCTGGCCCTCCGTTTATTTTTCTACCTTCCCCTTGGTTCAGAGGGTTCAGGCTGCCCAGCTTTTATCAACTCTAAAAAAGCTTCAGGTGGGGAGTTCGTGCACCAATCAAAAACACCAGCATCACATCATCTTGCTGGAGTTTTTTGTCGTTGTTGTTGTTTTTAACCACCTAGTTCTTGGAACAACAGGTGAGAGAGAATAGGAGGGAAAGGAAGATGATAAAAAGATCGCAATACCCTCCCCATTCCCCCAGCTTCAAAACTCAGAGGCGACGGCTGAATAATGCAGGCAGCTTGGTCTGGTGGGGGATCTTCAGAAGCAATGGAATCACGTGGAGCAGGCCAAGCTGAGACCCTAACCCGGCTCCACCACAACCCACCTCAGCCTGGGCTCCAGGGTCTGCAGGTGCAAGCCACCAGCTGAGCAAGGGGTAAGGGGAGGTGCAATGAGGGCCTTCTGGCTGTCCTCCCCTCTTTTGTCCTCCCCTCCCCACCACCACCTGATGCTTTCAGGTGAAACCTGAGCCATGTGGCTACAACCACAATCAGTTTAATGAGCTTCATTCACTCCCAGTCTAAATCGGGAAGAAAAAAGGCCCCGCTGGAAACACATCCTGTCTCCTCCTCGGTGAGGTGACAGTGGGGCCGGGCACAGCAAGGGGGAAGGATATTAGAAGGTGCTGAAAAGGGAGAGCTCTCCCTTCTCCCCATTGGAGGGATCAAAGCCTTTATTTAATGTGGCCAGAGCAGATCACAGAGCC
This sequence comes from Homo sapiens, assembly GCF_000001405.40. Lineage (NCBI taxonomy): Eukaryota > Metazoa > Chordata > Mammalia > Primates > Hominidae > Homo > Homo sapiens. The sequence continues at coordinate 72,382,175 of NC_000017.11, forward strand.
TCCAGGAGTGCTGGCTCCTCCCTGGCATCCCAGCCTCCCTGAGGCTCATAGGCTCACGTGGTCCCAGATTCCAGCAGGCCAGCCCCATGGAGGCTAAGATTGCATCCTAGGGAGCAAACGGTGGCTGCCGGAAGTAGCCCAACCTTGCCAGACCACATAAGGCTGGAGACACAGGCAGCAGGATGGTGTGTTGAGGGGGTGGGGAGGGGCTTGGCAGTGATGCCTGGGTTTATTTCTTGGATTGTTATTTTGGTGAGAGGTGCCCTCAACATCTTGGATAACTAAGGCTGGGTCCTGCATGGAAGAGAGAGCTGAACCAAAGGTTATGTGACCACACAATGTCCCCCCATCTCTATCCGAGCCTATTTCTGCCATCGCATTTACCAAACTACTTTGACATCCTCTCTTTCCTTGCCCCTCTTCTTCTCTCTCTTTCACCTCTTAGAAGGCAAGACTGAGCTTTTTTTCGTGCCTTTGTATCCCATGCAGACAGTAAGCACTAAATAAATGTTTGCTTACCTAAATAGATTCTTTACAGCTTTATCATGATCCATGTCTTGGGAGAGAATCTCCCTGGCCGACAGGCCAAATCCCAGGAGTCCAGACAGAGCCTCCAGGCCTCTTCCTACCTCTTGCCTCCACTTTTCTACACATTTCGCCAAAGGAGGCTGGGAACTCGCTCCACTACTGTGCCACACCAATTAACAACAACAACAAAAAACACAAGCCATAGAGGAGGAAAAGTAGCAAAGGAAAAAAAAAAAACAGACAAGGAGGAATGAAATGTGCATGTGTACACATATAATACGAGTTAGCCTATCCCAAAGCCCCCTGGACAGAAACCAAACAGGAAATCGAGAATCATTACCAAATGCACTTCCCCGGCTCGCCCAGCTCCTGGCCCCCAGGAGTGGGTCAAGGATGCGCAGACGCAGCTCCCGGGGCCTAGGAGCCCCGGGAGGGCGGGGCTTTGATGGATTGATTGGCATTTCCTTCCCCCGCTACCCTCCTGACCTCTGGGGAGGGCGTCTCCGTGGATGGCTGGTGGGATGGGGCGGAAGCCTCTTGTTGCGGACACCGCCCGGGAGCAGCGGGGCTGGAGCTTTGCCACTCAGGCCTCCCACGGTGCTGGAGCAGAAGGTGACCGGCAGCTGGCCTCCCTCACCCCACTCCACAGAGAGCTGTGTGATGGCCCGGGCTTTGAGGTCAAGACCTTCTGCTCTTAAGAAAACAGATCTGAAATTTTGGCATCAAAATAAAATATGTGCAGAGGAAATAAGTAACCCTTGGAGCGCAAGGCAGGCCATAAGATTGAAATAAAATGTCCAAGCAGAAACCAGAGCTAGGTGGCCATAGGTTCAAGTTCATCCCGGCTGGGTCATTCCTTTTGCTCTGAGCTCTATGGAGGACTGAACCCTTGCTCGGTGCACTCTGCCTCAGCAATCCATCAAGCTGTTTCTGTAAAGGACCAGAGAGTAAATATTTCAGGCGCTGTGGACCATCTCTGTTGCCACTATGCAGCTCTGCCCGTTGCATGAACGGAGCCACAGACCATACATAAATCAATGGTTATAGCTGTGTTCCCACGAAACTTTATTTATAAAAACAGACAGCTGTTCAGATTTGGCTTATGGGCTATATTTTACCAACCCCTGGCGTAGATCATGAAGACAACAGAATGATATAATGGTTCAAGGATATGGGCTTTGAAGTCAGGCAAACCCAGTTCCAATCTCTGTCCAAGACTTATTACTGCTGTCATCTTGGGCAAGTCACTTAACTCAATCAAGCTCAATTTCCTCATCTGTAAAATAGGATAATAATGCCTGCCTCACCAGGTTACTGTGATGATTAAATGATCTAATGAATGTAAAGTGCTTGACACTCAATAAATGCTGGCTGTTAATCATTCTCATTATGAGGAGAATTAAGTAGAATTGAGGGGAGGTAATTTTGAGCCTTTCACTGTTAGTTACTGCTATTGTTACTGGAAAGCTCCTGCACACCTGAGTAATGAGGGCTGGCAGTGTCTTTCTGTGCAAAAATTTATTTCCTACAATTTAATATTCCACAGATTCACTGCATGCTATTAAGTCAGTGGTTGCATATTAGAATCATCTGAGAACCTTTTTTTTTTTTTTTTTTTGAGACGGAGTCTCGCTCTGTCGCCCAGGCTGGAGTGCAGTGGCACGATCGGCTGTCTGCAAGCTCCGCCTCCCGGGTTCAGGCCATTCTTCTGCCTCAGCCTCCCGAGCAGCTGGGACCACAGGCACACGCCACCACACCCAGCTAATTTTTTGTATTTTTAGTAGAGACAGGGTTTCGCCGTGCTAGCCAGGATGGTCTCGATCTCCTGACCTCGTGATCCGCCCACCTCTGCCTCCCAAAGTGCTGGGATTACAGGCTTGAGCCACCATGCCTGGCCCATCTGAGAAGTTTTTAAATCTCCTTGCCCAGGCTGCAACCTAGACCAATCAAACCAGAAGCTCTGCGAGTAAGACACCGCCAGGCATCACTATAGTTTAAAACTCCCTGGATGATTCCAGTGTGAAGCCTAAGTGGAGAACCACTGGGCTACGTAGCTGAAAAGAACAGGGGAGAGTCCTTTTGTTCCTTACTACTCAAGAGGGCGTCCAGGGACCAGCACCATCAGCATCGCCTGGGAGCTTGTGAGACGTGCCGAATGTCAGGCCCCCCACCCTAGACCTGCTGAATGTGAATCTGCCTTTTGACAGAATCCCCAGGGACTGGGGTGCATATCTAGTTTGAGGAATATAGCTGTTCCACAGGCACCCGAACTTGGCTCATGAGCAGAATAACATGCAAAGTTTTAAAAATTACTAGACTTCAGGCCAGGCACAGTGGCTCACATCTGTAATCCTGGCATTCTGGGAGGCCAAGGCAGGCGGATCACTTGAGCCCAGGAGTTCAAGACCATCCTGAGCAATATGGCGAAATCTGGTCTGTAAAAAAAAAAAAAAAAAATTTAATTAGCCAGGTGTAGTGGCACCTGCCTGTAGTCCCAGCTACTGAGGAGGCTGAGGTGGGAGGATCGCTAGAGGCCAAGAAGTTGAGGCTGCAGTGAGCCATGATCACGCCACTGCACTCCAGCCTGGGCAACAGAGCAAGATGCTATCTCAAAAAATAAGACAAAAGAAAAAGTAAAATAAAATAATTTCTAGACTTCATCACCAACTCACTGAATCAAAATCATTGTTGGGTAGCCCAGGGATTGGTACTTTTCCCCAACGTTTTATTTGAAAAATTTCAGACATACAGAAATGTTGTACCCACATACTTACCACCCAGATCCTGTGATTGTCAAGATTTTGCTACATGTACTTTATCACAAATCTATGCGTTTATCCTCCGTTTATCTATCCATCAATCCAACTCATTTTTTCAACGCATGTCAAAGTAAATTGCAGGCATTAGGACACTTCATCTCTAAACACTTCAGTGTGCACATCATTAATTTTTAACAAGGTCTGTAATTGATTCCTGGGCTGTGAACCCAACATCCTACCTTGGGCATTCAGGAGTTATTAATCTAGTGACAATCTCTCTGTCCTGAGGGGACAGTAGCTAAGACATTAGAGAACAGTCACTCACCACTGTCTGTATTCTATCTCTTAGTATTTAGTTAACAATGGCATTAAGTGTCTTTAGCCATGTCTCCTAAACCTTCCCTGGTGTTTTTCCTCCAAAGAAATATCTCCAGGCAAAACACTCTACAGTCTTTCCATGTTCCCTTTGTAGAGACTAAGCTGAGTCTCCCACTGTAGTTATCAATTCTGCAGCCAACAGCCTTAAAGGGGCCTGAGAGACAGGATGCTATATCATCTTTGCTTCTGAATTTTGGCATATCATCGGTCAGGGTGCAGCAATTTCACCTACACATCTGGCTTTCCCTCCGTCTTGGGTTTTCTTTTGACAAGCACCTGTCTAATACAAAAATCCAAGCCCTGTCAGGGCTGATGTGAACTCTAATAAGAGATATTTTTCTGGCTAGGTCAACCCAAAAAGGAGGCTGGCCCTAGGACACAAGGCAGGATCACTCATTGTGATCAACAATTCAAGATCTTTTGAGAAAGAGGCTGACCATTCCACTACTGCACCCAGATTTTTTTTTTTTTTTTTTTTTTTGAGACAAGTTCTTGCTCTGTCTCCCAGGCTGGAGTGCAGTGATGCAATCATGACTCACTGAAGCCTCAGCCTCCTGAGTAGCTGGGCCTACAGGTGCAGACCACCATGCCCAACTAATTATTTTTTTAGAGATGGGGTCTCACTATGTTGCCCAGGCTGGTCTCAAACTCCTGGCGTCAAGCAATCCTCCCTCCTTGACCTCCCAAAGTGCTGGAATTACAGGAGTGAGCCATTGTGCCCAGCCTGCACCCAGCTTTTTAGGACTCTTCCAGAATCCCTGAGGTGGGGCTGCAGTTAGTACCAATTCAGTCTGTATTCTTCTGCTCCTCCCCAAGGTACTTGGATAGCCGCCAACGCTCATGGGATAAATTAATAGGAGTTACTGCCCCTAAAGAATTGCCTAACCACTTCCAAATGCTCTCTTCCAACAGTCTAGGAGAGGGCTGTCTCAGAGTCTGAACACACACAAGCCCCAAGTCGCTCTATGTCATAGATAGAGACAGCTGGGTCACAAATAGTGTCATACATCAGCATTTCCACCTACAAACATGAAAAGACACATGGGCTCCTCACTTCCAACCTTGCTCACTATTTTGCAGGCCACCCACTCTCTGTTTGCATGGGGCCTCTAACCTTGAAACCCGACACCCTCCTTTCAGGAGCCACCCATGTTTAAACAAATAAATACCCCAAAGTAACCCACTCCCTGGTGGTACTCAAATAAATGGCCCAGGAAGGAGGATGGGGGGAGGGGGACTCCTGGGCCTCCTATGCCACTGGCCTGCCACAGAGCATCCTTGGGCCACTGCTATGCACAGGGCCACATAGAGGGACAGCATAGGTGAGGGGAGAGTTTGCCGTCACTGGAATTCAGGAAAGAGGAGGCAGAGGGATGGATGGTGTCCAATCAAAGATGAAGATCTGGCCCAGCATGGTGGCTCATGCCTGTAATCCCAGCACTTTGGAAGGCAGAGGCAGGTGGATCACTTGAGGTCAGGAGTTTGAGACCAGCCTGGCCAACACGGTGAAACCCTGTCTCTACCAAAAATACAAAAATTAGCCAGGCATGGTGGTCGGCATCCGTAATCCCAGCTACTCAGGGGGCTGAGGCAGGAGAATCACTTGAGCCTGGGAGGCAGAGGTTGCATTGAGCCGAGATCGCACCACTGCACTCCAGCCTGGGTGACAGAGTGAGAGTCTGTCTCAAAAAAAAAAAAAAAAAAAAGAAAGAAAGATGAAAATCTTTGAAACATGCGCGGAGATTCTCTGTAACTCCCAGTTACTCAACCATAAGCCTTTAAATTCCTCTGGCCAGGGAGGGAGAGCTAAGAACCATTTGGTGGGTGGAGAGGAACAGGGATCAGTTATTTGATGAGTCAGAAACGCTTAAATGTAGTTCCGAGACTCTGCAGTTCTCACTCCTGCAGTGAGAAGGGGAGGGGTGGAGAGAAGTGGGAGAGGGAGACCCACAAGTCCAAAAATCTCCTTGTCTCTGGTTCAGTGGCGAGAACCACTGAAATGTCTTTGTTTCATGGAACGTGGAAAGCTAGGAATAAAGTCGCTGCTTTGTCACGAGTCAGTTGGTCAACGGAGTTGCTGCTATATTATTTAGGATATTTTAAAATCCTAAAAAGGATTTTAAAGCATAAGGAAGAAGATGACAATGGTCTGCTTCAGAGCTGTGGACAGCTTCCTATGAAGGAAAGGAAGGAGAAGAGATGTTCTCAAGGGTTGGCCTAGTCAGTTTATAGATGAGCAAGGAAAGTGTGAACTAGATTATACTAGAAAGCTGGCCCCATCCCCCTAAGTGTGTAAGGAAGTGAGGAGGAAAAAGGAGACCACGTTTCAAAAATAAACACAAACCCCAAAATAAACACTGTTAATGGAAGTGACTAATCAAGGGTGTGCTGAACTTGGTGGTTATTGATAAGATACAGGGAGAAACGTACTTGGAAAAAATAACAGATCCCCCCTTACCTTTTGGTAAATAAAGTGTTGGGGAGAAGGTGGGGGGATTAGGGTTCGGACTTGGTTCAATGCTGCAGCAGAGGTTTAAGACACAATTTCTCAACCTTAGCACTACCAACTTTGAAGGCTGGATCCAGACAGTTGTGGGGGCTTGCCTTGTGCATTCTAAGTTGCTTTTTTTTTTTTTTTTTGAGACAGGGTCTCACTCTGTCACCCAGGCTGGAGTGCAGTGGTGTGATCAGAGTTCACTGCAGCCTCAACCTCCCAGGCTCAAGCCATCCTCCCACCTCAACCTCCCAAGTAGCAGGGACTACAGGTGCATGCCACCACACCCGGCTAATTTTTTTGTATTTTTCGTGGAGATGGGGTCTCGCCACGTTGCCCAGACTGATTTTGAACTCCTGGGCTCAAGTGATCCACCTGCCACAGCCTCCCAAAGTCGTGGGATTACAGGCCTGAGCCGCCACACCTGGCCACTGTAGGATTTTTAATGGCATCCCTGTCCTTTACCTACCAGATGCCGGTAGGACACTTGCCCCTAGCTGGGACAACCAAAAATGTCTCCAGACATGCAAACAACCGCTGGATGGGAGTAGGGGGACAAAATCACCCCCACTTGAGAACCACTGGTTTATAATATGGGGCATAGCTCCTCTCAGTGAGAGATGGCTTACCATGACTTAGGGCTTGGCCTAAGCAAAATTTGAGGCTAATTCAGCATCTGTACTGCAGGCCTAGAATTTGTCATTCTGCGGCACTTCTCACTGTAGCCTGTTTTCCCCCTCCAGGGCCTCTGGCCGCTCTGCACTCCTGGCAGTCGGGGAGAAAACAATGAAAGGATGTGCCAGAGCCCCCATGCCCACCTTTGGCATGTATGGCTCTGTGGGTGCAGGATGGGTGAGTAGAGGTGCCTTCCTGCAGGGGGAGTGGAGAGACAGCAGGAAACACCATATCTGCCTGGAAGCTGCAGCCCCGTGTGAGGCCACAAGTCTAGTATCGTAACCCCTGGGGATGGATTTCAACCCCCACTCACCCCATCTGGCCTGGCACCTGTGGGCATTATGTAAACCGCAGCCCTGATTGTACGATGACTCAGCTAGAATGTACCCTTTGCAGTTGTCCTCATCCTCTCTCTTCGTATCACTGAAGAACAGAAGACCAGAGAGGTGAAAAGAAAGTCTACAGTGGCTAGCTGTTTGGGTCCGGATGAGTTTCCTCTTACTGCTGCAACAAATGGCCATAAACTTAGCAGCTTAAATCAGGACAAACCTATTATCTTCAATTCTGGAGATTAGAATTTCAAAATCGGTCTCAGTGAGTCAAAATCAAGGCATCAGCAGGGCTGTACTCTTACATAGGCTCTAGAGGACGATCCGTGTCCCTGCCTTTTCCAGCTTTTTCTAAAGGCCACCTGCATTCCTGGCCTCATGGCCCCTTCCACCATCTTCAAAGCCAGGACTACAGCATCTACAAATCTCTGACTCTCCTGCCTCTCTCTTAAAGGGACTGTTGAAATTACCCTGGGCTTAACCAAGAATTATCTCCCTGTCTCAAGAAACTTAACTTGATTACATGTTCATGGATTCCAGGGAGCAGGACATGGGTATCTTTGGGGACCATTATTCTGTCTACCACATGGACAAAGCCAATACTCAGCTCAGATTTCCAATTCCAAGTCCAGTGGGTTTCTGCTTGGGACTGCACTGAGAGCAAGACCATACGCACAGGATTGCACAGAAGAGCTGGCATTTTGGCTTTTATGGGAGAGGTCTTCTCAATGGTCCTCCTTAAACGACTCCAATAAGAATCAGAAATAAATACAAGAGCCTTCTCTTTTTTTCTTTTTTTCTTTTTTTTTTTTTTTTTTTTTTTTTGAGACAGACTCTCACTCTGTTGCCCAGGCTGGAGTTCAATGGAACAATCTCAGCTCACTGTAACCCCAGTCTCCCGGACTCAAGCGATCCTCCCACCTCAGCCTCCCAAGTAGCTTGGACTACAGGCATGTGCCACCAAGGCCAGGCTAATTTTTGTAATTTTTTTAGTAGAGATGGGGTTTGTTATGTTGCCCAGGCTGGTCTTGAACTCCTGAGCTCAGACGATCCACCTGCCTCAGCCTCCCAAAGTACTGGGATTACAGGCGTGAGCCACCATGCCTGGCCCTGAGCCTTCTTACCACGAAAACAGAGGCCGAAACCTGTAGATGTCTACTAAGGCCGTCGGTCATTAAAGCAATTATTGCCAGCCAAGAAAGCCTTCAAGGCCCACCGCAATCCAGATAGGCTAGCCAGGAACCTCCATGGAGTGAGCTATAACATGATGGGGTTTTATTCAATGGAGGATTTGTCTACTGAAGGAGGGAGGAACACTTGACTGAGTCAACTCAATAGTTCAACAAATGTTCTTTCAGATTCTGACCTAGGTACAGAATGCCAGTGAGAAGTAAGAACAGCCCTGGGCCTCACAACCTGGGGCAGTGGGTGTTGCTCTCATTGTCTTCACTTTATAAGTGAAGAAACAGACTTAGATCACAAGGGCAAGAGCAAAGGAGTCAGAATTAAACTCAGACCTGCCTAACCCTACAATTTGACTCTTAACTGTGTCACTATTTGGAATTCCATGGGACCTGTATTAGTCTGTTCTCATGCTGCTATGAAGAAATACTCGAGACTGGGTAATTTATGAAGAAAACAGGTTTAATTGACTCACAGTTCCATATGGCTGGGGAGGCCTCAGGAAACTTACAATCATGGCAGAAAGCACCTCTTCACAGGGTGGCAGGAGAGAGAATGAGAGCCAGCAGGGGAAATGCCATAGGCTTATAAAACCATCAGATCTTGTGATAACTCACTCACTAGCATGAGAACAGCATGGGGGAAATCGCCCCCAAGATGCAATCACTTCCCACCGGGTCCCTCCCACAGGAACTACAATTCAAGATGAGATTTGGGTGAGGACACAACCAAACCATATCAGGACCCATTCTATAAAAGATATGTAGGAAGTGCTTCCCCAGGAGTAAGGGTGATTACTTCTACCTGGGGAAGGTTAGGGGAATGTTTATCAGGGAGATAGTAACACTAGCAATAGCTAACACATGAGCTGGATGTATGACTCAGGTCCTGTGCTCTGAGAGCTACATATATTAATGCATACCTCCCTCTCCCACAAAAAAAGAAAAGAAAACCAGTGAGGTCAGTACTACTACAATCTTCAAATTATATAGGAGGATGCTGAGATGCAGAGATATGAAGTAAACAGCCTTAAATCACACAACCAACACAAGGTGGGGCTGGAATTGAGATGCTATCCCATCTCCTTCCTCTGAGCATTAGAAAGGCATCTAGGAAGGGTCTAATCCTGAGCTGGAAAGGCATCCATGGGCTCTCTGTAGGGGCTCAGAAGGGCTAGACAGCCAGCCAGCTGGAAAGCAATGCGGCATCTCATGCATTTGAGCATGTACAGGTCACTAATGGCTGTGCACAAAAAGGACCCCAGCAGGAAGCCATCCACTGGCCCCTGGACCAACACTACCAGGATCTTATTTGTTAGGAGGGCCAGAAAAACAGAGCTCGTCAATGTGCAAGTACACAGCTCTCTGGCTGCTTCCATTGGTCTCAAAGTTGCCTTGTCCAGAGGGGCCATTGACTATGGTGCATTTTAAGGAGGAGAAGAGACATCCAGGATGCCAACTGGGGTCCAGGAGACACAGCCACCTGTCCCACGAGCTCCAGAGTGAGCCTGACATAGGGCAAGTGGAAGCCACTCCTCAGACTTCAAATTCCTCTTGCAAGACAAAGGCTAACATAGGGAAGAGTTGTAAAAGACACTGTTTCCAGAAATCCTCTGACCACCCACAACGGTCTTGGCTTACAGAGTTTGCAGTGACCTAATCTGTATTTAGCAATGCTATCCCTTTGGTGGAGGAGGGTAAAGATTACCCAAATCCTGTAAGCAAAGCATCAACCACATCCTATGCTGTCTTCACTGACACACACCACTGTGCTGTCTAGGAATCAGGACAATCGTATGCCACTGTGCACCCAGGAAGCCTGACCTGCTGTGTCCCGAGTCTCACTCAACAATGCACACTATGGCGGCAGGTGTTCACTGCGCCGGGGATTTTTATTGGGTGGACTTGTGGAATTTAAAATCTCAGTTGCCTATCTCACCTTGAACAAGTAAAAATGGTTTCAGTTGCTTCTACCTTGCCCCATTTAAGTTTTCCCCAGAGATGGGCTGCTGAGCAGAGCTGGTGGGGACGTGGGGGATGGTTATGGGCAGTGGAGAGACAGGGAAAGGTGACACCAGCCTACCTGGTCTGTCTTGCTCAAAGCCCTTTCCTTTCCCTCTCCATCTCCCCAACCCACGATTCAGAAAGCTGCAGTAGAATCGGCTTCCCTCAGCTGCCCTGATGCGTTCCTCCCCAGCGATCTGCTTTCTACAAAAAAAAAAAAAGTGTTCTAAATAGAGCGGAACTGAGCATGGGGCCGCAGCCCGGATGAAGTCTTCCCCTCCCTGGAGAGCCCAGCGTCTCACATGGAGGCTGGTCCACCCCCAGTGCCTCTTACTCAAAGCATTTTTGACCCGGGAGCACCCGACCTTGACTGAGTGCACAAAGCTACCACAAATGGATTTTGCTTCTGCAGCATTTTGCCCGGGCTGGAGCCTTCCTCCCTCCCAGGCATCCCAGATGCCTTCTCTGGTCTCCTCTCCTTGCATCTGCCCTTACAGGCATCTAGGGGATCCTATTCCAGGTGAGGACTTAAAGTTCTGCAGCAGTCAGAGTTCTCCAATAACTTGCCTGGTGAGACTGGATGGCTCAATTAACCCAACTGGACCGCAGCATTCCCAAGACCGAGGTCTGAGAACTAGGACCACCAGCTCTCTCTCACAGGATTAGAGTGTTGGGTTATAATTTTTAAGTTAGAGTCTCCTGTTGCTCTCAAGGGGGCCTGAGCATCAGTCTGGGGGTGGGTCCCTTGACATTCCTCCTTGATTCTGGAAAAGTCTACCCAAAGCTCATACCCACCAGGTGCAGAGCCAGCAGCAGCTTTTTGGAATCAGCCATGGCACACACCTGGTTCTGTGCATTTCACCCATTAACACACACATCAAGAATCATTCCAATGCCAGCCAGGTTTATTAATGAGGTTCTCACACCCTCTGGAATAAGCATCCTATCCTTCAGTCCTCAAAAGACAGGGCTCCCAAAGGGGAGAGTGACTGGTGGTTTCTCTTACCACCATGACACCAACTCAACCCAGGTACCAAGCCTAGGCCAGCTGGCCCTGTGACAGCCCTGGACCATCTTTGGAAGAAGGGTGGAGGGGTGGCAATCTGGAAGGGAGGAGGTAGGCAAGCAGAGGTGGGAGGACTCAAGGGGAAGTCATGAGTCCCCCCTCTCCATCCCCACTTCCTGGGGCCTCCACTGAGTTAAAGCATAAGGAATCTGAAGCCAAACTGATTGTATGACCAGTCAATGAGTCAGTACCACCCTGCTCTTCATGGCCTCTCTGAGGTCAGCACCTCCAGGATATCCGTTCACCCAACCAGGCAGAGGCAAGGAGTTTAGAAAGTGAAATTAACTATGGGGTATACCTCCTTCCTTCGCCATCCCAACACAGAAAGAAAATAGAGGGAAGAGGGGAAGGAGGGGACTGGAGAGATAGCTTAAAGTGTGTAAACAGGAATCCTGGATTATACAATCCATTCATAAACAAGAATAACACTTGTTCAAAGACGGTTTTTCGGCTTTGTTTTTTGCCTCCTGTCATGCACTTCTGAGCTAGGAAATATCCGTTCTTCTCTATTCCCTTCCTCTCCAGTCTGTTTCAGAGCAAGAAGAAAACTTAAATGCTGAAACAAGGTATTTTTCCCCCTCTGGATGAACTGTTTTACAATAAGCTACCTGCTGGGGTCAGGAAACGTTAGATCAGTGGCTTTCTGCTCACACAAAAACTCACACAGGGGGTCAGGCTGAAGACTGCCCCCCTCGACCCTCCACAGAGAGATGGTCACCCACATACAACCCCTCTGGATCTGTGCCACCTTTTATTGGAAACAATTTCTCCCTTCTGCTTCACCACTTTGCCCCTTGGTTCTCAGTCAACCAATGCTCCGAACTCTCCTGCACGCTGGAGGGGAGCAACCCCCAGCCAGCGCACCTGGGGCTCTGTGTCCACAGGCTCATGGGAAGTTGGAAGGTGAGGGGTAGTGGGAAGAAGACACGGGAGGGAAGGAAAGAGCTGTGCCCCATGCGCCAATAGGAAACATATTTCCTTTACTATTAAGTGTGTTATACTCAGAAGAGGGAGGAATGATCAAAATCAAAATAAATAGCCAGCGGAAATAGGCAGCCCCTCCCTGGGAATGGTAATTACACAGGATGGAAGTTTATCCAAACACTGGAGAAAAAATGGTTCCTGTTGGAGGACAGGGAAAGGAACGTTCCTTACTGGAAAGGAAATTTGTTTATGACATTTTATTTGCTCCTTATTTTTTAATGCGCTTCTGGCCCCATGTCCTGTAAACAGACCAGCTTTTCCATTCTCTGGCAGTGCCAGGAGAGCCAAAGACCAAACAGGCGGAGCTGGTGCCAGGATCCTGGGCCACTCAGGTCCTACAATTACAAGAGCCGAGGCCCAGGCCAGGGGGTCTGGAAGGGGGCCTTGCTGGCCTCTGCAGTATGCAGGGAAGGGTGTGATTTGAAATCTAGGTGTGGAAACGGGGAGAAGGTTCTCTGCCTCCTGAGCTCCCCCGAGGCTTGGAATCAGCTCTCTCTCTGCCCCAGTAGAGGGAGAAACAGGAAGGGCTTCATGCACCCAATGTATATGTCTCATGAGTGTTTTGCAGGGTCTCTGCAGTCGGTAGGTGAAACTGACAGATTCTGGAGAGAACTTGGCCTTTAGGAAAACGCCTGACTGATGTTAAAGTCACGTGAGACTGATGTGGTGTGCATGGTGACCAGAAGGAGAGACCATTGAGTGCCAGTGTCTGCAGCTCAGCTCTGTCCCCAATCCCAAATAAAACCGCCACGGCCAGCAAGAGTCAGCGACACCTTCCCACAGCCGGACAACAGAGACGCAATGGCAGAAGTTCACATTTGACGTTTCCTCTTCCCATCTGGGCATAGAGATCATCTGAGGCAGAGTTATGGCAGACGGGCCCTGATGGCGCCATGTTCAGAGTATAGAGAGAGCTCCGACGCCACACTGCTTGGGCGCTGTGCTCCTGGCTCCGCCCTAGGAGCTGCACCTGTAATATCTCGGCCAAACTTTGCAATCACCCAAGGAAGCAGTTTAAAGGAAGGAAACTGAGGCACAGAGGGGCTTAGTCACTCACTCAAGGTTACACGGCTAGGGGCTGGTGAAGAAGCTCAGGCCCAGGCACTCTGGGCCAGAGCTGTCGTCCTCCACCATGACTCCATCCTGCTTCCCTTTGAGAGCCAGTAAGCCTGGGCAGAAGTCCTCAACTCTCTGAGCCTGGTAGTAGAAAAGCACTAAGCCTGCACACCCAGGCCTGTGACAATGGGGCATCCAGAAGGCCAGACCCACGGGCCTCAATGGCCACAACAGAGGCCAATAAGCTGCACCTCAGTAGCCCCACAGGGGGTTCAGTTTGCATGGCAGGAGCTGCAAGTCCTCCCCAGCACTCCTGTTCTCCACCCCCTCCTTCCATGGAGTTGGACATTTCCCAGCTCTCTTGCATCCAAGTGGAGCCTTGGGATCAATTCCTGCCAATGGAAAGTGAGCAGAAGCGATGGGTGTTTCTTCCAGGCCAAGATGGTCAAACAGGTGCATGTCCTCTCACAGCACTTTCTCTGTGTTCACTGGTAGAAGAGGATGCCTCTGAAGGTAGTGATATCCTAAAACAGAGGGAACCTGGGTCCCTGAATTTCTGCATGAAAAAGAGCCTCCGGTCCCTACTATTGCTAAGTCACATTTAACTAATGTGTAAATGAGAAAAACTTGTCAAGTGAAGGAACTGATATATGGAGGTGTTTTGTTGCAGCGGCCTTTGGTGACTGATACATAGAGAACCACAACACTGCCCTTAGGGACAGGGGCCTATGGGTGGTCTCTACAGCAAGTCAGTACACCTCCCTCAGCCCACAAAACAAGGTCTCTATCCTTCTCCCAAAGCCACTGCGAGATTCCAAGGAGAAGATTTACAAAGAGCTTGAAAACTGGAAAGTCCCATAAAACCACTGAACTTCATTATTTCCTGAATGGCCTGATCTTTCTTGGCTGAATGTTATATCATTTCTCTCATGTCTGAAGCCGTGCCTAGTGACTGTGGTTCACAGATGACAACCTCTTGGTCCAAACTCTTATTTTATTGGTGTGTATGAATTAAGAATGGGGTGAGCTTTCAGTGTCTCTCGTCTCCCAAACAGGCAAAGCTTCTGCCCTACATGTCAGTTCTCTTCAATCCTCCTTTATCTGCTCCACACACCCCCATACCACCACCCCCACCCCCACCCCCACAAACCCCCAGGAGGAGAAATCAGGAGTCAAGGGAGACAGACTTTTCCTCCCAGGGCCTGCTTGCCCCTGAGTGGTGCCTTTTCTCCCTTGGCCTTTGGTCCTCAGGTGGTAAGACCTTGAACCTAGGTCCAGTTCTCATGGCAAGGGATCTGCCTATTAACACCGAAGGTCTCTACCTGTGAGGTTGGATATTAATGGGCAGGTCCCTTTTGTTTTTTCTGTAGTTCTCCCTATTAGACAGAGTGAAATTATTTGGATATTAATGGGAAGATCCTTTTTTTTTTAAGTTCTCCTTATTAGACAGGGTGAACGAAACCCTAGAAATTTTGATCTAAACTTTTGAACTGATATTTTTATTTCCCACCCTAAAAATGAAACTAGCTCATGGGGTAACTGGCAAAAATCAGACATAATTCTATTTTCAGGAAGAGTTTCTACATGGAAACCAACCAATCAGGCAACAAACAAAATTTCTCTGCTGTTTGGAAAACACTTTCTTTCTTTATTGATTTTTTGAGTCAGGGTTTTACTCTGTCACCCAGGCTGGAGTGCAGTGACTCAATCACAGTTCACTGCAGCCTTGACCTCCCAGGTTCAACCGATTCTCTCACCTCAGCCTCCCAAGTAGCTGGGACTACAGGCATGCACCACCACACTTGGCTATGTTTGTTTTTGTTTTTGTTTTTTTAATTTTGTAGAGATGGGGGTCTCCCTATGTTGCCCGGGCTGGTCTGAAACTCCTGGGCTTAAGTGATCCTCCTGTCTTGGCCTCCCAAAGTGGAAAACACTTTATTGATTACTCCTGAGCAAGCAAAAAAAAAAAAAAAAAGGCAAATTTGGTGGTACACACAATAACAGGTTGGTAATAGGAAAAGTCAACTCAACATCATTTTTGTACATCCTACCATGTAAAAGCCATCATGCTGCAACTTCACAAGCTCTGAATTTCAGATTGTCCATGACCCTGGTTTTGAATCTCAAAGTTCACATAAAAGACTTGGTCAAAGCAATTGATTACTGTAAAGTCTTGTTTGCCGATGATTAAATGAGAAGTATATGAAATGCCCATCACAGTGCTTCCCATGTGACCATGGACGTTTGGGAGCATTTCAACGATAAATTTCAATGAGTAAACAATGACTCAGTCCCTATTCTTATAAAAGAGAGAGAAAGAGAGTTGGGAGAGAAGAGGGTGCCAAAACAAGTCCATTGTAAGTGCAGTAAATGAGATACTAAAGTGCTATGGTCAAGGAAGGAAGACTGACATTTTTTTGAGTACCTATGTCAGAATATGTGAGGGAGAGGTCACAACTGGTTGAGAGGGAAGGAGAAATCCAGGACGGCTTCTGAGAGAAGGAAGCATTTGAGATGAGCCTCGAAGCATTCGTAGGATTTCAGTACCCTGGATGCCCGATGTCTATCCTTTAAAAAATACTCCTCTGTGAAGAATTGCCAAAGGATTAACGATCGTGCTGAATTCAATAAAAAATCATTACTGGGCCAAGCATGGTGGCTCACACCTGTAATCCCAGCACTTTGGGAGGCTGAGGTGGGAGGATTGCTTGAGTGGAGGAGTTCAAGACCAGCCTGGGCAACATAGTGAGACCCCCATCTCAAAAAAAAAAAAAAATAATTACTGGAATGTGCAAGAAACTTTCTGAAGTAAGCAGTTCTAGAATGTGAGTAGTGATTTGGGAAGCCATAGTGCCCCACGTAGATTAATAAGATGCATCCTGGGCTGGCGCAGTGGCTCACGCCTGTAATCCCAGCACTTTGGGAGGCCGAGGTGGGTGGATCACGAGGTCAGGAGATCAAGACCATCCTGGCTAACACGATGAAACCCCGTCTCTACTAAAAGTACAAAAAATTAGCCGGGTGTGGTGGCAGGTGCCTGTAGTCCCAGCTACTCGGGAGGCTGAGGCAGGAGAATGGCGTGAACCCAGGAGGCAGAGCTTGCAGTGAGCCGAGATTGCGCCACTGCACTCCAGCCTGGGCAACGGTGCAAGACTCTGTCTCAAAAGAAAAAAAAAAAAAAGATGCATCCTGGACAGTCACTGGGGTGGACCAGGAAATGGGCACTTAGGGTCTGGCATGGAGCAGTGTGTCCTGCTGTGCTGTACATGACAGTGGGTGGCTGTTAGCAAGCACCACCCATGAGACCGTAGCACCCACAAACTGCAATGTTTTAGAATAGCCTGGATTACACTGTGGATGTTTAAAGCAAAGGATAAACAATGCTCCATCTAGTTTAGTTTCACTGCATCTCCTACTTGAAAACTGAATAGACTCGGTGGCCATCCAGCCCCTCTTGTCCCGATATTTCACTCCATGGTGAGTCACAAGCCCTGGTCAGACCCTAATGGACACAGCCCCACCTTGAACAGTTCCTCTTTCAGGCTGAAATCATCTGCTGGGTATGAAGACTCAGATGGGATAGGAAAGTTAAAACTTAGAAATAGGCGTGCTCTGTTCTTTTCCAATGCTTGTCATTATGCTCATTTTCGTGAGGGACAAGGCCTTTGCCTTACACCTGGGACCTAACATTAATAGTCCAGGAGAGAGGATGGAAGGGACCCAGGAGGACCACCTGCTGGAGTCACTACCCTGAGCCACCACATCCCGGGCATCGGCAATTCCTGGGCTGGCCAGAGCCCTGGGCATAGACAGTTCTACAAGCAGAACATGTTTTTCACCCTTGCCCTTCTCACCCCTCCAAAACCCAGACCTAAGTTACCGAAAAAGGCGGGACATAGTGGGAAGGGGGCAGGTGAAAGAGGAAGAAAAGACGGAGATGGAAAACAATTAAAAAAAAAAAAAAAACTCCAACAGAACTCGATAACCCGAGGGCCCAGTGATCGGTGCCGCACGGCATACAAAAGCCAAAAGGCAGGTCCCAGGACGGGTCAACTTAAGACTTAATATTTGCCTTTCACTAAGCAAACTAATAAATCCCCTATGGTTTTAGCCACGCAGAGCTCCCAGTTTTTATTTATTGGTCAAAACGGCAGGCAGGGTTTCTTTTTTTTTCCCCTCCCAGCCACCCTGGGGGTAAATAGTGGTCCCCCTTCCACCCCTCCTGTCATCAGCCTGTATGTCTATTTACCTTCTCCCTCAACAAACTCATGTTCAGTGCAACTGACAATGCGTGCAAACAGCTTTGAAGTATTCTTTGGTAATGGACTTCCCGGACAGCCCTGTTTTTGACTTGCACAGCCAAAGGCAAAGGGAGAAAGGGCTACTGCTTGTCAGGAACCAGCTGGGCCAGGCAAGGCTGAGAACTTGATGCATGGCAGGAACCTCAGAGAATCGTCAAGACCAACCCCTGCCCCTTCTCTGTCCCTTTTATAGATGAGAAAACTGAGACCCAGAGAAAAGGCTAGAGTGACTCACATGTGACCCGGACTTAGTTGAAGCCAAGGGCAGGGCCGGTGATCAGGTTTCCAGACCCCTCAGTTTAGGGCTGTCTTCAGGCCTCCCTCCACCTGTTCTCCACCAGCCTGGCATATAAGGGTCTTATCCAAGGTCAGTGACCACTTCCAAGGTCACCTTGAAATCCTTTAAACTGCAGCCTCCTGAGCAGAGGGACTTGTTTCACCACGAGAACCTCCTATCTCTCCTGTCAACATGACTAATATTTTCCCACATGGGTTTCCAGGGCCGCTTGAAGAGGATCAAAGTTCTCCTGTGGATCAAGTTCCAATGCCATGGAAAATCTCACAGGCGAGGCTGAACAAAATTGGGGGGTGGGGGCGGTGTCGGGGAGCTAATTTGAAATAGTTATGTTCATAATGAAATTAAGGCAAGATGAAATCACTTTACATTGCACCTTGGACAATGTCTAACGTACTATTCTAACATGAGACCTAAAACCCCAGCAAAACTTTAAGACATGGACTCCTAGAAGGCTGATAGCTTATCCATCAAATATGCCAGCATCGTGGATGTCAGAACTATTAATAGAAGAGGCTCCAGGGATCGTGTGGCCCAAACCCCTCATTTTATACGGAAGGAATTAAGATGATGAGGAGCTTTCTGAGACAAAAACTTAGGTCTCTCTGCCTCCCTGCACTGTGCTTTTTTTTTTTTTTTTAAACCAGAACAAACATGGGGAAGAGGGCAAAAAGCATTTAGCACAAAATCTCATTAAGAAATTGACATTCATGGCCACCTGATAGTGTATGAAACACTCTTTAAAATTCAACTGCTTCCCCATCAGGCTGGGTATCACTCAGCCTCTCTCATAGTCCTCTCTCCCCTGGGCTGAACGATCCCTTGCCTGATTTGAAAGGGGATTCCTGCATTAGTCAGAGATAAATCTAGAGAAGAGTGATGCTTTAGACCACTTCAGCCTCTCAGGTTCTGTGATTGCATATGGATAAGGAGATAAGAAAAGAGAGGGCCAGGCGCATTGGCTCACATACTTCAGGAGGCCAAGGCAGGAGGATTGCTTGAGCCCAGGAGTTCAAGACGAGCCTGGGCAAGATGGTGAGACCCTGTCTCTACAAAAAAATAAAAATAAAAAAAATTACCTGGGCATGATGGCATACAACTGTGATCACAGCTACTCGGAAGGCAGAGACAGGAGGATTTCTTGAGCCCAGGAAGTCGAGGCTGCAGTGAGCTGAGATCATGCCACTGTACTCCAACCTGGGTGACAGAGTGAGCCAGAGAGAGAGAGTGAGAGAGAGAGAGAGATTGAGAGAAGAGATTGTTGCCTTTGACATAAGATCAGGACTTCTTTTGAAACCAAAGAATGAAAGTAGAACATAAATGAAGGGATCATCTGAAATGCCTTCATCTTTTAAAAAAGAAAAATGGCACCCAAGGAGGTGGGTGAGCATCCCTCCAATGGTAGCGAAGGTAGTGAGAATCACTACAGGGGCAAACACCAAGGTGCATGATACGTCCATAAGTTCATCTCTACCCTAGCATGTAATTCCCTCCCTGTGGTCTTGCCATGCCAGATGAATGAAATTATCTGAAGGCCCCTGTTCCGGCACTGCAAACACTCATGCCTGTCTTTCAGCAGAGAAGATGGAGGTCAGATGCCCTGACAAGCAGCAACAACTTCAGGACGCCACGTGATCCTGAAAACCTGGCTTTTTCTAGTCCACAAAAGACCCTGTAATTTGCGTTCAGGTTGTTCTTAAGACCAAAAAAGTTGGGCTGGTGCAACTATCCCTTACCCACTCCCCTCCCTACCCCCGCCCTGACTACCACCTCCAAATTCTGCTCCCTCATCCCAGATAAAAGTCAGTGTCTAGAAAGGTAAGTATAAGCTGGGAGGCCCCACTCCACACTGAATTGAACTCAAAGGTTATCTAGGAGCCTTTAGAGAGAATGTACATACTTAGCCCCAGTTTACACACCCTTGATATTTTAAAGGATTCTAGAGTTTAAAGGAATTTCAGGAAGTCCTCTAGCCAACTCCTTTGCTTCCCAGACAACACCATCCCAAAGGTTTTAGTTCTTGATCTCTGTCTAGCAAAGATGCAGATTTGGAATCCTGGCTCATGATTCTACAGACAGCATGTGTATGCATGTGTGTGTGTGTGTGTGTGCTTGCACACATGTTACAGTCTCTCTTCCTCAGTTCCCAGTGGCTGTGTTAGTTTTGTTTCTTAATGAACTGTTTTGTTTTTCATGAGAAAGTTAGTTTCTCCTTTGTAAGTAAGGCTGTATTGGAGAGGAATCCCTGATACCTTGAAGGCCTGCCATGCCCACCATCCACAACACTCAGAAGGACATGGTCTCAGTTGGTTCTTCATACAACCCTACCATCCTGGAAACAATTGATTTGGTCAGCATTGGTGCCTGATCCAATAGCATCCATCTGTGGCTGCCTGAAGGCCAACGAAGTAACCAGACGCAAAAGCTCTGAATGCAGATTGGCTAAACCAGTCAACAGCATCAGTCAGTTAATAGTAAGTAACAAAGTAGAGGCATGGTCGTTGAGTCACCCAGGAGGGTGACCAGTTTTCCCAGTTTGCCCAGGACTGTCCCAGGTTTAGCACTGAATGTCCTTCATCCCAAGAAACCCTTTAGTCCTGGGCAAACTGGGACCGTTGGTGACCTTCAGCTCATCACGATGGCAGAATTCTAAAGTCAGGGGCAGCGAACCCTGCTGCTGAACAGAGGATCAAAACGACCATGATGGTATTGCTCTTGTTATCTTTGAAAACCAACTAGTGCTTCTGCATCTGCTGAATGACCTTGGGCTTTTTGAAAAGGCTTAGCTAGGCAGTGGCTGGGACTATTTCCTGTCTACCTTACTGTGACTTTTGAATAAACCAGGATTTATGAAGGTAACGTAAGTGGATCTCTGTTCCTTGACACCTGTAGGAATCCAAGGAATACAATGCCTGTAACTGTGTGTCAAGAAAGGAAGGAAAAGGTGAAAACCCATCAACAATCTGTAAATTTCAATAGCTCTAAACATCTTCAAGAGGTTCTCCTCAATCATTTTGTGATGAATCTGAGATGTCCACAAGGACTCCACTGTTCTATTTAGAAGACACCAAATTCACTAAATGGTCATACAAGCACAGCAACTGCAACATACAAAAACTTTAATTATTTTTGCAAAAAGAAAGCCAACTATTCGCCTTGGAAATAATAATGAAGTACAAATAGCTCTGACTCTGCATTTGGACAAGGATGAACCATGATAGATATTTAGAAAGGGTTTTAAATCATGTGTATGTTGGCTACAGAGTAAAAGGAACAGAGAAGACTCAAGCTATTGTCAGGTGTGTATGTGTCATCAGCACACACTGGGGGAGGAGAGTCCTCACTAAGTGCCACAACCCCTGATAGCTGTCAGTCTCTCATGAAGCACCATGATCTGGCATGGACTCCCAAATGCCACTTGAGAGAAGGTCTTCACAGCAGACTGTGCATCTGTGTCACAAAACACGGCTGCAATGAACGACAGTGTTCATTTTTTGCCCTTCCAAATGTATTCTTGTGTATGATCGAAGCAAAGAAAGTTGAGGATGGAGAACACGAGCCTTCACCATCAGTTCTGCTGCTGAAGCCTTCTCCAACAGCCCTAAGGTCCGAGAGCCTGATGAACTTCTGCACTGATCCGTGTATCATTCTGGAACTTGGTGGCCAGATCCCAAACAAATGAGAAGAGTTACTATTCCAAGGCTGCTTGCAACACACAAACACTGGCCTCTTTACACGGAGCAGGAACAAAAATTTAGATCCTATTTGACCTAAGTGTGGTTAACTATTCACTCTGTATCCGGCTGGAAGATAATGGAGCAAACAAGAATTGCTGAGTACAAAGGCACAGCAGACATGGGAGGCGGGGGGCAAGAAAGGGTGTGGTAGAAAGCCCTTTGGTTCCCTGGGACAGGGAGGGGGAAGAGTCTCATGAGCAGTAGCAGCAGAGGAAACACTTTCCACAAGGAAGAAGGACAAGGTCTGTCATAATGAGTCTTCTTCAACTGTAGGTCACCTCCAGCGATGCATCCCTCTGCTCCTTCAGGGCAACACAGACTATTTCTCGGTGTAAACGTCTTTTCTTTCTACCCAAATGGCACCTCAAATCCAGAGGTCTCTTTATTCTCCAAAATAAGATTATTATTATTATTATTATTTGAGACAGGGTCTCTCGCTCTTTTGCCCAGGCTGGAGTGCAGTGGGGTAATCACAGTTCATTGCAGCCTCAACATCCCAGGCTCCAGCCATCCTCTTGCCTCAGCCTCCTGGGTAGCTGGGACTACAGGCACATGCCACCATGCCCTGCTAATTTTTTATTTTATTATTATTATTATTTTAGAGATGGGGTCTCTCTGTGTTGCCCAGGCTAGTCTTGAACTCCTGGGCTCAAGAGATCCTCCCACACTGGCCTCCCAAAGTGTTGGGATTATAGGCATGAGGCACCATGCTCAGCAAAGAATTCTTGATCAAATCCAGAGCTCCTGCCTCTCAAGAGGTGGTCCAGCCTGAGCCAGGTCCTTCCAAGGGGTCCAGGTGGCACGCGGGGGTTCTGCTAAACTTCCTGGTGGGAATGTGGATCAGTCCTTCCCATCCTGTAGACCAAAAAACAGCATGAGAATTAGATTCTAGCTTCTGCCCTTTCAGGGGCTAGCATCACATTACTGTCTTTGGTTTATAATGCTTTAGCTGTTGAACAGAACATATACTTCAAAAAGCAGTATTTTAGTTAAGTGTCGGGGGTGGGGGTGGGGGAAAGCCTATTTATACCTCTCAAGGAACTATCCATCCACTGAATCATCACCAGGAACCCTCCTACACAAATCCCACTACGAAATCCAGAGCTGATTTTTTAAAATGCCACTGAGTGCAGCCAGTCCAGAGGAAGTGGAAAATTCTGTTTTTCAGCAGGTCACTATTATTTCTGTGATTTATGGGGCAGGGAGCATGGGGGTGGTAGATCACCCACTTTATAGTGGAAAGCCGAGGCACAGAGGGTGCCGGTGTTCTTGCTACAGAACAGCAGGGCTCTGGTCCCTAATCCTAATGTTTAGGATTTACTAGGAACTTCTCTCTGCTTCTGAAACACCCTTAACAATAAATTAGGAACTTACTCAGAGTGGATAGCTCAGAGGAAATGGTAAGACACCATTAAATATATTTATTTTTCCCTAATTCTGATAGCAAATAAATTAAGATGGAGTTGGACTCACGATACTTTCCTTGATGTTCACCCCTCAACATTACCTTCCATTACTGAGTAACAAATATATTGAATAGCACCAAATGCCTTCAGGAGAGTGCCCTATTTTAAAACTGATGAGTCTTAGCAGTGCAAGTCAGGGGCCTTGTATTAGTCTGTTTTCACACCAATATAAAGAAATACCTGAGACTGGGTAATTTGCAAAGGAGAGAGGTTTAATTGACTCTCAGTTCCACATGGCTGGGGAGGCCTCAGGAAACTTACAATCGTGACGGAAGGCAAAGAGGAGGCAAGGACCTTTCTCACATGGCGGTAGGAGAGAGAAGAGCAAGCAGGGGAAATGCCAGACACTTGTAAAATCATCAGATCTTGTAAGAACTCACTCACTATCATGAGAACAGCATGGGGGAACCCGCCCCCATGATCCAATCACCTCCCACCAGATTCCTCCCTCCACGCCTGGGGATTATGGGGATTACAATTCAAGATGAGATTTGGGTGGGGATACAAAGCCAAACCATATCAGGCCTATTCACAGATACAGATAACATAGGCCTTATGAAAGAGGCTGCCCTCTGGGTCTCTGATTCTAGCAATCACTATCAATCCACAAGGAATACCTGGGCAACCACAAATCCATGCATTCACAAGTACCATATTGGATTAGATGCTGTGGATACAGGAATCAGCCAGACAGGCAAACCCCACCCTCACAGGCCATAATGGAGACATAACATGGATCAAAGGTTTCCTTAGGCAAGTATGGGGCCAGAGGACAGCAAGGCCTTGAGGGAAATGCACGATGGATTCTGGGGGCATTTGGAAACCAACAGGCCCCCTTCTGTCCCTCAAAAGACCTGGGGGCCCCACTCAACCTGGTGCAAAGGAATTCTCCTTCATGAGGGCTCTAGCTGAGGCCTTGGTGGGGATGTGTGCAGTGGCCAGGAAACCCAGAGAGAAGGGCACCAGTGGCCAGAGATGAGATAATGACACTGTGGTGTTATTTGATAAACACACACACACACACACACACACACACACACACACACACACACACAGGTTTTCGTCCTAAGTTCCTAGCTCATAACTCCCATAGCCCTTGTTACAGTCTTTTGCTATAATGTTGGGCCTCAGGAAACAGAATCCCTCTCCTGCCCTCCTTACA
The DNA here is from genome assembly GCF_000001405.40 of Homo sapiens. Taxonomy (NCBI): domain Eukaryota; kingdom Metazoa; phylum Chordata; class Mammalia; order Primates; family Hominidae; genus Homo; species Homo sapiens. The sequence continues at coordinate 72,406,590 of NC_000017.11, forward strand.
CCTGCTCCAAGACAGGACTCTAATCTTCCCCACCTTTCTGACTCATGAGACCCTCCCCAGAGAGGAATCTGCCCTATACCTTGGGGAAGGAATGCTGACGTCATGAAGCTTCCATGAAACCCCAAGAAGTCAGGGTTCTTCAGGGAGCTTCCAGATAGCTGGGCACATGGAAGTTCCTGGAGGGTGGAGCATCCAGGGAGGACAGGGAAGCCCAGTGCCCCTTCCCCCACACCTCACCCTATGCATCTCTTCACCTGTATCCTTTGTAACAGCCTTTAGAATAAACCACTAAATGTGTTTCCCTGAGTTCTGTGAGCTGCTCCAGGAAATTAATTGAACCCAAAGAGGGGAGTCATGGGAACCCCAACTTAAAGCTGGTCGGTGAGAAGTTCCAGAGGCCTGGACTGGCCACTGGTGTCTGGGGAGGAGGGGGCAGTCTTGGGTACTGAGTCCTCAACCCATGGGATCTGATGCTATCTCCAGGTAGATGGTATCAGAGTTGAATTGGTGTCAGGGAGAAACCTGCACACATTCGGTCACCAATGTCTTCCGTGTTGACTGTTGTAGTGTGAGGGCAGAGGAAAAGCACGGTTGGAGAGAGTTTTCCCTACACAGTTACAATGAGAGCCCAGAGGGACTGACAAGAAGAAAAACGGTTCAAGACATTTCTCTGCAGATGAACTGGGACAGGAGAGTCTGCATTTTAGAGTCAACTAAAAAATAAAAGGATGAAAAATCAAAAAGGCAACCAATGTGCAGACACAGAAGTGCTTGTGTGCTCCAGGCAGCTCTCTGATTGGTGGCCAAGAAGGAAGCCAGGAGTCTTTGCCACAGGTGTTGCCAGGGCCCTCTGGACACACCCTTTCATTTGGACCTGAAAACACCCCACACAAACCCAAAGTTTTGCTGACCTTCCTCTGGTTTCGTTTCTCCACCTGGTTAGTGGCCCTCTGAGCTGTCTCGGAGAGAGCCCTTTTCCCCTGGGAGATGCATGCAGCTCGCAAATTAATTGGCAACAGCCGGGTGAATCACCCAGGGACTTCCTTCTTGTTGCCGGGCAACTGCATGCACTTGGCAGTGGGACATTAAACACAGAGGGGAATGCTGTGAGGCATTTGCAAAATAAAATAAAAAGCAAAACATACAACACCACAGACTCTCATCCCAGCAGGGCTGGCCCAGCCAAGGGATGTGTGGGGGGATGAGGGAATCCACACAAGGGAGGAAAATGAGGTTAGGCCATAAGCAGATCCTAACTCTCCCTCCTCCCCACAAATCAAACTCTTCTAGATATGGCATTTGTATTCCACTAAAGACACACCTCTATTAGCCTAGAGAAAGACCATAGGAGGAGCAGGAATTAGAAGGCATCTAGAGATCTGATCCCCTAGAATTACAGGGAAGCTTTGCAAAGCTCGCTACGGAACTACCATAGCTACTGATTATGCTTCTCCATCGTACATCACTCCACAGGTTAAGTCACCTGACTGAGGTGACACAGGCCCCTCTAGGGCAGGATCCTTCCATACCCTCCCCTCCACCCCCAGTCCCTTTCCACTTGAATATTTTCATGTCTGTTGCTATGGCCACTGGGAGTTGATTAGACAAACCCTCCCAACACATCGCCTTGCCCTGTAGACCATGTTTCTGGCCTTTTTAAAAAAACCCCAGACAGAAGTGAAATCTATGTACATTCTGTGTTTGGAAAAAAAAGATGGGGACAAGAAATGGAAGAACAGTAGCAAGAGGGCTCCTGTTGGGGGCTGAATAGTAGCCCCCAAAGATATCCACACCCTGATCCCTGCAAGCTGTGAATCCTACCTCATATGGCAAAAAGGCCTGTGCAGATGTGATTAAGGATCTTGAGAAGTTGGCCTGGACTATCCAGGTAGGCCCTAACTGTGATCACAAGTGTCTTTATAAGAGAGAGGCAGAGGGAGATCTGATCCCAGAGAGGTAGTAGGCAGTGTGATAATGGAAGCAAGAGGTTGGAAGGATTCAAGGAAGGGGTCAAAGAAAACAGATTCTCCCCCAGAACTTCCAGAAGGAAGCCACGCAGATGCCTGGACTTTTGCTCAGTGAAGCTGGTCTCCAGAACTGTGAAAGAATGAATTTGTGTTGTTTTAAGCCACTACCCTTCCCGAAGGCAGGACTAATCTTCCCCACCTTTCTGACTATAGGTCTTGAGACCCTCCCCAGAGCAGGACCCGCCCTATACCCTTGGGGAAGGAATGCTGATGTCATGAAGCTTCCATAAAACCCCAAGAGGACAGGGTTCTCTGGGGAGCTTCCAGATAGCTGAGCACATGGAGGTTCCTAGAGGGTGGAGCATCCAGGAAGGGCATAGAAGCTCCACAGCCCTTCCCCCACACCTCACCCTATGCATCTCTTCACCTGTAGCCTTCGTAACAGCCTTTAGAATAAACCACTAAACGTGTTTCTCTGAGTTCTTCAAGCTGGAGAACCATCTTCTTCCTTGTCAGTCCCTCTGAGCCCTCATCGTGACTGTGCAGGGAAAACTCTCTCCAACCATGCTCTTCCTCTGCTCTCACCCCACAACAATCAACACAGAAGATGTTGGTGACCAAATCTGTGGGGATTATCCCCCCGACACGGAGCTGCGGACACCTGCTGGGTGTTCTCCAATTCAATTCTGACCACTGAGTTTGTGGTCATTTATCACACCAGCAATAAGAAACTAATCTTGTCAATACAGTGTATTTTCCGAGAGCCTTTTGAAGAGAGTATCATAGGAGAGATATTGGTAACAGTGAAGGGGAGCTGGGCAAAAGGGGTGGGAGCTGGAATTTGGCTTGGAAAGCTCAAACCAACACCCTGCAGCCTCAGCAAGAAAAGAGCAGGTCTGTGAGAGCATCTAAGGCAAGAAGTGGCCCTGGCTTCGAAGTGGAATGTTAAATTAAACCATTTGCTGACTGATAACTTGGGCAGGTGGCTTCATCTCTGAAAGCCTCAGTTTCATCATTGCAAAATAGAGATATTATTATCCACCTTGCAAAGCTCTTAGGATTAAATGAGATAATACATGAAAAGCAGCTGGCACATGGTAGATGCCAAATACACCACAACCCTTAGGAAAGAGTAGGTGTGCACAGATGAGCATAATCTGTTAGTTGGCCACTCCCGTATCTATTCTACCTTTTCCTCTTAGTAACAGAACTCTAATTTGGAGTTCACACATTGCAGATCAGAGTAAAAAGACTACATTTCCCAGCCTTCCTGTAAGTGAGATATGACCATGTGACCAAGATCTGGCCAAGGAGATTAAAGCAGAAGTGTTGCAGGACTTCTGGGGAGGCTGCTTCAAAAGGTGCTGGAAGGAGCCCAGTTTTTACTTGCCTGCCTTTACTATCTTCTGCTTTCAATGAGGACATGATGGCTGGTGCTCCAGCAATCATCTTGGACTCAGGGACATGGAAAATGGAAGGCATGCAGTCAGATGGTCTAACAGGAAGATGGGAGCCTAGATGGCTGACAACTCCACAGCTATCACGTTAGCCTTAAATGGCCTCCCTCTGGATTTCTATGTGAGAGAGAAATGCTCTTCTGTCTTAGTTAAGTCATTGTTGTGTTGTCTTGGATTTTTTTATTTTTTTTAGACAGAGCCTCACCCAGGCTGGAGTGCAGTGGCACAATCTCAGCTCACTGCAACCTCTGGCTTCCAGGTTCAAGTGATTCTCCTGCCTCAGCCTCCCGAGTATCTGGAATTACAGGTGTGTAAAACATGCCCAGCTAATTTTTGTATTCTTAGTAGAGATGGGGTTTCACCATATTGGCCAGGCTGGTCTCGAACTCCTGGCCTCAAGTGATCCACCTGCCTCGGCCTCCCAAGGTGCTGGGATTACAGGCGTGAGCCACCGTGCCCAGCCCGTTGTTGTGGATTTTTAGTAATCATCATGGGTACAATATAGCACAGATATAGGCAAGTAGGATTCAGAGTCACTCAAAGACAATGGTTCTCAAACTGTAGCCCTGATCAACAGGCTTGACATCACCTGGGAACTTGTTAGGAATGCAAGTTCCTGAGCTCCACTCCAGATTTACTGAATAAAAAACTCTGAGAGTGCAGCCCAGCAATTTGCTTTAATAAGCTCTCCAGGTGATTCTGATGCAAACTCAAGTGTGAGAACTACTAGTCTAGAGCAAGATTTCTCAACCAGGCATGCTTGGGGTGGGACAATTCTTGGTTGTGGGAAACTGTCCTGTGCATTGTGCGACGTTCAGTGCCATCCCCAGCCTCTACTCACTAGATGCCAGAGCCCCCCGCAACCTGATCCTAGGCGTGATCATCAAAAATGTCTCAGACATCGGGGTATGCCTGGGATTGGGGGAGCGGACAGTAAGAGTGTCCCCAGTGTAGAAACACTGTCCCAAAGGAGTAATTCTTAACCTTGGCTACGCTATAGAATCACCTAGGAAGCTTTTCAAAATTCCACTGTCTCAGCCTCATCCCAACCCAGTTAAGGCAGAATCTATGAGGGCAGGAGGGAGACAGCAGTGAAAACTCCCTGGCTGAGTCCAATGATGAGCCAAGGTTAAGAATCGCTCATTGCAGAGGGGCAGCCAGCCAGAAGAGGAACTGTGTGCTGCGAGCTGGTGAAGGTACTGAATCCTGATCGTGAGCAGGACATAAGAGGTTCCAAAGCAAAAACTGTAATAAGAGTGGCTGGGGTAGACCTGGGAACCAACATTGTACCTGCCAGATGGGTGACTAGACGGGGTGGAATTCCTGGCAGCTGTGTCACCTCATTTCCCATAAGAACAGGGTGGACACCTTTCAGTCTCTCACATAAATAACCACACAAAGCCTCAGTTTTCTCCCCTAATAAGCAGCAAACAATAAGCCAGCTCCCATGAGGTGCTAAGCATTAGCTCATCCCACGAAAAGAACTGTCTTAATAAAGGCAGCCATGTGACCGTGAGCCTCTTTCAAGATAAACTCCATGGGCACAAGGATACTCTCTGAGCAAGCACAGATTTCACATATATTTAATGGAGCCCTGACAATAAGCTTGGCAATGGGGCCATAAAGGAGGTGGAGTGGAGAAGGAAGAATTAAACGAGAAACCAGTGACCAAGAATGAGGGAGGGATGAACAAGCAGATGCCCTCTCCTTAAAAAGAAAGATTAAGTCCCGTATAAATTCTTTCTCCTGCCGGGAATGACTTTTTTCTTCATTATTTCATTCCCAGCCTGCTCTGCTAAAATGCTGAGCCGAGCTTTTCCTTGTTTCCCTTGGCTTAAATCATTAAGTCCAGGATGTCAGTATGGGGAGGCAAGGGGGTGTAGAGAAGAGGAGGAGAAAAGGAGGAAGCCAACCGGCTCTCACTCTCTCAGGTGTACCAAGTCACTGCAGGACCAGGATCAATGGCTTCCCTGCACTCTACGTTTTCAGCCCCACCTGGCTAGCCCAGATGGAAAGATAAAGGAACAGGTACCAGTCTATAAAGCATGTCTCCCGGAGGCCTTAGGGCCAGCATGTCCATTCTTTCCCAAGGGATTTGCCTTCTATTCTTTCAGTCCTTTTACTGCAGCTGATTGGGACAAGGAAGAAGACGTCCAATTGCTCCATACCAGCAAGACCAGAAAGACAAGGAACCCAGGATTCTGTTCCAGGTTCCTTTTCTGTGCCTAAGGATTTCCAACAGGTCACTGCAACAAGTGAGTCTGAAGAATATCGGACCTTGTTGCTTCCAGTGTTCCCACCTTCTTCTTTCTTTTTTTGAGACGTCGTTTTGCTCTTGTCACCCAGGCTGGAGTGTAGGAGTGCAGTGGCGCCATCTCGGCTCACTGCAAGCTCCGCCTCCCGGGTTCACGCCATTCTCCTGCCTCAGCCTCCCGAGTAGCTGGGAGAACAGGCGCCCGCCACCACGCCCGGCTAATTTTTTTTTTTTTTTTTTTGTATTTTTAATAGAGACGGGGTTTCACCATGTTGGCCAGGCTGGTCTTGAACTCTTGACCTCAGGTGATCTGCCTGCCTCGGCCTCCCAAAGTGCTGGGATTACAGGCGTAAGCCACTGCACCCGGCCCACATTCCTTTCCTTACCCTCACCACCCCCTCCTCACAAAGTCAGAGATCTCCCACTTGACTCAAGTCCCTGGGTTCCCTCCAGCCAGTAAACCCCGTGTGCAAATGTCCTGACTCTTGCAAAAGTGTTAAAAAACAAACCTTAAAAAGCTTCCAGATGTTCTGTTTGTATTGTGGTGCTTCTCTGCGCTGGTCTCCAGAGGCCAATACGCAGTGCACAGCATCCTGACTGCCCAGATAAAATATGAGGCAGCCAAGAGGCACAGCCTGGGGGTGAGTGGGGATGACCCTTCCCCCAGGACCACGGCTCCCCCAGTTCACCCATTAACTCTTCCATTGCCAAAGGGCAACTTTCCACGCAAAAACCTTCAAAAGACTGCAAAGGAACAAGTCTGATAAGCTTTTAGGTTTTGTCTCCTCTGAGTGTCCACCTCACCTCACCATTAAACTTCTCACACCAACTGCCTTTGGGATGTCGAGTCAGGGACTCAACGACACAAGAGTGACCCTCCTACTTAAGATGCTAAGTTACCATTTTCAAGGACATCTTAGGAGCTGGACCATCCAGAATGCGGGAACAGAGTTCATGAGTTGTCGAGGCCCCTCTGGGGCTGGTGGCCTCTGATCTACAGAAAGGTAATTGCCAACGGGCCAGCTTGTGCACACACAGCCACACACGCAACCCAAGGTGCACGCACCTGAGGGCCCACGATTCTTTGCACAGGGTGACGCCTGCTCCCTTTGATGCTTGCCGGATGTGTTCCCAATGGGCAAAAACCAGACCTCAATAAAACCCGGCATTATCAAGAGGCCGGTGGTTTGTGATTGCACCAGCCTGTTATCTCCGAGGCCCTGGGTGGGGCTGCTTTGCGGTTCTCCATTGAAAAGCATTAACTTATAGGTAGATCAAAGACCCTCCCGAACCAGCCGACCTGGTCCCTTGTTTGTCCCGGTGGACTGTGCCAAAAGATGGACTTTAAAGATAATAGGTACCCCAGTCCCAGACTCCCTTCTGCCCTCCCTCTCCTTCTCATGCACTACGTCCCTCAGGGGCCATCCAACAGCCAATCATAAGGCCTTTCCTTCTCTTTCTGCAGATGACCCATTTAGAACAAGTCGGGGACCTGGCCGGACAGAGTCCTGGCCCTGCTGCAACAATGGGGATCGAGGGGGAGAGAGAAACAGTGACTTTGAGACCAGGCAGGAGCTCTTCTCCCCTTTGGCAATCAGGCCAGGAGTGAGGTTCCAGAGAGACAGTCGCTGATTCCACTCTCTCCTCATGAGGGATAAACTGCTGAGTCCTCTTCCCTTGGTCCCTAAAGTTCCCTGTTGGCCTCTACTGCCCACCCAGATGTTTGAGAGCCAGCGGTCAGTCTGCAGTGAGGACACAGTGGGACCTCTGAGTTGTTTGGATCTGGGTCACCGAGCAGGACTGCCCATTGATATGGGAGAGAAAGAGCATGTGTCCCCAGACTGTGGGTGCCAGCAGCCTGCTCGCCTCCTGATGTTCCCCAACCCAGTAGTGTAGGTCGACCCGGTCAGCTGCAGGCTGCAGGCTGCAGTAGCAGCCATGTTTTTCTTCTTGTGTTGAGGGTACCAAGCTCACTGTCTGGCAAAGAAGAGGCAAACGAATGAATGAATGAACAAATGAATAAATGAATGGATCACTAGCAGCACAAGCTAGTCATCTTAAAGCATGGGAGGCCCTTAGAACATGAACCCACTCATTCCTACCAACAGGAAAACACTTCAGGTGGCAATTCTCAGAGATCCCACAGCTTAATGATACGAAGTCAGATCAGGGTTCCAGTCCTGGGTTAGTTAGCCTCTTAGGAGTCGTAGGCTCCTGGGCAAGTTACCTCAAATCTCTTGAACCCATCTGTAAAACAGGGATAATTTCTAGGCTTGTTGTGAGGACTGAGTTAAGTACTAAAGACTCAGTTAATTTTTTTTTTTTTTTTTTTTTGAGATGGAATCTCTGTCTGTTGCCAGGGTGGAGTGCAATGTGCAATGGCACAATCTCGGCTCACTGCAACCTCTACCTCCCGAGTTCAAGCAATTCTCCTGCCTCAGCCTCCTGAGTAGCTGGGACTACAGGCGTGCACCACCATGCCCAGCTAATTTTTGTAGTTTTAGTAGAGACAGGGTTTCACCACATTGGCCAGGATAGTCTCGATCTCTTGACCTCGTGATCTGCCCGCCTCGACCTCCCCAAGTGCTGGGATTGCAGGCGTGAGCCACCGTGCCCGGCCTATTTGTTCTTATTAATCTATTTCCCTATGGCATTATCTCCATTTCAAAAATACAGTCAGCACATTTCTGAAGAGGAAGGACATTAAGCCACTTCCGTGGTTATTTTCCTGCTATAAACCATTCCTAAAATGTGTACAATAAAGCCCAGATCCATCTTCCATTACTCCTTTTTTTTCCTTTTTAAATCAATAAAATTGTTTGTAACATTTAGATTAACCCTTACCTCACCTCCTTCTATATTCCCTCAACCACCCCTAAAAGTTCTGAGAACTTGTGTCCACATGCAGGGAGGAGGTAATGAAGGCAGGAGTCATGAGCAGGGCACTTAAGACACCCTCACCATGAATGATTTAGCTCAGCTACTGATAAAGGCGTTATTCCAAAACAGCTAAGACTAATCCATACTCTAGCTTGGCTATTATTTCATGCTACATTACATAGAAATCCAACTCCTGTATCTTTCCCTTGTATCTTTCATCTTTCTAATTTGTGTTCTCTCTTCCTTGAACCCCTGGTTTGTCTGTCTCTGTCTCACTCTCATTAGAGACACCACGGCCTTATGAGCCAAGATAGGCCAACTCAACTGGAAAGGATGCTTATGGGGGCTCTGTCTGTTCTGCCTGGTCCTGGCCCCACATGGCCTGGCCAGCTTGTGGCATCTGTGCCAAGGTGAGCGGGGAAGCTGGGCCTCGGCACCCTCCCATCACGATGGGGCCAGGCTGTTACCCAAGGCTGCAGCTGGACTCTCAGAGGCACAGGGAGGTCAGGCAGCAAGTTCACAGAACAGGCCACCCACACGGCACATCAGGGCTGCTGGACTGTCCCCAGGGCCAGAGCCGCTCTGGCCCTTGGCCCTGACTCGGAAGACTCCACCATATGGCCTCCCTCTGGGAGGGTGAGAGGAAGAAAAGAAGTAAACCAGGGGCTAGGAAGAACCATGCTGCCCTCTGAATGCCAGAGACCCTTCTTGGGCACGGGGTTGGTGGGTATTAGATTTGCTCCCAGCAGGTCTGAGACAAGAAAGGCGGTGTCCAATAAATGAAACGGGTAACAGCTGATAGCAATACGATAGATGAGCAGATGAGATTGGGCTCTCCCTTTCTGCTCTTCTCGGGGTCGTTCTCTCTTTCTCTCTCCAGCCCCTAAATGTGTTTCCAGGGTTTGGTCTGAACTTCAAAAACCCTAAAGTTTTTGGGAGTCTTCACACTTTTCTAATTAAAGACCCAAACTGGATTTTCATGTTTGCAGAGAACTTTGAGCAAAAGTGTAGGCAGCACAGCAAAACAGGAAGAGAATGATCTCTCTCTTGTTCTCTTGTGTGTTTTTTTTTTTGTTCTCTCTCCCTCTCTCTCTCTTTCTCCTCCCCCTAAAATGTACTGGGGGGTAGGGGAAGGAAGCAAACAAAACCTCTCTGCAGCTTTGGCCCCTAAGTCCCCTGAGCCTGCCAGTGTTCTGTTGACAGCCTTTCTCTTTTCTGCGGTCCTATAGCCACCAGTTCCATCCCTGTTGGGGCAGGGGTGGGGGTGGGGAGAGCTGGGCAAGGCTCTGGGAAAAGAGAGGAAGGAGGCAAAGAGTAGATTCTCTGGCACAGCTGCCAAGAAAAGAGCCCAAATGCCTCATCTCAGCGGAAGGCAACCCTCCTGGGCTCCCAGGCATGCTGGGGCTTGCTGAAAACCAGAGCCCTGGCTGGCAGAGGCGGTGGACAGGGAACCAGAATTCAAAGGGGCGGCCGAAGGAGGGGGGTGCGGGGGAAGAGGGGGAGGTTTCAGTGAATCATATAAATTAGAGACAGAAAGGATGTCAGGCCACCTTCATTTCCTTCCTCTCCTAATGGGAATTATCTCATTAGCCCCGAGCTTCCTAGAGGCTAACTTTAAATGATTCCTGTAATGGGGGTTTCAGTGTACACCCCACCTCCCCATCCGATCTGACTCTTAGGAGAGCTAAGAAAGGCTCTTAAAGGAACAGCAACAAAAAGATGCCAGTTCTATCTACTGACCACTGAATATTTCATGCAACCTAAGGATGGCCCTTTCTCCTTCTAGGTCCACTTTTAGGAATTTATTGTGAGAAAATAGTCATGAATATGGTGATGAGCTGTATAATGGCACAAACTCTTGCTCCCCTCCACTCCCTAACAAAAGACAGTCATGTTCTAATCCCTGCTATGTATGAATGTTACCTTATGGTATATGGTAAAAGGGACTTGGCAGATGGAATTAAGTTAAAGGTCTTGAGATGGGGAGATTATCCTGGATTATCCAGATGGACCCTAAATGTAGCTGTAAGTGTTCATATAAGAAGGAGGCAGAGGGAGACTTGACTACAGAGAGGAGAACTCCACAAAGGCAGAGACTGGAGTGATGTGGCTCCAAGCCAAGGAATGCCAGCAGTCATCAGAAGCAAAAAACAATTCTCCCCTGAAGCCTCCAAAAGAAACCTGCCCTGATGACAATGACTTGGTTTTAGCTCCAGAAGTCTCAGTCAGACTTCTGACCTCCAGAGCTACAAGAGAAAAATCTGTGTTGCTTTAAACCACCAAGTTTGTGGTAACTTACTACATCAGCTTCAGGAAGCTAGTACAGATATAAATAAAGTTTGCTGCAAGGATTGTCATCAGAGCCTTATTTCACAGCAAAAGGGAAAAAAATGTTGGAAACATAAAAAAACTATTAAAAAATAACCATGTCACATGTTCCTACAATGAAATACTAAACAATCAAGAAAATATTGAACTATTACTTAATGATAAAAGATTAACATCCTATAACTAAATATGGTTCCTATTTCCTTTGCTTTTATACATTTTTCTAATAGTAAGCATCTTATAATTCCTTCTGTCATTGTATAAGTTACATGTTTATTTGCAGAGTGGTATGAGTGTTAAGGATGGTTTGATCCCTTTCTATGAATAAAGATGCAGGAACTGGTGGAAATTTAGTAGAGGAAGTCAAACGGAGCAGGAGGTCCAGAGTTGGCATCCTTCTGGGTTCTGAAAACCTCCAAGGTTCCTGGCAAAAAGACTCTCCTCTACACACACCTCATCCTGGCACCATGAGGCATCTGGCCTGCAGACCCTGCCTGCTAACAAATGAAAGAGTCCAGTCTCCTTACCATGCGGCTCAATTCCCCAACCCCCCACCTCAAGTCTGGGAGAAATACAGACTTGAGGTGGGGGGTTGGGGAATTGGGCTGCAAAAATAACCCTCAAAGCATGGTTATTTTTGCCTCCTTACTCTTATCTGTCTTTCAAGGTTGGGTGGTGTATTAGTTTACTAGGGCTGCCATTTCAAGTTAGTACAAACTGATGGCTTAAAACAACAGGAATTTCTTCTCTCACAGTTCCGGAGGCCAGAAGGCCAAAATCAAGGTATGGAGAGGGTTGATTCCTTCTGGTGGTTTTAGGGGAGAATCTGCCCCCTGCCTCTCTCCTGGTTTCTGCAGGCAATCCTCAGCATTCCTTGGCTTGCGGATGCACCACTCCAATCTCTGCTCCATCTTCATAGTGCCTTTCTCTCTGTCTTCTTCTCTTCTAAGGATGTGTCATTGGATTTAGGACCTGAATCCAGGATGATTTCATCTCAAGATCCTAGCTAATTACATGTGCAAAGACCCTATTTCCAAATAAGGTTAGATTCTGAGGTTCTAGATGGACATGAATTTTGGAAGTTCACTACTCAAACTATTACAGAAAGCCTTCATCTTCTCTTTCTCTTTGGAGACAGGGTCTCACTCTGTAGCCTGCCTCGAGTAAAATGGTGCCATCTTGGCTAACTGCAACCTCCGCCTCCTGGGCTCAAGTGATCCTCCCACCAGGATCCTCTACAAAAAAATACAAAAATTAGCTACCTGTGTGGCTAATTTTTGTAGAGACAGAGTCTCCCTATGTTGCCCAGGCTGGTCTTGAACTCCTGGGCTCAAGCAACCCGCCCACCTCTGCTTCCCAAAGTGCTGGGATTACAGGTATGAGCCACCATAGCCAGCCTCCCTGCTCTCTCTCTATTTCAGTCCATTTTTTTCTCTAAGTTTCAGTAACTCCACGAGGTCTTCTCTGATTCTTCCAGGTCCCATCCCTTCACAGAACTTTTCTGTAGTCTGCATCCCACAATTCAGCCATAATGCCATACTCTCATCCCCTGTTCATTGCCCAGGACCTACAGATGGAAGTATCCAAAGGCAGATGGACACTCCCTAAACGGATGAACTTCCCAACAACTGCAGTTGCCAATGTTAGAATGGGTGGCCTCAGGAGAGATAAAATTCTCCATCATTAAAGTGTCCAAGCAGAAAGCACCTATCTGGACAGGCTGGGAGGATGTTGTGGGTCTGAATGGGAGATGGAATGAGGTGGTCAAAAAGAGTCTGATTTTATTAAATATGAGAACAAAGACTGTACTCAAATAACTTAGCACAGTGCTGAGCACTGAAAAGGCACTAAGCAGATGGGTATTATCCCACTAGGGATGTTCCTTTAAATCTCAATCTTCCTCCTTTCAACAAATGCATGGAACTATACAAAGCAAAATAAACCATGAGAAAGAAAATGCTAAGTCTGAGACTATTTGTATATTCAATGGCCATTTGCAGACCACCTCCTTGGTATACTGCACTATGGGATAGAATCTGACACTCTTCTGCAAGTCTCTCTTCTTTGATGGCAAGGTGACAAGCAGGGCATGGTCGCATGAGCCTGTAATCCCAGCTACTGAGGAGGCTGAGGTGGGAGAATCACTTGAGCTTGGGAGTTCAAGACCAGCCTGGGCAACATGGTGAGACCCCATCTTCAATTTTTTTAAAAAGCAGCAGCAGAAGCAGCAGGTGATAAACCAGGGCAAATCCTATGCCAGGAGACACCTAAATCAGCACCCCCAATGGTTATGTGACCTGAGAAAGGAACTCCATGCCACCAGAATGTCTAGATGAGCAGTTGGAGGGTCCCTTGGCAAAACCTAAGAGATGGGGTTCTGGGATCTATTTTTGCGCCTGCCCAACCCACTAAGAAAGGGAGAGAAGGCAGAGGAGCTGCTCTCTGCAGCTGCCAAGGGCAGGCTGTCTGCTCATGCTGGAGCCCAGACAAAGCACACCCACCCGGTGGTGATTTATCAGCCGTGGGAGGCCCAAGAAGCTCTTAAGCCGCAGGTGGGTGCCTGTAAAGCCACCCTCCCTGGGGAGCACAGACCTCAGGCCTTGCTCTGCTGCTAATCACCATAAGCACCCCGGTGCCTCAACCCCGATCTGGGTGGCCCTTAACCACTCCCAAAGCCCTGTCACATGCTCAGTGATCTCAGCCGGCCTCACATAAACCCTGTCAAGTAAGCAGGACAGGTGTTGTTATTATTCCCACTTTACAGATGGGGAAAACTCTGGGGGAGCAGTTCGATGGCTTGCTCAGGGCCACCCAGGGAGCACATGTCCCAATTCCTCCCATAGACTAGGCAGGCAAGTGGCATCGCCACTCCCTCTGTGCTGCCTGCCAGCACTTGAGGGTTTTACAAAGGTGGCAACAAATACCAGGGATGTCTCTTCCCCCTGGGCCCTGGGTCCCTTTTTGGACACTGGGGAGCCTGACTCACTAAAACTCCTGTGTCTTTCTGTTCAATCATCCTCCCTCCTCCTGCTTGACAGTTTGGAAGTGGAGGGGCAGGGCCCTGGCAGGAGTAGACATAGCTTGTGCCCAGGCTGAGCCTCCCCCAGGAGCAGTAAAACATGCCTTTTGGGATCTGAGAGGAGAAGCTGCCCATTCTGTACTTTTCCAGACGTGGAGAAAGAAAGGAGAAGGCAGAGCAGATTTGAACTCCTGGCTCAACTCACCAGCCCTGTAGAGGTCCTCAGAGATGAGCCTTGTATTTCACTAAGCAGCCCCAGGAAGCGGTTTGGGGGACTTCAGAGCAGAATGGAGCAAGAGGAACACTGCCCTTGTTGGGGGCCGGAAGTCGGTGGGGTGTGAGTTAGTGATCCTCAGGTCAAGGGCCTCCACGGGAGGATGGGACCCCTGGACCCACATAACCCACGCTTCCCAAAGGCCTTCACTGCAGATTCGACGGAGCCGCAGGAACCAGGACTCAGGAGGTGGCACCTGCAGGGCCGGGAGGAGAGGGACATGCAAATGAGGCCAGGCCATCCACAGCCCACTCCTCCTGGAAGCCCAGAGTCTGGCTGGCAACTTGAACCTGATCTTCTAAACAGGACAAAAAAAGAAAAAAAAGTTGTGATTTCCCCTGACCAACCCATTTCTTTTTCCCCCTTCCCCAACCCCTGTGGAATTTGCACCCTCAAGAGGCACCTGGGGAGCCACCAGCAACTAAGAGTTCAAGGGGCTCCTCTGCATTTGGGGTCAGGCAGAGAGGAGCCACAGCAAGGGAAGGTGAGTGGACAGTTGCAAGCTGTGAAAAGCCAAGTTGCCTCCAGGCATCTAGGCCTGCGTTTGGTTCCCATGACACTCTTACTGGCAGCGTTAATAACTAACCACGTCCCAGACAGGTGCTGGCGGCCTAGCCTTAGGAGTTCTTGTTCAGGGCTGGAAATGAGTCACTTCCCTTTTATAGTTTGCTAGGAGACTGAGTCACCCAGGGGCCGACCCTTTCACACAAGTTCTCACACCCTGGCCAACTAATATCCATGTTCATACCCTAGACCTACCCATCTACCAGGTCAGCCAGGCCCAGTGGGGCTGACCCTCATGGTCTATGTCAAACAGCATCCCCAGGAGTGACCCAGTCCCTGCCTTTTCCCTTTGTCCCCCTACTCTCTCAATGGAGATGGCCCACTCACTGTCCCAAGAGGCAGCTCCTGCCTGGGCAGCTGTCTGAGAAGGACAGAGTCTGACAGGTAGGCGCCCATGCCCAAGGCCCAGTTAGATCCACCTCATCTTTGACCTTACTCTAAACATTGCTCTCATACGTCCTCAATCCTCTGTTTGGAAACCAAAAACACCAGAAGTGGAAAGTTCCAGAGCTGATGAACTAAAGGACAAAACTGCGATGCAGCAAGTCAGCTTCAACCCTCTCGGGAAGGGCAGAGGCTGAAAGCAGGTAAACTGAGGCCTGTGACTGTTAATACACTCCCCTACTTCAGGAGTCAGGTGGGAGGCAGGAGAGGTAGGTCATCGAGTCCAAGGCTCTGAGCACCCACATTCGTCAGGTGGCTCTGGTGTCAGTCTCTCAGGACTAATCTCCTGATAGACAACAAATAAACATCATTAGAGAAAACAAGCTCATATGCATTTTTCAGTAACCCTTCTTTCCCCACTCTCGTATGGCCTCTCTTATGTTTGCCAGCAGGTGGGTACCCATGCCCAAGACCCAGTGACATCCATCTCACCTTTGACCTTTACCCTAAACATTGCTCTCATAACTCCTCAACCCAAGGGGTGCATTTGGTCTTTTTTAATTTAAAAAATTAATTTTTCTTAATTAAAAAAGAGTGTATGTAAGAGAAAAAGAAATAATGAAACTAAAAAACAGGAGGTTAAAAAAAAAAAAACCTCCCCGAAATAGTTTGGGGATTTACTTTTTTTTTTTTAATCCTCAGAAAGTCCCTCTTGCTACCTGGTTTCTAAAACAGACAATCAACAGAGATGACATCAGATTAAACAGCACTGGGTGTCTCACTGCCAGGGGCTCCAGGCAGGTGTGAGACTGACAGGTTGAGAAAAGATGACACTATTTCTTCCCTTAGAAGATGAAAACCAAGGAGGAGAAATGACAGCAGAGGCTGAGCCCCGGGTGTGGTGGGAAACGTGACACCCTGCCAGCCGTTGGCCTTTTGGGTGAACTCTGCTCGCTCCTCTGCATGGGACGACACTGCAACCCGGCGCTTGTTAGTTCCCCCATCTCTCAGGTATCACAGCCAAACTCACCCCAAGGGCTCAGAAAGCTCAGCCTGTGGCTGTCTCACCTCCACAGAGCCCCCTGGACTTTCCAAGCCTGCATTTTGAACTCTGTTGGCTGCGGCCGTGGCTTTCACTTGACCTCTGCAGAGAGAGAGGGGCTTTCCCTGGGACACACGTCTTGCACATAGCAGCTAAGAGCGCCAGCCAAGCTTCGTCGATAGCACCAAGGGTCCAGATGCCAGGAGAGAGACTCCACCCCCAGAGGTGGCTCAAGAGTCCAAGTGAGTCATGAGGTCTGACCAGCGACCATAATGTCCCAGGGTGAAGTGGGAGGCCTGGAGATGGAGCCCGCTGCAGGGACAGGAACCACAGTGACTCACAGTTGGACCCCGAGGGGAAGTTCCATCTGCAAATCCTCTAAATGGCTCTGGTCCCCGGGTGAGCTCATCTGCACTGCCGCTGACACTCAGAACCAGGACTGGCTTCTTTCTCCCAGGGCCCGGGTTTTTCACTCTCAATTATGGTTATGGCAGAAACCAACATTCGAGCCGCAGCACCTCTCCCCTACCCGCCACACACACACACACACACACGATGGATGGACCTGGGGAGACAGCGTGTCCTCCTGGAGCGTCAGAGTTTTCACCTTTAAAAACAGTCCTTCCTCCTAATGATCTCACCACAGAAGCTCTTGGAGCTATATGGTAGGGAATGTGACAGTTCTTTAAAAGGAAGTATGTGAAATCCACACAAGGCAGTAACATTGTAATATCACTGTTTAAAACTTTGGCTCCAGGGACCTGGCCATGAGGCTACCATCTTGCTCCATCTCCCTGGGCCATTGGTCTGGGAGCGGAAGAATGCAAGGCATTGGGGAGGAAAGTGTCCATGTTGCCCAGGAGCCTGGCGGGATCACTCAGAAACACACTCAACCTTGGGAGAAACACACAGGTAAAGACCCCACCACTCCCATTGCCCTTTCCTGCTCTAAGCGCTTCCAGCAGACTGCAATATGTCCACAATTCTAAGGCTTTATCAGGTAGAAGGGGGTTCTGGCGTGGCCCCCAGCTAGCTCTCCACCGTGTGCATGAACAGCAAGGTCCCCCAACCAAGGGCACCAGGCATTCATTTCCCTTATAGGTTCTGTTTTCAGGTTACGTGCAATCACGGGACAGCTGCTAATCACCACCAAGACGGGGCCGTCCCAGAAGCATTCTTAGAAAGACACGCTGGTTCTGCGAGCTCTGAAGCACCCTTAGCCTGTCCTGCCTGGAGGATCATTGTGGCTGCAGGACGAGAAAGACAAGAGGAAAGACGGCCGACCCATTCATTCCTGCCGTTGTCAAGTTGTCCTTTCTTGGAGGGAGGAGGAAGACGGGAGGGTGCTAAGAGGCTGCGAGACAACAAGGGGACCCCTCAAAGAGCATCAGGGAGACCACGAAGAATGATCTCAAGCAGTATTAGCTGCTCCATGGCATGATAATGTCCCTGTTGGGTGTTCCCTGCACTCTGTACCCCTCATACCCTAACTTCATCAGAACAGGAGGAAGGGGGCATTTGCTGTCTCTCTCTTCCTACCCATCTTCCCCACTCCCTTTCATTTCTTTTTTTTTTTTTTTTTTTTTTTTTTTTTTACTGCTGGGGCTGCAATCTGCCAGTGTGAACCCTGGTGGCTCTGCAGGCAGCAGGGTGAGGAGAGTGACCCTCATATGAAGCCACGACCCCAATGCAAGAGGCTATCCTGAATCTGGGAGTCACGGTTGTTCAGAATCAGTCCCTGAGATGTGGCACCGTGGCGTTTGACATTATCACCACCATCGATGTCATTCTATGGTAACGTATGTGTGCCATTGTGTGCCTGGGACACAAACAGGCACTTTCGATACCCCTCCTGCTTGGACCCTTCCCCTGCCATCCCCTCCTCCCACTGGCCGCCCTGTTGCTCTCAGCTTCCCTGTAAAGAGGCCTTTTTCACAATGAGTCGGATCACAGCATGCTTTGCTCAAAACCCTGCCTGGCTCCCAGGTCCCTCAGAGGGAAGGCCCAAGGCCTCTGGGCCTGACCTGGTCTGACGGTCACCGCCCCTCTCGGCGCTCAGCACTTACTGAGCTTGATTCTCAAGCACACCATATACTCCTGCCTGCTTTGGGCCCCAATGTACCTGCTCCCTCTGTCCCAAAGGCTCTTCCCCAAAACATCCTCCTACAAGTCTGTGCTCAAATGTCACCTTCTCCATTCAGCCCTACAACCTGCCCTCCACCTCTCTCCCTGCACTGCACACTGGAGCTGCCTTTCCTGCCTCTGTGTTTTTTTTTTCGATAACACTATCACCTCCTTACATACTAGATAATTTACATACTAACTATTTTTTACTGTTTAGCCTGCCCCACCTTGACAGCCAGTGTGGATGCAGGACAGGAAAGACAAAAGAGGAATGATGGCTGACCCAATGCTTCTCATCTTTCCTGGCCCCATGATGTGGTTTGGCTCTGTCCCTACCCAAATCTCATCTTGAATTGTAGCTCCTATAATTCCCAGTGTTGTGGGAGAGACCTGGTGGGAGTTAATTGAATCATGGGGACAGTTTCCCCCATCCTGTTCTCATGGTAGTGAATAAGCCTCACGAGATCTGAAGGTTTTATAAGGGGAAATCCCTTTTGCTTGGTTCTCATTCTCTATTGCCTGCCCCCACATAAGACATGCCTTTCACCTTCCGCCATGATTGTGAGGCCTCCCCAGCCACGCGGAGGAGGTATGTCTGTATCAGCAGACATATGTCTCAGGTATGTCTGTATCAGCAGCATGAAAATGGACTAATATACCCCATTAGAAGCCAAGCTCCATGCCAGCAGGACAGAGCCTGTTTTGTTCAGTGTCTGTTCTCTGCCTAGAGCAGTGCCAGCAGTCCCGTAAATATCTATTAGATGAGTGAATGAATGAATGAACCGATCGATGAACAAGTGAAGGGTGGAATTACTGCCACTCATGGGGAGGGGGCTATGCATCTCATGGAATGAGCTGGTCTTCAGGGTGGGGTTCCCTGGGGAGTGGGGGAGAGGGCTGGCAAAGGCAGAAGGTGCTGCTTCCAGAAAGGCAGTGCCCGAAGTTTGCCTGGAAATCCCCTTGGCATCACTCATTAACTAACCCCCACCCCAATACACATCCAAACCCAAACAGTAGCTGAAGAGTAACTTCAACCATAGACTCTCTTTCCAGGCCCACGCTCCCACCGGTGAGTGCATGTAGTCATCTGGGCACCTACCGTGTGCTCCTTGGATCCCAGGA
Source organism: Homo sapiens (assembly GCF_000001405.40). Taxonomy (NCBI): domain Eukaryota; kingdom Metazoa; phylum Chordata; class Mammalia; order Primates; family Hominidae; genus Homo; species Homo sapiens. The sequence continues at coordinate 72,426,005 of NC_000017.11, forward strand.
TGAGCAGTGAAGAAAGGATGGCGGGGGATGAAAGAGATCCCCTCCCACCCTCATCCCACTCTCAAGGCTCTAGCTGGAAGGCAGAGGCAACACTGCAGATGAAGTTCTGAAAGTGAGATGGTGGGCAGGTAAAGGAGCTGCCAGCCCCATGGTGCCATGGCTGTGGGGTTTTAAGCAGGTGAGGTACACAGATGGTGACACAGGGAGGGGGTGTGCTGAGCACAGTGGCAGGGTACAGTCAAGTCCAGTCTTGGGGTGGGATACAGACCAGGTGAGCTGGGCTGAAAGGATCCAAATGTGAGTGGGAAGTGATGGGAAGTGAGGTGGAGCGTCCAGTGAGATTTGGTTGCTGGGACAATAAACAGAGAGCCATGATGGGTTTTTTCAAATAAGAAAATGCCATGTCCAATGCTGGATTTCAGAAAGAGGCTTAGGGAAGATACCAATAGGATTACTTTGGGGAGGAAAGACTTGGAATCCAAAGGCTGGGGCCCCTTGTGGTTATCCCAGCTTGTTCTACAAAAGCCGACACGAGAGGGGTGACTCGGAGAAGGGAGGGAAAGGATCAAATGGAAAATTGCTGTGGAGTCATTGTCAGGACTTAGTATTCTAGTGAATGGGGGAGTTAAAACCAATGTCCACCTTCCTTCTACTTGAGCCATGTGGAATATGATAAAGATAAATAAGGAAGGGAACTAATAGGCATCTGCTGTGACCTAGACTTTGGATTTGGTTATTTCATTCAATTCTCAGTCTCCCCTGAGGACAGGGTATTAGCATCAGCATCTTATAGATGAGGAAATTGAGGCTTTGTAATTTACCCAAGATCATATCCAGAGCTAGGGAGATTGTAAAACACAGAAGAAAACCACTGACATTCATTGTAAATGCATAATACATCCCAGGCACTTAACTGTATATTCTTTCATTTCACTTCAAAACATAGAAGAGATTATTTTTATGATCTCCATTTTATAAATGTGGAAAGCATAGTCCAGAAAAGTGAAGGTCACCAGCCCCAGGTCACAAAGCAAAGACACAGTGGAAATGGAATTTGAACCCAGGGCATCTGGGTCCACACTCTACCACTACACTAGCCTGATAGTGACAAATTTGCAACATAATCTGTCTAGTTCCAAAAATGTGTTTGCATTGTACAGCAACTCAAGCAGTATTAGCTGCTCCATGGCATGATAATGTCCCCACTGGGTGTTCCCTGCACTCTGTACCCCTCATGCCCTAACAGCATCAGAACAGGAGGAAGGGGGCATTTGCTCTCTCTCCCTCTCTCCTCCTACCCATTTTCCCCACTCCCTTTCTTTTCTTTTCTTTTTTTTTTTTTTTTGCTGCTGGGCCTGCTATCTGCCATTATGACCCCTGGTGGCTCTGCAGGCAGCGGGGACAACCCTCTCCCAGGCTTCATACTAGTAGAGATGATCTGTTGCTTAGTACTTACGACTGAGACTTACACCCAGTGCTGTAACTGCTGTGGATGGTGGAATCTAGACAGCCCTGGGCAAACCCAGCCCTTGCAGTAGGAGAGCGGCCCCTTGTTCCACATCCTGTTTTATTGGGAGCAGACTTCAGTCGGCAGCATGCCAGAAAGCCCTGATATCCCATTTAACCCCATGGACAGTCTCTGCGCTCCTGAAGGCCAGCAGGTGCAATCCACCTGTTTATCTCCTGGACCCGCAGGCTTTGAGTCACCTGCTTCATGTTCTCCCTGCAAACTGCGAGACCTCTGTGCCCTGCAGTAGACTCGGCGTGTTCAGGGCAGGTAGCAGGAGCTGTTGCATGGTGCCCCGGGGAGCTGGGAAAATTCATGGTCACTCAAAACAGCAATAGATCCCAGCAACAGTCTAGGCCTGGCTCCCTCACTAGTTAACTGTGTGACCTTGGGCGAGTGACCAAACTTCAGTCTCCCCATCTGTAGGTTGGGCATAACAGGACCTGACTGCTAGAGTTGTGAGAGGTGAAAATGAGTTGATTCAACTAAAAGCCAGGAGCACACAGCCTGGCCTGAATTAATTGTGATGACTGTTTGTACTTATTAACCCCTGTCTGTGGGGCTCTCCGATGGCTAACTGCAAAGCTCCTGCCTGCCAACTGCTGCTCTGAGCTGGGGGCATTAGGGATGTCTGGGCAAAGGGTTGCACTGAAGAAGGAGCAAACCTCAAAGCAAGAAGAGCCACAGGCAGGCAGCTGTACTATAACTGCCAAGTGCAACTCACCTCTTTCTTGTCCTTTCCTGGTTCAAAGCACCCACCGAGTCAGCCAGAAACCTCTGATTCCACCTAGAAAAATAAGGGAAGAGTTACACCAGGAAGCAAGATAATGAAACTCATCTTGAAGCTTAAACGTGGACGGAGTGGTTCCTCAGTGCCAGACAGCTCCCCGCAAGCACATAGGAGTTTAATAGCTGTTTATTCTTCCATATAGACTAAAACTACATTCATCAGAAAAAGGGGAGTAATTCATTTCCTATCCCAATTATGGATATAGCAGACTGAAGAATATTTTCAAAGAAATACAGTTTATTATGATCACAAACTTGACCTAGAGTAAACTAAGATGTAAATGGATATTTACACTGGATAGTAATTGTTTTCAAGTTATAAAAATACTTAAGTTTACAATGGACATTTACTACAAAACAACCTAATGCCACAGTGCCAAGTTGTTCTGTTTTTATTGGGTCTTTTACTCCTATGATCCTATTTCTAAATGTTTATATGTTCTAATTTGTGATATGTCTGAATTCACTGAATGGGATGACATATGAGGAACATCTAGTGCCATGTCTGGTCCCTATTAAGCGCTCAATAAACATCAGCTATACTATTATTAATTACACATTCCTGTTGTGGGTTTCTCTTTCATTCCACCCATATAGTTCCTGAACAAACGTACACAGATATCAGCATACTTGCTGCTGCTAAAATAGATATTTAATCTTTAAACCCAACCTCTGTTCAATCTAATTCAGACACCAGGAAGAGTAGTATTTCAAAAGGTGTTTAAAGATAATAGCCCCGTTCTACCTTTCCCCATCATTAGGCTCAAAGAAATCACTCTAGACCCTTAGGTTGGCAAATGAAAACAGAGAGAAGAAAGAAAAAAGGGAAAAAGAATACCATCAGATTTGAAACAGAAAACTTGTAACCTTCACACACAAGAGAAAGGATTGTCTCTGGCTGGTGTTTGTTCTTTTGCTGGGTGTACATTATACATGATCACTCCGGTGGTTTCTGAGTTACTGAGGACAGGATTGGGCTGGCACCCTGTGGCCAACTCCATCAACCAGCACCTACCACCAGATCAGATGGGAGGTCCCCTTGGGCTCCAGCACCCCCACAGCCCACAGCAGCAATACATGTTTGCTGGGCCTGCCTCCCACTACCACACCCATGAACTTAACCCAGGACCAACCTCCAATGCACAGGCTCTTGACTGCAGGGCAAAGGAGGTTGACAGTTTTAGTCCCAATGAATCATGCAACACTTGGGACCTAACTGGCCGATGCTGGACCTAACCTGCAAATGCTAGAAAACTCACCACAACAGAGCAAGCAAAACTCCACAAGACCCACCAACTCCAACCCCCGCATCTGGAACGGGTTCCTGTTTCTACTTTATACAGAGCCACCCCCATGCGCAACCCATTTTCAGTTTGTTACTAGGTAGGAAGCATCCAATAAACTCATTCAAGCTAAAGCCCAGCTGAATGGACATAGCTTCAGTGTTACCCCTCCATGGGGGATGTGCATTTTATCCTGACTCAGTCTTAACTCTTCACCCTGTCCCCGTGAAGCCTCAATTCTGCCAATTTAATAATGGCAGAGATTGGGGAGAGAGAGCAGTGGGACACTGGAGAGGGATCTTTTTGAAATCCTACAGTGGGGAGTAGGTGAAAGAGGGGAGGCAGAGGCTTACAGTGGAGGCTCTCAGACCTGGCTACTCATGGAAATCCCTGCCCCCTCCCCTGGGCAGCTGGAAAATCATTCTGAAGCCTGAGCCCCACCCCCAGAGGTTCTGATTGCTACAGGTGAGGCCTGGGCACTAGGATTTTTTTTTTTTTTTTTACGTTCCCCAGGTAAGTTTAATAAGTAGCAGACTCTGAGGATCATCTGGCCGTCTTGCTGAAATTTGCATTCGGGGGGTCTGGGGTGGCAGCCTGAGATTCTGCCTTTCTAAAATGCTCTTGGATGAACCCAGCACTGGGGGTCCTCAGAACACTCTGAGTTGCAGGGACTTAGAGGTATCCCCTCTTGCCCTCCTATGCCCCCAAGGAACCTCAGGCAAGCTGACCACATCCCTACCTCCAGCCACAGCTTTCTCCTCTGGGGTGGAAAACTCTTTTCCAGGAGGCCCCAGAGACATGCCCAGTTGACTTCTCGAGTGCCAACTGGGTAAGAGACATTACTCATGTCCCAAGAGACAGCTGCCCCCTTTCCCCTTTCCTGTAATCCTGTTCCAAGCAGTCCACCTTGTACCCTGAAGTGCACCTGGATCACTGCATTCAGCACAATGGTTTGTTTCTGCTCTGGTCCTTAAAGGGAGTAGGGGTCTCTTGCCTGCTGGCTTTTTGCATTGGCAGGATGATCAGGGCCACCAAGACACAAGGCCGCCCAGGGAGCCTGACTCTGTCCGGGGCCCACTGGCCTTGGCATCTGCCCTGTGAAGCCCTTCCGTGGCTTCACACACACCTCCCCACCACGTAGCACTGCCCTCACTGTCCTCACCGCGGACAGCGGTGGGACAGGGAGTGGATGGCACTCCCTCGGAAAGAGGCCAACAGCAGCATGCCACGCCCGACTCCAAACCTCTGAGGGAGGCCACAGACTGCAACTGGCTACCCACAACCTGCCCCCAAGGGTCCCTCCCTGCCTTCTGCACCCCCGGCCCCACCCCTCCCGGTTCCTTCCAGACATTCCCGGGGATGCCTGGAGCCATACACCACCTAGTGGTTCCCAGCTCAACACCAGCAATAAGGCACCTCCAACCAAGATAGAAGAGCCCTCTCCTCCAGGACACCTTAGACTGAGGAAACAAGAAATAAAAGGCCCAGCAGGTGAGGCCACAAGGAGACATTAGGCTGGAATACGTCCAGTCCCACAAACTCACCACGTTCTCCAAAAAGTGCACCAGGAAGGCAGGAGGCCGTGCTGGAAAAGGCGGCCACACGTTACAGGAGAAGACCAGGGTGGAGAGGGAAAAATACCTGGAACGGGAAATGGGATGTCAACACTTTATGAGCTAGAGCCCCCTCTTTGGCCAGAATAAGAGTTGCAGGTTGGGGGAATTTTGGACATTCTTGATGGGTCCAAAATCAAAGCGGAGTGATTTCAACAAAACATGCCAAGTAGTCAAGAAGCCAAACCACTGGGTCCAACTTCTAGAAACCTACCCAAGGCCAACACATCCACTGGGCCCCCAATACTTTTAGGGGGCCCAAGAAAATGTTCTAATTCCTTTGAAAACAAGAATGAATACAATGACGGTAATATGAATGCCTAGATAACAATGAATCCAGCCTGGATTCTATTCATCCTTGTATCACTGTAATTGTAAAATACAATTTTTTTTTTTTTTTTTTTTTTGAGATGGAGTCTCACTCTGTCCCCCAGGCTGGAGTGCAATGGCGCGATCTCAGCTCACTGCAACCTCCACCTTCCAGGTTCAAGCGATTCTCCTGCCTCAGCCACCCAAGCAGCTGGCACAAGCCACCACACCTGGTTAAGTTTTGTACTTTTAGTAAAGATGGGGTTTCACCATGTTGACCAGGCTGGTCTCAAACTCCTGATCTCATGTGATCCACCTGACTTGGCCTCTCAAAGTGCTGGGATTACAGGCATGAGCCACTGCGCCCGGCCGTAAAATACAATTTTTAATGTTTTATTTTTATGGAGGAAGGGGCCTAGGAAGACAAAAGTGCCAAAGATCATGAACATCACCATTTGGTTCGGAGTTTACCTACTTTTTTTCCAGTCTCCAAATTTGTCAGCCTTTACTGAAACCCCTTGTTGAAAGCTCTTTCTGGGAGACCCCCACTTGAGCCAGGGGACCCATCCCCACCTGCCTCCCATAGGTACATCCTTTTTACTCTGGGCTCTACTGAAAGTTTTCTGACCCACTCCAGGCAAGTTCATCCGAGGCCCCGGCACCCTGGGCCTGTTTCTGGCCAGGCAGAAGCTCCAACAGCTGCCACCCCCGCCTGTGTGTGAGAAGTGCAGTCTGGCAGGACGGAGCAGCAACTCTGAAGTCCAAACACACACACTCAGCCCCCTGCAGCATAAACACGGAGGATACATCACACCCAGGCCTATAAAAGATAATTACACAATCTGATCTGGCAAATTAGTGCCGCAGAATGTCTAATTCTCACAATGAATTCCAGGGTTGGATCGGCAGGAAAAATTAACCTGGATCTTTATTGGGATTTGCCCCCAGGTCAGGATTAGGGTTTATTTATCTCCTTTATTTTCCTGCTGCAGGAGGGTGGAAGGCCTTCTCTCCTGCCCGCCCCTCCCCACTGTATCCAGGCTTGGCTTTTCGATAAGCAAGCTGCCCGGTGATCTTTCCCACGCACTACCTAACCCAGCTCAGCTAAAATCAAAGAAAGCACCAACTAGGAGATACGTGTGATTTTTTTTTCATAAGGAAGAGAAGGTCAGGCATCCCATATCAAGGGATTCACTAGTTGGAACAAACTCAATACAAGGTAAACAAAAGAATGAACATTTCCAGATGGCAATGTACCTCCTAATTATTCTGGCCCGGCTCTGAAATGTTTACTTGGAGAACACTCACATATACACATTTCTCCAAACACCTTTTTCTTTCTTTCTCTCTTTCATTTGCTCTCCCTTTCCAAGGAGTCTTTCCAGAGGAGATAGTGATTAACAGGAGTCGGTACTCATCTCCTATGCTCATTAAAGAGCTAGATCACCAAAGTATTGTTACCGCAACACCAAGACAAGTTGACACCAAGCAAGGATTATCTTTCATCTAACAAAAACAAACCTGATGGCAGGCCGGCAAGTTTTCTCCTCTCTTTTTCTATCTTCCTGGGGGTTTCCCCTGCGGAAGATCATTCCCTACCCAAACTCCCAAGTCAGCCCTGCAATGACCACACACCCAGAGCTTGAAAGACAAGACTCCAGTCAATATAGAGGGTTAGCATTCACACTTTTAGCCTACAGAAAATGTGAGTCTGTCAGATAAATGAGGCAAGCTTCCCTGCATCTAATACCCATGTGATCTGCTCACAAAATTCTTAAAAAGTGCCTCTCTCTGAGACTGACCTGGGTGAAAGAGAAACTGTGCTTTTCTAGGCTTAACGGTGGAGGGTTACAGTATTTTGCTCTGGCGTGGGCACCAAACTCCTCCACTTTGGGTTAAGGTTTATCATATGTGGGAACCTCACCTAAAAAAACATATATACACGGGCAGAGGTGTGTATGTGTGTGTGCTCACGTGTGTGCATATATATATATATATTATATTTATATTTATATTTATATAATTTTATATATATATTTTTTTTTCAAGGACAATGACTTTATGGAAAAACAAACCAGTTCTAAACAACTGCCTCTGACTTAAAGCAATGAAAATGTTGTTTTCTTGTGCCTCACCCAGAGGGATTCTAGGTGACCCAGTGAGAGGTGGTGGAGAGAGAGACTAGAACGTGCAAACTTATCATCAGCTGGAGTGCAATCTTTGTAGAGTTCTAGCCAAATCGCAAACTCCAGTTCCAAATTGGGTGAGACAAGTGTGCACTTTTTGGAAGGAGATAAACACCCACTCCGTGCAGGCTACATTGAGGAGTCTCATAAGGAGCTGAGAGATAGCAAAGAAAAATATCCCTCTTCCTGAATGGTGAACACAGTGATGCCAGCTTCATTCTGAACAGCCATCCATTCTAGGTATGAATAGAGGCCATGGATGAGGAGCAAAAGAATGCCAAGCAGTCAGTAAAAATGCTGTAGACACAAGGAAAACACAATCTCAGCATATTATTAAATGATCAAAATCATGTCATACATGCATGGGTTCTAGAGGCAGAGAGTTGCAAACTAAAATCTTAGTCTAGACATTTTTTTTTTTTTTTTTGAGACAGAGTTTTGTTCTTGTTGCCCACACTGGAGTTCAATGGCGCAACCTCAGCTCACTGCAACCTCCGCCTCCCAGGTTCAAGTGATTCTCCTGCCTCAGCCTTCGGAGTAGCTGGGATTACGGGTGTCCACCACCACGCCCAGCTAATTTTTTGTATTTTTAGTAGAGACGGGGTTTCGCCATGTTGGCCAAGCTGGTCTCGAACTCCTGACCTCAGGTGATCCACCCGCCTTGGCCTCCCAAAGTGCTGGGATTACAGGTGTGAGCCACCGCGCCCAGCTTAGTCTAGACACCTTCTGGGTGTCCATTTTCTCAACCGAAAACTGGGGATAGCTGTAGTGACTACTTCTTGCCCCTTATAAACCCTCTACAACCATAATTGTTATTTTAATTTGAGGATGTAAAACAGGACTATGCTTTTTTCTATATTGCTTATTTCTATATATATAATTAATTCTAAATTAAACTGTGTATTCACCTGCTTTGCATATTTCCTGCACCATAGCAAGTAATCCATAAATGTTAGCTATTGCTAATACTGTAAAAAAAAAAAATTATAGAATTGCATGGGTTATAAAAACAAACTTGGAAGAAGGAAGCAAAAGGTTAACATTAGTTATCTCTGGGTAGTCAGTTTAAGACTTATTTGTTTTCCTATTTTTACATGTCTAAAATAAACAGGCATTGTTTGGTGAAGACAAAAGTGTCATGGTATTTAAAAGATAATAAAAATAAGATGGACATTCATTGTTTTGAACTAGAAATAAAACTATTAAGTGTACTTAAAAAAAAAACAGTAAAAATAGAAGCTACAGACTTGTTTGCTAAATCAGAAATGGCTTAGAAATCAAGGATAAAAAGTACCCCCAATAGGGTACTCTTGGGACCACTGACATGACCCAAAGTGAGACAAGAGCCAGACACACCCAGATGGCAAGTTCTGCTGTCAGTTACAGGGATGGGAGGACAGCTCTTTCCACTGAATGATACAGTCAATACTGGCTTGAATGTGAACCTGACTGAGAATCCTAACCCAGCTGACAGGCTGCAGGCCACAGGGTTGAACAGACCTGCTCTGTGGCATTTCCCAAATACCTGTGCCATTATAGACAGACGGTTCTCACAACACCCGCCTTTCGGTTCAGGACCTACAGCCCCTTGCACTTCCCCACGCCTGTTACACAAGCCCAGGCTGGGAGCAGAGGGCGAGCTCCACGACAGCCTGCAGAGGCCATGCCAGAAATATGGGGTCTGCAGCCCCACATGAGCCCAGGAAAGCAAGAGTAGACTTGATCCTCAGAGTCCATCTTCCAACTCTCCAGGCCTCCCAAGAAGGTGGGAATGCAGGTGACAAGGGGGCCTCGCTCAAGTGCCCAGAGCTCAGACGCTCCCCCCTACTTTCTTGGCTCCCCTTCTTCCTCCCAGGTCCAGCACAAAGGGGAACCCGAGGCACAGTCCTCAGCCCATCCTAATTCCTGTTGCTTGCCCTCTTCCTTGAAGACGTCCCAAACCCCTGTTTCGGACCTTTTTCCTAAAGCCCCATTTTGCCAAATGCCTACAGGGCAGGCTGATGACTGATTCCAGCCAGGATCTCAAATTCACTACATCCAAACAAATCTCCATATATCCTGAACCAGGCTCCTCTCAATACCTCCCCATTTCAGGGAACTGAACCTTACTCTCTTGGTCACCCAGATGGGATGCCCTCCCCTCCCATAAAGCTCATCACTGGATCCAAGCACCTCTGTTAATGCTGTTCATGATCCAACTTCTCTTATATTCCTATGACCATGAGAATGGCTAATCTCAGGTCTAGGATATTCCCATAATAATAATGTCATGTATTTGTCTATTATGTCTCTTCTTTCATTCCTTCCTTCCTTCCTTTCTTGCTTGCTTCCTTCTCCGCCGCCCCCACCCCCCAACTCCTTCTGTCGCTTTCTTTCATTTTTATTTTTGAGACAGAGTCTTGCTCTGCCACCCAGGCTGGAGTACAGTGGCCTGACATGGCTCACTGCAGCCTCAACCTTGTAGGCTCAAGCAACCCTTATGCCTCAGCCTCCCAAGTAGCTGGGACTGCAGACCTGCACCATCAGGCTCAGCTAATTTTTAAATATTTTGTGGAGATGGCGTCTCCCTATTTTTCCCAGGCTGGTCTTAAACTCTTGGCTTGAGCCATCCTCCCACCTAAGCCTCCCACAGGGCTAGGAATACAGGTGTGAGCCACCGCACCTGGACTCATCTCTTTACATATGTTCCTTTACTTAATTTCCTTGACAATCCTCCCTCATCTTGCATCATTTCTTGCCCTGTACACTGCTCTTCCATTCACTATCTCTATTTCCATGCTGGAAATCTCCAAGATCTTTGATACCTCAGGGTCTTTGCACTTGCTGTTTCCTTAACCTGAAACATTTTGCTTAACTTTCAAAGTCTCCACTCAGGCCGCACTTCAGAGCCTAATCTGAAATCATATTTGTTTATTTCATTTTGGTTTGTGTCTCTGCCCACAAGATTGTTAAGATCCTTGAGTGCAGATAGCTTGTCTGTTTTATTCTCCATTTTATAATCAGCACCTGAAACGGGCCCTTTTAGGGTTGAACGAATGAATGAACACGAGCATCCCTAGATGCAAGATACGGCAAGGAGGTACAGGAAGATTTAAAACTGGCTCAAGGTCCTATGGCTGGTAAGTGGCTGTGTCAACCTTTGCACCAAGGTTCTCTTTGCACAGGGGTAAAGCTGTGAGTGACCTTCTACTGTTAAAGCAACTCCCCATGTGGCTCCTTGATTTCAGACTTGCCTCTTCTGGTCCCTTCTACGGAGTTTTCCCAGCTGCTCATTCTAAAACACCAATTAGTTCTGCCAATCTCTGCTCAGTAGTTGTCAAGGGCTCCCTACTGCCTTCCATGTACAGACCCAACCTCTCTGCCTGAAATGAGAGGCCATCTGTACTCTGACCCCTTCTCTTTCCTCTCCAGCCTTGTTTGTAAGATGTCCCTATAGTCATCTTATCTCATATCTACCCCCCCCCACACACTAAAGCTCACTGCTCCCCACCACCTGTAACACCTTCCCCGCTTTGCCTCTCTGCAATACGTTCCCTTGAAGCCCACCCCCAAGTCCCACCACCCACAGAAAGCCTCCTGATTTTCTGGCCCTTGGTGAAGGCTCATACTTGAGCCTTAGGGTTCACTGCCTATGTCCCACGCTTAGCAGTAAGCATAAGATAATGGGGGACCAGGCGTGGTGGCTCATGCCTGTAATCCCAGCACTTTGGGAGGACGAGGTGGGTAGAATGCCTGAGCTCAGGAGTTCGAGACCAGCCTGGGCAACATGGTGAAACCCCGTCTCTACTAAACTACTAAAAAATTAGCCAGGTGTGGTGGCGTGTGTGCCTGTAGTCCCAGCTACTCCCGAGGCTGAAGCACAAGAATCACTTGAACCCTGGGGGCGGAGGTTGCAGTGAGTTGAGATCGCACCACTGCACTCCAGCCTGGACGACAGAGCAAGACTCTGCCTCCAAAATAATAATAATAATAAGATAATGGGAAAAAGGCTATCCATCCTCTTGCTCCAAAAAGACCTTAAATTCCTTTAGGGTGGGTAATAGACCTCATGTGTTTGAATTCCTAGAGCCTAGCACAGTGCACAACTCATTCGTACGAGTAGCCCTGGTTAACTGAGAGCAAGCTATGCCCCTCGCTCTGTGGTCTGTGGTCCTCCACCAACCTGTACAGACAACCTCCGCAACGGCAGAGCTCTCTGGAGACTGCTAAACTAGAAGGGCTGGACTTTCTGCTCTTGGTGGCTTGTCCATCCCTCCAGTCTTTCCCAATCCACCTCCATCTGGAGCTGCTAATGACTGTCCAAGTTTCAGCTCTCTCCTGGGTCTTCCTAGAGCAGAGTAGTCACTAACTTGAACTTAAAGATGGAGCCCAACCCACTGTGCTTAAAAAAAAAGAAAATCAAAAGTTTATGAGCCCATCGGGGGTTTCCTCCTTTAAAATCACTTCTTTGCCCCTAGGGATACCCATTGAATACGGTGTCCGTACCCATTAGCAAAGCAGAGGCCACAGAGGCCGAGCATCCCCTGGCAGGGATCATGATGTCACTGTGGTTGAACGCTGCTCCCAGCCTGTGAAGGCGGAACCACAGAAGGTGTCCTAGGCCCAGGTCCACCAACCTCACGCCAAGCCTTAGCCCCTATGTCTCGGTTTCACCATGTTTAAATGGAAAATAAAATGCTCCACTCAAAAACACTTTTCCAATGATATTTTAAGGAAAAATGAGATCACAGAAAATTAGGGAGGTAAGTTTAAATGGTGTGACCCCAAGCAACTTTTTTTTTTTTTTTTTTCAAAGAATCCCAAGAGGCTTGTTCACCAGAATGGTGGGAGGGGTGGGGAAGAACATTGGGGAAGATTGTAAGCCCCAGAGACCACCTGCACAGCAGCAACACTTACGCTAACGTGAAATGCTCACAATGCTATAAAAGCCCACACCTATTGCAAACAGCTCTGTCCTCCCCGGTCCTCATGCGCAACCGGACCCTGAAGTCCTTAGGTTTGTAAAAGCTGCCGACCGGCCAGGTCAACATCTGTCCCTGCCAGAGATACCAAATGTTTCCTAAACCCACCTCAAGCCCAGCTCACTAAGCTATGAATAGTTATTAATGTTAACTCACGGCATTAATTAAAAAACGTTCAGCCAGGCAAATTCTCATACTTTTAAAAAGTCATTTGGGTAATTGCCTTTCCATGCCGCAAACTTTCCAAACGACTGACAGGTTGACATTTCACAATGTTGTTTGTTTTAATCAAGAAGGGGGGGAAAGTCAGTGTGGTTCCCCAGTTCATTTTTCAGGTGCCTTGATTTATTGATTGGCAAATCCCCACTTAATAGCTGTACAGCGAGGCTGGGGATGAATGTGGCTCCCGCCACCCTGGGTTGGTGTCTGGGCTGGTGAGGAGGGAAATGGCTTCAGGGCAGTGCCCCAGCCCTTCCTCCCCCTTCTCTTGAGTTTTAACACCCCCCCCAGGGACCAAGGCCACACTGCATGACTCCCAACCCTTATTTCAGAGGCTCACCCTCCCTACCAGACAAGGGCAACTTCCTGAACCAACACCGAAGGCGGTGGTGCTGGTTCAGCAGACTCAGGATTTGGGGGCAGAGTGGACTAAACCCTTGGTGGTTTTCCAACCTAGTTCTTCAAAGCAGCAGAGCTCAGAGTCAAGCCAGTTCTGTGAGTATGAATCCCGCCTCCACTGTTTATCATCCTTGGACAAATGCCTTAATTCCTCTGTGCCTCAGTTTCCTCATCTGTCAAAATGGATATAATAATAGTATCTACCTATAAGTCCGTTCTGAGGGTGAAATCAATTAATATTTGTAATGCACTTGATATGGTTTGGCTGTGTCCCCACGCAAATCTCAATTTGAATTGTATCTCCCAGAATTCCCAAGTGTTGTGGGAGGGACCCAGGGGGAGGTAATTGAATCATGGGGCCAGTCTTTCCCGTGCAATCTCATGATAGTGAATAAGTCTCACGTGATCTAATGGGTTTATCAGGGGTTTCCACTTTTGTCTCTTCCTCATTTTCTCTAGCCACCACCATGTAAGAAGTGCCTTTTGCCTCCCGCCATGATTCTGAGGCCTCCCCGGCCGTGTGGAACTGTAAGTCCAATTGAACCTCTTTTTCTTCCCAGGCTCTGGTATGTCTTTATCAGCAACGTGAAAACGAACTAATACAGCACTTCAAACAGTATCTGCAGTAAAATAAATGCTGTGTTTGTGTGGGTTTAAAAACCTCCCTCGTCCCTCACAAACTCTAATCCAGGAACCCAACAGTCAACTGACAACAGACTTGGATGTGCCCTGGCTGACGTGAGCAGGACAGGCTGGACCTCACCCATTGCTCTGGTGCCCTGTTTCCCCAGGGCGCCACTGACGCCTCTCCAAGGCCCAGCCAGTCCTAGAGCACACGGTTTGAAAGCCACTGCTTATTCTAAGGACTGACCATCTTCAGCTTTCTACTGGACACACACACGCCTGCCCATGGCAAGAAGTCTTTTATGGAAAGCCAAACGCATTCTCCTGGAAAGGCCACATGGAGCACTCCAGGCTCCCTCTCCAGGTGTCCCCCCACCCCCTGTGTCTGGCGGCAAATGGCTAATGACAGATGGGCAGCCGGAGGAGGCCTGAGGTTTTCATGGAGGCTCACACTCACCCCCCCAGCGCATCACCACCGGGAGAACACTGCAGCCAAGCAGCCTAATGGAAACAGACAGCAGCAACCACACAGCCCTTAGGGAAGAAGGAGTTTTCTTAAGGAAAAAAAAATCACTAAGCCCTCAGGCAACCGTATAACAACAAAAGACAAGAAACTAGTGAGCAAAGACCTCTCTCTACAATCACCAGCACACCATAAGGTATTTCAGTATTGATGGAACGCCTACTATGTGCCAGGGATTAGACCAGGCACCGGAAATGCAAAGAAGAGACGGGAGCTTCCAGGCTTTCCAGAGTGGAAATCTACTAAGAAAGATGATACCAACTAACACTTATATTTTGTGATATGGATTATCTATGTTTGTGTATATTATATATAATGTATACATTAATATACAGAATACGCTCCATGTGCACACTGAGGCTGGGGGAGAAGGTGGCTCCCACCTCCCTGGGTTATCGGGGCAGGGGCGTCTGAGCTGGTGAGGAAGGAAATGGCCACAGGGTCATTTGCCAAAGGGTTAACTTGGAAAGAAAGCTGTTGGGTATGTCTGAGTATGAATGGCAACTCTGGTATTCTCTAGCTGTGCCATCTTGGACACCGAGGTTTTTATAGCTTTTTAAGGCATGCACACCACCAGGCAGGCAGATAATAAGTGATCAGTTAATCACCAAGGACAGAAAATGAGGAAGCCTGGCAGAGGTGGTATGTGAATGAGGCCACAGGGAGGTAGTTGGCTGTGCTCAAAGTCAGACGAGTAAGTGAGAGGAGCTCCCAGGAGTGCAGGGGTCGCGTGGCCTCGGGCCTGCATTTACACTGCTTTATCATCTCCATTGGCAAGATCTGAACCATCCTTCCTCCTCCTTCCTGTCTCTCTGGGGTGTCTGGAGGTACAGAAGAACCAAGTTGGGGGGCGGTGGTCAAGGGATGGGGAGAGGTTGAAGATCTTCGATTGCAGAAGGAAAGCCAGCTAGGAGGTAAAAGGATGATTCTTTTCCTTGTGGAAGCCATGTATGGGCAATGGTTGAAGGCGTCTTTGGGTTTATCAGAAAATCCTAACAGAAAAGAAATGATTTACCAGGTAAGAATATGCAGATATTCTGAAATACTAAACGGAAATCCTAAAGCCCCATAATATGACACTTTCTTTGCCAGGCTCGGCTGACGTTAAAGCCTCGTGCTGTGACCAGGAGCCTGATGGGAAGGTTGTTTAGCTGGGCTCTCCTAATCCCAAGGCCACCCCAGAGCACAGGACGACGGGCCCCTCTTGGAACCAGGCAACCGGGGGAACCCAGGCCTGCTCCTCGTGTCACCCCACTGGCTTCTGTGCTGTGGTGGGACTGTGGTTTTCAGAAAGTTACTTAAACCCAAGGTCTGAGATAAAGACAGCGATGGGAGCCTCAGTCATCCCATTCCAGGCTTCCGACATGGGACCTGTCAGTACCCCTGCACACCTGCTAGCCCAACAGACATGATTAACCAGGGAGGAAGGCAGGGAGGAAGAAGGTGGGGAGCAAAGCAAAAGAGGTCTGACCCTCCTCCCGAAAGTCTCAGAAACTCCAAACATGTGGTTAAACAGCCTCTTGAGGAGGAGTATCACTTTGCACACTATGGCATGTGTATAAAGGAGCAAAGAATAAACACATGCCTTGCCTCCAAGGGCTTACAGTCAAATGCAGAAACTCAGCATAGCCCAACTCCACAGTGCACATATACAGGCTGTAGAATCATGCATGAAACCAAGACACGTGCAAGCAAAGTTTTACGAATGTACACAAGTCAAGGTTCAAGTTTATAACTGAGGAGGCGGAGATTGGGTATGCTAACTGCCTTAAATGTTTCAGAAAAAAAAAATAGGTAGAATTTCAAATTAATGTAGGCATCAGTTCAAGCTTAGGACTATTGGTTTCCAGTATCATTTAGTATACATTCAACTCTTTCTACCGGGCTGTTCAGAGATCCACATCGTCTGCCTCCAACTCTCATGGCTTGTAAGTTTCTAGCTGGGTTTGTATTACAAGAACTTGTAGGCCTATGTTTCTGTTTCTGTTAAGATGGGTGCCTCTTGAAGGCATGGTCCAGAACTAAGTATCTTTTTCTGTTGTGAGATGAATGTAAAACATTTCAGAGTTTCACCTTAAGAAATCCCATTCCAGCCGGGCTCCGTGGTTCACACCTGTAATCCCAGCACTTTGGGAGGCCGAGGTGGGTGGATCACCTGAGGTCAGGAGTTCAAGACCAGCCTGGCCAACATGGTGAAACCCCGTCTCTATGAAAAATACAAAAAATTAGCTGGGCGTGGTGGTGGGTGCCTATAATCCCAGCTACTCAGGAGGCTGAGGCAGGAGAATCGCTTGAACCTGGGAGGCAGAAGTTGCAGTGAACTGATATCGCGCCATTGCACTCCAGCTTGGGCAAAAAGAGCGAAACTCCATCTCAAAAAAAATAAAAAAAAAAGAAAAGAAACCTCACTTCCCAAAATATCCTCCATTTAGTATAGGGATGGAGATTATTCCAGCATCTTGTATGTAGAAAGATGTAGAAGAGTCCAATTCTGCCAGGCCGTTTCCAATAAATAACGGGCAAAACTTCACATCATGTGGTCAAGAGATTGTTGAGAGAACTGAAGGCTGTAACTTTGACCACTAAATGGCTTAGGAGCCTCAGATAGACACTTGCCTTATTTACATCTTTACAAATTGTATACGTTGGATATTTGTACCTTGGGTTTTGTGTGTGTGTGTGTGTGTGTGTGTGTGTGTGTGTCTATGGTTACGTAGGATCAGTGAAATATGGGTGCCCAACTTTGGGGTAAAGGAAAGCCTTGGGGTGGAAGCAAAGCCAAGCCTAAAACTC
The DNA here is from genome assembly GCF_000001405.40 of Homo sapiens. NCBI lineage: Eukaryota > Metazoa > Chordata > Mammalia > Primates > Hominidae > Homo > Homo sapiens. Next base: position 72,443,211 of record NC_000017.11, read on the forward strand.
CCAGCCCAGCCATTATTCTCTAGACCTCAGGGCCTGCAAGATTCATACTGTCCTCCCAAAAAATGTCCTGGGCCTCTTGTGTAGACATTCATACCAACTAGGCCCTTCAACCAGAAGATACTTAGAGAAGACTCCAAAGTTCCCAACCTCTAGGCATTTGAGAATTCATAACCAAAACCAGGCTCTCAGTTTAAAGCGATACTGTGATGAGTGACAAAACACGTGAGCCTTTTGAGCCCATCTGCAGAAAGTGTCCACTTGACACGGTCACACAATGAGTAGCCTCTGAGGTGCCCGGGGCCACCTCTCACCCAGGCAACAGCAGAAGGAACTGGGGACTTATACTAACACCAAATCAGAACCTACTACTTTCAGACACTGCCAAGAAGCAGAAGACCGCAATTTATTGGTTAAGAAAAATACTGCCATAATTAATTATTCATCTCTGCCAATAACAATAACAACCAATAGTGAGAACACATGATCCTATTTGCATTTCTTTTCTCCATCTAAAATAAATTTACCAATAAAAATTTAAAAATAAATAAGGCCAGGCACGCTTGCTCACACCTGTAATCTCAGCAATTTGGGAGGCAGAGGTGGGAGGACTGCTTGAGGCCAGGAGTTCAATACCAGCCTGGTCAACATAGGAAGACCCTGTCTCTACCTTATTTCTTTTTTATTTTTTGAGACAGAGTCTCGCTCTGTTGTCCAGGCTGGAGTGCAGTGGTGTGATCTTGGCTCACTGCAAACTCTGCCTCCTGGGTTCAAGCTATTCTCCTGCCTCAGCCTCCCGAGTAGCTGGGATTAGAGGTGCGTACCACCTACACCCGGCTAATTTTTGTATTTTTAGTAGAGATGGGGTTTCACCATATTGGCCAGGCTGATCTCAAACTGGCTGGTCTCGAACTCCTGACCTCGTGATTTGCCCGCCTCAGCCTCTCAAAGTGCTGGGATTACAGGCGTGAGCCACCACGCCCAGCCTCTACCTTTTTTACAAATGAAAAATAAAAATAAATAAATACTCCATAATCCCACAGCTCTGAGCATGCTGTAAGTCTGAGAGGTAAATAATCAGGTTTCAATGTTAAATGTCAATCCCCTTTCATCCTCCTTTCCCTAGAAGCAGCCAAGTATAAATCAGAGTCGCAGGGATGTAGGAATCCAAAATGCAGAACTTCCCAACAGCAGTTGGGGTTTAATTTGCCACACATCTCCCACTCTGGAGGTATTAACTCAAATCCTGATGGGGCATCGATGGCGTGGCCGATGCTATGTTGGGAGCTAGGGCTTCGCCTCTGCCTGTGTGGTGTGTATTCCAGAGGGACACAGGTCAAAACAAGTAAACACAAACATTCAGTTATAAATCATGAAGTTTCTGCAAAGTAGAATGATATGGGGGTGGGAACAGCATCACAGCAACTGCAAAGGCCCCTCCAAGAAAATGACATGAAGCAGATGCCTGACACAGATACAGTCAGCTGCATGAATGAACCTAGGGAGCTGCGTGCTGGCTGCACCCCAGGCAGAACTGGGGTGGACCCCAGCTCCAAAGCCGCACCGTAGAAAGCGGAAATTCTGAAAATGTTTTAAAAAAATAATTAGACTCGGGAGAACACAAGACCCATGAGGATACAGGCTGGGGAACACTCCTTTTTACAAACTGCAGGCATGACCTCGAGGTAAGGTGAGAAACACAGAGAGCCCTGGAGAGCAGTCCTTGTTCTAGCACCTTCCACCGAGCTCAGTAACACGACAGTACATTTTGAAGCAAAGGGAAAAATCATGAGATGTTGCCTTTACCAGATAACTCATCTTGCTAAGGCACCTTTACCCCTCGTGGTCTTGAGGGTTCTGGGAAGGCATTGATGAGGACCTCCAGTACGTCCACCCAGCATTTTATTATCATAAGTGCGAAGCTTGGTTACAATTTTACAAAATAAAATGAAGGCTTCCTGATTCCTAGTCCCTAGTTGGGATAACCTCCCCAAAGCAAGCCTGGAAAATCCCTGGGCGGCCAGGTCACTGGGGCTCAAAGTCCTCCTCCTCCCCGCCCCACCCACCCATGGAAAAGTACTGGCATCTCAGCGGCTGGGTTTCTTCCAGGAGGCCCTGCTGGGGATGTGTCAGTGCCCCCAACCCGAAGCCCACAGGGAAATCTCACCCCACTGGGTTGAGCCCCAACCTCCCACTCTGGCCCCATTGGTTTCACACCCTTGAACAATCCTGCCCAAATAACCTAGCAGCTAAGTGTGGCCAGGGGCCAGGAAAAAAGCCCTGAAAAGCAGTGAGCTCTTCAGATCCGAGAGCTCACAGCTTGGCTGGGACGCTGCCCACTGTGGAAAATGGAACGTGAAGATCTGGTACAGTGAGGGTGGTGGGGGAGGGAAGCCCTGACCCCACCCAGCCTGCGTAAGAGCAGAGGGTCAACTTCCCAGGGTATCTGGAAAGCTCTGGCAAGGGTGGGCAGAGGTGGGTGGCGATGGGGCCGGCGGACACACGGCCTCGTGCTTTTCATGCGATGACACACCTGACTGGCCAGGCACACCTGGACGTCGGGGCAGGCCAAGCTTTCCAACAGTCACTCACTGTTCCTTGAGTGGAGAGGCCTGGCAGCCACGCTCCTCACAGACAGGGGGGTTTTTCTCCTTCTTGGTAGGCCACGCCTCCCCCGGGCACATACTGCCTCTGTCCGAGGGTTTCGTCCAAGCCCTGGGCTCTGACCACAAAAAGCGCCCTTTTCTTTGGCGGGCTCACCTCAGACGTGAGGTACCAGAGAGCCAAACCGTCTGCTAAAAGGACATCCCCAGCACATTTCTCCCTAGGCAGAGGGTCTGTGGCTGGCGGCCACAAACAGCACATCCTCCCTCCATCCTGGGGCCTTACAGAATTGCCCCTTGGTTCCTGCTATATTCATGGCAGAAGGACAGTAAACTAAAGGAGCTCTTGGCTTGCTCGGGGTGCTCCCGTCTGACCCAAAGCAAACTGGGTAAATCCCTGGTAAAAACCAAGTTGTTGAACACAGGGCTTCAGGTCTTGGCCCATTCGGTGTGGCCATTCCCACTCCAATGTCTCTGTGAAAATGCAAAAATAAATAAATAAATAAATAAATAAATAAATAAATAAATAAACACGAATGGCGACACCTTCCTCCAGCAGAGAGAGATTACGGCCTCCACCAAAACACTCAATGGGTTCCTGGCAGGGCTTCCACCCCAACTGTGGACACTAGATAGAGAGATGCTCTTCATGAGAGTCTTGAGGGTTCCTTGTTAAAAAAAAAAAAAAAAAAAAAAAAAAAGTGGGTTTTTTTTGGTTTTCTTTTTTTGGTCATACAAAACGTAGTTGTGAAAGGAAAAGAAAATGCCAGCCCTGTTTGACAGACATTAGATTTATGATCGTTTTTTAAGCCTCAAGTACGTCACAAGAATCGGCCCACCCACTGCACTGCCCTGATTGTAAACACGGCCAAGTGCCCATCCCTGCTCTTCCCCTATCGGACCTGGGCTCCTCCGCTTCTGAACAGCCCTTGTTTCCCTCTCCTGGTCTCTGGTGGGTTAAAAAGATGCCTGGCTGTATATATATGGAGAGCGTACACCATGGAGCTCTCTGAGCTAAAACCTCCAAGACAAACATAGCCCGCTCACGCCTTCCCCGTCTGCCGGCAGGCCGCAGATGTTAATAAACATGGTTGGGGTTTAGGGTTTGCCCACTGATTCCTCCATCCATTTTACACTCGACAAGTCAGGAGAGCATTTTTTCCCCCTTCCCTTAACGTACAAACTCAGTAAACTGTTGTAAGGCTTGGCAACAAACTTATGAATTTTGGCCTCCAGATGTGGCTGGAAATAAAAGTAAACACAGGGTGTGAGCAACTGCGTTTCAGGTTTGTGTCCTGTGAGGCTGAGTCTGCAAAAACCAGGGCTCAGAGAGACTCATTTGCCCTTTGCCATGAGACACCGGGAGATAGTTTTCCTAAAGGTAGGGATGCTGTTTGGTGCAGACAACAGATGTAGAGGTCCACTAGAAAATGTAGGTGAAGGTTTACAGTGCAGAAATTTGGCCCCCTCTCCAGAGCACCATTCATAATCCATCCCTCTTGGCCAGGGTGGGTCACAGTGTGTCCTACAGCAACTCTGGCTAGAACACAAGTCTATAGGAGGAAAGTGCTCAGATCAGAAAAAAACTGAAAAAGCCTTATCATGAGATCCATTTCTGGTACCATTCCTACGGAAGCAGGACAGAGATGTTCAAAAAGAAAGCAAAGGGTCAAGTGTAAACTGATAGGTCTACTTCAAACATGAATCAATAGGTTTTGTTTGATTTTACAGGTCGAAAGACTTGTGGGGCTTGAGGGCCTTTCAAATCAGAAGTCCAGCTTATCTATCCATAGCAAGAGGAAGGACAGAAAATACCACGCACATCTGAGAAATGTACTGCGTATATAACTTGCAATTATAAGATCCATTTTTCATCTTGCAGATGAAGATTGGATCAGGTAAACTACTGATCCAATGTCTGGAGATAAATTATTATTATCTTCTTTTCTGGGACTGAACAAAGATGGATTGTAAGGACCACTGTCCCCTTGTTAACATATATGCCCAGACTGTCATTTTCCCCCTTGCTAAGAAGTCATTTCCACGGGGGGATCATCTTCAGTATGTGCAGTTGGTCAAGACTTCACAAATATTTCCTCTGAATTGTAACCAAGAAAACCTTCGCTTTATAAATTTTTGTTTTATTACTTTGCTAAAGCAAATACACACCAAAAAAAACACATGTGGTATTCCACTTCAGTCAAACACTATGCCTAGAGCTCTATCTCTTTTTTTTCTTCTAAAGAAAAATCACAAATGCCACCTTATAAAACAGTACATTTCAGATGCCCATGGTATTTTCTGTCCTCTTTCTTGCTATAAATAGATAAGCTGGACTTCCGATTTGAAAGGCCCTCAAGCCCCACAAGTCTTTTGACCTATACAATCAAATAAACCTCTTGGTTCATGTTTGAAGTAGACCTATCAGTTTACACTTGACCCTTTGCTTTCTTTTCTGAACATCTCTCTGTGTCTTGTTTCTGTAGGAATGATACGAGAAATGGATCTCATGATAGGACTTTTTTCAGTTTTTTTCTAATCTGAGCACTTTCCTCCTACAGTCTTATGTTCTAGCCAGAGTTGCCAGAGGACACACTGTGACCCCCCTGGCCAAGAGGGATGGATTATGAATGGTGCTCTGGAGAGGGGTCCAAATCAATTTTCACGCAGGTGAAAACTTGGAAAACTACTGGGAATTGTGGCTTTGGGGGGGTCTTTAGCTATATGCTTGCAACTTACCATGAAAAGAAAATGGTTTGGCTGTTATATGTATGGATTTTTCATCTTGTTTTGTGTTTTGAATGAAACTTTAAAGGGCATGTTAAAGGCTTTCACTTCTAGATAAGAAATCATAGAATCATCAAATTCTATCCTCAGAAAGACTCATGGAAGGTCAACTTTTAATTCTCTGACTCTGTACTTTGATGTAATTAGGGGCTACAAGCCCTTCAGTGAGCTGGCTCAGCTTGTAGAACTGAAATGTACTTTTCTATTTTTGGAATTAGGTGATGAGATGTGAAGACTAGATGTAAAATGTAAAACATTTTAAGATGTTACATAAAAATCTGGATTCCTGGATGGTCTTGAAAAAATGAGAAGATCTGGCAATCCTGCACCTGTGTTCCTACATAGAAGCAAATCACTAAAGCTGAGAAGCTGCTACCTCTTTAAGGAAGCGTGTGTGCTCTCCAGTGTACGACAATCCACATCATGCTAAAGCATTGGCCTTATTCATTCATTTGGCTCTTCTTCCTGAACCTTGTAGACATCTGAGTTTAGAATTCCTGGTTAAAAAAAAAAAACCATCTTCACTTGAAGGTTCTTGTTTGATCTTTCTCATGTGAATATCAAAGATGGATATGAATATGCAACACAGCTTGGTAAAAAGAGCCTCACAGATAAAAGCGAATCTAATATCAATGATCAATACTCTTAGAATTTCCCAGTGCAAATCAGTAAAACTTTTTGGTGCTTTGACATGTTGAAGGTCCTAACCATAAAACAATTTGGTTGGATGTGGCTTAGAGCTTTGCATTATAGATGTTACTTAACAATAGCAAAAAGGAAGCCAAGAAAGTATCCAAGAAACACATCTTACCTCCCAACACACGCACATTTGAGTTACCACCATATGTGGGTCACAATACTAATGTGTTCTCAAGAGGCGTATAATCTTTCAAGGGGCTTACAATAGAGCAAAGGTGTGTTTGTTTAACAGCATGGGAACCAGTTTGAAGGGGCTCCCAGTGGCCAAATCTGGGACAATATGAGCACCAAAATAATTAAGCAAAGTAGTGATAGGTGAACCATTGACTAATTAGGAATTCATGAGCCCATACCAATAATGAACAGACATACAGACAAATAAATAGGGATACAAATAAAAAGGTCTCTTGCTAACAGTGGAATGCCAAGAGCCAAACAGTAAATATTGAGGGAGAACTGGAGTTGGAAAATCATTTACAACCATCATGGTGAAGACCTGATCAAGCAAGAATCATCACCAGATGCTAAATCTGAAAGGCAGTCTTTGAGAATGAGAATCTTTGCATATCCTTAAAGTGTCTCTCCACTGATTGCTTATTAGCTACAAGGGAGGAAAAACACATTAATTGTACAGTGAGGAAATCAGACAACATCTTACATGGGTAATCAAAACTGACATCACCCATCAGAAAGAGATGGACATTGGGTACCTCCAGATGTGACATACTGAGAAAGATATCGCATCGCCTATGCAGCGTTGTAGCCAAGAATCCATAACTTCAATCTAATCAAAAGCAAACTTCAAACACAAATGGGGAATTTTCCATTTAAAAAAATGGAGGAGAAACTATAGTCTTCAAAAATATCCATTTCATCAAAATCAAAGAAAGGCTATAGAAATCTTCCAGATTAAGGAGGCTAATGACACATGACAATTTAAAGCAATATCTGACTCTACATTGGATTTTGTTTTCAAACTTTAAGTTCTGGGCTACATGTGCAGAAAGTACAGGCTTGTTACATAGGTATACATGTGCCATGGTGGTTTGCTGCACCTATCAATCCATCGTCTAGGTTTTAAGCCCCACATGCATTCAATATTTGTCCTAATGCTCTCCCTCCCCTTGCCCCCCACCCCCGCAACAGGCCCCAGTGTGTGATGTTCCCTTCTCTGTGTTCATGTGTTCTCATCATTCAACTCCCACTTATGAGTGAGAACATGCAATATTTGGTTTTCTGTTCCTGTGTTAGTTTGCTGAGAACCATGGTTTCCAGCTTCATCCATGTCCCTGCAAAGGACATGAACTCATTCTTTTTTATGGCTGCATAGTATTCTATGGTGTATATGTGCCACATTTTCTTTATCCAGTCTAGACTGGACTCTGTACTGGAGAGAAATTGTGTCATAAAGGATAGCATTAGATCAACTGAGAAAACTGGAACACGGAAGGAGATTAGGTAAAATAATTGCATCAATGTAAATTTATAAAGGCGATAACAGAGTTACGGTTCTATAAGAGAATCGCTCTTCTTAGGAAATATACACCAATGTATTTAGAAGTAAAGGCCCATGTTGTAGGAGCTTACCCTCAAACCGTTTAGGAAAAAAACTGCAGAAAGAGATAAAGAAAGATAAATTGAAAAAGTGAATGGCGTACAATGTTAATAACAGGTGAATCTGGGTAAAGGGGTTATGAATGTTCTTTGTGATGTTTTGATAACGTTTAAAATTATTTCCAAAGTAAAAGTTTAAAAAAAAAAGTGTGTGCACGCGCACATATGTGTATAAAAGCAAGACAGCACATGAGCACACATTAAGTACAAATCTGTGGCACAAGCCACTCGGAGGTGAAGGAGGGAGTACCACTGATTAGAGAGGTCAGAAAGGTTGAACATGGGTCTGAGAGACAGGGCGCTCTTAAGAGTTGAAAGGGTTGGGCTTTTAACTCTAACAATAGGAACCAGCATCAAGCAACTGGAGCCTCCATGGCTGCCGGGGGAAAAAATACTGCACAGAATGGACTCTATATGTCAAAAGGGAATTGATTTTAAGGCTAGAGAGACTGGGAGCCAGGGGTGGACCCAGGTACCAGGTCAAGGAGCTCACTTTCAGGATACAGTCTGGTGTGGAAGCAGAAAACCTCTTAGCAGGAGGCAACATATGCATAACCTACAGGTATGTAGGCTAGACTGCAGTGACAGGCAATCGGGAACCGCTGCAAAAGTCTGGGTGGGTGGTCACCAAATATCAGCCATAAATTCCTGAGAGGCCACAGCACTGACATTAGGGTCCCACAAGACCCAAGGCACATTAAGCATTGTTGGAAGATTGAATATGTAATTTCTTACACAAACATGTTGTATTTTCCAACTCCTACAGACCACTATTTTCCAAATATTCACTAGATAAAATATTAAATCATTAGTCAATAGGAGCCTGTGAAACAATGTAGTACTAAACAGGTCTTCAACGTTCAAAAGAGTGAGCAGCTCTGGAGATGAGGTCTCAGCCTCCTGGCCAGGGCATTGCCATGGAGATCTGTCCAGGTAGGAGAACAATGCCTTTGGTTCACTTAGAACACACCTAAAGATGGCAGCATGTAATGTACTCTGAGAAAGTACAGAGAGGAACAAGGTAAAGCTCTTATTTTTAAAAAGCTAGTGTTATGGCTCATGCCTGTAATCGTAGCACTTTAGGAGGCCAAGTTGGGCAGATCAGTTGAGGCCAAGAGCTCAAGACCAGCCAGGCCAACATGGTGAAACTCTGTCTCCACTAAAAATACAAAAATTAGCCTGGTATGATGGTACACGCCTATAATCCCAGCTACCTGGAGGCTGAGGCAGGAAAATAGCTTGAACCTGGGAGGTGGAGGTTGCAGTGAGCCAAGATCACGCCACTGCACTCCAGCCTGGGCAACACAGTGAAACTCTGTCTCAAAATAATAATAATAATAAATTAAAAGCTAGTGTTACAGGTAAGGCATTTAAATCATGGTGACAAGCTGAGTAAGAGCAAAAAGGTAAAGGAATAAAAACAGAGTTTAATGTTGACATCCAGACACATTATTTTACCCTAATGAGAAAGGCAGGAGCCTAGAGCAGAGCCCAGCCTGGAAACGAGGACAGGGGTATGCTGGACTTCAAGGATCATGGACTTGAAGTGAACGTACAGGGGGCCACACAGAGCTGACACTTGGAGAAATCTCAAGGGCTCAGATGCAAGGTTGGGAGTGATTTTTATGAGGGGTGTGGTCAAAACCACGGCAGGAGATTGGACTTCAGAGCAGAGGCCAAGAGCCCAAGCTCATCCCTGTTTAGAGAGCAGGAGGTGGGATCTGCAGGAGCCTGTGGGTAGTCAGTACTGAACCATCAGGAGCTGAGCAACCACAGGGAAGAAGGACCAAGGAAGGGCAACTAGATCTGATGAGGTTTGCAGGGTACCAAACCACAGGGTCATAAAAGCTGGACTTGGATTTCCAAGAAGAAGGAATAGGTGAGTGGTTAATATAAGATAGAGGATTCCCAGAAATCCCGACCTCTCTGTAGAAGGAAGGAAAATATTAAAGGGCAGTGCCCAAGATAAGTTTAAAGCTAATAAAGGCCCTTATAGAGGATCACAGACAGAGGGTCAGAGAGAAGAGAGGGAGTAATGATTCATATCAATTCTCAGTTGCACCCACAATTCTCTGGGCTCAGCTGGGGAGAGAATCACAACCCAAGACTTGGGCAAGAACTAAGCAGCAACTGCTTGGGAGGGATGGGGTCGGGGAGTGTGAGCAAAATCAATGTCAGAAATTGTCTGAAAAGAGTCAAGGTGAGGAGGAGGCACAAACAAACTGGAGAGGCTGTGCTCCTCAGTGACCTCATCTCTATTTGTGATTTGGGGAGTAAGGGGTTAAGAGGGATCAGGGAAAGTCAGCACAGAAGTCGCTAGAGGAGGAAGGCAGGAAGAGCCTGCACTTCATGGAGAAGGGCAGGGAGGAGGCTACCAGCCAGGTAATGTGCCCTGAGAGAGGTATTTTTATTCCAGTCTGAGCCCCGTCCCTTGTCCTCACCCCATTCTATCTGCATATCATTTACCTGTGTTTAGTTAGAAACCATGGTAATGAGGAAGCCTGAAGAAATGATTGAAATATTAGGAGGATACCAGGCCACCACGAGGCCACACTTCTGTTTTCTGGGGAACCAGATCCCTTAGGAACAAAGGGTGAGATGACAGGTAGCCCGCAGCAGTCTGTTCCAACAACCGGATTTGCCCTTTATGGGACAAATGAGCTGCCTGTGGTAAAACAGGGGACTAGAGATAACTGAAGCCTAGATTCCCAATGCTGCACCGGCTCTGGGGCTCTTGGAGCCCCTCCTGCCAGGTCTCACAGTCCTGCGCATCCTACAAGCGGGAAGCAAAGAAGTTCATCCACAAATGCAGGAGGAACCTGACCTAGACTCTGCTGCTGCTCTTGGATCTGACTGAATGATTCTGCATTCTTCTCCCCATCCATCCCCAGTGCTTTATTTTTATTCTTATTTCTTTTTAATTTTACTTTAAGTTCTGGGATACATGTGCAGAACGTGTAGGTTTGTTACACAGGTATACATGTGACATGGTGGTTTGCTGCACCTATCAACCCGTCATCTAGGTTTTAAGCCCCACATGCATTCGGTATTTGTCCTAATGCTCTCCCTCCTCTTGCCCCCCACCCCCCCACAGGCCCCAGTGTGTGATGTTCCCCTCCCCGTGTCCATGTGTTCTCATTGTTAAACTCCTACTTATGAGTGAGAACACGCAGCATTTGGTTTTCTGTTCCTGTGTTAGTTTGCTGAGAATGATGGCTTCCAGCTTCATCCATGTCCCGCAAAGGACATGAACTCATTCTTTTTCATGGCTGCCATCCCCATCATTGTACTTATGATTGAGCAAGATCCCATAGAAAGGTGCTACAGGCTGAATGTTTGTGTCTCTCCCAAAATTCATACATTGAAACCTTAATCCCCAATGCGATGGTGTTTGGAGATAGGGCCTTTGGGAGATAATCAGGTCATGAAGTCCCCATGATGGGATCAGTACCCCTATAAGAAGAAATATGAGAGAGCTTCCTCTCGCTCCCCCACTCCCTCACCCCCAACCCTGACCTTGTGAGTCAAGAAGAAAGTCATCTATAAACCAAGAAGGGGGCCTTCACCAAGAATCTGACCACGCTGGCACTCTGATTCTTGGACTTCCCACCCTCCAGAACCATGAGACATAAGGTTGCTTAACCTGCCTGGTCTATGGTCATTTTGTTATAGCAGCCCAAGCTAGGAAAAGAAAGCAAAGTCTTTAGGAAAATGCACGGCTGTGAGCTGAGTGTCCACTTCTCCACGGACAAGATTTAGAGCAACTCAGAATGTCCCATGGCTGATGGCAGGCACACAGTGGTGCCACAGGAAATTGGCTCAACCCACACTGGTGGCATAACCCAGGGGTCCCTACCTCTTGGGCCACAGACTGGTACTGCCCATGGCCTGCTAGGAGCTGGGCTGTACAATAGGAGGTGGGCAGTTGGGGAGTGAGTGAAGCTTCATCTGTATTTACAGCCACTCCCCATCACTGGCATGACCGCTTCCTGTCAGATCAGTGACAGCATCAGGTTCTCATAGGCACGAGAACCCTATTGTAAACTATGCATGTGAGGGATCTAGGTTGTGTGCTCCTTATGAGAACCTAATGCCTGTCAGTGATGATCTGTCACTGTCTCTCATCGTCCCCACATAGGACCATCTAGTTGCAGTAAACAAGCTCAGGGCTCCCACTGATTTACATTACAATGAATTGTATAATTATTTCACTATTATATGTAATATATAGTGAAATAATTGTAATATGTAATAATACTAATGTATGTAATAAATTATATACTACTAAAATGTAATACATAATAATACTAGAAATAAAGTGCACAATAAATATAATGTGCTTGAATCATCCCGAAACCATCTCCCCAACCCCACCCCACCCCATCCCTGGTCCATGAAAAAAACTGTCTGCCATGAAATTGGTCCCTGGTGCCAAAAAGGTTGGGGACCGCTGGCATAACCAACATAAACAAAAACACACACTCAGGCCCATCTTTCAAGCTCCGGCTTTAAGGACATTTTCTGCCTTGATTTATTAAATCCTGCAGTAGACAGCATGTGAAAGCCCAGTGCCGAAGGACCCCACAGACTTCCAATGGGGTCAGCTCCCCTGAAACCACAAGACTCAGAGACCCGTGGTGTTCCAGGAACCGATTTAAATGTCGCTTGAATCCTGAGGATTTTACTTTATTATTTTTTTAACTCTTGGGAAATGGTATGAAATGGCTGCTGTCATCCTTGCAGCATCTGCCTCCCAAGCCCACTGCATGGGTTCTCCCAACACCTCCCCTTGGCTCCCCTCCTGGCCAAGTTCAGAAGTGTGATGGGCTCAAAGGAAATGCCCCAGCGCCCACAGGCACCCAGAGGCTGCGTGCACCCTGGTGGTCCCTGTCGAAGCGGTCACGGCTCACCGCCAGACACCCTTGGTCCTTACAGCTCTGGCTCTGCCAGCCACAGACATCTTCAAACAGAGCCCATGAAAAGAAACACTGCTTCAGCTTTGCTCCCACCGCCATCCTGGGACCCAGGGTCCACAAGGAGAATATTTTCTTAAAGTAACTCCCTGATTTGCGGGGGTTTACCTGCCGTAGGGGAAATTTTTTAAAAAAAGAAAAGGAAAGCATTAGGAGCTTCTGTAAGAGCAGCCCAAGGAGGGGAGGGGAAAAGAAATGTCACCCTTGCTCTCTCCAGACCCGCCTGAATTTGAGGTTTGGCACAAATACCAAGACAGGGCTGGCCAAGAGAAAGGTGTGGCCCGGTGAAGGACATGTCCAGGAGTCCAGCAACTGTAAACTTGAATCCCAACCCTAACCTCGCCTAACTCCCAGCCAGGACTGCCAGTGACTCACTCATCTCTCTTGCCTTGGTGGCACCATCCAGTAAAAGACAGGACTTCTGACCTCACTGGGGAGCAGGAAGATTAGCTCATGTTTATAAAGCGCTTTGAAGATTAAAAAGCCTGTGCCTAAAGGGGGCTATTATTATTATAACTACCTGTGAAAAAAGAGAAAAAAGATTCCCATCTAGGTCTAATATTAGCTCTCATACAGAGCCAGAGGGGCAGGGAGGCACTGACTTCGTGGCAGCTCATACTTGTGCCCCTGGCACTAAGACGGTGCTTCCCAAAGTTTGGGATGGGGAACATCATGGGGGGGTGCATGGGTTGGTTTTAGAGGGTGGGCAGACAGCACAGAACAGTGTGTAATCACCGAAGGAGAAAGCGACTCCCTCTTCCATTCTCTTTTTTTTTTTTTTTTTGAGATGGAGTCTCGCTCTGTTTGCCCAGGCTGGAGTGCAGTGGCACGATCTCGGCTCACTGCAACCTCTGCTTCCCCGGTTCAAGCAATTCTCCTGCCTCAGCCTCCTGAGTAGCTGGGATTATAGGCATGTGCCACTACACCCAGCTAATTTTAGTATTTTTAATAAAGACGGGGTTTCACCATGTTGACCAGGCTGTTCTTGAACTCCTGACCTCAGGTGATCCACCTGCCTCTCAATTCTCTTTTAATCCTACTGATTCCATTTCAGGAGAAAGTCTCCATTTGGTGCTGCTAGGTCTGTACCATCTCTCCCTGGCCAATTTCCCTTCATTATAGACAGAGCAATAACCTCCCTCAAACTCAAAGGTTCGGCAGACAACTGTAGCTACCTAGAATTTATAAACATTGTTTTGATTTCATTGTGCTCATTATTTGTATAATTACTTTGAATCTATGAGAAGTGATACTGATTCACTACATTTCACTTTAAAGTTACATTTCTTTTTTTTTTTTTTTCTTTTTCCACGTTCAAGCGATTCTCTCCCCTCAGCCTCCTGAGTAGCTGGGATTACAGGCTCCTGCCACCACACCCAGCTAATTTTTGTATTTTTAGCAGAGATGGGTTTTCACCATGTTGGCCAGGATAGTCTCCAACTCCCGACCTCAGGTGATCCACCCACCTCGGCCTCCCAAAGTGCTGGGATTACAGGTGGGAGCCATCGTGATTGGCCAAAATCATGATTCTTTAAATTGGAGTTTCTCAACCTCAGCCCTATTAGCATTTGGGGCCAGATCATTCTTTGTGGTGGAGGCTGTCTTGTGCCTTATAGGATGCTGATCACCCTGTCCTGTGCCTTGCAGGATGCTAAGCATCTTTGGCCTCCTCTTCTCACCAGATGCCAGAGCATCCCTCCACCACCCAACTGGGACAACCAAAAATGTCCCTAGACATTGCCCAGTGCTGTCTGGGGGATAAACCCCAACCCCCAACACCTCCTCTGTTAGGAACTACTGCTTTTAGATCAATTCACTAAAAAACAAAAAAACAAAACTTAAATGTGTTAAATAGTAAGGTTGTACTAAAATGGCTCCAGTTTAGGAAAACCTATAACAGAGAAGCAGTCCTTCTCGCCCATGTCTGCTCCAGCTCCTGAGTCACGATCTAATGCCTCCAGGGCAGGCCTGTGCTCTGGAGCCCTCGTAGCCAAATACCATCATCCCAGTGGCTCCATTCACGGCAGGGGTCCTATCTGTGCTGGCTGATTAGAAGAGCTTTAACCATTTCTGGAAGTCATAAACAAGGGTGTTTGGAAACAATTTTCATTCCAGGCCCCTTCCCTGGTGTCAAACCCTGCTTATCAGATCTTGAGGTCTCAGTGGACACCTGCTTGTCATGGCTGGAGCAACTGCCTAGAGGCCAGAGAAAGGAGGCTCACGGGGGATCAATGGGAAACAAGGGTGGGCCCATTCAGGAATGTTGTTAAGTCCCAGAAGGGCCTTACAAGAAAGATCTAGTCCTTTCTTCCACCTTATCAAAGGAGAAACTGAGGCCCGGGAAGAAAGGCTCTATGATGTGTGCCGGGACAGATGCAGCCTGTAACAGAACATGGCGTAGAACTCAAGGCTTCCTCCAGTATTAATGTTCTCCAACACCACACTGTGCATGGCAATCCCCAGGCTAAAGAAAATGTCACTGCCCTAATACTCAAAATAGGAGGCAAAGGCTTACACATATGCTGCTTTTGACGTTTAAAACTCAGCAAGAGCAAAACTACACAAATGAAATAATTAAAATCTGCATTGGCAGCCACCCAGCAGGCAGGGGGACAGCCTGCTCCATCACCTGCTAAGCCCCCAGCACCCAACGGGCGGATGCCTACGAGCAGCTGCTATCAGAGGCTCCTTGGCATGCCTATCGTCCGGCTTTCCACGGGATGTTTTCCTTTCTTCTGCCTCTCCTATCTGGCATTTTCTTTGAGACGGAGTCTTGCTGTGTTGCCCAGACTGGAGTGCAGTGGTGCGATCTCAGCTCACTGCAACCTCCCCTTCCCCGGTTCAAGTGATTCTCTTGCCTCAGCCTTCTGAGTAGATGGGATTACAGGCACACGTCATCATCATGCCTGGCTAATTTTTGTATTTTTAGTAGAGACGGGGTTTCACCCTGTTGGTCAGGCTGGTCTCGAACTCCTGACCTCATGAGCCACCCGCCTCAGCCTCCCAAAGTGCTGGGATTACAGGCGTGAGCCACCGCGCCCGGTCCCCTCTGGCATTTTCATTCCACACCTCCTTCTCCCGAGATTACAAGGAAGTTAAATTGCCAAACTTCCTGGTTCATGCAAAGTTAAGACTGTCCATTAAATAGACGCCAGAGAAAATAAAGTCTAGTTTTGAAGATTTGGTATCAGCATGGCTCAAAGTACTTCTCTGTCTCAGGGACCAGCACCAGGCTTCTAAATGAAATCACAACCACAAAAGAGGCTTCTGGGGCCTTCAGCAAAACATGCTCACTGTCCTCCAGCCCTGTCTCTGAGGGTCCCCTCTCTGGAGTGGGAGTAGAGGCTCTCTGTGCACTTCCAAAGACACTCTAGGAATCAACTTTTATTATTCCCAGTGTTCAGATGAGAAACCTGGAGGTCACACATACCGTAAATGACAAGACCGTGGACTGAGGCTTTAACCAGATTTGCTCGTTCCAAAGCCTATACGGCTACCCCCTCTACATGCTGCTTCCCTATAAGCAAAGCTAACGTTGCCTGGAGATCCTTACTTTGTAGTTTGGAAAGCCAAGCCCAGGTAAGCTACGGACAGATATTAACAAGGCAACTTATCATTGCGATCCTATCAATGGTCTGGGCCATCAATCAATCAATCAATTAATATTCACTGAACCTGCCACATAAAATCCCAGAGTTAGCCATGCAGGGACCAGCCAGGCATGGGAGCCACGGTCTAACCAAGAACCCAGTGTTCTCACACAAGCTTAGAGAGATGGCACAGGGCGATGCGTGATTGATTGCTGATGAATGGCACAGTTACTAAATGCTATAAAGTCCAGAGAAAAATCTGAGAGTTGAAGCTGCTTTGTGGAAGAGCCGAGACGTGTAGCTGGGCCTGGAATGGTGAGAAAGACACAGATCTGCACAGAGGATCCAAGACCACCAGGCAAGAACACAGAATTCCAGGCCCTTGTTCATGTCCTCTGCAGCCCAGACAGAAACGCTGGTCAGGTCTATGCCATAAGCACGTCCGGGAGGCTCTCAACTGTCTATTCAGTGTGACACACCCCCCTCCAAAAACAGATACACACACATACACACAAACAACAACACCTGAACTCATTTCTGCTCAGCTTTAGAACGTAAATGATTGTTTTTAAATGAACAAATTTCTACTTCACTTAGAAGAGCTTGACAGGAGGTGGCATTTCTTTATTCAAAAAGAACCTGCGACGTCCCTATTACGGGTCAGTGCTTTGCTGGGCCCTGGGAATAGAGGGAGGAATAAAAGATGGATCTTGCTCTTAGGAAGCTTCGGGGCTAGACTGGAGGACCTTGAAGGAAGATGAAAAATAAACAAAAATTCTAAAAATCTATACTACGGAGAGGTTACAACACCGCAGTTCAGAACAGCACCACTTCCCCTCCCCATCCCTGACATTTCCCAGGCCTTTCTGGTTTTCTCAGTGCCTGTGTAAATGTGGTCCCTGGTCCCAGACGCCTGATTCATTCATTCTCCATGTTTGATGACACAGGAAACCCCTGAGAATGAAGGAATCAGGGGTATAACAGGCCCTAAACAAAGCCAAGATGAGCCATGTTTGTCCCCGAGAGAATCAACAGCCCCTGTATGAAAAGAGTGCTGTACAGTGGGATGGGACGAGGCAGGTTTTATAATCTGATTAAAATCGCCTGTCGGCAGTTTTCCGCTCTCCTGCTCACCCTAAATCTACAAAGAAGCTCCACTCCTGGAATCCCACACAGGTAAACCCCGTGACCTGGGGAGGATGTTTGTTGAAGAGTTGTCTCTCGTGGCGCCAAAGAGTTTGGGACAATGTAGGTGTCCATCACTGGGGGAATGGACAGGTCTGTCTGGATCAGAAGCTAGCAAACTTTCTCTGTCCAGGGCCAGATACTATTTAGGCTTTATGGGTCAGGAGGCCCCAGTCAAAATTCCTCAGCTCTGCCACAATAGTGAGAAGATAGCCATGGATGACAGGGAAATGAATGGGTGTGGCTGGGCTCCAATCACACTCTATTTACAAAAGCAAGTGGCCAACTGGATTTGGCTCAAGGGCCACAGTCTGCTGACCACTGGTCTAGAACATTCTTCTCCCAAGTATCTGCCCAGTCTCTGTTCAAATGTTATCTCCTGAGAAAACCTTTCTTGGCCACACTCTTTCTTTTTCTTTTTTTTTTGAGGCAGGGTCTCACTCTGTTACCCAGGCTGGAGTGCAGTGGTGCAATCATAGCTCACTGCAGCTTCAACCTCCCCGGGCTCAGATGATCCTCCCACCTCAGCCTCCCAAGTAGCCGAGACTACAGGCATGCACCACCGTGCCTGGCTAATTTTTGTATTTTTTGCAAAGAAAGGGTTTCACCATGTTTCCCAAGCTAGTCTCAAATTCCTGAGCTCAAGCGATCTACCCTCCTTGCCTCCCAAAGTGCTAAGATTACAGGCGTGATTCACCGTGCCCAGCCTGGCCACACTCTTTTTTTTTTTTTTTTTTTTCTTGAGACAGAGTTTGGCTCTTGTTGCCCAGGCTGGACTGCAGTTGTGCGATCTTGGCTCACCACAACCTCTGCCTCCCAGGTTCAAGAGATTCTCCTGCCTCAGCCTCCCGAGTAGCTGGGATTACAGGCATGCGCCACCACGCCTGGCTAATTTTGCATTTTTAGTAGAGACGGGGTTTCTTCATGTCAGTCAGGCTGGTCTCGAACTCCTGACCTCAGATGATCTATCTGCTTCGGCCTCCCAAAGTGCTGGGATTACAGGCGTGAGCCACCGCGCCCATCCCCGGCCACACTCTTAACTGTGCCCTCCATCACTCTTTATCCCTCACCCCTCTCTTTTATTCCACAGCATTTATCACTTCCAGATCAATTTGTCTATCAGCTTAGAGTCTGTCTTCACTCTAGTGAGGGAGAGCAAAGGTTTTTTTCTGTTTTGTTGGTCACTAGCGCCCAGCACTTAGTAGGCACTCAGTGAATATCTGTTGGGTGAATGGACGAGCAGCTGCCACGTTCATCTGTACACGTCACCCAACAATGTGTGTGCCTCGTCTTTCAGGGCTAGAGAAGTCCTGGAAAGGTCAGCCAGGTTGCCAAACCACCTCCCTGCCCCAAGGGAGGCTGCATGCAAAACTACCCCATGCAGATCTCAATCTATCTTTCCTTCCTTCCTTCCTCTCCCTTCCCTTCTTCCCTTCCCTCCCTTCCCCTCTTCACCCCTTCCCTTCCTCTCTCTTTCCCTTTCTGTCCTTCTCTCTCCAGTGAAACAGGGCAGTGAGATGCCTGTTGGTACCAAGTCCCAGAGGGTCATCACTCTGTGCTGCCACTGAGACAATTCCAGGAGCCAACAGCATTTTCTTTTAGAATCTGCCAATCTTTTCCAAACATTCCACAGAGGACTTTAAAAGAGAGAAAAAAAAAAAAGAGAGAGAGAGAGAAGTGAAGAAAAGTGACTCCTGACAGCCCACCCTGTAACCACCAAAAGCCAGTCCCACTTCTCTCCAGGAGACTGATAAAAGAATTTTTTCTTTTTAGCAGAGAATAATATTCACCTCTCTTCTTCTAGCTATTGTGGGTTTTTCCTCCCTAAATTCCAAAACCAATCTTTCAGTGCTGACATAGTAAAATCTGCCTTCCTAAAAAACCTCAGGGCTTTTCAAGCAGCCAAAAACCTCAACCATTGCACAGCCCACAAGATTTTGCAGAACAGATTATAATCCCCAGCCTCCCTCTCCTCCTCGTGAATCACAAACCAGCTAAACTCCAGTGACAGATTATGGAGCTACTGCTCTGAACCCTCCATGGGTGGAGGGAGACCAGACAGGATTGCTGGCTGCAGAAAGAAAATCATTCCACCTCATCTGTGAAGGAACCAAACTGCAGCTTTTCTCTAAAGCACAAGTTGATGGCACTTTGATGTATAGTGTTCCCTAACACCAAGGCCACTCATTTTTTTTTTTACCTCCTTGCTCTTGTGGACATGATCTATAGCAGGGGTTCCTAACCCCCAGGCCATGGACGCATTACTGCTCCATGGCCTGTTAAGAACCAGGCTGCACAGCAGGAGGTGAGTGGTGGGTGAGTGAGCAAAGTGTCATTTGTATTGACAGCCGCTCCCCATTGCTCACATTACCACCTGAGCTCCACCTCCTGTAAGATCAGTGATGGCATCAAATTCTTATAGGAGCGAGAACCCTATTGTGAACTGCACATGTGAGGAATGTAGGTTGTGCATTCCTTATGAGAATCTAATGCCTGATGATCTGTCACTGTCTCCCATCGCCCCCAGATGGGACTGTCTAGTTGTAGGAAAACAAGCTCAGGGCTCCCACAGATTCTATGTTATGGTGAATTGTATAATTATTTCATATTACAATGTAATAATAATAGAAATAAAGTACACAATAAGTGTAATGTGCTTGAATCATCCAGAAACTACCCCCACCCCACCCCACCCCACCACATCCACGGAAAAATTATCTTCCAGAAAACCAGTCCCTGGTGCCAAAAAGGTTGGGGATTGCTGCTCTATGGAGCCCCATGCGGCCTCAAAGTCCCTCAACTCTCAGTGTCCCTGGAAGACTTTTCGGCTACACTTTCTGTCCAACCGGTTCTGCCCTTTATTTTTGTTTCAGGGAGGATTATTGCCATGGCAATGTCCAGGTGACAGAGTCAGGAGGGGGAAGAAACCCACCTGTATTCAACCCTTAATCCCTTAAAGCCTGTCAGAAAGCAGCAGCCTTGGAAAATAAGAAGCCTGGCCAGTGTTTCCTATCGATCACAAGACAGAATAAACCAGAAAACAGCTCTCCACGAAGAAGCCTTGGTCAGTCAAGTGTCCCTAGGGGCTCTGCCAATCTCCCTGCATAGGAGATCTGCCCAACACACATTTGCATTTTCAGAAAGAGCAGAGCAGAAAGGAAGCAGAAAGCCAAGTCTGTGGTGGGGAAAAAGGAAAGTGGGTTTCCCATGAGATTCAGGTAGCTCCCCAGGACCGAAGGATCAGCTGGGCACGTGTGCTTCCTATCTGGGTAGTGCTGGTCATTTCTGTTTGCTGTGGCCACAGTGTGGCCATCCTATCGGCACCTCTACCCAAGAGTGGGTGGAGCAAACAAAACAAAATTCAGTTCCTGGGTATTAGCTTAGCACCCAGTCCACAAACCTCCTCTGCCTCTGAGGAGGTGAGAGGCCCTTAAAGCTACGGGCATTCACAAAGAAACAGGAGGAAATGAGGAATTCACTGGAAATTTTTGCCGTCTATGCTAGGAGGAACATCCCAGGTACCCACAGGGACTATCAACAAGTATCCACCCCAAAAAATAGATTCAATAAAACAATAAACTTACAAATATGAACTTGTAACTGTGGTTTACTATTCTTGGGGAAGTCTGTTTTATTTCTTTTCTTTTATTATTTCTTTGAGACAGGGTTTTCCTCTGTTTCCCAGGCTGGAGTGCAGTGGCACAGTCATGGCTCACTGCAGCCTTGACCTTCAGGGCTCAAGCAATCCTCCTGCCTCAGCCTCCCAAGTGCCTGGGACCACAGGTGTGTGCCACCACATCCAGCTAATTTTCAAATTTGTTGTAGAGATGAGGTCTCACTACATTGCCCAGGCTGGTCTTGAACTTCTGGGCTCAAGTGATCCTCCCGCCTCGGCCTCCCGAAGCGCTGGGGTTATAGGTGTAAGCCACCGCACTTGGCCTGTTTTAAATAAGTGTTGTATACTTGTGTGTGCTGGAAAACAGCTATCCAGAAAACACCACGGATAGACAAGCTTCCCCAACCAAATTGTGTTCCCAGTTCATGCGTTATCCACTGACCCTCATTTAAACTTGGTTTTGGCTCCCTGTGTTTTTCATTTCATTGTTAAGGAGGCATACACTAGATCCTTCCTCTTCTTGGGCTCAGTTATCCACAGAGATACAATATTTTAAAGGTTGTCATGTCCTTGCCTGGCTTATCAAGGAAGTAAGGGACAGCCCAAGGGCTTCCCAGGTAAGGAAAAACAACGGTTTTATAAAGCCACGGCTGGTGACAGTGCAAAAGGAAAGGCTGCTTCCATTGTATCTGGTCATTGGGTTTGCTGTGTGCCTATCAGGTTTATAAAACAAACTGCAGCAGTGAGAGGCTGTGAGTGAGCTCTCTTCCTTCCCCTATTAACTATCTATGCAGTAAGAAGGCCTGATGCACCCATTTAGCTGGGAATAGCTGCCAGAACTTTAAGGCTGATGCCTGGGAGAGAGTCAGTGGGCGGCACCGGGCTGGCTTTCTGAATTCAATCAGAGGTGGCCAGCCCCCTCTAACCATGATCCAAATGTACATGCCAGATGAGGAGCCGTCGTGGTTGAACAGGGAATGTTTCATGCAAATCATGGGTTTGGAGCAGGATTTTGTGGAGGGAGCATCCTTGAGAAAAATGTTGGGATGGCTACGGACTGGCGGGCTATTAGTCACAGAGCCACCACCTCCTCCATGAACGATGAAAGTTCTTACCACCCTGGATGCACAGATCAGCAGTTAATAATGAGGTCTCAGCATGGAGGAGACACATTCTTTCACACACATGCACACACACACATATGCACACCTGCACACACATACATACATACATACAAGCATGCACAAGAAGTCTTAGAGCCCCATCTCCTTTTGGCTGGGATTTTGCATCCTGAGAATCTTGGGTGTTACCCATGGGAACAAGCTCCTCCGAAGCCACACATGGTTGAAACTCCTCTCCCAGTGACAACGACGTCACGTCTCCCAGGCACTGGCTCCCTTGGGAATGTGTGAGTTGCTCCCCTGGGGCAAAGAGCAGCTGCTCGGGGTGACTCATAAATTGTGCTCTCAGCCCTGTCACCCACTGTGCCTCCCGTCCATTACTCAGCCTTCTCCCTGCGCTTGTTCCTATGGCTGCCCCTCAACCCAGCTCACCGCTGCTCCCAGCTCGCTCGGCACTCTGCAAGGATTGGCATTTGCTTCGGGCAGACTCTTCTCTGTCCCTGCCTTCTCTCCTCCATGAGACCCAAGGCAACACAATTTGCCCTTTGAGGAGTTGGGAGTGGGAGCAGAGATCGGGGTGACAGGGGACAGAGAGATAAAGGCAAGAAAAGAATGTTCCCTTCGTTGAAAAACAGTTCAGCTCCAGGGTCACCTCTTTGAAATCATCAGTGACACCTCACTCTGCGTACTCCCCTCAAACACAGCCCCTAGGCATTGCTTCTTCTAGGATCTGGGATTTTTGACACTGAAGGGTCCTGGCTGCCTTAAATCCTTTCTAGAAGAAAGTGGAATGAGGCAGAGTATAAACAGACAAATACACCCAACAGGTGAAATAAAACTTGAGCTTCTTAAGCAATGCTCTGTTTCTACAGGCAGCTCCCACTTGTGGAAAGGCAGAGGGATGAGGAGGGTGGACATGAGTCAAGCCTCCCCCTTCCACTCCCCACTGTCAACCCCCACCCTGACCCATTCAACAGCCTAGGGAGTTCCCTGCTTAAGGGAATCTTAGAACACACACCCTCTGCAAATACCTACAGCCTGTGTACTGAAACTTAGAGATTACTTCTGAAAAAGTGACATCATCAACAGTACAGGATTCTCAAAAACTCAGTCCCTGTTTCCTTTTTACTTCTGTTATTTTAAAATACCAAAGATACTTGCATTTTCTTCTTTTCCAACTGTTAGTGAACTCTATTCCAATCAGCATTAAGCCCAGCAATTTTTGTACTAGGTACCTACTCCTACACTCCCTGTTTAATAATCAGTCATCTAGAATAGGGACTGGCAAGCTTTTTCTGTAAAGGACCACAGAGTAAACATTTTCAACTTTGTGGGCCATGACATCTCCATCGGAGCTACTCAACTCTGCCATTGTAGCATGAAGCACCCATAGACAATAAGCAAATGAACAGGTATAGCTGAGTCTCAATAAAACTTTATTCATAGACTTGGAAATTTACATTTCATATAATTTTCACATGTCACAAAATATTCCTTTTTTTGATTTTAACTTTTAATGTGGAAAGGATTCTTAGCTCACGAGCTGTACAAAAACAGGTGGCAGGCCGGTCTTGGCCCACAGACTGTAGTTAGCCAACTCCTGGTCTAGAATCAAATATTTAAATGGAAACCCTGAGAGAGCTCTTTCTTTTGAAAAGAATATGATAATCGTGATAATAGCTCCCATGTATTGAGCACTTGTTCCATGAAAGAACTTGACATGGAAAAACGGCTTTTCATCCTCATATTAACATATGAGACAGGTAAATATTTTCTCTGTGTTTTGTGGAGGTAGTCACTGAAACTGATGAGAAGAAAATTAACTCACCAGGTTCACTGCAGCAAGGATTGGAACCTGAAGTGCAATTCCAGACAGAGATACGGGATGCACGGGTTCAGCATCCTTAAAAACACAGATTCCTGTATGTTAAGGAGGTGATGAGAAGGAGGTGTCTGGGGAGCCACCCCATGGGATTTATATCACTTGTTCAGAAAAACCTTCCATCAAGGCTACCATGAAGGAGTAGTCTTCCTGCCCAACTCCTAAACATTTCGCTCAAGTGAAACACAGCTCAGATGGACTCCAAGAACCCTTTAGAACTGGGGAGAGGGAGGAGAGTGGATGCATTTGACAAATGGTTAAGGGCCACCTTGTACTGGGGGTCATAGAAGGTACTGAACGGTGATTGAGAAGCCAACTGCAGGGATGTGAGCCTTGGCTCATTATTTTTGGCTCTGGCAGATGCCTGGGCCCCCTGCCCCTGTGAGTACTACCCCAGGATGCCCAGAAGCAGGGTTCTGTCTCCACGTACTACCCCCAACAGGAGGTCTCTGCGTCCAGCAGCCTCCGCTTCCAAATATTCCCCATTTCTGCTCTTCCTCTAGGCCCAGCCCTCCCCACTGTCAGCCTCCAAGGTCCAGGCTGGAGGCAAAATGTCCCAGAGCTGAGTCTGCTGCCACCCAGAGAGAATTCTATTCAAAATGAGGGCCCTGGGAAAGAGTTGGGTGGCTGCTTTCAGTTCCTCTTAGGCCCGATGCCTGATTTCTTTTCCATTCTGGGCACCAAGGCTCATCTGGACAGAAGAGCACACTCCTTGGCTGCCTCTGGGCCCACCACACCCGGTGGAAAGGCACGGATCCTGGATATAAACCGACCAAAGCAAGACAAGGCCGTCTGCTGGAGCCGCCCTCCGCCCTCCAGACACGCACACTGGTTTCCTAATCCTTGGGATTTCAGGAAAAGGAGGCCCGACCCGCCACGGCACTGAGAGGGAGGGAGAGAGGGAGAGAGAGAGAGGGAGAGGGAGAGGGAGAGAGAGGGAGGGAGAGAGAGAGAGAGAGAGAGAGACCAGGCGGGAGGCAAGCTTCTCATTATGTAAAACACTTGGCTCATTCCTCTTTCTCTGCATCCTGCTAGCGATTTTGTATCCGGTTTGGGAATTCCAGGAACATCTGCAATTGTCTTTTGCCCAACCACACATGTGCAAGCTGTAGGGCTCAGTCATGTTCCTACCTGCGGTGCCCTGTCATTAGCCCTGAACTGTGTGTGCTTTCTCTCCTCAGCAGCAAAACATATAAAACCCTGGCCGGCGACCACACCTGCAGGACTCCACCTCCCCGCCTCCTCCCACTGAGACCAAAGGCAGAGAGACCAAGTCACCTTTCCGACAGTGAGAAATGCCAGGGCGAACAGGGCTTGTCTGAACAGTCCAAGTCCTCTAACTAAACAGACAGTACATTTTTAACACAGCGTTCTCCCCTACCTCTCCCTGTTTGTGTGGGAAGGCCTGGGGAGGCCGGGTGGAAAAGGGTAGGTGCAATTCAATTCAAGACTCTCAGAAGGGGTGCTTGCTTGCTTTGGTTCTACTTCAGCCAGCACTGATGACCTCCACCCAGATCAGAAAGGAACTCTTTGGACTATGAGTCTCCAAAGTGCAAGAAACATTGACCTCAGAAGCCAGCGACCACCTCTTCTTGCCACTCTGGGTGTGGCAAGATGGTATAAAAAATAATGCCTACTATTGCTGTCTTCCGAACTAAAATAAGCAATGCATAGAATGCATTTGAAGACTGAATGGTACACAGTGTGCAGTCAACCAGTTTGTTATGAATATTCATGATTATGATCAGTCCTCATCCTCTTTGTAAAACTCTTTCCCTCCTCCCCTTTTGCGCCATGCTGCACACTCCTGGCTTCCTTCCCCAGTCCCACTGTGCTTCCCATGTCCCCTGATCCCCACTGGCCTCCACGCACCTAAACACTGCAGTGTTCTCCAGGAATCCATCTCTCCTTAGTCTCCCAGCTCTCCCACTATGGACCCATCCCATGACTCCATCTTTTGCTGGGTGTGGATACACACCCCCAGTCCCTTGGCACAAAGATTTTGGCCAACCCTGGGTCCAGCTCCACCCTTTGCTCCTACCTGTCTTGCAGCACTGCTGACACTGTCCTGTAATTTCTTCATATGCTTATCTCACACATGTCTGATCAGCAAGACTCCATGCCTGCATTTATCCCCACAACCTGGTATTATGTGATGTGCAGTAGGAACCCGGTCACCACTGTTTAAATAAACAAAGCACCACCCCTGGCCTCTCCGCCTCACCTCAAATCCCCATCTCTAGAGGTCAAGTAGACGTTTTCCCAAGCAAAAGACTCAGGCGATTCCAGGAACTCACCAGAACCCCTCCTGTGTCCTCCATCTCAGCTTATTCACTGCACCCAGATCTTAGCACAGGGGAGACAGTCAAGAAGTGTGTGCTAAATAATTAGGGAAAGAATAACCATTTGTCTAGCTCAGGTTTACACTTCCGACATCATCTCGGGTGCACCCTCTCTTTCCCCACAAGCATTCTGACCCCATGCTGTCAATTCTACCTTCCCAGTGGCACCTGCTTTCATCCCCGCTTTGTCTCTGCCACTGCTGAGGCCTGGGCCCTTATTGCTGCTCCTCCAGTCCACCAGCCAGCCCTCACCGCCATCTGTCCCTCCCTAACCTGCTCCGAGAGGACCAGGCCAGGCCAATTCCTAACTCACAAGCTTCCCAAGCCTCCCACACTCACAGGCCAGCTGTAGAAACCCTGTCCCTTCTTGGCCCCACCCACCATTTCAACCCCATCTCCTCCGTGACCCCCATGGCTCCAGTCCCACCCAGCTACTTACTGGTCCTGGGAAGCCCTGTCCAGATTCACCTCCGGTCTTCAGCTCAAAGCAGGCTTCCTCTACCTGAACTGGCCATCTCTTCTTGCCCACTACAGCTCAGGCCTTAACAGCCGGCGAGCCTTCAGGGCCTCCTCAAAACTCCTCTCTGACAACTCTCCCTGTCTTCCCCAGACGCTCTGGCCACATTCTCACACTGAAGTCAGGGGGATCACGTACCCAGAAGACACAAGCCAGACACTCTCCTTTATGTGATGTTTGTTTGCCACCCGCCTGAAGATAGGCACCGGATCTTACACTTCTGGGCCTGGAAAAAAACATCTTCCACAGAGCAGATGCTCGTATATTACAAGTATCTATTTATACATGAGTCTATATAAGTGCGCTTCCCTTCTCCCCACCCAGTCACCACTGGAGTAAGCCTTGTGCAATTTACCAGTGACCACCTGGCAAGCCACAGGGCCCCCATTTTGCTCACATCAGGTAAGACTCATACTATCTTAGGGAGCATCTAGTTTGGTGGTTAACAGTGTGTCATCTGGAGGCTTCCCCCAGGGGCTTTCAGGAAGGATAGCAAACCGAGGCATGCCTCTCAGGACTCTCCGGCCCCCTTCAGCTGCACCATTCAGACGTCCCACAGATTCCATTTTCACTTAAGATTTTGTTTACACAAAGGGATGGCTACAATTTGCCGTCCCTTCGTGTAAACAAAATCTTACATGAAAATGGTTGCACAAATAAGTGGCTACAATTTTTTTAACTAAACTATCAGTGTACTCCAACCAGTTCACCTTATACAAGAGAAGAGAGAGGACCAGAGAGGGAAGGCAATTTGCCCAAGGTCACACAGCTAGTAGGGGGCAGATCTCCCTCCAAACTGGCCAATGCACTTACACCTGCCAAATAAGGCCACATCCCAGGGAGAGGCCCTGCAGCACACAGAAGAGAAGAAGCTGCACAAACCAGGGATTCCCCCCAGTTTCCAACCATGGGTTCCATCACCTGCCTCATGTTCCTCAGTGGATCATTCAAGATCTCCTCAAAGGTAGAGGGGTCTCAAACTCAGCAGTCTGCAGGACCAGGTAGCAAACAGGAATGTAGCTTCAGGTAGCTTCAGGAACCAGTTACCAAACAGAAATGAATGAAGCTGGCTGGACATAAGAATTAACTAGAAGGTTAGAGAAACCATGATGAACCCAAGGCACTTTGCAACTCACAAAGTCCATAGCCAAGGGAAAACCCTGACTCAGAGTCCTCAATGGGCCCACTTTTTCAATCAAAGCCGGAGATCCAAAACTTCATAGGAAATATCTACCATCTCAAAAGTGGCAGCTAACTCAAACCATTTTAGCGCCAGGTATCAGTAAAAAACACACCCATACCCAGGCCTCTGGACTGTTGGTTTGTGAACTCTGCCCCTAAGGAATGTCTTTCTGGTTGAGAGAGCAGTTAATAAGACAGAGATGCAAGGTCTGAGATCCTGAGGTTATGGTGACCCTTGGGTCTGAAAGAAGCTTTATAGAATAAGATGTAACTTTCTCTCTTTTTTTTTTTTTTTTTTTTTGAAAGGGAGTCTCACTCTGTCATCCTGGCATGACCTCGGCTCACTGCAACCTCCACCTCCCAGGTTCAAGTGATTCTCCTGCCTCAGCCTCCTGAGTAGCTGGGATTATAGGCACGTGCCACCACACCTGGCTAATTTTTTGTATTTTTAGTAGAGACTGTGTTTCACCCTGTTAGCTAGGATGGTCTCAATCTCCTGACCTTGTGATCCTCCTACCTCAGCCTCCCAAAGTGCTGTGATTACAGGCATGAGCCACCGTGCCCGGCCGATGTCACTTTTCTAAAACTGAGGTGATTTCAAACAACTTACACAAATCCAGTTCTTGTATCCATGGTGCCCAGACAGCAGCTTGGGATATAGAGTGTTCTGGGGAAAACAGGCAGCAGAAACAAACCAGTCATGTTTTTCTAATGAAACCCTTAAAGTGCCCTCCTTAAGTCAGTCCGGTTCTGATTTTAGAGTAATAATGACGACAATAAATTAAAGAGAGGAGTCCTAGCAGTTTCCAGCCTGAAGTTGTTCTCTGTTGGAACATCCTAAAATTCAGACAGACATAAGTAGGAGAAATGACCCTAGTTATCAGGGCCAGCCCATCTCCACTGCACTTTGCATCCCGTCCATAAAACAAGATGATTTACAGATACAGAGGGAGGGACCTCTCGCTTCCCCTCTGCAAAATTTATTCCTCTTTAATGAGCTGCCATGCCTCTCCCTTCCTTCTAATCTCTTCCTCCCCTTGTTTGCTCACCCTCTTCTGCCTCTGCCTTTGCCTCCTCCAAGGGAGAGTCAGCGTGTCCAGGTGGCAGGATGCTACTGGTAGAATAAAATGGTTTAGGAACAAAAGAAACAAGTGAAGTTGGCAGAAGGAGGGAAGCTATCTTCAGACTGAAGAGGTTGGACTGGCAGATGTGGGATTTCCTAGGACCCACCTGGCTTTTATTGGGGAAAGAAACTTATTAAAGTGAACTATCCCACCTCTGGTGAAGAATCAGAATGCAGTGCACAGTGGCCAACGGGGGATGGGAGAATGGCTTCCCATAAGGGAGACACAAATGATTTCTGCTCCTTGCACACAGCTTTGGGACTAATGGGGACCAGGATCTATAATCAGACACCACTGTAATAACCCCACATGCTTACCCTTTCTTGCTCCCACCTCCCACTTGTCTTCTCCAATAAGTAATCACCCTGAGCCCTGGAGGCAAGAGGTTAGAAAGTGAGAGAAGGGCTTGAAAGTTACATGCCTGTTGATGAAGATTCCTGCCTTGGACTATGAGAAGGTCTCCTCTGGAAGAGAGTAAAAAATCCCTCAACGCAAATAATAAAAAACACTTTTTTGATATATGAAAAAATGCTCAACATCATTAATGATCAGGGAAATGCAAATCAAAACCACAGTGCAATACCACCCTACTCCTGCAGGAATGGCCATAATAAAAAAATCAAAACATAATAGATGCTAGTGTGGATGTAGTGAACAGGGAACATTTCTACACTACTGGTGGGAATGTAAACTAGTACAACCACGATGGAAAACAGTGTGGAGATTCCTTAAAGAACTAAAAGTAGATCTACCACTGGACCCAGCAATTCCACTCCTGGGTATCTACCCAGAGGAAAAGAAGTCACTATCCGAAAAAGATACTTGCACATGCATGTTTATAGCAGCACAATTCACAACTGTAAAAACGTGGAAACAACCCAAATGTCCATCAGTCAATGAGTGGATGAAGAAACTTTATATATATATATATTTTTTTCATATATATATTCACATATATATTCATATATATGAATATATATGAATATATATGTGAATATATATGTGACTATATATGTGAATATATATGAATATATATGAATATATATATGAATATACATGAATATATATATGAATATATATGAATATACATGAATATATATATGAATATATATGAATATATATGAATATATATATGAATATATATGAATATATATATGAATATATATGAATATATGTATGTATATATATGAATATATATGAATATATGTATGTATATATATGAATATATATGAATATATGTATGTATATACGCATATACGTATATACATAATGTATATACGCATATACGTATATGCATATATGTATATACGCATATACGTATATGCATATATGTATATACGCATATACGTATATGCATATACGTATATACGTATATGCGTATATGTATATACGCATATACGTATATGTATATATGTATATATGTGTATATATGTATATATGTATATATGTATATATTCATACATATATGTATGAATATATGTATGAATATATACGTATATATATATATGAATGATGGAATACTACTCAGCCATAAAAAGGAATGAATTAATGGCATTTGCAGCAACTGGATGGGATTGGAGACTACTATTCAAAGTGAAGTAACTCAGGAATGGAAAACCAAACATCATATGTTCTCACTCATAAGTGGGAGCTAAGCTATGAGGATACAAAGGCATAAGAATGACACAATGGACTTTGGGGACGCGGGGAAAAGGGTAGGAAGGGAGTGAGGGATAAAAGACTACAAACTGGGTGCAGTGTATACTGCTCAGGTGATGATGCAAAAAAACTCACAAATCACCACTGAAGAACTCACTCATGTAACCAAACACCACTTGTTCCCCAATAACCCATGGACATAAAAATTACAAAAATAAAACACTTCTTTGTCATACTTCACAAAGCTCCTTCATAGCCATGAGCCCATTTGGTCCTTTTAACAACTTCTTCTAGGTTAGTATGACTTCATCTTATGAACAAAGGACTAGGGCTCAGAGAGGTTCAATGACTTGGGCCAGGTCACACAGCTCGCTAGTGACAGTTTTTCTTACTCCAAGTCTAGAATTATTCCTACTTAACGATACCTACCCAGGTTGCTTGGGATCAGGAGACCAGGAAAGGAAAGGAGGAAAAAAAAATATAAAAGAGAAAAATGCAATATCCATGGTTAAAATAAAAGATGCAAAGGTCAAATGGAATTTTTGAAAGTACTTCTCAGACAACACTGAGAAACAGCCAAGCATGTATCCTGCTAGGTCTTATTTTTCTTTTCAACAACAAGATATTTTTTCCCCCTCTGCATCCCAAAATTATGTTGTCTCTCTTCCCTTCAGGCCCCAAATGCCTTTTAATCTTTGCAACAACTCTACAAGGAGGAGAGGGTTGGGGCGGAAGACTGTCAGGCATGATGGACTCCAGATTGCCCATAACTTCATCAGAGACCCTCTGCACAAACTCCCCAGCGGCCAAGTAACCCAGATGGCTCCTCTGGGACTGTTCTCTGAGTGAGACAAGGCAAAGTCAAGATTGTGCTGTGGTCTTCAGGCTCCAGACCCCCAGGTGCTCAGAAAGAAGGGTCTCTGTGGACTGGGTCTGTGTGTTGCTTCACGTGGATCCAGGACACACACCCCCACTGCCAGACAGACACCTGTGGCCATTTGACTGAGTTTGCTGGAAGTGAAATGAGGATTTCTGAAGAGTATAGCCTGGTGTGAGCTGTGAGAATCTCACAGTACCGGGGAGAGCCTGTATGAAGATAGAATTGAGACCAGGTGACCTGGCAAAAGGGCTCCACCCACCCTGAGTAAACTTCAAGGCCAACCCACATCTCAGACCTGGTAGACCAGTAGGCTGGTCTCTCTCTCTCTCTCTCTCTCTCTCTCTCTTTTTTTTTTTTTTTCCTATTTCTCCATGGGAACTTCCATGAAAATGTGCTGACTGCCTCTGACCCTACTAAAAACAATGGGAAATTCCAAGTTTTCACTTTTGCCTCTTGAAGTTGCAAGGCAACTTACCTTGCAACATCGGGAAAGGCTGGTTCATTATACTAGCCTTAGAGATATAAGTACTAGGTCCTAAACTGGACCCTAACCCGAGCTTTGCTCACATAGAGGGGAAGGCCTTGGAGAGAATGAAATGAGACCCTTACGGGGGAAGCGCACCCCCTCCCTTAAAAGACTCGAGTTCAGACATTTAGTTTGGGAGCTCTCAGCTCCCGTTCTCTCCCTCCTGGGTTGCTCAACCCTCCCTCAGGTACCCAGCCTGGATCCAGGTCTGCCCACAAGGCCCTGGAAGGTGTTAGCTGATAATCAAGGCAGTCATTTAACCATCTATCTGCCTAAGTGTATACAACTCCTCCCAGGGACCTCTGCAGGCTAAGAGAAGGTTCTTTTTGAGAAAAAAAAAAAAAATGTTGCAAATTCAAAGGAAAAATGCTCTGATGCAGGGTTTCCCCATCTTGGTACAACTGACACTCTAGAGTGGACCATTCTTTGTTGAGGGGGCTGGCCCTGTAGGATGGTTGGCAGCGTCCTTGGCCTCTACCCACTAGATTCCCAGAGCACCCCTCTCCCCACAAAGCTGTCACAACTAAAAATGTTTCCAGACATTGCCAAACGTCCTCTGCAGGGCAAAATTGCCCCTGGTTGAGACCACTGATCTAATGGCAGAAGTTGGTACAGAGCTGAGAGCGGGAGGACCCATTTCTGAAGCCCCATCAGATAACCACCTGGGCAGCTGCCCGGCCAGGTTTGCCTGCAAGACTCTGATCACAGAGCATTCTGGAGACCTCGAGGTGAGGCAGCAGAGGGAACAAAATGGCCCTTCTACCTCGGAAGCAAAGGCCAAGGCAAAGTCAGGTTTCCAGAGCTCTCAATCCTTGGCAGGGGCAGGGGAAGGAGACGTCGAAGGCAAAGCCGGACTCAAACGTTTCAGAGAAACCAAGGGCCACTTCCAAAGTCCTTGCCTTTGAATGGAGATGGCTTGTCTCACTGCTGTTTTCTTTTCTAGTCCTTCTTTATTCACCGTGGTTAACTCCTCCTCTCCCAAGGTGTCCGTTTGTCCCTCCTAAGGAAAAGCCTCCTAGTGTTTGTCAGTCTAAGAGGAAAGAGAAACCTGAAAAGGCCTGGGCTGCTTTTAATTTACCTGGGCAGGTGTCTGTGCAGCCTCTGAAACTATCCTGAAGTTGGAGTCCAGCTGGGACCCTGATTAAGATGCAGAGAAAACCAGAGAGGAGAGGAGAGGAGTGAGGTGGGGGGCGGGGGCGGGCTGATTAATTGAGAAAAACACAACCATGCCGTGTTTGAATAAGATTGCCCGGTGGAATGCAGAGCCCTTTTTTGTGTGCTCATTCGTTTGAAACAAAAGCGAATAGAGGGAACTACAAAGGGGTCAGGGGGAGGGGAGAGCGGCAGCCAATGGATTCCTGCGAACAGACCTCGTGTGGGGGGACGGAGGCGCTACCTTGGCAGGCACTTGTCAGGGCAGTCACGGGCATTTGCAGATGAAATCTTTTCCACACAAGTCCTTAACTTCATTTTTCATTCCTATTCTACCATGAGGAGTTCATCTCCAAAATTTAATCATTTAAACTTCCTCTCTAGACCAGCACGGTCCAGGACAGAAGCCTCTGGGCAATGAGCCTTAGAAACATGGCAAGTCTAAAACTGAGATGTGCTGTTGAGTGTGAAATACATGCCTGATTTTCTACATAACGTATATTTTCTCGATAATGCATATCATCTCCCTAATACTTTGTTTTATATCGATTGCATGTTGCAGTAAGATTGGGGATATACTGGGGTAGAGATCAAATATATAACTGAAATTGACTTCATCTGTTTCCTTTGTCCTCCTTTCGGTGTGGCTACCAGAATGTCTGAAATCACCTGCGTGGCTTGCGTTTTATTTCTCTTGGACAGCACTACTGTAGGTGGATGATTCTGGGTAGCTGGTCTCTCTCTTCCACCCTCCCTCCTGCCCTGGATTGCAGACCCTCCTCAGATTGTCTGGATCCTTTCCATGAGTATATCAATCTTCATTCATTTGCCAAAGACAATTTGCGTGCAGAATTTTTTCTGCACACAAAGCACTACGTTGACATCTATAGGAGACCCCCAAATGAAAATAAGACTTTTGGATAGGAGGCCAAGGCTCCGAAGAACCTGACAAGGCCCCTTAAGAAGCAAGGCTGAGAGAGCCAGCCCCAGGGCTCCCACTGACAGAGAAACAGCGAAGCCTTCTCCCAGGCCTCGGCTGCCATATTGGACTGATTCCAACTGAGCAGCCGGGGAAGGTTAGTTTTCATTTCACCTTCCACAGAGAAGTGGCTTTTCTGGTTCTGCTTATCTTCCGGGTGACGCTAACCCTGCCACCTGTTGTCCTTCTATAGATCACAGCTTTTTTTTTTTTTTTCCCCCTTCTGACACAAGGATTGTATGGTTTTGAGAGAAGACCCTGTGTTTGAGGAGATGGGGTGTCAGGTCCTGGCCACCGACCCAGCACCTTCACTGGCCTTCAGCTTTGGTTTATGGCAGGCCCAAAAGAAGGCAATGGGAAGTGGTTAAGAAGGGCATTCTCCCAGGACTTTGGGAGGCTGAGGCAGATAGATCACCTGAGGTCAGTAGTTTGACACCAGCCTGACCGACATAGTGAAACCCTGTCTCTACTAAAAATACAAAATTATCTGGGCGTGGTGGCGGGTGCCTGTAATCCCAGCTACTCGGGAGGCTGAGGCAGGAGAATTGCTTGAACCCGGGAGGCGGAGGTTGCAGTGAGCCAAGATCGTGCCACTGCACTCCAGACTGGGCGACAGAGTGAGACTCTGTCAAAAAAAATAAAAAGAAAGAAGAAAAGAAAAAAAGCAGCAGCAGCAGCGCTTTCATGGGCAGGCACAGTGGCTCACGCCTGTAATCCCAACACTTCAGGAGGCCGAGGCAGGCAGAGTGCTTGAGCTCAGGAGTTCGAGAACAGCCTGGGACACATAGTGAAACCCCCCTCTCTACCAGAAATACAAAAATTAGCCAGATGTGGTGGCATGTCCCCATAGTCCCAGCTACTCAGGAGGCTGAGATGGGAGGATGGCTTGAGCCCAGGAGGCGGACTTTGCAGTGAGTTGAGATCATGTCACTGCATTCCAGCCTGGGTGACAGAACGACACTG
This sequence comes from Homo sapiens, assembly GCF_000001405.40. Classification (NCBI taxonomy): domain Eukaryota; kingdom Metazoa; phylum Chordata; class Mammalia; order Primates; family Hominidae; genus Homo; species Homo sapiens. The sequence continues at coordinate 72,478,602 of NC_000017.11, forward strand.
TCTCAAAAAAAAAAAAAAAAAAAAGAAAGAAAGAAAAAGAAAAAGGAGGACATTCATCATCCCAGCCCACTGCATGGACTTTGAAGAGTATTTTCATCCAAAATGTCCAAGTTAAATATCAGTGGTCGGTATGATCTAGAAGAGGGGTTCTCAATGGAGAAATATTGACCCCCTCTCCAACGGGCGTTTGGCAGCATCTGGAGACATTTTTAGTTGTCACAATGGGGAAGGTGTACGCTACTGGCATCCACTGAATAGAGACCAGGGGTGCTGCTACACATCCCCCCCACCAAAGAGAATTGTCTAGCTCAAAATGCCCATAGTGCCGAGGCTGAGAAACTCCAATCTACAATATGGAGGAGACCAGTATCCTCCAACCCCCACCACCACCAAGCCAGAGCTTGCTCTAATCTCTGGCATCAGGAGTATCCATCCTCCTTCAACACTACCTTCCAACGCACCTGGGAGTGAATCCAGGAAAACCTGAAGGATCAGGACAAGAAGAACAACAGGGAGAAGAAAAACAGCACAAACATGATTAAATCAATTAGTCCCGCTAATTACCAAGTGTCTAACTTAGCACCTGGAGCAACAGCTGGGGTTGCACAGAATTGAGCAAACATCATCCCCAACTTGGGCAGGCTCTGGGCATACTGACTTGCTCCTCCCTGCCTTCTTCTGGCAAAAGACTTTGAGTGAGAAAAGACTAAGCAATAAAGTCCTAGAGCAGAGTGACCGCCCTCTGGAGGCAGGTTCAATGCCACAGCCACATCAGGTGCACCTGCCCACCCCACTGAGGACATTCCCCGAAGAGACAATTGCACAAGGCAGTAACACCTCCTCTTGAGCTGAGGTCCTGGCTTCCCAAGCTGCTGACGTCTGCAAACAACCTCCATCAAAAAGTCCAGGGAGATCTCCCACCTCCATCAGTATTGCTCACCCTACGCTTATGAAATATGCAAAGAGAATGAGATTGCCTCTTCTCCCCACTCTGCTTGAACTCATTCTACTCTGTTCCTCTGGGTCTGTGTTTTCTCAATTTCTCAATTATAAAAGACCTGTCATTTGTTCTACAAGGTGCTCCCACAAAGACCCACAGCCCTGCATCTTGATGCTATGATTTCCCTCCTTGGAAGTGGCTGCCACTGCAAAGTCTTACCAGAAGCCCGCTGAGCTGGTAGCCTCCCCCAGCCACTCAGTGGCTCCACACTACCACAATGCAGTAACCAGACCCTGTTGCACCATGCATCTCACAGCTGCTTCCTCCTTGTCACCACTGAAATGCAGCTGTCCACAGCCACGTGGCTGCAGGTAAGGTCCTCCAGGATTCCACTCAGGGACCACATTTAATTTTGATTTAATACCTGCTGTTGAAGTTATTCTCCCAGGTTCCATATTTTACCTGGTTAACTGGTGGCTCCCAAAAGATATGTCCACATCCTAATCCCAAGAAGCTTTGACTATCTCCTTATGGGAAAAAGGGTCTTTGCAAATGAAATTAAGGATCTCAAGATGAGATCATCCTGGATTACCTAGGAGGCCCTAAATCCAATAACAGGTGTCCTTTATAAAAGAGAGAGCAGAAGACAGACACACAGAGGAAAAGGCCATGGGAAGACTGATGTGATGCCACCACAAGCTAAGGAATGCCTGGGGCCTCCAGATGCTGGAAGAGGTAATGGAGGATTCTTCCTTGGAGCCTTTGGAGGGAGCACAGCCCTGCTGACAAGCTGATTTTGGACTTCTAGCCTCCAAATTCTATATTTGTGTACTTGGATATTATCTATCTCTCCCATTTGAATATATGCTCCTTAAGGGCAGGGGCGTGTTTGCTTATTTACTGCTAAAACTCCAGCAAGGAGAATGCCTAGCATATAGTTAGCTATTAAAAATATCTGGTTGGGGCCAGGCGCAGTGGCTTACGCCTGTAATCCCAGCACTTTGGGAGGCGGAAGTGGGCAGATCACTTGAGGTCAGGAGTTCGAGACCAGCCTAGCCAACATGGTGAAACCATGTCTCTACTAAAAACACAAAAACTACCCAGGCATGGTGGTGGGTGCCTGTAATCCCAGCTACTTGGGAGGCTGAGGCAGGAGAATCACTAGAACCTGGGAGGCAGACAATGCAGTGAGCTGATATCGCACCACTGCACTCCAGCCTGGGCGATAGAGCGAGACTCAGTCTCGAAAAATAAATACATAAATATCTGGTTGGATGAATGAAGTCATAGTCCATATTTTCAAAAGCAGAGATAGTCTAGAACATGCTACTATATCCTAATTCTGGAGCATTTCTGCAAATAAAAAAACTCCCTGCATCTTCCCTTTGGGTTACCAAGGATTTTTACACATATCACACTGACCCCCCTGAGAAATCTACCCTGATTTGTCTTTTGGGGAAAAAAAAAATGGGAATTTTCTCTGAAGGGAAATTCCTGTGCTCCTGGTGGATAAATAAAGCACATTGCCTGAAATGCCCCTAAATTTTTAATAAGTGTTTTAACATCATTTATTACATCTCCCATTGCTAGCACTTTCTTAAAGAAACACAAATTAAGAGGCACAGTAGGTGAACACTTGGGGAAGGGGATGGTTCCTCAACAGGCAGAGGTCATGCTGAGGAGCAAACTGATGCTCCCCAGTGTTGGCCAAGTGGATGGTCAACACTGAGATTTGCAACATCCCTGCACCTGGGGATATTCATAACGTTGACATCACAAACAAGACCTCTTCTTTAGGGACTCCAGACCAAAGAAACCTCCGTGTAAAGGAATGACATTCCTTGGTCGATGGGTAGCTCAGCCCAGATAAGCTCAACAGGACCCCCAATAACTGGCCATAGAGCATGCTCTGGTCTTTCCAGAAGGTACAAATGGGGCCCTCCCTCTTCACCCTTTCCTAAGATTTAGATGTGCTAGTAACATCATGGTACTTTTTGAGGTTGGGATAATAAGTAAACAGAAGTCTTTTAAGATTTTGATGCAGGGAACATTAACAGGAGACAGAATTTGGAGTAGCAGGAGAATTTGAAAATGTTAAAGAAACTTTGTCCTTCCAAAGAAAGCCAAAAATATTATTTGCACTTCAGTCTGCATTTGTCTGGAATGCTTACAAAACTAATTAATATGGTGGCTTCTTTTTTTTGAGCTTCCAGTTAAAAATTGCCGACTCACCATTTTGTTTTCCTGGCCCGGGGACAATGTCTGAAAAAAAGCTCTTCCCTCCAGAGATAGAGAAAAGAACAAAATGAGCCCCTCTCTGCTAGGGAAGGGGAAGGGATACCTCTAAGTAGAGCACATTTTAACATCTGCTTTAGGCTGAAATGGTACCACACACACCAAAATCCACCATCTCTCATCACATTTCCCATGGAGAACTCAGCCAATAAAGGAAGTGACATCTCAGGTGTTGGTCCGACAGCCATCCCAATTATAAAAGCTATCTCCATTATAAAAGACCTGTTATTTGTTCTGCGAGGTGCCTTTTGCCCCAGCTGTACACAAAGGGCAGCAATGGCATAAAATGATGACGCTGGAGTAGTGACAGCCGGAATGTCGCCATGACAGTCAGAAAAGGTTGAGATGACCAACTAGCATCCCTCCCTGGGCAGGCAGATGAAAAAGAAAAAACTCAGTAAAAACAAAGGTTGGATCATGTGTTTCTTAACTCTTTACCAGTTCCAAAAAGAGCTAGGGTGCCTCCCTTGCTAATAACAAGAGGAAGAGCAGTAAAAACAGTCATGAAACACTTCCATGAGAGGGGCATCCGCCCTGGACACTCCACAGGCATCCTTTTACCTTCCCACTCACCAGCGCCAGCCTCAGGAGGGGGCATCATGGTCCCGGTGCTAGAGATGAGGACTTTGAGGCTCAGATGAATGGAACAGCCATTTGCAATGAAATTATTGTTTGGTACTGCTGGGTGCTGTATTCGTTTGTTCTCACATTGCCAGAAAGAAATATCTGAGACTAGGTAATTTATAAAGAAAAGGGGTTTAGGCCAGGTGCAGTGGTTTACACCTGTAATCTTAACACTTTGGGAGGTAGAGATGGGTGGACCACTTGAGGTCAGGAGTTTGAGACTAGCCTGGCCAACATGGTGAAACCCCATCTCTACTAAAAACACAAAAATTAGCTGGGTATGTTGGCACACGCCTGTAGTCCAGCTACTCAGGAGGCTGAGGCAGGAGAATCACTTGAACCCAGGAGGCAGAGGTTGCAGTGAGCCGAGATTGCATCACTGCCCTCCAGCTTGGGCAACAGAATGGGACTCTATCTGGAAAAAGAAAAGAAAAGAGAAAAAAAGAAAAGAAGGAAGGAAAGAAAGAAAGAAAAAGAAAGAAAGAAAGAAAGAAGAAGAAAAGAGGTTTAATTGGCTCACAGTTTCACAGGCTGTACAGGAAGCAGGAGGCTGTCATCTGCTCAGCTTCTGGAGAGGCTTCAGGAAACTTATGATCATGGCAGAAGGCAAAGGGGAAGGAGGCCTGTCTTACTTACATGGCCTGAGCAGATGGAAGAAAGAGAGAGGAAGGGGCGGGTGCTACACACTTTTAAACAACCAGATCTTGTGGGAACTCGATCACAAGAACAGCACTAGGAGAATGGTGTTAAGCCATAAGAAACCACCCCATGATCCAATCATCTCCCACCAGGCCCCCTCTCCAGAACTGGGGATTACATTTCAACATGAGATTTGGGTGGGGACACGGATCCAAACCCTATCAGGTGTCAACTTGGACAACCCAAGATTCTTCAAATATTTATCCTCCCCAGTTATCCTGAAGCTGAAGGCATTCATTCGCAAACACTTTTACCTCACAACCTCTTCTGAGGATCCCACTCATTACCCAGCTTTTCCCTATACCTCTCAGCATTGCCAGATCCCATCCCCAGCAACGCCTATCCCCTGGGAAAGAATTAATGCAGCCAAAGTTTTGGAACCCACGGTTCTCCAAATCCCACACTTTGGCATGAAAAATGGTCAATGTTTCTAAGCACCCTAGGGGTATTTCTCTTGCTATCATGATGATACAACCAGAACGTAGGCAGGACCACCAGTCACACCCATCCAGGAGCCCACCTTGGTGACCCACAATTTAGCACCCCTATTTTCATTCCTGGTCAGTTTGTCCAAATACGAAGCCAGGATCAGCAAAGTTCTTCAGTGAAAACCCAGAGAGTAAATGTGTTTGGTCTGGTCAGCCACACGATCTCAGTCGAAACTACTCAACTTTGCTGCCGTAACTCAAAAGTAGCCACAGAGAGTATGCAAATGAATGTAAGTGGCTGTGTTCTAATAAAAGTTTATTTACAAAAGGTGGCAGGCTGGATTTGGTTCATGAGTTGTAGTTTGCCAACCCCTGTATTAGACTGTAAGCACTCTGAGGTGAGGGACTCCGTCCTTCAGTTCTCTGAGTCTTTTTCAGACTTTGTCCAGAGTCCTGCTTAGACAAGGGACTTTGCGAATGTCTGCTGCCTGCAAGGAAGTTCCCTGGGGATCCACATGGGAAGAGAGAGTAGTGGGAAGGACAGAGGCTTTAGAATCACATACACCTGGATCCAAATCCCAGCTCTGCCACACAGCAGCCATACATTGTGGTTTCATTGTCCTGAACTTGAGTTGTAAAATGAGAAGAGCACTACCTACCCCATAGAATTGTGAGATTCAAATTAGATTAAATGTTGATAACTTAAAAATAAAACATACAAGGAGTGCTGAGAAAGTAGGCACAAGGTTAACATATGGCTGGGGAAATTTTGGATAACCGTTTTGAAGTCTGTCCATCTATCTATTTGGGGTGTCATCTATCTGTATCAAGGACTATTGAAATATACATGGCCAGGCGCAGTGGCTCACGCCTGTAATCCCAGCACTTTGGGAGGCAGAGGCGGGCAGATCATGAGGTCAGGAGATCGAGACAATCCTGGCTAACACAGTGAAACCCTGTCTCTACTAAAAATACAAAAAATTAGCCGGGCGTGGTGGCGGGCGCCTGTAGTCCCAGCTACTCAGGAGGGTGAGGCAGGAGAATGGTGTGAACCTGGGAGACGGAGCTTGCAGTGAGCAGAGAGTGCACCACTGCACTTCTGCCTGGGCAACAGAGCAAGACTCCATCTCGAAAAGAAAGAAAGAAGGAAGGAAGGGAAGAAAGGAAAGAAAGGAAAGAAAGGAAAGAAAGGAAAGAAAGGAAAGAAAGAAAGAAAGAAAGAAAGAAAGAAAGAAAGAAAGAAAGAAAGAAAAGAAAGAAAGAAAGAAAGAAAGAAAGAAAGAAAGAAAGAAAGAAAGAAAGAAGGAGAAAGAAAGAAAGAAACATATTTCTCCTTATAAAAATTTATCTCAACAAAATAATCACGGATATACGCACAGGTTTTGTTACAAGGATGGCCATTGCAGCAACGTTTTTAATTTTTGCTACTTTCAACAATCTAAATGTCCAACCACAGGGGATTATTTAAATTAATTAAAGTACACCATGCGATAGAATACCAGGCAATTGAAAATGCTGTAGGACAGCAGTTCTCTATGCACGGTCCCTGGACCCTGAGAGTTTCCTGTACCCTCTTCTGGCAGGGAGGGCAGTCTACAAGATAAACACTACTTTCATAATAATATCAAGATGCTGAGGTCAGGAGTTCGAGACCAGCCTGACCAACATGGCAAAACCCCGTCTCTACTAAAAATACCAAATTAGCTGGGCGTGGTGGCACATGCCTGTAATCCCAGCTACTCAGGAGGCCGAGGCAAGAGAATCGCTTGAACCCAGGAGGCAGAGGTTGCAGTGAGCCAAGATCGCGCATTGCACTCTAGCCTAGGCAACAAGAGCGAAACTCCATCCCCCACACCGACCAAAAAAAGGAAAAAAAAGATGTTATTGCCTTTTTCACGGAGTACATCTGCACCAATGGTCCAAAAAAAATGGCAGGTATAATTATCAACACTTTAGCATGAATGAAGGCAGTGGTGCCAAACTGCTACCCCACACTCACAATAAATATATATTAATGCAAATTTCACCTAAGAATATCCTTGGTGATGCAATAAAAATAGTCAATTTAATAAATCTTGACCCTTGAGTATGTCTCTTATTTCAATACTCTGTATGACAAAATGGGAAGTGTGCATAAAACGTTCCTGGCACATAGTGGAATATGATGTTTGTCTCAAGAGAAAGCACTTAGGGGAGTATTAAGCTGCCAGCAAAACCAGCTGCATTTTTCACTGAACACCATTTTTACTTGAAAGAACTGACAGACAAATTCTGGGTATTCACGCTTGGGTATCTGGCAGACATTTGCTCGAGAATGAATTAAGAAAGCCTGCCATTTCAAGGGAAATAATAACGGTGAAGGATGATACAATTTGAGCTACAATAAAGAATTATAATTTTTAAAAATTTGTCTTCATCACCATGAACTTGACAGATTCCCAGTTCTGACAGACCTCTCTGATATCGAGGGTGAGGTTAAAGAATGTGATTCTTTGACATTGTAAAATGAAATGTATTTATATTTGGAAGATCTGTATAACTTAATTGAATTAACATTTTCCAAATGACTAATAAATGATGTTTCAAAATCTGGCATGGGTAAAAGATCCATTCAAAGTGCAAGGCTGAATAAATATTAATGTAACAGAATAAGAAAGTTCATTAAAATGTTTTTTTAAGTTTACATTGCAACCACCTTTAAAAAGACTACCATTTGTCAAATTTTTGTGAAATATCAAAAAAATGCATAATTATCTGAAAAGGCTATGAATATACTTCTCTTTCTTCCAAATACATGTCTGATTGAGGCTGGATTTTCTTCATATACTTTACAACAACATGTCTTTATAGATGGAATGCAGACACAGATTTCAGAATCCAGCTATTTTCTCTTAAGCCAGACAATATAGAATTTAGCAAGAATATAAAAAATCTTACTCTTCTCACCAATTTTTGTTTTGGAAAATATAGCTATCTATCATAAAAATATGATGTTAACATGCAATTGATTTATCATTATTTTAAAATAAATATTTTTTATTAATTTTTCAATTTGAATTTCTAATATAGTAAAAATCAGTAGTTCTGACCAACATAAAAAAAAGCTCTTTGAGGCTCTCACTAATTAAAAAATGCAAATGAGTCCTGAGACCAAATGTTTCAGAATCTCCATTGTAGAAGAATATTTAACAACTAGAGGAAATACCTACAGGACACTGTTAAGTAGGGGGAAGTCAGACTGTAAAAGACTCTGGCAAATACAGGTGATTTTATTTCATGTTTTGGGGTGGGGGGGTTCTAATTTTCTAGAATACACAATGCATAGATGAATAGTAAAGAAATGCTTTCAAAATTATTTCAGGTCTTGCCCCACTTAGACTCTCTCAGGAAGTCTGTAGACAGTGCCTAACACATAGTAGGTGCTTATTAGCTCTTTCAGGTGGCCTAAAATAGTTTTTCACAGACAGACAATGACTAATTGGCTTAGCATTAGTGTCCTCTCCCTGTCATGCTGGAGGGATGTTTGTTTGCTTAACAAAAAGCCTCATACTTTAAAATATACATGCATATATATTTCTGAGCATAAAATATATATATGTTAAAGTATGTAATATATATATATATCACCTACACAAATATAGCATTTAATCAACGCTTATATTTAATATTATTTTCTACCACGCAAAGAACAACATTTACAGTACACCTTAGGCTTCAATGTAGAATAACCTGATTCCTAAAATAGAATCTATTTTCTTCTGGGAAGTGGAAGAGCTACTAAATTCTCAAACGACAACAACGTACGATGATTTCAATTAAAACATTTCTTTTTTAAGCCACAGGAGATGCTGGGAAAGCCATAAAACTCAACCCAGGTTGGAGGTGAGGAGTCCTAACATCTAAGAGAAGGTTGAGAACGGAAGCTTGAATTTGTTTACTTTCTGTGAACAGGAAAAATAATCATAAATAGCAATGCTCCCATATCATTAGAAGATGCTAAGAAAAGACTAATTTAAAAAAAAGAAAAAACTGCCTGGTCTTTGGTCACCTTGTTCATGCTGGGTGGCCTTGAGTAACCAACTCTGAGATTTCTGTTTCTGCAGCCGTAAAAATAAGCTAATGAGCATTTCCAGGGGGCCAACGAGCGCCAGAATGCTAAAGACCAAGGTGGTTGGTTCAGAAGAATTTCTGGAATGGGCATCCTGGCTTTCAGAAGCTCCAGAGACCTCCAGCCTGGCACCCAGGAGGAATGATTCTGAATCTCTGCTCCCTCCTGCATGGAGAACCTCTGGGAGGCCAGTTTTGAAACCCATTCTTGTTGACATGCAGAGCAGCCAGTTCTGTTTCCCCCGGCCCTGGGGCCCAGCATCACGGCCCCTGAGGCTATTTCCTGGTCAGACCCAAGGCATACACAAGACCCCTTCTGAGGTTTTCCGTGCCACCTCTCCGGGCGGCTCTGGCAGGTCGACATTGCTCCCTTAGGCTGCATAATTAGCAGGCTTCCAGTCGCCATGTGGTTGTGGTTGCCCGCTCCAAACACAGCCCTGCAGCCCCCTCCTCACCGGCGCCACCTCCACCGCCAGTCCACACACGTCCCCACCCTTTCTTCCCCCAGCCGCACCTCACCAACTGTGGGTCCCCACACGGCAGCTCCAGGGCTGCTGCCACCCCTCACATTGACACGTTTCCTAATCCTCTGGCAAACGCAGAGCAAGTCCACAGAACCCTGCTGTCACCACCTCGGAGCCAAACTTAGTCTCAACTCATTTAGAGACTTTGCAAGCTTTGGTGGGAAAAAGGAAAATGCAGAGAGCTCAGACTAATCTGTGTCTATCATCTAGATCCTGCCCTCTTCATCCCACGCCATTCTCCCTGCCCCTCCAATAATCACAAATCCCACTATTAGAAGGTAAAGTTTTAAGAGGTCATTTCATCTATCCCTCTGTCTTTGGGTAGGACTGTCTTCAAAATACACATTAAAAATGCTCTGTCTATGTCTACAGGGCTGATGCCACAGCCTCCTCCTTTGTATAGGTGCATGGGCAGTTAACCTACAGGTGAATGCACAGTCAAGTTCACACCTACGCCTTCGACAAGCAACATTAAACATACAACCAAACACCATCTGTACCTGTCTCCGTGCTGACTGGGGACACTCCCCTAGACCACACTGACAGCCTCCTCCTCCCCACCCACACCATCACAATGTCTTCTTCAAGTCAGCATGGAAAGGGCAGGAGAGCACACGAGTTGATGAGTTTTCCATTTTAAAGAATAGGGACGAGCAAAGCACTCCCTCTCCTGTGTTTGAAAGTTTACTTGCAGCTTCAGCAGGCAAAGGGCTTTTTTTAATATAATAAAAAAAGTTATATGACTTTAATTAAATGCACTTATTAAAAGGGTGAAATATTTGGAGAGGCTGTTTTTGTGCTGGAGGCACATTTTCCAGCGTGCTGTAGAGCGTCTGCATCCGCCCGCTCTAGGCAATTTTTAATGCACAAATAAATCCGCACCTGACGTGCTGACAGATTATTATGCAGTGTGGCAGCCAACAAAAGTAAACACAGGGGCAAGTTTTAACCTCTTGCAGTCACAGAGCTTTCCCTGCTGGGCCCAGCTCAGGTGTACAGGACTGCTGGCAAAGCCTTTTCTTCCAGTTAGGCATCTTCCTGTCCAGGAGCCCAGCCTTGGAAACAGGAGGCTGTCATCCTGTCTGGAGTGTGGCATAAGCCACAGGACAGGAGACGAAGGGAGGGGATAGAGAGGAACAGCAGCACCACATCACATTCCCCAAGCACCCTGCCTTCCATCCTGTTTATACTGTGGCCATAAGATCCACAGGCTTCTGCCCTCCGTCGATCCTTCCAGCCGGCAGAGCTGGCTGTGCAGATGTAATGCCCAGCCAGGTGCTTCTCCCAGCTCTGCCCAATGTGAAAGAGTCAGGACAGTTACTAGAGAGCTAGAGGGTAATCGGGCAACTTCCAAACTTTGGACTTTAAGTTATGGACATGTAAATTAGCATACAGTCAAGGCATTTCCTGAAACCAAACTACAGAACTGCTCATCTTCTGTTGCTCTGGTTAGATAGGGCTTGCAAAGCGACACTCCTGGAAAGGCACATGTTGCAATGGTCAGAGGCTTTGGTTTTACTTGCCTGGCCTCTGTGACATAGCTCAGTGGGTTCATTTATTTTTCATATCATGTTTTAGCTCCATGGCTACTAGATTTTTTAAAACCTAGGTTTCCTCATCTGTATAATATGCCTTCGGCTGGGGGAAGGAGAGTCTTGGGATGAAGGCGTGTTCTCACAGTCTGTTGGGGTTGACATTCACTGATCCATTAGTCTATTACTCTGTCACTAAGATCAGACAGTTGTATTCTGCATCTGTGAATAATAACAGCTCTTGTTATTCTAATTTATTTGGTGTTTACTACAATCCATACCTGATGCTTTAATACATGCTCTCATTTTATCTTCAAACTCTCCAAGGTCCAGATCATTAATCTATTTATTATCACCACTAATTTGAATAGGCACCATGTTGCCCAGTGTTCACAGTTATCCAAGCTTCATCATGTTCATTCTCTCAACAATCTTATCATACTCAGTTTACAGAGGAGGAAAAGGATGCTTAGAATGTGTTATTTTGCCCAAGGAATCCATTACATGAGCCAAAATAAAAGCACAAGTACAAAAAAGCAACCACATCAAACTTTAACTCACTAGAACATAGATATTGCAAATATAGAGCAGATTAATTAGGACCACTGAAGAAATATCCTTGTTTTTTTCTCTATAAATAAGATTGGGGACCCATATACTTATTTTTAAAACAACAGGAAAAGTTTTGGCACAATGAAATGTGATCAAATAAACAGAAAATTCCTGCAGTGGGTAGAAGGCTGGGGGAGGTGACCTTCAAGAACCCTGCCAACACATCTCTTCGGTGAACCGATTGCTTTGACACTGGAATCTACCCCCTGCCCCTAGAATTTGGGGGAGAAGCTTTGGCACGAGCTTTACATTAGCAGCATCTCCATTCACATTCTACCTCTTCATGACACTCGGATTGAATGTTCTCTTTCATACTGGCTGAGAATTTTGGGGCTGTGGCAAGGAAAGAAGAAGAGAATTTAGCCTATAGATTCTCTTTGTTTGCATACTTTCCCTCTGGTCTAGGAAAGACCAGCAAAATTCTGATCATCACACTGAATGCTTCTCCCACCAGCACCCAGGAGAACCAGTTAGCCATTACCAGGTAGATCATGTCTCTTGCACACATTTGTCAACCTCCTGAGTTTGGGGAATGCCCCACCTCATGAAACAGATGCTGACACCTGCTACTAAGGCTGACAATGCCAGGCCCTTCTATTGCCAGCCTCCCTTGCATCTAAGGCAAGAACACCAGGCTTAGGTTTCCCTAGTCAGTCACAACTATGCCCAACTTTGAGCTGGAATCAGCAGAAGCCCTGAAAGATCCACTCTGGTGAGGGTTGGGGTAACAGCAGAAAGTATTTGAGTACTTTCTAATTTGAGGCTATTACAAAAAGTGCTACTATGAACGTTCTAGCTCATAGAACACTAGTGGCAGGAGCTATGGTGTACAGGAATTCTGGCAAAGCACTGGTGTCTCTCTAAGCAATGGCCTGCTTAGAGAGAGAGTGATTCCAGTGAAGCCTCCTACACCCAGTGTCAGTGGTGTAGGCTAAGATGGGTGTGCCCACCGGTAGGAATGATATCATCATCAGACCAGCTTTTCTGTGCTTGAGACATGTTCTTGGCAGCAGAACCTCCAAACCTGGCTTCCTTACCCTCATGGAGATGCTAAGCTATACAATCTGCATTTTTTTTTTAAGAGATGGGGGGTCTCACTATGTTGACCAGGCTGGTCTTGAACTCCTGGCCTCAAGCAATCTTCCCATCTCAGTCTCCCAAAGTGCTGGGATTACAGGTGTGAGCCACCAAATGCCCAGCCACAATCTGCTTCTAATAAACCACTCTTTGTCTTAAATTAGCCAAAGGTGATTTCTGTTGCTTGCAAACAAGAACCCTGATGGATATAGGATCCTGTACAAAAACCCTGGCACTGGTGTTTGGAAGTTATACAGCACTATGTCTGTTCAATTGGTTTTTGTGTTGTTTTGCTTTCATTAATTTTAACTTTTTATGGCAATAACATATACAATAGAAGAATGCACATTTCATGAGAGTACAGGTCATCAAATTTTCATGAAATAGACACAACCGGCTGGGTGCAGTGGCTCATGCCTGTAATCCCAGCACTTTGGGAGGCTGAGGTGGGCGGATCACGAGGTCAGGAGATCGAGACCATCCTGGCTCACACGGTGAAACCCCGTCTTTACTAAACATGCAAAAAAATTAGCCAGGCATGGTGGCGGGTGCCTGTAGTCCCAGCTACTCAAGAGGCTGAGGCAGGAGAATGGCGTAAACCCGGGAGGCAGAGCTTGCAGTGAGTCGAGATCACACTACTGCACTCCAGCCTGGGCGACAGGGTAAGACTCTATCTCAAAAAAAAAAAAAAAAAAAAAAATAGACACAACCATGTAACAGGTACTTACATCAAGAAACATATCATTACCAATCCACTCAGAAGTCCACTTCCTGCTCACTTTGTCTTTACCACCAAACAAGGACAGTCACTCTCCCAACTTCTGACACCACAGATTAACTTTACCTATTTTTTGAACTTTATGTAAATATAGTAATACAGTGCATAGTCTTTATCCGGTCTAGGTGTGATCTTTGTTATCTGTTTATCTGTCACTCAACATTATGCTTGAGGGATTCCTCTATACTCTTGTGTGTAGCTATAGCTATTCATTTTCATTGCTGTATAATATTCTGTTAAAGGAATATACCACAGTTCATTTATCCATTCTACTGTTGGTAGTCATTTGGGTACTCTCTAATTTGGAGCTACCATAAAAAAATGCTGCTATAAACATTCTAGTACATATCTTTTGGTGAAATATGAACACATTTTTGTGGGTATATATTAATGCTCATAAAGTATGAATATGTTTAATTTTAGCTGAGACTGCAAAATATATTAGCATGATTTTTTTCTTTAAGACAGGGTCTCACTCTGCCACCCAGGCTGGAATGTAGTGGCACCATTATGACTCACTGTAGCCTTGACCTCGCGAGCTCAGGCTGTCATCCCACCTCAGCCTGCTGAGTAGCCAGGACTACAGGTGCACATCACCACATCTAGCTTTTTTTTTTTTTTTGGTAGAGACAGGATCTCACTATGTTGCCCTGGCTAGTCTCTAACTCCTGCACTCAAGTGATCCTCCCACCTTGGCCTCCCAAAGTGCTGGGATTACAGGCATGAGCCACAGCAACTGACAACAATAATTTTTAATTGAACTCTCAAAATAATTTTTACCCCAAAGGCATGACACTGGGAAAGGATAAGAAGTGTAAGGAGACAGATGTACGTAAAACTTCATATGGAGGCATTTCCCCGCTTTACTGCAGAGGTATTAAGATCTATAAAGACCCTGGTGTTCGGCATTTTGCCACTCGGCTTGACCTGGGTTAAATAACTGCTGACAGGTCATTGTGAAAGTCAAGGGCACAGCTGGGACAAGGCATCTGAACTCTTGGCCTTCTGACCCAGCAGCAGAGAATCACACATTTTTGCCAGCACCACTGGCCCCAGGGAACCAGCAGCCAACACTAGCGTCTCACCCAGTATCACCACTTTCTCCAGCATCTGAGAGGGGATGGCTTGCATTTGGAGCCCTATCATAAGGCCTGAATGCCTCCAGAATCAGCAGTCACTTAAATTAGGCCAAGAGGGCCAGGTGTGGAGGGGATGAGGTGGGGATTGGTGGAGATTTGAATAAATTGAGAGCGAATGTCCAGTCTTAAGGAGACATTTATTACTCAGGTTGTTGATTTTTGCCATATGGGAAAAAAGAGGCCATTATTGCCAGATTTTCTGGCTTTTCAAGGGAGGTTAGAAAACGTTTTTTTTTTTTAATAAGATATTGCAATTTGTGCTGTTGGCAACTAATTTTAAGAAGTTAAACATGGACTACTGTTAGCCAGGTGAAACACATCTATGGATCAGATCTGGCCCAGGAACCACTGGCTGACCATCTCCAATTTGGAAGGACTCAGCATTTCAGGCTCAAAGGAGAGAGAGGTCTTCTATGACTGCACAGAGCACACATGAAAGAAAGCAACTGAACACCAACTCTGGAGAGCACAGATGCTTGGAGTGTATTCCAAATCCCCTCTCTCTCTTACATGGAGAAACTCCCTCTATAACTATGACCTGTTTTGTTACCTCGATGTCGACATCATTAAATAAAGAGCCCTTCGGATCATGAACACCTCAGACAAGGTGCCTCACACTTGAAGAAAACTGAGTCTTTTTTTTGTTTTTCCTTTGCATCTGGCCATTATGTGTCCTATAATGACTGCAGGTCACTGCCTCTGCCCCCAGCCCTCATTTCTCAAGGCAGAATCCATTTGAGTTGACGACACCTGGAGCGGCTAAGCAGCACTTGAAAAACGATTTACCCACCAAGAAGTCATCAATGAGAAGACACTCTCTTTAGCAAATCAGACCTTGTTTCCAATCAGCTCAATCTTCATGCTTGAGTTTTCAACATTTTACTCAGCGAAGCTGGCTGCAATCACATGAATGTCAATGGGCTACTTAATTCTTCCTTTCTACTTCTTCCCCAACCCATAATCACAAATACCATTTCTCTGCCTCTGCCCTCCTTCCCTCTACCTGACTGCCCTCAGAATACCACACACGCATACACACTCCACTTACACATGCACACACACACGTCCATTCATCAATTCCAAGAACGAATTGGTGGGAACAATCTAGCGACAAACATATATGGGAATAGGTTTGCATTTACTTCCACTTGTCTTCACCACCCACTTTCTAGTTCCTAGTTAAGTATCAGGCATGTAGTGAGTGTTTGATAAATATCTCTCCAATGTCCTGTAGTTCCTCAGACAAATTTGCAAGACCTCATGTGTGCTATTAGCATCAAACAGCTGTTTTGGAGTGACATGAGTGCTTACCAAGGATGTAGAATCTCACCACGCCTTGCAGACAGGTTGAGACAGGTGTTCACCAAACAAGGAAACAGGGATGCAAAAAGATGCTGAAGCCATCTGGGCAAAGGGCAGTTTGGAGAGGCAAGAGGAAAATCCTGTTGCAAGATCCCAAGCCTCTAAAACCCTGGTGTGCCTACCTCCACAGTGGCTATATCTCATCCAGTGATCATGACAATTATTCAATAAATTACTATGTGTTCAATAAGCATTAGCTACATATCAGACACTTGACATCATGAACAAATGTAATTCTCGCAGCAACTCTATAAGGCTCACTGAGGAATCTTAGGATAAAGAGCTTGCCCAAGGAGCTTATCAAGTTAATCTCAGAGGTTCCCAAGGGGGAACTTGGAGGAATAAGGTGAGGGAACATTTGGGGTTGTCACAACACACAGGTGACTGCTGAAATGTAGTAGGCAGGGGGCAGGAAAGCCGGAGATCTACATCATTCAGGTCTTTTCCCACCCAAATGCCATCATCAGCCCAGTTGAAAAACACTGCTTTTTAAGCAAGGGCAGAGCCAGGATCTGCACCTGCCTACAAGCAAGTCTGCCTCAACAGCCCCTGTCCTTCCTTACCATTCCATTCTGAGGCTTCAAAGCCATTAATGTCACATAAGCTGCTTCCTGGTAGAACAACTAACTGCCCTTTCAGTAACATCTAGGAAACTTCAGAATGTAGAGAACAGATCCAGATCTAGAACAAAAATCTGTTCTCTCCCCAACAGAGCAAAATATACATAGATAGATTTTTTTGTTTATTTGCTTGTTTTAGACAGAGTTTCGCTGTGTCATCAGGCTGGAGTGCAGTGGCACGATCTCAGCTCACTGCAACCTCTGCCTCCCTGGTTCAAGGACTACTCCTGCCTCAGCCTCCCGAGTAGCTGGGACTACAGGCACGCGCCACCACGCCCAGCTAATTTTTGTATTTTTAGTAGAGACAGGGTTTCACCATATTAGCCAGGATGGTCTCGATCACTCGACCTCATGATCCGCCCACCTCGGCCTCCCAAAGTGCTGGGATTACAGGTGTGAGCCACCATGCCCGGCCTTGCAAAATATATTTAAGATGTATCTTCCATATATAAAGCAAAGCGCTAAACAGTGTTGTGAGAAAGAGCTTCTTTCTTTTTCAAGACAGAGGCATTGCTTCAAAGGCTGCAATTTCATACAAGAAAAAGGAAAGGAAAAGAATAATGCAGACTGTGAGTAGCACCAAATGCCTAGTAAAGATCATACAAGTGGCCGGGCACAGTGGCTTAGGCCTGTAATCCCAGCACTTTGGGAAGCTGAGGCAGGCAGATCAGCTGAGGTCAGGAGTTCGAGACCAGCCTGGCCAACATGGCGAAACGCCATCTCTACTAAAAATACAAAAATTAGCTGGGCATGGTGGACCATACCTGTAGTCCCAGCTACTAGGGAGGCTGAGGTAGGAGAATCACTTGAACCCAGGGGGTGGAGGTTGCAGCAAGCCAAGATTGCACCACTGTACTCCAGCCTGGGCGACAGAGTGAGACTGTCTCAAAAAAAAAAAAAAGATCGTACATGTTGAAAGATTTTAACACCATGATGCAAGTATTCAGAGCTGGCTTCATGCAGAAGGGAGGACTTCAGCTAGGTTTCAAAAGCTGGAACTGATTCCCATCAGCAGGAAAGGAGGGAGAGAGAGACAATAAAATCAGGTGTGCAGAGGTAAGAAATCAGCTTGTCAAGCTTGAGGGGCACCAAGGGGACCACCGTGGATAAAACAGAGTCCATTTCATAGCAGACAGGGGTAAACCTCAAAAGGTATTTGCACGGGATCGAGGAAGGATTTCATCTCTATCCAAGGATTCCAATCTATCTTGTAGGAAGTAGCAATCCCTCATGGGTTGTGTGCAGGAGGGATGAAAGTGGTGTTTTCAGGAATGAACAGACTGCATAAGAGTGGGTGGGGGTGAGTGGTCAGTTAGAAGTTCTCTCAATAAATCCAGCATGAGTAAGAGTCTCCATGAGGTAGGAGCAACGGAAACAGCCACTGAGCCCTGCCAATTCCTTCTCAATACCCGTTTTTGTGTTCGATTGGATAGGAACCGTTTTGGGGGCCTGAGAAAAGCAGAAGGGTTGAACCTTACTTCATAATGTAGAGGTTGATAACCAGAAGAATGACAGCCCTACTGCTGATAAAATATTGAGGACAGGGAGTTTAACCACAAAACCTTCAGGAAGAAATGGCCAGGAAATAATAACTGCTAATGGGAAATCAGTGCTGTGGTCTGCAGACAACCTGGACATTCTCAGACACAAAATGAGACCTCTCCCATCAGCCAGGTTTCAGGAGATGCAGCAGTGGCAACTTCACATGGTAATCTGCTATGTTGGTGGCTCCCAGTGAAACTCACCTGCTGAGATCCATGCCTTCATTTAATCCCCTACCCTTGAATTTAGGCTGGCCCTGTGACGTGCTTCAGTCAACAGAATGCGGCAGAAAGTGATGCTGTACCAGTTCTAGGCCTAAGCCTTCTGCCGTGTATTAGTCTGTTCTCATGCTGCTAATAAAGACACACCTGTGATTGGGTAATTTGTAAAGGAAAGAGGTTTAATGGACTCACAGTTCCACATCGCTGGGGAGGCCTCACAATGATAGCAGAAGACAAAGGAAGAGCAGAGGGATGTCTTATATGGCAGCAGGCAAGAGAGAGAATGAAAACCAAGGAAAAGGGGTTTTCCCTTATAAAACCATCAGATCTTGTGAGACTTATTCGTTACCACGAGAACAGTATGGAGGAAACCACCCCTATGATTCAATGACCTACCAATGGGTCCCTCCCACAACATGTGGGAACTATGAGAGCCACAATTCCAAATGAGATTTGGGTGGGGACACAGCCAAGCTATATCAAGTCTGTCTAGCAGCTATCTAAGAAGTCAAGCTAGGCCGGGCACGGTGGCTCTCGCCTGTAATCCCAGCACTTTGGGAGGCCAAGGCGGGCAGATCACGAGATCAGGAGATCGAGACCATCCTGGCTAACATGGTGAAACCCCGTCTCTACTAAAAACACAAAAAATTAGCCGGGTGTGGTGGCAGGCGCCTGTAGTCCCAGCTACTCGGGAGCCTGAGGCAGAAGAATGGCATGAACCCAGGAGGCAGAGCTTGCAGTGAGCCGAGATCGTGCCACTGAACTCCAGCTTGGGCGACAGAGCGAGACTCTGTCTCAAAAAAAAAAAAAAAAAGAAGTCAAGCTATCCTCTAGGATAGCTTGAGAGACCACGTGGAGAAAGAGAAGCCCTTAAATGATATGAAAAAAGAGAGAAAGGCCTAGTGTCCTAGTGGCCCAGCGGAGCCCAGTTCCCCAACCAATTCTCTAGCAGAATGAAGCCTTATGAGTAACCACTGACCAGATGAGCAGAACAACCACCCAGCCAGGCCTAGACCAAACCCCAGAATCATGGACAAATACAACAGTTGCTGTTTTAAGCCACCATGTTTTGGGATGGTTTGTTACTCAGTAACAGATAACTGATACACTTCCACGAGGCCATGGGTTGTGCTGGAGTGCCCTGGTGATCCATGCCAACAATGGGATCATGCAAAGCTCTGTGCACAGGCAAATATATGTCTATCCTTGGTGATGGGTAGTGTGAACATAAAGAGAAGCCATACAGAGCCACTGCCATCTGCAAGTGCTCCCTCAAGCTACTGGTGCCCAAGCTTGGCACATAGTTGGCACCTAAATAAACATTTGTAAAACGGATGCAGAGCTATCAATCTGATTTTAATGGACTCTAGAGAAGCGTATCCAAAGCTTACTTATTCCTGCAAACCTTCCCAGAAACTTGTAACCTTCAATGTCAGGAAATGTTCTCATAAATCTGACCATACTCCCTGAGGCTCCTGAAGCTCATTTCCTCTTGTCCAGTATGAATGGATAACAGCTGGTCACTATTCCAATATCCACTGACACTGCACCTTCCTCAGCCTTACTGAGTTCTCCTCTCATCAAGAAAGAAGACTACTGCCTTTGCCTCCTTGCAAACTTGATTCTTTTCAACCTTTTCTAGAGAGGTGCTATTTCTGTTTAACAAGAGCCTCCTGGGGATCTTGTTACAATGTGGATTCTGACTCCATAGGTCTGGCATGGAGCCACAGATTGTGCCTTCTATCAAGTTCCCAAATGATGCTGATGTCGCTGGTCCAAGGACTACACTTTGCATGGCTGCCTCATTTTGCAGATAAGGAAACTGAAGTGCAAAGCGAGGAAGGCTCTACCACCAACATCAGAGCCTTAGGCTTGATTGCACAGACCCTTCTGAGTTATGTGACTGAAACCAGTGTGGGAAATCAGAGCAGGTGTTTCTCAGCTATAGTGGCTCTAGAGCAGCTGCTCCCTTGCCATCTAAAGTCAGGTTGGCTACCTTGGAACCATCCAAGAAGCTTCTCAAAATGCAGATTCACAGGCTTTCCTGCTGGAGACTGACTCAATAGACCTGGCCTGTGGCCTTGGGAAATTGTGTTTCCAAAAGAGCTCCACGGGTGATTCTGATGCACAGTGGGTTTGAGATTATTCATCTAGAATACAAGGGAGGCAGTGACCCCACAAGAGTAAGACTCAAAAATATTAGCTCACCAGTATTTATTAAGAGGGTTCTATGCTCTGGGCACTATCCTAATTTAAATCCATATCACTTTTTTTTTTTTTTTTTTTTTTTGAGACGGAGTCTTGCTCCTGTTGCCCAGGCTGGAGTGCAATGGCACAATCTCAGCTCACCACAACCACTGCCTACCAGGTTCAAGTGATTCTCCTGCCTCAGCCTCCTGAGTAGCTGGGATTACAGGCATGCATCACCACACCCGGATACTTTTTGTATTTTTGTAGAGACGGAGTTTCACCATGTTGGCCAGGCTGGTCTTGAACTCCTGACTTCAGGTGATCCGCCTGCCTCAGCCTCCCAAAGTCCTGGAATTACAGGCATGAGCCACCACGCCCAGCCTCGTATCATATGATTTAAACTTCGCTACAACTCCATCTAGTAAGTGCTATCATAAGTCCAAATTTATAGAGGGGAAACCAAGGCACAAAGCAGCTAAATAACTTGGCAAAAGTCACATCCCTACTAAGGGGCTGAGAAAGGGTCAGAAGCCAGTTCGTTTAGCTCCAAAATCCACCTGTTAACCACTATGTTCTCGACCTCTTATCTAAAGTGAAGATAAGCTCCCTGGAAAATCCCAAGAGTAAACTGATTGACAGGAACAGTGTTTCTCAAAGCAGAAGCCGGCAGGCGCGGTGGCTCACGCCTGCAATCCCAGCACTTTGGGAGGCCGAGGCGGGCGGATCACGAGGTCAGAAGATTGAGACCATCCTGGCTAACACGGTGAAACCCGATCTCTACTAAAAATACAAAAAAATTAGCTGGGTGTGGTGGCAGGCACCTGTAGTCCCAGCTACTTGGGAGGCTGAGGCAGGAGAATGGCGTGAACCTGGGAGGCAGAGCTTGCGGTGAGCTGAGATCGCGCCACTGCACTCCAGCCTGGGTGACAGAGCGAGACTCCATCTCAAAAAAATAAATAAATAAATAATCAGAAGCCACACACCACCAGCCCTACAGAACATTAACGCTCACTCCTCGGTGGGGGGAAATGGTAGGAGATGATCTCAGTCAAATTTGGGAACAGAGCTAAACACCTCATGTTCTTACTCATGTGGAAGCTGAAAAAGTAGATCTCATAGGAAGTAAAGAGTAGAACAGAGGTTATTCAAGGCTGGAAAGGGCAGGGGGAAAAGAAGGATGGGGAGAGATTTGTTAAAGGCTATAAAATTATAGATGGACAGGAGAAATACGTTCTAGTGTTCTATACCACTGTAGGATGACTACAGTTAACAATGATATATATTTTGAAATAGCTACAAGAGAGAACATTGAATGTTCCCAACACAGAGAAAGGATAAACGTTTGAGATCATGGATATGCTAATTACCCTGATCTGATCAATATACATTGTATATATCAAAACAACACTAGGTATCCCATACATTTATCTACAATTATTATGTGTCCATTTAAAAATAAATAAATAAGGGCCAGGCGCATTGGCTCACACCTGTAATCCCAGCACTTTGGGAGGCCAAGATAGGTGGATCACTTGAGGTCAGGAGTTTGAGACCAGTCTGGCCAACATGGCAAAACCACATCTCTACTAAAAATACAAAAAAAAAAAAAAAAATTGCCAGGCATGGTGGTGCACACCTGTAATCCCAGCTACTTGGGAGGCTGAGGCAGGAGAATCACTTGAACCCAGGAGGCAGAGGTTGCAGTGAGCCAAGATCATGCCACTGCACTCCAGCCTGGGTGACAGTGTGAGACTCCATCTCAAAGAAAAAAGAAAAAAAGAAAGAAAGAAATAAAAATATAAATAAATAAATAAATAAATGTTAAATGTGGGAAACACTGAGTTAAACCAAACTAGATGGATTCTTCCTATGGAACTTCTCACAGACTTCACCAGCAAGCATAAGCAAATCAATTTCCAAGGGGTGGGGGGTACATTTTGTAACATTCTCCAAATGTACTGGTCTGCAGAATCCCTTTGTCCAAAAGCATCTCAAGACATCATGAGGATGCCAGGAAACTAACTGCCTGTGGGATACGTGGGCCCAAGGCAGTGCTTCTCAAACTTTAATGTACACACACAATACCTGGGACCCTTGTTAAAATGCAGATTCCAATGCCGTAGGTCTGGCTGGGGCTAGAGAGTCTGCATTTCTAGCAAGAGATGCTGGTGTTGCATCACCCTCAGCATGGCAGGGACCTGCAGGACAGCTCTGGCTAGCTCTGGCCCCGCCACCTCCCCAGGCAAGCCTTCTCCCAGCTCAGCACCCCCAGGAGAACAGCCCTTACGCAAACTTCCAGGGCGGTCTGGCCTCTGCTTACCTCCTCAACCCTGGAACTATTCCACAGAGTGCAAGTTTCATCGCAGGCCCCTAGGGAATCCAGACCCTTCTAGAGATCTATCCCTGGGTCCCTACCCCAACCCTTCTCTCTGTCTTCCACGAGCCACACCCCTCCCTGCCCTTGCCTCAGAAAGCCCTCATTCTGAAGGTCAGGTCCACTTAGCGGTCAGCCTCGCTCCCCAGCCGCCCAAGGTGGCTGGGATCAGTGGTGAGGAAGGGAGAGGAGGTGAAAGGAGGATAAGCAGAGAGCAAGGAGGCCCCGTGAGGTCTTGTGACCGACTGGGCCTCCTGGTGCCGCCGAGGTGGCAGTGCCAAAGCGCAGTGCTGGAATACTTGGCCTGTCTCCGGAGCAAACACCCAATCCAAACAGGCCCTAGTGTGTCTCCGAACAGACTGTGTAAATAACGGGGGGAGGAAAAAAAAACCCCAACTGGCCACAGATCCCGCTTTCAAACACATTGAAACAAAATAATCCCTCTCTCCCTCACTCGCTCACTCCCCACTGCTTGCTCTTTTTTTTTTTTTTTTTTTTAAATTTCCACCGGTGCCGAGGCCTCAGTGGAGCCTGGCTGGCGGCTTGTTAGAGCCTGCAGCCTACCTGTCCTGCATAGGAATGAAGCCGGGAGGAGTTACATGATATGCCCTCGTTGCAGGCCGGGGACACAGCTACCGCATTCAGAGACCAGGAAACAGAGCAAAAGCTGTTCTCAGAGTGCGGCTGAGCGAGGAGCTACAGGGGAATGGAGGGGGCCAAGCTGCATGGAAGATTGTCCCATTAACCTGGCTTTTTACCAGGGTGGTCCTCTCCCTAACCCCTAAGAATCACACCCTGCATCCAAACGGCAGCAACCCCAGAAAACGGGCTAAGAACTCCCCCGAACAGAGCTAGATCTAGAAAGCCCAGCACAGGGAGCTGAGCCTGAGCAGCCTCTCTCCAAGGGTGGCTCTGAACTCCACATGTGTGTACAGACAAGGGGGCGACTGGCATGTGGTTTGTTTCTGGTCTTGTAGTCGGTTTGGAATTTTCTAAGTCAGGGTGGGGTGGGGGGACTGTGCACGAGTCATGTGCAGACTGGAACCCATCTCCCCCTCGGTCTGCAAGTTAAAACAATTGGGTTGTCCTTCTCAGCATCTGCCAATGTCTCTTACTCAATCTTGGATCAAAAGGGCGTTGGAGGAGGAGGCTGGGAGGGAAATCCAGACAGTTCTCCGCCTCTGACATCAGGTCCAGCTGTTAGCATCGTGCTGTGGGTCCCTGAACAAGAAGCAAAGTCAGGACTGGTTTGGCCAGGTAGGTGAGGATCCAGTGTTGGGTGATTCTGATCCATGCAGCCCTTAGAGGCGACACAGACGTGAACTGGACATTCTAGGAAGAAAGAGCCGACTGCCGGGTGACCTGTCTAGTTCACATCCACTCACCATTTCCCTCCTCGTTCCTATTCTTAGAAATAAGACTCTGACGCTCTCTTTTATACAGGCTAGTCCCCTATAGGCATGTCATGGTGATTATTTGCAATCCTCCTGACTTTCCTAAGAAGAGATCAGACTTAGCAGGGTTAGTCCTCATAGCCCGAGGCTGGACAGGAAGAGAACTCCATATCCTATGTCCAAGAATATCATCAAATCCTTATGAAGCACCAGTTGTTGTGACGCAATTTTAAAAGACTGGTTCAAAGTGCCTGTCTGAGACTAAGCAGATCTGTGGGTCGAGCCAATGCCACACCCATTGTGGTCTTTAAGCTTCTTTTCCAAATTAAAAAACAAAACAAAACAAAAAAAAACACCTCTTACACATTAATCTCCATTTAACATAGAGTGTCCATGGGGTATACAGTTATGGACTTGGCACTGTATCCAGCAGAGAGCCCAGAGAAATCAAACAATATGATCTTGGCTTTTAAGGATTTATACCTTTGCTGGAAAAGACCCAATTTACCCACCAAAGTTCAATGCCTTTCATTTCTTCAGATCGTACATGTCTGTAACTAAAAGCTCCCCCTTCCTTGAGCAGTCATTACGTACCAGGCACTATACTAAGGGCTTTCTAGGCAGAGGCTCTCACTTCTACAACCACCTTGTACAGTGCAAACCACTACTATCCCATTGCACAGATGGGCACATGGAGGCCTAGGGGACAAGCAACATGACCAGGTCCTACAGCTGCCAAGTGACAGCGTGCAGACCTTGATTCAGGGTGCATGTCATTCCCTTGTGTCTCTTGCAGCACTTACCACCTTCTTTCTACCCGGCAATCAAGCTCGTATTCACCTTCTATCTCTATCAGAGCTCCTAAAGTGCTCTGAGTGCCTTCCTTAGCACCGTATAACCTTGAGACAACGTTTATTGAATAAATGACTTGTAAGAGAGAAAAAGGGAAATTCTACTTATCCCTTTGTTCAAATATTTATTGAGCACCTACTATACGTCTCTCACTCTGCTGGACATGGGACCCAGGTGGTCAATCAGAGGTCCTGGCCTCATGGGCCAAGTCTGGTGAGGCTGATTCCAGAATCACAGAAACAAGTTGCACCCATACCAAGCCCTGCAAAGCACTCACGTGCTCCCTTCAGAACCAGGCAGTGGGGACATGACCGTGAAAGTAGTAGGCTCTGCCATGGAGTTGGGTATCCTCTGAGGGGAGAACAGATCCACAAGAGAGGGAAAAACATGGAATTAAAAATCTCTAATAGTCTAAGGGAAAGGGGGGTTTCTAAAGTCCTCAAGAGGTCAAACTAGCTGGGCGCAGTGGCTCACACCTGTAATCCCAGCACCTGGGGAGGCCAAACCTGGACAACATAGGAAAAAGAAACCTCTACAAAAAATAAAATAAAATAAAATAAAATAATGAGCCAGGCATGGTGGCGCATGTCAGTGGTCCCAGCTACTCACAAGGATGAGACGGGAGGATCATTTGAGCCTAGGAGGTCAGGGCTGCAGTGAGCTATGATCATACCACTGCCCTCCAGCCTGGGGAGCAAGACCCTGACCCCCCTCCTCCCCACCAAAAAAAAAAAAAAAAAAAAAAAAAAACAAGAAGTCAAACTGAGCTAACTTGGCACAGTACATCCTACTTTATGTGAGAATTCCTCTCCTGCCATTTTATGTGACTCTTGGTCTCAGCAGTGACAGAGGTAACACACATAAAATAAGGTAAGGACACAGTGAGATACCACTACACACCCACCAGAATGACTGCAATTTTACAAAGTGTCAGCACCTCCACCATGAGGACTGGAGCAACTGGAACTCTCAGACATTGCTGGTGGGAGTGTAAGTAGGTACAGCCACTTTGGAAAAGGTCTGGCAGTTTCTTATGAAATTAAACATACACCTACTCTATGACCCAGCAATTCCACTCCGAGTTATTTACCCAAGAGACATGAAAACATGCGTCCACCAGAAGTTTTGTTCAAGAATGCTCACAGCAACTTTATTCGAAGCAGCCAAAACCTGGAAGCAGGGCAGGCACCCAGTGAGAGAAGAAATGGACACACAGCTGTGGGACGGTCACACAGTGGGACACTGCTGTGCAGTCAGGAGGAGCCTGATACAGGCAATAACATGGAGGAATCTCAAAAAGTTTGCTGAGTGAAAGAAGAGTTACACAAAAGAGCGGATCATGTGTGACTCCATTTATATGAAGTTCTCCTAGAACGGCAAAATTAGACTAGGCAGAAAGACATCAGAAGTGTTGCTATGGAGATGTATTAGTCTGTTCTCACATGGCTAACAAACACATACCTGAGACTGGGTAATTTATAAAGAAAAAGAGGTTTAATGGAGGCACAATTCCATGTGGCTGGGGAGGCCTCACAGTCATGGCAGAAGGCAAAGGAGGAGAAAGGCACGTCTTACATGGCAGCAGGCAAGAAGAGAGCTTGTGCAGGGGAACTCCCATTTATAAAACCATCAGATCTCATGAGGCTTATTCACTACCATGAGAACAGTATGGGGGAAACTGTCCCCATGATTCAATTACCTCCCACGGGGTTGGGAGCTACACTTGAAGATGAGATTTGGGTGGGGACACAACCAAACCATATCATTCCGCCATCACGGGAGGGTCTAAGGGTGAGGGTGGACTGGCAAAGACCATGAAGACACTTTGCAGGGCACTGGTATTATTCTGTACCTATGGTACACTTCAGATTCGTTGCAGTACAGTGCATGCAAATTTTACTTTAAAAGAAAAAATATCTGCCATCAAATATTAAACTCGAGTGAATGATCTGAACACCGCAGTATTTGGAGAGAAGAATACTAATGTCTGCAACTTACTTGGAATGGATCAAAGAACATGGGACAGAAAGAGGCTGGAAGAGCAGGTAAGTGATAAAGCAAGTCAACTGTGGAATACAAAAGTCAACTGTGGGCCGGACGCGGAGATTCACACCTGTAATCCCAGCTCTTAGGGAGGCCGAGGCAGGTGGATCACCTGAGGAGTTCGAGACCAGCCTGACCAACATGGGGAAACACCATCTCTACTAAATATGCAAAAATTAGCCAGGCATGGTGGCACGTGCCTGTAATCCCAGCTACTCGGGAGGCTGAGGCAGGAGAATCGCTTGAACCTGGGAGGTGGAGATTACAGTGAGCCAAGATTGCACCCAAGATTGCACCATCGCACTCCAGCCTCTGGGACTAGAGCGAGACTCTGTCAAAAAAAAAAAAAAGGCTGGGTGCGGTGGCTCACACCTGTAATCCCAGCACTTTGGGAGGCCGAGGCGGGCAGATCACGAGGTCAGGAGATCAAGACCATCCTGGCTAACAAGGTGAAACCCTGTCTCTACCAAAAATACAAAAAATTAGCCAGGTATGGTGGCAGGTGCCTGTAGTCCCAGCTACTTGGGAGGCTGAGGCAGGAGAATGGCGTGAACCCGGGAGGTGGAGCTTGAGCCAAGATGGTGCCACTGCACTCCAGCCTGGGCGACAGAGCAAGACTCCATTTCCAAAAAAAAAAAAAAAAAAAAGTCAACCGTAGAATCTACATGATGGGTATATGGGTGCTGGTGTCAAATTCTTTCCATTTTCTGTATATTTGTAAATTTCCATAATAAAATATTGGCGGGTGGAAGGAGCAAAGAACATCCCAAATGGCTTCGTGTGAAAAGAACACTGACATGCTGAGTTTTCAGAGGGGTTTACACAAATCCCTAGTGTACAAATCAAGGGGAGTCGGGAGAGAGGAAGGGAAGAGAAGGCCTTTGGGACACTCGGGGCTGGATTTAAAGCCACCTGATGTAGAGATGCACTTGGGGTCTGAGCTAAGGCCAAAGTCAGAGCGGCCTGCGTCTGCATTCCGTTACCCACAGCAAGATGCAATTTCCTGTTCCACGAGATGAAGCACTTCTCGAATTTGAAATACCTCTCACTAAATAGCATTTTGATGAGTTAAGTGTAAATGAATCAGAAACAAATGGATTAAGTTTCTCAGCATACACACGGAATTGACACACACACATAAAAATAAAAGAAACGGGGAAGGAAGCACCATGGGGCGGGAGGGAAAGGGTCTCCGCTTCAAACCGTGCATAAAACCAACGTTTTAAAAAATACTTGATTGACTTGCAGATCTCCATCCTGGACATGGAGGGCTTCTGGGCCCAGCTCTTTAATATTCAAATGACTTTGAAAAATATTTCTCCTCCTGGAAAGCAGAGGGAAGAGGAAATGCTTTGAAGCCTTGCTAGTTATTTAATTAGTTTTTTCAAAGGTAAGGCAGTATATTTTTATCCAATATTAAATAAACTTTTTTTTTAATGGTATGTTCAAAGCCTTTAGGCCTCTGATGTTGGGATTTTTTGTTCTGTCTTGTTTTGTGTTCGAAAGGGTGAGTGAGGATGATGCTTTTTCTTGCCAAATGTTCTGAAATTGCAACATGAGACCCAGGAAGCCTAAGCAGCCACTCACCTATCAAGGAGGAGGGAGGCTCAGATGGGCTTTAGCGACCTCTCTCAGAGGTAAGCAGTGGCCCAGCTGGGATCAGAATGCAGGCGGCCTGGATTCTGGGTCCACGTGCAGAATGTTCTACTCTGGGCCGGAAAGCGATGGGCTTTAGCTCTGAGTTAATGACCCCAGGGCTACCCTTCCTACACAAGAGAGCTTACAGAAACATATTTTATCAGTCACCGTCCATCAGGGATGATGGCAGTGGCCATCTCCCCAAGGACACTCGCGAGACTTCTCAAGTACTCAGTGATCCAGGAGAGCAAGGACATGTGAGGTCAATGGACCTCTATGTGAGGATATTGGCTGAGAAAACAAAACAAAACAAAACAAAACAAAACAAAACAAAACAAAAACTCCTATGAAGGATTTTCTCTTAACCGGCCTAATGCAGACATAAGCTATACAAACACATTGCACCAAGATTATTTGGGGCACAGGGCATGAAATAGTGAGATGGGAATAAGAAGGGCATAAAAATGATTCTTAAATACTCCATGTTTCAGTAACAGCTCCTAACAGCCCATAATTCAGTGCATTAACAAATAAATAGAATTCACACTCTCCTCTATCACAAAAGTGGTAACGACTGGCATAAAAGTTTTCAGAAAAGATGTGTTCGGAGTGAGATACATTCAACACCAGAATCTGCTGGAGACAGAGTTCTCCAGGCTCTTCCCCTAAGTGACGGAAGCATTCATTGTTAGTTGCACTAAATTGCTTCATTTAATTCTTGCAATGGCCTTATGAGATCAGCGTCATTAAACACATTGTACAGATATTTTTTTAATGGGCCACAAACAAAGTAACTAACCAAAATCACAGCTGGCAAGTGATGGATTCAAACCCAGGTCTCTCCAATTCCAAAGTCCCTGCTCTAATCATAGCCTCTCTTCCATGCCTGGCTGTACCCAGAAGGGCAGACTTCAACCCAGAAACAACTGTGAATTGTGATGGAGAGATGGGCTCTAGTATCTGAACAACGAAATTATACTTATAGGCTACTTTCTTTTCACAGAACAAATGAGCTTTCTTGGCTTTTAACAAAATTATCATTGAAAACTACAAAATTAAGATCACCCATAATCCCAGCATTCAGAGGGTTAATCTTTTGTTTAAAATCCTTCCAAAAGTCTTAAATGTGTTTATATGCCTTTTGGAAAAAAAATTTATTTTATAATCATTTTGGATTTACAGAAAATTGACAAAGATAGTACAAAGAGTTCCTTCACTCAGCTTTGCCTAATGTGAACATTTTACATAACCACAGGACATCTGTCAAAACTAAGCAATTAACATTGGTACATTACTTTTAACTAAACTACAGATTTTATTCAGAGTACTCCTGTTTTTCCACCAATGTCTTTTTCTGTTCCAGGATATCACATTGTAAGGCACTCATATGGTTTTAAAACAAATTGATTGTACACAACAATATATCATGGACAGATTTCTTAATCAACAAATATAAGTCTATAGCATCACGCACCACTCTCTCGTCTTTTTTTCTTTTTTTCCTTTTTTTTTTTTGTGTGTGTGTGTGTGTGAGATGGAGTTTCGCTCTTGTTGCCCAGGCTGGAGTGCAACAGCGTGATCTCGGCTCACCGCAACCTTCATCTCCTGGGTTCAAGCGATTCTCCTGCCTCAGCCTCCCGAGTAGCTGGGACTACAGGCGTGCACCACCATGCCTGGCTAATTTTGTATTTTTAGTAGAGATGGGGTTTCTCCATGTTGATCAGGCTGGTCTTGAACTCCCGACCTCAGGTGATCCGCCCACCTCGGCCTCCCAAAGTGCTGGGATTACAGGCATGAGCCACCGTGCCCAGCCTATAGCACCACTTTCAATAGCTCCCTAATATTCCACTCTATGGATGGGGATACTCTGCTCCTGAAGGGCGTTTCCACAGTTTGCATTTTTCACTGTCTCATAAACACAGGATGGGCAAACTTATCAATGGTGTCCTCAGAAGAAATTTCTAGAAATGCACTGATAGCATGTCAAGAATATGCCATTCAAGGCTTTTCATTCATTTGGCTATTCTCCTCCAGAAAGCCTGAACCCATTTGCCTTACCACCAATAAATGAGTAGCTTTAACTTAAATTCATTTTGGACAATAAATGACTTCCCTGGTAAACTAACTTGTCCACTACCCTCGAAAGAAAAAGCTATGGGACTGGAAAGAGTTAAAGGACTTTCGAGACAGTCATGTTCCCCAAAACCAGACTGATGATTTCGAACAACCACCCAGAAATTAAAGTTCCATTCTCGTCAACTCAAGTTTGTCTCACTCTCCTCTCTGGGTCTGACAGCGAAAGAGATGTTCGGGCTTTTGGCATTTCAATCATGGAATTACTTTCGGGGTACAGGGGCAACCCCCACCGAGTTTAATTTCCTTCTCATCTCTCTGTAGTGTCTATTGAAACTCCCTAAAGGAAAAGCTTTGAGCAGGCTCCTGTGGTAACGCATGTAACAGGAAGGACAAAGGATTTGATAGTCAGCAAAGTTATAAGCCTGGTTTTTTTTTAA
Source organism: Homo sapiens (assembly GCF_000001405.40). Lineage (NCBI taxonomy): Eukaryota > Metazoa > Chordata > Mammalia > Primates > Hominidae > Homo > Homo sapiens. Next base: position 72,510,106 of record NC_000017.11, read on the forward strand.
TGGTGAAAGGAATAGGGGGAAGGAGAGAGATTATAAAACTGCTTGCATATCTAGAAATAGTTCAAATTGAGCTTGAACCAGGAACCTGCCCAGCATGCTAACTGCGGCCATGGTTCCTTGTCCAAAGGAAGCCCATATTTTATTTTGAGACTCCTGTTCTTTGGTGCAAAACACTTTGTCCCCATGCTTAGAAACACTATAAAACGCTATATATTTAGGATAACTGGGAAAAAAAGGCGGCTTGGAAGGTTCCGAGAAATTGAGCCCTACCCCATGCTGGGGAATTCTTCAGCGCCATTCTGGCTTGCAAAAAGAAAAAGAAAAAAAAAAAAGAAAAAAGAAAGAAAGAAAAAAAAAACAAGCTACTGGTCAGAGGGAATGCTCTTCCATGCCAAGCTCAGCTTGAATTAATACACAACACAACCTCTTAAAGAGGGGCACTGCTTTAAACTAAGAGTCTCTTCTGAAAATGTAACTGATTTGAAAAAGCAACAGGAAGTTGAGAATATTCTGGAAGGAAAAAGGCTGCAACCTGATACATTTTCTTCACCCCAGTGTTTGCAATCTTGTCACTCTGGTCAAGGCCACACCTTCAAGTCAGGAGGGATGAAGCCTTTGAAGCAAAGGATGCCAGTTTCACTTCCCCAAGCAAAACAATGCCCAGGACCCATCCTGAGCTTGCTGCCTCCCTAGGGCCTCTGTGGTCTGGTTGAGTGGCTGGTAGAACCCATTTCACTTTGAATTCTGCCCAGAAACCACAGGAGGATCAGTCCACGGAAGAGAAAAATCTAATTGGTTACAGGGACTTAGCATCTGCCCAGAAGACATTCATGCCCTTTGTCCTACATGGTTTCCCAGCCACCAGGGAGGAGAGGACTTCAGTCCAGGGACCACATATAGAACCTGATTACTTTCAGCTACAAGATGAATTTGTTCTGGGGATCTAAAGCACAGCATGGTGACAATAGTTAATAATACAACATGGCTCGCTTGAAATTTGCTAAAAGAGTAGATCTTAAGTGTCCTTACCCCCAACCCCACACACACGGTAATTATGTGGGGTGGTGAATGCACTAATTAATTTGATTGTGATTAATTTGATTGTAAAACTTATTTCACAATGTATATCAAATCATCATGTTGCATACCATGAATACATAAATACAATTTTTATTAGTCAGCTGCACCTCAATAAAGCTGCAGAGACAAAAAAACAAAAGAGACGCTTTCTCTTGTTAGCTGATGGAGTATTGCGTTAAGTACAGGAGGAGCAAGTTACTGCAAAGAGAAACGAAAGCCTTGAAAACCAAAGCACTGTTATTTCCGCGTGTATCTTCCAGGGTGAAGCAAGCACATTTCTGTGAATGGGAGCTTTTTTAGACCTATTTGGAGATCTGTAAAATTTAGGTGATTCAACCTACCAACCTTAAATTGAAACCCAAGCCATTACAAGATCAGACTGTAGCGTTCTGAAGGAGTGTGTAAGTGTACGTATGTGGGCTTTGTCATGAAGCAGAATTTGAGAAAAGGGACCACACTGATGTGAGGCTTTACCAAAGCCCCGCGCTATAAGCAATACTCCAACAGTGTTGTGTGTGTTTGTTTTCTTTTAATTGGGAATAGTTATGCATACTCTGTAAGCACAAACTGTAAAAGAGGGAGGTTATACGAATAGACTTCCCTACTGTAAATAAAACACACTGTTGGGATCAAGTAAAACTTGCAACAAATTAAGCCTGACATTTAGGAATAACCATGGTGTAATTGAGCTACATAGAAATCCAACATAAAAGACAAACTTCCTAAGGAGGTGACTCAAGCCACACCTCTGGGGGCAGATAGTGGGAGGTGAGAGGGGACAGGGAAAGTAGCGAAGTCCCTGGAAGTCCTTCAGGAGGCTGAATCAGAGAGGCTTCAGCCAGGGCTCAAAGGCAGGCAGTGTGGATCCAGAATGCCACTCCTTGCTGTGTCGGAGGATTAAACAGAGTCATGTGATGCCTATTCTCAGGCCCAGAGGTGGCTTGGGAGCACCTGCTGGAAGGACAAGGTCGAGATCCTCAAATGTCCCCTTCTCTTGGTCTCCAGGTCATTGAACTTAGAGGAGTCACTGAGGGACAGCCACACTCCTCCTCCTTTAAAAACCACAAGCTGCCTTGCTACCTTCACATCACCTGTAATGCCCTCCAATTATATATTTATTTCATTTTAAAGAAAATATCAGCCAGGCACAGTGGCTCACGCCTGTAATCCCAGCACTTTGGGAGGCCAGGGCAGGCAGATCACTTGAGTTCAGGAGTTCAAGACCAGCCTGGCCAACATGGCGAATCCCTGTCTCTACTAAAACTACAAAAATTAACCGTGCATGGTGGCATGCGCCTGTAATCCCAGCTACCTGAAAGGCTGAGGCCAGAGAATTGCTTGAACCTGGGAGGTGGAAGTTGCAGTGAACCCAGATCAAGCCACTGCACTCCAGCCTGGGCGATACAGCGAGACTCCGTCCCCCTGACCAAAAAAAGAAAAAGAAAATATCTGTAAGAAAGCTGGAGTGCTTTCAATTTCTCACAACTTGATTGGGTTGGTTCTCTGTCTACTTTCCTAGCTGGGACTAATCACTGAAGCACCCAGGGTTATTTACATGAACACCAGCTTCTAGAAAACTCTGCCCCTCCTCCCTTAGGAGGCTCTCAGGTTCCCCTGCTGCATAGACCTGGGGCAGCCACCACATTTCCCATACCCTAGAGAAGAAAGAACAAAGGGCCATTTGCAACACGGGACACTTCAGGAGGGAAATCCAGGGGTGGCCTCAACCACTAAAGTAACATGAGAGCTCGATGCTCCCTAAAGAGCCCAGCAGAGGGGGGCAAGGAGAGTCACGGAAGTGGGTGGGTACCCCGTCCAAAGGCTGGTTCACAGTTTGCCCTGGCCCCTCCATCCTCCCACCAGAAGACAAGAGGATTGCTTTCACTCCTGGGTCATTCCTGCCAGCCCTCCCTACTGTGCCTACCTGGAGGTGGGCAGTGAGAGGGACAGGGTGGGAAAGCCTTGGCCCCAAGAGACTCTGGGCAGGGCCCTGGATGGACCACCCAAGCCATCCTGCTGCAGCAAACAGATGGTGTGGGCCGCCTGGGGACCGTGAAGTGCACTGCTCAGCTCTTATTCCCGAGAGGGATGTCTGTGTTCACAGGGCCTTATTCTACACACACCCAGCCTAGCAGCAGCTGGAGTCTACTAGGTGGCAAAAAAGTTAGCCATAAGAGTTTGGGGTCATTCATTCATTCACATCTTCAACATTTTTTTTTTTTTGAGACAGGATCTCACTCTGTCTCCCAGGCTGGAAGGCAGTGGCACAATCTCGGCTCACTGCAGCTGTGACCTCCTGGGCTCAAGCAATCCTCCCACCTCAGCCTCATTTTTTTTTTCTTTTTTTTTGAGATGGAGTCTCACTCTTGTTGCCCAGGCTGGAGTGCAGTGGTGCAATCTCGGCTCACTGCAAGCTCTGCCTCCCGGGTTCACGCCATTCTCCTGCCTCAGCCTCCCTAGTAGCTGGGACTACAGGCGCCCGCCACCACGTCTGGCTAATTTTTTGTATTTTTAGTAGAGACAGGGTTTCACCATGTTAGCCAGGATGGTCTCGATCTCCTGACCTCATGATCTGCCCGCCTCAGCCTCCCAAAGTGCTGGGATTACAGGCGTGAGCCACTGCACTCAGCCCCACCTCAGCCTCTTGAGTAGCTGGGATTACAGGTATGCACCACCATGCTTGGCCAATTTTTTTTTTTTTTTTTTTTTTTTTTAGCAATGGGGTCTCCCTATATCTCCCAGGCTGGTCTCGAACTCCTGGGCTCAAGTGATCCTCCCACCTCAGGCTCCCAAAGTGCAGAGATTACAGGCATGAGCCACTATGCCTGGCCACATTCAACAATTAAAGAGTCTAATTTGCCAAGTATTGGAGATAAAATATGCAACAAAAACATCCAGCTCCCCAGTCCAGTGGAAGGAGACCTGATATGGTTTGGCTGTGTCCCCACCCAAATCTCATCTTGAATTGTAGCTCCCATAGTCCCTACATGTCATGGGAGGGACCTGGTGGGAGGTAATTGAATCATGGGGGCAGGTTTTTCCTATGCTATTCCCATGACAGTAAATAAGTCTCACGAGATCTGATGGTTTTATAAAGGGCAGTTCCCCTGCACACACTCTCTTGCCTGCCACCATGTAAGAGGCGCCTTTGCTTCTCCTTTTCCTTCCGCCATGATTGTGAGGCCTCCCCAGCCATGTGGAATTGTGAGTCCATGAAACCTCTTTATCTTGATAAATTACCCAGTCTCGGGTATTTCTTCATAGCACTATGATAATAGACTAACACAGGACCAACATTAATCAAGCACACACAGCAATGAGCTGTGACTGCAGATAGAGGTAGCTTCCTCCAGGCTTAGGAATCCCATTGTGCAAGCAAGCTAACAAAGGATTGGCCTAAAAAGGTAGCGACACAACCTGAGGGAGAAATAATCCATCTGCTCTTGACTTTGGGTAGTTACTTAATCCTTCTACGCCTCGCTTTCTCATCTGTAAAATGGGCCAATATATATGTGACAGTGGGTAGGCTTAAATGTGGCAAGGTCTTTAAGGACTTTAGCAAAGTGAAAACTCTCAATCATGTTAAATTGTGTTAGTAGAAGGGCCCCTTGGAATGAAGGCATCGAGCTTAAGCCCACAGAGCTGGCCCCTGGGCTTCCTGTAGCAATGCTCCAATGCCCACACCCATCTCTTCCCCTGCAGACAGGCCCGGCCTATCCCTGAATCTCAGTAGATTCTGATAGATTCCCTCATCTTTGCCATTCTCTCATTTAGCCTGATTCCAGCGAGAGCCTCTAACCTCCCCTGTTATTTCAGCCCTGGGTCTCTTTAAGCAGCCACTGCCAAGCTGTGGGGGATTCATGGTGATTCAGCCCTGGCCCCAAGCAAGCTGGATGTGCTATCGCTCAGCCAGGATATGGCTGGGAGCCCACAGGCTGCTGCGAAGAGACAAAGCTGTCCTCTCCAGCCTTCGAAATCTCCCTTCCTTCTACTGACAGGCACATTGCGGGTCCAGCCATCATGCCCAAGGTGGTCAGAGGCTGGCTTCAGCCTCTTAAAGATTGAAGGCAAGACAATCATCCACCTCCACCCCAGGAGGAAAATGAGGCAGCTGAGCAGTTTCCTCCTGCTCTCTTACTCTCATGTAAGGCATCGTATCTGAATGTAGACAGAGTATTTGCTTGTTTTCTCTTTCTTAGGAGGCAGGACCAGGGAGAGACCCAGCAAAGAGAAGGTCCCAAGCCTAGCTCAAATCTCCTGGTCCTGGAACATTCAGGAGCCGCCCCACTTCAATGGTAATTGGCCTATTTCCATCTGGTTTCCAAGCAACATGACACAAAATCCCCAGGAACCTTATCACAGAGCCAGTGAACTGGAAGGGGCTGGAGATCGCTCTGGCCCAAACTCCCTGCGCCAAAGCATGCGGGGCGACTCAGACACAAAAGGGAGGAAGGCACAGTCTCTGCCCAGAGCCCACGGTGGCACCAAGAAACTCCTTTTACCACTGAAGAAGAAAAGGAGGTCCAGTCTTTTGGAGGCAAGACAAGGTCACCTACAGAGGGCCTCAGCCGAGCAACTCGCTAGAGGTTGTTTTCTGCATGACCACCTTCCCTGCACCGTGGATCCCTGGGGTGGGTGGTTTAGGGGCTTTCCAGGTAAGAGCCAGGGTCAGCGCCAGGAAATGATGACAAGTCTGTCTGAACCCTTTCCGCAGACATACAATTGACCTCCTCCAGCCAAGCGCTGCTCCAGTTAGAATCTTTCTAAAACTACATAGGCAAATGTCTAGCAATTGTCATTCAACTCTCACAATGAAAGGGTAAAAACTCATTTTAATGTGTCTCCCTTGTACCACTTTCTTAGTATGCCTGAATCCATTTCATCTCAAGGACCATACATCAAGCACTGCCTTCTCAGGTACTCAACTCTGCATGCCTAGATGAAGCCACAGCACTCCAAATCTGATTATGGGGATATTTTAGGAAGACAGCCTTGCATTAAAAACTGAAATCCTAGCCAGGCACAGTGGCTCATGCCTGTAAACCCAGCACTTTGGGAGGCCGAGATGGGAGGATCACTTGAGGCCAAGAGGTCAAGACCACCGTGGGCAATACAGTGAGACCTCCGTCTCTACAAAAAATAAAAAATGGAAAAACTAGCTAGGCATGGTAGTACATGCCTGTGGTCTCAGCTACTCGGGAGGTTGAGGCAGGAGGATAGCTTAAGCCTGGGTGATCAAGGCTGCAGTGAGCTCTGATGGCACCACCGTACTCCAGTCTAGATGACAGAGCAAGGCCCTGTCTCAAAAGAAAAAAAAAAAAGAAAAAAGAAATGGAGTCCACTGAACACTAAAAAAAGGATGAATTTTACTGTATGTAAATTATTCCTCAATAAAACTGACTTTAGGAAGAAAATCCACAGGCTCACCCTTCCTAAAGAAAAAAATACACATATAATATCAGGGAGGAAAAAAAAGAAGGAAATTCACACCTTTTTGCTTGACAGAAGTACGGTGCTTGCTTTTTCAATTAAAACTAAAAGGCTACTCCTTTAGGAAACAAAAGTGGGTTCAGCTCCAACAGCCAAGCAAAGCAACGGACTCACCCCACTGGGGATCCCACAGCTGGAAGGTCCCTGACCTACTTCCGCCCAGATCGCCTGAAAGGCCCACGGGGCACCAGCCAAGAGTGGGAAGCAGAGCCGGGCAGCGGGTGCAGGGTGGTGAGCAGAGCACTCCCCCTCTCGCCCCACAGGACACACACAGGCTGAGGGCAAATGATTCCCAGACAGGGACCTGGTGAACAAAGAGGTTACGCAACTCACTAATCACTCAAGACAGCCAAAAACAGAACCTGACATCACGTGCCTGTGACCATCCCCACGGACTGCCTGTGAACTCCCGTAGAAGGTATTCAACAGTTTGTGGAATTACACTGAGCTTGAGTCGGGCTGCAAATAAAAATAAAGTCACTTTTCCCCTAATCCTGTAAGAAACTGGGCACTCAGGGACACGTTAACTCTTTCATGCTCTCTAGAGCCCATTTGAGTCTCAATGGATTCAAGGTTTGGTGGGATGGAAACATGAGTATAGTAAGAATCATCTTAGACTATAAGAAATTCCAAAAATGGCGGGGCAAAAAAAAAAAAAAGGAAAAAAAGAAAAGAAATGGGGAAATTTTGTTACGGTCTTGCATATAACCAAGGTTTTCTCCTTGTCACGGACCAAACCATGATCTGAGTTTGGAGCCTTCTAGAATCCTGAAAACTAGCAAATCCATCTAGTGACAAGATGCACTAAAGCCCTGTGTGGTTTCTAAAAGTTGCTAAAAACTCTAGAATGGCAAACGTTGATAGGGTGGTAGGAGGATGGGGTACTGCACTGATTATCTTTTTAACCTAGATTTCATTAACAATCACCAATTACCGTATACATCCTAAACACCAGGCACTACACAAAGTAACTTAAAGTTATCAGTGCATTCAATCATCATAGTCCTAAAAGATGGGCACGGCCACTTCTATTTGATAGGTGGGAGCACTGAGGATACCTAGCTAGGTGATGGCAGAGCTGAGACTCAAACCCCCAGCTAACCCCAAAACACACACCCCTAATTTTGTCATCCGGCTCTCTGATTAAAAGTGAGAGGCTTTTCTACCCAGTGTGCTGAGCCCAAGTGCCCAAAGATGAACTGTTTCCATGAGTTGTCAGATTTCTGACCCAGAGATGGCAGGACAGAAGCATCTGACTGGATCAGGGAGGTGGCAGAGGCCCAGGGAAGAGGGAGGGCCTGGCGGTTTCAGTGAAAGTCAAAATGACCTCCCCAAATATGCAGCAGAAATTCTCCAGGTACCAGGCCACTGCTGGAGAGATCAGAGGCTCAAGGCTGCCAAGAACAAGGAACTACTGCCAGAAATAAGTTAAGACCTCCCCACAGGTCTCCAGCGGTCACCCACCGTTCCTTAGATCAGTCTCCACCCTCTAAGTAGAAGACAAAAGTGGATCTCCAGAACCTTGAAGCTATTATGCTCTGTGAAAGAAGCCAGACACGAAAGGCCACATATTGTGAGGTTCTGTTTATGTAGAATATTCAGAATAGGCAAATCCATAGAGCCAGAAAGTAGACTAATGTTTGGCAGGGGCTGGAGGGAAGGGAGAATGGAGAAATGACCGCCTAATGAGCGCAGGCTTTCCTTTTGGGGTGGTGTATGCATACGTCCAGACTCTTCAAAATGTGTGTATTAAACAATGTACAATTTATGCATACCAATTTTCATTCAATAAAGATTTTTAAAGGACTTGGAAAAAAGTTCTGAATACAAATAGTGGTGATGGTTGCACAACACTGTAAATGCTTTCATGTCACTGAACCGTATACTTTAAGTTGGTTAAAACGGTAAATGATGTTATATTGTTATATGTATTTTACCACAGTTTTTTTAAGGTGGAATCTCCAAAGAATCCTAGAACTCATTCAGTCCAAGCCTAAAACCGAAACACGGAGTCGGGGCTTAGCCTCTAAGGGCTGTGAGGGTTAGAACTGGATGTTCCCCTAAGACCCTCAAATTCATAAACTCATTGTTTAGAGAGAGGGTGGTGCCGGCAAGCAGGGAAGGAAGAAGGCCTGCGAGACGGTGAGGCCGGACAGAGCACTGGCTCCTTCTGAGGCGACCAGGGGGAGCGAGGTGCAGCCAGGGAGGCAGGGCCCCCGCCCATGCATCCTCCCCCAGACCCCTCGCCTCTTCCCACCTGGCAGACCTCATGCTTCCTTCCTTGGGGCTGGGAGCCCAGTGCCCTTGGTCTGCATCACAGAGTCAACAACAATTTATCTGAACTGAGCAAACAAGGCAGCCATAAGAGGCGGAACTCTGACAATATTTAATGACTCCGGGGGTGGGGAAGCTTTGCAGGAGAAGGAGGGCAGGCGAGGAAAGGAACCAGAGAGGAGGCAGAAAACTCCAGGGGAAATTCCGTCGGGGGGAAGATAAAAGGGGGCTGTAAAGCAATTTTGACAGGTTAACAGACAGGTAATATTCCAACGGTGTTTACTTAACCAGGCTAGCACTCCATGCAGCGCCGATTAAGCTGCAGCACGAGAGCCTCAGCAGCTAAGGGTTTCACAGAAACAAAGATCTAGTCAGAGAAAACCAAATAACAGCCAGTCAGATGCTGGCAGCCCGGCCTGCAGCTCCCCCAGCTCGGAAGCCACACGGAGATGCTTCCTGGAGACCGATCTGGAAAGATAACTTGCAGCGGGTACCTTGCTGGGCCTCCACCTGGGATCACAGGGCCTAGCATCTGACAGCTCCTCGGAAAGGGTGGGGCATGGGCACCAAGCGCAAAGTGTCCCCTCTTCCCTCCCACGTTGAGGCAGACCAGTTCTCCAATCCTCAGTCCTAGGAAGACAGCCTTGCTGGTCCCACCCGCTGGCCCGGGGACTGCTGGCTCAGGATCTTTAGCCAGCAATGAAATTCATGCCAGCTCCCAAACCCCTATCCACCCACCCAGATGCAAACCCAACGTGTTCTGCCATCTCTTAGCTCTCATACACTGGGCAAGTTCCTTAGTCTCTCGGGGCCTCAACTTCCTCATCTGTAAAATGGGGCAGTAAATTTCACAAGCTTCTTTAATTCATACATCACTATTAATTATCTGTTAATGTCATTGATATAAGTATAAATAATGCAGATAGTCCCCAACATACAATTTTCCTACTTTATGATGGCGTGAGAGCAAAACAAATTCAGCCGAAACCACACTTCAAGTACCCATACAACAATTCTGTTTTTCACTTTGAAGATACTAAAAAAAATTCAATAAATCATATAACATATTCAAGATTTTATTATAGGCCGGGAGGTGGTTCATACCTGTAATCCCAGCACTTTGGGAGGCCGAGGCAGGCAGATCGCCTGAGGTCAGGAGTTCGAGACAAGCCTGACCAAAATGGTGAAACCCTGTCTCTGCTAAAAATAAAAAAATAAAAAAATAAAAAAAATTAGCTGGGCATAGTGGCGCATGCCTGTAGTCCCAGCTACTCAGGAAGCTGAGGCAGGAGACTCACTTGAACCCAGAAGACGGAGGTTGCAGTGAGCTGAGATCGTGCCATTGCACTCCAACCTGGATGACAAGAGAGAAACCCCGCCTCAAAAAAAAAAATAAAAGATTTTATTATAAAACAGGCTTTGTGTTACATGATTTGCCCAACTGTAGGCTAAAGTAAGTGTTCTACTAATGTTTAAGGTACATTAGGCTAAGCTATAGTGTTTGGTAAGAGCAGTGTCTTAACTGCATTTTTGACTTACAATATTTTCATCTTATGATGGGTATCAAGACGTGATCCCATTGTTAGTAGAGAAGCATCTGTATTTAATAAATAATTATAAGGAATAAATGAGGGTTTAGCACAGTGTCTGGATGTTAGTATCTACTCAATAAACTTTAGCTTCCTTATGCAACTATCTTTAACACCCACGTGGCCAGATTCAGAATGTGATCTTCTGAATATAGCAGAACAACCTATTGACAGGAAGATGCTTGATTTTTAAAATACGTGAAGGCTATTATATCTCCACCCATGCTCTCATAGAATGAGGAGGAAACGCTGTTGGGACCAGAAGAAGTGTCACGCTGGCTTAGGTCCCAGGAGAAGCACCCGAGACACCCCCAGCTCTCTGAGACCTTGGAGGCCTCACTAAGCAACTTGATATGGTTCCATGTTCCTGTATTTCTCAGAGGACATAAAAGTGTTCAAAGCCCCGGAACCAGCAAGCAAGAGGTGCCAAGATATTGACTTCATTTCCTATAGGGTTCCCTGGCCTCTGTTACAGGACACTATTTTGAGGTTGGATTATATATTTTTAGGTTATTTGGAAAATCATTGTGGCTTTAAATAATAAAATTCTGAGTGACATCTGTCAGCCCTGATTACTGTGAGTCGGCTAAGCTGCATTTTCTTTCGTTTTCATTTTTAAAAGTGCAATGAAGTAAGTGTTACCCAGAAAGGTCTGTGAGAGTCTGCAGGGTTGTGTATTAAACACTCTCTTGAAACTGGTCCCAAAGGCTTGTACCAGGGACCTAGCAACAGGCCTGGGGTGGTACACCCAAGAGCTGAGCTGGCAAACACTGCCAAAAGCAAGAAGTGGGACTGAGGCCCCTGCAAGGAATCACAGGGGCATCTGGTCAACCTCCTTCATTTCACCAGTGGGGTAGCAGAGGCCCAAGGGGGTTGGAGAATTGCCTTGGATGTACAGACAGCCATGGTGAAAGACGACAAGAGGCAGGTCTCCCCACAGCTTCATTCAGGACTCTCTGAGCTACACTATGAGGCCCATCAGGTCTTCTTATTCTATGAGTAGCACATCAATAAGGTTTGTATCCTACTGACCCAGTCCAGAAATCACCTCACGAAAGGGTTCCTCTACATAAATCTCTGCCCTTCTTCTTTACTTTCAGGATTCAATCATTGTTCCTACTCAGAAAAGTGCATCTTTTTTTTTCTTTTTAAGAGATGGGGTCTAGGCAGGCACGGTAGCTCGCACCTGTAATCCCAGAACTTTGGGAGGCCAAGGCAGGTGGATCACCTGAGGTCAGGAGTTTGAGACCAGCCTGGCCAACATGGTGAAATGCCATCTCTACTAAAAATACAAAATTAGCCGGGCATGGTGGTGCACGCCTGTAATCCCAGCTACTTGGGAGGCTGAGGCAGCAGAATCACTTGAACCCAGGAGGTGGAAGTTGCAGTGAGCCAAGACTGTGCCACTGCACTCCAGCCTGGGCAGCAAGAGCAAGGCTCTGTCTCAAAAAAAAAGAAAAAGAAAAAAAAAAAAAGAGATGGCGTGTCACTATGTTGCCCAGGCTAGTCTTGAACTCTTGGCTTCAAGCGATCCTCCCACCTTGGCCTCCCAAAGTGCTGGGATTATAGGCATGAGCCACCACACTCAGCCTTGAAAAGTACATCTTTTATGACCACCTGTTGGTTATCCACCATGTGAGTCTCACCTAATACAGGACTGGTGGTTTAGGAAATACCTGTGGCTGTCGCAGTTTTGGTCCTGCAGGGAAAGTGCCATCTACAAAATGAACTTGGAATGTCTAGGTTCAGGCAGTCTCTTCCTCAGAAAGCAGGAACCTCCAGACCAGATCTACCAAAAGCCATTCTCCCTCCCACAATCACCGCCACCATGTCCTGAGTATCAATAGCTTATTGACCCTCTTCATCCAGGAGCAATGAAGTTGTTAAGAATCAAACTCAATGGTTTTTTTTTTCTTTTCCTTTTTTTTTTTTGTGGGTATGATTTTACAGAATCCTCCTTTTTCCCCCAAATAAGTTTGATCAGCATGCATTTCATGTCTGAATTAGGACCTTAATTCAAGGCCCAGCACAGGGAAAGGAGTCAATAAGCAACTGATGAATAGAGGGATGAATTTGGGAGGCAAGCCTTTTCAAAGAAGCTATTCGATGGGTAAATGCCTATAAAATAAGCACATACTTTGTTATGTGGGACAAGAGATGGGGATGGGTTGGGGGTCCCATTCTCACGGATGGAAACCTCATTTTAAAAGTTTTCAGGTTTGGCCGAGCGCAGTGGCTCATGCTTGTAACCCCAGCACTTTGGGAGGCTGAGGTGGGCAGATCACTTTAGTTCAGCCTGGGAAACATGGCAAAACCCTATCTCTCCAGAAAAATACAAAAATTAGCCAGGCCAGTAGTCCCAGCTACTCAGGAGGCTGAGGTAGGAGGATGGCTTGAGCCCAGGAGGCGGAGGTTGCAGTGAGCTGAGATCGCGCCACCGCACTCCAGCCTGGGAAACAGAGTCCGACCTTGCCTCAAAAAAATAAAAACAATAAGCTGGGCACAGTGACTCAGGCTTGTAATCCCAGCACTTTTGGAGGCCGAGACAGGCGGATCACCTGAGGTCAGGAGTTCAAGACCAGCCTGCCCAAACATGGGAAAACCCTGTCTCTACTAAAAACACAAAAAATTAGCCCAGCGTGGTGGTGGGCACCTGCAATCCCAGCTACTCGGGAGGCTGAGGCAGGAGAATCGCTTGAACCCAGGAGGTGGAGGTTGCAGTGAGCCGAGATCGTGCCATTGCACTCCAGCCTGGGTGACAAGAGCAAAACTCCATCTCAAATAGTAATAATAATAATAATGTTAAAGCATTTCCAGGCTTTGAACCATCTTTCCTGACAGAGACCTCTGTGATGTGGTTGTGGAGGTGGGGGCAGGTTCTTCACGTTACCAAGAAGAAAACCAAGGAAATGAGACAATGAGAAGCTATTCCAAGGTCTGCAATGAATGAATAGAAAAGCTGAGATGAGCACTCAATCTGTTTCTCTTATTTGATATTTTCTATTCTCTTAAGATGGTGTTTTAAAGCCTTAAATCTCCCGAAAAATATATCTTACACATCGCACTGAAAGCCTTCAGATGCTAACTTCGGACACAATGAAATCACCCCATGTCCCCTCAGCCTTGCCAAAAGCTGATGTCTAAACCACGTCACCATTCGTGGCCTTAAACCCTGGCTAAACAATCATAATCACATTTCTGGAAATATAGGAATGGTGGCTGCCAAAAGCACTGAAGTATTAGACCACACCTCAAAGCTTTCTGTGCAGTGAACACTAGAAATAAGGAACTTCACAAGATTACCTGCCTAAAGAATCCACCCTCACAATTCCCCATCTAAAATACAAACTACACCTGGAAGTCCCCAGACAAGACAACAAGTCCCTGGTCAGGAATATAGGAGGTGCCCAATACATGGGAAATACAGAAGACTTAGGGTCTATGATATACACGCATTAAAAACTCTATGCTCTGCATGTGGTCCATCCATACAGTGGAATATTATTCAGCCTTAAAAAGATGGAAATTCCTGGCCAGGCGCGATGGTTCACACCTGTAATCCCAGCACTTTGGGAGGCTGAGGCAGGTGGATCACGAGGTCAGGAGATCAACACCATCCTGGCTAAGACGGTGAAACCCTGTCTCTACTAAAAAAAAAAAAAAAAATTAGCCGGGCGTGGTGGCAGGTGCCTGTAGTCCCAGCTCCTCGGGAGGCTGAGGCAGGAGAATGGCATGAACCCGGGAGGCAGAGCTTGCAGTGAGCCGAGATTGCACCGCTGCACTCCAGCCTGGGCGACAGAGCGAGACTCCATCTCAAAAAAAAAAAAAAAAAAAAAAAAAAAAGGATGGATATTCTGATATATGCTACAATGTGGATGAACCTTGAGGATGTTAAACTAAGTGAAATAAGCCAGTCACAAAGGACAAATACTATATAATATCTTTCATATGAGGCACATAGAACAGTCAGAGTTGCAGAGATGAAAAGCAGAATGATGGTTTCCAGGGGCTGGGGAGAAAAGAGAATGGGAAATGATTGTTTCATGGGGATAGAGTTTCAGTTTTGCAAGATAAAAAAGTTTTGTGGATGGATGGTGATGATGGTTGTGCAACAGTATAAATGTGCTTTGTGCCACTGAACTGTACACTTAAACCTGGTTAACATGGGGGCCAGGCATGGTGGTTCACACCTGTCATCCCAGCACTTGAGGAGGCCTAGGCAGGAGAATTGTCTGAGCCCAGGAATTCAAGACTAGCCTGGGCAACATGGTGAGACCCCCTCTATTTAAAAAAAAAAAAAAAAAAAGCCAGGCGCGGTGGCTCATGCCTATAATCCCAGCACTTCGGGAGGCTGAGGCAGGTGGATCACGAGGTCAGGAGATGGAGACCATCCTGGCCAACATGGTGAAACCCTGTCTCTACTAAAAATACAAAAATTACCCAGGCGTGGTGGTGCACGCCTGTAGTCCCAAGTACTTGGGAGGCTGAGGCAGGAGAATTACTTGAACCCGGGAGGCAGAGGTTGCAGCCAAAATCACGCCACTGCACTCCAGCCTGGGCGATAGAGCGAGACTCCCTCTCAGACAAAAAAAAAAAAAAAAAAAAAAGGTTAAAATGGTAAATTTTATGTTATGTATATTTTACCACAATTAAGAGTAAATAAATGTTTTAATCCACCTTCTTCCCAATATGGTGAGAAGCAGAAAGAGACTCCTTCAATAGATACCATTTCAAAGTTATGCTGCCTCTCAGTCCATAGCCCTAGGAACCCAAACAAAAAGACAAGGGGTCAACATAAAGGGCATTCAGGGGTCCCCAGCGGGCCTCCCCAGCATCCTGGGACTCTACTTCCTCCAGGGGAAGGTAAATAAAATCAGCTGATCAACCAATCAGCTCACTGGAAAGCAGGAAACAGAAGGACTCTCTAAAATCAGCCCAGATTGCTACACAGGAATTGTCCAAAGTCCAAAAAGTTGCCACTCTTTAAAGGAGGCAGAGGAGAATACATAAAAACCAAGAAGGAAGAAACAATAAAGGTGAGGTAGAGAAGGACTCCAATGCAACCAAAAAGAAGGCTTCTAGCCTGAGACCTGGCTACCAGGGGCAGAACCCAGGTCGGAGGCTTCTCTGGCATTTTCTTTCCTGCTGGGTAGGCAGGAGTTCTCTCCAGAGGAACACATAGCTTTAGCCCCTCTTTGAAAAATTTGCTCCAAGAAAAAGAAAACACGTTTAACCAGAGATACAGGATAGAAAGGGCGGCCAGCTCTTAAAACATGGGCCATAAATGTGCTTGGAGGTTGGTTTTGCCCTTAAAGGAAATAAAATTTATGGTTTGTCAGATAACTAGAAAGAAAAGCCCTCAGAGTGGAAATCTGGCCAGATAAAAGTCTACGAATGAATAGGAAGTTTTCTTAAAATGCAGTGCTTAAATATTTCAGTGAGAAAAAGATCTTAGGATCTACCAAGTTGGTTTTTGTTTTTCTTTTTCTTTTTCTTTTTTTTTTTTTTGAGACAGTCTCACTCTGTTGCCCAGGCTGGAGTCCAGCAGCGCAATCTCAGCTCACTGCAACCTCTGCCTCCTGGGTTCAAGCAATTCTCCTGCCTCAGCCTCCCAAGCAGCTTGGATTACAGGCATGTGCCACCACGCTCAGCTAATTTTTGTATTTTTAGTAGAGACAGCGTTTCGCCATGTTGGCCAGGTTGATCTCGAACTCCTGGCCTCAAGTGATCCACCTGCCTCAGCCTCCCAAAGTGCCGGGATTACAGGTGTGAACCACCATGCCTGCCCAGCATTTTTAACTCAAACCAAACCTAGAAAAACCTCCACAAGCAAATATCCCTTCTTTTCTTGTCACGTGGGCTTGTCTTTGACCCTTAGCTGTGGGAGAGTAAACCTTCCCTTTACAATATTAACAATCTCCATATTGTGGTTACCTAGGGGAGAAGGCGGGAGGGAACTGCTGACTGACAGGTGACAAGATGGCAGCTTCCAGACTGACGGCAATGTTCAATGGTATCCTGGTTTGGATGGTGGTTCCGTGGATGTGTACATACGTAAAAATTCATTGAGCTGTCCCTAAGATTTGTGTACTTTATAAACATTATTCTTCAGCAAAAAGCGCACACATACATACATACATACATAATTTTTAAATTGCCACAGGTTTATGTTGTGCCCAACTGGAGCCAAGTTGGTTGTAAAAAGGGGCCCCAATCACAGTGAGTTCATTCACCTGCACTCCCACCTCCTCTCCGAATCCGCCACACGGTTATGGAAGCTGGCTCCACCGACGAGCCCTCTGGATAAAGGAGAATAATGGAAACTCAGTCCGAGGAGCTTATTTCCCGTTTGGAGGGGTTTTGCAAGGCAGCAGATTGAAACTAATGACAAAAGTAACTGAGATTCTTGCCAATCAAGCTCTCCCTGAATCGTGCTGAAATCTGTCACTCAAGAGCTTCTATGAGGTTGTCTCATTCCTGCATTACAGAATAACATGGAACAAAGATTCTCTTGCCATGGCAGCCTTTCAGACACCAAAATTAGTTGTTATTCTCAGTCACCTCTCATCCAGGCTATTCATTCATTCAACACACAAGATTTATCAAATCTGACAACTATTTCTACATAGTATGGTTTTCAGATCCTCTCACTGTCCTGGCTCCATATATGCCCTTTTTTATAAGGGCACTGTTGCATTGGTGAGGACACCACCCTCATGACCCAATTGCCTCCCAGAGGCCACATCTCCTAATACCATCACATTGGGGATTAGGTTTTAAGGCATGAGTTTTGGGGGAGACATAAACATTCAGACCATAGCATTGAGCAACTGTAAAGAACTATTAAAAGTGTGCGCGGCCAGGCGTAGTGGCTCATGCCTTTAATCCCAGCACTTTGGGAGGCCGAGGTGGGCAGATCACCTGAGGTCAGGAGTTCGAGACCAGCCTGACCAACATGGAGAAACCCCCTCTCCACTAAAAATACAAAAAATTAGCCAGGCCTGATGGTGCATGCCTGTAATCCCAGCTATTCGGGAGGCTGAGGCAGGAGAATCACTTGAACCCGGGAGGTGGAGGTTGCAGTGAGCCGAGATCACGCCACTGCACTCCAGCCTGGGCAACAAGAGTGAAACTCATCTCAAAAAAAGAAAAGAAAAAAGAAAAAAAAGTGTGAGCAAGGTAAGCAGATACCCCTTCTCCATCCTATCAATGTCACCACCATCCTCCTGCCACTCAATTAGGAAGTGTCTTCTCAGCCTTGTCCACTCTCCTCCTCCTCCCCTCTCCCTGTAGTCCCCACTGGTCTTGTTCCTTCTTCCTGTAAGGAATTTAACACTTTCATTTATGGAGTCATCATCCTTGGGATGGGTCGCCGCCAGCCCTTGGGGCATTGCAAGCTCGTGTCTGATACAGATTCCCAGCTCTGGCTCGTGACTGACAGGGTCAGAGTCTGGGATGAGGTTCAGAGTTGGTGCTGTGAGTAGGCACCGAGAGGAAACGCGGGCTAGGGCTGGCACTGCTGTTAGAGGCTGCCAGGTCTCACTGGGCAGCTTGACTCGCCATTCTAACCTGTGAGGTGCTCCCATCTCCTCGTTTCTCCCACCCCATGTCCACCTCCCTGGAAGGCACCAGCCTTGTTGCATAAAGGGAGCACGATGCTGCAAGCTTAGTGCTCCAGGACGTGGGTTCCTACTAAGCTCTCCTCATGCCGCACTCCATTTTCTCATCATCTCTGACTGCCCCTCACCACCTATCATGCTATTCATTCATTCATTCTGTGCCTCTTCAGCTCAGAGACATTCATCTGGTCTTCTCTGCCGCCTCTTCCCTGCATGCCACCCTGAACCCCAGCGAGGTTTTCAAATGGTTTCCTGGCTGTTACCACCCCAGACAACTCATGGAGAAGCAGCCATCTCAATTCTCCGCCTGTCCCCGGGGTGGCCACTCTCCTGGAGGCTACAACCTGGACCTTTCTGTCAAGGCCAGTCTCCTTCTTGTCACCTCATGTTGTCCCTGGCCCCATGGTTCACCCGCATCATCCCTCCTCCTTGGAGACCTGATACAGCCCACACCAGCCACCCATCAGCTGGTGATGCCCTCCTTGTATGCCCATAGCATCCCCCGGGGCCATTCTCGACTCACACTGCATGCTGTCTCTCCCAGCACTACCTAGAGGCTTCTACTCTGCCCCCATGACAACCATCATCCCAATAATAGCTGATACACACTGAGTGCACAGAAGTACCAGACACTGTCCCAAACATCAATTAATTCTTAACTCATTTAATTCTCTGCAGTGTATGTGCTCATTATTTTTAGTCTGCCCATTTTACAGATGAGGAAACTGAGGCACAGAGAGGTTCAGTAACTTGCCTAAAGGTACATGGCTAAATGTCTAGATGGTCAACTCCTTGAGGAGTACGGTGTATGTGTGTATGGGTGTGGGTGTATGTGTCTTCTGACTTTTCCAGGTATCTTCTATAATATTTCATTCATTCAATCGGCATTCATTCAACTTCTTTTTTAGTATTTATTCTTGTTTGAAGGATGGAAAATAACAATGGATAGATGTAGGCTTGCAGTGTACCATCCTGGGTTATTACCCCTGGCTCTGTTTCAGTCTAGGTGACGCTGATGACTTTTTCACTCTCCTGGAAGCCTATTATAAATGGTGATGACGTGGCCTACCTCTCAGGTTGCCCTGGTATCCCCATACCTGCTCACCAAGCTCACTCCCAACTCCAACCCCCCACCCCCCTACACACACACAGGCCTTCCGCTAGCCTTATAAACCGACAAGTATCATCCATAAGGAAACTACATAAAAAGATCAATAGTCTGTCTTTGAGGCCTATACCACATTACCTTGCAACATCAAAATCAGGGTTTATCCTTAAAGTTAGCACAAGGAAAAGACACCCACTGGGGAAAGGGAGGCCCAGGGGTAGCCCTGGAGCTGGGACCAGGATATCCCCAGGCCTAACGCACTGTCTCCCCTGCTAACCACAAGATGGCATGGTGCAGAAACCCAGAGAGCAAAGGTGCCAGGCTCTTCCCGGAGCTGCTATTTCTCCTAAAGACTTGGTCTCCAAAGGAGATCTGCACGCCTCATTTGTTGCACAAAATAGAAAGAGCAGCCCTCATGTTTCAGTCTAAGGCATTCATTTGCGGTTTTTATTTATAGTCCTGCATATATTTGTGCACACATAGATACACCAGCCAGGAAGTGCAGGTCCAGGTACACACTTACACACACACACACACACACACACTCTCTCTCTCTCTCTCTCTCTCGGAAAATCAAGATTTATTTGTATGTACATACAGCCCAGTTAAAGATAAGTCCATTCACAGTCCCTAAAAGAAAAAAAACTATTAAGCTTCACATTTTCAATTCCAAAACCACTCTAAAAATAAACCGCTCATCAACTCAATCGACTTTCAAAGTCACACAAATTAGTGTGGATAGTAAAAATTCTAATAGCTTACTCCTTTTGCTCTTAATTAACCTAAGAATTTGGAAAATGGAGGGAAAACAAGAGAACATCCAGCCTCAAAAATTTGTTCCCGAAGCAGCCTTTCTCTAAAAGTATGACAGTATCTCTCTTGGTCTCTGCTCTGTTATTTAGGAATCGCCTGCAATCCATGCAACCCACTAAGTGAAAATTCAACCACTTGGTAGTTCGTGCATCTTGTTCAGATAACCTCGCAGGAGAGGGGATGAGGGACAGACAAAATATTCCTAATGATATGATGGATTTATTGCTGTAGACCCAGAGGCATCAGAATATGCCAAGAGATGCACCAGATTAGATGGTCCTTTGTACTTCAAAATATCACCTCCCCGCTAGCCCAAAGAAAATCCACAGAAAACAAACACCATTGATATTCAAGTAACTGTCTCTCCACATATTTGTTTCTTTCTTCATTTTGATGATCTTCCAGTACATCACCTCCTGGCCTCTCCCTTCTTCCTATCTCTGTCCTTACAAAAGAAACGCCAAGTCCTCTCCTTCCGCCCACATACCAACTTTATGAAAAAATCCCTGGCTGGAGCTATCTGGGGCACATAATCTAAGAACAAAGCCTGCAATAATGTTGCAGGTTGCAGCCCATGCTTTATCCAAAGGGTGGGAACATTTCTGTTGAGCACACAGAGGCCAACCGGGAGAAAAAGAAAATGCCATCTGGCTGGCAAGGGTTTATGTCTGTACCCACAGCTTAACAGAGGGGAAGCCAGCAAAGGGAGTACCCTTTGTAATTTCTTGAGGGATATTTGAGTTTAGAACAAGAGGGCAGTAAAACAAGAGTCTGCAATGCTATCATTTCATGGTGGAAGAGGTTGCAGCATTCCCAGGAATTTTGAGCATGAATAAAGGACACTTCCAAGAAATTTCCAGGCTGGGAAGAAATGTCCAGGCCAAAGCTCTAGAGCTCTCGGGAGTATAAGCTCACTTCTGTGTCAGAACTGTCCCCAGCCCGGGCGTGGTGGCTCAAGCCTGTAATTCTAGCACTTTGGGAGGCCGAAGCAGGCAGATCACGAGGTCAGGAGTTCAAGACCAGCCTGGCCAACGTAGTGAAACCACATCTCTACTGAAAATACAAAAATGAGCCAGGTGTGGTGGTGCATGCCTGTAGTCCCAGCTACTCGGGAGGCTGAGGCAGGAGAATGGCTTGAATTCGGTAGGCGGAGGTTGCAGTGAGCCAAGATCGCGCCACTGCACTCCAGCCTGGGCAACAGAGCAAGACTCCGTCTCAAAAACAAAAACAAACACAAACCATCCTCAGAGGGTGTTTCATGTTAAAATTTGAAGAGCATTTCAAGGAAGACAATGACGTAGGCATCTTGGTTAGAAATCTCACCCTCAGCCTCCCCTTTAAAAATCACCCACCCTGGCCTCCTCCATCCCTCAATACCATTCCCAATAAAGCAACCGCTATAGACTCCCAGATATGTAGCCAAATTCCTTCTGAGGGGTCATTAGCCTAAACGCAGCATACATAAAAACACAGCAGGCATGAAAAGTAATTTAAAAAAAACAAATGCCCTTCTAACACCAAACACACTGGTTATCCTAATAATTCCATGTCTCCGAAACTCAAATTCCAGCCATCAATTCAATCCACACTAAATGACAATCACTCTCAAAACATATCATATCAGTTCAAAGTAACAATTATATATGTCCACAATAATATCCAAAGTGCCACCAAAACCATGTTAATGTCAAGTTTTCCTTTAACTATTGTCATCATAGAGTTTCTCCTTTTATCATGAAGAAATACGGAATTAAAGATATGAAATGAAAAAAAGGAACATTCTGGCCGGGGAGAAGAGGGAAGTGACGTTATTGGTAATCAGAAAGATAGTAAGCGCTAACATTTTTTTGAGCGCTACTTCCTGACACTGAGCAATGCATTTTACATGCACTATCTCATATCTCCTTCCCCCACAGCCTCTGAGGGATGTACAATGAGGCCCATCTTACAGATGAGGAAACTGAGGTTCTTAACAGTGAAATAATCCCAGTGTCAGCATGGAAGGTGAAATAAATAAGACAGAAGAGATTAAGAGAGACCGATTGCAACAGCCTAAGAAATAAATCATCTGATCGAAGCTAAGGAAGTTGCAGATGACAGGACTGAACAGAATTTAAATGCAGAGGATGAGAGAAAGCGGAGAGTTAAGACGATTGTGTGTTGTTGTGGTTTTTTTTTTTAACTTTGAGGGGTTTATTTTTTGAGATGGAGTCTCACTTTGTCACCCAGGCTGGAGTTCAGTGGTGCGATCTTGGCTCACTGCAAACTCTGCCTCCCGGGTTCAAGCAATTCTCCTGCCTCAGCCTCCCGAGAAGCTGGGACAACAGGTATGTACCAACATGCCCAGCTAATTTTTGTATTTTTAATAGAGGCGAGGTTTCCCCGTGTTGACCGGCTGGTCTCTAACTCCTGACCTCAAGTAATCCACCCACCTCGGCCTCCCAAAGTGCTGGGATTACAGGGGTGAGCCACCGCGCCCAGCCGAGACAATTATGTTTGGACTGCTGTATAGAAATTGGTAACAGAAACATAGGTTTGAATAACACGGGCAGTAATTTAGTTTCAGAACTGCTGAACTCGAGGAACCATGGGCCCGCAGGCAGGGACAGCTACTAGGCATTAAATGGTACCCACAAGCCTTTCCCAAACTCGTGTACCACTACAGAGTTCATCACGTATCAAAACAAATCCATCTGTAACAGTCAAGTTTTAACCCTTTTGGGATGTTTTCCTACCAACCAGCCTGAAAGCAAATCAAAAGTATAGTTTTGCCTCTTCGAGACCAGCCTGGCCAACATGGTGAAACCCCGTCTCTACTAAAAATACAAAAATTAGCCAGGCATGGTGGCGTGCACCTGTAATCCCAGCTACTCGGGAGGCTGAGGTAGGAGAATAGCTTGAACCTGGGAGGCGGAGGTTGCAGTGCGCTGAGATCATGCCACTGCACTCCAGCCTGGGACAGAGCGAGACTCCATCTCAAAAAAATTTAAAAAAAAGGTATACTTTTGCCTCTGAGATAGATTGTGACAAAGGCAAGCCCTAACATCACCCCATAACTCTACGGCCTTCTCATCCAATGTCCTGGGACACAGTGCTTAGCTTCCAATGCCAGGATTTCTCCAATCCCATTCATATCCCGGCCTTTAGCAAGCAGAAAAGCCAAACAGAAGAGGCCCAAAACAGTCCTTCCTCCTCGGGAGTGGCCTGAAGGAGGCATTGGACGAGTCTCACCTGACAAGACCAAGGCAGCTTTCTCCTCCCTTTGGCCTGAAGAGAAGTGGCTGAAAAATTATCTGCACAGGAAGAAAACAGGGCGGTCTGAATGCCAATTCTTGAACAATTCCACTTAAAGAATCAAAGTCCTCCACAAACACCCACTGTACAATATGCTACTGGATTCTGCAGGAAAGCTTTCTGTGGGACCATCCTGGGGCTACTCAATGCCCACCAAATCCACAGCCGGTAGCCCAGCAGAAAAGAGGTCTCTTAAAATCTCCCATTTTGGGCCAGGCACAGTGGCCCACGCCTGTAGTGCCAGCACTTTGGGAGGCCAAGGTGGGCAGATCACGAGGTCAGGAGATCGAGATTGTTCTGGCCAACATGGTGAAACCCCGTCTCCACTAAAAATACAAAAATTAGCTGGCTGTGGTGGCTAGCGCCTGTAATCCCAGCTACTCCAGAGGCTGAGGCAGGAGAATCACTTGAACCCAGGAGGCGGAGGTTGCAGTGAGCCAAGATTGCGCCACTGCACTCCAGCCTGGTGACAGAGCGAGACTCTGTCTCAAATAAATAAATAAATAAATAAATGCCCCATTTTGAAGGGCAATAAAACTCCATGTGGAATGCCCCAACAAGACACAAATTCAGTTATATCCCAGGTCAGCGCACGTCCTCACCATGAGCAAATGGTGGACAGTATATGCCTAAGACCAGCGGCTCCCCTGGCCACTCCTGACAAGCACCACACAGGGCTCCCCAGCTACAGCTGCAGCTTCCCTACTAGAAAGGAGAAAATAAACTGTTTAGACCCAGATACCTAACTCTTTGGCCCCTTCCACATCCATCTCCTGCAAAAGTTTATCATATCACAAACAGGCAGAGACAGCCATGCAAACCAAATAGTCCACATGAGCACCTATGCTTCCTGGCCCTCTTAGATGACAGGGCCGTACACCCAGCACATTGTGGACAATGGGCTGTGAGCAGTTCTCCCGTCTCTCCCTGCTGCAATAACCCTGAATCATAGGTTCAGATGGAGGTGGTATAAAATGGAGCCACTGTCATCCTAATTTCCTGAAGCACAGCCTCCCTCCTCCACAACCCATATTATGCATATAACACGAATGAGGAAGCAACCTTTGTTTTAAGCCAGTGACATTTGGGGATGTTTGTTACTGCAGCATAGTTTAAACTATCCTGACTAATATACTCACTATCTAAGACCCTTGAGAGAAATTTCTTTTTTCATTCCTTCTCTCATTAAAATAAGGCTGACATCTTTTAGCACTCTATTCAAGATTCTTCTTAATTTGTCCTTGACATAAAAAAGCCACTGTTCCAGCAGACACCCAACTTCCAAGATTCCTATACAGATCCTTTCATGCCTCTGTGCCTCTGCATATGCTGTTCCCTCTCCCTGGGATACCCTTCCCCACTCTCCCACCCTGCAATGCTCTTTGAACCCCTCATCCTTCAATGTCCATTGAATGTCTCTCACAAAGCCTCCCTACCAGCCTCAGACGGACTGAGCCACACATCCCTCAGGGTATCCCTAACAGTCAACTTCTCTTCAGCCATGGATCACGTACTATTATAATTACTTGTTGACAAGTCTGTCTGCTCACTGTATGGGAACTGTCGGTGAGGGCATTTGTCTACCTGTATCTTTTTATCCCCAGCACAGAGCACAGTGCCAGGTTAATAGTACATGCTCCACAAATATTTGTTGAATAAATGAACAAATGAATAAATTTCTCCCATGAAGATCTACAGATAAGAGGTCTTAAATAAAAACATCATATACATATATCAAAATTTATTTCAGGTACAGATGTTTACAAGTAGAAGACACACATCTCAACCACAGGGCAGCTGGAGGGGACAAATGTTCAGCCCATAATTTACTTAAGCAAATGTATCCACTGTCCTTTTTGCCCACGCAAGCAAACAACTATGTTGCTTCTCACTCTATTTTCAGAAAGTGAGTTTCTAAAAATCTCAGGAAAAGGTGGGGGTGCAGGCCTAACTATGTTCACCTAAGGCTTAGGCCTAAACCCAAGCAGGTTCATCTTGGTCTTTTGTCCATCAATCCAAGGAAAGATTCCTCAGCTGCTTCCCAATCAGGAGAAAAAGCTGCTGTCTGCGTGATATAATAACAACCCCAGGCCAAGCCGACAGGGTGGGAGAAGAAGGGCTAAAGTGTGTTCAGACCAAGGACAGTGAGCTCCCCTTGTTTGCTCCATCCAGAGATGAATGAACAGGAACTTGCACGTGGCTGTCATCCTGTAGTCAGGGGGTGGTCACCTGGATGCCCTTCTGCTTGGAAATCCTACTGGGGACACAGAAACCTCAGAGGGGTCTGTCCACAGCACAACCTTGTCCAGCTGATTCTTCAACAACTGCCAGACAATAGAGGTCAAATCTCAGAAGAAAGCTACGATCTCCTCCAGCCTCTCTGTCTAGAGAGCTCTTCAAACCCCCCAGGGCATCCCCAGGCAGCCTCAGGGAGCAGGGCAGGTGGGCTGTCTCTGCCACTCCAATGGGGCATCTTCAGCTGGGTCAGGCTCACAAAAGGGCAGACAGCAAGTCAGTCATTTGGTTTCATTGAGACATGCCTGCGTGCTATCCTACCCTTCCCCTGAGTGGTGGCTTTTTATGCCTCCAGAGCTTGGTGTCACGTGGAGCCAGGCGGGAAGTGCACTCACTAGCTGGGGAGGCAGGCAGACCTGGTCAGGTCGCCAGCTTTGCTACCAATAACCTGCGTGACTTCAGCCATGTAGCTTAACCTCTCTGAACATGTTTCTTCATTCATAAGATATAAATGATACCTCCCTTCCAGAATTGTGGAAGGTGCTGAACACATGTGCAGAATACTCTCTGGGCATAGTAGGCGGTCAATACATGGAAACTAGTGTTTACATTGTATGTTCTCACAATACACTCCGAAGGCAGGGTCTTCCATGGTTCCCTATGAAGGGCTGTTCTCAGCGCAGGCTTGTCACAAACAGGATGATCAGGAATACTTTGCCCTATCTGCAGGCAGGATGTACATATGATGACACACTTCCAAGCATGCAGGGAGGTCTCAGCACAGACTCCTGCCTGTGACGGTGGGGCTCACGCAGCCTGTCGCTCAGTCTCACCTGAGACAGTAATTGCCCCGATACATCAATACATGCCAAGGTCCTCCCAGGACCGTCTTCATCAAGCTTCCCCGCTTGATGAAATACGTCATATCAATATCCCTACGGAGTTATTTTTAGAGCTCAATGAAGGGCCGGTATCTCCTGTCCTGGCAATAAATACACAAGCCAGCCACCAGCATAATAAGACTTAGGGTAACACCACCACTTACTGAGGACAGATCTTCTGTGGGGACATTGGGGGAGGACGGGGTCTGTGAGATTTCCGGGTAACCTCACCTTGGATGGAACATGGGTCATCTCCATCTGCCTGGGGTCACTTCTGGCTTTCACAGGCTATGACTGGCACCCATCTCGACTGGCGGTCTACTCCTTAACAACTTCTGTGTGTGTGTGTGTGTGTGTGTGTGTGTGAAGTCTTCCAAAATTGTGCTGTCACGCTTTGTGCAGCCTAGAAGATGTCTCAGTGAGCAAATCCTAAGGACAGCAGCCCTGCAATGAAGTCAGCCAGACTTAAAGAGGAAATAGATGGCTGACAGCTGACAGCTGTCCATCACAAAGTCCATCCCTACAGACATCAGGCCCAGTAGAAAGTAAATGCTGTCACCATAGCAAAATCAGGTCCCAGGTTTGCTGCGTGACAGCCTTCCCGTTGCCGCCACCCGGCAGCAATCCTTCATCACCATCTTCACCCTCTTCAACATGGAAAGGGCCGGAGGAGCCCTGCTGCTCCCCGGCTGATGGATGAGACTTTCATTGAAACTCACTCTCACCCAAGTGTCACCTCAGCCATTGCCCTGCTAAGCCTCGCCCCCCGAGTGTCCAGTGAAAGGCTCTTTTCTTCTTTAAAGGAATCTGGGGAACTGAAGCGGCATCCAGACAGAAGCACTTAGGTGGGGGGCCTAAGAAGTCACCCCAGATCTTCCCACCTGCCTCGGCAGCTGTCTCCTCCTTTTCTCTCCACTCCACCCCCAGCCCCGCCTTCCTGGGGGGTACTGTCTTCTGTATCACCCCCATCGGATGCCCTGAGTCACATCTTCTAGCTCCTGTGTTCTCTCCACCTCCAGCAGTGAGGATTCTACACACATGTGCACACATACATGCACACACAAGCACCCGCAAAACATACATCCTTCAAAGGAATGTTCTTTTTTTCTTTTTTTTTTTTTTTTTTTTTTTTTAGCAGAGCCTCCCTTTGTACCCCAGGCTGGAGTGCAGTAGTGTGATCTCAGCTCACTGCAAGCTCCGCCTCCCGGGTTCAAGCAATTCTCCTGCCTTCGCCTCCCAAGTAGCTGGGATTACAGGCACCTGCCACCACACCCAGCTAACTTTTGTATTTTTATAGAGATGGGGTTTTGTCACATTGGCCAGGCTGGTCTTGAACTTCTGACCTCAGGTGATCCGCCCACCTTGCCCTCTCAAAGTGCTGGGATTACAGGCGTGAGCCACCGCACCTGGCCAATGTTCTTTATGAGTAGAGACAAGACGTGGTAGACACCTTTTTTCTCATGTCTCATGACCACGATTATGAAGATTCATTCTTGAATACTCCTTGAATATCCTTTGTTCAAAACTCCAAGGTTGTTTCTTGTGCAGTTTCTGAGATGGGAAATCCATCCCATGACTTCAACAGGAGGAGATCCATGAAGCTCTAAATTGGAGATGCTGAGGCAAGCGAGGGGGGAACTGCCATTTGATAGGATGCCCCTGGGGCAGGGGAGGGTGATGGAAAGGGTGATGGGGGCCTGGAGAGACAGCCAGTTAGCAAAATGGTTAAGAGTTAAGCTCTGGGGTTCAAATTCTTGCTCTAACGCTTGACATCGGGGTGACTTTGGGCAAAGTACCGTGACTTCCCTGGGTCTCAGTTCCTCACCACAAAAATATAGCAACACCTGTGCTGTTGGGGTCTTGGGTGGATTAACTGGAATGATCTGGACAGAGCCCTTGGCACAGTATTTGGCTCATAAGCAGCATTTAATAACTTTCTAGCTTCTAAGAAATTACCACCCAATATACAAAAATCAACACAAAATGGATCCAAAATTTAAGCTTAAGAAAAAAAAGAAATTACCCTCCATTATCTCAACTAGACTTTACATCAACCCTATGACTTGGTAGGTATTTGCCCCATTTTACAGATAAGAAAACTGAGGCACAGAGTGTCCTGTGCATCCCCCAAGATCACAAAGCCAGGTAAGGGCAGAGCCAAGGTTTGAGCCCTGGCAGCTGTGGCTGCAGAGCGATGGGCCCACCGCTCTGTTCTGGGGCCTACCCCCGGCACAGCAGACCTGAACGTCCAGGCCTTTCCAGGGCTAGCACAGAGCCTGCATAGCTGCAGTGACTACAGTAGCTGTTTCCTTTGTCCTCGTCCCCTGCAGTTTCTTTCCAGAGTCCCAAGAAGCCACACAACCCTTCAGGAGGAGATTAGCAGCAGCAGAAAACAGAAATAAGAGAAAGTTAGTTTTCTTTTTCTGGGCTAGAGGTGCCCTGCTGCGCTGGAGAGAAACTGGGAGGAGGGAAAGCTAATGCCAGCCCCAGCCCGGTTTCTGCCCGCTGCCCTTTGCAGCTCTAGGTGGAAGCACAAGCTTGCTAGGCTCGGCACGCTCAGAGCTGCAGGAAGGCGGTCAGCTCTGGCAGCCACACTGCTCCTGTCCCAAAGGGAGGACAGACCTAGAGAAGCGGCCTGATCTGCCTTCTCCACCTCCGAATCCCCCCACCACACCCACACACACACACACACACACACACGCCTTTTGCATTTATCCCGGGGTCCTCCAGAGGGACAAGGAAGGGGCTGATTCAGTGACCCCTGAGCCCCGCCTCTCAGTCCCCAGACTTCAGGCAGCCTGGGAAGCCTCCGACCTACATTCAGATGCCTAGGGGTTCTGGGAGGGGCGCTCAAAGCTCAGAGGCCTGAATTCAGCACCCTGCTCAGGCTCTTTGAGAACCGCTGACTTGAAGTGGGCCTGCTCGCTTTGCTAAACAAATATGGGTAACTCTGGTCTTCCAAAAAGAGCTCACAATTCTGTCCTCCCTGGAAGCTACAATTCAATCATCCTCTTCCAAACGTCCAAATCCCAGCTTCAGTGAGGCTATCTCACACAGCAACCTGCCTGGGAGTGACCTGCATGCAAAACTTCAAGAGTTTGAGGGAAACTTGAGGGAAACTTGCAGAAACCAGCTTGCCAAGGAAAAACGCTCCCAGTGCGTTCAATGAAAAAGCAGGCGACCCAGCTAAATGAGTAAACTGACCCAATCGGGGGGATGAAAGGGAACGTATATCTATGCAATGACAATAAATCGTGGAAAGACATATTAAAATACAAAAGCCATTTCTAGACGCAAAATCATGGATGTGTTTTATTTGCTTCTTTGTGTTTTCTGGTATTTTTACAAAACTGCACTGCAGAATGTTTGGAATCAGATGAAAAGTTCATTTCTGAGAAGCCTCCTTCTTTTCTCTTTTAAATTTTCTTCTTTTGCATTCCATTTTGGCCAGCTCGCTTGAACTCTGCGTTCAAACGCCTTTCTCTCCCAAGCAAAAGCTCCAGGAGGAATCTTCTGGAGCAAAGTTAGAACCGCAGGGAAGCTTGAAAAGAGGAAACAGACCAGCCTGGCCGGTGGAGGTTAAATTAAACTACAGTTCTCTAGCAGGCCTCGGGCTTGGTCAGGAGCTATTGGTAAGACGGCAGAAACGGAGTACAGGCCAATAAACAAATCAAAACAAAAACAAGAAGCAAAGAAAGAAAGAAACATGTTTTAAGAAGAATAAAGTCATTAGGTGGCAAGGGGCCTCTGCAGGACCATCCAGGCCAGGGAGAAAAACACCACCAAGGACCCAAACTTCTTTCACTGGGGAGCTGCAAGCAGGAGGCGCTGGCTCTGAGCAGTGGCTTTGTGCTTCGGGCAGAACCGGCCGCGAGGGCTGCGCCCCACCAGCCGCGCGCCGGGAGGGCGGACGCGCCGGGCACAGCCAGGCGCCGGGGGTGACCGCGGCAGCACCGGCCCGGCGGCTGGAAGCAGACGCGCCGCTCCGCCCGCGCCCGCGCCCGGTGGAGCCACAGCGCCATCAAGTGGCCACTCGGCGAACGGCCGCACGGGGAAGCGGCTCAGGCCCAGGGAAGAGGTCCAGGGTTCCCAGCCGCAACTGTCCCTGGGGAAGGGTCTGGACCTGCCAAGCTGCCACTCCAGGGCCTGAGGCAGGAGCCTGCAGACGGACACCAGCTGTCCAGGCGCACTCCACCACCCAGGGCTGCCCCAGAGGATGTTCGGGAATCCTGTCTCCTCCTTCGGGAGAGAGGTTACTTTTGCAGTCCCAGGCCCATTCTCTTCTCCAGCAACTTGCTCACAGTTTAAAAGGTTTGGTTCTCAGAGAGTGGCGCCAGAGCAAAGGGGGCATCTCGCTGCTCTGGGGCATCCTGCAGGGGATGGCGCAGATCTGGGGTCCATGTCTGTGAGCGGACACCATTGGAACATGTGTCTAGAGAATCTGGGCGGGATCACTGCCCACAGCCCTTCAAGGCCCACAAACCTACAACACATCTCTCCTGGAAACAGCACGTGATCCCATATGCCCCCTGGTCTTTGGGTACAAATTATGGGGTGACTCAAGAAGAGAGCACGTGATATGGTTTGGCTGTTTGTTCCCTCCAAATCTCATACTGAAATGTGATCTCCGGTGTTGGAGGTGGGCCTAGTGGGAGGTGTTCGGATCATGGGGGTGGATTCCTCATGAATGGTTTGGTGCTATCTTCACAGTAACGAGTGAGTTCTCACTAGAACAGTTCATGTGAGCTTGGCATGGTGGCTCACACCTGTAATCCCAGTACTTTGGGAGGCCACGTCAGGTGGATCCCTGGAGGTCAGAAGTTCGAAACCAGCCTGGCCAACATGGTGAAACCCCATCTCTATTAAAAATACAAAAAAATTAGTTGGGCGCGGTGGCACGCACCTGTAGTCCCAGCTACTCGAGAGGCTTGAGGCAGGAGAACTGGTTGAACTTGGGAGATAGAGGTTGCAGTGAGCCAAGACTGTGCCGCTGCACTCTAGCCTGGGTGACAGAGCAAGACTCCATCTCAAAAAAAAAAAAAAAAAAAGAAAGAAAGAAAAGAGTTCATGTGAGATGTGATTGTTTAAAAGGGCCTGGTACCTTCCCCCATCTCTTGCTTTCCCTCTTGCCATGTAACATGCTGGTTCCCGTTTACCTTCTGCCATGATTGGAAGCTTCCTGGGGCCTCACCGGAAGCCAAGCAGATGCCAGGGCCATGCTTCCTGTACAGCCTGCTGAACCCTGAGCCAAATAAACCTCTTTTCATTACAAACTACCTAGGCTCAGATAGTCCTTTATAGCAATGCAAATGGACTAACACACCCCATGATCTCCATCCACAAACCACTGGAGGAACCCAACACAGCAACGGAAAAGTTCTCAGAGCACCAATCAGGAATATGCATATTAATATGAACACTATAACAGGAAATTACAGGAAAAGCATAGAGCGTTTGCTCTGTGCAAAGCACTGTGCGAATTCCTTCTGTACTTTATCTTCTTTAACCTTTACCACGACCTTAGGACATGAGTTTTTTATGATGTTTGTTTGTTTGTTTGTTTGTTTTTTACAGAAAAGGAAATGGAAGCACCCAGAGGTCCAAAAACTCACTCAAGGTTGCCTGGCCTGGAGTCAGAGCCTGAGAGCCAGCTCCTTCACTTACACTCCTTGATCCCATCTTTCCATCCATCCCCCAACCCCCAGCCGTAGGTGGATCCAGGTTTTGTGAGACCTGAAACATACATGTTTTCTAGAGGGAGAGGCAGCCTCTTTAAGATATGAAGTTGTAAATACACAGTTGAGGCCAGTCAGGGAGGGCTGTGTAGGGGAGGGGCTCTGCCTCATCTCCACAGTAGATCCACCCCTGCTCTTTAGACAGCCCCCTGCCCAGGAGCTGGCTTTCTGGAAACACTCCTCCGCATTGCCCCTCACAGCCATTTCTCTGGCTTCTGCAATTGACTTCCACGCCCACCCTGCCCCTGAAACTGCTCTGACTCAAGGTCACTCAATGACAGCCCAACTGCCAGGTACAATGAGAGCTCTCAGTGCTTCCCTCCAAGAGGAATTTGCAGCCCTGACATTTGCACTCCTGGAAGCCTCTTGTCTCCCAGCATCCAGGACACCACGATCCCCTGGCTTCCCTCCTACCGTCCAGCCCCACTTTGTCTGTGTTCCTCATCAGTGGATCTTCTGTGGACTGCTCCTAAAACCCGCAGGTGAGCACAGAACAGGAAAGAGCGTAGCCTCTCAGCCAGCCAGACCCGAGGTTTGGTCCCAGAATCCCAGTTAACAGCCGTGTAACCATCAGCAAACGGGTCACCCTCTCAGAGCCCATTTTTCTCTTCCGTGTAATTGGGGTTGTACATCAGAAGTTATTTAGAAGATTAAATGAGATCCTGTGCTTAGTATGTTTAATAGGATGCCTGCCCCAAAGCAGGGATCCCGGATCACTGCTGAGGGTCCCTGTCAGACTTGAGCTCCAATCCATCAATCTGTCCTGCGCACCAGATTAATATTTCATTGTCTGCAGAATCAGATCACCCAGGATCCCTCTGAGGAATGCATCTTGTCTGAGAGTGCCCTTCCCACCACCATCAAGCCTGCCTTCCTCCCTTTTTTGCCAGTTTCTGAACGACACCACTGGCAATTCAGATTCAGCATCCAGACATCCAGGATTCATTCTGAATCCAGCCTCCCCTGCAGGAAACATGGCCCTGGAATCCATCATCCCCCAAGACTCTCCCTCAGACCCCACCCTCCTCTCCCACGTCGGTCCGGGAGTTCCTGATCTCACTCTTGGGTCCCTGAACAGCCTCCTAAATGCTGGGTGTCTCTCCTGGCCCCGCCTCCCCACTGCCCCCAACCCATCCTCCTCTCCAAAAGAGTGAGCTCCTCAGACACATCTCAGATCATGCAGTTTCTCCATTTAAAACCTTGTGATGTCTTCCCCTTTCCATGGGTATGAAGTTCAAACCATGCCACAAAGCTTGGGGTCATCAGACCCCTGCTGCCCATGTACCCACCTCATCTCCCCTATAACCCCCTGCAGGATTTGCTCAGACATCCCAAACTACCTGCATTCCCCAAAACATGGCACTAGACACCCTCTCCCTTCCATGTCCCCTGTACACATGATGTTCCACCACCTGGAACACTCACCCGTTTCTCTGCTAACCACTTTCAATGGCCAGGATAAATGTCACCTCCTCTTGGAAGCCCTCCAGGATGTCCCCTTATGGTTCAGGATCAATTCTCTGTGCATCCTGTGAGTACTCCAGTCACAGCACTATTTGAACCCTACGATATTAGTATTTATTTTCCTGTCTCCCAGGCTAAGTGGTGCGCTCTTTGAGAGCGCAGATATCTTGAAAAGCAGTAACGTGCAGTGGTCGAAAGAGTGGGTTCTGCTCTTTAGTTTAATTAGATCCCATTTGTCAATTTTGGCTTTTGTTGCCATTGCTTTTGGTGTTTTAGACATGAAGTCCTTGCACATGCCTATGTCCTGAATGGTAATGCCTAGGTTTTCTTCTAGGGTTTTTATGGTTTTAGGTTGAACGTTTAAGTCTTTAATCCATCTTGAATTGATTTTTGTATAAGGTGTAAGGAAGGGATCCAGTTTCAGCTTTCTACATATGGCTAGCCAGTTTTCCCAGCACCATTTATTAAATAGGGAATCCTTTCCCCATTGCTTGTTTTTCTCAGGTTTGTCAAAGATCAGATAGTTGTAGATAAGTGGCGTTATTTCCGAGGGCTCTGTTCTGTTCCATTGATCTATATCTCTGTTTTGGTACCAGTACCATGCTGTTTTGGTTACTGTAGCCTTGTAGTATAGTTTGAAGTCAGGTAGTGTGATGCCTCCAGCTTTGTTCTTTTGCCTTAGGATTGACTTGGCGATGCAGGCTCTTTTTTGGTTCCATATGAACTTTAAGGTAGTTTTGTCCAATTCTGTGAAGAAAGTCATTGGTAGCTTGATGGGGATGGCATTGAACCTGTAAATTACCTTGGGCAGAATGGCCATTTTCATGATATTGATTCTTCCTACCCATGAGCATGGAATGTTTTTCCATTTGTTTGTATCCTCTTTTATTTCCTTGAGCAGTGGTTTGTAGTTCTCCTTGAAGAGGTCCTTCACATCCCTTGTAAGTTGGATTCCTAGGTATTTTATTCTCTTTGAAGCAATTGTGAATGGGAGTTAACTCATGATTTGGCTCTGTGTTTGTCTGTTGTTGGTGTATAAGAATGCTTGTGATTTTTGTACATTGATTTTGTATCCCGAGACTTTGCTGAACAAATGGGATCTAATTAAACTAAAGAGCTTCTGCACAGCAAAAGAAACTACCATCAGAGTGAACAGGCAACCTACAAAATGGGAGAAAATTTTCGCAACCTACTCATCTGACAAAGGGCTAATATCCAGAATCTATGATGAACTCAAACAAATTTACAAGAAAAAAACAAACAACCCCATCAAAAAGTGGGCGAAGGACATGAACAGACACTTCTCAAAAGAAGACATTTATGCAGCCAAAAAATACATGAAAAACTGTTCACCATCACTGGCCATCAGAGAAATGCAAATCAAAACTACAATGAGATACCATCTCACACCAGTTAGAATGGCGATCATTAAAAAGTCAGGAAACAACAGGTGCTGGAGAGGATGTGGAGAAATAGGAACACTTTTACACTGTTGGTGGGACTGTAAACGAGTTCAACCACTGTGGAAGTCAGTGTGGCGATTCCTCAGGGATCTAGAACTAGAAATACCATTTGACCCAGCCATCCCATTACTGGGTATATACCCAAAGGACTATAAATCATGCTGCTATAAAGACACATGCACACGTATGTTTATTGCAGCATTATTCACAATAGCAAAGACTTGGAGCCAACCCAAATGTCCAACAATGATAGACTGGATTAAGAAAATGTGGCATATATACACCATGGAATACTATGCAGCCATAAAAAATGATGAGTTCATGTCCTTTGTAGGGACATGGATGAAATTGGAAATCATCATTCTCAGTAAACTATCGCAAGAACAAAAAACCAAACACCGCATGTTCTCACTCATAGGTGGGAATTGAACAATGAGAACACATGGACACAGGAAGGGGAACATCACACTCTGGGGACTGTTGTGGGTTGGGGGGAGGGGGGAGGGATAGCATTGGGAGATATACCTAATGCTAGATGACGAGTTGGTGGGTGCAGCGCACCAGCATGGCACATGTATACATATGTAACTAACCTGCACATTGTGCACATGTACCCTAAAACTTAAAGTATAATAATAATAAATAAAAAATTAAAAAAAAAAAACTGGGTTCTGGAACCAGACACCCTGGGCACAAATCCCGGCCCTATTTATCCTTTACCAGCTGTGGGTGAAGTTACATCACTTCCGGGTGTCTCCACTTTCTTATCTGTACCATGGGATAATGATGGCATCTCCCTTGGCGGGTGGGGAGGACAAATGACTAAGTACACTGCCTGACATGAGCCAGCGCTGACCAAGAGAGGCTTAATGTGAGCCCCAAAAGTAGTTTTCAGTGTTCTCACAGCCACATAAAAAAGCTAAAAAGAAACAGCTGAAAGTAATTTGAATCATAGAGTCGATTTAACCCAATATATTCCACTGTTCATCATTTCAACAAGCAACCAATATTTTTAAAATTATTCATGAGCTATTCTGTGTTATTTTTTCATACTAAGTCTTTGAAACCCACTATGCATTTTATGCTTGTATCGCATCTCGATTCACACCAGCCACTTCTGAAATAAATGCTCTCAGGCCACGTGTGGCTTGTGGCTGCCGTACTGAGCAGTGTGTGAGGTGTGACTCTGCTGGGAAGAGACTCTCAGGACGTGCACCTGGTCTGCTCCGGACTCTGCCCCGTGCACATTTCCCATTTGCTGAGTTTGCTTTTTTCTTTCTTTTTTTTTGTTTTTGAGATGGAGTCTTGCTGTCTTGCTCTGTCGCCCAGGCTGGAGTGCAGTGGCGCGATCTCGGCTCATTGAAACCTCTGACTCCCGGGTTCAAGTGATTCTCCTGCCTCAGCCTTCCGAGTAGCTGGGACTACAGGCATGTGCCACCATACCCAGCTAATTTTTGTATTTTTAGTAGAGGCGGGGTTTCACCATGTTGGCCAGGATGGTCTCGATCTCTTGACCGCACGATCTGCCCGCCTTGGCCTCCCAAAGTGCTGGGATTACAGGCATAAGCCACTGCACCCGGCCTTTTTTTTTTTTTTTTTTGTCTTGAGACAGGGTCTCGCTCTGTCACCTAGACTGGAGTGCATTGGTGTAATCTCAGCTCACTGCAACTTCTGCCTCCCAGGTTCAAGTGATCCTCCCACCTCAGCCTCCCTAGTAGCTGGGACCACAAGTGTGCACCATCATGCCTAATTTTTGTATTTTTAGTAGAGATGGGGTTTCACCATGTTGGCCAGGTTGATCTCGAACTCCTGACCTCAAGTGATCCTCCCGCCTTGGCCTCCCAAAGTGCTGGGATTACAGGTGTGAGCCACCGCACCCAGCCGAGAAATAAATTTCTGTTATGTATAAACCACCCAGGGACTTTGTTGTCACAGCCCAAATAGCCCAAGAGAGAAATCTTCCCCGAGATCCTCCCTGAGGATGCCAAGGCTGTGAATATTCTTTCTCGGTATTTTGGAATTTGTCAATGTCTAAACTTGCTGGAACTATATCATGGCCTAGGATGCATTCACAGAACTACATTTGATGCTTGTGGACACACATTTTTCTTTTTGGGCTCCTGCCTTCATAAAAGTATTTTTAAATTATATTTTATGACTGCGTTGGTATAAAGACAATATAATGATAATCCGGGCTGGATACATTATTATATATTCTTTATTATTATATTTATTTTTTCTTCCAATTTTAAAGGAAATTAAAACATTTTCATAGGCCCCTAAGTGTTGTGGGCTTGGACACTGTACCCTGCCCAGGTAAGATCACTCGTGGGTAAGAACATGAGGTTCTCACCCGTAAGGCAGGATTTTTATAGAAGGAAGGTAGGTCTTTCAACCTATGTCCTCCTTCTGTTCCACAAAGTGGAAAGCCACAAGCCCTACAAAAGCCTTGCAAGTCCCAGAGGCTGCAGCCGTATTTATTCTTCAGGCCAAGACTCTCAGGACAGAGAGCACCCATGCACCCCGCAGGCTGCAGGCCATCTCCCTGCATTTGGGACTGTCCTGAGGATGGCGGCTTCATTTTTGTCCCTCCTACCTCTGAGTACTCCCCATTCCTTATGTGAAGCTGAGCCTTAACCCGCACCCACTGTATTAGTCCGTTTTCAGGCAGCTGATAAAGACACACCCAAGACTGGGCAATTTACAAAAGAAAGAGGTTTAATGGACTCACAGTTCCACGTGGCTGGGGAGGCCTCACAATCATGGTGGAAGGCTAAAGGCACGTCTCACAGGGTGGCAGATAAGACAATGCGAGCCAAGCGAAAGGGGTTTCCCCTTATAAAACTATCAGATCTTGTGAGACTTATTCACTACCATAAGAACAATATGGGGGAACCACCCCCATGATTCAATTATCTCCAACTGGGTCCCTCCCACAATGCGGGGGAATTATGGGAGCTACAATTTGAGATGAGATTTGGGTGGGGACACAGCCAAACCATATCACCCTTCGAATGTAATAATCCATGAAAATATCTGCCTCCCCCTCCAGCAGAAGCTGAGCCTGAGACAGAGGATTCCCTTTCGATTCATCTCTCTACCTCCCAAGGCCCAGCACATCACTCTAGAAGGGAATTAAATATTTACCACATATTCATTATGACAACCGTCCATTCTAAGTAACTTTACACATGAGGATCCAATGAGCCAACGTAGAGGATTTTAGCACCACAGCCTCAGAAGAGAGCGCTTTTATTTAGTCCCCCCCCAAGAAATAGGTGTTATTTTTTCCATTTCATGGATGACTTACATAATTTGCCCAGGGTCACTCAGGAAGTACATCTTGCTCAAGCCACATTTTTTATATGGCAAATACTAATTACTCCTATTTAAAAACAAACAGGCCAGGCACAATGGCTCACACTTGTAATCCCAACACTTTGGGAGGCTGAGGCTGGATGATCACTCAAGCCTGGAAGGTCGAGGCTGCAGTGAGGTATGATTACACCACTGCACTCCAGCCTGGGAGGCAAAGCAAGACCCTGTCTCAAAAAAAAAATAAAATAATAAAAATAAATTTAAAGCCATCAAAAGGTGAACCTTCAATGTCCAGTCTGGCTACAAAGCATTCCAGAAACGCAGGCACCAAGAGCCATCTATTCAATTGGCTCTGGCCTCAAGGAGTGAGGTGGTCCACAGTATGACCTATAAGGGCCTACAGACAAGGGTTCAGGTCATGGCTAAGGGTGGAATCCTGGAGCCAGGGGCCTGGGTTTGAATCCCAGTGCCACTACTCATTGGTGCTGTGGCCTTGAGAGCTGATTCAACTTCTCTCTACCTCAGTTTCTTCATCTGTAAAATGGGGCTAATATTGCCCACTTTTAACATTGTTGCAAGAATTCAATGAGTCAATACAAATGTAACTGGCAGCCTTCTAAGATGACCCCACTGGTCACCACCTCCTGGCATTCATGCCTTGTATACTCCTCTCCCCTGGAGTGTGGGCTCGACCTAGAAATTAACATGTAACACAGAGAGTAGGACAAATGTGATGAGCTACCACTTTCAAGACTGGCTTATAAAAGGCTGTGATTTCCATCTTGCTGGCCCCTCTTTTCTTTCTTTCTTTCTTTCTTTCTTTCTTTCTCTCTCTCTCTCTCTGACTTTGATGGTGTCTACTGCCACAAGGTGACCTGCCCTATAGAGAGGCCATATACCAGGAACTAGGGCCCCAATCCAATAGACTGCAAGGAACTAAACCTAGCCAACAGCCATTGAGTGAGCCTGGAAGTGGATCCTGCCCCACTAGAGCCTTCAGATGACTGCAGCCCCGGCCACCACCTTCACTGCAGCCTTAGGAGAGACCCCAGGCCAGCAACCCCAACTAAGCCACATCTAGATCCCTGCTCCACAGAAACTGTGAGCTAATAAATGTTGTTGTGAGTTGGTAAGTTCAGGAGTAATTTGTTACACAGCATTAGATAACACATACAACAAGTAAAGCACTAAGAATAGCACCTGGCACACAGCAGGCATTGAAATAGCTGCTGAATGAGTAAATAAAAAGGAAAACAGAACATTAAATTCTAAAGTGATGGCTTACTGCTTTGAATCTCTTTGCAATTAAGGTGGGGTATAAATTAATAACTCTATAAGTAATGACCTCTCCACCAGATCTGAACAACTCCCAACATTAGGACCAGCCTGCCTGGCTGCTTCCACCCTAGTTAGATTTTCAGCCTCTCTACGCTGCTACGGTAGCCTCTAACTGGTCTCCAGCCTTCTCCTCACTCCTCATCCCCAATCTTCTCTTACATACCGTGGGTAAGTAAATCTCTCCCAAATCCTCCTGTCCATAGCTTTGTTGGTGCCTCCTAAAACCAGCAACATCAAAGCCAAAACCATAACTCAGCATGGAGGGCTCTCCCAACACCACCCCCAATCCCTGCCTAGCCTTAAGCAGAAGCTGAGCCTAAGAATCTACTTTGTACACCAAATCTTCCCCCATAAACTACCATATGGCTGTGTAGATTCTAAGTCTCACTCTTCCCCTTGGCCTAGCAGATTCTCACCCACCCCTGCTGACCCTGTCACTGACACTGGCCCTTAAGTCTCTGAAATTAGGCAGGGCACCCCCAGGCTGCATCTCAAACTCCCCCCCTAGCTACTAGGGCTGTGGTCCTGTTCTCTGCATTCTGGCTCCTTTGCTCAGAACATCCCAAGCATCTCTATTTTTATGGGTACCCTAACCAGGACCCCCTCTAAATTTCTCTCCACCTCCTCCAATTAGCTTCAAGCCTTGTCCCACTGAGACAAGGAGGGCAATTCCTTACTCACGTCTGAGAGGTGGCTCCATGCCATTTTGTCCAGCAGGCCCTGAGGCATTTCCACTGTCGGCCAAGCCCTGACTGATCATCCCTAAACACTCTCCTAACCTCCTCAGCCCAGAAGTCCATGTGTCACCCTGGATAAGTGGCCTTATGCGATGCTATGACATCCATCCCTAAGGTCTACTCCCACAGTCCCACCTGCGCACAAACTTTTTTTTTTTTTTTTGAGATGGAGTCTTGCTCTATCACTCAGGCTGGAGTGAAATGGTGCAATCTCCACTCACTGTAACCTCTGCCTCTCGAGTTCCAGCCATTCTCCTGCTTCAACCTCTGGAGTAGCTGGGATTACAGGCACCTGCCATCACGCCCAACTAATTTTTATATTTTTAGTAGAGACGGGGTTTCACCATGCTGGTCAGACTGGTCTCGAACTCCTGACCTCAGGTGATCCACCTGCCTTGGCCTCCCAAAGTGCTGAGATTACAGGCATGAGCCACCACGCCCGGCCGACTTCTCCTTTTACATTTTTTTTTCCTGATGAATTTATTTATTTTGCTCAAGTATGGAAAAGAGAGTTCTCTTGGCCGCTAACGCCCCAATTAAAAAATAAAGCACATTGTGATTGGAGAGCCATACTCCATATAAATAATAAATGAGGCCTTAGATGGACACAGATAGAGCTGACTGGCAGGCGGGACATGTTCTCTGTGGCTTCTTTGGCCCTGAGGAAGCACATTTTTTTTGTTCGTTTGTTTGTTTGTTTGCTTTTGAGACGGAGTCTCGCTGTCGCCCAGGCTGGAGTGCAGTGGCTCGATCTCGGCTCACTGCAGGCTCCGCCCCCCGGGATTCACGCCATTGTCCTGCCTCAGCCTCCCGAGTAGCTGGGACTACAGGCGCCCGCCACCATGGAAGCACATTTTTTAAGACCAAAAAAATAGACAACCAACTATAATAAAGTGACATGGAAGACTAACTTGATAAATATAATATTCTGAGAGGCCAGAATGGGGAAAATGGCAGCAGAGAAATGTGTCCTCATAGATTTGAACTGGGTCATCTGAGAAGCTTTGACGATTGCTCTGAAGACTTCAGATTTTATTCTGGAAGCATGTTGAGGCATCAGAAGTGCCAAGAGCTGGGCGTGGTGGCTCAGACGTGTAATCCCAGCACTTTGGGAGAACGGTTTGAGGTTAAGAGTTTGAGACCAGCCTGGGTGACATAGCAAGATGCCCCTGTACCCGATCTTTTATTTTATTTTTTTATATTATTATACTTTAAAGTTCTAGGGTACATGTGCACAACGTGCAGGTTTGTTACATATGTACACATGTGCCATGTTGGTGTGCTGCGCCCATTAACTCGTCATTTACATTAGGTGTATCTCCTAATGCTATCCCTCCCAACTCCCCCCACCCCACAGCAGGCCCCAGGGTGTGATGTTCCCCACCCTGTGTCCAAGTGTTCTCATTGTTCGATTCCCACCTATGAGTGAGAACATGAGGTGTTTGGTTTTCTGTCCTTGCAATAGTTTGCTGAGAATGATGGTTTCCAGCTTCATCCAGGTCCCTACAAAGGACATGAACTCATCTTTTTTTATGGCTGCATAGTATTCCATGGTGTGTATGTGCCACATTTTCTTAATCCAGTCTATCATTGATGGATATTTGGATTGGTTCCAAGTCTTTGCTATTGTGAATAGTGCCTCAATAAACGTATGTGTGCATGTGTCTTTATAGCAGCATGATTTATAATCCTTTGGGTATATACCCAGTAATGGGATGGCTGGGTCAAATGGTATTTCTAGTTCTAGATCCTTGAGGAATCGCCACACTGTCTTCCACAATGGTTGAACTAGTTTACAGTCCCACCAACAGTGTAAAAGTGTTCCTATTTCTCCACAGCCTCTCCAGCACCTGTTGTTTCCTGACTTTTTAATGATCGCCATTCTAACTGGTGTGAGGTGGTATCTCATTGTAGTTTTGATTTGCATTTCTCTGATGGCCAGTGATGATGAGCGTTTTTTCATGTGTCTGTTGGCTGCATAAATGTCTTCTTTTGAGAAGTGTCTGTTCATATCCTTTGCCCACTTTTTGATGGGGATGTTTGTTTTTTTCTTGTAAATTTGTTTAACTTCTTTGTAGATTCCGGATATTAGCCCTTTGTCAGATGCAGCTTCTCCTTTTAAATAAACCAAAGAGCCATGCCTCAATTCCCCCTCCCACCAGCTGCATAAAAACTCCCAGGTGTAAACTGTTCACTTCTCCTTCTTTCCTCCTTACTGAGTGAGGTGAAGTCCCTTCTCAGAGAATTCCTGAGGTGTCAGTAAACCTTCCAAAGGCACATCCAAGTGTCCACAGCATCATCAACCCAGCCATCCCATAAACCTCTGGGCAGGTTGTCATGGAAACCCCTAGGAAAAGGGAATCTCCTTTCCATGGCTAAAGCCCCCGCTTAACCCAGTTCTCCCCTCACCTCCTGAGATCCAACTCCAGTAAAAATTGTCTCCTTTTCACCCCCAGCTTACGACTCAATCACAAGAGACAGGAGCAGCTTTCATATCCCTGCTGAGTGGAAGTGAAACCTTAGCCACAGGGAAACACGGATGGGAAGGCGGGAAGGGACGACCTTGGTGTAAGTGACCCCTGGTGGGGGTCACAGCAGGTGCCCAACTAAACACTTGGAAAAAAATAAGAAAATGTGTTTCTTATAAGGAGTCAAACTCATTAAACCAGCAGATAAAGACAGAAAGTCCCGCCCCCAGACGCGTGGAACTGTGAGTCTTGGCAGGTCACGCTGACGCATGTGAAAAAGACACCTGTGGAGGCAGTAGCCTCTGTGCACACAACTCACAAATGTGGATACATGCACGCACACATGTGCACATGTACACACTCATACATCTAGTTACACATGTGCACACACCCCATGCACAGCCCACACACACCCATCCACACACTCATCCACGTGGGCGCACACACACTCACACATGTGCAGACACTCCATGCACACATCCCACACATGCACCTATCCACACACTCATACACCTGGGCACACATACGCTCACACATGTGCACGCACCCCATGCACACCCCCCACACACCCATCCACACACTCATCCACCTGGGCACACACACACTCACACGTGCAGACACTCCATGCACACATCCCACACATGCACCTATCCCACACATGCACCTATCCCACACATGCACCTATCCACACACTCATCCACCTGGGCACACACACTCACACATGTGCACACGCCCCACACGTGCACCCATCCACACACTCATACCTGGGCACACACGCACACACACGCGCGCATACACCCCATGGACACATCCCACACATTTATCCACACAGTCATACACCTGGGCACACATGCACACACATACGCACACATTTCATGTACACATTCCCATACACCCATCAACACATTCATACACCTGGGCACACATTCACACATGTGCACACATCCCACACGTGTACCTATCCACTCATACACCTGGGCACACACACACACACACGTGCACACACCCCATGCACACACCCCACACACACCCATCCACTCATATACCTGGTCACACATGCACACACACACACACCCATGCACACATCCCACACACACCCATCCACACATACACCTGGGCACACATACACACACACATATGCACACATTTCATTTACACATTCTATACGTGCACCCATCCACACGCTCATACACCTGGGCGCACACACACACGTGCACACACCCCATGCACATACCCCACACGTGCACCCATCTACATGCTCAAACACCTGGGCACACATGCACACACACACCTGCACACACCCCATGCACATACCCCACACGTGCACCCATCCACATGCTCAAACACCTGGGCACACATGCACACACACACACCCTCACACTCGCCCCAGATTCCAAGAGCAAACCAGGGCAGTGTGCAGTCAGCTCCATCCAGGAGGAAGACGCTGACACTCAGAGACTAGAGCCACCTCCTCTAATCTCGAATCCCACGCTCAGCAGGCAACAGCCCAGATCATCAAGTGACCCCCTGGATGCCTTGAAACCAGGACGCAGGTGCCTCAGCCAGAGGCTCCTGGCAGTACCCCCTTGAAGAAGGGCGGCTGGAAAGAGACATCAACATCTGATGGGTGCACCCCTCCTGTGCTCCTCCAGAGCCATCTGTCATCAGAGAGCCTGGGCATCTCCAATTCTGATGAGTCAGCACCTCCAAGACCAATTCCCAGACCCTAGAGAATGACAGTTACCAGAGTGAGGTCTCCGACCCTTCTGGAGCTCTCCCACCCCATCCTGTCACCCCTGCCTCTCAGCCTGACCGCCATGTAACCCTGGGGGTGCTGAGAAGACAGGAGAAGGGGAGGGGAAGGGATAAGGGTGGCCCTGCACGTCTGGGGTCATCAGTCCTCACAAGACACCACGATTACAGACACCACAGAAATCATTTGGGCTGAACCGTGTGAGATCCAGATGGTCCAGATCCAAACCCACCATGCCCTGGCCATGACCTTGGAGATGGTACTGAGCAGTTGAAGATATCAGTGGCTGTAC
This sequence comes from Homo sapiens, assembly GCF_000001405.40. Classification (NCBI taxonomy): domain Eukaryota; kingdom Metazoa; phylum Chordata; class Mammalia; order Primates; family Hominidae; genus Homo; species Homo sapiens. Next base: position 72,555,057 of record NC_000017.11, read on the forward strand.
TCACCTTACAGATCATTCTGACGGCTAAGTACTGATAAAGACCTCTGCCTGGGAGAATACACGCATGACCTCCACCTTGTCAAGGTGAGAATCAATACTTTACAGATGATGAAGCTGGGGGCGGGGCACTGATTCACCCAAAGGAACACTGAGGGTGGCAGCACCAGGATTTCCACGCCAGGTTGGAGGCCAAGCCCAGCTGCTTCTCGCAAAGGAGACAGTGACAAGTGCTCACAGGTATCACCGTGGCCGACCACAGACACAGCCCTGATGCAGCCTCACCACAAAACCTAGTTCTCACCATACCCAAGACCCCCAGTTAGCCCAAAACCAGGCGAGCAATTCAACATACTCATTGTTACAGGCTCCAAAAACGCAGAGCCAAAAGAAATGACAAAGGACTATTCACTCAACACCTCAAACTCAAACTAGGAAATATCTTTCCAAGCATGAAAAAAATTGTTCCAGGACCAAGACAAGGAAAATGCACTTTCATAGGTATCCATGAGCCCATACTGATATAAATGAGTGAGTGAATGAATAAATAAATAAACGAGGGAGATGGGACAAAATGTCCTGATAGAAGAACTCCAAATAGTGTATTTGGACACTTCCCCCTCCAGGAAATTGAGCTTATGTCCCCTCCTATTGATATAAAGGGGCTGGACTTGGTGACTCTCTTCTAATGAAGGGTACAGAAAGGGAAAAACAGCAAATGCACAGTGAAGAAAACTGGCGGACACCACCTTAGACCAGTGATCAAGGTCAAGATCACCAGTGATGAACGCTGTTGACGTCACGTACCCACTGATTTGATGCAATGAGAACACTTCACTGCTGTATTCTCCCTGAAACCCCAGTTTATTATGAGAAAACGTCAGACAAAACCAAATGGAAGAACATCCTTCAAAATACATGACTAGCATTCTCTAAAATTGTCAACGTCACTAAAAACAAGAAAAGACTGAGGGAAACATCACAGAGCAGAAAAGACTAAATACAATGTGGAATCCAGACTGGATCCTTGAACAGGAAAAGGATATTAGTGGAAAAACTAATCAACAGAGACCAACTCTATGGTTAATAGCATGCTTCCAATGTTAATTTCTTAGCATTGATAAACGCACTATGATGATGTTGACATGCTTGTTGTATGCATATAACATAGTATGAAGATGTTAATACCAAGAGAAACTGGGTGAGAGATATATCAGAACTCCTATTATTATTATTATTATTTTGAGACGGAGTCTTGCTCTGTCGCCCAGGCTGGAGTGCAGTGGCACGATCTCGGCTCACTGCAACCTCTGCCTCCCGGGTTCAAGCAATTCTCTGCCTCAGCCTCCTGAGTAGCCGGGATTACAGGCATCCACCACCACGCCCAGCTAATTTTTGTATTTTTAGTAGAGACAGGGGTTTCACCATGTTGGCCAGGCTGGTCTCGAACTCCTGACCTCGTGATCCACCCACCTCGGCCTCCCAAAGTGCTGGGATTACAGGCGTGAGCCACCGCGCCCAGCCCAGGAACTCATTTTCTGTAAATGTATTTTCTGTAAACTTTTCCGTAAATCCAAAAGTATTCCAGAAAGTGGATAATGTGTGGAAATCTTCAATAACGCAACCTGTGTCATACAATGGGATGATGTCACAAAGCTGTATACAGTTTACGGGCGATAGGCAGCTGCGTCCTGCCCCTAATTTTTAGAATTAGAGCAGCTACCCGGTGCCAGGTGCTTTACTGTCGCTAATTCACAAAACGCCATGAACAGGAGCCTCCCCGTGAATGGAAAACCAGCAATGAGAGCGCTTCAGTCGCTTGACAGTCACATTCATGTGTGCACCTGATCCGGCGCTGGCTCCAAAGCCCATGTTCTTTCCCACACGCCCCACTGTGCCCCTCCGAGACTGGAACCGTAGAGAGCGACCACCTCTTTCTATCAGGCCCCAGTGCCCTGCAAGACACAAGACCCTCCGGGAGGGGTCTCTGTCCATGGGTCCATGGTCCCAGATGCTGGAGTGAGAGCTTCATTTGAAAGCCGATACACGGAATAACCACGAGGTGGCGACAGACCCCAGCAATATCCAGGAGAGATGCCCGCGGGCCCAGAGGAGCTGCCTGAGCTCAGGTGCTGCTCTTCGCCTGACTTCCCTGCTGGGCACAGCTGGTTATAAGGAGTTAATGCCTTTGCCCTGGCCACGATTTTTGTGAGGACAGAAGCGAGCCACTTCCCTCAAGCACCGTTATAACTCTGGAGGTCTATCTGTTAGGAACAATGCAGATTGTGCCTTCGCCGGCCTTTGGCAGAAACCGGCAGAGCTCTTTACATAGGACCACACCCCCAGGCACGCACACAACACACACACACTCACACACCCACTCACACACACACCCACACATACCACACACACCCAGACACACACACACCACACACATTCTCACACACACACACCCCTCCCCAGAGACACACAACACACACTCAGACACACGCCCAAACACGCACACAACACAGACACACATAACGCAGACACACACAACATATACACACTCATACACCCAGACACACAGAGACGCACAAGACTCAGACGCGCACACACACACTCATACACACACAGGCAGAAACCCAGATATACACAATCATACACACACCCACACACTTATGCACACTCACACTCATATACACACCCAGGCACACACACTCATACACCAAGATACACACCCACACACTCATACACAGACATACAGACACACACACACCAGATATGCACACTCACACATACACTCAGACACACTCACATACACTCTCTCACACACATACTCCTGGGAGGGATCCTGACATTCACCTAGGGGAGTCAGGGGCTACAGGCCTTGACAAGCATGCTAACAATTTCCAGTGTGGGTAACAGACCTGGGTCCTGGTCTCCCACCTTTTAAACCTCAGATGCTCCAGCCTGTAATCCCTACTACCTGGGTTTGAATCCCAGCTCTGTTACTTACCATTTATGTGACCTTGGGCAGGTGGCTTAGCTGTGGTCCTCACTTTCCCCACCTAGGGCCTAGAGACAGGAGCAGGGCTAAGCCCACTGGATTTTTAAATGTATAGCTGAAAGTCACTTGAATCAGAGCCTCATCAATGTCTGGCACTTTTTGCTGTTGTTTCTACCCCTTGAGGGAGTGTATTTACCCTGCCCCCAGTCCTCTGTATTCAACAGAATACAATTCTTGTATATGAAGACAACACGGGCTTACCATGACAAGCCTAGAAGAGGTCCTAATGAACAGGTGCCCTGCTATCTACTCAGGCTACGAAAGAAAAGACTAGAGATTCCTCCAAACTACAGACTCGATTCATGGGAGATGCTCTCCACCTCTAACTGGTTTCCAAGAATCCACCATAGTGGGCCATCTTGTTACCTAGGGAGGACTTGAGGGCACCCAGACCTCAAAGGATCCGCTAGGAAAGTCATGTGGGCAAAGCTGCAATGTTTTCTCTCTCCGTTCCTGAGAGTTTGGTTTTTCCAATGGTCAAAGTGAATGTTCAGGATCTACTGCCTTAAAAACCTTCTCTAGGCTAAAATGTGACAGCCCTATAATGACAGAGGACTTGCACACTCCAGCAGAGCATGCTATTCCTGTAGGCCCTCAAGTGTTTATATGAGACAGACTCAAGTGTTTTCTGGAAACAGTCATGTTGTAGCATAGGAGGGTGATGGAGCCTCCCAGGAAAGGGTGGCACCCATGAGTCCCCGGATTTTCCCTAGAAGGTGCCAGCCTTTACGACCTGTACAGAAGAGCTGCCTTCCAGGGGGCTGGCAGAGCAGAACTCCCCACATTGTGCCAGCTCATCGTCACCAAAAGCTCCACTGCCAACACGCACTTCATGGAGGGAGAGAGAAAAACCAGGGTTCAATCCGTTCTTTCTAGACCAGGGCTCCAGAAAGCAGGGGTCCTAGAGCAGGAGTCCCAGGAGTCTAGAGCAAGGGTCCCCTGACCAGCAGCATCTGCATCAACAGGGAGCTTACAAGAAATGCAGGTTCTCAGGCCCTGCACCAGAGCAACTGAATCAGGAACATTGCGGGTGGGACCAGCCATCTGTGTCCTAAACAGCCCCCCACAGGGGCTCAGATGAGCTCCAGCTGAAAAACCACGGGCCTAGATGCTCTGAGGAGTACGGTTCATCAAACCCAGCAGCCACTGCACTGTTCTGGCCTTCCTCAGAGTGACCTTTACAGACCTGCTGTTTTTCGTTTTTTGTTTTTCTGAGACAGAGTTTCACTCTCGTTGCCCAGGCTGGAGTGCAATGACATGATCTCTCGGCTCACTGCAACCTCCACCTCCCGGGTCCAAGGGATTCTCCTCCCTCAGCCTCCCGAGTAGCTGGGATTACAGAGCCTGTCGCCACGCCCAGCTAATTTTTTGTATTTTTAGTAGAGACAGGGTTTCACCATGTTGGCCAGGCTGGTCTCGAACTCCTGACCTCAGGTGATCCTCCCACCTCAGCCTCCCAAAGTGCTGGGATTACAGGCGTGAGCCAGCGCACCCAGCCCAGACCTGCACTTTTGTATTTATGTCACAGGCCTCCTTAGTAGAAAGTGGCGGGGAAAGAACCTAGAAGATCCTTGAAGCTCAGAATTTCCTGTGGGAAGAGGATGCGTCCACCACAGAGCATTCCTGGGGAGCCCACGCATCTCTCTGCACAGTGGCAGCCCGTGGATAACTTCACCTAATAAGAATTGATAGAGCTGACCCAGAAAGTACTAGCCTACACCGGACCATAGCCCTGCCACCCCTAGCAATTATATAGGGATTAGAGCAGAATATTTTATCCCAGCTTTCCCCGTGGCTTTTATCTTATTTTTCCTTCCTTTATTTATTTTTATTTTTTTAGATACAGGGTCTTGTTCTGTCACCCAGGCCGGAGTGCAGTGGCGTGATCGCAGCTCACTGTAGCTTCAAACTCCCAGCTCAGTCTCTGAAGTAGCCGGGACCATCAAGCCGGCTAATTTGTTTTTTGAAAAGATAGGGCCTCACTATGCTGCCCAGGCTGGTCTCAAACTTGTGGGCTCAGGGGATCCTCCTACCTGGGCCTCCCAACGTGTTGGAATTACAGCCATGAGCCACCGCGCCCAGCCTTTATTTCCTTTACTTATGAAAATAACATTTTAAATTAAATGCCTTAAGTCCTTTTGGCGATAGACCAGGTATGTTCAATAGTCTGCCAAAGACATGTGAGTTTTCTAAAGCTATTTCCATCCATGTCGGATTGGGGTGAGAGAAGGGAGACCCAGTTAGGCTGCTGGTAAATGTGTACATGGCCTGCACCTGCAATAATATAACCTGAACACTAGAGGGCACCAGAGCCCAAGAGTCAGGCAGCCCCAGACTTGGCCCTGAGCAGGAAGCACCAGGCGCAATAAAAGCCCCCTCCAGACCCCATAACTATCCAGGCTGCAAGAGCTGCAAGATCCAGACCCTCCTCAGCCTCACACCTCCAAACACCCACCTGCCCGTGTTCACCTGTGGGGTGGTCAGTAAGCAAGTGCCCAGGGACACACGGAGCAGGGCTGCAACCCCAGGCCATCAGTCGGCCTGTGCTCTGAGCCCCCACTGCGTGCCAAGTGCTGCAGGGAGGGAACCATGATGGTGCCGTGCACGTGTGCAGAGCCTATCACTTACCAAACATGTTCGCCCACACACAGACACACAGACATGCACACGCCACCTCTTTATATCATCCCCAGCACCCAGTAAGGCCAGCTCCATCACCCCATCCTGCTGATGAGAAAAATGAGTCCCAAGAGTGCACGGTGACTTCTCAGGGTCAGACATCCTGGCTGGTTAACAGCCGCCCAGCTGGGGAGGTCCCACTCGGCCCAGGGTGGTTTTCCACTTTAGCGCAGCACCTCCCAAAAAGCAAACATGAACCTGTTCTCGGGAGTCCTGCCTGCGATAACCTGGAGCTGGGCTAAACCTGGAGTGAATGCTGTTAACCAAGCTCAGGGCGGGTTTCCAGGAGGCTGAGCTCGCACAGCCACAATGGCAAAGCCACCACTCAGAGAGCTGGAGCCCTTTAGTTTCCCGGCGCCTCCTGCCGGTTCTTCCCGTAAACGTCTGTGGCTCATGCTGCACAGTATTCGGTTGCATCTGCTGCTTCATGGCTCTGTAAAAGGCAAGGTGGGGGGCTGTGTATATGTACGCATGAGTATGCATGCACGTGTGTATGTGCACATATATATGCATTTATGCACCCCCTAGAGGCACTATGGGCCATGAGGGACCTGCCTGTCCCTCCCTGCACCTCATTCTGGCCACAGTGGCCAGTCCTCTACCCCTGTCCCCAGCCGTGTCCTGCCCCAGACCCACCGGGAAAATGCAAGGGAGAGACAAGGCACCCTGCACAAATCCACAGACGCTTACAGGGTGACACCAGAAAGGAAACCTCCAGGCAACCTACCTGTCCCGGAGCTCACAGGGAGTGTGGCCCTCCCAGACACCCAGCCTGACTCCCCAGACACAGCCATCATCCAAAAATGGCACCACAGAGGCAGCCATCAATTATTTTGTTTCTAGTCTTGCTCAAGTTTTTTGCACTTATTCCCTTTTTGTCCTAATAAATAATTTCCATCAAAAGGAATCCCGCGAACATGGCTATTTGGCAGAGAACAATCATATGTCAAACTTTCCTACATCTACAAGAAGAATGGATCTGTTGAAACCCATTTAAGTCTCAAATGATGTATACAGAATATAGAGAATATTCTTTGCCACAGATGAGAATATCCCTCTCGTTCTGAAAATCTGGCTGAGCAGGGCCGGTGCTGGAGCAAGGTCCGTGCTGGAGCAAGGTATGGGGGAGTCCTCTTTCCCATGACCACTTGCATGGGTGTCTTCATGAGACCCACTGGGCATGGTGGTGGGGAGAGGGCTCATGGGGCTGAGCTCCTGGGGGTGAGCTGTAACCCTTCTTTGGGGACTTTTTATCTCAGACTGAAGGGCTCAGTCTCGGTGACCAGGGCAGATTCTGCCACCCTGCAGCTGTTTTGGAGGAAGGTCAGGGAGGCCCATGAATATGGAACCAACCAGGAGGAGGTTCTTGGGACACACAGATCCAGGACAACACAGCCCCAGGCTGACGTCCCCATCAGACCATCCATGAGGCACAAACCAGCGCCCGCCATACTCTGAAGGGCCCATGAAAATGTTTTAACTTCTTTTAAAATCAGGGGAAAAAAAAATAGAACACATGCTTTTAGGTAAAAAAAATGTTTTAATATATCATAATATTTGACATTTTTAATATATTTTTTAAGTAGGAAGGGATCCAAGAGGGCAAAGTTGCCCAGAACCTGCAAAAGTCAGAATGGCTAGAGTGGCCCGGGAAGTTTCCAGAACTCCTGAGCTGGGACAGCCGAGGTACACTGACAACCGCACCATAGACAGCCCCCCAAAGCCAGATGCCCCTTCTCGTGGGCCCTGAGAGGGGAGTTACTGCACCTGCCAGAGCACAGCTACATGGCCCAAGGTGCTTCCAGCTGCAATGAGACCCTAAGAACTCTGTCCACTTAGGAAAGGTTCTTATCCAACCCCGGGGCCAGGCAGGAATGGGCGTGGAGAGCTGGGTAACAGCAGAAAACCAGGAAGATGCAACTCTCCCCGTTCTCCTGAGACAAACCCTAGTGCAAGACTCCACTGCATTTCCTTCCATTTCTATTGACTATGGTAATATGCACATACCACGCAACTCGGCATTTTAACCTGTTTCAAGTGTACGATGACAGCACATTCACAGTGTCGTGCAAGCATCACCACCATCTAGGTCCAGAGCACTATCAGCCCCTCTGAAAGGAAACTCCACCCCATTCATCAGCCACTGTCCACTCCCTGACCCCAGCCCAGCCCCTGCCAGCCACTAAGCTCCTTCCTGTCTCTGTGGGTTTGCCTATCCTGGACATTTCATAGCAATGGGATGTGCAACAGGGGGCCTTTTGTGTCTGGCTCCTCTCAGCCTCAGGTTTTCAAGGTACCTCCATGTTGGTAGCACATGTCCATGCTTTGGTCCTTTCTATGGCTGAATAATGCCCCCCACACACACACTGCCTGCTACCTTCCATTGGTTTTTCTCCCCTTAGGGGCATGAAAGTGCTAATAAAGGAAAGCTGAAACCTCTATGACTTATGTTAACAAACCTCAGCTCCAAGCACTCACCTAGGTAAGAGATGTGGGTGCTGAGAACTGAAAATGAGCAGGCACACGCTTTTTTATTATTTATTTTTGTTTTGTTTTTTTTTTGAGACGGAGTCTCGCTCTGTCACCAGGCTGGAGTGCAGTTGGCGCCATCTCGGTTCACTGCAACCTCTGCCTCCTGGGTTCAAGCGATTCTTCTGCCTCAACCTCCTGAGTAGCTGGGATTACAGACGCTCACCACCATGTCCGGGTGATTTTTGTATTTTTAGTAGAGACGAGGGTTTCATCATATTGGGCCAGGCTGGTCTCGAACTCCTGACCTCGTGATCCACCCGCCTTGGCCTCCCAAAGTGCTGGGATTACAGGTGTGAGCCACCACGCCCCACCTATTAATTTATTTATTTTGAGACAGAGTCTCACTCCATCACCCGGGCTGGAGCGCAATAGTGTGATCTCGACTTATTGCAACCTCTGCCTCCCGGGTTCAAGTGATTCTCCTGCCTCAGCCTCCCAAGTAGCTGGGATTATAGGCAAGCGTTCATAAATGTTCCCATACACGTCTGTGGCTCATGCTACATGGTATTCGGTTGAATCTGCTGCCTCATGGCTCTATAAAAGGCAAGGTGGGGGGTGTGCATATGTGTGCACATGAGCATGCATGCACGTCTGGCTATTTTTTCATATTTTCAGTAGAGACGGGGTTTCACCATGTTGGCCAGGCTGGTCTCGAACTCCTGACCTCAAGTGATCCTCCCACCTTGGCCTCCCAAAGTGCTGGGATTACAGAAGGCAAGCACATTTTTAAACCACAAAACACAAAAAGTCAGATCCACCTGCGAGCGTGCATTCTGTCTGGCGTCAGCCCTAATAGTCTCCCTCTCTTCCATCATTCAGGGCCCCAGGGAGTCGAGTGCTTACTCAGCACTTAGACCAGGGGATTCAGGGATTTCTGCCTGGAAAGCCCCGTCTCTCCTGTCTTGGTGGTAACCTGGTCCCTTTTACCTGCAGCTCTGGCAAACGCCAGCTGCTGGGTGCTTCCTCCTCCTTCATGAGAAAAGATGAGAAACTGGGGTAAACAACCCACCAAGGGCAGGTATGGAGAGAAGAAGGAAAGGCTAAGACACAGATGGGAGAAGACAGACAGGGAGAAGGTAGGGAGAAGATGACCCATTTGGACCTGCTCCTCAATGCCCAAGAAGCAGAGAGTTTTTCAAGGACAGCTTTAATAATAAGAGCTCTTCTTCGAAGCTCAGGGGGATGGATGGAGGAAGAGTGTGAGACCCACAGCAAGAGCAGCAAGCTGACACCTCCCTCGCCACAGCTGGAAGCCGCTGCCCACTGACCAATCCCATAGACGCCCTTCACTCCCCAGCCTCCACACCCCTGGCTAAGAGGACCCAGAATGGATAGCACAGTTGTTTTTTTTCCCCCTCTCCCAACCTCCCTGGGGCTCAAGGAACGGGATAAGGGTTATGACTGCCAGATCAGAGACTCAAGTCACTTCAGATGTTCCTTTTTTTTAAAAAAAAAAAAAAAAAAAAAAAAAAAAGGCCGGACGCGGTGGCTCATGCCTGTAATCCCAGCACTTTGGGAGGCCGAGGTGGGCGGATCACGAGGTCAGGAGATCGAGACCATCTTGACTAACACGGTGAAACCCCATCTCTACTAAAAATACAAAAAAAGAAAAAAATTAGCCGGGTGTGATGGCGGGCACCTGTAGTCCCAGCTACTCGGGAGGCTGAGGCAGGAGAATGGCGTGAACCCGGGAGGTGGAGCTTGCAGTGAGCCGAGATAGTGCCACTGCACTCCAGCCTGGGCGAAAGAGTGAGACTCCATCTCAAAAAAAAAAAAAAAACAAAAACAAAAAAAAAAAGCAAGGCACAAAAGTGCAATCTGTGGTGAAAAACTGGAACTCAAAGGCCAAGAGTTAAGGACTGGTTAAGGAAACAATGGCCCACTGACTCACTGGCCCTCAAGCACCATTGAAGATAATTATCAATGTAGGCTGCAACATAGAAAATTGGTCTTATTATAAAGTGAAAGAAGGAAGATACGTAGAATATCCATGGAATGGTTCCATCCTGCCAACGCGATATGAACATCTGGTCCAGAGCTTCAAGAAGATAACAAATGTATTTCATCTCTAGGCCTCTGTCAACTTTTCAAATTTTCTACCACTGTTTTCACACCAAGACCACCATAACAGCCTTAGCATTATGCATTTGCAACTTGCGTACCTCCCTGATGTTTCCCGTCCCCTCTCTCCCTTTACAGAAGCAATTACTTGGGCCAGGCACAGTGGCTCACGCCTGTAATCCCAGCACTTTGGGAGGCCGAGATGGGTGGATCACTTGAGGTCAGGAGTTCGAGACCAGCCTGGCCAACACGGTGAAACCCCGTGTCTACTAAAAATACAAAAAATTAGCTGGGCATGGAGGCGGGCACCTGTAATCCCAGCTACTTGGGAGACTGAGGCAGAAGAATCACTTGAACCCGGGAGGCGGAGGTTGCAGTGAGCCGAGATCATGCCACTGCACTCCAGCCTGAGCAACAGAGTGAGACTCCCTCTCAAAAACAAAAAAAAAAAAAAGAAGAAGAGCTCTTGGAATAAGAGCTGGGCCGTCCACCACACGTGTGTTCGTGTGCACACGCACACACACAAACACTCGGCAGTTCCACTTAACCATTCTCAAGTCAGAGCAACTGGTGGCTCTTGAGGCCAGGCCATCAGCATGGGGAGGACAATGTGGCTTTTCTCTTTCAAGGGCTGTTTGCTTAACACTGAGACCTCCTGAGCCTGAGCAAGGTTATGAAAGGGGGACGACTTCTCAGCTCTCAGCGTCTGGAAGGAATCCCAATGCACACTGCTCCCTGGTTTCTGATGTTCCTTGTGCCCAGTGGTCCTCCTGGGATGGAAATGCAGGGGCAGAGAAGAGGAAGATGGACTACAGCCAAGCATCGCTGGGGATGGAGGATGGCGTGGAAAGAGGGTGCCCCAGGGCCACTGGGCAAGCCTAGAGATTCGTTTCTCCTTTGAGTATCTCCCAAAAATTCTTCACTGGAACTCGAGCCTGGAAGTCCACTCAAGGGAACAAATCATCCATAAGCAGCAGCCATGTGCCAGGCAGGTCCAAGAGCAGAATGGAAGAGTCTTCAAGGATTTCCAGGATGTGGAGTTTGAGAGTGGAGGAAGAGAAGAGATCAGAGGCCAGGAGTTCACCAGCACAGCCCCAGTTCCTTGCACCAGGACAGTTTCATGGCCAAGCCCTGCTACCCTGTTAGTCAGGGTACCCGGCCACCCTTGAGACTCATTGGCTAAAGAATTCACTCACTACACCGCTGTCCGGTATGGCTTTTGTCCTGTTACAAAAACCCCCAGTTTGGCCGAAAGATAAAAATGGAAGGGAAAAAGAAGTTTCATGGTATTACTTACATAAGATTAAACTAAAAGTTAACATTCTCCTACTCCTCAATAGCAATCTTAAGCAAATTATATTTGCTTTGCAGCATAGTGTACAGGCATTCAAAATCAACACAAAGACAAGGACACAGGCATGAGGAAAAACAAAAACAAAAAGATTAAGTTAAATGGTGGGAATCAAACTGCATGCTCTAAGATCATGACTCTGCAAAACTCAAATACAGACCAGGGATAAAAGAGATTGTCAAATGTGTAAATACATGACAGGCTCTAAGATCATGACTCTGCAAAACTCAAATACAGACCAGAGATAAAAGAGATCGTCAAATGTGTAAATGCACAACAGGCTTTTTTAAATGCAAAGTTGTTTGGAATAACAAATATACCTCCAATAGCAATATAAAATCGAAAGAGAAACTTCTCAGAGGACCTCAGTGGATGGCAGCAGAGAACATCATTGCATCTCCACGTTCAAGGGTCTAGCCTGCTTAACCAAAGCCCCGTTGTCAAATCAACCTACAGTGTGGAATCAGCATCTCCTGCCATCTTCCTCCTGCCCCTGACCATGGGTTATGAGCAGGCACTGCCCCTGCAGCCTCCGACGGGTGATCTAAACACTGCCTGCCCCAAGCTGAGCTTTCCAGCTTCTCTGGCCACACCATGGCTGTAGTCCCGCACTGCACCCCAGCAACCCTTGTTCACTCTTCCGCCCAAGCCTTAGTCCTCTCTTCTGAGGCTCCCTTCCTCCCTCCCCACAGCTGTCCCTCAAGGTTCCACATCTACCTTCTTGATCATCTCATGCACCACCATGGTCTTCCCTATCTGGGAGCTGTGGTCCATTCATTCTGTTCTCGTTAGTGAATCGCTGGATTGTTTATCTCACACCTTCTCTCCCAACTCCTGGCTATGAGCCCCTGGATGCCTGGGGCTATGTCAATTTCACTTTCTCCTCCTCTGCCTACATCAGACCTTCGATATGGGTTTGCTGAATGAATAGGTGGCTTCTCCCTTCCTGTCTCCTTCGACTGAGGTTGGGATGGTCAGGAGGAAGCCTCAAAATTAGATGAATGCATATCTCATTTTTCATAACCAATAGCCTACAAAATCAGCTGGGGAAGAGAAAAATCAGCCACAGCATGGGAAGCCTTGGGGAGGGGAGGGAACTTCCCAACACCCCCCTGCCAACACACCCCAGAACCCATCTAGGGGGTTGGCGTGGGTAGGAACAATGAGAGGGGAGAGTCCAGTCCTTCCTGGCCGGGAGGAGGGCTGGACCATGTTCCAACCTTCCACTTACTTTAATTGCCAGGAAACAACCCTTCTCTGTCTGTCATTATAACTTAATTAAGCTACAACAGCCGGAAGGAGGAGGCCAGGTCCTTCAAAACTGGCAGGCAGGGTGAAAAGCCTGGTCAGGGGCCTGGGCAGGAAGGGCTGAAGACCCCCCCAAGGGCAGTCCCCCTCACACACACAGGAGCCTCACCTTTGTTTCTGGTTAACCCATTCACTACCAAGAATGCAACAGTCTGGACACACAGAGAAGGCTCCATGAGAAGTTGGTGACGGTCACTTTCTCAGAAGCATTATACTAAGCGAAAGAAGCCAGACGCAAAAGACTACACGTATGATTCCATTTCTATGGAATCTCCAGAAAGGGCACATTTATAGAGACAGAAAGCTGATCAGGCCAGGCGCGGTGGCTCACGCCTGTAATCCCAGCACTTTGGGAGGCCAAGGCGGGCAGATCACCTGAGGTCAGAAGTTCAAGACCAGCCTGGGCTAATTTTTAGTAGGGATGGGGTTTCGCCATGTTGCCCAGGCTAATCTTGAACTTCTGAGTGTCACAGAGCCTGGTGCACAGCAGGTGCTCAGTCACCCTTAGGTGATGGCCTCCCTGAGGAGGAAGAGCCACGCATGGGTGGGCAAGAGGAAGAGGAAGAGCATTCAGGATGGAGAACACCCTAACAAAAAGCAAAGTGTGCATTGCAGAAGGAGCACTGACCGCAAAGGGGCCTGAAGAGACCGCCTGGCAGACAGTGTTTCCATCTCCCTAAGAAAACCTCCCGGCCGGGCACGGTGGCTCACGCCTGTAATCCTAGCATTTTGGGAGGCCAAAGCAGGTGGATCACCTGAGGCCAGGAGTTCGAAACCAGCCTGGCCAACATGGCGAAACCCCATCTCTACTAAAAATACAAAAAATTAGCTGGACATGGTGGCGGGTGCCTATAATCTCATCTACTTGGGAGGCTGAGGCAGGAGAATCGCTTGAACCCAGGAGGCAGAGTCTGCAGTGAGCCAAGATCGCGACACTGTACTCCAGCCTGGGCAATAAGAGCAAAACTCTGTCTCAAAAAAAAAGAAAAAAGAAAAAGAAAAAAGAGAAAAGACAACCTCCCAGACTCCACAGCTCAAGATGGCAAGCCTAGCCCAGGGCAACATCTACTCTCCTTCCTCCCTCCTCGGCTCTGAGTCCCCCTCGGAAACAATGCGGGAGGCCCCAGCTAAGGGGCTCAGACCCCGAACAGTTAATAGGGAAGATAAGGGCCGTTTCCTTCAGGGAAGAAAAAGGTCCCACTGGCATCTGTCTTAGCCTAAGTGGGCTGTCTTCGTGAGCCTGATGTTGAAAACAAACCTCCAGGGTCATCATACATGAAAAATGAGGTGGGGAAAAAAGGAAAAGGAAAATCGCATCAGCCGGTGGTACAATGCCCAGGAGGAGGGGCTGGCGGGCGGCCAGAGTCAATACGGCCAGCTGGGGAGGGAGGCCGTGGGGCCTGAGCCGCCCGGGAGAGGGGAGAAGCAGCAGCGCACAGAGCCCCCTCCCCAGACCGGGAAGAACAGCCCCCTTAGACCACCACCCTCTGGGCTGGGAAATGAGGATGGATCTGCTGACTTCTCCAGGCTCTCCTGCAAATGCAACAAAATGCAACTTGGATGGTCTAGAAACTGGCAAGATGGCACACTTACAGGTAGCAGGGACCACACCACTAGGCTGTGGAAGGGAGTCCCCGGCTGCAGAGCTGATGCAGCCAAGCCAGGCAGAGGGTGACCTTGAGCCAAGTCATTTGACTCTGTAGGCCTCCCCTCTGCCACTGTGAAACAGGATCCCAACAGCGAACCCTGGCAGGTACAGAACACCTGCGAGACCACGGAACGTGGGGCCCAGAGCAGCCCTGCATGGTCACAGGCAACATTGCCTTGTGTGAGAGCACAGCCTGGAGCCAAGGGCTTGGGTTTGGGGCTGAGTGGCCCATTTAATAGCTGTGTGCTCTGTGACAGGTCATTTGCCCTCTCTCAGTTTCCTCATCTGTAAATTAGAGATAATAATAATGCCTACCTCTTAGGGTCCTTGCGAGGAATAAATGAGTGTTGTAGGGCCGGGCACCGTGGTTCACACCTATAATCCCAGCACTTTGGGAGGCCGAGGCGGGCTGATCACTTGAGATCAGGAGTTCAAGACCAGCCTGGCCAACACGGTAAAACATCGTCTCTACTAAAAACACAAAAACTAGCTGGGCGTGGTGGCGGGCGCCTGTAATCCCAGCTATTCGGGAGGCTGAGGCATGAGAATCACTTGAACCCAGGAGGCGGAGGTTGTAGTGAGCCCAGATTGCGCCACTGCACTCCAGCCTGGGTGACAGAGTGACAGAGTGAGACTCAATCTCAAAAAAAAAAAAAAAATGAGTGTCGTATGTGTGCGTGTGTGTCTGTACGTGAGCCGTGTGTTGGTGGGATAGTGCTTGGAACACAGAATGGGCTATTGTGTTAGCAATACTGTGATTAGCAAATACTACTATAAGTGCTTAGAGATGACTTTCAACTGTAGCCTAGGTCATAACAACCTCAATAACACAGAACCACTTTCTCAGAATATGCATCCAGCCTCTCTCCCATCAGAGGCAGCCTGAAGGGGCTAAACAGGCCCCTGGTTTGTCCTGTGTGATTCTGACCACACAGGTTCGGAGTTGGTCGGAGCTGAGCGGCCACACCTGGCAACCACATTGTCCGATGACTCCTGCTGGCAGGCTCACCCGGCACAGGGCCTCCTACACCACTCAGGGCACCGTCCTGCATGGAGAACCTCACCAAAGGTGGGGGTGCCACTCTTCCCTCGGGTGCCATGCCTGGCGCAGTCCTTATCAGTGTATATCATGTGACCAAGGAAAAATTCACCAAGGACTCCAGGCTTCGGCCAATGAGGGCAGCGTTTCTGCCAAAAAGAGACAAGTGGACCGGGCACAGTGGCTCACACCTGTAATCCCAGCACTTTGGGAGGCTGAGGCAGGTGGATCACCTGAGGTCAGGAGTTCAAGACCAGCCTGGCCAACATGGTGAAACCCCGTCTCTACTAAAAATACAAAAAAATCAGCCGGGCATGGTGGCGGGCACCTGTAATCCCAGCTACTCGGGAGGCTGAGGCAGGAGAATCACTTGAACCTGGGAGGTGGGGGTTGCAGTGAGCGGAGGTTGTGCCATTGCACTCCAGCCTGGGTGACAAGAGCAAAACTCCGTCTCAAAAAAAAAAAAAGAGAGAGAGAGACAAGTGGCAGGCACCGATGGGCACACTCCGCGTTCCAAGACCATCCCAGCACACACAGCACACATACACACACACACCTATAAGCCCTTCTGATAAAAAAGAAGTAAAAGTGAGTCCCTGGGTTTGGGGACACACATCCACAGGGGACAGCAGGGGCCAAGTGAAAATGTGGGGTGTTTTCAGAAGGTGGTCTCTGAGGGTCTCAGGAAGGAAGCACTCCAGCAGGAAGGTGTCTGCCTCCTCATGCAGCCTCCACTCACTTGCAGGGTCCATGGTGACCAGGGGAAGGGCTCCTGGGCACTGCACCTGTGAATGCCTTCGCCCATGGATACAGTGTGACCAGGGGAGGGGGTCCTGGGCACCATACCCCGTGAGTGCCTTCACCCCACATTTCATGGGGCCTGACTCAAGGCTCTTGGGGCTTCCCTGCCCCAGGGCCAGATCATCCAGGCAGCCTTAGCAGGAAGCAAAACCATAGCCCATCAGGAGCCCCCACATCAGAACAGTCCCCTCCATCATCCTCCCTCCCCACCCCCTGGACACTCCAGTGTGATCCTCTCTCGGGCCACCCTCAAGGAACAGGGCTGATAAGGAAGTGGCTCCTCTAAACCTTAAACCTGCCCCAGAAATGCACAGCAGCTGGATCAGCCACCCTGGAAACTTCCATCAGCCTCGGTTCCTTGGTCTTCTCAAGCCTCTTTTCGGGGCCCAGGTTCCCAGAATAGAGGCAGCAAATCTCCCAGAGTCCTCCTCAAATGCCTCCCATTGCCCTGACCTCCCTAAACAAAGGTGCTTTTTTCCCCAGCTCCTCGGGGTCACCACATTTTCGTCAGACCTGTGCTTGTTTTCTTTCTACTCAGCCCCATCTTGGCTTTGCCCCCCCGGGCACCACTGCACCCAGGAGACAAACCCTGTATTGTTTTCATAGACCTAATAAATGACATCGCTCCCCACCTCCTGCCACTAACTCACTAGCCCTCCCATCCCCCTAGGATCATCTAAAGTGTCCCTTGTGCTAAGCGGCTCCCTCTGCTATGAAAGAACAGGCGAGAGAGAAACCTGTCTGTCTGAAGGGGCCTCCCCCCTCCACATGTTATCAGGTGAAGATTCCACCCGGAGAGAGGCAGCATCATAGGTGGCCAATTTAAACAGTCCCAGCCTCTTCCTCTGGCTCAGGTCTAGAATTGAAGGGAACATACTAAGGTGGCGATTAACAGTGCTGATGATAAAACAGAAGGATGTTCAGTAAGTTTTTCAAAACACATCTTTCATCAAGAAGGTTTCTCCTCACCCCTTGAAAAAGTCAACGATGAAAGGGATAGAAAAGGGGGTAGCCATTTATGCCTAGGGTTCCATTATTGGAACGCTAAGCATGTAGGTGTTATTTATATCCTACTGCTCAAGGTCATCACCAAGGCCTGATTTTTGAAATTCAAAAAAATGGCAGCCTCAGGCATAAATGGGTTAAGCCAGGAAAGACTGAATTTTTCCCACTGGTCAAGTTGATGAGGTTCTTCAGATGTGCTCTGGGAGGGGATTGCTGGCGCACGAGGAAGGCTGATCACTCATAAGAAGGGCTTGCTCTGCCAAAGTATTTGGATGTGGGATGCAGATGCACCCGTGTGCAGGAGCAACAAGAAACGTGTGTCATCCTGTCCAGACGGGGACTGGTGGATTGCTCTGACCTTGCAGAGCTCATGAATCTGCAAACCAATTTCCCCAGAGCCTCTAGCTTTTGTCGGGGGTGAAATAAACCAGAAAGAGACAGCAGCCGCCAACCTCTGCACCGACCAACTGATCCAAGCCCAGACCTCGCCTTCAGCACTGCTGCTCATGAGCCACCCCTTGGGGCTGATGTTGGGGGGAAGCAGTCACCTCTGGGCCTCATGACTTCTGAACCCAACCTGACTCTGCCTGTCCCCTGCTGCCCTCGATGAGGTTGTAAGGGGCAACACACTCTCCAAGTTTTCACTGCCACCACTGCAAGAGTCCCATCCTCCTCCAGGCAAGGGCAAAGAGTCAGAATGACTTATAACCAGGGGGGTATTGAGCTGAGCCACAGGGAGGTGCAAATGAAGAACCAGGAGACAAGTCCACGTGCCTCCCCAAACCCTCATAAGGACACAGGCATGTACAGCCTACAGCATGTGGTTGTTTATTTACAGAGCCGGAGAGCACCTCAGAATACTCATCCCTGGTATTTTGCCTATGACATAAACAAAGGCACAGAGAAATAGAGAAACTTGCTCAACATCATCAGTCAGGTGCAGTGGCTCATGCCTATAATCCCAAGAGGCCGAGGTGGGAGGATCACTTGAGCCCACAAGTTTGAGGCCAGCCTGGGCAACAGAGAGAGATCCCATCTCTACAAAAAAATTAAAAATTAGTCAGGCATGGTGGTGCATGCCTGTGGTCCCAGCTACTCGGGAGGCTGACGTGGGAGGATCACTTGAGCCCAGAAGGTCGAGGCTGCAGTGAGTGGAGATCGTACCACTGCACTCCAGCCTGGGCAACAGAGTGAGACCCTGTCTCTAAAATAAATTAATTCTTATTAAATAAGTAAGTAATCATTGATCTGAGAAATAAGAGGCTATGACTGAGACTCAAATTCTCTGACCCTGGATCCAGTGCCCTCTCATCCTCCTCCTGTAGATCACCAATCTATTGCTGACGGGACTGAACCTCTATAGAATGCCATAAGTGGGTCCTGAACACTCACCTGTAGGAAATGAGGGTTCTCAGAATGGAAAGGTAAGGAAATGGCCAGCACACACCTGTAGAGGCAGCCACCTGCCAGGAGTGGCTGGGATTGGAGGGATTGTGGGGAGAACTGGCAGTGAGAACCCTCCCCATCCATCCCATCTGCTGTCGGCCCCATTGGGTGGACATCGTCTGCTCTAAGTGTCCATGGGGATTATTCTGGATCCCATGCTTGGCAGGGACCTCGACAGAGTCAGTCAATCCTTCTCTTGGTCCAGTCCAGGAGCCCACCCTCTAACTATCGGAGATGGGGCTGCTGCTGTTTCTCCAATAAGTCTAGTGTCACCACCACCCATCTCACGCTCCCATCCCCATTGCCCTCTGCTGCCTCCACCACACCAAGGCATCGAGACCTCTGGCTTCTCTCATTTGCTCTTCCCTGTCCCCCAAAACCTTCCAGCTTAACCCTCCTTTGTGCCATGTCACTGGTGCCTGTGGCTGCACGTAACTGGAATGGAACATGCCTTGTTTCCCACTCAGCCCCCTTTAAGCTACATCCTGAATTCCCCAAACCACTCTTCCTCGTACCTGTTCTGCTGCACCCAGGTGCCTGCACGGACAGGGAAGCATCTTTTCTCGGTAGTGCACTGTGCTTCAGAGACTGGGTCCCCCTTCCTCCTGCAGGTTGTCCATGTACAGAGCCCAGAATCTTCCCCTTTCTGCAAGAGGTCAAGTTTCACCAACATCTCTCCTCCACCACTCTATATTGTTTTAGGATGAATCTCATCACCCCCTCGGATGGTCCCGGTTCACACTCTATAGGCAGGGCCTTATTGGAAGGACCTCAAGTCCTCCAATGGGATAAGGTGGGCTCAGCCAGACTGGGGAAAGGCCCATATCCTCCTGCCCATAGAGGGAGTCCATGCCCCTGACAGCCCCCGCAGCTGTGCTCTGTGAACAAGAACTCTGAACTCAGCCGTAAAGCTGGCCTGGGAAGGCCCTTCTCGCCTGCCACAGCACAGACTCCCACCCTCCCTTCTCCAGGCCCCTTACACTTGGAACTGAAGTAGGCAGAGCTGGGCTGCACAGAGGTGGGACCCAGGGGGCCAGTCCCTCTCCAATCTCCTCCCCCAGCACACACACAGATCAATCCCCATGGCCCAACACTCCTCCAGGGAGAAAGAAAATGGGAGAAGGGTCAGGAATTGGCAGCTGGGAGCCGCATCAGGGTTCCTCTCCCCAGGGCACCAGCAGGGAAGGGTCCCCCTTGACCACAGCTCCAGCCAGGTTTCTAAATCTTGCTTGTTTGCCGAAGCAGCCAGGCACCTCCCTTCCAGCCCAGAGTGAAGGGCTATACAAACTCTGGCCTTTCTCTGCCATCTCCTCCCTGGAGGTGAGCACTGAGCCCTCCAAAGACACACAACCAGAAGGGACACAGGCCAGCGGGAGCACACACCATCCCTCACCGGAGCCTGAGTGCCAGAGCCCCAGCAGCGCCCGGGGGAAAGGCAGGGGTATGAGGACAAAACCCTAACCAGCTGCTGGAAGGCAAGGGCCTGGCAATGCCCTTCGTCTTGCTGTGACCTCCACCCTCAGCCCAGCCCACCCCCTTTAGCCACCCTGGGCCCCCCGACCTGGCCTCCAGCTTTGCGGCAGGCAGGACCTTTAGAATCAGACACCCCAGGGCTGGAACTTCAAGCATCCCACCTCTGGGAGACATTAGGTAAGTCACTTTCCCTCTCTGAGCCTTGCATTCCAGGTAAGATGAGACCATTTACCTCCTCAAAGACCTCATAGGATTAAGTGAGATGTTGACACACCTCACTGCACTGAGTGGCAAACATTCATCCCATCCCTCCTCCCACCAGTGGCCAACCACAGGGCATCTCTGGTTTACATGACCTACGGCAACTCGAGGCCATTCACAGTAAAGGCCACTCCAGATAGTGATGATGACACTCACTTGCAGAGGCAGGAGGGTCCCCGCACACCCCCCTCCAAAGGGGCACACACACAGATGACCAAATGCATCCCATGAGGCAGAGCCACCCAAAGTCCCTTAGACTAAAAATCGTCTAACACACACACACACTGTTGGAGCCCAGTCCGCGGAGTGGGTGAGTATTTCCCTGTCCAAATAGGTGGCAGAAAAAAATACCAGGGACTGACTTCTCTCTGGCAAACCAAGACAAACTTGCCATAGAGCATCTCAGTGGCCAGCAGAGGAGAGAGGAGGTCATTTGGGACCATTTACTCATGCGAGAGTCACTGCCCCATGCTAAGATTTCCCCTAAAAATAAAATGATAAGATAATAACTCATAATGCTCTCCCCAAATCAGTACCACACAGACCCCCCTCTTCTGTTTGCTCAGACCCCCGCTCTCCAGCACAAAGTCTTTATTGGTCTCCCTGCAGGGGTGAAAATAAAGGGGGTTTTGTTCTTCTCCTCCCCCTCCCCCCTCGAAGGGCTGAGTGAGTTTATCTGACACTGCAGCAGTCTTTGTAAACTGAGTGTCCCAGGATAAACGCTCCCTTAAGAGTCGCTTGGCCTGGGACAGAGGGACCCTCTCCAGAGGAGAATGGGGAGCTTGTTCCAATGGTCTTTTAATATGGGGGGCGGGGTGTCACCAAGGACAGGCCTCCAGCACACTCTCACAGAAGGGTCTCTGTCCTGAGGCTACAGTGGAGGGAATTCTTAAAGACACAGATGCTGAAAAGGGGGAAGGAATTTTTTTTTCCCCTAAGGGGAGGGGAGGGAGGTTAGGGCGGGAAGGAGAAGGGGGAGTGGCGAGGACTCCTCATTCCCCAGAACAATTCCAGTTACAACAAGGCGTCTCTATGCCTTAACAGCAAGTGAGTGACAAGTGGGTCAGCAGCCCCGCAGAGCGGAATTCTCCTCCCAGCCGGATCTCCCACCAACGTGTGCTTTGCAGCTCCCAAATCCAGGATGGGAGCCCACCAGCATGCAGGAAAGAATCTCACTTTTACCTAAGTGAAGGGCCTCTGCCACGGCGCCCTAAAAGATGGATCCTTTGAAGGCATTTTGAGTCCAGCTGTCCCCCTCTGGAAAGGGGCAAGCAGACTGCCCTAAAGCCCTTAAATAAATAAAATTATCTCAAACCTCAGGGAGAAAAAGGGTCAATTACTCCTCTAATTTATTTGGGTACAAGGTCACAACAAAATAGACATTCCCAGCTATAGCTATCACAAATGATGTTCTCTAAAGATTGCTCAGCAAGACTGTTTTCTATTTTGATTTCATTTATGTTGAATTGAGTTCTTCTCCAAGAAGTCGAGTTGTATTGCAGAAAGAACTGGAAGCCGTGTGTCCACTGAGAACAACCTGGCATCTCTCCTTACCTACCTTGCTCAAGGTCACCTGTGGAAAACGGCAAACAAAACAAAAAGACACCCTCCCTGCTCCAAGTAATCAAGAAATCATGTAGTTCTGAGATACACAGAGAGGAAACTGAGGCCCCAATACGCGGTGTAATGAGCCCAAAGCCATGAGGCAAATTAGGAGGCCAAGACTAGGTAAAAACCAGGACTCCTGGGGACAGAAAACCACCCACAGGGGATAGAAGTCTGCAATTCTCAGGACCACTCCAAGGAAAGACCAATACCATCTTCTGAAAGCTGCTTCTGCAATGCCATATGGTTAGGCTACTAAGCCAGAACCCATTGACCAGACACCACTGTCACCACAGCCACATCAAATGGCAGACCAGTGTGGGCCTTCAACCCACCGAGTCGCCGTGTATATACAGTTGAGCCTTGAACAAGGTTTGAACTGTGTGGATCTACCGATACGTGGTTTTTCTTCTGCCTCTGCCACCCATGAGACGGCAAGACCAACCCCTCCTCTTCCTCCCTCCAAGCCTACTCACTGTGAAGATGACGATGGGGAAGACCTTTGTGATGATCCCCTTCCACTTAATGAATAGTAAATCTATTTCCTCTTCTTTATGATTTTCTTAATATTGTTTTCTCTAGCTCACTTTATTGTAAGAGGATAGTATATAATACATATCTACTGTATCAATATATAATACATATAACTTACCAAATATGTGTTAATCGACTATGTTATTGGTAAGACTACTAGTCAACGGGAGGCTATTAGCAGTTAAGTTTTAGGGAAGT
Source organism: Homo sapiens (assembly GCF_000001405.40). Classification (NCBI taxonomy): domain Eukaryota; kingdom Metazoa; phylum Chordata; class Mammalia; order Primates; family Hominidae; genus Homo; species Homo sapiens. The sequence goes on from NC_000017.11 coordinate 72,578,044, forward strand.
CCAAAGTTACATGTGGATTTTCAGCTGCACGGAGGACCAGCATCCCTAACCCTTGCAATGTTCAAGGGTCCGCTGTATTAAGTCTTTACTAGAGTCAGCATGAGGCCAGGTGCTATGAAATCAGAGTGCACACCTATGACTATACGGAAGAAAAAAGATCCATGTATGTGGAACCATCATGGCAGTATATGATATTATAGCTGTCAGTATTATGGAAGTTTAAAGAAAAGAAAAATTGGATGAAAAACAAAAGTTTGCAAAAACAGACTTAGCACTCAACCCACTGATGAGTTTATTCAGGCATAACTTGGGCTAAGAGTGGACACGAATACTGGATTCTATGTCAGCTGCAAGTCAGGTATCCCTAACCATGCATTGGGAGAATAAGGAAGGAAGAAGAGGAGGACACAGCCCAGAAGGAGTGGAGCACCCAGCAGGTCACAGGGAAAAACCAGTTGAGACCAGAGCCCATTCTGGACCCCAAGGAGGAAGCGCTGAGGAAGCACCTCCTTGCTGCCACTCCTCTCCTCTGCTCTGCCCCCACTCCACTCCTGTCTGTCCACTCAAGCTAACAGAGATTCCTGGGCTGGTTATTCATTAGATTTGCATTGCACAGTAGAGTATACGACAGCTTTCACATAAGTCATCTCAGTTAAGCCAATGGAAACCATAGCCCAAGTTCTATACTTCTGAGAAAAAAAGTTAAAAGGGAATTGGATCTTCCATAATTAAATCCAGCAACATCAAAGCAGAGATGCAACCACAGCCCACACAGATATAACCAAGGAGCCAGTCCATTTCTTTAAGATGGACATAAGATTTAAGCCAAGAAGGGAGGGAAATATGTGGAAGGAGGAATGAAAGATTCAGTGTACCTAGTCCAGTGAATGAGACATACAGCTCCCATCCTCCCATCCCCCCAACCTCAAGGCCACACAGAGGCTCCATTCTCTACCCTCCCAATCATGTCAATTAAGAGGTTCTTTGTGCAAAGGACAGAGTGCATGGCAGCTGATGCGCGTGCAGCTCAGATGGGGCAAGGCTTTCTCACAAGGCCCCCTACCCCATTGGAAGGTGATGTAGGTACAGCCCGGGGCAGCACTCCCGCTTTCCAAGCATAACATCCGAAGAGTGAGCCTACCAATAGGTCTGCTCTGAAAACTCAACTTTGAGCTCAAGGAATAAGGTATGCACAGCAATGTCCTGGTCAACTGAAAGTTACAGCCCTTGAACTCAACACTTCCAGTGAATGCCCTGATAATGGATCCGTCTGCTGTTCCGTTGTCCCACTGTGCAGCCAACCTCACACACCTTCTTCATCAAGGATGCTGGGACACCCCTTCCCCCTGCCCCTCAGAATCATCCCTCTAAACACCAACGATCACAGGTGGAAAATGTGATAGAATTTCAACTAAGCGTGCCCTGACTTCAGCATCCTTCATGGGATTTCAACAATAGGGGAATCCGTGATGCTGACGCATGCTTTGGACATGCACATCTCCTAAGCAAATACAGTCAGGACAGTACTGTGGGCAAACGTACTGGTTTTAAGGACGAACATCACTTCTAGCTCTCCAAACCAGATTTAACGTCTGCAGAGAGAAACCTGAGGACAGCAAGAGAGAAGAGGCAGAGCTGGAGGAAAAGCCCAGAACCTGGCAGCACTGAATGAGAGTTTCTCATCAGGGAAAACTGGTCAACCAACCTCTCAGCTGATCTTAGTATTAATGACCTTAACATTGACTTTACTGTCCCATCTGTAGGGAAGGGAGGAGTCTATTTCCAGCTACACTCCTGAAAGGATGTATGTCTCACCTCTATGAGCAGAGGGAAGGAGAAGCACTGTTTTAAAGCTGTCAGTGGGTTACTAGGAGGAAGAAGTGAAGGATGAATCATAGCGATAGAAGTATTATGAGGCCAGGCTCATGCCTATGACTCCAGCACTTTGGGAGGTGGAGGCTGGAGGATCGTTTGAGCCCAGGAGTTCACGAACCAGCCTGGGTAACACAGGGAGACCTTGTCTCTACAAAAAAATCAAAAAATTAGCCAGATGTGGTAGTGCATGCCTATAGTCCCAGCCACTCAGGAGGCTGAGAAAGGAGGATTGCTTGAGCCCCAGAGGTTGAAGCTGCAGTGAGCCACAATCAAGCCACTGTACTCCAGCCTGGGTGACAGAGTAAGACTCTGTCTCTAAATAAATATATAATGTGAAAACCATTTGATTTGTGACTTCTAGCACTTTCCAAGAGAAACAGGATCCAGCTTGCAGCTAAAGCCTGGATGGATGCAGTCACGTGTCCAGTTGGAAGCAGATCAAGTTCCAGCTCCACCTCAGACCAGCACGGTAACTTTGGACAACTGACATAAGCTCTGGGAGCCTCAGCATCCTTGTCTGTTAAATGGGGGCAACAGTAACTACACTTCCACAGGACATACGGCACCTTTAATACATGATACCTACCCCCTCTCCTCCCACTTCATCACCTATCAAAAAAGGCTATTCATACTCAAGCTTTAGGTAGAAAAAAATCTGTCGCCATGACAATAAGATTTTTTTCTGACAATGGCAAACGAGGACAGCTGGGAGCACCTGCCAGGGCCGCATGGCTTCCTTTCAAAGCTCACACAACCCATGAGCGTGAGTCACTGCTCCTCAAACAAAGCCTACCTGTGTAATGTGTGAACAAAGTAAGCAAAACAGAGTCTCCCACCTTGAGCTCAACAGCCTGGAGATCAAAGCTGTCTCTCGAACATGGAGCACCCAGAAGATCTGCTTCCAAGTTGGCACATGAATGTGTGAACACAATGGAGCCCTCTACATAAATCCACTTGTGTGGCTGCTTCTGGACGAGCTCTCTGTCTGGCCTCCCTGTATTCTCAGTCTTCCCCACTGGGCTGCCAAACACAGGAGCCTTGTGAGAAGTCTGCACAAATCCATTGCCTCTAGCTCACATCGTCAGGCTTTTCATACCAGGAGAAGAACAGAACTTGCCTCCCAAGGTAGACTGGGAGCAACACCATTGGCCTAGAGATGCTCAGAGCTAGGGAACGTGTTGCCCTTTCTTTGATGAAATCTCAGGCAGCAGGTGGCATTCTAGCATCCAGTGTTTATTCCAGTAACAACTCTTCGTGCAGGTCAATGAGAACCCAGTCATGGGTGATCAACTACAAGTTTGGATTTAGTGACCCAGGAGCCAAATCGCCAGCTCCCTGATGGAACAAGATGATGTCCCATGCAAAAACAGACTCTCGGGTTTAGAGATTCAAAGGAGGAAAGAACTTTTGAGGTCCCTTCATTTGTCAACTTTTGCTAAGCATTAATATGCCCCCCACACCCTCCTAGGATACCAGGTATACAGAGGTAAGCAAAACTAATTCCCCGCCCCCGCAAGCACACATTCTGGTTTATTATCCCAGGAGTCCAATTCATTCATCGTGAACAATTGGTGGTATTGCCCTGCATGTACCTGTGCTTCCTAAGGGCGCTAATTTCCATTTGCAGAATCTTGGTGGCTCTGGGGAACCTCACAACAGAGTCAGATGTGAAGCACATGACCAGGGGAGAGTCAATCAATGTGTCCCCCCGCACCCAAGCTACTGGCCAGAGGTGTGGGTCTAGGGGTGAGCATTACTGCACGGTCAGCTCTCAGGAAGGCCACCACAAAGCCATTCTCTCCCTCTAGATCTATAGAGTCAGGAGGCCTGCCCACATGAGAAAAGTAAACTTGAGAATGAAACTTTATACAGAAGGGGAGACAATGAAAAGAGAGAGAGAGACCGAGCCAACAAATCACCCCAAAAGCACAACCCCCACACTTCTTAGTTATGTGAACAACCAAAACATCCATTGTTTTAAGCTGGATACAGTTGGTTTCTCTGTAACCTCCAACTAAAAGTGACCAATAGGAATTGGGCCCACAGACAGAGGCCCAGGGACATGTGCAAAGTCATACAGACACTTGGCACTGGGGCAGGACAGGGGCCCAGTGATGGTCCTGGGCCAAGACCTGATTTTGAACTGTGGCTCCATCCTTCAAAGCTATGAGACCTTAAGGATATTCCTTCATGCCTCTAAGCCTCAAATGCTGGAGATCATAACATCCCAGGGCTCTGAGGATTAAGGGAAGTAAAAACTCTGGAAGCACGTTCTCGAGCCTGCCGCAGGGCTGCCTCTCTTTCTGGACATTGCCCCACTGACAGGCAGCAGGGGCTGGTTGGAAACTGATATGGTTTGGCTGTGTCCCCACCCAAATCTCATCTTGAATGGTAGCTCTCACAATTCCCACGTGTCATGGGAGGGACCAAGTGAAAGGTAATTGAATCATGGGGGCAGGTCTTTCCCATGCTGTTCTCATGATCGTGAATACATCTCAGAAGATCTGATGATTTTATAAACAGGAGTTCCCCTGCACAAGGTCTCTCTTCCCTGCCACCATGTAAGATGTGACTTGTTCCTCCTTGCCTTCCGCCATGATTGTGAGGCCTCCCCAGCCATGTGGGACTGTGAGTCAATTAAACCTCTTTTCTTTATAAATTACCCAGTCTCGGGTATGTCTTTATCAGCAGCATAAGAATGGACTAATACAGGGATCATCATATCTGTTGAATCCTTACACAGGGTTGGTACAAGGAATTGGGTCACTGGACCGGGTCATTATTTCGGGGACAAGCAACATCACCCAATGGCCAGTTTGAGCGGTGAACCTTGAATGCAGGCGCATGGGCATCCTCCCCCTAAGTTGGTACCTGACAAACAGATACCTAGGATGGTAAGGGCCCAGAGAAAGGTTTGAGAAAACCATTCAGGTTCGATCACAACGGTGCGAGCAGGGAAGGGGGACAGCAGAAAAAGAAGGCAGCGAAGGTGATGAGGAAAGCAATTCCAGGAAAGCCCAAAGCGCCCAGCAGTCAGGGTGGAATGAGAAACCCGGACCGCTTCAGCTCCTTGGTTAACCGCATTCCTGGTTTCCACTTAGAAATTTAATTAAAAACCCAAACACCTGAATTTTCCGCTGGCTTGCCAGTGGCCACAGATTCCCTGAGGTTCAGAAACACCTTCCTCGGCTTAGTCCTGGATCCCCTAAAGAAGTCTGGTCTGAAACCAAAGGAGGAGGGGGTCACGGTCAGGAATCATGAAGAAGAGGTCACAGTCAGGGGTCATGGAGAATGGGTCCTGGGGGGCACCCCCACCCCTCCCAGAGAGAAGAAAGCCTCCAGGCAGGGGCGACCCTGTTCTATCACCCCAACTTCAGCAACAACAACTTTGCTTCTTGATGTTTAATTTTATTTTATTTTTATTTATTTTTTTTTTTTTTTTTTTTTTTAGAGACAGGGTCTTGCTCTGTCACCCAGGCTGGAGTGCAGTGGGATAATTATAGTTCACCGCAGCCTAGACCTCCTAGGCTCAACCGATCCTCCCACCTTGGCCTCCCAAAGTTCTAGGATTACAGGAGCGAACCACCACGCCCAGCCACTGCTTAATTTTAAAAATATAAAGAAATATCACCGTGAAGAAATTAAAATGGAAAACAGCCACATTTTTGGTGGCTCTGAGGTGACAAGGCCACTTTCCTGTCCATGCAGAGAAGGTGCAGAAGCTGCGAGGGGCTAGAGCCCTGCAAAGACTGGGATCAAACACTGTCTACCATCTGTCCCCCCAGGGCCAGTGAAATCACTTACTACAAACGCCTAATCTCCCTGGCGGCTGGACATGCGCATGGGGCACGGAGGAGCCAATCACAAACCAGAACCGACAGGAGCCTTGGGGGCTCAAACTCAGCCTGGGGAATAAAACCACAGAAGGGAGGTGATCGTCTTCACCCAGCCACACACCCCAGGTCCCCACGGGAGCTGCCACCGAACTCTGACATCCACCATGATGCTCAAAAGGCACTTTTTTTTTTTTGAGACGGAGTCTCGCTCTGTCGCCCAGGCTGGAGTGCAGTGGTGTGATCTCTGCTCACTGCAAACTCCGCCTCCCGGGTTCACGCCATTCTCAGCCTCCCGAGTAGCTGGGACTACAGGTGCCCGCCACCACGCCCGGCTATTTTTTTGTATTTTTAGTAGAGACGGGGTTTCACCGTGTTAGCCAGGCTGGTCTCCATCTCCTGACCTCGTGATCCGCCCGCCTCGGCCTCCCAAAGTGCTGGGATTACAGGCGTGAGCCACCGCGCCTGGCCTCAAAAGGCACTTTTTAAGCACCTCAAACTGTGCAGAAAAGTGTTCTCTACTTTAATAAAAGTTCCACTTCCAGCAAACTTTATATATGAAAGCGTGACTCCGCAGGGCAAGCAGCAGGGAGGATTCACTCTAGAATTCTCCTAAACAGTGAGTCCAGTCTCTATCCTCCCATCCCTCCGTCTCCACACCAACACTTCCAAAATACTCGCTCTTCACTATGTGTGCCAGATTAGGAGTTAGAGTGGGAGGGCTGGTCCACAAGGTCAGTACCTATCCACGTCATTTCACTGACTAGTGCTTTAATGCCCCTCCTGTAAAACAGGATGACACCTGATCATTTCACCAGGTTGAAGGTACTATCACATGGCATATGGGCACAAAAGCAATTGGAAAACTCCAGTTCAAAGAATCAGGGCCTACGGAACGTGCTAGGTCATCAAACCTTTTCATTTAGAAAGAATACTTGTGGCAGATTCAGAGCTGGGCGCCACCCCCACCAACTCGGCCGCTCCTCACTTCCTGGACACTTCACTCTTCGTGAAGATGGCTTTCTTAAAGCAAAAAGCACTTCACACACATTAGGATGGCTATTCTCAAAATAAATAAATAAATAGATAATAATAAAAGAATAAGAAAACAAGTCTTGGCAAGAAAATGGAAACTTTGTGCACCATTGGTGGGGATGTGAAATGGTATGGATGCTATAGAAGATGGTATGGCAGGCTGAGTGCAGTGGCTCGTGCCTGTAATCCCAGCACCTTGGGAGGCCAAGGCAGGTGGGTCACCTAAGGTGACCAGCCTAAGGAGTTCAAGACCAGCCTGACCAACATGATGAAACCCCATCTCTACTAAAAATACAAAAATTAGGCCGGGAGCGGTGGCTCACGCCTGTAATCCCAGCACTTTGGGAGGCCGAGGCGGGCGGATCACGAGGTCAGAAGATGGAGACCATCCTGGCTAACACGGTGAAACCCCGTTTCTACTAAAAATACAAAAAATTAGCCGGGTGTGGTGGCGGGCGCCTGTAGTCCCAGCTACTAGGGAGGCTGAGGCAGGAGAATGGCGTGAACCCAGGAGGCAGAGCTTGCAGTGAGCAGAGATCGTGCCACTGCACTCCAGCCTGGGCGACAGAGCGAGACTCCATCTCAAAAATAAATAAATAAATAAATAAATAAAAATAAAAATACAAAAATTAGCCGGGCATGGTGGCAGGCACCCATAATCCCAGCTACTAGGGAGGCTGAGGCAGGAGAATCACTTGAACCCAGGAGGTGGAGGTTGCAGTGAGCCGAGACCACGCCATGGCACTCCAGCCTGGGCAACAAGAGTGAAACTTGGTGTCAAAAAATTTTTTAAAAAGTTAAAATTAAAAAAAAGAGACAGTATGGTTTTTCTTCAAAATATGAAAAATAGAATCACCATGTGGTCCAACAATTCCACTTCTAGGTATATCCTTAAAAGCACTGAAAGCAGAGACCCGAACATTGCACATCCGTGTTCCTAGCAACATTATTCACAATGGCCAAAGGTAGAAGCTACCCAAGTATCCACAGAGAAATGAGTGGATAAACAAAACGCAATATAAACATACAGTGGGATATTACTCAGCCTTAAAAAGCAAATTCTGACACATGCTATAACATGGATGAGCCTTGAAGAAAGTAGGCTAAAGAAATAAACCAGACACAAAAGGACAAATACTGTATGATCCACTTCTATCAGATACCCAGAGTAGCCAAATTCATAGAGACAGAAAGTAGAACAGTGGTTGCCAGGGGCTGGGAGGATCGGGGAATGGGGAGTTCGTACTGAATGGGTACAGAGTTTTAGTTTGGGAAGAAAAACTTTCTGAAAATAGGTGGTGATGGTTGCACAACAACGTGAATGTACTGAATACCATAGAACTGTGTACGTTAAAGTGGTTAAGATGGTAAATTTTATGTTGTGTATATTTTATCATAATAAAAATGGTGGGCCAGGTGCAGTGGCTCATGCCTGTAATCCGAGCACTTTGGGAGGCTGAGGCCGGTGGATTGCTTGAGCTTAGGAGTTCAAGACCAGCCTAGGAAACATGGCGAAACCTCATCTCTACAAAAAATACAAAAATTAGCTGGGCATCCTGGTGGGTGCCTGTAGTCCCAGCTATTCAGGAGGCTGAAGTGGGAGGATGGCTTAAACCCAGGAGACGGATGTCGCAGTGAGCTGAGATCGCACCGCTGCACTCCAGCCTGGGCAACAAAACAAGACCCTATCTCAAAAAAAAAAAAAAAAAAAAAGAGAAAAGTAGAAATGTTTTAAAAGTTTTCAAACTTAAAGTATAATAATAAAAGAAAAAAATAAAATAAAATAAAGTTTTCAAGTAGTTAAGTGAAGAAGGCATAACTGCAGAAACCTTCTCGTCACTTAAAGCTCAATAAGGGTTTTACTCACATAGTGAAATTGTCCCCAAAGGCCAGCACCTCAGACACCTTCCTTTCACTTTGTAAAGCGCAACAGAACCCCCGCTTCCACACAGGCTGCTAAATCTTCAAATCAGCTTCCGATGGGCGCCGAAGACCACCACAGCCCACATGCTGAAGAACCAAAGCGGCTGCACCAATGCCTAAAAAAGCATCCAGCAGGCACTGAATATTTGTAGAATTAAGGTAAGAGGAAGTCCATAGGCAAATGATTGGAAATACATCTATCATTAGAGAAGGAACACTCCATGGCTAGCTCAAAAAGCATGCCCTGAAATCCCCACTCAATCATCAGAAGGGACTGCTGGGCGGGCGGGCATGGTCTTTCCTGGCCTATCCTACTGGGACTTCCCAGTCCAGCAAACACCAAAAAGAAGTAAATTGCTAAAGTAAAATGACCACTTTTGAAGCAAAGGAGGTAAGTCTGTAAATCATTAAAACTGGACCCTAACAATCGGCATCTTCCAAACCTTGGGGGAGCCTCACAGACCTGGGGGTCGGAAGGTCTGGTTGATTTCTGCAGCTCCAGAACTGCAGTCCCTTGGTCAAACCCCTAAACGAAGCCACATCTGTTTATCACATACAAAGGCACCTGGTTTCCAAGACGTCCATGCAAAAACCTGTACCAACAGACCAAATATGGGAGGAGATGATGATGATTCACATTACAAAAAGAATTCTTGGGCAGAAACTTGCCACTTCAGCATTCTTCTAGGTTGCACGATTCCTCCGGGCCTTTTGAATATCATGTGATCAACCAAGATTGGTTTTGTATAGATGTTTTTCTAGGCACAGGCCTCGTCTGTAAGGCAGGAACACCACCAGCTGACTTTGAACAAGGGGTCTTTCGCCAACAGCATAATTGAAAACAATTCATCCAGGATCATTCCTGTCCTCTTGTGAAGTGAGCTGGGTGCATCAATCACATGAACAGGGGATGCTAACTTGGTGTGGAGGACCCCAACCAGCTCCATGATGACAGTGACATTGTCTAGAACAATGGTGGCCACAGACAGAAGCAGCAGTGGTCTGTGTGGGTACACAAACAAATGTGCCAGGATGCTGCCTGGTCAGGGACACGTTCCAAGCTCCCAAAGAGCTTGCCTACCTGAGGGGAGAAAATGCCCAGAGCTGTAGTTCCTTTATCATTCACCCAAATGCAGCCACTCCTGTCTTAACCAAGTATAAAGGGCATCTGACTTCAAGGCTCCTAAGTAAAAACCTGTACCAACAAACCAAACAAGTACATGCGGGGGCCCAGACCAGTGGAGGTAAACCAGAAAGGCTTCCTGGAGGAGGAGAAAGAAAAAAACACTGTGGTTGGGTAAGCTTCAGTGGGAAAATGTTCAATTAAGGCTTTATCTGGCCAAGAAGTCAGTCAACTTCCTGTTTTCTTAAAGTGCCTGTGTCAGAATGGCCTGGGTGGCTTGTTGAAAATGCAGACCCCCAAGCACTGAAGGTGAGGGGCTGGACGGGGGTGGGTGCTGAGAATATTCATTTATAACGCGTTCCGCAAGCAATTCATTCTTATGCAAACCACAATTTGAACACCAGGGGACAGGTGGGGCAGTCCTAAAGTGAACAGTCTGCACTGCACTGGAGTAGATTCTAGAAAAGCTGCAGCGTCTGAGTAGGGAGGACCCACCAGGAGACGCTGAGGACAGGGACAGGCAGGTGTAGACAGAGGTGCCTTCCAGAACTGTTTAGTCACAACAGCCGCAACCCCTCTCCCCGCGAGACTTCCTGTTATGATCCTCACTGGAGCTGGCTAGTTACAGAAAACGTCTGTACCAGTTCACAAGGAGAGAGAAAGACATGAATATCCTTCAGTTTACAAGCTACAGTAGGAAGGTTGGGAGCATTTCAAAAAGGAAAAGAAAAATCAAGTCTAGGCAACCAGACCCTAACATTAACACAGAAACTCTGTCTGGACAACAGAAATCTGTTTTGTTGAGATTTAAGTAACGTCAAAACTTCCTTATCCCAAACAAACATCGCCTTCGCTCAATGCAGGCAACCACTCCAAGTCAGAAAAGACACAGTGATACTCAAAGCAGACAGCCTCAATTCACGTGTGCGTTACTGGCTGACCATGCGGTCTCTTTATTGTAAGGACAGGAGAAGGGCCCCTTTCCTGGGTTTCTTCAAATTCACACAAGTGGACTCTTATGCAAAGATCCTGGGCTAGCCTCCATCCATATCAGCCACCTCCAAAAATCCCTTCGGGCTAGCTCTCCTCACCCCAAATCTTCTCCTGGAAGAAAGTCCCCTAAAGAAAAGGAGAATCACTTCCTAACCCAAAATTGCTTAACAATACCCTAAATCCATTTTGAGTTCAGAGCAGAAATCCGTGTTCCTTCCAATCTGCTCAGATAACCAGGAAATGCTGTACCTGCTGGGTCTGCACGTTTAGCTCCCGACACACCTGCTACTCCAGCCGGCATGAGTCACCCACGCAGGCATTGCACGGTGTACTTGTCAACCACGGATTCAGTGGCTCAGCAGCTTGCTCTCACGCACACCAGATGGCAAACGTCTACCCCCAAAAAGACGTGTCAGGGCAGACCGGCTAATAACCCAATTTCACTCAATGACACATTCCCACTGTAGGTTTGGGGAGAGGAAAGGAGGGAGGGGGTACACAGAGATGCTTTCCCCACTTATGGGCAAGCTCCCATAGGCCCTGGAAGCCTGATACGGCTCTGCTACCGTCAGTAGAGGAAGGGCAAATTCACCTGGGGAGGAAAATGAAAATGACGTCCCAATTTCAAACCTCCTCCTGAACAAAGGCTGTCTTCTCTACCCCTCTGGGTTCCCACTTTTTACAAGGTCCCATTACAGGATCCCAAATTGGACCCTGGACCAGAAAAAGGACATGAGTGGGACAAATGGATAAATTTGAATGAGGCCTGTAGACTAGTTAAACGTGTTGTGTCAGTGCCAGTATCCCAGGTCTGATCATTGCACCATGGATATATCAGATGTTAGCATTTGGGGAAGCAGGGTAAAGGATATAGTGGAACCCTTGGCATTATTTTTGCAACTCCTGTAAATCTAGATTTATATCAAAATCAAAAGTTAAGTTTTTAAAAAAGACAGCATGTTAAATCTAGCTGCCTGATATATCTTACTTTATGGTATTGCTAAAAAAAAATTTACATCGGCCGGGTGCAGTGGCCCACGCCTGTAATCCCAGCACTTTGGGAGGCTGAGGCGGGCGGATCACGAGGTCAGGAGATCGAGACCATCCTGGCTAACAAGGTGAAACCCCATCTCTACTAAAAATACAAAAAATTAGCCCGGCGAGGTGGCGGGCGCCTGTAGCCCCAGCTACTCGGGAGGCTGAGGCAGGAGAATGGCGTGAATCCCGCGGGGCGGAGCCTGCAATGAGCCGAGATCGCGCCACTGCACTCCAGCCTGGGCGACAGCGAGACTCCGTCTCAAAAAAAAAAAAAAAAAAAAATTTTACATCATAATCCTGATGACAAATTTTAAGTTATTCTCATACCAATGCTGATCAACTCTTTGATACAAAAAGAAACAAAACAAAACACTTCATTCCCTCAGCAGCCATTCACTCTGTGCCCCTTCTGCGTCCCCGCTCCAAGATGCAGTATTATCTGATGGGTAAGTGGTATCTTTTCCTCTAAGCCCATCTCGGCAATATCCAGAAATAGAGTTATTCCTTTGCTTTAGACATAACTCTAACTTAAAGCAAATATAGCAATTTCTGGGAATTTTCCAAAGAAAATAATACAAAATGTGGATAAATCTTTATGTACAAAAGATGCTCACTGTATTACTTCTAATGGTAAAACTTTGGAAACAACTTAGTATCCAACAATAGGGAAATTGCCAAGCCAATTATGAGTCAACGCCTGCAGCAGAATACAGTTACCATGCCGTCATGACATGGGGGAAACGTTCAAATAAAATTACACAAAAAAAGAGGAGGAGAAAAAGTTGTATACATTGCAGGATTTCACCAGTGAGGAAATATATCAAATTGCCAGCATTACTGTGTGAATTGGATGTTTTTCCTGCTTTGGGCACTTTTGTGTAGTTTTCTATAAAAGAAAGAGAAAGAGCATGGATTACTTTTTAAAATCAGACAGGGAGGAGGAGTGGTGGGGTTGGTTATCAGTTTGCCTGGCGGTTTCAACCTTTCCTCTCCCGGAGTCAGTCTAAGCACAGAACTGGGGTGGGGGCAGAGGGTGGGGAAGGGCCGCAGGTAAGGTGCTGTGTCAACCTGGGCAGTTCCAAACCCTGCATGGGACCAGGGGCACCGAGGGCCCCAGCTCCCAGGGTAGGGGGTCGTGCCACTATGCACTGCCTTTTCTTCTTCCGGTGCTGCTTTACTTTCTCTTGCTCCTGGAGCAGTGCTCACTGGAGACGCTGGGACCCTGAGCACTGACCAAGAGTGATCCCTGACAGCGTCAGATTCCTATGCAGAAGGGACTGCTGGGTGGGAAATGGATCACCGACAGGTTCTAAATGCGAACCCACAGGCTGCAGGAGAGGGGTGAGGGGCGAAGGAGGGAATCCCACCTCTGGGAAAGCATCCTCAGGAAACCTAGATAGGTCCTGGAGGTGAGGACAATCGCCAAGGAGGGAGAAGGAAAAGGAGGACCCTGGTTAATCTGCACGCCAAGGGTGGAGTCGCTCAGTCATTCATTCAACAAACATCTATTCAGTGCCTACTCAGTGACAGGCATCGCGCTGCCCCCAAACAGGGCAGACACAAAAGAACAAGGGGAGGAGGAAGCTATGGATACAGAAGCGGTATGCTTTCAGTTCCAGACTCAAGACGTAAGCCCTCTCCCCACATTGGCCAAGAAACGACTTCCATTAGCAAGTTGCGCCGGAAAGGGGAGGTGGCGGGTGGTCTCACTGGACTGAATTCCTGCCACCTCCCACCTATTCAGAAAGCCCGTCCACACCCTGGCCAAACGCGTACCAGCGTCAGCCTGACGGGTGGCCCAGTCCTCGCCGGAAAGCTGCTTGCCAAACGCCCCCGCTCACCCCCTAGCCCCAACGGTGAGAGGGGCTCGGCTGAGTCGCGTTCTCCAACCGCTGCGCCCCAGCAGCGTCCCCGGTCGCCAGTGGGCGGACGCCAGGAGCTCACGGAGGCGGCACCGCTCCCGAAGTAACGGAGCCCGGAGGGCGCCCAGGCGTTAAGGCAAGTGCAAGGGGCCGAGCGGGTGCGCCGAGGACGCGGGGGCGTCTCCCCCAGCTGAGGTTCGGTCCCTCCAGGCAGCCAAGGCTTGGCAGCGCTAGAGGCTGAAGGACAACGGCCGAGAACGCCCAGGATGGGGTGGTCGCTGACCACCGTGTCCCAGGTGAATCAGCTCCGCTTGGAGGCAGGGGGATGACTAAAATGACCTCCAAGAAGATGTCAATTACAAGAACAAAAATTTCAACCCGGAATCTCGAGACCTTCGAAAAACGACGCGGAGGAAAAAAGGAAAGAAAGAAAAGAAAGTAAATCAGATCCCTTCCCCGAACCGCAGGGAAACTTACCTCCAGCTTGGCGACCCAGCTGTTAAGCAGAACAAATCAATCCACGGATGGAGAAGAGGTCGTGGGTCTTCTGAGCCCAGCTGATACACACCAAGTAATCCACGTTAAGGGGTCCGCAGCCCCCCACCCAATTCCCCACTTTCCATCCAAGGCCAAAGAGCAGCCAGACCCTGTCCTCTGCGCTCCAGACTCGCGGAGGTCGCGGGCGGGGGTCCTCAGGCGGCCGCCTTCTCGTCCCCAGGGGTGGGCGCGCGACGCGGGCAGGGACCGGGCGCCCGGAGGACCAAGCGAGCGCATCCCGCCTACTCGTGCTGGGACATCACCCAGCCTGGACGCCGCTCCTCGCCTTTCTTCCCCGCGCATCGCCAGCGCCAACCAAAGATCCCCGCCGGGAAAGCCTCTCTGCCAAGCTGGAAAGCGCTGAAGGCGGATCGTCTCTCAGACTTGGGTTTGCAGGTTCACAAGGCCCGGGAGGCTTACGGTGGGCGCCTGCCTAACAGAGGGTCCTTGCGGAGAAGCGCAGAACGACAAATGCCAGAGGCGGTGACCGCGTCCTCTGGATACCAGCGCCGCACCGCGCACCCGCGCCGCCTGCGCGCCCTGCAGTCGGCTGGGCCATTCGGCCCTTATATACCAGGCGGACCCGCGCCGGGACGGGGCGGAGCGGGGTGGGCGGGGAGGGGGTGGGGAAGGCCGAACGGCTTCCTGGGAGTCGTAGTTCGACTACGTAGTCCTGTCGTAGTCAGAACAAAAGCTAAACAAGGATGGAAATGGTTAGGGTTTGCCCACCACAGCTGTCCTCCCTTGCGCCCTTCCTTCACAGACAAAGCTGGCATTCCAGTCCTATTGTCAATGCCGCTAGGTCTATTCTGGCCTTTGTGCATAAGGTGGGTCACACCAGCCCCGAATGCCGCCCAGGATGACAAACCTTGGTGGCCCTAGAGTCAGGTTATCCCAGCTGGGCCCCACTTCTGGAGACCAGAGGTCCGAAATCAAGGGGTTAGCGGGGTTGCTTGCTTCTAGGGGCAGTGAGGGAGAATCTGTCCCGGGCCTCTCTGAGACCTGGTGGTCATTGGCTATCTTAGGCGTTCCTTATCTTAGGCGTTCCTTGGCTTGCAACTGCCTTACCTTCATCCTCCACCTTTTACACGGTCTTCTCCGTGTATCTTTTCACATAGTTTTCCCTCTGCGTGAATCTCTGTCTCTTCACACTGTGGTGTTTCTACAAGGATGCCAGTCATATTGGATAAGGGGCCCACCCTGATCCAGTACGACCTCATCATTAACCAATGACATCTGCAACGACCCTATTTCCAAATAAGGTTACATTCTTGGAGGTCCTGAAGATTAGGACTGCAATATATTAATATTTTGGAGTTGTAGGGGGAAAAGTTCAACCCCTAACAGGTCTTCTATGCCTTGTTGCACCTATTAACAGCCATTGTGACTAACCAACCCTTTTGATAAAAGCAAGCCCTGAGAAGCAAGATGAAATCACAAAATCACTGAGGCTGTGACAGGAGGGGAAGCCAAGAACATTGGAATCTCCTGGGCCAGGTTTTCCTGTGGCCACGGTGGGATTGCTGGAGAGGAAATGGTCAGAAAAAGAAGGCATCAGGTTGGGCGTGGTGGCTCATGCCTGTAATCCCACCACTGAGGTCAGGAGTTCGAGACCAGCCTGGCCAACATGGCAAAACCCCATCTCTACTGAAAATACAAAAAAAATTAGGTGGGCGTGGTGGTGCATGCCTGTAGTCCCAACTACTCAGGAGGCTGAGGCATGAGAATCGCTTGGACCCGGGAGGCGGAGGTTGCAGTGAGCCGAGATTGCGTCACTGCACTCCAGCCTGAGCAACAGAGTGAGACTCTGTCTCAAAAAAAAAAAAAGAAGGCATTAGTATTGAAAGTAACAGGAGGCACCTGGGTAAATGGGGTTGGGGAGGGGAGAAGATAGACAGGGCATTCCTAGATGCCCCTGAAGCACAGACTTGATTTTCCACCTGCCACTGTGCCCAAGTTTCCCCCCATTCAAGTCCCAGGCTATGGACAAGCTCAGGTCTGGCCCTGGAATCCTGGCTCTCACCTGGCGCTGACATTCCCGGAGAGTCAGTGGCAGTGCAGGGTCTGGATTGGCCACCATTTCCACTCTGAACTCACAATCAACTCCTCTCTTGCTTCCAGGTAAGAGAAAAACTGAGGCCAAGATGAATGTCAAAGGCAGGGATATCCGAACTCCCTAAACCCTCCCCTACAGGATATTGAGGATAACGCAGCTTTGCTGCTAGGAGCCGCCTGACCTTCTCCCCACTTTCCAGAACACGGGCTGCATATTCCTAGCATACGAAAGGGCATCCAGTCGTCTCAAAATGGTATCAGTGCCTCTTGCTGACTATGCATGGTTATTGTTTTCTCCTGCGTTATAATTCATTCTAGTCCTCAGTCTTCTTAAATTTCTGCACACCAAACATTAGTCACTTGAATAATTAGAAAAATATAGAAATTAATTTTAACTCATCATTTATTTCTTCTCATTGCTGTGAGATTGATTTTCCCCAGGTAAAGCTGGAATCATGTCTCTTCCTTGCTCCTAAAACATCCAGAGAGGTATAAACCCATGTTTAGCATAACATAGAGATGACAGATACAAACATACATACATACATAGCTAGATAGAGGTAAAAATAAGAATTGTATGTGTACATGCATTAGCATACACACACATATATCTCCTTTCTCTCTCTGCTAAGAGGGTCCAGAAGCAATGGCAGCCCAGTAGCAATGAGCACTGGATCTAAGCGATCATTTAGCACCTAGGTTTGTTTTTATACTATTGTCCAACAGAAGGAACCAGAGCTCATTGGAGAAACAGCTGATTCTAGGACTGGGGCAGGAAATATGCAAGATGAGCCTGGAGCACCTCGTAGTGTCAGAAAGTAAGAAAGTGCTAAAACACACTGACACACAAGCATACACACCATACAATGGTGGGGCCACGAGAGAAGGACATAGAAACCAACTGAAAGAGCTCTTAATCGCCAAAGTGGGGGAACCATTTGAACAACAACTTAAGTAAAGTGGTATTAGATTATAACCAAAGTAATAAAAAAATTCATGAGTTCATATTGATATAATTAGGTGATTGGAAAAATAAATACACAGAGGAAAAGAAATCTGTGCAGAAGAATTTCAAAAAATGTATGTAAATACACTGCCCTCCAGGAAGTGGAGTATAACTCCCCATTTCTTAAGCGTTGGCTGCACACAGTGACCCCAACTGAGAGATGGTCTACAAAACACCTCATCAATAACCCTCAAAACTGTCAAGTTCGCCAAAACCCAGGAGAGTCTGAGAAACTGTCACAGCTCAGAGAAGGCTGAGGCTTGATGACTGAACGTGGTCTTCTGGATGGAATCCTGGACCAGAAAAGGGACATTAGGTAAAACTAAGGAAATCTGATAAAGTGTGGGACTTTAGTCAATAGTAATGTACCAATATTGATTCATAATTGTTACAAATGTGCCATGTTAATGTAAGATGTAATAATAAGGGAAATTGAGTGTGGTTGTATTAGTTTGTTCTCACGCTGCTGATAAAGACATACCCAAGACTGGGTAATTTATAAAGAAAAGGAGGTTTAATGGACTCACAGTTCCATGTGGCTGGGGAGGCCTCACAATCATGGTGGAAGGCAAAGGAGGAGCAAGGTCACGTCTTACATGGTGGCAGCAAGAAAAAATGAGAGCCAAGCGGAAGAGAAAACCCCTTACAAAACCATCAGAGACTTATTCACTACCAGGAGGACAGTATGGGGGAAACCACCCCCATGATTCAATTATCTCCTACTGGGTCACTCCCACAACACGTGGGAATTATGGGAGCTACAGTTCAAGATGAGATTTGGGTGGGGACACAGCCAAACCATATCAGTGGGTATATGGGAACTCTCTGTACTATTTTTGCAATGGCTCTGTAAATCTATTCTAAAATTGAGATGTTATTTTAAAAGTTACATATGTATTTAATATAAATATGCATATATATGGTGATAAAAATAATTGCAATATCAACCCTCTCTCGTGTATCAAATTTTCTCCTTTTTTGAGTAGATTCATGGCTCTCTATTCTGTTCCACTGGTCAGTTTTTCTAACTCTGTACCATTATCATGGTGTCTTAATTCTAATACTTTTTTTTTTTTTTTAAGATAGAATCTCGCTCTGTCCCCCAGGCTGGAGTGCAGTGCCATGATCTTGGCTCACTGAAACCTCTGCCTCCCAGGCTCAAGGGATTCTCCTGCCTCAGCCTCCCGAGTAGCTGGGACTACAGACGTGTGCCACTGTGCCTGGCTAATATTTATATTTTTAGTAGAGATGGGGTTTTGCTGTGTTGGCCAGGCTGGTCTGGAACTCCTGACCTCAGGTGATCTGCCCACCTTGGCCTCCCAAAGTGCTGGGATTACAGGCGTGAGCTGCCAGGCAAAGCCCATTCATTTCTTACACCTTATTTGGAACTTCTCTCACTTTGTCTTCTTCAAGAGTTTTTAACTATTCATAGACCTCTACATTTACAATTAAATTTAAAATGAGCATATTACATTTCAGGTGAAAATAAATGAAAATTGCGGAGGAAAAATAACTTCAGAAGCCCCTCGTTGCCCACAAATTCACATATAAACTCAACAGCCTGGCATCAATGCCTTCTGCAGCCTAACCTTAATCTACTTTTTCAATCTTTTCTCCTGTGCTCCCCAACAACCCCTGTCCTGTGCTCCAGGAAAACTGGAATATTTAATATTTCCAAAAAGACCTCAATTCCTCTAGTCCTCACTGTGGCTTCCAGAGCCTCCTCTATCCAGAAGGCCCTTTGCCTCTGCTTATGGAGTTTTGTACTCTTCCTCTATCTGCTTTTTGGGGGCAGCTCACACACCACCTCTTCCATGAAGACTTCCCAGATCCCCAGTAACTGAGAGAACTCCATTAAACCACCAAGCACTCTGAGTCCCTTTCTAAAGTAAGTTTCTTGAGGTCTTCCATTTTATTCCCCTTTGTCACGATCCTCCCGTCTCCACCATTTAAAGTATTGCACATAGTTGAGGCTTATTAGGTATTTTGAAATTAACTATGGCACTTGGATCAGAGTTCTTGGTGCCAGCATACACTTGTCTTCACGGGTAGGACCAATACCATCATAGGTGCTGGTCTTTTCAGAGAGCTTGCTGGGTGCCAGACACTGTCCTGAACCTTTACAATGTATCTCATCATATAATCTCCCAAGAAGCCAACAGTAGGTACTATGATTAACTCTATTTTAGAAACAAAGAAATCGAAACTGAGAGCAATGAAGCACCTTGCTTAATGTTGCAGACGAAATAGAAAGGCCAGGGTAAAAATGCAGACTCCTCTCTCAGAAACTTCATCCTACTCCACAGTTTCAGTTAACGTGTCTATAAATTTCCCAGCAGCAAGGACTGGATCTTTTTACATTGTTGTACCCGCTGCACCGAGGATTGTTCCAGGAAGAGTAAATGCTCTGCACAAGCTGATGTAAGAATGTGGCTGAACAGGTGTAAAGCACCCAGCACACTGCCTTGCCCATTACAGGCACTAAATAAATGTTAGGGATCTTAGTAAGCCTACCTGTGCTGCTGTCCTTCCTTCTGCCCCCTCCCTACCCTGCCTGGGCTCTTCCATTGCCCATCCCACTCCCCCATGTGTGAAAGGTGTGGCTTAGGTATTGGATAGAGCCGATAGAGAATCTTTCCACCATCACAGAACATTCTATTGGACAGGACTGCAACAGCAGCATCGCCTGAGACTTCATTAAAAATGGAAGACTTCATACTGTCCACCGAGCATCAGAATCTGCACCTGCTGATGCACATTATTTTTATTCTTAATTTTGCAAGTGGATATAAATATACATAGTCAGCCCCCTGTGTCCATAGTTCTGCACCTGTGGATTCAACCAACTGCAGATCAAAAACATTCCAGAAAAAAAAATCCACAAAGTTCCAAAAAGCAAGACTTAAATTTTCTTCACACCAAGTACTACATTGAATCCACATGAATGAAGTGATGCACAGGCGTTGTGTTAGGCATTATAAGTAATCTAGAGATTATTTAAAGTATATAGGAAGAGGGGAGTAGGTTATATGCAAACACTAAGCCATTTATGTCAGGAACTTGAGCATCCTTGGATTCTGGTATCCACAGGGCATCCTGGAACCAATCCCCCATGGATACTAAGGGTCAACTGTACCTAATTTTAGAATTATTTTTAAATTAGCAAGTCAAAACCCCCTGGACAGAGTGTTTTAAACAAATCAAATGATATCCTATATCTGGTCTTGCAACACTCTTTTTTTTTTTTCTCTGAGCTATGTGTTGTGCAGAATTTTCATAAATCTAGCAGTTCAAGGGAGCTATAGCATTAGGGAATCATTTGACACAAAATAAATTTTAAAGGAAGTTCACAGCTGGCCTGATGCCCCACATTGAGCGAATGCCTCAGATCACAGGATATGCATATCAGTTGGTTAAAATATGCAGATACACTTGGTATCGATATCCAAAAATATCAAAGGGAGGTTTGCACAAGGAGAGAGCCAAAGCACTGTGGCATGTTTGAGAGGTGAGAGGGCATGCCAGTGGGATCTAATTATAAATCCCAGGCTGCTGAGGTTTTCATGCTTGACACAGAGATTAAAATAACTCAAAAACAAACAGTCACAGATTTCAGCCAAAAACACGCTGTTCTTTAGTGGAATAGTTACTCCAGAGCTTCCAAGAAATTTCAGAAGGTGTGAGCCAGTCCATTCAATTTTCAAACAATTCGAAGAGTGAGTCCTCATGCCTATAATCACGTGAGGGGATCGTCAGAGCTCAGACCTTTCTTTCCATGTCACGAGATGATCCAGTTTTTTTCTCCATCCTCTTCTTCTCCCCTCAATAATAAATGATAAAAAGCATTCATTGAGCACTTACTAAATGTTCAGCTCTGTGCTAAGCACTTATAAACCTATAATGCTCACTGAAACCCTAAGAGATAGGAAAGATGATTATTGCTGTGTTACAGATAAGACAGCAGAGGCTCAGAGTAACTTGCACAGGGTCACGCAGCCCTTTCCGCCATCTTCCTCCTTCCTTCCTCCTGGCTTCATCAAATGGACTCATCCTTCTTTGCCTCCAGGGGACATCTCATCTCTTGAGTCCCTACATTCTAACTCTTACTTACCTCTACCATGCCATTAAAAGTGTCCTCTCAGCTGGGCGCAGTGGCTCACGCCTGTAATCCCAGCACTTTGGGAGGACGAAGAGGGTGGATCACTTGAGGTCAGGAGTTCGAGACCAGCCTGGCCAACATGATGAAACCCTGTCTCTACTAAAAATA
This sequence comes from Homo sapiens, assembly GCF_000001405.40. Lineage (NCBI taxonomy): Eukaryota > Metazoa > Chordata > Mammalia > Primates > Hominidae > Homo > Homo sapiens. The sequence goes on from NC_000017.11 coordinate 72,599,591, forward strand.
TGAAAATTAGCCAGACATGGTGGTGCATGTCTGTAGTCCCAGCTACTTGGGAGGCTGAGGCAGGAGAATCGCTTAAACCCGGGAGGCGGAGGTTGCAGTGAGCCGAGATCGCACCATTGCACTCCAACCTGGGCGACAGCGTGAGCCTCCATGTCAAAACAAAAATGAAAACAAAAACAAACAAACAAAAAAACCAGTCTCTTCTCTAGGGTCCCAGAAACCTGCTAACCACTAACCACCGAATCCAGGGTGCTGGTTCTAGCCTTCTTAGTTTTGTTCTCTGCAGTTTCTTTTCCCAAAATCCCCTTTTCCCATGGCTTTTGCCATTGTGTGCCAGGCACGAGGTCTCTGCCCACTGACTATGCTCCCTTCCCGCCCCCTACCTATAGGATGCATCCCAGGCTCCAGTCCTGAGCTGTCCCCAGGTCTCCTTTCTTCAGTACCTTGCTCCCTCTCATACCCAATCCTGCCAACGAAGTGGTTGGCTCGATTCCAGGTCTGCTTTCCTGACTGCCCATCAGACATGTCTACACCAGCTGAAACCCAGGCTGTCTAAGAACAAGCATCTATAACTACCCACTGATGATGCCCCACCCAATGGCCCCTTGCTACCAAATTGCCCTGCAGCCACAGTGGACAATTCCAGCAAGTGGCCACCTCCTGCCTCAGCCACCTGTGACTCTTGTTTTTTTCTTTCTTTTATTTTTCTTGCTGTTCTTTGGCCTTGTTTAGTTCCTTGCAGAAGCATCTCAGAAGTGCCAGGGGTTTACCCTGTCTAAGGACAACCCTCAAGGAAGGGAGTCATTAGATAAATATTCCATCTTTTTCATCCTTCGATTGGGCAATTTTGGTTTTTTTTGTTTTTGTTTTTGTTTTTGTTTTTGTTTTTGTTTTGAGACAGGGTCTCTGTCACCCATCACCCAGGCTGGAGTGCAGTGGTACAATCTTAGCTCACTGAAACCTTGAATTTCTGGGCTCAAGTGATCCTCCCACCTCAGCCTCCCAAGTAGTGGGACTAGGGACTACAGGCACATGCCACCACACTTAGCTAACTTCAAAATTTGTCTTGTAGAGATGAGGTCTTGCTATGTTGCCCAGGTTAGTCTCTAACTTCTGGCTTCAGGGGATCCTCCCGGCTCAGCCTCCCAAAGTGCTGGGATTACAGGTGTGAGCCACTGCACCTGGCCTGATTTGGCACTTCTGAAGTTTATTTTATTGAGTTGCTTGGAGGGTCCCCAGTGAGATTCAGCCCTGTATGCCCACAGCATAACCTCTCATTCGCCACCCTTTATTGACTTTTCTCCCTCCCAATTCTCTCTCTTTGTTCTTCCAAAGATAAACTCACAAATCCAGTTACACACAAACGTTTCTCTGCCTCGAGAAGAATCCAAAATAAGATACCAATCACAAATCATTTTTTTTTCCTGCTGGATTCTTTGCTGAGGCCTGTGATTTTTCTAAGTCTCCCAGACATCAGGGTTCCAAGCTTAGACACATTCTGTATTCTTTTGCTCCATCCCCTTCACCCTTCTGAGTGTTTGTGACTCATGGCTTTCAAATGTCTAATATTTCCATTATTCCATTCTTCCCAGCCTGGTGCAGGTCCTACAACCTCACACTGTGATGACCCCACCACCACCACCGTTGCTCACACCATCCCATCTGCCAGAAATGCTTTTCGGACTTTGCTGGGCTTGTCCTTGCAGAGTGCCTCTTGTGTGCCCTGCCTTGTGCCAGGCAGGTACTTCAGACTCCTGGGATGACCTTCCTTCCCAACCCACCCCCGCGATGGCTGTCTTCTCAGAACTTCCCTTACATTATCATGTACTCCATTCATCTGACATTGAGATATACTGTCTTTCACCAGTGGTTGTTAAGATGTGTACATTTCTGGCTCCTCCCATTAATTTTAAGTGTTCTGGGATCAAGGAGTATATCACATATGCTTTCTTGCTTGCTTTTTTTTTTGTTTTTAATCCTTTTAACAGGGGCTCAGTCAACATTGGCTGGTTTAATTTGACTGATAATGTTAAATTGCCAACAAAGCAAATGCAGGTAAATAGTGCTCTTGAATGTGGACAAACGGATTCCTTCCCCAAACTGTGCTGAATCAATTTCCAGACGGCTCACCCACAAAGTCCTAACCAAAAGCTTGGTATTACAGCAAGCCGCCCAAGCCGGTGGAATTAATTAGCCTGCACCTACGTGCCAACATCATTCTACCAGTCAATACTCTTGATGGTCTGTGATATAAAAAGGATAGTGTCTGTCCTAGAGGTGCTATGAAGAATGTGAATTGGTAGCTTTCTGTCTCTAGATTGAACAGTGGTGACCATTCATTCATTTGTTCAACAAACATCTATTTAGCATCTGGTAAGCTCCAGGTACTGTGCTAGGCACTGGGGATATAATATCAAAGGTGAGAGTCAAAGTCTCTTTTTTGTGGGGAGATGGAATAAATAAGTAAACAACTAAATTAAATTATTGCGGAGTGTGGTAAGAACAAGGGAAGACATAAACCTATGCTATATTAGAGGGAAAAGAGGCTTCTTGAAGAAGGGGTAACTTATGAAACTGATCAAAACTAGATCATCCGACACTGGTACATACACATCCATCACACCCATATAAGTGACGGAGAGGCAGGTGATGTTAAAGGAAAATCTGGCCAGACGTGGTGGCTCACGCCTGTAATCCCAGCACTTTGGGAGGCGAAGGTGGGCAGATCGCTTGAGCCCAGGCATTTGAGGCCAAGCTGGGTAACATGGCGAAACCCCGTGTCTACCAAAAAAATATAAAAATTAGCTGGGCATGGTGGCATGTGCCTGTAGTCCCAGCTACTTGGGAGGCTGAGGTGGGAGGATTGCTTGGGCCCAGGAGGTCAAGGCTGCAGTGAGCCGTGATTGTGCCACTGCACTCCAGCCTGGATGACAAAGATAGACCCTGTATCAAAAAAAGAAAAAAAGAAAAGGAAAATCCACAGTTTGTGCCTTGGAATAACTGGAATTCAAAGCTAGTTCAGCAAATGGCAGTGTCAGCAAAGGGTCTAGTCAAGTTGACTTTGGCTTTAAAAGCAGACAGAGAAGTTTGGTGAAAGGGTGATGTGGAGGTGACTGAGTCAAAGGCTGGAGTGTGGCAAAGAAGTGCATTCCAGGGGTATGATGGAGAGAAAAGCAAAGCTACCGTCTCTTCTACAAGAGGACAGTCAGAACAAACACAACACAGTCTCACATCCAGGGGAAACGTGAATGAAATGGCTTCAGAAAGACCCAGACACCCAGAAGTGCCAGCACCAGGTGACAGAGGGAGGGGACCCATCCAGAACACACCTTCTCCCTGTGGCAGAACTAGCGAAACCAAATAGGGCAACACAGAAAGGCGACCTGGTGTGTGTGGGTTCAGAGCACAACTTCCCCAAGCCTCCTCCAGGGGGTTAACTGGAAGTCCTACCCAGATTTTGCAAGAAGCTTTGTCATGCAAATATTCTCCAAGACATCAGTTCAGGCACTCACCTCAAATGCCCTCCCTTCTCCCTCGGTCATTTCTTCCTTTCCAGTGAGCAGGTCACAAGGGCAGGCGCAGGAGATGTGATTGAGCTGTGCTGGGAAATGCCTCGGCCCCACCCCACTCCTACTACCCCCTGTGAGGAGGAGGCACAGGCGGGCACTGCCCTCGGAACACTAAAGCTTTGTTTCCTGGAGGTTCTGAAATCAGCCTCCTCACGTACCTCACCCAACACCAAACGTTCTGTCTCCACTTCCTCCTCCACCAAGGACTTTGGGGGGCTTGAAGGAGAATGAGGGAGAGCGGCAGAAAGGATGGCTAGCTAGTAAAGCCCCACATGCCTGCTCAGGCCTGTTCAAGCCCAGTGAGGTATATGTGGGTTCAGAACTGATTACACTTCCCCATCTTACAGATGAGAAAATGGGCTTAGAGAAACTGAAGAATTCGACCCGGGTCACATGGTGGGTAGATGCTGAACAGGCTTTGAACTCTGGTAATTCCAAGGGCACAAGCTGTGTATTTTTTCCTGTAACATCACCTGTCTCCTTGCCAGCTGGGCTGGAGAGATGGCTCTCTGTTGAAGAAAGAGAAGACTCAGATTCAAGTTCAGGGTCAGCCCTTAATTAGAGTGTGGGTTTCCTGTGGGAAAATGGGGGTTGGCCCCATGTACAAGTCTCCGATGAGGTCATACGCCGTAAGTCTGTTCCATGGGCTCTGTAGAAAAAACACAGCTGATGAAAAAAATAACAAACCATCACATTGTTATTCATTTATTCATTCACTCATTCAATGAAAGGTTTATTGAGAGGCTTCTAGGTGTCAGGCCCAGGGCAGGGAGAGATAATAAGGATCTGATCCTTCAGCCTAGAAGTGAAAGGCACATTCTTAAGAAATCTATCCAACCCTTCATTTTACAGAGGTAGAAAGTGAAGCCCAGAGAGGGAAAGCAACTCACCCAAGGTCACACAGCGAGGCAGCAGCAACCACCAAGACCTAGGGTAGCCTGCCTGACAGTGGGCCTATCAGCAGCCCAGGCTATCCAAAGAAGGTAGGACATGTCATTCAGTTCAACCTAATAGACCTGTTCTAAATCAACTAAGCCAGGAAGCCAAAACCTGCTTATGGGGCCCTACTGCGGGTCTCCCTGGGGAGAGGAATCAGCCACTGAGCTTTTGACAGAAATCAGCCACCCTGCAGGAGATGTCCTACAGAGATGACCAGCCCAATTTGTTGCTGAAGCCCTCACTTTAGTGAGCCCAGTTCCTAAGCCCAGCACTAAAGATAACACACCTCCCTCCATACTAAGTCCCTGTCAATATTCATCCAGCATCTAAAGTTCTGGTGCCAGAAGCTGCACCTCCACAGATCTTCAAGCTAATCTGTCCTAGCCCAGGTGAGATTTTGCATCCGAAGAAAATAAGACTTTAGTCAGATTACCCAGGAATAGGACCTGATGGGTATCCCAGGGACTAACCCTCTCGCCCTGCAGATCACTGCCTGACCCCTCCACCTGGCTGACATGTCCCTGGGTAGAGAGCTCTTCTGGTAGAGAAGCACAGACGGTTCCGGGAAGCAGGAAATGTCAGGGTCATGGCCGGTGCTAGAAGAGTTGCCTTCTGTCCTTGAAAGCTGAGGTTAAGCCACATCCGATGACCTCAGAGGACATGGCAGGTGAGCATAGGACCGTAGCATGGCAGAAACCCAGCCACCTGCCAGGGCGAGGCCTGCACCCTCGGGGAGCCACTGTAAACATCTGCCCCTCCGCATCACGCAACTTACCAGAGACGAGGCTTAAACACAAGCCTTCATTTTCTCATTAATAAATCCAGTGGTTTCCCTTGGAGAGACTGCCGCTAGCCACTAAATAAACCAAAAAGAAAACTCTCTGGAAAGGCAAACAGGTTTTCAGGCCAATTCTGATCCATCTCAGCAAAGAAGTGGTCTTTGATGCCTCTAAAGCTTTTTGTCTTGGACAACCGGCAGTGGAGCTCAAGGACTCGGGGCTCCATACCTGACTAAGAGATTTTGTCTCTAAGGAGCCACAGGCTGGAAAGCACAGGTTGTTTTGTTTCTCCCAACACCAGCGGGCTCTGAGGAAGACGGAGTCTGCATGAGATTTAGAAAGGTTGAGTAAAAAGACACAGGGAGAGGCCGGGCGGGGTGGCTCACCCCTGTAATCCCAGCACTTTGGGAGGCTGAGGCAGGTGGATCACTTGAGGTCAGGAGTTCAAAACCAGCCTGGCCAACATGGTGAAACCTCATCTTTACTAAAAATACAAAAATTAGCCATGTGTGGTGGTGGGTGCCTGTAATTCCAGCTACTCGGGAGGCTGAGGCAGGAGAATCTCTTGGGCCCGGGAGGCTGAGGTTGCAGTGAGCTGGGATCGCACCACTGCACTCCAGCCTGGGTGACAGAGTAAGACTCCGTCTCAAAAAAAAAAAAAAAAAAAAGACACAGGGAGGGAGTAAAGGAGGCAGAAAAGACCATAAGACCATTACTGCTTCTCAAATGTACCAATGAGGCATCACTTCTGCCTGGGACACCCTCCTGTGCCCAGGAGCTTTGCATGTCTGGCTCACTCCTACCACTTGGTTCTCTGCCCAGTGTCACCTCCCTAGAAGAGCCTTCTCCCACCATGCCGTAAAAGGTGCCTCCCACTTCCCTGTCACCTTCTAACACAGTGCCCTGTGAACTGGGATACAGGAGAAACAAGAGAAGAGCCCCCACTGAGTATAGGAAGAGATCTCCACTGAAAAGAGAAAGAAACCCCCACTGAAGAGGGGAGGGACCCCTCACTGACCATGGGAAGAGCCCCCCTTTGATTATGAGAAGAGCCCCCCCACTGAATGGGAAGAGCCTCCCCAGTTAATATGAGAAGACCCCTCCCACTGACTATGGGAAGAGCCCCCCACTGGCCATGGGAAGAGCCCCCCAGTGAATATGGGAAAAGCCCCCCTTTGATTATGAGACGAGCCCCCCACTGACCATGGGAAGAGCCCCCCACTGAATGGAAAGAGTCTCCCCCAGTTAATATGAGAAGAGCCCTCCCACTGACCATGGGAAGAGCCCCGCAGTGAATATGGGAAGAGCCCCCCTAGTTAATATGAGAAGAGCCCCCCTCCACTGACTGTGGGAAGAGCCCCCCAGTGAATATGGGAAGAGCCCCCCACTATGGGAAGAGCCTCCCATTGGCTTTGGGAAGAGCCCCCCACTGACCATGGAAAGAGCCCCCCACTGACTATGGGAAGAGGCCCCCATTGACTTTGGGAAGAGCCCCCCACTGACCATGGGAAGAGCCCCCCACTGACTATGGGAAGAGCCCCCCATTGACTTTGGGAAGAGCCCCCCACTGACCATGGGAAGAGCCCCCCACTGACTATGGGAAGAACCCGCATCCCCACCCCCGCCACCAAGTATGAGAAGAGATCTCCACTGAATAGGGGAAGAGGCCCCCACCGAAAAGGGGAAGAACCTCACTAAGTATAGGAAGAGCCACCCACTGATTATAAGAGCCCCCACTGATTATAAGAGCCCCCACTGAATAGGGGAAGAGGCCTCCACTGAGCACAGGAAAAGCCCCCAACAGAGTCATGCTCCTGGCCACTTTCTCCACCTTGTCCTCAGAACAAGCCACTGACTGGTGGGCAAGAGCCATGGGCCCAGGTTTCTGGAGTCAGCTGCTAATTTATCTAAAGTCTGTAAGGCCTGGACACTGAGTCTCAGAAGTAGTCCTGCTAGTCTTGCTCTATAGATCCTAACTTGGCCTCAGAAGACTGTCCCTAGAGCTAAACTGAAAGGGGGAACTGAGAGCTCAGGCAAGCCCACCTGGTCCCAGGACAATCAGGTTCTCCAGCCTAGCTCTGATCATTAAAAATCACACATGGGAGCTGCACCTGCCTGACTGCTGTGCCCATGTCTCTGTTGGCTTAAAAATCAGGCAAAGACTTCCTTAGACCCTTTCTATGTGTTTGTTTATTTTGATCTCTCCTCCATTAGAATGTAACCACCAGGGTCTCTGCTTTTGCTCACTGTATCCTTAGTCCCTAGAAGGGTCCCCAGCGCCTAGTGGGTGAGTATCAGATATATATTGCTAGAGAAAACAGATCATCATTATTGAGGGTCTACTATATGCTAGGCATGAGATGGATGTCTCACCTGATCCCCTTGACAACCTTTAAGGATGATGTGATTAAGCCCATTTTGCAGATGAGGAAACTGGGATTCAGAGATAGACAGTGAGCTTTCTAGCATGACATTAATGAGGAGCATCACGCCAGGCCCTGAAGTGCAGGGGGCTCTCATTCCACGGTTTTAACACTCAAAACCACAGTGGAAGTTCAACACTACCAACAGCAATCATTTCAAATGAAAAGAACAACTCTTTAATTACTTTGACAAGTTGACTTTTAACCTACCTATTTTCAAAAAGTATTTGAGTCAAGAAGAAATAGAATATCTAAACAGACCCATAACAAGTAAAAAGAGACTGAATTAGTTAAAACAAAACCAAACCACATGAAGCAGAGCCTAGGACCAGATGGCTTCGTGGATGAATGCTACCAAACATTTAAAGAGGAATTAACTCTAATCCCTTACAAGCTCTTCCAAAAAAATAGAAGAGGAGGGACAACTTCCCAATTCATACTATGAGGCCAGTATTATTACCTTGATACTAAAACAAGACAAAGACACCACAAGAAAAGAAAAACACAGACCAATATTCCTTATGAGTAGATGCAAAAATCATCAACAAAATATTGTCAAACTAAATCCAGCAACATATAAAAAGAGCAGACACCATGACCAAGTGAAATTTATCTCAGGAATGCAAAGATGGTTTAACATAGAAAAATCAATGTGACACACCATATTAACTGAACAAAGGACAAAAATCACATGATCATCTCCATTGACACAGAAAACACATTTAGCAAAATTCAACACATTTTCATTATAAAACACTCAACAAACTAGAAATAGAAGGGGATTTCCTCAACTTGACATAGGGCATCTATGAAAAACCTACAATTAACATCATACTTAAGGGTGAAAGACTGAATGGTTTCTTGTCAGGAATAAGACAAGTATGTCCACTCTTACCACTTTTATTCAACATTGTAGTGGAGGTTCTAGCCAGAGCAATTAGGCAAAAAGAAAGTCATCCAGATTGGAAAAAAAAAAAAAAAAAGGAAGCAAAATTATCTCTATTTGAAGATGACATGATAAGAACAAATGTTGGCGAGCACATGGAGAAATTGGAACCCTCATCCTCTGCTGGTGGAAATGTAAAATGCTGCAGCCACTTTGGAAAACAGCCTGGTGATCCTCAGATGATTAAATATAGAGTTACCATAAGACCCAGGAATTTCATTCCTAGGTATGTAGTCAAGAGAACTGAAAACGTATGTCTATACTAAACTTGTACACAAATATTCATAGCAGCATTAACCATAATAGCCCAAAAGTAGAAATGACTCAAATGTTCATCAACAGATGAATGAATAAATTGATATATCCGTAAAATGGAATATTATTCAGCCATGAAAAAGAATGAAATACTAATACATGCTGCAACATAGATGCACCTTGAAGCCAGACACAGAAGCCACTAACTGTATGATTCCATTTATATGAAATGTCCAGAATAGGCACATCTCTAAAGACAGAAATAGATCAATGGTTGCCAGGGGCTGAGGCATGCAAGGAATGAGAAATGTCTGCTTATGGTTATGGGGTATCTTTTGGGGGTGCTGAAAATATTCTGGAATTAGACAGTGGTGATCAATGTATGACTTTTCTGAGTTGTACATTTTAAAGGGTGAACTTCATGGAATGTGAATAATATCTCAATAAAGCTGTTATTTAAGAAAATGAGGCCAGGCACAGTGGCTCATACCTGCAATCCCAGCACTTTGGGAGGCTGAGGCAGGCAGATCACTTGAGGTCAGGAGTTCAAGACCAGCCTGGCCAACATGGTGAAACCCTGTCTCTACTAAAAATACAAAAATTGGCGGGGCATGGTGGCATGCACCTGTACTCCCAGGTATTCAGGAGGCTGAGGCAGGAGAATCGTGTGAACCTGGGAGGCGGTGGTTGCAGTGAGCTGAGGTCATGCCACTGCACTCCAGCCTGGGAGACACAGCGAGACTCCATCTCAAAAAAAAATGATAGGAGGTGCCCTCAGCAAAAACACATCTCTACAAATTATAATAAAGACCAGTAACATGATACAAGTAGAGACAAATAGTTAAAGGGAGAAGGGAGAAGAGCAAGCCGCTCGTAAGTAATGAGGAGAAACACTCTCTGAGTGATGGCCTAGTCTTATGCTGGCATTCCAAATGAACCTTGTGAATAAAGGCACATTTGAAAAACACTGTCATTTTAATGTTTCCCAATATAGCAATGCAATACTACCAATATCATCAAAAACAGTTGGAATGTAATATTTAATGGCAAATGGTGAGATCTAGAAATTTTTAATATAAGCCAGGGAAATAAGAAGGGACTGTCTGTTCTCCATTCTTGGCCATTTGAGTCACTCTGTTGAAGTGCATTTCTGTGGATGCATTTGATTTCATATTAATCACCACTGCATTTCTAGCTCACCATGTGGCTTTTGGCCAGGCATTCACAATTCACCTATAAAACGAAAGGGTGGGGCAACATTCTTTGCTGTTCTAAAATCTATGACTTGACTTGGCTCAACCGGAATATATGAAGCATGGAAATCTCTCTCTTTGTGTCCTTGAAGGGTTTACATTTCTTTTAATGGCCACAAATTAGAAGCAAGAAATAATGGGTCAAGTCATTACTAAATAGTATTTATTTCCAACCCAAACGTTACTTTTAATGGGGTACTAAACTAAGCAGCAGAAGTATGCAATAAGAACAGAGGAAATGTCATGTCCTCCAATCTTTGCTCAAATGTCCCCCCTCTCTTTTTTTATTTTTTGAGACAGGGTCTTGCTCTGTTGCCCAGGCTGTGAAGTGCAGTGATGCTATCATAGCTCACCAGAGCCTCAATCTCCTGGTCTCAAGGGATCCTCCCGCCTCAGTCTCCTAGGTGGTCGGTTCTACAGGCATGCATCACCACGCCTGGCTAATTTTTAAATTTTTTGTAGAGATGAGGGTCTCGTTATGTTGCCTAGGCTTGTCTTGAACTCCTGGCCTCAAGCAATCCTCCCGCTTTGACCTCCCAAAATGCTGCTTGAACCCCTGTGCCTGGCCAAATGTCTCCTTTTTTTGTTTGTTTGTTTGCTTGCTTGCTTGTTTGACACACAGTCTCACTCCGTCACCAGGCTGTAGTGCAGTGGCACAATCTCAGCTCACTGCAACCTCTGCCTCCCGGGTTCAAGTGATTCTCCTGCCTCAGCCTCCCAAGTAGCTGGGACTATAGATGCATGGCCGCCACACCCAGCTAATTTTTGTATTTTTAGTAGAGACAGGGTTTCACCATATTGGCCAGGATGGTCTCGATCTCTTGACCTCGTGATCCACCTACCTCAGCCTCCCAAAGTGCTGGGATTACAGGTGTGAGCCACCATGCCCGGCCCCAAATGTCTCCTTTTTAAAGAGCTCTCAGCCTCTATTTAAAATTGCAACCCAATGGCCATGCCTCCCTCCAGCACTGGAGATTGTCTCAACTCTGCTTTCCTTTTCTTTTTCAGTAGCACTTATCAACTTCCAGTAGATAATATAATTTACTAATTTAACACACCTATTATTTATCACCTTTAGAAGCAGATTTCTCTGATGTATACTATGCACCCAGCACTGTACAGAAGAGAATTCTGAGCAGGAGAATTGGACCTTTTCCAGTATACTGAGACTTCTTCCAAAACTTAAGAAAATGTTTAGCTGGAAGATAGTCTGTGTCAGTCTGTTTTAAAATACAGGCATGCACACTGTGCCATGATGGCTTTCCCATCTCAGTAGTAGACTCTGCTTATCATGTCCATCAACAATCAGAAAATAATGATTTGTTCCTACATCAACACTGCAGTTACTCAGTTCATATATTTGTTTATTGAACTGAGAGCTTCTATTAAATTGTGAATATATCAAATAGTGTTTGTTGAGCTGAGAGTCTCTTTATGTGATAAGTTTGTTTCTAAAACTAATTGCTGCTTTAGAATACCTATAATGCAAATTATTCCGCCTGGTACCCGCTCCTCCTTTGAGAACAACGCTTCCCACCTCGTCCCACGGTTCTGGCAGGAGCAGCTCTGTTGGTGCATGGCCTTCTTCCTCCCCTTGGCTACAGTTGACGGGTCCAAGGATGGGCATCTGACTTTAGCTAATCCAATCAGAGTCCTGCCTTGAGATTTGGCTGACTAGAACCGAATAAGGGAAGCTCGCCCTCAGTGAAAGCTGCAAGATGTAAAAGTCAAGGGCAAGAGGGTGCTCATGTTTCCTCCCAAATGAAGAAAGCAGATCTGTAAAGAGAGAGAAGAAAGCTCCGTGCAGAGAAAACTCATTCCACACATGCCCAGAAGATGGACTATATTCTTTCTGTCCTTCCGGTTGATATTTCATTCTTTCTTGATTGTTGTTGTTGCTTTGTTTTGACATAATCCTTCCAATAAATACCTTGGGATCCATGCTAGTCCCACTTGGGGATCTACTCCTTGCAGCTCCCAATCCATGCATTAAGAGGTCATGATAAAGACAGTCACAGCTGGCCGGGCACAGTGGCCCACGCCTGTAATCCCAGCACTTTGGGAGGCCGAGGCAGGTGGATCACCTGAGGTCAGACTGGCCAACATAGTGAAACCCTGTCTCTACTAAAAATACAAAAATAACTGGGCATGGTGGCAGGTGACTGTAATCCCAGCTACTTGGGAGGCTGAGGCAGGAGAATTGCTTGAACCCAGGAGGCAGAGGTTGCAGCGAGCTGAGATCACCCCATTGCACTCCAGCCTGGCCGACAAGTGTGAAACTCAGTCTCAAAAAACAAAACATGACCGGGCGCGGTGGCTCACGCCTGTAATCCCAGCACTTTGGGAGGCTGAGGCGGGTGGATCATGAGGTCGGGAGATCGAGACCATCCTGGCTAACATGGTGAAACCCCATCTCTACTAAAAATAAAAAAAAAAAAATTAGCTGGGCATGGTAGCGGGTCCCTGTAGTCCCAGCTACTCAGGAGGCTGAGGCAGGAGAATGGCGTGAACCTGGGAGGCGGAGCTTGCAGTGAGCCGAGATCACGCCACTGCACTCCAGCCTGGGCAACTGAGCAAGACTCTGTCTCAAAACAAAACAAAACAAAACAAAACAAAACACAAAGACAGTCACAGCAACTACTGAGACGGGAAAGCTATCATGGCATGGTGTGCATGCCTGTATTTTAAAACAGACAGATACTTACAGACTATCTTCCGGCTAAACATTTTCCTAAGTTTTGGAAGAAGTCTCAATAAATTGGAACAAGTCTCAATTTTCCTGCTCAGAATTCTCTGATGCTCAGATGATGATGGTTCAATTGGAGGTAGCTCACCAGGGCAAACGGCCTGCTTCTGCACTGCCAGAGGAACGAAGGTGGAAGCCGCTCAAAAAGAGGAGCTTCAGTTGGAGCAACTCACCTCAGCACTAAAAGAAAGATGTGAAGTCCCCTGGGGAAGTCAGAAGCCGACAAAGGATGACAGAGAAAACTCCAGAAATGTTAAAGAGAAAGAGATCAACAACTGGTACATTAATAATCTGAATGATAGAAGAAACCTAGAAAATTTGCAAACTGCTTCAGTTGATGAAACTTTTCTCAATTGTAATAATTATTTGTCCATTCCATTATTATAAGGCCTCTGTTTGAGCAGAAATACCATGCATAAAAGAAGAGAAAAAGGATTTGTTCTGTGTGTCTTTTTTTTTGGAGACAGAGTCTTACTCTGTTGCCCAGGCTGGAGTGCAGTGGCGTGATTGGGCTAACTGCAACCTCCACCTCCCAGGATGAAGCAACTCTCCTGCCTCAGCCTCCTGAGTAGCTGGGACTACAGGCATGCACCACCACGTCCAGCTAATTTGTGTATTTTTAGTAGAGCTGAGGTTTCAACATGTTGGCCAGGCTGGTCTCGAACTCCTGACCTCAAGTGATCTGCCTACCTTGGCCTCCCAAAGGGCTGGGATTACAGGCGTGAGCCACCGTGCCCGGCCCTGTGTGACTTTTGACTCCAGTTTTTGGATGAATCAGGGTCCTAACAGGATACAAACAGCACAACCACTTTGGGGGACTGAAAAGAGCTTAAGACAGAGATGATGTATTATGGGATGGGCAGAGTTCAAGGAACCAACAAGGGAGAGTGCAGGTTCATGGGGCCAGCAGTGGTGGGAAGGCATGACCCCCACCCTCTGAAGTCAGACGGGGCAAGGAGAGCAGAATGTTTCCAGAACCCAGAGACAGCAGCTGCGGAGAAAGGACAGCCTGCCAGAAACTGAGGCTACTTTCCTTCCACCCTCTAATCTTCTGCTATTCGCTCCACTTGCTGAACTCAGCTGGAATCCAGTGGCCAAGGGAGCCTGCTGATGCAATCCCTACAAGGGCAGCTCTTGGGGCACAGATCAGGGGTGAAATGGAGACAAGATCTGGATGGGCAAAGGAAGGAGATCCAGCTCACGTTTCAAGGGTGAGTTTCCACTCTCGTGCCAGCGTTAGAGGGGGATGCTAGGGAGAGACAGCGCCCCTGACATCCCCCCCAGCTCTAGACCTCTGTTGCCACTTGGCTTTCAGACATCTGTCCCTCGGTGCCTCTCAGATCTAGCACATCCAAACCAGACCACTGATCCTGCTACTCAGTTCTGAACCATTCTTGGACCTCCTGATGATGTGTCATGCTATTTTTCCAGATTTCTCTTCCTGGCCACCCAGGCTTAAAGCCTCAGGGCTACCTCCACTGTGCCCTCTTCGACATGTGGTCAGTTGCTACCCCCTCCCTCCACAATCCTACACTCCACCATCTTACCCATCCTGTCTTTTCTCATTTTCTTCCAACTAGACCGGTGGCATCTACTTCTAACTGTCATCTCTAATCTCTTCCCCTTTAAATGTACCCTACACACCACAGCCTGATTAATCTGTCTAAAACACAGCATGGATGGTGATTCATCTGCCCATGTCTCAACCAACCCAGCCCTTCCTTGTTCCCCAAATATGCCCCATGCTTGCCTGCCTTCATTTCTTGGCTAAAACCTTTCCTTTGCCTGGAGGAGGGGCTGCCCTTCATCTTTTTCTCCTGAAGCCAAGCTTTCTTTCATGCTCCCAAAATATTTTCATCTTCCCTCCTCCCCTCTCTCTAGATATTCTGCTTGTACCTTTCTTATGGCACATATTCCAGCTTAACTTATATTACCGTAATTCGGGGACATGGGTTCTTTCTTATTTTCCTTACCCCATTGCAAATTTGAGAGCCAGAGTCATGCCCTGTTCATTTCCGTAGTTGCCCCTGAGACCTAGCCAAACAGCTGGCACATAGTGGATGCTAAATCCCCATGCAGTGAATGAATGAATGTGGCTATCACTTAGGATATTTTCCAAAAGCCGTATGTACAATATATTTCTTGGCCTGTCTCTCTTGTCTACATAATGATACAAATCAAGGAAGGCCCTAACGAGTCCCATGTTGATTGTGGGGCATATGACTAATCCCGTAATACACTTGGACTGCTTTATGAAAGCACTTTTCAAACAGCTTTATAGCATATCTAGGCCACAAGGTTGGGAATAGATACCTAGAGATTTATTGGATCATTAAATGAACTAGGGAACAATAGGCATTGTGTTAATTTACACACACAGTGGGAGAGATCCAGGACACCTAAACCATCCCCATGTTAAAAATCAGCCCTCAGGCCCCATATAGTCTGCAACTCACCCAAAAGTACCCCCACGAGGTACACAGGAGCCTCTCCCCAGGCTCATGGAAACAGCAACAAAAGTCTTAAAGTCTTAAGTCCACCACAAAGATCTGATCGGTGTAGGTGGGGGAGGATGGGTGGTGGGAGAGAAGAGAGGAATTGTCAAAAGTGCAGTGATTTAGTGTCTGTCTCTTTCTTCCCTTCTCCCTCCCTCCCTCCCATCACCCTGCCTCCTGCACAAGGAACTATTGAGAAGGCACAGAACAAACGCTCCCTTATGCGGCTCCCACGGCGTCTCTCGGTTTGTCGGAGACAGCTGCCCAAAGCACGCTATGGTTACTCATTACCCGGGTTCCCAGGCAGGAAAAGGAGCAAACTTAATAGACTCGAACTAACCCTGAGCTCAAATACTCCAGCCATAAATAAATAAATAAGTCAGGTGTACCAGGGGAAGGGGAGGGAAGTGAACGGGGAATGGCTGGGGAGGGGTCGGCAGTGTAAGCGGACTGAGTGGGGCCGGGTTGCGGGGGCGGGGGTGGCGGTGAACACAACCCAAGAGTTTCTGAAAGGGGAGGGGAAGGATGGAGGGAGGGAGGAAAACTCTTTTCTCCCTTTGGAGGAAGGACAGAGGGTGTTTGTGTTGCTTGCTTGTCCCCGCCTGCAGAGTGGACGAGAGGCTCTCAGCTGGCCATCTGGGGACCTTGCGGAAAACTAGAACTTTGAGGGGAAAGGAAAGAAAGTCCTGTTTCTCCAGCGTGAGATGTGGCTGGGGTTTTGCTTTCCTCCTGACTCACAGAGTAAATGGTTTAGTTCATGGCCATCGAAGTGCCCATTGAACAGATGGGAAGGGCAAGGATGGAGAGAGAAGCAAAGGGACTGAGGGGCAGAGTGACTGTTGGCAGGAAGTCAGTCGTGCTCCAAAACTTTGAAGTCGTCTCTATGAGTGCTCCTCAACCCACACACTTTTGCCCCTCCCCCTACTCTGGAGACACTGGGCAACGTCTGGAGAGGTTTTTCATGGTCACAACTGGGAAGCCAGGGTGGTACTGGCATTTAGTTGGTAGAGGCCAGGATGCTACTCACCACGCTACAAGGCACAGGACAAAACCCTGTAATAAAGAATGATCCAGGCCGGGTGTGGTGGCTCATGCCTGTAATCCCAGCACTTTGGGAGGCCGAGATGGGTGGATCACCTGGATCACCTGAAGTCAGGAGTTCAAGACCCGCCTGATCAACATGGTGAAACCCCATCTCTACTAAAATTACAAAATTAGCCGGGTGTGGTGCCAGGCGCCTGTAATCCCGGGTACTCGGGAGGTGGAGACAGGAGAATCGCTTGAACCCAGGAGGTGGAGGTCGCAGTGAGCCATGATCCAGCCATTGCACTCCAGCCTGGGAAACAGAGCAAGACTCTGTCTCAAAATAATAATAATAATAAAGAATGATCCAGCCTCAAATGTCACAGTGCTGAGACTGAGAAATCCTGCTCAAGATGTAAGTCTCAGAACCCAACCTCCATCCCAGGCTGCCTCTAATTCTGCAGAGGGCATCTGTCAGTCCATAACAGGTCCATAAATTCACTCCTTCTTCCAGGGTGAAGAATGGAGAAAAATCAAAGAACAGCACATGCAACGATGCATTGGTGATCTCCTTCCTGCTAACCCTGTGGCCAAGAACACAAAGCAAACACGACCCCCAACAGAGAAGGCAGGGGAGGAGCCCACCAGTCAAACCAGCATTCCCTAGTCCCCGCCTGATCATTGAACAGACTTGAGGGGGCGCAGCATCTTTTACCTGGTCTCAGAATTTCTGCCAGTCTTGGCATGTTGGGGGCTTGGGAGGTTGCATTTTGGGTTTTGTTTTATGGCTTAATCTGGACCTCAATTCAGTCAAGTCAATGAGAGCAGGGACAGTCCCCAGTCACCATCTCAGGACCATGGCAAAATGTAATGAGCTTTTTCAGGAATTTAAAGTACTCACAGAAGGGCCTTCTGCAAAAATGAAGCATGACCCAATGAGTGTAGCCCAGCGCAGTGAGGGTGGACAACTTCAAGGCCATTGTTTTTCAGGGGGCTGTGGCAGCCAAGAGTTGCTGGGCCCTGTACAACCGTCAAAGTACTCCCAGGAATGCCACTGGTCTTTCCACAGTTGTCCAGGGGTGGAGAATCCACTGAGGGTCAATGACTCTGTTACAGTCATGTCAGTACCTTAAAGGTTTGTGGTGGGGGGCTGTGGAGGAGTTGGGGAGGGATTATATCTGTAGTGTGTGCGTGTATGTGATGTGCATGTGCATGTATGTAATGTGTGTGTAGATGTGTGTGATGTGCAATGTTTGTGCATATGCGTGTGCTTGTACCTGTATGTGATGTGTATGCATGGCATGTATGCATATATATAATGTGTGTGTGTACGTGTGTGCCTGTGTGTGTGTGTATGACACACCAGCTGATCAATGCCAGAACAAGAAGACCAAGGAAGATTCCAGAGATAAGACTGTCCTACATCTCTGATTGATGGGCATCTTTGAAGACGTAGGCTAGCATCTAGAGGCTTCGAGAGGAAGCTCTGCAATTTCAATTCCTGTCTCTGCTACTTCGGAGCTACGTTACCTTGGGCAAGATGTTTAATTTCAGCAAGACCCAGTTTTTCTCGTCTCTGTAGAGGGGCAATAAAAGGACCTACCTGTGGGTTTCAGGAATTAGTGAATTCATGGAAAGCACCTAGCACTGGGCACAGAGCAAGCACACAGATGTTGCCTGTTCCAATTATCACTGCTTCAGGAGACAGTTCTTCCTGGAGTCTAACCTAAGGCTGCCTGCCTCCTTCCCTGCCTCCGAGGGACTCCATTCCCCTGATCACCATCTCTGTGTGACACAGTCCTCTTGACTTTAGCTGCTTGTCTTTGGGAATGTCAAAACTCAACACTCCAGCTGTCCCCGGTTCATGTAGCCCAGCCAGGAAGGAACCGGGGGAGCTGATCACCAACTCTCAGCCTCACACGTACCTCGGGGACCCCAAAACATTTTCTGGTGGCCCAGCAGACTGAAAAAGTCTGGCTGGGGTTTTCCCCCTTTGTGCCTGCAGCCAATGCCAGCTGAGGCTTTCCCTCCTAATTCCCCAGATGCCTGACGGCGTTATTGCCACAATAAAGCAATGACAGTCCCCTATCAGCTCTCAATCAGCCTAGCCTGCCCTTCACAACCGGTTTGTCAGACCGCCCCGCCCTTCCTCGTTGTTAGCTCTCTGCTTGCTTATCTGCTGCTGGAGACAGAAGTCTCTGGTTTAATTGTGGCAAATTAATGATTGAACTCCACAGCCAACTCCTCCCCAAGTGCACGACAATCCCTCCCATTGAAGGCGCCAAGAAGGAACTCACTGTCATCGCCGAGACCAGAGTCAGCGGGTGAAGGCAGCGACCAGTTCTGGAACCACATTCAGTCCCACACCCAAGCAGCTGAGCGAAACTCTTCCTCCTCCACGAGGCCTCTCCCAGCCCTTCAGTTCATGACGCCTTGGTGAGAGAGGTCTGTATAGCAACACGGCTGCACTGAAGCTTCCTTTGTAGGTCGATCGATGGTGCTGTGCCACATAAATCACCAGCTTATTTCTCCTGGCATGTGAGCACCTATGCCCGATGAGAGCAGATACATAATCAGTGTTGAGTTAATGAAGGAGCACAGATGAGTCTCCTCTCCCGACTCAATCAATTTTATTGTATAATGGTGGCTATATATTTAATAACATGTAACTCACAGGCTCGGTTTCAAGCACTTCCTCCTAATAACTCTACGAGGTAGGTACTGTTGCCATCAACACCTGTTTTACAGATGAGGAAACTGAGGCACTGAGAGGTTAAGTTGCATGTGTAAGACTCTAATGAGTGGCAAACTAGGATTCAGACTCAGCGTCCACACACCTAAGCATCACAGTATACCCCACCCATGAGGATGCTACCCTTATATAAAATGGTAAAATGAAAACCTGGACTCTACCACCCAACTGAAGATCTAGAAGATGATCCATGCCTCACTCTGACTTTCTTTTTCTTTTTTTTTTTGAGACGGAGTCTTGCTCAGTAACCCAGGCTGGAGTGCAGTGGCGCGATCTCAGCTGACTGCAAGTTCCACCTCCCGGGTTCACGCCATTCTCCTGCCTCAGCTTCCCGAGTACCTGGGACTACAGGCGCCTGCCACCACGCCCGGCCAATTTTTTTGTATTTTTAGTAGAGATGGGGTTTCACCATGTTAGCCAGGATGGTCTCAATCTCCTGACCTCATGATCCTCTCGCCTCGGCCTCCCAAAGTACTGTGATTATAGGCACAAGCCACTGCACCTGGCCACTCTGACTTTCTTTATGCAGTCCTTCAGGTTGCCCTTCTTCTTCTTCTTCTTTTTTTTTTTTGAGATGGAGTCTCGCTTTGTTGCCCAGGCTGGAGTGCAGTGGCACGATCTTGGTGCACTGCAACCTCCGCCTCCCAGGTTCAAGCAATTCTCCTGCCTTAGCCTCCCGAGTAGCTGAGACTACAGGTGCGTGCCACCATGCCTGGCTAATCTTTTTATTTTTTAGTACAGATGGGCCAGGCTGGTCTCAAACTCCTGACCTCAGTGCTGGGATTACAGCTGTGAGCCACCACACCCGGCCTCAGTTGCCCTTCTCTCTTCTCCCCAGAACAACAAACACGCTGAATTTTATTACTCCCTTTATTTTCACTGTGGTTTTAATACATATGTACATGTCCCCAAATAACATGCTTAGCTTTATTTCTGAACTTCATAAAAATATATTTATGTTATATGGAGTCTGCAACTTCCCTACCCTGAAGTCACGAACATGTTTTTCTATATTTTCCTCCCTGCTCCTCCAGTGTTCTCTCTCTGCCTCGGCACTCCTAGGTATGACCTAAGCTATTTTAATTTGTATTTAAGGATATATTCTTTGCCAAATGTTATAGAGTTTACAAAATAGCTCCTTGTCCATCTCTTTCAGCACATAATCCCCACTCCTTTCTTTTTCTAACAATCTGGAAGGCTCTACAATGATGGCACCCATGTTTGACAAAGGGTTTCTGGGCACTTCTGAACAGCCTGGGAATGTATTAATAGTTGGGAACTGAGATCAATATGTCTTAGATGTTTCATGGCCTAAGGGACAACAGCACGGTATTGTGATGAGGCTAAGAACAGGCTTTGGAGTCAGGCGTTCCTAGGGTTGAATCCCTCGTGTCAATCAGCTGTTGACACAAGACTGTTGCAAACAAATGACTGGAACACTCAGTGGCTTAAAACAAGGGATATTTCATCCTGCATTTGCAGTCCTGCAAGGCTGACTGTGGTTCTGTGATCTACAATGGACTCAATGTGCAGCTTAGCTTGAGTATGCCTATTGACGGAGCTTGGATCCCAAGCCATGGGTTGGTATCCATTATCTACTGCTGTATAACTACCCCAAAACTTAGTACCTTAAACAACAATTACGATTTCTTTCTCATGATTCTTTGGGTTGCCTGGGCTGATCTGCTGATCTTGCCTGGGTTCGCTCATGTGGGTAGGGTCCAAGACAACCTCACCTGTGCAGCAGTTTGGTGCTGGTTACCCACTGGGGCTCTTCCATTCTCTTCCACGTGGCTTCTTCTCAAGCAAGCTAAACAGACTTCCTCACAATATGGTGGACCCAGGGTTCCAAAAGGGTGGGAGTCCAACATGCAAGATCTCTCAAGGGTTAGGCTCCAGAACCCACACCCTTTGCTTCTGCCACATTCTATTGGCCAAAGCAAGCCACAAGGCAGCCCCCAGGTGTGGGATGGTAGAGAAATAGACTCCCGCTCTTGATGACACAAGTGGCAACGTCACACTGCAAAGGGCCATGAATTGAGGTCCGTGTGATTCCTTGGTTGGTGGGGGGCAGCGCAGGGAGGTGATTAACACAGTCTAGCACATTCGGGCCCTAGTCGACTCATGTTTTTTCTCAAGCCAAGACTGAAGGGCCTGTTGTAACCTGGGACACACACTTCTTCAGGTGACCACAGGAGCCCAAACCAAGCCAAAGTGCACAAGTACCTGGCAGCTAGTACTCCTGGTGTGGTTGCTAACATTCCATCAGCCAAAGCACATCACACGGCCAAGGCCAACACCACGGTGCAAGGATAGCAGGAAAGGGTGTGTGTGTGTGTGTGTGTGTGTGTGTGTGTGTGTGTGTGTGTGTGTGTATAAAACCAAAAAATAAACCAAGCTATCATAGCCCCACTGTAAATTCTCATTCATAGTTGACCCATCAAAAACATGGGTTGTTTTAAGGCAAAGTGACCAATTCATCCCTATTTGCTTGGGACTTTGTTGGATTTAGTACTGAAAGTCTCATATCCCAAGAAACCTCTCAAACCTGGGCAAATAGGGATGGTTTATCTTCCCTATTTTGAGTACTAAAGGAGATCCTCCCAATGGCTGCCAGCCAGATATCATCATTATGACTAGCCCCACTCTGCAGAAGAGAAAAGCAACTTTTCAGTGGCTGTAGAGACAGTAGGTGGAGTAGCCAATATTCAAACCTGACCCTATTGAAGCAGCTCTCTCCTATCATATGTTTCTCATGCCTGTTGCCTCCAAAGTCCTTCTCATTTGAGGTCTCCCTGGTCTTTATTTTTTTTGTATTAAAACAATTTATCTTGTTTTGAGACTGGGTCTTGCTCTGTTACCCAGGCTGGAGGGCAGTGGCATGATCTTGGCTCACTTGCAACCTCTACCTCTTGGCCTCCAGTGATCCTCCCACTTCAGCCTCCTGAGTAGCTGGGACTCCAGGTGTGTGCTACCATGCCTGGCTAATCTTTTGTATTTTTAGTAGAGATGGAGTTTTGCTATGTTGCCCAGGCTGGTCTCAAATTCCTGGACTCAAGTGATCTACCCACCTTGACCTCCCAAAGTGCTGGGATTATAGGCATGAGCCACCATGCCCAGCCTAAAACAAAATGTTTTAATTGGCAAATAATAATTGTACATATTCCTGGGGTCCATGGTGATGTTTCCACACATATAATGTATAGTGATCAGATCAGGGTAATTAGTGTATCCATCATCTCAAACAGTGATCATTTCTTTCTGTCAGGAACATTCACTATCCTTCCAGCTATTTGAAACTATATATTACTGTTAACTATAGACATTCTACAGTGCTATAGAAGACTAGAATATATTCCTCCTATCTAGCTGTCATTTTTTATGGATTTCAACAAACCTCTATAAAGGGGAATGAGTTTCTCTCTGTAAAGGGAGAAACCAAGTCCCAGAGAAGTTAAGGGGGACATCTGCCAATGAGGTATATGGAATACTGGGGCCAGCCTGAAACAAAGGGTAGACACAGGAAACAGAGGGGCTAACCCGTAACCAGGAGGAGGCCCTGAGAGCCAGGGAGGAGGATGCTGCCTGGGCTTGGGCTGGGCTTGGCTGAGAATGGCTGAACCTCAGCACTAAGCCTCTCCCATCTCCCATGACTTAAGCTTTGGGAAATGGCCCATGAGATCTGACCCTCTAGAGTTGGATTCCAATCCTGAACTGGGCTCTAACTCACTCACTGTGTGGCCCAGGGCAAGCTGTTCAACCTCCCTGGGCCTCCATTTCTCTGTTTATGGATGACCTGCCTGACTTTCCAAGAATCACTGGGAAACGGAGCCTTGGAGTTCCCTAGAGAAAGGAGGTGTCATAGTAGGCTATCTGGCCATCTTGCAGGTGAACCCCAAAAGAGTGGCTTGGTAGTTTTTTCTCAAAGAAATTCCACAAAGAGGAGGTATGTTGTAATGGAAGAGTATTGGATTTGGCATCAGAACACCAGGTTCCAGTCCTGATTTGCTATTTAAAAGTCACCCATCATCTCAAAGCTACGGTCTTGCTTGAGTGTGAATCACAATTCTTGCCTTGTACAGGAGGATCAAATCAGGCAGGAATGCAACCACATCAGTCACCTGGAAGGAACGCAGGCATCCGCAGAGGAGGGGGTGAGGTGTGGAGTCTCTGCCCGAACATCGGTTAAGTGGTGAGTGAATTGACTGGGATGAAACTGATGAGGATGGTAGTAACGATGCTCTAAAGCACCCGAGTTTTCCCCCAGTTCCCTCAGGGAAGCCCCACTCTGAGACCTGGGACCGCCACTCCCAAATCCCTGTCCCAGATTCTTTCCTTTTCCGAGGGCATCTAGAGGACAAGCACCTTCTGATCGGAATGTTTTCCAAATACTCAACATCTGGAAGGAGCTGTTACAAAGGCCCCCTTTGTGTAGCCGGGAAATGGGCTGGCAATAAAACAGGGCCAGACCCTGCCGAGCTGGGAATGGCAGTGGGGAGAGGGTGGGTGAGA
The DNA here is from genome assembly GCF_000001405.40 of Homo sapiens. NCBI lineage: Eukaryota > Metazoa > Chordata > Mammalia > Primates > Hominidae > Homo > Homo sapiens. The sequence continues at coordinate 72,623,283 of NC_000017.11, forward strand.
GGAGCAGCGCGGAACAGGCTGGGAGGAGGACCTGTGAGAGCAAGGTCTCCGAGAGGGGTGTCCGGGCAGCATGGGACAATGGAGAGTGACCATTGCATATCCAGCGCTTTCTATGTGCTTTCTCTGTAGTGTCTTATTTATGTAAAAGAAAGTTTCAGCAGTGGTCACAGTGAGGGGGGAAGATGTATCTGAAGCGTGGTGGGAAAGATGGAAGAATTCACTCAACAGTATAACATTTTTCAGGTCTTGACAGAGAAGGCAGAAAAACCTTCCCTGCTGGAGTGTTAAAAGGTGACAACGCCCCAACCCTGTTTCTAACCTGCATCATTCCCCCACTTCCTTAGAGCCATGTGCTCAGAAAGCAGGTCCAGGTGCCCTTGCAGGAGCCTCCTGTCCCTTTGTTCCAGCAGGTGTCTGTGAGTCTGTGTGCACGCCCTTGGGGGCTTATGGGACCTATAAGAACAGATGATTCTTCCCGTCTGTTCTGCCACAACCAAGCAACGCTCTGCCCTTCCTTGTATGCCCCCTGGCCCCAAGGCAGTCTGAAAACACAAGGGAGTTCTCTTGATGGAAACTTCTTGGGAGACTGCAGGCCTGCTATGCAAAAGTCGCTTCCCAAAAGCCAGAAAGCCATATGCTGTTTATTTCCAAAAGTATCTGGAAATCAATTCAGGCAGCTCTTGCAGAATTTCAGAATCTCGGGGCTGGAACGAATCTCAGGAGCCCGATTGCAAATGGGCAGTGGATGGACCACCTGCTTTAGACTCCACGAGGGGGCTTGTTAAACATGCAGAGTCCTAGGCTGAGCCCTGGAACCACCTGGTGAGCGGGGATGGGGAGTTGGAATCCAGAAATCTGCATTTGGTAAGCTCTATGAGTGATTTTTCATTCAAGTGTGAGAAGTATTGATCCAAATCCTGACCCAGCCTCCAGGACAGCAGCACTTGCTAAGGTGAGACACACGGCTGTTTTTTTCCATTCTTAAACATATCTAAGGCTGCATGCATTTCCCTCAGCATTCAGAAAGGCTTTCTCAACTTTCTTTTTTTATATCTAATCTTAGCTTTCTGAGCATCCTCCTTGCATAATTTATTGAGCACAGACTATCTACTGGGTGAGTTCATTGCATATTGCCTTTTTACTATTCATGGCATCCTTTGAGTCACATACAGTTGGAGGCAGCTGGAGAGGGAGGGGAAAATAAGAAGAAAGGAAGTCGTCGGAAAAGAAGGGAAAGGCAGAGATGAGGAAGACCTTCCCTTATCTCCTGCCTTTGGGAACAATAAGCTGACTTCTTGGTGTGTCCTGGTCCTTTTTACAACTGGAGCAGATAGAGTGTTATTGAAACTCAGAACTGCCACATTTGGAAAAACTAAATTCTACTTTTGTTTTTCCAGACTTCCCAGGCCATATTACATCTTTCTGACCAGTTGGATGCTATAGGAAGTCAGCTCAGATGCTTCTAGGAAACCTTAGGCTTTTGTGAGAAAAAGAAGGCATGCAGCTGGTACTAGCCTCCCCTCTTCTTCCAGCATTGGACAGTGCATTCATTTTCTAGGGCTGTCCTAACAAATTACCACCCTCTGGTGGCTTAAAGCAAGAGGATCTTATTATCTCAGAGTTCTGGAGGCTAGAAGTTTAAAACCAAGGTGTCAGTGGGGCCATACTCCCTCCAAAGCCTCTAGGAGAGAAATTTCCTTGCCTCTTCCAGCTCCTGGTGCTTCCTGGCTGATATGGTTTGGCTTTGTCCCCACTCAAATCTCATCTTGAATTATAGCTCCCATAATTCCCACGTGCTGTGGGAGGGACCAAGTGGGAGGTAACTGAATCACATGAACAGGTTTTTTCTGTGCTGGTCTTGTGATAGTGAACATGTCTCATGAGATCTGATGGTTTTATAAAGGGGAGTTCCCCTGCACTTGCTCTCCTGCTGCTGCCATGTAAGACGTGACTTTGCTCCTCATTCACCTTCTGCCATAACTGTGAGGACTCCCTAGACATGTGGAACTGTGAGTTGATTCAGTTGATTGAACTTCTTTCCTTTATAAATTACCCAGTCTCTTCTTTCCTTTATAAATTACCCAATTTATTAGCAGCGTAAGAACAGATGAATACACTGGTATTCCCTGGCTTGGGACAACATCATTCCAATCTCTGCTTCTGTCTTCATATGGCCTTTTCCTCCCTGTCGTTGTGTGTCCTTCTCTGTCTCTTATAAGGACACAATCACTGAAGCTCACTCTAATCCCATATGATCTCATCTCAATCCTTAACTACCTCTGAAAAGATTCTATAAGGTCACATTCTGAGGTTCCAGGTGGACATGGATTTTGGTGGAGGACACTATCCAACCCACCACAGATAGGGACATTGTATTAGTCCATTCTCATGCTGCTATAAGGATATACCCAAGACTGGGTAATTTATAAAGGAATAGGTTTAACTGATTCACAGTTCTGCAGGGCTGGGGAGGCCTCAGGAAACTTGCAATCATGACGGAAGGGGAAGCGAACACATCCTTCTTCACATGGAGGCAGGAGAGAGAAGAATGAGTGTGAGCGAAGGGGAAGCCCCTGATAAAACCATCAGATCTCATGGGAACTTACTCACTATTATGAGAACATCATGGCGGAAACAGCCTCCGTGATTCAATTACTTCCTACCAGGCCCTTCCCATGACACGTGGGGATTATGGGAACTACAATTCAAGATGAGATTTGGGTGGGGTCACAGCCAAATCATATCAGACATGATTTACAGAGCCACGGAAGCCTGAGGGGCAGCATGAGGACAAAAATAAGCTAAGAAAGGCAGAGACATCAAAGGCTAAATGTGAAGACTCTGAGCTGAGCCATGAGCTGTCAGGTCTGGAAAGAGTCAGTGCAATAAAAACAGCATGGTTCATATTGGCTGTGGAGTCACCCAGACCTGGGTTTAAATTCCAGGCCACTGTCACTTTCAGGAGGGAAACCCAGAAGAGTTTTCTCATGCCTTTAAACTTTATCTAACCTCTTTGAAAACTTTATTTGAGGAATACACAAGATAACACACTCAATAATTCACTCACACTCCTTGTTCTTTACCTAACAGCAGCAACTTTGCCTTACTTATTTTCATATCTCCTGCATATGACACATAATATACAGTAATTAATATTTGTGGGCCCAGAGTAATCAACCAAATATTTGTTATGTGTCAGTAGCTACTTTAAATATTACAAAGCTTCAGTTTCTACCAGTGAAATACAGGGATTTGTTGGGCCTGGGCTACTGGAGTGTTACTGGAATAATAGGCCATTAAAGATCAGGAAGGCTTCCAGTTCAACGTGGTAGACGAAGTATGCATGTGTGCCCCCACTCCAATCTCACATTAAATTGTAATTCCCCAGTGTCAGGGGTGGGGCCTGGTGGGAGGTGATTGGATCATGGGGGTGGGTTTCTCATGAATGGTCTAGCACTGTCCCCCTTGGTACTGTCCTCATGATAGTGAGTGAGGTCTTATGAGTTCTGGTCGTTTAAGTGTGTGCAGCATCCCCCCACCCGTGCTCTCTTGCTTCTGCTCTGGCCATGTGACGTGACTGCTTCCCTTCACCTTCTGCCATGATTGTAAGCTTCCTGAGGCCTCCCCAGAAGCTGAGTAAATGCCAGCACCACGCTTCCTGTATAGCCTGCAGAACCATGAGCCCATTAAACCTCTTTTCTTTATAAATTACAGTCTCAGATATTTCTTTATAGCAACGCTTGAATGGCTTAATACAACATGATCCTTTCCACTCCTTCCCTAAGCCCCTGAAATGATAGTAAACAAAATTAAAAGATAAAAAAAAGTCAGAAATACAAGGAGAATGAGAGATGAGAGGACATGAGAGGGTTTTGAAAGTCAGCAGCTCTCTCTTCTCTCTTCCTTGGCGCTGCCTACGGAGGTGGCAGCCATCTCCTACTCAGCGTCGTGGCTACCCTCAGACCCCTCGTGAAGCCCAGGATTGTGAAAAACAGAACCAAGAAGTTCATCTGGCACCAGTCAGATCCATATGTCAAAATTAAGTGTAAATGGCAGAAACCCAGAGGTACTGACAACAGGGTTCATAGAAAGTTCAAGGGCTGCTCAACATTAGTTATAGGAGTAACAAAAAAACAAAGCACATGCCGCCCAGTGGCTTCCGGAAGTTCCTGGTCCACAATGTCAGGGGGTTAGAAGTGCTGCCGATGTGCAACAAATCTTACTGTGCTGAGATGGCTCACAATGTTTCCTCCAAAAATGGCAAAGCCATCATGGAAAGAGTAGCCCAGCTGCTCTCAGAGCCACCAACCCCAAGGCCAGGCTGCACAGCGAAGAACAGGAATACACAGCTCACGTGCATGTCTTATTTGTGTTTAAACAAAACCATAAAAACTGCCTGAAAAAAAAAGAAGAAAAAAAAAGTGTCAGCAACTGATTTAGCTGATTAAAAAAAGGTGAAGCACAACTGACTACAGAGGAAGAGGCCATGCAAGGTAGCCGACCCACACCTTGACACACCAGGATGCAAGGAATTGGATGGAGTCACCTATTGTCTCCCAAAGCAGTGTGTGCAATGGGGCAGGGAACAGCAGGCTTCCTTGAGAATCTGTACCAAGCTACCGGAGCTCCCGGATCCCCAGCACATCCCTGCCCTGTGCACCAAGCAACTCCTCATCCGCCACAACAGGAGACAAAACTGAACCAGGGAGAGTCCAGATGTGGAGACTGCATAGGGCAGGGGCAGCACAAGGACCAGAAGACAGGGGTAAAAAAGAAATGTCTACATGCCCCTTCACCTAGTTTGCTCTTCAAATGTTAGAGACCAACTTACAATCCACCCATGAGAACGGTCTGGATTTCTCTGTGGTAAGATAGATCATCCCAAGAGAAAACCCTAAACATAGTGATATTTAAGAGTCTCCAGTGAAAAGTGGAGTCTCTCTCTAAGTGCCCTACAGCGAGATTTACCAGCTCTCTGGTCCCATCCACCTCCACCCCTACATCCAGAGCATTCAATGAGGCAAGCATCATCAGGCAGTCGGAGAAAATTCCCAGTAGGAAAGACAGAGACTAAAATAAGAAAATAGTGTGGGGCAGTGGGGGTGGTGGGAGCAGGGAAGGAGAAAGAAACCTGGAGAAAATAGGGAGCAAAAGAGAAAAAAAAAGAAAAACGGTGACCTCCTTTCATTATTATCCCTGGATAGACAGAAGAAAGAATTGCCTTCAGGAAAGAAGAACAGAAGGCCACAAGAAGGAATTTTATGGCAACTAGAGCTTTTAAAAATTACTAAGTTTCTCTTATTCCTTAAGAGAAACAGTAAGACAGAATGATGAAAAAGAAGATCAAACCAGGGGTTCCAAGATCCAACAAATAAGAATTCCAAAAGAAGAACAGAAAAAAATTGAGGAAAGGAAATTGTGAAATAAATAAGAAAGTGAACATGAGTTTCCATATTGAAATAGATGATCAGGGGCCCAGTTCAATGACTGAAAAGAGACCCATACCAAGACCCTGTGTCATGAAACTTCAGCTCATTAGACATAAAATAACCTTCAAAGGAGGGAAGTAGGAGGTGAGGAAAGGAGAGACAGGGAAAGAGAGAGAGAGAGAGAAATTTCATATACAAAAGAGAAGGAATCTGAAGAGTATGGAACAACTCAATAGCAACACACAAGATGAGAAGGTAATGGAGCAATAATATCAGATTTCTAAGATAAACTGATTTTCCACCTAAACGTCTGTAGCAAACAAACTATCAATCAAGTGTGACAAAAACATTTTAGAATATGCAAGTTCTCAAAAAATTTTCCTCCACAGAAAACTATGGAAGGATATGCTCCATCAGAATGAGGGAGTAAATCAAGAAAAAGGAAGATTTGGGAGAGCCTGGCAGCAGAGTATTTCATTCAGGGATTGCCTAGGGTGGCATAAAACAGATCCATGAGCAAAGAGACATTTATTGTGCTCAAATACAAAAGTCCGGTGGGAGCAGTCACAACGCAACAGTTTCGTGATATCCCAATGTGCCCAGTGCTGACTGTCTGTCTTGTATTACCAAAGCTGGTGTACAGACTCCATCCTCATGCTTGCCTCATGGTGCTATGGTGGCTGTCCCATCTCTAGCTTTTCATCTGTATTCCAGGCAGGAAGAAGAATGCAGCAAATGAGAAAAGAACAGCCTCTACCTCAGAAAAACAAAACTTTCTTAGAAAAATTATCAGCAGGCTACTGCTTTTGTCTCCTTGGCCAGAATTGTGTCGCCCTGTAGCTACAATGGGCTGGGAAATACAGTTTTTAGGTTGGTATATTAGTTTCCTATTGCTGTTGTAATAAATAACCATGAAGAGTGGTTTAAAACAAAGCAAATGTATTATCTTACAGTTCTAGAGGTCAGAAGTCTGAAGTGGGTCTCACTGGGCTAAAATCAAGGTGTCCTTGGCAGGGCCAAGTGCTTTTCTGGAGGCTCCAGGGGAGAATTTGTTTTTTTATCTCTTCCAGCTTCTAGAGGCCACCTATTTTCCTTGACTCATGGCTCCTTCCTCTGTCTTCAAAGCTTGCAATGGCCAGTTGAGTCTTTCACACCTCGTACGACTCTGACTCACATTCTTCTGCCATCTTTTTCCATTTACAAGGACACTTGTGATTACATCTGTCTATTGGGAAAATCCAGGGTCACTTCCCCATCTCAAGGTCAGCTGGTAAGCAACCTTAATTCCATTTGCAACCTTGAATCCCCTTTGCCATGTAACATAAGACAATCACAGCTTTTGGGGATTAGAACACAGACATCTTTTTTGTTTTTATTTTTATTTTTAATAGAGATGGGGTCTCGCTTTGTCATCCAGGCTGGAGCACAGTAACGCAACTGTAGCTCACTGCAGCCTTAAACTCCCAGTCTCAAGCAATCCTCCCACTTTGGCCTCCTGAAGTGCTGGGATTACAGGGATGAGCCACTACATCCGGCCAGGACATAGACATTTTTAGGAGACCCTTATTCTGCCTACTATCTACTATACTGGGCATAGTAGATATAGTTGCAGCTTGGTATAAAATCTGGGTCATTTTACTTTTTTTGTTTGAGACGAAGTCTGGCTCTATCGACCAGGCTGGAGTGCAGTGGTGCCATCTTGACTCACTGCAATCTCTGCCTTCTGGGCTTGAGACATCCTTCCACCTCAGTCTCCCAGGTAGCTGGGACTACAGGCACACACCACCAGGCCCAGCTAATTTTTGTATTTTTTGTAGAGATGGGGGTTCACCATGTTGCCCAGGCTAGTCTTGAACTTGTGAGCTCAAGTGATTCACCTGTCTTAGCCTTCCAAAATACTGGGATTACAGGCATGAGCCACAGTCCCTGACCCGGGTCATTTTATTTAGTATGAAGGGAAGTGTGAATTTAGGCAGGCACACATGCTAAGGATTATGGAGTGGAAAGATGGGAGGAGGCAGGGGTCCCCAGTGGTACCACAGAGTCACTTCTCCAAACCCAGACTGAACCTCTGCTGTACTTCAAGTTACACGAGAGACATCTACCCTTATGTGGTTAAGCTGCTTTAGCAAGGCTAGAGTTCCATGAAGCCCAGTGTAAGCCCAAGGAAACTTTCACGTTTTCAGGTAAGAATTCAATAGATAATGTTTAAAACCAAAACAAGGAGAAATGCCAGGATGAGCATGGTATTGGGAAGTAGGAGGTAAATATCAAAAGAAACATCTAAGTCAGAATTTAAAGAGGTGCCCCCAGGGAGCAGATTCAGAGTTGGGGAAGTAGAGGGCAGAGCATGGCTGACTTCCTTCAAAAATGGTTTTCATGCCATTTGACTTACTAAACTTCATTTATCTGTTATTATGCCTAATGAAAATCAATTTTTAATTTAAAAGTGATGATAATAGTTTGGAGCACCTATAGCAATAAACTAGGACGTGCAAGAAAATGATCTACCCATGCAATTCCCCCAACCGGGCTGCATCAGGCTGGAAGGGTCATGAAATGGTTCCCACAGGGGCCACCGTGGAGCACAACCAGGAGGTGAGACACAGCCTTGGCACAACAGTGGTCCACATTTACCTTCCCCAGCGAGGGTCCTCAGCATCCTGCTAGCCCTCCTGAGCTACAAAGGACAGGAAGTTGGGGCAGATTTGTTTTCTTTCCCTAACAAGATCTTATTTTAGGAGCAGAGCTCAGAAGAGCAAACAGAGAAAAGAAAAGTCAGGGGCTGGTTTCAGGGAGAAGAGTGACCACGGGCCATTCCTTGGGCCATGTCTGCTTCTCTAAGCCTGGCCCTGGGGAACAAAACTTAGATCTTGATCATCCAGCATAGCTCTGGCATGCTGAGCGTGTGATACACCTGTCTCTACCGTCAGGCAAACGAGTGGGTTCACAGGCAGAGGCCTGCCCTGCCAAACAATGCTCCCCTTTGTCCCCGCCCAGGGCTCAGGAGCCGCAAGGAAGCCAAATCCATCAGCACTTGTCAGGGCCCTTGATGCACACAATGCAAGTTATGATCCACAGTCCCCGGCAAAGCCCCAGGCTTCCAGCAGGCAGCATTAACTGACACGCAATGTGTCAGTCAGCCTTCTAAAAGCCAGGGGTGGGGATCCGTGCCAGGGGGCCACTGAGCTCTCATTCCCAGAAGCCAACCAGAGCCAGTGAAGGGGCCGCAGAGACTCCGACACATCATTTTCATAAAAACAGCCCAAGGAGAGCATTGCATTAGGAAAAATCATTTCCCGTATTGGCAGCGGGCTCTTCTGATGGCTTTAGCAAATACCATACACACCGAAGCAGTGCAGTGCGCGCCCTTGGCTCATGTGCCCGACCGCATACGGGACAGACCAGGGATGAGGGAGACTGGAAGTATGAATTCCCAAATCAGACTCCCTACAAATGCAACACCGCCTGCAAAGGGTCGCCCCTCCTTCGTAGCCAGCAAGGTGGCAGGCTTTACAGAAGCAAGGGGATTTTGTGACCAAAAAGAACCTGGAAGCGGCCTCCATGGATGCTGCCAAGGTTATTGTGTGCACTTCTTGATGCATCCTGCAAACCACTCTGGGCTGTCCTATTCTGTTCGGTCACCTCCTCCCTGCCTCCACCCTCCCACCACGTGACTGCCAGTCACCAGGCCAGGAATATCACAAGCGTCTTCCTTGGGCAAACAACCGTTCCTCTGCAGACACCTAGACTGACCTTGGCACTCGACACAGAGGGAGGGGACAGAAGACGAGTGTGTGTTCAAAGTCTGCAGTCCCCTGGGGAGGGGTCACTGGCACCATCTGCCTTCGCTACCGGGGCAAGGCAAGTTCAGAGCTACAATTAGTGCTGATTCAGCCATGGTCCCTCGGTCTCATTCCCTAGGCTTCCCTACAAGCCTAATTATGGGCATGAAATGAGCTAGTGAATGAGTTTTCAGAAAAGCAAACGTTCCCTTAGAAATACAAAATATTTGAGCCAAATAATATCAAGTAAGATTTTGTTGTTTTTGGGCAAAGGTCACTGTTTAACTTAAAGGAAAGCAATAAAATATATGCAATATATAAATTCTATAAATTATAGTTATAGAGTAAATTATAGTAAATTTATACAGTAAATTATAGTTATATAGTAAATTATATAGTATCACTTCTTTTGGTGTGATAATGGTATTGGAGTCATGTAAAAAAGAATGCCATTCCTTCTCAAGATACATACTGACCTGTTTATGAATAAAATGACAAGATGTCTGTTTGTTTTTTTATATATTTTTTTTAATTTTTTGGGGGACGGAGTCTCAGTCTGTCACCCAGGCTGGAGTACAGTGGCACGATCTTGACTCACTGTAACCTCTGCCTCCCAGGTTCAAGCGATTCTCCTACCTCAGCCTCCTGAGTAGCTGGGATTACAGGCCTGTGCCACCACGCCCGGCTAATTTTTGTATTTTTAGTAGAGATGGGGTTTCGCCATGTTGGCCAGGCTGGTTTCGAGCTCCTGACATCAACTGATCTGCCCACCTCGGCCTCCCAAAGTGCTGAGATTACAGCTGTGAGCCACCGCATCCAGCCTGTTTGTTTTTAATAACAAGGAGGAGGAGGGAAGTGAATAGGGCAGGACTGGCCAAGGGTTGATGGTTGTTGGACTGTGTGATGGGGACATGAGGGTTCATGACACCATTCTGTTTGTTTGAGCATAGGTTTGAAATTCTCCATAATATAAGGTTGAACAAAAACACAGTTTAAAGATCAAGACAGCATAAAGAATAAATCAGTGAGTGTACAAACTTATGCATGCAAATGATCAGATCTGGCCTTGCTTTGAAATTGTAGTGGCTAAAACAGATTTGGTTTTGCTTTTTGTAACCAGACAGTAAGAAGGTGAGGGAGCTCCTGTGGGTGTCAGACAATAAACCATTCACTGGTTTTTGGTTCTTGTTTTTGAGATGGGGTCTCACTCTGTTGCCCAGGCTGGCACTCACCGTTTTTGGTAGGATTCCAGAGCAAAACCTAGTGACATTTACTCTCAAAATATATCTGCTGTAGTATCAGACTTATGTCTAACAAAATTAGTGATCAGATGGGAGGCTGACTATCCTGAAACGGGATACAGTTTGATCAGGGCAGTAGGTATGTTTTAAAAGGACAGACTGGGCCTGGCGGCCGTGGTGTCTCTTGCCTGTAATCCCAGCACTTTGGGGGGCTGAGGTGGGTGTATTACCTGAGGTCAGGAGTTTGAGACCAGCCTGGCCAACACGGCAAAACCCTGTCTCTACTAAAAACACAAAAATTAGCCAGGTGTGGTGGTGCACACCTGTAGTCTCACCTACTTGGGAGGCTGAGGCAGGAGAATCGCTTGAACCCAGGAGGCTGAGGTTGTGATGAGCCAAAAATCACACCATTGCACTCCAGCCTGGGTGACAAAGCAAGACTCTGCCTCAAAAAAATAAAAAATAGAAATAAAAGGACAAACTGGTCAGGTATAATGGCTGGCAACAATCTCTTTTAATCACCTGGTACCCTAAGGTAAAGCATCCCCAAAAACCTCAAGGATATTTTTATTACTTTTGTATGTTATTTGAGAGAGCCGTAATTCCATTTTTAGCTGGTGCATTGTTCAAGCTAATGTTATCTACTTAATCTTTTCCTCTGGCTAGTTTGGTTCTTAGCAGGTTGTGTTGGTTGAGATTAAGATTAGAGATGTAATATCAAAACCACCAGTTCAGAACCTGAATTGTAACAGACACATCCATCTGCAGAGATGCTCTTTCCTTCTGATTGGCAAGATTGTAACCTACTTCTCAATTGATTTCAGCATCGAACACCCGGGGCTGGCTCAATTCCTTTCTACACCTGCCAAGAAAATCTAAGTGGATAATGATGCTGACCAATCAATGGGCCGTGGGCAACACAGGAAATCAGTGGGCCCGCAAAAAGCTGGGCACCACGTGTTACGGGTAATATTCTCAGGGCCCAAAATGGGTGGCACCAGCCTCCCTGACCAGTCAAAGGAGGCAGGAAATGGAAGCTGAGCTCACGGTGGGAGGAAGCTGGGTGTGGGTGGTGGTGGCAGCCCTGGGAAGAGAAGGGTGTGTTTCTGAGGGCGCCTTGTGCCCTACCTGTTTGCTGCAGCTTTCCAAACCACAAAGCCCTGCCTGCAGCTCCCTGCCAAGGCTGATCATAATCTGCCATGCTATCGGCATTGTCATCTCTTATACAGATGCACATTGAGTGCCTCTAATTCTGAGGATGATCCCCTGAGGAATCTTGCCTTTTCCCAGCGCCATGCTGCTTGTCCATCCAGGCACGTGGCAGCAACACCACCATAGGGATGCCCAGGATGCCAAGCTGCATGCCCGCTACCTCCCCTCCCTCCTGCTTCCTCAGCCCACCTCTTCTACCCCAACCCTGAGCCTCAGAAGGAGGCCGAACCATCTGCCCGTTTTCATTCTTGTCTTTTGCAGTTGGGAAATGAATCTTCAGTGACAGAGCCCACAGAGGAAAACACCCAAACCTGACCCTCCCTTTAACCTTGCGAGCGCTATCACTCAGCCAGATACCACCACTGTTTCCCGAGGACTAAGAGAGATGGCTCTTTGCCTGGTGGAGCTGTGAGGAAGATGATGGGAAACGGGCATGCTGGCATCGGAGTTTTTCTGGATTGGAAAAAGAGGATTTTACTTTTCAGCACCTGCCAGCATGATAGGTTTGCCAAGAATTCTACACTAAACAAACACACACGCCTACATCACCCCTCCTCCCAAGCAGGCATAACCCACTGGGGAAGGAAACAGCTCAGGAAGGCGGATGGCAGGGGTTCGTGAACCTTGCTAGTTTCCAGGGCACGATCCATTTTAATCTCCGCCAGAGGACTTAAAAATCTATTCTGTCAATATCTCCCTTATTAGTAAAGTTTGGGTCCCAAAGCAAGAAAACTAAGGCTTAATTTTGACTTAGAAGATTGTTGTTGTTGTTTTATTATAAGTTTTGATTATGTAGTATGTGTGTGTATATATGTTATTCACTACATACATATTTATGTATTTTTAATATATTTTATATTTTAATATAACATATAATACATATTATATATTATATAATATGTAATTATATATTAAAATATATAATTATACATATATTTTAATACATAAAGTATATTTTAATGTATATATAAATTATACACATGTATATTCAAATGTGTATATCAATATTTATGTATATATTTAGATTTGAAAGCCTTGGGGGACATGTAGGTCCATATCCTCTTGTAGATATCGTAGTGGGATCCTGGCTTTTGGTTATCGTCTCCCCCAAGTCTCCTATTCCCTTTCCGTCCCATTTTTTTCTTGCAAAGAACAAGCAATGACTGAGGCTTTCATAGCCATTGTCACAGAATAGGTCCTGTGGGGAGTTGATTTGTAAAAAGTTCCTGGACCAAAATAAAGGTGGTGACCAAAATGAAGTCATCTCTGCCACCTCCCAGTGGGTATCGATGTGGAAACGGTAACTTGAATCTGAAGCTTCTTTGTGCCCAGCCCCACTGTGCTGATGAGAGCAGACAGGGTGGGAGAGAAAGGGGCACACAGAGTGGACATGTGGATGCCGTTCCTCAAGCCCTTGAAGAAACCAAGAGTTGGCCGCAGCCCTGACCCAGAGTTCTGGGAGATGGGTCCGTGGTAACCCCGCAAGGGAGAAGAGGGCAAGAAGGCCAGGATTCCCAGGGCTCATCCAGAACAGCCCATCCGTCCAGATGGGTATCCTTGATTCCAGTACCTTCCCTGCTCACACATCTCTTTCATCCATTCATTGTACCACTCTGAAGTGTAGAATATGCAAAAGAGAGAATAAAATCATATCATCGCCACATGTAGTTTGCTGTGTCATGCTTATCCTGGTGGATGAAAAAGAGGCCCACGAACCTATGGAAGCCATTCTTGCCACCTGGGTTTATGAGCCAATAGACCATGGCAGAGGTGATGGGATGTCATGGCCATGCTTATGCTATATTACATAAGACCCTCACTTACTAGCTGACTCAGTCGAGGGGCTCTCCTTGCTGGTTTGATCAGTAAGCAGCCATGCTGGGAAAAACCCATGTCCCTAGGAGCTGAAGGAAGCCTCTAGCTCACAGCCAGCAAGAAGCAGGGTCCCTAAACCCATACCTGCCAGAACTGAATACTGCCAGCAATGGGAGTGAGTTTGGGAGCAGATTCCTCCCCACTTGAGCCCCTGGAGGAGACTATAGTTAGGCCAACCCCTTGATTGCAGCTTGTGAGACCCTGAACAGACGCCCAGTTAAAACTGTGTCCAGATTTCTAACCGAGAGAAACTGAAATAATCACGTGTTGTTTTAATCTGCTAGATTCGTGGTAGTTTGTCACACACAAATAGAAAATGAATACAACGACCGTCTCCCACCAACTTACCAAATATGATAAATGTTCACATGGAAGAAATGTACAGACTCATACATCATCTATTCAAGTGCAGTCCTTTGTTTTTTAACCGTGTTACAGGCTTGTTAGGAACTGAAAAAAATTACATTTTTTTTTTTTGAGACAGTCTCACTGTGTTGCCCAGGCTGGGGTACTCTGGTGTAATCTTGGCTCACTGCAACCTCTGCCTCCCAGGTTCAAGTGATTCTCCTGCCTCTCACTCTAGCCTCCCAAGTAGCTGGGACTACAGGTGCGCAACACCACACCCGGCTGATTTTTTGTGTTTTTAGTAGAGATGGGGTTTCACCATGTTGGCCAGGCTGATCAGGAGCTTCTGACCTCATGAGATCCACCCACCTTGGCCTTCCAAAGTGCTGTGATTATAGGCGTGAGCCACCACTCCTGGCCAAAAATTTACATTTCTATACTTTCACATAATAAGTTCAGTAAGCATTTTCATTGAAACAGCAGAAAGGGAGCTGGTTCTAATTGAAGACAAACTTTGAAAAGATTTAAATTTTACTAATCTTAAATCAGTTCATTGTTGTTTTCCATGGGACACACTCCAGGGCATGGTGGTGACCAATGCAGTCTGCAAACCCAAGTGCACATTGAACCCGACCCTAAAAGGCAAAGGTCAGAGAAAGGGTACACCTCTGACCTCCTTCCTGCACAACTACAAAGTGGAACCCAAGCTTTGGCTAAGGGCCTCCCCTCTTTGCGTGCTCCCCAGGCTTGCCCCACGTTTCCACTTTTCCCTGATGCATCCTGGGCTTCTTGGAGGTCATGGTGAGAGACAGGACTAGCTGGACTTCCTAGGCCGACTAAGAATTCCTAAACCTAGCTGGGGAAGGTGACCGCACCCACCTTTAAACATGGGGCTTGTAACTCAGCTCACACCCGACCAATCAGGTAGTAAAGAGGGCTCACTAAAATACAAATTAGGCTAAAAGCAGGAGGTAAAGAAATACTCAAATCATATATTGCCTGAGAGCACCGGGGGAGGGACGATGATAGGGATATAAACCCAGGCATTCGAGCAGGGAGAGGCAACCCCCTTTGGGTCCCCTCCCTTGTATGGGAGCTCTGTTTTCATGCTATTAAATCTTGCAACTGCACACTCTTCTGGTCTGTGTTTGTTACGGCTCGAGTTGAGCTTTCACTCGCCGTCCACCACTGCTGTTTGCCACTGTCGTAGACCCACTGCTGACTTCCACCCCTCCAGATCCAGCAGGGTGTCCGCTGTGCTCCTGATCCAGTGAGGCGCCCATTGCCACTCCCGTTCGGGCTAGAGGCTTACCACTGTTCCTGCGTGGCTAAGTGTCCGGGTTCGTCCTAATCGAGCTGAACACTAGTCACTGGGTTCCATGGTTCTCTTCCATGACCCACGGCTTCTAATAGAGCTATAACACTCACCGCATGGCCCAACGTTCCATTCCTTGGAATCGGTGACGCCAAGAACCTCAGGTCGGAGAACAAAAGGCTTGCCGCCATCTCGGGAGCTGCCTGCCCCATCATGGGAGCGGCTCGCCACCATCTTGGGAGCTTTAAGGACAAAGACTCACCTGTAACAATGGCTCTTGTAATCAGTGAAGGGAGAGGCTAACTTGGCCTTAAACCCCACGGCTGGGTCCTCACCACGTCCAAACAGGCTGGATCTGCTCGCTCCCTGCCAGGAGGAGGGAGGCCAATGAGAAATGTATCATTGTGGCTCATAGTGCACCAGAGAATGGAGACTATATCAGAAAAGACCCCGCATGATTTCCAAGCTGATCTTTTAATCTGGGGGAGGATCACGGGCTGTGGGGATGCTGGGATACAGGTCCATAGGTTCACCCTCTACAAAGAATCACACATCTTTCCTTGGGCCACACAAAGCAGTTGCTCTTCTGTTACAGGAAAAGGGTCCTGATCCAGTCCCCAAGAGAGGGTTCTTGGATCTCCCGCAAGAATTCAAGGTGAGTCCAAAGTGCAAAGTGAAAGCAAGGTTATTAAGAAAGTAAAGGAATAAAAGAATGGCTACTCTGTAGACAGAGCAGCCCCAAGGGCTGCTGGTTGCCTATTTTTATGGTTATTTCTTGAAGATATGCTAAACAAGGGGTGGATTATTCATGCCTCTCCTTTCTAGACCATATAGGGTAACTTCCTGACATTGCAGTGGCATTTGTAAACTGTCATGGTGCTGGTGGGAGTGTAGCAGTGAGGATGACCAGAGGTCACTCTCGTGACCATTTTAGTTTTGGTGGGTTTTGGCCAGCTCCTTTACTGCAACCTGTTTTATCAGCAAGGTCTTTATGACCCATATTTTTGTGCTGACCTCCTATCTCATCCTGTGACTTAGAATGCCTTAACTGCCTGGATAGGCAGTCCAGTAAGTTTCAGCCTCATTTTACCCAGCTCCTATTTAAGATGGAGTTGTTCTGGTTCACATGCCTCTGACACTTCCAGCTCTTCCACCCACACACATCTTCCCTGTCTTGGGGCAGAGGGCAGTAGCCTCGTACCCTGAGGATTCTTGAAGGTCTGGGGTCCGAGCAGCTCCATCAGAAGCCCCATCGGGGACCTCTGAGGGGTCAGTGACAGTCCCTGGGGACAGACGGTGGCTCCCCAGGACGCTTTCCCTATTAAGCCACTGGCAGAGTCCAGACACTTTCACTGGGTTGAGAGCTAGAAGGTCAGAGAGCGGGAGAGAATCCAGAGGTAGGTTCAGGGTTACTGTTTTGCTCAGCCCTGGATGGCCAGGCCCAGCCTCCCGCATTCTACTGGAAGGAGGAGGAAGATGGGTTTAGTTCTTCCCAGGGCAGGAGAGAGAAGCACAATTGTGGGCTGGGTTCCTCCTGCCTCTGAACACAGCGCCATCCCTTCTCCCAGGTGCTGGGCTGGGGTGTGTGGAAGATGAAGGAAAAGTGAATTAACTAAATAGGGTTCCTGCAGTGTCTGGAAAGCCTCTAAACCCCCGAGCACCTCAGGCTTCCCTGCCCTGATTCAGAGGTGAGGTTACCTAAAAGCCAAGGAAGCCTGGGCTTCGGGGACCCTCACTCACAGGCCCCCTTCCAAAAAAGCCCTGCACCTAAGCTTGTACTGGGACTTCTGTATTATTTTTCCCAAAGGGCGCTCCCCACGTTGTATACACTTCCGGCCCCCAAATCTGGATCCACCCTGGGAAGGGACAAACTGGGGGCAGCCTACCCACATTCGGCCAGCGGGGGGTCCGACCGGCCTTGGTATCTCCAAGCGAGGTAACAGTAGTCGCCCCTTGCGTCCCTCCCCCTCCGGGGCGCATCGCCCCTTGCGTGCAAAGCCCCGGCACCGCCACGAGTCTCGCCTCGCCCTGCACAGGTAAACAGCCGCTGGCCGCCGGCCGGCCGCCCTGCAGGGCAGCCCGGGGACCTGCCCCCGGCGCCACGCCCGGCGCCCCGGGGAGGCCCAGCCCGCAGGCCCCGCCGACTGGGCGCCGCGCCCTGGGAACGTGCACCGGGGCAGGCAGCCCGGCCTCACCTGGCCCCAGCGCGGAGCCGGATCACACCTGCCTGCTGGGTGAGCCGAGGGCATTCGCGGAAGGGAAGAGACAAGACCTGGGAAGGGACGCCTGTGGCTTAGAAAGACCCTCAGGCAGGGCCGGGCGTGGGGCGCGCTGATAAAAATTCCTGGAGCTGTATTATTCACATCGCAGATTTGTCCCTTTGCCTCAATCTAAAAGGAATGGGAAAGAACAGCCGCTGGGCTCTCATTTGCTTCCAGCTTACACAGATTCAACTATCAATTATCCCAGAGGAGAGGCGTGCAGTGCAGGGCGTTGGGCCACGAAACTGAAAGCTGCTGGCGAGGCGCGTGGGGGAGGTCGATTTCTGCGTCCTGCTGCCTCCACGCACAGTGAGAACCCACCCCGCCACTGCGTTCCTGTCCTCACAGGTAAAGTCAGGATAATAATATCTACCTCACGGGGGATTCGAGGAAGTGGTGGGAGCGTAAAGCCCCGTCTGGTAGAGTGAATACCTGAGCAATGGCCTTCCGGTCCCGTCTTCAGCACAGCAGGACGAAAATGTCTTCTGTTGGGATCCCAGAGAAGATCCAGACGCTGACACCTGCCCCTACCTCTCTACTTCTCATCATACCGGTCACCTGGAAGAAGGGTCCATTCAAAGCAAAGCCTGTAGCCAATGAGTTGTTTCTGCCATCAAACAGTCAAGCATATGAGGCCCAATAGGCAGTCCTGTTTTTTTTGTGACAGAGTCTCACTCTGTCGCCAGGCTGGAGTACAGTGGCGTGATCTCGGCTCACTGCAACCTCCACCTCCCGGGTTAAAGTGATTCTCCTGCCTCAGCCTCCCGAGTAGCTGGGATTACAGATGCACGCCACCACGCCGGCTAATTTTTGTATTTTTAGTAGAGACGGGGTTTCACCATGTTGGCCAGGATGGTCTCGATCCACTGACATCGTGATCCGCCCGCCTCGGCCTCCCAACGTGCTGGGATTACAGATGCGCCGGCCAGGCAGTCCTGTTAAGCCATGCCACACAGCTTAAAAAAAGACACTGGCAAGCTCAAGTCCCGAAGTTACCAGCTGAAGGAAGAGACTTAAACCAAACCAAGGGCTTCCTATGACAGTTCTGAAATACCCTCTTCCCTCTTGAGTCCATACAACTGAGAAAATAGAACGGCCAGTCACCGTGGCTCGTGCCTGTAATTCTGGCACTTTGGTAGGCAGAGGCAGGCAGATCACCTGAGGTCAGGAGTTTGAGACCAGCCTGGCCAACATGGTGAAAGCCCGTCTCTACAAAAATACAAAAATTAGCCGGGCATGGTGGCGCATGCCTGTAGTCCCAGCTACTCGGGAGGCTGAGGCATGAGAATTGCTTGACCCGGGAGGCGGAGGTTGCAGTGAGCTGAGATCGTGCCACTGCACTCCAGCCTGGGTGACAGAGCGAGCCTCTGTCTCAAAAAGAAAAAACAACAACAAAAAGGGAAAACCAAAGGTAAAATTTGATCCACAGGACTGGCCACATTTCTACACTGGTAAAATCATGGCCTTGCTGAAGCATTGATCAGGAAGGGATAAGACCCAGAGAATCCAAATGGAGACAAATGAGAGGATTTGGAAAACCTGAAGTTCTCTGAATCACCCAGTCCTCAAAGAGCCTCCTTCGTCAGCGGAAACCCTCTTCTCCAGTCTTCTGACACACTTCGTAACGACACTGCCATTTCTTTGCATCCTTTGCAGTCTCACTGCAAGAGCAAGCCAGTTCTCATGCATTACCCTCGACTGTCTCCAGAATGGACAGTTAGATCCCAGCACTTCAGAAAGAAGGACAATGGCAAGCTCAAACCAGCGAGGATCAAGATTAGAAACCAACATGATTTTGGGATTTTCCTAACTAAGGGTGCTTAATAAATGGGTGGAAAGGTATCATTTTACACTGGTCTGATGTTGTTGATATACATTGCAGAGATTCTGGATTGACTGTGCTAGCAGGAGAAGCTGGGAGTGACTTCTGAGCTGGACTGACCACTGGACGCCAAGTGATTATCCCTAATGTATTACATGTCATTTGCAACCCAAGCTGTCCGTCATGTACTGGGCCATCTGACACACTCATAAAATCCCATTACCAACTGGAAATGGTTTATGTGGGACTAGCTCCTAACCAGGTACTGAAGGCACAAGTGCATTATATGCATAGGTAGATCATTCCCTGTGTGCCTACCCCTGACCCTTTCATCAATCTAACACCGGCCTCAAAGGGGTTTCCCAAGAGCTAGTGACTAAGAGAGGAAAAACCACTGATCCTCATTTACAGATAGCTTCACACCATATGCTTGCCTACCTTTTTTTTTTTTTTTTTGAGACGAAGTCTCGTTCTGTCGCCCAGGCTGGAGTTCAGTGGTGCGATCTCAGCTCCCTGCAACCCCTGCCTCCCGGGTTCCAGCAGTTCTCCTGCCTCAGCCTCCCGAGTAGTTGGGAATGCAGGTGGGTGCCACCACGCCCAGCTAATTTTTGGTATTTTTAGTTGAGACGGGGTTTCACTGTGTTAGCCAGGATGGTCTTTATCTTCTGGCCTCATGATCCGCCCACTTCGGCCTCCCTAAGTGCTGGGATCATAGGCGTGAGCCACTGCACCCGGCCCTACCTTCTAAATAGGTGACTGTGATGTTATAGTTCAGTGAGGATAGCAGGTGAGAGGGAGAACCTCCTGGGGAGGAGAATTTGAAGCACATAACTCTGTGTCCACTTTGCTTGGAAGCAAAGAAAATTTGATGCAAGAAGCTACACCAACTTCTGAGCAGTGTAGATGGGGGGTTCTGTTCAACAGGTCACAAACTTGAAAGAAGAATGACTGGAGGTTTAATGACAGAGGAGAGGTGTGGGAAGACATACATGGCTTCACTTCTCAGAATGGGCCAAATTTGAAAATGTTTGTTTCTTGAGTAAAACATCATCCAAAATACCCACTATAGCAAAAGCTAATAATAATTAATTGAACCAGGCCATCTGCTTATGTGTAATGATTTCTTTCTCCAGGCACATCATTGCTTCAACTGATTCATGAGCAGAAGAGTCTTTGCTGGCAACACATGAACTGTGATGGATTCAATCACTTAGGCTTTCCATTATCAATGCAGACCTGGCCCCTGGGTGCACAGGGTTATCAGTGACCACCCCTGAATGCCGCAACTGACCAGACTCCAGGGACACCATGGACTACTTAGTTGCAGACTGATGACTTTGGACCTCTTCCATTATGGAAAGGGCAGTGATTTCTTTTCACTGAAACAGGCTCATGTCTGACTTTGGAACTGACCTCTCTGCCTGTAGATCATCATGGCATGCTCTACAAAATTGCTTCTGACAACGGAATTCACTTTACAGTGAAAGAGGGAAAGCAGTGGGTGATACCCTTGTCAATGGATCCTGTCACCCAGAAGCAGTCATCTGTATTCAGCTGTGACATGATTTATTGAAGATTTCATTTCAGGACTGAGAGACGATCATACCTAAGGAGATTGAAATATCGTCCTTTAAGATGCTTGTTTGTTCTGAACTAGGGAACATCACGTGGTGCCGTTTCTCCCACAGCCAGACTAAACAGGTCTGGAGGAAGGGGAAGTAGGCACGGTGCAACTTCCATCTTACTTAATGACTCTCACTCTCTTCAACTTTTTTTCCACCAATTAGCGATTTTATTCCCAGGAAAGGAAGGTTGCACCATTGAGGCAGCTGACCGTTGGGGTGGCTCCCTTTGGAAAGGGGATATAAAGTGTTTGTATGAGTGATGGTTCCATTAAAGCAGACATTTTTTAAAAAGGTGAAATTTGGGGAATTAGAGTGAATATAGATGTTGAACAGAAAAAGAGTGATATAGCAATAGTCTGGACATGTGGGCTGGCCACCTGGAATTTCACATGCCATTAGGTCAAAAAAGTGGGTTGACAAGGCTGGCTGCAGTGACTAGTCCTGGGAAAATGCTGCTATACCACGGGAGACAGGCCAGGGTGGAGGCTATGAATGAAACTCAAGTGGTTCTCTCAGGAGCCGCCTCCTCCTCCTCCTCCAGCGGTGGGAGTTAAGGGAAGACTGTTACCATCATGCATATGGGCAGGGCCTCCTTGGTCTCTGTGCCCTTAGGAAAGAGGAATAGGGTCACGGCTAGTAGGTCACACCCCAGTCATCTAAGGTACTGGCTGAAGACAGCATGGACTTGGAATGGAAACTGGAAGCGGGAAACCTAAACATCATCCAGGGTCTCTTCTCTAGGGCAGGAAATGGGTGCTGTAGCTTCTACTTGTACTTCCTGTGTTGTGTGTATCCTATTTTAACTCATTGCCTCTCTTTCCTCTCCCGTTATTCGTTTTATTGTATATGGGATGAACGGTTATGGTTAACTTTACACTTCAGCTCAAAGATACAGAATAATGAGATGGGCTTGTTATCCCACGGAGGTGGGGTATCCATTACTCACAGACCTTGAGTACAGGAGTTGAAAGACATTGGGGTAACCCCGTTGGAAAGGGAATGAAAGAAGTTTTGATTGTATGAGGAATAGCTACATATTTTAAGCAAGAGTTTTTTCTTTAAGTAAAACTAGAGGAATTAGAGTATATGTTGATATTGAACAGCAAAAGAGTAAGGCTGTAATGAACTTAATAGACCCTTTTTTTTTTTTCTATTTTGGCTCTGCACCATATGAACTCATTCCCAAATTTGGAAAATCCACTATTTTGCGAGTCTTGGGAAGGGGCAAGATCAGCTAGTTCATGGGCACAGGATCTAAGCTCTGGCAGCTGGATGTTCTGATCTAGAACTTCGAATGTGGAGCCAGGACACAAAGAATCCAGCTCAGTGTAGAGTTTGTTCTTGTGGCGGCAGTGGTGGTGGCATCAAGGTACAGCAGTTTCATTAGTGGTGTCCAGGATCTAGGGACCAGCTCTGGGGACCATGGCATCTAAACCAAGCTGTTCTCCAGGTGTGATTGGGTCATGGCCCCAGACCTCTGGCTTTCTTGGATCCAACCCATTTTCAAGCCCGATTCTCCGAAAGAGCCTGTGAATTCCCTAACAGGCTTCCACTCATTTCCTTTTCTGTTTAAGTAAGCTGCTGTTGGATGCTGTTGTTGCAACCAAGAATCTGACTAGCCCTTCCCATCTGAGCTCTTTCCTTTGCCTCTCCTAGTGTTGGATCAGGGAGGTGTTAGTTCCAACTTTAGTTAGCTCTTTTATGATCATCCTTGCAAAGAAGCAGCTTTGAGAAGTACTGAACGTAACACAGGTCATCCACAACATCCCCTTTTTATTGATATTAATCACAGTTATGAGGTCTTGTCCATCAGAAAGCACAATTTGCATTATGTAGAACTACATACAAAGACATAAAAATAAAACATACATACACCAACCACCACACCAGTTAATCTCAACCAATCAAACCTCTGAATGTGTCTTCAATTTTGATCATCAGTGCTTCGGAAGAACGTACATAGACCCAGCCCAAGGTTGGCCTTTGGGGTCTGATAGCATTCACAGAGCAGGAGATTCACCCTTGGAAGCAATTGAATGTGTAAACTCTGAGAGCAGACACTGACAATGCAATGCCTGCATACCTGACTCCTGGGCTGCCTTCCTTCTCAGCAGAGCCCACTGAAAGTCTCACGTGTGCCTTTAACCAATGAGGATGGCAGGCCTTATCTGTGTTTGAAGTGGACAGGTCATTGCTACCCCTGTTGGAGAAGCTATGTAAGAAGGAGTAGGCTGGCTTCTGGTCTAGTTCGACTCATTCTTTATAGGGACATTTCAGAATGATGAGTTGGCTAAAATTTACTTTAAAGGGGAAATGTAAAATTACCTCTTCTTTTCCTATCCCCTTCTTCCTTTCCCATCCTGAGCCCTCTGGCAAGGCCTGTTGCAGCTCAAGAGTTTTTGTCAGATTATAAGTTACCAAATGGTCAACAGGGAAGGACCCACAGCAGATTCCAAAACTCTTTCATTCACTTGAGTTAACTGAAATGGCTCCTTCTTTGAGTAATTGAAGAGTTTGAGTTCTAGCAGTTTGCTGGTGTCTCCAAGTCTCTTAGAAACATGATGGCTATAAACTTATCAAAATAAATGCCTAAGAAATTTGGAAAGCGCGACAAATGGCCTTGCTCCTGGAATCCATTGACAGCAGAGGCCTCCGAACAAACCCACACTCTGTCTGTCTCTTCTTTCCACAGGGCTCACTGTGAGTTCACAGTTGTCCTCATCCCCTTTCCTTCAATAATGTCAATCTTTGCCTTTAAAAAAAAAAAAAAAAAAAGCCAGACTAGCCAATTTCCTTCCCTTTTTCTGTGTCCCCCTCCCATGTAGTATCTCCTTAGGGGGAGGTAAAGGAAGACATGCTCCTCTCTGGGCTGGCTCGGCCTTGGAAGGTAGCTTGCTATCTTTATGATGCTCCAGTTCCAACATTCTAGATGGGGAGAGGCTCAGCAGTGATGGAGCAGGAGGGGCGGATGAGAGGTGTGCTGGCCACTCTGCCCTGAGTCACTAGGCCACCAAAATGCTTAGGAGACGTCTTTTGGTAGCTCGCTTCTATAGGTGACCTTGAGGAGTTGGGAGGCAGATAGAAGGTCCCGAAGTGGAGATTTCCCTGATCTGAAGTTCCTTGATAATCCCACTGAAGAGAGAGTCCATTCAGTGGCCAAAACAAAGAATCTGTATTTCCATGACACCTTAAAATTCCCCATTAAATCAAAAATCTCCCTCAAAGCAAAGTAAAAATGGTTCTATTATAATCAGAGTCAATCAGGATAATGAGATGAAGAAGAGAGGAAGGAAAAAAGTTTTAATGTGAAGAAAGAAGCTTGTTGTCCCATAGAAGCCAACCACTGCTGTTTCTTCGTATGGCCTTTCCCGGGGTCCGAAGCGTCTCAGCCCTAGCCCAGGCCAACGTCCAGTGACATCATCACTACAAATCCCAGGATGGAGGCCCAGGATGCCAGTTTCCCATTACCACTGGAAGAGAAGGACAGGAAGAAAAGTAAGACCTTAATGATCCCTGAGGCCACGGCTAGGCTGAAGGCATCCTCTGCAATGTCCAATTCCAAGAGAAAGCACACTACCATTAATAATGGTAACATTTACTGGGGCTTACTATGTGCCAGGCAAACTAATGAACCATGGAACCCCAAACAACAACCTCATGAGGTCAGTATCATAATTATCCTCATTTTACTGGTGGGGAAACTGAGGCAAAGAGAAGTTACTTGCCCAAGGTCACCTATGATCGTTCTGTGGTCCATGTGTGAGTAATGAAGAGGGGTGATTATTTCTTAAAGATATTACTTAATCTGGCCTTTTAAACTAGCCTCAGAGTTATTCTTCTATAAAAACCAAAATAGGCTGGGAGCAGTGGCTCAAGCCTGTAATCCCAGCACTTTGAGAGGCCGAGGCAGGCAGATCACCTGAGGTCAGGAGTTTGAGACCAGCCTGGCTAACATGGCGAAACCCCGTCTCTACTATAAATACAAAAATTAGCTGGGCGTAGTGGTGGTTGCCTGTAGTCCCAGCTACTTGGGAGGCTGAGGCATGAGAATCACTTGAACCTGGGGGGCGGAGGTTGCAGTGAGCCGAGATCACACCACTGCACTCCAGCCTGGGTGACAGAGCGAGACTCTGCCATTAAAAAAAAAAAAAAAAAGAAAAACAAAACAAAACAAAACAACAACAAAATGGAACAAAGCAAACCCTTACTCCCACCTTCTGACACCTGGCCTATAGCTAGCCAGTGAAGACATGCATGTATCACCTTCACTGACATTTTAGAGCTCACCTCTCCCTTCATTCCAGCCCGAGAATCGAGAGACAGGATGAGAGAGAATATACAAAAACGATAGTCTACTGCATCAAGGGACGGGGGGCAGGTGTGTATGCCACTGCCTGGTGTCACCTCATTTCTTGACCCACATGCCCTTAGCTTCTTTTCTTTTAGTTTCAGAGAGCACAGTTGAGGAGGCAGTGGGGATGATCTTGGGAAGGGGCAGAGAGGGGGAGGGAATAAGGAAAGGAAAGGCAAATGAAGAAAGAGCATATCCCAAGGCTGGGGTCCCAGCTGGGACTGGGACAGGGACAGACAGGGAGGGAAGGTTCTCCAACCTGATCTGGGCTTCGGGGATGATGTCGTCCATGACCACGTAGACCATGGCACCGGCAGCAAAGGCCAGAGCGTAGGGCAGGATGGGCTCAGCCAGCACCACGGCAAAGGCACCAAAGACCCCGGCCAGGGGCTCCACCATGCCGCTCAGCTGCCCATACCTAAGGAGAGAACAGAGACATTTACCACCGCAGGGGGAGGCAAGCAGACACTCCACGTGCCCAGACTGTTGGCTCAACCCTAGCACATGGATGCATGCCATTCTACGTCATATCTGAGCATGGCAGTGCAAAAGCACATCACTGTTTTGTTGAAAGAAGCCCACATGGAGGATGCTGTGACATGGCCTTGCCCTTGGGCAGCACTCACCAGAAAGCTCTCCAGGTGGAGAAGCCTGCCCCTCGCAAGGGAAGGCTGACAGCCAGGCCCTCGGGGAAATTCTGGATCCCGATTCCAATGGCCAAATTCCTGAAAAACCAAGAAAGCACATGAAGGCTGCTGTCTGGAATAGGTGCTCACACAATGGGAGTCCCTGGCCGAGGCCAAGACCTCCGTGGGTGCTAGGAAGCCAGGAGGAGACCTGTGACCTGCAGTAGGAGAGGAAGGAGAAAGGTCAGGACGTGTGTCTAGGTAAAGAGCAGGGGCTGCAGGAGGGAGTGACGTGAGCCCTCTACCCATCATGCTGTCCTGGGTCCTGGGCAGGCTCTGTCCTTACAATGCTTTGCTACAGCACAGAACACACTGGCTGGCTCTCAGGGTGCCCTGAGTTCTGCCACGTGGCTGTATAACTGCACTTTTCATTTTACTTTCTACGCCTCTGTTTCTTTTTCTTTTTTTCTTTTTCTTTTTTTTTTTTTTTGAGATGGAGTCTCGCTCTGGAGACTCCAGGCTGGAGTGCAGTGGCATGATCTCGGCTCACTGCAACCTCCACCTCCCGGGTTCAAGTGATTTCCAGCTAATTTTTGTATTTTTAGTAGAGATGGGGTTTTACCATGTTGGCCAGGCTGGTCTCCAACTCCTGACCTCAAGTGATCTGCCTGCCTTGGCCTCCCAAAGTGCTGGGATTATGGGCGTGAGCCACGGCACCCAGCCTACACCTCTGTTTCTTGTATACAATTTAGGGACAACAATATCTACCATAAAGGATTGCTGAGTGACCCAGTGACCCAATAATGCCTATCACATCCTAGCATAGAGAGGTGCTTAATGCATTTTGGTTTCTATTCTGTTACAGCACAGAAATGAGTATATCACATTTTATTCAGAGGCCACTTCAGAAATGGGACAAGGAAGTGCAGCTGCAGACGCTGATGGTGCCACAGATCTGGCTCTGGGCTCAGCTTCTCCGTGGGCTCTGCAGGTCTGGCACCATCGCTGCATTTCTTTGGGCCCCAGTGGTGCTCACAGTGATCCTCTCACCTCCTGCCTCTGCAGGACAGTGACAGGCTGTGCTGATAGATGCCTGTCTTTGAGAAGCTGCTTTCTGCACAAACCAGGCATTGGAGTGTGAGAGGAGGGAGAAGCAAAATGGGATGCGTACAAATGCAATCTGTGACCACATGCCTGGCCTCAGGGGGCTTAGTATTTAGCCATGGAGACAACACAGGCATGTACATGAAGAACCCTTATTGTGGATGCTGCAAACTACAGCAAATCAGCCAAAAGTCAACTTGCACAGGAAACAGAGGCATGAGGGAAGCAGAGGAGGGAAATGGGGCCAGTCCGAGTGCCTTAGGAAGGCCCTTTTGCACGTGAGACTCTACCTTGGCCGGACAGTTCCAAGAAGCAGCCCCTCCATGAAGGGCCATCTGATCAACAATGATCTAAAGGGCGTGAGAAGAGGGTGCCACTCGGCAAGCAATGCTGGTGTGTGGCCCGAGGGAATTGTGGGTAGATTAGATAGAGAAGAGAAACTCCACCATCACCGACTTTCAGGTCAACTGGCTCACGTCCATCCATCTTGCTGCCAATAGGAATCTACCCATTGCTGCAAGGGAGTGTTGTAGACTGGTAGCTGGGACCCCTGCCTATGACCTGCCCCAGGCTCCCGGGACTGGGACACACTCGTGGCCCTGAAGGTCCTGTCAGGCCTGATCCGGCTGAGGCCCAAGTTCCAGCCTCTAACAAAGAACACCAAGGCGAATCCCCAGTTTAGCATCTGACCTCCATTTTGTTTCAGGGTTTGGCCTTTACCCTGTTTTTTTTACCTTTATCCCCCAACTCCTGCACATGTTTCATTGAGGTTCGTAGTTCCAGATACCTCAGGAAGAAGTAGCCCCCACCTCGAGTCTGCCAGTCAAGTAGACTCTTAGGAAAAGTCCAGCCCTAACAGAATCTCATACCTGTCACCACTTAGCTCACATGTGGTTCATAGAATTAGTGCCCATCCCTTTTTGACAAGATTACAATGAGCCCCTCAGCATCTACCCATCAGCTTAAAATCTGCCCCTGTGTGCAACAGCGTTGAGAGCCACTGGCCTAAGCAGGCATCATGGGAGGTGAGGATGAGGAAAGCAGTCAAGCCCACCCCCCTCCCAGGAGCCCCTTCCCTGCTATCCCAATTCCCAACACAGGCTGGGAGCCGAGGACACCTGTGGCCACTACTGAATGCATCAGGAGCCTGCAGCCCAGGGTGCTTACTGTATACAAGATCTGATGTGGAGAGCTCTGGAGGAGATCCGGAGCAACACAGGACAGGAGTAACAAAACAGGTGGCATTAGGGGACATGGATATGTAACAGAAGTGATGGAGAATAGTGAGCACCCCGTGGCAGGGATGGTCCCCCTAGGGTGGGGTTGGGGGAAGAAGCCCTGAGCTGACTTAGGAGCTGTGGGGCCTAGACTGGCTGGGGGTGGGAAACTGTGAAGAGGGACAAAGCAGCTTCCCCAGGGGGCATCTGAAAAGTGATAGCATCCGAAAACTGATCAGTTCCTTAATAAAGGAAATATTATGGTCTCTTGGGACTGACAGAAGCATTGAGCCTGTCTCTCCAACCTGCAGGCAGAACTGTTCATGAAGTGGAGTGGACAGACAAGAAGACACCCCACCACACCAGCCCAGGACATGTCCACAAAAGCTGCATCACTCAGCATTTCCCACGAGTCTACCCAAATCCCTGTCTATATCACCCAAGTTTGTGCTCTCCTTTGACTCCTTAGAGAGGGGCTCAAACATGCTCCAACTTCATCCCTGGATCTAGGGGGCAGCAAACTTTTTCTGTCATGGGCCAGATAGTAAATATTTGAGGTTTTGCAGTCCACTGAGTCTCTGTTGCAACCACTCAACTCTGACATTGCAGGTGCAAAAGTGGCTATGGACAGTACATAAACCATTGAGTGTGGCTGTGTTCCAATAAAACTTTATCTACACAAATGAGTGGGGGGCCAGATTTGGCCCATGGGCTGCAGTTTGCTGACCCCTGCCCTGATAGCTCAGTGGCTGCAGAAAGATCTGGCAAGATGAAACCACAGACCCTGGGCATTGCAGACCCTATCTCTTCTTATGTTCTCATGGCCATGCATGTGGTAGTTGAAGTTTGGGCTTTGCAGTCTGACTTCTTCTGTCCAAATCCTGGGTCTGTGCTTTGTTAGCTGTGCTACTTTCCATTTCTCCAACTGCAGAATTTGAAGAACAATACCCACCCTCACTTCACAGCGTTGCTGATATGATTACCTGGGATGGTCCCTCTCAAGCCCTTAGCACACGGGAGCTAGTATGCAGTAAGCACGTAATCAATGCCTGTCCTGGGGTGAGGGTGAGTGTTATCACTGAGGTTGCAGCGTGAAATAACAGAGACAGGGACTTAAAGCTTTTCCAAGAACTCATGCGTCCTCTTTCCAAGAGAGACTAAGATTTTCTACCCTAAAGCCAAAACTCATTCCTCTGCAAAGCTCTGTTTCAAAGAGACCTGGCTTGGCTGTTTTGCTTATGGCTCATCTATGCTTGAGTTTCCATCGGCACTCACTCATTTGCTCTTGTTGACACTTGTGTGAGATTTTTACATCACTTGTAAGATTTTGGTGAGAACCACTGTGCAACCTGAAGGCATTTCAGATACTGTGTTCCTATATACTGCTTGGTCTGTTTGGGTTGTACAGAAACTCCCGGGAGATGTGGATTCTTGCTTCTCCTAGGCTGGCACATATAGAAGAATTCCTTCTATCACCTCCAGACCCCCCTGAGCCCCAGTAAATGTCTGGAGGCTGGACGCTTCCCTGGGCACAGAGGAGGGGAGAGCTGCTGGAAGGGAGTAGGGGGCATTCTGATGAGCCTGGTGGGCTTGACTCTTCTGTTGCACGCTTTTTTTTTCTTTTTTTTTTTTGAGATGGAGTCTCGCTCTGTCATCCAGGCTAGAGTGCACTGGCACGATCTCAGCTCACTGCAGCCTTCACCTCTGGGGTTCAAGCGATTCTCCTGCTTCAGCCTCCCGAGTAGCTGGGATTACAGGCATGTGCCACCACACCCCCCTATTTTTTTTTTGTATTTTTAGCAGAGACAGGGTTTCAGAATATTAGCCAGGCTGGTCTCAAACTCCTGACCTCAGATGATCCACCTGCCTCAGCCTTGAAAAGTGCTGGGATTACAGGTATGAGCCACTGCACCCTTTTTTTTTGTTTTGGTTTTTCTTTTCTTTTCTTTTCTTTTTTTTTTTTTGAGAAGGAGTCTCGCTCTGTCACCCAGGCTGAAGTGGTGCAGTGGCGTGATCTCAGCTCACTGCAACCTCCGCCTCATGGGTTCAAGCGATTCTCCTGCCTCAGCCTCCCCAGTAGCTGGGATTACAAGTGCCCACCACCACGCCCAGCTAATTTTTGTATTTTTAGTAGAGATGGGGTTTTACCATGTTGGCCAGGGTGGTCTCGAACTCCTGACCTCAGGTAATCTGCTCGACTCGGCCTCCCAAAGTGCGGGATTACAGGTGTGAGTCACCTCACCCGGCCTGCTGCACTTTAAAGTATGGAAAGCTCCATTGGATAATTGAGCCCTGGGGGTCACCTCTGAAGATTTTGTCCTGGGCAGCTGGGGACAGTTTTACACTTCCCTGAGAAGTGCTTCTAGGAGGTGAGGCCCTGGGCAGGAAGTCAACTGTAGCTTACATATCCTCCACATAGTCTTGATCTGTCCTAGTTCAACAGGAGAGAAGGATTTGGAGAAATGAGACAGGATGAAAAAGGAAATCTAGCTACAGATGTTTAGGAAAAAGGTGTCATTCTGGTCCCTTGTGTTTAAAATGTGCGTGTGTGTGCGGAAGGGTGGGGCATGGGGAGTGAGCGGGTGGCCCTGCTTAGCCATCTTGCTTTTCCTTATTTTCTGGGTCCCTAACATGTCTTCCTAGCCAGTCTATAGGGGCAGGACAAAAGGGTCAGGAGCTCTCTTCCTCACCTTGAAAGGTCCTAGGCTCCCCTCTTCTGCTGCTCTGCCAGGGAGGGTGATGGGTGCCGCTTCTGGCATTGGGTATAGGATCGGAGTTAATGGCCTCACTTCTTCCCTCTGGGGCCCCAGGCCTAGGACTCGAAAGCTAGCTTTGGAAGACACTGTTGAACGTTGCTTCAGTTATAGGATGCTGACAAGCGTGTTCTAACCAGCCCTGGGCAGAAATGCGGCCTGTTCTCGCAGCTTCTGCTACCAATTTCATGTGCAAGCTGACCCTGAGCTCCTATTCCAGGAGTTGGAGACATGTGAATATATTTATGTTGAGGACAAATTCTTAAGGATAAATTCTTGCCAATATTTCATAAGCCCCTGCCCCGCCTTCCCAGATAGACCCTCAGGGGGGCCCCTTCCCTGCGACTTTGTTCAGCATCTCCTTGTAGCCCTCAAAATGGTTGAGTGAATACAACCAGCTTCCTTGACCTTTTGCAAAGTCCGAAGTGCAAGGTTTCTTTCCAATGAGGAAGGCCAAGGCTTCTGATATCTTGGGCTTTGCCAGGCACTTGGTGGCTGGCTCTCAGTCCGCTGCCATTGCCTGCACCTCATATTCACAGGCAGGCACACGAAGGTAGCCGCAGAGTGACCAGCCCAATGTCACTGACAAATCAGAGGTGGGGCTCCCCATCCAAAGTCCTCGCCGTGACATAGCGCTGACTACAGCCATCGCCCGGCGGGCTGTGGGAGCCTCCTCCACATCCTGTCTGGGAGCCACCATCCTGATAAGCAGCACAGAAACCCCATTCTTCCATCCCTGGCAAGCCTCGTTACCTCTGCCTTGCCCCAGCCCTGGCACGGGGCTGCCAGCCCAAACAGCTGCCATGCCCTCTGGATCCTGCCAGGCCTTTCTCAGCAGGGCATTGCATTGCTGGGCGGT
The DNA here is from genome assembly GCF_000001405.40 of Homo sapiens. Classification (NCBI taxonomy): domain Eukaryota; kingdom Metazoa; phylum Chordata; class Mammalia; order Primates; family Hominidae; genus Homo; species Homo sapiens. The sequence continues at coordinate 72,655,103 of NC_000017.11, forward strand.
CAGAGTCCCTCCTGACACTCCTGGGCTCCTTTGCTCCCCAGCAGGGGCTGGCACCACAGTTTCTCTGCCTTTCCTACCTGTCATGCACAACACTGCCTAACTGGGCTCTCCTCCACACACCCGTGCACACGCACAGGCCCATCCAAGTTCCCTCGCCCCGCTGCTTGTTGGGCATTGGTCAGAGGCCCACTGGTGGGGGTGGCCCAGTGGAGGACACAGTCCCTTCCAGCCCTCTCCTCTTCTTCAATCACCTGCATCAGCTCCAGAGTGGGATTTGAATCCACGGCTCTCAGACCTGACGACACATGCCAGTCACAGGGAGCACCGGCAAATGCCGATGCCTCGGCCCTGCCCTGGAGATCTCGGTTTATTGCCGTGGCATTGGGCCCCCTGTGTGCAGATTTTAAGAGTGTGCGAGGGCGTTGAGAGCCACTGGCCTAAGCAGGTGTCAGAGGAGGTGAGGATGAGGATGGAGGCCAAGCCCGCCTCCCTCCCAGGAGCCCCTTCCCTGCTATTCGAATTCCCAACACAGTCTGGGAGCCGAGGACACCTGTGGCCACTACTGAATGCATCAGGAGCCTGCAACCGGGGTGCTTACTATATACAAGATCTGATCTGGGGAGCTTTGGAGGAGATCTGGAGCAACTGAGGGCAGGAGCAGCAAAGCAGGTGGTATTCGGGGATATGGATGCATAACAGAAGTGACAGAGAATATTGAGGACCCCGTGGCAGGGATAGTCTCTCAGTGGTAGGGGGTGAGCCGTGAGCTGACTTAGGAGCTGTGGGGCCTAGACTGGCTGGAGGATGGGAAACTGTGAAGAAGAACAAGGGCAGCCTCCCGGGGGGCTGGTGGCGTGGAGGATGCCCCAGGCTCACCAGCTCCCCTCCTGCAGCCCTGCTGTGCATTCCTGCAAGGCCTTCAGTCTAACTAAACACTCTGAGCTGACGATCCTGGGCAGGTGGGGTTGGTGGGCCATTCCCTCCCTCCTTTACGCTCTGGGAAGGGAAAGGTCAGATGAGAGGTTTCCTTTCCAGGATGGGCCATGAAAATTCAAAACAGCATTCAAAAGCCACGGGGAAAATACAAACCCATGCCCTTCTGAAGACAGTGAAGCTGCTGTCTTCTGGGTTCTGTTCCTCCCCAGCAGTAGCACAAAGACACTATTACTAGTCTGGACCACGACACATTAATGGGAAGGAGAGGGAAGTGGAGATGAAGGGCTCTTTTAGAAAAGAAACCGCAGGCTGTCCCCTGACAAGGTCCCTTGTCCCTTCCGTGACAAGCCAAGTCCCATGGCAACCTGTCACCGGAGCCTGACTGAGAGCAACAAGGCAGAGATCTCTCGAGAAGGGCCAGGAGAGGGGCATCCGTGTGTAGAGTGGGACAGGAGAGGAGAGAGGGAGCGTGGAAAGGGAAGGAGACGGGGGAGGCGGGAAGGGAGGGTCGACAGGGCAGGGAGTCATTGGGGAGGAGGATGACTCCTGGGGTTGGGCTGCACCAGCAAGGACAAGAGCAGCCCTGACAGGCCTCTCCCGGGGAGGTCTGTCTGCAGGGGCTGCCTCATGGAGGCAGAGTTTGCCTCAGGGCATCCAGACTTCTCTTTTCCTTTTCCTTAGGAATCAGAATTTGCTAGGAAGGGACAAAACCAGAGAACCGCGAGGAAGGGGGGTCCCATCCAGCATTGGGGGAATCAGGGTTTATTTTTAAAGTTCATTTCCTATTATATGTTTATTTTTATTATTTTTTTTAAACATCGAAGGCCGGGCATGGTGGCTCACACCTGTAATCCCGGCACTTTGGGAGGCTGAGGCAGGAGGACTGCTTGAGGCCAGGAGTTTGACCAGCCTGGGCAACATAGCAAGACCCTGTCTGTATATAATAAATAAAAATAAATAAAAAAGAGAAAAAAGAAGAACAGCAAAGAACACAATTATCAGGCATATTTCAAAATCATTCCTCAAAAAAATAAATAAATAGGCCAGGCACGGTGGCTCACGCCTGTAATCCCAACACTTTGGGAGGCAGAGGTGGGCAGATCATGAGGTCAGGAGTTCAAGACCAGCCTGGTCAACACGGTGAAACTCCGTCTTTACTAAAAATACAAAAATTAGCCAGGCATGGTGGTGGGTGCCCGTAATCCCAGCTACCAGGGGAGCTGAGGCATGAGAATCGCTTGAACCCGGGAGGCAGAGGTTACAGTGAGCCGAGATAGCGCCACCGCACTCCAGGCTGGGCAACAGAGTGAGATTCTGCCTCAAAACAAACAAACAAACAAACAAAAGATAAATAAATAAATAAAAATAAACATCAAGGAGGAGCAGAGATGGAAGAGAGAATGGCAAGAAGGAAGACTACAGAAGATCACTTGACTGCCCTGACTTTGGGCAGGAGTGAGTAGCAATGGTTTACCTCATTAGAATGTACAGGCCAATATGTTAAGAGGTCAGAATTCCCTGAATACAGTGTCCCTTTTGGGACAGGAACTAGGGTGCCCAACCATTCCGGTTCACCAGGGACTGAGGGGTTTCCCAGGATATAGGACTTACTCAGTGCTAAACCTGGCACAGTCCCCAGATAACTGATGTGAGTTGGTCACCCTCAGAAGTAGTCAGAAACAGGGTAGGTGGCAGAGGCAAGCTAGGGTAAGAATTTTAATTTTCCACAGGGGATATATACAGAATCCTACAAGCTAAGCAGATGTTTGAAAAAGTAAAAAGCCCTACCTAAAACTCGCAATGGTCTGATGCAAATTTTGACCGCTTTTAGCCCCTTGGATCTACTGCCCTCTAGAGAGCCAGCTTCCCTGAAACCCTCACCAGCCCCATTGATGCTGGGTGGGTCCTTGCGGGCTGCTGTCTCCAGCCCAGCCCTGAGTGGCATCCAGGAACTGGGCAGGCACGGCAGAAGCAGAAGGGATGGCCTCCCTGTAGGGACAGCAGCAGACACTTTGCTTTCTTGGGTAGGGACATAAAGAAACAATTCAGGCTGCTTAGGAAACCCCCAGAGGTGACCTGTAAGGAAGTGGGGAAGGCGCTGGGCCTGAGCACAAATAATGAATCCTAGAAGATGGAGGGGGGCTGGGCCCACAAGGGGTGCCAAGGGAGTGTAGGCGGGGGAAAGGTGCCCATTCATGGGCTTGGCCTCTCCGTGGGCTGGATGCAGGGGCAGAGGCGGACAGTCTGAGGTACTTTTCCAGAGGTCTCTCATCCTTTGCTCTTCCAACCTGGTAGAGGCTGAGGGCCAATGGCCAGGGTCCCATCCGGGTGCTAGGTAAGAAGGGCCTCCCTCCTCGTATCTTCAGGGAACACTAATCCCAAGCAGTGGGCAACAGGAAGAAAGGCATCCCCGGTGGGCAGTTGTTTCTGCTTTTTCTTAGAGGCCTGACCCTGTTTCGCCCCAGGGGCTGACTTCTCTTCTCCAGCATCCTCCTCCTACTACCCCCCACCCATCACCCATGTTAAAAGTTAGGGCCCTTGGAGGTCGCCTGGCTCAATGCCTTGATTGTTAAGATTGTTAAGGTAGAAAAAGGAGATGCAGACAAGTACAATGCCTTTGGAGGCCCTGTGATGTGTAGTGCCAGTCAAACATATGAGTCAAACACATCTGGGTGGGACCCCAGGTGCACAGGTGGGACCCAGTGCAAGCTACAGATCACTCAGCCTTTCCTTTAACTGAAAAATGGGCATAAAACTCCCCCACCGACAGGGCTCTTGTGTGGATGGCAAATGATCACTGTGAAGTGCCAGGCTTATCTCGGAGCCCAGAGTGGGTGCTCTTTAAATAGCAGCCACTGTTAAAACTGCCCGAGGCTGCTGAATGAGGCGGTGATGAGCTGGGCACTGAAGCCTCCTATTCCCCCCAGACTGGTGACCTCCCAGCCACACACCAATTTCTTCTACAAAGGGTGTGCCTTAGCCTTCTCAATTATACGACCTCCTGGGCAGAACCATGTCCTGCAGTGGCAACTTGGCCACCTGGAAGCCTCTTCTCAGGAGTCACTCCAGAGTCAACCGCTAAGCCCTGGCCATGTGCAAGAGCTCATGCCACATATGAAGAAAGACATTTGGAAGGTCCCTGTCTTCAAGGAACTTATAATCTGATACACAGCAAAAGACCTGCCTGCAAATGACTCCAGCACAGCACGGGACTTGCTAAAGGCCATAAGATCTAGCACAGAGCATTAGGGGCGAGGATGATTTTGGCGGAGACAGATGATCCAGGAAACCTTTGTGGAGAAAGCAACATCCAAGATGGACTGTGAAGGATGGGGACAATTTTAATAGATAAAGATGGGGAAATGCATTTCATCCAGAAAGAAGGAACAGAGAAAGCAAAGATGTGAGATGATCTGGCGGGGTGAGCTAGGTCTTCCTTTCTCTCCCCTTCTCCAAGTCCAAGCCAACATACAAACAAAAATAAAACATGCATTCGAGCCAAGGCCTATCTCTCTTACACGTGTCCTCTGTGACTCTTTTTTTTTTTTTTTTTTTTTTTTTGGAGACAGAGTCTTGCTCTGTTGCCCAGGCTGAAGTGCAGTGGCGCGATCTTGGGTCACTGCAACCTCTGCCTCCCGGGTTCAAGCAATTCTCCTGCCTCAGCCTCCCAAATAGCTGGGATTACAGGCACCTACCACCATGCCTGGCTAATTTTTATTTTATTTTATTTTTTTGTATTTTTAGTAGAGACAGGGTTTGACCATGTTGGCCAGGCTGGTCTCAAACTCCTGACCTTAGGCAATCTGCCCGCCTCAGGCTCCCAAAGTGTTGGGATTACAGGCTTGAGCCACCATGGCTGGCCCTCTGTGATTCTTTCTTAGCTGAACCTGCTGGATTTTTAGGGAAAACCTGAGTGTTAAACACCCCAGCCATACCTCAGGTGTTTTCCAAGGCCGGAGTGCGAAGTACCACCCCAGGGGTCCCTATACTATCTTTGGGAGGCAGATGCCTGTGCTGAGTGAGTTACTCAGGGGTGTTCCCTTGAAATTCATTTATTAGCCATCTCCACTCAAACCTCAATGTCTCAGGCCTTGAGCTTGGGAAATGCTTCCAGCTCGTGTCAGCAGCAGCACAGAGCATGTGCCAGGAGCTGTGCACAGCACTGGAGACCCCACTGCAACCGCCTGCGGTTGAAACCAGCTCAAGTCTTTCATTACCGCACCCATCAGAGGCAGCCCGAGGTCCTCCGGCTAGAATAAAAATGACGATAACCACTGCTGTTATTTATTGAGTATTACTACGTGCTGGGCGTGCTTGTAAGCATATTACATGTAACAACATGCCTTGCCCCTCAACCACCTCATGAGCAGCTTTCACCATTATTCCCATTTTACAGATGGAGAAATTGATGCTCAAGGAGTTAAATAACTGGCCCTGAAGGTTGTGGAGCTGGGAAGTGACAGAGCAGGGCCTCCTAACTGCTACTGTGTACACATACCGGGTTTTCTGGGCCTCATGCAGACCCATCGAACCATATGGAGATAGGGGCGGACGCTGCCCGACACCCACTTGGCTAGTGAGCTGAGGTTCTGGCCTCTTCTGGTCAACAGGGAGGGCAGGCCAGACTCAGGGGGTTTCGAGCCAGAGACCTGCAGGGTTTAATGGAGTGGAACGTGCCATCCACAGCGGGATTTCTCAACCTCACCACTACTGACATTTCACACCGTGAGTTCCTTGTTGTGGGGGCCTGGTTCTGTGCAGTGTAGGATGCTTACCAGCATCCTCGGCTCCTATCTGCTAGATGCCAGCAACAACCTCTCAGCTGTGACAACCAAAACGTCTCCAGACATGGCCAAATGTCTCCGGGGAGGGGGAGGGGACCAACCCTGATTGAGACCCACTGACCTTGAGTAAACATGTTAGATGAGCTTGCTTCCTTAGCAAATAGCTGGACGACAAAAACTGCTCAGACTGAGTGTGGAGAACACCTGATCTCACGCATCTCATTTGAGAATTTCTAGCCTCAGTGGAGTGCAGGCTTCTAGGGAACTTAGCTATGGCACGACAGATTTGGGGCTGAGCAACCACCTTTGAGAACCACCAGGCCTCAGCTCCCTTAGTCCAAAGCCAGTGGTCACTCTCAAAGCTCACTGTTGCACAATTCCAGGGGTACTTTTCACCTTGTGTTCTCTGACCATGGCGCCCCCTGGAGTTGTGCAGTGGGACACTCCTGCTTGAGCGCAGATTGCTGCTCAGCCTGGGGTGTAGTTCTGGGGTTCGAGGTGCACGCTCTCAGGAGAGGTAGTGGAGAGAGTCATGGGTTTCTCTGAGAATTGGCAAGCGAAGGGACGGCAACCTGCAGCCTTGCTCTCCAGGCTATATTCCCTGGCCGGTTGATTATGAAAGGAGAATGGCATATCCCTGACAAGCCCTGCTTCACCCCGGCTTTCAGATCCTCCCATGTGCGATGAGCGTGTGTGTTCTTGTGTGGCAGGCCCTTACATACTGTTTTGATTGTTATCATCTTGCCGTGAAAGGCCTGATTGTTCAGGCCTGGAGATGACATCACCGGCTTCCCACTAGGGCAGCCTGTCGAGGTGTTTGATGAGCCTGCAGGTGGGAAGGGGCTGGGTACTCCCCGCAGGGCTGCCCGGCCCTACCTGCTCAGAGGAGCTGGCTTAGCACGCAAGGGATCTTCCCCCACCCTCTTGGTGCAGTTCTCGGAAACTTCTTGGTGCAGGCTGGCGAGATGAGATGACCCATCCATTCCCTTACAGTCTGCTGCCTTCCTTCGAGGGGGTGAGGAAGAGCCCAAGGAAGTCAGCCGGAAGGCAGGGTGGTGGCTGAGGGTGATTCAGGCCACCACTGTGCACTTCTCCCTGCAGAAGTGTAGACAAACCGCCCACATTTCTATGGGATCACTGACTCCCAGAGGAATGCTCTGAAGACCTTCACCTGCTAAGTGTCCCAGCAAAGCAAACCAATCCTATGGGCTAGCCAAGTATGAGGCTGCCTCATACAATGTGGTGGGGGCACACATCTGAGAGCAATGTGCCTCTGTAGCCATCAAAAGACACATCTTAAACTGGGCGCAGTGGTTCGCGCCTGTAATCCCAGCAACTCAGGAGATGGGTGGGAGGACTGCCTGAGCCCAGGAGTTTGAGGCTGTAGTACTATGATGGAGCCATGGCAGTCCAGCCTGGACTGGCCAACAGAATGAGGCCTTTTTTTAGAAAGAAAAGAAAGGAAGAAAGAAAAGAGGAAAGGAAGAAAGAAAAGAGGAAAGAAAGAAAGAGAGAGGGAGAGAGAGAAAAGAAAGAAAAGGAAGGGAAGGAAAAGAAAAGAAAGAAAAGGAAAGAAGGAGGGAAGAAAGAAAAAGAAAGAGAAAGAAAGAAAAAGAAAGAAAAGAAAAAAAAGAAAAAGGAAGGAAAGGAAGGAAAAGAAAAGAAAGAAAAGGAAGGAAGGAGGGAAGAAAGAGAAGAAAGAGAAAGAAAGAGAGAAAGAAAGAAAAGAAAAAAGAAAAGAAAAGAAAAAGGAAAGAAAGGAAGGAAAAGGAAAGAAAAGGAAGGAAGGAAGGAGAGAAGAAAGAGAAGAAAGAGAGAAAGAAAAAGAAAAAAGAAAAGAAAAAGGAAGGAAAAGAAGGAAAAGAAAAAGAAAAGGAAGGAGGGAAGAAAGAGAAGAAAGAGAGAGAGAGAAAGAAAAAAGAAAAAAAGGAAGGAAAGGAAGGAAAAGAAAAGAAAGGAAGGAAGGAAGGAGGGAAGAAAGAGAAGAAAGAGAGAAAGAAAGAGAAAGAGAGAAAGAAAGACAGGCACACACATCCTGGGAGTGCTGTTATTCATGGCAGTGCTATCAATAATAGTCATAAACTGGAAACCATGCAAGTGCCCCTCTACAACAGAATGAGTAAAATAAACTCATTTTATTCCTTGTGTTCTATTCACACAATGGAATACTGTGTGGCAATAAGAATGAAAGGTTTATACCTCTGTGTGAGTCTGGAGCCACGTCACAGACACAATTCTGAGTGAGAAAAACTAGACACAAAATAGTAAGTGTTGTACAGTCCTATTTACACAAAGTCCCCAAACAGGCACAACCAAGCTATGCCTTCTTAGCTACTAATTTAATGGCCATTAGCCCATTGGCAGTTTAATTTGTTAATTCTCCTTAACATATTTGAAATTTTACAAACAACACGTTTGAGCAGAAACCGACAACTCTCTAAAGGTAGGATTTCAGTTCCTAGGGAGGAGTCATATTTTTGGGAAAAGAGTATCTTCCCATTACCTTTTTAAAAAGATATTTTACTGCAGTTGAATGTATGTTCAGAAAAGAGCAGATCCGCCTGCGTTGTACAGGATAACGTTTCAGAAACTAAGCAAACCCATGAAACCCACATCCCGATCAAGAAACGGAACATCACCAGCACCCTGAGACCCCCTCAATCCTGGGCTCCTGCTCCTCATGGGCCTCTCCTGAAGGAGAATCACTATCCTCACTTCTAACAGCAGAGCCTAGTTATATGTGATTTTGAACTTTATATAGATAGTTGAGGCAGCAGTGCAAGGCCCCAGAAGAGGATCGCCTGGGGGTCTGAATGATGAGGGCCTCAGTCTCATTTCCTGCGGACCTGGCATGTGGACAGTCTCCTTAGATCATGAGTTTGGACATCCGTGTGGGGTATTGCCTCAGGATATGAACGTCTGTCCCGCGAAGCATCTCTCACTCCAGTTTCTTATTCACGGAGGGCTTCAGCCTCTCCATCTGCAGCAAACACATCAGGGGAGGAGATGCAACCAAAACATTTAGTTCCCCAGCTCTCAAAATACTATCGCAAACCACTAACAATGTTTCCAGAATTTTAGTGCTTTCTTCTTGAGAGCTTGTTTGGAGGTTCTAGCAGGGGAGCGCAGCTACTTGTATACCCTTGACCGAAGACCGGTCCTCCTCTATTGGGGATGGTCGTCCTCTTCAACCAAGTGCACAGCTTCGGGAGGGACGCACATGGAGCGGTGAGGGAGGAAAGGGACACCCGCCTAGCCAGCCAGATCAGCCGAATCAACCCTGGCAATCAATGGAGTGACAGATGTCACAGCCAGATTGCCCTCACATCCTTAGTGCTTTCTTCTAAGGAGCTTTAAGTGCCTTTATAAACAGTTATTATTTCTATGACAGAGGAGGTCCATTTTCTATTTTGTAGATGTAGTAACCAAGGTCCACAAAGGGTAAGCCATGGACTGAAGGACACGCCGTGGGTCCCTGCAGTGAGGGAAAGGATGCTGGATGCCAAGCCCTCTTCCATACCTCATTGCTCCACATAAAACTGCAGAAGGCAGGGAGGGAAAGTGGTCAGTGGCAGCTTTGGGGAAGAGGAGACCATAAACCGTGGTGCCATTCTTGGCTACTCTCTGTCACACCTTATATGCAATTTGCCAGGGAAACCAGAGGCGGGGATCTACCTTTAGATCTGATGAGAATCCAGCCACTTCTCCCCTCTTCCATGGCTATACTAAGGTGCAAGCCTCCATCATGTCCTTCCTGGGCTACAGTAACAGCCTCCTAACCAGTCTCCCTGCTTCCACCTTTGCCCCTATAAACTCTATTCTCTGCAAATTTGCTAAGTCTGATTATGCTGCTCCTGTGTTGAAGACACTGCAGTGGCTCCCCATTCCACTCAGGGCCAGGGCCCACATCCCCTGCTGGCCTGTAATGACTTACACATTCATGCCCTCCGTTCTCTTCTTCTCTTCTGATTTATCTTCTCTCCATTCTCTCTTCTCTCCATTCTTTTCTCCCTCCATTCTCTTCTTCTCTTCTGATTTCTTCTTCTATTGATCTCTTCCTAGCTCCAGCTACACCAGCCATCTGGTCTCCTTGCTGTTCCTCCAGAATGCCTGGTTACTTCTACCTTGGGGCATTTTCACTGGAACATTCCTTCTCAGTTATCAGTGGCTCATTTCTTCAACTCTTTGAAGGCAAGGCCACAGGACCTTCCCAAGGCCAGATCATAAAAGGCTTGTAGCTTCTTTCTCTCTTCTCTCTCTCTGGACTACTAGCTCTGGGGGAAGCCAGTTGCCATACTGTGAGAATATTCAAGCAGCCATGTGGAGGTGCCTACATGATGAGGAACTGAGACTTCCTGCCAACAGCCATGGGAGTGCGCCATCTTGGAAATGGATCCTTCAGCCCCAGTCAAGACTTCAGGTGACTGCAGCCCCAGCTGACCTCTCTTGATTGCCACCTCATGAGAGACCCTGAGCCAGGACCACTCAGCAAAACCACTCTCAGATTCTTAACCCATAAAAAAATTGAGATAATCTTTGTTGGTTTAAGCCACCAAGTTTTGAGGTGTTTTTTTTTTTTTTTTTTTTTGAGACAGGGTCTTGCTGTTGCCCAGGCTGGAGTGCAGTGGCATGATCATGGCTCACTGCAGCCTTGACCTCTCAGGTTAAAGCTATCCTCCCATCTCAGCCTCTGAAGACCAAGGCATGTGCTACCAGGCCCAGCTAATTTTTTAAAAATTACTTTTATAGAGATGGGGGTCTCACTATATTTCCCCGGCTTGTCTTGAATTCCTGGGCCCAAGTGATTCTCCTACCTCAGCTCCCAAAGTGTTGGGATTAAAGGTGTGAGCCACCACACCCAACCAAGTTTTGAGGTATTCCGTTACGCAGCAATAAGTAACTAATACAGTCACCTTCTCAATGAAATCTACCTTTTTTCTAAAACCTAGTCTTTCTCTTTCTTTTTCTTTCTTTCTCTTTCTTTTCTCTCTCTTCCTTTTGATAGCATTTATTATCTCCTAACCTACTATATATAAGGTATTAATTGTTTATGTTTATTATCTGTTCTTTCTCCCACACCTGACCTCACACTCAAACAAGCTAGGATTCTCTGTTCACTGATTTATCCCAAGCACATAGTCAAATGCCAGGTGCATACAGCAATGAAACAGACATGTGTGCAGATGCACGTCTAAGAGTTCTAGCAGGTCTGATGTCTGCTCCCAGCTGCGTGTAATCAATCAGCAGGGAGCATGTCACAATTCTCTGGGCCTCGGTGTCTTCAGCTGTAAAATAAGGAGGTTAAATTGGGCGACCCGTAAGTTCTTTTCCAGATCCTACGTTTTGTGATCCCTAAACAACGAGGGTATTGTGGGTTCTCTAGATTCCAGGGGTTGCAGAGACAGGCCTCTGCCTTTGCCAAAGCTCATTTTCCTGTCCATTTTCCGTGCACATCTGGAAAGCCAAAAAGCAAAACCATCGCATTGTGCACATCTGGACAGCATAAACCGACCACTCCAAGAGGAAACTCCAAAACGGCTGCTCAGCAAAACGGCAGTGGAGGCCAAATGAGAAAGGTTGAAAGGGCTCCTTTCTTTTCTACCCGCAAAACAATCTTCTGGGCACAATCTTAGGAGCTGAATGCTTTGCCGCTGAATAACATACGCTCTCAATAGGCTTCGACTGCAGTCTCTGTCACTTTGCTCTCTGCCTGGCTCCTGGCCAATGCAAAACATACAGAAGGGGGCTTTCTCCCCCACTGCCCCCTTGTTTAGACGGATCTATACCTTCACTTATCCTTGGGGCATGTGGCCCAAGTTCAAAGCTGAACACCAACACCACCTGCTCCTCCTCTTCCTTCAGGGAGAGTGATTGAACTGCACGCCTAATGCAAACTAAAGGGGGAGTTTTCAGGGCTCGTGAGAAATCCTTGGCTATTTGCATGCAGTTAGAACATGCTCCCTTCCCTCCGTGGCTGAGAAGAGAAAGCTGCCTGGCAGTATGTAGTCTTGTTGTTTGACAACCAGCTTGGGATTCCAAAACAAACAGGAATGATTATTCCTATTCCTTTGCAAATGATTTGAGGTTTCAGGGGCATTGAATTTATGCAGTGCAGGGAGAGCGAGAGGCATGTCCTGAAATGTGGGGTGCTTCCCATTTGCACCTTCAGAGCTGATAATGTCCAGGGCTTGCTGGGGAGGACACTTTGGAGCACAGGAAAGTTTAAGCGGCAATAGAGAGCCTTTGAGTCAATGTCTTGTGAATAGCAGGGGATGCCTGCAAGGGGAGAATAAAGGTGAATGGAGACCTTGGGGTTAGGGTCATTCTCTAGACCTCCCTGAAGGGTGTAGGTGAAGAGGCAGGAGCAAGATGCAGGAAGTTAATAGCCCTGAAGTCTAGCCCTGGACCCTCACCCTCAAACAGCGGCATCTCCGTATGACTCAGGACACTCTATGAGGTGAGACTCCTGCTGTTACCCTGAAGCCTAACCATATGGAAAGCACATGGCCTGCTGACTCTAGGTGCAGGGGGCGCTTTAGAAAACCAGGCGAGAAGCTGGCAAGAAAAGGAACAAAAGAGAAATCTTTTCCTTCCTTGCACTGTGTATTTTTGGACTTGCTTTCTAGCTAGCCAGGGACTCAGTGCTTTGCCATTGGGAAACAATTGTGTTTTCTTGGCTTCCCAGTATGGATGGCTGAGGGCAAGTGCAGGGTGCATGGCCAGGACGCCAGTGCCAGTAGGGTGGCTGGGGATATCATCAGCTGGGAGGCTCAGCACCTGCTGCTTTGCATATGCTACCAATGCTATGAAGATGGTGGGCAAAGCAACCACCCTCACCAGAGCCACTTCTTCCAGGAATGCCTGGTGCAGACTGCAGAGGCACCAGGCCAATAGCAACCATGGCAGGAACACCAGCACTGCTTACTAAGCCCCTGCCCTACACCAGGCCCAATGCTAAGCACTGTTCATGCATCTTCTCATTTTTCTCTGGCACTTGCTCTATGCAGAAAATATTACCAACCCATTTTATAGATGAAGAAACTGAGGCTTACAGAAGTTAAGTACTCTCTCCCAAGTTCACCAGCCTGTAAGCAGCCCAGCTGAAATTTCAGTTCAGGTCTGCTGACTCCAGAGCTCAAGGGCTTCCCCTGTGTGGCCATGCTGCCTCCCATATTCCTGCAGAAACAGTGCAGAGTGAGGGTGGATCTTGCTGTAATCTTGGTTTAGGGTAGCCTGTGATTATTAGCAATACTTTGTACCATGAAATCATGTATTGCCAATTTTCCTCTGTGGGGTGGAATCTGACACAGACAATGTGAAAGATTTCTATAAATATTAATGCTGTTTGCTATAAATATTAATGCTGTTTAAGAATCTTTTAAAAAAAAAAAAGAAGTTTCCAGTATTTTCAGTGACTCACTGGCTTCTAGCACATACCTGGTGGGCTTTTCTCTCTTGACCAAGTCAGTAACTATAAAGCAAAAAAAAAAAAAAATTCCCTAGCTCTGATTAGATGCTGAGTTTAACTGGCTCTGACGGATGCCCCAGGAAATATTCCCAAGGTGCCAAACTCCGGTCTTCTGGGTGGGAGGAAGCCAATGTAATACTTTTATCTCTGTAGCTCTTGCTGGTCAGTCCCCACTGAAGTTTGCAAACTCTGTGTGCTGGTTTGTGCAAGAGGGACTATGAAGCTGGTTTTGACTTTGCAAACAGCACAGACCTCTGAGGGATAACTCAGCAATGTGCAGAGGGGTAGAAAAAAGGAATGAGAAGTTCAAAGTGAGGAGAGAGAGCACAACCACAGCTATGAATGGGCATGAAGGAAGGAGAAAAGTTGGGACCAGTGTCCACCACATGGCCAAGAAAGTGTAATCATGCAACAACTGCTTGGTCCCCACCTGGAGAGCCACTCACAGACACACAGTGTTCAGAGCCCATCAACTCAGAGCTGAGACTTAATAACTAATCTGTGGAAATAGGAGTTTATAGCAATGGTCTTCTACCCCTGTTGAAAACTGCATCCTATGGAAGACAGCCAGTTCTCAGGGCCCTTCAAAAATGTCAGTGTCATGTGAGACAGAAAAGGCAGGGTACCTGTCTTCCATTAATGGAGATTAAGGAGATGGGACAACCAAAGCAAACAAATAAAACGATACAAGGGAAACACATAAAACAATAGCAACAACTAACCAAACTAACAAATCCATAAAGGACATTGGGAATGTTAAGAAAACCTGAACAGGGTCAGTATATTCGATAATTTTATTATATCAATGTTAAATTTTCTGGATGGGATAACCATATTGTAGTTATGCAGGAGAATGTTTTGTTTTTGTTTTTCTCAAAGTTATATAGGTTGCTCTACCTCAAGACTTCTCGAAAATGTACGTAACTGTAAGACGATGATCAAAACTGGGAAATCACATTGGCACGACACTATGAACTAAACCACAGACTTTATTCAAGTCTCATCAATTCTCCCCTGACATCCTTTTGCTATTTCAGGATCCAGTGTGGGATCCCATGTTGCATTTAGTTGTGATGTCTCCTTTGCCTCCCCTACTTTGCAATAATGTTTCAGTCTTTCCTTGATTTTCATGACTTTGAAGAGTGCTGGCCAGCTATTTTGTAGAATGTCTCTCAAATTTGGGTTTCTCTGATATTTTCTCATGATTACATTGAGGTTATCCTTTTTTGGCAAGAATATCCAGAAGTGATATGTCCACATCAGTCAGAGGGCACAGGAAAACTCGATGTGTCTTATTCCTGGTGATGCCAACCTTGATCACTTGCATAAAGTAGTTTGTGCTGGGTTTCTCCACTATGAAGCCATCATTTCCCTTTTATAGTTAGTAAAAATTTGAAGGGAGATACCAATATGCCAATATCAGCCAGGTGCGGTGGCTTAAGCCTGTAATCCTAATACTTTGAGAGACTGAGGGGGGCAGACTGCTTGAGCCCAGGAGTTGGAGACCCTCCTGGGCAACATAGGGAGACCCCCATCTCTACAAAACAAACTATATGTATACATACACACACACGTATATATACATATACACGTATAGATGTATATACACATATATATACGTATAGATGTATATACACATATATACGTATAGATGTATATACACATATATATACGTATAGATGTATATACACATATATACGTATAGATGTATATACACATATATATACGTATAGATGTATATACACATATATATACGTATAGATGTATATACACATATATATACGTATAGATGTATATACACACATATATATACTTGTACATATATAGTTTGTTTTGTAGAGATACGTATACACACACACACATTTTATATACACACACACACACACACACACACACACACACACACACACACACACACACACATATATATATATGCCAGGCATGGTGGCACACATCTGTGGTCCCAGTTACTCATGAGGCGGAGACAGGATGATCACTTGAGGCTGGGAGGTCAGGGCTACAGTGAGTTGTGATTGTGCCACTGCACTCCAGCCTGGGCAGTGAAGCCAGACCCTGTCTCAAAAAAAAAAAAAATGCAAATATCCTGTTTCTCCTTAAATTTTCTCATAGTAATCTTAGTTCTCATTGGTGGATCTTGCCTACAGCAATTATTACTGTGGTATTCTAGTGAGGGCTTTCCATTTCCTCCCTTCCTTCTACATTTATTAATTGAAATTTATCTATAAGCAAGATCTGTTTCATCTCTTCCATTTAAGAAAACTATTCAATTATTTATTTGTAGCAATATGACTGTACAGAGTCTTTATTCGATGGATCATAATCCACTACTATCATTATTTATTTTGTTGCTCCAATTGTTCCAGCTTTGGCCATTGGGAGCTCCTTCAGGATGGCTCCCTTGTTCTTTTGATAGGTCAAAAGATGCGTTTTGATATGTTCTTTTGACATGGCCTTTTGGAAAGATGTACTTACCTTCTGGCATCCCAAGTATTTCTGGCTCATCTTGTATTTTCACTCCCTAGTCCTTGAATCAACTACTTCCCCAAGAGGTTCTGGTCCCTTTTGCTGAGGAATGGTGTTTAGGAACAAAGGTCCGGGCTCCAGAGGCGCTCACTGTTACTGGGGTATCACTGTTCCATGAAATATACGTACACATACTGTGACAGTTGCAGATACCAGGATGAAATCACCTTGTTTGTCAGACCCAAACAAACTGAAGCCAGGAAAGCACAAAAAGAGAGAGCTCCTGGATGTGTGTCTGAGATAAGGACTGTCTCAAGGGCTTTCTAAAATAACCCTACAAGAGATCCCCTCTTTAGGACTGCAGTAATTCAGATAAGATGCTCTCAAAAGAACAGTTGCCCAGTAACAGCATCTCCACCAATGAACTGACACAAACTCTGGCTTTGAGCTCCCAGAACCAATGAACTCTGTTTCCAAGTAGCTTATGTGAACTTCTCCTTTCTGCCAATAAAAGCTTCCCCTTACCCTCTCCTCTGCAGGTGCATCTGTGGCTTGCCATAGCTGTGCATCCCAGATTATAATCTTTTTTGCTTATTCCCCAATAAATTCATTATATTATTAGGTTGACAATACTAAACCACACATACAAAAATAGCTATATTTAGGCTGGCTGCGGCAGCTCACGCTTGTAATCCCAGCACTTTGGGAGGCCAAGGCAGGTGGATCATCTGAGGTCAGGAGTTCGAGACCAGCCTGGCCAAAACAGTGAAACTCAATCTCTACTAAAAATACAAAAATTAGCTAGGCATGGTGGTGGATGCCTGTAATCTCAGCTACTCAGGAGGCTGAGGCAGGAGAATCGTTTGAACCCAGGAGGTGGCGGTTGCAGTAAGCAGAGATCGTGCCACTGCACTCCAGCCTGGGCAGCAAGAGCAAAACTGTCTAAAAAAAAAAATAGCTATATTTGTTTCTATAGCTATTTACTTCATAAGTAAATCATAAGACAAATACTGAACAATATCACCTATATGCAGAATCTTAAAAAGCTGCATTAATAGAAATAGAGAGTGGAATGGTAGTTGCCAAGGGCTGGGAAGTGAGGGAAATAGGGAGGTATTGGTGAAAGGGTAAAATTTTTCAGTAATAAGATGAATCAGCTCTGGGAATCTAATACACAGAATCGTGACTATAGTAGACAATACTGTATTGTAAACTTGAAATCTGTTAAGAGAATAGATCTTAAATGTTCTCATCATACACATACACACACAAACACACACACACACAGATGGTAACTATGTGAGTTGATGGATATGCTAACAAATTTGACTGTGGTAATCATTTCACTATAAATATGTATATAAACTCAAAACAAAACAAAATCATGTTTTCAGGCTGGGCGCATGGCTCATGCCTATAATCTCAGCACTCTGGGAGGCTGAGGTGGGTGGATCACTTCAGGCCAGGAGTTCGAGACCAACCTGGCCAACACAGTGAAACCTTGACTCTACTAAAAATACAAAAATTGGCCAGGCTTGGTGGCGTGCACCTCTAGTCCCAGCTATTTGGGAGGTTGAGGCATGAAAGTAGCTTGAACCCAGGAGGTGGATGTTACAGTGAGCTGAGATCATGCCACTGCCCTCCAGCCTGGGTGACAGAGTGAAACTCTGTCTCAAAAATAAAAACATAAAAAACAAAATCATGATTTCATGGATAACTCTCATTCTCGACCAGCACCATAAGATTCATCTTAACCTAAAAAGACAGTGAACTGTGGCCGTTGGGCCAAATATGGCCTACCTCCTGTTTGTTTTGTTTTTGTCTGTTTTTTAATTTGTTTTTTGGGATAGGGTCTTGCTTTGTCATCCACGCTGGAGTACAATGACACTATCATGGCTCACTGCTGCCTCAAACTCCTGGGCTCCAGTGATCTTCTTACTCAGCCTCCAGAGTAGCTGGGACCACTGAAATATGCCACCATGCTCAGCTAATTTTTTTTATTTTTTGGTAGAGACAAGGTCTCACTATGCCGCTCAGGCTGATCTCCATAAACTGAACTCTGGGGCTCAAATGATTCTCTCACCTCAGCCTCCCCAAGGGCTGGGATTACAGGTGTGAGCCACCACGCCTAACCCTGCTTCAATAAAGTTTTATTTAACACACTCATACCTATTTGTTTACATATTATCTGTGGCCGTTTTTGTTCAAAGGCACAGTTGAATAGTTGAGAAAAAGACTTTATGGCCCACAAAGCTGAAGATACCCGGCCCTTAAAAGAAACAGTTTATGGGCCCCTGTTCTAGGATTCCTTCTTTCTCTCTTTTTGTTGTTGTTGTTGTGGTTTTTGAGACAGAGTCTTGTCTTACTCTGTCACCCAGGCTGGAGAGCAATGGCATGATCTCAGCTCACTGCAACCTCCAGCTCCTGGGTTCCAGCAGTTCTGCCTCAGCCTCCTGAGTAGCTGGGATTACAGGTGTGTGCCACCACACCTGGCTAGTTTTTGTATTTTTAGTAGAGACGGGGTTTCACCATGTTGGCCAGGCTGGTCTCCAACTCCTGACCTAGTGATCTGCCCACCTCGGCCTCCCAAAGTGCTGGGATTACAAGTGTGAGCCACCGTGCCCGGCCTCTTTCTCTATTTGTATCTTCTTTTGCCAACACTGAGGATGAGATTCTTGTATCTACAATGTATCTTATTTATTTAATCATAGTTTGCACATCAGGTGGTAATAGAATTCCTGTGAGAAAAAGATTTACCATCCAGAGAACAATGTTTGCACAGTTTTTTTTTTCTTTTTGCCTTTAGCCTTGTAGTATCTGTTCAAAAGACTGTTTTCCAAAGAGATTGGTGTGGTTATGTAATTCATTTGTAATACAACTTAGTTTCATTTGTTACTGCTTGTATTCCATTTGGGCTCCCCCATATTTTGGTTTAATTATTTATTGATTTGGGGCAATGTGAAACACTTCTGTAAGAAACAGTCGGAGTTATTCAAGAAGGGAAACTTGGCCGGGCACAGTGGCTCACACCTGTAATCCAGCACTTTGGGAGGCTGAGGTGGGCGGATCACTTGAGGTCAGGAAGGAGTTCAAGATGAGCCTGGCCAACATAGTAAAATACTGTCTCTACTAAAAATACAAAAATTAGCCAGGCGTGGTAGCATGGGCCTGTAATCCCAGCTACTTGGGAGGCTGAGGCAGGAGAATTGCTTGAACCTGGGAGAAGGAGGCTGCAGTGAGCTGAGATCGTGCCACTGCAATCCAGCCTGGGCAATGAAGTGAGACTCTGTCTTTAAAAAAAATAAATAAATAAAGGTAGACTTGTATAGACAACTGTCACTTCCTCCTCACCCTTGTTCCCCACCCCTACTCCCTCCTTCCCTCCCTTGCCACATACCCTCTCTAGGTAATCTGTCTTCTTTGGTCCTGTTTTATCCTTCCAAGTATCTTCTGCACAAGTAAGTGGATATATGTGTATTTTCTTATATCTCCTTCCTTTTTACATCAGTGACAGTATACTACAGATACTCATTTGTATTTAGCTTTTTTCATTTAACAGTATATCCTGAAAACTCCTCTAAATGAGTTCACAGAGATCTTCCCACTCTTTTTGATGGCTATATACTAATCCATGGTGTGGCTACACTATAGCTTACTCATCCACTCTCCCACATATGGGCATTTAGGTTGCCTCCAATATTTTGCAATTACAATGTTGTAATGGATTACCTTGTGTGTCTACGTAGTTTCATATTCTTGGAGGTGTATCTTTAGGGTAGATTCTTAGGAGTGGGTTTCCTGGATCAAAAAGGAAATGCGTATGTACTTTTATTAGATATTGCCAAATTTCTCTCCAGAAGGGTTGTACCAATTTGCATGCCCACCAGCAAGGTATGAGAGAGCCATTTCTCCATATCCTCATCACAGAGTATAATTTCACAGTTTTACATTTTCCCCACTGATAGGTCAGAAATGGTGTCCTAGTGTTGTTACAACTAGCATGTTTATAATGAGGAGGTGAGTTTCAGCGTTTTTCTCATCTGCTTGAGGATGATTTTTAAAACGTGTTTTGGTGAATTATCTGGTCACATCTTTCCCCCAATTTTTCTATCAAAATGTCCTTATTCTTAAAAGATGCCACTGAAATATACATAGATGAGAAGGATCCTGAAGTGTCAAGTCGTTCATTGGAAAAAAAAGTGTGTGTGCGTATGTGTGTGTGTGTGTGTGAGACACAGAGACAGAAAGAGAGAGAGAAAGTTTATCCATCTATCTGAGAGAACAACTGCCCCCCGCTTCCATACACAAAGAGCTAGTTGTCAACAGGCTACTATGTTCCCTTCCATAGCGCTATGGTCTAATGTGTGTGTGCCCCCAAATTTCATATTGTGAAACCTAATCACGATTGTGATGGTATTAGGAGCTGGGGCCTTTGGGAGGTCACTAGGTCATGAGGGATCCACCTTCATGGATGAGATCAGTGCCTGTATAAAAGAAACCCCAGTGAGCTAGCTAGTTCTTCCACTATGTGAGGCTACACAGCAGGGAAACACCATCTACGAACCAGCAAGTGGGTCCTCACGGGCACTGAATCTGCTGGGACCTTGTTCTTGGACTTCCCAGTCTCCAGAACTGTCAGAAATAAATTTCTGTTGTGTGTAATCTACACAGTTTACGGCATTTTGTTTTGGTAGCCCAAATGGACTAAGACATGTAGCAACAGTCAACATAATCTCCCAACCTCCCCTTCCTTTGCCTTCGTGGCTTCTCTATGACAAGACACTCTTGGAAGACCTTAGCTGCCAACAGGCTGAGCACAGCCCTGGGAGTCCCAGCAAACTGGCTGAGAACTTGGGTCTCTAGTCGTTGCTCTGTGAGTGCTGCCAGTGTGTGATGCCCGGCGCCAGATGTCCCAATTGTGTGTGTAAGATGGTGTTTCACTCTTGTTGCCCAGGCTGGAGTGCAATGGCGCAATCTCGGCTCACCGCAACCTCCGCCTCCTGGGTTCAAGTGATTCTCCTGCGTCAGCCTCCTAGCTAGGATTACAAGCACGTACCACCATGCCTGGCTAATTTTGTATTTTTAGTAGAGATGGGGTTTCACCATGTTGGTCAGGCTGGTCTCAAACTCCTAAGCTCAGGTAATCCACCTGCCTTGGCCTCCCAAAGTGCTGGGATGACAGGTGTGAGCCACTGTGCCCGGCCCAGATATCCCAATTTACTTGAGGATCCTGCCCAGCCAAAGTCCTAAAGGTGGGTTACAAGCCCTTGTCACTCTCCTTCAACTCACAATGTTTCACACACACACACACACACACACACACACACACTTGCTGTATTAAAGCAACTCTCTTTTTTTCAAATAAAATGGTAATATGGCTATAAAGAAACACCTGCCTTATTTGCCTGAAACAGGAAATAATTATAAAAGTAAACATGTCGAAAGCAAAATAGAAATAGAGGGCTGGCATGGATGTGATGGAAACCTAGACACTGCGGGATGTCCAGGGAGGGACCCCAGCCCCTGATACCTTCTGAAGTAAAAATCCCAGAAGGGTGCCTTCAACAGAAATCTTAGATAATTTTTTTGAAGGCAGATGGAGAGAGGGTGGTTCCAAGAGCAAATGGGATCTGTAACCTCGATGATCACAACATTTCAATATGGTACCTGGGAAGTAGATGAAATTAGCACATCGAAAGAGCTGGTACACACTAGATGCTCAATAAATGCTACTGCTAGACTTCTTATCGTCATCACAATCAGCAGCAGCATGCAGAAAGAGTAAACATAGCAGGTGTGAGACTGCTGTCCTTAGAAATGTCTGCTTACAAAGTTGGCCCTTAGGCAGTTCCTGGGAACTTGAATGGTAAACAGTTCCCTACACAGATATAAAAATTCCCTAAATAAGAAGAGAGCCTTGCTGTACCTAAACA
Organism: Homo sapiens; assembly: GCF_000001405.40. Classification (NCBI taxonomy): domain Eukaryota; kingdom Metazoa; phylum Chordata; class Mammalia; order Primates; family Hominidae; genus Homo; species Homo sapiens. Next base: position 72,676,708 of record NC_000017.11, read on the forward strand.
GTTTGTGCAACTAATATTGCTTACGTCAAATGCTCGCTTCACTTATGGAAGTCTAGACTTTTGGTATACGTTAGGCAGAGGGTGCCTATGTGACCAGTACCCTCAATAAAATCTCGGGCACTGGTTCTCGAATGAGCTTCTCTGGTCGACAGTATTGTGCGTGTGCCGTCCCACCTCACTGTTGGAGGAGTGAAGCCCATCTGGTGTAACTCCCCTGGAAGAAGATTCTTAGAAACTTGTGCTGGTGGTTTCCGGACTTTTCCCTGGGTACCTTTTTTCTTTGCTGCTTTTGCTTTGTAGCTTCTCACTAGAATACATCTCAGCTGTGACTATGTGCTGAGTCTTGTGAGTCCTTGTAAAATCACCAAACCTGGGTGCCTTGGGTAGCCACTGCACAAGCAGCAGCCGCAGTGGCTGAGGGTGGTGTCAGGTGGCTGGACCTAAGGGAAGCCTCTCTCAGAACCCATCACATCCTAGCACTGTGGATGGAAGGCAGCCAGCATTCCTGACCCTAGTGGGGTGGGAGTTGCAGGGCTGGGGTTGGAAGAGGCTAAGTACATAAAATCCAGGGCCAAAGATGACAGTGGGAACACAGGGACCAGCAAAAGAGGCACACAGGAGGCCATGGCCAACACCAGCTGGGCCCTGCTACATCACAGCAGATGCTGCAAGGAGAAAGGCCAACATCTGGTCAGATGCCACTCCTTTCGGGTCAGGAGATGGGACATTCTGAGAACCCAGATCTCCTTTAGGAAAAAAGAGAAGAGGGTGGGAGAATCTCAAATTGAATGCATCTGTAACCTGAACTGAGCAAATTTAAAGCCGGAAGTGACGCGGCCATCTTTAAATGGCATGTTTTTAACATCAGGGCAAATGAGGGTTTGTGAGTGAGGTTCACCAAGAGCAGTGGTTCTCAAACCCGAGTGTGCATCCGAATCACCTGGAGGGTTTGTTAAAGCACAGACCGTGGGCCCCTCCCCGGCAGGCATAGTATCCAGGAACACTTGGGGTATTGGGAAAATGAAGCTAGAAAGACTCCCTCAATTTTGGTCCTCCTCCCTAGAGAATTACTAGAACACAGCAGAGTAGAGGGCCAGGAATTGCAAGTAGAGGGCAGGATAAAGAAAATGTGGTACATTTACACAATGCGGGAGGGAGAGAAGGCTACCGACGGCCTTTCCCCTGATACTCAAGGTCGTCTTGGAAACAACGTCACCACCTACAAGCCCATCCAGTGCTCCCGTGTTCTCCTCTTAGTTTGAATACCAAGCTTAACCTGGCAGGAGCGCCCTTTCCCTTGAGGATCTCGGAAGACAGTCAAATGCATTCATCAACTAATATCCCACAAACAGAAGCAGAGGGTCCATGTTTCAATGGCATTTTGGGCATACAAAAAATTTATAACTTTCCTGAGCTCACAGCAAAGCTTCCCATAAAGGGCTGCCATAAATGGCAGTTTGGATGCCCGTTCCGCTCACAAAAGCCCATTTAACTCAAGTGTGCATAGTTTATAAGTATTTAAGTGCCTTGTGGGTTATGTAAAGCTTGTGGGGGAGTTCAGGAACTGAATCACCATTTACAACGTGTTTTTTTTCCCCCACTGTGGGAAAATACCTTCCCTGTGAACAGCGAGAAGGAGGGTACTAAAGAAATGTGTAAGAGATGGAAATGTGGAGGCTGGAGGGATGTTCTCCTTGCTTTGAAACTCCAAGAACATGGCCAGGCACGGTGGCTCACATCTGTAATCCTAGCACTTTGGGAGGCCGAGGCGGGCAGATCACAAGGTCAGGAGTTTAAGACTAGCCTGGCCAACATGGTGAAACTCCGTCTCTACTAAAAATACAAAAATTAGCCCGGCATGGTGGCGTGCGCCTGTAATCCCAGCTACTCGGGAGGCTGAGGCAGGAGAATTGCTTGAACCCAGGAGGCAAAGGTTGTAGTGAGCCGAGATTGCGCCACTGCACTCCAGCCTGGACGAGAAAAAAAAAAGAGAGAAACTCCAAGAGCATGCCTCATGCTCTTGGGGTAGCAATCATGAAGCAGTTTAGGGATTCATCGATTCACAAATAATTTCTGAGCTCCTAATCTCTCAGAGACGACATCCAGGGTGCAACAAAGAATAGTGCTTGAGGCTGTTCACAAGAGCCAAGACAGGGAGTCAACCTGTGTTCATCAAGAGAAAAATGGATAAAGAAAATGTGGTACATTTACACAATGGAATACTATTCAGCCATAAAAAGAATGAGATCGTGTCATCTGCAGCAACACGGATGGAACTGGAGGCCATTATGTTAAGTGAAATAGGCCAGGCACAGAAAGACAATGGTTGCACATTCTCACTCATAGGTGGGAGCTACAAAAGTTGATCTCATGCTGGTAGAGTAGAATGGTGGCTACCAGAGGCTGGGGAGGGAAGAGAGGAGAAGAGTGATCAAGAGGTGGGTTAAGGGGTACAGTAAGAATACAGTAAGATGGAAGGATCACATTCTAGTATTTGACAGTATAGTAGGGAAATTATAGTTAACAGTAATTTATTGTATGCTTCAAAATAGGTAGAAGAGAAGAATTGTAATGTTCCCAGTACAAAGAAAAGATAAACGTTTGCTGTGATGGGTATCTCAGTTAATCTGATTTGATCATTACACAGTGTCTACAGGTATGCTAAAAATATAGACAACAATTACCTATCAATTAAAAATAAAATAAAAGAATAGTGCTTGAATCCCTGTCCTCTGGCTGCTCAGAGTCTGAGATGCGCAGACACAGAGAAAGGCACTAACCCCCCAGGGAACCTGTTCTGCAGGAGGAAGGCAGCAGCTATTGGAACTTGAATAGAGACAGCCGCGCCCACCTCGGGCTTCTTCAAGGGCTCCTGGAGGAAGCTGGCCAGGTAAGGAGTTGAAGACCCACTGGAGGCAAAGGGGCCAACGTGTGTAGAGACATGTTGCAGGAGGTATTGATCTTGATTGGGCTGGGTGGCAGGTGGAGGATGGCCTGGTGGGAGGTGGGCTTAGAGGACACGTTAAGGATTTGTTAAAGAATTGTGGTAAAATTGGCTGGGCACGGTGGCTCACGCCTGTAATCCCAGCACTTTGGGAGGCCAAGGTGGGCGGATCACGAGGCCAAGAGATCGAGACCATCCTGGCCAACATGGTGAAACCCTGTCTCTACCAAAAATACAAAAATTAGCTGGGCGTGGTGGCGCATGCCTGTAGTCCCAGCTACTTGGGAGGCTGAGGCAGGAAAATCACATGAACCTGGGAGGCAGAGGTTGCAGTGAGCCAAGATCGAGCTACTGCACTCCAGCCTGGGCGACAGAGTGAGACTCTGTCTCAAAAAAAAAAAAAAAAAAAAAAAAAAAAAGAATTGTGGTAAAATTAATATAACATAGAACTCAGCATTTTAACCATTTATGAGGTGTACATTTCAGTGGTATTTAGTGTATATTCACAGTGTTGTGCAACCATCACCACAATCTAGTTCCAGAACATTTTTATCACCCAAAAGCAAATGCTATACCCATTAGCAGTCACTCCCCACCCCTACCGCCCTCAGCTCCTGGCAACTATGACTCTGCTTCTGTCTCTATGGATCTGCCCACTCAGGACAGCACATGAATATGATACGGTTTGGCTGTGTCTCCACCCAAATCTCATCTTGAATTGTAGCTCCCATAATTCCCATATGTCACGGAAGGGACCTGGTGGGAAGTAATTGAATCATGGGGGTAGGTCTTTCCCATGCTGTTCTCATGATAGTGAATAAGTCTCATGAGATCTGATGGTTTTATAAAGGGCAGTTTCCCCACACACACTCTCTTGCTGCTGCCATGTAAGACATGATTTTGCTCCTCATTTGCCTTCCGCCATGATTGTGAGGCCTCCCCAGCCATGTGGAACTGTGAGTCCATTAAACCTCTTTCTTCTATAAATTACCCAATGTCAGGTATGTCTGTATTAGTAGTGTGAGGATAGACTAATACAATAAATAAAACTACACGCATGTGGCCTTTTGTGTTGGCTTTTTCCACTTAGCAAAATGTTTCAAGGTTCATCCATATTGAATCATGTATTTGTATCAGTACTTCTTTCCTTTTACAGCTGAACAATATTCCATTGTATGGGTATGTCTCATTTTGCTTATCCATTCATCCACTGATGGACATTTGGGTTGTTTCTACCTTCTGGCTATTGTAAATAATGCTGCTGTGAACAGTGGTGTACACGTTTTCGGTTTCTTTGTTTGTTTTTTTGAGATGGAGTCCCACTCTGTTGCCCAGGCTGGATTGCAGTAGCACAATCTTGGCTCATTGTTAACCTTCATCTCCCGGGTTCAAGTGATTTTCCTGACTCAGCCTCATGAGTAGCTGGGATTACAGGCACACAACACCATGCCCAGGTAATTTTTTTGGGTTTCACCATGTTGACCAGGCTGGTCTTGAACTCCCGACCTCAGGTGACCCGCCCACCTCGGCCTCCCAAAGTGCTGGGATTACAGGTGTGAGCCACAGCACCCGGTCTACATGTTTTTGTTTGAATGCCTGTTTTCAGTGATGTTGGGCCTACTCTGAGGAGTGGAATTGCTGAGTCACAGGCTAAGGATTTCATGCTTAGGAGCATCATAGGAGCAGCTAGAGGCCATGTAAGTGAGGAGCTGCATGATTAGAACTGTGTTTCTAAGCATTGGCTATAGCTGCTGTGGGTGGAAAGTTGGAGGGAAGCAGGAGTGGCCAGAGGTGACAATAGTCCAGGAGAGAGACCAGTGGAGGCTGGTGGCAGGGGGAAGGAGAGAAGTCACGAATTGCATTCTCCTCATCTCTTTTGCTCCTGCTCTTCTCCCTATCACAGCCGCAGACATCTAGCCACAAGCGAGAAATAACCATTTTCCCTGCAGACATTTTCACATTCTGAAACAACGAGGGGTTGAACAACAACCCTTGAGCAACACAGGTTTGAACTGTGCAGGTCCACTTACATGTGGATTTTCTTCTGTCTCTGCCACCCCAGAGACAGCCAGACCAATACCTCCTCTTCCTCCTCCTCCACAGCGAACTCAGTGTGAAGATGATCCACTTCCACTTAATGAATAGTAAATATATTTTCTCTTCCTTAGGATTTTCTTAATAATATTTTCTTTTTTCTCATTTACTTTATTGTAAGAATACAGTATATAACAGGGGTCCCCAGCCCCTCGGCCACAGACCTGACCTGGTCCATGGTTTGTTAGGAACTGGGCCTGCACAGCAGGAGATGGGCGGCAGGCAAGCGAACGAAGCTTCATCTGTATTGACAGCCACTCCCCATCACTCACATTACCACCTGAGCTCCGCCTCCCATCAGATCAGCGGCAGCATTAGACTCTCAGAGGAGCACGAACCCTATCGTGAACCGCACATGCAAGGGACCTACGTTGTGATGATCGGTCACTGTCCCCCATCACCCCTAGATGGGACGGTCTAGTTGCAGGAAAACAAGCTCCTCTACATTATGGGGAATTGTATAATTATTTCATTACATATTACAATGTGATTGTAATAAAAATAAAGTGCACAATAAATGTCATGTGCTTGAATCATCCCGAAACCATCCCTCCCCCCACCCCAGTCCATGGAAAAATTGTCTTCCATGAAACCGGTCCCTGGTACCAAAAAGGTTGGAGACTGCTGGTATATAATACATATAAAAAATATGTGTTGATCGACTGTTTATGCTATTGGTAAGGCTTCTGGTCAACGGTAGGCTATCAGCAGTTAATTTTTTGGGGAGTCCAAAGTTATACGTGTAATTGACTAAATGGAACTGACTGTGTGGGGAGGGGGCCGGTGCCCCCAAGCCCCACATTATCCAAGGGTCAATGTAGTGAGCTGGTAAGCACAGCTGATTGTGGGCAAGACAGGTGGTTTTGAACTTCTTCCCAGCTGGACTATGAGAAACTCACTGACCCCCACAAAAAAAACTTTTCATGGTCTCTTTTAGCTCCAAGCCTCCATGATTTCTGTGGGAGGCTGTCCTGTAACCATCAGCTCTTCACCTCCAATCATGAAGTGGTTTCCACTGTAAAGGAAGCTGCTGATTCACGTGGAGACTCTACTATCTTCTTATCAGTCCTTTATTTATATAACTGTCTGACTTATGAGTCAATCTTTAGGACAGGATAAAAGTTCACATCTTCTCCCATCTGAATAATCTAAGACCTAGAACATTATCTTGAGGCACCCATTTTGTCAACAAACAAACAAAAAACAAAAATGCCAGCAAACCAAAGAAAAATGGAAACTGTCCACTTGCACCTCTTTTGAGTCCTCCTGCAAACTGGCATCTACAAGAGGAACTGTCACTCACAGCACCTTTACTGTCATGTGGCAAGGTATCAGTGGCTTCTGAAGGTGCTGCTTCATGCAGAATGTTTTGGGTGCCCCCTACATTCTAATTTACTACAGGTAACTGTTGGTAAAAGGCCCACTCAGACTTTCCCATGTAGCTGGTTCTCAATAGATCCTCTATGGAAGGAAAGAAGGAAGGATGAACCGAAAAATGGATAAAGTATACACCCCCATGGAAGAAGGAAGAAATAGATCCAATGTCATGATTTGCATTGGTTTTGCTGCCCCATTTCCTTGAGACTAATTTTTTTTTTTTTTTTTTTGGATACACGGTCTCGCCATCTCCTATAGGCTAGAGTGCAGTGGCACAGTCACGGCTCACTGCAGCCTCAACCTCTCGTGCTCAAGGGATCCTCCCACCTCAGCCCCTAGGGTAGCTGGGACTACATGCACACACCACCACACCTGGCTAATTTTTAAATTTTTTGTAGAGCCAGGGGTCTCACTATATTGCCCAGGCTGGTCTCGGACTCCTAGGCTCAAGTGATCCTCCCGCCTCTGCTTCCCAAAGTGCTGGTGTGAGCCACTGCGCCTGGCCTGAGGCTGATTCTGGCAGTAGTGAGGTCAACAGGGGATTACACACCCAATACTTGTGCCATAAAAGCTCCAACCAAGAGTCAAAGGGTTGATCTCGTAGAAAACTCTTTAGCTAAAGACAGAGCCAAAAAACCAAAGTGCAGCTCAAAGTCAGATGTGCTCTTAGACAGGTCCCCCGAGAGAGCTGGGAATCCTGGGACTCCATCACTTACATTTTCCTAGAGAAGTCTAAGCCCCTGGGTTCCTTTGGCAGTCTGGCAGCTTGGGGCTCTTCCCAGGCTGTTTTTGAAAGGGGGGAATCACCCTGCCTGACCCTTTTCCAACACTACCCATCTGACTCCTGCTAGTGGAGGGGCTCTTTAAGTCCCAGGGGAAGGGCTATTCAAGTGCTTAGAAGATTTTGCAATCAAACTTTCAAGGGTAAATATTTGCAGTGACTCACCAGAGAGGTTTTTCTGCTCTCCTTCTGGCCCCTGGGGAGCCACAGGGCTCTTTCCCCAGGTCTGTTAGCAGTTTACGATGATTATCCGTAGGCTCCCTGGACAGCTCATGAGTCAAGAGACTGGGTTCCCGTAACCCACTCCCTTGCCCGGAGGCACCTGGGCTCACCATACCAGAGGTCAGCAGCACATTTACAGCACCATAGCCTAGTAAAGTCAATGGTACAAGTGTCCAGCTTGTGGCCTGGAGGCTTTGCCCAGGCTCGTGGGACAGGCAGACAATTTACAAGGTAAGTAACACATCATAAAATTGAGCAGCAAACACTAATGAGCCTACAAGCCAGGACAGAGGACCTTTCTCTCCGACCAGGGAAACTGACACAGCCACTGTCCCAGGTTTGGGCAGGCGTGCCCTGCTAGCACCGACCACAGTGACCAAGGATAACGCATCGTGCTTTCCTCTAGACCCCAAGAAGCAACTGTAAACCTTGGGAGGCTTTCAAGAGACTCCCCAGATCAAGGGACCTTAACACTGTCCCCAAACTCTATTTGGCAGCTGGTTTATCGCGGCCACCACTATCATCCACCCCCATGATTATGACTTTGGTGAGTCTCTCTCCTGCTTCAAATCACAGATGTGGTCCCTGACTGAGGCTCACTCTGTTTGCAGAAGGGGACTACGGTGTCATCAGAGAGCTGGGGAGTGGAGGGGTGAGCTTCCTCAGAGTGTAGCTACAAGAGAAAGCATTTGGCTCTGCATTTGTTGGTGCTCTGTGTGGGTGCCCAATGGCTTGAAGTTGTCAGCATATCTGGGCACACAAGTTTGTCTCAGGCCCCCCGGGGGTTCTGATGACACGTTAAGCTCATAGGCCATGTGGCAATCATCCTGCAGAACTTTTGGTTCCGTCTGATCCCAGCTGAACCAATTCAGAATGGGCCAGACACAAGATACAAATGGTGCTGAGCAGGGAAATGATCATCGATTCAACTCCACTGAGTAGATGTTCGTCCATTTAGTTGGTAACAATTTATTAAGCATTCCTACATGCCAAGGCCCAAATTGGGTGCCGGGGACACAGGGGTGAATGAGACAGGGCCAGGCTCTTAGGAAGTTTGGGAGCAGACAGGTGGTATGCAAACAGATACCCCCACGCTGGACACTCTGCTCCGATGCTACGAAGGAGGCCACCTTTGGGAGCTGATGGAGAATTTCAGGGGAGGACCTCGTTTAGGAAGGGTGTTTAGAGGCGGACTCTTTGAAAAGGTGCAACTGCAACTGAAATTGAGATCTGAAGAATTAAAGGGGGAGGGGCGGTTGAGGGCAAAATAACTTTCTGTGCAGAGGAAAGAACAAGAACGAGGCCCAGCGATGGGCAGGATCTTTGTGTGTTCAAGAAACTTGAAGTCCTGTGTATCTGGAGTCTAGTAAGTGATGGGGAGAGTGAACTTGAATTTTACTTCAAACACAATAAGCCCCAAAAGGATTCATCTCAGGAACGTGGCAAAGGTCAGTTTTCATCTGACCTGGGTTTTTACCAGGTCCCCCTCATACTTTTTCTTTGGCTTTCCATGCAACACACAGATGCAACATGGTCATCTAGGATTAGGGAATGATTTAGGAATACAGGGACATTTTCTGATTTTGAAACAGCCCAATTTCCAACCTCTGCATCAGATCTATCCACAGGTGGGCTGTGCGTGGTGGTTCATGCCTGTAATCCCAGCACTTTGGGAGGCCGAGGTGGGAGGATCACTTGAGGTCAGGAGTTCAAGACCAGCCTGGGCAACATGAAACCCTGTCTCTACCAAAAATACAAAAATTAGCCAGGCGTGGTGGTATACGCCTATAATCCCAGCTACTCAGGAGGCTGAGGCAGGAGAATTGCTTGAACCCAGGAGATGAAGATTGCAGTGAGCTATGATCCCACCACTGCACTCCAGCTTAGGTGACTGAGACTCTGTCTTAAAAAAAAAAAAAATCTATTGACAGGTGGACCTCTTGACCCTTGACCTCCATCTGCAGGCTTGGTCTTGTCCCTAGGACCAATCTGGACTTATCACAAGGTACACTTAGGGGTTTTCCTCAACCCATAATGTGACACTCAACATCTGTTCTTTGTTGTTCTGCAAACAGTATCTCTATCTGCCTTTTTCCTGGGCTTGGACGAGTCCCTGTCCCCCAGGTCTGTTGCTGGCATGCTTCCAGCCAGATGCTGTGCTTTCCTAGGATTGGAGCCTCATCCCTGCTTCTGAGCCATCGTCCAGTGTCAGGAGTCTTGCTATGTGGCGACAGACCTTCCAGAAGCTGACTGGGGTCTGCCTGCACTTTCAAACAGTGCCTGATTCGGGATCCCACTGCTGTCCCGCTCCACCCGTCTCCTTACCCAGCATGGCTCTTGGCTCGTTCGTGATAGTAAAGACAGGTGCACCACACCCTGCCTGGGCCCTTCCCTCCAGACCCCCCTCTGCTTGGCAGGTGGAGCTCCCTCTCAACATCTAAAACTGTTCTTCTGTCCAGTGAGGGGGCTGAGTCTCAGGGCCAGGCCTCTGCCCGTCTCTTCCCCAACCTGCTGCTGTGAATGCCCAGCTATGGCCCAACGACATGCTAGCCTCAGCGTGTGCTCCACAGGCAGGAATCAGGGCATATGTTCAAGTTTATAAGGGGCCTATGAAAAAAGAGACTGCCAGCAGATTCCCTATTAAATGGGCTTCCCTTGCAGTAAAAGATTTAAATTAGAGTATCTTCTAAACAGGGGCGTAATGGGACCACCACAGGTCATTTAATCCATCCCTCTGCCACTTGCCATTAAAGGAAGAGCATGCTTGTGTCACCTGCTAGTCATCACCTAGACATGCTAAAGAAATATACAGACTCCCAAGAGGCTTCCGAATAGCTATTTTCCAAATTAATCAGGAGGGGAATTCTTTTCTTCAAATAAAGTCCTTTTTTTTAAGTGTTTTAATTTTGTTGCTGTTGTTGAGACAGGGTCATGCTCTGTCACCCAGGCTGGAGTTTGGTGGCACAATCACAGCTACTATAACCTCAAACTCCTAGGCTCAAGCCATCTTCCCACTTCAGTCTCCCAAGTAGCTGGGACTACAGGCGTATGCCATCATGCCTGGTTAGTTTTTTTAAAAAATTTTTGTAGACACAGGGTCTCACTACGTTGCCCAGGCTGGCAAACTCTTGGGTAGGAGCATTTTTTTTTTAGACAGTCTCGCTCTGTTGCCCAGGCTGGAGTGCGATGGTGCGATCTCGGCTCACTGCAACCTCCGCCTTCCGGCTCCTGCCTCAGCCTCACGAGTAGCTGGGACTACAGGCGCGTGCCAACACGCCCAGCTAATTTTTTGTATTTTTAGTAGAGATGGGGTTTCACCATGTTAGCCAGGATGGTCTCGATCTCCTGACCTCTTGATCCACCTGCCTCGACATCCCAAAGTGCTGGGATTACAGGCGTGAGCCACCGCGCCTGGCCAGGAGCATAATATTGAAAACAGATGAGAGCAAAGCTTTGCTCCTCACACCCACCATAAACTGTAGAACTCTGTGGGAGGCTGTTTGAAAACCATTGCTGAAAATACAGAGATCCTAAGATGTGGGGCAAATAGACTCCTGTGAGGAGGAGGCATGGAGTAGGGAAGGTCCATCATGCTAATAGTGTTGAAGCTGACAAAATCCTGGCAGCAGCCGCCTTTGACCAACAAGCATATGCCAAGACCCGGCTGGATGCTCTATAGGTTCTATTGTTGAACCTGCAAAATCTTTGCCAAGTAGGCATAATTATTCCAATTTTTCACATGCAGAAACTGAGGCTCTGTGGCATACAGTGACATCTCCAAGGCCACACACCTCCTGGAGAGCCATAATTTGAACCTCGGAGTGCCCCACTGACAGCCAACGACACCAGAGGGTCCCTTTGTATGTAAGGATTGCATGACTCCAGTTGAATGACCCAAGCCGGGGACAAACAGGAAAGAACCCAGCAGCTCTGGAGGCCACTTGAGCTGACTGTCAAATGCTCTGGGCTGATTAACGACTACGAACTTCAGGGAAGACAAGTGTGCTTTGATGCCACAGAGCTATCCTGGGCCTGTACAGGCCCGTTTCTGCTCTGAATGAGGAAGCTGTACTTTGCAGGCACCCGGCAGAACAAGAATAGGGCCTAAGATACCTGAATGAAGGGCACAGAGGAAGTACAAAATACAGTCATTGTTGGAGCTAGAAGCTGGTGCCAGGCTACGAGGGGGCCCAGTGGCCAAGCATTATGGCAGGAGAGAGATGTGAATATTTTCCAGGCAAATAATGCAGCTTCTCTACCTGGAAACCCTGCAGCCGTGTCATGCTGGACAACCCCCTCAGTCCAGGCGAGGCCAACTGGCGACTGCCAGGCCATACCATGTGTGCCTTCAGCTGCCCTCCACTGGGGACAAATGCCTCCTCTGAGCGATCCTCTTCAGGAAGTGGAGGATGCAGTGGCTGCTCCCCATGTGTCCCCCATGGCTCCCCAAGTTTAACAGGACTTCAGGTGGCAATGGGAGATCCTTAGGGCATGAGCAGTTCACATATACTTTTCACAGTAGTTTCCAGTCGTCAAATTACTTCACATAGGGTAAGGGATAGTTCCAGGCAAACTTAATGTAGCAGCAGGACCTCAGGGGAAAGGGTTCGCTTCAGTGGGCATCAACTGGTCTGTGCAAATCCCTGGAACCAAATTGCTGTCTCTGATGTAGAGGGGTCCAAGAAGAGGTGAGAAAGGTCAGGTTCCCCCTGGTGGGTAGACTCTGGGGACTCCAGAAATATGGCTGCAGCTACTCTAGCTCTGACTTTGTTCAACAGGTGCAAATACCAAGGTGATTTGTGACATCTGTCTATTCACACCCCGCAGGCTCTGGGTACCTCTACTCCCCAAGACAACTGGTGTTCTGTTTCCCCCCACACTGCCCAGGGCCCCTCTTGGAGCAGGTACCTGAGGTGGGCCAGCCAGTCATCCCTGTCCTGTCTCCTGTGCCATGGACCCCTCCCGAGCCCCTTGCCAATCAAAAATCCGGTAAATATTTGGTGTCCTCTGCACAGTGACAGCCTTGTAGGTGGCTGGCCCGATGCTCGACTGTACTCAGTTTCATGCTAGAGCGTTAATAAGTGGTTCTAAATGCAGTCGAGAAGATAAAATCTCACCTCCGCTCACTCTCCCAAGATAGGGAGGAGGATTTGCCTTTTCTAAGAAATTAACCAGCCCCTTGAAAGTAATTGTTTGAAAGCGTTCAGCTGGGTCTATGTGCAGCTATAGAGGTCATGGAAGGCCCGATGGGGCAGTTTTGAAAAGTGGGGAGAAGAGACACAGAATTACCATATAAGTCAGCAATTCCACTCCTGGGTATACACCATACAGAAATGGAAACAGAGACTTAAATACACACTTGCACACACCTGTTCATGTCAGCATTATTCACAATCGCCAAAAGGTAGAAACAACCCAATTGTCCATGAGCCTATGGAGGGTCAACACAACGTGGTGGGCATGTAGGAGAATATTATTCAGCCGAGAAAGTGAATGAAGTGCTGATCTATGCCACAATGCAGATGAACCTCAAAAACATCCATGCTAAGTGAAAGCAGCCAGACACGAACGGTCACATATTGTACGATTCCACTGACATGACATGCCCCAAACAGGCAAATCCATAGCAACGGTAGATGGATTTGTGGTTGCCAAAGGCTGTGGGGGGAGGGAGAAGACAGGGTGGCTGCTTATGGGTATGGACTTTTCTTTTGGGGTGATGAAAACATTTTGGAAGATAGAGGTGGCAGTTGTACAACATTGACAGTACTAAATGCCAATAAATGGTTCACTTCCAAGTGGCTAATTTTACATTATGAAAATTTCCAAAGTGGGGGATGTTCAAAGAAAGCCTCCTCTCCACCGAGCGCTGTGTGAGGGGATCATACACTCCACTGGGAGGGGGCCTTGCAAGCTGCAGGGAAGCCAGGAAATACTCTCCTTCCTCCTTCTGGGGAGCGTGTGTGATCCAGGAGTGACGCGCTGGGGCAAGCGAGGCCCATCTGTACCCAGGCTGGTGGCGGGGCTCAAGAGCCCAGGTGAGACTGTCCCATGGGATGGGGGTACCAAAGCTGCCACAGCAGGACTTCCTGAAACTTTGAAGGCATGTGCCTGTGTTGGTGTTGGGATCTGACAGCTGGGAAGAGGGGATGAAACCAAACCTCCTCCCAGGGGGACGTCCTGGTGAGGTTTCCTAAAAACAAGTTAGGAGTCAGAGGATACACGTCGGAGAATTCCCCAAGGGGCTCCTGGCTCTCAGAAGAAGGGAGAATATTGAAGTGCTGGGGGTACTCACACGGGGTTTGGAGGATTAGCTTCTCGGGTACTTTTCCCTTGGGATATGAAAAGGGAAACTGAAACAGATAAACACGTACTTGTACACACATGTGCATGGCAGCATTATTCACATCACCAAAAGGTGGAAACCACCCAAATGTCCATCAGCTTATGAATGGATCGACACAATGAGATGGACATGTAAGAGAGTATTTTGTGAACAGTTCTATAACCTCCTTCCTTCTTGTGTTATAATGCCCTTTTGGTTCCCCCAAATCCTTCAGTGACATCGGAGACACCAGATGCACCCTGTGGTGGTGGGATGGAAGGAAAGAGAGGTGGTGGAGTCTCAGGGAAGGGAGGCCCACTCTATAGACTCCACTCCACCCTCTCTCATAAGACCATCAAGCACTTGTGAAGGTCACAGCAGGGCTCCTGGTGTGCCCGAGACCAACAAGACCAGGTCCAGTGCAGGGCTGGGAGGGGAGAGGAGAACACAGCTCCAAGGAATGGCAGTCACCTGGAAACGTCTAGAGTAGATAAACCAGACCAGATTTCCCAAATCTGTACAAGGGAGGAAGTGGCCACACTGGGGAGGGGAAAGTCTCAGAAGGGCCACACCATTTTATAGGAGGACTCTCAAAGGCTTAGCTCAAAGGAATGATTCCATACATGGAGTCTGCACAGGTGAGGGCAGACTAGGGGTGGGGGACCTCCTGGGAGCTTTCTCCAAACACAGATGCTGACTCTGGAGGTGAGGCCTACTGAACAACCCCGAGGGTGATTCAGAAGTGCAATCCTCACAGATGACCATGTGCAGGGAGAAGGGACTTGGAGTAATCTTGAGCTCAATCCTGGCTCAGGCATTTCCTAGAGGTGACTTTGGGCAAGTTATTCTTTCCCCCAAATTCTCTGCACCTGTTTCTTTCCGTGTCAAGTGTAGACCCGGCCTTACCCTTGGTCCAGCCCCTCTGAGATCTATTTCATGTATATAAAAAAAAAATGGTTAGCCAGTGTAATCACCTGATAACTAATGGTCCTTCCAGCAGACAGATTCATCTACTCACTTGACAGTTACTTACTGAACACCTACTTTGTGCCAGAAATGTAAGAGTTGACGGTTTCGTCCTCATTCGCTGTTTCCACTAACAGTTCAGTGGCTGGATCAAAAGGTATTTTCAATGAAAAACAGTACATTAAATAATTTCAGCTGTTTGAGATGAATTCCACTAACATGGAAATTGTGAACCTGTGGCATTTTGGAGAATTATTCATAAGTGGAAACTAAATAAAAATACAGCTTGTGCATGCTCTTGACTCACACTGGAGTCATTCCCATGCGTAGATGACTTTCATTTGGGAATGTTTTCTCTAAAACATTCCCAGAACCTTGCAAACATAAAGATTTCTGGATCAGATCTTTCTCTGCCAGCTACGACACTGTCCAAGTTTGGTCAACAGTGCCAAATAGGAGGTTTAGCACTATATAGGATATGTGACCTCTGTCCTTGAGGAATCAGGAGACAGGAAACGGGACTCGCCTGCTGAACCTGGGAGCCTGTGCCTAAACAGGGGGATTATAATCCCTCCCCCACCTACCTCAAAGTAGTGGATTTTTTTTTTTTTTGAGGCGGAGTCTCGCTCTGTCACTCAGGCTGGAGTGCAGTGGCGCGATCTCGGCTCACTGCAAGCTCTGCCTCCTGGGTTCATGCCATTCTTCTGCCTCAGCCTTCCTGAGTAGCTGGGACTACAGGTGCCTGCCACCACACCTGGCTAATTTTTTGTATTTTTAGTAGAGACAGGGTTTCACCACATTAGCCAGGATGGTCTCGATCTCCTGACCTTGCGAACCACCCGCCTCGGCCTCCCAAAGGGCTCAGATTACAGGCGTGGGCTACCGCGCCCGACCAAAATAGCGCATTTTTATTAAACTGCTCAAATCCTACAATGATGAGGTGATGCATTAGTCTGTTTTCATGCTGCTAATAAAGACATACCTGAGACTGGAAAGAAAATGAGGTTTAATTGGACTTACACTTCCACATGGCTGGGGAGGCCTCAGAATCATGGCGGAAGGCAAAAGGCACTTCTTACATGGTGGCAGCAAGAGAAAATGAGGAAGAGGTAAAAGTGGAAATCCCTGATAAACCCATCAGATCTCATGAGACTAATTCACTATCACGAGAATAGCACAGGAAAGACCAGCTGCTATCATTCAATTACCTCCCCCTGGTTCCCTCCCACAATTTGTGGGAATTCTGGGAGATACAATTCAGGCTGAGATTTGAATGGGGACACAGCCAAACCCTATCAGATGGGGTGGGGATGAGAACAGAGAGGTAAAGAAAGTTGTTCATGTGTTCACATCAATGTCCATGAGATACTTGTACACACAGGACAACTTGGGACTGGAAAAAAGAAGGAGGGGCAGAGAGCATGGAGCTGAAACCTCATGGCTGGATCTCAGCAGCACCTCATCAAAGCACTCACTCTCATCTGGACGGGGCTCAGACCTAACCAGGGTCTGCTTTCTTAGACAAGACCTGTTTGCCAAGAAGTGCTAATATTATACACAATTTGGATACACCCAGCACTAAAAGGATATTAAATACTATCAGCATTCTAGGGGTTTTATCGGATGCCAAATATCTTCTTATAAACCAAACATCTGGATCAATTTGAAATTAGAGTCCCAAGACAAAAATAGAAGGCAAAAGGGAAAATAATGAATCTCAAATTCAAAGGCAGCCTCCAATCTAGGTCAAAAGGCTGAGCCCTCATGAAGACATGCCCTTTGGCCCCCCTCCCCTGGGCCCACCCACCCTCCCACTGTCCTCTTGTCCCAGGAAGCTGTGTGAGAACATGCTCCTCAGGTGCCCCCACTTCTACAAAGCTGCAGGGAACACTGACCAGCCAGCAAGCTCACGGTCTGGGAAACTTCCTTTCCTCTCTCCTCCCCATCTTTAATCAAAACAGATGTTCAGACTGGCAGTGCTGCCCTCTCTTTAGAATGCTTTAAACAGGCAGCTGCCTTGATGCCGGGTAGGGCTGGGCCAGGAGAGCTCAAAAGCCTTTAAACATTATTAAAATGTTTTACTTAAAAATTAGATCAATAAACTGTCCATTCCTTGGGCGGTCGCACAATAGTAAGCATCTTGCTTTCCAAGCGTGGCAGATCTCACGAAAGCCGCTGCACGCTCAGCAGCACAGAATCCAACAGCACCTGAGACCCACAGCCAAGGAAACAGCAGCCCGCAGCTGCCACAATCAACTTCCTGGAGGACAAATGGCCATGCCACTCCTCAATCTGGAGTACAATGGCGCAATCTCGGCTCACTCCAACCTCTGCCTCCCAGATTCAAGCGATTCTCCTGCCTCAGCCTCCCAAGCAGCTGGAATTACAGGCGCCCACCACCACGCCTGGCTAATTTTTTGTGTTTTTAGTAGAGACGGGGTTTCACTATGTTGGCCAGGCTGGTCTCGAATTTCTGACCTCGTGATCCACCCGCCTCGGCCTCCCAAAGTGCCGGGACCACAGGGGTGAGCCACCGAGCCCAGCCCCCAGCTCTTTATAGAAAAAGCACCCACCTCCCTGCCCTGACTCTCCCGAGGGGACAGAGTCCTCTCCTTGCTCAGTCTGGGGCTGGACTGAGGGAGTCCCAGAGGAAGAAGAGGAGGAAGATAGAGGAGGTTGTGCTGGGCTTCCCAGCTTGCAGCATGGCTGGCAGACACAGTCTTGGGGAAGTGGAGCCAGCGGTGGGTGAGGCAGGGTGGCCCGAGCCCTCTCTCATGCTGGCTCTGCTGAGCATGGGGACTCCTGAGAAGGGGGTCTCACAAAATCCACTGTGAGGTTGCCACCGGGCTGTGGAACATGTAAATGAAAACCAAAGATGGTGCTTCATTCTGAGCTCATGTGATTTTCTTCTTTATTAAACTTCAGGAAGGAGAGCTAGAATTGGCTCCTTAGGATACCTCCCCGAGCCCTGGTACCCATCGTGGCTTCCTTCTCTGGCTCCTGTTTCAGAGACTTTGGAAGAACTGTCTCCTTGGTCTCAGACATCACGATACCCGGATCTCAGCTGCTCGCCACTGTGCAGCTGTCTGCAGGGCGGCTCTGTGGGGCTCCCCTCCATTGCCCCAACCACTGCGGGACTTGTTTTGTAGCAGGGCTGGTTTGGAAATTCCTTTTGGGTCACCTCCAGTGGTTCCACGGCAAGCTAAGGAATGGTGGCCAGAAGATGACGGACAAAACTTGAATACGAAGGTGGAGGAACCTTGTGGGCAGGGTGGGGTGGTCCCCTCAGGGTCCGTCTACCACAATCCAAAATAGCATTTTCCCTTTGACAAACCCTGGGCCACCAGAGAGAAGACCTGGGGCTGGGGTCTGCTGACTGTCATCCCAGGCTACTTTGCCTTGCAGATGCTCCTGTCCTGGCTCTGTGAACTGGAGATGCTGGTGGCCTCCATGGACATCCATTACGATATTTCCTCCCCGGGAGAGTCTCTGTCTCTCACTCCATCTTTCTGGACCGAGGCCAGGCAGGTGCTGTGGGCATGGCTGCCCTTAGTTGAGCATAGACCTTCCCTTGACCCTTCTTTTGTGATCTCCTCCCTTTAAGAAGCAGCTGCCCCTTTCTTTCTGCTGGTATGCAGTTCCTTGGTTCTCTTTGGAAATCAAGGGAATGGGGTACACAAAGGTCAGAAATGCCAAGAAGGGTAGAAACGGGAAGTCTGTTTTGAGTTACTCTGACCTCATCTCCCAGAGGCCTCTGTCCCTCCCTTGATTGGGTCTCTGCCTCAGTGTCTCCTCCTCAAACAGAACCCTCTCTACCCCCACTCCTCCCTATCATGTTCTCAGGAGTTTTGAGCCATTCCTGGCTTGAGTTTTTCTTCCCGGCACGTAGTATCCACAGCCTGACATGTCCACATGCATCTGCTCATCCAGGGAATAAGCTCCATGAGGGAAGGAGCTGCCTGGGCTGCAGCCAGCTGGATTCTGTGCCTAAAACAGGGCGCTGCACCCCCTGGGTGCTTCCTGGCAAGCTGTTATTGCTGAATATTTCTCCCATCCAAGTACTAACTGGGCATTATGGCCATAGACTGAAAACTTCTTTCCTTTGGGAGAAATCTCACACAGAAGAGGGTGCAGAGGGTTGCATGGTAGTCCCCAAAAGATAGCCATGTCCTAGAACCTAGGAATATGATTTATTTACAAAAAAAAGGGTCTTTGTGGATGTAATTAACTTCAGGAGGTAGAGATAAGATCATTCTAGATTATCTAGGTGGGCCCTGAATTCAATGACGAGTGTCCTTAGAAAAGACAACCAGAGGAGAGACCCACAGAGGAGAGGAGGAGGAAGGCTGCGTGAAGTGAAGGCAGAGACAGAGACCGGAATGATGCGGCCACCAGCCAAAGGATGCCTGCAGCCACCAGGAGCTGGAAAGCAGCAAGGAAGGGTCCTCCTTCCAGAGCCTGCAGAGAGCACAGCTATCTGCTGGCACCTTGATTTCCAACTTCTGTCCTTGGGAAGTGTGAGAGAATCAACTTCTGCTGTTCTAAGCCACCCAGTTTGTGGTAATTTGTTAGGCAGCCACAGGAGACTAATGCAGGGGCAGGCACCACCACACCTGGATGCTGGGCGTGGTGAAACAGACCCCGCTATGGGGCAAAGAGTCTGCAAGGAGAGACAGACAATAATTAAGCGAGGAAAAAAGTGTATATAATTACAGCTTGTGAAGATCTCGGAAGGAAACAGGTGGGATTGGGAGTCATGGGGCAGGGGGAGGGGAAGGCAGGAGTTGGCATTTCAGTTGCGGTCCAAGGTGGAGATCGGAAAGCATGGCAAAGCCTGAGTCCCCACCTGGCTCCTTACCCCGGCCTCTGAGTCTACTTGCTCCTTCCCCTGTCCTCCACCCCACAGGAGGGATGATCCTTCTAAGCACAAATAATAGCAGTCGCCATTTACAAGGTACCTACCAGGACAGCTGCAAGAGG
Source organism: Homo sapiens (assembly GCF_000001405.40). Classification (NCBI taxonomy): domain Eukaryota; kingdom Metazoa; phylum Chordata; class Mammalia; order Primates; family Hominidae; genus Homo; species Homo sapiens. The sequence continues at coordinate 72,696,397 of NC_000017.11, forward strand.
GGACGTGGCTAATACTAATCCCCATTCTAAGATCAAAGAAGCCAGGCTCAGGGAGGGTAAGTGACTCTTCCATGTTTAAACCGAGATCTGATCCCGGAGTCTGTTCCTGTTCCGCTGGGCTTAATGGACTCTCCTCACCATTCCCATCTCGCTCAAAAGCGCCCAGGTGTTGTCTGCTGTCTGACATATGAGACCCACGCTCCTCAGAGAAGCATTCAGGGCCCCCTATCTCTCTGATTTCCATATAAATTTTCTTCCAATCTACTGCCACACCCCACCAGGGAACTTCCAATGTATCCACACAGACCTACTCACCTGTTTTTAGCACCTTTATGAACCTGCTTTTAATAATTATGTTATAAAGTGTATTATAAATCATATTATAAAAAAATACAATTGTGACATTGTTACTGCCTACCATTTTTGAGCCCTGCTATGTGTCCTGCTCTGTGCTAGAGGCTTGGCCTGTATGATCAGCTTGCGGTTACAAGCGCCTCATGAGATACGCTTCAGCAGCTGCGTTTTATAGACAGAACTTAGGACCCTGGCCCGAGACTGCTGATTATGTGTCTGGGCCCAATGTGTTCTACTACATTCTGCCCACAATGTTCTTGTTTCTTTCTGCTAATAGCCATAACACCAGACGTTTCATTTTCACGGCTTTGCAAAATACTTTTACATATTTCTTATTCTTTTTCTTTTTTTGAGACAGGATCTCACTCGTCCCCCAGGCTGGAGTGCAGTGGTCTGATCACAGCTCGCTGCAACCTGGAACTCGAGAGATCAGGTGATCCCCCCATGTCAGCCTCCTGAGTAGTTGGGACTACAAGTGCACGCCACCACTTCTGGCTAATTTTTGTATTTTTTGTAGAGATGGGGTTTCGCCATGTTGCCCAGGCTGGTCTCGAACTCCTGAACTCAAGTGATCTGCCCACCTTGGCCTCCCAAAGTGCTGGGATTACAGGTGTGAGCCACCAAGCCCCTGGCACATATTTCATTTTATTGCAAAAACTTTCCTGATTATCCCCAGATGAAGGTGTCTATCTTCAATTTGCTCCCAGTAAGATCAGGGACAGAGGGTGGAGGCTCTGGGGAGAGGCTCTGTCTCACCCAATCTCCCACAATCTCCATCAGTGCCCATCACCACCACACCATCTCAACGAAGCCCAAAATCCAAGTGTTCCAAACAATGAGCTCGCTATGCCACAGTGCAAATCCCTGGGTTGCTCTGAAAATCAGATCACCAGTGGCAGCTAAGTCCTCCCTCTGAGAAACACTGAGTCATATCCCCTGGCAGGGACCATGACCTCTGCTCCATTCTGTCCCCCTCAGAGCAGAACCCCCCACCCCCGCCCCGACCCTCATGATCCTAGGGGCTCCATAAATGCTCCTATGTCTGATTTGACTGATACACTCGCCACGTGGATGGGCTCAGGAAGGATGAGATACCACACAATACTCCTGCCAATGCCCCCTGGCTGTAACCCCAGGGCTGGGCAATTTATGAAGTAGACAGGAGCCACACAAGCTCCGTTATCACAGTAAAAGCCTTGTCCAGGAACAATGTTGCCTTTCAAATTGTTTTCCGCCTTGGACAGTGGATTTATAAACTGAACTGGTGGCTAGGAACAGAAGCCCATCTGCAAAGACTAAACGCCTTGTTCTACGCGGGCCTGGTTTAGTATTATCCTGATAAGATAAACACAGATCATAGCTGGCTGGAGGTGGGGTACTTTTCTATATGTGTCTCCACGTCTACTTTTACTTATGCACAGGCTGAAATTGGGGGACTGCTTTGCAAGTTAAAGGGAGAAGAAAAAGCCATTTTCTGGATCTCTTTCCAGAAAGGAAGTTGAATGTAATTATAAGATGTTAGGTTTGTCTCTAAATAGCTCAGAACTAAACTGATGTGGTTACTCTCCAAAACCGTTTATTGCATTTTCAGTGTGGTAAAGTTGGTTTGCTATTGTTGATAATTGTTGAAGCTGGATAACACACATACGGGGTTTATTATGGTATTCTCCTATTTTTATGTATATTTACAAGTCTCCATAATAAAAACCAAAAAAAAAAAAAAAAAAAAGGCAGTTGGGTCTGAATATATGCTGTAGCTGTGTGATGAGCATATGGGGTTTTATGATTCTAGTATTCTCCTTTTTGGGTGTTTGCTTAAAATGTTACATGGTTTAAAAAAGAAAAGACAAAAAGAAAAGTACTTTGGTTGAACAACAGTGACTTAAAGCCACTTTCCTTTTATTTATTCATTCAGCAAATATTTATTTGTGCCATATATTCTTCTAGCTACTGAGAAGACAGAAGTCCCTGCCCCAGTGGAACTGGCATTATCCCCACGGTACAAACATTCCTCCAGTGTGAATACCTGGAGGGGCTTTCACAGCAGTGAAAGGGTAGCTCTGGGGTGTGGAGGTTGGTTCTTTTTTTGTTTTGTTTTGAGAGGGAGTCTCGCTCTGTCGCCCAGGCTGGAGTGCAGTGGCGTGATCTCGGCTCACTGCAAGCTCTGCTTCCTGGGTTCACGCCATTCTCCTGCCTCAGCCTCCCGAGTAGCTGGGACTACAGGCGCCCGCCACCACACCTAGATAATTTTTGTATTTTTAGTAGAGACGGGGTTTCACCATGTTAGCCAGGATGGTCTCGATCTCCTGACCTTGTGATCTGCCCGCCTTGGCCTCCCAAAGTGCTGGGATTACAGGGGTGAGCCACAGCGCCTGGCCGGAGGTTGGTTCTTTGGGAGGGGACCGAAATCACTCTAGACCATGGGTGTCCAATCTTTTGGCTTCCCTGGGCCACACTGGAAGAAAAAGAATTGTCTTGGGCCACACATAAAATACACTAACACTAAGGCAGCTGATGAGCTAAAATAAAAAAATTTTGCAAAGAAATCTCATAATGTCTTAACAGAGTTTATGAATTTGTGTTAGGCTGCATTCAAAGCCATCCTGGGCTGCATGTGACCTGTGGGCCATGGGTTGGGCAAGCTTGCTGTAGACTTTGCTGGGAGGTAGGGGCAAAGAGGAGCGGCCCTGGCTTGGCCTGGGAATCTATCCAGTCTGTTACTCTTAAGCACCCTACAGCAGCTCAGATGGAGGGAGAGGAGCTTCAGGAAGCCCCTGCAATGTGTGCTGGTCTATCCATTCATTCATTAATAACAGCTGCCTCCTTGTCCCTCCTCTAAGGCTGAAACATATTTCTAGAAAGAGTTTAATCCACTCCTTGCCTTGGGGCCATGCTGTAAACACTTGGGATAGATGCCTGCCTATCCCACATTTAAAGATCTCTGGGGACAGAGCAACCCTGAGACAGAGCTGGCAAGGGCGGCCAGGGCTGTGGATTTGTCAGCCAGGGACCAGGGGACAAAGCCTTCTGTGTTGCTCTGTGCTGTTAACTCCACCGCATGTGATTCATCTTACTTGGCAGGGGATGGGTAGCTGAAATCCTGAAATCACTAGCTTTCGGGTTTGCTACCTACATCCGCCCCTCTGGAGGCCCTTTTCAGCATCTGGGGTTTGGTAGAGACCCACACCAAAAAAATCAGTCCACGAAAAACCTCAACACAGGAGCTGGCCTCCTCCAGAGTGGTACTTCTGGTACCTGACTTATGGCAAGATAGATCAGGGGTTTCTGCAAGAACAGAAGCTCTTGGGAGACGAAGGTTGAATGTGTAATCTTGGTTGCCAGTCAGCCTGCCATCGTGCGCCTGGGGCGAAGGGACATGATGCTGCTGGCTTCTTTGGCGGGAGATGGGCAAAGTTTGGGTCAGCATCTTTGTTAAAATCCGTATTTCACATCCTGTGCTTGTTCTACTGCATTCTACCAGGACAAAGAACTTGACTGCAATTTTATTTTTTAATAGTTTTCCATTAACAGTTGGGGTGGAGCGGTCATTTTAAATCTCAGAATCATAAAGTCATTTCTATCTAATCTTTGGGCAGTAAGTACAGCTGCTTCTGAATCACATACAGTTTGAAGGAAACCTAAAATGCCAGGAGGACATTTAACTATTTTTATATACAACAGCCAACATCTGGATGTATTCAGTGGTTTCTGAACATCTCCAAGATACACCGCCATGAAAGGCGGGGCTGGGGACTGCCAGGGAAGGGACACAGGAGTCAGAATGCACAGCCCTGCCCCCAGGGTCCCCAGGCCTTAATGAAGGAGACAGAACAAGCAATCCAAGGCAAGGGCAAGAAAGGGGTAAGACAGAGGTGGGGCTGTGTATTAGTCCGTTTTCACGCTGTTCATAAAGACATACCCAAGACTGGGCAATGTACAAAAGAAAGAGATTTAATGGACTCACAATTCCACGTGGATGGGGAGGCCTCACAGTCATGGCAGAAGGTGAAAGGCACATCTCACATGGCGGCAGACAAGAGAAGAGTGACAGCCAAGCGAAACGGGTTTCCCCTTATAAAACCATCAGATCTCCTGAGACTTATCCACTACCATGAGAACAGCATATGGGAAACCACCCCCATGATTCAATTATCTCCCACTGGGCCCCTCCCACAACATAAGGGAATTAGGGGAGCTACAATTCAAGATGAGATTTGGGTGGGAACATAGCCAAGCCATATCAGGCTGACACACGTGGTACACGTGGGCCCTGCACAACCTGCAGCCTGAAGCTCCACCAAGCTCAGATGGGACGACGTGCTTGGGGGCCACATTCACCTTCCATCACATTCCATCCCAGTGGCAGAGCTGGGAAACTTTGGAAGAACTGGTCTCATTTTGCAGTTCTCACCCAGATGTTTGGCATGGTTTTGGCACTGCCAACAATGCCTTCCAGGAGGTTAAAGACCTGGAATTTCGCCTGAAGAGAGGGAGGTGTGGAGGAAGCTGATCAAGCCTCAGAAGTGGGGATCTATGGAGGACAAAAACTAGCTCCGCTCTCCACTGAGGAGGGCACACAAGGACGTGGTGTTGAGGGACCATCTCCTTGTGTGGCGATGCTAAGCAGGAAGGCTGTGGGGCCAGAAAGAGCTCTTTCAAGAGATAGTGAGTGATGCAGTTTAAAGAACAGAGACCTGGCTAGGCATGGTAGCTCATGTCTGTAATCCCAGCACTTTGGGAGGCCGAAGTGGGCAGATACCTGAGGTCAGGAGTTCGAGACCAGCCTGGCCAACATGGTGAAACCCTGTCTCTACTAAAAATACAAAAATTAGCCAGGTGTGGTGGTGCATGCCTGTAGTCCCAGCTACTGGGGAGGCTGAAGCACAAGAATTGCTTGAACCTGGGAGGCGGAGGTTGCAGGGAGCCGAGGTTGTACCACTGTACTCCAGCCTGGGAGACAGAGGGAGATTCTGTCTCAAAAAAAAAAAAAAAAAAAGAAAAAGAGAAAGAAAGAAAGAGAAAGAAAAGGAAGGAAGGAAGGAAAAGAAAAAAAAAAAGAACATAGACACGCAGAGTGTGGTGGCTCACGCCTGTAATCTCAGCACTGTGGGAAGCTGAGGTGGAAGGACTGTTTGAGCCCAGAAGTTAAGTTTGAGACCAGCCTGGGTGATATAAAGAGACCCCATCTCTATAGAATGTTTAAAAATTAGCCAGCTGTGGTGGTGCCTGCCTGTAGTCCTGGCTACTCAGGAGGCTGAGGTGGGAAGATTGCCTGAGCCTGGGAGATGGAGGCTGCAGTGAGCTGTGATCACACCACTGCACTCCAGCCTAGGTAATGGAGTGAGACTCTGTCTCCATAAAATAAAATAAAAAAGAACATAGACATTTCTCAGGGTGGACAGATCACTAACCTTGGATATACCAATCCACATGCTCTCATAAACTCGCAAGCTAACCCTATCTTCCTGTGTTCTACTGAGTCCAAAGATAGGAGGCTACTGTTTTTTTCTTTAGGCAGCACCTAGCACAGTGGCTGGCACATAGTAGGCCTTCAAGTGCTTGAAGCATGTACTACCTAGGGTGGTGGTCTCAACCAGGCCAATTTGGACCCCTAGGGAACAGTGGGCAATGTCTGCAGACATTTTTGGTTGTCACAACTAGGGGGAAGGCATCTAGTGGGAAGAGGCTAATGCACAGGGCACCCCCCGCCTACAACAAAGAATTATCTACCAGATGATCAACAGTGCCAAGTTCTAGAGACCGACGGTCTTCCACTCTACCAAATGAGTCATCAAAGTACACGACAGTGCCAAGTTCTAGCAGTCATATTTGCACAAAAGCAGGAAGGGTCCATGGGAGAGTATGGGAATTCCTCTTTTCCAGGGAATTTTAAGAGTGGATTCCAGCCAGGCATGGTGGCTCACAAATGTAATCCCAACACTTTGGGAGGCTGAGGCGGGTGGATCACTTGAGGTCAGGAGTTCCAGACCAGCTTGGCCAACACGGTGAAACTCCGTCTCTACTAAAAATACAAAAATTAGCCAGGTGTGGTGGTGCATGCCTGTAATTCCAGCTACTCAGGAGGCTGAGGCAGGAGAATCGCTTGAACCCTGGAGGTGGAGGTTGCAGTGAGCCAAGATCACGCCACTGCACTCCAGCCTGGGTGACAGAGTGAGACTCCATCTCACCAAAAAAAAAAAAAAATGGAAGAAAGGAAAAAAAAAATTGATTCCCTCTGTCTTTGTGGGGTTGGGAGTCAGAAAGAAAGAAGACATAAATGGGCTGCCTGATCTCCTAAGCTCCCTTACCGCCCCATCACCAGACACCAGAGCTGTCGGTTGGCAGGTCTTCATCTGTCTGCCTCTTCCTCCCACTTGGGTTTATTTTATAGGCTTTTCCTGAGATATTAGGGGGTTTCCATCAGGAGTGGATCCCTTCCAAACCACAAGGCAATGAAAAGTCCTGCATGTGGGACTGATGTGCTGGTGTGTATGTGCTTTAGGAGCGAGAAAGACAGCAACATAAACCCTGTGCATCAAAGCCAAATCCCTCTACACTCAAGTTCCAACTTGCAGAAATTTTTATAGCCAAGTAATGATATGCAAAGCTGATGGCCTTTTAATTATAGCAGTTCCGTGTGGGGAGAAATAGGAGAACTATTATAATAAGGAGACACAGTAAGCAAAAGAACACCTTTGAATGGGCATTTTCTTGCTGGGGTAAAGGTAACATGGGGGGTTGGGGGGCGATACCCCACAGGGTTCCAAGCATGTCACCCACATTCTTTGTCTTGACAATATGCCCGTGAAACACACAGAGTAAGGTTTCCTGCCCCCACTTTTCTGATGATCTGTTTCTCCATGGCCAAACTGAAGTCCAGACAGATTCAGTCCTTAAATCCATTTTGGAAAACTGTTAACATCCATGGCCAACCAAGATCAACTCAGAGTTTTCAGAAACCAAGAACCTGAATGAACATAGGAGATGTTTAGCTATCTTCTATCTCAGTGTCTCTTTGGGAGAGGCTTAGAAATTAATTTCTCTGTTTGATGATCCCTAAACAGAGGAACCCACCTCAAAATAAGACAAACTGTTGGCCGGGGGTGGTGGCTCATGCCTGTAATCCCAGCACTTCGGGAGGCCGAGGTGGGTGAATCCTTTGAAGCCAGGAGTTCAAGACCAGCCTGGCCAACATGGTGAAACCCCATCTCTACTAAAAATACAAAAATTAGCCGGGCATGGTGGCATGCGCCTGTAGTCTCAGCTACTTGGGAGGCTGAGCCATGAGAACCACTCGAACCTGGGAGGTGGAGGTTGCAGTGAGCTGCGATCATGCCACTGTACTCTAGCCTGGACGACGGAGTGAGACTCTTTCCAAAACAACAACAACTATTATTTTTACCAGAGCATACCTGCTATTTGCCCAAACACTGTATGGAGCATTTTAGACATATCAACTTGCTAGTTCATGTAATCTTCTTATGGGAGATAAACTATTATCATCCCTCACTGACAGATGAGGAAACCAAGGTACAGAGATCTCGATTCACTTGTTCAAGACTATGTAGCTAGTAAATCGCAGCACCTCGATTTGGACCTAGGAAGTCTGACTTCAGGGTCCTTGCTCTAATGTGGTGCTAGGCTCCCTTTCTGGAGAACAGCTCCCCAGTTTTCCCATCATTTAGATTAAAGAAGTCAAAGATGCGGCTAGATTCACTGGTCCTAAGGAATAACAGTAAAGATGAGGATGTATGTTGACAAATCCCTTTTATTTGATACGCTTTTCAGTGGGTCCTGCAAGGCCCTGAATTTTATGGTAGACTCTATGCATAAAGTGATGCTGTCCCTCAAAAAAGCCAAAGCGCCATCTGTGTGCATTTTATCCACAAACCAATGGAATCAACCATGAAGGACCAGGGGTATGAAGGTCCCCTCTCATACCTTAGCATGACCTGGCAGTTCCCTGGGGGGTCCTCTTCCCCTCTCAGTCCATGTGGTTTAGCTGGAGCTCCAGTCCAAGCTCTAGGGATAAACTGTGACCCTACCCTGAACAATGGGTGCAACTCCATCTCTCTAGCCACAGTGATTGGTCCAAGAGGGAGTAAGTGGCCCAAGTTGGTCTATTAGGATTCCAAGGGAGCTATTGAGAGGAGACGGTCTATTTTGTTTGGACTTGAACCTGGGAGGATATAGGGCTGGAGTCATTAGCAGGAAGCCATCTTAACACCATTAGAAATGGGCAATCATGCCTATGCTGAAGAGAGCAGAGCTGAGGGAGAGAAAAAATAAGCAGAGACCTGATGATATAATTTGAGCCTCTGGACCAAACTGTGCCTGAAACCAGCATCCCAGACTCTTCAGGTCCATGAACCAGTAAATTCTCTTTTTAGTTTAGGACAATATGAATTGTGTTTCTGTGTCTTGCAAATGATATAAATGAAAACTAGAAACATGTCATTAAAGGAGACGCAAAAGTACACTATAATGATACTTTTATAGTGAAGACAGTGGGGAAAAGGCGGTTATCAAGGTCCTGCTCCCTCTCCCCCAACCTTTATCTTAAAGGAGAATGTAAACTTTTGTAGAACATGAGGAATGTGGTTGAATTTATATGTTCCATATTAATAAGTACAGCTGATTGCAACTATTATCAGTAATTTCATAGAATTGGTTCCTGTGTAAGTTATTTACCCAGCTGCATCAATTCTCTCATCCACAGCCACAATGTACCCTTGACACCAGCTGGCCACTTGTAACGATGGGATCTGGGTGACAGGCTGGATTAAGGGTGAATGGGTTGGCCCATCTCTTCCATCTGAAGGTCAACATCAAAGGTGTGGCACCCTAGCAGACAGAGGGCTACCTAACTCGATGGCGGAGGTTGGATTTTGGAATCAACCATGAAGGACCAAGAGTATGAAGGTCCCTGCTCTTACATTAATGTGACCCAGCAGTTCCCTGGGGGAACCCTCTTCACCTCTCAGTCCATGTGGTTCAGCTGGGGCTCCATTCTGAGCTCCAGGGATCAGACTGTGAGCCTACCGTCGACAACGGGTACAATTCCATCTCTTTGTAGTGAATGTGCGACATTCACTACAGCAAAAATCTTTTGCCTGGACCAGTTACTTACTTTATTAATCCTGGATCCAGAGAGTAAAGATCAAGGAAGCACATTTCTTCCTCCCAATGGTTCTATTCTCTGTACATTTTTTATTCCAAGGCCCCCAGAAAACTTTCAGCTATTTTCTGGTCCCCAGGACACGTGGCTGCCAGCTCTCTGCCATCTTGGGAAGTTTAAGTGTGAGGGACCAACTGGCCAGATGGAGCCTCAGGTGTTTGGGACCTGCTGGAACCGGCAAACAGCTGCCTGCCGACACCTTGGGTTTCAGATGTGGGGTGTCATCGTGTTTGTTTTCCTTCTGATTGAATTATTCATGTCTCATTTGTGCACTTCCCTGAAACAATCTCTTCTAGATGCATTTAGAAACTTGAGTCTCTGCGGTTTGTCTGGACTGGTTTCTATTTGAGAAGAAGGGGAGTTTGCTTGTCTAAAGCAAAGAAAAATGGGTTGTACACAAGTCACAGTATCCTTGATTTTCTGTCTCATATACTTCTTTAGTTCTCTCCAGGAATCAGGATTCCTGATGGAATGCCTTCCTTCCCTTTGGAAACTCCCAGTGGAGCACAGGGGCGTGTCTTGCCAACTCTGTAGTGTTCCTAAAGAATTCTCAATTCTCAAAGAACACTCTGGCAAAGAAAGAATGGGAAACACATTGCAAGCTTAAAGGGCAGTGGCAAAACAAATAATTACTGAGCCTGTTGGTAAACAGACCCAAGGAGACAAGTGAATTCAGCTTGTTCACTCTTGCCTGTCAGAAAGAATTTAATACCACCCTGCTTCTGTTTTTCTTCCCCTCATGACCCAAGTTAGAGCTTGCTTAATTTCTGTTTACAATGTAAGTCTCATGGGGAAGAAGGGGGAGAGGTCTGGCCAGAGTAGGGAAGAGGATCTGCCTTCCCAGGGAGTGCTCCCTATGGAAGAGTGGTTCTCATCCTGTCTGCCCAACAGCTACCTGAAGAGCCTGGGCCCCAGCCCAACACAATTCAAACAGAATCACTGAGTAACAGGGCCCAGGCATCAGTATTTGAAAGTTCTCCACTTGATTCCAACGTGTAGTCAAGGTTTAGAACCACTGCTCTAGGGCCGGGCTCTATCCAATATGGTAGCCATGGGTTATGTGTGGCCGTTGAGCACCTGAAATATGGTGAATCCAAATTGAGATGTGCTGTAAATGTAAATATACAGTGGATTTTTGAGAGTTAGTATGAAAAAGAGAATGTAAACTATCTCATTAGCAATTTTGCTAGGCCGGGCATCATGGCTCATGTGTGTAATCCCAGCATTTTGGGAGGCTGAAGCAGGAGGACTGCTTGAGCCCTGGAGTTAGAGACCAGCCTGGGCAACATAGGAAGACCCCCATTGCTACAAAAAATGTTTCTTTAAGTAGCTGGGTGTAGGGGTCCACACCTGTAATCCCAGCTACTTTGGAGGCTGAAGTGAGAGGATCATATGAGCCCAGGAGTTGGCAGTTGCAGTGAGCTATGAGCATGCCACTGTACTCTACCCTGGATGACAGAGCAAGACAGAAAGAGACCCCGAATGACAGATGTCTCAAAAACAACAAAGAAAATAAGTTTTGCTATATTGATTACAACTGACACAATGTGGACCTGTCCCAAGTGAGAATATGTATACATGTATAGGCAGGGAGACACTGGTGGTACTGCAGGGCAGACAGGAAAGCAAATAAAGATCACTTAAGGAGGAGAAATATTGAAGAACTCCTGTGTCATCAAGCAACTATGAACACATCATCATCTCCACATTTACGAGTTGCACAAAGTCCCGATCATTCCCTCTGGCACCCCTACATCCACATGGGTACACATCCTTGTTCTGTTATATTAAGTCAGGGTTCATCTTGTTTCCACCAAAGAGAAAACGGTTAGGAAGGCAAAGCGTACGGCATGGAATAATAATTGCCAAGCAAAAGCCAAAGTTCAGCCTTGAAGCCTCTTTTTATCCATTCTTCTCAAGCATGGCAAAAATATCCTCAAAGGACAACCAGTTTAAACGATAAGGGTTTTATCAGTAAGAGGCAAGTCAATAGAATTTAAAGATAAACACATAATCAATTCTAATTTCTGCAGAACAATAACTACACTATAATAATTTTGTACCAGACATGGTAGTCAATCTGCTTGCCAAGTCCATTGTACAGAACCAGACTGCTCCACTCCAGTTCCGAGGTTCTCCTGGACTCTGGACATTGGCCACTTGCCCTGTATCCTGCTTGAGCAGCCCCAGCAATTCTCATGTGTGATGGTTAATTTTATGTGTCAACTTGACTGGGCCAGGAGGTGCCCAGATATTTGGTCACACATTCTGGGTGTTTTTGTGAGGGCTTTTGGATGAGATAAGCATTTTAATTGGTACAGTAGGCCAGACTGCCCTCCTGAATCTAAGTGGGCCTCATCCAAGTAAGTTGAAGGCTTGAATAGAACAAAAAGACTGATCCACCACCAAGTAGGAAAAGGAAAAATACTCTCCAGCAGACTGCCTTTGAACTAGAACCACACCATCAACTCTCCTGGGTCTTGAATCTGCCAGCCCACTGTGTGAATTTGGACTTGCTGGCTCCCATAATCACATGAGCAAATTCTTCGTAACAAATCTCTTTCTATATATACACATCCTATTGGTTCTGTCTCTCCAGAGAACCTTGACTGGTACATCATGTCATTCTTGCCTACAGCCTGTTACCTCATCTCCTAATATCGGGGATGGTCTCAGGGACCCCCAAGTTCAGGAAGACCCATGGCCACAGCATTGCTTCTCCATTCTTCTACAATCTCTCTGCCCTTTCCAAGGAGAGTTCACTCAGCAGTTCCATTCAGTCTCCTTGAAGATATTCTTCCCAACCCATGACTGAGCATCAAGATTGACTTGTTTTGAGAAGCTGTAGCTAGCTCAATGATAAGCCTTGGATTTGCTTTCTTGCCTTCCTGTGTTGTTCACTTCCTTTTCACTTTTGCTTCTGCGGCAGCACACTGCTCACAACTCATAACGCATGAACTTTGCCTTTGGCTCTGTTTTCTGAGAAACCTAGGCAAAGCCTTTTTTCTTTTCTTTTTTTTTTTTTGAGACGGAGTCTCGCGCTGTTGCCCAGGCTGGAGTGCAGTGACGCGATCTCGGCTCACTACAAGCTCTGCCTCCCAGGTTCATGCCATTCTCCTGCCTCAGCCTCCTGAGCAGCTGGGACTACAGGCGCCTGCCACCACACCCAGCTAATTTTTGTTGTATTTTTTAGTAGAGACAGGGTTTCACCATCTTAGCCAGGATCGTCTCAATCTTCTGACCTCGTGATCCATCTACCTCGGCCTCCCAAAGTGCTGGGATTACAGGCGTGAGCCACCGCGCCCGGCCAAGCCTTTTTCTTTTTAAACTCACTTGCCTGATGAGGAAATAGCTGAGTGCTTTTTTATTGTGGAGACAGGGTCTCATTATGTTGCTCAGGCTCCAGTGATCCTCCCACCTCAGCCTCCCAAAGTGCTGGGAATACAAGTGCATGTCCCCATGCCTGGCTTGAGCTCTTTCTTGATAGGTGTGCTCACCAATTGGCCCAGGTGTGGACACCTGCCTCAAGAGATCTGATGTATAGGCTGCTCTTTCACCTATTGCTTGAGGGTTTCTCCTTGAACAGAGATGAGCTGAGCCAAATATCTTCCTTCTCACTTAATTAAAACTTGATAAAGAAAAAGGTATTCAATGGACAATGGCTGTTGGGCAAAGAAATGATGAAGGAAGTTTGTGTGTGTGCACGTAAGTGTATGAGAGAGACAGGGAGAGAGAGAGAACTTTCCAGGTTCAATTTCAGTTCATGAAGCTGAAGATTTTCTTGCCCCTATTTCCTGTATCCTTTCAGTGAATGTCCCTTTTCACTTCTAATTGCTGATCAACCTGAACTTAACTCTTTTATAAGTAACCTGCTTTTCCTATCTGGATGGTTTTGTGATATTTTATGTATCTGCAACTCAAAAGTTTTCCCAGGATATGTCACATTGCAATTTTCTTTTCATTAAATTCAACTAAAATGTGGTTGATTTCTTTTGAGCTGCATCCTCAGATTATTTTCCCCTCAGGTTCCAGAGGTTTTATTTTCAATTATAATTTTGATTGTTGCTCCTGTTCAAATTGATCTGGTTGCTCTTTGAGGAACATGCAGAAGTCTCTGGGTCATCTGTTCTGCCAACCACACCTATTGCTTCCCCTGTCTCTCTTAATTTCCCTCTTCGTCCTTTGCTTACAGGGAGAATATATCATTTTTCTTTCATACAGCCAGCATGCTTTTCTACAATGCCAGTGCTGTTCTTATCTCCTGCCAGTGACTTTCTACTCTGGCACCATGATTTCAGTTCCCCTGTGGTTCTCATTTTTTAAATCCACCCACCTTTGTTTTCACCTTGATTTGTTTTCTTTGAATCACATCCTGTTATTCTTTCATCTCTGCTTTGGCTTGAATGTGTATGTCCCTCCAAAATTCATATGTTGAAACCAAAGACCCAGTGCAGTAGTATTAAGAGGTGGGGCTTTTGGGGAAGTGATTAAGTCATGAGGGCTCCACCCTCAAGCATGAGATTAGTGCTCTTATAAAAGAGGTTGAAGGGAACACCCAAGTCTTTTTTGCCCTCTTGCCATATGAGGACACAACAAGGTGCCATTTGTGGAGCAGAGAGCAAGCCCTTCACCAGACACAGAATCTTCTGGTGCCTTGATCTTGGACTTTACAGCCTCTAGAACTGTGAGAAATAAATTTCAACTATTCATAAATTACCCTGTCTATTTTGTTGTAGCAGCATGAATGAACTAAGACAATCTCCACCTTATAAATCTTATAAATTGTTGATTTTATTTCCAAGAAGCCACGTAGTGTCTTCCTAGATTATTTTAGTTGAATGAGAATTTGATTTTTCTTCCTCCACCTCCACTACTGGCTTTAAAATTAGGGGAAATTCTGCCCAGATGTTGCTGTCTTTATTTTTAGCATTGTTGAGCAAGTTTTCATCATTTTAATGTCTTCACACAGGGCTTCTGGCAAGATGCTATTTTAAACCAAATGGCCCAAAGTGAAGCTTCTAGAATACAATTCCAATCACATCCTCCCTCCCCCTTTTAAAGCCCTTTAGTGTCTCTGCTTTGCTCTTGCGACAGAATTGCACAACCTTCATACAGCATGCAAGGCCTCTGATGATGTGGGTCCTGCCTACCTTTGCAGCCTCTCCCTTTCCTCCTTCCCCACCTGCCTGCCTAATTCTTATGCAATCCTCAGGACTCAGCCTGGTTGCCTAAGGCAGGCTCTGCTCATTATTCCCTTATCCATTCCTCAATAGGAAAAGAATCCCTGATCCTTGGCTGGACACATGGTTGCATGGAATAAAGACAGCCTCCCTTGCAGCTAGGTGAGAACATGTAACTAAGCTTCTGGCCAAAAAAATGTGAAGGGGAAAAGACGGGTGCAACTTCCGGACAGGTCCTTAAAGGGGGGAAGTGTATTTCTTCTTTACTCCCTCTGCCTCCATCCCACTATTTGGGATGTGGAAATGATGGCCGAGTACCACTGTGGACCAAGGGGCTAGAGATGGTAAAGTAGAAATCTAGACACAATCTAAGTCACAGATGACCGTGGTGTCATGCTACTTAACTCTAGGTGAGAGAGAAATCAACTTCTTATTTATACCATTATAAATTTGGATTCTGTTACAAAGAGCAAACCCATATTCTAAATACTACAGAACTGGCACTGTAAGTGAAGTACTGCAAGTAACAAGACCTAACCATGGGGCAACAGCTTCCTGGAAGCCCTTGAGTGCAGGCGGTGGGGACACAGGAACATTTAGGCTGCAAAGCTGGAGATTCCCATCAGGTTGAGCAACACCGTGAGTGACATCTCCCCTGGCTGCCCCTTGATGGTCATAGCTCTGGGGGGAATTTTTCTGTAGGAAAAATTCAGAAGTGTGGCATGTGCTCACTTTTAGAAAATTCTAACGAAAGACATGAACAGCCAGAAATGGAAAGGAACAGACTTGTGCAAGAAAAGAACCTTTCTCTGTCTCCTGCTTTCTAGATTGATGGAAAGGCCCTTAATTTGAGAAAATGCTTCTGTACCTTGAACAGAAGCAGTTAAAATGAAGGCTGCAAAGCACAGGGCTTAGTGAGGGATTAGACTGATGCCTTGTCCTACAAGGTCTGCTGGCAGAGGTGGGACAAAGACTGTTGCCTCCCCATGCAAGCACATTTGTTTCAGAAGACTCAAAGTTGTTGTCATTAAGCTGAGAGGGAGCAGATGGGCTGAGCCAGAGACCTATAGAGAAAGGACTGGGTCTTCAAGAAGGAAGACAGACAGGGGACAGGCTCCAAAGACATGTGACATATGTGGACTTCTTCTCCCTGTTTTCATCTGCCTGTGGCAGGGCCTGCCTGCCTATTTGAGCTAGCCTGCCGGGGGATAACACAGTCAACCTTGCTGGGCAGCGTAAGGTATTTACCAAACACTAGAGGCCAGTTCTCACTCCATCTTGAAAGACCAAAGAAAAATAACAACAAAGGTCAACCCTCCCTTTATTTTTTTTGAAAGCTTCTACTGAGTTTCAGTTAATAGAGTTTTTGTTTTTTAATAGAAGGTGATCTGAAAGGCAATATGGAGAGAACACTTGCAGGATGTCTTGGATCCACCTAAAATTTTGGATGGCCTTACCAGAAAGCAGTGTTTGTGAGTTTTGATGTTAGAATTTTCAGTGTGCTTTGAAAGGTGTCCAGTGCTTTGCCAGGCGACATGAGGAACTTTCCACGAAGCTTGAAGGTAACCCTCCCCTAGAAAGCTGCGGTGCTTCCTTGTTTCCTCACCCACAAAGACCCTTAGTCAAAGGATACACATTCATGTATTTTACTAGACAACAGAGTGAAACATTTTTTAAAAAAATTTTTACCTTGAAAATCTATATTGTGGGTCAGAGTGGAGATATGATCAGCAGCAGGCCAAGGGACAGGCCAAGGAATCCCGGATCCACAATAGGAACAGATAAGACATGACATGAGGGCATGGGGAGAGGTGAAGTCAGTCGGTGTCAGGAAGGCAGGTTAAGTCCAGGGCAGGAAACCAAGTTCAAGACCCTGCAGATGAGGGGGCAATGGAAAAGTCAGTGCCAATAAGGAAGGATGGATTAGCAGCTCAAGATTCAAGCAGACAAGACAGTCCTAAGAGTCCAGGTACAGGGGAAGGTAAACAGGAAGAAGCAGGTTCGAGCAGGCAAGACATGGCATTGAAGCCCGGGGTGATAAGACTTAGCCCGTGGAGTTCGTGGTGGAGACTTCTGGATCCACAGACCAGGTTTGTAACAGGGTAAGAATCTCGGCTGAAAGATTAGGAGCCACAGTCCTAAAGCCTGGGTCAGAAACTGGGTAACGAGGTGGGAGCCAAGCACAGGTGAGCAGCAGCATCTCCCTGTTTCTCCATCCACAAAGGCCCTTGGTCACCTTGATAGTGGGCCCGCATCTTACAAAGCAGGAGCTCCTCCTGCACTCCCAGCCAGGGTGTAGATGGGAGAGTTTCCAGGGGGAGGCAGCAGCCCCACACCACTGTCCTAGACAAACCACATTACCCTTAATACAGATTAGTGACTGCCAGGTCAACAGAGTGAAACCCGAAGGGTTCTCATACATTGCCCTTAACTCAGTCATCAAACTCTTCTTCTTCCTCCTCCTCCTCTGGATCCCAATCTCTCCGAAAGGTATTAATAGCCAACTAGCTGTACACATAAAAAAAACTGGGAGGGGTTTCTAGCCATTCTCAACCCCTATATCTAATTGGACCCCAAGTCTAGCTGATTTTATTATACTTACAAAATGGTAAAACCAAATCCTTCCCCTGCAATGTTCTTCCATCACCTCCCTGCCATCCCTCATCTGAGGGTGATAATAACAGCTATAACTTCTCTCATTCCAGGGCTGTGCTAGATGCTTTTCAAGTGCACTCTCGCTGAATCCCCCAACACTTTGACCCTGGAGCCATTCATAGGCCCATTATACAGATTTTAAAAAAGCAAACTGAGGCCCAGAGAAGTGAAATGACATTTCAAAGCTCACCCAGCTGGTAAATAATAACGTCAGGGACCTCAAATTTAGATCTACAGTCCACCACAAAGGCCGTGCATAGATATTAGGTTTGCCGCAAAATTGTGGGTTTTGGCTGGGTGCAGTGGCTCAGGCCGGGCGCGGTGGCTAAAGCCTGTAATCCCAGCACTTTGGGAGGCCGAGGCGGGTGGATGACCTGAAGTCAGGAGTTCGAGACCAGCCTGGCCAACATGGTGAAACCTCGTCTCTACTAAAAATACAAAACTTAGCTGGGTGTAGTGGTGCGCACCTGTACTCCCAGCTACTTGGGAGGCTGAGGCGGGAGGATCGCTTGAACCTGGGAGGCGGAGGTTGCAGTGAGCTGAGATCACGCCACTGCACTCCAGCCTGGGTAACAGAGTAAGGCTCTTTCTCTCTCTCTCAAAAAAAAAATTAATAAAAATAATAATAATTGCGGTTTTTGCCAATGAAATGGCAAAAACTGCAATTACTTTTGCACCAGGCTAATACTGTTCAATAATGGGTCGCCAAAAAAGGAAGGAAGCAGGTAAGAAGCGCAGCAGCCAAGTTCATAACCCTGCTGCTGACAGTGTCAACATCCACCTCCTGCTGAGTGCCTGCTACGCAACCAGTACCACCCAAGGGCTTTCCTTCCACTTTCATTTACCCCTTCAGGAAATCCCATTTACAGATGAGGAACCTGATCCTTAACAAGGAGAAAGAGCTTGAGTTTGCACACCGTGTCTGTGTTGAGCCTCCTTGGTAAAGACCAGAGAACACCACCTTTTTGTGATTATGGGGCTGTCCCCAAACCTGTCAGGAAGGCGGATGACATGGTCTGCAGCTGTTCACCTCCTGTGGACTGCCCTGTTTCAGATCTGGGTTCATGGAGTGTTTCACCTGCCTGGCTGAAGAAGGAACGTGGCCGTACTTGTGAAGCTAATAGTGAGAGGTTCATTTGTTTAAACAGCAGTTGGTGGAAAAGCATGGAATCAAGGATCTTTACACGTACATATTCAAAACCACTTCACCTCGCATCTTGCATCCATGTAGCCCCTTCACGCTCACAATTTTTCCTCTCGTGATGTCTATTCTCACTCAGGGCCAACTCCACGGGTGTGCGACCAGTGCAGCATCCCAGGGTCTGCACTCAGGAGGAGGTAAGGGTTGGCTGCATACATCTCATGCACCCAGCCACGAAAGGGGCCCCGGGAGCCCGCGAGAGGCTCTCTCCTCCAGGAAGTACCCCTCTGCCCAAGGGCACGATGTTACAAGGCAGATAAGATGCACCATGACTAAGTTCTTCAAAAAATTAAAAATCAAATTACCGAATGATTTAGCAATGCCTCTTCTGGCCATATACCCCAAAGAACCTCAAGTGGGGTCTTGAAGAGATATTCTTACATTCATGTTCACAAGCAGCACTATTCACAAGAGCTAAATGGTGAAACAGCCCAAGTGTTCATGGACAGACGAATGAACAAACAAAATGATGCATCCGTGCAACCTAATATTGTTCAGCCTTCAAAGGAAGAAAATTATGACACGTTACAACATGATGACCCCTGAGGACATTATGCTAAGTGAAATAGGACGGACACAAAGGGACAAATACTGTGTGATGCCACTTCTATGAGGTCCCTAGAGGAGTCACATTCATAGAGACAGAAAGAAAATGGCAGTTGCCAGGGGCTGGGGGGAGATAAGGAATGGGGAGTTAGTGCCTAATGATTAATGTATACATAACATACCATGTACCATCTTTTTTTATTTTTGATTTTTGGTGGAGTCTCGCTCTGTCACCCAGGCTGGAGTACAGTGCTGTGATCTTGGCTCCCTGCAGCCTCCGCCACCCGGGTTCAAGCGATTCTCGTGCCTCAGCCTCCTGAGTAGCTGGGATTACAGGCATGTGCCACCTGTAATTTTTGTATTTTGAGTAGAGACGTGGTTTCACCATGTTGGCCAGGCTGGACTCGAACTCTTGACTTCAAGTGATCCGCCCGCTTCAGCCTCCCAAAGTGTTGGGATTACAGACGTGAGCCACCGTGCCCGGCCAAAATGTACCATCTTGATCAATTTTTAAGTGCACAGACAGGTCATGGTAAGTGTGAAAAAATACCTAACTCCCGCCCTCGTTCTCCTCGCACCCTCCCTGACCCACCCCAAAAAGGCCCAAGGGAGCCCCCCTGCATTCCCAACCTGCAGGCATGAGGTCATACAAGCGGGGTGTTGGGCAGAGGCCCCTGGCAGATGGCAGGGTAGGGCCCCCAGCACTCCATTCTGGACAGAATGAAAACCTGACGACCTATCTGATGGAATTACACGGAAGAAAGGAAATTCGTCTTTTAAGAACAAGCGGGAGGCGGATGACTGAAGTCCCAAAGAATGCTGTGGTTGAACCTTTTTTTTTTTGTTGTTTGTTTTCTGGCACAGTCTGTCTCTATGACTGAGCTGAGTAACGTGTTTCCCGTGACAAAGGCCCCTTTCTTACGACAGTTTAATAGCTCCAATACGGGGGACAGCCCTGACTCTCCCATGGGCCAGCGTCTGAAGGCGGCCACAGAAAAAGGGAGGGAAAGCCGCCGCTCTTCTCCAAGTTGGTCCAGACTGAACTGAGAGAGTATAAGGAAAAAAAAAATCGGAAACTTTAACCCACTCCTGAAATAAAAAATAGAAGTTACCAAAGGGATGGGGAACACACATGCAGAGGCACAGAGAAGAATATGGATGAAAAAGTGGCCTCAGAGCCCGGTGTGGTGGCTCACGCCTGTAATCCCAGTACTTTGGGAAATCGAGGTGGGCGGATCACTTGAGGACAGGAGTTTGAGACCAACCTGGCCAACATGGTAAAACCCCATCTCTACAAAAAATACAAAAATTAGCTGGGCGTGGTGGCAGGTGCCTGTAATCCCAGCTACTCAGGAGGCTGAGGCATGAGAATTGCTTGAACTCAGGGGGTGGAGGTTACAGTGAGCCAAGACGATGCCACTGCACTCCACCCTGGGAAACAGAGGGAGACCCTGTCTCAAAAAAAAAAAAATATATATATATACACACACACACACACACACACACACACACACATATACACATATAAAATATATATACACATATATACATATATACACATATAAGTATATGTATATATGTATATACTTATATGTGTATGTATATATGTATATATGTATATACTTATATGTGTATATATATGTATATACATATATATAAAAATAAAAATTTTAAAAAATTTAAAAAGAGGAAAAAAAAGTGGCCTTGGGGCTTTGCGTCCAACTGTGAGAGGAAGTGGAGAAAGCTAAGAGAGGACCTCAGGGACAGAGAAGACGCCGATGGAGGTAGGGAGACCCGATGCCCTGGTTTCTTAACAGCTGCTGTGATGAAGTACCACAGGGATTTGTTCTCACAGCCCTGGAGGCCAGAAGTCCAAGATCAAGTTGTCCGCAGGGCTATGCTCCCCCTGAAGGCTCTAGGGGAGGATCCTCCCTCGGCTCTTCCAGCTTCTGGTGGCCCTGGCACTTGGTGGCATTCCCCAGCTTCTAGACACATGACTCTAGTCTCTGCCTCCACTACCACAAGGCCGTCTTCCCTCCACGTGTCCCTGTGTGGCCACGGGGCACTGTCCTCTCCGCATGTGTCATCCCTCCTTGTTTTATAAGGGTACCCAGTCATGTTGGACTTAGGCCCACCCTAATCCAGTACGAGCTGATCTTAACTAATTACATCTGCAAAGATCCTACCGCCAAATAAGGTTACAGTCACAGGTCCTGGGGATTAAGACTTCCATACCTTTCTGGGGTGCATGACTTCAGCATCGCTCCTTATTCTGGAACTTACAGGACAGGTCACTCTTGCTCTGTAGCTCTCCCTCGGAGTGACCCTGCACATCGGCTGTCTAGGAGGTGAGGCTGGAGAAGTGAGTCATGACCGCAAGGCCACCAGATCACCTCAGTACCACCTGTCTGGAGTTTTCCCTTCTTTCCCCCTTCCTGCCCCCGGTATCTCACTGCTGGGCGGCACTGGCAAGGGTTATGGTTCTTACCAAAGTAACACTCATCTGGAGCAACACTCAAAACCATCTTTAACAGAAATATTTGCTTCCAGTTAACACCGAATACAAAATCTCTATCTGTCCCTCACTGTGGATTTTTTACCTAGGCTTGCATTTCGTAATGAGCCAAATGAGGTTTGATTTTAAAGAAGCATCTGGGCTGAGGGCAGCAGCTCATGCCTGTAATCTCAGCATTTGGGGAGGCTGAGGCGGACGGATCTTTTGAGGTCAGGAGTTTGAGACCTGGTGAAACCCCGCCTCTACTAAAAAGAGAAAAAAAAATTACCTGGGCATAGTGGCAGGCGCCTGTAATCCCAGCTACTCGTGAGGCTGAGGCAGGAGAATCGCTTGAACCTGGGAGGTGGAGGTTGCAGTGAGCTGAGATCAGGCCACTGCACCCCAGCCTGGGCAACAGAGCAAGACTCCATCTCAGGGGAAAAAAAGTGTCTGACAAATTGGAATTACTATAGTCAATGTTCAAAGGATTCATAATGGGAGATTAGACATTTTCACAACTGAGTTGACCCCATTTCCCACACGACTTTGGGGGAGAGTTTTGAAGACCTTGGGGTCACAGCCAGGCACGTCACTTAACAGCAGAGTGATAATTAAGAGCACAGGCTCTGGAGCTGGTCACCTGGGTTCAAATCCTAGAGGAGTCAAATTCATAGGGACAGAAAGTACAATGGCAGCTGCCCCTCACTTGCTGTGTGCTCTTGGACACAGCCTGCTTCTGTAAAATGGGAATGATAATTTCCAGCTTTCTTGATTGTTCCATGATTGCTAGAGGCTGGCAGAGGAAGTTTATTCGTGGGCTTCTGAATCAGATGGAAGTAAGTCTTGAACTCCTGGCCTCAAGTGATCCTCCTGCCTCAGCCTCCCAAGTAGCTGAGATTACAGGCATGAGCCACCATGCCTGGCTAGACAGAAGTAAGTCAAATCCTGAATCTACCAGGTTCAGTGGCTCACGCCTGCAATCCTAGCACTTTGGGAGGCTGAGGCAGGCAGATCACCTGAGCTTAAGAGTTGAAGACCAGCCTTGGCAACATGGCAAAACCCCGAATCTACTAAAAATACAAAAAAAAAAAAATTAGCCAGGTGTGATGGCACATGCCTGTAGTCCCAGCTATTTGGGAGGCCGAGGCATGAGAATCACTTGAACCTGGGAGGTGGAGGTTGCAGTGGGCCAAGATCATGCCACTGCACTCCAGCCTGGACAACAAAGACTCTATCTCAAAAAAAGCAATCCTGAATCTGCCTCTTACCAGAAGAATGACCTCTGAGCATTTCCCCTGCCTCCCGAGGCCCCGTGGCCACATGTCCATACTGGGATGGCAGCGAGGACTGAGCAATGCATGTAAGCAGCACCAAGTGCCACATGTCCCCACGAGTGCGACACAAGCACCAGTGCTCCTGAGCTGCCTTTCTTGGCGTACCAAGCAGAATGTTTTAAAATGAAGACCCTGCCCCCCAGAACTAAACCGCACCCACAGCTCCCTCTGTAGTGGCCTGACCTTCCTCAGCAGGCTGCCCTGGAAGACAGAATTGCTTTCTTCCCCAAGTCGCTTGTAACAAGCTGTTGGGGAGGACGGACAGGGCAGCAGTGGGAACGGAGAAGAGAAAAGAAGTGTGCGTCATCTCCAGTGCCCGGGAAAGCCGCAAGGAAACCACACTGCCATTTTCAGAGAGCTTGACGGGGCCCTCCCTCCCCCAAGGTCTGCTCCAGGCTAACAGAGTATACGTTGTGCAGAGATAGCTTCCTGTGCCAAGATGTCCAATCCCTGTCGCCAGGGACTTGGGTGGGGGTGGCTGGGGGCAGTGGCAGAGGAGGAAAGGGCCGCAGCATAAAAGCCCCTTGTGCTGCTCATGGAGGAGACGCTGCTGCCCGGCGGATGGGGGAGGGGCAGCACTGTCATCTTCCTTTTTGCTCTGAGAAGGTGACTTGTGTGGTTAGATGGAAGGGGCCCCCAAATGAGTCCAGGAAACTGGGGCGCAAAAGGGAAGCAGCTCGTGTGCTTGTGTGGTCTGGAGGGGCCGACCCTTGCCGTCGACACCCCTAGCACAGAGCTGACCACGCATTGCCTGGTTCTGGGTCCCGTGCAGAGCATAAAAGAGGTGACCCAGGCTCTGCTCCCAGGGAGGACACAGGAGAGAGAAAAACACCACACAACGAAGGCTGGGGACAAGGGCTGGGCAGTACCAGGGCCAGGGCTCATGAGCATGCACAGTCCATGCTGTGATAAGATGACGAAGTCAGCCTGGGAGGGCCTCGGGGGAAAGAGGGCAAAGGATGTGAAGGCCCCTTATAAAGCACGGAGCTCTAGAAACAGGAGTAGAAGCAGTGGGAGGGCAGAGCAGCCAGGCACACTCACAGACCCTGCTCCTGGACCTGGGCTCCGAGTAGCCAGGCACACTCAGAGACCCTGCTCCTGGACCTGGGCCCCGAGGCTTGGATGTCAATTCCCTGCAGACAGTGGAAGCTACTTCTGAGACAGTTCTTCTCCTGGGGAGGCAGGGAGTGGGGAGTGCTTGTCCTGGACCTGAGTGGAAATAGAAATGGGCTGGCCATCTAGCTGTAGGATGTGTCATGGGTGTGCCAGGAAGCAAGAGCAGTAGCTTCACCATGGACAGTGCTACCTACCATCCACCAGGCTCCACTCAGGGAGCTTTTCCTAGAGAAATTCAGTTCATTGGTCAGAACAATCCACTGAGGTAGATACTATTATTCTCATCTTGCAGATTAGGAAACAGAGGCACATAAGAAAAGCAACGCATCAAGGTCATAGACCCAGTTGATGAAAGAGCCAGGATTTGAACCCAGGGAGTCAAGCCCCAGAATCCATGGTCTTATATAGCATCAATAGTGCCTATTCATCCCCCGAACACATACAATGAGGTATGAGGGGGTCTGCAGTAAGTTAAACTTGATAGGAAACAAGACCCACCCACTCCCCCAGGCTCTCCCACTTAGCTTCTCCTCCTGCCTGGCCAGGTCGCCTCATAGCCTAGAACACCCCAAAAGAGGTAGGTTCTGGGGCCAGAGACTAGACTAGGCACAGACTTGACTGCTGTCCCTCGCCTTTTTTTTTTTTTTTTTTTTAAGTTTTGAGACAAGGTCTTGCTCTGTTGCCCAGGCTGAAGCGCAGCAGCGCGATCTCGGCTCACTGCAACCTCTGCCTGCTGGGTTCAAGCGATTCTCCCGCCTCAGCCTCCTGAGTAGGTGGGATTACAGATGCATGCCACCATGTCCGGCTAATTTTTGTATTTTTACTAGAGACGGGGTTTCACCATGTTGGCCAGTCTGGTCTCGATCTCCTGACCTCAGGTGATCTGCCCACCTCACCCTCCCAAAGTGTTGGGATTACAGGCAAGAACCACCATGTCCGGTCTTGACTGCTGCCCTTACTAGCTACGGGGCTGTGGACGAGAGGCATCTCAGTGCCTCAATTTTCTACATCTGTAAAACAGGGCTCATCTTGGGTCCATGTGTGATGATTCAAGAGAATGAAGGTAAAAGACAGCACAGGACTGGGCACACAACAAGCACTCAGCAGAGCTCCCCTACATAACACTCATCATTACTGTGGTCCATGGACCAAGATGCAGGATGTGGCCCTGAGAAAGGCCCTTGTCATGATGATGCTCTGTGTTTGAGAAACAGAACTTTAAAAGTTAAAATTGGCTGGGGGTGGTAGCTCATGCCTGTAATCGCAGCACTTTGGGAGGACGAGGCAGGCAGATCACTTGAGTTCAGGAGTTTGAGAGCAGCCTGGCTAACATGGCAAAACCCCATCTCTACTAAAAATACAAAAATTAGCTGGATGTGGTGGTGCATGCCCATAATCCCAGCTACTCAGGAGGCTGAGGGAGGAGAATCGCTTGAACCTGGGAGGCAGAGGCTGCAGTGAGCAGAGATGGCGCCACTACATTCCAGCCTGGGCAACAGGCAAGCCTCCATCTCAAAAAAAAAAAAAAAAAAGTATACCCTGTAACTCAGCTGTGAATTAAAAAATTATTTTTCTCTCGGATATTATTCTGTCCCAGGGCCCCCATTTCCATGAAGTAGCCAAAGAAAAAAAAAAGGTCAATCCAAAGGAATTCAGTATCTTCCAGTATCAATTTCTTTTCCATGCTAATGATTCTCTTTTGGGATAATACTTAGGAATTCAAGAATCGAGATCCCTCCTAGGGCTGTGACTTCCTTCTCTCAAAAAGACTCCCCTTCCCTCCCTGCCCTCCTCTCATTGATGGCTTCTGCACACAGGGAAAGACAACAGGGAAGCAAAAGTCAAGGGAACACATTTTAAAAATACACCGTCCAATTTCAAGAAACTAGATTTTCAACAGATGAAAACAGTAGCAGAATAAATTGCAGAGTCCAGATCATCTTGTCGCATTGCCCAATGGAGTTCAAACGGATTAGTTTGTATCAAGAGCATAATGACAAACCAGGTATTATTATGCAAGGTTTTCATATTGTTTTACAGAATTTGAACTGGGGTGGGGTGGGGGAGGGAAAAAGTAAGGTCTTTGGAAGGTCTTTGGTCTTTCTGTTTGGAAGACAGAAAGGACTTTGTTTTATCCTGAGCTCCTGATTTCATGAACTAATTTCTGGTGGTAAATAACACTTTTTTTTTTCTTTTTTGAGACAGAGTCTCGCTCTGTTGCCCAGGCTGGAGTACAATGGCACGATCTCAGCTCACTGCAACCTCCGCCTCCCGGGTTCAAGCGATTCTCCTGCCTCAGCCTCCCGAGTAGCTGGGATTACAGGTGCCTGCCACCAAGCCTGGCTAATTTTTGTATTTTTTAGTAGAGACAGGGTTTTACTGTGTTTGCCAAGCCGGTCTGTATCTCCTGACCTCAAGTGATCCACCAGCCTCGACCTCCCAAAGTGCTGGGATTACAGGCATGAGCCACTGCACCTGGCTGCACTTTCTAGAAGGGTGATCTCTCATAAAATAATTCACTGACCATGGCGGTCTACGATTGCATCTTTCCTTCAATGCCTTCACTTTGAAAAATATAAAGGGTGGCCGTCGTTTGTCAGTCTTTACATATTTGGGGGACGTCTTCATTGTCCAACAAAGCCCAACAGTCTCATAGCCATGGATACAATCTGCCTTTCTCACATGATGCACGTAGAAACTGA
Source organism: Homo sapiens (assembly GCF_000001405.40). Lineage (NCBI taxonomy): Eukaryota > Metazoa > Chordata > Mammalia > Primates > Hominidae > Homo > Homo sapiens. Next base: position 72,723,157 of record NC_000017.11, read on the forward strand.
GGCACATACAGTAAGGGCCGAGTGCTCAGTCAGGTTGTCAGGTGCTTGTCAGGTGAAGTCCCAGATGCTTCATAGAGAGATGTCACCAGGAGGACAGAGTGCTGAAATGAGCACGTGTCTTAAAATCCCTCCCAGGATTTTCTTTGTCTTTGTAGGAGTGTAAGAGTGTGTGTGTGTGTGTGTGTGTGTGTGTGTGTTTGCAGCCTAGCTGTCAGGAGGTCTGGATTAGAGAATTTCTCCATCCTTCAAAGGAAAACCATCTTTCAGAGTAAGTAGTAGCAGGAAGAGATGGATGACAGTAACTGGATTTGTAATACCAGTGAGGCCAACCCCAAACACACACAACCATCACCCTACATGTGGATTGTCTGTGCTAGGAGAAGAAAGTACAGGCGTGAAGAGTGCTAACTTCAGAACACCCCAAAATCAACTAGATTTTTCTTTTTGCCATTTTTGAGGTGATACATTTACTTTTCGAATGACTTCCGTTGAATAATGTTATTTGTTCCATCAGTCCTGGGGAGTGAAGAAAGTGGGTCGTAAAAGTCTGCCAGACACAGACGAAGCCAGACCAAGATGGAACCTTGTGGGCAATCTCAGGTTAGCAGGTAATCAGATCATTCACCCATCTGTCCATCTGTTTATCCAATTCAACCCAGAGATTCACAAGCACCAGGCTCCATGATGGCATATTTTGCAGGCAAATGGCTATTAAGTTCTTCATTCTCCTCCACGTGTTCTGGAAAATCACCAGGTTTCCAGGTAACGACGGGATTGTATTTGTCAGCACAGAACTGGGGATGTGGAGGACAAAGTCTCCAAGGAGTAGTTCTTCTTCCCTGGTAGGATTTCTCAGTCAAAGAAAAATCTTAGACGTGCAACTATTGGGCGATCAGTGGTGCTAACACGGGAACACACATCTTACTGGCAAAACACTGTCCCTTTTATTTTTTTTTTTCTGTAAAACGTTGCTCTTATTGGGAGCTTGAAAAGCATTATCATAAAAAGCCATGGGAAGGGAGAAGGGGAGAGGAAAGAGAGGGACAGAGGGGGATAAGAATTGCCCAGGTTTGGACAAGGACTCTGGAGATGAGGCCCAAGATGATTCATTTCTCCCTGTTCGCTTCCCAGCCCTCAATCCCATCTGGCTCCTTTCATTTGAGTTTTCTATTGCAATGCACAAAACAGATAATTTTCCAAAAGCTTGCTCAAAAGCTTCCAGGTGGTCCAAGAATGGGAGGGGCACTTCTTGCAGTTCAAATGGGACAAGAGAAAAAACATCAAGAAAGCGGTGGGGGGGAGTGAGCTTCAGAGGGGAAGCTGAGACAATGAGGAAAGCAGACCTTTTGAGACATCCTGGATGTTCCCTCCACCCTCTGAAATGGAAACATGACCAGCTACAGACAGATCAGCTCTTAGAGGGGAGGAAAGAGCCCCAGGGTTCAGGAACCAGGAGCTCTGACTTGAGTCATCCCTGATGACTTCCTTTTCCACTCTGAGACTTCAGTTTCTTCACTTATAACATTAGAGACTTGGGCTAGATCAGGGATTTTCTGCCAAGTGCAGAGGGGAACTTTCATGGAAAGGGTGGTATCTATTCCATCCAGAGTGTTCGCTTAGGAACTTGTTCCAAAAGCTCAACTGCTAAAAAAAAAAAAAATACTTAAGAGGCAAGATGATCTTTCAAAGTCATGTCCAGCCCACCAGTCCTACAAATTCAAGCCTGTTTTCCCAGTTGCAGTTGATGAAATAACTATTCTAAGTTCTCTCTCTCCAAAAAGATGAATCCTGTGCTCAGTGAATCTCTGTGGATTGAAGGGATGGATGGATGGACAGACTGATGAATGACTTGATGGCAAATTACATAGGATGGTGAGAACCTGTTTGATCCTGGTCTGGCTTTGCCCATGCATCCGGTGGACTTCCTTGGCCTGGCCCACTTTCTTCACTTCCCAGAACGCATGCAATAAATAACATTATGTTTTTAAGTCACTAGAAAAGTAAATGTCACCCTCTCCCCTCCAAATGGCAAAAAGAAAAACTGAACTGATTTTTGGGTGTCTGGAAGTGAGGACTTTTCGCACCTCTATGCTCCCCTGCTAGGGTAGACCATCAAAAGCTTGGAGTAGCTTCTGACACTTTAATTGGCCCATTTCACATTTCTACCCCTCTACGTAGGGTCACATAAAAGCTATACTTTTATTCCCAACATGGGAAAATAAGACAATAACGAGCTTTATAAATGCTTAATTAAATGGGGGGTGAAAAATCAGGGTATAACAGCCAGAATATAAGGATGTTACTATTTTGAAAAATATCCAAAGCAAAGTTGGACATGTCCAAAGTTACATGTAACTTACATATATGGTCCTTAGCCTTCTGCAGATACACCTTCTGTACAAGCCGAACATAGATTTGGATAGCGACACACAGTCACCTTTCCTGGTCAAACTTTTTCCTTCTGGTACTGTGTCTAGCAACCTATGCTACCAAGCTACCGCGTGGTGGCGCCGTCTGTCCACCGCTGCCAGCCGGCACTTTCAAATTCCACTGTCTCTTTGTAAGGTGAGGCTGTGTAGTGTGGCAGGATGAGCCAGGAAAACTGAAGAGAAGGAGCTGCCAATAGATCACTCTAGAATTCCAGACAGGGTAGTGTGATAGGTTCAAGAGAAGAGCTTGCCTGCATAAAATAAAATTGAGAGCACAATGTGCGATTGCAGATAAAGAATAGAACAGGATTGTGCCGAAGTGACTCAAGGGTGGGAGGGGCATTTTTCTGCTGTGAAAGGGTGGGGACAGTGGGATCAAGATGTCAAAGTATTTTCTCCACAAGTACCTTAGTGTCCTCAGGCTGGGTCTCCAATTCTCAGGCTAAAAGCCACTCTCCAGGGAGACCAGGCTGGGAATGCTGAGACCCAAGTTGCTAGGCAGGGAGGAGGTTAAGATCAGCAACTTTGAGGAAGTAAGGGTCTCCCTAGGATGCTCCACGAGTCTGGGAGACTGAGTGCTGCCTGGGGCAGGTCTAGGCATTGCAAGAGCAGCTGCATGGAGGCTTGGAGGGAGCCAGTGAAGACAGCTTGCTTGTTCAAAGATGTTAGAGTGAACTATAATTAAAATGTTTCCATGTGAGTTCTCCGAGACTCCTCCCCGCCACAACAATGAAGTCTCCTTTGTAACTTCTCTACAGGTAACCTGCAAGCATGCTTTCAATAATCTACAGGATGCACACCTGGAGTCCCAGCTACTTGGGAGGCTGAGGAGGGAGGATTATTTGAGCCCAGGAGGTCAAGGCTGCAGCAAGCTATGATTGTGCCACTGCACTGCGGCCTGAGCAACAGAACAAGATCCTGTCTACACACACACACAAACACACACACACACAATCTACTGGAGCAAAAGTAGAGGGGCTGCTTGGACAGGTAGACACACATGTAACGTATCTTACACATACAGACATGCTCATCTACTAGCTAATGTTGATGAATGACCAGGAAAATATGTCAAAATATGCCACTTTTCTTTCTAAATAAAGGGTTGCTTTGTTAACTAATGGCTGCTGTCTTAAATAATTGTTAATATATCAACATATATATGTATAAGCCAGGGGAAAGGATTTATCTGACTTACGATCTTTCCTCTTTGATCAGAGAGGCAAACATATATCTTAAAATTGGTTTTGATGCCTCCATGTGTAATTTAATGGGCTATACTACATCCAAATGTAGACTAATCAACCATGCCTCCTTTACCAAGTGTCTGGGTGTTGATTAGCAGTAGCTGGTCCGGTCATATCTTGGGGATGTGTTTTGTGGACTATCCATGGCACACTAAAGTTCGCAGCCAGCCTCCTCTGCTGTGCACAGCCTGCTCTGGGATGGCCGCTGCACCTGTAGGTCAAGGCAGGTCCACAGACTACAAACGTCTCTTGACGCGTGCTTAGTCAAAGCTTAAAACAGGAAGTGGTATGTGAAGCTGAGTGTTTAAGCATAAACAGTCTTACTCTCCCTGCTGGTTTGAATGATGCCTGCCACTGAGTGAAGTGGGAGCTGAGGGCATGTCTCCTCTCCAGAGAACATGTTCTTTGAAGTGACGATACAGCAGAAAGGAAAACCGCTTAAGCATGCAATTCCCCAAGCACATACGGTCTGAAGAATTCCTCTGTGATTGAAACAGAAAGAAACTGCTATGGGACCAGAACAGAAAGAAGCAAGCTGGGGCCAGGCACAGTGGCTCACGCCTGTAATCCCAGCACTTTGGGAGGCCGAGGCGGGTGGATCACGAGGTCAGGAGATGGAGACCATCCTGGCTAACACGGTGAAACCCATCTCTACTAAAAACACAAAAAATCAGCCAGGCGTGGTGGCGGGTGCCTGTACTCCCAGCTACTCGGGAGGCAGAGGCAGGAGAATGGTGTGAGCTCAGGAGGTGGAGGTTGCAGTGAGCTGAGATCGTGCCACTGCACTCCAGCCTGGGTGAAAGAGTGAGACTCCGTCTCAAAAAAAAAAAAAAAAAAAAAGAAAGAAGCAAGCTGTGTTTCCCTTGAACTACAGGCCTCCCTCTGCTGGCTGAGAGTCTTCCTAATTCAGGAGACAATGACCTCTGAATGAACACCTTGGTGCAAGCTGACCTGGCCAGGTAGGGAGGTGGACAGATGGGAAGGAGCTGGGGAGGGCTCCAGGAAGGTGAGGAAGTAACGGCATCTGTACACCAGATGGCAGCAGCCACACACACATGATAGGCGAGGTGCCTGCCTGTCTTCTTCCCAGGTCAGAAACCCCTGAAGTGGGAACTGAAGACAGTGCCTTCTTGGAATAGTTCCTTTTCTTGTGGGTGGCTATAATGCCACAGGCGACGTTTATATGAAGCCTCCTGCTTCAACAGACAGGGCACAAGCAAGAGGTCATAAAAAAGACAGTTGGCCTCAGAGTATTTAATGATGAATATGGGCTAAAAACAGGGATTGTGTCCACTAAAGGAGGGGTCTAACGCTTTCTGAAAAGGGTCAGATAGCCAGGTGTGGTGGCTCACGCCTGTAATCCCAGCACTTTGGGAGGCTGAGGCAGGCAGATCACTTGAGCTTAGGAGTTGGAGGCCAGCCTGGGCAAACTCAATCTCTACAAAAAATACAACAATTAGCTGGGTGTGGTGGTATGTGCCTGTAGCCCCAGCTGCTTGGGAGGGATGCTGAGGTGGGAGGATCGCTTGAGCCCAGGGGGTCGAGGGTGCAGTGAGCCATGATTGCACCACTGCACTACAGCCTGAGTGACAGAGTGAGACCCTGTCAAAAAGAAAGGGAAAGGGAAAGGAAAGGAACAAAGGAACAGGGAGGTCAGATAGTAAATATTTTCAGCTTTGCAGATAGTAAGTATTTCCAGCTTTTCAGCCTTAAGATTTCTCTGGCCATTATGCAGATCAGCCACTGTAGCACATATGGAGCCAAAGACAATATGTAAACAAATGGGTGCGCGTATGCTCCAATAAAGCCTCATTTCCAGAAATAGGTGTTGGGCCAAATTTGGCCCGCAGACCATAGTTTGCCAACCCCTCCACTAAAGGAGTCATAAACTATCTGGCTCAGTTAGCTTGGTGCACGTGTACCCTGGGCCTGTACTGGGTAACGCTTTCCCCAATCTGTGTAAATGGAGTCCTTCTTCCCTCTCAGTTCACTCCACGGCACGAGATTAACCTACGTCTCCTTGTCACTTGGACTCAAATTCTCCCTTCTCCCTTCCACGCGACAACAAAATCAGCTGGCAAACGCTGTCTGTGGGTTCTGTACGCAACAGCTCTTCCTGGGATCAGTCCTCATTCTCATGGTCATCACAACATCCAGTATCTTCTTCATTGCTGCTAAAACACACAGCAGTGGGGTGGGCTGTAAATATTCTTTTTCAGTTGGTGCATTCTTCACACTGGTTTATCTCCCCACCTGCTCTCCCAGATTATTTTATCTTAGCCAGATGCATGTTTGAGTTACCTCTTGGGTGATGTCTCTTGCCTGCATCGGAACCCACCATAGTTGCCAACTTTTTGCTGAGTAATGCACCTGTTTCTTTCCTGCCTCAATCCAATCCTTTATTTATTTAGTTTTATTTTTTTTGAGGCACAGTCTCTCTATTGCCCAGGATGGAGTGCAGTGGCACGATCACGGCTTACTGCAGCCTCAACCTCCCTAGGCTCAGGTGGTCCTCCCACCTCAGGATTCAGAGTACCTGGGACTACAGGTGCATGCCACCCCACCTGGCTATTTATATATATATATATATATATATATATATATATATATATATATATATATATATTTTTTTTTTTTTTTTTTTTTGTAGAGACAGGGTTTCATCATGTTGCCCAGGCTGGTCTTGAACTCCTGGGCTCAAGCAACCCACCTATGTCAGCCTCCCAACATGCTGGGATTACAGGCATGAGCCACTGCAACCAGCCAATCCAATCCTTTAGACATACCTTCTCTAAAGCACCAGAAAATTCTATCTCAGTCATATCGGTTTGTCCACCAGCCCTGAAAAAACCTTGGCACCTACCTTGGCATTTGCTCAGAGTACTACCTGCCCTTATCATCCCCTTACCAAAGCAGACCACCCCTATGCTCCTGATGAAATGTAGACCATTCTATGAAGAGCCCTTGAGAGGAGCAAAAAGCTTGCCTGTCTTCTACTGGTTTCTTGGTCTGGCTTGGATCAAGCCCTTTGGAGCTTGGACTGTGTTAATCTTATGCCGCCTATGGGCTTAACTGTCGATTAATAAATTACTATGGGTATCTTTTCTGCTATTGACTTTCAACTATATCACATCGAAATCAAGACAATGCGGTCTGAATGGCATTGATCTTAGGGTATGTATTCTGACTCTCTCTGTGGCAGAGCACTCTAATCCATTTTAGGAACCCTCACGTGGCTTGAAATGAACGTAAGCTTTCTAATGACTGGGCTACAGTTTATATATGTCCACTGCATGCATTTTGTTAACTTAATATCTGCGTCATCTACAAGTATCAGACAGGGACATTAAACTCCCCCACCATGACTGTGTTTCTCCTTGCAATTCTGATGATTTTTCCTTTAAACAGTTCGAGGCTTATGTTGCTAGGCGCCTACAAACGCAGCATCAGGATGTCATTCTGGTACATTACTTCCCCTTTCCTTAAGTACTGACCTTTATCCCTTATCTGGCTTTCTGCCTTCAAGTCTGGTTTGTCTGAGACAAAAATGTAATACCCGCTTTCTTTTGATTAGCGTTTGCCTTGTATCTTTCTTCCTTTCAACTTTACCATGTCATATTTTAGGTGTGCCACTTATTAATCACTTAGAACTGAACATTTAAAAAGCAAAACCTCTTTGAAGAGATGAATTCCACCATCTGACGGCTGAATTATTTCACTTTGATTTTCCATCTCTCTTCCCAGTGTTTATTCGTTCATGCATTCTCACTTCCCTCCTCCATCCTATACCTCTCTCTCTCATTAGTAGTTGTCCTTTTAGATTCACTAGCATATTATTATTTTTTGAGACAAGGTCTTGCTCTGTCACCCAGGCTGCAGCACAGTGGTGCAATCACAGCTCACTGTAGCCTTGACCTCTCAGGCTCAAGTGATCCTCTTGCCTCAGCCCCCTGAGTAGATGGGACCACAGATGCACACCATGATGCCTAGATGATTTTTTTTCTCTTTTATAGAGATGGGGTCTCCCATCTTTATACTCAGCCGAGCAATAGGAACTATAGGTGTGCGCCACCACGTCCGGCGAATTTTTTGTATTTTTAGTAGAGACGGGTTTTCACCATGTTGGTTGGGCTGGTCTCGAACTCCTGACCTCAGGTGATCCGCCCGCCTCGGCCTCCCAGTGCTGGAATTGCAGGTGTGAGCCACTGTGCCCGGCCAGCCATGCCCATTTCTTTACGTATTATTTAGGGCTACCTTGGCACTTGCACGACAGTCAGTCAAGCAGTTGTGACAGAGATTATATGGCCCACAGGCCATCTGGAATTCTAAGAGAAAGTTTGGCAGCTTCTACTCTAGAATGGCAGTTACTTTTTCTTGGCACTTTGAAGACAGCATTCCCCTGTCTTCAATTAGAGCTCAGAAATCTTCTGTGAGTTGAACTGTCGTTTCTGTGTAGAGAATCCGTCTCTGCCTCCGGTATCTCCAGATTCTGTCCCAGTCCCTGGTGGATATGGTTTGGATCTGTGTCTCCGCCCACATCTCATGTGGAATTGTAATCCCCAATGTTGGGGGTAGGACGTGGTGGGAGGTGATTTGATCATGGGGGCGGCTTTCCTCCTTGGTGTCTTTTGTAAAACTATTATATTATTATAAATCTATCCATTATTAAGTATTAAAAAGTGCTTTCATTTGTGCAACCTTATGCAGTTTTTTTTTTTAAATAAACCTTTCATTTTAGATTAGCTTTAGGTCTACAGAAAAGCTCAAAGATAGTAGAGAGAGTTCCTGTGTACCCTGCCCTCAGTTTCCCCTATCGCTAGCATCTCACTTTGGATGGAACATTTGTTACAACTAAGGAACCCATATTGGTGCATTCCTTTTTTTGTTTGTTTGTTTGTTTGTTTGTTTGTTTGAAATGGAGACTTGCTCTGTTGCCCAGGCTGGAATGCAATGGCGCGATCTTGGCACACTGCAACCTCCACCTCCCAGGTTCAAGAGATTCTCCTGCCTCAGCTCCTGAGTAGCTGGGATTACAGGTGCCCACCATCACGCCTGGCTAGTTTTTTGTATTTTCAGTAGAGGTGGGGTTTCACCATGTTGGTCAGGCTGGTCTCGAACTCCTGATCTCGGGTGATCCACCCACCTTGGCCTCCCAAAGTGGTGAGATTACAGGCCCTTTTCTTTTCTTTATTTTTTTCTTTTCTTTTCTTTTTTTTTTTTTTTTTTTTTTTTTTGAGACAGAGTCTCGCTCTGTTGCCCAGGCTGGAGGGCAGTGGTGAGACCTCAGCTCACTGTAACCTCAGCCTCCCAAGTAGCTGGGATCAAAGGCACCTACCACCACACCCGGCTAATTTTTGTATTTTTAGTAGGGATGGGAGGGTTTTGTAGGCCAAGCCGGTCTTGAATTCCCGACCTCGAGGGATCCGCCCGCCTCGGCCTCTCAAAGTACGGGATTATAGGCGTGAGCCACGGCACCTGGCCATGTGCATTACTTTTAACTACACTATATTCAGATTTCACTAGTAACTACACTATATTCAGTGTATTCAGATTTCACTAGTTCTTCCCTAACGTCTCTTTCCTGTACAAAGATCCCATCCAGAACAGCGCCTCGCATTTAGTCTCCTTCGTCTTCTCTGGACTGTTTCTTAGACTTCCCTTGTTTTGGGACCATCTTGGCAGTTTTGAGGAGGGCTGGTCAGGTATTTTGTCCCTCGGTTCGGGTCTGTCTGATGCATTTCTCCTGCAGTTTTGTTATTTCTAGTTTTGTGAGTGCTATCTTTCCTGCGCAGCGGCATGTTTCCCTCTGTGGTTTGTCTGTATTTTATTTTCTATTTGAGTGTAAGTGCAACCGTACTTAAGAGTCCTCCTCCTTGCCCCCAGGCATCTGGTGTGGCTGGTTAGTGGAAGAGTTAGGGCTTTGTGTAGGTAAGGACTTTATGTTTGTTCCTGCTAGAGCCTGAAAGATTTCTATTATCCTAGGCCAGTATTTATGCTCTTTATTTGAGGTTTCTGGTACAAGATAGAGTATAAAAGTTTGTACCATACACCCTTTGTGTGATGCAGGTCTAGGGTTTTCCTATCCTGCACATCATTTACTATGCCCTATACCCCATCTCTCTGTCCAAGATCCTGGAGAGAGGACAAGTTGCACACGCAAGTTCCTGGACCAGTGGGTGGAGTTTTATAGTCCCTTTTACAGAAGGCAATGCCTACAAGCCCTGGTCTTTAGGCTGGGCTGTTTCAGTTCCCTGACATCCAAGGGCAAGGGCACGGCTCCATCCGCTCCATAGGCAAGAGGTCCAACCCTCAATCCTTTGAAGCTCTGTGAGGATCTGAAACCACCTACCACGGTGTCTTTGATTTTTCCCTTTATTTCTAGCATCTGGCATTTCTTTCTCCTTAGTCCTTGGCTGTGTAGTAAAAACCATGTTTACTAGTTTGTTTGTTTGTGGTGGGACATCCATGTCAGCTGATCTCACCATGTTACTGGAAGTACTAGTGACAAATGTTCAGCTTCTAGGAAGAGTTTTTTCATACAAATTGTGTTTTCTGCAATGACTAGCAAAATATGAGACATATACCACTACTCACTAAAGAACGGGTGCATGAATGAATGAATGAATGAATGAGTGGAGACCAGGACTGCTCAGAAGATAAGCTAAGCATCTGCAGCCTCCGTGGAGGCTGGACTGGCTGAGTCTGGGAGACTCCGGGCAGGCAGGGGCTGGTGCACAGTCCCCCTGCCTGGCACTCTGTGTCACAGTGGTCCTGGCCTCATGCGGCCTTATTCAATGCTGAGGACCACATGATTTCACCAATGGCTCATCCAACAGGGTTGCCTGTTCACTTTCTACTTTCATCATCTTACAGTGTCAGTGCCTTTTCTTTTCCCTCTTGAAAGAGGGAACTGAGAATGAGTGTGGGTGGATTTAGTGCAATTGATCAAGCCAAAGTCTCATCCTGGATTGCAGGTGGTCATCTAAGGCAAGATACTGCCTTGGTGTATGAACCCCATAGCAGGCTGTTTCTGCAGGGCTGGCTTCTCTGGACTCTACACACAAGCACAGATGCTGGTTCGAAAGCCCCAGCATTATGAGATAACTGGAAGCTGCAGCCCTTGACCTCCTTGTGTCAACAGGCACAACACTGGCCCCGACCTGCTATGAGTTGAGCATTCTACAGCCTTGCAGGGTGGTAGGCTCTGCCTGTCCAGGCTACAGTTCAGCACATACCTTTCCCTCATGGCTACTCAAGTGGGAAATCCTCACTCTCCACTATCCTTTTGTCCCTATCCTCCCATGAAATCCTATGTGTAGTGTGAACTAAAGGCAGAGAAAGCTAACAAGTCTTGGCCCAGGGGCTGTTCTACATCTTGCCACCCAAGAAGAAGATGCCAGACATTTAGAGAGGAGGGAATCACAAACTCTACACGTTTTTCAAAGTGGGGAGAATGGGCTGAAGGGTCTGCTTGAGGGAATGTTCTTCCCTCGTTCCTTCTCTGCAGCCTGCATTGCAGGGGTCCCCTGGCCCCAGTACTCTGTGGACATAGTGGCAATGGCAGCACAGCTCCATCATTCCTGCCCCTCAGGCTGTGACAATAATGGGTCAGGTGTGGGGGCATATGGACCCTCCAGTGATGCTTGTATAGCAGAGGGTCTCGTGAGGCTGAAAACACCAAGGCCTGCTGCCCCGACTCCACCCCAGTTAGAGGATCCTGTCGAGGGCTTTTGTAACTGAGAGAGAATCTGTTTGGTCCGGGGAAGGGAGGAGCTGAGTTGGAAATATTTTTGCTCCACTTTCTTCCAAAATACTTATAAAGACTGGCAGAAAGTGCAGGTGACAGAACAGAAGAACATCGGAGTTGACATGATGATGTCGCGGGGGACGTGGTGCCACCAGAGAGCCTGGCCTGTGAGTTCCATGCCTGGGGCACAGCTGTCACTTGCTGGGCACAGACCTCTGCAGCGTGTGCGGTTTCCTGCGCTCTGGGAGGACTTGGCCTTTGAATGTTTATAAGGTCACACCCTCTGGGCTCTTCAGCCCCGTGGATACTGCTTGACTCTGAAGTCTCTTGTGGTCTAGTGGAGTCAGGATCAAAACTGCTGTGCCAGGGGCAGAAGAGCTACATGCCCCCACCCCAGGCCCCGCGCTTAGAAGAGCAGTCTGCAGGGTGTGACGAGTCATCATTAGCCCTTGTTTTGGGTGACATTTCTTACATTCTAAAGGCTCTGCCCTCCTTGTCTACCATCTCATGTGATTTTCACCATAAGCATCATTTTAATGAATGACTTGGGAGTCTGAGAGGCAGGAACATGAAGTTGAGAATAAGAAAAGTTTCGCCCTGGAACATTCCAGCCCATGCACATATTCGGGGCTTCATGGAGCAGGCACGCTTCTTAACGTACAGCCTTAGAATTCAGCGACCAGCAATGACTACATTTAACACACAGGGGCTCCATTTCAGCTGGGGAAACAGATGCAAGGAAGCGGCCTGAACACAGTCCTCAGGGCGCATAAACAGGCCCCACGCAGGCTTGGTAACCAGGGAAGGATGGAAAAGGGGTTATGTGAGAAATTCGTTTCTGACAGTCACGATCAATGGGTGCAGGAGGGAGTGCTATTTCCTTGGGGGAGTCAGGGAGAATATTTTGGGACTGCATCAGTCTGAAGACAGTGAATGAGCTCCAAGAGTGATAAACCAGTCGCCCTTGAGCCACTGCACTGAGTTATGTTTTAAAATAACTGTGAATTCAAGTACCTTTAGATAGTGCGCGTGCTGTTTAAAGTTCGCCTTATTCCTCATGGTTCCCAGCTGTCTTCACCTGACTGTCTCCACCCATTTTGATGATCTTTTAGTCCCCTGAAGCCACTTGAGTTTGCTGCCCTCAGATAGAAGGCTCCATCCTGCAGAGTGTGGCATTTATGGCTTTATGGGCCTGGGTGGACCATGGAAACCACAGCTGCACGATGTCTAGAGAACAGCATGTGATCCCAAGGCTGTGACCTTACCTATGCCCTGTTTATTTCCAGGCAGGTAGAAGAGCAAAGAATTTACAAGGCCCAGTGCTTCTGTATGGAAGGTGAGGGAAAACGCGGCATTGAGAGTGACGGCAGGGTTGGCTTGGTCAACTGGGTACAGCGGTGACAGGGAACCCTGGAGGAGGGGCAGGTTCTACATGACAGCAGATGGAGAAATATAGGAACATATTCAGGACAAAAGACTCAGCTGGAGCTTGACTTGGGTATCATCAGCAAACACATGGAAAATAAAGTCACAAGGACGGAGAAGATTGCCCAGAAATGGTGTGTTCAGTGAGAAGGAAGGATGCTCTGGATACAGGTCCCTGGGAACATCACCTCTTAAGAACAGGCCATAGGATGACAAGCCCACCACCAAAGGGCCTTTCCAGGAGCAGGTGGAAAGAGAGAGGGAAACGAAGGGACCCTAGCATCAAGAAAGACAAAGGGAGGGCTTCAAAAAGGAAAGGCCTGAAGAGTGTCAGCGGCTGCCTTTGTTTTTTGTCATTAGTCTTCACACCTTTGAAGTGCTTAGAGTACAGCTTGCGATTCTATCCATGCTTTGTTTCCAAAATGATCATCACCCACTTAATAGCTCAGTTGAAAGACTCCTCTCTTAGGAGACTCCTCTCTCAGGGATGGCCTTCACCGGACCCCATGTGGCCTCCATCAGTCTTGGTCCTGTGGGGCTGGGGTGCTGAACAATAATGCACAGACAGCCCACCCAGGTGACACGCACACCCAGAGCACCCCTGGGTGCAGAACCATGCTCTAGGGTCCCAGGATGCTGGCTTACCTGGCACTCTCAAAGGTAGCAGATGCCGTCTTTTCTATAGCCCCAAATCCAACTCCAACAGCGAGACCCTCTGAAATAGATGTAAGAAAAGCAAGAGGGGTTAGGAATATTTCCCCATAAGGAACATCACCATCACTGTCACTGCATTAAGTAGGACTGCATGAGGCTGCCAGTCAAAGAAAATCATCGTAACAGCAGCTTAAACCCAGGGAAACTAAGTCATGGGGGCCAAATGGCTGCTGCCTTCTTCTCTATGGCCTGCAACCTAGGAATGATTTTTGTATTTTTTAAGTAATTGAAAAAACAATGACTATTTCATGATACATGAAAATTATGTAAAATTTGGCCAGGCACAGTGGCTCATGCCTGTAATGCCAGCACTCTGGGAGGCCAAGACAGGCAGATCACCTGAGGTCAGGAGTTCGAGACCAGCCTGGCCAACATGGTGAAATCCCATCTCTACTAAAAATACGAGAGTTAGCAGGGCGTGATGGTGCACACCTGTAATCCCAGCGACTCGAGAGGCTGAGGCAGGAGAATCACTTGAACACAGGAGGCGGAGGCTGCAGGGAGCCAAGAGTGTGCCACTGCACTCCAGCCTGGGTGACAAAGTGAGACTCTGTCTCAAAAAAAAAAAAATAAAAATAAATTTATATAAAATTCAAATTTGAGTGTCTGTAAATGAAGTTGTACTGGCACACAGCCATGCTCATTGGCTGACGAAATGTTTATGGTGGGTTTCATAGTACATGAGCACAGTTGAGTAGTTGGGACAGAAACTGTATGGCCTGAAATCTAAAATATTTACTTTCTGGAACTTTCATAACCCCTGGCCTAAACACACAGGGCTTTATTTATTAGCTCATGCAACAGAAAGTCCAAGGTTGATACAGCAGCCCAAAGATGTCACTGCAGACATAGGTGTCTTTAGTTTTCATTTTTTTTTCCTTCATTCTCACCATTAGGTCCTCATAGTTGCAAAGTGACTGTGCTACCTCCAGGCATCTCAATTACATCCTAGGCAAGAAGAAAGTAGAAAGGTAGAAACCTTTCTTTAACAAGTCTTTGTCTCATTACTCTGGAAGGAACATCTTTCCCAGCATCCCTCATACCTCTTCGGCCAGAACAGGAGCAAACGCCCATCCCTAGATCCATCGCAGCCTCAGGCCCCAAATACTGAGACTCCAGGACCAATTGAGGCCAGTCTCAATCCCTCTCTGGGGCTGGGAAAGAGTCTACCCTGCCCATGCTCCCTGAAATCAAGGGAGCCACCATCTGAATAAACTGGGGTCTTGTCAGTAGCAAAGGAGGAGGGGTGGCGTGATCACCACCACCAGCATGCATTTTTATTTTTATATTTTTATGTTTTATTGAGAACGGAGTCTTGCTCTGTCACCCAGACTGGAGTGCAGTGGCATGATCTCAGCTCACTGCAAGCTCCGCCTCCCGGGTTCACGCCATTCTCTTGCCTCAGCCTCCCGAGTAGCTGGGACTACAGGCGCCCGCTACCACGCCCGTCTAATTTTTTGTATTTTTAGTAGAGACGGGCTTTCACCGTGTTAGCCAGGATGGTCTCGATCTCCCGACCTCGTGATCCACCCATCTCAGCCTCCCAAAGTGCTGGGATTACAGGCATGAGCCACCGCACCTGGCCAAGCAAGCATTTTTATATGACTGCTCTTTGAAGAACATTCCAGCTTTCAAAGGAACCACCCTCATATGGTGCAGACAGATGCGGTCTACACTGATGGGGTGGCTGGAGTCGAGTGTGCAGCGTGGGGCTAGACAAGATGGGTTTTCACGTCCTTTCCTGTGGTACATGGGCTTGCCAAGTTCACCACCCACTCGCCTAGGGATCAGATGTGGGAGGATGATGCTGGTCTGCGTGTATCTGATGGCGCAGCGAGGGTCATGGAAGGAAATGGACCTGATCCAGTGGCCACGGACCAAAGGAGTGGAAGCACAGCATCAGGGCGCTTCTGACATCTGTGAAGAGGGCGATGATTCCCCTCGATCCAAACACGAAGGAGAACTACTGAATTACCACCACTGTTCAGGAGCAAGGCCAAGGGCTTTGGGGGTCAAATTCGAACTTTCTTTTAAGAAGAGGGAAGACATAAAAATCGACTGAATGAGAGGAACTCGTTTTCTTTTGATTCATTGCCTCTTAGTACAGCGCATTTCTTTCTTGTGTCCTGTCTGTTTGAAGTGGGTCCAGGATGCTGGAATTGTGACACTGACTCCAGGAGACACCTGGGGACAAGAAGGCAGCGGAGACTTATCCCATGTTCAGGTGAAAGTGCTCACCTGTGATGCACTCCAGCTCAACAAGAGTCCGCAATGGGGTCTGGAGCCCAAAGATCCTGCTAAGGAATAAGGTGTTCTTTTTTTTGCCTAATTTTACCTTTTGTGCTTGATCTCCTGCGGGGTCCTGATGGGATAGCTGTGATCACTGTAAGCTGCAGGTTGAGAATTTCGGATTTTTTTTTTTTTTTTGAGACACAGTCTCACTCTGTCGCCCAGGCTGGAGTGCAGTGGTGCGATCTCGGCTCACTGCAACCCCCACCTCCTGGGTTCAAGTGAGTCTCCTGCCTCAGCCTCCCAAGTAGCAGGACTACAGGCATGCGCCACCATGCCCAGCTAATTTTTGTACTTTTAGTAGAGACAGGATTTTACCGTGTTGGCCGGGCTGGTCTTGAACTCCTGACCTCAAGTGACCTGTCTGCTTCAGCCTCCCAAAGTGCTGGGATTACAGGCATGAGCCACTGCACGCAGTGAGAATTTGGGATTCTGATTCCCTACCAAGTATCTTTCCAGTTATAAGAATTTTTATAACAACCAATGTCAGGACACGGAGTCCTAGGACAACAGAGGTGGAGGAAACTGCAGAGATCAGCCACTGTGACTCCTGGGCCACTGTCAGATTCAGAAGCCAGGTAGTCAGAGGGAGGTCTTTCCAAAACCAGACAGCAGCATCAAGCCTTCTGGGCCCGGCCTCTCAGCGTGCACGTGCACACCTTAGCAGCCCACAGAGAAGGCTCCAAAACCCTCCCTTTAACAGCTCTGAGGCTGAAGGTGGCTGGCTGGAGTCAGCACCACCAGAGCAACCAGGCTTTAAAATCGATACGCATTTTTAAAAATTATTTTTTATTTACAGTGGACCCTTGAACAATGCAGGGATTAGGGGCGCCAATCCCTTGCACAGTTGAAAACCCACATATAACTTTAAACTCCCCCAGAAATGTTACTAATAGTCTAATATTGACGTTACCAAGAACATAAAG
Organism: Homo sapiens; assembly: GCF_000001405.40. NCBI lineage: Eukaryota > Metazoa > Chordata > Mammalia > Primates > Hominidae > Homo > Homo sapiens. The sequence goes on from NC_000017.11 coordinate 72,739,934, forward strand.
TCAATTGACACATATTTTGTGTGCTATATATATTATATACAGTATTCTTACAAGAAAGTAAGCTAGATAACACTTCTTATATTTTTACAGTAAAGCAAGCTAGATAGAATTTCTTTCCTTTTCTTTTTTTTTTTTTTTTTTTTTTTTGAGATGGAGTCTCTCTCTGTCGCCCAGGCTGGAGTGCAGTGGCGCCATTTCGGCTCACTGCAAGCTCCACCTCCTGGGTTCACACCATTCTCCTGCCTCAGCCTCCCGAGTGGCTGGGACTACAGGCGCCCGCCACCACGCCTGGCTAATTTTTTGTATTTTTTAGTAGAGACGGGGTTTCACACCGTGTTAGCCAGGATGGTCTTGATCTCCTGACCTCGTGATCTGCCCACCTCAGCCTCCCAAAGTGCTGGGATTACAGGCGTAAGCCACCGCGCCCGGCCAGAATTTCTTAATGTTAAGAAAATCATAAGGAAGAGAAAATACATTTACAGTGCCGTACTGTATTTATCAAGACCGTACGTTTATGTTGTCTGTTTATAAAGAGGAGTTGTGTGTCTGAAATGGTAGGCACCCACAGCTGCAGACCTCAAACTATGGTACATATCAAGCAAGTTCATTTTTTCTTATAACGTCATGACTTTTTTCTGCTTCTTGGGAGCACTTCCAGCATCCTTAATGGTACTTTGTGTGGGTCCCGTGCTGTTATTCAAGGTTTACGATATTGCACTAAACATGACGAAAACTACGTAAGAACTGAGAGAGATCACTTTTTACGGGACTATGCAATTCACTGCAGAGATGAACTGCTCATGAGGAGATGCTCAGTGTCACAAGGCCTTTTTTTATTTTTATTTTTTATTTGTATTTGAGACGGAGTTTTGCTATTGTTGCTCAGGCTGGAGTGCAATGGCGCAATCTTGGCTCACCGCAACCTCCGCCTCCCAGGTTCAAGCGATTCTCCTGCCTCAGCCTCCCGAGTAGCTGGGATTACAGGCGTGCACCACCATGCCCGGCTAATTTTGTATTTTTAGTAGAGACGGGGTTTCTCCATATTGCTCAGGCTGGTCTCGAACTCCTGACCTCAGGTGATCTGTCCGCTTTGGCCTCCCAAAGTGCTGGGATTACAAGCATGAGCCACTGCGCCCCACCCAACAAGGCCTTTTAAGCAGACGCCCGCAACACTTGAGCTCACTGCAACAGCAACAGGAGGTGGCTACAAAATTGTTACAGTAGTACAGTGGGCTGTAGTTAATTCTATGTAGTTATGACTTAATATATCGTTTACAAAATGTTTTAATTTTTAAAAAAGTTTTTCATAGAGATGGTCTCACTAAGTTGTCCAGGCTGATCTTGAACTCCTAGCCTCAAGCGATCCTCCTGCCTCAGCCTCTCAAAGTGCTGAGAATACAGGCTAACACTGCATCTTTACGTTTGCTTACATTTCTCTTCACTGTGAGTGGCACCATATATGATCTGTGTTTGTGGGTATAATTTTTGATAAATTTTAACTTTTTATAATTTGTGTATTTTTACAGTAATCAATGATAGACTAGACTAGTATCGACACATATATTTCACTGCAGGTATAAGGCTTATAGCCCAGTGTCTAGCATACAAAGGGCCACCAGTCCCCCATTTCCCGAGGCAAAGAATCACAGAGACGTTAGGATCTTGAAGAGGAGGCCTAATTTGGAGCCTAGAGGCCTAATGTGGAGCACTAGTATTTGCATTAAAATGACTAATTCAAATATAGGTGGGAACTGTCACCTCCAGTCCACAGATCAGAGAGGGAAGGTGATGGGAGCTGGTCTGAGAGACACAGGTGGGTTCTGAGTCCGAGGCCCAGGGTGTTGGTCCTTCATTACTCAAGGAATATATATGATGAAAGCCATAACTCAAGTATCAGAAAGGGGTGTGGATCCATGTTCAATATTTTAAGGTTTGCCTGATGGATGCAACATCATCAAAAAGAGGTAAGCAAGAATGAGTACCCAGCCGGGCACAGTGGCTCCCGCGCCTGTAATCCCAGCACTTTGGGAGGCCGAGGTAGGTGAATTGCTTGAGATCAGGAGCTCAAGATTAGCCTGGCCAACATGGTGAAACCTCGTCTCTACTAAAAATACAAAAAATTTGCTGGGCATGGTGGCTCACATCTTTAATCCCAGCTACTAGGGAGGCTGAGGCTGGAGAATCGCTTGAACCCGGGAGGCAGAGGTTGCAGTGAGCCAAGATCGCGCCACTGCACTCCAGCCTGGGCGACAGTGTGAGACTCCATCTCAAAAAAAAAGAGTATCCTACGTGAGGTGGCTGACACTGGTGAGAGCTGAATTTCAGGGCAGGCTGCGATGGGTATGCCTAAGGGTTTCTGACATCCTTTCCGTTAGGGAGGAGGCAGCCTCGTTTTTGCAGCCCGAGTCGTGGGAGCTGCCCGTGTCCATGGTCATGAGAATATGAACTTCGAGAACATCTGACCTGCTGCCACCTGGCCAGTGTCCTGCCTTTGAGGAGTCCAGGATTTACAAGCCTGCTGTTCTCAACCTTGTTTGGCACTAACACACCGGAGACCATCAGTAACGGTGGGTCTGCAAGGCACAGATCTTCACCAGGGATCCTTGGGGAGAAACCAAGCAAACTATTTCCTGACACTAGACAGGCGTATCCCTCCCTTTGAGAAAATTCACTTTCTAAAACCATAAACAACAGCTGGTTGACTCTTTTGTTAAAAATTTTCCTTTTTTTTCCTTTGTGTACACATTTAATTTTATTGTAACAGACAACTCGTGCACTTTTAATGTTTAAAACTGAGCATCATCTTTCCTTTCCAGGGAAACAAAAAGAAAATTTAAAAATAAACAGGAATAAAATTACAATAGAGAATGTCAATTCCAAATAAGATCCTACAGGTTCTGCTGATTCTCCCATTGAGTGGCAGGGCTCAAGTCATCATTAGGAGAGAATTTATTTTAAAAGTGTCATCTTAAACCGCAAGGATATCTGTCAGATATCACAATTAAACATGCCAAAGGAGAAGCCATGTTTTCAAAATGTCCCCAAAATTTTCTTCTAATTAGTCATTTTAATGCAAATAATAGTGCAGCCCAGAGCACTAGGACCTGTGCTAATTAGCAAAACAATCGCTTGGAGTAGCTTAGCTCACAGCCTGAGCTTGCTGACTTGTGACATAAATGCTCACAGCAGCTTTGGGAGATTGGGGAAGGGAGCACCCAGTGAGCAGATGAAGAAAAGGGCCTGCCCTAGGTGACCCAGCTGGGGGGGCTAGAGCTGGGCCGTAAACCGCAGTCTCTCATTGTTTCCTGCCCCCAAGTGTCCTCTGCTGCCCAGTTTGCTTGCAGCTTTCCCCCAGCTACAACATGGCCCCATGGGTAGTGAACACTGGCATCTGAGTCTCTGTACCCTGAAGAGGTTTGGAGCAAAGGGAATGCATTTTCCCTCCGGCCCATCCTGTACCTCAGGCCAGGCCAGTAGCAGGGGACAAAAGTTCACAAATGAGCATTCTGTGATGGTTTGCAAAGGAGCAGGTCCTTCCTCTCAGGTCTGCAGTGGCCCTGGCGGGAGAGAACCACAACTCCACGCTGCCTTAGGAGGCATCAGCCCACTTTCCCCCTGGATTTAGAAAGCGAAACAGGAAGAAGAGGTCCTGGGGGAAGACAATGTATCTGTTACCGTGTCTGAAAACAGAGGTGATCCCCGAGAGCTAAGCTCATGAGAAGGCAGGACACGTTAGTTATGCATGCAGAAGGAACACCAAAACGAGAATTCAGGCCGACACTGAAGATCAACAGACGGTAGAAAGAACTCACTGGGGGGAAAAGGAAAGGAGGAAAAATGCTGACTGATGCTCATGCCCCCAGTGTCCCACCTCGAGTGCAAATAGAAGAAACCCAACTCATACTGTGAATAACTTCTTGCCCCTTTACACAGCTACTGCCATTAGCTCAGGGAAAATGAACTGCCTGGCCTGGGTTAGTAAGTCCGACTGAACGCAGGGTGAGGCAGAGTCTGGAAGACAAACTTGAACATAAGCACCAAAGCGGAAGGAGCTGGCTCCAACCTCCTCCTGGGGCTGGAAGGCGGCTCTGCCTGCCTCTCTCCACCTCCCCATTGCCCTTGCAACTCCATCCCTCCATGGCCTCCTCTGCGGAAAACAGTAACAAAAAGGGCATGGGCTTTGGTTGAGATAAACCCAGGCTCAAATCTTAGTATATTATTTAAGGTTCTTGCAAAAATGAAAGGGGGATAACACTGCTTTGCTTACAGGATGGCTGTGTTCAATGAAATGTACCTGACAGGCCTGTTCAGGGTTCCCCACTATTGACATTTGGTAGTCGGGGACTATCCTGGCCACTCTAGGGTGGTTTGCAGCATCCCTGGCCTCTACTCACTAGATGCCAGTAGCACCTCCTGTCCCAGTTGTGACAAAGATGTCTTCAGAGGTTGCCAAATGTTACTTTTCTTCTCTCCCAATGAGGGACACTTACAGAAAAAAAAAATTAAACTCTTATATTAATAGAACATTCTTAGAGTTTAAGTCAGTGCTAGGAAAGCAAACAATAAAAAACAAGTGTTTTCTTTTTCAATGGAGCCATAAGCAGCTCTTACTTTTAAGGGCATGGGGTGGAGTTTGCAGTCTTCTTGCCCAGTTCTGGAGGCTGAGAAGTCTGAGATCAAGGTGGCCGCAGATTTGGTGTCTGGTGAGGGCTAGCTTCCTGGTTCACAGACTGGGGGTTCCTTGCTGTGTCCTCATATGATAGGAAGGGTGAGGGGGCCTCTCTCTCGGGCTTCTTTTATATAGGCATTAATCCCACTCATGAGGGCTCCAACCTCAAAGCCTAATCACCTCCCCAAAGCCTCACTTCCTGATACCATCGCATTGGGGGTTAGCATCTCAGCATACACATCTTTTCTTTTTTATTTGAGATGGAGTCTTGCTCTGTTGCCCAGGCTGGAGTGCAGTGGCACAATCTCAGCTCACTGCAACCTCTACCTCCCTGGTTCAAGTGATTCTCCTGCCTCAACCTCCTGAGTAGCTGGGATTACAGGTGCGCACCACCAGGCCTGGCTAATTTTTGTATTTCTAGTAGAGATGGGGTTTCACCATGTTGGCCAGGCTGGTCTTGAACTCCTGACCTCAAGCGATCTGCCTGCCTCGGCCTCCCAGAGTGCTGGGATTACCGGCATGAGCCACTGCACCTGGCCTCACATTTTTGAGAAACACAAATGTTGAGACCACAGCACCTGACATTTATGGGCATTGGTAATGAGTGGATGGGAAAGGGCACCTGTACACGGTAGCTTGAGAAGTGCAATCACCTTGGTTTGGCAGAGCCCGCTGCTGGGGCAGAAATGGCCCACTCAGAGGTGCTGTGGGGACATTCTTCTCTTCCTGCCAGACTATGGTCCCTGGGATATGGGCCCAGCTGTCAGATCATCTCAGCAATGAGAGGGGCTTCTAAATAGGATACAGTTGTTTCAGGGTGGTCAGACCAGGGGTAGGAACTCCAGGGCTGTCATTCCCCTTGTTCTGGACTTGACCCAGACCTCATGGAAGCTCATGAATGCATTCCTCTTGGGTGGTTTTCTCACAGGGGATCCCTTCTGGGCTCACAGGCTAACTGAAAGCTCAATCTTTCCCTGTATGCTGTTGTGAAGCCACTATTCTCCGCCCTGTGCCTGTACCATTAATTCTTTGTCTCTTAGGGCATTATATGGATGTCACTAAATCTCTCTGTTCCACGCCATTTGTTCTCCAACTGGGCCTCTGGTTTAAGCACTCATAGTATCAGTTTTAGAAGTTATAGCCAGAAGAAGTCTAGAAAATATCAATGCAAAGGCCATGCAGAAAATAAGCGGTGATGCTACGACTTTTCCTCCTTGATTTAAAAAAGTATTTAAATTAAGATAAGCAGATAAGACCCTGTGGAGGATTAATGAATATTAAACACAGCCACTACCACCACCAACAAACCCCAAAGGTGGAGAAATGACGAGTTATGGGATGGCTTATTCATTTCCATCTCCCCTAAAGACAGAGTAAGAGAAAAATGACTTAAATTACAGTTAGACGGATTTAGGCAAGAGGCAAAACTATGCTTGAGAGAGGAGGGCTTTGAAACATATGATAAAGAAACTGAAGGAAGGTCAAGGGTGTCCTTCTCTGCATGAGGAGTGTTCTCTGAAGGTGGGAGCTACTCCTCAGTCAGGGATGACTGGGATGGGGAGAGAAGGTGGGTTAGGAAGAACAGGGCAGGTAGCCTCATAACATCCCTCAGGCCAGATGACACTTCACCAATAAATACAGGCTCAGTTCTAGGAGCAAGGCTGAACATCCACATGTACATTCTCAGGTCCCAAAAGGCACTCATTAAAGGACAGAAAAATAACCACGTTGAGGGGTCAGGTGTGATGGCTGACACCTGTAATCCCAGCAATTTGGGAGGCTGAGGCAGGAAGATCTCTTGGGCCCAGTTCAAGACCAGCCTGGGCAACATAGCAAGACCCCATCTCTACAAAAAATTAAAAAATTGGCCAGGTGCAGTGGCTCACACCTATAACCCCATCACTTTGGGAGGCCAAGGTGGGTGGATCATGAGGTCAGGAGATCGAGACCACAGTGAAACCCCATCTCTACTAAAAATACAAAAAATTAGCCGGGCGTGGTGGTGGGCACCTGTAGTCCCAGCTACTCGGGAGGCTGAGACAGGATAATGGTGTGAACCCAGGAGGCGGAGCTTGCAGTGAGCTGAGATCACACCACTGCACTCCAGCCTGGGTGACAGAGCAAGACTCCGTCTCAAAATAAAATAAAATAAAATAAAAATTAGCTGGGTGTGCTGGTGTGCACCTGTAGTCCCAGCTACTAGGGAGGATGAGATGGGAGGATCACTTGAAGCTAAGAGTTTGAGACCAGCCAGGACAACATAGTGAGACCCTGTCTCTACCACACACAAAAAAATTGGCTGGGTATGGTGGCATGAACCTGTGGTACTAGCTACTCAGGAGGCTGAGGAGGAAGGATCGTTTGAGCCCAAGAGGTCAAGGCTGCAGTGAGCTATGATCGCACCACTGCACTTCAGCCTGGGTGACAGAGCGAGACTCTGGCTCTAATTTAATAAACAAAACTAAAAACAAAACATGTTGAAACATCTATTGCTGGAGTGGACAATGGGGGCTTTGGGGACAGGGTGTGCCCACCTCCAGCTGCATCAGGAGCCTCTGAGGTGCTGGACAAGCTCAGATTTATTTAATATTTCCATTTGAGACAGAATCTTGCTCTGTCACCCAAGCTGGAGTGCAGTGGTGCAATCTCAGTTCACTGCAACTTCCACCTACCAAGTAGCTGGGACTACAAGTGCACACCACTGCACCCAGCTAATTTTTGTATTTTTAGTAGAGGCGGGGTTTTTGCCATGTTGGCCAGGCTGGTCTTGAACTCCTGACCTCAGGTGATCTGCCCACCTCGGCTTCCCAAAGTGCTGGAATTACAGGCGTGAGCCACCGCGCCTGGCCAAGGACAAGCTCGGCTTTGATTCCTTGTCTGTCCCAGCCTGTCTGGGAAGTGTCACTAAACTGGGAGAGGACAACACACTAGGGACGGGAGCAACGTCACGTAACACTGCAGCAGGGATTTCCTGGCCACAGTCTATCAGGAGAGCCGACTCACAGGCTTAGACACACCATGGGGCAGGGCTGCTGTCTTCATTCTCACTCTGAGCCCCAAAACTTAGCTGAGCCTTCTGGGGAGACTAGCTGGCTGATGATTTGCTGATAACCCTGCATGGCGTGTCTTTGGTTGCAAAGGTCTAGCAGGAAGCAAAACCAAGAAGGCAGGAACTCTGATCATATTACACAATTATTAAACCAAATGTTGGTAGAACCAGCCAGGTATTATTGCCAAGGAATCCCTGTGGAGTCTGTTAGAGGCTGTATAAAGGATGGAAACTTACCAACTTATTTTCTTGAAAAAGTAGTTTGATGCAGTTTTCCAGTGTGGATTACTAATCCTGCTATTTATATTGGAAAAAGATACATGTGGGGAAAGATGAAAAATAGAAGTGTTCTAGAAAAGTTGACTTTAAATCAAATTCTTATCAATAAGGCCAGGTGCAGTGGCTCACGCCTGTAATCCCAGCACTTTGGGAGGCCGAGGCGGGTGGATCACCTGAGGTCAGGAGTTCAAGACTAGCCTGGCCAACATGGGAAAACCCCGTCTCTCCTAAAAATACAAACATTAGCTGGGCGTGGTGGTGGGAGCCTGTAGTCCCAGCTACTTGGGAGGGTTAGGCTGGAGAATCGCTTGAACACGGGAGGTGGAGGTTGCAGTGAGCCGAGATCGCGCCATTGCCCTCCAGCCTGGGCAATAGAGGGAGACTCCATCTCAAAAAAAAAAAATTCTTATCAATAAAGTCACATCCTATTGTTTATTAAGAAATATTGACAATTGAAGATACTCTAACATGAATCCCCTTTGTAACTAAAATAACTACTTCCTAATTAATGTTGACAAGTGTGCTTTTTTGGCATATCCGATTGTTTCACGTTGGGATCCCTCTGAACAGTGACAGACCCAGAAAATGCTATTCTCCAGTCATGGCTGCCGACTTAGAGTTGAGCCTGACTCCAGCAGACTGCGAAGACACAGGCAGCGCCTCGTTTGTATGACTGAAGACAGCCACATCTTCAAACAACAGGTGAAGGCATCTGGTTAAACACCCACATCTCGGAGTCAATTTCAATTTGCTTTAGTTCTCAATAACCAGACAAAGATCAGATCTCTGTGTTTCCTCAGAGAAAAAGGGAGAGAATGCCTATACTGGCATTGAAGATTCCGAGCTGTTCCAACTAACGAGCTCCGTGTCATGCCCAGATGCATGCCTCTAGCCAACTCCCCTGACCTTGCACCATGGTCGTCCACACCTGGGTTTGCCCTGAATCTGAAGAAGTATATCTGCAGGCCCAAGGACAGACCAAGTACGGGAGAGGGGCCAGAAAGGGCACCGCAGTCTACCCTCCGGGCCTCTTTCTGCCGAGCTGAGCACACACAGTTGTTGGTTTTTATTTATTTATTTAATGAATAATTGCTTATAACCAAGGGAGTTGTTAGTTTTGAGGTCAAGGGACTAAGCAGAAGCAAAGAGGCAGGTGAGGTAGGTTCTGACTCAGTGGGGGAACCTGCCGTCAGAAGAGCTGCCATCTTGGAAGACACAAAAACTCAAGATTCCCTCTGCTTTGCCCAGCAGGGAATTATCATGAAATCCCTGTGCCCTTTGAGTGGGGAGGGCTGCTATCTGTTGCTCCCAAACACTCTGTTCCACCAATGAAGCCGTGGTGTAGAAAAGCTTGCAACCCGGTAGCAAAGTTCCTTGACTCTGAAGTCAGAGCCTCATCAATCACCTGGCCACTGGGCTTCCTCTCCCTACGTCCAAAGTCCACGGCAGGCAGGGAAGTGTCTGGATCTGACAGATTCACTGTATGAAAGTGGACAGGCTTATGTTCTGGGGAACCTTGTATATTCACAACAAAGTTGTCTGGGAGGCTTAGAAAGCAGGGACAACCTAAGCAGCTCTGTAAATATGAGGACACAGGACGAAGGAAGCATGAGGCAATGAGTAGTGTGGTCAGACGGGAATTATTTTTCCCAAGACAAGCCTATTTTGTGATAAGTGGGCCCTGGGCAGCAGAGGTGGGCAGGCTCTCTGGTCCCCTTGGGAAACCGGGGCTGCAGATGGAGGCTTTGCTAAGTGCCACCCCACCCTAGACAGTGGGAGCAGTCCCCAGCCCCACACTGCACACCGAAGGCAGGAGGTCTCTAATCACTGGTCACAGGGATCTCTCTGCTTGATCCTAGGAAAATGCTGCCTCTGAGGTGGGTAGACCATTCCAGGAGGAAGAGGGGAAAGCATGGCTGAAAGCACCTCTATGACTCCAGGCTCAGATTCGTAAAACACTAGATGGAAGTCGTACCAGGAATTCAGCCACACATCCCTCCTGGCTGGGAAGGCCTGCAGCTGAGAGCACACGCACAAAGAGACACAGGCTCCATTGGCCCAGCCTCTCACCTGGCTCATGAAAAGATCAATGCCAGGAGTTCTCCACAAAGAGACTGGGGATTCCTGGGGCAAGGCACAAGCCAGATGGGTCGAGGAATCAGGTGAACCTCTGCAGCAGGTGGGTGGCGCCCATTCTGTGCCCCTTGGGAGCCAAGAGAGTCACCCTGGGAATTATCCCACAAGAGGGTCTCACATCCCCAGGAAGTGGATGGCCACTGATCCCTGCTATTCCTCCCCCAAGTTCACATGAAGAGGTCGTGCAGTCTGGGTCCCAGGTTGGACCCGATTGCCTTGTCAAAGGGAAAGGCAGCCTAGGGCCAGATACCTCGGAACCACAACCACATCGCCTGTGATTGGAGCCTCACCCCATCCCACAGGCCGTACATGGGCATCATGAACTCTAGCACACACTTGACTATGGAATACCTCTGGAGGTGGGGTGGGGGGTGGGGAGGACTTATTTATGTTTTTGTAATTTGCATGTTCTTGAGGGCCTAAAAAAACTGGAGGAAAGGATTTTTTTTTTTTAATTCCCTTGGAGGACTTTCGAACAAAATTAGACTCTGGCAGTTCCTTCAGGATGATGAATAACCTAAGATACAGGTTCATTTATCACTCCCCACATGTGATTCCCACCAAAGTATTTCTAAAATCCAGGCAAGAAAAAGATTCTGAAGTCTCAGATCACTAGTATGTTTTGCTACATGGAGGGCAGGCATCATACCACAACGTATGTATCCAAGGGAGGGAGGGGCATTTTTTCCTACAAGCAGAAGTATTTCAATTGTTAATGGAGGAAAAAAAAAAACTGCCTTCCTTACACATCCCAGTTCAGCAATTGTCAGGCTTCAGGTGTCAGACGGCAGCCTGTCAGCGCCCTGGGATAGGCCCCGTGTGGTCATGGCCTTGTTGGTCATGCCAAGATGATGTCTGAGAAGCTGGCATTATGGCTTAGCTCAAAGAGAAGGCAGGAGGCTGTGCATGGTGGCTCACACCTATAATCCCAGCACTTTGGGAGGCCAAGGCGGGAGGATCACCTGAGGTCAGGAGTTCAAGATCAGCCTGGCCAACATGGCAAAAACCCCGCCTCTACTAAAAATACAAAAATTAGACGAGCGTGGTGGTGGGCGCTTGTAATCCCAGCTATTTGGGAGGCTGAGGAATGAGAATCACTTGAGCCCAGAAGGCAGAGGCTGCAGTGAGCCAAGATCACACCACTGTACTCCAGCCTGGGCGACAGAGTGAGACTCCATCTCAAAACAAAAAAGTGAGCGTACAATATTGGTGTGCTAACATATGATTATATAATCAGGTTGCTATATGAAGGTAAGGAAAAACAATCCTAAAGCTTCAAACTCTTCCCATTTGAAGAAGACAGTTCTAAGAATCGTGGCCCCCATCCTCTCATCGTCTAGGTTTTAATTAGGTTCTTTCCTTCCTTCCTCCCTTTCTTATTACCATTTTTAATTGTGATAAAATGTGAATGAATAACATGTAATTGAGCATCTTCCTCATTTTTAAGTGTACATTCATTGGCATTAAGTGCAATCACTTTTGTACAGCCATCGCCACCACCCATCTCCAGAGCTCTTTGGTTTTTTTTTGAGACAGAGTCTTGCTCCGTCGCCCAGGCTGGAGTGCAATGGCATGATCTCAGCTCACTGCAATCTTCGCCTCCTGGATTCAAGTGATTCTTGTACCTCAGTGATCCCAGTAGCTGGGAGTACAGCCATGCATCACTATGCCCGGCTAATTTTGTAATTTTGGTAGAGACAGGGTTTTGTTATGTCAGCCAGGCTGGTCTCGAACCCCTGGCCTCGAGTGATCTGCCTGCCTTGGCTTCCCAGAGTGCTGGGATTACAGGTATGAGCCACTGCACCCGGCTCCAGAGCTCTTTTTATCTTGCATAATTGAAACTCTCCACCCACTGAACCCAGATCCCCATTCCTCCTCCTCCCTCCCACAGCCCCTGGCAACCATCCTTCTACTTCCTGCCTCTGTGCCACTGACTCCTCAGGTGTCTCGCAGAGCAGGACTCACACAGTATCTGTGATGCCCTCTTTCTTATGTCATATTATCCCCTTGTGTCCCTTCTTCATTTTGTCAGGGGGCCTCCTTAACCTCCTACGGGATGTGTGGGTGATAAACTTCTGAACCCTGACATAGAAAAGAAAAATTTTGATTTTTCTCTGTGACTTAATAGCTTGACTTGAAAGTGCTGCATCCCAAGTTACCTCTCCTTAATATCTTTTTTTCTGTTTTTTCTTTCTTAAGATGGAGTCTCGCTCTGTCACCCGGGCTGGAGAGCAGTGGCGTGATCTTGGCTTACTGCAGCCTCCGCCTCCCGGGTTCCAGCAATTCTCCTGCCTCAGCCTCCCAGGTAGCTGGGATTACAGGCACGCACCACCACGCCCAGCTAACTTTAGTATTTTTAGTAGAGATGGGGTTTCACCATGTTGGCCAGGCTGGTCTCGAACTCCTGACCTCAGGTGATCTGCCTGCCTCAGCCTCCCAAAAGTGTTAGGATTACAGGTGTGAGCCACCACGCCCGGGCCTTAGTATCTTTTTTCTTTTTATTTATTTTTAAGACAGGGTCTCACTGTATTGCCTCAGCTGGTCGCTAACTCCTGGGCTCAAGTAATCCTCCTGCCTTGGCCTCCCAAAGTGCTGGGATTACAGGCATGAGCCATGGTGCCTGGCCTGCTCAATGTCTTGAGGGTATTGTTCCATCATCTTCCAGTATCTGATGCTGCTGCTGAAAAGTCTGATGCTAATTCCATTCTCATTTCCTTGTATTTAAGAAGACTTTTCTCTCTGGAAGCTCTCAACAATTTCATCTTTGTTTCTGGAGTTTTTGTTGGTGGTGGTGTTGTTTTGATTTTTGAGATAGGTCTCACTCTGTGGCCCGGGCTGGAGTGCAATGGTGCCATCATGGCTCACTGCAGCCTTGACCTCCTGGGCCCAACCAATCTTCCCACCTCAGCCTCTTGAGTAGCTGGGACCACAGATGCATGCCACCATGCCCAGCTAATTTATTTTTAGTTTTTGTAGAGACCATGTCTTCATATGTTGGCCAGGCTGGTCTCGAACTCCTGGACTCAAGTGACCCTCCAACCTCGGTCTCCCAAAGTGCTGGGATTACAGGCATGAGCCACTGCTTGTTTTCAGAGTTTTGAGATTCATCAAGATATGTCTGAGTGGGGTATTTTCTCCATTCCCACTATTCAGCATTAGGTGGTCTTTTAAATCTACAAGGTTGTGCTTTTTTTCAGCTCAGGAAAAATTTCCCCACATGCCTGCACACATACCTTACATCTTTGACTTTGTGTTTGGGAACTGGAGAATTGTCTTCTACTTAACCTTCCAGATAACCTGCTTGGCCTTTCATTCAGAATATTCTAATGAATCTATCCATTTAACTTTCTAAAAGAATTCTGGCAATTATACGATATGATTAATTTTCAAGAACTCTTTCTTATTCTCTGATTATTCATTTTTATCACAGTCAGTTCTTGCTTTATGAGCATGATAAATATGCTCTTGAATCTCCAGCTGAACATACTGCTTTGAATTTTTATGTTCTTCTGTCTCCTGGGCTCCCTGTTTTCTCCAGAGTAGGTTGTCCTACTTACTTCAGTCCCTTTTTTTCATTCTTTGGGTTTTTCTCAGGTGTCTGGGGATCTGTTACCTTCAGAGCACATTCAGGGAGGCGGGTTGACATTGACGATAGTTGGAAAGGGCATTCTCCAGGGTTGTACAAGTCTGTTTCCCTAACAGGCCTCCCTGACAACTCTGAAATTTCACTTCAAAGTATTTCCTTAAAGAACTATAAGTAGAACTACCACTGGATCCAGCAATCCCACTACTGGATATCTACCCATAGGAAAAGTCATTATACAAAAAAAAAAAAAAAAAAAAAAACCTGCACACACGTTCATAGCAGCACAATTCACAACTGCAAAAATGTGGAAACAGCCCAAATGCCCATCAATCAACAAGTGGATAAAGAAACTGTGATATGTATATATGTATATATATATATATATATATATATACACATACACACACACACACACACACACACACACACACACACACACACACAGTGGAATACTACTCAGCCATAAAAAGGAATGAATTAATGGCATTTGCAGCAACCTGGTTGCGATTGGAGACTATTATTCTAAGTGAAGTAACTCAGGAATGGAAAACCAAACATCATATGTTCTCACTCATAAGTGGGAGCTAAGCTATGAGGATGCAAAGGCATACGAATGACACAATGGACTTCGGGGACTTGGGAAAGGGTGGGAAGGGGGTGAGGGATAAAAGACTACAAATTGGGTTCAGTGCATACTGCTCGGGTAGTGGGTGCCCAAAAAGCTCACAAATCACCCCTAAAGAACTTACTCATGTAACCAAACACCGTCGCTTCCCCAAAAACCTATGGAATTTTTTTAAAAAATTAATTGAAAGCTTAAAAAAAAGATTATAGCTTCAACTTAGCAGTTGGCCTACAGAGGATGAGGAAGGATGAAAGAAGAGAGGGAAAGAGTGTGGGAATCATAAAGGTAGGTGCTGTGGGTATTTAGATTCCACCATTACAGCACTGGAATGATGGGACAGTGGATTCCTTATGTGGCTCCCTCCTAAGCAGAAACACCAGGGGTGCCGGGCCGCAGCCGGGGTGACACATGCCAGGAGCAAGTAGCAGGAAGTGCAGAGCCAACCTTGGGAGCAGACCAATGCTGACACACACAGGATGCAGTGATGATGCAGAGAAAAGGAGTGTGTGCAGGTGTGGTTTCAGACACGTACACGAATGCAGTGATGGTGTGAGCAAAAGGGAGTGTGCACATGCAAGCATGCCCGTGTGAGTGTGCATGCACATACACAAATTCCCACACAAGCATGCATAGAAAGAGACTTGGAGATGGCCTTCTAAACACACAAAAACAAAAGTCTAAATCAGTCTCTTAAGTCCTGAAACACTAGACCATCCTTACATGAAACCTGCCTTTTTGTATCCACAGGATAGCCCTAACAATTAGGCAGGGCCAGTGTGTCACGGGGACACTCCAGGACTGGTCTCTGATTAGGAATGTCAAGCTCAGTGTGGCCCATGAACAGGGATGGTGAGGGAAGAGAGAGAACTGCTAAGAGGTGGTTTGAACCCGGCTTTCAAACAGCTGCTGGGATCACAGATGTGAAATGAGGAAAGGTCTGTGAATTTGTCTGGAAATGAAGGAAACCTTTGCAAGTAAAGTGCTAGTGAAGACATGGATCAAAGTCAGATTGCAAAGGAGTGAATAAGGGCAACGAAATCAGGAGGCGAAGGCCATATAGCAATGGAGGGACTGGGCAGAGAAGGTGGAGCAAGTTAGGGCTACGCCTGTCAGGAGTGAGCAACAGTGTCTTTAAAACCCACATACAAAAGCAGGAAATGCCAATGCCAGGGGAGTTGGGAGGATGACCATGGGTCTCCATAGACACCGGCAACAGGTCAATAACAGCCGACAATCAAGGTACCATCCAGCAAGGGTGCAGGCAAGATAATCTCATAAATCACTGCAAAACACTTGGTAAATTTAAAGTCAGGCATAAATGCCAAATATAAATAAAATATGCAACTCAGGCAGCAAGGTGCTCTAAGCCTAGAGGCCTTCTTTTAATTAATGTCAGATTTGATCCAAGACATTCTCAGGCTAGATGGGCAGGCAGGTGCTCAGAGAATCCCGCCCTGTGGGACTGGCCTCCTCCCTGACAAGCTTCACCACCAGGCCCCAAAATTCAGGACACAGGGTGCTTCTCTCCTCAGCTGCCACCACGTGGAATCTGCTCTCCCCACTGGTAGATGCAACCCTGTGATTTCTGGGAGGGAGATGCCAAACTGAACTAGGGTAGCTCTGGAGAGCCGGGAGCTAATAGTTGGCTGACAGTGGAGGGGAATGAGCCAAAGGTTGACGCTGTTCCAATCCCAATATGGGTAACGTTTGAAAATGGAGGTTAGCACCTCACACCCATTAGGATGTCTACTCTCGAGAAAACAAAAACATAACAGTGTTGGCAAGGATGTGGAGACACTGGAACCCTTGAGCACTGTTGGTAGGAATGAAAAATGGCACAGCCAGTGTGGAAAACAGTTTGGTGGCTCCTCAAAAAATTAAAAATAGAATTACCATATGGTGATAGCAGTTGTGACGTTCCTGAGGTTCCGTTTTCTGTCTCTGCCAAATATTTCTGTTATGGGAAGTCCTGATTCACAAGGAGGTGGCAATTCTACTTCTGGATACATCCGTCAAAGCACTGAAAGCAGGGTCTCAAAGAGATACTTGCCTACCTACATTTACAGCAGCACTATTCACAGCAGCTCAAACCTGGAAGCAACCCAAGTGTTTATGGATGGATCAACAGATAAGCAAAATGTGGTATATCCACACAATGGAATAGTATACTGCCTTAAAAAGGAAGGAAATGCTGACACATGCTATAACATGGCTGCACCTTGAGAATATTATGCTGAGTGAAATAAGCCAATCACAAAAAGACGAATACTATATGATTCCACTTACGTGAAGTACTTAGTCAAATGCTTAAAGACAGAGAGTAGAATGGTGGTGGCCAGAAGCTGGGGGAAGTGGGCATGTGGATACTGCTTAATAGGTATAGAGTTTCCATTTTACAAGATAGAAAGAATTCTGGAGGTGGATGGAGGTGATGGTTGCACAACATTATAAATGTATTTAATAATCCAAAACCACAGCCTTACAAATAGTTAATTAAGATGGTAATTTTGTTATGAGTATTTTACCACAATTAAAATATTTGGGGAGAAAAAAAACTAAAATGAAGGCTAAGGTTTAAAAGTGGTGCAATGGCCGGGTGCAATGGCTCATGCCTGTAATCTCAGCACTTTGGGAGACCGAGGCAGGTGGATCACGAGGTCAGGAGTTTGAGACCAGCTTGGCCAACATGGTGAAACCCAGTCTCTGCTAGGGAAAAAAAAAAAAAAACCAACACAAAAATTAGCCAGGCGTGGTAGCGGGTGCCTGTAATCCCAGCTACTAAGGAGGCTGAGGCAGGAGAATCGCTTGAAACCAGAAGGCGGAGGTTGCAGTGAGCCGAGATCACGCCACTGCACTCCACCCTGGGAGACAAAGCAAAACTCCGTCTCAATAAATAAATAATAAATAAAATAAAATAAAATAAAAAGAAAAAAGTGGTTCAAGGTTCAAGGCCTGAAGTGGGAGCTCGCACTAAACTCTTAGGGGTAAGAACAGGTAAGACCCGATTCAAGTAAAGACAGGAATCCCATGAGCCAGGACATGAATTTGACTCAATGACCCTGAAGATGGTGGCCCCCTAGGATGCTGTGATGACTCAATTGAGTTTCTCCTTCAGAGCTGCTCCCAGTTATTTCCTGGTGGTGGGAAAGGTGGGCGCTGAGTCTCTCCCATGCTCTCCTAGAGCATCACTGCTGAGTAAGGATGGTCCAGGGGTTGGGGCTGCCTATGGTCGAGAGGACAGTTTCGGTTGTGGGACGGCTTTTTGTCTCCCAGGGCAATGAAACCTGCCTTATGCCACCATTAGTGGCAGGCACTCCCACCATGGGGCCTTTGCCCATGCCATCACTCTATTCTCTGTCTGGCACATTTTTTTTTTTTTTTATCCCTTCCTGCCTACTTTTCTTCCCCTGGTCACTGGCTCCTCATGCGTCATTTCTCAGTCTGGAAGTCCTCTCCTCCAGGCAGCCATCGCTGGCTCCCTAGTCTGGGTTAGGATTTCTGTTAAATATTCTCACCTTATTGTGTGTTTGCTGAGTGTATCCACCGTGGTGTCCCCTGGATCTAGACCAGGCCTGGGGACCTAGGAGGTGCTCAGTTAGTATTTTGTTTGTTTTTGTTTTTGTTTTGAGATAGAGTCTCACTCTGTCTCCCAGGCTGGAGTGCAGTGGCGTGATCTCGGCCTACTGCAACCTCCACCTCCTGGGTTCAAGTGATTCTCCTGCCTCAGCCTCCCCGGTAGCTGGTACAACAGTTTTGTGCCACCATGCCTGGCTAATTTTTATATTTTTAGTAGAGACGGGGTTTCACCATGTTGGCCAGGCTGGTTTGGAACTCCTGACCTCAGGTGATCCACTCGCCTCCGCCTCCCAAAGTGCTGGGATTATA
The DNA here is from genome assembly GCF_000001405.40 of Homo sapiens. NCBI lineage: Eukaryota > Metazoa > Chordata > Mammalia > Primates > Hominidae > Homo > Homo sapiens. The sequence continues at coordinate 72,758,163 of NC_000017.11, forward strand.
AATGTGAGCCACTGCTCCCAGTCTTTAGTTAGTATTTATTGAATAAGTAAAGTTAATCATGGATTGGATCAATTAGTCAGTCAAAGATAATGATTATAAGAAAGGTCTGGAAGACACAGTCAAGAAGGAGTTTAATAAAAATGTGACAATAAGACAATACTTGGTTACTTTAATTGCAATCTCTAGCTACATGTGGCATGCTCTGGCAGTTCCCCTATTCAATCAACATTCCCTCTTTACCCGTTTTAACAGAATTCTCATTTTGTTCGGTATTGAAATGTGCCTGGATAAAAATATTCAGTTTCCCCATCTTTCTTGTGGCAGGAGGTAGCCCATTGTCATAGTTCAGGCCAGTGATACCGCAGTTAAGGGTTTCCTGGAAAGTCTTTCCTTCCCTAATATAGACTCCAACCCATCCTGAAGAAAGGTTAAAAAAGGGAGATCCTTTTCCTTTTCTTGCCTGGAACACGGGTGGGATGCTTGGAACCATGAACTACTGGGAAGGTCAGGAGATAAACAATGGCAAAGGCTTCTGCACTTGGTCACTTGAGCAGCCCAGAACTGACAGCCACCCGGACTTCACACTGTGTGAGACACAGAAATCCCCACCTGTGGAAGCCACAGCTGCCCAGATCGGTTGATACTTGCAGCCAGAGTGTTCCTAACTTGTATACGCCAACCGGAACATTCTACACAGGACTGAGATGACCCATGGATGACAGCAATTATAAATAATCTTGGCGACAGCCTGGCTAACATGGCAAAACCCTGTCTCTACTAAAACCACAAAAATTAGCCGGGTGTGGTGGATGCCTATAATCCCAGCTACCCAGGAGGCTGAGGCAGGAGAATCTCTTGAACCCGGGAGGCGGAGGTTGCAGTGAGCCGAGATCGTGCCATTGCACTCCAGCCTGGGCAACAGAGTGAGATTTCATCTAAAAATAATAACAATAATAATAATAATAATAAATAATCTTGGAAAACAATTACAGAAAATAATACAGATACCAGATAGCAGAAAATGGCTGGATTTTCAATATGCAGAAAAGATGATAGACTATATAAACCAAATAAATGTTTTTTTGTGGAGCCAAAAAAAAATCAAGGAGAGGTCATTAAAAGTCTGGCTCATGAATTTCTAAAACAGACAAATGAGCAAAGGAACGGAAGTGGTGATCAAGAGAAACCAGGGTGGATTCATTAATAATAACTCACTTCACACAAACTACAAAATTCTTTTGATTGAATTTTAACTAGTAGAGCAGGAGAATACAAAGGATTCTTAAAAATCACGTGTCTGGATTTCCTTAAAGCTTTTGATTGTCATGACAGCATGTGAAAAAGCTTTTTAAAAGCAGTAACATCATGGTTCAGTTAACTGAATTCATAACTGGTTGAGTGGCTACTCAGTGGGTATAAATTAATGAATTTATGCAATCTTAGGAGGAGATAAGCCACATGTTTGGCCATTGCTATTGTCCATTCCATCTTAACATCAACAACTCTAGAGGAGACATAAAAAATTCATGAGAAAAGCACAAAGCTGAAAACAAAGGTAATATACTTGATATAAACAAGACATAGAATTCTCATGGGTGGAAAATGAGCTAAAACATTTAGCTCAGATCTAGTATTCAAGAAAAATATAAGATTCTTAATGTAGGTATAAAGAACTAACCAAGAGAAGACAGGTGAGCAGCTCTGGGCTCCAAACAAGGAAGCGCTGTCTTGTAATTAGTTACCTGTGCGGGGCCCCCTGCCTTGTGATACCCAGAGAAGTATTGGGTATGCAGATGTCCAAATGTCTTAGGTCATGGAATCTTGTTTGTTTTTTTTCTTCACAGGTCACATATAGGTTTTGTGAAGCATATTTTATTTTTTTGACACAGGGTCTCACTCTGTCACCAAAGCTGGAGTGCAGTGGTGCAATCTCGGCTCACTGCAACCTTTGCCTTGCAGGTTCAAGTGATTCTCGTGCCTCAGCCTCCCGAGTAGCTGGGATTACAGGCACGTGCCACCATGCCTGGCTAATTTTTGTATTTTTTACTAGAGAAGTGGTTTCACCATGTTGGTCAGGCTAGTCTTGAACTCCTGGCTTCAGGCAATCCACCCGCCTTGGCCTCCCAAAGTGCTGGGACTACAGGCGTGAGCCACTGTGCCCAGCCATTGTGGAGCATATTTTAGCATAGGCTATTTAGAAAAGACATCCAAGAAAACCATCTGCTTCCTGTAGAGAGCCAGTATGATCCATCTGAGCCTTTTGCTCCCTCCTATTGATGAGGCTGGACCCTGGGCTCTGAAACAGAGAGGTGGCGTTGGTTTCCGTGTGGGACACTGAACAATCCCACGGCCACTGAGCCAAGCCAATCTCCAACCCACACCACCTACACACCCCATCTCCTACCCTGAGGAGTGCTGAGAACATGTGGGTGACTCAGCACAGACCTCCCCCAACACTGGGAAACCATTTAAAGGACACCTTGGTGTATCAACGGGGTTGACATGGTAAACACAGAAGGCATCCTTTTCATTTTTATTAAGAACAGATATTCACGACCAAGGAAGTCAGCCATCCCCACAGACATCTCAGAACCAGCTCGGCAGGCAACTCAAATCACTGCTCTCCATGGAAGGCTGTGTACTCATGCCACCTCCGATGTCACTTACTGTCTGATCTGCCTTCCAGCCACCCCACTGGGCAACGCCTGGAGGGAAATCCTCTGGCCAAGGCAGCTGCTCAACTTCCTACTTGCCTGTTCCTTCTGCTAGAATCCCCTTTGTGGGCACTACTGCCCCTTTAACCACATAGCCATCCAACCAACAGCCATCTCATCACCTGTTCCCCAGGACTCTGACCGCATCTATGGAACAAGGTAAACAGCAGAGTGCACGCCCCAGCTAAATTTAGCAAAATAAAGCATGTTCATCAAATTCCACCCCAGGCCTTCCAATTTTTGTTTTGTTTTGTTTTGAGATGGAGTTCGCTCTGCTGCCCAGACTGGAGTGCAGTGGCATGATCTCGGTTCACTGCAACCTCCGCCTCTTGGGTTCAAGCGATTCTCCTGCTTCAGCCTCTTGAGTAGCTGGGATTACAGGCACCCGCCACCACGCCTGGCTAATTTTTGTATATTTAGTAGAGATGGATTTTCACCATGTTGGCAAAGCTGGTCTCGAACTCCTGACCTCAGGTGATCCGCCCCCCTCGGCCTCCCAAAGTGCTGGGATTACAGATGTGAGCCATGCACCCAGCCCAGGCCTCCCAATTTTTAAGTTCTATTAAAGCATTTCAGTGCAAGAGCTCAAACATAATGCCAAACGTCAGCAGTAATGAAAGGGGAGGGTGATGTCTTTTGAGAACTTGCTATTTTTTAGCCATTTTATTTCACATTTTCAAACATAATCCTTCTAGCCACCATGGGGTGGAGATACAATCAATGTCTGCATTTGAAAGATAAGAAAGCTTGATCCCTGAGAGGCTAAGCAACCTGGGTCATACAACGTTTTGAACCGTGTCTGTCAAGCCCAAACTTTTTCTTTTTTCACTTGTCTAAGATCAAGTGTGGGTTTGGCCCAGGAGTCCCATCACTGTACATTCCCAGGGAAAGAGATTTCTATTTATGGGCCAATTGCAATGTCCTAATGAGCAACATGCAATGCTCAGATCAACAGGCATCAAAGAGCAAAGAGAAAGTGAGAGAAAGGCATGCAGGGTCATGCTATTCCCATAAAGAGGAGGAAAGAATACAGGGAATCTACTGCTGATCAGGGACCAGAGCCCCATTCTGGGGTCAGTTATGAGCAGAGAGGGACAGCAAGTATAGACAGAGTTTTAGGCGAGTCTAGAGTACACGAGAGATAATGAGTTGGCGAAGCCTGACCTTCTGATAAGGACCCAGGAGTCTGGATGTGCTGCTGTCAGCGTCAGAGGCGTTGGAACAAGAGCAACTCCATCTTGAATAGGGGCTGCGTAAAATGAGGATGAGACCTACTGGGCTGCATTCCCAGGAGGTTAAGGCATTCTAAGTCACAGGATGAGATAGGAGGTTGGCACAAGTTACAGGTCGTAAAGGCCTTGCTGACAAAACAGGTTGCAGTAAAGAAGGCAGCCAAAACCCTCCAAAACCAAGATGGTGACGAGAGTGACCTTTGGTCGTCCTCACTGCTTATTATATGCTAATTATAATGCATTAGCATGCTAAGAGACACTCCCAATAGCACCATGACAGTTTACAAATGCCATGGCAACACCAGGAAGTTACCCTATATGGTCTAAAAAGCAGAGGAACCCTCAGTTCTGGGAATTGCCCACCCCTCTCCTGGAAAATTCATGAATAATCCACCCCTTGTTTAGCATATAATCAAGAAGTAACCATAAAAATGGGCAACCAGCAGCCCTTGGGGCAGCTCTGCCTATGGAGAAGCCATTCTTTTATTCCTTTACTTTCTTATTACATTTGCTTTCACTTGACTCTGTGACTCGCCCTGAATTCTTTCTTGCACAAGATCCAAGAACCCTCTCTTGGGGTCTGGATCAGGACCCCTTTCCAGTAACATCAGGGTTCCCTCATGGGATTATTGCGTACCTCCTTAACCTTGTTTCCTCAGACCCATGGCAGACCTTCCCATTCGATTCCTACTCAAACAGAACTCTTTCTCAGCTCCAGGCAGACAAGCAGAATGCCCAGGCGGTTCCACTCTCACCCATGTCTGTGCTCATTCATGTTCATTACTGCTTGCTGTGACTCTTCTTTTGAGACCCACGTAGACCATTTGGGATGAGGAAATAGGCCTTGATGTCCAGCATGTGAGCATTGGTCCTTTTTGGAGTTCTCCCTCTAAACTGTGGTTTCCAATTGGCTGCCATGGGGTGGAGGCAGAGAGAACTAGACCTGAATCTTCAAGGAGTTAATTTCCTAAAGACCACCTGACCACAACCTTAAAGCACATCAGACTCTCCTGGGACAGGAGAAGCTCCCAACAGGATTTAGATTCTCATCCACGAACCCTCCACCTTCCTCCCCTTCTCCCTCATTGCCTCCCAAATGAAACCAATGTTCTAGAGATCAAAATTGAGCTCCATGGAACATCAGTAACATTTAAAAGAGTTCCACAGTTAAATATTAGGTTAAACCATACAAAATTGCTGCTATTTAACAATGTTTAAAAAACTACAAAACAGGAATTTCCTATGGTCCAACCTAATGAGTTTTAGAAATCTTAAATACTCTTCAAGACCCAGAACCGACATCACATTTTATAGGCTTGAAGAATTCCCTGCAGCAAAGACACCTGTATAATTTTGTTTTCCTAATGTATTTGACAACGGAACCCTTTTATTAGATAACACCTGTTAACATCTTACAGAACCTGTATTTTGTATTTTAGGAAATACTGCCTGAAAGAATTCAAAATAATTAAGAGCTGTTCACAAACTCATCCTCCACCATCTCTTGACTGTATCTGAATAAAATAAAATTCACCCATCCATGTAGGTTACCCATTTATTCCATCCATAAGTACTTATCGAGCACCTCCTCTGTACCAGGAATTTGCTTAGAATTGGGGACATACTGAAACCCAAGTGTTCTGACAAAGGAAACAGGGCCCTTTAAGATGGAGCGACCAGCTTCACTTGAAGGAGCCAGAAAGGGCTTCATGGAAAAACTGAGTTTTGACTTGGAGCTTAAAGAAATTTTCCAGCACATGAAGCTAACGGTCAGTGCCCACTCCATCCAGATGAACCCAGCTCACCTGCTTATATCCGGTTCCATTTTCAGCACCTACCTCCCAGGATCTTTGCATCTATGGCTTCCACGGTCTCTGCTTGACTTGTCTTCTCCTGAGTACCCGAATAAAGCTCGGTTTATCCAATTGCTTTTGGATCTAGTGCCTGATTTCCTGTGGGCTGCTATTTTGCCAGGCACTCTGAAGTTAGAGTCCAGTGGGAAGGCCCAGGGTCACTAACCACAGGCCTCTTTCATGCAACTCTTCCCAGCCTGTCTCTTCCCGGGCCTCACTCAGTATCTGGCTCAGGAAGTTCCCTGTGGCGGAGGGAGGAGCCATCTTAATGGCTGACCTTTGGGGAGGTGGGAGACAGCCTGGGGGCTCAGGGAGCTGTGTGCTGCTCTGTCCCTTGGATTTCAAATCCTGGGCCTTCCTAGCGGTTCAGCTGTGGTGGGGACAAGGCAAAGCTCTTCTGTGCTTGGCAAGGACACAGGGGTATTTATATAGCTTGATGTCTCCCCACCCCTAATTTCCCTTGGTTCATCAGAATAATAACTGAAGTGGCTCCCCATGGTGGGTAACTGTAGGATTGGTTAGGGGCACTGGGTCCTTAGGGGGATGACAGTTTTCCTCCTACAGTTCCAGGCCTTGTGTACCCCTTCAGTGACCCTCTTTCTGACTCATGCAATAAGAAAAACCTACACGGCATGGTCAGTGAGACAGCCCACCGATGGCTGTGGCTGCACCCGGTGAGGGCTGGGGCAGACTGAAACTCAGACACACCACAGGCCATGTTATCGAAGTCCTGTGCTCCCAGCTCAGGAGGTTGGGTGATTCTATACCTTATGGAAGCTATATGACACATCTGCAATTTTGCAGCCCAGCAATAGGAGAGAAAAATGAGTATCAGTGCTGGTGGGGAGTTCAGGCACGTTTCCAAAAACCAACCACAAAAAGTCATCCATCCAGTGATGGTGGAGGTAGACCAATCTGAAACCACCTTTGCAAAAAATTATAACAGTGAGAAAATCATGGCAGTGATCTCACCAACCTCCATCTCTCCTACAACCTCCAAACTGCCCTTAGTCATTCTTGGGCTTGGGCCAAGGTAACTTTGGGAGCTAGTTTATAGTTTAAATAATAGCTCTTCCCCCAAACTAAACTACCTTTGTAAAGCTAGTGAAGGATCATCAAATTAGGAGGATGATAGGAGCCTGAATCCTGCCAAGTGTAGACATAAATGACTACCAGCTATCTTTCCAGAGGTCAAAAGATATGCGACTTCCCCAGTTTCTCCTGCAAATAAACTAAGACTGGCCTTTTGAGGTGTCTTTTCTGGTTTTGACATTTCTTCCCTGGACCCTTGACTCTTGACTCAATCGGTTCTGAAGCTCCCACCTAGCAGCAGACTCAGCATGCAAGGACCATTTTCCACACCCCAATGATTGCATTCACAACAAATCAGCAGCACCCATTCCCTTGCCTGTCAAACTATCCTTGAAAAATCCTAGCCTCCAAATTATTGGAAAGGCTGAATTAAGGAATAATAAAACTTTAGCCTCCCATTCCACCGGCTCTGCATGAATTAAACTCTTTCTCGATTGAATTAATTTCCTCATCTTGATAAATTGGCTTTATCTGGGCAGCAGGCAAAATGAACCCATTAGTTCATCTATGGCTATAAATCTGCCTGGGGGTACTCTCCTTCAGCATGCAGAGAACTGGTCCAGGAAGGTCCAGGGAGCTGGGCTGGACAGTGCTGGGCACTTTCCTTTCAAAGGAAAACACTAGCTATATTCCCTCGCAGCCACAACTTATTAAAATCAGGTCAATGGCGAGGTGGCTATTTTTCAAGCTGGTAACAACATGTTTTGTCAGTTTCATCTTTGTGTTCTAATGTGGCCCCAAAGAGAGATTCTTTTCCCCTATTCAGAAAGGACCGTCTGACTTATAACTTGGCCCAATGCTGGCTGCAAGATAATGGGAAAGTTTTCAACAACCTCAAGGGCCCAGACAGCTCTCAGCATGGCCAGGCTCCTCCAGGGGCCAGCTGAGTAATGATCTACAGTCGGCGGATAGAGCTGGGGCAGGAATCGCTGAGCTGCTAGCAGCTCCTGTTGGCAAAAGTGGCCGCAAGAGCTTATGGTGGAACGTGGGATGTGAATTTCAGAGTGAGAATGATGCCAAGCATCATTCATCAGCTGAATGTTCGTCCCTCTGTGAATCACTTATTGCTGCAGGGTCCCAGCTCTAGACCAGGGAGGGTGAGAATGACACCTACCCCACAAGGTGGAGGTGAGGATGGAGTGAGATGGTTACAAGGGAGAGGCTTCCCCAATCACACAGCACTGTGTGATGCTGGCTGTCACTGTCATCCCTTGTTAAGTTGCGCTATGGGTGGAAAGACAATTAGTCTGGAAGAAACCATCGCCCAAAGGGGTATATACTTAGAAGAAGAATTGCTGGGTCAACAGGACCTTTTAAAAACATAGATCTCAGCACCTCTCATCTCTGCTTAAAACCTTCCAGTGGTTTTCCTATACACAGGAGAAAGTTAGTGTTCACACCACCTCAAGGCCTTGTACCATCTGGCCATGCCTATCCTTCTCCTGGCTTGTAGCCACCTGGACTTTCCAAATAGTCCTTCTCCCTCCAGCCTTGGGGCCCTACTTATCACTGCTTCTTCTGCTAGTGGCTCTTTCTCTCTCCTTTCTGCCTGAGTAGCTAACATCTACTTGTCTCTCAGATCGCAGTTTTCAATATAACTTACTCAGAGAAACCTTTCCTGGCCTCTAAACTGGGTCAGATACTCTGCTTGTTATTTGCTCTCCCACCCTCTTTTACTAGTGACAAAGCAGGAGCATTGCCATCTTGGACAAGCACTGTCATTTTTTAAAGTTCACTGTGACCAAAAGCTGCCTAAATCCAAAGGGCATCAGCCTAATGGCTAAGGTTGGCATGACCATAAACCACAAATAACATCTCTGACCAGAAACATTCCAAACACCTCCCTGACCAGAGACATGCCAGCCCCAAGATAACCTCCCCTCCAGCTGGAGAGATGTCACCCTCAAGATAACCTCCCCTCCGACCAGAGACATTCCAACCCCACTTCTCCCCCAACTTCTCCCCGACACAGAAACATTCCAAGCCTGTGATAAGCTCTCTCACCAATAAATATTCTTTGTCCATAAGAGAGAGAGCTCCTGACCAAAATCGGCCAGAAGCCCCTCTCAGGTTTATTCTCCAAAATAAACCTTTGACTGTTGAGCTGCTTTTTGTGTTTCTTTCCTCATTCTTTAACTCTTACAACTAGTCCTTCATTACTGTTGGAACTGCACGTTTATTGTAGTATTTTGTTTTGCTGATTTTCTCAGTATTTACTCAGCACCTACAGGGGGCCAGAGATCATTCTAGGTACTAGAGAGACAGCCTTCAGAGAAATGGTCCCAGAAGTTCCAGGGAGCTGGGCTGGACAGTGCTGGGCACCTTCCTTTCAAAGGAAAAGGTGAGGGCTGCACAGGGTGAGGGCTGGGGCAGACTGCAATAAGCAAAGCAGTGCCTGCCCTTTGGGAGCCCATTTTCTTGTAGGGGAGACAGAGCAGACAAAATCAATGGAGACAGAATTTCATGTCAGGTGGTACTAAGTGCCATGAAGAAAAATACTGCAGAGCTGGAAGACAGCTCCACGGAGAGCAACCTTCCATGAGTTGGTCAGCAGAGCTTCACACAGGAGGTGACTGGGTGGAGCATCTGTCATGCCCACTAGACTGTGAGCTGTGGTTAAGGAATGCCTGTGTACGTTCCCTTCATTACCTTACAAATCTCCAGCACCAAAGTGAATGCTTAGCACACAACAGGATAAATGGGCAGATGAAACGACATTGCCCTCAAGGATCCTGGTGACCATGCTGTAACCACCCAGGGGTTACAAAGAAAGACCTGCTGTACAAAGAAAGACCAAAGCATTGGAGTAAGAAAGAGTTTAATAGACACGAGGCTGGCCATACCACTTGGGAGACAGAGTTAGTACTCAAATCAATCGCATCCAAAGCTCCTAGGTTATGCGTTTTTTTCAAAGGCAGTTTGGGTGAAGGGGTGGGGGTGGCTAGGCTTGCTGCTCATTGGTTGGGGCAGAGATGAAATCATAGAGAGTCAAGGCTGTCCTCTTAAGCTGAGTTGCTCCCTGGTGGGGGCCACAGGAGCTATCAGGTCCAGGTGGAGCTATGGGTTTCAGACATGCAAAAAACCTGAAAAGATATCTCAAAGGGCCAATCTGCAATAGTGGTGTTATCTGCAGGAATGGCTGGCAACCTATGTATACACTTTAGCAGAATTCAGATTCTTCTTCTCCAGCCTGACGGCCTTTCAATAGCCTCACAAGGCAGTTGAGTTTCGGAGAAGGGCTATTATCATTTAAACTATAACCTAAATGTCTTCTGAAGTTAGCTCAGCCCAAAAGCCCAGGAGTAGTTAAGGAAAAGGCAAGATAGTGAGGTGGATTAGATCAGATCTCTTTCACTGCCATAATCTTCTCATTGTTGTCATTTTTGCAAAGGCAGTTTCAATGGCACAGGGCACCAGGCAGACTGGAAGAGCCCCAGAGGCAGAGGGTAGCCTCCCAGAAGCTGACCCAAGCAACCATCCCATGAGGGGCTGTGTGTACATATGAGGCAGGAACCGAGGCTTGCTTTCTCCACCTCTCCTAACACTGGACCTGGCAACTCCACCCTCTGGGCCCCACATTATCTCATATGTGACTGGCATATGGCACAGTCCTTGCTGTGGTCGAATCTAGCCAAGTCTCCAAGAGATAACCAGGTGCAAATGAGCAAGGTTACTTCTTGGTTTTTATTTATTTATTTTGATTATTATTATTATTATTATTTTTTGAGATGGAGTCTTGCTCTGTCACCCAGGCTGGAGTGCAGTGGTGTGATCTCGGCTCACTGCAACCTCCACCTCCTAGGTTCCAGTGATTCTCCTGCCTCAGCCTCCCGAGTAGCTGGGACTATAGGCGCCCGCCACCACGCTCGGCTAATTTTCTGTATTTTTAGTAGAGATGGGGTTTCACCGTGTTAGCCAGGATGGTCTCAATCTCCTGACCTCATGATCCACCCACTTCGGCCTCCCAAAGTGCTAGGATTATAGGCGTGAGCCACTGCGCCCAGCCAACTTCTTGGCTTTTAGATCACATTTAACAAACGACTTCCCCCAGGCCACCCTTCTCTGCTCACCACCCTCTCACAATGGCCTGGAGTTCACTCTCTTAGCCAGTGGCTCTGTCTGACTCAAGAAAATGCCTTAATCCTACCTGGGGTGACCCCAGAGTCCATGACAGTTAACAGCCCTTTACCCTTCCACGGCACTCATCTTTCTTTCCAACGTGTCACTCATATACAGTGTTGTCACTCATCTACCAAGTGGAGGTTAATGACCTTTAAAAACCCGTGCATTACATACAATAGAACATTATTCAACCTTAAAAAGGAAGGAAATTCTGAAACATGCTACAACATGGATGAACCTTGTGAAAGGAAACGGATCTTGGGCCCCCAAATCGTTAAGGAAAACTCAAGCTGGAAACTGCTTAAGACAAACCCGCCTCCCATTCTATTCAAAGTGACCCCTCTGCTCACTGAGATAGATGCATCTTTTTTTTTTTTCTTCTTTTTTTGAGATGGAGTTTCGCTCTGTTGCCAGGCCAGAGTGGAGTGGCCCGATCTCGGCTCACTGCAACCTCCCCCTCCTGGGTTCAAGTGATTCTCCTGTCTCAGCCTCCCGATTAGCTGCGACTACAGGTGCGTGCCACCACACCCAGCTAATTTTTGTATTTTTAGTAGAGACAGGGTTTCACCATGTTGGCCAGGATGGTCTCAATCTTTTGACCTTGTGATCTGCCTGCCTCGGCCTCCCAAAGTGCTGGGATTACACCGAGCCTGGCCATTAGAGGCATATCTGATTGCCTCCTTTGGAAAGGCCAATCAGAAACTCAGAAAAATGCAACTGTTTGTATCTCACCTATCTGTGACCTGGAAGCTCCCCCTGGCTTCCAGTCTCCCTGCCTTTGCTTCAAGTTGTCCTGCCTTTCCAGACTGAACCAATATACCTCCTACATCTATTGATTGGCGTCTCATGTCCCCCTAAAATGTATAAAACCAAACTGTGCCCTGACCACCTTGGGCACATGTCATCAGGACTTCCTGAGGCTGTGTCACGGGCTCGTCCTCAACCTTGGCAAAATAAACTTTCTAAATTAACTGAGATCTGTCTCAGATTTTCTGGGTTCACAACCTTGAGGACATTATGCTAAGTGAAATGAGCCAGACACAAAAGAACAAATACTGTCTGATCCACTTATGTGAGGCTCCTAGAGTAGTCAATTCATAGAGGCAGAAAGTAGAATGCTGGTTTCCAGGGGGCTGGGAAGGTGAAAATGAAGTTGGTGTCTCATGGAGGTAGAGTTTCAGTTTGGGAAGATAAAAAAGTTCGGGAGCCAGATAGTGCTGATGGTTGTAGGCCCATTCCAGTGGGATGTGGCACTCCTTTTAGAGGACACTTTTGGCTCATGGGCCTCCCTTCAGCCTGACCTAATGTTCTTAGAAATCTGCTGTGATTGGCGGCTCTTCTTCCCAGGCCTCCTTCCTTCCCCCTCTCCTTTCACGGGTGTCAGACCTGCACGGCAGTCTGCCAGCTCCTGCTCCCTCCCCTTGGTCCTTCTCAGGTCTTTCTCCCAGTCAATCTCATCTCATGCAGGTCTAATCCCTTCTTGGAATCTGCTTCTCAGAGGACCTGGGCTGATAACATCACCACATAGGCCAAAAGAGCAACATGCCCAATAAATGCACTGCAAGGCAACAAGCACATTTAGAACCAGCACTATGCATTCGGAAGCACAGCAACAAACACCTTCGAATTTGTCAGGGCTTACAGTTGACAGCCCATGTTAGTCATTCAATACATGTGTAATAAGCTCCTGCTGATGGTGAACACATGCACAGCTTGCACTTCTGAGGCAGGCAGGCAGGCCTTCTCATCCACATTCTGCACACGAGTAAACCGTAGGAGGTTATTCTAGGACACACTTTGGTTATAATGAATCTTAATGATGTTAAAAAGTAATAGGCAACATCATTTAGCATTTACGACATGCCAGGTACCATTTCTATACTTTTTTTTTTTTTTATGTGCGTGTTGCTTATTTAAAAAAAATCCTGGCCAGGTGCAGCGGCTCACGCCTCTAATACTAGCACTTTGAGAGGCTGAGGCAGGCAGATCACTTGAGGTCAGGAGCTCAAGACCAGCCTGGGCAACATGGCAAGACCCCGTGTCTACTAAAAATACCAAATTAGCTGGGAGTGGCGGCGATGCCTGTAATCCCAGCTACTTGGGTGGCTGAGGTTGCAGTGAGCCGAGATCGTGCCGCTGCACTCCAGCCTGAGCTGGGCAACAGAGCGAGACCCTATCTAAAAAAAAAAAAAAAATCCTTAAACAGCCCCATATTTTAGGGAATGACGAGGAGCCATGAGCAGAGGTGTGCACTGAGAGTCACTTCGTGCCTCGTGTTCTATAGGAGCTGACCCAGAGGAGGAAATGGGGGGGTTACAGCATACCTGGCCCTCCAGGCTCACCTTGCAGGAGGAGAGCCTGCAGCTGAGAAGCTCCATGGTAGGATGGATTACCTTTAAAGTTTCCTGGGGCCATCTCTAGTTACACAGCAGGGACAAGACAGGACAATGGGTGATAAAGTGCACAGGCTCAGATTCCTAATAAAAAAAAGACTGTGCGGTAATGTGCTCATCAGCCACGCTGAGGCCAACTGCAATTGAGGATTTATAAGAAAAAACGATGTGTGATTTACAAAGAAATGATTTTTATCTTTTACATGTCAAACGATCAAGGAAAATGCAACGTCTCACATCATGCTGATTTCAAAAATAATGCAACAAACCAGTGATCGGCAAAAGAAATGGAGATGGTGTTAAAGACTTGGGGTGGGGAAGGAAGGGCAAGGCACAGAGGCTGCCCTCCCTCTTCTCTCCAAGAGGGGAGCCTCTTTCCACCACCAACCCTCCTTTTCCTGCAGAGGGTGTGGCTTTCTTCCAACTCAACCTGTCACTTCTGCTGCCTCCCTTCCATCATTGAAACAAGAAATCCAGACACTCCTCATTCTTCTAACCTGGTGATATCCCTGGGGCTCTCCCTCCTTCCCAGAGTCCTTTCCAGGCCTGGACAACAGGAGAGGCTGGCCCAACAATCCTCTGCTACAGGACTAATCTTCAGGAGGGCTGAGCAATGCCCTCCACCCCAGGAAGGGCAGTCTTTGGGGTTCCCATCTTCACGCTACAATTGTGCCTTCCTCTTCATACCTGAGCACTCTGTGCCACTGCTGGCACGTCCAACCTGTTCAAGGCCTTTGAGACTGTCCAGCCCACCAGTGACTCCAAGTTTAGCACAGTGGCGCACATCTGCACCCTTTATTTATCTCGATGTTTTATATGCATAACTCCACTTCCTCTACCAAGTCACTAAACTACTGGGGGTTGGGGCCCATGGGCCTGCCTTGGGCATCTTCTATCTCTCCGTTAATCCGGAAGCCACATAGTGAGTGCTCAGGCCCATGAGCAGAATAACTGACCCTGCTTAAGAAAATGCTGTCTGTCTCCCACCTGGCAGGAAGGAGTCAGCCAAGGAGAGTGACAGAAAGAGAAGGTAAGTGTGGAGGAGGTATAGGCTTCCTGTAGGCGTGTTCCTGTTGCATCGCTGCACACCTGCTACCCAGCTGAGGGCCTGGCTCAAACACAGCAGATGTGTGATAAATAAGTGCTGAACAAATAAAGAAATGAATGAGTGAAATGAATAGAAAGGAGGATCCAAAGATTAGAGAAGGGAGAGAGGAAAGAGAGAAATGCACAGGCTGGGCGCAGTGGCTCACGCCTGTAATCCCAGCACTTTGGGAGGCCAAGGTGGATGGATCACCTGAGGTCAGGAGTTCAAGACCAGCCTGGCCAACATGGTGAAACCCTGTCTCTACTAAAAAAATACAAAAATTAGCTGGGCATGGTGGCGAGTGCCTGTAATCCCAGCTACTCGGGAGGCTAAGGCAGGAGAATCACTTGAACTTGGGAGGTGGAGGTTGCAGTGAGCCGAGATCATGCCACTGCACTCTATCTTGGGCGACAAGAGTGAAACTCCGTCTCAAAAAAGAAAAAAGAAAGAAAGAAAGAAAAAGAAATGCACAGATATTCTTTGATCTGGAAGAGTTGGTTAGACAGGCTATGCCTTGACACAAATGAATTGTCCTGAAATTGACTTCCAGAGAGGCATGGTTTAGCCACAGCCTGGTTCACCACTCTGAAATGTATCTTCTATAGACAGGGGTGACATGGTTTGGCTGTGTCCCCACCCAAATCTCATCTTGAATTGTAGTTCCCATAATTCCCATGTGTTGTGGGAGCGACCTGGTGGAAGATAATTGAGTCATGGGGGTGGCTTCCCCCATCCAGTTCTCATGGTAGTGAATAAGTATCATGAGAGCTGATGGTTTTATAAGGGGAAACCCCTTTTTCTTGGTTCTCATTCTTCTCCTTACTGTCACCCTGTAAGAAGTGCCTTTCACCTTCTGCCATGATTGTGAGGCCTCCCCAGCCACATGGAATTGTGAGTCCATTAAACCACTTTTTCTTTATGAATTACCCAGTCTCAGGTATGTCTTTATCAGCAGCTTGAAAACAGACTAATACAGGGGAGACCATCTTACACACACACACACACACACACACACACACACACCCAGTATATAAAGGATATCAGTGTCATTGCAGTGCTTCCAAAAGCATAGGTTGGTATCAGGCTGACTATAGCTCTTGACCATTTCTATGACCATTAAAATACAACATAAATAACTTGATCTTCACTGACCTGTAGACCTAGAAAAAAATATTCAGGCTTAGCCACAGACAAGGAGGAACAGGGGCTGAAGCGCGAAACACCAACCATCTGCAGAGTTCCTGAACTGGTGGGAGCAGCCTGTCCCACAGATGAGCCTGGACTGGGAAGCATCTATGTTTCCTCTTACACCAAAGAGCAAGACATGGCATTAACGAAGCCAGACGTGCTAATGGGGGCAACTTTGAAGCCTAAAGCTGCTTGGGCTTCCAATTAACTGCCCTGGGCCTCCGTGTCTCTCTGTTTGCAAAATGGCACTGAATCACTCCTGATTTCTCCAGATAAGTAGCTGTGCTTACACTGGTGATGTGGTCCATGGAAATGTACGTGAATAATGGTGTGCTGGTATAATGGACAGCTGGAACCAGAAGCAGGGAGGAAGGCACGGAGCAGACAGGCTCATGGCCCTTGCAGGGACTCAAGGTGTGTCTAATGGGACAGTGACCACCAAACTCTCTATCTTCTGGCTGCACTGATTTATGTCTTGCTCCTGAGAAATTAATGGCTTGGGAGGGTTTGTGGCAGCTCACCTTGCCTCCCTAGAAGGGTTTGGTGACAACTTTGGGAAGTAAATGCACTAGTTTCCAAGCAACCAAATAACAGGTCTTCAGTTACAAACCCGCGCTTCATTTTACAAAACAGTAGCTCCAGAGCAGCATGTAATTAAACTGGCGAAGGCTTCACCTCCCTGGAATAACCTGAGCCCAACAGGACCCTGCTAACACCACTGTTCACCAAATAAAGGTAAACAGACTCGTCTGAAGTCATGCCTGGAGGGGGACTCTGATCTTGCATTAATTGGGCATGTCAGTTGGCCTTAAGAATTCAATCAGCCGGGCAGTGACCCAATCTACTGCTGACAAATGGGCCCCATTTGCTATTCAAAAAATTAAAAAACTTATTTGAAGAGGAAATAGTGGCTTCTAGTTAGAGCACCTCTCATCTGCCGGGATCTAGCTACATACATTTGCCATTTAGGCTAGATTGCTTTACTCTTCTTTCTAAGTCAAGGTCAAGGATACATCCCCTTTAGTCTAGGATGACTTGGAGCGCAGAGAATACCAGCTCCTTATTCCCTTCTCCTTGGCTTCATCTTCTGATTCATGCCTGTCTAACTTTCAGGCACCCATTGTCAAGGGAGTAATGGTGTCTGGCTACAAAGAAAAAAAAAAAATAAGCTCGTGGCACCCACTTCACCAGCAGAAACTCTCTGATTTGGAGGGCTGGCTAATATTGTGAGCACCCATTCCCCCAACACCTGGCCCTTTTCTTTGTTTTGCTCGCTTTCAGCAGCCCCATTTCTGGCCCCAAGACCTCCCACTGTGACACTCAGCTAACGTATCACCTTCTTCTCTATAACAGCGTCTGTGGTCCCAAGCCTAGAGCACCACTGAGGACCCCCTTGCAGCCCAGTTTCCAGGCTGCTGAGGTGCCCCACTGGCCACTGTCCTGGGGTCCAACCTTCAGGCTGGCAGCTGCATCAGCATCATCTGTGACCCTCCTCGAAACACACACCTGGATTCAGAGAAACACAATAGGGACAGGGATGTTGTATTATTTATAACAAGTAGGGCGGGTTGATTCTAGCACTGCCTCCTGGAGGCACTGGGGAGTCAGGTGCAGGGCACAACTAGACAAGGTGACTGGGCTGCAAGGTAGAGAGTAGAAAGCCGAGCTAACAAATGGTGCAACTCAGTGAGAAGATCTACATGCTCTCCTAAAGGACTGCATGCTGCGAGACAATCTTGGGGGCAACGTAGCAATCAGATTATTCAGGAGCAGCTGCAGAAAGCCAGGCTACAAGGCACTAGCTAATTTCCATGGGTGACTCTCAAGCTTCAAGACACAAGAATCACCCAGGGCTATGCTCAAGGCCAGCCTCTGCCATAAGGCATGTTTCCTGCTCTACCTGGAAGGACCAAGCAGATTCCCTTCTCTGGGGTCCAGCGATTGAAGAACCTACCACAGAGCTGGGCTGGAAATTAGGGATAAGATTTTAGCTCTTACTCTTCTGCTGCTGAGAACTTGGCCCCGGCCGGCTTCGTATCTGCACGTATTTCTGAACTATTGCAGATACTCACACAGAACTCCTCCACTGGCTCTTGTTCAGGTCCCTCTACAGCTCTGAGTTATTTCTGAAAATCTCTTTTCCAAACAGATCCCATAGAGCCTGCCACATGTTCCCTCTCCCTGGATCAGGCTGGTCCAGGAAGAATTGGGGAATACAGATGGGCAGACCCCCTGCTTGGGGGAGATGCAATTACAAACAGCAGGCCTGAGACTCTGCTTTCAAGTGCCAGATGGCGGATTGGAGGCGCCACCCCAGAAGTCTGCTCTGTGCCCACTCCAGACAGATGTTTAGATTCTGCAGGGACTCACAGGTCGTTGCCTCCATTCTTTCCCCATCCCATGACGGCACTCAATGCTTCCCAAGTGTAAACCATCCAGGATCATGCAGGGCAAGCACTGAACAAAACCAGAAGACAGCATTTAAAGTTCTTACAAACAATTTGTTACTCTCCTAATAAATTGTTTTGCCAAATATTCTATACACTTTCCAGTATTGGCCTTGAATTTTTTGCAATGCTTGACTTTATATTATTATACTTATCTGTGTTATTTTAGTTTTGCTTTTACTGAAATCTGTATCAAAATGTTGAAATACAAATTATTCTCTATATCAAAATAATTAATTTGTCTTTTAAAATTGCTTTCGTTTCATATTGACTATTTTGTTTTTAATTATGTTTGTTTATAAATAAAATACTTTGCATGGAAAAAAAAAAAAAAAAAAACAGAAGACAGGCTGTTGGTAATCCAGCTGCTAGACAGAGGAAGAGAGAGACTAGCGCTTACTGGGACATTTCTAGCGGCATTATATATATACCCGTGGTCTGGTCTGATTTCATCCTCACAACAGCATTCCAAGGATCTTATCCACTCCACTTTACAGGTAGAAAAATAGTGGTTTGGACAGCTGAAGTCACCTGCCAAAAGTAGCAGCTGGTCCACAGTAAATCGAATCCCCACCCCTCACCAAGTCCCCTCCTGCCTTAACCGGAGCAGTCACTGGGGGCCCTAGCTTTGAAGCTGACTTTCGCAGTTCATGGCTAAATGACCTCTCTCAACTTCACTTTTTTCATCTCATAAGAGGGGGCCATATGATCTGCCTACCTTCCTGGGGGGCCGTGAGGATTGGCTGAGGTCAAGGGTGGGCCTGCTTCGTAAACTGCACTGTTATCATTGGGATCTGGGACGGAGCCTGAATAAACGTATTCACACTCGGGCTTTAGTGTTTAATAAGACTTAAAACAACAATAACAAATCCCTATCGAACTATGTGCATTTTAAGAGGGGACAAAGCTCTAAACCAAAAAAAGGGCATTATGATCATAGCTTCAGGTCTCATTTAGCCTGCCAGGTCAAAGGGGACTGGGGCAGGAAGGGAGTTACCTATTTAATAGGAACTCTTCTCAGAAAATTGTAAATCATGCCAGGGAATAGTATACTGGGTTGACCAGTATCCCCCCAAAATCCATGTCTACTCAAACCTCAGAACATGACCTTATTTGGAAATAAGGTCTTTACAGATGTAAACAGTCAAGATGAGGTCATACTGGATTAGGGTGGGTCCCCAATCCAATGACGAGTGTCCCTATAAAAAACGAAAACCGAAACCCAGAGACATACAGATACAGAGGGGAGAAGTACATGTGAAGATGGAGGTGGCATGGGAACGATGCATCTACAAGCTAAGTTACACCAAGAATTATTGGTAACTCTAGGAAACTAGGAGAGGCCAAGAAAGGTCTTCTCTAGAGCCTTCAGGAGAAGCATGGCCCTGTGGACACCCTGACTTCAGGCTTCTAGATTATTCCAGAACTGTGAGAGAATACATTTCTGTTGTGTTTAAGTCACTGAGTTTGTGGTACTTTGTTATGGCAGCCCCAGGAAATGAATAAACATAGTAATGGAAGATTCTGAGACAGGCACTATGCTTTACGTACACTGTGTGTATGTATGTATGTATGTATATATGTATGTATGTATGTATGTATGTATGTACGTACATACTTACTTACTTATTTGAGACAGAGCCTTGCTCTGTCATCCGGGCTGGAGTGCAGTGGTGCGATGTCGGCTCACTGCAACCTCCACCTCCCAGGCTCAAGTGATTCTTCTGCCTCAGCCTCCTGAATAGCTGGGATTACAGGTGCCTGCCACCAAGCCTGGTTAATTTTTGTATTTTTAGTGGAGATGGGGTTTCACCATGTTGGCCACACTGGTCTTGAACTCCTGACCTCAGGTAATCCACCCGCTTCAGCCTCCCAAAGTGCTGGGATTACAGGCATGAGCCACCAGGCCTGGCCCATTGTCTCATTTATCCCATGGGGGAAGCAGTATTAGAACCATCATTTCACAGAGAAGACCACAGAGGCTCAGCTCCGCAGAGGCAGCAGCAGGATTCATGCTCTGATCAGGAGGCCCCGGTCTCAGCCCCTGGACCACACTGCCACGCAGGACTGCCTCTGCCCTCTCCTGTTCGGCCGGCACAATCAGGGGAGCCAGCTAGTCTAATTCGTGTGGCTTTTTCCTACAGTGAAGGGTTCACCCTTAAGCACTGATATTTTCCTTCATTTTCAAAGAAGTTGTTTTCAAAGGCAATACTCATTTTCCTGCTTCCTTAATTTAATTTCTGTATTGATGACTCAGAAGCATTTCAGAAACATTAATTACTGTGTGACAACACAAAATGATGATGGCCTGAGACATCTTGAGCTAGGAGGGGATGTCAGGGCTTTCATTAGAGCCACCACCAGCTGCTCTGTCCACGGTAGTGGCGTCTCTATGGATGACATATGGTCATTGATTTTATGTCTGATTCACTGTCATCACGGCGTCTGCTTTGCTATCTCTTAGTTGTCCCTACGCTGAGCAAGACCTTTTCCCTTCCACATTACATTTGGTTTTTCTCCCCTAATCTAATAAAGGTTGGGGAAGTAGATAACCAAATTTCTTAGAATTCGGCAGAGACTCAGAATAAACAGTATTCTGGACTGTTAAGGAGTTCTTTTATGGATCCAGTCCATGTGCTATAGGGCATTGAGTTTTCTGGTTTCTCTTCTCCCCTACATCCCTGTCAGCCCAGCTGCATTCACAACACAAGAGCTTTTACCATCCTGCCCTGATCCTGCCGAACTGAAGAACACCCACTTTTTGGGGCAAGGAATACGTTGGATGAGGCTCCAGCACAAGAAAAAGATTTTCACTTAGTGTCCACCTGTGTTTTCTCCAGTTGGCAGGATGGCCTCATTAAGGGCATTTGGGGCTGGATGCGGTGGCTCACGCCTGTAATCCCAGTACTTTGGGAAGCGGAAGCCAGCAGATCACTTGAGGTCAGGAGTTCGAGACCAGCCTGGCCAACATGGTGAAACCCCGTCTCTACTAAAAATACAAAAACGAGCTGGATGTGGTGGCTGCTTGGGAGGCTGAGGAAGGAGAATCACTTGAACCTGGGAGGCGGAGGTTGCAGTGAGCCGAGATTGGACCATTGCACTGCAGCCCGGGTGACAGAGTGAGAGTCAGTCTCAAAAAAATAAAAATAAAATAAAATAAAAAAATAAAGAGCATTTGGAGGGGGCTGGCTTTAGGGGACCTCCCAGACATCCTGGGACATGAGAGGTGTAGGATAAATCCTTTCCTGGCTTCTGCTTCCCCAGCACAAGCGCTGTTCACCTGACCGTGCTAACCCATCGCTCTCTTTGTTACAGCTGCTAGGGCAAGGGAATGCTACCAAAAACCTCCACCTTCACCCATTCAACATTTTCATGGCAGCATCTCAAGTTGAAGGGGAAATTCACACCTTCTGGTCTCTATTCTCACTTAGCTCGCTTCTGCTGCAACTTGTGATCCCCGGACTTCTCAGCTGCACCTACATCTGTGGAGAGGAACATCTGAATCCACAACTGCCTTTAGACTGGGGCCACCAGGCTTGCTCTTAGCCCTGCCCTTATAAGGGCCCCTTTCTTGGTCTCTTCTGGCAACTCCCTTTTCAATAGGGCAAGGAGTCTGTGGCACCCATGAGGAACCCCTATCTGTAATCCACACCCCCTTCTACTCTCAAAGTCTTGGCACCAGGGATTCTTTCCCCAGTGACTGGAGGCCCACATATAAGGCCTGCAGGGAACTCATAATTGTGTTGGTCAAGCATTGACCATCCCCTTGGTCAGTGTACTCAAGGATCACCAAGTAGCCAACGCAAAGATGAACTAAGCCCTTCTTTTTCTATTTCAACTCAGGCAGTCTGTGGACTAAGCATGCTGGGAAGAGCTGATTAAGAGTTCCAAGTGGGCCAGCACTGCCCAGAGAAAGCAGTGAGGAGAAACTGAGCTAGCTGAAGGGCAAGAGCTGG
This sequence comes from Homo sapiens, assembly GCF_000001405.40. NCBI lineage: Eukaryota > Metazoa > Chordata > Mammalia > Primates > Hominidae > Homo > Homo sapiens. The sequence goes on from NC_000017.11 coordinate 72,780,247, forward strand.
ATCAACAAGGCCTTCTCTGAAAACACTTCCCAAGGGAGAGCTGGTGTAAACACCCTGGCCTCTCTTCTTGGTTTGGGGGCTGATTTTCATGTCTCTGGGCTGATCATAACTACATGGAGGGGAAATACATCTTTCCTGAGGGGCCCAGAAGCACTCGTCAATGTCAATGTTGATTTCAGAGCTGATAGTCGGGATGAAAGAGGCAGTAGTCAATGTGAGGGTATTAATTCCACGTCTACTACGTGCACCGCACAGTGCTAAGGGCCCTGAAGATGGGGGGCGGGTGGGGGCACAACTGTGTGTCTGCTTTGTTATCTTGAACTTGCTCTGTGTCAGAGCAATTCCGGGACTTGACAAGTTCATCATTCCATGTAGACCATAACTGCTCTTTCGCTTTGCTCTCCACTCTCTATTAGGTCAGCATTCATTTTCTTTTCTTTAAAATATTTCCCAAATCATGCCGGGCGTGGTGGCTCATGCCTGTTAATCCCAGCACTTTGGGAGGCCAGGGCAGGCAGAACACCTGAGGTCAGGAGTTTGAGACCAGCCTGACCAACATGGAGAAACCCCGTGTCTACTAAAAATACAAAATTAGCTGGGCGTGGTGGCAAACGTCTGTAATCCCAGCTACTTGGGCGGCTGAAGCAGGAGAATTGCTTGAACCCAGGAGGCGGAGGTTGTGGTGAGCTCAGATCGCGCCATTGCATTGCAGCCTGGGCAACACGAGTGTAATTCCATCTCAAAAAAAGAAATAAATAAGTAATTCCCAAATCAGCTTATTTCTTTACAGTCCACACTCATCATCTCAGCCTGAGCTCTAATCCCCAAACTGTCTGGCACCTTCGGTCTCTCTCCTCTTTCCTGGGCTTCACTTATTTTACCATCACTAAAGTGAACATTTTAAAATAAAGTCATATTTATAAGTTCCATGAGAAAACCTGGGAAACTCAACAGGTGTCTCTCAGGGTCACGGTGCCCCATGAATCCACGATCCTCTCAAACTCTCCTCTTCTGCTCCATTCCTTGCACGTCAAGAAAACCAGCTTCAGAGAACTCCTCCCAGAACTTTCAGGAGAGAATTTATTTTACTGAAACCTGTCCTTCACTTCCACCTCTTTGGAAATGCTTTGACATTTCCATCATTTTGTCTTATTTTGTTTCTTTTGGTTTTTTTTTTTTCTTTTTTCTTTTTTTTGAGACGGAGTCTCGCTCTATCGCCCAGGCTGGAGTGCAATGGCGCGATCTCGGCTCACTGCAACCTCCACCTCCTGGGTTCACACCATTCTCCTGCCTCAGCCTCCCGAGTGGCTGGGATTACAGGCACCCGCCACCATGCCCAGCTAATTTTTTGTATTTTTAATAGAGACGGGATTTCACTGTGTTAACCACGTCTTGGTCTCCTGACCTCATGTTCTGCTCACCTTGGTTTCCCAAAGTGTTGGGATTACAGGCGTGAGCCACTGTACCCGGTCCTTATTTTGTTTCTAATACAAGCTCGTGTTGGGGTGAGGAAGGGCAGAGGAATGGCTATTACTAACATTCTTGAAAAAGAGCAGATGCAAGACGCTTTAATTTTTAAATAACAGACTCTCGGTACATTTCATCCTGAGAAAATACTTCACTTTCCATCCATCACCATCCAAAAAAAAAAAAAAATTCTATTTATAAAAGGACTCCTCTGCACTGTAGTGGGTTGAACTGTACCTCCCTGCTTCCTGCCTCTCTCTATATATACATATACATACATATATTCAAGTCCCAATCCCCTGTACCTGTGAATATGACCTTGTTTGGAAAAGGGCGCCTGGCAGATATAATTAAGGTAAGGATCTTGAGGTGAGATCATCCTGCATCAGGATGGACCTTAAATCCAATGATAAGTCCTTCTAAGAGGAAAAGAAGGGGAAGCAGACATAGAGACACCCAGAGGAGAAGACAATCTCAGGACAGAGGCAGAGACTGGAGTGATGCAGCTATGAGCCAAGAACACCAAGACTTGCTGCACCCCCAGAAGCTGGGAGGGGGCATGGAAAGGATTCTCCCTCCACTGAGAGTCTCCAGAAGGAACCAACCCTGCAGGCAGCTTGCTCCGGGGTCTTTCACCTCCAGAACTGTGAGACAATGCATCTCTGTTGTTTTAAGCCACCCAGTTTGCAGTACTGTGTTACAGGAGCTGCGGGAAACTGATTCACTAGCCAAGTCCCTTGGCACACACTTTCTAGGGACAGACTCTGAAGTTTGAGATCAGCCTGGCTAACAGGGCAAAATCCTGTCTCTACTGAAAATACAAAAATTAGCCAGGTGTGGTGGCGTACAGTTATAATCCCGGTTACTTGGGAGGCTGAGGCTGGAGAACTGTTTGAACTGGGAGATGGAGGTTGTAATGAGCTGAGGTTGCATCACTTCACTCCAGCCTGGGCGACACAGCAAGACCCCATCTCAAAAAAAAAAAAAAAAAAAAAAAAAAAAGCAGGCCCAGCACAGTGGCTTATGCCTGTAATCTCAGCACTTTGGGAGGCCAAGGCGGGTGGATCACCTGAGGTCAGGAGTTTGAGACCAGCCTGGCGAACATGGCAAAAACCCCTTCTCTACTAAACATACAAAAATTAGCCAGACGGGGTGGTGCCCACTTGCAATGCTAGCTACTCGGGAGGCTGAGGCAAGAGACTCACTTGAACCCGGGAGGCGGAGATTGCGGTGAGCTGAGATCATGCCACTGCACTCCAGCCTGGATGACAGCGCAAGACTCTGTCTCAACAAAAAAAAAAAAAAAAAAGAAAAAAGAAAAGAAAAGAAAGCAGATTTTCACCAGAAAGCAGACGATTCTCACCAGAAAGCAGATGATTCTCACCAGAAAGCAGATTCTCACCAGAAAGCAGATGATTCTCACCAGAAAGCAGATTCTCACCAGAAAGCAGATGATTCTCACCAGAAAGCAGATTCTCACCAGACACTGAATCTGAATCTGCTGGCACCTTGACCTTGGAGTTTCCAGCCTCTAGAACTGTGAGAAATAAATGTCTATTGTCTAGAGCCACCCAGTGTATGGCACTTTGTTATAGAAGCTGTAACAGACTGAGACAACCAGGCAGGGAGCAGAGTCAGGGCTGTGCTGGAAAAGGCCTCCCATGGCTGTGATCACACACGCCCCTTCCTATCACCAGCCAGGACCTCCCTTCTGAGCCCTAAGGCCTTCATACTCATGGAAATTGAGATTACAGCAAATAATGCAGGTTCAAAGTCTGAACATGCTGAGTTTGGAGCCTGTAGAACATTCAGATGAATCTACCTCAGCCAGATGGCTGGAGGGCAGCAAACGAAATGACCCAGAACAGAGGAGAGAAGCTTGAATCACAGCTATTGATCTGGAAGTTATCAGCGTATGGATGGTGTGAAGCCGTGGGGGCAGGGAAGAATGCCCAGGATGAGAAAACAAGTCCAGAGGAAAACCATAGATCAGATCTACATCAGCTTCTAAACGCAGGCAGGAGTCTGACTTGCAAAGGTGAGGGAACGGGAATAGTCAGAGTTAACAGGCGCCCACGTCACAATGGATGGATTGAAGAATTAAGAGGAACTGAGAAAGCTGACACTTCCAAGGAGCTGGGGGGTCTCCATGCCCCCTAGCACACCCTCAGCCAGGAATTTTCAGGAGCCAGGGCAGCCAGCCCCCACCCAGGGCATGGCTGTCCCATGGTCACAGGGTAGGGTGAAAAGTAGAAGCAGATGGGAAAGGGAACTGGAGGATGTGGGGGTAACTGTGGGTAGGGGTACAAGCAAAGAAAGTATGAATGAAGCCTTGAAAGGACTTGGAAAGGCCTGGTGTGGTGCCTCACGCCTGTAATCCCAGCACTTTGGGAGGCCGAGACAGGAAGATCACTTGAGGTCAGGAGTTCGAGACCAGCCTGGCCAACACGGTGAAACCCTGTCTCTACTAAAAATACAAAAATTAGCTGGGCATGGTGGCGCATGCCTGTAATCCCAGTTACTCCAGAGCCTGAAGCAGGAGTCTTGCTTGAACCCGGGAGGCATAGGTTGCCGTGAGCAGAGATGGCACCACGATACGCCAGCCTGGGCAAGAGAGAGAGACTCTGTCTCTAAAACAAAACAAAACAAAAAGGTTGGGGGGTGCGTGGGGCTGGAAGATAACACAGAGCAAAGATGTCTAAGAAGACAGGGGGTTTGACACCAGAATGTCAACGTAGTGCAGCATTACTGCAGAGAGCATTTTCTAGGGCCTCAAACTGCTTTGGAAAACTTTGGTGATATAGTTCGGATATTTGACCCTGCTCAAATATCATGTTGAATTGTAATGACCGATGCTGGAGGTGGGGCCTGGCGGGAGGTGTCTGGATCCTGGGGGTGGATCCCTAATGGGTTGGTGCTGTGGTGACAGTGAGTTCTCACGAGAGCTGGTTGTTTAAAAGTGTGTAGAACCTCCCCTCCCCTCTTTCTCGCTCTTGCTTTTGCCATGTGATATGCCTGCTCCCCCTTCACCTTCTGCCATGATTATAAGCTTCCTGAGACCCCCCAGAAGCTGAGCAGATATCAGCACCATGCTTCCTGTAAAGCCTGCAGAACTGTGGGCCAATTAAACCTCTTTTTTCTTTCTTCTTTTTTTTTTTTTTTTTTAGATGGAATCTCGCTCTGTCGCCCAGGCTGGAGTGCAGTGGTGCAATCTTGGCTCACTGCAACCTCCACCTCCCAGGTTCAAGCGATTCTCCTGCCTCAGTCTCCCAAGTAGCTGGGATTACAGGTACGCAGGCATGCGCCCCCATGCTTGGCTAATTTTTGTATTTTTAGTAGAGATGGAGTTTCACCATATTGGTCAGGCTGGTCTTGAACTCCTGACCTCATGATCCGCCCACCTCAGCCTCCCAAAGTGCTGGGATTACAGGCCTAAACCTCTTTTATTCATAAATTACCCAGTCTCAGGTATTTCTTTATAGCAATGCAAGAACAGCCTGATACATTTGGAGATGAAAAGAAGCAAGGATATAGGATGAGGGCTTAGAAGGGAAATTACCATCAAGGAGGTTTTCTCTCCTCTCTCATTTCTTCCTCTTCCTTCTCTCCCAATCTCTCTCTCCTCCATGGCTAGATGTTTGTAGGCTGAAGGGAAGAACCCAGAGAAAGAGTCGGGAGAATTTCAAAGAGAAAGAGAGAGAGGGAAGAAGATATTGAGGAAAGGTGGTGAGGGAGCTCAGGAGCACGTGAAGACATTAGTCCTGCAGTATTTGGCTCCTCCATCTCCGAAGGGGAGAGAGGGCTGAAAGATGGTTCATGATGTCACTTGAGCTCAAAGGTAGAGGGCGGAGAGTGGAGATGCTTCCACCAGATGCCCTCAAAGCTTTCAGAGAAGCCAGGGCACAATTATCAGAGAGGACGTAGGAAGGGAAGGTGGAAGGGCTTTAGTGGTGGCTTCAAATGGCCACCACCGGGAGGGTGGAAAAGAGCTAAGGAGAAACAATTACAGAAATGCTGGATACATCGTTTTCTTTATTCCATGTGTTTTTCTCATCCTGCCCATTGGATTTGCAGAGCTTGAAGAGTAAGTTAAGTATGTATCTCAATCCTCCTGGTCTTTCTTGTCACTCAGAGATGCTAAATGCATTTCACATACAGGTATGCAAAAATACCTCAGACCAGGAAAATATGTTAGCTTGGCTAGAAATGATCGTTTATGCTTAAAAAAAATTAAATTTGATTGGCCAAGCCCACCCTTCAGGCTGCTGAGTATTCATTTTCTTCACCTTGACAGATGAGATTCCCTCCCCGACATCTCTGGATCACAATGGGCCAAATTATCAGAAACCGACAGGGAGGCTAGTGACACCTTTATAGGGTAGCAAGCATATGCTAAGGCCTTATGGCATAACCTTGGGTTTTAGCAATTGACTGCATGGGAAACCAGGAGTCAGGGCCTGGGCACCCAGCTGGAATCTGATGGAAACATCACCCTTCCCATCCACAAACATATGGAAAACTTCTGTGAAGAATTTAAGTGTGCCAGAATAGTTGATGGAAAGTTCTATTCTTAGTTAATACTGTAACTACAGATATCTTCGATGCTGGCACTTCCAGACAATTAACCCACAGCCTATGCCAACAAAATTTTACACTTATCTTCCTGTCTTACTGTAAACAACCCAATTTCAAAGGCAAATGTGCTATATACCCTCCCACATACATGTCTTATTTTATACACCCCATCTTGCCTTTCCATCAAGATAGGAAAGTAGTCCTAGATACCAAAATAAACCCCCCTTGCCATGCCCCCAAATGTTCAGCTTGTTACAAAAGCAGAAGATATCTGGATGGCTGATGGATCCCGGGGTGTTTTTCAGGACTGAAGGACACTCAGGCTATTCCTCAATGACAGGGAGTTCACACAGCAGCTTCTAGCTCTGTCTTAGACTTCTTGCTTCTGTATGGGCAGGAAGTGGGACGCACATCTAGATGGGTAATGAGATTAAGGGATTCTTGTACTGTCCTGGGGGCAGTGATATGTGAGAGATGCTGAGGACTGGGGTCCTAGAGGCAGACTCTAGGCAGAGAGGCAATCCCATATCTATTTTTCTTGTTTTTTTTGAGATGGAGTTTCACTTTTTCACCCGGGCTGAAGTGCAATGGCGCAATCTTGGCTCATTGCAAACTCTGCCTCCTGGGTTCAAGTGATTCTCCTGCCTCAGCCTCCCAGGTAGCTGGGATTACAGGCACCCGCTGCCACGCCCAGCTAATTTTTGTATTTTTAGTAGAGACGGGGTTTCACCATGTTGGTCAGGCTGGTCTTGAACTCCTGATCTCAGGTGATCTGCCCTCCTCAGCCTCCCAAAGTGCTGGCATTACAGGTGTGAGCCACCAAGCCTGGCCGCAATCCCTTATCTTTAAGATGCAGTGCAGCAGACCTGGTATCAGCTTATGCGGATGAATGCATCTTAAGAGGCTCTGAAATAGTATGCCACCAGTCTTTACCATTTGTCACTTTGACTGCTATAACCCATGGCTTTTTTTTTTTTTTTTTTTTTTGAGGCAGAGTCTCGCTCTGATGCCTAGGCTGGATGGCAGTGGCGCAATCTCGGCTCACTGCAAGCTCCACCTCCCGGGTTCACGCCATTCTCCTGCCTCAGCCTCCCGAGTAGCTGGGACTACAGGCGCCTGCCACCACGCCCGGCTAATTTTTCGTATTTTTAGTAAAGACAGGGTTTCACCGTGTTAGCCAAGATTGTCTCGATCTCCTGACCTCATGATCCGCCTGCCTTGGCCTCCCAAAGTGCTGGGATTACAGGCGTGAGCCACCCGCCCGGCCAACCCATGGCTTTCAAGGGAATTTTACTCTCTTAAATTACTGGGGTTCTACAGTTGTTCCTCTCTCTCTTCAACTTTTTCTTTCTAACTATTCAGTCTATCATATACTCAGCCAACAAATGTCTGTGGAATCTTGGAGGTAAACATCATTTTTAAAGTAGCAAAAACCAAGTACACAGAAAATCTGACATTGTCTAGCTAAACTCACCTTTGTAGCCACATTTCTGCTGACCCCAAAGCCTCATTCTGATACATTCTGTTTCCTCCTGGGATGCACATTCACCCCAGCTGACTCTCCCCCTCCTTCCCTGGGCTCCCTTACTGGGCGCATCCAGTTATTTTGAGCTCTCATAGCACCGTGGCCCTCTCTGTTGTAGGTAGATATATCAGGGTTGAAGATTTGCATTTATTTGTACAATTCTTTCATGAATGTCCTTCTCCTCCCTGGACTGTAAATCCCCAAGAAGGCAGGGTCAACATGTTTTATTAACCACTGAATCCTCAACACCTCAAGTAGGCACAGTTCAAGTAAACTTTTATTTATTAATCATTGCTTCCCAGCATTTAATAAGTCAGGTAGCCTCTAATTTCATCCCCTGGGTCCTAGGCCAATCCTTTCCCCACTGGTTAGGCCCAGGTATTTACTCCATACATCCTGGACCCCTCGACCAGAAATTTCTTCATCTGGCCTCTCTGCTATGCATCCATGCTGGATCCAGCTCTCCTAACAGCCTTCTGACACTGCCTGTCCCAGCTGGGTTCAACATTTCCCCTTGTTTCCATGCATTATTAGTTTTCTCTGATGATCTTTCTCATATGAGAATGACATGACATTAGCATCTAGAGGGTCCCTGAAGATTAAGCTGTGTTTAACCATTTCTTAGAGAAGAGGGCAACAAAGGTCAAGGAAGTCGACCAATGTCACACGACCAGGCAGCAGTCCCAGGCTGTACTTTCCTTCAATTTTCCAACTGTCTTTGCTGTACTGCTTCCTCAAAACCCACCTTTTGGTTAGGCATGATCAAGAACTTGTCTCCAGAAAAGGGAGTATAAGAATAATACACACATAATTTTGGGAGGCAGGAGGGCCCCTCGTTACAATGGCCAAACACCGGGGCTCCACCCAAAAACTGATGGAGATGACATGAGCCAATGGTATACATTTAAGAGGTGATGCTCTCCCAACTAAACCTAAGTCCTGGACAATACTAGAGGCAGGGGCCCCAACCCCAAAGGCTGGGATCAGATGCTGTGTATTAAGACTGGTCAGTGGAGAGTATGAGGCATGGATGGAGTAAAAGGAGGTGACTGTCAGAAACCATGCAACTGAAGCGTGACCACAGGTGACATGTACTGTGGCAAGGCCAGTGATTTCATTATAGCATGTTTTCTTTTGTCTGCATGAATGTTATGTTATGACCCTCATTTGAGCATCAGATTCTTAGAGGCCTTCATTTTTCTCCCAGTTACCAGAGAGGACAAAGGCTTTTTTTTTTTTTGAGATGGAGTCTCATTCCATCGCCAGATTGGAATGCAGTGGCGCAATCTCAGCTCACTGCAACCTCTGCCTCCCGGGTCCAAGCGATTCTCCTGCGTCAGCCTCCAGAGCAGCTGAGACTACACGCGCACGCCACCATGTCCGGCTAATTTCTGTGTTTTTAGCAGAGGCGGGGTTTCAACACGTTGGCCAGGCTGGTCTCAAACTCCTGACCTCGTGATCCGCCCGCCTAGGCCTCCCAAAGGCTTTGACTGCAGTGTAATATTTACCCTGTGGCCAAACAATCTCGATATATTTGTTAACTTAGCACATGCACTGTGACGTGCTATCATGGAGAAGAACAATGGAGGCCACCTCAAAATTCAAGTCAAAGAAGTACTTGTTAGGGCAAAGGGCACACGAAATGAAGAATGGTTTTGTAATTGGCTGTGAAAGCAGGTAAACTGTCGCCCAGGTAAGAACCATCCCTGGGAACAGGCCTATAACTCGGAAGATAATAGCCACAGCTCTGATTCCACCCTTCAGTTCACTTCAGCAAACACTTATTGGTCACCCACTGTGCAGGGCAGGCTGATATTTGGAAACATAGAACAACAACCTGATTAAAGGCCACACTTCCTCTGAAGCCTCTGAATTAGTTATAAGAAAGAACCTTTTCATTATGAGGGTTCTTTATTATATAGAACCTCGTTCCCTGGGGCGGATGAAATCCAGGCATCAATATCCAGGCCGAGAGTCAGGCCTTACTGAAGATAGGAGAAAGATCTGTGGGTACGTATGGGTGTCCTGCCATCTGAATGAATAATTCAGGAACATGGCCCAATTTCACCTTCCATGTCTGGTCTGGCAAACGTGGAGATGCTTGGGCAGGGAATTTAACTGGGTTTTTCTGACTTCTCGTGGAGTGCCAAAGATTGAGCTGAGGGAAATCAGGGATGCCAGAATGCTATGAAAGCTCAAATCCACTCAATCCTGCAGGATTCAAAGACATGAAGTAGCAGCACTGTATGCAAGGGAGGCTACTTATCTGCTGCCACATTATAGGGGAGCTGAGGATAACAAGCCGGGTGGGCAGATTATCCATTTATTTTTGTCTTTCGAAAGACTAGCATAGGGGGCATCATTTAGTGTTCAATTTCCTGTGTCCTCAGGAGAGCACACTGGTACACACCCCCAGCCAGGCTGGGGGGTCATCCCAGGGGGTTTCTGGTTGTGAGAAAGAATCCATCCTGGTTGCCCACAAACAAACATGTGAAATACAAACCATGTGACCTGGATAAACAGAACATGGTGAGGAAGTAGGCAGTGCTCATCTGAACAACAAAACCGCACCCTTCTGGAATACAAAGACACCAGATGGTGGTTTTCTCTGGCCAGGATATTCTTCACACCATGGACAGACCTGAAGCGCTGCTTCTCCAAGGAATGAGAAGATAAGAGAATCCATCTTTCAAAGAAAACAATGAATTTCTCTCTCTCTCTCTCTTTTTTTTTTTTGAGACAGAGCCTTGCTTTGTCGCCCAGGCTGGAGTGCAGTGGTACGATCATGGCTCACTGCAACCTCTGCCTCCTGGGTTCAAGCGATTCTCCTGCCTCAGCCTCCTGAGTAGCTGGGATTACAGGCATGTGCCACCACACCCAGCTAATTTTTGTATTTTTTAGTAGAGATGGGGTCTCACCACGTTGGCCAGGCTGGTCTCAAACTCTTGACCTCAAGTGATCCGCCTGCCTCGGCCTCCCAAAGTGCTGGGATTACAGGTGTAAGCCACCACACCCAGCCAAAAACAATGAATTTCTTGAATTTGCATCACATTTACATGTACAGTTAGTGGGACCCTGAGCAGAAGGAAGAAGGAAAGCTTCAAGGCAAATGGTGAGGCCAATCCATGTAGCAACTTAGCCACGTTGAAGACAAATCCCCAGCTCCCTCACCTGCAGATATTTACACGAATCCAGTGGTTCTCAAAGTGGAGGCCTCAGATCAGCAGCATCGGCATTGCCTAGAGACTTAGAAATACTAATTCTCAGGTCCCATTTCAGACCTACTAAATTAGACATTCTCAGGGTGGGACACAGCAAAGTTCTCCAGGTGATTCTGATGCATGTTAAGTTTGAGAACCGGCTGGGCACAGTGGCTCATGCCTGGATTCCCAACACTTCGGGAGGCCGAGGTGGGCAGATTGCTTGAGGTTGGGAGTTTGAGACCAGCCTGGCCAACATGGTAAAACCCTGTCTCTACAAAAATACAAAAATTAGCCGAGCGTGGTGGTGCACACCATGTCCCAGCTACTCAGGAGGCTGAGGCAGGAGAATCGCTTGAACCTGGGAGGCAGAGATTGCAGTGAGCTGAGATAGTGTCACTGCACTCCAGACTGGGTGACAGAAAGAAACTCTGTCTCAAAACAAACAAACAAAGGAAAAAGTTTGACAGCCACTGCACTAAGACAAAAATAGCAAATTGCAATCACAAATACTTCCACAGTGCTTCCTGTGTGTAGGCACTGTTTTAAGTCTTTATAGACATTATTTCATTCAATGCTCATGGCAAACCTGTGATAAAGGTACTGATATAGTGTGGCTCTGTGTCCCCACCCAAATCTCATCTTGAATTGTAATCCCCATGTGTTGGGGGAGGGAGCTCGTGAGAGGTGATTAGATCATGGAGACAGTCCCCCCATGCTGTTCTCATGATAGCAAGTGAGTTCTCACAAGATCTGATGGTTTTATAAGGGGCTTTTCGCCCTTTTGCTCGGCACTTCTCTCTCCTGCTGCCATGCGAAGAAGGACATGTTGGCTTCCCCTTCCACCATGATTGTAAGTTTCCTGAGGCCTCCCCAACCCTGCAGATCTGTGAGTCAGTTAAACCTCTTTCCTTTATAAATTACCCAGTCTCGGGCAGTTCTTTATAGTGGCATGAGAATGGATTAACACATGTAGTATGATAACTTCTCATTTCTCAGAGAAGAAAATCGAGGCACAGAGGGTTAGGTCATTTTCACAAGTTGTTCTGACCCCCTTTAGTCACTGCAGTGGTGAGGGAGACATCCCTCACCTTAAATAGTATGAAAATAGTGTGAGACAGCTGAACATATGACAAGCAATGCTGCACAGACTAGTGACATAACTCAGAAGAGGAGAACATCGCAGGCCATGTGGGGCCACTCAAAGGTTGCACACAGTGAACCAGAAGGGGCTGTGCAAGGCAGGTTCTGTAGTGACAAGAGGGTGAGGTGACCCTTAGTTCCCGCAGGAGGATGTGGCTGGCTTGTTTGAAGAATTCTGCTGGCAGGCAGTGAGGTAGAACCCAGAAAGTTGAGGACTGGGCTGGGTGCAGTTGGTCTGGTTGATGTGGAACTACCTAGGTGGGGAGCCTTTCCTACTGGGTGGGAAGAAATCTAGCCAGAGCCAGGGAACTCGCAGCTAAGTCTTTGAGGTTTTGTGAGGCTCCAAGGTGTCAAGGAAGCACATGAAATTTCAGGCCTTAGAAAGTATGAGAGAGGAGGTGATAGAGCTAGCATTTGAACCCAAGCTCCTGTGCTCCAGAGTCCACGCTCTAGTTTTAAATCACAGTTCTATCCTGTCTCCCACTGTCTTTAATCAAGGCACACTGCACACCTCTGTAAGAACTGCCATGATCCCTCCTGGGTCAATATGCAGGCCAGGTCGCGGAGGCTGTGGGAGGTTAAGGTCAGGGGTCTTCCCCCACTGACTTAAATGCTCCTTTATATGGGGGTTGCATCTCCTTCACCAGCTCCTCCACACACCCCACTGGAAATTAATAAGGACATAAACACTGCCCATTGTGCGCAGCATGCACAAACACATTCATTCACTAGCATATGGCACTGACTCTTTTTGCAGAGACTATGTTAGGACCAGACACACAAAGATAACATCAAAACAAGGCTCAGGATGCTCCCTACTGCCGGCGGGGTGGGGGCGAGGGACAAAAATACAAACAGAGCATTTCGGGCAAATTACAAAAGGCTTTATATTCATTCCCAAGGTGTTTGGACTGCATCCTGGAGGCTCTGGTCAGTCAACAGAGGCCTGTAAGTCAGGGAGTGAGGAGCAGATTTGCCATTTTAGGAAGATAATTCTGGGGGATGGTGTGGGAAAAGCTAGAATGAGGATGGGCTTATGGCAAAGCACCAGACAAAGGCTATTGTACACCCTGAGACAGAGAAGCAGGATGATCAAAGAAGAGAGGCAGGGTCACAGATTCCCAGGGTGCCATGCAACAAGGGTGACAGACAGGTTTTGGCTGGCACATCTTAAGTCCTAGAGCTGAGAAAGCATTCTCCAGTTAGCCACAGACCCCACCCCTCCCTACTGTCTTTTATTAGCTGACTTGCTGTGTTTACATGAATTGCCTGGTACCCTAAGGTGTTTATGTTTGAAAGGGAGAGATTTTCTTTCTTTCATACAATGTATAACATGTGATGGCAGATTGGATTGCGTGGAATAGAGAAATAGACAGGGAGGAAAAGGACTAAGGGTACCAGATTTCTAGCTTTTAAGAGGGAAATGCTTCTTTTTTTAATTTTTTTTTAAAAACACAGAGATGGGGTCTCGCTATGTTACCCAGGCTGGTCTCAAACTCCTGGCCTCAAGCAATATTCCTGCCTCAGCCTCCCAAAGTGTTGGGATTACAGGCGTGAGCTGCCACACCCAGTCTGGAAAATGCCTCTTGATGTGCACATCGTTCTATCTGAATTAATGGAATACAGTGCCCAGAAAGGAAATGAATAACAATGATCAACAAATTCTGCTTCTCTAAGATTAAGGCTAGGGGAGTGTACCTTGGCAGTTGCAGAACCTGACTCCTGTATCCTTTCTCCCCCTTCACAGCAAGGCTGGGTTACAAATGACACAGCTGATACCACACCGGCCAGTATACAGAGAAGAACAAAGAGTCTTCAGGTTGAAAGAAAGCTTGAGGGACCCATAGTCCTGCCTCTAACTGTAATAACAGCCTTCAAAATCTAGGCCATTGTTAGCATCAGGCTCTGCCTGAGGTTTGTGGCATTCTCCTGAGAGAAGCTTTACCCATCCTGAGAAAATGAGATTTTGCACCTTGGAGCTGATGGGAACGCCTGGGAACAGTCACTGTACACAGCTCACAATGGGTCCCAGCACCTGCTCTCACCTAGAAAGGAAATTCAGAAGCTCCTGCTCATCACCATCACACAGTCCATGAGTACAAATCACCCATCATAAGAAAGGAGCTTGCTGGAGAAAAGGCAGCAAAGCCTTGGAGAATACAGCAGAGGCAACCAGCCCCCACCAAGCCAGCGAGCGCGGTGAGGACTCACACTGACTCCACAATCCTTCTGTTGGGTCCCAGCCAATCATTTTTCTAATTGAGTGAGAAAATCTGATAATATTGTTCCCCTGACTGAAGCCTTCGTTTCTTCTCATCACTCTAAAGATGAAGTGCAAAGTGCTTATCATGGTCCCCAAGGCCCCGGTGTCCTGTCCTCTGCCTATATCCCCAGCTGTGTCCAAGCCACTCCCTGCTCCCTCCTTCTCTACACTCAAACTGTCCAGTCCTCCCTTCTTTTCCTGCATCTCATTAGCACCTTACTTGTGCAGGGCTTTGTGTGTGCTATGCCCTTAGCCTGGGACACTCGCCTCCCTCTTCCCATCTCTTCACCTGGCCAATTTATTCTCTTCCTTCAAGTCCCAGGGTGACTTTCATTTCCTCCAGCAAGTGCCTCCTCTCTGCCCCTCTGAATTAATTATCTTTTGCTGTATAACAAGGTACCCAACATTTAGCAGCTCAAAACAACACACATTGACTATCTCACACTGTTTCTGTGGGTCAGGGATGGGGAAAGAAAGGCACAAGACCTGTCAACATCCACGACATTAGCATCCACACTGGATATGAGGGATGAATGCCACCAGAATTCTGAGGGCAGAGGACCTCCGACTGTGAAAGAAGATTCTATCCACAGTCAAGTTATCAGCCCAAAGTGAAGTTATGATAACATTTTCAGGTACGCAGAGTATCAAATAATTTATCTCCCTCATGCCCTGTATTAACAATCTACTGCTGTATAACATCTTCCCTGCAAATTTGGTGGCTCATACCAATAATCCTGTATGGTCTCAGTCTCTGAGACTCAGAATCCAGGAGGGGCTTAGCTGGATGGCCCTGGCTCGGGGTCTGTCATGAGGCTTCAGTCATGACAGTAGCCTGGGCTGTTGTCATCAGAAGGCTTGAGTGGGGCTGAAGGATCCACTTCCAAGCTCACCTGTGCAGCTGCTGGCTTGGAGTTTCAGTCCCTTGGCATCATAGGTTTGCCTTAAAGACACAGGGCTGCTGATAACATGGCAGCTGGCTTCCCACAGAGCAAGACATGACAGAGAAAGAGAGAGAGAGAGTGCAAGAGAGCAAGACAGTGATAGCACAACAGAGCAACCAAGATGGAAGCCACAGAGACTTCACTTGACCTCAACTCTAAGGTCGCACACCATCACTTTTGCTTTTTCCTATTTGTTAGAAGTGAACCACTGAGAAGTCTAGCACACACTGGAGAAGGAGAATTAGGCTCTATTGCTCTATTTCTTGAAGGGATGATATTAACAGATTTCTGGACATATTATTAAAACCACCCATCCTCCCAACAGAAGAGTTCAAAATTCCCTGTGAGGTGGCTCAGTGGTCATAGCACACCATGCCTCGGCTTCTTACTACTTGTCACAGAGGCAATTAACCAATTATGTGTGTAATCTGCAGGGTACTATCAGTCTCTCTTTCTAAATCCAAGGCTTCAGGAAGACAAGGACTATTATAAGCTATATCCCTGGTGAATAGCACACCATTTGGTATGTAACAGGGGCTCAAGAGATATTTATTGGATGAATAAGCAAATGAGCAAATAACAAATGAAAGAGGGAAGAATACTGGGGGGAGAAGAAATAGTATATAGAAAATGACTACAACAAAGAGGTCAAAATTGCAAGAATTTTTATACAGTGCAATGCTAAGATAATGAAATACAAATTCAGAGCAGCAGGCCAACCAGCCTCCATTTGCTAGGACTGCAGCTCACATACTCTGAGTTATGAGGATGAAGCCCTGGGCTGAGCCTCAGGCAGCAGGAAACTCCTTAGACTGGCTCAGCAGGCTGCTGGTAAAACAGAAAACCTATTTTCCAACACACGAGACAGAAGAGCCGGGAAGTCACATCTCCTTTATCAAGCGAGGCTTCTCTCATCGTCCTCTTGGTAGCGACAGGCTTCAAATCCACACACTCCCATCAACAGCACCCAGGGAAGCCAGCCAGTAGGTTTTTCCTGGCTTCTGCTGGTGGGGTCACTCTATATGCATGAGAAGGAGGGCTTTTTGCTGCGCTCCTATTCCCAAGACCACTGCTACAGATTCTTGGAAATACACCCTCCCCGTGGAGCTGGGCTTCCAGGATCAACCACACAGCAGTCTGAGCTTGGCCCCTGCAGGCACAGCCCAGGGCATGCCAGGTGAGGGGAAGGGCGAGTGGCAAAGGAGAACAGAGGGGAAAGGGAAGACAGAATCATGAGCAGAAAGCACGTTTCAACAGGCAGCTGAAAAAACGAGACCTAGGCCCTGGAGGGGGCACGCTGTGCCCAGAGCAAACCACACACACACAAATCCAGCAGCATCACCACCTCAAATTCGATGCTGACTTAGCACTGACTAAGTGCAATTCTCCCACCTCAGCCTCCTGAGTAGCTGGGATTACAGGCACCCACCACCACGCAGGGGTTTCACTGACATGCTCGATACTGTGAAGTGCTAAGTATGCAAGAAGATGTGACAACCCAGCCCTGATTTTCAAAGTTACCTGTGGGCATAACACACAGACGAAATGATGACCGAGAATGCAATACAAGGTGGCAAGTGCCAAAGAAGTGATGTGTACAGCATGTGTCAGAAGGGAGCTGTCCCTAGGATGGGGCCGTCCCTGAACTTTCCTGAGGGAGTCAGAGCTTGAACTTCGTGATTCCTGCAACAGTGTTGTAGCTTGAAAGTGCCTGTGTGTGAGGAGCGTGTATCTCACACATTGTTCCATGTTCAATGTGCCTAATACAAAACAAGAATCTACCTACAAGGGGTTTACCATCTTGCTGAGGATGTAAGACTTGTGCACAAATACCCGCCATCCAAAGCAGCTCAAGAGGCTATGCTAGTGTTAATAATAATAAATAATAGTAGCCATGTCCCTGAGGAATGCCAACCCATCTATTCTACTGCTGGAGGCAATACGGAGCCTCTGCAGGGCTCAGTGTCCACATCTGTGAAATGGGGTTGTAGGAACACTGACTAAGATAAGGAATAGAGTAACTACTGGCAGGTAAAGGCACTTGAGTGTCTCTCCTTCCTCCTCCTTCCATCTTCCATGAAGATGATCAGGCAAGAAGAAGGTAGCATTAGATGAGGGCTAATTTAAAAGATGGGGTACTGGCAAGGAAAGGCTCTATTTGCTTGGGGGAATAATGGAAGACAGGGCCAAGTAAAGGGTTGAGGAGGGCGAATTGACTGTGGTGCACACATTCTAATACCAGCAGCCTCATCTACCAAGCCAGGCACTTGACATGCACTACCTCGTCTAATACCCCACTAACTCACGGGATGCACACCATCGTGGCCCGGCTCTGCAGAGGATGGAGCTGAAGTTTAGGGATATCAAGTGTCCAATCTAAGCTCGCAGGTGGCACAGCCAGAACCTGGACCCAGATCCTTTATTCCAATGTGCTCATAACCACTTCCTAATGCTGCCTCTGGGGGATGCTTCGTGCTGGGGGGCACTGACCCATGAGGCTGAAGGGGAAGTCTAGAAGAAGGAGTTTGCATCTAGCATCTGGCAGCCTAGGAGTACATTTCCTATCACCCAGGGAGGCTATGTCTTGCTCTTGGTTTCTCTCTCATGCACTCATGGGAGTGACGAGAAAAGGAGAAAGGACAGACGTGACCACAGACTTAGTGAGTGCAGATGTTGGAAGGAGAGGGCTGGAATCATGCTGAGCCTTCCCGTTTGGGCACGTGGAGATGGGTGTATCACTAGGAGAAGTAGGGTTACTGGTGGGGAGGAGAGGAGGCAACTTCAGGTTATGTGTGTTGAGTGTGAAATGCCCCAGTATATTGAAATGTGTCTTAGTCTGCTCACGCTGTTATAACAAAGTACCACAGACGGAGGGGCTTAAATGACAGAAATGTGTAGAGCGGTTCTGGAGGCTGGAAGTCTGAGCTCAGTGTGCCAGCATGGTCATGTTCTTGGTGAGTAATCTTCAGGCTTGCAAAGAGCCACCTTCCACTGTGTCCTCACATGGTGAACAGAGAGAGAGACTGAGCTCTGGTCTCTTCCACTTCTTTCTTTCTTTTTTTTTTTTTGAGATGGAGCCTCACTCTGTTGCCCAGTCTGAAGTGCAATGGCACGATCTCAGCTCTCTGCAACCTCTGCCTTCCAGGTTCATGCAATTCTCCGACCTCAGCCTCCCGAGTAGCTGGGATTACAGGCACCCACCACCATGCAGGGGTTTCACCACGTTGGTCAGGCTGGTCTCGAAATTCTGACCTCAGGTGATCCACCCACCTTGGTCTCCCAAAGTGCTGGGATTACAGGCATGAACCACCACACCCAGCCTGTCCCACTTCTTATAAGAACACTAATCTCACCAAGGGGGCCCCACCCTCCTCACCTCATCTAAACCTAATCACCTCCCAAAGGCCCCTTCTCCAAATACCATCACACTGGGGGCTAAGGCTTCACAATATGAATGGGTGAGGGACACAAGCATTCAGTCCAGAGCAAACTGTCAGCATCTAGCTGGGGGAGGAAAATCATGAGTGGCATCTTTGGGAAGGAAGGCAGGCCCAGATGTAGAGAATTGAGAAGAGAGCTGAAAATCTGAGAGGGCACAAGAAGGCCAAAGATAGGGAGAAGAAGAGGACCATGGGTTGGTGGAGGAGGGGAGAGGAGCTGGCAAGGTTTTGACTTGTGCACTTGGACGTGAGTGTGTGTGTCTGTGAGTGTGCACATGTATGGTTGCATGCATGTCTGTTGCAGGAAGTCAGGGACCCCAAACGGAGGGACCAGCTGGAGCTGTGGCAGAGGAACATAAATTGTGAAGATTTCATGGGCATTTATCAGTTCCCAAATAATACTTTTATAATTTCTTATGCCTGTCTTGTCTTTAATCTCTTAATCCTGTTATCTTTGTAAGCTGAGGATGTATGTCACCTCGGGACCACTGTGATAATTGTGTTAACTGTACAAATTGATTGTAAAACATGTCTGTTTGAACAATATGAAATCAGGGCACCTTGAAAAAGAACAGAATAACAGCGATTTTTAGGGAACAAGGGAAGACAACCATAAGGTCTGACTGCCTGTGGGGTCGGGCAAAAAAAGCCATATTTTTCTTCTTGCAGAGAGCCTATAAACAGACGTGCAAGTAGGGAAGATATTGCTAAATTCTTTTCCTAGCAAGGAATATTAATATTAATACCCTGGGAAAGGAATGCATTCCTGGGGGGAGATCTATAAATGGCCACTCTGGGAGTGTCTGTCTTATGCAGTTGAGATAAGGACTGAGATACGCCCTGGTCTCCTGCAGTACCCTCAGGCTTACTAGGGTGGGGAAAAACTGCCCTGGTAAATTTGTGGTCAGACCGGTTCTCTGCTCTCGAACCCTGTTTTCTGTTGTTTAAGATGTTTATCAAGACAATATGTGCACCGCTGAACACAGACCCTTCTCGGTGGTTCTGTTTTTGCCCTTTGCCCTGTGATCTTTGTTGGACCCTTATCAGTGGTTCTGCTTTTTGTCCTTTGAAGCATGTGATCTTTGTACCTACTCTCTGTTCTTACACCCCCTCCCCTTTTGAAACCCTTAATAAAAACTTGCCGGTCTGAGACTCAGGCGGGCATCACGGTCCTACTGATATGTGATGTCACCCCCAGCAGCCCAGCTGTAAAATTCCTCTCTTTGTACTGTCTCTCTTTGTTTCTCAGCCGGCCGACACTTATGGAAAATAGAAAGAACATATGTTGAAATATTAGGGGCAGGTTCCCCCAATACATGTCTATGTGAGAGACAGCACAGACACATGCAAGAGGCAGGAGTGAGAGGACCTCCATCCCTGAGGCAGGAGGAATACCAAGGATACTTCAAAGTGGAAGCCATAGGTGGAGAGAGCTCCAGAAATGCAAAGAAGGTCCAAACTACATAAAATGCTCCACAAGGACCAGGAAACCTACAATAATTTTTTTTTTTTTTTTTTTTTTTTTGAGATGGAGTCTTGCCCTGTCGCCCAGGCTGGAGTGCAGTGGTGCAATCTCAGCTCACTGCAACCTCTGCCTCCCAGGTTCAAGCGATTCTCCTGCCTCAGCTTCCTGAGTAGCTGGGATTACAGGCACACACCACCACGCCCAGCTAATTTTTGTATTTTTAGTAGAGACGGGGTTTCGCCACGTTGGCCAGGCTGGTCTTGAACTCCTGACCTCAGGTGACCCACCCACCTCAGCCTCCCAAAGTGCTAGATTACAGTCATGAGCCATTGTGCCTGGCTGACTTAGAAGAATTTTAAAGCAGCCAAGAGACTTGGCGGCTGGGGGTCACTGGACACCTTCAGTAAAACCATTTTCTTTAAATGGCAGGGGACTAGAGGTTGTGGGTAAACTAAGGAGAGAGGCAGAGAGCGATGGCTCAAAAGGAAGCAGGGTGTTCGCAAATAGAGAATTGAGAGGGAGAAAACAGAGTTTGGGGAAGGGAAGATGCTCCAAGTCAGTTCTATTAATGAAATGGACTGCTTAGAATTTAGACAGAATGAAAAAGGTAGAAAAGTGAGGTACCATAATTATTAGTATATTTCTATCATGTCATTCAAATATGCTTAAAACTAATGTGCCATGCAATGGAATATTAATTGGCAACAAAAAGGGATGAAGTACTGATACATGCTACAACACAGGTACGTCTTGCTAACACTGGGCTAATTTAAAGAAGCCAGACACAAAAGCCCACAGACGACATGATTTTATTTATACGAAATGTCCAGAAGAGGCAGATCTAGAGAAACAGAAAGTAGATTAGTGGCTGCCTAGGGCTTGAGAGGGAATGGGGTTGGGGGATGCTGGCTAAGGGGTGCAGGATTTGTTTTGGAGGCAATGAAATATGCTTTTTCCTTTTCTTTTGTTTGAGACGGAGTCTCATTCTGTCATCCATGCTGGAGTGCAGGGCCACAATCTTGGCTCACTGCAACCTCTGCCTCCTGGGTTCAAGCAACTCTCCTGCCTCAGCCTCCTGAGTATCTGGGACTATAGGCATGTGCCATGACACCTGGCTAACTTTTGTATTTTTTGTTTTAGTAGAGACAGGGTTTCACCAGGTTGGCCAGGCTGGTCTTGAATTCCTGACCTCAAGTGATCCTCCCGCCTCAGCCTCCCAAATCGCTGGGATTTCAGGCATGAGCCACTGCGCCCAGCCGGGCAATGAAATATTCTTAAATTGACTGTAGTGATGGCTGCACAATTTTGAATATACTAAAAGCCATGGAATTGCACATTGTAAATGGTTGAACTGTATGGTATGTGAATTAAATCAACAAAGCTGTCTAAAAATTTACTATGTATATTGTCTTCAGGATGGCATTTTAAAAAAGAAAAATTTACTATGTATATCTATGAGTAACAAGGGATCTTTTAGGGTGATAAAAGTTCTATAATTGGATTATGGAAATATCTGCACAACTCTATAAATTTACTAAAAATCATAAAATCGTACATAAAAACTGGTAGATTTTATGGTATGTCAGTTATGCCTCAATAAAGTTGTTTAAAACAATAAAAAAACTTTAAAACTTTATGACACAGACAAAACACTCTATAATAGGGTTGCAGTACATTTAGACTAAAACAACTCAAAAATATACCGAGTCATCTGTCAAACGAGAATAACAGTTCCGTAGAATCACTGTGAAGATGGCACAAGGTAAGACATTCCCTGGCCTACAGAAGGTTCGATGCAGCGCAGCTCTGATTAAGGGGATTAAGGGAATGAATCCCACCATCTCTGAATCTGGCTTCCCTGTGTGATATCTCCGGGGTACGGCAAAGCCTGGGTAGGATGTGCACCCAGACACGTTTCTTGGCAATGAAATATCCCACAGCCCAGGAAGGAGGTGAGGGCAGATTGATTCCACTTCTTGTGGCCCAAGAGAAGGCCTGCAGGTCCCAGGGATGAACTTTGTCTTGAAAATCATATGGGTGGCCAGACACGGTAGTACATGCCTGTAATCCTAACACTTTGGGAGGCTGAGGCAGGTGGATCCCCTGAGGTCAGGAGTTTGAGACCAGCCTGACCAGCGTGGTGAAAACCCGTCTCTACTAAAAACACAAAAATTAGCTGGGCACGGTGGCGGGCGCCTGTAATCCCAGCTACTTGGGAGGCTGAGGCAGGAGAATTCCTTGAATCTAGGAGGCAGAGGTTGCAATGAGCTGAGATCACACCATCACATTCCAGCCTGGACCACAAGAGTGAAACTCCATCTCAAAAAAAAAAAAAAAGAAAAGAAAAGAAAAGAAAATCACATGGGTTAATTTGAGTGGGGAAGGGAAGGGAGGGAACGCAATACTAAGGGAGGCATGTGTATGGGGCGTGGTGGGGAATAGGGGCTGGAAAAGCCATTTGTAGTTGCTGGACAGTAGAGAGCCACTCACTGTAAACCAGTAGGTCTTTGTAGGTGCCCTCGAGGAAGCCAGGAGACAAAAAGAGGCTGCCCCTATCTGTCAGCTGGTTTTATTTCCAGAGCCCAGGGAATGTGTCAAAACTATGGAAAGTCCCCATCGCACACGACTGGGAGCCACCTTCAGGCTGGAAACGTCCATGGAGTCCCTCTGCCTGCTGGGGACAAGCCAGCTAGCCTGTCCTATTGGACCTTCAAGGGCAAGCATGCAGCCTTGTGATTCTTGGCCCTGTTAAACCCACCGTCCTTTCTATCAAACAAAAACGGAACGTCCTGCTTTCTTGTTTGTAGAATACAAAGACGGGATTTGGTTTCCCAAATAGAAGATTAAATCTCAATCCTCAGTGCGCTGCTTTAAACCCCATGGATGCGCGCCTCTGAGGCAACTGGGCCCCCTCGCCTCCTGCCCTTGTTGTGAATCTCCAGTGCAGCCCCATCCCTCTGGCGCTGCCAGGAAATGCTTACTGACTGCTGGGCCCGTGGTGCTGCCATAGGGCCACACACTTCATCCAGCCTGTAGCCAGCCAGGGGCTTGGTAAATGACCCCAAAGGCAGACTCTGCCGGCTGTGTCCCTGTCTCTACATAAAACAACGCACAAACCCATACCTTTCCCAGAATCTGCACGTGGTTCAAAGGCATGAAATGCCACACGCAGGAGGTACAAAGGACCTGCCTGAGGCCCAAACAGGTTACTCTAGGGAAAGTGGGGGAAGGCTGTGTGGACCATTGAGCTCTATGTAGTTATAGCATGCCTCTTCCCTCATGGCGTGAAGGATTTAAAGCCCCCAAAGAGAGGCTCCTTCCAGGGTTCTCCTTTCAAGCACTTCAAAATAGTCCCACTGAGAGATGACTCCGCTCCAGCCAGGTTCTCAGCTCCTGGAGGGCAGGTCACATTTGCTTTCTCTGACTTGCATCTCACATGTGGCACAGAGCAGACCCCCTTGATCAGTATTCGGCAGAATAAGGGACTAGTCTCCCTTCATCCCCTAGGCCTAATTCTCCCTGGATGGCCTTGAAGAGAAGCAGGTACATCCAGGTGAGGGCAGAATTCAGGTATTCTTGCTTCCGGGTCAGATGCTTTCCTATTAGCCCTCATCCGTCATATCCCACTCTTACCAACTTTCCACACAAGACAAACTCTTACACATGAATACCCTATGTTTATGCCAGAGCTGTTAAACCTGTTTCTACGTTTCTTTGTAAACACTATCTTTTTTGGGTGGGGGCGGGGTTGGAGTCTAGCTCTGTCGCTCAGGCTGGAGTGCACTGGCGTGATCTCCGCTCACTGCAAGCTCCGCCTCCTGGGTTCACGCCATTCTCCTGCCTCAGCCTCCCGAGTAGCTGGGACTACAGGCGCCCGCCACCACGTCTGGTTAATTTTTTTGTATTTTTAGTAGAGACGGGGTTTCACCATGTTAGCCAGGATGTAAACACTATCTTGATGCATTTTTATTCCAAGTCCCCATTTGAATGCAAAGTCCTAGGAATCTGGAACCACTGTTATCTCCCTGGCATCCCATAGGGAGTTCTGCCCAGTGGTCAATGTCCTAGAAAGCTCAGGTAGCACACAGCCAGAGGAGGATAGAAACCCTTGCTGGGAGCACACATCCCTCTTCCCTCCCACTCCCCACCCAAGTAGAGAGTATGTGGATAATTTAGAATCTAAAGTCGAGGGTTGGATATGATCTATTACAAAGATACCTAAGCAATTTAACTGTGCCTGTAAGATTATAAAAGGAAAGGTTAACCATGCAAGAAGACCATGTGCTTTCAAGCAACATACAAGCATTTGTTGATGAGTAAGGCAGAGTGGTATAGTAAGCGGGGCCTCAAACTGCAGTCAAGAAATCCGTTTCTGGTCCTGTCTCTGCCATGACCTAGCTGTGGCACCTCAGACCAGTCATCCAGTTTCTTGATCTGTAAAGTGGGCACATTGGGGTAAACTAAATAATCTCCCGGCCACGCAGTGGCTCACACCTGTAATCCCAGTGCTCTGGGAGGCCGAGGCAGCGGATCACGAGGTCAGGGGATCAAGACCATCCTGGCCAACATGGTGAAACCCCGTCTCTACTAAAAATACAAAAATCAGCCAGGCGTGGTGGCGTGCACCTTTAATCCCATTCGGGAGGCTGAGGCAGGAGAATCACTTGAACCCGGGAGGCGAAGGTTGCAGTGAGCCGAGATCATGCCACTGCACTCCAGCCTGGTGACAGAGCAAGACTCCATCTCACAAATAATAATAATAATAATCTCCCAAGTCCCCTTCCATCACTGAACATGACTATTCTATGACACATGGATGAAAAATTGTAAGGATAAATAAATACCAGGTCTGTTCTTATACCGCCCTCCTGTGTGTGTAAATATTTTGGTACTATTTAAAGAGGCATGTGGGTTGGTGGGGGCTCTGGATCTCTACCTTCTTTTGGTGACAGCATCCTGCTTTTCCTTGAGAAACCCCCTACTTCCATCCTATGTAATCCTGATGGAATTGTTGAACAAGCCTCCAGCCTCCCACCTCCAGGCAGAAGGAATAGTAGCTCAAGCTTGCCTACTCTCGACAACTGCCCCTGCTTGGAATGCATCCCAGGGCTCTCGGGAGGCTAAGCATGAGGGAGATTGATGGGTGAACTTGGGCTGCAGGAGACACCACTTGTTCAATCAGCAGACTTTGCACTTAGCATGTGGAACTGGCCACCTACAGTGCCCGATCTTCTGTGGCCAGATGTGCTGTCAAGGCAGATTTATACTCAGGAGTGCGGGAGGCCTGGTGGCGCTCCTTCCCGCCCTGGATCAGTGAGACACAGCCTCCAGTTTCTGCTTCCTTCCGTCCATGGGCTTGGATTTGTATCTTACCTGATCAATTCTTGTCAGGAATGTCAGACCAGCTGTGAGGTCCTCCTGAGTGCAAACAGTGACAGCCAGGAGATGTGGCTCAGAGTTAATTTTTTTTTCTTTTTCTTTTTCTTTTTTTTTTTTCTGAGATGGAGTCTTGCTCTGTTACCCAGGCTGGAGTGTAGTGGGGCGATCCTGGCTCACTGCAACCTCCGCCTCCTGGGTTCAAGCAATTCTCCTGCCTCAGTCTCCTAAGTATCTGGGACTACAGGCACCTGCCACCATGCCCAGCTAATTTTTTTTTGTATTATAGTAGAGACAGGATTTTGCCAGGTTGGCCAGGCTGGTCTTGAACTCCTGACCTCATGCTATCCACCTGCCTTGGCCTCCTAAAATTACTGGGATTACACGTGTGAGCCACCGCACCTGGTGGCTTACAGTTAATTTGCAACCAACCTGACTTTAAAGCTGGGAAACGAAGAGAGACCTGTTCCAGTTATAATTAGAGATCCTTTTGGACTAGTGAAGGCAGAAGGGTGTTTACAGGATCTTGTTATCTTCTTTCTTGGTTTATCCTGGCCGCCCCCTCAGCCGTTACTTTTCCTAGCCAATCTTCAACTGCTTCCTAAGGAAGGGTACAAGTCTGAAAACATCTTTATTCTATGAATCATCATTGAGTGAATGTGAGTATAGAAAATTCTAGGTTTAATATTATTTTTCCTCAGAACTTTGAAAGCTTGAAGCTTGGGAAATTAAAAGCCTTGTTTATTGCTGGGGAGACCTTTGAAGCACTTCTGCCAAACTATTTCCCCCTTTCTGGAAGCTCTAACGATAGCATTCTACAATTTCATGCTGATGTATCTTGGCAACGGTCCCTTTTTTATATAGTGGGCTGGCACTTAGGGGGCCTTCCCACTCTTGAAAATTCAGGTACTTCAGTTTGGGAAAGTTTTTATTGTATCACTTTTGCACTTTTTTTTGAGACTGAGTCCCTCTTTGTCGCCCAGACTGGAGTAGAGTGGTGCGATCTTGGCTCACTGCAACCTCCGCCTCCCAAGTTCAAGTGATTCTCCCGCCTCAGCCTCCTGAGTAGCTGGGATTACAGGCGCCCGTCACCATGCCGGGCTAATTTCTGTATTTTTAGTAGAGACGGGGTTGTGCCATGTTGGCCAGGCTGGACTCGAACTCCTGACCTCAGGTGATCTGCCTGCCTTGGCCTCCCAAAGTGCTGGGATTACAGGCGTGAGCCACCGTGCTCAGCCTCACTTTTGTGCTTTTTAAGCTCCATTTTCTCTTTCTTTCTGGAATGCTGACGAGTCACCAGTAGATCCTACTGGATTCATATTCTCATTTCCTTACCTTCTTTTCTCACATTTTGCATCTACATGTCTTTTATTCTATTTTTAAGAGATTTCCTCAACTTCATCTTTTCATCCTTCTACTGTTTTATTCTAGCTATCTTGTTTTTGATTTCCAAGAGCTCCTTCTTAATCTAATTGTGCCTTTTCATTATTGATAGCATCCTCTTCTTCTCCCTCTGAGGATATTCATCATTTTCATTGTTGCTTTTGTTTTATGTTTCCTTGTGACCTCTGCATTGTTTCTGTTATCTCCAAATTAATTTTTCTGTCTTTATCTTTCATACCGAAGGCATGCCTCAAAAGTCTAAGGAATTAGAGCTATCCAGTTGTGGTATAATACAAAACATATTTTGTCTTTGTGTCTGGTGGCACAGAGCTTCCCAAACTCCTGGAATTAACTAAGGAATAGGAGTGTCTTTGTTTATTCATAATGAGCCCCTTTTGTTAACACCCGAGTTTATGCTAATAAGGTGACTAACTTGAGGTAGGCCCCTAGATAGTCTCAGGGTGGGCTGGTCACGGTCACCAGAAAGACCAAGTGATTAGAAGGCTAGAATTATCAACCCCACCCACTGACCTCCTAGAGGGGATTCGAAGGAGGCTGGATATTAAGCCGTCTAAAAACTCAACAAGAAGATATGATGAGTTTCCAGGTTGGTGAACACACGGAGGTGCTTGGAAGGGCAGTGGGCCTGGAGAGGAAATGGAAGCTCCATGCCTCTTTCCCTATAACTGCCCAATGCATCTCTTCCATCTGGCTGTTCCTGAGTTGTATCCTTTTAGGATAAAGTGGTAATTTTGCAAGTAGATGGTTTTCTTGAGTTCTGTGAGCCATTCTAGGAAATAACTGAACCCGACGAGGGGGTCGTGGGAACCCCTGATCTACAGCCAGATGGTGAGAAGCCCAGCTGACAACCTAGATTGGTGTTTAGCATCTGAAGTAAGGGATCTGAGCCCTTAGCCTGTGGGATCTGACACGATCTCCAGGTGGATACTGTCAGAATTGAGTTAAATTGTAAGGCACCAAATTGGTGCTCTCAGAAAACTAGAGAATTGGTTGTTACAGGAAAAAAAAAAAATACCCACATCTTTGCTGGCCATAAGTTCTGTGTGTGAGTGTTGGGAAAACAGGAGTTTCTCTTATCACTGGTCATATTTAATTGCAAAGCATTAAGAAATGGACCAGAGGCTCATATGCATAGAAGGGGCCTGTTGGGTGGGGAACTACCATCTAGGGGGATTGGGCCTCCAGTCATCTTTTTGGTAGGTGGACCTCCAAATATCAATGTTTTGAAACTGCCTTTGCAAAGAATATGACAGGAAGAGAAGCTTGACATGGCAGACTCCATCTTGGCTTCTAGCCCTGCAGGTGGGCTGCCCTCGCTCATTCTTAGGTGCAGGCAAGGAATTTAGTTTATGGTTTAACTTTAAAGCAAGGATGATAATAGTCCCTCCCTAAAACTGATCCCCTTCCTGTTCAGGGACTGAAACTGGCTTTGTAAGACTAAGTGCAGACTACAAGATTAGGATTACGGGAGGGGCCTGAATTCTGCTAAAATGTAGGTATAGCTAAATGACAGCCAGCAAATGTCCACTAGCTTGTTTTTCTATAATCCCTTGCTGCTCAGGAGTCGTGTGGCCAGAGGTCACAAGATTTGTGATTTCTGCAATTGCTCCTATAGATAACACTATACATCACTATTGTAGAACCTAAGATTGGTCTTTTGAGATGTTTTTCAGACTTTTGCATTCTGGCACCTGACTGACCCCACCTGGATCTGTGATTCCTAAGCAATCCTGTCCTGTGGCTCCCACCCAGAGTCGGACTCAGCACATGAGGACTCTTCCACACCTCTATGATTTCATCCCCAACCAATCAGCAGCATGCATTCCCAAGCCCCCTGCCCAACAAATTATCCATAAAAATCCTAGCCTTTAACTTCTGAGGGAGGCAGATTTGAGTAATAAACTGTCTTCTCTTTCCACTTGGCTGTCCTTATGTTAATTAAACTCTTTCTCTACTGAAACAACATTATCTCAGTGGATTGGATTTATCTGTGCTGTGGGCAAGAAGAACATGTTGGGTGGTTACAGTTTGGAGATTATTTCTCTAAGATCCTGCAGCAGAGTCCAGCAGTCTTTTCCTCTCTTCCCCGGAGGATATAATCTTGGTTTCACTATTCCCAATTTCGGCTTAGATCATCTTCTTTCTTTTCTTTCTCTCTCTCTCTCTCTCTCTCTCTCTCTTTCTTTCTGCCCTCTCAGGCCCACCTTCTCCTGGGATTCACTTTCTCCAGATACCTCTCTTGGTTCATTTATCTGGATAACAAATTTTTCTCCTGCCGTGGTACAGGAGCGGCAATTGTTCTGTTATTTGGTGTGGGATGAGCTCTAAGGATTCCTGATACAGATCACAACCAACCATCCTGTTTGCGATCCCATCTCTACTCCAAGTTTGGAGCCTCAGGATCTCGACACTTCCTAGGGTTTATGCAGGACATTTCAGCTTGCTTCTTCGTGGCTTCCCTTTTGCAATCACCTGGACTCCATCTTTCTCTACTCTTTGTCCATTTCTGCATCCATGGTTCAAATATCTGAGGACCTCTCATCACTCATCACATCTTGGAGTAACAGTATGGCATTAAAAAGGTATGTCCAAAAGAGAGAGACTCTTACTTTCATTTTAACGGTATTTTAGGAAGCAGCAGAAATGCATGTGTTAAAATCTGCCACATTTAAACAAGGTCTGCTTAACTATCCCAAGCCTCAGATTTTGTTTGTTTGTTTGTTTAATTGAAAACGAAGAGTTTGGGCGTGGTGGCTCACACCTGTAATCCCAGCACTTTAGGAGGCTGAGGTGGGCAGATCACTTGAGGTCAGGAGTTTGAGACCAGCCTGGCCAACATGAAGAAACCTCGTCTCTACTAAAAATACAAAAACTAGCCAGGCGTGGGCACCTATAATCCCAGCTACTTGGGAGGCTGAGGCAGGAGAATTGCTTGAACCCAGGAGGCAGAAGTTGCAATAAGCTGAGATTATGCCACTGCACTCCAGCCTGGGTGAAAGAATGAGACTCTGTCTCAAAAACAAAAACAAAAACAACAAAAAAAAAAAAAAAGAAAAGAAAATGAAGAAAACTCTAGTAATAATAATACTTGAATACTCTCTTAAGAAAATATCTTTCCCCAATTCTCAAATAGTACTTACTGGTTTACCTATTAAAGCTTAACACATGCTTATGCTATGACCCAACAATTCTACCCCTAGGTACATATACAAGAAAAATGAGTGTGTGTTCATCAAAACACAAATACAAAACACTCATTGTGGTTTTTCTCCTAATAGCCCAAACTGGAAACACCCAAGCATCCATTCACAGAAGAATGGACAAATAGTAGCATATAAATACAATAGAATACTGCATAGTAAAAAACATGTAATCAACTATTGCAATGCACACAGACGAACCTCAGAGATGTCACATTAAGCAAAAGAAGCTGGCTACAGAACAGAATGTGCAGTATGATTCCATTTAAATGATATTCCAGAGCAGGTGGAACCTATCTATGGTAAAAAGAATTAGAATACTAATTATCTCTTAGAGGAAATTACTGCTTAGGAAGAGCTATCAGGAATGCTTCTGAGTTGCTAGGGTATTTTGTATCATGATCTCAATAGTGGTTATATGGGATATACATATGTAAAAATTCTTTTTTTTTTTTAAGACAAAGTCTCACTCTGTTGCCCAGGCTGGAGTGCAGTGGCATGATCTTGGCTCACTACAATCTCCACCTCCCAGTTTCAAGCGATTCTCCTGCCTCAGCCTCTTGAGTAGCTGGGATTATAGGTGCACACCACTACATCCGGCTAATTTTTGTATTTTTAGTAGAAAAAGAGTTTCACCATGTTGGCTGGGCTGGTCTCAAACCAGCCTGGTCTTGACCTCAGGTGATCTGCCTGCCTTGGCCTCCCAAAATGCTGGGATTACAGGCGTGAGCCACCATGCCTGGCCCGTAAAAATTCTTTAAGTTGTATATTTAAGATTTGTTTTACTGTATATATGTTAAAACTTGATTTGAATAAAAGCAAAAAAAAAAAAACATTGTTTAGACTGCTATAACAAAATACCTGAGCAGCTTACAAACAACAATTGTTTGTTTCTCACAGTTCTTGAGGCTGGGAAGTCCAAATTCATGGCACCAGCAGATTCATTGTCTGGGAGGGTGCATTTTCTGAGTGTCAGACTGCCAACTTCTTCCTGTATCCTCACATGGTAGAAAGGGTCAGGCAACTCTATGGGGCCTCTCTTTTAAGGGCACTAATCCAGTCTCTAGGGCCCCACCATTATGACCTAATTACCTCCTGACAGCCCCACCTCCTAACCATCACATTGGAAACTGGGTATTTTGGGGGTACAAACATTCAGGCCATGGCAATCACTGTTTATAATTTTAAAGCTTTGTGGAAAAATAGTTTTCCAGGGTAAAAGTTCTACCTAATCAGAAATCCACCTGGATCTCAGAAGGGAGAGGCTGGGCATCTTTGCCTGTCAGAGATGCAGTAACTGAGATGCTGTATCTAAAATGCATAGCTTAGTCTTTCTTCTCCCTGTTCTACTATCAGTGGTGTGCTCTTTGAGGAGTCACACTTTCTGTGAGCTTCAATTTCCTCTTACAACAAAGAGGTGAACTATATTATCTTTCAGGTTCATCCAAATTCTAAAATTCTTTGTCCACTTGGGAAAAGTTTGTTGGTTTTGTTTTTTATTTAACAAAAATATTCTCTTTCCTCCCTTTCAACCAGACACATGATTTCTCTGCTCTTAATCCTCCTACTACTGACCAGATGATAAGGGAACCACATCACCAATGTCTTTTATACTCAACTAGCTTAGTGCAATGAATATAACACATGCTATTAGATGAGAATGTAACTTTGCCATAAAAATAGTGAATCTAAAGCAAAGCCTTATATTTATAAAGTGATGAAATTGCATCCACAATAAAAAATCCTATCAGCAAAGCTGTGTAACAATACAAGGCTTTGGAGAGAGTTATTTCTACCAATGAACTTAGTGAATCACTAAATAAACTGTCTTTTTGTCTCCCCCACAAAAACTTGGCCTTAGTATAAATGATATTATATTTTCTCTGGCCAGAAAAATAAGAAAAAATAAGATACTATTATGCTTGGAGAGAAAGCTGCTCCCCAAGGTCATGTTAGTGTAACCAGAGATCCTTTCGGAGGGAAGACAAGCATCTGGGCAGTCAACCTGATGGGCTGGCAAACTTTATCCGTTAGTAGATTTTCTCCCAGGGTCAGCTTTAAGAATCATCACTGCTGTATCCTAGACATTTTGGTTTCTATTTGAAATCAGAGCAACAATAAAAATTAAGGTACATTTGAATGATTTAGAATCTAGAGTCTAGGGTTGGATACAATGTATAACAAAGATGTCTAGGCAATTTAATTGCATCATTCAGATTGCAAAAGAAATGGTTAGCCACACAAGAAGATAATGTGCCTTTAAGCAACTTAAAAGTAATTCTTGATGAGCAAGGCAGAATGGAATAGCAACGGGGCCTCATATCACAGTCAAAACATCTGCTTCTGGTCCCACCTCTGCTATTACCCAGCCTTGGACAAGACATCCAGTTTCTTGATTTGAAAAGTGCACATACTAGGGTAAACTGAATAATTTCCAAAGTCGTCTTTTTACGGTGAACTTTAACATTCTATGATATATGGATGAAAACTACAATGACAAATAAATAGCAAGTTCGTTCTTGTAACTCCCTCTTGTGTATAAATATCTCGATGTCATTTAAGAAGGCATTGTGCTTGGGGGGGTTTAGTTTTCATAAGCTCAGCATCCTTACTGCTTCTTTTGGTGATAGCATCCCGCTTTTCTTTGAGAAATTCCCTGCCTCCATCCTACACAGTCCGATGAACAAGCTCCTCCCCGCCCCTTAGTGTTGGCCTCTACAACCTGACCTGGATTCTCCCAATCCGATTTTCTCTTCCAGAATTGAAAGTTGAGCTGAATGACACAGGGGCAGAAAATGGTTGTTCGTGAGTCATTCTGACGTCAGCTCTTTGAAGAGACTGCCCATAGCTCCCGTCTATTATTGCAGGTTTTGGGATGCCTTGCTATTGGTCTTCCAAAGACTAGCTTTTCCTTAGATTCTCTGAGTTACTCCTTATACTTTTGAAAAACTTCTTCATATGCTTTAGCTGGCCAGAGATGACATCTGTTGCTCACAACCAACAAACCCTAACGGATGGAGAACTCTTTTCTGGTCCCCATTGTCAGATTTTAATTTGTATTTTGAAGTAATAAAACCGAATTTGTTTAAAGTGCTCTAAAAATTTCGATATTTTTGTCTAATTAAGACACCCATTTTCTCTAATTAGAATAAGCAGAGCTACTGCACATTCTAAAGCATAATATTAATTTTCTGCTACCTTAGACTGTACTTGATTAACCTGGTAAAATACCATGGTTCTTTATGAAGCTGAGCCTGAACTAAGGGCAAATACATTCATGGATCAGACCCTGGGACTAGTTCTATCCTCCTCTATAATCATGGATGTCATCATCAGAATGCTGTGGAACTCTTGGCAGCATCCAATCTACCAAGTGTTCTCCGGAGAGAAAAGCAGAAGTTGATCACTCTGCCTCTCAGCCAAAAGCCCATCATAGCACTGCCAGGGGCACTTCTGCCAGGAAAGCAATGAGCTTTTTAGCAGGTGGTACAAAAGTACGCCAGGAGCTAAGACTTCAAATATTACCCTCAAAAGAGTAAAACGCCTTTAGTTAAGGCAGGATGGGGCAGAGGGAGGCGGCAGAGAAGGACCTGCATATTCCACTAATGAAGGCTAGAGTCTACCTCCGTAAGAGTGCTTTTGTGAAGCAACATTTAAAACGTGACACTGACAGCGCTACTCACTGATGGGTTAGGAGGCCATGAGAACCGCTTTCTTGAGAGAGCTGAGCAAGATATATAATGGGACTTATCCGGTCTCAGAACTGTTGCTGAGAAAAACTGTTGACATTACCCTCTCATTCTACATTCTAGAACAACACGGCATGTCTAATACAGTAGCCACATGCGGCTTTTTACACTTAAATTAATTAAACAAGATTACACACCATTTCCTCAGTCATAGCAGCCACCTTTCAAGTACTCAAAAGCCCCAGGGGATTCATGGCTACCATACTGGACCGTGCAGATACTGAGTATTTCTATCACTGCAGAAAGTTCTACAGGACAGTGTTACTCTACTGAGAAGTACCTGACCCTCTTGCAGAACTGGAGAAGGAGTAGTTCCTCCCAAATGGTGCCCTCGGCCCCCAGTGGTCCCATGGAAGGCGGAGAGACAAGAACGACCATACCAAGAACGGCCTTGGAGAGTTGTCAGAGCTCACCCTGAGGATGGAGGAGTTCCTCTATACTCAGGCCAAATGAGGGCCACTGCAAGAGACATGCTTGCAGAGTTTGGCATGCTCCTCTGGAGAACTGGGCTCTGAACACATTGTGGAATAGTCCCGAGGTGAGAAGGTGCCTGAGAGAACTCCAGTAGCCATCAGAGGAGAGGGGGATGCCCTGGAAGCAGCCTGCATTTCCAGAGGCAAAGGGCCAAGGTGACATTTTAGAAGGTGACTAGGTACAAACAAGCTATAAAGGTTAACCCGAGAGATCAGCCTGCAAGGACAAACTGATTCTAATAGCATCTGTGCAGAGAGGATCACCTGGGGCTGGGGGGACCCCAAGAGGTCATCCACAATGCATCCTGCCCATCCCTGTGTATATTTCCATGAAGAGGCTCTGAAGAGCCCTCACAATTAGGACCCCATGAGAACAATGGTCCACACTTGAGAATCTGCTACTTCAAGGACACCAACACTAAATTATAACTGTAACCTTTAGGGAAGGCCTTTTGTCACTCACCACCCAAACACAATCCTTCACTTCTTTCTTCCTTCAATCCTAAGGAATTGGCAAGGCAAGCAGGGTAGGGGGTAAAAAACTAAGGAAGGGGCAAACCACCCACATCTTGTCCACTGCAGGCTGCCAAGGCTAAAGCAACCCAGGAGTTATTGGTGGAAGGAAAGAATGCTCTACTCAAGGAGATGCTGAAGTTCTATTAAGACTGGTCCATCGGGATTGCATATGACAATGAATCTGCTCATCAATACCTAAAACTTACAGGAAAATGTAGCTGTCTATGGAATCACCCAGGGGAAGGGAAGGGAGAGCCAACAGAACAGGTTAGGAAGACATTGATATGAGAAAATCAAGCTGTTATGATTTCACCCTACAGACTCGGAAAGCTCCAGAAAGAATGCAGGAGAGGCTGGGCGTGGTGGCTCATGCCTGTAATCCCAGCACTTTGGGAGGCCAAGGCAGGTGGATCACGAGGTCAGGAGTTAGAGACCGGCATGACCAATATGGAGAAACCCTGTCTCTACTAAAAATACAAAATTAGCAGGTCATGGTGGCAGGTGCCTGTAATCCCAGCTACTTGGGAGGCTGAGACAGGAGAATCACTTGAACCCAGGAGGTGGAGGTTGCAGTGAGCCGAGATCACACCACTGCACTCCAGCCTGGGCAACAAGAGCGAAACTCTGTCTCAAAAAAAAGATTTATGTCCTAGGGCCAGGTGTGGTGGCTCACACCTATAATCCCAGCACTTTGGGAGGCCAAGGCAGGCAGATCACTTGAGATCAGGAGTTTGAGACCAGTCTGGCCAACATGGCGAAACCCTGCCTCTACTAAAAATACAAAAATTAGCCAGATGTGGTAGTGGCCACCTGCAGTTCCAGCTACTTGGGAGATGAGGCAGGAGAATCGCTTGAACCTGGGAGGTGGAGGCTGCAGTGAGCCGAGATTGGGCCATTGCACTCCAGCCTGAGCAACAGAGTAAAACTGTGTCTCAAAAAGTCTGATGTCCCTAAAAGTGTTTTGTTGTTGTTGTACCTGTGCTGGAATGCCTGTCTCTAGCTTTCCTTTATATGAGAAAAGATAACATTGTTTCAGATATTCTATACATGCAGCCAATCCCTTATCCTAACTCAGAAGCCAGAATCCATTGCGGAGAGTTGAACTTGGTTTTCAAAGTCCTATGTGCTTCATTCTAAATCATCTGTCCTTATTTCTGTAGGCTGAGGAAAGTTCCTGAAGGTGGTTGCCCAGTTGTAGAGTGTCCTTTCAGCTCCATGACTATATTCTTCAGATGGGACTTGAACTTAGGAATCCCTACATGTTGGGGAGAACAGGATGCTGTAACAGCAATGAACTTCCAGACACAGCTTTGATCATTGGTGAATCAGAGAGTTCTGTTGTTGTTGTTTTTCTAATCTCTTTGCTGTTTCTTTTGCTCTTTCTTCCCACCCTCATTCTCCTGCCAGGGAAAAAAAAAACATAGCCAGGCAAGAGCACATCCAATTCCCTTTCTTAATTAGAAGCGAAACATTTAAAAGCTGTGGCACAACTGCTTGACGAACATTTGCAAGTTATCTCCAAGCACAAAGCCAACACATTAAGGAAAGCAACAGGGTCATAGAACACGTCCCAGGCTAACAGAGAGGGTGATCCAGATTTGCAGAGGTGTCTGTCAACCACGGCTGGAGGCTCCTAATCCCCTCACTCAGAGCTGGTCATGCACAGAGAAAGGCTCATATGAAACACAACAAACCCAAGCTCTCCCAGGTGTCCGTAGCCCAGCTACGAAATCTGTCATCCCAAACTAACACTCCAGAGCACTTAATGGGTTTTAGGGGAGCGTTCAAATAAATAATCATTTCCTGGTATTGGAGATTGGATTTCATACACCATAGCCCAGGCCCAAGCTTAATGGGAGAGAGATAAAGAACAGAGTTCTTTTTCCAAAAGTAAAATTTACTTCTGATCCATTAATATGTATGCAAATAGTTTCTTCCAGACTCTGTGGTCTGGGAAATAAAATAGCCAGCTTGATCATAATTATTTTCTTACTTCCAGGGTGCTTGATATTAGATGCAGTAATGGTTTGCTATGGCAAATCCTAGGGCCTCTTTCCCTAGAAAGTGTTAAATAAGAACAGGTTGTGTCTCAGTCCATTTGTGTTGATATAAAGGAATACATACCCCAGGCTGAGTAACTTATAAAGAAAAGAGATTTATTTGGCCAATGGTTCTGAAGCCTGTACAAGAAGCATGGTGTCAACATGTGCTTCTGATGAGGGCCTCGGGAAGCTTCCACTCATGGTGGAAGGCAAAGGGGAACTGGCATGTGCAGAGGTCAATGGCAAGAGAGGAAGCATGAGAGACGGAAGGAAGGAAGGAAGAAAAGAAGGGAGGGAGGGAGGGAAGGAAAAGAAGGGGGAGGGGGAGGAGGAGGAGGAGGAGGTGGTGGTGTAAGGTCTTTTCAACAACCAATTCTTGCTGGAACTAAGAGTGAGAACTTGCTCCCAGGAGAATGGCACCAAGGCATTCATGAGGGATCCACCCTCATGACCCAAGCACCTCCCACCAGGCCCCATCTCCAACAATGAAACTTCAGTGAGATTTGGCAGAGCCAAAAAACCCACATCCAAACCACAGCAGGTACACCCATGGGAAGCGCTCAATGGATGATGGCTATGACAACATCACTAACTCCCAAGACGAACAAAGTATTTCATCTTTACACAGTTCTAATTGTGAAAAATGTATTCCTTAGACTGTGTTAGCATCTATTTCCCTTTACCTTCCACTCCTGGGTCCTATTTCCAGCCTGGGAGTAAACATAGGATAAACCCAAACTCTTGTCCCCATGGTGGTCTGTATTATTCCATTCTCACGCAGCTAATAAAGACATATCCAAGACTGGCTAATTTATTTAAAAAAGAGGTTTAATTGACTCACAGTTTCACACAGCTGGGGAGGCCTCAGGAAACTTACAATCATGGCAGAAGGTGAAGCAAACACGTCCTTCTTCATATGGTGACAGGAGAGAGACATGCCAAGCAAAGAGGGAAAAGCCCCTTATAAAACTATCAGATATCATGAGAACTCACACACTATTATGAGAACAGCAGCATGAGGGTAATCGCCCCCATGATTCAATTGTCTCCCACCAAGTCCTTCCCACGACACATGAGGATTATGGGAACTACAATTCAAGATGAGATTTGGGTGGGGATACAGCCAAACCATATCAGGGGTCCTTTCAAGACATAAAGCAGTTTATATCACCTGTGTCTTCTTTTGTCCAGCCTGAAAGGTCCAATCATCTTGACCCGAAAGGTCAAGCCACTGCTCCCGTGGCTTAGTTTCCAGTCCAGCCTGCTGAGGTTCTTGTCTGAAAGCCCCAGGCTGTGGCAGTCTCTTCTATCTTGTAGCTCCTTGGACACCTGGAGAGGTATCTGGAGGGTGCATTCCTCCAGGTGTGGACAAGCACCTGCAGATGAAGTAGCTTGTTCCGAGAGGAATGACTTCACAAGGATGGCTTAGACTCGCAGGCTACCTCGCACCTTGCAGGTAGGAGGTAAGCAGTGACTATTTCTTGAATCAATATATGACTGAATGAAAGATTAAGCCTATTGATTTAAAACCTATGTTCTTTTTCCCACTTCTGAATATACTTTTATCATTTCTTTGGGGGGCCTCATTTCTGGACTCTACTTAGGTCCCTGTGTCTACTCATTTCACCTTGTTTAAGCTAATAGGAATTCTAGTCTGTTGAGATCCTTTGATTTAGTGACTCAGTCATCCCAGAAATTACCTGTCCCTCCCAGGCTCATGTCAACTACAGATTGTCATCTCACCAGTATACTCATCTGAGCAATTAATTAGATTATATTTGGCTTATAATCATATTACAAGTTTTTTTAATGTCAGTTGTAGAATGATCCATCCTTTTTATTTGTACAGTGTGAACAGAAAGCTACTACATTCTACATGACTTTAGGACATTTACAAAAAGTTATCTTCACTTTGAGAAGAAACTGGATAAAAATGAATGTCTGCCCTATTATAAGGTTTTTTTTAAAAAAAAGCAGGTAAAATATCCTCTGCCTAGTCTTCCCTGGATGGAGGGGTGTCATAAATTGAACTGTCTCTCCCCCAAATTAATATGTGAACGTCCCAACTCGCAATAACTCAGAATGTGAACTTATTTGGAAATTGTGTGGTTTGCAGATATAATTAGTTAAGTTAGAATGAGATCATAATGGAGTAGGGTGGGCCCTTAATCCAATATTAAAAGTGTCCTCATAAAAAGGGGAAATTTGAGCACAGAATCGGACATACATAAAGAGAAGATGACGTCAAGAGACAGAGGGAGAAGAAGCCATCTGCAAACCAAGGAGACAGCCCTGGAACAGATCCTTCCCTCAGAGCCCTCAGAAGGAAGCAGCCCTGTGGCCACCTTGATTTCAGATGCCTGGCCTCCAGAACTGTGTGAGAATCAACTTCTGTTCTTCAGGCCACCCAGTTTGTGGCCATTTGTTCCATAAGCCCTAAGAAACTAATATGAAAGGAAAGGGGGCAGATGGCCAATCCCACCTCTCTGCTCAGCAGGGAACCATGCAAAGTCCTTCTCTACTTCAGGCAGGAACAAAAGTAACACTAAGAGCGAGTGAAGGTGAGCCACTCTCTGCAAAGCCCCTCTGGGATTTTGAACTTCTAGAAGCCCAAAAAACAGCCTATGACAATAACAATCACATGAACAATTCAACAGTACACTGAATGCATTTTAGGCTTTTCCAACAGCCTCTTGGTGGATCCCAAACCATTTTGGGAAGTAGGTGGCACAGAAGTTATTATTTCCATTTTGCAGAAGACAAATTATTCTCAAATCAGAAACTGGCTCAAGGAAATGAAGCTAGACAGTGGTCAACTCCAAAGGAGAGCCCAGAGACAATGACTCCCTCTCTGTGTTAAGAAGCTCACACCACCTGTGCTCCTCTGTGCTGTCCCCAAACTCAATCCTGTCAATTCATGCTAGGCCCTGTGTTCCCTCTGGGCCTCTACACATTCTTAAGGGGACAGGACTCTAGGGAAGGCAGGTGAGACATCAGCACAGGCACAAAGGCTTCCTTCCGATTGACAACGAGCACGCCAAAGCCAGAAAACAAGTGACTTCTGTGACTTCCGTCAGTTTACACTAAGAGGGAAGGTCACTGACTATGGTCTTGGGTGATGTGACCTATGGACAATTGTAATAAAAGTGGTACCATTGCCTGCTGGAAAAGGTAGGTATGGGAGAAACTGCCTGTGGGAAAATGATCTTTGACTATTTTCCCCTCTGGATGTTGAAACTGTCTTCCAAATAACTGAATTTTGTTGTGCCCCCAGGGTCACATGGAGCCCTGGTTTAAGTTCTTGCGATGTCCCATCCTCATGAATACATTTGTAGCTGTCTTAAGCAAAGTGAAACAAGAGCATCTTTAAGGCCTTCCCAGTCCCTCCC
Source organism: Homo sapiens (assembly GCF_000001405.40). Classification (NCBI taxonomy): domain Eukaryota; kingdom Metazoa; phylum Chordata; class Mammalia; order Primates; family Hominidae; genus Homo; species Homo sapiens. Next base: position 72,820,418 of record NC_000017.11, read on the forward strand.
TAATTTTCCTTGTGCCTCTCCTCTCTCCTTTGCTGAGCCTTTGCAGCTCAGAGCACCCTCACAACCTCCCTTCAACAGGAGCACCCTCTCTCTCCTGCCACCGCGGATCTATTACATGGCACATCCTACACTGGGATTGCAGAGCTCAGCAAGACTCTGTCCCCAAAGAGCCCATGCTCTTGTCAGGAAAAAGTCATTATGGAACAGGGTTGGGGGCACAGTGTTGGGGGAGCCAGAGTGCTGGGGACACAAGGAAAGGCAAACGATGGACGCTATGCAGGCATGGGGTGAGATGAGAGATGTTTCCCGTAAAGATGCCCTGGAGCTGGGTGCTAACGGGCGGGCAGAAGCCGGCCAGGTGAAAAGAATGGGGCAGAAACTGGGGGACAGAGGAGGAAAGGGAGGAGAAACATGTGGATGGGGGTACAGCTGCCTCCCAGCAAGTCAGAGCACAGGGTCCCCCCAGCACTTCCTGGGTTACTAGGGTGATGGCAGGTGAATACAGAATAGCAGGGCCTTGGAATGTCTGCCGTATTATAAGGTTTTTTGTTTTTGTTTTTGTTTTTGTTTGCAGGTAAAATATCCTCTGCCTAGTCTTCCCAGGATGGAGGGTGTTGCAGATTGAATGGTCTCTCCTCCAGATTAATATGTAGATGTCCCAACTCGCAATAACTCAGAATGTGAGGTTTTTGGAAACTGGGTGGTTCGCAGGTATAATTAATTACGTTAGAATGAGATCATCATGCAGTAGGGTGGGCTTCTAGTCCATTATTACCAAGGTCCTTATAAAAAGGGGAAATCTGGGCCAGGCACAGTGGCTCAGGCCTGTAATCTCAGCACTTTGGGAGGCTGAGGAGGGTGGATCACCTGAGGTCGGAAATTGGAGACCTGCTTGGCCAACATGGTAAAACTCCGTCTCTATTAAAAATACAAAAAAAAATAGCTGGGCATGGTGATGCACACCTGTAGTCCCAGCTACTCAGGAGGCGGAGGCACAAGAACCGATTGAACTCAGGAGGCGGAGGTTGTGGTGAGCCAAGATTGTACCACTGCACTCCAGCCTGGGCAACAGAGTGAGACTCTGTCACGAAAAAAAAAAAAAAAAAAAAAAAAAAGTTGGGGGTGGGGAATTTGAACAGATTTTTTGTGGAAAAAAAAATCTGAAAAGACATACACACAGCACAGTGTTAGAGGTCAAAACAATATAATGTATAGGGATATCCACATTTTAGCTAAGTACAACTCAAAGGAATGAATTTAAAAGATCAAGTTCAACTCAAGAAAGACAGTCCTGGTGATGTTTTCATCTGAGAAACTCAGTATCTCCCTCAGACTGAGGCAAAAGGGACTCCGAGGCCAGGCCTCACAGACGGGCCCCTTCTCATGAGGCAAGGATCACAGGTCATGGGATGTGACCACACTCTGGATACCCAGCCCTCTGGAATTCTCCATCCAAAGTAGTGGAATCCCCACTCCACTGACAGGGCCTGCATAGTCCTCTTCCCTGGGTCCATTCCCCTGTGGGAGACCAAGCCATTGGTGTACACTGAGGGTCCAAACAGGTCCACCTTCTGGCAAGCAGGTCTCCTGATGTGCAAGCTGCAGCTGGAGACAGGAAGAGAATGGGACTGGCTGGGGCCATTTCTCCCTGGGCGGCCACATCCAACAAAACTCCAGGGAGGCTGAAAATTTGAACCTGGTTTCCCAGGTCCCTATGAAGATGTCTTTGTCAGAGTAGGAGACAATATGAAAAAGAGTACTCATATATGTACTACACATTATATGCACATATACTATATATATACTATATACATACTATACACACATACTATATATATATAGAGAGAGAGAATATATATAGAGAGAGATTATATATATAATATATATAGAGAGATATAATATATATATAGAGAGAGAGAGAGAAAGAATATATATATAGAGAGAGAGAGGGAGAGAGATCTATCTAAATGCAATCTGTTAATTTGACTCATGACTTAAAATTTTCTAGACATATGACATATAAGACTCCATTTGTACTTTTGCTCCCAGCTCTGCAAATATTAGGGGCGGGTCTGGAGGGCCTATGCCCTCAGCTTCACGTGGCCAGTGCACAACAACTGAGAGAAACAGGTGTCAATTTTCAGAGTAACTTGTTTCCTGGAAACTGTTGCTCACCACACTCTATGCCCCTGGTCAGGCGTTCTCACCAGGGAGAGAAGGGTGATTTGAGGTTGAAACAGGGAAAGAGGACAGGAGACAAAGGAAATAAGTGGCAAACACTTCCAACCCTAAACTTTTTTTCTTTCTTTCTTTTCTTTCTTTTTTTTTGCTCTGTCACCCAGGCTGGAGTGCAGTGGCACGATCATAGCTCACTGCAGCTTCAACCTCCTGGGCTCAAGCAATCCTCTCATCTCAGCCTCCCAAGTAGCTGGGACCACAGGCACACACCACCATACCCAGCTAATTTTTTTATTTTTTGTTGAGGCAAGGTCTTGCCCTGTTTTTGTAGAGGTGAGGTCAGTTGCCCTGGCTGGTCTCAAACTCCTGAGCTCAAGCAATCCTCTTACCTCAGCCTCCCAAAGTGCCGGGATTATAGGCATGAGCCACTGTGCCTGGTCCTAAACTTTCAAATGCCTGAAACACATATAAAGGAAAAGCTGGGACAAGGCAGGAAGAGGTGAGTCCAAAAGCGTTCAACTCAGTGCCTGCCCCAAGACAAAATGGAAGAAAAATCAACAAATACCGTGAGAACTCTCTCTGTGGATGAAAACTACTTTCATTGCAATCAGGGTTAAAGAGAAGTCCTTCTAGGTCACCCAACTTTGACCTTGAGGCATGAGTCTTCTTACTCCCATCTCTCTTACCCAGAGTGCCAGGAGCCAGATTTTAGGGTAAATATCCAAGTAGCAGGTTCTGAAGTAAACTGTCTCAGTAGCCTGTATCTTCCATCTCCTTCAGTGGGCTTTCCAGACATTGGTTCCGTGCATCAATCTCTCTAAACTCATCTGGCAACAGCAGCCAGGCACAAACCCTGCAGTCTTTAAAGTGGCACAAATTCACAGACTGAGAGATGTTCCCACGCTGCATATGTTCCTAAAACAACCCCGTCCAAGCCATCCATCCACTTGCCTCCCTCCAAGCCACAAAGTAGTTTCATGAGCTCCATTTCAGTTCTGAGATCACCAACACCTGATATCATTACTCAGAGTCACTGGCTGGAGAACAGACATCATTTCTTTCCCGTTAAACATTGCTCAATAATCCCAAATAGGGGGCACTGCAGAGCTGAAGCTTAGAGGTGAATGGTAAATTCTAATAAGAAAGTGCAGAAACATCCAGGATCATTAATGCTGCATTAGCTCCACTTCTTGCCACACTGGTGCTATGTTTTGTCTTTCTGGACTGGCCACAGAATTTTCTAGTGCTTTGAAAAATACAGTGCTGTTTCTTGCAGCTAAATGGAAACCTGTAGAGAGCAAACAAGCGTAGATCCTTGAACTTGGTAATGAATAGATGGGATTCTAGGTGAGAAAGAACGAAGAAGAGAAAAACACCAAGTCTCCATATTCAGAAAAATTTTTTCAATGCCAAAGTTGTATTCAATTTAAAATAAAAGCACAAAAAAACATAAAATTCCCTTTTATACATAAACCAGTGATATGGTTTGGATTTGGGTTCCCACCCAAATCTCATATCAAACTGTAATACCCAATGTTGGAGGAGGGGCCCGGTGGGAGGTGACTGGATCATAGGGTGGACTTCCCCCTTGCTGTTGTCATGATAGTGAATATGTTCTCATGAAATCTCATTGTTTAAAAGTGTGTAGCACCTTCCCCTTCACTCTCTCTCTCTCCTGCTCCACCATGTGAAGACATGCCTGCTTACCCTTTTGCCTTCTGCCATGACTGAAGGTTTCCTGAGGCCTCCCCAGCCATGCTACCTGTACAGCCTGCAGAACTGTGAGCCAATTAAATCTCTTTTCTTTATAATTACCCAGTCTCAGGTAGTTCTTTATAGCAATGCGAGAATGGACTAATATAGTAAATTGGTACCGGGAGTGGGGACATTACTATAAAGATACCTGAAAATGTGGACGTGACTTTGGAACTGGGTAAAAGGCAGAGGTTGGAACAGTTTGAAGGGCTTAAAGGAAGACAGGAAGATGAGGGAAAGTTGGGAACTTCCTAGAGACTTTTTAAATTTTTGTGACCAAAATGCTGATAGTGATACGGACAATGAAGTCCAGGCTGAAGTGGTCTTAGATGGAGGAACTTTTTGGGAACTGAAGTAAAGGTCACTTGCTATGCCTGAGCAAAGAGACTGCTGACATTGGGCCCCTGCTCTCGTGACCTGTGGATCTGTGAATTTGAGAGTGATAAATTAGGGTATCTAGCAGAAGAAATTTCTAAGCAGCAAGGCATTAAAGATGTGGCCTGGCTGCTTCCAACAGCATATGGTCATATGTGTGAGCAAAACGATGATCTGAAACTTGAACTTATATTTAAAAGGGAAGCAGAGCAAAAAGTTTAGAAACTTTGCAGCCTGACCATGCAGTAGAAAAGAGAAACCCATTTTCTAGGGAAAAGTTCAAGCCAGCTGCAGAAATATACATAAGTAAAGAGGGGCCGAATGTTAATAGCCAAGACAACAGGGAAAATGCCTCAAAGGCATTTCAGAGACCTTTGTGGAAGCCCCTTCCATCATAGGCCTGGAGGCCTAGGAGGGAAGAATGGTTTTGCAGACCAGACTCAGGGCCCTGTTGCCCTGCACAACATTGGGACACTGCTCCCTGCATCCCAGCCACTCCAGTTCCAGGTATGGCTAAAAGGGCCCCAGATACATCTCAGGCCACTGTTCCAGAGGGTGCAAGCCATAAACCTTGGTGGCTTCCACGTGGTGGTAAGCTTTTGGGTGTTCAGAAGGCAAGAGCTGAAGCTTGGGAGCCTCAACCTAGATTTCAGAGGATGTATGGAAATGCCTGGATATACAGGCAGAAGTGTGCTGCAGGGGTGGAGCCCTCATGGAGAACCTCAACTAGGGCAGTGCAGAGGAGAGTGTGGCATTTGAACCCCCATACAGAGTTCCCACTAGGGCACTGCCTAGTAGAGCTGTGAGAAGAGGTCACTGTTCTTCCAATCCCAGAATGGTAGATCCACTGACAAGTTCCACCATGTGCCTGGAAAAGCCATAGGCACTCAACATGAGCCTGGAAAAGCAGCCAAGAGGCTGTACCGCGCAGAGCCAAAGGGGCGGAGATGTCCAAGGCCCTGGGATTCCACCCCTTGCATCAGTGTGGACTGGATGTGAGACATGGAGTTAGAGATTATTTTGGAGCTTTAAGATTTAATGACTGCCCTGCTGGGTTTTGGATTTGCCCCTTTGTTTTGGCTGATTTCTGCCTTTTGGAATGGGGAGTATTTAGCCAATGCCTGTACCATCACTGTATCTTAGAAGTAACTGACTGGGTTTGATTTTACAGGCTCATAGGTGGAAGTCACTTGCCTTGTCTCAGATGAGAATTTGTACTGTGGACTTTTGAGTTAAAGCTGGAATGAGTTAAGACTTTGGGGACTGTTGGGAAGGCATAATTGTATTTTAAAATGTGAGAAGGACATGAGATTTGGGAGGGGCCAGGGATGGAATGATATGGTTTGGATTTGTGTCCCCACCCAAATCCCATATCAAACTGTAATCCCCAGTGTTGGAGGAAAGGCCTGGTGAGAGGTGACTGGATCACGAGGGTGGACTTCCCCCTTGCTGTTATCATGATAGTGAATATGTTCTCATGAGACCTGGTTGTTTAAAAGTGTGTAGCACCTCCCCCTTCACTCTCTTCCTCTTTCTCTGGCCATGTAAGATGTGCCTCCTTCCTCTTCACCTTCCACCATGATTTTAAGTTTTCTGAGGCTTCCTCAGCCATGATTCCTGTACAGCCTGTGGAACTGTGAGCCAATTAAACCTCTTTTCCTTATAAATTACCCGGTCTCAGGTAGTTCTTTACAGCAATGTGAGAATGGACTAATACAGCTGGATTTCCTTTAGGGAAGGGCTTATTAAAACCTGATTTTTTCTAAGCTAATTGGAACTATACTTTCTTTCAGAACAAGGGAGAGACCCTTTAGAAAAGGGTTAAAATCAGGAGTCTGTAGATCCAGGCTGTTTATAAACTTCCTGACATTTTATATAATATATCATAATTATGCATATCACAGGAAGTTAGAGAAAGATTCCTTAAGCTTGATTGGATATACATGGCGATCGTAACCCCCAAAGTAAGAACTACTATTGTGGACACTTAACTTACAACAAGGTATGATAAACACGTGAAGAATGCTCACTGCTATTAGTCATCAGGGAAATGCAAATCAAAACCACAAAGAACTACCACTTACAACCACTAGGATGGCTATAATAAAAAAAAGCAGATAATAACAAGTGTTGGTGAAGATGTAGAGAAACGGAACCCTCCTATATTGCTGATAGGAATGAAAAATGGTGCATCACTTTGGAAAACAGTCTTACATTTTCCTCAAAAGGGCAAATATGGAGTTACCAAATGACCCAGCAATTCCACTACTAAGTTTAGACCCAAGAGAAATGAAAATGCCGTTATACAAAAACTTGTACATGAAAGTACAGAGCAGCACTATTCATAATAGTCCAACAGTAGATATAACCCAAATGCTTATTAACTGATGAATGGATGAACAAAATGTGGTATAGACATATAATGGAATATTATTTGACAACAAAAGGAAATGAAATACTGATACATGGATGAATTTTAAAAACACTGTGCTAATTAAAAGCAGTCAGATACAACAGGCCACATACTATATGATTTCATTTATATGAAATGTTCAGAATAGCCAAATTCATAGAGACAAAAGTAGATGAGTGGTTGCCTAGGGTTTGTGGGGGAGGAGCTGGAGGGAAATGGAGGATAATTGCTAATGGGTAGGGGTTTCTTCTGGGGTAATGAAAATGTTCTAAAATTTATAGTGGTGGTTGCACAATTTTGTGAATATTCTAAAAATCATTAAACTGTACACTTCAAATGGGTGAATTGTAGGCTGTGTGAGTTACATTTTGATAAAGCTGTTATTAAAAGAAAAAAGAAAAGAATATGTGAGCCTATTCTCCATCTAAGTGGCCCACTCCTCTACCCCAGGTGGGGAGACACCAGGAAGGCTTTGGGAAGGGACCAACAGGGGTGCATGGAAAACATGAGTTTGATATGAAGGAAAAATGCTATTGCCTTCAGCCATCTCATTCTCACCCTTGGATACAGATCCCTCAACCAGGGAAGGAATAACTGTCTTTAAATGCACTGAAGAGGAGGTTCCCATGGAGACTGGGGAAGTTAGCATAAGACTATCTTCCATGATGATGAGGAAAGACTGAATACACTGTAGCACAGGCACTCGCAGACAGACCCCTGGCCAGGTTACTGTGGGACAGGTGCCCAAGTCCATAGAAGAGAGAACTGTAATAAAGCAAGAGGGAAATACAGTTTCTTTCCCAATCAGGCAGATCCACGGCAATGCTGCTTTGAGGCTTCACGTGGGCAAGGAAGACACACTGGGCAGTGATACATGGATTTCTGCTAGCTGCTAAAGTGGTCCCATCCACTCAGGTCTCTGATAGTGGTCCTCTGGCCACAACTGTGCCAAAATAAAATAATACATGCTATGGTAGGAAATTAATGACCTCCTAAAATGTCTATGTCCTAATCTCGAGAATCTGAATATGCCGTGTGGCATGGCAGGGAAAACTGGGGCTGCAGAAGGCACTAAGGTGGCTAACCAGCTGACCCTGAGAGGAGTTATCCTGGATTATCTGGAGGATCCCACTGTAATCATAAGGGTCCTTAAAATGAAAAGGAAGGTAGGAGAGTTAGCAATAGAGTAATGCAATGCAAGAAAGATTCAACTGGGCATTGCAGGGGAAAAGGGGACCATGAGCCAGGAAAGGCAGGCAGCCATGGGAAGTCGGAAAAGGCGAAGAAATTGATTCTCTCCTAGAGCTTCCAGAAAGCATGGCCACAGTAGGAGTGAAATGGAGGCACAGAGAGGGGTATTTGTCTCAAGCACACAGCTATTAAGTGGAGGGGCCACTGGGATTTGAACTTAGATCAATAGACCCCAGAGCCTGTGTGCTTAACTAAGGACCCTAAAAGACTATTCCAGCCTGGTGAGCTGAGTTCCTGTTTGAGAGGAGTCTCCGCAGCCTGAGTCTGGGGGGTTTTCGCACCTGTGGGCCATGGGTGCCCCCGGGGAGGTGGACACGCTGCAAGGTGGAGGTTGTGTGCCACGTTTCCAGGACACCATATGGCCCCACCCTGGTCCAGGTGCTGCTGGAGCAGGACCTGTGCTGTCACTGCTCTCTGACACCGCTCCACTGTCTCCTCCAAAGGCTCCCACCCTGGTGGGCTCTGCACCCACAGATTTGATGAAACTCACAGGAGTCAAGCATCGGAGAGTAGTGACTGGGGGTTGTGTGTGGGGAGATTAAAGACATTTATATTTTTCTTTCTCACGTAAGATGAAGACTGGCGTGAAAGCACATTTCTATTTTCAAAAGTTAGGTTTGGTAACACAGTGCAGAGCAGATGGATGAGGAGAAAACGAAGCAACAAAAAAAATGGGCCTCAGCCAGGTGCGGCGGCTCACACCTGTAATCCCAGCACTTTGAGAGGCCGAGGTGGGAGGATCACTTGAGCACAAGAGTTTGACACCAGCCTGGGCAACATGGCAAAACCCTGTCTCCACACAACAAATGAATGAAATGGTTTGCTGGGCACACCTGTGGTCCCAGCTACTCAGGAAGCTGAGGCAGCAGGAGGATCACTTGGGCCCAGGAGGTGGAGGTTGCAGTGAGCCATGATTGCCTCACTGCAGTCCAGCTGGGAGACAGAGCGAGCCTCTGTCTCAAAAAAAAAAAAAGGCCCCCTCACAAAGCAGTGGGGCTGGAAAAGGGAGATGGGAACTAGAGGTGGGGGAGATGGGAGCCGGTGATCAGTGGGATTTGGTGACCAACTAGCTATGGAGAATGAGGGACAGGGAAGAGCTAAGACAACTATGGGCCTTCCAGCTCAAGGGCAGCTGGGCAGAAGTTCAGGACTTTAACTTAGAGGCAGAGGGAAAGGGAGGATGCTGAGAAGAAAACAAACATGCCGAATTAGGGCAGACATGCTCAAAGGGCCAACCAAAGTACATGTCTGGGATTCCGGACAGATCCGGGTCCCTCCTCTCTTCCCCCTTTCCATCTGTTAAAATCCCTTGTCTCTTCTACTGTATAAACCACCCTGGTGTCCCCATCCTCATGGGCCCCCATGGCACTCACACCCCTACCCAGTTAATGTCCCCTCCTGTCTGCTCCTGATGCAGTTTTCTCCACGTCACTAGTGTAGCCACCTTGTTCCCCTCAAAGGTGTGTTTTGAGCCCCCCACTCAGCTGAAATGCCCCCGGACTCAGTAAAGGAACAGAACTGAGTGTGTTCAGGAAGTTGACCTAGGGGAGGAGGGGATCGGTGCAGAGTCAGGGAATGGGGAAGAGAAACAGGTCAGAGGGCTTCAGAAAACCTGTGATGCTACTCATGATGAATATGCAGGAAGGAAGGAGAGAGGAGAGGAGACAGACTCACAGAAGGTATGAGGCCATGAGGAAATGCAGACATGCACACATGCATACACATGTGATTCCTCAAGCTCCCAGCAGGCTTCCAGCATCAGGAGCTAAAATTGCTACCACTGATAAATGAAAAATTTAAACTCCCCACTGGGAAGGAGCATTTCAAGTACCATTCCTGGATATCGCCCCCTCCAATTCTTCTGTCCACTGATACGCTAGCATAGAGCAGATGTGATCATTTGAAGCTTCAACAAAGAATCCCTTGAAGATGACTGTGTATTTTTTTTTTTCCTAAATCAGGAACACCAGAATTAAGAGGAAGGTAGCCATGCAAAACTCAACACTGTTTGTCAACGTGGGTACTAACTCGGCTGTGTCTTGGATAACACATCAACTTGGTAAAAACACACACAGAAAAGAAAACACTTTCTTCCAACTGTCAGAGCAAAAATCCTTTACTCTTCTGTCCAGCAACCTGAACAAAAACAAGGGAATTTGTGGCTTGGTTTCCTTTACAACCTTATCTTCACTCCAGGCACCATCCCCTGTCTCTAAGCAACAGGGCACACTTTGGAACTACCAGGAGGCAAAACCCAGTGCTTATCCTGAGTCTTTTAGGACTAAACAAATCAGGGCAGAGCAATTGGTCCCTCGCAAGGTAGAGCCCAAGGAGCCCATGGGAAGGTACGTGGCCCCAAATATCTTCATCAAACCCCATGCATACCCTGGCACTCCTCTGAGTTCCTTAGTGCCTGAAATTCCACCTCTCCACACTCAACCCATTGGCTTATTCCCCTGTCGGCTCCATGGGGGCACTGACTCAGTCTATCAGGTGACTTCTCCCACATCCCCACTCCCAACAGGAAAGCCCAACATGGCTCTAGTGTGAAGAGGAGGCTGACCCTTGAGAACAGGGCACAGAGAAGGAAATCTAGAACGTCACTGAGACTTAGTGATTTTTGTAGAAAAATGAGGAGCCTGGAGGAAAGTGTTTGATTAAAAGAGAATGAGGGAAAATGCCTGTATTGCTATGTTGACATTTAAGAAGACTGTTTGCACCTGCAAACAGGATTCAGAGATTTTTTTTTTTCTCCCATCAGCATGCCCCAACCTCTTCCCTAACATCTCTGAGACAGAAAGAATTTCTGAGAATATAGAGAAGAGAAATAAATGAACAAACTCTCTGGGAATGACAGCTCTGAACTTTAATAAGAGGGAGAGAAGAGAGCTGATGAGTACAAGGCTCTGCAGCAGAAAGGAAATGGAATTTGGAAGTGGAAGGAGCTGACAAACAGTGCTCATAACTGCTGCATCCAATAGTCAGGATAACTGCTATTTATCTGGTACCTTTATTTCTCAAGCAGGCTCGTGTCCATGACCTTATTTTATCCTCAAATCACCTGTGAAGCAGAGGGTGGAGCTGGAATTATTTATCTCCTGGTGAAGCCAGTGATATCACAACTTGGAGAAGTCATTCTTACAATCACCTACTTGGTGATTTTCAAAATAAGACAGGAATTATAGATTCTGACTCCCAATGCTTACTTACCATTGATTCTGGAAAATGTGGATGGTCTAAATTGCTATCGTAAAAATGCAATTTCCCAACTTTATTTCATCCATGAGCTTTGAGTTCATTTCTAATTAAATTTTTTCAGTAGCCCATCAACAAAACAGATCAGTTTGAGATTCTTCTCCTTGTTCATTCTCTCTTAAAGAGAATTATTAAGAAGAAGCATCCGAATTCATTTTTGAGCCCTCATTTGATTTCCATTTACCATCTCTGTGTTGCTGAAGCTGTGGAAGCAACAGTCTCCATGGCTGAGAGTAGAGCTTAAGTTACGCAGATGGGCTGCAAAGATTAATTGCCATTCTTAAAGACGCCGATAGAACTATGAAAAATAAGTAGTAATAGTAGTAGTAGGAAGAAGAGGAGGAGAAGGAGGTTGGAGAATAGGGGAAGTTACCATGCTCTAGTAAACTGCAAGATGTTGGCATATGACAAACCTTGGTACAAGATATAAGACAAAATGAAATGGGATCGAGCGTATAATCCCTGTGGCTACTAACTACTGCATTAGTAGACAAAGCAACAATTAGGATGAGCCGTGAATGAGGATGTGGTGCTGTCCCTTAGGGCAGGTAATACCCAAAACATGCAGCCATACACTTGTCTATTCTCCAAAGAGCTGAACCACTGAAGAAATGGTGGTCTGAAATGGCTTGGAAGTCTAGGTGTTATTGGGAGCTTGGATTCGTCACGAGCCCCCTAGGGGCTTCACACACATACTGATTTTGCAGACTTCTACCCCCTCGAATATTCTGTGGAGAACAACCTATTTTTTTCTATCCTCTCCCAAACCGCCATGCTGAGCTCATCGCCTCTGAATTTATCTCCGTGTCAAGGAGAAGATGACAGCCAAAAGTAATACATTTTGTTTAAGTCAAGTCATGACACATCTATGCCAAATGGAGAACTCAGCTGGCAATTACCACACTGAAAAGTGGGACAAACAACAGAGCAAGGAATAGACCTAGAAGTACATTTAGGTGTCATTTCACCCACTGTATTTAACCAGAGAAAGAAAAAGAAAATGGAATTTTGATTTCAGAATCCAACCTTGGTTAATGGTTATTTGCAGAAAACTAGAAACATTTTAATTATTTTCAACTCCACACCATAACAGCTATCAAGGGAATGGAGACAAAACAAACAGGGACTTATTAAATACATAATTAATGTGCACTAAAATTCGCATATATGAATATGAGTAAGCTGGGACCATTATAAGGTATGCAACTGAAACGTGATCAATTAATTAAACCTGTTATTTGCTGGGGCTTTGGGAAAAATGGGGCCACCTCAACAGAGGAGGGAGACTCATCAGCAGATGAGATGGCTCCTTGGTGGTCCATCCTGCTTGCAAAGTAGCCAGGTATTTCAAGAAACAAAAATCTTAGAAAAGCTACAATTTTCTTTACAGTGAAGCAAAAATAAATCAAGCCCTTGTCAATCAAGACCTTAATCAAGACCATTGTCAAGCTACAAATAGATTACTTTATTCCCTCTTGCCTGGTCTCCAGTCTCCATTATAATCAAATAAAAATACTTTTCAGGCACTGCATCTGGTTTAGAAATATAGTCTGTGGCCAGGAAACAAAATGAAGAAAACTGGCAACACAGGAATGAAATCACTTGTAGCGATTATTAATAACCGTCCTCTTTTGAAATGGATTAAAGTGCAGTACAACAATAGGTTATAACATGGAAGAAGAATTCAGATATTCAGATATTCAGACCTTAAGAATGCACTTTATCCTTATCACAAAGCAGCAAATGAAGTGCTGTGCTTCCTAGCAGCCAAAGAATAAAAAAAGGTCTACACGATCAATGTCTGTCATTCCCACAGGGAGGCAAAGCTTTTCCAGGCAGTGTATTCTAAAAGTTTTATCTAGAGGCATTGGGGGATGAACAGGACAATGGCTCTAGCAGAAAGCTGACAATAAAGACTCCAGTGATTTTCATCTGACGGTTAACATCCTTTCTTTCAAACCTGAGTTAAGTCACAGGAGGCTGTTCTGTGAGAGGGGCTAAGCTGACATAGACCAATGATGTTGGCTTGGGCTGGGGTGAGGAGAGGTTGTCTACTGGCAGATAACACATAACACCAGAGGACAAGATGATGAGCTACTATTTCAGCCCTTGTGCAGCTCCTTCCATCCCCCGACATCAGACATCATGATGCTCTCGAGCCTGCTACACAAGTCCCGGCACAACTCGCAACCCACTTCAGTCCCCAACTCAGGAAATAAGAAAAAAACTCAGAACCAACAGGAGCAAGAGAATGGTATCACAGGATGACTCTGCAGCATCCTGAATTTATCAGAAACAATGTGAAAAGGCTGACATTTAAATTATTTTATTCACAATATATGTAGGACATACCCCATGACTGAGAACAGCTCTCTTACACTGTCTTCCAGAAATGGAACTCCTCCCAAGGCAAGCTTGGGTAGGCACTACACAACAAACAATTTGTGAAGTTACTTTTTTTTGCTAAGGGTCTAGTGCAGTGTCATCCAGTAGAACTTCCTGTGATCATGGAAGCGTTCTACATCTTGTGTTGTCCAACACAGTAGCCACTAGATACAAGTATTTGATGTGTGGCTAAGTCATGCTAAGGAGCTAAAGTTTGCATTTTATTCCAGTTTAACTCATGTAAATTTAGAGAACTACAGGTGGCCAGGGACTATGGAATTGGACACAGCAAGTCTAAAAGATCTTACTAGGCTGGGCACGGTGGCTCACGCCTATAATCCCAGCACTTTGGGAAGCTGAGGCGGGTGGATCACCTGAGGTCATGAGTTTGAGACCAGCCTGGCCAATATGGTGAAACCCCATCTCTACCTAAAATACAAAAATTACCTGCGCATGGTGACACACGCCTGTAATTCCAGCTATTGAGGAAGCTAAGGCAGGAGAATAGGTTGAACCTGGGAGGCGGAGGTTGCAGTGAGCTGAGATTGCGCCACTGCACTCCAGCCTGGGCCACAGAGTGAGACTCCAACTCCATAAACAAAACAATAAAATAAAATAAAATAAAATAAAATAAAAGATTGTATTAAACCATGTTCTAGCCAATACCTGGCCATGGGAGAAAGACAACTGGAAGTTATTGGAAACTTTGCTTCCTAATACAAAAATGTATTCAAATTCTCTTGCTTTAGTTTTCTCTTTAATTTACATAATAGGTAGGAGGATGGCATAATACAATCGACGTGGAAATGAGTCTTGATTTTAACCCCAATCCTAGCGCAGCATTAGACTTTCACTCTGGCTGTAGCTTCCTTGATCTGAAGGCCAGAAAGTAGGGCTCAGGCATCTGCGCGTCTGTCGCCTGTGCAGGAGATGACAGAATGTCTAAAAGTTTCCCTGCCACTTTTATTTGGGATCACGGAGGATTCCCAGAGTTGTGATTTTGCCCTCTGGGCGTTGGTGCCAACTCTCATGCTCAAATCCAACAGCGTCATTTAGAAGTGTGCTACCGGCTTCTGCCTCAGTGCACACCAGGAACATGATATGTTGAGCAAAATGTCATCCCATGTAGGAGCCTGTGCTAATTATAATGTCAGGCTTCCCACTGAGATACTGATAATTAAAGGAGAATATTACAATGTTTTCAAACTCCTGCAGTAAATGAGAAGCATCTTCAAATGTAACCTGTTGGAGATGAAAATTAAAGCCATCTGTGACGTCCCCATTTAAGACCTCCACAACCAGAACCAGACAATTTTTGAGGATCAAAGCAAGTTGAAGGCAAAAGTAGGTGGGTGGTAGAGTTTGGGGGAAGAGGAGGAGGTGGAGGGGAATTAATGTTTTCCAGGTCCTGCTGTGTTCTAGGAACCACAATACTCTTTATTTTTTTATTGAGACAGGTCTTGCTCTGTCACCCAGGCTGGAGTGCAGTGGCACAAGCACGGCTCACTGCAGCCTCTACCTCCTGGGCTCAAGTGATTCTCCTGCCTCAGCCTCCTGAGTAGTTGGGACTATAGGCATGTGCCACCACGCCCAGCTAATTTTTGTATTTTTTGTAGAGACGGGGTTCTGCCACGTTGCCCAGGCTGGTCTTGAACTCCTGAGTTCAAGTGATCTGCATGCCTCGGCCTCCCAACGATACACTCTGAATAGCAGATAACACAGTGGGTGGCCCTGCTTGTTGCTACTGCTGTCGTCTCAATAATGAACTGCCAAGTAGCTATTATCTGCATTTTACAGCTGGGAAAGCTAAGACTCTCATGATCTCACCTAAGGTTACCTACCTAGTAAAGCATTTGGTGGCTCCAGGATCCAAGTCTTGGCCTTTCTGCTCTAAAGGTTGTGCTTGTCCTATGCCTGTGGGCGACCACCTGCTTGGGTCCTGGAGCATCAGTGGTGGTGATAGGTGTGCAGGGGCCTCACAGGCATTCATTTTACACATCTCCTAGAGCACCCACAGTGGTGGGCCCTGTGTACGGTGAGGCTTCCTGCCCAGGTTTCCCTGCCCAAGTCTCCTTGCTGAACTGAGCCCGATGCATCTGGAGTGAGAACTACGCCAACGTGGTGCTGCAGACATTAACATTTAATGTGGCAAGCTTAAGAAAAGCAAGAAGCATTTCCTGAACTTCTCTGTAACTCTCTCTGAAAAACAGTGTGATCCACGGGAAGAAAAGAAACACAGAGCTCACCAGTGAGACACAACACACGGAGACAGAGTGTGAGTTAAGCTGTACCCATCATTGCTTGTGTGGCCTCGGGCTTTTTTTTTTTTGAGACAGGGTCTCGCTCTGTTACCCAGGCTGGAGTGCAGCGGCACGATCTCAGTTTTCTGCAGCCTCCACATCCCAGGCTCAAGCGATTCTCCTGCCTCAGCCTCCCGAGTAGCTGTGACTGCAATCACGCGCCACCATACCCCACTAATTTTTGTATTTTTTGTAGAGATGGGGTTTCCCCACGTTGCCCAGGCTGGTCTTGAACTCCCAGGTTCAAGCGATTCACCTGCTTCGGCCTCCTAAAGTGCTGAAATTACAGGTGTGAGCCACCGTGCCTGGTCTTGGGCTTGATCTTTAAACTTTCTAGGTCTCAGTTTCTAAAATGTAAAACAGGGACGCAAATATCTAAATCATGTATGTGGTGCACTTTATACAGCGTCTGGAACCTTGAAAGGCCCCCGTAAGTGGCAGCCTTTAGCATTATTGGTATATTTTATTATGGTCAATGATGCATGCCTTTGTGTGGTGTTCTGCTTCCTCATTAACTGAGCCTGAGTCGCCGGCTACTGAGAAGGCCCCTCCAGTTTCTGGAAGCAGAGCAATGTGAAGCAGAAGCTGTTGCATCACGGTTTCTCCTGGAAAGGTCTGTACCTAACAGTAGAATTTTCTGCTCAGTCTTTACCCCAGGAAAATGAAAAATCAACATGTTCTTTCTCATGGCTAGTAGCTCCTTTCTTGCAAGTCGGGGCCCTGGTCTCGCACTGCTGCCCCTCCAAAGCCACCCTTTGCAGCACGGGGAGACTGCACAAGGGCAAGCTGAAGGTCCAGGCTCACATCACCAATGTCAGCAGCAGCAGCCTCCCTGGCCACCTGCAGCTGTCCGCAGACTTTTCAGCATTCCAACAGATCCTCCATATTCCACACAAAATCAAAATCCACAGCAACTGCCACCTCGTTGGAAAGCAGGGCTCAAAAAACAACTTTATTTTTCTCCTGTCTATTGACTTGGAGGAAAATTCACTAGATTTTTTAAAAATGTACTATAAAAATGTATATTGCTCAAAAAAAAAAAAAAAAAAAAAAGCAGGACTCATAGACACCCCAAGCAAGTGCCATGGTAGGTGGGACAGAGATTATCCCTTTGTGTCAAAGGACTCTGCTGGATGGAATGAATGGGAAGGAACTTAACAAAAAGAACTGGCTTCAAAGAGTTCAAAGGTTTCCATATGACCCAGCAATTCTACTCCAAGGTATGTACCCAAGAGAACACAGGTCCATACAAAGACATAAACACACATAGCAGCATTACTTACAACACCCAAAAAAGTAAAAACAATCCAAATGTCCATCAAGTGATGAAACAGTAAACAAAACACGGTGTATCCATAGAATAGAGTATTATCTGGCCAGAAAAAGAAAGACTTACTGATACATGCTACAACATCAACGAAACTTGGAAGCATCATGCCAAGTGAAAGAAACCAGACACAAAAACATACATATTACATGATACCGTTTAAATGAAAGTCAGTCCCGGTTAGGGAAACTGTAGAGACAAAGTAGATTAGTGCAGGGGCTGGAGGGAGGGAGGAATGGGGAGTGACTGCTAATAAGCATGCAGTTTCTTTTTTTCCTCAGAGGTACTGCTCAAAGAGTGTGGGGTTTCTTTACAGGGTGATGAGAGTATTCAGGAATAGTGGTAGGTTGGGTACAGTGGCTTACACCTATAATCTCAGCACTATGGGAGGCTGAAGCAGGAGGTTCTCTTGAGGCCAGCAGTTCGAGGCCACCCTGGCCAACACAGCAACACCCTTGTCTCTACTGGAAGAAAAAAATTAAAATTAAAAATTAAAAAGATAGTGATGGTGGTTGCACAACCTTTCAGATATACTAAAACCACTGAATTGTGAAATTTATTTTTCTTTCCTTTTCTTTTTTTTTTTTTTTGAGACAAGGTCTTGCTCTGTCACCTTGGCTGGAGTGCAGTGGCACAACCACGGCTCACTGCAGCCTTGACCTCCAGGGTTCAAGCAATCCTCCCACCCTAGCCTTCCAAGTAGCTGGGACCACAAGCGTGCACCACCACACCTGGCTAGTTTTTTAATTTTTCGTAGAGATGGGGGTCTCGTCATGTTGCCCAGGATGGTCTCCAACTTCTGGGCTCAAGCGATCCACCCACCTCAGTCTCCCAAAATGCTGGGATTACAGGCATGAGCCACTGTGCCTGGCCTTGAATTGTGAACTTTAAAAGGGTGAATTTTATGGTATGTGAATCATATCACATTCTTTTAAAAAAGTTAACAGGGACTCTTTCCTCAGTGTGGAAGTGTAATTGACAGACCTCCTAACTACCAGTGAGCGTGGGGATGAGAAAATGCCACACAATAAAGTTGCTTGAGAAAGAGAGAGATTGAGCGACAGATCATGTGTGAGATGGAGTAGGGTCAGTAACCATTTAAATATGCCACTGACCTTGAGAAAAAGAATGTCAGCTATAATCACAAGCCACAAACGTCTGTCACTGTGAATTGGCTCATCACGAAGAACTGAGGGATAACATGGAGTTATGATAGCAGTGGAGGCAGGCAGGGGAAAAGGGCCCATGAGATATGGATGGCAGCACTCTCCCCCATTCCCTGCCATCCCCACTGCACATGTATAAGCTAAGTAAATATTACGTCGTCTTTTACTAACACCCCAAAACTCTCACTTGATGAAGGACCAGGGGAGTAAGTTGCTGAATGGGCTCATTAAGACTTAGGAATTCTTTAGAGGCTCAAACACAGAAAGCCAGTGATGGGAAATAAGGATGACACAGCTGATAGCCCATGGGAGTCCCAGGGTGAGACTAAGACTCCATAAGAGCCAGGCTTAGACTTATAAAGGAATGCTGGCTGCTGAAGACATTTCAGAACTCAAGCTAAGAATCTCTGGCCTGCATTCAGAAGATACCTTTGGTCTCTGTGGTTGGCCAAATGATGGCTCCAAATATATCCAGGTCCTCATTCCTGAAACCTGTGAATGTTACCTTTCATGACAAAGGAGATTTTTCAGATATGATTATCCTGGATAATCTGGGTGGTCCCTCAATGCAACCACAAGAATCTTTATAAAAAGGCAGAGGGAGATTTGGCACAGAAGAGAAAGCAGTGATCCTGGAGGTACTGATTGGAGTGATGTGGCCACAAGCCAAGGAATGCCTGCAGCCTGCAGAAGCTGGAAGAGGCCAGGAATGGATTATCCCCTAGAGCCCCCGGCAAGAACACGGCCCTTCCAACCCCTTGACTTTATCACAGTGAAACTGATGTCAGACTTCTGGCCTCCAGAACTGCAGGAGAATAAATCTGGATTGTTTTAAGCCACTAAGTTTGTGATAATTGGTTACACCAGCCAAAGAAAACCAAGGCAGTCCTTCATTCTGCTTCTAACTTGTCTAAATATTAAAACATCCCCAGTAAGATGATCTCTAGCATAAAGGAATAACATCTCTCTACTTCTGTGCATAAGTTGAGGGTTGAGGTGTTGAAGTGGTTAGGTGATGGTAACTCCTTGATGAACTGAGTCTGATGCAGCTGGAGTGAGAACCACGCCAACGTGGTGCTGCAGACATTAACGTTTAATGTGGCAAGCTTAAAAAAGGCAAGAATTTCACCTTTCCAAAAAAGCATTTTTATCTGATCGCAAGTCATAAATATTTACTACAGGAAAGCTTAGTTATAAATCTCACAAAAACAGGAAGAAAATAAAAGTCATCTGCAATCCTATCACCCAGGAATAACCAACCACTGTGAACATTTTCATGTCTAAATTTGGGTTCCTGTTCCCTGAAACAAAAAATCACTTTGGATTAAAATCCCAAGCATTTCTTTGAAAGCCATTATCAGGAGCTGGCAATGAGGACAGGCCACATGACCAAAACCAACTGTTGTGTGGTTCTAGCAACACAAACAGTGGTCCCCAGGCCTCTATGTCATAGCAACAACCAGCAAAACAAACTTGGCTCTTGATACTATTGAGAGGAAAATAAAAAGCATGGAATTCACCTACCCTCTTCTCTGGACCTTTAAAATAATTTCAAACACAAAAGGCAGCAAGAGTCTGCCAATGTATCATCAGGACCCACATGAGTCAATGTCCTCCCTTGGCCCACCTGGACAATGTAGAAAGAAAATTAGGCGGCTGGGAGTGGTGGCTCACACCTGTAATCCCAGCACTCTGGGAAGCCAAGGTGGGCGGATCACCTGAGGTCAGGAGTTTGAGACCAGCCTGGCCAACATGGCAAAACCCCGCCTCTACTAAAAGTACAAAAATTAGATGGGCGTGGTGGTGGGTGCCTGTAATCCCAGCTACTCAGGAGGCTGAGGCAGGAGAAGCTTGAACCTAGGAGGCGGAGGTTGCAGTGAGCTGAGATCGCGCCACTGCACTCTACCCTGGGTGACAAGAGCGAGACTCCATCTCAAAAAGAAAGAAAATTGGCTGGGTGCAGTGGCTCATGCCCGTAATCCTAGCACTCTGGGAGGCCGAGGCAGGCAGATCACAAGGTCAGGAGATCAGGACCATCCTGGCTAACACGGTGAAACCCCGTCTCTACTAAAAATACAAAAAATTAGCCAGGCGTGGTGGGGGGCGCCTGTAGTCCCAGCTACTGGCGAGGCTGAGGCAGGAGAATGGTGTGAACCTGGGAGACGGAGCTTGCAGTGAGCTGAGATGGCGCCACTGCACTCCAGCCTGAGTGACAGAGCAAGACTCCGTCTCAAAAAATAAAAAATAAAAAATTAGGACACCTAACTCTCAAACAGCCCCTCCTCTCTTAGAATGGAGGGCAGGTACCCAATGCACCAGTTCTTCTAGGTGCTCAAGTATATAATACATATTGAATACATCAAAGCTTCAGTATGTGTTATAACATTGGGCCCCCCAAAAAGAACGCAGTATAGAACTTCTTGCAAGAAGCTCCATCTATCAGGGGCAAATAAACATGTTTAAATACAGGTAATTGCATCCATCAAGAGTTGAATGAATAAAGAAAATATGGTACATACACACAATGGCGTATTATTCAGCCACATAAATGAATGAGATCCGGTCATTTGCAACAACATGGATGGAACTGGAGGTTATTATGTGAAGTGAACTAAGCCAGGCATGGAAAGACAAACTTCTCATGTTCTCACTTATTTGTGGGAGCTAAAAATTAAAACAATTGAACTCATGGAGATAGAGAGGAGAAGGATGTTTACCAGAGGCTGGGAAGGGCAGTCGGGGAGTCGGGGGAAAGTAGTGATGGTTAATAGGTACAAAAAAAAATAGATGAGTCAGACCTAGTAGTTGACAGCACAACAGGGTGGCTATAGTCAATAATATAATAATTGTACATTTTAAAATAACTACAAGTATAACTGGATTGTTGGTAACACAGAGGATAAATGCTTAAGTTGATGGGTTATGCATTACATACCTGTATCAAAATATTTCATGCAGGCCAGGCGAGGTGGCTCACACCTGTAATCCTAGCACTTTGGGAGGCTAAGGCGGGAGAATCTATTGAGCCCAGGAGTTCGAGACTAGCCTAGGCAACATGGCAAAACCCTGTCTCTACAAAAAATACAAAAAAAAAAAGAAATTAGCTGGGTGTGGTGGTATGCACCTGTAGTCCCAGCTACTCAGGAGGCTGAGGTGGGAGGATCAACTGAGCCCAAGGTTGAGGCCGCAGTGAGCCATGATCACACCACTGCACTCCAGCCTGAGTGACAGAGAGAGATCTTGTCTCAAAAAACTATGTGTGTGTGTGTGTGTGTGTGTGCACGCACGCGCATATGTATTTCATGGCCCCATAAATATACATACCTATGTTACTGACAAAAATTAAAAATAAATAAATAAATAAAACACACAAACAGGTAATTGTAAGTCAGAGTGATAATTATGGTAACAGAAGATAAAGGATACAGCAAGACAGCACAAAGGAAGGAGTGATTAACTTTGTTAAATAAATGAAATTAATAATAAATATTTCTATGATTCTTCACAGTTATCATCCAATGCTAAGGCTAGAAGGAGCCATAACAATAATTTACCACAATCCCCTAAATTTTCAAATGAATGAATGTTTGAATGAGATAACCCCTAGAATCTCTTTAAGCTTCCAATTTAACTTTCTCCCATACAAAGCAATGGTGCAGTTCACTGTTGAGACCATAAGGTACTCATGATAAGTGATTAGTAGGAACTCAATTGCTAGGTGATTTTTAATGCCATTCAAAAACAGAAGGGCCAGGAATCTTTGGAAGGCTCAGAGCCCTTCAATCTGTATGATACTGCATGGACAGCACTTCAAGAGACAGTATGCTCAAAAGGCTGCAGTCTCGGGTTGGTTTTCTAAAAAACCATGTTGTTTCCTCAGGGTGTCCTTCTGCAGCAGACACAAACACCCTAGACCACCCCCACAGATGCACCCAGGCAGGCGCCACGGAAGTAGCTTAGAAGGAGGCGGGTGGTGTCTGCACTCTGTTTCTGGAGTCTGCCTTTTAGTGCTCTTTTTACTGCGCCTGCCTGCATCTGCTGGTCTGCATCAGTCATTACCATTTCTTCCTAAGACATTTCAATTGCACAACTATACTTTTCTTTGTCCTCTAAAGGGGAGGGTTTTTTGCTTATTTGTTTTTTTCTGAGATGGAGTCTTGCTCTGCCTCCAGGCTGGAGTGCCATGGTGCGATCTCGGCTCACTGCAACCTCTGCCTCCTGGGTTCAAGTGATCCTCCTGCCTCAGCCTCCCAAGTAGCTGGGATTACAGGCACGTGCCACCACGCCCAGCTAATTTTTATATTTTTAGTAGAGACGGGGTGTCATCATGTTGGCCAGGATGGTTTCTATCTCCTGACCTCGTGATCTGCCTGCCTCAGCCTCCCGAAGTGCTGGGATTACAGGCCGTGAGCCACCGCGCCCGGCCTGGGGAGGGGTTCTTTCCTGTTCTAGGGTTGTGGATAGACTCCATAAAGTCTAAACACCCAGAATTGTCTGCAAAATATTGTGTGTGGCTGTGGTCTCAAGGTTTATGTCTCCCCAGAATTCATATTTGGAAACCTAATCCCCAATGGTATTGTTATTAGGATGGTGGGGACTTAGGGAATGAATGGTATTAGGAGGTGGGGACTTGGGGAAGTGATTAGGTCGTGAGATGGAGCTCTTATGAATGGGATTAACAACCTCATGAAATGAGACTCCAGAGAGTGCCCTCTTTCCACCATGTGAGGATACAACGAGAAGACAGTCACCTGCAACCCGGAGAAGGACCCTCACCAGAACCTGACCACGACCATGCTGGCAGCCCGATCTCAGGCTTCCAGCTTCCAGAACTGCGAGAAATAAATTTCTGTTGTTTCTAAGCTACCCATTGTATGGCATTTTGTAATGGCAGCCTGAACAGACTAAGACATGTGTACAACATCCTCTTGTGAGATGGTGTATAGCTCTTATCAGATTCACAGGACAACTGTGAACCACAGAAGCTTAAGAACTATTTGACCTTGCACATGTGTATTAAATATTAACCCAAGAGCCCCAGACGTGTGCATATGCCTTCGGGTGTGGCCTCACACTCTGGATACCTCCGGGAGATAGGCTACTATTAACAAGCCTTCCATTTTCCTTCTACTCCAAAAAAAAATTTTTTTTAGCAAAATGTCATCCTCAGGACATACTAAACTGAAATAGCAAAGACAAAAAACTTCAAAAAAAAAAATCGATTCTCCATTTAGTCATTGTGAAAAGTCTGTCTTAAAAACCCAGAGTCTCAGGGAATGTCAAAGCTCTAGTTAAATTTTTAATACACTATAAAGGATAGTGTTAAAGAAGAGACCTTTTCAAAGGTAAGTTGGCTCCAAACAGGCTCTTAAAATGGTCCTCATCAAAGACATGAAGCTGCTTGACAGTGATGGTGAGGGAGTTCACTTCTCTTTAGACAGGATTAGGAGCTGAAGACTTGAGGAATGAGCCACAGTGGGTCTTTGGAGACACATCTATTTGTAGTTAGACCCTTGGTGGCTTCATCCAGTGTCAGGGGTTTAAGTAACATTCATGTGCCAAGGGACCAGGCGCAGTGGCTCACGCCTGTAATCCCAGCACTTTGGGAGGCCAAGGCAGGTGGATCAGTTGAGTCCAGGAGTTCAAGACCAGCCTGACCAATATGGCAAAATCTTGCCTCAACCAAAAATACAAAAAGTAGCCAGGTGTCGTGGCATGCGCCTGTAGTCCCAACCACTTGAGAGGCCGAGGCAGGAGAACCTCTTGAACCCAGGAGGTGGAGGTTGCAGTGAGCCAAAATTGCGCCACTGCACTCCAGCCTGGGCATCAGGGCAGACTCTGTCTCAAAAACAAAAAACAAAAAAACAAAAAACATTCATGGGCCAATGATTCAGAAATCTATAACTCTAGCTAGACTTTGCAAGCCAACTCCAAACTCATGTATCCAGCTGTCTAGTCAGTATCTCCATTTGAATGTCTAATGGCAATCAAACCTCACAATCAAAAAACAAATTCCTGATAGTCCCCCTAAAGCCCCTGGAGCTGCAGCCTTCCTCGTCTCAGTTGATGGCAATTCCATCCCTGCAGCTGGGCAGCCCTGAAACCTCCGGGTCCCTCCTGGCTCCTCGCTTTCTCTCATATCCCACATCCAATCCATCGGCAAATCCCATTGGCTCCACCTTCAATCGGGACCCAGGAAGGGATCCCTTCTCACCACATCCAGCACGACCACCTTGGTCTGCACCACTATCATCTTTGATCTGGATTCTGCAGTGGCCTCTACATAGGCCTCCCTGCTTCCATCCTTACCTCTCCTAAGTCCCATCTCAATTCAGTATCTAAAGAGAAACAAACTTTCAAAGCTCAAGTCAAGTCATACACACCCTCTTCAAAACTCTGCAATGGCTCATCACACACAGAGCAAAAACAAACATTCTTATGCCTCCAAGTTCCATCTAAAGGAGGGGCTGACATCCCTGCCCTCACCTTGTACTTCTCTCCCTGCTGCTCACCCTGCTGTGGCCACAGTGGACTCTTGGCTACTCCTTGTGGGGGCCAGACATGCTCCTGCCTCAGGGCCTTTGCACTGGCTGTTCCCTCTGCCTAAAACACTCACTGTTTCCCAGAGATCTGCATGACTGACTCAAATTCAAGGACATCTCAAGGAGCCCCTCCCTACCTACTCTATTTAAAATGGCAATTTCTTCCTCTAACACTCTACCGTCTCCTCTGCCCTGTTGAACTTTTTCTTTTTTTAAATCACTAACCACCTTCTAACACAATATAAAATTCATTTATTATGATGATGTTCATCGACTATCTCACCTTGCTATAATATTGGTTATAGAAGGCCAGAGATCTTGGTCTGTTTTAGTACTGATATAACCCAAGTACATGGAATACAATACTCAAATATAATAAATAAAAGACAAGACTGGGAAAGAAATGTCCCTTCAAACCTCTCCATCCAGTCAAGCCAGCTGTCCTCCAGTTTACTGAAACCAGTGACTATTACCACCATGCTTCTGGTGAAATCTAACTCAATTGAGATTCCTGGAAGGCACTCAATCCTCATTTCAATTTATTTTTTATTTTACTATTATTTTTGAGACGGAGTCTCGCTGTGTCACCCAGGATGGAGTGTGGAGATAAGAGAATCCATCTTTCAAACCAATGAATCTCTCTCTCTCTCTCTCTTTTTTTTTTTTTTTTTTTTTTTTTTTTTGAGACAGAGCCTTGCTTTGTCGCCCAGGCTGCAGTGCAGTAGCATGATCTTGGCTCACTGCAACCTCTGCCTCCTGGGTTCAAGTGATTCTCCTGCCTCAGCCTCCCAAGTAGCTGGGATTACAGGCATGTGCCACCACTCCCAGCTAATTTTTGTATTTTTAGTAGAGACGGGGTTTCGCCATGTTGGCCAGGCTGGTCTCAAACTCCTGACCTCAAGTGATCCGCCCACCTTGGCTTCCCAAAGTGCTGGGATTACAGGCATGAGCCACTGCACCTGGCCTCAATCCTTATTTGAAAAAATACTTTTGCATCACCATAGAAGTGACAAAGGCTGAACTTAGACTTGGAAACTCCAAAGACACAGAATAGGGTCTCCTGTCAGGGAAGAAGTAAGATTTTAATTTATGCTCATTTAAGATCATCAAATATTGCTGTCATTCCACACATCTTCCTCCTGTTTCTGGCTTTATTCCAAGTTGTCACTGGAGTCAACAAACATTTGAGAAAGTAAACTCTGAACCATCCTGGCCTTCCATTGGGATGAGCCAGGAAATAATTCCAGCTGAGCATAATGAATCACCCAAGTACAGTGGCAGGTGTGGTATATAAAAGGGTCCATTAGAGGAAAGTTGGATACTCATTCCATTGCTATAAAGTCTGGACCTTAGACCACATTTTTGTTCTTCAGAGAAATAGTTGCCGTAATACACCTCAGTGTAGTTACCTTATTTAACACTAAACCCACTGGGCAGATCTTTACTCTTCCTCAATTGGCTAAAGAAGGGGTCATAAATGGCAGAAAGACAGCTACTATTATGAATGAAAAACAAGTAACCTCTCTTCTCTAACTATTAGCACTTAACAGGCTACAAGTTGCTGTCAGGGCTCCTAAGTAGTCCTCTGCAGGGGACCAAGGGGTCTTTCAATGACCTCTTTAAGATACGGGGTGGGCACGAGCAGGGTCTTCCACCAAGGCTAACCCACTTTGGCCATCTTTGTGCAGTGAGGTCCATATAAGACCCCATCTTTATCTCAAGACATACTGAATACCAAGATCTAGAAAACCAACAGGGTCAGATGCTGTGGCTCATGCCCGTAATCCCAGCACTTTGAGAGGCTGAGGTGGGCTAATCACTTGAGGCCGGGAGTTTAAGACCAGCCTGGCCAACATGGTGAAACCCCGTCTCTTCGAAAAATACAAAAATTAGCTGGGCATGATGGCACACATCTTTAATCCCAGCTACTCGGGAGGCCGAGACAGGAGAATTGCTTGAACCGGGAAGTGGAGATTGAAGTGAGCTGAGACTGCACCACTGCACTCCAGCCTGGGCGACAGAGCGAGACTCTGTCTCATAAAAAAAAAAAAAAAAAAAATTGGAAAACCAACTAAAAAAAGCTTATTCATAACTCAAAGAAAAGGGTCAAGAGGGGAATGAGGGAGACACATAAACTGATGAAAATGTTGGGAAAACTGGCCTACCTATGATCGTATGATAGACATTCCTAAGATTAGGATAGAAATAACAGAGGAATGTGCTTCTTATCTAGAGAAATATCTGAGCTTAAAAAGTAATTAAACACATAGTGCTTTCGGCAGATTTAATATATACTAGAATATATAATATGTATTAGAATTTTCACACTTTAAAGACGACAAAAAAAAGTCTTCATTGTGCAAGCAAAACAATATCAAGTTATACAGAGGAACAGACTCACTTTGGCCATGCTTTTTGCTTCCACAATACTAAAGCCAGAAGACAAGGGATCAACATCTGCAGAAGCTTTGTAGAGAAAAATGTCATGACTAGAAAGCTTTGCCCAGCCAAGTTCTTGCTCCTGTATTAGAGTAACAGATTGGCACCATGAACTCTGCAAGGACTCAGAAAATGTATCACCCAAGGATGCTCCCTGGGGAAGATTATTGCTCAAACTCGAATTCCCAAACAACAAAAGGTGGGTCAGCATGTTTAAGATCTCAAGATCGAGGAAATCATGGCTGAAAAGGCAGCAGGAGTATCATCGATGCCAACAATGCGCTCGTAAGTCCCAAGCACTGTACTGAAAGCTGTATGTATATTTAGCATCTCATTTAATTCTCTAAGTAAGCCACTTGTGGCATTATCCCCATTTCTTAGATGAGAAAACCAAGGTTCAGGGAGTTCAAGCAATTCGTCAAGATAACCTCCTTAGGAAGTGAGAGAGTTGGAATTTCAAAATGCATCCCAAATTGCTCAGGTTCCCTCAGTTTATTTATTTTTAAAAATATCTTTATCATTTCCTATGCTTAATCATGTTTTCTAGTTGCTCTAAAAGAAACATTCATTGTTTTTGAAATAAGGCATTAATATGTCCTTTTTTCCAATTAAAATACATCTAAAGACATAAAACAGGCCAGCGTGGTAGCTCACGCCTGTAGTCCCAACACTTTGAGGGGCCGAGGCAGGTGGATGACCTGAGGTCAGGAGTTCAAGACCAGCCTGGCCAACATGGTGAAACCCCATCTCTACTAAAAATACAAAAAATTAGCAAGGCATGGTGGTGCACACCTGTAATCCCAGCTACTCAAGAGGCTGTGGCAGGAGAATCACTTGAACCCAGGAGGCAGAGGCTGCAGTAAGCCAAGATCGCTCCACTGCACTCCAGCCTGGGGGACAGAGCAAGACTCTGTCTTAAAAAAAAAAAAAGACATAAAAGAAATTACTCTAAAATGCTAAATAGGAAAGGATTGGTAAGAACATTTCAGAAAGATGCCCACATAAAGAAGGCAGGTAAGGCAATTATCAGTGCCAAATTATACTGAACTCAATAGACTTGACCCTCGAACAATGCAGACGTTAGGAATGCTGGTTCCCTGCGCAGTAGAAAATCTGCAGAGAGTTTTTGGCTTCCCCAAAACTTAACTATGAATAACCTGCTGTTGACCAGAAGTCTTACCAATAACATAGTCAATTAGTACATATAGTGTATGTTATATGTATTATAAACTGTATTCTTACAATATAGCAATCTCAAGAAAAAATGTTATTAAGGAATTCATAAGATAACATATATTTACTATTCATTAAGTGGAAGTGAGTCATCATAAAGGTCTCATCCTCATCCTCTTCACATTGAGTCAGCTGAGGAAGAGGAGGGGTTGGTCTTGCTCTCTCAGGGGGCAGAGGCGGAAGAAAATCTGAGTGTAAGTGAACTCACGTAGTTCAGATCTGTGTTGTTCAAGGGTCAACTATGTTTTCAAATAGCATTAAGCAGAACCAGAGATACCCAGTATTTATAAAAGATACCCTCCACAGCAATCATGTAACAGTTATGAATTTATGCTCCAAATAACTTGGTAACAAATATGTAAACAAAAAGGAAGTAGAAGTTGTTTAAACTAACCGGAATGGGAAGTTTTCACATATGATGATCTATCTATGACGATCAAAAAATAAAGCCAAGAAAGATTTGTACTGCCACCTTCACTCCTCTCCAAAAAGGACCCACGTCACAATTGCCCCTTCCCCTTTTCCAGCCAGACAACTGTGCTGACAAATGACTTTACCTTCAGGCAGTGGCTGTCACGCTCACGGGCAAGACCTCACCTGGAACGTTGTGTATAGTGATGGCCAAGATGAGCAGTGCGATCCTCCTCCAGCTGCTGCCGCCGGGCTGTGCCAGATTCCCTCGAGAAGGCACAGGGACAGCAGGACCCTCTGGAAGGCCAGTGGCTGCCGCCTTCTTTCTCTGATATGCCTCACCATTCTCACTCTTGTCTGAGCAAAAAAAAAAAAAAAGAGAGATGGGGAAAGACAGCGCTTTGAACATGTGCACGTTAACTCTCCAGCAAGCTACAGCAGGAAGAAGCTTCTTTTTCTTTTTTGAGACAGGGTCTTACTCTGTCACCCAGCCTGGAGGGCAATGGTGTGATCACAACTCACTGCAGCCCCAACTTCCCGGGCTCAAGCCATCCTCCCATCTCAGCCTCCCAAGTAGCTGGGACTGCCATCTTCACTCCTCTCCAAAAAGGACCCACGTCACAATTGCCCATTCCAAACTTCCTGTAGACTATGCATGCTTCTGTGTGTTCTCTCATTCACTCAGGCATCCATTCATTCAGCGAACAATTCATTGACTAGGCTGAGCATGGTCACTCACGCCTGAAATCCCAACACTTCGGGAGGCTGAGGCAGGCAGATGGCTTGAGCCCAGGAGTTCGAGACCAGCCTGGGCAACATGGCACAATCCCATCTCTACAAAAAATAAAAATAAAGAATTAGCTAGGCGTGGTGGTATGCACCTGCAGTCCCAGCTACTTGGGAGGCTGAGATGGGAGGATGGCTTGAGCCCGGGAAGTTGAGGCTGCAGTGAGTTGTGATCACACCATTGGCCTCCAGCCTGGGTGACAGAGTAAGACCCTGTCTCAAAAAAGAAAAAGAAAAAAAAAATCACTGAACAGGCATTCAGTGCCCAATGCATAGGTACCAAGAAGGATAAAAAAGATGAAGATGTGGTATCCTAGCAATGCCTGTTTAAGACAAGCAATGTTGAGTCATGATTAGAGACACAGATGCCAGAACCATGCTGCCTGCTTCCCTTCCTGACTCAGCCACTGGCCAGCTGTGTAGTGCCAAATAAGTTGTTTCACCTCTCTGTGCAGTGGTTTTCTGATTCGTAAAACTAGAATAATAGCATTACCTATGTCACAAGCGTTTTGTGAGGATTAAATGCAACAATGTCTGAAAGTACTTAGAATGTACTAAGTGCTGATTGTATTGATGGTTATTGTTAGTATCATGTTCCCTCTCCCATAGCCGTACAGAATTACATAATATGTGACCCTGCTCTCCTGGTCACACTGATTTATGGGAACCAATTCAGACGCCTGGCTCAGCCAATCAGAATCCCTCTCCAGGGAGAATTGGCCACTCCAACGTGCAAGCTAAATCTGAAAAATCACGTGATGCGCGAGCAGCTCTGCCACAATGGAACGAGGGAAGCGGCTGGACAGACAATCAGAAGGAATCAGATATACATCAACAAGCAGAGATGGGAAACCATGCAGCTAGACAGGAGAGAGAAGGGCAGAACTGCAGCCCACGTGCCACAGACATTCATGGGCCATCCGTAGCACCCAGCCCTTGGGTTTTCTGAGCAAACCTTCCTTTTAAAAATGCCTTTACAAATTGGCTTATATTGGAAGAATGTCATTCTTAGAACCTTATTCTAAATATCCATGGTCCCCTGGGCTATTTGTTTATTCATAATGGAGCCAAATTGTGTGGATTTGAAATTGGGAGGACAAGAGTGGGAGAGAGCATCCAGCTTTCAGTTCACAGCATGGGATGGATTTGTGGGGAAGGCTTTCTAGAGGAGATAGGTCTTGAGTGAATCTTAAACACGTGATGGCACAGACAGAATGAAGGGTCCCTTTATTGGGAGAGAAAACCCAGCAAGCATAACTCAGGTGTCTGTTAAATTAAATAAGCAAAAGGCCATTGGTCTGAGGCTGTACTTTGAGTTGCTTCGCAGTGAACTACAACCTAACTTAGTATGTATACAAATGAAAATCTCATTAGGAGTATATATTTTTTGTAATAGGATAGCTAGATCTCAGTCAATCACAAGCGGCTGAGCTTCAACCAATCACAGGCAGCCAAGCTTCAGCCAACCAGAGGCAGCCAACTGATCAGACTAAGTCCAAATAAGGTAAATGCCTAACTGTAACCAATTAAGCTATTTCTATACTTTATTTCCTGCTTGAATTTCAAAAAACACGGAGCTCTCTGAATGTCTTCTAGTTTTGAATGCTGCCTAATTCACGAAGCCTTTAAT
Organism: Homo sapiens; assembly: GCF_000001405.40. Taxonomy (NCBI): domain Eukaryota; kingdom Metazoa; phylum Chordata; class Mammalia; order Primates; family Hominidae; genus Homo; species Homo sapiens. The sequence goes on from NC_000017.11 coordinate 72,851,864, forward strand.
GCTTAAATAAATTTAAAAACATTAGAAGAAAAAAACTTCTTTTGAAAATCATTTTGTGGCCAGGCGCAGTAGCTCACACCTGTAATCCCAGCACTTTGGGAGGCCGAGGCAGGCGGATCATGAGGTCAGGAGATTGAGACCATCCTGGCTAACACGGTGAAACCCTATCTCTACTAAAAATACAAAAATTAACTGGGCGTGGTGGCAGGCGCCTGTAGTCCCAGCTATTCGGGAGGCTGAGTGAGGCAGGAGAATGGCTTGAACCCAGGAGGCGGAGCTTGCAGTGACCCGAGATCCCGCGGCTGCACTCCAGCCTGGGCAACAGAGCAAGACTCCGTCTCAAAAAAAAAAAAAAAAAAAAAAAACAGAAAGAAAGAAAGAAAATCATTTTGTATTTATTTGCTCAAATCCTACAAGTACAGATTGAAAAGTAAGAAAGTACAGGGCAGGTAGACTCACTCCTCCCCAGCTCCCAATCATTTCTCTCTTACTAACAGCTGAATCTCAGTTCCATTAGGAAAAGGGGGGTCTTTGGTCCTCCACAACGCAAGGATGCCAGTCCTCCACTGGTCAGTAGCCCTGACTCACATAACCAGCCTGTGGAGAATTCAGCTGTCTCAATTGGATAGCAACTCCTCCCAGACAGTATTTACACAAGGCGAAGCTCCACACTCATTGTGTGGTATCCACACCATGTGTATGCATGTACGTGTGTGTGTGCATGTGTGCATGTGTATGTGCGTGTGGGTGCATACAACTGCTACTCAGTACCATCCTGAGATATTAGATCACCTTCGTGTATGTATGCACATGTGTGCACTTCTGTGCACACATTGGGGGAAGGGGTTTTATACATTTTGAGTAGACAATATGTAGATGACTCAGGCTGCAGATGCTGGTTGAGAAACTGAACTAAACATCTGGGATTTCAAGCTCACAAATGCTAAAGACATAAGCAAAGCAGTCCCTGAGAGCTGTCCATGAACTAACCTGGGTCATGGTGGAGGGTCCTCAGCTTTCTCCTAGATCAGTCAGCAAACATTCCTGATTTCCTGTGCCTGGTCTGAGCATACAGGCCTGCACTAGATGCTCTCCAGTGAGAGTTGATAGGGGCCAAAAGAAAAATCTCTTCTCTTGCAGACTTTTGATTGATTGATTGATTGATTGATTAAGCAGGGTCCCACTCTGTTGCCCAGGCTAGAGTGCAGTGGCACAATCTCAGCTCACTGCAGCCTCCACCTCCCAGGCTCAAGCAATCCTCCCACCTCGGCCTCCCAAGTAGCTGGAACTATAGGTGCACGCCACCATGGCCAGCTAACTTTTGTATTTTTTTTTTTTTTTTTCAGTAGAGACAGGGTTTTGCTGCATTGACCAGTCTGGTCTTGAATTCCTGGACTCAAGCGATCCACCTGCCTTGGCCTCCAAAAGTGCTAGGATTATAGGTATGAGCCACTGCACCTTGCCCCTTGGGGATTTTATAATTTAAGAGAGGGCAGACAGAGAAGACACACACAAATTCCCTCAAATCTAAGGGGCTAAACACACACTCTAACAATCACCGACAGTTGCGCTTGTTTTTGCCAATGTCACAAAAGGATCCTACTCTGAATCTCCTGCAGATACCGCACAGAGAGCAACAGACCTCGGACGCACCACGAGCAAATTCTAGCGTTCTGCTTGTGTTTTATAGGAACATCAAGGAGCATAAAGAATTCTTCACCAAAATAAAAATGCACGCCTGGCCCCAGGCTTCCAATGTGTGAAAACTGACGTCAGTGCCTTCCCTAGTAGGAAACAGGAGGGTGTGAATGCCTCACGTCCTTGTGAAAGTTAAATAAGCCACCATTTGGTGACAGCCACTAATGAGTCTGCAACAAGGAAGATTAGTCCAAATAAATCATTACAGAGTATGATGCGTCGTGAGCAATGAATCTTCTTGCCGCTCCTGGTAAGGCTAGTTCAACCATCACACCCATCAAGTAAAATGCTAGTGCGTGGGAAAAGGATGATCAGTTAGCGGAGGCAATTGCCAAGCACCTTGTGGGATGTGAGGGTGTGCCAGAGTGACAAGAACCTCGTGAGGTTTCTTGAAATTGGAAAGGTTTGGGCACTTTTGAAGTGGAGTTTGGGAAGGAGGAGTAGAGGGGGGACTATTTCATTTAGGGATGAAATAGTCAATGTCAAACTCAGAAGCAAAACAACATCAGAGACACTGGTTAATAGGTAATATTGGGAACTTATCTTCAATGAGTCCTCAATCCTTACAAAAGCCCCATGAAGTAGAGATTAATCCCCTTTAACGAATGAGTAAATTGAAGAACAGAGAGGCAGAGTAACTGGTCCCAGGTCACACAGCCAGTCTGCAGTGGACTCAGGAGTCGACTCAGCATCTTTGCCTCCAGGAGCCCCTCTTTTAACTAGGGCCTCATGGTTGACTGGGGATGAAGTGGGGGGTGGGGTGGGGGTGGAGAAAAGGCTGAACTGCTCATTGCTTGCCAAAAAAGGTAGTGGGAGCAGTTGCTGCCGTGAGAAGGAGAGTCTGGTGAGCTCTCATTGCCTGTGACCAGAGTGGGGAAAGACTCAGGAGAAATCTCGTATCTATAATCATTCTTACTTGCAGACAAACCTGAAACATTTCATGATAGTAGTATGTGTTAACCCATTAGACCTACTATTTCTAAGCATAAAGTAATTGCAAGCAGAAAATATTTACCCATGCTAAGCCCACAACACAGGCTTATACTTCTTTTGGGAAGGAGAATGAAGATTCTTTGTTGTTAGGAAAAAAAAGTTGCCCATCATTAAAATTTTGTTTTTTAACTTATAATTGAGCATCTAAGAATTCACACAAAGAAAGGACCCACTGCCAGGGCTCAGCCTCTCATCCTTCCCACTCCATCTTTCCTGGAAAAGAACCACAGTGCTACATGAAAGGGTGAGGACGACAATAAAACAGACAGAAAAGTCCCAGGCTCACTTTTCCCACGGAATCACCAGGTGATCTTTTCTGATGCATCCGCTTCCCTGATTTCCTCTTCCCCAAAACAAAGGACATGATTGTGGCCACAAAACATCATAGGATGGAGAAAAGCAGACACGGGTCTTGCGGGCACAAGCCCAGGGGCCATCAGCAAACCCTGCTGCCCAGGTAAGCCCCTGCCCTTCAAGGTCTGGCTTCCTCCCTGCAGAGTGGAAGTCTCTGAAGTCCTCTAGTGAATGGCCCCAAACCATTTTGGATCAGCAACCGCCTTTGAAAGTACGGCGAAAGTTACAATCCAGCAAAAAATACACAGACCATTTTGAAATAATTGTCGGGTCCTTATGGATTCAAGAACGTCAGACTGAGAACATCTTGCTAGATAAATGCCAAGTTAACCTCCGTTTTCATAGCCCACGGGCCCAATCACACCAGCAACACAGAATGTATGTGGTCCCTGAGATGGTGTAACCGGCTAAATCTAATGGGCCCAATGATGGAATTGCAGGCCCCCGATGAATATGGCAATGCTAATTAACAGAACACTAGCCAAGAGAGCTTTAACAACATTCCCATGGTATTATTGGAGATGATTTGGTTGGATTAGCACAAATGGCAAATCGTCATCTGTTAAGTGCAGAAAGCATCAAATCCCTGGAAAAACTCTTTCTAAACCCCTGTTACAAAACAAAATGAAGAGTGGCCAGCAACATATATTCATTAAGTAGTATGTATACACAAACAAAACCAAAGGCCAATCAAAAGCAGAATAGAGGCCGGGTGCGGTGGCTCACGCCTGTAATCACAGCACTTTGGGAGGCCGAGGTGGGCAGATCACAAGGTCAGAAGATCGAGACCATCCTGGCTAACACAGTGAAACCCCGTCTCTACTAAAAAATACAAAAAATTAGCCAGGCGTGGTGGCGGGCACCTGTAGTCCTAGCTACTTGGGAGGCTGAGGCAGGAGAATGGCGTGAACCCGGGAGGCGGAGCTTGCAGTGAGCCAAGATGGCGCCACTGCACTCCAGCCTGGGCGACAAAGCGAGAATCCGTCTCAAAAAAAAAAAAAGCAGAATAGAAGGGGATCAACTTATATTGTCCCTGCCTTCTTGTTTCCCAAAGAATCAGTCTAGTTTCAGGTAACACAAATTATTATTTACATTCTCATATGATGGGAACTTTTGGCTATTTCTAGACTTTTTTTCTTATAAATATCACTGTAAAACCTTTAATGTATATAAACAATCAGAAATTGGACAAAGTTCCCAGAAGTTGAACTGTTGATCAAAGGGCCATGATACAATTCCCTAATAAATTTCCAGGAAGGCTGTGTCACTTACCCATGAACAGAGTTTGCAAGTTCTCATTATGCCGCTTCTTAGCCCTGGTATTTCTCATCTTGAAATAAGTATATTTATTTATGGGGCAAATGACATTTCTCTTAATGGGTATTTCTTTGACTACAAGTGAGGTGGAACATTTTTCAATTTCAGGCATATTTCTTTCCTCTTTTGAAAGATGCCTGCTGCCCAAATGAGGCCTCTTTAAATAACAGTAATATGATTAGCTAATTATTTACAGACACTGGTAATTTTCCTGTGATCCGCTTAGGTTTGTCAATGAGACCTAGCTGGGAGTAGCAGGTATTATTATACATCAGACAGACGTATCCACTTGGCCAAGTTGGAGTTTTAGCCTCAAATTTTAAAATTCCTTTTTGAGATTCCTCAAGACATTATAGGGCTTTAAAAAAAAGTATTACCTGCTTTCCTTATGGAACTATGTAGTATGATCCTGAAAGCTAATTTTCTCAGGCAATTGTCTCTTTCAATATTAAAACTTTTTTTTTTTCTTTTTTGAGATAGATTCTTGCTCTGTCACCCAGGCTGGAATGCAGTGGCGCAATCTCGGTTCACTGTAACACCCGCCTCCCAGGTTCAAGCAGTTCTCCTGCTTCGGCCTCCAGAGTAGCTGGGACTACAGACATGCACCACCCCACCCGGCTAATTTTTGTATTTTTAGTAGAGATGGGGTTTCACCATGTTGGCCAGGCTGGTCTTGAACTCCTGACCTCAGGTGATCCACCTGCCTTGGCCTCCCAAAGTGCTGGGATTACAGGCGTAAGCCACCACATTCTTTTTTAAAAAACTTTCACTTTAGGTTCAGGGCTACATGTGCAGGTTTGTTATACAGGTAAACTCATGTCACGGGGGTTTGTTGTACAAATTATTTTGTCACCTAGGTACTAAGCCTAGTACCCAATAGTTACTTTTTCTGATCCTCTCCCTCCTCCCACCCTCCACCCTCAAGCAGGCTCTAGTGTCTGTTGTTCCCTTCTCTGTGTCCACAAGTTCTCATCATTTAACTTCCACTTGTAAGTGAGAACAACTGGCATTTGGTTTTCTGTTCCTGCATTAGTTTGCTAAGGATAATAGCCTCCAACTCCATCTGTGTTCCCAAAAAAGACATGATCTCATTTTTTTTATGGATGCATAGTATTCCATGGTATATATGTACCATATTTTCTTTATCCAACCTGTCACTGATAGGCATTTAGGTTGATTCCATGTCCTTGCCATTGTGAATAGTGCTGCAATGAACATTGATGTGCATGTGTCTTTATGGTGGAATGCTTTCTATTCCTTTGGGTATAAACCCAGTAATGGGATTGCTGGGTTGAACAGTAGTTCTGTTCTTAGCACTTTGAGGAACTGCCACAGTGCTTTAGTTCAACAACGGTTGAACTAATTTACACTCCCACCAACAATGTATACATTTCCTTTTCTCTGCAACCTCATCAGCATCTGTTATTCTTTGACTTTTTAATAATAGCCATTCTGACTGGTGTGAGATGGTATCTCATTGTGGTTTTGATTTGCATTTCTCTAATGATCAGTGGTGTTGAGATTTTTTTCATATGCTTGTTGGCCACATCTATGTCTTCTTTCGAAAAGTGTTCGTGTCCTCTGCTCACTCTTTAATGGGGTTGTTTCTTTCCTGTAATGTGTTTAAGCTCCTTACAGATGCTGGATATTATATCTGTCAGATGCATAGTTTGCAAAAATTTTCTCCCATTCTGTAGGTTGTCTGTTTACTCTGTTGATAGTTTCTTTTGCTGTGTAGAAGCTCTTAAGTTTAATTAGATCCCATATGTCAATTTTCACTTTTGTTGCAATTGCTTTTGGGATCTTTACCATGAAATCTTTCCCTGTTCCTATGTCCAGAATGGTATTTCCTAGGTTGTCTACCAGGGTTTTTATAGTTTTGGGTTTTAGACTTAAGTCTTGAATCCATCTTGAGTTGATTTTTGTATATGGTGTAAGGAAGGGATCCAGTTTAATTTCTATATATATGGCTAGCCAGTTATCTAAGCACTACTTATTGAATAGGAAGTCCTTTCCCAATTGCTTATTTTTGTCAGCTTTGTCGAAGATCAGATGGTTGTAGATGTTCAGCCTTATATATGGGTTTTCTATTCTGTTCCATTAGTCTATGTGTCTGTTTTTATACCAGTACCATGCTGTTTTGGTTACTGTAGTCCTATGGTATAGTTTGAAGTTCGGAAATGTGATGCCTTCAGCTTTGTTCTTTTTGCTTAGGATTGTTTTGGCTATTTGGCCTCCTTTTTGGTTTCACATGAATTTTAAAATAGTTTTTTCTAGTCTGTGAAGAATGTCATTGGTAGTTTGATAGGAATAGCATTGAATCTGTAAATTGCTTTGTGGCAGTATAGGCATTTTAATACTATCGATTCTTCCTATCTCCATAAGCATAGAATGTTTTTCCATTTGTTTGTATCATCTCTGATTTCTTTGAGCAGTGTTTTGTAATTCTCCTTGTAGAGATCCTTCACCTCCCTGGTTAGCTGTATTCCTAGGTATTGTATTCTTCTGGGGTCAATTGTGAATGGTATTGCGTTCCTGGTTTGGTTCTCAGCTTGGCTATTGTTGGCATATAGAAATACTAGTGATTTTTGTACAGTGATTTTGTATACTGACACTTTGTGTATTCTGACACTTTGCCTAAGTTGTTTATCAGCTAAAGAAGCTTTTAGGCCAAGACTATACAGTTTTCTAGATATAGAATCATGCCATATGCAAACAGGAATAGTTTGATTTCCTGTCTTCCTATTTGGATGCCCTGTATTTCTTTCTCTTGACTGATTGCTTAGGCCAGGACTTCCATTACTATGTTGAATAGGAGTGGTGACAGAGGGCAGCCTTGTCTTGCTCTGGTTTCCAAGGGAATTGCTTCCACCTTTTCCCCATTCAGCATGACAAGCATCACTCTTTTCAAAAGAAGAGGATGTACAAGAGCTTCTCTAATCTTCTTTCCCTCATAGCTTGGGAATTCTTGTAAACAACACAGGAGTTTTGTAATCAGTGCACACAAATACAAAGCACCTATTGTGGACAGGCTCCTTGCTAGGGTTGCCAGATTTAGCAAGTAAAGACAGGATGCCCAGTTATGTTTAAATTTCAGATAAAACCAAGATTGTTTTAGTGTAAGTATTCCCACATATTGCATGGGATCTACTTATGCAACAAGGTGTTCATTGTTTATTTGAAGTTCAAATGTAGCAAGGTAACCTGTATTTGAACTGACAACTCTACTTGAGCCCCTGAGGGGCTCAAGGGGCACTTCTCCTCTTGGAGCTGCAGATCCCGCTTGGGAACCCAGGCAGGGACAAGGGAGACCAGGACTTCCTGCTCCACAGACCCAATTTAGGGACCAGGTTCTATGGAGTTGAGCAAGCTGACTGCACTCTACCCTGAGAGCAGCCACATATTCATCTCCATGTAAAATCTATGCAGGATGTGCTACATGGGCCACGTGTAGCCCAGGGCAGGAGAAGATTCCACTGGAGACCAAGAAAACTTCATAGAAAGATAACTAAAATATTTATTATGGGCCAAGGCTGGCGGATCACAAGGTCAGGAGATCGAGACCATCCTGGCTAACACGGTGAAACCCTGTCTCTACTAAAGCTACAAAAACTTAGCCAGGCATGGTGGCACACGCCTATAGTCCCAGCTTCTTGGGAGGCTGAGGCAGGAGAATGGCATGAACCTGGGAGGTGGAGCTTGCAGTGAGCAGAGATCGCACCACTGCACTCCAGCCTGGGCGACAGAGTGAGACTCCATCAAGAAAGAAAAGAGACTAGACGAGGAGAGGGGAGGGGAGGGGAGGGGAGGGGAGGGGAGGAAGGAAAGAAAGAAAAGAAAGAGAACACAAATCAAATGGGATCGTGGCAAACTTTTGCCAAGGTTTGAGTTGAAGGTGGGTAGTGGAGCATGGAAAGAAAAACCCACAGGCAGCACTATGACAGAGTAGTCCTGCACAACGATGGGTGCCCTTGGCAGATCATGTTTGCTTCCTGCTAGTTTGCTAGTCTCGCCACCATCTTCCCATTCACAGGATCAGCAAAAGTGATTCAGACATGGGATCCACCATTTCCCTCACCAGGAGTACCAGGGTAGAAAGCCACAATTGCTGTGAGTCCCAGAAGTTTCCCCTTACTCATCTCTTCTGAATGTTCATTCTGTGTGTGTATGTGTGCGAGACAGAATATACACATGTATGTGCCCACATGCAGATTAAAAGTTGGGCACAGTTTATGAGTCTGTCATTTCCTCCAGTTCCTCTCCTGGGGATTGTCAATCAAATCAAAGGATGGTAGGTGCAGGCAGGTGGGGGCACAGGTGGGGACAACCTAAGTTGCTGGCATGCTGGACAAAGGCAACCAGTCCTCCCAGCAGGCACAGCTCAGGGAGACAAGCGAAAAACCCGTACCAGGCTTGGTGCACGTTCCTCTTTTCTTACTTCTTCAGGATTCTCTCTTTTCCTTTTTCTCTGAGGTATTGACAAGGAGGACTATCGGTGTCATTGCAAAGAAAGCAGGAACAATGATTCTGGGGGACTGAGAACCTGGGCCAACTGCATTCACTCACTGTAAAGCAGCTGTTTTTCTGCCCATACATGTTCATGCATCAGGGCGACCATTTCCTGGTTATGCATCTTTGGGGATGCTCATTGATACCCTCTGCGCCTCAGTTTATGCACTTGCCAAACGAGGGTAATAGTATTACCCACTCTACAGGATTGTTGTGGAGAGTGGATGAGAGTAGGTATAGGACCCATCTAGCACATAACACGTACAACACAAACCACATTCTCTAGTTTCTGCCACGAACTAGTATTGCACTTATAAAAATATAAAAGAAAGAGTAATGTCATCTAGTACACCTAATCCATTTTAACTTAAATCCAAAAGGGCAAGAGGCCCATGGTGGAGGAGAAAAAAATTAGATTATGATAAGATTTGGTGCAGAATTTTCAAATACCATCAAATGCCAATTCTCCATGTCAGCAGAGTGAAAGCATGCCTTGGCTATAATAGCAACACTTTTTAAAATTCCATGTTCACGCTGACATTTTCAACCTTCAGAAAGGATCACCCACTGCTAAAGATAATAGAGATTTTCCATCAATAAAAGGAGGGGACTGCTGCCCTTCAAGATAGTCTACACTGCTTTGGAATATGAAGTCACTTTGTGTTTTTTATTTTTAAATAGTGGATGCACTCCTCTCATGTCGTTTACTTAGGCTAACACTGACACAAGTTTGCACTTCCTAAAAAATGTTGCAGCCAGGAAGATGGGAATAAAGTAGGTCGCTAGCATCCTTAAAGCATGCTGGCTGGCTGGTTATCCAGAGCAGACTATGCTTGATAGACAGATTGACAGACAGACAGATGGATAAGATATATACACACAGATACATGGGTAAATACATGCACCATCTATATACAACACATTATATATATATATATATATATATATATATATAAAATATATATATTGGATATATATAGGATATATATATACACACATTGGAGATTATATATATATATATATATATATATATATATATATATATATATCCAATGCTATTTCATTAAGCCATTATATTTCTATTTTCAGGCTGATTTTTGTTCAAAAATTGTATATATATATGACTTTTAGAAATTCACTTGAGACATTGAAACTTAATGAAATAGCATGAGACAGCTAATTGCCAGGAAGAACAAGCACCACTCTGTGGTCCATGGATTTGTCCATATGAAATGAATGATAATAAAGGAAATGGTCAGGAGGAAAACTGGTTCCTGAAAAAAACAAAAACCAAAACCATGAATCAACCCATTCAAATGCAGCTCCTAGCAAGGGAAATACATCTCTTTCTCTGCCATTTTTTTATTGAGTCAGGGGCCATTGCCTTTTCAAAAGATGGCTGTCTTCTTTTAATGAATCCAATTAGTGCTATGCCAAGATGCCCAAGAGACTTAAGGTTCCACACAGACTCCCAGTGCAGGGAGGCTAAATTCTTGAAGCCTCTGCTTTCTGAGATGGAAGTGTTGGGTCAGAAGGGAGGCTGACAGACAAAGGCTGACCTGAGGTTGCGTGGAGCTAACAGAGCCAAGAAAAACGTTGGTTCTGAGACAGGAGGAAAAAAATAAATCAGAAATCAAACAGCATGGGACTTAGTGAAATCAATATGAGGACAAAGGAGGCTGCCCTGATGTTCAAGAATGGACCCTGCTTGGTGAACCCTAAGAATTAATGGAGCAGAGCAGAAACGTTTGCCAGGCTGGGAGCATCCTTTCCCATCCTGTTCCTACTTAGACAAGGACCACAGGGACACACAAAGAATGGCTTAGTTCCTAATGGAAAACAAATGCCATTCAGCAAAGGTTTTGAGAAGGAGCAAGGTGGCTGCTGAGAGCTTTGTTTTCTTTCCATTTCAGCTACGGGCAGACATGTCTTGCTGAAAAATGAAGGTTTGAGAAATACAGATTGTCCTAGTGTTCAGATGAGTACTGCCCACTAAGGTTAAAAAAAAAGGACCACAGGGCTGGAAGATGAAGAGGCAATTATCCTCAATTCAACCCTGTGGCTCCTATTACACAAAGAAAGGTGGGAAGCTGAGGCCACATGTGCATGCGGGAGCAGACTGTGAGTAGCTGTATGGTAGAAGACTGGAACTGAGCCCAGCCCAAGTTAACGATATTTTACAGTGGTTCTTGAGCTTGAGCATGCAAAAACAAAACACAAAACAAACGACAAGAAAACCCCACAAAAGCACTTGGGGAGCTTGAGCAAAGTGCAGATTCTTGGACTCCACAGTAGACCCAGGCAGGGCTTGGGAGTCTGCAGGTCTGACTGCTACTCCAGGTAACTTAATTCAGAGGAGGAAGATAGATCTAGGGGAAAACACAAAGGAAACCCATTAAAAATAAACTCCTAAGCTGGGCTCCCAAGAGCCCGGACCTCTTGCTAACTGTTTAGTGGGGATCTTCACTTGGGCATTATACTCTCATTTTACACACCTTGCCCCAAACGAAGCAAATTACCTTTTGCCAAGAACATGTTCCTCTTCTTGGAATCTCTTTTAGGATGACAGATTCCATAATCTCCCCCATTTACCAAGCCAGGAGCAACACAAGAGCAAGTGTCAGCATATGCAACTCACTCTGACAAACTCTGTTCTCGGAGGACCCAAGGGAAACCCAAGGAGGGACTCAGACCCTAGACACTGGGAGAGTGAGTGTGGAATAACCTGTGATGGTTCTACTCATAAGGCTCCCAAATCCAGTCCAAAGTATGTGAGCAGGAACCCAATATCCCACCCAGACACAGCCGCCTGTCACGTTTTCTTGAAGTTTAATATTAGAGTCTACCCCATAAACCACCTCAAGTGGCAAGTTCTGACCTCCTCACTGACATCTGTCCCTTATTTTGCCACTGCAGACCAGAGTCTGCAGACAGTCAGGTCCTGGCTCAGTAAGCCTTGTAGAATCGCCCATGCCAGAGGCAGGTGGTAGGGGTGGGCTACAGATTGCAGCGTGCCTGCTGCCATGGCAACGCACGAGCAACCAGGGATGGGAAAGAAGGTGCTTTACTTAATTGAAATCCAGGCAATGTCTTAATACGAAGCTCAAGGAAGTTAATGCTCAATTAGATTTTCTCCTGCCTCCTTTTTCCCCTTTCCATTCACGTCACCAAATGACTTTAACCATCCCTCTCTGCCACCAAAACAGAAAAACAGGGGAAAACCCATAAAACATCTCTAAAGTTGAGTCACTGTATAAACCACTGAGACTGAACCCTCTCCTCTCACCATACTCAAGCAAAAAGCAACCCAAGACGCCTAGGTTCTCTCTGTTCACTGCCAATCCATCTCAAAAGAAATTGTTTGCCCAAAGGATTCTTAAGACTGCATTGGCTTTGCCATCACCACCTCACCGGGGCCACCTTTTCTCACACTATGACTACGAATTACCTGGAGATTTAAAATGCATATTCCTTGCCTATGCATATATGGACAAAATGCATAAAATGCAGATTTCCTGGCCTCATCCACCAGATAGTTGGTTTAGGCAAATCAGAGACAGAATATAAGCATCGGCTTTTTTTTTTTTTTTTTCCTAGCAACCCGGGGAATTCTGATCTTGTCTAGAGCCAGATCCACCCTGTGAGAAATGCAGACCAACCGATTTGGGCTTTACCTGCAGATCTGTCCTTCATAGGACAGGCTGAGCCCAGCTAAAGGTGGACATCTAATGGCCTCACCAAATAAGCCATGGGCTGTGAAAGGGTTAACCGGGGTCCCCTGTTACTGCAGTCGTGAGTCCCCTAACATAACGATTCTGAACACCATAGATACACATGGAAAACGTGTCTTGGGGTCGATCCTAGCCACTATTTCTCCATTCTGCAAGGTGGAACAGGAAAATAAACATGCTCGTAATCCAAAAATATTCACTGATGAACTCACCACTTATAAAATTAGTCCTCCCACTAAAAAATTCCCTCCCTGCCTAAGAGCCCAACAGAAGTCCTAACCCGCTGCTCCCTGTCAGTCTGGGTGATTGTGAACATTTGTTTGTATTTTCATCTTATTGTGGAATTTGTGGAAATGTCAAGTTATAAGTCTTGAAAAAGATACAAGAAGCTCCAGGACATGATGCAGAAGAAAGGCTGTTCCCTGGCCGAGCCCAGAACACGAAGGACCCAGCTAGGGAGTAAAGATGAAAGCATGGCTGTTTTGCAAATTTAAATTTTGACTAGCCATCTATCTGATTCCAGCAAGATGAAGGATAAAGATAAACCAAAATCTCCCTCTACAAACACCTAGAAATGATGGGTGAGATGAACAGCAACAACAAAAAAATGTTTTAAATGCAGGTACAAGTTTGCAACAAAGGAAGGAAATCATTAATGATGAGAAACTAGAAACCGGAGCCTTAAACACCAAAACCAGTTCAGAGGTTGCCTTGGGGTGAATATGGGTCCCAGGAACAGGGGCCTGGGTGTTACTGTCCACATGGAGGTAAAGGGGAGGCCCTGGAACACACACACCAGGGGCTGAAATTTTACAAATGCAAGATTCATGGAATTCTGCCCCTATGCAGACAGGTGAAATAGGGGGAAAAAATTATGCACCAACAGAGAGAGACAAAAAGGATGCTCATATGTTTCTATGTGGTCTCTGAAGAAAAAAACTGCTCGAAAAAAAAAAAAAAAACAACTTTGGGCCTACACCTTGCAAAGGTCAGGGTATGAGTTTCTACTTTCTACATTGGCTAGAAAAACCCCACCATAAACATCAACATAAAAGCTGGTTCCAGGGTAACGAGGCTCTCAAAGGATGTTACAGAAACAAATGCAAACCTACTCTAAAAAAAAATACGCTCCCATGATCCAGGACGCTGAAGACCCTCAAGGAAAAATGCAGCCACCAGAGAAGGACTGACGTTAAAAAGCTGAAAGGTCTAAGAGAAATCAGCACTCCATGCATGAGAGTCAGCAGGCACCACCGACAGAGAGAAGCAGAACCTTTGTGTAATAGCTCTTTTTTAAAACAATATAAAACAGCCTAACCTTATTCAAGACCTAAAAGAAGAAATTAAAACCAAAATAACCACATACAACCAAGAAAAAACAGACGAACCCACTCGAACAACTACAAAATAAAATCCACAGTCATTTCTATTGAAAACTCAACAGACAAATTAGATAGTCGGATATTGGCTCAATGACTAACCAATGAGCTGGAGGATAAATCTAAATCAGAGAGAGGAAGAGATGGACAATATCAAGAACAGTTTAAAGCAGGGGTCCCCAATACCTGGGTCATGAACCAGTATCCGTCCATGGCCTGTTAGGAACCAGGCTGCACAGCAGGGGGTGAGCGGCAGGCAAGCAGTTGAAGCTTCATCTGTATTGACAGCCGCTCCCCATCGTTCACGTTACCACCTAAGCTCCACCTCCCGTCAGATCACCAGTGGCATCAGATTCCCACAGGACCACGAACCATATTGTGAACTGCATATGTGAGGGATCTAGGTTGCATGCTCCTTATGAGAATCTAATGCCTGATGATCTGTCACTGCCTCCCATTACCCCCAGATGGGACCATTTAGTTGCAGGAAAACAAGCTCGGGGCTCCCACTGATTCTAGGTTAGGTGAGTTGTATAATTATTTCATTATCTATTACAATGCAATAATAGAAATAAAGTACACAATAAATGTAATGTGTGTGAATCATCCCAGAACCATCCCCCACAACCCCCAGGTCTTTGAAAAAATTGTTTTCCACGAGACAAGTGTTCACTTTAAAGTAGTATACCAAATCTTAAGATAAATAATACATAGACACACATACAAACACACACACAATCACATCATACTGAAACTGAAAACCACTAAAGACAAATGAAAAAAAATGTATACACAACCAGAGAGAAAGACAAAAACTTGAAATGAAGCTGCTGCTGTGTGCATTTTTATAATGCTTACAGAGAATGCAATGCAAAGCACAAATCTTCAGATGGATGAATGCCAACTAATTAGAATAATAAGTGCCAAAGGAAATGGACATTTCTATTAACCTACACATTTAAATGCAATTTGATTTTTCTTTCAAAAGTCAGAGCTAAATACTTTATTTAGCTAACTAACTAAAGCCCCTCACAGATCCTAAAATCCCCCATAGATTCTAAGTGAAGAGATATTATAAGAGAAATCAAAGGCAATCAATTTCACACAAGAAGCAATGGTGAGCAAAGATATTAGCAAAAATGTTGGAAAATGGAAGCAACCATTGATTGTAAAATACAAACGAACAAAAACAATAACAATACTAGCAACTCATTTGGGAGGTATCAAACAAAGGGAGATACTAAAATACTGGAAAAGTAGTAACATTAAAGCATTCTAAGGTCCTCTGATTGGTAGGGAGGAGGGGAGAGATGCAGATTAATTTTAAACACCGTTATTAGGTCAACTAGGCAAGTTTAAAGAAAGTAAAAGGAAGCCAGGAGTGGTGGCTCACACCTGTAATCCCAGCACTTTAGGAGGCCAAGGCAGGCAGCTCACTTGGGGTCAGGAGTTCGAGGCCAGCCTGGACAACATGGTGAAACCCCGTCTCTAATAAAAATACAAAAATCAGCCGAGCATGGTGGCATGCACCTGTAATCCCAGCTACTCGGGAGGCTGAGGCAGGAGAATTGCTTGAACCCAGGAGGCGGAGGTTGCGGTGAGCTGAGATCGCGCCACTGTACTCCAGCCTGGGCGACTGCGTGAGCCTCCATCTCAATAAACAAACAAACAAATAAAGGAAAGGGAGACACAGACAAGATACTGAATTGAAAACTTCCAAATTAATAAAGCGTAAGGGGGATAAAAAGAGGAAAATAAAAATCAATCAATCCACTGAAGTACTAAAAAAGGAAAAAGAAAATGCATGGTAAATAAAATACGAGGAAGGAGTATAAATCTTGAGCCAGGCCATACCCACACACAAGAAAGGGCTGTTCCTCAAGACAGCCCCTGGTGTGTTGAATGAAGTGCGCGCGCACACACACACACACACACACACACACACGCACACACACCTATGCACAAACACACTAGACCCAGATGGTATTAATAGTGTTAAAAAAATTAATTGAAACACTATTAGGCTGAGATGACCCTAGTGCCTTGGGATCCTACATAAGCAAACCAAAACCCAACTCACTGTAAATGGTAAAACAAAATTGAAGCTTAGCCAATCAGAAACTGCCAACTAACCTCTAACTAGGGATTTTCCACTTTAACCAATCAGATATTTTCTTAGTCTTGCTTCCTGGAACACCTTATAGAAGTTTTCCTACTCACACACCCTGGGCAAAGCCCTGATCACTTGTGGTTTAATACTGGCCAATTCATGAATCGTTCGCTGCTCAAATAAACTCTTGAAAGTTTTTATGTGCCTAAATTTAACTTTTAACATTGGTAAAGACCGTCTTGTTATAGAGGAACAAATAATCCCCATCCCATGCTAACTATTCCAGAGAATAAATAGAAAAATGAGGAGAGAAAGAAAAATAAGTAAAACTCCCCAACTCTGCATGATCTGGATGAGGTTGGTATAACTTTAACCTTAATATTCAGAGGGAAAAAATAATAAAAGCAACAATATTCAAACCAGAGGAATGTAACATAAGAAATAAGTTTTAGGCCATGCTAACTTAAGAACATAGATGCCAACTGCTAGAAATAAAAAGGATAATAGCATCTATCAAAAATGTGTCTACGGAAAATCTTCAGTAAGGCTGGGCACAGAGGCTCACACCTATAATCCTGGTACTTTGAGAGGCTAAGTCAGGAGGATGGCTTGAGACCAGTAGTTCAAGACCAGCCTCGGCAATATAGTGAGCCCCTGTCTCTACAAAAAAAAAAAAAAAAAAAAAAAAAAAAAAAGAAAGAAAAAATTAGCCAGGTGGGGTGGCACATGCCACAGGCCCAGCTACTTGGGAGGCTGAGGTGGGAGGATAGTTTGAGCCCAGAAGGCAAGGCTGCAGTGAGCCATGATCCCACCACTGCACTCCAACCTGGGTGACAGAATGAAACCCTGTCTCAAAAACAAAAAAAAAATCTTCAGTAAGTATTATATGAATGGTAAAAATGTAGAAATGTTCGCTTTAGAGTTCCACGGATAGACAGAACTCTAAAGATGGCACCCAACATTTGCCTCTCTCCCTGCCTAGAGTACACACTTTGCATAATCCCCATGGATAGGATGAATTTCACTGCTGCGAAACTCAGCTCAGCTGACTTTAAGACAGGGAGGTTAGCCAGGTAGGCCTGACCTAATCCCATGAGATCTTTAAAAGAGAGAGCTTTCTCCAGCTGATCTCTGAAAGGAAGTCAGAGGTTCTTCTGGGAATAAGGCTCAGGCATGAGCCTTTGAAATGGACATCCCCAAATAAACGAGCCCCCCATGTTGTCCTTCCCAAGTGGCACCAGTGAAAGTAACAAGAAGCCCAGAGAACATCTGCTGACTGAGGAGGCCCCAGCTTTTGACAAGGTGTCCATCTGGAAGCATCTGGGACAGAGTCAGCTTCTCAAACCTTGTGCATGTTAAATACGGAAGCATGGTCTCCTTCCCCAGAGAATCTGGTACTACGAATAAGTGGGAAATGCATTTTTATTGATTGATGGATTTTTATTTATTTTTGAGATGGAGTTTCGCTCTTGTTGCCTAGGCTGGAGTGCCATGGTGTGGTCTTGGCTCACTGCAACCTCTGCCTCCCGGGTTCAAGCAATTCTCCTGTCTCAGCCTCCCAAGTAGCTGGGACTACAGGCACCCGCCACCATGCCCAGCTAATTTTTGTATTTTTAGTAGAGACCATGTTGGCCAGGCTGGTTTCAAACTCCTGACCTCAGGTGATCCACCCACCTCGGCCTCCTCGGCCTCCCAAAGTGCTGGGATTACAGACATGAGCCACCACGCCCAGTGAATTTTTAAAAATTGATTTTCATAATACAAAAAGCACATAGAGAAAAGAAACTGGCATGTAATCCCCATGCCCGGATAATCCCTGCTGACATTTGAAAGCACGAAAGTAACACATGTTCGTGTTTAAAATGCAAATAGAACAGAAAAAGCTGAAATAAAAACCAGAACTGTCTCTCCCCTACCCCCAAGTATTTCTTCCCACAAATAACTGGTCACAGATTTTAATGTATTCTTCTAGAAAAAAAATATTATAATACCAGGGCATATGTCCTTCTCAACATTTCTACCCCAAAGGAATTAGATCGTATCCAGTTTTGCAGCTTGCTTTTTTTTTCTTCTTCTTCTTTTTTTTTTGTTTAGCATAACCTGTAGATTTTTCTACATCTGCATTTTTAAAAACTACCTCATTCATTTAACTAGGCTCAAGGCAGGGAAGGAATCCCATTTTTAATCAGTGCTTAAGGTGAGTCTAATGTGCGAGGTCAGCAGACCACACTGAGAAACCCTGATCTGAGACAGGTGTATGCATGTGGAACTCTCTGGTTTCTATGCCAATCCATGCTAAGGTCTTGGGAATGTCCTCTTCCTCTCCCTAACAAGCAGAGGCCCAGATTATCTCTGAACATCCCAGATTTAGGTATGCTGTCCCAATACAAATGGAGAAATATTCCTCTCCAGACTGTGTTTATCCACCTGCAAGGGTCTCATGATAACTTCCAGGAGTTAGGTAGCATGAGATAGAAAATTATTCCTGGCTTCACTGCTGAAAACGGGTGCCCTGCGGCAATGTGTTCATTTGCAAAGCATCTTCGCTAGACTCCCAAATTGCCACTCATCCATTTTCAATCTTAGGTCATTGCCAAAGCAAAGCAAGCAGCCAAGACCTGGTGTTGGTCTCATACAGCCCCAGATGCTCTCCAGATGCAGAGACCCCTCTCCCCATTCCTCTACAGGCCACGCTCTCCTGCAGATTTGTGGCCAATTGGTAAGTAGCTCCAAGATAATGTTGCTACGGATTTGCCTCAAGCATCCTTTTGCAGTCTTACTTATCTTTTAACTGGAAAAGGTTTGCCTGCTAATGAGCCTATGTTATCCTTCATCTAATTATCTTTGGCAATCCCCTCTTCCCTGGCTGCCGCAATGTTAAGGGCCATCAGTCAGAGATCTGCAGGTGGAGAGGTATGATACTGTGATAGAATAAGAATTACATATTTTGGTCTTCATCTTGATTCCTGACACAGAGCTCTTAAAATCCTTGTACATTTCCTAAGTGATAGGAACAATAAAGGAATAAAGGAGAGTCTTTTGTTATTCATAACAAGCCCTTTTCTGGTTTTTGGTTTTTTTTGTTTGTTTGTTTTGTTTTTGTTTTTTTTTTTTTTTTGGTTTTTCTGAGACAGAGTCTCTCTGTTGCCCCAGCTGGAGTGCAGTGGTGCAATCCAGGCTCACTGCGTCTTCCGCCTCCCAAGTTCAAGTGATTCTCCTGCCTCAGCCTCCCGAGTAGCTGGGACTTCAGGCATGTGCCACAATGCCCGGCTAATTTTTTTGTATCTTAGTAGAGACAGGGTTTTACTATATGCCCAGGCTTGTCTTGAACTCCTGAGCTCAGGCAATCCACCCACCTCAGCCTCCCAAAGTGCTAGGATTATAGGCATGAGCCACTGCACCCGGCCTATAACAAGCCCCTTTCAATCACACCTAAGTTTACATGTGTGCGGTGCCTTTTGGAAAGCCCTTAAGGATGGGGGGCGCTGTTTGCCAGGGGAAACAATCATGAGATTAGAGAGTTGAATTTGGGCCCCACACCCAAACCTGGCCTCTGGGGAGGAGGAGAGGGCCTACAGGTTGAGTTGATCACCATTGGCCAATGATTTAATCCATCATGCCTGCATAATGACCCATCCATAAAACCCCAGAAGGACGGGGTTCAGAGAGTTTCCTGGTGGCTGGACATGTGGGGTGCTGGAAGGGTGACATGTGCCCCATCCCCCAGGCCTTGTCCTGTGTGTCTCTTCTACCTGGCTGTTCCTGAGTTGGGTCCTTTTATAATAAATTGATTACCTGTAAGTAAATTGTTTTCCTGAGTCCTATAAACCATACTAGCAAATGATCAAACTTGAGGAGGGGGTTGTGGGGACCTCTGATTTACCCTCCAGTTGGATGGGTGAGAGCCTGGATCTGTAATTGTTGTTTGAAGTGGGGGCAATCTTGTGGGATGTAGCCCTTCATCTGTGGGACCTGTTGCTGTCTCCAGGTACACAGTGGCAGAATTGAATTCAATTGTAGGACACTCAGCTGGTGTCCTTACAAAACTGGAGAATTGCTTGGTGTAGGAACACTGCACACATTTGGTCACAGAAACGTTCTGTGTTGAGTGATAGTATAAAGGCAATGATTTTTCCTATACAAGAGGTAAAGAGAGTAATGTCTATGATGGTGTCTGCTCCTGTCCCAGTGCCTGGGGAGGGCAGGTGATTCCAACCCAGCAAAGTCCCAGGAGTGGAGGGAGTTGGAAGCCAAGACCCACATCCCTGGATTTACAGACCCTCTGGGGTGTGTCCCTAGCTTGCCACCCACAGCGCATCCACATCCTCACACATGGGAAACCCTAGGATACAGCTGAGCTCCACTCTGATCCCCAGGGGCGTTGGAAGGTCATCAGGGCCAGATGGGTACAAACCACCCAACTCTGCCAGATTCTCAGATTCGACAGACGGGTACAACCCACCCAACTCTGCCAGATTCTCAGACTCAACTGGTCTCTCGAAATAAGGATGTAACAACGTGGGGGCAGTGGCGTAGCTCCTAACTGGCTATGGCACCGAAAAGCTGATGAAACTGCCTTTGCGAAAATTATGACAGTGATAGAAATCTTACATAGCTGATCCATCTTGCTTCTAACCTCATAAGCTGTCATCCCTGGACATAGGCCAAGCTAGCTACAGGAGGAAGTTAGTTTCTAGTGTAACTTTAAAACAAAGATGATAACAGTCCCTTGCCAAAACTAACCACCCCCTCCGTTGTGGGGACTGAAACTGTCTTTGTAAAACTAACCAATTGGCCACCAGGTTAGAATTATGGTTCAGGGGCGGGTGCAGTGGCTCATGCCTGTAATCCCAGCACTTTGGGAGGCTGAGGCAGGTGGATCACAAGGTCAGGAGATCGAGACCACCCTGGCTAACATGGCGAAACCCTGTCTCTACTAAAATACAAAAAATTAGCCGGGCGTGGTGGCGGGCACCTGTAGTCCCAGCTACTCGGAGGCTGAGTCAGGAGAATGGCGTGAACCCGGGAGGCGGAGCTTGCAGTGAGCCGAGATCGCGCCACTGCACTCTAGCCTGGGCGACAGGGGCAAGACTCCATCTCAAAAAAAAAAAAAAAGAAAAAAAAAAAGAATTATGGTTCAGGACTCATATAGCTGGAGGTTACAAGATCTATAACCTCCCCAGTTGCTCCTATTCTTAACATCGCTATTATAAAACCTAAGACTGGTATTTGAGGTGTTTTTCAGACCTCACGTTCTGATGGACCGGCTGGCACCACCTGGATGGGAAACCTATACCAAGAAACTGACTCAGCTGGGTCCTGTGACCTCTACCCAGAAATTGATTCTGCACAAGAAGATAGCTTCAACCCTCTGTGATTTCATCCCTGAGCCAACTAATCACCTTATCCATTTCCTAGCCCTCTGCCTGCTAAACTACCCTTGAAAAACTCTAGCCTCCAAATATGTGAGGAGGAGGACTTGAGATACATCTCCCATCCTTCCAACTTGGCTGGCCCTATAATTATCAAACTCTTTCTCTTCTGCAACTCTTGCCATTAAGTGTTTGGCTTTTCTGGGCATCAGTCAACTGCACTAAGAAAGCAGGTTTGCAGAATGAAGAGAGCTGATGGAAAACAGAAAAAAGAGACCCTGGTGGGAGGCAAAGGAGAATATGTGAACACGTGCCCTCAATTTCCCACCCCCTGACTCTAGCACCCCATGAGACTCAACTTAGCACACTGCCCTTGGATTGTTTCCTTGGAATATATTCTGCCTTCCTCCTTTAGCTGGTCTGAACTGGGTTTCGCTCCCAGAAACGGTTTGGCTCTGTGTCCCCACCCCCACAACAAATCTCACTTTGAATTGTAATAATCCCCATGTGTCAAGGGTGGGACCAGGTGGAGATAACTGAATCATGGGGGCAGTTTCCCCCATGCTATTCTCGTGATTCCTTCTCACAAGATCTGATGGTTTTATAAGGGGCTCCCCCCACTTGCTCAGCTCTCACTCTTTCTTGTGCTGCCTGTGAAGAGGTGCCTTCCACCATGACTGTAAGCTTCCTGAGGCCTCCCCAGGCACGCTGAACTGTGAGGCCATTAAACCTCTTTCCTTTATAAACTACCCAGTCTTGGGTATGTCTTTAATATCAGCGTGAGAACCGACTAATATACTCCCTTCCAACCACAGGCACCCTTCCTTGATGAAGACAAAACCACAGTTGCAATAAAGTCTTAATGGTTGACAGTATAATAGGAGACAAGGTAAGAAATGATCACTTAAATGTTTGCCAAGGGAAAGTAATCACCTGGGACTGGTGAGCATAAATGATTTTTGCTCCAAAGCAAAGAGAAAATCCAGAGTCCACTCTGGGTTTCCTGCCCGATGTAGAACTGTCTCTGTTCCTTCTCTCCCACCCCGGACATGCAGTTCCCTCTCATGATTTTGTGGGAAAGCTCCATCCTCAGCTAGGATGGATGCTCTGTGGACAAGAAGCTGAGGCGTCCATCTGCAAGGCTGTCGCAGGGATGCTGAGCAAAGCTGACACCAGGAGGGAGGGGAAAACCCCGCTGCTGGTAATTCAAGGTCCTATAATCTTCTCCCATTTTGCAGGTGAACAGCCTGGTATAGGAGCCTGAAGTTATCGGTCCAGAAAGAAAATGCAGGTTCCTGTCTCCTGTCACCTTCAAAACCTTGCTTCCAAAGAAATCATCAGGGAACACCCTGAGAGGAAAGAGCGAGCCCTGAAAAATGAGCAGAAGTATCCTTGATGGAGAGGAGGAAGTGGTAGCAATGTTGGGTTTTGTCTGTATTGGCCATAGCCAGCAAAAGCCCATTCCCCTGTCCCGCTCTAAGAAGAAAGCACAGCCAGGGCCTCCAACCCAACTGTGGACAAAGGAAATAAGACAAAGATTGTAGAGTTTGGGACCCAGTCATTCCTCGTTCTTTCCCACTGAAAACTGAGTGGAATACATTTTGTACCCCAAATGAAGCTAAAGAATATTACAGTGGCTGCAGGTTGAATAAACTGGGGGAAAGGAGGGAGAGACCAGAACCAAAAACACTCAGATGGGCAAATATATCTCAAACACAGCACGAGAGAAACACAGGGAGTAAATCACAGCAAAGAGAGAAAAAGAGGAGACAGGGTTATTTTGGGAAGAAAAAACTGGTGCAATTAGATGCAGAAATAACATTTTCAAAGGGGAGGAAGTCACAAGAAATGTAAGGAAGTGAGCTGTGTATATTATTTTAAATCTTGTTCACATTAACACTGTAAATATTCCAATTAATTCATCATTATTGAATTTGCCAGCAAGGCTAAGGGTAAAACTTCAGCCCAAAGTTTAATTATACCGAGGCAGAGTGGAGCATTTTTCATGTCCCCAAGAACTGCCAATGGAGAAAGATGAAGCTTTCATAATGGCCAGGGTGACAGCCACCTTTCTGAACACAGCTGTTACCTACCTGAGGACTTCCCAGGAAGCCAGCGGGATTCTGGAACCCCCTGAGGTTGTCCAGCTAATTTGCAAAGTGAGACAGAGTTTTATGGAAAAGCTATTCAAACCCACTGATGCCAAATGCTCCAACAATCTGTCCACCCTTCCCTTCCTCATCTCCCACAAAGGCACCCATGGCTGTGCATGTTTATGCGTGTGTCTGTCATCCTACATTCATGTGGCTCTGGTTGATTTCCCAGTTCGCATGCATTTACTTATTAACGATGATCTAATTCGGAGTCATTGTTTCTTTTCTAATCTATTTCTTTCTTTTCCCTTAGAGCACTTTCAATGCTTACTGTGTCAGACCCTCCTTCTGAGGAAGGAGGTGGGACTTGATTCCAAAGGCGAGGCTCAGTCACGGGACCAAACTGAGGACTAGCTAAAACAGGGGCAGGGTGGAAGCAGCTTTCTATTAGACATGTCCACCCAGTGTGCCATATCAGCTTAACACTGCCATGGCAACATCCTGGAGCTACCACCCCTTTCCATGGCAATGACCCAATGACCCAAAAGCTGCCACCCTTTTCCTAGGATTTTCTGTATATAATGCCCCTTAATCTAAATGTAATTAAAAGTAGGTTATAAATATAACTGCAAAACTGCCCTGAGCTGCTACTCTTGTCACACTGCCTTATAGGGTAGCCCTGCTCTGTGGGACCAGTCATGGGAGTGTCAAAGTTAAACCTGGAATGTTTCCTTCTTGTGATTTTGGGACATAACCATGCTCTGCCATGCCCAAAAGCCTCCATCAAGATCAATGGGTGGAAACAGAAATTGGATTATGGTGGTCAAATAAAAAATAAAGAGCTATTGTAGAATACTTAGGGGAGAAATGGGCAATGGTCAAATGCTTCATATCCCCTGGCCCCAAAGCCAAAGTCAAGTACAAAGAAGCCAAGGAAGCATGTTGTTAAGTTCCAAAAGTTTGTCTCTGCTTGTTAGAACATAGTGCTAGCAAGATCACAATCACAGGAACTTATGAAACAGGCCTAATTGTTGCATGAAACTGATATTTATGGTTTCTTTTGAATAAACACAGAAATGGACCCTCCCAGCCTTAAAACTTGAGAAAGTTACATTCGTCTTATCTGAGTTCCTTTCTCAGAAAACCAACCACCTAGTGCCTAGATAGTATCATGGAGCTGAAACTTACCAATCACTGCATCTGGACAATGAAACCCCTCACCTGTCATGATCACCTAACTGATCATGTGCTTCCTATTGACCAACTCCTCTACTCCTCCCTAATTCCTGTTTCCCCACACATGGTTCCATTTCTTCCCTGCTATATAAACCCCCTAATTTTAGTCAGTTGAAGAGAAGGATTTGAGACTGACCTCCTATCTCCTCAGCTGCAACACCTGATTAAGGCCTTTCCTGGCAGTACCCACTGTTTCAGTGATTGGCTTTCTGTGCAGCAAGCAACAAGACCTAGACCAAACCCCTGGTTTCAGTAACACTTAGAGCCTACAGAAACCACTCCAATTTCCCTGTGCCCACAACCACAAAATAAGCTCCCAGGCCCTAGCCAGGCACCCAGCAAATGCAGGTCCTTGGCTACAAGGTAGGCTAAGAAAAAATGCATAATGTAGGTTAGTGTCCCACCTGGGTTAGATAAAATCTAATTAAGCATCATCTTATCAAAAGAGCCAAAAGAATCATCATCTCTATAAAGAAGGGCACCAACACACACACATACACTCCCTTTTCTTTAGATCATTGTAAGCCTCAAGTTATAAAAAATGATGGTGTGTGTTAGGTGTGTGCTTTGGAGGGAAAATGCCAGAAAAGGCTTTGTGATCAAATGTTCCTGTCTTTCCAATCTAACTGCCTTTCTCTCTCACCTCTCTTTGCTTCAAGAACATTCATGACACTGGGTCTCTGAATAGTAATTCACAAGGCAAAATTATTGGCGGCTTTATATTACAGCCCATTTTCCTGACTCCTTTGAAGGGTGGGCAATTAGAACCTCAAACACAATTTTTTCATTCTGGCCAGTGCCACGTTAAAATGGGCAAAAAGCGGGGAAAATGGCCTCAACCTTTCTTTCGCAATCAGTTCACGATGCTTGATTGAAACCTACCAATTACTTTTCCCCCCATTTGCTCATGAGAGGTAATCAAGGTGGAAGAAAAATCTGAAGCTAGGAGAGACAGAGAAATTGCAGGCAATTTTCCCAGTGAAAGGGCTTTCTCTAGCTGCCTGATTCTGATGTCCCTATTAGGAGCTGGCTGAACATGGTCCATGGTCTCACGACAGACTTGGAGAGACCGGGGACAGCGTGCTTTACTCTGGCGCCTCAGGTCCAGAGCACGTGATGGCACTGGCCTTCATCTTCATTTTTATTTTTTTATTTTTATTTATTATTATTATTATTATTATACTTTAAGTTTTAGGGTACATGTGCACAACATGCAGGTTTGTTACATACGTATACATGTGCCATGTTGGTGTGCTGCACGCATTAACTCATCATTTAGCGTTAAGTATATCTCCTAATGCTATCCCTCCTCCCTCCCCCCACCCCACAACAGGCCCCAGTGCGTGATGTTCCCCTTCCTGGGTCCATGTGTTCTCATTGTTCAATTCCCGCCTATGAGTGAGAACACGCGGTGTTTGGTTTTTTGTCCTTGCGATAGTTTGCTGAGAATGATGGTTTCCAGCTTCATCCATGTCCCTACAAAGGACATGAACTCATCATTTTTTATGGCTGCATAGTATTCCATGGTGTATATGTGCCACATTTTCTTAATGGCACAAGGGGATCTCTCCTTTCCAGAACCAGGGCAGTCCGTCCCTAGAGGGACCTTGACTCTGTCAACCGACACTGTCACCTTCTGCTACCATCTTGGAAAGGGTATCTGGATGTTTCACTTCTCTTGGGGATTTCCAGAAAAAGACAGCCCATTAGGGTATTGTCTTCATGTATTTTAGGAAAATAAACAAGGTCCCCAGCCCCAGGGGCCTTCTTGCTGTGAACACACCAAGCTTGTTCCAACCTCTGGGCTTCTGTTCCTGTTTTTCTCTCTTGGCCTGGTATTCTCTTCCTCTAGACATTCCCATCATAACGGCTTTTGGCCAACATCCTTCAGACCTTACTCACATGCCATCTTCTCAGTGAACAGTCTCAATATCCCACTTAAAACATCAACATCCCCTACACCCCCTTTATTGCTGTATTTTTCTCCATACCTGTACTATATATAGGAATAAAATCCCATAATATTTTTCCCTACTCTCATATAAAAATCAACACAGAATACTTCTATGACCTCTGGTCACCAAACTGTATGGGGATTTCTCCCCACCAACATGGAGTGGGGGTAATTCAATTCAATCCAGACACTATCTACCTGGAGGTAGCATCAGATCCCACAGGTGAAGGCTCAGTCCCAAAAGACTGCCCATACTTCAGGTCAATTGCAAGTAGTAGGTTGTCACCTATGCTTCTGACTGATCCACTATAAATTGGGGTTCACACTAGACCTTCCTTGGGTTCAATTAATTTACTAGGATGGCTCACAGAACCCAAGGAAACACTTCACTTATGTTCACCATTTATTACAAAGAGTATTTTAAAGGATACAGATGAACAGCCAAATGGAAGCAATGCATAGGGAGGTTATATAGGAAGGGGGCGTGGAGCTTCCACGCCCTTTCCAGGCACACTATCCTCCAGGAACCTCCAAGTGTTCAGCTATCAGGAACTCATCCAAACCTTGCCCTTTGGGTTTTTTATGGAGGCGTCATGATTTAAGCCTGAATCATTAAGTCATTAGCCCAGAGGTCAGGAGGTGAGATTGAAAGTCCCAACCTTCTAATCATGCCCTGGTCTTTCTCTTCACCAGCCTCCATCCTGAAGCTATCTAGGGGCTCCCAGCCACCAGCCATCTCGCTTCCATACAAAAGATACTCTTATCACTCATACAAAAGATTCTCTTATCAACTCCAGAGATTCCATGGGTTTTAGGAACTGTATGCTAGAATGCCGGAGGAAAACCAATTATATATTTCACAATATCACAGTATCACTCACTGCTATCTAGTTTCTACATGCTCTTTTTACTTCATTATCATTTCTGCTGCCCAAAGCTAACACAAGCTCTGTGAGGACAGGAGGTTTTGTCTGTTTTGCCGTAGTGTTACTAAAACCACCCTCACAGGGTGAACAAGAATGACAAGCCAGGCTTTAGGCAGGATTATAGTTAGGCATGACCAGGGTGCCCTGGTGTACTTCAACCCACTTCCCTGCAGCTGCTGAGTGACAGGTAGCATGCTGACCACCTGCCCTCCCATTGTTTCTATAGATAAATCTCTCACCCTAGACCTTTTTACCCAAGAATTGCTTCAGGAATTCAGAAATTCCAGTGAAACTGGCAAATGCCACCTGGTCTGAAGACCCCCGCCAAGGAACCGACTCAGCACAAGAATGTGGTTTCTTCAGCTCCCTGTCCCATGACTTCACCCTACACTTTCTGACCAATCAGTGACCCCCACATTTTACCCCATCATTTGTCCAGACTCCTTAAAAACCCCATCCTCAAACCTCTTGAGGAGGCTAATTTGAGGTTTCCTCCCATCTTCTCATTCAGCTACCCTGAGATGATTAAACTCTTTCTCTGCTGCAACTCCTGCTGTTTCAGTGTGTTGGTCTGTTACTGCACAATGGGTTTAAGAGCATCCTAAGAGCTCCCTACTCCTCACACACTGCCTGGCACATAGCAGGGGCTCCATGATCTGTCATCCATCATCCATCACGATGTGGGGAATGACAGAGGACAGCAAAGTACGCCCCACTCTTCATGGGGTTTATGAAGAAGAAAAGAACTTGGGGCTGGGCATGGTGGCTCATGCCTGTAATCCCAACACTTTGGGAGGTTGAGGCAGATGGATCGCTTGAGCCTAGGAGTCTGAGACCAGCCTGGGCAACATGGTGAAACCCTGTCTCTACTCCCCCACAAAAAAAAACCTGTTGGGCATGATGGTGCATGCCTGTGGTCACAGCTACTTGGGAGACTGATGTGTGAGGATAACTTGAGCTCTGGGAGGCAGAGGTTGCAATGAGCTGAGATCTCTCAACTGCACTCCAGACCTGTCTCAAAAAAAGGAAAAGAAAAGAAAAGAACTTGGTATTGCAGAGAGGAGACAAGTAAATGCAAGGGAAAAATTGGGAGAGGGGACTGCCTCTCACCTCTTAAAACAGAGATACCCAAGTTCAGATACATGGCTTTTTTTTTTTCTTTTTCAGACAGAGTCTCGCTCTGTCACCCAGGCTGGAGTGCAGTGGCATAATCTCAGCTCACTGCAAGCTCTGCCTTCTGGGTTCATGCCATTCTCCTGCCTCAGCCTCCTGAGTAGCTGGGACTACAGGCGCCCGCCACCACGCCCGGCTAATCTTTTGTATTTTTAGTAGAGACAGGGTTTCTCTGTGTAAGCCAGGATGATCTCAATCTCCTGACCTTGTGATCCGCCCACCTCGGCCTCCCAAAGTGCTGGGATTACAGGCGTGAGCCTCTGCACCCGGCCTAAGATAAAATTATAAAGACTGACCATACTAAGTGTTGGTGAGGATATGGAGGAGATGGAACTCTCAGATGCTGCTAGTAGCAATATAAAATGCCAAAAGCACTTCGGAAGACAGTTTGGTAGTTACTTAAAAAGTTAAAACATACACCTACCATACGGTCCATTTCACTCCTTGGTATTTATCCCCCAAAAATGACATCATATGTCCACACAAAGACTTGTACACAAATATTTGTTGCAGCTTTATTTGTAATAGCCTCAAACTGGAAACAGCCAAAATGTCTGTTCTGCAAGTGAATGGATAAAGAAATTTGGTATATCCATAAACAAAATACAGCTTAGCAATAAAAAAAATTAACTTGATTGCAGTGATGGTTTCCCAGGTATGCACATATGTCAAAATTTATCAAAATTGTACCATTTAAATATGTGCACTTTTTGTACGTCAATCATACCTCACTAAAGCTATTTAAAATGTCTGAAAAATTCTGGGTTAAATAATTTTAAGTAAGTTTCTTTTCTGTAGGATTTCCAGAGCCTCTAAATGTTAAGTGGGTATTATTACTCTACCAAA
Organism: Homo sapiens; assembly: GCF_000001405.40. Classification (NCBI taxonomy): domain Eukaryota; kingdom Metazoa; phylum Chordata; class Mammalia; order Primates; family Hominidae; genus Homo; species Homo sapiens. The sequence goes on from NC_000017.11 coordinate 72,881,555, forward strand.
AGAGAATATGATATATGTCATTTCCCAAACTTATTCTTCCACAAAGCCTTTTTAAAATTTTTATTTTTTTTTACTAAGTAGTTCATAGAGCTGGCATCCCATGGAACACGTTGCAAAATACGACAAAATCTGTTCTTGATTTGGACATTTCTAAGTGGCAAATGACAAGAAGACACCTTTAAATTGTCTTCAAAACAAGAGAGCTCCCCAATTTATAAAATCTGCTGTAGCATATGTGAAAACATCCCAGTTGCCTGAAGAAATGTGTATGTTTGCCTCACAGGCTGCAGAATTTCTTTAGCTTTTCTTCGGCAGCCACAGATCAGGCTTATTTATTTTCTTCAGTTTTACTAAATATGAAGGTGTTGGCCAGGATTTATTGGTCTGTTTTATTTCTCCATCCCATGACATCTGCTAGAGGTGGTTGTTACTGTTAACAATAATGCTACTAAATTACTTGAGCACTCCAGAATATGACATTCTGGGGAACCAATTAAAACAGATGCTCTTTCGGCCGGGCCGGTGTGGTGGCTCATACCTGTAATCCCAGCACTTTGGAAGGCCAAGGTGGGTGGATCACCAGAGGTCAAGAGTTCAAGACCAGCCTGGCCAACATGTCGAAACCTCATCTCTACTACAAATACAAAAAACTGTAGCCAGGCATGGTGGTGCACGTCTGTAGTCCCAGCCACTCGGGACGCTGACGCAGGAGAATCGCTTGAACCCAAGAGGTGGAGGTTGCAGTGAGCCAAGATCGTGCCACTGTACTCCAGCCTAGATATCAGAATGTACATATTCCTATATCTAAAAAAAAAAAAAAAAAAAATGCTCTTTCAACTTTCTTTAGGAGACACACCACACGCATGCACAATCCAAGACACGGAGAAGAGAAATGCTCAGAAAATCCAAGTACGATGATTAGGAAGCTTTTTCTGAACTCAGCAACTATCACAGAACATTGTTAACTTCCTGGCTCTCTGCAAATTTTCTTTGACTACTTCAGGACCGAATCCAAGAGTTGCAGCCCTACACAGATTGTCTTTAAACCATAGAATTCAGCTGGCCCGCTCTGCTACTTTATTCATTAAAGCCACTCTATGCAACTGTTTAACCTAGTAGTCTTGAGTTTCATCTGGAACTCTAATCATTGGCAAGGAAAGTAACACCTGACTTCAGCAGTATTGGGTCAACTGCTTTTCTCAATTAAACTCACACAACCTGCTTGAGGGAGAGAGAATGCTTCTTTTTTTTTTTTTTTTTGAGATGGAGTCTCACTCTAGCTTCCAGGTTGGAGTGCAATGGCGCGATCTCAGCTCACCGCAACCTCTGTCTCCCAGGTTCAAGCGATTCTCCTGCCTCAGCCTCCCCAGTAGCTGGGATTACAGGTGTGTGCCATGACACCTGGCTAATTTTTGTATTTTTAGTAGAGATGGGGTTTCATCATGTTGGCCAGGCTGGTCTCGAATTCCTGGCCTCAAATGATCCGCCCACCTCGGCCTCCCAATGTGGTTGGATTACAGGCTGAGCCACCGTGCCAGGCCGAGAAAATGCTTTTAGGTGGAATTATCATGAGGGTTCATCACGCAGTCCTGCATCCTTAAGGCATACTGGCCTAACATAAGCATGGGCGCATGTGAGTGGAAAGTGCATAAAACACAGCCAAGTCCATATTCTACGCAGAGCAGGCCTCCTACTGTTAACACATGTGCACTGGAGTCTACCTACCCTCACAGGCCTGGATGTTACTATAGCTCTGTTTTCTCAGTATGCTTCCTCTTCAAATCCTCTGTAACCACAGATGGCTGCTGCCAAAAACCTGGATGAAAATCACAGAGATGACCCAGTGCAGCGCCATCTTTATGACTGAACCAGTTGAGGTACCTCCTGGGTAGTATTTACATGATGCAAAACATGCTCAAGCATCGCCAGTACTGAAGCTTTTCAAGGTTTCATGGTGGCAGAAGCTAGCCAGTTAATTACACGGAATCTGGGAAGGCAGGTTCTAGTCTCTGTTCTCCCGGTGGATTGTGTCTGATTCAGGGTCAGGTGACTACAATTTCTGAGGCTTGACTGAGAAATGACCGAGGAATCCCATTCATTTGTAAGGGAGAAACAGCCAATAAAAATGTATTCTTGTCTCATCAAAAAGACTTGGTCCAGGGGAAAGCCATGAAGATGGCTATTATACACACCTCCATCCCTCCTTATTGTGGAGGGAAGGGGATGCAATCTGTATAATATCATAGTGTGAAAACTGAAGTTGGGCCCAAGTAGGGCCTGGTCTTTAATCCAATTCTGCCCATAGAAAGGAGAATCTGGGCTGGGTGCAGTGGCTCAAGCCTGTAATCCCACCACTTTGGGAGGCTGAGACAGGTGGATTGCTTGAGCTCGGGAGTTCCAGACCAGCCTGGAAAACATGGCAAAACTCTGTCTCTACAAAAAATACAAAAGTTAGCTAGGTATAGTGGCGTGCACCTGTGGTCCCAGCTACTTGGGAGGCTGAAGTGGGAGGATTTCTTGAGCTGGGAGGTCAAAGCTGCAGTGAGCTGTGATCACACCACAAAACTCCAGGCTGGGTGACAGAGTAAGGCTCTGTCTCCAAAAAAAAGAAAGAAAGAAAGAAAGAAACCTTATAAAGGACCACAGTGCCCCTGGGCCTGCTAGGCTGCCCACAGCTTGGCTCACAAAAGCAGCGTTGTCACTGTGGATGGCCTCAGGCCATGTTGGTCTTTGTACTGTTGCCCAGCCATTTGCAGGGCCAGTGCACTATTCTAAATTTCATTTCAAACAATGAATCCTCAGAGCGTTCATCCCTTCCATTCTGTTATCTACTGCAGTGCAAGGCTGTGGCTCAGAAAGTCTTTAGCTTGGAAGACATCTAGCTCCATTAAAACTGCAGCAATTATGACTACCTGGAGGTGAATAATCTCCTCTTGGCTTTATTTAATGTTCAATACAAAGAAACAGTCACCCCATTAAATTTACCTGCGCTGTGTCTCGCTTTGGATTTTTCAGGTAGTCATTGGTTCTAAACTATCATGTTCAGTATCTTAAGGACCAGACTATATTACTATGGTGAGGCAGACTGGCAGGAAAGCTCTGGGATCTATCTTGAACATTAGAGTTTAATAAAAAGGAAGGCATGAGATAAACTGAAAAATATAAAATAGGAAATCGCTGCAGCAGCATTCTGCATTCTTGAATAGAAAGACTGGAAACCTTAAAGCTACTAAGTCTTTTCAAATGGATAGCTTTAACATAATTCCACTCAAAATCACAACAGAATTCTAAAACTGGACAAGGGAACTCTAAAGCTCTTCTGAACAAAGAAAAATGCATAACGAGAGGAACTCATCATTAAATATAAAGTGGTAATATTAAATGAGTCTTTCTTGCAGTAGGATACTTAACTTTCTTCAGATTTATCATCCCTTTAAAAGGCCTGTTTTGACAAAGGGGCTGGAGCACTTGAATGATTTGTGTCTATGTTTCTAGAGTACCATCAAAACACAGCAATTCTTATCCACTTGTGTCAAGGACTTCTGATGATACTTGTAGGTTATCGAAATGGAAGATTTCCTGTGGACTAGGATTTGGATTCTAAAAATCAGCTTATAGGTTTTCCCTGCAGCTCCAGACAGCTATTCCTCAGTTTTTGCCTCCTCTCTATATTGGAATTAAACAGCTTCCTATGAAGCTTGGAACGTCAACGCTTTCTGCATACTCAACTCCAGTTTCATACTTTTGCAAATCAAGCATTGGTTCTGTGCAGCTGAGTCTATTCCAAAGCGAGTAATAATTTGATTAGTAATTTTTTACAACTCTCTAATCCTGTAGGCTACGGGCTCACCTCTTGCAATCACCTAGTTCCCACCTAGACCCATCCTGCATTCACTGAAGATTCCAGCAGCATTATTCAGGTGCCACTATTCATGTAGATAAGCCATCTGCCTCACCTCCAATGAACCTGTCCTGTGCACCATCTCAACCAACTAATCCCAAGGGCACTACTTATCAGATCTACCTCTAAAATCTCAATGGCAGGCATTCCAGGTGTTGAACCACCTGCCTGCTATATTTATTTCCAGCTCCTTTCTTGTGAACGCTGGATCCAGTTCTTTAGTACCACTGGCACCTCTGTGCCATTGGCCCAGCCACCTTTTTACTCCAACCTCCCACCTATGTCCACACTTCCCCCCTCATCAAGCAGTGGCCCTCGCTAGAGCCACCCTCTAGCAAATACCTACACATATGCCTACTTAATGCCGACTCTCCATCTATTCTGCACTTGTCGCCAAAGAGTTGAATGTAATTGGAGAGAAACCTACTGCCATGATGCATCTCCACCATTCTACTGAGACTGCTTTTGTCGGGGTCACCACTGGTGCCCATGTGGCCCAATCCAGTGCTCCCATCTCAGATCTCAGCTTGCTCATCCTTTCAGCATTTCTTTCACATGTCTAGTCAATTCCCCTCTTTTTGAACATCCCTCATTTGGCTTCCAAGAAACCTTTCTCCCCCAGTATTCCTGCATCCTCACTGGCAACACCTCTGCTCAGTTCCCTCTGCTGGATTCTGTTCCACTTCCCGATTTCCAAATGGAGGACCCTGGTGCTCGGTCCTCAGTGCTCTTCGCTCTCCTGCCTACACAGGCTCCCCTGGGCAATCTCAACCAATCTCATGACTTTCGTCATTCCCAAATTTATATCTCCAACCCCAATGTCTTCCATGAACTCCAAAGTCATGAATCCATCTGCCTACTTGACGTTACCACTTGAGTATTCAGAGGCATCTCAGACACAGAACTTTTGTTCTTCCAACCCAAACTTGTTTTTCTCCAGCCACTCCCTGTAAATCACTCAATCCCAAAGGCTAAGAATCCTCCTCCTCCTTTCTCCTTCTCTCAGAGTCCTTACCTATCCGCAAATCCCATCAGCTCAACATTCAACTCCGCCACTCTTTCTGCAGCTCAAGCTATCCTCCCCCACTACAAACGCATCCTCCAAACTGCTGATCTGGATTCCACCCTTGTCCGCCAGCTCCCAGAATCTCTTCTCCACATAGCCACCCAAACAATACTTTAGAATGTGTGTCAGCTCATGGAACTCCCCTGAATAAAACCTCCTGATGGATTCCTGTCATACTCTAATTGAGATCTGAAAGTGCTAGTGGTCCCTGCCCGCTGGAACACTTGCTGGACACCAGCCTCTTGACTGTCCCTCAAATACACCAAGCACCTACAAGCTCCAGGGCCTTCTCACGAATGCTCCCTGTGACCCGGATGCTCCTTCTGACTGGAGTGCTCCCTCCTAGGGTGCTCCCTCTGACCAGGATAATCTCTTCACACTCACTCTTGGCATTTTCTCTTTCACATCTTTCAGGTCTTTTCTCAAAACCCATCATCTTACAGGGGTCTTCCCTGACTGCCTGATCTAAAATAACAGCCCAGTCACACTTTCATCCCAGTACCCTGCTTTTCTTTTTCCCTGCAGAGCCAGATAACATTACCTTATGTATCTTTGTCTATTATCTGTCTCTTCCACTGGACTATAAAGTCCTGTGAGGGCAGGAGCTTTGTCTTTTTGGGTACACTGATGTCATCCCAGAGTTCAGGATAGCACGAATCACACACCCATCAGATGAGTGAGTGAATGAATAAATGGATCAGATAATGAATGAAGGAATGGATCAACTGGCTATCAACCGCAGTGGAAAGCTGGACCCCTGGAAAAGTCTACCTCCTCCAGTCTGTATCAGAAAGGGGCTATGCAACAGGACAGAGAAAGTGCATCGAAACTCCGTTTTCAAGCCAATGGGCTCAACCACACTAAGGAAACAGCCGCAAAGATGAGGAGCACTTCTCCCGAGGGCTCTGCCTTCTTCCCCTTTCATCTGCATCATCTTTCTTGTGCCTGTGTATGCAGTAGGTGGCTTTGAAAGGCAGAGACAAATGTCAGAATGCAACACTGCACAGTTCTTATTGCTTTCAACAGTTTCCCGTCTTCCGTCATAACGAGAACAGTCGCAGCCATGCTATAATTTTCTGTTTAGGTAACATCTTATTTGCATTCTGAAACCATGTCCTTTTTCCTATTACTGATATAAAAGATTGCTTATTTCTAATTATATTGCAGGCATTCAGGGAATTCAAAGAGCAGAAAATATGTCAGGAACAATTTACAAATTGTGGCTATTTGTGTACATGCTTGCCTGGACTCCAGCAAATTTAGAAACGAAAAAAAAAATTGCTTATTAAAGTGCCATCTCTCCTCAGCAGATCTCTGCTTCTATTTGTTCTCTCAGTCCTAACTAAATACAAACCTAAACCCTAAGTGTGAATGTGCTTGTGAAGAAAAGTACTCTTCCCCACTTCTCAATTGTTTTCAATGAGAATTTCGAAGTGATATTTTCCCCACTGCTCCCATCCTGCCTTGGAAATTCCATTTCTCTCACACTCAAGTCATTATTTCTAAAAACAAAACAACAAAAAGAAACACACATTTTTCTGTTTTTGTGATTTGAGATGTCTCAAGAGCTAGAAAATTCTTCCCAGAGTCGTATGAGTCAGTACTGAATAACTATTCCACAGATATTAGGACGAACATACTGTGCATGAGGTGGAGAACCTTCATACTCAAAATGAAACCCTGAGTCTAAACTTATTTTGTTCCACATTTTAAGCTCGAATAAATTATAAGAAGCTTGAAGATGTAAAATATGCCTTCTATTTCTTTGGTATCTTGCCACAGTGCTAAGGAAAGAACAAACATACAGAACTTTCAACGTATTAATTTTCAATCCAGGAACCTTCATAGATCTGAACAAAGCCACTCAAAAGAGCCTAAACACATGGCTCTACCTGATCCCAACAGATGGGGTTAGTGGTTGATTGTCAACAGTTGCCTGCATTTATCTCCCAAAAGGCCTTCTGGAACCTCTTCCCTGACCTAAATAGAGACGCTTCTAAACATTTTAGAAGGCATGATCTTTTCAGAGTCCCATGCAACAACATCATTTTGCCTACTCGATCAGCTCTAAGCTTATTTCATCCAAGATAAGTGTTGAGGCCAGGTGTTGTGGTTCACACCTGTAATGGCAGCACTTTGGGAGGCTGAGGAAGGAGGATCACTTGAGGCCAGGAGTTCAAGATCAGCCTGGGCAACATAGCAAGACTCCATCTCGATAAAAGATGAAAAAATTAGCCAGGCATGGTAACGTGCACCTGTAGTCTCAGCTACTTGGGAGGCTGAGGAGAGAGGATTGCTTAAGCCCATGAGTTCAAGACTGCAGTGAGCTATGATTGTGGCCCTACACTCCAATCTGTGTGGTATAGCAAGACCCTGTCTCTCAAAAAAAAAGAAAGAAAAGAAAAAACGAAAGTGTAGACAGGAGTAACTAGATACAGTTGCAGAGACATGGTGTGCAGAGGTCAAACATGTTCATAAAGAGGCCTCAGACTCAAGCAAAATTCTACTATTGCCCAAATAAACTCTGACTCTGAATACAGGGCAAATCTCTATTTGCCCATTTTAAAAGGGAGGTTCGATCAATGTGAATTTATAAACGTTTAGAGATGCAGATATGGATACCAAATATCTATTAGCCATACTTAAACCATTAATTTAGTTACAGATGTGTATTTAAAATAAAATAAAATATTATATAAAATATATTACATGGCCAGATGCAGTGGCTCACGCCTGTAATCCCAGCACTTTGGGAGGCCAAGGCAGATGGATCACCTGAGGTCAGGAGTTTGAGACCAGCCTAGCCAACATGGTGAAACCCCATCTCCAATAAAAATACAAAAATCAGCTGGGCATGGTGGCGGGCACCTGTAATCCCAGCTACTTGGAAAGCTGAGGTAGGAGAATTGCTTGAACCTGGGAGGTGGAGGTTGCAGTGAGCTGAGGTGGAGGTTGCAGTGAGCTGAGATCGTGCCACTGCACTCCAGCCTGGGTGACAGAGGGAGACTCCATCTCAAAAAAAAAAAAAATACGTTAAATAACAAATACTGCTTTTATACATTCTGACATTTCACAAAACAATTTGATTCAATCTCTGCTTCTTTGATGCTAGTGTTGTTGCATTCACAAGAAACGCTTCTTGACTTATCAATTTTCAACAGCACATAATTTTTACTTCCATCTAAATTAAGATTTGGCTGTTGCATAATCTGCATGATACTGTCACCAGTAATTTTATCCTGAGCCACAAAGACTCACTTGCACGGCAATAGTTTTTTCATTGTTTGTATTCATCCTATAGGAGTATTAGTGATTTGCACTAGGAAGCCACGTGCTGTACTGAGTAGCATGGCTTGAGTATCGTGTAAGGAGCAATGGACTCTGATCCAGTGAAGGGCTGGAAGCAAGAAAATGCATAGAGTTAGGTGGGTGAGAGATGGCACAAAACCAGAGGCAGGGCAGGCATGGTGGCTCACACCTGTAATCCCAGCACTTTGGGAGGCCGAGGGTGGCAGATCTCTTGAGATCAGGAGTTCAAAACCAGCCTGGCCAACATGGTGAAACCTGGTCTCCACTAAAAATACAAAAAAAAAATTAGCTGGGCATGGTGGCAGGTGCCTGTAATCCCAGCTACTTGGGAGGCTGAGACAGGAGTATCACTTGAACCCAGGAGGCAGAGGTTACAGTGAGCCGAGATAGCGCCACTGCACTCCAGCTTGGGTGACAGAGTGAGACTCCATCTCAAACAAACAACAACAACAACAAAAAAAAAAAAAACCACCAGAGGCAGAGGAATGCAAAAAGAGTCCGTTGGTATGGTCCCAGCAAGTTATAACTAGGGATTCAACTAGACCAGTCATAGTAGGAAGGGATTCAAGAAACATTTGTGAAGCAAAATCAGCAGGGCTTGGTAACTAAGTGGATTTGGGGGATTAGAGAAAAGGAAAAGAGAGAAATGATGCTGAGGTTCCTGGCTTGAGTGACTGAGTAGATTTGGTTCCATTCAACTCTTCTGGGTATAAGTAATAAAGGAGACAGAGAAAGCTGAACTGGGAGAAAAAAGCTATCAGGTAATGTATTCTATTTTAGACCCATTGAATACAAGTGGCTGTTGGACAGATAAGTAAGCTATCTGGCAAGAGCAGGGGGATTTCATTCTGACATTTAGGAAAGAAAGCTTGGCTGGAGAATCAATTTGGGAGCCTGAGCCCCTAAATTCTAAGTAGAACTGTGAGTCTGGGTGAGATTCCAGGAGAGAATGCCAGGAAAAAGTGGACTGCTGATGAAATGTAGGGGGATAGAAAACTAATTTAATGGATAGGCAAAGAAAGAGAAGCCCAAAGGGGGACTGGTAAGATGTCACCAGAAAGGAAGGATGAGAATGATTAAGCACTGCAAATATACTGAGAATTTCAGCAAAATCATGAGTCATGATTTTCCACTGGATTTGATGTTTAGTGGGTCGCTGATCACAAGGGGGTGGAAAGTGAAGAAATGCAAATAGCTCTCACGTACCTGTATTTTCCAAAGCTTTGTTGAAAACATAAGAAAACAAAATGGATATCAGGTTGGGGGGTGGGGGGTGGCAGGGCGGAGGGAAGACTTTTCCAGATAAAAGACATATGAGGCTGGGCTCACACCTGTAATCCCAGCACTTTGGGAGGCCAAGGTGAGTGGATCACCCGAGGTCAGGAGTTCAAGACCAGCCTGATCAACATGGTGAAACCCCATCTCTACTAAAAATACAAAATTAGCTGGGCGTGGTGGCACATGCCTGTAATCCCAGCTCCTCAGGAGGCTGAGGCACGAGAATCGCTTGAACCCGGGAGGTGATTTGGACTCTTGCTCTCCTGCCTGGACGCCCCTGCCAACCTTCTCTACCCTCTCAAAAAAACAGAGAAAATAAAGACTTGGAAGGACCTGAAGAAAATTCCTCAGATCATCCTGTTCCCCAGCTGCCTTTCCAATCTCCCACCCTCATAGCCTCCCACTTGCTGCTCCCCAGTCTGGAAGGTTCTATCCTCACTCTCTCCCCTCAGTTCATGATTCAGGTCCCTGCTCAATGCCTTTTTTGAACATCCTATCAAAAATACTCCCTGGTCACTCTCTCTCCGGCCATTACCTCGCTTTTACTTCCCTCTTTGGTTTTAAACCTACTTGGCATTATTACACATATAGATATAGATATATATTAACACACACAGATACATACATATAAGTGCATATATAATATAAAGCCAATAGAAATGATTTTATTACTATTTATTACTATTTTATATTTAAATAAAATTATTTAAAACATAATTTTAAAATTATTTTAAAAATGTAAAATAATTTTTATTATTTTAAAATTTAAAAAACTCTCCTCCACTAACTCATGAGCCTGGGGCATTACTGTTCTGTGCTATGCACTTCTGCAGCCTCAGGGCCTAGCACAGTGTCCAGCACACAGTAGGTGCTCAATAAAGATGTGCTGAATGAATACTATGAAGAGCCAAGGTAGAGATAAGACTATTTTTTTTCCCCAAGGATTGCACAGGATGAAATGAACTTCCCTAGCAATATAAGGGAAAACATTAATAATTTCTTGTCTAATTATAAAAAGTTATTAGAGGCTGGGCGCAGTGGCTCACACCTGTAATCTGGGAGGCCGAGGTGGGCAGATCACCTAAAGTCAGGAGTTTAAGACCAGCCAGGCCAACATGGTGAAACCCTGTCTCTACTAAAAGTAAAAAAAAATTAGTCAGGTGTGATGGCGCATACCTGTAATCCCAGCTATTCAAGAGGCTGAGGTAGGAGAATTGCTTGAACTCAGGAGGTGGAGGATACAGTGAGCTGAGATCACACCACTGCACTCCAGCCTGGGCAACAAAGTGAGACTCCATCTCAAAAAAAAAAAAAAAAAATCTTATTAGAGCCCAGAATAGATGTCAAAGAGAAACACAGAATCTCCTCTTGAGAGTCTTAGAAAAAAAAGATAATTATCTTTCTGGGGTAGAAAAAGAATAAAGATAAATAGATTAAATAATACTGTATGGTTCGTTTCAAATTCAAGAGTCTATTTCCCCACTGATTTGGGGTTATTTTTTGCCTGTCTTTTCCAAATGAGCAGGAGACAAAATTGAATCTCTTGGTTCCAGGGCTAAAAGATGCTATCAATTTCTGTTGATTCTAGGTGAGATAACACAACGCAGAAACAATTGGTCCACAATCCAACCAGTAAACTGGATAATAGACAATTTCTGAAGTTTTTTAGAAAGAGTGCAGTGAGAAACTGTTCAGATTTGACAGCCATTTCCCGCATAACTCCTTCCTCCAACTGACTTGTTGGATCCAAAAGACAAACTGGAGGGAGTGAGGGAAGGGAACGAATGTAGCTAGTCACTCATTGCCAGCATCCATGTATTTTCCAGGGTAGGTTCTCCAAGAGGCAATTATGTTAAATCAATCATCAGGAAATGAGGTCTTCGTAATGATAGCTATGACTTTGATTTCAAATACTGTGCCAATCAGAATGAGGGCTTTTGTTCCCTTGTCAAAAGGATCATTTATACTAAGTTCTAACTAAACAATACCCACTACCAACTTCCCTCCAAAAAGAAAAGAAAAGAAAAAGGAAAATGAAGCCCAATACTATTGAATGAAAACATATGGACCAGGGGCCGGGGCGGTGATTCACGCCTGTAATCCCAGCACTTTGGGAGGCTGAGTCAGGCAGATTGCGAGGTCAAGAGTTCAAGACCAGCCTGGCCAACATGGTGAAACCCTGTCTCTGCTAAAAATACAAAAATTAGCCAGGCGTGGTGACACATGCCTATAATCCCAGCTACTTGGGAGGCTGAGGCAGGAGAATTGCTTGAAATGGGGGGTGGAGGTTGCAGTGACCCAGGATCGTGCCACTGCACTCCAGCCTGGGCGACACAGCAAGACTGTCTCAGGGAAAAAAAATATATATATATAGATACGGACCACAGAAGCTCAATATAGCAGTGAGTTCCTTAGCTATCTATATTGTACAATTTGTTCTTTAAGTCTCATTCCTGCTAAATCACCTGAGAATCCTCATTGGAAAACCAATGCTCTTCCCGAGTCTGCAGGCCAAATTTAGGGTTAAAAAAATGGGGGGTTAGGGAGGGCCTTAATTTGCTATCAAAACCCAAAACACACAACATGAGAAAAATCAAGGTTAGAATAAGTTCAAAAGAAGATCTGGTTCTTGACCATGATAATGTCACTATTCTAATAGGGTCCTAGGAAGAAGAGGGCTAAAGACACCAAGGAGGCTGGATAAGTCCCATTGTTGGAGAGAAAGTTAGTGAGTTCTCCTAGGTGACTAAGGCACTTACCACCCCAATAAAAATATTGTTTTCCTTTTAGATATTTCCTCGATGTCTGCTATATACCAGGCCCTGTTTGTACTAAGTGCTAGGGATATACAGACAGGTGCTGTATAGTGTCTGAACCTTTAGAACCAAGCAGTGAGTGTGATCAGTATGTAAACTGATAAAGTTCAATGCAAAATAACCAATGCTCATGATAAATAGAAAATTACAGAGGGGGTTGGGCATGGTGGCTCACATCTGTAATCCCAGCACTTTGGGAGGCTGAAGTGGAAGGATCACTTGGGCCCAGGAGTTCAAGACCAGCCTGACCAACATGGTGAAACCCCATCTCTACTAAAAACACAAAAATTAGCTGTGCGTGGTGGCGCATGCCTGTAATCCCAGCTACTCTGGAGGCTGAGGCATGAGAATCACTTGAGCCCAGGAAGCGGAGGTTGCAGCACACCAGTATGGTATCACTGCACTCCAGCCTGGCAACAGAGTGAGACTCTGTCTCAAAAAAAAAAAAAAAAAAAAAAAAAAAGGCCAGGGACGGTGACTCATGCCTGTAATCGCAGCACTTTGGGAGGCTGAGGTGGGCAGATCACGAGGTCAGGAGACCATCCTGGCTAACATGGTGAAACCTCATCCCTACTAAAAAAAAAAAAAAAAAAAAATTAGCCGGGTGTGGTGGCACGCACCTGTATTTCCAGCTACTTGGGAGGCTGAGGCAGGAGAATCAATTGAACACAAGAGGTAGAGGTTGCAGTGAGCTGAGATCATGCCACTGTTCTCCAGCCTGAGCAACAGAGCAAGACCCTGTCTCAAAAAAAAAAAAAAAAAATTCTAGAGGGAACCTAGAAGGAGCCAGTACCTCAACCTGAATGAGTCAGAAACGTTTCAGAGAGGGGAATAATTAATCTAAGTATTGAATAAGACCTGGGAGGTTGCTAGGCAATGGGAGAAACATCTCCAGTGGAGTGGTCAATTTCAGTGTGGGCCTAGAGAGATGGTGCTGTAGAAGATGCACCCAGGGATGGTGGGCTGAAGGTGGACTGGGAGACCGTCTTTCTATGTGATCCTATAAGCAGCAGGAACTGACCAGGGTGGTGCTGTGAAGGTAGGGCAGTGTTCATCCTCCTCTCCACTGTTTCCCCAGAAACTAACGCAGAAACTGATTTGCTTCATTGATTAACTTAAAACAGAAGAATGTTTCTTTGGTTACTTCAAGGTAGCTATTGCTAGTTGCATTGGTGGGTGCTAGTCGCATTGGTGGGTGCTAGTCGCATTGGTAGGGATGAGGTGGGATGTGACAGAACAGGCAGCGGGCAGGGAAGGCTGGGAGGCAGCAGGGTTGGTGCGATGGGAGAAGGCAGCTTGGAAAATCATTCCTGAGATGTTAGTGCACAGGAAGAAGAAAACAGCCCTATCCTGCTTTGAGAACCAAATAAATGGCTGGGTGCGCGGGCTCACACCTGTAATCCCAGCAATTTGGGAGGCCAAGGTGGGAGGATCACCTGAGGTCAAGAGTTCGAGACCATCCTGGCCAACATGGTGAAACCTCATCTCTACTAAAAACACAAAAATCAGCTGGGCATGCTGGTGCATGCCTGTAATCCCAGCTACATGGGAGGCTGAGGCGGGAGAATTGCTTGAACCCAGGAAGCGGAGGTTGCAGTGAGCTGAGATAGTGCCATTGCATTCCAGCCTGGGCAACAAGAGCAAAAACTCTGTCTCAAAAAAAAAAAAAAATCCCACTAAATGGAATGAAGACCCTCTAAACATGCTGTTTATATCAAGAAGAGCCTCTGCCACCCTTACCCTAAAGGGAAGCAAACATCTGAGCTGCCAGTTCTCCACCATCCATAGTGAGTTCTCTATTTTTCTCTTTTTCAATTTTCTATTTTCTATTCTTTGAGTTCAAGGAAAGAAAATTCCATTACTTTCAGCAAAACTCTAGTTGAGAATGTTCAATAAACTCCTTCTCTGTGAAGAATAGTTGGAAAGGGGTATTTTATTTAACCAAATACTGTAGTTAAATGAAAATTGCTAATATAGATCATACACAAATGGCCAATTTTGAAAGAATTAGCGCTTAATAAAGTGCACATAATCCCAAGGCCCTATTAAAGATTATTTTTAATCTTTTTTTTTGGTGTGCATATGTATGATTCAGTATCTTAAACTCAATAGTCTTCAGGGAATTTAAGTTATTTTATATTACTATGAAAACGGCATTCTGGTTATATGATTTTTGTAATAGATAGGATTTTTACAACAAATTTTCAAAAATGTATAACGTAATCTAAAACCAAAAAGAGAACATTTGGGGATTGTTCACATTAATCCTTTTTTTTTTTTTTTTTTTTTTTTTTTGAGACAGAGTCTCGCTCTGTCACCCAGGCTGGAGTTCAGTGGTGCAATCTTGGCTCACTGCAACCTCCACCTCCCAGGTTCAAGTGATTCTCGTGCCTCAACCTCCTGAGTAACTGGGATTACAGATGCCTGCCACCACACCCGGCTAATTTTTCTATTTTTAGTAGAGACAGGGTTTCACCATGTTGGCAAGGCTGGTCTTGAACTCTTGACCTCAAGTGATCTGCCCGCCTCAGCCTCCGAAAGTGCTGGGATTACAGGCATGAGTCACTGCACCCGGCCTACATTAATCCTTTATTCACTCAGTAAACATTTGTTAGTGCTGTACCCCAACAGCGTACCGAAAGATGAAGAAAGACCAAGGCTGTTCTTCCTCAAAGAGTTCACAGAGGGGGATGCACATCTATTTTTAATAATATTTATAACACATTTGTTCATTGTAATGACAGAAGTAGGAAGAGAAACACAGATGAGAAAATGCTCAATTTTGCCTGTACCAGGGAGTGAGGGAAAGGGACATGGGAAATGACGCTTAAGAAAAGTCCTCACAGCCAGGTGCGGTGGCTCACACCTGTAATCCCAGCATTTGGGGAGGCCGAGTCAGGCGGATCACCTGAGGTCTCAGGAGTTCAAGACCAGCCTGACCAACATGGAGAAACCCCATCTCTACTAAAAATACAAAAATTAGCTGGGCGTGGTGGCGGGCACCTATAATCCCAGCTACTCGGGAGGCTGAGGCAGGAGAATCACATGAATCCAGGAGGTGGAGGTTGCAGTGAGCCAAGATCATGCCACTGCACTCCAGGCTGGGCGACAGAGTAAGACTCTGTCTCAAAAAAAAAAAAAAAAAAACAAACAGAAAAACAGAAAAGTCCTCAAGGGTGAGTGAGAGCACTCCAACAACAGAAATTTGGAAAGGACCAGGAAGCATGGAAACCAATTTGGGAGCTCCTGTAGTAATTCATGGCAGAGATGATGAAGGCCTGAACTGAGAGGACCCCAGTGGGGACAGACAGTGACCTGCTGGACATCGGAGGTGGGAAAAGGAAGCCATCTGCACTGTGCTGTCTAATATGAGAACCACAAGCCACATGCAGTCATCTAATATAACCTCATTAAAACATGTTAAAATTGAAATGAACTCAGCTTGCACTAGCCACACTTCGGGGCTTGATAGACATGTGAAGCTAGTGGCATCTGTACTGGATGGTACAAACAGAACTTTTCTATTATTACAGAAAGTTCTACTGTACAGCAGAGCCAAGTGTTTGGGGCTTGAGATAAGTAGTTGAACGTTGGTACCCCTAATTCAGAAGAAATGCCAGAGAGGCAACGGGTTTAGGAGGAGCCGATGGGTTGAGTTTGGGATGAGCTGAGTTTGAAGAAAGTCTAATATCATGGTGATGTCAGGATCCTTGTGAGTTCAGCATCTCATAAGCGACAGCATAGTGAGGGTCCTGGTTTTTAGCCTCTTCCTTTTCTGAAACAAAATCCAAGCTTCAAAAGCTAACCTGCATGCCTGTGCCTATTAGAGGGAAAACAAAAACAAAAACAAAAACAGGCGGCAAGGGAATTCGGTGTGGAGTTCTAAAAGAAGTGTGGGCGGCTGACCCAGAGTTGGGAGTCAGTGGTATACTGAGGGTAGTTAAAGTATCTCACAGAGAAAAGATTACCCAAGAGAAGAGGGGTGGAAGGTGAGACCTGGAGGAAGGGGTAAAAGCAACAGGTACAGGACGGCTGGGGGAACAGGATCCACAGAAACGTAGGAGAGTCTGGAAAAACCCCAGTCAGGAAGGAGATGGGGAGAAACAGGAACAAAGTGTCACCAGTAAAGCCCAGGATGAAGAGAAGGGGGAAGAGCCAAGTGAACTGAATGCAGCAGGAAATCTAATAAGGCACCAAAAAGTGTCTGGTGCATCTGGCAATTTGGGGGCCACCTCAGTAAGACCAGTTCCAGTGGACAGATGGTGGAAAGATACCTGCGCACATAGACACGTGGAAGGAAATGCTTGTTTTTCAACTGGCCGCCCCCAAAGACATAAGGATACACTGGGAGCTCCTCAAGGGGCTGGAGCATCCGAGTTCATGAGCAACACAGAGAATTGATCAGGACGCTTCAGGCCTCCCGGCGCATCCACTCAGCTATACCGCTGCTACTGGGGAGGAAATGTATTGTTGACCATGTTAGCACTTTAGAACAGCCCCCAGCTGGTCCCCAGAGGAGGGAAGGCATGAATTTCTGGGCTTCTCCCCTGAACAGGACCAGACCCAAGAATCTTAGTGAAACAAATGGTGAAAAACTTCTGCTGTGACATAGAGGCAGGGATTCTGATTTCATTGAAAACTCTTCAGCTTGTCAGAGAAAAAAAAAGACACACACACCCAGTCATACACACATGCAAGCACATGCATATACACAGTGCATACATGGGCATGCACACATATATGCATGCACATACATGTATACATGCATTGTGCATATACACTCACGTAGACACTCATATAGATATTCATACATTATGCAAAATGTGCACACACGTGCACATACATAACACCACCCTGGTTCTCTTTTCTTTTCTGCAGCGGCAGAACCAGGTCAAGAACCCACGTCTCCTGACTTCAGAACCCTCACTCTTTCCCCTGCAGCAGTTGCTCAGGGAGGCGACTGCCAAGAGGAAGCAGATGCTCTTGCTGGAGCAGGAGGAGACCCTTCGGGGACTATGCAAGACTCAGCCTGAAGTGGGTGCCAAGTGTTCAGAACTGTTTAAGTAAAAGCCACTTGACCGACCCCCATCAGCCCAAGTAATTCGGCTGCACTCTCCTAAGCTTTATGCAGGAACTCCGCTGGCTCTTAATAAACCCAAATAGGAACAAAAGAAAACGTGATGACTTTCAGAGGTGGACATTAGCTGTGCTGCGCTGAAGGATGCCTGGGCTAGATCCTGCCCAGGTCTCCAGGCTCGGTAAAAGGGCAGCTCCATTTCCCCAGCAGCAACCCCCACCCCAAGCCCCTGCTGTACCCCACCTTGCCCCTCCCCTGCCACCACTCTTGCTGGGGTGGAAATACAGGGTAAGAAAAAAGGCCCTAAGGAGTCCACCTGCCAAACCCAACTACAGACTGAAGCCCACTTTAAATTTCCTATCCTGAAACCAACAATCGTAATTATTTACATTGTTTTTTTACCCTCTTAAGTCCCATTTTCTTTGTGTTTCATCATCATTTGAAGTGGGGAGCGAAGGAATCTTATGGAAAGGCAAGGGTCGGATAGACTTGATGGCCTGTCTCATTTCCCCTCATTACTCTAACACCACAATTCCTCTCCGGCCACATTCACCACTTATAAAGTGCTATTCTCATCATCAGGATTATAGCAATGGGCAAATCAACGAACTGGGGAAAGGAGACAGCAGCAAGGAAAAACTCATGTAGCAGAATGCTGAGGGAGAGAACGACAGCAGGGGCCGGGCACGGTGGCTCATGCCTGTAATCCCAGCACTTTGGGAGGCCAAGGTGGACGGATCACTTGAGGTCACGAGTTTGAGGACAGCCTGGCCAAAATGGCGAAACCCCGTCTCTACTAAAAATACAAAAGTTAGCCGGGCGTGGGGGCAGGTGCCTGTAATCCCAGCTACCTGGGAGGCTGAGGCAGGAGAATTGTGTGAGCCTGGGAGGTGGAGGTTGCAGTGAGCCGAGATCACACCACTATATTCCAGCCTGGGTGACACAACAAGATTCTGAAAAAAGAAAGAGAGAGAGAGAGAGAAAGAAAGAGAGAGAGAGAGAAAGAGAGAGAGAGAGAAAGAGAGAGAGAGAGAAAGAGAGAGAGAAAGAGAAAGAAAGAAAGAGAGAGAGAGAAAGAGAGAAAGAGAAAGAGAAAAGAAAGAAAGAAAAAGAAAGAAAGAAAAGAAAGAAAGAAAGAAAAAGAAAGAAAGAAAAGAAAGAAAGAAAGAAAGAAAGAAAGAAAGAAAGAAAGAAAGAAAGAAAGAAAGAAAGAAAGAAAGAAAGAAAGAAAAAGACAGCAAGGCAAGGAGATGGAAAGTGGCCTTTGGGAGAAGGAGCTCACTTCCCAGAGAGATACCATTTGAGCAAGGATGTCAACAAAGGAGGAACAAGTCGTGGGGGTATCTGGAGGGAAGGAAGGGCAGGCATCAGGGTTCTGAGAAGGAGGGTGCCAGGATTATGAGGATGCAGGATTATGAGGATGTATGAGGATCTGCAAGGAGGCCAGTGAGGAAGAGAAAGAGGAATGAAGGGGGCGGGCTGGGGTGACAGTAAATGAGTCCAGAGGGGCAGCCAGGACCCTGATCCTGGAAGTCTATGGTTAGGTCCTTGGACTTGGCTCTGACACAATCTGATTTGCACTTTTACAGTCACTGACTGCTGGGTGGAGACCTTACTGCAAGAGGGAAAGAGTGGGGGCAAAGGGATTTGTGAGGGGGGCAGGCGCGCCCTCCAGGGCAGAGGAAATAGTGGTAAGTAACTAGGAATGATTGATGGGTGAGCACTTCAACAGCATCTGCAGTTATTAATGCAACAACAACAAACAACGGCATCCATGCTGCAGGTGTTTCCGAGTCACTGTGCTGGGAAAGCAGACACTAATCATGAAACAGCAGCAATTACAGAGTTCAGCATCTCACAGGCGACAGCACAGTGAGGGTCCTTGTTTTTAGCATCTTCCTTTTCTGAAACAAAATTCGAGCTTCAAAAGGTCACCTGCATGCCTGTGCCTATTAGAGGGAAACAAACAAACAAACAACAAAAAAAAAACACGAAAAAAAAACACGATGCTGCCCTCCAGAAGGATTATGTTGCAGGAGGTTGCAACGCTGAGGAAACCCATCAGAATATCAGCAATGCTGTTAAACTGAAAAATCGTGTCCAAGTGAAGTCAGAGAGAAATATTTCTCCTGGTAGATTTATGAAAACGAATGCCAAAAGGCAATGAGGTGGCCTCGGCAGCTGGAATTCCACTGCAGGGGCCTGGACTGCGGGAGCTGGAGCGCATGGGAAGTGATGGACGTCTCTACTCCAGGAAAAGGGCTTTGCTCATTGACCCACAGGCCCCTGCTGAGGCGAAGGCCCACTGCATCCTGGAGATAGTCAGTGTGTGGCTCAGTGTTAAATCCTAAGACAATTAGAGGCGTGGGTTGTGGGTGGAAGGCAGGGACTGGCAACAGAGCCCTG
Organism: Homo sapiens; assembly: GCF_000001405.40. Lineage (NCBI taxonomy): Eukaryota > Metazoa > Chordata > Mammalia > Primates > Hominidae > Homo > Homo sapiens. The sequence continues at coordinate 72,901,408 of NC_000017.11, forward strand.
CCCTCTTGAGCTCTGAGCAAACATATAAAATCAGGTGTGTCCTGTCTCCGTACATAAGAAGTAGAGATTTGGGTACGGTACAGATGAAAACACCCACCTGGATGGGCCGGGAAGGCAGACCACAGGAGAGAGGCTCGGGTTTGGACTATAACTGGATATTTGTGTGAAGATTCACCACTGTCTTCCCCAGCAGACTACAAGTTCTAGGAGGGCAGGGCCATGTCCGCCAGTGCACACTAGAATTAAATATATTCCCAGCAGACAGCAGAATGCCTAACACCCATTAAGCTTTTGCATAAACACCAGTGGCAGTGAGTTGAATGGGGTCCCCTCTAAGATTCTGAATTCTGCTCTTCAACACTGCTAAGACTCTTAACAGGGTTGATTATGGGAACAGATGCTGGTGGCTCACCCAACCTATGTTGGCACTGTGCTGCATGCATGGGGCCCTGAGATAAAGACACAGCTAGGGCCTCCCTGGGGAACAGGAAACAGGGTCTTTGCAGAGGTCATAAAGATAAGGCCATCTTGGATTGGGGTGGGCCTCAAAGCCAGTGATGGTATCCTTATAAGAAGAGGAGAGGCCGGGCACAGTGGCTCACACCTGTAATCCCAGCACTTTGAAAGGCCGAGGCGGGTGGATTACCTGAGGTCGAGAGTTCGAGACCAGCCTGGCCAACATGGTAAAACCCCGTCTCTACTAAAAATACAAAATTAGCCAGGCGTGGTGGCACACGCCTGTAATCCCAGCTACTCCGGAGGCTGAGGCAGGATAATCGCTTAAACCTGGGAGGTGGAGGTTGTGGTGATCCGAGATCATGCCATTGCACTCCAGCCTGGGTAATAAGAGCGAAGCTCTGTCTCCAAAAAAAATAAAAAGGAAAAAAAAAAAAGGAAGAGGAGAGGACACACAGAGGCCAGGCGACATCAAAAGCAGAGACTGGAGTGATGCGGCTACAAGCCAAGGAATGCTAAAAATAGCTGGGGCTACCAGACACTAGGAAGAGGCAAGTAAGGATTCTCTCCTTGAGCCTTCAGAGGGAGCATGGGTGGCCCTACTGACGCCATGATTTCAGACCGATGGTCTCCCTGAGAAAATAAATCTCTACGGTTTTAAGTCTTCCAAGTTTGTAGTAATTTGTTAACAGCAAACTACTCCATAGGAAATGAATGCAGTTGCTAAGCGAAGAATAAATGAATAAACAAATCAACAAAGAGATGGCTGGTCCATACCAGCATGCCAAGAGCAAATATCTATAGATAGAATAACCGGACATACTTTGAAAACCAGCAAGGGAAACAATAGGCTTAACATGCAGCTGGTGGAGGTAAACCAGGTGTACAATTAGCTTAACAACCAGTGGGTACCCCTCTGGTTTCTTCCAGTGGGTACCCCTCTGCCCAGGAGGAACACTCAGTCCCAAGGCCTTTTTCCAGCACCATTACAGAACTATTATAGAGTGGATCTTGCCTTGCAAATAAGGGAAACTCAGAATTATTTTGTTTTTTGTTCTTCTTAGTCAAAGATGATAAATTGTAGTTAGAAAAAAAAGTCATTAAGAAATTCCATTGAAATAGGCCGGGCTCGGCGGCTCATGCCTGTAATCCCAACACTTTGGGAGGCCAAGGTAAGTGGATCACCTGAGGTCAGGAGTTGAGACCAGCCTGACCAAATGATGAAACCCCGTCTCTACCAAAAATACAAAAAATTAGCAGGGCGTGGTGGCAGGAGCCTGTAATCCCAGCTACTTGAGGAACTGAAGCAGGAGAACTATTTGAACCTGGGAGGCAGAGGATGCAGTGATCCAAGATCAGGGCACTGCACTCCAGCCTGGGCAACAGAGCAAGACTCTGTCTCGAAAAGAAAAAAAAAAAAAAAAAAGAAATTCCATCAAAATAAACAAGAAAGGGCCAAAGGAAAAACAAGTTCTTCTTCTTGGATGGATCTTCAACAACAAAAGCCCATTGCAGCCCCTGATGCTGGGTCTCTCTGAGGCACAACTCCATCTATAATACTCGCTAGTTCCTAAGACCCCGATTCAGACATAAGAAAAATAATCAAAGTTGCTCACGCTCTGTAGTGACCTCTTGCAATAGGTCCAGCCACTGTGACTCTCTCAAAGGTTTATTTGCAGCACTGTGACCGTAGAGGCCCCAGCCAGAGCACAGAGGGGCAGCCAAGCCCCCGGGTAATGAGCAGACACAAAGTCTCACAGCCCATGAGCACCAGGTCATTTATCTTCCTAGTTTTGTTCATTAAATTTGAAGGGGGAGGTGGAGAGAGAAGATAATGGAGGAAATCAATGTGAATTTTTCAAAGTAATCGGGCTTGATTGGTCTTTTTATTTGTCTAGGAAGGTCTGTCTGCCTAGAGGACTGGGAGACAAAATATCCTGAGGTCTCAATAACCAGCCTCCTCCCAGAACCGGAAAACTCAACTGCCCTTGCCCTAAAACCATGCCCCACCTCCCTCTCACCCTGCTATATGCATAACAGGAGCAAGTGAGCTCCTGGGCAGGAAAAAAAGTCTGCACCCTCCTGCTAAAACTCTTAATAGTGCTGAAGACGGGAACAGATGCTGGTCACTCACTCCACATGGGCCAGGCACTGTGCTGTATACATGGGAACCCTGAGATGAAAACACAGCTAGGGCCTCCTTCCTCAGTAGTCATTACTGCTAGGGAGGGCAGATGACACAGAAACTGCAGTGACAGAGGACACTCCCTCAAAAGCGGTGAGCCCAAGCCGGGCGCGGTGGCACACACGTGCAGTCCCAGCTACTTGGGAGGCTGAGGAAGGAGGAACATGTGAGTTCGAGAGCCCAGGAGTTCGAGAGCAGCCTGGACAACACAGTGAGACTCTATCTCTAAAAAAACAAAAAGAGGTGAGCCCAGAGTTGGAAGCCTGGGGACGATTTTCCAGTAATAAAGGGGAAGGGCATTTCAGGCAAAGGAACCCAACACGTTCAGTCTCCACTGAATTTTCACCATACAGTGTCCAAAATAAGGAAGAGCGGCCACAGACACTCTTTGGTGGTGACAAAGCAAATCCTATCAGCTTCACTCTGGTCTGCATGGCAAGAGTCTGTCACCTAGACACAGCCACTCTGAGCAGGTGCAGGGCCACTCTGAGGAATGTGGTGAAGGGAGGGCTCGCCTCGCAGCAACAAGGAAGGTCCCAGAGCACCCCAGGCCTTTGCCACTGAAGGAATCCTGAGTTGGCCTGAGGAACCCTCTGGGCTCTAACTGGGCCCCGGTTTGTTTCTTTCCTTCTCAGGTGGCACTGACGGGCCAAGGGATTCAGGATCTCAGAGCGAGAATTACTTCATAGGCATGAAAAGCCTTGTGATATAAGTGATTCTCTCACAAATGTGGTCCCCGAAGGTGGGCAGGAGGGCATGGCTGCATTACAGAACCTTTCCCCCTCCTGGAAAAGCTCACCAGTCCCATCAGCAGGGATTTCTTTACTCAAGAAAAGATAGCACGGCTGGGCACAGTGGCTCACGCCTGTAATCCCAGCACTTTGGGAGGCCGAGGCAGGCGGATCACGAGGTCAGGAGATCGAGACCATCCTGGCGAACATGGTGAAACCCCGTCTCTACTAAATATACAAAACATTAGCCAGGCGAGGTGGCGGGCACCTGTAGTCCCAGCTACTTGGGAGGCTGAGGCAGAAGAATGGCATGAACCCGGGAAGCGGAGCTTGCAGTGAGCTGAGATCGCACCACTGCACTCCAGCCTGGGCAACACAGCGAGACTCCATCTCAAAAAAAAAAAAAAAAAAAAAAAAAAGATAGCACAGGCCATGATTCTCCTGGAGAATGACCAGTATGAAAATAGCAGTGCTTTGTGGCTGGATGGATTCTGTTTCTGTTTCCTATTTTTTTTTTTTTTTAAATAGTGTCTAGGCCAGGCACAGTGGCTCACACCTGTACTCCCAGCAATTTGGGAGGCCAAGGCAGGCGGATCACCTGAAGTCAGGAGTTCCAGACCCGCCTGGCCAACATGGTAAAACCCCATCTCTACTAAATACACAAAAAATTACCCAGGTGTGGTGGCACATGCCTGTAATCACAGCTATTTGGGAGGCTGAGGCAGAAGAACTGCTTGAACCTGGGGGACGGAGGTTGCAGTAAGCCAAGATCTCACCACTGCACTCCAGCCTGGGTGACAGAGCAAGACTCTGTCTCTAAAAAAAAAAAGAAGACAAGGTCTCTCTTGGTCACCCAGGCTGGAGTGCAGTGGCGCAATCTCAGCTCACGGCAGCCTTAACCTCGTGGGCTCTACCCAACATCTACTGTCAACCCTGACCCCTGCAACTGCCACTCCTGGCATGAAGAAGAACTCAACTCTTTTTTTTTTTTTGAGACAGAGTCTCGCTCTGTCGCCCAGGCTAGAGTACAGTGGCGTGATCTCAGCTCACTGCAAGCTCCGCCTCCCGGGTTCACGCCATTCTCCTGCCTCAGCCTCCTGAGTAGCTGGGACTACAGGCGCCCGCCACCACGCCCGGCTAATGTTTTGTATATTTAGTAGAGATGGGGTTTCACTGTGTTAGCCAGGATGGTCTCAGTCTCCTGACCTCCTGATCCGCCTGCCTTGGCCTCCCAAAGTGCTGGGATTACAGGCGTGAGCCACCACACTCGGCCAAAGAGGACCCCAACTCTTGACGCTCTTTTGGGTTCACAACGAGCTAGAGTAGAGCAAAAGGGCCAGAATGAGGAGTCTGGTTAGACAACACCTCAAAAGTTCCTACAAGTCACATGGGAGAGAGGGCAGATCCAAGGAGCTCCACAATGGCAAAGGAAAGCAGATGAGAAACTGGCTGCGGCCAGGTGACCAGACCCCATTCAGGAGTCCACGGGAGAAGAGGAGGAAGTCAGCCAGAGGTCTGAGCCACAAATGGCCAGGAAGCCAGGCCAAGGAGTCTAAAATAGTCAGGATTGAGAGACGTGGGCACCACGGGTGAGAAGGACACCTGTGCCTTTGCAGGCAGTGTTTCCTCCTGGGCTTCCTTCCTACCCAAAACCAGAACGGGGCTTGGCTGGGTCTGTGCACACAGTTGGAAACAGTGGACAAGTGCTGGCACAGAGAGCTGGGGAGGTGGATGCAGGCAACTCCTGACCCAGCACCTGGAATGATGCCTAGGCCAAGGGTATTTCAGCTGGCCTGCCTTGCTGTGAGAGATATACACTGAATCCTCCTGACTCCAACTGATGACAGAAGGCAACTCACCTGAAACAGACCTTGTTTAATGAAACAGGGCTTTAATGGACAAATCAGCATAACATCCACTGGCAGAATTTCCTTAAACAAATCCGATTAAAGGCCCAAAATCAAAATACACTTAGGTTTCAAATGATGCTTTCCCTGGACAGCAAACTTCATAGATCACTATGATGTGTCTTATCTTCCACCTGCTTACACTCACCTGGAAACCTGCCTTGTTAAAGTGTACGAGAACATGGAGACCACCCTTCAAGTCACAAATCCTGCCAGCAGTGCTCCTGGGCCAGCTCTTGCACCGGAGATCAGGGCTGCCTAATCAAAGCATCTGCTCCTTCCTGGAAGGCTCCAACAGCCAATTCCACTAAAGCATAAGGCACTGACCATCCCAGAAGAAGGAAAATGGGCTGATTAAAGTCCCACAATCACCAGAGGAGATAAGTGGGAAGAGAGAGCTGGCATTTAGGAAGCAGTGAGATATTTCCTGTGTTTTCACACAGCGAGTCCCTCCTGCTCATATCTCTTCCTGTCCTGCTGGAGAGCACAAGGAAAACACCATCAGAAATGAATGAGTCACGCGCTGGGTGCGGGGGCTCAGAACTGTAATACCTGCACTTCGGGAGGCCGAGGCGGGCGCATCATTTGAGCTCAGGAGTTCGAGACCAGCCTGGCCAACATGATGAAACCCTGTCTCTACTAAAAATACAAAAATTAGCCAGGCACAGTGGCACGTGCCTATAATCCCAGCTACTCGGGAGGCTGAGGCACAAGAATCACTTGAACCCAGGAGGCGGAGATTGCAGTGAGCCGATATCACACCATGGCACTCCAGTCCACGTGACAGAGTGACGGAGCGAGACTCCAACTCAAACAAACAAACAAAAATAAATGAGTGAATCAGGAAGATGGTATGAGACCTCCTGCCCATGTGGAGCGGGCAGAACTTAAGTGGGAACCTGAAAGATCTTCCTGCCTCACAGAAGTTCTGAAATAGTCATCCTTTCTCGCTTTCCTCCCCAGAAACAACAAACAGAGTCAACTGCTCCTTACTCCAGCCCACCTCCATCCCACTCCACTCAGGTGATCCAGTTCCATTCCCCTTAAATGGGTCCATGCAGAACCTCCTACTGCAGATAAAGCCAACAACCACATGACACATGAAACCCACAGAACTCTGCAGGGAAACAGTCTGCACCCATATCCCACGCCACAGACTGCGGTGCACAGCATGGGGCAGTCACCAAAGCGGGGCGTAGGGGAGAAGTGGAAGGAGGAGACAGGTCGTTCCTGGACGTGGGAAGGGGTAGAGTGTGTTGAGGTGAGCAGGGGCAGGGCACAGAGGAGAGGACAGATACATCACTTATTTACAGCTTGGCTCTTGTCTTCTCATGGGAGCACTCCAAGCCTTCTATGATGTAGGCCTTAGTTCCTCCTTCTCCCTGAATGTCCCTTTATTCTGCATGTGCCACAAGTGAGACATCAGGCTATGTTCTGGCATCCAGGGCCCGTCCCTTCAGTGGCCGTCCTCACTGAAACCCAAGGCTTCTTTAGCCAGCGTCCAGGCCAGGTGCTCTCTGCCTCCTGGGATGTTAACCAGCCAGCCTAATAAATCCACAGGTGTGAATGGGTTGAGGCTGGGGGCCTCCACTTTTTCTCAGATAAAGAATATTTTATCAGTATTCTTTTGGTGGCAGGGAGCAATCCTGGGAGAGAGATTTTGGGGGTAGGTAAAGTCTTACAGCCTCCTTCAAATCGCTGCTGCAACCTGCTAGCCACACACACAGGGCCAGGCTGGCCACTTCGGGGCCAAAACAACACGGCTGCATCTGACCAAGACACTATGTGACTTGCGACAGGACACTACCGTGCCGTCTCTGCCAAGGGCAGGAGAACTGTCCAGAGAGCCCCGGCTTGCCAGGCTGGTTCTCCATGAAAACAGGTCACACAGGCCATCGAGGCGGATGGGTTTCTTTAGGAGGATTCTGAGGAAGCGTCTACAGCCCATGGGGTGACCACCAGTCAGTAAGGGAGGAGACGGGCATGCTGTAGGGGTGATGCTAGGTGCATGCCAAATACCAGAGGGCAAAGGACCCCAGCATGGTGTCATTATATGGGTGAGGCCTTCACCCCAAACTGCCAGGGTGGCAAATCCCAATTGGATGGGTAGAAATTACCTTTAACTGCCCCACGCTGACGCATGACTGTATCTCCCCAGTCAAACAAGGATGCTGGCCAGAGAAGGTTCCAGATCTTATACTATGACCAGGGATGTTTCCACTCCCTCTCCAAGGCACGGGAGCCAAGCCTGGTCATCTCACAGGATATAAAGATTAACCAACAACATCCACATTCAAACGGAACCCCAAAGCTAAACAGAGGTATCTCAAAACCATACCTTTCAGACAACAGAAATAATCTCAGAGAACCGTTTCCTAAGAGCAGGTTGCCTCAGAGTGCATTCTGGAAAAATCTTTTTGTTTTGTTGTTTTTTGGGAGTCAGAGTCTTGTTCTGTCACCGAGGCTGGAGTAAAGTGGGGCAGTTATGGCTCACTGTGGCCTCAACCTCCTGGGCTCAAGCGATCCTCCCACCTTGGCCTCCCAAAGTGTTGAGATTACAGGCGTCAGCCATTGCATCCCACCCATTCTGGAAAATTCTAACTGGTCCAGTAGGTATGAAGAATGCGATTCTGGGGAGAGTCACGTTGCCTGTTAGCAAATTAACCTTAGAGGGGTCTTGCACTTCAGAAACACATTGACTTGAATCCCATTTTCCAAGCTCACTTGACCACTCATTATTAGCACCCATCAGACGGGTCTCCATGCAACACGCTCTGGAGAAAGCAAACTGGAAAATTACGAAGAAAGAACTGGTCCAGGGGTTCTTAAGCTGGGCTTCAGACATTCAGGAACTGTCCAAAATCCTAAGGAAAAAAAAGAACTGTCTATTTGTGTCTTTTTGTTAGGGAAGAGGATCCTCAGCTTCCACAGGTTCCCAACAGGGCTGTATCTGCCAAGGTGAAGAATTGTTGATTTATGCCAAAGTCCTCACTCACCAATCAGGAAACAGAGGCTTGCAGAGCCAGTTTGCTCAACTGTCTTTCTTTCTTTTTTTTCTTTTTTCTTTTTTTTTTTTTGAGACGGAGTCTCGCTCTGTTGCCCAGGCTGGAGTGCAGTGGCGTGATCTCGGCTCACTGCAACCTCCGCTTCCCGCGTTCACGCCATTCTCCTGCTTCAGCCTCCCGAGTAGCTGGGACTCCAGGCGCCCGCCATTACGCCCGGCTACTTTTTTTTTTTGTATTTTTTTAGTAGAGACGGGGTTTCACCGTGTTAGCCAGGATGGTCTCGATCTCCTCACCTCATGATCCACCCACCTCGGCCTCCCAAAGTGTTGGGATTACAGGTGTGAGCCACCGCACCCGGCCTCCTCAACTTTCTATAGCAGTTACAGCAGAAGGTTGGACTGGAACCCAGATCTCCTCAATTCTATCACAACATTTTTAGTCGTAAGTTGTTTGCCAAGGCTGATATTACGAAGAGGGGAGGTGGGAAGGGCTGAAAAACTACCTGTTGGGTACTACGCTCCCTATCTGGGTGGTGGGGTCATTCATACCCCTCAGTGAGTATCACATGATATACTCATATAACAAACATGCATATGTATCTCCTGAATCTAAAATAAAAGTTGAAATTATTTTTTTAAAAAAGTAAAAGAAACCGGGTGCGGTGGCCCGTGCCTGTAATCCCAGCACTTTGGGAGGCTGAGGCAGGCAGATCTCTTGAGGTCAGAAGTTTGAGACCAGCGTGGCCAACGTTGTGAAACCCCATCTCTACTAAAAATACAAAAATTAGCCAGGCGTGGTGGCATGCGCCTATAATCCCAGCTACTCAGGAGGCTGAGGTGCGAGAATCGCTTGAACCTGGGAGATGGAAGTTGCAGTGAGCAGAGATCGTGTCACTGCACCCCATCCTGGGCAACAGAGCAAGACTCCGTCTCAAAAAAAAAAAAAAAAAAAAAGGCTGGGCACAGTGACTCATGGCTGTAATCCCAATACTTTGGGAGGCCAAGGCAGGCAGATCACTTCAGGCCAGGAGTTCAAGACCATCCTGGCCAACATGGTGAAACCTCATCTCTACTAAAAATATAAAAAATAGCCGGGCGTGATGGCAGGCACCTTTAATCCCAGCTACTCAGGAGGCTGAGGCAGGAGAGTCACGTGAACCCAGAAGGCAGAGGTTGCAGTGAGCCAAGATCACACCACTGTACTCCAGCCTGGGCAACAGAGCAAGACTCCACCTCAAAAAAAAAAAAAAAAAAAAAAGAGTGTTCTTTGCATCAGAATAATACCAACCATAGCACCACACTTTGCCCAGAACCTCCGTGGGACTTCTACTCACAACTCAGTATAGGTTCTTTTTTCTTGCTTAATACATATTAAAACCCACTTATAAAACAAGTAACAGAGTAATCACACCTTTATAAATAGACCTTCCCTGTACACATAAAATAAAATAATATCGCTGCCTCCACCATACGGATTTAGAGATGAACCAGTTTTTTAAAACACTCATAGGTGGGAATTGAACAATGAGAACACTTGGACACAGGAAGGGGAACATCACACACCGGGGCCTGTTGTGGGGTGGAGGAAGGGGGGAAGGATAGCATTAGGAGATATACCTAATGTTAAATGACGAGTTAATGGGTGCAGCACACCAACACGGCACATGTATACATATATAACAAACCTGCACGTTGTGCACATGTACCCTAAAACTTAAAGTATAATTTAAAAAAAAAAAACTTTACACAAAAACGTTCTCTTTTTACACATCTCGTGGTCTCCCTCACATCTGCATCTCTGTAGTTTGCTGGGTCCTGTCTGGAGTGCCCTTACCCTCCCGACCTCCCTTTTCCTGTCAGCCTCCTCGTTCTCCTTCCGCTCGCCCAGGCAATCTTCTGTCCTTCCTAGGAGAGGCAGTCTGATTCTGATTCTTCTGTGAAGACCACCCTGAGCACATCAAACAAAACCAAACCCCACCTCAACCATTCTGAGCCCAGGCTGGAGTACAATGGTGTGATCTCAGCTCACTGCAACCTCTGCCTCCCGGGTTCAAGCAATTCTACCACCTCAGCCTCCCGAGTAGCTGGAATTACAGGCACACATCACCATGTCCGGTTAATTTTTGTATTTTTAGTAGAGATGGGGTTTCACCATGTTGGCCAGGCTGGTCTTGAACTTCCAACCTCAGGTGATCTGCCCGCCTTGGCCTCCCGAAGTGCTGGGATTACAGGCGTGAGCCACTGCAGCCTGGCCCAGTTTGGAAATTTCTAACAAGCAGTTGAAAATGCAGGGCTGGTGCTCAAGAAGGCGTTCTGAGCAACGTGATGGGATTTGGGATGCACAGGCACACTCCTGGTGGGCATTGGTGCTGCAGGCATGAAAGATGTTACCCAAGGAGCGTGCCAACACCAAGGAAAAGGAGGAGGTTTGAAGAGAGCCAGACCTGGGTTTAACCTCTGGTTTTTCTAGCTAATAAATGAGCAGCTAAGTAAGCCTCTCTGAGCCCCAATCTCCTCATCTCTAGCCAGTCCAATCCTATGATATGGACCCTGCAGAAGCCTGGAGAGCTGGAACTTCACGATGTCTACAGAGGACCTAGTGCAGTCCCCACCAAGCAGGAGGCATTACAACAGAAGCCACACACAGAAGACCTCAAGGCAACAGGGGAATCTGGAGAAGGTGGTGCCCCAAGTCAGAAGAGAAAGTGGCTGTTAACATTATTTACATTCTTAGGACAATATCTTTTTTTTTTTTTTTTAAGTGATGGGGGTCTTGAGCCGCTACCCAGGCTGGAGTGCAGTGGCATGATCACAGCTTTCTGCAGCCTTGAATTCCTGGGCTCAAGTGATTTTCCCACCTCAGCCTCCCAAAGAGCTGGGAGCCTGCCACCACACCAAGCTCAAGGTCATTAAAGGTGCAAGACAGGATCCTTAATGGTGGCAACTTCAGTAGGCTGACGGAGGAGAACCTGAGGGTACGGGGGTGAGGAGGAAACACCGGACCAGAAGCATCGACCAGAGCAGAGCATCTCACTTGGTCCTGCCTGTGCCAAGGACAAGCTGACATGGAGAAGGCAGAAGATGGAATCAAAATGTCAGCAATTGGCATGATCTTACACCCCAGCCCTACTTGCTCATCTCCTTGCCCAGACCCTGAGCTGCGCCCCCTTCTTTGACCTTCTCCCCATCCCTCTTGCTCCATTGGCAATCGGCTCAAGAGTGCTGACTCGAGAGACAGCTGAACCCCAAGAGCTTTCCCCAGATGTGGTGTCAGGACGGTAGCAAAATATATACCATTTCTGCTTTTTTAAATATGCTTGGGTATTAAAGTAGGAATAAAACAATCCTGATGTTTCCAGCAATTTCTAAAAAGTCCTGATTTATACTCTGAATGCCAAATGTCCAGAATATAATATGCCATATTATATACTGGTGTAGACTAGAGAAAGTTAGATAGGAGGTAAGAGGGCAGGAGGAAAGAAATTGGAGGGTGTAGGGGCAAAAAAAAAAATCCTTTTTTAATTTTTTTAAATGGGAAGCCTTGGGCATCTTTATAAGCTGAATGAAAGAAGTCGACACAGCGGACACTGTCATAAGTGGAACAAAGGATGAAGCTAATCATGGAGGCAAGCTCCCTGGAGAGACAGGGACAAAATCAAGAATGAGCTGGAGAAATTAATCCTGGAGAAAGGGAGGGACCTGACTTCCTTGAAGGCAGGCAGCCAGGAAGTAAAGAGGAAGGAAAAATCAAGATACATTTTTGGCAAGGGGGCAGGAAGTGGATGGAGTCTCCTCCTGGGATACCCAGTTTGCTCAGTGAAATAAGAGATGACATCATCTGTTGAGAAGGAAAGGCCTAAAGGATAAGGATGAAGTAGGGGGTAGGGGGAGAGAGGTAGAGATTTGGACTAATCACCGTGGGAAACAAATGAGAGCACAGCAAGTGTATGTTAGAGGTCTGAGGACTCGCCCAAGGCTCCTCTGAGGTTGCGGACCATGAACTTGACATGAAGACCCTCTGTGGCATGGTGGGGTTATCTGCTAGTTCTCCAGAAATCAAGATACTTCTTTTATCAGAGAACCAGGGTATCTGATAGACTCTGTATCTCAGTCTGCATGCAACAGAATAATCTTCTGTTCTATATTCTTCAAACATCTCCAGTTCCCATTGACAACGGTAATTTTTAAATGTCAAAAATTCTGAATATCAGCATCAGAAAGTTAAAATATGCAGTTGCCAAAGAAAAAGAAATCCACATACAGTTGGCCCTCTGAGTCGGAACCCACAGATTCAACCTACCATGAATTTAAAATAATTGAAAGAAAAAAAAAGGCTGGGTGTGGTGATGCGTGGTGACTCACGCCTGTAATCCCAGCACTTTGGGAGGCCGAGGTGGGTGGATCACCTGAGATCAGGAGATCAAGACCATCCTGGCTAACATGGTGAAACCCTGTCTCTACCAAAAATACAAAAAGTTAGCCAGGCACGGTGGCGGGCACCTGTAGTCCCAGCTACTCGGGAGGCTGAGGCAGAAGAATGGCATGAACCCGGGAGGCAGAGCTTGCAGTGAGACGAGATCGTGCCACTATACTCCAGCCTGGACGACAGAGCGAGACTCCATCTCGGGGGAAAAAAAAAAGAAAAAAGAATACAAAATAACAATACAATAATAAAAATAATACAAATAAGAAACAATATAACTACTTATATAGCAGTGATATAGTATTAGGTATGATAAGTAACCTAGAGATGACTGAAAGAATATGGGAGGATGTGCATATAGGTTATATGTAAATATGATGCCATTTTCCATCAAGGACTGGTGCATCTGCAGATTTCGGTATCCACAGGGTCCTGGAACTAATACCCCATAGGTACTGAGGGACAGTTGTATAAAACGTTGAATAGGCCGGGTGCAGTGGCTCACGTCTGCATTCCCAGCACTTTGGGAGGTCGAGGTGGGCAGATCACCTGAGGTCAGGGGTTCAAGACCAGCCTGGCCAACATGGCTACTAAAAATACAAAAATTAGCCAGATGTGGTGACAGACTCCTATAATCCCAGTTACTTGGAAGGCTGAGGCAGGAGAATCACTTGAACTCGGGAGGCGGAGGTTGCAGTGAGCTGAGATGGCACCACTGCACTCCAGCCTGGGCGACAGAGCCAGACTCTGTCTCATAAATAAATAAATAAATAAAATTGAATATCTGTGCCTTTTGTTTGCGGTGGTTTTTGGTTTTGATTTTGGTTTTTGCCAATCAAGTCATTCCCCTGTTTCTGCTTTAGTGGCACAGGCTGGGGCCACTTTGTTTTTCATTGGGAAAAAATGGATTTTCTTTTTATTCATGGATGTTCGCTGTCCTGACCGGAGCCTCCCGGGTATCTCAGTTGTACCCAACCTTGAGAACCTGTTGTCATACCCACCCCACGTATTAATCATGTTACAGACCCAGGGGGAGACTGCCTGTCCCAGGGCTAGGTAACTCCTCAAGAGAGGAAACAGCTTATTCTGAAGATGCCTCTCCTGTGCTAGCCAACCACCTCCTTATCAAATGCTCACACCGGGACACTATTTCTCTCGCCCACCATCCACCCAGGCCCAGGTACCAGTCAACTAGGGACACCCCTGTAGCCCACCAGAATTGTTCAAACTAGCTCGTTTTAATGCTTTACCTAATTGTTACCCTGCCCTGCCTCGCTTTTCCTGAGAAAATCCCAACAAAGGCTCTAGTCCCGGCTTTCCCCTCACTCTTCTGCTTCCTGGTGCTTTCCTGTGGCCTGTGTGGTACAACGTGGGCCTGGCATGACATGGCAGTGTGCCCCCTTCTCTTGGGAAATGCAACTCATACATCCTCACCTCCATAAATTAAAATCATGTGGATACAAGTGAGACATCCCACTCCCAATCCCAACCGTGCTGGCCTTTCTCCAGCCTTTCCCCTGCTACCTGTCATCGGGTGTTTAGCTCATATGCTAGCACCTTGGGAATCCTGGCAGTGGGCGAAAGCCGAGCCAGTCTGACAATAACCACAAACCAGGGGCCCAGATGGTCCCACGCCTCGTCAGCCTGGAGCAGCTCACATCCAGTAGCTCCTATATTCACACCTTTGTGACTGCTATGAAGTGAAATGTCCCCGAATCCATTTTTTCAAAAGTCTGCTAAGTAGACATTTTTAGGGAACCTTCGCTTTCTTTTCATGTAAATAGAAACCAGCCACCTACACCCACACAACCATATGCCAAAGTCTGGTGCCATCTACTGAAACACACATCCACACGTCTGGCCGTACCCAGTAATACTCGAGTACACAAAGGAGATCTGGCCTTTTGTTTTACAAGAAGGGATTGTGTGTGGAGCTGCTCCATCTTTTGGAACAAAGAGAACTTCTGCTCAATTAATGAGCAAATGCTGGAGTTCACTGCATTTGAGCACTCCATTAATCTCAGCACTGCATTCACCTCCAAGACACGACATTGTGAGCTGCCCTCACAGCAGTGAAATGCGCGCACACACAGGCACGTTACACATGCACACACATATATCTGTACACACAAACACACAAACTTGAAACCTTCTGTCAAGAGGGAAAAAAGAGACCTTAAACCACTATTTGATCACCTTAAGCATAAATGAAACCATACAGCCCTAACTCTTGCCACACTGGCTCGGGCAGGCTCTTACACGGTTCCTCCAATGAGCACAGCTGGGAGTCCTCAGGGCCAGTCCCAGGAGTTCATCAAAGTCCATTGCACGCGGTCCCTTCCATGTCTATTATGGTCCTCTTCTGAATGGGAGGCAGCCACACCCAGCTGTTACCATGGCAGCAGCTGGGCACTGCTGCCACTTTTCCAGGATGTCACTGTAGGACCACCAGGCCTACATCCTCCTTCTGTTTCACAAACCCTCTCTTCCCCTGCCCCCCAACCATCCTGGCCTTAGTACTTGGGCAGGAACCCAACAGTCAAAACTGCACCAGTGGCCAAGTTCGAGAGATACATCCCAGCCTTCCTCTGGCCACTGAAGCCACATTCCTGGGTCCATATATACCCTATTCCTCTTTACCAGGCAAGGACTCTCCCAAAAGGCTTCCCCATCTCCCTCCGCACCTCAATTCATGGCAAGCCCACCCAACTCATTGACCAAACATGCCCAGACAGGGCTGAATCCCTCTAGCAGACTCAAGCTCAAGCTAGGAATACCCACACGTTCCACACACATAGGGAGACTTTAATTAAGACTGTGATGCAATTCATACACTTCTGAAAACATTTGCAAATTAAAAGGAAGTTGGAGAGGGTAACAGAAAGGAATGGACCAGTACAAACGTCATGATTTACTGGGGGATGACCACTCTATCTTCAGTGACCAGATAGGAAGTGGTCCACCGCTTGGTAAAAGGACACCCAGCGGGGGAAGAATAGGTCCACATTCCATTGAGATACCAATGCCAGTTCATAACAAACACAGCTGTTTCCCATCACCTGCCAACTCAAGATGCACACACGTGGTTAACACACACTCTCTTCTCCACTTCTCTCTTCTCCACTTCCGGGGTTGGGCCCTGAAATCATTCTGCTTTCCCAGCATTTGCTAAGCATCTGTCAGGCGCCAAGCACTGTGTCTGGGCTGTGGATTCAAAGGCAAGGAAGGCTGGATCCCTGCTCTCTGGGATTTATCTCGCGGCAAAATGCTCCTACCTAAATGGAGTTGGGAGGAAACTGCGAGTTGGGGAAAATCACTAGAGGGAAGAAGTGAGGGGGGATTTGGGAACACCTGGAGCATGTGAGGGACAAAGAGCATGACCACTTCTCAACAGAGCAGCTAACAGGGGAGATATACACAGCCAGCAAGCAGCATGCAAGACACTGAAATGTCTAGAAATGGAAAAAGATGGACAAGAGGAGGGAGGAGACATTCCAAGAAAAAAATTTCATTTGCCTGACAATTTAACTAGGGCCCTTGTGACATGTGGACGTCATGGAAATCCACTGGCTGCTCTTTATTGGGCTGTGTACAAAATAAAAGTGGGCAGGAACCACTGTGATGTAAATATCTAACATGCTAAGTGTCCAACTGAGTTATTATCAGTAGGTCAGGATTAATGAGTGAAGGAGCTGCGTTGTTTTCTCCAGAAGACATTCTTGAGCTGATTCATCTGAACAGACTCCATCTCCTCTGTGACCACCAGCTACCTACAGCAGGAAGGTCTCTGATGAGGTGAGGGGTTAGGTGCTATAGGTGGCCAAGGAACAGAATGAAACTAATGGGATCCAAAGACCTCACCTCATCGGCACTGTTACCTGCCAGGGGCAGAACAAAAAGACCAGGGTGCAACCTAACGAGCTGAACTTACGAGATTCGTGGGCCATCTGGTGCTTATTATCTCTCCTCTACAGGACTCATTGTCCTTACCTGTAATGTAAGAGCACTGAGCTGGCTAGGCGTGGTGGCTCACGCCTGTAATCCCAGCACTTTGGGAGGCCGAGGCGGGTGGATCTCCTGAGGTCAGGAGTCCGAGACCAGCCAGGCCAACATGATGAAACCTTGTCTCTACCAAAAATATAAAAATTAGCCAGGAGTGGTGGCACATGCCTGTAATCCCAACTACTCAGGAGTCTGAGGCAGGAGAATCGCTTGAACCCGGGAGGTGGAGGTTGCAGTGAGCCAAGATCGCACCATTGCACTCCAGCCTGGGCGACAAGCGTGAAACTCCATCTCCAAAAAAGAAAAAAGAAAAGAGCACTGAACTGGATGATGATTTCCAAGGTCCACTTAAACTCCTAATGTCCCTGATTCACACCTTGCACCCACCCAGTCTCAGCCAGAGCCCTGGCGCAAGACAGTGCTCTCAGGAAATGTTGGGAGGAAAGTGAGTCTATTACAACCAGCATCAGAAGAAGGGTAAAAGGAAGGAAAGAATGTCCCTCTCAACTGGCCCCAGCTTTCCCAAAACTCTGCCTTTGGCTTGTGCTGCACAGATGACAAATAACTGTTATAAAACACATTTATAATCCAGCAACAGTCAGCCTGCGGAGCACCTCAAACCCAAAGAAAGAAGGGCCCCCGGCCAGCCTTATAAATCATGCTCGAGGCTGGGCACAGTGGCTCAAGCTTGTAATCCCAGCACTTTGGGGGTTGAGGTGGGTAGATCACTTGAGGTCAGGAGTTTGAGATCAGCCTGGCCAACATGGTGAAACCCCATCTCTACTAAAAATACAAAAATTAGCTGGGCGTGGTGGTATGTACCCATAATCCCAACTACTCAGGAGGCTGAGGCAGGAGAACTGCTTGAACAGGGGAGGCTGAGGTTGCAGTGAGCCAAGATTGCACCACTGCACTCCAGCCTGGGTGACCCAGTGAGACTCTGTCTCAAAAAATAAAATAAAATAAAAATAAATCACGCTCATAACCCAATTCGGACCTCCAAACCTGGTTTAATAAAATTTGCCTCTCCACGTGATTCATTCTGGAGCATGGTTATACATTTGTTAATGTGCCACAGCATGATCTTGAAAAGTTGGGGCATAGAAGAGTGTGCCGAAAGACAGTCTCTGCCCACTCTTGCTGATAATAATAATAATAATAAAGCTATAGAATAGGAAATGGGTAAGCCATTTGGAAAAACAAAAAAACAGAAATAACCAAGCAAACCACTTTACCATGATCATAAAGGTGAAGAAAGAGACAGGGAAGAGAAAGGGAGAGAACTTGGACCACAGCAACAACGATGAATAGCGTAGAGGGGCTTTTGATGATACCTAGCATGTGGGGAGCTGAGAAATTGATCTGCTTCCCAGAAGTAAAGAGAAGGTGAGGAATTGAAAACCCAAGGGAACCGGGCGTGGTGGCGGGCGCCTGTAGTCCCAGCTACTCGGGGGGCTGAGGCAGGAGAATGGCGAGAACCCGGGAGGTGGAGCTTGCAGTGAGCCGAGATCGTGCCACCGCACTCCAGACTGGGCGACAGAGGGAGAGTCCGTCAAAAAAAAAAAAAAAAGAAAAAAAGAAGGAAACCCAAGGGAAGAGAAGCCAGAACCCTCTGCCTGTGATGATGACCCCGCGTGGGGTGGAGACAGAGCTGCCAGGGTGGTCGGGCAGCACGGCCACCACAGCTGCATCTCTGATGCTCTGGTTAACCCCAGTGCCCTGCTAGGACCACAGGCTCTGGCTGGAATTCACTTTCGGAGAGCCGGGTGGACAAGCACAAACGTGGTCACAATGAATTTCAAGGACTTCTTCGAATGCCTTTATTACTGCGGAAATTCATTGCCTGAATGATGTTTGAGATCAATGGACTGCCAGCTAGAGCTTGGGTTGCTTTCTCTTTTGGGAGAAACTGCAGTTTCAATAGATTCGGCTGGTGTGGCCGTTTTCAAAAGGGCTCCTCTTTTTGTGCTTTCGCTAAACATTTAATAAATTTATGATTTCTCTGTCCACCAAACACGGCCAGAACCACTTTAGACATAAGTGGAAATTCAACAGGGGGATAAGGGAAAATGTCCTCCCTGCTGCAATCTATCCCAACACAACAGCCAGGGTGATCCTCTTTAAACTGAAGTCAGGTCACGTTCAAACGGGAAGCCTCAGCACAAAAGCCAGGATCTTACTAGGACTTCTGAAGGCTTGTGCAAGCTGGCTACCATTTTATTTCCCCCTTCCTCTTCTACCATTCTCTGCTTGGGCAACCCCTCTTTCTGACTCTTCTTGAACATGCCAGCTCTGCCCCACCTCCAGGCAGTGACACCTGCTGGGCCTTCCACCTGGAATGCTCTTCTCCCCAAATATCTGCCTGGTTTGGTCCTTCACCTGCTTCAGGTCCTTATAGAAATGCCACCTTCTCAGATGTTCCCTAACCATGCTCCCTAAATTTACAACACTTAAACCCCATACACACACACCCTCTTCCCACCCCCTCTACAACTACACCCCATACACACACACACACCTCCTACCCCCTTACACCATGTACACCCTATACACAAACACACTTCTCACCCCCTTACAACACCTACACCCCATACACACACTTCCCACCCCCTCTACAACTACACCCCATACACACACGCATACTTCCCACCCCCTCTACAACACCTACACCCCATACACACATGCACACTTCCCACCCTATCTATAACTACACCCCATACAAACATGCACACTTCCCACCCCCTCTACAACATCTACACCCCATACACACATGCATACGTCTTACCCCCTTATCTGCTGTTTCTTTCTCCTTAGCAGTCAACACCATCTAACGCACTATGTATTTTGCTCATTTAGAACTCATTCTCTGTCTCCTCCACTGGAATGTCGGCTCTCTATGAGAGGGGACTTTCATTTCTTGTTCTTATTCTTGCATTTGTTTGTTCGGTTGGTTGGTTGATAGGCTGGCTACTACAGTAATGTGCAGTGCCTAGAATGTGCCAGGAAACACTTAAGAATTTGGTAACTGCATGAAATGAATGAAAAAGTAAGAACACAAGCCCAGCATCTTGCTCCTTCCCATGACCTGGCTTAACAAACCATAGGACTATGCTTCACGAGAACCTGCTGCTGATGCTGCACTTAGGGTCAGGATTTGGAGAGTGTGACACCGAAGGCGAGAGTTCTTCCACGGGGGGATCAACTGGTGATACTGAATCAGAAGACAGTGAGGGCAAGGAAAGTGAATGGGACTAGTAGGGTGAACACTTGTCACAGAAAGACTATTATATTTCCTAGAAAATGAAAACAGCTACAACCTAAAGCATGCCTCAGTGAGCAGATCAGAGTGGAGAGGAGAAAAAGAAAAAGAAAAGCAAAGAATAATTATAGTATGAAGAATGCATGACATCTGTGCCTTCTCCCAAGAGACTGGGCCTAAGGAAGAGCCTGAGGACATTCTATGAAATGCTGAAATCATATGCAGAATTTTGCAGGAATATGCATATTGCTGGAATAAAGATCCATAACTTTCACCAGCTTCTCAAAATAGCCCCTGATCGAAATGTTAGAGGAACGCTAACTTACACAAGAATGCCCTAATTCCTTTTATTTCCACTTATATCCATTTATTAAGTGCCTATTACCATATCTCACCAAATTCTAAGACACCAACAATTCCAAGACACAGCGTTATTTTATGCAGCATGTCAGTTCCGCTATGACATGCCATTGGTTGTAAGGCAAATGCTAATTTCAGAGATGCTAAAAATGCAAAACGATGTGAGGCTTAGAAGCTACAAATAACAGTATATGTCAAGCTCTGTTGCTAGTCCCTTTACATATGTTATCTGAGTCCTAGTGTGAAAAATGTTATTATTCAATTATAATTACAAATGAAGACAAAGCCAGAATTCCAAGGTGAGTTCCAACCTAGGTCTGTCTGAAAGCCTCCACACCAGCACACCACCTCCCAGCAAAGATATGGCTCCCACATCGGCAGACCTTATAACGAAGTACAGAACAAGAACCTCTAAACAATCAAGCTACAGACAGGTAATGAGAGTTGGGTATCAAATGATCACAGAAGCACCCAGCTTGTGTCTGGAGCAATCCTTCAAACAAACTTCCAAATCTCCCGAAGACAGTTTCACATTTATTATTCTAAGGAGCCTCTGCTCTTTCACCTACTTTATAGCTCCCTCTCACTTCAATAAACTACTTAAGTGGAAGTTAATGATCCAGAACATATAGTGCTCTGTGTTGAAAGGGGAACTTAGGAACAAAAGGTGCATGATTCCTTGTCAATGTTAAAACACATCCCTATTATCAAAGGATTGACGAAAGCAGGTCCTGGAAGGTTGGGGTTGAGATGTGTGCATAAGCACATGTGTGCACATGCTACAGGGTGAGAAGAAAGAGGCCTCGAGGAATAAAAATAACCATTTCACTGGATGTCTTCACAAACAGGATATGCTGCCACTTCCCTAAGGAGCTTTTAAGGAGCTCAATGAGTAGAACTACTGCCAGGAGAGAACCAGAAAGAAATCACCCCAAGAAAACACTAAACCCTGGTCAGGCATGGTGGCTCATGCCTATAATCCCAGCACTTTGGGAGGCTGAGGTGGCCAGATCACTTAAGGTCAAGAGTTTGAGACCAGCCTGGCCAACATGGCAAAACCCCATATCTATTAAAAACACAAAAATTATCCAGGTGTGGTGGTGCACACCTGTAGTCCCCGCTACTCGGGAGGCTGAGGCACGAGAATTCCTTGAACCCGGGAGGCGGAGGTTGCAGTGAGCTGAGAGTGCGCCACCAGCCTGGGTGATAGAGTGGGACTCCTTCTCAAAAAAAAAAAAAAAAAAAAAAAAAAAAAACACACAGAAAATACGAAACCCCCTCTCCCCACACTCTCCCCAATTTTGCTTTGTATGGTGATTTGGGTGTGATTTTATCTTATCAGTCAGCTCTTTCTTGTCATTTTCTATCTAACACTGAACAAGCCTAGTGGTAGATTGTAATAGCTGTTTACAATTACTCAATCCTCCCCTTTGCTGTAAGACTTATACATCCCTGCACAATGTCATACACTGTGTGGGGCTATGGACCACCCTGCCCCATGGTCAGGGTTGGACATGTGAGTTGCATGGGCCAATAGGACCCAGTGGATGTGAAGCTCACTACATCCAAGCAGGAGTTTTAAGGAGTATCATAAACAGGTATGGCCAATGTGGACTGGCCCTGAGTCTCAGAATTACAATGCATATGAAGCAGAACCATGGCCTGCAGCCTGCATATATACAAAGAGCCACTGAGATGTGGGATTGCATGCAAAAAATTAGTACCAGAAGTGGGATATGCCATAACAGATAAAATACAAGGCATAAGCTTTGGAGCTGGGCAGTGAAAGGTATGGAAACTGTCACTACAGGATAGAGAAATAGTGACCCGTGATCCAGCAGTAACACATTTAGTAAAACTGCCCCTGTGATCACTTCGAAGGCAGGAGTTGCAATGAACGAATGTGTAGCTTTAGGTGACAAGGTCGCAAAACAGAACATTGCTAGGGGGATTTGGTTACTATTAGGTCCATTTGACGAAGTACTACAATAAAGAGACGAGCTCAGAAAAGAGTTAGCTGGTTTTCCAATAGGATTGAGGCGGGAAAAAAAGAAAATTAGGAAATTTGGGACTTAACAATTGCAAGATACAATGATTTCTCATCTCCTATAAATAAAGAAAAAAAATGGGCCAGACGCAGTGGCTCACACCTATAATCCCAACACTCTGGGAGGCTGAGGCGGGCTGATCTTTTGAGCCCAGGAGTTCAAGACCAGCCCAAACAATATGGCGAAGACTTGTCGCTACAACAAATTTTTAAAAATTACCCAGGCACAGTGGCGTGTGCCTGTAATCCCAGGTACTAGGGAAGCTGAGGTGGGAGGATCACTTGAGCCCGGGCTATCAAGGCTGCAGTGAGCCAAATGGCACCACTGCACTCCAGCATGGGTGACAGAGTGAGACCCCGTCTCAAAAAAAAAAAAAAAAATTTTTTTTTTTTTTTTAAGGAAAGATGATTAAGACCTAGCCTCAGGACACAGACAAAACTAAGGGCACGTTAAAGTCTCTAAAGGAATTAAGACACCCCCACCTCGCCCTACCCTAACCCTAGTAAATCCTTTTAGTTGAGCAAAATTGCTACAGGAAAAGTGATTAGTGACATGGTCTCACAGAAACCTGATAAGCTCAAAGTGGCCTGTAATTAAATCCAGAAGGAGAGATATGTCTGGTAAATAGTTACCTCAAAAGAGGTGTAGGTGTGGCTACTGGCCCAGGGAGTAACTAAAATCAAATGGAAATAAAAATTGATCATTGTTTAGCATGAATGATATCCCCAAAAGAGACACCAGCCTGGTCTAAAAGAGACTGTGACCACAGGGGACCTAAAACAACTTTTGGCACCCCAAATTGCTATAAGCAGGAAGTAGCCTGAGAAAGCTACCAAGTCCCCAATGAAGATATATTCTCTAATACTTTTTCAGGTGTGTCCGAACAGGATGATCAAAAAGGAAAAATCTCCCAGAGGGAGAAGTCAAAAGTCAGAGAGAGGCCAGGCACGGTGGCTCACACCTGTAATCCCAGCACCTTGGGAGGCCAAGGCGGGTGGATCACGAGGTCAGGAGTTCGAGACCAGCCTGGCCAACATAGTGAAACCCCGTCTCTACTACAAATACAAAAATTAGCCAGGCATGGTGGCGTGCACCTGTAGTCCCAGCTGCTCGGGAGGCTGAGGCCAGAGAAACACTTGAACCTGGGAGTCAGAGGTTGCAGTGAGCCGAGATTGTGCCACTGCACTCCAGCCTGGGTGACAGAGTGAGACTCCATTTCAAAAAAAAAAAAAAAAAAAAGCCATAGAGAACAATGGATTTGAGAGCTTCTCATTTGAGGAGAATTCCCTATCCCAAGGCAGGTGGGCCTCTCATGCTGTCCAGTGGAATTTCAGGATGGCCATGTGGATGCGCTTCTTTCTCTTTTGAAATACAAGTGCTCACTGGGGTTGGCCTATTCCTGTTCTTCCACGACGGACATGTGGACCAGGTCACTTATTTTGGTTCACAGCTCTCTAGATGAACAGCAACTAAATCCAGACCTGCTGATAGAATCTCATGAGATCCTGAAATTCACACCTGATTCCATGATTACATGCGAATTTTTAGGTATCTTCCATGAGTCAGAAATGAATTTATGTCGTATATAAATATACAAAATGATATATAAGATGATTATTTATGACCAGGAGGGAAGACTGTAGCAGACTGTATTATACAGTCATCCCTTGGTATCCGTAGGGATACCTCCTCCCTCCCACAGATACCAAGATCTGCTGATCAAGTCCCTTGAGCCAGCTCTTCATATCTGTGTGTTCCTCACCACGGATGCAGAAGGCCTACTCTATTCACAATTATTCATGTCTCCCTCCCCTTAGTAGATGTTTATGTCCCCACCTGGAATTGCAGTACCTGCCTATTGGCCAAGCATACTTCCCTGTACAATGTCAGACTTTGCCATATGATTTGTTAAGCAACAGAATGTGAATGGATGTGAACACTCCACATCCAAGCAGAATTCTTCAAGGACGTCATGAGTTTCCACCAATTCTCTAATTCTTCCCCTCCACCATGACATTGCACATGGCCACAGGGGCTGCTGTTTCAGCCTGGAATCCAGAAGGAGAAAACAATGTGACAGAGATACAGCCAACCTGCAGCCTGCATGTTATTTGGAAGCAAAATAAACCTTCAGGATGGCAAACCACTGAGATTTGAGGTTTCCTTGCTGTGAGGCAAAGCTGACTTAAGCAGCCTGTTCCACCCAGACAACTGAAATCAATGCTTAAACTCTTAGCAATACACAATCTAATGCAAGGAATATGCCTGGGGTCCCATGTGAGCCCTCAGGCTTTTAAATCCTCATCTTTCCTGGGAAGGAGACATAGAGCTCAATTGGTTCCATATAAATGCTTCTTCAACTTTTGAGTAAATTCCATCATCTTTGTGAGCCATCTAACAGTGAAAGTATTAACAATGAAATTTTAAAAAATCAAATCATAATTTCCTTTTAACCAGCCATGCTTTGAATGACAAATATGTAGAGAGTGAGTTTGTTCTCATCTCTCTTCTCACTGCATTCTTACTGTAGCCTCTCACCTAACCTTGTTGGCTCCAGAGACCAAAAGAAAGTCAGCTAAAGCCACAAAGGCCAAATGGACATGAGAAAATGTCTGAAAATGCAATATCAGGGATTGTGTTTGTCTTGTGAAGTCCTTTTTGCCCCTCAGGGAAAAATGACTGGAGGCTCCTCTGACTTCGGAGTAATTGCTTTGAATGTTTTGGGGGAAGATATTTTTTCTGGGGATGTTGCTGTTGTTGCTAAAATGATGTCCATCCAGAAAAACATAAGATTGCCTTTGTTTTTAAACTTGATTATAAACCAGCCCTGAGAAGCCTTCTAAGAGACTTCCATAAGTCTTTTGAATAATGCCATCATTCCAAGTTGACCATTTCCAGGGAGCCCAATCTCGTTTGCCAGATGAGTTCTGCCGTGTTTGTTCACATACCAGCTTTATTACGTTTTAATTAGTTGTTATCTTTGACCCCAAAAAGGGATTCCCGAGCACCTCAGAATGGAGCTCACAGGCACTGGTAGGCCTTAGTGGCCCTTTCTGCTCCTGACCCCAGGGGGACACCTGGGGATCAAGCTGAGGTGAGAAGCAGACTCAAAGTCTTCTGTTCACAGATAAATGCCCCACGTGACCTTGCACGGGAATTACTGAATAAAAGAGACCACTACCCTGATTTGAACAGCACCAGACACAGAGCTGTGAAAGAAAATGCCTCTTACAGATGACAATGTCCGGTTGCCCAGTCCTGGATTTGTTTTATTTATTTACTGAGACAGAGTCTCCCTCTGTCGCCCAGGCTGGAGTGCAGTGGTGTGATCTTAGCTCACAGCAACCTCCACCTCCTGGGTGCAAGCAGTTCTCCTGCCTCAGCCTCCCGAGTAGGTGGGACTACAGGCGCACACCACCATGCCCAGCTAACTTTTATTTTTATTTTTGGTAGAGATAAAAAAAAAATGGGGTTTCGCCATGTTGGCCAGGCTGCTCTTGAATTCCTCCTCTCAAGTGATCCACGCACCTTGGCCTCCCAAAGTGCTGGGATTACAGGCATGAGTCACTGCGCCCAGTCCCAGCCCTGGATTTGAACCAGTGTTCACTGAAGCATTTCCAAGCCTGTTGTTGTGCCTTCAGGTATATGAAATTCAACACATATTCTAAAAAGGACCTTGCCAATGTTCAGTAGAATGGAAGGCCATCCCATGAGTTTCAGAAACACTGATGCTGCTTTAAAACAAAAAACTCCCGGTGATTATAAGGCTTACCTGGAGTATCTCAAATATTTCAGTAGCGAAAATTCAAAGACAAGGACCAGCAGGAATGCCAATTCCATGTTGCAATCACGCCTCCCCACCCACAAGCATGTTATTAGTGTGTGCTTCCAATGCATAATTACCTTTCATTTTCCCATAGAATTTCAGGAAAAAAGAGCACAGGGCTCAGATGGTTTGTGAAATCAATAGGTGATTTCATCTCTTACATGCAAAAATAATCAGTTCTATTGAGAAGGAAATGTATACACACACACACACATACACACACACACTACACACACACACACTGGAAAGCCCACATTCAACAGTCAAGGTCACACACACAGGAAATATTCATGAAAAGGGAACATTTGTAGTATCATCCTGAGCCATATAGCACAGTCCAAAGTACATGGGTTAATAAAGGGTTAATAAAGGAAGAAACCATCTCACTCTCAATAAGGCTGAATTTGATGTGCTCAAATAACACTGATTGCTCCAAAAAAAAAGATAAAATTCCTACAAAGAGGAGGATCCCAGGCCTAACGATTGGATTCTTTTCTAGACAACTGTAACCACCCTCTGGACACTATAAAAGAAAACAAGTATCCAAAATAGCAGGATGACTATTTGTAATTACTGTGTAATTGTTGGTTTTACATGTCTGTCTCTTCCTGGGCTTAGTGAAGGCAGAGACCAAGTTCACTAATTGGATTCAGCCAAGGAGAGCAGTTGGCTCCATGAAGTATGAATGAACAAATGAACTAATGAAAAAAAGAACACGTAAGTTCTGTACCAAAGAAAGAGGAAAGAAAACCATGAATCCTGGTAGTACCAATCCTGATTCTATCCCACCTGCCAGCAAACAAGAAAACAAAGGGACCATCAGGAATTC
The DNA here is from genome assembly GCF_000001405.40 of Homo sapiens. Lineage (NCBI taxonomy): Eukaryota > Metazoa > Chordata > Mammalia > Primates > Hominidae > Homo > Homo sapiens. The sequence goes on from NC_000017.11 coordinate 72,928,438, forward strand.
TTCATTTAGTCCAAGCTCTGAAAAGAGAAAATAATTCCAAAATGTCATATTAAGAAGGTAAGGAAGACATGAGAATTTGAATGGAAGAAAACAGAGCAGTGGGTGGGAAAAAGTGGAGACTGAAATCTTACAACCAGGAAGTGTAGGCTGTGGCTTTGAAGGAAAAAAAAATTGAATTTCCAGGTTCCCAGGGCCCTGATAGTTGATTCTCTCCTTCACTCTCCTGCTTTGAGTCTACGTCAATAGACTCTCACAGCCTGAACCTCCCTGGCCGTACCTCAAGCATTAGAGCAAGATTGAAAAGGCTTCTAGATAGAGGTGATACAAACAAAGGGAAGTGCGTGCCTCTGGGAACCGAGCAAGAGTTTTCATCACCAAGGATCTTTGGACCCTGACAAAACCACAGGTAGGCTTCATTCATTTCACTCAGTCAACAGACATGCCCTGAGCACCTGCTTCATGCCAGGCACTGCACTGGGCCAGCCCAGAAGCAGTAGGAAGTCGAATGTTAAATGCCTGTGAACCCGCATTGGTGTGCTTTGCTGGGGAAAGGGTCTCCAGCAACAGTCTGTAGCCAGGGGTGATGGCCAGGGGCAGAGCGAACCCACAGAGCCTCCCAGTGCACACTGCAAAGGTACCCCTTCCTCTACACAGACCCAGCCTGGCCCCAGGCTGTCTACTCCACAGCAGAATCTCAGCTGGAATTCAAACTCCTTGGGTCCAGTGTCCTTGTGAGAGACCCATCCTGCCCTACCCTATCTGCTCCCTTGTAGACAGCCCTCTAGCGACCATCAGAAGTGTCTGGGGCATTTCTGCCCCATGCACACATTGACGGGGGGTACTACAGGCACTTAGGGGCTGCGGACCAGCAGTGCTAAGCATGCTGCAATATACAAGACATGGCTACCCCATAAAGAACTGGCCCGCCCCAAATGCCAATAACCCAATAGTGTGTGGTTTTTATCGGGTGCTCGGGTAGTCTCCTTTCCACAAAACGGTCAAGGTCAATGTGCTAAGGATGACAGGCCAGGGGTCATCATGGTGAGAGCCCAAATAAGGAAGGAGTGAGCAGCCACTTCACGGAGTCTACACAGGCATCGCTGCAGCCTTGGAAGATCTGCTACCCAATTGTCAGCCAACAATTCTATTCAATTAAAAAATTCCCAAATATTGAAACTTCATATTTTAAGATTAAGGGTGCAAATTTTTTTTCTTAAAGGGAGAAAAATAGGAATCAAGGCCCTTTGATAGTCATAGCAGACGACTCCCTTCCCCTCCAGACCTCTCCAGTTGTGCCCCGGGGGTCTTGCTACCCTTGGAAACTGGATTTAACTTTTGTTAAGCACTCTATAGAATAAAGAAAAGAACTGCCAATTGGTTCTAAGAAGACACTGTGCTTAGAAAACAGGGCACATCGCTGTGTTAAATGTATGGTACTGAAGAGTTTCCTCCAGGGAAAGACAATGTGTTTGTCTGCCTCAATGTACCCAGGGGAAAGCAACACTGAAATGTCCCTGACTTTGCGAGGATATTAAATGGGGATCCAAAGTAGAGGCATGGAAAACAGAACTTCTGTAGCCCCTTCCTAGAAATCTCCTGACTTTTAAAATACAGTTTCTGAGTTGAAATGTCCTGTTCTGCAGGTTGAAATATACGATCAAAACCTGCTTTGTGTAGCCCTCTGCATACAGCATTTTAAACAAGCTTCTGGAGCCCTATTACTCCCTCATAGCAGGCCAGCAGAGAAGCCAGGGCAGCTCATTAGTTCTGGGAGAGCTGTTTCAATTACATTCCAGTTGTAGCCCTTCCTGTTCCCTTGCTTTGTTGTTAAAGTTCCACCCGCAAATGCTTTCCTCCACTGGCCCAGTCCTATAAATTGGTGAGCTACAGGGGCTGCTTAATCCCATAACTAGCAAAGACAGGCTCTGAAGTCTTGGTCAGATCATAGGATCCTGTCAGATACCAGTACAGAGTCTCTACCCTCATCCTACTGTTCTTGTCCAGCCTGAGACAGGTCTACGGCAGCAAAGGGAAGAGCAGCACCATTAAGAATCCTCAAGTTGAGTAGTACTGGAACATAAGGTTCTGAGGAAAAGAAAATGAAGATGGCAAATCTTCTTTACTCCCTGGCTGAGACACACAGAAGAAGCGACTACAGTTTGACACTAAGTGGTTAATAACTCTAATCAAGCAGGCTGGATGAGGGGCTGAAGGATTGTCACAGAGGCACTGAGAAGGGTGGCCTCAAGGAGAGGCTTGTGTTCCATAATAAATCTCACGGAAGCATCTAGACTGGTCACTTCCATCCTGAATGTATGGTGGGGCCCTAGCAACAGACCAGTGGCTGAGTTTATTTAGCACTGTAGGCTAATGGGCTTCCACTGTGTAAGTCAACCTAAACCAAGCCTAGAGGAGAACTTCACCCAGATCTCGTTTTCCAAAGAGAGGGAAGGACCCCAGGGTGGCATCTACCCACATGGGTCTCCATACAAAGAAAGAAGACAGGGCCCCAGAAGAGCTCTTCCAATTCCTGGTACCAACCACCCAGGAAATGCTGCACTGGGGCTGCACGTGGCAGCCCTGGGTCCAAGAGAGCCTGAGAGAATTCTTCAAGGAGCTGCTGATGCTTAGAAGTGAGAGAGAGGCTGGGGGACCTCACTCCAGCCTTGGATAGATGGAAGAGGGGCAGATCACCTGAAACAGAAGACAAAGAGGAGTACAGGCCCAAAAAGAGAGGTACAGAGAGAGCTGCAAAGGAGTGAGTGAAAGAGACCAAGAGAAATGGAGAGAGCAAGAAAAAAGACAAGACGAGATGAAACCAAACAGGAAGAGATGCCTTGTTAACCAAGTCGAGAAGTACTGGTGGACTGCAGAAGCGAGAGGAAAAGGTTACCATGGCAACACCTTGCAGAAAGCGTAGGCTGTGTAGCTGAGTGAGCCCAGCCAAGAGAGCTGCAGCCGCCAATGGCCTCACCTGCTACTGCATCTGTTCACCTGTGGGACTGTGCCTCGAAGGCTATGCCCAAGCTCCCACTCCCCATCTCCAAGATCTCAGCCCAGAACCCGCTCTCCGTTCATCCGCTGCCCCAAATTTTGTGTCACATGATCCCTTCCCAAATGCACCAGATAGACAGAGGAGGCTGGGGAGCCATGGGCTCAGCTGCCCGGCCCCCTCCCCAGGTGTCCTTATTCTTGGTTCAAGGTTGAGGAATCTTGGAACATGACGAAAGTCTTAGCAAGTTACTCAACTCAAACTTTCACACTGCACAACAAGCCTCTCTGTAACTTCCCTGACCACTGGTCACCACAACTCTGCTTGAATCCTTTCAGTGACAGGGAGCTCAGCCCACTGCATGACTCAAATGCTTACGACTTCAGCTTTCATTCTCTGATCTAAGATCTTGCTCTACAACTCGGTAGAGGCAAGGGGGAAGATGAACAAAGTCCACTGTGACTAGTGAACCATGAGCCATGCTCCTACCATATGCTGTGATTCAACCCCCAACCCCAGGCCCTGCTCTCACCACAGACATGCACGTCTTCTACACCTCTCACTGCAATTCTCTATAATTTATCACATCGATTTTATAGTATATTTTTCGTTAACCTCACATTTGTACATCCAGGCTCCATGAGCTCTTTGGCTATTTTTACTGTTGTCCAGACAGAATAACTAACATTCATTGAGAGCATACAATATACTAGGCACCATTCTAAGCATTTTACATGTATTCACTTAGCCTATCTTCCCAAAACTCCAACGTCTAGCAGCCACTAAGGAGCTGAGTCAGAATTTAAATCCAGTTTCTTTAGGGATTTATCTTTCCTCTTCTACCTGAAGAATGACCTGTTCTTTTATTATTATTATTATTATACTTTAAGTTCTGGGTTACATGTGCAGAACATGCAGTTTTGTTACATAGGTATACACATGCCATGGTGGTTTGCTGCACCCATCAACCCGTCACCTACATTAGGTATTTCTCCTAATGTTATCCCTCCCCTACCCCCCACCCCCCACAGGCCCCGGTGTGTGATGTTCCCCTCCCTGTTTCTATGAAACAACCTGTTCTTTTGGTATGGATTCCTCCATATCCCTGATTCAGAGAGTGTTCGGACCCAAATGTGCTCAATGACTCAATAAGAATCCACACCTGAACCAAAACATTCTCCAAAGTTTCCAATATGGGCATCAAAATCCCCACGGTCTGGGCCAAAAAATTCCTACATCCAGGCTCCATGAGCTCTTTGGCTATTTTTACTGTTGTCCAAACAGAATAACAACTAACATTCATTGAGAGCATACAATATACTAGGCACCATTCTAAGCATTTTACATGTATTCGCTTAGCCTATCTTCCCAAAACTCCAACATCTAGCAGCCGCTAAGGAGTCGAGTCAGAATTCAAACCCAGTAAGTCTGACTCCAGAACTTATTCTCTGAACTCCAAATCTATACCATTTCTATATTGTGACATCTTTCAGGACAGTGGTGGCTTTTCAAATATGCATACCGTTCATCTACCGAAAACCTACAGGTAACATCACACTCAATGTGAAACACTCAATGATTTTCCCCTAACATCAGAAATAAGGCAAGACTGTCTGCTCTTACTCCTCCCTTCAACATTATACTGCAAGTCTTAGCCAGTACAATCAGGTAAGAAAATGAAATTAATAGCATACAGATTGAAAGGAAGATATAAAACTGTCACTATTCATAGACATGACAGAAAATTCCAAGGAATCTACCAAAAAATTCTTAGAACCAATAAATGAGTTTAGTGAGGTTGGAGGATACAGGGCTAGCACATACAAAGTCAATTATATTTCTATATACTAGCAATGAGCAATTAGAAATTTAAAATACAGTATAATTTAAAATAGTACCATAAAACACTTAGAGGTATAAATCTAACCAACGGTAGAGTATGTATGATGAAGACCACAAAACACTGATAAAGGAAATCAAAGACTTTGGAGAATATACCATGTTCATAAAATGGAAAACTCTATATTTATTAAGATGTCAATTTCCTCCAAATTGGTTTATGGATTCAGTGCAACCCCAGTCAAAATCCCATTGGGATTTGTTTTTCTGAGATGGAGTCTTGCTTTGTCGCCCAAGCCAGAGTGCAGGGGTGCAATCTCTGCTCACTGCAACCTCCGCCTCCCGGGTTCAAGCGATTATCTAGCCTCAGCCTCCTAAGTAGCTGGGATTACAGGCGCGCACCACCAAACCCAGCTAAGTTTTGTATTTTTAGTAAAGATGGGGTTTCACCATGTTGGCCAGGCTGGTCTCAAACTCCTGACCTCAAACGATCCACCCGACTCAGCCTCCCAAAGTGCTGGGATTACAGGCGTGAGCCACCACGCCTGGTGCCATTAGGATTTTTTGTAGATATTGGCAAGCTGATTCTAAAATGTGAAAGGAGAAAGGATACGCACAAAAACCAATGAATCAGAATGAAGGGTCCAAAAACAGAACCAAACAAATATGGCTCACGAACTTTTTACAAAAGCGAAAGGTTAATTCAATGGAGAAAATACAGTCTTTTCAATAAATGCTGCTGGGACAATTTAACATCCATATGAAAAAAAAAAACTCAACCTTGAACTCTACCTGACACCATATTTTTTTGAAACTTCAAATAGATAGTAGACTTAAATGTAAAACGTAAAACTTTTAGAAAAAAAAAATAGGAGAAAACCTTTGCAAACTTAAGTTATGCAAAAAATTCTTAGACGTAACACCAAAAGCACAATTCATAAAACAAAAAAAAAGAAAAACTGATAAATTGGCAGTTCATCAAGATTAAAAACTTTCGATCTCCAAAGGCACTGTTAAGAAGAGGGAAAGGCAAGCCAGGGACTGGGAGAAAAAGAAATGCAAATCACATATCTGACAAAGGTCCTCTATGCAGAATACAGAAAAAGAACTCTCGGGGCCGGGCACAGTGGCTCACACTTGTAGTTCCAGCACTTTGGGAGGCTGAGGCAAGTGGATCACCTGAGGTCAGGAGTTCAAGACCAGCCTGACCAATATGGTGAAACCCCGTCTCTACTAGAAATACAAAAATTAGCCAGGCAGGGTGGCGTGTGCCTGTAGTCCCAGCTACTCGGGTGGCTGAGGCAGGAGAATTGCTTGAACCTGGGACGCGGAGGTTGCTGTGAGCCGAGATTGCGCCACTGCACTCCAGCCTGGGCAACAGAGCCACACTCCATCTCAAAATAAAAAGCCTCTCAAAACTCTACCATAATTAAACAAATGGATTAAAAAACAAGCAAAAGATTTTGACACCAAAGAAGATGTACAGATGGCAAATGAGCACATGAAAAGATGCTCGACATCATTAGTCATTAGGGAAATACAAATGAAAGTCACCAGAGACCACTACTACACTCATTAGAATGGCTCAAGTTTTAAAAACAAAACAAAACAAAAAAGTGATGAGGCCAAGGGCTAGTGAGGGTGCAGAGCAACTAGAACTCTGCTGGGACTGAAGAACGGCTTATCCGCTTTAGAAAACGGTTTGGAGGTTTCCTATCACATGACCCAGCCATCTCACTCCCGGGTATTTAGCCAGGAGAAATGTAAACATATGTTTACACAAAAGCCTGTATGCCAATATTGATAGACGTTTCATTCATAATTGCTGAAAAATCAGGAAACAACACAAATGTCCTTCAACTGGTGAAAGTAAACAAATTGTGGTGTATCCACACGATGGAATGCTACTCAGCCTTAAAAAGGAACACGCTGTTGACACTTGCAACATAATGAAGTTCTCTGAAATGCATGACGCCAAGTAGAAAGAAGTTAGATCCAAAAGGCTACATACTGCATGAGTCCATTTAGGTGACATTCTGGAAGAGGCAAAAATATAGGGGCAGAGAACAGCTCAGAGGTCACCAGAGGTTAAACAAAAGGGAAACAGGGATAGGTTGAGGGTAGGGTTTAACTACAAGGGGCCAAGAGGCTGCTCAAGGGAATATGGGGAGGTGATGGAACTCTCCTATGGTGATGGTTACAGATCTGTGCATTTCTTAAAAACTCGTGGAACTGTACTCCAAAAGAATGAGCTTTATGATATATTAATTTAAAGAATAAATTTTTAAAAATATTCATGTCCTTTATCACCTGAGCAATTCTTTTTGAGACAGAGTCTCGCTCTGCAGCCCAGGCTGGAGTGCAGTGGCACGATCTTGGCTCACTGCTGCCTCTACCTCCCGGGTCCCGGTTCAAGCAATTCTCCTGCCTCAGCCTCCTGAGTAGCTGGGATTACAGGCACGCGCCACCATGCCCAGCTAATTTTTTTTGTATTTTCGTAGACACGGGGTTTCACCATGTTGGCCAGGCTGGTCTTGAACTCCTGACCTCGTGATCCACCCGCCTCAGCCTCCCAAAGTGCTGGGATTACAGGCATGAGCCACTGTGCCTGGCTATCACCTCAGCAATTCTTGAAATGGCCATGAAGGCTGGGCACAGTGGCTCACACCTATAATCCCAGCACTTTGGGAGGCCAAGGCAGGGGGATCGCTTGAGCTAAGGAGTTTGAGACCAGCCTGGCCAACATGGCGAAACCCTGTCCCTACTGAAAAATACAAAAATCAGCTGAGTGTGGTGGTATTCGCCTGTAATCCCAGCTACATAGGAAACTGAGGCACGGAAATCATTTGAACCCAGGAGGCAGACGTTGTGGTGAGCCGAGATCACGTCACTGCATTCCAGCCTGGGCGACAGAGTGAGATGCTATCTCCAAAACAAGCAAACAAAAAAGAAATGACCAGGGAGCTTGGACTGTCACAATTTGTATTTCACAGGGTTTTTGAGACCAAGTTGCACATTTTCCGAGATGATCCCAATGTGCAGTGTGGCTTATACTAATGAACTAATGAATCCTGGCATCCTTGTTTTGGTGAGACCACAGGGTATAACTACAGGTTATGGCAGTATCTCATCTGAAAAAAAGTAAAAAAAAAAAAAAAAAAAAAAAAAAAAAAATTCCCCTGGCAATTACCCGGGGAACAAACAGGAGATCCTAGGAAAGGCAATGGAAATTTGGAAGGCAAGTCTTGGCCGGGCCTCACTTTCTTTATCCAAGGTGGTGGAAATGACCTCTCTCTGGGCAGGCAGATCTGAAGACCTGAGAAAAACCAAACCTCAAACTCTGCCTCTAAAGACATGGAACTAAGTAAGAACCTAGCCCTGGAGCCAGACAGGGACTCTCCCTGGAGAACAGCAGTTCCCAACCTTTTTGGCACCAGGGACTGGTTTTATGGAAGATAATTTTTCTACACATAGGAGGTGGGGGGTAGGGGGTGGTTTCAGGATGAAACCGTTCCACCCTCCGATCATCAGACATTAGATTCTCATAAGGAAGGCGCGACCTAGATCCCTCACGTGTGCCGTTCACAACAGGGTTCTCGCTCCTGTGAGAATCTAATGCTGCTGTTGATCTGGCTGGACTCAGAGCTCAGGCAGTAATGCTCACTTGCTCACCACTCACCTCCCACTGCATAGCCCAGTTCCTAACAGGCCACAGACCCATACTGGTCTGCTGCCCAGGGGTTGGGGACCCTTGCGGTAGAGGGTCCCAAGAGGTTAGCAAGCGCCAGTGGGCTCTGAGGGCTGCCTTTGCCATGGTCAGCTGATATCCTTCTCTCTTTGTTATTTACTATATTTGCTCATCCTCATACCTTGAATAAAATCTCACTGGCAGTCAGATACATTGGCTCACGCCTGTAATCCCAGCACTTTGGGAGGCCGAGGCGGGTGGATCGCCTGAGCTCAGGAGTTCAAGACCAGCCTGGCCAACATGGTGAAACCACCCCCCTCCCTGGTATCTACTAAAAAAAGTACAAAAATTAGCTGGGCATGGTAGCGCATGCCTGTAATCCCAGCTACTCCGGAGACTGAGGCAGGAGAATCGCTTGAACCTGGGAGGCGGAGGTTGCAGTGAGCCGAGATTGCGCCACTGCACTTCAGTCTGGGCAACAGAGAGAGAGAGTCCGTCTAAACAAACAAACAAAAAATAAATAAATAAATAATAAATCTCACTGGCCAGCTGGCCTCAGAAGGTCTGTAAGGCAGTAAAGGCATGATTTGCGCTACAGAGGAGTTAGGAAAGCTGGCCCACTAAGGCCAGCACAGTGGTGGGACCCACTTATATGATTGCTAGTGGTTTATATAGCTTTCATGCTGGACCATACAAAACGACCTCATATTTGTTTCCCCAGGAGGGCTGAATCTCCTTGAAGGCACGTGTCTCCTGGTTTTATGTGTACGACAGGGCCTTCCCTACTGGAAAGGGCACAACCAATTCACTAAGATTGACTTGAGCAAACCTCACCAAGGCAGAAACCGCTAGGTGAGCCTGGTCTCCTGGGGGAATAGAGCAGAGACTTCTGGCTCACCACATCTAAGAGCTGTAAGAGACCATATCATGCACTTCTCTCCTCTGCCATCCTCCCGGAATGCCTCTGCCTCCCAACAAGCTCATGGTGAGTTTGTGTAATCAAGAAGTTGGCAGACAGAGAGAGTGAATTCTGTTTCAGAGACCTAAGCTGGGAGTTGCTGGCAAATCCCTGAACATCCAGCTTCAAAATGTTACGACCCTCAAAATCACGTTGCAACTCTGAAAATCATGTTTCCTTGAGACAACTGATTTAATTTTCAGATATGCAGAGCTATTTTCTTTCTCTGGACTCAGGAGGGAAAATACACCAGAGAGAAGAAAGCAGAACAGAATGCTAGCATACCTGCCACCCAGAAAGGAGACGGAGGGTTGAACAGGAAAAAGCAAATGCAGGTCGAGTGGAGCATATCCCTGATTCCTTTCTTTAGGGAAGTGTTACATGGGCCCCATCCCAAAGGTTAGCGCTGTTCTGTACTTCACGCAGGTTCAAAGCCCAGTTCCACATCTTCCTCCTAACCCTTTCCTTCTCGAAGGCTGACTATTCCAGTAACTGCTGTCAATTTCCTCCCAGCTTCACAGGCTCAAATCCAGCCTTCTGTTCCTTATTAGGCACTTTTAGTAACAGGCAAAAGGTTGACATGGGAGTGAATAAATGCAAAGGACTCCTAAAGATCCCAAGCACTCAAAACCAACGTGCCACCCTGTTGCATCCCCAGAAGGAGCTTCTGCAAAAATAACTGCTGCAAAACAAAGCAAAATAATAATATGAAAAGCGCCCAGGCTGTGTGGCTTCAGGCACAGACTCTTAAATCTTCGACAAATAAAAGCCTGGCAGGAATATCCTAATGAAGGCTGCTGCTACCCAAGCCACTTGTCTGTTCTTTCTGTTTCCCTAAAGCACATTAAAAACACATTTTCCAGTTTAATAGACTTATGAGCTGAAATGAATGTGTCAGAATGCTTATAAATATGATAGAACCTGCTAACCAAGCAAATGTTAAATTTTGCATAAGGAGACTGTATCCCTAACTCCTCAGTAGATACTTAATGAATATTTCAAACAAAGCACCCCAGCAGCTGCTCTAAGGGCTCCAGATGAATTAAGTGGACTTTTATTACTGCCAGGACTCGTCCTCTTGCTTCCTCTCATTTTATCCATCTTCCTCCTTTGTATAAGACAAACATGGCGCCTCAGACGAACCAAGCTCCTGAAGTCTGGTCACGGAGTGATCAGAGTATGGGGTTGGTCAATGTACAGTGCTGAATACTGTCCCCCGCCAAAATTCATGTCTAGCCAGAACCTCAGAATATGACCTTACCTAGGCAGGGCGTGGTGGCTCACGCCTATAATCCCAGCACTCCGGGAGGCCGAGGTGGGTGGGTCACCTGAGGTCAGGAGTTCGAAACCAGCCTGGCCAACATGGTGAAACCCCATCTTTACTAAAAATACAAAAATTAGCTGGGGGTAGTGGCGTACACCTGTTTCCAGCTACTCAGGAGGCTGAGGCAGGAGAACTGCTTGAACCCGGGAGGCGGAGGTTGCAGTGAGCTGAGATTGCACCACTGCACTCCAGCCTGGTGACAGAGTAAGGTTCCGTCTCGAAAAAAAAAAAAGAATATGACCTTACCTAGAAATTGGGTCTTTGCAGATGTAATTAGTTAAGAAGCAGTCATACAGGATTAAGTGAGCCCTAAATCCAATGACTGGTGTCTTTATGAGACAAAGGATACGGAGTTTTGGACATAGACACACTTCACAGACACACACAGGGACGAAGGTCACAATGTGGGCAGAGATTGAATTGATGCAGCTACAAGCCAGGAAACGCTGGGGGCCAAAAGAAGTTAGAAAATTTCCCTAGAATTTTCGAGAGAGTGTGGCCCTGCTGACACCTTGATCTCAGACTTCCGGCCTCCAAAACTGTAAGGGAATACGTTTCTGCTGTTTTAAGCAGCTCTGTATAGTACAAGATAACCATCCCTTCTCTGAAGGGACCAGAGTGTTTCAGATTTTTCAGATTTTGGAATATTTGCATTATTTTACTGGCATCATTTACCAGTTGAGCATCCCAAATCTGAAAATGTGAAATCCAAAATGTTCCAAGGAGCATTTCCTTTGAGCATCATGTCAGCGTTCAAAAGGTTTTGGATTTGGGAGCATTTCAGATCTTGGATTTTCAGATTTGAGATGCTCAATATGTACTTTGTTGTGACAGCAACAGGAAACTTACACAGTCAGGAGAGAACTTCTACACATTCAGATGTGTATTGCAATTATTTCCCCAGAAGTTAACTGAGCCGACTGTTTCAGGTGACAGTGGAAGCGGTCATCCCTTTAACGGTGCCATCCCTTTAACTTCATGATAGCATAGATGTACACCTGCCAGCAGTCTTAAAAGATCAGACTTAGAGCCATCTGACTTTTTTTTTTTTTTTGAGATGGAGTTTTGCTCTTGTCGCCCAGGCTGGAGTGCAATGGCGTGGTCTCAGCTCACTGTAACCTCTACCTCCCAGGTTCAAGTGATTCTCCTGCCTTAGCCTCCCACGTAGCTGGGATTACAGGCATGTGCCAACACGCTCGGCTAATTTTTGCATTTTTAGTAGAGACGGGGTTTCACCATGTTGACCAGGCTGGTCTCGAACTCCTGACCTTAGGTGGTCCACCTGCCTCGGCCTCCCGAAGTGCTGGGATTACAGGCGTGAGCCACTGCGCCCGGCCCTGACTTTCTTTCTCGCTGCACTCTTTGAGTAACTTTTCAACTTCATTCTACTCTTTTTTCATCCTGCATAGTCTGCATTCCCAGCCCATGCAGGTATGAGGCTAACGTAAGGAGGCAGCCATGCAGTGAGAGAATCTAGAAGGCAGAAACAAAGAGAACTCCTTTCTCCTGACACCTGGAATTCCTTGAAGCTAACTACTATCTCTGGAAGACAACTTCTCAAAAAATTGTTCAGCGCAACTATGGCCTGAATCACGTCCCCCGCTTCAAATTTCTATGTTGAAGTCCTAACGCCCAGTACCTAAGAATGTAACTGTAAGGGAGATAGGATTTTTAAAGTGTTAATAAGGTTAAAATGAGGTCATTAGAGTGGGCCCTAATCCAATATGACTGGTGTCCTTATAAGAAAAGGAGATTGGGACACCGACAGGCACAGAGGAAAGACCACGCTTTGGGAGGCCGAGGTGGGTGGATAGCTTGAGCCCAGGAGTTCAAGACCAGCCTGGGCAACACGGCAAAATGCCATCTCTACAAAAAAATACAAAAATTAGCCAGGTGTGGTGGCGCACTCCTGTAGTCCCAGCTACTCCGGGGGCTGAGGTGAGAGGATAGCTTGAGCCCAGGAGGTTGAGGCTACAGTGAGCCATGATCGCACCACTGCACTCCAGCCTGGGTGACACAGTGAGACTCTGTCTCGATAAAAAGACAGACCATGTGAAGCCACAGGGAGACGACAGCCATCTACCAGCCAAGGAGAAAGGCCTCAGAAGAAACCGACCAATCTTGCCAACTATTAGTCTTGGACTTCCAGCCTCCAGAACTGTGAAAAAAATAAATTTCTGCAGTTTAAGCCACCCGGTTTGTGGTATTTTGCTACAGCAGCCCTAGCAAACACATGTGAGTGCCAAATTGCCTCTAGCCTCATGCCACATGAAAATTTGCTCTGAAATTACTGCCTGGCTTAGAAAATCAGGACTGTGTTTTTTTTTTTTTTTAAAAGGCAGAAGCAGATAAAGTGCTATTTGAGTGCTCCATATTAGGCCAAATAGAACACTCTTCAGAAGCAAAAGACTCTATAAAGCGTACCCACCCTGATAATGTTCCCATGAGCTAGGACACTAACGGTCTCATGCTGCCTGCACAGATCCCTGTCCAAGAAGGTATCTCTGCATTGTTTATTTAATATCCAGATGCGAAAAAGCTTCTGGCAGTTATTATTATTGAGCCCTTTGCCCTCCTGCAAAATATTTTTGTGCGGCACATTTTAACGCTGGTTTGCTTCATTCTATTTATTTATTTATTTATTTATTTATTTATTTACTGAGACAGAGTCTCACTCTGTCGCCCAGGCTGGAGTGCAGTGGCACAATCTCAGCTCACTGCAGCCTCTGCCTCCTGGGTTCAAGTGATTCTCCTGCCTCAGCCTCCCAAGTAGCTATGATTACAGGCATGTGCCACCACGCCTGGCTAATTTTTGTATTATTATTATTTTTTTTTTAGTAGAGACAGGGGTTTCACCATGTTGGCCAGGCTGGTCTCGAACTCCTGACCTGAGGTGATCCACCTGCCTCGGCCTCCCAAAGTGCTGGGATTACACGTGCATTCTCACACTTCAAATGAAGAAACCCAGGTTACGGGTCTTAGCCCAGAAAGGAGGTAGCAGCCAGGGCCTACCTATTTTTCAGTTCCTAGATAACTCCTCTCAATTGGGCCAGGACAAGATTTTAAAGTCTCCCCTAACCAAGCAGGTACAGGGAAAAAAATAAATAAATAAAACTCTGATTGCCAAAACCACATGCCAAGAAATTATATCTACATGAACTGTTGTGAAAATACTCTTTCATTTTTAGAGATCTTACCAATAAAAAGTCAAAATTAATAACATCTCAGAGACTTCCCCAAACACATTATTTCGGAAACCTAGTTATAAACACTCAGAATTTCTCCTAGGAGTTACACCTCACTCTCGATCAAATTTAAGATCACTAAATTTGACTGGAAATATCAGTGACAAAAGGAACATGTCCTTCAGGAAGACATGGAAAGTTAGAAGATACAGAAAAAGAAAGGTAATAGGAACCATGAAGCTGTTTAAATAAGTCATCTTTGCTTCCGTAGGCTTAGGCTATTCCAAGCAGTTTTAGCGCCAAGGAAACTTGGGAGTGGAATGTACGTGGCTGAGCTTATAGCGAGAACCAGCTGCTTCAGAGAAGAGATTGCATCCCACACTGCCTGGCTGCCCTCCCTAAGCCCCACACATTATGTCTAAAAAAATGCAATCCTCCAAAGCCTAGCCAGTGTGAAAACCCACCTATTGGGTTCATTGTTGAACTAGAGAAACCGTTCCCAGTCAACAGACAAACACGTAAGCAGTAGTAAAACATGAAGTCAATGGGCCAATACCTCCCTGTTCTTCAGTTCATCAAATCTTTTTCCAAAGGCACCTAAGGGAGGATGTTTAACAGGGAAAATGGGAGAAAGGGATGATTCCAAATACAAGACTGAAAGAGGACACTGTGATACCTGGAGAAGAGAGAGTGTCTTGAGGTGGAAGAAGGGGATCAAAGAGCAACTGAACTCCATCGTGTTCCCGAACAGGACAAGCCCTGGGGTTGCTGATCCGGGGTTGGGCACTTGAGAAGCTTGAGCTAGAAAGGAAAATCATCTCCTGCAAGACCATTTCCACAGGAAGAGTGCCACGCAGCACATCAGAAGCAGAACCAATAAGGAATTCAAGATTTTAGAGTAGAAAACAAAGACACTCAGCTAATGGCCAGTGACTGCAGTTCTACAATCTATAATCCACTTGACACGAGCTTGGCATCAGTTTCATTTTGCAAAACATGGCTTTGATAATTGCATCAGATCTGCAAGGCTGTGTAGGCAGAATTCTTATTGCCAAGTGAATTTTCCTATAAGAATAGGGCATTAAGAGAAAAATCTGTTTCTTACCTGAGTGTCGTACGGCTTACGCTTCCCTGACTTGAGTACCCATTCACTTTTTCCCCCAACACTTCAGAAAGATTTACAGAAAATGCACAGATGGCACCTCACAACTGAATAATCTCCTAAAGTAAATCCACCTCTTGCTCTACCAGAAAATAATGCCTTCTCCTGGTCTTTCCACAGATACACAAAATGATAGGCAATTCTCCTATGCTAATAGACCGATGAAATTCACCAATAATAATAGTGATGACAAAGTTCACTAGTGAAGAGTATCTATAACTGCATCAGACCAATCTGGTTCAACTTTTATGTAACAAAGCTGTGAGCTGCTTTTCAGTTGCCATGGACCCTCAGGTCATGTAACCTAAGCATGCTCAGATGAACCAAGTGTACAACCACAGGGGGAACCTAAGTGCTGGGACAGAGGAGTGGGACTGAATTAAGAAGCAGACACCACATGGCAGGATCCAGGATCCAATGAGATTGAACTCTGGCATCACCCCATGACAGGATCCAATCAGATAATGCCTCCTAACGTCACCTCATTGCAAGATCCAATCAGATCACACCTCATTACTTATGCTTATAAAACCCAACCCAACCCCCAGCTCAGGGAGACAGATTTGGGCATTCCCTCCTGTCTCCCTGCCAGTTGACTTGACTCCCAATAAAGCTGTTCTTCTCTCAAAAGCCAGTGCCACGGTATTGGCCTCTGTGTGCATCGGGCAGCAAGCCCACTGATGCTTGGTAACATTTCAACTTCCTCCCCCAGAACATACTGCATATTTAAATGGGGAAATTAACAATTAGTAAGAGAATCAACTGATTCACTTTTAACTACCTTCTCTTTAGCCTACAGAGGATGCTATGAAGAAAAGAAAAAAAACTCAACTTGACAGCTGAGTGGGGACAACTGAGACAGAGAAGCCCAAGATCTTGAACAACACTGGGTGTATGCAGCCATCTGGGGTGTGATGAAATATAACTTATAGTCCCTTGCCTTTCAAACACACACACACACATACACACACACACAGACTTTGCATAAAATGCAAGAGGCTCGTGAGTCCTTTGGTACTCATGCATGGAGCCCAGACATAAAGAACTCCTGGCCTCATTTCTAGAATTTACTCAACAATATAACTGTCCACAGAGATGTAGATACTAAAATGCTCTGTGCCACATTCTTTGCAATAGCAAAGCATCAGAATTAACCCCATGGGCATCCAGAGAGGGCTAATTAGGTAGCATCATGGCCAATAACAAGAATGGGATGGATCTATGAGCACCTCAGGAAAAAAACACCCAAGGGTACCGTTAAGTGCAAAAACATATGATACAGAACAATGGGTCAGGTGTGATTATAGAAACATGATAATTCTGAAAGGATGCACAAGAAACTAGAAACGATGTTTGTGTCTGAGATGGGGGGACTAGACCATAAGGGATTTGAAGGTGGAAGAAAAATTACTTTTAACCGATGTCATTATATTTTTAATTAAAAGAAAGCTAATTGGAGATGGATGGATGGATGGATGGATGGATGGGAGAGAGAATGAAAGAAAGAGAGACTGATAGATTTAAAGGAACTTCTTCTGGCCTACCTAAGTCCCAAAATATCCCCAGCCTTGAGAATAGCTGATATCAGAAAACATTGCACACTAAGACCTAAATAGGAAAGTATCTCATAAATGCTTTTCCCAGCTCAGGCTGCCGTCACTGCTGCTGCTCCTCAGAGCAGCTGAACTCCTCTCCCAGAGTGTGGCCTTTCTAGTTCTTCCTCTGGTCGAACCAATTATGGGACATTACAACAGCAGCACCAATATGATGTTTTAAAGGCTAATGTTATTCACTAAATACCCATTAAACCCATCTCCTTGCTCCATTTACAGCAAGCTTAAGGGCAAATCCAGATGGTACAAATAATGCATATTCAGGCTCCATCTGCATGAAGCCAGTTATCAAATAGCCATTATCAGTTTTGGAGTCCTCAGGTGCCTGACACCCACAGGTGTGTCCAGGTGAGAAGAACAGCGACCTTTCAAGAGATGGCTGGGAGATCATCTCTGTGCTTCCCCAAGAGCTGCATTTGCTTTTGCAGCTGAACAGCTAGCAACGGTTACAAGGGTTGCTTGGTAACCCGGTAACAGGCTGTGCCTAGTGTTCTTGAGCAGGGGGACTGGGTTACATCTCCCTCCCACACACCTCACTCCGCTACCACTTAACTCTGGGTTGGCCAAGAAGACCCAGCAGTACCCAGAGGCTGTCCTGCAGAGCCAACTCCCCTGACCCCGTCCCGGCTGTGACTCCATTGGAAAATGTCCATCCAAGGGCTTGCCAATGTTTACCTTTTTTGACTGACAGGCACTGAATTCACTGTACCACCTTCCCCCGACCCCACCAGCCCATGGCCCTGAAGATAGAAAAATCAGATAAAGTCTGGCCAACTTTTATACCCTAGAGAAGACTCACAATCAGGATCATAAGGTCTTCAAAGGGGAACCCAGGAGCCCAGCGCAGTCATGTTAGTGAAAATAGACAGAAAAGGCCTGTGGCCTTGTGTTCAGAACTCAGCATGAAAAATGACAAGTTTTACTTGAATACAGTGCTCTACTGTGTCACCAGACAGTCCTTGACTATGTTCCAGTAAAAAGAGAAGATGATACCTAAAGCGTTCTGATGGGTATAAGTGACAAGTGTGATTGGAGGCAGGAGGAAGATTTGTCATTCTAACCCTCTATGATTTAAGCTCACATTGGATGAAATTTTTATTTCCTGGTTCCATCCCACGTAGGAAGTTGTGGGCGGCAGTGAGGATTAACCCAAATGGAGAAGACATTTGAGTTCTCCATGAATAATTCATGCAGGACATAATCTGAACACAGATACCAGAGCCCTGGCTGCAGCATAGCTTTAACTTTTGTACATTTGCTCTCCCTAAGGGGTAGAGATCATCTTAGCATAGAGATGGCAAAAAGATTCAATTAAAATGCCAGCATGGAAATGGGAAAGGACTGTTCTCCCTGAAATCACTCCTGTGAACACAGTGACTGGTCACCAATTTGTTTTTCCTTAATTCACTCAGGAGAGCACTCCACATAAGCGAGGAGGGGCCCATTCTCCACAGCATCCTGGCATGGTTTTCGTCCCCGGGGTCTTGCAGGATTAAATGGGGAACTTCTATATAAATCCAAAGGGGAAAAAAAGGCATCCAACTCTCCTCATGCTCACTGGCCCTTAAACTAGCCAAGTGTCCTTAGTAAACAATGAGGGGCAAGAAGGAGAGGCGTCTGACCCCGAGGCTGGAAAACAATGTATTGCATTCCATCTTCAACAACTTCTCAAAGGGCAACAGCCCACTCTGCATCTCTCCCCACCCAGCTTCAGTAATTGCTGTCTGATTCCTCTTGAGGGACGCATTCCCTCTAACTCAGAGAAAAGGCATGACTATGCTGTCAGCATCTTTAGCTTTTCTGGCTCCAAATTGAATCAGTGAGAGAAACGTCCACAGTTGGCCAGGTGCAGTGGCTCATGCCTGTAATTCCAGCACTTTGGGAAGCCGAGACAGGCAGATCACCTGAAGTCAGGAGTTCAAGACCAGCCTGGCCAAATTGGTGAAACACCATCTCTACTAAAAGTACAAAAAATTAGCCAGGCATGGACCTGTAGTCCCAGCTACTTGAGAAGTCGAGGCAGGAGAATCCCTTGAACCTGAAAGGTGGAAGTTGCAGTGGGCTGAGATGGCGCCACTGCACTCCAGCCTGAGCGACAGAGCAAGACTCCATCTCGGGGGGAAAAAAAAAATCCACAGCAGTCTCCCCAGGTAAATCAAAAAGATGTAAATTACAACACAAATGAAAAGGAGTATTCAGGGTTCATCAGAGAGGGGGACACTGAGGGACAAATGCTGGTACTCTCTAACCCAAAGCAGCCCCATCACCATCAGAGTGACCCCACTGTCCACCTGTCCAAGTCGAAAAGATGATCAAAAGGTACCGTTACCTTCTGTAGACTAAGCATGTGGTTTGGACAACAAATGAGAAATGAAGGTGCTGGGCCAGATGCCAGTTTAGCTCCATGCAGTAGTAGGGTGAGTGATTCGGAGGGATAGGACAGTGCTGGCATTTCTCTCACTATTCATCCTACCACCAGCCCCCACGTCCATATTGCCTGACTCAGCTCAGTGTCTGCAGCAAAGAGCTTGCCTGAAAGAAGCCCAGCTCTACCTATCCGGATGGAAAGTTCACTCTCAGGGAAGAGCAGCGCGGGACCCTCAGGATCAGACTTCTTCTTCATCAACGTAGAGCCGAAGTTCAGTGCCAGGGTCGTCTGGGGGTCTTCTGCTGCACCCTGAAACAAGAAGCGGTAACATCACTAGAGCACCACTACTGTGTTAATTCCCCAGATGCTTCTGGCTCACGGGCGCCAAGGCAACTTGCCAGTCTCTACCAAGACCGCCACAGCTGAGCCAGTCCTCCGGCCAACCCAGTTGCCAGGCCATGCTGGGTCTTCAGGAAGATGACAAACTTTCCAGGTATAGGACTTTAGTGGTTACAAAAAAGAAAAAAACAACACGATCTAAAAAGTCAGTGCTGATCCTAAAAATGGGGAAAATATATACCAGGAAAGATTGGGACCCAAACACCAAAACTCCACTGCAAGCGTCATCGCCGCACACACACAAAACCCCACTGCAAGCGTCATCGCCTCACACACACAAAACCCCACTGCAAGCGTCATCGCCGCACACATACCAAACCCCACTGCAAGCGTCATCGCCGCACGCACACAAAACCCCACTGCAAGCGTCATCGCCGCACGCACACAAAACCCCACTGCAAGCGTCATCGCCGCACGCACACAAAACCCCACTGCAAGCATCATCACTGCCGGGCAAATGAGCAATGAAGTTGGTTCCTGATCTATCAAAAGAAGTCCATATGGCAGGTTCACGTGAATGGCAGTCTCAGTACAGGAACCACGGTCAACTTATTTGGAATTCACCATCTCCACATCTTCACGTGTCTTATGAGATCAAAAGAGGAGATCCAAACAAAACCATCTCAAAGGAAGGAAGCAGTGCGAGTTGCAGAGAATGCACACATATTTAGAGTTAACTCCAGATGACCTTAAAACAATCATGTCATTCTTCAGCTTTGTCCTAACTAGTTAAGCACTGATCAGTTTGACTGTTTCGCATTAACCAGGCAAAATCGTGCGTTTGATCCTCACATTTATTTGACAAATATTAATTAACTGCCAACTCTGTGTATATTTAGTGAAAGAGACAAAGTCCCGGTTCTTCTGAAGCTTGTGTTCCGCTTGGGAGTAAATAAATGAATCCACAATGGGGTGGTAAGCTTCTCTTCCAAAGGCATCATCTGGAAGCCCCAACCCCACTGACCACTTACAAATGCACAGGATCTCAACAGGAACAACAAGGCAGAGGAGAGACTCAACCAACTACACAAGCACCTCCACTTTCATCCAAACACCTCAAAGCTAAGGGAAGGGAGGCAGAATCATCTCAATTGGCAAAAAATAGTAGATATTTCTTGAAACCTAGGTGTCTCTGTCTGTTCAGGCTGCCATAAAATAAAATACCATACACTGGGCAGCTTTTTTTTTTTTTTTTTTTTTTTTTTTTTTTTTGAGACAGAGTTTCACTCTGTCACCTAGGCTGGAGTGCAGTGGTGCAATCTCAGCTCACAGCAACCTCTGCCCCACCGTGTTCAAGCAATTCTCCTGCCTCAGCCTCCCGAGTAGCTGGGATCACAGGCACTCACCACCACGCCGGGCTAATCTTTGTGTTTTTAGTGGAGATAGGGTTTCACCATGTTGGCCAGGCTGGTCTCAAACTCCTGACCTCAAGTGATCCACCTGCCTCGGCCTCCCAAAGTGCTGGGATTACAGGTGTGGGCCACTGCACCCGGCCAGCTTTTAAACAACAGAAATGTATCACAGTTTCTGGAGGCAGGAAATTCCAATCAAGGTACCAGCACAGTCAGTGACTGGTGAGAGCCTGCTTCTTGGTTCACGACGGCACAGGCTAGCTATGGAAGGGGCAATGGGTCTCTTTCACACGTCTTTCATTACGGCATTAATCCCACTCATGAGGGTTCTACCCTCATAATCTAATGATCACCCAAAGGTCCCACCTCCTAATACAATCACTGTGGCAGTTAGGATCTCAACATAGGAATTCTGAGGGGATGCAAACATTTTCAGGCCACAGCACCAAGCAGAAATAGGTCCAAACAAACACAAGTTTTCATTTAAAACATGTGTCTCTAATGCGGGAGAGGAGAAGGCTTAAAATCTAATCACATAAATGCATCCATTTATTTTAAAAAATACTAAAACAATTTTCTTGGATAAGTTCCTTTCATGAAGGAATCTCACAAAAGGGATACCAGGCTGCTGTGACACACACACACACACACACACACACACACACACACACACACACACCCCTTCTTGTTTTTTCACTGTCATGATGATGAGAGTTAAGAAAGAGAACCTAATGATTCAGATCTTTTATTTCATTATCTGCTTCCAACCAAATGTTGAAAATGAACACATATGCCCTTCCTCTCATCTATTCTCATTTGTCTAGACATCGCTACTGTCATCACTTATTTGCGATGTCCTCTATGAATGTCTTTTAATAAAGGTGCCAACACCCCCATGTAACTTTGTCTCAACTAAACAAACACACACAAAAAAGCCTCCTGCCCCTGTTTGAGCTACCCTTGTACAAGTTTTCAGTCCCCTTTGGGTATCCACCTCTTCTGTCACATAAAGGCAGCTGCCCTGCAGTATCACGGTTAAGGTAGACCTACAGATGGCCAGAATCCTGGGAACAGAGAGGCTTTGGGAAGGCCGGTCTCTCCCTCTGTAGAAACCCCCCTCCCTAACCCTGCTGACACCTGGTGTCTGTGTGATATGCCACGGGCCATGGAGTCACAGCTCTTTGTTTGTTTATATGCTTTAATTATTTCTAATTCTACATCTCCTGCTGACATCCGAGGAATCACTGCAGCAATAAAAGATATGTTTCACTATGAAAGTATGTCAGCTGATTTTCCTTCCTTTGTCTTCTTTCTTTTTATAATGTGATTGATGCGTAACTGGGGGAAGGAATAAAAGGAGAACCATTTCATTACAGAAGAAATGCCGCAGCATTAATACGCATTAAGCTGCAACTGTGTATTTGATTGAAGCCCATCTGGTAAGGTGCAGCTTACAGAGACCCTGGTTTTCATTTAGAACATTTGTTTTCAATTATGTGATTTTTGTCCCCCCCACCCAGAAGACACTGAGCACTGGGCATTTTGGAATGTCATAACTGGGGGGCTGAGCATGCTGCTGATATCTCTAGTGGGTAGAGACCACGGATGCTATGAAATATTCAACAATGCATAGGACAGCCCCCACAACAGAGAATGAGCCAGGGCCAGGCACAGTGGCTCATGCCTATAATCCCAGCACTTCTGAAGGCCAAGGTGGGAGGATCACTTGAGCCCAGGAGTTCGAGACCAGCCTAGGCAACATAGTGAGGCCCCATTTCTTAAAAAAAAAAAAAATTAGCCAGGTATGATGGCACATGCCTGTAGTCTCAAGCTACTTGGGAGGCTGTGGCAGGAGGACTGCTTAAGCCCAGGAAGGCGAGGCTGCAGTGGGCCAAGATCACACTACTGCACTCCAGCCTGGGCAACGGAGAGTGACCCTGTTGCAAAAAAAAAAAAAAAAAGCCAGCAAAATGTCAATAGTGCTGAGCTTCAGATACCTGCTTTAGAAAGAGTTACGATGATCAATCAGGACGCCATAGCTCCCTGTAATGCTGGAAACTCACAGACCCTCTTTTTACTGTAAAGAGAAGAATTTCGCTAGTTTCTCTAGGAAGACTCCCTGCTCACCTTCACGCATCCCATAGATTTCTGTTAAGTGTCAACTCTGTATCAGAGATGCTCCAGGTACTGGCAATTCAAAAAAGCCAAGTCTCCTGTCCTCATGAATCCTACATTCTCCTTCGAGAGACAGATGATAATAAACCCATCATGATAAACTAAAAAATAAGAGTGTCAGGTAGTGATAATGCCAAAAGAAAAATAAGCCATATCTGTAATTCACAGCCATCCAAAACATTGCCTGGCACAAACCAGAACCTAGCCCATATAATACAGGCTGGTTTCTGGTTTGTGCCGGGTGATGTTCCAAGCATTTTACATGTACTAGCCCATTATTAACTGTAAAGACAGTGTTCCTTTAGGGAAGATGCCAAGAGAGGTCTTTGTGGGAAGATGGTATTTGTTCTTCCCTTACTTTCAGGTTTTTGCTCAAACACTGACTCCCTCTTCCCCTCCATCTCTTTTCACCTTTCTATCAATCTATATTCTGTGGGTTGCATTGCTTTATTTCGGCGTTTTCGGGGCAGGGAGACGAGCACTAAGAAAATCCCGCCCTAACTTCACTTAGAAGCTGCCCTTTTAAAAGCTAGACAGAGATCCGTTATCTCCACCTGTACCCACTCCCGCCTGTACCCCCCGCTTCCCCCATGTGCTCCCTCCAACATTTAGCCTTCAGAACAACCAGGGTCAGCTATGCAGCGTGGGAGCTACAGAAAGTATCTCCGGAGTAATGCCAAGGACAGCTCCTTCGCTATCTCCATACCTGGCAAAACCTCCACATGCCTCTGATCCCAGGCACTGGCCTCCCAGGGCTCTTTTTAGACACCTTTCCAGGATTCTCAACATTCCTCCAACTCTCAATTATTGATAGGGAAGAGGAATACATCCCTCTGAATTTCAAGAAACAGCATGGAGGGAGAGGCCAGCTCGCTTTGCTAGCTTTATCATAGCGTCCCTGGCGGTGGGGGAAAGTCAGAAGCTCCTGCTGTGGCAAAGTGGCTCTCAACCTGCTGGGCTGACATGCCCCGCATATCCCCCACCCCCCTGCTGCCATGGAGCCCCATCTGCTCACTGGGCATGGGGACTGCAGGTTGAGGGCACTGGAGCTCTTTACCAGGACACCTAAAATAAATACAGCCTTGGCCCGTGCATGAGGAACCAAGGCCCTCAGGGAGAAATTCCTTCTCTACATCCCTCTCTTCTTTACTTGATATTGTTGTTTACATTTCTGGTTTGGTTTGGTTTGATTTGGTTTTCATCTCTGCAATGCCTTTCTATCCATATTACCTCACTCAATCCTTATAGCCCTGCAAGGTCGGCAAAGTGCGAGCGTGATCCTTCTTAGGGCAAACACGTGACCAACGCAAGCTGTTCTTGACTTTCCACAGCAGCCCCGACAGTCTGCTCTGCTGCCCATCAGAGGGTCAGTGAGTCACTCTTTCCCATCTCCACAACACACAGTGCTTCAGGTAGGCCTCTGGGGCTCTGAATAGTTCAAGTGTGCTGTGTCACCTTGCAGCTCCCAAATGTCAAGGTGTCAAATACAAGGGCTCTTTCTCCAGCTGCAAGGTCACCCCCTCTCCTTCTCCATTGTTCCCTCTCCCGATCCTCTTTCCCTGTCCTTCTTCCCGCATCCCCACCCACTCCAAACCCAGCTCAGTACAGAAAGCAGGGTGTGGGCCAATGGAGGCATGAGGTACCACCCACCCACCACCCAGGGCCACGGAACTTGAGACTCCTGTCCTCTTAGAATGGAATTATTATCATAATGATTCTTCTTCTTGGTGGGGGGCCAATCCCTGGCTCGGAATAAACAGAGCAACTTCCACCCACTTTGGAAAGGCCATGCAGAAAGGCAGGAGCTGAAGAAGAAGAATAGCACTTTCCAGAACAAAAAGAGAGGAAATAGAGAGAAAAAGAAAGAAAGATGATGAAATAATGTGAAGGAGGTGAGGGGGCAGGAGGTAGGAAAGCAGCTCTGCAACTTGCCTTACATTAAACCAAAAAGGCTGCACAAAACAATATGTATATCTCCTTCAAGAAATAAAATCCTGGGGCTGTGCAGTGTGGCCTGCTGTCCCAGGCAGGAGGAGGGCAACTGTTAGTGGCTGATGTCTCCAGAGCCCCCCAAAAGAAACAAGTCACCTGAGAAACAGGCCAGAGCATCACTGAAGGGACAGAGCTACCTGCATATTAAGTCTACAAGGGCGAACTAAGGCCCCCCCTACAAAGCACGTTGGGTGTCATAGAACCGCAGACCCTGCAGCCCTCAAACCTTGCTGCAAGCAGCTTGGTGCATCTGCTCCAGGTCCCAGTACCAACCTTCAATAGGTCTTAAGTCCCATCACCTCCTTTCTGGCTCTTCCTCACTGGGGTGAGTCATTGCTACTAACAACCGTGTCTGAGGATGGCAAAACAAAGCAACCTGTGATGATTGTCAGCGTCTGGGAGGCAAACCTGACCTCCGCCAAACCCGCACACACCTTCTATCGCACGGATTCAGGACGGGGGAGCTCTGTTCATTTTGTTCTGAGGTTTCATTCAACTAAGGCTGTGATGACCCTGCACGTTGCTGGCCCATGAAGGGCAGTCTCTTCGTTTTTTTAAATTTTGTATTTGTTATTTTTGAGAGACAGAGTCTCACTCTGTTGCCCAGGCTGGAGTGCAGTGGTGTGATCTCAGCTCACTGCAACCTCTGCCTCCCTAATTAAAGTGATTCTCCTGTCTCAGCTTCCCAGTAGCTGGGATTACAGGTGCCCGCCACCATGCCCGGCTAATATTTGTATTTTTAGTAGAAACAGGGTTTCACCATGTTGGCCAGGCTGGTCTCAAACTCCTGACCTCAAGTGATCCGAGGAAGGCAGTCTCTTTAATTGAAGCTTGTCAACAAGTCAGAGCTCCCTGAGGAAAGGCCAAGGCCAAGGTCAGGGGACTAATTGGTGCCCCCTGCCAGCTACAGCTACATGGAAGCCAAGTGTTACACGCCAGTGGAAAAGGGTACAGGGATCTCAAGAGGAGCCACCCAAGGGGCTTGGGACGTGCAGTTGCCAGGGAAGGGGCTGGCGGGTGGCCTGCCTGGGGCCCAGCATAGGTGCTGCCTCCTCCCATTCCCCAGCCTCTGCCTCCTGCCATCCTCACTTAACCCCAGACACACAAGGCAACGTTCAATAATTGATGCTGTTTTTATTACTGAGAAGTTGCCATAATAATGACACTCGTAACACAATCTTTTAAATTATTCCACATAATGGAAAAAAAATTAAATGTCGCCCCTGATCAACAGTCAGAATATGGATGGTGCTTACATAACACATGACCTTCTCTCCTCGGGAGCCCGGCACCAGGCAGCTGCCCAGGGCCAGGCTGGCTCCCGGTGATGAGCAGCCAGCTAAGAAGCAAACAGGGACACAGAGTGGCACAGACACTGAGGCAGAGGGTACAGTCCTGCCTCGGGTGTCAGGCAGGTCACCGCTGTCTTCTTTGCCCTGGTTAACCTATACATTCAGGGATCATGGGTCATAGTCAGAATCCCTAAAGACAAGGAGGATGACGGTTTAAGTACTTGGTCTCTCCTGGTTTTTTAATGCAATTCTTGCCTTGTCCAAAGCACTAGGATTGTACCTCTAACTCAGCTTCAGTTCATTCCTTGTACAGTAATAATGCTATATCCAATCAGTGGACAGCAAGGCAGGTTTTCAAGCTTTGAATTATTCTACACTTGAGGTTTTTAAAATCTTGGCCAAAGAAGCCTGAGCTCCTTCCTCCAGGAAGCCTTCCTAGATGTACTCAACCTAGTATGGATCAAATGTACTCCCTTCCATCCTCCCCTGGTATCCTGAATAGGCTTTAACTTTTCAGTTCTCTTTTTTTTTTTTTTTTTTTTGTTTGAGACTTTCTTGTTCTGTCGCCCAAGATGGAGTGCAGTGGTGCAATCTCAGCTCACTGCAACCTCTGTCTCACGGGTTCAAGCAATTCTCATGCCTCAGCCTCTCGAGTAGTTGGGACTACAAGCACGCAACACCACGTCTGGCTAATTTTTTTTTTTTTTTTTTCAGTAGAGATGAGGTTTCACCATGTTGGCCAGGCTGGTCTCACACTCCTGACCTCAAGTGATCCATCCTCCGCAGCCTTCCAAAGTGCTGGGATTACAGGCGTGAGCCGCAGCGCCCAGCTGACTTTTCAGTTTTCTTAAGCATCTCAAAGCCATGAGGCTCAAAATGGCAGCTGTGTCTCGCGGCCCTACTGTCAGGGCCCAGCACACGGTCTGTGTTCAATAATTCAATTAATTTATCTGAACGAACTAAATGACAGAGGCTCCAAAATAAGAGGGAAATGTTGCATAATACAGAACATACCGATCTAGGGTAACCACAAGTGGTTAGGCCCTGAGAAAAGAGAGGATTGGTGCACAGAGGGGAAGAAAAGGCTTAAAAGAATTAACGATTTTCTAGCTAATGCCAAAAAGCGTGACGTTCCATCCACCCCTGCCGTCTATCCTCTTGATGATTAAGATAATCAATATCAGCCCTGCGACCACATGAGGACGGGTAGATACCTATCCTATGACTCCCCAGTGAAAGCTTCCATCTCCATCCTCCTTTCTGGCATAAATAGTCAGAGTGGGACAGCCTAGCTCACTCCCTTTTAAGGTAAGATCTTTCCACCCTGAAGCCCACGATCCCTCCAATGCCACATCTTCCAGCTTCGTCCCCATCACCTTCATGACCTTAACATGAAACTTCACAATGGTGGAAGTTAATTACGAACTTCTAGCTATATTTAAGCTACATAAGTACGCCATTACTCAAACTATCTTGTGAGAGACAAAACCTTTTCCTAGTCCTGATGCCAAAGTTCTATTCAAAATCAAGCGTATTTAAGCACATAAAACAGATTTGAAAGCATCACACAGCTCTGCAGAGACACAGCTCTATGAGAATCTGCAGATAGCCCTCCAGTAGCCATTCCAGGTAAGCAGCCCTGAGCTTGTATTCCAAAGAGCTAGGTCTCCTACTAGCACGGCTGACAGAGAGGTAGAGCTTGGCAGAGTTTTCCAAAGCATTATGCTTTTTCTTTTCGCTCAAAAATATCATTTTCCTTAAAACAGTAACAGAAATCCAAAAGAACACAAGTAACCGAAGTATAATGAAGTATTTCTTTTCTAATCCTCGATGATTATCCAACACTCTTAATCTAATCCTAGACTTAGTCCCAGACTTTATTAAAATGCACCCATATAATCCACTCTGAGCTTTTTCTGGCTTCTCAACAGACTGAGAACCTCCAGCTGGTGTTTATCAATAAAGTTTTTCTGACCTATGTTATCCTTTTGGAGGATATTAGATGCCTTCAAAAATCCATCAAAAGCCACAATTTCTCTTTCCTAAAAATGTGTATGTATCGCACAACTATTGCTAGGTAGCAAAACACCCCAAAACTTAGTGGTTTAAAAAAACAGCCGGTTATTATTGTTCTATGGTCAACTGGGCATGGCTGCTCATCCACCTGGGCTCACTGGTGCATCTGAGGTCAGCTGGTGGCTCATCGAGGGGCTGGATGGTCTAAGATGGCACATGCACCTGGCAGCCAGCAGGCAGTTGGCCAGGAGTTGACTGGAAAACACTGATTCTTCTTGGTGGGGCCTGTCATCTTCCAGCAGACTAGATGGAGCTCATTCGTACGCTAACCTCAGCATCCAATGTCAAATGCTTTTCAAGTCTCTACATCACAGAGGCCAAAGCATCATCCCAGTGGCCAAAGCAAGTAAATGGGTATCCACATTGAAGGGTTGGATGAATCAATGGTACTTTTTGTTGGGAGGACCTGCAATGTCACATTGTCAGGTACGGATGCTGACGGGGAAATTTGTGGCTATTTTGCCATTTATTGCAGTACATATGCACAGACATACAAAATGTTGTGTGTAATATGAGGAACCCCAGGAATTCCCTGCAGCTCTCCATGGATCCAGACTAGAAACAATTGCTTTAGCTTAAACCCACAAACTCAATCTCATTCACTTAAAATAGGGCTTCTCCAGTGAGGACACAAGGATACATTCTTAGAGGTCTGAAAGTTTTACACAGATTTTTTAAAATTTCGGCCAGGCGCCGCAGCTCATGCCTGTAATCCCAGCACTTTGGGAGGCCAAGGCAGATGGATCGCCTCAGGTCAAAAGTTCGAGAACAGTCTGGCCAACATGGCAAAATCCCATCTCTACTAAAAATATAAAAATCAGCCAGGCGTGGTAGTGCACACTTGTAGTCCCAGCTACTGGGGAGGCTGAGGCAGGAGAATCTCTTGAACCCAGGAGACAGAGGTTGCAGTGACCCAAGATGGTGCCACTGCACTCCAGCCTGGGCGACAAAGGGAGACCCTGTCTCAAAAAAAAAAAACAAACAAAAATTAGCCAGGCGTGATGGCTTGCGCCTATAATCCCAGCTATTCAGGAGGCTAAGGCAGGAGAATCGCTTGAACCTAGAGGGGTGAGGAGGTTACAGGGAGCTGAGATTGCACCACTTCACTCCAGCCTGGGCGAAAGAGCAAAACTCCGTCTCAACATCATCAACAACAAAAATAGACACATAGACCGATGGAACAGAATAGAAACCCCAGAAATAAACCCAAATACTTAAAGCCAACTGATCTTCTACAAAGCCAACAAAAACATAAAGTGGGGAAAGGACACTCTTTTTAACAAATGGTGCTGGGATAATTGGCTAAGCACATATAGGAGAATGAAACTGGATCCTCATCTCTCACCTTATACAAAAATCAACTCAAGATGGACTAAGCACTTTAAGATGTGAAACTATAAAAATTCTAGAAGATAACATTGGAAAAACCCTTCTAGACATTGGTTTAGGCAAGGATTTCAAGACCAAGAACCCAAAAGCAAATGCAATAAAAACAAATATAAATAGCTGGGACTTAAAGAGCTTTTGCACAGCAAAAGGAACAATCAGCAGAGTAAAGAGACAACCCACAAAGTGGGAGAAAATCTTCACAATCTATACATCTGACAAAGGACCAATATCCAGGATCTACAATAAACTCAAATCAGTAAGAAAAAAACAAACAATCCCATCCAAAAGTGAGCTAAGGACATGAATAGACAATTCTCAAAAGAAGATGGCCCGGCACAGTGGCTCACACCTGTAATCCCAGCACTTTGCGAGGCCAAGGAAGGCATATCACCTGGGATCAGGAATTCGAGACCAGCCTGGCCAACATGGCGAAACCCCGTCTCTACTAAAAATACAAAAATTAGCCAGGTGTGATGGCATGCACCTGTAACCTCAGCTACTCGGGAGGCTGAGGTGCAAGAATTGCTTGAACCTGGGAGGCGGAGGTTGCAGTGAGCCAAGAATGTGCCACTGCACTCCAGCCTGGGCGACAGAGCGAGACTCTGTCTTAAAAAAAAGAAAAAAGAAAAAAAAAAAAAGAAGATACACAAATGGCCAAGAAACATACGAAAAAATGCTCAACATCACCAATGATCAGGGAAATGCAAATCAAAACCACAATGCAATAGCACCTTAATCCTGCAAGAATGACCATAATAAAAAAAATTTTGAAAAGTAGATGTTTGCATAGATGTGGTGATCAGAGAACACTTCTACAATGCTGCTGGAAATGTAAACTAGTACAACTACTATGGAAAATAGTGTGGGGATTCCTTAAAGAATTAAAAGTACAAATACCATTTGATCCAGCAATCCTACTACTGGGTATCTAGCCAGAGGAAAAGAGGTCATCACATGAAAAAGATACTTGCACATGCATGTTTGTAGCAGCACAATTTACAACTGCAAAATCATGGAATCAACCCAAATGCCCATCAGTCAATGAGTGGACAAAGAAACTGGTGTATGTATGTGTGTGTGTGTGTATATATAT
The DNA here is from genome assembly GCF_000001405.40 of Homo sapiens. Classification (NCBI taxonomy): domain Eukaryota; kingdom Metazoa; phylum Chordata; class Mammalia; order Primates; family Hominidae; genus Homo; species Homo sapiens. Next base: position 72,959,335 of record NC_000017.11, read on the forward strand.
ATATATATATATATATATATATATATATATATGATCGAATACTACACTCAGCCATAAGAATGATTGAATTAACAGCATTCGCAGTGACCTGGATGAGATTGGTGACTATTATTCTAAGTGAAGTAACTCAAGAATGGAAAACCAAACATCATATGTTCTCACTGATATGTGGGAGCTAAGCTATAAGGACACAAAGGCATAAGGATGATACAACGGACTTTGGGAACTTGGGGGGAAGGGTGGCAGAGGGAGGAGGGATAAAAGACTACAAACAGGGTGCTGTATACTGCTCGGGTGATGGGTGCACCAAAGTCTCACAAACCACCACTAAAGAACTTACTCATGTAACCAAATACCACCTGTACCCCAATAACCTATGGAAAAAAATTTTTTTAAATATATACTAATATTGAGAACCTAACAATGATTCTTCTAAGCTCAAAAATCACAAAAACTATTTAAGTCACCACTCTCTGTGCCTCCAGTGGTCAAAGTAGGAGCCAAGAGTCCATGTGTACCTCTGTACATGGACAAAATCTCCTTAATTCCTCATTCTGTCTTAAACCACAATTTCCCAGAGTTCCCTGCTTCGTGAGATGCTCCAAGGGAAAGATTCTGCAGACAAATATGTTTGGTGAGGTCTATTTCATAAGCAGATAAAGATTCTGAGAAATCCCGCAGTAAAGAACAGGGTTTTGTTTAATCCTATATTTCCCATACTTATTTGGCCACATATAAAGCCTATTCATACTCAGCAGATGAACTTTTAGGGGACAGTGTTTAATGCAATTCTATTCTGTATTCAATGAGCAGAATACTCAGCAAAATATTTCTCCTTACACAGCAGCATGGTCATATTTATCCAGGGGAAAAGGCACTGGAACCCTTGGCCTCAAAATGTCTATCACTTTCACAAATAAATGTCTTTGTTTACCATCATTAAAAAATGATTCAGTAGCATTCATCATAGATAGATAGATAAATAGATAAAAATGATTCAGTAGCATTTATCATAGATAGATGGATGGATAGGTAGCCTCTTGTATACATAGGTAGGTAGGTAGGTAGGTAGGTAGATAGATTGACAGATAGATAGATAAATAGCCTCTTGTAGTCATACCAGCTGGAGATTACAAAAACCAAGAAGGTAATTTTTCTATAAAACCCAGCCCTCAGGCTGGATGTGGTGGTTCACGCCTGTAATCCCAGCACTTTGGGAGGCTGAGGCAGGAGAATCCCTTGACCCCACGAGTTTGAGACCAACCTGAACATGGCGAGACCCCATCTCTACAAAAAATAAAAGTAAAAAATTAAATTAAATTTAATTAAATTAAAAAGCGGGTATAGTGGCATATCTCTGTGGTCCCAGCTACTAGGGAGGCAGGAGGATCGCTTGGGCCCAACAGCTGAAGGCTGCAGTGAGCCATGATCGCACCACTGTACTCCTGCCAAGCAACATAGTGAGACCTTGTCTCAAAAAACAAACAAACAACAAAAAAAAAACCCTTCCTTTTTCTTCACCACAATTTATAAAAATAAAAGTAAGTACACCAGCGCTTCTATTACCAATCCTGGAAAAGAGATCTTTATCTCAGCACTGCTGAGGAAAAAAGGTTAAAGTATGGCTTATCAACATTTTTCATAGCTTTGGCAACCATAAAATGATTTTTCCTGACTCCAGGAACACGAGGGTGAGAGAGAGTGTGTGCACAAAAGAGCCAGCATGAAAGAGCGAGCCTAAGACAGTCACAAGCCACCAAACAGAGTGGACTGATGGCTCAGGAGGCCTGTTCTCATCACCTTCTGGTGAGACCTCCGAGTATTAGGACAATGGATAAGGCTGGAAAGAAATATGCTTGCTATTCTCACATCAGTTAGAATGGCGATCATTAAAAGTCAGGAAACAAAGATGCTGGAGAGGACGTGGAGAAATAGGAACACTTTTACACTGTTGGTGGGATTGTAAATTAGTTCAACCATCGTGGAGAAAGTGTGGTGATTCCTCAAGGATCTAGACCAGAAATACCATTTGACCCAGCAATCCCATTACTGGGTATAGACCCAAAGGATTATAAATCATTTTACTATAAAGACACATGCACACGTATGTTTATTGCAGCACTGTTCACAATAGCAAAGACTTGGAACCAACCCAAATGTCCATCAATGACAGACTGGATTAAAAAAATGTGGCACATATACACCATGGAATACTATGCAGCCATAAAAAAGGATGAGTTCATGTCCTTTGCAGGGACATGGATGAAGCTGGAAACCATCACTCTCAGCAAACTATCACAAGGACAGAAAACCAAACACCGCATGTTCTCACTCATAGGTGGGAATTGAACAATGAGATCACTTGGACACGGGGCGGGGAACATCACACACTGGGGCCTGTCAGGAGGTGGGGGGCTGGGGGAGGGATAATATTAAAAGAAATACCTAATGTAAATGATGAGTTGATGGGTGCAGCAAACCACCATGGCACATGTATACCTATGTATCAAACCTGCACATTGTGCACATGTACCCTAGAACTTAAAGTATAATAAGAAAAAAAAGAAAGAAATAGTATGCAAATGGTACCTAACTTACTTCAAAAGAAAAGCTGTGGCTTTGAAGAACGTGTTCAATGTTTCTTTAACGGGGCTTTATACATGGCATCACTCAACTTGGAGCAGAATTCATTATTAAACTTATCTGGGCTTGATGAGGACTTGAGAGCTGAGAAAGTACTGAAGCAGCTTGCTTCTAAGGGAAACATTTCTCTGCTTCCTGCTGTGGGTATGTGGAGACTGGCATCTTCCCTTCTCTCTCTTTTCTAAGCCTAAATTCCAAAGCAAATAACCAAATTGAGACATACACCATGCCTGGATAAGATTGTCACTGCTGCATGAAGAATTACCACAAGTCCAGAGGCCTCAAACAACACTCCTTTTTCACCACCGTTTCCATGGGGCCAGAGTCCAGGGATCGGTGCAGCTAGGTCCTCTGCTCAGAGTCCCACAGGCTGAAATGAAGACAGTGGCTGGGGCTTTGATCTCCTCTGAGGCTCAGGGTCCTCTTCCAAGCATATTGGCTGTTGTAAGAATTACGTTTCTTGCAACTAAGAAGGATTCAGGTCCCTATTTTCTTGCTGGCTTCAGGCTGGTGACCTCTCTCTGTTCCTAGAGGCTGCCCTTGGGTTTTGGGGGTTTTTTGCTAATTTTTTTTTTCTGAGATGAAGTCTTGCTCTGTTGCCCAGGCTGGAGTACAGTGGCCCGACCTTGGCTCACTGTAACCTCTGCCTCCCGAGTTCATGCAATTCTCCTGTCTCAGCTTCCCAAGTAGCTGGGACTACAGGCACACGCCACCACACCTGGCTAAGTTTTGTATTTTTAGTAGAGACGGGGTTTCATCACATTGGTGAGGCCGGTCTCGAACTCCTGCCCTCAGGTGGTCCACCCGCCTCAGCCTCCCAAAGTGCTGGGATTACAGGCGTGAGCCATCGGGCCCGGCCAGCCCTTAGGTTCCTGACAAGTGTCTGCCTCTACGGGGAGTCAGCTCCATAAAGAGCTGGCTATATGACTATAAGCCACACAGCTGTTAGCTTCTGCAAGACCAGCAGGAGACTTCTCTCTCACTTCAAGTCTCTCTGACCTCAAGGAAGGCCCACTCTCTCTTTTAAGGGCTCACCTCACTATGCCAGGCCCACCCAGGATAATCTCCCTTTCCATGGAGTCAAGTCAAGAGACTGATAACCTGATCAGTAACTTAATGGGACTTAATTCCCATCACAGGGAGGGGCTTCTAGGGCACACACACCATGGGGTATAATTCTTTTTTTCCTTTCTTTTTTTTTTTTTTTTTTTGAGATGGAGTCTCACTCTGTCCCCCAGGCTGGAGTGCAGTGGTGCGATCCCAGCTCCCTGCAAGCTCCGCCTCCCGGGTTCACGCCATTCTCCTTCCTCAGCCTCCAGAGTAGCTGGGACTACAGGCGCCCGCCACCACGCCCGGCTAATTTTTTGTATTTTTAGTAGAGACGGGGTTTCACCGTGTTAGCCAGGATGGTCTTGATCTCCTGACCTCGTGATCCGCCCACCTCAGCCTCCCAAAGTGCTGGGATTACAGGCGTGAGCCACCGCGCCCGGCCACTGTGGGGTATAATTCTTAAGGGCCATCTCAGATCTCCACCTACCACCACATATCTGTTTAGAAAAAACTCTCTCCCTGACATTTCTAGCACGTTGACATTTCTAGGGTCTAAATGTACCCTTAGGAAACTAATTCTGGAGCCATGTGTTATGAATAAGATGTAGCGCTCCACCAATTTTTTTATGGCACAAACTTACAATCAAAGCTCCAAACTCATAGGAGGAATCCCATTTCTTCTGATACATCAATAAATGACAACAAGTCATTATATAGTTGAGGTTCTGCCTGGCAAAGGCTTCAGCTCAGCCATCCAGGGAAGATATCTGTGTTGGCCTCAGGGGCAAAAGCAGCATTAGGCACAGGAGACGCAATGTCCAGTAGCCCACCTTTAGGGACCCATGAACAGTTTTAATTTCTTCTCAAATCAGAAGAAAAAATAACAACTACATGATAATGAATCCAGCCTAGATTATATTCATCCTTATACCAACACAGCTGCAAAATATAAGTTTTAGTCTTTTTTTGTGGAGAAAGGAGCCCAGAAAGGCAAAAGCTGCTAGGACCCCCAAAAGTACAAAGGTGGCTCTGCTAGTGGCGCCCCCCGAGGTACACACGAGTTTTCCTCGTACGATGCAAGTGCCATGGCTATTCCAAAGGGCACCTGAGCCAGTCTCAGAAAGAGACTTTAGTCAAGACTCTGATCCTCCAGTGCTGACCTTTGGGCTAAGCAACAAATGAAGATAGTTCCCAGACCACTGCAGGACAGAATTAATATGCTAATTTGCTTAATGAGAACAAATTAACCTAAAGTTACAAACACAGGGCTAATGAAGCCACATGTGGTCCCTGGATGAGCTGCGTAGTTTTGTTTGGATCCATGGTTACCTTGGCCTCCCGGTCCGCATCAGCCACCTAACAGCTGTAAGCTGATGGCCTCCAGGGAGATGTAAGGGTATAAATGAAACAATTAAAATCCTCCTCAAATGCCAGAAAACAGGCATAAAACTATTATCAGCAATATCAATAGGATTATCATCCTGTTTAAAAACAAAGGAAGAAGGAAAAAGAAGAAATTGAAGTAAAAGACTGTAAATTGGGAATGGGCGTGACACTCAATGTTCTGAGGTAAGTGCTAGTGTGAGATACTTGGCCATTAGTATGAAACCAGGTAGAGTATGCCAACAACTGTAAACTAGTTCAACCATTGTGGAAGACAGTGTGGCAATTACTCAGGGATCTAGAACTAGAAATACCATTTGACCCAGCCATCCCATTACTGGGTATATACCCAAAGGACTATAAATCATGCTGCTATAAAGACACATGCACACGTATGTTTATTGCGGCACTATGCACAATAGCAACGACTTGGAACCAACCCAAATGTCCATCAATGATAGACTGGATTAAGAAAATGTGGCACATATACACCATGGAATACTACGCAGCCATAAAAAAGGATGAGTTCATGTCCTTTGTACGGACACGGATGAAGCTGGAAACCATCATTCTCAGCAAACTATCACAAGGACAAAAAACCAAACACTGCATGTTCTCACTCATAGGTGCGAATTGAACAATGAGAACACTTGGACACAGGAAGGGGAACATCACCGGGGCCTGTTGTGAGGTGGGGGAAGGGGGGAGGGAAAGCATTAGGAGATATACCTAATGTTAAGTGACGAGTTAATGGGTGCAGCACACCAACATGGCACATGTATACATATGTAACAAACCTGCACCTTGTGCACATGTACCCTAGAACTTAAAGTATAATTTAAAAAAAAAGAAACTGGAATAAAACATCTCTAAAGGTTGAAAAAAAAAGCTGGAGGAAATATGGGACTAGAAAAATGCTGAGATGGATAAAAGTATGGACGATCCCTGGTTTCTGGCGTTTCAAGCTTTTTTGACTTTACAACGGTGCAAAAGTGATATGCATTCAATAGAAACTGCACTTTGAATACCTATACAACCGTTCGGTTTCTCAATTTCAGTACAATATTCTGTAAGTTTCATGAGGTATTCAACACCTTATTATAAACTAGGCTTTGTGTTAGATGATTTTGCCCAACTGCAGGCTAATGTAGGTGTTTTGAGCACGTTTAAGGTAGCTGGGCTAAGCTATGATGCTCAGCAGGTTCGGTGTATTAAATGCATTTTTGACTTACAGTATTTTCAGCTATGATAGGTTTATTGAGATGTAATCCCACTGTAAGTCAAGGAGTATCTCCAAAAGGAAGGAGGTGAGGCTTAATGTGTGGAAAAGATACCAGGATGGAAGACCAGAAAATCATGCAGGGAGATACAAGGTGCCACACCATGCCAACAGCTGAGAAATCTGAACAGAGAGGAAGTTCTGCTGTTAGATACCTGACCTTGTCACTTCAACTCTTGTTCATAAAACTAGGGAATTCAGACTGAATAGTCCCTGAAGCCTGCTCTATACCAAACCATCCACAAACCTACAAATTTCTAGAAAAAAAGACACCAACTCCCATTCCATGGAAGAGAAAATGGCTCCAACCCCTCCCCATAAGTTTCCAAGCCACTTGTAGAAGTCGTAGCACACCTTGAGGAAAAGAGCCCTTGGCTGCAAGGCAGGTCTTCATTCTGCTGAACCAGGGTGACAGGCCCAGCTGAGGGCAACGCAGCCACTGAAAACCCACAGGGCATCCAAGGGAGGCGCAGGCTGGCACCCCTGCTGGCCTGGGTGGTGCTGCCTTTCTCAGTCAGAGGTTCCCTGTGGGAACATCACATCCAGTGGGTTCCAGAGAGGAAGAACTCTCAGCAAAGGTGAAGGTTTAAACTGAGAAAATTGTGACCTCCACGCAAGCCGGCCCAGGCTCTTTCGGGTGTGGGCATTCCTCCTACAAAGATTATCTGTTGAGAATTACTACCGCCCCCCACAGAGGGAGGCTTAGCACATATACTCAGGTGAAAGATGGGAATGTTCTGGAAGTGATAGTAGTTTCAGAAATTAACAGATCTTCTAGGGCAGGGGTCCCCAATCCCCAGGTCACAAACCGGGCCGCACATCAGGAGGTGAGCAGCAGGGGGTTGAGGAAAGGAAGCTTCATCTGTTTTTTTTTGTTATTGTTGTTGTTCTTTTTTTTGAGACGGAGGCTCGCTCTGTCGCCCAGGCTGGAGTGCAGTGGCGCGATCTCTGCTCACTGCAAGCTCCACCTCCCGGGTTCACGCCATTCTCCTTCCTCAGCCTCCCGAGTAGCTGGGACTACAGGCGCCCGCCACCACGCCCAGCTAATTTTTTGTATTTTTAGTAGAGAGGGGGTTTCCCCATGTTAGCCAGGATGGTCTTGATCTCCTGACCTCGTGATCCGCCCGCCTCAGCCTCCCAAAGTGCTGGGATTACAGGCGTCAGCCACCACGCCCGGCCGCTTCATCTGTATTTACAGCCACTCCCCACTGCTGGAATTACTGCCTGAGCTCCACCTCCTGTCAGATCAGCAGCGGCATTAGATTCTCAAAGGAGCATGAGCCCTATTGTGAACTGTGCATGCAAAGGATCTAGGTTGCGCGTTCCTTATGAGAATCTAATGCCTGATGATCTGTCACCGCCTCCCATCACCCCTAGATGGGACCACCTCGTTGCAGGAAAATGAGCTCAGGGCTCCCACTGATTGTCCATTATGGTGAGTTATATAATCATTTCATTATAGATTACAATGTAACAATAATAGAAATAAAGTGCACGATAAGTGTAATATGCTTGAATCATCCCACAACCATCCATCCCCCGCTCTGTAGAAAAATTGTCTTCCATGAAACTGGTCCCTGGTGCCAAAAAGGCTAGGGACTACTATGCTAGAGTGAGATATTATACCTTTTTATTATAAGAAAACACCCTCATGAGAAGAAAATGCTATATAAGCATGCTCAGAGAGAGAGAGAGAGAGAGAGAGAGAGAGTGTGTGTGTGTGTGTGTTTTCCTTTTATCTAGAAGACCAGCTCCTAAGCATATCCTGGGAGCCATCCTAAAACCAGCCTCCACACCAGAGTGCCCGCCCAGGAAGCAGGCAAAAGAGGGTGGTATGTCCACAGGTCCCTGGAGGGTTGGGCTAACTTAAGCTAGGAAAATCAAAAGCATCCCTTCCCAAGCAGGAAAAATAATCCGTGACGAAAAGCTCCAACAGCCAGAGGAGAGAGTGCTTTGCAAAAAACACAAACCCATCAGAGGCAAAAGGTACTGATTGCTTTTCTCTGACATGTATCTTCAGCTGGAGCAATGCACAAAGCATTCGCACTGTGCACCTTCAGAGTGGATGCTCCAGGCCAGCAAATCAGCCTCAGATTAATGTTGAGAGCCGCTGGAGAGCTCATCACTGCCAGGACATGAGGGATCAACTAGGGAGGTTAATAACTGTGCCCAGCCCCTTAACAGCAGAGCTAAGGAGGGCGCTTTCCTCTCTGCAGTCTCAGTTCTTTTCCACCCTCGGTTGTTACAATTGTCTACACGTGGAGAACTAATAGCATTCACCACCCCCTCTCCTCCACCCCAGACCCCAGCCTCCTTCTTCTCCACCTCCTGACAGCATCAGCCCCCATCCAACCTGTAACATCATCCTGCATCCCGGCCTGGGAGCAACAAGGAGAAAAGATTGTGTTCCCTTGTGGGCCTGGAAAGCAATGTTTGTTTTTGGTTTTAGGAGCTGATGCATGTCCAGAAAATTAGCTGTTGCCCCAGAAACCCCATGAGCTAAGCGGGAAAGCAGGAAGGGAAGACATCAGTTCTAGAATTTAAAAGGAAGGCATCTGCGAGGTAACTATGGAGAGCCTGAGACTCAGTCCAGAGAACAGAGAAGAGTTTGCCCAGGTTCCACCAGAGCCGAGACCAACTCACAGCAAAGTAGCTGCATGACGATCTCTCTCTCTCTCTTTTTTCTTTTTTTCTCCATTCCTAAGACCAGGACAATTGTGTGGAGGAAACCCATTGGGAATCTGAAGGGCTACAGGTCATGCATAAGGTCACACAGAAGGAAGTGACTAATGGTCTTTCAGTTTCCCCAACCCAGTCAGACCACTGTCCCTCTGCTTCTGCCCAAGGTGGGAACTAGCCTGATGTGCAGGTGGTGGACTAAGCAGCAAGGGACAGAGTGACCACAGAGGCCTCGCTCTTCACACACACCTGTGCATTTGGGCAGAATCCTCCCCGACCGCCCATCAGCACCTACAGGCTACAGAACTCTACACAAAGGACAGAGGAAAAAAGCGTGGTGTTGACTCCTGTGTAAGAAAAATGCAGCCACCACAGAATTCACAAAGAGCAAGACACGATCCTTCTCGGCCAAGGAAGGTTCTACACACGTGCGGACGACACAATCCCTGGGCCTCCCAGAGTTAACTGAAAGGAAAGAATTATTTTTTATTCTTTTTTTTCTTTTGGCTAATTTCCCAAGCCAATGTCATTGTGCCCTGCGCCTACACCGTCCCCTGCTTGAGTAGGAGATCAGAGTCCAGGGTCCTCTGGCTCACCCATCTCTGATGCACGTGCTCAGGTCTACCATGGGAAGCCAATGCCATCAAAGGACAGGCCACGATGTCCCGTGTTCTGGAGGCACGGGGCTCTCGGAGGCTTTTCCCATGTCTGGGACACATTCCCTCAACTTAAGGAGTCACACTGCCCTCAGGGAACATATTGCAGGAAGGTTACAGGGTTTGACATTTTCACTGGAGCTTAAACATGATGGCCCAGGCCTAGGGTAAGGATGGGAAAACCAGCTGGTTCCAAGGAGACCAAAATGAAGCCAGCTTCATTGGCAGCAGCTAGACACCGAGCGCCCACCAGAGGACTTTCCAGGGAGGGCTGTAATGTGCGGAGGGAGAACAGGGTCTTACAGAAGAGGACAGCCAGATTCAGGGGAGAGAGGAGAGAGGGAAAAAGGGGGTGGGACCAACAGAAGAGGGACAGGATCCATTTCAATTCTCCACTAAAACAAGCCCCTGGGGACAAAAACCAAGGCATCTCCGGAGTTCAAAACCACTTCTGTGTCATGCCTTATGGACACCAACCAGGAACCTTGAGATGCCAACAATATGGCATTCACGTTCCTTCTTGTTCCCTCCTCTCTCGCATCCTCTTCCCCCTACTCCCTTCCCCTTCTCCCCTTTTCCCCATCTTTCTCTCTCTCTCTCTCACTCACACACCTCTAATATTTCCTCTACATTATGTATATAAATTTTCAAAACCTATGTATATAAATACACAGCAGACAATCCAGAAGGAAACACACCCAACTCATCTCCCTGGTTACTAGGGAAACGGATGGCAACACTAAAATAGATGGGTGGCAGAGAGCTTGTTGGTTTTCTCTTTAATATTTAAAAAAAATTATGACACAGGCCACAGTGTGGAAGGTTCATCCCAGAATATAATGGCCTCTAAAATATTCTGCCCAAGCCTGGCAGGCCAGCCCCTGGAACAGAGATTCCTCCTCCTAAAATGAAATCTTCCTGCAGTGAGGCTGGTCCGGGGACCGAAGCCCAGGGAAAGAGACACCAACGGCAGTCCCAGCACCACCTCCACATACCTGAGCGAGATGCTTCCCAGCATCCCCAGAGCACTTATCTTTTGTTCCAAAAAAATGTTAATAGTCCCCAAACCATTTAGACTTTCATCTTTCAACCGTTAAAAGGTCAGTCTTTCCAAAATAAGTCTGGAGAAAAATCATCAATAAGCAGGTCACGGTCATTTGGTGGAGTTAGAGAAAAGATATCAGCAGAATCTGTACACACTCTCTGCCTCCCTCCAGAAACAAATTCATTTTTTGCTCTGAACTAGGAACCAGCTTCCTAGCTTAGAACTTTCTGCTTCTCATGGTCACAACTTTTCACACCTTCACGTTTGCAATACTATTTATGTGAGCCGGGAAGCAAGAGCTTATTACAAGTAACAAGCCCTCAGATGCAGCAACGCTCTGCAACCAGCCACATCACACCAACACGGGTTTCCCTTTTATGTCTGAAACAAAGGGAATTCTGAGCAAATGTGCTGCTGAATTGCCAGAGAGGCAGGGAAGCAAAGCTGCTAGTAAGAGAAAACATATAATAAGCCCCATCAGCTTAAAGCTACACACACAAAAAAAACCAAGCTTTTGACATCTTGCTGGGGGCAAACTCACTGATGAGAATTAAGTCAGCTGTAATGCACCGGGAATTGCCCAGAAGACTGTCATTTTATGCTTATTTAAAAAGTGGCTGGAGGACTGGCTAAGAAAATGGCAATCCAGGAGTGCCTGGGTCAAAGGGCCAGTGGATCCTGGGGTCACCTTGGGTTTCTAACAGCCCCCCAAGGGGATGAGAGGAAGCCTCCCCACCAAAAGAAAAGTGGAGAAACAGTGGAAAACTTATTTCTCCTTAGACAGCTCCTTCGAGCTGGCCGCATGGGCACTGTGTCCTCAGAGCCTGGCTCATGGGCTCCCTGCCTTGTCTTCCCCTTGCACGGCACCTCCGCTGGGTGTCTGGGGCTCTGGGTGTCCCCACCACTCCTCCAGTGCCCACAAACAGGCTGATCGCAGCAGCACCTTCCTTATGCGGCCGGATGTTACATCGGAGAGGCTGACTGTCCTGCCTCTGAATCACCCAGACCTCTTGTTTCTCCAATTCCCTGCTTTCTGATCAGTCTCTGCTGACCATACGAGTGACCCAGAAGGAAGACGATAAAATGCAAATAACCACTCATTTACTATGACCATCTCTGATGATAGATTTGGGAACGGTTGAGAACTTGAACTAAAATGAGATTTCTGGTAGCCGGTTACCTCTAAATCTGCTTACAGAAATAATCATGGTTTGTATGCACCACTGCTCACCCCCTCCACACACACATACACACACACACACACACACTCTCTCTCTCTCTCTCTCTCTGAAAAACCAGTTTACTTCTCAGGTGGCAAGAAAGCAGCTCTGGGCCCACTGCTCAACTTCCCCTCCCACAGGAAATGGCACAGCGCCCCCCGATTTTAATGAAAATCTCAGCCCTTTATTTCCAAAACCCTCTGGACTGGGAATGCATTTTCTCCCACTTCCCATCCAGATGGAAAGCAAACATAAAATCCACAGGAGAGAGTCTGCCATCAGCACTTGTGATCAACAGCATTTCGAGGAAGCTTGACTCCCCGTGAGCAGAGCACCAACGTGAAGGCGGGTCTCAGCAGCTCCTGGCTGTCCCAGCTGGGGCCGGGCCGCCCCCCAGGAGGACTACCAAACTGTATCCCTTGTTACTAGCATATGCAACCGGGATGCCACCCCCACAGTCTACCTACACAAGTGGGCTTACAACACCAAAACTGGTTTGTAGTGTGTTTAAAAAGGAGAAGACTCAGGGGCTGGGTGGGAGGGGCGCAGGATTCCAAATGAGCCATCTGGGGAGACAGGTTTTATCTACAAAGCACCTACGGTTTGCAGACTCAAGTTCTGCTTACAACCTGTTGGGACCCGAGCTTCTCTCTAGAAGGAGAATACAGTGTGTGTGAAGTTTCCAGGACACCTGGCATGTAATAAGCCCTCAATTAATATGAACTGTGATCATCACCAGAATCATTATTAAACCAAATACTATTCTGGAACTACCTTAGCAGTGGAAGGAACAGAGAAGGAGAAAGAAAAACGGTCTCAACGTTGCTGTAACAAAATCACAGCCACTCAAATCTAAATAAGTGAATAAAAGCATATCCCACAGAATAGAAAAGGACACGTTATAGTTATTGGTGTTACCGCTTTCTCCCTTCCCCATGGGTGACAGCCATCACGGCCCATCATGTCCAGAGAGCCAAGGATGCAAATCAGTGGGTGGGAAGTGAGATGAAGTGTTCACAGCCCAGCCAGGTAAGGGCATTGCAATACACATCACCGCCCCACCCTTCCATTTCATAGATGTGTTCTGTGGTCTCCCGATCCAATCGTAAACCTAATATTTACTCAGTGAAAGCAGTATTTGTGTGCGTTGCCATCTAAAATCCAATAAGTATGGAGACAGAAAAGAGGCTGTCTGCTTATGAGGCATGAGGGCAAACACAGCGAGCTCTTTAAAGAGCCATTGAGCTAATCAATATCCTCTCCCATTTCCATTCAGGGGCCCTGAGCCAACGGAGACTTAATAATTATTTTCCATCATTACAACCCTCCGAGAAGCTTACAAAGAAAAGGTCACTGTTTCTAAGTTTGTTCTTCTCTATTTGCCAAACACAGATTATTTCCTGGGGTCCATGAGGATCTCTTCCCAGACTGTAGCAACCAAAGACAGCCCTCACTAGGCCTCTTGGAGCCGGCTTTAGAAACAGGATATTGCTCTGCCCGTGGAAATCACTGTGGTCATCACATTTAGTTGTCTGGCCTCCTGTCCTGACCTTCCCTGCCAAGGTCAAGTTTTGGCCAACCCTCCTGTTGGATATTCTTTTTAATTTGTCCAGGTCTCAAAAATAAACACCAACCTCTGTGGTAGGTCAGGCAGGAAGGAAAAGGATGCTGTGGGTTGCTGGACACCATGACCAGCTCCTTCAACCGAGCTCCTGGACAGCGACCACACAGGCTTCAGCTGAGCCCTTTGTGCCCACATGCACACCACGAAGCCCACCATAAATACCCCAAGCTGCCTTCTGCTTGTCCTTTCCTTAGGAAACGTGAACAAACAATAACATAGAAAAATTATGGAAACCATCTTTTCCTTGCATAAAAGTTGGCTCAAACAACTAGTTAAGATTAGGTTTGATTAGAAGAAATAGAAAACCCTACTGCAGCGACTTACACAGGAAAGGTTTATTTGTCTGGGTCAGCAGAAGGACCAGGGTCAGCCATCCAGCGGGTACAGTGGCCCCAGCACTGCCGGGGGGGCACCAGGCTACTCTGTCACCTGAGTGATGGCTGTCGCACCCCAAGGACCACCCTGCTGTTTCCAGGAGAAGGAAGGGCAAGTAGAAGATGAGAAGGGACAACCTCCCTGATGACTTTTGCTGACCTCACATGGTTTCCCTGGGCTGCAGGGGAGGCTGTAGGTCTAGGAATTATAGGTAGGCACATTGCTAGATCAAACAGAATTGGAGTTCTGTTAGAAAGACAAAAGGATAAGTGGATTTTTTTCTTTTTTGAGACAGGGTCTCACTCTGTCACCCTGGCAGGAGTGCAGTGGCACAATCACAGCTCACTGCAGCCTCGACCTCTGGGGCTCAGATGATCCTCCCACTTCAGCTTCCCAAGTAGCTGGGATCACAGGCATGTGCCACCATGCCCAGCTAATTTTTTAAAATTTTTTGTAGAGATGGAGTTTCACCATGTTGCCTAAGCTGGTCTTGAACTCCTGGGCTCAAGCGATCCACGTACCTCGGACTCCCAAAGTGCTGAGATTAAGGCATGAACCACCGCACCTGGCCAGTAAGTGATTCAGTAGGTACCATGGTCTGAAAGTTTGTGTCCTCCCAAAATTAATACAGTGGATTCCTAAGCTCCGAGGTGACAGTCCAGTCTTGTGTGCATGATGACATGAAAGTCAACAGTGGGTGACATATAAGACAGTGATTCCACAGGATCATAACAGAGTGAAAGATTCCTATTGCCTAGTGACATCTGGATGATCCTGACCCTTTGTAGGCCTAGGCTAACATTCGTGCTTATTTTATTTTTTATTTTCTTGAGATGGAGTCTCACTCTGTCACCCAGGCTGGAGTGCAGTGGCGCGATCTGGCTCACCGCAACCTCTACCTCCCAGGTTCAACTGATTCTCATGCCTCAGCCTCCTGAGTACCTGGGATTACAGGCGCCCGCCACCACACTTGGCTAATTTTTGTAATTTTAGTAGAGACAAGGTTTTGCCACGTTGGCCAGGCTGGTCTCTAAGTCTTGACCTCAGGTGATCCACCCACCTTGGCCTCCCAAAGTGCTGGGATTACAGGTGTGAGCCACCACACCCGGCCTAATGTTTGCATTTGTATCTTCATTTTGTACCAAAAAAAAAAAAAAAAAATTAAGTAAAAAGGAATTTAAATTTTTTAATAGAAAAAAGCTTACAGAACAAAGATATCAAACAAGAAAATACCTTTGTACAGCTACAGCTTTACAGTGTGTTTTAAGCTAAGTGTTATTACAAAAGAGTCAAAACGTTTTTACAAGCTGATAAGGTAAAAATGTTACAGTAAGTTAAGGCCAATGTATTATTGTAGAAAAATATTTTGATTGCTTTAGTGTAGCTTAAGTATACAGTGTTTACAAAGTCTACGGTAGTGTATAGTAATGTCCTAGGCCTTCACATTCACTCACCACTCACTCACTGACTCACTGACTCACCCAGAGCAACTTCCAGCCCTGCAAGCTCCATTCATGATGAGTGCCCTAGACAGGTGTACTACCTCTTATCTTTTATACCATGTTTTTACTGCACCTCTTCTATGTTCAGATACACAAATACTTGTCATTGTGTTACAGTTGTCCACAGCATTCAACACAGTAACATACTATACAGGTTTGTAGCCTCGGAGCAATAGGCTACACCCTACAGCCTATGTGTGCAGTAGGCTATCCCATCTTTGTTTGGGTAAGTACACTCTATGATGTTTGAACAATGAGACATTTCTCAGCATGTATCCCCACCGTTGAGTAATGCATGACTTTATTAGAAGGTAGGGCCTTTGGGAGATGATTAGGTCCAGGGTTAGTGCCCTTATAAAGAGGTCCTAGACCAGGCGGTGGCTCACACCTGGAATCCTCACAATTTGGGAGGCCAAGGCACATGGATCACCTAAGGTCAGGAGTTTGAGACCAGCCTGACCAACATGGTGAAACCCTGTCCCTACTAAATACAAAAAAATTAGCCAGGTGTGGTGGTGCATGCCTATAATCCCAGCCACTTTGGAGGCTGAGCCAGAAGAATCACTTGAACCCTGGAGGCAGAGGTTGCAGTGAGCCGAGATTGTGCCATTGCACTCCAGCCTGGGCAACAAAAGTGAAAACTTCATCTCAAAAAATAAAATAAATTAAATAAATTTTAAAAATAAAGAGGTCTTAGAGAGCTGCCTCACCCCTTCCGCCATGTAAGGACACAGTGAGAAGGTGCCCTCTATGAACCAGAAAGTGAGCTTTTCACAGACACAAATCTGCTGCTGCCTTGACCTTGGACTTCCCAGCCTCCAGACCTGTGAGAAATAAATGTCTGTTGTCTATAAGCTACCCACTTTATACTATTTTGTTATAGCAGCCCAAATGGACTAAGACAGTAGGGTATCAGTTCAGCTGCTGTAACAAAGATAGAAAGCGAACAATGACTGAAGTACAATAGACCATTATTTCTTAGCCAGTATTATTTCTTAGGTAAAAGTCCTGGTAGTAAGGCTACAGCAGGTATGGTGTATAGAGCAGGTATCAAGAAGGACTGAGGCTTTGAGAAAACAAGAATGAAAATGGCAGATAGGCCAGGCGTGGTGGCTCACACCTGTAATTCCAGCACTTTGGGAGGCTGAGGCGGGTGGATCACGAGGTCAGGAGATTGAGACTATCCTGGCTGAAATGGTGAAACCCCGTCTCTACTAAAAATACAAAAAATTAGCCGGGCGTGGTGGCGGGCACCTGTAGTCCCAGCTACTCGGGAGGCTGAGGCAGGAGAATCACTTGAACCTGGGAGGAGGAGGTTGCAGTGAGCCGAGATCATGCCACTGCACTCCAGCCTGAGCGACAGAGCGCGACTCCATCTCAAAAAAAAAAAAAAAAAAAAAAAGGCAAATAATGTCTTAGCATTCTTATGAAAATTAATATTTGAATTTTTAAATTATTATTATTATTTTAACCTCTCAGCTCCCTTGAAAGGATCTTGAGGAAACTCTAGGCAGTCCCCCAAACACACTTTGAGAACTACCACTTTAAGATCACACCTCTTTAATAAATGAACAAAAGGATAAAGACATGGCAAACAACAACTCAGTCCCTAGGTCTCACACTCACCCTCCATTCCAATTTTCCACTTAAAAAGAAAAAGAGTGATAACTGAAATGTTAGAGAAAGTATGAATCATCAATGGGCAACAACCACTGCTGGGAAAATGACACCGAGGGGGAAAATCCTCATTTGCAGAAAGGCACAGAAATGTCTCTGTTGGCCGGGCGCGGTGGCTCACGCCTGTAATCCCAACACTTTGGGAGGCCAAGGCAGGCGGATCACGAGGTCAGGAGATCGAGACCATCCAGGCCAACATGGTGAAACCCCAATCTCTACTAAAAATACAAAAATTAGCCTGGCATGGTGGCACGTGCCTATAATCCCAGCTCCTCGGGAGGCTGAGGCAGGAGAATCACTTGAACCCGGGAGGCAGAGGTTGGAGTGAGCTGAGATCGTGCCATTGCACTCCAGCCTGGCAACAGAGCAAGACTCCGTCTCAAAAAAAAAAAGAAAAAAGAAAAAAAGAAATGTCTCTGTTAGGTCTCAGGATTATATATTGTAACCAATGTTACAAAGGGACAGGAGTGGTGGGAATTTCTAACATGGTGCCCCCAAAGATGTTTTGCCCTTATCCCCAGGACCTATGACTATGACACGCCATCAGTACCATGCTGTGGTGTGTTGTGAGTCACAGCTTGCGTTAGGATAAGATTACCCGGTTGGGCCTGACCTAGTCCCAGGAGCCCTGAAAAGCAGAAAGCTGTGTCCAGTGAAGGCAGAAAGGGAAGTCAGAGAGATTCGAAAGTGAGAAAGTGCCTGAGCCATGACTGGCTGAAGAAGCAGGGAGCCACATGGGAAGGAATGTGGACGGCCCCAAGGAGTGGAGAGAGGCCCTGGCTAATAGCCAGAAAGGACATGGGGCCTCACTCCCGCAGCCCTGCTGTATCCTGCCAGCAGACAGGAGCTTGGAAGGGACTCCGAAATCCAGATGAGAACACGACCGGCTGACCCACCCACGTGCTCCCAACCCTCTGACCTATGGAGTTTTGAGCTAACAAAGGGTGCTGTTTAAAGCTGTTAGACTTATAATCATTTGTACACAGCAAGAGAAAACTAAAATACCAGGGCAGGAAAAGGAGCGTGTCCCCAGGCCCTAGTTCATGCAGATAAAACCTGTCTTGGATATCAGAGGCAAGGGGAGAACACCCCCACCCCTGGTGAGATACACCAGGGACAAGTTTAGATGAACCACCTGAAAAAGCATCAGAGAAAGTGAAAGAGCAAAGAGCAGAGAGAGGGACTAGGGACATGTGGGAAAGAACCATGAAGTGCTAGCACCTTCCATAAAACACACAAACAAAGGGCTGGAACAGAAACACCCCCACACAGCAACAATGAGTTTGGGGAAACGGTAGTGATATTATCCAAAGGGTAACGGCTCCCAAAGTGAATGAATGCTTCCTATTCAATAAAGCAGTAAAGTACCGAGGTGGCCTGGAGAGCACGGCCAGCCACCAGCTGCCTGGGAGAGCGAAGGTGCCCAGGAGACCGACTGCATCGGCACCTGTTCCCAGGAGCCTCTCCCACCCACAAAGCCACAGGAATAGCAACCAGCAGTGAGTCACCGGGTCACCAGAGAAAAACCAGCAAAATGTCAGTCTCCGAGCAAGCTTCTCTATCATTGGATTCCTAGCCAGGGTGGTCGTTGAGAATCTTCCAGGCCGTCCTCCAGCCTGCGAACGCAGGGGAAGTACGGGGAGGTTCTAGTGAGAATCTGGGCTGTCGTCTGGGCCCCATTTGTAAACCCCAAACCACAGCCCTCTTCCCTGCCCTTAGGCGTTCCCTGCCTTCCTCTTCCTCTTCCTTCCTTCCTTCCTCTTTCCCTTCTTTCCTCCCTTGCTCCCTCCCTCCCTTCATCAGATATTTACCGAGCATTGTTCCCTGTGAGTCACTGTGCTGGTGTTGGCGACACGGCCAAGAACAAGCCTAACAAAGTCCCTGTCCTCAAGGAGCCTACATTGTGGTGGGGAAACCGATGATAAAGAAGTAAAAAATATACAAACGAACAAACTGGATAAGGAAGGTTGCTGACAAGTTCTAGGAAGGAAATAAACAGAGAAAGCCACGCACATTGTGGGGGGTCAGGGAGGAGCTTGGGAGGAGACATTTGCACTGAGGCAGCCACGCACAGAGCTTCGGGAACTCTGTTTCAGAGAAAAGGAATAGCAGATGCAAAGGCCGGGAGGTGGGACAGGGCTTGGGGAGCTTCTAAGAAGGGGGTGGGGAGACTGTGGGGAGCATGGAAGTGGAGGTGAGGGAGTAAGGGGGACCAGTCAGGAGGCCAGGTTCTGGGACAGAGACAGTAATGCCTTAGGCTGGGGTGGAAAGGAGTGGACAGGATGGGTCCACAAGACCTTTTTGGAAAGGTGCCAACAGCACTTGTTCATGAGAACGAAAGGAAACAACAAATCATCTCTGTTATCATTGAACACTTAGGGCACGCCAACTCTGGTAAGGCCCTGCCTTCAGCCCTGGGATACAAAGAAGGATGAGGTCTGGGTCTTGCTTTCAATGAGGTGACTGACTAGCCAGAAACATAATTTTACAAAGATAAAAAAGAAGGCCCTTGCTCTGGGGCTGACATGGTTAGGTTTTGTGTCTCCACCCAAATCTCATCTTGAATTGTAAACCCCATAATCACCACGTGTCAAGGGAGAGACCACGCGGAGGCAACTGAATCATGGGGGCAGTTTCCCCCATGCTGTTCTCGTGATAGTGAGTGAGTTCTCACGAGATCTGATGGTTTTATAAGGGGCTCCTCCCCCTTCGCTTGCCACTTCTCCTTCCTGCCGCCTTGTGAAGAAGCTACTTTTTCCCCTTCACCTTCCGCCATTATTGTAACTTTCCTGAGGGCTCCCCAGCCACGCAGAACTGTGAGTCAATTAAACCTCCTTCCTTTATAAATTACCCAGTCTTGGGCAGTTCTTTATAATGGTCTGAAAACAGACTAATACAGGGGCTATGTAAGTGAGACAGATAATTCTCACTCCAGTTATGCTGAGAGGAACCTGGACTCCGAGAGCACATCTGATCCATGGAAATACTGTCTGTCTTCACCTGTCTTGAGAAGCAGAGCAGGCAATGGGATGAGGGACGGATAGAGACATTCCCAAACATTACTGGTGAAAGTGTAAATCAGTACAAGCTCAGGAGAGGGCAACTTGAGAATTTCTAGAAAAGGGAAAATTTGGGTCCTGATGTGTGAAGCGCCACAGAAAATCGAGCCAGTTCAGGCCCCTGCCTTGTCCCTACCCAGCTGAGCTGCAAGGAGGCTGCTCTGCAGAGCTCACACTAACCCACCTCCCTCCAACACAGGACCCCAAAACAAATCTTGCCTATAACAGGTAGCATGCTGGAAAACCAAGACCTCAGATGATGCAGCTGGCAGAGTCTCAAACCTATGCTACTGCCCAAGGTAGATGGAGGCAAAGCAGCATGCCCTCCTCCCATAACCTGCTCCCCAAAGCGGCAAGCACCCCTCCCATGACTTGCTCCCCAAAGCAGCACACCCACTTCCCATGACCTCCCCAAAATGGTGCATCCTTCTCCCACGACTTGCTGCTGGATCCACTGATTCCTACACCAGCTCTCCAGCTGGGACAGCCACCCTTCCTGTCCCCAGCCACCCTGCTCTGTTAAGACCATGACATCCTATTTGCATCTATAACTCCCACCAACAATAGCGGGACCCAGGTGCTTATTTATGAAGATATTACTGTACATGTACAAATCTCAAAGAATCATCTAAAGAACGATTATTAACAAAAAAAGGTATTTTGTTTGGTGGCTCAAGACAAAATTAGTGGTGGCTCAAGACAAAATCAATAGCTTTTCTATGCAAAAACAACGGCCAGATGGAATATGTCATGAAATAGGAGACCCCGTCTGTAATACTCATAAAAGGAAATGAAATACCCAGGAATACATTCAACCCTAAACATGAAAAGTCCTTATGAAGAAAACTTAAAATGCTACTGGGAGACGCGATGAGTAGCCTGGATAGATGGAGTGGTGAGCTTTGTTCTTAGGCAGAAACGCTCATCGTCATAAACCTGTCATTTCTGCCTACGTTAATGTAGAAATTTGAAACAAAGCTTGTAAAAAAAAATACCTAGACGATGTTCTTGAAATTCGCAAGCTGATGCTAAAGTTCACATGGGAAAATATGCTGTAAGAATAACCAAGAAACTTTTGAAAAGGAACGTAATACAAGTAATACAGAAGACGAATAGATGATAAGACGTGAAGTTGCAGCAACTGAAACAGAATAGTACCTGAAGAGGCAGAGCTGAAAAGATTAAAGCGGCACCATATAATAAAAATAGAATGTGAGGCTGGGCACGGTGGCTCATGCCTGTAA
The DNA here is from genome assembly GCF_000001405.40 of Homo sapiens. NCBI lineage: Eukaryota > Metazoa > Chordata > Mammalia > Primates > Hominidae > Homo > Homo sapiens. Next base: position 72,980,771 of record NC_000017.11, read on the forward strand.
TCCCGACACTTTGGGAGGCTGAGGCGGGTGGATCAAAGAGGTCAGGAGTTTGAGACCAGCCTGGCCAAGATGGTGAAACCCCGTCTCTACTAAAAATACAAAAATTAGCCAGGCATGATGGTGGGTGCCTATAATCCCAGCCACTATGGAGGCTGAGGCAGAGAATTACTTGAACCTAGAAGGCAGAGGTTATAGTGAGCTGAGATCATGCCACTGCATTCCAGCCTGGGTGACAGAGGGAGACTCCATCTCAAAAAAAAAAAAAAAATAGAATGTGAGCTACAAATATAACATTAAATTTTCTGGTAGGCACAATCACCAAGGGGAAGGAAACAGGTGAAATTAATTGTAATAACATATTTTATTTTATCCAAATATATCCAAAATAGTTTCACTTCAATAAGGTAAGCAATATAAAAATTGGTAATGAGATATTTTATACATATATATTTTTAGTAAGTCTTCAAAATCCACTGTGTATTTTTTATTTATAGCCCATCTCAATCTGGACTAGTCACACTTCAAGCACTCAATACACACATATGGCTGGCTAAATGGCTAGTTTATTATTCACCTTAGGACTACAAAAATCCAGAAGCAAATACGTAAATACATCTTCTGATTTAGTAAATTTTATAGCTGGCATTTACATTAACGGAGAAAAGATGGATTATTCAACAAATGGTATCAAGACTTCTGAGAGCCATCTGGAAATACATACATTTTAATCTCTATCTCACTTTTTATACCAAAATAGATTATTTTAATCCCTATCTCACTTTGTATACCAAAATAGATTCTGGATGAATTAAATATTTAAATGCAAAAAAAAAAAAAAAGGAAACCAAGTTGTAGAAAAAAAATAGGTATTTTTAATCCTCTTGGAATGAGGAAGACTTTACTAAGTATGAATCAAAAAAGACTAAGTTCAAAGAGGTACAAATTAAATAAAAATCTACATGGTTGGAAGCACCATAAACAGACTCACAAGTGACCAACTGAGAAAAGAATTATAATAATATTGCAGATAATTTTCTGAATACACAAGGAGCTCCAAAATAATGAGTTAGGAAAGACCAACCATGGAACAGAAAAGTAAGAGAAAGACACAGACACTTCACAGAAAGGGAAATACAAACAGCTTTGAAACACGTGGAAAGATGCTAAGCTGACTAATAAGACAAAGCTGTAGGCCGGAGCAGTGGCACACATCTGTAATCCCAGCCACTTGGGAGGCCAAGGCAAGAGGATTGCTTGAGGCCAGGAGTTTGAGACCAGCCTGGGCAGCATGGTGAGACTCCATCTCTAAAATTTTTTTTTTTTTTTAAACAAAGAAGACTCCATGAAATACCATTTTTTACCTATTCCTATTAACAAAAAATCAAAAATTTTACTAAAACCCTATAGGGATGGGGTATGGATAAAGACATTCTCAAACATTGCTGGTAAAAGTATAAATCAGTATAAGCTCAAGGAAGGGCAACTTGAGAATTTCTGTAAAAGGGAAAATTCACAAATATCCACTGTATAATCCCACTTTCAGAAACTTAGTTTTATAGATATGTTCACATGGACTCAAATACAGACGGTAGCTACTTTCTATCTGATGTGGTCCAAACTGGTCATTAATAGGTTAATTTTAAACATGGAAAATGGGAAGAATCTCCCCCCAAAAGTAATTTTAATTTCAAGCAAATAAATGTGCATTCACTTGCAAATCTTATGATGTAAATCAGAGGCCTCTTTCGTCCATATCGGTCAACTGATAAAAGTTCTGTTTCGTCTATTTTGCAAAAACCTTGTTCGTAATACTTCATTTACAATCTTCAGATTTTGTTTCTTTAAAGTGGTGGAAAGACTTAAAGACACCTGGGGAGAAATCTGGAAATAGAATCTCCATTTTTCTAATTCGTTGCCAAGTCTTTTTTTTTTTTAACAGCTGTCTCTACTATGCCTTATTTGACAGAAATTTGGTGATTCAATGTTAGCAAATCTCTTCAAATCTGAACTTTCATTAAAATTACATAACATTTGATGAAATCAAATGATGGCAGCAAGTGCAGCTAAAATAAATAGTTGGATTAATGAACAACTGACTCAGGTTGCACTGACGACAGGGCTGCAAGTGTTTGGAGTATAATGGGCAGCAGAAACACAGAGTGTCTATTATCCATGCATCTCCATCCAGGCAAGGTCAACTCAGAGAACGTCTATTAAATATCCACCAGGATATTCACTGCATCACTGTTCCTAAGAGTAAAGGACATGAAACAATCAAAATGCCCCTCAACAGGGAACTGATTAGATAACTCACAGTACCTTCATTTGATGGAATAGTACCCAGGGTGTTTTTTGTTGTTGTTTTTTGTTTGTTTATTTGTTTTTGTTTTTTTTTTTGAGACCAAGTCTCACTCTGTAGCCCAGGCTGGGGTGCAGTGCCGCGATCTCAGCTCACTGCAGCCTCCACCTCCCAGGTTCAAGCGATTCTCCTGTCTCAGCCTCCTGAGGAGCTGGGATTACAGGCAAGCGCCACCACAACCAGCTAATTTTGTATTTTTAGTAGAGACGAGGTTTCACCATGTTGGCCAGGCTGGTCTCAAGCTCCTGACCTCAAGTGAACCACCTGCCTCGGCCTCCCGAAGTGCTGGGATTACAGGTATGAGCCACTGTGCCCAGCCTGTTGTTGTTGTTGTTTGCTTTTGTTTTTAAATAAAGCAACATATATGGATGTGCTAAGATGGAACTCCTCTGTCCAAGATGTGGTGAAATCAGGCTATGGAACAGACTAATATATCTACACTTACATGCTTAGGGAGACAGAAAGCACCTCTGGAAAAATACAGAAAACAACCTGGTTACAAGTGGTCACCTCTGAGGAAATAAAATAAGTAACCAGAAGACAGAGGTGAGAGAAAGACTTTTCACCACAGATCCCTTTGTACCTTTTGAGTGATGGGCTGTGGGCAATTTTCTCTTTCAAATCAGAGCCAGGCTCTTCACCCAGACTCCATAAAGATGCCCAACGGTGAGAACGAAGTCGGAAGAAAAGAGGGGTTGCTGAGAGCTGGTGAGTTACTAAGGAAAAGGGAACCCTGGGATCTGCCCTCACCATCTGGGCAAGGCTCCAAGGGAAGTGGGGATCTGTGAAATCCCCAGATGGATTTGGGAATCTAAGAGCAGGGGCCCTCTAGACCCCTTTCCTGAGTGCTGTTCAGGGGGGTGGCAAGCTCCAGAGAAGTGCCAGCAGAGGGGTAACCAGGCAGAGAGGACCTGGGTAGCCTCAGGTTTCTCATGGCTCAGAGTGGGGCTGGAATCGTGGAGTGATTCTGGGAGCCTCAGAGCCACATTGAAATAGAGAAACAGGAGGCAGGCCCATCGAATTGCCACTATCAGCAGCAAAAAAACCCAGCTCTTGCCCCTGTTCTTCCCCCATGAAGCAGAACGGCCTTGAAAGCTGCTTGTAGCATTGCATTGCACAGAGCATGGGCAGAACAAACTCAGCCACCCCAGGATGGGCACAGAAGTAGCCATGAGACCTGAAGGGGCTTGGTCAAACCCGGCCCACAGTCTGTTTTTGTAAATAAAGCTTTATTGGAACTCAGACATTTAAAAAAAAAAAAAAAGAAAGAAAAGAAAAAGAAAATTCAAGAAATAAGATTCCTTTCCCTTGGGTGTTGTGGGATACATGTAAAGCCCAGGCACACTGAATCCACAGGCTTCCCAGGAGTTCGAGTTTTATTCAGCAAAGCAGCTGTTCTCAAAGTGGGGTCCCCAAGGCCAGCAGCATCAGCAACACCCAGGAACTTGTTAGCAAGGCAAGTTATCAGGCCCCATTCCAGGCCTCTGGTGGGCCCAGCAACCCGTGTTTCCGCAAGACCTCCAGGGGATTCTCATGCACTCTCAAATGTGAGAATCACCGCAGTGAAGCAACGCCTTTTACAGGGGCTGAGAAAGGTGAAGTCTCACCGCATCTGGTTACCATTCCTGTGTGCCACAAAGTATTTTATCAGGCTCTGAGTCATCTGACATTTCCTTCTGGAAGCAGAATGTTAAATGAATAAGGAGGAAGGCCATTTGTTTATCTGAAACATAACAATATCCCAAATCTATTTCATTTACTTCTAAAGCTAATGATTCTGCAATCCAATAACTCTAGAGAATTGCACACAGCAGCAATAACCCTCTTATGGAATCAATTTTCTCTGGTTAGGAACAAAGAATTCTCCCCTCCAAAAATCCAACCTGCATTGATTAGTTCATCAGAGCACACTAGGAGGCCCAGCCGGGCTAGAGGCAGGGCAAACACAGTAAGTTGTCTGGGGCCACACCTCCCTAGGAATGTGCACACTCCACGTGGCTGACGCCACTCCACAAGGCACCAGGTACAAGGCAATGATCTGCTCATGCTTAAGTGGCCTGGGAGGGACATACAGGGGGGAAAGGACAGAAAGAGCTAGCTGAGTGAGGGCCACGCAGACAGCGCCCACAGAAGGAGGAACATGTCACAGAGTCGCTCTCTGAATTTTTGCCCACAACTTTGCTGACGGGACTAGCCAGCTATATCTGACCCTATCAGGTATTACCCACTTGTGACATTCATTTCCATGCAAACCTTCTTTATTTGCATGGGGCCTGCCTTTTTTTTTTTTTTTTTTTTTTTGAGACAGAGTCTCACTCTCTCACCTAGGCTGGAGTGCAGGGGCGCCATCTCGGCTCACTGCAACCTCCACCTCCCAGGTTCAAGCAATTCTCCTGCCTCAGCCTCCCGAGTAGCTGGGACTACAGGCATGCACCACAACACCGAGCTAATTTTGGTATTTTTAGGAGAGACAGGGTTTCGCCATGTTGGCCAGGCTGGTCTCGAACTCCTGACCTCAGGTGATCCACCCACCTCAAACTCCCAAAGTGCTGGGATTACAGGCATGAGCCACCGCATCTGGCCAGGCCTAACTTTTTATTACTGTCTTTTATTTATTAATCTTCCTGCAATCGATGCCCTATCTCCCTGTGATGGGTTGAACTGCATTCCTGCAAAAGATGTTGTCTATAAATGTGACCTTTTTTGCAAACAGGGTCTTTGTAAATGATCGAGGTAAGATAAGGTCATTAGGGCAGGTCCCAATTCAATATGATTTTTTCCTTATAAAAAGGAGAAATTTGGACACAGAGACAGGCACACAAGGAAAATACTACGGGAAGACTGGAGTTATGCTACTAGAAGCCAAGGAACCACCAAAAGCTAGGAGAGGGGCTTGGAGCTCATCCTTCCCTGGAGCCTTGAGGAGGCACATGGCCCTGCTGACATCTTGAGGTCAGAATCTTAGAACTACTTTCCAGAAAGTTCTAGCCTCTAGAACTGAGACAATAAATGTCTGTTGTTTAAGCTATTCAAATTGTGATATATTGTTCCCACAGCCCTAGGAAACCAGTTCACTCCCCAGTAAGACTCCAGGGTCCCCCAGAAGCCTGACGGCTGTGGAGCTAGCTTTGAAAGCCAGGACACCCTAGTCACAACACAACCACTAGGGGGAGATGTTGAGGTGATGCAAACCACGGCTGGGGAGCTGGACAAACTGGTGGTTGCCAAGCCTGGCCATGCAGACAAAGCCCCGGTGAAGCTTTTTAGAAATACAGACGTCTAAGCTCCACCCAAAGCCTCCTAAATCAGAACATCAGAAAGTCGAGTGTGACGCGCCACCTGCCAGGCACTGGCCCACAGACCCTCCAAGGACCCTTCCAACTGTGAGGTCCCATTACTGCCACACTGCTGCACCCTCCACCCCCAGCTAGCCCGAGGGGGCTCCATGGATCAGGAGCATCAGCCACCTTGACAGCTTGGGAGACACATACAGTCTTGGGCCCCAACCCAGACCTGCCAAATCATCATCTGCATTTTAACAGGCTCCCGGGGTGAACCGTGCACACATTCAGGTGTGAGAAGCACTTGTAGATTGGATATAAGACATAATCACAGGCCGGGCATGGTGGCTCATGCCTGTAATCCAAGCACTTTGGGAGGCTGAGGCAGGCAGATTACTTGAGGTCAGGAGTTCAAGACCAGCCTCGCCAACATGAGGGATGAACTGGTTACTGTCTTCAACTACAATGACTAGTTTTTTATACCAGAAGGGAAAGAATAAAAGCACAGGGTATTGTCCAATAAACCACAAAGCTCTGACATAGTATGGATGTGTGTTCCCTCCAAATCTCATGTTGAAATGTGAGCCCCAGTGCTGGAGGAGGGCCTGGTAGGAGGGGTTTGGGTCACGGGAGCAGATCCCTCATGAATGGTTTGTTGCCCTCCCCACAGTAATGTGCGAGTTCTCACTCTGTTGGTTCAGGAGAGCACTGGTTGTTTGAAAGATCCTGCTAGTTCTTTTGCTCCTTCGCTTGTCACGTCACACATCTGTTCCCCCTTCACCATCTGCCATGATTGGAAGCTTCTTGAGGCCCTCCCCAGAAGCAGATGCTGGCACTATGCTTCTTATACAGTCTGCAGAACTGAGAGCCAAATAAACCTATTGTCTGTAAATTACCCAGCCTCAGGTATTCCTTTATGGCAACACTTAATGGACTAAGACACTCCACAAGGACCTGAAGTTTGTCTCTTATTAGGTAATCACCAAATGTACTTGTGTAAAGTGTATCCAGTTTGAGTGAATGGGGCACTTAGCATACAGTTCCTGGATTTGTGACAGAAATAAGATGGAATGAACAATTAATCCCACAATCTACTAAAGAAATCAGTAAGAGGTACCCTGACACTCCCATGGCAAATTCAGAAATGTTAAAATATGCTCCCCATTCCCCAAAAAGGGGACTGAATGGGCTATTAGGGGAACAGATGGCTTGCACTAGAATTCTTTAGCAATCTCTGGAAAATAAGAAATGTTTTTTTCCTTGCCTAAAGACAAAGTCCTGAATCAGAATACCCCTTCCTCTTCCACACCAAGTCTTTCTCCACTCCAAAACTTCATGACACTTACAGAGAAAGGTGAAGCCCCAACGGTTGTTTTGGGAACAATCTCCCTCATCCACTCACCCATCCAAAAATGACACCACTTAAAAAAACAAACAGCCGGTGGGGGCTACTTCTTCCCATGTTCTCGTCCTGAATCGTAAAAGAGCAAAGCCTACTTTCCATTATTACTCTTGGCATGAATGGTTTAAAAAGAGCATCTATAAACCAGAAAAGAGAGCCACGTAAAAGTCAGCTCTCTTTTTTATTATTTTTGTGAGTACATAGGTGTGTATATTTATGGGGTCCATGAGATGTTTTGACACAGCCATGCAGTGTGAAATAAGCACATCATGGAGAATGCGACATCCATCCCCTCAAGCTTTTACCCTTTGAATTACAAACAATCCAATTACACTCTTTATTTTAAAGTGTACAATTAGGCTGGGCACAGTGGCTCACGCCTGTAATCCCAACACTTTGGGGGGCCAAGGCGGGAAGATCACCTGAGGCCAGGAGTTCAAAACCAGTCCGGCCAACATGGTGAAATCCCGTCTCTGCTAAAAACACACACACACACAAATTGGCCGGGTGCGGTGGTACATGCCTGCAATCCCAGCTACTTTGGAGGCTGAGGCATGAGAATTGCTTGAACCTGAGAGGCAGAGGCTGCAGTCAGACAAGATCACACCACTGCACTCCAGTCTAGGTGACAGAGCGAGAACTTGTCTCAAACAAAACAAAACAAAACAAAACAAATGTACAATTAAGTTATTACTGACTCTAGTCACCCTACTGTGCTATCAAATAGTAGGTCTTACTCATTCTTATTCCACTTTTTTTTTTACTTTTTCATGTTGCAAATCTGAAACTCGGTACCTTTTAAACAACAACTCCCCTTTTCTCAGTGCCCCTAGCCCTTGGCAACCGCAGTTCTACTTTCTGTTTCTATGAATTGTGTTACTTACTTATTTATTTATTTATTTATTTTTATTTTTGAGATGGAGTCTCACTCTGTTGCCCAGTCTGGAGTGCAGCGGCATGATCTCGGATCACTGCAACCTCCGCCTCCCAGGTTCAAGTGATCCTCCCACCTCAGCCTACTGAGTAGCTGGGATTACAGGCGTGAGCCACCACGCCCAGCTAATTTTTGTATTTTTAGTAGAGACAGGTTTGCTCTTTTTAAGATTACAATATGCAGGCAGAGCATGGTGGCTCACGCCTGTCATCCGAGCACTTTGGGAAGCCGAGGAGGGCACATCACTTGAGGTCAGGAGTTCGAGACCAGCCTGGCCACCACGATAAGACCTCATCTTCATCTCTACTAAAAAGATGAGGAAGTTCTAGAAATCTGCTTCACAACAATGTGAACGTATTTATTAACACTACTGAACTGTGCACGTAAAAATGGTTATGCTGGTCAGTTTTCTACTACGTGTCTTTCACCACAATAAAAAGAAAGATAAAAATAAAACAACAACAACAAAGAAAACAATTGTCCATCCTTACTCAATGCCAGAGGCTGCAGTCCCACAGCACAGCCAGATCTTGGCTGTATTTCACAGAGTTCTCCTGACTCTAGAATCATCCTTCCTTTAATTGTTTGATCCTTTTATTTGCAATGAAATGATTTTACCAAGATAACAGTACAAGTTTCTCTTACATTTCTTGGAGCTACTATCATCCCTTATAACATAACAGCGAGGGTATAAATATTCCATTACGTCAAATCATTTTGTTTATACTATCCCAGGATATGTCTTAAAGACATAGATTACCTTTAAATGATCTAGTCTTGTATCTGTTTTTGCCTTCTAATAGAATTTTTAAAGGGCATCTACCGTTCCAAGAAATTATCATTGTATTTGGGAAGTATGTTCATTTATAATGACAATTCTGTCATGCACCCTCACCTTCCATAGTTTATCAAGCTGGCTTTGAGTGAAGACTGTTTTTCTTATTCCACTGTTTCAAGATGTGGATTTTTGCATTTGTTAAGAGAAGGTGATAAACTCTCATCTTGAAAATGAAACAGATCATTACGTAAAGTCTCCACCAGTATTTGAGCCCTGGTATACCACTCTTCCAGTGATGGGCTTCACATACAGAAATTACGAAACTTATTTAGGGACATAACTGTCACCTAGGATAAAATGACTGCTCTCGTTAGAGGCTCTTCAGTAAATTTCTTTTGTCTTCATTATTTCAGTAATTTATTCTTTCGATGAGACGTCATCCTAAACTACACAGCCTAAAAATGGATAATGCTGCACGTAGTATCAGACTATTTGCAGATGATGCTGTAAGTGACTTACCCATCTTAGTACATGAAAGGCATAACATCAAAAATATTCCATCTCAAAAGCAAGCATTAGGCTGCAAAATTAATTAAACAAAAATTGGTGACATGCACTACCCTTAGGTCCTGCTTGGTCTTACAGTTAGAATGCTGACATTCAAACCGATGCAGAGCCTTGATGGCTGCTACAAATAAATTATTCCAACCAGTTACAAACCCTAAGACTGCCGGGTTCAGACAGCTTGATCCTAGTCACTACAAAATGACCAAGAAAGAAGAAAATAAATGAATAAATACAAAATGACCAAGAAGGAAAAAACCCCCAGGAAGGGTTCAAGTATAATAGTGTGATATATTAAAGAAACACATTTCCTTTTCCTATCAGGATTTTTTTTCTCTCTCTTTTTCAAGATGGAGTCTCCCTCTGTTGCCCAGGCTGGAGTGTAGTGGCGTGATCTCGACTCACTGAAACCTTGGCTTCCCAGGTTCAAGCGATTCTCCTGCCTCAGCCCTCAGCCTCGCGAGGAGCTGGAGCTACAGGTGCACGCCACCAGGTCCAGCTAATTTTTTTTGTATTTTTAGTAGAGACAGGGTTTCACCATGTTGGCCAGGCTGGTCTCAAACTCCTGACCTCAAGTGATTCACCTACCTCGGCCTCCCAAAGTGCTGGGATTACAGGCGTGAAGAACCGTGCCTGTCCCATATCAGGATTTTCTAATAATTCTCCCCGACCAACACACACACATCTACACTAAAATCTTACAGTGTATATATATATAACCTAGAGACTAAAGTTTAGGCTGCTTAAGTTAATGACTGTCAAGACCAGGGACCATTACTGTTATACAAAGTACGGAAGAAATATTTTGGTGACTATTACATGAGACAAAGTCTGCTGATCTACTGTCAAATACAATTCGTTTTTCCTTTACTTTGAGGTCATTTAGTCAATAGTTTTTAAGACTCCTTCTTAAGGCAATCTTTCAGAAATGTAGAAGAGTACAGAGAATAACAAGATGTAAGTCCACGTACCAACGATCTAGATTTAATAAAGGTTAACCTGTTACCATATTTGATTCAGATTTTTTAAGTAAACTATTACAGAAAGAATTGCAGCTCTTCTCTCTCCGCACCAATTAGAGGTACTCAATATCTGAAAAATTCCATGGGTATGCTTTATAACGCTATTTTTACACTTTTAATACCATGCTAATATATTTTTATATGTCTACAAAAAATTCACACTATTATTTTATACAATTTCAAACTTTAGTTAAATAGTATTTTACTGTATGTAGCATTCGGCAACTTTTGTTATTTTTATTTATTTTTTAATTTTTTTTTTTTTGAGATGGAGCCTTGCTCTGTCACCCAGACTGGGGTGCAGTGGCGTGATCTCGGCTCACCACAACCTCCACCTCCCGGGTTGAAGCAATTCTCCTGCCTCAGCCTCTCAAATAGCTGGGATTACAGGCCCACGCCACCACACCCGGCTAATTTTTGTATTTTTATTAGAGATGGGGGTTTCACCATGTTGGCCAGGCTGGTCTTGAACTCCTGATCTCAGATAATCCCCCCGCCTTGGCCTCCCAAAGTGCTGGGATTACAGGTGTGAGCCACTGGGCCCGGCCATGCAACTTACTTTTTTAAATGGCTACTTAGCCATGCTATCTTAATGAATTTACCACAATTTAATTATTCATTCTTCTACTGACTGATAATGTATTCATTTCCAATTTTTCACCATTACAAGAAATGCTGCAATGAACATTCTCATGCAGGGTTCCCTGTGTACATTCGCAAGAATGCCTGAAGAACATGTATCTAAAACTGAAACTGCTTTGTCATGGGATATGTTATATCTTCAGTTTTACCAGATATTAACAAATTACTCACCAAGATGGTTGTATCAATTTGCACTCCCATCAACAGTGCATGAGAGTTCCTATTTATCAAAAATCTCTTTTGTCAATACTGAATATTGTCAAACCTTTTCTCATTTTTTTTGGTCAAATACAAAAGGTGAGAATTTAAATCGCAGAGGCCAGGAGTGGCGGCTCACACCTGTAATCCCAGCACTTTGGGAGGCTGAGGCAGATGGATCACCTGAGTTCAGGAGTTCCAGACCAGCCTGGCCAACATAGTGAAACCCCATCTCTACTAAAAATACTAAAATTACTCGAGCTTGGTGGCAGGCACTTGTAATCTCAGCTTTACTTGGGAGACTGAGGCAGGAGAATTGCTTGAACCCAGGAGGTGGAGGTGGCAGTGAGCCGAGATCACGCCATTGCACTCCAGCCAGGGTGACAAGAGTGAAACTTCATCTCAAAAAACGAACAAAAAAAGAAAAACAAAATAATTTAAATTGCATTCCCTTTATTACCAGTGAAACTGGGCATCTTTTCATGTGTTTATTGGTTCTTTAGGGCTCCTTCCTCATAAATTCCTAATCAAATAGTTTGTTCAATTTTTTTACTGTGCACGGTTTGCCCCTTTTCATTGATTTGTGGAAGACCTTTATATATTCTGGACACCAATATTTCATCAGTTGTGTGTATTGCAAATATCTTCTCACAAGCCTTGGCTTGAATTTAACTCTATAACGTCTTTTGTCACAGAGAAGTTTGTTTTTCTTAATGTTATAAATTGCTTTATCACTAGTTGGCTACTCATTAAAATCACCTGGAGAGCTTTTAAAAAATACTAATGCTAAAAAATAAGTTACAGCGTTAGAAAGCAGATCAGTGGTTACCTGGGTTCAGATTGGCACATGGGGGATGTATTAGTCTGTTCTCATGCTGCTAATAAAGACACACCCGAGACTGGGTAATTTATAAAGAAAAAAGAGGTTTAATGGACTCACAGTTCCACATGGCTGGGGAGGCCTCACAGTCATGGCAGAAAGCGAAAGGCACATCTTACATGCTGGCAGACAAGAGAGAGCTTGCACAGGGAAACTCCCCCTTATAAAACCATCAGATCTTGTGAGACTTATTCACTATCATGAGAACAGCACAGGAAACACCCGCCCCCATGATTCAATTACCTCCCACTAGGTCCCTCCCAGGACATGTGGGAATTGTGGGAGCCACAATTCAAGATGAGATTTGGGTGGGGGACACAGCCAAACCATATCGGGGGTGCTGACTCAGAAGGGGCAGCAGGCACCAGGGAATTTCCTACAAGGGTAGGAAAAAATCTTAAATTTGATTATTGTAAAGATTACACAGGTGTACACATTTGTCAAAACACACTAAACTAGAAAGTTAAAATGGGAGCGTTTTATGTAAATTATACCTCAATACAGTTGATTTGAAAAAACAGATGCCTGGGCTCTACCACGTACAATTTTAGTTAGAATCTGTAGGAGTTGAAACCCACAATCTGTATTTGTTTTAAGTGTCCACAGATGATTAAAATGTGCAGCCAGGGCTGAGAACCACTGTCCTAAATATTGTTGAAGCATTGCTAACTTCGCCTGGGAGCATTTTTGCAAAGGGTATATGGTAGATTACAATTTTGGAGGCGATTCCACTGGATCAACATTTATTGACTAATCAATCCTTTTCCCACTGAATTATAATGGCAACTCTGCCATGTTCCATACACCAAGTTTCTATATATTCATGAGACTTGCCAGTCTTCCCCGTTGATTCTGTACAGCTATGGCACAATGTCACACTGTTGTAATTACCAAAATGTTCTGCTGTTTGCAAGGTCAAAATCCTTTCTCTTCCTCCTCCCTCTCTTACTCTCCTTCCAAAATTTAAGATTTTTTCCTACCCTTGAAATTCCCTGGTGCCTACTGCCCCTTCCGAGTCAGCACCCCCAATATGGTTTGGCTGTGTCCCCCACCCAAATCTCATCTTGAATTGTAGCTCCCACAATTCCCACATGTCCTGGGAGGGACCTAGTGGGAGGTAATTGAATCATGGGGGCGGGTGTTTCCCGTGCTATTCTCATGATAGCACCTATTCTTGGTCCTGTATTTTTCCATATGAACTACATATTTAGCCTCACGAGTTTCACCCAAGTTTCACCCGTTACAGTCATGAACTGCCACGCCTGGCCTGGTTTCTACTTTTCTTCATAAAAATCCTGCAGTATTTCATTTGCTTCATATACAGTAGCCAAAACCCACAAGCAATTCAATGTCCACCAACAATAGGATGAATAAATAAATATATTCATATGGTGGAGCATTGTATAACAGTCAAAAGGAATTAACAAGAGCTATAGACAATGATGTGGATAAATTTTATTCCTATATTTAATGAAAGAAGCAAAATACACAACTAATATATATAGAATGTTTTCATTTATATACAATTGAAATACTAAATCATGTTGTTTAGGGATGTACATATAAGGGTTGAAACTATAAAAAAGAGGTAATTATAAAAGTCAGAATAGTGGTGACTTAGCAGCAAGTAGCAACAGGGATTGATCAAGAGGGGAATACATGGGGAGTTAGGGGGACTTTTGTTTCTTGGCATGGTGGCGGTTACAAAGATATTTGCTTTAGAATTATTCATTACGTTTGTTGTATAAAGTTTTTTACGTGTATCATATTTCATAATAAAGTGAAAAAGCGCTTTTAATTAGAAATCTGAGCTCTGGTACTCCACAAACAGGATCCAGCCTACTTTAAGTAGAAGGTTCTCTCTAGATAGGAGCTGAGGATATGGCCTGACCCGCTTGATCTCTGTGCATCATTTAACTCTAAATCATCTCTTTAGAAAGAACAAACACTCCATGAGACTTTCAAATCAAATGCCCTATACGGACTGGGTTCTTGATGCTTTTAGCTTCTCCATGCTTTGAATATATTATATGTTGGAGGTGAAGGAGGGGGTTATTTGGGCTAATTGAACATATTACCCGACAAAGCATGGTGCTAGTTTCCACCTGGATACAGAGGTGAGTTAGGTAAGACCCTGCCCTAAAAAGCTTGCAGTAGCCAGTTAGGCAGCCAACAGCCATTCCCACTAGCATCTATGTCTCTTCTTCAACCTGGACAGAGAGTTAGATTATATATGATACAGCCCTGCCTTCCTGTCTTGACCTCATCTCTCAACACTTTCAAGCTCTCCATGGCAGGTTGAATGACTGGCCCCAGTTCTTTAGCCCTCCCTGCAACCATGCCCTTGTCATGGCCTTATCATGAGCACAGTGTGTTTCCCCACCCCTTGACCTTGGGCTTGGCCATGTGATTTGCCTTTCATCCAAATAGATGTGCAAGTGACTATGAATTGGCCAAGAGATTGTGAGCAGGTGTACTAAGCACTACATCAGGCCTGACCCATAAGAAATGAACTCATCATTTTCCCCAATGCCATAACCAGCTCCAAGGAGAGGGATCAAATCCACCTAACTCCCTGTGATGGTTAATTTCACATGTCAACTTGACTGGACTAAGGGATGCCCAGATAGCTGACAAAATACTATTTCCAGGTGTGTCTGTGAGGGTGGTTCCAAAAGAGATTAGCATTTGAATCAGTAGACTGAGTAAGGCAGATGGCCCTCCCAGCATGGGTGAGTATCATCCAGTCCATGGAGGGCCTGAATAGAACAAAAAGGTGGAAGAACCATGAATTCACTCTCTCTCGGCTTGAGTTGAGACATCCATCTTTCCTGCCCTCAGAAAGTGGCACTCCTGGTTCCTGGGCTATCAAATTTAGACTGAATGTTTTACCATGAATTCCCCAAGATTTTCCAGCCTTCCGACTTGGATGAATTACACCACTGGCTTTCCTGGTTCTCCAGCTCACAGACAACAGATCTCAGCCTCCATAACTGTGCAAACCAATTTCTTTAATAAATCCTCCCCCCGCCCAATGAATCCTGACTAATATACTCCTCAAGCCAAAAATAATCTCCCACATCCAATTGGTTACCAAGTCTAGCTGTTTCTTCTGAACATCTTTTTTTTAGATCTACCCCTAATTGTCTTCCTTAAATGCCACCCTAATCCCCACCCTTCTGCCTTCCCGCCTAGCCTATTGTAGTAGCTGGAGTCTAGTCCAGCACCCTCCACACTGCCCTCCTTCACCCCAGAGCCACCTTTCTAAAATGCAAATCTGAAGATGTCACTCCCTTGCCCCAAATCCCTCAGTCCCACCACTGCCTACAGGATAAAATCTAAATTCTTTGTATAACATGTCACGCCCCTCCTGATACAGCCCTGCCTGGTGTCTCGGCCCCGTCTCTTACCGCAGCTGCACCCTCCGTGGCCGCTTGAACGTTTGGCCTCAGGTTTTACCTCTATGTGCGTCCACGTTCTTCCCATGGCCTTGTCATGGGAATAGTATGTTTTCCTACTTTATTGGTTTTCTAGGGCTGCCGGAACTAATCACCACAAACTGGGTGGCTTCAATGACATAAATTTATCCTCTAAGAGTTCTGGAGGCCAAACGTCTGAATCAAGGTATCAGCAGGGCCATTTTCTCTCCAAAGGCTTTAAGGAAGAATCCTTCTTGCATCTTCCAGCTGTTGGTGGTTCTCAGCAACCCTCAGCACTCCTTGGCTCGTGGCAGCGTTACTCCCATCTTGGCCTCCATCTTTGCATGGCCATCTCCTTTGTGTCTTTGCTTCCCTTGTCTCTTCTCTTTTTAGAAGGACATGAGTCATATTGGATTTATGGCCCACCCTACTCTAGTACGACCTCATCTTAACTAATTACATCTGCAAAGACCCTTTTTCCAAGTAAAGTCATGTTCCGAGGTTCCAAGAAACATATATTTTGGGAGACACTATTCAACCCAGTATACCCACCCTTTGATGCTGGCTTCTACCATGTGACTTGCTTAGCCAGTGGTATGTGGATGGAAGTATCCATGGGTCGGTTCTGTGCCTAGGCCTTAGGGAGCCTTGTTACTGCTCTTCCTTTTGTGCCTCTGCCCTTGTCATGAGAAAAACATGCCCTGGTCCAAGGCAGATGGCAGACACTTGGGGCAGAGCCACCCTCCCCACGACCATCTGCAGTCTTGCAGCTTAATGTAGTCAAGAGCAGCTGACCCCCAGCTGATCCACAGATGCATGAGAAAGCTCTATTATCAATAGAGTTGGTCCAGCCAATTCACAGACACCAAGAAAATCAATCCTTCTAGTTGTATACCGCTGAGATTTTGGGGTTGTCATGCAGCAATAGTTAACGAATGCATACACTTTGTGCCACAGCAACAATGAACGAGCCGGCCTGCTGCAAGGTCTCTTTAACGTACAGAGTAGCTCCCTCTTTTTTTGAGATGGAGTCTCGCTCTGTCGCCCAGGCTGGAATGCAGTGGCATGATCTCAGCTCACTGCAACCTCCGCCTCCCAGGTTCAAGCGATTCTCCTGCCTCAGCCTCCAGAGAAGCTGGGATTATAGGTGGCCACCACCACGCCCGGCTAATTTTATATTTTTAATGGAGATGGGGTTTCGCCATGTTGGCCAGGCTGGTCTTGAACTCCTGACCTCAAGTGATCCTCCTGCCTCGGCCTCCCAAAGTGCTGGGATTACAGGCGTGAGCCACCACGCCCAGCCAGAGTAGCCCCCTCTTATCCATGGTTTTGCTTTCCACATTCCCAAACTACCCAGTCAAGTGTCAAGTGTGGTCCAAAAATATTAAATGGAAAATTCCAAAAATAATTCATAGGTTTTAAATTGCACACTGTTCTGAGTAGCATGATGAAATCTCACTCTGTCCTGCGCAGAATGTGAATTATTCCTTTGTCCAGAGTACCCGCATTGTCTACGCTAGCCATCCATTAGTCACTTAGTAACCGTCTTGGTTATCAGATCAACTGTCACGACTTCATGGTGCTTTTGTGGAAGTAACTCATAATTTACTCAGTAACGGCCCCAAGCACAAGAGTAGTGATGCTGGGAATTTGAATATGTCAAAGAGAAGCCATAAAATGCTTCCTTTAGATGAAAAGGTAAAAGTTCTTGACTTCAGAAGAAAATCATATGCTGAGGTTGCAAAGATCTAAACAAATCTGTTATCCATGAAATTGTGAAGAAGGAAAATAAATTCATGCCAGTTTTGCTGTTGCACCACGGGGTATGTAACTGCTAAGATGAAAAAGGCGTTAAATTTACGAGTGGAAGACATGAACAGAAATGTGTTTTGATTGACGGCCCTCAGGTTCGATACTATCCAGGATTTGAGGCATCCACTGGAGGTCTTGGAAAGTATCCCCCATGGATAAGGACCACCATCCTCCTTTTAACGAGGATAGGATGTAGAGCCGTGCTATGTCACAAGGACCACTGTACTGTTCCTTTGTCTGAAATGCATGCCCCACCATCTCCTGTCAAGCCCATCTGCCTGACAAATTCCAAATTAATCTTTAAGTCCAAAGTCATGCACCAATTTTAGGAAGCCTTTTATGACTCTCCCAAGTAGACTGAGTCACTGTTATTCAGTGCTCCCAGCCTATGCTCACCTCCATTATAGACAGTAATTACCACTCTGTAATTGCTTGTTTATATAATTACAGGGCTTTTGATCCCTGACACAAGCAAAATGTCTGGCACCAAAAGTTGGCACTAAATGAATCACAGAAAACAAAGACGTGATAGGAATGGGGCAGTAAGTGGGAATGAGGAAAAGGGAAGAAGACTGGCAGCCTAGAAGGGAACACTGCAAAAGTCTGAAAAAGTCTCAAGTCCAGACTCACATCTCTATGTGGTTTTGACACATGCAGCTGCTTTGGGGTACACCTTGCAGTATGAAACTCATCCAATCACTGAATCACAGAACTGAACTCTGGGGGTCCCCGCTGAAATGACTCAGTAAAGTTGCAAGGAAAGCCAGACAGCAGAGGAGTCCCGTTCTGAGAGGTGGAAGGGAGATGGCGGCGTTTTCCGCAGCCACAGAGGTGGGGTCAGATGAGAAAGGCAGCAATTTTAAAGCAGCTATTAGGAAGAACTCTCTGACTTTAATGTGGTGAGAGTGAAGCACATACCAAGAGTGGTTTCAGAGTCTCACTGAGCAGAACAATGACCAGGACAAGGACGATGACAATGAAGATGGTGATGATTCCAAGAGGGCAACAGGTCTGATGTGACGTAAGCACGGCCCTACATCCCATCCTCACCAAAAGGAGGATGGTGGCTCATTTCTCAAGGCCTAGCATCTCAAAATACATCCCGTTAGAAAAAAGATCATAGGTTCCTAGCGCAACACTAATATCTCTTTCTGGAGATTTCAATTATCCAAATTACATTCTTTACTTTTTAACTGTCTCTCATTCTCTCACTGCCATCCTCAAAAATTTACATCTCTCCCCAGCCATCTCTTTGTCTGGAATGCAATAATATTTGATCCTTCCACTCTGCAAGCCTGCTGGAAAATTAATTAAAAACCAGACTGGGCTCAAAGAGGCCCTTTCAGTCCAGGAATCTCATAGGGCTTAGCACTCTGCAGGGAAAGATCCGCTCCAGGCTGCTAATCATTAGCCTACCTGCTGCACACCTTGGAGCCTAAACCATCAAACAGTTCTCATCACCAAGGGTTTATTGAGCCTTATATTTGGAGATAATTTCATACACGTGTTTTGAGTGCTCTCCAAGGAGTAATCCCTAGCAGTTTTTAGTGCACTGGGGATTGCAGACTCCTCTGAGGAGCCACGGAAGGCAACAGGTCCATTTCCTGCTGTGGTGAACACTGACTGCCTAGGGCTGCAGATGGTTTTCTTTTATTTTAGCTATCCTGTATCTGTTTTTTTGTTTGTTTGTTTTTTTGAGATGAAGTTTCACTCTTGTTGCCCAGGCTGGAGTGCAGTGGTGCGATCTCAGCTCACTGCAACCTCTGCCTCCCAAGTTCAAGCGATTCTCCTGCCTCAGTCTCCCGAGTAGCTGGGATTACAGGCACGCGCCACCACACCTGGCTAAGTTTTGTATTTTTAGTAGAGATGGGGGTTTCGCCATGTTACCCTGGCTGGTCTCGAACTCCTGAGCTCAGCTCATCCACCCACCTCAGCCTCCCAAAGTGCTGGGATTACAGGCCTGAGCCACCACCACACCTGGCCGGTATCCTGTATCTGAACCCCTTTCTGTGTCTAGGGAATTGCCCACTTTATGAGACAAGGACAAAGACCTCTTCCCATAACAGGAGCTGCCAGATGACCGAGTTCTGCCTACCAGATGCACCGGGATAGTCAGACTATCTCAGAAGGCAGCAAAATCAGCTGAGGGATCCATTTCTCCCCTCCCCCATTCCCCTCTTCTTCTCCTTCTCCCTCTCCTCTCATCTCTCCTTTCTCCCCTCTCTCTCTGCCTTCTCTCTCTCTCTCTCAATCCCTCTCCTCTCATCTCTCTTCTCCCCTCTCTCTCTGCCTCCTCCTCATCCTCCTCCTCCTCCTCTCTCTCTCTCTGATGCTGGCTGACACAAAAGTGGCAGCAATTGCATCCAACTTATGTTCCCGACAAGGATATGGGAACAAGGCACATAGGCCTCTGGTGCTGCATGGCCAGTAGCAGTCTGCTCAGCAGAACAGTTCAGCGACTTGGTTTTGGGTGTTACTCTTGGAAGCTGAGCCTTGAGTGTGGTTCTCCTTCCCTCCTCTCCCATCAACATTCTGGGAGCTACTTGGTATCCTTAATAAGCTCCATTCCTGTTTCATCAGCCAGGGTCAGTCTCTGTTGCTTGCAACCCAGAACCCTGACTGAGGAACACACTCATTTTCATATATCATATCACAAGGTCAGAGGCCAACTGAAGTTTTTTAAAATCCTACATTGACTCTCAGCCCAAACATACCTTCCTATAGCTCCAAGATATTAAGGCTGAGGCTTTGAAACTACATTTTTGCTTTGCTAGTTGTTCTTTGTTAGGCTCTGCAAGTCAAGGATATTAGAAGAAAACTTTAGTGCTTGAAAAGGGACACGTTCCTTTCTGTCTGCTGACTATTGTTGTGAGCTTTACCCCAGAAATGCTTCTTCACTGTGGCAGCCGTAATTCATTCCTATAGTATCTGCTGCATCCAGTTTGAACTTTTTCCAATATTTGCAGAACTGTCTTCATTGTGCCCTAGCCTAAGACACCATCACCAGCCTGCTGGCCCCTCCTCATGGACATTTGAGTTTCAGCTCTGAAGGGCCCTTCTCTAAGTTTCTAAGTTTTAATAATTCCAACTTCTTTCTCTATTTCCTCATCCCGAGCAGTGGTAGCTGCTTTCTATAGTTGCTACCTTTGTGATACCTTAGAGTTCTCTTTTTACCCTAGCTAACAATTTTATTCCAGTTAGTTAGCCATTTGTTGTGTTAAATTCTCTCTGTTCAAATAACTGATATGCTTTCTATCTGGAACTAGAACCTGACTGATAGATATCAGCCTTAAGAAAAAGTTGTATACACATGGACACAGGAAGGGGAACATCACACTCTGGGGACTGTTGTGGGGTGGGGGGAGGGGGGAGGGATAGCATTAGGAGATATACCTAATGCTAAATGACGAGTTAATGGGTGCAGCACACCAGCATGGCACATGTATACATATGTAACTAACCTGCACATTGTGCACATGTACCCTAAAACTTAAAGTATAATAATAATAAAAAAAAAGAAAGAAAAAGTTGTATGAGTATCCCATTTGCAACCAGAGAAAACAGAAACAGAGAAATAGGAAGGAAGAAGAGTTTCCAGCCAAGTCAAGATGTAAAGTCTCAGACTCAGAGGCCATGGAATGAGTTCAAGCCATACAAGTCCAGCAAGCAAGGTTATGTGTATACCTGGGTGATTTCTGCAATGTGAGGAGGCAAAAGAAAGACAAGACCAGACATACTACTCAGAGCCCACAGGTCCCCTGCACCAAGTCCTGCAGAGAGGCTGTACCAGGGCAATGGAAAGTATCACAGACAGAACAGGTATGGGAAAAAATAATAAGTTTTCTGAGCATAGTGGGTGGGAAGCAGGGAATAGACTATCAGGCTTAGGAAAGAATGGTGAAAACATGCCTAAAACCCTCTGCTTGTTTGCCACAACTGAAATAACAACAGCATCATTACTAAGATGCTCTTAGGATATTCCAGGCCTTGAGCTAAGCATATCTGCACAGATTGCCACAGTCATCAATTACAAAATGCATTCTATTGTAAGACATACCATTACTTGAGGTATCACTAAGAAAGAAAAATATGCTGTCAATTAAACAATGACCCGCCATTGCCTGTAAGATGCATCCCAATTGTAAAGATAGTAAAATATGAAAAAAAATGCTTCTTACAATCAAGGGAACATGGCAGCTCATTTAATCCTTATAACAATTCCTATGAAGTAGGTATTGGGGCTTAAAGGGGCAGGGGCTGAGTGACTAGTTCGAAGTCCTACAGTCAGCAAGTGGCAGAGCATGCATCTGATCTCAGTCGGTGGGATGCCAGAGCCTGCGCTACTGGTAACTCTGGTGCCTCTTAAACCATTTAGAAGTCAGGGATCAAACTCTTACTTAACATGTGCAAATGTTACTGTTCTATTTTGAGCTTTTAGATGACCAAAAGGTATTAGCCATGAGCACTGAGCTGGTCAGACAGGGTCAGAGAAAGGGCTCTCACTACCAAATTTCCTTCAATGGCACAGAGCAGAGAGCAATGCCAGCTCCCCTGCAAGGCAAGAGGAAAGGCACACTATGGGGAGAACTAAAGATGCAAACTGTGTGAGTTCCCTGCAGCTGCTATAACAAGTTATCACAAATGCAATGGCTTCAAACAACAGAAATTCATTCTCTCATAATTCTGAAGGCCAGAAATGCAAAATCAGTATCACTGTACTGAAATCAATGTGTCAGCAGGGCCATGCTCCCTCTGGAGGCTCTAGGGAAGAATCTGTTCCTTGCCTCCTGTCAGGGCTTCCTCCCTCCAATTCAGCCTCTATGGTCATGTTGCCTCCTCCTCTCCTGTTCAAATCCCCCTCTGCCTCCCTCTTATAAGGAGGCTTGAGATTGTATTTAGGGCCCACCCTGGAGACAATCCAGCATTACCTCCCCATCTCCACATCCTTAACTTAATCGCATCTGTAAAGGTCCTTCTTTCATATAAGGTAACATCCACAGACTCCAGAGATTAGGACCTGAGTATCTCTGATGGCCCTTATTCAGCTGACCACACAAACCAAAGGTGGAACCTGCTGCTGGGGCTTCCCAAGCCCAGACACCTAAGCAAATATACACAGGTTGTTGAAATTTGAAATGTTAGTTTGATATTTCCATTTTTCAAAACTTACAGTGGAAGAGAAACTTTACCTGCAAATATCTGGAAATGTACAGATCACCCCAGCTTGACGGGCCGGGAATCATTACAACAGAAATTGAGTTGTGTGTGCTAATGCTGCAAAGTACTCATATGACAAATGACCTTGGACCGGTCTGATTGGATGTTGGGGGCAGAGTCCTGGGTGGAGACTGATGGAGAACTAGAACCCTCACAAAGGCACTGGTGGGCAGTAGACAGAAAAGGGATGAGACTAGCACCTGTTTTAGAGAGGAGGCAGACAAGACCCCAGGCTAGGATGAGACTGGTGCCTGTTTCAGAGAGCAGGCAGACAAGACCCCGGGCTGAACACGGAGAGGGCAGAGAAAGCAATCTGAGTCTACATGAGAAAAGGGGAAGGGAACTTCACAGAGGTGTGCTGTTGTGAGTCCTGGGCAGGACAATGACTGAGCCAGGGGTGAGGTGGCCACAGAGGGCAGCATCAACCAATGCAAGGGACAAAGAAGGCCTGAGTCACCAAGATCCGGGATAATCACTATAGATTTCACAACTCTCTTACCTTGGCTGCCACTATAAAATGCCACAGGCCAGGTACGGTGGCTCATGCCTATAATCTCAGCACTTTGGGAGGCTGAAGCGGGTGGATCACCCGAGGTCAGGAGTTTGAGACCAGCCTGGCCAACATGGTGAAACCCCGTCTCTACTAAAAATACAGAAATTAGCTGGGCATGGTGGTGCATGCCTGTAATCCCAGCTACTATGGAGGCTGAGGCAGGAGAATCACTTAAACCCAGGAGGCAGAGGTTGCAGTAAGCCAAGATCGCACCACTGCCCTCCAGCCTGGGCGACAGAGCAAGACTGTGTAAAGAAAGAAAGGAAGAAAGAAAGAGAGAGAGAGAGAAAGAAAGAAAGGAAAGAAAGGAAGAAAGAAAGAAAGAAGGAAAAAAAGAAAGAAAGAAAGAAAGAAAGAAAGAAAGAAAGAAAGAAAGAAAGAAAGAAAGAAAGAAAGAAAGAAAAGAAAGAAAGAGAAAAAGCAAGCAAGCCACAGACTACAGGGCTTCCGCAACATTTATTTCTCATAGTTCTGGAGGCTAGAAGTCCGAGATCAGGGTGCCAGCATCATCAGGTTCTGACATGGCCTTGCTCCTCGGCTCCCAGAGGGCCGTCTTCTTGCCGTGTCCTCACAGGGTGAAGTAAGAAAGACAGCGAGCTCTCTGGTGTCTCTTCTTAAAAGGACACTAATCCCATATGAGGGCCCCATCCTCACGACATCATCTAAACCTAATTACCTCCCAAAGGTTCCCATCATACTGAGAGTTGGGGCTTCAACATACGAATGTGGAAGGTTTACAATTCTGGCCCTGGCAATAACCTAGGTATCCTGCCAGGTTGGCACTCCACTAGCAACTTGCTCAGTGGGTAAAATAAGTCTCATTATTTGAAGTTAAAGCGTAAGACACCTGGAGGTTTCTACTTCACCTGGTCAAGTCATTTGATCCTTAACTGTTGCTTTCAACAATCTCTCTGAGAAAAAGAGGCCACAGGCAATGGGGCAAAGATGGACTGTGGTCCTAGGGCACGATGTTATGGGCAGAGCTTTCTGGCCCATTCCCTTGGGAATATTGGAAGGAAAGGGGCCATCGGCTCATGGAATACCCAAACAGTCCACGAGAGGCAGGACCAGCAGACACTGCAATGTGGACCCCACGAAGATCACAGCACATAAGCACACCGACCTAACCCCCCAACACATATACACATGTCATGTTTTGTTTGTTTGTTTGTTTGTTTGTTTTAAACAGAGTCTCGCTCCTTCCCCCAGGCTGGAATGCAGTGGTGTGAACTCAGCTCAACTGCAACCTCCACCTCCCAGGTTTAAGCGATTCTCCTTTCTCAGCCTCCCAAGTAGCTGGGATTACAACTAATTTTTGTATTTTTTGGTAGAGAAGAGGTTTCACCGTATTGGCCAGGCTAGTCTCGAACTCCTGACCTCAGACGATCCGCCAACCTCTGCCTCGCAAAGTGCTAGGATTACAGGCGTGAGCCACCGTGCCCGGCCCACACACACAACGTTTTGTTAAGCCTGAACCCACAACTTGTGCAAATAAGAAACAGGACCAAAAAGTTATCCCCAGGAGCTTCCACAGTTCCTGATATAAGGGAACTGACACGTATCAAATACCTACTGCATGCCTGACTGTGTGTCTGATACTCTCTGCGTGTTATTTTATTTAACCCTCATGGCCACCCTCTCACAATTAATTTGGAGGCTGCTCAAGTGTCTCTGCGGTGCAGGGTGCCAGTCAGGATGGGCTGGGCTCTGCTGCAACAACAAAGCACCTTCCTGTTCTATATGCAGAGGCTCTGCCCGCTCCAGCCACCTAGGGACCTGCTCACAGAGGCTCCATCTCAACACGTGAGTCTGTGATCACATCACCACCTGAGTGACCTCAGCCATGGTGGCTCACGCCTGTAATCCCAACACTTTGGAAGGCCAAGGCAAGCGGATCACGAAGTCAGGAGATCAAGACCAGCTTGGCCAACAGGGTGAACCCACGTCTCTACTAAAAATACCAAAAAATATTAGCCAGGTGTGGTGGCGCAGGTCTGTAGTCCCAGCTACTCGGGAGTCTAAGGCAAGGGAATCGCTTGAACCTGGGAGGTGGAGGTTGCAGTGAGCCGAGATCACACCACTGCACTCCAGCCTGGGCAACAGAGCAAGACTCCGACTCAAAAAATAAATAAAAATAAAATAATAATAATAAATAAAATTATCATTAGCACCTACCTCACAAGACAATGCCTATAGAGAGCCTGGCACCGTGCCTGAGACAGGACACACACTCCATGACTGTGAGTCATTGTCACGACATGTCCCGTACAGAAAAAAAAGCTCAGAAAATACTCAGACAGCCAATGTTCCAACACATGGATAAGGGTGGCGTCCATGAGATGAGATTAAAAGTGTATTTTCCTTACCTGTTGGAGTTTTTATTCTCTACATTTCTTTATAAAATGAGCATACATAATTTTCATCATCAAGAAAAAGGGCAACATATAAATAAATACATCCAACATGAGAACACAAAACAAAGTTTTAAAAGAACTGGCCTTAATGGATCTTCTAGATCAGAGGTTTGTAAACTATGGATTGTGGGCCAAATCCAGCCAGTTTTGTACAGCCCACGAGCTAAGGATGTGTTTTACATTTTTAAAGGGTCTTGGAGAAGGGAAAGGAAGGGGAAGGGAGAAGAGGATGGGGAGGGGAGAGACAGCAGCAGATGCTGTGTGTGGCTACAAAGCCTAAAATATTTACTATCTGACCTTTTACAGAAAAAGTGTGTTCACCCTGCTTTAGTTCACCCGACCACCTGATTCTTCAGACAATAAGTACCCAAAGCCTTGGGTGCTTTACTTAGAATTCAGTTTGTAAACACACACACACACACACACACACACATGCACACACGCACCCCTACAAAAATTATCAGGAACACAAAGACCCTTGATATAAAATGATGAATATACAATTATCTGTCATCACACTGCAGACAGTACGTGATTGAGTCTCCTTTCCACCCAACCGTTCACACATTTAGGAAGCGTTTATTGCGGCGGGAGTTGTTAGGGGAGAGATTAAGGGGGCCTCAGCATCTCCATGTCCCAGGCACTGTTCTAAGCCTCGAGGATTCAATGATGAATAAAGCTCCAGGCTGAACACTCACTCTTTCCTGTAGCAAATCAGTTTCAGGGCCCCTCCGTGTCAGGCTCTGTGCCAGGCGCTGGGGATGCAGAGGCAAACAAGAATGATGACGCCACTGCCCAAGGAGCCTACAGCCCATCAGCGACATGGGCAGCTAAGCAACCACGCAGCACGGCGCTCAGTCAAGGGGCCACAGAGAGATTCAAAACCAAGACACAGGGCCGGGCGCAGTGGCTCACACCTGTAATCCCAGCACTTTCGGAGGCCGAGGTGAGTGGATCACGAGGTCAGAAGTTCAAGACCAGCCCTGTCAACATGGTGAAATCCCATCTCTACTAAAATCACAAAAATTAGCCAGGCGTGGTGGCACATGCCTATAATCCCAGCTACTCAGGAGGCTGAGGAGGGAGAATAACTTGAAACCGGAAGGCAAAGGTTGCAGTGAGCCAAGATTATGCCACTGCACTCCAGCCTGGTCAGCAAGAGTGAAACTCTGTCTCAAAAAAATAAAGCAAGACACAGCAGACACAGCCTCAGGGCAACGCCATCATCATCATGGACTAATGACAATGGCCAAAACCTGAAAAGGAAGGACTTGGCCTGGTGAAAGCAAAAGGAGGAAGGTGGTTCCTGGCAGAGGGAGAACACGAGAAAAGGCTCAAAAAGACAAACAGTGTGACGTGTGCTGAGAACCAGCTGCAGGAGCTGGTGGGTGGTTTGGGTGGTGGAGGACTGGCCTGAGCCCAAGCTAAGGAGGGAGGGAAGGAGGGAGGGGCCAGGAGGAGAACGGTGAACGAAGTCCAAGCTAAAGGGAAAAAGAGGAAAAAGGCCTGGACTTGATGGGAAGATAGCAAAGGATTTTGGACACGGAATGACATCGTCAGAAACATTTGTGGTTGGGCCAGGCACAGTGGCTCACGCCTATAATCCCAACACTTTGGGAGGCCGAGGCATGTGGATCACCTGAGGTCAGGAGTTCGAGACCAGCCTGACCAACATGGTGAAACCCCATCTCAACCATAAATACAAAAATTAGCGGGGTGTGGTGGCGTGAGCCTGTAGTCCCAGCTACTCAGGAGGCTGAGACAGGAGAATCACTTGAACCTAGGAGGTAGAAGGTGCAGCAAGCCAAGATCACACCACTGCACTCCAGCCTGGGTGACAGAGCGAGACTCAGTCTCAAAAAAAAGAAAAAGAAAAAGAAAAAGAAACATTTGTTGTTGGGGTTTGTTGTTTTTTTTTTGTTTTTTTTTTTTTGAGATGGGGTCTTACTAAATGGTCCAGGCTAGCCTCAAACTCCTTGCTTTAAGCAATCCTCCAGCCTCACAGCATCCCTAGTAGCTGGGACTACAGGCACCTGTCACTGCACCCAGCAGAAACATATTTTTAATAAGATTATTCTGGCTATTTCCTCTGTAGCCTTGCAGAGTGAAGGCACTTACAATGAAAGCTAGCCTGAAGCTCTACCCAAACAACCACACTGCCCTGACCAGGCCGCTCCCTCTGCCCGTGCCGACTGCCCAAGTGTCCTTCCAGCTCCTCCCATTCAGAGCTGAGCTTCACACATGTGGCTCCAGCAAGCTGTGGGCCAGATGAGCCACCAGCCTGGCTGCCCACCAGGTTCAACCTAATCAGGTGCTCCTGATTATAGGGACACCAGGATATAGACCCAAAAGAACTGAAAACGGTGCTCAAACAAATCCTTGGTCACTCATCTTACTAGCAGCACTATTCACAGTAGCCAAAAGGCAGAACCAGCCCAAATGTCCAGCAATGGATGAATGGAACACAGTATGGCACGCCCAAACACAGTGGAATATTCTTCATCCAAAAAAAGCAATGACGTTCTCGGCCAGGCACAGTGGCTCACGCCTGTAATCCCAGCACTTTGGGAGGCTGATGTGGAAGGATCACTTGGGCCCAGGAGTTCAAGACCAGCCTGGGCAACATAGTGAGATGCTGTCACTACAAAAAAAAATAAATAAATAAAATAGGCAGGCGTGGCAGCACATGCCTGTAGTCCCAGCTACTCAGGAGGCTAAGGCCGGTGGATCAGTTGAGCCTGGGGCCCTTAAGGCTGCAGTGAGCTGCCATTGCAATGCTGCACTCCAGCCTGGGTGACAGAGAGACCTGCCTCAAAAAAAAAAAAAAAAAAAAGGCAGGGGGGCGGGGTGGCTCACGCCTGTAATTTCAGCACTTTGGGAGGCCAAGGCGGGCGGATCACAAGGTCAGGAGATCGAACCCATCCTGGCTAACACGGTGAAACCCTGTCTCTACTAAAAATATGAAAACGAAAAATTAGCCAGGTGTGGTGGCGGGCATCTGTAGTCCCCGCTACGGGGGAGGCTGAGGCAGGAGAATGGCGTGAGCTTGCAGTGAGCCGAGATTGCGCCACTGCACTCCATCCTGGGGGACAGAGCGAGACTCCATCTCAAAAAAAAAAAAAAAAAAAGAAAAGCAATGAAGTTTGATACATGCTACAATATGGATCAACCTTGAAAACACAATGCTAAATGAAAGAAATCAGACCCAAAAGGTCACATATTATAGGATTCCAGTAATATGAAATGTCCAGAATGGGTAAATCCACAAAAACAAAGTGGATTAGTGTTTGCCAGGCGGTGGAGAGTAAGCGAAGAATGGGGAGATGGAGAGTGATGGCTTAATAGGCATGGGGTTTCCTTGGGGGGGTGATGAAAATGTGTGGAATTTAGATAGCAGTATTGGTTGCAGAAAATTATGAAGGTACTAAATGTCACTGAAGTGTTCCATTTAAAATTGTTAATTTTATGCTATGTGAATTTCATCTCAATACAACAAATTTTTTTTATTATACTTTAAGTTCTAGGGTACATGTGCACAACGTGCAGGTTTGTTACATATGTATACATGTGCCATGTTGGTGTGCTGTACCCATTAACTCGTCATTTACATTAGGTGTAGCTCCTAATGCTATCCCTCCCCACTCCCCCCACCCCACGACAGGCCCCAGTGTGTGATGTTCCCTACCCTGTGTCCAAGTGTTCTCATCGAATACAACAAATTTTTTAAGGAGCCCAGGAGATGAGTAGGTTCTGGAGCCCTCTCCACTCCAAGGTTTCGGTACTCTTCTCCCAGATGTTACAGCTTTCCAGACTCCTGCTGTGCTGCTACCTGCCTTTCTGGACTGACTGTGGTTCTCTGACTAGAGGGAGCATCTAAGTCCCCTGGAGATCTAGTTCAAAATGCAGGTGCCTGGGCCTCACCCCAAGAGCTTCTGAGGCACAGAGTCTGGGGTGGGGTCCCGGCACCTGCATTTTGTTAGGTGATTCTGGTGTGGTCTGAAGTTTGCAATCAATACAACCAGACCCTTTCTCCCTTTTCATCTTCGGACTGTTACTTAATCAACTGCAGGACAATTCTTCTTTCCCTCTTTTCTTAGTCTTTTGCAATAGGAGAAGACTTGGGCTTCAAAAAGAAACAGGAAGATACTTGAATTATGGAGAATGAAACATAACCCAGTAACTAAACAAAAGCGAGTTATAGGTAGCCTTCAATCAATGGTCACTGACCTTGGCTGAACGTCAGAGTCCTTACGGGAACTTTTTTAAAAGTACCTAGGCCGTACCATGGACACCATCAGTCAGAACCTCCAGAGGGAGGTCTAGATGTTAATATTTTTTCTAAAGCAACACAGGCAACTTCCCTGCTCTCCACCTCACCCTTTACTCAAAGGTCGCTCGAAAAATGCTTGTAGTAAATGGCAGTATGAGTCTCTAGCTTCTTAGGCAAACATAATTATGAAAGTAAATAAGGCATGAAAAATCAAATGACACAGGCAAATTTCAGATTAAGCTTTTCTTTTTGTCTCCTGCGTGTTTAATTATCTGTGCTTCATGTTTGTAGGGCCAAAAAAGCGGTCAATTGCAACGGGCATGGATCTGCTCCCCAAAAATAACTCACATGTGTAAAGCACTTTCAACTTCGATGCCGTAAGGAAGCGTTTTCCTAACAATGATCTCCTCTGATCTTCACAACCTCTCCAATTATTCTTTCATTGATTCATTCATCAAATACCTCCTGAGAACCTACTCTGTGCCGGGCACTGTGCTAGTGTACAGGACACTGCAGAGACATGACCCATCTGTGCCCTTGCCCCCACCTTCAGGCCCCCGGTACACAGGCACACAGGTGATGACAGCCCAGGGAAGGGAAGGGCCAGGACGAGGAAAGTACAAAATGAAACCAAGATATGGGGCAAGTCTGGAGAGCCTTGTGGGGAAGAAATGCACAAGATGCACCCCAAAGGGTAAGGAAGAGAGTCTGGCAAAACACCGCAGAGGCGGTGCCCCAGGCAGAGCTGGCGCAAAGGCAGGGGGGACAGGAAGGAAACCGGAAGGATGGCAAGAGATAAGCAGGGAGGGACCAGGCTGCAGACGGCAGTTAGGGCCAGATCAGAAGGACTCTGGGAAGCACTCTATGAAAACAGAACTGCAAATGGAAGGTAGAGGAGCCCTTGAAGGGGTTTCAGCCAGAAACACAATCAGACTCACAACCTGCGTGGGATACTCTGGGGGCCTGTGGAAAATGATCTGGAGCGGGGAGACGAAGGTACCCTGAACAGAGAGGTCACCAGGGCACATAGACAAAAGATCATTCGTACAAAAAAAGTAGAAAGAATGAATAAGTCCTGCTATACGACAGCATAACAGGGTGACTATAGTCAAAATAATTTAATTGTACCTCTGGTTTTCTGGTTTTCTTGGTTTTTTTTTTTTTGGATGGAGTTTCACTCTTGTTGCCCAGGCTGGAGTGCAGCGGCGCGATCTTGGCTCACTGCAACCTTCGCCTCCTAGGTTCAAGCAATTCTCCTGCCTCAGCTTCTCAAGTAGCTGGAACTACGGGCACCCACCACCATGCCCGGCTAGTTTTTGTATTTTGGGTAGAGATGGGGTTTCACCATGTTGGCCAGGCTGGTCTCGAACTCCTGACCTCAGGTGATCCACACGCCTCGGCCTCCCAAAGTGTTGGGATTACAGGTGTGAGCCACTGCCCCTGGCCCTAGTTGTACATTTTTAAATGACTGAAAGATGGCCAGGTGCGGTGGTTCACTCCTATAATCCCAGCTCTTTGGGAGGCCGAGGCGTGTAGATCACCCGAGGTCAGGAGTTTGAGACCAGCCTGGCCAACATGGTGAAAACCCATCTCTACCAAAAAATAGAAAAACTAGCCGGGCGTGGTGGCAGGCGCCTGTAGTCCCAGCTACTGGGGAGTTTGAGGCAGAAGAATTGCTTGAACCCGGGAAGCAGACGTTGCAGTGAGCCAAGATCATGCCACTGCACTCCATCCTGTGACAGAGCAAGACTCTGTCTCAAAAATAAAATAAAATAACTAAAAGAATATAATTGGATTATTTGTAACATAGAGGATAAACGCTTGAGGGAATACCCCATTTTCCATGATGTGATCGTTATACGTGACTATATCAAAACATTTAATGTGCCCCATATACACCTACTACGCAGCCACAAAAATTTAAAAAACTTTTTAAACAAAGGATCGACTGAATAAGTATTTAAATCAGGGATCAGCAAACTGTTTCTGCAAAGGGTCAGATAGTATTTCCCAGTTTTTTTTTTTCTTTTTTAACTTTTATCTTAGAATCAGGGGGTACGTGTGCGGGTTTGTTACAAAGGTATATTGTGTGATGCTAAGGTTAGGAGTAGGACTGAACCTGTCACCCAGGTAGTCAGCACAGTACCCAGTAGGTAGTTTTGCTGCCCTTGCCCCCTGTTCTCTCCCCTCTCTAGTAGTCCCCAGTGACTACTGTTCCCATCCTTATGACCATGTGTACCCAATGTTTATTTTATTTTATTTATTTATTTATTTAGAGCCACATATTTATTTATTTATTTAGAGACACAGTCTCACTCTGTCACCCAGGCTGGAGGGCAGTGGCACAATCTTGGCTCACTGCAATCTCCACCTCCCAGGTTCAAGCGATTCTCCTGTCTCAGCCTCTGGAGTAGCTGAGACTACAAGTGCGAGCCACCAGGCCTGACTAATTTTTATATTTTTAGTAGAGATGGGATTTTACCATGTTGGCCAGGCTGGTCTCGAACTCCTGACCTCAGGTGATCCACCTGCCTCGGCCTCCCAAAATGCTGGGATTACAGGCGTGAACCACTGTGCCTGGCCCTTATTTTATTTTTTTGAGACAGTCTTGCTGTCATCCAGGCTGGAGTGCAGTGCACAATCTCGGCTCACTGCAATTTCCACCTCCTGGGTTCAAGGAACCTGCCTCAGCCTCCCGAGTAGCTGGGACTACAGGCGTGCACCATCACACCTAGCTAATTTTTGTATCTTTAATAGAGATGAGGTTTCACCATATTGGTCAGGCTGGTCTCGAACTCCTGACCTCCGGCGATCCACCCACCTCAGCCTCCCAAAGTGTGAGGATTACAGGCGTGAGCCTCCGCACTTGGCCCTGGTGTTTAGCTTCCACTTATAAGTAAGAACATGTGATACTTGGTTTTCTATTTCTGTGTTCAATCACAACCATCACAGCTACTCATTTCTGCTGCTGTGTTGCAAAAGCAGCTGCAGGGGATTCCACAGTTCATAAATGAACAGGTGCAGCTGACTTGGCCCTCAGGCTGTACTTTGCCAGCCCTCCCTCTAAAGCAAGCTTGTTCAACCCACGGCCCACGGGCAGCAGGTGGCCCAGGACGGCTTTGAATGTAACACAATAAAAATTCATAAACTTTCTTAAAACATTATGAGGTTTTGTGATTTTTTTTTTTTAGCTCATCAGCTATCGTTAGTATTTGTTCCTGTATTTTATGTGTGGCCCAGGGAAGCCAAAAGATTGGACACACTTGCTGTAAAGGATCACATCCACATGGTTTCAGGACCAATGAGGGGATAATGAAAGGAGACAGCAGGGCATCAGAGGAGATGAGGAGGAAAGTAGGCATTGTCACCAATGACTCCTAAATCAGGAATCTGAGACGCAGAGGCCCAGCGATTTGATGGAGGGCAGTCACACCCAAGCCTCAGTGCAAATTCTCTTAGCAGTGCCCCCTGCTGTGCCTTGGCAATCGTAAATAAATCAGATGTGAACGCACCACACACCCTCACATATCTGAGTTGCTTACTTTGGCCACCCCAGCCTTCAACTAGTTCCCTTAACCCATCCTCTGCAGAGCCCACTCCCTCTCATATAAACACAGAATGCACCTAAATCAACTTCATGTCTCCTGGGGCCTCAGCCTCCTGCAGAGCCAGAGTCTCACACTACCCCGTCCTGAAGTCCTTTCAGTTTATAATGAGATGATCAGTTAACCTCGACCCAGCATGTCTGGGGAGGAATATGTTGCTGGGAACATTCAGTTCTCACTCCCTATCCCGGTGCAATTAACCCATCAGATCTGTCCTGTTAGAAATCAATCAGCTGAGTAACTATCAAAAACTAGATACGGGCACAGTGCCTCATGCCTGTAATCCAGCACTTTGAGAGGCCCAGGTGGAAGAACTGCTTGAGTCCAGGAGCTCAAGACCAACCTGGGCAACGTAGCAAGACCCTGTCTCTACAAAAACTGAAAAAGAATTAGTCGGTCATGTTAACATGAGCTGTATCCCAGCTATTCAGGAGACTGAGGCAAGAGGATCGCGTGAGCCTGGAAGTTCAAGGCTGCAATGAACTGTGATCGTGCCACTGCACTCCAACTTGGGTGACAGAGCGAAACCCTTTCACAAAAAACCATGCGGATGGGCACATACAAGCAAACTGGGGCCCACGTTGCTTCACCAAGTCCCAGAGGGCCAGCTTTTGAGGCCCTTGTTCTCTTCGCTCCCAGCGTCATCTGACCCTCTGGCTGCACGTTTCTCTTGCCTCTGGACTGGACATAAGCCCCTGGCCGGCCTGCAGCAATTTCCTATCTCATGTATTCGTGCGTGACATCTTCCTCTCCTGTTCAGAGCTCTCCCAATGCTGTTTCTGTAACTCCAGCCTCCATCCCGCCCCTGAGCCACTGGTTCATACTCCCAACTTCCTAGAGCCATCTCAACTCAGGTACCTCACTGTCAACCTAAACTCAACACATGCACAGTCTATCAGTCAGTGCTTGTTGAATTCATGTTTCTCCAATTAACTGTATTCCCTTCCACGCCCATCTATCCCTCCCAAATACTGAGTTTCCATCCTACTCTGGTATGGCCTCACAGCCACTGAAGTCTGAAACCTCGGTATTGCCCTGTACTGTTTTTTCTTCCTCCATATAAGCACTCATCTGATCTTCTGCACGGTTCCTTCTTCTAAATGTCTCTCAAACATGCCTTCCTTTCCATTTTCATCATCTCGGGCCCTCCCTGCCTTTGGGAATACTGCATTCATGTCATAGTTAGTCCCTGGGCCTTTGGTTTCTCACTCTTCCAAATTATTCTATTATCTGGTGCCAGATTAATCTACAAAAACACCACTGGATAACGTCACGACCTATGCAAAAATCCCAAACTTCTCTCTGATCCCAAGCTCAAGGGATAACACCTCACATTAGCATATACAGTTTATAATTTGGAGTATTTCAATGTACCCTGTATGCCATCCGATTCTCCCCAATAACTCGTCCTTAACAAACTGCCACGTGGAACAGCACTTCTACAACAGGGAGGCGATTATTTTTATTTTTATTATTTCTTTGAGACAGGGTCTTGCTCTGTCGCCCAGGCTGGAGTGCAGTGGCGCGATCTTGGCTCACTGCAACCCCCACCTCCAGGTTCAAGCAATTCTCGTGCCTTGGCCTCCCAAGTAGCTGGGATTACAGATGCGCACCACCACGCCCAGCTAATTTTTGTATTTTGACTAGAGATGAGGTTTCCCCATATTGGCCAGGCTGGCTGGAACTCCTGACCTCAGGTGATCTGCCCGCTTCGGCCTTTTAAAGTGCTGGGATTACAGGTGTGAGCCACCGTGCCCAGCCAAGAAGGAGATTAGAGCAAAATGAAAAGAATGAGGAATGGCGGTGCTTTCTCATCTTAGACTATGACATCATTAACTAAGGTCAACGAGTCCAAAGAGGAGAATATAGCCATCTTGGACAGCTGGGCTCTGTCCAGCTCTAACACCAAGATGCTTTCAGACCCTGGGAAGGTTGTAACTTCTTCAGGTCTCAGTTTTACTATCTGTATCATGGGTTAATAGTCACTATTCTGCCTATATGCTTTTCTGAAGGGAAAATACAGTACTAGATATGACAATATGTCCAGTTTTAGAATGAACACTGTTGTAAAAAGCCACTATATCATGTTTCTTAAAGGGAGGTCCATGGATTACCTACATCAGAATCTCCTAGACACCTGATAAAAGTAAAGATTCCTGGGTTCCACTCCAGTTCTCCTAAATGAGACTCTCAGGGTGAAGAAGTATCAGAAAGTTGATTTTTTTTTTTTTTTGACAAAGTCTCGCTCTGTTGCCCACACTAGAGTGCAGTGGCATGATCTCAGCTCACTGCAACCTCCCCCTCCCAAGTTCAAGTGATTCTCCTGCCTCAGCCTCCCGAGTAGCTGGGATTACAGGCATGTACCACCACACTCTGCTAAGTTTTGTATTTTTAGTACAGACAGGGTTTCATCATGTTAGCCAGACTGGTCTCGAACTCCTGACCTCAGGTGATCCACCTGCCTCAGCCTCCCAAAGTGCTGGTATTACAGGCGTGAGCCACCACACCTCACTCCAATGCACACAAAACCTCCCAAAGAGCACCTAATTGCATTGTTACAAAGAAGTGATTTGCTAAATGTAAGCAGTCCCCCTGAAGTGGAGAAGAGTTAAGGCAGCTGTGGCAATATTTCAGAACCAATGAACCAAAGCTAAATCTAGTCACCTTCCCATGAGGGTCAGCCTTCAGTTGGTTCCCTGAATCAGCCAGTGTCCTGGCTCTCTGTGTGTAGGGTTTTCATCCAATTATGCTTATTCCTGCCATCTGAAGCAACACTCCATTTATTATGATCAAGAGACTCTAGCTCTCCACTTAAGCGCCTGTTAATTAAAAGAAATGCCTGTGGCCAGAATGCAGCAAAAATTCTAGAAGCAGGTATCAGTCAACTTCTGCAAGGAGAGGTATAGAAACTTTTGCCAGAAACACACATAGCTTCTTCTTAAAATGACCTTACAAGTTAAATCACCTTCATTTAGAAGGCAAAGTGGATTGGAGGGCAGAGAGAAACGAGGGGGAAAAATGAGGCCAAAAACACCTGCAAAGAATCTGGAGCAAATGTTTCCAATTAATTCCACTGTGACTTCCTATTTTAGAATAAGTAAAATACTATGAAGTTAAGTAAAATATATAAAGCAACTATTTTCAGGGACTAGACAATAATAGACTATGCAGGGCTGTGATCCTAGCCAGACGGAAAACATGCAAAGGGTGCACCACGTTCACCTGAACACTGGGGGCAGGTAGGGACTTTCCAAACTGCAGCATAAAGAAATGCAGCAGTATACAGAAAAAGATTGAAATTCAGGATGCTGGCCAGGAGTGGTGGCTCACATCTGGAATCTCAGCACTTTGGGAGGCTGACGCAGGTGGATCACCTGAGGTTAGGAGTTCGAGACCAGCCTGAGCATCATGGTGAAACCCCCATCTCTACTAAAAATACAAATTTAGCTGGGCGTGGTGGCACGTGCCTGTAATCCCAGCTACTTGGGAGGCTGAGGAAGGAGAATCACTTGAACCTGGGAGGCGGAGGTTGCGGTGAGCTAAGATCACGCCACTGCACTCCAGCCTGGGCAATATAGACTTCGTCTCAAAAATAAAATAAATAAAAACAAAATAATAAAAAATAAAATTCAGGACTGCTGACACAGCTGTAATTTGCAGAGTAGGATACCACAGAGGAGGATCATCACACAAACAAGAAATCTCAGAAATATGCAAAGGGATATCCATGAGTTGCTGACTAAATACTAAGCTATGCATGTGCAAAGTAAAATGCTATGAGGCCTGGAAAAGAGAATTCTTTCTAAGGGACTGTGAGATGAACGGAGATTCCAGAGGTCATATGGTACTAGAAGATAAAATTCCAACTAGTCTTAGCAAGGAAATCTCACTGTACACCCCAGTCATTCAGTTGAGACCCTAAAGATCCTCTTTAAGGGCAGAGCTATTCTAGGCCTCGAGTAAAAGCTACTCTATACCCATCCTAGCAAAGCTGAAAACCAAGACTTTACAGGATCAAGTTGAACCACCAGTAAATTATCTGCCTGTCAGAATAAAATCCATCACTCTTTAAGATGACTAAATCTAGTCTCTTAACAATAGACCACTGACAATGTCCAATATACAATAAAAAATTACTAGACATTCAGCCAGGTGCAGTGGCTCATGGTTGTAATCCAGGCACTTTGCGAGGCCAAGGTGGGAAGATTACCTGAGGTCAGGAGTTCAAGACCAGCCTGGCCAACATGGAAAAACCCTATCTCTACTAAACTACAAAAATTATCCACACGTGATGGCAGGCTCCTGTAATCTCAGCTACTCAGAAAGCTGAGGCAGGAGAATCACTTGAACCTAGGCAGCAGAGGTTGAAGTGAGCCAAGATCACACCATTGCACTCCAGCCTGGGAAACACGGCAAGACTCCATAACAAAAAAAAACAATAAAGTAAAAATAAAATAAATCAATCTATAGACCCAAGAAGCACAATTAACCACAAAAATAGGGCTATTGCAGTCCTCAGATAAAGGGTATCCATCCCAACAAAGCCTAAAACCAAGACTTGGGAGTATCAAGCATATTAACTGCCTGCCATGACAACACTCAAACTTCTTTAAGAAAAGACAACAAAATAGAGATCCTCAACAACACAGGAATTACCCTGTCCAGCATACAATAAAAAATTACTAGACATGAGAAGAAACAAGAAAATGTTACTAATCACTGGGAGAAAAAAAAAAATCAAGAAAGATAAACATAAAGAAAACCACACAAAGGCATAACAGAGTCAAAATGCTAAAAACTAATGATAAAGTCTTAGGAGCAGCCATAGAAAAAGTCACATTACATATAGGAGAACAATGCTGACTTCTCATCAGAAACAACATAAGCCAGAGGACCTTAGAATCTCATCTTCAACGTCCTAAAAGCAAAAAAACTGTTAACCTAGAATTCTATATCCAGTGAAAACATTCTTCAAATAATGAAGGCAAAATAAAAATGTATTCAGATAAATAAAAGCTAAGAGAATTTGTCACTAGCAGGCCTAAGCTATAATGAATATTAAAAGTAGTTCTCCAGATGGAAGAAAAATAATATTAGATAAAAATATGGGTCTACTGAGGACTGTCACTGAAAAGCAGTGAAAATGAAAGTACATGGAAAAGTCAAGGCTGAGAAAATATGAAGACTTTTTCTCACTTTAAAGTTTCTTTTAAAGACAACCGATTGTTAAAGCAAATATAGCAATGTACTAAAGATTTATGACATGTGAAGAAATAAAATGTATGACAAAAATAGTATGAACCAAAGAGGGATAAATAGATGTATAGTGCTATTAAGGCTCTTATATCATACATGAAGTGTTAATTCGAGGTAGACTATGATAAGACAATTACAAGGTAGACTATGATGGACCATTACAATGTTAATTCAAGGTAGACCATGATAAGTTAAGGAAACTGTAATCCCTACAGCAACCTGCAAACATAACACAAAGAGATACATTTTTAAATCCAGTAAAGAAACTAAAATGGAATACTAAAAACTATTTTATTAACCCAAAAGAAGGCAGGAAAGCAGGTACCAAAGAGCAAAATAAAATAGATGGGATAAATAGAAAATAAATAGTAAGATGGTAGTCACGGACCCAATCACATCAGTAATTATATTAAATATAAATTGACTGAACATTCCAAT
Organism: Homo sapiens; assembly: GCF_000001405.40. Taxonomy (NCBI): domain Eukaryota; kingdom Metazoa; phylum Chordata; class Mammalia; order Primates; family Hominidae; genus Homo; species Homo sapiens. The sequence goes on from NC_000017.11 coordinate 73,019,815, forward strand.
TAAGAGACGGAGATCCTTGGACTAGATGAAAAAGTAAAACACAATGTTATGTTGTTTATTAAATATAAAGACTCAGGTAAAGGTACAGAAATGGAAGAAGATATACCAAGGAAACACTAACAAAATGAAACTGGGGTAGAAGTAACTATATTAATATCAGGACAAAGTAGACTTCAGGACAAAAAGTATTATAACTTAATTTCATTGAGAATAAAACTGAAGAATCACACTCCTTCTCCTTCTATCTAGAAAAGTGTCCATTTCGAGTTATGTTTGGAAAATTTTCACCATATTCAGAGCCCTTTATGTACTGAAGATGACGGGACAGAATGTCCTCGCATTCTTTATATCAGGTGTTACAAACAGAATATTTGTGTCCCCTCGAAAAAAATTCATTTGTTGGAGCACTAGCCCCAGTGGGATGGGAAGCTTTTGGAGGTAATTAGGGTTACATGAAGTCATGAGGATGGGACCCTCATAATAGGATTAGTGTCCTTGTAAGAAGAGACATCAGAGAGCTCGCCCTCTCTCATTCTCTCTACCATGTGAGAACACAAGAAGGTGGCCATCTGCAAGACAGAAAGAGAGCCCTCACCAGGAACTGAATCTGCCAGCACCTTGATATTTTTCTGTTCTTTAAGCCAGACTTCAGTATTTTTTTATGGCAGCCCAAGCCAATTTAGATAGCAGGAACCCACTTAGCTGATGTCTGCCTTGACTTTTACATGGAGCAGTATTTCTAAAGGAAACCAAGTGAAATCTGAAAAGAACTTCTGCTTCAGCTTATACTGTTCATGACCTCCCCAGGGGACCATGTGAGAGAGAACAATGCTTTTGGGTTTTTGGGGGGTCTTTTTGTTTCTTTCTTTTTTTTTTTTTTTTTTTTTGAGACGGAGTCTCACTCTATCACCCAGGCTGGAGTCAGTGGTGCAATCTTGGCTTACTGCAACCTCCGCCTCCTGGGTTCAAGCAATTCTCCTGCCCCAGCCTCCCGAGTAGCTGGGGCTACAGGCGCGTGCCACCACACCCGGCTAATTTTTGTACTTTTAGTAGAGACAGGGTTTTACCATATTGGCCAGTCTGGTCTCGAACTCCTGACCTTGTGATCTACCTGCCTTGGCTTCCCAAAGTGCTGAGATTACAGGCATGAGCCACCACGCCCAGCCCGGAGAGAACAATGCTTTGGCTTTCCAGTGCTTTTCACAGAACTCCCTCCCTCCCATGAATTGGCCAAACTACATCTCTACCCCCAAACTTCACTTCTCATTTCTTCCCTGACACCAGCCAGAACTGTTTATCTAACTCTCCAACTTTGGTTCCTGAGCCTGGGGACCTGCATCAACACTACCAGCACCACGATCAATCCCAGAGGAGATGGACCACGCAGGCATGACCAGGACCTGCTCTATGGAGCACCCAGCTAGGGGTACGGTTATAAGCAAGACAGACACGGTCCCAGTCACCTTTGCCAAGAAGAAGGGATCCAGTGAAGATTAGATGCATACTCAGTTCCCTTACTCTTTCTTTCTTTCTTTTTTTTTTTAAGACATAGTCTTGCTCTGTCACCCAGGCTGGAGTGTAGTGGTGCAATCTCGGCTCACTACAACCTCTGCCTCCTGGGTTCAAGCAATTCTTGTGCCTCAGCCCTACTCAAGTAGCTGGGATTACAAGCAGGCACCACCATGCCCGGCTAACTTTTGTATTTTTAGTACAGACGGGGTTTCACCATGTTGGCCAGGCTGGTCATGAATTCCTGCCCAGCTCTGCCTCCCAAAGTGCTGGGATTACCAACGTGAGCCACCGCTCCCAGCCTCTTTCCCCTTCCATACTCATAATCATCTTTGCCACCCTCGGCTATCGACTGGTTCAATATGCTTCCACGGTGGCTTCTGGGCATTTTTCATAAACATGTGGCTGAGCTCAAGAGACAGCAAGAGAGGACAGGTATCCAGTTACAACTTTATGGCCTAACAAATGAAAAGGTGTTCTACCCACGGAGAAGGAAATCTAAGTCCTAGAAGGTTCCAACCAAGCCTATCTGCACTCAAGACTCCCCACCACTCTTAGACCAAGAACAAGAACCATTCCGTGCTTAAGGAGTTCCCCTCAGCAAGCCAGCCCACGCAGTGCGTGTGTGTGTGCGCGCGTGTTCGTGCCAGACCCACGGGGTCCTCCGGGAATATATATCGACAACAGAGGTGGGTTTCTGAACCCTGGTCAAAAGCCAGAGAGCAGACACGCTTGAAATGCTCTGTGCCACTGACTGCAAAGCCACAGATATTTTTCCTGCAGCCTCAATGAGCAAGGACTGTGTACACAGCTAACACACATGGGCATACAAATGCATAGAACAGTATTCACCAGCTGCCCTAGAAAACCAAGAGAGCATATGGCAAGAAAGAGAGAGTTCATGGCATGCATTCCCATCACCTAAATGCGCACTTGCAGGCATCCACAGAATGGTCAAAACTGCTGTCTTCTCTAAGAATCAGCCAGCAGGCCGAGTGCAGTGGCTCATGCCAGTAATCCCAGCACTTTGAGGGGCCAAGGCGGGCAAATCACCTGAGGTCAGGAGTTCGAGACCAGCCTGGCCAACATGGCGAAACCTGGTCTCTACTAAAAATACAAAAACTAGCTGGGCATGGTGGTGCACACCTATAATACCAGCTACCCAGGAGGCTGAGGCAGGAGAATCGCTTGAACCTGGGAGGCGAAGGATGCAGTGAGCCAAGATCCCGCCATTGCACTCCAGCCTGGGAGACAAGAGCAAAACTCCATCTTAAAAAAAAAAAAAAAAAAAAAAAAAGAATCGGCCAGCCCACCATACTAGGAAATTGCCTTCATCCCCTTTTCAGCCTGTCTGCATGCCAGCAGGACCCAAAACAACATCTGAACATCTTCCTAAAAGTCACGGGAGGCTGTGGAATGCCTCCAAAGGTGGAAGAAACAATGCTAACCATGGCTTCCAGTTGCCCCTGGGAATACATTTGGTACCCAGGACAGCCTGAATGCCAGCTCTCTCCAAACTTCACACTATGAAGGGCCTGTGGCTTCAGTGTGTCAAGAGCAACCCCACCCTGTGAATTAAAATATCCTGTTTCACAAAGAAAAAAAAAAACTCAGTTTTCCTTTGCCAGTGAACCCTTCTGAACAATAAGCTTTCTCAACCCTCCCCAAGCCCAGAATTATCAGGCACCGCTTCCATTACTGCAAGCTCACAGGTTTCCTCCCTTAGAAACTGAAGTATTAATTAGTACTGTGTATTTGTATTCCTTAGCCTGCCATGCCCCTCAGGGCATAGCCAGCCAGCCCACTGTTCCAGTGTCAGGGAAGCGACCACTGGTTCAGAACGCCCAGTGCCCAACTAACAGCTGAGCTCCTGCCACTCTACCATCTTTCAATCACAGTGCCTAAAAAAAAAAAAAGATGTTACCCTGGGCTGAATTGTGCCCCCCAAAATCCATGTATCAAAGCTCTAACCCCCTATACTTTATAATGTGACTGTATTTAGAGATAGGGCCAGTAGAAAATCAACGTTTTAAACTGAAGATGGGCCAGGTGCCATGGTTAATGCCTGTAATCCCAACACTGTGGGATTCCAAGGTAGGAGGACTGCTTGAGCCCAAGAGTTGAAAAGGTGTCCAATCAAAATGGTGCTGGTTTTTTTTGTTGTTGTTTGTTTGTTTTGTGTTTTTGAGGCAGTGTCTCACTCTTGCCCAGGCTGGAGTGCAGTGGTGTGATCTCGGCTCACTGCAACCTCTGTCTCCTGGGTTCAAGTGATTCTCCTGCCTCAGCCTCCCAAGTAGCTGGGACTACAGGTGTGTGCCACCACGCCTGGCTAATTTTTTGTATTTTTAGTAGATATGGGGTTTCACTGTGTTAGCCAGGCTGGTCTCGATCTCCTGACTGCGTGATCCGCCCACCTTGGCCTCCCAAAGTGTTGGGATTACAGGTGTGAGCCACCACACCCGGTCCCAAAATGGTGCTGTTTGGGTGGGCCTTGGTCCAATGTGGCTGGTGTCTTCATGGAAAGAGGAAAGCTGGGCACGTAAAGAAACACCAGGGATGTGAGCACAGAGGCAAGACTGTGTGAGGACACACAGGAAAGGCAGCCATCTGCAAGCCAAGTGGAGAGGCCTCAAAAGAAACCAACCCTGCCGGCACCTTAGCCTTGGACTTCCAGCCTCCAGAGCTGTGAGAAAATAAATTTCTATTGTTTAAGCCAACCCTGTATGTAGTATTTTGCTATGGCAGCCCCAGCGAAATAATACAGATGTGTAGACAGTGAAGTAAAAGGTCCGACTGCAGAACTGCCACCTTCTTTGGCCTGGGGCTGCCCAATCCACCCAACATGCCACCCTCTTCAGATGGCACAACTGTGTCCCCACACTGGAAGGATCTGCTATTGCCCCAGAGGCTTTCTACAGCCAGGCAGAAATTTCAACAATAGCTCAACCCCAGGATGCAGCATATAGCTTGAAGTAGAATTGCCCATCTGGAGCCTCAACAGAGTATAAGAAAGCACAATCCTAAAAATGGGGCAAAGGGCTACTGTTCAATGTCCCCACGAAACGAGTCGGGCTTACTTGACGATATCAGGCTTATTGTAGAGACTCTCAGGTGGCTGCTGCTGAAGTTTGTCCTTTTTGTTTTCTGTGAGATACTCTTTTCATTTCTCCTTTTTAATTCCCTAAGATATTCTTTCGTGAACTAGAATCAGAATGCTAAAGATGAAGGAAATCTACGAAGGAGAAATAAATACATGCAAACACACCTCTGGGAGGAAAACTGCCTCTTGGAACATCTGTCACTTCTAAGACAGTTGTCATATTTGTTCTCTCAATAGCAGCTCCAGCCAGCCAAATATTGATACCAGTAAAAGTTGTGTACATTTTTTTTTTTAGACAAAGTCTTGCTATGCCACCCAGGCTGGAGTGCAGCAGCGTGATCCCGGCTCACTGAAGCCTCCGCCTCTTAGGTTCAAGGGATTCTGCTGCCTTAGCCTCCTGAGTACCTGGGATTACAGACACGCAACACCATGCCCAGCTAATTTTTTTTTTTTTTTTTTTTTTTGTATTTTTGGTAGAGACAGGGTTTCACCATGTTGGCCAGGCTGGTCTTGAACTCCTGACCTCAACTGATCCACCCACCTCGGCCTCCCAAAATGCTGAGATTATAGGCATGAGCTACCGCGCCTGGCCAAAACTGGGTACATATTCAAAGTACACACGCACACTGTTCATTTAAGCTTCACTAGAGGCATCTTCTTTGCCATCACAATGAGAACTAAAATAAACTGAACATGGTTGAGGACTCAGATAAATTAAGGCAGGAGCTGAGAAGAGGGTGATCCCTGCTTGCCAGCCTCCCCCACCCTCCTGGAGCCCGTCTGGGCAGGACTGTTGGCCAAGTCCACGTGGAGGAGACAGCCTCAGGGTCACAGGCACCTGTTACCTACTTGGGCAGCCTCCTCAAGATACTGAATACCAAGAGAGGGAGAGGAGGGGGAGGGGAGCACACATCTCCCAGGAAAAAGTCTGCCAAGATGCAAACCAAGCTGCGAAAAGCAAGCAGCAACAACACAGACAGTATGTTGCCATTTGTTTTTCAGAAAACATGAAACAAAATTCCATCTCCAGATGTACATGCAAACATATGTAAAAGCACAGAGCAGTCTAACTACTCAACCACGGAGAGATGGCTGAGCAAATGAACTGGATGACAGAATGTTACGTAGGTATTAAAATATCATCAATAAAAATCATTTCAAATTTAAAAATAACACAAAGAGAATGCACAGACTGATTCCAACTGTGTAAAAATGTATGCTTGCACATATGCAAGAAAAGAAGATCGAAATAGAGTCAGAAGAAAAGAAGATCGAAATGGAGTCAGGGTTCCTACTGCTATAAAGTCGATTTAAAGTATACTCAAACAATACAAGCAAATTGGAAAAGTGTTTATATTTCAATAATTAAAAAACACAGTATCATTGGTTTTCTTTAAAAAAGGAAAAGGGGCTGGGCGTGGTGGCTCACGCCTGTAATTCCAGCACTTTGGGAGGCTGAGGCAGGCATCCGCCTGCCTGAGGTCAGGAGTTTGAGACCAGCCTGGCCAACATGCTGAAACTCCGTCTCCACTAAAAACACAAAAATTAGCCAGGTGCGGTGGCAGGTGCCTGTAATCCCAGCTACTCAAGAGGCTGAGGCGGGAGAACAACTTGAACCCGGGAGGCGGAGGTCGCAATGAGCCAAGATTGAGCAACTGCACTCCAGCCTGGGCCACAGAGGAAGATCCACCTCGGAAGAGAGAGAAGAGAAGAGAAGAGAAAAGAGAGAGCAGAGGAGAGAAGAGAGGAGAGGAGAAAGAGAAGAGAGAAGAGAAGGGAAGAGAAGAGAAGAGAAGAGAAGAGAAGAGAAAAGGGAAAAGCCGGCTGTGGTGGCTCACACTTGTAACACCAGCACTGTGGGAAGCTGAGGTGAGTAGATTACCTGAGGTCAGGAGTTCGAGACCAGCCATGGTGAAACCCCATCTCTACTAAAAGTACAAAATTAGCCAGGCATGGTGGCGCATGCCTGTAATCCCAGATAGTTGGGAGACTGAGGCAGGAGAATCGCCTGAACCCGGGAGGGAGGCAGAGGTTGCAGTGAGCCAGGATCGCACCATTGTACTCCAGCCTGGGCAACAAGAGCGAAACTACATCAAAAAAAAAAAAAAAAAGAAAGAAAGAAAGAAAAGAGAAGACAAAAGAAAAGAAGAGAAACACTAGAATGATACCCGCTAAACTGGTAACAATGTTTGACTGGTTGGTCTGGGGGAAAAGATAAAAGTAGGAGAAGGGTTTTCACATAAAATTTTTATAAACTGTTTTATAACGAGATTTTTGTACTGTATTGATGCGACGCTAACATGACTAAAAATAAAGAATTGACCTTGGGGACACACACACACTACCCTCCTCCCCACCCTACCCATCAACCCACCAGGAGAAAAATCACTGTTTTAAACTGAAGGCGGGCCAGGTGTGGTAGCTCACACCTATAATCCCAACACTGAAGAGGGGGAGGCCAAAGTAGGAGGATTGCTTGAGCTCAGGAGTTCAAGACTAGCCCGGGCAACATAGGGAGACTCCTGTCTCTACCAAAAAAAAATTAAAAATTAGCCGGGCATGGTAGCACACGCCTGTGGTTCCAGCTATTCAGGAGGCTGAGGTGGGAGGATCACTGGATCCCAGGAGGTCAAGGCTACAGTAAGCCGCGATCATGCCACTGCACTCCAGCCTGGGCAACAGAGCAAGACCCTGTCTCAAATAATAACAATAATAAACTGAAGATGACAGTTTCCCACATACTGCTATACCTTAACTTCACATAGAAGCACAACTGCAAAATCAGAAACATGTCAATGTCTCCAAACAGCTGTTCAGTGTCCTGTCTGTTTCTGCCTAGAACCATCCTAAGGGGAGCATGGGCTCCAGCTGGCCTCGAAAGCATTTCCCATCATCCGACCCCTCACCAGCCTCCTCCCAGGCCCAGTAGGCTGCACCTTCCTTGTCCACCCCCTTTTTTTCTCCCCTTTCATTAAGACGCCATTTGGCAAAGTCTCTGCAAATCCCTGTCAGTTCACTTCCCATTAACAGTTACCGCAGAGCTTCTCTACTTTATTCCCAGATAAATAATTGAAAACAAACACCCAGTTTGGAGAGGAACTTGAGGCATCTGAAGTTAACAAAGCCACAACGGCTTCATCCTGACAGGCTCTTCTGAGTAATGCCCTTTCCATGAGCAATATTTTGCTTTGCCTCCAACAGAGGGACAGATAAATCTGAAAGGCTGAAGGAACAGAAATGGAGTTAAAGAACACAGTCATGTGTTAACCATTCTCTTCCCACCAACCCAAGAGTGTGATGCCCTTCACGTCCCGAACACATATAACCAGGGTGGGTGGCTCTGACGCTCCCAGGCATTGGGGCCTGTGCCTGAATGGTCACGGGCAAGGGTCAAATCAGGGCACTGCTGCAGAATCCTTCAAGCCATATCGCTGCCTTTTCCAGACTTCCGCATCTCCTTATTTCTCCAGGTGAAATAACACAGACACTGACCCACTTCCTTTCACCCCAACAAACTCCAAGCAGACGTGTCCCCAGGGGATAGAAAGGAGACCCTGAGGTTTTCTGCAGACAGGCCCCCTACATCCTGGGGCCCGTCCCAAAGGGTGAGAGCCCCTTGGTCGGAACCGCAGCCAAAGGCTTTTCCTCTGCCTTCATTCTGCTCCTGGGGCCATCCGCTGAATTGTGGGACTCCATCATCAGGGGAATGAATCAGGAACTGAAATGATCTGGGGCTGAATTTACCCACAAAACTTCCCACAGCCTCAAAAGCCACTGGTTCATAGATCCCAAGAAGGGCAAACATCCTGAACACAAATTCTAGCCCTGCTCCTACCCTGTTAGACTATAAACGCGTGGGTGCTCAGTCGATGTTGGCCAACCGCAACGACTCAAGATCAAAACCCATTAACTCCGACCCCACAGAGCATCTTCGATAGATCCAAGCTGCTGCCCTTTTCAGGTCTGGTGAGCAAATTAATAGTGAAACCAAAGGAAACCTTTGGCCAGCCTCAGAGTGAAGGTCAACAGACTGTTTCCAAGCACAACTCTTTCAACAACATTTGTATTCACTGACTGTAGCAATCATAAGTAATTCTCATCCATGTATGAGACCTTCTAAGACAAATTCCCCCTCTCACATCGACAGCAAGAATTCATTTCTTTTTAAATCTCCTAGAACAGATGTTTACTGTCAGGCTGACCTTTCTGCCAAGTAGTGAGGTTCTGGGCATTTGTGGTGATGATGTCTGTTTCTGAGCTGCTGCAATCCCTCCCCAGACATTCACCAGCTGCTCCCAAACCATTACTGATTCTATCCAGGGCTTCCCTCTGGGATCTCCTCCATATTCAAAGCATATATTAGAACAAATATGAACCAAAAGGTTTAAAAAAAAAAAAAAAAACACTGCTGCAGCCGGGCACGGTGGCTCATGTCTATAATCCCAGCACTTTGGGAGGCTAAGGTGGGAGGATCACTTGAGGTCAGGAGTTCAAGACCAGCCTGGCCAACATGGTGAAACCCCATCTCAACTAAAAATACAAAAATTAGCCAGGCATGGCAGCAGGTGCCTGTAATCCCAGCTACTCAGGAGGCTGAGGCAGGAGAATCACTTGAACCCAGGAGGTGGAGGTTGCGGTGAGCCAAGATCACGCCATTGCACTCCAGCCTGGGTGACAGAGTGAGACGCCGTCACACACACACAAAAAAAAATTACTGCTGCATAGTGCAAATTAGCCAATGACTGTTTACACCGCCCAGAGAAAATCCCTACATTCAGACAGCTGACCAAATACATCTGATACCGCCCCACCACCCCTACTCCCCAGTAACATAGTAAGACCCACAAGGATTGCAGAGTCCTTTCCAAGAGACTATCTTGGAAGCCCAGTTGGGTGCAGGAGAGAAGAGTAGAATGGGATCCAGCAGGAGCCATGCAGAGCCACTGAGCCAGATCTCTGCCTGCTGCTCAGGGATTGAAGCCACTGGTCACCTGTCAGGGCAAGCAGAATACACTCCAACAACAAGTTCACACAAAACCAGGGTGGCCTTGAGATCAGAATATGGCAGCCTGCATTGAGGGCCACTGGACGCCACTACCACACATAGTCGGCAGCAAGGAAGCCACATGTCCAGGGGACGGAGACAGACACGGCCACTCAATCTTTTTTTTTTTTTGAGACAGGGTCTTGCTCTGTTACCTAGGCAGGAGTGCAGTGGCACCATCTCGGCTCACTGCAACCTCCACCTCCCAGGTTCAAGCGATTCTCATGCCTCAGCCTCCTGAGTAGCTGGGATTACAGGTGCGCACCACCACACCCAGCTAATTTTTGTATTTTTAGTAAAGATGGGGTTTCTCCACGTTACCCAGGCTGGTCTCTAACTCCTGGCCTCAAGTGATCTGCCCGCCTCAGACTCCCAAAGTGTTGGAATTACAGGCATGAACCACTGTGCCCAGCCATGTCACTCAATCTTTTAACAACAAAAAATGACACATGGTCTTTAAGACAGTGGTCCCCAACCTTTTTGGCACCAAGGACTGGTTTTGTGGAAGACAGTTTTTCCATGGACAGGGGCCGGGGTAGGGGGTTGGGGATGAAACTGTTCCACCTCAGATCATCAGGCATTAGTTAGATTCTCTTAAGGAGCACGCAGCCTGGATCCCTCACATGCGCAGCTCGCAGCAGGGTTTGTGCTCCATTGAGAATCTAATGCCACGGCTGATCTGACAGGAGGCGGAGCTCAGAAGATAAAGCTCACTTGGCAGCTGGCTGCCCACCTCCTGCTATGTGGCCCAGCTCCTAACAAGCCATTGACCAGTAGCGGTCCTTGGTCTGGGGGGTTGGGGACCTCTGCTTTAAGACAGTATCACAGCCGTCCAACATCACATTCAGCTGTCTGATCCAAAGGACAGTTCTTCTGTAACACAAGGAATCTGTTTTACATTAGCCCAGGACCTAGAGGCATAGTTCCTGGGAATCGTTATAGTTACAGAATCACCCATCATTCCTTCTCTTTCTCCACTTGGGAAGTTAAGGAAAAAAGAAAGCAGGAAGGCAGGGAAGAGAACTTCAACCTACCTACCTCCCGGGGTACATGACCACTGACTCCAGTGAGTCTGACTTAATCCTGTCTCACCGTGATCCAGCAGGAGAAATGGACTTTGACCCATTTCTCTCCAGAGAGTTCTCCCTGCACCACTTCCCTTTCTAGGGGAGCAGGGAACTCTGGCACCAGTTCAGGGGTGCTTCTGCCATCTCTAGAACTTGTCGGGCCCAGTGTCTGGTAAGGCTGTCTCATGCTGTTATGATCTTGGACCCCTTTCCTCTACTGACAGTGGTGCATGCAGATGACAGGGCTTTAGCCAATGGCTTGCGGTTCCCATCGCATGACCTGGCCCCAGCTCTCTTGGCTCGGTGATCACAGCCACATGCCAGGCTGCGGTTTGCACGGTGCTTCCCTGTAAGCACATACATGCTCATTCCCAAATCCAGCTCTCCTGCCATATGTCAGTAAAAAAGCCTGAAATCTCTGGCTTATCCCCAATTCCAGTGCATTTTTACATTTTTAAAATTTTACTGTACAGTCCTTCGGGGGAGTTATCCTCAAATTAAAGGATGGAAAACTAGAGCTCAGGGATATACAATCAGTAAATGGCAGGTGTGAGCTCCAGCCCAGACCCCTGCTGCACAGAGCCCTGCCTCACCCTCCTGTCAGCCCTCATAATGTGATCCATGGTCAAAGGCCTAATGCTACAGATTGTGGGGGTGGGGCGGGAGTATCATCTCCCTGATGATGTCATACTCTCAATAAAACCCAGCACCACAGTGATCGTTCTAGGTCCTCTCATATATATACAGTGCCACCCAGCACATCAGCTGTACTCTATATTTTTAATGAAATGTGACATTCAAAATCCGAACTTACTAAAATGTAAATAAGGGGGTAATTACCAAGACATTACTTTAAGAAAGAAATCACCGATCAGTTCCTCTAATGCCTTGTTCTCTGTTTAAATACCACTGGCTACTTAACAGAGACATTAACAGGTATGTCAGGTTTGATCAGAAATAAATTCATTGCACAGAGCTGGTTGTATCCCGATACGACAGCTAAAAGTAGAGTGGTACTCACCAAGTGAGGCATCAGGAGGTCAGCCAAGTAGACAAAAGCCGCTCCAAGGGTGAAGCCAACAGCCACAGGGAAGAAGGCAAAGGCACCGAAGCCCCCAGAGGACGTGGCCATCTCAACTGCTGGGGCCAGAAGAGACCAATAGGAAGCTGCCAACATGACCTACAAAAACCACAACGAGAGATAAACGTTAAAGCAACTGCAGAAGGCTTTCCAGGCAGGACCTCAGTTGCTCTCTGTGGCCCAGATTGACCCCTACAATTTCACATGAGTTCAGTCTTTCGTCCCAGGTTGGGAGGTACTATCAGAAACCAAAAAGCCATCCCCAGAATTCCCGGAGCTTACTATTGCAAGAACTCAATTTTGGGTAGGATAGAGTTGACCTTGGGAGGATGCAGTCCAGTTCGCCATCATCTAGCCTATAATTCAGTGGTTCTCAACCAGCAATGGTTTTGCCCTCCACAGGACATTTGGCAATGACTAGAGACATTTTTAGCTGTCACACTGGGAGGAGCGTAGGGGGAGGTTGCTACTGGCATCTAATGAGTGAGGCCAAGCATGCTGGTAAACAACCTACAATGCACAGCACACCCCTGACAACAAAGAATTATCTGGCCCCAAATGTCAATGAGAATGCTGTTGCGAATTCCTATTCTTTTTTTTTTTTTTTCTGAGATGGAGACTTTCTCTGTCACCCAGGCTGGAGTGCAGTGGCACAATCTTGGCTCACTGCAACCTCCACCTCCCGGGTTCAAGTGATTTTCCTGCCTCAGCCTCCTGAGTAGCTGGGATTATGGGTGTGTGCCACCACAGCCAGCTAATTTTTCTGTATTTTTTAGAGATGGGATTTTGCCATATTGGCCAGGCTGGTCTCAAACTCTTGAACTCAGGTGACCCACCCACCTCGGCCTCCCAAAGTGCTGGGATTAAAGGTGTGAGCCACCATGCCCAGCCCAAAAAATCCTATTTTAATTAAATTCTTCCAAGACAAATTGCTCACTACTTCACGAGTTCCACTGTATTGTAACACAGGTCTAATTATTACAAAGTTCTTTCTTATGTTGAGCTGAAATCTGTCTCCTTTCCACTTTTACCTTTTAGCTGTGGTTTTGCTCCCTAGAACACCAAAAACTGTGTCCCTCCTGTGTGATATGTGACAGCCTCTGAAATATCTGAAGATAACCAGCAAGTCAACGTCATATTGGTCTCATCAATTATCTCTAAAAAGGACGAAGGGAACTAATATTTATTGATCACTTGGTATTTCCAAGGGCCAAGATTTACATTTGATATCTTATCTTTTCATCACAACCACCCCAGAGGCAGATGATGTTTTCTATTGCGATTTGTAGATAAAGAAATTGGATCTTGAAATAATAAGGTAATTTGCTCATGGTCCTACAGGCCAGCGGTCCCCAATCCTTTGGGCACCAGGGGCCAGTTTCATGGAAGACCATCTTTCCACGGACCAGGCAGTGGTTTTGGGATGAAACAGTTCCACCTCAGATCATCGGGCATTAGAGTCTCATAAGGAGCTCACAACCTAGATCCGTGGCATGTACAGTTCACAATAGGGTTCACGTTCCTATGAGAATCTAATGTCGCCACTGGTCTGACAGGAGGCGGAGCTCCCGCGGTAATCCTCACTCACTTGTCCGCTGCTCACCTGCTGTGCGGCCTGGTTCCTAACAGGCCATGGATCAGCACTGGTCCATGGCCCGGGGATTGGGGACCTCTGCCATAGGCAGTAAGTAGCAGATCCAGGGAAATGACCAAGCAGGACCATAACCAACTCAATGACGGTAGAAACATGAAGGAGAAGAAAAAAAATTAGGCTAGTCTCAAATCTCAGCAAAGTCAATTCAATAAAAGGTTCTCCAGCAGATGAGCTGGCACAGTGGTGCATGACTATAGTTGCTGGAGATGAGCTGGCGCAGTGGTGCATGACTGTAGTCCTAGCTACTGGGGAGCCTTGAGCCCAGGAGTTCAAGGCCAGCCTGGGCAACATAGCGAGACTCTGCCTCTTAAAAATAAGAAGCTCTCCAGCACTGACCAAACTAAACACTCATCCATGGCTGTTTACTCTTACAGATGCTATGACATCTTTTGGCTAGAGTACACCCACCACCCATCGTAACTATACGGCAGTCATCGCCGACACAGAAAATGTTGAATGGGTTTCTAAAAATTACTTAATTATGCCTTGCCTTAAAAAATCATCTGCATCACCCATCTTCAAAATAACACTCAGAGTGACAGAAGCAGGTATTACAACAGCAACAATAAAGAACAAATCCAAGCATAAATCCATAAATTCCCTTCTTCCAGCTGTCAAACATGCACAGTCACTTGCTCTGGGCCAAATTCTCCCAGCAAAAGTCTTAGTGCCACCCATGGAAACCTGCAAAAGCCTCCAAAACTCTAAGAATGAAAATGCCTCTGCTCAACAGGATGGGAGCTGAGGCTGATCCGTTCAACTCCATGAGCCGGGCTGTCAATAAAGACCATCAAAGGAAATGTGAGGGCTCCCCCTCCCTGCTACAGCCTAATCCACCCCTTTTCCAGACTTTGTCTTACTAGCTTTAGAATTCAACAGCCCTCAGTAGCTGCCCTGCATGGTAAACTCCCCATCGAAGAGGACCTGCAACAAGACACAGAGATGGAAAGGTGCCCGTTCTTCTTTGCATTTTTTGAAACAGAGTCTCTGTCACCCAGGCTGGAGTGCAGTGGTGCAATCTCCGTTCACTGCAACCTCTGCCTCCCAGGTTCAAGCAATTCTCCTGCCTTAGCCTCCCAAGTAGCTGGGATTGCAGGTACTTGCCACCACACCTGGCTAATTTTGTATTTTTAGTAGAGACAGGGTTTTGCCGTGTTGGCCAGGCTGGTCTCGAACTTCTGACCTCAAGTGATCTGCCTACCTTGGCCTCCCAAAGTGCTGGGATTAAAGGCGTGAGCCACTGCTACTGGCCCAATTCTTCTTTTTAAACCTGACCTGTGCAGCAGCTTCTCTGGTTCTCCCATACGGTCCCACCTTCAACAACTCTAAAACCACATGGCCCAAGTAAGCCCACTCATCTCACCCTCTAAATCCTCCCCACCCTGCACTCCGATGAAAAAACATAACATCGCTGTCAGCATCACTTGAGAGACGTCCCCAACCTCTGCTCTCATCTCCTTTTCAACCCCAGGTCCAAACTCTTCTGTCCACATTTCCTTCCATCCCTCTGCATCACTGAGTACCAACCTTTTTTCTGCCCTTACACATGAGAAGCACACAATCCACAAGCTATTCAAGGAGCAGGAGCAGAAGAGAAGTGTCTCTCAAGGGAGGGTGTGTTGGAATTTGGGATGCTTGCAATGCAAACGCATCCCAGCTGATTCAGGTAAGCCCCCTTCTTGAGAATCACTGCCCTTTATCTTTCCAGTCAAATTTAGGATCCAGCTGGATTTCCTTCATTTCTTTTCCTTGTGAGCCTCCCTGCCTCACACACAAACTGGAAAACCACCAAAGAACAATCGGGAAATTGAATAGGGTTGCCTGTCTAAAATGAAAAAAGCACCCAAAGCAAAATTCTTTTTGTTTTTTGTTTTTGTTTTTGTTTTTGTTTCGAGACAGAGTCTCGTTCTGTCACCCAGGCTGGAGTACAGCAGCGTGACCTGCAACCTCCATCTCCGCCTCCCAGGTACAAGAGATTCTTGTGCCTCAGCTTCCCAAGGAGCTGGGATTACAGGCATGAGCCACCACGCCCAGCTAATTTTTGTATTTTTAGTACAGACAGGGTTTCACCATGTTGGCTAGGCTGGCCTCGAACTCCTGGCCTCAAGTGATTGCCCACCTCAGCCTCCCAAAGTGCTGGGATTACAGGTGTGAGCCACCGCACCCGGCCAAAAAGTTATTTAAAGGGCGAGTGGGGTAGAAAAGACGACTGTATCCTAATGCCTAAAACCTGTGAATATTTCACCTTACAAGTAAAAAGGACTCTGCACATGGGATTAAATTAAGGACCTGGAGATGGGGAGATGATACTGGCTTATTTGAGTGGGACCAATGTAACCACAGGGTCCTTACGAAGGAGTGAGAAGGGTCAGAGTCGTGAGGTCAGGAGTTTGAGACCAGCCTGACCAACATGGTGAAATCCTGTCTCTACTAAAAATACAAAAATTAGCCGGGCATCGTGGCAGGCACCTGTAATCCCAGCTACTCAGGAGGCTGAGACCAGAGAATCACTTGAACCCAGGAGGCGGAGGTTGCAGCGAGCCAAGATCGCACTACTGCACTCCAGCCTGGGTGACAGAGCGACACTCCATCTCAAAAAAAAAAAAAAAAAAAAAAAAGAAGGGTCAGAATCAGAGAGAAAATATGATAACAAAAGCAGAGGCTATAGTCAGAAAGAGATTGAAAGATGCCATGCTGCTGGCTTGAGGATGAAGAAAAGGCCATCTGCTAGGGAAGGGAGGTGGCCCCAAGATGCTGAGAAGGCAGGGAAGCAACTTCTCCTCCAAATCCTCCAAGAGGAACCCAGCCCTGCTGCCACCTTGACTTTGTCCCAGTTAAAATCACTGTGGACTTCAGACCTCCAGTACTGTAAGATAATAAATTTGCACTGTTTTAAGCCACTACATTCATGGTAGTTTGTTACAACAGCAATAGAAAATTAATACAGGCACATGTTACTTTTCTTAAACTTTATTTTTTAGAGCACTTTTAGATTGATAGCAAAATTGAGTGGAAAGTACCAAGAATTCTGACATAGGCCTACCTGTCCCCACATACCCAAAACTTTCCCCACTATCAACATCACACCACAGTGGTACAATTGATACAGCTGATGAACCCACACTGATATGGCATTAACACCGAAGGGCCATCGTTTTTTTGTTTTGTTTTTTGTTTTTTTTCTTTGCTTGTTTTGAGACAGGGTCTCACTCTGTCACCCAGGCTGGAGTGCAGTAGCGTAATCTCAGCTCACTGCAACCGCTGCCTCCCATGTTCAAGTAATTCTCTTGCCTCAGCCTCCTGAGCAGCTGGGATTACAGGTGCCCACCATGCCGCCCAGCTCATTTTTGTACTTTTAGTAGAGATGGGTTTTCACCATATTGGTCAGGCTGGTCTCGAACTCCCGACCTTAGGTGACCCACCTGCCTCGGCCTCCCAAAGTGCTAGGATTACAGGCATGAGCCACCACGACCAGCTGGTCCATAGTTTCCATTAGGGTCCACTCTTGGTGCTATACATTCCATGGATTTTGACACATATATAATATCATGTATCCATCATTACTGTATCATATACTTTCACTGCCCTAAAAAGTCCCTGTGCTCCACCTATTTATTCATCCCTCCTTCCCCGCTATTCCCTGGAAATCCCTTTTCACTGTCTCTATAGTTTTGCCTTTTCCAGAATGTCCTATAGTTGAAATCACACAGCATGGAACCTTTCCAGATTGGCTTCTTTCACTTGGTTTTTAATGCATTTAAGATTCCTCCATGTCTTCTCATGACTTGATAAAGCATTTCCTTTTAGCACTGGATAATATTCTATTGTCTGGATGTACCACAGTTTATCTGTTCACCTATTGAAGGACTTTTTGGTTGCTTCTGAGTTTTGTCGATTATGAATAAAGTGGCTATAAACACCCGTGTGCAGGTATTGGTGTGGACTGGAAGTTTTCCATTCATTTCGGTAAATAAGGGCCAAGGAGTGGAATTGTTGGATCCTATGATAAGCATCACTTTTTAAATAATCCCCCAGCACAGGTGGGGAGGTGAAACTCTCAACATCAGCAATGCTCCTTTATATGTTAGGCATTTTTAAATCTGGGTGTAGTGACATATGAACTAGCTGGTGCAGGAATAGAAAGCAGGGTATCTGATTACCTCTCAACTATCCCTAAGAAGCAGGGCCTGGAACGGGCAGGCCACAGAGGAGAAGGTGCTGAGTACCAGGCCCAAGACTTCAGGGAATACTTTTGCCAGCCAGTCCCTTCATAGCCCCGGATGGTAGAGAACAAAAGTCCTTCTGCAGCTGTGACCCCGCCTGTAAAGGCAAACAAGTGGGCTAACAGGGCCATCGCTGAAGACACCAGGTATAACCGTAAGGAGCTGATGGTTGGCATCTTCCTTTTCCTCACCTTTGTCTATAAAAGGAATCCATAATCAGCTTCAACACACATGGCAGGGGCCTCGCTGTACCCCCAAAGTCTTTTTTGCCTCTTTATTCCTGAAATGAAAATGAAAAGCCCACCCAATCGAATGAAGCCAGGGGGAAGGTTTGGGTGGGGCCCATCCTCCAAGTTAAATGTTGCTAAGACCAAAGCAGCCCAATTTCTTTTGCTAAATAATGAAAGAAGCTCAAGGATGAGTATTTCAATAGCAAAAGAAAACTCGTGGCAGGGCACAGGGGCTTACGCCCATAATCCAAGCACTTTGGGAGGCCGAGGCAGGCGGATCACCTGAGGTTAGGAGTTCATGACCAGCCTGGCCAACATGGCGAAACCCCGTCTCTACTAAAAAACACAAAAATTAGCCAGACATGGTGGCACACACCTGTAATCCCAGCTACTCGGGAGGCTGAGACATGAGAATCACTTCAACCCGGGAGGCGGAGGTGGCAGTGAACTGAGATCACACCATGGTACTCCAGCCTGAGTGACAGAACAAGAAACTGTCTCAAAAACAAACAAACAAACCAACAAAAACAACTCTTGCAAAAGGGCTAAGGAGGAAATGAAAAAACAAAAGAGAATGGATTGAAAGTCTAACTTCAGTCTTTGGCTGGTTTGGTAGGTCTACCACAGGGCTCAGAAGTCTCAATGCTGAACAAAGTGATTCCCAGGCAAGGTGATATTTAAGAAGCTGAGTATAGGCTGGGCACAGTGGCTCACGCCTGTAATCCTAGCACTTTGAGAAGCCTAGGTGGGCGGATCACCTGAGGTCAGGAGTTCAAGACCAGCCTGACCAACATGGTGAAACGCTTTCTCTACTAAAAATACAAAAAAAAAAAAAATAGCCAGACATGGTGGTGGGTGCCTGTAATCCCAGCTATTTGGGAGGCTGAGACAGGAGAATCACTTGAACCCAGGAGGCAGAGATTGCAGTGAGCTGGGATGGAGCCACTGCACTCTAGCCTGGGCGACAGAGCAATACTCTGTTGAAAAAGAAAAAGAGAAAGAGAGAGAGAGAGAAAGAAAGGAGGGAGGAGGGAGGGAGGAGGGATGGAGGAGGGAGGGAGGAGGGAGGAGGGAGGGAGGGGAGGGGACGAGTTGAGGTTGAGACTACTGGCCTACCCAACCGTTAGGGACCCCATTTGTACTACTGCCCCTGGTTGTTGCTGAACTCTTCTGCTCCCTCACCTTGGCCTAAGCAGCTCAATCTGTGACAACACCAAAACGCCAAGACCCATCTCCCATGCCCCTTCTTCCGAACACCCTCAACTCTTTGCCCAAGTCCATATTTATTATGGGAAAATGCAGGACTTAGAATCAAGTCCGAGTTTGAATCTTGGCTCAGCTACTTACTGGTTAGGTAGCCCCAGTCAAATAACCTAAGCTCTCTTCTGCAGCTCAGTTTTGTCACCTGAAAATGGTACATTTCACAGGATTGTCCTAAGAATCCTGAGAGTCAATGCAAATACCACCCCAACCCGATTCCCAGCAGGAAATATGCAACGGGTCAGTGCTGTTTTGGATTCATCCCTCTCCCCGTATGCCTTCTGCAGACATCCTCTCTTCCTCCTCCCATCTTGCGCTATACCCCACTTCTAAGGCGGCTCTTTTCCATAACACTAGATTCATCACTCGTGTCCATGTCCCCCAGAACGTCGCACATGCCCAGGAGAGTGCTGTGCCTTAAGCATCTCTGTACCTGGCACCCCCATCAGAGTAGTCCTGGACAGAGCGACTATTCAACATTTGTTGCCTAATCGCATTCTCTGTCATCCTTGCTAATGAAGGGGAGGAACGAGGGTGGAGAAATGAGAACGCATGATCAGGAAGTGATTCAACACCCATTTTTTGGTCTAATGCCTAATTTTTACAGTAATTTTTAGCTTCCAAATTAAGTATTATACAGACTCATACTCAAATGCCTTCTGTCCTTTCACAAACATGGGGTGAGTAATTGTTTAAAATAATTGAGATTTTCATGGGTGTGGAAAAGGGCCAACGCAGAATTTTCGAAGCTTCACAGATAATCTACTGAAGTCTACTGATAGAATCACAGACTCACTTAGAGTCAAAGGGGACTTTAGGAGACCATTTAATCTAAAAACCTCACTTAACAGAAGAAAAGGCTGACACCAAAGAGATTCAGTGGCTTTCCCAAAGCCCCAGAGCAAGCTGGTCTGTCCCAAGTTGACTGTGCTACCCTCTACCCCTACTTGACAACTCAGAATCTTGTAAGAAATTCTGCGGGCTACAGAGTAAAGGCCAGGTTTAAGTTACCACCTCCCCCATTATCAGGGAAGGAATCCCAAAGCTGAAGTCCGAGATGAATCAGTGTCAGCAATAACTGAATGCAATCGATCCCATAGCATTCCCCGATATTCTGATAGAAACTACTCCAAGAAAACCCAGCACTAGAAAATTTGTGGCCACTAATGAACAGGGCTAATAATCCTGTTAAATACTTGCTTCACAAAGATAAATCAAACCTCACAAACTTAAACCCATTAATATCCCATGACTTCCTTAGAAGTAGGTAGAGAAACAAGCAATTTTGTAAGTCACACTAGAATCCCCTCCCAGCAGCACAGCTAAAGTTGGGGATTTCAAAACAAAACATACAGATGTTATACTTTTGGTCTAAGTCTCTGAATAAAAGGTACGCCTCCCTCTGCTGTAAATTACACTTTAAAATAGGAACAGTTTAAAAGCAGTTTGTATCCTGATTGGTATCTGAGAACAGAAGAAGGACATTGGTGGGGAAACTGGTGACATCCAAATAAAGTCTGGAGTTTAGGGAATAGTAACAAACAAATGTTAATTCTTAGCTTTGACAAATGTGTCATGATTATTTATGTAAGATGTTCACATTGGGGGAAACTGGATGAAGGGCACTATTCAGAAATTCCCTGTATTATTTTTGCAACATTTCTTAAAATCTAAAATACTTCCAAATAAAGAGCTTATTAAAAGTTAATGATTATAACATGCCCAGGCACGGTGGCTCATGCCTGAAATCCCAGCACTTTGGGAGGCTGAGGTGGGCAGATCACTTGAGGTCAAGAGTTTGAGACCAGCCTGGTCAATATGGTGAAACCCTGTTTCTACTAAAAATACAAAAATTAGCCAGGTGTGGTGATGCACTCCTGTAGTCCCAGCTGCTCGGAAGGCTGAGGTGGAAGAATCAGTCAAACCCAGGAGGCAGAGGTTGCAGTGAGACAAAATCACACCACTGTACTCCAGCCTGGGCAACAGAGTCAGACTCCATCTCAAAAAAAAAACAAAAAACAAAAAACAAAAAAAAAAAACAGTATTAACAGTATCACTTACTCAGTATATCCAATCAGAGAATAATTCCCCTCTAAATCTAATTTTCAAAGGTTTACTACACTAATGTGAAATTCCTAGTCCACTTTGGAATATCACAGAATGTACGTTGTAGGGCTTCTAATTAAACATGGCCAATGGAACACAAGCTTCCAAATTCTCACTGGAGTAAAGGTACAGGGATATGAAGGATCCAAAGGCCAAAGTCAGAAGGAAAGGAAGAGGACATGGCAGCCACATTTTGGAAGCTTGAAGAGAGAAGCAGGTAATCGCTGATGGATGCTCAAGAAGGCTGCCACCTGGGGCTGAAGGAAGAGACTAGAAGGAAGGTGCTTCATCCCACAAAGCCCCAGAATAGCCAGGGAGCCTTTGACAATGAGTGTGCAGATGGGCCTAAAAGAGACCTGATGGAAGCCTGGGTAAGAAGCAAGTAAACTCCAGATTCCTCCTGTACCCCAGGCAGCCAGGCAACTGTCCCACCAGACATTGCAGGACCCCCAGCCCAGCTAAGGGTGGGGATACCAGGCTGAAAACAGGAGAAAAAGTGATAGTTTATGTGCTGGAATGGGGGCACCCAGCATCTTCCCACATCTTCACCCTGATTTCACAATGAAAATCCAATGCGAGTAAAGAATCCTATGTACAAAAACTCAATTTTCAGAAATGTTTCTGCATGATAACCTTAACACCCACCTGGACTGTGCATTTGTGGAAGGCTTGTAAATCACAGCCTTAACAGCAGAAGGCTGAAAGGGACTGGAGAAAACATTTAAAATCACCAGATATTTACAAGCTCTTCTTCATAGTCCCTGAGAACAAAATCCCTGTTTCCCTCCTGTAGTTCTCAAAACCTAGAAAGGCTCATAATCCGATCTCTTTTCTCAAAATATCATGCAAAATGCCCCAGGGATCTGTACTTTATAATGCTATTAATTTCCCTCTGGTGTCAGAGGTACCAGCATAGAATGATTTAAAAAAAAAATCAACTTAACACCTACCCCACATTAGGCAAACCTTTCCATTTCTGTGTAAGTGTTCATTTTGAAGGAATTTCAGCTCTGGCAATAGAAATGAATTTGTGAAGAGTTAAGGGATACATCAGAATATTCTGGCACGATGGGTACAGTTGAGCATTTCCTTTATTATAGTAGTGACAGTTTCAATACCAAAACAAAATCCAAGCCACAAAACAAAATTTTTCTCGTAACAAATAGGGGAAAGAAAATTATTGCACATAGCTCACTTACAATGCACTGAATGTGTCAACTCTTCACACCTCTAAAAAGGTACACAGAGGTAGGACAGGAAGACACAGTTCAAAAGAACAGCACCCAACTCAGTGCCTACTATGGAGCAGATCCTCCCTCATGTTTATTGAACCAAAGGAACATAGACTCTAACCTCAAGGAGGTTACTGTGTACTTAAGGAGGACACACAAACTTGCAATCCATGTAGGTCAAAGCAATAATCAGAAAGAGGCTGGGCATGGTAGCTCACGCCTGTAATCCCAGTACTTTGGGAAGCCAAGGCAGGCAGATCGCCTGAGGTCAGGAGTTCGAGACCAGCATGGCCAACGTGGTGAAACCCCATCTCTACTAAAAATACAAAAATCAGCCGAGCATGTTGGCGGGCACCTGTAATCTCAGCTACTTGGGAGGCTGAGGCAGTAAGAATTGCTTGAACCTGGGAGGCGGAGGTTGCAGTGAGCCGAGAACACGCCATTGCACTGCAGCCTGGGCAACAAGAGTGAAACTCCGTCTCAAAATGAATAATAATAATAAGAAGAAGAATTACCCAGAAAGTACAGAAGCCAAGAGTTGTCTCCAAGTTGTTCTCCAAATCAGATATAAAATTAACAGTTAAAAGTCAATCAGCAATTCCTAAGCAGAGACTGTTACACGGCCAACACTCTGCCAGACCCCAGGGGGTTGCAAGAGAGGAAGAAAGAGCTAGTGTGGATCTGGGCGCTGCCTCCAGGAGCTGGCTCTGGACTATAATAAGAGAGGCTACAGAAGACATATGATAGGATAAATTAAGAAAGTCTGCAGTCATGCCAAGAAAGGGGATACCAATATTGTTTCAAAATTTAAAAAGCAGAACATCAAAGAACAGGGAGGGGCTCTGGAAGGCTGGACACAATTTGGAAAGGAAATGAGGTTAGGAACTTTCTAGCTGGGAAGCGCAGAGTGGGCAGAGTCTGGAGGCAAGTACACAGAGGCTTATGTTGTGGAGTCCACAAGGCGAAAGAAGGCAGGGAGGAGTTTACAACCAGACATTTGGGTATAATGATGAAACCAGGCAGAATGGTTTGGACTTCACACAATGGGTGGCTTGTTTCCAACTCTGGTTGTACTATAAAATCAACCTGGAGTTTTCAAGCTACAGATGTCAGCTCCCCTCCACAACCTACAGAAACAGATTTGCCAGGGCAGGGGTATGGACACTGTGTTTTAAAGCCTCACACGTGATGCTGCAGCAGCTTAGCCAGCATGGAGCAGGTCAGCATTAAGTACCCACTGTCTTCGGCAGGGTAACGGAGGCATTTTGGAAGGGTAACTTGGCATCAGCAAGCAGAATTGATTTAAGTGGGGAGATGGGACACCAACATCCAGCTGTTGGGCTCTGGACATAATCCAGATGTGACACAGGGCAGGAGACCAGAGAGCAGACAGAGAAACTTGGAAGAAGGAAGGAATCTGCAGGTAACCCTCCAGAATGAGGCTGCCCATGTCTGTTCAATATCAAGTCAGTCAATCAGAAACCCATGATGAGCGGCCACATGAATTTTGCATTGAGTCAGCCTTAAATTTGGCATGTCAGTTATTAATCATGACTCAGTATGAATCAAATCCATATGGGAGCTATATCTGTACTTAATTTGCTTTTATCAAGAAGCCTTCATAATATACCAGCTTTAAATAATTTTACAGAATTAAACCCAACGGCTCAAAATTATAATCAATTACATTCAGCTTCAATTACAGTTATTAATTAACGTAGATGGGCTTGAATGACCTGACTCTTCTTAGCTACGCCTACCCAGTGATAATGATGGGCAGGAGCTTGGCTTACAATCTCCAAACTAGGAAAAAGTACTTTTGCTTAAATAAGAAAAAAAAAAAATCTACCATATGACCCAGTCATTCCTCTCCTTGTTCCCCAAGAGAAATGAAAACATACGTCCACACAAAGACTTGCACAAGAATGTTCACAGCAGCTTTATTCACAGTAGCCCCAAACTGGAAATAACCCAAATGTCCATCAACAGGAGAATGAATAAACACATTGTAGTATATTTATGAAATGAAATACTCCTTAGCAATAAAAGGGAACAAACTACTATCATGCCGACATTGGATGAATCTCAAAATCATTACACGGAGTGAAAGAAGACAAACAACAAAAACTATATGGATACTACACGATTCCTTTTAAGCACAAGGGTATGCAAAACTACTCTGTGGTTAGAAGTCATTAGTTGGTGGCTGGGAGGGAGCCTGACTTAGGGACTAGGAGCTCTTTCAGGGATGTTAGAAATGTTCTCTATCTCAGCTGGACATGGTGGCTCATGCCTGTAATTCCAGCAATTTGGGAGGCCGAGGCAGGTGGATCACTTGAGGCCAGGAGTTCAAGACCAGCCTGGCCAATGTGGTAAAACCTCACCTCTACAAAAAATACAAAAATTAGCTGGGGATGGTGGTGGGTACCTGTAATCCCAGCTACTCAGGAGGAGGCTGAGGCAGGAGAATCACTTGAACCTGGGAGGTGGAGGTTGCAGTGAGCCAAAATCACGCCACTGCACTCCAGCCTGGGTGATAGAGCAAGACTCTGTCTCAGAAAAAAAAAAAAAAAAAAGAAAAGAAATGTTCTCTCATTTTGGGTGGTGGTTATACAGATACACACCACTGACCAAACTCACTGGGCTGACACTTTAAGATCTGGGCATATTGTATATGTATTAGATCTGGTTTTTAAGTCTCAAAAAGGCTACCTGCTCCCCCAATTCTGATGAGCCACATTTGCTACACAGACAGCATGTTGGGTATCCAGGTTCTGGGGTCTATCCTAAAATGGCCTCTCTGGGGTAGCCTTGGGTACAGTCACTAAGTACCTGACAAGGCCCAGGCCCATTCTCAAACTCTAAGTACCAGCAGTGTTAAACCAGCATGGAAGTCATACCCAAAGGGACCTCCCAGCATCCATTCTCAGTGACTGTAGGTCCCCCAGGTGAAGTCCTAGACAGTAATAAGTTCCATACAGCAAGGCAACCATCCAAGACATACCTGGGTTTCAAATTTATTGACCAGTCACCTAATTCTACCTCCAGTGCCATGAAAACAGAGTTAAAAAAAAAAAAAAAAAAAAAAAAAAGCCTCCATGCCCAGTCCTGCTCCAAAACTAAGCTCCTATATTTCTTTTTTTTCCAAGTGCAACTCAGCTCAGCCAACATTTACTAAGCAACTACCATGAGTGAGATGCCCAGCTGGACTGGAGCTCCCATTGGCAATGATCTCAGCTACACCTAATGTAAGACTGCTGTGCTCCAGTCTAATAACGCTTAGGCTTTTTTGTTTGAGTTCAATGTTCCTCTTCTACAAACCCATTACTCTGAATAATAGAAATGGCAAGTATACTCATTACTTTGGTCCTTTCAAGGCAGATCCAGACCAGCCAGATGAGAAAGACTCCCAGAAACCTTCAGTTTGCCAAAATTGTTAACTCCATGCAGACTTAAAAAACAACAGCAACAACAAAAAAACACAGAGTGATGTGGGGCATCCTTATTAAACCTTTTCACCAGCTGGTCATCAAGAGAGTGAGAACATGTTGCCCCAAGCTGCCTCCCGTGGCACTCAGCCACCAACCCATCAGCACTCTCTCAGCTCAGGTCTGTTGATGGGCATCGCACCAGCTGCTCAAGCCTCCCCAACCCCAGCATCACCACTCACTCACACTGATCCAATCTGTTCCAGATCTAGCTGCTAAGAAAGCAGCCCCTCCTATGTTTGAAGGAGAAGAGAAGACTCGGCAGTCTGGCTCCACTGATACAAAACGCAAAGATCTATAAGAGAGGAGTTTCTCCCCCTTCACTCATCTCCCTCAAGATGGAGATGACAAACCACCCACCTGCTAGCTTCATGCCTCTTTTCTTGGCTCAAACGAGCCATGAGGCTTGGAGGCAGATCTTCAAGGTCAAGGGAAAAGAAAGATGCTCCTCCTTGTTCTAAATAGTATTACATTTCATTCCACCACTCGTGAAAATACAGGTTCTGAAAGTGTATTCTGTCCTAATTCACCAGAGGGATGCAGCAGTCTCCCATGCGTATGGTGGCCATGATTCCTGGGAGATGGAAGGCAGGAGGTAAGGAGTGATGGGGCAGAATCCCAAAGGAGAACTGGATGTCCTACGAAAAAGCCCCCTCCTAGGACTGCCCGATATAGCAAATAAAAATACAGGATGAACAGTTACATGATAATTTCAGATAAAGAATAAATACTTGTTTTAGTATAAGCATGTCCCTAATACTACATGTTTTTC
Organism: Homo sapiens; assembly: GCF_000001405.40. NCBI lineage: Eukaryota > Metazoa > Chordata > Mammalia > Primates > Hominidae > Homo > Homo sapiens. Next base: position 73,046,581 of record NC_000017.11, read on the forward strand.
CTGGCTATACTACCCCCACCAGTAATTATCGTCATCTTCTCTCTCTGTCTCTGTCTCTCTTTCTCTCTCTAAGGAAGGTAATACAGGCCTAGCACAGTGACTCACACCCCCAGCACTTCGGGAGGTCGAAGTGGGCAGATCCCTTGAGCCCAGGAGTTCCAGACCAGCCTGGGCAACATGGCAAAACCCCATCTCCACTAAAAGGCAAAAGTTAGCCGGGCGTGGTGGCGCATGTCCATAGTCCCAGCTACTTGGGAGGCTGAAGTGGGGGCATCGCTTGAGCCCGGGCGGTTGAGGCTGCAGTGAGCTGTAATCTCATCACTGCACTCCAGCCTGAGCAACAGAGTGTGACCCAGTCTCAAAAAGACAAAAACAAAAAATAAAAAACGAAAGGTAATGTAGCCTAGTAGAAAGAAGAACCACCTTCTTCTTTTTTTATTTTATTTATTTTTTTTTTTTTTTGAGACGGAGTCTCGCTCTGTTGCCCAGGCTGGAGTGCAGTGGCACCATCTCGGCTCACTGCAGGCTCCACCTCCCAGGTTCACACCATTCTCCCGCCTCAGCCTCCCGAGTAGCTGGGACTACAGGCTCCCGCCACCACGCCCGGCTAATTTTTTGTGTTTTTAGCACAGATGGGGTTGCACCGTGTTAGCCAGGATGGTCTCGATCTCCTGACCTCGTGATCCGCCCGCCTCGGCCTCCCAAAGTGCTGGGATTACAGGCGTGAGCCACCGCGCCCGGCAAGAAGAACCACCTTCTGTCAGTCAGACTACCTGGATTCAAATCCAAGCTCCACCATTCACCAGCTGGGGGATGTTGGGTAAGAGATTAACCTCTCTGGAGCTACTATTTATTCCTATGTAAAATGGAAATAATAATAGAAATAGTAACACTCGTAAATAAAATAACATTTACATACAGAGAAACTTTCTTAATCCTCCTAACACTAAGAGTTAGGTATTACTGTTATTCCTATTTCTCATATGGGGAAACAGAGGCTGGAGAGGTTAAATAATTGAACAAGGTCACAGAATTAGTAAGCAGCAGAGCCAAGATTCAGGCCCAGCCAGTGTGGCACTTAAAAAAATAAAAATAAAAATAAATAGGCTGGGCGAGGTAGCGCACATCTGTAATCCCAGCACTTTGGTAGGCTGAAGCGGGCAGATCACTTGAGGTCAGGAGTTTGAGACCAGCCTGGCCAACATGGTGAAACCCCGTCTCTACTAAAAATACAAAAATTAGCTGGGCGTGGTGGCATGTGCCTGTAATCCCAGCTACTCAGGAGGCTGAGGCAGGAGAATCGCTTGAACCCAGGAGGCAGAGGTTGCAGTGAGGCAAGATCGTGCCACTGCACTCCAATCTGGCGACAGAGCAAGACTCCATCTCAAAAAAAAAAAAAAAAAAAAAAAAATATATATATATATATATATATATATATATATATATCATGTATAGTTACCCTGTGCCAACCTTTACATTTAGATTCTTTTAATTTCAGCTTTTAGTTTGGATATGAGGGTACAGGTACAGCTTTGTTACATGGGTATACTGCACCCAGGTAGTGACCACAGCACCCAATAGTACTTTTCCAAACCACATCCCCCTCCTTCTCTCCCCTCCTTAGAGTCTTCAGTGCTTCTTTTTCCCATCTTTATGTCCATGTGTGCTCAATGCTTAGCTCCCATTTATAAGTGAGAACAGGCGGTATTTGGTTTTCTGTTTCTGTGTTAATTCGCTTAGGATAATGGCCTCCAGCTCCATCCATGTTGCTAGAAAGTACATGATCCCATTCTTTTTTATGACTGCATAGTATTCCATGGTGCACATGTACCACATTTTCTCCACCCAGTCCACCACGGATGGGCACCTAGGTTGACTGCATGTCTTTGCTGTTGTGAATAACGCTGTGATGAACACATGAGTGCCTGTGTCTTTTTAATATAATCATCTATTTTCATTTGGGTGTATACCCAGTAATGGGATTGCTGGGTCAAACGGTAGCTCTGTTTTAAGCTCTTTGAGAAATTGCCAAACTGCTTTCCACAGTGGCTGAACTAATTCTAGCCCTGCTTGTGACTATAACACCATCCTACCTCCTGAGGTGGAGCTTATCTCCTAGGGTGGTGGTAAGGATTAAATGAGATTATGTGTGCCAAATTCTCAGCACAAAAACTGGCCTACAAGCGGATACTACGTATGTTTATTATGTCTCTATTCTTACTATTATTGCAGCCAATGACTTGAGAAAAGGGGTTGAATCAAACCCCTATGATCTAAATGCTAGAGTTCCTGGGGAATTTAAGCCCAATTTACCCATCCTGAACATGGTAGATACAGGTGTCTGTGAATAGATAATAACGCAGATGTGCTGCGTGACCAGATGGATACACACACACAACAAATGACAAAGGGGTGTCATTCCCAGCAGCCCAGGGGTCCCTCGGCGATGCTGTAAGTTTCAGTCCAATTCAATGCTATGTATAAGTGAGCTGCTATTTGTACACAGGTCTGTAGACAAAGAACTGTGCCACCCAACTGCGAGAGTGAGTCGGCAAGTAGCTGGGATTCCAGACAGCCAGGAGCTCAAAGTTTCAAGCAGGGCAGGATCTGGCAGAGGATATATCATAAGGCCAAAGGCGCTACAGCACTCCAAGAGGGTCCAGAGAGGGACTGGGGGCAGGGGCTTCAACTAGATGCATCCAGGCAAGGCTGCACAGAGCGCTATGCGAAAGGATGCAGGAAAGGCTGAGAAGCAGGTTAGGGTTGGGACCAGGAGCAGCTGGGCGGATGCGCCTTCCAGGGCAGGAGCAGCTGGGCGGACGCGCCTTCCAGGAGCAGCAGGGCAGGTTTAGGGAACAGAAGAGGTCAAGGCAGGGCACAGGTATATGTGAACATGTCCTGGGAGGAAGCCTGGAAAGGGGATGGAAATATGCCAAGGAGAGTCAAGAACCCTGTGCCAAGATGCTTACAGCTTATTCAGTAAGAACTAAGGAACCAAGGAAAACTTCGGGGTAGGGGCAGTTAAAGAATCTCAAATATGATTTAGGAAGATGATGCTGAGGGCAGCATTAATAAATTCTGCAATATTTTTCAAGTGCCTACTCTCTGCCGTGCACTAGGGATTGTAATGAACAAGACAGGCAAATTCCCCGCCTGAGAGGGGCTTCCACTCCAGTAAGAGCAGACTGGCCATAAACAAGAAAGCAAACAGACAAGAAACTCAAGAGAACGAGGAATGACATGAAGGAAATGAAATGAGGTCCCAGGCACAGTGGCTCACGCCTATAATCCCAGCACTTCAGCAGGCTGAGGCAGGCAGATCACTTGAGTCCAGGACTTTGAGACCAGCTTGGCCAACATGGTGAAACCCCATCCCTACTAAAAATACAAAAATTAGCCGGGCGGAGTGGCACGTCTGTAATCCCAGCTACTCAGGAGGCTGAGGCACGAGAATCACTTGAACCCGGGAAGAAGAGGTTGCAGTGAGCTGAGATTGCACCACTGCACTCCAGCTTGGGCAACAGAGTGAGACTGTCTCTATTTAAAAGCAAACAAACAAACAAACATGTCCGGGGGTGGAGAGTAACAGTGTGGACTCCATTTGACTTGGGTAGTCAGGGAAGGCTTCTCTGAGGAGGTGACATTTGAGCTGAGCCCTGAATGGTGAGAAGGAGCCATATACAATTCTAAATAGAAGGCATATCAAATTCTTAAGGTCAGAACAAGTTTGGTCTGTTTGTGGCAAAAAAAAAAAAAAAAAAAAGACCTTGGCAGAAGCAGAATGACCAAAGCAGGAAGGGTTATCAGCGGGGAGGAGAGTGGGTCCTCATGGGCCATGAGGCAGTTAGGATCTTATAGGAGCAGGGAGCCATGTGAACTGACTTTTTTTTTTTTTTTTTTTGAGACACAGTTTCACTCTGTCGCCCAGGCTGGAGTGCAGTGGCTCAATCTTGGCTCACTGCAACCTCTGCCTCCCGAGTTCAAGTAGTTCTCATGCCTCAGCCTCCCAAGTAGCTGGGACTGCAGGCACGCACCACCACACCCAGCGAATTTTTATATTTTTTACTAGAGACAGGGTTTCACCATGTTGGCCAGGCTGGTCTTGAACTCTTGACCTCAAGTGATCCGCCCATCTCGGCCTCCCAAAGTGCTGGGATTACAGGCGTGAGCCACCATGCCTGGCCTGACTTGCATTTTTAAAGCTCTCTTCTGGGGATGGGGGAGGTGAAAGGGAAGGGATGGAGTGGGCAAGAGCAGAGAGACCAGCAGAAAGGCCCCTTGAGGGGCATGGACCAGTGTCATCAGTGCAGGTGAGGAAAGATGATCCAATTCGGGATGTATTTTGGAGGGAGGGATTACAGGGCTTGTCAATGGAAGAATAAGGCAAGATCCAGTAAAAGAGAATGTATTGGTTTCCTGGAGCTGCTATAACAAAAGACTGCAAACTGAGTGGCTTATAACAACAGAAATTCATTCTCTCACGGTTCTAGAAGTTAGAAATGCAAAATCAAGGTGTCAGCTGGGCCACGCTCCCTCTAAAGGCTCTTGGGAAGAAAGCTTCCCTGCCTCTAGTGGCTGCCAGAAGCCCTCGGTGTTCCTTGACTTGTGGATACATCACTCCAGTCACCCGGCCACCCTCACCTGTCTGTTTGTCTGTGTCCCTCTTCTTATAAGGACACCAGTCCTAATGTGGTATGACCTCATCTTAACTTGATTAAATTTCCATGACAGTAACTTGTTTATATCCACAAAGACCCCATTTCCGAGCCCTAAAAAGACCTGTGAAGGTCACATTCACAGGTTCTGTGCAGACAGGAATTTGCAGGGTGAGGACATTTTCCAACCCAAGGCAGACAGGAATCCAGATGACTCAGGTTTGGGGACTGTGCAACTTGGTAGAAGGTGGCAGCCTTGACTGAGAAGAGACACAGTGAAGGAGGACAGGTTAGGAGGTGAGGATGGAATAGGAAGTGAGGGGGAGCCGTCAAGAGTTCAGGCCAGTCGCCGTGGTTCAGGCCTGTAATCCCGGCACTTTGGGAGGCCGAGGCGGGCGGATCACCTGAGGTCAGGAGTTCGAGACCAGCCCGGCCAACATGGTGAAACCCTGTGTCTACAAAAAATACAAAAATTAGCCAGGTGTGGTGGCATGTGCCTATAATCCCAACTACTCAGGTGGCTGAGACCAAAGAATCGCTTGAACCCAGGAAGTGGAGGTTGCAGTCAGCTGAGATCTCGCCACTGTACTGCAGCCTGGGTGACAAAGCGAGATTCCATCTCAAAAGCAAAAAGCAAAAAGTTTGTTGGTGCCAGAGGGAATGTCGAAACTCATCTGTAATGGAAGAAAAATCAAAGAAAATGTATCATCAGGCTTAGGACACTGATTCAGACCCGTGTCACCTCTATGGGCCTCAGTTTTGTCAGCTGTAAAATTGGAATAACCATCCCCAGCTCCATCAAGTGGTCGTGAAGACAAAATGAGCTCATCTGTGTTCTAGGCACTCAACATGTTGGCTATTTCTAATACAAGGTGCCCCGTTTTTTACCGAGTGTTAAGTGCAAGCCCCCCAGTGTTGCTGACAGAGACCAAATCAACCCCAGAAAAAAAAAAGAAGAAAGCCTCTCAGAGGGAATCTGGAGAATCCAGGGGGACAACATTTATAACAAGAAAAACCTCTCATTATTATCAGACAGATAAGGATGCATGAAATAAACCCATAAAGACAGGATGCTAGAGGGGAAAAAAAAAACAGGAAGACTAAGAGAGTTTTCAAAACCTAAAACTGCAAAAACAACCGAAAACACTTTGCTCTTTTTATGGAATCAATGAAATTTTCCACCACGCAGAACAAAGCAGCAAACAGATGATAAAATAAAGAGCGAAAAGAGAGGAGAGTGAGAGATTAAGTCCAGGAAGGCCAGTAGCCAACTAATAAGACTAATAAAGAGAGGACAGAGGACCAGCCAGGGGAACTATTAAAGGCATATAAAATAACATTTACCAGAACTCAGGGACACTGGCTTCCAAACTGAGAAACTGCAGAACACATTTATTTAGAAATGTGGGAGAAAATGTCTCAAAAAGCAGACAAAAGTGGTTACTACTGGAAAAGAGGGCAGGACCATGGAAGGTGAGGTAGAGAATTAGTGGTTTTATTCCTGCCCAAGCTGCAGTCACAGTGGCACAATCTTGGCTCACTGCAACCTCCACCTCCCGGGTTCAAGCAATTCTCCTGCCTCTGCCTCCCGAGTAGCTGGAATTACAGGAGCGTGCCATCATGCCTGGCTAATTTTTGCATTTTTAGTAGAGACAAGGTTTCACCATGTTGGCCAGGCTGGTCTCGAACTCCTGACCTCAGGTGATCAGCCTGCCTCAGCCTCCCAAAGTGCTGGGATTATAGGCATGAGCCACTGAGCCTGGCCAACCTAATGTTTAAAAACATGTTCTTTCACTTAATGTATTCTAATCTTTTTCTTGTTATGTTGGTGGTTACATATTACTCCATCACATGAGCTGAGATGAGTTCACTCCAGTGAGACGGAGGCTACAGTGAGCCAAGATTGTGCCAATGCATTCCAGCCTGGGCAACAGAGCGCGACCCCATCTCAAACAAAACAACAACAGAAACAACCATTATGTATGGTATGAGCCCATTTGATTTTCTTTTTTTTTTTTAATTATATATGAAGAAAAAACGATAGAAGATTGATACTACTGAGAAGAAAGTTTATAGGAGTCTGTATGGAGAAGTTAATCAACTAGGGATAAAAGAGGTAAGTAGTAACCCTGAGGGCCACATACTAGAGGAAAACTGATACCCACAGTCGCAGACTTACATCAAACCCAAACAGCTCATGTGTCTCCCACCCATTTTATATGAATAGTCATCAACATGTATTGATGAGCATTTGCTATGTGTCAATTACTGTGTTAAATGCTTGAAATATACTTACTCATTTCATCTGTACAGCAATCCTATACAGGAGACAGTACTATCATCTCCATTTTACAAATGGGGAAACTCAGGCTTACAAAGTCTAGCTAACTAGCCCGAGCTCCCACAACTAGTGATTAGCGAAACCAGGATCAAACCCAAGCAAGGTGACCCCAGGATTCTTTATAATGCCAGAATACATGTCCACTAATAAAAAAGGGCTCCAGCCCATGGTGCCGACCGCCCCCTGCCCTGAGCTCACCCCACGCAGCTGATGGTTTGAGACATTTCCTGGCATGACTGCATCCTGAGATGTTCATCATAATTAAAACGTGGGGAAATTTTCAAACTGCTTCAGAGATGTAATGAGTTTACATTCAATTAGTTTCTTCCTTCATTGGGAGAATCAGAAAGACTGATTTCCGTATAGACTCAGCAGGGAGGATTTCTTGCTGCCTATTTTGAGATTTCATTCTGATGTTCCAGTAATATAAATCAGCACACATGGGGGGTCTGGAAAAATCAAGCTGAGCTGAGAGGCAGCCAACCCCAAAGAAAATCTCTAATGCGGGCCAGGTGTGGTGGCTCATGCCTGTAATCCCAGCACTTTGGGAGGCCGAGGTGGGTGGACCACACAGTCCGGAGTTCGAGACCAGCCTGACCACATGGTGAAACCCCGTGTCTACTAAAAATACAAAAATTAGCTGGGTTTGGTAGCGCATGCCTGTAGTCCCAGCTACTCAGGAGGCTGAGGCAGGAGAATCTCTTGAACCCGGGAGGCGGAGGTTGCAGTGAGCCAAGATCGCCACTGCACTCCAGCCTGGGAGCTGGACCAAGACTCCATCTCGAAAAAAACAAAAAAACAAAAAAAAAAACTCTAATGCACACGCCACATTTATTCAACATTCACTTTAAAAATATTTTTGGATGCCAACTATGTTCTAGGCCCTGTAATAAGGACCAAGGCTCAACAGTGAAAGAGACCGCCTCTGCCCTCAAGGTGCTTCTAGTTTGGGGAGGAAAGAAGACAAACAATTAGAATCCAGAGACAGTGGGAGGCCCAGGCAGGTGGATCACTTGAGGTCAGGAGTTCGAAACTGGCCTGGCCAACATGGTGAAACCCCATCTCTACTAAAAACACAAAAATTAGTCAGGTATGGTGGCATGTGCCTATAATCCCAACTACTCAGGAGGCTGAGGCAAGAGAATCGCTTGAACCTGAGAGGCACAGGTTGCAGTGAGCCAAGATCGTGCCATTGCACTCCAGCCTGGGTGACAGAGCAAGATTCCGTCTCAAAAAAAAAAAAAAAAAGAATTTAGAGACAAGTGCTGGGGAGAGCTGCAGATGCTTATCAAGGGGCTTATCAATCCCATCGTGGAGGGGGCTCAGAAATTAAGAAGCAAAAAAATCTCCTTAAGAAACAAAGACTCGATGACAAGGATCTGGAAGGGATCAGGGTCCAGAAGAGAAGGGCAGAGCAAGTGAACCCCAAGGGCTTTGGGAGCCAGGTCCATGATGAGGTCATATGCTGGAGTAAATGACAAGCAAACTCTCCCTTCACCAGCTGTCAACAATGCACCTCCCAATCCAACCTGCATGATGCCAGGAGTGTCCCTGTCCCAAGCCAGTTGGCTGCTGGCTGTCTCTGGAAGAGAAGGGCTCTTCTGGGGAGTCGAGGGGGGATATGAAATGAATTCCCGTTAGAGTGCTCCACATTCATTCATGCGTGACATTGGGGTGGGGCAGAGGGGAGTTCATGCACATATTTGGGCACATTAAGGCTCTCAAAGGAAGCAGAGGTCCACAGGAGGTAGGACCTGTTTAAGCCTGAGGATGTCTGCACAATTGAGTCTCACCCGGCAACTGCAACCTGGCCTGGGACATAGACTAACTGAAAGCCTAGCTTAGGAGTACACTTTTTTTTCTTTTTTTTTTTTAGAGAGGGTCTCACTCAGTTGCCCAGGCTGGAGTGCAGTGGTACAATCACAGCTCACTGCAGCCTCAACCTCCCGGGCTCAAGCAATCCTCTCACCTCACCCTCCCGATTAGCTAGGACGACAGGCACATTGCCACCATGGCTGGATAATTTGTGTATGTAGAAATGAGGGAAGGCGGGTAGGGGGCGAGGGGCAGGGGTGGAGGGGAGCGGAGACCTCCCTATGTTGCCCAGGTTGGTCTTGAACTCCTGGGCTCAAACGATTCTCCTGCCTCAACCTCTGAAAGTGCTGGGATTAGTAAGCCACCAAATCTTAATCAATCATAGCAGCTGAGCGTCAGTCAATCATAGGCAGCCAGCTGGTTCAAATAAGGCAAAACACCAGGCTGTAACCAATTAGGCTATCTCTGTGCAGCCCTTCCATCTTCTGTCCATAAATGTCCCCTGACCACGTTGCAGCCCTGGGCTTCTCAAGCCATTCCGGTTCTGTGGGCTGCCTGATTTTTGAATCGTAAATAAAGGTCAATTAAGATCTTTAAATTTGCTGTAATTGTCTTTCTGATACTTTTGGTGCCCACTATGGGGCACAGAGGACACTGCTGGCAACTCCCAAGGCCCCTGGAGGGCACAGGAGAGGCACCGCTGGCCCCGTGAGGTCCCATCTTCCCCACAGAGCCCCGAGGGTGGTGAATGCCTCTCAGATTGGACTCTGGTTTTTTGTTTGTTTGTTTTTTTTTGAGACGGAGTCTCGCTCTGTCACCCAGGCTGGAGTACAGTGGAATAATCTTGGCTCAATGTAACCTCCACCTCCCTGGTTCAAGCAATTCTCCTGCCTCAGCCTCCCGAGTAGCTGGGACTATAGGCGCCATCCACCATGCCTAGCTAATTTTTGTATTTTTAGTGGAGACGGGGTTTCACCATGTTGGCCAGGCTGGTCTGGAACTCCTGACCTCAAGTGATCCACCCGCCTCGGCCTCCCAAAATGCTGAGTTTACAGGCATGAGCCACCGCACCCGGCTGGACTCTGCTCTTTTTACATTGAGTCCCTGATCTTTTTTTGGCTTTTGCATCCAGGATTAGATTGTGCTGGATGAGAGCACGTGAGCTTCTGGGATCTGTGGTGGCTGGCAAGTCACTGGCAAAAGTCAAAGTCATGACAAAGACGGGACTGAGTCCTGTAGGGAGGCCTCAGGTGCCTGCCTGGGTCAAACAAGCTGGCTTGGATCTGGTAGGTGGGGAAGGTTACGAGAAGACAGGGAGTCATGGGTTCACCTGGATCCAAGGGGTCTCCATGAATCTATCCTCCTATCTACTCCTCTAACTGGAACTCCTGCCAATTTCATGTACAAGAACTATGAACCCAGAACCTGTGCTTTTCTAGAGAAAGAGAGAACTTTACCAAGAAGACTTACAGTGGCCACAGTGGGGAAGCTTTAAACTATATTTAATTTTTATTTGTGAGGCACATTAGAAAAGGAAGAATCAAAACACCCCAAAAAACAATGGGATGCATTTTTTTTCTTTTCCTGAGACACAGTCTTGCTCTGTCACCAAGGCTGGAGTGCAGCGGTATGATTTCAACTCACTGCAACCTCTGCCTCCTGAGCTCAATTGATCCTCCCTGCCTCAGCCTCCTGAGTACAGGCACCTGCAACCATGCCCAGTTAATTTTTTGTGGGAGATGTATATACATGTATATCAAGATGGGGTTTCGCCATGTTGTCCAGGCTGGTCTTGAACTCCTGGGCTCAAGCCACGCACCCGCCTTGTCCTCCCAAAGTGCTGGGATTACAGCAGGGGCCGCTGCACCTGGCCAGGATGCACTTTTAACTGGTTTGCAGGGGCATCTAAATGATTAAATGAATCAAACATTGCCTCTTTTAATAGATTCTTTATAAAAGGCAAATAGAAAGCTTAAGTGACTCATTGATGAGAAAAAATATTTTATGTTGACTGACAATTCTGACCGCACCTTTTCTCTATCTTTCTATCCTCCTCTGCCTAGTCTGAATTTACTTTTTCTCTTAGTAACCTTCCAATCTTAAAAACAAAAACAAATAAAAGTGATTTATAAAAGTTAAGCTCTCAGATCAACGAGGTCTGCTTCTTTAGCCACTTTTATGGTTTGGTGAAAATCTTAAATTCAGCCCTGTTCATAATGGGTTTCCACCTGAATTCAGTAATCTAGTTAGAAAATGCAGGCTGAGGCCAGGCGCGGTGGCTCACGCCTGTAATCCTAGCACTTTGGGAGGCCGAGGCGGGCAGATCACTTGAGGTCAGGAGTACGAGACCAGCCTGGCGAACATGGTGAAACCCTGTCTCTACAAAAATACGAAAATTAGCCGGGAACATTGGTAGGTGCCTGTAGTCCCAGCTACTTGGGAGGCTGACGCACAAGAATCGCTTGAACCCCAGAGATGGAGGTTGCAGTGAGCCAAGATCGTGCCACTGCACTCCAGCCTGGGGGACAGAGCAAGACTCTATCTCCAAAAAAAGAAAACACAGGCTGGCTTGGGAAGCTGCCTATCTTTAGTTATTTTAGTTATTTCGTTTTAGACTCTTTTTTTTTTTTTTTTTTGTAAAAGAAATTTACTTCTGTGGGAAAAGTCTCCATTTGTGGGGTGTGTCCCTCTTTGCACCCTAAATCACTAGAAACTTTCAAAATGGAGAAGGTCAAGACTTAACTTTGTTTCACAGGCCTTGCCTTTCACCATTTTGTCTTCACCAGGCTTGCGTGTTTGTTTGTCTTGGCAAATAATACTATTTTGGCCTGAAATCTGGTTATCAGGCTAGCTGACAATCCCTGGGGGCAATAATGAGTAATCGAAGTGTCCTCTGATTTAACCCCCTTGCTAGAATGAAAACAGTCGGGGGATAAAGAAAATATCCGCAGAGTAAATGCGGAAAAGATAGATAGGTCCTTGGAAGAATGGATGATGGGCCAGCTGGGGTGGCCTTCTGATCTCGTCTCCTGTGATAGGAGTTAATCTTGGCCGGGTGCAGTGGCTGACATATGTAACCCCAGCACTTTTGCAGGCCCAGACGGGCAGATCACCTGAGGTCAGGAGTTTGAGACCAGCCTGGCCAACATGGCGAAACCCCCTCTCTACTAAAAATACAACAATTAGCCAGGCATGGTAGCAGGCACCTGTAATACCAGCTCCTAGGGAGAAAGAGGCAAGAGAATTGCTTGAACCTGGGAGGTGGAGGTTGCAGTGAGTCGAGATCGCACCACTGCACTCCAGCCTGGCTGACAGAGCGAAACTCTGTCTCAAAAAAATAAAAAAGGGTTAATCTTCAGAAGACTGACGCAGTTGAGTTCCTTTTGTAGGATCTGTCTTTTGGCAGATGAAAGAGAACTCAGGAGGCCTTGCCCTGTGTTTTGCCTTCAACTCAAAGTAATTAATATACCAAAAATGTGACTACCAAAGCAACACATTTTGGGGTGGCATTCCCTGAATGCTTTCAATGGCTAGTTTTGTTTAGTGAGCAATTAAATAATAACTGTTAAAAAAAAAAGAATAAATTAGGTGAATATGGACAGCATAAAAGTTTATAAATGAATTTGTCATTGTTTCAAAAATCTTTTGCAGCAATTTGGAATTTTAAAGTAATAGATATTTATAAAATGTCTGAGTCATTTCTTAGTTAAAATACTAGAACATTAACTGCTAAACATAAGTTTCAAGTATAAATACTTTGGCATCTTGGTTTTGTACAATATAGAGAAGCTGAATATATTTGGGTTTGTTCATAAACATGAAAACATTGTTCTAGGAGGAAGCACATATTTCTAGAAATTACAAATGTATATTCATGAAATGTTAGTATATAACAGTTTAAAATTGTTTTACTTCTTATGTTTTCACTAGAAATTGAGGTTAGTAACAGTTTAAAATTCTAATCAATATAAGCTAGTGAAAACTGGAAATAAGCCCAGGCATAGTGGCTCACGCCTGTAATCCCAGCACTTTGGGGAGGCTGAGGCAGGCAGATCACCTGAGGTCAGGAGTTCGAGACCAGCCTGACCAACACGGTGAACCCCTGTCTCCACAAAAAATACAAAAATTAGCCGGGCATGGGGGCGGCTGCCACCTCAGGAGGCTGAGACAGGAGAATCACTTGAACCTGGGAAGCTGAGGTTACAGTAAGCCGAGATCGCGCCATTGCACTCCAGCCTGGGCGACAAGACTGAAACTGTCTCCAAAAAAAAAAAAAAACTGGAAATAATATGGGAAACAACTCCATATGCAAGGAAAAAAAAGATATGTTTTTGTTAAGTGAAGCTATGAGGTATGAAATATGTGTCTTTGTTAAGGAAAAAAAGAGTAATTTTCACCCTAACGTAGAATGACAGGTTGCCCCAAAATGAGAAAGAGGGAAGGTATAGATAGGATAAATAAAAAACTGATGGAATATAAGAAGGTTGTAGGAGGTTTGTGGACGGTGAATCATGTGAAAGAAATTTTATTGTGATCAGCAGGGCGTGGTGACTCACCCCTGTAATCCCAGCACTTTGGGAGGCTGAGGCAGGTGGATCACCTGAGGTCAGGAGTTCAAGACCAGCCTGGCCAACATGGTGAAACCTGTCTGTACTAAAAATACAAAAATCGGCCAAGCATGGTGGTGGGTGCCTGTAATCCCAGCTACCTGGGAGGCTAAGGCAGGAGAATTCGCCTGAAGCCGGGAGGCAGAAGTTGCAGTGAGCCGAGATCACGCCACTGCACTCCAGCCTGGGCAACAAGAATGAAACTCCATCTCAAAAAAAAAAAAAAAAAAAAGAAAGAAAAAAGAAAAAAAAAGAAAACAAGGTAAAAAAAAAAAAGTTGGGGGGTTTCTTTACCTTTTAGGAAACTGGCAAAGGAAATGAAGACTGCGTTCTACCAAAATAACTTTTTGTCCTTCACGTTGTCTTTATCAGGTTTTTGATAACTATAGAAAACTATTAAAGAGCTAAGGTTTTTCCTCCAAATATGTTGCTTTTTATATTCACCTTTGAAGTCTTTATCACTCTGGTTAAATTAATGACTATTATTTCATAGTTACTTGTGATCCCATTTTGATGAAATGTTTTAAACCTTGGTGATATTTAAACCAAAATCAAACTCTAAATTTAGTCTTTCTGACCAAGAATTAACTTTGGGATTCTCTTGCTGGGCCCTGAGAAAGCCTCAAAGGATACATCTCTCACCTTGTAAAGGGGAGATATTATACGAATTAGGCTTATTTAGTATACTAAATTATATGGGAAGTACTGTCAAATAATAAGTAATGCTGAACCTTCTTTGAATTTTACTCATATGTGTTCTAGAAAATTGTTTACAATTTTTAGAAATTTGATACGTGATCAGCCATAATTTCAGTTATTATGTTAAATGGTTGTATTCCACAGAAACAACTAAATTTCCTTGTCAATTGTGTCATTATTGAATGAAATTTCAACAGCTCTTTAACCATGGACATTTTAAGTCCTGTCACTCACAGACGGTTGTTTGCTCGGTACTTTCCTAAGCAACTATAAGCCTATATAGTTTTGTCTTCAAGGAGGCTCACGGAAAAGATTCTGACAAGTACAGGTTTGTGATTACTTTAAGATCGTATCATTAAACTGGGTAAGAATTCTCAGAACTCACCGAGCGTGGTGGCTCATGCCTGTAATCCCAGCACTTTGGGAGGCCAAGGCAGGCAGATCCCAAGGTCAGGAGTTCGAGACCAACCTGGCCAACATGGTGAAACCCCGTCTCTACTGAAAATACAAAAATTAGCCGGGAGTGGTAGCAGGTACCTGTAGTCCCAGCTACTCAGGAGACTGAGGCCAGAGAACCGTTTCAACCCAGAAGGCAGAGGTTGCAGTGAGCTGAGATTGCACCACTGCACTCCAGCTTGGGCAACAGGGCAAGACTCTGTCTCAAGGAAAAAAAAATTCTCAGAACTCGTATGAAGAAACTCACTGGTTCATAAAACTGTTAACCCACCATCAAAAGAACAAGAATTACTTAAATGCTAAGTCAGATTTTCATGCTAAGTCAGTTGATTGTGAAATTGTTAAGATATAGAAGCTGAATGAACTCCCTAAGATTTATCCAAGTCAAATCACCTATGATGACCTATTCATTGGACAGGGTTATGCATCTTAATTGGAGAAATAAAACTTGTACTTGAAAGGATGTAAATTCAACATTAAGCGTAGACTCATAGAGGGCTTAGACAACTACTTGGTCTTTTCTGAGTCCTTAAAGCTTCCATTATTAAAAGTTCTGTGCAGGCTGGGCAAGTGGCTCATGCCTACAATCTCAGCACTTTGGGAGGCCAAGGCGAGTGAATTGCTTCTGCTCAGGAGTTCAAGACTAGCCTAGGCAACATGGTGAAACCCCATCTCTACAAAAAAACACGAAAATTAGCCGGGTGTAGTGGCCCAAGCCTGTGGTCCCAGCTACTCAGGGGGCTAAGGTGGGAGGATCACTTGAGACCAAGAGGTCAATGCTGCAGTGACCTCGTGTGATCACGTCACTGCACTCCAGCCTGGGTGACAGACTGAAACCCTGCCTCAAAACAAAACAAAAAAAATCCTCTGTTCCATGACTCTTCATACCACAGACAAAATGAAACAAATTATGGAAAAATAATGGTGTGGCGACTGTTCTAGAATTACTAGGATGGTTTGTAACCAGTGAGTGCTTAGTTTGTCAAACTCATAATCCTGGAAAGACAATCAAAACTTCAGATGAGGCCGGGCGCAGTAGTTCATACCTGTAATCCCAGCACTTTGGGAGGCTTAGGCAGGCAGATCACATGAGCTCACAAGTTCGAGACCACCCTGGGCAACATAGCAAAACCCCATCTCTATAAAAAAAAATACAAAAATTGGGTGTAGTGATGCATGCCTGTAGTCCCAGCTACTTGGGAGGCAGAGGTAGGAGGATGGCTTCCACTTGGGAGGCAGAGGAGGTTACAGTGAGCTAAGATTGCACCACTGCACTCTAGCCTGGGTGATAGTGCCAGAGCTTGTCTCAAAAAAAAAAAAAAAAACTTTAGGTGATACACTTCTGCTACCTGATAGGCCATTTGAACATCTACAGAGGGATTTCATTAAATTGCCACCTTCAATAGGATATCAGTATGTCTTGCAACAGTTTGCATGTTTCCTGGTTGGATAGAAACTTTCCATGTAGAAAAGCTAATGCTATGACAGTAGCAAGGAAGTTATTACAAAATTTATTTCCTTTATGGCAGTGGTCTCCAACCTTTTTGGCACCAGGGACTGGTTTCGTGGAAGACAGTTTTTCCACGGATTGGGGGTGGGGGATGGTTTTGGGATGACACTGTTCCACCTCAAATCATCAGGCGTTAGAGTCTCATAAGGAGACCGTAACCTAGATCCCTTGCACGTGCAGTTCACCATAGGAGTTGTGCTCCTGTGAGAATCTAATTCTGCTGCTGATCTGACAGGAGGAGTTCAGGAGGTAATGAGAGCAATGGAGAGTGGCTGCAAATACAGATGAAGCTTTGCTCACTCACCCGCCACTCACCTCCTGCTGTGTGGCCCAGTTCCTAACAGGCCACAGACCAGTAAGTCTTGGGGGCCTGCTGGGGGTTGGGGGCCCCTGCTTGAGGAGACATCCCTGTCAAAATCTCTAGTGACACAGGAATCCATTTGGACAAATTATAAAAGAGTTAAAATGTTAGAAGCACAAGGTACTAGCATTGTCTCTATCACCCTCAGTCTTTTGGAAAGATAAAAATGACAAAAGGCATTTTTAAAAATGAATTTGACGAAGGTAACTGAATCAATTGGATTGACTTGGCCAAAGGTACTACCGTTAGCACTAATGGCAATCAGATCCATTCTCACTGGGATATACAGATTGACCCCTTATGAAATAATTACTGGAAGGCCTACGCTGCTAATAGAACCTCATGTATCTTTCACTCTTATAAACTCTAATATAATTAAATGCTGCAAGACTTTAACGAATTGTGTCAAAATGTATTTTCAGAGGGTAAAAGAAGCTTTTCAAGGCCAGGTGCAGTGGCGCGTGCCTGTAATCCCAGCTACTCTAAAGGCTGAGGCAGGAGAATCACTTGAACCCGGGAGGCAGAGGTTGCAATGAGCCGAGATCGTGTCACTGCACTCCAGCCTGGGTAACAGAGCAAGGCTCATCTCAAAAAAAAAATTAAAATTAAAATTAAAAATAAAACCTATGGCCACAAGATTATTGCAAGGGTCAGATGAGGTAACGGATGAGAAAGTGCTTCAAAAAGTATAAAGCAATAAACCAATGTCACATAATAATATTTGGGGCTCCTGAGCCCATAAGATGCAAGTGTTCGCTGCCATCAGCCCATGGATACTCTCCCCCACACAGAAATCTTCATGCATAATTACAAAGTGTTCAGCAAATTCACGTCTGTAATCTGTTTAAAGTTTATGCACAGGCAATGACCGTGTGTCCCTTCCTCCATCTTAAATACAATACTAATCTGGTTTCCCCTTGTTTATGCATTTAACAGGTATCTAATTTTTCCACACTCCTGGAGAACTAACTCATTTAGCTCCAGGGCTGTCTTGGTTGATTTCTCTACAAGAAGACCAGCGCCTCAGAAATTGACAGAGGTTTCCAAAGAAATGCTACAGCAAAAAAAAAAGGAAATAAAAAAAAGAAAGAAAACCTACGCACTGGTCGGTGTGAAGCCTCCCCTTCATCTGTGTGTCAGACACACAATTCTCACCATCGGGCCTGATGGTTCCATTTGGTTTGCTGTTCAGTGAGTCTGCAGAAACCAAGCACTGTGGCTCATGGCCCTGAGCCAAAGTCAGATGTGGGATTAGAAGCCAGGGCACAGTGGCAGCAAAGATCAGCTTCCACCAACAAGCTATTAAAAAAGTTTCTCTCCCTGGTATTTTGTTCTTTCTTTTCTCCGGAGGGCACAGAAGCATTAAACAGTCATGACTGAATTTATCCTCCCACCATTTGCACAAAATGGGAGGGAAAGGATTTCAGTCTCTGTGGAGCCTTGAGATGCCTGGAGGTTAAAGGACTTGTGGCTAATCCTGAGGACTCTAAGCAGCTCAGCTAGAAATACAACCTAGGGCTCCAGACTCCCCATCTGTGCTGAAACACTCTCTTTATTACTGTGTAGGATGGAGTTCTGCTTCCTGGCCTCAGCTGCCCAGAGAGGAGGTCCCCCCTCTAAGGAAAGCAGCAGTATTGCAAAGGTGCTCACAGGGACTCCTAAGGTCATATTCCTTAGGGTGGGAGCCACCAGGGAAGGGAAGTGGAATGAGGCCAAGAAAACTCCTTGATCCATCCGGCATCCAACCCTGTAGCCAGCAAACCTCTCCAGGCCCTGGGAAAAGCAGAGAGCAAGGATTCTCAGCCCATAATGTCAGCTCCTCTGGTCTCCGTGCTTCTCTTCTCACCATACTTGGCAGAGGGGGGATAGGGGAAAAAACACAGTTTGGCACTGTATCCCCCTACTCTGCCCCATACCCCTGCCTGAGGAACACCAAGACAGGGCTTCCCCTTTCTCCCTCCTGCTCTCAGTCAAAGTGTCTTTATAGCCATAAATTAAATTTATAAAATGAGACAGAGTCTCCCCAGCAAAGGGGGAAAGAGATTGATTCCTGATTGTGGAAGAGAATTATTATTGGGTCCTTAAAAAAACAAAAAGAGGCCAGGCTCAGTGGCTCACGTCTGTAATCCCAGCACTTTGGGAGGCTGAGGCTGGCAGATCACTTGAGGTCAGGAGTTCGAGACCAGCCTGGCCAAAATGGTGAAACCTCGTCTCTACTAAAAATACAAAAATTAGTTGGGCGTGGTGGCAGGCGCCTGTGATCCCAGCTACTCGGGAGGCTGAGGCAGGAGAATCGCTTGAACCTGGGAGGCAGAGGTTGCAGTGAGCTGAGATCGCACCACTACATTCCAGCCTGGGCAACAGAGCGAGACTCCAGCTCAAAAAATAAAATAAAAATAAACCAATAAAGGTAATACAAGAGCAGGTTAACAAAATCAAGTCATGCTGAAGCTTAGAATATAAAAAAGTTCTCTCTTCCCTGCCTCTTCCAATTCCACAGCCTGGACACACCTGTTCTCAGGAGGTCAGGAATCCTTCCCCCGAGCAAAAAGATTCTGAAGATATTAAGTTACTGTCAGCCATAGAATGTCACCTCACCCAACAGCTAATTCTTGCTTCCAGAATAACACAGCCCTTGGACTGAGAGTTTAGCTCAAATCCTTTCCTCTCAGCAGATCCAGAACACCTACAACTGATCTGGGCCCACAAAGGTTTTACTTCTCTGCCGCTTACAAACAGAGAACACATTAGGCTTAACTGGGGCTTCAAATTTTTTCCACCAATGTTTAAGTTAGTAAACTGAATAGACACTTAGAAAGCCAGCATTTCTTCTCACTGGATGGGAGTTGGTGCCCAAAGGGAGGCTCAGAGGCAGGACGGAGAAAACAAGACAAAGGGGAAGCCCAGTGTCGGGATCAAGTGACAGCTGAGAATGGCCACAATGAAGGCACCTGGCACCAAAAAAGGAATACTGATTCTGGAAGGATGGACTGTGAACAGGTGTCATCTCTCCAAAGGAGAGGTGGTAGACAGCAAAGCATGGCCATGATATTTTGTAAGCTCCGCCTACTGAGAACTAGAGACTAGAGAAACAGACTCTCCGGTTTCCACCTTCACCTTCTTGGAGCTCTTCCACTGCCATGTAAAGAAGCCTAGGCTACACTACTGAACCATGAGCAACCACATGGAGAGGCCCAGGCAAAAGGCAACAAACACCAAGGCCCCAGACCTGAGTGAGGCCCTTATACTCTCCAGTCTAGTGGAACTGCCAAATGACCGCGGCCTCATGAGTGACCCCAGGCAAGACCAGCAGAAGAAGCACCCAGCTGAGCCCAGCAACCTAGAACCAGGGGAAATAAATTGTTGTCTTAAGCTACTAAGTTTTGAGGTGTTTTCTAACCATACTCCACATTTACAGTCTGTTAACTACCCAACATCCATTACACCTCCTTGGCAAAAACACCTTAATTTGCTTTTGAGGAATCACTTTTCCCTCCATTATTCATCCTTATTATCTTTGTTATTTACTCTAATGGTGGGAGGAGGGAGAACAGGACACATGGCCCAGGCTTGGCCATTAATACACTACATCCCCTGGCAACATACATTAGTATTCAGGGATGAGCACACATCCTGCTCAAGTTTCATGGGCCAGGAGTAACTGGCCTGTCATGGGAAACAGCCTGAAAGTGGAGCCACACAGGGAAAAGCAGGACCAGGAGATGGAGAAAAACCAGGTGCTGGTGACATCCTTTGATCCACAGAGTCTAGCAGTGCCCAGACACCAGTTCTACTCCTGGATATTTTAATTGCATAGACCAATACATTTTATTTCTTCTTTATGCCAGATTGAGTTAGGTTTTCTATCATTCATGATCCCAAAAGTCCTAGCTAATACAAAGAGACTAAGGGACTTATTTTTATCGTATATCCTTTGTACTACTTGAATTTCTTACCAAGTTCATGTATTACTTCTTCCTTTCAAATGAAACTAAAGAAAGAAAGAACTCATTTTAAAAGCAACATACAAAATATACACCAAGAAGGTAAATCAATAACAGAATGAAGACTAAAAGTTCTCTCCGCACTAGGCTGTGTGGCCACAAGAGTGCTGAGTGCCTGCTCCAGTTTCCGTCTGCCCTCTCTTTCAGTAATAGAATATCAACATTTAGCTGGGCAAGCTGCTGCATAGCTAAAAGAACATGTGTCGCAGCATTCCTTGCAGCTACCTTAGGTCATATGAATAAGTTGTGGCCAATGAAATGTAAGTGGACCTGCTGTGCAGGACTTTCAGGGAATCTACCTCCCTCCTGCCACTTTGTAGCATGGAAGGCAGATGTGATGACTTGAGCTCCAGCAACTACCTTGGGTCAGAAAGACAAAGGCTGCCCTCTTGGGCAAAGCAGTGAGCCAAAAAGGAGTCTAGATCCCTGCTGACTCCATGAACCTATTTTCCCAGCCATGGTCTCTAGATTTCTTCTACAGAAGAGGGGTCTTTCTTGTTTTTTGTTTTTTCTTTTTTTTGAGAACTGGCAATGAAGACGCTTATACAGTCTTAGTCTCCTTTTCAACCTTGGAAGCAGATCTGCAGCAATAATAGTAACAAGCAGGAGCAATGGGGGTACTATAATGACCATCTTTTATGATGACTGGCGTATTAATACAAATCACATTTTTTTGAGTCCATTCATGCTATGGATGTTTTCTTATGCATAAACATAGAGTAGACACGTACTGAATAGATCACATCTGTTAAGTCTCTTGCCACAAGCATCACAACTTTTCAGAGCTGTCTCTTCTGTGAAAATCCATTTAATGTAGCAAGTTGATTTTCTTTGTGGTTCATCCCCATGCCTGAGACTTGCAGTAATGTAAAACCAGTTTACCATCACTGCCAAAACACTCAGAGAGAGTTCCAACTTCTTGGTCTGGGGAAGGAGCAAAGGACTGATTCACATAAATAAACAACTGTTCTGAGGCCACAAGTTTAAGAAACTTTTTGATGAAGTCAATGAGTCCTTGGATGGTTCATGTTCGCTCTACTGCCCACTTCTTTGTTTTCATAATAGGAGTATCTCCCACAGCCTTTAGCAAAATGTCAATTTTTTTCTTGGTGTCGCCAGCAGGTTCCTCTGTTCCCGGAGAAACTGCAGTGGAAGACGGGGGCTCCAGAGTGGTTGTTTCTGGGGAGACCTCCGTAAGTCCTTCCCCTCCAGTAGCACTTGAGGGAGGAAGCTGCAACATGGACTGCGGCTCCTCCACCATCTTGCTTGGAGAGACTCCGGGGTCTTTCTTGTTTTAGCCACTATGTTTCAGGTCTCAATTATTCTCAGTCAAATCTAATCCTCATAGATATGGATCACCAAAAGCAGAGAAGCAGGAAACATCACCACCAGTACAACTAGCTGTAGGTGTCTGGTTGCCATGGAGACCACCCCAACACATGCAGATTCCAAAGTACAAACTCACTCAAACAAGACAGACCTGATGTAAGTAAGCCTAAGAGACCCCTGGCCTCCTCATTTCCGGTAGAGTCCCCCTCAGTCCATAAGGCAGAACGGTGATGCCAAACCCTTTAACAGCCCCAGGGCAGTTGGCCCCAGACACACAGTTCCTGTTGTAAGCTTGAACAGCTTTGCTTGACTACTTTCACAATCAAAGGACTGCCAAGTCCTCTAGACTCTCCAGCAGGACTGTCTCTCACACTTCCTATCTCCTATGCCTCTGTCCAAAGTCAAAACCTCATTATTACCTTTCACCTAAGTGCAAGAACCTCCATCCTGTTTCTCAACTGCCAGCCTCCCCCTGTGCACACGCATGGCCAGTCCATCTGCTACCAACAGAATGTATTTCTTAAAAGCACAGCTCTGATCCTGTCCCCTTCTCAAAAACGTCTCCAGAAACTTCCCCATCAACCTAGAGAACAGAGCACAACTCCTTTCTAAGGAACTATAGGTTGATCACGTACGGGCCTCAACCTACCTCTCTGGCATCACCTCCCAACCAAACGAATAACTATGTTGCCAACAGCCCTGTATTTTCCACTCTTATGCTTCCAATTTTCTGTTCCCTCTGCCTGTAACGCATTTCCTTCCCCTACCCCGTCTTCCCCACTCCCATCCTTACTTGTCAAAACTCAACCTATCCCTCCCACCCAAGCTCATCCATGAAGAAGTCCTAATTCCCCAACTAGAAGTAACCTCCCTGTCACTGAGTTTCCAGCACCTTTTGTTCATTACGTTCTTAACAACCACATGCTGACCCGCCTCATAATGACAGGCAAATGTGACTTCTCTCCCCAGCCGACCTTGAGCTCCTTGCAGGGAGGGATTATATCTTGCTTCTTTGCCTGCTCTCCCACAATGCCTTACACATAGTAAGTGCTCACTAAATGGTTGAGGGCTTGGCCTGAAGACAATTCTCTCCCTGCTCCCACATTCTGAGCAGCTGTTCTCCAAAGAAAGAAACAAATGGTTATTCTGCAAACAGAACACGTTTGGGCCAACTCTAAAATTACACAGGCCCTTGACAAAGCTTTGATTACTGGCTCTTCTCCCCTTTTATGAGCAAGCCACTGCTAAAAAGCAATAATATGCAATCCAACCGCAGCCTCTCCACAAAGCACTTGTGTTAATAATCTGTGTATGGATTTGGTCTTGACATGCAAGGGCTAAAGGACAAAACTTAACCAATATTAACTTTGATCCTTTGCACTCAGGGTATCTTTCAAAAGAATTGATACTCAGTAAGTGCTTTTTCATGTGGTTGGTACTAAGATGCATAAGAAAAATGATGTCAGCTACTCCCTATTATTTAAATTGCAGCAGAAGACATTTAGATCAGATAAGTTTCTAACAAGCTAGCTAAACACTCAATTAGGTTACAAAAAAAAAGTATAAAGTCTTGCTTCACAAATATCTTTGGGAACAATCTCTACTCCTACCATCTGTCTGGATTCAATGAAGTATTGGCCCGTCTGATGGCAGAGGGCTGCCTGAGATGACTCCCACAAGTCTCTGCCAGCCTGAGATTTTTCAGACATAGTATGTGATCCAACAGGCACTGTGCATCAAGAGAGAATTCAAACTCAAGCTCAAACTTTCCAAGCAGGAAAGATCCTGCCTGCCCTCTTTCTTTTATGAGAGCCAAGGAGCCAGGCCCAGAGGACAGGCCCGAGTTCCCAGCTGCAGGCTGACCAGTATCCCATGACCGACTGGAAAATGAACCTGAAAGTATGACAAATGCCCCCAACCCAGGCTGGTAACAAGATCAGCAGTCTTGAGAACCAACACTAATGTCAAGTATGAGCCTTCCATAGACAGGGCTGCAGCTAGACACCAGAGGTGACAGCCTCCTCCCAGGCTTCCCTCATCCAAGCTCCAGGGCCCCATTCTTTATGTCCAGAGCTCTTCTGACTGTGACCTGAACCCTAAGCATTAACTCAGTTGAATTCTTAGCCTCAAAGTTACATGGAGCCTTTGAAGGGAGTCTGCTTTTTCCAAACACCAGCTCATCCTTCATTAAACCATGATCCCGATTAGAACAGGGGTTCCCGGCTTTGGCTGCACATCACAGTCACCTGGTGATATGGTTTGGCTGTGTCCCCACCCAAACCTTATCTTCAATTGTAGCTTCCACAATTCCCACATGTTGTGGGAGGGACCCGGTGGGAGGTAATTAAATCATGAGGGCGGGCCTTTCCCATGCTCTTCTCATGATAGTAAGTCTCATGAGATCTGATGGTTTTATAAAGGAGAGTTTCCCTGCACAAGCTCTCTTCTCTTGTCTGCCGCCATGTCAGACATGCCTTTCACTTTCTGCCATGATTGTGAGGCCCCTCCAGGCACGTGGAATTGTGAGTCCATTACATCTCTTTTGTAAATTGCCCAGTCTCCCGTATGTCTTTATCAGCAGCATGAAAATGAACTAATACACCTAGGGAGCTCTAAAAATTACTGGTGCCTTATCCTAGGGTCCCTCCACCCCCCAACCTCAGAGATTCTGGGGTAGTTAATCCAGGGTATGTTCAAGGCATTGGGGTTTTTTAAAGCTCTCTAGGTGATTCTAATGTGCAGCCAGGGTGGAGAAACAATGCAACAGAATGAAGAGAACTTCCCCAAAGCCAGAGAACTCTTTGGAAGTGAACCATCAAGGACATGAGGCCAAGTTAGCTTACTCTGCTAGACTACAGATGCTAGCGACTGTTACAAATTTGAGTGCTGCTTGAGCTAGCTTTCCCTCACAATCTCAAATTGCACACTTTTGGCTTGGCCATCTGTCTTGAAACCTGTTTCCTTTGTGACAAGAAGAATGGAGCAAAAGGGCCCAGATAACTCATCACACTTCACTTGCAAAGCCAGCCCCTGAAGATTCTTCAAAGGCAAAAGTTGAGCAAAGGAAGAGCTGCTGCAGCACAGAGCTCCTAAATGAAGAGCAAGCCCTGTTTGGGAGGGTCCACCACAAAGTGGTGATGTGGTGATCCCCTGGAAATCAGCCAGTTGGGAACACTGGACATTCCAGAGAGCATTCCTCCAGCACAGTGGTCCCGATGGTTCTTGCTCAAGCAGTCCACTGTCACCAGACCTCAGAAAACCGTGTCATAAACATTGCATCAGGGGCCAGCAGACTTCTTCTCTACAGGGCCAGATAGTAAATATTTTAGGCTTTGGGGCCACAGAGTCCTGTTGAAGCTATTCAACTCTGCCACTGTAGTCCAAAAGCAATCACATGCAATATTTCTGCAAATAGGAATGGCTGTGTTCCAACAAATCTTTATTTACAAAAACAGGCAGCAGGCCGAATTTAAGGCACCCATGTACTTTGCCCACCTCTCCGCTAAAACACAACTTCCTTACACACACAGGCCATCTCCCATCACTTCTTCAAACCCCTGGCACTCGGCACAGTGACTGCAATAGAGCAAGTTCTCAATAAATGCTAAACAAACGAAAGAACGAATGAATAAAAAATGAGCCGACTACCCTAAAGGAATATCTATTAAACATCTACCTTTTCCTATAGAGCAACTAATAAGAGTCACTGCAACTTCAGAGCACTTACCCCTGACTATTTAAACTGAATCTCTAGGCCCTTATTAACCTTCTGCCCATCAATCACATATACTCATTCCCGCCCTCTCCTTCATAGGAACAGGGAAGGATGCCCCCAAACAAAGAGGAAGATCTTCCCGGGGGAATGCTGTGGCCCTATCAATACAGAGGCCCAGGCCTGCAGGGAAACACAGAAGGGTAGGAGGGGAGGCAGGGGCGCCAGATACTCACTCACGCAGTCAGAGTATGAACGTGGGGAGGAAGGGGGAAAGGGATGGGGACAGACAGGGACTGTTTGCAGGGCTCTGGGCAGGCCTCAGAGCCACACCACCCCAGATGCTCAACAGAGCAACAGCATACACGTGGGCTCATGCGTCAAGACAAAGGCTGTTACTTCCCATCACGGCACAGAGAAGGTGATGTGTATCACTTCCTCCCCCACACTGTGGATAATGACATTGGAAATCTGAAGCATGAAACCGAAAAGAAAAAATACAAAAATAATCATCATCATCCGTCTCCTTCCTGAGTGTTTTGCTACCCTTTCTTCTTCCTTCCTTCCCCACTTTGTGCCACCCCCTCTTCTTGAAGCAAGACTTTGTCTTCCTCCCAGAGGAATCGGGAGTCAGGGAGCCTCAAGCCCACAAAAACCACTAGTGTTTGGGGGCTGGGAGTGCCAGGCCAACAGTCAGGCTTGTCTCCCAAAATATGTTCACGGTCTCCTGTCCGTGCCTCATGTGGTTTGAGAATGTTCACCTTTGCCAATGCACAGCGGTTTTCTTGTTGGAAACTGACCATCTGAGGTCTTTAAAAATAAAATGCTGGCTGGGCGCAGTGGCCCACGCCTGTAATCCCAGCACTTTGGGAGGCCAAGGTGGGTGGATCACTTGTGGTCAGGAGTTCAAGACCAGCCTGGCCAACATGGTGAAACTCCATCTCTACTAAAAATACAAAAATTAGCTGGACGTGGTGGCAGGCGTCTGTAAGCCCAGCTACTCGGGAGGCCAAGGCACAAGAATTTCTTGAACCCAGGAGGTGGAGGCTGCAGTGAGCCAAGATTGTGCCACTGCACTCCAGCCTGGGTGACGGAGTGGGACTCCACCCCAAAAATAAAATAAAATAAAATGCCAACTCCTCATCACATAAACTCTAAGGGTCCCAATACCCCAATTATGAGAGTGTGGAGTGCCAGTGTCTTGTAGCATTGCTATGCAGGAAGCAACACGTCAGAAGGCAGTGGGTGCCCCATAGCACCTGTGCCATGGACCCGGCAACCACGCTGTGAATAATGGTTAGAGAGGGACCCTCCCCCATGTCCTCTTCAGGCACCAGGCCACACTGGGCTTGTCAAATGGGGCATCTGGGGCAGGTAGCTCAAGGTCCTACCAAACCAACCCTGTTACACTGTCTCACCTCTTTGTTGAGTGCCCACCCAGAAGGCAGCCGTAGCCCTAAGATAGACAAAAGGCACCTCCCTTGTTATTGCGTACCAGTGCAGAACAAGCAAACCTGCAAAGAATAGAACCTTGGAGGCCCTGGGGCTCCCCAACTCCCTAAATCCTTAAAAAGCAAATTTAAGAGAGGAGCTTCACCGTAGACAACTGTCCCAAAACTTCCAAGGTCAGGCCTAGGAAGTCAGGCCTGAGTGATGCTGGGGACGGATCTGCTCTTGGTCCAAGCACTCTCTGGCTCTCTCCTTTATCCCTGGGAGGTCACCATCCCAGGGAGGTCATCTCAGGGTCTTTCATTTCTCCCAGCCTCCTAAAGAGAAAAACCATAGCTCAGAGTGACAGCAATGATCTTTGCAGGAGCCTCCTCAGAGTCCATGAGCCTATTCCTTGCATATGGTCTTGTGGTGCTTTGGTTGTGGCCCAGCCCATCTCAGTGTGGTCCAACACCCCTCACATTCCAATTCCATAAAATATCTCCAAGAAAACATATCAGGCTTCCCTACCTCTCAGGCAGTAAGATGGAAAAAAAAAAAAAGGTAGCAGCAATTATTAATTTCTCAATCCAGGATCTATAGAGGATTTAATTATTGAGAAATATTAATAATTGAGAAATTATTAATTTCTCAATCCAGGATCTAAAAGCTAGGATTTCCAAAGACCCTGAATTCAATGACTGCTCCCTCCCCTGGACTTTCCCTCAATCATATTTACTCTAGAATAAACCTTTCCAGGGGCCCTCCTGAAATATCCCTGACTTCATGCTACAATTATTCCCCCCACCCCCCGCCCCAAGACAGAGTCTTGCTCTGTCACCCAGGCTGGAGTGCAGTGGTGCAATCTTGGCTCACTGCAACTTCCGCCTCCTGGGTTCAAGCAATTCTCCTGCCTCAGCCTCCCGAGTAGCTGGGATTAAATGCGCCCACCACCACGCCCGGCTAATTTTTTGTATTTTTAGTAGAGACAGGGTTTCACCATGTTGGCCAGGCTGGTCTCGAACTCCTGGCCTCGTGATCCACCCACCTCGGCTTCCCAAAGTGCCGGGATTACAGGTGTGAGCCACCGTACCCAGCCATGCTACAATTTAAGTCCATTTCTTTCCATCCAGCTCTCTTTGGAAATAGAGAACAGCTGGTCACTATCATTCCTCCAGACTCAAGCCATCACTGGAGAGCATCATTAACTTCCAACAGTGAGCCAGTTATTTGGAAAAAACATTATGCACCACTTGCTGCACAAAAGCAGACTTAGCCAAAACCTCCTTAATAAAATCATGTCTTTCATAAGAAACCAGCTCCCTAAGGGATGAAATAATAGATATTAAATTGCCTTTTCACGCCTAGAAGTAAGTTTCTTGATTGGTAAGACTGTCTTTCTCTTCTGCAGCTTCATGATCCTATTATTCCTTATAAGTGCTTCTTCCTTGATAGAATATGCACTGATACAGAGATTCCTAGTTGGTTCAAGACTTGCCAAAGAGACACAGCAGACCCACAGCAAATAAAATTAAAATGGTGATCCCCGATGTTTCAGCCACTCCAAATTCATCCAGATGTCTTTTGGGACAATGACTGCCTTCTCACTCACATGAAAAGGATATTCAACTGCATGCTTAATTTTACCACTGAATCATATCCCTAAGCAGGTGAACTAAAATCCAACTGAAACACTTCACAATTACAATGAAAAGATGTTTGCCAACCTGTGCTGCAACTTGTCCCTTTAAACATGCAGAAACAAGAAGCTCTTAATGAACCATCCGTTCCAACGTCCTCATTTCTCAGCAGAGTCAACTGAGGCCCAGGAAGACCAATGAGCTTGCCCGAGGTCACTCTGCCAAATACTGGCAGCCCCTGACATCTTATCTGGGTTTCATCCTACCTCCGCCATTATCTAGCAATTTTCAATTCTAAATAAGACATTTACTCTCCCCAGACTTGTTTCTTGTCTGTAAACAAAGGCAGCTGGACCAGACATCAGCTCAGAGGCATTGTGGTATAAGAGTGTAAATTCTACAGTCAGACTATGGGTTCAAATCCTGGATATGAGGCCGGGCGCAGTGGCTCACGCCTATAATCTCAGCACTTTGGGAGGCCAAGGTGGGTGGATCACCTGAGGTAAGGAGTTTGAGACCAGCCTGGCCAACATGGCGAAACTCCATCTCTACTAAAAATACAAACATTAGCTAGGCGTGGTGGTGGGTGCCTGTAATCACAGCTACTAGGGAGGCTGAGGCAGGAGAATCACTTGAGCCCTGGAGGCAGAGGTTGCAGTCAGCTGACATCACGCCACTGTACTCTAGCCTGGGTGACAGAGTGAGACTCTATCTCAAAAAAATCCCAGATCTGCTCACCATGTGATACTGAATTTATTTAAACTCACTGTCCCTGTAAAGTGGGGAGGAATAATAGTAACTGGTATATACCTCAAAGAGTCATTCTTATAAAATTAAATTAGTTGATCTAGGTAGAGTGTTTGGCAGAACACCTTGTACACAGTAAGGACTCAATAAATATTAGGTATTCTAATCACCTAAAATCTTTTCCACCCTTTAAGTTATATTACTCTAGGATCCTGAGAGGGAATAATGACTTTTTTTAATGGTAACCACTCTCCTATTAAGTTCATGCCTCAGGCAAAAAAAAAAAAAGTCAAGGCTAGACACAAGTGCTGATGAGAGAAAGACAATGATTACTAGAGACTTGGAGAGTAATTTAAGGAGTCAGGAGAAAAATAGGCAAATAAATTCCAAAATGAGACATTAAGAAAAAATGATTAACACTTCCAGGGCCCTGCTAATGAGAAAAAACAACTTGCGAAATATATTTTTGCTAAGCATATTTAAAATACACATGTCCTCTGTCCCTGGAATCTCTTACAGAAACACCTATTTTGGTGAACAATTATATATTGTATAAATATGTCACTGCAGCATTATATTACAGATGTATTGCAATGTACGCACAACAAATACATAAATGTATACAAACCAACTGTAACAGCATGCTACAGTGCTGTGTAGACATCTGTGCAAGGTACAATGGGACCCCGGTCAACTATCTTATAGCCAGTTTTGTCTTTTTCAAGACATATATTCAAAGCATCTCAGAACTGGGCTGAGGGAGCAAAGCCTTTACGATACCACACAGGATGGCACATTTCACTGACCTGACACTCACTACGTGTGCCTAATACAATTTCTCCAAGGATACAGACTCAGGATTGACAGTAGTGACCTAGGAGAAGTAAGGGGAAGAGGCAAGGGGACTTTCTTTTTTTCTTTTTTTTTTTTTTTTACATCTGAATTTTTCCACATTCTACTCTCTGGCTGATACAACAAATTCTCTAGACCCGGGTTTCTCAGCCTTGGCATGACTGGCACTTGGGGCTGGAGAGTCCTTTGTAGTTGTGATGCCTCGTGCCCTGTGTGTTGCAGGATGTTAAGTAGCATCCCTGGCCTCTACCCACTAGATACCCACGTGGCAAATGTGCTAAATGCCACCTGGAGGGCAACATTGCCCTCGGTTAAGAGTTACTGCCCCAGCCAATGTGTTGGCCTTATTAAATGTAATTTATTCCATGATATAAGCACAAGCCACTGTGACTGCCCAGGCCACCTGGGCCATACTGCCTTTCCCTAGTTCAGGGAAACATGTATGAGAATCCACTTTGAGTTGTTAAAATCCCCTGGGTTTGAGTCCCAACTGTCTCCCATATGATGTTCTGACATTCCCTATGCATCTGGGGACCCACCAGGAGTTTCTTTGTGCAACTACCTCATATTCAAGAACAATGTTTGTTATTGTTGTTTTGGGAGTGGGTTTCACTCCTATTGCCCAGGCTGGAGTGCAATGGCACGATCTTGGCTCACTGCAGCCTCTGCCTCCCAGGCTCGAGCAATTCTCCTGCCTTAGCCTCTCAACTAGCTGAGATTACAGGCGCATGCCACCATGCCTGGCTAATTTTTGGTTTTCTTTTGTTTTTTGACAGAGACAGGGTTTCTCCATGTTGTCCAGACTGGTCTCAAACTCCTGAGCTCAAGTGATCCGCCTGCCTCCGCCTCCCAAAGTGCTGGGATTATAGGTGTGAGATATCGCATCTGGCTCAAGGACAATTTTAGAAAAGTAAATCATTTCTTTCTGATAAATACACACACATAATCTTTAGAGTCTCTTTCTTTCTACCGACTACTTTAAAAGTCAGAAGTACAACTATCTGAGCTCCTCATTCGTGATAACACACTGGCCTTGTGATTTTTTTTAAGGAAATTACATCTTAAATGTTCATGTTTTCATGCTCCCAAATTCATTCTTCATGTCCTGAAAACTTCTTACACTCTATCTGGTTTTGTTGGTTTGTTTCCTTTCTTGTTTTATTTTGGTTTTTGTCTTTTGCTATGTGAATCTTACAATAGCTTCTGATCTAAAAGAGTAACCTAGGGCACAGTGGCTCACGCCTGTAATCCCAGCACTTTGGGAGGCTGAGGTGGGTGGATCACAAGGTCAGGAGATCGAGACCATCCTGGCTAACATGGTGAAACCCCGTCTCTACTAAAAATACAAAAAATTAGCCGGGTGTGGTGGCGTGCACCTGTAGTCCCAGCTACTCGGGAGGCTGAGGCAGGAGAATGGCATGAACCCGGGAGGCGGAGGTTGTAGTGAGCCAAGACCACACCTTTGCAGTCCAGCCTAGGTGACAGAGCAAGACTCCGTCTCAGGAAAAAAAAAAAAAAAAAGAACTTTGAAAAACTAGGTGCCCCATCACTCATTTGTAAGTTGACATTTAAAACATTTTTGTCTCCAGTTTAAATAGTTGCAGAAGATATCATTTTAGGCATGTAAATATGCAGACAGATAGATCAGATATAGATAGATAGGTAGGTAGGTAAGTAAGGAGGTAGGTAGGTAGCTAGGTAGATAGATTTGTTTAAATAAAACTGTTTCATTAGTCTTTTGTTTGTTTGTTTTTTGTTGTTTTTTTTTTTGAGACGGTCTCACTCTGTTGCCCAGGCTGGAGTGCAATGGCGCAATCTCGGCTCACTGCAACCTCCACCTTCCGGGTTCAAGCGATTCTCCTGTTTCAGCCTCCCAAGTAGCTAGGATTACAGGTGCCCGCCACCATGCCTGGCTAATTTTTGTTTTTTGTCTTTTTTTTAATAGAGACGGGGTTTCGCCATGTTGGCCAGGCTGGTGTTCAGCTCCTGACCTCAGGTGATCCACTTGCCTCAGCCTCCCAAAGTGCTGGGATTAGCAGGTGTGAGCCACCATGCCCGGCCTATCTCATCAGTCTTTTAAGTGAATCCAGTAGGTCCTAAATAGAATAGAGATTTTATTCCCATCATTATCCACTTAAAAACAGAATACATAAACAAGCCTATGTTTCTTTGTTTGATGCACTTTTGTTTGCATGTTACATTTTACACACACACACACACAAATGCACCATAAGCAAACTCTTTTTCAAAAGCCAAAAAATTTACATCATTGCTTTTTCTGCTTGACTTGTATTTCAATTCTATTTCACCACAGAATATATCCTAAAGCAACTTATATTTATACTAGAAAATCTATTGATTTTGTTTGTTTGTTTTTGATGAAGTCTCACTCTATTGCCCAGGCTGGAGTGCAAGGGTGCATGCAATCTTGGCTCACTGCAACCTCTGCCTCCCCGGTTCAAGCAATTCTCCTGCCTCGGCTTCCCAAGTAGCTGGGATTAGAGGCATGTGACACCATGCCCAGCTAACTTTGTATTTTTAGCAGAGACGGGGTTTCACCATGTTGGTCACGCTGGTCTCAAACTTCTGACCTTAGGTGATCCACCCACCTCAGCCTCCCAAAGTGCTGGGATTACAGGCATAAGCCACCGCACCCAGCCATATTATTGATTTCTTTATCATGCTTCCCTGCCATAAAAATATCTGCATACATTTTAGATTAAAACCCTCAGTAAAATCAGCATAGAAGAGACATACCTTAAGGTAATAAAAGTCATCCAGGACAAACCCACAACCAACATTATACTGAAAGGGGAAAAGTTGAAAGCATTCCCCCTGGGAAATGGAACAAGACAAGGATACCCACTTTCACCACTTCTATTCAACATAGTACTAGAAGTCCCAGCCACAGCAATCAGACAAGAGAAAGAAAGAAAGGGCATCCAAATCAGTAAAGAGGAAGTCAAACATCGCTGTTTGCCGACGATATGATCGTATACCTAGAAAACCCTGAAGACTCATCCAAAAACCTCCTAGAACTGATACATAAATTCAGCAAAGTTTCAGGATACAAGATTAATGTATACATATCAGTAGCTCTGCTATACACCAACAGCAATAAAGCTGAGAATCAAAGCAAAAACTCAACCCCTTTTACAATAGCTGCAAAATAATAATAATAATACTTAGGAATACACCTAACCAAGGAGGTGAAAGACCTCTACAAGGACTGCTGAAAAGAAGTCATAAATGACACAAACACATGGAAACACCTCCCATGCACACAGATGGGTAGAATCAATATGGTAAAAATGACCACACTGCCAAAAGCAATCTACAAATTCAACGCAATTCCCATCAAAACACCACCATCATTCTTCACAGAACTAGAAAAAATAATCCTAAAATTCGTATGGAACCAAAAAAGAGCCCACATAGCCAAAGCAAGACTAAGCAAACAGAACAAATCTGGAGGCATCACACTACCCAACTTGAAACTATACTTTAAGACTACAGTCACCAAAACAGCATGGTACTGGTATAAAAATAGACATGTAGACCAATGGAATAGAATAGAGAACCCAGAAATAAAGGTAAATACTTACAGCCAACTGATCTTCTACAAAGCAAACAAAAACAAAGTGGAGAAAGGACGTCCTATTCAACAAATGGTGCTGGGATCATTGGAAAGCCACATATAGAAGAACAAAACTGGATCCTCATCTCTCACCTTATACAAAAATCAACTTAAGATGGATCAAAGACTTAAATGTAAGACCTGAAACCATAAAAATTCTAGAAGATAACACTGGAAAAACCCTTCTAGACATTGACTTAGGCAAAGATTTCATGACCAAGAACCCAAAAGCAAA
Source organism: Homo sapiens (assembly GCF_000001405.40). NCBI lineage: Eukaryota > Metazoa > Chordata > Mammalia > Primates > Hominidae > Homo > Homo sapiens. The sequence goes on from NC_000017.11 coordinate 73,080,609, forward strand.
TGCAACAAAAACAACGATAAACAGATAAGACTTTTAAACTAAAAAGCTTCTGTAGGTCAGGCACAGTGGCTCACACCTGTGGTCCCAGCACTCTGGGAGGCTGAGACAGGCAGATAATTTGAGGTCCAGCGTTTAAGACCAGCCTGGCCAACATGGTGAAACTCCGTCTCTACTGAAAATACAAAAAATAGCCAGGCATGGTGGTGGGCGCCTGTAGTCCCAGCTACTTGGGAGGCTGAGGCAGGAGAATCGCTTGAACCCTGGTGACAGAGGATGCAGTGAGCTGAGACCGCACCACCACACTCCAGCCTGGGCGACAGAGTGAGGCTCCATGTCAAAAAACAATAAAATAAATAAATAAATAAATAAATAAATAAATAATAAAAAGCTTCTTCACAGCAAAAGAAATAATCAGCAAACAGGCAACCCACAGAGTGGGAGAAAACCTTTGCAACCTATACATCTGACAAAGGACCAATATCCAGAATCTACAAGGAACTCAAACAAATCAGCAAGAAAAAAACAAACAATCCCATCAACAAGTGGCCTAAGGACATGAATGGACAATTCTCAAATGAAGATATACAAATGGCCAACAAACATAAGAAAAAACGCTCAACATCACTAATGATCAGGGAAATGCAAATCAAAACCACAATGCAACACCCCTTACTCCTGCAAGAATGACCATAATGAAAAAATCAGAATATAATAGCTGTTGGTGTGGATGTGGTGAAAAGGGAACACTTTTACACTGCCAGTGGGAATGTAAACTAACACAACCACTGTGGAAAACAGTGTGGAAGTTCCTTTTAAAGAACTAAAAGTAGATCTACCATTGGATCCAGCAATCCCACTACTAGGTATCTACTCAGAGGAAAAGAAGTCATTACACAAAAAACATACTTGCACACACGTGTTTATAGCAACACAATTCACAATTGCAAAAATATGGAACCAGCCCAAATGCCCACCAATCAAGGAGTGGATAAAGAAAATGTGATATATATATATATATATACATACACACACACACACACACACACACACACACACACACACATATATATACACATATATGTATATATGTATGTATATATATACACATATATGTATATATGTATGTATATATATATACATATATGTGTGTGGGTATATACATATATATATCATGGACTACTACTCACCCATAAAAAGGAATGAAATAATGGTACTCGCAGCAATCTGGATGGAATTCATTATTCTATGTGAAGTAACTCAGGAATGGAAAACCAAACATCACATCTTCACTCATAAGCGGGAGCTAAGCTAGGCATAAGAATGATACAATGGACTCTGGGAATCTGGTGGAAAGGGTAGGGGGGCTAGGGGTGAGCGATAAAAGACTACATATTGGGGACAGTGTACATTGCTTGGGTGATGGGTACACCAAAATCTCAGAAATTACCGCTAAAGAACTTATCCTTTTAACCAAACATCACCTGTTCCCCCCAAAACCTACTGAAACTAAAAAAAAAGAAAAAAAAAAAAAAAAGGGCAAAAATAAATAAATACCTACATACATTTTAATTTAATTTTTTAAATTTTCCTATGAGCCTAGGGCTCTAAATGCTTACATAACAATTTCTTGGATTTAATAATGATAACTATTAGTGATAGGAAAGAGATACATAAGAATAAATAATATATAAGAAACCATTTTATAATTATTAAACATTACAAAGCAAAATGTTATTTGAAATGTATATGTTAGTGAATGGGGCTTTATTCTTGTTTTTTCAATTCATTCATCTATATGAGGATAGTTATTAAGTAGTCATTACTAGAATAAGACAGAGTTCATCAATTTTATTTTTATTTGATTTTTTTCTTTTTTGTTTTGTTTTTTTCTTTTTCATAACATAAGGAAAGAGAAAATGTGTTCATATAAATGAGAGGATGGGGGAAAAAAAGAGATGTTGTGTTATAATACTGGCATTCTGTTCTTTGTACTATTTTCAAGTTACAGATCCAAAATCCCTCCATCATGGAAAATTACTTTCAAGGACCTCTCTGTTGACAATTTGATTAGATCCACCTTCAAAGGACAGGATCACATCAGAACTGCTAAAGGAATTGTGGGCCGGGCATGGTGGCTCACACCTGTAATCCCAGCACTTTGGAAGGCCGAGTTGGGTAGACCACCTGAGGTCAGGAGTTCGAGACCAGCCTGGCCAACACGGCAAAACCCCATCTCTACTAAAACCACAAAAAAAAAATTAGCCAGGCGTGGTGGTGCACACCTGTAATCCCAGTTACTCGGGAGCCTGCAGCAGGGGAATTGTTTGAACTCGGGAGGCGGAGGTTGCAGTGAGCCAAGATCCAGCCACTGCACTCCAGCCTGGACAACAGAGGGAGACTCCATTTCAAAAAAAAAAAAAAAAAAAATGGACTTATGCCCAGTGATTAGAGACAAGGCCCTTCACTTTCTCCGTGCCAGCACCAACATTCCAAGGGGCCCTCCATGTCTGCCTGAAGACCATGCCACCCAGAGACAAGGTTATAAGGCAAGAGCATCTTTCTTGTGTAAGGTGGGAAAGGGAAGCTGTGCCAAGGAAGGAAAGAAAGTAGGGCTGGCTTCCCCGGCATTCTCAGGCACAGCAGTTATAGGGAAGAGAACGTATGGAAGCTGAGGACCTAGAAACTAATTTTCTCAACACTCTCTGTGCACCTGTGTATGGCTCAGAAAGGACAGTGTTTTTGACGGAACAGTGGCTCCAGTCTAACAGCTACTGACTCAGATGGCCTCTGGCAGGCTCCACCTCCAGGCTAGTTTTTCCAGATCGCAGGGCTATAAAAACTGAAGAAAGAAACCAAACCCTGATCAACTAAAAGGGAAACCCACATATTACACGCCTTTTGATATGGGTAATACATCTGCAATACACAGCACCATGACATCTTCATGCCTGAAAAATGGAATCTGAACTAATCAAGACTCCAGGTCTAACTCTCAGCTTACAGGAAATACAGGGGACTGAGGAACAAGTTAGGCAGCACCACGAGGAAGTAATCAGCCAACATTCTAGAGACAAATGACCCAGTTTCTCCAACAAATTACTAGCATGAAAAAAAAAATGAACTGTTAAAAAATTAAAGAGACTTAAAAGATATAACAAGCAAATGCAATATAGAAACCTTGTTTGGACCCCAATTATAACAAAACAATATTAGATGACACCTTTAGAAAGATGAAGAAAATCTGAATATGGACTGGATGTTAGATCATAAAAAGGAATTATTAATTTGGTAGGTATAATGGCCATGTGATTATGTTTATTTTTAAAAAGTCATTCAGTTAGACATGTGTGTTGAATTTACAGGTGGAATTACATGTCATCTGGGATTAGCTTTTATAAAATATTCTAACCTCCCAAGAAGTTTTGGGGAGGACAGGTGAACTGAGATTAGCAAAATGTCAATAATGATTGAAGTTGGGAGATGGGTGTCTGGGATGCATTACAGGCTTCTATCCACAATTTTTACATGTTTAACAATGTCTATAATATGCTGGGTTCCATAACTCACGCCTGTAATCCCAGCACTTTTGGAGGCCTAGGCAGGTGGATCACTTGAGCCCAGGAGTTCAAGACCAGCCTGGGCAACATGGTGAAACCCCATCTCTGCAAAAACTCAAAAATCAGCCAGGCACGTTGGCACATGCCTGTAGTCCCAGCTACTTGGGAGGCTGAGTTGGGAGGATCACCTGAGTCCAGAGAAGTTGAAGCTGCAGTGAACCATGACTGTGCCACTGTACTCTAGCCTGGGTGACAGGGTAAGGCTCTGTCTCAAAAAAAAAAAAAAAAAAAAAAAAAAGGCCTATAAAAAAGATCTTTTAAGGGAGAAGGGGAGGAAAAAGTATATTTAGTTAGAGCCAACTATGTATTAGGCTAGGCCTGTGCTAGGCCCTTACCAAATAAGATCTTATTTCCCTAGTCCTGAGGCAGCTGTCAAATAAACCTCGATTGCTGTCTAAAGAGAAATGGGCATTTGATAAGCTGGGAAATAAATATGGCAGGTGATAAGAGGGAGGTGTTAGTGCCTGAGGAACACAGAGATGCATCTAGGTCGCAAGGGGAGGGACTGAAGACAGCCCTTGGCAGACACATGTCAGAATCAGTATGCCTCAATTTCCATTTCTCCTACTACATGCTACTTACCCCTGCAGCAAAGCCAAGACTTCCATCTAAGATCCGCCTCTGAAAATCAAAACAAGATGTTTCAGTTTCCAAGAGACAATAAGATGATGTTTCCTGGGACAAGAAGAAACCATAAGGCCCAAAAGAGCCACGCAAATAAAGACTGGCCGACTCCTGAGCTCGTGAGCTACTCAGTTTATACCATGGGCCAAGAACCACGGGGAAAGTCTTTGGTTAACTTTCCACCCACCCCATAGCCAATCAGAAGCGTTCTTTCAAGTGGTGCTTGGCTTGTCTTGGCCCTTGTGTTGTCTCTTACTCAGCTTTCCCTGTGAATTACAACTGTAAACCTTTAGTAAGTAGCCTGTCTACAAGTTGGGAATTACTGAGCGTTGGTGAGGAGCAGAGGAGCAGGTGGAACAATCAAAACCCTCACACAGGCCGGGCACAGTGCTCACATGTGTAATCCCAGCACTGTGGGAGGCTGAGGCGGGCAGATCACCTGAGGTCAGGAGTTCAAGACCAGCCTAGCCAACATGATGAAACCCCATCTCTACTAAAAATACAAAAAAAAATAGGCTGGGTGCAAGGGTTCATGCCTATAATCCCAGCACTTTGCGAGGCCAAGGCAGGTGGATCACCTGAGGTCAGGAATCTGAGGTCAGCCTGGCTAACGTGGTGAAACTCCATCTCTACTAAAAATACAAAAATTAGTCAAGCACGGTAATGCATGCCTGTAATCGCAGCTACTTGGCTGAGACAGGAGAATCCCTTGAACTCGGGAGGCAGACATTGCAGTGAGCCAAGATCATGCCATTGCACTCTAGCCTAGGCAACAAGAGCAAAACTCCGCCTCAAAAAAAAAAAAAAAAAAAACCCTCACACAATGGCGGTGCAAACGGGTACCACCATTTTGGCAAACTATTTGGCAGCACCGATGAGAGGTGAACACTATGTGTGCCACTCCTGAGTAATCCCATGACAGGAATGCACTTGTATTCAACAAACCCATGAAGAAAAATGTTCGGCAGTGCTAAGAGCCCAAAACTAGAAACTACCCAAACTCTCACCAACAGTAGGATGGATATGTTAACTAGGATACACTCATACAACAGGTACCATAATGGCGATGGGAACGCACACACATACTACAGTTACATCTTACAAACAGACAGGGACATTAAAGAAACTGGAAAACAAGTAGGGTAAAATCAGCCAGATGCAGAACAGTACGTACTATATGATTACTCCATCTAAATAAAGCACAGAAACAGGGAAAATATCCGTGCTGTTAGAGATCACATGGGAGATGACCCTTGGAGTAAAGGTTGGGGATGGTGAGATTGGAAGGGAGACTGAAGGCTCCTGATTGGAAGGGGCTGTGAGGTGAGGAGCTGGTACTGTTTTGTTTCTTGATCTGGGCTCTAGTTTCATGAGCACTTGTGGAAAGTTATCAAGCTGCATACTTATATTAGGTTGGTGCAAACCTAATAAAATGCACCAGCCTAATAAAATGTGCATTTTTCCATAAGCATCTTCTATTTCAATACAGATTTTTTTTTTTTTGCTATCTATCCATAGATGAATGGATAAACAAAATGTGGTATGTACATACAATGGAATAGTCTTCAGCCTTAAAAACAAAAGAAATTCTGGCACATGTTATAACGTGGATGAGCTCTATGGACATTCTTTGAAGTGAAAGAAGCCATGTGGTCTACAGAACTTTTCACCTTACAAAATTAAAACTCAGCTGGGCATGATGGTGCACACCTGTAATCCCAGCAGTCTGGGAGGCCGAGGCAGGCAGATCACTTGAGGTCAGGAGCTCAAAACCTGCCTGAGCAACATAGTGAAACCCCATCTCCACTACAAATACAAAAATTAGCTGGGCATGGTGGTGCACACCCGTAGTCTCAGCTACTTGGGAGGCTGAGGTGGGACGATCACTTGAACCCAGGAGGTGGAGGTTGCAGTGAGCTGAGATCATGCCACTGAACCCCAGCCTGGGTGACAGGGCAAGACTCTAGCTCAAAAAAAATAAAAAATAAATAAATAAAACAGCCTGGCCGGATGGGGTTACCAGCGAAACCCCGTCTCTACTAAAACTACAAAAAAAATTAGCTGAGCGTGGTGGTGTATGCATGTAATCCCAGCTACTCGGGAGGCTGAGGCAGAAGAACCTTTTGAACCTGGGAAGCAGAGGTTGCAGTGAACCAAGATCACGCCACTGCACTCCAGCCTGGGTGACAGAGCAAGACTCTGTCTAAAGAAAAAAAAAACAAACAAAAACAAAAAACCCTGAAACTCTGTACTCATTCAAGAATAACTTATTTCTGCCCTCCTCTGTGGCCCCTGGCAATCACCATTCTACAATGTGTCTCTGTGAATTTGACTTATCTTGGCATCTTATATACCTAGGTTCCAGATAAACCATGTTTCTGGATTGTGTGTTTTCTGATTTCCAGTCTCCAACCCATCAGCTCCCGGGGGCAGTGCAGCGCAGCAAGGGAGGTCGGGATTTTATTGTTGAAATCAAGGCCTGCTGTACTGGTCTCTAACACAAGAGTGCCTGACTTGTGAACTTCCTAAAGGTGTTTTCATTTCCAGATCTCCCTCACAACATGTTGAACTAGATCTTAAGTCACTTATTCATTTGCCGTTTCTACAATGTCTCAGGCTACCGAGGTGATCGATGCAGGGATTGTGCATTCATCAAGATACCCATGGATGGCTCCAGGGCTGCGGACTGAGGGTGATCTGGGTTGGAGAAAAGAATGCAATTTCAGGTATATGAGGTGAGTGTGGGTTGTGCAGAGGTGTGGGGAGGGCATATGGGTATGGGTATGTGTGCAAGTGTGGGTATGTGGGACTATAGGTAGAGCGTGTAGAAGGGGTGTAAGGATGGGGTTGTGGGAGGAGGGAGAGATAGGCTGTGGGGCCATGACAGTGAGTGAGGGCACTGGGAGTAGGATACAAGGAAGATGTAGGAGAAAGAAGTAAGAGTTTGCAGGGGGCCAGGGACATGGGTCTGTCTATATTCATCCCAAGGGGAAAGGAAACAACCTGGAGATGGGTTGAAAAAAAAGGGAACAGATGCCCCTTCTTCTCCCAAGGTCTTTCCAACCATCCCACCCAACTCAAGTCCACAGGGGAGGACAGTTACACCTGAAATCTAATGTTCTTCGGTCACGCATAGTACCACTTGCTCCAGGCCTGAAAGAAATTACATGGCAGGCCAGGCACGGTGGCTCACACCTGCAATCCCAGCACTGTGGGAGGCCGAGGTGGGTGGATCATCTGAGGTCAGGAGTTTGAGACCAGTGGTGAAATCCCACCTCTACTAAAAATACAAAAATTAGCCAGGCGTGGTGGCACATGCCTGTAATCCCAGCTACTCTGGAGGCTGAGGCAGGAGAATCACTTGAACCCGGGAGGTGGAGGTTGCAGAGAGCTGAGATCCTGCCACTGCACGCCAGGCTGGGCAACAGAGCAAGATTCTGTCTCAAAAAAAAAAAGAAAAAAGAAAAAAGAAAAGAAATTACATGGCAGGTAGAAATTAGGCAGCGGGCTAACGAAGCCTCAATAACTGGGCTTCTCACTTCCTATTCCCTTCAAGTCAGGCTGTCAAGGGTCAAGAGGGGAGATGATGGTGCATGAAGGTGTCTACAGCAAGCAGACATCTGTTCTCCCGGCCTGGCAGGGAGAAGGTGAGAAAATAAGAAGACAGCGAACAAACCCCAGTACACAATGCCTGGGGGTGTGGCCAGGGGCACTGAAAAGTCTACAAACCTGCTCCATGGAGTGGGACAGTGCCCCTTTACCAACGGGCTCCCCACCAACATCCAGAACCAAAGCAAGGCAACTCACCTGTCCACTAGAGAATACGAACACGAGAGCTGCCCCAGCTGCTGTCATCCCCCAGGTGAAGAAGGTCCCCAGCAAGGCCTGGAACACAGAGCTGTGGCCTTGGAGCATGCTGGATACAGCTGTGCAAGAGGAGCGAGAGGGTCAGCCACCGGTGGTCCGTTTCAGTGACAGGCGCATATTCTGACGGGTCCTAACACCCTGTGTGGGAGCTGGCCTCCCTCCAGGTTGACCGTATGCACCCTTCCACCACGCCATCTGTGTCCCTCAGCCACCCAGCACACAGGTCAGGCTTCTCTATCCAGGTCCCCCAGGAACTGGAAATCGTCTTAATCTGAAAGAAGGCACAGGGAGATGCCAGGGGAATCCACAAAAAAGGCTGCAACATTGAAAAGTGGTTTCAAAGAGAAGCACAAAGAATGTGGTTTATTCCAGAAGAAGGGGGCATAGGAGGGTCTGATGCAGCCTCCCCCACATAATCTGCCTCTTCTACCGTCTCTTGCCCACCATCCGCACTCAGCCTCCACCAAAGACAGGTGACTAGCTCAGGTGATGTCAACACGCTTCCAATCTTAATCCCCATCACATCTGCAACAGCGCACCTGCCCAGCCAAAGGGTAAACTCCACCAACCAACTTTTGATACCCACCAACCCCCGACTCTCCAATCCCGTTCTCCATCATGCCTGCACGAGCACCCAACTCCAGCTCAACTGAATTATTTATGGCACCTTCCACAAGCCCCAGACAATCCTGCCTCCAAGTCCCTGTTCATGCAGTTCCCTCCTGGAATACCTTCCTTGCACATTTCCAGCCATCAGAACCCGGAGCACCCTCTGCAGCCCACATAATGCCAACCTCACGACCAAGGCTTTTCTGGCCTTCCCCAGCCCTGTCCTAGCATGCAGCTTTGGTCCTCTCTCAGTGTGGCTTTGCCTCCATCTTTTACAGCCTTAGTTGCTTGAGGACGGGGACGGTGCTTTTTCACATTTGGCACCCCTGTAAAATAGGGCTTTGTAACCCCTGAAAAATATGTGCTGGATGGAAAAGGGCCAGCTTACCTGCACAGGACAGTCAGCAAGGACAAGCAAAAGGACCCAGGAATGGAATGTCCCCTGGTCAACTCAGCACCCTGCTGCTGAAGCTGAAGTTACACCACCGCCCACCAAGGAAAGGAAGGGAAGTACCACTCCCTCTCATTTCAGTCCAGAGAACCTCCTCCAGACTTTAACATGCTTAAAATTCTGGATCTGAGATGACAATCAGATCTCTCCCTGTGGAAAGTTACAAGGCAGAGAAACCCATTTGTTGAAAAGCCCTGTGTTCTGGTACACAAACACTGGGCTCAGGGCCTCATATCAAAGCCTCATTCATCTCCCTGATGGTCTGCCAGCACCCAGAGGGCTGGCTGGACACAACCACACTGGGCTCAGCCCTGCCAGTTCCCGGTGCTCTGTGAGGAGCCAGCAGCCCTGAGCCTGCAGATCAAGAGCTGAAGACGCTGCCTCGATTGACCCTGGAAGGAAACCATGGCAGAGTGTGGACGCAGCCCTTATGCCAAGCGGCTCAGCAACACACCCAGGCTCAAACCTAGGAAGGGTATAGGTCCAGGTGAGCCCAGGTGAGCCCTGGCTCAGCCCCTGTGCCAGAAACTCTGAGATAAATAGCATCTATGGAATCAGACTCTAGTTCCCGCACTCTAAACGAACTGCACCAACTGTGAAAACTGTGACCACGCCAATTAAAGAAAAAAAAAATCATTTTCAAAAAACTACTACCCTTTACATCCGTCATCTTGCTAAGCCACCCTAAAAAGAGGGGTTGGTCTTTGTTTTTAAACCAAGCCATCTGGACCATTACACCAATCATCTATTCCGAGTTGCTGTGGACAAAATTTCAAACAGCATTTACAAAGAACAGCACAAAGGGATCATCCTCTTAGTACTTATCATCCAAGACAGGGCATAACAAAAACACCTTTCTTTCCTGTATTTGAATGTGCCTCTTGACAGCTACAGAAGAGAGCAAACAATTTACATTTGCCAACAGGCCAAAGTCAATGTGGATCTTGTGGGCTGGTGAACAGAACAGAGGGAGCTCGTGGGTGTTCCTGGTGGTTAGTGGGATAGGGAAACACCCGTCTAAGCCTGTCCCCATGTATATCTGAGCACCCTCCTGAGTAAGAAAAAGGGACACAGAGGGAAGACCGAGGCCACCATCCTTTCCATCCCAACAGGAGCAGCATTGATCACGGGCAATGCAAGCCCAGTGCCCCTCGGAGAAGTTTCTTCTCTATTTGCTGTTTTAAATCCTCGCTACAAGGGTGGTCAGAGAACCAGCAGCACTGGTCCGGCTTGGGAGCTAGTTAGGAATGCAGAAACTCAGGTCTCACCCCAGACTTTCTGAATCAGGGTCTGCATTTTGTGGAATTCCATGGGGGATTCTTATGCACATTAAACTGTGGAAAGCAAAAGATTAAAACTGGTAAAACTTGGCCAGGCGCAGTGGCTCATGCCTGTAATCCCAGCACCTTGGGAGGCCAAGACGGGCAGATCACCTGAGGTCAGGAGTTCGAGACCAGCCTGGCCAACACGGTGAAACCCCATCTCTACTAAAAACACAAAAATTACTTGGGCGTCGTGGTGTGTGCCTGTAGTCCCAGTGCCTGTAGTCCCAGCTACTCGGGAGGCTGAGGCAGGAGTAATCGCTTGAACCCGGGAGGCGGAGGTTGCAGTGAGCCGAGATCGCGCCACTGCACTCCAGTCCGGGTGACAGAGCAAGGCTCTGTCTCAAAAAAAAATAAAAATAAATAAATAAATAAAACTGGTAAAACTTCTACAATACCAAGAGCTTAGAAAATGAGTTCTCCTGCCCCATGTGGGATTGGCAAGAGCAAAGAAGAGTCCCAAAAGAACAGAAAGTTTTCTGCAGAGTCTCAAGAGAAGAAAAAGTTTCTGGCAGAGTCCCAAGAGAACAAGAAGTTTTCTCTAACCGGCAGACCAGTAACAACTTTAGGACACAGCATCTCCATCACAGCTTACACAATGGGGCTCAGAATTCCTCACGATGGGGATATTAATTCCATCAACCCTGATTCGTTAGCAGCAGGGAGAATCATTCTCTGACCGTTCCAACTTTTAACATGCCAACAGCCTGTAGACTTGTACACACCTGCCACAGCAGCACATGGGCATTCCCGGCTGATTGATACAGGTTTGTTTTCTTTATTTCCTTTCTCCCCCTTTTAAACCTGTTGTTCCGCTTCCAAGAGTCAGTTCAAGAGGCTGGTGAAGTTGCAGAAGTGGAAACAGCACTAGGGCTGCTGGGCCTTAGTGGAGCTGCACACACATGCCCTAACTCCACGAGGGGGAATCCAGCAGAAGGATTCAGGTCTGGGCGGAGAGGACTGTGGAAAAGTTCTCTAATGCCTCGCTACTCAAAGCGTGGTCCGCGGACCACCCAACCTGGGAATTAGTTAGAAATGCACACTGTCACGCCCCACCCAGACCTGCTGCAAGTTAACCAGATTCCCAGTCAAGTTCCAGAGGTCCAGCTAACAGCCAGAGCAAGTGGGAGGGGCCTGGGAGCAGCTGGATTTGTAGCTGCCTCTGCTCCCAGGAATCCCGGGTACCCCCACACACCGCCTAGGAAGGGACGAACGAAGAGGATTTGGGTTAGGACTGTAAAAGGAAGGCATGTCATTGCCTTCCAGATCACCCTGGAGAGGGACATAGCCGGGGTCCGGGGACTTCCTTCCCACCGCCCCTCACCCTCCCACCCCGCCCCGACACCTGCCAAAGCCTCCAATTTCTCCTCCAAACCCCTCCTCTCTCCAGGCGTACCCCCTTCCAAGCTCCAGGTGGCTGCCCTTCCAAGTCCCACACTCTTGTCCTGATGGCCTCCGACCCCGGGCCTCGAGCCCAACCAAAGGCACCGAAGGAGAGAAAAGCCAACTCACTAGGGTGCCCTCTCCAGCCCCCACTGCACTTCCATCAGCCCCCGCTGCCACTCTCTCGCCGGCTCCACTCCCGCAGTCACTTCCTGCTTCCCTCCCGCACACGTGGCCCTCCCGCCTCCGGGCCCCGCCCCCTTGGCCGCAACTGGCAACTCCCGCCTGAAGAATAGATTCTCTGGTTCACAGCCGTCTGCAGGCTCAGGAACAGATCTGGGCGGGCAGAACAGAGCCCTGAGGCCAAGAGCCCAGCAGTCTGCGAGTGACTGCAGCCCTAAGGGAAGCTACAAACACCCAAGGAAAGAGCCCTTTGTAACACCCCTGATGTTACTTATGCTTCTACACCTTTGGCAGCCAGGTCCATGCCACTGGGTGCGCAGCAGAGCAGGATGTGCTGTGTGTGTGTTGCGGGAGAGGCTGGGGGCGGGTAATGTGATGGCATCGGCATCATTCTCCAGTCAATGACCCTCAAAAGAATCACTGGAGGGGGTCAAACACAAAATGCCAGCACCCCCAGAGGCTCTGGTTCCGTCATTCTGGGTGGGGCTGACATTTTGGGATTTTTTTGTTTTTGCTTTTGTTTTTTTGAGATGGAGTCTCGCTCTTTCGCCCAGGCTGGAGTGCCGTGGCCCAATCTCGGGTGATTGCAGCCTCTGCCTCCTATGTTCAAGCGATTCTCCTGCTTCAGCCTCCCGAGTAGCTGGGATCACAGGTGCATGCTGCCAAGCCCCGCTAATTTTTGTTTTTTTTTTTTTTTTTTTTTTTTTTTAGTAGGGACGGGGTTTCACCACGTTGCCCAGGCTGGCCTCGAACCCCTGACCTCAAATGATCCACTCGTGTGGGCCTCCCAAAGTGCTGGATTATAGGCATGAGCCACCGCGCCTGGCCTGAGATCTTGTTTTGAGCTAGGAGTTGCTGATGCTGCTGTCCTGGGACCACCCTTTGAAAAGCACTGCCCTAGGTCAAAGGCTTTGATCTGCAGGATTTCTGTGAAAAGACCAGAGGATAGGATTGACTAGATTTAGCCAAAAACAAAACAAAATAAATAAATAGATAGAAACAAGATGCCTGGGCTGGGCGCTGTGGCTCACGCCTATAATCCCAGCACTTTGGGAGGCCGAGGCGGGCAGATCACAACGTCTGGAGATCGAGACCATCCTGGCTAATACGGTGAAACCCCGTCTCTACTAAAAATACAAAAAATTAGCTGGGCGTGGTGGCAGGCGCCTGTAGTCCCAGCTACTCGGGAGTCTGAGGCAGGAGAATGGCGTGAACCCGAGAGGCCGAGCTTGCAGTGAGCCAAGATCACGCCACTGCACTCCAGCCTGGGCAACAGAGCAAAACTCCATCTCAAAAAAAAAAAAAAAAGCCTGATTAAATTTGAATTTCAGAAAAATAACGTCATTTATTACTATAAATATGCCCCGGGCAATGTGTGGGACATACTTATGTTACAGGCATATTTGTTGTTGATCTGAAACTGAAACCCAGCTGAGTGTCCTGTGTTTTATTTGACAACATATCAGAGCGTGACCTGAGCAGAAAAGCTACCCGTGGTCTCGATGGCCATAGCCCAAAGGGTCCAATAACAGGCCTCTTTCTTCCAGTGGAACTAGGTTGTTCACACTGACGGTCGCACCATATACCAAGCACTCCATGGGGAGGAGAAGACAGCCTGGCCACTGGAGGGTGGTCTTTGCCCTTAAAAGACCCCCAACTTGGAAGAGTCAAATCAGCCATTGCAATTCCACATAAGAGAGTATGTACAGGCACACAGAGACACAATACCCATGTGGCACGGCCCATCAACTCATCTTCCAAAATGTCATACCTCTTCCTGCACGCTGCAATAGCCATAAAATGACACAATATCTTAGACTCACTTCAAAATATGATGGAAGAGAAAAGTGGATGGAGTAGAGATTAAACAAAATTGGCCATGAATTAACCATTCTTAGGCTGGGCATGGTGGTTCACACCTGTAATCCCAGCACTTTGGGAGGACAAGGTGGGCAGATTGTTTGAGCCCAAGAGTTTGAGACCGGCCTGGGCAAAAAAGCAAGATCTCGTCGCTACAAAAAGTTTTTAAAAAGTAGCTGGACATGGTGGCAGATGGTAGCTGGGCCTGTAGTCCCAGCTACTAGGGAGGCTGAGTGGGGAGGATCACTTGAGCCCAGGAGTTTGAGGCTGCAGTGAGCCGTAATGGTGCCACTGCACTCCAGTGAAAGACCCTGTCTCTTAAAAATAAAAAATTAACCATTGTTGAACCTGGGGAACGGGCACGTAGAGGTTCATTAAATGTTTCTGTTTCTACTTTTGTGGATGCTTAAATTCTTTTCTTTTTTTTTGAGACGGAGTCTCGCCCTGTCACCCAGGCTGGAGTGCAGTGGTGCAATCTCGGCTCGCTGCACCCTCCACCTCCCAGGTTCAAGTGATTCTCCTGCCTCAGCTGGCCTCCCAATTAGCTGGGACTACAGGTGCGTGCCACCACACCCAGCTAATTTTTTGTATTTTTAGTAGAGACGGGGTTTTGCCATGTTGGCCAGGCTGGTCTCAACCTCCTGAGCTCAAGCAATCCACCTGCCTCAGCCTCCCAAAATGCTAGGATTACAGGAGTGAGACACTGCGCCCAGCCGCTTAAATTCTTTATAATGAAAAATAAACAGAAATGTTTACAACGATCCACAAAGTGCCTCTCCTGCCCAATCCTTTCTCTCCTTTCTCACTGCTGCTGTGAGGATTCAACCTGCCCATCCCTCATCTAGGTCATGGAGTCACCTCCTTCCACTCCACCCTGTCTAGTCTGTTCCATGTAGCACCGCCAAGATCAGCCTGCCTAAAGCACAGCACATCACACTCTCCTGCTCAAAAAGCTCCGATAGCTCCCCAGTGCCTTTGGCATAAAGTTCAAATGCTTCAGCCTGGAATTTGAGTTTTGCTGTGGTATGATTCCAACTAAACGTTCTCAAGTCTGTCTCCCAGGGTTCTCCTCCCTGTGCCCTCTGGCCAAGCCAGGCTGGACAGCTCGCTGTCCTCCACACAGCCTTCCCTCCCTGCCACTCCTATCTCCCTTATACCATTTCTGCTGAACTGCCCTTCGCCTCCCAAATCTAAGCCCCACCATCCTGCAAGACCCAGGTTTAATGCATTCTCCTTGGGCACCCCATCTGACCTCATCTCCCACCTGTCCCAGCCCTGGTTACAAATCGAGTCTCTATCCTCTAAGGTCCCATAGAACTCCATCTGGATTCTAAGGCACTTGCCTCCTTCTGTCTTATACTGTAGGATCTAACTTCACTGCTATATTCGGCATACAGACCCAGGATTAGAATCAAGCTCCTTACTGAGCTTCTTCCCCTCATCCCAGCCAGGATAGCACCTCATATTATAGCATGTCCTCAAGAGATGCTTGCATGCAATGCATAGGTAAACTTGATGTGGGAAAGGAAAAGTGGGGAAGCAACTAACATTTGTTGAATGCCCAACCTGGGCCACTTTATCTTTATATCCTCTTCTTATGTAAAACTCACAACTCTGAGGGGAAGGTATCATTATCCCCATTCTACAGATAAGGAAATTGAGGCTCAGGAAAGCTCTGGAGTGACCCAAGGTCCATGGGGCAGTGTGGGACACCAAGCCCAGCTGACTCCTGAGATGGTGCCCTTCCTGCATGGGGCATTCAGGGCTCACAGGATGAGACCCAGAGCCACCTTGATCAGCATTTCTGCATCTCACTTTCTTTAAACCACACCAAGCCCATAAGCGGGAGGGGTGCTAACCCCCAGGAGACAAATCTTACCATTTCCCCATCTTTCTCAATAAACTCCCACACATATGCCCACTCCGCAAACATGCAAACTGCCCCCTTTCACATACTTCCTTACAGTCAAAAGGGCCAGAGTATTGGCCAGAAGAAAATGTTTCCTGGGCCAGGTGCGGTGGCTCACGTCTGTAATCCCAAAACTTCGGGAGGCTGAGGTGGGTGGATCACGTGAGGTCAGGAGTTCGAGATCAGCCTGGCCAACATGGTGAAACCCCATCTCTACTAAAAATACAAAAATAAGCTGGCCATGGTGGCAGGCGCCTGTAAGCCTAGCTACTCGGGATGCTGAGGCAGGAGAATCGCTTGAACCTGGGAGACGGAGGTCGCAGTGAGCCGAGATCATGCCATTGTGCTCCAGCCTAGACGACAAGAGCAAAACTCCATCTCAAAAAAAGAAGAAAGAAGAAAATGTTTCCTGAAAGCTAAATACACTGGCTCTGACCTCCACCCCACCCACAGTCCATTCCTATTCTCTCCCATGGGACCTAAGGTGGCCTGACGCCCCCAGGGCAAAGGGATGGGATATGCAGGAACAGACCAGAACAGTGGCTCCAGAAGCAGTGGCAGGGGGATTTGCAGGCAGTGAAGGCTGCTTCCCATGCGTCACAGGGCCCTAAGACTGATGCCAACCATCCGCAAAGGAACTGCAAGGCAACAAGATGGTGGGCGGCCCTTTCCAGAGGAGTCACTGTGGTTTGATCTGGCTAAATGCCCTGCTGGCACCTCCTCCTGGAAGACTGTGGTGGCGGGGGGGCAAGCAGAGGGATCATGGACAGCAGCTTTGCAGAAAGAATGGAGACGGGCATAAAGTTGTCCACCCCAATGAGTCCTGGATCTCACCTTTGTTTTTCTCCCTCTCCCTCTCTCTCTCTCTCCCTCTCCCTCTCTCTCATCCTGTTTCTCTTAAAAGGTAATATAGCAGTTGATTGCTAGCCTCAGAATCTGACCACACAGAAGAAAGCCTAGCTTGGCATGTGGGTTCTCACGGATGCATTGCCCAACACCTCTTGAAACCACCATTGCAAAACTGTAACAGAGGCCAGGCATGGTGGCTCACACATGTCATCCCAGCACTTTGAGAGGTCGAGGCAGGCGGATCACTTGAAGTCAGGAGTTTGAGACCAGTCTGGCCAATATGGCGAAACCCCGTCTCTACTAAAAATACAAAAATTAGCCAGGCGTGATGGAAGGCGCCTGTAATCCCAACTTCTGGGGAGGCTGAGGCATGAGAATCACATGAACCTGAGAGGCAGAGGGTGCAGTGAGCCAAGATCATGCCACTGCACTCCAGCCTGGGGAACAGAGCGAGACTCCGTCTCAAAAAAAAAAGAAAAATTGGCGCCACTGCACTTCAGCCTGGGGAACAGAGTGAGACTCCGTCTCAAAAAAAAAAGAAAAAAGAAAAATTGGCACCACTGCACTCCAGCCTGGGGAACAGAGCAAGACTCCATCTCAAAAAAAAAAAAAAAAAAAGAAAGAAAGAAAAAATACAACTGTAATGGCAACAGTGAAAGAGATTTGACCTAACCAACTCTATCTTGCTTCTAACCTCCAAACTGTTCTTGTTCATTCCTAGACATAGGTTGAACTACCTTTAGGAGGAATTTATAGTTTATAGTTTAAAACAAAGATGATAACAGCCCTTTCCCAAAACAAACCTGCTTCTTGCCTGGGGTTTAGGCAAGAAGCCTTTGTAGGACTAACAAATTAGTCACAAGATTAGAAATTATGACTGGGCACAGTGGCTCACGCCTGTAATCCCAGCACTATGGGAAGCCAAGATGGGCAGATAACCTGAGGTCAGGAGTTTGAGACCAGCCTGGCCAACATGGTAAAACCCCGTTTCTACTAAAAACACAAAAATTAGCCGGGCGTGCTGGCTCACACCTGTAATCCCAGCTACACAGGAGGCTGAGATGCAAGAATCGCTTGAACCCAGGAGGTGGAGGCTGCAGTAAGCCAAGATCACACCACTGCACTCCAGCCTGAGCAAGAGTGAGACTCCACCTCAAAAAAAAAGAGAAAAAAGAAAAAAGAAATTATGGTTTATGAATCATGCAGCTAGAGGCTACAAGATTCTGACCCTCCCTAAACTGCTTCTAAGATCAGTGCTTGAGATATTTTGCAGAACCTGCACTTGACGGATCAGTTGGCACCACCCAGATAGATAAACTGGTTTATGTGATCTTGTGGCCCCTACCTAGGAACTGACTCCGCACAAGAGGACGGCTTCAACTCCCTATAGTTTCATCTCCAAACCAATCAATCAGCACTCTCAACTGAATGGCCTTCCCCATTCACCAAATTATCCTTAAAAACTCTGATCTTGGCTGGGCATGGTGGCTCACACCTTAATCCCAGCACTTTGGGAGGCTGAGGTGGGCAGATCACCTGAGGTCAGGAGTTCGAGACCAGCCTGGCCAACATGGCGAAACCCCGTCTCTACTAAAAATACAAAAATTAGCCGGGGATAGTGGTGTGCACCTGTAGTCCCAGCTACTCAGGAGTCTGAGGCAGGAGAATCGCTTGAACCCAGGAGGTGGAGGTTTCAGTGAGCCAAGATCGCACCACTACACTCCAGACTTCATATCAAAAAACAAACAAACAAAAAACCTCTGATCCCCAGTGCTCTGGGAGACTGATTTGAGTAACAATAAAACTCCGGTGGCAGGGTGCTTTGCAGGCAACGAGGACTGCTTCCCATGCATCAGAGGACCCTGACTGATGCTGATCATCAGCAAAGGAACTGCAGGACAAGAGGGTGGATGGCCTTTTCCACAGCAATTGCTGTAGTTTGGTCTGGCTAAATGCCATGCTGGCACCTCCTCCTGGAAGACGGCAGTGGGACAGAGCAGGGCACAGCCTGCTCTGCATGAATTACTCTTTCTCTATTGCAATTCCCCTGTCTTAATAAATGGGCTCTGTCTAAGCAGTGGGCAAGGTGAACCCATTGGGCAGTTGTACTCTCGGCTTCATTCTCCTCATCCTGAGTCTGGGAATAAATAACACAGTGCTCTCTCCAGGTTACTGTGACCTGGAGTGACGCCTCCAACACCCTGCCTAGCACGTATCCAGGCTCCCTTGAACGATTATTACCCATCAGCCCTCTTCCTCCTTCACTTATTCGTTCTTCATGGACTCAGCAGACCTTTCTTCAGTGCTTACCCTGTGTCGTGCACTTTGCTGGAGCCGGGTACAGGGCAGCCAACTCAACAGATGAGGCTCTGCCTTGTCCGCCCTCGCTTGCCTGCCATTTCCTCCCCTGTGCTGGAGGCTGACCACCGACACAGCGTGAGGACTGAGCCTCTGAGCCTGGGGCAGCCTGTTCCTTCCTTCCGCAGAGTGCAGATAATAAACCCAGCAGGAACTGGCTCTCAGATTTGCAGATGGGAACCCAACAGTGACAGTAATAGGCAGTTTATAGACGTGCTATAGAAATATAAGGGGTTTCCTATTGTTATTTGTTCAGGGGATTTTTTAAATTACCCTCCACCCATCTATGCAGAATTCATCCCCTTCCCTCCACCGCCACCGCTGTCACCTGTACCCAAACAACTCTGCTTCATCATCCTGCCCTAACCACCTGATAGGTGTTCCTGATTCCCCCAGTGCCCTCCAAACAGTTCCCACTCTTCACAGCAGCCAAAGTGATGTTTTAAAGACAAAAAATACAGGCTGGGCACGGTGGCTCACACCTGTAATCCCAGCACTTTGGAAGGCAAAGGCGAGTGGATCCCTTGAGGTCAGGAGTTCGAGACCAGCCTCGCCAACGGGGTGAAACCCCATCTCTACTAAAAATACAAAAATTAGCCGGGTATGGTGGCGCATGCCTGTAGTCTCAGCTACTTACGAGGCTGAGGCAGGAGAATCGCTTGAACCTGGGAGGTGAAGGTTGCAGTCAGTCAAGATCGTGGCACTGCACTCCAGCCCAGGTGACAGAGTATGACTCTGTCTCAAACAAAAAAAAAAAAGACAAAAATACAGTCATGCCAGTCTACTATGACAAACCCTCTGAGAGCTCCACACTGCCCTTGATGTAAACGCTGGTGGCTTCAGGAACACCCAGAATCACTCCGAACCCCTTCCTCACTCTGCTTCATCCAGGCTGATCTGCCTTCTCCTGGAACACCAAGCACACTCCTGCCTCAGGGCCTTTGCACTTGCTGCACCCTCTTTCTGTCTCCCAAATTTTCATCTGTCTGGGTCCTCTGTTATTTGGATCTCAGCTCCAATGCTACCCTTTCCAAGAGGCCTTCCTGGAATATCCAATCTAATGTAGATCATCCAAGCCATTCTTTATTTTCTTCCTGGCACATCTTGATGTCTGGTAATCCTGTTTGTTTGTTTGGTTGGTCTCCCCAAATGCAAGTTCCATGAGAGCACTACCACGTCTGCCTTTTGTATTACTGTATCCCCAGTGCATGGTACACAGTAGCTGTTCAAGATTTATTTAAAGAGTAAGTCAATCTGACACATAAGTCTTATCTTTTTTTCTTTTTAGACAGAGGCTCGCTCTGTCACCCAGGCTGGAGTGCGGTGGCACAATCTTGGCTCACTGCAGCCTCCATCCCCCAGGTTCAAGTGATTCTCCTGCCTCAGTCTCCTGAGTAGCTGGGATTACAGGTGCCCGCCAGCGTACTGGGCTAAGTTTTGTATTTTTAGTAGAGACGCGGTTTCACCATGTTGATCAGGCTGGTCTTGAACTCCTGGCCTCAAGTGATCTGCCCACCTTGGCCTCCCAAAGTGCTGGAATTATAGGCATGAGCCACTGTGCCCGGCCTCTGAACAGGAAGTTCTAACCAGCCTCTTATGTAAGCACCATCCAGGGCAGCCAACAGCCACCTGGCACCATTTTCTGGGCCTAGTACAAGGAAATGCTGCCTAGAGGCTTAAAGGAGAAACCAAGTTGCCAATTCAGTCCCTCCTTACCTTTGACTAATGTTCGAATCCAAACCTGCACCACACAGGCTCAAGGGAGGCACAACAGTAAAGCTTTCACTGATTTTTTATTATGATTATACTTTAAGTTCTAGGGTACATGTGTACAACGTGCAGGTTTGTTACATATGTATACATGTGCCATGTTGGTGTGTTGCACCCATTAATTCATCCTTTACATTAGGTATATCTCCTAATGCTATACCTCCCCCCTCCCCCCACCCCACCACAGGCCCCGGTGTGTGATGTTCCCCTTCCTGTGTCCAAGTGTTCTCATTGCTCAATTCCCACCTATGAGTGAGAACATGCGGTGTTTGGTTTTCTGTCCTTGTGATAGTTTGAGGAGAATGATGGTTTCCAGCTTCATCCAGGTCCCTACAAAGGACATGAATTCATCCTTTTTATGGCTGCATAGTATTCCACGGTGAATATGTGCCACATTTTCTTAATTCAGTCTATGATTGTTGGACATTTGGGTTGGCTCCAAGTCTTTGCTATTGTGACTAGTGCCGCAATAAACATATGTGTGCATGTGTCTTTATAGCAACATGATTTATAATCCTTTGGGTATATACCCAGTAATGGGATGGCTGGGTCAAATGGCATTTCTAGTTCTAGATCCCTGAGGAATCGCCACACTGACTTCCACAATGGTTGAACTAGTTTATAGTCCCACCAACAATGTAAAAGTGTTCCTATTTCTCCACATCCTCTCCAGCACATGTTGTTTCCTGACTTTTTAATGATCGCCATTCTAACTGGTGTGAGATGGTATCTCATTGTGGTTTTGATTTTCATTTCTCTGATGGCCAGAGATGATGAGCACTTTTTCATGTGTCTGTTGGCTGCATAAATGTCTTCTTTTGAGAAGTGTCTGTTCATATCCTTTGCCCACTTTTTGATGGGGTTGGTTTTTTCTTGTAAATTTGTTTGAGTTCTTTGTAGATTCTGGATATTAGCCCTTTGTCAGATGAGTAGATTGCAAAAATTTTCTCCCATTCTGTAGGTTGCCTGTTGACTCTGATGGTAGTTTCTTTTGCTGTGCAGAAGCTCTTTAGTTTAATTAGATCCTATTTGTCAATTTTGGCTTTTGTTGTCATTGCTTTTGGTGTTTTAGACATGAAGTCCTTGCCCATGCCTATGTCCTGAATGGTATTGCCTGGGTTTTCTTCTAGGGTTTTTGTGGTTTTAGGTCTAACATTTAAGTCTTTAATCCATCTTGAATTAATTTTTGTATAAGGTGTAAGGAAGGGATCCAGTTTCAGCTTTCTACATATGGCTAGCCAGTTTTCCCAGCACCATTTGTTAAATAGGGAATCCTTTCCCCATTTCTTGTTTTTGTCAGGTTTGTCAAAGATCAGATAGTTATAGATGTGTGGTATTAATTCTGAGGGCTGTGTTCTGTTGCATTGGTCTGTATCTCTGTTTTGGTACCAGTACCATGCTGTTTTGGTTACTGTAGCCTTGTAGTATAGTCTGAAGTCAGGTAGCATGATGCCTTTTTTCTTTTTTTTTGAGACGGAGTCTCGTTCTTTTGCCCAGGCTGGACCTCAGTGGTGCTATCTCAGCTCACTGCAAGCTCCACCTCCTGGGTTCACGCCATTCTCCTGCCTCAGCCTCCCGAGTAGCTGGGACACAGGCACCCGCCACTGCGCCTGGCTAAATTTTTGTATTTTTAGTAGAGACAGGGTTTTACCATGTTAGCCAGGATGGTCTCGATCTCCTGACCTCATGATCCGCCCACCTCGGCCTCCCAAAGTGCTGGAATTACAGGCATGAGCCACCGTGACTGGCCAGTTTCACTGACTTTACGCACATCTATTGTTAGGAGCAACATTTCTGATTTTGTGATAGGTTTTTTTTTTTTTTTTTTTTTTTTTTTTGAGGCAGAGTCTCACTCTGTCACCCAGGCTGGAGTGCAGTGGCACAATCTCTGCTCACTGCAACCTCCACCTCCTGAGTTCAAGCGATTCTCCCTGCCTCAGCCTACCGAGTAGCTGGGATTACAGATGCACGCCACCACGCCCGGCTAATTTTTGTATTTTTAGTAGAGACAGGGTTTCGCCATATTGGCCAGGCTGGTCTTGAACTCCTGACCTCAGGTGATCCTCCCACCTTAGCCTCCCAAAGGGCTGGGATTACAGGCGTGAGCCACCGCGCCTGGACTTGTGACAGGTATTGAAAATGCAAAACCAAGCTTGCTTGACTGCCAGCTTAATAAGATATCCAGTTATTACACAAAAAAAAACCCCACCACTGACAGAATATGAAATCATCTCTGTCTCTGAAATGATAATCGGCATAAATCAGTTTTTCTCATATTTCTACATTTGTTGCTTCAAACAAATGGCATCTCATATTAAGCAATTCTGTGGAGGCCATTTTGATACGCTTACGAAGGGAAATTGCTAAACAATTAAGTTCTATTTTGAGGCTATTCTTTCACAATTTCATGGATCATGTAAATGATCTGTTCATTCATTCAGTCACTCAGCAAATGTTTACCACACACTCCTGTGTCAGAGGCACGTCTGGATCACTGGGTACACACCAGGAGGCGAGGCAGATGCAACCGTGGCCTCACGATGCTTCCAGTCTAGAAGCTTCGGAAATTGGATCAATTCTGCATTAGAAACTAAGGCTTATTATCAAAGCTATTTTATTATTAAACTGCCTCTCTCCTTTTTTTCTTATTCCTCATAATACATCCATGCCTTCCACTGCTGGAAGCCAGTGAGTCACTCTAGCTAGTGAGGACAAATCAACAGGAGAGAACAATCGTTCACGCGTTTCAACACAGCCAGGCCCAGGGCCTTCACTTGCAAGTGGGTTGCTGTGAGCAGAGAGTGTTCCCGATGGGGAGGAGACCAGTTACATATCAATGTAAACTCTGCTGATAAATTGTCAAAAGAGATCTCAGAAGAAAAGGACCTAAATCTAAAGTCTAGGTATTTGTGATTTCTTTCTCATTCTAAAGTAATATTCATTTTCCTACCTAAATTTCTTACTTTTTCTTAAAGAAGACCTTCAAAATTGTATAAGTTTCAGAATCCACAAAACCTGGATGTGTCCTGGGTGAATGTTTAGAGATTTAAGAAGGAAAACAAATAACTTCCTCTGCTGGGCAGAACCATACCCCCTCCCTTCCCCTAAAGATGTCCATGTCCTAATCCCTGAAACCCGTGAAAATGTCACCTTACAGGACAAAAGGGTCTTTGCTGATGTGATTGAGCCTCTTGAGATAGGAGATCATCCTGGATTATCTGGGTGGGCCCACATAATCAGTCACAAGGGTCCTTATAAGGAGAAAGAGGGCTAGGCGAGGTGGCTTAAGTGCGGTAATCCCAGCACTTTGGGAGGCTAAGGCCAGTGGATCACCTGAGGCCAGGAATTTGGGACCAGCCTGGGCAACATGGTGAACCCTGCCTCTACTAAAAATACAAAAAAAATTAGATGGGCATGGTAGCATGCACCTGTAGTCCCAGCTGCTTGGGAGGATGAGGCACGAGAATCGCTGGAAACTGGGAGGCAGAGATGGCAGTGAGCCAAGGTCGCACCACCACGCTCCAGGCTGGGCAACACGCAAGACTCTATCTCAAAAAAAAAAAAAAGAAAGAAAAAGAGGGAGACTGCAGAGTCAGACTAAGAGGAGGTGATTCAACGACAAGGGAAACAGAGGTTGGAGTGATGCAGCCAAAAGCCAAGGAATGTTGGCTGGACAAGACAAAGAAATGGGCTCTGTCCTAAGGCCTCCAGAAGGAGTGCAGCCTTGAGACACCTCGATGTTTAGGACTTCTGACCTCCAGAACTATGTAAGATAATAAATTTGTACTGTTTCAAGCTACTACGTTTGGGATCAGCTGTTACAGCAGCCGTGAAAAACACGCTTCCTTTTGTCTGGAAACACCTCATTTCACAGACACCCTTCTCCGGTGATGTTGTGAACCACCAGGTTCCATACTGGGTCCTCGTTCACTGTCATGACTAGGTAGGACCAACTATATAATTTGCAGGACCTGGTGCAAAATGAAAATAGGAAGCCCCCGGTTCAAAAAGCAGGGGGGAAAATGCCATTAAAGGAACTAGAATATAAAGCTTTTCCTTTCTTCTATGTCCCTCCCCTGGCAATGTGGAGACTCCATTGTTTCACTGAACTTTGCTTACAAAACACAAGTTCAAAGATAAAATTATTAGCAATCTCAAGACATGACAGCAGAGCATTAAACAAGCCCAGTTCCTTCTGCACATGGGGCCTTGTGTGACCACACAAGCCACAGGTCTATGAAGCCCATCGCATCCCTGGGCTGATGTGGCAGGCCCAGAATGAAGCCCACAGTGTCAAAATGGGAAAATCAGCCAGGGTTGATTATTCAGAAAAAAAAAAAAAAAGCCACAGAGAGATTCAGAAGTAGAAGTTCTGGATGGAGGGAAAGCAAAATGCAAAAAAGTGCAATACCCACAGCCAGAACGGGAAGTCCTGATCTAAGCCAGTCCAGGGAGGGAAGCAGCAGAAACCCCAGGAGCCTGGGAATGGGAATTGGACATCCTGCCGGGGGAGCCTGGGATTTGAGAAGGAGAAATTTCAATTCCCAATGGAAATGAGAAGCTAGGTAAGAAAGAAGGTAAGACCATCTTCTCAGCAATCAGAAACTAGTGGACCACTATCTGGGGTCTCTAAGCTCTCAGGTGTGAGGAATGGTTAATTTTTTTTTTTTAAGTGGGATGGACCTGGTGGCTCACGTCTGTATTCCCAGAGCTTTGACATGCCGAGATGGGAGGATTGCTTGAAGCCAGGAGCTCAAGATCAGCCTGGGCAAAACAGTGAAACCCCATATCTACAAAAAATTTTAAAAATTAGCCTGGTATGATGGTGCACACCTGCAGTCCAAGCTACTTGAGAGGCTGAGGTGGGAGGATCACTTGAACCCAAAAGATAGAGGCTGCACCAGCACTTTGGGAGGCCGAGGCGGGCAGATCACCTGAGGTCGGGAGTTCAAGACCAGCCTGACCAACATGGAGAAAACCCATCTCTACTAGAAATACAAAATTAGCCGGGTGTGGTGGTGCATGCCTGTAATCCCAGCACTCGGGAGACTATGGCAGGAGAATCACTTGAACCCAGGAGGCAGAGGTTGCAGTGAGCCAAGATTGTGCCATTGCACTCCAGCCTGGGCAACAAGAGTGAAACCAAAAAAAAAAAAAAAAAAGAAAGATAGAGGCTGCAGTGAGCTACGATCACATCTCTGCAATAGAGTGAAACCTTGTCTTAAAAATAAATTAATGAATTAATAAGTTGGTTTTTTTTTTTTTTTTTTTTTTTTTTTTTTTTGCAGAGACAGAGTCTCACTCCGTCGCCCAGGCTGGAGTGCAGTGGCACGATCTCGGCTCACTGCAACCTCCGCCTCCCAGGTTCAAGTGATTCTCCTGCCTCAGCCTCCCGAGTAGCTGGGACTACAGGTGCCCGCCACCACGCCCAGCTAATTTTTGTATTTTTAGTAGAGACGAGGTTTCATCACGTTGGCCAGGCTGGTCTCAAACTCCTGACCTCAAGTGATCTGCCCACTTCAGCCTACCAAAGTGCTGGGATTACAGGCGTGAGCCACCACACCCAGCCAAATAAATTTAATTTTTAAAAAAAGAATTTAAAAAAATAGATATTGGCTCAAAAGGAAAAAAACTGTAGAAATCTAAATATAATATTTAACTAAATGTCTATAAAACCTTTTAAGTATTGACTTTGGTATTCATAAAAAATTTAATTATATTCCCATTGTTGGCTGCTGGGTCATTAAAAAGAGAAAGAAAAAAATTAATTACATTCAAAAAGCAATCTAAGGCTTAGCTTTTCTGACTTCAAGAGAATTCCTAAGTATGCACAATGATGGCCAAGAAATCGCAGTCAATCGTAAATCAAATATGCTTAGGGGCCAAATACTTTCAAAAGCAAAATTATAAAAATCTTTCTGATTCTTTCATAAGGAATAAAAGCACTTAATGTGGAATGGGGGAGCATTTTAATATGATTGTTGCAATATGGGATGAGTCCTCAAAAAGCAGGAGTTTTTTTAGAGGTCTATACAGAGCCTAAAAGGCCCCAGGGAATGGGGAAGGAACGGGATTCCAAGAAACTTAATTCCTCTCTCAGAGTGGGAGCAGAAACAAAACTCATCCCATGTGAATTAGCTGAGGCTCACGGAGGGCTGATGATAGGGTCAGGGAAAAAGCAGGGTGGGCCTTCCCAGGGAGGAGGGTGGTCTCTTGCTGTTATCATCACCCCGGGGGATGAGACCAGCAAGCCAGGAGCCTTCAGAGGATGGGATGATGGGAAGGAGAACTCCTGGAAAAGAGTGAAGAGCACCTCCCATAGATGCAGAGGAGAACAAGGTGGGAGCTGGTCCCTCAACTGTCCACAGTCGAGAGAGACCCCAAGGTTCTCCAGACCCCATCAGACAGCTCTGGATGGGAACAAGGCCGGGGGTGGAAACGTATGGCCGCTGTGCAAGGTCACTTGAGAAGACCTGCATAGGGGTTAAATAGTGGCCCCAAAAAGAGACATTCAAATCCCAGTCGCTGTGCCTGTGCATGTAACGTTGTATTCATAAAAAGTCTTTGCAGATGTAATTAAAAATCTTGAGATGGGGCCGGGCGTGGTGGCTCATGCCTGTAATCCCAGCACTTTGGGAGGCTGAAGCGGGCGGATCACTTCAGGCCAGGAGTTCAAGACCAGCCTGGCCAACATGGTAAAACTCCGTCTCTACTAAAAATACAAAAATCTCTCGGGCATGGTGGCGGGCGCCTGTAATCCCAGCTAGTCGGGAGACTGAGGCAGAAGAATCATTTGAATCCAGGAGGCAGAGGTTGCAGTGAGCTGAGATTGTGCCATTGCACTCCAGTCTGGGCGACAGAGTGAGACTCCGTGTCAAAAAAAAAAAAAAAAAATCTTATGGGATCATCCAGATTAACCAGCTAAATCCTAAATTCAATGACATATGTGCTTGTAAGAGACCAAAGGGGAGAAATCAGGGACACAGAGAAGAAGAAAAGGCCATGGGAACGTAGAAATAGAGATTGGAGTGAAGCAGCCACAAGCCAAGGAACGCTCGGAGCCGCCAGAAGCCAGAAGAGGCAAGGAAGGATCCTCCCCTGAAGCCTTCAGAGAGACCACGACCCTGACAACACCTTGATTTTAGACTTCTGGCCTCCAGAGCTGTAAGAGAATAAATTTCTGTAGCTTTGAGCCACCCAGTTTGTGGTGTTTTGTAGTATTTTGTATGGGTTTTGTTTTGTTTTGTTTTGTTTTGTTTAAGACTGAGTCTCTCTGTGTCACCCAGCCTGGAGTGCAGTGGCGCGATATCGGCTCACTGCAGCCTCCACCTGCTGGGTTCAAGTGATTCTCCTGCCTCAGCCTCCAGAGTAGCTGGGATTACAGGCGTACGCTACCACGCATGGCAGATTTTTTGTATTTTTAGTAGAGATGGGGTTTCACCATGTTGGCCAGGCTGGTCTTGAACTCCTGACCTCAAGTGATCCACCCACCTTGGCCTCCCAAAGTGCTGGGATTACAGGTGTGAGGCACTGCACCTGGACAATGTTGTAGTATTTTTCTTATGGCAGGCCTAGGAAAGGATGACACCCTGACTTTACCATTTCTACCACAAGGCCAGCAAGGAAGTCCCCCAAGCACCAGGGACTGCCCTGAGCAAAAGAGTCCATGACATACTCTCCCCCACCCTTCTGCATCAGGAGGAAGGCTGCACAGGTAGACAGGTGCATGAATCTCCCGACAGCCACGTAGGAGCTCCATTGTCCTGAATGAGCTTACTTTCTATTTTCCCGCCAGCCTTTCTGCCTGTCTCCTTCATGCCCACCCCTCCACCTCCCATCCCCATCCCCTGCCATGACAAATCACTGGAGGATAACTTATCCTGAAATGCATCATTTTAAATTTTTCCCAAAAAACTTTTATGGAAGGTGAATTTAAAAATAGTGAAATAGGTCAGGCGAGGTGGCTCACACCTGTAATCCCAGTACTTTGGGAAGACAAGGCGGGCAAATCACTTGAGGTCAGGTGTTCCAGACCACACCCTGGCCAACATGGTGAAACTCCGTCTCTACTAAAAATACAAAAATTAGCTGGGCGTGGTGGCGTGTGCCTGTAATCCCAGCTACTCAGGAGGCTGAGGCAGGAAGATTGCTTAAGCCCAGGAGGCAGAGTGAGCAAACATCTTGCCACTGCACTCCAGCCTGGGTGACAGAAAGAGATCCTGTCTCAAAAGAAGCAAACAAACAAACAAAAATAGTAAAATCTCTCTTAGCCGAAAAGCCTTCTCAGAAGCCTGAGTTCTTGCTCAGCAAAACCTTCGTTTAGGTCTGTGGGTTTGTCAACGACAGCACTCATGTGGGCATTCAGGGAGGTATTCCTCACTTAGGCCGTGGATGCCTCAGACTCTAGGACCTGCTGGCTTCTTCCCTAGGGCAGCAGCAGCAGCGACAGAAAGGCATAAAGGCAGAAGCACACAGGCATGTGACAAGAGACCAGGGCATGGCAGTTTAAGCCCAGATTTTGCCAGTAACTCGCTGGGCAACCTTCTCCTCTCTGGTCCTGAGAAATAGAAGAGTTGGACCAGGGAAGGTCCAAGGTCCCTTTCTCAGTGAAGGCTCTGAGTTTCTGATTTACTGCCTCAGTAAAACAGTGCCAGGTCCCAGACTGGAAGAGCACAGCTGTGAATTTGGAACCAAGGCCTCATCCAGTTTAAGGCATTCTGTTGTATCCTTAATTTTAAATACAGGCCAGGCACGATGGCTCACGCCTGTAATCCCAGCACTTTGGGAGGCCAAGGCAGGCAGATCACCAGAGGTCAGGAGTTCGAGACCAGCCTGGCTAACATGGTAAAAGCCTGTCTCTACCAAAAATACAAAAATTAGCCAGGTGTGGTGGCAGGCAGCTGTTGTTCCAGCTACTAGGGAGGCTGAGGAAGGAGAATCGTTTGAATCTGGGAGGCAGAGGTTGCTGGGAGGCAGAGGTTGCAGTGAGCCGAGATCGTGCCACTGCACTCCAGCCAGGGCGACAGAATGAGACTCTGTTCCAAAATAAACAAAAACAATTTAAATACAAACAAACAAAAACCACCTCCCTGTGCTAATGGGGACTATCTCAACCTCACAGAAAAACAGCCAGAGCTCCTAATTCAGCTTCCAGTCTTGTGACCATGCATCAGTTTGCAGTGAGCTTGTTATGGGTTACGTTGTGTACCCCCAACCCAAAATTTGTTTGATGAAGTCCTAACCCCCAGTCCCTCTGACTGTGATTATTTGGAGAGAGGATCTTTACAGAGGTAATCAAATTAAGGTGAGGTCATTAGGGTAGGCCCTAATCCAATATGACTGGTTTCCTTAAAAAAAAAAAAAAGATGAAATTTGGGGCCTGGCGCAGTGGCTCAAGCCTGTAATCGCAGCACTTTGGGAGGCCGAGGTGGGCAGATCATGAGATCAGGAGATCGAGACCATCCTGGCTAACACGGTGAAACCACGTCTCTATTAAAAATACAAAAAATTAGCCAGGCGTGGTGGTGGGCGCCTGTAGTCCCAGCTACTTTGGGAGGCTGAGGCAGGAGAATGGTGTGAACCCGGGAGGCGGAGGTTGCAGAGAGCAGAGATTGCACCACTGGACTCCAGCCTGGGTGATAGAGCGAGATTGTGTCTCAAAAAAAAAAAAAAAAAAAAAAAGAGATGAAATTTGGACACAGATACGCATTAAGAGAAGACAGTATGAAGAGACAGAGGAAGAAAATGGCCATCCACTAGCCAAGGAGAAAAGCCAGGCACGGTAGCTCATACCTGTAATTCCAGCACTTTAGGAAGCTGAGGTGGGAGGATCTTTGAGTCCAGGACTTCAAGACCAGCCTGAGCAATATAGCAAGATCCCATCTCTACTAAAAAAAAAAAAAATCAAAAAAATTAGCTGGGCGTAGTGGTGCACTCAGGAGGCTGAGGTAGGAGGATCACTTGAGCCTCAGGAGAAGGAGGCTGTAGTGAGCCACGATTGTGCCACTGCACTCCAGCCTGAGTGACAGAGTAAGACCCTATTTCAAAAAAAAAAAAAAAAGAGAAGCCTGGACAGATCCTTCCCTCACAGCCCTCACAGTCCTCAGGAGGAAGCAACCCCCATGACACCTTGGTTTCTGACTTCTGGCCTCCTGAATCACATGAGAGACAATAAATTGTCCGTTGTCTAAGTCACCTTGCCTATAGCACTTCGCTAAGGCAACCCTAGCAAACTAATCCAATGCTAAAGGTCACTGTCACTTCCACCGGGGAATTTAGTGCTGGGAAGAACCTCCAAGAGCATCTGGTCCAAGCCCCTCACTTCACAGATGGAAGCACCCAGATCTCGCCTTGGCCCCATTCTCCCACGTTCCACACACTGGTGAGCCCCTAATCACCCTAGGCTGTCAGATTTGAGTCGTAGCTTTGCAGCTCAACCACGAAAATGATTATTATAAGCAAAACTACAGGGAAACAAGTCAGAATACCAAAGCTAATAAAAATGCTTCAAGGACAGGCCGGGCGCGGTGGCTCACGCCTGTAATCCCAGCACTTTGGGAGGCCGAGGCGGGCAGATCACAAGGTCAGGAGATCGAGACCATCTTGGCTAACACGGTGAAACCCCATCGCTACTAAAAATACAAAAAATTAGCCAGGCATGGTGGTGGGCACCTGTAGTCCCAGCTACTCGGGAGGCTGAGGCAGGAGAATGGCGTGAACCCAGGAGGCGGAGGTTGCAGTGAGCCGAGATCGCGCCACTGCACTCCAGCCTGGGCGACAGAGCGAGACTCCAACTCAAAAAAAAAAAAAAAAATATGCTTCGAGGACTTCCCAGGTACATCCTCCGACAAACAACTGACGTTCTCTGCCCAGGTCTTGAGACATCGAGAGAGAGAGGTGTGAATACTATAGCTATTTTCATGGTGAGACTTCTACGATTATTTTAAAATAATATGTCACTGAGACTTTACAGACTCACATTGGTCTTTTACCTAAAGTCATCCTAATCAGCAAGGCTTCACCACATACTCAGGAAACCTCAGTCGGACCCTGTAACAGATAATAACCCACACAGAAAGCCTCACACATTAAAGGCACTCAAAAAATCATTTGTCTAATTAAATGATGGCACCCTACAAATTGCCCTGTGCCTTCCACTCCCACTAGAGTAGGTTGGGTGTTGACCCATCAATATGATTTCCCAGGAACTTGCTTAATAAAACTATTCAAAATATAAGGGGAAAAAAGATACTGATCATCTTAATGCTCAACAAAAGGTTAAATAAACTACAGAGCATAAGTGCAGTGGACTTTTATGCCATTTGCTAAATGATAAACATCATAGGACTATAGGAAATATTTATGATATCAAGCTTGTGAAAAAAGCAGGATTCAAAAATATATGCTACTTGTCCTTGCAATGGTAAAAAAAAAAAAAAAAAGTAATATGCAAATCACAGAAGACTGGCAGATAATTCCTAATAATTTAAAGTAGTTGGGGCATTCGGTGATAAGAGCATAGGTTTTCCTCCTCTTTCTGTAATGTTATCTTCCTTTTATAATTTAAATATATTTTAATAAGGTATAAAAAAAGGTTGCATACAGAAAGTAAGGCTCATTGAGCTTAAACAATAAGACCTAAAGTAGGTATCAAAACACAGTCACGAAACCCAGGGCTCCTAATTTTCAACACAAGACTCTCAAACAATAAAATAAACCCTGTGTTTATATCCACGGCCACCTAGATGTTTAAAACACCCAACTCTTTGGAAAGCCAGTTGCAATTGAAAGTTTCCACGATTTGTTTTAATCCATCGTTTCCCAAGAATTTTCTTCACCTCATTAGCTCTTCAACAGGCCAGCTGCAGAATGAGGTTGTCTCCATGTGATGAGAACCAAAGGCCTAAGGAAGCTTTCTCCCTTCCTCCCTCCTACCCTTCTTCCTACAAGCACAGGGTCCTCCTCCAAGCCCCTGGGGCCTGCCTTCACCACCATGCCAGCCTCTCACTCTGCGATTCATGTCTCTTCCCTATCAGTTTCACAGGCAGATGGTTGGCGAGGCCTGGGCTTTGACAGAACATCTGAACCATGCGGGGCCTACAGACCCGTGGACTTTCACCACCCACCAGAGACTCCATCCCTCTGCCTTCCTAAATGCTACCTGGATGCTCCCAGGAAACCATAGGTTCAGGGCAAAGTGTCTAAGCCAAAGGCTCCGTTTTCCCTCCCTACAGCCCCAGAAAAGGATAGAAAGTGGGACTTTCCACAGGGCCCCTGACATGTACCCAAAGCTGCCATCAGGGAGCCACCTGGCACTTGGACATTAGAATGTTGTCTGCCAAGGTGCCTGCTTCTGAGGTTGAGAAGGCTATGCTAAGTTCTTCCAGAATTTTCTATAGCCATAGTGGGCAAGTACCTTCTAGTCCATTTTAATACCAAAATTCATTTTGTATTAATTTTAACAAGCATTGATTACCTAGCATGTAGGCCAGCTATTATTATTGCTCTAACTCCACTGCTATGGTTTTAATATCCCCTCCAAAACTCATGTTGTAACTTAATCCCCAATGTACCAGTATTGAGAAGTGGGGCCTTTAAAAGTTGATTGGGGCTGGGCATGGTGGCTCATGCTTATAATTCCAGCACTTTGGGAGGCCAAGGCAGAAGGATTGCTTCAGCCCAGGAATTTGAAACCAGTCTGAGCAACATGGCAAAACCCTGTGTCTACAAAAAATACAAAAATTTGTCGGGCATGGTGGCACGCGCCTGTAGTTCCAGCTACTTGGGAGGCTGAGATTGGATGATGGCTTGAGCCCAGGAGGTTGAGGCTACAGCGAGCCAAGATCGTGCCACTGCATGCCAGCCTGGGCACAGAATGAGACCCTATCTCAACAAAAAACAAAAAGTTGACTGGATCATGAGGGATTCATAGATTAATGGGTTATCATGGGAGGGGAACTGGTGGTTTTATGAGAAGAGGAAGAGATTTGAGCTAGCACACCCAGCCCCCAGCCATTTAATACCCTGCTCCACTTCAAGACTCTGCAGAGTCCCCACCAGCAAGAAGGCCCTCACCAGGTGCAGCCCCTTGACCTTGGTTTTCTCAGCCTCCGTAACTATAAGGAATAAATTTCTTTTCTTTATAAATTACTCAGTTTCTGGTACTGTTATAAGCAACAGAAAACAAACTAATACACCCCTCAAAAAATGGTTAGTCAAGTAAATTGTATTAGCAAATAATTCATTCTTTTCCCCATCTTATATTTATCAAAAACACTGATATAGCTACCAGAGCTTCAGATCAGTATGAAATACCAGGGCTCCAAAACTGCGAGGCTGTCACTCCAGCCAAAAGTAAAGAAACCGAATTATCATTTGCCTTTGCTTCATTCAGCATTTGGAAATATTAATAATTGATCGATGTGATGCCAGCAGCCCCATCAAGCTTAGGAACCCAAAGTTGGAAGTCACTGCTGCAGGGGGTAAAGAATAAATGACACACACTGTCCTTGGCTTTGAGAAACAAGGAAAACAATAATGTAAATATGTCCTCGCAAAACAGTTAACTACATAAGCAGCTCCCAATCCTTGTCCATTGCTGTTCTAACATACATACTGATACGGTTTGGCTCTGTGTCCCAACTCAAATCTCATGTCAAATTGTAATCCCCACGTGTTGATGGAGGAGCCTGGTGGAAAGTTTTTGGATCAAGGGGGCAGCCTTCTCCCTTGCTGTTCTCATGAGATCTGGTTGGTTGACGGAGTATAGCACCTCCCACTTCAGTCTCTCTCCTGCTGCCATGTGAAGAAGGTGCTTGCTTCCCCTTTGCCTTCCGCCATGATTGTAAGTTTCCTGAGGCCTCACAGCCATGCTT
Source organism: Homo sapiens (assembly GCF_000001405.40). Taxonomy (NCBI): domain Eukaryota; kingdom Metazoa; phylum Chordata; class Mammalia; order Primates; family Hominidae; genus Homo; species Homo sapiens. The sequence goes on from NC_000017.11 coordinate 73,115,285, forward strand.
CCTGTTAAGCCTATGGACTGTGAGTCAATTAAACCTCTTTTCTTCATAAATTACTCAGTCTCAGGTAGTGTTTTATAGCAGTGTGAGAACGAACTAATACATATACTGATAAGGTTTCTCAGCCCTAAAGAGGAATACAATGTATGTATATTATCCCTCTGGTGAAGAGAGAAGACACTTAATACGCATTTGTCAAATAAATGAACGGTGACTCACTTTTTTTTTAAGACAATTAATTTTTACAGGGCACACTCTTAGGCAAGACTTCTGGTACATGATCTCACAACAACATCAAAGTCCAAAATTAATCAAGAAAGTAAGTGCAGCTGCTGTTCTAGGAGGCTGGAGAGACATTGGGTGATTAGGCTGGCAGGAGACCTAGTGGGTCTAGTGGGTGCTCACCCTGAGATGATCTCCTCTCCCTAATGCTTATTCATTCTCTTCTCTTGAAGAGGCTTCCCATCTTTGAGCCTTTGCTGGGCAGGATTTTGGTTACTGTGCTGAAATAGCGAGGGGGACTGGTGGAGTGAGGGCAAGATCCTTACAGGATGTGAAGGATGTGGGTAGGCTGAAAGAGGTAGAAATTAACCAGGAGTGAAAAAAAAAAAAAAAACAAGCAAAAGAAATTAACCAGGAGTGGACCGGGCATGGTGGCTCACGCCTATAATCCTAGTGCTTTGGGAGGCTGAGACAGGCAGATTGCCTGAGCTCAGGAGGTCAAAACCAGTCTGGGCAACATGGTGAAACCCCGTCTCTTCTAAAACTATAAAAAATAAGCTGGGCATGGTGGCATGTGCCTGTAATCTCAGCTACTGGGGAGGCTGAGACACAGGAATTGCTTGAACCCAGGAGGTGGAGGTTGCAGTGAGCTGAGATCATGCCACCTTTCTCCAGCCTGGGCAACAGAGCAAGACTCTGTCTCCAAAACAAGGAAATAGGAATTAACCAGGAGTGTTTGGCCAACCACATGGAAACTGGCCAAGCCATGTAGAAAGGAGTTTTAGAGAGCATGCCTACTGATTCTACTCTAATTCACCTGCAAATCCACATCCACGCAGACCCTATGGATCTAACATTGTAGCCCTGAATTACATAAAATCTTGAAACTTTTTTAAAAAAAGATTTATGTATATTTCTCACCCTTGAGAGAATATCAGTTACCGAAGAGTTAAAAATATCTCTTACTTTTTTCTACCCACCACAAAACTTACTTCCTTAAGGATAAAAACCTCGGGAACTATATTAGTCTGAAAATAATGAAAGTTTTAGGGCAGGGGTGTGGCCTGCTCAAAGGAGGGGTTGGGGAAGAATCTGGACACAGTGGGCAACAGGGATGGGGGCAAGAAAAGATTGGAGCTGAGGCTGGGTGGGGTGGCTCACGCCTGTAATCCCAGCACTTTGGGAGGCCGAGGGTGGGTGGATCACCTGAGGTCAGGAGTTCCAGACCAGCCTGACCAATACAGTGAAATCCTGTCTCTACTAAAAATACGAAAATTTTTTGTATTGGTGACATGTGCCTGTAATCCCAGCTACTCGAGAGGCTGAGACAGGAGAATTGCTTGAACCCAGGAGTTGGAGGTTGCAGTGAGCCGAGATCACGCCATTGCACTCCAGCCTGGATGACAGAGCGAGACTCTGTCTCAAAAAAAAAAAAAAAAAAAGACTGGAGTTGAGAAATCTGTTGGTGGAGAATGCAAATCACAGGTGGAAGACAAGAAGCACTACCCTCCTGGTGACAGAAAATGTGCCCCAATGTTAGGCAGTGGAGTACATAACATCATACCTGTTTTCATTCCCAGAATAGGACAGAAACTTACTATAACTGAGTCAATCAAACATCTTTGAGTTTCCACTGCACCAGGTCTCAGAGCCTTTCTTATGAAAAGAAGCTCACTAGGTCCAATCTTACCTGGCCCCCTGGGGATACTGTGGGGCTTGATAGGGTAACCATCTGTTCTGGTTTACTCAGGACTGAGGGGTTTCCAGGGATGTGGGACTTTTGGTGTTAACTGGAACAGTCCTGGGCAAACAAAAATGAGGTGGTCACTCTACACCACATTGCACACGAAAGAAAGCCAAAGCTCAGGTTACTACCTTGCTACTCAATGTGTAGTCCCTGGGCTTGCAAGGTAGGCACCACGAAGGAGCCTGTTAAAGATGCAAAATCTAGCAGGGTGTAATGGCTCATGCTTATAATCCCAGCACTTTCGGAGGCTGAGGTAAAAGGATTGCTTGAGCCTGGGAGGCGGAGGTTTCAGTGAGCTATGATCACGTCACTGCACTCTAGCCTGGGCAACAGAGCAAGACCCTGTCTCAAAAAAAAAAAAAAAAAAAAAAAAAAGATGCAGAATCTCGGCTAGGTGTAGTGGCTTGCGCGTATAATCCCAGTGCTTTGGGAGGCTGAGGTGGGTTGATCACTTGAGATCAGGAGTTCGAGACTGGTCTGGCCAACATGGTGAAACCTCATCTCTACTAAAACTACAAAAATTAACCAGGTGTGGTGGCAGGAGCCTGTAACCCCAGCTACTCAGGAGGCTGAGGCAGGAGAATTGCTTAAACCTAGGGGGCAGAGGTTGCAGTGAGCCAAAATTGCACCACTGCACTCCAGTCTGGGCAGCAGAGTGAGACTCTGTCTCAAAAAAAAAAAAAAGATGTAGAATCTCAAATCTCAAGCCCCACCTTGATCTGATGAATGAGAACCCACATTTCAACCTGATTCCTGGGGACCTGTGCCCATCGGGTGTGAGGAACATAGGGTTATTAGATAAAATTTGTTCCTTCAGCATCCATGAGTCTGTGCATGTGCTATTTTATTTTGACTGTTTCAATATCAGAAGAAACCATCCAAAATTGGTGCCAAGTGAATTATAGCTTTTTATGACCATTTACAACACCACACTGCAAGAAGGCTAAAGAGTGATTTTGTTTCCTCTCTTCATTCTCTTCTCCAGATTTCAAGAAACAGAATGCAGCAGTCCAGAACATTTTGACTCTAGTGGTTGCTTTGCCAGGATTTCTCAACCTGAGCGCCACTGGCATTCTGCGCGGCACATTCCTTGCTGTGGGGCTGTCCTGTGCATGGTAGGATGTTTGGCAGCATCCCTGGCCTCTGCCTACTAGATGCACCTGTTATTGCACCTCCTCCCAGTTGTGACAGCCAAAAATGTCTCCAGACATTGCCCGATGTCTCCTAAGGGGCCAAACAGCCCCCAGTCAAGAACCACTGGCTTAGACAAAGAAGACATGCTCATGGAAATAAGAGCCAAAAGCAGACATGAGGGAGCTTGTGCTTGCCAGGAGTTTGTTAAAGTCTTGAAAACTATGTTCGGCATGGCACGGTGGCTCACGTCTGTAATCCTAGCACTTTGGGAGGCCAAAGAGGGAGGATCGCTTGAGCCCAGGAGTTTGAAACCAGTCTGGGCAACATAGGGAAACCCTGTCTCTACATAAAATTAGAAAATTAGCCGGGCGTGGTGGCACACACGTGTGGTCCCAGCTACTCAACAGGCTGTGGCAGGAGAATCGCTTGATCCCTGGAGGTGGAGGCTGCAGTGAGCTGAGGTCACACCACTGCACTCCAGCTTGGGTGACAGAGCGAGGCCCTGTCCAAAAAAAAGAAAAAAAAAAAAAACCCTGAAAACAAGGCCACACTGATACCCAACAGGCTTCTGGAGAGAACCAGCTGGGTGACCTGCAGGCCCACCCCATGTCGAAGGGGAAGCTGTCTGCCAGTGACACTAATGAAGACAAGCAGTCCCCAGTTGCCAGGGCTCAAGCCGTCTGCCCCACCACTTACAGCTGCTCTTTGTTATTTCAGCCACAGAGTGCAAGAAAGACCTTTTGCCGTTTTATTAGTGTGCCATGCTGAACGATATTAGAGGTTTCCTAGCAGCATTGTTAAAAAAAAAAAAAAAAAAAAAAGACTGAGTAGTTGACGTTAGAATCACCAGAGTGAACCATCTGGCTCAGTCCCCCACCATCATCACATGAGGCAGAAGGCCATACCAGATGGGGCACTTGCAGAGCTGGTCCCTGCTGTGAGCAGGTGCTGTTTAGTGTCTGGGTAGCCCCAGGAGGCTTATGGACTGAGAAACCATTCCCATCTCTGCCTCCGGGCTGGCCTGGGCCACACCCTTCCTCAAGGCATGTAAAGGAGGTTAACTACTCCATTTGTCAATTTTAAGATGCACTTTCTCCTCCCTGCTCCCACCCCCAGTTCAGCATCTTGGAAATCTGGATTCATCTTACAGCAATAGGACAATGGCCATCAGACAGGTATAAGGTGGGATGCAGCCATCAGGGCCTGACGACGCGCCAATGTCAAAAGCACCTGCAAAAAACTCTCAGGATAGTCCAGAAGGTTTGGAGGGAAATCCAAGAGGAGTGCCCTTTTGGCCCATAAAAGACTGATGGTCATAGAGAACGGGCAAGGAGGCAGGGAATTGGATGTCTTCAGAAACATTCCTGAAGGCGCAGAGTGGGCCAACCCTACTCTGCATGAGTACTACTCAGAGAGTGGTGCCTGGACCAGCAACATCAGCATCACCTGGCAGCTGGCAGGAAATAAATGCACATTCTCGAGCTCCATGCCAGACCTACTGAGTCAGAATCTCTGGGAGTGGGCCCAGCGCCGTGGCTCACGCCTGTAATCCCAGCAGTTTGTGAGGCCAAGGCGGGCGGATCACTTGAGGTCGGGAGTTTGAGACCAGCCTGGCCAAAATGGTGAAACCTCGCCTCTACAAAAATACAAAAATTAGCCAGGTATGATGGCGGGTGCCTGTTATCCCAGCTATTCAGGAGGCTGAGGTGGGAGAATTGCTTGAACCCGGGAGGCAGAGGTTGCACTGAGCCAAGGTCGCACCACTGCACTCCAGCCTGGGCAACAGAGAAAGACTCTGTCTGAGAAAGAGACAAAGAGAGACAGAGAAAGAGACAGAGAAAGAGAGAGAAAGAGACAGAAAGAGAGAGAAAGAGACAAAGAGAGAGAGGAAGAGACAGAGAGAGAGAAAGAGACAAACAGAGAGAAAGAGACAAAGAGAGAGAGAGAGAGAAGAGAAAGAGAAAGAGAGAAAGAAAAAGAAAAGAGAAAGAAAGAAAAGAGAAAGAAAGAAAGAAAGAGAGAGAAAGAGAGAGAGAGAAAGAAAGAAAGAAAGAAAGAAAGAAAGAAAGAAAGAAAGAAAGAAAGAGAAAGAAAGAAAGAGAAAGAAAGAAAGAAAATAAATTTCTGGAACTGGTCCAGCAATCTGTGTCTCAGGCCCTCCAGGATGTTCCGATGTAGGCTCGAGATGAGAAGTGCTGCTCTACATATTTGACTTAAATCAACGAACTTGGCTTAAATCGATATTAGCAACAATTATTAGCAACAATGGCCTTTAGTTCTTTTAAGGAATCTTTTAAGAAATGTTACATCATGGATACTGTAGACAAAGACGATAATATATGAAAAAATACTATCTCAAGTACTCTGACTTGAAAAGTGATAGAGAAGCATCAGACTCAAATATGAGAAAGTTTGAGGAAGCGATTCCTCTTCTAAATATTATATTTCCTTTATATGCATGCAAAATGTATATTTATATGTATGCATAGATGTATAGTTTTCTTCATGAGTATGCACAGCACATAATAAAACTAAGTCTAAAAATTTCTTTTTTTTTTTTTTTGAGACAGTGTCTCGCTCTGTTACCCAGGCTGGAGTGCGGCAGCATGATCTCAGCTCACTGCAACCTCTGCCTCCTGGGTTCAAGTGATTCTCCTGCCTCAGCCCCCTGAGTAGCTGGGATTACAGGCACCCAGCACCATGCCTGGCTAGTTTTTGTACAGATGGGGTTTCATCACGTTAGCCAGGCTTGTCTCAAACTCCTGACCTCCAGTGATCCGCCTGCCTCGGCCTCCCAAACTGCTGGGATTACAGGTGTGAGCCACTACATCTGACCATAAAAGAGCTCTTTTAATAAGTAAAAATTAAATATTCTAAGTATAAGCAAGTATTCGAGTTTTGAACTATACACTTTTTCTTTCTTGACGGTTCACAAAATACTGCATCCTTGGGTTGGCAGAGTCTTAGGTTCCATAAAATGTGGAATTCTACTGTGTAACTTTGCCTCACCTAACCTAACTCTTTTGTGATACAGTTTAAACCTTCTCAACAAGGCCACATTGCAGCTATCTACATGATAGTGTGTTCCGTACTCAAAGATCATTAATCGGCCTTTTCTCAGATTTATTTTCCCCCACTTGGCTCTTCCTCTGACCCTACGGTAGGTAGTCCCATTTCCTAATGCTCTCATCACGGTGGCTTCTTTCTGCATTCTCTCCAACTAATCGATGCTCCTCTCCAATTCCAGCATGTCTAAAACAAAATATGGGATAAGTGGCTGGGCTAAGTTTGACATCTGGACCACAGCTGTGCACTGCTGGAAGAGGGTGGCTTCCACCCATGACAATGAACTGACACAGAGCATCTGTTAGGGCCTGGGAATCAGAAACCAGCCTCTCTGTTGTACCTAGGACCCCAGGGTCCTTTTTTTATTTTTATTTTTATTTTCTGAGGCAGAGTCTCACTCTGTTGCCCAGGCTGGAGAGCAGCGGTGCAGTCTTGGCTCACTGCAACCCCGCATCCCGGGTTCAAGCAATTCTCCTGCCTCAGCCACCCGAGTAGCTGGGACTACAGGCACACACCACCACGCCCGGCTAATTTCTTTTCGTATTTTTTGTAGAGACGGGGTTTTGCCATGTTGGCCAGGCTGGTCTTGAACTCCTGGCCTCAAGCAATCCACCCCTCCTCAGCCTCCAAAAGTGCTGAGATTACAGGCATTGAGCCCCTGGCCCCCCAGGGTTCTTAAGTCATGAAAACAGAGAAAGTGATAAGACATCCACATGATAAGCAGCCCCAATTCTTCCTGGCAGTCAGATTTCTTTCTCTTCTTGTATGCCTTCTTTGGGCCTGAGCGCTGAGCTTCCTGCATGATCTTACAGGAATTGACTAGACACTAAAATAATTGCTTTGCAGCAAGATAGAGCCAATCCAGAGGGAATCAAGACATGAGTCTGGTGGTTGACATCACGCAAGTTTATGGAGGGAGCTATGTGTTTCACAGAGCGACAATGGCTCAGCCCGCCAGCCTGGCCTCCTGAAGCCAGCGCCAGCCTGGAAGGAGAGACCGTCCCTTCTCCCTCTTCGGGCATCAGATGATAAGAAAGTCCTGCTGCCAGGATGAACTTCAGGAACTTGAGGATCAGTAAGATGGTGGCTCCTGCACAACGGGGTTGCTTTTAAACAGAGGTGATCATTAAACATTCACCGAATGAAGGAGTCATGGATAAGGATGTGGATCTTGGGATCAGCGTGTGAAAACAAATAACTTGTAGGTATTTCATTTATTTGTTTTCAATGGTAGGGGGGCAGGGAAAGGGGTTGTGGTGTTTGTTTGGTCTGTCTTCCCTATGAGCATGTCAGCTCCAGAGTAGGAAGACAATGGTGATATCGTTCAGCCTGGTATATCCAGCACCTAAAGAAATAAATCCAGAGTAGGCACTCAATAAATAAATTTGCCAACTTCGCCAGTGAATTTATTGGTTCAAAGATGTCCCTCTCTCTTAGACCAGAGAGTCTCCAATGGCTAGCTTGGGGATAGGAATGGAAAGGACAGGGGAGAGGTCTCAAGACCTATTTATTTTATTTTATCTTATCTTATTTTATTTTATTTTATTTTATTTTTTGGAGACAGGGTCTCACTCTGCTGCCCAGGCTGGACTGCAGTGGTGTGCTCACAGCTCACTGCAGCCTCCACCTCATGGGCTCAGTCAATCCTCCCACTTCAGCCTCCCTAGTAGCTGGGACTACAGGCATGCACCACCACACCCAGCTAATTTTTGTATTTTTTGTAGAGATGGGGTTTCATCATGTTGCCCAGGGTGGTGAAACTCCTGGGCTCAAGCAATCCACTGGCCTCAGCCTCCTAAAGTGCTGGGAATACAGGCATGAGCCACCATGCCTGACCCATCTCAAGACCTTTAAAAAACTACATATAATAGCTAATGTTTTACCATGCTCAAAGCAATGTTTGTGCACAAAAGTGTAAAGTGCACAAAGCCCGAATAACAGGCCTGGGAACACTTGGTGGCAGGAGGCCACAAATCCCTTAAATGTCAAGGAAGAGGCACAGCAGAGCGTCAGCTTCTCTGAGTCCAAGGCTGAACCACAACATCACCCACCAGTGGAAGCACCACCGCTTTCCAAACCTGACCTGTAACAGGGACTCTACTGCCCATCGATTAAAAGTGTGGTGTCTTTTTCCAGAGAATTGCTACCCAGTAGCTTTAGCTTTGCCTCTGAGGTCTCATCAATCCTTTCCCTCTTATGTAAAAGCAGCATTCAGGTCCTCTCCGCAACTCTTCCCTCCTTGCACCTAAAAATCTGTTTTTCCAACCGTTCCTCCTTTGACCAAGCCCAGGCCCTCACCACCCACTAGGTCTCCTCTCTCAGCTCTCCACTCTCAACACGCTCTCACAGAGTGTGCTGAGGCTTGAGTGCCCTGACGAGAACGTGAAGCCTTGGGCCTCCCTGCTTCCTGTGGGCACAATGGCTCTGTCTACGCACAGGGCTCATTCTTCCTACTTTGTGCCTCATCCTCCTTCTCCAGTTTGGAAAATACCAAAATGAACAAAGGAGAAAGAAAAGTCACCCATAACCCACCATTCCCTCTCTCCCTTCCTGCCTTCCTTCCGTCCTTCCCTTCCTCCCTCCCTTCTTCCTTCCTTCCTGTTTTTATGAGGGATATAAGGTAAAAAGTAGGCTTGGTGTGATGGCTTATGCCTATAATCCCAGCACTTTGGGAGACCAATGCAGGGGGATTGCTTGAGTTCAGGAGTTCAAGACCAGCCTGGGCAATATAGTGAGACCCCTGCCTCTACAAAAAAAAAATGTTTAAAAAACTAGCCAAGCATGATGGCATGTGCCTGTAGTCCCAGCTACTTGGGAGACTGAGGCAGGAGGATCACTTGAGCCCAGGAGGTGGAGGCTGCAGTGAGCAGAGATCACACCACTGCACTCCAGGTTAGGCAACAGAGCAAGATCTTGTCTCAAAAAGTAAAATTAAATTAAATTAAATTAAAATTGAAATGAAGTAAAATCCTCCTCCTTCTATCTTCACCAACAGAGGTAACCACTGCAAACAGCTTGGATAGTTCCTTCTAAAATGTTTTACTGTCATATGCAAACATATATAGATATAGATGTATACACACATACATACACATACATATACATACGTTTATATCTATATAAATACACCCAAATGTATGCACACATATACACATATAACTTCTAATTATTTAGTTACATGTATTTCTGTATATGTACTTAAAGAAATGTAAATTTATAAGTATAGATAAAATTATGTGAGCTACAATTACATTAATTATATAATTACTAAATTATACTATCATCTTTTATTACATAGATCTTACTCTGGAACTTGTCTTTTTCACTTGAGTGGCATATCATAGATACTTTCCCAAGGGGCTTCACACCACTCTCCCTCTTCCTTTTTTGTCGTGTCTGTGGTGCTCCATTTGGAGCTGGGCTGTGTTAAAATTGGCCAGTCCCCTCCCGAAGGACTTTGAAGATGTTTTTAATCTTTTGCGTTGTCTGATGTTCTAACAATGATTCTTTTTTTTTTTTTTTTTTTTTGAGATGGAGTCTTGCTCTGTCACCCAGGCTGGAGTGCAGTGGCGTGATCTCGGCTCACTGCAACCTCCGCCTCCCAGGCCCAAGCAATCCTCCTGCCTCAGCCTCCCAAGTAGCTGGGATTACAGGCACCTGCCACCACACCCAACTAATTTTTGTATTTTTAGTAGAGACAGGGTTTCACCATGTTGGCCAGGCTGGTCTTGAACTCCTAACCTCAAGTGATTCACCCACCTCAGCCTCCCAAAGTGCTGGGATTACAGATGTGAGCCACTGTGCCCGGCCAATTTTTTTTTTTTTTTTTAATAGAGATGAGGTCTCTTTTCATTGCCCAGGCTGGTCTCAAACTCTTGGGCTCAAGCGATCCTCTCACCTCGGCCTCCCAGAGTGCTGGGATTGTTGGTATGAGCCACCGATTCCAGCCTCTAACGACTATTCTTAGGCACCTATCTTTAAGCACCAAGGAAGGTATTTCTACAGGACCCATTCCAAGAAATGCAAACTGGGCCATAGGGTGTGTGCATGTTTCATTTTGATAGATATTGCCAAATTACACTCCTGAAAGCGTTCTCCAAATTTCACTTCCATTACCAGTGACTTGGAATTCTTTTTTCCCCCCAAATCTGATAGGTAAAAAATAGCACCTCACTGGTATCTTCCCCCAGTGGTTGAGGCCCTCCTGTGTGCTAATGCACCAGCCATATCCTCAGAAAGGCAGGTGGAACGGTGGTTCAGCACAGGAGCCCCGCTGTCCAACGGCCAGGATTCTAGCATACTTCTGCCTGTTATTAACTAGTACCTCCATTTCATCTACAAAATGGGCAAACTCATAGTGCTGATGTGATGTATGAAGGGTACGTGTAAAGCTCTTAGCACAGAATCTTTGCCCCATTCTAAATGGAAGCAAGCCCTTGGAAATCTACATTCTCTTTCTTTTTTTTTTTTTTTTTTTTTTGAGACGGAGTCTTGCTCTGTCACCCAGGCTGGAGTGTAGTGGCGTGATCTCGGCTCACTACAAGCTCCACCTCCCGGGTTCATGCCATTCTCCTGCCTCAGCCTCCTGAGTAGCTGGGACTACAGGCGCCCGCCACCATGCCCGGCTAATTTTTTGTGTGTGTTTTTAGTAGAGATGAGGTTTCACCGTGTTAGCCAGGATGGTCTCAATCTCCTGACCTCGTGATCTGCCCACCTTGGCCTCCCAAAGGGCTGAGATTACAGGCTTGCGCCACCGTGCCCGGCCAGAATTCTACATTCTCTACAGAACCCACCTCTCTCTCAACTCTCCCAACCACCAATTTCACTTCTGTGTCCTCCACTCTTCTTTGCCTTTCTCTCCAATTCGCAGGGCCTTTTGCTCTCCTCCATAATCCTTTTGATCCTCCTGACCACACTCTTTTTCCTCACTATGGCAACCCACTGCACATACCTTTCCCTCTGTTGGAACCCACACCTCACTGGGCTCTAGCCCCCGTGGGCAGATCTTGAGCCCACCTAGCTTGCCCAAGCATTATGGTGAATGCCTTGCTAAAATCCCAACTTGCCATGCTCATGACATTCACCCCATCTACCCCATCTACCTGCCAACTAAGCCAGCAGAGAAAATAAATGATCGAGCCTCCACAGCTTAGCCTGCACTTCAATAAATAAAGATGTGCAATGAGATTTGGACCTGTTGCCATCCAATTGCTAACCTCCATCCCCAAATCCAGAGCTGAGAAGCAAAAGACAAGACAATTAGTCCTGGAACAGGCTCTGCTGGCCAGCAGAAGAGGTCAGCAGTGGTATTGAGCAGTACCAAAGCTGCTTTATGATAATTCTTCAGCTGGGTACAATGACCTTTCATTCCATGTTTATTTGGAAATGACCTTTAAGCAGCAATCATCCAAAATTAAATGCTCCAAAGGAATAAATTAGATAATGCAGATGTCCCCCAGTGGTCAGTTAAGGAATACAGTGGAAAATAAAAGCAGCTCTGCCCGGGGATGCCACGGGCTAGTCTGTCCATTAGACTAATAAGCGAATACAGAGTTCTCGCAACCTCTGTCAATCAGAAAATTGAGAACCTGAAGCCAGAGTGACCTAGACATGATTATTTTCAAAATTGAACCCAAACTAGCTGATATTTCACTTTTTGATTCTGCCTGGAGCACAGGTAACTGAGTTACTTGAATGCCCAAGAATTGATTTCGCATCTCAGGGAGAAAGAATCCCGAAGATTTGGGTTCAGTGGCAACTTGGTAAGCTCCACGTGCCCCATCCCAGCCTCATTCCAATGGAAGACATCATTCATTTGTGCTGACTCATTATGAGCATCTACCACACACTGGGTTCTTTGCTAAGTGCTGGAGAAAATTCAGCCCCTCAAGGTCAAAGACAGAGGCAGGCAACTGAGCTTTTGGGCCTGCAGGAGGCACGGCCCTCTCCACCATGGGAACATCTCATTTCTGTTCTCATTTTCTACTCTGCAGGCTCTGTTCTTTTTTTCCCACTCAATATCAGTTTATCCATTTTCCTCTTTCTTGCTTATATTTAATTTGACCAATGATGGCACTCCCAGATAGCACCAATGGGTGATGCTTGGAACTTAACAAATCATTCTTCCTAAAGTAGAAAGCATCTGAAAAGAGAACTTCAGCACCAAGGCCTTTGGCCTCCTCTGCCACCTGCTCAGTGAATCTTTTTTTTTTTTTTTTTTTTTTTGAGACGGAGTCTCGCTGTGTCACTCAGGCTGGAGTGCAGTGGCGTGATCTCAGCTCACTCCTGGGTTCACGCCATTCTCCTGCCTCAGCCTCCCAAGTAGCTGGGACTACAGGTGCCCACCACCATGCCCAGCTAATTTTTCCTATTTTTAGTAGAGATGGGGTTTTACCGTATTAGCCAAGATGGTCTCCATCTCCTGACCTCGTGATCTGCCCACCTCGGCCTCCCAAAGTGCTGGGATTACAGGCGTGAGCCACCACACCCAGCCAACTCAGTGAATCTTAAAATCACTTGGATCACAATCCCAGGGCAAGGATCTCTTTCCTACCCTAGGGGATCCACTGGAGGGATCCATGAGAGGAGATCCGAAGAGACAGGGAGGAAAGAGACTGCTTTCCTCCCACAAAAGCAGTTTCCACAACCTCCCCTGGTCACCTCAACTGGCCCATAACACCTATCACTGCTCCCAAAGCAAAGGCTGCCATACCAAAGGCCTTACATTGGGCCAGGCATGATGGCTCACACCTGTAATCCCAGCGCTTCAAGAGGCTGAGGCGGGGGGATCACCTGAGGTCAGGAGTTCGAGACCAGACTGACCAACATGGCGAAACCCTGTCTCTATTAAAAATACAAAAGTTAGCCGGGTGTGGCGGTGGGCACCTGTAATCCCAGCTACTTGGGAGGCTGAGGCAGGATAATTGCTTGAACCTGGGAGGTGGAGGTTGCAGTGAGCCGAGATCGTGCCACTGCACTCCAGCCTGGGCAACAGAGCAAGACTCTGTCTCAGAAAAAAAAAAAAAAAAGGCCTTACATGGGGCAGATATGAGGTCAGAGCCCAATCCCTGCTGCCAAGGACAGTCTGATTTCACCTCCAGCTACCTTAGGAACAGCAGTGGGAAGGCAGGGCTTCAGGAGACAACCTCCAGAGGCCCAGCCAGGCAGCGAAGGGGATGGAAATGAAACTATAGCATGTGCAGTGGTGGGAACACTGCCTGGAAATCCCAACCCCAGTTCAGATTTGAAGCTTCACTAACTCACTGAGCCAAGTCACGTCACCCTCTGCTTCTTATAATGAATGGAACCCGAGTGAGTCCTAAGCTGCAAAAAATCTGTGATCATAGTATCCCCCAAAATTGAAAACAGACTCAAATCAAACAAATCCTTGTACATAAATGTTCATGCCAGTACTATTCACAACAGGCACAAGGTAGAAGCAACCCAAATGTCCATCAACTGATGAATGGATACACACAATGGGGTCTATCCATACAATAGAATATTATCATTCAGCCATGAAAAGGCATGAAGTGCTGATCCATGCCACAATGCAGATGAACCTCCAGAACATTATGCTCAGTGAAAGAAGCCAGACACCAAACACCACATATTGTATGATTCCATTTGTAAGAAATAGCCAGAATAGGGAACTCTGCAGAAAGAGAAAGCAGATTGGGCTGGGTGCGGTGGCTCAATCCTGTAATCCCAGCACTTTGGGGGGCCAAGATGGGTGGATCACCGAAGGTCAGAAGTTCAAGACCAGCCCAGCCAACATGATGAAACCCCATCTCTACAAAAATACAAAAATTAGCTGGGCATGATGGCAGGTGCCTGTAATCCCAGCTATTCGGGAGGCTGAGGCAGAAGAATCGCTTGAACCCAGGAGGTGGAGGTTGCAGTGAGCCAAGATCATGGCATTGCACTCCAGCCTGGGTGACAGAGTGAGACTCTTCTCAAAAAAAAAAAAAAAAAAAAAAAAAGAGAGAAAGCAGATTGTGGTTGTCAGGGGCTGCCAGAGTGGGGAATAGGTAATGACTGTTTTATGGGTATAGGGTTTTATTTTGGAGTGACTAAAATTTTTTTGGAAAGACATAGAATTTGTACTTGTAGAACATTGCAAATATACTAAATGCCACTGAATTGTTCAATTAAAATGGTTACTTTTATGTTATGTGAATTTCACCTTAATTTTTGTCTTTTTTTCCTTTTTGTGGAGAATGGGATCTCGCTATATTGCCCAGGTAAGTCTCAAACTCCTGGGCTCAAGCTATCCTCCCGCCTCTGCCTCCCTAAAAGCTGGGATTACAGGCATGAGCCACCATGCCCGGCCTCACCTTAATTTATTATTATTAATTTATTAATTTATTTTAGACACAGGGTCTGGCTCCGTCATCCAGGCTAGAATGCAGTGGTGCAATCATAGCTCGTTGCAGCCTTAACTCCTGGACTCAAGGTTATAGGCATGAGCCACGGACCCTGCCCCCTTACTTCATTTTTTTTTTAAGTCTGGTGAGTAGGCTTACAATAGCTGGCTCCGACTGGGTTTCTGCAGAAGCCTCACCTGGGAAGGGTCGTAAGAAGGGCCACTCCCTCTATTTCTATTCTGGAACCCCTGACGCCACTTTTTTTCCCCAAACATAGCTAAATTAAGCTCTTTTCTATTTCTCTAGCAGAATTATATGTCTATTTGTTTACTATCTGCCCAAAAAGGCTAACTCCAAGAGGGTAGTGATTTGTCTGGTTCAACGTAACACCCCACTGTCTAGCCATGGGTGGGCGCTCAATAAATATTTGTGAATGAATAAGTGAATGAAACTATGCAGGTGATCCTGTTTACCTTTTTTTCTTTTTTTAAAAAATAAAAGCTATAAATGTGTTGGTGGGGATGCGAAATGATGTAGCTGCTATGGAAAACTCGATGGAGATTTCTCAAAAAATTAAACATAGAATTGCCATATGATCCAGCAATCCCACTTCTGGATATACCCCCAAAAGAATTGAAAACAGGATCTCAAAGAGATATTTGCACACCTTTGTTCGTTGCAGCATTATTCACAATAGCCAAGAGGTAGAAGCGACTATATGTCCATCCATGGATGAATGGATAAAGAGAATGTGGTCTGTGCTTACAACAGCGTCTTAGCCTTAAAAAGGAGGAAAATCCATCTTATGCTACACCATGGAAAAACCTTGAGAACATTATGCGAAGTGCAATAAGCCAGTCACAGAAGAACAAATACCACACGACGCACCGCTTATATCGAGGCATCCAAAGCAGTCAAGTTTGTAGAAACAAAGTAGAATGGTGATTGCTAGGGGCTGGGGAAGAGGGGGAAAAGGGGAGTTATTTAACGGATATAGAGTTTCAGTTTCGTAATATAAAACATCCTAGAGATCTTTTGCACATGATGTGCATATAGTTACCATTATGGTACTACATACTTAAAAATAGTTACGATGGTAAATTCTACATTATGTGTTTTTACAATTTTATGAAGCTATAGACACACGTATACATGAATGTATAATTATACATCTTTAATTTTTTTGTGTTCTTAAACCAGCCTGTGAGAGGGTAGCTGAACCCGTGAGAGCTCTGCTGCCTGGTTTTGAGTAGGGACTATCCTGGTGGGTGAGGCTTTGGACAGCAATGCCCTTGAGGAGAGCTGGGCTCCATATCCTGTCTCCAGGAACTCATCAGCACAGATTGGAAAAGTTTATATGGCTAGATGAAGTTGCAGGGGGACCATCTGAATAGGCTCATGAAGCAGGAGTCATTAACAAGAAAAGTCAGCTCAAGCGCTCTTTGCCAAGAACTGGCTGTACAAAACTCAGTCCAGAAAATATCAACCTTAATTACAAAGTGGGTCTCTCCTGGAGGGCAGTGCTCCTCCCCCGACCCCAAGAACTGGGTTGGAGCCATGGGGGGCAGGGTGGGTGCTAAACTGCACTAGTTGAAACTTTTTTTTTTTTTTAATGGAAGCAAGTTTATTAAGAAAGTAAAGGAATAAAGATTGGCTACTCCATAGGCAGAGCAGCCTGAAACTTCCAAAGAAAGGGAGAAAGAAGGAGTGAACTGGGCCCTCCTAAACGCTAGTGCAAGATTTGGTATACTACAACTCACAGGCCAAGTCTGGTTATGCCTGTTTTTATAAATAAAGTTTTATTGGGGCTGGGCACTGTGGCTCACTCCTGTAATCCCAGCACTTTGGGAGGCCAAGGCGGACAGATCACTTGAGGTCAGGAGTTTGAGACCAGCCTGGCCAACGTGGGGAAACCCCGTCTCTACTAAAAATATAAAAATTAGCTAGGCATGGTGGCGGGCACCTGTAATCCCAGCTACTAGGGAGACTGAGGCAGGAGAATTGCTTGAACCCGGGAGGCAGAGATTTCAGTGAGCCGAGATGGCGCCACTGCACTCCAGCCTGGGTGACAGAGCGAGACTCCAACTCAAAAAAAAAAAAAAAGTTTTATGGGAACCTAGTTATGGCCCATCATTGATGCATTGATTTATCATCTATGGCTGTTTCTTCTACAATAGAGCTGAGTAGTTGTGACAGAAGCTGTATAGCCCACAAAGCAGAAGATATTTACTCTCCGACCATTTACAGAAGAAGTTTGCCAACCCCCGATCTAGGGAAAGAAAACGGTGTCCTGTGTAGGGAAGGACATAATGCTTCGCTCCTTATTCAAGGGCCAGTAAATCCCGTTCCCTTTTGTTTTCTCCTGCTGTTCTGCATCCTAGCGCAATCAATTCCCAATTGTGTATGAAGTGCCACGGAAAATCCCCAGCGGCGGTTAATGCAAAAGCATTTATAATTGGTTTCAGATGCTAATAGGAATCATCTATCTCTCACTACTTCCCCCAGCAGATTTACCTTCTTAATCATGTGTGACTTAGGCTGATGTCAAGATGCATCTGCACTCCCAGAGCACCCCCTACACCCACCAGCTGCAAGGCAGAAAGGCAGGGGTGAATGCAGAAGTGATCTAAAGTGGCGGGCGCGGGGGGAGGGCGCACACCAAAAAAAACGGGTGGCATTACCCTGTGAGGAAGCACAGGGCCCAGCCAAAGCTGCAATACAAATAAGAAATAAGGGTTCTCTCTAGAACGGTTACTCTTAAACTGCTCTACCATTTTCACGGCCTCTCTCTGTCCATCATGGCAGCTCCTGGGGTTGTTGCTTGCAGAGCTGTGTAGCCTGCTGATAGCATTATGGTCAGTGGGCAGACCAGGGGAGGACTCTCTAGGATCCCCCAGCTGGTGCCAGGGAGAGGCATGGGAGGGGTTGAAACTAACTCTCCATCCAAAGACTCTAAAGATGGGTAGGGTCAATCGGCCTCTCAGGAGATGCTGAAGACTACTTCTTATGGGTTGTGGGCCATGGCCTCAGAATTTAGGAAGTTTACAAACAAGGCAGAGAGACCACAGAACATCAAATACTACTACAAGAGCTAATCAAAGAAAGAGAGAGAGAAATGGCTGGGCGCAGTAGCTCAGGCCTATAATCCCAGCACTTTGGGAGGCTGAGGTAGATGAATAGCTTCAGCCCAGGAGTTCAAGACTAGCCTGGGCAACATGGCAAGACTCTGTTTCTACTAAAAATACAAAAATTAGCCAGACCTGGTGTCACACACCTGTAGTCCCAGCTACTTGGGACGCTGAGGTGGGAAGATCAACTTGAGCCCAGGAGATCAAGGATGCAGTTAGCTGTGATCACGCTACTGCACTCCAGCATGGGTGACAGAGCAAGACCCTATCTCAAAAAAAAAAAAAAAAAAAAAAAGAGAGAGAGAGAGAGAAAGAGGGTAAACAGAAGACCTGTGCCAATGCAGTCAACAAGAAATTGCCAACTAAGTCACCTCAAACCTTTTATAGAACAAAAGAAGGTATAAGTATTTCTTTCTCATAAGGGCCAAGAAAGAAATATAGACACATACAATGAATTCAGAGGTAGGAGAGATGGCTCCAGCCAGACTGGCCCCAGAGGGCTTTCTAGAGAAGCAAGCACATGGCCCAGATCTCAGGGTGAGCAAGACGCCTCCTGTGGCCACTCAAGATGGTCAGAGTCCATCAACCCTGTCACAGGTTCCAAAGCACCCCTGTCAGAAGTTGTTCTGCATGGACCCTCCAGCCTCTTCTCCATCAGAGCTTTCTAGGCCAAAGAGTAGGAGCAGCAGCCATAGAACCAGTCAAGGAGCTCTGAGCCTCCTCCAGGCCCAGCTCTGTACAGGGGGGTTTTTTGGTTAATCCTCAAATAACCCCATAGTGTAAGTTTAACCCCTATTCCTAGAACAATACCCAGCATATAAT
Organism: Homo sapiens; assembly: GCF_000001405.40. Classification (NCBI taxonomy): domain Eukaryota; kingdom Metazoa; phylum Chordata; class Mammalia; order Primates; family Hominidae; genus Homo; species Homo sapiens. The sequence goes on from NC_000017.11 coordinate 73,133,767, forward strand.
AAGCTCTCCGGGAATCAGTATTTGTTTATTCATTAACTATATTTTTATTATGTTGAATAACTCCCCATCTTACAGATGGGGAAGGGGTAGAATTGCTAGATTTAGCAAACAAACAAAAAAACAGGACACTTCATTAAATTTAAATTTAAGATAAATAACAATATTTTAGTATAAGCATTGGAACACTGGGTGTCCTGTATTTTACTTAGTAACCCTAGGAAGCAGGGGATAGGGTGAGGAGCTGCAGCTCAAAGAGGTTTTGAATTTGCCTGAGGTCATCATGGGTAGGAAATGCCAAAAACAAATTCAAGCCCTGGTAGTCAAGCTCTAGAGCAAGTCTGATGGGCCTCTACACTGTCCCAGGCTGCTTCTCCCTTCTTGCCACTCCCACAGCCCTTTGACTACAACACTTTGACTACCTCACTCTTGCAATTTAACACATTGCAAGAAGGTAGTTGACAGTGCACATGTTGGTTTCCTCCCTTAGAAGATAAACTCTAATTCTCTGTAACTGCTTGGGATGGAGGCAGCTAATTGTCTTTGGGAATCTACTCTCTTCATCATCCTCCATTAAAGACACTCCAGTTCTTAGCTGGGCACATGGCTACTGGGATAAAGACTGTATTTTCCAGCATCCCTTGTAGCTACGCATGGTCATGTGACTAAGCGCTAACCAGGAAGTATCCTAAAAGGAGGAAGCATGCCCTTCTCTGCTTCCTGTTTCCTGCTGGCTGGGATGCGGAATAACGGCTGCTGCTATAGCAGCCCCTCTTGGACCACAAGGGACCTTGGGGGTGAAAGCAACCCCTACCAGAGCAATAAAACAGGAGAATCCTGGGTCACTAACAGTATTTAAAGCAATATCAGCCCTGGACTACTTGTAGGCTTTTTTCTAACTTAAGCCACTATTATTTGGGGCTTTCTATTACTTGGAGTTGAATATAATTGTAAGTTATGCATGACCTCAGCACCTAGAGTAGCCTGAAAGGGATTCAGGGAAGGTTTGCTGAAAGGATACCATTTCATAACCGAACAGTATCCTGCATTCCAGATTCTGGCCCAAAAACTCCCACCTCCCCCTAACCTCATATAAAACCTCAATTAAAATGCACGGCTAGAAACCTCACAAAATCCTTGACCTAAATATATCTGTATGTATGTGCTTTGATATTCCTGTGTGGAAGGGGAAGATGGCTGGAAAAAGTATTTTCTTTCTCTTAGGTATCCCCCAGACACAGATTTCAATAGTGGTGCAAGGCTGACCTAAGAGTTATTAATGATATGCTATTGGACTAAATGAGCTAGAATCACAGCAACATGGAAAATCAAGACTTCCTGCTATTATGTAAATGTACCGCCATTTGGGAAAATAACTCAGTATGAGATTCATTATAAATAATGTTTTCATCCCAACCTTCATGGCTTTTGGAAACTTCAATATATGACCCAATTTATTAACTAAAACAAGATCCCTCTCCAATCCTTTTAAATGACTTCTATAAAATTTTAAGCTTAGATCATCCATGCAAATATCTTACATTATTAGCTATGCAAATATTTTGTATTATTTTTAAAAGCCCAAAGCTTCTGAAAAACTCTCTTAATCCTGGATGTATTTCCTGATCCTACAATCATTTTATAGTATAAAGACACTACTGGGGCTGGGGGAAGTGGCTCACACCTGTAATCCCAACACTTTGGGAGGCCAAGGCAGGCAGATCACTTGAGGTCAGGAGTTCGCAACCAGCCTGGCCAACATGGTGAAACCCCAACTCTACTAAAAATATAAAAATTAGCCAGGCGTGGTGGTGGGCACCTGTAGTCCCAGCTACTTGGGAGGCTGAGGCAGGAGAATCGCTTGAACCCAGGAGGTGGAGGTTGCAGTGAACCGAGATTGTGCCACTGCACTCCAGCCTGGGCAACAAAGCGAGACTGTCAAAAACAAAAACAAAAACAAAACAAACAAACAAACAAAAGACACTATTGGATTAAAGGTATACATAGTAAATATATAGAAATCAATGTAACGTGTACATCCATCAGAAATTTTACTTGCATTTAATAAAAACTAATTCTGACTTATTGAAATGGAAATAAAATTTATTAAATGGTTGAGTCAGTTGCAGACCTCTCAGGAGGAACAGAACGACCACACAGCGGTAAACAGTCAGATGAAATCCCATAATTGCACCATAGAACTAACCCAGTGAGGACAGTGGTGTTGCAACCCTGAGGGTGTCAGTGCTTCAGGCTGTGTCAGTACTGAGACCCCTCGATACTGTTTCCAGAATCATTGCCATGTGTCTTCCAGATTTGGACACAACCACTGCTTCTGCCACCCTCACAAAAATGCATTATTATTATTATTATTATTATTATTATTTTGGAGATGGAGTCTCCCTCTGTCACCCAGGCTGGAGTGCAGTGGCACGATCTCAGCTCACTGGAACCTCTGCCTCCTGGCTTCAAGTGATTCTCCTGCCTCAGCCTCCCAGGTACCTGGGATTACAGGCACCCGCCACCAAGCCTGGCTAATTTTTGTATTTTTAGTAGAGACGTTTTTCCGTGTGGTCCAGGCTGGTCTCAAACTCCTGACCTCAGGTGATCCACCCTCCTCAGCCTCCTAAAGTGCTAGGATTACAGGTATGAGCCACTGCACCTGGCCCAGGAATAGATTCCTTGTGGCCGCTGCTTCTTTCTGTCACCAGCTTCTCATCCAAAGCCATGTGCAGGTGCATGTGATTTGCATTTCTAAGCTCATGCATCCCGGTCCATTTGCAAAGGAGGCTGGGAAGTCTGATACCTGGTTATTCCAGAGGTGAGCTCTATCTCATAAGATAGGAAATTCCCCATAAGATGATTCCTATGGTGGGCAACCAAAAAAGACAAATATTCACTACAATGCAATTTGACTGTCGTTTTGTCATGATGGCAATGTGATCCAAACTACTGCCCCTGTGTTTTCCCTAAGGATTCCTAATTCCTAAACACCCTGAACTGGCTTTATGAACACTTTATTTTTTCCACAATTCGAGTTTCCTCTAGTTCGTGGGTTTTCGTTCTCTCTTTTTTTTTTTTTTCCTTGAGATGGAGTCTCACTCTGTCACACAGGCTAGAGTGCAGTGGCACGATCTAGGCTCGCTGCAACCTCCACTTTCCAGGTTCAAGCCATTCTCCTGCCTCAGCCTCCCGAGTAGCTGGGATTACAGGTACCCACCACCACGCCCAGCTAATCTTTGTATTTTTAGTAGAAATGGGGTTTTGCCATGTTGGCCAGGTTGGTCTCGAACTCCTGACCTCAGGTGATCTGCCCACCTCGGCCTCCCAAAGTGCTGGGATTATAGGCTTGAGCCACTGCACCCGGCACCTTCAAATTTGTTTCCAATTAATTATTCCCAGCTCCGTCTACAGAATAGGGACAAATTAAAAACAACCTTAATGTCCACCAATTCATTAAAACAAATTAGGGACAATTACAAAGTTATTTGTATACCAAGCGGAAGATATAAATACATACCTGGTTATTGTAATGACTGCAAATTTAAAAAATTAGTGAGGCATTGCCAAAACAGTAAAGCAGGAATAATTGATTTAAAGTGAGTTGGGAATTTTTTTTTAACTATCCCCATCTCCTCATCTACTGAACATTAAGATTCTTATATTTTATTGTTTTTTCCCTACTGTTATACATTTTTGGTTATTTTCCTATTGCAAAAGCAATGTGTGCATATACAGACAGCAAGATTAATATAAAAATGTCTGTAATCTCACCACCCAGTGACAAGTAGCCTTATCTCCAGGACAGTAGCTTTGAGCATAGGCTTTGGGGTTAAACTGCCACATCTGGGTTGGGCGTGGTGGCTCACACCTCTAAGCGCAGCACTTTGGGAGGCCAAGGCAGGCAAATCACCTGAGTTCAGGAATTCAACCCCAAAATATATAACAGTAGGGAGAAAACATTAAAATACAAGAATCTAAATTTTGAGTAGATGAGATGGGGATAGTTAAAAAAAAATTCCAACTCACTTTAAATCAATTATTCCTGCTTTACTGTTTTGGCACTGCCTCACTAATTTTTAAAATTTGCAAAGTTGTTACAATAACCAGGTATGTATTTACATCTCACACTTGGTATACAGATTACTTTGTAACATAGTGAATACTTGTCTCTACCAAAAATACAAGTATTAGCTGGGTGTGGTAGCACAGGCCTGTAGTCCCAGTTACTCGGGAGGCTGAGGCAGGAGAATCGCTTGAACCCAGGAGGTGGAAGTTGCAGTGAGCCGAGATTGTACCACTGCACTCCAGCCTGGACAACAAAGTGAGACTCCATCTCAAAACAAATAAAAAATAAAAAACAAAAATGCCACATCTAAACCCTCATGACCTTAGAAAACTTCCTCCATCTCTCTCCCCTCGGTTTTTCCATTTATGAAAAGGGGATGCTAATGTCCCTTCATAAGGTTGTTGTACAGACTGAATGAAATAAGGTCGACTGAGCCCTTAGCATACCTGGTGCACAGTGAGCTTCTAGAAACACTAGCTGTTATTTCAGATCCTGTCCTTGCATTGGTCTAGCTATTTTCACAAAAATGGCACATTTCATCAAACCTCTATTACTGGACATCGAGGTGGTCTCTAAATGTAATAATTACTAACAGCACAGAGCAATAATTATTTGCAAAAAAAAAAGTTTTTTATCAGAAATTTTAAGATAGGGAGGCATTCGTTAAAAAGAACAACTTCTAAAAGTCAAAAATCCTTTTTGAAACATTTATAAAATATTATGAAATTGTCCCCACCTATTGATTCAAAGGTGTACCACATATAACACCCATACACAGTGCTGGAAGAAAATAATTGTCTCAATCAAAGTGCTTTTGACCACATGCCCTGTGATCAGTCCCCAGAGTGGTGTCACATTGTCTCTGATTTGACTCGCAGCCTGCTGGACAGAGACACGGCTTTACAAGGAGCTTAACGGTTGAAGTCAGATCTGCGGGAAACTCGTCCAGTGTTGCCTGGCAATACTGCTGTCAGGTGGGCAGTCCCTTTGGGTCCTGCAGTTACCTGCTGGCCAGATACCAGCCCAGTGCTAGCAAATGCCAACAGCAGCCCACACAGATGGACCACAGGGGATGAGCCAACAGCGGGTGTGGGCGAGGGTGCAACAAACGAATCACTGACTGGAGATGCAAACCTCAGCCCAGCAGCTGCCACATCTGGGCCAGGCACGGTGGCTCAAGCCTGTAATCCCACCACTTTGGGGGGCCGAGGCAGGAGGATCACCTGAGGTCAGGAGTTCAAGACCAGCTTGGCCAACATGGTGAAACCCCATCTCTACCAAAAATACAAAAATCAGCTGGGCGTGGTAACACATCCTGTAATCCCAGCTACTTGGGAGGCTGAGGCAGGAGAATCGCTTGAACCTGGGAGGCAAAAGTTGCAGTGAGCTGAGACTGTGCCATTGCACTTCAGCCTGGGCAACAGAGTGAGACTCCGCATGGCAATAGAGCAAAGCACAGTTGACTCGGAAGGCTCTTGCTTGCTGTCTGTACCCCTTGAAGACCACTGTTATCTAGAAGTGGAGGTAGGAGGAGAATGAAAAATAACAAAATTCTGGAAGCTCATGTTTATGTCTAAATTTCTCTCCCCTCCTCTCTTTGGCTCCTTTCCAGCCTAGGGCACATTTTCTTAGTGACAGCTGATCAGGAGGATGAAGTTGACATGGCGCCAGGACCGTCTGTTGGCCACCTCCCCACAATGCACTATTCTCCTCTTCCTGCACCACACCCTCCTCCAGAAGCACCTCCAGACTCTCAGAGCCCTGGGGTCTTGTCCTGCTTCAACTCTGCTTCCTGGAACCCTAGTTCTGTTTTCAGGTAGCGTTGGAGTCCATCCATTAGCCTGGAAGTAATTACATTCCCTCTTCTGGGATAACCTTGACTCTCTCTTGCGCTCCTTCAGTGACCAGGGCAAGTAGGCAATAGCATAGGAAAAGACCTTGGGCCTCAGACAGCATAGACCTTAAGTGTCCCCGCCATTAAAAACAAAAGGTAGGCTGGACACAGTGGCTCACGCTTGTAATCCCAGCACTTTGGGAGGCTGAGGTGGGCGGATCACTTGAGGTCAGGAGTTTGAGACCAGCCTGGCCAACATGGTAAAACCCCATCTCTACTAAAAATACAAAAATTAGCTGGGTGTGGTGGCGGGCACCTATAATCCCAGCTACCCAGGAGGCTGAGGCAGGAGAATTGCTTGAACCCGGGAGGTGGAGGTTGCAATGAGCCAAGATTGCACCGCTGTACTCCAGCCTGGGCTACAGAGTGAGACTTTGTCTCAAACAAACAAAAACAAAAACAAAAACGAAAAGGTAACTCTATGAGGTGACGGACGTGTTCATTAAGTTGATTGTGGTAATCATTTCACAATGCATGCAAAAAGCAAATCATCACATTATACACCTTAAATATATACAAGTTTTATTTGTTAGTGACACTTCAATAAAGCTTAGGGAAAAAAGAACTGGGGTTTCACAAAGTGACTCCAATTATGCGTTAATCAGCTGTGAGAACTTAAGAGGTTACTGACCTCTTCACAGTGGAGGTGGGAAGTTATTCCTCCCAGGAAGATAGCTTTCTGTGTTCTTTGAGGATTAAATGGGACTCTGCCCCCCGAGTACTATCATCAGGCCAAGCGCAGAGAAGGCACACGGGAAATACCTGCATCCCTACTCCTTTACCCAATCTCTGCACACTTCAGAGTTGAGAATCTGCAAAGAGCTCATTCTGCCAGGTAGGATGGTGAAACATATGACTTCAAATGCTACTTTAGATTATCGCTTTGCCTACAATGTTGAGAAAGCAAAGACGGGCTGCTATCCTACCTCGCATTTTACAATATTTAAGCCACCTTGCACAGCTTCCTGCCGCCCTGTCACTGCTTAATTAAACAGAAGTGGCCACGCATCCAAATCCTTTAGAGGTAAACCCTTTCAACAGCTGCTGCTGCTTTGATCACTCCTGGGATAACTTTGAAGAATGTTCTGTCAAAGGGAGCAATTTGCTGGGAAGAGCAGCCCCTGTACTTCCATCCTGGCAGGTTTTTATTACAAACTGCATTTGCATGGAAACAGGATTTGTTCTTGGTTCCAAAGCAGGTCAGGTTTATTATCCCCAAATACATCCATTACTCTCCCTAGTCATTACAGGTGACATTGGCAACATGGGGAAGGCGAAGGGGGGCAGTGCCAGCTTCTGAGGGTTTAAGGAGAGATTGGATACAGATTGCCTGTGGACTTCAGGACATCTCTACGAGGGGAGGAGGGGGAGAAAGGGGAATAATCCCCATAGGGCTGTTTCATTTTCTTTTTTCTTTTTTTTGAGACAAAGTCTTGCTCTGTCACCCAGGCTGGAGTGCAGTGGTGCGATCTCAGTTCGCTGCTAGCTCCGCCTCCTGGGTTCACGCCATTCTCCTGCCTCAGCCTCTCGAGTAGCTGGGACTACGGGCGCCCGCCACCACGCCCGGCTAATTTTTTTTGTATTTTTTAGTAGAGACGGGGTCTCACCGTGTTAGCCAGGATGGTATCGATCTCCTGGCCTCGTGATCTGCCCGCCTCTGCCTCCCAAAGTGCTGGGATTACAGGCGTGAGCCACCGCGCCCAGCCAGGGCTGTTTCATTTTCAATTTGCAGTGGGATCCCAAGTCTTTGAATGTTTTTCTGTGCCAAAATTTTAAAATATTAATACAGAAGATGCCACTTCCTAGTCCTAGGTAGGGAGAAGGAACACAGGAAAGAGGAAGATGGAGTAGTAACTGATGTCAGCAAAGCATGTGGCATTATATGCTGCAATGTGTGCCCCAAAGACAGCGATTCCTGTAAAAGGAATGAGAGAGGGAGGGAGCAGGCCTGCTGGAAGATCACACAGATGAGTCCATAATCTCAAAGCAAGTGGGGCACTAGGGGGCGGGGTGGGGGGTGTAGGGGTATGGGGAAGGCTCGGGAAATCAAGCCACTGGGTGCACTTGGAGGAAAGAGGGGTGCTTCTAGGAAGCTACGACCACACATTAGAAAGACTGGAGGGCCAGACACCACATTCGTATAGAGGCTGCATCTGTCTGAGAGGATCACCCAGTGCTTGACTGGTGTGTGTTTTGTACTCTGTGCTTTTCTGTGTTTTTCTTTCTCTCTCTCTCTCTTTTTTTTTTTTTTTTTTTTTGAGACAGTCTCACTCTGTCACCCAGGCTAGAGTGCAGTGGCGCAATCTTGGCTCACTGCAACCTCCACCTCCCCACTTCAAGTAATTCTCGTGTCTCAGCCTCCTGAGTAGCTGGGATTATAGGCGTATGCCATCATGCCTGGCTAATTTTGTGTTTTTAGTAGAGATGGGGTTTCACCATGTTGGACAGGCTGGCCTCAAACTCCTGACCTCAAGTGATCCACCCGCCTTGGCCTCCCAAAGTGCTGGGATTACAGGTGTGAGCCACCACAGCCTGCCTTTTCTGTGTTTTTCAAGTGATCTTTGTTGAGCACGCAATTATTTTTGTAATGAAAAAAAAATTTTTTTTGTTTTATTTTTAAAAGAAGACATGTATTCCTAAGAGCATGGTCACCAAGGAAGTGGGTTCAGGTTGGGAGTGGGCGCTGGGAAGACGGCAGACAAGCAAGACTTCTTTTGAAATGTATGAGTGGCGGCCAGGCACAGTGTCTCACGCCTGTAATCCCAGCACTTTGGGAGGCCAAGGCAGGCAGATCACGAGGTCAGGAGATTGAGACCATCCTGGCTAACACGGTGAAACCCTGTTTCTACTAAAAATACAAAAAATTAGCTGGGCATAGTGGCGGGCACCTGTAGTCCCAGCTACTTGGGAGGCTGAGGCAGGAGAATGGCGAGAACCCAAGAGGCGGAGCTTGCAGTGAGCCGAGATCGCGCCACCACACTCCAGCCTGGGCGACAGAGCAAGACTCCGTCTAAAAAAAAAAAAGTATGAGTGGCAAGACCCAGGACTAGCTCTTCCCACCACCCCCAGAAAAAATAAATGGCCAAAAGCCTCAGGCTCCTCCTGAGGGGGATGCTATGGACTGAATGCATCCCCCCAAGTTCATATGTTGAAGCCCTAATTCTCAACGTGACGGTATTAGGACATGGGGATTTGGGGAAGTGATGAGATCATGGGCATGAAACCCTCATGAATGGGATTAGTGCCCATAGAAGAGATGCAAGAGAGAACTTGTGATATCCTCACATGGAAAACAGATCATCTCTCGACCATGTGAGGATACAGCAAGAAGGCGTCTATCTGCAAACCAGGAAGTGGGCCCTTTCCAGACATTAGGTTTTGGGCTTCCCAGACTCCAGAACTGTGAGAAATAAATGTTTGTTGTTTAAGCTGTCCAGTCTGTGATATGCTGTTACAGCAGCCTGAGCTGACTCAGACAGGAAGGAAGAAAATGGAAAAAAAGGAACAGGGCAGGATGAGGACTGGGTCCTACCCACCAACAGGAAATGGTACGATTGTGGCTCATCTATTCCAGCTCTTGTTGCCTGCTGCATACCAAAAACGAAACTGATCTTGGAGAAAATGCCTGGGCATCCTGTTTAAATGCAGATTCCTAGGCCCTCGTGATTCACTTAGTTACAAAGTATGTGGTTTGGATCAATTTTTCAGGCCATCCTTGCAAGGGTAATGTTTGAGGACCAGCGGAGAGGTAACAAAAGACAGAGAAACAACCAATGATGAGGGATCTGTGAGCAAACTGAGCTGATTATATAAAAGAGAGGGGCCGTTTCTGTCTTGGTGATTACAGGAAGACTTTGCTGAGAACTGGAGTGGGTGTGGAGCTTGTATGCTTTGGGGACAGACAGACCTGGCTCTGCCACTTACTAACAGATAATTTTGAGCAGAACAATAGCCTATCTGAGCCTTAGTTCCTTAACTGTAAGCTGGAGATTCTAAAACTCACCTTGCAGAATGCTTCTGAAGAATATATGAATACAACTCTGTGGCATTTATACTCATAACCCAGTTATCAATGTTCTGAGCCCTTGGCAGTGCATTATTGAGTCTTTTCCTAGGATTTATCTTCCCCAGAATCTTCTGGGAATGGGGGTAGAATCTGAGTAAGGTCACTTTACCTCCTGGGATCCTCACAGGTTGAGGGGTTGCCATACATTTGGTCAGAGCTGTCCCCTGTAGCATCCCTCTTCTCCTGCAGTATCTTTTCCTCCAATGACCCCTGTCATTCAACTTCCCACAGTTCACTGCCACCTGCTGCTGACCGTCTCTGGACCCTAGACTTCTGGCCTAGCTCCTGCAGGCCACCTGGTTCTATTGTGATTCCCCATCCCTGGTCAGCAGTTTTGCTTGACCTGCTGTTCTGTGGTGAGGACCACAGAAGGGATGTTGTAAGCTAGGAATGTGATTCTCCCCCTCATACTGTAACCCTCTTTTTCCCAGAGCACACAGGTACCTTGAGGAAGATGGATTAGTCTGTCCTCATGCTATTAATAAAGACATACCCAAGACTGAGTAATTTATAAAGGAAAAGAGGTTTAATGGACTCACAGTTCCACATGGCTGGGGAGGCTTCACAATTATGGTGGAAGGCAAAGGAGGAGCAAAGGCATGTCTTACATGGCAGCAGGCAAGAGAGCACATGCAGGGGAACTGCCCTTTATAAAACCGTTAGATCTCATGAGACTTGTTCACTATCGTGGGAACAGCATGGGAAAATCCTGCCCCCTTGATTCAATTACCTCCCACTGGGTCCCTCCCACAACACATGGGGATTGTAGGAGCTACAATTCAAGATGAGATTTGGGTGGGGACACAGCCAAACCGTATCAGAAGGCAAGAGTGGAGAGTGTCACATGAATTAGACATGGCGAGGTATGCTGAACTCTTATTGTCCCTGGGACCTAGCACCCATTGACCTTCATGGCCCCTACTCAGGTTTTGTGAGCCATATTTTCTCTCCCCGTTTTCCAGCCTTTTCTTGGACCCGAGGCCGTCTGTGCAATCTGAGTAGATGGGCTTGCTAACTCTCATAGAATGCTCTGGGATGTGGGCATGAATACCCTACCATGTTCTTTGGTTTGCATGAAGCTCAGGAGCTCTATAGGTAAGAATGCAAACCCTGTCTACAACTAAAGTTCAGAAGTGTTTGGGCCTGTCTGTTGAAAGGGTGGAGAAGTGGGACAGGAACAGACTGTGACAGACCTTACCTATCATATAAAGATGTTTGTCCTCTCTTCTGTGTGTAACTGAATTGGGCAAGACCTTTGGGAGGACCATGTTTTGCTGGTAATATAACCAGCCAACATCTCCATTCCCAACCCAAGCCCCATGCTGTTCAGTATTGCTAGAGAAAATCTTATAACCTTGTACATAGGTGATGGCCCCCAAGTTCACACTCTCCAACCGCTTCTGGGCTCCAGATATTAGGCAGTAATCTCACGTGTTCACTGCTTCCTCATTTCCCTCAAGTTTGGGGGAACTCTCCTAACTCTCCAAGCCCTTAGCTCCTATTCCCTCTTCTACTGCTCCCCAGAGAAGATAGAAGAAATTAGTAAGTTAATAAGCTGATTCTCAAGATGCATATGGAAAGGCAATGGATGCATATGGAAAGTCTCAAAAAAAAAAAGGAACAGAAATTTATGCTCCCATAGTTCTGGAGGCCAGAAATCCGAAATTAAGGTGTCAGCAGGTCTCGCTCCCTCTAAAGGCTCTCGGCAAGAATCATCCCTGATTCTTCTTGCCTCCAGTGTTGCCAGCAATCCTTGGCATTCCTCAGCTTGTAGCAGCATCACTCAAATCTCTGCCTCCGTCGGCCCATGGCTGTCTCCCTGTGTGTCTGTTCCTGTGTCTCTGTTTTCTTTTCTTATAAAGATACCATACCAGTTATACTGGATTAGGATCCACCCTAATAACCTCATTTAACTCATGAGAGACTGTATATGCAGAGACAATGGCCAGATCATACATAAAAATCAAACTCTGACCCATAATCTTCAGCCAGTCCAAGAAGCCAACCCATTATCCGCAGTAACCAGTCCAGGAAGTAAAACTACTTCCTGTAGCAACCAGTCCAGGAAGCTAAACAATAACCCTTGTTTTGTTTTGATCTGATTTGTAACTGACAGCTTCCTTAATTATTGCTCCCACTTCCAACTTAGGACCTATCAGAGAAAGCCAGATATACTCCCCTAACCAACCATATAGAACGCAGTCAGCCTGCTCCTGGTTGGCCTGCCTCCAGCTTCCCCACTACAACCGTCTCCATTCAGGGCAAAATGAGGGCCTTCCCCATGTTCCATTATGAAGTCTTCCCACTCCACTGCCTGCTTTTGAGTCTCTGCCCAACGCAAATGATGGTGGCTGACTCCCTTGCTATAGCAAGCTCTGAACAAATAGCCTTTGCTTGTTCTCATTTAGGCGGTTCTGGATTTATTTATTTCCACACTTGATTACATCTGCAAAATCCCAATTTTCTTTCTTCTTGTTTTTTGTTTTTGTTTTTGTTTTTGTTTTTGAGACTGTCTTGTTCTGTCACCCAGGCTGGAGTGCAGTGGTGTGATCTCGGCTCACTGCAACCTCTGCCTCCCAGGTTCAAACAATTCTTCTGCCTCAGCCTCCCAAGTAGCTGGGATTACAGTCATCCGCCACCATGCCTGGCTAATTTTTTAAAAATTTTTTAGTAGAGATGGGGTTTTACCATGTTAGGTGGGTCTTGAACTCCTGACCTCAAGCAGTCCACCCGCCTCGGCCTCCCAAAGTGCTGGGATTATAGGCATGAGCCACCATGCCCAGCTTAAACCCCTATTTTCAGATAAGATCACATTCACAGAAACTAGGGGTTAGAACTTCAAAATATCTTTTTGTGGGATGCAATGCAACCCACAACATCACCTAAGGCCCTTGCCCTGCCTTTCCCTCTCCCATATTCTGTTTCCTTCCACAAGAAGCTACCTTCTATGTCCCCAGATTTAGCATATGACATCAAACCCATTTGCTTGTCTCCTCCACTGGATATTGTATATTGCTCCGTGGGAGCGGCACCTTATTGGCCTTGAATCCAGTGTGGGATTCTAGGTTGGCCTGCCTCCAGCTTCCCCATTACAACCGTCTCCATTCAGGGCAAAACGAGGGCCTTCCCCACGTTCCATTATGAAGCGTTCCCACTCCTCTGCCTGCTTTTGAGTCTCTGCCCAATGCAAATGATGGTGGCTGACTCCCTTGCCACCATCCTTGCATGCCCAATATGCCCAACAGGCATGCAAAGGTGCCTCATAGAGATTCGTGGTTAAACTGCACAGCCGAGTGCACCTTCTCGCTTTGTCCACCTGAAAAATTATTTCTCATCCTTTCAGATCTGGCTCCAGGGTGAGCCCTAGAGTCATCTCCTGACCCCCACTCCCAGGCTGGAGCAGGAGGCCCCCAGCATTTTTTGGTATACCTATGTCTAACATCCTGAGAAGCCTGCTTTCCCAAGGTTGGGGTTGCGTTTTTCATTCCCTATTCCCAGCAAGAAATACAGGGTCTCGAACTGAGTAAATGCCCAGAAAGAATTTGTTGTATGGATGGTCCTGAGACAAAAAGAGCTCTCAGATCCTTCCTGCTCCTTCCATATGCACCCTGTACACACCCACATCCACCGCCATACCCACCTACTGCCAATGCCTGCAGTCACTCCCTGTTGTATGAGTGTCTCCAAACACAATGCAAGGGAAGCCCCACTTGCTGTCTTTCTGTCACAGTGTGTGTGTGTGTGTGTGTGCGCGCGCGCGCGCGTGCATGCGCGTGTGTTTTTATATATATATATAACATTTACCACCTTTTAAAAACTGCTTTCAGCCGTATGCTTTCCTCTAACTAACCATTGCTGTTTCCCTCCTTTTCTCAGCTAAGCTCCTGGAAAGAACTGACTCCACTTGCCATCTCTACCACCTCTCATCCAAGCCGCCTTCCTCCTCAACATGCTGCCATCCGCCTTCTACCCACGCCACTTTGCCAGGCCCCAGTGACTTCCTGGATGTTCAATCTAACATTCACTTTTCAGTTCTCCTCTTCCATAACCTTACTTTCTTCATGCCCCTACCTATGAGACCCTCTCTCCTCTTGCCAAGCAGGCTTTCCTCCCTGCTACTTTCTTTCTCTCTCTCTCTCTCTCCCCCCCCATCTCTCTCTCTCCCCCCGTCTCTCTCTCTCTCTCCCCGTCTCTCTCTCTCTCCCCGTCTCTCTCTCTCTCCCCGTCTCTCTCTCTCTCCCCGTCTCTCTCTCTCTCCCCGTCTCTCTCTCTCTCCCCGTCTCTCTCTCTCCCCCCCATCTCTCTCTCCCCCCGTCTCTCTCTCTCTCCCCGTCTCTCTCTCTCCCCGTCTCTCTCTCTCTCCCCGTCTCTCTCTCTCCCCCCATCTCTCTCTCTCCCCCCGTCTCTCTCTCTCTCCCCGTCTCTCTCTCTCCCCGTCTCTCTCTCTCTCCCCGTCTCTCTCTCTCCCCCCCATCTCTCTCTCTCTCCCCGTCTCTCTCTCTCCCCGTCTCTCTCTCTCTCCCCGTCTCTCTCTCTCCCCGTCTCTCTCTCTCTCTCCCCCGTCTCTCTCTCCATCTCTCTCTCTCCGTCTCTGTGTGTGTGTGTGTGTGTGTGTGGGTGTGTGTGTGTGACTTTTTTTTTTTTTTTTTCTGAGACAGATTCTTGCTCTGTTGACCAGGTTGGAGTGCAATGGCGCTATCTCGGCTCACCGCAACTTCTGCCTCCTGGGTTCAAGCGATTCTCCTGCCTTAGCCTCCCGAGTAGTTGGGATTACAGGCACCCCCCCACCCAACATGCCAGACTAATTTTTGTATTTTTCGTAGAGACGGGGTTTCGCCATGTTAGCCTCGAACTCCTGACCTCATCATCCACCAGCCTTGGCATCCTGGCATCTTTTAAAAGTCAGCATTCCCCATCCTCTCTTCTTCTCCCCCTTACATTCCTTCTGGGTGATCTCATTTACTCTCTCACTTCCACCTATCACCCATAGATAATAACTCCCAGATTTGGCCAGGTGCAGTGGCTCATGCTTGTAATCCCAATATTTTGGGAGGCTGAGGAGGAAGGATTGCTCAAGCCCAGGAGTTTGAGACCAGCCTGGGCAACAGAGCAAAACCCTAGCTCTGCAAAAAATACAAAAACTAGCCAGGGGTGGTGGTGCGTACCTGTAGTCCAGCTGCTCAGGAGGCTGAAGTGGGAGGATCACCTGAGCCTGGGAAGGTTGAGGCTTGAGTGAGCTGTGATCACACCACTACACTCCAGCCTGGGGAAAATCCTGTTTCAAAACAACAACAACAACAAACTTAATGTCCCAAACCTAAACATCTATTAAATGTCTAGCTCAGCTTTTTTCTCCCAAGTGTCTCAACTCATAGATCAAACTATTTTCTAGCCATCCTATGGGCATCCTAACCTCAGCAGAACCCAAACAGAACTCACCCTCTCTTCCCATGGGGTGTGTGCTCCTCCTCTTTATTCCTCTTGGTGAATAGTACCACTCCCATCCAGTCACCAAAGCCAGAAATCCAGGAATCCCCATCTCCCTACTGTACCCCAATCCTCTTGTTCCCTAAATCTAATAAGCCACTAGGTTTCCAGATTCTTCCCTCTCAAACCCTTCAGAATCACTTAAGATCAGGAATTCAAGACCAGCCTGGCCAACATGGTGAAACCCCGTCTCTACTAAACATACAAAAATTAGCCAGGCGTGGTGGCGCATGCCTATAATCCCAGCTACTTGGGAGGCTGAGGCACGAGAATCAGTTGAACCTGGGAGGCAGAGGTTGCAGCGAGCCAAGATCATGCCACTGCACTCCAGCTTGAGTGACAGAGCGAGACTCCGTCTCGAAAAAAGAAAAAAAAAATACAATTGTTGAAATAAAAAATTCAATAGAATGGTTAGAAATGAAATATCACCCAGAAAGTCAGACAATGACAAATATATGGAAAATAAAAGAGAAAAGCCAAGGGAATCAGGGAACTGGTCTGAGTAATAGAGGTGTTAGGAAGAGGGACCAACGACAACAGAAGAGGAGTAATTTAAAAAATTAATGTAATGACATCTTTTAAAAATAAGAGACATACATTTCCAGATTAAAGGGGCTCACTGAATGCAAACCACACAAATGATAAAAGAAAAAAGTGATTCACACCAAAGCATAGCCTGATGAAATTTCATAATACCAGCAATGAAGAGAAGATTTTAAAAGTTTTTGGGGGCCGGGCGCGGTGGCTCACGCCTGTAATCCCAGCACTTTGGGAGGCCGAGGCGGGTGGATCACGAGTTCAGGAGATCGAGACCATCCTGGCTAACACAGTGAAACGCCGTCTCTACTAAAAATACAAAAAATTAGCTGGGTGTGGGGGCGGGCGCCTGTAGTCCCAGCTACTCGGAAGGCCGAGGCAGGAGAATGGCATGAACCCGGGAAGCGGAGCTTGCAGTGAGCCGAGATTGCGCCACTGCACTCCAGCCTCGGCGACAAAGCAAGACTCCGTCTCAAAAAAAAAAGTTTTGGGGAAAAGACATTGGACACACCCACATCAACGCTGTAAACCAGGATCTAATGGATAAATATCTTTAAAATTCTGAGGGAAGAGGATTTCCAATGGTTGAATAGAATTCTATATACGGTTAAACCATCAGTCAGAAGTGTGGGTATATAAAGACATCTTTACATAAGCATAGTGTCAAAAAATTTACCTTTGTCATATCTATTTCTGTATAACAAGTCACATCAAATTTTGGTTGTTTAAAAAGTGGACATCTATTATCTCCTATTTTCTATGAGAGGGAAATTTGAGAGTGGCTTAGCTGGCAGGGGCTTCGCTGGGTGGTTTGGGCTAAGGATTTGTCATGACGGAGTGTATTAGTCTGTTTTCACACTGCTGATAAAGACATACCCGAGACTGGGTGATTTATAAAGAAAAAGAGGTTTAATGGACTTACAGTTCCATGTGGCTGGGGAAGCCTCACAATCACGGCCGAAGGTGAAAGGCACGTCTTACGTGACAGCAGGCAAGAGAGAATAAAAGCCAAGTGAAAGGGGAAACCCCTTATAAAACCATCAGATCTCGTGAGACTTATTCACTACCATGAGAACAGTATGGGGAAAACCTCCCCCATGATTCAATTATCTCCCACCGGGTCCCTCCCACAACACGTGGAAATTACGGGAGCTACAATTCAAGATGAGATTTGGATGGGGACACAGCCAAACCATATCAGGGAGTAATTAAGGAATCGGCCAAAGCTGCAGTCATCTGAGGCTTGACTGAGGCTGAAGAATCCACCTCTAAGCTCATTCCTGTGGTTGTTGGCTGGAGGTTCCACCTTCCCATCCTATAGGACTGCTCAAGACAGGGCTCACGACCTTTCCTCAAAAGGAGACGGGGGAAGAGAGGAGAGGGGAGGTGAGAGGAAGGGAAGAGAGGGGAGGGAGGAGAGAGGAGGAGAGGTGGAGACGGGTGAGAGCCTCCAAGATAAAAGGCACAATGCTTTCCATATCCTAATCTCTGAAGTGACATACCATCATCCATCATATGTATTAGTCATACAGATCAATCCTGGTACAATGTGAGAGGGGCCGTGCAGGGTGTAAATACCAGGAGATGGGGTTTATTAGGGCTCATCTTGGAGGCTGGCTACCACATACCCTTTCTCAAGAAACTCCTGGAGGTGATGCTCCACCAAAACGAAGAAGTAAGCCAGACAGAGCAAGAGAGAGCAAACAGAAGACGAACATTGGGAAGCAAGAAAGAAATCCTCAGGGTAATGGTAAAGAGAAGTCCTGAGATGAGAGCTGCGCAGCAGACTTCAAGAACAACTGGTCTAGATTGAGCAGAAGGATAATGATCTCCAGGAAGAATGCCTCTAAGCCATAAATGAAATCAATATGTTGAATAAAGTTAGAGAAGATTTTTGACTGCAGAATTTAGGAATGAATCATTAATAGGTACACAAAAAAGGAAGTAAAAAAAATCTGGGGGGCTGGCCATGGTGGCTCACGCCTGTAGTCACAGTATTTTGGGAGGCCAAGGGGGGCAGATCATTTGAGGTCAAGAGTTACAGACCAGCCTGGCCAACATGGTGAAACCCCGTCTCTACTGAAATTACAAAAATTAGCTGGGCGTGGTGGTGCACGCCTGTAATCCCAGCTACTCGGGAGGCTAAGGCAGGAGAATCACTTGAACCCAGGAATCAGAGGTTGCAGTGAACCGACATCATGCCACTGCACTCCAGCCTGGGTGATGGAGTGAGACTCTGTTTCAAAAAAAAAAATTTTTTTTTTTTTTTAACAAAGAGGTAATCATTAACTTCAGGGAAAACAAAAGACTCTACAAGAAAAAAAGAGGCCAGCAAAGCATAGTGCTTGGCTCAGCTGTAAATAATATTTACATTGTTATAGTAATGCAAACATTGACTACTGACTTGATAAAAATGATGGCAAATGATGTGGTTTGGCTGTGCCCCCACCCAAAATGTCATCTTGAATTATAACCCCCATAATTGAACCATGGGGGCAATTTCCCCTATGCTATTCTCGTGAGAGTGACTTCTCATGAAATCTTATCTTGTGGTTTTATACGTGTCTGGCATTTCCCCTGCTGAACCTCATTCTCTCTCCTGCCACCCTGTAAAGAGGTGCCTTCCGCCATGATTGTAAGTTTCATGAGGCCTCCCCAGCCATGCGGAACTGAGTCAATCAAACCTATTTTCTTTATAAATTACCCAGTCTCGGGTATTTCTTCATAGCAGTGTGAGAATGAACTAACACAGTAACTATATTGGGAGGAAAGGAAATAGGGAAGTTCATCACATAGGTGGTGAGTTGGGGCTCTTTCATAGGAAGCCAATAGAGTCCAAAACAGAAAAATCAAGAAATAGAAGTATAAGTATGCCATTTAGAAAACATAGAGGTTAAATTCAGTAACAGAAGAAACAAAAAAAAGAATTGAAAGTTTTTGTACTTAGGGAAAGTGTCAGAAGTGGAGAAGGATAGAGCAGGAGTCTGCTGGGTGTTTGTTTGTTTGTTTGAGACAGAGTCTCACTCTGTCACCAGGCTGGAGTGCAGTGGCGCGATCTCGGCTCACTGCAACCTCTGCCTCCCGGTTGAAGCGATTCTCCTGCCTCAGCCTCCCAAATGGCTGGGACTACAGGCGTGCACCACCACCCCCGGCTAAATTTTTGTATTTTTAGTAGAGTTGGGGTTTCACCATGTTGGCCAGGATAGTCTCCATCTCCTGACCTTGTGATCTGCCTGCCTTGGCCTCCCAAAGTGCTGGGATTACAGGTGTGAGCCACCGTGCCCAGCCATAGTCTGCTGTTTTTCTTTAGAAGTCTAATCCTACCGTTTGGTTTGATAAAAAATAAAATAAAATTTAAAATAAAAAGATTTTACTGGTCAAACAAATCCTTCTACTGGTTTGCACTGAAGATCAGCATATATTATCAGCATATATTTTACTATCTGGACCTCAAATTATAGAGAATTATATAATTTTAGAAGAAATTAACCAGGATGAGTTATTTCAGCCCACTAGGCAGCGTCTATCTACTCAGGGCTACAGAGCTACTCTGCCTCCCACCCAACTAAATAAACGCATCAGGCTGGGTGCGGTGGCTCACGCCTAAATTCCAGCACTTTGGGAGGCTGAGGCAGGAGGATCACCTGAGGTCAGGAGTTTGAGACCAGCCTGACCAATATGGTGAAACCCTGACTCTTCTAAAAATACAAAAATTAGCCAGGCATGGTGTCACATGCCTGTAATCCCAGCTACTCAGGAGGCTGAGGCAGGAGAATCACTTGAACCCAGGAGGCAGAGGTTGCAGTGAGCCAAGATTGCACCACTGCACTCCAGCCCGGGTGACAGAGCGAGACTCCGTCTCAAAAAAAAAAAAAAAAAAATGCATCAAATGTTCATTAAGTCATGCAGCATTAATTGCTTTGTGATGAACTGCCAGTTTTGTGACAAGATACTGAAAACAGGAACAAAACCAGTTTCAGAAATGACAACCCTTTATAGCATCTCTCCTAAATAGAATATATGAGGCCATGAAAAAAACACTGGATTTCTGAAAGGCCTGTGAAGGGCAGGAGGACATCAAAAGCAACTACCGTCCTGCATGATTTCTGAACACTTGCAAAGGATTTCAGGCCTGGGATAGGCTTCTGAGTTCCCTTATCCTGAGAGGACACAGTCAAAAGTTGGACTGCATAGGCCAGGCGCAGTGGCTCACACCTGTAATCCCAGCACTTTGGGAGGCCAAGGTGGGCAGACTGCTTGAGGTCAGGAGTTCGAGACCAACCTGGCCAATATGGTGAAATCCTCGTCTCTACTAAAAATACAAAAAAATTAGCCGGGGTGGTGGCGCATGCCTGTAGTCCTAGCTACTGAGGAGGCTGAGGCAGGAGAATCCCTTGAACCCCAGGAGGTGGAGGTTGCAGTGAGGTAAGATCGTGCAATTGCACTCCAGCCTGGGTGACAGAGTGAGACTCTATCTCAGGAAAAAGAAAAAAAAAAAAAAGAGTTGGACTGCAGGGCTTAGAAACCAATTTTCTCCCCATTTCTCTTATACATTCTTCGTGTTTAGAATAGATGGATGAAGGTGTGTATACCTGTGTAGGAGGATTATATACAGACATGCTCTTCAGAGACATGACATTGTCAGTTGCCTGTTTTGTGCTTTTGACTTGTTTATTTTTGCCAATAACATCAGAACTATACATCAAAGTGAGTACTGGCTATTCCTAAATAGTCCAACAGCACTAAAAAGTGCACATCTTGGAAAACTAAATATGCATTTAATATCACCACTGCCAATTCATTTCTGGAACTTGTCCTTAAAAATTCACTTTGGAGCTGAAATCAGAATGTTTAGAATAGACTCACTGGTGTCAAGTCTTCATTTTGGGGGGATGGGAGATAGGATTTTTAGAACCAGTCATATTCTGGTAAGTTGTTTAAAATTTTTATATGCTATGTATACATGCAAAAGTTGTGTTAAAAATTGTTTAAGTTCTGGCTGGGCGCGGTGGCTCATGCCTGTAATCCCAGCACTTTGGGAGGCCGAGGTGGGCAGATCACTTGAGGTTGGAAGTTCAAGACCAGTCTGGCCAGCATGGTGAAACCCCATCTCTACTCTAAAAATACAAAAATTAGCCAGGCATGGTGGTGGGCACCTGTAATTCCAGCTACTCGGGAGGCTGAGGCAGGAGAATTGCTTGAACCTGGGAGGCAGAGGTTGCAGTGAGGCCAGATGGTGCCATTGCACTCCAGCCTGGGCAACAAGAGCGAGACTCCATCTCAAAAAAAAATTTGTTTAAGTTCTATTTAAATGGGCTCATTATTGAAGGAGCACTAAAGTGAGCGCTTCTGCAGGGTCACACTGTGAGGCCAAGCCTCATCTCCCCAGACACCTGCTCTGGCAGGTCATGTTAGGATCCTACAACGTCCTTACCCATCTCTACTGGGAGTGAAGACACCTCCTAAGTCTTGAATCCAATTATTCAAAAGAGTCCAGTGTTCCAACAGGCTAGAAACAAAGCCTAGAACTGTCATGCTTTGCAACCCCAAGTAAAAGGGTCTTGCCAGGGAGAAAGATTGAGTGTCTGAAGTGGTATGGAGAAATTAGGTTTCAGTGGCAGGCACAGGGACAATCTGTCAGATCTGGCTGCTGGAGAGTGAGGTGGGAGAGAGCCAGGGAGGGGGAGGAGGAGCAGCCGTTTGTAGGCTGTGAGGGCGAGAGGAGACACATGAATGACTCGGGGGCGGGGGCGGGGGCAGGGCTCCCATTCCCCCTCACCAGGCCGGCCATCTGCTCTGGGGCCTCAGGCAGGCGGGTACCATGAAGCTTGGGGACTGGCAGCCCAACCAGCAAACAAAGCCAACAAGCTGGCTCCGCTACAAGGGAGCAAGAAGAAGCCAGCAGGGAAGTCTTACTTTTGGAAAGTGGCCAGGTCCCATCACGAGGGCCTCACCTGGCTGAACAAAGTCCCTCCTGGTCCCACGACTGGAACCCATTCCGATGCCCATGGGCTCTGTGGAGTCACCTCCTGTGTCAAAGAAGGAAAACCCACCCTTTCAGCCTTACAGAAACGTTTGTAGCCCTCAGCAAAAGCATCCTTTGCGGCTTTAGCATTCAGCCTCCAAACAGGCACTAAGTGCTACCCCGCCACCCCCAGATAGCTTTTCAAGACCCTTTTCCAAATCCATTTGTCTTTGCAGAATCCACTCCCTTTGCAGAATTGACATCTGCCCTCAATGACTTCTCACCTGGGCCTCTAGCAATCTCATGCCTGCCTCTTCCCAAGAAGGGCACCCTGATCTCGGATAGAGGAGATTCTCTTTGTCAGTGAGGCCAGAGAGAGGAAAGCCACCATGAGAAGGGGAGACAGAAAACGCCAGGATCTGGATTCCAAGGCACTGCCATCATCCTGATTCTAACAGGGCAGCATCGCATCCCCAGATGGGCAGGAGGATGGGGAGGGGAGTGAGAAAAGAGAAAAGAAAGGCCTTGGGATGGACGTTTGGGCCCCATCCTGCAAGGCCGGGTGCCGAGCTCGCAGAGGCCGCCCCGGAGGTGAGTTCTGTGCGCTCACCCCACCCCGGGGCCGGCTAAGGAACTGCAGCCTCTTTGGAAACGTAATTGAACTATATCAGCTGCAGTGGCTGGATTCACTCCTGGTGTTTGCTTCTTCCGGGGAGCAGAGGCCCTTCAGCAGCAGAAATTCCTGACTCAGAAAGTGAGAGAGAGAAAGAAACAGGCTCTGTGATAAGAGATGGGACGCCGCTCAGCATGAAGACCCACCCACCCCCAACTCCTGCCAACGCTGGGCCAACATCTCCACTTGGAAATCCTCTCTTCTGGGTCTGCACCTTCCCAAAGCCCTGTTAAATTTTAAATATTCTGTGTCCCGTTAGGGAGGAACTACCGTTTCGGCCACTAGCACAAGGAGACTAGGACGAGGAGAATTTCCAGAGCAAGGAGGAGCTATCCGTGGAGACGGGACAGGGTGGGAGCCTCACCCAGGTACCCAGCTGCTGGCAACACACAGGAACACAGACCCCAGGAGGGAAAAGGCCAGTGTGGTCAACTCTGGCCATGATTAAATTAGATCCTGACCTTCGTCGCTCTAATTACAACGAGGACCCGAATTACTGGTTCTGGCCCATTTGTGAAGTTGCTGCCCTTTCACAAGCTGTG
Organism: Homo sapiens; assembly: GCF_000001405.40. Lineage (NCBI taxonomy): Eukaryota > Metazoa > Chordata > Mammalia > Primates > Hominidae > Homo > Homo sapiens. The sequence continues at coordinate 73,156,997 of NC_000017.11, forward strand.
AAACACCCATTCTACAGGAACCAGTGCATCTTGCCAAAGGGAAGTGAGGTGAGGTGTCTACCCTGCTATCTCACTAGGAGAGGAGAGGTAGTTGAAGGGGATTTTCCTTATGAGAGAGAAAACTCTGGTTCCATCTGCTCATGGAACAGAGACTTCCAGGCCCCACGGCTGCACAAACCCTGCTCAGAATGCCCTCTGCCCAGATAACAGGGTTCCCAGGGTGATGGAGTGCAGTGTGAGTCCACAGTCTCCTCCCTGGGGGAGGAGAGCTCCTGAGTTGCTTGTGGCTTCACCCAGGACAGTCTTTCTCCCTTCCTGATCTAAAGTTTCTCCACATCAGAATCGAGACAGTTTAACTCTCAGAGGTTCTCGGCTCTAGCTCACATGAAAATCAACTGGGGAGCTTGAAAAAATTACCTGGGCCCCATGCCAAAAATTAAATGAGAATAGCTAAGGACGGAGCCAGGGCACCCTTAGTTTTAGAATTCCCCAGGTGATTTTCCCATGTAGCAGCCTTGTCTCAAAGCCCTGACAGGTGCTCTCAGAGGGGCGTTCTGCCGCTGTGAGTCTATAAATCCCTCCCACCCCCCAGCAGCAGCTCCTCTTTTGGGGAAGAGGCTGCTCTTCTGATTAGGCTAATCAGGCAATTCAGCATTTGGTGGAGGGTGGGGGTGGAGGGAGTCACACAGCAGGAAAGCACCAGGCACTTCTGTCACTTGGGTCATTCTGGAAGGGAGAGGAAAAAATTCTTCTAGGAGGCCTGGATGATTGTCAGAGCCTCAGAGAACTTGGAAACAATCCAGAACTCATCCACAAAGACGTTCTTAGGATGGGAAAGTAACTGCCTGGAGAAGGGCTTAAAACAATTGTGGGCCCGGCGTGGTGGCTCATACCTGTCATCCCAGCACTTTGGAGGTTCGAGGTGGGAATGGGGGGGATCACGTGAGCCCATGAGTTCAAGACCATCCTGGGCAACATAGCGAGACCCTGTCTCTACAAAAAATAATAATAATAATAATTCAAAAATTCACCAGGCCTGCTGGTGCATGCCTGTAGTCCCAGCTCCTCGGCAGGCTGAGGTGAGAGGATTGCTTGAGCACAGGAGGTCAAGGCTGCAGTGAGCAGTGATCAAGCCACTGAACTTCAGCCTAGGCAACAGAATGAGACTGTCTCAAACAACAACACAACAAACAATTGTGGCTATCGATCAGGGGAAGGGATTGTCTCTAGTATTGTAATCAGCCTCTAAGAACGATTAAGGAAGGTGGGAGTCCCATTTGCCAATGGATTCTTGCTCTGCATAATTATGTTCAGGATTTGGTAGTTAAACTGTCACTGCTAGCTGTGTGACCTTGGGCAGGGTACTTAACCTCTCTGTGCCTTGCTTCATTCACAAAAAGGAGGATTAATAATGCTGATGGTATTTCATAGGATTACAGTGAGGATTAAATGAGTTAACAGAAAGCATCTAGCACAGTGCTTGGCACACAGTAAGCACAGAATAGGTGTTGAAAATTACTCAGGGAAATACAGGGAAAATTACTCATAGGGAATCCATGGCTAAATAAGTTGGGAAACACTGGGTTAAAGATCAACAGCTGTCTTTCCTGCAAGATTTCTCAAAATACCAATGTTACTACTGATAAAGGCATGTGCCACAAAGGTTGAGAGAATTAAATGAGATAAAAGGTGTGTGAAACACTCAGTGCACCCTGCACGTAATGGACATTATAATAAGTATGTGAGGCCGGGCGCAGTGGCTCTCACCTGTAATCCCAGCACTTTGGGAGGCTGAGGCCAGCGGATCACTTGAGCTCAGGAATTCGAGACCAGCCTGGGCAACATGGCAAAACCCTATCTCTATTAAAAATACAAAAATTAGCCAGGCGTAGTCCCAGTGACTTGGGAGGCTGAGATGGAAGAATGGCTTGAGCCCAGGAGGTCGAGGCTGCAGTGAGCCAAGATAACGTCACTGCACTCCAGCCTGGGAGACACAGTGAGACCCTATCTCTCTCTTCTCTCTCTTCTCTCTCTCTCTCTCTCTCTCTCTCTCTCTATATATATATATATATGAATGTGAGAGAGAGAGACATATATATATATGAATGAGAGAGAGAGACATATGATATATATATGAATGTGAATCTGCAGGACATGGGGTGAATGGTGAATGTGCAGCTGTGCACCATTTCCCAGAGTTGCCTGTGCTCTTTTTCTTTTTTTTTTTTTCTCGAGAGACAGAGTCTCACTCTGTTGCCCAGGCTGGAGTGCAGTGGTGTGATATCAGCACACTGCAACCTCCGCCTCCCAGGTTCAAGTGATTCTCGTGCCTCAGCCACCCAAGTAGCTGGAATTACAGGTGCACACCACCATGCCCGGCTATTTTTTGTATTTTTGGTAGAGACAGGGGTCTCACCATGTTGGTCAAGCTGGTCTCAAATTCCTGGGCTCAAGGGATCCACCTGCCTTGGCCTCCCAAAGTAGTGGGATTACAGGCGTTAGTCACCATGCCCAGCCGATTTTTCTACGTAGCATCTTGCTCTGAGAATTAGTGGTCCAGGAAGCACACTCTGGAAAAAGTCACAGCAGGAGACAGCCTCAAATTTTCCAACTCTGTCACCATGGCACTGAAAAAGAGGAGCCGGACCAGGCAAGAGCAGCAGAGATGTGGTTATCAGGAAGAATGTACTGGTGCCAGAGAAGTGCTGGGACAGACGGTGGGGGAGCTGGGGACTCCTCTCTCCTCCAGCTTTCATACCCCGTGCGAGTGGGGTCCCTGTGGAAGGGGCATGAGTCCGCGATTCAGAAGAGCTGATTTGACTCTTGACTTTGCCACTCCCTTGCTGGGTGGCCTTGGTCAAGTCACCTGTCCTCTCTGAGCCTGGTATCTTTACTTGGATAATGATGGGATGTAGGCTATAAACCTGAGAATGTCTAAGGACCCTTCTGGCTCCAGGATTTTATGTCTATATGCATTTCGGCCAAAATGGGGATGAGAAGAAAAAAAGGGAATCCTATCTAGAGCACAGTGTCTTCTAACCACGATTCCTGATTCTAGACTTGTTTGGGGGTGGTTTCCAAAGAGCTTCTAATGCCTACTCACTCACTTGGCCAATGTATTCCCTGAGGGTCGAGGTTGCTAATAGAGAAAAATGGTGACACGCCATGCCAGACTCATAGCTGTTGAGGGCTAGGGGACAGAGAGAGGAAGAAAGGTCCTCATTTGAATTCTTTGTGTATTTGAAGAGACTATTAAATCGACTATGCCAAATGCCCCCCCAACCTCCTTTTTTTTTTTTTTTTTTGAAACAGGGTCTTGCTCTATCACCCAGGCGGGAGTGTAGTGGCATGATCTTGGCTCACTACAACCTCCACCTCTCGAGCTCACGAGATCCTCCCATCTCAGCCCCTCAAGTAGCTGGAACTACAGGTGTGCACCACCATGCTTGGCTAATTTTTTTTTTTTTTTTTTTTTTGTAGAGATGAGGTCTCACTATATTGCCCAGGATGGTCTCAAACTCCTGGGCTCAAGTGATCCTCCTTCCTCAGCCTTCCAAAATGCTGGGATTACAGGCATGAGCCACTGTGCCCAGCCCTCAAGTTTTTAAACAGTGATATGGTGACTGTACTCTATATTTTCCAAACTAAACATCAGGACCCATGGTATCAGAAAGGCTTTTACATGCTGACATTTCCATTTTCGTAAAATGCGGATGGTTTGTGGGGGACAAGGGAAATAACAGCTAAAAACAGGAGTGTCCCAGGAAGCCAAGGTACTACGATCACCATGCCGAGTATCTTCTCCCCCGCCCCCTCAAACCACCGGATATCTGATGTTCTCCACGGCAGAAGCATTGCTCTTTTCTCATCAATAGAAATGGCAGACCTCACCCTGGCATTCCCGTAAAGATGATAAAAACCACATTGGATGCTCAGACTGGTATCTAACACTCTCAAACACATCCAATCCTCCCCTCAGGGCTCTCTTGCTTTCCTCCAGGCTTAATTGCAATACTTACTTTCACCAAATTGATTGCAGACTAACAATTTCCCCCATTTAATTTATTAAGCCACTCAGAGACATAATGACCTATTTGGGAGTTGTGTCTTCCCTGTGGAGCTCCTAGACGATGAACTCCTCTTGGCAAGAGTGAACCGAGCAGCCCCTCCCCATGGAAGGGGCTGGACACTGGCCTGGCCCTTTGTCCTCCTCCTTTTCTTAATTTCCTGCCACCTATTGTCTCTCTGATAACTGCTGACAGAGGGAAGGGTGCTATTTAATTGCTTTAAAGATATCAAACAAGCCAGTTAGAAGGTTATCTCCTCCCCAACCCCTCTATTTTTCTGGCTCAAGGTTTTGTTACTTAGTTACTAGCCAAGCTGCAGAGGAAGAAGAGGTAGCCCCATGTGGATTACAGCTCAGACTTCATTCAGCAGATGGAGGGCAGAGTCAAAATAGCCTGGGGGAGCCAAAGGTGGAATAGGAACTCGAGGTTGGCCCCTGAGTGCTGCTGGCAGCCCAAACTGCTCTTTGGAGGCCTTCAAAGGTGGGGAGGGGAGAAGAGAGGAGGCATTCATTTTCTGGACAAAATCAACAATCATCCTAGATGACACATTTCTGCTGTCAAGGTCCATGTTGTTCAGAGCCCACTCAGCCAGCTGCAGTAAGACAGGTGTGCCTAACGTGGGTGCATCAGTACTTTTTCCAGGCTGGGTCTGCCCTATGTGATAAGGAGGGGAAGGCTCGACAAGGAAAGTGCATGAAGGGGAATGTTGCTTTATTTGGTCATCCACATTAAAGAGCATACAGGGCTACATGTGGTGGCTCACACCTGTAATCCCAGCATTTTGGGATTATTCAGCCTATTCAGGAGGCTGAGGTGGGCGATTACCTGAAGTCAGTAGTTCAAGACCGGCCTGGCCAACATGGTGAAACCCTGTCTCTACTAAAATTACAAAAATTAGCCAGGCATGGTGGCAACCGCCCGGAGTCCCAGCTACGCAGGAGGCTGAGGCAGCAGAATCACTTGAGCCTGGGAGGCAGAGGTTGCTGTGAGCTGACATCACGCCACTGCACTCCACCTTGGACAACAGAGTGAGACTCCGTCTCAAAAAAAATAAAAATTAGGCCAGGCGTGGTGGCTCATGCCTGTAATCCCAGCACTTTGGGAGCCCGAGGCGGGTGGATCACTTGAGGTCAGGAGTTTGAGACTAGCCTGGGCAACATAGTGAAACCCCGTCTCTACTAAAAATACAAAACTTAGCAGGGCATGGTGGCGCACACCTGTAATCCCAGCTCCTCGGGACGCTGAGGTACAAGAATCGCTTGAACCTGGGAGGTGGAGGTTGCAGTGGGCCAAGATCGCACCACTGCACTCCAGCCTGGGCAACAAGAGCGAAACTCCATCTCAAAAAAAAAAAAAAAAAAAAAAAAAAGAGGTCAGGCACGGTGGCTCACACCTGTAATCCCAGCACTTTGGGAGGCCGAGGTGGGTGAATCACGAGGTCAGGAGATCAAGATCATACTGGGTAACACAGTGAAACCGCATCTCTACTAAAACTACAAAAAATTAGCCAGGCACGGTGGCACGTGCCTGTAGCCCCAGCTACTCGGGAGGCTGAGGCAGGAGAACGGTGTGAACCCGGGAGGTGGGGCTTGCAGTGAGCCAAGATCGTGCCACTGCACTCCAGCCTGGGCGACAGAGCGAGACTCCGTCTCAAAAAAGAAAGAAAGAAAGAAGGAAAGAAAGAAAGAAAGAAAGAAAGGAAGGAAGGAAGGAAGAAAGAACAGGACTTCAAACAGAGCATACTTAGTTATGGGTCCCCTCCCCACACAGAAAAACTCCCTGGACATCAATGACTTCATCCATTCGGACTGGCAGATAGGCCACATTTCCTGACACCCTGTCTCTTCACCTTAAAAGGGTTAGCTTTCCACCACACCAGCAAAGACCCTCAGGACACACGATTCATATTCCCAGCTGAGCATCTACCCGGAGGTAAGCAGACGCTCAGGCACCTGGGCCGTCCTTGCCCTAATCCCTCCAGTGGTGTCCACACTGAGTCCTGCAGCACTGGTAGAAGGTGGTCTTCGGCTCATCTGCAGAGTGGGTCTGAAGCTACATGTAGTAAGCACAAGGAGGTTCTCATTGAGGACATGGCTCTGCAGTAGAGTCAACATCCTCCCAGGCAGCTGCTCCCCCAAGCCCATCATCCACTTCTTTCAGCTTTGAGTACTTCCAATTTGTTACCTTGTGGGTGAAGTGCACACAGAGGCACGTGTTGCAGGCGAGGGAGTGGCAGCGGCAGCGCTGTCCCTCCTCCACGATCAGCCCATCCCTGCAGCCAGGGTAGAACAGCAGCATCATCTCGGACTCTGCTGGCTCCAGTTATTATTTTTTTTAATGAAACGTAAATCTGGTATTAACAGTTTGAGAACTTTTAGGAAAGGAATTTGAGGGCAGAGTGGGCACTTCCTGGCTCTTCCTTCTTTTCCTGGAAACCAGTCAGATTACTGGTTTTAAACTGGAGGTGGCAACAGGCATTGTAGCAACTGTGTGGCCAGAGGATGCCGAGTTCCCCTGAGCACAATTCCACGATGCCCTCCTGATATTACTATTACCTCTCTGCCTCTCCCTCTTCCCACTGACGGTGAGCAGACACAGCCCTCTTCCAGTGAGCTAGCCACCCCAGCCCTTCCACTTGCATACACATGTCTAAAAGAGATGCTGGCTCCCAGATTGACTCCTGGAACTTAAGGCAATTGCAGCTCAATTTCCATCTCACCCTGAGCTCCAGGATGCCAAGATTTAAGCCCTATCATGACCAACGTCTCAGAGAGAGATGGAAACTCCTGATCCCCATCTCACAGTGGGTACCCCAAGATACAGCTTGGCCCAGATAGAAGAGAGAGCTGGCTGCTGCTGTACCTGGTGGTTGCTTTTCCATGTCACTCATCTATCTCTAAGGCTCACCCCACCTGCCACACAGCTTCTGGACTTTTACTTTTCCCTGGTGAATTGGAAATCAGATAATAGGATGGACAAATCAAGGCAGCTCAGCTCACAGAGAAAGCTAGTTGGGGTTTGCTTTCTGTTTTCACATCCTCTAAAACTGTACTGAGGATGGTGTGTGTGTGTGTGTGTGTGTGTGTGTGTGTGTATACCTATGTACTTGGAGGAGGGTGAGGAAGGGGAGGCTGCAGGATTGATTATGACTTATTAAACTATTGGAAAAGAGGCTGAATCATCACAGTCAAAAATAAACAGCTGCAACTCCATGCGACTCCCACTTCTTGCCTGCTCCCCTTTGCTCCCTCACAGCATGTAGGAGAGACTGTGCTGGGTCAGACCAGCAGGTGCTGACTGACGTGGCTACAGCAAGGGGACCACCTGTATGGCCGCTGCACCTCCAAGCTGTGGGACGCAGGGACAGCTGGGACCAGTCGACGTCCACTGGCCCTCTGATGGCTCCTAGGACTGAATCTTGGACTCCAGGTGCGGGTTTACACTCCCTGCGCTCATTGGGAACTGCATGGAGAAGCGCTATCCCCTGAGCCCTTTTTCTCCCTACTCTTAGCCTGGCCCTGCGCCCTGCGCCCGGGGCTGGCCCACGGTAAACACAGCTTTGCTAACTTGTTTGGCTAAGGAAATCACAGAGGTCCCGGTATAAGTCTGGGTCACCCCGGCCGCCACTCCAGCTGCCTAGAATATATGGGTGGAAGGGAATCGACTCTGTGAAATCAGAGGGAAAATAGCGCTTGTCCTTGCCATGAGTCTTGAGGAGACCGAAAACGCTTAACCTTTTACGCCCCCGCAGGCGGGTCCCCTCTCTCCCCGCTCCCCGGCTGTCTGTAAGCTCTGCCTGCGGCCACCCGCAGGCGTTTCAGCCGGTCTCACCCCTGTCCTTCTGCAGGACCCGGGAGGAGGGGTTGGGGGGGCGGAGCGAAGCCGCTGTGACGTAGCGGGAGGGGGGCGTGGGGAAATGTGCCGAGGGGCCCGGGCTGGCTGGGCCAGTCCCAGCGGCGCAGCCACCCATGCGCGCGCGCTCGCAAGACCACCAGCGCCCAGAGCCCCAGTCTGAGGCTTGGCGCCGGGGGTCTGCGGGCGAGGGGAGCTCTCTACGTGCGAGGGGCTAGCGGGAGCCGGCACAAGAGGGTCGAGGAGCCAGGAACCCCAAACGTCCGGCGCCAGGCGCTAGCCAAGCTGCTGCGCGCCCCGGCGCCCAGCTGGCTCGGGGACAGCCGCTGGGTGTCGGAGACCGGAGCTAGCGGATTGCAGCGGAAAAGCAAAGGTGAGGGGTGTGTGTGTGTGTGTGTGTGTGTGTGTGTGTGTGTGTGTGATAAGAGAGATGGAGGGAGCGAGAAGCGCACTTGGGCACCTGTGTGCATCTGCGCTGATGGTGGTGTGCCCATCCGAGTGCCTGAGCTTAGGTCCCGGTGCGTGATTCTCCGCTCTTGTGCCTTTTGGGGTGATTGTAGTAGGAATGAACGACAACGGGTACCCTTGCCTGAGTAAGGGGGCTGTGGGTAGAGTGTGCTGGAACGGACGTGTCCTCGCAGCCTCATGCCCGTGTGCGTGGCGTGTGCCCTTTAGCCCGAGATTTCAGGTAGCTGCGACGGGTGACAACTTCTCTCCCAGCCCCCTACAAAAGAGACCTGGCGCGAGGGGAGCGAGGCCGTGAGATGCCAGCTGGGGCTCCTGCGGGAGCGCACCCGGAGATCCGAGCCTGCCAGAGGCAGGCGGCGGGCGCAGAGCGGAGAAAGAGGGGCTTCTCTCCCTAGACGCTGAACGATCTAGGATCCGTCCCCGTCCCCCACCTCGGGACAGAAAGGACAGTTTGTCTAGGTTTGGAGAGAAAAAACCACTGCATAGGCCGTGCCCAAAAGCCGCTGGCCAAGTCCCCCAAGCGACTGTCTTCTGCGCCCCGATGTCTCTGTCCTCAGCGCCCCCCCCCCACACCCGGCACCCCTGCTGTGCGTTTCGATACTGGGCGTGCTGGCGCCACAATCTCCGCTCTTGCCTCGTCTTCCTGGAAATGGCACAGAGTTCTTTGGGAAACCCTTGCTCTGAGGATCAGCGAGTTGGATGGCCAGGAGGAGGACTTTCTGTGCCAGCCGGGAGCAACCGGCTCCGCGGTCCTGACACTCGCCCCTCCATTTCTCAACCCCGTAGGCCAGCACCGCCCCGGCTTTTCCCAGGCGCTCACGCGCCGCGGTGGCCCTCAGGGGCTTTTGTCACCCTGCCAGTGGGGGCTCTCGCTCTAGCCGCACAGAGACCAAGCCGGGTTCTGCAGGCCCTGAGGGAGGCGGGGGGTGGGAAGTGAATGCGGGAAACATGATGGGGAGAGGAGAAACTGAAGCTGAGTAGGATTTAGGACCTCCCCTGATGTCGGGTCGCCATCCCAACACTCATTTCTTGGGCTGGTAATCACAGCCCCTATGTAAAAGGGGGGCGGGGGGGGCAGGTGCGTGAGACCATTCTCACCCTCCTCTCTACAGAGCCTGGACATGGTTCAGAGGAAACCAACCACTAGCCATTTCCAGCATCTAACAATTCTTGGGCTGGAAAAACAAAGAATGCAGAAAACGAAACTTCCTTGTACATTTAATTTAACCACAATTCATCTAGAATTGTCTGCCTGGCATTGGAATATTCTTTCTCTGAAACAAAAATGAAACAGAAGTCTCTGGAAGACCTTAAGCGGCTGACTTCTTTGTTAAATAAGACTCCCCATGATTTAAGCTCATTTCTTGCTTAGAGGAGCCTTCCCACTCTCAGCCGGCTCCCCAGCCTCCCACCTCCACCACCTTCACCAAGACTCTGAACCCTGTCTGTTGCTACCATTAAGCAATTCTGTCCTGTTGACTCAAACTCCAGTTAAAATGACCGAGTTAGGGCTGGAAAGCAACACTCAACCCTCTCTCATACTCCCTGCACCATCATCGTTCCTAGCCCAAAAGCTCTTAGACAGGGGCTCTGCCAACCCAGGGGGATTCCGTGTTACTCAGACATTGGAGTGTGACCATTCATGTTATATAGATGGGCCCCTGGAAATCCCCATGATAAGGTACACTCTGATTGCAGGCAGCTTGAATAGGATTCTGGCTCTGTAGAATTAAACCAACTGACCAGATGGTTAGAAGTGATAACGAAACTACCCAAGTTAATCCAGGGATACTAACCACAGTTTCTGTACAGCTTCTGTTTTAATTGCTGCCAGTCTATGCTTTTTTACGCAATGCAGACATGAAATTCCAGGTGCCTCAAATACTTCACAAAATGGTCAGCCACAAAGCCCAGATCTCACTTCACAGACAGTTGTGTGGTAGGGAAATGAGCACAGAAGGAACGAGCAATGCACCTGGCAGTTCAGAATCAATCAGAAGCAAAGGTGAGCAAGGATCCTCAAGTACTTGTTGCTGGCCAAGTCTCCTTTAACTGATCTGCAGTCTTTCCAAGGATTAAGAAGTAATCTTCCATCTACACCCAGGCACCAGGAAAAGGACCTAGCTCAGGGGAAATGTGTCAGCCAAGTGAATTAGTCCCACTCTGCTGAACACACCACCCTTTGAACATCTCGCCTCTTCCTAGATTGGCCTCTTTGCTGTCCTCCTGCTTCACTCTTCATATACCCAAGACCCAGCTCAAACACTTCTCTTTGGAAGCCTCCTCTGAGTCCCCCAGGAAAGGAAGGCATTCTTAAGTCCTTCATTTATCTCTCGTGCAATGCCCACCCTATATGAGCTGGCTTCCTTTCCTATCTCCCCTTTTAAATTATCACCTCCTAGAGGGCACTGGCCAAGTTTGTTCATTTCTACATCCCTGCTGTCAGCACAAAGAAGCCTCCTCTCCAGGCCCCCAACCCCCGTGATATTTTTTGAATGGCTGTATATCAATCATTTAATTATGGGATGAACTATTGTTTTAGATCTTAAGCCAAGCCAATAGTGCTCCAATTATTTTCTCAGCAAGGAAGTAACACAGGAGTCAGTTGCTTCAAACCAAAGCCCAGTTATCAGCCGTTCGGTCTCTAGGCCACTGAGGAGCAGAGGGGATGCCTTGAGACGTGCAAAAGACTTGGGGCCAGGTGGCCTGTGTTCACATCCCAGCTCCACCAATTATGTGCAAGAGAATGGGGTGAGCTCCTTAAACTCTCTTAAGCCTCAGTTTCCACATCTCTAAAATGGGGGTAATTATCCCTACCACCTAGGACAGTTGGGGAGATCAAGGGACTCGTGAGTGTGAATGAATTATATCAGTACTGGAAGCCTTCTGCTTACTTCTGTGAAAGAGCTTGTGTCCCACACCTGCTTCCCGTTTTTGTCCGTAATTAGAAAATGGCAGGCAAATTCTCTGGAGTGTTACAGCACTTGGGAGCAGCATCCCCTTAGGGACTTTGGGAAAGAGCTCTTGAGGAAGTCAAGCATTAGGTATTGGAAAACAAAAATAGAAGAAAAACAAAAAATAAACTGAAGCCTACATTTCAAAAATGAAAGCAAACCAGACTTTTATTTTTAATACTGAAGACTATAAATTGTTTCACCACGTAGGTAGATTTCAATAAATCAGAGATAATGAGATGGTAGAGGAAAACATGGGGGGAAACAACTTACGAGGTTCCCATTATGAGCCCAACGCAAGGCTAGGCATTTTCACATATATTCCATCATTTAACCTTCATGACGCCCCCATGTGAAGAAATAAGAGTCAGAACCATTAAGGACCAGGCATGTGGTCACACGGGCTCAGCAGTGGAACCCGGTTTGTTCTGCCTCTAGAGTCTGGGTTTTTTCCACTATGGCATTTTCAGAATGGAAAGACTCCAAGGCAGTCAGCAAGTCAGCATAGATTTCCTGGTAGGGAAGAGGCCAGGAATGTCAGTGTCAGACCCTTCTGAGGTCAGGCGCTGAACTTCTCCAAGCTCTGCCTTTCTGCAGTTTAGATCAGTCAACTTCTTAGGGGTCAAAGTATGTGCTTTTTGAAGCCACAGCCCTCCCCGACATGTGCGTCAGCAGATGATGGCTGAACCCAAACCCTTCCCTACTATTGGAAAAACAACTCAAAAAGTCTGCACACTGATGAGGAACTCTAGAGCTTAATGTTGATGTGGAAAGATAATACATTTTTCAATTTAAGAGTATGTCTGAGAGGCTAAACCAGAAATGTGTAAATTTGGTGAGACTTTAAACAGCCTGTGACCGACGGGCCAATCTTCCTCTTTTCCTTCCAGATGTCACACTGGATCCTTGGCCTCCAGGGTCCATTAAGGTGAGAATAAGATCTCTGGGCTGGCTGGAACTAGCCTAAGACTGAAAAGCAGCCATGGACATGGCGGATGAGCCACTCAATGGAAGCCACACATGGCTATCCATTCCATTTGACCTCAATGGCTCTGTGGTGTCAACCAACACCTCAAACCAGACAGAGCCGTACTATGACCTGACAAGCAATGCAGTCCTCACATTCATCTATTTTGTGGTCTGCATCATTGGGTTGTGTGGCAACACACTTGTCATTTATGTCATCCTCCGCTATGCCAAGATGAAGACCATCACCAACATTTACATCCTCAACCTGGCCATCGCAGATGAGCTCTTCATGCTGGGTCTGCCTTTCTTGGCTATGCAGGTGGCTCTGGTCCACTGGCCCTTTGGCAAGGCCATTTGCCGGGTGGTCATGACTGTGGATGGCATCAATCAGTTCACCAGCATCTTCTGCCTGACAGTCATGAGCATCGACCGATACCTGGCTGTGGTCCACCCCATCAAGTCGGCCAAGTGGAGGAGACCCCGGACGGCCAAGATGATCACCATGGCTGTGTGGGGAGTCTCTCTGCTGGTCATCTTGCCCATCATGATATATGCTGGGCTCCGGAGCAACCAGTGGGGGAGAAGCAGCTGCACCATCAACTGGCCAGGTGAATCTGGGGCTTGGTACACAGGGTTCATCATCTACACTTTCATTCTGGGGTTCCTGGTACCCCTCACCATCATCTGTCTTTGCTACCTGTTCATTATCATCAAGGTGAAGTCCTCTGGAATCCGAGTGGGCTCCTCTAAGAGGAAGAAGTCTGAGAAGAAGGTCACCCGAATGGTGTCCATCGTGGTGGCTGTCTTCATCTTCTGCTGGCTTCCCTTCTACATATTCAACGTTTCTTCCGTCTCCATGGCCATCAGCCCCACCCCAGCCCTTAAAGGCATGTTTGACTTTGTGGTGGTCCTCACCTATGCTAACAGCTGTGCCAACCCTATCCTATATGCCTTCTTGTCTGACAACTTCAAGAAGAGCTTCCAGAATGTCCTCTGCTTGGTCAAGGTGAGCGGCACAGATGATGGGGAGCGGAGTGACAGTAAGCAGGACAAATCCCGGCTGAATGAGACCACGGAGACCCAGAGGACCCTCCTCAATGGAGACCTCCAAACCAGTATCTGAACTGCTTGGGGGGTGGGAAAGAACCAAGCCATGCTCTGTCTACTGGCAATGGGCTCCCTACCCACACTGGCTTCCTGCCTCCCACCCCTCACACCTGGCTTCTAGAATAGAGGATTGCTCAGCATGAGTCCAATTCAGAGAACGGTGTTTGAGTCAGCTTGTCTGATTGAATGATAATGTGCTAAATTGATTACCTCCCCCTTAAAGCGAACACTGAAATGCAGGTAGACAATTCAAAGTCTGGAGAAGAGGGATCATGCCTGGATATGATCTTTAGAAACAACAAAAATAGAAAAAAATAAGTATCTGTGTGTTTGTGTATTGAAAACTCAATATGTAATCTTGTGTTTTTATATGTATACTTGTATATTCCTATTTATTCTCTGTATAGGCATTACCTACGTTCCTGTGTTTACATACACAAGTAGCAAATTCGAGTATGCATAGTGTAGATGGACATTTGCCACAACACACTGCCCGCAGAAATGGACTTACCGTGAAGCCAATAAAGTTCAAGCTTCAGGGATCTCTCTTGCACGGGCCTTGCCAAGGCCCAGGAGGGACTTGGGCAGTATGTTCATGTGGTCATATGTTTTTGTAAAAAATTGTGAAAGTAAGATATGTTTGTATTGTTTTTCTTAAAGAGGAACCTCGTATAAGCTTCAAGCCTCACAAACCTTCTAGCCTCTGCCCTTGGGGATTTGCTTCATTAATTTCAGGCAAGTGAGGTCAATGTAAGAAGGGAAAGGGAGAAGATATTTGAAGAACCAGAATGTAAATTCATGTGTTTCCACTTCTCAGATATAGTCAGAGAATTATTCATTTGCCCAAAAGGACTTAAGTGGTTGTGGTCATCCATCATTGTATTTATCAAGACAAAGCCAACTTTGTTATAAGATTGCATTTTTTTCTTTTCAAATTGCTTTAGTTTTTCTTAGGGAGCTATGAGGGGGAAAAATCACTAACATGAAAGGCAAAAAATGGACTATGATTCCTGTGGGGAAACAATTTCATTCTCTCCATCGTGAAAATAAGTGAATAAGAGTGAAGCAAAATTACACCTTTATGAGAAACCATAAAATTGTTTTTATTTTTCAGGCCAGACATAGCTTCCTAATGAAAGAAAATGGAAATGTAATTCGACGACTCCTCAAAGGGGACTTTAGAGGACTTCATACAAAGCTGGGCATTAAGAAAACCACAATGCATGGCCGGGCGTGGTGGCTTACACCTGTAATCCCAGCACTTTGGGAGGCCGAGGTGGGTGGATCACCCGAGGTCAGGAGTTCGAGACCAGCCTGGCCAACATGGTGAAACCCCATCACTACTAAAAATATGTAAATTAGTCGGGCGTGGTGTCACGTGCCTGTAATCCTAGCTGCTCGGGAGGCTGAGGCAGGAGAATCACTTGAACTTGGGAGGTGGAGGTTGCAGTAAGCTGAGATTGTGCCACTGCACTCTAGCCTGAGCAACAAGAGCAAAACTCAGTCTCAAAAAAAAAAAAAAAAAAAAAAAAAAAAAAAAAAAAGGAAAACCACAATGCGTACTAAAGACCAGAAGACATTGTTCACAAAACAAAAGCACCCTCACCTGCCAATGAATATGCAGCGTGCAGGGGGTGTGGTGTGAGTGTTGGTGGGGCCCCACCTCTCGGAGATACTGCTGTGCTGCCTTCCTCACTGACTGTATACATAGTAACTGTCATATCTTTAATGCCATGGACTCACTGAGCCGCTCTGCAAGGACTATTGTAGACAGGCACTTCACACCATAAAGTGGCATTTTTTTCGTTCCCCAAACTGACATTTACAAGCGATAAGAAAAGAGACAATATCCATTTCATTGACTGATCATTTTCTAGAGTATGAAGAAATACACACCTGGGTGTCTGCAAGGATGTCATCATCTTTGGGTTTCATCTGAGAGCATCACTCAGCATCTCACACATAGATGTTACCATATTTTTAAATGAGCTTTCCTCATCCGGCTCCCTAAGCAAGCGCTGTTGGCCGGTGGGAGTGACTAAGTGCTCCACCTGTGGGTGTCCTTCTTAATGTGCTGCTTTTGTTCTGTATAAATTCACACCACCTCACTCCCAAAAGTACTTCCTGTGGCTCAGAAAAATATGTTCAATAAGATTTTGGATAGATAAATCCATACAAAAATAAAAAGAGGTATAGTTATAAAACAAGACTACAGAAAAAGTTGTGGCAGAAATTGCATGCAGGAAAATCCCACACCATTAGTAAAAGTAAGGTCAACTGTAAGTTCAGCTCAGGGCTTCCTAGCAGCCATGTTTAGCGAAGTGTGATTTTTTTTTTTAAACAAAAACAAGCAAAGATTTGGAAGAAAATGCTTTAGACCTAACTTTACAATTATTATAACATAAGATGTTCCAGGGTCCTTGAATAAATGCTGAGTTTTAGGGAAATGATTCCAAGGGACCAAGAATTGGTAGAAATAATTTCAAGGCAGAGAAGACTAATTCTACAGGCCGGGCGTGGTGGCTTATGCCTGTAATCCCACACTTTGGGAGGCTGAGGTGGGTGGATTGCCTGAGGTCAAGAGTTCAAGACCAGCCTGGCCAACATGGTGAAACCCTGTCTCTACTAAAAATACAAAAAATTACCCAGGCATGGTGGCGGGCGCCTGTAATCCCAGCTACTTGGGAGGCTGAGACAGGAGAATGGCTTGAACCCAGGAGGTGGAGATTGCGGTGAGCTGAGATCGTGCCATTGCACTCCAGCCTGGGCAACAAGAGCGAAACTTCATCTCAAAAAAAAAAAACAAAGACTAATTCTATAGTACCCATGACCCTGCAACCAGAGAAACTGCCTGTAGGGAGGCCAGAGTCCAAAGCAGCCACCTGTAACCTGAAAATGAAACGCAGACCCAGGCATCTGTGGGTCTTCATCAGCAGGATGACCATTCTAAGGCTAAAAGACAGGCCTTTAAATCTGATGCTATAATTCCATCCAAATACACAGTTAGGTTTCTACCATAGGGAAAGCTATTCTCTACTTTTTGAAGTATCTGTTTCAAAGATAACTTGCTCTCTGGTTCTCTTTTATCTAAAAGAGAGAATCAACATGCTAATTTAAAGGTTAACATCATTTTAATTCAAAAATTTTAGTCTCCATTCCATATTTAATGATGAAGACAAATCTGCTGGGTGCTGGGAGGGAATAAAAAGTAATGCACCCCATTGATTTCAGAGTATCTGATCACTTGGGTTATGCAAGCTGCTACTTACCCGCCATTAGCATGGGTAGTTAAGTGCTGATTAAACCTAAGTGGACTCAGTGAAAAAGATATTGGGAAAAATAATATGATATTGTGGCCTATGTTGAATGATGTTAGCTTGTGTTTCAGTAACAGAGTTGGGTAATACTGGACGTGTAGATGAAGCTTTAGCAGGGCTGGGCACGGTGGCTCATGCCTGTAATCCCAGCACTTTGGGAGGCTGAGGCGGGTGGATTACCTGAGGTCAGGAGTTCAAGACCAGCCTGGCCAACATGGGGAAACCCTGTCTCTACTAAGAATACAAAAATTAGCTGGGTGTGGTGGCGTGTGCCTGTAATCCCAGCTACTCAGGAGGCTGAGACAGGAGAATCGCTTGAACCCGGGAGGCGAAGGTTGCAGTGAGCCAAGATCGCGCCACTGCACTTCAGCCTGGGTGACAGCACAAGACTCCATCTCAAAAAAAAAAAAAAAAGGAAGAAGAAAAAGAAACTTAAGTGGGGTTCATACATAGCATGGCAGAGGGACACTGGAGAATAAAATGGCATGCAGAGAGGAACACGCGGGCCAGTGGATGAGGCTTCTAGACCTGGCAGTGAACTGGAGTCTATTTGCTTACACAAATTTAACCTTCTCTCCATGATGGAATACAAGTGTTTCTTGCCAAAACTCGCAGCCCCAGCTGCCCTAGATGAGGAGCACCGTGCTGGAAAAGTGCACAGGCTGATCACAGAGACAGGTAGGAAGCAATGGACTGTTAAAATGCATGTTCCGGGCTGGGGATGGTGGCTCACACCTGTGATCTCAGCACTTTGGGAGGCCGAGGCTGGGGAATCGCTTGAGCCCAGGATTTTGAGACTAGCCTAGGCAATATGGTGAGACCCTGCCCTTAAAAAAAAAAAAGAAAAGAAAAGAAAAGAAAAAAAGATTCATATTCCTGATCAGCTCTGAATGTGACTATTCAATGAAGACAGTAAAGTTACAGTGTAAGGCACACATGACCTTTGGCCTTGCTAAAGAAGAGTGGCTGAAGGTCTAGCAAATTAATGCTTGTCTTAGGTTACCTGTTGATTTAAAAACAACAACAACAAAAACCCATAAAAATAGTAAAATATAAAAACAAATTAGTGTTTTATAGACCCTGGGGAAAAGAATTTTCAGCAAAGTACAAAAATTTAAAGCATTCCTTTCTTTAATTTTGTAATTCTTTACTGTAGAACAGCTCAAAATATCAGTTCTGTTTTAAGTAACAGAATTGATAACTGAGCAGGGAAACGTAATTTGGATTGTAAAATTCTTGCTTTAATAAAAATTCTTTAAACAGTCAAAATAGAAAGAAAGAAAGAAAGGTGGCAAGAGAATTATCAAAAGTTTCCATAGATGGTTGGGAAGATCTGATTAGTGTTTCCAAAATGCTTATCATTCTAAGAATCCCAATAGCTGGCAAGCCAAGCAGTGGAACTTATAGTAACAACAATCAATCACTTGTCTCATCCCACATTTTTGCCAAATTCAAAAACACCAAATTTCCCATCAAATGTTCTGTCAGAGTAAACCTTTACCTAAGTGCTTGTTTTGCTTTTAATATGTGAATTTCTGGGAACATTCCCATGGGCAGCCTCTAATTTTTTTTTTTTTTTTTTGAGACAGAGTTTCGCTTTTTCACCCAGGCTGGAGCGCAGTGGCACGATCTTGGCTCACTGCAACCTCCACCTACCGGATTCAAGTGATTCTCCTGCCTCAGCCTCCCAAGTAGCAGGGACTACAGGCACGTGCCACCACGCCCAGCTAATTTTTGTATTTTTAGTGGAGATGGGTTTTTGCCATGTTGGCCAGGCAGGTCTTGAACTCTTGACCTCAGGTGATCCGCCTGCCTCAGTGTCCCAAAGTGTTGGGATTACAGGCACGAGCCACCGCGCTCAGCCAATTTTTCCTCAACTCTCTCTTTCCTGGACGGGCTGCGTTGGGGGGAGGTGCAGGGAAAGAACACCTCTTTGCTTAGACATTGGTGTCGACAGTGGGGATACTAAGTTCATCTCCTGATCCTGCTAGGCCTGGAAGCAGGAAAGAAATGTCCTGGTTAGAGATAAAATTGTTCTATCCTTTTAGAAAAGCCTGTTAAGGAATATGATGCAAAGCCACCTTCGACGAAATCTGAAATGATACCCCACAGCCTTGTCCACCCCAATTATTCAGTGACAGGGCTCCAGTTGCTTAAGCCATAGAGAAGGCCCCTTTGCAGTGGGAGTCACTGAAGACAGAAAGGGAAGCCCAGGATGAACCCAGTCCTAAGGGCTGCTGGGGGCCACCAAATAAGACTGTTTTAGCCCTGGACACAGAGGGAGACACAGTCATCCCAGATCCTTACAAAGAATACATTGCCAAGGACCCCGAAGGAAATCTGCTTGTCTTAAGAGAGGAAGACCCACGACCAGCTCTCTGGGACTACCTGTCAACTCAGCAGGTGCAGCCAGGGAGCAGCCATGCTTCTTCTGCCCTCCCAGTAGGCTGGGCTATCAGTTCCTGGGAGGGGTCCTGTCCCCATGTAAGGGGATATGTACATTGCTGAGTACGCTGATATCTTTTTCATGGGTATGATTTTTTAACAAGAAAGCTAAATGGTTCTCGTGTAACATAACTGATATAGTTTGGCTGTGTCCCCACCCAAATCTTATCTTGAACTGCAGCTCCCATAATCCCCAGGTGTTGTGGGAGGGACCCAGTGGGAGGTAATTGAATCATGGGGGTGGTTACCGCCATGCTGTTCTCGTGATAGCGAGTGAGTTCTCACGAGATCTGATGGTTTTATAAGGGGCTTTCCCCCTCCTTCGCTCTGCACTTCTCCTTGCTGCCATGCGAAGAAGGATGTGTTTGCTTCCCCTTCTGCCATGATTGTAAGTTTCCTGAGGCCTCCCCAGCCATGTTAAACTTTGAGTTAATTAAACCTCTTTCCTTTATAAATTACCCAGTCTTGCGTATGTCTTTATTAGCAGTGTGAGAATGGACTAATACAATAACCAAGGCTTGGTGGCTTTCTCAACATTAACCAGCATCCCAGTTCTCAGGAGACATGGATGGTGTTCTAAGGCTCTCAAGTTCCCAACTTGTACCTTCACTCTAGTTTGTGCTCCCAAGCACATGCACACATAAACACACACGTAATGTACATGCATATAGGTGGCATGACAGAACACATGTGTGATGCTTCACATGTATGTCACCCTCCCCTTGTCCACTGCCCTGCTCCAGCCCATTTCCATGGCTCAGTCTACATCTGCTCATCTTGTTTGCTTAAGTACCATGCATGTGAAAGACATGCTCACGTGTGTGTGATATTCATGCACATACATGTTAGGCACACGTGATGCACATGTGTACATGGGAGGCATGTGTGTGATGTGTACACACAGTATACATCCTGTATTGCCTCGGCAAGACCTCAATGCAGAGATTCTCCAGCAGCTTTAAACAGAGGGTGATAAATATAATTTGACTAACTCATCTCAAATCTAGGGATAGTTAGTCTTTTTTTTGAGACAGAATTTCGCTTTTTTTGCCCAGGCTGGAGTGCAGTGGTGCGATCTTGGCTCACTGCAACCCCCACCTCCCGGGTTCAAGCGATTCACCTGCCTCAGCCTCCCAAGTAACTGGGATTACAGGCATGTGCCATCACGCTCAGCTAATTTTTTTTGTATTTTTAGTAGAGACGGGGTTTCACCTCGATGGCCAGGTTGGTCTCGAACTCCTGACCCCCAAGTGATCCACCCACCTCGGCCTCCCAAAGTGCTGGGATTACAGGCATGAGCCACCCCGCCTGGCCAGTTAGTCATTTTTTCTAGACTGCTGCCACGATAGGGAGGAGGACATTATGCATAAACTAGTTTTTTACCCAGAGAATTCCATGCTAGATCACAGACTGCATGCCTAGCATGCCCAGCCCCAGCCAGCTGTCCCTGCCTCAATTCAACACCACCAGCAAAAAGGGTTGGCAAAAGGGTGTGACGGCTTCCTGCAAATCACCCCCACCGGTCCATTGGCATGAAGCACTTGTACTGCTAACAGCAACATTTTTGCATAAGAAAAATGATACAATTTCTTCATAGAAAAATCACTGAAAATAATTCTTAAATTGAGTCTCATCAATGACAGCATCTTAACAGACATTTCTTCCCCCTGGTCCCCCGGACCATGCTTCTTAATACAAATCCAAGGCTGAACGCTATGGGGAAGCTGTGATACTCTGCCAGTGAGAAAATGAATGGCCGCTGTCTTCCTTGCCCGTGAGCACACCTCCGCAAAAGAGTCTCTTAAACAGAAAGGAAACCTTCCCTTTGTCCATGGTCCTGCTTGTTCATTTCCGTGGCTTGGGATATCTACCTTGGCTCATCTTGTTTGCTTAAGTATCAGCCAGTGTGTGATGGAGAAGAGAGTATTGTTATGTCTTCCTCTGAGGAACAGAAGTCTGATCTCCAGGGTTCATTCTCAAGATTAATTAAAGCTAGCCTAGTCTCAGCTGTGCTGCCAGCCCAGCGTGCTAGACACTCACAGAGCAAAGGCTTGGGTGGAAGGAAGACTTACTTTTTTTGCCTTCAGCTTAAGCACTTTTTGGCAGATGAAAATCCTGTCCTAAATATCTCTTCCAAACTCCCAGGTGGATGGGCTCGGGAGATGACAGACCACAGCTGTTCCACTTTTTTTCTCTGCACCTTCACGTGACCACCTGTCTCCAAGGGTTTGCAAGCTCAAAGGTAGCAGAACATGCAACTTCAGCCATACCATGTGGCCTCCTCGAAGGTCTGTCTTTGCAGCCCAGGAAACCTATTGCTTCTTGGTTTTAAATGGAACATTTCTAGTCCAGCTGAGCCGACACAAAATCTGGTTGGATATCAGTAATATGGTTCTGGGATGTTGGGCAGACATGGAAATGGGTATTTACAGAGTTTGGGACTTTGAGGGCTTCCTTCCTGCCTCCAGGACCAATAAAGTAAATGTTAATTGCTGGAGAAGAACCAAGGTGAGGCACTGATGTGGCAGGCTGCTTCAGCAGTGACGTCTGTTTTCAGAGATCAGCTTCACCTTAGAGAGTGTCAAGGTCAGTGGAGGCCCACTTTGCTCTCAGCAAAGTCAAGACAGGAGACCAGCTGCCTTTGAGCAGGGAGTCTCACATGTTTAAAATTTAGCAATTAGAGTTTGTTTCCTTTAACTATGCCCTTGATCTGTCTTTCAAAACAATGTCCCCTTATAGTTTATATTTAAAATTTTAACTTCAGCACTTTGGAAGGCCGAGGCAGGAAGATTGCTTGAGCCTAGCAGTTCGAGACCAGCCTGGGCAACACAGAGGACCCTCACCTCTACAAAAAAAAATTTAAAAATCAGCCACGTGTAGTGGTGAACACCTGTACTCTCAGCTGCTTGGGAGGCTGAGGCAGGAGGATAACTTGAACCTGGGAGGTTGAAGCTGCAGCGATCCACGATTATGCCATTGCACTCCAACCTGGGTGACAGAGAGAGACTCTGTCTCTAAAAATAAAATATAAAAATAAAAATAAGATACAAATTTAAAATGCCTTTCTATTTTTATTTATTTGAGACGGAGTCTCACTCTGTTGCCCAGGCTGGAGTGCAATGGCGCGATCTCAGCTCACTGCAACCTCCGCCTCCCGGGTTCAAGAAATTCTCATGTCTCAGCTTCCCCAGTAGCTGAGATGACGGGAGTGGGCCACCACATCCAGCTAATTTTTGTATTTTAGTAGAGACAGGGTTTCACCATGCTGGTCAGGCTGGTCTTGAATGCCGGACCTCAAGTGATCCACCCACCTTGGCCTTAAAATCCCTTTTTAAAGAGGCATTTGAGAATTCCACAATATTTCCTTTAAACAACTCGAAAGGGACACTTTGTTTTCATAAAATGCGGTTGGGAAGCAATTTCGAAAGAGTCAACAAAGGCATTTCATCCCAGGGTGGATGGAGCAGAGCCGGGTCTCATTCTTTTTCTCCATCTCTCCCTCCTTTTGGTCTTGCCTGCCCTTTGACAGAAACAATTTAATATGTAGCTGAGCAGGGGAAAAGGGCTCCTAGTTAGAAAAGCCAGTTAAGACAGGGTTCCCATTAACTTGGAGGGGTCAACCAGCCAGCTTAGCCAGCTCACAGAGGTCTCATATGCGTGCTCTGATTGCCAACAAAAAGTAGCAGCAGACAATTCAAGGGGAAAGACCCAGGGAAGTCTCCACTCCAGGGTCTAACAACCTGAGAGCCATCTCATCAGTAAAGAGCAGGGCGTGGAGTACAGGGAGCTGACATTTAGACTGGTTAAAAGCTAGTATAATCTGAACAGCGCATTGTTCCTGAAGCCTACCTACTCCTGATTTCATAGCTAATCTATCCATCACTCTCTGGCTGTCACTCACCCATAAACAACAGTGGATTTTTATAAACAGTAGATCAATCATGATCAAAGGAAACTGAACACTCTTTCCACATGGCTCCCACACACACCTCACCCTGCTCTGTCCTTTTGGGTGGTGCCGAGAAGCCTTTGAGATCACCCCAGTCTTTGAGGACTAAATGGAGACAAGGAAGCTTGGGACATCCAGGAAAAGTCTTCAGCAGCCCTGACTGCAAAAACAGTTTCAATTATGTGATGTGATTGGTGGTTTTAACATGTCAAGAGTAGGTGTGCACATGGTCCACAGCTAGAATTTTTATTATTATTATTATTTTTTTTTTTTGAGACAGAGTCTTGCTCTCTCACCCAGACTGGAGTGCAATGGTGTGATCTCGGCTCACTGCAACCTCCACCTCCCAGGTTCAAGCAATTCTCCTGCCTCCCCAGTAGCTGGGATTACAGGCACGCGCCACCATGCCTGGCTAATTTTTATATTTTTAGTAGAGATGGGTTTTCACTGTGTTGGCCAGACTGGTCTCGAATTTCTAACGTCAAGTGATCCGCCCACCTCAGCCTTCCAAAGTGCTGGGATTACAGGCATGAGCCACCATGCTTATTATTATTATTATTATTATTATTATTATTATTATGGTATTTTTGAATGTAATTATTCTTAATAATATGTCATCTCTGCATGTCCAGTATTTCGATAAAACAGTTAAAACTGCATTTGCCTTCTAATGAGACTTTGTGACTGGCTGTGTTTCTCTGTCAGATGAATTTACCTTCCTATTTGCTGTTAAAAGTGATTGTATAATCCTAATCCTAGAAAACAAGCAGCAAATGTTTCTTTTTAGTGACTTTTTAAAAAATTTACAAGTGTACCATTTTATAGCTATCTTCACACAAAATCACATTCTCAATCAAAGAGACTCAGATCGAAGTTTGTTCATTAGGCCAGCTACGTGAACTCACCTCTGTCCCCTGCCTCTGAAAAATATCCTACATGCTCAGGAAAGAGGGCCAGAGTCCTAAGTGACATAACCTACACTTTCTAAGTTCCCTAAAGCCCTGAACTAGAAATAGGCTTTAAAATTTCACAATTTGTTTTAAAACTCTAAGCCCAACAGAAAGCCTACAAAGTCTTTTCTAGATGTTACCAAGGTCTTGGCTATCACTTGTCTGAGAGCAAAAGAAAAAAACAAAAGAAAAACCTTGAAAATTGGCAACTACTGGTGAATCCCATTTTGTCCACAGACTGATTTTTTTTTTTTTTTTAAAGACGGTGTCTTGCTCTGTTGCCCAGGCTGGAGTGCAGTGGCATGATCTCAGTTCACTGCAACCTCCGTCTCCTGGGTTCCAGTGATTCTCCTGCCTCAGCCTCCCAAGTAGCTGGGATTACAGGCACCTGCTACCATGCCCGGCTAATTTTTTTGTATTTTTAGTAGAGACGGGTTTTGCCATGTTGGCCAGGCTGGTCTCAAACTCTTGACCTCAGGTGATCCACCCGCCTCGGCTTCTCAAAGTGCTAGGATTACAGGTGTGAGCCACCGCACCCAGCCACAGAGACTAATTTTTAATGGCCCCATCTGGTCTCTTCCAGATTTTGTAGCCTAGTTTAAACAGAATGTCTAAGTCATCGTCAAGCAGATGACAAAAGGGTGCCCTAAAAGTGCCATAAAGATGCACCAGGTCTCAGTGATAGCAAAGCTGACTATAGACAAATGCCCAGAGTTTAGAAATTAGGCCCCCAAAACCAACTTGTTACCATCTTCTCATCTTTCACTCAAATCCAAAACATAAGAAAATTCCAGTTGCTTAAGTTAGAGTAAATCAGACGCTAACATCAGAAAAAAATTAGCTGGTTGTTCACTATGTACCAAGCCCTGTTCTAAGCACTTAATATGAATCATCTCATTCAATTCCCATAAGAGCTCTCTGAAGTAAGTGCTACTTTTATTCCCATTATACAGATGAGCAAACTGAGGCATAGCATACTTGAGTCACTTGACCAGAACCTGCACTCTTTTTTCTTTGTTTGTTTTTTGTTTTTGAGACAGAGTCTTGCTCTGTCGCCCAGGCTGGAGTGCAGTGGCGTGATCTTGGCTCACCACAACCTCTGCCTCCTGGGTTCACGCCATTCTCCTGCCTCAGCCTCCCAAGTAGCTGGGACTACAGGCGCCCGCCACCACGCCCGGCTAATTTTTTTTGTATTTTTTAGTAGAGATGGGGTTTCACCGTGTTAGCCAGGATGGTCTCGATCTCCTGACCTCGTGATCCGCCCACCTCGGCCTCCCGAAGTGCTGGGATTACAAGCTTGAGCCACCATGCCCAGCCAGTACCTGCACTCTTACCCACTTCTCCACATTGCATGACCACCTACAGAAAGTGTGAGCTTGAGCAAGTGCCTGACCTTCCAGAGACCATGCTTCCTCGTTTGCAAAACAGGGATAACACCAAGTACCTCAAGGAATTCTGTAACGATCAGATGAAAAGAAATATTGAAGACAATTTGTCACATTATCAGACAAAGAGAGGTACCCAGTACATATTAGCATCCCTTCACCTTTAATCAGAGCAAAAGAAGACCAGAAATGTTTTGGTTGTTAAACAGCTGATCATTTTCCAAAATTGCTAATATTAAACTACGGCTTCTAATCCTGCCATCGGTAGAAAGCTTGGCCAGCACTAACAAAACCAGCCATGTGACGCAAGATGAAAGCAAATCGGAGTGCAGAAAAGTAAATGCAATTAGCTGGCTACCTGATAAGGTGGCACACGCTGCACAAAGAGTGTTCCTTTCTGGCTAGAGGACTTTACTCCTCTGTTAACCCTAATTCAATGGTCTCTACCACACGGGACCGGGAATAAACTTCCATCTCCCTAAACAGAGCTTCATCGTCTTGCCAAAGCATTCTGGAAACTTAGCAGTTCGTGGTATGTTACAAATCGCTGAGCTCTTTTCCTCCTCCCTCCAGTGTGGGACCACGGTTGGCCTGGGGCCTGGCGCTCACCATAGAGAGAGGAGCGTGCAGTGAATCCTGGGTTTATCACCATCTGCACTGCTCCAGGGTCCAGCTGGAGACAGATGGCACACTCGCAAGGGCTTAGTTGAAATGAATGGAATGAAGGAGCTACATACAGAGGTGGGGGCAGGTGCAAAGGAGCCACCAAGAGACGGATGAGGTGCCTGGAGACTGGGCATGGGAATAAGGGAATACAAAGGCTTAAAAGGGACAGAAGCCTTCTCTAACTCCATAAGGAACATTCAAAAGTCCAGACTTCACATTGTTTGACGGGGAGGGAAGGGCTGATGTTAGACATGAATATAAATATGAATGAATTCAGCATTTCTGAAACTAGACTAAATCAATCTGGTCATTTTCTTTCTCTCATTTAAGAATTGTAGGGTAACACGTAGTTGGAATATTTACGGATTTTTTTTTTTTAGCATATCAGGAAATTACCTTATTACAAAGCTAAATTTGCGTTCAGGCACTCAATGATTATTGAGTGTCTACTGTGTGACAGAGATTGTTTTAGAAGCTGAGAATTTAGTAAGAAAGACAAAAGGTAGAGCAGAAGACAGGTACAGTGGTGCACGCCTGTAGTCCCACCTACTTGTGAGGCTGTTGGGAGGATCCTTTGAGCCCAGCAGTTCGAGACCAACCTGGGAAACACAGCAAGACCCTGTCTCTAAATAAATAAATAAATAAATAAATAAATAAATAAATAAATAAATAAATAAATAAATGACCAGGTCTCTGCTCCTTGTTGTGAGACACTCAACAAACACACATAAATAGATGAACATGTAATTCCAATACCGTGACAAACGCTATGATGAAAATGCATAAGCAGGCCAGGCACAGTGAGTGGCTCATGCCCGTAATCCCAATGCTTTGGGGGGCCGAGGTGGGCGAATCACCTGGGGTCAGGAGTTCGAGACCAACCTGGCCAACATGGTGAAACCCGTCTCTACTCAAAACACAAAAATTAGCTGGGTGTGGTAGCACACACCTACTTGGGAGGCTGAGGTGGGAGAATCACTTGATACCAGGAGGTGGAGGTTGCAGTGAGCCGATACGGCGCCACTGCACTCTAGCCTAGGTGGCACCACGGCACTCTAGCCTAGGCGACAAGAGTGAAACGCCCTCTCAAAACAAAAAAGAAAAAGAAAATGCATAAGCAGTAAAGAGTGGGGGTCAAAGGCCTGGGTTTGAGAGCCACACAGCTGGTTTATATCTCAACTCTGCTACTTCCTCAATGATTTGGGGCAAATTACATAACCTCCCTTGGCCCCAGTTTCCTCCTCAGTGAAGTGGAGATAACAACAGGATCTGAAGCACGCATGGTGGCTCATCCCTGTAATCCCAGCACTTTAGGAAGCCGAGGCAGGAAGATTGCTTGAGCCCAAGACTTTGAGATCAGCTTAGGCAACATAGCAAGACCTTGTCTCTCCAAAAAAATAGCCAGGTGTGATGGCACACACTTGTGGTCCCAGCTACTCAGGGGGCTAAGGTGGGAGAATCACTTGAGCCCAAGTGGTCAAGGCTACAGTGAGCTGTGATCACACCACTGCACTCCAGCCTGGGCAACAGAGCAAGACCCTGTCTCAAGAGAAAAAAAAAGGACAGGATCAAGATAGTTCACTTTCAAGGTTTATAAGAGTGATAACAGTGGCTGACATGTATTGAGTTGTTGATAAACACTAGCTTTTATTATTTTAGATGGGTGGTTCAGGCAGGCTTCTTGGAGGAGGTGACTGCCATATGAAGATCTGCAGAAGAAACAGCACAAACAATGGCTTTAGGAAGGAGGGAACCAAAGCTTGTTTATGAAGCAGGAAGAAGACCAGGGAGG
Source organism: Homo sapiens (assembly GCF_000001405.40). NCBI lineage: Eukaryota > Metazoa > Chordata > Mammalia > Primates > Hominidae > Homo > Homo sapiens. The sequence continues at coordinate 73,184,918 of NC_000017.11, forward strand.
CCAGAGTAGAGTGAGGGAGGAGGAGAGTGGGGTGAGGGAGGAGGAGAGTGGGGTCAGGTAGGGTCAGGCCACGCAGGGACTTGAAGGTCTTTGATGGGAGTTTGCATCTGGCCAAGAGGGATGGGCAGCCGGGGGAGGTTTTAAGCAGAGGATACACAAAACCTGGTTTCCACTTTTAAAAGTCGGCTTTGTAGCAAGGAGCATGAACTAAAAGGGGTCAGAAGTAGAGGCTGGGTACGGTGGCACACGCCAATAATCCCAGCAGTTTGGGAGGCCGAGGCAGAAGGATCATTTGAGGCCAGAAGTTCAATACCAGCCTGGGCAACACAGTGAAACCCTGTCTCTACAAAAAATTCAAAAATTAGGCCAGATGCAGTGGCTCATGCCTATAATCTCAGCACTTTGGGAGGCTGAGGAGGGCAGATCACCTGAGCTCGGGAGTTCAAGACCAGCCTGGACAATATGGCGAAACCCCTTCTCTACCAAAAACACAAAAATTAGCCAGGCACAGTGGCACGTGCTTGTGGCCCCACCTACTCGGGAGGCTGAGGTGGGAGGATTGCTTGAGCCTGGAGGTGGAGGTTGCAGTGAGCTGAGATCCTGCCACTGCACTCCAGCCTGGGTGACAAAGTGAGACCCCCTCTCAAAAAAAAAAAATTAAAAATTAGCCAGTTGTGGTGGCACACACCTGTTGTCCCAGCTACTCAGGAGGCTTAGGTGGGAGGATTGCTTGAGCCTGGGAAGGTCAAGGCTGCAGGGAGCTGTGATTGTGCCACTGCACTCCAGTCTGGGTAACAGAGCAAGATTCTGTAGAAAGAAAGAGGAAGAAAGAAAGGAAAAGAAAAAGAAAAGAAAAGAAAAAAGAAAAGAAAAGGGCCGGGCGTGGTAGCTCACGCCTGTAATCCCAGCACTTTGGGTGGCCGAGGTAGGCGGATCACTTGAGGCCAGGAGTTCGAGGCCAGCCTGGCCAACATGGTGAAACCCTGTCTCTACTAAAAATACAAAAATTAACCAGGTGTGGTAGTGCATGCCTGTAATCCCAGCTACTTGGGAGGCTGAGGCAGGAGAATCGCTTGAACCCGGGAGGTGGAGGTTGCAGTGAGCCGAGATCATGCCACTGCACTCTAGCCTGGGCGACAGAGCAAGACTCCATCTCAAAAAAAAAGTAAAGAAAGAAAGGATGAGAAGCTGTTAACCTGGACCAGTGGAAATGGAAAAAGAGCAGGGGTCACCAAACCATGGTCCAAGAGCCAAAATGGGCCCTTCGCCTGTTTTATTAAATACAGTTGGCCCTTTCAGCAACACGTGTTTAAACCGCACGGGTCCATTTTTTTCCTGATTTTTTTCAACCAAACAGTGATTGGAAATAGAGAATTTGTGGGATGCAAAACCCGTGTATATGGAAGGTCCACTTTTCATACTCACAGGTTTCACAAGGCTGACCGCAGGTCTTGAGTGTGCACGAATTTGGAGATATACAGGGGTCCTGGATCCAATCCCCCTCGGATACTGGGGGATGCCTGTAAAGTCTTACTGGACACAGCCACACCCACCTGCGGATGTGCTGCCTGTTGCTGCTTTGGGGCGACAACGGGCTTGCTGAATTGTGTTGACAGAGACCGCAAGGTTGGCCGGGTGCAGTGGTTCATGCCTGTAATCCCAGCACTTTGGGAGGCTGAGATGGGCGGATCACCTGAGGTCGGGAGTTCGAGACCAGCCTGGCCAATATGGTCAAACCCCATCTTTACCGCCACCCCCCCCCCCCCCAAAAAAAAGACAGAGACTGCAGGGTCTGCAAAGTCCACTTACTATCTGGCTCTTTATAGCAAAAGCTCATCCATCTGTGTTTTGGAGGAAGAGCCGATAGGGCTTGTGAAAGCACTGGGTATGCAGAGTGAGAGAGAGATGGAAGACTTCCTGAGTCTGAGCCATGAATAGCTGGGCGGTGCCATTTCTTGAGATAGGAATGACTTGGAGTGAGGGCCTAGGAGGGACACTAAGAAGAGAGTTGTTATTCTGGATGTGTTAAATTTGAGATGTCTCTTAGACATCCAAATGGAGTTTCTTTTCTTTTTTGGAGACAGAATCTCACTCTGTCACCCAGGCTGGCGTGCAATGGCACAATCTTGGCTCACTGCAACCTCTGCCTCCTGGGTTCAAGCAATTCTCCTGCCTCAGCCTCCTGAGTAGCTGGGACTACAGGTGCCCACCACCACGCCTGGTTAATTTTTGTATTTTTTTAGTAGACACAGGGTTTCACTATATTGGCCAGGTGGTCTCGAACTCCTGGCCTCAGGAGATCCTTTGGGAGGCCTTGGCCTCGCAAAGTGCTGGGATTACAGGCATGAGCCACCGTCGCCGGCCCCAAGTGGAGTTTCTAAGGAGGCAGCCAGATGTACAAGACAGGAGTATAGGCGCAGGAGGAACAAATGTAGGAGTTTCTGCAAACATGCCTGCCTGGCTGTTTGCTGAAGGCAGAGTCTCAGGTATCTGCAAACAGTTAAGTCAAATAACCACCGCTTCTACCACAAATGTCACCTCCAGTAGACACAGGCTGATAAACACTGCCATAAAGATAAGATGTCAAGACAACTACATTAGGGCTCTCTTGATCCCATTGGCATCTCAGCCAAGAGCAAACACCAACTGTCCGAATCCCACTGAGCAATAGTGTGGAATTCAACCTCCTGTCCTGCCCCGGATGTTACTTTTATTGACAGTGTATCCCTTACAACATCAAATTTCCCTTTCTTTCCTCCCCTGTTTGTTAATTTGTGATCAATTTCCAATTTCCTCTCCTTTCCTTTTTTCTTCCTTCTCGCTTTCACCCTTTCCATTTCTCCTAGCTTAGCTAGAATTAAATTTCTTATTTTCATTTTCCTGGGTAATTTTGTCTCTCCCATTTATTTTCTCTTCTCCAGGTATCCCCAGCTTTAATTCCCTCCTAAGTTTATCAGAGAATGACCCTTCGTCCAACATCATCAGGGCCCAGGTACAAGATTCAGCAGGTTCACTCTTCAGAGTCTATATGGACGTGCCAAAAACGCAGCCACCTTACATCGAAGAGGAGGTATTGGAAGAAGGGTTGAAGTGGATGTGAGATGAGATGGGTGAGAATTGTCTTACTGCTTTTATTATTTCAATTAGACAACTGAGGGCGAAAAGCCCTTGTGCCTTTTCCAGTGCATCCTTTGTGTAGACACTGTGATTATGTAACATATATGCTTGGCATATTTTGCAAATATTTATTGAATCATTTGGTTTGACAGCCAAGATCTATGGGACCCATGCTCCCAGATGCTAGATCACAGATTGCATAAGGAAAGAACATGTGGTGTCTACAAAATCTGCAATGTTGAAACTCTCCACTTTGGGCATTATCCTGGCTTGCTTTCTATATTTCTATTAAAAAGTAAAGAGAGCTGGGTAAGTGGCTCACACCTGTAATCCTAGCACTTTGGGAGGCTGAGGCAGGAAGATGGCTTGAGGCCAGGAGTTCAAGACCAGCCTGGACAACATAGTGAAACCCCCATCTCTACAAAAAATTTAGAAATTAGCTGGATGTAGTAGTGCATTCCTGTGGTCCCAGCTACTCCAGAGGCTGAGGTGGGAGGACCGCTTGGGCCCAGGAGGTCAAGGCTGCAGTGAGCTGTGATCATGCTACTGTACTCCAGTCTCAAATAAATAAATAAATAAATAAATAACAGGAGAAATCTGTCTGCTCAATGTTCTGAATAAGACTATACTGATCAGGACTGGGCGCTGTGGCTCATGCCTGTAATCCCAACACTTTGGGAGGCTCAGGCGGGCAGACCACCTGAGGTCAGGAGTTTGAGACCAGCATGGCCAAAATGGTGAAACCCTGTCTCTACTAAAAATACAAAAAATTAGCCGGGTGTGGTAGTGCGCGCCTGTAGTCCCAGCTACTTGGGAGACTGAGGCACGAGAACTGCTTGAGCCTGGGATGGGAAGGCTGCAGCGAGCTGAGATCATGCCACTGCTCTCCAGCCTGGGAAACAGAGTGAGACTCCGTCTCAAAAAAAAAAAAAAAAAAAGAGTGTGCCGATGGGTCTAAAGAAACTAAAATGTCAGAATATATCCACTGTGTTGAAAGACTGCCCTCCAGCATGCAGATGCTTGGCTACCAGGCATGGCCACCCCATGTGTCATCTGCCCCCAAATCACTGGATAGCCACTCCAACTTGGGTGCCCAAACTGACTGTAGAGACCCACCCTTAGGCAGAGATCAGGAAGCAGTGTGGGTACCATCCGAATGGTGCTCAGAATTGTTTGAGCCATCTGTTTCTTGATATTCTGAAATTTTCTTTGAAGCTAATAATGTGACAATGTAGAAAGATCAAGGACTTCTAGAGCCAGGGGATCTGAAGACAGGCACCTGTGTGAACTCACGCAGGTTGCTTGATGCTAAAGGTTATCACACAACACACATGAACTCATCCCTATACCAGAACTAAACTATGGCAATAAGGCGAAAAGGTGCCTCTTTCACTCAGGTACCTCCTAATACCTTGAGAAAAAAAGGCTCCAGGTTCTCATCTCTGTCTTGCTGTCCCCGGCACAGTGCCTGGCCCGGCTGTGGCAGCTGAGGTCTTTGCCCCTGATCCGTGGTTTTGATGGTCCCAGCTGATATGCAGAAGGCAGAGGAAGGGGGTGGTGCTGTCCTGGGAGGCAGAGGACAAGGAAAGGAGCCATGGAGAGGAAAGAGTTAAAGACACATTTCCTCCAGGGCCAGGAGCTTTTCCAGTGACCAGGCAGTCAGGTGACAGCTTCTGTCAGTGCTCAGTTCTGCAGGCAGAGGAACAACAGTGGCATCTTCAGGCCAGTCAGATGAACTTGGCCAGGGAAATACAGAGGAAAGGCAGGGAACACCCTGATTTCAAACCACACTCTGGACTAGGTGAGGTGGCTCACACCTGTAACCCGAGCACTTTGGGAGGCTGAGGTGGGAGGATCCCTCTAGCCCAAGAGTTTGAGACCAGCCTGGGCAACAGAGTGAGGCCCTGTCTTTACACAAAAATTAAAAAATTAGCCGGGCATGGTGGTGCACACCTGTTAATCCCAGCTACTAGGGAGGCAGAGGTGGGAGGATTGCTTGAGCCCAAGAGGTGGAGGCTTCAGTGAGCCGTGATTGCACCCCTGCACTCCAGCCTGGGCAACAGTGAGACCCTGTCTCAGAACACACACAAACACACACAGACACACACACACACTGCAGTGTTGACAGCTGGCCAGTTTGTCTTTTCTCTACCTGACTCAGAACACACACACACACACACACACACACACACACACACACTGCAGTGTTGACAGCTGGCCAGTTTGTCTTTTCTCTACCTGAGCTTACAGGTATTGTGCACAAGCGCAAGGACCATCCCATACAAAGCCCTGGGCCCCCCACTATCCCTGATATGTTGACATTTCTCCCCTTGCTGTAAGAAAGGCTTCAACCAAACTCTCATGGAGCTGGAACCTTAGTGCAGTGTATATCAGTTAGGGCTAGGGCAAACCAGGGAAACCGATTTTGATTTTCAAAGAAACAAAATTGATCAGTAAGACACTGCACAGTTCATAGAATCTCTGGGAAAGATGGGGAGGCAGGTTCAGGGGACAGGCAGGAAGGAAGGAAGGGAAACAGAACATTTAAAACCTAGACGAGCACACCACATGGTGATTCTGTCGAGGACGTCATTGTGGGTGCCCACGGCTGCCACCAGCACCACCGCCAGCATTAGCAGCTGGGAGCTGGAGCTAAGTTCACTGCCCTTGCTGTCCTTAGGGAGTGGATGTTGCCGGTGATACCTGTGCCACCACCAAAATGCAATCGCCCCTGTCACCTGCGATTTTTTTTTTTTTTTTTTTTTGAGACAGGGTCTTGTTCTGTTGTCTAGGCTGGAATGCAGTGGCCCAATCATGGCTCACTGACGCAGTCTCGACCTCCAGAGGCTCAAGTGATCCTCTTGCCTCACTTGCCTCTTGTCAAGTGGCTGGGACTACAGGTCCACAGGCCCACACCACTACTCCCGGCTAATTTTCTTTTTCTTTTTTTTTTTGAGACGGAGCCTCACTCTGTCGCTCAGGCTGGAGTGCAGTGTCTCGATCTCGGCTCACTGCAACCTCCGTCTCCCAGGTTCAAGTGATTCTCCTGCCTCAGCTTCCTGTCTGCTGCCTCAGCCTCCCGAGTAGCTGGGATTATAGATGTGCGCCACCACGCCCAGCTAATTTTTGTATTTTTAGTAGAGACAGGGTATCACCATGTTGGCCAGGCTGGTCTCGAACTCCTGACCTCATGTGATCCGCCTGCCTCGGCCTCCCAAAGTGCTGGGATTACAGGCATGAGCCACCCGGCGCGCGCCCCTTTTTTTGTATTTTTTTGTAAGGACGGGGTTTGGCCGTGTTGCCCAGGCTGGTCTTGAACTCCTGGGCTCAAGGGATCCACACGCCTTGGGCTCCCAAAGTGCTGGGATTACAGCCTGCTTCTTAATGTCACTAACTCTTCACCCAAGTCCTAGGCGCTTGTGCCTGCTGTGCCAGTCCCAGGCCGCAGGCTGGCACCGTAGCTATAAAGGGCGCCAGAAAAAAAGATTTTGCTAGATAGCGATGAATTCCCCAATCACAGAAAGGAGATACTGCGGATGCTTATCAGCCGAATACCAGTAAGTGTCCCTTGCAGAATGGGATTAGAGACTGCAAACTGCAGGCCTGCCAACAGAGGGTGCTCTGTGGGAAATTATGTGAAAACGTAGAAAAGAGCGCGAGCCAGTAATTTAAAAATCGACGTCCAAATACTCACTGGGTCACCTATCAGCTATGTAATTTGGGCAGGTAAATAAGCTTTTGTTTCTTTTTTTTTTTTCCTCATAAATGGACTAGGAATATTACTCCTACCTACCTGGCATGGCCGATGTGCGAGAAAATGAGATAATCTCGTGGACAGGCTCTGAAAACTGCACTTTTACTGAGTAAAAAACCCTTTGCCTCTCCGGGCCCCCGTTTCCCCATCTGTAAAATGAGTCTGTAAAGTGAGAATGATACTCCCTACGCCGCAAGGCTCTTGCGGGTTAAACTGGAATATTATAAATGCACCATTTATTTGCAGATTGAAATTCTGTGCGTCCGGAGGTGGCGGGTGGGAGAGGGAATGAGCAGGGATGCAGGGTAGGCCCTGAGTTGCTGGGGGCTCAGCATGGCCGCTGCGCACATTGCATCATTTTGTCGACACTGGTGTGGGTGAAATCTTCCAAAAGAAATTAAAACAGAAAAAAAAAAAAAGAAGGGTCTGGGACTTAGCAGAAACAAGCCACAATCTCCAGATTCTACTATTCCTGGGCCACGTGAGGAGCGCCCACCCGTCTGGCGCTGCGTTCCCCGGGGCGTCCCAGCCTCTCCCGCCCAGCCCGCCGCCCTCCTCCCCCATGGCCACCAAGGTCAGGCTCTCGCAGGGAAAACGTCTTCAGGGGCTAAACATCGGTTTTAAACGAAATGGAAAACCTCCAACACGAATCAACAGCAGAGGAAAAGCAGACGCCAAACAAGCGCTCAGAACCCCTTCAGGGGCGGCGTGGTAGCTCTTCCCGGGGAACAGCGAGGGGCGCGGATGTCCCTCTTCCTAAAACTGCACGCGGGGTGCGATCCGAGACCCAGCGGCGGCGAGCGCGCCCGAGTCTGCTCGCGGGCGCCAGGCGCGCGGAGAGCGGCGGCTGCGCCTGCGCCAACGCCGTCAGTCCGCGGGGCCCGATCCCGACACCTAACTCCACAGAGAAGCTCTGCTCCTAAGGGAAAGGGAAGACTTCAGCCACAGTTTCGCAGCCAACCTGGCGACCTCACCTCTCTGGCGACCTCACTTCCCAGCCGGCTCCGTTTAAGAAAACCCCGCGCAGGACCGCGCCCGCCCCCGCGCCCGCGCCCGCCCCCGCCCCCTCGCGCCCGCCCCCTCGCGCCCGCCCCCTCGCGCCCGCCCCCTCGCGCCCGCCCCCTCGCGCCCGCCCCCTCGCGCCCGCCCCCTCGCGCCCGCCCCCTCGGGTAACAAACATGGCCCCCGGCGGGGCGGAAGCGCTTCCGCCCCCAACGAAGATGGCGGAGGGGGCGGGACTAAAAGGGCGTAGGTAGATCGCCGGGGGCTGACGAGTGCACCATGGCCACCGCGGCAACCTCACCCGCGCTGAAGCGGCTGGATCTGCGCGACCCTGCGGCTCTTTTCGAGACGCATGGAGCGGAGGAGATCCGCGGGCTGGAGCGCCAGGTTCGGGCCGAGATCGAGCACAAGAAGGAGGAGCTGCGGCAGATGGTGGGCGAACGGTACCGCGACCTGATCGAGGCGGCCGACACCATCGGCCAGATGCGCCGCTGCGCCGTGGGGCTAGTGGACGCCGTGAAGGCCACCGACCAGTACTGCGCCCGCCTCCGCCAGGCCGGCTCGGCCGCGCCCCGGCCACCGCGGGCCCAGCAGGTCAGTCCCCGTGCCCCCACCCTGCGACCCGCAGGCGGGTCCCGGAGCCCCTGGCCTTGCAGGTCAACCCCGCCCCCCTCTGTCAGTCCCAGACCCCGCGAGTCCTCACCTTCCTTAGCCAGGAGCCTATCCGCCCCTCACCCTTTGGGCCCCCCTCAGAGGACAGTGCCAGCCTTCCTTGCACATATGCGGCTGCTGATCCGTTCTGGAAATGCCATTCAACAGTTTCTTCAGGCGCTTTCCCCCGACTTCCGGGCCTTGATTCCTACACCTCACTGGGCTCCTTTCAATTTTAGCGGAAAACGCCAGGAGTTTCTGTCTTGACAGTTCAACGCTCACCTATATAACATGTCCTGACATTGTTTTTCCTCAGGTTTCTCCCCTATGTTGACACCTGCACTCCAAGTCATTTCTTCCTCATCCCAACCTTCCCCTTATCTCCCCAAGAATAACTTCCACAACCCCAAATAGCTGTTCTACCCTTTGGGAGTTGTTGAGGGTACCAGCTATCAAGCCCTTAACTTTATGTATGTATGTGACAGGGTCTCCCAAAGTGCTGGGATTACAGTCATGAGCCACCACAGCCGGCCAAGCCCTTACCTTTTAATAGCTGAACATTTTCATTTTCAGAACTAAGGCTTTTTTCATTCAGGTTCTCCTTATCCCGTGTTCTTCCCCCCAAACGCTATTGATTAGACACAATGAGGAAGGATGGGAGGTAAACAAACACATCCTCATATTGGAGCTGCAGCTTGCGTTCCTAAAGAATTTTTATTGGCCGGGTGCGGTGGCTCACGCCTGTAATCCCAGCACTTTGGGAGGCCGAGGCGGGTGGATCACGAGGTCAGGAGATCCAGACCATCCTGGCTAACACGGTGAAACCCCGTCTCTACTAAAAATACACAAAATTAGCCAGGCGTGGTGGCCGGCGCCTGTAGTCCCAGCTACCTGGGAGGCTGAGGCAGGAGAATGGCATGAACCCGGGAGGCGGAGCTTGCAGTGAGCCGAGATCGCGCCACTGCACTCCAGCCTGGGCCACAGAGCGAGACTCTGTCTCAAAAAAAAAAAAAAAAAGAATTTTTATTTCTTTATTTTTTGAGACAGGATCTCGCTCTGTCACCCAGGCTGGAGTGCAGTGGCGCGATCTCGGCTCACTGCAACCTCCGCCTCCCGGGTTCAAGCGATTCTCCTGCCTCAGCCACCCGCGTAGCTGGGATTACAGGCACCTGCCACCATGTCCGACTAATTTTTGTACTTTCAGTAGAGACGGGGTTTCACCATATTGGCCCGGCTGGTCTCCAACCCCTGACCTCATGTGATCTGCCTGCCTTGGCCTCCCAAAGTGATGGGATTACAGGCGCGAGAGCCACCGCGCACGGCCCCTTAAAGAATATAGACCTAGCAATGAACGAAGTGAAAGGGCATGAAGGGTGAAAAAGGTAAACAGTTAGTTGTTTTTAACAGCCTGGGAGAACTTACTGGGACATAGAAGAAAAAATTGAAAAGTACAGTCTAACTCCAATTTGGAACTTGTTCATGCTATCTGAGCTTTACAGAAATCCTGGTCAGTAGACTGGACTGACACAATAAAACTATAGGAAGTTGCAAATAAGTTTGCATATTTTTGAAATGAGTGACCTCATCCCTCCCAAAGCTAACATTTAGTACACGTGTCCCCTTAGGTGGCCAGCCTTTGCTGTAACTGAGTCATGCTTCAGGGTTTATTAAAACGCTAACTTGAATTATGCCTGATTTTAGAAACGTATTGATTTTCATAGTTGTTATATCTGGTTTATTCTCGGTTAACCCTACAAAAATTTGAGTGTCTTCTTCGTTCACATTACAAAGAAACAGAAGTCCCCCAATTCCTGCTCTGAAGGAGCTTACAACCTGGTCGAGGAAATAAATCCATGGAAACTTGACGAGAAAAAAATGTAAAAAAATTTAGAATAACAGGTCAGGCGCTGTGGCTCATGCCAGCACTTTGGGAGGCCAAGGCAGGTGGATTGCTTGATCACAGGAGTTTGAAACCAACCTGGGCAACACGGTGAAACACCATCTCTACAAAAAATACCAAAAAGTGAGCGGGCATGGTGGCACATGCCTGTGGTCCCAGCTACTTGGAAGGCTGAAGTGGGAAGATCTCTTGAGCCCAAGAGGTCAAGGCTGCAGTGAGCCATGATCGCACCACTGCACCCCAGCCTGGGCAACAAAGTGAGATGCTGTCCCAAAAAAAAAAAAAAAAAAGGCTGGGCGCGGTGGCTCAGGCCTGTTATCCCAGCACTTTGGGAGGCTGAGGCGGTGGATCACTTGAGGTCAGGAGTTTGAGACCAGCCTGGCCAACATGGTAAAACCCTGTCTCTACTGAAAATACAAAAATTAGCCAGGCGTGGCGACACGCACCTGCGATCCCAGCTACTCAGGAGGCTGAGGCAGGAGAATCACTGGAACCCGGGATGTTTGATTCCCAAAATAATTGTGTATATTTACCCTAGGAGTTCTGAAGGAAGTCAGTTTAGGCTTGGGTTGTTCTTAGTAAGGAGGGACCTTAAGGGCATGATGAGATTTGGAATTTAGGTTTCTTAGTCCATTTGTGCTGCCATAACAAAATACCTGAGATTGGGCAATTTATAACACAAGTGTATTTTTCACAGTTGTGGGTCTGGGAAGTCCAAGATTAAGGCACTGGCCTTTGATGTCTGGTGAGGGCCTTCTTGCTGTATCCTCACGTGGGGGAAGGTAGAAGAACCTAAAAGTTGCCTCCAGCCCTTTTATGAGGCACTGATCCATTTGCTGTGGTTTGGATTTGTGTCTTGCCCACATCTCATGTTGAATTATAATCCCCAATGTTGGAGGTGGGGCCTGGTGGGAGACGAAAGTTTGCCTCTTCGTGGGGCTGAGCAAAAATGCACGCGTGTGTAGGAAAAACCATGGGATCTTACAACACTCCTGACTCTGGCAACTCTTCTACACTGGGCTTTGATGACTTGCTGAGTTGTACTGAACCCAGCTTAATAGAAGTTTTGTATCCTTAAATACCCCCAGATTTCTTCCTAAGCCTACAGAACACTGAGATTGCTTTTGTTCGTTCTTCTGGTTTAGTTCTGTGCCTTCCCCTGCAGCCACAGCAGCCATCCCAGGAGAAGTTCTACAGCATGGCTGCCCAGATCAAGCTACTCTTAGAAATTCCGGAGAAGATCTGGAGCTCGATGGAAGCCTCTCAGTGTCTCCACGCCACACAGCTCTACCTGCTCTGCTGCCACCTCCACAGCCTGCTCCAGCTGGATTCTTCTAGTTCCCGATACAGTCCCGTCCTCTCCCGGTTTCCTATACTCATCCGGCAGGTGGCAGCCGCCAGCCACTTCCGGTAAGTGGATCCAGCGCAAAGAGCTGCTCTGGTGGTGGCCAGGCTTCACATTACGGGTTTATGGCGTTTGTCTTCTTTCCTGATGTACCAAAGCTCTTTACCCAAGATGTGAAAAACACCCTGGCGACTTCTGTCATCATTTTTCTAGGTCAACTATTCTGCATGAAAGCAAGATGTTGCTCAAATGCCAAGGTGTGTCTGACCAAGCTGTGGCCGAGGCCCTGTGCTCTATAATGCTCTTAGAAGAGAGTTCTCCTCGCCAAGCCCTCACAGACTTCCTGCTGGCCAGAAAGGCAACTATTCAGAAACTTCTCAACCAGCCACACCATGGTGGGTGTGGCTTCTGGCCAACATTTGGTCCTTAAATATGGGATGGAGAAGGGTGAGCTGCGGGAGACTGAAGCCTCCAGAGCGTCCTCTGTCTTTCACTTTGGGAAAGGTAATTGTTTCAAAGAGGATGGTTTCTTCTTTTAGGTGCTGGTATCAAGGCTCAGATTTGCTCATTAGTGGAGTTGCTGGCCACCACTCTGAAGCAAGCTCATGCCCTTTTCTACACTTTGCCAGAAGGACTGCTGCCAGATCCAGCCCTGCCATGTGGCTTGCTCTTCTCTACTCTGGAGACCATCACAGGCCAGCATCCTGCCGGTGAGCTCTTAGCCAAGCTTTTTAAATTCTGGTTCACTCAACTGATAATTTGCTCAGCGTCTACCGTGTGCCAGCCACCATGCTAGGCTCTGGGGATGGAGCAGTGAACTGGACAAATAGAGGCCCTTCCTTCATCGAGGCCACAGTTGAGTGGTAGAAGCAGGTATCAGACTCACAAATATGCGAATATCCATTTAGTGTCTATATTGGTCATTGCTAGAAAGGCTTAGTACAAGTTGCCTTGGGAACATTGAATGGAAGTAACTCACCAAGGTCAGAGAAGGCTTCCCTGGAGAAGCCTTTAACCTGAAAGCTGAAGGTTGAGTGGGAGTCACTTAGATGAAGAAGGCAAGCAACAGGCTTTCAGGCAAAGGGAAGAGGATGTGCAAAGATCCTGAGGCAAGAAGAAACTGTAAGACAGCCAGTGAGGCATTGGGTGAGGGGGAGAGCTGCTTGAGCAGAGACTGGAGGTGGGGCCAGGGGCCAGATAATGCCCAGCCTTGTGAGCGAGGCTAGGGAATTTAGACTTTATCCAAAGAACAATGGAAGCCTCCTGGGACCTTCCAGGCTTGGTGCGGACCCTCTGTTATGTGTGCCCGTGCATCCTGTACTTTTATTTGGTAGCATTTATCGCAACTGAAATGAAATAAATGAATTTGGCTTTTAGGTGGAATAGATCCCCTTGGGGCTAGAATGGATGCCAAGAGCTCACTTAGGAGGCTGTTGCCACGATCCAGGTGTCAGCCGCTGGGAGCTTGGGTTACGAAGGAACAATAGAGACGGAGCTAATTGCATGTTCGGACGTCTGTTTAGGAGGAGAGGATTTGGTGACAGATTGGCTGTAAGGATGTGAGAAGGGAGGTGACCAAGTTAAGTAGAAATGGAGCTGGTTTGAAGTGGCCGATGATGGGTTCACTTTGAAATGGCCCAGTGCTGTGGCTCACATCTGTAATCCCAGCACTTTGGAAGCTGAGGCAGTCCAGGAGTTTGAGATCAGCCTGGGCAGCATAGTGAGACCCCATCTCTACAAAAGATAAACATTTGCTGTGTGTGGTGGCATGCCCCTGTGGTCCCTGCTATTTGGGAGGCTGAGGCAGAAGGATCATTTGAGCCAGGGAGGTTGAGGCTGAAGTGAGCAGTGACTGTGCCACTGCTTTCCTGCCTGGGTGACAGAGCGAGAACCTGTCTTTAAAAAAACGAAAGAGAGAAAACGTTGCATTGGCGATGGCTGAGGCCTTGGAATGGGACTGTGAAGCGGGCAGGTGCCTGAGGGCCCAGAACAGATCGCTGGGAGGTCTAGTTGGAGACACACTGTTGTACATCTGCATGTGGCTGTTATTTCAAGCTGTGGGAATGGATGACATCATCAGTAAGGAGATGACAGAGGACTCTGCCTTATGGAACTCCAGAAATCCAAGGTCAAATGGAGGTGTCAGCAAAATTGACAAAGGAGATACAGCCAAAGGTAGAAAGGAAACAGAAGAGTGCGGTGGTGGCCACGTGGCTGTTTCCAGAGAGAGGTGCTTAATGTCACCTCATCTTGGCTCACTTTATCTTTCAACTCCACCTCCTTATGCTTCGCTTTCCCTCAAGGTGCTTACATTTAGTACCTCATCCCACTCAGGAAGGGTGGGTACTGGCTGACTTGTCATGGCTTTAGAAAGCAGTACAAGGGGCCTTGGGAGGGCCCTGGGTTTCAAACTCCGGAGGGTGCCTTATGCTCAGAACACAGTGAACGGGGCCTCCCAGAGTTGCGCAGTGCAGGCCTGTCCCCTTCTTGACAGGTCACCTCTGAAGAGCTATGAACGACTCAGTTAATCAGGATAAGCAGTCATCGATTCTTTCCTTCCATCTTCGGGGGAGGTAGGAGGATTGAGAGGAAAGGGAAGCCATTACCTTTTGCTTTTTTGACAACTTAAGTTCTACTTTGAAAACCCCCAGGACTGCATAGCACTCATTTCTTCTTTCTACTCTTTTGATCCCCGTTTTTGTTTCCTCCCGATCTTTGCCATTCTTCTCAACCAACAGAATGACCAGAGTTGTGGGGCGGCTGCCACACTCCCTGATGGGACCTCACACGTGTCCCGTACTTTCTCTTTCCTTGTATTTCAGAAGTCCAGTTTGACCTTCCAAAGGAAAACTTGATAAGTTTTGGAAATTTCTTCTAAGTCCATCTTTTATTTATTTATTTTTTTGGAGACAGGGTCTCACCTTGTTGCCCAGGCTTGAGTGTAGTGGCATGATCATGGGTCACTGCAGCCTCGACCTCCTGGGCTCAAATGATCCTCCTACCTCAGTCTCCCAAGTAGCTGCAACTACAGGTGTGCACCATGACGCCTGGCAAATTGTTTCTTTTTTGTAGAGGTGAGGTTTCACTGTGTTGCCCAAGCTGGCCTGGCCTAACTCCCTGTTTCAATATGCACTTCAAAGGGTGGCCTAGATGGCTTCTCACTTGGCCTTCTCTTTAGGAAAGGGCACTGGTGTCCTGCAGGAAGAGATGAAACTCTGCAGCTGGTTTAAACACCTGCCAGCATCCATCGTCGAGTTCCAGCCAACACTCCGAACCCTTGCACATCCCATCAGTCAGGAATACCTGAAAGACACGCTGCAGAAATGGATCCACATGTAAGTAACCAGAAAGAGCTTCCCTGCAGCTGGCAGGAGCCACCCATGCAGCCTTGTACGGGGCATTACAAGGGTCAGCGAGGCATGTGCAGAAAGCCTGTCCTGGATGGCGTGCTGCCCATCAGCCAGCCTCTCACTCTGTGACCCATTGCCACCTTTGAGGTCATTCAGCACCCGCTGTGGGAGAACCAAGAAGGAATTTGTCTTTCAAAAGGTTATGTGGGAGTTTTAAATTCTCTTTATGTGAGAGTTCTGCAACTCCTGTTTTTACTTAATGCATTGTTTTTTTAAGCCATTCCGCAGGGTCCAGACTTGCGTATATCCTCGGGGAAGCAAGGGTAGGCCTGGTGTGGGCAACAGACTGCATGCCCCAACCCAGCCAAAACGCTCTGTGTTGCTACAGGTCTATCAACACTGAGACACATAGATATTTATCTACTGGAACTCAGATAAGAGATTGTCAAATGGGATTCTGATGTTTTTCTTAATAAAGATGTGAACACCATGCCTCTGATGGAGCCCAAAGAACATGATTCTGTTGCAGGTGTAATGAAGACATTAAAAATGGGATCACCAACCTGCTCATGTACGTGAAGAGCATGAAGGGTCTCGCGGGAATCCGGGACGCCATGTGGGAGTTACTTACCAATGAGTCCACCAATCACAGCTGGGATGTGCTATGTCGGCGGCTTCTGGAGAAGCCGCTCTTGTTCTGGGAAGATATGATGCAGCAACTGTTCCTTGACCGATTACAGGTGAGCTGGACAGTCACATGGTCTACCTGTTTTATGGCCAATCCTAGTGGTATTTTGACTGTCTTGGGAGATTTCTGTCGCTTCCCAAGTATATTCTTTTCCTGCTTAGTAACAGATCCAGAGTCTAGAGCTGAAAATACACCAGGCCTCTGTCACTTGATCGGGAATGGGCCCATGTTCATCAATAATGGCTTTATTCTCTGCCAACACCATGCCATCTTTCTGAAGATGGTGAACCTTCTGAATGCTAGGATAAATTACCATTTGGTACTTTTGTTTTGAAATGTCCTTAAAGGAACTGTGATTAGAACTCTTCTCTCATTCTCTTTTAGACTCTGACAAAAGAAGGCTTTGACTCCATCTCCAGTAGCTCCAAGGAGCTCTTGGTTTCAGCTTTGCAGGAACTTGAAAGCAGCACCAGCAACTCCCCTTCAAATAAGCACATCCACTTTGAGTACAACATGTCGCTCTTCCTCTGGTCTGAGAGTCCTAATGACCTGCCTTCCGATGCGGCCTGGGTCAGCGTGGCAAACCGGGGTCAGTTTGCCAGTAGCGGCCTCTCCATGAAAGCACAAGCCATCAGCCCTTGTGTACAGAACTTCTGTTCTGCCCTGGATTCTAAGCTGAAGGTTAAACTAGATGACCTCCTGGCTTACCTCCCCTCTGATGACTCATCACTGCCCAAGGACGTTTCTCCCACACAGGCCAAGAGTTCTGCCTTTGACAGATACGCAGATGCGGGGACCGTGCAGGAGATGCTGCGGACTCAGTCCGTGGCATGCATCAAGCACATCGTGGACTGCATCCGGGCAGAGCTACAGAGCATTGAAGAGGGTGTGCAAGGGCAACAGGATGCCCTCAACAGTGCCAAGCTGCACTCAGTTCTTTTCATGGCCAGACTCTGCCAGTCCCTGGGAGAGCTGTGCCCCCATCTGAAGCAGTGCATCCTGGGAAAATCAGAGAGCTCAGAGAAACCAGCAAGGGAGTTTAGGGCTCTGAGAAAACAGGGAAAGGTGAAAACTCAGGAAATCATTCCTACACAGGCCAAGTGGCAAGAGGTTAAAGAAGTACTCCTCCAGCAGAGCGTGATGGGCTACCAGGTCTGGAGCAGTGCAGTTGTGAAAGTGAGTGATGTAATTTCTTATCCCTGTCTTGTCTCACTTCTGTCATATTCCAGTCTTGCCAACCTCAATCAGTTCCTTCAGTAGTAAAGGCAAAACAATTCTGATTTCATACGGTTAACTTTATCTCTGCCAGAAAGTTCAGTAAAAACTTTTTTGGCCGGGCGCGGTGGCTCATGCCTGTAATCCCAGCACTTTGGGAGGCCAAGATGGGCAGATCGCGAGGTCAGGAGATCGAGACCATCCTGGCTAACATGGTGAAACCCCGTCTCTACTAAAAAAATACAAAAAATTAGCCGGGCATGGTGGTGGGCGCCTGTAGTCCCAGCTACTCGGAAGGCTGAGGCAGGAGAATGGTGTGAACCCGGGAGGCAGAGCTTGCAGTGAGCCGAGATCGCACCACTGCACTCTAGCCTGGGCAACAGGGCGAGACTCCGTCTCAAAAAAAACTTTTTCATTCATTTTTAGCTTAGATTCAGTAGACAGAAAAGCTGCATTTTTTCCTTGCATCAGATGAGAATGAAAGACTTTCTGCCTGGATTTCCTCTCTTTAACCTAAATATCATATTCCCAGTAGCCTCCACTTGTACCTTAAGAGGTGGTATTTGGGCCAGGCATGGCGGCTCATGCCTGTAATCCTAGCACTTTGGGAGGCTGAGATGGTTGGATTGTGTGAACCCAGGAATTCAAGACCAGCCTGGGCAACATGATGAAACCCCCTATCTACAAAAAGTACAGAAATTATTCGGATGTGATGGTGCACGCCTGTAGTCCCAGTTACTTGGGAAGCTGAGGCAGGAGCATTGCCTGAGCCTAGGAGGTCGAGGCTGCAGTGAGCTGTGATTGTGCCACTGCAATCAGCCTGGGAGAAGGGCAAGACCCTGTCTCAAAAAAAAAGAAGTGGTATTTGACATTTATAGGGTAGTTAGCAACAAAATTCCCATGGCTGATATCATTGATAATTAGCCAAAAGAGGACTGATACCATCACTGTACCTACAACTTCAGCAGCTTGAGCTGTTCTCAGGATTACACAGATTGTTTTAAAGAAACTCTACAGAGGATCTGAGTGGCTTGTATGGATATCTGCCTTTTATTACCAGGTTTTGATTCATGGATTCACCCAGTCATTACTTCTAGATGATGCTGGCTCAGTTCTGGCCACAGCCACCAGCTGGGATGAGCTAGAAATTCAGGAGGAGGCAGAGTCTGGCAGCAGTGTCACATCCAAGATCCGACTCCCTGCACAGGTGAGCAGGGACCATGGGCTGAAAAAGGGAATAAACTGCTCCGTGGAAAAGAAGAAAGATTTTAGAAAATCATTCAACATACAACTTCTGAGGAATAGCTGAAAGTAACATCTGTAATTTTCTACTGTGGGGGCATAGTAGATGTAGGGCTAAGTAAATGGCAGACTGTTCAAGAAGTCAGTTAACCATTCTTTCCTTTTGTAGCATAGGCTCTGTGCTAATTAGGGAACCACTTACTTGCCGTGAAATCAGCAGCATAAAACACAGGCACCTCTTCGAGATCAGCCTCAGACCGTGGAGGCAGTAACAGCAAATTGCACTTAACCAGGGGCCTTGTGTCTGCTGAACAGTCTGCCTGTAAGAAGCGTTGCTGAGAGGGGTCAAAGTCCTGGCACATAGGCCTTGTAAGATTAAGTGGATTCACTTTCACTGTGTGTCATTTAATTGGTGCAAGTTGGCAATGTGACATTTCTTTGTTCTTTTAGCCGTCCTGGTATGTACAGTCCTTCCTGTTTAGTTTATGCCAGGAAATTAATCGGGTTGGAGGCCATGCCTTGCCAAAGGTGACATTACAGGAGATGCTGAAAAGCTGTATGGTTCAAGTAGTAGCTGCCTATGAGAAACTCTCCGAAGAAAAACAGATTAAGGTAGGTGTCTGAATGTTTGCCCATTAAAAACACAAATTAAACAAAAGAAAACCTTAGCATTGTCTTGGGTTTGAGCAGTTCACATCAAAGACTCAAACTGTTAAGGATCACCCAGCCCAGGCATCGGGTCCTGTAAAAATGCTCTATCTTAGGAGTAGCACCCAGCGCTGTGAGTTTACTTACACTCATTCTAAAGGGTCAGCAGATCTTCGCTAAGAAGGCAGCTCAGCACAGATGGAAACACCAAGACCCAGAACTTTGGGAGGCTGAGGTGGGAGGATGGCTTCAGCTTGGGAGTTCACGGCTGCAATGAGCAGCTATCATCTCACCACTGCACTCCAGCCTGGGCGACAAAGCAAGACCCTGTCTCTTAAAAAGACAAAACAAAAAAATCAAAAAACAATGAAAAGGATCAGAGCTTCAAAATAAAAGACCTGGCTTCCAACCTCAGTGCTGCCACTGGTTCACTGGGGGCTCCGGGCAAATCATTAACCTCCGTTTCCTTAGGGCCAAATGTGATCCTGTAGATAAACCGCTCAGTGGTTTCCTCACTTGTAAAAGGCAGACAGCCCCCGGCCCCAGCCACAGCACACCTACCTCAGGGGTGACTGTGGGGAGTTAGAGAGAACAGTTGCCTGCCACAAAGTGTGACACACAGAGGTGCTTACTTACGGGGAGTTCTTGTCTCCCAACCCTTCACACTGCTTTCACTGTCTAGGAAGCGTTCTGCCCTTGGTGTATAATCCCATTTCATTAGTAACTTTTTTTTTTTTTTTTTTTTTTTGAGACAGAGTCTCACTCTGTCACCCAGGCTGGAGTGCAGTGGCACCATCTCGGCTCACTGCAACCTCAACCTCCCAGGCTCAGGAGATTCTCCCACCTCAGCCTCCCGAATAGTTGGGACCACAAGGCATGCGCCAGCACACCTAATTTTTGTTATTTTTTGTAGAGACAGGTTTTGCGATTTTGCCCAGGCTGGTCTCAAACTCCTGGGTTCAAGCAAATCGCTTGTTTCGGCCTCCCAAAGTGCTGGGACTATGGGCAGGAGCCATCACGCCTGGCCAGTAACATTTTTTAGAAGGAACATGGTCAGGTGCGATGGCTGACACCTGTAATCCCAGTACTTTGGGAGGCCAAGGCGGGTGGATCACTTGAGGCCAGGAGTTCGAGACCAGCCTGACCAACATGGTGAAACCCCATCTCTACTAAAAATACAAAAATTAGCCGGGTGTGGTGGCGTACATCTGTAGTCCCAGCTACTCAGGAGGGTGAGGCAGGAGAATTGCTTGAACCTGGGAGGTGGAGGTTGCAGTGAGCCCAGATTGTGTCACTGCACTCCAGCCTGGGCAACAAGGCGAGACTCTATCTCAAAACAAACAAACAAACAAACAAACAAAAACCCAAGAAGGAACAAATCCTGATTTTGGAAAGAATTCAGTAAGTCTTCTCTAATGAGCCTCCTCAAAACACTTCTCCTTCAGGCAAGGAGCCTTTTTTTCCCCTTTAGAACAACCATTTACAGCATCTGAGGCCTTTTTTAAGGGCCAGGTCTCTTCCCTGCTGTTAGGTTTTTAATTTTAAGGTCAAGTTTCTAACAAAATTTGTTTTGTTGTTGTGAGATTAAACTGGCCATATGAGCATTAAAACCATCTGCTTCTGAAATAGCAAGCTGAAACTCAACCAAAACTTGAAGCTGTTTATTACGCTCACATACCAAGTCCTCTCTCTTCATGGGTGGGGACTGGGAATTCATTTGCAGAAAGAAGGTGCATTTCCAGTCACCCAGAACCGGGCGCTGCAGCTGCTTTATGATCTGCGTTACCTCAACATTGTTCTGACAGCCAAGGGTGACGAGGTGAAGAGTGGCCGGAGCAAGCCAGACTCCAGGTGTCGTATCCTCTAGGGAGCTATGTCAAGGCGGTCTCTTCCAAAAGCAAATAGTCCCTTTGCTGGGAAGCCACCAGAGTCAGCCTGTTATACTGCACATTCATTGTGTTTGTTTTGAACAGTAAGTGCTCATATTGCCAGCAAGTTAAATAATGGCCGCCTGCTGGATAAATGCAATGGTCAAGTGAAATAGGTGGACTCTTATTCCCCTCTCTTCTGAGTCAGCCTAGCAGCTGCTGAGTATCATTTGAGCCCTTAGTGCCCTCCTTATAGACAGAACGGGGGAAAGGGTGGACTTCACTTAGACATCATGCTTGAGGGTGACTTAAGCACTATCATCAGTGACAAACGTACTAAGCCAGCAACTAAGTAGAATAAAACCCAACTCCAAGATTTCTACAGCAGTAGGATATCATAAGATTGTTTTTGATCCTAAAAAATGTGGACAGTAATGATCCTAATCCTTTTCTCAGAATTGAGAAAGTGACTGACCACCTGGAAGCCCTCATTGATCCATTTGACCTGGACGTTTTCACGCCACACCTCAACAGCAACCTTCATCGCCTGGTGCAGCGAACTTCTGTGAGTCAAATCAAAAACATGCTTAGTGCGAACGAAGCGATACAGGCTCAAATAACAAAATTAACCTGCTCAAGCACGTAATACTCCAGGATGCAGCATAGGGAGGGGAATAAGACACAAATAGCCGAGTGTAGTTATAAGGACTGAAAGAGGATTAGATAAAATCTCACACACTGAGGCAACCA
The DNA here is from genome assembly GCF_000001405.40 of Homo sapiens. NCBI lineage: Eukaryota > Metazoa > Chordata > Mammalia > Primates > Hominidae > Homo > Homo sapiens. The sequence goes on from NC_000017.11 coordinate 73,206,448, forward strand.
AGATTTGGCCCCTTAAGTTGTAAATAAGGATTATTACAGTTTTATCCAGGCCTCAGAAAGAGGAATAAAAACTCCCTGCCTCTCAGATTCTGACCTGTGGGCAGTGATAAAAAGTAATCGTGAAGCATAAATGCACTCAGAACATTCCCCAAAATGACAGTTAGAAATACGGTAGCGATGGGTGACTAACCTTTTTTTTTTTTTTTTTGCCTTTCTTTTACCTGCACAATGAAACCTCTGCTCCACCTCTTGTCTGCCAGGTTCTGTTTGGATTGGTGACTGGTACAGAGAATCAGCTCGCCCCCCGGAGCAGTACGTTCAACTCCCAAGAACCCCATAACATCCTGCCACTGGCATCCAGTCAGATCAGGTAAAGGCTGCCAAGAGGCTTCTGCGGGGCACTTCGGGAGGCCAAGGTGGACGGATCACGTCAGGAGATCGAGACCATCCTGGCTAACATGGTGAAACCCTGTCTCTACTAAAAAAAATACAAAAAATTAGCTGGCCTGGTGGCAGGTGCCTATAGTCCCAGCTATTCAGGAGGCTGAGGCAGGAGAATGGCGTGAACCCAGGAGGCGGAGCTTGCAGTGAGCCGAGATTGCGCCACTGCACTCCAGCCTGGGCGACAGAACGAGACTCTGTCTCAAAAAAAAAAAAAAAAAAAAAATGAGGCTTCTGCTGGGCCCCAGAGCTGCCTGTTTGTGCTACTAAATTCTTTCCTCTTGTTTTGGAGGTTTGGACTTCTCCCACTGAGCATGACAAGCACTCGAAAGGCTAAATCAACCAGAAACATCGAAACAAAAGCTCAGGTTGGTGCCAAGAGCAAGAGGCTCATCCGTGGATGGGTCCCCACCTCCCACCGAGCCACCCATGATCAGCTCCCTTTTAAATAACTGATTAAGAACTGAATGACAAAATGCACTAATGCTGCTTTTAATGGCGGCGCAATAGAGAAGTACAAGGTTTTACTAGCTTGAGCTACTAGAAGGTGTAAAAGATGCCCGCTGACACTACCAAGTAGCCTCTTAATAGAAATGTAGAAAATATACAGGACAGGGTGGAGATGAGCTCTTGAATTTAGTAGGGTGAAAGAGTTAACTGCCAACCCGGCACTATCATTGTACTTGTTTGGAGAAAATCTGTTTTGTTCTGGTGATGATGGTTTTATCTTCCCTTTTAGTTGGGTGGGAAGTAACAGAAAATTTGTTTCCCCAAAAGTTTGACATTTTCTTGTTAATACACGTTTCATTTCAGTACGATGCCAACTGTTAAGCCTGCAGGAATCCTCCTGGGTATTTCTGAATTGTGCTGTGTGCATGTGTGTTTGAAAGCTCAAACAGCTTGTCTTCTTACAGCATCGAGTTGTTTGCTTTATTGTTAGACACAATATTAGCAGTGTATCCTTTCCGTATTCCCTACCATCGAACCCATTAAGATCTAAAATCCTTGTCAAGTATCTGGCTTTAAAAGTTGGGAGATGGTAGTTTAAAAAAAAAAAAAGCTCTTGCAAAAACCATCCAGTCCCTAAGCATGGGCTATGTTGCAGCCTCTTCCAGAACAGTTTCCACTGCAGTGATCTTTCAGTTCTGCCCACATTAGGTTAGCAGGCTGTGGAGAGAAGTGCCTGTGTCTACCCTTTTCCCAAGACAGTCCTCATTTCCAAATTCTAGTTTTGTCACAAAGGCTCATGCTGTTCCGTGTCCTCTTCAAATCTGGACCGACAGCAAAGTCCTCTGACTAGAGCCATCGTGCTTCTCAGCTCCGCTTGTGTGTGCCGTGTGGACTCCGAGTGGCGTCGCGCGGAGGGCGAGTGGGCAGGAGGGCTCAGGCCAACTCTAAGGCACTTTTCTCTACATCCAATGGCAGGTTGTCCCCCCGGCACGCTCCACAGCTGGTGACCCGACAGTTCCTGGCTCCTTGTTCAGACAGCTTGTCAGTGAAGAAGACAACACGTCTGCACCTTCATTATTCAAACTTGGCTGGCTCTCTAGTATGACTAAGTAACATGGCAACACATCTGTCTCTCCCTAAATAAATACTACCACATTATTTCTTCTAAAGGTGCCTCTGCTCATCTGATTCTCAGCCACACCAATCTTTCCAGTTTCACTGATGGAATGTGGCCCCCTAGTTACTGTTGGGGGTTACTTTAAGCATCAAGTTAATCCTTGTCCCAAAATTTCACAATACTTGTTGCTTTAGACATCAGTTCAGGTAGCTTACATTTTATCAGCGTTCAACAACACCTTAATTGTTGACACTACAAGGTGGAATTGTCAATGAGATCATGTAAGCTGCTGACTGACCAAGTTTGTAGGACAAAAAGTCATTACATATTACTTTACTTGCAGAACTGTGCCATGTTTCCTACTAAAGTCTGAGGTGCAGACTCTGGTGGAATAGTGACACAGAAGTTATCTGGGTATACAAGAATCTAAAAGACATTCTCTCTGGAAATACAAATATATAACAAAGAGTAGAGACTATTATTAGGGAGTGTGCTTCACTGACAGTCTGAATTGGATCTGATTGTTCTCCTGTTACACAGGAGAGAGTACTTTCAATAGAACATCTACATACTGAGAGGTAGTATGGCAGTTAATTTCAGTGCAAGACTGAATCAAGCTTCCTATATTTTGGAAAAAAACTTATGTTTTTTCATGGAAACTAGATACTCTTTACTAGTTTATTGAATAAAAAAAATTGAAGATCCCGCATTTTTAAAAGGCCCTTTACATAAAGTAGAGTTTCTAGTTGACAGATTTGGAAATCAGTCTGAATGGGACATACTATGGATTCAACACACAGAATGAGTTTTCCTCAAACCACTACCTTGACATAGATTTGATACCCTCCCTCAAAAGAATCCTATAAAAAATTGCTTCAAAGCCCCTTTGAAATTGCAATAGTGCAGCAAAACCACAAGTAAACAACTGCCTGTTAACCTGTTATTTCAAATATAGACTGAAAAGCCAACAGGCATTTTTCGTGTGCAATTTTTCTTTTAAAACAAGTTGTAAGTTGAAATATCAAATCTGCACAGCGCTGTCCCTTCACAGAAGGCAAGAAACTGCCGGCACATCATGTCAGAGGCCGCCCTCGGTGCTGTAGGCTGTGGAAGTGGGCCTCCCTCAGGGTCTGGTTGATGTGGAAGTAGAGGCCTTGGCACAGCGCGGACTGCTCGGGCACGGGCTGAGGCGTGTTAGGGCTGGATCCGGCCATGGTCTGGCTCAAGCTGCCTTCCGGCCCGCTGGCCCTGTCCGGGCTATTGATGCTGCTGCTGCTGCTGCTGCTGCTCCCACCACTGTCACTGCCTGAAGACTGGAAGGAAGAAGAAAGAAACAGGGTCACAATAAGGCTGTTTTGTTTAAGAGCTTTACTGTGGTTTCATGTACAGCGCTCTATTAAGAGTACCTTTCCAGTTCAGCTTGAGGATGAAGACATATACTGGGCTTTGGAATTGATAAAGTACGCTCTCCTAAAACGTTTCATCCTCTCCTCACAGCCACCCTGTCAGGCTGAGCAGGGTTTATTGTCCTTAATACACAGCTCTAGGAGGATGGGTCCAGTCCAGGTTCAAGCACGGGCTGCCTAACTCCAAATCCTTTCAACTATATCCTAATTCTTTTGCACATATTCTATACCTGCTTTTCCCATTCATTTCAATAATTTCCAACCAAAGAAGGCAGTTCTCAGCCTCCAAGGGAATGTATGAGTCATTGGGACAGAGTATAAAAAAGGTGACAAATAAGATGGCTTCTGGGTATAAGCGAAGATAAAAACTAAAAGCCTATGCCAATTTTGTGATCATCATAGACACAAAATGGTATTCTGTAACTGCAGGACACAGACCCTGAAAGGACTTTAATAGACTTCTGGTCAAGTTATCTTATGTTGGCATTATTGCAGTTCATATGTACATGTGTGTACATGAGCGTGCCTAACTTTTTCTTTAATGTAACTAACATGACTTGGTGTTTTAGTCATCTTGGAGAGGCTACTCGGAGATCCCTGATAAGAGTCACTTTCATTCTGCAGTTCATGTTTTAAAAAAAAAAAAAAAAAAGTCACTTTCAGAAATTCCCGCCTTCCACCACTAGGACTCTCAAAGGGGAGGGTGACACGAAGGACCCATTTCAGAATTATGGTATTTTACAATTTTTTTTGGAGACAAGGTCTCACTCTGTTACGCAGGCTCGAGTGCAGTGGATCAAGCTCACTGCAGCCTCAATCTCCTGGGCTCAAGCAATTGTTCCACCTCAGCTTCCTAAGCAGCTGGTACTACAAGCGTACGCCACCATGCCTCGTTATTTTTTTTTTTTTTTTTTTTTTAGTAGAGACAAGATCTCGCTATGTTGCTCAGGCTGGTCTCCAACTCCTGAGCTCAAGCAATCCTCCTGCCTTGGCCTCTGAAAGTGCCAGGCAGGAAAGATTACAGGCATGAGCCACCATGCCCAGCCTTATTTTACAATTTTACTATTGCATTTCTAATAAATGACAACCCTGATAACTGAATTGGCAGTACCTTTCTGTGTTTACAGTGCAATACAATATTGTATTCAGCACATGAGAAAGAATTCTAGTAATTAATATCTAGCATATAATTGTTTTTTAAAACTTAGCCGTTTAATACATCCACATTTATGTTCCCTTAGGCAAAGACATTGGTTCTGAAATGTCTGCTTACAACTAGGTAAAGTCTACACATAAGAAAAAAAAGACTGGAGGCCAGGTGCAGTGCCTCACACTTGTAATCCCAGCACTTTGGTTGGCTGAGGCAGGTGGACTGCTTGAGTGCAGGAGTTCGAGACCTGGCCAACATGGCAAAACCCCAGCCTGGCCAACATGGCAAAACCCCCATCTCCATTAAAAATACAAAAAAATTGGCCGGGTGCAGTGGCTCATGCCTCAGGAGTTTTGAGACCAGCCTAGCCAACATAGTGAAACCCCGTATCAATTAAAAATACAAAAATTAGCCGGGCATGGTGGCAGGCGGCTGTAATCCCAGCTACTAGGGAGGCCGAGGCAGGAGATCGCTTGAACCTGGGGGGTGGAGGTTGCAGTGAGCCGAGATCGCGCCATTGCACCCAGCCTGGGCAACAAGAGCAAGACTTCATCTCAAAAAAAAAAAAGGCCAGGCGCGGTGGCTCATGCCTGTAATCCCAGCACTTTGGGAGCCCGAGGCAGGTGGATCACGAGGTCAAGAGGTCGAGACCATCCTGGCCAACAAGGTGAAACCCCATCTCCACTAAAAACACAAAAATTAGCTGGGCATGGTGGTGTGTGCCTGTGGTCCCAGCTACTAGGGAGGCTGAGGCAAGAGAATCGCTTGAACCCGGGAGGTGAAGGTTGCAGTGAGCCGAGATCACGCCACTGCCCTCCAGCCTAGTGACAGAGTAAGACTCCATCTCAAAAACAAAACAAAACAAAAAAATTATCTGGGCGTGGTGGCTCGCGCCTATAGTCCCAGCTACTCAGGAAGCTGAGGTGGGGGAATCACTTGAACCTCGGAGGTCGAGGTGGCAGTGAGCCAAGATTGCACCACCGCACTCCAGCCTACGCAATCGGAATGAGACTGTCTCAAAAAAAATAAAGACTGGAAAGAAAGAACGAAATCACAGTAGTTATATTAGGATGGAAAGATTATAGCTGCTTGACTTTTTCTACACTTCAACTTTTTTGCAATGTGGTTATTATGTATTTTTATTATAAAAATGTATAAATTAAACAAAATGCTGTTTACAGATATATATTTTAAAGTGATTCTTAAAATCCTAGTTCTATCCCTTTTTTGACCAAAAATTACATCCAATAATATGCATATAGATAACTTATCTGAAACAATGAAAACAAGCAATGTTCACAAAGCTGCCATCATTAACAAGACTCAAACCAAGACTTGTGATGGTGCCGAGGCCATTGGAGCTATGGTCACATACCCCAATACCTACAGGTAGCAGGGGACAACCCCTCTTTCTAGAATAAAAAAATAAAAAAATAAAAACCTCATGAAAGGATGATAATGGGCCGGGCTGATGAAGTCAGATAGCAGGATTTGCAGCCAGCTGCAACTGTATTTACTTAGAGGCTTAAGAAGTCAAAGTCAAAAACAAAAATTGTATTCTACAAAGGCGTCTCCTAACCTAGTATAACAATGTAGAATGGCCACTTGCACCTTGCGAATCATGAATATTTAACAAACAGGTCACTACACTCAATTAGAAACCCACCGCGCAGAACGCTTTGTTTCCTCTTAGTCTGTTTTCTTTACTGTTTCTCATTACAGGTACTGTCTGAAAATCAAGGCAAGAACTACAATCAGTTTCTAGTAAGTCAAGTTTTCATCTCAAATTATATCTATTTCGTACTATAATAGCACAAGGGTGATGCTACTCTAAGAAAAGGCAAAAGTTCTTTAAACAGATTAGGGAAGATTTCTGTACATAATTTTTTTTTATTTTTTATTTTTTTTAGGGTTAGGTAGATTTGCAATTTCCAGTTCATTTAAAAAATCTTGGCTGGGCGCGGTGGTTCACGCCTGTAATGCCAGCATTTTGGGAGGCTGAGATGGGCAGATCATGAGGTCAAGAGATCGAGACCTTCCTGGCCAACATGGTGAAACCCCGTCTCTACTAAAAATACAAAAATTAGCTGGGCGTGGTGGTGTGTGCCTGTAGTCCCAGCTGCTTGGGAGGCTGAGGCAGGAGAATCACTTGAACCCAGGAGGCGGAGGTTGCAGTGAGCTGAGATCACGCCACTGCACTCCAGCCTGGCAACAAAGCAAGACTGTCTCAAAAGAAAAAAAAAAAAGTGTTTACTGGGCCTTGTTTATAATGGCTAAAAATTGGAAACAACCTAAATGTCTAATAGAGAATTGGTTTAATTATATTACATCCATTAATATACATATATGATGAAATTCTATTCAGCCATTAGCAATGATCATAGAGACATACATATACTAACATCGAAGTCTTTGGCATCATTTTTTACATCATTTCAGTTCATACTAAGCAGTATATATAGTATATCAGTTGATTCTTAAAATGTTTTTCTCAAGTGTATTCATACATATATTTATATACACCAAAAACAATCTGGAAGGATATATATGACAAAATATTTACGATTTGGATCTTCTATTTTATTTTAAAATTTATTTTCTCAAGTGTCTATCAAAAAACATTTCTTTTGAGGAAGAAACTGATAATGAGTAAGTGAACTAAAGAATGCTACCATGGGCCAGGCATGGTGGCTCACACCTGTAATCCCAGCACTTTGGGAGGCTGAGGCAGGCAGATCACTTGAGGCCAGGAGTTCGAGACCAGCCTGGCCAACATGGCGAAACCGCGTCTCTACTAAAAATACAAAAAGTAGCCGGGCGTGGTGGCGCATCCCTGTAGTCCCAGCTTCTCAGGAGGCTGAGACAGCAGAATCGCTTGAACCTGGGAGGCAGAGGTTGTACTGAGCCGAGATGGCACCACTGCACTCCAGCCTGGGTGACAAAGTGAGACTCTGTTTCAAAAGAAAAAAAAAGAATGCTACTAGGAAACCAAGTAAGGTCTTCAATTACATTTAACTTCAAAATGGAGACTGAAAAGTATTGATACTGCCAATATGATTTTGAGAAGATTGTTTCACCTTAACTACCTCAGAACTTCTAAAGCTGCTTCAGTTGTATTAACTTGCATTGAGCAGACCAATGATAGTGTTAAACTACTGAGGCTTTGGTTTCTATTTTCTGACAATTCAGACCAGTTTTCTCACTACTGTGGAGGCTTAGGGAGTGTCACACAATCTATAGATGGACCAGGATTTTTCAAATTGAGAGTGAAACCAGCATCAAATTGGTGGGTTACAACCAGCATTAAAAAAAAAAAAAAAGGACAACAGAGTGCAACATAAGGATATTGTTCTGTGAAGCTTTCTTTCAATTATTCACAAATATATTTGGTATGTACTGGGTTACAAAATAAAGCATTTCTATGGAACAGGGTCAAAAAATTTTTTGAAGTTACTGTAGTTGATCTTAACACTGTCAGCCACCAAAGTCATCTGCTTTATGGGATAAAGGAAAGACCATTCTTCACTTTTAACCCAAAAGGCATAAAACTAAATTTGAAGTCTGTATTAGTGCCTTAAGATATATACAGAAGTAAAACATTTTTGTCTCCTAAAGTAAACATCTTGAAACAGGAAAAAATCCTATTTCCCTCACTTAGTTGAAGCTTTTTAATATCAGATTGCTTGAGGGCAAAAGCCAATACTTGATGATGCACGGCTTTGGAAATGGAAACTGCTATCTTAGTAGAGAAGTGTTTACCTTGTCACATTTGTTCTCGAAAAGACACCAAATTCTTTTACCAAAAGAGAAACAAGGGTCCAAAGACTTTGGGACTGAGAAGGACCATCAAATAGGAATCCCACTCTTATGATCCTGATTCCTTACAGACTCATCAAACAGTTTAACCAAATCAACGGTTACAAAGCTCATTTTCTTTTCTCTGAATTGTCCATTTAGGCTTAGTGCTGACATGACATCTGACCAGGCTATTTTCATGACACAATCCAAAGAGAATAAAGCTGCGTGTGATCTGTGAAATAAAAACCCCTTGCAGGTCTGTGAACACAAGCAAGATAAATTTATGAAGGCTCTGGCCAAGAATCTCTCTCAACAATATACAAAGAGTCCTGTCTTGAAGATCTGTGTGAAAAAGGATTCTAGGTTAGTTTCGGTAATAATAAAACCTACCACTGTATCCTTATAACCGCAGACATCTGGGTAAGACCCAGAAGAGAACTGCCATGATACAATCTATTTTGGAATTACCTATGGGCTTTTTATTTCATTTTTTGAAACAAGGTCTTGCTCTGTCACTCAGGCTGGAGCAGTGGCATGATTACAACTCACTGAAGCCTTGACCTCCCATGCTCAAACGATCCTCCTGCCTCAGCCTCTTGAGCAGCTGGGACTACAGGCGCATGCCACCATGCCCAGCTATTTTTTGTAGAGACGAGGTCTCACTATGTTGCCCAGGCTGGTCTTGAACTCCTGGGCTCAAGATATCCTCCTGCCTCAGCCCCACAAAGTGCTAGGATTACAAGTGTAAGCCACTGCACCTGGCCACTAGGGGCTTTTTAAAGTGTAAATGCCAGGGCCCCACCTCAGCACCATGCTGGCAAAAGGAAGGTGCAGCTTGTTCTCACATCCAACCACTGGGCAAAGAAATGTTTGTGTGCTTACTATGTACAAGGCGTTCCACTAGGGCTGCTGAAGCATTCAGTAAATATTTACTGAGCTGAATCAAGAAAATGGTGGCACCATACCCATTGGTAACAACAGTTCACAGCTACTGTGGTGATGGGAATCCAGCAATGGATGCTGACTGAGTACTAGGAGAGGATCCTTAACATGAATGGTGTCTCAGCTGGGCCCAGGAGGATAAGGAAGAATTTTCACAGGCAGGGTATGACCAATGGGAACAAGAGCAAACTCAGAAAAGCAAGGTGTGGTGTGGGTGGGCCCTTGACAGGAGTGAGTGAGAGGGAAACTGCACAAGAGGTGATGGCTAGATTATCAAGAGCCATGAGGGCTGCAGGAACAGGTGGGTCCTGAGCATGGAAGACTGGCTCAGGTCTATACTTACGAGTGGGGATCCTAGGAATCTGTGGGAGATGAATGAGGTTAAGGATCTGAAAGCAGAGCCCTACTGGGAGCTTTCCTAATACAACAAGCAGGAAGGCAGGCCCAGGAGGACTGTGGAAATGACAAGGAAGGAGAACACGCACCACCCCCGAGGAGGACAGAAAGAACTCCGGAAGGAGAGGAAGAAGACATAGGGTACTCGAGCATCAGGACAGTGCTGGGCAGACAGCAGGTGTTTGGGAACTGTTTGCTGAATGGAAAGACCATTGGTGAGCCTGGCAAAAAGTTTGAATAGAGTCAAGGAGGAAGCCAGGATCCAGAGAGTAAGGGAGGGAAGGCCGATGAGAAAGTCCCAGCAGTGGCTGCAGGCAACTGAAGGTGACTGGCGGGAGGGAGAGGGAGAAGGCACACAGGAAGCTGAGGGGAAAACAAGGCAGAGAGGAGGTGAGTGGGGAAAAGAGCCCACTAGCAGGCCAGGGAAAGAAACAGTGGGTAAAAGGAATCTGAAGAGCCGAAAAGAAGGGAGAAATACTAGAAAAAGCTTTCAGGAGTCTTGAGAGAATATAGAGCAAAAAGGCAGAAGGACACACTACTCTCTTTGGCAGAAGGGCTAGATATAACTAAATTGTGAAGCAGAGGACGGGGAAGTTGAAGTTCATTTTCTTAGTCCAAAGGGCTCAAATGATACATCAAAGGGCACAGAAGCTCTGGTCTCTCAGCCAGGCCTGCCTTTCATTTTATTTTTCCAGTGTGCAAAGTCAGTTTAAGAGACAACTCACTTATACCCATGGCAGAAACTAAACAACTCCAAACACCATTTCTACTAATAACCTTAAGAAAGCACCCCCACCTCAGACAGAAATATTAATCACTAAGCCATTCCACTTCATAAAAAGAGAGCTATGTGTATATTATCTAGAACCAAATGCTTTCTCTTCTTAATTTGAAAAGCAGGGCTGGGCCCAGTGGCTCATGCCTGTAATCTCAACACTTTGGGAGGCCAAGGCGGGTGGATCAGTTGAGGCCAGGAGTTCGAGACCAGCCTGGCCAACATGGTGAAACCTCATCTCTACTAAAAATACAAAAAACCAAAACAAAACAAAACAAAAATTAGCCAGCCATAATGGCAAGCACCTGTAATCACAGCTATTTGGGAGGCTGAGGCAGGAGAATCGCTTGAACCCAGGAGATAGATGTTGCAGTGAGCTGAGAATGTGCCACTGCACTCTAGCCTGGGGGACAGAGTGAGACTGTATCTCAATTAAAAAAAAAAAAAAGGCCAGGTGTGGTGGTTCATGCCTGTAATCCCAGGACTTTGGAGGCCCAGACAGGTGGATCACGAGGTCAAGAGATCGAGACCATCCTGGCCAACATGGTGAAACCCTGTCTCTACTAACAATACAAAAATTAGCTGGGCGTGGTGGCGTGCACCTGCAGTCCCAGCTACTCGGGAGGCTAAGGCAGGAGAATCACTTGAATCTGGGAGGCGGAGGTTGCAGTGAGCTGAGATCGTGCCATTGCACTCCAGCCTGGCGACAGAGTGAGACTCTGCCTCAAAAATAAAAAATAAAAAATAAAGGCCAGGCGCAGTGGCTCATGTCTGTAATCCTAGCACTTTGGGAGGCCGAGGCAGGTGGATTGCCTGAGGCAGGTGGATTGCCTGAGCTCAGGAGTTTGAGACCAGCCTGGGCAACATGGTGAAAACCTGTCTCTACTAAAATACAAAAAGTTAGCCGGGCGTGGAGGCGTGCGCCTGGAGTCCCAGCTATTTGAGAGGCTGAGGCAGGAGAATTGCTTGAACCCAGGAGGCAGAGGTTGCAGTGAGCTGAGATCACGCCACTGCACTCCAGCCTGGGCGACAGAGCGAGACTCTACCTCCAAAAAGAAAATAAAAGATCAATGTAGTATTTTATTTTCTGTCAAGCCCCAGCTTCCCCTTACCTCCATCCCCTCTTTCAATGGTGCTTTCAATTAATGTGAACCTTAAAAGAGGAATCTTACCCATAGTATATACTCCATCTCTGGAGTCATGATGAAGCTCATTTTCATTCTAAGGCTGCCACAGAATCTGGATTAAATGCAAGAGATGATCCCAGCCAAGTCTATCAGAGCATCTAATGTAAAATTTTGTGCTTCCAAAGTGTCCAATAATTTCAGAAAACTTCAGATCTACCAATATTGGTGACACAAGATTCCAAATGAACTCAGTGGGTTAATTAAAACCACTTTATAAATAAGCAAGGAAAGAAAATGCAGGTGATAACTTTTCTGTCTCCATGAATAAATAACATCCTTTCTATACCTTTGTTACCCTTATAAGGTGAAACTGGACCACACAATGTGTTTAAAGTTCCTTCTGAATGGAAATACTGTATTATTAGTATCACTTTCACTTTGTTTCCATTTCAACAGGCCAAAAAATAAGGCCCAGCAGTAGAAAAAGATGTGTATGTGTATATCTTCAGTACTTAATAACAGATTTTAACATTCTGTTTCAATAAGAAACTGCTGCCGGGCGCGGTGGCTCACGCCTGTAATCCGAGCACTTTGGGAGGCTGAGGTGGGCAGATCACCTGGGCTCGGGAGTTCGAGACCACCCTGACCAACATGGAGAAACCCCGTCTCTACTAAAAATACAAAAAATGGCCAGGCGCAGTGGCTCACGCCTGTAATCCCACCACTTTGGGAGGCCGAGGCGGGCGGATCACGAGGTCAGGAGATAGAGACCATCCTGGCTAACACGGTGAAACCCCGTCTCTACTAAAAATACAAAAAAATTAGCCAGGCGTGGTGGCGTGCGCCTGTAGTCCCAGCTACTTGGGAGGCTGAGGCAGGAGAATGGCATGAACCTGGGAGGCGGAGCTTGCAGTGAGCCGAGGTCATGCCACTGCACTATGGCCTGGATGGCAGAGCGAGACTCCGTCTCAAAAAAAAAAAATACAAAAAATTAGCCAGGTGTGGTTGTGCATTGCCTGTAATCCCAGCTACTCGGAAGGCTGAGGCAGGCGAATCGCTTGAACCCGGGAGGCAGAGGTTGCAGTGAGCCAAGATTGTGCCATAGCACTCCAGCCTGGGCAACAAGAGAAAAACTCCGTCTCAAAAAAAAAAAAAAAAAAAAAACGACGAAACTGCTTGGGGTAGCTTAGTATGCTGTGAATTGAGGTATTTACAAACATATCAAGGACTTAAACTGTAAGCAAAGTAAATGTATTCTATAAATTAGACTAACAGCACTGTTCCTCCCTTTTGAATGGATCTTTTAAGAAATTAATCTCGGCTGGGCGCGGTGGCTCATGCCTGTAATCCCAGTCCTCTGGAGGCCGAGGTGGGTGGATCACGAGGTCAGGAGATTGAGACCATCCTGGCGAACACTGTGGAACCCCGTCTCTACTAAAAATACAAAAAAATTAGCCGGGTGTGGTGGCAGGCGCCTGTAGTTCCAGCTACTCGGGAGGCTGAGGCAGGAGAATGGTGTGAACCTGGGGGGCAGAGCTTGCAGTGAGCGGAGATCACACCACTGCACTCCAGCCTGGGCAACAGAGCGAGACTCTGTCTCCAAAAAAAAAGAAAAAAGAAAAAAAAATGAAATTAATCTCAGGCCAGGCATGGTGGCTCATGCCTATAATCCTAGCACTTTGGAAGGCCGAGGCAGGTGGATCACGTGAGTCCAGGAGTTCGAGATCAGCCTGGGCAACATGGTGAAAACCTGTCTCTACAAAAAGAATATAAAAATAAGCTGGGCATGGCAGTGCGCGCCTGTAGTCCCAGTTACTCAGGAGGCTGAGGTGGGAGGATCACCTGAGCCTGGGGAGGTCAAGGCTGCAGTAAGCCATGATCATACCACCACACTCTAGCCTGGGAGACAGAGTGAGACCCTGTCTCCAAAAAAAGAAAAAAAAAAAAAACAAAACTTAATTTCAGAGTTAATTTGCTACAGGGTTCTAAACACACAATCCTAACAGTTTCACTGAAAAGAGTCGGCCAAATCAGTCTGTCTCTTAGAATGTATTAATACTACAACTCTAAGACGGATTAAAGATGAGAATGGGCAAGAATGAAGAGCTTAAAATAACATTTAAAAAAATTATTCTAAATACTCCTATTGTCATATGAATTCACATTATTTTTTAAAAAATCACCCAACACTCAGCTAATTCTTATCAGTTAAAACAAATGAATTTATAGACTCCTAACTTTATGATAAATGGATCCCCTGGTTCTATTCTTTTTTAATTTCTCACACTTCCGCATTCCCACTAAGAATTCCCTTAGGATTTTAATATTAACATCAAAAATTTTGCCTTCTAGTAGAGACAAAGGGGCTGAAGCTGTCCTAGGTAAGCCACTTCTTTTTTTTGTTTTTTATTTTGAGATGGAGACTCGCTCTGTCACCCAGGCTGGAGTGCGGTGGTGCGATCTCATCTCACTGCAACCTCCGCCTCCTAGGTTCATGTGATTCTCCTGCCTAGGCCTCCTGAGTAACTGGGACTCCAGGCATGCACCACCACGCCCAGCCAATTTTTGTATTGTTAGTAGAGACGGGGTTTCACCATGTTGACCAAACTGGTGTCAAACTCCTGACCTCAGGTGATCCACCTGCCTCTGTCTCCCAAAGTGCTGGGATTATAGACATGGCCCGGCAGCCACTTCTGTTTTATCTCCACATTTTTTCACTCTCTATCTGATATTACTTCACACTGGTCTAAAAAATCAAAATGGTCTTGTTAAGCTAAGTTAAAGGTATTAAAAAAAATTGAGGTCTTTGTACTTTTAAAAGGTATTGCTTTTTTTTTAATTTAGATTTTTTTTTTTTTTTTTTTTTTGAGATGGAGTCTCGCTCTGTCGCCCAGTCTGGAGTGCAGTGGTGCAATCTCAGCTCACTGCAACCTCCGCCTCCCGGGTCCAAGCAGTTCTCCTGCCTCAGCCTCCTGAGTAGCTGGGATTACAGGTACGCGCCACCACGCCCGGTTAATTTTTGTATTTTTAGTAGAGACGGGGTTTCACCATGTTGGTCAGGCTGGTCTCGAACTCCTGACCTCGTGATCTGCCCGCCTTGGCCTCCCAAAGTGCTGGGATTGCAGGCATGAGCCACCGGGCCCCAGCCAAATTTAGATTTTAATTTCTTCCCTCCTAAGGATGAGAAGATACTGCTTTTATTTACTCAAGTAGAAGCACTTTTTACAAGGCATATACCTAGGTAACAGAAGCTAGATTTACACAGAAACTTCTAGTGTAATTTGTAGATAAAGATATTAAAACTGAAAGTAAAGAACATTACTCCTTCTACATGTAAATAATAGAATTCAACCTAAAAAGACTAGACCCTAAAAAAAAAATTTAAGTTAAATCTAAGTAGTTTTTACCCATCCAAATAGTTGCCCAAGATCAGGATTTGATAGAAAAAAATTGATAAAATCATTTCACTTCTTGCTCAGTGAAGAGAAAACTGAGCCTGAGATAGATGTTAACTAATGTGATTCATCTAGAATGGCTTTACACGAAACAAAAAATTAGGCTGGGCATGGTGGCTCACACCTGTAATCCTAATACTTTGGAAGGCCAAGGTGGAAGGATTGCTTGAGCCCAGGAGTTCAAGATCAGCCTGGACAACATGAGGAGACCCCCATCTCCACAAAAAAAATTTTAAAACTAGCCAGGTGGGCCGGGCGCGGTGGCTCACGCCTGTAATCCCAGCACTTTGGGAGGCCGAGGCGGGCGGATCATGAGATCAAGAGATCGAGACCATTCTGGCCAACATGGTGAAACCCCGTCTCTACTAAAAGTACAAAAATTAGCTGGGCGTGGTGGCGGTCCCCTGTAGTCCCAGCTACTCGGGAGGCTGAGGCAGGAGAATTGCTTGAACCCTCCCCAGAGGCGGAGGCTGCAGTGAGCTGAGATGCGCCACTGCATTCCAGCCTGGGGAAAGAGCGAGACTCTGTCTCAAAAAAAAAAAAAAAAAAAAAACTAGCCAGGTGTAGTGGCGCACACCTGTAGTTTGGGAGGCTGAGCAGGGAGGAGTGCTTAAGCCCATGAGTTCACAGCTGCAGTAAGCCATGACAGCACCACGGCACTCCTGCCTAGGCAACTGAGCAAGACCCTGTCTCAAAAAAAAAAAAAAAATTAAATTAGTAAATACTTCAACTTAAAAAAATAGTATTCTAAGGCTCATAAGTCATTAAGTCCAAGTTACTGGAGTTAAAATTCAAAGTCTTCAATTCAAGCACTAATCAGAGATTTGGAAAAAAAAAACACAAGACCACATTTTTGTTTTTTTTCTTGCTAGAAATCTAAAATTGCTTTATAGCTAAGATCATATCATGCCATGTACTTGGAAAAAACAGCTTCTAGATAAAAAGAGAAGGAAAATTGTTCTTCTCTGTTCCTGACTCAAAACAAAACTAGGGCTGGGCGCGGTGGCTCACGCCTATAATCCCAGCACTTTGGAAGGCCAAGGCGGATGGATCACCTAAGGTCAGGAGTTTGAGACCAGCCTGGCCAACATCGTGAAACCCATTTCTACTAAAAATACAAAAATTTGCTGGGCGAGCTGGCGGGTGCCTGTAATCCCAGCTACTCAGGAGGCTGAGGCAGGAGAATCACTTGAACCTGGGAGGTGGAGGTTGCAGTGAGCTGAGATCATGCCACTGCACTCCAGCCTAGGTGACAGAGCGAAACTCTGTCTCAAAAAAAAAAAAAAAGAAAAAAAAAGAGAAGACTAGGCTCTAGCTGCTCCTGGATATATTTAGCAAAGTCTCGCAGAACCTCTGTTCTATCTTCTGGGAGAGCACACACCATGGTCAGGAGCGTGCAGCCCAACAACCACACCCTGGGGCTCCGTTCCTCCTCTGCCTCTTACTAGCTGTGTTCTTTGGACAAGTGACTATTTTTCTGTGTGCCAAGTTTTCCATCTGAGAAGTGGAGATAATAATACCTACTAAAACAGGCTGGGCACGGTAGCTCACGCCTGGAATCCCAGCACTTTGGGAGGCCAAGGCAGGTAGATCACCTGAGGTCAGGAATTCAAGACCAGCCTGACCAACATGGAGAAACCTTGCCTTTACTAAAAATACAAAATTAGCAGGGTGTGGTGGCACATGCCTGTAATCCCAGCTACTCGGGAGGCTGAGGCAGGATAATCGCTTGAATCCAGGAGGCAGAGGTTATGGCAAGCCGAGATTGCGCCATTGCACTCCAGTCTGGGCAACAAGAGTGAAACTCCCTCTCAAAAAACAATAAACAATAAAAAAATAAAATGGGGGAAAGAAGCCATTTATGCACACATTAATTTATGCACACATGAAGTTTCTCTCTATATAACTAATCCGGCAAATCAGTTCACATTATTTAGCTTTATAGTATCTAGGAAAGAAGAGGCAGATACTATTATCTCCACTGTACAGATAGTTGTGATTTACTTGTGGCACAATTTAATGGTTTAACATAAATAAAACACCTCACATATTTCCTAGTACTCGCCATTATTATTGTACTTAAGCAAAAAGGTTAACTTTTAGAAATGAATTGTAAGTAACTTTTAAATCTCTCTTAGAATTAAAAAAAAAATTCCTCATGAAGTTCAAGTTATAAGAAAAAGAATTCTTAAACAGCCAGGTTAACAAAAAAAAGAAAATAAGAAAAAGAATTTGGCCAGGCCCAGTGGAGGAGGGTCAGAGGCCAGGAGTTCAAGACCAGCCTGGGCAACACAGCAAGACCCTGTCTCTACAAAAAATTAAAAAAATTAGCCAGGTTTGGTGGCACATCCCTGTAGTCCCAGCACCTCAGGAGGCTGAAGAGGAAGGATCATTTGAGCCCAGGAGGTTGAGGCTACAGTGAACCATGATCATTCCACTGCACTCAGCTTGGGCAACAGAGGGAGCCCCTGCCAGAAAGAAAAGAAAGAAAGGGAGGAAGGAAAGGAGGGAGGGAAGAAGGGAGGGAGGGAGAAAGGAAGAGAGGAAGGAGGGGAAGAGAAGAAAGTGGAGGGGAGGGGATGAGAAGGTAGGGGAGAGAAGGGGAGGGGAGAACAGAGGGAAGGAAGGAAGGGAATTCTAGCCAGGCATGGTGGCTCAAGTCTGTAATCCCAGCATTTTGGGGAGGCTGAGGTGGGAGGATCGCTTGAGCCCAAGAGTTCACGACCAGCCTGGGCCATATAGTGAGACGTCGTCTCTCCAAAAAAAAAAAAAAAAAAAAAACCTTAAAAAATTAACCCAGCATGGTAGCATGTGCCTGTAGTTCCAGCTACTTGGGAGGCTGATGTAGGAGTATTGCTTGAGCCTGGGAGGTAGAGGTTGCAGTGAGCTGAGATCACACCACTGCACTCCAGTCTGGGTGACAAAGCTTATTCATTCAGGGAAAACATAGGAAATGGTTTCTCTTACATAACTTAAGTTTCAAGGAAACTGACCTCATGGCCCTACCTCAGAATTAAAAGAAAACATTTTCATTAGTAATGTTATTAATAAAATATTTTGTCTAAATTGTTAATATAATTAAAAATGAATTGTTTTATTTTCCCTTTTATACACAATCATCAAAAACCAGCCAAATGTCCCTAAACTTGATTTTTTGCTGCTACAAACATAATCATTTATTCCAGTAGTGAAAACTTCATTATTTGGGGCTTAACTTTCCATTTTAAAAGATATTCCCTCTGCCTTTTGCTTCTCTGGCTCTCTCATCATTCACTTGTCCTTGTTACTTGTTAATACCACTGCCAGGAAGCACAGCGCAGCACAGCACAGCACAGCACAGGACAGGACAGGACAGGACAGCACAGGACAGGACAGCACAGCACAGGACAGGACAGGACAGGACAGGACAGGACAGGACAGGACAGGACAGCACAGCACAGCACAGCACAGGACAGGACAGCACAGCACAGCACAGCACAGCACAGCACAGGACAGGACAGGACAGCATAGGATAGGACAGGACAGGACAGCACAGGACGGCACAGCAGGCTATTCTGGTCAATGTTCAGTAAGCAAGGCTGAAACTAATGGTTGTAACACCCCATTAGGTGATCTACCAGTGAGTTCAGACAGAAACTACCAGTAATGACCTTAAACGATAAGGAAGACAATCTAGTCCTTCCTTCAGATAATGATTACGGAGTGGCTCAACAACTGAATTTCTTTGGACAAGTAAGGACAAGCTCAGCTAGAGAACCCAGGAGGTTGAGTAACAAGACGTTGTTTTCTTCTGTGAGACCAATGCACGGATTTTAGAAAGAGAGTAAAGGTCATTTTGTACCAAAAACTAAATAAATAAATAAATAAAATTTAAAAATCTACAATATCTGCCTTACTTAAGAGATCAGAAATGTTAATTTTTTTAAAAAAGGATGACAATTTCTTTCTTTTTTTTTAACCAAGAGACAAAAGCAAGAAAAAGATGGCAATTTCTATTGCTGTTCTCAGGCTTCAAAACTGGCAGATACGGGAAAAAAACGTTAATACAGAGAGTTAGACCTACCATACCCTTGACTGAAATGAACATCATATAGCAGGACTTACATACAGACACAAGTAAGGAAATACTGATGGCCAACACCATAGAAGTAATCTTTGCATACTCTTTTAATGAATAGTCTTACAATTCAAAAGAATGGAAACTCAATTACTATTACAGGGTTTTATCATTAGATATTCATGGTAGCCTCTAATCTTGTTTTCTTTCATCCCTGAGATTCCCAACTATTACATTAAACAAAGCTCAATTACCTTTCTGATAATCATTTTTTAAAAAGAAAAGAAAAAAGCAAATAGGAAAAAAATATATATATATATAATATATATATATATATATTTTTTTTTTTTTTTTTTCTGAAACGGAGTCTTGCTCTGTTGCCCAGGCTGGAGTAAAACGGCACGATCTCAGCTCACTGCAACCTCTGCCTCCTGGGTTCAAGCCATTCTCCCACCTCAGCCTCCCAAGTAGCTGGGATTACAGGCGTGCACCACCACACCCAGCTAATTTTTTGTATTTTTAGTAGAGATGGGGTTTCACCATGTTGGCCAGGCTGGTCTCGAACTCCTGACCTCGTGATCTGCCCACCTTGGCCTACCAAAGGGCTGGGATTATAGGGATGAGCCACTGCGCTCGGCCAGGAAAATATTTGAAGAGGAAAAACAGCTATAGAAACTCAGGTCTCCACACAGAAGGATTCTACTCTGCACTTGTTCACTGTCTCTGAATGACTGTTACCTACATGAAAGTTCCTGATTTTTCCCCCTTGGGGGAGTTACTTTGAATTGCTGGCAAAGACAGACTGGATATAGGTCAAATCCTATTATCAGGAACTAATTAAAGTACAAATTATTTGGGTGTGGGAGAATTCTACTGTGAGTTATGAGGCTAGGGCTCTTTGTTGTTGAGGCTTTTCTCTTAGTGTGACAACTGTTAAGGGTCAAAATCTCTAGGTGCATAACTTAATAGCAGCATTACTTTATATTGGTTTCCTTTCCCCAGCACAGAGCAGCCTTCCAATTGCACAGAAAATGTATCCTCAGTCTGCGTACTGAAGCACTCTTTCATGAAATCAAAAATTGTAAAAAAGTTCCAGAACACCCAACTCCCCTTCCCTCTCACCACAGGAGCTCTTTTCACAACAAGATAATGAAAAGTAAAAACACTGAGAAATGGGATTCTGCATACACATACCTTACATATTTTACATGCTTAAAGTTTCTCTTAAAAGGCATTTGAATTGAAGCAACAAAATATGTTTATCTTAAGGACAATTCATGGTTTATAAACTACCAGAAAAGAAGTTCGCTGCTGAAATACAAAACAGTGAGTTCAAACATAGGCTTTCAAAAAGCCACGAAATTTCTAACAAATACAAATGAGTGTGTACATATATGACTATGTGCACATATGTACTGTTTTGCTGGGGACAGGGTACACAGCTTCCTCAAAGGGACCCTGATTTGGAAACAGAAAGGTTAAACCAGTATAATCAACTAAGGTCATTTTAAATTACTGTTTAAGTAAATTTAATTACACAGCAGATACTAGGTTATTTAACTCAAGCAGTGAAAACAACAGACTATGTGACCACACTTCCTACCTCTGTGTCCCAGGAATCCTGAAAGACAGGGTTTCTGCTACTTCTTTTGGTCTGGGGGGGAAGATGGTTGTCTTCTTCGTTGCCATTCCTTCTCCTTTTCCTGAAATTAAATCACAAGGAGAAAAAAAAAAAAACCCAAACAACCGATGTTTTGGACACTTGAATTGCAAACCATAACAACATATAAATTTGCCCTCTGGCCTGAGAAAACATAATTCAGCATATGATATCCCAATAGGTTATCAGTTGGAAGTACAGCATCACTGGACACTAAGAGCAAAAATACAAGACAGCAGCAGCGAGGTCAAGCTTAAGTTAGTAAAACTCATTTCTAAAAAGAAGCTTAACAATTTTAAATGTCTGTTGGGACTGAAACAAGAACAGGAAGAGGTTAATGACTAAGCTTTCAACCTCTAACCTAATTAAGGTTTTCTTCTTTTTACACTCCCTGAAATTAGGATTCCGAGTTACCTAATTGTACTCCCTTCCATATGACAACATTTGATATAAGAGTGGCTGCCTTTGCCTATTTGCCCTGAAAACCCTTATAAAAGTACCTCTTGGTCACATTCACCTGCTTATTCTGGCAACACTAGCCGGTATTATGATATAACAATTACTTCACTAGATTGTTACTATGAGATGATAGCATAAGCTGCTTAAAATTTCCAGGTTTAAAGAAAAATCACACATCTTTCTTAGGCAAGTGTTCTCGGACATGCAAGAAAGACCAAATTTGCATGTACTCTATTTAAGAATTATGTGCTGTCAAAACGATTTCTGAACCTGTTAGAAAACAGAAATAAATTAAAGGAGGTATAATTTTCAGTCAAATTGCCCGGAACTGTACTGTCCAATACGGTAGCCACTAGCCACATATGGTTATTTACATTTAAATTAACTAAAATTAACCATCCAGTTCCTAGGTCACAGCTGCCCTGTTTCTAGTGCTCAGTGGCCACGTGTAGCTAGTGGCTACTGCACTGACCAGCACAGATAAAGGACATTTCCGTCACTGCAGAACGTTCTCCGGAGCAGCACAGGCTAGAGGTCTGTATGTACATGGCAGCAGCACCTATTACAAAACCCTTGAAGTTTCAGCTTTCTATAGTTAAGAGACAAAAGGCTAGTGTGGACACACAGCTCTTGGAAAGCATGTACATTTGGAGGATATAGTGTCTTCTAAATAATTATACACTTTCTATGAGAGTAGGGTGGCTTACAGTGGCAGGCCTTTAATCCTAAAGGTTTTGAGTTGAGGTTTGAATATTAGAGAAAATAAATGATCACCCTAAGCTCACTTCTCTGTACTCTGCAACATTCTGAATAGGTCTAACTTTAATAATGAGTATGGATCCCAGCTTAAGTTTGGAATAATAAAGAGTGTGTGGTTCTGATAAAGCTTCAACCATCCTGCACTGGGCTATGTAATTTACTTCATTCTAAGACATTTCTGCTCCCCACCTTTCTCTTAGGAGATCAGATCTTAGCTGCACATTACTTTGAAGTAGTTGGAGGTTAAAAAAAAATAGATGAATATCAGGTTTTAATAATCATTAAATGGGTGTGCTTTTATCATAAATTTGAACCAAGAAACTGCTAATTTCATCCTAATATGATCAGGGAATTTGAGTGGGAGTGTTCTGCAGAGGCAAAGCAATGTCTGCTGGGAGGCCAGTCGACACCCAAAGAGAAAGTCATTGAGTAAGTAGCAGCTGCTGGTCCTCACACACCCATTTTATCAGCGTGCCAACAGCTGACTGGGCTTTGGGCTGCTGAGTCACTCTAACCAAACTTAGGAGCCTGATCAAAATTTGCTATCTCCTCATTTATAATGGGGGATAGATCTTTCCAGGGACAAGACTATGAATGTCAAGGAGGTTGCATGGCAGAGGGACTGTAAGAACAAAAAAAGATGAGATGATTTTGTGGATTTCAACTAATCTCTGGGAGAGTCACATGAAATATCCCTGCCTCATAAATTACTTGATCTCTCAAGGCACCAGAATAATCTCTTTGGCCTGTTGGTAGCCTTCTCCTCTGGATGGTACCAGATTAAGAAAGAGTCCTACCTGCTCTTCATTTGCCTTTTTCTAGGCTCTTAGCAGATCTCATCCTTGAAACATTCTTCTTTCAACAATGGTGTTAACAACTGGCAAGATTACAGCTTCATGCTCATCCCTATCAGTTCAATCAATCAGATTACAATTTTTGGCATTAATGCCACAGACCAGGTTATGATTTTAGCAGGCACCCCTATAACTGATTATATTCTTCCCTAACCATCTAGGTGCAGATTACCAGTTAGCATCTGTTACTTCTACAGATGGTTGATTCCATCACGTTGCATTATTTCATTTCTCTCCAACCTTCCTGTCATCTCCTAGAGACTCGGCATAGAAATAATCTTAAGAGTATGGGCTGGGCACGGTGACTCACACCTGTAATCCCAGCACTTTGGGAGGCTGAGGCAGGCAGATCACTTGAGGTCAGGAGTTCGAAACCAGCCTGGCCCACATGGTGAAACCCTGTCTCTACTAAAAATACAAAAGAGTTAGCAGGGCGTGGTGGCGTGTGCCTGTAATCCCAGCTACTTGGGAGGCTGAGGCAGGGGAACTGCTTGAACCCAGGAGGTAGAGGTTGCAGTGTGCCGAGATCGCACCACTGCACTCCAGCCTGGCCGACACAGTGAGACTCCATCTCAAAAAAAAAAAAAAAAAAAAAAAAAAAGAGTATGGAAACTAGTGGTTTTCAAACTTTATTTTAAAAAGTAACAGAACTCTTTCTTTCTTACTGTAAAAAAATTCTCTCTATATAAGAGATAAAGGATCTGTTAAAGTAGGGACTCCCAGTCTGGTGAGGTGGCTCACATCTGTAATCCCAGCACTTTGGGATGCCGAGGCGGGTGGATCCCTTGAGCCCAGGAGTTCAAGACCAGCCTGGGCAATATAGTGAAACCCCACCTCTACCAAAAATACACAGATTAGCTGGGTGTGGTAGCTCACACCTGTGCTCCAGCTACTCAGGAGGCTGACGTGGGAGGATCACCTGAGCCTGGGAGGTTGAGGCTGCAGTGAGGCATGATGGGGCCACTGCACTCCAGCCTGGTCGACAGAGTGAGACTCTGTCAATCAATCAGTCAATCAATCAACCAATCAATCAATCAATAAGCAGGGACTCCCTCACTACACACTCACCTCTCTGCGGCTATCCAATCTACTGTGGGAGAGCCTGAAAACCCTTTTTTTTTTTTAGATGGAAGTTTCGCTCTTGTTGCTCAGGCTTGAGTGCAGTGATCTCCGCTCACTGCAACCTCCGCCTTCCAGGTTCAAGCGATTCTCCTGCCTTAGCCTCCCAAGTAGCTGGGATGAAGGTGCCCACCACCAGGCCCAACTAATTTTTTTGTATTTTTAGTAGAGACAGAGTTTCACCATGTTGGCCAGAGTGATCTCCAACTCCTGACCTCAGGTGATCCGCCCGCCTTGACTTCCCAAAGTGCTGGGATTACAGGCGTGAGCCACCGCACCCAGCCGAAAAACCACCGTCTTAGACCATCCTAGAGCTGGCAGAGCTGGCCCATCATACTCCATTAAACACTGGCAGGAAAAGCCTGTCCAAATCAAATAACTTCTTTAAAACATGTTGAGATTATTTGTGTACAAGATAAAAGGAATCTACTGCCAGTATAAATGCATTCAGATTAGTTATGTACAGTAGAATTTTTATTTGTAGGAAATATTTAGATTTTTTTTCAGATATGTGAGACACCCCAAGAGAATATCGTAAGTATAAACTGGGTTTGGGAAAGAATAATATGGCAGTCGGGTCAGATTCACTGTATCTAAAGATCTTGCTCCTAATTCCGATGGCATGTCTGTAATTGGGCCCCCAATTTCAAATTTAGTCCACTCTTCTTTTCTATACAAGGAGAGGCTTTATGCTCCACCTGCTACATGACCCAAATCAATAATCCAATGCAGCAGCTTGGGGAACCCTAGGTTTTCACTATGGGACCAAATAAACTCAGAATACTTTTGAGAACTTCAATCACATGAAATAATTATTTCAGAGAAGGATCCTTGTGGAAAGACCGTAACAGGAAGAGCATTCTGAGGTAACCTTTCCCAACTTTCTCCTCCACACATTCTTGCAGAGGAAATTAAGAGAGAGAAAAAAATTAAGAAATCCCAACTTAGTCCGGACTCTAGTAGTACATGTCAAGCACAGAACCCCTAATTTAAGACCCGCGTCCCGAGGCCAGGCTCCCTCGGGAAGGTAGCGAGTGCATCGCGATAAAATCTTTCCTCCCGCCTTCGGAGTCAAACGGCCCCGCAATCCAAACAGTTTAGAATCCAGCTTGTTCTTAATGCCACAGTCAAGAGAAGATCCATAACCCGCCTTGGTCATCTGCCCTTCTGTGTTCACAACCGTTCAGGGCACAAGTTCTTCGGTCTAACCGAATCTTTCCCTGCTGCGGGGTTAAGCCCAACCTTTCTTTCTGACCTTGGGGAGCCGGCAGCTCCCCGCCCGGTGCCCTCACAAAAGCCTTTGGGGGCTCCCTCTCCAAGATGAGACGTTTATCCCATCCCCCCACCCTCCTAAATTTAGGACAGGAAAGCTTTAGGGCCACCGTCTCTCTTCCGGGACCGATCACACTTCGTTCCAAATAGGAAAAGACAGGGGGGAAAAAAGATGGAGGGGCGGGAGACCTGGACCCCGGAGAGTCACCTTCCAGCTACCCACAGGAACCAAGCATCCGATCACTCGCGCATCCCTCTCCCCTCCTCCCCCGGCCCGCAGTGCACCCCACAGGGAGCCCCGCCGGGTCCACTCTTGCTCCGACCCCCATTTCGCGCGCCCCCTCGGCTCTATCTCCCAGATCCTCAGGCGACGAATGGAAAGGGGGTCCCTTCCCTCTCACCTGGGACGGAGGCGCTCGCTCATGGCAGCTGGCGGATGGAAGCTACGCGGCGCCGCTCCGCGAAGAGAGGGAACAGAGGGGGTTGTGTTTCGGCGGCCGCCACGCCCACCCCCTCGGGCCTTGGCTCTCGCAGCCGCTCGGGTGGACGCAGCCGGTGGCGAGTACCCCTCAGTCGGACCCGTACCACCACTACTTCCGGCGTCTGCTCCGCGCCCCCCCATGTCGCTGCCGCCGTGGTACCGCCCTCTCGCGGCTGCGCAGTGGCACCATCCCAACCGCACCGACTGGTAACCCCGCCCACGGGAAGAGGCGGGCTCGGAGCGGGAGGAGCGACTAGGAGCTTCTGGGAGAAAGGACCTCCCCTGGGGTGGCAGAAGCGCTCGCCTGTTCACAGCCAACGGAGGGTACGGTATAAAAGTCAAGCCAGGTTTCAAATAAATTCAATTATGTCATAATAATATCATACAAGTATTTGAGTTGAATCCGTGTAACATATTTTAAAACAGGCGGACCTATCCGGCAGTGGTGCAGACGGCCTGACGAGGTTCCTTGGCCGGGGGTTGGGCAGGGGCCTGGGGGGCTTCCCTGGGGGGCTTGTCGCCGGGGCCGCCTGGGCTTTCAGGTCTTCCGAGGTGAGGACGGTGCTCTGTGGGGAGCTTGCAAGGGCGGGTTTGTTTTCCGCGGCCCACGTTCTAAGTCTGGGGGAGACTCTCCTGAGCGGAGAGGGTAGGGAATCGGGTGCCGGGGCCGGCGGAGGGTCTTCCTGGAACCGCAGGAGGAAATCCTCGGTGGGGCTGCGGGAACGGCTGTCCCTGACCCAGGAGCTGCCGGGCCGACCCCATCCACTCCGCAGAATCAGAACAGCTGGCAGAATCAGAACAGCTTTCAGGGAAAGGAAGGGTGCGGGGAGGTGGGCAGGCTGGTAACGCAGCGGGAGGAGGGAAAGGCGGCTGGAGAGCGCCGGAGGTGAGGGTGAGGATTAGTGGAACTATTGAGGTCCTCCTTGAGCCCGGAGGCTGGGGAGGTCTTAACTCTCTGCTTTCCGGAACCTGTGTTTCTATTTGGTTCAGTATCGTGCCGCGTTTACTCACTGTGCATGCTGCCAAGTCACCTGTCTGATCGTGTCCTACACAGGCTGACATTCACGTTTCATTCTGCCACACTCGGGAACGGTGATCGGGGAAGCATGGGGATCCGGGAGAAGCACCCACAAAACTAGCATCCTCCTGGAGGAGCTCGGGTAAGAAAACAGACACCCACGTATAGACGTTATCGTGGGAATGTACCGGGATCTTTCAAGTAGGGTTGAGTGTGAGGTGGAGTGGAGGCAGAAACGTCTAGCAGGTGTCAAGCCCTTCCTAACGTTGTTAGCCGAAGGTCCATGGACTGGCTTCATTTGTGTGTATTATTGTAAACAAACAGTCTGTGGCTTTCATCCTGTTAGTGTGTACCTCCAAAGAAAGAAAGAATGATGGCTCACGCCTGTAATCCCAGCAGGCTGGGCGCGGTGGCTCACGCCTGTAGTCCCAGCACTTTGGGAGGCCGAGGCGGGTGGATCACCTGAGGTCAGGAGTTCAAGACCAGCCTGGCCAACATGGTGAAACCCCGTCTCTACTAAAAATACTAAAATTAGCTGGGCGTGGTGGCGCACGCCCTTAATCCCAGTAATCCCAGCCACGCGGGAGGCTGAGGCAGGAGAACCGTTTGAACCTGGGAGGCTGAGGTTGCTGTGAGCCGAGATCGCGCCACTGCACTCCAGCCTGAGTGATAGAGCAAGACTCCATCTCAAAAAAAAAAAGACCAAACAACAACAAAGTAAAAATGATTACTGTAATCTGTTGGCAGAAAACAGTTTTGTTTTGAAGGACTTCGTACAGGATAAGGTGGGTTGGTTGCTTTATTGAATGGATTGGTGAAGATTGTGTCTATTTTGTAAGTGGTTTCAGTCACCCTTTTTAATCTCTTTGGTAGTCAGAAGATATTATCAGTTGTAGTACTGAATAATATTTAAACGTTTATATCTAAAGAATTAAGTGAACAAATATTGTATGCCAGGCTCAGTGCTAGGTTTTTACATACAGCTGTGTGCAGGATAGATATGTTTCCTGCCCTCTGGAACTTTATAGAAAGAATAAGAGATGTAGAAAGGAAATAACTTTCAACTAAACATTGGAATTAAACATTTTCTTTTCTGGACTCTAAAGAATAACAGGTACAAATATACATGGTATAAATGTTTTTTTTTTAATTTTTTACATCGTATATGTTTAACAAAGATGTCAAACTAATTTGCCAGTAATCTGTTGTACTAGAAACTATAAGTAGGCCAGGCGTGGTGTCTCACGCCTGTAATCCCAGCACACTGGAAGGCCGAAGGCGGGCAGATCACGAAGTCAGGAGATTGAGACCATCCTGGCCAACATGGTGAAACCCCGTCTCTACTAAAAATACAAAAATTAGCCTGGCGTGGTGGCGCATGCCTGTAGTCCCAGCTCCTCGGGATGCTGAGGCAGGACAATAGCTTGAACCTGGGAAATGGAGGTTTCAGTGAGCCGACACTGCACTCCGGCCTGGTGACAGAGTGAGACTCTGTCTCAAAAAAAAAAAAAAAAAAGTATAAGTGAAAAACAGGACTGTGTCCTTGGCCATGTATATATTTGTGCATTATGCATACATTTTATGTATATCTGTGTGTGTGTGTGTGTGTATATGCATATTACTAAATGTTAGTAGAGCTTCATTTCTCATTCTTTGATTGTGGTAATTCTAATATTTTCTTCTTACACCCTAGTGCATATTCTATTTATCACTTTGGAAACCTCTGCTGTAATCAGTAACCTTTGGCTGGGCGTGGGCGTGGTAGCTCGCGCCTGTAATCTCAGCACTTTAGGGGGCTGAGGTGGGTGGATTGCCAGAGCTCAGGAGTTCGAGACCAGTCTGGGTAACACGGACACGGTGAAACCCCGTCTTTACTAAAATACAAAAAATTAGTCAGGCGTGGTGGCATGCCCCTGTAGTCCCAACTACTTGGGAGGCTGAGACGAGAATTGCTTGAACCTGGGAGGCGGAGTTTGCAGTGAGCAGATATTGTGCCACTGCACTCCAGCCTGGGTGACAGAGTGAGACTCTGTTTCCAAAATAAATAAATAAATAAATAACCTTTGGTTCCTGGCCTAAGTTTTTTATTCTTTACCATTCTGTCCTTGAATAACGTGTTTAAGGGTTTTTAAACAATTTTTTATACTCATATAATGACTAGTTGACTTGCTGTAACCGTAAGTAGCAAACATCTAGCTTGTTCCAAATGAATTTAAAAGATACAACACATAAGTAAAATATTGGTATGTACAAACTATGTGCTTCTCATAATCTCACATTTACCTTTTTCAGGAATAGGATGAGTGATAATCCACCCAGAATGGAAGTGTGTCCTTACTGTAAGAAGCCATTTAAACGATTAAAATCCCACTTGCCATACTGTAAGATGATAGGACCAACCATACCTACTGATCAAAAAGTTTATCAGTCCAAGCCAGCTACACTCCCACGTGCTAAAAAGATGAAAGGACCAATCAAAGATTTAATTAAAGCTAAAGGGAAAGAGTTAGAGACAGAGAATGAAGAAAGAAATTCTAAGTTGGTGGTGGACAAACCAGAACAGACAGTGAAGACCTTTCCACTGCCAGCTGTTGGTTTGGAAAGAGCAGCTACTACAAAGGCAGATAAAGACATCAAGAATCCAATCCAACCATCCTTCAAAATGTTAAAAAATACTAAACCAATGACTACTTTCCAAGAAGAAACCAAGGCTCAGTTTTACGCATCAGAGAAAACCTCTCCTAAAAGAGAACTTGCCAAAGATTTGCCTAAATCAGGAGAAAGTCGATGTAATCCTTCAGAAGCTGGAGCGTCTTTACTGGTTGGCTCAATAGAACCTTCTTTGTCAAATCAAGATAGAAAATATTCCTCAACTCTACCTAATGATGTACAAACTACCTCTGGTGATCTCAAATTGGACAAAATTGATCCCCAAAGACAGGAACTTCTAGTAAAATTACTAGATGTGCCTACTGGTGATTGTCATATTTCTCCAAAGAATGTCAGTGATGGGGTTAAAAGGGTAAGAACATTATTAAGCAATGAGAGAGATTCCAAAGGCAGGGATCACCTCTCAGGAGTCCCTACTGATGTTACAGTTACTGAGACTCCAGAAAAGAACACAGAATCCCTCATTTTAAGCCTTAAAATGAGCTCATTAGGTAAAATCCAAGTCATGGAGAAACAAGAGAAAGGACTTACCCTGGGAGTAGAGACGTGTGGGAGCAAAGGAAATGCAGAGAAAAGTATGTCTGCAACAGAAAAGCAGGAACGGACTGTCATGAGCCATGGCTGTGAGAACTTCAACACCAGGGATTCAGTCACAGGAAAGGAGTCTCAAGGGGAAAGACCACATTTAAGTTTGTTCATTCCGAGGGAGACGACTTACCAGTTTCATTCTGTATCGCAGTCAAGTAGTCAAAGTCTTGCCTCTCTAGCTACAACATTTCTTCAAGAAAAGAAAGCAGAAGCCCAGAATCATCATTGTGTCCCTGATGTAAAGGCATTAATGGAGAGTCCCGAGGGACAGTTATCTCTGGAGCCCAAATCTGATAGTCAGTTCCAAGCATCACACACTGGGTGCCAGAGCCCTTTATGTTCAGCCCAGCGTCACACTCCTCAGAGCCCCTTCACCAATCATGCTGCAGCTGCTGGCAGGAAGACTCTTCGCAGCTGCATGGGGCTGGAGTGGTTTCCAGAGCTCTATCCTGGTTACCTTGGACTAGGGGTGTTGCCAGGGAAGCCTCAGTGTTGGAATGCAATGACCCAGAAGCCACAACTTATCAGTCCCCAGGGGGAAAGACTCTCACAAGGTAAACAAGCTTATTTTCAATTGCCATCTGTCCCATCCAAAATGCTCTCTCTGCCTTTTGAATTTATAAGGGTCAAAATACTAACATTTTCAGTCATTTAGTTTATTTTCACCTAGGCATGCCAGTAGACTGCATATAAAGTTGTCCTGAAAGAGGCTGGGTGTAGTGGCTCACACCTGTAATCTAAGCACTTTGGGAGGCTGAGGCCAAGGCAGGTGGATCACTTGAATTCAGGAGTTAAGACCAGCCTGGGCAACATGGTGAAACCCCATCTCTACTAAGGATACAAAAAATTAGCTGGGTGTGGTGGCGCACCTGTAGTCCCAGCTATTTGAGAGGCTAAAGTGGGAGATCACCTGATCCCGGAAAATCAGGGCTGCAGTGAGCCGAGTATGTGCCACTTCACTGCAGCCTGGGCGACGGGAATGAGACCCTGTCTCAAAAAAAAAAAATTGTCCTGAAAACATTACTTCTTGCTTCAGTGGTCAGTAGTGGTGGTTTATCCCTCTCTTTTTCTCTCCCCCAAGAGTTGAGGGTTACACTAGGGCAGGCTGGCGATACTGAAAGCAGTTGAGTTTCTGCCTTGAGAAGAGGCATGTCCAGTAGAAACTGGATGGGTAAACAGACTGGAGAAAAATATAAAGACTTGAAATTCAGCTAGATAGAATAAGCACTGTGTTCAGAATCCAGTCAGGACCAGGTTGTACAAGAAATAGGTTCTAAGTTTACAGGACAAGAAATAGGTTCTAGGTTTCAGGCAAATGCAACATCTAGGAATTTAGAGTAGCAAAGTAGGATGCAGGTGGTAGGACACAGGTAAAACTAGCCAGGTAAGACGGGCAGGCAAGGCAGATAAGTGGAAGTGGAGGCTCAGGAAATGAACAGTGAAGATCAAGGACCAGAAACGGAGGATGTGGCCAAAAACAAAAGAAAAAATGTAGGCCACAGAGACTAGGACCCAAGAATAAAACCAGTGATTGAGCCTGGAAACAGGAGAGATGAGGCGAGAAGGGCTTGGGGCGAAAGACTGAACGTTGAAACTCACCTTGATTATGAATCAAACTTCAGAAGCTTCCTAGAGGCTCCTTTTGCTGATGGCTGGAATCGGTTAACAGGAGGGAAGACCAAGGCCCAAGGAGCCAGGAAGTTCCTGACAGTCATTTGAAATATCTTTGCTTTTCTCTGCTGAATCTCATCTTTAGTTATGAGACCACCTCTCTAGTTAAAATACATAAAGTTTCTTAAGCTTTTCTAGGGGCAGGGTGATTGTAAAGTAGCATACCTGTCGTTTGTAAAGTAGCATACCTGTCGTGTGTAGTGGCCATTGGTGCTTTCATGCTTATTTTGACAGGAGACCTGTAACAACTCAGAATAGGTTTGCAAGAGAAAAACTGGTATTATCTCTTCCTAAAGGGAAATCATTTTCTTCTCTGGTAGATTTTGCAAATGATCTCATATTCACTAAACCTCTATTTGCCTGGTCTCAAAATGGATGTGTACTAAAAGCAGAACATTGCTAGCCCAAAGCTACATTTTCTTTAACTACCTTCTATAAACAGGCCTAACGTCTAGACCTTTTTGCACAAAGTTGTAGTCACAAAGTCAAGCCCCTTCTCCGTAATAAACACATTTAATTATATTAACATTTGTGTTGCTTTGTGGTTTTCAGAGTGCCTCCATCTGTATTTTTTTTATTTTGGGCACAAGGTGGACAGAGAGGTGGGCAGAGTGAATTTATCCTATTTTGTGGATGATGAAACAGGCACAGAGAGCATAAGTGATTTGTCCAAGTTTGTGTTGCCAATAAATAGTAGAGCTGCAAGGAGAACCTAGTTTCCTGAGGCCTAGTTTAATCTTTTCCACTAAACCATGTTGTAGAAAATACACCATAACTAAAACCATGTTTGTTATAGTGCCATACTTTTCTGTGTGTGTGTGTGTTTTGTTTTTTTGTTTGTTTGTTTTTTGAGACAGAGTTTTGCTCATTGCCCAGGTTGGAGTGCAGTGGTGTGATCTTGGCTCACCTCTGCCTCCTGGGTTCAAGCGATTCTCCTGCCTCAGCCTCCCAAGTAGCTGGGATACAGGTATGCGCCACCACGCCCGGCTAATTTTGTATTTTTAGTAGAGATGGGGTTTCTCCGTGTTGGTCAGGCTGGTCTTGAACTCGTGACCTCAGGTGATCTGCCCGCCTCAACCTCCCAAAGTGCTGGGATTACAGGTGTGAACCACCGTGTCCAGCCTTCTGTGTTTTTCAGTTGCAGATGCACACACTCCCCCCATGATAAATCTCTCTACCAAATTGAAGGACTTGTGTATTTTCTGTACTACATTTTATAGTGCTTAGGAGTGTCCTTGATACACACTTTTCATTTTAGAGGAAAAAGTGAGGGACCTGACGTTTATCTGTGATGACTATGACTATCGTTATGCTAGATACATTATGTCATTTAATCCTCATAACAGCTCTGAGTGACACCACTGTCCCACCCTCTTATTCCTCTTGAGGAATCTGAGCTTCAGACATCTTTTTTTTTTTTTCTTGAGACAGAGTCTTGCTCTGTCTCCCAGGCTGGAGTGCAATGGCACAATCACGGCTCACTGCAACCTCCACCTCCCAGGTTCAAGCGATTCTCCTGCTTCAGGCTCCAGAGTAGCTGGGATTACAGGTGCCTGCCACCACGCCCAGCTAATTTTTTTTTTTTTTAAGTAGAGATGGGGTTTTGCCATGTTGGCCAGGCTGGTCTCGAACTCCTGACCTCAGGTGATCCTCCCGCCTTGGCCTCCCAAAGTGCTGGGATTACAGGTGTGAGCCACCAGGCCTGGCCTGAGCTTCAGACATTAAGTGACTTCCCTATGTTCATGCAGTAAGTGACAGAATCAGGATTCAAACCCAGGTTCGTCTGACTCTACTAACTATTCCAAACAGTGAACCTCAAGTTGAGTTTAAAGACCACAGATAGAAGAGTCAGGTGAACCTGGAGGTATTAACTACTAACTCTCCCAAACAGTAAGCCTCAAGTAGAGTTTAAAGACCACAGATAGAAGTCAATACCTTGTTTGATATGTTATTGATACATTTCACTGTTAGCTCCTAAGAATACAATAATAAGATACAGTAACTTAAAACATTAAATTACCAAGGTTATGAGACAGGATATAGGAGGGAAAATAGAATTTTTTCTTCAGTAACAAGTTCCTTCCAAATAGTGGTGAGAAACTATTTTAATCCCTTTTATTGCTCATAGTCTGTAACTAATAAATGTTGTACTTAGTTTGGGACTTCTACATCAAGACAGTAAATAAGGTGTAATCATCATAGGGCCTCTACTTCTATTATAAACTGAAAAACTATTGAAGTTGGATCCAGGATCAGTGTTCAGACTTTGATGTTACCACCAAATGAACACAAGATACTAGAGGAGAGAGACCCTAGGATCAGGTCAAGCCCTGATCCCTCCATTGGCCAAGGACTTCAAGGCCATATCAATCTATAGGGATTAAAAGATGGTGCCATTGGCTCCTTAAAAAGCTTTGTAATTTCACCAGGCAATGACTGTCTCCAATGACTGCAAATTAGAGTTTTATTGGAATCTTTGCACAAGAGAATGGGCTATACCTTTTCTCACTCAGGCAAGACCTTTGATAGGTCATTTGCCCTTCTCAGGAAGCCAACTCATTCCTTTGGTACTTAAAAGGCAGGGCCAGTGAGCTAACAGTTACTGAATTAACTGCAGGTCAGGACAGTAGGCTCACCTGACTGGAGAAAGCAGGGCAAGGTCAGGGAGCCACGTGATCCTGACACTGCTGACAACATGGTTGCAATTTTCAGGAAGTTGTCTCTTTACACCGTTTTCCTCAAATTTTTTCCAAGATGAATGGGTTTTTTTTTTAAGAGACTAACCTTCACCTTGCAAGAGAATTATCTTCTGTGCAATTTCTTGGAAGCCAGCATGATTCTTTTCATTGTTCTTTAATGATCATTTGGATATTTTTACATCCACAGCAACTTTTACCACACTTGCTAAACCTGTTGTCGGTGTTTAATTTCTTCTTTATCTTGATGAACCAAACCAAGACTAGAGAACTATCAGTAGTAGAGATTACCTGTCATAAAACATGGAGAAAACCATGTACAGGAGAAATGT
This sequence comes from Homo sapiens, assembly GCF_000001405.40. NCBI lineage: Eukaryota > Metazoa > Chordata > Mammalia > Primates > Hominidae > Homo > Homo sapiens. The sequence continues at coordinate 73,241,141 of NC_000017.11, forward strand.
GATTAAGGAGCATAAGCCCTCTTTTTTTTGTTTTTGAGGCAGAGTCTTGCTCTGTTGCCCAGGCTGGAGTGCAGTGTAGCGATCTCTGCTCACTGCAAGCTCCGCCTCCTGGGTTCACGCCATTCTCCTGCCTCAGTCTCCCGTGTAGCTGGGACTACAAGCGCCCGCCACCACGCCCGGCTAATTTTTTCTGTTTTTTAGTAGAGACGGGGTTTTACAGTGTTAGCCAGGATGGTCTCAATCTCCTGACGTCGTGATCCACCCACCTCAGCCTCCCAAAGTGCTGGGATTACAGGCGTGAGCCACCGCGCCCGGCCTGCATAAGCCCTCTTTTCTGGTTCTGCTTAAGTTATTCATGCACTGAACATAAATAGGAAATGTTTGCTGGCCAATAATAGCGATAGGGTGATAGAACAGGCATGTTGACTGTGGGCAAGTCACAATCATAAAAGGAGAAAGTCACGCTTTTAGCTGACATGTTTAGCAGATGATAGAATATGTAAAAGAGGCCAGGCGCAGTGGTTCATGCCTATAATCCCAGCAGTTTGGGAGGCTGGGGCGGGCAGAACACATGAGGTCAGGAGTTCAAGACCAGCCTGGCCAAAGTGGCGAAACCCCGTCTCTACTAAATAACAAAAATTAGCCTGGCGTGATGGCGTGTGCCTGTAATCCCAGCTACTCGGGAGGCTGAGGCAGGAGAATCACTCGAACCCAGGAGGTAGAGGTTGCAGTGAGCCAAGATCATGCCACTGCACTCCAGCCTGGGCGAGAGAGTGAGACTGTGTCAAAAACAAAAAGATGATGTAAGAGACTCACTTCATGAAGCACATGCGCATCAATCACCTGGCCAGGGTACTCAGCAGACCAAAAAACAAGTAGACGCCCTGATTTTCAGGGGTCCCTTGGCCTTTTGAAAAACATTTTTTCAACCTGTAATTGATTTGACTTTCAACACTTAGCTGCAGTCCAATGCAGAAATCTTTAATGCACCTGTTTAGAATATGCTCTTCCTGAGGCTTAGCCGTGGATCCTTCGGCACTGGATGTTAGGGAAGGGGGTACGTTTCGGTAAACAATGACAGTGACTTCTGTTTGGAACCATAGTTTCTTTGTTGGAACGAAGCTCAACTCATATAAGGAGTTTGGAACCCCCTGCCGGACTTACAACCTCCAACTTCTCTCTAATGAGGCTCTTGGGAGCTGTACAAAAAGGTGAGGCTGGAGTTTGACTGTTGTCTTCTGTTGCAGGTTCTGGGCATTTGGAAAAGTTTCTCTTCGGGCTGTTAAGCAAGGCTAAAGAGGAGAGGAAAAAAATGTTAAAATGTGTGTTGTCTTCCTAGTTTTCCATTTGTCTGTGTTCATTTTGGAGTTGGACATAATTGAAAGCACCAAAGCTAATAACAGCTACCATTTATTCAACAGCTTGTATTTTTTAATACCTACCCCCAACTTTCCCTTGCCCACATTGATTGTGCCTCCTCCCAAAGCCAGAAAAACTCTAAACCTCAAGTTAACCAGTTGTATTAGCCTCCTCCCACTAAAGATTTTAACCAAGCACCCAAAACAAGAGTAACTAATTTGAATCTAGTCAAGTTAAGGTTCTTTGATGTTAGCCTTTATGTGTTTAAAATATGTGCGTGTAAATCTCTGAATTACAGTTCCATCACTCAGGCTAACTGGGAAAACTTGAATGACTCGCGGATACTGGCCCTAGTTTCAGTTGCTGTAACAACAAGCCGTGTTTCCTTTTGAACAGGCTGGATCAGGTGCAACACCACCATAAGGAAGAGTGGATTCGGTGGCATCACGATGCTCTTCACAGGATACTTCGTCCTGTGTTGTAGCTGGAGTTTCAGACGTCTGAGTAAGTCTTTCTATATTTCTAGCCTAAATAACAGGTCCCATTCCGTTATGTGGACCTCCAAGGGATTCTCTGAATTTTTTTTTTTTTTTTTTTTTTTTACAGCTTTACAGTATCTGGCATGCCCTGGTGAATGAGCTATTGCCTGGGGTTTCTGGGTTTTATTTTTTTGAGATACAGTTTTGCTCTTGTTGCCCAGGCTGGAGTGCAATGGCACGATCTCAGCTCACTGCAACCTCTGCCTCCTGGGTTCAAGTGATTCTCCTGCCTCAGCCTCTCGAGTAGCTGGGATTATAGGCATGCACCACCATGCCCGGCTAATTTTGTATTTTTAGTAGAGACGGGGTTTCTCCATGTGGGTCAGGCTGGTCTCGAACTGCCGACCTCAGGTGATCCGCCCACCTCAGCCTCCCAAAGTGCTAAGATTACAGGCATAAGCCACTGCACCTGGCAGGCTCCGGGGTTTTATTAGAGGCTTGGTTGTAATGGCCTGTATAAGATTTGACTAGAATTTACATAATTGCCCTTGTCCTCCATTTCATGTTGTCTTTTTTTTTTTTTTTTCCCACCCAGGCTAGAGTGCAGTGGCATGATCTCAGCTCACTGTAACCTCTGCCTCCTAGGTTCAAGTGATTCTTCTGCCTCAGCCTCCTGAGTAGCTGGGACTACAGGTGTGTGTCACCATGCCTGGCTAACTTTGTTTTTGTATTTTTAGTAGAGACAGGGTTTTCACCATATTGGCCAGGCTAGTCTCGAACTCCTGACCTCATGATTCTCCTGCCTCGGCCTCCCAAAGTGCTGGAATTACAGGCATGAGCCACCGCACTCAGCCTTTGTAGCTTTTTTCCCTTCCCTGCTAAAAGGTCAGGTACCTAAGAACTGTTACCCTGCTCCAATGGAAGGTGCTTTTCCTTGGTGCCTAAGAGCACCTTTTTGGCATTGAAACCAAACACCTTTACACCACAAAAGAGAGAAGGAGGAATAGAATACAGCTGTCACTTACCAATGTGTCTAAGTCTTATTGCTATCTCAGTTAATCTACTTTGAACACTTAAAAAACAAAGTGCCATTCTCCAAGTTTCAGCTTGCACTAAGTCTTAACCAGAAGGAAAATACCTTAATTTCATTTATCTTAATTCAAGATGTGTTTGTTCATTTCTTATTGTATTATTAAAAAAATCCTTCTAGTTAAAAAGATGAGTGGGTATCAAAAATATCAGCATTTTTGTATAATTAAATTTTTGTGCTGGTTTTTGTACAATCAAAAACCAGTATTTTGGGGCCGGGCGCGGTGGCTCACGCCTGTAATCCCAGCACTTTGGGAGGCCGAGGCTGGCAGATCACCTGAGGTCATGAGTTCAAGACCAGCCTGCCCAACGTGGTGAAACCCTGTCTCTACTAAAAATACAAAGATTAGCTGGGCGTGGTGGCGGGCGCCTGTAGTCCCAGCTACTCGGGAGGCTGAGGCAGGAGAATTGCTAGAACCCAGGAGGCAGAGGTTGCAGTGAGCCGAGATCGCGCCACTACTCCAGCCTGGGCAACAAGTGAAACTGCATCTCAAAAAAAAAAAAAAAAAAAAAAAACCACCAGTATTTTTGTACAATTAAAACAAAAAGCCCACTTTCAGATGAAAACTTCAGGTGTAAAAGTACAAGATAACGATGAATTCTGAAGGCCAGCATAATTCACACACTGGACTTCTTAAGAAAAAAAAAAATCACAATTTGATGCTAATTGGGATTCGTTTGATGAAATCAGTGCCTAGTGAGTAGCGGGTAGGTCCGACAGCAGGAACAAGGCGGCAGCACTCCTGCATGCTGGCTGGGATGGCCTCGCCGCCATCTCTTGTATCAGACACCTGGCCATGGGTGAGGAAAAGAAGTGCCTTTCTGATCGTCCTGCATAAATGGAGAGGCCCAAAACCAAGAGTCATTTCTCCCACAGAGAAAAGGGCTTTTCTTAAAGTTTTACCAGTCTGAAAGGGATTGTTTGATACCTGACATTAATGAACAGAGACTGAAGAAAGTGAAACAAACTTCTCATTGTGCTTAATACTCTATTTCTAAACTTATAAAACAAAAAGAGAATGATCTGTAGAGGCAAAAGATAGTAACAGTCATTGGAAGTGGCCTCTCGGATCCTTACATTTGTCTCTGTTTATCCAAAGAGCTGCAGCGGTGGCGTAAGTAGTGTTGACCTGGACATCACTTAAAGCTCTGGAACAGCAAAGGGCGTACAGTGGAGACGACTGCAATACATACTTAACAGTTTAAAAATGTATAATATTTGGGACAGGGAGAGGGGAGTGAAAAAAATAAAGAATAAAATTATTGGAATCTAAAATAATGATACAGGAAGTAAACGTATTATTAATATAGACAGATCTGGTTCTGTCTGGATGTTCTTGGCTTGCTCTCAGGAGCAACTGAGAATTAGAGAAAAACTAGTTTTGTTTAACCATAAAGTTGTTATTCAAGGAGATGTGAAGATGACAAAGTTCATCACTAAAATTAAGAAGTCACTTCTCAGTAAAAAGCTAGTATCTCATTACCATTCAGCTATATGAGATACCAGACTACTACCTATATGTTGATACAGGAAAGTATCTGAATTGGCAGAAAATAAGCCCACATCAGGCCCTTCCCCTTAGTTTCTTTGGGGCCCTTGACCAGATCTTGATAAGGTGTGAGAAACACAAGAGCTAAGGATGGGCATTCGAGTTGCAGGTAAGCCTCCGAAAAAAAGCTTACAAATATTTTTAAGCTGATTTTTAAAATAGCACACTAACTATAATGTTAAATCACATTTTATACATCTTAATTGAGTATAATAATGAACCGGTGGCTAATGTATCATCTCTTCCTGGAAACTTTTCAGAATCCCACCCCTATCTATCCCTTTCTCAAGAGTTTCTGTGCATTACTGAGAAATTCCTCTCCATTTGTTAGGGTTGTTTTTGGCTGGTGGGTTTTCTGTGTCTCTTCATCTCATCAAACTATTCAGTGTCTGATTTTTTGACTTCTGCTTTGGCCCACAGAGAGTAACTTGGATACTTACAGGTAGAAAAAGCTTTGAGGAAATTTAGGCAACGTTGATGGATAAGTGTTTCCCCAACCTCCTTTCTAACGTAGAGGGTTAGTTATATATCACACGCACACACCCGTCTGTCTCAGCTTTGCTTGTGGTGTCCTCATGCCAAAATACATGAGGTCAGTTCCTCTTATGTCCCAGCTCTTTTAAAACTACAGGAATGCTGGGTGCGGTGGCTCACGCCTGTAATCCCAGCACTTTGGTAGGCCAAGGCGGGCGGATCATGAAGTCAGGAGTTCAGGATCAGCCTGTGCAATGTGGTGAAATCCATCTCTACAAAAAAAAAATTGTAAAAAGTAGCTGAGCTCAGTGGCACACGCCTGTAGTCCCAGCTACTCAGGAGGTTGAGGCAGGAGAATCACTTGAGCCCAGGAGGCGGAGGCTGCAGTGAGCTGAGATTGTGCCATTGCATTCCAGCCTGGGTGATGGAAGTGAAACCTTGTCTCAAAAATCCCAAAAAACCTACAGGAAAGCCACAGCCAGCATGTGTTGACTTGTATGTCGTTTCTCTCTCTTCTCAAAGCTGGAATGCTGGGGCTACTTTTTACCTACCTTTTCTATTCCCAATCCCCTGCTCCTTTCCATCCCTAGTGGGAGTAATTTAATTCTGCAACAAATTCTCATAGTTAAGGTATTCAGCAATATATCCCTGTATCCTAGAATTCTCTGTAAGGAAAAAAGTTGTGGTTGAGGGGAAGAGTTCTACATTCAGTTATTTTAGTTTAATATTACTAAGAACTTCATTGGAACCCAGAACAATCTTCCCTGCCGAAAGAGCTTTGTGCCCATTCTCTGTGAATGCTCTTTAGGAGAGATGCTTAAGGATTCTCTCCACACCTCCCCATGTGTCCTTACTCAAGACCAGAAACTCTCAAGGTGAGAAGGTAGATGAGAATGACCTTCAGTAATACCCTCTTTCCCGGTCCCCCAGTTCCCTCGAGCAGGGGCAGCAGACCCCACTGTGACCCACGGACCAAAGCCAGCCCACTGCCTTGTTTTTGTATGTAGTCAAAATGTACAAAAACAAGCCCTGCTCATTTGGTTAGGTGGCATCCATGGCTGTTTCACACAACAACAGCAAAGTCGAGTAGTTGCGACAGAAACCATATGCCCTGAAAAGCTGAAAATATTTACTATCTGGCCTTTACAGAAAAATTGTGCCGACCCCTGCCCTGGAAGAGCACAGTACCTCCATGCATTGGTGTGGCGAAGACGACTGGGGATTGCCGCTCTAAAACATGTTTGGATTAGGAAGCACGTTTAAGTAGGAGAAGCCTTCGTGACTTCTCTCTAGTGCCTTCGTGCCCTGTGTTGCCCACTGAATTGCCCTGTAACACCTAAGTGTAGTGGTAGCATTAAGGGATAGCTTTTCAGCCCTCAAGGTTATCAGGAGCATTTGTATCACTGCTATAAATAAAGTAGTATCACTTGTCATAATCAGGGTGCTGAAACATAATGAAAAGGTTTAACTTAGTCACAGTAAATATTTTATATCCCTGAAAATAAGTTATTTAATGAGAATAGAACTATTTAATGATCCATGAGTCCTAAAAGGATATCTGCCTTGTATTGCCAAGTTTAAGGCAAAGGTGAGATCCTGTATTAATAAGAAGACAGCTTTTTTGTTTGACATTGGTAAGTACCAAGAATTCTAACTCACATATAGTAGGAAACAACAAAAAGTCTCCACTGACTTCTTTGAATTAGATACTGAGAATCCACAATACAGTAGTGTGGATAACTTTCAAGAAGCCATTGGAAACATCTCCACATTCTGGGATGACTTGTAAATGTCTACAGAGTAATGGAAGGAAAGGCTTCCTTGTCTGCTCATTGCTGCCACCTGGGTTGGGAAAATAATTGAAGATGTTTTCTCAAGTCCTTCAAGAATCTCTTCTTAATGTTCAGAATAGTTTAAGAGCGTTGTTGAGGTAAACTGATAGCTGATTATTTTCTGAGATTTAGATCTAAACAAACTCAGCATGACGAGGAAGCACACTTCACAGCTCCAGGGTGCAATACTGATGTAAAGTTGCCTCGTGAGGATACATTTTTCGCTCATGTATGCAAAATTCCTATCAGTTCATTTGCACAGCCAGTTCCAATCATGTATGTGATCACCAGATTAAAAGCTTCATCCAGAAAGACAAGACTCCTCAGAACGAATAGTAGACAAGTAAGACTGCTACCCACAGAAGCCAGTACGCTTCAGGTGTGAGGCGGGGTAACTACTCATCTCTTCACAGAGCCAAGGAAAGAAAAAGAACGTCTCTAACATGATTTACCATTTTAAACAGCCTTATAAGTTTTGTCTCTTAAAATCATGCTGCAGAAGGAGGGGGTAAAAGTCGTGTTCTGCCCTGTCTGTGGCATTGGAGTGCCCCGCTAGGTAAGAAGCAACGCTTAGATCTTGCTTCCAGGCAGCAGCTTGAATTCCCGAATCTTCCTGCAAGGTGCATACAAATGCAGCGTGAGAATCCATACACGTAATCCATATTCACCTTCCCATCCATCCCGCAGAAGAGGCATGGTGACACCCAGGCTACTGTCCATGCTTGAGAGGACGTATTTGAAGGTTCTGTTACTACAAGTTGGGAATATTCACGGACATGCCTGAATACCCCGGCTGTAACTCACACGTGGTCTGTGTAAGTGGATTAACCTCGGGGCGGCCTTGTTTAATCCTGAATAATATCTGAAAGACTGAGTTTACTTGGGAATGTGTAGTTTTTCTAATGCACATTAAAATTTATTTTAGCTGTTAAAAATAAAATCATTTTATTATCAGCAGACTCTTTTATACTTTATGGGGCATCTACATACTACTTCCGCCACTCTTCATAATAAAATTATTTGTAAAATATAAAAAGTACTCCCCTGAGCTGATTATATGCCTCTTCTAGAGCCTCACCTGTGAAATGGGTGGGTGTGTCCCTGGGTAAGTTACCCAGTTTACTGGAGCCTCCTTTGTACTGTAATTTAGGGATAATTATTCCTACTTTGCAGACATTTGGTGAGATTAGAAGTCTTACATGTGTTAATTCCAGCAACGTCTGTGATGGTAGGAACTCATTGACAGCAGCTGTTCTAAAGCCTGTAGTATGTGCCATCATACTATATATAAATTCCAACCTTGAACGGAGGAAGAGAGGCCCTACTGCAATCCACAGGCAGATCCAGCCAACATCTGGGGCTTGCTTTGTGCCGAGTGCCATGCAAGGTTTTTTACATGTGTTTTCTCCTTTTAGTTTCAAACAGTCCTGTGGCGTAGGTGCTATCCTGCTCATTTTCCAAAAAGAAAACGGGCTTGAGGTAGAGTGATTTGCCTACGTAGCTCTGTGCTGTTCATCACATAGCAGCCCCCATTGGTTTGAACTGGCATTCAACCCCCCAAAACCCGACTCCTGGGCTCCATTCTTTTAGACTGCCCTGACTGGGGACTCCAGCTCCAGGCAGGCCAGGCACCTGTCTTTTTACCAAGGTGGGGGGCCAGTTCTTCCTCACACATCCCATTGCTCTTCTCCATTATTCCAAAAGGCTCAGCACAGCCACTACCCCCCCTTTCCCAGTGGATTAAGTTGCTTGGTATTGGCCTTTCATGATGGCATTAAAAGATGGTAATACCGTTAAATTTTTGTGTTACTACCTTACCTCCCCAGGATAAGCCTATTTTATTCCATCTACTGCCCCATAATACTCCACACATAAGGTACAGAGTATATTCTTAGATTTAAATAAGCCATACAGGGAAGCAGCTGTCATGCTAAAGAAAGCCATTTGAGTTAATTGCCAGTTGATAGCGGCAGCTGAAGCCATATACAGAGGAGCTGCCACGTGCAACCCAGACCTGTTGGTAGGAGCTGAGCAAAGTATAATGATCGTGGATTTCCCATAGACTCGAGCTTTTGGTTTTATGTACATTTTGCTCCCGTTTTATGGATAACTCGTTCCTGCCAATCTGCCTCCAAACCTGTTGTATTTTTAGTAGCTCGTTCACTTACAGGATCAAAAGAAATAAACCTGCCTGCCACAGGCTACTTCTGCACCTCACTCATACCCTGCTTAGGATGACAGCAGGCTTACTGTGGAACTTGGGAAACAGAATCCCATAGTAAGACCATTGAGCATCTTCTCCTGACCATAGGTTAGTTTTTAATAACTCCTATCAGTTGAGTCTTACTGTACTTACTGGCATAATGGCCTGGTCTTTGACACAAAAACAGAAAAAGTGAATGGCATGACTTTTTGTAAATTCAGATTTCTAAAGATGTCTAGGGAACCATAGGAGATGGTTAGCTACCTTTGTGAGGAATTGGATGGATTCTGCTTGTTGGTGAAGCTTATTTCAGGCATTCAAGCCCAGCATCACAATCCCAGAGAACGAGGCTGGCACATAAAAGCAACTGTACAAGAAAAGTCAAGGGTTCTGCCACTCTTACCTGTCATCCCAATAAAACTATTCTCTTGCAGAATGGAGACTGCAAAGCTCAGGACAGTTTAGAAGCTATGAGAATGAAGATATGATCAAACATGATTTTTTTTCTTTCTGATAAACCAGAAGATACCAGAAAAAGGAACCAGGTGATACGTTCCCTCCCTTAACCATACTCTGCCCTCCTGCCAAAGAAGAATTTTAAGGACGTTATGTACAAGTAACTGAATAGTAGTAGGCAACAAAGTGGGAAATGACTGTTCCTTTTGCAGGAACAGTCTTGTCTAGCAGGAGATGCCAACAGGATGGTTTACAGTATCCTCTCATTCTCCCCTAATTCACACTCCTATCTGCTGCAGAAAAGGAGTCATTCTCCAGCTCCCTGATCATTCCTTGCCCTCCCAGCTCTCAGCCAAGCACTAGCCCAGCCCTGTGGGTTCCTTTGTCCACCCTGTGGCACAGGCCCTGCCCTTGACCCCTGATCCCCAGGCAGGAGAGCAGGCACTCTGTTGGGGATGGGGGTTTCCAAGCTTCCACAGCAGAAATAGGAGGTGCTGAATCCCGGGGCCGGCTGGCAAGCTACAGCTGAAGTGCAGTCGTGAGAAAACACCTACTGCAGATAGTCCCTGTGTGCAGACACCAACTTCACAGAGGGCCGGGACGCTGGCCATGCATTTAGGGTGAAACCAGGGTTCAAGATGCCTTTAGTTACAGTTTTAAGTGCCAAAAGCATACCTTTCCATCAAAGTTAGGCTTTCATTGTAAATGGGCTTGTAAATTCCCCGCAGTCCCACAGATCGCCTCCCACCTTCTTTCAAAGCCTGCTCAGAACCAGCAGGGACTGTCTTCCTCCCAGGCCATCACCCTCCCAGCATCCAGTGCTCGGAGGCCCCAGTAGCCGTCAGTAGCTGCCCCAGTGTTGGCGCTGTCTGGCCTCTGTGATACTTAAACAGGTGTCCAACATTCAGTCATCTAGACCAGGGGTCAGCAAGCTTTTTCTATAGAACACCAAACAGTGCATATTTTATACTCTGCAGGCTACTGGGTCTCTGTTGCAGCCACTGGACTCTGCCATTGTAAGCACCAGAACAGCCATGGCCATGTCCCAACAAAACCCTTTATGAGCACTGGAATTAATTTCACATGTCACAAAATATTTTGATTTTCCTCCCACTTTTTACAAACCATTCTTAGCCCCTCGCCTGTACAAAGACAGGCAGCAGGCTGGACTTGGCCCACAGGCTGTAGTTTACCAACCCCTGACATAGGTGCTCATCAACACTTGGGTCTATAGAGTGTGTGTGTCTCTCCATAGGGACTGAGCACAGTTCTCAATCAGGGCCAGCCCTGATTCCAAAAACCATGCGTGCTACCCAGCTAGCAGAAGGAAAGCCTTGGACTGGTCAACAGAGAAGTCCTACCCTACCCACAGCAGAGATTCTAGAGGTTGGAGAGTAGTCTGGGAGGAACAACCACATATATGTGTCCCACATGCATGATGACATGCCTTTCAAAGGAGAGTGAGGGTTCGCTGGGAACCATGCAGTGCTGCTGGGTGAGCTTCCCTGGGGAGCAGAAAGGAGTGGGAATAAAGGGATGAGGGATGACGGCACGTGCCTGCCTGCACTCACCTTCATGTAACTCGGGTTGAGTAAAAGATTCATCTTGGGACTAAGGGAAGTGGAGAGAGAGACGATTACAGCCCAGCTCTCGCCCTCCCATCTTCTGCTCATTAACATGCTCTGCGCCAGCCTGCTGCAGATTTCATATTTCAGAACCCTGTAGGGAAGTTGCCCTCCCTTAGCCAGGGCGTGAGGGAGAATTACAGAGGACTGGGGAGAAATGGGCATTAAGTGTTTCTTCTCTTATTACTAGAACAGTTTGTGAAAAGATCGACACCTATCCCCAGCATGAATACACATTAAGAGGATGGGTTAGAGTTCTGAGATTGCCAGGGTCAGGCAGTGGTGCCAGGAAAATACTGGAGCGGATGCTTGCCAGATGCTTCATTTTCCACTAAGGACCAGCGAAGGTATGGAAAGATCTAGAACTAGAAGGCCAGGCCTAGCACTCTGGTGGGAGTTGGTAACTGAGGGATCATACTTACTGAGCAAATTGGCACTTGGGTCCCTCGGGGCAGAAGCCAACTAAATAGTTGAGACACATTATTCTGGGGACATGGCGGTATTTACACAGAGGACCTGCTGAGCAAAGAGAAAGTGATGAGAAGGATCCGCTTCAGCAAGAGGGGAAAACACACATGAAAAAGCTCCCTAGGAAGGGTGTGGATGGTCATAGGGGCTTCACTTAATAGGGGTGGATAAATCTTCCCATCCTTTCTGTACCACCCTAAAGCATCCACTTCTAGCCATGAGACAGGGATGGGGAAAAGGAACCTTGGAATGTGCTGGAGCAGGTGTCAGCTGGCAAGTTCTGAAATAGAGTTGGAAATGTCACTGACATGCTGTGTCCTGGAGGACTGCATGGATATGAACCACACTTTGTTGCCTTTTATTTATTTAAGTATGGGAGGTACAGCTGAGAAAAAGCTGACCTGGCCGGGTGGGGTGGCTCACACCTGTAATCCCAGCATTTGGGAGGCCAAGGTGGGTGGATCACTTCAGCCCAGGAGTTCGAGACCAGCCTGGGCCACATGGTGAGACCCTGTCTCTACTAAAAATACAAAAATTAGCTGGGCATGGTGGCACACACCTGTAACCCCAGCTACTTGGGAGGCCGAGGCAGGAGAATTGCTTGAACCTGGGAGGTGGAGGTTGCAGTGAGCCAAGATCGCACCACTGCACTCCAACCTGGGTGATAGAAAGAAAAAAGCTAACCCCACAATCCTACTGATCTTCTCAGCAGCCCTCACCCCCGCCCAGATCCCTAAAACCAACAGCACTAAGAACTCCGTAAGAAAAACCTATCTGAAGACAAAGGAGAGGGAGAAACCCTGTTGCTTAGGGCATGGGAACCCTGCTGGGGTAAGCTGCCTCTTAAATTTGGCTGGCAGCAATGGGAAAGGTAGGACATGCTTAAGCAACACTCAGGACCCCCCAGGTGGGTAAGTGGAATGCGGAAGAGAGCACACATGAACTAAGCGTCTCCTATGGGCCTGACCCTGTGTCAAGAGCTTCCTGTGTGGTTCAGTAACTTGGAGAAAGGCATGCAGCTGATACATGCTGAAGGTAGGATTTGAACCCAAGTCAGTCTGCCTCAAGCCTGTTATGGCCCCACACCAGGCTGTGTTTTGTGTGTCACAGCAGAGCTGGAGGAGAACTACAGAAAGGCCTTCTATTTGGGGTTTCTCCAAGGCACAGCCTCATCAGGAAAATGGCCCCTCCCCTGCTGAGAGCTCCCACCCTGATCCCCACAGCCCCTAGGGCTCCCTGGCTTCCAAGGCCTCACCGTCCTTGCAGAAACCTTGGTCATACCAAGGACAGTCCTGGGACTTGAAAGCTGGCTTCACATGGAGGAAGGAACACTCCTTGTTGCTGCAGTCACCTGAAAATCCCAGCACTCTCTGTAGAAGCAGTTTCTCTTTGTGATCACTTCTGTGTCCCCAAACCAGATTGACCTTGCCCCTCACAAACACAGAAGACACTGGCCTTTATTCTGGGAGTCACCAGCTTTTTGAAGATGGAAAGTATGCCTAATCCTTGCTGCAGTCTAAAAAGGGTGGATCCCAGTCCTATTTGCTAAGCAGGGCATGGTCTGAATATACACCTCTGGAAGAGTAAGAGTGAGGGACCCCAGATGGAGAAGGAGGCACTGGAACTGAAGGCCATTAGAGGCTAGCAGGAACAAGGAGAGCCGAGAAGGCCTGCGACGTTAAGTGGAGATATTTCCATGTCGCTGTAACTGCAGCCCCCTCTTCATCTCTACTACAAAACCCATGCTGCCTGCAGAGCCTAGGGAAGCTGTTCCCCTTGGTGGAAATGCAAAGAAAAGCAGAGCCCTGCTCAAGGTGGCACAGGTATGAAAAGAAACATTCTACAGAGTGGGCACCTGCATTATACTAAGCCTGCGTCATCATCTCTCTATGGATTAGACCAAGTCTCAGGTTTAGTTTATTTCCTACAGGGAGCCAGCCCAGTAGGCCCAGGCTACCCAAGTGTCATTATTATTATTATTATTTTGAGACAGGGTTTTACTCTGTTGCCCAGGCTGGAGTGCAATGGCGCAATCTTAGCTCACTGCAACCTCCGCCTCCCGGGTTCAAGCAATTCTCCTGCTTCAACCTCCCAAGTAGCTGGGATTACAGGCATGTGCCACCACGCATGGCTAATTTTTTGTATTTTAGTAGAGATGGGGTTTCACCATGTTGGCCAGGCTGGTCTTGAACTCCTGACCTCGTGATCCGCCCACCTTGGCTTCCCAAAGTGCTGGGATTACAGGTGTGAGCCACCACGCCCGGACCCAGGTGTCATTTTAAGAGCTCTCTTAGATTTCTCTTAGGAAGAAAGCTCTGAAGGAAGCATGGGGGAAGATTCATCCCACTTTCACTTCATTCAAGTTGAGAACTCATGAATCTTTCCAACTTCATCCTCCTTAAATGTCTACAGCTCAGTGCTTTTCAGAGCTGAAGGAGCGTCGTAGCGTCTATTCCACTGATTTTCAAATTGCTCCAGGAAGATCTATTTTATACACTGGGCCTCTACAGAGCAAGGTTTCGCCTAAAGGAAAGTACCCCTAGGCCAGGCACAGTGGCTCATGCCTGTAATCCCAGCACTTTGTGAAGCCGAGGTGGTGATCCTTAGGATCACCTGAGGTCAGGAGTTTGAGACCAGACTGGCCAACATGGTGAAACCCCATCTCTACTAAAAATACAAAAATTAGCCAGGTATGGTGGCACGTGCCTGTAGTCCCAGTTATTCAGGAGGCTGTGGTGGGAGAATCGCTTGAACCTGGGAGGCAGAGGTTGCAGTGAGTCGAGATTGTGCCATTCCATTCCAGCCTGGGCAACAGTGCGAGACTCTGTCTCCAAAAAAAGAAAAAAAAAAAAAAAAAAGGAGAGTACCCCTGATTCCTAAGAGTTTAAAACCACCATTCTTTCCCAGCCCTCTCATTTCACAGAGAACGCCAGGGCTCAGAGAGGGGAAAAGGCCACATCCATTTCATTCAGCTTCCTCACGTTCATGAAGGGTTCATTTGTTCATTGTCAGTATACAGCACTGGGCAGAGTGCTGACTCTGGGCTTGAGCTTTCTAATGAATCAAAGTGACATCACCCCCTAGGTGATGCTGGCCAGCATTTGATGGATGGAGATAACAGAAAGTCATCTACACTGGTTGCCGTTCTGCTGCGTGCACGTCTCTGCATTCCTGGCCTGGCCAGCAGGTGGCAGCAGCACCTCAGCCTTCAATCCGCCTTTCAGAGACGGGGGTACTGGGCTGAAGACCCCGGACACCAGTCCCTTCCAGTGACTCTGTCCCACTCCTACACCTCCCCAACAACACTCTGATTCCAATTAGAGTGATCATCACTTTGATATTCGAAAGCCATATGCATTCATTTACTGTAAGAACAGTAGATTACATCTTGTAATCATGGGCTTACAAGTCTGTCCTCTACTAATTGGAGTTATCTGGGGGCGGAGGGGGACCTGGTCCTGTTCCTGTATCCATGCCCAGGAGCACCTGATCCCCAAACAAACACCGAGGGCTATTGAGGGAATAACTAAGTAGGTGGCATTTTATTACTAAAGTCACAGAATGCTAGGCAGTGACCAAGGGGAACTTGGATAAACATTGTCCTTTCAGGGGAGACATGGGGGCAGCTCTCAGGAACTGCCATGCCTTTGCCTCCCAGGAGCAGGCAGGAAATGGAATATTAGCCTGGGTGGGGCTCTGACTGGCCTAGGCAATGCTTTGCCTCCTTCTCAGGTACCCAGGACCCTCCCATTGGCACTAATGAGGAGCAGCCGCTTGGGGGGCCCTGAAGCTGGCTGCAGCCACATTTGGAAGCCAAGCCTCCTGAGTCAGGGGCATCCAGGGGATTCTGCCAGCTCTCTCTTTGTAGGTCACTCTTTATGGAATACAGTTGGAAAACCACTGGACTAGATAATCCGTAAGGCTCCTTCCAGCTCCGAAAAGCTCTGAGCTGTAGAATCGTATTGTGAAGGGTGAGACCTGAAGCACATTTACAAATTCCTTTCTTAAGTAAGCGGGAAAGTGGCTGCAGCTGCCCCATAAACAGTCCCTTGATTAAAAGGACAAAGGAGGCCGGGCACCGCAGCTCACACCAATAATCCCAGCACTTAGGGAGGCCAAGGCAGGTGGATCACCTGAGGTCAGGAGTTCAAGACCAGCCTGGCCAACGTGGCAAAACCCCGTCTCTACTAAAAATATAAAAATTAGCCGGGCATGTTGGTGGGTACCTGTAATCCCAGCTACTCAGGAGGCTGAGGCAGGAGAATGGCTTGAACCCGGGAGGTGGAGATTGCAGTGAGTCAAGATCACGCCACTGCACTCCAGCCTGGGGGACAGAGCAAGACGCTGTCTCAAAAAAATATATAAAAATAAATAAAAGGACAAAGGATGCCTTGAAGCCAGAGGGAGGTAAGATGCTGGTCCAGGCTTGACCGCACAAGATGACTTTAGGTGCTAGACCTCTGAACCTCATGGATTTATGTTTACAATGACCTTTGATTTCCAACAAGTGATGCTAGTTCTCCGTTTATGGAAACAATGCAAAGTTTCTTCTAAAGTAAGAGTTAAAATAGCAAGACCGTTGGAAGAGCAGACAGTGGTGCTGGGGCTTTGAGGGTACAGCAGGCATCGTGAATGTGGCTCTGAAGGCCTGATATTCGAGAAGTTCTAGCCGGGGCCTGAGAGATGGCTCATTTGAGACATTTCAATATAGTCAGGCTGGGTGTGTGATGAACCAAGAATGGGGAGAGAAACAATCCCTTCTTCCCTTTTGGGGGTATCTGGTATGCACCTTGATCCAGGGGGCAGTAAAGGGCAGGGACTTCAGGGTGCACTTCTGCTTGTCTAGGGGTTTGGAGAACAGACACCTGAGACTCAGACAGGTCTCTCTGGCCTCCAGGGACATGTCCAGCCTCCTCTGCGTGCCCGCTCCTCTAGAAACCTTCCCATCTCACAGCCCACACTGCCACCCTCCAGGGTGAGGCACCGAGCCAGGAAGAGGCCTTACCAAACTTGGAGTAGAAGTAGCACTCAGGCATCCTGGTGAGGTCATACTGGTGCAGGAACTTGCAGTGATCACCCTTCTTGCAGAGCCCCCGGAGCCAGTGCTTGCATACCACCATCTTCTCCCCTCGGTCATGTCGGAAGGGGCAGAGTTTCCCTGGAGATGCCAGAGCACCTGGCTGGGAGGCCCCTCATCCACAGCCTGGGCCCAGCTCAGCCCTCCAGGGGATTCCCCAGGAGGGTACCTGACTCAGTCCCCAGCGGCTGTCCCCTTATCCCTTCACCTGGACCCTGTAGGGGCTGGAACTGGGAGCCGAGGCAGCATGAAGGGAGAGCTTTTTTTTTTTTTTTGAGACAGAATCTCGCTCTGTCGCCCAGGTTGGAGTGCAGCGGCGCGATCTTGGCTCACTGCAAGCTCCGCCTCCTGGGTTCACGCCATTCTCCTGCCTCCATTTCCTGAGTAGCTGGGACTACAGGCGCCAGCCACCACGCCCTGCTAATTTTTTGTATTTTTTAGTAGAGACAGGGTTTCACCGTGTTAGCCAGGATGGTCTCGATCTCCTGACCTTGTGATCTGCCCACCTCGGCCTCCCAAAGTGCTGGGATTACAGGCGTGAGCCACCGCGCCCAGCCAAGCTCTTGTTTTTGAGATGGCGTCTCGCTCTGTTGCCCATGCTAGAGAGCAATGGCACGGTCTCAGCTCACTGCAACCTCCACCTCCCAGGTTCAAGTGATCCTCCTGCCTCAGCCTCCCAAGTAGCTGGGATTACACCTGCAACTACACCCGGCTATTTTTTTTATTTTTAGTAGAGACGGGGTTTCACCATGTTGGCCAGGCTGGTCTCGAACTCCTGATCTCAGGTGATCCATCCGCCTCAGCCTCCCAAAGTGCTGGGATTACAGGCTTGAGCCACCGTGACTGGCCAGGGCAAGCTCTTCTTAAAGCACAGCTGTTCCCACTACCACACCTTTGCCCATCCTTCCCATCTGCCTGGAGTGCCATGCCCTTCTCCAGGGAAGTACCTGGGCTCAGAACAGCTGCCTCCTTTTCATTCCCAGAGTGCCTAACACCCCCTCTCGTCCTGCCAGGGAGCGGGGCCAGGCTTTCCAGCCCAGAATCCCCACACCCAGCCCAGCCCCTGGCACATAGTAAGTGCTCAGTAAGGGTGTGTTGAATTCCCATCTTTAAAAACATCAAATGTTATGCTTCCCGATTCCAGAGACCTAACAGGGTGACAGAAGAGCCAACTTTGTAATGATTTATAAGGAATATTCCATGGAAATGTTACATTTAACTGCTTTATCATCTTCACTCAAGTCTGCCTTGCTATTAGCAGGAAGGACACCCAGTTCCTAAGTTTCTTTAATTTATTTATTTATTTGAGACAGGATCTTAGTCTGTTGCCCAGGCTGGAGTGCAATGGCAAAGTCATGGCTTACTGTAGCCTCAACCTCCTAGACTCAGGAGTTCTCCCATCTCAGCCTCCCGAGTAGCTGGGACTACAGGCATGCACCACCACACTGAGCTAATTTTTTTATTTTTTGTAGAGACAGGGCTTTGCCATGTCATCCAGGCTGGCAGTTCCTGAGTTTCTAAGCAGGTCCAGCCTCATGCCTGGCCAGTTCTCTGACATAATTTGGGGGCTAGGGGAGGTGTTCTTTCCATTTTTCCTTTTTTAAAAAAAAAAAATTATGTTTTGTAGAGATGGGGTCTCGCTATGTTGCCCAGGCTGGTCTTGAGCGATTCTCCAGCCTCTGCCTCTCAAAGTGCTGGAATTACAAGTGTGAGCCTACTCCCCCGGCCAAGGTGCTCTTTTTAAATACCCCTAACCTCCACCCCTGGCTATTGACTTGCTTGGTTCTGACCTTCCACCATAATAGCTTTCTTTCTTTGCAGAAGGGTGTTGCTAGGAACCACTGCTCTAGGGACTGGTTGGGCTGAGCTGAGGAGATGCCACTCAGTCCACATTGAGCCTGCAGGGTCCTGGGTGCACAAGGCCTTGGGCGACCAGTGATCCCATTTCCCTTCTCCCTGTATGGTCTAGGGCTGGCCCCAAGACAAACAAGGCAGGTGGGCGAACATGGCCCCAGGTCCTCCTTTCCTGGTCCCCTCCAGCCCCCCAGCTTCCAGGGACAGACTCATTTGGATCAGAAAACATGTCCTAAACTCTCACACCAGTGAGATTTCTTAACCTAAATGTATAGGCAAGCGGGAGGAAGACAGGGAAACCCTAAAACTGGAAGCCAGTTTTTTTTGGCAATTGTATATTTCTGTTGAAAGAGCCTCTACATGAGCCATGAGCCAGAAGAAAAGTTGAAAACTCTTATATTTGAATCAGGCCTTCCCAGAATGGCTGCATTTGGGGAGAGGGGCCTAGGAAGACAGTATTGACCCAAAGTCAGGGCAGGAGAGAAGTGGAGGATGCTTTTTGATAGCATTTCAAAGATGGTGGCAGGTGCTACCTCAGGGCATAGGGAATGGATGAGACAATTGACCAGTTTACAAACTGAGTCAGAGCAGGGGACTGGGGGAGAAGGATGCCTCTCTTCTAGCTGGGAGGAAATCAAGAAAAACATTAAGAAGCTGGAGCCTCCTGGGAATGCACAGGCCAAAGCTCAGACACACGCCCATCCCAGCAAGGCAGAAAGAAAAAAATACCCCTTTCCAGGCAGCCTGGTTACCCTGATGCGAACTGCAAACTATGAAGACTGCTGCTGAGGCGGGAAAATCTTAGGGGAGGGGCAGGCTGCTCGGTGGATCCAACCACTTATCCTTTGTCTACCTGTAAGTCTAAAATTCTGCTCCATGGCCGGGCATGGTGGCTCACGCCTGTAATCCCAGCACTTTGGGAGGCCCAGGCAGGTGGATCACCTGAGGTGAGGAGTTTGAGACCCGCCTGGCCAACATGACAAAACTCCATCTCTACTAAAAATGCAAAAATTAGCCGGGCTTGGTGGCATGCACCTGTAGTTCCAGTTACTCGGGAGGCTGAGGAAGGAGAATCGCTTGAACCCAGGAGGCAGAGGTTGCAGTGAGTTGAGATCACGCCAGATCACTCTAGCCTGGGCAACAGAGCGAGATTCCATCTAAAAATAAATAAATAAAATAAAAATAAAATTCCGTTCCATCCCAATTTTCCCTCCCCAGGTGCAAATTCGACACCCTATCCCAGGCCAGGCAGAGCCCCTGCTGGGTGTAGCTCAGACAGACCCTACACTCACCCAGCTTGGGGCCCAGGCCTGTCTGCTAACTCACCTTTCTCACAGAGCCCTTTAGTGAAGAAGTTGCACACAGCTGAGGCCGACTCTGGAAGGAGAAGAGGGAACGGAGAAGGTAGCTTCCCCAGAGGCTGCAGCTGTTCCGGAAGCCTCCACCTCCATCGGCATGTCCCACCTAGACCTCCCCCAGGCTCTGGCCTATGGGATCCCAAATCTGGGCCCTGTAGAGGTTAACCTGCAGAGCCAGCCAGCAGACCTCAACCCTTAACCCCCCAACTCTGAAACAGAGGAGCTCGAGGGGCTCAAGCCTGGCCCAGGAGCTCGGGAGGCCAGTGTGGCTTCTCTCAATTCACCGTCTCTCTGTGCCTCTCTTTCTCAGTCTGGAAAATGGGTTGCCCCGAAGCCACAGAAGAGAGAGACAGAGAAGGGGCGGTCGCATCAGGGAGTTGAGCAGAGAGGCCTGTAGAGAAGGAAGGGGGAGGGAGGCTGGGCGTGGTGGCTCATGCCTGTAATCCCAGCACTTTGGGAGGCCAAGGCGGGCGGATCACGAGGTCAGGAGATTGAGACCATCCTGGCTAACATGGTGAAACCCGGTCTCTACTAAAAATACAAAAAATCAGCTGGGCGTGGTGGCGGGCGCCTGTAGTCCCAGCTCCTCGGGAGGCTGAGGCAGGAGAATGGCGTGAACCCAGGAGGCAGAGCTTGCAATGAGCCGAGATTGTGCCACTACACTCCAGCCTGGGCTACAGAGCGAGACTCCGTCTCAAAGAAAAAAAAACAGAGAAGGTAGGGGAGGGAAAGTGGCCCCACCCTCACTCACTGTCCATGCCCTGGAAAGGCAGGAGCCCAGTGCCCTTCTGCATCTCGACATCCTTCTCGAAGGCAAAGGTGAACCGCTCTAGCCCCGCAATGACCTCTTGCATCTTCCGTCTCCTGCTGGGGCTGCGGAAGCTGCTGGAACCCAGGCAGGTGGGCCCAATATAGCTCATCAGAGGCCCTTAAGGGGCCAGCGCCCAATGCCTCCCCCTTCACCCCAGGGTGCCAGTGGCCAGGTGACTGCAGGGGACGCTCCAGCCTGGGCTGTACAGGAGCAGGGCCCAGCTGCCTCACCCGGCCCACCCAGTGCAGGGGCAGACACCCCAGGGCCCCTCACCCCCACACTGTGTACACAAGGCTCACTCGGATAGGGAGGGATTCGCAGAGCCCCACAAACTGCTTATCTTTGCATGTTACCGAACACAAACGTGGCGTGCACACAGACATTACCAAACCTGGGCTCATACTTTGTCCATGAAGACACAGCCACAGGTTAGCAAAGAGTTGCACAAACCAACCGCAGCAAGGCTGTTATTCTGCCAGAGCTGGGGGTGGTGGGGGTTTGCAGAGGGAGGGAGCCGTCCCACCTCCCCGCTTCTTCCCATGAGGGAAGGGGTCTCCCTCTGGGGCCCCTGACACCCCTTTTCTGGCCTGAGTGACAAGCCCCGAGTGAGCTCTTCGTGGGAGACAGGGAAAAAGGAATGAAGAGGAGAGGAACTGAAACAGTTGGATGAATGGCGCTTTGTTTACCTCGCACACAATCGCCAGCTTGGCGGGAGGGCGGAACCGACCAAGGCCAGGGCGGCCTCCCAGCCAGGATTCCACAGGGCCACCCAGTGCCACCCCACCCCTGAGAAAGTGCTTTATAAATGAAATCTCTATGCAAATGTTGTTTTATTATTATTACACCACCCCTGCCTGCAGGGCTGGGGACATCTGACAATGCTTTCAAAGGAGCATGTTAGGGCTCTAATTAGACCAGGTTCCCCCTCCCCCTGCTCTGGCCCCAAACTGGCCTTGCCTCTAACTAGAGCTGCTGTTCTCAGTCACATTGGCTTTTAATGCCCATAGAACCAGAACCCATACGCCCTCCTTTCTGGGTGCCCAAACCCAGCAGGGAGAGGTGGGCAGCCCCGCAGGCTCTCAGCTGGGCCAACATGAACTAGCCTGCTGGCTGTTGTTCCCCGTGGCTGTTGCTCCTAGATCTGTTCTTTTGAACTCCAGATCAGAAAAGAAAATAGCTGGAGAGATAGACACCTGGAGCCGAGGTGGGACTGGGAGGAGCAGGGACGAGATCCAAGAGTTTCCAGAAGCTCAGGCCTCTGACTGCATCCTGGGAGAGGCAGAGGGACCCAGCTCCAGGGCTAGAGGGTGGGGCCAAGGGGGTCCCTGGGGTAGAAACCCTGGCTTCTCTTGGCCTTAGTTGTATGCGTTGATTAGTAGTCCCAAGAATGCATTCATCTGTCAACACAGGCTCATTAAAGGCTCACAGAAGCCTGGCAGCGCAGGCAGGACTGATGAGGGAATCAAAGCCCAGGGAGGCCAAGACCACATGGTTTGGGAGGCGCTATGGATGGGGTTCACATCTAGGTCTCTTGATGACTTCCTTCCCTAAACATCCCTGAGCATCTCTGCACTAGGGCCACGTCCCTATCCTCAGAGATGGCCCCATCAAGGAGGGGACATTAGCCATTCACACAATAATGCGATGGAGGCATGAGGGGCCCAGCAGGGCAGGAAGGGGTAGCAGGCAGAGCTCTCTCAATGGAGAGTCATGATGATGGGGAGAGAATGTTCTGGAAGAAGGCCAGCAGTATGAAGGTTGGGGCATGGAGCAATGTGAAGGCTGAGGAGGCGCTCAAGGGTTTGGTTTGGCAGAAGCGGGGGTAAAGAGGTGGAATGGGGGCAATGAGGCTTAAGAGCTGAGAAGGGACCCAACTCTGGGGGGCCTGCTGGGGCCAGCTTTGGGGGGAAGTGATCGTGAAGGCAGCAGAGCCACCACAGGGCTCTGAGAACTGTACATGGCTCTCTGAGGGATGGTCGGGGGAAGACTGGACAGGGGCTGCTTAGAGGATGAATTTTTTTTTTTTTTTTTTTTTTGAGACTGAGTCTTGCTCTATTGACCAGGCTGGAGTGCAGTGGCGCGATCTCGGCTCACTGCAACCTCTGCCTCCCAGGTTCAAGCAATTCTCCTGCCTCAGCCTCCTGAGTAGCTGAGATTACAGGCCCACACCACCACACCTGGCTAATTTTTGTACTTTTAGTAGAGACAGGGTTTCGCCATATTGGCCAGGCTGGTCTCGAACTCCTGACCTCAGGTGATCTGCCTGCCTCATCCTCCCAAAGTGCTAGGATTACAGGCATGAGCCACCGTGCCCAGCCTGGGGATGATTTTTTAAAATCATGAGAGCCCTGGGGATATAGCCCAGAGATCTTTCTGCTACTCTGGTGGCCTGCAAGAGTTAATTGATGAGGGATGAACATGAAGGAGACTCCTGGTTAAGACTCCTCCCTCCAGCACCCCAGCTTCTCTGCTCCTCCACCAGGGGCTTCCCATCCCACTTCTAGGTGCCTGGCCAGCAGAGGTGTGTGGTGGGTGTCACATGGATGAAATCCCTTCTCCCAGTGGCTCATCATTAGTTTGGCACACAAACAACGGGGCTTGCATTCATAGTTTTTGCTTATTCAAAATACCTTCTGCAGTAAATTGAACTGGCTACCCAAAAAGTCTAGGTCTAGGCCAGGTGCAGTGGCTCACGCCTGTAATCCCAGCATTTTCAGAGGCCAAGGCAGGAGGATCACCTGAGCCCAGGAGTGCAAGACCAGCCTGGGCAACAAAGCAGGACTCCCATCTCTACAAAAAATTAAAAAATTATTAGGTGGGCATGGTGGCACATGTCTGTAGTTCCAGCTACTTGGGAGGCTGAGGCAGGAGGATTGCTTGAGTCCAGGAGGTTGAGGCTGCAGTAAGCCATGATTGCACCACTGCACTCCAGCCTGGGTGACAGAGCAAGACCCTTTCTTCAAAGGAAAAAAAAAAAAAAGGCCAGGCATGTTGGCTCACTCACGTCTGTAATCCCAGCACTTTGGGAGTCCAAGGTGGGTGGATCAACTGAGGTCAGGAGTTCAAGAGCAGCCTGGCCAACATGGTGAAACCCCGTCTCTATTAAAAATACAAAAAATTGGCTGGGCGCGGTGGCTCACGCCTGTAATCCCAGCACTTCGGGAAGCCGAGGTGGGCGGATCATCTGAGGTTGGGAGTTCGAGACCAGTCTGATCAACATGGAGAAACCCCGTCTCTACTAAAAATACAAAATTAGCCAGGCGTGGTGGCGCACACCTGTAATCCCAGCTACTTGGGAGGCTGAGGCAGGAGAATCGCTGGAACCCAGGAGGTAAAGGTTGTGGTGAGCCGAGATCGCGCCATTGCACTCCAGCCTGGGCAACAAGAGCGAAACTCTGTCTCAAAAACAAACAAACAAACAAACAAACAAACAAACAAAAATTAGCAGGGCATGGTGGCAAGCACCTGTGGTCCCATCTACTTGGGAGGCTAAGTCAGGAGAATCGCTTGAACCCAGGAGGCGGAGGTTGCAGAGAGCCAAGATTGCACCACTGCACTCCAGCCTGAGCAACAGAGCTAGACTCCATCTCAAAAAAAAAAAATAAAAATAAAAATAATAAAAATAAAAAATAAAAAAAATCAAAGTCTTAACCCCTGGTACCTGTGAACATGAACTTCTTTAGAAGCAGGGTCTTTGCAGGTGTCATTCGGGTAAGGATCTCAAGATGGGACATCCTGGAATTAGGATGATTCCTAAACCGAGTAACTGGTGTGATTATGAGAGAAAGGAGAGGGATAATTGAGACACAGGCACAGAGGGGACACAGAGAAGGCCATGGGGAGACAGAGGTGGAGACTGGGGTGACCCAGCTTCCGTGGATGGCCAAAGATTGCCATCTGCACCAGAAGCCAGGAGAGAGATGTGGGACAGACTCTCCCTCAGAGCCTCCAGAAGGAACCAACCCTGCCTATATCTTGACCTCAGGCTTCCAGCATCCAGAATGTGAGAGAATGAATTCCTATTGTATTCAGCCACCTTTGTGGTAATTTGTGACAGCAGCTCTAGGAAATGAATAGACCTTCTCACTTGGCATTCAGATTCAAGGCTGGGCGCGGTGGCTCATGCCTGTAATCCTAACCCTTTGGGAGGCCAAGGCAGGAAGATCACTGGAGCCCAGGAGTTCGAGACCAGTCTGGGCAACATGGTGAGATTCCATCTCTACAAAAAATTTAAAAATTAGCTAATCATGGTGGCGCATGCCTGTAGTCCCAGCTGCTACTCAGGAGGCTGAAGCAAGAGGGTCCCTCGAGCCCGGGAGGTCAAGGCTATAGTGAGCCATGATTGCACCACTGCACTCCAGCCTGGGTGACAAAGTAAGACTCTGTCCCAACAGAAAGAAAGAAAGAAATTTGGTTTGGGAAGATCCCACCTTTTTTTTTTTTTTTTTTTTTTTGGCTGAGTTTTGCTCTTGTTGCCCAGGCTGGAGTGCAATGGCGCGATCTTGGCTCACCGCAACCTCCGCCTCCCAGGTTCAAACGATTCTCCTGCCTCAGCCCCTCGAGCAGCTGGGATTACAGGCATGCGCCACCACGACTAGCTAATTTTGTATTTTTAGTAGAAACGGGGTTTCTCTATGATGATAAGGCTGGTCTCGAACTCCCGACCGCAGGTGATCTGCCCGCCTTGGCCTCCCAAAGTGCTGAGTTTACAGGTGTGAGCCACTGTGCCTGGCCGACCTCACCCCTTTTACAGATGAGCAAACAGACACCCAGAGAAGTTGAGTGATTGTTAAGCTTTGCTGAGGCCGGGGGAGCTGCCCCACCTCATGGCTCTTGAAGCCAACGAGTGTCCCCATCGTACAACAACAAAAAGCAGTGCCCCAGCCCTGGGATGTCCCCTCTGAAACCTCACAGCCCCCTCTTCTGTGCCCTGGAGCTTATCCCTAGCCCTTGTGTTTCCGTTTATTAATTGATTCATGGTGCTAAGTGGACACTCAAATCGCTGTACAAACAGAAGTGTGAATTTTTAATCACCATCATTATGAGGCTCTCATTTAGCTCGGGCTGCAAATTTCTGAATCGTCATCATCCAGCTCCTTCCCCTTTATTAATGCTCTGCTCTGAAAAGCGGGGGTGGAGGTGGGGGGAGCTTTGGAATTCTCTGGCTGCAGGGCCTGGCAAGGTCATTCATGCCCATGCCCCCGGCCTGGGATCAACGGCAGCCAGTGCTTTGCTGGACAGATCGTGGCCATGACCACCTTTCTTTTATCTGGAGTACCTGCCTTCCTCTCCACGGAGCGCCCTGCCTTTATGGCGACAGTGCAGACAGGGGCGTCAGGCAGGTCAGGGTTCAAATCCAGCCTTTGTCAGCTACCAGTCTACATCCTGGGTCAGGCATTTAATCGCCTCTCTGAACCCCAGATTCTGCATTAGTAAAATGGGACCAATGCACACCATGTCCCTGGAGGACTGAGGATCAGTGAAAGTACACGTGGTTGCCTGTCACAGGAGTGGTTTTTGTTGTTGTTGTTTTATTTTTGAGACAGAGTCTTGCTCTGTCCCCCAGGCTGGAGTACAGTGGCGAAATCTCAGCTCACTGCAACCTCCGCCTCCCAGGTTCAAGCGATTCTCCTGCTTCAGCCTCCTAAGTAGCTGGGATTACAGGCGCCTGCCACCATGCCTGGCTACTTTTTTTATTTTTAGTAGAGACAGGGTTTCACCATGTTGGCCAGGCCGGTCTCGAACTCCTGACCTCAAGTGATCCGCCCACCTCGGCCTCCCAAAGTGCTGGGATTAAAGGCATGAGCCACTGCGCTTGGACCTATCCCTTCTTAAAATGCATTATTCCTAAGGGCCCCTGGTAAAAGATGCCATGGGGGAAGGGGTCCCATGATGCTTCAGGTGCTGCTGGGGGCTACTGTAAGATCCGGCAGTGATGGCCTGGCAGCCGAATAGCCACGGGGTTGGGAGGGGCTGGAGGTCAGGAGGGGTGCCCCTCACCCGCCGCTGCTGCTGCTCAGTCCCAGGGACAATGAGCCAGTGTTCCCTGCTCTCTCCACCGCCCTTTGTGCCCCAAGAATGCCACTTGGAGGGGACAGCTGTTGGCTTCACAGTGGCCACTTGAAGTGCAGGGCAGGGAGGCCCTGCAGCCAGGATGGTCCTGCTCTGTCATTGTGCAGGAACTCAGTCTCTAGGAGTCCGTCAGTTCTGACACCTGCACCCAGGGAAAGACATCTACTTCCCCTTGGGGCTTGGAAATAGCCACAGGACTAATAAACCACCCACACTTCTCATTCAAGGCTCCTCCCATTCTCAAGGTAAACTTCCAAGCTGCTCTACCCGTTTTATAGGTAAGGAAATCAAGGCCCAGAAGTGAAACCACTGCCTAAGCTTATATAGCCAGTAGATGTGGGAATGGGGGCCTAGAATCCAACCTTTGCTACCAGTTACTAGGACTTAATTGGTTTAGGTTCACTGTTTACGTTGTATTCTCTCTAATTCCCACAAAACCTTGCAAAGAGAGCTATTATTCTTTCTCTTCTACAACTGAAAAAAGCTGAGGCTAAAGGCTTAGATGTGCTTCCTAAAGACCACAAGCTCAGGTCTGCTTGGCCCCAAAGCCAGCTCCTTCCAGCCTACCAAGCTAAGCGTGGGAGACGGCTCCACCTCCCCTGGGCTGGGAAGACCACCCAGACCCCTGAGGCCCAAGACAGCTACTGAGCCTTTGCTTGTTCCTGAGTAGGTAGGATGCAGATTCTACTTTTGGTCCAAATATCAAGGAAATAGGACATTTTGGGCTTAGGGAGTCAGCCCTGCTCAAAGGGGTGTGCAGATAGCATTCCCTGTCCACTGTTGCCGCGACGTTTCTTCACTTGGTCTTCAGGTCATCCTCCGCCCTGCCTGGGGTTCTGTGCCCAGAGCCTCTCCAGGCTGAGCAGAGGCTGCCCAAAGCCTCCCTGGGCTCAGAGGGAAACTCCACAGGCTTCAGCCCCTGCCCCCCATGACCTGTGAGAAAGGAGCCTGTCACCCACAGCTGCAGGCCCGGCCTGTCCGCAAAGCCGAAGTGGCAGAGGTGGCAGGTGGGGCAGCTTGGGTCACACTCTGGTCTCCTCCTCCTTAACCACAGTCCTCTGGCTTCCCACGTCTGGCTCTTACCCTCCCTCCTCTGGGGAGCTATTCACTCACTCACTCACTCATTCACTTACTCATTCATCCACTCACTCATTCACTCACTTATTCACTCTCACTCATTTATTCACTCACTCACCTATTCACTTATTCACTCACTCTTTCACTCACTCACTCATTTATTCACTCATTCACTCACTCATTCACCCATTTGCTCATTCACTCACTTGTTCACTCATTCACTCACTCATTCACCCATTCACTCACTCATTCACTCACTCGTTCACTCATTCACTCACTCATTCACCCATTCACTCACTCATTCACTCACTCACTCATTCACTCATTCATTCACTCACCCACTTACTCATTCACTCATTCATTCACCCATTCACTCATTCACTCACTCACTCATTCACTCACTCACCCACTTACTCATTCACTCACTCACTCATTCACTCACTCATTCACTCACCCACTCACTCATTCTCTCACTCATTCACTCATTTATTCACTCACCCACTTACTCACTCACTCATTCACTCACTCATTCTCTCATTCACCCACTCATTCTCTCATTCACTCACTCATCCACTCACTCACTCATTCCCTCACTCATTCACTCACTTATTCATCCATTCACCCACTTGTTCACTCATTCACCCACTCATTCACTCAGTCACTCACTCATTCACTCACTCACTCACTCACTCACTCATTCACTCACTCACTCGCTCAAAAGTATTTTTTAACTGCTGCCGTCTCTGGAAGACACAGAACAAACAAGACACAGCCACTTGCCTAGGAGATTGCACTCGGTAGAATAATGTGCTCCCATCCAAAGATGCCCACATCCTAATTTCCAGAAACTGTGGGTGTGTTACCTTACAAGGCAAAAGGGACCTTGCTGATGCAATTAAGTTAAGAATCTTGAGATGGGAAGATTATTCTGGATTATCTGAGTGGGCCCAATAGCACCACAAAGATCCTTATGAGGAGGCAGGGTCAGAGGAAGGGAGAGACACAGAGGAAGAGAGGAAAAAACAGAGAGAGATGTGAAGATGCTGTACTGCTGGCTTTGAAGCTGGAGGAAGGGGCCATGAGCCAAGGAATGCGGGTGGCCTCTAGAAGTAGAAAAGACAGATTCTGCCCTCAAACCTGCAGGAGGAACACAGACCTACCCACATCTTGATTTTAGCTCAGTGAAAGCCATCTGGGCCTTCTGACCTTTAAAAATGTGAGATATTACATTTGTGGGCCAGGCATGGTGGCTCATGCCTATAATCCTAGGACTTTGGGAGGTGGAGGAGGGTGGATTGCTTGAGCTCAGGAGTTTGAGACCAGCCTGGGCAACATAATGAGACCCCATCTCTACAAAAATTAGCTGGACGTGGTGGCCTGCACCTGTAGTCCCAACTACTCAAGAGGCTGAGGTGAGAGGTTGGCTTGGACCCAGGAGAAGGAGGTCGCAGCGAGCTGAGATTGAACCACTGCACTCCAGCCTGGCGACAGAGCCAGACCCTGTCTCAAAAAAAAAAAAAAAGTGCTGTTTGTTTGTTTGTTTGTTTGTTTGTTTTTTTGAGACGGAGTCTCACTCTGTCGCCCAGGCTGGAGTGCAGTGGCGCAATCTTGGCTCACTGCAAGGGCTGCCTCCCGGGTTCACGCCATTCTCCTGCCTCAGCCTCCCGAGTAGCTGGAACTACAGGCGCCCGCCACCGCGCCTGGCTAATTTTTTGTATTTTTTAGTAGAGATGGGATTTCACCGTGGTCTCGATCTCTGATCTCCTGACCTCGTGATCTGCCTCCCAAAGTGCTGGGATTACAGGCGTGAGCCACCATGCCTGGCCAAAAAAGTACAGTTTTAAGCTACCAGATTTGTGGCAATTTGTGTTTTCTATTTGTTTGTTTTGTTTTGAGACAGAGTTTCACTCTGTCACCAGGGCAGGAGTGCAGTGGTGCCATCTCAGCTCACTGCAACCTCCACCTCCTGGGTTCAAGTGATTCTTGCGCCTCAGCCACCTGAGTAGCTGGGATGACAGGCATGCACCACCACACCTGGCTAATTTTTGTATTGTTTTATAGTAGAGACGGGATCATTTCCATGTTGGATAGGCTGGTCTTGAACTCCTGATCTCAAGTGATCTGCCCACCTCAGCCTCCCAAAGTGCTGGGATTCCAGGCATGAGCCACTGTACCCGGCCAATTTGTGGTAATTTGTTACAGCAACAATAAGGAAACTAGTATAGAGAGGAACGTAACCAATAAGCAGGCAGTGACATCAGAAGGCACTGGCGGAGCTACTACAAGGCTGCTGAGCTCTCACTTAGGTGTTGCAGGAAAGCTTCTGGGAGGAAGTGAAACAAAGGCATAGACATGTAGAGTCTTGTCAAGGCAGAAGGGGGACAATGGTTCCAGCCGCCGCCATGCGTTTAGGAAACCACTTCTGGTTCTATAGGATCAGATCTGGCACACTGGCTGCTGGGGGTGGCTCGGGGGACTGGGAGGTCCAGGCTTGCGAAGGGCCTCAAACCTGGGACCTTGAGGAGTCACTGAAAGCCCACTTTACGATGTTGTTGAAATTTGCATTTTTACTTTATTTTTTATTTTTGAGATGGAGTCTCACTCTCTCACCCAGGCTGGAGTGTGGTGGTGCAGTCTTGCTCATTGCAACCTCCACCTCCTGGGTTCAAGCGATTCTCCTGCCTAGCCTCCTGAGTAGCTGGAATTATGGGTGTGCTCCAGTACGCCCGGCTAATTTTTGTATTTGTAGCAGAGACAAGGTTTCACCGTGTTGGCCAGGCTGGTCTCAAACTCCTGGCCTCAAGTGATCCTCTTGCCTCGGCCTCCCAAAGGGCTGGGATTACAAAGGTCTGGAATTACTCCAGCGCCGTGAGCCACTGCACTGGTCGAGATTTGCATTTTAGAAAGAGCCCTCTGGCTGCAAAGTCCTGGGGCCACTCTCTAGAGAAGGCATGAAAGAAGGACATCCGGCAGCCAACTGCCAGAATCTAGAATTGGCTGAAAAGCAGCTCCAGGCCGGGCGCGGTGGCTCACACCTGTAATCCCAGCACTTTGGGAGGCTGAGGCTGGTGGATCACCTTGAAGTCAGGAGTTTGTGACCAGCCTGGCCTACATGGTGAAACCCCATCTCTACTAAAAATACAAAAATTAGCCAGGTGTGGTAGTGGGCGCCTGTAATCCCAGCTACTTGGGAGGCTGAGGCAGGAGAATCACTTGAACCTGGGAGGTGGGGGTTGCAATGAGCCAAGATCGTGCCATTGTACTCCAGCCTGAGCCACAGAGGGAGACTCCGTCTCAAAAAAAGAAAGAAAGAAGTGGCCGGGCGCGGTGGCTCACGCCTGTAATCCCAGCACTTTTGGAGGCCAAGGCAAGTGGATCACCTGAGGTCAGGAGTTCGAGAACAGCCTGACCAACATGGTGAAACCCCGTCTCTGCTAAAAATACAAAAATGAGCCAGGCGTGGTGGCACATGCCTGTAATCCCAGCTACTTGGGAGGCTGAGGCAGGAGAATCGGTCGAACCCGGGAGGTGGAGGTTGCAGTGAGCTGAGATTGTGCCATTGTACTCCAGCCACAGCAACGAGAGCAAAACTCCATCCCAAAAGAAAAAAAAAAGGTAAAGCAGCTCCAAGAAAGGAGGCGTCTTTCCCCAGTCCTGCTTTATTCTGTACTTTCTAAAACAGGGAAAATGCAGAAGGTCAAGATAAACCACAATTATCAACAAAGTTTTAATATTTATTCCTATGCCCTAACGGATGGTCCTGTGTTCCCCTGGGGACGCATAACCCCCTACCCCCATGGGGAGGAGGAGAGAGGGAAGTTTCTGTAGAGCAGGGACCCGCCCGCTGACTGTGGACACTGTGTTGGATTAATTCTCCCAGCCGTGGCCCAGGGTGCTCACTTTGATGGATGGTGGGTCCAGGGTCACAAGTTTGATCTGTCTTTGGGTCAACTGAGTCTGGAAGAAAAACTCTATTTTCATCACCATAGACTGCCCTCTGGTCTGTTATCTCTAAATAATTATTGGGTCATGAGGCAGACAGAGAGTAAGATGGAAAAACCCTCCAGGCCCCGACTATTGACAAAGAGTCGATTGTACCCACTTTGTGTACAAAGCCCAGTGAGTGTGGGCAGGGGGAGCGGGAGGCAAAGCGCGGGCCCCACTCACTCCCCGCCTGGATAAACTGCCCTGACCCTGGAGGGGGTGCTGGAGGGAGACTCAGTAGAGCATGGCAGACCAAGGCCACCCCACCACCAACATCCTGACCTTCCCTCCGGTCGGGGGCTCATCAGACTCGGCGCTGTCTTTTTTAAATTTATTTATTTTTTTTATTGAGACGGAGTCTCTGTCTGTCACCCGGGCTGGAGTGCAGCGGCGCCATCTCGGCTCACTGCAAGCTCCGCCTCCCGGGTTCATGCCATTCTCCTGCCTCAGCCTCCCAAGTAGCTGGGACTACAGGCGCCTGCCACCATGACCGGCTAATTTTTTGTATTTTTAGTAGAGACAGGGTTTCACCATGTTAGCCAGGATGGTCTTGATCTCCTGACCTCGTCATCCGCCCGACTCAGCCTCTCAAAGTGCTGGGATTACAGGCGTGAGCCACTGCGCCTGGCCGCTGACTTAGCGCTGTCTTTGCTCTCTCCTTTTGGTGAGGCTTTCAATTCCATGTTCTCATTTGACGGCTCCCACTCCTGGATGTGTTTTCTGCAGACAAAGAGACAGTTGCTCCTTGTCTTAGTCAGCTCGGGCTGCTGTAACAAAATACTGTAGAGAGTGATTTAAGCAACAGATGTTTGGCTGGGCGAGGTGGCTCACACCTGTAATCCCAGCACTTTGGGAGGCTGGGGCAGGTGGATCACCTGAGATCAGGAGTTCGAGACCAGCCCAGCCAACATGGCAAAACCCGCATCTCTACTAAAAATACAAAAATTAGCCGGGCATATTGTCACATGTCTGTAATCCCACCTACTTGGGAGGCTGAGGCAGGAGAATCACTCGAACCCGGGAGGCGGAGGTTGCAGTGAGATGAGATGGTGCCATTGCATTCCAGCCTGGGCAACAGAGCGAAACTCCAAAAAAAAAAAAAAAAAAAAAAAAAGCAACAGACCCTTATTTCTCTTAGTTCTAGGAAGTCCAAGATCAAGGTGCTGGCAGATTTTGTTCCCAGGGAGGGCTCTCTTACTGGCTGGCAGATGGCCACCTTCTTGCTGTGTCTTTACAAGGCGAGGAGAGAGAGACTGAACGCTGGCCTCATTCTCTTCTTACAAAGACACTGATTCCATCATGGCGTCTCCACCCTCAGGACCTCACCTAAACCTAATCACTTCCCAAAGACCTCCAAGTCCTAATACCATCACATTGGGATTAAGGGTTCTGTGTGTGAGTTTTGAGAGGACACAAACATTTGGTCCATAACACTCGCTTCACAACAGCTTGCCATTTCCATTTGAATCAGCTTCCATGTATCTGAGATCAAACTCAAACTCCCCCAAATCCATTCTTCCCTCAGTCTTTCCTGCTCAGAAAAAGTGAAACTGCCCAGACACTCAGGCCAAAAGCTAGGTGAATCTTTGGTTCTCTAAACATGCTTGTCCCCGCCATTCACCTCCCGGACTCCTCATCCTCTGAGTCTGATTTAAATGCCACTTCTTCAGGGAGCACCTACCCCCCATGACCTGTGAGACAGGGTCTCACTCTGTACCCCAGGCTGGAGTACAGTGGTACAATCATGGCTCACTGCAGCCTCAACTTCTGGGCTCAAGTGATCCTCCCACCTCAGCCTCCTAAGTAGCTGGGGCTGCAGGAATGCACCACCACGCCCAGCTAGCTTATTTTTTGCAGAAATGGAGTCTCATTATGTTGCCCAAACTCCTGGGCTCAAGCAATCCTCCTACCTTGGCCTCCCAAGATGCTGGCATTACAGGCGTGAGCCACCACACCCAGCCCCCAGTGACCTTATCCAAAGTGAGGCCCCGGGTTATTCTCCCTCTGAGCGTTAGTCTCCCTCCCAGCATCTAGATGTGTGTTTCCTTCAAATCAGTACCATGTTTGCTGCTTTTACTTATCTTCTTGCTTGTTGAGTGTCTGTTTCCCAAGCCCTCCAACCCAAACCCTTAAGGCCAAGGCCCATCCGGGTGACTTCGGCAACAGTTCAGTAGACACAGTGCCAGGGCCCTCTGCCCTTTTAGGGGCCCACAAACGTGTTCTAATTTATTTGAAAATCAGAAGAAAATAGCCGGGCGTGGTGGCTCACACCTGCAATCCCAGCACTCTGGGAGGCCAAGGCGGGCAGATGACGAGGTCGGGAGTTCGAGACCAGCCTGACCAACATGGTGAAACCCTGTCTCTACTAAAATACAAAAATTAGCCCTGCATGGTGGGGCGCACCTGTAATCCCAGCTACTCGGGAGGCTGAGGCAGGAGAATTGCTTGAACCCAGGAGACAGAGGTTGCAGTGAGCCAAGATTGCACCACTGCACTCCAGCCTGGGCAACAGAGCGAGACTCCCTCTAAAAAAAAAAAAAAAAACAACAAACAGAAGAAAATATGCAAACCTGTAGGTTTATAGCAGCAGAGTCATAAATATAATTTTCACAATTTTTATGGAGGAAGGGGTCCACACAACTTACAGTGCCACCCTGGGACTGTGTTGGCTTTGCCTACTGTTATACCTCCCAACACATCCCAGAGTACTTGGAGCATGGCAGGGGCTCAGTACATATCTGATGAATAAAGGAATCTGCACTATAGTTTTCTTTTTTTCAGAGAATACAACAGCAAACTCTCTGCAGTCAGCCCAGATTTGGTGGAGGGTTGGGGAAGAACCACGGTTGTGAGAAATGATATTGATGCAGGATTGTCTTCAAGTCAGCCAGGAGATGACACAGTCCTCTCACTACTCTAGATCTGCAAGGAGAAGCCCTCTGGCCCATGCCACCTTCTCAATACAATCCTCGATCTGACTTCAGGATGAAAAATTAGAAAGCTGCCTTGGTACAGCCACTTCTCAAGTATACCCATGTAGAAACATTTTACTGGCTAATAGGAAGTATCAATTTTCTCAATCAAGCAGGCAATTAAAAAATGTAAGTATATACATTTTTCCTCAAGGGACTGCATAAATTTTTTTTTTTTTTTTTTTTTTTTTTTGCTTTGAAGAAAAGAATGTGACCTAAAAACTATTTTTGTTTTTTTTTTTTTTTGAGATAGAGTCTCACTCTGCTGCCCAGGCTGGAGTGCAGTAGCACGACCTCGGCTCACTGCAACCTCTGCCTCCCGGGTTCAAGCGATTCTCCTGCCTCAGCCTCATGAGTAGCTGGGATTACAGGCGCACACCACCACTTCCGGCGAATTTTTGTATTTTCAGTAGAGACGGGGTTTCGCCATGTTGGTCAGGCTGGTCTCAAACTCCCTGTGATCCGCCTGCCTCAGCCTCCCAAAGTGCTGGGATTGCAAGCATGAGCCACCATGCCCGGCCCTGAAAACACTTTTATTTGTCTTAAATTGGTCTTTATATTTTGCCATTACTTTTAACGACAAAAAATGCAATTACATCTTTTTTTTTTCTTTTTTTTTGAGACAGATCCTGGAGTGCAGTGGCATGATCTTGGCTCATTGCAACTTCCGCCTCCCGGGTTCAAGCAACTCTCCTGCATCAGCCTCCCAAGTAGCTGTGGTTATAGGCTTGCGCCACCACGCCCAGCTAATTTTTGTATTTTTAGCAGAGACAGGGTTTTGCCATGTTGGCCAGGCTGGTCTCGAACTCTTGACCTCAAATGATCCGCCCTCCTTGGCCTCCCAAAGTGCTGGGATTACAGGCGTAAGCCACCGTACCCAACCCTCAATTACTTTTGCACCAACCTTTTAAGAAAGTGGCTCACTCCTCCTTTATGAGCAGTGGTTTTCAGCCCCTAATAGGGCATTTGGCAATGTCAGGGGACTTTTTTTTTTGAGACAGGGTCTCACCCTGTTGCCCAGGCTGGAGTGCATGGTGTGATCACGGCTCACTGCGGCCTCAACCTCCTGGGCTCAAGCCATCCTCCCACCTCAGCCTCCCCAGTAGCTGGGAGCACTAGGTGGACACAACCACACCTGGCTAATTTTTTATATGTTTTGTAGAGATCTGGTTTCACCATGTTGGCCAGGTCTTGAACTCCTGGTCTTGAACTCCTGGGCTCAAGTGATCCAACTGCCTCGGCCTCCCAAAGTGCTGGGATTACAGGCATGAGCCACCGAGCCCGGTCTGAGGACATTTTCCACTGTCACAATTTGAGGGAGTGCTTGGCATCTACCAGGCGGAGGCCAGGGATGCTGCAAACACACTACAGTGCGCAGGTCAGTCCCCAGTAACAATGAATGAGCCAGCCCCAAATATCAATAGTGTTGGGTTGAGAAACCCTCCTCTGGGAGGATCTAAATTGTGCCTCTTGGATCATGTGGGTCTGGCCCTCCATAGAGTGGGTTTTACTGATCTGTGCCTTGGTATCAAACCCTCAATTTATCCTGAGTAACTCTGTAGAAAGCAGCTGATAGGGTTTGTGTGACTGTATCTGTGTCTTACTTAGTCCATTTGGAGTGCTATAAACAATATTCCACAATCTGGGTGGCTTATAAACAACAAAAATTTGCCAGGCACGGTGGCTCACACCTGTAATCCCAGCACTTTGGAAGGCCGAGGCAGGCAGATCACTTGAGGTCAGGAGTTTGAGACCCACCCAGCCAACACAGTGAAACCCTGTCTCTACCAAAAAATACAAAACATAGCCAGGTGTGGTGGCGTGAGCCTGTAGTCCCAGCTACTCGCGAGGCTGAGGCAGGAGAATCACTTGAATCCGGGAGGTGGAGGTTGCAGTGAGCCGAGATCACGCCACTGCACTCCAGCCTGGGAGACGGAGCAAGACTGAGTGACCCTGTCTCTAAAACAAAAAAGGACTGTCGTTGACGGTGTTGCTTGGGACACTACCCGTCATCCCTTCAAAGGTCCCACGAGAATTCCTCTCAGACTTTAGTGTCAGAAATAGCTGCGCTGCTTCTAGGTTGAGTGTTTTATTTTGCTTTTTAATTGAGTCAGAATCCTGCTCTGTTGCCCAGGTTGGAGTGCAGTGGCACAATCTCGGCTCACTGCAACCTCCACCTCCCAGGCTTAGGTGAGTCCCCTGCCTCAGTCTCCCTAGTAGCTGGGATTACAGGTGTCTGCCACCACGCCCAGCTAATTTTAAGCGGAGTTTCACCATGTTGACCAGGCTGGTCTCGAACTCCTGGCCTCATGTGATCCACCCGCCTTGGTCTCCCAAAGTGCTAGGATTACAGGCATGAGCCACTGCACCCGGCCAGGGTTGGTTTTAATCTTGTGGACTTTGTGAGTCTCAAAACCGGCAGATTTCCCTCTTTGTTTTGACTGATACGAAGCTCAGAATCCTGTTTGCAGTCCACCTTTGAGGATTGTGGAGCCCCAGCCAAAGAACATTTCTGTGTCCTACCCTCTTGGTTCATTGTACCATGTGTTCCAGTGTTGTTTTCTCTCTGATCTATTTTTATCCTATTGTATTTTATGAATTTTTGTAAGCTGCCTCTAATCCTTTTTGGAAGAAAGCAGGGCAGAAGAAGAAAACAAGATTCATCAGAACCCTGTGGCCTTGACAAGTGTGTTTTAACATGCCAAGTGTCATTTAGGGTTGGATTCTGGCCAGGGAAGGCAGCTATCCTTGGCTCCTCCTATCTCTCCTGGGAGTCTCTGTGGAGAACAGCAGCTCAGTAGGTTAGAGCAACAGGTTTTAGAGGTAGAGCCAGTATCCATCTGCCTGCAAGCACCACTCCCTCCCACCAAAATATTCTTCCCAGTCTCCCATCTGTCTGTTGGCAGGAAGCCACGGGGCCTAGAGGAGATCGGAAAGGGGAAGAATAAAGATAAGGTCTCCCATTTTCATTCCTAACTTTTATTTCTGGCATCTTAAATCAGGGCCCTCAGGGCTCAGGGAAAGATCGTGTACGTGTTAAGTGCTGCGGGTGAAGGGTGGCCAGGAAGGGCACCTGCCCAAGTGTGGAGGGAGTGGGGGCCTTGGGGAGTCTGTCATATGAGGGTCGAGGGGAGCCAGGCAGGGGTGGGGAGTGCCACACACACCTGGAAAGTCCCACCCCTCCATCTCGCCCTGCGTTCAGGGATCTTCCAGCCACCCCTGCAGCTATACCACTCCCAGCTCTGCACGCAGTCTGCTGCTCACGCCATCCCTCAACCTGTCCCTCACCTCCCAGGCTGCAGCACCCAGGCCAGCCCAGAGAATTCCACCTGCTCTGCTCTGCTCTGCTCTACTCGTGGGACTTTAGCTAATCTCTTGTCCTCCCAGCCTCAGTCTTCCTATCTCTAAAATGAGCAGGGGCCAGGCACAATGGTTCATGCCTGTAATCTCAGCACTTTGGGAGGCCAAGGCAGGCGGATCACTTGAGGTCAGGAGTTCAAGACCAGCCTGGCTAACACGGTGAAACCCCATATCTACTAAAAATACAAATATTAGCCGGGTGTGGTGGCAGGCACCTGTAGTCCCAGCTACTCGGGAGGCTGAGGCAGGAGAATCGCTTGAACCTGAAAGGGAGAGGTTGCAGTGAGCCGAGATCATGCCACTGCACTCCAGCCTGGGTGATAGAGCAAGACTCCGTCTAAATAAAATAAAATAAATAAATAAAGTAAAATAAAATGAGCAGGGAGAGGAAACTAGATCCTAAACTTTGAGGATCCTGAGAATCCCTTGCTGCCTTCATGTGTCCTGACAGCCTCTGTCCCTTTGTTCTACTTTCTTCTGGGAATGTGGTGCCACCTTGGTGGAGAGAGGAGGAGTGGCTGGGCGTGTGTAACTCTGGGGTCAAAGATGGACACCACGCAGGAGTAGCCTGGATGCCAGCAGGAGCACAGGCCCGAGGCTGCAGGCTTGAGAGGCAAGGGGCCCAACCCAGAGCCCTGGTCCTGCCCAGCAGAGCCAGAGGCCAGGCAGAGCAACCCTGAGAAGGGCAGGGCCTTGGCCGCCTGGTGGGCAGAGGTGACCTATGGGAAGCAGCAGCTGCCGCTGAAGGGGGCTGGAGCAGCCAGTGCCTCCCTGACACTTCCCTTGGGCACACAGAACCGTGGGAGATGGGCATGCCCCACTCTGAGAGGCTGATAGCCCCGTCTCTGTGCTGCTTGGCCAAGCCAGGCCACCGGCCCCACCTTGTCATTCCATGTCCAGCTCCTCTGTTTCCTAGACCTGTGGGGTGGGCTGGTTCTTTCACCTCTAGCTGCTTCCCCTGTAAAATGGGGGTGATATGAATGGCATGGACCTCACGGAATTGTTATGAGAATGAACTGAGGCCAATGCAAAGAACAATGCCTAGCATATGGCGGTCATAGCTGCTAAGACATATGGCCCGTATCACAGCGGTGCAGAGCGGCGTGTGCCCAGTAAACGGGCGCACAGCCCTATCCACATGGGGGACGTGGAGGGAGATGCTCTGGACCCGCTGGGGCAGGTGGCGGGGCTGGTGCCAGGACATCATCGGGCCAGAAGGCTTTGGGTCCCATCCCATTTTGGAAAATGGTGACTGAGATCTGAATTTAAATGACCAAATTATTACCCAGAAGTAGTTCCTGGTTCCTTTAGACAGAAAGGGCCCACAGAACATCTTTAAAGCAAGAAGTGCCCTGCGGGGCCCTAGGTTTCTCAGGTGAACCTCAGAGACCAACGGGGAAAGAGTAAGGACCCCCCAAATCCAACCCCACCCAGGGAAGCTCTGGCTCAGCCTCCATAGAGGTTCAAAGTATGACCTCATATGAGGCCAGGTGTGGTGGCTTGCGTCAGTAATCCCAGAGTTTTGGGAGGAGGCCAAGGTGGGAGGATTGCTTGAAGCTAGGATTTTGAGACCAGCCTGGGCAACATAAGACCTCATCTCATAAATAAATATATAAATGAATAATCAATCAATTATAAAAGGCTGGGTGCAGTGGCTCGCACCTGTAATCCCAGCATTTTGGGAGGCCGAGGTGGGCGGATCACCTGGTCAGGAGTTTGAGATCAGCCTGGCCAACATGATGAAACCCCGTCTCTACTAAAAATACAAACAAAAATTAGCCGGGTGTGGTGGCGTGCACCTGTAATCCCAGCTACCCAGGAGGCTGAGGCAGGAGAATTGCTTGAACCCGGGAGGTGGAGGCTGCAGTGAGCCAAGATTGCACCACTGCACTCCAGCCTGGGCAACAGAGCGAGACTCCGTTCTCGGAAAAGAAAAAAAAAAATCAATTAAAAAAAATAGCATGACCTCATTGCAAACAAAGCTTCTGGTAAAAAGTTGAAAACAACTGAGCTACTGCCTAATTTTAAAGATGGAGAAACTGAAGCCAATTGGAGCGAGAAAATAACTGGCCCAAGGCTACCCAGCAAATCTTTTTTAAAAAATTTATTTATTGGCTGGCTGCGGTGGCTCATGGCTGTAATCCCAGCCCTTTGGGAGGCCGAGGTGTGTGGATCATGAGGTCAGGCGTTCGAGACCAGCCTGGCCAAGATAGTGAAACCCCGTCTCTACTAAAATTACAAAAAATTAGCTGGGCCTGGTGGTGGGCGCCTATAATCCCAGCTACTCGGGAGGCTGAGGCAGGAGAATTGCTTGAACCTGGGAGGCGGAGGTTACAGTGAGCTGAGATCGTGACACTGCACTCCAGCCCAGGCGACAGTGCGAGATTCCATCTCAAAAAAAAAAAATTATTTTTTGGTAGACATGTTGTCTCGCTGTTACCCAAGTTGATCTCAAACTCTTGGTCTCAAGGGATCCTCCTGCCTCAGCCTCCCAAAGTGCTAGGATTACAGGTGTGAGCCACGGCGCCTGGCTCCCAGCAAATCTTAACAGAGCTCTGTGGCCTGGCTGGTTCTGCGTGTTCATCTCATCCTTGTCTCCTGGGTCCACTGAACCCCCAGCCAGAAGGTATGCTCCTTAAAGCTGTGAATCAAGCCAGGTCCCCGGGTCTTCTTGAATGCTCAGAGCTTTTCCATCAATGGTCAAGAAACAGATTCTGGGGCTCGGGGCGGCTGGTTTCTCTGGGCCCCTAGGGAGTCCCTGGTTAGTCGGTGTAGGTACAGTCATTTCTCTCTCTTGGGAGGTTGCACTGTGTCTGGGAGGCACAGCCCCTTCTCATCTGCCTGGTCCTCGCCTGAACAGTACCTTCCTCTCCCCAGTCATCCCTGAGCTAGACTGTAGCCCCTAGGGACCCGTCTCCCAATGGGCCCCAGCTCTCCTCCCTCTCTCTTCTTCC
Organism: Homo sapiens; assembly: GCF_000001405.40. Taxonomy (NCBI): domain Eukaryota; kingdom Metazoa; phylum Chordata; class Mammalia; order Primates; family Hominidae; genus Homo; species Homo sapiens. The sequence goes on from NC_000017.11 coordinate 73,282,195, forward strand.
CTTGGGGCAGCCAGAAGTCCCCGCTCATAACTCCCACACGAATGAGCCTGTCTAGGGACAGAGGGAGGGACCTGAGTGACATTTTAATTATGCCTCTAATTGCTTTCCAGGGAGATGAGTGGGGAACTCACATTTCTCTGTGGGTGCTCAGGGGAGAGTGCAGGGTTTCCACCAGGAACTCAGCCACATTGAGATCCCCAAGATTTCCCCAGATTTCCTGAGAGCAAGCGGGGGCTTCAACAAGCAGTGAGCCAGCCCTACGCAGACCAGGGCTCCCTTCTGAAGCTGTCCAGAAAGAGGGGAACATGATTCAAGGGAAGGAGGTGGTAGGGCAGGGGCAGGGCAGTGGGTTCAGGGGCCACTAGACCCTCACCCCCTGACTTTATATCCCGAGGTTTTGATGTGCCCAGGAGTGGTGGGGTGAGAAGGGCAGGAGTTTTGAATGAATTCTGGGCATTAGAGAAGGCGGCCTCGAGGCTTATCTGATCATCTTTCTCCATCTGGAAAATGGGGATGTGGAGCTTCTATCTCCCTGAGAAGTGAGGTTGAACTGAGGACCTGCCACTTGTAAGCTGATTTTCCAGGCTTAACGGTAAAAGGGGAAAGAGGAGGTGGTAGCCCCGCTCCCAGCATCATGCAGAAACTGCCTTCAGGGCCAGCCACTTTCTGGTGGTGACAGTTCCGTGCACCAGGACACCAGGGGGCTGGGGAGAACACAGTCACTCTCATCCTAATCACAACTGTATAAAAAGCCCATGTCGACCGGCACGGTGGCTCACACCTGTAATCCCAGCATTTTGGGAAGCCAAGGTGGGCGGATCACTTGAGGTCAGGAGTTGGAGACCAACCTGGCCAACATGGTGAAACCCAGTATCTACTAAAAATACAAAAATTAGCTGGGTGTAGTGGCGCACGCCTGTAATCCTAGCTAGTTGGGAGGCTGAGGCAGGAGAATCGCTTGCACCTAGGAAGCGGAGGTTGCAGTGAGCTGAGATCACACCCCTGCACTCCAACCTGGGCGACAGAGTGAGACTCCATCTCAAAAAAAACAAAACAACAACAACAAAAAAAAAAAACAAAAAAAAACAAAAAACCAACCCCCTCCCCCACAAAAAGCCCATGTCACTGTTTCTGTGCCTCAACCCTCTAAGAGTGGCAGGATACCCATTTTACAGAGCAGGAGAGGGAGGCACAGAACAGCTAAGCGACCAAGTGCCAAGGGCTTCCAAGAGATGGCAGTTAGGGACACCTGAGTCCCCAGACTCTGAAGGGGCCTGCCCAGGCAGACAGCATCGCAGGAAGGGCGGGTCCTCACGGACAGAGAGACAGAAGCCACCTCAGGCCCCCCTGGACAGCTCTAGGACCTGGGTCCAGACCCCACCCCCATCCTGAAATAGCCCTCCCAAAAAGCAGAGACAGACACCAGGCGTGCTTTAGGGCTTTTTTTTTAATGTTTCCTCACTGTTTTGACAATATCATGAAAAAAATCAGTTTAGAATCTGGAATTGGCCTGGACGGGATTCGAGGGCAGCTGGCGGGGGCTGCATAGCCCCTGAGGTTCCTCCCCCACCATGGGACCTAAGCTATTGGAAACAGGAGCACCAACAGGGCACCGAACCTGGAACTAAGTTAGTGTCTAGAGTCAGGCAAGAGAGGAGAGTCAGGCAAGAGAGGAGGGGCCGGGCCACAGTCGCCATGGGGACGCCCCTGGCTGTGGTTGGTTCTGTGTCTCCCCCTCCCCTCACTGGCTACATGGAGACAGGGAGGTGGGTCAGGCTGTTCCCAGGACAGAAAAATAACCGGCAGTCAACCTCAGGGCTCATACCCGAGCTTCTGCTCAATCCCCTCGGGGACAGTTACAGGACTCAGAGAGAAACGTGAATTTCAGAAAAACAAATCATTTTTCACATAAGTGTTCCAAATATTGCGTGGGGCATATTAATGCTAGAAAATTATCTTTTGTTTACCTGAAATTTGCGTTTAACTCAGCACTCTGTTTTGGTTTTGCTAAATCTGGCCAACCCTGGCCTCAAAAGTCGGTGGGGGGAGGCCTGAGAAAAGAAAGGGAAGTAGTCAGTACTGAGGGTATTGAGGGGAGGGAGGGAATAACTCAGCCAAAAAGAAAAAAAAGGCTTTCCCCCCATAGGAATGATATATTATTTAAAAAAAAAATCGTTCTCCAAAAATATTCTGCACTGGCCTTCCTCAGTTGTTAATAGCTATGGGAGGTGCGTAGGGAAAACACACACACCAGACACCCACCCCATGTCATTCTAAATAAAGTTGGGAAGCACTAAAGTTGAGCTGGTGTCTTTGCCACGGATGTCCCCAGACTCCAGTCCGCTAATCGCCACCAGACTCCAGTCCGCTAATCGCCACTGTGAATTTTGAAGAGGAGGCTTAGTATAAAGGTTTTCTAAAAGGATTGATTCTCATTCTGAGGCAGACCTATTAACACCATCCTGATATTGCTCTATAAGGATTTAAACACAATAATAAAGAACAAACAAGCCCCTAGGGACTGAGCGAGTGCCCTAGCCCTGTTCCTAGTGTCATCCTGGAAGGGTCCCTTCTTGCAATTCACGAAGCCTGGGGGGCTTTCCTTCCATTCTCCATCCTGTTCTCTTCCCCTGGAAAGGGCTGCGTTTAGTGCACATGCTCGCAGCTGGCCCCCCGTCCAGCTCAGCTCCAAGGGGCTCCAGATTTCCAGGGCAGGAGCTGGGGTGGGGCAGGGAGGGGCTGAGAGGCAAGACCGTCTCCCTCCTGCTGCAGCTGCTTCCCCAGCAGCCACTGCTGGGCACAGCAGAAACGCCAGCAGAGAAAATGGGAGCCGAGAGTCCTTAGCCCTGGAGCTGAGGCTGCCTCTGGGCTGACCCGCTGGCTGTACGTGGCCAGAACTGGGGTTGGCATCTGGCATCCATTTGAGGCCAGGGTGGAGGAAAGGGAGGCCAACAGAGGAAAACCTATTCCTGCTGTGACAACACAGCCCTTGTCCCACGCAGCCTAAGTGCAGGGAGCATGATGAAGTCAGGCAGCCAGTCGGCACCCATGCCAGCCCCCTACGTCCTCCGAAGACCCGAGGGCCAGGCCAGTGTCCCTCATCTACAAGGTCCAGGGTCCATGGTCTGAATCAAGGGTCCTGGCTGCCCCTGCGCCGTAGGGTCAAAGGTCATAGTGGGGTGGGGGCAGGGAGAAGATGCAGCCAAGAGCTCCCGGTGGCCACCCACTGTCCGCCTCACACACGGATTTCATCCTCCTCCTCCTCATCCATGAAGGAGAACTCCTTGTCTGGCTGTCTTGAGACAGCAGCCCGGGCCCTGTCCGGCCCCCGGAAGGCAGGGCTGCGCTCCTCCAGGATGCCTGAGGTGCAGCTGGAGAGGGAGCTGCTGTCCCGTGTGGTGTGGCTGCCCATGCTGCGGGCTGAGCCGGGGCTGGGGGCCGCTGCTGCCCACCCCTCATCCTCCAGAGCATGGGAGGGGAGGGAGGGCAAGTCTGGGCCAGCCTTGCCTTCCTGCCTTGCCAGGGGAGGGGCCGCCACGGCGTACGGGGGAGCCTGGGTGATGGTGCCAGCGGCGCCCTCATCGCCATGGTAACCACCCTCCCCCTCCTCGGGGTCCCACTCCTCCTTGTCCATGATGCTGAGGACGTCACCCAGCATGGAGGGCCCCAGGTCGATGTGGAAGGACATGATGGACTCCGCATGCTTCAGCCCGTACGTGGCCTTGGGCACGACAGGCAGATCTGTCAGATCCCCAAAGGCCTGCTCATCGAGGAGGGGGTCAGGGGAATGTGGACCCGCGGCCCCATTCCGACGGGGCACTGCCTCCTCCGTGCCCGCCTCCTCATCGCCGCCCTCCCCGTCATTGGCCTTCTTCACGGGGCTGGATGACAGGCTCTTGGGCAGCTTACTGGTGCCCTTCTCCGCGGCCTCCTTCTCATTGAGCTGGGGCAGGGACATGGCATTCTTGACAAACAGGGCCGAGTCCCGCAGGGAGCCCAGCATGTCACGCTGCTCCCGCTCCCCCCTGGTCACCGACTGTGACCGCTTGCTGCCCCGGAACTTCCTGGACAGGAGACTGCGTTTGGAAGATGAAGAAGAGGGCTGTTCGTCCAAGGACTCGCCGTCGGGCTCGCCAGCCTTGCTATTGAGGAAGGAGGTGTCCCCAAAGGCGTCTCCGGCCCGGCCAACGTGCATGGTGTGGCGGAAGTCGCCCAGCGGGGCGCTGATCATCTCGGCCGTGAGGTCCGCTCGGGAACGGCGCTTGGAGTGCACCGAGCTGGACACCAGTTGCTTGAGGATTGGCATCTTGCTGGATGGGCGGGGAGGTGGGCCCTCCCGAGGTAGCCGGCAGGTCTGGGGTCAGATCTGAAGTCCAAGTCCAGTGGGCAGAGGGGGACGCAATGAGGAGATCATAAGGCTGCAAGCAGAGAATGAGAGGCAAAGGATTAACGCGGGCTGGCCACACGGCACAAAAGCCTCTTTGCCAGGGGACTGTCATTTAAACCCCAGCGCTCCTACCAAAGTTAAATGCTGTGAAATAAGCCAGCAATCCATGGTATAACCCTGCCTGTTTCTTCATCCGCAGGCATTCAGAGTAGAGGAGTGATTTTGCAAATCTGGTTAGAGTTCCAGTAGCCTCGGACACACTTTCCCTGAAACTTGAGAGAGACAGAACCTTTCTTGCAGAAGACAATGCCTCCCCTGCCCCTGCAAGCCAGGATGCTGCCAGAGTAAACATGACCACATTTAAGGACGCGAAGGTAAATCCAGCAATTCCAGGCAGCAAGCCAGGGAAGAGATGGAGTCTATGAGTTGGCTCCTATGAACAGTCAGCCTGGAGATGTGCTGTAAGTTCTTCCTGCTGTCTAACCTCGATCCCTGTGGAGTTAGTGGACACCCCACCCTGAGTCCTGGTCCTCAGAGAGAGAAGGGAAAGGACAGGACGGGCTCAGGGAGACAGAGGCTGACCAGCTCCTCCCCCTGCGTGGGCGGCACAGTCCTCTTTCTGAATCAGAACTGGGGTGGGGCTGCTGGGACCCACAGAACCAGCTCCCCAGCCTTTCAGCCTTCGCTTGGTATCCCATAAATGAGGATCCCGCCTGTGACGTCTCCACTGTGGAGCCCCAGGCTCTTTGCTGAGGGTCCACCTTCTGGTGTCTCGGGGAGATCAAGATTGGGCAACTTCCAGTTTCTTTCATCATTAGGGGAGTGGGAGGCAGGGACTGGACCCTAAATGACTTCGTCCCCCCAGGATCTGCAGACTGATTCCTAGGTGATTCACCAGAAATCCAAAAAACAGCAGAGGTAGAGCCCAGGAGCCTGGAGGCACCACTCTCACAGCTCCTGACAAGGGCCAAGTTGAAGTTCAGCATTGGGGCCAAACCAGCCCCTCTCTTCCCTAGAGGGGCTTGCCCCAAATACTAAGCCCAGCAGAGCTGGGCAGGTTGGGGAGAGATGGGTGCAGGGATTTAACAAAGTATGGTGGGTGAGAGGTGATGCTTGGACACCAGGTACCTGCCTGCCTCCCAGTCCAGCCAGCAGCACAGTTCTGAGAGGCACCCCCAGTCCAGACCCACTCTTCCCACTGCAAAACTCAGATGCTGGGTGCTTCCTCCGCATGCCTGCCGCTGCGTCACACAAGCCCACCACACCCCACCTGGCCCCTGACATCAGCCTGACAGGTCTCCCTGTTGGTCTCCCTCCTGTCCATCCTTCACCTCTTGGCTAAAACAAAACCCATCCACATGACGCCCTACCCAGTGCAGACCCCTTGATCCAATGACTAGTCCCCACCTCGCTCCTCAGTGTCCCCTACTTTTGTACCCTGATCTATCCCCTGAGCTGCAGTGGATACAAACAGTTCCCCAATGCAACCCCTGCCACACCCAGCATCCTTCAGGGCTCAGCTGGGACACATCACTACTCCCAGGAAACCTTTAGCCACCACCTGCCCCCCACGGCACTTTGGGAGATGTCCCCTCTTCCAGCAGATACTGGCTACATTATTCTGTCCCTGCTGGCTGGACTCTCATCTTCCCACTGCAGTACAAACTTCTAGGGTTTTGAGGCAGATTCTCGCCCTGTCCCCCAGGCCGGAGTGTAATGGCATGATCTTGGCTCACTGCAACTTCTGCCTCCCGGGTTCTAGCGATTCTCTTGCCTCAGTCTCCTGAGTAGCTGAGATTTACAGGTGCACACCACCACGTCCAGCTATTTTTTTTTTTTTTTTGTAATTTTAGTAGAGATAGAGATGGAGTTTCACCATGTTGGTCAGGCTGGTCTCGAACTCCTGACCTCAGGTGATCCACCCACCTCGGCCTCCCAGTGCTGGGATCAGGACGTGGGATCAGCGTGAGCCACCGCGCCTGGTCCATCCAGAGGGTTTTAACAGGTCTGTTTACCACCGAGTCTGGTCCAGCAGGGTGTGACACATGGTCCGCCTCCAACCGCCTCCAAGCACCCACTGGAAGTCCAGCACCTCCCTCCTCTCCTCCCCTTCTGCCCACAGCCTGGCTCCAGGGCTCCCAGCCTGACCTCTCTGCATCCTCACCCCCATCCGCTTCCCTGTTCTCTCAAGCCTCTGCTGCCCAGCCTCATGGCTTCCCCCACCAGCAATGTCCCCCCTCCCAGTGCCCACGCCATACCGCTTATCATTCCAGCAAACACAAAGTTCTCTCGGGCAGGGAGGGGGAGCCAGGCACCTGGCAGACTTGCCACACAGTGACGTGGGCGAGGACGTGAGGGATGCCTTGAGATGATACTCTACTCTGGGTCATAGGTCAGCTCTCTCTCCTCCCTACCCTTAGGAAAGTGACCTTCCCCTAACTCTAACTTGGATTATCTCTGGGCCCCACCCTCCTGCCCCACCTCAACCTCTAAACAATTAGACATTGAACCGCTAGACCAAAGGTCAGCAAACACTTTTTGCAAAGGGCCAGAGAGTAAATATTCTCGGCCTTGTGGCTGATAGGGTTTTTGTCACAGCTACTCAACTGTCTTCTTAGTATAAAACTAGCCGTTGGCCGGGCACAGTGGGTCACAACTGTAATCCCAGCACTCTGGGAGGCTACGGCAGGAGGATCAGTTGAGCCCAGGAGTTCCAGACCAGCCTGGGCAACACGGTGAGACCCCATCTCTACACAAAATCAAAAAAAGAAAGAAAGGAGCCATAGCAACATGTAAACAAGTAGGCATGGCTATGTTCCAATAACATTTTATTTACAGACAACTTCTGGGTTGGTGAGCAGATCGAGGTGCCAGGAAGGTGGTGCGTGCCCTGCCCCCCACCCCAACACTTGACCCCACGCATCCTCATGCAGCTCTTCCGTTTGGCTGTTCCTGAGTCGTATCTTTTGTAATAAACCAGTAAAAGAAAAAAAACCACCAAAAAGCCACATCTTTATTTACAAAAGCAAACGCAGGCTGGGTTTGGCCCATGGACTGTAGTTTGCTGACTCCTGAATATCATATATGACCCTCTTGGCCAGCCATGGGCTCCTAGGCAAAACTCTGAAGAAAACAGGAAGGGAGGAAGGGAGGGAGGGAGGAAGGGAGGGAGGAAGGGAGGGGAAGGAAAGGAAGGAAGGAAAGGAAATAAGGAAAGAAAAAAAGAAAGAGAGAAAGAAAAAGAAAGGAAAGAAGGAAAGGAAAGGAAGAGAAGAAAGGAAGAAAGGAAAAGAAAAGCAAGGAAGGAAAGAAAGAGAAAAAGAAGCAGCAGAAGAAAAGAAAAAGAAAAAGAGAAGGTAGACTCTGCCTCAGTCACGTTGGGCATAGAAGGGAAAAAGGCCAAGCTTCAAACGAACTCTCGTTCCTGGCAAATCCTTCAGGCTTCTACTGCCACCAGCAGGGACACCAGTCAGGAACGGAGGGGACCCCATCTTCCACCTGCCTGCACCCCGACTCCTGGCTCTACGCACAGCATCCAGGAATCTCAAAGAACTGGAGGGGATATTCAGTGCAGCACTTTCACTTTATGGATGAGGAAACAAGTTTATTGAAGGAAAGTGATTTATCCAGGTTTTTAGCCCAAAGCAACAGAGCTGGGCTAGAAACTGGGTCTTTGAGTCCAGAGCTCTCTCCGCTCCACTCCAGGCCCTTCTCCAGCTCTGGCGGCGGCATTGCTGGTCAGTGACCACCGACCACTGAGTGCTCCTCCCCACTGCTGGCCGGCAGGGTACAGAGAAGGGGGTACCCAACAGCTGCTTCAAGAAGGTTCTTGTGTAATCCTAGAGCAGGTTCCACACTGTTGCTATTTGGGCCAGATAATTTCTCATCGGGAGGTGGACCTGCCCTGTGCACTGTAGGATATTCAGCAGCATCCCTGGTCTCTACCCATTAGATGCCAGTAGCATCCACCCCCCAGTCACAACAAGCAAAACTGTCTCAAGATATTGCCCAATGTCCCCCAGGAGGCAAAACTGCCCCAGTTGAGAAACAGCAGCCTTGAGTGAGAACACACAGGTGAAGATAGAGCAGGTATGCTCACCAGGTAAACAACAAAGACAGAGAAGCAGGGAGGCGGGTGTGGATGGTCAGAACCGGGTGAGAACATGGCGGCACGAGCCCCCAGAGCTGCGTTAAGGGTTTCAACGCCAAGGCAGGAACCCCCAGACCCTGTGAGTGATGTCAGGTCCTGTGGTTTCCCGATCTTATACGCTCATTAGAGAGGAAAGAAAGGGAAACCACAGACCCGGCTCCCCAGGACTCACCAGAGAAGCTGCAGGTCACTGTGGCTGCCCAAAGGGACCAAATATCCTGGCCATGATGGCTACAGGGGAGGACAGCTCCCCGCATCCCATTAGCCACACCACCCAGCACATCCTTGCGGGTAGAACTATTGAGGTAGGTCAGAGGGGACAGCAGGGAAACTCAGCTGAAATCACGGCCATCCTGGGCTAGCCCTGGGGTCCCCAGGATCTTGTTCAACCCCACACCCCAGAAAGACAGGGACAGGTCTACCCAGTGCTGCCTGCTGCCACGGTCTCGCTTCCTGGGGGGTTGGGAACGAGACTTTGTGGCTTGTAGAAAGCCATCTTCAATAACCAGCAAGGAAGGGTCCTGAGAGAGTTGGGGCCTAGAGGGAGTCACGCATCTGTCCCACTGCCCCAGCGAGGAGGGGGCTGCAGTACCTGGCAGTCCACACTGGGGATGAGGCCTGGGTGTCTGGAGCTCAGACTAGACAGGCCACCCAGCAGGATTGAGGGTCAGCAACAGCTTGGTTTCACCAGCCTTGAGTGACCTTGAGTCACTCTGAGCTTCTAACAGAGAACAGTTTGGAGGTGACGAGCTGGATCATAGAGTTTAAGAGAAAGTAGGTGGTGGGAGTCTCGCCAGAGGCCTGGGCAGGTCCTGGGGGCAGCTATGGTTTGGGAGGCCACAGGGCATTGTGGCTTTGGGCGGGGCTTTCAGAAGCATGGTGACTCAGCTCTGGGGAAGTGGCTAAAATAGGCTGCCCAACGTGGGGCAGGCACTCCCCATAGCCTGCCTTGGGCGGGACACCCCCACCCCACCCCAGAAACCACATCCCACTTTCTTGGCAGGGAGAGGGAAAATGGATCACAGCTCACAGCCCTCCCTAGCTCTCCTGAGCCTCCGGAGGAACAGATTCCTCTACCCTCAGCCCACTGACCACGGAACCTTCCTTTAAGGTGGGAACGAGGAGCCCTCCCCAGAAGGTCAGGCCCCTGCTTGGGTCACAGCAACCACACCTTTAGTTCAGCCCTGTTCCTGAGACTACGGAAGACCACCCTTGCCTGGACCCCTCGCCTATCCTCCCTGGCCCTCCCAGCTTGGCCAGCCCAGCAGACCCAGAGCAGAAGGACAGACGGGACCAACACTTCTCACTCCAAGTGACCGGGCAGTGGCCTGTCCCTGGCAGCTTGGCTTGAGGCAGGCGCCAGACCTGAGCTCTCATGGGGCAGCTAGGCAGGCCTCGCTCTCTGAAGCTGCCCTGCGGTTCACCCCGGTATACAGGGTACACAACATGCCTCAATGCCCACTGCCACTGCCTCCGCCACTGCTGCTGGGCAGCATGCCCTCTGCAGGGCCTTCCCCTAGCTGTTCTAACCAACCACCCGATGCCAGGTCCAGGCAATGTGGCCGAATAGCAGAGGGCTTTTAGTGCACGATGACTTTAGTTGTGACCTGGATCGGCTACAAGAGGCTTTGTTCCATTACTCATCATCCAGTCACTCACTCCATGACTTCCTGCAGACCCACTGATATTCACAAACTCTTCTAGGCCCTGGAGATAGAGCAGTGAAAATAGCACGCTGTTTTCCCAGGGCACGTGTGTAGTGTGAGTGTGGGGGGTGGGGGTGGGGAATGGAGGTGTAAACCTATAAATAAAATAAATGGTATCTCATATTCCTCAGTATAAGGAGGGAAAGGGGTGGTATGAGTGGGTGTGGGAGTCAGGGGGTCTGGGGGAGGCCCCTCTTGAGGAAGGAGCATCATGAGTTGAGAACCAAATGATGAGAAGGAACCAGCCGGGTCAGAAGCGACCCAGGCAGAGGGAACGGCGCGTGCAAACGCCGGGGTATAGGAACAGGCTTGTGGCATTTATGGAATAGAATAAAAATCCATGCAGCCAGGGCCCAGGTTACATAGAGCCCTCCCTACCAGGCCACATAAAGAGTTCTGTTTTGTTTTTAGTTTTTATTACAGGCACCTGCCATCATGCCCAGTTAATTTTTGAATTTTTTGGAGAGACCAGGTTTCACCATGTTGGCTAGGCTGGTCCTGAACTCCTGACTTCAGGTGATCTGCCCGCCTCGGCCTCCCAAAGTGCTGGGATTACAGGAGCCACTGCTCCTGGCCGATTTTTTTATGTTTTTAGAGATGGGGTTTCACCACGTCGGCCAGGCTGGTCTCGAACTCCTGGCATCAAGCAATCCACCCGCCTTGGCCTCCCAAAGTTCTGGCATTACAGGCATGAGCCACCGCACCCAGCCCAGGTAAGGAGTTTGGAGGTCATTATAGGTGTACAAGGAAACCGGCGGCTGTTTGTAAGCAGGCGAGTGATTCAATCTGTGTATCTGGAAGCTCCCGGAGGTCCTGGCATTGGAGGAATGAAGGAGGGGAGCTGGAATTCAGTCAGGAGGCTGTTGCAGAAATGCAGGTCAAAGAGGATGGAGACCAGGATGTGGGTCTGGCGAAGGGGGACACAGTGGGAGACATTTAGGCCATGTTTTGGAGGTAGAGACACCCGGGATTGTGGAGGGCCCAGACCAGGGAGGAGAGAAAAGACAGGATCAAATGGGACTCCAGGCCTTCCAGGGGCAGCCTCTGGTCCTGGCCATCCTTTCCCAGGTTTTGCCTGGCAGGCCACGGCCCCTTCTCACAGGAGGGGCTGACATCCTACCCCTAGGCGGAACTTCACTTTGCCGAAACACAGGTGGCATTCTGCTACACAAGGCTTGTCAGATGGAACAGCACGCTGGAGGGGGTTGTGCAAGAGGCTCACTGGGACATGGGCCACAACTCTAAGAGGTGAGGGACTCTGGCTTTAGTCACCAGAGAAAAATCCAGTACTTTCTGGAACACTCACCAGCCTTACCCTGCAAAGATAGGAAAGCACAGGGAAGGCGGAAGACTGTGTTTCATTCAAACTGTGGCAGGGCTGAGGGCAGCTAAGTGAATGGGCGAGAACAGTGACCGCTTAGATACACGTGGTTACATGTTCCAGGCAGGACTTCAATGCCGACTGTGTTGTGATTTTAGCTGACTTTAGTATTCTTGGGGATCTTTTAACTCCTTCATGTGCCCTGCTCAAAAGCCCTTGCATCTGGAAGTGTGCTGCGTGCGCAAGGAGGTTAAGGCTCACTGCTGTAATATTCTGAGCCTAAGTAACCACAATCAAAAACCAAACACAAGGCCGGGCGTGGTGGCTCACACCTGTAATCCCAGCACTTTGGGAGGCTGAGGCGGGTGGATCTCCTGAGGTCAGGAGTTCGAGACCAGCCTGGCCAACATGGTGAAACCCCATCTCCACTAAAAACACAGAAATCAGCCAGGCATGGTGGTGTGCACCTGTAGTCCCAGTTATTCAGGAGGCTGAGGCAGGGAGAATCGCTTGAACCCAGGAGGTGGAGGTTGCAGTGAGCTGAGATCGCGCCACTGCATTCCAGCCTGGGTGACAGAGCAAGATTCTGTCTCAAAAAAAAACAAACAAAGAAACAAAAAAACAAACCCAGGATGGGAACATGAAATGTCACCATCAGGACTCCTGTACCATTTATGTATCTGTGTCAAATATCTCCTTAAAATACCTGGGTGTGGAGGGATCATACTTTCAAGATGGAAAGACCAAATTAAGGGACTTGCCCTAGGTCATGGATTGAAGCCAGAGTTTAATTCCCACCCCAGGGCTCCATTCACTTAAACAGCAATGTACTATCAAAAGTAGGGGGCATCACAGGACAAACACTGAATATGTAATTTGTGTATATACATATATGTGTATATATCTACACACATATATATTTTTATAGGTTATATTCATGTCTATTGTCATTCCACGCATTAGTAAGTTTTAGTTTACACACACACACCACACACACACACGCATGTGCACAAGTTTTGGTGTGTTCTTTCTAAATCCCAGTGGATTTTCTTTTTCTTTCTTTTTTTTGAGACAGAGTTTCGCTCTTGTTGCCCATGCTGGAATGTAATGGTGCACTCTTGGCTCACTGTACCTCCACCTCCCAGATTCAGGCAATTCTCCTGCCTTAGCCTCCTGAGTAGCTGGGATTACAGGCACCTGCTACCACACCCGGCTAATTTTTGTATTTTTTTTAGTAGAGACGGGGTTCCACCATGTTGGCCAAGTTGGTCTCAAACTCCTGACCTCAGGGGATCCACCTGCCTCGGCCTCCCAAAGTGCTGGGATTACAGGCTTGAGCCATTGCGCCTGGCCCCAGTGGATTTTCTTATGTACTCCTTGGGGTGCTAAAATGCAGCACCCACTGTGTCACATGACTCCCACTGAGATTGAGAGATGGTAGACATCTGGGAGAGGATCCAACCCAGTGGTCTTGATTAGGCTGTTGGGACCAGGAGAGGTGACTTGCCAAAGGCCACAGAACTCACAAGGGAGCCGGGCGGTGCTGGAGCCCAAGTCTCTTGACTCCCACCCCAAAGATCTTCCCCAGATAACACCTCAATGGGCTCACCGCCAGGCACTAGGACAACCTTCTGATGTTTGCTACCATCTTGCCCAAATTAAGAGCTGGGAAAGAGAAGAGGGAAGGACCTTCCTCCCACTGAGCAATTGGTACTAGGTGCCACCAGGCAGGGGGAACATTACAAAACTCTGATCCAAGAGCTGCTCAGAGTCAAAATGGTCCCAGGGTGGGGTGGTCTTGCGGTACATGAAACTCCAGCAAAATTTCTTCAAATAATGGCTTTAAAATAAATGATGGTTTTGGCCAGGTGTGGTGGCTCATGCCTGTAATCCCAGCACTTTGGGAGGCTGAGGTAGGTGGATCACCTGAGGTCAGGAGTTTGAGACCAGCCTGGCCAACATGGTGAAACCCCATCTCAACTAATAATACAAAGAAATTAGCCAGGCATGGTGGCGGGTGCCTGTAATCCCAGCTACTAGGGAGGCTGAGGCAGGAGAACTGCTTGAACCTGGGAGGCAGAGGTTGCAGCACACTGAGATCATGCCATTGCACTCCAGCCCAGGCGACAAGAGTGAAACTCCATCTCCAAAAAAAAAAAAAAAAGAATGATGGTTTTAAAATGAATATGATTCAGTTTCCTCAAATAATGGCTTTAAAATGAATGTGATTTAAATGAATATGATTTACCTCCTAGAACTTAACCCTGTGGAACTATTTCAAAGGCGAAAAAAGTCACACACGTATTTGTTGAAGCCTTATTCATAATAGCGAAAGACTGGAGACAGGCTAGTCGCAGTGGCTCACGCCTGTAATCCCAGCACTTTGGGAGGCCGAGGCGGGTGGACCACGACGTCAGGAGTTTGAGACCAGCCTGACCAATATGGCGAAACCCTGTCTCTACTAAAAATACAAAAAAAAAAAAAATTAAAAAATACATAAAAAAATAAAATTAGCTGGGCCTGGTGGTGTGCGCCTGTAATCCCAGCTACTCAGGAGGCTGAGGCAGGAGAATGGCTTGAACCTGGGAGGCAGAGGTTGCAGTGAGCCGAGATCACGCCATTGCACTCCAGCCTGGGCAACAGAGGGAGACTCCATCTCAAAAAAAAAAAAAAAAAAAGACTGGAGACAGACAGCCTAATGCCCAGTGATGGAGGAATGGAATGGCTAAGAAAGCTGGGAGCCATTAACTCAGAGCACCATTCAGCAGTCATGGAAAGTGGGAACTATGAAGACCATAGACAACATGGACCAAATGTTTACCAAATGGCATTAAATGGAAGTGCAAACAAAAGGCAGAACAGAGGCCAAGGCGAAGGTCAGGAGTGCAGTACCAGCCTGGCCAACTTGTTGAAACCCCGTCTCTACTTTTAAAAAAATACACGGCTGGGCACGGTGGCTCACGCCTGTAATCCCAGCACTTTGGGAGGCCGAGGAGGGTGGATCACAAGGTCAGGAGATAGAGACCATCCTGGCTAACATGGTGAAACCCCATCTCTACTAAAATACAAAAAATTAGCCAGGCGCGGTGAGGGGGGCCTGTAGTCCCAGCTACTCGGGAGGCTGAGGCAGGAGAATGGCGTGAACCCGGGAGGCGGAGCTTGCAGTGAGCCGAGATAGCGCCACTGCAGTCTGGCCTGGGCGAAAGAGCAAGACTCCGTCTCAAAAAAAAAAAAAAAAAAAAAAAATACACAAGGCCAAGCGCCGTGGCTCACACCTGTAATCCCAGCACTTTGGGAGGCCGAGGTGGGCAGATCACCCGAGGTCAGGAGTTCAAGACCAGCCTGGCCAACATGGTGAAACCCCATCTCTACTAAAAATACAAAAATTAGCCAGGTGTGGTGGCAGGCGCCTGTAATCCCAGCTACTTGGGAGGCGGAGGCAGGAGAATCACTTGAACCCGGGAGGCGGAGGTTGCTGTGAGCCAAGGTCGCGCCATTGCACTCCAGCCTGGGGGACAAGAGCAAGACTTCGTCTCCAAAAAAAAAAAAAAACACACACACACAAATTAGCCAGGTGTTGTGGCGCGTGCCTGTAATCCCAGCTACACGGGAGGCTGAGGCAGGAGAATCTCTTGAACCCGGGAGGCGGAGGTTGCAGTGAGCTGAGATCACGCCATTGCACTCCAGCTTGGGCAATAGAGTGAGACTCTGTCTCAAAAAAAATAAATAAAAATTTAAAATAAATAGAAAAACAGGCAGAACATATACTTGTTTATGTATAGTGGTTACAACTCTACACAAATATGCATCTGTGAATAAAGACTAAAAGGGCACATGGAGAAATTAAGAAGTTATGTTAGCCTTGAGAGGAAAACAGCCTCTTTTTCTTTTTGTTTATTTATTTATTTATTTATTTTTGAGATGGAGTTTTGCTCTATCGCCCAGGCTGGAGTGTAGTGGCACCATCTCAGCTCACTGCAACCTCCAACTCCTAGGTTCAAGCAATTCTCCTGCCTCAGCCTCCCAAGTAGCTGGGATTACAGGTGCACACCATGACGGCCAGTTAATTTTTATATTTTCAGTAAAGACGGGGTTTCCCCATGTTGACCAGGCTGGTCTTGAACTCCTGACCTCAAGCAATCCACCCGCCTCAGCCTCCCAAAGTGCTGGGATTACAGGTGTGAGCCACCGCACCTGGCCTTTTTCTTTTTAAAACAAACAAACAAACAACAACAGCGAAAAAAAAAAAAAAACCCAAAGTATCAAAGGCTTAAAGAAAAAGCATTCATTTCAAAACCAGCTTAAGACTATCTAGTTCTCTGGGTTCGGCAGCCACATCCCAGCATAAGATGCCAACTGAGGACTGAGTGAGAACTGGTCTCCATCCGTACTCTGCCTCTCTTGCGTGAAAATCTCCCACTGATGTCTGTTCTCTCTCTTCCTCCCTCAAAATCACCCCCAAGCCAGACACGTTTATTAGGTCCTTGTTTTATTCTAAGTTGCCTGGGCGGAGGAAGTGGGCAAGCTTTATTAACCTGACATCAGGGGGCACAGGGAGATCGGGACCCTCTCAAAAAACAGAACTCGCTCTCCAACAGCTGCTTCCTGATGCTTAAGCCTCCCCAGCTGAGCAGGAGATGAGCGATAAGGATCACTCCCACCCTACCGGAGATCGGCCTATTTCCAGTGACACTGAAGCTCCAAGCTGGAGGCCAGCCTCCCACATAACAGTGGGATCCTCTCAGAGAGATCCTGTGCAGGTGAAGGTTTTACTTCTATAGCTCTAGCTTGGCTAGACTGTCACTACAAGGGAGCAGAGAAAACAAGAAGGGGTCACATGAGGGCAACCAGCACCCAGGTGCTCCAGCCACCACTGACCGCCAAGCTGTGTGCAGAATTAGATCATCCCTGGGGGTAGATCTCTAATGGGGAAGGCACTAAAGTGAGTCTTAGCTCAAGAGTCAGAGAAACAGGCTCCCTAATCCCCTCCTACCCCATCCCTCCAGTACACCTCCTCATTCAACAGTTCTCATTCACTGGGCTCCGCTGCGTGCCAAGCACTGTACTGAGGACAACATACATTTATGCCCTTGAAACTCAAAGCAAACTCGCAAGGAGGCTGCCCTGATTGCCCCTATTTTAAAGAACGAGAAACGGAGACTCAGACAGAGTGAATTATTTTACTCACTCTCACATCTCACAGCTTTTTTTTTTTTTGAGACACGGCATTGCTGTCACCCAGGCTGGAGTGTAGTGGTGCTATCATGGCTCACTGCAGCCTCAACTTCCCGGGCTGAAGTGATCCTCCCCGGCCTCAGTCTCCCAAGTAGCTGGGGCCACAGGTGGGCACCACCATGCCTGGTTTATTAAAAATAAATACATAGGCTGGGTGCAGTGGCTCACGCCTGTAATCCCAGCACTTTGGGAGGCTGAGGCGGGCAGATCACGAGGTCAGGAGATCGAGGCCATCCTGGCTAACACGGTGAAACCCTGTCTCTACTAAAAATATTTAAAAAAAAAAATTAGCCAGGCGTGGTGGTGGGCGCCTGTAGTCCCAGCTACTCGGGAGGTTGAGGCAGGAAAATGGCGTGAACCCGGGAGGCGGAGCTTGCAGTGAGCCGAGATCATGCCACTGCACTCCAGCCTGGGTGACAGAGCGAGACTCCGTCCTAAAAAAAAAAAAAATACACACACACACACACACACACACACACACACACATTTTTAGTAGAGATGGCATCTCGCTTTGTTGCCCAGGCTGCTCTTGAACTCCTAGCTTCAAGCAATCTTCCTGCTTCAGCCTCCCAAAGTGTGGGATTACAAGCACGAACCGTTGCACCCCACACCCAGCCTCTCACAACTTCTAAGTGGTTATTTGAGCCCATTTCTGGCAGACCTTGGAGCATGTGATTTTCCATATGAGGTGATGCTGCCTGACCTGTGCAGGTGTCTGCAGCTGAGGATGTACATGTGGAGCAGGGTGGGGTAGGAAGGGTCTGGGAGCCGGTTAACCTAAGACTCTTGGAGCTAAGACTCACATTACTGCCTCCCCCATTAAAGCTCTATCCCCAGGCATGGCTGCATTTGAAACCTCCTGAAAGGAGATTTCTCTTACCCAGGAGCCCATTCCCACTTCCTGCTCTCAGGAACCTCCCAATGTTCTGGTGTTCTGGGAGGTGAGGGATGGGAAGGATCACCCTGAAGCACAAGCCAGGACTCTGCCGGCATAGTCAGGAGTAGATCAGCACAAGGCCTCACTTCTAGTGTGTTCCTGTCTGCTCTGTCCAAACTCCATCTTGTGTTCCTTGGTTATTCCAGCTCCCAGGAAGAAAAACCAGAACCGTGACCCAACACCACTTGCCCCACCCTCACTGCCCGCGTGCCAATCCATGCCAGGATCATTGATGCAAAGGTGCCACTGCACAGCCACCCTGGGGCAGATCCCATTTCCTGGAGATGAACATCCTCTACTTTGATGGCCCCTTCCTGAAGAAAGGGCAAGGTCCCAGATTTCATGCCATGTCTTCCCCCCACCACCCCCAGCCTCCAAGCTACAAGACAGTGCCCATTCCCCAGGTATCCCTACCGGGTGTGGGTCAGGGAGGGAGGAGTCTACTGGGAAGGGGGGTGAATCAGGGAGAGCAGGGATCATAGAGTGACCTGGACAAGGAGGAAAGCAATAGTGCACACCAGAACCTCCCAGCTACTTCCACTTTATGCCTTCTCTCTATGAGTTAATAATAATTGACCCTCCACTGTCCACCAGCCACTTCTGGCTTCTGAGCACTTGACATGTGGCCAGCATGGAATAATAAACACTGGAGACTGGGAGGGTGGGAACCCAGTGAGGGATGAGAAGTTACTTAATGGGTACAATGTACACGATTGGGTGATGGTTACACTACAAGCCCAGACTTCACACTACACAATATACCCATGTAACAAAACTATACTTGCACTCCTTATATTTATACACATAAAAATAAACACACAAAAATAAAAAATAGGCAGGGCGCGGTGGCTCACCCCTGTAATCCCAGCACTCTGGGAGGCTGAGTCAGGCAGATCACCTGAGGTCAGGTGTTCGAAACCAGACCGGCCAGCATGGTGAAACCCCATCTCTATTAAAATACAAAATCAGCCAGGCATGGTGGCGTGCGCCTGTAATCCCAGCTACTTGGGAGGCTGAGGCAGGAAGTATTGCTTCAACCCGGGAGGCAGAGTTTGCGGTGAGCAGAGATCACGCCATTGCACTCCAGCCTGGGCAAAAAAGAGTGAAACTCCGTCTCAAAAAAATTAAAAAAAAAAAAAAAAATCTGGCAAGTCCAAATGGATATGTGCACAAGTGGAAAATACACACTGGACTTCTAAGATTTAGTATAAAAAAAGAGGATGTATAAAATATCTCATTAATATTTTAGACTGATGTGTTAAAATGATATTCTGAATATAGTGAGTCAAAATGTACCATTTCCTCTTACTTGTTAAAATGTAACTATTAAAATATAAATTATGTATGGCACTTGCCTAAGACTTCTATTGGAGAGCAATAATTTAGACATTTTCCCCCTTATTACACAAGCAGCATGTTCCCTTGTAGATGGATAAATAAAGCCAACCATTGTTCACAGCTGGGTCAAAATATTTACATGTTAACAATTTATGCTACATTGTTTTAAATTAAATCTTAATATCTAATTTTTACATCCAATCAGGGATTGAATGGCTAGGTTGTTTCCATTTTCAGTTGAAACTCTGTAAGGTCCTTTCAGGCAATTATGTGCATAACCTTAACTATTTCCAGATGATACATTCTTGTGAGTCTGTCCCCCAGGCTGGAGTGCAGTGGTGTATCTCAGCTCACTGCAACCTTCCACTCCTGGGTTCAAGCAATTCTTGTGCTTCAGCCTCCCAAGTGGCAGGGGCTACAGGCACACGCCACCATGCCCAGCTTTTTTTTTTTTTTTTTTGAGGCCAAGTCTGTATTGCCGAGACTGGAGTGCAGTGGTATCATCTCAGCTCACTGCAACCTCTGCCTCCAGGGTTCAAGCGATTCTTGTGGCTCAGCGTCCAGGCGTGCGCCACCATGCCCAGCTAATTTTTGCATTTTTAGTAGAGATGGGGTTTCACCATGTTGGCCAGGCTGGTCTTCAACTCTTGACCTTAGGTGATCCACCCACCTCGGCCTCCCAAAGTGCTGGGATTACAGGCGTGAGCCACCATGCCCTGCCTGCCTGGCTAATTTTTGTATTTTTAGTAGAGACAGGGTTTCACTGTGTTGGCCAGGCTGGTCTTGAACTCCTGACCTCAGGTGATCCACCAGCCTTGGCCTCCCAAAGTGCTAGGATTACAGGTGTGAGCTACTGCACCCGGCCAGCAGGCTACCTTTTTTTCCCCCTAACATATTTAATGGCCACCCCACCAAGCTTATACTACCTTACAGGCTCTAAGCAACTATATGATTGAATCTTTTGGGCTTTGGAAGTGGATAAGCTCATCATCTGCAACTAATAATAATTTTGCCTCCTCCATTCCTCATTATCTCGTTATATTTGTTACACTGCCAATATAATGTTGAATAATACCACTGACATGAAACATCTCTCTTTCTGGCACTTACAGTGATATCCTAAACCTCCGGCATCTAATCCAGCAGCCACAAGCCACATAAGGCTACTGAGTACTTAACATGTGGTTAGTGTGATTAAGGAGCTGAATTTTTAATTTTTTTTTTTTGAGACAGGGTCTCACTCTGTTAACCAGGCTCAAGTACAGTGGCACAATTACAGCTCATTGTAGCCTCAACGTCCTAGGCTCAAGCAATCCTTCCACCTCAGTCCCGAGTAGCTGGGACTACAGGTGTGCACCACCATGTTGCCTAGCCAAGTCTTAAAATTCCTAGCCTCAAGTGTAATCTCAAAGTGCTGGGATTACAGATACGAGCCACCACACGTGGCCAGAATTTTAAATTTTAATTATTTTACATTTAAAAATTGACAATTGGCCGGGCGCGGTGGCTCAAGCCTGTAATCCTAGCACTTTGGGAGGCCGAGGCGGGCGGATCACGAGGTCAGGAGTTCGAGACTATCCTGGCCAACATGGTGAAACCCCGTCTCTACTAAAAATACAAAAAAAATTAGCTGGGCATGGTGGCGGGCACCTGTAGTCCCAGCTACTCGGGAGGCTGAGGCAGGAGAATGGCGTGAACCCGGGAGGCAGAGCTTGCAGTGAGCCGAGATGGCGCCACTGCACTCCAGCCTGGGGGACAGCATCAGACTCCGTCTCAAAAAAAAAAAGATAATTGGCCAGGCGCGGTGGCTCACGCCTGTAATCCCAGAACTTTGGGAGGCTGAGGCGGGCGGATCACCTGAGGTTGGGAGTTCGAGACCAGCCTGACCAACATGGAGAAACCCCGTCTCTACTAAAAATACAAAATTAGCTGGGCGTGGTGGCGCATGCCTGTAATCCTAGCTACTCGGAAGGCTGAGGCAGGAGAATGGCTTGAACCCAGAAAGCAGAGGTTGCGGTGAGCCGAGATCGCACCCTTACACTCCAGCCTTGGCAACAAGAGTGAAACTCCATCTCAAAAACAAACAAACAAACAAACAAAAACTGATAATTGGCCGGGCACGGTGGCTCACGCCTGTAATCCCAGCACTTTGGGAGGCCGAGGAGTATGGATCACTTGAAGTCAGGGGTTCAACCCCAGCCTGGCCAACATGGTGAGACCCTGTCTCTACTAAAAATACAAAAATTAGCCTGGCGTGGTGGTGGGTACCTGTAATGCCAGCTACTTGGGAGGCTGAGATAGGAGAATCGCTTGAACCCAGGAGGTGGAGGTTGCAGTGAGATGAGATCATGCCTCTGCACTCCAGCCTGGGCAACAGAGCAAGACTCTGTCTCCAAAAAAAAAAAAAAAAAAATTAATTCCCCCTTCCTTTAGTTTTAAAAACATGGCTCCTAGAAAGCATAAAATTCCATATGTGACTAGCGTCACATTCCTATTGACAGCATCATCCTAGGGCTAGTCCCACTGATCATCCTGCTCACTGTGATTTGAATATCACACAAGTATTCTCCACCACCTTAAGGAATGCACAATTCTTACAGTTTATGGGAAAATGATGCCAATAACTCACTCAGCCAGGCTGAGTTATGGGAAAACACACTACGGCTTAAAATAATTTACCCTTTAATTGCTGGAAGATATAGCATAAGGAGTCTAGTCTAGTTTAAATGGTGACTCATTATCAAGAACACTCCGGAATAACATCTCTCCATGTGGATCCCAACAGATAGCAAGACTGTGTGCTGAGGAACCCACTCTAAGGAAATACTATTCTAGACCCTACCTAACCTCAGGGGTAGACCCCTCCCCAGACTCTGCAGTAACTATTCCTGGGCCACATGTCATGGAGAAAATACGAGAAAGAACTAAGATTTGTTGAGCTTTTTACTCTGCACCAGGCATTGTGTTAGGTGATTTATTTTGATTAAACTGTCTCTTTTCTTCTTCTTCTTTTTTTTTTTTTTCCTGAGAGAGGGTCTTGCTTTGTCCCTCAGGCTGGAGTACACTGTAGCAGTGCAATCAAAGCTCACCGTAACCTCAAACTTCTGGGCTCAAGCCATCCTCCTACCTCTGCTTCCCAAAGTGCTGGGACGATAAACTTTGTAGTCATACACGGTCCCAAGCATTTGAAAAACTTTATCTCATGTATTCTTCCCAACAATCCCATGGAGTTATCACTATCATCCCCAGCTCACAGATAAGAGCACCGAGACTTAGAGGGGCACGTGCTCTACTCAAGTCACACACGGTTGGTTAGGAGAGAGAGACAAGAATCCAGATGTGCTGGACTCTGGGTTTTTTCCACTCCACCATAAGGAACATCGGGGTGGGGGGGGCGGGTGGTGCGAGGGGGACAGTGCATCATAAGTGTCCCTGGGGCTCAGGCCTGGGAGGGCTGCTCAAGGCTCTGGATGCATGAGTACACACAGGATACGCAGTTGTGCACACAATTTCAGGTTAACATCTCCTGAGTCTGAGCACCTCATTCCCCACCACTCCAGGGAACTTATAGATTAATCCTGGAAAATACAGGCTACAGCCCAACACCCCAGGTCCATCCAGGGGAGCCTCCTGCTCCTTGTGGGCTGGGAACCAGCTGCCCTGCTTGTCTCCTTCATCTTCGTTCCTGCACCCACCTCATCCTTATCCTCATCCCCATCCCAGAACCACAGGCTTCAGGCCAGGGGAGAAGCAGGTCAGCAGGAGGTGAAGGGGAAACCTTCCCTCACCTCCTGGGAATTAGAACAGCACAGAGAAGGGAAGAAAAAGGAGCCAAGACTAGGGAGTGACCGGAAGCAACAACGGAGGAGTCAAGACGAAGAGGAGCCAGTGACTCAAGGACATCCGGCAACTTCACTTGATTACAGGGCCCTTCCTGGAAATGTGTGCTTCCCGGAGCCACCACCCGAAGCCAGCCACCAGCAGAGGGACCATCTGGGCCAGGCAGGATGGATGCCTGGTGGGGGGCCCCACTGCCCCCATACAGGCTGGGCCCTCCTCCTCTAGGAGTGGTGCTACTACTGGGCAGCAGGGTGCCTCCCTCCTGCTCGGGAGTGATCGCAGAGGAAAGTGCCGCGCTTGAAATCAGATCTGCCAGGCCTTGTTTGGTTTCACTTTGCCGCTCCTAAGAGCCGGGTGCTCAGCTAAGAACTGGGAATTTCATGGCCACCTTGGGGTCTCCAGGAGACTGGCAGATCTAAACTCCCTCCAGAGCAGACAGGCTAATCTTGCATCTTGGCCCTGCCGGAAGTTGGGGACAAAGAGCCCCACTCCCTAGGTCACAAGGTGGCCTGCCACGTGGGTCAAGTTATTTGTGCCTCAGTTTCCTCATTAGCTCTCAGAACAATTGATAACATTACATAACTCCCAAGTGCTGTGCTCGGGTGAGCACAGTTCCATGTGTGCTATAAAGATGATGCTGTCACACCCAGTGACACTCCAGCCACTGTCACTTCGCAAACTTCATAGAGAACAGCCACCTGAGAGCACCTAATTCAAAAGTCTGTACAGTGAAACGTGGGCTGAGACAATGGGTTGACCCTTTTCAAAGTCCTGGGGGTTCCCAGGATTATCTGATGCAGGGGGAAGGGTCCCCCAAGCTGCTGAAGCCCAGGTACAGATTCTGCCCTCCCTCTGTAGTCTCTGCCAGCAGTCGGGGGCAGGAAACCCTCGGATCTGGTTTCTTTCCTGATCTGAGTTCCCTCATCCCGTCACCTTTTAACCTTTAATGATGCCAGAAGAAGGAGCCTGGCTTCTCTCAGACAAGATGGTGAGGTGGAGGTGGGAAAAGAGAAGCTCCTCCATTCCTTCCTAGGATAAGGGTAAAAGTAACTCAGGAATTTGCCAGACCCCGGGTGCTACTAGCAACAAATAATGCACAGGCCAGGCACCGTGGCTCATGCCTGAAATCTCAGCACATTGGGAGGCAGAGGCAGAAGCAGGAGGATCGCTTGAGCCCAGGAGCTTGAGACCAGCCTGGGCAGCACAGTGAGACCCTGTCTCTAAAAAAAAAAAAAAAAATTAAATTAGCCAGGCATGGCGGCACACGTCTATAGTCTCAGCTACTCAAGGCTGAGGTGGGAGGATCTCTTGAGCCCAGGAGTTTGAGGCTGCAGTGAGCTGTGATTGCACCACTGCACTCCAGCCTGGCCAACACAGCAAAAAGCCTGTCTCAAAACAAAAAAATAATGCACAAAACTTCAATATGATCAACCCCCAATAAAATATAATCTGATCTTTTGGACCTAACCAGATTCTCCTTAGAGGTAACCACAAATCGTACTGCGAGCCCCTAGGCTCTTTTTGGGCTCTCTTGGGCTCTCTACTCCTTGTACCACTTGACAAAGCCTTAAGCCCAATTCCAGGACTTGAGGGGAACAGGTCCCTTTCTGATGCTTCAGGGTTGGAGGCAACAGTGTAAGGAAATAAGAAGGTTGCACTGAGTGAAGACCCGAGGTAGAGAGGAAGGACAGGCAGGAAAGAGAAGCCAGCACACAGAACCTGGCTTTGTTGGCACACTTGGAGAGATTCAAAGCTGGGGTCTCCAGACCAAGTTCAGTGACTGCCAGAACTGCAGGTGTCTGGGCAAAAGAAGAACCCAGAGTCTCATGCTGGGAGGTGGAGGCTGCCCCAGACAACCTCTGCTACCGTGATGGCCAAGGCAGAAGATGGTGGCTGAAGCAGCTCTGGCTGAGCACAGACATCCAGGGATCCTTCTTGCCTGGCACTGTGGTTTTTCCAGATGCCTTCAGCTCCATCTTTGGGGTGAAGGGGAAACACCAGGTGTGCAGAGCAGTTTCTTACAGGTGGGGAACTGTAAGCCTTCATTAATGACCACACCCTAAACTGTGCTCACCTGAATCCCAAAAGAGAGACCCTTCCTCAGCTTGAGTGGAGACAGCCAGTTCCCCTGTTCCTGGCAAGGGAGGGCTTTGGATGCCAGCACTGCCATCCTGGCACAGAGCCCAGAGCTGCAAGCTGGCAGTGCCTGGGGGAGACTCCAATGTAAGTTAGTTGGAAGGAAGCCCAAGTCTCCTCAAGAAGGCGTATTTTAAGCTGGAGCTTTCGGGGCACGGTGAGCGGGAATGTGGGAGACTAATGTCTGAATTTTTCTTTCTTTCTTTTTTTTTTTTTTTTTTTAGACGGAGTCTCGCTCTGTCACCCAGGCTAGAATGCAGTGGCGCGATCTCGGCTCACTGCAAGCTCCGCCTCCCGGGTTCACACCATTCTCCTGCCTCAGCCTCCCAAGTAGCTGGGACTACAGGCGCCCACCACCAAGCCTAGCTAATTTTTTGTACTTTTTAGTAGAGACAGGGTTTCACTGTGTTAGTCAGGATGGTCTCGATCTCCTGACCTCCTGATCCACCCGCCTTGGCCTCCCAAAGTGCTGGGATTACAGGTGTGAGCCACCACGCCTGGCCCTGAATTTCTCTCTTTTTTTTTTTTTTTTTTTTGAGATGGAGTCTCACTCTATCGCCCATGCTGGAGTACAGCAACCTCCACCTCTTGGGTTCAAGCGATTCTTGTGTCTCAGCTTCCCCAGTAGCTGGGATTATAGGTGCACGCCACCATGCCCGGCTAATTTTTGTATTTTTAGTAGAGACGGGGTTTCACCATATTGGCCAGGCTGATCTCAAACTCCTGACCTCAAGTGATCTGCCCGCCTTGGCCTCCCCAAGTGCTGAGATTACAGGCGTGAGCCACTGTGCCCGGCCCTAATGTCTGAATTTCCTTCCCAACGCACTCAAGCAAAAAGGGCTGTGTCCAGTGCCACATGCGGGCTCCTTCCAGCACTACCATCCAGTTCCCTGCCGAGAGAGGGCACGCATGGGCTTGGCCTTCCTAGAGCACCCCAGAAGCACTGGCTGGAGTTGGCCTTCAGGACACTCTGCCGGATGACCCCTCAAAGTGTCCCCAGCTCCAGAATTTGGTTCTTTTCCTCACGGTCGGGAAAAATCCTCCAGTACGTAGGTCAGAAGAGCTACGCAGAGCTCAGGTCAGCTCTGTTTCCAGGGCGAGATTGCTCAACCCTTCTCCCTCCGCCCACAGGCCTTATCTCTGGCATCAACCCAGCTCCCCATTCCTCCAAGGGACGGACTCCTCCCTCCCCCCACAGGGACAAACTCCTCTGAGTCTGCAGAACCAGAATGAGAACACAGAAGGCTGGACTTACTGCTAACCAAGTGCAACCCTGACCACTCTGACTTCTGACTTCTTCACTTCGAACCCAATCCAAACGTAGGGGCGTGGGGTGGGGGAGAGTGAAAGGGAGAGGCCAACATCAAACACCTTTTGGCCACACCTGCGCACAGACAGTCCGGGCCGCAGAAATCAATCAGTCACTCCAAAGGGGTGGAAGCCCTGGGCCACTGCCAACCCAAGGCCCTTCTGGAAAAGCTCTGGACTTGTTAAGAAGGGTTGGCCAGGGCTGGGTGCAGTGGTTTACGCCTGTAATCCCGGCTCTTGGGGAGGCCGAGGTGGGTGGATTGCCTGAGTTCAGGAGTTCGCGACCGGCCTGGGCAACACAGTGAAACCCTGTTTCTACTAAAATACAAAAAAAAATTAGCCGGGCGTGGTGGCATGCACCTATAATCCCAGCTACTGCAGAGGCTGAGGCAGGAGAATTGCTTGAACCCGGGAGGTGGAGGATGCAGTGAGCCAAGATTGTGCCACTGCACTCCAGCCTGGGCAACAGAGCAAAGCTCTGTCTCCAAAAAAAAAAAAAAAAAAAAGGGTTGGCCAGGTGCAGTGGCTCATACCTGTATGCCCAGCACTTTGAGAGGCCGAGGTGGGGGAAGATCCCTTGAGCTCAGGAGTTCAAGACCAGCCTGGGCAACATGGTGAAACCCCACCTCTACAAAAAATACAAAAAATGGCTGGGCGTGGTGGTGGGCGCCAGTAGTCCCAGCTACTCAGGAGGCTGAAGTGGGAGGATAGCTTGAGCCCAGGAGGTCCAGCCTGCAGTGAGCCTTGACTATGACGCTGCACCACAACCTGGGTGACAGAGCAAGACCTGGTCTCAAAAAATTAATAAATAAAATAAAAATTATTTTTAAAATCAAAAGACTGGTGTAAGATTCCTCTCCCAGGTCAACACTCACTCCCCTGACCTTTATACATGAGACCTCCCTTTGCTTCTGACTCCTTGGTCTCTGGTTCTGTGAGGTGCTGTCGGGTTCCAGAGGCAGCAGCACAGTGGAGGCAGGGTACAGAGGATGGGGACAAGCACGGTGGGTGGGCAAGGGAAAGAGAGAAACGAGGGGAAAAGAGAAGAGGAATCCAAAAAGAGAGAGGCAGAAACCCCAGAAAATGGAGAATCATTCACAGCACAGGCCTAGGCTGTACAGCAGAGCAGGAGCAAGCTGCCCTCTGTGTGCAGGGACCCTAGGACTTCAGGGAGATTTCAGAGGGGAGGCGCTGAGACTCACCCCAGAACCACCGCCCATATGATCACAGCGGGCCCCTCCTAGTCCCTGCAGGGGTCCACCAGGATGCCTGGGAATCCACTTGGGATCTCCCCAAATTCACTGAACACCCCTTGTGGGAAGGAGCAGCTGTCTTCAAGGAGTGGAGAGGCAAAGTCCAAGTTCAGAGGAGATAAGCCACCCCACTAATCAGTCAGTCACATGTGCAGCTCACACAGGGCAGTTGATGAGAGCAGGAACCGGCAGGGCACCCCCGCATTCAGTAGGCACTGGCTTCTCAGCAGAGATAGAGCCTCAGGAGATCCTGGTGGATGCCCTGTTATTGCCCCAGGAGCCCCTGGGGCTGCCAGGGGCTCTCTTAGGGCCTGGCTCAGTCCCAGCCAACTCCCGATTTCTGGGAGAAATCAGAAATCCGCAGCTCAGCAATCCCTTCCTTTGTGGCCTGTTCTTTGTTCTCTTAAAATTCAGTCCACCCTGCTGGTGGTCCCTCCTCCACCCTAGCCTCAGAAGCGGGCGGGGGCTGAGGGAGTTATTGGAAACCCAGACTGCCAAAGAAGTCGCCTTGCAGGAGGCCCCTGTCACCGGCCCCTCATTATTTACACTCGCTGGATGGGACATTTCTCTGGTACAGATGGCTGCTGGGGTTCGGACGAGAGAGAGATTTTCCCTCCAGCACCCTGGACCCTCAGGGGAGGGCAGGGGGCTTCGCAGCGACGGGGGCTCCCAAGGACTCCACCCGGATCCAGCTGCTCAGCTATCTGGGCAAACAGTGGGCACCGGGCACACAGTAAGGGATGTGGGAGCCGGTCAGATTGCAAGGGGTGGGAGTCGTGGAGAGAGAGAAGTTCCAGAGGCAACGAGAAAAGAAAAGGCATTGTATTTCCCCTCCATTCTCCCAGGGAGAAAAAGAAAACTTCCAAAGCCGAGGCCGCAGTCACTGGGAAAACACAGGGAACCTGGTTTGAGTTAGCAGCGAGCACCCCTCCCCCAGTCACACACACACACACACACACACACACACACACACACACACACACACACACGCACTTCAGTCCTCTCCCAGGAAGCTGGCTCAGCCTCAGCCCCGGCTCCCGCCCAGCTCTCCAGCCCTCCCGGCCGGGGCACTCACCGGCTGACGGGATCCCCGCGGGCAGGATGGCTCCTGGGGGACGCGCCGGGGGCAGGGGGCAGTTTTGTAACCCCGGCTGGGGGCGCTCCGGAGAGGGGGCGGGGCCAGGGACGGCCGATCCGCGCGCACCCGCCCCAAGCGGGCGATTAAATCATTAACCGACCGCTCCCGCCTGCGATCCCGCTGAGCGCGCTGAGCTCGGGGCGCACTAGCCCAGGAGCGGCCGTCTCCCCGGCTCCAAGGGGGCGGGTGGCTCGACTGCCCTCCCCCCGCACCCCGCCAGGAGGCGCCTCGGCCTCCCGGGCTTCCGAGGGAGCGGGCGGGGCGGGAGCCTGGCGGGGGAGGGAAGGGTTCGCGGGGCGGGAGTAGGGGAAAGGAGGACCATTTGTTCCTTCGGCCATTCCCTTCCAGACAGCTCCTTCCCTCTGGCTTCCCGGCCGGGTGACATTGGGTGGCGTGTGCTGCAGTGTGTGTACGAGAGCGAGATGTGTACACGCCTCTGCCCGTACAGGCGGAGAATTCGGTTCTTATTCATGGAGAACTCCGGGCGCACACACGCCCCCCTCGCGGAGATCGCGGGCCGCGCGCCGCCGATTGCTGCGCTCCTGCCCACACCGACACACACCCCATTCCTGGGAAGGGGGAGGCCCTTTAAAACCGGCCCCCAACCCCCTCAGCGGCACCCTTGGCCAGGGCCGGGAGTTCCAGCGTGGAGAGAGGAAATGGAGTCCCGGCAACGCTGCGCCCGGCTCCCTGCCACCTCCTCCTCCACACATCCCGCTCTGCCAGGACACTAGGTGCGCAGCTTAGGGTCCCAGGCACCGCGGTGGGCGCGGTGAAAAGCGCGAGCGCCGAGAAGTGGGGGCTCCGCGCCCTTCTCCCCGCGCCGCGGCCTCGCATCCCCAGCTTCGATCCTCTCTGCCCCACAGGGGGACTCGAGACCCCCAAGCCCACCCAGGGCACCCAGCGCGAAGGCGGCTACCACAGACAGAGGCGGTTGCCCGTCGCCTACCTCGGTCCCCGGAGACCCGAGCTCTGGGCCGGCTGCGCTGTCCCCTTCGTGGGCTCCGCGCGGCGGAGGGGCTGGCGGCCCCTGTCAGCGCCGGCGTTTGTTTCCCTCTGGCTCTCGGGCTTTCAGGGCTGGGAGCCTCCAGGACACTCCCCTTCCAGGCTCCGCCCGCGCCCGCCCCGCGCAACCCTCCCCGCGCACCCCTCTGCGCTGATGTCACGGCGCCGCAGCAGCCAATGGCCGTCGGGAACCTCTGCCCGACTGCTCGGCCTCCTCGGTTCAAACTGAAAGCCTGAGACTTTCCCAACTCCGTATGGGGCAG
Source organism: Homo sapiens (assembly GCF_000001405.40). Classification (NCBI taxonomy): domain Eukaryota; kingdom Metazoa; phylum Chordata; class Mammalia; order Primates; family Hominidae; genus Homo; species Homo sapiens. Next base: position 73,312,212 of record NC_000017.11, read on the forward strand.
CCTGGGCCCGCCCGGCTTCCGGGAGACACTCCCGCCCCAGCCTGCGCTCCGGCCGCGAACCCCCACTGGGGCCCCCAGGGCCAGGGGCGCGTCTCCCTCCGGGGGCCTGGCGCGAGGCTCTTTTGAGGCTCTTCCCCATTCGAGCCGGGGCAAGAAACCAAGAACTCCAGCCCGGGTGGCGTTCCTCGTTCCTGCTCCCTCCCGGACCTGCTAACCACCTGGCTGCAGTACTGTCGGGAGATGGGGCAGGAGGGCTGGCGCCACCAGCTTCGTGGGTGCCATCCCAGACTCTCGCTGTAAACGAGGGAGCGGGGAGGAGCCGGCCAGCCCCGAGGCCAGGCTTGGACTGGGCGTCAGAAATGTTTCTACAGGGTGACAGCCCTTGAGCTCCCCGCATCCCCGTCTGTGCCTTTGCCTCCTAAGTATCAGCTGAGGCTAAATTTGCACCAGGTGAACGTCAAGGAGGATCAACTCCTGAGTCCCAGAGCCTGAATCCAAGTCCCAGGCCTTGGACTCTATTCTTTTTAGAGGAATAGTTTCAGTTGAAATGATCATTATCAAGGTAGAATGCCAGCTGCGAAGTAGTCAACTAAAGTGGACAAGGCGCAAAGTGAAAAGTTCCCTTGCCTCTAGCTGAACCCCACCCTCGGTTTTTAAAGGAAGTGAGGGTGAAGGCCCCAGACTTTCCCCATGGCTGCGAGGTCCCTAAGCCCTCAGGAACATTCTGCTTTCTGGGGACAGCACATTTCCGTTTCCCTCTGCAGTGCGACAGCAACCAGCTCTTGAGAGCTAATGGTTTGGCCACTCCATCCTGCTGTGAAAATTAAGTTCTGGGCTGGGCGCAGTGGCTCATGCCTGTAATCCTAGCATTTTGGGAGGCCAAGGCAGGTGGGGGGTCACTTGAGGTCAGAAGTTTGAGACCAGCCTGGCCAACATGGCGAAACCCCATCTCTACCAAAAATACAAAAATTAGTCGGGCATGGTGGTGGGCGCCTGTAATCCCAGCTACCCAGGAGGCTGAGGCGGGACAATCGCTTGAACCTGGGAGGTGGAGGTTGCAGTGAGCCGAGATCGCGCTATTGCACTCTAGCCTGGGTGACAGAGGTAGACTCCATCTCAAAAAAAAAAATAAATGAATAATAAGTAAAATCAAATTCTGAACTGGACATCTGGAGGGAAAGGTAGGGTTTGGAGCCACTTGGGAGGCAGACACTGTGGATTCAAACCCTGGCGGGGTTATCATGGATGTAAACCAAAAAGTGACTAAGGCAGATCTCAATCAAATAGAGGTTTAGTTAGCCAAGGTTGAGGATCCACCGGGGAAAAATCACCTTTTTTCCAAAAAGGTTTTGGGAACTTCTGTATTTAAAAGAGAAAAAGCAAGCAGGAAAGGAAAAGAAGAGGGAGAGAGGGAGGAAAGGCATTGAGGTCACAAGCGTGTGAGGCTCTGATTTAGTGTCTGTAAGTCTACATTTTACATGTGAAAGGGAATAGAAGAAAAAGTCAATGATGCATTGTCTCCTACTCAGTACGTCTAAGGGGAGCAAAGGAAACCCTGTGTCAACAGGGTTGTGAAACTGCAGCTATCTGGGAACAAAAGGAAAGCAGCTTCTGTGGTTTCCAAGCTTAACGTCCCCCCCAGCCCCGCCCCTTTTTTTTTTTTGGAGACAGGGTCTTGCTCTGTTGCCCAGGCTGGAGTGCAGTGCTGCAATCGTAGCTCACTATAGCCTTGGCCTCCTGGGCTCAAGCGATCCTCCCACCTCACCCTCCTGAGTAGCTGAGACTACAGGTGTGCGCCACCATGCCCAGCTACATATTTTGTACTTTTTCTTTTGTAGAGACAGGGTTCTGTCATGTTGCCCAGGCTGGTCTCAAACTCCTGAGCTCAAGCAATCCACCCACCTCAACCTCCAAAAGTGCTGGGATTAAACTTTCCCTTTGACATAGTGAATTTGGGGTCCCGAGATTCTATTCCCTTTCACATGGGGAAGTCGCTAATTCCCACCTCTGACCCTTAGCTAGCCTGGCTGTCCTTATGTGTCCAAAGAGCACAGGACCCCTCTGCTAGCCTCGTCTGGAGGGTGTAAAGAGGAATGAGATATCAGGTGTGAAAGCGCTTTATGACTAGAAAGCAACCAGAATGGAGGTGATTGCTGTCATCATGACCTAGTGCCAAAGGTGTCCTCAAAAGAAGTAGGAGCTGCAACAGGACTGTGGGTAAGGCTCGCTGGATAGAGGTTTGGAGACGCCTCTGGATTGGAATTCTAGCTCTGCCATTTATGAGCTGACAAGTTATCCACCAGCTTCCCCATCTGTAAAGTGAGAACAGCAATCTCTACCTTCCCCTATTGGGGTGAATATTAAAAGAGATCACTTAGGCTGGGCGCGGTGGCTCATGCCTGTAATCCCACTGCTTTGGGAGGCTGAAGCCAGTGGATCGCTTGAGCCCAGGAGTTCAAGAGAAACCTGGCAACCTGGCGAAACCCCATCTCTACAAAAGTATACAAAAATCAGCAAGGTGTGGTGGTGCATGCCTGTAGTCCCAGCTATTTGGGAGGCTGAGATGGGAGAATCCACTTGAGCCTGCAGGTTGAGGCTGCAGTAAGCCAAGATCATGCCACTGCATTCTAGCCTGGGTAACAGAGGGAGACCCTGTCTCAAAAAACAAACAAACAAACAAACAAAGGCACCTGGCCATTTGCTGGGCATATGCAGGCCCTCAGTGGGTCTCCTTCTACCACATTGCTTCCAGGTGGAAGTCCTCCCTGGTTCCTGGCGTTCCAGGACCTCTTTCTCCTGAAATCATAGCTTAAGTTAAAAACAAAAACAAAAAAAAAACGTTTCTTATTTTCTCTGAGACATCTCCCTCTCCCCATCTCTTTCCTTCCATTTTAAATGAAGTATTTCGGTTTTCTTAGGGCTAGCTGTTAGTAATCTGTTTTCCTTTTCCCAATTATCATCCATATCTATTAAGCACACCTCCGGGACAAAGTCTTTAGGTCCCTTTGTAATTCTGCTCCTTACCCAAATTCAGGCTCCTTCCACAAACATTTAACAACAGTGGAGGCTTGCCTTTGGGGACAAAGACAACGAAGCCCAGTCCCTGCCCTCAGGACGCCTAGAGTAGAAACAAACTGCTTCAGGGAGGGGCTCCGTAGATGCTTCTAGACTGCATCCTAGCCCTCTGAGGGAAGATGTGATTAGAAGATCATTTTCTTTGATGGTGGGAATCCCAGACCTGTGGATTTCTCTCCGAAGGATCCACTGAAGCAAGTTTTGCTCCAACCCGTTAGGCTAGAGCTGTCTATGAGTAACCAGAGGAAATTAACAAAATAAAAAATCTGAGGCTTGAATACATACCTACTTGAAATTTCTGGCAAGCTCTAAGCCCCTGACTTTGGAGAGGGATTTGAGGTCTTAACTGCACCCTTGGTGTAACTTGACCTGTAAGCCTTTAGGCCTAGGCGTGTGTCTCTGCCTGTCTGGGGCCGCTGGGGCCTGCCTGCCTCTGGGACTTGGGCATGCATGATCCTTGCAGCTTCATGGACTTGCCCCTCCCTAATATCCACCCCCAACCCCCAACACATATTAGGTAGATGCAAAAGTTATTGCGGTTTTTGCCATTACTTTCAATGGCAAAAACCGCAATTACTTTTTTGCACCAACATACCACATCCCAGTGTTTGTTAACATGGAGTTCTGGGCATTTTAGTTCATGTTATTTTGTCCCAGCTCTAAGAGGTTAATTAGTCCTATTTCCTTTTTTTTTTTTTTTTTTTTTTTTTGAGACGGAGTCTCGCTCTGTTGCCCAGGCTGGAGTGCAGTGGCATGATCTCGGCTCACTGCAAGCTCTGCCTCCCAGGTTCACGCCATTCTCCTGCCTCGGCCTCCTGAGTAGCTGGGACTACAGGCGCCCGCCACCACGCCCGGGTAATTCTTTGTATTTTTAGTAGAGACGGGATTTCACCACGTTAGCCAGGATGGTCTCGATCTCCTGACCTCGTGATTTGCCCGCCTCGGCCTCCCGAAGTGCAAGATCACAGGCGTGAGCCACCGCGCCCGGCCAATTTGTCCTATTTCCTTGGAGGGGCTGGAAGTTCCACTCATTCCAGTCTGGTGTTTGTCCTAAAGTATGACTCTGGGCAGGTCATTTCTCTTCGTGAAATAAGCTATCTCCCCAAGCAAGAACACTACAACTTTCTATGTCTATTCCCCTTTTTTTTTTTTTTTTTTTTTTTTTTTTTTAGGATTCTTGCTCTGACGCCCAGGCTGCAGTGCAGTCCGCAATCTCAGTTCACTGCAGCCTCCGCCTCCTGGGTTCAAGCGATTCTCCTGCCTCAGCCTCCTGAGTAGCTGGGATTATAGGTGCCCACTACCAATTAGCCAATTCCTGGCTAATTTTTTTTTTTTTTTAGTAGAGGCAGGTTTTACCCTGTTGGCCAGGCTGATCTCGAACTCTTGACTTCAAGTGATCTTCCCTCCTCTGCCTCCCAAAGGACTGGGATTATAGGTGTGAGCCACCGTGCCTGGCTTTCAAGTCTATTTTGAGCCCCCCTTCCCCTATTGAGGTGAGACAAGATGGTCCTGGACTGAACCTCAAGGTGCCACCATGGCTTGATGTCAGCACAGTTTGGGTGGAGCCTTGGTGATCCAGGTCAGGAGCCCATCAGCTGGGGTGGCCTGGCGCTGGGCTGTCCACTCCCATGCCTGCAAGAGAGAGGCTCTTTCACGCCTTGCTTCCCCGTTCTTGGGAACCACCTGGAGCCCTTTCATGGGGCTGGGGCAACCTGCTGAGCAGCTGGGAAAATCCTGAAAATACCAAACTACTGGCAGAGTGCCTGGGGCTCCAGACAAGACTCCTCCACCATGGTGGGGAAAAGTACCTGCATCTGGGGGCTCTTTCTGCCCCAGGTTTCAGGGGCATAACCCTGATTTTCTGGGGGAGTTCACGCACATCAGGGGGCTGGGGCAGCCAGTGCATGCCTAGAGAGTAAAGCAATACGATTTCCCCTTGGCCTCCCTGGGGACAGGGTGGTGTTCAGTTCATGTCTGAACCTCCAGCGTGGGTTGGCACACAGTGCATTTGCTAGACAAATGAATGAGCAGAGTTCACAGCCCACATCCCTCCCTTCTTCCATTTGCAACCCCAGCCTCAACTAAGCTCTGTGTGGTCACTTTTTCCCTGAAATGAGCTGTACTGGCCCACAGGGTCACACATCGTCCCAGAACGGCAGCTCCCAAGGGTTCACAGCACAAATTGGCCCAGGAGGTGAGGGAGGCCGCTGTGTGTCAGAGGTCCCCTGGCCCAGAGAGACGCCGTTCACAAGGCTGGGGGTTCTCTGGAGGCAGGAGGTGAAAATAGGATTGAACTAGGCTCAAAGATGGGATGAGGTGTGTGAAGGGGCAGTAGCAGAGCAGAGGGGTCATGAAATTTACAGGAAATGAGTCCAGATGTGGGGCTTAGAACACCTGGGTTGTACTTGTTGTGTGACCTTGGAGGAGTCGTCTTATCGCTTTGAGTCACACCTGTAAGGGGGGCATGGTAATAATTCAGGCCATAGGAGGCTATCAGAAGAATGGAAGGAGATAAGGCGTGTGATCTTGCTTCCTGAAAAGTCTAAAGGAAGGCCCTAGCTACTATTAGGTTGTTACTAAGTTGAGCTTTAGGGTTCTGGGTACTGTGGCTCCCTCCTTCCCTCTGCAGGGAAAAGACAGACAGCCAGGCCTCCCCACACCCCACTCAGGAATCTGTCACTGTGCATTGTCAGGTTATTAACAGGCCACTCCTGACCACTGAGCTGGGACATTTCCAAGAAAGCAGGAGATGATATTAAATTTCTTGTTCATCCAGCAGGGAGAAAAGAGTGGGCAAGAAAGATACAGCAAAAGCTCTGGGCTGCTGAGAAAATTAGCAGAGAAGTCAACTAAAGTCAGTAAAACTTGCAAGCAGGGGCCCTGGGAAGAATGTTTCCTGTGACCCCCGGATTTCTGAAGCCCAGAGCTTCACCCACTGTGACCCGTGGCAAAAATGGGGGAGCCCAACCACGCCTCTGAGCAGAGGATTCCACCTGGTGCTCCAAAGGCCTGAGAGTCCTGGTTAGAAACACGGGCCCTAGGGCCAGATGATACTGGCTTTGAATCTAAATTGTCACTGTGATCTGAGAAGTCCCTTGAGCTCCCCCAGGGCTTGGTCTCATTTGCACAATGGAGACTACAAGAGATCCCACTCATGCTGATGGCGTGGGGTTGGTGGCTAATGCAGGTCAGAACTCATCCCCAAGCTAGGACCACACCAAGGTGTCACTACTTGGATGCTGGCTGGTCTCACAGTTAAAAGGACCTAAGTTTGGGAGGCTGAGGCGCGTGGATCACTTGAGGTCAGGAGTTGGCGGGCGCCTGTAATCTCAGGTACTAGGGAGACTGAGGCAGGAGAATCGCTTGAACCTGGGAGGCGGAAGTTGCAGTGAGACAAGATCACACCACTGCACTCCAGCCTGGGTGACAGAGTGAGACCCTATCTCTGAAAAAATAAATAAATAAAGAAATAGGACCGAAGTTAGACTTTCTGGAGCAAGCTTCATTCTGACATTCATCCTTGCCACAGAATGGGGCCATCCCTGTTAGTGTTTCTGAGAACTGAGCTAACAGAAAACAAAAATTAACAGCATTATCTGCAAGAAGCAGTCCTGGGCTTCTGATAAAGGACTCAGGCTCTGGTGGGCTCACCCAGAGGGGCCCCCCTTATGTCATTGTCTCTGGGGAAGGGTGGGCGGGGACCCAGCTCTGCTGGAGAACAGCCGGTGATAGCCAGAAGCCCTCAGGGTTTCTAGAGGGATGGAAAGAAAAGAGACTAGGTGAAGCAAAGCACTTCTGTTTGCATCCAGAAAAGGCCTCTCCCCTGAGAGCCCGGGTCAGTGGCAAACGGGACTTGAATAAGGATCACTTAGAAAAGGCAGGGCCACTTCTAGAGTACTTTACTTATCGAGTACTTTACTGTATGTAAAGATTTCTGCATCTCAAATCTACAAAGTGGTTGCCATTATGATTCCCATTGCAGATAAAAAACAGAAAAGGCCAGATGCAGTGGCTCACACCTATAATCCCAGCACTTTGGGAGGCCGAGACAAGCAGATCAATTGAGGTCAGGAGTTCGAGACCAGCCTGGCCAACAGTGAACCCCCGTCTCTACTAAAAATACAAAAATTAGCCGGGTGTGGTGGCACATGCCTATAATCCCAGGTACTTGGGAGGTTGAGACAGGAGAATCACTTGAACCCGGGAGGTGGAGGTTGCAGTGAGCCAAGATCGCGCCACTGCACTCCAGCCTGGGCGACAGAGCGAGACTCTATCTCAAAAACAAAAAAACAAACAGAAAAGACTGAGTAATTTGCTCAGGATTATGCAGCTAGTGAGGCCAGATCTTGGGTTGGAAACACGTTGATGGTGAGAGTCCAGCCACAGAACCATGAGAAGGTAGGAAAGGAAGTTTCCAGCTGAAACAGAAATGATCCCGTTACTATACTGAGCCGCAGTGGGCAAGAGGAGGTTGCTAGGGGAGACTGGCATGATCTTCACCAAGCAGACAGGCTTCTGTGTGCCCAGGAGGAGTCTACATTGTTTCAAAGAGAACGGACTCACCCTGCCTGAAGGCACCTCTTAGCAAGCTATAGTAGTATCTCAAATCGCCACCTGCCCCCATCACCCTTTGCTCCCTGCTCAAGACCACATCTAAACCAAAGGCCCCGATTAAATCCCTTCCTAGAGCTCAGCACATGGCCCAGGGGTGAGGATTACTAGAGCTGATGGCATCACTCAGCATTCTCTCCATCCCAATGTGATGTGACACCTCTGCCCAGATGTTCCCAGTGCTTAAAGGAGCAGCCCTCTCAAATCAGTAGGTTCTGGTATCTGTACCTTTTGTTGGGGGCACTCCCACCTCCTTCCTTCTCTTTTTACTGAGCTCCCAAAATCCCAGACCCTTGGGTAAACTTCTGATGCTTCTATACTTCTATTTGACCATAGGGTCTCACTGCATTTTCCCAGCCATCCTGGGCACAGAAAGGGAGACTCTTCTAGAAGAAAATGGGCTTTAAGATACATGTGAGATAGGGCCAGCTCTACTATAATTTACAAAAATCATAATTAAATTTTTTTACTGTAATTAAAAAAAAAACTAGCCAGGCATGGTGGCACATGCCTATAGTCCCAATTACTGGAGAGACTGAGGCAGGAGAATCGCTTGAACCTGGGAGGCGGAGGTTCCAGTGAGCCAAGATGGTGCCACTGTACTCCAGCCTGGGTGACAGAGCAAGACTCTGTCTCAAAAAAAAAAAAAAAAAAAAGGAGTGAGAAGGGAGAAGGGCCTGGCATCTCCGTGTCCCTTCTTGTGGGGAGAGTGAGGAAAAGGTATGTATGAACTGGATGGAACTGTCAAAGCTGATCATTGTGGCTATGGAGTTTGTTTTCTCTTCTCCAGCTTTCAGTTTCCTGAGTGTTGGCATGTGTGCATGTGTGTGTGTGTGTGTGTGTGTGCACGCACGCGCGTGTGTGTCCTTTGGTCCTGGGAAGCCTTTGATTCATAACAATAACTCATCCTAGTCTGATGTCAAGGCTAATTTATACTTCCCAGCTTGATGGCTTGAATGCTGCAGGGCATGAGTTTTCTCCACTCTCCAACCCCTCTGTTACCTCTACAAGCCTTTTGCTCTCCAGAAAGCAGTTGTATTTGAAGGCAAAAGACATGTTAGGTCAGCTAGGAATGAGGAGTCAGGGAGCACATTGCCCTGGGCCCAGACCCCAGCCCCTGACTGGCATGTTTTTGAGTAGCCAGTGAAATCCCGGCTGAGTTGTGGCCTGGGAGTCCTCCAGCAAAGCAAAACCTGGCTCATCCAAGGTCACCAAGAGGCAACAAGGACAGAGAGATAGGGTGAGGAGGCTCAGGAGCCTCGTAATTGAATCTATAATAAACTAATTACATGCATGAAAGTGTGTGGAAGAGAATGTTTCTCTCTTTTGTATGAGCAAAGAATTTGGCTAATTTAAGGAGAATGATTTAATGTTAGGGATCGCCTAAGCCACTCTGTTTTCAGAACAGAAAATAAAATCCAAAGATGTCAGGTGAAGGCCGGGCGCAGTGGCTCATGCCTGTAATTCCAGCAGTTTGGGAGTCCAAGGCAGGAGGATTGCTTGAGCCCAGGAGTTTGAGACCAGCCTGAGCAACACAGTAAGACCTCGTCTCTACAAACAATAATAATAAGTATTAGCCAAGCGCGGTGGCGCATGTCTGTGGTCCCAGCTACTGAAGAGGCTGAGATGAGGCGTGAGATGCATGAGCCCAGGCAGTCGAGGCTGCTATGAGCCATGACTGTGCCAGTGCACTCCAGCCTGGGCAACAGAGCAAGACTCTGTCTCAAAAAAAGAGACAAGTCAAGTGACTTGTTCAAGGGCACACAGCCAGCTACTAGAAGAATCTGGGATAAGAGACATGAACTCCCCTAACCCAGGGCCAGTGCTTCTGCTACATGAGTGGTTTTCAAACATTTATTTTTGTAAGCAGGGGGTTCCTTCCCTCTCCTTCCCCCGCCACCTTGCAAGTGAAACATACATGACGTCAAACAGATCAAGGTGGTCCCACTATGTGGTGAAGTGGGGTGAGGGTTCCAGAACCCCATCTGCTTTGCCTTTTTCGATGCAGTTCTTGGGGTACCTCTGGGAGGTCCTAAGCCTTCAGGAAACTGAAGACTACAGCACTAACCCTAACAATAATAAGCCCTCAATACAGTTTCCATAAGACCTAGGTATTATTCTGAATTTTATATGTAGTAGCTCCTTCAATTTCCAGAAACCCTGTGAGACCCCCACACCAGTGGGGCTGCAGGAGTTGTAAGCTTTGCAGAGGTCCCTCCTCCACATGCGTGTCCTGACAAACAACATCTCTTGGAGGCCGGGCACAGTGACTCACACCTGTAATCCCAGCACTTTGGGAGGCTGAGGCGGGCAGATCACTTAAGGTCAGGAGTTCAAGACCAGCCTGGCCAACATGGTGAAACCCCATCTCTACTAAAAATACAAAACTTAGCTGGGCCTGATGCCATGTGCCTGTAGTCCCAGCTACCTGGGAGGTCGAGGTGGGAGAATCACTTGAACCTGGTGGCAGAAATTGCAGTGAGCTGAGATTGCGCCACTGCACTCCAGCCTGGGTGACAGAGTGAGAGTCTGCCTCAAAAAAAAAAAAAAAATCTTTTGACATCTGGGCTCCTGAAATGGAATCTTTGCTAGTAGAGGGTGACTTTTTATTCAGATATCCTGTCGCATAACCCTGCCCTTGAACCTTACCTCATCTCCTCCCCTTTCCTTCCCTGTTTTTTAATTCACCGCCACCCCTGATGTGGCTCCAGGTTGGGAAGCTTTTAGCCTCGAAGAACCCATAGGCAGACTTGCTTGGGTTCTCCAAAGGCAAACCACTTGCCTCCCCTTAACTCGATCAGAGGCAGCCTAAAGCTATATTCTGTCTGGCATCCACAATTACTGCCAAATAAACTCTTCCCCAAGCAATCACTTTATTATGCCTCTGGAGTCTATGAATCTCAGGAATTTGGACGGCACACAGAATGGCTTGTTTCTGCTCCCGATTCAAGAGGTCTCAGCTAGGCAGACTCAAAGATGAGAGGGGACTCAGTGGTTAGGGGCTGGAACCTTCTGGGTCATCTTCACTCACATGTCTGGTGGTTGGTGCCAGCCGAGCTGTCAGTCAGAACACCTGCCTAGTTTCTCCACATGGGGTAGTTTAGGCTTCCTCACAATATGGCAGCCAAATGTCAAGCTCCAGAGTCCCAAGAGAACCAGGAAACTATCACTTTTTTTTTTTTTGAGATGGAGTTTTGCTCTTGTCGCCCAGGCTAGAGTGCAATGGCTTGATCTTGGCTCACTGCAACCTCTGCCTCCTGGGTTCGAGCGATTGTCCTGCCTCAGCCTCCTGAGTAGCTGGGATTACAGGCGCCCACCACCACGCCCGGCTAATGTTTTTTTTTGTTTTTTTTTTTTGCATTTTTGGTAGGGAAGAGGTTTCACCATCTTAGCCAGGCTGGTCTGGTACTCCTGACCTCAAGTGATCCACCCGCTTGGGCCTCCCAAAATGCTGGGATTACAGGCCTGAGCCACCACGCCCGTCCAGGACTTCCACATCTTTTGAGTGGGACACTATTCAACCCATAACCATGACCTAGCCTTGAAAGTCACATGGCATCACCTCTGCTGTGTCACCAGCCCCTCCCCCCAGGAACAAGGGGAAGGAGCGTGGACTCCCTCTTGATGGGAAGTGTGTCTGGGGCATATAAGGTGGGAGATACTGTTGCAGTCATTTTTAGAAGATGCAATCTGCCAAGACAGTGTTTGAAAAACATTTATTTTTAGTTGCTAGTATTTAAGCATAAGGGGAATTTACATAAAACTTGATTTCTTGTTCTTAAAAAAATCAGAAGAACCCAACAGCATTGGGCTCTGATTTCCCCATGGCAGCAGCCAGTGAGAGCTGCCCCCTTTAGGAGGCAGGGCGCTCCAGCTGACCCATTTCCTGGGTACCCCCTTCTGAGGCCCCACCATATCAGTTGCCATTACTCACCATGCAGAGCTGTGACTTCCCTTGCACGCAGCCTGCTTCTCTCGGGTCAGTAATTGCTGCCTGCTGTCTGGGCAACTGAGGGGGTCCCCTTGTCCCCCACCCCCAGGCTGTGCAGAATAAGATCCCTGGGCAACTGAGGGTGCTCCCTGTTCCCCCCACCCTCTGTCCCTCTGCCCCAGGTTGTGCAGAGGGAGGTCCTTGGGGTGGAACCCCAGAAACTTCCCCCAGGGTGAAATCACAGTGTCATGATCTTCACAACCCACCCTGCTACCCTGAGAACCAACAGAAGGCAACAGACGTGAGCCTGGCCCCTGATTCACAGCCCCAGTATCTGCGGGACTGGTCCGGGCAGGAGGACGAGGCTGGACAAGCATAGGCAGCTAGCTGATTGCAGGGGGAAGGACAAGGTGGGGGTGGGGAGGCTGCTTGGAAAACTGCAAACAGATGTGGTCATCATAGCCACCCTCGTGGGGCCCACCAGCGCCGCCTCCTTCTGCCCCTCCCCCACGGGCCTCCTTCCAATAAATGATGTTGGGGCTACTTCTGAGGTAGCTTCCCTGACCTCCCGCCCTTCCCATCCACATGTATCTTCTAGAACCTTCCCAGATCTTCCCTGTGACTGGCCAAATCCCTTTACCGAAAATGCTACGGAAGTAAACAACACCAAGTTTGCCAACGCTGTTTCTATGTCGTCTTAGGAGCCTCCAACTGGAGCAATAATTTTCTCCGTGGAAGAGTCTGCGGAACAGAAGCAGCCCAGGTCTTGGGTCAGAGAATGGTCCTTGCTGTGCCGGGTCCTGTGTAGGAGTGTGGGCCGGTCCCATCACCCAGAAAGCAGAGCCCTCTTCAAGCCTGGATTGGGAGAGTCCCCAGGCAATAGGGATGTCCCTGGAGACCCTAGCTGTTACCTCCCATAGTTACTTAGCATCTCTGTATCTCCTGCTCCTGCCTTTGTAAGGTTAAGTGATTTAACTTATGCAAAGTGCTGTGCAAAGCCTTTAACACTTGCATGCATCTTTGATGAAGTTCCGTTTCCTTCATCTAGCCACATACTGTTGGGTTCTAGTAGAGTTTGGCCAATGTAGAGAGACTCGCCTTGCCCTTTGCGCTCCCAGAGTAGCGCGAGGGTGAAGTGAGCCCAGGCAGCAGGATAGAAGCCTGCCCTGCTTCCCCACGTACCAGGTACTGTGCCAGGCCAAGAAAACAGCATGTCCTTCCTTCTCCCTCTGCGCCCCACCTCCAATGCACCAGTGCTCCCCAGAGCCCCTGCCTGTACCCAGAGCCAGACACAGATGACAGGGGAGAGGCCCTGGAGTTCCGGTCCCGGCATCTGTGATTAATATTTTGCAGGTTGATGGCCGGTGAGCATTTTTCCTGACCCCGGGGAACGACTTGTTTGGCTCTTAGTGAGGGGTGGAAACAATTTTAAAAGTCGGGGGAGGGGGAGGTTGGGAAGAAACAGGAAAACAAGTATCCCATAGTTGCCAATTGAACCCAGGGTTGGCTGATGCTTTTCTGCAGAAATCTAAGACGGCTGGGGGAGGGAGCAGGGAGGAAGAGGAGGGGAGTGGAGGGGAGGCCCAAGGTCCCAGAGGGGCCGTCCTGGGGTCCCGCTGGAGTCCGGGAGTTTACTGAACCTAAACTCCCAAAGAGAAAAGATGCACATTGGAGATCCCAGGAGAGCTGCTCATTCATTCTCTAGGGCTGCTGTAATCAATGACCACAAACTGGGCGGCTTAAGCCAACAGAAATGTCCTCTCTCACAGTTATGAGGCTAGAAGTCCAAAATCAAGTTATCAGTAGGGCTGTGCTCCCTCTGAAGGCTTAGGGGAGAATTCTTGCTTGGCTCTTCCCGTTTCTGAGGGTTCCAGGCAGTCCCTGGCATTTCTTAGCTTGTTGCTTCATCACTCCAAGCGCTGCCTGTGTCCTCACATGGCTTTCTCCTCTGTGTGTGTGTCTGTGTCGTCTCTCTCTTTTCTTCAACTTGGATTTTGCATTCATGGGATACATGTGCAGGTTTGTTGCCTGGGTATACTGCGTGATGCTGAGGTTTGGGGTGTGACTGATCTCGTCACCCAGGTAGTGGACATAGTACCCAATAGGGAGTTTTTCAGCCCATGTCCTCTCCCTCTCCTTCTCCTTCTTTCTTTCTTTTTTTTTTTTTTTTGGTGTGTTTGTGTGCTTTATTTTTTTTTAAATTTTTTATTTTTTTTGAGACAGAGTATCGCTCTGTCACCCAGGCTGGAGTGCAGTGATGCAATCTTCGCTCACTGCAAGCTCCGCCTTGCAGGTTCACGCCATTCTCCTGCCTCAGCCTCCCGAGTAGCTGGGACTACAGGTGCCTGCCACCACACCCGGCTAATTTTTTTGTATATTTAGTAGAGACGGGGTTTCACCGTGTTAGCCAGGATGGTCTCGATCTCCTGACCTTGTGATCCACCCGCCTTGGCCTCCCAAAGTGCTGGGATTACAGGCGTGAGCCACTGCGCCCGGCCATGTGTGCTTTATTTTTTGTGGTGGAGTCTCGCTCTATCGCCCAGGCTGGAGTGCAGTGGCATGATCTTGGCTCATTGCAACCCCCACCTCCCAGGTTCAAGTGATTCTCCTGCCTCAGGCTTCCGAGTAGCTGGGATTACAGGCGCACGCCACCACAGCTGGTTAACTTTTGTATTTTTTAGTAGAGATGGGCTTTCACCATGTTGGCCAGGCTGGTCTTGAACTCCTGACCTCAAGCGATCTGCCTCCCTCGGCCTCCCAAAATGCTGGGATTACAGGCGTGAGCCACTGCACCTGGCTTTTTATTTTTTATTTTTATTTTTTTTTGAGATAGGGTCTCTGTCACCCAAACTGGAGTGCAGTGATATAATTTTGGCTCACTGCAACATCTGCCTCCCAGGTTCAAGCGATCCTCTTTCCTCAGCCTCCCAAGTAGCTGGGACTACAGGCACGTGCCACCATACCTGGCTAATTTTTGTATATTTGGTAGAGATGCGGTTTTGCCATGTTGGCCAGGCTGGTCTCAAACTCCTGGGCTCAGGTGATCCACCCGCCTCAGCCTCCTGATGTGCTGGGATTACAGGTGTGGGCCACCGCGCCTGGCTTTCTTCTTCTTTTTTTTGTTTTTGTTTATTTGTAGTGATAAAGTCTCACTATGTTGCCCAGGCTTGTCTGGAACTCATGGGCTCAAGCAATCCTCCCGCTTCGGCCTCCCAAATTACAGGGGTGAGTCACCGTGCCTGGCCATCCTCTCTTCTTTTTCTTTCTTTCTTTTTTCTTTTGAGATGGAGTCTCCCTCTGTCGCCCAGGCTGGAGTGCAGTGGCGCGATCTCGTCTAACCGCGAGCTCCACCTCCCGGGTTCATGCCATTCTCCTGCCTCAGCCTCCTGAGTAGCTGGGACTACAGGTGCCCGCCACCACACCCGCTAATTTTGTTTTTGTATTTTTACTAGAGATGGGGTTTCACCGTGTTAGCCAGGATGGTCTCGATCTCCTGACCTCGTGATCCGCTCGCCTTGGCCTCCCAAAGTGCTGGGATTACAGGCGTGAACCACCGCGCCCAGCCTCTCTCTTCTTTCTCATAAGGACACAAATCATTGGATTTAGGGCCAGTCTAATCCAATATGATCTCATCTTAACTAATTACATCTGCAGAGAACCTGCTTCCAAATAAGGTCACATTCTGAGGTTCCTGGTGGATGTGATTTTTGGGGGGACAACATTTAGCCTACTGCACTGCCCTTGACAATCTTATCTGGGAGTCACACCAGAACCCCACAGGGGTTCTAGCAAGTGTGGACTTGACACAAACTACTTTAGACCAGGGTTCTGCAAACTTCTGACCCCATCTGTTTCCGTATGGCCCATGAGCTAAGAATGATTGTTACATGTTTAAATGATTCAGAAAAAAATAAAAGCCAGAATGATATTTCGTTACATGTGAAAATTATATACAATTCAAATTTCAGAGTCTTTAAATAAAATTGGATTGGAACACAGCCATGCACATATGTTTATGTATTCTCTGTGGCTGCTTCTGCACTATGACAGAGACTCTGTGGCCGGCAAAACCCTTTAGGGAAAATGTTTGCTGAGGCCGGGCGCAGTGGCTCACCTCTGTAATCCCAGCACTCTGGGAGGCTGAGGCAGGCAGATCACCTGAGGTCAGGAGTTAGAGACCAGCCTGGCCAACATGGTGAAACCCTGCCTCTACTAAAAGTACGAAAATTAGCCGGGTGTGGTGGTGCGTGCCTGTAATTCCAACTACTCAGGAGGCTGAGGCAGGAGAATCACTTTAGCCCAGGATGCAGAAACTGCAGTGAGCCGAGATCATGCCACTGCACTCCAGCCTGGGCGACAGAGTGAGACTGTGTCTCAAAACAAAAGAAAGTCTGTCGACCCCAGGAACATTTTTTCTTTTTTTTTTTTTTTCTGAGACGGAGTCTCGCTCTGTTGCCCAGGCTGGAGTGCAGTGGCGTGATCTCGGCTCACTGCAAGCTCCGCCTCCCGGGTTCACGCCATTCTCCTGCCTCAGCCTCCGGAGTAGCTGGGACTACAGGCGCCCGCCACCACGCCCGGCTAATTTTTTGTATTTTTAGTAGAGACGGGGTTTCACCGTGTTAGCCAGGACGGTCTCGATCTCCTGACCTCGTGATCCGCCCACCTCGGCCTCCCAAAGTGCTGGGATTACAGTCGTGAACCACCGCGCCCGGCCGGAACATTTTTTCTTTAAGAGACAAGATCTTGCTCTGTTGCCCCGGCTGCAGTGCAGTGATGCAACCATAGCCCATTTCAGCCTCGACCTCCTGGACTCAAGTGATCCTCTTGCCTCAGCCTCCCGAGTAGCTGGGACTATAGGTGCATGCCACCATGCCCAGCTAAAGGACAATGTTGTTTGGAAGCAACGTTTCCTGCCTCATCTGTGGCCCACCCAGAGTTTGGAGGTCTCCCCTACTTTTCTCCTCCAGGTCAAGCAGTGTCTTAACCCTGGGTGAAAGCTGCTTCATGGTTAAAAGAGGGGGCACAACGAAGCCAGGCAGCCGGAGTTCAAATTCTGGTTCTGGCACTTCCATGGCAGGTCCCTTCACCTCTCCACTCACGGCATCTTTTTTTTTGTTTGTTTTTGAGACAGAGTCTCACTTTGTGGCCCGATCTCGGCTCACTGCAACCTCTGCTTCCCAGGTTCAAGTGATTCCCCTGCCTCAGCCTCCCAAGTAGCTGGGACTATAGGCGCACACCACCATGCCCGGCTAATTTTGTATTTTTAGTAGAGACGAGGTTTCTCCATGTGGGTCAGGCTGGTCTTGAACTCCCGACCTCAGGTGATCTGCCTTCCTCTGCTTCCCAAAGTGCTAGGACTGTAGGCGTGAGCCGCTGCGCCCAGTCCCCCGTCAAAGACTTCTTACCTTCTACAACACACTAGAAAATCCCACCCTTTGTGGTAGAAGCGCTCAGCAAACCTCTTTGGATCCAATTTCACTCACTCTTTATGGGCGTTAAGAAAAGAGTATATGAGACGTGCATATGATGGGCCCTGGGTAAAAGAGGGTAAGGGGTCATGGGGACAGCAGCACCGGAAGGCACAGGGAAGCACTGCCGTGGGCCTGCTGGTCCCATTGGCCCCTCCTATCCCCTGACCTTGCTGTGCGCCCCACTGGGAGGCTGCCCCGTGTGGATGGCATCTCAGTGTCTTCCAAATTCTCATTTGGTTTGGACCATAAGAAACCCAGGCAGTTGGGAGGCTGAGGCGGGAGGATTGCTTGAGCCCAGGACCAGCCTGGGCAACATGGTGAGTTCCCTTATGTACCAAAAAAAAAAAAAAAAAAAAAATTAGCTGGGTATGGTGATGCATGCCTATAGTCCTAGCTATTTGGGAGGCTGAGGCAGGAGGATGGCTTGAGCTCAGGAGTTCAAGGCTGCAGTGAGCCATGATCATGCCACTGCACTCCAGCCTGGGTGATAAAGCAAGACCCCGTCTCAGGGAAAAAAAAAAAAGCCAGACATGGTGGTAGGCACAGTGGCTCACACTTTGGGGAGGCTGAGGCAGGAAGATACCTTGAGCCCAGGAGTTCGAGACCACCCTGGGCAACATAGCAAGAACTTCCCTCTATTTTAAAAGAAAGTAAAAAAAAAAATAAATTATTAAAATAATAATAAGGAAAGAAAGAAAAAGCCCAGGAGAATGGAAGACGGTAGGAGAGCGAGGTTGGGAGCTATGGATCCCCTAGCACCCTCCCTGCCTCTGTTGGGCGTCTCTGTCTCCTGCCAGCCATCTCTGTCTGCAGGTTCCAGTGACTTCTCCCTGCATTTGCCAGCCAGGCCTGGGGTGGTGATGACCCCAGCTCTCACTACCCCGGGTCCTTACCCACAATCTGGTGAATGGTCTCTTCCTGAAACTCCTGAAATGGGCCTGTGTTGAGTGCGCCATTGCTTTCCAGCTTGACTGATAGACTCGGAAAGGTCGGTTCAGCTCTCCCTCCCAAAGTGCTGGGATTACAGGAGTGAGCCACCGCGCCTAGCCAACTTTTTTTGTATTTTTAGTAGAGACAGGTTTTCACCATGTTGGCCAGGCTGGTCTCAAACTCCTGACCTTGGGTGATCCACTCACCTCGGCCTCCCAAAGCACTGAGATTACAGGCATAAGCCACTGCGCCCAGCTTCTCCTTGGTTTTCGAAAGCGCCATTTCACCACCCATCTTCTTAGCAGATTTACCTTACTGTGTGTGTGTGTGTGTGTGTGTGTGTGTGTGTGTGTGTGTGTGTGTGTGTGTGTGTGTAGTCATTGTTTCTTCCCCCCTACTGTATTTGACCGGTTACAGAGCTGTAGATGGCCAAAGTTCACTGGCCACAATTAGGGAGGAGCCAGTCTGGGATTCAAAATCAATGAAGAGGAAGATTGGAATTAAGGAACCGAACGCTGGCCAGGTGCGGTGGCTCATGCCTGTAATCCTAGCACTTTGGGAGGCCAAGGTGGGTGGATCCCTTGAGCCCAGCAGTTCAAGACGAGTCTGGGCAACATGGCGAAAGCTCATCTCTACTAAAAATACACACATACACACAAATTAGCTGGGTGTAGTGGCGTGTGCCTTTGGTCCCAGCTACTCAGGAGGCTGAGGTGGGAGGATCACTTGAGCCCAGGATGTTGAGGCTGCAGTGAGCTGAGATTGTACCACTGCCTTCCAGCCTGGGCAACAGAGAGACCCTTGTCTAAAAAAACAAAAAGGAAAAGAAAAAAGGAATTAAGGGACACTGTGAGCCTTCTGGCAGGTCTAGAACAGAAATGCCTTCTGTGCCTGCCACATTTTGGTGTTCAAAGCGTTTTCCTCCAAGTCCCATTATTTTATTTGATCTTTATAATAACCTGATTGGTGGTAGATCAGGGGCCACTCACTTCCCCTGAGAAAAGATGCTTTAAGTCTCTCCATTTGCAAGGGACCATTCTAGAATCAGAACCCACTCTTCTGACTCCAGGTCCAGAATGTCTTCCATGTTATTTTCTTTCCTTTCCTTCCTTTCCTTCTCTTCCTTTCCCCCCTCCCCCCTCCCCTCCCCTCCGCTCCCCTCGTCTCCCCTCTCCTCTCCTCTCCTTCTTTTTTTCTTTTCTTTCTTAGAGTTTCCCTCTTGTTGCCCAGGCTGGACTGCAATGGCACAATCTCGGCTCACTGCAACCTCCACCTCCTGGGTTCAAGCAATTCTTGAGCCTCAGCCTCCTGAGTAACTGGGATTAACAGGTGCCCACAACCACGCCCAGCTAATTTTTTGTATTTTAGTAAAGACGAAGTTTCACCATGTTGCCCGGGTCTCAAACTCCTGGCCTCAGGCAATCCGCCTGCCTCGGCCTCCCAAAGTACTAGGATTACAAGCGTGAGCCCCTGCACCCGGCTATGTTATTATCTTTTAACCAAACATCCTCAGAGCAGCGGGCATGGGGTTATGTGTAATGTGGGATTCCAAATGATGTATAAGATCAAAATTATCTGTAGTCAAAATTACCCTTGAAAATCGGTCATAAAGTACCGTATACACGGTTTGTGCGTGATATGTCCAGAAGCAGTCTCATCTGACCCCCGTTTAGTGAACTAGCCATACTGATGGATACCCTATATTCCTTTTGCAAAACAAAGAGATGTACACAGTAGCCTGAATGCTGAAGGTAGTAGGCTGCTTTCTATCAGGCCAGCATACGTCTGCTCCTACTGAATTGAGTTGTATGTTTACAAGGAGTCAATTATCATTGTTTCTGAACTTGTTTATGCCAGTTGTACTTTTTATAGTAATTACATAATTTAATTAAATATGATGTAAGTAGATAAAATAAGAGTAGAAAAGGAGAATAACTATTTTTCTGAAAATTATGTTCAATGTTTTGGAAACAGAAAGTTGCAATAAATAAATAAATAAATAAAAGAGTGGGTTAGAGGCCGGGCGCAGTGGTGCATGCCTGTAATCCCAGCACTTTGGGAGGCCAAAGTGGGTGGATGGCTTGAGGTCAGGAGTTTGAGAGCAGCCTGGCCAACATGGTGAAACCCCATCTCTACTAAAAATATAAAAATTAGGCCGGGCGCGGTGGCTCACGCCTGTAATCCCAGCACTTTGGGAGGCCGAGGCGGGCGGATCACGAGGTCAGGAGATCGAGACCATCCCGGCTAAAACGGTGAAACCCCGTCTCTACTAAAAATACAAAAAATTAGCCGGGCGTAGTGGCGGGCGCCTGTAGTCCCAGCTACTTGGGAGGCTGAGGCAGGAGAATGGTGTGAACCCGGGAGGCGGAGCTTGCAGTGAGCCGAGATCCCGCCACTGCACTCCAGCCTGGGCGACAGAGCGAGACTCCGTCTCAAAAAAAAAAAAAAAAAAAAAAAAAAAATTAACCAGGTGTGGTGGTGGGCTCCTGTAATCCCAGCTCTCGGGAGGCCAAGGCAGGAGAATCACTTGAACCAGGGAGGCAGAAGGTTGTAGAGAGCAGAGATTGTACCACTGTACTCCAGCATGGGCCACAGGCCAAGATTCCATCTCAAGAAAAAAAACAACAAAAACAACAAAATATATATATATGAAAAAAATATATATATGAAATTCCCTGCTTTAGTTGTGTTTGGTTAGTTAAGCAGCCTCTGTATGAATGTCTGATGTGCATTATGCAATAATGTACACTGTGCAAAATAAGTGTACTCATTGAGTGGCATTACATGTCCTATTAAAATGATTTCCCTACCAGGTATGGTGGCTCATGCCTGTAATCCCAGCATTTTGGAAGGCTGAGGTGGGAGGATTTCTTGGTCCCAGGCATTCGAGACCAGCCCGGGCAACAGGATGAGACCTCATCTCTACAAAAAATAAATAATTAGCTGGGTGTGGTGGCATGAACCTGTGGTCTCAGCTACTTGGGAGGCTGAGGTGGGAGGATCACTTGAGCCCAGGAGGTTGAGGCTGCAGTGAGCTGTGTTCATGCCTCATGCCACTACACCACTCCAGCCTGGGTGACAGCGCAAGACTCTGTCTCAAAAAAAAAAAAAAAAAAAAAAAAAGGCCGGATGCGGTGGCTTATGCCTGTAATCCCAACACTTTGGGAGGCCGAGGTGGGTGGATCACCTGAGGTTGGGAGTTCGAGACCAGCCTGACCAACATGGAGAAACCCCGTCTCTACTAAAAATACAAAATTAGCCAGGCGTGGTGGCACATGCCCGTAATCCCAGCTACTCGGGAAGGCTGAGGCAGGAGAATCGCTTAAACCCTGGAGGCAGAGGTTGCGGTTAGCTGAGATTGCGCCATTGCACTCCAGCCTGGGCAACAAGAGTGAAACTCCGGTTCAAAAAAAAAAAAAAAGTAGACAGAGAGAGATTTTCCCTCTGTTTCTCTTGAGTCTATTGAGTCCACATGACTTAAGTAATGTGAGATAAATGTGGTATAATGCAACACCGCTGTACTCATAAATTCAGCAATCTAAGCCCTAACTCTAACCCTGGGTAGATTAACTGGGTTAGATCCACCAAACAACATAGCATTTCTCATGGCATTAAGATCACTGGGAAGTGGGGTGCTAGCTCTGTAGAAATTAAAATAAAAATGGACAAGGAGCTTGCCTTAAAATATCAGAGAGGCAGCATTATGTTTTGAGAGCCAGAAGGCTTTAGTACAAATCCTGGCTCCACCACTCCCCGAGGGCAAGCCACTTAAAGTCTCCCTGTCCCAGGTTTCCTCCTTGGGACTGTCGCAAAGATTCCATGAGTTAATAAACGTAAAGTGATTAGAACTGTGCCTGGCACAGAGTGAATGCCATAGACATATTAGCTATTGCTATTATTATTATTCACTATAATTTGCACATTGCATCAAGTAGGTTCTTATTCTAAAAGTTTAAAATAAATAAAATAGTGCATTTCACTGGAAGGCACTCACTTATGCATTAAGAGAGCAGATAAGTCAGACCCTTGACTCTTCTCTGCAAAAGCACAGCATGGCTAAAAATTGCTGTCTGGGGAATGAACTGCTTGGGTATGATACTGGGACAGGTGACCCCATTCATGTAACAGGAAGGAAAAGAATGTTGCTTCAAATCTCCAAAAAAAAAAGTTTATTTATAAAATACTGACAGTTTGACAGGACACGGGACTTCTTGTGGTATATATTTCAAATCAATTTCTTTCTTACCTTTCATTTAAAAAATAAACCTGCTAACACGCTATATGACATAGAGATATATATTTTTTTCTTACAGACAGACACCTGCCATAATGAATACTCTCCCCATAATTTTTTGTTATATCTTTTAAATCAAAAAATAAAGATTTGTGTTGATTTTTGTTTCTGGAGTCTAGATGGATGGAGAAAGGTAACACGTTTAAATGCTTTTGGTTATTCTGATGGAAACAAAGAGAAGGGGGGTGGTCCCGAGGGGGCACCTGTGCTCAGGTGGTGGTCAGGATTGCCATGTGCGCATGCCCATGGGTGTCCCTGGATAGGGCCATACAGAGGCACTGGGGAGCGGGTGGCGGCTGCTCAGATGGTCTCCCCTTTACCTTCCTGCCCACCAGCCCCTCACCCAGGGTAGGCACCTTCAGATGTGCACTCTGGGAAGCTGAGGGAAGCCCCTGCCCAGCCAGAGTGGCACTGTGGTGAGGCTCTGGCACCTTTAGAAGCACTGCCCAGGGAGGCGTGGGCAGCAACAGAAGGCCTTGAGGCAGCGTGCACCAGGTGGGGGCAGCCCCCGCTGTGTCCTTGTTTCCTCTAAATCACGGCAGTGCCAGGTTTGGGGGTAGGAGTTTTGGGGGCCGGGGGGTGAGGGATGGACAGAAGGGGAGGCAGCCTGGGTTTGCAAACTCTCTGGAGCCCTAGGAGGATGGTGGTTCTGGAGCCCAGAGCATCTTTTTGGTTTGTCTTGGCAGTGTGGGTGTGGAGCTGACGTCAACTCTGGAGGCGCAGCCAGGAAGGGGAAAGCCCTGGTGTGCCCAGCATGGGCTCCTGGGTGCAACACTGGGAGATTGCTTAGGGCACAAGGAGGCAATGCCAAAGGTGCCAGGTGTGTCCTGGTGTGAACCTGCTTTGGGTGGAGTCCCACAGGCAGGGGCCCTGGCATCACTGGCACGGAAAATCACAGGCCAGAAAGGGTCCCACTCTTTCTACAAAGGGCAGGGCCCACCACCCCTTTCTAATGTGGCCAGGTTTCTGGGAGGACGGTTGGGAGCCTCGGCTGTGCCAGTAGATATGTAAACAAGGGCAAAGAGACGTGTCCTGAAAAAATCTAGAGTTCCACAGCTGCAGGCCTGGGCTTCCAGCTGTGGCTGGGGCTGTGGAGACAATATTCCAGATGAGTGGGTATTGACTAAGTGTGGGACTTTCACCATGGGCCCAGCCTGATCTCATGGGCTTGTCTAAATTTGCGTGGTGTCCTCACCCTCTCAGACAATAGATCCCAGCCACGCCCCAAGTGCAAGCAACCCAGGCCACCTGTGCCTCACAGGGGAGAGATGGCTTCAGCCATCAGAGGGAGTTCAGGAGTCTCTTTGCTAACACACATACAGATGTGTGTTCTGTGCATATTTGTGTGTGCATGTGTGTAAGCACAGGCGTGCATGGGCACCATCCCGCATGTACACGTAGGTGTCAGCATGGGTGCGAATGAGCGTGTGGGGAGTGGGGGGGTGGAATATCTTAGTGCACCAGGTGATTCATTAAAGGCAAAGGAAAATTGACCTCATGTGCAATATATACACAGACACAATGTTTTTACTCACTCCTGCTTCCTCCCAAATAATCCCTCACTGGGCTGGGCTTAAATAATTCCCTAATGCAAACTGGGAACTTCCTTAAATGGTTAAATGCTCAGCAGAGAGGGAAAGGGATGAAGTTATTTAAAAAAAAAAAAAAAAAAAAGATGAGAGGAAAGAAAAGAAAGCTGTGCGGCACGATCACAGGCCGGCAGCTGCAGATGTGCTGCCATGGAGATGCCAGATGCTGCAGAGGGTGGGGGCGGAGGTGGCAGGGGTGGAGCAGGTGTCCAGCTGACTCCACTGCAGCCCCCAGACAAGTCCAAGGAGGCCCCGAGAGCACCTTACTTCCTGGAGGGGCAGAACCTCAGCCCTTGGTTCTCCTTTGGGGAAGATTGTGCTTCCCTTCCCAGGCCTCCTTATTGGAGAAACCGCTTTTTGGACACTGGAGCTGGGCTGGCCTGTCTGCTGAGCCATCTTCCAGCATCTCCCCGTTCACATTTCCCAGGGGTCAAGTGCTTCAGGAAAAACTCATGGCTGGGTGTGCCCGTTCTTTGGGCCCCAGACCCTGACTTCCCTTCCCGGTCACCATTAGCACAGTGACTGACTTGGGGCTGTAGGAGAGTGGTCCAGGCTCTCTCTTACCTTGGCATGTTTCCCAAATCTCCTACTTGGGCTTCCTTGAACTCTGCTCACCCACCCCAACAGAGCATCATCTCTTGGGCAGGGCCAGCAGCGCCTGTACACAGTGCACAGAGGGAGCCCTGCTCCACGAAGGGGCTCACGCTGAATCAGACAGGCCCCTGTGGGCCATCTGCCACCCATCTCAGCGGTGGGGCAGGTGTTGGGCTGGCCTTACAGGGCTGGCTGAGGGCACAGAGGGCCTTGGACAATGTATGGAGTTAGATAGAAAGGCTTCTCCCTAAACCCTGGCATCCGTAAGTACCAAGTGGACGGGAAGATCCTGGCCACTGGATGTGGCTTTTTGCAGAACACTCCTTGGAGCAGATTGTGTATGTGTATGTGTGTGTGTGTGTGTGTGTGTGTGTGTAAAAGCATTCCCTCCCATCAGCTATTCTTGTCACTTGGTCCCATCTGACCTGCCCCTGCTGGGCGTGCAATTCAAATGCTGGGTCCACTTTGGACTGAGCTTCCTGACCTGCCCCTTCCCCTCCCCGCCCTGGCCAGGCGGAGCCCAGCCTGGAAGCTGTTACTGGGGGTTAGGGTGTCTTTGCCTTTTTGCCTGTAAACTGGGTGCTAGGCTGACTGAGCAAACTCTGGGTATTCCAGCCTCTGGACCAGGGACTTGGGCCACCCCTCTGGGCTCCTGTGCCTCTGTGCTTAGGAGGCTGCCGGGTGGCAGTGAGAGGGACACAGATCTGAAAGTGAGTGTGCTGTCTGGCTAGGAGGGCCCAGATGAGTTTGTTCTGGAGAGGATCCCTAGACCCTGTTCCTTGTAAGTGCATGGGAGATGTGTGTGTGTGTGTGTGTGTGGTGAGGATCTATCCAGTGGAGAGTGACGTGTCTGCCCAGAGGGAGATCCCTCAGCTGTGCCCCACTCCCCAGCCTTGGGAAGCTGACTACCCCTTTAAAGAGAGGACGGATGGAACCTGGATTGGAAGAAAGAGAACAGTCAAAGTGTCATTCTTATCTTGCCCACAATGCGTTAAACCTAATCATCCCACAGTGCCAAGGCCAGTCGCCTTATTTACACCTCTGCTCCCCAGACTTCACCTTTCCTTGTCCATGCTCAGGAAAGTCAATTCCAGCACAGGGAGGCAGGGGTCAGTTGTGGGGGGTTTCTCCCCTACCCTTGGGCTCTCTTCCTTGGATTCAATATTTTAAAAAATATGCAGGAACAAGGAAGGCGCTAAGCAAATTCTCACCCTTTAGTTTTTTGTTTTTTGTTTTTCTTCCTTTTTCTAAATAAACCAAATGCTTGGTGGAGAAGTTGAGCAGGGGAGATGGGCAGTAGAGGTTGCCAAGACAGGGCAGGGGGTCTGGATGAGGCTGTCCGATGCCTGCCAGCCACAGTGATGGTGCATGGAGGGAAGGAGGAGCAGAGAGAGAAGATAGGCGTGGCCTCCGGGATGCCCATTCTTTTTGCAGAGAGCAGCGGCAGTGGGTCCAGGGGTCCTGGAGGGGCTGGAAGGGGGCAGCTGGCTGGACATCCAGAAGCTTTTTCTTCCCTCGGCCACGCCTGCCTGGCGGCCTCCAGTCCTTAGCCTCCGCTCCCTCTCTCTCTCCAGATGCCCGCCCCACTCCGTGTCCATAGCAGTGACACAGCCACTTCCCCAGCTCCGTGTAATTCCCAAGGGAGCAGTGAACCCCACCATCTCAAAGCTGAAGAGCTGCTGGCCACACACATCCTCTCACGGTTTTCTCCCTCCTTCTGAACGCCGGCTTTGCTGGCCCTGGAATCTCTGGAAAAATAAACTCAGGAGGTGAAAAGTTGACTTGGTTTCTTGGTGTTTTTGTTTTCTGGCAGGCAGTGAGAGGAGGGGTGAAGGAGGAGTTTGGTGCCATTTCTCTTTCTGCTTTTTCCTCTTCTGATGTCAAACAAATGATGAAAATCCTGCTATGGGAGCCCGGGAGCCTGGGGCCAGGCTGCTGGGGGGACGGTAGAGGGTGCTCTGCTGACTTGGGGGGTTAGGGGGGTTCTGGGGCGTTGGAGTCCGACTGGCCTTGGGCCGAAAGAGGCTGCCCTGCTGGGTGCTGGTGCTGTTGGTGACGGTGGTGTGGTCTGGCTCACCCGAGTCGCTCTCCGTGTAGCTGTAGGCCTGTGCCCTCGAGATGCCCTTCTGCTGTCGCCGCCACGAGTTGTAGTATGTGGGGTCACTGATGTAGTGGTTGACAAAGGAGTGGGCCTTCTGGTGGTTTGAGTCGACCTCGTACTCGCTGTCACTTCCCTGGGAGGACAGAGAATCAGGGTGTGTCAGTGGCCCCGTAGGGACAGGCCATTGTGGTTGGGGCCGGAAGGCACAGGGCATTCTGGTTCAAAACTCTGCTCTGCCTCTTTCAAGACTTGGACTGTGGGCCTCCCAGCCCCCTCACTGCCAAGGGGGTCTGGTGCCCGTTTGTGCCCGCCTGCTGCTTCCTTCACAGCAGATCCGGAACCGGAAGGATCTACTATGGGGTTGGCCCAGAGCTGGGAGATACCTGATAGAATCAGAAGACCTGAGTTTTTTTTTGTTTTTGTTTTTGTTTTTTTTTTTTGAGACAGAATCTCGCTGTTGCCAGGCTGGAGTACATTGGCATGATCTTGGCTCACTCCAACCTCTGACTCCCTGGTTCAAGCAATTCTCCTGCCTCAGCCTCCTGAGTAGCTGGGATGACAGACATGTGCCACCACGCCTGGCTAATTTTTTTGGTATGTTTAGGGGTTTCACCATGTTAGCTAGGCTGGTCTTGAACTCCTGACCTCAAGTGATCCACCCGCTTCACCCTCCCAAAGTACTGGGATTACAGGTGTCAGCCACTATCCCTGGCAAATTTTATTTTCTTTCCTTTTTATTCTTTTTTTTGGGGGGCGGGGAGTGGAAGGGGCACAGGGAATCACTGTGTTGCCCAGGCTGGAGCACAGTGGTGTGATCCTCTCTGTAGCCTCAACCTCCTAAGCTCAAGCTATCCTCCCATGTCAGCCTTCTGAGTAGCCAGGACTATGGGTGCATGCCACCACGCCCCACTAACTTAAAAAAATTTTTCTCTTGTGATGAGCTCTCCTTATGTTGCCCAGGCTGGTCTAGAACTCCTGGACTTAAGTGATCCTCCTGCCTTGGTCTCCTAAAGTGCTGGGATTACAGGCGTGAGCTACTTTACCTTACCTTTGTTTTCTTTTCTTTCTTTCTTTTTTTTTTGATACGCAGTTTCACTCTTGTTGCCCAGGCTGGATGCAATGGTGCAATCTGGGCTCACTGCAACCTCCACCTACCCGGTTCAAGTGATTCTCCTGCCTCAGCTTCTGGAGTAGTTGAAATTACAGGCACCTGCCACCATGCCTGGCTAATTTTTTGTATTTTTAGTAGAGATGGGGTTTCACCATGTTGGCCAGGTTGGTCTTGAACTCCTGACCTCAGGTGATCCACCCGCCTTGGCCTCTCAAAGTGCTGGGATTCAGGCGTGGGCCACCGTGCCCAGTCTACCTTTGTTTTCAATTGAAGTGAGGTTCACATAACCGAAAGTGAACCATTCTAAAGTCTATGACTCAGTGCATTAGGACCGTCGCAGTGTTGTGCAACCACCACTTCTATCCAGCCCTGAATCATTTCCATCACCCCAAAGTAAAACCTTGTACCCAGGAAGCAGTCACTCCCTATCTCTGCCCCTACCGGTCACTCCCTATATCCATGCCCCTGGCAACCACTAATCTGTTTTCTGTCTCCAGGGATTAACTTATTTGGGACTTTCCTATAAATGGGATCATATAATATGTGGTCTTTTGTGTCTGGCTTCTCTGACACAGTGTCATGTTTTTGAGGTTCAACCACAACCTACTAAGTTACCATCTTGGTCCAGCTTCTGCTTTACTTTGTGACTGGGGACAAAGCCAGAGCCTAATTAAGACCTTTAGAGGCTCTGGACAGTGAAAAATGCCTGTGCCTGTCCACGTGTGATCCAACATAAAAACAACACTTGGTTACAAACTAAGCATGAGAAAAATCTAAACCAAAGTTCAGAATTTTCATGTAATGAAAACCTTAAAGTTTTTTTTTTTTTTTTTTTTTTTTTTGAGATGGAGTTTTGCTCTTGTCGTCCAGGCTTGAGTGCAGTGGCACGATCTTGGCTCACCTCAACCTCTGCCTCCCGGGTTCAAGTGATTCTCCTGCCTCAGCCTCCTGAGTAGCTGGGATTACAGGCATGTGCCACCACATCTGGCTAATTTTTGTATTTTTAGTAGAGATGGGGTTTCGCCATGTTGGTCAAGCTGGCCTCGAACTCCCAACCTCAGGTGATCTGCCCACCTCGGCGTCCCAAAGTGCTGGGATTACAGGCGTGAGCCACCGCGGCTGGTCTGTTTTTTTTTTTTTTTTTTAAGAGACAGGGGTCTCTCTTTGTTGCCTAGGCTGGTCTCAAACTCCTGGGCCTAAACTATGCTCCTGCCTCGGCCTCCCAGTGTTGGGATTACAGGCATAATTACACCACACCCAGCCTGAAGTTCTTTTTTACTTTTAAAGATAAAAATATTAAATTATTCCTGACTTTTTTTTTTTTTTTTTTGACACTTTGATGTCCTAGGCACAGGCTTCATCTATCTATTGGGGACATCAGCCCCAAACAAGAATCAATCTCGGTTGGAAAGTAAAATCTGAATTGTGGAGCTAAAAACATGGTGCACCCCTTCCCCTACCCTGAGCTCCCAGCAATGTTTTGAGAGCTAATAAGACAACAGATGGGCCCCCCCTCAGAACTCTCTGGAAGAGAAGTGCTCCGATTTTAGCGCACAGCACACGATCAGTGCACTGCAGCTCAGAGGACCCCACCCAGGCCTCCTCAGTCCTGCCCAGCTAATGCCCCTGCCTGGGGGCAGTTAGCGAATCACAGCAATCCAAGTAGAACATAAAAGCCAGTTAGCCCAATCCAGACAAGTTTGGGATGGGGAGCTGTGTCCTGCTTTACAGGTAAAGAAAATGGAGTGGGGACCTTTGTCCAGAGGGTCTGGGCTTTGGGAAATGAGATGCACGGCTTGTTCTCAGGAACTCGGAGTCCTTCATAACATGGGGATACATCTCGAGGGATGTAGCTACAATGAATAGAACTATAATGATCCCCGCTAATGGAGCAGGCCCTCTGCCAGACAGTCTGAAACGCTGACATGCATAACTGTATTTAGTTTTCACACCTCTGTGCGGCAGCTCCTATTGCTACCTGAGCACCGACGCTGCCTGGGTACTGACGGGCACATAAAGTACAGGAAGGGTGAGGGTTTTGCTGGGGAAGTGATCCGGCCGGGCTTGAACTCCAATCTGCCTGATTTTCTAAAGCCCACACACCTCTTAACTCCTACACTCCTGCACTCCTGCCTGGAGACCACAGGATGGGAACGAGAGCTCCCCCCAAACCCCCCACCCCGACTCCCAGCAGGAATTAAATACTCCCTAGTCCATCTGCTAATTTATGTTCTCTGGCCCCTCCCCTCCCTCTCCTCACCCCTCTACAACCCCAGCCACTCTCCTTACCACCCCTGCAGCAGACACTCCCCCGCCAGGACCTCAATCCTCTTGGCAGGCACAGCCGGCTGCCCAAGACAATGGAAAGTCCCTGGGCTCGGTCTGCCCCATGACGCAATGCAGCACAATACAAGCCCCTTTCTGTGCCTACTGCCCAGCTGCCCGCCCAGGAGAACAAAGAGGGGGCACAGGCAGGCCAGGGAGACTCCATATGCCGAGCGGGGGCACCTGATGCTGGGCCGAGTGAGGCTGGCCTGGAGCAGCGGGGATCTGTGAGGCAGGAGGCTGGGGGTCCATCCCGCCCAGGAACAGTGAGGGTCTGTGAATGCGGGGGACCAGACAGGGATGTCCCCCAGTTTTCCCTACAGGTTCGGTCTTTCCACCCACTAACTGACTTGAACAGTTGTTAGCATCAGCTCCAGGGGTTCTAGAATTTTGGCTAGCCCCAGGCCCCAGCTTTGCAGAGGAAGGAACCCCTGGGTGACTGTGGGACCATCCCACAGTGAAACGAGTCTCTGGGGGGAGGAGCTTGTGGCACGGGGAAGTTCTGGCTCTTACCAGCAGAGGAAGCCATCACTCAGGCTCTCTCAGCCTCAGTGTCCTTGTCTGTAAAATGGGTAGAGTTCCATAGTTCACAGGGTGAAATGAGCTAACCCAGGAGAGAATGCTGTAAAAGGTATTATCAATGGGGACAGTGAGGGTGGGCCTGGGTGGGAAAGGGAAGAGATGGAGTGAGAAGCCTCAAAGCTCCCCTGGGAGGGATTAGAAGGGGCCAGGAAGCCGGGGAGGCTGACTCAGTGCTCAGGCAGGTGGAATGGGAGTAGAAGGTTAGCTGATACCCCACCCACTAACCCCCGACTCCAAGACAGAGGCATGTCCGGACTGGAAGCAAGGTGGGGAGTGGGATTCTCTAGCCCTCCTAGGGGCCCAGATCCCAAAGCCCACTCATCTAGACCATCCCCGTCCTACCAGCTACTATCTGCAGAATGCCTACTGATCCCAGGCACTCTATGGGCAGCATCTCGGGGATGGAAGGCACTAGAAGGGAGAGCAGGGAGCCAAACAGAGCCCGCGCTGCGGGAGGGGCCAGGCAGGCGAGAGTCTGGTCTGCCTCTTCCCCCGCTCCGCCTTCCAAAGCCAAGGCAGGAGGGCTTTGCATCAGCGACTGCTGCTCCCGCCTCCATCTCCCTGAACATCTGTTTCTTTTCGGAGTGGGGGTAGGGCGAGAAGAGAAGAAAGCGAGGGGGAGACCAGGGGCTCCTATTGCAGCTTTCAATTCTCACGGGCCTCGGTAATTGAATGCAGCTTCCCAGGGACCGGCCCAGCACAAAGGGGGCCTTTCAGGGGCTGTCCTGCCAGGCCGCCAGGCAATCAAGTGACTGCTTCGTCTCCCTGGTCTCTTAACAGCTCCTCAAAGCCACTCAATCAGCAATTACTGGGGTCTGCGGAGGGGGAGCACAGACTCCAGGCCTGGTGATGGGAGTGGGGAGGGAGGGCCAGAAGGAGGCAGGACCCCTGGAGAAAAGAGGAAGCAAAGCAAAGCCCTTTTGCTTTTTTGTTCATCTCCAGCCCAAAGGATCTGGCACCAGACTCAGCCTTAGGGATGGTGTTGAGACCTTGGGGTCAGGCAGGGGACCCTTATCTTGTTGAATCTCATGAAGTCTGGGAGGAATGTGTTGCCCTAGATGACAGAGAAGTCACCTTGTGAAACTCCGTGGGAGACTGGAAGCAGGAGCCCCTCCCTCATCCACGGTCCCAGGGGCTCTGCACTGACTCTAGCCTGAAGCCGGCAGCGCATCTGTGCGGGGTGTTCCGCCTGTCCCCTGGATGCCTCTACCCGGGGGGCCAGCCAGGGTCTCTCTGCAGGGGCTGCAGCCTCTGGATTAAAGGTGGGGTAGGGGTGATGTGTCTCCTGTGTGTCTCTGAAGAACCTCAGAATTGTGCCCCTGGAGGCACAATTTTGTCGAGGCTCTGGGCTCCCTGTGTTAAGATAGCTGGAAATCTCCCAAGAATGTCCTTTGAAAAATGTCAGCTCAGAAGCAATGTCATATGTGCCACCTGTGCCCTTATAGGTAAAGTGACAGCCAATGTGTACCCCTCCCCCCACACCCACAACCGGCTGTCAGAGATGTCTGTGGTCAGGAGGCTCAAGGGAGGTCACTGGGGTGGGGTTGGAGGCAGTGAAGGCCTCTTTCCTTCAATCTCCTCTCCGTGCTGGGCAGCTGCACGAGGCCAGGCTGCAGTAGGCATGACCCTCCAAGCAAGCTGGCTCTAGATTTGAATCCCAGTTGCTTGTACTTCTGAGCTCTGTGACCAAGGGCATACTGCCTCACTTCTGTGAACCTCAGTTTCCCCAGCTGTTAAATGGGGATAGTTTCACTTGCATGGCAGGACAGCTAGATGTTAAATGAGAATATACAAAGCACAGGGCTTGGCACACAGTATGTAGCTTTGCCTCTCCCCGGCCTGTCTCTGCCCCACAGCGTTTCTTGTTTGGCACAACTTTGGGCTGCGAGGATCTGGGGGATGGTCAGGCTATCAACGAGGTCTCAGCTGAGCCTGTTGGACTCATGGCCCAATCTGATGGAAAAGAGGCAAACACAGGCAAAAGGTCAGAGCCGTTCAGTAGAATGGTGACGGCAGAACATAACCCTGCTCCAGCCAGCTGCAAACCTGCACGCTTCCCTTCTAGGCATGACCCAGTGCTGTTCACACTTTGAGGCCCAGCTCAAATAAATGCCACCTCCTTCAGGCAGCCCTCTCTGAGCCTCCAGGGGAAGTGGTCTCCTTATGGTGCTTTATCTGCCTCTGCATCGCAGGAAAGAAACAGAAAGACTTGGCCGGGTGCGGTGGCTCACGCCTGTAATCCTAGCACTTTGGGAGGCCGAGGTGGGCGGATCACCTGAGGTCAGGAGTTTGAGACCAGCCTGGCCAACATGGTGAAATCCCGTCTTTACTAAAAATACAAAAATTAGCTTGGTGTGGTGGTAGGTGCCTGTAATCCCAGCTATTCGGGAGGCTGAGGCAGGAGAATCGCTTGAACCTGGGAGGCAGAGATTGCAGTGAGCTGAGATCAAGCCATTGCACTCCAGCCTGGGGGACAAGAGCGAGACTTCATTTCAAAAAAAAAAGAAAAAAAAAGAGAAAGACTTTTGTTCACCACTTTCTTCCTCAGGTTGCTGTGGTTCCATAATATTTGAATGAGAAATGAAAACGTGGTTATTTATACACGTATGGTCTTCCCTAGTAAATCATAACATATTATAACGCAACATTCATTAGAGTCTGTCTTGCCCACTACTGTAGCCATCGTTCCTATATAGCGTCTGATTCCATTTTGTGGGTACAGAACAAATAGCTGTTGAGTAAATGCATCAAGGAATGAATGAATGAGCTTCATAGAGAGCAAACCCATCACTTACTCCTCCCACGTACCACACAGAGTCTTACCTGTGCTGGTATGCAGGGCAGATGTCAATAGGGAGAATGGGGGCGGGATGCATTTTGGGCTTGTTGTCAGGGGTGGGGGCCTTCCCAACTCTCTTTTTCATCATCTTTACTTGCAAATGGCCTTAATGCCACCAGTGCTTCCTAGAGGA
This sequence comes from Homo sapiens, assembly GCF_000001405.40. Taxonomy (NCBI): domain Eukaryota; kingdom Metazoa; phylum Chordata; class Mammalia; order Primates; family Hominidae; genus Homo; species Homo sapiens. The sequence continues at coordinate 73,345,798 of NC_000017.11, forward strand.
CTCTGAAGCTTAGGTGGTGTCATTCACGAACAATCCTTAGAATCCTTCCTGGCTTCTACTGAACACTTCATAAATGTTTGCTATTATAAATCGGTGCATAATAAATAGTACAGAAAATATGATTCACGGCTGGGTGCTGTGGCTCACACCTGTGATCCCAGCATTTTGTGAGGCCGAGGTGGGTGGATCACTTGAGGTCAGGAGTTCTAGACCAGCCTGACCAACATGGTGAAACCCCATCTCTACTAAAAATACAAAATTAACTGGGCATGGTGGCACACGCGTGTAATCCCAGCCACTTGGGAGGCTGAGGCAGGAGAATTGTTTGAACCCGGGAGGTGGAGGTTGCAGTGAGCTGAGATCGCGCACCATCATACTCCAGCCTAGGCAACGAGGGCGAAACTCCGTCTCAAGAAAAAAAAAAAAAAAGAAAAAGAAAACATGATTTGCTCTGTGTATCTCCTTTTTAAAGTGTGCTTAATTTGATTTCAACGCACTTGAAGAGGCTGTCCATGATACTGCAAGAACTGAAGATCAAGATTAGATGGTGTGTGCCATTGGCTCGGAATTTCTTTTCCATTGAGATTTACTTGTGTGCTAAGTATATACATTTTTTTTTTTTGTACAAAACTTGGGCTCTTCTTTTGAAAATGAAGTTGCCGTCCAGCCAGGCTGCAGTGTTAAAGTTCCATCAAACAGGCCTTTAAATCTCCAGTCTTTGTGTGCATCCTGCCCTCTGCCTGGTGCCCCCTTCTCCTGCACCCTGGGCCCTCTACGGGAGAGCCAGCCCCTCTCTCCTCTAGCCCATCACCCCCAGCTGAATTATAGCCTTTCTCACATCACATCATATGTGTTTGTTTATAAGTCAAACTGACGCTTTGTTTATTGCCATATCACAGGAAAACGACTGGGCAGATTTCTGCCAATTTTGGAGAGTGGGTTTTGGGTGGTCTGTCTCAGAATATAAACCAGGTGGCGTATGCAAAACCCACTCTCCAAAGACCTGGGGGAAGGGGTGTCCTTGAAAAGAGAGGCAGTCATTTTTCCTGGCGGCTGAAACCGAGGGGCCCTGGCCTGTGCAGCTGCTGATCCTCAGGGACGTACCCTTGCACAAACTGTCACAGGCAGGAGAACTACCAGTGGCATCCCCATCAGCCCCCACTTGAAGGTCGCAATGGTGGGGGCTCCGCATTGCAGATGCTGATTGGTAGCCGAGCTGCTTCTCACGTGGCTGAGTGGCAGCAGCACTGACTTATTTAGGAGCCTCATAAGGACCACAGTGGGGCCAGCACAGTGGTTCACACCTGTAATCCCAGCACTTTGGGAGGCTGAGGCGGGGGAACACTTGAGGTCAGGCATTTGAGACCAGCCTGGCCAACATAGTGAAACCCCATCTCTACTAAAATACAAAAATTAGTGAGGGGTGGTGGCACATGCCTGTAATCCCAGCTACTCTGGAGGCTGAGGCACGAGAATCACTTGAACCCAGGAGGCAGAGGTCTCAGTAAGTGGAGATTGCGCCACTGCACTCCAGAGCAAGACCCTGGCTTAACAACAAAAAAACTCATAACTTGGATCACGTGGGTTTTGTCCCCCACAATAAGTTCCTGGGTAAGCCATGCTAAGTTGGGGGTCTCTGTCCCTGCCAGCTTTGAGCTAGGGAGTTAGGTCCAGCCTTCTCAGCTCTGCCAAGCCCATCAGTAACCCTGGAGCTGAACAAAACAGCAGTGAGTGGGAGGCCCTCAGCCCACGGGGCCCACAGCGTGATCCCAGGCTTCCTGGCACCTCCTGCACAGCCAGCAGCCCAGCTCCCTGCTGGCACCTCTTCCTTCACTTCCTCTCCCAGGCCTGGGCAGAAAGGTCCAGGGCGTGGGATGCAGTGGCCTTTCGTGGCCCTTTCCTCAATAACCACTGGGCTTGGCTGAGGCAGAGGGTGAGGGTGGGAAGCTGTAAGGCTGCATGGTTGGAATACACACAGCCCCTTCCCCACACAGCCTGGGACAGTGTCCCCACGTGACCCACCTAATGGCCGCTCTCTGAAGCTCTGTGTCTTCCAGAGGCACCGACCCCCTCTTCATATAAAAGCTGACATTTACGGAATGGTTGCCGTGTGCCTGGCTCTACACTGAGTTCACCAGTGTCTAACTCAGCAGATCCTCCCCACAGCCTCGGACAGAGCCTAGTATCACCCCTGCCTGTTCCACAGATGGGGAAACTGAGGCTTAGAAAGGTTACTTGGCACACCCAGGACATCCCAGGTCACGAGCAGCAAAGCTAGGATTCACACTCAGGTCCAAACCTCCAAAGCTTAATGTCTCCCTGGTCTACACTGCTTCTCATCCTCAGGGCTCCAGGGCACCCAGCCCTTTGTTTCTGAAGCTGTTTTGATGCGTGAGTAGTGAAGCTGAGCATTTTTCCAGGTCTCTGGCCTGGAATGCAGGGCTGTGTGTCAACCTTCTCCCCAGAGTCTCCCTCTCCGCACCTTCAGCGTGCTCTCTTGCAGGACAGCCCTAATGAGTAACTAAGCCTGTGGGGTGACCCCTGAACGTAGAGAGGGCCGTCTTCTTCGGGGTACCCCCTATGATCAAGGTTCCCGGGACCCCATTGGCACTGGCCGCAAACTTTGAGCAGAACTTGGGAGGGGACAGATGGCCCATATATGACTTCAGGGTGGTTTCTTGGGCCCCTTAATATTTGCTGCCCCTTGAAGGAAAGGAAGAAAGCCCATCTACGTTCACTGCCCCACTCTGGGAGGCGCTGCTCCCTGCCCCCTGCAGGACACCTGGCCCTCCTGCCCTCACCTGAGAGTCGGAGATTTCTGAGGGCTTCTCCGTCAGGCTGCTGCTCTCTGCAGGGATGAGGTCGTTGTATTTGGTGACATCCTCATCCGAGTAGTGCAGGCTGCCTGGGCTGGGCCTGGGGGGAGACCTGGAGAGAGCGGGGGAGTGGGGCCGAGAGGTGCACTCACTCAGAGCGGCCTCCCCTGGCCTAGGGAGACCACAGTGGGGGCCTGGGGAACACGGATCCCTGCCACCCTGTGCTCCTCCTCCTTCCTGGGTCTGCCTTCCAGGGGCCCGGGCCTGGGAGGTAGGAATCTGGAGGAGGACAAAGAGGGAAAAATGGGGTGCCCGGCTAATGCTGTCATGGCAACATGCAGGGTGAATGTAGGGGGGATGTCACCGTGGCTGGGTTCAGGACCCCACATCCTGGGGCTGCTTTGGTGCAAACGGGATTTTTGTGTACACACAGTGGCTTTGGGGGCACACAGGGGCCTGGATGTGTGTGCACTGTGGGTAGGAGAGGCTGGGAAGGGCAGGGGAAGGTGAGGCCACGTGTGAAATGCCCCCTTGTTACATGTAGTAGGGCCCCGGAGCCAGCCTGGCGGGGCTGCTATGGCCATGCTGGGCCTGGCTGGGCCTGCTGTGGGGGCCTCAAACAGCTCTTTCTTTGGAAGGCTGGATTTGGCAGAGGATAAGAGCTCGGCTTTGGGAGCTCCTCCCTCCATCCTCTAGATGAACACACACATAGCTTCGTCCCTCTAAGACAGAGACAGAGGGAAGCTTTGTGAGCTCCTGAGAGAGGCTGGACTCCTCCTGACTGCCGCCTCCAATGAGCTGGGAATGCCAATAGGGCTGAGGCTGGAGACAGGAGCCCTCTGGCCCAGTCTTTCTTGAGCTCAGGGGAACAGAAAACCGCCACACATCAGGGGAGGGTCAGGTGGGCCCCAGCAGCTGCTCCTGCCCTTGGAAATGGGCAGCCCGATGGCCACAGGGAGTAGGGCCTAGGAGGGGGCTGGGGTTAGAAAGAAGTCAGAAGAAAATAGGAGCTGTGCTTGCACCACGAGCCTTGTCCTGTCCTCATGGGCTGCTTTCAGATGCTGCCCTTTGAGGCTGATGGGGATAGGAGGTTGTCCTTTAATAGGTATAAATAAGGACCTGGGGGAGAGGGTTTCCCAAATGGGGAGGAAGACAGGAGGGCATAGCGATAATGCGGGTGCTCAGGCGTCCTTCGCTAAGGTGTTTTTGCTCGGTCTGCGTTGGCTGGGCCTGTCTTGCCTTTGGGGCCAGTGACGATCTGCAGGGCTGTTTCCCTGGCAGTTGGCTCCGAACATCAGTAGGTTGGTTTGAAAAATTTTGCCAGTTATTTGCATTCTACTGTCACTGTCAGGAACTCTTAGTAGCTACCTCCTTGTAAATTTCTCCCCAGTGCGCCCTCACCCCCAGGCTGTGATTGGGCATGGTGGGGACTGGGACCCTAGTTGTCCTGCTTGGGCCCCACTGTGTCTTTCTGCTGATCGTTCCCAGCCCTGGGGCTTGAATGGTGTTTCCCAGGACAAGGTATGGCCAGGTGGGCACTCCCTGCTCTATGGCCTTCCCCAGCATTCTCCCCACCTGGGCACTGCTGGGCCTGGCCCCCAACCCACGCAGAGGGCCCAGTACCTGGTGTACAGGCCGTTCTTTCGGCAGAAAGAGTTCTTGACGGAGAGCCGCCTGTTGTTGAGTTCCAGGGCAGGGAAGCTGCTTTCATCCAAGCTCATCATCTCGCTGTGGCCTAGGGCTCCAGACTTGGCACTGTTCCCTGAAGTCGGCGGGAGATTGACACCCTTTAGACTGTGTGGCCTCCCCTCTCCCATACCACTCTCCACCTGGCTGGGTTATCCCCTCTTTCTCTTGGTAGAGTTGAGACCAAAATAAGAGATTGAGATTGTGTGTAGAAACCCTAGGCTGCCCCACCCACCAGAGCAGGTGCGCTGCCAGGAGCCAGGAGAGGGACCTGATCACCCCTGTTCTGGCCAAAAAGGAGATACATAAAACTCAAGTCCAGCCAGCATGGCTGGTGCCAGCTCACTCACCCGAGTCTGTCTTCTTGGCGTACTTCTTGCTCTGGCCCCGGATGATGAGCACGAAGACCAGAAGCAGGATGAAGATGAGGCCGACCAGGGCAATGACCACCAAGAACCACCACTCCTCATAGAAGGGGTTGGCTTTCTGGGCTGGAGCACAGATAGTCAGGTATATAGGGTGCTCAGCCCCCTCCTCCCTCCAAATCTCCTGCTCCAGTTGGGACCCTACTAACTGCTACAATCTATGGGAAGGCAGGGTCTGTACCCTCCGAATGAGGCAGAACCTCTGTAAGGACAGTTTCACCTCAAGTATCCGCTCTGATCAGTCGGTAAAGGGCTGCCTGGAGGGCTGATGTCAGATGAGTTCTGAGATGGCTACCTGGCTCAATAGGAAAGAGTGCTAAGATTGATTAGTGATGTCTGCCAGGGACATAGGAGGGGAGAGTGGCAGTGTGTTAGCTACTTTTTCCCCTTTTTTTTTTTTTTGAGACGGAGTTTCACTCTTATTTCCCAGGCTGGAGTGCAATGGCATGATCTTGACTCACTGCAACCTCCACTTCCCGGGTTCAAGCAATTCTCCTGCCTCAGCCTTCCAAGTAACTGGGATTACAGGTACCTGCCACCACACCCGGCTAATCTTTGTATTTTTAGTAGACACGGGGTTTCACCATGTTGGCCAGGCTGGTCTCTAACTCCTGACCTCAGGTGATCCACCTGCCTCGGCCTCCCAAAGTGTTGGGATTACAGACGTGAGCCACCGTTCCCGGCCCCTTTTCTTTTTTTCTTTTGTACTTGTCTAGGAGCTATCTTGATAAGCATACCTAAATCTGTGTGGGGAAAGGTGCTTCTCTGGCCTGCAGGAGGATGAGAGAGCTTTTCCTGAGGTTTAGTTTGGAGTGAAATTTTTGCTGGTAGCAGAAGGCAGGGGGAATTGGGAGGATGGACACAGGGGTTCTTTAGTAAAAGGTGAAAGATTTACACGATCTGAAGAAAAACCAGAGTGTGGTGAGAGGGTCTTTAGGATGTCTCTTCCAGGTAGAGCTCCCTTTTCTCAAAACCCCTAGACTGTGCTTTCTGCACCCAGCCAGGACTACCCATGCTGTGTGGACAAGAGATGGGCTCTCTGTTTCGGCCTTGAAGCACTTCTGTCCCAGGATTTGGTTTTATCAATGTGGGTAAAGGAGAAGATTTGGTTCTTCAATGTGGGCAATGTGTGGCAGGGGGAGGAGGCTGGGTTCCTTTGAGTTGTGCTTCTGCTTGGGGGAAGGGGCCTTTGTATTCTGGGTGGTTAGTGATAACATTTTGGGTCAAGGGTTTAGATAGCAGAGCCCTTTGTGCGCTCCAAGACATGCCAGATAGGAAGAATGAGGGGAGGAAAATGGGAGGGGTGGTGACCCTGCTGCACCCAGGCACTAGGTCAGGCCTAAGGCCCACCTGTGTCTCTGCTGCTCTGCAGGCTGCTGACCCTGCCACGTTGGGGCTGGAGGTTTCCATGGAAAGATAGTTTATGGCCTGGTGCCCATGAATGTCCTGGGTGATGAGTGCATGGAAGTTTGCATCTTGGGCCCTCTGCTCTGCCCCTACCCAGGGCTTCTGGAGTTCCTTGAAAGGGAGCCCCAAAGATGAAGATCCCTAGTTTCCTCTGGTCTTGAGGGCTGACCCAGGCCTGGGCACCAGCACTTGCCTCTTCACAGCCCCGAGGGGACAATGTGTTTTTGTTCCCGCCCCATGCTCCTGGTGCCCTGGTGCCTCTCCTCCTTCCGCCCTGCCCAGTGTCAGCCCCCAGGCTCTGCTGTGGGGCTCCCCCACTCCCTCAGCCCCCAGGCCGGTACCTGGCACAGACTGGGAGGGGCTGCTGGGGGTGCCGAAACCATAGTCGTTGACCGCGATGACCCGGAAGTCATAGCTCACGCCCGGCTTCAGGATGTCCATGCTGAACGTGTAGGAGCTCACCTCCTTGGGGATGTCTTTGATGAGGATGTCCCATAGTCCCTCGTCTGCAGGAGCACAGAGATGGAGGCCCTGGGAGGTGAGGGGAAGCCCCAAATCCCGCTCCCAGCCCCGTTCTGACTATGCTCCCTGAGGGCTGGGCCTGTTGGATCCTCCCTGCTCCACACTGAATCGCAGGCCTTGGTCCTCCCTTGAAGTTTCTTAAAAAGACAACTTTCGGGCCAAGCACGGTGGCTCATGCCTGTAATTCCAGCACTTTGAGAGGCCGAGGTGGGTGGATCACCTGAGGTTAGGAGTTCGAGACCAGCCTAGCCAACATGGTGAAACCCTGTCTCTACTAAAAATACAAAAATTAGTCTGGTGTGGTGGCACATGCCTGTAATCCCAGCTACTGGGGAAGCTGAGGCAGGGAATTGCTTGAAGCTGGGAGATGGAAGTTGCAGTGAGCTGAGATCACGCCACTGCATTCTGGCCTGGGCAGCAGAGCAAGACTCAGTCTCAAAAAAAAAAGACACCTTTTGGAGCATCTCTTTTATTCTTTTTATTAAAATATCTGTACTACATTAAAAGATACGTACTGTGCAGAAAGTACTGTCACAACCAATGACAGAACCACCGTCCAGAGAAACAGGCTCAAGGAATTAGCACTTGTGCAAGCAGAACACTATGGATTCTGTCTTCCACTTCATTAAAAATGGTTGGAAACATGATTTTAAGTGACTGCCTAAGACATTATCATATGGGAATACCCTTCTTTACTTAACTAACCCCCTTTCCTAATTCAAAACATACACAATGGTGGCAGGAGACAAAAATAAGAGCGCTATTTTTCTTTTTTCTTTGTTTCGAGACAGAGTTTCGCTCTTGTTGCCCAGGCTGGAGTGCAATGGCAGGATCTCGGCTCACAGCAACCTCTGCCTCCCGAGTTCAAGCGATTCTCCTGCCTCAGCTTTCCAAATCCACCATGCCTGACTAATTTTGTATTTTTAGTAGAGACGGGGTTTCTCCATGTTGGTCAGGCTGGTCTCGAACTCTCGACCTCAGGTGATCTGCCTACCTCAGCCTCCCAAAGTGCTGGGATTACAGGTGTGAGCCACTGTGCCTGGCCAATTTTTTTTTTTTTTTTTTTTTGAGATGGAGTCTCACTCTGTCATCCAGGCTGGAGTGCAGTGGTGCCATCTCAGCTTACCACAACCTCCGCCTCCCAGGTTCAAGCTATTTTCCTACCTCAGCCTCCCGGATAGCTGGGATTACAGGCTTACTCCACCACGCCCAGCTAAATTTTGTATTTTTTAGTAGAGACAGGGTTTCATCATGTTGGCCAGGCTGGTCTTGAACTCCTGACCTCAGGTGATCTGCCTGCCTTGGCCTCCCAAAGAGGATTACACGTGTGAGCCACCATGCCCGGTCTTTTTCTTTTCTTTTTAGTAACAGCTGCAGGAAAGATTTGGTTTTAAAAAAATTGTTTTGAGATAGGGTCTCGCTCGGTTGCCAAGGCTAGAGTGCAGTGGTGTGCTCTTGGCTCACTGCAGCCTCAACCTCCTGGGCTCAAGCGATCCTCACATCTCAGCCTCTCAAAGTGCTGGGATTACAGGTGTGAGCCACCGCGCTCAGCCAACAGGAAAAATTTGGGTTTCCTGTCTGTTCTCCACCCTGTGCTGGCGTCAGCCACCTCTGTCCTTTGCACCTGAGCTTCCCTCAGATCCCCTTCCCCTCTTTATCCGTGGCTCTCTGGGCCTTGCCCTCGTGGGACATAATTCACCTTCATGCTGTTCAGTCAGAGCGGTGCGGGTGCTGCCTGGGTCAGGGACGAGGCAAGCCCCTGACATAGCCTTGGGGCATCCATCATGTTGGTGGGAAGGCCAGGAGGGGCCCTGGCTGCATGCTCTGGGTGGGGCTGATGGGGTCAGCCTGGCCCTGAGAGAGGGTGCGTCTTCCTGCTGGTGGCAGTGCGGGGCTGATTTGGAAACTGAGGTATCCAAGCCACCCTGGGCCTAGCCAGACCCCTCTTCACAGTAGAAGGACGTCAGTGAGGCCAGCTCGCAGGTCCTCTCTGTCTGGCCTGCTCCAGGGAGGTCACCCAGTGGCCAACAGTGGGTCTTCCAGGCCGCTGCCACCAGGGACTAAAAGGCCTTAACTTCCCCTAGCCTGCCCCAACCAAGCACCTCCAGTCTCTCACATGCAGGGCCCGTTCTTCTCGCCGTTCTGCTTCTGCACCCTCTGGTTGAAGCTGCTCTCCCGCCAGAGGTGTGCCCAGTTCAAGGCCGCCCTTCCCCAGGGCTGATGGTTTTGTTTTCCTCACCATACTTTCTCATAGACCCAGCCGTGTAAGTCGAGCACTGCAGCAGAGGCGCCTCGACACCCTGGCGTCCTGTCTGAATTTTGGACCCAGTGGTGGGAACTGCTGAGGGGGCTGTCTCCCCACTTCCAGTGTGGATCCTTCCAATTTGGGGAAGGCCATGGGGACCCAGTCTACATCAGAGCTGTCCTTGCAGAAGGCTCCGGGGTCCCGAACCTCGGCCTCACTGTTGGTCTTACTTGTTTTTGAGCCTCTGCCTCCTACACCTCCATATATATATATATATTTTTTTTTTTTTTTTTTTTTAGACGGAGTCTCACTCTGTCGCCCAGGCTGGAGTGTGATGGCATGATCTCAGCTCACTGCAACCTCCGCCTCCCATTCAAGAGATTCTCCTCCTACCTCAGCCTCTTGAGTAGCTGGGATTATAGGCACCCGCCACCACGCCCGGCTAACTTATTTATTTATTTATTTAGAGACAGAGTCTCACTCTGTCACCCAGGCTGGAGTGCCGTGACACGATCTTGGCTCACTGCAACCTCCGGCTTCCGGGTTCTCCTGCCTTAGCCTCCGGAGTAGCTGGGATTACAGGCACACGCCACCAAGCCCAGCTATTTTATTTTTTATTTTTTATTTTTAGCAGAGATGGGGTTTCACCATATTGGCGAGGATGGTCTCGATCTCCTGACCTCGTGATCCGCCTGCCTTGGACTCCCAAAGTGCTGGGATTACAGGCGTGAGCCACCGTGCCTGACCCATCTTTTTGTTTAATATCTCTCTTTCTCTCTTTCCCCTTTGCTGGCTGTGAAATCCCTCAAGGGCAAGGATCATGACTAATTCGTCTTAAGTCATCCTTAGTCCAGCACCCAGCACAGGCACCTTCTCAGCATTTATTGAATAAATAAATGGAACCTTTCCTCCCTGGCCTTTTCATAGCATTAGCTGCCCAGTTTCGGAACTTCATGCCTTGAAATTTTAGTACTGGGGTACAAATCCATTTTCCTCACATGCCTCTGAATTCTCTCACTCATCTTTGAATGATATCATAATGATGATGATGACGGTGACAACAGCTGGCACTTACGCCTCTGTCAAGCATCCTGGGTCTACGTGCTTTCCTTTTCAAATCCACAGCAATGGCGAGAGGGATGAACTACTGTCCCCATTTTACAGATGAGGACACCAAGGCCTGGAGGAAGCTTCACTCATCTTCCCAAGGTCCTACGCTGTCAGCAGCAGAGCTGGTGTTACTGCCTGGGGCCACCTCATTTCTGGCACCGAACTTCCCTGCCCAACGCAGTCAGGTGTTGGACCTGTGTTTGCTGGATGGGCTGGGATCATTGAGGCCCCTGCTGCTGCCTTCCAGAAGCTGGGATCTCCTGCCTGCTGTTTAACCCCCCTTGTTCCACCCCACACAGGGACAAAGGGTGGGGCTGAGTCAACCGGGCCAGGCCAGAAGCTGCTGGAATGTCACGCTGGGGCTCTAGCCGCCAGCCCCGGGAGTTGGCTGATGTGCAGGACGGGTTCCTGGGGCTGCAAATCCCTGGGCGAACCTCTCCCTGGGTCTGCAGCGCCTGGCAGCTCCTGGCTTATAGAAAGGGGGTGTATTTAGTTTATCCTGCCTAGCACGAAGCACAAGCAATTCAAGGGCAAATGTATGACAAGGGCTATGCCATCCTGAAGATGAGAAGGGGAGCACAGAAGAAGGGGCAGGGGGCATGGAGGGGAGAGATGCTCACCCCATAACAGCAGCCTGCTCTCAAACAGCCTTAGGGACAGACCACCATGCCCCTTGCCCCCTCTCCTCCCTCCTCCCTGTGCCTGGTTACTGATCCTGTCCTCTGCTCTCTGGCCCTGGCCCTGCTCCGAGTCCTGGTTTCTCACAGGGCCCTGGCTTGGTCCTTCCTTTTATGCTCAGGTCTTGATTCCACCAGTGTGGACCAAGTCACAGCCCACAAACTTGGAACACCAGAGTCCCACGCTGGGCCTCCCAGGAAACACTGAGAATCAACAGAGCCAGAGTCAGGGGCCAACATTCCACAGCCTGGCACCCCAACTGGCCAACTTGGGTGGAATAAACAGGTGCAGGCCCTGGTTGGGAGAAGCACGTAGTGGTCTCCTGGCCAACTCAGCAGCCGGCACCAGAGGGCCAGGGAGGGACCATCTGGAGTGGGGAGAGAGCCAGCCCCGCATGCATCCTCCGGCCACACAGCAGATCTGAGCAGCTAGATGTATTCGCTATATGCAACTGCGATTATTAGCATGTGATTAAGGCAGGAGCGGTGGTAATGTCTTCCAGGAGCTACTAGAATTATTAACTCTCTGCTATTGGGATGATTAGTGCCCAGCTACCTCGAAGTATTAACAATTCATCACTGGGATGTTTCCATATTCCCCATTAGAAGTACTAGCTACCGAGATGCCTGGTGGCGTCCCATTATGATTGTTATTTGCTATTTGGGCTAGAGCAACAAAATCTTGTTTTCCTTCTCAATTTTAATCACCTAACCGCGGATCCATGGGATACAGAGAACAGGCCTCCTGCTCTTGCTGACTCTGGCACCTCTGATTAACTTGGAAACCTAGCAACGCAGGGAGCTGGCAGTGGCTGCAAGCTCCTGAGAGTAAGCAGAGCCCAGCAAGCGGGTGTCAGGATGGGTGAAACCGGAGCAGTGGGGAGCAGCCCCCCGACTGACTTATCTGTCACTCATCTCCTGATGGCTTTGGAAGTTCTTGTGATTCAATTTCAGGCTTGACAGGAGAGGCTGGTACGATTATAGCAGCCACTGAGACAGCCATGATGGCAGAGACAGGGCTTCGAGAGGCAGCCAGGGTCTTCTTAGTTATGGGGCACCCATCAGTGGGGTCGTGTGGAGGATTCGGTGTGTGACCCACGTGAGCCACGTGCTCAGGCTTCCGGCTTCCTGAGCAATCCTCAACCCAAGCTGGTCCTCAGTTAGCACTAACAGCCGTTCTCTGGGGGCCTCCTGGGGGTTACTTAGCTAGGAGTCCAGCTCTAGGAGCCCCCCAACCCAGTTTCCCACTCCTCAACAGGGCCAGGTGACTTCACCTGTAGTAGCACAAGCGCCTTCTCAGGCGGAGGACAGAGGCAAGTGCCCCAAGTGGAGGGACCCAGGAAGAAGGGAGATAATGAGCTGTGGGGTCTCAGCCCAGCAGGGCGGGGCGCACCTGAAGGTCTGGCCTCGATGACGTAGCGGGTGATGGGCCCTTTGCCCGGGTCTCCGCTGGACCAGTGAATGGCGATGGCAGAGCTGTACCGCACGATGATGGGCACGCCAGGCGGTCCTGGGGCACCTGCAGACAGCACACAGAGGCGAGGGATGTATGGAACCCAGAACAGCCACCCAGCCCGTCACCCTGGGCTCGAGGAGGAACACTGGGTGACAAAACCAACCCTGGACAGAGAGCCGCCAGGAAGCCCTGCAAATGTCGCGGCCTGAGAGTACATCTCAGGCTGGGCCTGCCAGGATGGACTGTTGTCCCCCTGGGCTACCCCTATGCTCCATATTCCAAATCCCAGGGCAGAAGACAAATGGAATGGTCCAGAAAGGTCCCTGGAGTAGAGCCAGGAGACCTGGGTTCCAGCCCAGAACGTGTTAGATGGGTGATTTTGATCAATTCACATAGCCTTCCAGTGCCTCCGTTTCCCCCTCTATAAGGGCCTTTTGGAAGGTAAGGCTTGAAGGCTGTGTCCTGGATGGTGGGGAATAGAGGTGGGTGCGATGATGGCAGAGTGGGCCCATGAGAGGAGGGGGTTGGTCGGAGCGGGGCTGAAGAGTCCAGTTTCTCCCTCCTGGTAGGTGATATGATGTCCGCCCTCCCTCATTCCTGCCTAAAATCCCCCAACCCCAACTGCATTTCCTATTAGGTTAGACAAGGGGAGAGGGGGTTTATGCCCCAGGAGGCCTTGGGGCCTGTGCTGCTAGGAGGAGGGAGGAAGGACTGGGCCCCATGCCGCGCTCCTGGAATGAAGGTACGTCAGGAGCAGCCTGGGATGTGGGCCAGTGAGGGAGCCGGCCCTAGGAGCTGGAGCAGATGAGAGGAGGTGACTCCAGCAATGAGAGGAGTGAGCCAGGTATCTGTCTGCAAGGGGCTCTGAGCCCCTTCTCTTGGGGGTGCCCGTCCAGAATCCCGACCCCACATGCTGTCACCTCCAATCCTGCTCCCCACCAAAGGTGGGGCTCTGTACCCCCAGAGCTGGGTACACAGTAGGTGCTTCCTCTGTGCTTAGGGGATGAGGGAGGGAACCAGTGCATGAGTGGGTGGCCACCTGGTTTGTTGGTGGGGGGTCTCTGTGGAGCAGAGTCTAGCATCACACTGATGCTCCCCCAGGGCCCTGGAGGGCCAGCAGGCCCTCCTTACACAGCCTGGCAACCCCACCCGGCCACTATGCCCACCCCATCGCTCACACAGCCTGGCAGCCCCGCCTGGCCCCTATGCCCACCCCACAGCATTGGAGGGCACCATTTCCTTCCTTCCCTATGGAGCAGCCTGTCTGCAGCACAAGGGCAGAGTAACTGCGGGGTCAGGTGGGGTGGACACGCCTGAGGGAGTATGGTAGGGCAGGCAGCCCTCAGGACCCTGTACTCATCCTGCACAGGACAGTACTCAGGGCTGAGGACAGAGCCTGCACCTTCTCCGGGGCCAGGAGCTTCCAGCGAGTCCAGCCACTGCCTGGCTGCATGTTCCCCGCCTGCAGACCGCCCCCTGCACCCACACCATGTGGGAGGATGGCTTCTTTATTTCTTTTTTTGAGACACGTTCTCACTCTGTTGCCCAGGCGGGAGTGCAGGGGCACGATCACAGCTCACTGCAGCCTCCACCTCCTGGGCTCAAACGATTCTCCCACGACAGCCTCCTGAGTAGCTGGGACTTCAGGTATTCACCAGTATGCCTGGATAATTTTATTTTTGTAGAGATGGGGTTTTGCTGTATTGCCCAGGCTGGTCTTGAACTCCTGGGCTCAGGCAATCCACCCGCCTCCACCTCCCAAAATGTTGGGATTACAGGCGTGAACCCCCACACCCGGCTGGTTCTTTCTTTCTCAGAGTGCCCTCCACTACCTTCTCTGAACCCTCTGCCCTTTATCTCCTCCCACCTCCCCACCTCTCAGCCTGGGACACTTCAAGCCTCAGGATAGAACAGCCTGTCCTCCGCACAGCCCTCTCCTGTCCCCAGGCCACTGCCAACGCTTGGTCCTCAGTTGCTTGCCAGCTCTCTCTCCTACTTTTGTTTCCCAGGAAGCTGGCTCAGGTGAGAGGCAGCGCGGGGCGGGGCTGGAGGCAGATGAAAGGACAGCGGCTGGGTGGCTCCTGGGCTGCCTCCTGCAGGCTTTGTCCTGAGTTTGCCCTAGAGCTACAGGGCTTCTTTGCAGAACCAGACTGTGGGGAATAGAAAGTGACTGGCCAGAAAGAAAAAGTGAAGCGCAGCCAGACTAAGCCATTAGGGGAAGACTCTCTTCCTGAGTCAGGCTAATTGGGACTGCTGGGGAGGGGAGGCCTGCGCCATTCTTGGCTGAAGGGGGTGGGCAGAGGAGGAGATGGGATTTTAGGGGAAGTCCAGGATGGGCTGTACCCCTTCTTAGGGAGGGAGGCAGCAGAGTGGTCTGGGAGGTGACTTTTGTGTTCAGGACAGGACATTCTACACTGACCAGTAACAGGGACTTTGGAGGGCTAAACCTTGACCATGGCAAATGCCTGGGGGGATGAGGGGTGGGAGGGGAAGGGAGGTGAAGAGGACATTTAAAGGAGGCGATTGGGCACAGTGGCTCATGCCTGTAATCCCAGCACTTTGGGAGACTGCAGCAGGTGGATCACTTGAGGTCAGGAGTTGGAGACCAGCCTGGCCAAACCCTGTCTCTACTAAAAATACAAAAATTAGCTGGTCGTGGTAGAAATCACCTGTAATCCCAGCTACTTGGGAGGCTGAAGCTTGAGAATTGCTTGAACCCGGGAGGTGGAGGTTGCAGTGAACTGAGATTGCACCACTGCACTCCAGCCTGGATGACAGAGCGAGACTCTGTCTCCAGAAAAAAAAAAAAAAAGCCCAAACAACAACAACAGAAACAATACAGGAGATTAAGGAAGACTTCCTGGGGTGAGGGGCGGGCAGTTACACACAAAAGGGCGTTCTGCGGAGGGGGTGGGTGGTGAGGTGGGGGAGGCAGGGCCCTGGCTGTGAATAGGTGACCTGCTCCATCAGGTGTTTCTCAAGGTGCCACTTTGTCACGGCCTCCAGGGGCTTTTGTCTAAGTGCAGACTGCCAGGTCCCACCTCAGCCCCAGGAAATCAACCCCTCGGAGCATCCACCCTGGGAACGTGCATTTTAGTGCGCCCTGCTCTGAGAACCGCTGCCTGGAGGGTAGGGGTGGTTCAGGGGCGTGGGAAGATGGCTCTGGCTGGGCGAAAGGCAGGGGCACCTGCCAGGCTGCATCCTTCCAGGACGGAAGTAAAGGAGGCCATGCAATTAGCAGGGAGAGAAAGAACGAAGCAGGCGCAGTGGCCAGGCCAGGCCTGTGGGCTGGGCCTAAGTGGGAGAGGAGGGGGCGCTGCTCCAGGGTTTGTGGCTTGAGGAACCTGAGGACACATTAATCAAAGCGTGGAGCCCGGGAGGAGGGAGCGGGGGGAGGGGTCACTGGGCACCAGGGGAAAGAGTGAGCTCTGTCCTCCACTCTGTTTCCAGGGTCCAGCACAGCTCTTGACACCGGGGGCCCCTTCTGACTGGGGACGCTGAACCGCCGTGTGGAAGACATGCCTGGTCCGTTGCTCTCCTACCTTCTCCGGGGCCCGTGGTGACGTTGGCTTCGATCTCCGGCCCGTAGGTGAAGGTCTTGGCTCTGATGCGGAACCTGTAGGTCACCCCCTCCGCCAGGTCCTTCACCTTCAGCCACAGGGGGCTGTTCCCCTTCACGTCCACGGTCACGATCTTGCTGACTCCTGGGGGAGGCACAGCAAGTGGGGACTGGGCACAGGGCCCACCGAGGGCACTGGAGGCCATGGGGAAGGGGAAGCGGCCGTGGCCTGGGCCCCGGGACCCTGGGTAGGGGCCTCACTCCTTGAGGTCAGGCTGAAATGCACCCCCAGCCCACACAACCACATTGCCCATGCTGTGTTTCTCACAGCACGGTCCTGCCTGCTGTTCTCAGGGAGAACGGCTCCATGGTTCAGTATGTTTGGGAAAAGCTACTACTGTCTGTGTCTACTGAGTAGCCACAGGGTCCATCATCAGCATCTACAGAAAAGAGAACACTCGCCATCCTGTTTAATGTAACCTCTGCACCCCAAATATGTTTCGGCTCCATTGCTATTCCCTTATGCAGCATCCCATGGGACTAGAATTATATCCTTTTTCAGGAAGTGCTTCCATAAAAATACCAAAAGCCCAGAGTTGCGGGGACACACTTTTGACCAGGTCCTCCACCTGAGCCCCACTCCAGCTCCACCTCTGGGGTTCAGCCAGGAGCTCACATGGCCCTCCAGCACCTATATCTGCCACAATTTTTTTTTTTTTTTTAAGACAAGGTCTTGCTCTGTTGCTCAGGCACAATCATGGCTCACTGTAGCCTCGACCTCCTGGGTTCAAGCCGTCCTGCCACTTTCAGCCTTCCAAGTAGCTAAGACTGTAGGTGTGCACCATCATGCCTGGCTAATTTTTAAATTTTTGTAGAGACAGGGTCTCATTATGTTGCCCAGGCTGGTCGCGAACTCCTGGCCTCAAGTGATCCTCCCACCTTGGCCTCTCAAAGTGCTGGGATTATAGGCATGAACCACTATGCCCAGTCCACCAAGCTTTTTAGGGCAAAAGTGAGGATGCCTCAGCACCCCAAATCACAGCAACTAGAGGGGACGCTTGAGCCAGCTTTCAGGAGGTGGGGGTTTGCACTCTGTGCTTCGCGAATCCAAATACTCCTGACTGCCAGCCTCCCTGGGAGCCGGGGTTAGTGTCATTTCCCATGTCCATCGAGCACGCCAGTCACCAGTGAAAGACAGGCCTTGCAGCCAATAGGCTGGGCTCAGACCCAGTGATGGCGCCGGCCCCGGCATGTCCCTTAACTTGGCTTCAGTTTGTTCTGCCGAGTGAGGGTGTCCACAGCATCTTAGGCAGGGATGCTATGAGCTTTAAGTAAAATAACAGAGCATGTAGGTGCCTGACCTATTTATTGACTAAGTGGATTACTAATATTATCGTTTTGAGGTGGATTTTCACTATTGTTGCCCAGGCTGGAGTGCAATGGCGCGATCTCAGCTCACTGAAACCTCCGCCTCCTGGGTTCAAGCGATTCTCCTGCCTCAGCCTCCCGAGTAGGCGTCCACTACCACACCCAGCTAATTTTGTATTTTTAGTAGAGACAGGATTTTGCCACGTTGGTCAGGCTGGTCTCGAACTCCTGAACTCAGGTGATCCACCGCCTCGGCCTCCCGAAGTGCTGGGATTGCAGGTGTGAGCCACTGCACCCGGCCGCTAAGTGGATTACTAAATGATGGAACAATGTAGGCTCAGAGGGGCTTCCTGAAAGAATGAAATGACCCTGGGACCAGGAACAGGGACTCTGGCTACCTGCTCCTTGACAATTCTGAACAAAGCCCTCATCTGCCTGGACCTTGGTTTTCCCTACAGGACAGTGGGGGCTGCTGGGCTTTTGTGAGGCTGGTTTGCTATTGACCTGAACCCAGGATGAACTGGGGTGTGGACACTGGGCTGTCCAGGCGGGGCCTTGTCTTGCTGTACTTATTAACTGAACTATTATGGGAAGATGGGAATGTGTAGGGGTGTGGAGTTGAGCCACACAGTCCAGATCCCACCAGACTGTGGAATTGGAAGGCAAAGAGCTCACATCCTCAAGTTGAGAGGGTCCTGGACAGGCCAGGTTGAGGCCCCTGTGAAGAGGGCTTGTGCTGGCCCCCTGTACCTTGTCTCGGGGACTGCTGTCCTCTGCCCCACTCCGGCCCTGCACCTGACTGGATCTCCTGCTGGGGCCTGGCTCCCCCCTGGTGTTCTAACACACAGCTCCCCTTTGCAGAACGAGCTGCTGGCACCCAGGTGGTAGCAGGGAAGACTGAGGGCCATTGTTCCCTAGGCTCACCGAGAACTGCTGGTCACAACGATGTTCCCAGGTCTCTGCCCCTTGTTCTTGCCAGGCTCCGTGATTGGAGGGGGTGAGAGTGAGAGGGGTGGCTCCAGAGGTCAGCCACACCCCCAGCACCTGGCTGGGACTAGTCCCAGGCAGTGAGGAACGCAGTTTCCTTCCTGCCTAAATCCCATCCTCATAGGATGGTTGTTCATAACAAAATGGCAGGGATTTCTTGGCATGTTACCAGGGGTAGAAAGCTGGCAGGTACCAGATGCCCATTGTCAGGGGCTGCGCAGCCCAGCCTAGGAGCCCAGAAATGGGCAGGTTCCCAGCTGGGGCCCGGAGGAAGGGGTCAGAAGACCAGTCAGATGAACAGGGTTAAGGACAAGAGCGAGGTCATTTGCAGAGCAGGGCTCTTGATCTGGGGTCCGCAGATAGCAGTGGGGGGTGCAGGGACCTCCTTGGTCTTGTGTATCTTCCTGGGGAGAGGCTCTGAAGCTTTGGTCAGATTCTCATCAGATTCTCCAAGGGGTTCCTGACTCCCACCAAAGCTAAAGAAGGACTAACCCACAGTAAAGCTGAGAACCCTAAGGTTTGGGAAAGGGCAAAGTAGGACCCTCAGGGGCTCCCCTCTTCTTTTTCTTTTCTTTTTTCCTTTTGAGATGGAATCTAGCTCTGTCGCCCAGGCTGGAGTGCAGTGGCGTGATCCCGGCTTACTGCAACCTCTGCCTGCCGGGTTCAAGCGATTCTCCTGCCTCAGCTTCCCGAGTAGCTGAGACTACAGGTACCCACCACCACACCCGGCTAATTTTTGTATTTTCAGTAGAGACGGGGTTTCACCATGTTGGCCAGGCTGGTCTTGGAACTCCTGACCTCAGGTGATCCACCCGCCTCAGCCTCCCAAAGTGCTGTCATTACAGGCGTGAGCCACCGTCCTTGGCTGCCCCCCTTCTTTATGGTCTCAACAGAGCCCTGTCCACTCAGGTTTCCCTTCCTTTCCTCCCTGTTTCCGTTGACCAAAGGGGGAAGAATATATTTAACGATTCTCTGCCTGGAAGTTAGGAGACCTGGATCTCTCTTCCAACTCTGCCCTCAACTTGCTGTTGTTTTACCTTGGAAATGCACTTTCCCTTGTCTGGGACTCAGTTTCCGTGTTTATAAGATGGGGAGACTCTCACCGAATCTCACTCATGTGTAGTGGCTGTGATGGGCGCTGAGATGAGAGCGAGCTTTTGCAAAGTGGGGGGCTGGGGAGCTGTGCTGGGGGGTCCACTCACCATCCACGGGGCTGCAGGGCTCGTACACCAGCCTGTAGCCCTCCAGGATGCCATTGGGGAACTGCGGGGCTTCCCAGGACACATTCACTGAGGTTGTGGTCAGCTCACTGAACTTGACCGAGCTGGGAGCGCTGGGGGCTGCGGGAGACAGCAAAGGGTTTTTGTTTCCTTCTTCTGTGGAAGTTCAAAGCCTCGGGTTCAGCTCCAAGGAGCTAGCGGGAGTATTGGGTCTGAGCCCGGGAGGAACAAGAGCGTGGGGCTCGGCAGAAAGGGCGGGCAGGAGGGGTCACTGGAGGCCATCAGGCCCCCTTCCTCTCCTCTCTCAACTTTCCAGTATCAGAGTCCTAAGAACTGGGAAGAAAGAGAACTCGATTTTTCCCTCAAGTTGCAGAATTCAGGCTTCTCCCTGCTAAGTGGCTCTGAGCCCGGGCTATGAGTGTGGGACAAGCTGTCACACCCCCGGGGTCATCGTGGGGCAAGGCCATTTCCTGGCTTTGCGGGGTTCGTCTTTTGGCTTTCGTGGAGAAGGTGGGGGTGTCTGGGCCTCAGAATATTCGGTAGGCGCTAAACAAAGAAGACACCAGAACCACAGCAGACGGAGATGGCCTTCCTCTCCTCCTGGGGCTCCAGGGCTTGTCACAGAGGCCCCACGCAGTCAGGGGGAGCCACGCCAAGGACAGTCAGACCCTCTGGGAGAAATGTTTTCTCGGACCAAGAACCCTGTGGCAACCCCAAAATCATGGGGGTGGGGGCTCCCCTGATGGGGAGGACAGAGGAAGGGCAGGAAGCGTCCCAATCTGCGGCATCCCCAGCTGGCCCAGGGAGGATGACCAGGCTATTATTGTCCGGCGCTGCCTCCCCACCACGCTGGAGCTAATCCGGACCTGCTTCCGGCTCCAGCCCCAGGAGGCAGAGTCAGCGAGTGTCTTTGAAGGAGGGAGGTGAGCTCAGGGGGCCCTTCCTGCCTCCCCTGTGCTACAGGGACGTGGGACAGAACATGTTGTCCTGCTGCCGCAGTGACGGAAGCCTCGGGTTCCCTGGGGTTCGCATCTGGCAGATGGCACTGACAAAAGAGTGGCCGGGACAGGAGGCGGACGGACAGACTTGTATATTCAGCAGCTCACGCTCATTCTGGCCACCGTCAGACCCTGGGGGTAGTGGAGGGAAAGGGTTCCCTGGAGCCAGGGCTTGTCCCCAGAGAGGGTCATAATGAGGAACTGATGCCACAGGTGTGCCCTCTGCAGCTCTTTAAAAGCCACATGTCACTGACAGCATAGGAAGCAGCAGGTTGAACAAGATGCTCAAGGGAGGCCGGGGCAAAAGGCCAGTATTCCAGTCCACGAGGACAGAACACTTGGTTCTCTCAGAAATCCTGGGTTCCAGCCTCTGCTGCCCCAGTGACCAGCTGGGCAACCCTGGACAAGTAGTATAACTTCCTGGGTGACCCCGGCTCATCGTGAGATGAGGGTGCTGCCTGCCCTGCCTGTCCACGGGGCTTCTGGGAGGGTTAAGTGTGACAGTGCCTGACTACCAGGCTCGCTCTGCACACAGGCAGCAGGATTCTCACCAGCGCCCTCTCCTCTGCACCCGCCACCCTTCAGCCTCCCGATCTCCCCTCCCTGCCTCTACTCTCTCCCCTCCACCAGGCCATCTTCTGCACAGCAGCCGGAGCACTTTTCTCTAAATGTAAACCAGACCCTGTTGCTCAACTGCTCAAGCCCTCCCATGGCTTCCCAGCATACTTTTTAAATTTTTTTATTTTTTAAGACAGATTATTGCTCTGTCACCCAGGCTGGAGTGCAGTGGTACAATCTCAGCTCACTGCAACCTCCACCTCCCAGGTTCAAGCGATTCTCCTGCCTCAGCCTCCTGAGTAGCTGGGATTGGAGAAGGGTGCACCACCATGCCCAGCTAATTTTTGTAGTTTTTTAAGTACAGATAGGGTTTCATCATGTTGGCCAGGCTGGTCTTGAACTCCTGACCTCAAATGATCCACCCACCTCGGCCTCCCAAAGTGCTGGGATTACAGGTGTGAGATACCATGTGTGGTCCATTGTACTTATAATTAATCCCAATCCCAATCCCCCAGCCTGAGCTCTCGCCCCATTTTCCTGCAAGCCACCTGGCTTTCTCTGCGTTCCCGGGTTCCTCTCCAGCCCCTAGGCCTTAGCACCTGCGGTTCCCTCTGCCTGGAGCCCCCAGCACCCTCTGCCACCTCCTGAGAGCATCTCATGGCTGGCCTCTTGTCTTTTTTTTTTTTGGGACAGAGTCTTACTCTGTCACCCAGGCTAGAGTGCAGCAGTAGCACAATCTCGGCTCACTGCAACCTCCACCTCCCGGGTTCAAGTGATTCTCCTGCCTCAGCCTCCCAAGTAGCTGGGATTACAGGCACGTACCACCATGCCTGGATAATTTTTTATATTTTTAGTAGAGACAGGGTGTCACCATGTTGGCCAGGCTGGTCTTAAACTCCTGACCTCAGGTGATCCACCTGCCTTGGCTTCCCAAAGTGCTGGGATTACAGGCGTGAGCCACCATGCCTGGCCCCTGCCGGCCTCTTCTCATTCAAATCTCACCTCCTCAGGGAGGGCTTTGTGGGTGAGCCTATCCAGAGCCATCCACCCACTCCTGCCTCACTCTTAGGTCACCTGTGCTGACCCCCGTCTGCATTTACTTCATCAACTTGCTTATGATCTGTCCCCCGCACTAGGGTGGGGACCTTGCTGGTCTCACTGTTGTGTCCCTAGCATCTAGCATGGCACGGGCTCATAAGACACTCAGTATTTGTGGAATGAACAAAGCCAGAGAGACAGAGGGAAGGCAGGTGGGAAGAAGGCAGGGAGCAGAAGTAGGCTGGCTGGGAGGGGCTGGGGGTGCTGACTGTCCGTCTGCAAGGCGGGGCAAACGGTGGGGAGGACAGGGATGAGGTGTGGGGGTTTCTCAAGGCTTTATGGGGACAGCTTCTCTTTTCTGAGAATGGGCTCTCCCACTTGGGAGGGTGTCTCTGGGGACCTGGGTACCACGACCAGATCCTCAGGCGGATAAGGCAGCTGCCCCCATGCCTGCCAAGAGCCCGGATGCCAGGTAGGTCCTCTTGCAACCCCCCGTGGCCGACCTACCCCTCCCCTCCTCAGGGCCCCCTCTCCCACCTGCTTGCTGGGTCTGGCCTTGGGTGGGGGTGCTCCGAGGCCCATCCCCAGCGGCGTTGAAGGCGGCCACGCTGACCATGTAGGCCGTGTAGCCAGTCAAGTTCTTGAGCTTCACGCTGTTCTCAGCCAGGAAAAGCGTCTTCACTCGCTCTGTGAGGTTCCCCCGCTGGGCTTCCCAGAAATAAATCTGTGGGAACAGAAGGATGTGGGAGTGAGGGGGACAGGGGCAATGAGAGTCCCTCCTGTCCCTGCTGACCTGTAGTCTCAGAGACACCTTCATTGCTGTGAGTCACCTGGGAAACAGCGGAGAAGTCTTTAAGAGGCCGGGTGCGGTGGCTCACACCTGTAATCCCAGCACTTTGGGAGGCAGAGGTGGGTGGATCACTTGAGGCCAGGAGTTCAAGACTAGCCTGGCCAACATGGTGAATCCCCGTTTCTACTGGAAATACAAAAAAATCAGCCGGGCATGGTGGCAAGTGCCTGTAGTCCCAGCTACTCTGGAGGCTGAGGCAGGAAAATCACTTGAACCTGGGAGGTGGAGGTTGCAGTGAGCTGAGATCACGCCACTGTACTCCAGCCTGGGTGACAGAGCAAGACTCCATCTCAAAAAAAAAAAAAAAGAATTTAAGAACTGTTTTAGAAACCTTTCTGGAACCTTCCTTTTCACAGCCAAGACCCTGGTCTCTGCCAGACAGTAAACTCCAGGGCATGGCCCCCAAGTGTCTGTGTTTCCCGCCATGCCTGGAGGATTTACCATAGCGCTGGCACATCAGCACTTAGTACAGTTCCTGGAGGAATAAAGCAAATCCGTCCTACGGGAGGCTGAGCTGGGGAGATAAGGCAGTGTGGAGTCTATCCAGACAGAGTGTGGTGCAAGTGCTGGTGGCCTCATGTCACCTGGGAGCTGGTGAGGGATGCAGAGTCTCAGGGCCACCCCGGGCCCGCTGCACCAGCAGCTGCTGGTTAACAGGAACAAGGCCCGCTGCAGAGGAAGGCCTCGGCCAAGACGGCGGGCAGCGGGAGGCTGAATCCCAGCTGCACCGCATACAGCAGCGGGACCTGGCCAGCTGACTTCCCAGAGCTGCAGTTTTGTCGTACATTCAGTGAGGTTAAGGACACGTACTTCCTGGGGTCCGTGTGAGGGGTGCAGGTTCTAAGGGTTTCACCCAGGTACTTGGCCAGTTTCCTAAGGAACCCCGTGGCTGCAGAAGGCTTTAGGCCAGGAACACAACAGATGCTCCCTGGTGTTTTCTCTTCCTTTCTGTTTTTTGAGATGGAGTCTCGCACTGTCACACAGGCTGGAGTGCTGTGGTGCGATCTTGCTCCGCCTCACGGGTTCACGCCATTCTCCTGCCTCAGCCTCCCGAGTAGCTGGGACACAGGCACCCGCCACCACGCCCGGCTAATTTTTGGATTTTTAGTAGAGACGGGATTTCACCGTGTTAGCCAGGATGGTCTAGATCTCCTGACCTTGTGATCCGCCCGCCTCGGCCTCCCAAAGTGCTGGGGTTACAGGCGCGAACCACCAAGCCCAGCCATTGTTTTCAATCATTTCCTCTGTAGCACAGGTTAACACTTCTGCTAGTTCCAGGACTGAGGCCATCCAGATAGCGGCCAGCTGGGCCCAGCCACGTGCAAAATTGGAGGTCATTTGGCGCCCCCTGCTGGCCAATGAGGTTTCTGCATGTCACCGGCTTTTCAATTTCTCATTTCCCTGGAGGAAGCCCATAAAGTGAGAAAGAGCTAATAAAAGTGTCCCCACTGGCATGTATGGGTGGCAGTTAGGACATCTTGTTACCATGAAATCCTTGCTTTTCTCCAATCCCTCTCCCCCTTTATTATTATTTTTTTATTTGAGACAGGCCTCACTCTGTTGCCCAGGCTGGAGTGCAGTGGCACGATCACAGCTCACTGCAGCCTCAACCACCTGGGCTCAAGCCATCCTCCCACCTCAGCCTCCTGAGTGGCCAGGACTACAGGTGTGCACCACCACACCCAGCTAAGTTTTTAATTTTTTGTAGAGACGGGGTCTTGCCATGTTTCCCAGGCTGGTCTTGAACTCCTGGGCTCAAGCGATCCAACCACCTTGGCTTCCCAAAGTGCTGAGATTACAGGTGTGAGCCACTGTGCCCGGCCCTCTCTCCCATTTTATTTTATTTTATTTTATTTCAAGACAGGGTCTCATTTTGTCACGCAGACTGGGGTGCAGTGGCATGATCTTGGCTCACTGTAACCTTGACCTCCAGGTTCAAGCAATCCTCCCGCCTCAGCCCCCCAGGTAGCTCTGACTACATGAGTGCTACCACACCTGGCTATTTCTTTCGTAGAGATGGGGATTTCTTTTGTAGTGATTTCTTTTTTAGAAAGGGGGAGAGGGCCGGGTGCAGCGGCTCACACCTGTAATCCTAGCACTTGGGAAGCTGAGAGAGGGGAATCGCCTGTGCCCATGAGTTCAAGACCAGCCTGGGCAACATGGCAAGACCCCTGTCTCTACTAAAAACACAAAAATTAGCCAGGAGTGGTGGTGTGCACCTGCAGTTCCAGCTACTTGGGAGGCTGAGGCAGGAGGATGGCTGGAACCCGGGAGGTGAAGGTTGCAGTGAGCTGAGATCACACCACTGCACTCCAGCCTGGGCAACAGAACAAGACTCCATCTCTAAAATAACATAAAAATAACGAAAAGCAGATTCTTCTCATATGGATAGATGAATGAAAGCAGAGGCAGTCATGTATGAAATCATTCATTCACTCATGCATTCATACTAATGGGGGTACAACAGTTAACAAAGTTCCTGTTGGATTTGGAAAGGTCATGGCTGATGCTAAAAGTTTGCCATTATTAGCACACAGGTGGTCTTCCGTGAGTGCACACTGGGAGAATGAATGGATTCTCTTAGGTAGAGAAGAGGGCTGTGGATTGATCCCTGGGGGCCTCCAGCATTCAGTGGTTGGTGGGGAGGAAGAGCTAGCGAGGGAAGCTGAGGAAAGCAAGCATTTTGAGAGGAAGGAGAGATCCATGTGTCAAACACAGCTGCTGAGTCAGGCAGGATAAGCCTGTGGTTTGACTCGATATGAGCAACATGGGAATTATTAACAACTTTGGCAGGAAGAGCTTCGGTGGGGTGGCGGGGATGAGAACCTATTTGGAGCGAGTTCAAGGGAGAAAGAGAGCAGAGGAATCGGAGGGAGTGAGTACAGAAGATTCTTTTGAGGAATTCTGCTGTAAAGGGGCCAAAGAAATGGGTGACAACTGGAAGAAAATGTGAGGTCAGGCCAGGTGCGGTGGCTCACACCTGTAATCCCAGCACTTTGGAAGGCTGAGGCAGGTGGATCACCTGAGGTCAGGAGTTTGAGACCAGCCTGGCCAACATGGCGAAACTCTATCTCTACTAAAAATACAAAAATTAGCCGGGCATGGTGGCGGATGCCTGTAATCCCAGCTACTCAGGAGGCTGAGGCAGGAGAATCACTTGAACCCGAGAGGTGGAGGCTGCAGTGAGCTGAGATAGCACCACTGCACTCCAGCCTGGGCAACGGAGCGAGAGTCCGTTAAAAAAAAAAAAAAGTGAGGTCAGGAAAAGGCATAAAAAGAGGAAACATATCTCAGAATGCTTTTCTGCCCTGCCCGTGGGAGCTATCCACTGGGGAGGTGGAGGAGAGGAAGGGCCAATGGCTGCAGTCATGCTCTTGGGTGAGGAGTGGGTCGGGGCCTAGAACCCAGGGACAGCTGTCTTCACAAACCAGGCACTCCGGCAGGTGCATCTTGTTTGTGAGCGCTGCATTCTGCGGACCTTTGTTAGCTGATGATTCACAGTGAGAGGGACTGACACGCGTGCAAAGGACATAAAGGGACTGAGCCCAGATCCTGGTTCCCATGGGGCACACTGCTGAGCTGCATGGGGCACATTGATGGGTAACCAGGAGTCTGCCAGAATGCAGGCTCCAGCGGGCAGGCATCTCGGTCCATGTGGCCCCCTTGGGACCCAAACACCTAGAATCATGGCTGGCACATCCATGGTCCTCAATCAATATCTGCTGGATGAATAAATGCCTTATGTGGACAGGGGCAAGCATGGGAGTGCACCATTATAATCACGAACCTGCCATTTACTATGCCCAATTCTCTGCCCTTTCATTTCTTTTTTCAGCTTTATTGAGGTATAATTGACAATCTAAGATCTATATATAGCCGGGCATGGTGGTGGGTGCCTGTAATCCCAGCTACTCGGGAGGCTGAGACAGGACAATCCCTTGAACCTAGGAGGCAGAGGTTGCAGTGAGTGGAGATCACACCACTGCACTCCAGCCTGGGTGACAGAGTGAGACTCTGTCTCGAAAAAAACAAACAAACAAAAAAATCAAAAAACAAAAAAACCCCAAAAAACTGTATGTGTTTAAGGTATACAACATGGTGTTCTGATATACACATGCATTATGAAATGATTACCACAATCAAGCTAATTAACATGTTCATCATCTTTTTGTGGTGAGAACCTTCTGAGCAAATTTCAAGTGTACAATACGGTATCATTAACTATCATCACCATGTTGTACATTAGATCTAGATCGTATTCAGCCTGCTTCACCGAAACGCTGTATCCTGGGACCTTCTCCCTATTTCCCTCACTCCCTCAGCCTCTGGCAACCGCTGTTCTACTCTCTGTTCCTATGAGTTTGATTATTTTAGATTCCACATATACGCGAGGTCATGCAGTATTTGTCTTTCTGTGCTTGGTACATTTCATTTGGCATAATATCCTGCAGGTTCATCCGTGTTGTTGCAAACAGCAGGATTTCCTTCAAGGCTGGATGGTATTCCACTGTGTATAAACCACATTTTCTTCATTCATTCATCCATTCACAGACACTCAGGCTATTTCCACATCTTGGCTACTGTGAATGATGCTGAAATTAACATGGGCCTGCAGATAGCTCTTCAAGAGCCTCATTTCAATTCCTTTGGATAAATACCCAGTAGTGGGATTGCTGGATCATTGGAGTTCTATTTTTAATTTTCTGCGGAACTTCCATACCGTTATCCATAATGGCTGTACTGATATACGTTCCCACCAACAGCGTGCAAAGGTTCCCTTTTCCCCATACGCTTACCACCACTTATCTCTAGACTTTTTGATAACAGCCATCCTTGCAGGTGTGATGGGATATCTCACTGTGGTTTTGATTTGCATTTCCCTGATGCTGAGCGATGTTGAACACCTTCTTAGATACCTGTTGACCATTTATATATCTTCTTTTTTCTTTTTTTTTGAGTTGGAGTCTTGCTCTGTCACCCAGGCTAGACTGCAGTGGCATGATATGGGTTCACTGCAACCTCCACCTCCTGGGTTCAAGCGATTCTCCTGCCTCAGCCAGGTGCCTGCCGCCATGGCCAGCTAATTTTTGTATTTTTAGTAGAGACGGGGTTTCACCATGTTGGCCAGGCTGGTCTCGAACTACTGACCTCAGGTGATCTGCCTACCTTGGCTTCCCAAAGTGCTGGGATTACAGGCATGAGCCACCGTGCCCAGCCTATGTATCTTCTTTTGAGAAATGTCCATTTGGGTCCTTTGCCCCATTTTCTTTCACTTTTGTTGTATGAGTTCCTTACATATTTTGGCTACTAACCCCTGGTCATATGTATGGTTTGCAAATATTTCTCCCATTCCAGAGGTTCTCCCTCCTTCTGGAAGCATGTTCTTCCCATGAGCTCTGAGACATCACTCAGTTTTTGGTTTCAGGGCTCAATTTGTAGACTTCTTTTGTTCTTTATCTTTCCTTGTCTAATCTCTAGCTTTCAGTACCATCTATATGCCGAGGACTCTATAATTCACATCTCTGGTTTGATCCTTCTCTCTTGAACTCCAGACATGCATCTCTGACTCTGTTCTGTCTCCCCTCGAATGTCCAACAGACGTCTCAAACCAAACACATCTGGAACCAGACTCCAGATTTCCCTAGCCTCCTCCTTCACCAGCTTTGTCTTTTCCTGCTCCATCATCCTGTGGACCCTGGGGCTGTCCTTGTTGCCTCCCTTTTCTCCCATTCCATGTTCGATTTGTCGGTAATTTTTTTTTTTTTTGAGATGGGGTCTCGCTCTGTTGCCCAGGCTGGAGTACAGTGGCGTGATCTTGGTGCACTGCAACCTCTGCCTTCTGGGTTCAAGGGATTCTTTTGCCTCAGCCTCCCCAGTAGCTGGAATTACAAGCATGCGCTACCATACCCAGCTAATTTTTGTATTTTTAGTAGAGATGCGGTTTCGTCATGTTGGCCAGGCTGGTCTCGAACTCCTGACCTCAAGTGATCTGCCCGCCTTGGGCTCCCAAAGTGCTGGGATTACAGGTGTGAGCCACTGTGCCCAGCCTGATTTGTTAGCAAATTCTACCAGCTCTGCTGTTGGGACTAACTGAGAGTGGCCACTTCTCACTCTGCTCTCACCTGATCTGAGCCCCCTTCATGGCCCACCCGGATAGTTCAGATGCCTCCCCATAGCTTCTGGGCTTTCCCCATTTCAGACTCTGCTCAGCACAGCAGCCAGCGGGACCCTCTGAAGGTCCCAGTCCTCCACTCAGAGGACTTCACTCAAGAGTGACAGCCAAAGCCCCGAAGGACCCCAGGTGCTCCAGCCCCGGCTTTCCCATCTCCCATTGCGCTCCCTGGAACTCACTCTGGGGACACACAAGGCTCTCCGTATACCCCAAGTACCTGTCTACCCTGAGACCTTTGCTCTTTTTTCCTCTCTTTCTGGATCCATGTGATTTGTGCCCTGTTCTCCTTCAGGTTTTTGCTCAAATATCACCTTCTCATTAAGTCCTTTCCTAACAACCTTTTTTTTTTTTTTTTTTTTTTTTTTTTTTTGAGACAGTCTTGATCTGTTGCCCAGGCTGGAGTGCAGTGGTGCAACAATGGCTCACTGCACCCTCACTCGGCCGGGCTCAGGCACTCCTCCCACCTCCCACCCCGTTGGCTGGGACTACAGGCATGTGCCACCACACCCGGCTAATTTTGTTGTTGTTTTCTTTTTGTAGAGACAGGCTTTTACCATGTTGCCCAGGCTGGTCTTGGACTCCTGGAGTCAAGCAATCCACCCACCTCGGCCTTTCAAAGCGCCAGGATTACAGTTGTGAGCCACTGAGCCCAGCCCTTAACAACCCATTTAAAATTTCAAACCCTGGCTGGGCACAGTGGCTCACGCCTGTAATCTCAGCAATTTGGGAGACCGAGGGCGGATCACCTGGGGTCAGGAGCTCGAGACAAGCTTGGCCAACATGGTGAAACCCTGTCTCTACTAAAAATACAAAAATTAGCTGGGCATGGTGGCAGGCACCTGTAATCCCAGCTACTCAGGAGGCTGAGGTGGGAGAATCACTTGAACCTGGGAGGCAGAGGTTGCAGTGAGCCAAGATCGCACCACTGCACTTCAGCCTGGGTGACAGAACAAGACTCCATCTCAGGAAAAAAAAGAAAGAAAGAAATAAAATAAACTAAACTAAAATAAAATAAAATTTCAGGCTGGATGCGCTGGCTCACTCCTGTAATCCCAGCACTTTGGGAGGCCGAGGTGGGTGGATCACGAAGTCAAGAGATTGAGACCATCCTGGCCAACATGGTGAAACCCCGTCTCTACTAAAAACACAAAAATTAGCTGGGCATGGTGGCAGGCACCTGTAATCCCAGCTACTTGGGAGGCGGAGGAAGGAGAATCGCTTGAACCTGGGAGGTGGGGGTTGCAGTGAGCTGAGATTGCACCACTGCACTTCAGCCTGGCGGCAGAGCAAGACTCCGTGTCAAAAAAAAAAAAAAAAATTCAAACCTCCTCATGGACCTGGCTCTCCCCTAACCTGCTTCATTTACCACCACCTGGCGGTATTATTTATTTTGCCCCGTGTTGGCCTTCCCTCCCTAACATCTAAGCTCACAATGCTGGGCACACAATAACTGCTCAATAAACACGTGTCATTGACCAACTGAAAGACTGGAGCTCTCAGAACGTGCATGAATGTGCCTGCCACGCACCAGTTGGGTGCAGTCTGACTGGAATGCAGTATCAGCTTCGGTGTGCTCATGGGTTGATGAAGTTAATGCGTCACTGATGTTCGTGCGTGTTGATGTCAGTACCTTGGTTATCACAGGTCCAGGAGGTAGCACTTTCTCCGTTCACATCCACAGTTGCCGCTCAGGTACGGGTCATGTTTTCTGGAGCATGTAGGCCTCTGCTGTATTCTGTATGGTGTTGTGCACCTGCACATTTTCCTGGGTCTGTCTATTAACTCACCACTTACAAGCCTCGACAGTCTGGTGGCTGCCACACTGCTGCTGGCGCTGCCCTGGCCCCTTTCTTTTCCCATGGGAGGCATATGCTAGGGGGGCAATATTTAGTTTTCCCAGCTGGTGCTCCTGGGCAATGCCTTGAGGGGTGTCATCCATCTTTAGGGCTTCCTTGGCAACATGCCTTTCCTCCTTCCTTCCTCCTCCTTCACCCCAGATGGAATGAGACTCTTATGCTGGATTCCATCCTAAATCGGGACTACCTGTATTAATGAGCTGTGTGACTTGGGTAAGCTCTTCCCCTTTGCTGACACTCCTCCCACCTGTGGGATGAGGTGCCTTGTGTCTCTCCTACTCCCCACCTGTGGGATGAGGTGCCTTGCGTCTCTCCTACTCCCCACTTAAGCCATGGCACTGGGGCTCTTCTCTGGAGTAACAACCAGCCGCCAAGAATGAGAGTCAACTGGACACTGGTGCGGGAGGCAGACACAGCTAAGGGTTATGTGTTCCAGCTCTTCCAACCAGACAGACACATTCCTTTTTTTTTTTTCTTTTTTTTTTTTTGGAGACAGAGTCTTGCTCTGTTGTCCAGGCTGGAGTGCAGTGACACGGTCTTGGCTCACTGCAACCTCTGTCTCCTGGGTTCAAACGATTCTCCTGCCTCAGCCTCCCAAATAGCTGGGATTACAGGCACCCGCCACCACGCCTGGATAATTTTTGTATTTTTAGTAGAGATGGGGTTTCACCATGTTGGTCAGGCTGGTCTCGATCTCCTGACCTCAGGTGATCCATCTGCCTCGGCCTCCCAAAGTGCTGGGATTACATGTGTAGGCCACCACACCTGGCCCATGTTCCTTTTTAAATCTACTTCCCCTAGTGCTCATGTGGTTGGTTAGTGCTTACTTTTCACCCCTCGGGGGGTGAGAGCTGCCAGACTTGGAATCTGACTCTGCTGCCTGCTTTTTTTTTTTTTTTGAGACCTCTTGGCTGGAGTGCAATGGTGCAATCTCGGCTCACTGCAACCTCCCTCTCCCAAGTTCAAGTGATTCTCCTGCCTCAGCCTCCCGAGTAGCTGGGATTACAGGCATGCGCCACCACACCCGGCTAATTTTGTATTTTTAGTAGAGATGGGGTTTCACCATGTTGGTCAGGCTGGTCTCGAACTCCCGACCTCAGGTGATCTGCCCGCCTTGGCCTCCCAAAGTGTTGGGATTACAGGTGTGAGCCACCGCACCCGGCCTGCCTGCTGTTTTTGTGATCTTACCAGGTCAACTAAATTGGAACTCAGTTTCCTCATTTGGGCATAAAAACCCATATCCTCCCAGCTTCGTGGGCCTTTCATGAAGATTCAAGAGTTCCAAAGGGCTTTGTGAATATTAGGGAGAAATTGAATCCCCTTATAGCACAGGACATCATCCTAAATCTAGAAATGATTTTTTTCTTTTTTGAGACAGTGTCTTGCTCTGTTACCTGGCTGGAGTGCAATGGCTCCACATGGCCTACTGCAAACTCTGCCCCCCTGGCTCAAGCAATCCTCCCACCTCAGCCTCCCAAGTAGCTGGGACTATAGGCGCATGCCACCACACCTGGCTAATTTCTGTATTTTTTTTTGTAGAGTCAGGTTCTCACTATGTTGCCCAGGCTGTTCTGTAACTCCTGAGCTCAAGTGATCCGCCCACCTTGGCCTCCTAAAGTGCGGGAATTACAGGTGTGAGCCACCACACACAGCCCTAGAAATGATTTTTAATTTTAATTTTTTTTTTTTTGAGACAGAGTCTCACTCTATTGCTCAGGCTGGAGTGCAGTGGTACAATCTCGGCTCACTGCAACCTCTGCCTCCTGGGTTCAAGCGATTCTCCTGCCTCAGCCTCTCGAATAGCTGGGATTACCGGTGCCTGCCACCATGCCCGGCTAATTTTTGTATTTTTAGTAGAGATGGGGTTTCACCATGTTGGCCAGGCTGGTCTCGAACTCCTGACCTCAGGTGATCTGCCCGCCTCGGCCTCCCAAAGCGCTGGGATTAAAGGTGTGAGCCACCGCGCCCAGCCTAGAAATGATTTTTAAACAGAGATTTCCAAATACTAGGCAGTGATGCTTTGCTAACTGGCTATCTGATTAATATCAATATTGTAATTATGGGGCCAAAAGCCCCTTGGAGGGTCTTAAGTTATGTATGGGGTTGGGGGCTGGTGGGGAGGGATGTGTGTGCTGCTCAGAGATGGTACGAGCCTAGGGATGGCTAGAGTTTCTTGCACCTAAGCTCAGCCTGCCCTCAGGAAGCTGGAGGGGATGGATGTGGTTCAGCTTCAGCTGTACAAATATTTCTGCGAACTGGGTCCAAACAGCCAAGGTGGCAGGTGTACCACAGAGCCTGAAGGGCCGAGGAGCTGGCTGGATGAATGGAGGGCCTGGGGACCTGCCTGCCTCCCACATATCACTCACTCCCCAGCCTCCGACCTGGCTTCTCATCCGTGCACCCCTTTGCTCTGCCCGAGGGCACCCTACCTTGTACCCCTGGATGTCTCCATTCTGGCTGTCCAGCGGAGGTGGCTCCCAAGTCACGTCCAGCTGTGTGGCCGTGGCGCCGTGGACGACCACGTTACGAGGTGCTGCTGTGGGCACTGGAGGGCGTGCAGGGTAGGCAGTGAGCATGCGAGTAAACCTGGGAGGGGAGGTGGGCTGGGCGGGATGGGGAGCCCAGATCCCGTTTCTTCCAGCTGAACTGGGTGGGGCTGGGAAAGGCATGCTGGGGCCGGACAGGGCGGGCGCTGCTCACCTGCCTCCCCAACAAAGACCTCCTGCGGGGGGCTGGAGGGCCCCTCACCCACAGCGTTGTACACGCTCATCCGTATCTCGTACCGCCTGTGCTTGTTCAGGTCTGTGGGGGAGAGTGGGGGAGGGGAAGCACACTGAGGTCACCGTCATTGCTGGGAAGGTGTCCCCAGGGAGGGTGGAGGCTGCAGGGGGAGGAATGAGGCACCCCCGCCATTCTAGCCCCCTCTGTGAAGGTGCATGAAGGAGGAGGTGAGAGGCGGGGCCCCCAGGGGACGCTCTGTGCCAATCTGGACATAGGGCAATGCTGGTTGGCCTCTTGGCCTAGGGTGGCCGTACATTTTATTGTTCAACTGGACACTTTTGAGACTGAAACCACTATGAATATTTACACCGGGACAACCAGTGTAAACCAAAGCTGTCCTGGGCATGCCTGGACATAGGGTCACCCCCTACCCCCAGCCTGTCCTCTTTCCCCACCGTGACAGATGCCCAGAGTCCCCATCCACCAACTCTTTACACAGCGGGGCTCAGCTCCAGGGGGGAGGGGCGCATTGGATGTGAATTCTGGACTAAGAAACCTGATGTTTCTGCCAAGTTTGAGGTGCTTGGCTGAGAATGCCTGGCAGAACTTGGGAATGGGACGCAGCTGCAAGAAACGGGCGCAGTCACTGTCCCCCGTAGCTGAAAGTTTCTCCCACCCTCTCCACTCTTCTCTCTGGGTTCCCTGCCCCTGCTTCCTTCCCCTGGGTAGGTCTACCCTTTAACAGGGTTGTGAGAGGGGTGTCACCCTTGCCTAGCTGTCTATGCAGCCTGGGTTGGTCATTGGTTGACGGAGGAAGGAGGAAGAGAATTTAGCCTTAAACTAGTGCTATTTTCTCCTGAGCACGAAACCCTCTTGCCTAAGGCCCTGGGTTTCAGGAAGAACCACGGCTGATGCTTTAGAGAAAGATCAAGGGTTGGGGCATGCAAGCAGCAGGAACATGTCTGGTGCACGGGAGGACGACGGACGCAGGTGACTAAAACTGCTGTCACCTCCCTCCAGGTGTGGGGCCAGACTGTAAGACCCAGCTGGGCCGAGAAGTGCCTTCGATGGGACTAGATGGGGCAGCAACCACGTGGACACCTGCCCACCTACCCAGCAGCGTCCAACAGCTTCTGCTGCGGCCCCGCTGTCACTGTCCCCCGACCCAGCCGAGCACAGGGTTACAGACTTCCCTTTTCCAGCCCACACCCAACAGAGGGCAGGCTTGAAGGAGACTTTCCCTGTCATCGGCCTACTTTTCCGTGTGTTTAGGGTTATCACTTGTGTTCAGGGTAGTCCCGTTTCTTAAGCCCCCTGGGGTGGGCACACCCCCTCAACCTGTGATCAGGTCTCTCAAGGAGGCCCCACTCCCAATCCCCTGCGAGGCCTGGGCCCGCGATGAAGCCACCATGCAAGGAGACTTACTGTCCAGCTCGTACTGCGTGAGGCTGGGCCGGCTCAGGTTCCGCATGGAGTACATGGCTATGGGGTGGGGGTGCCGGGGCGGGGGCGCAGAGGGAGACAGCAGACAGAGGAGGTTAGTGCTCACACATCCCCACCCCACAAAGAAACCCCGGCCAGGCGGGGCTGACGGCGTGAACAGACAGGAAGAGTGTTTCCAAATTTCCAATGCTGAGTTACGGGCCAGGATAACAGGGTTGTGGGGGCAGGGGAAGGTGGAGGCTCCCTGGACAGTCTGCCCCACCCTGGTGTGCACTGGCCCAAGGTGATGTGAGCTCTTTGTAGCCCAGCATCTCTAGGGACATCTCTGGGGGACCCTCTCACCCCAATTCTCTTCCTTGTTTCAGGGCAGAGCTCCTGGAAACCAGCATGAAATACTGGAGTCGTTAATTTCCTCATATGAACCAGAAACAATTTTACTACTAGGAAATATGACTGTATTATACACAGGCAATATAAAATCACAACCACAAGCACATATGGGCAAAAAAAAAAAGAAGGAAAAAAAGTCCACCAAAAACGCAAGCTGTTGGATCAGCTACTTCAGAGTTTTTCTATTAATATTCCTTTGCTACATGCTCATCATTTTGTTGTCTGCTAACTCACTAGAAGACAAGGCACAAAAGGCTTGAGAGAACTAAGGGAGGAAACGTGAAAATGAAGAGGCTGGGCCGGGCGCAGTGGCTCATGCCTGTAATCTCAGCACTTTGGGAAGCCAAGGTGGGTGGATCACCTGAGGTCAGGAGTTCGAGACCACCTGAGGTCAGGAGTTCGAGACGAGCCTGGCCAACACAGTGAAACCCGGTCTCTACTAAAAACACAAAAATTAGCTGGGCATAGTGGTGCACGCCTGTAGGTCCAGCTACTTGGGAGGCTGGGGCAGGAGAATCGCTTGAACCTGGGCAGCAGAGCTGAGATCATGCCACTGTACTCTAGCCTGGGTGACAGAGCAAGACTCTGTCTCAAAAAACAAAAAACAAAAAAACAAAAAACAAAAAACAAAAGCCGGGCGCAGTGACTCATGCCTGTAATCCCAGCACTTCGGAAGGCCGAGGCAGGTGGATCACCTGAGGTCAGGAGTTCGAGACCAGCCTGGCTAACATGGTGAAACCCCGTTTCTACTAAAATTACAAAAAATTAGCTGGGCGTGGTAGTGTGCGCCGTTAATCCCAGCTACTCAGGAGGCCTCAGGCAGGAGAATCGCTTGAACCTGGGAGGCGGAGGTTGCAGTGAGCTAAGATGGTGCCATTGCACTCCAGCTTAGGCAACAAGAGTGAAAACTCCATTTCAAAAAAAAAAAAAAAAAGAAGAGGCTCTTAAACTGACCCCTCTCCTGCTAGTCTGTTTGGGTGAGTGTCCCACACCCACCTGAGTACCCAGTCCTCTGGGGTACCCCTGCCTGCTGCCGTCTTCTACTACGAATCAGTCATGGAGTCCCAGGTGGGTGGATAGAGGATATTTAGGGAAGGAGGCTCTTTATAAAAATCTCTAGTGGTCTGAGTCCAAATCTTAGGTGAACGCAAGCACTTCAGACCCAAACAAGCCAAAGGTGTAGATGAACATCAGTTTTGAGCCACTGGGAAAACCTCAGTTTTTTCTTTCGTTATGTACCAAGGTGTTCTAATTATCGTTGCTACCTGCTGTGCTGTAACGTGTTTTATCGGTTGCACCACTTTGCAGCATTTTCTCCAAAGCCCTTAACTGTCGTAAATGCACCTAACTGTCCGCCAATGCGGAATACTAAATAATTATGATGCGAGTGGCTGATTTACTTTGAAAAATCAAAAACAGGCCAGGTACAGTGGCTCGCGCCTGTAATCCCAGCACTCTGGGAGGCCAAAGCGGGCAGGCCACTTAAGGTCAGGAGTTCAAGAGCAGCCTGGCCGACATGGTGAAACCCCGTCTCTACTAACAACAACAACAACAACGACAACAACAACAACGACAACATTAGCTGGGCGTGGTGGCACACGCCTGGAGTCCTAGCTACTTGGGAGGCTGAGACACAAGAGTCACTTGAACCCAGGAAGCGGAGGTTGCAGTGAGCTGAGATGGCACCATTACACTCCAGCCTGGGCAACAGAGCGAGACTCTGTCTAAAAAAACCCAAAAAACAAAAAAACCTCAAGTCCTGGAGCATCTGCGCCCATCACATATCATCTCCCATACTGGCCTCGGTCCACCCCGAGTCTGTGCCTCGGTTCCAACCTCCTGCTCTCTTGCCACGTGACTGCAACAGCCTCTATCTGGGCGCCTGCCTCTGGCTCTCCATCCTCCCACCATGGCCAAGCCATCATCCTCATGCCACCAAAGTGGCTCCTAACACAAAAGTCCAAACACGTCTTTCCCTTGCCGTGGTCTTCTGGGCATCGGCTCTCCCTGACATTTCCACCTGGGCTCCCCTCTTTCCTTCCTTTGCTCCAGGGGACAGGCAGGGCAGTGGCTTCCCCCAGGAAAAAGAGGGGGCCAGGACTACTGCTCTAGGGGTGTGACCAGGTGAGGCTTCTGGTCCCTCAAGGGCAGGGTGCTCCTTCTCATGCACCGGGCTGTCCCCGTCCCTTTGTCCTGGTTAACTTGGCATCATCCTTCCGTGTTAGCGCCAGTGCTGGTGCCGGGGAAGCCTTGCCTGTCCCTGGCTTTAGGTCCTCCTAGAATGTTTCCTTCCCAGCTCGCCTGGCTCCTCCTCCAGCCTGCAACTCCAAGAGGGCAGGGACCCTGTCTGTCTTGATCATTGGTGTGCCCCACAGTGACTCGGGGCCCATAGAAGGTGCTCAGTAAATATTCAGTAAATGAATGAATGGGATGGGAGGAGGGAGAGGCACACATGGAGGAGGGAGGCAAGGTTTCAGGTTAGAGTGGTTCCAGGAAGCTGAGAGCTCCAGAGCGGGAAGGTGAGGGTGACCGCCCCCATCCCACCCATTCCTCTGGCTCCCAAGTGTCACTCACAGGTAAGCTCAGCCCATGTGGCCCCTGGGTTGTTGATGCCTCGAAGCGTGAAGCCCCTCAGTCCTTCATAGAGCAGCTCCCGGTATCGGATCCGGAAGCCCAGGAGGATGCCATTGATCTTGTCCTCTGCTGGCGGCTGCAGGAAGGGAGTAGGGCATGGGGAGGGCACCTGGACCACCACCCACCCCTCCCCACGCTCTCTCATCATGCCTCCTGCAGCCACAGAGCAGGGACTATGTTTTAACCAGGAAAAGAAATCAAGATAATATTGGGCATTTTAAATTTACAAAGCACTTCTGATGAGGCCATTTCATCCCTGCAGCATTCCCTAGAAGGAGGGAAGGGCAGGAATCAGTAATCGCCTTTTATCCAAGCAGGAAACTGAGGCTCAGAGATGTTAAGGAACTTGCCCAAGATCACAGAGCATCATTGGGGCCTGGAGCACACAGCTGTTTTCCTAGAGCCGCTCCTTGTTCACCTCCTTTGTCTTCAAGAGCTGCCCTCACCTGATCACCAGCCTCCCCAGGCCTGCTGGTCCCTGCCTTAGCATCTGGATAACACTTCCTGGTGTTTCCTGCAAGCTGAGCCCTCTCCTACTCTTAGTACATGCAAGGGTGAGTGTGCCCCTCACCCCTTCATCAAGTTCTCCTTTGCTTCCTCTCCCGTCTACAGCTTAGCTGCAGAACCGGCTTCGGGAGAAGGTGGAAACTACTTCTTAATGATACTGCTTATGAAGAATGGTCTGACCAGCCTGGCCAACATGGCGAAACCCCGTCTCTACTAAAAATATAAAAATTAGCTGGGTGTGGTGGCATGTGCCTGTAGTCTTGCTTGGAAGGCTGAGGAAAGAGAATCGTGTGAAGCTGGGAGGCGGAGGTTGCAGTGAGCCAAGATTGAACCACTGTACTCCAGCCTGGGCAACAGCGCAAGACTGTGTCTCAAAACAAAACAAAACAAAAACCCCAAAAAACCAAAAACCTGCTGAAACAGCTCAGGCTTTGTTAGCTCCTTAATGGTTTCCCCGGCTGCCATGGGCACCTCCCTGCCCCCTCCCTCTGCCACGTTGCTCCAGCC
This sequence comes from Homo sapiens, assembly GCF_000001405.40. Taxonomy (NCBI): domain Eukaryota; kingdom Metazoa; phylum Chordata; class Mammalia; order Primates; family Hominidae; genus Homo; species Homo sapiens. The sequence continues at coordinate 73,384,950 of NC_000017.11, forward strand.
TCGTCCCGGTCACAGGTGCACTAAGTCATGTTTATCTACGGGAGCGTCCTCTCCTTGAGCTGTGTGTCTCAGGCTGGGGGGACCCTCCTGGCTTTGTCTTCAAGGGCTTTCCCTTTGTGGAGTGGCAGATGGCTGAAGGGGAGTGCCTGCCCCTTTGATCTGGAGAAGTGGTGATGGGAGTTCAGTGCTTTTAACTTTTAGTAGAGATGGGGTTTTGCCAGGGGTCCCTCTCATGTGGGTGACCTGCTGAGGCAAGGCTGAACTTCAGAGGGCACAGGAGGGCTCCGCGGGGCAGGACCCATGAGCAGCCTGGTCGCTGAGGTTTGCCCATGGTCTTCCCCAGGCCATGGCAGAGCAGGCAGTGCCCACTGAAGAGTGGGCATCTGGAAGGGGTATGGACGAAGGGGGGCATTTCTCTCTACTTGCACAGTGATGATGACGGGCATAGGTCTCTGCAAGGAATCCCTTCACCGACCAGTGGGGCTTCATGGAGACTCTGGGGGCCCTGAGAGCCACAAGCACTTTTCAGCCCAAGGACTCAGCAGGCCTAAGGCTAATACACCTGGCCCTGCCACTCACTGGCTATGTGACCTGGGGCCATTCGGGTCCCCTCCCTGAGTCTCAGTGGTTGTCTGCAGAAGAGGATGACAGCACCTGCCTGATGTGACTATCTAGAGAGTGTAATGAGGCGTGTTATGGGAGTGTGTATGTGTGGGCACACGGTGTATAGAATGTTCTGTGACATGCACATGCCTGGATTTCTCATGGCTTCCCAGGCGCTCTGGGGGCAGAGAACTTGGGGGCTCCACGCAGCCCTGGTGGGGACTGCTGGCTTTCCAGTCCCAGAGCAGAGCTCGTCTGGGTCTTCACGGAGGTTTCCTGCCCGCTGGGCCATACCTGCCATCGGATTAGCACGGAGGTGGTGGTGTGGGGCGTCACGGAGAGGATGGTGGGTGCTTCATCGGGGGCTGTGGAGAGAAGCAGACAGGTGGGTTCTGGGGGCCGCAGCTTCAAGTTCCCCAGGAGCCCACTGAGACCAGATTCTGCTAATACTGGACTGCGGGGCAGGTCCAGATCGCATCGCCCTCCATGCCTGCTGGCCCGATTTCTGCAGAACAAAGGGCTGGTGTAAAGGGGAGGGAGGGAGGGACTGTGAGCTGACTCAGCCCAAACCCAAGGGTCCCAGAGCCCCCTCCGCTCTGCTCCTCAGAGCCATAGACCACTTCTGCTGCTGCTGAGAACTCCTGTCCCGCTCACTGGCAGCTTGTGGGACAGGAGGAATACGCCACAGGCCAGGCTGGGCCTGGGACCCTGAGCCCTTGGCAAAAGTGTCTCTGGCCCAAACCTCCCTGAGACCCTACCCCGGGAGCTGAAGGGCCCAGTGGGTCCCACGCCTCTCTCATCTTTGGAGGCCCCTCCCCCCGTAAGAAAATGCCCCATGCCCAGGAAGCAGCCAGTGGGCTGAGAGAGAGACTGCTGGGGAAGGGGTACTGACCAGCCTGCAGGGTGGTCAGTGACTCCGACTCCTCGCTGAACTCGCTGTCGCCAATGTCATTGGTCGCCTTCACTCGGAACTTGTAGGACGTGAAGGGCTTCAGCCTGTAGGGAGAAATCAGGGCCAATGAGCCAAGGTGCTCCTTAAAGGCCTCGCCCCATGCTCCCACCAAGGAGTCTCCCTGATCTGGCCCTGCTCGGGAAAGGGGGCAGGGTGCCAGCCTACTACACAGAAGGGCACACTGAGGCTCAGAAAGGAGCTTTGCTGCAAAGAGGACAAACTGGGACCCGGCCCCAGGGGTCCCAAGCACCTAGACCAGGTCCTCCAGACCATGCCAGCTTGGGGTGCCTTTAGCCCCAGTTGTAAGCCATAGCATCCCGAGAAGGAAATGTCTGCAGCTTCCCCACTTCGCAGAACCATGCAGTCACAAAAGCACCAATACCTCCACTCGGAACAAACTCCTCCCCTGCCCCCAACAAACTGCCATCTCTTTCTTTTTTTTTGTTTGAGATGGAGTCTTTTTTTGTTGTTGTTGAGACAGAGTCTCACTCTGTTGCCCAGGCTGGAGTGCAGTGGTGCGATCTTGGCTCACTGCAACCTCCGCCTCCCGCGTTCAAGCGATTCTTGTGCCTCAGCCTCCTGAATAGCTGGGATTACAGGCATGTGCTACCACACCTGGCTAATTTTTGTATTTTAGTAGAGACAGGTTTTCACCATGTTGGCCAGACTGGTTTCAAACTCCTGACCTCAAGTGATCCTCCCGCCTCGGCCTCCCAAAGTGCTGGGATTCCGGGCGTAAGCCACCGCTCCTGGCCTCTCTTTTTTAAATGTAGTAAATTAGGGAGGAGCTGAGGTTCTCAAGAGTTAAGCAGTACTTCATCTCTATAAGCCTTATTTCCTCTGGGAGCAAACGTCTCTCTTTTAGATTTATGGGGGGTGGGAGAGGTGGGGAAGAAAGTATTGCTCAAAACTCCCGGTCACATCAACTGGAATATAAAAAATTCAACCCACTCGGAATTAAATTGAAGCTAGAATTTCGGAGTGACGCTCCACTCCCCTATTAAAGCTGGAGAGGAAGATACCGCCCGGCTGGAAGAATCACTAATGAAGGATGACAGGCACTTCACTAAAGGGGGACTTCTAGGCTCCAGAAATAGATAATTAAGAGGCAACCTAACAGAGTTCCAGAGGGAACAGAGTGAGGAAGAGCAGGATAGAGCTGATTTGCGAGGGTGAGAGTGGACGCGGGGGCCGCCTGGGTGGTGCATGTAGGAGGAGAGCTGGGGGCAGGCTGGAGGTGTTTTCAGAAGGCCCCCTACCCAGTGGAGGAGCACCGCTGGTCCCGGCGGGGAGAGGGGCAGTGGGGATGCTGGCATGGACCCGAGCCTTACCTGTCCACAATGAAGCTGGAGGCATTGTGGCTCACGGAGGCCGAGTGCAGTGCCCACCTGCCGCTGGGCAGCTCGCGGGTCTGGATGGTGTAGTAGCGCACAGGGGAGAGCCCGTCGCTCCCTGGCTCCCAGGACAGCAGCACGCTGCGTGCTCTCACATCCTCCTGCTGCACCATCGGCCTGCTGGGGGGCTGCGGACGGTCTGGGAGGTGGCAGAGGGGGAGGAGCAGGTGAGTGGGCCAGGCCATGGTGGAGGGGGCTGGACTTTCTCGAGGGAGGAAAGGAGGTGATCTGGGCTCAGGCCTGGCATCCCCTTCCCATCCCAATTCCATGCACGCAGGATCCTTGCAGGTTCTCACACCTGGGTACAGCCAGCACCCCTCTCCTGGTTAGAGGCCCACCCTCAGGCTCCTAGAGCCCCAGGGCCTGGGAACTTACAGCTCCTCAGGGCAGCCCTAAGCAAGGATTGACGGTGAGGAGTGACAAACACCCACCCAGCTCCTTTGCTCCTGCCTGAAACGAGGCTGAGCCGGGCCCTGCGCTGTCCCTGATTGAGCAGGATGAGGTTGTTTCCCTACGAGAAGCGCTGCTTCATTCCAGGCCCTAGCTTGGCTTCCTTCTCTCCCCAGCCTCGCTGCCCCGCCCCTTCTGCAGGGCTTCTCAAACCTCAGCAGTACTGGAATTCAGAACAGATGACTCTGTGGCGGGGGCATCCTATGCAATGCAGGATGCTCAGCAGTGTCCCTGGCCTCCACCCACTTGATGCCAGTAGCACTCCCACACTGTGACAACCAAAATGTCTCCAGACATGTCCAATGTCCCCTGTGGCCAAAGAAGTCCCCAGTTGAGAAGCACTGTACTAATGGTTTTTCCTGAGTACATTTTCTTCTTCCTTCCCTCCCTTCCTTCCCTCCCTCCTTCCTTCCTTCCCTCCCTCTCCTTCCTTCCTTCCTTCCCTCCCTCCTTCCTTCCTTCCCTCCCTCTCCTTCCTTCCTTCCTTCCCCCCTCCTTTCCTTTTCTTTCTCCCTCTCTTTTCTCCCTCCTTCTCTTCCTTCTCCCTCCCTCCCTCCCTCCCTCCCTTTTTCCCCCCTTCCCTCCCCTCCCTTTCCCTTCCCCCTCCCCTCCCCTCTCCTCCCTTCCCTTCCCCTTCCCCTTCCCCTCCTTCCTTTTTCTTTCGTTATTTAAAACACAGTCAGGGTCTGTATCTGTTTCCCAGGCTGGAGTGCAGTGGCACGATCATAGCTCACTACAGCCTCAAACTCCTTGATTCAAGCAATCCTTCTACCTCGGCCTCTTGAATGGCTGGGACTACAGATGTACACCACCACACCTGGCTGATATTCCTTTCTTTTTTTTTTTTTTTTTTTTGAGACGGTCTTGCTCTGTAGCCCAGGCTGGAGTGCAGTGGTGTGATCTCAGCTCACTGTGACCTCCGCCTCGCAGGTTCAAGCGATTCTTTTGCCTCAGCCTTCCAAGTAGCTGGGGTTACTGACATGTGCCACCATGCCCAGCTAATTTTTGTATTTTTAGTAGGGACGAGGTTTCACCACGTTGGCCAGGACGGCCTTGAACTCCCGACCTCAGGTGATCCACCTGCCTCGGCCTCCCAAAGTGCTAGGATTACAGGTGTGAGCCACCATGCCCGGCCTATAGCTAATATTTCTATGTTCTGTAGAGATGGTGTCTCACTATGTGGCCCAGGTTGAGAGTAGTTTCTAATATATCCCTATCAGGCCAGTCGGGGTCCCAGGCTTGCTTTTGGGGAGTCCAAGATCAGGCAAGGTGCCAGCTCAGGGCAGCAGTGCAGTGGCAGCCGGGGCTCCAGGCTGCAGCCCTGATCCTGCGCCCATCTGTGTTGACAAGGCCAGGGCTGTGAGTGGGGAGGGGAGAGGGAAGATGGTCACTAACCCTCCCTTAATTAATTAATTAATTTAGACAGAGTCTTGTTCTGTCACCCAGGCTGGAGTGCAGTGGTGCGATCTTGGCTCACTGCAACCTCCGTCCCCCAGGTTCAAGTGATTCTCGTGTCTCAGCTTCCTGAGTAGCTGGGATTACAGGTGTGTGCCACCACGCTGGCTAATTTTTGTATTTTTAGTAGAGACGGGGTTTCACCATGTTGGCTAGGCTGGTCTCAAACTCCTGACCTCAAGTGATCCACCCGCCTTGGCCTCCCAAAGTGCTGGGATTACAGGCGTGAGCCACTAAGCCTGGCCACAAACTTTCCCTTTAGAAGACCAGACCAGAGTAGGGTCCTTGGGTGTGAACTTGCGGCTCATCTCTGGGAGTCTATTAGACCCCTTGCTGACTTTGACTTCAGAGATTGGAGCCCACCTTCCATTCTCATCCAGGGCACTGCAGCTCATACCAGCCATCCACTAGGAACAGCTCAGAGCACTGGCTGGCCCCCCCTCAGCTGCCCCCAAGCCTTCCCTGGCCCCCGTGGGCAGTCACCTCTCTTCTCGGTGGTCACCACCAAGGCCTCGGCAGCTTCTCCCCAGCCCTTGCGGGTCTGGGCCGTGATGCGGAACAGGTAGACAGACTCTGGCTTGAGGCCCGTGGCTGTGTACTGCCGGGCGCTGGGTGCCAGCACCTCCACAGTGGCGGTGTTGGCCGTGGTGGTGTTGAGCCGGTGTGTGATCTGGTAAGCTGTGGGAAGGAAGCACATGGCTATTATGGCAAGCAAGGCAAGCCGCTCCTAGGGCCCCGGGAAGGGTTGTTCCGTCCAAAGCCACAGCTGTGTCTGTACATGGCCACCTTGCCGTGGTCCCTTTGGCTGTGGTCTGTCTGCCTGAGGTCTCTGGGTCACTCTCCAGTCTTCAGCTGCCACCTGGGGAGGGTGGACTGTGGGTGGCATGGAGAGGCACTCTATGCACAGTGTCTGTGACCCCCGTAACAGCCCCAAGTGAAGAAACTGAGGCCCGGAGAGGCCAGACCACCTGCTGGTAAGTGACAGAGCTGGAATCCCAGCCCAGGTCTTTCTGGGCTAATGCACTTGTCCTTCCTGCCCCCACTCTGTCTTGGGGATGTGGCATTGCTCTAGGGCAGGTGGTGCGTGAGGTCAGGACTGAGAACCCTGGGACAGGTACAGGTAGTCCAAGCCCCCATTTTAAAGGTGAGGGCACTGAGGCCGCAGAGGGGAGTAGACTTGCTCAAGTTCACGCAGCTGCCGACCGGAACCCTGGGTGTGTGTATTGGGGGAACTCTAAATGTGAGATGAAGCTTCCCATCTGTAGCCTCCCTCCTGTGCGCCTTGAGACTCTTTTCCAGCTGTGCTGAGCCTGCCAGCGTGCCCTCACTTGGCCATGCTAAGGAACAGCGTCCGAGGTTTACCAGATGGCCGGCAGGCTGGGGGCCTGGGGACATTTGGGGACGCAAAGCCAACCCATGACTCTTAAGGGACTTCAACTCTGATCTTGCCCTCCGGAAGATAATCTTACACACTGGAATTTCTAGCAGGAGGACTAACACCCAGATCCCATTCTAGAGGGGATGTGGAGGCTCCCTGGACCTACTCTCCCTCAAGCTGGTAACGAAGTGGCCTCCTTTGCAGCTCATGCCTCTTCCTTCTTCCTGCAGCCGGGGCACGGGAAGGGCAAAGGCTTACCAAGAATGATGCCATTGGGGGCGGCAGGGGGCTGCCAGATCAGCCGCACAGACGTGGTCCGCACCTCTGGGAACAGGATGCCCATGGGTGGTCCTGGGACTGGAGGGGGCAAAGGAGAGGAGGCCGACCCATGAGGCTGCCGCTCAGCTGGGGATGAGCCCAGCTCGGGCAGAGCAGCCTGGCAGGGTGGAGGGGGAAGGGGCCGCCCAGCTCAGTGAATTTCTGTGGAGTACTGCCCTGTGCCTGACACTGTGTTAGGAGCCAGGGGCAAGAACGTGGAACCAAGGGGGCTTTCTGCCCTCAAAATAGGCATCATTTGGCAGCGACCTGAGGCTCCAGCTTCCTCTGCTCATTGTCTGTATACACGCCCCAGAACCGGGCTGCCCTCAGAGCTGGGCGCGTGGGCCCTGGATGGATGCGTCAGTGCTTCAGAAGGTCCTGTTCTGACTTCCTTCCACCCATGGGGTGAAGTGGCCGTGGGGTAATGGGAAATGCCCACCCCCAGCCTGCACCACTCCTCTCTCTCTCTAGACCTTGCTCTGGAATCCTGGGACCCCGGAATTCCCTGCCCAGAGAGGCCTAAGCACGCTTCCAGAGGCTGCATGGGCCTCGTCCCCACATCCACCCTCCTGAGGGTAGGCTATGCACCCCTGGCTCCAGGGAAGGCCAAGCGGTAGCTATTTTGCAGGTGTGGAGATGAAGATTGAATGGAGTGGGTCAAAGGACAGGGTGAGGAGAGAATGGGGCAGGGGGTGGGGGAGGGTAGCTGGGGAGGGGCACTCTTCTGTGTTGCCGCACTGCAGAACAGAATAAGATGTCTGAGATTTCCAAACTTTTTTTTTTTTTTTAATACCGAGTCTCGCTCTGTTGCCCAGGCTGGAGTGCAGTGGCGTAATCTCAGCTCACTGCAAGCTCCGCCTCCCGGGTTCAAGCGATTCTCCTGCCTCAGCCTCCCAGTAGCTGAGACTACAGGCGTGTGCCACCACACCCGGCTAATTTTTATATTTTTGGTAGAGACAGGGTTTTACCATGTTGGCCAGGCTGGTCTTGAACTCCTGACCTCAAGTGGTCTGCCTGCCTTGGCTGCCTAAAGTGCTAGGATTACAGGCGTGAGCCACCACGCCCAGCCTGAGATTTCTAAACTTGAACCTGGCCTTCCAGATCGTTGTAAGGGTATATCTGTCAAGGCAGGAGGATAGAACATATTTAACGGTTCATTAGCTTGATGAATAATGTTAGCATATGCAAACATATGGTATTTGGGCTTCCTTCTGCACTCTGGTCCGGTTCCTGCAAATGTCTGTGGTGGGCAGTAGGTGGGGGCGTGTGCGGGGAGATAGGAGGGGGCAAGGGATGCATTGGTGAGCTTCTGATGGGGAGTTTTGCTACAGGGATGAATGCCTGCAGCCCACTGGTGACATTCTTTTGCAAACAGGACCAGGAGGTTCGTGCGTCCAGGAAAAATACTTTCACAGACCTTTACTCAAAGTGAACCTGCTCCAGTTGAAAAATAAAGTAAAACTGGCCGGGTGCAGTGGCTCACATCTGTAATTGCAGCATGTTGGGAGGCTGAGGTGGGTGGATTGCCTGAGGTCAGGAGTTCGAGACCAGCCTGGCCAACATGGTGAAACCCCAGCTCTACTAAAAATACAACAATCAGCTGGGTGTGGTGGCCAGCGCCTGTAATCCCAGCTGCTCAGGAGGCTGAGGCAAGAGAATGGTTTGAACCTGGGAGGCGGAGGTTGTAGTGGGCCAAGATCGCACCACTGCACTCCAGCCTGGGTGACAGAGTGATACTCTATCAAAAAAAAAAAAAAAAAAAAAAGAAAAGTAAATTAAAACGGGTGCAAGTCCCTATTCTGTATGCTTGTTTTGCAGAGAGACCAAGAGACTGAATCAGACGTCAAACTGCCTCCGCATTGTCCTCAGGGATACACAGGCTGTAATTAGCATCCCCTGCAGTGGGGCTGGTAGCTCTGGGTGACCCATCCCTACCGGAGGCATCTGAGGCCATGGCTCCCTGTGGGGCAGAGCCTGACCCCAGAAGGGCAAGGCCAGATGGGCAGGAGGAAGGGCGGCTCCTCCCAGCCTTCCCCAAGCTTGCTGGGATACGGACTCACCATCATCCAGCGTCCGCTCCAGGATGGGAGGGTGGCTGGGGCTGCCGTCCCCGATGCGTGTGAAGGCCAGCACCTGGACTTCATAGAGCACGTATTTGCCCAAGCCGGTGAGCTGGGCACTGCGAGACGAGTTGCCTTCCACCAGCCAGAATCGGGGCTGGGTGTCCGAGTCCTTCTCCTTATACATCACCTGTCAGGGCCCAGCACAGGGTGAGGGCCTCAGGCCTGCATCTCACCCATCTACACTTTTCCCGAGTCTCATCCCCAGGATGAGCAGCTGTGTGTCACACATCTCCCAACTTCCAGACCAGGGCTGGACCATGTGGCTAGGCACAGCTTTAAAAGGAATTCTAAAAGATAATGAAAAGCAAAACTGGGTCCAACAGAGCTGAGTGAGGCTGGGGGCATCCAGCGTGGCCTCCCGGGAGAGATGGAGCAGCCCTAGGCCCTGGGTCCTTTCTGGGTGCCTCCTCACCCACAAGGGATGACTCATGGTTGCCATGGTGACCATTGGCTAGGACGCCAGGCAGATCCCCTGTATCCACTCTAGGAGGCAGAGACCTAGAGGGTGATAAGGACAAGGCCCCTTGGATGGAGAGGCTGGAGGGGCCAGTGTAGGGACCCCACCTCCTGGGATCCCGGGACTCACCTTATAGCCCAGCACGAGCCCGTTGCGATCAGCCTCGGGGACCTCGCTCCAGCGCACCAGCATGCTGCTGGAGGTGGTGGCCAGTGCAGACACATTGGTGGGGCCGGAAGAGGGAACTGTGGGGGAAAGGGAGTGGAGAGAAGGCACTCAGGACCCAACGTTGACTGTGCAAGGGAAGTGGACCAGGACAGGGGGCCGAGGGAGGGGCCAGCTCGATGTTGCCTCTCTATGGAAGAAACGTGGCACACATGGTCCCCAAACTGCAAACAATCCCACTAAGATGGCCTTTGGTTTTGGAATGCTGCAGATGCCGTTTCCGGTTTCAGATGAGCCTCCTCACAGGATTCTCTGCTCAGGTTAGGATTAGATGAGCTTGCATTTCCTGCTAGCACAGCAGAGAGGGCTGGCAGAGGGACCAGGGTGGCCCAGGAGAGCTGTCTGTCATTTAAAGGGTGCCAGGAAAAAGCCACAGAGCAGTGAACCATGTGTGGATGGATGAGAGTTGCCTGAATGCTGGGCTCACATTCTGTGGGTCACCCCTGGGCAGGCCCCCAGGAGCTTCCGGTAGTGATTCTGGAATGTCCTGAGAGCTAACCCTTTCCTCGACCCCTCCACTGTGGTCTTTCAGGCACCACTGGGTTTCAGGGTTAAAGCTGAGGGCAGGAGAGTGGGCAGTATGAATGGTGGAGCCTACCCAGCTGTCCTCCAGAGGCAGGGATACCCCCGCCCCCCTTGGGAATATGGGAATAGCAGGCACAGTTGCAGAGAAGTGGCAGGTGCTGGGAGAGGCGGCAACATCATTGTGACATTGAGCATAAGCAGAGGAAATGAGCTCAGGCTGTTTTTGAACAACACCTTCAGCCTGGCACGCGCTTGGATGACCCTGAGGGCATAGAGACCAAGGAGGGGACAGGCAGCAGGGTGGCTGGGTGTGAGGGGTTGGTACCTGACTCCCGGGTCCTGCCCACCACCGTCTGGCTCCAGGGCCCGCTCCCGATGGCGTTGAAGGCCTGGACCTGGACGCGGTACTCTGTCCACTCCTCCAGGTCCTCGATGGTGTAGTCCCGCTCCACACGGTCCTGCACCACGTGGCTCAGCGTCTTGCCATGCCCGTCTGACCGGCTGTACTTGATCTTATAGCCCACGGACTCAGGGTTCCCATTGTATTCCATCTCCGGGAGAGGCTGCAGCGGGGCAGGGGTGGCAAAGCTGCTATGAGCCAGGCCCCCCACTGTGCAGGGAGGAACTGCCCTGCTACCCTCTCCTCCAGGGCGCCTTCAGGGCTATCCATCCCACTGTCACCCGGTCAGTGTCCACATGAGGCTCTCTCACCCGAGTGTGGCTTAGGTTGTGTGACTGTGTTTCTGATGGGCTCTTATCTTCCTGCAGGGAGGACAGAGAAGCAGCATCCTTTCTTTATTGTGTATGTGACAAATCTATTACCCTGCCAAGGGAGTCAGGAGCCACAAAGGCTGTGTGTCTGACACACCGATAGCACCGCCACCTTTGGCTCTGCTGTCTCTGCTGCTTACCTCTGTCACTCAGGCTGCCAGCACACACTTAATTGCCTACCGCACCTGGTCTCAGCTCATGCCTGCCTTTGAGTGAGCATGGGCAGAGAGCAGGATGAGTGGGGCACCTGCCAGTCAGGAAGTCCTTCTGTCCAGCAAACCTCAGCCTCTCCTGCTGCATTTTCAGCCTCCTTTTTCTTTTCTTTTTTTTTTTTAAGACAGGGTCTGGCTCTGTCTCTCAGGCTGCAGTGCCATGGTGCTGTCTCAGCTCACTGCAACCTCTACCTCCTGGGCTCAAGCAATCTCTTGCTGGGACTATAGGCGTGTGCCACTATGCCTGCTAAGTTTTGTAGAGACGAGGTTTCGCCATGTTGATCTCAAACTCCTCAGCTCAAGTCATCTGCTCGCCTCGGCCTCCCAAAGTGCTGGGATTACAAGCCACCACGCCCAACCAGCCTCCTCCTTCTTGTTTGAGTCTCACAGAAAAGAAAAGTCAGATTTCTTTGGGGCCTTAGGACTAGGCTGATGGGGCTGTGGTCACCAGCTTAAGGTTGTGTGGATGACCATGGGCAGTGCTGGTGAGAGTGGAGGTGTGCACACAGGGAGGGGAGCCCAGGGCCTGGCCTCCACTACTCTGAAGGGCACAGAGCTGGGGTGGGGGCATCTCCAGCCCTCACCTCCCCCAGTTCTGCTTCCCCAGGGGCTCTGGAGGGCCCTTGGTCCACAGGCTCACCCTAGGCTGACCCACTTTACCCCACTCCTCACCTTCGGCCCCAACCTCCCCTGCTCACTACACGCTTCCTCCCTCCTGCAGACACTTAGTGAAGCCGACCAAAGACCATTAAGATAGCAATCGATGGTCCTGAGAGCCGGAGATGGGGCTTAAGTGCAAGTTCCTTTACCTGCTGAGGAAAGGTAATGGACCACGCACCATTAAGCGTGGGCCTGAGAAGTGTCTAGGGCCCTGTGCCACATGGCAGCTGCCTTTCTATTCCCCCATGCAGTCCCTGCCCTCCGCATCAGGCTCTAACCTTTTAGTAGCTGCAAACCTTAAAGTGAGATTCAGGAAGGAAGCAGGGAGCCAGCCTGGGGTGGGGATGCCTGGGAGCAAAGAGGCAGGAGGTGGGTATAGTCACACTGTGCACGGGGCACTGAGGTGGGCCGAGACAGCTCTGCAGCTCTGCTCAGGCACCAGCCACTCTGGGAAGGGAACTGCAATCAATAACTCATATTTATCGAGGACTGACGGCGCCAAGCGCTTTCATGGCCGCTAGCATCAAGCTGTCCGCGCACAGGAACGGCAATAATGACTTCACAGTGTGGTGTGTTTGCAAGTTGTGTTTTGCACAATGAGTGAGATCTTACGTGGAAACAAAGGGTTTGTGTGGTCAGATGGGCCTGGGGAAGCAGGGTCAAGAGGGCTCCTGCTATGCTAGTGTTCCTGGATTCTCTATGGAGCTGTGGTATGTGGTGCTGTTCCCACATTTATTTGTCTAAGAATTCTTGTTTGCTCCACACGCCTCCTGGGATTGCTGCTCTGTGGGACACGTGCTGGGAAACGATGTTCCAGAGGGCCTGGTGGGGAGAAGTGGCCTGTTCTCCAGAGGATGAGACGGCAGTGTGCCCGATGGTTAGGGCTGTGGACTTGCGGGTAAAGATTCCCCGGGTTGGGACCTCAGCCCTGCTGTTCATGAAAGCACGTGGGAGGATACGGGAGAACTTGGGCGAGTGATCTGACCTCTCTTCTGCCCCGGTTTCCTCATCTGCAAAAGGGGGACCAGGATCACTCTGCTGTCACAGGCTTGTTGTCAGAACAGCGCCTGGTAGGAGAGGAAGCCTCGGTGTGTTACTGTCACTACCTCGTGCAGGATGGCCCACGGTCAGGACCCTCAACACACAGCCCGGATCTGGGGACACTCTCTGAATGCCACAGTGGCACTTGAACCCCAGACCCGCCGCTTGGGAGCTGTGTGGCTGTGGGCAAGTTCTTAACCTCTCTGAGCCTCAGTTTTCTTAGCTGTAAATTGGGATGATCATGTATCCTTTGTAAGATTATTGGGAGAATCAAATGGGATGAAAATTTAAAATGCTTGCCACTTGGCGATGCTCAGTAAACAGTATTTTTGAGCTCCTTCCTCTCATCGGCGGGCGGGGGGGCATTTGTTCGTTGGGCTAAGATGTTGATTATCAGGCATCTCATCAGAAAACAGAAAGAGAGGAGAAAGGAGCTGTAGGAATTCTGATGTGCACCTTCTAGGAGGCAATGACCAGAAGCTCATGGAGAGGTCCCACCCCTGCCCTCGAGGGAGCCTTACCATCCAGCGCAGCCACAGGCTGGTCTCACTGGCTGTGCGCAGAGACACATTGGCTGGGGCCATGTCAGGGGGTGCCTGCAGGGTCTGGATCTTTCTAGAAGGCTGACTGGGGGGGCTGGTGCCCACGATGTTCACCTGGCGCATGCGGAAGCTGGGGTTGGGGAGAGATGAGCAAGATGGTAAGGGCAGCTCACCCAACTCTCAACCCTGTCCTGGTCTGGGCCATAGCCCCCACCCACCCCCAGCCCTGAGGCTGCTGCCTTCTCCCCGGGCCAGTCTCATTACCTGTAGCAGGTGAAGGGGTTGAGGTCGGGCACCTCCATGGAGCGGGCATCGGGCTCATTGGAGAGCTGGTGGATCAGCAACCACTCCTCTCCCTCCCCAACCACGCCTACCTGGAAAAGGGCAGGATCTTAGGCCTGTCCAGCCTACAGGGCCCACACGGGGTGCTCCGAGCCCCAGTACAAGCCCTGCCAGGGAAGAAGTTGGTTCAGAACCCAGGGCTCATCTGGAGGGCACCATATGGGGCTACCATCTTTCCAGGCCCCTAAACATGACTGCAAGTGTGACTCAACCCTCCTGCCTTAGAATCTCTCAGGATGCTTGTGATCAATATATTCCTGGATTCTGGAGTCAGAATGAGTTTAAATCTAACTCCACTACTTACAGAATCCCTCGAGTGCTGCCCAGGAATCTGTGCTTTTAACAAGCAGCCCAGGTGATTCTCTTGAACACCCCGGGTACTTCCAGAGACCCAGGCTGCCCCTCAAATCAGCTAAATCAGAATCAGAGTTTCTGGGGTAGGGGCACAGGTGTTGGCGCTTCTGAACGCTCCCCTGATGATTCCAGGGTACAGCCAAGGCGGATATTTTTATATTCCAGCAACTGGGTATTTTTCTAGGCACCCCCCGACCCAGGAGGGGACTGTAGTGTGTGTGTGTTTTTCCATGTACACAGGTGAGGGGCAGGGGGAGTTGGAGACAACATTGGCAAGTGTGAGCATTTGGAGTATAATGGGCCATTGAGAGCTGCACATGAAAATTCACACAGGCCGAAATACACATAAGATTTTGCACTCAAGGGCACGGGGTGCCCTGGCGGGGGCTGCTGGTCAGGCCCCAGGCCTGCCCTACCTGGGCTTCCACCAGCCAGCGGGAGATGGAGGTTTTCCCATCGTAGCCTGGCCTGAACTGCAAGGTCACAGAGCGGGGGCCGATGTTGGAAATGCCCAGGTTGGTGGGGGGCCCTGGGAGTTCTGGAAAAGGAGAACAGGGTGGGGAAGGAGATCCGGTGAGAATGGCCCCCCATGTTGAACGGGACTGTTGGGCATGGAGGGGGCTGTGTGTCACGCTTTTCCTGGAAATGTCTGAGGAGAAGCACAGCCACGGCCCCACTCCACCCACAGTCTTTGTTCCTGTGTCTTACGGAGAACCATGTTCATGCCAGGAGGCTGAGACAGAGTTGGGGGTCAAAGGGGATCTCCTAGGGCTGAGAGGAGGCTCTCAGGGCCAGGAAACAGGGGCCGGGATGCCGCCTTCTTCCTGGCAGTTCTGGATGTGAGTGAGGTAATCATAAGGCAGCTAAAAGCTGCATTAAAACCAAGCTGTGCTGAGAAAGAAACCAAACGGGACCGATCCTCCCTTCCATCCGCCCAGACCCCTGCACACCTCCTACGCCTAATTACAGCTCAGGAAGGTGAGAGGATGGGTGGGGACAGGGGGAAGCTTATTTTCTGGCCAGGAATCCTGGGGCTCTTGGAGCTCAGGAACAACAGAAAGAACACAGATTCTGGAGTCAGAATGAGTTTAAATCTAACTCCACTACTTACAGGCTGTGTGTCTTTGCACAAGTTATCCAACTCTCTGTGCCTCCATGTCCTCCTTGGTAATGAAGAGGATAATAGCAACACCTCCCTCAGGGTTGTTGTGAGGATTAAATGAGTCAACGTGAGCAAAGCTCCCAGCACCATGCCCCGTGAACACTACATACCTATTTGCCAGCATGGCTGTAATTATCACTGGGCTTTGGCTGAGACTCAGGCAGCCCAGCCATCTACGCAGCAGGTGGAGGGATGCTGGCAGGTCAAACAAGCACTGCCTGACTGATCTGGATGGGACCACATGGTTATCTGGTCCAACTTCCCATATATACAGATGGGGAAACTGAGGCACAGAGGGGACACAGAACTTGCTCAAGGTTGTAGGGCTTGGCAGAAGCAGAGCTGAGAGTGGACCTCGGCTTGCTCTCTGTGCCAGGCCTAGGAGTAGCCCCACCGTGCTCTGCCACCTCCCAACCAACCCTTCCACACGCTGGAATCCAAGGTGGACCCTCTGGGCGACAGTGGGAAATTTTCCCCTGAATCACAGATACCATTGCCTGGTGTGGAATCTGGTGAGAAATGGGTGAAGGGAGGGACTGGTGGGGAAATGAGACAAGGCAGGGGGCCTCTGCTTTTCTGAGAGCTGTGGGAGGATGCAGCAGGGAGCCAGGGGAGCCCCTGTCCAGAGACCTGGGATCCCAGGGATTCCGCCTGCTCTGAGGGGACCCAGACCCACACAGCACAAGGGAAGGGGAGAGCCTGTGGGAAGAACGCTGGTATTCCTGAAAGACAAGGGGCCTCTTTTTATTTTTTTTTTTGAGACGCGATGTGGCCCTGTCACCCAGACTGGAGTGCAGTGGTGTGATCTCGGCTCGCTGCAACCTCTACCTCCTGGGTTCAAGCGATCTTCCATCCTCAGCCTCCCAACTAACTGGGATCACAAGCATGCACCACCACAGCTGGCTAATTTTTGTATTTTTAGTAGGGTTTTACCACGTTGGCCAGGCTGGTCTCGAACTCCTGACCTCAAGTGATACGCCTGCCTCAGCCTCCCAAGGTGCTGGGACTACAGGCATGAGCCACCACGCCCAGCCGACAAGGGGCCTCTTGAATGGGACGCTGCTCAGGAGAACTCAAAGAGTCCTGCCTTGAGAGTGGGCACTTACCTGGGGGCACCCCAGAGGAGATGGTGGAGGCGGACACTTGGCCCTGGCCCTTTGAGGTCATGGCGGCCACCTCGATGGTGTAGGTGGTGAGCGCGGTGAGGCCCGTGACACGGTACTCCAGGGTCACGTTGGGCAGGTAGTGGGTCACACGGGTGTTGGTTCGATTGTACTCCTCCCAGGAGATCCGGTACCCTGGGGAGAGCCGCCGTGTTGGCATGAGCTTGGCTGTGATCACAAGTTGGCCTGACCCACTACTCCACTTCTCACTTCTCCACTAGGCTGGCAATTAGATCCACGCTGGGAGCAATGGGGCCAAGGGAGGTGGGAGCTGTTGGCATCATGCCCTGGGTCTCAGGTGTCGCCTCAGTGGGATGCCAGCACTTTAGGGAATTGCAGGGGACATAGTGAGTCATCATGGCAGCCACTGAGATCTGTGGCAGAAGGTGTGGGGCTGCAGACTCTGGGATGTGTTATGAAGTGGAGGTGCCAAGAGCCTCCTGTGAGTGGTTTCTAAGAAAGCATGGGTTGGCTTCAAGAGTTTGGGTGAAAAGTAGCTCAAAGGCAGGGGATGGACCAGCTCTGACCTTTCCCAGCCCTGTCCTGCCCTCTGGTTCAGAAACACTGCAGTGCCTACCTGTGAGGATGCCATTTTTCTCTCCCGGCTCTTGCCAGCTGACCTTCAGCGATGTGTCCAGGATCTCACTGAAGCTCAGGTGTCCCACGGGCCCAGGCACTGCACCCCAAAAGGAACCCCCACCCCCCAAGGCCAGTTAGAGCCAGAGAGAGACCACCATCTGTGAGATAGCCTGTGGTAATCTGGGGGTATCTCAGCCTGGGAGACAAGCCTGGGCCACCCTTCTGCCTGGGGCGCCCAGCCTGGCCTTGGGCGGGGGGGGGCAGAAAGAGCAGGGCTGGGGGGTGCCTACCATCCTCATGGGTGCGCACCAGCTGCGGGGTGCTGCGTGGCCCGTCCCCGGGGGTGGTGAAACACAGCACTGAGGTGAAGTACTCGGTGAACTTCTTCAGGCCAGACACGAAGCCCACGTGGATGCTGTCTTGAAAGTTAGGCCGGGCGGTCACCATGGTAACCTCCTCTTCCTGTTCCGGCTCCCAGGCGATCAGCTGCGGAGAGGCGAGCAAGTCACACAGGGCAGCAGGAAGGTTCCAGAGGAGGCCAAGCCCTCTCCCACAGGCTGGGCCAATCAACAGATGGTGTCCGGGGACCGGAGTCCCTGTGGTGCCTCCTCCGAGGGAAGGGACAGGCAGTGCAGGGAACCTGCGGGGTACTGGGGTTCACTTTGGGGCGCTTCTCCACTTCTTGAGCCACTGACTTTATGCAAAGCACCGTGCTGGGTGCTTCCCAGGAATCGCCTCGTACTCAATTCTCACAGAGACCCAGGAGGGAGGCATTTCACCAGGAACAGCTGCATAATTTGCAGGCTCAGTGCAAAATGAAAAATTTAGCCCTTGTTCAAAAACGACTAAGAATTTTAAGATGATAGCATCAGAGCATTTAACTAAGTGTGGGGTCCTTCCAAACGTGGGGCCCTGGACGACTGCACAGGTGGCACACCCATGAAGCCGGCCCTGTATTCCTTTTTTGAGATGGGGTCTCACTATGCTGTCCAGGCTGGAGTACAGCGGCATGATCACAGCTCACTGCAGCCTCAACCTCCTGGGCTAAAGCAGTCCTCCCACCTCAGCCTCCCAAAGTGCTGGGATTATAGGTGTAAGCCACTATGCTCGGCCCAGCCCTGTATTTTATTTTATTATTTATTTATTTATTTTTATTTTTTGAGACAGAGTCTTACTTTGTCGCCCAGGCTGCAGTACAGTGGCAAGATCTAGGCTCACTGCAACCTCTGCCTCCCGGGTTCAAGTGATTCTCCTGTCTCAGCCTCCAGAGTAGATGGGATTACAGACATGCACCACCATGCCCGGCTAATTTTTGTATTTTTAGTAGAGATGGGGGTTTCACCATGTTGGCCAGGCTGGTCTCGAACTCCTGATCTCAAGTGATCCGCCCGCCTCGGCCTCCCAAAGTGCTGGGATTACAGGCATGAGCCGCTGTGCCCAGCCCAACCCTGTATTTTACAGATGAGGAAACTGAGGCTCAAAGAGGCTCACACAGGTAGGGGGAAGCTGGTTCTGGGATTCCAAGCCCTGAGCTCCTACATCTTGCCCCATGTGAGCTGGGGCAGCTTCGTCTTTGGAGCTCTCCAAGGGTTACTTCCTACAGAGCTGGGAACTTCAGTTTGTGGGTAACTATTATCCTCTTACACTCCTTCTAAGTTGGGATTTCCATCTTAAATATCAAGTAGAGGCGGGGCATCGGCAAGAAAGTCCCATCTGGAAATCCCTCAAGTTCTTGCTCATCTCCCCTCTGCAGATCACACCTGGCCCCCGCCCCCTCCCGCCTGTCTCGCCTCCTGCTCTCACCTCACGCTCCTGTTTCTAGGCCCTTCATCTGTCTCCAATAATGACAGCTGGTTTCAGAGATTTCCTCATTTATTTGAAGTTGATTAAATAGCAATTAATGGTGAAAAGCAACACTTGATGAGTTTTAATAAGCACGGGTATTTATAGATATAAAACAATACCACGCCAATGTCTCCCGGTTAACTCATGCCTATAACAATGCTTAATCTTCTCCTTTTCATGGCTGTGTATTTATAAAGGATGTTTTGAAATTTAATTGGTATTGTGAAAAGATAGCCTATAGCAAGTTAATTAGACACTAATTAGACCCTCAAAATACTAAACAGAAATACTAAGTGGCATTTAATAAGTGTGTTAAATATCCTCCGTATTTCGATTATCTTGTTTCATAGCAATTATGTTGCCGAACTTCTTTGGAGTAGATTAAGAAACAAGTTTAATGTTTTAATTTAATTTAATTAATGTACATTCAAATTAATTATGCTGTTAGAATTAATTGTGTGGTGTGTTCCCCAGCAAGTATAAAATCTGGGTAAATATTATCTTCCTGGGCTTAGGCCAATTATAAGCTCTACCATTTTTTTTAAATAAAGGAAAAAGGGTGTCTTTACATGTGCCTTAAAACAATATCACTGGGCCTTACCCACAAAAATGACCCAGAGGAAGTGCACAGGGTAATGGCAGTGTGGTTTGTGGAGTCACGCTCTTGACTTCATTATCCTACAGCTTGACGCCTGGATCCAAGATGGCAGCAGGGTCATGGGTTCCTGTGGCTGTTTCAAAATATTTACTCTGGGATGTGAGCCACTTGTCCTTCTCCAGTTGCACGTGGAGAGGAGGAGGCTTGGGGATAGGAGGCCTCCCTGCCTCAGGTCCAGGGAGAGAGACAGTAAAATTGCCTTTTGTGTCCTTCATTGCCCTAAAGGGATTGGGCTCTGGGCAGCCGTGGGATGGAACTTCAGTGCTCAGCTCAACACACAACAGGGCTTCCACCTGTTGAACTCTTACCGTGTGCCTGGCCTTATTTAATCATCACGATGAGGAGCAGATGGAAATCATTGTCCTATGCTATTACAGAAAAGGAAACTGAGGTTCAGGAAGGTTAAGGAGCTTGCACATGGACCTACTAAGAGCTGGCTCAGTTTGTGGACCCTGAGACCTTTCATGATGACCTCTGTCTCTCAAAGGTACACAGAGCTGCTGAGATGAGTGTTCTTTAGGACATCTCTGTGCCTTCTCCTTGTTAGTCAGTTTCAGTGTTGATTTACCATACTAGGTCCTTAGTCTCAGGTTCTAAGTAGACGGGGCTCCCCTGAGAAGGCTCGGGTGTGTTCTGGGGAACGAGCATTAGACCTGAGTTCCTGGGATATGAAATTCCCCCTTAGAGAGCAGAGGCCCAGGGAGGCAAGCCTTGTAACTGAGCAGCAGTGCTGCTGATGGAGGGTGTTGGGGGAGGGCAGCCTTGCAGCTGGCACACTTGAACCTGAACCCAGCTCTGTCACTTACTGTGGGACTCACGGAAAGTCACTTGACCACTCTGAGCCTCAGGCTATTCTAGGGGATAGAAACAGCTGCCTTGCTGGGTTTCAGGGAGGAGCAGGTGAAATGTCTCCTGTCCCTGGTGGAGGCAGTACTCTACAGGGTTGAAGGTGTAGGATGATGTATATGGCATCTAGCTACTAAAGTTAGAAAATAAAAGTTAGGCTGGGCATGGTGGCTTACGCCTGTAATCCCAGCAATTGGGGAGGCCAATGTGGGTGAATCACGAGGTCAGGAGTTCGAGACCAGCTTGGCTAACATGTGAAACCCCGTCTCTACTAAAAATACAAAAATTAGCCGCACATGGTGGCTGGCGCCTGTAATCCCAGCTACTCTGGAGGCCGAGGCAGGAGAATTGCTTGAAACTGGAAGGCAGAGGTTGCAGCGAGCCAAGATTGCGACACTGCACTCCAGCCTGGGCAAAAGAACAAAACTCCTTCTCAAAAAAAAAAAAAAACAAACAAAAAACCATATATATATATATATATATATATATATATATATATATATATATATATATAAAGATCGAGAATGTGGAAAGTACATTGTCACTTATCTGAGAAGGAGAGCATACACATTTATGTATGCATGTACAGCAAATCATTGGTATTCATGTGGGATTGGTTCCAGGACCGCCCGCAGATACCAAAAGCCACAGCTGCTCAAGTACCTGATATAAAAAGGTGTAGTATTTGCATGTAACCTACACACCTCCTCTTATATATCTTTTTTTTTTTTTTGAGACAGAGTCTCGCTCTGTCGCCCAGGCTGGAGTGCAGTGGCGCGATCTCCGCTCACTGCAAGCTCCGCCTCTCGGGTTCACGCCATTCTCCTGCCTCAGCCTCCCGAGTTGCTGGGACTACAGGCGCCTGCCACCACGCCCGGCTAATTTTTTTTTTGCATTTTTAGTAGAAACGGGGTTTCACTGTGTTAGCCAGGATGGTCTCGATTTCCTGACCTCGTGATCCGCCTGCCTTGGCCTCCCAAAGTGCTGGGATTACAGGCATGAGCCACCGTGCCCGGCCCCTCCTCTTATATATCTTAAATCACCTTTAGATTATTGTAATACATAACACAATATAAATGCTATGTAAATAGTTGTTATACTGTATTGTTTGGGGGAATAATGACAAAAAACTCTGTGCATGTTTAATATAGATGCATTTTTGTCTGAATATTTTCAGAACCTTATGAGATTGGCTGAATCCACAGATGTGGAATCCATGGCTAAGAAGGGCCTACTACACTCTTTTTTTTTTTTTTTGAGATGGAGTCTCGCTCTGTTGCCTAGGCTAGGGTGCAGTGGCGAGATCTCCGCTCACTGCAATCTCTGCCTCCCCAGTTCAAACGATTCTCTTGCCTCAGCCTCCTGAATAGCTGGGATTATAGGCACCTGCCATCACGCCCAGCTAATTTTTTTTTTTGTATTTTTAATGGAGATGGGATTTCACTATGTTGGCCATGGTGGTCTTGAACTCCTGATCTCAAATGATCTGCCCGCCTCGGCCTTCCAAAGTGTTGGAATTACAGGCGTGAGCCACCGCGCCTGGCCTGTACTTGTTTATATTAAAAAAATGGAAGAAAAAACCAAACCAAGAAAACAGAAAGCAATCAGACCTATAGGGGAGTGAGAGGACAAGGATTGAAGCTGATTTTCTCTGAATTTGCTTTGTGGATTTGACTTTATTATGTAAATATTCAACGTAATTATAGAATAAAATTAAATTAAAAAATCAATCCCTAAAAATCAAAACCACAATGAAGCAAATGAACTAATAGAGTATTGAGCTGTGGTAAAATTACAGAGAGAAATGACTTCAAAAGACTTAGCAATGCAGTGCGAAGTCCATCCCTAGAGGGATATACCTCAGGAACAAGAAGAATGGCAATAATTGGAAACTACGTTCAGTAATCATAGTGTGGATATGACTATTCTGAAACTGTTGTGTGTGTTTGTGGGAATAACGTAGGTGGGTAAAATGCTGGTATTGTAGGAACTGGATTTTCAGTATGGACAAAAGACCAATGAGATTATTAAAGAGTCTGTCATCATGAAATGGAATTGAAAGTGTGAGTATCTATAGTATCTTAAAAAATATTGTTTAGCTAGCCATTAACAGGGCCTAGAAACAACAACCATTTCTGGAATAAATGCAATGCAAGTGCTAAAACTGTGGTATCTAACTATCATTTCTCACTGAAAGCAACAAGAGCCCCTTAAAGAAATGGCCGATGCCTGGCACAGTGAGGGGAATGTATATATAATAGTCTGGAACATCTTGTCATACCAAATTGCAAGGAAGCTATCAGAGACTACTGGGGCCACGTCAAGAGGGCTCACCATCAAGTCGAAGAGGCCAATGATGGGTCCATTTGTACCACTGAACTGGCAGCACCCAGTACCATTTAAGAAGCATAATAATGGTAATGGATTGAAACATGTCAGATTTGTAAAACAAAAAACAAAACAAAAAAAATCCTTGGTTATCTAATAATACTACCAAACCCAAAACAAAACAGAAAGACGTCCCCCTCCAACCCAAGCTCATCTGTTACCTGATAAGACAATAAGGAATCAATTTAGTCTTTATTTTTTCTGTTTTTTAGAAATAGAGATAGCGGGGGCGGGGGAGTCTCACTATATTGCCTAGGCTGGTCTTGAACTCCTGGCCTCAAGCAAGCCTCTGCCTCATCCTCCCAAAGTGTTGGGATTACAGGTGTGATACACCATGCCCGGCCAGAACCAATTCATTATACGAAAAATTTGGTAAGTAAGGAAAAATAATTAAATGCTTACCCTGCTTTTCCTAGATAAACTGAAACTTCAGGTAACCAAAAAGTTGATAAAGGGAAAATTCTTGTTTTTGAAAGCATTTCAGCTACTAAGTCAAGAAGAAATGATAATATTTGCCTATCCCCATATTATAACCCTTATTGAAATGATAGCTCATAGATGACTGTCAGTGGTTGACTTCACAGTAAGAGAGACAGCCGGACTTTGTGCTTTCTGATCAAAATACATAACACCATCTAGGAAGTAAAATATTTCCTTTTTTTTTTTTTTTTTCTTTTGAGACAGAGTCTGGCTCTGTCGCCTAGACTGGAGTACAATGGTGTGATCTCTGCTCACTGCAACCCCTGCCTCAAGAATTCAAGCAATTCTTCTGCCTCAGCCTCCCGAGTAGCTGAGATTAGAGGCATGTACCACTACACCTGGCTAATTTTTTTTTTTTTTTTTGAGATGGAGTCTCGCTCTGTCACCCAGGCTGGAGTGCAGTGGTGCGATCTCAGCTCACGGCAACCTCTGCCTCCCGGGTTCACGCCTTTCTCCTGCCTCAGCCTCCCGAGTAGCTGGGACTACAGGTGCCTGCCACTGCGCCTGGCTATTTTTTTTTTTTTAATATTTTTAGTAGAGACGGGGTTTCACCGTGTTAGCCAGGATGGTCTCGATCTCCTGACCTCGTGATCCACCTGCCTTGGCCTCCCAAAGTGTTGGGATTACAGGCGTGAGCCATCACACCCCGAAGTAAAATATTTCAAATAACAAAAAATCAAACCTGAATCAGATTAGCCTCTAGCTTTAAGTTACAATTCATTGTAACTATATTGTTTGGAGGAATGCATTGAATGACCCCACAGGGATGCAATCAGCGAAATCCAGACTGTGGAAAATTCTGTTGGACAAATGACTAAGTTTCTTCCCAAATAAATTACAAGAAAGAGAAAGGGAGAGAGAAAGAGAGAGAGAGAAAGAATCTATAGATCGACTGAGACCTAAAAAAAACCCCTCAACTGACTGCAATTGTGTGAACTTCATTTAGATCCTGAAGCAAATAAAACCACGAGTAACAGATTATGCGGCAATCAAGAGAATTTGAAGGCTGACTGGATATCTGATGATATTACAGGGCCTGCTGATATTTTTAGCTATCATAATGATAATGCAGTTACTGTGGTTTTATTTTAAATAGAGATCTCATCTATACTGTTTCTTTCCAGAAACATTCATGGATGAACTGATACAATGCCTGGAATTTGCTTCAAAATGTTCCAAGGGAAAGGCAGAGGGTTGGGGCAGAGATGGAACATACCTGGCTGGGAGTTGGGCATTGTTAAAGCTGGGAATGGGGATACAGGTGTTCACTGCAGTCTTTCCTCTACTTGGGTGGATGTTTGAAAATTTTCACAATTAAAAGGGGGCAGCCGGGTGTGGTGGCTCACGCCTATAATGCCAGCACTTTGGGAGGCCAAGGTGGGTGGATCATTTGAGGTCAGGAGTTTGAGGCCAGCCTGGTCAATGTGGTGAAACCCCATGTCTACTAAAAATACAAAAATGAGCCGGGCATGGTGGCATATGCCTGTAGTTCCAGCTACTCGGGAGGCTGAGGTAGGAGAATCACTTGAGCCCAGGAGGCGGAGGTTGCAGTGAGCCGAGATCCAACCTGGGTGACCGAGCAAGACTCTGTCTTAAAAAAAAAAAATTAGCTGAGCATGGTGGCACATGCCCCTGTAATCCCAGCTACTTGGGAGGCTGAGGCACAAGAATCGCTTGAACCCGGGAGGCAGAGGTTGCGGTGAGCTGAGATTGCGCCATTGCATTCTAGCCCGGGCAATAAGAGCAAAACTCCATCTCAAAAAAAAGGAAGAAAAAAAAAACACAAAAGGGGAAAAATGCTCATTCTTATTGGAGGTATACAAGGGACAAACACTGCTTTTTTCTCCTTGTGATATGCTGAAGGCTAAAGAAGCAGAGGAAAAAAATCTCTGCTGCTTTTATTCATTGGTATTGAAAATGTTATCTACAATTAAAAATAATACATTCTCTCTCTCTCTCTGTGTCTGTCTGTCTGTCTCTGTCTCTCTCTTTCTTTTTTTGACACAGGGTCTCACTCTGTCACTCGGGCTGGAGTGCAGTGACGTGATTTCAGCTCACTGTAGCCTTGAATCGTGGTCTCAAACAATCCTCCCTGTCTTAGCCTCCTGAGTAGCTGTGATCACAGGCACTCAACACCACACCTGACTAACTTTTTTGTGTGTGTAAAGATGGAGTCTTGCCATATTGCCCAGGCTGGTCTCAAACTCCTGGGCTCAAGAGATCCCCCTGTCTTGGCCTCCCAAAGTGTTGCGATTCCAGGCGTGAGCCACGGTGCCCAGCCTGACATTTCTTTTTAATGTAAGGAAAAGTGAAGGCTCTGGTTTGAATCTGAGCTTTGCATGACCTTGACACTGTGTTTGACCTTGAACAAGTAACTTCCCTCTGGTGCCTCAGTTTCTTTCTCTGTAAAATGGTGTGATGGTAATATTCCTTTTTGTTTTTGTTTGTTTGTTTGTTTTGAGACAGAGTCTAGCTCTGTCTCCCTGACTGGAGCGAAGTGGCGTGATCTCAGCTCACTGCAATGTCCGCCTCCTGGGTTCAAGCGATTCTCCTGCCTCGGCCTCCTATGTCTGTAGCTGGGATTAGAGATGTGTGTCACCACACCTGGCTAATTTTTGTATTTTCAGTAGAGACAAGGTTTCACCATATTGGCCAGGCTGTTTTCAAACTCTCGACCTCAAGTGATCTCCTGCCTCGACCTCCCAAAGTGCTAGGATTCCAGGCATGAGCCACCACCCCCGGCCGATAATGCTGCTTCTTAGAGTCCCTGTGCTGCTTGCATGAAAGATAAATGTGAGCGAAGCATTTAGTGTACTGCCTGGCCCAGAGAAAGGGCCCTGTAAGTGTGAGGTCTCCTTACTCCTCCACCAGTTTCTGTGCTCAAAACGTCTGGGCAATTCACTCCTGCTGACCTTTATCGAGTAGCTACTGGGGGCTGGGCACTGACTGGACCTGGGAATTCAGTGGCCTCTGCCACCTCCTCTTGCTCTGGGTCACCATGGGCCACTGCCCTAATTGTCCTGGCCATGGGCTGGCCTTCCTGGCCCTCGGGGGAGCTGTTTGCCTTAAAAGTTTGTAGCTCAGCCCTCCCATATGTAGAATAAAACTTGTGCTTAGAATTGGTAGCAAGAAGCTAATTGTTCCCAGTTCAGCTCCTCTGCTCTTCAGCAATGCCGGCCTCCCCTTCCTTCCTCTGCCTCCCCCCAGGGTCCCAATTAGGAGAGTTTTCCGGCAGCGAGTGCTCCAAGAATTCAGCTGCTGCTCCCTGCCCTGCAAAGCTCTGCTCGACCTTGGGTTCACTGCCTTCCTGGGATTGAGAGGGCCAAGGCCGGAGTGAAGCTGGGTCATTTCCAGTTCTGGACCATCCCTCCTTTGTTTGCTTGCAACACTAGCAGAAACTCCTCTTCATTATTTCATCCCAGTCCCTTCTTGTCCAGCCTCCCCCACTTTGGAGGAAGAACCGCTAAGGCAGCGAGTCCTAGAATTAATCTTAGTTGTGGCAAGCACAGTGCAGAGGGGTGCAGGAACCTTCGGGATGTGTCAGTGGTCACCTCGAGGTCATGCGTTCCCTGGACTGAAGCTCAGGGCCTGCAGTGCTCTCCGCTTCACAGCTGGCCTCCCCTCAAATGCTCTGCCTCCCCTCCCACATCTGGAGGGAGTGGACGGCATCCTTCCGTCTGCCCCACGTTGCTGGGGGCAGGTCCTACCCCTTTAAAACATAGTGTGGATCCCCCATGCTGTGCTCTGTCTTTAGTCCTCCGTGGGGAGGACAGGCACGGGGCCCACATGGAATGACACGAGAGAACCGGGCCTGGGCTCTGAGGTCTGTGTTCCAGGATGGGAGGACTGAGAAGTCCTGACCTTTAGCTCAGTTGGAAGGAGAGCAAATGTACTACTACTACTATTATTACTGCTATTTTTTTTTTTTTTTTGGTCAGAGTCTCGCTGGAGTGTAGTGGCAGAATCTCAGCTCACTGCAACTTCCGCCTTCCAGGTTCAAGCAATTCCCCTGCCTCAGTCTCCCGAGTAGCTGGGACTACAGGCATGCGCCACCATGCCCAGTTAATTTTTGTGTGTTTGTGTATATATATATATACGTATATATATATCTACGTATATATATACACACATATATATGTAGATATACGTATATGTATATATACGTATATATATGTATATACGTATATGTATATATACGTATATATGTATATGTATATATACGTATATATGTATACGTATATATGTATACGTATATATGTGTATGTGTATATGTATATATACGTATATATGTATATACACATATATGTATATGCACATACACACATATACATATATGTATATGCATATACACATATACATATATACATATATCCTGGAACATATACATATACATATATATATGTGTGTGTGTGTATATATATATGTGTGTATATATATATATTTTTAGTAGAGATGGGATTTCACCATGTTGGCCAGGCTGGTCTTGAACTCCCAACCTCAGGTAATCCACCCACCTCAGACTCCCAAAGTACAAGGATTACAGGCATGAGCCACCATGCCTGGTCTACTGCTATTATTACTATTATTATCTGTTATGGGCTGAGTTGTGTCTGCAAAATCTGTATGTTTAAATTCTAACCCCTAGCACCCCAGAATGTGACTGTATTTGGAGACAGAATTGTTAAAGAGGTAGTTAAATGAGGTCATTAGTGTGGGCCCTAATCCAATGTGACTGAGGTCCCTATAAGAAGAGGACATTTAGGCCAGGCGCGGTGGCTCATGCCAGTAATCCCAGCACTCTGGGAGGCCGAGGCAGTCGAATTACTTGAGGTTGGGAGTCTGAGACCAGCCTGGCCAACATGGTGAAACCCCATCTCTATTGAAAATACAAAAAAATTAGCCAGACATGGTGGCACATGCCTACAGTCCCAGCTACTCGGGAGGCTGAGGCAAGAGAATTGCTTGAACATGGGAGGTGGAGGTTGCAGTGAGCCAAGATCTCTTTGGACACAGACACAGAGTGAAGACAGACACCTAGAAGTCAAGGAGAGAGGCCTCAGAGGAAACCAACCCTGCCCACACAGTAATCCCGTACTTCTAATCCCCAGAACTGTGCAAAAATAAATTTCTGTTGTTTAAGCCAGGGTTCCCCAATCCCCCACGGACCACCAGGTACCAGTCTGTGGTCTGTTAGGAACCAGGCTGCACAGCAGGAGGTGAGCGGCAGGCAAGAAAGTGAAGCTTCATCTGTACTTACAGCTGCTCCCCAGTGCTCACATTACCACCTAAACTCCACCTCCCATCAGTGGCAGCATTCGATTCTCACAGGAGCGTGAACCCTGCTGTGAACTGTGGATGTGAGGGATCTAGGTTGCGTACTCCTTATGAGAATCTAATGCCTGATGATCTGTCACTGTCTCCCATCACCCCCAGATCGGACCATCTAGTTGCAGGAAAACAAGCTCAGGGCTCCCATGGATTCTACATTGTGGTGAGTTGTATAGTTATTTCATTATATACTACAATGTGATAGTAACAGAAATAAAGTGCACAATAATGTCATGTGCTTGAATCATCCCGAAACCATCCCTCCTCCCACCCCAATCCATGGAAAAATTGTCTTCCATGAAACTGGTCCCTGGTGCCAAAAAGTTTGGGGACTGTTGCTTTAAGCAATCCAGTCTGTGGTACTTGGTTATAGCAGCCCAAATGCATTTCTACGACCACTAAAATCACTTTCCAAGTGGTTATCATGTGTTTGTCATTGTGCTGAACAAATTAGAAATATTATCTCACTTAATCCTCACACAACTCCAAGAAGCAGGTATTATCATCTTCATTTGCAAATGAGAAAACTGAGTTTATTTTAGTTATTCAGCGGTGCGAGCAGTGCATAGAGTAGCTGCTCAATAAATATTGATTGAAGGACAGAAGCTGAGACATATTAAAGAACATGCGCAGGTTGCCAGCAAGAGGCAAAGCTGGGACTTTAACCACCAAGTCTGTCTGAGTCCTAATCCTGTGCCATTAACCACACACTACGTGGAGTCGAGTACAGCCTGGGGATACGTTTGAGCATGAAGCCCACAAGAGCCACGGTAAGAAGTGAATGGTGGATTTTTCTCATGGGGCCATGGCTATACCAGGTGTTTCTTTTTCTTCTTTTTCTCTCTCTCTTCTTTTTTTTTTTTTGGGACAGAGTTTCATTCTGTGGCCCAGGGTGTAGTGCAATGGCTGCAATCTCGGCTCACTGCAACCTCCGCCTCCCAGGTTCAAGTGATTCTCCTGCCTCAGCCTCCCGAGTAGCTGGGATTACAGGCGCCCCTGCCACCAAGCCCAGCTAATTTTTGTATTTTTAGTAGAGACGGAGTTTCACCATGTTGGCCAGGCTGGTCTTGAACTTCTGACCTCAGGTGAGCTGCCCGCCTCAGCCTCCCAAATTGGGGATTACAGATGTGAGCCACTGTGCCCGGCCCCTACACCAGGTGTTTCTGAGCCTGAAATAACCTGGGTTTTGTGTATAACCCAGTCTCGCTGGGAAGGACCGTAGCACTGAGTGTCAGTCAGGGCAGTGTCTGCACTTCCTGTGGCCCACATGTAGCCTTGGGGAAGGCCTGGAACTCTTTTCCTCTAATGTGTGTCCCTAGCTTGACTCGAGCCAATGACTTCAGAAACAGAGGGGGGATTTCCTCCTGCCCACTCTGTCCCCTCTCCCCACCCCCTCCAGAAGATCTTAGGGCCTCCTCTTGGGTGAGGAGATGCCTCATGTACCTTGTAGCCCTGGTTGATGCCGTTGATGAACTGGGGGCTGGGGGCGTTCCAGGTGAAGCGGATGGTCGTGGAATTGGTGGCTTCCGCGTGCACATTGCCCGGAGGGACCGTGGGAACTAGAGGAGATGAGAGAACGGGGTGGGGTGGAGGGGGCCCAGTCAGTCTCTCTTGCCCAGTTCAGTAGAGAAAACGCAGGGGTGGGGGCTATAGCCTCTGCCTTGCACCCCCCTACCCCACCCCAACTCCTCCCTCGCTGTGTAGACTTAAGAGGCCTTCATATTCTCTCTGGATTAGTTTGCGTTTAATAAAACTTGCCTGACCCACCTCACAGGGTACTGGTAAATAAGAGGGGTGCGGATGAAAAATGCTCTGGCATGGTTTTCAGGTGGAATGCTAAAAGTAAGCTGTTTCATGATCTACTTAACATGAAATTCACAGAAGGTCCCCATATGCCTGGAGCCTCTGCCCTTCACCATGTCCAAGCCAGCCTCCTCTTCCTCTTCCCCTCAGTCCTCCCACCCTGTGGGGTAGATTGGCCTGGGGTGGTGATTCCAGCCCCAGGGTGCAATAGTAGGGGCCTGGTGAGAACAGGCCACACAGCCAAGGCTCTCGGGCCTGGACAGGCACAGAACCCAACAGGCATGGGACTGGGAGAAGGGGAAGCACCTGCTCCTCTGAGGCCATAGTCTCTTTTCATTTCATTTCACTTTTTTTTTTTTTTTTTTTTGAGACAGAGTCTCACTTTGTCACCTAGGCTGAAGTGCAGTGGCACGATCTCAGCTCATTGCAGCCTTAACTTCCCCAGGCTCCAGCCTTGGGGACCTCCCGAGTAGCTGGGACCACAGGCATGTACCACCACACCAAGCTAGTTCTGTTCATTTTTTGTAGAGACAGGGTCTCACTATGTTGCCTAGGTTAGCCTCAAACTCCTGGGCCCAAGCGATCCACCTGCCATAGCCTCCTGAGTAGCTGTGCCACTGTAGCATGTAGCATGCCACCACACCCAGATAATTTTTTTCACTTTTTGTAGAGATGGAGTCTCCCTATGTTGCCCAGGCTGGCTTAAAACTCCTGGGCTTGAGCAATCCTCCCGTCTTGGCGTCCCAAAGTGCTAGGATTACACGCATGAGCCACCGCGCCTGGTCTGAGACCACAGTCTCTACCTACCTCCCTGCAGCGTCCACTCGGTGACTTTACTGCTGTAGACCCCCAGCCCAGCGCTGTTGTAAGCAGCCACCTCGATCTCGTAGTTGGTCCAAATGATGAGATCCTCCAGCAGCAGGTTGTTCACATCAGCATCCGTGATGTTCTTAAACTGGTACCCCACGGGCAGCCCGGCCAGGCAGTACCTGAGGGGAAGAGGCGAGGCACAGTGGAGTCAGAGTCAGCTTCCTTGGCCTCGTACCCAGGAAATTGTCCAGAGCAGCGCTGTCCAATAGGACTTCCGGTGGTGGCGGAAGTGCTCTGCACCTGTGCTGTCCGACAGGGTGCCCGCCAGCACATGCAGCTGCTGAGCACTTGAAATGTGGTTAGTGCAACCGAAGAAATGAATTCAATTTTTTTTTTTTTTTGAGACGGAGTCTTGTTCTGTCACCCAGGCTGGAGCGCAGTGGCGCAATCTCGGCTCACTGCAACCTCTGCCTCCCAGATTCAAGTGATTCTCCTGCCTCAGCCTCCCTGAGTAGCTGGGATTACAGGCATGTGCCACCACACTGGCTAATTTTTGTATTTTTAGTAGAGACAGGGTTTCACCATGTTGGCCAGGATGGTCTCGAACTCCTGACCTCAGGTGATCTGCCTACCTCACTTCAGCCTCCCAAAGTGCTGGGATTATAGCATGAGCCACTATACCTGGCCTGAATTAGAATTTGTTTTAGTTTTGCTTATAGTTGACCCTTGAACAACACAGGTTGGAACTGTACAGGTTGGCGTACACACAGAACTATTATTTTATTTTATTTTTTTAGATGGAGTCTCGCTCTTTCACCCAGGCTGGAGTGCTATGGCATGATCTTGGCTCACTGCAACCTCCACCTGCCAGGTTCAAGCAATTCTCCTGCCTCAGCCTCCCAAGTAGCTGGGACTACAGGCATGCGCTCCCATGCCTGGCTTATTTTTTGTATTTTTAGTAGAGATGGGGTTTCACTATGCTGGCCAGGCTGGTCTCGAACTCCTGACCTCGTGATCCACCTGCCTCAGCCTCCCAAAGTGCTGGGATTATAGGCGTGAGCCACCATGCCCAGCTACACAGAGTTTTAAAAATAAACATATCAGAAAAAGTTTTAGAGATTTGTGACAATTTGAAAAAACTCGCAGATGAATCACATGGCCTAGAAACATTGAAAAAATTAAGAAAAAGTTATATCATAAATGCATAAAAATATACGTGTTAATCGACTGGTTATAGGTGTGGCTTCTGGCTAGCAGTAGGCTATTAGTATTTAAGTTTTTGGGGAGTCAAAAATTATATGTGGATTGGGCCGGGCATGGTGGCTCGTACCTATAATCCCAGTGCTTTGGGAGGCCCAGGCAGGTGGATCACTTGAGGTCAGGAGTTCGAGACCAGCCTGGCCAAAAAGATGAAATCTTGTCTCTACTAAAAAAAAAAAAAAATTAGCCGGATGTGGTGGCACATGCCTGTAGTCCCAGCTACTCGGGAGTCTGAGGCAGGAGGATCACTTGAGCCCAGGAGGTGGAGGTTGCAGTGAGCTGAGAGTACGCCACTGCACTCCAGCCTGGGCAATGGAGTGAGACCCTGTCTCAAAAAAAAAAAAAAGAAAATAAATTATACATGGATTATCAACCGTGAGGGGGTGAGCACCCCTAGCCCCCACACTGTTCAAGGGTCAACTGTAATTTAAGTAACCAGAGCTAGCTAATGGTTACCTTACTGGGTAGCAGAGGTCTAGGGGATGTGTCTGGACTATTCTATTTGATGGGGGAGGATTGCTAACCAGGGGCACTGAGAGGTCCCAGGGCAGAACTTGCAGGTCTCAGCCTTGGAGGGGTCATGGACTGGAGAGCTGTCCCTGAAGCCTGGGCTCATTTTCTTTCCTCCTCTAGGATACAAGGCTCCCTCTTCTGAAAGTTACTCGCCCAGGTGGAATGAAACACCTGGGCTACCTACTCGACCCATTTCTACCTCCACTGGCAAAAAGAACTCACAGCACTAAAGAAGTAAATGTGTACAAGCAAATTTTGGGGGTCAGACACAAAGGATGGGTCATTCATTTGAGAAACACGATGCATATATAATTCAGCATCTAATTATTGGAAAATTAAGGACCTCAAAGTATTCTGATGCATTACAATGCCCTAAAACACTGCTTCTCTAAACCTGAAGATGCATCAAAGTCTCCTAGATGAGTTTTTTTTTTTTTTTTTTGTTTTTAGATGGAGTCTCGCCCAGGCTGGAGTGCAGTGGTGCGATCTTGGCTCACTGCAACCTCTGCCTCCTGGGTTCAAGTGATTCTCCTGCCTCAGCCTCCTGAGTAGCTGGGACTACGGGTGTGTGCCACCATGCCCAGGTAATTTTTGTATTTTTAGTGAAGATGGGGTTTCACCATATTGGCCAGGATTGTCTCAATCTCCTGACCCCGTGATCCACCCGCCTTGGCCTCCCAAATTGCTGGGATTACAGGCGTGAAACACCACGCCCGGCCTGAAAGATTTTTTTAAAAGCAAAGGTTTCTAAGCCTATCCTTAAAGTTTCTGGTTTGGTAGGTCTTGGAGAGACTTGATAATTTGCATTTCTGACCAGTTCTCAGGTTAGGCTGATGCCATGGGTGCTGGGACCACACTTTGAGAACCACCGCCCTTCAGGATTAGTGAAAAACCCACAACAAAATTAACCAATAGTGGAGCAGTTAAACCCCTGTGAGGGTGTGTACATGCAGGAATGAGACACACGAAGTTGCATAGCATTTTGTAGCCAGAATCTAGAATATCAATGAGAGTTCTCAGTAACCTCAGATAACTTATGAATTTGAACTTATGAATACCACATTTTAGTGACCCTTAATGACTCCCATTTAGGTTACTAGAAGAGTAGTCCCTCAGTCAAATGCAAAGATAAGGGTCTGTATAACTGGGCTTCATTTCCAGTAATAACCAAAGAAAGAACTTTCACTTTTCCATCAATTCTTCGGCCAGCTGGTTTCTCCACTCACGGGTCAAGAGAATTCTGGCCTGTGATGGAATATTCGCGGCTTCCCAGAGCGTTGCCCCTTGGAAAGTTACTTATTTCTTCTCCTGTCTCCTTGTAGGCCTGTTCCTATGTCAGCCCATATAGCCTCCCCTCTCACGCATTCCTCGCTGGTGTCCAGGGGTCTTGCCACTGGAAGTTCTACTAGGTGTCCAACCTAAATCCTTCCTACCACTGAGTAGGCATTTCTTGTTACCTAGTCCTTCCTAGATGGCGAAGGGCCTGCCATGAATTTGCACTGTTTTCCAGTCCACTCCCGATCTTCCCCCATGCCTTTCCCCTTGGGACTGGGCTCCTGTCCCCAGGGTGGACACCCACCTGATGATGTAACCCTTGAGAATTCCATTCTGGTGGCTCTCAGGAGGCGGCTGCCACTGGATCATGATGGACTGGTTGGTTCGACCGCTGGCGATGACGTTCTGTGGAGGGGCCGTGGGGGGCTCCTCGGGGAGGGAGACCCTGGATCACAAAACACCAATGCTCTTAGTCTTGGGGTCAAACACAGGAGTTGAATGGGATATGAGAAGGCTGAACCCTGGCCTGCTCTGACTCTGGATAATTCGGTACAACTGCTGTGTGCATCTGGGCAAGTTACCTGACTTCTCTGAGCTTGTTCTATAAAAGAATTATAATAAAGCTCTACTTGCCTGCCTTATGAGACTAGTTGAGGCTCAAATGATACTACATATATAGTCTCTGTGTATATGTGGATATATGTATATGTCTTTTAAAAACTATAAGGCCAGATGCTGTGGCTCATGCCTGTAATCCCAGCACTTTGGGAGGCTGAGGCAAGAGGATTGCTTGAGGGCCAGAGTTCAAAACCAGCCTGGGCAACATGGCAAGACCCTGTCTCTACCAAAAAAAACAACAAAAAAAACCCAAAAAAACTCCCTCCTGGTGACTTGCACCTGTAATCCCAAATACCTGGGAGACTGAGGTGGGAGGATGGCTTGAGCCCAGGAGGTTGAGGCTGCAGTGAGCTGTGTTTGCATCACGGAACTACAGCCTGGGAAACAGAGACCCTGTCTCAAAAAAAAAAAAAAAATTAATGTACATGTTTTTGGTGCCGTTGAGGGATGTAAGTTTCAGTTTCCTATTTGTCAAGGAAGCTGCTGTTGGGGCTGATGAGGTCATGAGTGTCCAAGTGTTCTATAAGCAGAAATGTTGGTCACATCCCACTGGTCAGCTGCTGGTGTACCTTAACTAGGCCTCCTTTGCTGGCCAGCTGAGCCCCAGGCAGGAGCAGGGCGGGCATGGCGTGTGAGGGAGAGAGCCAAGGACACCCACCCTGCCTCGGGGAGCCAAGCGCGACAGCACGTCTTTCTCTGGCATTGCTGGGGGATGCTGTGTTCTGCCTAAGTGTACTTTTCACATCACGGACACGTGTCCACTCCAAACAAAAGTTAATTATTTTTGATGGATGACTTTCCCTTTTTGTTTATGTTTTTGCTTTTTGATGGATAGCTTTCCTAAGCATGCTGCTCGCTCCCGTGTTTTATTTGAGAGAGTTTTGCTCTTTCGCCCAGGCTGGAATGCAGTGGCATGATCTCACCTCACTGCAACCTCTGCCTCCCGGGTTCAAGCAATTCTCCTGCCTCAGCCTCAAGAGTAGCGGGATTATGGGTGCCTGCCACCAGGGCTGGCTAATTTTTATATTTTTAGTAGAGACGGGGTTTCATCATGTTGGCCAGGCTGGTTTTGAACTCCTGACCTTAGGTGATCCACCTGCCTCTGCCTCCCAAAGTGCTGGGATTACAGGCATGAGCCACTGCACCTGGCCCGCTCCTGTGTTTTTGTAGAGGCTGGGGTAAGGGTGATTTGGCCTTTTTCTTTTTTGTTTTTGAGGAAAGATTTCACTCTTGTCCCCCAGGCTGGAGTGCGGTGGCACGATTTCACCTCACTGCAACCTCCGTCTCCCGGGTTCAAGCAATTCTCCTGTCTCAGCCTCCTGAATAGCTGGGATTACAGGCACGTGCCGCCATGCCTGGCTAATTTTTGTATTTTTAGTAGAGATGGGGTTTCACCATGTTGGCCAGGCTGGTCTCGAACTCCTGACCTCAAGTGATCCGCCCCCCTCAGCCTCCCAAAGTGCTGGGATTACAAGCGTGAGGATTTGGCCTTTTTCTTGGTGACTCAGGGCGGTTTGCATGAAGGTACATTAGGAAGGTGAGTCAGTGTGATGCGGTGCAGCCGCAGGGCAGGAGAAGTTGCAGGGTAGCTTCCCCTACACTTTCAGCCTCTCTGTTGTTGGGATTGTGTATCTCCAGATGCACTGGGGCTATGTCTGTTCATTCCCTGTCCTCCCTCCAGTGGTCCAAACGTGGCATGGCACACGGTAGCTGCTCAGTAAACAGTGAGTATGTAAATCCCCCTGTAACTGCTCTCCACACGGGCTGCCACCTGCCACTGCTCCCTCCCGTGAGATTGTTTGACCCCAGTGGTGCTACCTTAGTACAAGCCAGAGAGACCCAAGCTCATTGCAACTGTGGCAAAACCACCATGATTGATTTAAGCCCCAGGCGTCTTTCAAAGAGCCAAGTGCAAGGCTTTGCGCACGTGATTTGTATCACGGTTGTTCTGACCTCTCCCATGACATCTTTCTTGCTAGAGGTGGCTGCTTGTTCTACGGAGCTGGAGAGGATAGAATTCTCCTTCTACATAGATGGGTATCACCGTGTGATGTTTTTATATGAAGCATCTGCAGCTTTTATTCAATTTCCATCTTTTTTTTTTTTTTTTTTTTTTGAGACAGTCTTGCTCTGTCATCCAGGCTGGATCTCGACTCACTGCAACCTCTGCCTCCCTGATTCAAGGGATTCTTGTGCCTCAGCCTCCCGAGTAGCTGGGATTACAGGCGCCCACCACCACACCCAGCTAATTTTCATATTTTAGTAGAGACTGGGTTTTGCTATGTTGGCCAGGCTGGTTTCGAACTCCTGACCTCAGGTGATCCGCCCGCCTCAGCCTCCTGACGTGCTGGGATTACAGGTGTGAGCCACCGTGCCCAGCAATTTCCATCATTTTATAAAAGCTTTGCGGGAACCCTAGCAGGGCCTGGCGTCGTGCAAGACATGGATATGGAGATCTGTGTAGATCCTGTATCTCTGGAATTTTGCATCCATTTAACAATGACAGCAGCCCATGCGGATGTGGAGTGGAAGGAGGTGAGCCTTTTTGCTTGCACAGCTCCCAGTAACTGGGATGACTACATTTGGTTGGTGCTCACCGCGTTCCCCAGTGCCCTACTCAGAGCACCCCATTTAACCTTTGCAACATCCTGGTGAGGCACTCATCAGGATTGCTCTCCCCTTCTACAGAGGCGGAAGCCTAGAGGGGGCCAGGAGGAGCTGAGCCAGAATCTGCCACATCGGTTTCGGCTGCAGCCCCTGCCTGTTGGAGTCCTGGCGACGCCCCTGTAGAGCGCCAGTGCCCTCACCTCTCGGTGTCTTTGCTGAACTGTCCTTTCCCCACGTCGTTGACGGCACAAAGACGGAACTGGTAGGAGCGTGCAGGAACCAGGCCCTTGACTGTCACTGAGGTAGCTTTGGGGTCCACACTGGCCAGGAGTACAGTCCAGGGGGCATCTGCAGGGACAGTGAGTGGGGCAGAAGTGGGTATCTTGGGTGGGATGAAGCATGCTTCTTACTCCCCACTCCCAGCAGGGTCCAGCTTCACTGGGGCTGGCAAGAGAGAGCCTCCCCAGCTTGGTGCAGGAGTGGCCCGCCATGCCATTTTTCTAGGTCCCATTAGCTCACACGACCCTGGGGAGGAGACGGTGGAGGGTGCCGGAGGAAAGTAAGGGCTTATGGGAACTGAGATGCATTTGTCTCCCCCACTACCCCCCACAAATTGATGAGCTCTAGGCAAGCTGTGTTTAAAATGCCATTCAGGCTGGGTGTGGTGGCTCATGTCTGTAATCCCAGCACTTTGGGAGGCTGAGGCGGGCAGATCACCTGAGGTCAGGGGTTTGAGACCAGCCTGACCAATATGGTGAAATCCCATCTCTACTAAAAATACAAAATTAGCTGGGCATGGTGATGTATGCCTGTAATCCCAACTACTTCGGAGGCTGAGACAGGAGAATCACCTGAACCCGGGAGGCAGAGGTTGCAGTGAGCCGAGATGGCACCATTGCACTCCAGCCTGGGTGACAAGTGTGAAACTCCGTCTCAAAAATGAATAAATAAATAAATAATAAATAAATAAAATGCAATGCGAATTATGCCTGCTCATTTGACTTGGGGAATACATAAATAAATAAATAATAAATAAATACTGGCCATTTTCTTTGCAGCTTCTGCTGTGCCAGGCCCTGAGTTAAGCACCTTTTGTGCGTCATCTCTTTCAACTGTAACAGGGCCTGACAGGCAGATGCCTGTGTTTCCTTCAGAGATGGGAACGCTGAGGCTGCCAGAGGGAAGGATCTGCTCAAAGGCCCAGAACTAGGAAGCAGGAGAGCTGGGACCCCAGCCCAGGGCTGACTCCTAAGTCCAAGCTTGGGCGGGAGGTGTTGGAGGTGACCACGGGAAGCTT
Organism: Homo sapiens; assembly: GCF_000001405.40. NCBI lineage: Eukaryota > Metazoa > Chordata > Mammalia > Primates > Hominidae > Homo > Homo sapiens. The sequence continues at coordinate 73,423,384 of NC_000017.11, forward strand.
ACTGTTCTCCGACATCTCCAGAATGTAGCGGATCAGGGGGCTGTTGCCATCAAAGGGCTTGGTCCACGTCAGGTTGATGGCTCGCCTTTCCACGGTGCTGAGAGTGGCCACTGGGTGCTCGGGCGCGTGGGGCAGTTGCCTGGAAAAGAGACACGTGGTCAGGCATCCCTATGTGGTCTGCAGGCAGGTGACGGGGGCGCTGTGGACACAGGTTGTGTAGGCCTTGACCTTCCATGATACCGCATGCTTAGACGTAAAATGTGGCCTTCGGGCCATCTACCTGGAGATTTTTCTCTCTGGAACCAGAGCCCTCCTGCTAAAGCCATCCTCACACCCCCCTGCTCTTGACGGAGGGCCTAACTGAGCTGAGAGAAAGGCCTGGAAGGATGCTGGGGGTATGTCCTGAGCAAAGCTGAACAGTTCAGGTCACACGTGGCCTGGGGATCTGAAAAAAGGGACTCGGCTGGCTCTGAGCATGCCAGTTGCTATTGCCTGGACCGCCTCTGCCGGGGTCTGGGAGGGCTGCCCTTACCTGACTCGCAGGTGGGCACTGCGAGAGTCGTTGCCTCCTGCTGAGATCACCCGGCAGGTGTACGTGCCGATGTCTCCCGACCACGTCTGTGAGATGTGCAGGGAGCCGTTTCTGTCCAGGCGGATACGAGGATGGCTCTCCGTGCCCAGGGTGGCCCCGTCCTTCTCCCAGATGTACCTAAAAGTAAGAAGAACCCGTAAGTACAGAGGGAGAGGAAGGTACCTTGGGAGTGGGCCTAGCCTGAAGCTTGTCCCGAGAAAATAGCTCCAAAGCTGGGCAGAGGACAACTGCAGGCAACAGCCAGGCAGGACACTGGGATCGGGGAGCGGGACACTGTTGAAGGCCAAACAGTCTGGAAGCCCATCGTTCCTGCGGGGAGGGTGCAGGAGAGTGGGAGAGCGAACGCATTCAGTCATTATTGGTCGTTACACCTTCAGTTCAGGTTGGGTCAAAGCGTTGTTGCTTCTGGCCAGAAGCGCTTGCAAAACAGCCAGTGAAAGGTATTCTTCTGAAGAGGCTGAAAGATTACAGCTGAAAAAAGGAATGCAAGTTTCCTCATAGTCACATTTCTGAATTAGTTTTATGAGGGGAATCATTATATCAATGCATCAGTGTGACAAATTGACTATAGTGTCCAAAAAAATCCCTTTAGCTTCGGTCAGTCAATACAAATGGGGCTTGAGAAATTACACACGCATCAGTGCTTGACAATAAAAAATATCTTCTCTGAATTTGTTCTTGAGGAAATAGAACCATTATCATTGTCATCAACATACAGGGAGTGCCAGCCCTGGGGGGCAGGATGCCACACAATGAACCCAGGCGAGGTTGGCCTTGGTTCTCAGTACAAGTGTGAGGAACCCGGTGGTGGCTGAGATGCTTTGCAAATAGCCCCGTTCAGCTGGGGTACAGGGTGGGGGCCTGAGCTGCTGGCTCCCAGGACTATCTGGGTTTACATAATGTCAGATAACTAGGGAGAGTGAATCTGTAATATTTTTAACCTAAGTTTCAAAAGCAGAACCAGGCTGGGTGCATGGCTCACACCGGTAATCCCAGCACTTTGGGAGGCCGAGGTGGGTGTATCACCTGAGGTCAGGAGTTTGAGACCAGTCTGGCCAACATGGCAAAACCCTGTCTCTACTAAAAATACAGAAATTTGCCGGGCGTGGTGGCCAGTGCCTGTAATCCCAGCTACTCTTGAGGCTGAGGCAGGAGAATCACTTGAACCCGGGAAGTGGAGGTTGCGGGGAGCCGAGATGGTGCCACTGCACTCCAGCCTGGGCGACACAGCAAAACTCCATCTCAAAAACACACAAAAAGCCCCCCCAAAAAACAGAAGCAGAACCAACAGAAAAGTAAAAAGTACGGGTAAGAAAAATAAAAAAAGAAAGGAAAAGAAAAAGAAAACTCAAAAGTTTTCTGATACTAGGGAACCACGATTAACATTTGAATGTGTGCATATCTTCCAGACCCTTCTTCCCCGCCCGGATAGGCAGTGCACTGCAGCACTGCTGCATTCAGGAGTCAGACTCTCAGGCCAAATGCTGGCTTTGCTACTTTCCAGCTTTGTGATCTTGGGTGAGCTAATTTATTAATGAATTTATTTATTTTAGACAGAGTCTGGCTCTGTCGCCCAGGCTGGAGTGCCGTGGTGCGGTCTTGACTCACTGCAACCTCCACCTCCCAGGTTCAAGTGATTTTCGTGGCTCAGCCTCCCGAGTTGCTAGGACTATAGGCGAGCACCACCACGCCCGACTAATTTTGTATTTTTAGTAGAGATGGGGTTTCACCATGTTGGTCAGGCTGGTCTCTAACTCCTGACCTCAAGTGATCCACCTGCCTCAGCCTCCCAAAGTGCTGGGATTACAGGTGTGAGCCACCACGCCTGGCCTTGGGTGAGTTTATTTAACCTTGCTAGGCCTCAGTTGCCTCACCTGTAATATGAGGAAACTAACACCACCCACCTCATAGCACTGCTGTGAGGATTGTGCAAGCTAATATAAAATAGAGAAGTGCCTGAACCACGGCAAGCGGTCAGTAACAGTTAGCCTTTGTTACATATTTTAAATGATACAGTATATTTACATGAATGGTATACAGCAATCTATTCAGCCATCCTATTTTTATATTTTATTTTATTTTATTTTGAGACAGAATCTCACTCTGTTGCCCAGGCTGGAGTGCAGTGGTGCGATCTTGGCTCACTGCAACCTCCGCCTCCCGGGTTCAAGCAATTCTCCTGCCTCAGCCTCCCTGGTAGCTGGGATTACAGGCCTGCACCACCATGCTGGGCTTTTTTTTTTTTTTTTTTTTTTTTTTTTCTGTATTTTTAGTAGAGACGGGGCTTTGCCATGTTGGCCAAGCTGGTCTTGAACTCCTGACCTCAGGTGATCCGCCTGCCTCTGCCGCCCAAAGTGCTGGGATTACAGGCTTGAGCCACCACGCCTGACCAGTCATCCTGTTTTTAAAGCTGCTTTTTGACTCAATAAAAATATCATAAACTCTTTTTGATGTGATATTTCCACACCATGATTTTTTATTGGATGCACATGTGTCAGTACAGCTGTTTTGTAATTTAACCGATCCCATAATGTTGGACATCCAGTTTAGCTCCTTGGTTTCTAATATTATAGTTAAAGCTGTGGTCCTTATGGCAAAATGTTTACAACCATTCCAAATCATTTCCTCAAGGACAAATTCTCAGCAGTGAAATCGTTGAGTTAATTTTTAAGTCTTTTAATACCTATTTACAAATCAACAACAGTAATCACCTTCAATTCATCCCTTTATTTAGAAAGGACTTGCCAGCACTCACAGGATGGGCAGAATTTTACTTAAAAGCAAATTTAGTTGCAGAGAGTAATTCCCATGTAAGAAATAGCCTATGGGGGCCGGGCGCGGTGGCTCATGCCTGTAATCCTAGCACTTTGGGAGGCCGAGGCTGGCGGATCATGAGGTCAGGAGATTGAGACCATCCTGCTAACACGGTGAAACCCTGTCCCTACTAAAAATACAAAAAATTAGCCAGGCGTGGTGGCGGGAGCCTGTAGTCCCAGCTACTCGGGAGGCTGAGGCAGGAGAATGGCGTGAACCCGGGAGGCAGAGCTTGCAGTGTGCCGAGATGGTGCCACTGCACTCCAGCCTGGGTGACAGAGCGAGACTCCATCTCATAAAAAAAAAGAAAAAAAAGAAATAGCCTATGGCAAGCAGACATTCTTTGCTTCAGAATGTGGTGCTTTAGGAAGCAGAGATCACTGCCTGTGAAGTATTTGTGCCAAAACAATTGAACATGAATCTAATTAGCAGTTACTGAAATTGAATTATAAATACAGAGGATAGAAGAACAGGTTAACAACACTGTGAGACAGCAGCCAGGCCAATCCAGAGTGTTGAATATTCCATAGCAGGATCAACAAACTATGGCCTGCTGCCTGTCTGTGTAAATAAAGTTTTATTAGAACACAGACATGCCCATCTGTTTACTTAGTGCCTGTTTACATATGGCTGCTTTGGCACTATAAACAGAGTTGAGTAGTCATGACAAGACCATATGGCTCTCTTAAAGCCTAAAATGTTTACTTTTTGGTCCTTTACAGCAAAGATTGCTGACCTCTGTCTTCTAGAACCTGGTTTCTCCAACAAATCAATTACAAAACAAAAACAAAGATAAAAATAAAAAAGAAGTCTTTTCAACAAACAGTGCTGGAAAACCTTGACATCCACATGCAAAAAAAAAAAAAAAAAAAATCTAGACACAGATCTTACACCCTTCACAAAAATTAACTCAAATTGGATCCCAGAGCTAAATGTAAAATGCAAAGCTATAAAACTCCTAGAAGATAATACAGGAGAACATCTAGATGACCTTGGGTTTGGCAATGACTTTTTAAATACGACACCCAAGGCACAATCCATGAAAGAAAGAACAGATAAGCTGGATTTCATTAAATCAAACATTGCTGCTCTTTGATAGACACTTTCAAGAGAATAAAAAGAGAAGCCACACACTAGAAGAAAATATTTGTAAACGATATCTTTGATAAAGCACTGCTATCCAAAATCTACAAAGAACTCTTAAAACTCAGCAATAAGAAAACAATCTGATTAAAAAATAGTCATTGACAGATGCCTCACCAAAGAAGGTACACAGAAGACCAACAGGCAAATGAAAAGATGCTGTACATCATATGTCATTAGGGAAATGCAAATTAAAACAACAACGAGATATCACAGCACAGCTATTAGAATGGCCAAAATCCAGCTGGGCACAGTGGCTCACGCCTGTAATCCTAGCACTTTGGGAGGCTGAGCTAATTTTTTTTGTATTTTTAGTAGAGACGGGGTTTCACCATGTTGGACAGGATGGTCTCCATCTCCTGACTTCATGATCCACCCGCCTCGGCCTCTCAAAGTGCTGGGATTATGGGCGTGAGGCACGGCGCCTGGCCAGAGTGTTTTTTTCTAGAACTATTTTGGAGGTTTTCATGCTAGAAACCTGCACCCGCCCAGGCCCTCACCCCTGCACCTGGCTTTGCTCTGAGGACGTGTCACTCAGGATTCAGCGGCACCACTTTAGTCTGGTTTGGTTGTTGAGATCCTTTCTATTAGGTTGGTGCAAAAGTAATTGCAGTTTTGACCATTCCTTTCAAAGGCAAAAACCGCAGTTACGTTTGCACCCACCTAATAGTCTGCTTAGGGAACCCTGCTGTGTTTTGCAGATAGAACAGGGTTTTCAATCCTGGTGACACATTAGAATCACCTGGGGAGCTTCTTAAAATTGCTGAGGTCTGGGTCTCACCCCATCCCCAAGATCTACCTCAAGACGGAGGGTAGAAGGGATGTCCCCGTCCCCCCAGTCCAAGGAAGACAGACTGGGGTGGGAGCTGCTGGGGTGGCCTTGGGCATAGACTTTGCCAATTTTGGGGGGGATAAAGGGATGATTCTGCTCCCCAGAATCATCCCTTTGATGAAAAGATGGTCCTAGATGGTTAATTCCGTTTAAGGCGAGGACCTCCCTTCAGTAACCTGGTACAGGGATTTCTGACCTGCAGTTCACTGGAAGGGCCTACAGAGTGGGTCTGCAGGTTACTTTGCAAGAGACCCCCGAATCCCATTATGCATCAGTAACTGTCTAGAGAATGAATACAATGTATGTCTTTCTCAAATAAGTTGACACTTTTTATAAGTAAGTCATCTTTTTTATAAATAAAGTCTGATTTAAAGTATACTGAATTTCAGAATTTCCCTATTAATGAATGCTAAAAGTATAGCTACTACACAATGAATGGGCCCGAGATACACAGCAGTATTCTATGTGGGTTCTCTCCCAGGACCTTTTTTACAGTTGGTATGTTAATTTTTTAAGAAAAATCTATTAAACCCAGAAATAAGCATATTCTGGAATCTCAGTCAAAAATCTTCTAACTATTAATACATCTATGTACATTTTTGCATTTGTGCTAGCGTCATGTGATGACTGCCTTAAGTGGTCAACACTTCATGAGGTGTTTCTCAAACTGGGGCCGCTGATATGTTCTCTGAGAATCAGTGTTGGCCAAAAGCCTGGAGCCCCTTGTACCAACCTGGGCTCCCCGGAGTCTCATTTGGGGGTGGCTGTACAGACTGTCATAGGTCCAGTGGCCACCAGATGGCGCCCCAGGACGCAGCTGCCTTCGGCATGAGGAGGAGGCCATTTCTCCCAGTGCAGGAGCGCCGGCCCCTTCTAGCCTCGGTGCCAGTTGCTTTGACAGTGATATTGCTCATAAAATAGAGAAGCAACACGCAGGGAATATTTATTTCTAAGGAAGCAGTTGCATTTCCCTCAGCATTCTGGAGCTCAAGGAAGAGAAGGCAGGGACAATCTCCTCCTGGTTTTAGCTTCCAAAGCCTTGGGGGTGGGGGTAGGGTTTGGTTCAGGTGCTTGGGAGGGGTCCCGGCTTTTATACCTTTCTTGGCTGCTTCCTCCCAGCCCTTTTAGTGGCTTCCACAGAGGCGGGACTGAGTTACCTGGAAGCCAAGTCCCTTGCCAAGGTCCCGGCTTGGCCATGGAAGATGGTGGGGTGACCTCGGTTTGGAGGCTCAGTTTCCCACATGTGCTTCTCTTGCAGGGTCCCCCCAGGGGTCATCTCCTGCCCCACCCCTATAGCTGATCCCATATCCGCCTGCCCAGACCCCTCTGCTGCCCATTCAGAGGCCAGAGGGCCAAAGACTTGGGGTGGGCTGGGGGACACTAGCAGTGGCGTCCAGGGCCAGAGACAGCAGCTCCTTCCCTTCCATGCTCACTAACCCACAAGCCTCTTCCTTTCCCCTCCCTCACCCCCTCCTCCATTCCTCTTACTTCATCTTTCTGCACCCCTTCCTCTTTTCCTCCCACCTTGGAAACTGGCTTAACTCAATTCAGGGTAGCTCAGTTCCCGGGTGTTTATTTCATACCCCCTACCTCTCAGCCCTGCACTCAGCTCTGGAAATGCCACTGCCCAGGAGAAGGCGTGGCTCTGCAGCTGTTACCTCCCTAATGTGGACACTCGCCCAGCTACAAGCTATTGCCAGAGGCTCCCCCTCCCCTCTTGCCTGGAGTCAACAGCAGAGCCAGTACCTGATGGTTACTCGGGGGTCGTGGGTCACTCCGCACACCATGGAGGCCTGGGTGCCCTTGATGACACTCTGATCCTGGGGGGGCTTGGTGATGCGGGTCCGAGCTGAAAGATACAGCGGAGACAGCATGGTGAGAAGAGGTGTGGGGGCTGTGTGGCTGGACTCTGGGTGGATACCATATGAAAGCCCCCAAATGGTTAAAAAGAACAATGAGCTCCCTGGTACTTTAATTCTTGGAAGCCACGTCATAGTTGGGGCTCATTAAATTTTGCTCTCACAAACCATGTATGGGATGGAGAGACCAAACTCTAAGGACGATCAGGACCATATTTTCAGCATATCAGTGGTCCAGCCAGGGTAAAAATAGGGCTTTCTGATTTCCAGTCTAGTGCTTCATGCACCAGGACCCCTGGGCTCAGCCCAGACAAGTGGCCCACAGGTATGCTGGGTGTGGATCCAAAGTTGGAAGTGGCTTGAGAAGCTCTCTTACAGCAGGGGTCGGCTAACTACAGGCTGGGGGCCAAATCCGGCAGGTGGCCTTTTTGGCTAAATAAACCCTTACTGGAACATAGCCACGCCCATTGGATGACATACCGTCTGTGGCTGCTTTCTAGATAAAACGGAAGCTAGTTGAGTCGTTGTGACAGAGACCGTCTGGCCCACACAGCTTAAAATATTTATGATCTGGCCCTTTCTTGAAAATATTTGCCGATTTCTGCCCTAAAATATATGAAGGCAGCTCTCCTATAACTTCAATGTTCTCTCAAGTCGGCCAAGCATAGCATCACCGGCAGAATCTTCCTAGTCCCTGGCCTCTGAACCACTTTGTCACTGTCCCTCTGATGAGAAGGGCCCTGACTGGGACAGACACTGGGGATGGAGACACTGGTGGTATGAGCCTGTGCCCCGTAGCTGTCCTGAGTCCTCAGCACCTACAGGGATGTACACACGCACACACAAATGTATAAAGCCCTGTGGCTCTGCACACTCACCCCAAACGACTAGGTCTGCTGAGGCCTCATCGACCCCCCGAGAGTTGGTGGCCAGGCAGGTGTAGGTCCCCGCATCGGAGATGTGTGTGGGGCTGATGAGGAGGCTGCCCGACTCCAGGGGTGTGAAGCGAGGCAGCTGCACAGAGCCACTGGCCAAGATGCGCTCCCCTGAGGGCAAAACAGGGTGGGGGTCAGCCTGTAGCCCCCAAGGGCACACCCTGCCCTTCCCTGGCCGCTCCAGGGCAGCATGGTCCCCCCACAGGCCCCTGGCTCTGGAAATGCTGGAAGGAATGAGGACAGATGGCGGTGGGGCTGGGGTGGGGGCTGAGAGACCTGGAGAGCTTTCTGGCTTAGGGACGGACACGAGGGCACAGGGTCTCAGAGCGGGCAGCCTAGAGCCCAGGTCCCCTGATGCTCCTGTGCCCGCCACACCACGTGCCCTTCAACAGAGAAGGGGGCGCAGTTTCCTGATGACGGTGAGCAGTAGCCCGGCACAGCCCTCAGAGGCAGCTGGCACCCGGGTTGGGGGAGCTGGCGGGGGGACAGCTCTGACAAGGTGATGACGGGCATCCTGCGGCAGGATGCTTCTGGGGAGAGTCACCTTCAAGAGAGTGAAGGGAAGTGACGGGAGCTGCCTGGAGTGGGGGTGGGGTAGAGAGGGACACGCTGTCCCCCAGCAGCAGCCCTGGTCAGGACAGACCTCCTTCTGCAGGGGGACCCAGGGAGCCTGGGGCCCAGCCTGGGAGGGTCCTGGCCAGAGAAAGAGGGGGAGAAAGAGAGAGTGCAAGTGCACCTGCAGGAGTGAGCCTGGGAATGCAGGTCTTTGTGACTATGTCTATTTTAAAGAACCCCCCACCCCCGTAAGGAAGGGAATCTCCATGTGTCCATCTGGGGGTCGCATGTCCGTTTGTACATGCGTGCAGGCACAGTGAACTGAGTGTGCTGGGTGGATGTGTTTATTTCCATGTGTAAGCACGTGCCTAGGTGTGCCCCTATTATCCCCACAAATGTTTATTGAGTGCCTACCGTGTGCCAGACTCTGTTCTAGGTCCTGGGAGACGGCAGTGGACAAAACCGACACCCCTGACTTTGTGGGGAGACAGGCCATGAGCTAGGTAAATAAGCCGATGACCAAATGCATGAGAAGGTGGGGAGTGAAGGAGGTAGGGCTGGAGGGGAGGGCTGGGGGCTGGGGCAGGGTGAGTCCTTGGAGGAGGCACCTCTGAGCTGGGGCTTGCCGGTGTGAAGGAGCAACTGTGTTTGTACGTGTGTGTGCACATGTGTATGTACATGTGTGTGCATATGTGTGCACATGTGTATGTACGTGTGCATGTATGTGTGTGCATGTGTGTGCACATGCGTGTGTGTGCATATGTGTGTGTGTGCAGGGGAGAGTTGTGAAGGTGAGTGTGCACACACAGAGGTGAAGAGGAAGCACACAGGGCAGATGGCCTTAGGGAGGTGGCTTGGGCTTTGCTGGTTCCGCCATCTGGAGCCCTCTGAGCTGCCTGGGGTAGGAGACTGGCAGCAGCCACCACTAGAATAATATTCATCATCAAGCACCTATCGTTTCCTGGGCTTTCGGACTCCCAGGCATAATGCAGGACCCTCACATGCACGCTATAGTCTAGTCTTCACATCACCCTGGGGTATATATATTATTGTCACCAGTTTACAGATGGGGAACCTGAGGCTCAGAGTGAGTTAGTAACTCACCAGGGTGGCAGGTCTTGGAAGATGAAGAGCTGGACCTTGAGCCTGGCAAGGCTGGGATGTGAAGGATGCTCTTTTTTTTTTTTGAGACGGAGTCTCGCTCTGTCTCCCAGGCTGGAGTGCAGTGGCACAATCTTGGCTCACTGCAAGCTCCACCTCCCAGGTTCAAGCGATTCTCCTATCTCAGCCCCTTCCCCAAGTAGCTGGGATTACAGGCAACTGCCACCATGCCCGGCTAATTTTGGTATTTTTAGTAGAGACCGGGTTTCACCACTTTGGGCCAGGCTGGTCTTGAATTCCTGACCTCAGGGTGATCTGCCCACCTCAACCTCCCAAGATGCTGGGATTATAGGCATGAGCCACCGCGCCCGGCCGAGAGATGCTCTCTTGGGTTGTACAGTGTATGACCTTCACAAGTGTACGTGGGGAACCCAACCTGGCTGGCTCCAGAGCCTAGTTCTGAAGACTCTTCTAGGCTATCACCCAGCCACACTCTCTGAAGGTGTGTTCCATCTACCTTTCTGCCAAGTGATAGCTGGTCGGGGCGCCCCCGAGGTCTCACATGCTAGCACCACTGACATGCCATCGATCACCGTGCTGTCCAGGGGGCCTCTGGTGATGTTAGGGGCGATGCCTGCAAACAGAGAAGTGGGGCCTTTTAGCCACACCCTGGGAGATGTCCCCCAAGCCAGAGGGCCAGGGGCCTCCAAGCCCACCGAGGGCCAGGCCCTCATCCTCCCCCTGCCATGGTGAGGGGCCCTCCACGAGGAAGGATGTAGGCATCTTGATGGAGCCCCAGTGTTTGGAAGAAGCCCGGAGGGGTCATGAGGACTCCCCTATGCCACCTGCCCTGTGGAAGGACCCAGGTGACACCAGTCCCCACACTGCTTGGATTCTCAGGCCTGCATTTGGGGGAAACTGAAGACCCCAGGAGGCAGCTCCCATCCTCCCTGACAAGGTTGTTGGGGTTTACAAGCCAAAAGTGAAAGGAAGGCTCTGGCTTCTTAAAAGAAAAACAGCCACAGCCAAGAGGGGGACTTCTGCCACTTTCTAAGTGGCCCTGCCCCAGGAGCTCCATTCGGCCATGGCCACCGTTTAGGGTTGGGGCAGCCTCCTGGCTTTGCACTCTCCTTGCCCCATCCCAGCCCTCAAGGAAGGAGCTCGCCAGATGGGCGTGGGAACAGAGCTAAGTTCACCTGCACTTGGAAGCCAGAAGCAAGACGGCAGCCCCTTGGTAGCCACCTTTGGGGCACACCTACAAGCTCTCTGCCCCACAGCTGCCCTGTCCGCGGCCTCTGTGGGTCTGGGTGATGAACACCGTGGAGCTCAAGGAGACCCCTGAACATCCCCATTCTTCCTGAGGAGCCCACCAGTGCTTTGCATTTACACAGACCTTTGAGCTTATGGGCCACTCACAGTATCATCTTTTTTCTTTTGTTTTTTTGAGACAGGGTCTCACTCTGTCACCCAGGCTGGAGTGCAGTGGCGCCATCTTGGCCTCTGCCTCCTGGGCCTGAGTGGTCCTCTCACTTCAGCATCCCTAGTACCTGGGAGTACAGGTGTGTGCCACCCTGCCTGGCTAATTTTTTGTATTTTTGGTAGACGAGGTTTCGCCATGTTGCTCAGGCTGGTCTCAAACTCCTGGGCTCAAGTGATCCACCCCCCTCGACCTCCCGAAGTGCTGGGATTACAGGTGTGAGCCACTGTGCCCGGCCCACAGTTATCACCTTTGATTGCTAAAAACAGCTCTGGGAAGCGGCCAGGGCAACTATGGCAACCCCTGACAGAGACTCCAAGGGCAGAAAGGGATTTGCGAGCAGGAGAACTAAGAGAAAAACACCAGTTTTCTTCTTTGGAAACATGAGCAGGTCTTCTGGAATGGGGTTACTCCAGCCCTGCCTGGGAACCCAGGGATAGTCGCAGTGCCAGAGCTGGTACCCGTGGTTGGTTTCATAGCTCCTTTTCTCAAAAAGCCGTGAACGCAACCTGGGCCCCAGGACATTGGAGAGAACTTCTAGGGACCAGAGATTTCCTCCAGGGCTCTGGACTCAGGGCTGCAGAGGCAGCAGCGGTAACTGGCTGTGCCCCCAGGCTGCTGGGCAGCAGGCGGCCTTTGGGGATCCTATCTGCTTAATGGAACGTGCTATGCACAAGAGGCCCCTCGGAAGACCTTGGAAGAAAGCTGCGTCCTGGGAAGAGGGGCTCACGGGCAGCACAAGGGAAGGCCCAACTTACTGGTGACAGCCAGGTAGGTGGAAGTTTGCACCTCGCCGGCTGCATTGCGGGCGAAGCACTGGAACATGCCGGTATCATCGGGCACCAGGCCGCTGATCTGCAGGCCCCCGTCGTTGCGCTGCCGGAAGCGGGTCAACTTCTCCACCTCCACCACGGCTGCGTCCTTGTACCAGGTGATGGAGGGCGGCGGCACACCTGTGGGCAAGACGTGGGCCCACCGTCAACCTGCCTCCTGCCTCCTCTCCGCCTAGGAGGGGTGCTTGGGAGGAGGCCGGGCCCGGAAATCTGCGAGGGGGTCCCTGGTGAATCTTGGTGTCTAGAACCTTCTCAGAGGTGCCACTTTGGGTCTAGGGAGAGGAGGAAGATGCTCTTTGAGTGGTAATTCTCAAAGTCTTTGGGACAGAGTAAAGATCCGGGAATCAGTTTAGCATGGAAACTGGATTGGACAAACTAATTTATTTATTCTATTTTTTATTTCTATTTGTGTAGAGATGGAGTCTTGCTAGGTTGCCCAGGGTGGTCTAGAACTCTTGGTTTCAAGCGTTCCTCCCACCTCAGCCTCCCAAAGTGCTAGGATGACAGGTGTGAGCCACTGCACCTGGCCTAATTTCTTATTTTTTATTGCAGTACTTAGCAGACATGTATGTGTGCTCTGGGAACCTCCAAGTGGGGGATGCTTTCCCAAACGAATGGCGCCCTGTGTCGAAGAGCACGTAGAGGGTCCAGTGTTCCCTGGGGGGCACTTGGAAGCCCCCCATACCGGCTTTGCACATGGAGGTGAAAGGAGGAGGCTCCTCTCCTCGCTCTCAGCCTGGCACATTGTTTTCATAAGTTCCCCCAGCTGGGCTGGGCCGTGGTGGCTCATGCCTGTAATCCCAGCACTTTGGGAGGCTGAGGCGGGTGGATCACCTGAGCTCAGGAGTTTGAGATCAACCTGACCAACATGGTGAAACCCTGTCTCTACTAAAAATACAAAAATTATCCTGGTGTGCTGATGCATGCCTGTAATCCCAGCTACTTGGGAGGCTGAGGCAGGAGAATCACTTGTACCCGGGAGGCAGAGGTTGCAGTGAGCCAAGATCGTGCCACTGCACTCCAGCCTGGGCAACAGAGTGAGACTCAGTCTCAAAAAAAAAAAAAAAAAAAAAAAAAAGACTTCCCCAGAAGAGTTGGCCACACCCTATTCCAAGGAGCACCCCACGGCCCTGTCCCCACTAAGCCTGCTTGCCTTCCCTTCCCGGCACCCTTTGATCCTGACAGCCTGTGATGCCACATTTCATCCAATCCACCATGCGCTCTCTTTCCCATGGTCACGTCTCCGAGATCAGGATGTGTCTTATAATCAACAGCATGTCATAATTTAATTGGCTGCCTTTTTTCTTTCTTAGTGGTCCATAAAATAATGGGGCATCTTACAACCCATGGCATTTTAGATGAGATGAAATAAGTTCTCTTTATTTGTTTATCAGCTTGCCCATCTCCCTCCCGAGAATGTTACATTCTACGCGAGCAGGGATCTGGCTGTTTGGTTTATTATGTATCTCCCCACTCCTGAGGACACTATCGGCACATGGTAAGCCCTCAAAAAATATTTGCTGCCTGAATGGATGGATCTTTGCCTTCCCCTTGTGGAGTCTCAGAAGGGAAGTCATTACTCATCCCCTCCAGCACAGTCCTCATTCCTGCAGAGACACATTTTGCCCCTTTGCTCAGCGTGTCCCACTGTGCACGCTCTTCTCTCTTTATCATCCCGGATTTCACCCTGGCTGCGGGCTGTCTTTTGGCGGAAATGAATCAGAAGGAAGGACGGTGGGGAAGGGGAAAGTAGAAATTCTCCAGGAACTCTTTCAAGGGGGGTTAAGTAGGAATAGCGGAGGGAGCTGGCAGAGGAGATGGAGCAAAATGGCCCAGGAAACAGGCTGAGCTTATAAGACACATCTCAGGTGAGATGCACCCGGGGGCTGCTGGTTCTGGCATTACGGTAATTTGTCATTGTCTACAGCTCTCAAATTTTGGGAAATTTGGGTCTGTCACCTGTCCTGAAATTACTGTAAGTTGGGTTCATTTGTAACCCTCAAGTTTTGGTACCGTAAAGGTTGATTTCCAGCCTGAGATTATGGTAATTTGGCCTGTTTGTTTCCTGGGGTGCCTGCTCAGACAGCCAGACAGACTCTCTGCCTAGTGACATGGTCTCGAGAAGAAGCTGGAATTTAGAAATGTCCACAATGAGGATGGGAGAGGCTGAAGATCTGGGGTCTTTGTCCCCCTCCAGCGGTGCCACCTCATTACCTTTGGCCTGACAGGGGATGTCCACCACCTTCTCCATCTCCGCAGTGATGTGTCTTTCTGGCTCCTTGACAAACTGAGGCGGTTCTGCAGGAGGAAGGACCAGGGGAGGGGGTCAGAGCCATGCTCGCTTTGATCCAGCCACTGTAGGGGGTCACCCTTAAGGAGGACCCTCGCCGTGCTGCCCCTACCCCTCAGGGGAGCCCTAGCAGCCCCACCCTCTCTCACCCAGCACTGAGAGGTAGGCGCCCCGGACAACAGAGGGGACGCTGCTGCTGCGCAGGACAGCCTCACACTCGTAGTAGCCGGCGTCACTGCCGGTGGGGTTGGGGATGGTGAGCCGGCGGTTGTGGTCACTGATGCCGCCCGACAGCAATACCCCGTCCTTCTTCCAAATGATATGTAGCTTGATCAGGGGCCTGCAGAGGGCAAGGGAAGGCCAGTGTTCAGCCATGAGGACTCCCAGAGGCCTGAGAGGCAGGGCAGGGGGTGGTAAGGAGTGTGGGCTTGGGAGCCGGGCTGCCTGGGTTTGCCACCTTCCTGCCACTTTGTAGATGCAAGATCTTGGGCAAGTTCCCACAGGGCTCTGGGTCTCACTTTCCTCTTCTATAAAGTGGGCGCATCTGTGCCCGCCCAGGGGGTTGTAGCCAAGATGAATGCATTAGTGCCAGTGAAGTGCTTGGAACAGGGCCTGCTGATGGACTTGGAACTCAGGGCTTGGCAGCTCAGGCAAAGCAGGAAAGCAGCCTGGCTTGCAGCTCTTTTTTCTGGTCTTCCCTGTGTGCTGTGCCCCATCTGACCACAGATCAGTGACACGGAGGAGATGAAGGTGAGGGCAAGTGACAGACAGAAACATGAAACACCCAGAGTTTGAAAAGGGGAAATAAGGGCAGACAAGACAGACAGACAGACAGACAGACAGAAAAACCCATTCCCCAACTGCAAGAGAAGAGCAAGGGTGTGAGTCTGGCCTGGCTTTCCACCATCACCAACCCCTGCACCCCCAAGCCCCCGAGACTTGGGTCTGTCCAGACACTCCTGTTTAGCACCTGGTGGGTCCCTGAGGACGGATCTTCCAAAGTGGGCCCCTGCTAGTGCCATGGGGGTATTCAGAAGGGCCCCATGGAAAAGGAGTTCTGTGGCCGCATACGTCTGGGAAACAGCGGCTTGAGTGACAGTAGCTTGAGGTGACGCTGGGCAGTTTCTTCATCGAGGGGCTTCTCAGGGCTTTCACTGCACAGTTGCACCCTGGTGGCCTTGCCCAAGTCCTGGGGTTTGGATGTGTGTCCTCTCCAAGTCTCATGTGGAATTGTGATCCACAATGCTTGGTGTTACCCACTTGGTGATGGAGTGAGCTCTTACTCTGTTAGTTCATGTGAGGGCTGGTTGTTTAAAGGAGCCTAGCTCCTCCTCCCCTCTCTCTTGTTCCCTCTCTTGCCATAAGACACGCTGGCTCCCCTTTCTCCTTCTGCCATGATTGGAAGCTTCCTGAGGCCTCCCCAGAAGCAGATGCTGGTGCCATGTTTCTTGTACAGCCAGCAGAGCCGTGAGCCAAATAAACCTCTTTTCTTTGTAAATTACCATGTCTCAGGTATTCCTTTATAGCAATGCAAATGGGCTAATACGCCATGCCTGTGAGAAACTTGGGATGGGAGGAGCATACTTTTAGAAATGCTGCCAAAAATAACAACAACAACAAAAAAGGCTGGACACGGTGGCTCACATCTGTAACCCCAGCACTTTGGGAGGCTGAGGCAGGAGGATCACTTGAGCCCAGGAGTTTGATACCGGCCTGGGCAACATAGTGAGACCCTGTCTTAAAAAAAAAATGCTGCTACAGGACATGCTCTCCCTCTCCAGGAAGTTTCAGGTCAAGGGGACCTCAGGGGGATCATCAGTCTAACCCCCTGCCCATCCCATTGGTTTAACTTTATAGTGCACTTAGGAAGGGTCAGGTCAGGCTGGGTCAGCGCGCTGCCTATGCGCCTTCCGCTGGGGTTGGTGCTCAGATCATTCCCATTTTACAGATGTGGAGACTGAGGCCCAGAGGGCGGCAGTGAGTACAGGCCTGGGGGAGAGGGGGCAGTGCATTTCAACTCAGCTATCATCCAGCTGGGTGACGTTGGGCAGGCCACTTGCCCTCTCTGGGTTCTGAAGTGGTGACACCTATGCCATACATTGTTTTGGGAGGAAAGAGGTCTTGTGGGAAGGTGCTTAGCAGGATGCAGGGCACGGAAGGCACTTAGCCACACATAATGAGGCTCAGGGGTTTCATAATTGTTTCCTGTGTGGGAGAGGTGAGGGCCGCACATGGCTGGGAAGGGCTCGGGTGGCTCCTGACCCCTGATCTGCCCTACTCCAAAGCCCATACTCTTTTTTTTTTTTTTTTGAGATGGAGTTTCACTCTTGTTGACCAGGCTGGAGTGCAATGGTGCAATCTCAGCTCACTGTAACCTCCGCCTCCTGGGTTCAAACGATTCTCCTGTCAGCCTCCAGAGTAGGTGGGATGACAGGCATGTGACACCACACCTGGCTAATTTTTGTATTTTCAGTAGAGATGGAGTTTCTCCATGTTGGTCAGGCTGGTCTTGAACTCCCGACCTCAGGTGATCCGCCCGCCTCAGCCTCCCAAAGTGCTGGGATTACAGGTATGAGCCATCGCGCCCAAAGCCGTACTCTTAACCACCATGTGAATCGTTTCCCATGCACACTTCCCTCCTGCACAACCCTGCATGCAAGAGGGCTCGCTTTGAGAGGCCACCCACTCCCTCTGGGCTCCTCCAAGGGTTAGAAGTGAGTCCACCCTCCCTCCAGTCCTGTACGTCCCAGGCTGACGTCCCCTTCCCTGTAAGTTCCATCCAGGGCCTGGTTTTCTCTTCTTGGGCTACAGAGAACAAGCCAGCCCTGGTTGTACACAGCAACCCTCTGACAACAGCCAGCAGGTCTCCTTGCATCCCTCCTCCCCTGTCCTGGATCCTCAGGTGATGTGGCTTCTGGCTGCTCTCCCTGGAGCCCGCAGTTTGGGAGCAGCAGCTGGAGTTACGGGTGCGGGAGCGAGGGAAGATGCACTACCTACCTGGCATTGGCCACACACTCCAAGGTAACCTCTGAGGTGCCGGCCACCACGCTGGTGTTTTTAGGTGGGATGATGATGGTGGGTGCGATGGGGTCTGCAGGCCCCCCTACATCTGGAGAGAGATCAGATGTTAGCTGGGGGCGAGGCTGGAAATCCTATCCCTGCCCAGCCTCATTAGAGGCTGATGCCCTGGGAGGTCTTTGTCCTTACCGAGTGGAGCAGGTGGCCATGGGGGCAGCCCCAGAGCAGACCTCCAGACACTGACCCCAGGGACTACCTGATCCCTCTACTTCCTCTGTTGATGAGTCACCACACCAGGGTCCAAGGAGAGACATCGCTGACCTTGACGGCCTTCCCCACCCCTCCTGTAAAGCAGCCACACCCCCCTCTCCCCACCACCACCCTGTCCTGTTCCATTCCCTTCAAATCCTTCCCTCTGCCCGGGTTGACCTTGTTGGTTTAGTTCTGCATTGTCCACGTCCTCCACCAGAATGCAAACTCTCTGTACGAGGTCAAACAGAGTCACCGGCCCCCTCCCCCAACACACCTCCCGCCAATTCATGCCCATCTGGCACCTGTAAATGTGACCTTATTTGCATATAGGATCATTACAGGTTTGTAATTAGTTAAGGTGAGGTCATATTGGATCAGGGTGGGCTCAAGATCCAATACGACTGGTGTCCTTGTAAGAAGAGGGAAATTGAGACACAGATGCACAGCCTGGAAGACTCTGTGAAGACAGAGGCAGAGTGAAGAGATGTGGCCACAAGCCAAGGAATGCCAAGCATTGCTGGCCACCACCGGAAGCCAGGAAGGGGCAAGAAATGAGACTCCTCTAGAATCTTCAGAGAAGTATAGCCCTGCTGACACCTTGATTTTCAGACTTCTGGCCTCCAGAACTGTGAAAGGCTCAATTTCTGTTGTGAGCCACTCAGCTGGTAGTACTTTGTTGTGCAGGCCATAAGAGACTAAAATTCTCCCTGACCAGGAACCTCATGGGTCTTTGCTGTGGACTGAGCTGTGTCCCCCACCCATTCATATGTTGAGCCTTAACCTCCAAAGTGATGGCATTTGGAGGAGTCCCTTGGGAGGTGATTAGGATTAGATGAGGCCACGAGGGCCGGGCCTCATGAGGGCCAATGAGGGTCCCAAGGAAAAAGAAAAATGTTCTCTTAACATATTGTCAACTTTTGCTTAGAAAAGCATGTAATACTTTAATTCTCTCATTGAATGAAATGAAAGAGTTAAGGATGAAACTCTCAGAAAGCAGGTTTCCAGGTACTTGTTAGGTGTGTATATTTCCATATTTCAGATTCATGTCCTTATAAAAAGAGGAAGAGGCCAGAGCTGGCTCTCTCTCCGCCATGTGAGGACACGGCTGGAAGGCAGACATCTGCAAGCTGAGAAGAGAAGCTGACCATACTGGCTTCCCAATCTGGGACTTCCAGCCTCCAGGATGGTGGGAGCCAGAACATTTGCTTTGTAAGCCCCCAGCTGTGGTGCTTTGTTATGGCACCAAGAGCTGACTCATGCAGTCTTTTTTTTTTTTGGACGGAGTCTGGCTCTGTTGCCCAGGCTGGAGTGCAGTGGCACGATCTCGGCTCACCACAACCTCTGCCTCCCAGGTTCAAGTGATTCTCCTGCCTCAGCCTCCCAAGTAGCTGGGATGACAGGTGCCACCACCACGTCCGGCTAATTTTTGTATTTTTAGTAGAGACGGGGTTTCACTATGTTGGCCAGGCTGGTCTTGAACTTCTGACCTCAGATGATCCACCCGCCTCGGCCTCCCAAAGTGCTGGGATTATGGGTGTGAGCCACCACGCCTGGCCAACTCCTGCGGTCTTGACGACCACCTCTCCTCCAGCACGAAGAAGGATGCCTGGCACACAGTAAGTGCTCAAATACGTGTGTTAAGTGAACAAATGAATGGATCTAGAGTTACCATCATCCAACTCCCAGGGTCGATGATTGAAATGAACAAGAACTTCCTGTAAGTGGGTTTTATTGGAAAAAAAAAAAGAGAGAGAAACACTCCAAACTCCTCTTCTAATAGAGGTGGTAGCAATTCCTTTTTTTTATATTTTGAGTTTTTTTTTTTAAAGTAGAGGCCAGATTTTCATCTTGATGGGTCAGTGTAGGCCCGATATTGGCATAAACTCCAATATTCTGTGTATGCCTGATCCATGGCTCCTGAAAATACAACCTCTGAGGACTTTTTCTCCACAACAAATCTATCCAGTTGGCCCCTTTCCAGAAGGTTCTGGAGGTAGTAGGCCATGATGACATGCTGGGCCCTGCGGTGACAGTGACAGGCTGTTCTTTATGGGGTTAGGGGCAGGGTGCACAGTGGCCCCACTGCCCCTCTGGGCCACCTTGTCAGCCCTGGGCAGGTTTTCCTTCCTTGACTCCAGGCCTTGCTAGAAAAGGCCCAGGAAGAATGCGCATAAAATGTAAAAAATAAAGTAAAATGAAGGGGGAAAGAAAGGAAGCATATAAAGCAAAATAATTGCAACAATATAAAAGCCTCATGTAGGTGCCATAACGAGCGATCGGATTGAAAGCTGCTGATATAGCTGAATCCATAAAAGTGTGCTCTAAGTTGTTTATTACATGCGGGGGCGCGCAGGTACCACGGCTCAGATTAATGGGGCACAAGTAAGAGACAGACAGTTAGAGCCCAAGCCAGAGCGCCGCATGGCACAGCCAGGTAAACAGGGAGACCTCAAGGAAGGCGAGTTCTGAGTTTAAAAATACGAGGGCTGCCCCAGGGCTCAGGGCTGGCTCGTTGGCTCTGGAAGGAATGGAGGAGAGATGGCCATGTGCTCAGGCCCAGGTGGCAGCCTGCAGGGCTCGATGGGGGCTGAGGTGGCCAGGGATGCTGGCACAGTGAGAAAGGGTCCCAGGGGTGAGGAAGACCTGGGCTCAAAGCCTAGCTCTGCCCCCAGGTATCCTGGTGACTTCATCCTACTGAGTTTCAGTCTTCTCAGGGGGGAAATGGGGATGAAAGTCACTACCTCTCAGGGTTGTATGAATTCAGGCCCCAGCTCAACAAATCTTTCCTAGGTGAATGCTTGACACGTGCCAGGCTGTGTTCCAGGCACCAGAGATTCTCCACCAAGCGAGATGGCCAGGGTCTGTCCTCATGGAGGGTGATGTCCCAGAGGAAGTCGAACCAATGCTCGTGGGGTTAATGAATGAAAGAGCGTGTGATGGTTGCCGGGAAGGGGGCAGCTAAGCTGGTCTGGGGTGACTGCAGAGTGCCTGGTACACAGTAGGTGCTCAATAAATGACAGCCTCCCCTCCTGGAGATTTGCCTGCCTGTGCAGGGAAGAGCTCTCCCTGCTAGCCCTAGTCCAAGTGACAGACTCAGAGGCTATGGAGAGGTGGGAGTCGCAGGCTCGGGGACGCACATTAAGCCCTGCAGGGTACCGGGCAAGGCCTCAGGCATTTCATGGCGTGGCTCCCTGGGAGACAGCGGGAGTTGAGTGGGTCTCAGAGAAGTGAGTCCTGGAGCAGATTTACTGTTAATGAAGGTCACCCCAGCACAAGTGGGTTATTGGGGTAAATGGGGCTCCAAAGGCCAGACCATGAAAATCACAGGTGAGCCCGAGCAAAGAGGAGGGGTGTCTTCCCGGTGAGCTCCTGGCATAGGGTGGGCCCTGGGGTGGGAGGAAGTGTACGGGGCTCCCCACACGGGGGGCCTCACTGGATCTCACTGCCCCAGACGCTTTGCGTAACAGCCAGGACAAGGGACATCTAACGTGATCCATCCTCCCTGAATCACCTCATTGAATCCTCCCATTTTTGCCATAGGCACCAATTTACAGATGGGGAAACTGAGGCTCAGAGACCATGTGACCCACCTGTGCCACCTCATTTAGTCCTCCCAACTTTGCCATAGGCACCAGTTTACAGATGGGGAAACTGAGGCTCAGGGACCATGGGACTCGCCTGGGCCACAGGTCGGTGAGCGGTGGGGCAGGGGTGTGAGCTGCTCCCCTCTCTTGGGCAGGCTTCTGGGATGCCTGTTCTCCAGCTGCCCAGGAGCCAGGGTATCCAGGCCCTGTGACCTGAACCACCCAATGCAGGGGCCATGAGCCACACGTGCCTATGAGCTCCTGCAATGTGGCTGGTGTCCCTTTGATTTAATGTGATTTAATTTTAACTAATTTACATTTAATTAAGAATGGATCCCCAATTCAGTTATTAGAACACTTTTAAGCATGTACGGAACAACTTATGCATACGACTCTACTTTTCAGCTATAAATTTTGTGAAATCTAAATACAGATCACGTATTTCGGGTGAAAATTTCACATCCAGATTGAGATGTGATATAAGCGTAAAATACACAAGGATTTCAAAGACTTAGTATGCAAAAAACCAATGGAAGATATCCCATTAATATTCTTTACATTGATTGTATGTTAAAAAGATAACTTCTTGTTATGTTGGGTTAAATAAAATAGAGTAATAAAATGAATGTCAACGATTTCTTTTTACTTGGTAAAAAAATGGGGCTACTGGAAAATTTAAAATTTCGCATGTGGTTCACATTCTATTTCCTTTCGACAGTGTAGCCCTGATCCCCGGTATCCACCCAAGCATGGGGTTTTCAGGAGCTGTGACAGTCCGAATGAGGTCACCAGGGTTATCCTGAGCAGGGGGCAACTTCTGGGGTCACCAGACTTGCTCTTTCCTTCTCTGGTTCTGAAGAGCATAGGGTCCCTATAAAGAGGTGCAGAAAGCTGGACTTCCTGGAGTCCAGGAGGGATGGAGGAAGCGGTGCGGAGGGGAGAGCAGACGGAGGGGTGAGGCCCAGGAGAGGAATGAGGGGAGCTGGTGCTGGTGGTGGGCGAAGCGTCAATTGCTCCTCACAAATTGGTTGGCAGGCAGGCAGGCAGGCAGGCAGGCAGGCTGGGGATTTGTGTCACAGAGAGGAAGAGGGTTTTCAAGTGCAGTCACTTGTGGAAAGAGAAATTAGCTAAAAATCAGCGGATTCTGCTCTGAATTCAGGATAAATCAGCGTGTGATGGCAGGAGGCCAAGAGGCAGTGGGGTGGGAGAAGCAGGTGACTAGGCAGGGCTTGGGTGGGTACAGGGGGTCAGAGGTGACCTGCCCACCTCCCTGGGGCCAGCTGGAGGGTTGGGTGGTTTGGGATGGAGCAGAGAGCGAATGACTCCCAAAGTCAGACAAGAAGAGTAGCCTAGTTTAACGCCTATGAGGAGGAGCTGGATGCCGGAGAAGGGGAACAGACAGGAAGGCCCCGACTCTGTCTCAGGGTAAACTGAGTCACCTAGGAGGATGCCTGGCTTTGACTTGGACCATGAACCACTCCTGTGTCTTTGACATTGTCTCTTACCAAATGACGGGATTCCATGAGACTCCAGGGAATCTGATCACTAGAAAATATATGGGGAGAAGCATCTCTCTTTGATGACTAAATTCCCTTCTCCTATAGAAACAGCAGCCCCAGGGTATGGGCTGGGGCCCAGGCTGCTGAGACTTGACTGAGACCCTGACTCGATGTCAGAGGTTACACCCTCAACCCTGACGGTCAGTCTCCAGATATACTTGTGACGCCGATGGGTCAGTCTCCAGAATGAAACTCTCCTCCCCGCATTCAGATTTCCTTCTAGGCAGACTGGATGCTGAGTAGGGGAAGGAGATCCCTGGGATAATGGGAAGCGGTTCCTGCTGAAGTGTGAAAGGCCCTGGAATGGGGATGGCAAGGCCTGGGAATGTCCTGGGCCCTCTGGACATGGACAGCAGAGGCTAGGATCAGAATAAGAGCACAGAAAGGCCCCAGGCTGGTCCACACCCTCATCTTGCCGCTGGTGGGCAAGTACCATCGTGACCAAGGATGATAAATGAGGCTTACTTTGGGAGCAGGAGTTGTACAGATGTGGAGGGAGGTGAACATCTGCCTCCCCCAGCTTGTGTGATGGCTCAGCTGCTGCTGAGGAGGAAGCTCTGGCCTCGCCCCACATACTCTGGGATTTGGGCCTACGCTGCTCCTGGGCTGTCCACCCCTCCCTCCTTCTCTGTCTTGGGAATGGAGTATGGAGGGAGGGGCTCGTCCAGTAGGGAGAACCAGGCCAGAAAGAACATCCCAGCATCTCGTCCCTCCAAAGAAAACTGGCTTCAGTCTCGGCTGGACAAGCGTCTCTTTGCCAAAGCACACCAAGGGAATCACGCTTTTGTGTGTGTCTCACTGTGTGGTGAGTTCTAGGGAGGGCTTTGCCCTTTTCGCCCAGGGAGCTGGAGGTGTCTGAGGATGGAGGTGTTTTAGGTGGGTGCCTGGGCAGAGGGCCTGTCTTCCCATCAGCAGGGACCACCTGGCTCCCAATATAGACAGCACTTCTTATGTGACAGCCAAGTAGAGACAGTTAGTATATTTCTGTAAAAACAAGCTTCAGCCCTGCAATCACCCACATGCCCTCCTGGTCAGCATCTGAGCCCCGATAGTGGCTGCAACTCACACATGCACACGCTCTTCCTCTGCCCCACCCCTCCCTGGGTCCCTGGTAGCCCTGCTAACAGTTGTGCTAAGCATCCTCTCTACCGATGCAGGATCTCAGGCGTGTCATGGGAACGGGCTCCAGCGTTCAGCTGCTCCTTTCCTGCCCAGGCACCCCTGGCTCTGCTGTGTCTCGTCCTCCTTGGGAAGGCTCCCCCCGGCCGTCCCCTAGCTTCCCTGTCCCCCTCCTCTGCCACTCCATCTTCCCAATGATCCCCTGGAGCACCATTGCTAAGATTTAATGGCCCGCTCCAAGATCGGTCCCGGCCCTGTGCGTACTTACTCTCCACGGTGAGCGTGATGGGCTGGCTGGTCTTGTTATCCCCGTTTTTGTCGTTAACAGCCTGCACATAGTAGCGACCTGCGTCAGGGGCCACCGTTGACAGGATGACAAGGGTGTTCTCCAGCGTGATGGCTCTGGGAAGAGGAAAAGGATTCCTCTGACAGGGGCCTAAGGGGCTCTGAACCTCCAGGGAGTGGGAGTGGAAACCCTAAGGGGGAAGCCCGACCATATCTCCCAGTCCCCAGCCTCCCAGGGCCCCTCCTGCCACCCCCTCCCCAACCTCTTACTGCCTACATCCCGCCACGTTTAGTTTGCAGAGAATGCTAAACACGGTGCTGATGCTGTCAACCAGACCCAGAGACAGCACGTTCATGCCCAGACGCCGAGGCCACCCAAAGGAAGCTTCCCTGGCCCCTACCCCAAGACTGGGCAAGGGGCTTCCAGGTATCCCCTTGGAATTCTGCCCTTTCCCAGGTCACAGCCTCCATGGCTGTGTGTGGTTATTTCTGCATGATGTACATCCAGACACTGAAGAAATGTTCTCAGCATGGATTAGTGAATGTCGGTGAATGAATAAGTAAATGACAAATGAATGCTAATGAATTTAGAAATGCAGGGCCATTCCAGAGTCCATGCCTTAACCCTAATCCTAAATCTGTTCAGGATTGATGGACTCAAAGGCCACAGGTCACCTGGTGACATCAACTTCTGGAAGTCCTGTCTCCCTTCAGTCCCCTTTCTGGGTATCAGTTTCTACCTCTTTTTTTTTTGAGACAGTCTCGATCTGTTGCCCAGGCTGGAGTACAGTGGCATGATCTTGGCTCACTGCAGCCTCTGCCTCCCGGGTTCAAGCGATTCTCCTGCCTCAGCCTCCCGAGTAGCTAGGACTACAGGTGCGCGCCACTACCCCTGGCTAATTTTTTGTATTTTTAGTAGGGACAGGGTTTCACTTTGTTAGCCAGGATGGTCTCGATCTCCTGACCTTGTGATCTGCCCGCCTTGGCCTCCGAAAGTGTTGGGATTACAGGCGTGAGCCACTGTGCCCAGTCTTTTTTTTTTTTTTGAGACAGAGTTTTGCTCTTGTTACCCAGGCTGAAGTGCAATGGTACGATCTTGGCTTACTGCAACCTCCGCCTTCCCGGTTCAAGTGATTTTCCTGCCTCAGCCTCCTGAGTAGCTGGGATTACAGGTGCATGCCACCACACCCGGCTAATTCTTATATTTTTAGTAAAGACAGGGTTTTGCTATGTTGGCCAGGCTGGTCTCAAACTCCTGACCTCAAGTGATCTGCCTGCCTTGGCCTCTCAAAGTACTGGGATTACAGGTGTGAGCCACTGTACCCAGCTGGAGTTTCTACCTCTTTGAAGCTCATAACCAAGAGTGGGACTAGGTGGGCTGGTTAGGAGGGAAAAAGAGGCTGGTGTGTTTTGGGGTGTGGTGATGGGCTGTTTACCTCAGCTGGTTTCCTTTGCTGGGATCCCATCATGCAGCCCCTTCTCAGGCCAGGTCTTCTGGCAGGGAAAAGGGGCTTGTCCAAGCAGGAAGCTGGAGGCTCCATGGAATGTGGGTGCAATGGAGCCAGAAGCGCCACCCACACCGGCTCTTCCTCCCTCCACCCATTCTCCCAATGACAAACAAAGCCATTAGTTTGTCAAGTATATCTCTGGATTTTAATGCGATGGGCCTGAGACAGCTGTTAAACATCCTTAATGTTAGTTTAACAAGGACAAATCCAGTTGAATTCTTTTCAAATTTTCCCATTAGGTGAATGTTACAGAGTTTTAAACAGGCTCTCAAATAAACATCCCCACTAATGCTTCTCCAGCCCAGCACTCTCCCAGCCCGGCTGTGCTGGTTTTCGCCCCACTCTCTCCTGGTTTTGGTGCTTCACATGCTGAGAATCACACTCTTGGCACAGCTCTGGGAAGCAGGAAGCCAAGCCCTCCTGCCCCCAATTCCTGGGTACCCTAATGATGCCCCCCCACCTCTTTTTTTTTTTTTTTTTTTTTTTCTGGAGAGCTCTTGGCTGGGCACAGTGGCTCACGCCTGTAATCCCAGCATTTTGGGAGGCTGAAGTAGGTGGATCACCTGAGGTCGGGGGTTCGAGACCATACTGACCAATATGGAGAAACCCTGTCTCTACTAAAAATACAAAATTAGCCGGGTGTGGTGGTGGTGCATGCCTGTAATCCCAGCTACTCGGGAGGCTGAGGCAGGAAAATCGCTTGAACCTGGGAGGCAGAGGTTGCGGCCAGCCGAGGTCGCACCGTTGCACTCCAGCCTGAGCAACAGAGCGAAACTCCATCTCAAAAAAACAAAACAAACAAACAAACAAAAAAACAAGAAACAAAAAACAGGAGAGTCCTTTTAACCTCCAGCTAATGAGGCAATAGGAGGTGGGGCCAGAGCCAGGCGAAAATATTTCAAAAGCTTAAAATAAGACAGGGATAGTGGTCATTTTCCCACCTGAGAGTTTCCTGCAGGGACTTGTCCTTAGGTATAGCATGTGAGGGTGGCTGAGAGTTGGAGGAGGGGTCCTCCCCGTGCAGGGCTCTGGCTGGGGCACGGGGTGAGCTCTGGAATGGAGCTCTGGCCCTAGCCTCTAAAGGGCATGCAGCTTCCTCCTTGCTGGGCCTCAGTTTCCTCCTCTGTGCAGGGGTGGAAGCAGGTATTCTGTGAGATTTCTTCCAGCCCAGAGGTTGAAGGATTCTGATTCCTGTTGCTGCTTCTGTTGTTTCCTCATTAGGCCCAAGATAGCCCTGCAGCCCGCCACCTGTCTCTTCCCACCCCGCAGACCGGGACATGGCCAGCTTCAGGGCTGACAGGATTTTCATGAGCACTATGTGCCGGGACCATGCCGGCCCAGCTCCCCCAGCCACGCCACATCCATGACTATCATAGAAGCAGCTTCAAGCCTCCAGTGGGCACACTGGGCACAGCTTGGCCCACGTTCCAGTTCACCCACCTGTCTTAGGACCCTTTTGGTCTCCAAGAAGGCTCCCACCTCCAATTTCATCTCTTTCTTGATCAGGAAGGCTCCTTTCACTGTATTTTGTCTATATCATGATCAAGCTTTCTGGGTCAGTGGTTCTCAACCAGGGTTGACTTTGCCCTCCAGGGATGACAATGTCTGGACAACTTTTGGTTGCCAGCTCGGGGAGCGCCACTAACAATAGGGGTCAAGGCCGGGGGTGTTGTTAAGCACGCATCCCGTGGTGCACAGGAAGGCCCTCACAGGGAAGAGTGATCAGGCCCCAGATGTCAAGAGCGCCATGCCTGACATGGTCTGTCCTAGGTAGAGTGTATATTAAGATGGCAGAGATGGCCGCTGCCCACCTCAGTCTCAGGCTTCCCTTGTGTCATGGACTGCAGTGGCTGGGAAGCCAGAGACAGACTTTGCATCTCTGCTTGCATCCAGGTGGGGCAGTGAGGCTGAACTAGTGGGATATGGAGGAAGGGATGTGCACCGTTGCTAAGCTTGGACCATGAGCGCCTCCTGCGCGATCCTCATGTCTGCCCCCTTTCTCTCTGGCAGAGCAGGACAACTTGGAAGGTTGTGTGCTGATGATGGCAAAACTCCTGCCTCTCATCATGGTAGGACTTTAAATGGGGCTGGGCACGGTGGCTCATGCCTGTCATCCCAGCAGTTTGGGAGGCTGAGGCAGGTGGAACGCCTGAGGTCAAGAGTTCAAGACCAGCCTGATCAACATGGTAAAACCCTGTATCTACTAAAAATACAAAATTAGCCAGATGTGGTGGTGCATGCCTGTAATCCCAGCTACTGGAGGCTGAGGCAGGAGAATTGCTTGAACTCAGGAGGCAGAGGTTGCAGTGAGCTGAGATCGTGCCATTGCACTCCAGCCTGAGCATCAAGAGCGAAAATCCATCTCAAAACAAAAACATAAACAAAAACAACAACAATAAATGGGCAAGAACTCAACTTCTATGGTGTGAAGTCACTGAGATTTTGGGCTCTGCTTTAACTAGTGCCTGGAGGGAAGCACCCTGGACTGGGACCCCCAGGGCCTGAGTTCAAGTCTTAAACACAGAGTGGAACAGGAGGCAGAGATACCTTTTGACTTGCCCTCTCTGCGACCCCCAAAGGCAGTGAAGGAAGGTCCCTGGGCTTGTGGCTCTCTCCAGAATGTCCATCTCGTTGATAGACATTCCTGGGATGATGCTGTACTGTACTGTACTGGGTGCTCTTCCTGGCACTCAGGAGGGCTTCCAACCTGCAGCACTGCACCCCAGAGGCAACCCAGATGGAAAGAAGCTGGAGGAAGAATTCTTGGGGGACACAGACAGCAGAATTCAACTCTTGGGCAGGGGCTGGATTCCATTTTTCAGCCACACCCCCTGGTTTCAATGTACTAGGCTTTTGCTATGGCTCTGATTGGCCCAGCCCTGCCCTCCCTTCCCCCCACTGCTCCTGTTAATCCAGGCCATTTTTCTCAGCTCCCTGCAGCCCCCATTGATAATTTAATTATGCATGAAATAAATTATCCTAGAATGTGTCCAAAGCCCCCAGCATGCATCTTTATGAGGAATCTTGTCTCCTTTGCAACAATGAGCACCGGGGCATGCATGAGGTGGTGCTAATCTCTGCTCTTGCCCCACCAGTGAGAGCGGCTCTCTGTAGATAGCAGCGCCTTCTGTGCCCTGCACACCCCTCTGGCAGATAGCACTCATCAGATGTGTATCTCTGACACACAGACACCAGGGAATTTGCTGCCAGGGACCTTTTCTGCTCACTTATGAATATTAATTTGCTGTAATTGCCAGGATAAAACCCCCAGAGTGTTCTATCATGTAGGTGGTAGGAATATTGCGGTGGTGTGCAGGGGCTGGGGGTGTGTGTGACCAGGGAGGTATGCATGTGTGTGCAGGCCAGGGTGTTCTGTCCTGGTGCCACAGGGTTGTGGGAATTAAAAGAGGATGAGGACAGAGGCTTGGAATGAGAAAAGGAGGTGAAGAGGTGTTAGGAAAGGGATGATGGGAGTAGGTTGTAGAAAGGGTTTCACCCACCACAACAAATGTAGCAGGAAAGTGCCAGCACACCCCTCATGCAGCCATGGCAGACATTGCTAATCAATCATGATATTCATTCTAATGAGTCTAGATGGGACATCAGAATCCTTCTCAACACAGTGTTCCAGGCAGCCACTACCAATTGATTGGCTTGCAATAGGCCATGGGAAATAACCTCAGAAAGGGAGCTGGGATGGGGCTGGGACTCGTCTACTTGTCCCAAAACCTGTGTGGAGAGCATTCCCCTTCCACAGCAAAATCTCAACATCCACGCTAAGAAACATCCATGCTAAGAACCATTCTCTGCTGGTTTTATTGAGCATTAAGTTAGGCCTAAGAGGGCACACTCTGACTCACACAGCATGAGTCCCCTGTTAACCTGGGGTGCCACTCCAATTCTTCACCCTGCTCTGTATCCACACTCTTTGTCCCGTGACTTTGCAGGTCCTGCTGCTCAAGGAACAGAGTCTATTTTCCTACATCTTGATTCTGAGTTCTGCCATGTTCTTGCTTTGGCACATGGGATGTTAGCAGAAGCTGGAAAAGTGTATGTTCCTGTGCAGCACAGCCAAGTCACCCCAGTCACCCAGACAAGTCAGCCAGTCCCAGACAAGTGAGAGAGCCCAGCCAAGACCAGAAGAACCACCCAGCCAAGCCCAGCCTAAATCACCAGCCTGCAGACTCACAAGAAAAAGAAATGTGTATTGCTCTAAGCCACTGAGCTGGGGTTTTTTTTTTTTTTCTTTTTTTTTGAGATGGAGTCTTGCTCTTGTCACCCAGGCTAGAGTGCAGTGGTGCAATCTTGGCTCACTGCAGCCTCTGCCTCCCAGGTTCAAGCGATTCTCCTGTCTCAGCCTCCTGAGCAGCTGGGACTATAGGCATGTGCCACCATCCCTGGCTAATTTTGTATTTTTAGTAGAGATGGGATTTTGCCAGGTTGGCCAGGCTGGTCTTGAACTCCTGACCTCATGTGATCTGCCCAGCTTGGCCTCTGAAAGTGCTGAGATTACAGGCATGAGCCACTGCACCTGGCCCACTGAGCTGTTTTGTTACGCAGCATATCTGTGGCTGTGGGTAGCTGATACATACTAGCATGGTGGTTCTTAACCCTGGCTTCACATTAGAACCACCTGGGGAGCTTTTAAAATTTCTGATGCTCAAATTCCATCCCATTTCAATTAAGTCAGAGAGTCTTAGGATAGAGCCCAAGGATCAGTACACAGTCACGCACTGCATAATGTTTCAGTCAAAAACAGACCACATATATGATGCTGGTTCTATAAGATTATAATGAAACTACCTTATACAGGTGTGCCATTAAAAAAATCTTTTACACCATATTTTTGTGGTACCTTTCCTATATTTAGATATGTTTATTTATACAAATACTTACCATTGTGTTACAATTGCCTACAGTACAGTAACATGCTGTACAGGTTTATAGCCTAGGAGCAATGGACTACACCATACATCCTGGGTGTGTAGTAGGCTGCACCATCTAGGTGTGTGTTCACACAACAATGAAACAGCCAAATGACACATTTCTCAGAATGTATCTCTGCCATTAAGCAACACATGACTGTATCCCCAAACTCCCAAATGATTTCAACAGGTAGCTACGTTGAGATACTCCACAGGGCTTGTTCCCCACAAACACTATCTTTTCATCGAGTCTGTGAACCTGTTTTCAGGCACTTTTCACATAATACAAGAATTAAAGAACCTGACTCCGGAGTTGGCAGGGCTGGATGCAGCTCCAGTGCTGACCAGCTGTGTGAGATTTGGCAAAGTAGTTAAACTTTTGGGAACTTCACTTGATTGCCTGTAAAACGGGGAGAAACCCAGCACCTCACCGGGTTGTTGTGAGGGTCATTCATTCAACAACGCCTCCTTTCTGCAGGTGCTCTGCGGACTGGAAGGAGAACGAGATTGAGAGCATCTTCTTCCTCACAGAGTGTGGCTGTCCGGAAAGAGAGGGGATGTGTGTGGTGTGCTTAGCTCAGTCCTCAGGACATAGCAGCCATTCAATAAACGGCAGCTGCTATTATGATGATGGTGATATTATCATTATTTGAGATGGAGTCTGGTTTTGTCTGGAGGCTGGAGGCTGGAGTGCAGTGGCCCGATCTCGGCTCACTGCAACCTCTGACTCCCAGGTTCAAGCGATTCTCCTGCCTCAGCCTCCTGAGTAGCTGGGATTACAGGCACCTGCCACCATGCCCAGCTAATTTTTGTATTTTTAGTAGAGACAGGGTTTTGCCACGTTGCTCAGGCTGGTCTCAACTCCTGACCTCAAGTGATCAGTCCACCTCAGTCTCCCAAAGTGCTGGGATCACAGGTGTGAGCCGCCGCGTCCGGCCTGTGATAGTGATATTATTATTATTGTTATTGTTACTATGCTTCCTTCCCCCAACTAGACTTAATGCTCCCCAAAGGCAGGAACCATCCATCTACGCCTCCACTCTCTACAGAGACCAGGACAGGCTCAGTCCTGTGTACACGCAGCCTGGGTAGATCAGAAGGTGGTCTTCTGGAAGCAGGGGAGAGCTGGAGTTGGAAAGAGGAGAGCCCCAGCTGCCTCCAGACCCGGGGGTGGCTCAGGAGGGCGGGGAGACGGGTGTATCTCGGGAGGAACTGCTTTGTTGCTCGCCTTCTGCGGAGGTGTGGGGTGTTGGCTCCATCCTCCTGCCCACAGGCTGGGCTGCCCCAGCCAATCCCAGGGGGCACACAGAGACGGCCTTGTGAACACTCAGAGGCCTGTGTGTTTCTCTGCCCAGGGCTTCCCTGGCCACACCTCCGCCGCACAGCCAAGACACACACAGCCCTCACACACCAGTAAACACCCTGCCAACGGACGCGCCCAGGGCCTCCCGGCTGCCCAGGAGACGCCAGCCTCTCCAAGGTCCCCCAGCGCCACTGGCCTGAGTCCTGGGCCTGTAACCACGGTGACAGCGCCTTCGTATATGCCTGTTTGGGTTTTTTAAGTGCTCTGAAAAGCAGATTTATTCTCCAGCTGATGGTGGAGGCAACGCCCTGGGATTCCCCAGGAAGGGGACCGGGCATGGGTTTCATGGTCCCAAGTCCTTGCCTGTGCATCCTAAGAAAGCCCCTGGGAGGTCCCCTACCTGGCTGTGTCCCACAGGAGCTGAAAGGGGCTTCTGCACAAAGGCCCTCCTCCACACTCAAGGGAGACTTTATCTGGCCCCAAACCTCCTCCCCCAGACACCCCTCCCCTCCCCGTCCCCTCAGAGCGATGCACTCACATGCGGCTGCTGGGCGGGATCTTGCGGCCGTCCCGGAACCAGGTCACCTGTGGCTGGGGGAAGCTGGCGATGCGCGGGGCACGGATGACAGCTGCTTCTCCGTGGGAGACGCTCTGGTGCTTCTCACCTTCCTCAAAGCTCCCCATGTCTGCAGCCGGGACAACGGCAGTAGGATCAGGGGCGGGAGGTCAGCCTCAGGGACTGCCCAGCTCCCAGGTTGGGAGTGGTGGCTATGGACGGAAAATTCGGGGCAGACAGGATGACCACAGGGAAGGAGGACACCTTGCTCGGGCCACCCCATTCTCTGCCTCACCACTAGCACCCTGCCCTAAGCTACTGTCTCCATTCATATCCCTATATCCTTCAATCGGCCAGTTCGTTCAACCACCCTGAGAGGTTGGTCATCATTTCACACATTTTACAATGGAAAAAACTGCTCAAATGGGCTCCGAGAGGTTAGTTAACTTGTCTAAGGTCACCTAACTAGGAAGAGACAGAGTCAGAATTTGAACTCGGACCTTAAACCCTGGAGTCAGGCTATGTAGCTCCTCCTCCCCTGCCCTACAGTGTGCCCTTCAGCATGGCGGGGGTTCCTGTGTGAGGTGAAGGGCAGGTTTCTGTGCCCTTTCAGGGAGAGAAGTGTGGGCATGCTGAGAGAATGGGGTCTTAGATGCTTGCAAATGGGTGCAGACAGCGTTTCTCTCCTGCGCCTTGGGTGTGTAGTGTGTAGTGTGTGAGTTTGTGTGTATGTGTGAACATAAATACCATATTGCTCTTTTAAAACATGCCACTGCCTTGGCAGATAAGGAGGGGAACATTTATCCTGGCTCTGCCTGCCAGGAGGTAAGCACAGAGCAGAGGAGACGCGGGTAGGAAACTCTTCAGCCAGCCTGCCGGCCTGCCGGGGCGGGACAAGGGGGTAGGGAGACTAATTCCAACACGGAGGCTTGGAGATAGGGTTTGGGAAGGGGTATTTGTGTCTCTACCACACCCTTGAAAATTAATGGACATCCCTGTTACTTTGATTGTGGCCCATGGGCAGGTGCCTAGGCACCACACCTGGGCACCTGTCAGAAATGCAGAGTCTCAGGCCCCCCAAGACCTGCTGGATCAGAAGCAGCATTTTAGCAAGACGCTTGGCAAGTGTGTCCATGTTCAACTGTGAGGAGCATATTATTTGTCCCAAACTTGACTGTGTGTCGGAACCACCTGTAGAATTAAAAAATGCTGATGGGAGCCTCACCCCCAAAGCTTCTGATTTCACTGGCGTGGAGTGTGGGGATGGGAGACATCTCACATCATTCCATTTTCTTTTCTCTTCCTTCCTTCCTTCCTTCCTTCCTTCCTTCCTTCCTTCCTTCCTTCCTTCCTTCCTTCCTTCCCCCCTCCCTCCCTCCCCCTCCCCCCCTCCCCTCTCCTCCCCTCCCCTCTCCTCTCCTCTCTTTCTTTCTTTCTTTCTTTCATCTCACTCTGTAACCCAGGCTTCAATCAGCCAAGTGCAGTGGTACAATCTTGGCTCACTGCAACCTCTGCCTCCCAGGTTCAAGTGATTCTCCTGCCTCAGCCTCCTGAGTAGCTGGGATTACAGGCACCCGCCAGCACGCCCAGCTAATTTTTGTATTTTTAGTAGAGATGGGGTTTCGCCATGTTGGCCAGGCCGGTCTTG
This sequence comes from Homo sapiens, assembly GCF_000001405.40. Classification (NCBI taxonomy): domain Eukaryota; kingdom Metazoa; phylum Chordata; class Mammalia; order Primates; family Hominidae; genus Homo; species Homo sapiens. The sequence goes on from NC_000017.11 coordinate 73,457,572, forward strand.
AACTTCTGACCTAAAGTGATCCGCCCGCCTCGGCCTCCCAAAGTGTTGGGATTACAGGTCTGAGCCACCGTGCCCAGCCTACATCACCCCAAGCCATCACTAGGATGTGCCTGGACCTGTGCACAGAATTCCCACGTGCAGAAAGATTTCACACTGCTGACTTTAGGCCTTTGTTTCCCCATTGCCTAGCAGATCCCTCCCTAACCAAGGGGGCCGCATCCTAAGCTACCGGGTCCCCTCCTACTGCATTGGGTGTTATTTCTCAACTCCTCTAAGACCACTGACTCTTCTTCCTCTCCTTCTACCAGGAATTCTCCAACCTGGCTGCACTTTAGCAACCTTGAGGACCCTTTAATATTCCCAGAGGTGAGAATCTTTTGGGGTGTGTGGGCTGACCTCAGTATTTGTTTATTATTATTATTTTAGAGACAGGGTCTCGCTCTATCATTCAGGCTGGAGCACAGTGGAGTGATCATGGCTCACTGCAGCTTCAACCTCTTGGGCTCAAGCAATCCTTCCGCCTCAGCCTCCTGAGTAGCTGGGACTACAGGTGTGTACCACCATGCCTGCATAATTTTATTTTTAATAGAAACGAGGTCTTGTTATGTTGCCTAGGCTGGTCTGGAGCTCCCAAAGTGTTGGGATTATAGGCGTGAGCCACTGTGCCCAGACCAGACCTGAGTATTTCTAAAGATGTTCAGGTAGTTCCAACGTGAGCTAAGGCTGAGTTGGGTGGGTCTCAGAATCTCCTGAGACTTGGCAAACTCACAAAGGTGCTCACCACTCTCCTTCCCTCCCAGGCATCCCCCAGGGCACAGAAAGGCCCGTCTGGCTCTCTGAGTACCTGATTCACTCTCTTGGTTTGCAGATTCTGTCACACAATCGTTTGAGAATGCGGGCCTACAAGTTCATTTTCCAAAGCCCTAGTCTTGATTCTCTTTCCAGCCATGCTGGCCCCTTGGCAGCTTCACTTGGCCTAATGGTTTGACCACAATCTCCCTGCAAATGACACTTGTGCCTTCTGCTCTGGCTCTGCCCTGAGCTCTGAGATCCAATTTCCAACAGTCTGTTGGGCATTTCTCCAAGGAGGGCCCTCCGTCACCTCCTTGCCAAGCTCTCCTTGCATCCTAAGTTCTGTTAAAATCTCCCCTTGGCCGGGTGCAGTGGCTCACGCCTGTAATCCCAGCACTTTGGGAGGCTGAGGCAGGCGGATCATGAGGTCAGGAGTTCGAGACAACCCTGGCCAACATGGTGAAACCCCGTCTACACTAATAATACAAAAATTAGCCGAGCATGGTGGCACATGCCTGTAATCCCAGCTACTCGGGAGGCTGAGGTAGGAGAATCGCTTGAACCTGGGAGGCGGAGGTTGCGGTGAGCCGAGATGGGGTCGTTGTACTCCAGCCTGGGGCAACAAGAGGGAAACTCCATCTCACAGAAAACAAAAACTAAAACAAACAAACAGACAAAAAAACTCCCCTCATGCCCTGCAAACCCAATCACCTAAGCTCAAACCCCTGGAGCCTTTGGTGGAGCTTCCCTTCCCTGCCCCCACCAAGCCTTTCAACTTCTCTGGGACATTACTGTCATTTACCAAGGTCCCTCTGGTTCCTCCAGCCTTGCCAATGGGCTGGCCTTACTCCAGCTGCACAGACCCTGGGATATGCCTCCCAACTCCAGATCCCCTTCTGTCCATCTTACACACTGTTCTTGATTAGTTTTTCTGACCTTGGAGCCTTTGGGAACTCCTCACTGCCCTGGGAAAGTCTAAATTCCCTGGCCTGGACTCAAGGTTCTTCCCTAATCTGACCCTAGACAACCTTTCTTGCCTTAATGCCCACACCACGTCCTGCCACCTCCCACCCCACGGCCTGTATTTTGGCTGGGCCACTGCCTGGAATGCCACCAGAGGAAGCCAAGAGTCACCAAGGCACCATGGTTCTACAGCATCCTGGAAGGATGTAGTCAATTAAGTGTTTCAAAAGATCAAATCTGCTGCTGGCATCCTTGTTCTATACTTGGTAGACAGTGTGTGTAATGGTAATGGCTTTGGAGTTTTTTAGACCTGACTTCAAATCCTAGTTCTGTCGTTCCATTACTCATTAGCCATGATGCTGGGTAGATTTCTTTCTTTTTTTTTTTTGTAGAGACACAGTCTCGCTATGTTGCCCAGGCTGGTCATGAACTCCGGCCTTAAAGCTCTCACCTCGGTCTCCCAAAGCATTGGGATTACAGGTGTAAGCCACTGTGCCCAGCTAGGACAAAACTTTTGACTTTGTCAAGCCTTAATTTCCTCTTCTATAAAATGGAGTTAAGAAGGGCTCCTTCCTCACAGATTGTACTGAGTATTTCATGAGATGATATGTGTATGTCAGGCTGTGTCTCTCCAGGGATGGCTGCATCAATATTTTGCTACTATTCACATACTCTTTTTACAGTATGATGGACATTCCTCTCACTGACAGATGGGGCACAGGTCAATTCCCCTTGAATCTAGGGACCTTGTGACTATTTGACCAGTAGAATGTGCAGGAAGTGATGCCATGTGACTTTTGAGACTAGGTCATCGAAACGATACAGCTGCCACCTGACTCTCACTCTCTATACTCGCCCTTGGAATCCAGTCACCATGTTGTGAGGAAGCTCAATCTAGCCGAAGCAGATGTGGGAGCAGCCCACATGGAGAGGAACTGAGGTCAGATGACAGCCAGCACCAACGCTGGACATGTGAACAAACACGTGCGCCCTGAGAGGACTTCAGCCCCAGCCTTCAGCCCCAGACTGAGCCTCAACTGAGGCCTCAGTCATCCCAGGATAGAGTCAAGCTGCCCTTGCTATTCTCTGTCCAGATTCTAGAGCCACAGAATCTGTGAACATGATAAATGATTGCAGTATACCATTATGTTTTGGGGTAGTTTGTTACATAGCCATAGAAACTAGAAGAGTATATAAAAGTGTTAAAAAATTGTATCTAATATTTGTAGTGTTAAAATATTGGAAGCCTACATATTTTTCACAGCTTAGTTTAAACATCACCTCCTCAATGAAGTTTACCCAAAACCATTCAAATAGAATTCAAAAACAGAGCAGTTGAGCACTTACCCTGCCAAGAACTTCTTTCTAGGTAGATTTCCCATGATCCTTACAATAACATGACAATCTCAATTTAAATAAATATATGTTTTTAGTTGTTTATTAATTTCCATTACTTGGCTCTGTCTATAAAAAATTACATCAATGAATCACATTGATTTCAGTTCTTAAAATAATTTTATCTACTTAAAAAACTTTTCACAGAACTCAGAAGATATATTTGAACAATTTAAAGCAATTTTATGGTAATAGTGTTTCTTTCTCCTCTCTAGTTTTATTAGCTCCATTTTGCTGGTGAGGAAATGAAGGCTCATGGAGATCGAGTGGCTTATGCAGCTGTGAACACTGAGGGCCAGGTTCAGTCCATGTTCACCCTGGCCCTCCCCATGCCATCCCTCCCTGCCTCCTTCCTGAGTCGCATCCTGCATTGCAATCCTGCATACACATTCTTTATCTCTTTCTATAGATGCTAAGCCTTGAGAGGCAGTCACATTCAGAAGCAAATCCTGACAAGACATCTGGGCCTGTGCCCTGCACACAGTACTTTCTAAGTTCACTCAATGCCAGCATTCACCACTTCCCTATGGAGCCCCTACTGTGGGCCAGGTAGGCTCTGGGGTAGGCACTGAAGGAAGACCTAATGCCTGCCCTCTTGGAGCTTCCAGTCTGGTCAGGGAGACAGGAATAAGTAAATCAACCCAAAAGCAAACGTTTGGTGATGTCTATGACAACTGTCGAAAAGGAGGGAATGAGGTTCTTCAGGAGAGGAATAGCAGGAGGACCTACTTCAGACTGGGATTTAGGTGAGGCTTTTCTTAAGCTGAGTAGGTATTCCCTAGGGGTGTATATGGGAATGGGAGGGGAAGTACGTGAAGGCTCAGAGGTAGGAGAGAAGGGGTTCACAGAGGAAATAAAAGAAGGCCAGTGGGGCAGTGCCATGGATTTGTTCAGTGGATGGATGGATGTTTGGATGGATGGGGGGATGGAAGGTTGTATGGGTGAATAGGTGGATGGAGGAAAGAATGGAAGAATAGACAGAGGGATGGGTGGATGAATGGAGGAAGGGCAGAGGAATGGATGGTTGTATGTATGTACATTTGTATAGTGGTATGGCTGTTGTATGTATATATGCTTACATGTATGTATGTTTGGATGGTGGGATGGATGGTTGTGTTTGCTTGTATGCCTGTACGTTTATATGGTGGGATGGATGGTTGTATGTAGCTATGTTTGTATGCATGTACATGTCTGTATGGTGGAATGGATGGTTGTATGTATGTTTACATGTATGCATTATTGGGATGGTTACATATGCATGTATGCATGTGTCATGGGATAATGGTTGCATGTATGTATGCATGTATGTTTGTATGATGTGATAGATGGTTGCTTATGTGCATATTTACATGCACGTGTGCATGTATGGTGGGATGGATGGTTGTTTATGCACGTTTGCATGCATGCATGTTTGGTGGGATGTATAGTTGTATGTATGTTTACATATATGTGTACATGTATAGTGGGATGGTTGTATGTATGTACAAGTGTCTATGGTGGGATAGATGGTTGTATGTATGTACATTTACCTGTATGTATGTATGGTGGGATGCATGGTTGTATGTTTATGTGCATGTGTGCATATGTGGTGGAATGGATGGTTGTATGTATGCATGTATATGTTTTATGGTGGAATAGATGGTTGTATGCATGTATGTTTACATGTATGAATATATTTATGGTGGATGTCCATATATGGATGCATTTGGTGGGATGGTATATATATATACACACACACATACATGTTTATATGTATGCATATTTACATGTATGCATGTTTACATGTATGGATGCATGTGTGGTGGGATGAATGGTTGTATATGTTTGTATGCATGTATGTTTGTATGGTGAGAGGGGTGGTTGTGTGTATGCATGTTTACATATATGTGCCTGTATGGTGGGACAAAGGTATCTACATGTTTGCAAGCATACACGCATGTATATGTGGTGGAAGGATGGTTGTATGTATGCATACACGTAAGTTTATATGGTGAGGTGGATGGAAGCAGGTAGGGCACAGCTGGCCTTGGTCCAGGTTCTGCAGTTGCCCCTTTCCTCCACTTCTCCACTCCAACATCTTCCCACCTCACTGTGGCTCTCAGGCCCCAAGGCCCTCACAGTCTCTCCATTGTACTTTGTCAAATGTGCTTCTTGGATCTGCCCAGGGAGTTCCTTGTTGAGCAGGCCATGGGTGAATGTATTTATACATACATATGTGTGTGTGTATGCCCCACCCACACAGCCATGTATGCACTGAACCACAGCAGCAAGAGGCTGCTAAGAGGCGGTCTGTTCAGCCAGACAGTGCAGGAGTGCAGGCTAGAGGCGAGAAGGGAGGGTGGAGACAATGACGGTGATAACGGAGACTGAGGCCCCACGATCCCCTGGGAAAACTCACTCACACTAAGGCAAAAACAGTTAAGGGCTTGCCACACTGACTCCCCGAGGTACCTGCTTGCTAATACGCCGTGTTATGCCCTGCAGGGCTGATCCAACATTCCCAAGAAATTCCCCCAAGAGCAAAGAAGTGCAGGCCTGGGGCACAGTAGAAGGTGCTGAAAATTATTCCTGATGTCTTTGTCATATCTTAAAAGGCCTTGTAAAGTGTGCATTCCACTTCAGAATATATTTCTTGCTTTTATGTGTTTACTTAAAAACATTTTAAAATCATGAAATATGTCACGCATACAAAAGAGCAAATATAATTATATGTATAGTTTACAGAAGAATAAAATAAACACTCCTGCACCTACCTCCCAGCTGAAGGCCTAGAACACTAACAATACCTTTCCCCTACCCTGGATCTCCCCCCTTCCCCGGCACCAGGTGATTTCTCTCCTGAATATTGAGGTCATGTGCCTTTGCTTTCCTTTCACGTTTCCTTACCTAGAGATGCAAACTTACACAATTTGTGGTCAATGTATTCTGTTTTTAAACATTTTACACCTGGGATTATCCTGTATATAGTCTTCCGTGATTTGCATTTTTGTGCAACATTTTTTTGGGGGGGCTCCATCCTGGTCCTTGCCCTTCATTGAGTCATTTTCACGGCTGGATGGAATTCTGTGGATCACGCTTCATTTGTTTTTGGTGCTTTGCTGTCCTGCCAAGAGCAGCCTCACACATGGCTAAGAGAATCTCTAAGGTATGTGCCTAGAAATGGAATTGTGGGTTGTGGGGTTATACACACATTCATTTTACTAATAACGTTTGCATAAACCCCAGTTGGTATCAATTTACCAACTTGACGCCAGCAGCCATGTGAGTTTCCACCAACACTTGGTGTTGTTAGACTGTGGTCTCTGCCAACCTGGTGGGCACGGAATGGTACTTTGTTGTGGTTTTATGTGTTGTTTATCATGGAAACAAAGCTGCTCACTTCAGATCACTTCATGCCTCTGCCCTCGACCACCCATGACTTCTCTCTCATTCCAAGTAGCATCCTGATATGGTTTGGATTTGTGTCCCCACCGAAATCTCACTTTGAATTGTAATAATCCCCATGTGTCAAGGGCAGGACCAGGCGGAGATAATTGAATCATGGGGGTGGTTCCCCCATACCGTTCTCGTGATAGTGAGTGGGTTCTCACGAGATCTGATGATTTTATGAGTGGAAATTCCCCTGCACAAGCCCTCTTGCCTGCCACCATGTAAGATGTGGCTTTGCTCCTCATTCACCATGATGGTGAGGCCTCTCTAGCCATGTGGAACTGTGAGTCAATTAAACCTCTTTCCTTATAAATTACCTAGTCTGGGGCATGTCTTTATTAGCAGCTTGAAAACAGGCTAATACACAGCCAAAGCACTGACCACAGCTTAGAATGCCGGGATCTGTCCCCAAGTTCTCTCCTTCCAGCCTCACCATCTTCCACTTTCTGCTTCCCCACTCCACTTCAGCTACCTGGCCTCAGACACCCACATCTGCCTCAGGGCCTTTGCACCTGCTATCTGACCTGGAATGATCTCCTCCTCTGTCTACATGGTTTACCCCCAACAACCTTCCTTTGAGACTCGATTCCATGTCACCCGCTCCCAATGGCCACCCTCCACCATCATATCAAATAAGACCCCTGCCCCATCCTCCAAACCTCTCGCCCAGCTTCATCTCTCCTTAGAACACTTTAGTTTTTGTCATGGGCCTTATCTATAACCTATATATTATACATTCACCTTTTAACTTTTGTTTCTCTTGCTACTTTCTTCGAGGGCAGAGACGTGTGTCTTGGTTTTGTCTCTCGTTGTGTCCCCACTGCCTGGAACAGTGCTTGGCATATGGGGGTGTGCAGCAATCATTGTTTCCTGAGTGATTTGAATACTCAGGTAACATGAGTGCTCCAGAAAGACACATTGATGTTATCAGGAACTGTCACTTGGCCCCTAAGCATCCTGCATTCAATACCCACACCTCAGGCTGAAAATGAAGAGAAACAGGCCTATGGGTGGCATTTTAGGATTACTCCTAACCCACATGACAGCGGGCTTGTTCCCCTCCAATTGTCTTTTGTAGGAGTGGCTGCTAAGCTGCTTGGTAGGAAGGAAGCTGGCCAGCCTCCCAGGATGGGGCAGGCGCTCTGCCCTGCTGTGGGTGGGTGGGTGCGTGGGTTTGGTGCTGGAGTGGATGGTTTCAAGTCTGAGTCCCACAGATGAGGGCTGGGGGAAGGGGTCAGGAGGTCTCACCCAGGTGAGGAGAACACAGAGGTGCCCTCAGGACCTGGATGTGGTGAAACGCTGGCTGTGGTGAAACGCTGGCTCGAGGTCCTCTGCCACCTCCGGAAGGCTCTCCCAACCCTCTTAGCCATTCATCCCACATGCTGAATGCTGGAAATTTATGGTGACTTAAAAAAACACAAAGAAGAGACTCCAAGTGGGGACAGGAAGGGGCTGGGGAGGGGGGAAGATGTTTTATTGACTTCCCCTTAATTGCTGTAATTAAAAACATGTAAAGAATCCTTTTTTAACGACTTTGCCATTATCATTAGTTGTTAGCACAGCTGCCTTATTAATTTCTCATTAGAACCCAATTCACAGTTCTCTTTGGGAAGGGGGCTGGGTGCCAGGGGTTGGCCAGCCTGGCTCCATGATAGGAGAACTGGCTGCTTAGGGCCCCAGGACAAGCCCTTGTCACCCCAGGAGACAGGAACAGCCAAGGAGGGGAGGGGCATTTGGGAAAAGTGACCATACCCCACCCTCTCTCAGAACTGTGTGCCATCTGCGTGTGTGTGTAAGGAGACAGACGGATTGGCAGACAGGCAGCTGCAGCAGGCCTGAAGCACAGAATCCTGGGAGGGCCCCAGACTGGGGTAGGGAGAGGGGACTGAAGTGCTGAGGGTGAAAGATTTAAGGAGGCACCCACTCTTGGGGTCATGCAAGTACGGGGTGAGCACTTGAGAATGAGCACCTCCTTAAATTGGGCACCCTCACTGCCTGGTTTGCCTCAGCCTAGTCCAGCCCTGGAGAGCAGGAGTAGAGAGGGTGGCTAGGCATGTATCTACTTGGGTAGACAGATTCAAGAAGGTTGTTTCTTCCAGGACACCTTTCCTGGCTGACCTAAAGTCTATTTCTCCCTGAGTGCCGTCCAGTCTGGGGACCCACTGCAATGGTTTGTGTGCGTTGATACCATAATCCTTTCAACCACTCAGGTCAGTCCGTACTCATGGTAGCATCCTTTGTTATACAAACAATGAAAACCAAAGTTACAGAGAAGTAACTTGCCTAAGGTCACTTGTGGGAGGTGAGTCGGGATTTAAAGCCAGGGCTCACAGCTGGGGCCACGGTTACACCCTGCCAGGCAGAAGAAGGTAGACAGTGGAACTGCCAGCTGTGGAACTGGAACTGTGGGTTATTCTGCAACCCCTCTGAGCCCCAGTTTGCTCCTCTTATGTTCCTCAAACGATTTGCCTTCTAACCTCTCAGACCTGTCCTGGGAGCCCACAGAAGAAAGACATTTACACAATGGCACAGCAGGATGGATCATTTTGGAGGCTCTGGGGAACGCCCCCCCCCCCCGGCTTAGGCTCTGCATCTTTGGGGGGCTCTGGGCTTCTTTGGGGGACAGTTCTTTCCAGGCTGGGCCCCATGGGTCATGACCCTGAAGGTCACTTTAACCTTGTTAACATCAGAACTGAAATGGATCTCATTTTACAGATGGGAAAACTGAGGTCCAGAGAGGGGAAGGGAGGTGCTCAAAGTCCCAAGCTAGTCAGTGCCTCGGTTGGGGCGAGAATCCACGCTTTCGGACCTCCATCCCCAAGACATGCCGTTATTTCAGGCACAAGGGCCATGCCTGGCACACGGAAGAACCCTGGAGCTCTGTGTAGGTACTTTTCATCTACTCGTCCTGCTGAGAGCAAGGAAAACGATGTGATTGGTAGAGTCTACCCCACCCCACCCGCTGGCACTAGACATTCACCCTAGGTGGGAGACCCTGTGCATTTGCAGAGCTGTTTGGACATGGATTATTACAGCCCAGGGCTGTCCCTGATTCTGTCTGAACTCTGACCCCAGCAGCTCACCCTCACCCTCCTCCCACACACCCAATTTTGATTTTTCTCTTCTTGTCCTCAAGCAGTAGAGTGGCGCTGTTTTGGAATCAGGCAGTCATGGGTTCAAATCCCAGTTTTTCCTAACTGTGTGACTTAGACAAGGTGTGTCACCCGGCCGAGCCTCGGTTTCCTCATCTGTAACATGGAGATGGGGACTTGCACTCTGCAGGCTGGGACGAGAACCACTGTGCCCTTCCCAGCACAGTGACCCTCAGGACGAGCACTGCTATGAGTGAGAATGGTTTTGCCAAGTGCTGTGTTTCCCTAGGCCCAGAATCCCAGGGAAGTGGGGCTGGGACAGAGGATTCTTCAGCTTCTACAGCTAGAGAGGGAGGCCCCCTGGGATGAGGCCAGTGTGTCCAGCAAGGGCATGAATGGGGGAGGTATGCTTCTCTCCTTCCCATCCTGGCTGGGTGAAACCTTCCTTAGCTTGTCAGGAACTGCGTTCTTCTCAAGGGTCGGAAGGACTTCCTAGGGCTTTTCTAACTTCCTGGCTTTAGGGCCCAAAGGGCTGTGGACTGTGGTTACCACTTCACGACATTATGGAGGAAACAGCTTCACACCTGCAAAGCCGTGCACAGTAGCAGATGCAGCTTCCCAGCGCTGGTTTCAGGGAGCTGCAGCTGGTGGACAGGGGGAGGTTAACCTGGGTCTCTCTCTCTGCTCCCCCTTCAGCCACTCCAAGGTGTCCTATTCCTTTGCCAGGGGCCTTACCCATATGTGCACAGCTGGGCAGCACAGCATGGTCCTGGTGGAACGCAGCAACATCCATGGTCTTAACCATGTCTGGGGGCACCTGGAGCTCTGGGGCTTTGAGGGGGCTGCTGGAACAGGGCAGGAATCCTACTGTGAGAGGTAGTGGAGGGGCAGGGCCGGGCTGGCAGGATGGCACCGGGGAAGGTGCCAGCCTGCTGCATTTTGCTGGGACAGCATTTACTGAAGGCTATTCTGCTCTGTGGCCTGCTTCTCTACTTCCTTAAGGTGATAATATAGAGTATTAATTGCAGCAGTCACTCCCACTGATGCAGGGTGCACTGTTTGGGAGCTGGCTAGACGCTTTGGCACATATGAGCTCAAGAAATCCTTCCAACGAGCCTAGGAGGTCGATATTATTAATACATTTTAGGGATGAAGAACCTGAGCTGGGGTGAGGCTCAGAGAGGTCCAGTCACTTCCCTGGGGTCACACAGCAATCCAGGACAGAGCAAGGATGTGAATGTGGTCTGTCTGACTCCAAAGTCCACTCTTTTTATTTTATTTATTTTTGAGATGGAGTCTCGCTCTGTCACCCAGGCTAGAGTGCAGTGGTATGATCTCAGCTCACTGCAACCTCCGCCTCCCAGGTTCAAGCAATTCTCATGCCTCAGCCTCCCAATTAGCTGGGACTACAGGCATGTGCCACCACGCCTGGCTAATTTTTTTTTTAATTTTTTTTTTATTTTTAGTAGAGATGGGGTTTCACTGTGTTAGCCAGGATGGTCTCAATCTCCTGACCTTGTGATCCACCCGCCTTGGCTTCTCAAAGTGCTGGGATTACAGGCTTGAGCCACCGCACCCAGCCTTATTTTTATTTTTTTTTGAGATGGAGTCTCACTCTTTCGCCCAGGCTGGAGTGCAGTGGCATGATCTTGTCTCACTGCAACCTCTGCCTTCTGGGTTCATGCGATTCTCCCACTTCAGCCTCCCGAGTAGCTGGGATTAAAGGTGCATGCCACCATGCCCGGCTAATTTTTGTATTCTTAGTAGAGATGGGGTTTCACCATGTTAGCCAGGCTGGTCTCGAACTCCTGACCTTGTGATCTGCCCACCTCAGCCTCCCAAAGTGCCAGGATTACAGGCGTGAGCCACTGCACCTGGCCAGACCACTCTTTTTATTAAGCCACACTGCCTGTCATGGTGATGAGCCCCCAGCCTGCCAACACTGTAAGGCACTACCCGCAAAGCCCTTTCACTGTCACCCTGGAGCTCAGCAACTCCCTGGATCTCAGAAGCTCCCTCTTGAGCCAGGCCCCCATATGTCACTGCCACTGAGGGTCATCACTGCCAGCATCACCCAGGGTGGTCCAGGGCCCTTGGAACCCGCAGTGTGGGGAAGGGGAAGCTCAGGGTACCCCCATCCCCAGGGTCTGTGCCTGGGCAGAAGCAGGTGTCAGGGTGTTAGGCAGCACAAGTCCCCTTCCATCTGCTTCTCATGGCCTGGAAGTGCCCAGAGGGCGGGCCCAGGTCTGTCTGAGCCCTTCTCTGCAGCACCTAGGAAATGCCAGGACCTTTGCCCATGATCAGTGCAACTTGCTTGCTCGCCCTGCAGATGGGCCTGGTCACACCCCTCCCCCAGTGTGAAGGTAGAAGGACCTGTGGGTCCAGGGGAAGGGACCACACACGTGTCTGGCCTGGTGTGGAGGGAGTTCCCCCCACCCTGGGTTTGTGTGTATGTGGGAAGGAGTTTGCCTAAGGAGGGGGATCAAGGAGCTGAGTCTGGGCTCAGGGATTCCTATCACAGCCATGAAGAGAAGCATTTCAGCCACAGAAACACTGACCTCCCTTCCTTTCTCTTTTTGATTGGCAGAGCCAACCCCAGGGAGGCTGTGTCATTTCATCTCAGGGGCTCTCAACTCCAGAAAGTTTCTACTGTCTCCTATGAGCCAAGGGCTTGGAACTTACCACCTACTCCCACCCCACAGCCTGGACTAAATGGCATCCTGAATGGCATTTGCGACTGCGCGCGCGCGCACACACACACACACACACACACACACACACACACACACACAGAGGTTCTGGCCCACACACAGGTAAACAAAGAGGCAGATTACTCCAGACATGCACATCTGAACACATAACCAATACATGTATGTGTATACACTTGCACATACTCAAATGCACACACATGAATACATGCAATGCAAGGGCACACATTTGCACTCACTCACACTCATGCTTACAATACACATTCTCTCAAATACACAGGTGAGAGGCAGACTGGCAACAGAAACATATACCCAAGCACACATGCATGCATGCATGCAAACACACACACACACACAAATATCCTTGTGCACACACCCGCACATATACACACTCATTCTTTCCCAGACACATGTGAACAAAAAGGCCAACCAACCTGGACACAGACATTTGCACACACCCATGCACACACCTTGGCACACACTCATGCACACACACATATGCAGTCTCTCTAGAGGCCCAGCCTCAGCTTCCCCCTGCCCCCTGGACTCTCAGCACTGACTAAGCGAAGCTCCCGGGGAGCCCTCCAGCCGCTGACAGCTGCCTGAGATCCATCACTTTAATTCAGGGCTTTTTCTGCTCCTTGGAGTAAGTTGAGTTGCCGTTAGTGCTGATTTATGGGGACAATCCATCCTCCACTTTTGATTACGGTTGTTTTCCGTAATTATCATAAACACTCTTTGCCTCACTTGAGATTTTCTTTTAGATTTCTCTCCTGCACTTCTCTTTAAGTAGCAAGCTCTCTCTTGTGCTAATTTAGAAGCATGCTCCCATGAGCTCCATATGAGAGGGTGCCTTAACAAAAATTCTGGCCTAAGGATTGCCACCCTGTTATGTCCCACAGTACAACGTGGGACTTCTCCTCCTAGGAAAACCCAGAATGCAACAGCCCATAATGAGCCTCATTTCTAGAAGACAGCAGATATTTGAGGAAGCCGGGACAGGGCTGGGAAGGTAACACTGGGTCTTAGGGGAAGAGTGTCGGTTGGTACTCTAGGACCCTGGCCCCTGAGATGCCCTGGGGTTCTTCTGAAGCTGTCTTCCCTTCCTCTTCGGAGGGAGATCCTCTGGAATTGGCGGCACGGGGGAGAAGGCCGTTACCCACAAAGGCTTGGTGAGGGCCTCCCACTTCACTCTCTGCCCCCCAGCCTTTCTGGGAACCCTGATTCATTCCTCATTCTCCCCTTCCCCTTGGAGTTTCAGCATTCACCATGAGGCACCTCCCAGCACCCCCGGAAGATCACGGAGACCCTCAGGCTGTTATCACTCCAGGGTTGAGCGAGTTGGAGGATGGAAAATAAAAGTCATACTGGGCGCGGTGGCTCACACCTGTAAACCCAGCACTTTGGGAGGCTGAGGTGGGCAGATCACTTGAGGTCAGGAGTTGGAGACCAGCCTGGCCAACATGGTGAAACCCTATCTCTACTAAAAATACAAAAAATTAGCTGGGTGTGGTGGCACATGCCTGTAATCCCAGCTACTTGGGAGGCTGAAGCAGGAGAATCACTTGAACCTGGAAGCGGAGGTTGCAGTGAGCCAAGATTGCACCACTGAACTCCAGCCTGGATGACAGAGTGAGACTCCAACTCAAAACAAAAACAAAAACAAAATAAAAGTCATGGAGGCCCTGGGAAGTCTGCTGAGAAGAGGGTTGTAGCTGGAGAGGCTCAGAGTGGCCATTCTGAAGATGCCCCTTCCCAGGTGTGAGGTGGACCACAGAGGAGGCATTGGAAGCAGGTGCAAGGCCCTTTTTTGAAACACAAATCAGCTGGTCCCATTTAAAGGACACAGACAAGGCCACCCTTGTCTAAAATGAATGAAAAGCACCAGGGAGCTCTTGGCTCTCGGGACATGTGATGGGGTCACAGGGTCAGCAGATGTGCATGAGACTTACAGCTGCGTGACCTTGAAGAGGGCCTGCTACCTCTCTGGGCCTTGGTTCTACCAACTGCAAAATGAGGTTGCTGGCTGGAAGGGGCACCATGGGCACTCAGTGGGTGTTGATGGCCATGACGGGATCTGGCTCTGCCCAGGATGTGGCTGGTGGGTGCCACTCTGGCACCACAGTCGCCCCCCCTGCCCCTGGGTCCCCATTGTACTCACAGGCCACCTGGACCTCGGTTTGCCGCTGCAGCAGGGCCCCCATTCGGTTCCGCACGATGCAACGGTAAAAGCCAGCGTGGGTGCGGTCCAGGCTGGTGATCATGTATCTATGGGACAGACGAGACAGCCAGTGAGCAAGTCAGGCAGCTGCAGGGGTACAGAGGTCAGATTGGGCTCAGAGGTCAGAGGTCGCCAGGTCACCCTCTTTTGGAATAAGAGTACCAGGGAACTCTTGACTCTCTAGCCATGTCATAGGATCACACAAAGGTCTTTATCAATAAATAGGAGGGTTCCTCCCAAAGCCAATGAGGCCTTTGCTCAGCTGCCTGGGAATTAGCCTGCCCTTCTCCAAGCAGGGAAGGTGCTGCACCCGAATCCTTGACCCTGACCCTAAGGCTGTGTCAGCTGTGTTGGAAGCAGCTATTCTCCCTGACCTGTGACTCACATGACTGAGAAAGGTGGGGGCATTTTTTTTTGTCTTTGCAGAGGACTGTGCTATATTAGTTGAAATGGATGGAGGTGACAGAGACAGGGAAATTTACATGTTTTCCCAAATGCTCAGTATCATTCCTTTCTTAAAATTACAGACAGCCCCTGATGCCCACCCAAATCTCATCCTGTAGCTCGCATAATTCCAAGTGTTGTGGGAGGAACCAGGTGGGAGATAATTGAATCATGGGAGTGGGTCTTTCCATGATGTTCTCGTGATAGTGAATAAGTCTCACGTGATCTGATGGTTTTATAATGGGAAGTTTCCCTGCACAAGTTCTCTCTCTTTGCCTTCTGCCATCCATGTAAGATGTGATTTGCTCCTCCTTGCCTTCCGCTATGACTGTGAGGGCTCCCCAGCCACATGGAACTGTGAGTCCATTAAACCTCTTTCTTTCGTAAATTGCCCAGTCTCAGGTATGTCTTTATCAGCAGCGTGAAAACGGACTAATAATACAGCTGCACTGCAGCTTTTGGGCTGGCGGGGTTGGGCAGAGCCTTCTGAATAAGACAAGCTAGTGTTCTGTGGGTTCTGGGGACAGGATGTGGGACTCCAGGCTGGCCCCTTGAAAGCCCACTCCAGAAATACTTGTTACCCACAGAGCAGCAGACTCTGGCATTGGGGGGCAGGCGGCTGGGAGCAGGTGTATGTACATTCACCTAGCTGAGAGGCAAGGAGGAGGCACGTCAGTGAGAGGAGCTTCTGACAGTGGGACAGGAGTGGATGAAGGGGACCGGGGTCCAGGGGCTAGTTCTCCTGGTTCACCCTTGGTGGTCACCTTTCCCATCCCTAGGCAATGGTCCCACAGGACCCTCAGAGGAAGAAGGGATGTCCTAGGATGCCTCTCTCCAATTCATTGGTATCCTAGGGTTTGCCCAGCAGACCTGGTGGACAAGTTCCTTGACACCTGCCTCTAGGGTATCTCTAGATGTGCCAACCCTGGGATGCAGCAGCCTTATTCCTGGGAGATGCCAGTTTGGTTTTATTAATACATGAGATCTGGCTAGGGCCTGTCATCATCATCATCTTGCCAAGAATAAAACAACAACCACCCCTTCCGGAGCACCATCTCTGCATCAGACACTGTATTAAGTACTTTTCATACGTTTCTTCATTTCACACAGCAGTTCCCAGCCTATTGAATATCATGAACCAGTAACACTTAAAAAAGTGGGACCAACATGAGACTGTGAACTTCTTCTTTTGCCAAGATTATTAAAACCAACCAACCAGAAAGCAAACAGACAAATAATCAGGCAACAACAACAAAAACACTTAAAAAGGGATAATATTAAAAAGTGCCAGGGAAAGAAAAATAAATAGAAATGGTCAGCATTTAATTTAAAAAGGACATTTCTGGGATGACAAAAAACTCCTAATCTCAGCATAAAGGCATTTTAAAAACATTTTTCCTTCTTTATATTAAAAAAAGAAACTTTTTGAAAAAAGAGATGGGGGTCTTTCTATGTTTCTCAGGCTGGTCTTGAATTCTTTGGCACAAGCAATCCTCCCACCTCTGCCTTCCAAAGCGCTAGGATTACAGGCATGAGCCACCGCACCCAGCCAATTTTTAACAAATTTTTAAACTTAAATTTTACACAAAGCCCACTACCCTGACTTTTATGAGGACAGTTGCAAACTGTCATCAGTCAGCACTTGAGAGCCTGTGACTTAATCTCCACACTAACCCTACTAGCACCTTCTTTCTAGAGGTGGAGAAGTTGAGGCTCAGAAATATCTTGTCAGTAACCTGTAAGTTTCACACATTGTAAGAGGCAAAGTCCCACAGAGCCTTTCAGACTCCAAGCCTGGCTGTGAAGCTGAGGTCACATCCCAAGGGCCCCACCCTCCATCCTGGGTCTGTGCAGGGCTGACTCACAACTGGCCACGTGCCAAGTTCGCTCTGGCTCTGCAGCATTTTCCAGAACCTTCTGGCTGCCCAAGCCCCTTATCTCTGCCACCGGCTGCAGCTCTTATCTGTCTCTTGCTACTGTGCGCAGTGTGATGGCGGGGAGACAGCAGTGCCCAAGCTCTGGTAAATCTCTCTTCCTCCGTTCACCTCATCTTCAAATCCACCCTCAGCCCTCTCTCCTGTTTGCGTCCCCTCTCTCCCGAGGCGAGGGGAGGCCACTGTGGGGGAACTGTCTGAGTCTGTAAAGTGATGGGGTGACCCTAGAGGGGAGATGGAAGAAGAGATGGGCCGGAAAAGCTCTCTGCCTTTGGAAATGGAATCAGATATTATTAAAAAGCACCAGAGAGAGGAAAAGAAATAGAAATGGCTGATAAACTCATGAAAATATGCTCAACTTCCGTCATAGTGAAAGAAATTCAAATCAAGACGACAAGACCATGTTTGCCTAGCAGATCATCAAAGATTTTCAGGTGTGGTCAAACCCAGTGTCGGCAGGAGTGAGGGGGAGGGGAAAGTATACCTGCAGTACTGTTGTGGTACTGGAAATTGGTCCAGCCTTTGGGAAAAAGTCTATGAAAATTAGAATATGCCAGCTCTTTGACTCAGAGGTTGTGCTCCTAGGAGCTGGCCTTTTATTTATTTATTTTTATTTTTTTGAGATGGAGTCTCACTCTTTTGCCCAGGCTGAAGTGCAGTGGTGTGATCTTGGCTCACTGCAACCTCCACCCACCAGGTTCAAGCAATTCTCCTGCCTCAGCCTCCCAAGCAGCTGGGATTATAGGCACCTGCCACCACGCCCAGCTAATTTTTGTATTTTTAGTAGAGATGGGGTTTCACCATGTTGGCCAGGCTGGTCTCGAACTCCTGACCTCAGGTGATCCACCCACCTCGGCCTCCCAAACTGCTGGGATTACAGGCGTGAGCCATGGCTCCCAGCGAGCTGGCCTTTTAGATACACTAGCAACTATGTGACAAAAAAATATGTGCAAGGCTGTTCACTGTAGCATTTGCTTGCCATCGCAGAGACAAACAAACGAAAGCTAGAAGCAAACTAAATGTCCATCAAAATGGAATTGGATCAATAAATGATGCAGCAGCCACAGAATGAACACATGTTATGAGAGGAGGTAGGAAGGTGTCCAAGACACAGAGCATGGAAAGAAAGTAAGAGCTGGGGAGGAGGGGAAGGTTTGCGAATAAAAGCACGCGATAGCAAGATGCTAAACAATCTCATAGTTGACTGTTAGGGACAAGAATGATAATATATTCTTATCGGTTGCTGTTCATTGATACAGGCTACCAAACCCTTAATGTTTTACATCATACAAACTGGTCCAATAAAAATCCCCGCACTTTGGGAGACCGAGGTGGGCAGATCACTTGAGGTCAGGAGTTCAAGACCAGCATGGCCAGCATGGCAAAGCCCCGTTTCTACTAAAAACACAAAAATTAGCCAGGTGTGGTGGCACACGCCTGTAGTCCCAGCTATTCGGGAGGCTGAGGCAGGAGAATCGCTTGAACCCAGGAGGTGGAGGTTGCAGTGAGCTGAGATTGCACCACTGCACTCCAGCCTGGGCAACAAAGACTCTGTCTCAAAAAAACCAATAATAATTTAAGTTTGTTGCAAAAATGCAAACAAACAAAAAAAAGGTAAAGAATAGTGTGATGACATGATAGTATTTGCTATGATGCCATTTGGGTAAATTGAAATAGTATATATATATTTCTGTGTATTGTGTGTATACAAATACACAAGCACAAACGCACACACTTATAACCACACAAACACACTGGGATAGGCATACAATTTTTTCAAGACGGATACTCCAGAATGTGTTATCTCCCTTTTGGGAGAGATACCCGGGATGGGGAGGGAAGAAACTTCTATTTTTTGATTTTATGTCTTTCTATGCCATCAGAATTTTCTTTATCGTACGCATATATTGCTTTTATTTTAAAAGTAAAATAAAAAGATGCACATTGTGCACATAATTTAAGCATACATTATAAAAACGGCACCAGGGGCTCATTGGATCTGGATTTGTTTGCTGATGTCAGTGAGGCGTGGTGAAATTTAAACTTTAATAAAAGCCCATTTCTTTTTCATTTTTTTTATTTTTTAGAGACAGGGTCTCATTTTGTCACCCAGGCTGGAGGGCAATGGCGAGATCCTAGCTCACTGTAACTTCAGACTCCTGGGCTTAAGCGATCCTCCTGCCTCAACCTTCCAAGTAGCGAGGACTATGTCTATTTGCTTCAGCCAGGAATACCCAGGTCCCAGTTAGGGTCTAATTAGGGCCATGAGGAAGGCCCGTGGGCTGCTGGCCCCCTCCCCTCCCCCAGGCCGCCCTCTGTACCCCTCTGCGATCGAGGGCAGGTAATCCCTGCCCCAGCAGTGCGGGTACAACCTCTCTCCCGCTCCTCCGCCTCCGTTTCTTTGGGCTGTCTCTTTGGTGCTCCCTGCCTGGGAGACCTATTTCTGGCTTGTAGGCAACATTATTTAAAGTAACAGTTCCGCCCACTGCCTTTCCTACCAGGGAAACCCACTTCACTCCACCCAAATTGCAGCTCTCGTCTCCCTGCCTCCCAGGCGGGTGGAAGAGGCATTTGGCCAGCTTCTCGGTTTGTGAGTCCAGCGCACTGTAAGCACCTCCGATAATGACAGTAACAGCACTCATTATCCCCAATGCGCTCCCTCCTGGGCCACCAAGACACACTCAGCCCACAGCTCTGCCTGCCCCACTCACCCGTAGCTGCCAGCCCAGCAGGAGACTGGCTGAGTCCAGCCCCATCCAGGTCACCCCGGGGGTGGGGGGTGGATTAAATGGCTCCTGGAGGAGCAGCAGGGCCGGAGCTGAAGGGTCCACACCTGATCCACTCAAGAGGAAGTGCAGTGTTGGAGAAGGCACCAGGACTTCCACCTCAGGGGGACTTACACTTGACTTTCACTTCTGTTCTTTCTTAGATGTGTGGCCCAGGCAAGTTATGGGACCTTGCAAGCCTTAGTTTCCCTGACTGTAAAATGGGAATAATGATGGCCATCTTTGATGTGGGCATCCAGCGAGGCCGTGGATACAAATGCCTGCACAAATGCTTGCCAAGTGAAGGGGCAAATGTAAGAGTCATTGGCGGGGAGGCTCAGAGAGGAGGGTGAAGCAGAGGCCCTCCCCCTAGAATGGGGATCCTCTAGGGGCTTCAGCCAAGCACTAGGGGAGCATGGAGTCCCCTGCCTGGCACATTCCTCGGCTTCTGACCCCTCAACCTCCCAGTCACCTCCATGTGCCTCCTTGAGGTGGAAGAGCAGGAACCTGGCTCCTCCAGGGATGAGGAACAGTGACGGTGGCTGGGTGACCTGCAACCTTAATCTCTATTCAACGAGGAAGAGCTGCTGGGTTGTGGCCTCTGGGAGCCAGCACACACCTGCATTCACCTACCCCTAGGTCCTTTCAAAGGACTGCTCTTTATTTATTTATTATAGGAAATATATTCACAATTCAAAATTCAAAGAAAAGAAAAAGTACACAGCAAAACGTCTCTCCCACCCTTGTCCCCCAGCTGCCCTGTCATCCTGATCCCCAACATACACAGGGAGGAAACGACTGTCATTAGTTTCCTGAGTGTCTTTTCAGAACTTCTTTATGCAAATGCAAGCAAATACGCATTTAGAATCCCTCCCCATTATAAACAGGAGACATGGCCTCCTGTAGGCACTGTTCTGCTCCTTGCTTTGTGCAAGTGACAATGTATCTCAAAAATCTTTCCGTAGCTGTGCATGGAGCTTCCTCGGGCTTTTTGACAGCTGCAGAGTATTGAGGAATCTTCCGGGTGGAGGAAGATTTGCTTTCTCCCAGTTCAATGGTCAAAAGCAGCAGGCGGTAGAGAGAGCACCTCAGGGGCTGGGCTTGGGGCTGGGGGCAGAAAGAGGGCAGTGAAGGAAGATACGCCAAGAATCCACACCCGTTCTCGTCATCTCCATCACAGATTGTCCTGATTTTAATCCGGCAGGACCCTGCGGCTCAGTCCACTCTTCGAAGATGAAGAGATGAGCTCAGGGTGGAGGGCGCAAGACAACAGTGGGAGGAAGAGCCAGGACAGATAATTGGATTTTTAGCGACAAGAGAGGAGCAGGGGGGACAATAACAGCCTAACAAATGTGGCATCTTCTCCAGCACATGAGGAAACACACAATGCCCTTTTTGGTTCGAGTCCTTGAGTGTCACAGTTGATATTTAAAATGATTCTTACTCGCATTAAATAAGATATTTCAATTCCACGAAGCTGTCAGGAGCTGATGCGGACACCAGAAATAATAGGCACACTCTCCTTGTATTGTCCTCGTTAATAAATCAGACGCCTGGAGATGCACGCGGTGATGCTCCCATGGAGGAAGGAGGTGTGTGTGAGTGCACATGTGCACACTTGTGCACATACACGGAGCACACTCATGCATACTCACCCATGGTACAACGCACATTCATGCACGCCGTGCTGTGCACACACATGCAAACTCATGCAATCCACCTCCCTGCAAACTCATACATGACTGTGCACATACATTTGTGCACACACATGTTTGGATGAGGCCTCCTCTCCTCAAGTGAACTGTGCTCAGGTAGAGAAGGCAGGTGGGTCATCATGTCCACTGGGGGGTCAGGGGACCATGTGTGCCTGCTGCCTGCAGGTGTCGCCCCAGATGTCTGAGGCCAACACAGGTTCCAGGAACAGCAGTGGGCCACTGAGCTCGGGAACCCAGATTTCCTTCCCTCTCCCCATGGACTTTTGGGCAGCAGGCAGGAGAAGCAGCAAGTGCTGAGCATGTGCATGTCTGTGCGTGTGTGTGTGTGTGTCCTCAGACACCTGTGAGCACACACTGGGCCTGTTCCTGCAGCAGGAAGACTTAGGTGGTGATCGAGGACCTGGCCACTGGACTGGTGGCCGGCTAGAAAAAGACTGACTATATTTGTGGATTTGCTTTTGCAAAGATTCTTCAGGAAATCGGGCAAAACTCTGTCCAGGGCGATCAAAAGGGAAAAGAACATGTACCAGGTAATAAATAATAACAATATACCATTATGCAATTAACATAATAACTATTATTATAATAAATGTCACTGCTCTAAGGACTTTATATTTTTTAATCACATTGCTGTAATTGTATTTTATTTTTTAAGTCTTATTTTTATTTATTTATTTTTGAGACAGAGTCTCGCTCTGTCACCCAGCCTGGAGTGCAATGGCACAATCTCGGCTCACTGCAACCTCCGTCTCCTGGGTTCAAGCAATTCTCCTGCCTCAGCCTCCCAAGTAGCTGGGATTACGGGCACCTGCCCCCATGCCCGGCTAATTTTTAATATTTTTTAGTAGAGATGGGGTTTCGCCATGTTGGCCAGGCTGATCTTGAACTCCTGACCTCAGGTGATCCACCTCCTTTGGCCTCCCAAAGTGCTGGGATTACAGGCGTGAGCCACTGTACCTGACCTAAGTTTTATTTTCTTTATCATCACCCAGGTATTAAGCCTAGTACCCAATAGTTATTTTTTTCTGCTCCTCTCCCTCTAGGACTTTAACGTATCCACTCATCTGATCCTCACAGTACTGCAGAGGCAGTGCTAACATAAACCTCGGTTCACAGATGAGAAAAACGGGGCCCAGAGAGAGAAAGTAACTTACCCCAGGTCACACAGCTAAGTACCTAGAATGATGGGACAGTCTGGCCCATTGACAACATGAACCTAACGGGATATGTATCCGATGGCTTGGGGTCTCTCATTCCTAGGGTAAGAAGAGGATAGTTCGGCTGTCTACCTCCTCCTGCTTCACATAGACAGAGGCAGAGTATTTCTGGGCAGGGCCTAAATTTTGATCTAGGCCATGTTAATCAAAAATTGTTGCTGAGTGCTGGCCAGTCTAGTACACTGGAGGCCCAGGAAGAAGGAGCTGGATGGCTTGGGCAGCCCCTTTAGTGGATCTTTTGATTGTGGAAGGAGAGGCTCAGGCATGGAAAGGGTTGAGGCAAACAGAGCTCACCTGTTCGGTATGATCAAGTGGCTGTAATGTTGAATTTCCCTTCTGGTAGCAGCCCTAAGGATCTGCTGGGGGTGAGTGGGGGTGAAAATGAGAGACAGAGACAGAGAGAGACAGTCAGAGAGACAGAGAGATCTAGGGAGAAAGAGAGAGAGACAGGGAGGCTGAGATGGAGAGAGACACACACAGAGAAACAGAGTCAGAGAAAGAGACAAAGAGAGACAGGGGACAGAGACAGAGAGGTAAAGCCCTCTCCCCATGTAGGACACAGCCAGAGGCCGGGTAGTTGGGAGCAGGCTGGCCAGGGAGGGTGATGTCAGCTGCACCCTGTGGTGAGGACAGCCAGGGCACCTCAGGAACAGCAATGTCTGTTTTTCTATTTTAAGCAGTTTCTGTCCTGTGCTGTAATTCCCCTCCCACATCTTCGGTGAGAGTTGGTGACAGGCACAGCCTGTTCTGTGGATGGTACTTGGGGAAGGATGCTGTGCTCCTGGCTGGGAGGCTACAGGGCCGCCATTTGAAGGGGAGGCAGCAGCCTCAGGAGGGGAAGGGTTAGGGGAAGATCCGGAATTGGTTCTGGAGCAGGCACTGGGGAGGGGACAGGCAAGCCCAGGCGAGCTGAGCACGGGGTTCCAGAATCCTTGGAAGGTGGGGGAGGGCCCTGGACTTGTCCCCTCCCAGAGGACAGACACTGGGATAGGGAAGGATTCTGTGTCCCTCGGAGGAGGGGGGACTTGGGCACAGTGTGTTCCCCCCACCTTCTAGGGAACCTGAGGGTGGAGAGGGGGTACCCGCAGTGGACAGAACAGGGAGGAACCCCTGACTCTGATGTGATGGTTAATTTTAGGTGTCAACTTGACTGGGATGAAGGATGCCTGCCCAGACAGCTGGTAAAGGATGGTCTGGGTGTGTCTGTGAGGGTGTTTCTAGAAGAGATCAGTATTTGGATCAGCAGATGGAGTAAAGAAGAGAGAGACAGGGAGACAGAGAAACAGAGACAGAGAAAGAGAGAGACAGAAAGACAGGAGACAGAGTGGTGAAAGCCCTCTCCCCTCGCAGGACGTAGCCGGATCCCTCACCAACGCAGGACGGAACCATCCAATCCACTGAGGGCTCGGATGGCACAAAAAGGCGGAGGGAGGAGGAATGTGCTGTCTTGGGAGGAGATGCCCATCTTCTCCTGCCCTTGGACGCTGGGGCTCCTGGTTCCCGGCCTGCAGACTCTAGGACTTACACCCATGGGCTCTCGGTTTCCAGGCCTTTGGGCCCAGACTGAATTACGGTACTGGATTTCTTGGGTTTCCAGCTTGCAGGCGGCAGTTGGTGTTCTTGGCTGGCCTCCATAACCACATGGGCCAAGTCCCATAACGAACCTCGTGCATCTGTCTCTCTCCCATTGCTTCTGCTTCTCTGCACAACCCCGACTAATACACCGACCGTAGAATATGGGAGATAGGCCGGGTGTGGTGGCTCACGCCTGGAATCCCAGCACTTTGGGAGGCTGAGGCAGGAGGATCACCTGAGGTCAGGAGTTCAAGACCAGCCTGGCCAACATGGTGAAACCCCACCTCTACTACCAATACAAAAATTAGTGGGGCATGGTGGCGTGTGCCTGTAATCCTGGCTACTCAAGAGGCTGAGGCAGGAGAATCTCTTGAACCAGGGAGTTGGAGGTTGCAGTGAGCCAAGATCACATCACTGTGCTCTGGCCTGCGTGACAAGACTCCATCTCAAAAAAAAAAAGAAGAAGAAGCAGGT
Organism: Homo sapiens; assembly: GCF_000001405.40. Classification (NCBI taxonomy): domain Eukaryota; kingdom Metazoa; phylum Chordata; class Mammalia; order Primates; family Hominidae; genus Homo; species Homo sapiens. The sequence continues at coordinate 73,482,296 of NC_000017.11, forward strand.
CTGTCTCCTGTTGGTTCTGGTTCCTCATAGGGCTGAGCAGGGCAGGATACAGATGTGTCTGAAAGCGGCTGCTCAGCCGAGGCACAACCTGGGGCTTGCACAAGCACCTGCTGCTGGGCGGTTTGCTTCATAAGGGGAGGAGATGTCTCAGGGCCTGCTGGCCACCACTGAGCCTCCCCCGCTTTGCCAGAAAAGCCCGTGAGGCTCCGATTGATCCCCCGGCCCTGCGGTCAATGAGAGGATGGCGGTGTTATCGAGCTGGGGGCCGCTATCCCGGTGACAGCTCTGGCTTGCGATGGCTGGGGGAAGGCGTCTGTCGGCCCTGGGACCTTCTGGGCCAATTAAGTGCTCTCAATGAACAAGGATAAGGACTTCATTAAACTGTGATCCATCAGCCCAGTGGTCCCCACAGAGGTCTGGCTGGATGAGAAAGCAAAGGAGAGAGCTGAGGGAGCCAGTGAGGTGAGATGAGGGCAGGACAGGGCTGGGAGCCCAAGACGGCTACTCCTCCTGGGTGAGCGGGACTCCCACTGCTTGAGAAAATAAGCAGGGATCCCTCCCTAAATAACAACCACAGTAGCAGCATCGGGTTGTGAGCCAAACACTTGACACACGCTATCTGGTTCATTCCCAGGTCAACTACAGGGGAAGGGACTCCTCTTCCCATTTTACAGCCAGGGGACCTGGGCTCAGAGAGGTTGAGCATGTGGCCTGAAGTCACCCAGCTAGGAGGCAGCAAAGTGATTCCCTTTCAGGCCCATGTGACCCCATCCGTGCTCCTGCCCTATACCTGCCCGCCCTGACCCGTCCTGGGGCCCTCAAGACTGCTCTGCGGTAGGTCTTCTCTGCTTGTTTTTGCTTCACAATCCAGAAAGAAATTCCTCTGGGGAGCTGCCCAGGCCTTGCCTTGATGCAGGAGCTGTGTCTGAGCCCAGCTGGGAGAGAGCCGCTACATAGATGGGAGGAGAGTGGGGCGACCCGCGGACAACTCTGCACCGACACAAGACAGAACTTTTTTTTTTTTTTTTTTTTTTTGAGATGGAGTCTCATCCTTTTGCTCAGGCTAAAGTGCAGTGGCGCGATCTCGGCTCACTGCAGCCTCCCTGGTTCAAGCAATTCTCCTGCCTCAGCCTCCCGAGTAGTTGGGACTACAGATACGTGCACCACCACACCTGGCTAATCTTTGTGTGTGTGTGTGTGTGTGTGTGTGTGTGTATGTGTGTGTGTATATATATATGTATGTATATATGTATGTATATGTGTATATGTATATATATGTATGTGTATATATATGTATATATATGTATGTGTATATATATGTATATATATGTATATGTATATATATATGTGTGTGTGTGTGTGTGTGTATATATATATATATATATATTTATATATATATATATATATATATATTTTTTTTTTTTTTTAGTAGAGTTGGGGTTTCACCACGTTGGCCAGGCTGGTCTCAAACTCCTGGCCTCAAGTGATCCACCTGCCTCGGTCTCCCAAAGTGCTGGGATTACAGGCATGAGCCACTGCGCCCAGCCAGACAGAACGTTTTATTACTAGGAGCAGAAAGGAATGAAAAACCACAGAAGACAAGCCCTGTCCAGGGTATAAGGAGTTAAAACTCAGTCTTCAGTTTAAATGGCTGGGAAAAAAGAAATGCTGAGATTTGAGGGAGGCAGTGTGGTTATTTTATTTTATTTTTTAAAAAACAAGAAAACAGAAAAGCAAAATGAAAGGAGCATCTCCTCTCACCTCGATTACAATTGTGCTTTAGAATTTCCTCACCGCTCCCCGCTCCTCCGGCTCGGGGAGGAAAGCCTCGCCACCCAGCTCCCACTCCTGGGGTTGGGGAGGACTCCTTTGTCCCGGGCTCCTGGCACCCGGCTGAAATTCTTTATGATTCTTTTCATGCCAAGGTGGATCAGAAAGAAACCAAATTAAGACAAGCTGATAAAGAGGCTGCATGGAAACCAGGCTTCAGGGAACCAAGGGGCTGGGGCTCTGTGGCCGAATCATGGTGGGTGGCCAGAGCAGCCCCATGGACCCACTTCTCCGGGCTCACTCCAGCCTCCCAGGTGTGCAGGGGAGACTCAGTTGCTTCTCAAACTGGGAGAAGCGGCCTCCTAATAAGACCTGCTGAATGCACAGTGGTGCTGGCTGAGAAGCCTCTTCCCTCACAGTGAGTGGGTTCCCTGATGCGAGAGGCCCTACTTGTTTGAGGGAAGCAGGACACTGGGGCATCCAGGGGCGTATTTGTTTCTCAGGGCTGCTGTAACAAAGCACCATGGCCTGGGTGCCTTAAAACGACAGAAATTTCTTCTTCCACAGCCCTGGCTGCCAGGAGTCTGAGTCAAGCTCAGCAGCACCATGCCCTGCATGAAGGATCCCAGGGAGAATCCTTCCTGCCTCCTTCAGCTCTGGGGGCCCCAGGTGTTCCTTGGCTTGCAGCCACATCACTCCAATCTCTGCCTCTGCCTTTATTTGGTGTTCTCTTCTCTGGGTTTCTCTCCTCCCCCACTTTTCTTTCTTAATAGAGATGGGATCTCACTATGTTGTCCAGGCTGATCTTGAACTCCTGGGCTCAAATGATCCTCTTTCTTTGGCCTCCCAAAGTGCCGGGATTATAGCCATGAGCCACTGTGCCTGGGCTCTCCTGTCTTCTTAAAAGGACCCCATCGTATTGGCTTTAGGGACTACCTTAGTCTAGTATGACCTCAGCTGAACCAATTACCTCTGCAATGACCTTATTTCCAAATAAGGTCACACTCTGAGGCACTAGGCGTTAGGACATCAACATATATTTTTAGAGGAGACACAATTCAACTCATAACAGCTGAGGCTTGAGCCGTGGGGTGACTTAGAGATGGGCGGGACTTGGTAGGGTGTGTGTATGTGGAGAGGTGGGAGCTGGGCCTCTCCACCTCCCTCCTGAGGGCAGGAAGGCTCAGGTAAGTGCAGGTGCTGATGGAGGCTGAGGGGGCGAGGGAAGAAAAGGAGGAGGTGCTGTCCAGTGCTGATCCTGAGGGGAAGGCAAGGATGGTTGAAGAGTGCCAGGCGTGATAAGTAGATGTCAGAGACAGAGATTCCTGAGACATCGACTGTGGTGCTGGCCAGAGAAAGAGCCTGGCTGGGATAACGGGGAGGCTGGACTTCATGGCTGGGCCAGTCCCCACCAGGCCTTATGGGCTGGGCTGAAGAATTTGGGCCTTTTCCTGAGGATAGTAGAAATATGCTGAGGGTATTAACCAGGGCTATAAAACAGAGCTTAGCAAACTATATTCATGGGTCAAATCTACAGCCACAGCCTCTACAATAGGTGTACCAGGAAGAAAGAGTTCACACATTTTTAGCAAAATATAACAATATCAAGTGTAATGTTTCATGTCAGATGAAAATTATATGATATTCAAATTTCTGTATCCATAAATAGTTTTACTGGGACACAGCCATGCACATTTGTGGACACAGCGTCTGCAGCTGCTCTCCTGCTGCACAGGCAGAGTTGAAGGTTGCCATAAACTGTGTGGCCTGTGAACCCTCAAACATTCACTGTCTGTCCTGGACCAGAAAATGCTTGCCAACCCCTGGTGCAAAATAGGCAGGTTTACATGTGTACGAAGGTCACTCTGACTGCAGACTGGAGAGGGAACTGGAGTTGGTCAAGGCCACAGGGTTAGAGGCCAATTTGGTCTTTGCCATAGACTGGAGAGAGGTGATGGGGCTGACCATGTACAATGATGCTGGGGGGCCAGGGGACAGTGGAAAGATGTCACTGGTGCTAGCATGAGGGGGCACCTGATGGTCTGGGGTAGGCGGCAGTTTCAGTGGGCACAGCTGGCAAGGAGAGGAGGGGTCTGGACAGGTGGAGAATGCAAAGTTGTGTGCTAAAAAGAGGAGAGTGGCTCCCGGCAAGAGAGGGAATGTGGGGCAGAGGGAAGTCTATAGGAGGGACTTTGGTTTTTAAAGATGTGAGACTTGAGCAGGTTTAAACATTGGTGGTGGGAGCAGTTAGGAGAAGTAGAGGCTGAGAGCAGTGACTCACATCTGTAATCCCATCACTTTGGGAAGCCGAGGCAGGGGGACGGCTTGAGGCCAGGAGTTTGAGACCAACCTGGGCAACATAGCAAGAATCTATCTCTACCAAAAAATAAAACAATTAGCCAAGTGTGGAGGTATGTGCTTGTAGTCCCAGCTACTTGGGAGGCTGAGGAAGGAGGATTGCTTGAGACCAGGAGTTGGAGGCTACAGTAAGCTATGATTGCACCACTGCACTACAGCCTGAGTGACAGAGTGAGACTCTGCTTCTAAAAAAAAAAAAAAAAAAAAAAAGAGGCAGAAAGAGAGGGCAAGTGATGGAGCCAACAGCCAGCTCCTGAGGGTCTGGGGTCCTGTACCCAGTGGAGTGCAGTCCCTGGCAGAAGGAGAGGCCTGGTAGGGCAGAGTTAACTGAAGCAGGGTGACAGGAAGTGGGAGAAATCAATTCCTTACAATGCTCCTACTTCCTGGGGAAGGGGGCAGTGAAGGGAGGGGCGGTGGGCTGGCGGTTCAAAACAGCATCTGTTGAGGATGAGTAACCTGACTGGGAAACTGTGGGAAGGCACAGGTGAGGGCAGTAGCTTGACTTTGTTTTTTATTTGTTGCTTTTTTGAGATGGACTCTCACTCTGTCGCCCAGGCTGGAGTGCAATGGCGCAATCTCGGCTCACTGCAACCTCTGCCTCCCAGATTTAAGTGATTCTCGTGCCTCAGCCTCCCGAGTAGCTGGGACTACAGGCACGCACCACCATGCCCGGCTAATTTTTGTATTTTTAGTAGAGATGGGGTTTCACCATGTTGGCCAGGCTGGTCTTGAACTCCTGACCTCAGGTGATCCACCCGCCTCAGCCTCCCAAAGTGCTGGGATTACAAGTGTGAGCCACTGTGCCCAGCCAGTACCTTGACTTTGTACAGGTGCTATCTACACAGGTGGCTGGCTTTCTTCAGCAGGGCTCAGTAGCCTTATGGAAGGAGCAAGGTGGGTTGAAAGTTGGGCTGACCCAAGGCTGGGGCTCTTCCAGGAAGCTGTGACAGATGGACCCCAATGCCAGGGGGCTGAAGACACTGGCAAGAGGGAGGCTGAGATGGTGATGACTGGGTCCACTGGCTGGGGAAGCAGGTTCAGCCAGCAGGCAACTGACAGATGGGGCGGGAGGGCCAGGGTAAGAGGTGGAAGGCGTTCCACAGCCCTGCTGCTCACAGTGAGGTGTGGGGACCAGCCACAGGAGCGTCACCTGGGAGCGGGTCAGAAATGCAGAATCTTGGGCCCCACCCCAGACCTGCTGATCAGAATCTGCATGTGTGGTGTTCCCAGGGTGAGTCCTTGCACACACAACTTTACCATGCTCTGTGATGAGATGGAGCCACGGGTGTGAGGGAGATGGGAGGTCAGAATCAAGGCTTCAAATGGGAAACGGGTCTAGGTGATGACGGAGGTCAGGGTGCTGCCTCATCGGTCCTCAGGTTCCCAGTCTGTGAGATGACTTTGATCATAGTTAATGAAAAGGCTGATCATAGCCCCAAAGAGTCACAGTCTTTAACAACCTCGGCTGTGGCTTCAGACAACCCTTTACTCTGGTCCCAGCTCTGTCACTCACTGAGCACGTGACCTCAGACAAGGGATAGAACCTTGTTATACCTCGGACACTCCATCTGTATAACGGGCAAAGTAAGGATGACTGTCCCTTTTTTTTTGAGACGGAGCCTTGCTCTGTCGCCCAGGCTGGAGTGCAGTGGCGCGATCTCGGCTCACTGCAAGCTCTGCCTCCTGGGTTCACGCCATTCTCCTGCCTCAGCCTCCCAAGTAGCTGGGACTACAGGCGCCTGCCACCACGCCTGGCTAATTTTTTGTATTTTTTAGTAGAGACGGGGTTTCACCGTGTTAGCCAGGATGGTCTCGATCTCCTAACCTTGTGATTCGCCTGCCCCAACTTCCTAAAGTGCTGGGATTACAGGCATGAGCCACCACGCCCGGCCAAGATGGCTGTCTTATAGAAAATACAAGTTCAGGCAGCTCGCTGTAAGGCTTGTTTTCAAACACACATTTGTTCCACTGCGATTGATATATTAGAGAACGATATGAGCATCTGTGGATTTTGCATTTGCTGTGCACAGTTTTGTCTGCAAGAAGCAGGAGTCAATACAGAAAATTGCACCCAGCTGAGGTGGGATGCACAGTTGTGCACAAAATGCACACAGCTCTGGGGTCCCCAGCTCACTGCAAATGTTACACACCCACACCTGGTGTTGCAACTTTTTTTTTTTTTTTTCCAATTTCCGACAACCTTCCTTCTACCACTTAACAGTAACTTATAAGCTGCACCCCTTCTGACACCCACTTCCGCAAGCACACTGGGAGCCTTTTCCAAGGCAAAGTGCCATAAGTATTATAGTAGTTATGCGTTTCTTAACCATTTAATATGTGTAAAATTGTGCAATTATCTTCATTAAGTTCCTTTCTTTTTTAATGTGTTGCTAATGAAGTTTTTGCGTGTTGCTGCCCCCACTCCATTTCCCCCGTAAGCCCTTTGTTTTTTATCGCACAGTTTGGCATAGCATGGTGATTTCTACCAACGTATCCGTCACACAGCAGCAGAACTGACTGCAAAGTGCTTAGCACAGCGCTTGACGTTCGGTAAGCAGTCACGAAATGTGTCCTTATGTGGTTTCCCACTGTTATGAATCATTCTACCCATACTGGAGCTACACCATGCCAGACACTGTGTTAGGCACTGGGAATTAGCAGTAATAATGACAACAACAAAAGCAATAGCAATACCCTTGTCTCCATGTACTGTGGTATCAGCAGCTGCTTGTGTTTAGGTGAAAACGTTACTGCTGCTGCCACACTTGGCTTAGAAATGCACTGTTCCCCAGCTCTACTTCGAGTCCATTCATTTCCTGTTGCTACCCACGAAGACAATAGTGGTCAGTTCCCTGGAGGCCAGAGGGAAGGAGTTAAACATCAGGTCTTTCAGCATCTCCAAATCCCAGGGACCTTAAGGGAATGAAGACTTGGTCATCTTTGGGGAGGAATGACTTTGTCAAGCTAATTCATACTACGATTGGAGGTGGCGGGGTAAGTGGATTGGAAGCATTAACTTGGAGGGGGGTACCAGGCAGGGATTGGTGAGTTGTGATGGCATGAACCCTGCCAAGCACCGCCCAGATGGCCGGAGCTTCCTGTCCCGCTGAGTCCTGCTCTCTGGGATTCACCAGGCTCTGGGTTTCCTTAGACCAGATGTTCCAGGATTACTGGATGTTGATAAGGCTGGAGGATGAGCCACAGTCTCCAGGTTCTTCCCTATAACGAGCTTGGTAGGTCAAGGGATGCTGGAAAGAGGCCGCCCTGGTGTGCCTGCTGTTGGCAGCCCTGCCTGAAGGCCAGCATTGACCCTCTATATCTGCTGCAAGGCTTCAGGTGTGGCTGAGGCTCTCTGCTCTGGGATCTGTATCTATACTTATGCCCACCGCTATATCATCAATGTCTATTTCAACCTAGGTAGAGTAGCTAACTTTAATTTGGCCAACAAAAAAGTGAAACAACAAAAGCAAAAAATCTGTCATGCAGATTTCATTTTCTTTGTTAAAAAGGCCATTTTTAACATCAAAAGAGGACAAAGGGCACAGAGTTTTCTGCAAAGAGTGGATTTACCATCATGAGAACCTGCCACGTGGCCCTGGTTTTGACTAGTTCACAGCAGACTTCTTACACCACCACCCCGGGCCTTCCTCCACGACTGAGCACCAGAGCTTGAGAACTGTGTCCTTTCTCAGAGCCGCCCTGCTCTCTGGGGTTGCGTTCTGACTTTTTTGGCGGCCTGTCTTGACTTCCCTAGCAAGGCTGCAAGCTCCACCTGTTTTTGGAGTGCCCCTGGTACCTGACACTTTGTCTAACTCACAGTGGGTGATCAAGAAGCCGGGGCAGGCCCACTGCTTGCAGGGCTGGAGGGCACCCTGATAAAGCACAGCACAAAGGCGTCCCAAGTCAAACTACTCGGCTTTGCTCTGCCCAGGTAGCTCTGCTCTAAGGGATGGTAGACACAGGTGGAGAAGGAGGGTTTTTGATTGGGTATTCCACTTGCTGTGTGACCTTAGGCAAGCTGCCTAATCTCTCTGTGCCTCCATTTCCTTATCTATAAAATAGGAGTTGTAACAATACTTACTAATATGGGCCAGGCAGTGTTTTTTTTTTTTTTTTTTGAGATGGGTTTTTTTTTTTTTGGTCACCCAGGCTGGAGTGCAGTGGGGTAATCTCAGCTCACTGCAGCCTCGACCTCCTGGGTTCAAGTGATCCCCCCAAGTAGCTAGGACTACAGGCATGCACCACCACACTTGGCTAATTTTTGTATTATTATTATTATGTTTTAAGAGACAGGGTCTTGCCATGTTGTCCATGCTGGTCTCGAACCCCTGAGCTCAAGTGATCCACCACCCCTTGGCCTCCTAAAATGCTAGGATTACAGGCGTGAACCACCACACCTGGCCCCAGGCAGTGTTCTAAGCATTTCACATGTGATAATGCATTTACTCCTTATTAACCACCCTACGAGGTCAGAAATAATAATATCCAAATGTGGCAGATAAAAAAGATCAGGAAACCAAGGAACAAAGATGTTAAGGAACTTGCCCAAGTTTGCATGGCCAGTAGTTGGCAGAGCCCCAGTGGGCTTCTAGATTTTGTGCTCTTAACCACCCTACTATAGCCCCTACCTGAAGATCCAGTGTGAGGATTAAATGAGTTAATACATGTAGTGTGCTTAGGATATGGGCTGGCGTAAGGCATAGTCGGCAATCTTTAAGAGTTAGCTGTTGCCATTATTATTAATGTTATTACTACTCCTTCATCTGTCCTTGCTCTCAGCATCCTCTAACAGCACCCTGACATGGCTCAACATATCCTTATCTAGGACAAGCCCTGGCCCAGCAAAGCAGCCTGGGGAGCTTCAGTCCCAGGTGTCAGAAGCTATGACCCTGGCTGCTGGGAGCCTTACGCCCCAGAGCCAACTCCTCTCTCTGCCTTTCTGTTTTTTGGCTTTTTTTTTTTTTTTTGAGACAGGGTCTTGCTCTGTCACCCAGGCTGGAGTACAGTGGCACGATCACGGCTCACTGCAGCCTTGACCGCCTGGGCTCCAGCGATCCTCCCACCTCAACCTCTCAAGGAACTGGGACTACAGGCGTGCACCACTATGCCCAGCTAACATTTTTATTTTTAGTAGAGACGAGGTCTCGCTATGTTGCACAGGTCTCTGTGCTTGCAAGCGTGAGCCACTGTGCCTGGCCCCTCTCTCTACCTTCCTCAACGTCTGCTCAGATCACAGGCAGCAGGTCCCAGATTCAATCCCACCAGCTCTGAGCTTTCTGCTCTTTGTCCTCCGTGACTCAGTTCCAATCCTTGCCCATTCTCTCTGGGTGTTCCAAAGTCACCCTTGCGGGTGCCTTCAGAGATACCAAGTGGGAGAATTGGACCAGAACTGTGCTAAGGAAGCGCTGGGGACCCGCCTGCGAGCCGCCATCTGGAAAAGGTGGTCGGTGTGGGCTTTGGGGTAATGGCCAGATCTGAGAGGAGGCCAGGAGGGGACTGAGGAGCACAGCTCTGATATTTTACAGTGACCCCCATCAGGATGTGGAGTCCATTTCCCCACTCCCGAAATCTGGGCCAGCTTCATGCCTCGCTTTCATTGACAGAATGTGGTCCTTGTAGCTTCTACATTCACCCTCTAAGATCAGGGCCCCAACACCATGGTGGCCCACCATGCTACCAAGGAGGAGAAACCACGTGGAGAAAGAGATCCTGCACCCAGCTGTCCCCACCAAGCCCAGCCCAAGCCGACTGCCAGATGGGCACAACTTCATGGCCAGCCCAGGAGAGACCAGGGGGAATAATAATCCCGGTTGTTTAAGCCACCGAGTGCTGATTTGGTTTCCTAAGCAGCAGTAGGTAGCTGAGCAGAGTAGCTATCTGTGGCCCGGCCGGCACGCTCCTGCAGGCAGGACCTCACTGTGCACTCCCAGGCCCATGGTGTTTGAGTGCCGCGGTGGCTGGAGCCTGTGGATGTGCTGTGGGTTGGCCTCCAGGGACTGTGCCCTATCTCCCCTGGAGAGACTGTCTCTCTTAGTCACTAGTCTTCATTCTGCAGAAAGAACAGCCTCTTCCTTCTCCAGCTGTCTGTGAGCCCACCAGTGCCTGGAACCCCCTCCTATGCCTTCTGTTTATCTTGAGTTACAGAACACACCAGCATCTCTCAGCCCCCAGGGGCTGCCAGTTAGAGCCAAAACCCCTATTTTCAACCCCCTCCCAGGAGGAGTCTCTGCCATCCCAGCGGACTTGGGCGACCCTGGGAGAAGACTGGACTGGTAAGTCAGAAACCCCAGCTCCCCTGCCAAATGGCCCACTGCAGATATTCCTCTTCAGGGCGACGAAGACACAGGGGAGAGGTACCTGCACCCTCCCACACTGAGGAATCCTATGAATGGGCTGGGGGCGGGGAGGGGAGTCAGGCGCCACGGCAGCCCCCAGGAAGCAGGGGTCATTACCAACTCCCCAGGCGTCTGTCTAGACCATTTGCCTGCCTGAGCGCATAACTGAGTCAAGATCTAATTAGTTTCTGTGTCCTGGCTGAGAGCCAAGGCCGGGCGCAGGAGGACCTGGGAGGGGGTGGAAAGCGGGAGATTCTCAGGGTAAGCGGGGTCTCCAGCCCAGCTGTGTGCGGAAAAAGAATGAACTCTCATTTCCATGCACTGAACCATTCCAGATAAAAAACATATGTGCCTCCGATGGAGCCCACCCTCCCCTCCCCAAGGACTGTGGGCCACACATGGCCTGCACCCATGTCTGTGCACCCGTTAACCAGGGATTCAGGCCAAATTCAAATATGTCAATCTCAGGTGATGAATGATGAAACCCTTCCTAATTTGCATGTTAAATTTCCTTGTGGTGGAAATAAATAGCCTCAGTTCATCAGGGAAGAGCTTTCCTCGGGAGCCTTTCATTAAAGGCGGCGGCGAGTGCTTCATTTGCATGTTCTGTGCGGCACATTGGAGAGTCTGGGCGGATGTGGCCAGCGGGGCCCCAGGGCTGCCAGGATGGGCCATGGAAAATGCATCCGTTGCTGGGAAGTGGGAGGAGATGACAGGAAGAAGTGAGGGTGTGGCTGTGTGTGCGCACCTGTGCATTCCAGACTGTTCCATGCAGAGGAGCTGGTGGCAGGTCCACATCCCTAGCTCCCCGCTAATTTGCAGTGTGACCCTGGACTTGTCACTTTACCTCTCTGGGCCTCAGTTTCTGTATCTATAAAATGGGAGGCATTAAGTGTTTTGTATTAAGTAAAAGCAAAGCAATAGGTGTTTTGGATCCTCACAGCCCTCCTTGTGAGAATTAAATGCATTAACACTAATGAAGGCATGTTGTGCATGGCTGTGTGTGGGGTCATGCTCTGTGGACTATGGATGGACATCCAGAGCTGTGCATGGGCACACAGGGTGCTTTTGAGAGACAGCAGCATCGCCCTGCCTGCCCCAGCTTCAGAGAGCTCCACAGTTTCATAGAAATGTCCTCCCCGTCCCACCTACAGCTCTCTGTGGGCTGTGACGTCCTTGTGTGATCCTGCAATCAAACAAGGACACCGAGGGAACTCTGCAAACATCTCATCAGAAGAGAGAGGTGAGGACAGAACATGTGACCTGGGGATGCCGGGCCTGGCAATGTTCCCATCCCTGACCCGGCGAGTCCCTCTCCTGTTCCCAGGGGCCCAGCCTGACCAGGGAAATGACACTGAGTGAAATTGATGTTGGCACCTTTGCCTCTGATCACGCCAGGATGCTGAGGAGCTGGGGAGCCCAGTGAGATCCAAGCAGCACTGCACGGAGACTCAGGGGGCCTGGGTCTGAATTTTAATTCTGATGTGAACTCATGCCATGTCCCCCAAGGAGTCATTTCCACTCAGGGCCACCATGTCCCCCCTGTAAGACAGGGCTTGGCCTGGATGCCAGCTGAGGTGTTCTGTGGCTGCGTGACTCTCTCATAGCTCCTAGTTTCCCCTGCCTGCCCCCTGCACCGGTGTCCTCAGCCCAGGTCCAGCGAGGCCACACCCATCGTCCATCTCCAGCTTCCTCGGGAGTGGGGGACCCATTTTCTCCCCAAGCCAGGACCCGTTACGGAGAGTGTGAGCAAACAGGTTGCTATGGAAACCAAGCCAGTCACGGTTTGAGAGACTTTTGCATCTTTTTTCCGCCTTTCCCCTTACACTTTGAACTTATTAGTCTTAATTGACATAATTTTTGCGAGGTTGTCAACTCAAGGCACAAGGAGCCAGCTGTGCCTCTCGCTGCCCAGCACCAGCACTGACCCTTGGGGATGCTCCCTGCTGCCTCTCTCCCTCCCATCTGCCACCACCCTGCCTTTCCCTGCTACTGACTAGCAAATCCTGAGGCCACACTCGGTCCCCTCATGTCGGGAAGAACCTGTCCTAAAGCAGGAGGGGGCCTCCCAGGCCAGGGTGGGGGCACGGGCTGCGTGCAGGACCGCGTGCATCTGTGGGAAGCAGGTCGTAAGGAGCACCACCCCATGTCCTCTGGCACCAGTGGCCTCAACCTCTTGGCTAATGGTTTTAGCAGGACTGATCAGAGGAGGCGGGAGTGAATCATTCTCTCTGAGCCTCTGACTTCTCTGCGCAGTGGAGGTGTTGTACCTGCCCCGGGCTGAGGATCCAACAGAGCATCAAGGAAGGTGGCCTGTACAGCAGGAAGCGCCTTCTAGTTGAATTGTTATGAGAAAGGGGGCTGGAGGGACCCCCAAGAGGGAGCGAGGGGTGGCCAGCCAGCTCTTTACCCCTTCCTTCCATGCCAGGACCCTGACCCCATGTGCCAGGGCACCTATGCACAGAAGGGCAGCTCAGCTCCAGCTGGGAGAGTCCAGGGGATGCCAGCACCTCACTGTAGGTCATGGTTCTCAATGGGGGTGCTGTTGCCCCAGGACACAGGTGGCAGCATCTGGAGACATTTTTGGTTGTCACATCCAGAAGGTGTCTATTGGGATCTAGGGGTTATAGGCCAGGGCTGCCTCTTAACACCTTACATCACGCATGACAGACTCCCACCCTCCAACAAAGAACTTTCCATCCTCCAATGTCAGCAGTGCTGAGGCTGAGAAGCCCTGCTCTAGCTGTTTCTAGCTGGTGCCTTCCTCCCAGGCAGCATAAGGCTGTGGCCTGAGGATCCTCAAATAGTGATACCCCTTGCCTCGCCCTCTGCCTCGCTGTTGGATATTGGAGGCCTGCCCCGTGTGTGTGTGTGTGTGTGTGTGTGTTTGTTTGTGTATGTGTGTGTGTGCATGCGTGCTATGTAGGCAGATGGGGTCCCTTCAGCCTCCCCACCTTCCCCGATCCTCAGGAGTGGGAGGAGCTGGCCTCAGGTCGGGAGAAGGACAGCCTGCTCCTCCTCCCAGCCCACCTCTCCCATTCCTCCCTGAGGATTTCGCCATTTCCAAACTCGTTAACTTTTAATTACTACCTTCCCTCTGCCTGAGTACACTGGCTCCATGCCACGTACATCTCTATTAAAATTCAATTTATGCCCATCATAACTAATTCCTGTACTTCAGTTTTCTCACCATCAGCCTTCAATTTTCAGACAAGATGTCCAAGCTCATGGCCAAATTGGAGTAAATCTCCAAAGGGCTGGAACAGGCAGATAGGATCTAGCCTCATTGAGGAAAAGGAACCTGGACTTCCCGGGAGGGTGGGAAGGAACCGTGGCCAGGAAGAATGAGGTGGGAGGAGCCTGCCCTGCTGGGTGGGAGTCAGCGTCATGCCCTTGGTGGCTCTCAGACCATCCTTTCCATTGATGGAGCCATCTGTGACCAGACACTCTTCTGCACGCTTCATCTTGCATGACATTCCCAGCCACCCTGGGAGGTAGCTACTGGTCTTATTATTCCCATTTCCCAGACTAGGCAACCGAGGCAGGGATTAGGCAGTTTGCTCAAAGGCACACAGTGAGTCAGGGGCAGGACTGGACATCACAAGGTGGGATGCTGGGGCTGGATCTGGGAAGATAAACAACGGTTTGCCAGGTAGCAGAGGCGTGCGAGGACGGTAGAGGTGGAGGACAGAGGTGGGCATGGGCACGAGGGCATGAAAGAGCAGAGACCACGGGTGCACGATGCGTTCTGCCCATTAGCGAAGGGAGTTAGTGAGAGAGGAGGCTGGACAGATGGACAGGACCCGGTGATACAGGGTCTTGTACTCCCTCGACCAAAATCCTTTCGAGACTGTCCACTGCCTGCTGGATATATCCGAGAAGATTCTTCCTGGCGTTCCAGGTCCTACCTCTGCCATCTTGGGTCAGCCATGTCTCCCACTTCCTAGGGCAACTGGCTCAACCTGTCATGCCCCTTCCAGTCTCCAATTCTTGATTCCTACTTGCCTGTGAGGATTCCCCCTCCACTCCCTGCCCCGACTTGCTCATCCCTCTCTAACTCCTCAACTTGCCCCATCCTCCCCCTCCTGAAGGTCACCAGACTTCTATGTCCCTAAATTGAGCTGACGATTTATTTATTTGTTTTTATTTATGTTTTGAGATGGGGTCTCGCTTTGTCGCCTAGGTAGGAATGCAGTGGTGTGATCTTGGCTCACTGTAAACTCTGCCTCCCAGGTTCAAGTAATTCTCCTGCCTCAGCTTCCCAAGTAGCTGGCCTTACAGGCACGAGCCACCACACCTGGCTAACTTTTGTATTTTTAGTAGAGACGGGGGTTTCACCATATTGGCCAGGCTGGTCTCAAGCTCCTGACGTCAGGTGATCCACCCACCTTGGCCTCCCAAAGTGCTGGGATTATAGGCGTGAGCCACTGCGCCCAGCCTGAGCTCATGATTTTGGAATCCAGCAGCGGTTGACACAGTTGGTCCTTCCTAAACCAAGAACACACCCTCTTTCCTCCCAAGACACTGCAATCTCCAGGCTTCCCCTCTCCCATCCAGCCTCTAGGTTTTGTTCTGCCAGGCTGGTTTCCAACTCCCTTATATATGGCCTGGTGGGACCACAGAGCCCTTTCCTCTGATGCTATGTTCATTCTCTCATCCTGCCATGTCAACACCAGTGAGTCCTAAATTAATATCTTCAGACTTTTCTTCTAGTTGCCTGTTGGACATCCCGATCCAGCATCCAAAACTGAGTACAGTGTCTTCCCAGAAAGCTCCTTCTCCGCCTGGGATTCCTTCCTCAACCACCTCAATGCCCATCTTCCTCCCTCTCCTGCATGGCCAGCAGAGCCTCACGTCCCACCAGTTATCCCTCCTCAATGCATCTCAGACCCATCCGCTCCCACCAAGATGGCCCAGCCGCCCCTCGCAGCACAATGGACCCACACCTCCTCTCTGCTCTCTTCCACCCGCTTCTCACCCAGCTTCCTGAGCAAAGATTTGAAACATGAGCATCTGATCATGTCCATTCCCTGGGAAAAACCATTCGAGGGCTCCACATAGCTTTTGGCAGAAAATGCAAGTCCCTAAGAGAGCTAAACGCCCCTACTTGATCTCGCCCCAGTGTCCTCCTTGGCCACGTGGACCTTCTTTCAGATCCTCCAGACACAAGGTCCTTGGATGGAGCCGCAGGGACCATTCCTTTGGCATCCCCCTGCCCTGGCTACCTCCACTCATTCTCTGGGTCCCAACTTCCCCAGTGGAATCTGTTTGACCTTACTTTCCCTTGAAAGCACGCATCAAAACTGGATCCACCCACACTTGCACTATTATTTAGTTCTGCTTCTACACATGGGGGCCAGGATCTTCCTGTCTTATTTAGGACCATATCACCAGCAGCCGGTATCTGGTCACAACCGGCACCCATTGTAGTAACCCAGGGATGCTGGCGTCTCCTGACACGAGCACCTCCTTCTCTCACGGTTTGTCCACACTACTCAAGTTCTGTGTCTCCCAGGTGCTGCTCCAAACTCCTCCAGCTCCTGTTCGCCTCTTTCTGCCTCTTCCTGAAACTCCCACGCTCACTTGGCCTCAGTCCCCTGCTGTTGCTCCTCAGCCATGGTACTTAGAGTCCTGTGAGCACCTCTAGCTCCAGTGAGAACAAACATTTCCAAAGGTGGCAGGGCAGGCGGGGCTGGCACTGCCTTTCCGATTGTCCTCCTTGCCTAGCTCTGTGCCGGGCAGGCAGAAGGCCCCCAGTCCTTGCCTGATGAATGAACAAATGCTGGCATCTCCTGCTGTTCCTTCACCAGGCTTGGAAGCAGAAGGCCTGGCACTTGTCTTAACTTTATGATTTCAGATCTTGGACAAGAAATGAAACCTGAGCCTTTGTGTTCCTCATGTATCAAGACGCCTCTCCTTATAGGAGTTGCTGATGTTAAGGGATTCAGAAGAACCGAAGTAAAAGTCGCAGTGTGGGGCCTGGCATGAGGTAGGTGATCGTTTGGAGTGTTTGTTAATAAGAGTTAAGGTACTATTTCTCCTTCTGCAGTGGCTTAGAAAGTGCCACTGCCCGGGGGAAGGACAAGCTCAGCCAGGCAGCACAGAGCAGGGGAGGGACGCAGGCTTGGGGTCCTGAAGATCCTGGGTGAAACCTGACTCCGTGTACTGGCTGTGTGACCTTGGGTAGGTTGCCGAACCTCTCTGAGCTGTGAATTCTAGTTAGGAAGCAGAGATAATAATTGCACTAGTCTTCCAGAACTGCTGCCCGTAAGAGCTTGGCTCGGTTCCTGGCACTTACCCTGTGCCATGCCTGTGCTCCCGTGCCCTCTGGGAAGGCCCACTGGCCTCTGCCTCCCCATCTCTGCTGCCTGCTCTCTCTTCTAAGGGGAGGCCAGAAAGAGGGCCAGAGAAGCCAGAGATAAAGCCGCTGGCCTGGGGAATTTCTCTTCATCTTCTTATCTGAGGAGTTTCAAAGGCTGCCAGTGGCTCCGCGTGCGTCCCCTGCTTTTGTGTCCCTTGCTGGGGCCGTCACATGTGCAGGGCTTCTCTGCCTCAGATATACTTTCTTCTCCCAGCTGCCAAGCCCATGCAGTTCACAGACACCACAGCTCTGCCACAAGGACCTCAGCATGGCATGGGGGCTGGGGACCCAGCCTGGGGCCGGCCAGATGCCCACCTGGCTCTCCTGGGCCTCCCCTGCACACATCTGCTCTTCTCCACATGGGCCAGGGGTGGGACTCGGCCTCAGCTGGTCTCACACCCTCACGCTTGCCTCTCGGAAGGGGGTCCTGCCTTCATGGCCCCCGGGGCAGAAGAATGACACACAGTGATGTGGGGCAGGGACAGAAGGAGCCCAATGGGAAACCATGTGTGCCTTTGCAGAGAGGGCAGCACACTCAGGTCCAACAGTGCTCCCAGATCTGCCGCTCACTCTCTGGATAATCCCAGGCAAGTTTCTGACCCTCTCTGAACTTCAGGTTCTTCATTTGCAGAATGAAGGTAATGAGATTCACCTGTTGTGAGATGACGGCAGTAAAGGACTTGGCACCCATGAGCCTCCATAAACATTAATCCGTGCATGCCCAATTATGCATGGGAATCTGTGTGTGTGTGTGTGTGTGTGTGTGTGTGTGTGTGTGTGTGTGTGTGTGTTTGAGTGATCGCCTTGCTCATCTTTTCTTTTTTCTTCTATTCGATTTTAAGTGTGAGAATAATTATGCCAGAAGGTGTTACCAAGGTGGGACAAAATCATCTGGTTGATGACGTTGCCAGGGCACAGACCCAAGGATGAGTGGCAGGGTCCATCCTTCATCCATCCTCCCTCCATTCTCCTCCATCCTCCGTCCATCCTCCCTCCATTCTCCTCCATCCTCCATCCATCCTCCCTCCACTCTCCTCCATTCTCTGTCCATCCTCCCTCCATTCTCCTCCATCCTCCATCCATCCTCCCTCCATCTCCTCCATCCTCCCTCCCTTCTCCACCATCCTCCGTCCATCCTCCTTCCATCTCCTCCATCCTTCTCCATCCTCCTTCCATCTCCTCCATCCTTCTCCATCCTCCTCCATCCTCCCTCCATCTCCTCCATCCTCCCTCCATTCTCCTCCATCCTTCTCCATCCTCCCTCCATTCTCCTCCATCCTTTGTCCATCCTCCTTCCATTATCCATCATCCTCCATCCATCCTCCCTCCATCTCCTCCATCCTCCATCCATCCTCCCTCCATTATCCTCCATCCTTTGTCCATCTTCCTTCTGTTCTCCTTCATCCTCCATCCATCCCCCCTCAGTTCTCCTTCATCCTTCTCCATCCTCCCTCTGTTCTCCTCCATCCTCTGTCCATCCTCCTTCTATCTCCTCCATCCTCTCTCCATCTTCCCTCTATTCTCCTCCATCCCTCCTCACTCCATCTCCTCCATCCATCCTCCCTCCATTCTCCTCCATCCTCCTTCCGTCTCCTCCATCCTCTGTCCATCCTCCCTCCATTCTCCTCCATCCTCCATCCATCCTTCCTCTAGCCTCTGTCCATCCTCCCTCCGTTCTCCTCCATCCTCTTTCCATCCTCCCTCAGTTCTCCATCCTCTGTCTATCCTCCCTCCATTCTCCTCCATCCTCCATCCATCCTCCCTCCATCTCCTCCATCCTCCATCCATCCTCCCTCTGTCCTCCTCCATCTCCATCCCCTGTCCTGTCATTTCTCCAGCCAGGGGGGTTGTCTCCAGCCATGCTGCCCTTGCTGATGAAGTGGATGTAAACTTAAGCTGAAAGGATTCAACCTGGGAGATGGCTCCTGGAGAAGAGGGAGCTGAGAGCGGTCAGATGAGAGAGGCTCCAGCACTAACACTAGAGGGCCTGACCTCTAGGGCTTTTATGTGAGTTGCACACACACCTTCCTGCTGTACTCAGACAGGCTCGTGACTAACTGTTAACCTGCACACAAGGCTGTGTGGGAATCATACACACACAAACACATACATGCATGTGCATGCACACACACACACACACATATTTTAGCAGACACATTAGACTCCATACATTAGACTCTGTATATCCAAATAAGTTTTGTGTTCTTCCTCCCCCCCACCACCTGTCCCCAGCACATGCCCCAGGAATCACTCTGGGAAGCTGCGTGCCTGTTCCAGGGGAGAGGCAGGCCGTGGGGCCAGTGTCCACACCTTGAGGAGGGTCTCCCATGCAGTATCCTCCTGCTCACATGAGAGAAAGGATCTCATTTCTTTAAAGTCAGATTTTGCTTTGTTTCCTTGCTGTGCTCCCAGCTCTTAGAGCCACCTCATTTCTCAAACTGGGAATTCAAGGCTGGTTTCGAAATGGATAATGATTTGTCACCAACAAAGGGTTCTCACAGCTCTTGCCTAAGAGGAGTTCTGCACAGGTGTACAGAGCCCCAGGTGGCCACTCAGAGGAGACAAGCTACCTACACACGTGATTTTCTAGGGGGTTTGTTATCAGATCTGTTCCAGGATCTTGTCGAGACAGACACCTTGAATAATCCTAACAGGTACCATTCATGTCACATCTTTTGCACCAGGGTGGGCTTGACCTGTAGAATCCCAGGTATTCCTTACAATAATTCTCTGATGCAGGCATTACTGCGCCTGATTCCAAGAAGTGAAAACAAATTCAGGGTGGCTAACCACTTCTGCCTAAGGTGACAGAGCTAGCAGGGACAGGGTCATATTCATGCAGGCCTGACTTCAACGTCTATGCTCTTTTCACTCTGACCCCAATGATGGATGTGGACCCACATATTTATGCCACAATCACACATACTCAGAAGGGTGCACAGGCTTGCCTTTGTGTAGTGCACATACACACACACACACACACACACACACACACACACACCAGACCCATTTGGCTACAGAACCCAAGAATAAAGACTTTCAGAGACTGGACATGAATATAAACTTTCCTCCCTTTGGAAACATAAATTTATGGCAGCACTTCTAATCTTATTTTCTCTCAACTTGCTGAGTAAATTTAGCCATTTTCCTGCCTGAAAATTGGATATTATCATCTTACTCAGAGCCTGGGGTTTGTAAAAGACAGGGAAGTCCTCAGTATCCAGCAGTGGTTGGAGAGCCGTGGGCTATGAAGCTGGACAGTCTCCTATGGAATGCACTTTTCAGTATGCATTTATTTAAAAGGTGAACCTGGAACATTTTTTGAGCCCAAAACAAGGAAATGTTCAGAATCTAATGGGGATATATTCAAAGGACCCATGCTCCAGCTTGAAGGAGCTCCACTGGCCAAATTTAGGTTAAGATGAGTATGGAAATGAACAATGTCATGCGTGGATTAAAGCACATTGAATAAAAACCATAATGCATGAGTTTATACTGATGCTAAATTACTTTAAAGGGGGTCAGAAAGGAAAGCTGTTTACAAAAGAATGCCACCTAAGTAAAAGGAATACAAGAAAATCTCCTTATCCCAACCACCATAGTAATAACTGATTCGGGTAAGACTCTTCAATGGATACTAAACCACTGGGTGGGAGAGTCGTGGGAAGGAGATTATTCACATAGTCCCAAGTTATCCCTCTATAGTCCACTCATCAATAACGAAGGGAAGAAGATACTTCAACCTTTTGACAATGGAGAAATCTGGTGGATATCACCTTGACCAGTTCATCAAACCTAACATCACCAATAACGGGGCAAATTGTCATCAGGCACCTTCCAGTGTGAAGCATCAAAGACACATACCTACAAATATGCTTCCCAAAAGGCTTAACATGAGTTTAATCATGAGGATATAACTGGACAAACCCACATTGAGGGAAATTCTGCAAAGCCGGCTGGACTCTCAGAAGTGCCAAAGCCATGAAAGGTAGGAAAGAAACAATAAGGAATAGTTCTAGATTTAAGGTGTATCAAGACTCATGGCAATTAAAGGTCACACGTGATCCCCGATTAGGTCCGGCGTTGAAGAAGAACAACAACCATGGCCATGAAGGACACTGGGATAAAGGTACGTCCATCCGAACAAATGGAGAAACTTGAATATAGGCTGCTTTTTAGATTGCAGTATTGTATCATTGTTAAATTTCCCAACTGTGAAAATTGTGTCGTGCATGGTTCTGCGGGTAAATGCCTTGCTCTTAGGAAATATTATTTATGAATGAAGTGACATGATGTCTACAGCAAATCCTTGAATAGTTCAGCAGAAAACGTGCATGTTTATACGTGTGTAGGGAGACAGTAAGAGAGCACAAATGAGCAAAATGTTAGCAATTGTGATGGTACATGTATGCAGGTGTTTACAGTACTAACGATTTTACTAAGATTTGAAAAAAATCAAAATTAAAAGAGAGAAGAAAGAAGCACCTGCTATGAGCCAGGGACACAGGTGGCTTCCATCTAACCACCACTCTTTTCCCTTCTTATGTTAACAACTTTCACCCTTCTTCCCTACCACGTGGCTGTAGTGTGAGGGCTGCCAATCCTGATGTCTCAAGCCCTGGAGTAGGCACATGATGCAGGCCTGGCCAATCAGGGTGCTCCATGCTGTTGCCCACCACGACTGGTCAGGGATGGTCTGAGCTGGGCCAATCAGAATCCTTCCCTGGGACTTTCTAAGTGAAACTTCCAGAAAAGTTCTTTCTACTCAGAAATCAGGCAGCTATAGCTTGTGAGCCCTGAACTTCTCAGTGTCACTCATGACTCATGAAGTATGAACCCAGAGGTGGGCACAGCTGAGCGACTTGGAGGAAAGAGGGCCTGGCAATATCAAGCTCTTGGTCTAAGTCCTGAGGTTCCAGGAACTGCCAAGGTTCTGGAAGCTCTGACTTCGGTTCTGTGGTGCACTTGTGGTCTCCTCTGTAAATAATGAGAAGGCAAAAAAGGTGTCAGGGGATATGTAAGGCCATACTTTCTGGACAGTCACAAAGGACAGAGGAGATGGAGCAGTGCGTGCGTGTGTGTGTGTGTGTGTGTGTGAGAGAGAGAGAGAGAGAGAAAGTGTGTGTGTGTGTGTGTGTGTGTGTGTGAAAGAGAGAGAGAGAGAGAGGGAAAGAAAGAGAGAGGGAAAGAGAGAGAGAGAGAGAAATTAAGAATACATGCATTATTGGCTAGGCGCGGTGGCTCACGCCTGTAATTCCAGCACTTTGGGAGGCTGAGATGGGCAGATCACGAGGTCAGCAGATCGAGACCATCCTGGCTAACACGGTGAAACCCCGTTTCTACTAAAAAAAAAATACGAAAAATTAGCTGGGCATGGTGTCGGGCGCCTGTAGTCCCAGCTACTTGGGAGGCTGAGGCAGGAGAATGGCGTGAACCGGGGAGGCAGAGCTTGCTGTGAGCCGAGATTGTGCCACTGCACTCCAGCCTGGGGGACAGAGCAAGACTCTGTCTCAAAAAAAAAAAAAAAAAAAAAAAAGAATACATGCATTATCAGGAAAGGTTTTCTAAAAGAGAAGGAATTTGAGCTGGGCCCTGCAGGAGAAAAAAAAGTTTTCAAAAGGGGAAATATTCCCGTGGAGGGGATAGGACAGTTTGGACAAAGTCCGAGAAGAGGGAATTTGCAGGGAACTGTCCTGAGACCCTTGATGGTCTAGCGGGGGTGGCAGGAGGTGAGACTATGCCAGCAGGAGCAGATCAGGAAGAGTTCTAAGGCCCTTCTAAGGAGTGCAGACCTTGCCTCAGGGGCACAGCAAGTTTTTAATTGAAGGAAAATCCTGATTGGACCTGCATTCAGGCACACCGTTGCCCCCAGGCCACCAGATCCAACACTCTTAGGGGCGAGGAGGTAAAGGAATGAGTTTCCCAAGTGCGCGCTCATCTATTTCCCTTGAATAACTTCCACCCAACATAGCTATAAAATGGAGTATCTGCATTCTCCCGATTGCTTTGTTTTCTAGAATTTGCAGAGCAGTTAGCCGAAAGATTGCTTAGGATACACATTAAGGAAGCAATTGCAGCAATCCTTCTTCAATGAGAGGCAGTGTGGTGGATGGTAACAAATTCCCACTCTGCTGTCAGACAACTTATTTTTGAAGCCCAACTCAACCATCTGACTTTAGGTGATGTCTTTAACTTCTCTGAGCTTCAGTGTGTTTATCTGTAAAATGGGGGGAAATAACTGAAACTACTCATAGGATTGTGGGCAGGATTAAATGAGATAATCGCAGAGGGACATCACAATGTCTGCCATATAAGAAATTCTTTTTCATTGTCTATGATTGCTATCATCATTGTTATTGTCATCATCATCATCATCATCCTCAATAGCTGGACCTCATCATCGTCAATAGCTGGACCTCATCATCGTCAATAGCTGGACCTCATCATCATCATCATCAATAGCTGGACCTCATCATCGTCAATAGCTGGACCTCATCATCATCAATAGCTGGACCTCATCATCATCATCATCAATAGCTGGACCTCATCATCGTCAATAGCTGGACCTCATCATCATCATCATCAATAGCTGGACCTCATCATCGTCAATAGCTGGACCTCATCAGCATCAATAGCTGGACCTCATCATCGTCAATAGCTGGACCTCATCATCATCAATAGCTGGACCTCATCATCATCATCATCACCACCAATAGCTGGACCCTGTCCACTCCCTGAATGCCTGCAGGGACAAGGGCTGACTGTTTTCAAAGGCAGGCCATTCCACATGGTCCTTCCACTGAGCTGGAACCTGCTTCTGTGTACCACCCGCCCTTGCATCCTAGCAGTGCCAGGGCCCCAGAAGAGCAGCTCTGAACCAGATAAGGAACCAACTCTCCTCCTCCCCTCCTCCTGGATCCTGCCTCCGGCTCCCAGCCGGAAGAAGTCAGGGGCAGGCTAGGCCCGGCACTACTTGCACGTGTGGTATGCCATCCCATGCTCTTGGTCACCCACTTGAGCGTGTCCAAAGTCTAAGATGATGCAGGGGCCCTTCACAGAGACGGTCACAACTTCCTGGGTGTGCCAGGTGGTGGCCAGGAGAGGCTCTGGCCCCCAACTGAAAACCACAGAAGGGGCTGCTCAGGGAGAGCTTTCTGATCTCCTTGTGGGCTTCCTGGAGAACCGGAGGCCCAGAGTGGCCAGCCCTGCAGGACCTCTTGCTTGCTCATCCAGCTCTCCCCTCTGCAGGAGGGGAGGGGGTGCCCTGTCCTGGGCTTTCTTTTGCCAATGTGGCCACACTACACCAGCCCATGCAGTCCAGGGTTAAGGCAGAAAGACTGGGGTGGGGAGTCACTCCAAACTCTGGCCTCCGCACTCCCTAAAGGAAAGGCTGGTTCTCCAGAAGGACAGATCAAGCAATGATACCCCCTCCTCTTATTTGCATACCTGTCCCTGGCAGCAGATTTGTGTCAACATCCCCAGGGCAAGACAATCTTGTTTCCCCAACAAAACCGATTATGCACATCAGGCCCTGGGATTAATCACCAGCCACAGGGTTGGAGCCAATAAAACAGGCGGAGGTGGGAGGATAAGAGCAGAAAGGAGGGAGTGCCTGCCCCAGTCTGTGGCTGCGAGGAAAGGCTGGAGGCCAGGGTGGCCTGGGTGAGGGGCTGCTTCCCTGCTGGCAGCAGATCCACCCTTGCTGAGACCCTATTCTCTTTCCCTGCTCTTCCTTCTCCCCACCTGGCAATGTCCCGGCAGGGAAAGGCCAGTCAGGCCCAAGAGCTCCATGGCACGGGCACAGATAGGAAGTGAAGATAAGCTCAAGAGGCCCTGAGAGGGCCATCTCTGTGTCCCACCTGAATTTCCCATAGATAGAAGATGTCCCCTCCTTCACTGATCCCAGGTTGCTGCAGAGCCCACCCCTCCATTGGACCCAGGCCCCACAACAAGAGTCCCCTGGAGATGGCAGTGTTCGAGAGAGTGAGCAGGGGGCCACAGTCACAGCCACAGCCACAGCTGCTGTTAGTGAGTCCCTGTGCCCAACACCACCTCTGCTCCTATGCACTGTGGTACAGACCATCCTGTCCAGGCAGCGCTGGCCCCTGGTCCACAACCCAGCCATCCTCTGCAGGGATCAGTAGGGTGGAGCCATCTCACCTTGGGGCAGGGCTGCCTTTGCCACTCACTTCCAGAACTCCAGGCTCTAGGAGCCCTGAGCCCCACACTGTCACACAAACCCCCTCCTCACCATGCCCTCTTCAAAGCAGGGCAGTGGTCCTGGCAGCCAGGAGGAAGGGCGGGGAGGGGCAGTTTACCTGTATTCCAGGGAGAACTTGGTCAGCTCCCTGTTGTTGTGGAGCCACTTGAACTCCAGTGGCCAGCTGCCCTCGGCCATGCATGTAAGCACCAGGCGGTTTCCTTCCAAGTGCACCTGTGTCCGCACAGGCTCTGTCTTGAAATACGGGGACACATCATCTGCAGAAACAGGGAGACAAAGCCACCAGTGATCACTTGCTCACCTATGTGACCTGGTGCGTTTAGTATCCTAAGGCCCTTAGGCAGATGGAGCAGGTGCAGCCAGGTAATTTGCCCAAGGTCCCGTGGCTGGGAGGGACTTGAACCTGGGTCAGTCTGACTCCAAGGCTTGGTCTTCAGCGGGAGTCACCGACATCTGCCAACCAGAGCCCTGCCTCCTTCCTCCCCAGACCACGCTGGGCTATTGCCCTGCTGCCAGCCCACACTCCAGCATCTTCTGTCACTTCCCTCTCAGCATACACATCCACTCCATCCACTCTGCTCATGGGTTCCCCCTCCAGGGCAGGAGGCAAGAGGGGCACTTTCTGTGGCCCAGCCAAAGGGAATATCAATGTCACAAGGAGAATAGGGAGGCAGATTGACAACTGTAGGGGGTAAAGGGTCTCCTGAGTCCTGCTCCCCAAGGCTGGGGGAAGCCCTCAAAGTGTCAATCACAGAGTCCATCCAGCAGGGCCCCATGGCCACCAGCTGCCTGTTTCTTCCATCCTGGGTCCTGGAGCCAGCCTGCCTCTACCTCCCCGTTCACTCTAGGCTGGCCGCCTGGTTGCCCAGATGATGGGTGAAGAGCAGAACAGCTGCTTCCCCCTCTCTGCAGTCACCCTTATCCTCTGAGCTGACTCAGCCTCGCAGACCTCCCTGCCCCGCCACGGTTCTCTCGACAGAGACCGTGAATTTCGCCCCAGACTTCACAAGACTGCTCAGCTGGCTGATCTGGATGGAAATGGGGCCTCTGCCCTTCTGGCCAGTGTGGGAGAGGGTGGACATGAGTGTACACAAGGGAACTGATGGAACAATGGGAGAGACGGAGGGAAGGGGAGGGGCTCTAATCCGTCAAGGAGATACCTGCCTTTTTGTGGATAGGGTGGGGCCGGGCGGCAGGAGCCAGCATCTGGTAACAATATCCACAAAGATGACAGCACCTGCTCTGTTCCGGGCTGTTCTAGGGGCTCTACCATATGCTCGTCTAATCTTCACAGCAACCTCATGACTAGACAGGATTACAATCTACATTTTGGAGAGGGGACACCAAGGCCTCGAGGGGTTAGAAACCTGCCCAAGGTCACACAACTGGGCGGGAGGTGCTCAGCCCCACAGACAGCTTCAGAGCTGGAGCACTTGAGCCCACACCTCCCTCCGTGAAGCCAAAACCCGGGTGGGAGGAGAGGACAGATATCAGGGAAGAACCTGCAGATGCCCAGAGCTTGTGCCAATGAGCCTTGCATTTGACAGATTCGAGGGAGTGGGTTCTAGAAAGCACCACTCAACAGCTCACCTAGTGAGCACCTACTATGTGCCACGGGCTTGAGGCAGCAGCCGGCGGGGAGGAGTCCAGGCTTGCCAGCCCAACTCCATGCACCTTCCAGTGACCACACTGTGCCCAGAGGGGTGGGATGTAATTAAAGCTGTGCAGGCTGCTGCTGTCAGGGTAGGCCCTGGGCACCCCGACCTTCAGGCCAGTGGTGGGGGGTCTGTCATCTACGGACTTGTCTACGTTCACTCCACCGCTTCCCAGCGGCGTGCGGTGGACAAGCGTTCCTTTATCTGAGTCTCTATTTCTCTATCAGTGGACACAGGAAAAGAAATAGCTACCTTCACGTCTAAGGATGGAAGGAAATAGTGATGGTGAAAATGCTGGCTCTGTGCCCGGCCCAGAGTACATGTTCTGCCAATGTTCATTTCCTTCCTGAACCCTAAAGTACGGTGTCCCCTCCAGGGAAGGGGCTCCACCACCCTCAGTGCTGGCTGATGCCCCAGGCCCATCTTGGTCAGACAGCTAACTTTACCCTGTGAGCCTGGAAGGTGGAAAACACCAGACAGCCTTCTTTTGGCTTAAGAAATGGAACAAACCAGGCTGGCCATGGTGGCTCATGCCTGTAAGCCCAGTGCTTTGGGAGGCCGAGGTGGGAGGATCGCTTGAGGCCAGGAGTTCAATACCAGATTGGGCGACATGGTGAGACCCCCTCTTCACCAAAAAAAAAAAAAAAAAAGAAGGAAAGTTGGGAGGCTGAGGCAGGTGGATTGCCTGAGATCAGGAGTAACACGGTGCCTGGGCAATATGGTGAAATCCCATCTCTACGAAAATACAAAAGAAATTAGCTGGGCATGGTGGCAGGCACCTGTTGTCCTAGCTACTTGGGAGGCTGAGGCAGGAGAATCGCTTAAACTCAGGAGGCGGAGGTTGCAGTGAGCCGAGATCGTGCCACTGCACTCCAGCCTGAGCAACAGAGCAAGACTCCATCTCTACAAAAAAAAAAAAAAAAAAAAGAAGGAAAGAAAGAAAAAGTAAAAGAGAAATGGAACAAACCAACCGAAGAAGAGGAAGGGGCTAGGGAGGGGGCAGTTTGCAGCTGGAAGGGAGTGGACCCAGGTGGTAGCTGGCTGTGGCTGGGTGCAGCGGGCCTTCTCCTGCACCCCAGGCTGGAGCATAAGGAAGGCCCAGAGCCCAGGACCCAGGTCTATCCTCTCACCATCAGATCTGCCCAGTACTGGACATCCTGGTCTTTGGTCAGGTTCAGCCCTTGTTTCCAGGCCTCACTGGGTTCAGGTAGAGATTCACAACTTAACAGAAGCCATCATATACATGTGGGGCCCAAGTCAGCTGGCCCTGCTGCACAGCACCCCCAAACCTTGCACCCCACAGGCCTGAGGGCTCAATCTTATTAATATATAACCTGCGGCAGGTTGGGAGGCTTTTCCTTGAACTCCCACCCTGGCTGCTACTAACCCTCACTGTGGGGACCACCAGAGGGGCAAACCTGAGGGTGGCCTCAGGGTGGCTCAGAGGGCAGCTGCTGCCCAGAGGCTGCCTTCGACTGCTCCCTCTACGTCTGTCTGACTGCTGATGTTTCATTTTGTTTTGGAGACAGGGTCTCGGTCGGTTGCCTAGGCTGCAGTGCAGTAGCATAATGTTGGCTCACCGCAGCCTCGACCTCTGGGGCGCAGGTGATCCCTCCACCTCAGCCTCCTGAGTAGCTGAGATCACAGGCGTGCACCACCAGCTAACTTTTGTATTTTTAGTAGAGATGGGGTTTCACCATGCTGGCCAGGCTGGTCTTGAACTCCTGACCTCAAATGATCTGCCTGCCTCAGCCTCCCAAACTGCTGGGATTAGACGCCTGAGCCACCATGCCCGGCTTGCTAATGTTTCAATCATGCATCTCTCCCTGCTCATTCATGCACATCTTTCCATTGCTCTTAACAAGCGTCAGGTGAACGCAGCGTCTTAAAAACAGTTGAGAAGATGCTTCTTTCTGAGTGTGGACTTGGAGGTGTGACTACCACTGCTGGTCCCTTCCAGGGGCACTTGTGCCTCCAGGGTCTTAGGCCACCTCTGGCCAGGTGCTAGGGAGGATGGAGAGGCTGATGGGCACCCATTTGCCAAGGAAAAGGACCCACTGCCCGCCGCCCGGCTGGCAGCAGCCAGCTCTGCTCTCAGCTTAACAAATGGGCACATTCTTACTTCAAAGGCGCATTCATATTCTCCAGCAGCTTTCAAGAGCCCTTTGAATCGCGCTTTTAAAAACCCTCTGTTCATTGCTGTCATCACTCGTTTGTTTTAAAACAATAACGATCCAGCCCCTGGGTGATTAAATCCCTTCCATGTGGGGCTGACTCAGAGCCAGAACAGTCAGAGGGGCTGGGCAGTGTGTGTATCTGCATGCACACATGTGCATATGTGTGAGCACACACACACGCGCGAGCACGCACACGCTCTGCGCCCAGACGCCCTCGCCTCTGTAAACCTGCTCACTGGGCAATTTCCTCCCAGGTCCGCGTTTGCCAGTTCATTCTTCAAGCCCTCCCGGGGGTGCCAGCCTGCAGCAGAATGACTTTTGCTTGGATGGGTTGACTCCAGAGGCTGCTGGAGATAATGACTCTGGGGAGGAGGAGAGGGAAGGGGAGGCCTTTCCCTGAGAGCCTGCTGGGTACCAGGCCCTGGGCTGGGGGCTCCACATCCCTCGCCTCCTGTGGTCCTCACAAGGTTCCTCTCCCCAAGCTCCTGCGGTGAAGTCACCCCCTCCCGAAAGTCAACCTGCCCCCTGGATACAGGGATCCTGGGAGGGACGCCCTACCTAGGACTCTGAGCAGTGACAGCTGATTTTCCTCCAGGACCTGCCTCGTCTGAAAGCAAGAGATGGCAGGGGGCTGGCAGGGTGTGTGCTGTAGGAAGAATGACAGACTGAGGGGAAGAAGATGCTGCTGGGATAACAGAACGTGTGGACGTGTCTATGTGTGCACGTGTTTATGTGTGCAGGTGTGTGTGTGTGCAGGTGTGTCTGCATGTATGTCCATGTGTGGACATTCACATATCTGTGAATGTCAATGTGTGTGTCAGTGCACATCTGTGTGTGCAAGCCTTTGTGTTCAAGTATGTGTGTCTGTGGTCTGTTTCTGTGTGCACATATCTGTGTGTATGTGTGTGTATTTATGTGCAGGGACAGATTTCTGTGTTGTGAATGCTCAGGAGGGTAGCACAAACCAGTGACCTTGAGAAAGTTACTTAACCTCTTTGTACCTCATTTTCCTTAGCTATAAATTGGAGATGTGTTTGCTTTGAAGATTAAATACATTAATAAATATATAGTGCTTAGAACAGAGCCTGGCACGTGCTAGGAGGGGTGGCTATTAACACTATTGATCTATATAAAGATGGACAGATCAGCCCAGAGAGAAGAGCTCATATCCTGTTGGCAGCTGCCAGTGGCTCCCCTCAGCCTTAGTACTAGGATGGTGCAGTAAACAACCTGTGCAACTGTACACAACAGCCCTGTTAGCCACCCTCTCTGTGGAAAAGGAGATAATTGAGAAGGAAGGAGAATTGTGGATAGAAAGAATCAACGTTATAAAGATGTCATTCTCTTAAACTTTTCTTCACCTCAAACACACACACATACACACACACACACACACACACATACACATACGAAGGAATTTTTTTAAGTAGGCAAAGTGATTCTACAGTTCACATCAAAACAACAACCATGAAAGAATAGCCAAACAAATTCTGAAAAAGTATAGCAAACAGAGGAAACTAGCATAGACATTTAACTACATTACAAAGCTGCAATAATGAAAACAGTGCCTTCTTGTAAAATAGACTGATGAAGAAATAGTCCGGGAGTCTAGAAATAGACCCAAATACATACGAGGAAATTTAATGTATGATGAAAGTAGAATTTCAAATCAGTGGGTAATACACCAATTAGTCAATAAATGGTTTTGAAACAGCTAGGGAACCATTTGGGGATAAAAAAATAAAGATGAATCTCTTTCTGGCACTTTTACCTCAAAATAAATGCTGGATGGATCAATGTTTTAAACATGAAAAATGAAATTCTAAAAGACCTAGAAAAAAAATCAGAGATTTAAAAATATACTGTCTTGGCAAAGCAATGTACTCGCCAAGTACTTTCTAAGTACTATGCAAGCTCCAAAAGGTCATAAAACAGATTGATACCTTCAACTACACAGAAATTCTGCCTGGAAAAAAAAAAACCCTCATAAACAAAAAGAAGTGACAAATGACAAACTGGGGAAAGATATTTGCAACTGTTATCACGGGCAAAGAGCTAATTTTCCTGATATAGAAATGTTCCCACAAATCAGTAAGAAAAAGATTAACAAACCAATAGAAAAATGGGCAAAGGATATGAAGTTCGCAGAAGAGAATTACAAATGCCCCTGGAACTCACACAAAGATGCTCAGCCTCATGATAAGAAAAAGGAAAACTAAAATTCAATAAGATACCATTTTTTCCCTTATCACACTGGCCAAGATGTAAAAGTGTGATATTCTGGGCTGGTGAATTTGTAGAGCAACAGGCACCCTCGCAGACAGCTTTGCGGGACTGTAGCTTGGTACGCCCTCTACGAGAGCAATTTGGCAATGCTATCAAAGCTAAAAATGCACACATCCTCCAATTCGCCAACTCTTCAAGGAATTCACCCTCCACAGACTCACTTGTGCATGTGTGAAATGACAGTACTTCAGAGCCGCTCAGCTTATAACAGCAAAAGCTTGGAAATGGCCTGAATGCCTATCAAGAGGGCACTGCTTAAAGAAACGATTGTCCCTCCAAACAACAGAATTCTGTGCAGCAGACGGCGCCTGAGCGATCTTTGAGAACTACTGGTAAGTGACAAAAACAAGAATAGGGTGGATAAGCTCAGGCATGGAATAGGGTGGATAATCTGCTACTGTTTACGTAGAAGCTTTTCTTCTTCAAGTATAAAAATCAATTTGCTTGTATTGGCACAGGCTTTTTCTAGTGGCTCCATGAAAAATGGATCCCAGTGACACTTGAGGGAGGTCTGGGTGCCCGGGGACTTGGGTTGGGGGACTAGCTTTTCACTCTATACCTTTGTGTAACATTGATATTGTGGACCACAGGTATGAATTACTTATCTATGATCAGATATATGTATACATGTGCATACGTGTATGTGAGTGTGCATGGTAAGCTGTTCACAGGGTGATCCCATTGATGACAGGGAAGAGGACAGACCCTCTGTGTGTCATTTAGGCATGTCACGTGGCTCGGAGGTCCCGGACCAGCAGAGCCTGAGCTGCTTAAATGAAGAGCGGCCTTCAGAGGCCAGCAAGAGGCCTCAGCCCGGGGCTTCCTTGTAATTTCCCATAACAGGTCAGGGGATCGCTGACTGCCATCTTCCCTTGATATTCGCACTAAATACCCCCATTGTCCTCCCTAGGCTCCAGGCTAAATGGCCCCATACAGAAGCCAATCTCAACTTCAACTTTTCCCCTTCTCTGCAAAATAATGTCATCTTTCTCTGGAGTCCCCAGGCTGTGTCCATCTCACTGTTCAGGGGATTTGACTTCCCAGCCAGCCCAGCCCTGGGAACCGCACCTCCTGTGGAGCCATTCTGCTGGGAATGGGTCGGTGGGTGGAGGAAGGGGGTGATGGCTTCTGCCAGCCACCTAATTGGCCAAATGATGTCCATCTGCCCTCCAGAATAAGCTGCAGGGAGTACCAAGCCTGGACAAACTCCCTTCCCAGCTCTGAAACATGCAGAAACCTCTCTCTTTTTGCGGCTTCTTCTCAGGCATAGAATAAGGGCTCAGTCATCACGAGCTTCCCTGGAATGCTTGGAAACAGGGTGGGAGCTGGGATTTCTAGACTCGCAAACTTTTCTCCCACCATCTCCTAGTCTTGGCCCCACCACCGTGTCCTGGACTGATTACCACGGCCTCTTAATGGGTGCCAGGGGTGGAAACCTGTGCTCCTTACCCCTGGTGGACCACACACCTGAGCAGGATGGACCCGGGGTCAGAGGGAGCAGGGGCTCAGGGTGGGCTGCTCTCACCAAACCTCACTTCTCTCCAAACTTCTAGTCTTGCTGCTGCCTTTATTCCATACTAACCATGGAACTTTCTATCCATGAAGCACTTTACATTCATCATCTTAGTTAAGAGGCCTGAGTTCATCTCAAGGAAACCACTATCATTTTCCCCATTTTAATAGGAGAAAACCAACGCTCAGAAAGGTTCTGTAACTGGACTCTGCCACATAGACATAAGCCAAGATCTGGCAGGTTCCAGAGCTCTGGATCTTTCTATTATTAGCATAAGACTTCCCAAAGCTGTCTCACCCTTCATACCCCAACCTGTAGCACCAGGGGTGGTGAGAGGGACGGGGGACATTCAAGGAGGTTGGTGGCCTCTCTCAGGGAACTGGTTTTGACTCCACAAGCAAAGGTCACGCAGCATTCATACTCCAGCCTGCGATGTCACAGCCCCAGAGCCAGATTCTGGGATGAGGGCGAAACAGGCGGCCCAGCTGGGAATGAGTCCTGCGAATTAGCTAGAAGGATAAGGAGGCAGAATATCCCAGAAGAGACTGGTCCGCCCAGGGGGTGAGGGTTTCAGGTGGATGAGCTAAGAAAGGGCAGGGAGAGAAGCCTGGAAATGGAGGTCAAATAGCACAGAAGATGAACGCATGCAGGCGTGGGGGCCAAGTAAAATGAAGCAGAGGCCAGAGCCTTAGGGGCTTCTTGGGAAGAAGGGGCTAAGCTGGGGGACCCCACCCTGCAGCCCTGCTCCCGAGGAACCACCTTTTCAAGAATCTGGCTTGAAGATCCCAGTGGGAGAAGATAAATTGGGTTTACATCCCATTTCCATGCTAACTAGAGTTTGACCTTATGCAAATTCACCTCCTGGGCCTTACCTGTCTCATCAGTGAAACAGATGGAAACTCCTGCCCCAGAGCCTGCAGGAGGATCAAATGAGCTAATGTGGGTGAGGTTGGAGCCACAGTGCTTGAAGCCTCAGAGGTGCCCCTTTCTGTCACACAAACCATTGGGGGTGACCACATAGGAAGGAGATGGGGAAAGAGGGGCAGGGGCTGTTATGATCATTCCACCTGTTTCCCGCTTCTCAGAACCATTCCCCTAAGAAGCCCGCAGTCTCTTGAAGTTCTTACGTCTGAGGCTTCCAAATTCAGCCCCCTCAATGCCATTCTAAGCTGGCTCAAAAATTGGGTCTTGCCTGGGATGGCTCATAAGGTTTTGAGCAGGGTCAGGACTGGTAGAGACAGCTGGAGCCTGGGGAGGGGTTGCAAACGCCTGCGTGGATTGGTCCCACAACATTGGTCAAACCCAGGTGGGAGATGGTACTGGTCAGGGTGCCGAGGGCCCAGGAGGAGGCTGCTGTGGCCCTGTTCGGCCCCTGCCCTTCAGAAGAAATGTCTGCACGTCATACACTAGCTAGGTGGGGCAGGGACTCTCTAGCTGCCTGATAAAGGCTGCAGGGCCTGGGGCTCCTGGCGAGTCCCTTCCCTCTCCCAGCCCCATGCCTGGCAAGGCCTCTTGCTCCTGCCTCACCAGCCAGGGCCCCAGAGCACCCTAGCCCCCTCCCCTTGGATTCCCTCCTCCTCCCTTCTCCCACAAATGAGATGCTAATTTATGCCCCTCCCTGTATCCTAGCAGATGCCTGGCCCAGCTCTGGCCCCGGTGCTGCCTGCATGCCAAGCGCTTCATTAGCCGGGAAAGAAGACTCTTGCCCTCCTTCGTCTAATCCTCGCCAGTGACCTTCAGGAACCAGGCACCTTCTGACGTTGGGAGCCTGGGATGGTGCAATCATCAATTACGCCGTGGCCTCCGCAGCTGTTCCTGAATGGATTTCTTGCTCAGAGAAGCGTGTTTGAAAAGCATCTAATGGAACGGATCATCAATTTGTTTGAATACACATCTAATCTGATTAGGGGGGCACTGGCCACCAGGGCAGCTAGTGCAACTGAGCCTTGACATGGCCCCAGGGAATCATAAGTGGGGTGGCGGGGCCAGTCTAGGGAAGGAGGGCTGTGTGCCCTGGGCCTGCCACCGAGCCCTCCTTGAGCTCAGCCCATGGTACGTCCAGCCAAAAAAGTCACAGAGAAAAGCAGAACACATCACACAGATGCCAGGAGAGCTGGGCCCAAGACTCCTGTTTTTCTATAGCCCTGGCACTGGGCACAGAGCCTGAGACAAAGAAGATGCTTGGGAAATATGTGGCAAATGAATGACAGTAAGGCCCAACATGGAAGCCAAGGGATGTTTAATAAAGTCATCTGTGGGACAAGACTAGGTGATGCCTGTATTGGGTTGAATATGTCTCCCCCAAATTCATGTCCTTCCCAAAACCTCAGAATGTGACCTGATTTGGAAATCGAGTCTTTGGAGATGTAGTTTGTTAAGATGAGGTCACGCTGGAGTAGGATGGGCCTTCCGTGACTGGTGTCTTGGTAGGAGGAGAAGAAACACAGGGAAAGAGACACACAAGGAGAAGACAAGAGCCAAGTAAAGACAGAGGCAGGGACTGAAGCGACGCATCTACCAGCCAGGGAATGCCAAGGACTGCTGGGAGCCACCAGGCAGGCCTAGGACGGGGGCAGGACGGAGTCTCCCGTTGAGCCTGCAGAAGGAGCATGCCCCTGTCACCCTGATTTCAGACTTCTGGCCTCCAGAACTGTGAGAGAACAGATTTCTGCTGTTTAAAGCCACCCAGCTTATAGTGCTTTGTCATGGCAGCCCAGGAAACTCATGCAATGCCTACAGGAAGCTTTGTCCGTCATTCCACAGAAGGCAGCATGGCAGAGAACCAGAAGGAAGTCCGAGCCCTGCCTCGCTGGATGTAGCTGGTCCTTCCCAGACACATCACGTGCGCCATGCCACTCTCTTCCCTGGGGAGCCCTTTCTTACCTTCTTTACCAGGAAAATGTTGGTTTTCAATCCATGTTAGTTCCTGTCCAGCACCCCTTCAAAGCTCAAATGCCATGCCCTCTGTAACTCTTCTCCAGATGTCCTCCTCAGACTCCTGAGATCGCCTCCCTCCCAGCATGCTTGGTGATTCCCATGCTACATCCCCCACTGCTGGGCACACTGGGGCTCCCTCATCTTCCTAGCCCCAGAGCCTGGCAACAGCCTGGCCTGCAGAAGAGCCCAGATCCATGAGAAAGTGGGCAAGCAAACTTGCTGTGGACCAGCGGGTCCCTCCCTTCTTGGGAGTGGACCAGAATGGAGATCACAAAGTTCCCTTCCAGCCCTGACATTATAAGAGCCGAGTAGCCCTCTGGGGGATGACCTTACTGGGCCCTGTAATGGGACCACCTGGGTTCAAACCCAGTGGACTCTGCCACTCACAGGCTGTGTTTCCCTGGGCATCATTCTGTAACTCTGCTGCACCTCTCCTGAAAAATAGGGATAGCAGTGCCTACCTCGTTGGCCTATGGAAAGGGGTAAGTGCTTCAACCAGTGCCTGGCACAGAGAAAGAGCCCTTGGAAAGAAGGCTGTTATTATTCCTCATCTTGGCTTGGTGCAGCCTCTGCAAGCCCTTCTCATAGCCGGGGCCTCCTGTTTGAACCACACAGGTAAACAGGGCCAAAGCACCTCCAACCTTGCATGGAAAAAAGACGGTTCTCATTTCCAATAGGTTTATTTTGCAGTTAACAGAGGGGAAGGGAGCTCTTTCTTACATTTCCCTTGGAGGGTTCAGAGATTAAACTTATACCATCGATTAGAATGTTTTGGCCTAACGGTGCTAGTATCATTTTAGTGTATTCAGATTCATTTGAGCTATAAAAGTGGCGATAATAAAATGTTCACTAAGTCCTGGAATTCCTCCCAAGAAGCCCGATGGTGTTACATGGACCACAGTCCTCTTCCCCTCAGTGGCCCCAAGGCAGGACAGCATGCTTGGAGCAATTCTCCAGTTTTACAGCTGAGACTTGAGACCCCCTAGAAATTGATCAATGGCCTGGCCGGCCTGGGTGGCTTCATGAGACTCAGCTCTGCCTCACCTCTGTCACCCTTCTCACAGGTGACTTTGTCCACCATGCAGGTACCACTCTTCTGCCCATCCCCTAAGCCTGGGGACTCTGGTGACAAAGAGACACTGTCTTCCTACAGGTCTGCAGGAGCCCAGAGCGAGGACTCATAGGCCCAGGGATGCGTCCAAGAACCCACAGCCTGGGGGTCTCCAGTGTCTACCTCCTTGGTCAGCGATGGTGCCACCAGATGCAGGGCACGGAAGGCTGTGCCGTGAGGAAGGACCAGCACCCCAGAGCTCTGGCTGGCATGCTTCCCAGGGGCAGCCCCTGTTCCTCCTCTTGCCCACCCTTGGAGACGGGCCATCACCTAAGAGGAGGGAGAGATGGAAGCTGGGGGAAGATGGGAGCTAGGGGCAGTGGCTCTGACTTAACACCAGCATTGGTTTCCCAATATTGAATAAAGAGGGCTGAGCTGGACAGCAGGTGTCCTTAGGGGCTTGACCTCACCACCCCCAGACGGGGCCTGTCTGCCCAATTTCAGGGGCTTCTCCTCAATTTCCTGGCTTCAGGGCGAGGCTGCTCAGCCCAGGGACAAGAAGGAAAGATGGGTATTTGTTAAAGGCCTACTCCACACTGAGCAGCGCATGTTTACCCATTTAATCCTCCCAGCCTCCTTAGGGGAGTGCTATGAGGACTTCTCTTTTATTTCTCTCATCTGAAGCTCAGATGAGAGAGGTACCCAGTCACATGTGTGTCAGTGGCAGAGCTGGGTTTTGAACCCATAGCCGCCTGCCTCCATGCAAGGCCTCTGACCTCCCCTCTGTCCAGGCTGCGTTTGGAGCCCAGGAACAGATTCCAAGGCTGGGCCCCGCAGGGAGGAAAAAACAAAGCACGAGTCGCTCTCTGCACGGAGGCTGAGAGATGGAGCCACCGCTGAGGAAGAACACACATTCATCAGGCTGGTGACCCCGGTGTACCAGCGCTTTGTGGCGTGTAACAAAGACTGCCGAGCAGAAAATTGGAGTTCAATTTGCCGTCCATCCTGCACGCAGTGCTCAGCCCATTCTAGTCCCTGGCAGGCACCTCTGTGCTTTATCATAAATAATAACACCACGCGGCTCTATGGCCCTTTCCGCAGTTACAGTCCCCGAGCAATTTACAAGCCAGATTATACACAGAAGCCTGCACATGCCTGCCGGCCAGCACACACCACACACACGCGGCCTCCTCCCCAGTCACTCCTAGGGCCCACGGCCATCCTGGTGTCACCCATCTGGGGCTGCACCCAATCTGGAGGGAAGCAGGCCGTTGTGCACCCCTGGACACTGGGCTCTGCTCCTGCCCTGGTCACCTTCTTTATCCCTTTTACTGGCTCTCATGGTTGGCAGAGAACCCACGAGGTCTGGTGGCCCACTGCCCCTTGCTGGACCAAGGTCAAGGCCACTTCCCCTCTCTTTCTTTCCGTTTTAGAAGGAGCTTCTGGACCTCCTCCCCTCCAATCAGCAGTGGCCCTTTGTCTCTACCACAGGGAGTCCCGTCTCTCCTCAGAACTTATTGGGAGTAGTGGGGGGGTGCAAAAGCAGCAACAGGGACCCACAAGTTCAACCGCTCGCTTCACAGACGAGACCCCTGGGGCCCAGAGAGGTGCAGCAGCTTCCCTGAGGACTCTGCATCAGCTGCTGAGCTGAGACCAAAGCCCAGGACCACCGGCACCCAGTCCACTACACAGCGGAGCCCCAAGGAGGGAGGTAAACAAAGGTCTAGGGCAGACTGGGCTGCTCCCTCTGAGCATCTAGAAACTTCCCCAGAAGCAGAAGCTTCAGGCAGGGCCTGGAGGGGCTCCAGCAGCAGCTCCTTCCCCCTCTTGCCATCAAACTAAATAAGAGGTCAACTATTGTATGATGCCATTTATATGAGATATCCAGAGTAGGTAGATCCATAGAGATGGGGCTCAGATTGGTGACTGGCAGGTGGTTGGGAGAGAGGGGAATGGGGAGTGACTGTGAGTGGGTACAGGCTTCCTTCTGGGGTGATGAAAGTATTCTGGAACTCAGTGGTGGTTGTACATCATTGTGAATGTACTAAGTGCCACTGAATTGCTCACTTGAAAATGATTTTTTTTTTTTTTTTTTTTTTGAGACCGGGTCTCGCTCTGCTGCCCAGGCGGGAGTGTGGTGGTGCAATCATAGCTCACTGCAGCCTTGAACTCCCAGGCTCAAGTGATCCTCCACTTTAGCCTCTCGAGTACCTGGGACCACAGGCGCGTGCCACCATGCTTGGCTAATATTTTGTATTTTTAGTAGAGATGAGGTTTTGACACGTTGCCCAGGCTGATCTCGAACTCTTGGACTCAAGCAATGTACCCACCTCGGCCTCCCAAAGTGCTAGGATTAAGGCATGAGTCAGTCTTAAAATGGCTAATTTTATGTCATGCAAATCTTATCCCCATCAAAAAAATAAAAAAAAATAAAAAACATACAATGGGTGCCAGGTGTCGTGTGGCCTCCTACTTCCCCTCCTCTCCCTGCCAGCCCCATGCAGTTCTTGGGAAGAAGACTAAAAAGCAACTCCAGGTGCTGTGCTCCTTCCTGTGCTAATCCATCATCTGGCTCCTGCCTTCCTGCCTCCCGCCCTTGCCCTGCCTGTACTCAGGAGCTTCTCCCATGTGTGGGCTCAGGCGCTGGGTCTCCTCTGGGTTCTGGAGGGTGGGGATGCATTTCCAATCACTCTCAAGTTTGCAGGCCATTTGCAATGACAGAAGGCCTTGGTTTTGCTAGAGGATGGGAGTTGGGGGCGGGGGTGAGCCCCAACTCCACATTTACAGACTGCTCGAGACAGAGTCAACACCTGTTTTCTGAGCCACAGTCTCCTGGCGCGTACCAGGAAGTCCTGTGACACCTCCCTTGCTGGGTTTTGTTAGGATTCAATGCCATAGAACTGGAGAAAAACCCGGGGACACTTTGCCTGGCTGAGGGCTTGGCACACAGAGATCATAGGAACCAGGCAGGTGCCAGGCCTCGTGCTGGTGCGTCAAGTGTATTTTCTTATTTGCACCACACAGCAATGCTGTGGAGTCGGAACTATTCACGGCCTCACTTTACAGAGGAGGGCACTGAGGCTTGGAGAGTTGAGTGACTCCCAAGATTACATAATGGAAGTGGAATGGAAGGTGTTGCAGGTCCACATTAAAGGTTTGTTTTTTTGCTCCTTCCACAAGGCCGGTGTCATCAAAGACCAACCCAGAGTGTGCAACTCTGAGCGCCCCGGAGAGAGAAGGCAGGGCTTTGCTTTGGCGGAGCTCCAGGGTGGGCGGATGGGCTGCCCCAAAGGCAGGGAGGAGAGATGCTGTGCTGACCCCTGCCCCAGGCTGCAGCCACCTCTGCTGCCCACCTCATCCTGGCCTGGCTGCTCATGTGCCTGGTGGCAGGTGGCATTCCCAGACAACAGCCTGGCCCACCTGCTTGGGGAAGCAGAGGAGTCTGCTGAAGGGGGGCAGTTGGTGGTGGGGAGGGCCAGGCGGCAGGCCCCCACATTCCAGGGGACTGTATTCATTATCCTTGCCTGGGAACCAGCTGGGGTTCTCTGCCGTCTCTGCTCTTCTGCTTTGAAAACACATAGCCCATCTGTGGTAGAGGAAAGGTGGCTGAACCAACATCTGCAGGAGAAGGTGATGGTATGTGGACTCTGCTACCGCCTC
The DNA here is from genome assembly GCF_000001405.40 of Homo sapiens. Lineage (NCBI taxonomy): Eukaryota > Metazoa > Chordata > Mammalia > Primates > Hominidae > Homo > Homo sapiens. The sequence continues at coordinate 73,522,620 of NC_000017.11, forward strand.
CTGATGGTTATCCATCCAGGGAGGTCAGCAGCTCCCCTTGCTTCTCTCGCTCAATGTCATGTCCTCAGATTTAATCAGCACCACCCCACCCACCCCCGCTCCTCTCTGGAGGAACCTGGGGCCAGCAGCTGATACCAGGGAAGAGGAGAGAGACAGAAACACAAGGAAATTCATACTAATGAGAGAGCAGACTGGGCTCACCCTGAGCATCTCCATGGTGCCAAGGTTCACATTCAAATGGAGTTTGTGTCTCTGTCTCTGGTCCCCAGCTCCTCTTGCGGGTGGGATGAGGCAGGAAGAGGCAGCTGAGGCTGGACATCAGGGAAAGCCCTGGGCTGGAGGCCAGGCCCTGTCCCGGCTGTGGCTGCCACAGCTTCTTAGCTTCTCTAGTGGGAAGCATCTGTGGAACTCATCTAGCCCAACCTCTCTTGCTGGCAGATGGGAAAACCGACGCAGAAGAGACCAAGGGAGAATTGGAGCTAGATTTTGATACCAAGTCACTCTGTCTCACTTGATAGCTCTTAGCCTCATTTTTTCCACCTGTTAAAATGGGCATGAAGGTTTCACAGTCACCTGCTGTCCCCTTCCAAGTCTAGGCTCTGCAATTGGGCCTTTTTGAGGATGTCTGGTTATGCCAGGAGAGCCTCTCTTCCCCGAGAGAGACCAAGCTTCCCCTCTTGATGAGGGGAGGGCTGGTGCTGTGGAATGCTCTTCATGGACTTCTGCTATACCCCATATTAAGGGCTGAATTGCACTGAAGTCCTAACCCTGGATACCCGTGGTTGTGATCTTATTTATTATAGAAGTGGTCTTTGCAGATGTAATCAAGTTAAGATGAGGTCATGAGAGGGGACTCTAATCCCACATGACTGATGAGAAACACGCAAGGAGAAGATGGCCACGTGAAGACAGGTGAAGATGGGAACAATGTAGCTGCCGGCATGGGAACGCCAGAATCGCTAGCAGCCCCAGAAACCAGAAGAGGCAAGGATGGGACTTCCCTTACAGACTGCAGAGGGAGCGTGGCCTTGCTGGGCACTTTGATTTCAGCCTACTGGCCTCCAGAACTGCGCGACAAGAAATTTCTGTTGTTTGCAGCCACCCAGTTGAGGTACTTTCTTATAGCAGCAAATGGAACCACCCCCTCACCTGCACCCCCCAAATAACAGGCCAGCACTGCGCAGAGCCCCTTTCTCTATGCAGGTTTCCCAGATGCTGCCCCAGCAGAAGCGAGCCCCCTCTTGTATGCTCACATGTCCATCACGACAGCCCTAAACTTCTGAGAGCCTTACTGGACCTGGTACATCTTGGTCATTTCTGTACCTTCAGTCCTTAATCTGGTGTCTTCCACAGAATAGGACCTCAGTGGACATTGAGCAAGGGAATGAATGAAAGGGATTTTCTCATTTCCAGGCTCTGTGATCATCCCTTACCTGCCCCTGCATCCCTCTGACCTATCGCTTCTCATTCCTACTGGCTACTTCTCCATGCTTGGGCCTCCATTTGCCCTCCCTGGCCCCAGAATCATGTCATGACAGCTGCTCTGCAGTTGGGCCTGAGCTCAGCTAATGGTGACTGACGACATTCTGTGTAGCAGGGACCCTCGGGCAGCAGGATTGGCATGTTGGCAGGAGGCACAGTGTGATTGATAGCCTACGTGTTGATAGGTCCTTTCCAACCCCTTCCCCAGAGGCTGGAGCTTTCTGGCAAGGAGACCAACATGGCCCCCGCCCGCCCCGGCCATTCACCCTTCTTTTTCTGTTGCCTCCCCTCTTTCCCAGAACTAAAATTCCTGCCCTTCCCCTGGTGGGCTGGGGATGAAGGTGGATGGGATGTTTAGTATTCTTGGGCTCAGGCAGAGAATGAGGGGCTCCTTGTATTCCCCTTTTTCCTGCCAGGACACCCACATCCAGACAGAGTGATGTGAGAGTCACACACCTACTGTGCCCTCTTCCCTCTAGCATGACTGGAGCAGGGGGCCTCCTTCCCAGGACCCCTGTCTGCAGTCATGAGGGCCAGGCACCTCTGTGCTCTCTGTGTGTGATCCCTGAGCCCAGGTAGCACGACTGTCCCATTGCATAGATGAGAACACTGATGCTCAAAGACATGAAGTGACTTCACCCAGGTTACACACATGGTCAGTGTAGACCCTGGGATTGGAATGCCAAGCTGTCTATCTCCAAAGCCCACGCTCCTTCCACTACAATGCATGAAGCGGTTTGGAAAGGCAACAGAGCCATCGCTGGGTGCTTCCTCCTCAATCATGCAGACGTTTCAGGCAGGAGCAAGGGTTCCATCTCGCCTCTGCGCACATCATTCCCATGGACTTGGGCTGCCTGGGAAAGGCCAAACCATCACATGCATCCCATGGGTGAGGCCGTGGATGGCTGTCCAAGACTCACCTTCCTAGGCCTGTGTGGCCCTGGGCAGCCAGGCTACTTCTTTGGGCCTCATTCCCTTTAGGGCATGATGAGGCTCGTCTCTGCCCACCCCTCCCCAGGGCACCAAGGAGTAAGCGAGAGCTGGCCTTTGAGGCAAGAAGCCCGGAGAACCATGGGTCTTGTCCCCAGCTGTGTGAGATCCAAGACAGGCTCTCCATGGGGAACTGACACAGGGAGAGGGAGGGCCCCAGAAGCAGCCCTCGAGGGGGTGAACGCCAGGAGGGTCCTAGGAGATCTTTGCTCACTCTAGCCAGGCCAGGGGCACAGCAGGCAGGAGGGCAGGCCGGTAGCTAGGGTTTGGCAATGGACAAAGCCAGCAAGGGAAAGGGAGAGTTTACAGGAAGGCGACAAGTTACCGGAAAGGACAATAAATTAATATAATAGGGTGCTTGGCTGGTGACAGGGAATAAAACACGTGGTCCAAAAAAGCCCCATGTGAGATTGTCAATAGGATGAATGAGAAGGGAAGAGGGAAATGGGGGAAAGAATGGGAACCGGAGGCTCACTGAGCAGCCTGTGGGAGGCGGCGAGGTGGCTCTCCTCACTGCACCACCACCTCCTCTGCCTCTTCTCAGATCAATGCTGGCATCAGAACCTTCTCTCCAAACGGCCCCGCAGGATCCCATCCCTATCCTAGAAGTAATTCCCTCCCTTTTGCACTGGCTCCCCCATCCCTGCCTACCCAAGAAGGCTCCCCCCTACCTTGCCCCCTAGATTTCGGTGCCCTTGACTCCCATCCCATGCAAATGCCCTCAGCTCTTAGCCATAATGCAGAATATGCATTTCAACCATTCATTCTTTCACTCAAAGGTCAATTCATTCATTCAGCAAATGCTTTTTGAGCACGTACTACGTGCCACAAAATGTCAGAGTGAGCAAGAAGGAAATCTCTGCCTTAAGGAGCTCCCAGGCTCACAGGGGAGATGGATGAGCCACTTGGCAGTGGGACAAGTGCGCGACAGAGTGAAGCCCTTGATACATCTGGCTGCTGCGGAGGCACAGCTTACAGGACCGTAATGGCCCTGGGGAAGGTGTCTCCAATGAGCATCCTAAATGGCACAAGCCAGGTGGGGCAGTCGGGAACACTCACAGGCAGACGGTGTCATTTGTGAAAAGCCAGGATGCGTGCAAGGAACGGTGGCTTCTGGGAACTTTAGCTATTTCAGCATGATGGGGCTGGAGGGTGCAGGGTTGGGGGCTGCAAGGTTGGGGGAGATGTGGCCGGCCAGCACAGGGGCCGCAAGAGCAGGCCTGGGTGAGATGAACTCTGATTCAAGCCCTGGCTTTGCCAATTAGGACCTGCATGACCTTGGGCCAGTCAGGTAACTTCTTTGATCTGGTTCCTCTTTGAGGAGAAAGAAGGGGGTGGGAATAATGTATTAATATCTGCTTTGGAGGAGAAAATGCAGACGTATCTCTCAGCTTGGCTTCTGGGCTTTCAATGAATCAATGAATGAATGAATGGTGACGATCAGAGTCCTAGGCTTATAAATTATGCCTAGGTGCTTGGATGTCATCTGTGGGTGGTGGCGAGGCACTGGAGATTTTGAGCGTGTGTGTGTGTACATAGGTGTGTGTGTGCATGTGTATGTGTGCATATGTGTGTGTTTGCATATGTGTGTGTTTGTGTGCATATGTGTGTATTTGTGTCCTGAGGGCTTGTTTGGGTGGCAGGATCAGCCCAAGGCCCCACAAACCCACTTATGTCTCCATCTCCAGCCTTTCTTAGAGGACAGTTACGTGCAGTGTGAGGAAAGATGAAGCTGAGGATGGTCCTGAATAATCTTTGATGAGCATGCAATAAAGGACCCTCAATTCCTCAACACAGAGGATCTCAAAGTCATGACTTGTCTTGTTGACCTTTCCTGATCAGTGAACACCAGTTATAGGCCCTGGCAACACAAAGAGGTGTAGACATGGCCCTGCCTGGAGGCCTTCACAAGCTGGCCTGAGAGATAGGATTCACACTGTGAGGGATGACTAACGGTGTGAGGCATCACCGGGCATGGGCTCACTGCGGATACAGGAGCTAGGCGGATGGGCACTTGGGGAAGAGTGGGGCCACTGAGGATTGGCGGGGCAGTCAGGGGAGCTCCAGGGAGGAAGGGGACCCTGTGAGTCATTTGTTCACGGATCAATCCAATGGCATTGGACTGTCACTCTGCACAGGGGGAGGGGAGCAGGATGATGCAGTCTTGGAGCTCATGGAGCTTAGCATCTACCAAGAAATGCAACGTGAAGCAGGGACTGCAAGAGTGGGGGAAGGGGTGTGGATGGTGTGCAGATGACAGTGGGAATGCATAATGCAAAGGAGAAACCTCTCAAAAAGGTCACCCTTATGGCAGACAGAAGCCAGGCAGAGGGAACAGCAGGGTAGGGAGTTTGGAGGGAAAGACAGCCTGGCCCATTCACATCTGGCTCAGAACTGGAGGGGGACTCCTATGGTTGGAGTCCTAATGGCAAGAAGAGGAAAGGAAGAGGGAACAGGAGAAGAATGCACAGGGCCTGCACTGGCCTCATTAGTGAGCCACATCCAGGCTCCAGGGCTCTATCCTAATGCCGATAAGAAGGCCCTGAAGTGACATTGCCAGCCTGGCAGTTTTCTGCACCCCTCCTGGCAGTGCAGAGGAGCGTGGATGGAAGGAGGTAGGTGTGCCGGCTGAGAGTCTAGTTTGGAGGCTGCTGCTGTAAGACTCCAGGGCAGAGACGATCTCCCAGGGAGAAATACCTCCTTTGGTGGACTTCGTTTTCTTTTCCATCCTATGTGGAAACTGTTCCCTGTCCAGAAGAAAAATGATGCTGAGGGGAGAGGAGGTGGCTTTTTCGCTAGGATTCTGGTGCTGACGATGGGGGTGGTGAGAAGAATGGGGATTGTGGAGCTGTTTTGGAGGTGGAACCAAGAAGACCTGTGTTAGATTGGAGGGCGGGGGTTGTCTGAGGGAGAGGGAAGCGTCAGCAGTGAGGGCGAGGTGACCGAGATGGAAACACCGCAGCTGGTTTGGAGAGAAGATGCCAGGTCCAGTTTTGGGCATGTTGTGGCCAGCTGGTTATCCAGGTGGAACGTTCAGGTGCTAGCCAGTCCTGGACCCCAGAGGAGGGGTGTGGAGCCATCAGTTAGCAAATATAGGGGAACTGGAGCTGCACACCTTTCAAAATTCCCAGAGAGACAGGGGAGAGTGAAGAGGTAGGGAGCCCGGCAGTCTTTGCTGAGTACATCTCCAAAGTCTCCCCGGCTTCTTTTCCCATCCTGGGTTCCTCAGCCCCATTCCTAGTCTGTGCAGGTGCAGTGAAAGAAGTAACACGTATGAAGAGCTTGCAATGTGCCAGGTTGTCCCAGGCGATGCACCAAGTCCACATGACAATCCTCCAAGGTCACTACCACTTCTCTAATAGATGGGGAAGCAGCGATGCAGTGAGGCTGAGGATCTGCCCAAGGTCACTTGGGAGCGAGCAGTGGAGGGATTCACACTTGGGGCCGGTCAAGTCCTTGGCTCCTGCTCTCATCCCAAGGCGACCTACTGCCTCACTAAGCCCCAGGTGAACAGCGAGGGCTGCTTGCTCTCTGTTCTCCACTGTGATCCCCTAAGCCAGGGGCTGAGGCCTTCCACTCCTCCATCTCTCTCCTGCTCTCTGTTGACTCTTTGACACTGCAGGGTCACCATCCAGTACAGCAGATCAATCTCTCTACGGCTCATCTGCTCCCACTGCATTTATCCCCTGATGGTCGAAGCTTTTATTTCCCGGTGAGAGGAGCGTCCCCTGGCCATCCCCAGGCACAGATAACTTACGGACCAATCAATACAGCCATTACCCTTTGGACCATGGCACCGACACAGGTGCAAGGAGCCAGGGGAGCAGGCCTCGCCCCTGCACCTCTGCCATCCTTGAGGTCCCTGAGCTCTGCCCAGCTTCTGCAGCTCCTTCTGGTGGCTCTCACAAGGTCTTCTCATTGTTGCCCCCTCTTCTGTCTTTCTTGAGTCCTCTTACACCATTTTGTCTACCTGAGCCTTCTGTAAATACCTCCTTTAGGGGCTTAGCTTTCTTTTCTGTCATATGGGGAAACTATTTCCTTGTCCAGAAGAAAGATGATTCTGGGAAGAGAGGAGGTGGTTTCGTCTGTAATGAGCGAAAAGCATGCATGAGTGGGAACCGGGGAGTCCTACAGTCAGTACCGAGGTTGGGGACAGCTGAGGGAGGACCAGGCTGGAAAACAGAGATTTCACTCGGGTCTGCCTCCACCACTGGAGGCTGGGAGACTTTGGAAAGGCCACCTTAGCCCTCTGTGCCTCAATTTTCTCATCTGAAATGGAGCTAGCACCGTCAATATGAAGAGTGGAATGATTATTAAACAAGGCAGGCTAGGATTATTAACAAGGCTGCCTTGTTAATAAACCATAGGCAAATTAGGTCAGGGCACTGGGTGGAGTAGCGTTCCCCAAAATTCATTTCCACTTGGAACCTCAGAATGGGACCTTAATTTGGAAATAGAGACCTTGCAGGTGTAATTCTTCCTGTTAAGATGAGGCCATACTGGATCAGAATGAGCCTTGAATCCAATGACTAGTGCCCTTACAAGAAGACCAGGTGAAGCCACAGAGACACACGGGGAAGATGACCATGGGAAGACAAAGGCAGAGATTGCAGCAATATATCCACAAGTCAAAGAGCACCAAGGGTTGCCGGCAAACACCAAAAGCTAGAGACAGGCATGGAACAGGTCCTCCCTCAGCACCTCCAGAAGGAACCCGCTGGGCTGACACCTTTACTTTGGATTTCTGTGCCCCAAAACTCTGAGATGATATATTTTTGTTACTTGAGCCACCCAGTTTGTGGTATTTGTTATGGCAGCCACAGGAAACACATAGAGTTGTTAACACGGTAGTGGGAGAGATGTCCTTAATGCAGGACCCATTCCTGCTGCCCAGTGGGGTTAAGTGAAATTCTCTATGGACATGGGCAAGGTGGAAGGAAGGGGGCAAAACTACCCTTCCACATCTTGCATTCCAGTCGAACCCATACCTGAAGAATGGGACAGCTAGCTTCTTTATGCTTTGCTCTAGCTTCTTGTCTCCTCTCTGGCAACTGTTTATGACAGTCCCCTCCTGCATTAGTCCATTTTCACACTGCTATAAAGATACTGCCTGAGACTGGGTAATTTATAAAGTGAAGAGGTTTAATTGACTCACAGTTCTGCATGGCTGGGGAGGCCGAGGGAAACTTACAATCATGGCAGAAGGCGAAGGGGAAGCAAGGCACGTCTTACATGGTAGCAGGAGAGAGAGAGAGTGCAGGGGAAACTACCAAACACTTATAAAATCATCCATCAGCTCTCATGAGAACTCCCTCACTATCATGAGAACAGCATGGGGGAAACCGTCCCCATGATCCAATCACCTCCCACAAAGTCCCTCCCTCGACACCTGGGGATTACAATTTGAGATGAGATTTCAGTGGAGACACAGAGCCAAACCATATCACCTCCCTAGGATCCACAGAACACCCTATATACAAGGACCCTATATACAATGGTAGGGGCTGTAAGCCCCTCGCAGGGGTGTAGCTTGTACTGCTGGTTGGGTGGGAGCAATGATGTCCAAATGGCACTACCACATGCATCCCTTTCACCTGGTCTTACAGTCTCAATTACCCCTGGCATTCTCCAACCTTCTCCCCATGATGGCCTTAACAAATGTCACGGCACCATGTTAATTTTCAGAAGGGAATCATTTTGAGCATCTATTAGTGAGAACAACCATGCCCCTTGTGGCCCCAGTAGAGCATCTAGCTACAAACCCATAGGAAAAGGGGACCCCGTCTGTGTTCTCTGACAAGGGGCATAAGACTCTCCCTAATCACCAGCCCTAGGGAGGCTTGAGGGATCTCTCTGGGGTGTCTGAATATGCCAGTCACTCACTTCCTGACTCTGTAACCCTGGTTTCCACCACCTTCTCCTAGTCCTCCTCCTTTTCCCGCCTTTCCTTCCCTGCCTTCCTCCTGTGGTTCTGAAATGTTGATGTTTCCAGCTTTCTGCTCCGATCTTCCTTGTTCCCACCCTCATCCCTTGGAAAGTACAGCTGCTTTTCTTTTCTGCTTTTAGCTATGGCCTGGATGTGAATGCCTCCCAGATCTTTAACCCTGATTTCTTGCCTGAATAAGTCAACTGTATTTTGATGACCTCCAACATGCTCAAAAGTTTAAAATATCCACAGCTGAGCTCTGGTCTCTGCAAGCTTGTAGAGGTACCGTAATTTTCTAATATACTTAGCGGTCTTGTTTGTACAGTCATCCAATCCAGAAATAACAGTGCCATCCTTGGATTCTTCTCTGCCCTTCCCCCACCTCTGACCACCCACTCACCCCCAGGCCCTGTGAGCCCAGCTGCCTGTTCCAGCTCTGGTGCATAACACGGCGTCTGGTCCACCGTTGGCATTCAATAAATATTTTCTGAACTAACAAATTAGTCCTGCTGGGTTCACCTGCTAAGTATTCCTTAAACTGGCAAGCCACCCCTGCCCCATCTCTGATCTAGATTCCATCTGCCAGGCCCTTATCGCCTCCCAGCCGCCAGTCATTAGCCCAATCTACTTAATTAAAGGTATTTCTAACCATGTGCTTCCTGTTCAAATTCCTTCAATGGCACTCCATTGCATACAGGATAAAATACTCCTCAATGGGGAACACATAGCTCTTTTTGTCACTGAACCAGAGACATGGTGGAAATTCTGGAAATACTGACTCCATGGAAGGGCTTAACAACTTGTGGTTTCCTCACAAACCACACACCCTTTCCCCCAGGCCTTCACTCCTGTCAATCCACTGCCTGATGCCTGCGGCCTGTGCCCACCCACCAGCTTCTCCTGGACACTGCCAGTCTAGCCCTAGAGTGGCTGAGGTGCCTGTACCTATCGGCGCCTTCTAATCTCCATCGTGGTGCATTACAATGATCTCTATGCATTCGTCTCTCTCTAGAGACCAGATGTTCTCAAGGGGGGGTCATTCTGTACTCCTGCCCCCAGCTCCCGGGGGACCCCTGGCGATGTCCGGAGATGTTTTTGGTCGTCACAACTGGAGGGAGGGGGATGTTATTAGTGTCTAGTGGGTAGAGGCCAGGCTAAATGTCCTACAATGGACAGGACAGCCCCCCCACCCACCCCCAACCAAGAACGATCCAGCACGGAATGTCAACTGTGCTGAGGCTGAGAAACTCTGGGCTAGACAGGAGCAAGTTCCCTGTCTGTCCATTCCCACCTCCAGGGCCTTGCCTTGACCCTGCCACGCAGTAGGCCCGCATCGTGTGTCTGCTGAGTGAACATCCCCACACTCCACCCCAGGCCTAGAGTGAAATTGGATCACTTCTTCTGCAAACAGGAGGCCTGGGCTGCGAAGAAAAGGTGCCAGCTGCCTCCCAGGCCCCAGAGTCAGGTGGCAGGGGAGGAGGCTAAGGAGAGTACTGTCCTTCAGAGAGAGCCACTTCCTCCAGGAGCCAGGGCGGATGCAACCAATTTAGCTAACAAGTTGTCAGGGCTGTGATGACGTTGCCAGACAATGAAATCGCCCTTCTTATCAACATGGACTGCCAGACTGATGAGACAAACAAGCCTGTTAATTAGGCCTGTAATGGCAGCTGCAAAGGGTACAACATTTCCAAGGAAACGGGGGGGCTGGAGGCTCTCTCTTGTCCCACCAGAGGTGGGGCATGCAGCGGGGCTTAGTTGCATCCCAGACAGGAAGGAAGGCTCATCTCACCGTGGCCATGGCCCCACGAGGCCTGGGCCTGAAAGGGTGGTTAGTGTGTCTGTCTTCAGTCACAGGCTTCCCAGGGGCAGGGCACAGCGCAGTTAACTCTATTGTGGCCCTCGGCACAGCGGTTTACCCAGACAGGCACTTAATAAAGGCATTTAATAAAGATGAGTATAAACATCAAAGGGCCCCTCTCCCCTTTCAGGATCCATCTTTCTCTCTCTTCCTCTCCAGCCGTTCCTTGGATGCCCATCTTGCTCCTGCCTTTCTCAGAGTCTCTCTGTCCAGCCCTCTGTGTAACCCTCATGCCCCTACGGGACGCAGGCAGTGCAGCGCTCCATCAAGCAAGGCCCAGAGAGGTCCCCTCATCGGTATCCCCTTCGGCTGGTATGTGTTGGCGGGATGTGCCAGTCACTGCCTCCTGACCCCATTCCTCAGCATCCCTGGTCCCGCAGCCAAGGACACAGGTGGGCGTGCAGCCAGGCCACACTCTGGGGCCCCGGGGCCGACTGGCACGGTGGCTTGGCCTGGATTCAGAGGCAGGCTGCCGAGCCTGGAGGAATGACATCCTCAGAGCTGGCGGGCACATCCCCTGGCAGTCTGTCTGGTCATTGGGCAGTGGCCAGCCACACAGGTTTGTGTCCCAGCAAGAGTGCAAACAGTCTGGGACACCCCACGTCCCTGGACACAGGCCCTGAGGCCCTCTAGGGGAAACGCCTAGCTCCAGATCATCACTACTGCCCACCATCACTTCCCTGGCACAGGGAGGTCCTCTCCACCTCCAAGACTCAGGTTCCAAAACGCTCTGTGCTGCCACTTGGACCACACTCAGCTACAGATGGGCCAGCAAGGCTCCCAGAAAGGGCCCTCCCCCAGCCCCCCACCCCCCCACCCCCCCAGACAAATTGGGGAACCCACTTGGGCATCACCAGCACCTTTCTTGCAGCTCTCTCTGTCTTCGCCAGGTTCCCTGTCACCAGCAGGCCCCTTCAGCCTGCCCTCCAGCTCCTTCAAGGAAGTGTCTCTTTGAGACTCTGCCCCCAAAGAAGGGTCATTATTGCTAATGCCTTTTCTCCCCCATCTGTTGTGATTGTTTACACTCCACTTGCTAATTAGAGACTAATTAGCTGGTGCTGAAATTCATCACTTTCCAAACACAATGCGGCAGCAGGAAAAGCACAGTGATGCGGCAACATCTGCACCTCCGCTTGCAGCCAAGACGCCATTCTGCTCCGCCTGCTCCCTGCTCCTCCTCCTCCTCCTCCTTCCCCGCCTCCTCCCCTCCTCTTCCTCCTCCTCCTTCCCACTCTCCTTCCAATAAGCCCCTAGAAGGCCTGGGGATGTCTGCACTTTTATTCAGCAACCACGGGACAATGCAGTGCAATGGCTGGTAGGAGAGACTCAGTACATCCTTGCTGAAGGAATGAATGCATGTGTAATGAACGAATGAGGATCAAAAAGCAGATGCAAGAGCGGGTCCGCTGCTGGGGGAAGGGGAGTGGCATTAAATAGCTGGCGGCAGGGAGACACAGCTGTCCATGATTCTGAGGAAGGTGGCACTGGGCAAGGCAGGGACCAGGAAAAAAGCATTCCTGGGACAGAGGCAGTGCTAAAGAGACGATTGCCGACAGATGCCTGACCTCTGAGAGGCCTGGGGGCTATGTGGGGGAAGGTTCAGGGACAGTGTGGGGGCTGGGAGAAAAGACAGACAGGAGGGAGGAGGAAGGAGAAGTAAAGTCACAAAAGGGAGGGATGGGAAGATGCACAGAGGCAGAGCGCGAGACCAGCAAGGCAGCAGGGAAGGCCGGTGGAGGGGAGGCAGAGGTCTTGGAGTGTTGGTGCTGGCTGGCTCTGGTGAGGAGGTGTGACTGCATCCTAGAGGTCTCTGCAGCCTGGGATTGAAACCATCCATTTGCCTGACAGCTGAGAGTGGAGTAGGCCTAGGCCCTGACCTTTCTTCCTCTCATCTAGGGGAAAGCGGCTTCTATTACCTAAACTCCCCTTCTTCTCAGTAGGCTGGGGGCAGCGGGCCGGGCTCCCTGGACTCCTTTGCATCTTCTAGGCCTCCTTGTGGGGATACTGGATACTCTGCGATCGGCCGATCAGCCCGCTACTGGGTCTAAGGAACCCAGGAGGAGGGAGGCAGCCTGAAACTCCAAGGGGCAGGTGGGGTCTCTAGCCCAGGCCTTGGTGCACAGTTTGAGAAGGAGCCCCCAGGACATCCTGGAATCTGGAGGAGAAAGAGTGGAACCTCTTCCCTGCCCATCTCATAGTGACATCCCAGAAGACACCGCCAATCCCCTATAGCCCTGACCAGGAAACCAAAGGTGGCCTCGACGCCAAGCCTCATCCATGTGTGAGGACAGCAGGGGGCTGCCCTCTCTTGTGAATAGGCTGCGTACATTTCCCATCCCACCTTCCTTGAGAGCAGGACTATGGGAGTCACAGCCACTCAGGTTGCAGTCCCCACTCTGCCACTTTGTGCTGTGTGGCTTAGAAGGCGCTGCATAACTTCTCTGAGCTCATCTGTCAAATGGGGATCTCCACCCTCCCTCCTGGTGTCGCTGACAGGAAAAATGACATGATGCCTTCATCTTAAGCATGGTGCCTGGTACTGGTGTGCATCTGCTGGGTGAATGGCGGGGTGGGGCATTCTGCAGTCCGGCTGCCTCCTGGGGAACATAGACTGTTTCCTTCTTCGCCTGTCTTGCTTCACATGCAACACGTGTGTGCTTATATGTGTGCTGGTGAACACTTAACATCCTGTTCCCCAGGAAATATAAAAAAGCCCTGATTGCCCACCATTGCCAATTTCCCTGGTGTAAATGCTCTAGCTGTGGCTGATTTGAAGCTATCAGTGGGACATCATGGGCTACGGATTGGGAAGAGAGGCACACAGTGAGCACCGGCTCTGGCACACCATTGCCTGCCATCACCAAAGTAGGGTGTGGAGCAGAAATCTCTCTATCCATGGATGTGGCTGGCAGGGGGCTGATTAGGAACCTGGGTGAGGTCAGTTGAGTTCCTGCCACACAAAGCTGCTTGGACCAGAGTGATCATTGTTCATGTGGGGAGAAGGCAGGGGGCGGCTGGGGGTGATGCATGCCCTCCATAAGGACCACGCCCACCCACCAAGCACATCCTTTCTTCCTAATTCCTCTGTTTCCTCCACGCCCACTCTGACACTTTTCCTTTTCTGATTTCACACATCTTAGAAACTCTTAGCTGGTTCCACGTGCTTTGCCTACACTAGCAAGCAAATCCCAATTTCCCCGCCCTGCAGTTCATGGACGAGACCACACCTGGGCTATATCAGCATCACCCAGAGGGCTTGTTAGACCACAGAGGTGCAGGGCCCCACTCACAGCCTTTAATATAGCAGGTCTGGGTGGGCCTGAGATTTGCATTTCTAGCAAGTTCTCAGGTGATGCTGCTGCCCTAGAGGCCATCCTTTAAGAACCCCTGGACCTGGATCAGCAAGCAGGTCACTGGGATCCAGACAGCTGCAGGCTGTGCTGTTGTGGAAGGTTTGGTGTTGGGAGTTCAGAGGCTCTTTTCCAGCCCCAGAAAAGCCTACGACTTACTTCCTTGTTGGCATTCCACCCCAACCCCTCTCCAGCCTCCTTCCGAGGCTTCCGCTGACCCCTGCACCTCTCTGCCATCTACACCCTCCAAACCCCCAGGCTGGGCCACCTGGGCACCTCCCACCTCTCTTTGTACCAGGGCTAGGTGTGCCGAAGCCTTTTCAGGCAAGGGGAGAGCTGACCAGGGGGGCCACACAGAGACAGCTGGGGCTGCTGGCTATTGTCCTAGAGGCAGCAGAACACGCTGCCCCCACGCCAGTGCGGGGGTCGCAAAATCACTCGTTGCTTTCCTTCTCCAAGGTTCCATGTGCAAGCAATGCACAACTAGTTTCTGCCTCACATCCCCTGGCCATGCTGGGGGCAGGTGACAAGGGTCCACTGGGGGCCTCTCTGAAGTTGGGGGGCTATAAAAGTGGTTCCAGAGGGTGAAGGAGACTGTAGCCCCGCCTCCTTCCCTACTCCGCCTTCCTGCTGATAGTCTAATCTCGGCCTCCTGAGTAACTAATCCCCCTAATGGGATCAACATCTCTGTCCCTGCACTTTACTTACATAATGGGTCAGGGAGGCCTTCCTCTAACCAGGTTGGAGGACCGCTGGGTGGAGGGGCAGGAGTGAGATCTGGGGTGCAGGAGCATTAGCTCACCCTGAGGCTTTGGGGACTGTGAGGATGGATCGTAGCATGGTGCTGGTTGGAGGTGGCGGCTCAGGATCACGACGCATGTGCGTGCGTGCGTGTGCGGGCGCGCATCATGTGTGACTGGGCGCTCAGTTAATACTCAGCCGCAGATATTAATCCCTTTCTATGCAAAGAGACGATGGATTGTGAGCCCTGAGAAATCAAAGTTGAAACTCAGCCAACCTCCTGCCCTGCTCGCCTTGCCCCTGCCAAATGGCCGCGTCTGTTAACGAGGGAGATAAACGGAGAGGCCATCAAAGCAGATTTCCAATCTGCCGATTTCGCTTTGGGGCCTTCAGAACTCGGTGGCTCACCTCCCCCTTCTGCCCCGACTCCAGCCTCCTCTGCCTTCGATTCCCACTTTGTTCCCCAGCCCCCATGCTTTTATCTCCCAAAGTTGGATCTATTGACCCAGCTCATAAGGGCTCCTTTCATCGGGCTCCAGAGCTGCTGATGGAGAGGCAGGCAGAGGGTGGAAGGGATGGAGAAGTGGGTTCTGCAGCCTGGAGGGTGGGGGCTGGGGAGAGGGGGAGGTTTGGGGGGATGAAGAGGTTGCCAAAGCAGACCGAAGCCTGTGTGGGTGGGGACGTGCCCAGCCTGGGATGTAGGAGGAGGCAGAAACCAACTCAGGGAGGGAGAATTGCCTGTAAGCAGGGGGAAGGAAGGCCCTTCTCAATGTGCCAATCTGATGGTGCATCTCCCGGCTGCATAGACTCAGATTCCCCACTTCAAATTCACTTTGCTCTTCTATTGTCTTGCCAGGAAGCAGCCTGAACCCATTCTTATGAGTGAAAATAAAAAATGACACCGCGGGAAAAATAACAAAACAGTTTCTCCATTCACAAACCCCCCAAAGGCTGAAAGAAAAGAGGATGAAGAGGGTGGAGGGGTCACCTGTGCACTGACCTGACCTGGAACACAGTACCCACTGATCCCTTCAAGGATGGGTGGTTTTATTTCCATTCTGCAGATGGTAGAGTGTGGATAGGTAACTTACAGCTGGTACCTGGGAGACAGACTTCTGACTCCCGGGAACGGCGGTGTTCACTGCACTTGGCCTGGCTGGAAAGGCTCAGTGAATATTTGTAGTAATAGCACAGACTCAGAAGCCAGACAGACTGACCTCCAGTAGGTGCCACGGTTGTGCTGATTTTATAGACAGGGAAACTGAGGCACAGATAGGTCAAGCAGCTTTCCAAAGCCACCCAGATAAAAATCAGCTGACCAGTCTCCTGGCTCCTGAGTCTGTACTCCAGCGGCTCCACCAGGCCTCTGATTTCTTCTTTGTTTGGACTCCCCTTACCAGCTTTCCCTGGCCTCCACCCATCTCTCTGTCTCCTTTTAAATGGATCATTTAGGGTCTTCTGCCAGAAACCCACCATGTGATGCTGGGGCCTCGGAGCCCTAACCCAGCCAGGACTCCGGCTTTAAAATGTGCAAGCATAGCTCTTTCAATAAATACAAAAATAAGTAAATTAAATGTGCACAGGTGACATTTGAAAAGATGAATGGATGAGCAAACCACCTCCTGGCCTCCGAATGAACAGAGTCAAACAACTTCTCGCCCACGCCTAGCCCACACTGGGGATTCGGGGAGGGAAGCTCTGGAGAAACATCATGATTCCTCTGGAAGCACCCACCTCTACCACATCAGGGTAGAGGAGAGGAAGAGGACAGAAAATCACATAAGCAGGCACCCAGTGTATGCCACAGCCATTTCGTCTCAGCCTGAAGAGGCTAGGAGTCCCACCTTGGCCTCAGTGTCAGCACTTTCTAGATGGGGCACCGACCAGTTAGAAGCAGAGTGGGCCTAGAAGCCAGGCCTCTGGACTCCCTTGCCTTGGGCCTAGGAGGTCACCCCATTGCTGCTCTAACCTTCAGGGCACTTAGTTTCTGAACCACCAGCTGTCCTTCTGATCTCCTTTGTAGACCCTGGGAGCATTCTGTAGAACATAGTGAGCCTCCCTCTAAGAGGAAGGGGGCAGGTGACCTCAGGAGAAGGCTGGAGAAAGGACAGGTGGAGTGGCCTTATCATGCTGCCCTGCCTCAGTTCCTTAGAAGTCCCCATCCCCAAAGAGAAGAGGAACCAGGCTATGTCCCACACCCCAAATCTCCCAAGGAACTAAGGAGAAGCTTTGGAGATGTTTCCTTGTCGCTTGAAATGTGTTTGGCCATCACTCACTGGACAGGCTGAGCAGGCCCCTTAAAGTGAAAAAACAACCATTAACGGGGACAGCCAGAAATCATTCGTCTGTCATCAAAGGGAAGTGAAGTCTGTGAGGGAGACAGCCTGGGAGCGCCGGGGCAGGGTCAGCGGGAAGGGAGAGATTAAACACCCAGCTGTACATCAGCCCTGCTCGGCTCAGCACAGCCAGGAGTGGGCAGAGGCCAGCAGGAGAGGGAGGGCCAGATGGGGACGCTGATGGGGAGAGGAGAGAGGGAGCTGGGGGGTGGTGGGGGGCAAAAGCACGGCTAGGGTTCAGGTCCAAGGACCCTTTGGTGAAAGCAAGTGACACAGCACCGGAGTCACATATGAAGCATTTTGCTTGGGTGGCAGCAAGAGCTTTGTTATGGGTAAAATTGAGTCCCACCAGAAGATACAGTGAAGCCCTCAGTCCTGGGACCTGTGAATGTGACCTTCTTTGAAAATATAGTCTTTGCAGAGGTAATCAAGTTAAGATGAGGTCACAAAGGTGGCCCCTAATACAATTTAACTGATGTCCTGAGAAGAAGAGAGAACGTGGGCAGAGACACACGGGGGGAATGCCATGTGATGACAGAGGCGGAGATGGAGTCATGCGGCTGTGAGCTGGGGTACCCAGGATGGGCGGCCCCCACCAGAGACGGGGTCATGCAGCTGTGGGCCACGGTACCCAGGATGGGCAGCCCCCACCAGAGACGGGGTCATGCAGCTGTGAGCCACGGTACCCAGGATGGGCAGCCCCCACCAGAGACGGGGTCATGCAGCTGTGAGCCACGGTACCCAGGATGGGCAGCCCCCAACAGAGACGGGGTCATGCAGCTGTGAGCCACGGTACCCAGGAGGAGCAGCCCCCACCAGAGACGGGGTCATGCAGCTGTGAACCACGGTACCCAGGATGGGCTGTCCCCACTGGAAGCTGGAAGAGGTGGGGAACGATTCTGCTCAGAGCCTCCGAGGGAGCAGGGCCCTGCTGAGGTCATATGTCCCATCCTCAGCATGGCAATAGAGTCTATTTCGGTGGTTCTAAGCCACTCAGCATGTGACTTTGTTACTGCAAATCCCAGGAGTGAATTCCATCCCTGACTTTATTCTCCAATAACACTGGAACTTTACACACACACACAGTCCCCAATATACTAAACATATTTCTTTGTGTCTAACGTCAATGCTTCTTGCTGTCGCAATGAGACTACTTTAGCTTCAGCAGGGTCTCTCATCACCGCTGTGATTCTCCTAACAGAATATGGGACTAGGTATGATATTTGCTATTAAACCCATAACATAATATATATATAATATACCCATTTTATAACTGAGGATAATGTTTATTTATTTATTGCTCCCACTTAAGCAAAACACTTCGTGCGTGACCCTGGTGCTATGTCACTTGCTTTCACCAAAAGGTCCTTGGGCCTCTTCCCATTTGATAAATGAGGAAACTGAGGCTAGCTAGGAGGGGTAACTGGGAGGACAACCATCAATTGGTAGGAGAGTCTCACATTTGGGCACCCATGCCAGTGACCTGTCTTCTGCCTCTCCCCTCGTGGGCTGTGGTTAATCTACCCCTAAGTCAGGCCCTACCCGGAAGGCAGGTGAGCACTTGACAGGAGATAAGTGGGTGGTCCAGAGTCTTCCCTGGGGCAGGAGCTGGGGCTAAGCCTGCAGAACCTCTGCCCTAGCCAGAGATAGAGGTGCTGAGTTGTGGCTACACCGTACACCCCAGCCTCCCCTACAGCACTTTCCTGGCAAATGTGGTCTCGGCCATCAAGCTGCCAATGGTAAGCTGCTAGGCCCCCTGAGAGTAGGTGTCTGCCAGTGTCTGCCCAGCCCCTAACATGGGGCACCCCTCCCGCTACTCCTGGCCAAAGTGGTATGAGCACCCTCAGAGCAGCTGTGAGGACAGCTCTGGCTGGGGAGAGGCAGCTGGGCCCCAGAGGGCTGGGGCAGCAGTGAAGGGAGGTGCCCGGGGGGCTGCAGGGGATGGGCTGCAGTGTGTGGAAAGAGCTGCCTGCCAGGAGCTCTCCACCCTTCTAAAAGGTGGACCAGGGCCAGAGCCAGGCTCTCCCTGCTGGTGGAGCGGATGTGGGGCATGGCTAATCCCCAAGCTGCAGATGACATCAGAAGGACCAAGGCTAGCTCGGGCAGCACACTTAGCACATGGGCGCCTTGCTGGGTGCTCCATCCCATCCCCTCTCAACATCCTCACCTCTATCTTAGCAGGGCAATACCGCACCACCCCCATTTCACAGACAAGGACCCCGAGATAGGTAGAGGGGTGAGTGCCCGTGGTCTACTTCATGGCGACTTCAAGGCCAGAGCTCGCCCCACCCTCCCTCCGTCTCTCCCTGCTGGCTCTTCATTTCTCGTGGCGTGTTTACCTTCCTGATTTTGCCTGCTTTTGTTTGGTTTGATATGAAAATGAGTTTGCCCAGAATGCACAGCGGCAGAAGGAAGGGGGCGCGGGGCGGAGTCACGCTGAGTGACAGGAATGTGCAGACGTTGAATTAAAAGCAGCTTGGCACAAACAGAATCCGGCTACGGAAAATTCAAAATGTATTTAGAGCCGAGTGGAAGATCCTCGTCAATCGGGCTCATGGTTTGGTGGAAACCACCTAGGCTGGGATGCAAGTCCAGGCCTGTTCTTGCCTGTGTGCCCTGAGGAGAGCCCCAAACCTCTCTGAGCCTGCCTCTTCTGCTGATAAACAGTGTCAATGGCATCTCTTTTACAGGAGTGTCGCGACAAGGATTAAATAAAACAGCATCTGTGAAGTGCGTGTTGCCAACTGCCAAGTGTCATACAATGGTGAGGTTGTATTTTTGGATTGTCTGCTTCCAGGGATGTCTAAAGTACCTGGGACTGGCCCATCTCATCACAGTGCAGGCAGTGCGCTGGCCCCAAGTCCCTCTCTGGGGGCTGTGCCTCTCTGTCTGACCCTCCACGCTTCCCATCCCTGGTGCCTTCTGAGGTGGGTTCCCAGGGACCAGCATGGCTGGGAGAACAAAACTGAGGTTGTGACTTGCCTGACAGCAGCAGGGGCAGCTTCTGGTGGGGATGGCTGCTCCTGTGATGGAGGGGGTGCTACAAGAGAGAGCAGGGGTCCTCCCATCTGTACGTGCCTGGAGCGACCCTGGCTTGGCCTCCTGGGTGCCTGTTGGTGGAGGGGGCTGGTGAAACAGCTCAGCAGGAATGAGGGAAACCTGCCACAAGCGAACTCCAGCCAGGGCCTGGTGGTGAGCAGCACAGGGCTCTCAATGAGCAGCCGGGCCTGGTAAGCAGCACAGTGGCCCTCCGTGAGCTGTGCCCTGCTGGGCAGGCTGGGCCTCCGTCCCCTCAACGAGGAGGGGTGGAGGCAGGGCAGGATTATGAGGCAGCAAGGGGAGAGGGAGGACCCAGGGGAAGGGCCAGCCACGGAGAGGCAGTAGTGGAGGGGTCTTGGGATTCGGGGCCTCTAGCAGGGCCAGGCTGGGAACCGAGGACACTTGGTCTCCCTCCCTGGGCCTGCAACAGGCCTGAAATTCATGCCATTTGGTGGCCCTCTTTAAGAACACAAAATATCAAATATAAAATTAGGTGCCAAAGTCCGGAAAGGGCAGGAGATTCCCGGAAATGACTGCAGTCCCACAAGCACCCAGAAGTGAGGACATTCATAAGACACCCTCCCCTAGGCCCTGGAGAGCGAGACTCGGATCTGGGGAGATTGGTGTGAGTCCTGGGATGGGGGCCACACAAGTTCTAGGCCACGCCCCCTCTGCAGCATAGGCAGGTCCCCTCCAGGGCGCAGTTTCCTCATCTGCAAAAGAGGGGATGGGAGAGGGGAATCTGAAGGTCTTTCCCAGCTGTCATTTGTTCATTGCTTCTGGGATTTTATGAATAGGGATGAGTGACCGGCAGCCTTCCATTTACTGGGGGCACTCAGCTCCCTGCCCTCTCATCCAGGATGTGAGGACTCCAGAAGGGCTGGGGAGGGGAGGAGGAGGAGAGGCTGGAGTGGGATGGCCTGCCCTCCCTGGGGTTGAGGCAGTGATGGTGCCCGCACCCTCGCAGGTGTGGTGTGTGTGGGGCTGTCCTTCCGATGTCCTCAAAGAAGGCACACCAGGGCAGGTGCCATGCCGCTCATATCCCCTGGGAAAAGATTCCCCACTCTGAGGACAGGTGTGTGGCACAGCCCATCCCTATTCCTCCATGTGCAGATGCAGAGTCTATGTAAGCGACAGCCCAATGATTGCTTCCTCCTCCCACCAGACAGAGAACCACTCTTCAGAGGAAAATATCACCTTCCCCAGACTCTTCCGGCAATCGACACAGGAGTTATTAACACAAGGGATGTGGGCTGGGCAAGTGCACCTTGATGCAGATGTGGCCGTGAGTCTGAGCCCAAGAAGAGCCACTGGCCCAGGTTGGTGCATGGGCACTGCCCTTGGGGGATAGGGGCAGGCCAGCCTCCCACCCTCTTCCAGAGTCCAGCCTGACCAGCTTCCAACTAGGAGAGGCACAAGGGCCAGGCCCGCCCTCCAGGAATCCCAAGGTGCAGGGGGAGAGGCAGCTTCTGTCCCTGGGTGATGCCGCTCTACAAGTGTGAACTGAGTGCCTCCTGGGTGAGGCCACCCATGGGTCCCAGACACTCATCACGGGGAAGAGGCAGTCACTCAGAGAGAGATGCAAGTGCTCTGAAACTGCAGGCAGAGGGACATCTAGGGGACACCAGGAGAGCTCCACAGACAAAGTCACCCTTCAGCATGGTCTTGAAGATGAGTGGAAATGAGGTAACGTGAGCACAGCATGTTTGGGACACAGGAGATAGTTTCACGTGGCCAAAAGTCAGGGCACCTGGAGGCAAGGAGATGCTAAAGGTTTATCCCATAATGACGGTCCCCTGTATGTACAAAGAGGCTTTCCACATCCTTTGCCTTCGAGGGACTCACTTAAACTCCCACAACAAACTGTGAAGCTGGCCTGGCCCTGTCATCCTCAGGTTGCAGCTTCAGTGACTTCCTTCAGGAAACCTTCCTGGACTCCCCAGTGGATGGGCTGGGGTCTGCCATGTTGTTCTCATAGTTCCTCCTCTTCACAGCATCATCACTGCCATTCCCTTGCCTGTCTCCCCACCCGCACTGAGCTCCGTGAGGACAGGGACTTGCCTGGCACATTGATCTTTGTGTCACCGTCAAAGTCTGCAATGGGATCTGGCAGAAAGAAGATACTCCACTTATTGGATGGAGGAGTGGATGGATGGATGGAAAGAAGGAAAGACAAACGGACAGATGAATAGATGGATAAACAGATGGATGGATGAATATGTGTATGTATGCATGTGTGTATGGATGGACAGAATGGATACATGGACAGATGGATAATGGATGGATGGATGGATAGTGGATGGATGGTTGAGATACCTAGCAGTCCCAGATTCAAGTCGCATCATGTCAAGAATCACCTCAGAAAGCATCTAACTTAACCTCTTCATTTCACAGGGAGGAAACAGATCATGGAGGGGAAATGGCTTCCATGACACTTTTGAGGGGAACAAGGGAGCAGCAGGGGTCAGAGCTCGGGTGTGCAGCACCCATGCCAGGACCTGCTGTTCATCCAGGCTGCTGGGGCGGCAGGTCCTTCACCATCAGGAGTGAATTACAGATCTCAGGTCACTGGGACCTCAACCATTCCCTGGACCTGTCTTCTGCAGAGACAGGCCTCCCAAGCACACCCCCTTGTCAAGGCTCTTTCTTCCTTGGGCCTCCACTCCTTCTTCCTTGGGCCCCCTCCTGTTGCATTTTAAAGATTTTCATAGTATGTGGTTTTGCCTAATAAAGCATTCTCATTGCGTGCACGTGCACGCACACACACACACACACACACACACACAAAGTGGAGGCTCAAGGAAGAAGGCCACCTTGGGGGCTGTGGCCTCTGTATCTTGTTGGGGTTCCCCTCCCCTGGAAATCCCTTCCTTTAGGGAGTGAACTGCAGGGAGCTTGCCCCTGCTGGACTCGCTCAACCCCGCCCTGCTTCTTCCCCAGCTGCCGAGCCTGCCGCCCTGCTTCTGACCCACCCCTACTGTATGTGGTTCGGGTCCCATGGCAGGAGGGGGACCCTGTGGAGAGTGATTGTGTCGCCACCTCAGTGAGACTTTCTTCCTAAATAAATGAATGCACACACACACGAGCTACTTGAGAGACACCGGTGGTAGGGGTTAGAGATGAGGGGGTTGAGGGGAAATGTGCAAGAACAAGGGAAGGGAGAGAAGGGGTGCGTTTGAGCTAAACATGCCCTGCCGCAAGCAGGCAAAGGGACCGGAAACAGAGGAGTCCCCATCCCCACCCACCACTGCCTGGGGCCTCAGAAGGCGGATCACAAACATCACACTGGGAGGTTGGGGGACAGCACCGCCATTTCCAGCTGCTCCTCCAACCAGATTAAGGCCAATTAATTGAAGACCCCACTGAGCTGGATGATACAACCATCAGCTACTCTCAGGAGGGTGACCCAGCGCTGCAAGGCTGCCCTGGGATGCCCCGCCTGTCTGTCCAGGACTGGTTCTGGTCTCATTCTTCCACCAACCTCACAGTGTGCCTGGGGCCTGGGAGAGGGTCTCTGAGGCGGCTGGGGTCAGTTCCTCCTCTGCCTCTCAGGACTGGGTTGGATCAGACAAGTTAGGAGGTGGCCAGGGTGTGGAACAGGTAGGCTGTAGAGCAAGGAGGCTTGTGCAACCCGGGACTCAGATGAGGCCAATCCCTACATAGACTCAGACCCCAGGGCTCAAAAGATGGGACTGGGGAGGGGCTGGGGAAAAGACACCAGAAAGGCTTTTCAGGAAAGTGTTGGGGGAAGGAGTGCTGTCGGGGGCGGGGGGTGAGGAGAGGCAGAGAGAGAGATGGGAAGCCTGGACCCACCCCAGCTGCCCCCTCCGCCTTTCTCCCCTCCCTGAAGGTGCCAGGGCAGGCGGAGGCAGAGTTCAGACCTGCCCTCTCTCCTGTGCAGGCGGATGCAGGCGGAGGAGGAAAGAATCAATTAGTTCATTAGCTGACACGTCTGTGAACATGGCTCCCGGGACTTGACGGGCCTGGCGGCCAGTGGTGGTTTAATAGGCACTTTTGCTCTGAAATGATACCTGGGCCAGCAGCTTCTGCCACAGCACGGGGCTCGCTTAAAGAGGAGGGAGCCGCAGGCAGGGCAGAGAAAGCAGGAGAATGTGGAACAGCCTTGGCCAGAGAAGGGAAGGGCCCCCACCCCCAGTCACTAGGCAGGCCACACTGCAGCCCAGTCACCACACAGGCCACACTGCCTCCTCTCTGGCTGACCAGAGGGAGCAAGGTGTCTGGGCAAGGTCCCTCTCAGGCCTGCCTGGGGCCATGGCCTGGACTGGGCAGCAGGTGTGGCTCAGAGACCCCTGGCATGGTGGTGGGGAGACCTCGCTTCCTGTCTCTGGGTCTTGGGGCCCTTGTGGGTCTGTGGAGTGACCTGGCCAGGTGACCCATAAGTCCCTTTCAGTTCTGACATGGCAAGATCTATGATCTGTTGGGGAAGGTACATTTCAGAATAAGCAGACTGATTTTTCAAATGCCCAACCACTCAAGTTATCAGGGTCTTGAGAACAGGACGGCTCAGAGAGGTGCAGGGATGGTACAGACAGGTGCAGAGCTGGGATGCAAACTCAGATTCCCTGGAACCCCCAGTCTGCACTCTTAGCCACGTCCTTGTGCTGTCCTGCCGTGACACTGGGAAAGCCGGACTTGACTCTGGAGCCAGGCACTGATCCAGGTGCTTCCCTCCCTCCTCTGTATGCATCCCCCTGAGTCAGGGTGGTTGGTCCTAGCCTGCCCTGCCTAGGGCATCTGGTCTGGCTTTAGCCAAGTCTCCTCTTTTGGACACAGCTGCAAGTGATATAGTCAGTGTCTCACAGAGTCCACGCCCTCCAGGCCTAGGCATGTTGCAAGGCTCTAAGCCACGCCCCCTCTGCAGGGCAGGCAGGTCTCTAGGGCTCAACTTCCTCATCTGCAACTCAGGGGATGGGAGAGGGGAGCCTAAAGGTCCTTCCATGCTGTTATTCGTTTATTGCTTCTGTGATTTTATGAATAGGGATGAGTGACCTGCAGCCTTTGATTTACTGAAGACACGGAGGCTTTGGGCTTGGATTGGGTAAAAGGCTCTGAAGCTAGACCAACCACTGTGCCCAGGGACAGGACGAACCTCTCTGTGCTGCATGTACGTTGCCAGC
Source organism: Homo sapiens (assembly GCF_000001405.40). Taxonomy (NCBI): domain Eukaryota; kingdom Metazoa; phylum Chordata; class Mammalia; order Primates; family Hominidae; genus Homo; species Homo sapiens. The sequence continues at coordinate 73,547,480 of NC_000017.11, forward strand.
TCAATAGGGCTGGTCTGCAGCAAGGAAGCCACCGAAGGGTACAGATCGGGGGATGGGGACAGCGGAGGCTCAGCAAGTCCTGTGTCCCATTCCCCACCTCCCAATAGGGCCTGTCTGTACCACCCCAGATAGGGTAGAGACACCATGAAGATGTTCAGAAGGTCCTCAATGGTCTCCTTCAAGCTCTTGGTCAGAAGGGAGGGAGGGCAAAGGAAAAAGTCTGTTTTGAGCAGTTCAGGGGGTCCGGGGCTGTGCTGGATGCTTTTTAGATTTTTGATCTCATTTGATCAGATCTGCTGAAGTGTTCTTAATGGCTGTGTTAGTCCATTCTCATAATGCTATAAAGAACTACCTGAGACTGGGTAATTTACAAAGAAAAGAGGTTTAATTGACTCACAGTTCCGCAGGCTTACTAGGAAGCATGGCTGCGAGGCCTCAGGAAACTTACAATCATGGCAGAAGGCAAAGGGGAAGAAGCAAGCATGTCTTACCATGGCAGAGCAGGAGAGAGAGAGATGGGGAAGTGCCACACACTTTTAAATCTTCAGATCTTGTGAGAACTCACTATTACGAGAACGGCGTGATCCAATCACCTCCCACCAGGCCCCCCACCTTTAACACGTGGGGATTACAATTCCACATGAGATTTAAGTGAGGACACAGAGCCAAACCCTATCAATGGCCCAATTTACAGATTGAGGAAACTGAGGTTGAGAGGTTAAGTCACACGCTAATGTCACGGGGCTAGGAAGTGGCAGTGGTGGCATTCAATCTTGGGACACATGCCCTTTCTGCTGCCCTGCAGCTTGGAGAATTCTAGTGCTGCAGCTGTTGGGAGAGAGAGGATTCTGTCACCCAGCTGGTGGTGCGACCTGTGCCTCCAGAAACCCTCTTCCCTATCCCCCCTGCCCCCGAGTGGGTCCTCCTGTCCACACAGCATCAAACCCTGCTTTCCTGCTGCTCTCTAAGCTCCCCCTGCAGCTTCCTAGGCACAGGATGATTATTCCTCCTGGGGTGGGGGACAGATAATCCTGATCCCATTTGTGGGACACAGAAACCGATGCCAAGGTCCAACTGGCACAGAAGCTGGGAGCACTGGGCTTCCTCTGCAGACCAAGCTTGCTGGGGTTCCCAGTGGCCTAGCTTTTGATGCCCAGAGGGCAGTGTGCCCTGCTCCCAGGAGGCCCTGGATAGCCTGTCTCCTCCCTGGGGAGGAAATGACCTTGGGCACTGCCCAGTCCTTGCACACTGTCTGGGGGAAGTAGAGGGGGAGGAAATCAGGCTTCTCTCTCACCAACCAGGCTCTGCATGGTGGGGGGCCTTGGGCCTGCACACTTAAGCTTGCTGCTATCCCACGGAGGGCAGCTGGAAGGTGGCTTCCCTGGGGCCCAGCCCAGCCTCCTTCTGGCCCCAGTTACTCTCTCAGACACCCCAAGATGCGTCATCCATGCCAGCCGCTGAAGCTGTCAGCTCTCTCCTTCTCAGCACCACTCAGAGTCTCAATGACAACCCCGGCTGCCTCCTGAAGAGACACGTCAAGGACTCCTGTCCAAATGACGCCATCAGCCTTCCCGTTGTTGGCCGAGGTGCTGGGCACCAGCAGCCCCCACCCTGGCCCTGTTGCTGGCTGATAAAGGAACAATTTCCCTGCGAAGGAAAAACGTAGCAAGCAGCAATTTTCATTCATGAGAAAGCTCTTAGGCAGGCAGAGAAGCCGGAGTGAGGAGCAGGGAGGAGTAGAAGGAGAGAGGAGTGGGAAGAGAGGAGGCAATTGCCTCCTCCTGGCAGCCCTCCTTGATTGTTGAGCAGCTGCCAGCCACCTGGGCTGCTCACTGTTGAAGAAAGCTTCCCATCACTTCCTCATGACTCAAAGCTCTGCAGGTACTCTTTGCCCTTTAGCTTGTACCTGATTAATTAATTTTCAGTTAAGTGATTTGATCCGTCATCCATTCACCCAAAAACCATTCCTGGAGCACCTGGCATGTGCTGGGAATCGCAAACAAAGATTCAGCCCTTGCCCTCAAGTTGCTCATAGACCAACTGAAGAGGAAGTCTTGGTAAGGTGTCATGCTATGGGGGAAGTAGATGGGGCTGGATGGGTCAGGGAAGGCTTCCCGGAAGAGGGAGTGTCTAAGTCAAGCCCTGAAGGATGGATGGGAGTCAGCCAAGCAGAGATGGGGGCAAGTTTTAGGCGAGGTGAACACACAAACAGCAACCCGGTCAGACAGAATGCGGCAGGTCCCATCAGCCACAGTGTGTGGGAGAGGGGATGGGGGGCAGAGACAAGGAGAGGGGTGAGAGCGGGGCTCAAGATGTGAGCGAGGTGGCATGATGAGAGGCACTGAAGGGTTTCAGCAGCAACAGATCAGATTTCTGTAACAGAAAGATCACTCTGGCTGCAACGTAGTGGGGAACGCCAAGTGGGACCTGGTCATAACCAGGTGGAGGGGTGGTGGTGACCAGAATCTGGAATGAGACTGTGGGTGAGGACCGCCGGGGGTGCATAGAGGCAGATGCATGCAAGACACTAATGCACCCCTCCCGCTGCTCTGCACTGTGTCCCGGGGGCACTGAGCCCCGGGTTTCTCCCTCTGGTTGCACCAGCCAGGCCCCCTCCCTACCTGCCCCTTTCCTGCATGGCAGGTCTAGTGCTCCTGACTGTTTCCAGGTCAGGTTGAGCTGGCCTGGCTTGGAAATATGCTTGATGGAGTTCTAAGCCTGCTGCAGCAGGGGGCCAGGGGTCAGGGAGGTGGCAGACTGCCAAGGTAGGAGCCTCTGGTTCTCCCCGGCCTCCTAGCGACTCTGCTCTAGGGTTAACGGTTCTGAAATATATGCTGCTTAATGCTACGTCCCCAGGAAGGGACCCCTAACCTGCTAGCCCTTTGTCCCGCTGGGAAAATAGCTCAATTACTGCCAAAATGAGAAGCTGTCCTGGGGTGGATGAAGTAGCACCAAAGGATAATTAGAATGGGCTGGACATGAGCAGCCACTTGTTTGGAAAGGTGGAGGGCCACGACACAGAGACCCTGGGTGGCGGGGGAGTCAGGGTGGCGGTGGAAGGGCAGGAGGGACCCAAGGAAGCCACAGAGCTTTTGACCGTCTCCCATTCCCCCACCCCTACCCTGCAGCTTCCTGCCACACGTCTCTTCCTGGGATGTTAAGGAGGCTGGCATGGAGTCAGAGTCCACTCAAGAAAGCAGAAACTACTGGCTATACTCGCACAGAAGGAATTTGCTACAGGGAACTGGTTGCAGGTGATAATCAGCGAGAAGCCCAGCGGGGGACAGTGAGGTAACCCAGAGATCGGTGACACAAGAGGCCTCTACCATCCCTAGGCCGGAGGGGTCCAGGGAGGAAGTGAGGTTGCTGGATCCCAGGGCGAGTCACCCGTCCACAGGGAGCTGGAGTCATGAGCCAAACGCAGCTGCTCATGGAAGCCAGTGGAGGCAGGAGGGAAGGGAGAGACCCCAGCTTCTCTCCCTTGCCTACCTCCTGTCTCCTGTCAGTGCTTCCCACTGGCCAAGCCTAACCTGAAGCCAGCTGACCGGGGAGCCTGGGAAGCCAGGAAGACAGCCACCTGTGATACAGGACAGAGCAGAGGCAGGACAAGGAAAGGACCTGAGAGGTCACAGCCCACGAAGGACACAGTGGGTCGAGGTGGTAGCCTGAAGCCACAAAGCACGCTAGCCGGGGACTCCACGCGCACCTTGTCTTCCCTCCCACACTGTTGGGTGATGGCGGCCGGCTCCCCATCAGCTTCTGGTGCCTTCGTGATAAATGCCCACACGCTCCCACCCCAGCCCGATTCATCAAGCTCCCCGTGGCACGTTGCATGGCCAGAGACCTTGCCCACCAGGAGCTTAATCTCCCAGACAAAGAACAGAAACGCGGCCTGGGCCAGAGACATATAACATGTTGCCGGGAGTCACTGACGGTCTAAGTGAGCCCAGGAGCCTCGCAGCTCCTGCCAGGAATGGGGAGGGGGCGGAGCGGCCGAGGCCTTCGGTTTTCTCCCTCCTTCCATCTCTGGTGTCAGGGGTGACTTGGAAAGGATACCCCAAGTTTCTCTAGGCCATTCTTCCACCTTTTTCTCAACCTAACCCCTCCTGGACCAAGCAGGCTCTAATACAGCTGTTCCTTTCTCCTTCCCTCCCCTCCTTCCTTAACATGGATTAAAAGCCTCCAACACACTGTTTGCTATGGACGCTGTGGATGCCATAGCGAGCAAGACAGGCCTGGTCCCTGCCCTCACGGTGCTTACACACGCAGAGCTTCTGCAACCTTCCCTAGTTGTCCCCCTAAGGGCAGGGGGACCTTCAGACCACCCCACCCCGCTGCTTTCCAAACTCAGCTTCCAAGAGGAAGCTGAGACCCAGTCCATCTGGAGACCCAACTCCAGGCTTCCCTTCTGTCTCCAACCCCTTTTGAGTAAAAAGAGGGTCAGAGAGGAGAGGGCACTAGATTCAGGGGGCTGTGATTGGCTGCCACCAGACTGATAGATGGGTGAAGAGACCAACCAAGACTGTGGGACAGCCAGGGTGGCAAGGCAACCTAGAGTCAGGCAGGTGCCGCTGCAGTCCCCACCGCCTGCCCCCCACCCCTCGGCCAGCCTGTCCCCCCTGTCTGGGGCCCAGCTCTAAATCTCTCTGACATAAAATATTGTCGGAGAGCCACAGCACAGAGAGATTAAAAAACAATAAAGAGAAAGCGAAACTCTCGTCTATAATTACCAGCCTCTAGCCGGCAGCAGCAGAAACGCACTAAAATTTTAATAGGAACCACTGCATTTAATTTAACGACACATTTTTTCAATTACCAGAATAATTGTCTTATTCATAAAATGAGTTTCAATAAAGAGGGTAATTTTCCTTTGTTTTTATTATTCATTTGTGAAACATATTTGAGATAGAACCCCCTCATGTTAAGGCAGCTTGGCGAGGACGCATGACATCTGTGTCACGCATTGAAACTGGAGTGGCGCAGGGGACCCTCCTGAGGGGGTGGCCGTCCACATTGCCAGCTGATGGCCGAGCGGTCAGTGGTCGAGGCGCAGGTCTGAGTGTACTCGGCCGGAGTACCCATCATGAGCCACTTAGATTAGCTTCTCGGCACTCAAGAAGTACGTACGAGCATCACGCCCACTTGAGCTATGAGAAACTGAGGCATAAATGGGTTAAGTCACTTGGCAGGATACGGGGGAACAGGATTTGAGCCCGGCCAGGCTGACTGCAGAGCTTGAGGACGGTGCTACTACCCTGCCAATGGACCCCGCTGTAGGCTGCTTCCCAGACGAAGTTCCCTAAGCGACTTCATCTTTGAACCAACTCATTTGCACTTCTCGCTCTGGCTTCGTTTACACTGCACTCTAAGCCCTCTCCTTGGCAAGTTCTCAACTCGAGAGCCCTTGCCCTGAGCCTCTGGCTGGCGCTCAGAGATGGGATGAACTGTTTGGAGAGGAGCCGTAGAGGAGAGGCTCAGACCCGTTTGGGTTCTGGGTTCCTCGAGCACCCTAATCCCAACCCTTTGGGATTGGCTGCAGCTCCCAGGTAGGGCAGACGGCTGCAGCGTCACGCTGCTTCTCTGGATGGATGAATGCAAAGGCAGAGGCTTCTGTGGGGGCTGGGAGGGAAGGGCCAGAGGGAGCTCTTGGCCCCACTCTGGGCATGGAGGTGGCCTTGAGCATGGAAGCACCTTCTGGGGTGTGTGTGTGTTCTGAATACCATCAGAGGCAAGAGGCAGAGATGGGGCAGGACAGGCCACGGGGGGCCAGTGGTGGGAGCCCAAGGCTGCCTCCAGTAGGGAAATTGATATTGATAGACCATTCTCACTGTCAAGGGCTTTGAGCCAGGACTTACTGCCTATTTAATACCAGGGTCTCCATAGTGACCCTGGAAGGTGGATGTTATTATCCCCTTGGTAAAGATGACAAAACTGAGGCCTCAAGAGATCAAACAAGTCCTGCCCAAAGTCACTGGGCCAGTGAGCAGCCCAGTGGTGAGTCACCCCCAAGCCCTGCCGGCTGCACCTATTCCTATGATGGTGTTTCCTGCAGGGAGCTGCCCTCTCAGAAGCCAGGATAGCACAAGGAAGGACAGGGGGGGACAGAGAGGTTTGAGGCCCAGGGTCACCCCTGAGCCACTACCTGGCCACAGCCTCCATCCCACCTGCAATCTCCTTCCTCGGGCCTACACCTCCTGCAGGTGAATAGCACCACCCCCAAACCCCCACCCTTGTTACAGCATAGCCTTCACCCAGGGATGCCAGTCACCCCCTTCCTGAGGAGGTGCTGGCAGAGGGGGCATGACCAGCTCCAGCCTGAGCCTCAGATTCCCTTCAGGCTTTTTGGGCATAAGATTGGATGCAGGAGTGGTGGTTTCCCTACTCCCTCCCTAGGTATAAATCTGGCCTGCAGAAGACCTCTTCAAGGGGAGATACCTAGCAGCCCCAACACATCCCCCTGAAGCCCTGGCTTCTTCCCATTGAGGAGAGGACAGGAGCATGGAGGGAGGGTTACTAGGGGAGCTGGGGCCCTGAGGCTCACAGGGAGAGGGGTTTTATGTCCTCCAGGGGGAGCTGGGACCACCTATTCCTAACCCTGGAGCAGATCCCTTGTCCTCATCAACCCATGGTCTCTGCCCCCTTTCAGGTCTTCTACTTCTTCCAGGAGGCCCCCTGATGAGGACAGGGGGCAAGTCATCCTCCCCTTTGGAAGCCCAGTGCTTTGCGCAATGCCAGGCACACAGGGGCAGCTCATCAATCCATTATGTAAAGGCACCTAGATGAAGCAGAACCACTTCCACACTGTTATGAGCCAAACTTCCTGCCCCCAAAATTCATCTGTTGAAGTCCTAAGCCACGGTACCTCAGAATGCAACTAAATTTGGAGATAGGATCTTTACAGAGGTAACTAAGGTTAAATGAAGCCATTGGGGTGGGCCCTAATCCCATGTGGCTGAAGTCCTTATAAGCAGAGGAGGTGAGGGCACAGGCTCATATGGAGGAAGAACATGTGAAGACACAGGGAGAAGATGGCCATCTACATGCCAAGGACAGAGCCTTCCCTCATGGCCCACAGAAGAAAACAACCCCCATAACACCTTGGTCTTGGACTTCTGGTCTCTAGAATTGTGAGAAAATGAATTTCCATCATTTCAGCCAGCTAGTCTGGTATTTGTTACAGCAACTGTAGGAAACTAATACACACTTCTGTGCAAATCTCTTTCCTTCCCTGGAATGCATCCTCCTCTATCTCTGCAAGTGTGAGCTCTGTATGTCAAGTCCTGGCTCAAAGTCCACCTTCTCCAGGAAGCCAGCTGTGCTGTGGAGCTCTTGGGCATCCTTTGTAGAGTATTGATTTACACTTATTTATGGGTTGTTCTGTAAATGTTACAAACCCATATTTGGGTTTTATTACAGGATCAAAACTCTGTGAGTTTCCTCCTGCCAAGACCTGAGTCTCTTCCATCTTCAGGAGCCCTCGAGGTGCTCTGAGCTCAGGCAGGGCCTTGGTGCCCAGACTGGCTGGGGACCAGGCTGGGAGGAAGGAGGATGGGGGAGCTTTGTTCTGGGTTGGCCCTCTGACAGCGCCAATCCCCATCTCCAGCCCTGGTGAACCCTAGAGCTTGCATTGTCTAGCTGCATATGCAGCCCCGAGCTGGGCTATGGGCACTTGGTCTTGCCCTGGGAGGCTATGAATTGAGCAGAGGAGAGGATGGTAACCAGAGAGAGCAGGAGTAACAGGAGTGCTGTCTATACAGATGAGCCAGCGAGGGCCTCATGGAGGGCTTGAGTCTGGAACTGGCCTTGAAGGCTGGCAGGACTTGGACTGGTTGAGGGCAGGGGGAGCTCATCTCCAGTGGGGAGAACAGCTCATGCAAAGGTGTGGCATGTGAATGGGAGTATTCCTGGCCTGGGGGAGGCGCCATTGGGAGCGGTGCACTGGACCTTGGACTCCGCGCAGCTCATCCTCGTCTCTATGTACTGAGGATGCTGAGGCCCAGGAAAGGAAGGGGCTGGCCCAAGGTTGCTCACTGTGGTCAGGCCTCTCTGCCCCTGGGCCTCAGAGGGGACTTGGAGGTCACTATTCCAGTCCCTGCCATCAGGCAAGAATGGTGGATTAGCCTGAATCCCCTATCATCTCCCTCTCTGCCTCAATGTCCCGGAGCTCAACTGGGAAGATGAGGAAGGGCCCAGGTGGGGGTAGAGGAAGTGAGGGGCTGCCAGGCGCCAAGACCACATAAGCAGCAGATGTCGGCGGATTAGCAGCTCTGCTTCCCAAAGCTGCCGGAGCCACTTAATATTCTGCAGAGGGGATCACTTCTCTTTCATAAAAAGCAAACACGGGACTGAAATGCTGCAGACTCCAAACACCTGGGGAGGTTTGGCGGCTTGAAACCTTGCTCCTGGGAAAGACACAGAGAGTCAGGGGGGACCAGGGAGTCAGCCCTCCTTGCTGGCCAGAAGCAGTGGATGGTCCCTGCAGGGAGACAGGCAGTGGATGCACAGATGGGCTTGAGCTTCTGGGGTTTCCAGGGAAAGGCAGGGGCTTTGGGAGACATGGGGGCACTGTCCATGGGGCTTGGGCTTGGGGTGGACAGTTGGCAAAGTGATGGCACTCAGTGGAAGTCACTGCCAGGAAACGACACATGCAGGGACCATTCCTCTCCCTCTTAATGACCCCAGACATCGGGAATGGAGGCACAGCCACTGAGGCAGATCACCAAGATGGGAAGCGGCAGGTTCTTTCCAAACAAACAGATCAACAGAGCAAAACAGCTAACAGCTTTAGTTAAATACAAATAATTCCAAGAAGCCAGCGGCAAGCTTTTACCTTCGGAGTTTGGGTTTTTTTTATTGTTGTTGTTGTTTAATAAAGGAAGACGACTTTCTTTGATTAGACAGAGCTCACTTTATCCAGATGGGAAAGAAATACAATGGCTCTCTCTTGGCTTCCTCCGAAGAGCCAGGTATGTCTGGGCAGCCCATCTGGGCGATGCTCACTGGACATGAGGCTGTGTATGGTCAGATGTTTATGTACCGTGACTCATTTTTGGTAGAGGCATTCACGTTTGACCTGCACATGATTCTTCTTTTAAGCACACATTTTAGGAAAAATATTTGCTGAATTCTTATGCGGCTGTTGGCATTGCTGTTATTGTATGGTTGTTACCATTTGTTCCCCTTTGGGAACCTGTTTCCGGTTTTGAAAGGACTTCAGTAGATGTTAATAACTCAGCTTGCCTGGGTGGAAGTCTAACCTGGCAGCTGTCAGCACAAATTCTGGAGCCAGACCACCTGGGTTCACATCTGAGCTCTGCCCTGTATTGCTTTTGAGGGGATTTTCTAAGCCTCAGTTTTCTCTTCTGTAAAATGGGGGTGATGATGATCATAGAAACTCTCTCACAGGGGCTTTGTGAGGATTGTGTGAGTTAAACACACAAGGAAATTAGCACCAGATTGACAGTATGGGGCTATGATTACTGAGATTGGAAACAAACCTTAGCAAATTTCATTCTTCTAAGCTAGGCAAAGGCCACGCAGCAGCTAGAAAGTGCAGACACTGGGGTTGGCCTTATGTGGGTTTGAATTCTCCAGAATATTCTGGCTGTATAAAACCGAGCAAATCAATTTCTCTGGGCTTTGGCCTCCTTATCTATACAATGGGAATAATGAGAACTCATTCCTCATAAGAAGTAAGTTTCAACTGAAGCTCATGGAATGACACAGTTCATAGCGCACGCTCAACAAATGGTGGCTGCCCCAGTGAACAAGCTCGACCTTGCCAAGGCTTACCTCAAAGGCTTTGCAGGAGCTGCTGTACCTCGAGATTTTTTTTTTTTTTTGAGACAGGGTCTTGCCTGTCGCCCAGGCTGGAGTGCAGTGGCACGATCTCGGCTCACTGCAACCTCCACCTCCTGGGTTCAAGCAATTCTCCTGCCTCAGCCTCCTGAGTAGCTGGGATTACAGGTGTGTACCACCACATCTGGCTAAGTTTTGTATTTTTATTAGAGATGGAGTTTCACCATGTTGGCCAGGCTGGTCTTGAACATCTGCCCTCAAGTGGTCTGCCTACCTCAGCTTCCCAAAGTGCTAGGATTACAGGCATGAGCCACTGTGCCCAGCCAGATAAAATATTATAATGTTTCCTTTCTTCTTCCCATCCTCCTCCTCCTCCTCTCTCTCTCTTTCTCTCTTACTTTCTTTCCCTGCCTCCTAATCTCCCTCTTTTCTTTCCTTCCTTGTTTTTGGGTTGGAGGTCCTCTTTCAATAGAGGGTAGAGAGAACCCAAAGTGTCAAAGCCCTGCCATTCTAATTTCCTTTCCCATTAACAGGAGTTCCTTAAACTCTGTGAGTCCAGATTTCCTGCCCTCAGTAAGGTCTGCCTGCAGCCTCTACCAGGTAGTGATACGATGGGCACCTCTGGACTCAGCAGTAGAAATGGCAGCCAGTGGCATTGACCTGGATTCACTCATCCTCTCTCTCAGCCTCTCCCCAGGGCTCCCTGGACAACCAAGTCCAGCTCTCTTGTTCTAGGACCCTCCTCACCCTGTTGCTCTATCCCCCTTTGTCCTGCCCCATCCCCAACACCATGGGCTGGGTGCCCTGGGGGCACTTAGCAGCCCGAGCTGCCACCTGGGAGTGAAGCGCCTTCTGCTGAGGCAGGAGGGGTGCAGGTCTGCTGTAAAGGGGCAGCCCCAAAGTTCTGCCAGTAGATTGATGGGGAGTAAAGACTCTGACCCCACAGCCTCACTGAGCACATGTCAGAGGGGCTGGCAAATCTGAAAAGATGTGGCTGTGACTAGCTCTGCCTAGGGTTCTGCCAGATTTCCTGTGGAACCTTCCAGAATTTCTCCATTAATGACAACGACCATGCCCAGGTAGAGATGGAAAGAGACTCGGATGCCTTATTCTGAAATTAACTTCAGTTAGGAAGGAAGGGAAGGAGGGAGGGAGGAAGGGAGGGAGGGGAGAGGGAGGAAGAAAGGAAGGAAGGGAGGAAGGGAGGGAGGAACAGAATAATATTCAAGCACTTTTTCATGGCACTTTAAAATGTTCAAGCACTTTTGCATTGACTGTATCTCCTTTTATCATCCAGCCTGTGAAGTTCACAGCTCAGCATTATTAGGCAGTGGACTATGGAGGACCCACACACAGCCAGGTTCAAATCCAGCTTCATTAGACAGATGAAGAAACCAAGGCCCAATGAGATGGAGTGCCTTTCCCACCTCACATGGGAAGTCAGTGCCCAAGTTAACAGAACTTCAGGGCCCCCGCACCAAGCCATGTGTCTCTCCTACAAGATCCTGGAGGATGGGCTCTCAAATGGGGTCTCAACCCTCCCCCTAGATAGGAGCTCTTTGCCTGGCTTCTGGAACTGTGGGCCACCAGTCCCTACAGAATGAGAGGTACTCTCACTCACTGCAGTAGCGGCCTGGAGAGAAAACGCCTGCCTCCCTGGCTCTGTCTGCAGCCTGGCTCCCAGGACGTGGCCTCATTTCAAAGACTAAAAAGGTAGCTGAGAAACAAACGAAAGTTAGCTGAGATGGGAAAACCACCCATGGGAAGGAAAGAATGCACCATCTCCTCCCCTTTTCTCTCTTCTCTATGGGGAGAAAGAAAAACCTAAATACTGATTTCAACTGGACTCTCCTGCCTGCACCGGGGCCCCACAAGCAACACCCAGATCCTGAAAGTATTTGTTCCAGTCAATGGGGCAGAGTGACCCACGAAGGACAGAGCATGCCTGCCGAGTTCACACACTTCCTGCCTGCCTCTGGGAAAACTATTTAACCTCTCTGAGCCTTGGGTTTCCTCGCTGGTAAAGTAGAGATGGTGGCGATACATGTGCCATGGAGTGGCAATGAGGATGAAATGGGACAATGTACGCAAGACTGTTGGCAAGAAGCAAGGAGTTGATAAATGGAATAGACGATATAACAATTACATTGTAATGTGTATTATAATTCTTTTTGCGGGCTCTTGAGAATGAGAACTCTCTGCCAACGTGGAGAATGAGAGGGGCAGATGGGAAGAACACTGAGATAAGAGCAGTAAGTCTTGAGCAGGATGGTGTGGGGGCAAGCTCTGTCCATCCGCCACTCCCCACTCCGCTCCCTGTGCCCCCCGCCCCCGCCACCATACCACACATGTCACCATACTGTGGCTGCTCTCCAGCCTCCGAAGGGCCACCCCACAGGCAGGTCTGCAGCCTGAACAGGATGGGACAGGTAAGGTTGGCCCCTCCCCCTTTCTTTTCTTCCCTACCTCCCTGTCCTGCTAGAGACAAGTGCCCCTAATGCCTGTGCTCCCGAATCATAATGCCACAAAAACCTTGCTGAGATAGGATGAGAGAAAGAGAGGGTCTGAGACAACTCAAAGCCTTTAGTCCCTGGCCTGATCCCCCCAGGGCTGGGCACCAGCTGGTTGTCTTGGCCTCACTAAGCATTTCCTCTGTATCTTTAGCTTGCTGGGCTCAGTGGCAGTCACCCCTGGGAGGGATGGCATGAAGGGCTGGGGGTTCCTCTGGGCCATCACACCACGGGAAGCGGGTCTATGGCCCCAAGGGTCCTGCCTTGGCCCTACTGAGACCAGGCAGTGAACTATGGAGGACCCGCACACAGAGCCAGGTTCAAATCCAGCTAAGGGCAAACTGCCTAAGCTCTTACAGCCTCAGTTTCCTCACTAAAAGGATGCAGTCACTCCTAGTGCCACCACCAAAAACCACAATAAATGACAGACAAGGTGTTGTTAGAAAGACTGAATAACCAGAAATGTTCATGGAAATGACAGCTGGGCTGCAGGGCTGGAGCTGGGCTGGAGGCTGCTCTGCACCCGACCGTGCCTCGCATTAACCCTTTATTGTTTTTGTTTGTTTGTTTTTGAGACGGAGCCTTGCTCTGTCGCCCAGGCTGGAGTGTAGTGGTGCATCTTGGCTTACTGCAACCTCCACCTCCCAGATTCAAGCAATTCTCTGTCTCAGCCTCCTGAGTAGCTGGGACTACAGGCGTGCGCCACCATGCGCGTCTAATTTTTGTATTTTTAGTAGAGACGGTGTTTCACCATGTTGGCCAGGCTGGTCTCGAACTCCTGACCTCAAGTGATCCGCCTGCCTCGGCCTCCCAAAGTGCTGGGATTACAGGCATGAGCCACCTCGCCTGGCCTCATTAACCCTTCAGGTGTGGAACATGGAACATTTCAGAGATGTCAGGACAGCAGCTGTTTACCAGCTGTGTAAATACAGAACTTCAAAATCCAAGCACCCGCATGTTGGTGGGGAGTCCTGGGGACCACACACCCTGCTTACAGGGCTACTGTGAGGGTTGGTCAGATCATGGAGCCACTGGTGCCCACCCCCTCCCGATCCTGATTCAGGAGCACACAGGCTCCTCGACCAGTGGGTGGCGTCTGGGCCAGCAAGGACTTGTGGCAGGAGACAGGATCCTCTTTGAGGTCAGGAAGCGGGGCGTGTGGGGTGTGCCACTGGGCCAGGCATGTCCCTGCTCATCCCACCCAGACCAGGCACAGCAAAATCAGGACCCCCTCCTCACCCCACTACCCACAGGTACAGGAAAGAGGAGAGACCCAGCCTCGCTCCTGGTCACTCTGCCCAAGCTTTTGGGGACCTGGCCAGTGCTCCACCCCAGACTCCACAACTTGGCATTTCTAGCTGTGCCCGAGATGGGGCCAAGGGAGGGGCCAAGCGAGCTATTTTGGGTCTGGAAAGAGCTGTGGTGGGTGTGAAAGGGAGACAATTACGGGGTTGGTAGGGCCGATGCCTTCCACCCACACCACCCACCCCACCTGCGGTCAGCCCTCAGCCTGGCCTCAGCACAGATGATGACGAGACCTAGGGGGAAGTGGGAGGTAGAGAGGAAAGTCTCCAAAAGGGGCTAGGGTAGGGAGAGAAGACGTCAGCACAGGGCCACCTGGGAGGACCCCAAATGGTGACGTGGCTGCAGAGTTGTGGCCAAGAAGCCATGGTTCTCTGGGCTGCCATGGAGAAGGAGCAGTCAGCCGCCTTCTTCAGGCCATACTGTGTGGTTGTTGTCCTGGGCTCTAGGAGACATGACACAGGGTCATTTTGGGGGCACTGGGGATCACTATGTCATGGGCCATCTTCCTGTACGTGGCTGAGGTCTGGCCTCTGGTGGCCTCCAATGGCTACACGCCTAGGCCAGGAACAAGTAGAGTGGCCTTAGAGTGGGGAGCACTGTGCAGACTCCTGTACGGCCTCCCCTGAATTGAGTCTCTGCTCTCAAGGACTCTGTTCCAGGGCTGGATGAAGGGAGCCGAATGAGGGACTGTGTGCAACATATAAAGGAGGGGCTATCAAAAATCCTAGTCATCAAGATAAATAACATTGTAGGCCAAGTGCAGTGGCTCACGCCTGTAATCCCAGCACTTTGGGGGGCTGAGGCGGGTGGATCACCTGAGGTCAGGAGTTCGAGACCAGCCTGATCAACATGGTGAAACTCCGTCTCTACTAAAAATACAAAAATTAGCTGGGCGTGGTGGTGTGCGCCTGTAATCCCAGCTGCTTGGGAGGCTAAGGCAGGAGAATTGCTTGAACCCGGGAGGCAGAGGTTGCAGTGAGCCGAGATCTTGCCACTGCACTCCAACCTGGGCGACAGAGCGAAACTCCGTCTCAAAAAAAAGACAAATAACATCTTAATATAATATTTCAAAGGATCCAAGTCAAAGCAAAAAATTTAATATGAACACCACCAAAATGTTACAAAAAGACACGCTCCAACGGGGCTGCAACAGCCTCCAAGGTACCAGGATGGTTCCCATCTTTATCGGACGTTTTGATATTTTGTTCCTTGTGGAATTTTTGCATTAATTTGCATTTTAAAAATATTACATTCAAATATCATTTGTTTAATTACTGAATTTTGGGAGCACCCCCCTAAGATTTTGGGCTTGGTCTTGTATCTGTTCTCTTTTTAGATCCAATTAACTTGCCTGTTCCTCCCACCTCCCTCCAGAAGTTAGGCCAGGTGAAAACACAAGAGAACAACAGCCACGTGGAATCTGGGGGAACATGAGGCCAGGCACTTCTCAAAGAAGAGAGAGAGACAGGAGAGGCGGGGAGAAGAAGGCAGGCGTGGGAGGGGGTTGGGAGGTGGTTCTGAGTGTCTGTCCAGGCTGCCGGACAAGGATGAGGATGGGGAGATGAGGATGAGACCTGGGGCTGGGACTGTCAGAAAGAGTGGGGAAAAGGGAGAGAGAAGCAGAGCACAGAGAAAGAAGTAAGAAAGAAAAATTACCAGCAAGGCATTCTGTGCGGAAGGCGCCACGGGCTGCTGGAAATGCCACGTCTGCGTTTTGTAAGCTTTACTAAGACGTGCTAACTCATTTCATCCTGGCAGCAGCCGCACGAGGCAGGTTATACCTCTTTTCCCATTTGATGATGGGTAAATTGAGGCACGCAGAAGCACCAAGGCTGTAGGGCTGTGCTGAAGCTGGAATACCAGCCCAGGCAGTCTGACTCGGACCTGGGCACTTGAAGCCATTTCTGGAAGGGAGGAGGAAGGCAGGGGAGGGGAAGGACAGCTCCGCTCTGATACCGCCTCACTGCCTGCCGCCCCACCCTGGTCCTCGGGCCATTGCTGGCGAGGAGGCTTGGACAGGCACGCACCATGGAGGAGACTCATGGCCTCTGGCAAGGCTGGGATAAGATGAAGTGAGTCACTGTCAACTTCTCTTCGAACCAGAAATATCCTCCCCCAGAAGTATCAGGCAAATCTAATTTTTATAAATCACATTATAGCTCAAATATCTTAGGGAATTCACAACTTATAAACATTTCTGGCTGGGTGCAGTGACTTACACCTGTCATCCCAACACTTTGGGAGGCGGGGGCAGGAGAATCGCTTGAGGCCAAGAGTTCAAGGCCAGCCTGGGCAACACAGTGAGACCCCACCTCTACAAAAAATAAGATAAAAAATTAGCTGGGTGCGGTGGCACACGGCTGTAGTCCCAGCTGCTCAGAAGGCTGAATGTGGGAGGATTGCACGAGCCCAGGAGTTTGAGGCTGCAGTGAGCTATGAACAGGCCACTGCCCTCCAGTTTGGAAGACAGAATGAGACTCTGTCTCTTAAAAAAAAATCTTTGTGCCCTTTTGTAATCATTCTCTAATATATCTATCTCTGAGTTTGATATTCATTGAGCAACTTTGTAGTACAACAGTGCTCTGAAAGGGTCAATTTTAGGTATACATATTTTGGGGGCAGGGTTGAGATGAGTGAAATCCCATTTCAAATGGCCTAGGTGAGTCTTCTTTTTTCTCTCACTGATTTTTTTTTTTTTGAGACAGGGTCTCCCTCTGTCATCCAGGCTGGAGTGCGATGGCACCATCATGGCTTACTGCAGCCTTAACGTTCCCAACTCAAGTCATCCTCCCTCCTTAGCCTCCCGAGTAGCATGTGCCACCACGCTCAGCTAATTTTTTATATTTTTTGTAGAGACACGGCTTTGCCATGTTGCCCAGGCTGGCCTCAAACTCCTAGGCTCAAGCGATCCACCCACCTTGTTTCACACACCCGGCCTCCCAAAGTGCTGGAACTACAGGTATGAGCCGCTGTGCCCAGCCCCCAGTAAATCTTTTTGAAAACTTCTTTTGTATTCACCTTGCTTTACGTTTTTCTGTAAATTCACACTTCAATTTCTTGGATTTACTTAGAGCTGTTCGATACGGTAACCAATAGCCACATATAGCTATTTAAGTTAATTAAAATTAAATAAAATTAAAAATTCAGTTTCTCAGTAGCACTGGCCACATATGGCTAGTGACTACCATGTTGGGCAGCACAGACAACAGAATACTTCTATCACTACAGAAAGTTCTACTGGACACTACTGGCTTAGAGTATAAAGTCCACTTGAGTCCATTTCTGCTTAAAGTGAGGCAGGTGTGTATTCTCTCCTGCATCTGAGCCCCTGGGCTGTGTCGTCATCTGAACAACTGATTTAACTAATTCCACTGGATGTACGTGTGACCCAGAGAGGTGCCTGGTGTCCTGCCCTGCTCCCTCCCCATGACATTAAAACGAAACAGCTGGGGCTGGGCATGGTGGCTCACGCCTGTAATCCCAGCACTTTGGGAGGTCGAGACAGGTGGATCACTTGAGGCCAGGAGTTTGAGACCAGCCTGGCCAACAGGGTGAAACTCTGTCTCTACTAAAAATACAAAAATTAGCTGGGCATGGTGGCGTATACCTGCAGTCCCATCTACTCGGGAGGCTGAGGCAGGAGGATCGCTTGAACCTGGGAGGCGGAGGTTGCAGTGGGCCGAGATCGCGCCACTGCACTCCAGCTTGGGGGACAGAGAGAGACTCTGTCTGAAAAAAAAACAAAAAACAAAAACAAACCCAAAACAAAAGACTAAACAGCTGGGCTTTGGGCATCTGGTAAGGGTGGAGTGGCTGCTGTTAGTTAGGTCAACCCTTTCCCCAGATAGCAATAAACAACTGCCTGAGGCATTGGAGAACAACCAAAAGCAGGCTGACACTAGAGGGAAGTCAATGTTTAGAAGATAGAAATGGCACTGGGTGAACTTCCCATATTTATGGGTATTTGTTTGAGGTCAGGCTCTAGCTCCTGCCAAGTGGGGTGGCTAAATCCAGATAGAAAATCCAGTCTTACTGGCTTAAACAACTAGAGGACAGAGTTTGCGGCAACCGCAGCAGTTGGAAGTTGAGGGCAGGAATCCCAGAAGGAGGAGAGCCAGAGGGAGGAGACCTGAATTCTGTATATAAATTCTACCCAAACCTTAGGCTGATCTCTGAAATATGTACACATGGGGCCAATCCCAAGCAGCCCAGCAAAGGCTAGAGGGACTGAACAGAGATTTCTGCTACTGTCAACCACAGGGGAGAGCAAGTTTGGAGTTTGAGTGCAGGGAAGTTACCTGTTTGCTAAAAAACATGTAATTCATGACATCTAGGATACATTCCAAAATTCCTAGGCACATGAAGAAACAGGAAAATGTGATCCCTACACAATAGAAAAGGCAATCAATACAGATTGTTTTAAAACAGCTATTATAACTATCCTCAAGGACATAAAGAAAAATGTGGTCATAATGAATGAACAAATAGAAAATCTTAGTAGGAAAATAAAAAGCATAAAAAGAACCACATAAAAATTCTAGATCTCTAATATGGTTCAGGTATTTATCCCCTCCAAATCTCATGTGGAAATGCGATCTCCAGTGTTAGAGGTGCAGTCTAGCGGGTGGTGTTTGGGTAAGGGGGTTCCCCCATGAACGGCTTGGTGCCCTTCCCATGGTAGTGAGCTCTCGTTCTGTTAGAGAGCTAGTTGTTTTTTCTTTTTTTGGTTTGTTTGTTTGTTTGTTTTTTTGAGATGGAGTCTGGCCCTGTCGCCAGGCTGTAGTGCAATAGCGCAATCTCAGCTCACTGCAAGCTCCGCCTCCCAGGTTCAAGCGATTCTCCTGCCTCAGCCTCCTGAGTAGCTGGGACTACGGGCGCATGCCACCACACCCAGCTAATTTTTGTATTTTTAGTAGAGACGGGTTTCACCATGTTGGCCAGGATGGTCTCAATCTCCTGACCTCATGATCCACCCACCTTGGCCTCCCAAAGTCCTGGGATTACAGGCGTGAGGCACTGCCCCCAGCCAAGAGCTGGTTGTTTAAAAGAGCCTGGCACCTCCTGCCTTCTAACTTGCTTCTTCTTTCTCCATCTGACACATCTGCTCTCCCCTTCAACTTCTGGCATGAGTGGAAGCTTCCTGAGGCCTCACCAGAAACAGGTGCCAACACTATGCTTCTTGTACAGCCTCCAGAACTATAAGCCAAATAAAATTCTTATATATATATGTGTGTGTGTGTGTGTGTGTGTGTGTGTGTGTGTGTTACCCAGTCTCAGGTATTCCTTTACAGCAATGCAAACAGACAAGTACAGAAAACTGGTACTGAGAGTGGAGTGTTGCTATAAAGATACTTGAAAATGTTGAAACAGCTTTGAAATTAGGTAATGAACAAAGGTTGAAAGAGTTTGGTGGGTTCAAAAATAGACAAAAACATGACATAAAGTTTAGAACTTCTTAGCGACTAGTTAAATGGTTGTAACCAAAGTCCTGATAGAAATATAGATAGCAAAGCCCAGGCTGATGAGGTTTCAGAGGAAAACAAACACTTATTAAAAACTGGAGTGAAGATCACCCTGGTTATGCCTTAATAAAAATCTGGGCTACACTGTGTCTATGGCTTAGGGCTTTATGAGAGACACCACTTACAAGTAATAACCCAAGATATCTGGCAAAAGAAATTTCTAAACGACAAAGCACTCAAAATGTGGCCTGGGTGCTTCTAACTTCCTACGACTAGATATGAGAACAAAAAAACGACTTAAATTTAACACTTATAATTAAAAAAAAAAAAAAAGCAGAGTGTAAAAACTTAGAAAATTTCCAGCTTGGCCATGAGGTAGAGAACAAAAGTGCCTTTCCAGTGAGAAACCCAAGGCACTTGTAAGATAACCTCCTGCTAGATAAATTTACATGACTAAACGGGAGTCAAGCACGAATAACAAAGACACTGGAAAAAAAAAGACCTGGAAGACATTTGGAAGGTCTTTGGGGAAAATCCCTTCCATGACAGGCCCAGAGGCCTAAAAAATGGTTTTAGGGGCCAGGCCTGGATCCCTGCTGCCCTCTGCGGCCCCAGGAGGCTGCTCCCTGCATCCCTGGCTGCTTCAGCTCCAGCCAGGGCTCAAAGAACCCCAGGTACCATTCAGGGCTCCACTTCAGAGGGCATACGCCATAAGACTTGGCAGCTTCCACATGGTGAAGCCTGCAGGCACACAGAATACAAAAGTGAAAGAGGCTTGGCAGCTTCCTCCTAGATTTCAGAAGATGTATTAAAAAACTTGGGTGCCCAGACAAGGCCTGCCACGGGGCGGAGCCCCCACAGAAGGCCTCTGCTAGGGCAGTGTCAAGCAAAAACGTGGGGTTGAAGCTCCCACAGGGTCCTCACCGGGACACTGCCTGGTGAAGCTGTGGAAATGGGGCTACCAGCCTCCAGACCTCAGCGTGGTACAGCCACCAACAGCTTACAACCTCAACATGAACAGGCACCAGACTCCAACCCGTTAAAAACAGCCAGGGGGGCTGTGCCTTACAAAGCCAGAGGGGTGGAGCTGCCCAGGCCTTGGGAGCCCAACCCTCACACCAGTGTGCCCAGGATGTGGGACATGGAGTCAAGAGAGATTATTTCAGAGCTTTAAGGTTTAACACCTGCCCTGCTGGGTTTCGGACTTGGGTAGGGTCTGTCATTTCTTTCTTTTGGTTGATTTCTCCCTTTTGAAATGAAAATGTTTACCTCATGCCTGTACCACCATTGTATCTTGAAAGTAAATCACTTGGTTTTGCTTTTACACATTCATAAATTTAAAACAACTTGCCTTGAGTCTCAAATGAGACTTTAAACTTTTTGAGTTGATACTCAAATGAGTTTAGACTTTCAAGGACTATTGGAAAAAAATGATTATATTTTACAATGTAAAAATGACATGAAATTTAGGAGGCCAGGAGTGGAATGATATGGTTTGGATATGTGTCCCCTCCAAATCTCATGTGGAAACCGGATCCTAAATGTTAGAAATGGGGCCTGGGGGAGATGTTTGTGTTGGGAGGCAGATCCCTTGGTGCCCTTCCCACGGTAATGGGTGAATTCTCGCTCTGTTAGTTCACAAGAGAGCTGGTTGTTTAAAGGAGGCTGGCACCTTCTCCCCCTCTCTCTTGCACCCTCTATCTCTCTTTTTCTCTATGTGACACAACTGCTCCCTCTTTTCTTTCTGCCAGTGAGTGGAAGCTTCTTGAGCCCCTCGCTAGAAAGATGCTAGTGCCATGCTTCCTGTACAGCCTATAGAACCGTGAGCCAAATACACGTCTCTTCTTTATACATTATCCAGCCTCAGGTATTCCTTTATAACAATGCAAAATGGACTAATACAAGCTGAATACAAGATCTGAAATTAAAAATTTATTGGATAGATTTAACAGCAGATTGATGAGAACAGAAGAGTCAATGAATGTGAAAATAGATCAATAAAAAATACCCACCCTGAAGAACCAGCAGAAAAGAAGACTTTAAAAAAAGCCCAGAGCCTCAGACTGGAGATGAAGGTCTAACATATATTATACATGAAGTCTAGGAAGAGTCAGGAGTGAATGAATGCATAAAAAGTAGTTAAAGGAATAAGGGCTGAAAATTCCCCAAATTTGGAGAAAGACAAATTGAAGATTCAAGAGGCTCAATGAACCCCAAGCAGGATAAATACAAGGAGAAGAGTCGTTAAACAGGCGACTGCAGAAGGAAGGAACATGCTTTATCTTCAAACCGCTGGACAGCAGGGCCCACCTCTCTGCAGGCTTCATGTACTTTTGTGATACATCACATGACAATATTGCCATCGTCTCCCTAAAAAGTGCACACAGGGGGCAAAGGTTGAAAAAGCACCTATTATGTGCTAATGGCCTTTGTGTATATTTTCTTAATTTACACTCATAGTAACCACAAGAACCAGGAACTGCTGTCTCCAAGTTGTTTTATTATTAATTTTTTAAAAACCAAAATCAGCACTAAGGCTCAGAGATGTTGAGTAACTCACCTAAGATCACACAGCTAGTAGTAAGAGATAGAGCTGGGGTTGAAAGCCTAGTTCCAAAGCCCATGTTCTTTCTTTCTTTCTTTTCTTTTTTTTTTTTTTTTGAGATGGAGTCTCACTCTGTCGCCCAGGCTGGAGGGCAATGGCGTCATCTCAGCTCATTGCAACCTCCGCCTCCCAGGTTCAAGTGATTCTCCTGCCTCAGCCTCCTGAGTAGCTGGGATTACGGGCGCACGCCACCACACCCAGCTAATTTTTGTATTTTTAGTAGAGACGGGGTTTCACCTTGTTGGCTGGGCTGGTCTCAAACTCCTGACCTTAGGTGATCTGCCCACCTGGGCCTCCCAAAGTGCTGGGATTACAGGCGTGAGGCACCGTGCTGGGCCCCATGTTATTTTGTATTCGTGCCTATTAACCCTTGCAGCACATTGGAATCACGTGGTGAGGGATGGGGGTGGGGATTGCTTTCAAAAGCAATCCCCACCCCCAACGAATTAAATCAGAATTAGTCAGGGCTGCATCCAGGCATTGGAATTTTTTTTTTTCAGCCCCTCTGTGTGATTTTAAGGTCTGATGTGGATTGAAAGTCACTGTTGTACACTATGCTGCACTCTGGGAAAGATCAGACGAGAAAAGAAAACTGGGTCAATCCCACTCACATTGGTAGATGGGCGATGAGAACCCCCGCAAAGGTCCTCAGAACGGAGCTCCGAGCCTTGATCTGTAAGCCTGTACCCTTCCTTCCTTGTCTTTTCCTGATCTCTAGGAGCTACACGGCTGTCACCACTCTCAGGTCCAGAAGATATGGGGGTGATAAAAGCGGCCGAGGAGCCTCTCTGCAGCAGGTCCTGAGTTACGGGAGGCTGCAGCCATGGACACGGGACACTTACTCTGGGTGAAGGATGAGGAGCAGGACCTCAGCGCTCTAACTCTTTCAGGCTTCGGCTGGGGAAGGAAGAGAGTCAGGCGGCCCCATGACTCTCCCCAGAGCCCCTCGGGACGGCCCCCCAGAGCCCCTCTTGGGGAGAGACTGGGACTGCTGAGCTTGGTGGACACAGGGCGACCACCCCAGGGGCCCAGCCTTGCTACCTCCCCTCCCTGTTTACACCCCTGCCTCCTAAGCACAGCCCGGCCTCAACATGCATCTCCTACCACCCCATAGGAGTGGTAGACCCCGTCTACACCGGGTCCAGAAACCACACAACCCATAGGTTCTGTGAGCTCCTGGCTCTGTTTTCTCAAATCGCAGCAGAGCATATGCTCAATAAAGAGCCTCCAGGTGCATGTGAGGGTGGGTGAGGTGGCTCCCACTGCTGGCTGGGTGAGCAGTTGGTGCCGCTTTGCCATTTGCCACTAGATTAGCCCAAAAATCAAAAAGAGGGGGACCCACCCAGCACCCCTCTTGTGATGATGGCGGTGATGGTGATGGTGAGGCTGATGGTGGTGATGTTGCCACCTTCCACTGAGCGCTGACTACCCGTGAGGCACTGAACACCACCATCAGCTCACCGCCATCTCGCAGCCACCCACAAAGGGCACTGCTTTAGCTCTGTTTTACAGATGGGAAGGCTGAGGCTCAGAGAAGATCAAGTCCTTGCCCGTGGCAGAACTCATATCAAAGCCAGGTCAGTCTCTAACACCGGAGCCCTTTGGAGGGGCCCTCTTCTACCCATTCCTGTGTTCTTCCTGCCCCTCACTGGACTGAACTGAGTTTAGCCCGAAATGCTCCTCCCAGGCCTGCAGGGACATGGCTGACCTCACATGCTCTGTGCCCCCTTTAGGGTCTCTGCTCCCCTATTCCTCCTCAGCCCACAGCCTGGGGTCAAGGGTGACTATTGTGAGCCCTGGTCTGGTCCTGAGTGGCTGCTGGGACCTTCCCAATGCCTGGGTGAAACTCCAGAGAACGAACTCTGGGCCAGCAGGAGTTTGCTGGGAAGTGGCTGCAGGAGGTGGCTCGGGTTTTTTTTTTTTGAGATGGAGTCTTGATCTGTCACTGAGGCTGGAAGGAGTGCAGTGGTGCGATCTCGGCTCACTGTAATCTCCGCCTCCCAGGTTCAAGCGATTCTCCAGCCTCAGCTTCCCGAGTAACTGGGATTACAGGCGTGAGCCACCATGCCCAGCTCGGGTCTCTTTCTGTCAAGGCAATGAAGAGGCTAAGGAGGGTGACAGAGGAGCCCCCTGAGCCCCAGGCATGGTGGGCTGTGGACCCAACCACCGGCTTCCTGCCTCACTGAGGCACCAGGGCGAAGACACTGATATTCAGTACTAGCAACCCCACAGCCAGTAGATAGTCAAGTTCCCTGCCCTTTCCAATGCCCACAGGACACTCTGGGTCACTCAGGGAGCTCGGTGGCCCACCCAGGCCCAACCCTGAGCCCATCGATCTGGGTCCTGGGGGGAACATGTGGGAGTCCAGCCCGGTGGCCCCCCGGGCGCTCTAAGCAGCCTGTGCCTAATGACCGCAGAAAGCCATTACAGCTCACTTAGCTGTAAACAGCTCTCCACAGCACTCATTAGGGCCGAGGAGCTCCGAGAGCTCTCCTCCTCGGGTGTGGGGCATGTGCCCAGCGGGGGCTACGCCTTCTTACTGGAAACACCGTTTCCCGCCCGGCCTGCCTTCCAGGAAAGGTGAGCCCGGCTGGGGCCCGGCCAGCGCCCTGCCCTCCCCTGCCCTCTCTGACCGGGGTCTGACCCTCCACAGGGGCTCTCTCCTCCCTGGGCATTTCCCAGCCTGCAGGGGCCCAGGGACAGGACAGGCAGAGCCCCAGGTGCCCCCTTGACAACACATGCCGGGCTTTCCATGGCCAACCTCACGGCCCACGGGGAAGGAGGAGCGCCCGCGGGGCCAGCTCCCCTGGGTGGGCCAGCACCCTGGGCATGCCGGGCCAGGCGGGTGCCCACAGAGACTCCCCTCCTCCCTATGATGGGGATGTGCCTGGGAAAGATGGACAGTTCTGGGGCCTAAACTGCAGGCGGACAAGACCTCGGCATTCAGTGCAGGTGTTGTCTTCTACCAAATCAGAGCTGTCCAAATGGTTTTAGATTCGGTCCCCACAAAATCCTGTTGAGGGTCCCAAGAGATATAACAGAGGTAAGGGTGGTTGTCCTCATCTAAGTGGGGGTGAGGGTGGGGTCCACAGCCTGTCTGTTTTGCTGTTTCCCTCCCTCCCCACTTTGTCCTATCCCCTACCTGCCGTGAGGGCTCAGTTATCCCTGTAGAATTCTGGGGTCTGCAGACACAGTTTAGTAACCACTGGCCTGCACCACGCACTGTTTTCTGTGCCTGGAGCGCTCCGACCCCTCTTCCTAGCCAGCTCCCATCCACCCCCACATCCTGATGGCACCCTGTCCCCAGCCCTGCCCTCCCTTCCTCTCATGCCAGCCTCCCTCTTATCACCCAGCTCTTCACCTTCTTAGCATACCCCTACATTTTCCAGTGATATTTCTATTTGTGTAGTTATTTGCTTATCGCCTTCCTATTCCCTGAGCTCTGTAGGGAGGAAGACCATGTCTGTTTTTGTCTCATCTCCAGCATGAGCCCAGTGCTAGGCACACAGCAGGCAGTCCATAAAGATTGACTGACTGACTGAATGAATGAATGGTCTAAGCATATGATGCTCAGCTTGCTGGAGAAGGGGCATCAACATCTTCCTATCATTGACCCCTTCTGTGTCCTCAGCCCTCATGACTGATGTGTCTTCCATCTACTCCTCCACCCCAATCTGGTCAGTATCTACTTGTCCTTTATCTTTCATCTGAGATACTTCCTCCCGGGGAGCCTCCCAGCGCCGTCAAACACCCAGCATGCTCACTTGTAATGGCGCCTTCTTATCTCTTTCTTCCTGGACCAGGAAGCAGAGCACAGGTGTCTAGTGTCAACACATGCCAAGGTGTCCAGTGCAGGTGTGCCACATGAAGGAACGGGTGACTGCCCCATGGCCCTGCTACTATGGGGCAACACCACCTCCTTGGAGGCTGATGACCTGCTCATATAGGATGGGGCCTCTCCATCCTCCACTTCCTCACAATCAGCACCCCCAGACACCTTCCCAATGTCTGAGCAAAACTCTGCAGAGAACACACTCTGGGCCAGCAGGCGGTCGTTGGGCAATGGAAGTGGGTGCACGAGGTGGCTCGGGTCTCTCTTTGGGTTGAGACAATGATGAGTCTAAGGAGGGTGAGTGAGGAGCCTCAGAGCTCCAGCGTGGTGGGCTGGGGACCCAACCATCAGCTTCCTGCCTCACTGCTGCACCAGGGAAAGGACACTGGTACCTGGCACTAGCAGGCCCACAGCCAGTAGATAGGTCACTCTGCACCCCCTTCCCAACCCAGTTCCCCAGAGGCTTCTCCATCTCAGGAATGGTCACCTCTACCCTTCACCCAGCTGCTAGGACCCCAAACCTTGGAGTCGTCATTCAGTCCATCAGCTCGGCACATCCTGCTGGCTCTACCCGCCAAACGCACCTTGAATCTAACTGCTGCTCACCACCCATGTTGCCATCACCCTGGGCAGCACCACCACCAGCTCTGGCCTGGACCACAGCCTCCTCCCAGGCATGCCTGCTCCCCTCCGCTCCCTGAGCCTTAGCCCCACATGGCAGCCAGAGGGATTGATTTAATGCATAAATTGGATCATGCCACTACCTGGCTCAAAGCCTCCAGTGACTGCCACTCACACCCAGTCAAATCCAGAGTCCAGACTGCAACCTGCAAAGGCCTGTGTGGATGGGCCCCTGGCTCTCCTGTGCTCCAGCCTCCTCTCCACACATGCCCAACCCTGCCCTTTATCCGGGCCTTGCTCTCAGGGGCCCTGGGCTCCGCCGTCTCTGCCCCCTTCCAAATGTCACCTCCCCGACCATGAGGACCACTCCAGTGCCACTCCCCAGACCTGCTGGCTTCTTCCTGGCCTTCGTGGGCCCTGTCCCTTCCTGACACTACCGCTCACATCTATGCGCTTCCTCACTGTCTGCCTGACCTCAGGAATGGAAGCTCTGCCCACATCTATGCATTTCCTCACTGTTTGCCCGACCCTCAGGAATGGAAGCTCCATGAAGGCAAGGACTTTTGTCTGTGTTGTTTGGCTCCTGTCCCTTCAGCCCCTAGAACATTGCCTAATACACCAATAAATATTTATCACATGAATATTTATGTAATATCTATTAATTTAGGGGTAGGTGACACAAGTATTTGTTACATGAATGGATACTTTTAAATCCATTGTTGATTAATTGATCAGTTCCCCTTGGTTAAATTTGTTTATAAAAGAACATCAGATCCAACCCTGATCACAGCTGACATCACGTGCATGCACATGTGTACGTGCACACACAAGCACACATGCACACATACACGCCTCGCTGATCAGCCTTATTAGTTTTTTCTCTCCCTTTTTCCCAGTAGCTGCAACTTCAGGAGACTACCTTGTGTGTGAGTGCAGGAGATGGGGGTGGATCTTTCCCTCAAGGCCAGCCCTCCCCACCAGGCTCAGCTATCAGCCAGGAGACAAGGTCCTCTGTGGGCACACCATCACCTCTACCTCCCCTTCGGAACCAAGGCAAGCTCTAAATGCCTTGCCCTTGCTTCCTTCCTAAACATTTAATGCCATACTGGCCTTCTCCACCTCTCTAGACACTTTCTACCACCCTGGCTTATGCTAGAAGATCAGATGCTCCTGGTAATAATGACCCAAGTACAACTTAACCAAGAGGGTGAGTCTTGAGTCTTGAGAAGTATGAGTCTCTGGTGGAAACCCAGTGGAACACCCTAGAGGGTGCTGGGTTTGGAGGCTATACCAACAGACCAAGAGTTCAAGTCTTGCACCTTAGTAGAGGCCAGCCCTAGGACTTAGGGAAGCCATCTGTCCTCTCTGCTCAAGGTTTCAGTGACTGGTTGGCTAAAGGACTGCTCGTATAGTCTCAGACAATTAACCTTCCTTGAGCCCCTGTTAGTGGGAGGCTGGGCTCTGCCTGGGTTTGGGAATCTGGAAGATGGGCATATCCCCTGGGAATCAAACAGTCCTGGCTCTGCTGCTTCCCCTTGGGGTGATCCTGGGCAGGCTGCTGAAGCTCCCTGGGCTCCAGGCTCCTCAATGGGGCGAATGACACCTGCATCGGGAAGATCAAAGCCACTGCTGAGTTCTAATTTGACCTGGGCCATCCTGTGACAACTCTTGTAATCAAAGAAACCCTGGGTTCTCCCTCATGGACTCCAAATCTGCCCCAATCACTCCAGGGCTCTCAGAAGGAGCCACTCTGAACCAGCACTTCATTCTTTCACTCGTTCATTCACCAGGTATTTCCAGAACGCCTGCCAGTTCCAGGCATCATGTGAGGCTGTGAAAAGTGGCATAGCAATGTGGACGAGAGCTTGGATTCTGAGGTAGACTCATTTGGGGCTGAAGCACTATCTCTTGCTAGCCATGACCTGGGGGCAAAACACGTAATCTCTCCGTGCCAGTCTGTACTATATCTGCAGAATAGAGCAGTCATCACAGTTATCTCACCAGGTGGTGATCAGGATTAAACGAGTTAATATGTGTAAAGCATGTAGGATTGCGTCTGGCACTTGGCAAGTAAGATATGATTGTTGTCTTTGTAATTATGGAATTAAAGTTGAATAGACAATCTTTGTGCTCAAGGAGCTCAGCTTAGCGTGGGAGACAGAGCATACACAGACAACGGCAACGCAGCAGCGCTAGGGCTAGGAGAGGAAGACGAACAAAAGCTGGGGCTGTGGATTCTCACGAAGGGGCAGGGCCTGCTCTTGAGGGGCTCACAGTCTCAAGGGGGAGAGGAGGTATAAAAAGGGAGAGCAAAGTCAACCAAAATTCCACACCGTCTGCAGCCCAATACATGCAGCACTGAGCTGGGGGCCGTGGGGGATGACTTCAGCAAAAGACACGCCTGTGGTGGGATGAGGAAGTTTGCACCAAGGACAGAGGCAGGGCAACTAGGTTCCTATTGAACAGGACCAAAAGGCAGCCAAATTCTCGAGGCAAAAGGGGCTGCCTGGGATGCCTGGGAGGAAGGTGAGTGTGGGAAAGTTAAGATGATGAAATCATGAGGATGGGTGTCCCAAGGAAAGGAAGGGAAAGGCATCCCAAAGAAGGGGAGGGAACGTCCCAAGGATGAGAAAGTCATCCCAAGGATGGGAAAGAGCATGCCAAGGATGGGAAGGGTGTCCCCAAGGAAGGGAAAGGCGTCCCAAGGATCAGAAGGGCATCCCCAAAAATGGGAAGCGCGTCCCAAGGATGAGAGGGGCGTCCCAAGGATGGGAAGGACATCCCAAGGAAGGGAGGGGTGTCACAAGGATATGAAGGGCATGTCATTCCAAGCAGTAAAATGGCAGAAGCAAAGAGGCATGGATAGAGAGGAAAGGGCTTTGAGGGAGAGTGAGCCAGGCAGGCTTGCCGGACACAGGTGGAGTTCCATGAGAGAGGGTGAGACATCCAAGGCACAGCTGGCTAGAACAAATTCTCATCACTGTCCAACATCATGGCCTAAGAAAATGCAACTCAATGTACTGCAAATACAAAATTGGTGCATGTAAAAGGAACCTCGTGATCACAGGTGTAGTACACTCCCCCAGAGAGGCCAGGGGGTTGCCAGTACCTATAGGTCTCCCTCACCCAGTAGGACTTGGCCAAGCTATTGTTGACAGTGAATTTTTACAGCCACTGCTATAAAACCTTCAGCCTTAACTACCTTGCTCTGCTATGGCTGGCAACCCCAGGGTACCACTAATGCTGCCCTATTAGCGTCCAAAGCATTCTGTGCAATTCTGAGAACAAGCCCTGATTACCAAGGCCCCCAGGATGCCATGGGAATCGCCAAGGATACACTGTGGCCTCTGAACAGCAGAGGCTTCGGAGCGTGGGAGTGGCCCTGCTGCCATCTCCCAGGTCCCATGGCAGCCTCACCTGCAATCCCTTCCAGGAAGCATGTCCCCTATGGGAGGGTCCAGGCTAGAGAAAGGACACGGACTGGATATGGAGGTGTAGACCCCAAAGAGCCTTGGAATGACTGTCCTGGAAGCAGATCCTTGGACCTGAAATCCGGGTCCAGAGATGGACACAGAAGAGTGAAGGAATTTCATCCACAGGTACTGTTAGCCGAGGTTTAGGAACCCATAAAGAGACCTGTAAAGTCTTCAGTGGAATTTATCCAAAAAAACTCTTAAGTGGAATCCATTGGCACCAAAGTTCCAGGACCAATCCCAGTTATTCATTTTCTTATTTACTCAACAAACATATACTAAGCATCCACCCCATCACAGGCACTGGGCTGGGTCCCAGAGACAGACAGGCAGAAAGCTGACAGTCCCTGCACTCAAGAAGCCGTAAGTTCAGTGGGGGAGAGAGGGTCCCCAGCTGGTGTGGAGAGTGGAGGGCAATAGTTCTACCCTTCAGGGCTGCGGGCATAGGACTGTTTATATCACAGGTCAGTTTCCTCCAGGATATCAAGGTGTCCTTCATTTTTACCAGTGCTGGAGTCAGTTCTCCCTGAGAGAGGCAGGTGCTGTGGGGGAGGGAGGAGACCATCTCTACCTGGGCGTGAATCCTGCTCCTCCCTTATGAGCTTGGTGACACTAGGTAAACCCTTGACTTTCTTATGCCCCAGTTTCCTCACGTGTAAAATAGCAATGATGATTGTCTGTGGTCAGCAGAATGACACCTCCATAGAAGTCCATGCCCTGATCCCTGGAACCTGTGAATACGTTCTGTTATGTGGCAAAGATGGAATTAAGGTTGCTAATCAGATGATTTAAGATAGGGAGACTATCCTGAATTCTGAGTGGGACCAGTGTAACATGAGGGTCCTGAAATGCAGAAGAGGACGGCAGAAGGGGAGTGAGTGTCAGAACGACGTGGCAGGAGAGCAGGCAGCTTCTAAAAACTGCAAAAGGCAAGAAGATGGGTTCTCCTCCAGGGTCTTGAGCCCTATGGACATCTTTTTTTTTTTTTTTTTGAGATGGAGTCTCGCTCTGTCACCCAGGCTGGAGTGCAATGGTGCGATCTCAGCTCACTGCAACATCCACCTCCCTGGTTCAAGCAATTCCCCTGCCTCAACCTCCCGAGTAGCTGGGATTACAGGCACACACCACCATACCTGGCTAATGTTTTGTGTGTATTTTTAGTAGAGATGGGGTTTCACCATGTTGGGCAGACTGGTCTCAAACTCCTGACTTCAGGCAATCTGCCCGCCTCGGCCTCCCAAAGTGCTGGGATTACAGGCGTGAGCCACCACACCCAGCTTGAACATCTTGATTTTAGCCCAGTGAGGCTCATTTTGGACCTCTGACCTCCCAAACTGTAAGATAACAAATTTGTATTGTTTTGAGCCACCACATTTGGGGTCATTTTGTTACAGCATCCCAGAAGCTCACACACCACAGTGGTCCCTACCTCCCAGGGTTGTGACAATTAATGACTCGGTGACACACAGCAAACAGAGGAGTGTGATTATTTGGGGAGCTGGGAGGACATGGTTCTGCAGACCAGGCCTGGGTTGGGGGCTCCTACTGGAGACAGCATGAAGGTCCCGGAGCCCTTGGCACAGAGGACACTCAGGTCAAAGGGTCAGGGGCAGGGATTGGGGTTGGGCCAACAGTGTGAGAGGCTGAGTTAGCTGGAGCACCTCAGGCAGGGAAGGTGGACTCAGCTTATCCACCCAGCCATTCGCGCCAGCCCAACCTGAGGCACAGTCTAGGCCGACCCCACTTCCCATTCGAAGCTTCATCCCTGGGTTGTCACAGGTTGCCTGAGCTCCAGCCCTCACTTCTCTCTCTGCCCAGTGTCTCTAAGGCACCCCAAAGTCACTCTGTCCCAGACCAAGCTCCCCACATCACCATCTCAGGCTTCCTCTCCAGCGTGGTCTCCTTCTGGAAGGGGCACCCCTTGTCGGCCGGGTCAGGGACCCAGGAGCCATCCCCACCCCTCCCTTCCCCTCGGCATCCTCACTGGTTCCTCCTGGGCCCTGCCAGTTCTAGCTCTTTCCTCTGGTGTTCTTCCACATCTCTCCATCCCTATTGCTGCACGTCTGGCCTGAGCTCCTGCCACCTCTGCCTGCCCCTTCAAGAGCCTCTCACTCATCCTCCGCAGTCTCCCCAGGCTCTTCTCATCACCGCAGTCACAGATCCAAGTGATCATCTCAAGATTAAATCCTACCAGGCTTTGGGAATAGAGACCATGTTTCTTATCAGGGCCCGAGGGGTCAGGCCTCTGCTGCCCTCTGCAACTTTATGGGGCACTGCTTTCCAGAATCTTCCTCATGCTCTTGCCTATCACACAGCCCTTTGGCAGCACCCTGCATCCTCTTACTCAGGCTTCTCGCACGGTGCTCCCCCTCCCTGAAGAGTCTCCCCGACCCTCACTGACTGAGCTCACGTAGCGCTTCTCAGGAAGCTGTGATGGGCTGAATTGCCCTACCCACCCCAGAATCCAGATGTTGAAGTCCTAACCCCTGCACCTCAGCATGCAGCAGTGTTTGCAGATAGGGTCTTTGCAGAGGTCACTGAGGTAAAATGAGGTCAGTAGGATGGGCCCTAATCCAATATGACTGATGTCTTTATAAGAAGAGATTAGAGGCTGGACGCGGTGGCTCACGCCTGTAATCCCAGCACTTTGGGAGGCCAAGGCAGGTGGATCACCTGAGGTCGGGAGTTCAAGACCAGCCTGGCCAACATGGTGAAACCCCATCTCTACTAAAAACACAAAAATTAGCTGGGGGTTGGTGAAGGGCACCTGTAATCCCAGCTACTAGGGAGGCTGAGGCACAAAAACTGCTTGGACCTGGGAGGTGGAGGTGGCAGTGAGCTGAGATCGCACCACTGCATTCCAGCCTGGGGGACAAGAGCGAAACCCCGTCTCAAAAAGAAAAAAGAAAAAAAAAAAAAAGAGAGGTTAGGATGCAGACACACAGAGGGAAGATGATGTGAAGATGGCCATCTATGATCAAAGAGAGACACCTCAGAAGAAAGCGACCTGAAGACACCTTGGTCTTGGACTTCCAGCCTCCAGGACTGCGGAACAATTCATTTCTGTTATGGCCATCCTAGCAAATGAAAACAGACGCCTTCCCTGCCCCCTCACCTGCAGTGGGTTCTCCTTTCTGTTAGACACTCCCGCCTGCCTCATTCCTCTCCCTCTTGGCACATACCAACGTGTAATTACACAGCCTCTGCCAGGCTGCAAAGCCCCCTCTTTTCCCACAGATGCTCTGAGGACATGGTTTGCTTTCCAGGCCAAAATCTGTTATAACCACTCCCTGGTGTTAGCACCCCTTTCCATGGGGCCCCCAGCTCTGTACTGTACCCTGAGTAAGGCTGTTGCCCCCTCGCAGGGACAGCCTTCCTGACCAGCACTGGCTTCTCCGGAACACCGGGGCTCACGCCGACCCAGGGCCAGCTTCATGGGCATGAGATCCATGTGGTCACACAGGGCCCCAAGCTCAGAGGGACCCGTGCTTGGTTTAATGTTTTGCTGTTGCCATCTTGAAATTCTTAATGCCTTCATCTTTGAACTTGTGCTTTGTAAGTGAAGTGGAACAATGGCACATATGTGTAAGCGGAGGAGCTACACAAAGAAGGAAAAAGGTTGGTATTTTAGTACAGGCTGAGTATCCTGTATGTAAAAGGCTTGGGACCCAAAGCGTTTTGGATTTGCGATTTTTTTCAGATTTTGAAATATTTGCGTTATATACTTACCACTGAACATCCCAAATAGGAAAATCCAAAATCTGAAAATTGTGAGCACTGACATGACATTCAAAGGAAACGCTCATTGGAGCATTTTGAATTTTTGAGTCAGGGTCTTGCTCTCTCATCCAGGCTGGAGTGCAGTGGTATGAATACTGCTCACTGCAGCCTCGAACTCCTGGGCTCAAGTGTCTCAGCCTTCCAAGTCACTGGGACCACATGCCCAGCTAATTTTTGTATTTTTTGGTTTTTTTTTTCAGAGATAGGGTCTCATCATGTTGCTCAGGTGGGTCTCCAACTCCTGAGCTCAAGTGATCCACCCACCTTGGCCTCCCCAAAGTGCTGGGATTACCAGTGTGAGCCACTGCGCTCAGCACTTTTTGAATTTTAGATTTTCAGATTTGGGGTGCTCAATCTGTACCTTTAACAGCACTTTTGCTGGTCTTTCAAACACAGACTCCCCAAGTTCACTTTACACTGGGCCCTGCAAACTAGGTAGCCAGTCCCATGCCCAAAGTAGGAAACGCTCCAGGTCAGCTCCCCTTAAACTGGTCCTAAGGCTAGTCTCTTCCTCATTAGTTTCTTGGGCCTTCCACAGGAAACTCTGCACCCACTCTCACATATCATCTTTGTTCTGGCACACAGAGAATCTGGGTCTGGGGTCCACATACCAGCCCCGCCTGCCCCAGCTTGGCTGTGATAAGCGCACCTTCAAGGCTTAGAGGCTTTTAGGCCCTGACAGCAGTGGGCGCTGAGCTGTGACCTCTCTCTGCAGGACTGACAGCTATTCATCAGTTGGTGCTCGCTGGACCAGCTGCTGCCCACCCCTGCATCTTTGCCCATGGCAGGAGGCAACACTCTCGGAATGCCAGCCTTGCCCAGGGCTTTTCTCAAAGGACACCTCGGGGAGGCAGCCCCTCTTCTGCAGCCTGTCTGCACCTGACGCAGGGCCTATTTCAGACAGCCCAGGTCACCCCCAGGGCAATGAGCCCCGAGTGGGCCAGGAGTGGGGGATGGTGTTATTTGGGGAGGGGGCAGACAGCCATTGGCAGAGCCACCTGAGGGTGGTGTGGCCTATTTAGGAGGGACTCACAGCCCACACTATCCCTCAGGGGTCAGGATAGGAGCCCTTGTGAGAACTCTGTCTGGAGCCTGGGCTCTCTCCTGCATCTTTCTACCTCACCCAGGGTGAGACTTGGGACTGGGATGGGATAGGGTGTGGAGAGGCCCTCTCGTATCTTACTTGGTGCCCCACTTTGGGCTGAGCAGGGGACAGTGTCTGATCTATGGCAGGAAGAGAAGAGACAAGGTAGTGAGTAGGGTACACACTGCACAGGCCCGAGCATTTGGGGGCGCTCACCACGCAGGCATCAGCATTTGGGGGCACACACCACGCAGGCATCAGCATTTGGGGGCGCACACCACGCAGGCATCAGCATTTGGGGGCGCACACCACGCAGGCATCAGCATTTGGGGGCGCACACCACGCAGGCATCAGCATTTGGGGGCGCACACCACGCAGGCATCAGCATTTGGGGGTGCACACCATGCAGGCATCAGCATTTGGGGGTGCACACCACGCAGGCATCAGCTTTTGGGGGTACACACTGTGCAGGCACGAACACTTTGCCTTTTTTTCATGCTGGCAACAGCTGGTGCTGACTCTCAGAGCCTGTGGCTGTGACAATTATCAAAATGTTTACTATGTGTCACTATTAATAATGTAGAAGCCCCGCTAGCCTGCCAGTCAGAAAGAGAGAGAGTGATAGCCGAGGGGCCAGGCTCCCGGAAGGCTCCTGCTCGCTGCCTGTTCACCCTTGACCCTGCTGGGCAGCCTGGATGTAGGGAGAGGCTGTGTCCTGAATGGTGCCTTCATCTGCTCTTCTTAGCCAGCACCCCCAGAAAGGAACAGAACCCCTTCTCCTCCTGGGTACCCCCCTTCAGCCCTTCAGATATAGGGTCTAGATCTGTCCATCCAAGAAGCCTTCTGGAAGATTCTGTGCTCCCCCACAGCATTGCACTCTCACTTCTGTGTGCAGAAGCGTGGTGGTCAGGACTCACGTCTCGTCAGCCTCCCTGCAACGCCCCTCTCTGTGAGCTCTTTGGGGCTGAGACATTCTTCCCCGCTAGCTTCCTTTACAACCCTCTAACGTGGCAAGTGCCCTCCTGCCTGCCCCAGGGCCTTTACACAGCCCGCCTCCTCTCCCAGGACACTCACCCCCTGCCTCTTTGCATACCAACTCCTATGCATCCTTTAGGGGTCAGTTGAAATGTCACCTCCTTTGGGAAGCCCTACTGGACCGCTCAACTAGGTCACAGATCCCCTGTTCAATATTTTCACAGAATCCTTGCCTTATGGGACCAATCACTGTAGTAATGAAAGTTTTTAATCGAATGTCTGTCTCTCCCTGTAGTCTGCATGCTCCCTGACAGCAGACCGTGGTTTCTTGCCCACTGCTATCTTCTTAGCATACAGCAGTTAATAAATATCCATGGATGAAGGCATGAATGCCAGGAACAAGCCCTGACTCCTGTAGACTCTAACCTCCCATCTTCTCTCCCACTCGGGTGAGCACTTTGGGCTGCTGGGGGTCTGCTACGAGGGTGGAATTCTCCCTTCTGGAACAGTCCCTGCATCTCGTGATGCATCCCATCTCTATTCTAAGGCATGGCCAGCTCCCCACCAAATAAAGAGAAAGGAGGGCTCTCAACAACCGCCTCTCACCCACTGAGCCACTGCCCCCAAACCTCAAGAACTAGGATGAAAAGTTAGAAGGGCCACCCTGTGCGGTGTGCCCTGGCTGTGATGACAGTCCCCGGCCCTCACCCTGTTCACAAACCAGCGAACACTTGGGCTTGCATGGACACTGCCTGGAGGGAAGATGCAGGGCCAAGAGTGCTTCAGGCTCAGGGTGAGCACACGGGTGGTGGGCTGGGGGCAGGGAGAGTGCCAGGCTGCCTGCCCCCAGGATCAAAGGCCCTGAGCTCCAGAT
The DNA here is from genome assembly GCF_000001405.40 of Homo sapiens. NCBI lineage: Eukaryota > Metazoa > Chordata > Mammalia > Primates > Hominidae > Homo > Homo sapiens. The sequence goes on from NC_000017.11 coordinate 73,583,799, forward strand.
GAAGGGTCCAGGGGCTGAAATTTTATGCCTGGCTCTGCCACTGACTTACAGAGTGAGCTTGGGCAGAGGGTGGTAGTGACTTCTGAGCCTCAGTTTCCTCAACTGTCAAATCCACCAGGGATCAGTGTCCCATTGACATGCAGATTTTGACTTCCGATGATAGGACCCTGGCCACGGAGCCCACCTGGAATGGTTTCCTTAGCAGAGGAAACTTGGGGTTGTGGGATGTCGGCTCTTGGCAAGACATCACTCAAAGCTCACAAGGCCTTCTCTAGCAGTACGGACGGAGAGGGGAGAGCATGCCTCCAGCTCCCTGCCCAGTGGGCACCCAGGCAGGCAAAACACCTCCCAGCTGTGTCCTGCACACTGGCCAACCGAGAGAGCTGGGCAGTTGGCCTGGCCGCCGGGACCTCGCCTGCTCTGCACACCTTCTCCCAGTGCTAGGATGAAGTGGCTGGCAGGCCCTAGCATGGGGCTGGGAGTGAGGGTCTCACTGGGCTGGCCGGTGCTACAGGGGTGGGAAGCTGCCTTGGCGGCCCCACCTAGCACCAGCTTTTCCAATAAGGTTGTTGCTGTCGGTAGAAAAGGGCTGGGTGAGGGTCACCCTCTCAGTGCTTTCCAGACCTGAGCGCCCTGATGCCCGGGTATAGGATGTCTCCCTTCTCCCCAAAGAGGGAAACAGTCAGCTCCGAGGGCGGGACTGTGCCACCTCCGCCTTGCCCTGCTCTCCGACTGTAGGAGGCTTTGGAGAGAGTCAGCCCCTAGCACGTACCCAGGGAGCACCTTCTGGGACCAGTGCTGGATCAAAGGCCCTGAGCTCCAGATGAAGAGTCCAGGGGCTGAAATTGTATTCCTGGCTCTGCCACTGACTTACAGAGTGAGCTTGGGCAGAGGGTGATAGTGACTTCTGAGCCTGAGTTTCCTCAACTGTCAAATGGGAGGGTCAGGCTCCGCATCTTAATGGGGTCTCCCAGCTGTGCTTCTCCCCCTTCTGCCTGTGTCCCTGCAGGGTTCCCCTGCCTCTCCTGCCACCACATCCCTGGCCCTCGAGTCTCTACAGGAGAAGAGGAGTGATTCAGAACAGGAAGACGCTCAGGTCGAAGCCCGTTGATTTGTTACAGGTGACGGATGCTGATGGCCGTTCATCTGTGGTTGCTGCTGATTAGAAATCAGTCTCCAGTGGAAGATTAAAGGCTGGGGGCAGAGTAGGGTCCACACACTGCTCAGGGCTTGGTCCTGCTCTCTGCCATGGGGAAGTCAGGGGGCAGTGCCCAGCACACACAACAGTGCCCAGCCTCACTGAGGCTGCTCAGACACCCAGCGGGGAAAGTGGTGCTGATCCTGTTGGGGATGTGAGGAATTGAAGCTCAGAGAAGTTAAGTAACTTGCCCAGGGCCACACAGCTGGAGGCAGAGCTGGGATTTGAACCCAGAACTGTCTCAGAATGCACTCTGTTTCCCCTATGCCATGCGCTTCTCGTAGTGGGTGGCAGAGTCTAGGGCGATGAGAAGTCTGGAGCCTGTGCAAGGCCAGGCTTTTCTCTGCCATGGAGTGGTGTGCCACGGATAACACAGGAGCTCTTTCTGGGCCTCAGTTTTACTCTCTCTTGTGAGCAGGAATCCCCCGGAGGGGGTGTTAAAACATAGACTCCTGAGCCTTCCCCAGATACTCTGTTCGGGTTGGTCCTGAGTAGGTGCTGCGGGTCTGTGGGCCACACTCTGAATAGCACCTACTAACTAGCAAGTCTCTTGGGTTCCTTTTGGCAAAAATCCCCCATCTCCATGGCCAGGCGGGGAAATACTGGCTAAAACCCTGTGGTGTTCCTGTCCTCACCACCCACCATCCTCCCTCAGGCCTGACTACCCCCTACACTCAGAAGCCACACACCTTTGAGTCCAGGGGGAGCCCCCAACCCCACACTGTGAATGCAGCTCTCTGTGTGAGCCAACAGAGGGTGGTAGTGACCAGAAGGGACTTAGGAGCCAGCACTGTGATTTGAAAATGAGCTTTTCCACTTCCTGTGTGACCCTGGGAAAGTAACTAGACCCCTCTGAGCTCCAATTTCCACGTCTCTAACATAAAGACTGGAAAGACATACAGAATTGAATGTCATTAAACGGCACACCAAGCGCATCCATACATATGTGTGTCCTAGGAAATATATATATAGGATGTACTCGGAAAGGGACAAGAAACGGACAGTTGGAACTTCAGTGGGAAGTGAAGATCCTTTGGGGATGTATGCATTCTTACTGCATGCTTGTGTTATTCTTCCAAAAATGTTCTACCAGCCTCATGGGCTATTGTAGGGCTAATGGAGGTGATCCCTACAAAGGGTTGTGCATAAGGCCTGGCATATAGCAAGCACTGGATAAGGTGTTAGCTCTCCTCCTCTTCCTCCTTCTCCCCACCATGCCTCTCCTGCTGGCTAGCTCTCCCTGCCCTCCTGCCATTCTCCTGGATGGCACTGCCTCCCTCCCTCCTGTTGCTCTTTATTTATTTATATTCTCTTCAAAAGGAAGGGGTGTGTGTGGCTGGATCAATTCATCCATGTCGCTCACTTGGCTCCACTTCCCTCCTCCTTCCGCCCCTCTCCCCCTCGCTGAGACCAAGAGCGTAAATTCCTTCTGGCTATTAATTAAAAGCAGCCTCTCCCTTCGCGCCAGTGTACTCGCCATAAATTAATAGCGGTCTTCTTAATCAAATCTTATCTCCTCCTCGAGCCATAAACATATGGAGCTCAAGTTGGTATCTCTGTGCACCCAGCCGTGAAATTTAATTTCTGATGCTTCGGTGGACTGCAGGGGGTGGGTGGGTGGTCTTGTGTTGGGGGCCACCCAAACTTGAGTCCCAGAACCAGACCCCTGGTCGACCAGCTGGGTTGACTCAACCACCTCCCATGACGTCTGCAGGCAAAGCATGTGTGACTCTTTAAGCCTGAAGGTCCAGCAGTTTCGTTGCATGATTATAATCGTTGGCATTCTAAAGGCTTTCAGAGATTTTATCTCATCCGATTCTCATGCAAGCTCTATGAGGAGGAATAGGTTGGGAATATGAGCCCCATTTTAGAGATGGAAAAACTAAGTCTAACATGTTCTTTAGAGTCAGATCTGAATGGAATTCCTCCTCTGCTGCTTTCTAGCTGCCACTCTGACCCTCAGTTTCCTCATCTGTCCAAGGGGAAAGAGAATGCCTCTTGCAGCTTTGAAGTGCGAATGGGATTAACTGTCATATGTAAAGGGCTCGGTATGGTGCCTGGCCTGTGGCTGCTGCACAGGGTAGAGATATTCCACTAAGTGACCTGCCCAAGACTATCCACCCAGCTACAAATCGGCAGTCTGGGCCATAGGCTTCAACTCAAATTCCATGCCCTTGGAATTCCATCTCCAGGCTCTAGAGCCTGAGGTCCCCAGGCTAGGTCCCCTAGGCAAAATCAGCTCAGCTGCCCCCTCCTTCTGGCCTGTCAAATGCCCACCCCAAGTACATGTCCATAAGCCACTGGCCCGAGGTGGAGCCAGGAGCCTGGACGGGCCAGGGCAGAGCCTGGACAGAGGACACAACTGCCAGCCTTGCTCCAGCTGCCAAGTAACTTTGAGCCAATACCAACTGGGGCGCCCTCTGGCACGCCTCTGTCCCTGGGTCACTCCAGCATCACCACCCTACTTAGCAGCTGACAGTCTCCAGCAATTTCCCTTTGGCCGCAGGGTGGCTCGGGCCATCTCTGCACGTTATCTGTGTTACTGGGGCGTGACTCATGTCATCCTGGTGCAGGCTCATTCATAAATGAGACGGGACTCTGAGGCCACTTCTGGAGCTGCTTTGCCCATTCAGAGCCGAGCTCCGCAGCCTCTCCTGACTCTTCCAGCCCCGGGGGACAATCACCTTCCTATCTGAGACCCAGCGCTCTGGCAAACAGCCCTCTTTGTGCCCATCAAACCCTCAGGCCCGCTTCTCTGGATCTGGCTCATTACATTTCCCTGAACTGGCTTCTCCTTTCCTAACCACACAGGTGCTTTTAAAGTCTTCTCATTGCTTTGTGAGTCTGTTTTTGTTTTTCTGTAAAATCTTGAAGTCTGTTTACAATTCTTCACACCCTCAGGGAGGCATCTCTCTAAGAAACTCCCTGTCCTGTTATCTGCTCTTGGCATCCCATTAGCCACTCACTTCACCATCTCTAAAGCCCACCATGTTCATAAGACTCTAGTCCAGTGGTTTTCAAAGTGAGGGGAGGAGGGAGTCCCAGGAACAGCTGAAACAGCAGCACCTGGAAGCTTGTAAGAAATGCAAATTCTGGCCTGGCGCGGTGGCTCACGCCTGTAATCCCAGCACTTTGGGAGGCCGAGCCTGGTGGATCACCTGGGGTCAGGAGTTCGAGACCAGCCTGACCAACATGGAGAGACCCCCCCCCCTCCCCCGCCATCTCTACTAAAAATACAAACTTAGCTGGGCCTGGGGCTGCATGCCTATAATCTCAGCTACTCGGGAGGGGGAGGCAGAAGAATCATTTGAATCCGGGAGGTGGAGGTTGCGGTGAGCCGAGATCGCGCCTTTGCACACCAGCCTGGGCAACAAGGGCGAAACTCCATCTCAAAAAAAAAAAAAAAAAAAAAAAAAGAAAGAAATGCAAATTCTGGGCCTTGTCTCAGGCCTGATGAATCAGAAATTCTGGGTGTGGAGCTTGGCAGTTTGTGACTGAGCAAGTATCCCAGGTGATTCTGATGCACAGTGAAGTTTGAGAACCAGTGCTCTAGGCTGCTGGTTCTCATCAGGGCCAACTCAACTTTGCCCCCCAGGGGACATCTGGAAGCATTTTTGGTCGTCACAACTGGCATCTAGTGGGTAGAGGCCAGGGATCCTATGAAATACCCCGCAGTGCTCAGGACAGCCTCCTGCGGTGCTCAGGACAGCCTCCCCTCTAAGAACAATCTGGCCCAAAGTGTCAGTAGTGCGGAGACTGGGAAGTCTCGCTGTGCCTAGGGCCGGGGCGGCACAGTTCCAGGGCCAATGCACAAGCACAGCAGCTCTGGGTGACAACCGGACAGGCGTGGGGCACACTCCTCTACGTGGCGCAGGTGCCATACGCACTTCATTCCTGATGGCTCACTTTACAGAAGGCGCCAGATGCCTGAAGCACAGAGAAGCCACTAATCCGTGATCTCACAGCTGGTGAGCACCAGGGCAGGGTTAGGGCCCCAGAGCAAGTGAAGCCAGAGCCGGGGTCCTCCCTGTGATGCCACGTACTTGACCTTGCATGGAGAGAGGCTTGGTTCTTACTAAATGATCTGTTCGAGCAAGAAAGACAAACTGCAGGCATCACAGTCCCTGACTCACTCAGTCTAGTCAGTGGCTACTGTATGCTCCTCCCTAAGCCAATTATTCTACTGTGTGCTGGAGTAGTCCCAGGATGCAAGAAATTCACGCTCCAGCTCACAGTGATGAATGCACGTGAGTGCAGGTGCACACACAAACACACAACCCTGAAGGGCAAGGAGATGTCTCTTCTAGTCCCTCCCAAGGTGCAGAGTTGTAGGTGCTCAAAGCATTCAGAAAAATAGAATGGGAATGAGGGTGACCCTGTTGGGGAGCTGGGTATTGAGGTGTGGGGCAGATTTGCAGAGCTGGGAAAAGAGGCCGGAAAACCACAGGCAAGGGACGTGGCCTTGGAGTTGGACAGATGTGGCTCTGAATTCTGCTCCACCACTTCCAGCAGCGTGAAGCTTGGCCAAGCTGCTTACTCCACAAGCCTCCATTTCCCAATCTGCAAAATGGGGACATTGCTACTGGCTCCGCAGCCTTAGGCAGGATAAAAGGGGAAGCTCAGACAGGCACTCTGCGTCACTCTGTCCTATGTCAGCATCAGCTGGCCCTGACCAAGGATAATGCTGATCTGGTCACCACAGGCTGGAACCCAAAGTGGGGTGTGAAATCGGACAAGGCAGACAAGAGAGCAATAAGCCTCATCCCCAGGCAGCAGGAGGCAAGCCGCACATTTGGTTTTGAGCAGCCCCGCAGAGCCACTGCGGATTAGCAGGTGTTACAGAGGTGCTGAGTGCCATTAGCACCTAATTACGCCTTTGTCCTTGCTGTAATCAGGTGAACAGAGAAGGGACTGAAAAGGGGAGCGCCTTAAAGAGAAAGCAAGCAGCTGTCAGGCAGGAATCTCTTCCAATGTGTCCACTCCTCTCTAGAATGTGGCCTCCTTCCCACGGCCAGAGGGCCTGGGCCATTCAGGTGGCCAGAAAGGATACAGCCAGTTACAGACTCTTACATGCTGCCTCTTAAACCCACACGGAATCGAAGTCTGGGCTCATCAGGAAACAGGGAGCCGATGAGGGCCTTTGAGAAGGGGGAGGCAATTGACGAAAGAAGACATTTAGCAAGACGAGAATTGGACGGCTGTCTGCAGGGTGGATGGAAAGGTACGGCTGGACCAGAGGGGTCAGTTCGGAATCTGTTACTGTAATCCAGGCATGTGCTAATGCAGAGGAGTACCAGGAACACATGAGACTTGACAGGACCTGGCAACCAGCACCTCCTTCCCCGGCATTCGCTTCCCCTGTCGGAGATGATGCTGGAAAGCTCAAAGGTCCCACAAGAAGCACAGCAGCAACTTGAAGCTGACTTTGCTCGTTGCCAAGACCCGCACCACCTGCTGTGCAACACCATTGCTCTGCCCCGTCTGGCTCTGGGCTGCTCCTTCAGACCCTGGCCTAAGTAGTCTTTAACAGGGCACACCTGGGGAAAATACAGGTTAGTGACTCTAAGTCTTCAACACACCCTGAGAATGACCCTGGGTGGCAGACGCACCTGATTGTGTGTTCTGAGGTGGGGAATCTGGGCATGGCCAACCCGGAGAGTCACTCCTTGTCTATGAGAAACATCCGAGCCCTGGGCCCATCCAGAACATGGGCTGTGCATGGAATTGAGGCCCTGAGTTTTGGGTTAACTGAAGGTTGCCAGGTAGAGGTTGTTAAGGGTAGAGTGTTAAGTGGCCATGCTATGTAAACTGGTATGCCCTTTCCAAATGGTTGCTGTTTTCCTGCCCAGACTGCCACCACCGGACTGTAGGAAGGCGGACATCTTATCCAGCTAGCTGTCATTGAACTATTTATTTGTTTATGTTTATTTATTTATTTTTGGGACAGAGTTTCGCTCTTGTTGCCCAGGCTGGGGTGCAGTTGCATGATCTCGGCTCACTGCAACCTCCACCTCCCAGGTTCAAGTGATTCTCCTGCCTCAGCCTCCTGAGTAGCTGGGACTACAGGCGCCTGCCACTACACCTGGCTAATTTTTGTACTTTTAGTAGAGACAGGGTTTCGCCATGTTGGCCAGGCTGGTCTCAAACTCCTGACCTCTGGTGATCCACCTGCCTTGGCCTCCCAAAGTTTGGATTACAGGTGTGAGCCACCGCACCCGGTCTTAACTGTTTCTATATGTAAGGCATTTCTCCTGTCCAGACAGCTGCCACTGGACCCTCCCCTGGATGTAAGCCCCTAATAAAACCCTATGTCTCCTTTGCTGGCGCCGGGTCTCTTCTTCAGCTTCTCGAACCTGGTGCCTTCCCTATTGAGGTTAACAGGGTTTCAGCACAACACCTGCCCTGAGCTCTCTGCTCCCCCGGCCACCAGCACACTCTTCCGGGACGCCACAGTGGGGTTGCCAGATTTAGCAAAAACACAAACACAGGATGTTCGGTTACACTTGAACTTCCCTTCAGACCCAAGGCTGTTAGAGTTGGGGTTTGCAACAGTGCAAACCTGTAGGACGTGTAGAATACTCTCGCAAATTGGGGAATGCTGGTGCTCAAAGATGAAGCAATGTTTATCTGAGGTCCAAATTTACTTGGGTATCCTGTCTCTTATCTGGCACCCTATCTACTTGGAGATGCAGGTTTACAAGAACTAGGACATGGCATGGCGAAAGGTATGAGAGGACACAAGGAGACCTGGTCCCCATCCAGCACCCCCTACTCATGCAGGCACATGACTGAGCTTTGCGGAGATGCTTATCTGTGGGGTGGGGCAATACCAGAGGGCAGCCATCACGCGGCTGTCAGGAAGCCTCCTCATCTTCAAAGAGCATCAAGCACTAAAACGGTAAGAGTGGCCAGGTCTGGAGTGCAGCGGAGACTCGAGGAGAGATAAAAGGCTGCCAAGAGCACACCCAGCCTCTCTGGGGACGTGGGGTACGTGCTATGAATGCACCTTGCAGTTTCTCACCCACATGAGGGGGGAGTTGATCTCTGCGGTCCCCTTCAGCTTAAAAACCTCATGCTGATCCCAGGCTTCCGGACTTCATCTGTCAATAACGATGAATGCAGGGAACTGCAGCCTGTCTACCAGTAGCCCTTGCACCACAGAAAAAGGAAGGTAAATCCACAACTGGAAGAAAGCATCATGGGCTGCAGGCCACAGCCATGCCTCCGTGGGCCTGGCACTGTACACTTCTTGGAAAGATCTAGGCCTCTCGGCCCCCATCATGCCGAAATTAGAGGCTGGCTCCGTGTGGCTGCATTGCACCTGCCAGCAGGGTTACACCTGTATGATCAGAAATGTGTAAGAGCAGATTTTACTGGACTAATAAAAATTAAAATGACCAAAATGGAGTCAGAACCCAGCCAAAGAGGGAGTGTGGGAGGGAAAGAGTCTCCAGCTTTTTATTTTTTAAGCAGGCCAACCACATGGAGGTGGGGACGACTTCTTCCCCATGCCCCCGGCAGCACCTCCAGCCATCTGTCCCCACCACCTCCTGGCCTGGTTAGCTGGCTTCCAGAAATGTGACTGTCTGGAGTCTAACCGGGGCACACCAGGAGCTGTCACCCTGAGTCAAGCCTGGGGCATGAAGACAGGAAGAGAGGGCCGGGGAAGCGCGAGGACAGGGACCTTGGTGGCTGGCTGAGGATGCTCAGATGACGGGAAGACGGAACAGTCAGGCACACCCTGGCGGCTCCCCATTTCCGGAAGGAGGACAGGAACGGAGGTCCAGGGAGAGCCTATTGTAACCACCGTGCGTGACACCAAGAGCTTTGGGGAATCTACGGAATCAAAGAGTCACAGACACATGGCCTGGCCACATGCCCGTCTCCCAAGCATATTTCAGGGTTTAACCTCAGCTCACCCCGGTAATGCTGTGTTTGCAGCGCATGGGGGTGTCCGTAGCTCGCCGGTGTCACAGGATCACCCCAGAGTGGTGTGGGACGTACACTTGGAGTTCAGCCGGTCCAGCCAGCTCATTCCCCATTCGAGGCCCAGGGAGGGTTGGGTGGGGGGGATTGTTTCTAAGCTTACCGCGCAAATGCCGTCCCTCCTCCTCCTCCCCACCCCAGCTCCTGCTGCAGGTCTTCCCTCGACAGGCTGGGTACCCCACCCCACCCTCTGCCTACGTCTGTGCCACTGGGGGGCTGTGTTCAGTGTGGATGTGGGGCTCTGTGGTCCTTCTGTCATCCCTGGATCCAGAGTTACTCCTGGGGGCCCAGACACCTCTGTAATTCAAGTTGCTGGGCTACTGTGAGGCCCAAAACGTTTGTGGGGAGCAGAGAATGAAGGAGCCTCAGCACCCACTCCCTATCCTGGCCACAAGAGCATCCTTCCTCCTCATTGTGCAGGAAACCCCCACCCAAAGGAACAGAGATGGGGTGTGGGGGGCTTCCCCCAGAGACCATGAGGCATGCGCTCTGGGCCCTGGGGTAACCTGGACAACATTTGCCTCTAAGGGACCAGGAGTGGCCCAGGACAATAGACCCAGAGGCAGAACACCTAGCTTGGAAGGGCCAGAGCCCCCCAGGGAAGGAGCAGATGGTACCTCAAGCTGAACCCCTTCTCTGCAGTGCCCCCCCAAAGTGTGCCACTCACATGTTTACTGATCAGATTTGGGGTTTCTGACATGCAGTAATCGGATCACGGAAGGTGTTAACTGGATTAGGCAGAAGGCTTCCAGGAGACACCAGCTGAAAGTGGCTATTAAATAACACAGGGGCCTGGGCGGCAGGGCTGAGGGGACCCTGCTTCCTCAGCCCTCTTCTTCTTTTGTCCCTGGCTCCTCACTTACCCTCCTTGGCCATATCTCACTGTCCGTCCTTCTTTGAGCACTGGCCATGTGGCCGAGTCTGTGTTGGACAATTTGGTTGCATTATCTCCTTTAATCCCCACAGGGAATTTACAAGGTAGGTTTCAACCTCCCCATGTAACAGAAGGGAAAACAGAGGCTTGGAGGTTAAGAAAATGGCCCCACAACCCACAGCAATAAATATGTCTGGAATTCCAATCCAGCTTTATCTAATATCGTTTCCAACTCAAAAACTGTTTCCCCAAACCTGGTCATGTCAGGCCTCCCAACGTCTGGGAGCCAGCAGGTGGTTCACTCTGGCCAGCCTCTGAGGCTGAGTGTTGGACAGCGGGAAGGCGGCATTGATGGGGATTCGTGGGCTGTAGGGGAAGGTCAGCCACTGGACAGCTCCCTCGACCCTTGACCCCCTCAGGCTGGGGTGCTGGCCTTCCCCCGGGCAGCAGCTGAGGGCCTGAGTCTCATGTCCTCAGACTGCTCCAGATCAGATGGTCTCAAGCCCTTCTCCTGAGTATAAAGATGCCCTTCCCTCCCCCAGTGCTGCTCCCTAAGACCCTAGAGGCAAGAACTTGGTTGCTCCCCTGGAAAGTGTTGGTGGTGGGGATGAGGAGATGGGAAGAGAGGGAGGGGGAGAGAGAGAGAGAGAATATATTAGATATCACAGAAGCAAGCTGGAGTCCCAGCAATGTGCTTGCTCCTGCAAGACTCCCTGCCTGCCTCATGATGGGACAATGAACACACACACACACAACACATACAAATACACACAGAACACACAGAAATACACCCATAGCACACATATGCACACATACATGTAATACATAGCACACATATGCACACAAATACATGCACAAATACAAATACATGCAGCACAGATGCACACAAATACACTTAGCACATATGCACACACACAAATATACAGCACATATCCACACACAAATACACACAGCACACAGACACACATACAAATGCACACATAGCACACACATGCACACATGCAAATACACACAGCACATACATAGCACACACCTGCACATATACAAATACACACAGCACACACCTGCACACAGCACACGTGCACACACACATACAACAGGCCTCACTACCTGCCTGCTTCACTCCCCCAGCCCTTGTCACCCTCTGCTCTGTGGATCACCTCCTCAATCAGAACGCCATCACCACGAGAAAAGACTTCGGCCTGTTTCTGTTGTTTCTACCTCTGTACCCACAGCTCCTAGCACGGTGCCTGAAATAAGTGGGCATTGGGTGGGCACTTGCTGAATAAGTGAAGCCATGAGCCACAGAAGGGGTGTCAGTGAGAATTCGAGTGTGGGTGAAGGTGAGGAGGAGGAGGAGGAGGAGGGAGGAAAGGGAGGTCTGAGAGATGGGGAGAGGCAGGCCTGGGGGAGAGCGTGGCCCTGTGTCGGAGAGACAGAGAAATAGAGTCGGGGTGGCCACAGGTAATGAATGCCGTTTGTGGTGAGACTCTCTTGCCCTATGGCTCCAGATTGAGGGGGTGTCCCAAGGATGTCTGGGCACAATATTGGTGTGTGCCAGGGCCTGGGAAGGAGGCCCTTGTGCTTCCAAGAGATCCCACACAGCACCAGCCTCCCACACAGCCATGAGTCTGGGCCCTGGAGGGGACCCAGCCTCGGGTCATCAGAGGAAACGCTGTCTCCTCCTCGCTTGGACTGGCCAGTGGCACAGGCTCCCTCCTAGGGAGGTATGGAGTCACCAGAAAGGCAGCCTGGGGCCCAGGCCAGGCCCAGATGGCCCCAGCTGTTCACCACAGCCCCAGGGCAGGCAGGAAGCTGGGGTGCGGGGAGTAGCCGCTGACCCACTGGGAACCAGCATGCAGTTTGGAGGGGGGCCTGGTGGGGGCAGTGTCAGTTCAAGGCTGGCATCCACTCCTCACCGGCAGGCCCTGGCAAGGGCCTATCCTCCCTAGAAGGCTTGGAGGCAGCCAGGGGGGCTGAGAGGGGCCAGGGGAGCTGGGAGGACAGGCTCCATCCTGTGGGGCTCCCTGCTGCCTAGAAGCAGCCATCAAGCAGCCCGAGAGTGTGGCAGACATGGCTTAGGCGGCCTGATGGAGAAGCCCTTGACACATAGGATTGCAGAAGTCAGAGGTCTTGGCCTTAGGGGGATACAGTGAGGCCTCGGCACTCCCAGTCTTATGTCCCAGGCAGACGGCCCTCACCTACCCCCTGTGCCTGCCCCAACACGTTTGGGCTGTCCTGGGCAGGGATGCACACACAGGGAGTCCCAGCTGCAGGTGGTGGTAGCCTGGAGACCTGGGTCCTGGGCAGCTTTGGGACAGAGCCACTGGGCAATCTGGGGCGGCAGGGGTAGTGGAGAGGGACCCGCAGGGTGAGTGGGGAGGCAGTGGCGACCTCTATGAGAGAAGGCAGCCTGGCATATGGGGCAGTGATCAGGGCAAGGTGTCAACACACCTGGGTCCCCACTCCAACTGGGGACCTGGAGGAAGCCTCCTCCCCTCCCTGGAGAGGGGCATGACACGGTATGAACATTGGCCGGAGCTCCAGTCAACCTCTGCGACCCTCAGTTTCCTCATCTGCATAATGGGTTTGTGTGAATGTACGAAAACTCCTATCAGTGCATTTTACTTCTCAATATATTTCTGCATATACATATTCTGCATTCTCTCTGGCCTCCCTGTCCCAGCGTCCCAGCCTCTGAAAGGGGGCGCTGGCTCATGATGTATCTGTTTCCCGCAGTGACATGTCCCCGGAACCCACAGCCAACCCCCTTCCCAGTGGTCTCTGATGTTCCCCCCACCCCCAGAAGGGAGATGAGGAGGAGCAGAAACAGGGGACACAGGACAGGGTGGCTGGTTCCAGCCTCCCCGACCCTCCCAGCTCCACTCTGATCTTGTGGCCTCTCCAGCTCTCATCCTCCCTCCATGGCCTCCAGATGACAAGTCCCTGGGGATAGCTCCCTGCCATGGCTGGCGGTGTCTGAGCAAAAGAGGGAGATGAAGCTGGCTTGGAATGGGAGGTGCTAACCTTGTCTTCGGAGTTGCCCGCTTGCTCCCTCCACCCCTAGTCCAGGATGCGCAGGCAGAACCCCGGCCATTTCCATTCTGGGGACTCTGGTCGGGAGTCCGGCGCCCTAGGAATCGTCTCCTCACTTCAGTCTGAACCTGCTCCATGCCCAGGGACCGGGCCAGTGCACCTGGACTCACCTCATCTGAATCATCCCTGTGGGAGTGCCTGTCAAGAGCCAAGATGTTCCCAAGCTCATCTGTCTTTCTCTTGTCCTTTAACACGTATTCTCCTGATGGGTTTTGGATATTTTCATTCTCCTTCACCTCACCGGGGCCTTGAAGGGTGGAGACTCTCCCTGGTGCTGGCTACCCAGCACCCCACTACTGACACAAGACGGGGAGCTGCCCTGGGTGGAAGATGAGAGGATGCAATCAGATTTCTGGAAGCTGGGCACAAGAAACCTGTGACCAAGTCTCAGCCCTGCCAGGTATGACCCTCTGACCATAGGCAAATTATTTAACTTCTGTGATCTCAGTTCTATAAAGCAGGGGCCTCTCCTGTGATACTTTGCTTATAGAACTCTGCGATGTGGACGTATCTGTCTGGAATAGTTCCTGGGCTCGTGGGAGACACACAATCAACAGAACTATGGACATTACCGTCCTGTCTCTCAGGGCTCATGGAACGACAGGCTTCTGCCGATCCTGCCCCCAGCCCACCGCTATCCTTATAAATATGTATTCATAGGAGTTTTCACTGTGTGCTTCTGGACTATTTTCTTTTCTTTTTTTTTTTTTTGAGACAGAGTCTCGCTCTGTCGCCCAGGCTGGAGTGCAGTGGCACGATCTCAGCTCACTGCAAGCTCCGCCTCCCGGGTTCACGCCATTCTCCTGCCTCAGCCTCCCAAGTAGCTGAGACTACAGGCACCCGCCACCACGCCCGGGTAATTTTTTGTATTTTTAGTAGAGATGGGGTTTCACTGTGTCAGCCAGGATGGTTTCGATCTCCTGACCTCGTGATCCGCCCACCTCAGCCTCCCAAAGTGCTGGGATTACAGGCCTGAGCCACCGCGCCTGGCCTATTTCATTTTTATGATACCCCTACAAGGTGAAATATTCCCTTTCTACTTCTACAGATGGGAAGAGTGACGCTCAGAGGGTTTGGGTCACTATTCTGAGGTTACATAGCCAGCTGGTGTCCGAGTTGTTCTCAGGTGCCCCAAACCTAGAACTTTTCCATCCCATCTCCCCAGGGGGAGGGTGCTAGGATCCCGTGCCCCAACCCCAGTTAACAGCCACCCTCCCACCATTCACCACTGCCATGACTTTGGAGCCATCTAAGCATATACAGGTGACAGGAGTAGGCCGGACCCACAGGCAGTTTGCTGGGTTTGGGAGACTCGGTGTGGGGCGTGAGTTCCTAGACGCTAACCCCCTGTCCTCCTGGCTCAGGTCGCTGGGTCATTGGCCGACGGCACCTGTGCGGGCTCATGCAGGGCAGCTCAGATGGCACAGGCCTCCCTGACAGCCAGCTGGCCGAGGCAGCCCCATGCATCAGCCAGTTTTGTTTATTCTCCAGCCTTGTTTATGACTCGATAAAATCCATAACACGGACAGTGCCTGTCTCCCCTGGCTTCCCCTCTGCCCGGCTCTCGTTCCCTGGGGATGCAGCTCTGCTCTTTATAGAAACCACCTGCTAAACTAGGCCCACCTGAAACCCATCACTGTCAGTAAATGACCCTCCAGGAGAGGAAGCTGCCCAGTAAGTGTGAGGCAGCGGGCACGACGTGGATCGCTGGCCTTTTTCTTTACAGAGGTTAAAAATAGTCCCACCGGGAGCAGCCCATCCCCCTCCAGGGACCACCCCTAGCTGTATACCTATGTCCCCTCCAGCAGGGGAAGGTGGGAGAGGCACTGGACAGGTGCTGAGAAGACGTGGTCTGGCCAGGGCCTGGCACCTGTGAGCTCGAAGGCCTCGTGTAAGTCACAGCACCTCTCCTGCTTTCCGTTTCCATTTACACAATAAAATGAATGGATCAGGCACCAAGCGCCGGCTTGCTTCGATTTTTCTTCAAGTAGTGGAACCCTTTCTTTAAGTAAAATTTTAGACAGATCCCCAATAGATGAGAGTGCTGAAGAAAACGGACTTTTCCGGGTAAGGAGCGAGTGGAAAATGTAGCATCCCCCTAGAAAGAGTTACCCCTTTTCTTGTT
The DNA here is from genome assembly GCF_000001405.40 of Homo sapiens. Classification (NCBI taxonomy): domain Eukaryota; kingdom Metazoa; phylum Chordata; class Mammalia; order Primates; family Hominidae; genus Homo; species Homo sapiens. The sequence continues at coordinate 73,599,078 of NC_000017.11, forward strand.
TTTCCAACTGAAGTCTCCGAGCTTCCAGAAGGCTGAGGCTGGATATTTTTCATTGTTGTGTCCTGTGCAATGGGCCTGGCCCACTGATGTGTCTCTTGTAGTGCTTAGTACATTCGTACAGAAGGAGGAAGGTAGGTAGGTAGGAGGGAGTGAGAAAAGAAAGGAGAGAAGGTGCTGGGCACGGTGGCTCACGCCTGTAATCCCAGCACTTTGGGAGGCCGAAGGGGGTGGATCACTTGAGGTCAGGAGTTCAAGACCAGCCTGGCCAACATGGCGAAACCCCATCTCTACCAAAAATACAAAAATTAGCCTGGCGTGGTGGTGGGCACCTGTAATCCCAGTTACTCCTCAGGAGGCTGAGGCAGGAGAATCACTTGAACCCAGGAGGCGGAGGCTGCAGTGAGCTGAGATAGCGGCACTGCACTCCAGCCTGGATGACAGTGAGGTTCCATCTCAAAAAAAAAAATTAAATTAAATAAATAAAAATAAAGGGGAGAGGGAAAAGAGGAGGAGAGAGGGAGCAAGGAAGGAGGGAGGAAAGGGGGAAGAGGAAAGGATGAAGAAGGAGGGAGGGAGGGGAACACACATTAAGCCAGTTTCTTTTTTCTCTCACTTCAAGCATAGCTCAAAATCCATTCCACCACCCTAAGCCATTCCTCTCCATCCTGAGACTCAGGCTAAAAGCAGAGGCTGTGCCACAGTCCTTGCCAGGCCCAACCTGTTCCCCACTTGCAGGGAGCTCAGCCAGTGGTCTCTGACACAGGGGCCCAGGCTCCTCAGCTGTGATGGGGGGTCCTTCAGTGAAGGTAGGTGCCAAGTCCTGTCTGCCAACACAGTCACTCTGTCTCACACACCTACGGTTATTTGTCAAAGTATGTGACTGCTGTTGTGATTAATACGCTAGACGTCCATTTAAAAGTGATACTGAACCCGTAGCAGCCCCTCGTCACTATGTTTTCTCAAACAGTGGTTGCTAAATAAACAACCACAAGCACATGGAGATCCCTGACTTTCCTGGGGAAAGGGGTCCTTGTGCTGGACAGGAGGGGACCTGGTCCCAGGTGGCCTGAGCCCGGGGCAGACCCTCACCCTTCCCTGGCCATTGCAGCTCCCGCCACTTCCTCGGTCCCATCCAGCAGCACTGGGTTTCCCTCCAGGAGCCCATGGATGGCAGCCGTGTGCTGGGCCAGAGGCCACATCTGGAATTCATTCTCTTCATTAAATTGGTGGCTGTTTCCCAAGCTCTGGCTCTCTTGATCCTCCCAAAGCCCTGTTCGTGCTGCTAACAAGGGCAGTAATTTGTTCATTAAAAACGGGACGCCTTCCCAACAGGCCTCCCTGGCTTCTGCCTCCCCTGGGGGAGGCGGGGTGTGGAGAGGGCGACAGCAATCCTTGGTCCCAGGATCAGAGCTGTCCCACCTAGGGGGACACCCAGGGCTTCTCTGGGGCAGAGCCTCACCTGCTCTGGTCACTCAGCCCCTAGCTCCCCAAGTGACTCCGATGGTGCCAGCAGACAGTGTGGGGAGAGGCCGACAAGAGCCCCTGCCAGCTCCTCTCCTGCTCTGCGACAGGGTGTTGTGGCCATCCAGTCGATGCGGACAACTTGATCTGGCATCAAGTCCCTGTGCAAACCACAGCCCATCAAGAGGCATTTATTGTTGTGAAAACAAACAGTCCCCTCCCCAGTGCCTGGTCCATCCTATCTCCACTCCCCACCGGATACCCTTTCCCTGTCCTTGGAGCAGCTCAGACGGACTAATCCAGAGCTGCTCACTCCTCTGCATTCCAATCTCTGCTCCGGCTGGTCTGGGCCCACCAGGGAACAGGAGGCAGGATACCAGAGTCTGGGGGGCAGGACTCTGTGCACAGAAACCCACCCAAGAGAGGCCTCAGGGCCTTTGGTGCCTTTATGAATGATCTTTTCATTTTATTATTTAAAAAAAAATTTTTTTTTTTTTTTGAGATGGCATCTCACTCTGTTGCCCGGGCTGGAGTGCAGTGGCATGATCTCAGCTCACTGCAACCTCCGCCTCCCAGGTTCAAACAATTCTCCTGTCTCAGCCTCCCGAGTAGCTGGGAATACAGGCATGCACCACCACGCCCAGCTAATTTTTGTATTTTTAGTAAAGACGGGGTTTCACCATATTGGCCAGGCTGGTCTCGAACTCCTGACCTCAGGTGATCCACCCGCCTCGGCCTCCCAAAGTGCTGGGATTACAGGTGTGAGCCACCGCGCCTGGCCTTACGAATGATCTAAGTTTAAGCACATGGACCCTTTGAGGTGGCATGCTGGGTGGAATAGTGTCCCCCCAAATTCATGTCCACCCAGAACCTCACGATGTGGCCTAATTTGGAAAGAAGGTTGTTGCATATGTTCTGAATTACGGTGAACTCTAGTCCAATATGCTGTCCTGTGAAGAGGGAAATTTAGACACAGGTACACGCACAGAGAAAAGACGGGATGAAGCACAGAGACATAGGGATAGGGCCGAGGGACAACGGAGGCAGAGACTGGAGTGAGGCATCTCTCGGCTAAGGCATGTGGAGAATCACCAGTAGCGCCCAGAGCTAGGAGACGGTCCCGGGACAAGCTCTCCTTGGAGTCTCCAGAAGGAACCAACCCTGCCGACGACACCTTGATTTTGGACATCCAGACTCCAGAACTGTTTTTTTTTTTCTTTTTTGAGACAGAGTCCTGCTTTTTCGCCCAGGCTGGAGTGCAGTGGCGCCATTTTGGCTCGTTGCAGCCTCCGCCTCCTGGGTTCAAGTGATTCTCCTGCCTCAGGCTCCCGAGTAGCTGGGATTACAGGCACCCAGCACCATGCCCGGCTAATTTTTGTATCTTTAGTAGAGATGGGATTTTGCCATGTTGGCCAGGCTGGTCTCGAACTCCTCACCTCAGGTGATCCGCCTGCCTTGGCCTCCCAAAGTGCTGGGATTACAGGCGTGAGCCGCCGCGCCCAGCCCAGAACTGTGTTTTAAACAACCCAGTTTGTAGTGCTTCGTTGCGGCAGCCACAGGAAACCAATACAGGTAGGTAGGTGAGTTGGCCACGTTTGGGAAACTGAGGCCCAGAAGTTGGAGTGCTTCACTCCAAGGTCACAAAAACAAGGCAGTGACACAACTGAGGCTGGAGTTGAGATCCCCACTCCCACTCCATGAATCCTCTGTGAGGCCCAGAGACTGAGAAGGAGCCCAGGCCTGCATGCCTCAGCCACTTTGTTAGGAAGAAAGCGAGGGCTGCGAGGCCTGGGCAGAGCAAGGACGGGGAGCCTCTTCCTCCATGGCATCCTCAGCTGCACACACAGACCTGTAACAGGGCCTTGGCAACAGTGCACCATCTCTGACTCAGTATCCAGGATTCTCTCATTCTTAGCAGAGTGCCGGCTGCCTGGCAGACACTAATAAATGAATACATGGATGGAAGAAAAAAAAAGTCTAAGTTCTTTTTTTTTTTTTTAATGAAGTTCCTTTGCAGAATCCTCCTTTTTTGATGCCAGATAGAAATAAAGTTGGATGACATTTTTCCCATTCTCAGTCTCTTAAATCCCAAGAAACCCACACAAGGAAATCTATGTTCGGGTCTGGGCACTGTCCTTAAGTGAGAATGTTGATTTAAAGCAGGGTTTCTCAACCCTGGCGCTATTTTGTTGTTGTTGTTGTTGTTGAGATGGAGTCTCACTGTGTCACTCAGGCTGGAGTGCAGTGGCGTGATCTCGGCTCACTGCAAGCTCCACCTCCCAGGTCCAAGTGATTGTCGTGCCTCAGCTTCCCAAGTAGCTGAAATTACAGGGCCTGCCACCACGCCTGGCTAATTTTTGTATTTTAGTAAAGACAGGGTTTTACCATATTGATCAGGCTGGTCTCAAACTCCTGACCTCAAGTGATCCACCCACCTCAGCCTCCCAAAGTGTTGGGATTATAGGCATGAGCCACTGTGCCCAGCCAACCTTGACACTATTGACAGCTTGGGTGGGATCATTCTTTGGTGGAGGATGACCTGAGACACTCACCACCCTCCCAGGTTGTGACAACCAAAAGTGTCTGCAGACAGTGTCACATGTCCCCTGGAGGGCAATGTCATTCCCTGCTGAGACCACCTTGTGCTGGCCATAGGGGTGCACAGGTGAAGAGTCTCCAGGTCCCGGCCTCAGAGACCTCCCTACTTGGTGGAGAGTGAGGGGTTAGCAGATCAGTGTATCTATCCTGGAAGTGACCATTGCTGCCTGGCCATGCGGGCAGAGGCTGGCCCCCTGCGCTAGAGAGAGACTTCTGGGCCGGACTGAGAGGATTCATACTGACCGCCAATGTCCCTTCCCCTAGAAGATTCAAAAATGCTCTGGGCATCTATCACACTGATAAGTTGGAGAGACGACTCTTTTCTCCTCTGAAATGTAGCTAGCCTGGGTCCCAAGGTGATGCACACCCAGGGGAGCCTAGGATGCTACACCAGGCAGGACGGGCTTCCCAGTGTGCAGGGAGCTTGGGTCCCTGTAGCTCCCACTCTCAACTCAGAATCTATAAACATGGCAGCAGCCACTTACGCTTCCCAGTTCTGTGCCAGGAACTTTTCAGTGATCCAGTTATAGCTTCTCCTTAAAGCTACGCTACTAGAGAAGACATATTAGCCTTGCTTTAAAGACGAAACCAAGGCTTAGAGAGGTTAAGAAAGTTGCCAGGGGTCACACAGCTTGTGGGTGGCAAAGCTGGGCCTTCAACCTAGGCCTGTCTGGCTCCTTCTACAACACAGATCCTGGCACACCTGGAACCTTGTAAGGATGTCCCCAACTTGGGACACTTCCTGGGATCAGAGGTCAGCGGCCACAATGAGTGTCCTCTTAGCAGAGCCCTGGAGAAGAGGTGTCATAAAGAGGAGGATGGGGAGAGAGGGGGAAGCGCAGAACCCACCAACGTCAGCTGGCAGGAGGACAATGCCTGTCTCAGAACCCAGGGCCAAATGGGCAGCAGATCCCCTGGAGATTGCCACGCGGAGGGAACGCCCGCGCCGGGCAGCGCCAGCGTCAGCCTTCCTGGCCAGGAGAGTGTTTATTTCCAGGGCGAGGCTAGGAGTGGTTTCCAGGTGGGGGTCCGTGGAAATAACGTGCTCACACACACTCTCTTGAGCGAACAGAGCCCCATTCAGCCTGTCCAGAGGAGCGGACCCGCAAAGCTCATGGCCTGCATTCCGGGCAGGGTGGAAAAGGCGATTCAGAGAGGAACGCCCAGTCAGAGCCAGCTCCTCCACCACCCCCTTGTCCTTCGCATCATCTCCCAGGAGGACAAAACAAACTCAGGGCACAGGGAAGGGACCTGGCACTCGGGATACCCCTGGTTTGCCAGGGAAGTCACCAGCCCACAAAACACGGCATTGCAACCACACATGACACTTTACATCCCCAAAGGCCGGTGGGCAGCTGGCTTAAAGGAACAAACAGTTGCTCTGGGATCTCCACTGCCACCTCCTGTTCCTTGCCCTGCTGAGCCCTGGGACTAGAGAGGCAGGATGACAGCCAGGAGGCTGCTGCAACAGTCCAGGAGACCTTGGTGACCCAGCATGAGGAGTGCGGGGCTGAGGGGTGTGGAGAGAGAAAGGATAGCATTAGGGTTTCAGGCCTAAGCTAGTGTGCCAAGTGGGCCTCACAACAGGCATGTGGGTATAGAAATGAGGAGGCTCAGCTTGGGCGGTGGGGCTAAGGGAAGGACTGGAAGACCACGCCGAGGTCCAGGAGGTCTGGAGCTCATCACAGCCATTGCAGCAGGCGTGGTGGGCGAGGATGCCATCAGCACAGTGATGGCAACTAAAGCCACGTGGGAGGGGGTTGGGGAACACTGGCACATATGCACATTTAGTGGACCACTGCGGGAGAGGAAGCCCCCAGTGGTCCTGGAAGGAGAGTTAGAGAGGCAACCCCAGAAGGCTGCAGTGTTCCTGAAAGCTGAGAAGAAAGGAGAGGCCACCACTGGGCAAGGCCAACTATGGGCAAGGGGGCAAGGCCGTAAGAGGGTCCCTCTGGTTTACCAACATGGAGATCACAGGCAACTTTGACCTTGAAGCTTCGAAAAAGGGATGAGGCCTGGGGTGATGTGGGCAGGCAATGAGGTGGGGGAAAGAGTGACGGCCCCTTCAAGAGGTTGAGTGAAGGAAAGATGTAGGGAAGAGGCCGGAGCAGTCAAGAGAAATTGCTAAGGTTTGAGGGACGTAGCAGGTCAGGCTGAGGGGAAAGACTTGGCAGAGAGAGAGGATGGAGGTCCAGGTGAGGGGGCGGGATCCAGGCTCAGGTGGAGGTCCGGCCTTGACCACAGGAAATGGGTGTGGAGAAGAAAGCACAGGGGGTGGAAAAAGTCTTGCTAGAAGGAAGGCTGGAATCCCGGAGATTCTCACTTGAGGGGTTCTTCATGTCTTGGAGAAGGCAGTTGGGGCCTTCAGCTAAGGAGAGGAGGGAGTGGAGAGGGTGGGAGAGATGGTAATAATGACCCATAACTCCTGTGTCAGATTTTCCTGCTCTCCTTTCCTGAGTCAGCCCAGCATCACCTCCTCCAGGAAGGCCTCCTTGTTACCTAATCCTGGATGAGTTCCCTGTCACTCCTCCAAATTCGGGCAATACCCTGGTGTGCCTCCATGCACTGACCTTGGCACCGGGATGACCTGTTTGGGTTCCTCACTAACTATGAGCATGTGCCAAGAGATCGGATGCACGTATACAACACCAGCCCTTTGTGGCACGCTCAGCACGTAATAAGCGCTCAAAATGCTTGCTGAGTGACTGGCAGATCGGTAGTCCCTTCTCTGGACTCAGCCTCCTGCTCTTCACCAAGCCCGGGAAAGCTGACACCCCATTTCCCTGACTGCCCAGCAAGACCACAGCAAACTGTAGAGTTTGGTTTTTTCCTTCCTGTGTTTTAAGGAAAATAAGAAAAAAAAAACCCCACTCATACCAAACAAACAAAATGAGATGGCCTTGTTGACGTGCTGATGGGATCTCACTAGCAGAGATGGGGCTGTGTTGGTTTTCTTTTGCAAAGATTCTATTTATTTTGTAGGGTGCTTGGAGGGGCACACCATGCTTGTTGCTTATTATTACTTTTTGCTTCACATCTTGACTAGCACAATGGACTCATGATGAAAAGAGGCTGACGTTCTCAGGGGCAGCAGCAGGAGCCCAGAAGCTGGTGAGAGGCAGCTCCCTAGGGAAGCTGGGCTGGGCAGGAGCTCCCTGGGGAAGCTGGGTGGGGCAGGGCCCCCCTCCCGGAAAGATGGATGGGGCAGGGGCTCTGGGTGGTCTGCTGAGCCCCTCCTCTGAGGGGGGGCAGGGCAGGTGCTTATGGGTGCTGGGGCTGGTGAGTAAATGCTGGAAGGGGCTTTCAGGAGGTAAGAAAACAACATCAGCTGCCACCTCCTCAGAGCCTGGTATGGGCCGGGTCCTCTCCTATTTTACCCGCACCATCTGTAACCCTTACGACAGCCACGAAGGCGGGTTTCACCGTTTCTACTCCACAGATGAGGCTCAATGAGTTGTCATAAATCGACAAACGTGCTGTGGCTGGTGAATGGTGAAATTAGGTTCAAACCCAGGTTTGGTTCCCTGCAGAGCCTGTTTTCTTTTGGAAAGTCACGATCGACTCTATCCATGGAGAAAAAGCCACTATCCACCCCATCCACGCAGAATCCAGATTTTCAGTTCCGAGAATGGAGAGGGGAAGGGAACAGGCTCTATTAGTCACGGAAACATATTCTCCATTCTGGGAGTGGTGACATAGTGGGTGAGAAGGGGTGCAGATCAGGCGGAGGGAAAGCTTCCCATGGCATGCTGAGTGGAGCAGCTCAGTCAATGACTGAACCAGAAGGGTGGTTTTCCAGGCTTCCAAGATGGAAAAGCATTGGAATGGCCCAAGAGCCAATGCTTCTTGAGGGTCTCCAATATTCAAGCTAGACCATGAGGCTGGACAGGCAAGGGAGACAGTCCCTTCCTCCCTCATTCATTCCTACCCCTTTCATGAGTGGCCTCTTTGTCCCATGCTCCCTGGGAGAAATGTGTCCTCAAGAAGAGGCAACTACTGATTCAAGTGCCAAATAAGTGGTGTGGACAACAAGTGGTCAAGAGGACTTCACAGGATCCTCCAGATCTCTAAGGAGGAAGAGAGGAGTTGTCCTCACCACCACAGCCTTGCTGAGAAGAGGCCCTAGCAGGCAGCTGTAGAAAAGCACAGCTGAGACGTCCACTCTGATCAACCAGTGCGATTGGCACATATCTTAGCTGGGACCTGGCCTGAGAGCAGGGAGAGGCCCACACGCACTCATTTCTTCATTCAACTGTGTGTGTGTGTTCAGCACCTGTCATGTACCAGGCCCTCATCCGGGCATTTGGGATCTACCGGGGGACCCTTAAGACAAAGATTGCTGCCCCTGGGGAGCTCATGAAAAAAAGCAAAACGCTGAGCCAGGGAAGGGGTCTCGGGTGGGAGAGCAGGTGTCAGGAGTAGGCTACGGTGTTCAGTTTGGGAGGTGGGCCAGACCCCACTGAGGAGGTGACACTGAGCCAAGGAGTCACCTGGGGTGCAGCATTGAGGGCAGCCAGATCTGCACACCCCAAGGTTTTCCAGAAGGGGTTGCAGGGCAGGCTTGGGAGACAGAACAGAGGCCACACGGCTGGAAAGCAACAGAGAGTCGGATCTCGGGGACCTCCTAAGCTTCTGTAGAAAAGGCTTTTACTCTGAGGGTTTTACGCTGCAGGCTTTTGAGCGAAGGACACATGCTCTGACTTCTGTGTGCTTTTTTTTTTTTTGGTTGTTGTTAATATTTTATTTCAGAACAGCTTCAGATGACAGTCCAGTTATAAAGATAGAACAAAGAGTGTCCACACACCCCATCACCCAGTTGCCCTTTTTGTTAACATCTTGCACACTACGGTACATTTGTCACAACCAAGGAAAGAATGTGGGTCCATGACCACCAACTACACCCCACAGTACACTTGGACTTCCCTCGTCTTTCCCTAATGTCCCTTTCTGTTCCCGGATCCCATCCAGAATCCCACATTACGTTTCACCGTCACTTCTCCTTGGGCCCCTTGGGACTGTGACAGTTTCTCAGATGTGCCTGGTGTTGGACGACCTCAACAGTTTTGAGGGGTGCTGGTCGGGTCCTTTGTAGACTGTCCCTCCCTTTATTTTTCTCTGATGTGTTTCTCATGGTTAGACTGAGCTTGTGGGTTTTGGGGAGGACGATCACGGAGGTAAAGGGCCCTTCTCATCCCATCGTGTCAGGGTGCCTGCTGGCAACATGCCTCGTCGCTGACTATGTTAACCTTGATCACCTGGGGAGACAGGGTTTGCTACCAGCATTCTCCACTGCAAAGTTACTTTTAAAATTTCCTTTTATTTTGAGAGGGAGTTTTGCCCTTGTCACCCAGGCTGGAGTGCAATGGCGCGATCTCGGCTCACTGCAACCTCCACCTCCCGAGTTCAAGCGATTCTCCTGCCTCAGCCTCCCGAGTAGCTGGGATTACAGGCACCCACCACCACGCCCAGATAATTTTTTTATTTTTAGTAGAGATGGGGTTTTACCATGTTGGCCAGGTTGGTCTTGAACTCCTGACCTCAGGTGATCCACCTGCCTTGGCCTCCCAAAGTGCTGGGATTATAGGTGTGAGCCACTGTGCCAGGCCTAAAATTTCCCTTTTTGTATGGTACTCTCAGGAAGCAGCTGCACTAACAGCAGCCCACACTCAAGGGAAGGGAGATCATGTCTATTTTTAAAGGATCACCGTGGCTACTGTCTATTGTGAGGAGGTGACTGCAGTGGCTCAGGACAAAGATGATGGTGGCTGGCACCGTGTCGCAGCGGAGAAGGATGATGAGAAGCAACTGAACTCTACATATACGAATCAAATATCTTCCGTTAATCAGATTCTTCTATTGGCTTAGATGTGGGGTGTAAGAGAAAGAGTCAAGGGTTAGCCTTGAGGTTTGGGCTGCAGATCACTGCATCTTGGCATTGACCTCAGTAAAGCCTGGGAAGGCCGCTGGAGGAAAGCCTTTTTGGGGAAGATCAGGAGTTTGCAAGACCTTGTGTGTGTTCAGTTGGGATGACTTGGTCATCAAAGTGAATGCAGTGTTGGAGAGATAAGCCTGGAGTGTGAGAGATGGGTCTGGGCTGGAGGGAATACACATGGGTATCGCAGGCAGAGGTTGGATGAGATCACCAAGGGGTGGGTACTCATGGAAAGGAGGAGAGAGCCCAGAACTGAGTCCAGAACGCCCTGACATCAGAGGCTGGACCAGGAGGAGGAGCCAGCAAGAAAGGCACCAAACTGAGAGCCAGCCAAGAGAAGACCACGATGGACCTAGTCGCAGGGCTGAGAACCAGCCCCAGCAGAGCAGCTTCAGTGGAAGCCCGACTGGGTTTAAGACAGAAAGGGAAGACAGGAATTAGAGACAGGGGCATTAGCAACTTTTTCATGACATTTTGCTGCAAAGGGAGCAAAGACATGCAGTGGAAGCTGACAGGGAAAACGGCTCAAGAGAAGGTTTGTTTTTTCAAGATGGGAGAAATCACAAAGCATTTCTCTGCTAATGGGAATGACTTTCAAGGGAGGTAATGGGTACCCTCTTACCTACGTGCAGTTTACAAGAGTTCTCCAGGGTCTCTCCAAATCCCAAAGGAGCCAAAGCACAGGAGGGAGGGAGGGAACTGCTGGGGCCAAAGTGGGAAAGAGAAGTTGCATGAGAACCTCCAGAAAACCTCGAGAGCCCCCAGGGCCCAAGGAGACAGAGTCCCTGCTGGCCATGTCCCTCCCATTCCAGCAATCAACAGGCAGCTGTCAGGAGACAAAAACAGCTCACTGGAGCAAGGGCTGGGACTGGTAGTAGGTGCGGAGCTCAGCCAGGCAGCTGCACGGGAAACAGGTGTCCTGCTGAACAAGATGGAAGCAGGGTCCCCCACAAATGCTTGTGCAGCCCATCAGCCCCACGGAGACATGGGGAAGACACCCCGTCTTTCTCCTCCACGTCCCTGGGGAGATGACACTGGTCTCGGGGAGACACTAAAAGCCTAGGATGCTTTGGACTCATTGTTCTCCAGGGATCCCCAGTCAGAGGGGCTGAAGCTCCCTGAAAGTATACCCTAAAAGTTGTGTGCCCATGCACAGGCATGTGACTGGGGAGGAAACCCGTAGGTTTCATCAGCTCTTCGAAGGGGACTATATCCTCAGGAGAGATGCGGAGGCCCAGCCAGTCACTTAGGGCACCCCGAAATGCACCTTTTGCCCTGCTCCAAGCTCAAAAGCTGCTTGCCCCATCCCAGACACTGCAGAAAGGGGGAAAAAAATCAATCAACTGACCATTTTGTTCTCAGCCTGAATTTTGGCCCAGCACGCATTCCAAGTGGCTGCAAATCCCAGTGACAGCATGCATGACGCTTGGTATCTGGGTCACTCACTGGGGATCTGACTCACAGGACTGCTTCACTGCAGCCACAAGACGGCCAGGAGAGCCCATGGCATTGCTAATTTCCCCCACAGTAGCCACGAGGGAGGCGGGGAGTGAGTATGTGTGCATGTTTATGTGTGCAACTGGTGTTTCTGTGTGTGCATGTGTTTTCTGTGTGTAAGGCATGTGTGTAATGTGTGTCTGTGTGTGTTAGGTGTGCCCAGGAAGGATGGAGAGGGTGTGTGAGCATATGTATCTATATATGTGTGTTCATGTATATATCTATGCATTTGGTATGTGTACAAGTGGAGGAGTGTATGTGTGGTGTGCGTGTGCGTGTGTGTGTGTGTGTGTGTATGAGAGACAGAGAGATGGAGGGTCAGGCAGGAGTATGGAGACCAAGAGAACATGGGGGCCTGTGCCCCCCACCTCCCAGTTCTCAGAATGAACACAAGGATCTGTCAGAAATGTTATAGAATGTTCTGAAGGATGTGAAGTCAGCTACAGGTCTTAATACTGTATTCTCTGCACAGTCTGAAATTGCATTTTGCTAGAAATCCAAGTCATCGTGCCCTAGGTCGTGCTGCGATTTTGCAAGAGACCAGGGGCTCCGAGGGGTTGTGGTGCCACGCAGGCTCACACAGCTCTGAGGGTCAAAGACTTCTGGTTCTCTCCCAGGAGGGGGATTTAGAATCTCACTTTCTCTCCTTTTATCCCACTCTCTCTCTCTCTGCCCCCACTGCTGATGGACAAAGACCCCTCACCCAAGTTCAGCCTCTGGCTCTGTCCTCTCCTTTCCTGGCACTTTCTACAGAGAACCATGATGAAGCCAGCGTCCTCTCTCTGGCAGGGTCAGGGACTGCTCTGACCAGTGTGGAGCACGCCCCAGGGCCACTCAGAGGCCTCCAGGAGGCCAGGCTATGGCATAGCAAGGCTGGGGCCCGCCTCTGTGGCCCCTCCTTGCTGGACGCCCAAGTCCCCCTGGGAGAGGTGCCCTGGGGGGACCCCAACACCTTGGCTGGGTGTGTGCTTCCCTAGTTCCCCTGTGGCCTCTGCTCACATGGTAAGTGGAATGAGCACGGCCTCATGGAGGCCTGAGTTTGAGCCTGTGACCTGCAGAGGCTTTCCCAGCCTCAGTTTCCCCACCTTCCCTCATGGCCAGTCATGCTGCTTCCCAGCAAGTTAGGGTGCAGTGAGAGGGTCCCTTGCCCCCACCCCAGCTCTGTAAGGCCTACCCACTCCACGCTCCTCCTATTGGGACCCACGTCCTTGCCAGCTTTGGAGCAGGCAGTCCAGCCCAGCTTCTGCCCGGCCCCTGCCCCTGCAGCCAAGCTGGAGGGAGTCGCCACCAGAGCCCAGGGTCAGATGAAAGTATCTCCCGGCTCTGGGCTTGGACAGAAACTGATGCCCAACTCTGCGTGGGGAAGGGGAGAAGCAGGACCCCAACGTGTGCTGATGGTCACAGAGACTGTAAGTACCACAGACACTTTCCCTGTCTCAGGAGGGAGCCCACATTACCCATCAGCCGCCAGGGAAGTCTCCCCACAGTACAGTTGTGAATTAAACATGTGGCCTAATGAGTTGATTTTATTAGTTTGCAAACGCATTGAGAACTCGTTATGAAAATAAACAGCAATTCCTTTCACCCCCGCTGCAGCCTCTTCAAGCGAGGAAAGATAAATGCAAGTACACCACAGTGGTGGCCCAGCTGCACCCGGGCTGCAGGCCGGCCCCCCACGGTCCCCCACCCTCACGGGGTCCCTGTGACCCAGCTGCACCTGGGCTGCAGGCTGGCCCCGCATGGTCCCCTACCCTCATCGGGTCACTGTGACCCAGCTGCACCTGGGCTGCAGGCTGGCCCCGCACAGTCCCCACCCTCACCGGGTCCCTGTGGCCCAGCTGCACCTAGGCTGCAGGCTGGCCTCCCAAGGTCCCCTACCCTCACTGGGTCCTTGTGGCCCTGCCGGGGTGAGGGTAGAAGAGGAGGCCAAGGGAAGGGAGTTCTGCAGCCGACAAGCCCAGGGTGGCAGCCTGAGGGTCCCGGCTTCCCCATTCTGACCCCTTCAGAACTTGGGGGCGGTGGCAAAATGAGAAGCCCAGAGAGCCAAATAATAATAATAATAGTAACAGTAGGCCAGGCGAGGTGGCTCACACCTGTAATCCCAGCATTTTGGGAAGCCCAGGCGGGCAGATCACAAGGTCAAGACTTTGAGACAAGCCTGACCAACATGGTGAAACCCCGTCTCTACTAAAAATACAAAAATTAGCTGTACCTGGTGGTGCGCACCTGTAGTCCCAGCTACTCAGGAGGCTGAGGCAGGACAATCTCTTGAACCCAGGAGGCAGAAGTTGCAGTGAGCCAAGATCGCGCCATTGCACTCCAGCCTGGGTGACAGAGCGAGACTCCGTCTCAAATAATAATAATAATAATAATAGTAATGGTAATAATAGCAGCCTACCAGATGTTTAGTATACACCAGGCTCTGTGCGACATGCTGTCTGATCTGCCACCAACCCTGTGGGGTGGGAAACACGGTCCCATTTTATAGATGAACAAACACACCAAGGTCCTGCTCAAGTTGATGCGGGAGGAATGAGGAGCACAAAGCGGCACGAGAGATTTTCATTTCAGGAGACTTTCTCCTGCAGCGCTAAGTGAGGCCCGGGTTAGAGACAGCAAGACTAGTTTTCCCTGAAAAAGATCTCCATAATCCTGTGGCTGGGCAGGGGGCAGGAAGATGGACAAGCTGACCTTTGGAGGAGCCAAGGGGCCCTCCACGACTCCAAGCCCCGTCTCCCTGGAGACGCCAATGAGCAGCCGGCTCACCTCGCTCCCTCCCCCTCTGCTCTCCCCACCCCCGCCCTCCAGGTCCCCCTGGCCCCAGGCCCCTGGAGAGAGATGGTTCCAGGCTGGCGGAATTAGCCGTGAAGCCAGCAGGACAGGCACCGTATTGTCACGCTCTGCCATCCGTGCTCTCTTTGGAAAGGATGTTCTAATCCCATTTCATCCGCTTTCCATGGCTGTCAGCTGTTTGCAGGCATTTGGGAGGCAGGTTTCTGAAATCGGAGCCACTGTGCGGCCCCACCCCCACCCCCACCCCCAGCCCCCTCCCCCTACATATGCTCATCCATCAGTCTTGCTGGCCGGACCCCTTTGTTGGCCGGCCAACCCCCATCCAGTGGCACGTAGGGCCTCACGCCCCTCCCAGCTGCCCCACCTCTTCTATTTTGGGTCCACAGCAGGACAGGCCTGGGATGCCTCAGCCAAGCCCCCTGCGATGAGGAGGGGGACAGGGAAGGGGGAGCCGTGGAGAGGGGCCTCTCAGATTCCACAGGGAAGGAATTAGCCAAGTGTCAGCTACTTTCTGCAAATGAAGAGAGAGAGAAGGAGGACCTTTGAGCAGTCAAAGGACCAGTGCTCCTTAATTCAATTTATCTTCCACAGTGCAGCCAGAGAGATCTAGCTATTAAAACAAAAACAAAAGAAAACACCACTGCTCCTCACCCCTTTGGAGTACGAGATCTGGACAACAGAGTCCAGTTTTCCCAGACTGGCCCACTGGGCCTCCCTGCCGGCCCCTGCCCTTCCCCAGCCCTCGCTCCCTCCCCCTCCCCTCCCACTGCTGTACTTCATACTCAGCTGCTTTTCATTTCCCAAGCATGCCAGGGCCCTTGCAGCCTCTAGGCCTTTGCCCTGGCTGCTCACTCACTTAGCCTGGAAAGTACCCCCACCTTCTGTGGCAGGCCTGGTTCTTGCCTCGCTTTACAGTTAAGTGCAGGAAGGGGTCTCGCTCTTCCAGAAAGCTTCTCGAACCCGAGGATGGACCACGTTTCCTGCCCTGCCTCGGTTTCCTAAAGGACTTGATGACACCTCTTTCTTAGCCCTTGATTTAAACATCATATTGGATTTACCTGCTTATACTCGTTTCCCCCTAGATGACTGTGAGTCAGGCTAGACTGGAGGTTGGGGAAACATGTCCTGGGCATGTTTGAAAGACACTTTGTATGTTGGGTACACAGCGACACAAAGATGGGAACAAAAGACACTGGGGGACAAGGATTGAAAAGGGGGAGGGAGGGAGGGGCATAAGGATTGAAAAGGCGGAGGGAGGGAGGAGCACAAGGATTGAAAAGGGGGAGGGAGGGGGACAAAGATTGAAAAGGGGGAGGGAGGGGGACAAAGTTTGAAAAGGGGGAGGGAGGGAGGGGCACAAGGATTGAAAAGGGGGAGGGAGGGAGGGGGACAAGGATTGAAAAGGGGGAGGGAGGGAGGGGGACAAGGATTGAAAAGGGGAAAGGAGGGAGGGGCATAAGGATTGAAAAGGCGGAGGGAGGGAGGGGGACAAGGATTGAAAAACTACCTATCAGGTACTAGGTTCCCTTTTTGGGTGACAGCATGGTTAGAAGCGCAAACCTCAGCATCACACAATATATCCAGGTAACAAACCCGCATGTGTGTCCCCTGAATAGAAGATAAAAAAAAAAAAAAAAAGAAAGTTTGTAAAGGCTGCTCCTAAACTGATGTTTGAATCGTGCCTGACACAGAAGAAAGTGCTCAGTAAGTGTCAGCCACCTCTAGGTTATTATTTTTCTCATTGTCCTTGTTTTTATTTTTCAACTCTTTGAACCGTGCCTGACACACAATGAGTACATACTTGATGTTACAACTGTTGACTTCAGAGTCTTAGATAGATCTAGCAAGAAGATAACCTCAAACATCATTGACTTTAACGTTCTGCTGTCATTGATGATGCATTTGAGGCCCCAGAAGTAAAGTAAGTTGTCAGAGGCCCCTGAATTGGCCACTAGCAGAGCTGAGTCTAGAACTGGGCCTCCTGATGTCCCAACGAAGTATGAGTCTCTGCCCGGATGCCCTCCTCACCATAAGCCCTAGTCCCAGTGGAGCTATATGCTCCTGAGCTGCAAAGCAAGTCTCTTTCTAGGTTTCTCTGCAGAGTCCAGGTCTTTGCATAACACTTAGAGAACATCAGGGATAAGACAGGTCCAGTGTTCTGTTCGGCTCACCAAAAAGAAGGGAGACACAGACCTTCTCCCCAAGCCCCGTCCCTCCCTCCATCCCCAGTCCTGTTCCTGTCCACCACACGTGACCCCAGGGTCTGATGGTGGTTGCGGTGGAAGTTGTTCTGGAATAAAACTCTCAGCTAGGTGATGCCCAGGGTGAGGATGTGGGAAGACAGAGTGATGCACAAGCTGGTCCGACAGCCCACTGGAGGCCACGTTTTTAAACCAGAGTCATGTGAAATAAGCAACACACACACACAAGTATACATGCGCACAAATATATACACACATACATAAACATATACACAAATACACATACACACAATAACATACAACACATACACACAACCACATGTGCATTCACACATACATATATGTACACACAGTCACATACATATATACACAAATACACATGCATGTGACACACATGCCTACACATGCACATGAACACACAACCCAAATACACGTACACACGCATGCATGTAGACACATATGCATATACACATGAACACACATACACACACGTACACACACATACATACTTCTTCCCTCTGCATCTGAGCTTGACAGTGTGCATGAAGTAGACATATGATCCAGTTTGTGGAATCGGTACCTCCTCTTCCCCAGAACATCAGGAAGCGACCAGAAAGGCAAGCCACTTGCATGCTACCTTGCAAACTGACCTCAGGGCACTGTGAACCTTGTGCTCGGCAGCCCCAGGCATCCCGGTGCTGCTTGCCTTCCCCACCCTCTCCCCGCCTGTCTGAGCTAGACAAATTTCCACCCCCGGCTCCCCACCTCAACAGTCTCCCCAGCCCCAGCTCAGCATCCCACACACACATGCAGGCTCAGGAAGGAGAAAAAAACAAGAGGGAAAGAGGCAAGCAACGGTGATTTCCTTTCACTTGGGCAGGCTGACCGTGGCCTCAAGGACCACTGTCGCAATGCTTAGGCCTGAGCACGCATTTGTCTTTGTTTGGTTTGTTGCTTTGGTTTGTTTCGTTCTCCTGGCTGAATTACCACGTGGCAGCAGATCCTTTTTCTGGAGTAATGGAATCTTAGTCCTGGGTGTTTGGGGCTGAGAAAATGAACGTTCCATGATGCTATAAACGAAGGAAGATAAGAAACTAACTAGTCCAGCTAGTTTTTGCAGAATGCTGTGAGAGTTACAGGATAGGAAGCCACTTTCCTCCTGGGCCCAGCCCTTAGAGAGGTGCCTGAGAGGTGAGGGAGGTGCTCTCAGAGCTGCAGGCACTGCACTGTGCGCATTCCCACCATGAGATGCCTGGGGAAGGGGTCAGATTCCAGGGCTCAGGGACACAGAAGCCCCTTCTGAAGTGGGGATAGCTGAGAATGCAGAGGGGAGACAAAGTGGGCGGAGAGACAGCTCTCCTAGGGAGAGCGGAGGTCTAGAAAAGGTGCTGGGATGAGAGGGCGGGTTTTCACAGGCCCATGCATGGCACATGGGAGGCCCACGACACATGTTTATTGAATGAATGAAGGAATGGAAGGCCATAGCTGTGAGCATGCTTGTGGGCAGGGGTGGTTGAGAGAGCTGACCTCGCACTGAGCAAAGAAGGTGAAGGGCTGTAGAGGGGAAGGGAGAGGCCTCTGGGGAGGGGAGAAGCTTCCCGCAGAGAGGAGGGGAGAGGGCTCCAGGGGAGGGGAGGGGCCTCCTGCAGAGAGGAGGGGAGAGGGCTCCCGCAGAGGGGAGGGGAGAGGCCTCCTGCAGAGGGGAGGTGAGAGGGCTCCAGGGGAGGGGAGAGGCCTCCTGCAGAGGGGAGGGGAGAGGCCTCCTGCGGAGGGGAGGGGAGAGGGCTTCAGGGGGTTCTTAGGAGGCAAAGAGTCAATGCTTCTCTTTCTAGGATGGTTTGAATGCAGTTTTGCTCTAAGGCAAGGAAATGAACCCAGAGACCCCCAGGGGCCCTTCTGGCTCCTGGCTCTGATTTTTAACTTCAGCCAAGGTGGGGAGGAGGGTGACAGGCAACAAGGCCCTTAGAGCTGTCCTCTGGCTGCAGAGATCTCTCCCTGTCCAGCATACCTAGTCGACAGGCTCCAGGGGAGCTTACGAAGGGGGCGTCCCAGCTATTTGCGTTCTCCTGAGTGATTTACCAACCCCCTGCCAATACAACTCCATCTCCTGGAGAATTAACTGGCTCTCCTGAACTCATAAATAATTAGTGAGTCTGTCCCTGATGCCACTTAACAATTTGTGTTTTCAAAGCACTTTATGCCCATTAACTAAAGAATTCCCAATTCACCTCCAGAAAAACAGGACATCATAAGAGGGAGCCTGAAAAGGCCTCTGGAAGTCATCTCATCCATCCCCCGGCCTCTGGGATATGGTAAAACTAAAACAAAACAAAATACCCAACAACCCTGTTTTGAGAACACATCGAGATCTAAACGCCTTAAAACAAAACAGAACAAAGAAAAACAAGATGTCAGGAGGGCAAGCTGCTGTCTGACGAGTTAACCACTAGACCGAACCCACCAGGCCAAGGAGCCAGGGAGGTCCCATGGAGTGTGATGGGCCAGGGAGAGAAGCCTGTTAAAGGGGAGAGAGGTGCTTAATTTAATACCAGGCAAATGCAAGAGACCTTGAACCAATAGATAGGTTTCCTTACCTGCAGGTAGGGAAATGGTAATTTGCTAACCCAAACCCATTCATTAGCCTGTAAATGACGCAGCTCTTATACCTAGGAGTGTCCCTCTTAATTAGACCCCATACCTTTGCCCAGCCTCATTTTATGTTTTGCTTCTGGCTTGGGGCAGAAATGGCCGTTCATGCCAACTGGCCTCTCCCCATGGAGAGGGAGAGCTCGCTGTGCCTGTGGATTCATTTATAGTCGTCAAAACAAGATTCTCCAGGGAGGCAGTGGTCGGCCAAGCCCAAGGGCTATGGAGCCACAAGGATTCAAGGAAGCATCACTCCTTTGCCCTTTTAGAATCATGACCTCTTAATTAATCAGCAAGGAACTATAAAAAACCTACTGTATGCCCAGGACAGTGTGAGAAATGAGAGAGGAAAAAGGAGTCTCCATTTCTGCCCCATGAACAGGAAGGGTGTTTCCCTTTGGAATCTAGAGTCCACGTGGTGCCCAAGAACGGCATGGGGGAGTCAGGGAAGCAGAGGCCAAGCAAGACTCTTCTACAGGGAAGGTACTTAGACAGGCAACTTCCTATTCCCCGATCACCCCTGCCATCCTCACGGCCAAGGAAAGCAATGCCAGGAATAAAGGCGATGGACAGGTGGAGGGTCTGTGTCTGGCACAGCAGAGCAAATGCCTACCAGAGCACAAAACCCACAGCTAACAACTATGAACCCTGGACAGAACACCAAAAAAGCAACTATTAGGGCTGGGTGTGGTGGCTCATGCCTGTAATCCCAGCACTTTGGGAGGCCAAGGCGGGTGGATCACTTGAGGTCAGGAGTTTGAGACTGGCCTGGACAACATGGCGAAACCTCACCTCTACTAAAAATACAAAAATTAGCTGAGTGTGGTGGTGCGTGCCTGTAATTCCAGCTACTCAGGAGGCTGAGACAAGAGAACTGCTTGAACCCGGGAAGTGGAGGTTGCAATGAGCCAAGATTGTGCCACTGTACTCCAGCCTGGGCAACAGAGCGAGACCCTGTCTCAAAAAAAAAAAAAAAAAGCAAATCCTAGGAGGCCCTGGGGAGTGAACCAAAGTGGGCAGACACCGGAGAGAACTGGCTGCTTGGAAGAAATGGATGGCACAACGTGAGTTTCCTGTTTTTTATAGCAAAACTTGAGGGCAGGCTGAAGTCAGCACAGCACAGACAGCTAACCCTCCAGCAGAAATCAAAACAGCAGCAGAAATCAAAACAGTGTGGTACTACCATAAGGACAGACACAGAGACCGGTGTAACAGAACAGAGAGTCTATATGCATCTATGGCCAACTGATTTTTGACAAAGTTGTCAGGAAACTCAATGGGGAAAAAACATGTCTCTTCAACAAATGGAGCTTGGATAACTGGATAACCACATGCAAAAGAATGAACCTGAACCCCTACCTCACATCATATACAAAAAGGAACTCAAAATGGATCAACAACCAAAATAGAAGAGCTGAACCATAAAACTCTTAGAAGAAAACATGGGGTTAAATCTTAAAATCCTTGGATTTTGCAATGGATTCTTAGATATGATGACAAAAGAAAAAAAAATGTAAGGTGGACTTCATCAAAATTAAAATCTTTTGTGTATCAAAGGGCATGATCAGGAAAGTGAAAGGCAATCTATAGAATGAAAGAAAATATTTGCAAATCATACATCTGACAAGGGTCTAGTATCCAGAATATGTAATGAAACCTTACAACTGAACAACAACAACAACAACAACAAAACATAATTAAAAATTAGGCTGGATGTGGTGGCTGGCTCATGCCAGTAATCTCAGCACTTTGGGACACTGAGGCAGGCAGTTTGCTTGAGCCCAGGAGTTCAAGACCAGCCTGGGCAACATGGTGAAACCCTGTCTCTACAAAACGTACAAAAATTAGCTGGGTGTGGTGGCATGTGCCCATAGTCCCAGCTATGTGGGGGGCTGAGGTAGGAGGATTGCTTAAGCCCAGGGGGTTGAGGCTGCAGTGAACTGTGTCTGTACCTCTGCTCTCCATCCTGGGCAACAAAGTGAGATCCTGTCTCAAAAAAAAAAAAAAAGACAATGGACTTGAACAGAAATTTCTCCAGAGAAGATATACAAACGGCCAACAAGCACATGAAAAGATGGTCAGCACCATTAGTCATCAGGGAAATACAAATCAAAACCCCCATAAGGTAACACTTCACACCCACCAGGTCAGCTATAATTAAACAAATGAAAAATAACAAGTGTTGGTGTGAAGAAATCAAAACCTTTGTACATTGCTGGTGAGATTGTAAAATGGTTCAGTAACTGTGGAAAATAGTTTGTTCGTTCCTCAAAAAGTTAAACATAGAATTACCACATGATTCAATAGTTCCACTCCTAGGTATAGACCCAAAAGAACTGAGAACAA
This sequence comes from Homo sapiens, assembly GCF_000001405.40. Taxonomy (NCBI): domain Eukaryota; kingdom Metazoa; phylum Chordata; class Mammalia; order Primates; family Hominidae; genus Homo; species Homo sapiens. The sequence goes on from NC_000017.11 coordinate 73,620,552, forward strand.
GGTCTCAAACAAACACATGCACACACCTATTCATGCACTGTGAACAACAGCCAACAGGGGGAAATGGCACAAAAGTCCATTAACAAGTGCACGTGGCATATACATGCAATGAAATAGTAATTAGCAATTAAAAAGGAATGAAGTACTGCTACAAGCTTCAACACGGATGGACCTTGAAAACATTATGCTCAGTAAAAGAAGCCAGATACAAAAGGTCACATATTGTATGACTCCATTTATGTGAAACATCCAGAATAGGTAAATCCACAGATACAGATTGTGGCTGAGTTGTTGCCAGGGGCTGGAAAGGAGTGGGGAGCAACTGCTTAATGGGTAAGGGGTTTCCTTTTGGGGTGATAAAATGTCTTGAAACTAGATAGAGGTGATGGTTGCACAATATTGTGAATGTACTCAACGCTACTGAATTATTCATTTTATAATGGTTAATTTTATGTCATGTGAATTTCACCTCAATTACAACATAAGAAAAACCTCCAAGAGGAAACTCACAGTCTAGAATTCAGGGCAACCACAGGCACCAGAAAGTGAGGATGGATCCTGGAAAGTGGAGAGCCAGTGAGGGGAACATCAAATTCTTTGTATAGATGATGCCTAAATCTCTGGCTGACCCCTGAACTATATGTACTCAGGGCAGACTGCAAGTAACCCAGCTGAGGATAAATGTACTGAACTGAGATTTGAGCTACTGCCCCAAGGGAGAGTTTGCAGTTTGAATCAATTAAGTTAGTTCCCCCTAAAACAAAAAGTAAAATCAATACTTGTTGAAGAAATGTAATAGAATCTAGATTCTCTCTGACTTATTGCAATGCCCAAGATATATTCAAAATTACTCTACATACAAAGAACATGCAACCCATTCTCAAGATAAAAGATAATCAAGACTGACCCTGAAATGATGAGATGTTGAAATTAGCGGACACGAATTTTAAAGCTGCTAATATATTTCATGCAATAAATGACAATGTGCTCATTTAGTAAATAATAGTAAATCTTTAGAAAGCTAGAAGTTATATATAAATATAACTTTTTTATACATTATATATATACATATATACAATGTATGAAAATTTTAGAACTGAAAAATAAAATATATCAGATTTAAAAATTCACTGGATGGGCTTAACCAAAACATGGAGACAATAAAGGAAATAATGAACTTAAATATATATCCATAGAAATTACTCAATCTGAAGAACAGAGAGTAAGAAGATTGAAAAAAGTGAACAGGGACAATATAAAAACATCTAACATAGGTGTTAGTGAAGCTCAAGAAGGAAAGAAAAAATGGGGCTAAAAGTTTGAAGAAATAATGGTTCCCAAATTTGGTGAAAGACATGTATTTACAGATTCAAGATGGTCAGTGAACTCTAAGCAGGATAACCAACGACTCATCATAGTCAAACTTCTGAAAACCTAAGATAAAGAAAGTGGGGACAAGAGGATATTACATCCAGTTCTCAGCTACCCGTCCTGTGCATTTCAACAATTAGACAATTGGTACAGACCTGGACACCAATCCATGTGTCCACTAGAGTCAGCTTCCTACCATAGTGTATGGGGAATGCTGAGCTCCAATTGCCCAAACTTCAGAAGGCTTTGCCCAGGCTCATTCCTGCCCAGCCATGGGCTATAAGTCCTTTTCTCTATGTTGAACAGAGAGGTCAACCAAAGGGAGAAAATAACCTTTTATCTCTGGGTTGCCAGAAAGTCAGCAACACGTTGGAAAGGGGACCCAGGGCCCTCCCTCATGCCCCCGTTATCTGCATGTGCAGATTTCAGCTGATTCCCCAAGCCCGATGCAGAGGTCTCTCCTCCCTCTGTGAGTCCCTCCTGAACTACAGTATGATGCTTCTGGATTCCAGAAATTAGGGCTGTTTTCATAGCTGGGACAAGTTTTCTTGGCTCAGGGAGGAAAGTAATAGTTCCCAGTCTTTTTCCTCCTCTTCCCCACAATTCAGTGTTTGAGGAGGGAGGGAGGCAAAGAGTGCTGTGGCTGGTGCAGAGGTGGAAATCCACCCACTGCCTCACTTGGAGTGATTTGCAAAGGGTACGTAGAGACACTTAGGGAAAGTAAGGAGAGGTGCGTCTTTCTTCCCGTGCCTCACCCCCTCCTCCCATGGGACAAGGGCCTCAGAAGGACCACAGGGGAAGCAGCTTCTTCAGTGGATTTCCTAGATCTATCATGGCCCAAGAGCAATGCTCAGATGCCCAATGCCTGCATGCGCATGATTGGGGCTGGTTCTGGTTTTCATTTTTTGGGGCCCTGAACTCCAAGGTCTTCATCTTGGAATTCAAGGGCCTTGACCATCTGGTCCTTTCCTTGTCATTCCTTGGAGAGGTAGCGGGGGCCCAGCCCTCCCCTTCACCCATCCTGCACTTGGCTAATGCTCCCATCTGTAGGCCTCGGCCAGCCCTTGCAGTGCCCTCTGCCTGGAATCCTCCTCCTGAGCCTGCATCCCTACATTCCAGTGACTAAGTATCTTTATGTCCCCAGTTCAAATGTCCCATCTTCCTTAAAGTCCTTTCTGATGCCCCCATGAGGAAGGTATTTCTTCCCCATTGAGTCATTGCTTTCTATTTCATTTTGATTTATTCAATATTTTTGTTATGCTATAGATAACTATCTGTCAGAAGCTCTTCTAAGAGCTTTTACAAATAATTGGGTAATCCTCACAACAACCTCATGAAGTGAGGACTATCATCCTCCATTTACAGATAGGGAAACTGATGCTCGGAGAGGCTGGGTCACTTGTCTAGGGTCATCATAGAGGCAGTCTGGCTCTGGGGTTCCCCCTCTCTGTTCTCTATTGCTCTATAAACTGCTTGAGGCCTCATCAATTGATTAAGTAGAGGAATAGAAAAGCCTGGCACTCTGCCAAGAGCCCTGGGGGGAAGGAAGGAGTGAGGGGGAGGAGGCCTTCCCCCTGAAGGCCCCCAGAGCTTGAGGAGGACAAGCCCAGTTGGACAAGACTGAGGAAATAAGATGGTACCCTAACCGAGTTCAGTGCCTCTCTGCTCTGCAAAAGCAGGGATAGGGTGGGGAGAGCACAGATTGTCTTCTCTCTGGTTGCCTAGCTGCCCCCTGATCTCACCTGACACTGGGACTCTGATCCCCTTTCGGTCAGCTCCACTGCACCCCACCCCGCCCCAGATCCCGACTCTCTCTGCTTCTTCACGCCTGTGGGCCCAGGCTGGACTGCTCTGCCCGTTTCCCGGATGTGAAACAGATCCATACTGCAGAGGGAATTGCCCTTCAATAAGTGATGAGTTCCCCCAAGAGCTCTCCTGTGCTTTCCCCCTCCAGAGAATTTTCTGTTTTGTTTACTTAAGGGGGTGATTCCTTTTCATGTTCTCCTTCCTGTATCAAAGACAGCACGGCAGACAGACCATTAACAAAGCAGGGCCTCCGGGTTGTTTTTCCAGGAGGAGGACTGGGCAGGGCCGCTCAGCCTGCTGGGCCTCCTCAACCTCCAGGCTCCCTCCCAGGTCCCCCTCACTGCTGGCTGGAGCAGGAGCAGGGAGGAGGACTTCCCTCTGAGAGCAGAAAATTGGGATTCAAAATAGACCAGTGTTAGGAAGCCAATAGCTTCTCCATACATACTCCAGGCAAGCTGATAGAACTGATAGTTCATATTTTTGGGCTGGGCGTGGTAGCTCACGCCTGTAACCCTAGCACTTTGGGAGGCCAAGGCAGGCAGGTTGCCTGAACTCAGGAGTTCGAGACCAGCCTGGGAAACATGGCAAAACCCTGTCTCTACTAAAAATACAAAACAATTAGCTGGTGTGGTAGTGCGCCTATAGTCCCAGCTACTTGGAAGGCTGAGGCATGAAAATCTCTTGAATCCGGGAGTGGCAGATGGCAGAGGTTGCAGTGAGCCGAGATTGTGCCATTGCACTCTAGAGAGACTCTGTCTCCAAAAAAAGAATAGAACTGATCACTCCTATTTTTTAGAAGAGTAGAGACCCTCCTAAAATCAATCTTAAAATAGCAACAGCAGCAAATGAACTCTAGTGCTTCCCAGAATTTAATGTGCATGCCGCACCTGGGGAATCTTAAAATGCAGATTCTGATTCATCAGGTCTGGGGTGAGGTCTGAGTTTCTGCATGTTTAGCAACCGCTGAGTGATGCTGAGGCTGCCGGCATAAGCACCGCTCTCAGCCACTCAAGGAACTGGTGCATCCAAAAGCCCTGAACTAATCCGGCTTCACGAGGGGAAGATGCAACTATAATAAGGGTGGCCGTGGTGATGTTGTTACTAGGAGGAGTGGTTATTGAGCAGTTACTCTGCACCAGATACTCCATGCCACTGTGGTACAACAGAAGGAAAATCTATCCAGCCTTGCAGGATTTTCCTAATCTCTCTCCAAGAGTCAACAGGGAAGGAGGAAACTGAATATAAGAGGATTAACATTTTCTTTGCAATATGTCTCACTGCCCCATTTGATAGACGAAGTAACTGAGGCTGGAAGAGCTTTGGTAGCTTGCCGAGGTCCCATAACTCACAAGCAGCAGGGCCAGGATTCCAGCTGAGGTGTGCTCTGGCTTTCAAGACCATGGTAATTTGAACACAGCCTCTCATGAGACAGGGAGACAGAGGCAGAGAGAGCAGTGCATACCAGGCAGGACCAGACAAGCAGGCACCAGGGCGCGAGGCGGAATTCCACATCCTGCCTGTGACGCCCAAGACAGTCTCCTAGGCAAAACTGGGGAACTTCATGGAGAAGTTTCTAGGCCTGCTCACCATTCTTCTACCTCACCCTTGTCGTATTCCTGGAGCCTGAGAGAAGAGGGTCCCCTGGCCTTGTCAGCCCCATGAGAGGGGGCAGCAGGAGAACAGGGTCCTAGGTGGTGGCCTCTCTGCTTTCCAGAGCAGGAAACTGAGGCCTGGAGAGGGGAGGGGAACACCTGAAGGTCTCACCAGTGGGCAGGGCAGGGTTCTTGGGCTTGCGACCTGGGCAGTCACCCTGGGCCCCACGCCTAGAAGGGCACCACCCTTGGTGTAATATTTCTCCGCTGCCATCTTGAAATTCTGATTAATTTTTTAACACCACATTTTCTTTTCTTTTTTCTTTTTCTTTTTCTTTTTTTGAGAGAGAGTCTCACTCTGTTGTCTAGGCTGGAGTGCAGTGGTGCAATCTCGGCTCACTGCAACATCTGCCTCCCCGGCTCAAGCGATTCCCTTGCCTCAGCCTCCCGAGTAGCTGGGATTACAGGTGCCCGCCACCACACCTGGCTAATTTTTGTATTTTTAGTAGAGACAGGATTTTGTCATATTGGCCAGGCTGGTCTTGAACTCCTGACCTCAGGTGATCCACCCACCTCAGCCTCCCAAAGTGCTGGGATTATAGGCGTGAATCACCGAGTCCTGCAGCATTTTCATTTTGCACCGGATCCTGCAAAAGATGCCGCTGGTCCTGCCAGTGGGTTAGAGAACACGTCAGGGCTATACCCCCTTTCCGAGCTGCTCCTGGAGGCCAAGACCTGAGCACTGAGCGAGACAGAGCCGTCTCTGGGCAGGCTGCTGCAAGCCCCAACCTCCAGGCAGCGGGAGCCTGGCAGGCTGGAAAACAAAAGAAAACTTCAGGAGAGGCCAGGAGGGAGGAAGGACCTTCTGAGAGGGCAAGAGATGTGCCAGAATTGCGCCTGAGCGAGCTGGGGAACAGATCCCAAGTCCTCCTCTCTTGTCTGTAGTGACAGATGAATGCGTTGGCCGGGGCTCGGGAGGGGGAGGACAGGGGCCAGTTGTCTTCAGGGCCCTGGCCTCTCCAAGGAAACCTCCACCCCCACCACACCCAAACCCCAAGGGCTGGGCAAATGCACGGCGCCCAGCTATGCCAGCCTGTCCCAGGGGCTCTGGGGAATTTAAGCCAAGTCCTTCACTTTGATTTTGGGTTGGCCAAAGGAGAAGGAAAAGGCCAAGTGGATTGGATTCAGAAGCTCCAGCCTGGCCTGCAAGTTCCAGCTCAGACAAGAGGCCTCCCTCCAGCTCCCCATCCCCCACCACTGGTTACTCAGGCCTGGTGGAGAGCAAAGCCAGCCAGACATGCATTCCTCTGGGCCACTGTCCTGTGCCCAGAAGACAGGTGCTGGCATCAGACAGGGCTGAGGAAGGAATTCTGGGATGGAGGCAGGACAGAAGAGAGACTTCATCAGCCCAGCACATTCTAGGAAGACAGCGATGGAATGGGAGGGTTCTCTGGAGACCTGGGGACAGGCCTGAGGTTGTCTGAGCCCCAGGGGCTGGTCTTCGATGTGGACCCCAGAGGGTTTCCTGATTTATCCATGAGCTTGGACCTGCTGTGCTGAGGACAGAGGGGCAGTGTTCGGTCTCCTTGGGTAGCGTCTTCACCCTGTGACCCCTTCTCCATCTTGGCCTGCGCAGGGGGCCCAATCAACAGAACCCAACACTAGCCGGGGGGGTGTAAAATCCAAAAAGAACCTTTGCAATATCGGACAACTGGTGAACACTGCCAGCATGAGCATCTTGTATATTTTGAACCAACTCTACCAGCCCATTTTCTAGTTGCTAGGATGGTCACCTCCAAACTCATGGGGGTTGTTGAAAGGATTCGATGTGTTAATACATGTGAGGCGCTTAGAACACAGACTGGGAAGGGGATAGGCTTTATATAAATGGTGGTTATTACCATATTTCCTCTAAATGCACATTGTTTTCATTTTCATATCTCTGGAGTCAGAATGTATTTTGTGGATTAAATGGCAGCATTTTTTTTTTCTTTCTTGGCGGCACATAAAATAACATGCCTTATAATTGATGTGTCTTAGGTTCAGTCAAATATGGGATGAAAAGGAACACTGTATTCTTAAGACCGCATCTTTCAGCGACGCCTCCTTCCATGTGAGTTGAGTCCTGGGGTGCTCCTCAGCTCCCCCACCCATGTGGAAACAGGCACAGAGGCCACAGGGAGCAGGAGGCCCCAGGGAGCAGAGACCCCAAGGGCATGAGGGATAAGCACAAAGTCCTGGGCCAAGGGTGCCCAGGTTGGCTGAGCCCTAGGCGGACAGGTCAGGAGCACGGTGGGCAGTGGGTGGGACAGGCCCCTAACAGAGCCCCTCGGGCTCACATAGTAATTCCATTGCTGGGTCAGCCACGTTCCCAAATCGTACATCAGACAATCTTCCCACCAACCCTCGAGTGTGAGGATGTTTTGTTTGTTTAAAACCCACATTTGGCCGGGCGCAGTGGCTCACACCTGTAATCCCAGCACTTTGGGAGGCCGAGATTGGGCGGATCACGAGATCAGGAGTTCGAGACCATCCTGGCTAACACGGTGAAACCCCGTCTCCACTACAAATACAAAAAAAAATTAGCCAGGCGTGGTGGTGGGCGCCTGTAGTCCCAGCTACTCGGGAGGCTGAGGCAGGAGAATGGCATGAACCCGGGAGGCGGAGCTTGCAGTGAGCCGAGATCGTGCCACTGCACTCCAGCCTGGGCGACAGAGCGAGACTCCGTCTCAAAAACAAAACAAAACAAAACCAAACCAAAAAACACCACATTTAACAGATGAGGAAACTGAGGCTAGGGAAAGGCTAAGTCATCTGGCCAAGGTCATTTAGCCAAGCAGGCAGAACTAGGCCACATTACAGGCCAGCCTGAGAATATGGCCTCCTCAGGAGCACAGAGAGGAGGCAGGGGGGCCAGGATGCCACCCAGCACACACCGTGGCTGAGAACACAGGCTCTGCGCCCAGTTCCTGGGTCCGTTCCTGAATCCAGCACTCATAAGCCATGCTACTCTGGGCAAGCTGCTGGGCTCTCTGTGTCGGTTTCCTGGTCCATATAATGGGAAAATATGCTTCCTCCTAGACGCCTGAGAGGATTGGAGGGGCAGATCCACAGACAGCATCTAGATTGACATTGCACCTGCAAAGGCTCAGTCACTGTGAGCTTTTATGATGCCCTGAGTTCTGGGGAACCCCAAAAGCTCCTGATCCGGGAGCTGACCTGCAGGTTCCCCTAACCCCACTCATGGGCCTTGAGTGTCTGGGGCTGGTGTGGCATAGGAGAGCTAAACTGACCACCTGGGACGGGCCCAGAGAGCCACACCCCTAAACAAGCAGCCAGTTCTGGGGTCAGGAGAGCCAGGGAAGTGGCCGTCTGTGCTGCTCATGGGGTAGCCCAAGGCTGGTCACTCCTCCTCCCTGATTCCCAGCCCTGCAGAGGATATTCAAACTCACCACACTTCAGAGAGGTGCTGGGGCACACGAGAGGAAGTGTGGCCCCCTTCCAAAGCCACGCCCCAGAGACTGGCTCTTCAGCCACCCCCTCCCACCCCTGGCAAAGGCTGGTGGCTACCCAGATGTGGATCTGGGGTGTCCATGCCCAGACCCCCCTGGACGTGAGCTGGAGAAGCCAGATCATGGGTCCAGCTGTTCTGCAGCTCTCCCACCTCCCAATTCTGCTGATTCCTACGTGGGGGATGGTGCCAAGGAGGGTCCAGAGAACTCAGTCCTGCCAGAGACTGGCCAGCAGCTGCAGTGGGTGGAGCCTGCGGAGGGGGCAGGAAAGCCAGGCTCCTGAGCTCGCACCTCACTTGCCTTTCTTGGCTGCACATCCTCCTCTATAAAGTGAGGTAGCCCTTTGTAATCTGACCTTAGTAATTCTCTTTGTTCCCTACCATTTTAGCTCAGATACGGGCCCTCAGGGAGGCTCCAGAATCTGGAGCCCAAGGAGGGTGCTGGGAAGAAAGACCACAAGCCCCAGACGCATCTGCCTGTCCCACATGTGCTTAGATGATTCACCGTGGTTTAAGCTGCTGTTTCCCTCCTGACGCTTGCATAGCTTCTATGAGATGGTTGCTGCCCAGGAATGCAAGTGACCCTGAGTGTAAGCACCTGAGGGCAGAAGCCACTTGGGGTGTGGCCAGGTACACTTTGGCCTTAGTGATTAGATACGACCAAGGTGCGTATTTGCTGTCTATAATTGCTGCTTGGTATCAGTAAGGATGAAAAAGAAGACCCCAGCATTTCCTAGGGAAGACGGGGGCCCCTCCCATCCTACAAGACTCAGCTTCTATGTTACCTCCTCCTCTGGGGCAGCATCTCAGGTCATCCCTCTGGACTCCCAAATCACCTGTCCTATAGTACCAACCACAGGCTTGCTGCCTTCACTTGACCGTGAGCAATTTGAGGGCAAGGACCTGCCTTAGACTGGGCTGGATCCTGGGCACCTCACTTAGTATACAGATGGTGCTTAGTAAGTGCATGAGAAGCAAAAGAGGTTCATGGTTTTGGTTATCCATTGGCTCATGGGGGTTACTTTGGAGCTTCTAGAAAAGCTCCTTCTCCCAGGAAGGAGGGCTCTGGGCTGGATTTTCTTTCCTTTTCTTTTAAGTCAGGACAGGAGGGGCAAGAGCCTCCTGAAGGAAGAAGTGAAGAATGAGTGCTGGTCAATACCAACCCCCCACCAGGTGCAAGGCCATCACCACGTTCAAGTTCATGTGTTAACTGAGCTTTGCTGTAGCCCTCTGCAGTTGCAGCAGCCGACTCGGAGTCCATGGGCAGAAGTAGCTCAGCTCAGCCACCACCATGACACCTAGACTCGGGCCCTAGGAGAAGCACCTTCTCTTCAAATCTTTATGCCAGGCCTTCTCAAAGTGGGCTCCCTGGACCAGCAGCAGTGGCAGCGACACCTGGGAACTGTCAGAAATGCAAATTCCCAGGCCCCTCCCAGACCCACTGCTTCAGAAGCTCTGGGAATGGGGCCCAGGAATATGCATTCTAACAGGTCCCCAAATGGTGCTCAAGTATGAGACCCACTGCTCTAGGCCACTCCCTTACCTCCATCAAGAGGCAGGTGACACTTGGGCTCTCAGAATGTGGCTCCTGATGCCTCAGATGAAAGGGCACCCCCTCATCCCTCCCATCCCGCCCTCCTCCCTCCTCAACCCCCAGGTTCCCCCAGGGCCTGGCACTATGAGGGGCCTAAGTGTCGTCCCTCTCTCTGCCAGCATCTAGGAGGCATGGCTGTGCCTCAGCTTGGACTCAGCCTGGGCTCTAAGGACCCAGGACCCCTCAAGATCTTTCTCAGCAGAGGCCTAATCCCTAAACCCTGGGGCTGGACATTCCAAGTTCCTGGAGACACAATAAGTCCTAACATTCCCGGGGAGGTGGCAGGCCTGGGGGCACAGACAATGGGCCTTGTGTTCGTCCCCACGCCTTCCTGCTTCAAACCAGGGCTCTGCAAGGGAGGCTGAGCTGTCAAAAGCACCACTGTCCACCCCGCTTGTCCTGCTTGCCTTTGCCCAAGGCCCAGGCTGAGGCTGGCAACCCCTCAGCACACCGCCCCTCCCTGAAGCAGAACGGTGTTCCTTCTTCTTGGTGGTTTCCAGCACTTTCTAGGTTCTTCGTCCACCAGGGCCTGAGGAGGAAGGGGTTAAATGCCAACACCTCCCTTCTCTGTCTTCGTGGGGCTCTGGGACAGAGGAGCATGGGCAGTGGACAGAGCTCTCCAGCCACCTGAAGCCACAGCCAGAAGCGCCTCCTCTCTGGGGCTGATTTCTCTTCATTAGAGCCATCACATCAACACTGACAGCCGCGTATTTATTACTGTCCCGACGACTACCATTTTTCACCCAGTGATGCGCAGGCGGATAATGAGCTTGGAGCCCAGCTAATGAGGAACTCCCCTCGGCCCTCCTTGGCAGCCCAGGCCCCACAACGGTCTGCCGGCCAACCCGCTCTCTGCCTGTAGACACTACACCAGGGCACAGAAAGGAACTCCAAATGGGGAAGTCAAGGGTCACCAGGCTGAGCCAGCCAGAGCTGTCCAAAGCCAACACGCACACTGCCCGTGGGGAAGAGACTTTGGGGTTGACCGAGCAATCAGGTCTGAGCACCGGGCACCGTCTCAGGGCAGAAGCCCCTCTTCCATTCTGGGTTCTGAGTCCTCAAGCCAGGGCAGCCAGAGACAAACATCAGGGATGGGCAGGTGGGCTGCCGGCCAGGAACCCCAGGGGAATGGGTGAGCAGGTGGGCTGCCAGCCAGGAACCCCGGGGAACTGGGTAAGCAGGCGGGCTGCTGACCAGAAACCCTGGTGGGGGACTGGGTGGATGTTTTGGGAGGAGGTGCTTGAACCTAATCAAGAACATTTCCTTAGTGATGCATGGGGAAGGCAAGGTGCTTGCAGCTGTATGGGGCACCAGCCACACACAGTAAGGACCTACTTTGCAAGGGGCTGGTCTTCTGGGAGCCTCAGCTCTTCTGGAAGGTACCCACACATCTAAATGAAAAAGGCCCCTGGGCGGTGGACATAGTGATCCCAGAGCCCAAACCTCTGACTAAGAGAGTCTTCAAGCCCTCAACTAGTCTCCAAATAAGACCCCACTGCTGGTGTTGATTGGCTTGCCTGGCCCAAATTAAGAGGGGGAGGTGGGAGGGTCCAAGACAGCTCCTCTAATGGTTTGGAGCAGTTTGGGTGAAGCTGAAGAAGAACCCAGACTACCACCCAATCACCCAAGCAGCAGGGTCCCCTTGGGAGGGGCAACAGCCGTATCCTCACTCCCACCACCCTTAAGGCATGGCCATAGGCCAGCCATAGCAGATAGGCAGTGTGATGGTTAATATTCAGTGTCAACTTGATTGGATTGAAGGATGCAAAGTATGGTTCTTGGGTGTGTCTATGAGGGTGTTGCCAAAGGAGAGTAACATTTATGTCAGTGGATTGGCAGAGGTGGACCCACCCTCAGTCTGGGTGGGCACCATCTAATCAGCTGCCAGCATGGCTAGATTAAAGCAGGCAGAGGAACGTGGAAGAATTTGACTTGCTGAGTCTTCCAGCCTCCATCTTTCTCCCCGTGTGAGAGGTTTCCTGCCCTTGAACATCGGACTCCAAGTTCTTCAGCTTTCGAACTCTCAGATTTACACCAGTGATTTTCCAGGGGCTCTCAGACCTTTGGCCACAGACTGAAGGCTGCACTGTCGGCTTCCCTACTTTTGAGGTTTTGGGACTTGGACTGACCTCCTTGCTCCTCAGCTTGCAGATGGCTTATTGTGGGACTTCACTTTCTGACTGTGTGATCCAATACTCTTAATAAACTCCCCTTCATATACACATCTGTCTTGTTAGTTTTGTCCCTCTAGAGAACCCTGACTAATACAGGTAGAGTGACTCAACTATGTTTGAGGTCCAACTGCTTTAGAAAACAGCACAGAAAATTTTAAACACAAACAGCTTAAATATATACATGTAAAGCATCTTAGAATCTTACAGATGCTGTGACTCATTCAAGTCTTTCAAGACCAGATTTTGATGTATGTTCTAGGGGGTCCAGGAAGCCATGGGGACGACAAGCCACATCTTCCAGCAGCATCAACCAGCTTTAACATATCCTTTATGTGTTGGGATAGAATTTAGATAGCCCATGGAGTAGAATGCACATATTCACACATTTTAAAACTAAAATAGGCTGGGTGTGGTGGCTCACACCTGAAACCACAGCACTTTGGGAGGCAGCAGCAGGAGCATCACATGAGGTAAGGAATTCAAGATTAGACTAGGCAACCGAGCAAGACCCTGTATCTACAAAAAAAATAAAATGATTAGCTGGGTATGGTAGTGTACACCTGTGGTCCCAGCTACTTAGGAGGCTGATGTGGGAGGATCGCTTGAACCTAGAAGGTTGAGGCTGCAGTCAGCTCTTACTACGCCACCGCCCTCCAGCCTGGCTGACAGAGACCGACATCTCAAAAAATATAAAATTAAATATAAAATAAAATTTAGAAATATATAAGGAAAAGGTCATGGGATAGTAGGTGGTTTCAGGCTGCATGGCCGGATACCCCAGGGCATGTGTCCACCCTCCTTACCATGAGTGGAACATCATGGAAGAGTTTGGAAAAGCTGCATTTACCTTCCCATTTTTTTCCCAATGAGGACACTTGTGGCCACACAGGCTAAAAGGCCTGGCCCAAAAGGACCCAATGAGACTCTTCCACTGTGGCCTCTGAGGCCCACACAGAGTCATGAACTTGTTATATTCTCTCTCTGACTTCACAATTACCTCCATAGCACCCTTAAAAGAGTTAAGTGCATTAATTCAAGAAATAATTTACGTCTAGTACCTCAGTCCTTGTGGATGAAGGGTTATTATCTAAACTCAAGGAGTTCACAATTAAAGAAATCAGTTACACACAGATATTAAAAGATAATTCAGAATCAACAAGGCCAAAGTGCCCAGCGAGACATCTAGACTGGAACAACTGGGAGGAGGAGTCCCAGCTGGAAGTCAGGGACGGCTTCACGCTAGACTTTTTGGGGTCAGTGGAGAGGAGAACAGGGGTTCGAAAGGGGAGAAAGGAAGGTGCTATTGGGCTGGCAGGGTGGGGAGGGCAGTGTGAGCTTGGTGGAAGGCTGGCGTGGGGACAGGTGGAGGCGAGATTGCAGTGGCAGGTAGGGCCAGATTGTGGAGAGTTTGCCGTTGAGGCCACAGCTGTGGGGAAGCTACCAGGGTTCTAAGAGCAAGGGCGTGATAATGACAGGTCTCAGCATCCAGACCCCATCACTAAGACCCTATGGACATCAAGAGGGGGCTCCAAGTGTCCTTAGAGAAAGAAGAGGCCAGCCCAGGGTGCCCCCTGTGTCCTCCTCCTGTGCCCACCCAAGCTAAGGAGAAGCCTGTGGTCAAATGAGCCTACCCTGGGTCCACCAGCCCAAAGCAGCATGGCAAACAGTTCCTGAATGTGGGTATCTTGGCCAAATCTAAGGCAATGGCCTGGGAGGCAGCTGACCTGCATTCATCATCTCTTTCTTACAAGTCAAGCGACCTTGGCAAGTTACTTAATATTTCTGAACTTCCATACTAACAATGTTAATAACATTAATACTTTCTGGCCAACCTCCTTCATAGACTGGGGTGAAGAGCAAATGCGATGTCTATGAAAGCTACCCACATACATTTGAGATTTTATGGCAGGATCCAATAAATACATTCACCTTAAGGCTGAACAGCTGATAATAGCTTAATAGGTGGGTTCTCTGTGCCATATTTGCATTTTAAGCTGGAGACAGAGAATGTCTTAACCAAATCAATAAATCCTTAACAGCAGAAGTTTAGATGCCACTGGCAGGTGTGTGAAAGACAAAAGGAACAAAAGCTGTCGGGGCAGGGGCACCTGTCAAACTGCAGGCCCCAAACGGACCTTGCTTCCAAGATAAAGATACTAAGGACAATGACATGACAAACACTTATTCAGTGTTTATGATACATACACAGAACACTGTGTCCTAAAAGCTTAGCACAGCTCGTTAAACCCTGTCACAACCCAACTGTTATCCTCGTTTTACAGATGAAGAAACTGAGGCATAGACAGGGTGTGTAACTCATCCAAGGTCACCCAGGCAGTAAATGACAGGTAGGATTTGAGCCCAGGGAGTCACCCGCATTTCAGGTTTCTATTTTTTTTTTTTTGAGACAGAGTCTCACTCTGTACCCCAGGCTGGAGTGCAGTGGCGCCATCTCAGATCACAGCAACCTTCGCCTCCCAGGTTCAAGCAATTCTCCTGCCTCAGCCTCTCGAGTAGCTGGAATTACAGGCACGTGCTACCATGCCCAGCTCATTTTTGTATTTTGTATTTTTAGATGGGGTTTCACCATGTTGGCCAGGCTGGTCTTGAACGCCTGTCCTCAAGTGATCCGCCTGCCTCTGCCTCCCAAAGTGCTGGGATTACAGGTGTGAACCACTGCGCCCGGCCCATTTCAGGTTTCTTGGTGCTCTCTGCTGTCCCGTCTGGGCCCCTGCTGCCACTTTCTGCACTGGCTCTCACGGCTCGAAGCAGCAAATGAAGCATCAGCTCCAGATTCATAATTAACTCACATTATGTGGTGACAGCCCAATTGTTCAGGTGCCCAGTGATATTTTTGACCTTTACTCAGATTCTGGGCCTCCCAGATCTGTACCTCCAGGGAGGTGCCCAGGGAAGGGGGAAATTTCCAGAGTCCTGGCTTTACGAGGCCCTTGAGAGTCACTGGTGTCCGCCCCAGATGCCAAATTCCCTGAATGAGCCTCATTATGGCAAATAATATTTCCTTCCGTTAGGACTGTCACATCATCAAAATTTCATCACCCCTCTGGGTCACTAATAGCTTCCTACATGGCATCAAACTTTAATTGCCTTTCTTCCCCTCATCCTCCCCACCCTCACACCTCATTCAATTTAGAAGGCATTTGTGTGGCTCAGTTACTGGCAAGCCAGTTCTGAATGCCCCAAATGACCTTAAGGGAACTCCTCAAATAGCTTTGGGGCATCCCAACCCCAGAGAGAGATGGAGACAAGGAGGAGAGCAGAAGACCTTCAATATTCTGCCAAGTTAAGGCCTAGTGAGGACACAGCCAGGGTGGAGGCAAGAGCCAGGAGGAGCAGGAGGAGGAGGAGGAAAAGGAAGAGGAGGAGGAGGAGTTCCAAGGCCTCTTTCCAAACTCTACACCCCTCCCTGGACCAGCCCGTCTTCAAACAGTACAATTGTCTGGGCATCTCCCTGGAGAATAGCTGTCTCTTCTTGGGAAGACAGTGACGTATGCCGTGGAAGCCAAAGGCAGCCTGGAGCAGTGGAAAGAGGACAGATGTTGGGACCAGAGAGGCCTGGGTTCACATCCTGACTCCTCAACTTCCCCGCTAGAAGGTCTTGGGTGGTTAATCTCTCAGCCTCACTTTATCCACATGTCAGAGTGATAGGGAGGACTGAGGCAGACGATGGTTGTAATGCACCTTGCCATGTCTGACAAGCAGAACTGTGCACCAAACGTGAGCTCGGGATGGAAGGGAAGACAAAAAGATTCTAAACTGGGGAAGAAGCAAAAGAAAATGGGGTGAGCCAAGTGCGGCAGCTCATGCCTGCAATCCCAGCACTTTGGGAGACCGAGGTGGGCGAGTCACTTGAGGTCAGGAGTTTGAGACCAGCCTGGCCAACATGGTGAAACCCTGTGCCTACTAAAAAATTGGTCAGGCGTGGCAGCACGTGCCTGTAATCCTAGCTACTCGGGAGGCTGGGGCAGGAGAATCACTTGAACTTGGGAGGTGAAGGTTGCAGTGAGCTGAGATCATGCCACTGCACTCCAGCCTGGGTGACAAAGCAAGACTCTGTCTCAAAAAAAAAAAAAAAAAAAAAAAAAAGAAAAGAAAAGAAAAGAAAAAGGTGAGAAGATGTGGAAGATATGGGTGAAATATACAGCAAAGATACCAGAGAAGAAAAGCCGTCTTAATGCAGTCTTAAGGCCATTTGGAGGGGCAAGCACAGAAGTACAAATATAGTTAAAGTCATTTATTAAACAAGTGCTTATGATATGTCAGGCTCCATTCTCACTGCTCTATGTGTATTATCTCATTTAAGCCTTGGAAGGTTTTTCTCCTTGTTTTACAGACAAAGAAACAGAGGTTGAGAATGTTAAGTGACTTAACCCAGAGTGCCACAGATAGCAGCTGACAGAGCTTGAACCCAGGTCAGCCCAATTCTGAGGCACTGATCCTATACATACCACTTCTTAACAGCTTAAGGGGGAATAAAATAAGCCTCCAAACAAGGAAGTAACAGCACAGACTGGGGTTCTGCTTTAGGAATGTGCAAGGTAAAAATGTCTTGTGTAAAGTCACCCTCTGTATGAAATGCAGAGACCACAATGTCTTCTCTGTGGTTATGAAGGAACACTAGGCATTGCCAGTGCATGAGATCCTGTTGTCTTTTTCCAGCACACGAAAGCCTGCACTTCCTAGCTCCCTTGCCATTAGGTGGGACCATGTGATCCACTCTAATGAATGGGCTACAATCAGAAGAAACACAGGCTAAATAATTATTATTATTGTTTTGAGACAGAGTTTTGCTCTGTCGCCCAGGCTGGAGTGCAGTAGCGTGTTCTCGGCTCACTGCAGCCTCTGCCTCCCAGGTTCAAGCAATTCTCCTGCCTCAGCCTCCTAAGTAGCTGGGATTACAGGCATGCGCCACCACACCTGGTTAATTTTTGTATTTTTAGTAGAGACAGGGTTTTGCCATGTTGGCCAAGCTGGTCTCAAACTCCTGACCTCAGCCTGCCTGCCTCGGCCTCCCAAAGTGCTGGGATTACAGGCATGAGCCACCGCGCCTGGAGGGGAATATAAGTGCTGAGGCAAGATCTTCCTCTCCCTTTTCCTCTGGAGCATTAATCAAGGACCTTGTGTATTTCAAATGGTACATCCATGTATGAATGGCATTACCCCCTAAACCTTCTACCCCTCCTCTCAATTTCCTTCACATCATAAAGTTGGAGTTCAGCTGATGGGGCTTCAGCAGAGACCCAGGGGCTGCCCAACCCAGATGCCAGGCCTGCTAAGAGGCAGATTCATCTGTCGGGCCAGAATCAGGAAGAGCTGGGAAAATGACCAGAAAATCTGAGCAGGGACTCCTGTCTCAATGGCAACACTACCCCATTCCATGGATGCATCTGCGGGAGCTGCTGGAGGGCGGGGCCCCCACTCTTGAGGTACCTGGCTGCTCAGTGCGCTGAGGGCTACATGGCATGGGGTGTGCTGGATGTACAGAGACGAGAGGCATTTCACAAGTCAATCAGCTCTGGAGATGGGGCGAGAGGCCTGGCAGGAAGCTGGAGAGCTGGGAGGGGCCAGATGACCGTGGGCTGTATGCCTCCAGTAAGCATTCATTCATTCATTCAGTCTTCATATTATGCTGACTCCTCCTACGTGCCAGGCACTGCCCTAGTGGCTAGAAATATACCAGTGAATGAAACAAAGCCCCTGCCCTCCAGAGACACCAATAATAAACAAACAAGTCAATATATGTCAGCTGGAGCTGAGTGCAATGGAGAAAATGATGGAGAGCGAGGGAGTGGGTGCTGGAAGATGCCACGTTATAGGGTGCTCCGAGATGGATAAGACATATTAGGAGGAAGTCCTGGAGGAAACAAGGGTGAACTTTGTAGACATCTGGGTGGTGTGGGCACCACTGATGGAAAGGCAGGAACTTCAAGTGCCAGGTTGGAGGCCTGGTAAATTCCAGGAACAACAGGCAGTCAGTGTGGGGACAGGAGTGAATGCAGGGGGAGTGAGGAGATGAGGTGGGAGGGGAGGTTCATGTCTGGGGAGTAGAGGGGCAGTGATCAGGACACCCTCCTGGACTGTAATGGACACATTATAAGAACTTAACATTTACAAAGGGCATTTTCAAAGTGATCTGGACAATCTCATTTGATTATCCAAGACAACTCTAAAAGGTAGATAACAGTCTTTTTTTTTTTTTTTTTTAATGAGACAGGGTCTCGCTCTGTTGTGTAGGCTGGAGTACAGTGGCACGATCTCAGCTCACTGCCACCTCCGCCTCCCAGGTTCAAGAGATTCTCCTGCCTCAGTCTCCCAAGTAGTTTGGACTATAGGCTCCCACTACCACGCCTGGCTAATTTTTTCATTTTTAATAGAGATGGGGTTTCCCCACGTTGGCCAGGCTGGTCTCGAACTCCTGACCTCAAGTGATCTGCCGGCCTCGGCCTCCCAAAGTGCTGGGATTACAGGCGTGAGCCACTGTGCCTGGCTGGTAGACACAACTATTTTTAACTTTACTCATTTTACAGATGAGAAAACTGGCTCAGCTCAGCATCGCCCAGTGATGGAGGCAGGATTCAAAGGGGCAGAAGCCACGCTGGGAGCCATTCACCACGTCTGCAGGAGAAGGGTCTCCCCAGGGCTCCCTGGGCTCAGCAAGAGGCTTTTTGGTCCAGGCACCAGGCCCAGGGAGTCTGAGGGGACAAGCCCTGCAGTCCCCTCTCTCCCTTCCCCCGGGGATGCTGAGCATCCCTGCTCAACGCTGCTCACTGGCTCTGCCTCCTGCCCAGCACATGGACAGCAGGGGTGGGACACCTAGGGGAGGGGGCACCCGGGGTGTCTCGGCAACCAGCTTGTTTTCCTTTCCATTACAGGCAGTGGGCTGCAGCCGCCAGTTGCTGCTGGCCCATTTGTTGCTATTGGCATCCCAAGGCCCCAAATTATGATGACTAATTCCCACCGCTTTAGGCAGCTCCAGGGCTGTCTGTGGCAACATGCTCCAGGGGGAGCGGGGTAGAAACCCCGCAGGGCGCACACTAACACCCGACATCAATTCCAACTCAGCCTCCTGCCTCCCAGAGGGGCTGGGAGTCCGTAGGGACAGGGAGAGGGTTCCAGCCAATCAGAGGACCCCTTCAACCACAGCCAGATCCTAGGAAAACCAGCTATAAGGGGACAATTTCTTCATCAGCATAAAACATAGCTAACAGCCAGCTGGTGTTGAGCAGTAGTGAGTCCTCCATCATCAAGGGTATGCAAGCAGAGACCAGATGGCCTTGTGGGCAGACGACGGTCCTAGATGACTTTTCGTGTGTCTTTCAAGTCAAATGCAATGATTCCCATTAGTCCTTAGGACAGAAGATAAGCCCATTCTCCCCTCCTTGTTAGCTTACAGCCCGACTGCGTCCTGTGGTACAAAGTCAAATGTGGACCAATATGCAGGTTAACACTTCATTTTAAAGTCAGCCATTCAGGCGCTGTTTAAACAGAGGATCGCTGTAAAGAATTTGGCCTCCTTCCCAGCCTCCTTTCCCTTGTAGAACAAGGTTCCTGGCCCCTATGCCGGCCTTCCAGTAGAGGACACGAGGAAGAGGCAGTCGATAAATATTTGCCGAACAAATGCATGAAGCGGGGGTGGGGTGTGTGTGTGGGGGGGTCGAGGGTGGGATTTCCGAGGCAGGTGTCAGGCTGCCAGCGGGATGTAGCCTCTGGGTGGGGGTCCTGACTCTGTTCCTCCCAGGCAGGGGCCATTTTCTGCAGCCAGTGGAAGCACCAAGCTGTATCCCTCATCTAACCACTGCCAGAATGTTCCGGACTCCCCCGCGGAAGCCAAGGGGTACAAAGGGTGAGGGAAAGAGGGGCATGGGAGAGCAGGGACACCCCCATTCCACTCTCGAGTGGGGCTTTTGACAGCTGAGCCCCAGGCAAGCACGACACTCGGCCTCCTGGTAATTAGCGAAAGGCCCTGATCAATAAGTTATTTTTTGCTGTCAGTAATTAATAATTACAGCTTAGCCACACCATGTAATTAAACTTTCATCCCGCTCCCTTGTGTACTGTTGGCTTTTATTGTGATTAGCTCCCAGCACTAAACTTTCTCCCTTTGGAGCCTTTCAGGAGCCTCTAGAGCTGGGGGTTCCAGTCCTCTTTCAGGGTTGTCCCCACTGCCTTGTTCTCTCGGCTCAGATTCCCTTCCTTCTGTTCTCCCCCCAGGCATGATTCTCTTGAAAGAAACTTCTGGAGCAGCTGGCTCGGCTGCTCCTGCCCTTCTCCCAACCTCTCAGGCTGGCCAGGATGACCTCCAGCAGTAATCAAGCTTCCAAGCACATGGGAAATCTCTCGAGACTCTAGTTAAAAGACTTCCAGGCTCACCCAGACCTTTCCAATCAGTGTCTGGGAGCGGAGCCCAAGAATCTGCATTGCTACAACTCCCTGGGAGCTAAGTGCTTGAGGGCCACTCTTTGAGACACAGTGATGTGGCCATGGAAGGAATTTAAAGAAACCTCCTGGGTAAGGAAAAAGAATTCAAGGTCTTATTGGTGGGTGGCAGGGTACCATTCTTCATGGACTTCTAGCTTAATGTTAAAACCGTCATAACAAGAATAATAATTGCCATGTATTAAGTACCTTCTATGTGCCAGGCACTGGCTGGGGCCCTGCCCCTGGAATATCTTGAATTCTCCTAGCAATTCTACAAGGCAAGAGCTATTATTGCCAGTGTACAGATGAGGAAACTGAGGCTCTTAGTGGCTAAGAGCCTTGCAGAAGGCCTCTCTTCAGCGAAGCGGCAAAGCCAGATCATGAGAGCCCGTTCTTTCTGCTGCCAAAGCCAATGCTCTTTCTACAACCTCACTGCACTTTGCTTGGGAAATGAGTTTGCATCATGTGACCCATCGGGCATACGGCCAATGGTCAAATGTTAGCTTTCAGTATACCCAGGTGATGTCGCTCAGGTCCAGCACCCACCCCCCATCCCCAAAAAAAACCAACCAGGCTAGGCTCAGATAAAATCTGGTGACAGTGGTCGATGTGAAGTTTGTCTCAAGGGAGGAACAATTGTTTCGTCCCTCGTTCTGTGCCATGCCTGGAGAAGCAGGCTTGTGGGCTCAGAAATGACAGTGCTAGTGGCTTCAGCTACCCCCCAAAGGATTAATGTCATGGCCTGAGACTGGAAAAAACTCACTCTCTAACCCCAAAGCAGATAAGAAAGGACCTCATGCCCTAATCCCACCCCCTCCAACACTCAAACCCAGCACTGCCAAGCCTAGGACCACGTTCCCACAATCCTTTGCAAGGCTTGCCTCCAGGGACACACACAGCAGGAGAGGGCTCGATGCTGGAAAACACTCTCGGAGCCAGAGAACACGAGCGGAGCAGCAGGGGACCTGGGCAGCCTGACACGCAAAAAGCCAGCAAACAAGAAAGGCAGAGAGGAAGTGAATCAATCACAGAGACTTTCTCTGCTTCTGACAGGGAAGCCCCTCCCGCAGGAGGCGCAGGGACAGGGGGCCACCTGGCCTTAACTTCAGCAGGAGGGGTGGGATCTTGGCCTCAAGTGGATGGCACAGGTGTGGACGTGGGGCAGGAAGGGACACATGAAGACCCCAAAGCAAGGGCCATCAGGTGCCCTGGGGACTCTATAAGGGCCTGGTCCTAGATGAGACAAGAATTGGTGAGCCACCTGCCCAGGGAAATCATACCATTGTTGAAAAGTCTGTAGAGCAATGAAGTTAGAAGGGTCCAGACAGATGCTGGCATCCCGTCCCTCCACGCCGTCCAGGCTTTTGGCTAGTAACACTGGTTGTCCCAGAGCACAACTGTGAGGCTGCTCCAGGATGAAGGACAACCCATTCCTATTCTGCCAGCATCAGGGTCCTCCTGGGACCCCTCAGAGAGGGGGCCCAGACCAAGGAGACCCCATGCAGCTAGTCCTGGTTTGAGGGAGAGAGGCTCAGAACTCATCTGGTTCCAGACCTGCCTCTGCCCCCAGATCACAGAGTGGCCTTGGGCAAGTCATTTAATGCCATTTGGCCTCAGTTTCCCTATCTGTTAAATGGCTACTAGAATAAGATGACCTCTGAGGTCCTCGCTTGTTCAAAGATTTTATGATGATCATAAAAATAATAACTTTTATTACCCTACATTTATAGGGCTCGTTACAAAATTTCGAAGTGCTTTTATGTAAATTACCTCGTAAAATCCTCCCCTCAGCCCTGTGAGTGAGAGCTGATTATTTTCATCTCTTTGATCTTGGCTCTCTGGATTGCCTGGCGCACGAGGCGGCGTGGGGAGTGGGTTGCAGCCCCCACAGTCCGGACCCCTAGGGTGGGTCTGGCCCCCTCCTGAGCCTGCGAGAGTGAAGGCCTAGCCCTGCGAGTCCTGGAGCTCGGTCCAGGCTTCGTCTCCCTCCGCCCCCAGCAGGCGCCGCTCGGACACCGCTGACACCACTGTCTGGATCGGCGAACCCCAAAGTCGAGGAACCGCCGGTGCAGCCGCCCTTCACCTCGGGGACCTGCCCGGGGACCAGGGGGACGTCTGGGCATCCACCCTCAGGAAGCGGGCAGCGCAGATCACACCTCGGATCCTTCGTAGCACTCCCAAACCCAAAGCCACCAGCCCTTCTCCACCGCGAGGCTGCTCCCGGCAGCCACAGGTCACAGCAGCGAGCGGCTGCACAGACTATCGAGCGAACAGCGGAGGCTGGAGGCAGGGGCGGGGATGCTGGGTGTGGGTGGATGGGTAGGAGGGGAGGCCTCAGACCCTCCCTGTGCACCACCCCCCGGTGGGTCCGCGGCTGCACCCGCGACCTTGGCTCCAGGCCCGCGCAGCGAAGCACCCCCAGCCCCAGCGGCTGGCCGAGCAGCCAGGGGCGGGCTCCCGTACGTGGCCAAGCCGGGCAATTGCTCTCCCCGGGCGAGCAACCCGGCATCCAGCGCTCGCCCACCCCACTCCCTCGCCCCGGGGAGGCCATCGCCTGCCCGGCAGGGGCCCTGCCCTTCCCCGCAGACACCGAGCAGGGAACCAGGAGCTCGGTCTGGGAAGCTCAGCGTAGCCGAGCGTGGAGCCCGGCACGGAATGTCGCTCCCCTCCCAAGCCGGCGCAGGGCAGCCACAGCAGACGGGGGGAGGGGAGCGCCCCTCCCACTTCACCTTGGGCTCTTCTCTGCCTCCCCAGGTCGTCCCCACCTTCCCCCATTCGGAAGCCACAAGTCTCGGAGAGACTGCCCCACCCCCAAAAGAGCCCCAAAACTTGGGAGATGGGGTGTCTTGAAACTCCCTGGAGAGGGCTCTGCCACGGCTAAGCCGGGTGTCCAGGAGGTCACCGTGAGGCCGGCCAGCTCCCGCCGCCCCTCCCCCGCCCACTCTCCCAGCCCCCTCCCTGTCCCCACGTGGGGGTCCCTCCTTACCTTGGGCTCTGGCCGCGCGGATCTGATGCAGAGCTAGCAGTGTCCAGATCAAAAGCCCCCACATGGTGACCAGCCTGGAGAGGGGTCCTCGGGGTCTCCCTTCCCTCCGCCCTGTTTTATAATCCTGGTGGGGTCCGATACCCCGTGGCTTAGTCCCAGGAAACAGTCAGTCTACGCGGCTCCGTGCCCCGGGGTGTAATATGCCCGGGAGGGGCAGCGCTTGGCTACCCCAACCCTTCCTCCTCTTCTGTACTAGTCCGAGCCCGGCAGCGCGCCCGGAAGGCGAGGGGCGAGCAGGGAGAAAGAGGCCAGGCCGCCCTCTCGGACTAGGGCGCCTCTCTCCCTTAGCACCCCAACTCCGACTTCTCCCAAACAGGGCGGCCTCTGCGATCCGGCCGGGTCGCCGGCCGAGCTCCGGAATAAATGGACAACTTCAGGAAACTTCCTCCCGTGGCCACGTTGCCCGCCCCCTCCCCGCCCCCTGGTTGGGTTCTCCCGGCCGACGCAGTCACCGCCGTTCCAGGCGCCGGGCCCCCGGGACCCGGCCAGAGCCGAGCGCAGTGGCAGACGCGGGTGCGGGGGTTCTTTTAGGGGCGCCGGTTTCGGGGGACGCGGTGAGCATAGCGGTCCGAATCTCCCTGGAGCTGAAGTTTTCTTCTCTCTAACTTTGCAGGCAGCATCTGGCGGGGCCGAACCACCCCCTCTGGGCTCCACCGCCCTCGCGCCGAATCGGGAGACGCCGGGTCTCCTCCGGGGGCGCTGGGGCCGGGCGCGCCCTCGGCTCCGCGCCCAGCCGGCTAGCAAACTTTGCGGGTCCCGGAGCCGGGCGCGCAGCCCTGAGCGCCCATGTCCGCGCCAGCCGCGGGGCGGCGGGGGAGGGTGCTGGGCTTCGCGACGCGGGCTGTCGCCGGCGCCCGGGCGCAGAGCCTCCTGCCGGCCCGAGGATGGAGACCGGCGGCTCTGCCCTCCGCCGCGCCCCGGCCGGAGCTCTCGGGAAGACGCACGGAGAGCCCGGCGGGCAGCCCCGGCTCCGGGGACGCGGCGCCCCTTCGGACGCCCGGCGATCGCCGACCTCCCGGGCCGGAGGAGCAACGGCCGCCCCAGCGCCTCGGCCGCCGCTGCCGCTCGCCGAGCCCGCCGCCCTCCGCTTCCCGGGCTCGGCGTCCAGAGAGCCGCTCCTGCCTGCGCCGAGCCGGAGCTGCGGGGGCAGCGTGAGCCGGGGACGAGCGCGGCGGAGGCGGAGACGCGGAGAGGGGGGCCGAGCGCTACCCCGTGGCCGCGACTGGAGAGCAGCCTGCGCGCCGGGAGGGGCGGCGGCGGCGGCGGCGGCCCCGAGCCAGGCCCGGGAGCGAGCCCCGCAGAAATACAATCCGACTGCGCGGCCGCGGGCGCCCAGCGGCTCTGGGACCCGCAGGGGGGCAGCAGTGCCAACCTTCTGCCGCGCCGGGAGAGATGCGCGCGAGCCCCTCCGCTCTCTGCCCAGCCTTTCCTTCCAGCCTCGCTCGCGCCCCTGTCTCAAAGGCCTCATAGGACTCCCAGAGTCTCCTATAGTCGGGAGCCCCCAGCCCCCTTCCGGACATGGAGTGATTGGTGGGGAGGCGGCGGTTGGGAAAAGGGGGTCGGTCAACCGATTGATTCCAGTTTCCCCTTCCCAAGTCAGGCTCTCCAAGGTCTGGAAATGCTCAGGGCGGAGGGGGAGACATCGGGAGGCCTGGGACCTGCAGAAGCCTGAGAAAGTGAAGTTGGTGCCAAGGAGCGTGCGTTCTTTGTTTCTTCTTTTTTCCTTCGGAGCCCAGCTTGTAAAGAGTAGAAGAACCGGACATTGGTGGAGGAATTCAAACAAGAGAGCCCGGAGGCGTCCTCTGCTGTGGCCCAGAGCTAGCGCCTACTCCACGAAGCTCAGCTGGGGTTAACAGGCTTCTGTTAAAATTTCCCGGGCACTGGGAAAATTTCAGGTGCCTTCGCCTCGGTGGACTCCTTTCCCTGCTAACAAAATTATTAAAAATAAGATTTTGCAACTGCGTTGGCATAAGGAAAAGTATATTAATATTGCATATTAAAACATGTTCTTCAGCCTAAAGCTTTACTTATTTTTTTCTGATTTTAAAAGAAATCAAAACATTTTCATGGGCCCCAAAAGACTATGGTCCCTGGCACTGGGCCTGCGGTGCTTAATGCAGAAGTCTACCCTGCGTGTCTGATATTTCTTCTGGGAAATAAAGAGCTAGTGAGACCCTCCATCTTTTGCCACAGTGCTTCTCTCTACTCTCTCTCGTGGTCCTACTTAGTCTGGTCCCCCACGGCTGCCTAGTCTTTCTGGTCCTTGAAGTCTAGGACTGTCACTCACTGATTGCCAACTCTTTCCCAGGCGCACTCCCACCCCAAGGACACCCCTTGTGATTGCTGTGGAATAGGCATAGCCACCGCAAATATATCGTTACTTATATATTCTCCTTTCACCTGCTTTGGAAGAAGAACCGTAAGCATTTATTAAAAATGTCTGAGAAGCTGGCCTGCCTTGCCTACAGCGTTTCAATCACCTAATTCAAACAACATTTCCCCCTGGCAACCTGCTCCATCCCCAGCTGAAGCCCCTCTGGCTGGCTGATTTGTAAATGCGAGGGCTTTGGGGGCAGGCAGCCTAGATGTGACCAACTCTCCTTCTCCTTGGTGGCCATGTCACTCCCACCTGCTTAATGATGCCCAGATGTGACAGTGCACACCCCCTACATACTCTGAATGTCCCCAGCTGTGAGCTCAGGCCCTTCCCAGACTGTCAGGAAGAGCTCTGGTCTTTAGGGTGCTGTTACTCTGTTCGCTCACAGAGGGGGCCTGAGAGCCGTATTTGCGGGGAACCTCTCCTTCTGTCTCTTAGGCCAGATAGCAGAAAGGGCTGCATCTCCGTTTACATCACAGAGGGTAGGAGTTCGCGTGGACATAAAAGTCTGAAACCTGGGTGGATTCCACCCTGATCGTGCCCAATTCCCAGAAGTCCAGCAGGCAGGAATGTGAGCTCCACGTGCCTAGGGCCTCGAATAGCATCGTTCCCTTATTAAGAGGAGGCCTCTTGCACAACCGTTTGGAGCCCTACAAACCTTCTTCTGGGAGTTTCATCCCTAACACGTGAGACGGGGACCCATCAGGGACTGGTGTGAGGAAGGAGGTTTCCTTTTCTTTGTTGGAAGTCTCCAGGCATGCCTGCCAGTTAGAGAGGAAAGGACACCACTCCTGCAGCTCCTACAGCAGATTTCGGTCTCCATCCATCTAGGATGAAGAAGAAGATTTGAGCTCTTTTTGGCCTCAACCCATACACATACACACACAGGAAGGAACTCTCTGATTTTGCCTCTTGCCAGAGTTTTGCTGGCCCAGGAGAAGGCTGAGCTGGGAGTCTGCCACTTTGAGAGGGGCTCGTTACTGGGAAAGTCACTTGCAGACACCATGAGCTCATTCTTGCCACCAGCGGTATAATTAGAGGTTGCATCGGTACAGTTACAGTGGGCGCCACGTCAGGAGGGCTGCGAGGATTTCCCAGGCTCACTCTGTTTCCTTGTTGCAAGCCTGCCCCTTCCTGTTGGAGCCCGCACGGACAGCTCTCCCGGAACACTCGGGACGGAACCTGGGTCTTCCTCATCTATATCCCATTTCCCTCATGCCCGGGGTCTGCACCTTGTTGAAGACCCTCCTCTCCATACCTTTGGCTCTTTTAGTTCGGGGTGGGGGGCGGCGGAAGCAGAGAGCATCACAACACATTTCCAAAGAGAAGGAAAAGCCTAGATCATTCTGCTCTGTCTCCTTCTCCCTTCCAAGTGGATGTGATTTTCAAATGTTACCCTTCTAGGAAAATGCTCACTGAACCCCAGATAGGGCCCTTTTCCTAGCCTTCCATCCCACACATAGTCAACGAAAGGGCAGCCCTGCAGAATCTTGTGAGGGAGGCTTCAGAGTGGGAGGAGAATTACCCCATGCCCCAGCCAAGGAGCACGAAGGCGAAACCCAGGACAGTCAGATGAGCTGCTCAGCCACAGAAGGCCCAGATCCTCCTTAGCCTGCCGTCCCTCTACATCACACTCCATTTCCCACACAGAACCCAAAGGCTGGGCAGGGACAGAATCAGCTTTTCAATATGGTTATTGTGTCTCTTTTTTTCTATTTTCAATCTCAAATGTAACAGCAGCTAGAACAGAGTGTGCAATTGCAGAGTAAGACTGTATCCTCTGGCAGCCCCGGATCTGTGTCGGGGACTGGCAGGGACCAGCCAGGAGGCAGTGACGGTGATACCAGGGAGGCAGCGGCACGTGCTTTTGCTCCCTCCTCACGCCTTGTACCCACTCCCTGTACCCACTCCCTCATCCCAAGTTCTCTGCTTCCCAAGTTGCTGGGGGCTGCCCTTAGCCAAGAAATGCACTCTGGTGGCGATTTTGCCTGGGAAAAGAAGGTGGAAGGAGTGAGCGCAAGGGTTGGACACAACTCAGTTTAGAAGAAAAATGAGTGAGGCCAGAAGAGGAGGCAGAGTGGAGGTGGCCTTTAAACTATGGGTCTACAGAACAAAATCACTCATTCGTGCTTCCCAACTACGCCGTTCCCAGCATCTCATTCCTCAGAGTGAGGCTGTTCTCAGGGTTGCTGTAGGTGGGGCTGGGCCAGGGCCCCCCAGAGTAGAGACTTTCAGCAAAGCCATCTATACTACCTGCAGGGAACTGAGACACCTCACTGCCTTGAAACAAGGGCTTCCAGTAAATACCTCATGGCATTCATTTTTCCTTTTTGTTCTGTGTTGAAGGTGGAGAAAGGGAAGTAGTGGAAGAGGTAGAAGTGGTTTATTAATCTCAATCGGAGAGAGAGAAGCCCTGAGTCCCTGTCTCAGCTCCAGCTGACATAACAAAATACCATAGACTGGGCAGTGTAAGCAACATGCATTTTGGTTTGTTTGTCAACTTTTTGTTTTTATTCTGGAAAACATTTTCAGCATGCATACTAGTAGAGTGTCTAGCATAGAATTCTGCTGTTCAGTATGATAACCACCAGCCATGTGTGAGACAGAGCACTTCAGACTGGGTTACTGACACACATTGAAATGATTATAGTTTGCAGCTATTGAGTTAAATAAAGATAATTTTAAAAAAGAATTAGCCTATTTCTTTTTACCTTGTAAAATATGACTACTGGGAAATTTAAAATGACACATATGGTTCGCATGACGTATTTTGGACAGTGTTGGCATAGACCCCCCTACTTATCTATGCCCATTTCAATAGTCATCAGCTTGCGGCTCTTCTTGTTTCATTTACACCCTATGCACTTAATTTTTTTTTTCTGCTTTGATGCCATCTTTACCAATGTACAGAGCTAAATTTTGTTGACAGCAGACATTTATTTCTCTCAGTTCTGGAGACTGGGAAGACCAAGATCAAGGTGCTGGCTGATTCAGTTCTTGGTGAGAGGTCCTCTCTTCCTGGTTTGTAGACAGCCGCCTTCTTGCTGTGTGCTGGGTCTGCACGAGGCAGAAGGAGAGAGAGCAAGAGAGAGAGAGAGGAAGAAAGAGGGAGAATCAGGGTAGAGAATGAGAGAGAGAGGGAGAGACAGTGTGTCTCTTTCTCTTCTTACAAGGACTCTAATCTCATCATGCAGCCCCATCCTTAAGGCCTCATCTAAACCTAATCACCTCCCAAAGACCCCACCCCTAATACTATCACATTGAGGGTTAGGGTTTCAACATTTGAATTTGGGATTAGACACAATCCTAATCCAGGCTCCGTCCCCACCCTCAATTACCCATTAAAATTTGCTTTATGGGAATGGGCCTAAGTGCTCAATGCATGTCCATGGCTGGGTTGGGCTAGGGGAAGCCTGTATCTTCAGCTTCTCTGTGCTAAGGTCAAAACCACTGTGGGGTCTACTCCTGGCTTTCAAGCCCTGGGATTTGATTGGCTGGGCACAGACCTAAACAGATTGAGGTTCCAACTTCTATGCTCTTCCCTGCTTGTGCCCACCAGTTCTCCAGGAAAAGAGGAAAAGAGACATGGAGAAATGGAAGAGAATATCCCCAAACCACCAATACTGGTGCAGAAATGCTCACTAGCTTGCTGATTGGGAGCCAGATGCAAGCCGGAGAGAAAAAGACGTTAAGAGACCACAGGAGACATTATTTTTAAACAATAAAGCTGCTAAATGTAGGCTAGGCTAGAGGAGGACATGAGTGCATAAGAAATGGGAATCTTCTCTCTCTGGGCCAGTTTAGCTATTCTGAGCCACGGGCAGAGCATGGGGAGGTGAGGGTGTGTGCTCAGCCAAGTCTGGTGGAAGCCCAGTGCAACTGCCAGACAGGAGAGGGTGCTATAAACATGCTGCTGGAAGACTCAGGAAGGAGGAGGTTGGTGGGGTCAGAATGTGTACTTTGTGGTAGTTTCAGAAAGAAAAATAGCACCCATTTTACTCATGAATGTCTTTAATGTGTCTACTATAAGATATGTAAACACCAGGGAGAAGTCTGCCTCTGGGTGGCTGGGACATTGATCTTTGAATTGCACAAAGAATTAGAATCATTTAGGGCCATTCGAAATCACAGAGTGATGAACTCTAACTTCAACAATGTTTATTTAATCTGCCTAGTACGAGAGCAAGCTAGTGGATTTGCCTCTCAGAGTCTACACAGCCAAGTGTCACAACTTAGAGGGTGAGTGCCTTTGATTGGGCATGTTCCTGGCCAGCCTCGCGGACCTCCTTGCCCGATTATAGCCACACCTGCCTCTGGACTTTGCTCTTGGAGATCCCTGTGTCTGAAATGCCCTCCCTCCAAACGTCCCCACCTTCGCTGCATCCGCGTTTAGAAGGTACCCGGCCAGTGAGACCTCCCCGTCAATTGCTTTGAAAGGGCAATCCCACTCTTGCGTGATGTTCAAAATAGTCAACATTGGAAAAGCAGAGGTACTGACCAATCACAGAAGCTACTGCCTGATCCTCTCCACCAGCATGCCCTGCTGTGTGTCAGCCCTGCCAACTCACCAACACACACATGCACTCACTGCAGTGCACACATACAGACATTCTCCCTACTCCCCCTTTCTTACCTTTTCCCCTTTAGCACTCTTACCACTATCTGATATATCATAGATTTTACTTGTTTATTTATTGCCTACCTTCCCCTGCTAGAATACAAGCAGCTTGAAGGCAAGAACTTTTGCTTATTTGTCCCTGTGTATTTAATCAAAATCAGACCAAGCGATGATATTTGTTCAATGTAATCAAAACAATGAGAGAAAATATACATGAAGTGTGAACAGCCTTTCAATTTTATTACTGTGTCTTTACTTCAGTTGACCCTGCAAATTAAGCTATTTACACCTCAAATGTGTGTTTTCTGATATCTGGATTTACAGCAAACACTCACTAATCCCTAAAAATTAACCCAGTATTTGACAAATATCTGCAACATATACAATCGCATACATTAAATTAATTTCTAAGAAATAAGGCTTTGCAGAGCCAAATAAGTTGAAAGGCAGCGTGAGTTTTAGGCCTGAGGCCACTTCTCAACAGCTATGCACAATATACACATTCTAAGTTAGGCTATGAATGAGTTAGGGCTGCTTACTTGGTTTCCGAAAACGATACTTCTTTTTATAAAAGTTTACACTACAGAATCCTTCAAAGCCAATGCATATAAAATAAGATTCCATTTACATTTTAGGATCAAAGCCTACCCATGCTAGGATAAGATGGAAGCTTTTTTTTGGGGGGGGACAGAGTCTTGCTCTGTCGCCCAGGCTGGAGTGCAGTGGTACGATCTTGGCTCACTGCAAGCTCCGCCTCCCGGGTTCACGTCATTCTCCTGCCTCAGCCTCCCGAGCAGCTGGGACCACAGGCGCCCGCCACCATGCCCAGCTAATTTTTTGTATTTTTAGTAGAGACAGGGTTTCACTGTGTTAGCCAGGATGATGGAAGCATTTTTTAGGAGGCAAAATGCAAGATTGAATGAGTGCCAGAACACAGCCTCAGAGAGATCTGAGTTCAAATTCCTGCCTCACAGGTACTAGCAGAAGATACTGCCTTACCCGCCTGTAATCCTGGCACTTCGGGAGGCCGAGGCAGGTGGATCACCTGAGGACAGGAATTCAAGACCAGCCTGGCCAACATGGTGAAACCCCGTCTCTACTAAAAATACAAAAATTAGCTGGGCGTGCTGGCATGTGCTTGTAATTCCAGCTACTCAGGAGGCTGAGGCAAGAGAATCGCTTGAACCTGGGAGGCCGAAGTTGCAGGGAGCCAACATTGTGCCATTGCACTCTAGCCTGGGCGACAGATCAAGACTCCATCTCAAAAAACAAAAACAAAAAAACCCTCTTCATTTCTGAGGAGATGGATACAAGTACCTGCCTTATAATGCTGTGAAGATTAAGTGGGATAACACAGAGGGTCTGGCAACTAATAAGGACTCAATGATATTAGCTATTAAGATTAAAAAATCATTCTTCAATTGTTGATTAGATTTATGGAACAATTCTGCTTACTGTACTCCTAGAGATAATAGAACAATATTTCTAGAGACAATGGCAGTAGAATTTACTCTAGAGCAGGGGTTGATAGATATCATATATGGGTCAAATCTGGCCCACCAGCTGTTTTTGTAAATAAAGTTTTATTGGAACACACCCATGTGCATTCCTTTGCATATTGCCTGTGATTATTCTTGCAGTTACTTGTGCTCTATGACAGCAGAGTTGAGTAGTTGTAACAGAGACTGTATGGCCTGCAAATTTTAAATATTAACTATATAGCCCTTTAGAGAAAAAGTTTGTTGACTCTTGCTCTAGAAGCAAATGAATGCAAGTCATTCCACATGTTTTTTAGATCTGGATTCTAGATTATACTCCTGCCTAGGTCTGCTCTCACCATTTGTCTTGTAGGTAAAAGTATCTGTCAGTCCTTCCACACTTGCCTGAAGCCATCTAGGGCAGCAGCTCAGTGATGTGAGGTTATCTCAGTTTCCCTGCACCTGCTATCTGGCTAAAAATCATACCTAGCAAGAACCTATACAATGTAAAGAAGTGGGGCAGAGAACAAACATCCTCTGCCTTGGGTGCAGAAACATTACCCTGGCTTGCTGGTATCACTTTCTTAGCCTGAGGGCCCTGTAGCCTGCAGGTACCCTCTTTCTGCTTTCGCAGACTTCTCTGGATGTTGTCCTTCCTGCTTTGCTCCACCCCACCTCCCCCTCTTCCTCTGCCTTTGCTGTTTTGAGCTCATGGCCTCTTCAAGTTTCTCACCCCTTTATGTATAAGCTCCTGGCTTAGATCTGCCTGGACTGGGTCTGCCCATAGCCAGTCAAGCACTGCCGGCCAATGCTCACGTAAACACAATGAGGACATTTAGTTGAGAACACTGAGGTTGGGGCCCTTTCCTTTCCTTTTACTCCTCTTAAATACCCTAAATGGGACTAAATCTCCATAAATCCTGTCAACTGGAAGAGTTGAAAGGCTCCCGGGAAATCCTGGTTTCTCTCCCGCTGATTGTGCTGAAGCATTTTATCTAAGGCTGTTCTCTCCTTGCTATCCTAGTCCCACCTCACCCTCATGCCAATCAATCTCCCTAAACCTATTTTTTACTGCCTCCTTTGAAGCCCATTCCATCACAGGCATGCATTTCCTTACACTAAAATACTTTCCTTGCATCTTGCTTTCACCTCCCCATCTTAAAGGTGAAATGACATGACCTACTCCCCCATTCCTAAATGACTGTACCTCCTTTTACCTCTATATTATTCAACTGTTGACTTCTAGATAAAGTCAGAAAATTAGACCTGTATACCTAGACTACATAACTTTTACTGCCTTGCTGTTCCTGAATTTCAGATTGCCATTATGCCAGTTGATTCATTGAAAGATGGTATGAGAAACAGCCCCAAGAGGCAGAAGCCATAAGATTCTTGTTCAATAAGTTGTGCTTTATACCATATCCTTCCATTGGAGTGATAGTTTGGCTGGGTATATAAAATCCTAGGTTCGAAATAATCTTCTCTCAGGACACTGTAGATATTTGAGGCCCCTGCATTTCTGATAAAACCTAAGATGTCAGTTTTATGCTTATAGCTTTGCAGACAACCTGTTTGTTTTCTCTAGAGAGAACTCATGCTTCTCATTCTGAAATTTCACCAGGTTGTATTTCTGTGTTGGCCTTTTTTCATTCATCCTGCTTAGTGGGCCCTTTCACTCTAGGTTGGGACATGGGTCTTCATTCTCCTTAAGGAAACTTCCTTCTGTTGAGTATTTGGTCATTTCCGCCTCCATATTCTCTGTTCCCACTTTCTAGGACTCTCAGCAGCTGGATACTGTCCATGCAGACCAACAGCATGGGCATCACCTGGGAACGTGTTGTAGATGCACTCTCAGGCTTCACTCCAGACCTGCTGAGTCAGGATTTGTTTTCTAAGAAGATTCCTAGATGATGTGCGTGCACATGACATTTTAAGAAGTGCTGCTTTAATTCACTGTCACCTTAGATTTTGTTGAATATGAGGGCGACATGTTAGAAGAGCCCTCACTTCTTACCACGACTGTCCCTGGACTCAACCTCTCACATCTTCCCAGGATTAGAAATCAGGGATGAGAAACCCTCTAACTCCCAAGGGATCCTTCTCCTTTCTGTACCAGGTCCCCTCTGGCATGTTCAGTCTTTTTCTTTCTACAGCTCTTTTCATACCATCTCTAAATAGAAACAGGTATTTCCCAACCTGAAAAAGCTTCACTTGACCCCTTTGCCTCTTCCAGTTCCCATCCAATTTCTCAATTGGCTTTTCCTGCCAAATTTCTTGAATTCATGCAAAACAGGCTCTACTTCTGTTTCTTTGCACAGCCCCTTCCTTAACTGCTGGAAACCTGGCTTTTGACTCCCTGCTCTAAAAAAACTTTTTCAAAAGTCCTTAACTCAGCCTTTATTCTTAGGTCCTCTTGGCAGCATTGGCTACGGCTGGCCACTGTGACCTTCTGAAACATGCTCTGCCCATGACTTTCATGACACCTTGGTGTTGCCTTATCCCACTGAAGAAAGCGTGAGAATGCCCTCCTCTGGGATGACCTCCCTCTTCTGCCCTTCCCTAAGTGCTCAGCCCAATCTGGCCGCCTCAGAGAGACTTTTCCTAACGGTTGCATTCCACATTGATCTACGGACTCCATTCAGTGTTCTCCTTTTGGCACACACACACAAAGACCAGACAAGGTATATAATAATGTAATTATTGGCCAGACACAGTGGCTGACTCCTGTAATCCCAGCACTTTGGGAGGCTGAGGTGGGCAGATCACCTGAGGTCAGGAGTTTCAGACCAGCCTGGCCAATCTGGTGAAACCCCGTCTCTACTAAAAATATAAAAATTAGCTGGGCATGGTAATGCATGCCTGTAGTCCCAGCTACTTGGGAGGCTAAGGCAGGAGAATCACTTGAACCCAGAAGGCAGAGGTTGCAGTGAGCTGAGATCATGCCACTGCACTCCATCCCGGGCGACAGAGCGAGAATCTGTTTAAAATAATAATAATAGTAATAATAATGTAATTATTGCAATGACCTTTCCATCTCACCAACCAAATTAAAGCTACCAGGGGCAAGGACACAGTCTGTGCTATTGTGACTGATTGCCTCGTCTGTTCCCACAGCCCAAGGACAGCTAGACAAGGGGCTGAACCATCATGAAAAGGAATATCGTTTCTTCATCTTCACAGAGATACTGGCAACCCTCAAAGCCATGTGCCTGGGGACTACATCTTTCCCAAGGGGGTGTTTTCTTCGAATTCACCCAAAGGTTCTCTGTGGGCTTGCCGTGCCCCTGGAACAGTCTCGTACCTCTTCTGTGCCCTTTCGGATATTTGTCCCAGCTTGGGGGCATCTTGTCAGTGCAATTGCCTCAGTGTCTGGAAAAGTCTCTCTTCTCCTTTCATACTCATGATGTGAGAACATTTCAGAGGTGACTGCTCGGGGCTAGGGTGTAGAAGCATCTTGTGGGTATGTAGAAGGCAAAACTCACTCCTCAAACCAGATTGAAGCCCCTGGCTGCCCACAGACAGTTTGTGGCCCTTTCGGAAAACCGAGTGGCTGCTTTGCATCCCCGCCTACAGCCTGGGCCTCCTTGTCTAGGGCATGGAAGGAGGAGAGGCAGAGGAGGCCGGGGGGAAGGCAGGTACCTCTTCCATCACTCCTCTGAGCAAGCTCATAGAATCAAAGAGAGATCCTTAAAGCTGAGCGCTCCCTCTGCCTTTCTTCCACCCATCCCCATCACTGCTTGCCCAGGGGTCTCCAGCTCAGTAACAGCAGTTCCACTGTTCCTGATGCTCCAGCCAGGCCCTGTGGGCCCTCCCTGGCATCCCCCTATCTCATCCGTCCATCACCTAGTCTATGCTTCTACCTCTGAAATAGACCCAACGTTTGTACTTCCCCCTGTGTATTTTGCCATTGTCCTGGTCCAGCCTCACCAAGCCCCGCCTGGGCCTCTACCTTGGCCTGCTAGCTCTCTGCTTCCATTTCTCCAGCCCTCAAGTCCATTCTAGGCAGGGCAGCACAATGGTCTTTTTTTTTTTTTTTAGACAGAGTCTCACTCTGTTACGCAGGCTGGGTGCAGTGGTGTGATCTCGGCTCACTGCAACCTCCACCTCCCTGGTTCAAGAGATTCTCTTGCTTCAGCCTCTGGAGTAGCTGGGATTACAGGTGCGTGCCACTACACCCAGCTAATTTTTGTAGTTTTAGTAGAGACGGGGTTTCGCCATGTTGGCCAGGTTGGTCTCGAATTCCTGACCTCAAGTGATCTGCCTGCCTCGGCCTCCCAAAGTGCTGGGATTACAGATGTGAGCCACTGCACCCAGCTACAATAGTCTTTTAAAAGTTAATCACATAATGGGATTCCCCTGCTGAAAACTCTTTAATATTTGATGTTATTATGAAATTATTATTCTTTAAGGTGTGATCTTGTATTTTGGTTATTCCCCCTGCCCTCTGAAAGAGAGTGCTTCTCATTTAGAGGTACATATCATAGTATTCATATAAGAAATGATGTGGGCCAGGCAAGGTGGCTCATGCCTGTAATCCCAGCATTTTTGGGAGGCCAAGGTGGGCAGATTACCTGAGGTCAGGAGTTCGAGACCAGCCTGGCCAACATGGCGAAACCCCGTCTCTACTAAAAAATACAAAAATTAGCCAGGCATGGTGGCAGGCACCTGTAATGCCAGCTACTCAGGAGGCTGAGGCAGGGAGAATTGCTTGAACCCTGGAGGCAGAGGTTGCAGTGAGCCGAAATTGCACCACTGCACTCCAGCCTGGGCAACAGGGCGAGACTCCGTCTCCAAAAAAAAAAAAAAAAAAAAGGATGTATTGGATTTTCTTCAAAATAACACCAGGTGGGTCAGGGAGGTAAGAAATTGGTCATGTTGAAACGAGTACACAGGGCTTCACTGGACTACTCTACTTTTGCATGTGTTTGAAAAATTTTATAATGAAAAAGTTTAAAAAATGGCAAAGATTCTGCATTTCTCATATGACTAAGGCAAACAAACATCCTTACCGTGGCCTGCCCTGCCAGCACCTCTGGCCTTATCTCTTGCTATTCCCACCTGGCTTCCGAGGCTCCACCACGCAGCCGTCCATGCGGGCTCCTTTCCATTCCCACCGACGCCAGGGGGCGTCTCCTCTATCATCCCCAAGGTATGGGATGAAGCCTCCTTTCTCCAGTCTGGCTCCTTCCTGCTAACCTCAGGTCTCAACTTAAAATGCCCTTTCCAATGCCCTGATTTAAATTTAACTAAAGTTTACTTTCTCACTGCACCCTTTAATTTTTCATTTTTGTGCTTACCACAATTTTGGTCTGTTTTCCCCGTGAGGGAAGTTCCATGAGGGCAAAGTTCACAGCTGTTTTGTTCAGTGGTGCATACGTCAAGCCCAGCACATGTTGCCAAATGAAGTGAGATGGCAGCCACACCCTCGGTCCCCCTCTGAAGAAACTGCCCTAGGCAGTTAAAACAATAATTAAAATGAAAAAAAAAAAAAAAAAGGACAACAAATGCAAGAAGCCATGGGTCCACTCTGCCAGATCAACAAATGTTAAGCATCTTTTCCTTTCTTTTTTTTTTGAGACAGAGTCTCCCTCTGTTGCCGGGCTGGAGTGCAATGGCATGATCTCAGCTCACTGCAACCTCCACCTCTGGGGTTCAAGCAATTCTCCTGCCTCAGCCTCCCGAGTAGCTGAGATTACAGGCATGTGCCACCATGCCCAGCTAATTTTTGTATTTTTAGTGTAGATGGAGTTTTGCCATGTTGGTCTAGCTGGTCTTGAACTCCTGACCTCAGGTGATCCGCCCGCCTCGGCCTCCCAAAGTACTGGGATTACAGGCGTGAGCCACCATGCCCGGCCCCTTTTCATATTTTTTTGATGATCATTCTCTCTTTCGTTAAGGAAAATAAATTTAGAGGAAACATTATAGTCTTCTGTGCTTCCCTCCCCAGACCTATCCCCCTTCCTTCCCCCTAAGTAACTACTGTCTGAGTTTGGTGTGTATTCAGTTCATACTTTTAATATTTTTATGACAAACGTGCGTATCCATAAACAATATATGGTATGGTTTTACGTGCTTTTAAAAAATATGTAAATGGAATTCTGTGCTACATAATATTGTACAACTAATGTTTTCCACTCAGTGTTGTTATATATATGTGTGGATGCATATATATTATAAATTAGTTCATCCATTGTAACTGTTATATGGCAATCCACTGTAGGAATACATCGCAATTGATTTATTCATCCCCTTAATGAGGTACATCTGGCTTATCTCCAGTGTTATCTTTGACAAAAAGGCTGGAAAGAATGTACTTGAATGTGCGTCCCCTCTGTCCATGTCTCTCTGACCCATTAGACTGGCCAAAGCAAATGAGAGAGAACCGGCCAGGTGGCGAGGCAATGGGACCTTTCATATGCTGCTGATGGTGGGAGTGACAATTGACATAATCGTTTTAGAGAGCAATTTGGCAATATCTAGTTAAGGCGAAAATGCTCAACCCGGTGATCTAGGAATTATACCTCTGTCATAAATCCTTATCACCAAAGGTAAATTACGTATTTATTTTTCTGCTCAACGGAAAGCATAAAATATATAATATTCTTTTATGATTTCAAGTTTCTAATGCAGTTTTACATATATTACCTAATTTGACGTTCACAAGCATAGTAGCAGTGTCAGCCCCTTGTTATAAACATGGGAACTGAGGCCAAAGATAAGGCCACAGAACTGTAGTTTGGTGCTGGGCTCAAATCCCAGTCATTTGACTTTTTGTCCAGGGCATTTTCCATGACCGCAGGCTGCCTTGCTGTGTTTTCCTGCTGCAAAGAACATCAACAAGCTCTGGGCACTTTGGCGTAGATGCTGCTAGGACCCCAACCAGATACATGGGCCTTTGCGGGAGCTTGTGCCCATCCCCCAGGGGCTGCAAGTGTTGGTGGCTGAAAGGTCACAGCTGCCCTTCCTCAGAGAATTGCCCATGGCCACTAGAGTGGCCTCAGCTGGAGATGTCTGGAAACTTCCCTTAGCCCCGCATGGCAGGGGTTGCTTTAGCCAATGGCTGACTGATGCAGGTGTACAAGGCTGGCCTTATTGTCTCAAGCGGGGACAGCTTTGTGGTACCATTCATGCTCCAGAGCTCACTGTGGGCTGTGGGAGGACATCAGCAGAGCCCGCATCTTTGCCTCGCTGCTTTTCCTGACTTATTCTGTGTTCCTCATGTCCTCTCGTCTTCCTCCTGGGAGGATTCCTTTAAGAACTCTCCTGCACCAGAATTCTCATCTCAGGCTCCGCTTTGAGGGTGATGGTTCTTTATCTTTCTCATGTATGAGAATCACCGTCCAGGTGTGGTGGCTCACACCTGTAATCCCAGCACTTTGGGAGGCTGAGGTGGGAGAATTGCTTGAGCCCAGGAGTTTGAGACAAGCCTGGGCAACATAGGGAGAACTTGTTCCCACAAAAAATGAAACAAAGAAATTTTCCAGGCATGGTGCATGTGTCTTTAGTCCCCGCTACTTGGCGGGTTAAGGCGGGAGAATCACTTGAGACTGGGATGTAAAGGCTGCAGCGACCCATACTTGGGCAACTGCACTCCAGTCTGGACAACAGAGCAAGACCCTGTCTCAAAAAAGAAAGAAAAGAAACACCAATAGGGTTTGTTAAAGCACACATCGCTGGGCTTCCCCTCCACTGCCTGTTTCAGTGGGTCTAGGAAAGGGTCCATAATTTGCATTTCTAGCAAGTTGATGCTGATGATGCTGGTCCAGGGACCACACTTTGAGAACCACTCTTCTAAGGACCCTGACATAAGACAGTTGGTGCCAGGAGAAGCAAATGCTAAGAACGGGAGTCTGCAGTTGGATAACCCGCTGGCAATGAGAAACTCAACACTGGTGATAGAAGGAGAAATGATAGCTCCTGGCATTTGGTAGCGATACAATTTCTGTGACAGCTTACAGTTGGAAGGGGATGTACTGGCTTTTGCAATATTTCTGGCATTGGAGCATTATAGCAGAGACAGTAATTATAAGGATTATGGAATTGAGAGGCTGTTTCTGAGAGACACTAGTGCAGCAAAGAAAGAAATGGCGGGCCCAAGTTTATTAATCACCAATTCAGAGCAAAGTGTGAAAGTCAGAGGATCTCTTTGGCAGTGAGGTCCTTA
Organism: Homo sapiens; assembly: GCF_000001405.40. NCBI lineage: Eukaryota > Metazoa > Chordata > Mammalia > Primates > Hominidae > Homo > Homo sapiens. The sequence goes on from NC_000017.11 coordinate 73,660,722, forward strand.
TCTCCTGGAGCTGTACGATGGTGCCAAAGTGATACTCATTCAGTAGAAACCATGCTTTCAGTGCCCATGCAACCATTCTGTTTTTCATGTTCAGTGCAGTATTCAATACATTACATGAGATATTACATACTTTATTATAAAATAGGCTTCGTGTTAGATGATTTTGTCTAACTGTAGGCTAATGTCAGTGTTCTGAGCACATTTGAAGTAGGCTAGGGGTGTTTGGTAGATTAGGTGCAATAAATGCATTTCCTACTTACGATATTTTCAACCTAAGATTGAAGCTTACCTAAGATTTATCAAGATGTAGCCCCATCATAAGGTGAGGAGCATCTGTATATTTAAAAGTAATTTGGGCCGGGCACAGTGGCTCATGCCTGTAATCCCAGCACTTTGGAAGGCTGAGGCGGGCAGATCATGAGGTCAGGAGATCGAGACCATCCTGGCTAACATGGTGAAACCTCATTTCTACTAAAAATACAAAAATTAGCCTGGTGTGGTGGCATGCGCCTGTAGTTGCAGCTACTTGGGAGGCTGAGGTGGGAGAATCGCTTGAACCCGGGAAGTGGAGGTTGAGCCCAGTCTCCTGCTTCAGCACGTGGAAGTCTCATACCCTCCTCGCCAGAGCAGACTATAAGCCAAGCACAGAAAGACAAGCACTGTATGATTTCATGGATATGTGGGATCTAAAAAAATTGATCTCATACTAACAGAGAGTAGACAAGTGGTTACTGCGCACTAGGGCTGGGGTTGGGTAGGGAAGAACGCAGAGAAGGGAGAGGTTGATCAAAGGGTACGATGTTTCATTTACACTAGAGACATAAGTTTTAGTGATCAATTCCACTGCATGGAAACCACAGCTAATTATAATGTATCTGTTTCTGTTCTTTATTCTGGTTATTTGATCTGATTGTCTATTTCTGCATCATAGCTATGTTATCTTAACAAATATCTGTATAGTATGTTTTGCTGCCTATAGAGCAAGACCTTATTCATTGTACTTCTTTTTCAAAAATTTGTCAGCCATTTTTGGGCATTGCTTTTTTCCATATGGATTTTAGAATCAGCTCATTAAGTTAAAAATCTCTTGTCTGAGTTTTAATTGTGGCCATTTTATATTTATATATCAATATAAAGAGAATTACTGTACTTTCAAACTTGAGCCTTCCCCAGTGGAATATTATCATCTAAGTTTTTTTTTTTTGGTGCTCTTCTGTGAAGTTTTATACATTTTTTCATATATATTTTATTAGGTTTGTCTGAGTATTTTATAGTTTCTGTTGCAATTGTGAATAGCAACTATTTTTCCATTAGATTTTCTAATTGGTTATTGCTGGTGAATAGAAAAGCTATTGGATTTTGTATGGTGACTTTAAATGTAACTTAACTTGATTTGTTCTAATAGCTTTGTGGTTAATTCTCCTGTATTGTCCAGGCTGATAATCATATTGTGTGCAAGTAGCAACAGTTTGGTCTCTCCTTTACCAATATTTGACCTTGTTTTGCTTCATTTCTTTAATGCATTGGCCTCATGCCTCCACTCCAGTGTTAAATGGTAGAGGTGATAGTGTTTAAACTTTTATTGAAACTGCTTTTAGTGGGAATGATTTTAATATGCGACCATTAAGAATGATATTTGTGATTACCTTGCTATAGTATGAAGGAAGGTTCACCAGGTTGAAAAATTTTTTTTCTATCCTGTCAATCTTTTATTATCGAGATGGTTCAATGTCAGTAAGCAACTCAGTGAAAATAAGAGAGGTTTGCCTAAGAGACCAGCTGATAAGCTCAAACCTCTGTCTTAGTATTTTTGTGCTGCTATGACAAAATATCTGAGACTGGATAATTTATAAGGAACATAAATTTATTTCTTATAGTTCTGGAGGTTGGGAAGTCCAAGACCAAGCTGCTGGCATTGACATCTGCTTCCAAGATGGCACCTTGTTGCTGTGTCCTTACTAGTGGTGGAAGTCAGAAGACCAAGGGAATGTTCTCTTCACCCTTGAGCCATTTTCTAAAAGGCTAATCCCATTTTTGAAAATGGAGCCCTTATGTCTCAATTGCCTCCCAAAAGCCACAGGTTTTTACTATACTGTGGCATTGGGGATTCAGTTTCAATATGAATGTTGTAGGGGACAACATCGTTCAAATCACAGCACCTTCCCTTCTAGTGGCCATCTAAGCCGTCAGATGAAGCTGGTTACAAAGCTGATTCATTCTTCCTCCTGAGAACAGGGGGAAAAATTACTCTCTACCACAGCCTTACCTTTTGCAAAAGGAAACCTCTTCATAACTGCCAAGGTTTTGTGTTTTTAGTGAGAAAGTGTGTTGTGTTTTATCAAATTTCTCTTCAATACCCATTGAAATGATCAGAATGCTTATTCCCTTAATTTGTTAATGTAAAAAATTACATTAATACATTTCCCAATGTCAAACCAACCTTTAATTCCTAAAACAAATTAAACTTGAGTATATTGTATTATTCTTTTAATACACTAAAGAATTTGATGTATATATACATTTAGAGACAGTATCTTGCTCTGTCACCCAGGCTGGAGTGCAGTGGCATAATCATAGTTCACTGCAGCCTCGCACTCCTGGGTCCAAGTGATCCTCCTGCTTTGGCCTCCCAAAGTGCAGAGATTATAGGTGTGAGCCACCATGCCTGGCCTTTCACCTCTCATTTTTATTAATGAGGTTGGCTCTTAGGTGTTTGCTTGCTTTTTTATGCCATTCTGGGTTTGGTACCAGGTCATGGTACTTCATAGAATTAATGTGAAACATGTTCATTTCCTATGCTCCTGAATAGTTTCTATATCATGGGAAAAAACTCTTCCTTGAAGATTTAGTAGAACTTGTTCATGAACTCCCTACAATCATGACCTTGAGCCATAGTCCTGTTTGCCATCAGCTTCATTCCCTGCCTTTGCCCTGCTTTGCTCTGTATCTCAGAGAACTGCATTTTCAGGCTTGTTTACCCTCAGGCTTCCAGGTGGGTTGGCCAATGGGAGGCACTGGCTCAAAAATGGAGGAAAGAAAGTGGTGAGAAGCAAAGACATTCCCTTCCTGTCCTCCAGCCCCCATTTTAGATAGCTGACAGCACCTGCATTGCTTTTGTGGCTCCAGTCACTGTTCTCAGCCCCTGCCCCAATGGGCCCAGTTCCCACTGAACTGGTCTCTGATATAAGTGCCTCCACCCTTTGTTCTTACAGCTTTCTACTGTTGCTAAGCAACCCTAATGGGTTTCTCCGCTCTATGATCACCTATGTAACCAATTCCTGTATTAAACTCCCCTGGTTTGAAATACCTAGCATGATTTCTACGTTCTGACTGGTTCTTGATTCATTAAGACCTTGATTTGATACCTCTCCTTTAATCAATTTTGATCATGTACTTTTTCTTAAGGAGTCATCTATTTCTTGCTGAATTTAAAATTTGTTAGAATAAAGTTGTATATATTATCTTACAATTTTAAGAATCATCTTTACTTTAGTAGTTATGTTCCCATTTCTGTTTCTTAAGTTACTTATTTTTATGTGAATGTGTGTTTCATGATCAAAATTGTCAGACATTTGTTTACTCTATTAGTATTTTGCTGGGGACTTTACATAAATCCTTTTCTAAGCTTTACATCAACTTCACAAAGAAGGTTTATATTGTGAGAAAAGGGCAGCAGAAAATTACTCCTTTACTTGCCTGAGACCATATGCCTATTAAATTGCAAAACTGGAACTAGAACTCAGATCTGTCTGAATTCAAAACTCATACTCTCCTCACTTTTTCAGACAGCATGAACACTCTGGGTGAGATTAAAAGGATCATCATAAATAGGCTTGACATTTTCTACAAAGAACACGAATTTCTTTTGTAACTGGAAAAGAAGTTAATTAAGCTTAAACAAATAATTATAAAAAAATAGCCTTGAAAGGAGAGGATATGTCACATCACGGCAACTTAGCCCTTTGAAATCTTTGTGAAAGGCAGGCATATGTCACTAGGTAGCCAGCTGTATCAGTGAATCCTGCTCGACCCTGGGTTTAGTAGTTGGTTGAGCCCTGGGTCTCCCCTTCCTCACCAGGTTACATCCTCTTTGGAAGCAGAAGTTTCCCCAAAAGGTGAAGGTCATGTTAATTACCCCAAAGGTGCTTCTCCTGGCACTGTTCACTAAAGTATGCTTTGAAGAAATGGCCACCTTGCCTCACCCATCATGGCACATACGGTTTGGAAATTCACTCTGCTCTTTCTCCAGGTTGGAAGAGTGACCGGAGGTGCTGAGGTTCTCTGTGGAGACCAGGCTGATCCCTACCGGTGGTGTAGGTTGCTCATTCTCCTTGACTGGGGCAACCAGAGAAGGATCATTTTCTATTCCTACTTCCTCTCCAGTCCTGAGCTCAGCTTCTGATGGCAGAAGAGCCCTGAAACCTCCTAAAATAGCCTCCTGCTGGAGAGAGGTAATGCAATGCATACCACAGTATGCATATTGATTTCTATTTTTGGTTCTTATCAAGATTTATTTTGCATCGCTTCAGGTAATAGTGACCTTGGACTCACCGCCTTCCATATTTGCAGCCTGGGTCAATGAATCTTGGTATTGACCTCAGGAGCCATCAATAGCTGCTTATTGTCGAGATATTTCAATGTCAATAAGTGGCCCCATGGAAGTGGGAGGGGGGCTGCCCAGCAAACCCAGCAGCTAAAAAACCAATCCCTTTTCTCCCAGTTGTCATCTTGGCACAGAAGGGGCTGGTTCTAAAATTGATTAACTTTCTTGCAGAGAGTGGGAAAACAAACTCCCAAACATAGCCTGAATCCTGCAAAGGGAACTTTCTCAGAATTACTATCCATTACTATGAAAGGAGAGAAACACCCATGTGTGTTCTGTCTCTGTCTTCCCTCCCTCTCTCTCCCTCCCGCGTCTCCCTTCTTCCTGACTTTCCTCCCCTCCGTGTCACATTCAATCCTATAGGGACATCCACAAGACTTTGGAAAGAGATACCTGGTTACTGGAACAGGTATTAACCCACCCAAGCTTACCTGATTGAAGATCAGGCAGATTGATCTAGTAAAAAGAGTTTGCCTTGTGGCATCAGACACTCCTAGGAGCAAATCCTGGAGTGTTATGACCGACACGTGTTTTCATCTGTACTGTGGGCATACTACCTACCTTGATGTGAAGAATGGAGATTCTGTCTGTATGTGACCGGCACCTAGTAGGTGTTTCATAAATCCAAGTTCAGGCTTTATTATTATGATACTTGCCAAGTTGAGAGGTCAGGACTCTCCACTTGTAGTTTCTGCTCTCACTCCCTCACATTCTCTGCCATATTCATTTATTCCTGCTTCCCCACTGATAAAAAGATGAAAAAAATGGACATGTGGCTGCGCTGAAATCCTCTTGGTATGGTTTGTATGTGTGTCCCCACCCAAATCTCATGAGAAATTGTAATCCCCAGTGTTGGAGGAGAAGCCTGGTGGGAAGTGAGTGGATCCTGGGGACAGGTTTTCTTCTTGCTCTTCTCATGATAGTGAGTGATCTGGTTGTCTAAAAGTGTGTAGCACCCTCTCCTTCGCTCTATTCCTCCTGTTCTGGCCGTGGAAGACGTGCCAGCTTCCACTTTGCCTTCTGCTATGATTGTAGGTCTCCTGAGGTCTCCCTAGCCATGCCTCCTGTGCAGCCTGCAGAAATGTGAGTCAATTAAACCTCTTTTCTTTATAAATTACCCAGTTTCAGGTAGTTCTTTAGAGCAACGTGAGAACAGACTAATATCTCTCTCTTATGATCAAACTGTGTTAATCTGTCTTTACTGGCCATGCTTTCAGCAATTGGCCCACTTATTCATCCACCTTGGTATGCCTGGCCTGGCTGCATGAAGGCACAGCTGATCTTGGGCACAGTTCTCCAGGCCCAGGGCAGGGGCAGGGGCTGTCTGTGGCCTCTGCTGGGCAGCATTGTTTCAGCTTCCTTCTGTGTGAGTACTGTGGCTCCCTGTTCCCGTCTGCTTTCTCTCTCTTCCTTTCTTTCTCCGTGGTCACCTCTAAGCTCCCAGCAGCCCTGGTGATGAATCTCTCCCACCTCTTCTTTCCCTAGGCCCTGCCCTGCTGAGGGTGGCTTGGACTGAGTGCAACTTTGGAGATGATGGAGAAGGAGAAGGAGAAAGCGAACACCCTACTGTGCCTTGACTCTGCCTTTCGGCCAGAGTGGTGACTTTTCCCGATGGTGATGGAAAGATGCTCACACAGAGGTGGGTAGAAGATGCCAGGAAAGAGAAGAAACCTGGTGCTCACACGTTGCAAACAGGATTTCACTGAGTGCTCAAAATAATCCTGGGTGGTAGGCATTAGTATACTCATTTAACAGATAGGAAAACAGAGGCTCAGAGAGTTTAAGAGATGAGATTGGAACTCTGTCTGACTCCAGTCTCATGCATAATTGAACATTTGTGTTGGAAAGAAGGATTCTGGGGACGGAGGAGACATATGAGGACTTTCAAGCATCTGATTTGGTTAAAGAGTTGTAATAGATGCCCTTGATGTCCTTATCCTGCCCTGGATCTGAAATTCTAAGAATAGAAACAGAGAGCACCAAACTTGCTCAAGACCATTTCCTGGTACAGCAGCTCAGTTCTCAAAGCCCTGTTTCCTGTCAGGGGTAGATTTAACCAACCATGGGCCAGCTTTGGGCAGATTTCCAAATCCTCTGCCTAGTGCCACCTCTGGACACTGGCTCTTGGTGCCAAAAATGTAACTTCAAAGCAAACACCCCAAACTTAGAATAATCAGGCTGAATTTTAAATTTGCATATGCACATAAACACTTGTCCACTCACTCAGTCCCCTCCCAACGAAGCAGAAAGTAAAAGATCACGTGAGCCAGCAGTAACTATGTCTAATGGCGATGAAGCTTCAGGACAGAGGCAGGAGTTTGCTCTTTTATTTATTTATTCATGAACGCCACAAACACGTATTGCACGCTTACCATGTGTCAGACAGGGCATGAGGACTTGATCACAAAAGATGGAAATCACGTGTTAATTGTTGAGTAAGCACATTTTGGTTTAGTGATGAGTGTATTCTGTGGATAATGTATGTATATGTATATAGTACATATATGCACGTGTGTGTGTGCATTTGGGTGCATGTGTATATATGTATACAATTTATTAACTACAGGGTTTTTGCTGTCAAGGAACTCAAAGTTCAACAGAGAAGACAGACATGAAAACAATTATGATATTTTGAGAAAAATAGCTTTAATGTAGGCAGGATCAAAGAACAGAGGAGACTAGTATAAGAAGTGCCCAAGGCTATGGGGAAATTGGGAAAGACTTCAAGGAGGAAGATGTGGAGGCTGAGGGAGCATCTTCCAGATAGACAAGAGGCTCAGGAGCTGCCCGGGCAGAAGGAACATACATTCACTTAATCACTGCTTATTAGAACATCTGCTTCTGGTTAGAATGGATTTTTGCTATCAGTTAGGATGCAGAAAATTACAAGAGACCATCACTTTGATTTTCTTTCCCCCAAACAAAAACAAGCTACATAAGTTACAAAATCACCTCTTTTAAAATCCATCAGAGAGCTGAGGACATAAATTTGCAAGCCCTTCCTAGGACAGAAGAGACTCATGACTGGAGGGTGGTGAGAGGAGGGGTAAACCCAGCATGGATAGGGGTACAAAGAAACAAGCCAAACTATAATCAACTTTTTTATTTTTTATTTTTTTTTTGAGATGGAGTCTCACTCTGTCACTCAGGCTGGAGTGCAGTGGCACAGTCTCGGCTCACTGCAACCTCTGCCTCCTGGGTTTAAGCAATTCTCCTGCCTCAACCTCCCGAGTAGCTGGGACCACAGGTGCGTGCCACCACATCCGGCTAACTTTTTGTATATTTTAGTACAGATGGGGTTTCACCGTGTTAGCCAGGATGGTCTCTATCTCTTGACCCCGTGATCTGCCTGCCTCAGCCTGCCAAAGTGTAATCAACTTTTAATAGTCATGTAGAGGCCAACATGACAGATTTGTAGCCCGTGGATCCCAGTCACAATTCCCACCTTTACCTCCAAATGTATGGCTATGGTGGAGGCAAATCAGGAGAGCTGAGATATGTCCTTGGTGTGTTCCAGGATGTCACCAAGGGCAAGGCAGATGCCAGCGAGAGGACATGGCCAGAGAAGTGGAATGAAGAGACATCACCCCAGAGGGAAAGCCGAACTCAGTGGACCCAAAAGCCAAAGCAGAGCGCGATCAGCTGTGGTTCAGAAGACTTGCTGGAATTCAGATCCCGAATCCTGCTGCAGGGATCCAACCCTCAAAACATTTGAAGTCCATAGTGAACTGGCTGTCACTAGAGCTGAGACTCAACTCAACTCAACCACAGAATAAGTTGACTCAGCCTCTCACTTCAGTGAGTAATTATACTTTAGACTATATTACTATATATGTATTATATATAATTGTAATATAATTATATAATATATGATATATAATATATAAGAAATAATATATAATATATGATATATAGATTAAGTAATGCATGTATATTATATGCATATTATATGGTGTATATATAGTATATATACATATATACTATATAGTAGAAATTATATAGTATTTATTTATATTATATAGTATATATATTTCTTACTTCCTACTTTCTACTTCCTTTTGTGTGAGTATGGTGGCTTTCTATTATATTATATTATATCTTATTATATTATATTATTTCTATTATATTCTATAATAGAAATATTATATAGTATGTGGTATACTATATGTAATATAGACTCTATTATTAATACTTTAGACTCTCCTGTTCATCTATACACAATGTCTGAAATATAATTACAAATTACAAAGCACTTGTTGAAGCAAGAAATGTGACCTATAATCAAAAGGGAAAAAAGTCATTAAAGCAGATCCATGGATATTCCAGATGTTACGATAAGCCAACAAAGATATTAAAGTAACAATTTTAGATATTTTAATGGATTCAGTTTGAGAAGTGAACAACATACGTGAACAGATGGGGAATTTCAGCATCAAACTACTGAAAAACTCAGATGGTTATTCTAAAACAGAAAACTACTGTATCATAAATAAAGAATTCACTGAATGGGCTTAATAGCAGACTGGACACCATAGCAGAAAAGATTGGTGAACTTTAAGTTGGGCCAGAAGAAACCACCTGACTAAGAACATGACAACAAACTAACAGATCATCTGGGCCCTGGGAAAAATACCAATATGACCTAATATACATATAATTGGAGCCCCGGAAGAAGAGGAGAGAAAATGCAGTGAAGAAATATTTGAGCAGATAATAGTCAAGAATATTTGAGGGCCAGGCGTGGTGGCTCATGCCTGTATTCCCAGCACTTTGGGAGGCCAAGGTGGGTGGATCATTTGAGGCCAAGAGTTCGAGATCAGCCTGGCCAACATGGCAAAACCCTGTCCATTCCAAAAAATACAAAAAATTAACCAGGTACAGTGGTGCACACCTGTAGTCCCAGCTACTTGGGAGGCTGAGATGGTAGAATCACTTGACTCCTGGACGTGGAGGTTGCAGTGAGCCAAGATTGTACTACTGCTCTCCAGCCTGGGTGACAGAGAGAGACTTTGTCTCAAAAAAAAAAAAAGAAAAAAAAGAAAGAATATATTAAAATTGGTTAAGGACATTAACCTATAGATTCAAGAGGTTTAGTAATCTCTAATCAGTGTAAACATGTACAAAACCATACCCACCCATATCATAATCAAACTGTTGAAAACCTAAAGAGAAATAAAAACTTTAAAGCCACCAACTAAAATTATATTTTAAGGGGAATAAGAATGAGAATGATGAGTGACTCCACACACACACAAAAATTAGAGGCCAGAAGACAATGAATGACATCTTTAAAGTGTGAAAAATAAAAACTGAATTTTCAAAAACTGAATTTTCAATCTAGGATTTGATGCCCAGTGAAAATATTCTTAAAAAAACAGAGGTGAAACAGAAATGTTTTCAGATGACAAAAGCTGAGAAAATTTTCTCCTGCAGATTTGGATTACAAAAAATGACAAAAAATGCTAAAAGAAGTTTTTCAGGGTAGAAGGGAAATAATACCAGATGGGAAGAAATGAAGAATAATGCCTGTGGGAAGAAATGAAGAGTATCAAAAAGTATAAGCCTGATGATATTAAAAATTATATTTATGTGTTATGTAAATATATTTCTAAACTTCTGTAGAAGACTATTGTCAAAAGTACAAATTATAACAATGTATTGTGGGGTTTTACCTTATGTAGAAGTAAAATATATAGCAGTGAGGGCACATTATGCAGCGGTAAGAGTTTTACGTTGTTTGTAAAATAGTGCAACATTATTTACAGACAAACTGTGTTAAGTTGAAGATGCATATTGCACCCTAGAGTAACCATGAAATATTAACACAAAGGTATTACTGAAAAAAAATCAGTGGAAGAGATGAAATAGAATACTGAAAAATAATTAATCCAAAAAGCTGGCAGGGAGTGGAGAAGAGGGGAACAAAAAATAGGACAATGAGAAAGCAAATATTGAAAGTAGACTTAAATTTAACAATATGAATAATTTTTAAAATTATAAATGGACCTAATTCTCAAATTAAAAGACAGAAATTATCAGAATGGATAAAAGCAAGGTCTGACTACATGCTGTTTCTAAGAAGCATGGTTTATTATTATTTTTTATTTCAATAGCTTTTGGGGTACAAGTGGTTTTTTTGTTACATAGATAAATTATAGAGGCCGGGCGCGGTGGCTCACACCTGTAATCCCAGCACTTTGGGAGGCTGAGGTGGGCGGATCATGAGGTCAGGAGTTCGAGACCAGCCTGGCCGACATGGTGAAACCCTGTCTCTACTAAAAATACAAAAATTAGCTGGGCAGGGTGGCGGGTAGCTGTAATCCCACTTGCTCGGGAGGCTGAGGCAGGAGAATCGTTTGAACCCAGGAGGCGGAGGTTGCAGTGAGCTGAGATCATGCCATTGCACTCTAGCCTGGGCTACAGGGTGAGATGCCATCTCAAAAAAAATTATATAGTGGCAAATTTTGAGATTTTAGTTCACTGGTCACCCAAGCGGTATACATTGTACATAATGCGTAGTTTTTTCCAATCCCTGGTCCCCCTTCCATCGTTCCCCTTCTGAGTCTCTTTATAAAGCCTACATACAACTCATATGCCTTCATGTACTCATAGCTTAGCTCCCACTTATAAGTGAGAACATAAAGTTTTTGGTTTTCCGCTCCTGTGTTACTTCGCTTAGAATAATGGCCTCCAGCTCCATCCGAGTTGCTGCAAAATACATTATTTCTTTTGTTGTTGTTGTTGTTGTTGTTGTTGTTGTTGAGACGGAGTCTCGCTCTGTCGCCCAGGCTGGAGTGCAGTGGCATGATCTCGGCTCACTGCAAGCTCCGCCTCCCGGGTTCACGCCATTCTCCTGCCTCAGCCTCCCGAGTAGCTGGGACTACAGGCGCCCGCCACCACGCCCGGCTAATTTTTTGTATTTTTAGTAGAGACGGGGTTTCACCGTGTTAGCCAAGATGGTCTCGATCTCCTGACCTTGTGATCCACCCGCCTTGGCCTCCCAAAGTGCTGGGATTACAGGTGTGAGCCACGGCGCCCGGCCAAATACATTATTTCCATCTATTTAATGGCTGAGTAGTAGTCCATGGTGTATATATACCATTGTTTCCATCCATTTAATGGCTGAGTCCATGGTGTATATGTACCATACTTTCTTTATCCACTCATTAGTTGATGGGCACTTAGGTTGGTTCCACATCTTTGCAATCGCAAATTGTGCTGCTATAAACATACATGTGCAAGTGTCTTTTTCATATAATAACTTCATTTCCTTTGGGTAGATACCTGGTAGTGGGATTGTTGGAACCAATGATAGATCTATTTTTAGCTCTTTAAGGAACCTCCACACTGTTTTCTATAGAGGTTGTACTGATTTACATTCCCACCAGCAGTGTATATAAGCGTTCCCTTTTCCCCATAGCCATGCCAACATCCATTGTTTTTTTACTTTTTAATAATGGCCATTCTTGCAGGAGTAAAGTGGTGTCTCCTTGTGGTTTTAGTTTGTATTTCCCTGATGATTAGTGACGTTGAGCATTTTTCCATATGTTTGTTGGCCCTTTGTATATCTTAAGAAACATACTTTAATATAAAATCATGAACAAGTTGAAAACAGTAAGAGATATCCCAATGCAAACACCAAGTATCAGAAAGCTGTTGTGCCTAGAGATTATCAAAGAAGGCCAGGTGATCACTCACTCCTGTAATCCCAACACTTTGGGAGGCTGAGGCGGGCAGATCACTTGAGGTCATGAGTTCGAGACCAGCCTGGCCAACATGGCGAAACCCCATCTCTACTAAAAATACAAAAATTAGTCAGGAGTGGTGGCACACACCTGTAATCCCAGCTACTCGGGAGGCCATGGCGAGAGAATCGCTTGAACCCTGGAGAAGGTTGCAGTGAGCCGAGATCATGCCACTGCACTCCACCTTGGGAGACTCCATCTCAAAAAAAAAAAAGATTATCAAAGTGGACTTCCAAATGAGAAGTATTAGCAGGATTTCGTAACCTTACATTTCATATTAATAATATTAATAAGGGGTGACTTTGTCAAAACCATCTAAGAGCCTTAAACCTGTGTGTAGCTAATTATAGAACTTAAAAATATGTGCAGCAGAAAATGACAGAAATAAAGAGAGAAACAGACAAATACACAATCATAGTTGAAGATTTTAGTGCCCCTTAATCATTCATTGCCATGACAAATAGGCAGAACATCAATAAAGGACACATAAGGCTTAAACGATGTCATTAAACAACTTGATATAGTTGATGTTTATAGAACACAGCTACACTCAACAATTATAGAATGCACATGGTTTTCAAATGTATGTGTACGTTCACCGAGACTGACCATGTGCTGGATCAAGAAAAAAAAAATCTCAAAGGTTAAAAAAAGAAATATCACAAATTATGTTCACTAAGTATTATATAATTAAATCATAAATCCATAACAAAATTCTAGAAAAATCTGCAAATATTTGGAAATTAAGCAATATGTTTTCAAATAAACCACCGGTCAGAGAAAAAAAAAGTAATTAGAACATGTTTTATTTATTTATTTTTCTTTTCTTAATTTAATGTTTTATTTATACATAATAGATGTACACATTTTCAGGATGCATGTGATAATTTAATAGATTCATGTATCTTGTAAATATCAAATCAGTGTCATTGGAGTATCTATCACCTTAAATATTTGTCTTTTATTTATGCTAGAAACATTTGAATTATTCTCTTTTAGCTATTTTGAAATATATAACTGACTATTGTAAACTATATTTACCCTGCTGATCTAACAAACCCTAGATCTTACTTCTTTTATCAAACTATATATTTGTACCCATGAATCAACCTCTCTTCATACCCCATCCTTTCCTTCCCAACCTCTGGGATATCTGAAGAATCATATCAATTATAGAAATTGATTAGATTCAATCTACTCTCTATCTTCATGAGATCTAATTTTTAGCTCCCACATATGAGTGAGAATGTTCAATATTTGTCTTTCTGTGTTTTGCTCATTTTGCTTAACCTAATGATCTCCATTTCCATCCATGTTGCTGCAAATCATGAGGATTCATTCTTTTTAATGGCTGAATAATATTCTACTGTGTATATATACGTTAAAAAAATCCATTCATCCGTTGATGGGCACTTAGGTTGATTCCAAATTTTGACTATTGTGAACAGTACAGCAAAAACATGGGAGTGCAGAATCTCCTTGATATATTGATTTTCTTTCTTTTGAATTCCAGTAGCGAATTACTGGATGGTATGGTATTTCTATTTTTTGTTTTTGGTAGCACCTCCATACAGTTTTCCACTGTTATGATAATTTATGTTCTCACCAACAGTGTATGAGCATTCCCCTTTCTCCTCATTGTTACCAGCATTGGTTACTCCCCATATTTTATATAAAAGCCGTTTTAAATGAGATGAGAATATATCTGGTGGTAGTTTTGATTTGCATTTCTCTGATGATTAGTAATGTTGAGCATTTTTTCATATACCTGTTGGCCATTTGTATGTCTTTTTTTGAGAAATATTAGATTTTTTGCCCATTTTTAAATCAAATTCTTTGGTGTTTTTATCTTTTCTTTTCTTTTCTTTTCACTATTGAGTTATCTGAGCTCCTTACATATTATGGTTATTAATCTCTTGTCAGATGGATAGTTTGAAAGTTTTTTTTCTACCCTGTGTGCTGTCTCTTCACTTTGTTGATTGTTTCTTTTGCTGTGCAGAAGCTTTTTAGCTTGATGTAATCCCTAGAAAATATTTTAAATTGAATGTAAATGAACACACAATATATCACACGTTGTGAAATGAAGCTATTTGAGGGTTCTAAGGGAAATTTACAGCTTTAAATGCTCATAATAGAAAGGAAGAATGGTTTAAAATCTACCTGAGGAAGAAAGGAAAAAATGCAAATTAAACCCAAACTACAAGGTTGGAAATAATAAAAACACAAGCAGAAATCCGTGAAACAGACAATGGAAAAGCGATAGATAAAATCAATAAGGATGACCAAGAAGCAAAATGTTTGTTCTTTAAAAAGGCTAATAAAATTGATGAAGCCCAGAAAGACTGATTAAAAAAAGAAAGAAAAAACAAATTGTAAATATCAGGCACTAAAGAGACATCATCACTACAGATCCCATGGACAATAAAGGGATGATAAGGTAATATTATGAAAATTGTATGCCAATACATCTGACAACCTAGGTGAAATGGATGAATACCTTGAAAACCACAATTTGTCACAATAAAACAGAAAACCCGAAGAGTCTTACATCAATTATAGAAATTGAATTTAAAAATAAACCCTTCCCCCACATAAAGAATAAGAGTTTCAGATAGTTTTACTAGCAAATTCTCTCAAACTTTTAGGGAAGAAAAAAATACCCATCTTACAAGGATGGATCATGAGGGAATTCTCCCCATCTCAGTTCATGAGGTCAGCATATCCCTGATACCAAAACCTGCAAAGCAATTTCAAACGAGGAGAAAATTATAAACCAACCTCCTTCATGAACGCAGACAGAAGAACTCCCTTTAAAAAGCCCAGCAAATTTAATTCAGCAATATTTTATTTATTTATTTATTTATTTATTTATTTATTTATTTATCTATTTATTTTTGAGATGGAGTCTCACTCGGTTGCCCAGGCTGGAGTGCAGTGGCGCCATCTTGGCTCACTACAACCTCCGCCTCCCGGGTTCAAGTGATTCTCCCACCTCAGCCTCCCGAGTAGCTGGAATTACAGGTGACTGCCACTATACCTGGCTAGTTTTTGCATTTTTAGTAGAGACGGGGTTTCACCATGTTGCCCAGGCTGGTCTTGAATTCCTGACCTCAGGTGATCTGCCCGCCTCAGCCTCCCAAAGTGCTGGGATTACAGGTGTGAGCCACAATGGCCAGCCAAATTCAACCGTATTTTTAAATGATAATGTTTTAATACCAAGTGGGTTTACTCCATGAACACAAGGTTGATTTAGCATTTAATAATCAACTAATATAATTGATCACATAACAGAATGATGAAGGAAAAAACACTTGGTCATCTTAATAGATGCAGGAAAAGCATTTGACAAAACACAACCTCCATTCTCGATTTTAAAAAAAATGCGGCATTTTAAAGATCAAAACAACACACTTTTTCAATTTAATAAAGGGCATCTATGAAAAACCTGAAGGTAAATCATACTTAATGGTGACATATTATTATGCTTTTATTATTATTATGATATTGGAAAGAAGGTAAGAATTCTGGTTGGGCGCGGTGGCTCACGCCTGTAATCCCAACACTTTGGGAGGCCAAGGCGGGTAGGTCTTGAGGTCAAGAGATTGAGACCATTCTGGCTAATATGGTGAAACCCCATATCAACTAAAAATACAAAAATTAGCTGGGCGTGGTGGCGGGTGCTTGTAATCTCAGCTACTTGGGAGACTGAGGCAGGAGAATAGCTTGAACCCGGGAGGTGGAGGTTGCAGTGAGCTGAGATGACACCACTGCACTCCAGCCTGGTGACAGAGTGAGACTTAGTCTCAATAAATAAATAAATAAATAAAACCGAATTCCTACTTTTACCTCTGTATTCAGCCTTGCACTCGAAGCCTGGCCAGTGCAACAAGGCAAGAAAAAGAAATGAATACTATAAAAGTTGGAAAGAAAGAATAAAGCTGTTTTTATTCACAGATAATGTGATTGTAAATGTAGAAAATTCTAATAAGTTTATATAATAATTCCTATGATTAATATGTAAATTTAGCAAGATTTTAGGTTACAAGAGCAAATATACAAAATTCAACTGATTTCTATATATTAATATGAGCAATTGGAGAATAAAATTGACAAGCAATACCATTTAAAATAGCATAGAAAAAATGAAATATCTAGGAATAAGTTTTTCTGAAGACATACAAGACTTCTATACTGAAAACTCAAACCACTGCTGAGAGAAATTAAGGAAGACATAATTAGATGGAGAGAGAATGCCCCGCTTATGGATTAGAAGAGTCAACATTTTTAAGATGGTCATTCTTCCCAAATCAATCTATACATTCAATACAATTCCAATCAAAATCACAACAGAATTCTTAATAGAAATTGGCAAGCTGTTTCTAAGATTTATATGAAAACAGTAAAGGCCCAGAAGAGCCAAACTGTCTTGAAAAAACAACAACAAAGTTTAACCCAAAAATATGAAAACATAAACCCTCAAAAGACTGGTACAAGAATGTTCAAAGCAGCCTCATTCTTAGTAGCCTCAAACTGAAAACGACGCAGATGTCCATCAACAGGAGAGTAGTTGATCAAATTGCAGTACATTCATACAATGAAATACAACTCAGTGATTTAAAAAACGAATTATGGATGCACAACAATGGCGAAGAATCTCACGGACCTTATTTGAACAAATAAGTCCAGACATAAAACACAGTATGATTCCATTTTTACCACCTTCAAGAACAGGCAAAGAAAATGTATGGTAGTAGAAGCGAAGAAAACAGTTGCCTTTGGGTGAGAGTGACATGGATTGATTGGCAAAAGGCATGAGAAAAATTTTTGAGGTGATAAGTGTTCTATATGTTGATTTGGGTGGTTGTTGCATGGGCTGTATCAATTGCCAATATCCATCAATTTTTTTTTCTTTTTCTAGACAGAGTCTGACTGTTTCCCAGGCTGGAGTGCTGTGGCACACTCATAGCTCTGCAACCTTGAAGTCCTGGGCTCAAGCGATCCTCCCACCTCAGCCTCCTGAGTAGCTGGGGCTACTTTTAAATTCCTTGTAGAGAAGAGGTCTCACTATATTTCCCAGGCTGGTCTCAAACTCACAGGCTCAAGGGATCCTCTAGCCTCAGGTTCCCAAAGTGCTGGGATTACAGGCGTGAGCCACTGAGCCCTGCCCAAATTGTTCATTTTAATTTTACGTAGCTTAAACCTCAGTATCAGAGGAAGAAGGGAGGAAGAAGAGAGAAGGAAGCGAGACGAGGGAGGAAAGAAACGTAAGAGAAATCCCAACCAAAAGCAATATATGAACCTTGTTTATCACCTGATTCAAAGCAATCAACTGTAAAAACACATTTTGAGCCAATCAAGAAAAATTGATCATCAACTGGGTAATAGAAGGTATTAAACAATTGCTGTTATTTTTAGTGGGTATGAAAAAGGTATTACTGTCATTTGTTAGAAATATATATGGAAGTATATGAAGGCAAAATAATAAGACGTCTGAGATTTGTTTTAAAATACTTCAGCCAAAAAAGTGGACTGGAATAGTGAAGCAAGTTGGCAAAATGTTGATAATTGTTGAAGCTGAATGAAGGGGATATATTACTACATTATCTCTGTTGTGTCTGTTTACAATTTTCCACTATACAGTTTAAAAAATAAAATTTAAGTTAAAAATTAGTCATCGATTAGGTCATGTCACTCCTCTGTTCAAAATCCTCCAGCACGTCTCATCTCAGAGTAAAACCCAAAATCTTTGACATGTACACAGAAATCTGTCAGTGGGTCGTGAAATCAATCTAGTGCATCATGATCAGCATTTTCATTATATGAAATGGAACAGAAGAGTGAGAAAGAAAGATACTAGAGAATATTACATGTATAGTAAAGATAGGAATTTCTATAGGAAATTGTTTGAGTGCCTGTTTGTGTATGTGCATGTGTGCGTTTCTTTCACTGAATTGTGGTGAAAAGTTTGAGAAACAGCTCTACCTCATCTGCCCCCGGCCCCTGCCCCTCCTGTCTGTCTGCTTTACTCCCCACCCTCTCTTCCCTCCTGCCCTGCAAACCCCCTTGCCGTGCATCCATCGTGCCAGTTCCTGCCCGGGCATCCGCATGGCTCCCTTCCTCATCTTCATCACTCAGCAAGTGAGCAACCTGCTCACTTGTTGCCTTACCAACGAGGCTTCCCCAGTCATTGCATTCAGCACCACTCTCTAGCCTCCTTCATCAGTTTGATTATTCAACTCCATGCACTTACTACACTTGGGTTTACTTGTTCAATGACTCTGCCTACCCCATTCCCATTCCTATCCCAGAATAGCAGCCTCATGAGAGCAAGGGGTTCACTTGTCTTCTTCGCTGTGGTACCTCCAGCACCAAGAATATTGTTTGGTGCATTCTAGGCATTCAATAAATATTTGTTCAGTGAAAAAAATTATTGAGGTCTTCTTTGTGCCCAGGACTGTGCTCAGAGCTGGAGAACGAGCAGTGAACAGGGCAGATGTGGTTCAAACCTTCGGGGAGCAGAGTTTGCAGGAGCAGCAATGTTAGCTGTGGGCCAACATGTTTCAGCTGTGTGAGGCAAGACCATGAGCCAATGTGTTTCAGCTGTGCGAGGCAAGACTGTGGAACAATGTGCTTCAACTGTGCAAGGGAAGGCCATGGGATGACGTGTTTCAACTGTACAAGGCATGGTTGTGTGATGTGTTTCAACTGTGCAAGGCACAGCTGGCAGAAGCACAAGACCTCTCCCAGGCTCTCTGTTGTGAGAGCCTACAACAGAGGGACTTAACTGTGTGCATGTGTGTCATGTCTGTTGTGAGGTGTGTGTGTGTGGTGTATGTGTGTGTATTTGGTATGTGTATATATGTGTTATGTGTATATATGTGGTATGTGTTTATGTGGTATGTGTCTGTGTGGCATGTGTGTATATGGGGTATGTGCGTAAGTGTGTGTCTGTGATGTGTGTGTAAGTGGTATGTGTCTGTGATGTGTGTATGTGAGATGTGTGTGTTGTATGTCTATGTTACATGTGTGTCTTGTGTGTGGTGTGTGTGTGTGTGTCTGTGTTTATGGCAGGTGGGAGGAAGGATGCCTTCAGGGAGAACTTTCCTGAGAAAAACATGAAAACAGACCTATAGATCAATAAAAAGACAAGCAATACAATTAAAAATAAGCAAAAGATCCAAACCAATACTTCACACAAGGGCATATTTGAATGGCCATGAGCAGATGAAAAAGTGTTCGATATCATTAGTCAGTAGTGAAATTAAAATTGAAAGCACAAGGCAATACCACTGCATGCTCATCAGAATGGATAGATTAAAAAGACCGAAAATGCCAAGTGTTGGCAACAATTTGGGAGGAACAGGAACCCATATGCTGCCTGTAGAATGTAAAACAATACAACCACTTTGGGAAACTGTTGGTTTCTAATAGAGTTGGATGTATACCTACTCTTTGATTTATCAATTCCTAGGTATTTACACAAAATAAATGAAAATATGTGTTCATATAAAAGCTTTGTATGCAAATGTTCATAGCAATTGGATTATCAACTTCCAAAAATGGAAACAACTTCAAATGTCTATCAACAGGAGAATGAATGAACAAATTAAGTCTTGTACATTAATGTAATGAAATACTAGCTGGGTGCGGTGGCTTATGCCTGTAATCCTAGCAATTTGCAAGGCCCAGGCAAGTGGATCACCTGAAGTCAGGAGTTCAAGACCAGCCTGGTCAACATGGCAAAACCCTGTCTTTACTAAAAATACAAATAATAATAATAATAATTAACTGGGCGTGGTGGCGTGTTCCTGCAATCCCAGCTACTTGAGAGGCTGAGGCAGGAGAATCACTTCAACCCAGGAGGCAGAGGTTGCAGTGAGCTCAGACTGTGCCATTGCACTCCAGCCTGGGCAACAAGAGTGAAACTCCATCTCAAAAACAAAACAAAACAAAACAAAAAAAGAAATACTACTCAGCAACAAAAAGAAACAAATTGCAGATACACACCATGACATGAATTAATCTCAAAAGCACTATGTGGAGTGAAAGAAGCTGCCAATCACAAAAGAGCAAATACGAATTGATTCCACTTATATGAAGTTCAAGAACAGGCAGCACTAATCTCATAGTGGTAGCTAAACAAAGCAGTGATCGCCTGGTGGTAGGACATTGATGGGAAAGGAACACAAGGGAACTTTCTGCTGTGGTAGAAATATTCTGCATATCTTGATTTGGGTGAAGGTTGATGAAAGCATTCTATATTTCTTCATTTGGGTGATGGTAATGTGGGTATAAATATTTGTCAAAATTCACCAAATGATACACTTAAGATCTATGCATTTTATTTTATGTAAAATATACCTCACCTCTCTCTCATGGGAAAGAAACCTAAGGTACTGAAGGCTGAGTAGAAATTAGCCTTGGGTGAAGGGGAGAAGAGCATTCTAGGCAGAAGGAACCATGTTTGGGATGCTCATGAGGTGGGTAAGGTCTTAGTGTACTCCAAGAACAGAGAGGAACCAGAGGCGTTTGGAGAATGAGGAGAAAGGAGGGCAGTAGATGGGCTAGTGTGTAGGATGGATGGGACTTGGTCTTGCTAAACCTTATGGGCCAGGTAAGAAAAAGAAAACATGATCAGATGCAAGGAAGAATGGATGGGAGAGAGCAAGAGGTGAGAAGGGTGAGACCTCTTAGGAAGTTACTACACTCATCCAGGCAAGACCTGGTTGGGGATTGGGCTAGGCAGGGGCAGGTGGAAACAGAGTATCTTATTCTTATTCACTTTTGGCAGTACAGTCATATTTTGGTGAAATGTGTTTTGCAACCAGGTAGAGAAACGAGAGCACGTTTGTAAGCTGGAGATCCTTACTCACTGTTGTGAGAAGAAGGGATGTAGCTGGTGGTGAGGCTGGGCAGAAGGGCAGGCCAATCCTGCCAATCACTCAGTGGAACCTTTTTGTGTTAATTGCCTCTTGCTCCAAAACAAACTACCCCAAAATTGAGTGACTTAAAAGAACAACCACTTTAGTAGCTCATGATTTTGTCATCTGGATTGGGCTCAGCTGGGTGACTATTCTGCTGATCTTGCTGGTCTGGTGGTCTTCAGTGTACTGAGCTCAGCTGGGACTGCTGGCTTGGCTGGGCCTTTCTCTCTTTCCATGTTCTCCATGTTCTTTTCCATGTGGTCTCTTTAGCAGGATAGCTAGATCTTTTACATGGCGACTCAGGGCTCCCAAGAGCACAAAGCAGAAGCTGTAGACTTTCTTAAGGCTTAGTGGGGCGCTGCCACATTGTATTGGTACTGTGTTGATTGTATTGTATTGTATTGTATTGTATTGTATTGTATTGTATTGTATTGTATTGTATTGTACTGGTTAAAGCACATCACAAGGCTAGCTTAGATTCAAGGGGAGGGGGCCACACCAAGGTCATTAATGTACAGACTATTACAGCCACTTAAGGAGCCATGTGACCTTCGACAAGTTATTCAACCTCTCCAAGCCTCAATTTTCTTATCTTGGAAATGGGAATAATCCTATCACTTACTTCATAGTGTCCTCGTTCAGATTAGATAAAGTAACGTGCAAAGAGTGTGGCAGGGTGCCTGGCCTAGAGTAATGATGGTCATCATCAGTGCATTGCTGCTGCTGCTGTCACTGCAGAAATGTGTGTTTACGGAGCCCCTACACCGTGCAGGCCCTGCCCTGGCCTTACTCTTCTGAAGGAAAGTCTACCCCTACTTAGTGCTGGGAGCAGGCGGCTGCCTGAGAAGAACTCTTACGTGTCTGGTGTCTCTTGCTCTCTGCCAGCATCCATTGCCCAGTGAGAAAGGCCCATTAATCCCTGCAATGCCAGGCGAGGAGCCAGCCAGGCTCTGCCCTCCTCCTTTCCCTCCCATCTTCTTGTTTTCTTTTTGTTAATTAAATATGGGTCAGCTATTGACACGAATGTTGACTGCTGCCATGCCAACCCAGAGAGCATCCTGGAGGGACAGTGGCCTTTGCCCTGCTTCCAGCCTCCACCTCAGGTCTCTGTCCCCTGTGCCTGTGCCTCTCTCTCTCTGTTTCTCTGTCCATCCGTCTCTGTCTGTCTTTTTCATCAGTCCCCACAGGGTGCTCTTCTATGTTTCCAGCCAATTGGCCCCTGAAAAGAGCAGGACACAAGGCCACCTCATCGTCCAGGCAGGTCTTAAAGTCCTATCGCCTCCCAACATTTTCCTAATGTTAAAAGGTCCCTTAGATTTCCTATCCACCATCCCTATATGTTTAGTACCTATCAGTCAGTTGATTAAATGCATAACAATGGAAAGTTACTATGAATTCACTAATGCTTTTAAATGAAAGCATTTTTTTCGTCCTAGCCAGAATAAGGGATACTGTGGCATATATCTGAGAGACATATCATTGATTCTGATTTCAGGCACTATTTGGCAGCCTTTGTGGATTCGGAGCCTGCTGCCCTGCCCCCTACTCTTTGCTGTAATTCTGGGATGCCCACGATGCTCTGTTTACAGATCAGCACCTTGTATTTACCCCTGCTGCTTAAAGCGGGGTCCACAGACCCCATTGTCAGCATCTCCTGGGAGCTTGTTAGAAATGCAGAATCTTGGGACCCACTTCAGACCTACTGATCAGAATCTATATTTTAACAAGTTCTCCAGGTGATTCTTGTGCACATTAAAATTTCAGAAGGCTGCGTTAGTAGAGACGGCTAGGGGTCACCTACCGTCCGTCAATCAACCAGTAGTTGCTGAGTGCAGAGGCTTTGGAACCGGCAACCTGGGTGTGAATCCCAGCTCTTCCATGTGGCACATATGGGGGAGATTCCTCCATGTGTTGGGCCCTGGGGTGGGTGCCAGAAATATGATACAGGGAAAACCAGGCATGGATCCTGTTCTCTGGGCATCTACCGCCTAGTGGGGGAGACATGTGCTAATGAATGTGAAACTGTAAGGCTCTGAAAGAAGTAAACACAGATCCATTCATTCACTCCATTCATTTAACAGGTGTTCATTGAGTACCTACTCCATGCCGGATACTGCTGGGCATAGGAGATATGAGAGCATATACAATAGAACTTGACCTACCCTGGGAAGTCAGGGAGGGCTTCCCTGAGGAAGTGACACTTGAGCAGAGAGTGAAGGATGCACTGGAGTTCACTGAGAGAGGATGGAGTGGGGGTGGCACAAGGTTTTATCACTGAAAGTGTCAAATTGCTGAAAAGACTAGTGTTTTGAACCTGAGAAATCCCCATGGGATACAGCACCAAGAAGTCACTGTTGACGTCCGTGGGAGCTTTTTCTTGGGAGTGATTGGACTGAAGCCAGGTTGGATGGTTGGAGGCATGTGAGTGGGAGGTGAGGAAAAAGAAAGGGTAGGCAAAGTCGTTCCTTTGAAGCAGTTTGCCTGGGAGGGAGGCAGGGAGAAGGCAGATAGTTGGTATGGGTACAGGGGTGGGTTTTCTTTGATTTATTCTTTGTAGCTAGGGAAACTGCTTTTGATGAGCTATGTAACCTTGTGTTTTGCTTATCATCTCTGAGGCCAGTTTCTTCTGTCTCTGTATAATGCAAATAATAGACACAAAATAAAAACCAAACCCGCTGTAAATTAATGATGTTGGAATTCCTCTTAGAAAGTGAAGTGCTCCCGTTTGGAGGAATGCTCTGATTAGAACTGCTTGAGGGTTAAAGAGGAGGCCTCAGAGGCTCTGGGTGTGGGCAGAGCTGACTTGCTGAGCCCCAGGAAGGAAGGTGGCAGCAACTGGAAAGAGAAGGAAGCAGAGAGGGGTGGGCAGTGGCAAATCATCAGGAGACCAAAACCTCTGGGACTGATGAGGAAGGCGGCCAACCCCAGCCTTCCCCCAATATTCCAGCAACCTTCTCTGCTCACAAACTCCTTGGTGCAAGTGGACATTTTTTGTGGAGGCCCTTGAGAACCTGTGGATTTCCATGTCTGATCTGATGAGAATCAATTAGACTGAGGCAGCCCAAGAGGGGCAGGACCCAGACACAGGGAGAGGTGTGCAGAAGGAAGCCCCAGCAGTTCTCAGCAATCACAGATAGGGCTCTTTGAATGACAGGGATAGAGAAACCAAGGGTCTGGTTTATCCAGTTCTTCAAGGGGCATGGAGACCACTGCTAACATTGGATTAGATCCTATGCAGAGGCACTGCACTGCAAAGCTATTTTATGGGAAATGACATAAAATAACTTTGTTACCTTCATTCATGTCACTAGATTAACAGTCACATATTAGGCACCTGCTAGGTGCCTTATGCACTGTTGTGGGCATCAGAGTTGCAACATTTTATGAAATAGACTTGAATCCTTGCCCTCCTGGAGCTTACATTGTAGAAGAGGGAGTCATACAATAAGCAAATGAAAACACATAGTATATTACATGATGATAGGAGCTAGGGAGAAAAATAGAAGAGATTTGTTTATAGTTTCATGAAGGAAGAGGGACAGAGAGTACCAGAGCTGGATGTATATGTTGGGGAGAGGGAGGTTCATTTAAATAGTGTGGTCAGGGAAGGCCTTAGTGTAGGGTGACCTTGATCAACTCTGAAGAAGGTGAGACGTGAGCCCTGGGGACATTTGAAGGACATTGAAGACCATTTCAGATAGATGAAATTTAGCAAAGGGGTTTCCATCCAGCTGGGAAGATGAGACTTACTCAAGCATCACCAACCTGGTCTTCACTATCCATATTTCTATCACAGTTATCATAGAAATATGGACAATGAAGGCCAGGCTGATGAATGACAGGCTTGTTTCAGATGGAAATGAGGAATTCATTGGGAACTGGAGCAAAGGTCATGCATGTTACACCTTAGTGAAAAACATAGCTGTATTGTGTCCATGCCCTAAACATCTGTGGAAGTTTGAACTTCAGAGTGATGGCCTAGGGTATCTGATAGAATAAATGTCTAAGCAGCAAAGTGTTCAAGAAGTGGTTTGGCTGCTTCTTAACAACCTATGCTCAGATGCAGGAGCAAAGAAATGACTTAAAGTTGTATTTTATATTTAAAAGGGAAGCACAGCATAAAAGTTTGGAAAATTTGCTGCCTAGTCATATGGCAAAGAAAGAAAAAGTTTTTTTGGGAGAGGAATTCAAGAAGGCTGTGGAGCAACTACCTGCTAGAGATATTTGCATAACTAAAAGGGAGCCAAGTGCTAATATCCAAGACAATGGGGAAAAGGCCTTGAGGGTGTTTCAGAGACCTTTGGGGTAGCCTCACCCATCACAGGCCCAGAACCTTAGGAGGAAAGAGTGGTTTTGTGAGTCAGGGCTAGGGCCCCACTGCCCCACAGGCCCCCAGGATACTGATCCCTGCATCCTGGCTGCTCTGGCCCCAGTTGTGGCTCTAAAGGGCCCAGACACAGCTCAAGCCACTGCTCTGGAGAATGAAAACCATAAGCCTTGGCAGTTTCCATGTGGTGTTAAGCCTGCAGGTTCACAGAGTAAAAGAGTTGAGGCTTAGCAGCCTCTGCTTAGATTTCAGAGGATGTATGGAAAACCTAAGTGTCTAGGCAGAAGCCTGCTATAGGGGTGGAGCTCTCACAGAGAACTTCTACTAGAGCAGTGCCAAGGGGAAATGTGAGGTTGAAGCCCCCACACAGAGTCTCCAATGGGGCACTGCCTAGTGAAACTGTGAGAAGTGGTCCACATCCTCCAGACATGAGAATAGTAGATCCACCAGCAGCTTATACCCTGTGCCTGGAAAAGTCACAGGCACTCAACCCCAGCCCATGAGACCAGCCAGGGGTAGCTGTACCTTGAAAAGCCACAGGGGTGGAGCTGCTCAAGGCCTTAAGAGCCCACCCCTTGCACCAGTGTGCCTTGGATATGGGACATGGAGTCAAAGAAGATTATTTTGGAGCTTTAAGATTTAATGACTGCTCTGCTGAGTTTTGAACTTGCATGGGGCCTGTAGCCCCTTTCTTTTGGCCAATTTCTCACTTTTGGAATGGGAATATTTACCCAATGACTATATCCCCATTGTATCTTGGAAGTAAAGAACTTGCCTTTGATTTTAGAGGCTCACAGGCGGAAGGGACTTTCCTCATCTCAGATGAGACTTTGGACTTAAACATGAGATTTGGGAGGGGCCAGGGGCAGAATGATATAGTTTGGATCTGTGGCCCCTCTTACCAAATCTCACGTTGAATTGTAATTCCCAGTGTGGGAAGTGGAGCCTGATGGGAGGTGTTTGGATCATAGGGGTGGATCCCTCATGGTTTGGTGCTGTCTTCATGATTGTGAGTTGTCGTGAGATCTGCTCATTTAAAAGTGTGTGGCGTCTCCCTCTTAATTATCTCTCCTTTTCACCATGTGATGTGCCTACTCCCCCTTTGCCTTCCACCATGAGCGTAAGCTTCCTTAGCCCTCCCTAGAAGCCAAGCAAATGCCAGCACCATGTTTCCTATAAAGCCTGCAGAACTGTGAGCCTGTTATACCTTTCTTTCATATAAATTGCCCATTCTCAGGTATTTCTTTATAGCAACGTGATAATGGCCTAATACATGACTTGAATGACAGCTCATCCTCTTGACAGCACAAACAGCCCCTCCTCTGAGAAGCCTTCCCTGACTTCCCTCTCTCCATCAAGACCTGCAGGCCCCTTCCTCCGGGCACCTCTATACCTTGTATCCACCACTATCAGCGCTTGTCTTGCTGTGCTCTATTCTTTATTTTTACATGTGTCTACTCTAGGAGGCTGTGTGCTTGGGGCTTGGCTAGTCCATATATTTGTTATTCCAGTACCCAGCACAGGGCTGACACCTAGAAGGAGAGCATGGCTAGAGGTGGGCAGGGAGTGGAAGGCAGGCTGAAGAGAGGATTTGAGGCCTGATTGGAGGAGACAAGGAAAGTAAATCTGGGTGTGCTGGATAAGATGGTTTTCAGAAGGAGAACTGGGCAGGAAATCAACTAGCAATGATGCTAACAGACACAGCAATGGGGATAGTGGGAGGAAGTTTGCCCTAATCATGAGAAGGGAGAATGAGGAAGAAAGGAGAGGCAGGAGAGACTTCAAGGAGAACTTGCTGCTTAACCACAGAGTGTGGAGGAGAGGGTATCACTGATGATGACCCAAGCTTGGATGCTTGGAGAAAAGAGAATGAGGATCGCACCACGTTACGTGCACTACATGGTTTATCTCACTGATCCCCTCTACTTGAGATTGTTTTCATTTTACTCCCTGGAGAGTGACTCTTAAACGATGTTCCTGACATCGGAATTTGAATAATAACATTAATATAACAGGGCAGTCCAATGGCTATTAATTCACATTAGTCTCAATTCTGGGTGCCTTTAGTGGAATCTAGAAATTTGTATACAAACAGTCAGTGATGATAAGACACCTGCTGAACAGACACATCTAAGGCTGGATTCATAGGGGCTATGAAATAATAATAATGATAATGATGAGCCTACATTGCCAGAGTACATTAAAATCAGAGTAATTAGTTAATTTGAAATAACAATACCCATTAAGATCATTAAGAACACCTTAACTCGATTTAGTATCCCAGCTGTAAGCTTCTCAAAGGTTTTCTCAGGAATCATCTAATTCAGATTCGGAATAAGATGAAACTCCCTATTCCTTTCCTTCATTTGATGAGCATTTATTGAGCACCTACTAGATGCCACATTCTCAGCTGGGACTGGGATATAAAGAGAAACAGGACAGGGCCCTGTCCTCGGGGACCTTGTTCTTTAGGGAAACAGATGGCCCTGGGAATGGTCAGTGATCACTCAGGGTGGCTGGGGAGTCCCGAGGAACACAGAGGAGGGGAGGTCAGTGTGTCCTAGGGTGAGGGAGCCTGCAGCCCAGAGAGGCTGAACAAAAGCATAGCTAACATTCATCGGTGCTGCCTGGAATGATGACTGTGAAGATGAGCTAAAGTGACCCTGAAAACCAAGCTTGTCAACCTGTGTTTGCCATGAAGCAGGAAATTCAGAGGTATATTTCCTGGTGGGGAGGATGGAGCCACAGTTCTGGACCCTTCTCTTTCATTACACTCATCACATCAAAGCTCCAGAAGTTGGGTTCAGAGTCTGGACCTCCCTCTTTGTGAATAAAAAGACAAAAAGACCTCTGAGGAGACCCCATTCTCTAGGGGGCCTATTGAGGAAGTGCTGGATTGACATGTGAGACCCCTCCCTGCTGGGATCTGGTTAACCAATTTGCTCCTGAGTCTGTTTTTCAGATGTGCAGCCACCTCCCGCTAGCAGGCTTGAGAAGTGAGGGTAGCAGGTTCTAGGTTCAGGGAAGAGCCAGTGCAAAAACCCTGGGGTTTCCATGTTCCAAAGCTGTTGGAGATCAGCGCTGCTGAACTCTTGACAAGGTAGAGGTTGGTCCAAGAGGGGCCCGTGGGAAGAGTTTGGACCCCATTCTAAGGGCAATGGGAAGGCACTGAAGGATTTCCAGGGGAGTGATGACATGAAAACATTTACATTTTTATAAATAATCCCTCTCGTCCCTGAGTGGAGGCTGGATTGGAGGTGAGTCTCCAGATCCCTGCTTTCCAATAAGACTTTCTGAGATGTTGGAAGTGTTTGCATCTGCAGTGTCCAGTGCAGCGGCCCCTGTAGGGTATATGAACCTAAGAGCAATAACTTATTTTCTTAGAATGACACTGTGGCAGCACGTCTAAATGTGTGTCCCAAGCTAGGGAATCTGGCGTGGCCAACTCGAAGATTCGTTCTTTACCTGTGAGGAGCATCTGAGCCCCCAGTTTGTCCCGTGGAACATGGGCTGTACAGGAGATTGAGGCCCCGAGTTTTGGGATCAATGAAGGTGCCAGGTGGAGGTCATTTAGGGGAGGGTGTTAGGTGAAATGCTATGGAGACTGTGTACCGTTTGCAGGCAGTTGGGGTTTTCCTGGCCAGCCCGACGCCACTGTACTGTAGGGAAGGTGGATGTGT
This sequence comes from Homo sapiens, assembly GCF_000001405.40. Lineage (NCBI taxonomy): Eukaryota > Metazoa > Chordata > Mammalia > Primates > Hominidae > Homo > Homo sapiens. The sequence continues at coordinate 73,690,001 of NC_000017.11, forward strand.
TGTCAGCCTTTGCTACTGGACTCTCTCTCCTGTATGTAAGCCTCTAATAATACTCCATGTCTTGTTTGCTGGCTCTGGGTCTCCTGTTTGGCCTCTTGAACCTGGTGCCTTCCCTACGGAGGTTAACAGGGGTTTGGCACAACAGCCCCTCATTCCCAGTGGCTGTGGAACAGCTGAAATGGGGCTCGTGTGACTGGGGCTGAGTTCAGCTAGCTGATTTAAATGTAAATACCCCCATATGGCCAGCGGCTGTCCTGTTGGACCCAACTCCAGACCTTCCTCTAGGAGCGGGGAGGACTGGAGGTTTCCCCCAAATCCTGGTTGCCACGCCCACCCTTGTCCTCATCTCTAGCGTCATGAGGATGCATTCTGAGAAGCAGGATGGCTGGGTCAAAGGGGAGGAATGCTTTTAGGATTTCTCTGTTCCTATTTTCAAAGCACTCTCCGGAAAAGCTCCACGCAAGTACTCTGTCACTGTGGCGACTGTGAGGGAGAGCCACTGCCGGTATCCTCGACTTGGGAATGACCTTTTCTTCTCTTGCCTTCTCCAGCTTGAGGGGCGGGGGTGGCTGATGAAGGAGCTGACTTCAAACTAGTCTTGGTGGCTCCTTCTGACCTCCCCAACGATGGCCCTCCCTGGGGTATCCATTGCAGCCCCTAAGTACTCCCAAACCCATTTTCCAGAATTAAAAAAACAAAACAATCCATGACTCTATCTTGGATTCCCAGGACACAGATCAGTGCTTCCTCTGGCCAGGAGGGGCCTGGGCTCATCCCAGGCGACGTGGGAGGAGCAAGCTTGCAGTTCCTCCTCCTTTCTCGGCTCCACCCACATGATGGGTGTAGCTCCACTGCATGATTTCTCAATTAACAACCCCAATCCTCTGGATTACCGTTTCTCATTTGCGGGGATTATTAGCAGTGAAAATACTAACAATCATGATAAATATTGGCTGCAGCCATCCACGCTGCCCCGAGCCCCTGCTCTCCCACTCCGTGTAATTAAAAAGCGAGCCAACTGGGCAAATAAAAAGCCCAGATGGCCCCTCCGGCCTCAGAGAGGACATGGGAGGATCATGGACCCCAAATAGGCCATTAATGCCATTCCAGAGCCACCAGCAAATATGGAGCAAAACAAATGAAGCTCAACTGCAAAGGGAGAAGCCTAATAAATCTTGCCCAAAGTGGCTTTCACTTGGGGCCTGAGGCTGTAATTGGAGGGGTGATGGCGGGAGCAGCTCCCTCTCTGCCTTTGCTCTGACCACTGGGTCCTGAGCTCCCCCCATGCAGGCAGACACGACAGACACCTCTCATTTCCCATTTGTGACCCAACCCTGACCTGTCTTTGGGGCTCTCGGGACAGCCTGGCCCTTTCTTCCTTCCGAGTCCCCGGCTGCATGCTTTTCATTCCAACTTCAGAACTTCCTCCGCTGTCAGCCTGATCTGCCCCCCGCCTTGCACCTGGTCTGTTCATGGCCATGCCACCCCCAGCTTCCCCCTTCTCCTACAGTCTTCCCTGTCTCCCCTCTCCTATGCCCCTTCCTTTCTGCAAAGCTGGTCTCCGAAGTCACTGCCTCCCAGCAGCTTTCCCTCATACAGCCCACCTTTTGCAGACGATTTATTCACATGGGGCCTCTCTGGGGTCTGGGAGGAGCTGCACCCTGAGCTCCGCCCTTGAATGACTCATGTGACCCTAGGCAAGTCAAGGCCTCTCTCTGGTCCTCAGTGACCCCAGCGGCAGAAGGGTGGCTTTCTCAGAAGAGCGTTTTGAGGATTAAACAAGATACTCCAAACAAAGGGGCCTACACAGAGGTGGCACGTAGGAGGCATAGAAGGTATTTAACTAAAGTTAACGGAATGGCTCTCTTACCCCACACCTTTCCACACTTAGGGGCCCAGTTTGCATAGAACATCTAGTTCATATTGCAGTGGGTATATTCTTTGTTCTTTAACTGTATCTTCCCATTAGACTGAGGTGATCACTCCTTCTATTTGTCCTTCCTTACAATAGCTGAAACACGGGTCCACGTGCTGGGGCTGCCAAATTCGTGATGCAAAAAGATGAGATGGTGAATTATTGGGATAAGTCTTCTTTCTCTTTCCCCCGGGGAAGCTGTTGAGCCACACTCGCAGCTGGCTGGGACTCCTGGAGAGTTATTTACGAGGGTGGCTACGAGGGGTCTATGTCACTTGCTTCTGGTCTTCGGGCCTGATATTTGGGCAGCAATTGTTCCCCCAGCTCTGGAGACAATAAAATTAATTTGGCTTCCAAAGCAGTATGGTCTGAGCTGCTTCTACCCATCCCCATCCCCACCACACACACACTTCCCTGGAGGGCAGGCTTCCCTTACATCTTGTTCTACTCCATCTGCCTCTTGCAGTTGAGTTTGGGGTCTTCTAACCTTGCCTAAGAACGCAGAATATGATCTAGATTTCCAACAATGGGGAGTTTGTTAAATAAATTACAGTGCCATATGCGCACTTATGATATATTTTCAATGCAAAAAAAGCAGGTTGCAAAACAGTTTGTGAAGTAAGAACCTATTTTGGTTAGAAAAAAATTTCCCAACTATAGATGTATGGGCCAAAAATTGTCTGGAAGAATGACTGTACACCAAAATGTTAGCAATAGTTTTTCTGCTTTTTTTAAAACTTTGTTTCCTGAGTAGTGGGCTAATAAAGGATTTTGACTTCTTTCTTGGTGCAAATCTGCAATTTTCTGATTTGTTTACAATGAACATGTATCTCTCCTGTCTCAACTAAATAAACAAATAAAGAAAAGCACCACCAGGTTCTCCCAGGCCTTGTTTGCATACATTTGCATGCTGTCCAATCAAATGCCATCCATCAAAGCTCCATTTCATCAGCCCTCAAGAATTGCTGAGGCTGGGCTTGCCTTCTTGGTTACGAGGCCATGACGGGCAGTCGCTCAGCCCTCCTTAGGAAGACCCAGGCACACCCCTGTCTGAGAGCTGAACCCAGCCTACCTACCTCGCCCCCCGCAACAAGTCTCTATCTAGCATCCCAGCTCCTGTGAGACTACAATGGTGACACCAGCCCAGAGGCAACAACAGCTCGGTTGTCACATTTCCAACCTTGAAGGCGTCTTGATTCCACTCGGTTGGCAGCATTTTCATGTTATTCTCAGTGCTTTGACCTTAAGTGGCTGCTTTTCCTCTCTTTCTCTTTCCCTTGTGTTTCGCCTCCCCCTCCTCCTCTCCTCTCTCCTGACTGTGATTGCCTGAGCCAGGCATCTGAGCTGTCTCGAGCTTGCCTCCTATTTTTGTACTTTGTGAAACCAGGGGATACAAAGGGCTGTGAGTACCGCGCAGCTCTCAGTCCTGGGACGAGGCGTCTGTCTCCTTGCTTTGGCTGGGACCGGATCGCATCTTGAAAACAGCAGCAAAGCATAAGCCAGGGGAAGATCATGCTTGCTAATTGGTGCAAGTTTCGTCTGACTCTTCATCAACGGAAATACAATAGATCCAGGAGCACGCACACACACACGCCCCTCCCAAAAGGACCGAAATTCTGCTCAGAGGATCCTGTCAGAATCACGTGCCCTTAGACCAAATGAACAAGGTATATCTCTTGTAGCTGAGGACATTTGGTAGGATGAAAACCTCTACTTCCAGGATGCCCCTTGATCGTGTAATCTTTAACTCATCTGTTCTAGTGTTCCATGACAACCACCATCAGCAAGTTACAATTTGTGGAATATTGGTTTTGTGCCTGATGGATATGGTCACATTCAATCCCAACACTTATTAGTTGAATAACTAACTTGTATTGTGTGCGTAAAGCACTCAGAACAGTGTCTGACACTTGGGGAGCATGCAATAAAAGTTCATTATTCAATCTTCCTGACAAGCCTGGAAGGTGTGTACTATGGGGTGGCCATGGTGTTTGGAACAGAGATGATGATCTTACCAACCATTGCAATATCAATAATCTCTTTATTGGATATTTACCTCTGTTTCCAGGCCTAGTGATCACTCTGCATTTTACCCCCATCCCACCACGGAGGATACAAAGATTTAGGCACAGTCATTGCTTGCATTAGGCAGCTGGTGAGGGGTGGGAGGTAAAATTCGCAGTCTTCCCTGTTTGATTCCATAGCCCATTGGAAGTTCTCCTCTTGCATGTCTTCCTCTTGCGGTTTAATTCTCTTATTATGTCCTTGGTGGAGGATCATCTCAAGATCGTCCTTCATGAGCGACATACACTGAATGTGTGTCCTCCCAAAATTCCTATGTCGAAACCTAATCCCCAGTGTGACCGTATTTGAAGGCAGTGCCTTTGAGAAGTGGTTAGGTCATGAGGGTGGAGCCTCATGAATGAGATGAGTGTCTTTATAAAAGATACCCCAAAGACAGACCTCCCTCATCCCTTTTACTATGTGATGACACAGCAAGAAGGCATCATCTATGAACTAGGAAGTGGTCCTCCCCAGACACCAACTCTGCCAGTGCCTTGACCTTGGACTTCCCAGCCTCCAGAATTGTGAGCAACAGATTTCTGCTGTTTATAAGCCACTCAGTTTATGGCATTTTGTTACAGCAGCTTGAATGGACTAAGATGGTGAGTTTGTGGCTGGTTATCCTTTCACCTCGGGGGCCTGCTTCCCGCCTGTCCTGGGGAGGGAGTGGGTATAATGCTTGCCTCCTTTCTAGTGCTCAGGGTTCCAGGGAAGTCCATGAGGTGGTGGGAAGAGGGAGCTATGGTGTCTGGGGGATGAAAGCTAAGGACAAAGGTGAGGGGTGGGGTTTCTAAGCTCCAGGCTGCCAGCTCCATTGGTGGCCTGCCTACCTTGGCCTAGGGACTGAAGCAGTGGGCCCAGCTGCCCTCTCTCTCCACATGGAGTTTGTGGAAAGAAGAACACTACAGGGCCCACCTGGCAGAGATTTCACCTGCATCTCAGTGAGTGTTTGATGCCAGAGCTGCTTGCTGGGCTTGACGGGAGCCCCAAGGGGCAGGACTTTGTCTTCTTTATGTCTCGTTCAGCACCTGCTGTGCTGTCAGACCTGGCTCCAGACACATGAGGCCAGCTGGCCTCCAATGGTCTCTCCTGCCTCTAATCACACACCAGCCATGCACATCCAACCATACATACACCCATGCATACACAACCACACATGCATGCATGTATATAGAACCAGATGTACATGCAACAAAACATGCATGCACACACAACTGCATGCATGTGTGTACATACAATAACACATGCACACACACCTCTGACACATGAATGTACACACAACCACACATGCACATGGAGGTGGAGGGTCGGGAGGACTCTGCTACCCCAGAGCTGGACTTTCAGGCCCCACTCTGCCCAGACATGCCCAGTCCCTGGTGCCAGCTGAGGGGAGGGCCCTGAGGATAAGAGAGGCTGGCAGACATGAAGTCCTCACATCCTACAGCTGCTCTGCCTTGTGCAAGAGTCCACAGCCCAGCCCACACCTTTCCTGCCTGGTTTCTCTCCATCTATGAGACCTGCTATCCAGAGCCTGGAGGGCTGGTCTGCATGGGGTGAAGGTGATGTGTTGGCTAAGTTTTGATGACACATGGGGCAGATAATATCTGTGGTGCAATGCACATCCTAGAGCTCCCCATGGGGCCAGGCTGAGGCTACACTTCCCTCAAACCATCTTTGCCTAACTTCCCTCCTGCCCTAGCCCACTTCCCTCTTTCCCTTACAAATTTCTCCTGATGTCATTCCCTTCATAAACCACGTGCCCAGGAATCCCTCTGTCAGACTCTGCTTCCAGGAAACCTGTCCTGGGATGGTGTCCCATAGGCCCTGGAGCTCACACCATAGGGCCACCAGTGGTTAGAGTACAACTAGGCCTCTAAGACCTGCTCTCAACTCTCTGGGGGAGCTTCAAGTCTTGGGGTTCTCTGGCATGACCCTCATCTTCCCACCCCCACAATTACATGCATGCACACCCATACCCATGATACACTCATGCATACACAACCACACATGTGCACACACACAACCACATGCATACATGCACACACAACCATATATCATTTATGCACATATAACGACACATACACCCATGCATACACTACTGCACATACATGCATGTATATAGAACCAGACATGCATGCATGTACACACAACCAAGAACATGCATACACACACAACTGCACACACATGCACACACACCTATCTTACTCATGCATATGCAACCACACATGTGTGCACACACAAGCACATGCTTACATGTAAACACAACCATACATATGTGCATTCACACACAATCACACACCAGCCATGCACGTCCAACCACACATACACCCATGCATACACAACCACACATACATGCATGTATATAGAACCAGATGTACGTACAACAAAACATGCATGCAAACACAACCATATGCATGTGTGTACATATAACACATGCACACACACCTCCAACACATGAATGTACACACAACCACACGTGCATACATATACAAACACATGTATGCACACACAACCACACACATGCATGCACACACACCCCTGATACACTCATGCATATGCTACCACATGTGTGCACACACAACCACATGCATACATGTAAACACAATCATAGACATGTGCATGCACACACAACCACACAGCCATGCACATACAACCACACCTACAACCATGCATACACAACCACACATACATGCATGTATATAGAACCAGATGTACATATAACCAAACACATACACACACACACAACCACACACATGTACATAAAGTAACACATATGCACACACCTCCAACACATGCATGTACACACAACCACACACACATGCATATGCAATCAAACACATGCATGCACACACAGCCACATACATGCATATACAATCAAACACATGCATGCACACACAGCCCACACACATGCATATACAAACACATGCATGCACACACAGCCACACACATGCATATACAATCCAACACATGCATGCACACACAGCCACACACATGCATATACAAACACATGCATGCACACACAGCCACACACATGCATATACAATCCAACACATGCATGCACACACAGCCCACAGACATGCATATACAATCAAACACATGCATGCACACACAACCACACACATGCATGCACACACACCACATGTATACACAACCACACATTTGTGCATGCACACAGCACACACTGGGCTTGGGGGGTCTTTGGCATGACATCTCCCCTCCCTGAGGCTCCTGTGGCTCTCTGGAATTTGAGAGGTGAGAGGAGTTGATTACCAACCACTGGCCTTCCCTCAAGGCCAAGGTCATGCTGAAGGCTCAGCATTTCCACTCTCCCCTTCATTTTTCCTTTCCGGGGAGAAGGATGGTCTCCCAGGAAGTCTCTAAGGTTGGAAATTGATTTCTTGATTTCCACATGCAGTTTGCTTCCAATTCAGGGCATAGAAAAATGCAATCCTTCTTTCATTGATCCTTGTCAAACAGTGCGGTGGCTGGAATCAAAGGGGCAGGGGTTGCAGGGGATTCCCCAGTGTCCTCCTGTGCTCAGAGAGAAATCCGGCTTCAGAGGAGCCCATCTCCTTATTAGTTTTAAAGATGTATAACCTGTTTTGTTTCTTGGTTAGTTTTTCCTCCTTTTGCGGCAAACAGTACAGACACAGGAGGGCTTAAAACTGCTGTCTTTGTGTGGAAATTCCCCTTGCCGGAAGTGTCTAGGTCCGCTTTTTGTGAATAACTCATTGACTAAACATTATGCCCCTGCCTGGAACCTGAGAGATAGACCCCACTAAACAGCCTCAGTTCCCCTACTTGCCAGCATCACCCAAATTATGAGAAGTTATCTTCGCCCCACACTCCATCTGCAGATTGCCTGTAGAGATCTAAACCCCAGACCCTGTTTTCCATGAACAGGATAGCAGGAGTAAGTTGTGCTTCTTCACTGGCATGGGTTGGGTGGCCTCTTACTGGCATGGGGAACTGGGGAGTGATGGGGTAAGGACAGCCAGTAGGAGACTCACATCTTTGGCTTGTGAGGCCCCTAGCGGTGTCCTTGGCCATGGTCACTCTCCCAAGTGTGCCTCAGTGCCTGCCTGGCTCTTTCCTCGTGAACCTTGTCCCTGTTTGTCCCAGCAGGTGCTCTGAGCCTTGTTGTCGCAGCCAGCTTGTTCTTGGCATCACTCCAATCTTGCCATGCTCCCTTTGCGTAACCACCATTGTTCCTACTGTCCTCTTTTTTAGGAAAAAGAAAAGCTACTCCAGCTTCTGGGAAGAAGAGATGCAACCCCACACGTTTTAATTTTTTTTCCTCTCCTTTCATTTCTGTCCCCATTCGTGGGTGCTCTCCAGTTCTCAGGTGTTATGGGATGAATTATGTCCTCTCAAAATTCATACCGAATAGAGGTTGAAGTCCTTGCCCCCAAAGACCTGAGAATGTGATTCTATTTTAGGGATAAGGTCTTTAAAGGGGTGATTAGGTTAAAATGAGGGTATTGGGGGGCCCTAATTGAATCTGACTTATATTCTTATAAGAAAAGGACATTTGGACACATGATGAGACACCAGGGACCTGCGTGCACCGATGAAAGACAGTGTGGGAAGGCAGCTACTTGCAAGCCAACAAGAGAGGCCTCCGAAGAAACTGACCCTATTGATATCCCCATCTTGGACGTCCAGGCTCTAGAATGATGGAAAAATAACTGTCTGTTGTTTCAGCCCTCCAGGCTGTGATCTTTTGTTATGGCAGCCCTGGAAACTGGGTGAAAAAGCCATTTTTACCAAACCACATGTTAGCCAGTAGGGATGAGTGGACGGTAGGGCACTGCTTGGGACAGTGTCAGATCCCAGCTGTACTGCTCATCACTGTGTGGCCTTGGGCAAGTTCCTCACCCTCTCCATGCCTCAGTTTACTCATCTCTAAAATAGAACGATGACAATACTTACCTCACAGGGTGCTTATGAGGATGCAGATTCTCAGAAAGTATCTAGAACAATCCCCAGCACCAAGGCAGCCCCCTCCCCCAAGTATGAGCTGATACCAGCGGATTCTGAAAGCTCAAGCTAGAAGGCTGTGCAGGCGTGCCTTTCCCCTCCTGGACCACTCTCCTCTCAGGCTGAGCCTCTGTGAAGGTCAGTGACCACCTCCTCTCACATCTGAGAAACAGAGAATTGAGAGCCTGCCAGTGCTGGTGGAATCTGGGCTGGGTTTGTACACGGACCCCTGCACCTGTTCCACCCATGCCAGGGAAGCCCTCGGCAGACCTCTGTGCTGCTGCAAGATGGGCACACTATCTGTCTCCCACTTTGAACGGTGAGCCTTGCTGTCCCCAAGAGGAAGGGCAAATGCACTTGGCAGGGACCTCCACTTACAGAAGGAAGAGATCCAGGTTTGGAATCACAGACCTGGCCTTCAGTCTCCTTCCATCATTTACCAATCATGGTACCTTCACCTTGTCATTCAGTCTCTCCGAACTGCAGTATTTTCATCTATAAGTGAACAATGATACTATGTACCTCATAACATTATAGTAAGGATGTAATAATATTTTAAGTACCTAATAATAGTAAATTTTATAAGAGCTACTTATTAAACGCTATTTATTAAAGAAGGTAAGATGTATACCAGAAAGGACAGTGTGTTATTTAGAGATACAGCATCCCTTGAAGGTGTTGCAGGTTTGGTTCCAGATCACTGCAATAAGGCAAATATTGCAATAAAAAAGTCGCACAAATATATCGGTTTCCCAGTGCATATATTATAAAAGTTACATTTACACTATAATGCAGTCTATTAAATGTGCAATAACATTATGTCTCAAAAATGTACATATCTTAATTTAAAAATATGTGATTTATAAAAAATGCTAATGACCATTTGAACCTCAGCAAATAATTGTTTTGCTGGTGGAGGGTCTTGCCTTGATGTTAATGGTGGCTGACTGATCAGAGTGGTGGTTGTTGAAAGTTGCTGAATGGCTGTGGCAATTTCTTTCTTGTTTTTTTTTTTTTTTGAGATGGAGTTTTGCTCTTGTTGCCCAGGTTGGAGTGCAATGGCGCGATCTCGGCTCACTGCAACCTCCGCCTCCCAGGTTCAAGCGATTCTCCTGCCTCAGCCTCCCTAGTAGCTGGGATTACAGGCATGTGCCACCATGCCTGGCTAATTTTGTATTTTTAGTAGAGACGGGGTTTCTCCATGTTGGTCAAGCTGGTCTCGAACTCCCAACCTCAGGTGATCCACCCGCCTCGGCCTCCCAAAGTGCTGGGATTACAGGCATGAGCCACCGCACCTGGCCGGCAATTTCTTAAAATAAGACAGCAATGAGGTTTGCTGTTGGACTTTTCCTTTCATGAAAGATTTCTCTGTAGTATGTGTACCGTTTGATGGCATTTTACCCATAGTGGAAATTTTTTTCAAAGTTGGAGTCTAATTCCAAATCATCTCAAATTCTGCTGCTGCTTTATCAACTAAGTTTATGCAATACTGTAAATTCTTTGTTGTCATTTCAACAATGCTTGCAGCATCTTCACCAGGTGTAGATTCCACCTCAAGAAGCCACTTTCTTTGCTCATCCATAAGAAGCAGTTCCTCATCTGTTTGGATCTGACCATGAGACTGCAGCAATTCAGTCACATCTTCAGGCTCCACTTCTAATCCTAGTTCTCTTGCTATTTCCACCCAACTGTAGTGACTTCCTTCACCGAAGTCTTGACCTCCTCAAAGTTATCCACAAGGGCTGGAAACTTCTTCCAAATTCCTGTTAATGTTGATAGTCTTACCTCCTCCCAGAAATCATGAATGTTCTTAATGGCATCTATTAATAGAATGATAAAAAAAAATCCTTTCCAGAAGGTTTTCAATGAATTCTGCCCATATCCATCAGAAGATCTACCATGATCAATGGCACCTACAGCCTTACAAAATATATTTCTTCAATAATAAGACTTAAACATCAAAATTACTCCTTGGTCCATGGGCTGTAGAATGGATGTTGTGTTAGCAGTCATGAAACAACATGAATCTCCTTTTACATCTCCATCAGCACTCTTGGGTAACCAGGTGCATTACCAATGAGCACTACTATTTTGAAAAGAATATTTTTTTCTGAGCAATAGGTCTCAACAGTGGGCTTAAAATATTCAGTAATCTATACTATAAACAGATGTGCTGTCATCTAGGCTTTCTTATTTTGTTTATGAAACACAGGAAGAGTGGATTTAGCATAATTCTTAGAGACCCTAGAATTTTCAGAATGACACAGAGCGTTGGCTTCAACTTGAAGTCACCAGCTGCATTTGCCTCTAACAAGAGGGTCAGCCATCCTTTGATGCTTTGAAGCCAGGCACTGACTTCTCCTCTCTAGCTATGAAAGGCCTAGATGGCATCTTCTTCCAACAGAAGGCTGTTTTGTCTACCTTGAAAGTCTGTTGTTTAGCGCAGCCACCTTCATCAATTGTGCAGCTAGATCTTCCAGATAATTTGCTGCTGCTTCTCAATCAGCACTTGCTGCTTCACCTTGCACTTTTAGGTTATGGAGATGGCTTTTTTTTTTTTTTTGATGGAGTCTTGCTCTGTCACCCACTTTGGAATGCAGTGGTGTGATCTTGGCTCACTGCAACCTCCGCCTCCTGAGTTCAAGCGATTCTCCTGCCTCAGCCTCCTGAGTAGCTGGGATTACAGGCATGCACACCATGCCTGGCTACTTTATTTTTATTTTTGTATTTTTAGTAGAGATGGGGTTTCGCCATGTTGGTCAGGCTGGTCTTGAACTCCTGACCTCGTGATCCGCCCGCCTTGTCCTATCAAAGTGCTGTGATTACAGGCGTGAGCCACTGTGCTCAGCTGGCTTTTTTTCTTCCTTAAACCTCATGAACCAACCTCTGCTAGCTTCCAACTTTTCTTCTACCGCTTCCTTCCTCTCTCAGCCTCCATAAAATTGAGGAAAGTCAAGGTCTTGCTCTGGATTACGCTTTGGCTTAAGGGAATATTGTGGCTGGTTTGATCTTCCATCCAGACCATGAAAACTTTCTTCATATCAGCAATACGGCTGTTTCACTTTCTTATCATTCTTGTGTTCACTGGAGTAGCACTTTCAATTTTCTTCAAGAACTTTTCCTTTGCATTTGCAGGTTGGCTAACTATTTGCACAAGATGCCTAGCTTTTGGCTGATCTCAGCTTTCCACCTGCCTTTCTCGCTAAGCTTAATCATTTCTAGCTGTTGATTTAAAGGAGGGGACGTACGAATTTTCCTTTCACTCGAACACTCGGAGGCCATTGTAGGGTTATTAATTGGTCTCATTTCAATATTGCTGTGTCTCAGAAAATAGGGAGGCCCAAGGAGAGAGAGAGAGAGAGAGAGAGAGAGAGAGAGACAGGGGAAGGGCGGGTTTGTGGAGCAGTCGGAATGCACGCAGCATTTATAGATTAAGTTCTTTGTCTTATCTTGGTGACAACACATCTGTTTGTGATGTCCCAAAACAATTACAACAGTAACATCGAAGATCACTGATCACAGATCACCATAGCTGATATAATAATAATCATCTCTTTTTTTTTTTTTTTTTTGAGACAGAGTTTCACTCTGTCACCCAGGCTGGAGTGCAGTGGCACGATCTCGGCTCATTGCAACATCTGCCTCCCAGGTTCGAGCAATTCTCTTGCCTCAGCCTCCCAAGTAGCTGGGATAACGGGCATGTGACACCATGCCCGGCTAATTTTTGTATTTTTAGTAGACATGGGGTTTCACCATGTTGGTCAGGCTGGTCTTGAACTCCTGACCTCAAGTGATCCATCTGCCCGCCTCAGCCTCCCAAAGTGCTGGGATTATAGGTGTGAGCCACTGCGCCCGGCCTGATATAATAATAATGAAAAAGCTTGAAACATTGTTAGACTACCAAAATGTGACAAGAGACACAAAGTGAGCACATGCTATCGAAAAGTGGTGCCGAGAGACATGCCTGACGCAGAGTTGCCACAAACCTTCAATTTGTAAAAAACGCAGTTATCTACAAAGCTCTATCAAGCAAAGAATAACGAAATGAGGTGTACCTGTACCCCCTTCTCCAGATGGAGACCTTTTTAAAGAATAACTCTCAGCTATTGATGGTCCTGAATATTCCTGCCTGTTGGGAGTCCCAAGGAATCACAGCTGAGTTCCACTCTGGTTAATGGCCTCAGGGTGGTTTTCTGTAAATGATCGTTTGGTACAGTGCCAGGGCTAATGGACTCAGGGGCTGGGGGGGGTCGCTAACAGTTAGGGGCACAGAGGCACCTGGGTCCTTCCAGTGTAGGCCTGTAGTGTTCCCAACCCATCTGACCAGCAGGCTCTGTGGGCTCACTGCACCTTGTACTCCTGGTCAACTGAGTACTGTGCCTGCCGAAGGCCTGGCCAGGGGAGGGGCTGTGCAGGCCGGGCTGAGCAGTGAGGCTGGCTGGACTTATCCCTGCTGGCCACACCATGGCTAATGGTATCAGGGCCTCTGGAAGCACTGGGGATGACGATGCAGGCTTGGGAGAGGCAGATCTCTCTCTCTCCAGGTGAGGTGCTGCCTGGACTGGACTGCAATTTGAGATTCCCGCATGTGCTCTACCCTGTCATGAGAACCAGGAAGGGCAATTACCAAGTTGACTGAAGTTTTATTAACCTGCCACCCACCAAGGGGAGTAAATCAAAGAAGTCCACGTTATTGAATCATCAGCTTTAGGAACATAGACGTCGTCTCTGCCCCGAGTGCCCCTGGCTGCATGGCACAGCATAAAACACGGCACCTCTCTCCCGTGACGGGCGCAAAATCAGGATGCTTAAATAATTCAAGTCTAGCTCTTTTGGACTTTCAAAGGTGCTGTGTGCCCGACTGGCTTGTTGTTGTAGTTTAGTTTTTTTTAACAGCAGATTTGTTTTCCTATGACTGATATTAAATGAGGTTCTCTTTCTGAGTTCACACCTACAAACGGACAAGGAATTGTACCAGAATGTGTTCAGTAGAGAGGGCAGAAGAGCCTCCTCTTTTCTTCCTTCTCTATCTTTCTTTCTTCCTTTCTCCCTCCCTTCCCCCTTCCCTCTCTCCTTTCCCTCCTTCCTCCTCCCTTCTTCTTTCCTTCTTTGCTCTCTCATTTTCTTTCTTCCTTCCTCTCTCCTTCTTTCTCCCTCCTTCTCTTCTTCCTTCCTTCCATCCTTCCTCTCTCTTCCTTCCTTCCTCTCTCCCTTCCTTCCTCTCTCTCTCCCTTCTTTCCTCCCTTCCTTCCTTCCTCCCTTCCTTCCTTCCCTCCTTCCTACTTTTTCTTCCTGATTCTATGTACCTATGTATATTTATTCATCTATCCATCTACCTATTTATTTATCCAATCGTTTTTGAATTTTTATACTGGGTACTAGGGAGTCAATGCAACAAGGAAGGATGGCATTCTTCCTGCTGTGTAGCAGATTGCATTTACCAAAGATGACTGCAAAAATATTTCCCATCCCACATACGCTTTGCAATGTGGTCTTGCCACTCTCGCATCAAGGGAGGTGTCTGTGGCCTTCTCTTGGAAACTGAGCCTGCCTTAGTGACTCGTTTATGACTAGTAGAAGGCAGCTGAAGTCATGTGATGCTGTGTGACTTCCTCAGATTAGAAGAAGCCGTGAAGCCCACTTTGTGGGCTGTAAGAAGTTTGAGTACCTGAGACTGCCATGCTGGGGAGGTCACATGTACGTGCTCTGGTCACCTGGGCTCCTGGCTGACAGCAATGACTTCCAGGCCAGTAAGTGCGCCATCTTGGAAGTCGTGCCTTCAGATGACCACTGTCTGGCTGACATCTGACTGCAGCTGTGTAGGAGATCCAAGTGCCTAGGTGAGCCTTTCGCAAATCTCTGCCACACAAAATCATGAGCAAAATACAATGGTTGTTTTAAACCATTGAGCATGGGGGTCATTTGCTACACAGCAATAGGTGACTGGACTGTGCTCTCAAAGAACGTATGGTCCACGTGGGAAGATAGATATTAAACTCTCCCACATAAAATTGTACTAGAAATCATAGCAACATTGAAGAGCTCTGTAGAACTAGGAGAGTGCATTGGTCCAGAGAGGTTGGGGAGCGTTCCCTGAGGAAAGGGGTGATGATTGAGATCTGAAGGAAAAACAGGAATTTCACAGGAGGTGAGAGGAAGAGTATTCTGGCACGAGCAAAGGTCCTGGGGCAGGAAGGAGATGCTGAAAGAAGGCCAGAGAAGTTGCAGAGTGGGGAACAAGGAGAGGCCAGAGAGAGACATGGGGCCCAGACCCTGCAGGGTCACGCTTGCATGCCATGCTGAGGATCTGGGCATTTGTAAGAAGAGCAATGGAAGCAGTAGTTGTGGGTGTCAGGGGCTCTGGTTAATGAGCCTGGGAGCACTCGCCTGGAAATGGCACTCGAAGGGGAAACGGTGTAGGTGAAAACCAATACCCAATAGGACCAAGGTTCTGGCGGGGGCAGCTTTCCTGCTGAGGGTCCCAGCGCCTTGCTTTCCTAGGAAAGGCTACAACTTCAAATTGAATTGCACGACCTTGGGTGGGTCATTTCACCTCTCCGGGAACTGGACTTGTATGGATGATTTATAGGTCCTTTCAAATCCCATGAATCAAAGAATCAATCCTCAATGACTTTCCCATCACGAACAAAGCACTCGCTAAAACTTACATAAATAGATTAAATGGGCCAATGACATGAGATTAGATTTAATATGAATCGTTATCATAATGTGCTGTCTACAGAGCTGTGTCTTTTCCCCCTAATGCCAGCCTTATTTTAATGGCAACACTGGGTTAGGAAAGGCAGCCACTGAGCAAATGTCCCCTGGCTCCCTGGGGAAAGTCTGCCTGTGTCAAACTGTAGCGGAGAAATAAATGTTACACACGTGACCATGGCCTGGACATGGAGCTAAGTCCCTGCCTGGCACGCACTCATCCCCAGATGCAGACAGTGCCTCGTCAGCAAAGCTGACTCACCAGGAAAGGGATGCACTCCAGACACCAGTCTCCAGCATTCCCTTAAGACATGAACTCCGCACGATTGAAAATGCAGAAACCAATGATGCTCACAGGTTTGGGGTCATTTACTCTCCCTGGGACCTTGGACCAGTTATTTTACCTCTCCAAGCAGAACTTTCCTTTAAACTGAAGATTAAAATAGTCACTTACCTACCTTCAAGGTGTGATGCAGAGATGAAACGAGGTAATTCCTGTAAGTTGGGCATATCATATTCACCTGGCACCTAGTATGCGCTGAATAAATGTTGACTATTATTATTCCAGTCAATTCTTCAGTGCTGTTCTTGAATAATTGAAACTACACACAGTTAAGATGACAAATGTCAAACCCAGAAATACCAAGGGCCTGCTCTATGAATTTATGCTCAAATTGACTGTTTAGAAAACAGAGAGTAGGTTCGGCTCGTCTCGGTAATCCCTTTTGCTGTTCGTATACCTTCCCTAGTTAAAAATAAAAACCAAAACAAAATCGCAAGTAATGTGAAGGAGGGGTGCTCCAGCCCAGTGGATCCAAATGGTATTTGAAGTCACTCGGAATAACCGGCAGGGCCCCGTTCCTGTTCTGGGATGCATGCTTTGGGCTTGCTATTGAGTGGGCACACAGGCGTGCACACACACACACACACACTCATTGCTGAAAATGTGCCCAGAAAATTAATTCTCGTTTCCTTGATACAGTCCTGTTCTGCTTTCCAAGACGAAAAACACATCACCTCCCACAGCAGCCGCCTCACTCCCATCTGATGAGGGCAAGAGGCAAGGCAGGGAGGAAGCAGAAAGGAGGGACGGAGATGGCAAAGAGTTCTCAGTTCTCCACCTGCGCTCCCGAGCCCCTCTCCGGCCAGGGCTGGGGACTGTGTGCCTTCAACGCAGGCAAAATAAAATGGTTGCATCTTGGATCCATCTAGACAGTAAATTTTTTGAGTCCTTATAAGCTAAAATCAATATTGGCACAACTGTGTGTCATTAAAAACTAAATGAACATGACAAAGCCCAACTGCTGCCTATTAAACAAATGAGTTTTCTCTCCGCACAGGCACAGCGGGTTATTAAATTCTTTATTACAGGAACATCACCATTTGAAGGGGGTAAAAATACGTCTTTATGAGTCATCTGTGTGTGTGTAGCAGCGTGGCCTTCCTGTGCTCGTCCTCAAAGGCGCTCAGGAGCCGCCAACCTTCTCCTCCCCCAGGAAGATGAGGTTTCTCCGAGCTCTCTATCAGCAGAGGTGGAGAGAAAGGGTTCCATGACACCTGGTGTTCACTCACATGTTACGGATCCATCCAATCATTACTTTGTTAATTCATCAATATGTATTTATTGAACGTCTACTATGAGTCAGGCATTCTGCTGGGTCCTGGGATCATCCATTTAAGCCAAGATACTTGGAACTGCATTTCAGAAGAGCCAGTTGCCCGTAGCCTAAATGACAAGGATATTTATTTTCTCCCCTAACAAGCCTGGAGTCAAGGTGGTTCCAGAGCTGATGTAATGATCCAGTGATTTTATCATAGACTCAGATTCTTTCATCTTTATAAAGCTCTGCCGTTCTCAGTGTGACACTGGTTTCCTCATGGTTGCAAAAGGGTTGCCATTGCTCCAAACATCTTGACTGCACACAGCCATATCCAATGGCCATTCCGTCCCCACATTTCATTGTATCTGGTAGTAAAATCTATTACAGAAGCCCTGAAAAGTTTCTCCTCACATGCCAGTGGCCCAAGGTGGTGCATATGCTCTGTGTCTCCCTCATCGTAAGGGAAGCTGGAAATGTGTTGTTCATAGGCTCCTTCTACCTCTCGACAAAGCTTTCTTTTTCTATTTTCTGGGCATTTGTGATTCTCTTGGATCCTCACCTCCAGTGCCCCCAAACCTGCTTGCTGTCTCTTGGCATTCCCCCAGTTCCTGGCAGTGCTGGTGTTCAGGCTACTTCCCCAGATCTCCTTTCACCCTCCTCTCCACCTCTCTCTGTGCTCCAAGGGGCTGATTTTCTTTCTTTCTTTCTTTTTGGAAATGGAGTCTCGCTCTGTCACCCAGGATGGAGTGGTGCCATCTCAGCTCACCACAACCTCCACCTCCCAGGTTCAAGCGATTCTCCTGCCTCAGCCTCCCGAGTGGCTGGGGTTATAGGTGCCCGCCACCACGCTGGCTAATTTTTTTGTATTTTTAGTATAGATGGGGTTTCATCATGTTGGTCAGCTGGTCTCGAACTCCTGACCTCAGGTAATCCACCCACGTTGGCCTCCCAAAGTGCTGGGATTACAGGCGTGAGCCACCACGCCTGGCCAGCTGACTTTCATAGAGATGTTCAAGGGGCTGCTTTGCCTTCTGGTTTCAGTTGGGGTAGACCAGTGGAAGGCATGACTGGAGATCAGAAAGCAAGAGGAGAGGGAACTGGAGTCATGGTTTCCCTAGGTCCCTCCTTGCAGGTACTGGGGTTGTCCACGCCTTTCTGCCTAAGCTGTCCTCTTATGCATCTGCTCTCGCCAATATTCTGGTACCTGCTCCCATCCATTACTGTTCATACCTGGAACCCTGGGTTGCTACACCATTCCTGGAGGGCTTCCCCTGCATTCAGCTCTCCCCACCCACCTATCTGAGCCTGCCCTCTGCTTCTCACCAGCACTGGCTGCTAGCCCAGCCCATGCCTTTCACCAGGTTCTCTGCCTGTCTCCTCAGACTGAAACATCATCTGACTTGCTATTTCGTTCTCAACTCTAGCTTTGCTCCTGGAAAAGTGTCCTTTTGGTCCCCATCAGTTCTGTGCTATGTAGCCATGGGCAAGCCCTTTCCCTCTGCTGTGCACTCCACCATTGTTCCAGATCCCAGCCCAGGTACATGTCCTGGCTCCCACTTGCCCAGATGAGCATATACTGACCTGATACTAACTGGAGACTCTTCTGTCTTTAGAGGATGGAGGAGGGAACCGAAAGAGTGGAGGAAGAAAAATACAAAGAAGTGCAAAGATGGGAGATGGATGGGACTCTCTCTGAATAGCCCCAACTTCCCTCTGGAGAAAATGGACAGTACCAGTGTCCTGGTCAGCCTTGGTACCCACTGGGTTTTCTCATTTGCACTGGGAGATGACACATCTTCTCTGCTTCAGCTCAGGATTACTACTTCCCGATCTCAGCCAGGTCCAAGAAGCAGGGATTCAGGACTTAGCATGTTTGCTTCTGTTGTTGCTCCTAATTTTCATAGTAGCCAAGCAGAGTAGACATTATGGTCCCTGTTTTACAGTTGAGGAAACTGAGGCGCAGACATTAAGCATCTTGTCCAAGGTCATGTGTTATTCCTATCAGGACTTGGACCAGAATCCTATCTCCTGACTTCAAATTCCAGGCTGTTTCTCTGATGCTGTAGTTCCTAGTTTCTGCTCTGAACTGACTTGCGTTCTATACGCTGAACCGAGGAGTCTGTTCTACAGGTTAATGGGATAATGACTGTCTTTCCTCAATTTGCAGATAGAATACATTAGTACATATAATTTCTTTGATTATTCTGTTGTTTTCCACATTTTTGTAGAGTCTTTTGGCACTTATCATCCTATCGTCAATACCTGAATCTCATATAAAATGGGATGTGATTTAGCGTGGCATTACACAGGTAACTCCAATACCTCAATAGCTCTCAGTGTGTTCTGCACAGACTAGGATGTACTTGCCCCATGCTTTAGGCCCAGATTCATGATTTGAGAACCACTTTTCCATGATTTTTTCAGTCCAGAAAGGCTAATCTAGACATTTTAAATTCTAGCATGACTAAACAGCAATGACTCCAGAAGTTCTGTGTTCATGCAGACTCCAGATGTGGGTCTGCCCCTGGCCTCCCGGGGGAGAGAACTGGGTTCCATGAGTTATGCCTTCAACAGGCACAGGAGTGGGGACTGTTGACTGCTTGCTGGTAATTTACACACCCTGACCCAGACCTGGCCTCCAGCAGAAGAAAAGAAGCTGATTCCAACCTGTCTTGGTTTTGGCTCTCCTTAGAACATCAAAGGTGTATGAAAGAGGCTGAGCTTGCCTCATCTCCCCCGCCTGTGTTAAGTGGTGATCAAGATGGCATTAGAGATGATCACATCATATTATTTAAACATGATTTTAAATAGCTGTAACAATGGCCAAGCTCCATCTGCAGACCTTGACCGCTGCCCAGCAAAGGGCAGTTGGTTGGCTTACACGATGAGAGCATTGCTGGCACGCAGGCTTGTCCGTCATCCTCGCTTGCTGGAACTCAGCAGCGAGTCTCTCTGAAGGTGACACAGGCTTTGGTGGGTGGGGTGTGGAGCACGGCCGGCTGCACCGCTGGAAGTGGGGCGGAGAGGAGCCTGTTACCCGGGAAGTTTAGGGGCATATGGAAGCAGTGACCCCTTCTGGCCAATGGAGGAATGACATAAATTTGCTAGCAAGGGAAGACAGGCGGAGAGGTGAACGGCCAGGGAGGCCTTGGCGGGGAAGAATGGACTAATGAGAATATCTATTATGACTCGTCTCTTCAGTTATTCCCTAAGTGGCTGTGTCATCCTATGCCAGCCATCAGAGGGAGGCAGAATAAAAGTGTGTGTCCAGGGAGGATGTGAGCATGACCATGAACCCTGGCCACTCTCATCTGGAAAGGGCTAGAAGGGAATGGGGTAGTGAGGACCAGCTGTGGAAGCCTCAGGGACAATGGGACATGCATCTGAGAATCTTGGGAGTGGCCAATGCTCCTGGTACTGGGAGGCTTGGGGTGCCGGAGGTCAGCAGCCACCCCTCCTCGAGCTCTGTCAGCCAGGGATTCCTGGAGATAGTTTCCACCGCCTTTGGAGAGGTGGGCCATCCTGGAGGCTGGTGTGAAACAGAGTCCTCTCCCTGTTCTGTCCTAGAGTCGGACAGAACAGAGTCAGGCTCAGCTCTTCTCAGCTGCTGACCTGCTCTGTGGTCAAAGACGGTAGCCCCTCCCAGCTTGGGTGTGCTCCCCTACAAAGCAAAGCAAAGCAAAGCAAAGCAAAGCAAAGCAAAGCAAAGCAAACAAAGCATGTAGCCCCTCCCAGCTTAGATGTGCTCCCTGCAAAGCGGGCAGGGTATAGGGCTTTATGGAGAAGACCCGTTGATATCATGGTTTCCAAAGGGCCTGACAGTAGGTGCTCATTACGACTCCCTTGCTAGCCCTGTAGGCCGGTCATTTCAGACTGCTCCGCAAGCCCCCCATGCCTCCCCGCCTTTGCACACACCATTCCTTCTTCTTGGACAACCTCTCCTTTCCTGGCCCATCTGGTCTACCTGGTCTACTCGGGCACATTCAACTTGTTCTTCAGGGCTTGGTTCAAGGCCTTCCTGGACTGCTGCCCTGATCGCCATGCAGAGTTAACCACTTCCTCATCTATGCGCCTCTAACACTGTAGCTATACCAAGCGCACTGTGGTACTTACTTATTTGCATAATAACATCATTACATTCTAAAAATGACAGCAGCTATGAATTGTTGGGCACTTTCTGTCTGCCAGGCACTGAATGGTGAGCGTGCTGTGGATGATCTCATTTCAGCCTCACAGTAGTCAGTGAAGGAGGTGCAATTGTTAACCTGTTTAAGGATATACTAAAAGGAGGTCTTGGAGAGGATAGGTCACTCACCCAGCCTCACACAGCTGCAGTGGTCCTCCACAAAAGGGCTTGATTTGGGGCATTTGCCAATTTCCATGGTGTAAATATTCCAAGGATGATAATTTTAAACTAATGATGCTTTGATGATGGGCTTGTAGTATTCCTGAAAATTTAGCCATAGGCTCCCATGAGCTGGTACAAACTGGCATGAACTGGTTGCAATGTGTCACTGCGACAGCTCTCTGTATCTCAGGAGCAGGGACTAGGTTTTAATAACTCATGACCCCGAGTGCCCTGCACAGTGACTGGAGCTTAGTAGCTGCTAAATTAATGTTGGTGACATGAGATGGATTTCAGAGCATAGAGGGCAGGGGCAGAGGCTGCCTGGATGGCGCACCCCAACAGGACACTGCCTTTCTCCTCCTCTGAGTGGATGTTGTCTGACAGACTCACATTTCAAACTGAGCGCAGGTGCAGTGGGCTGTCAGGGGCAGCAGAGGCCTCTGGGCTGGGAACAGATGTCACATCTGGGCATCTGACAGGAGAAGCTTGTGGAGAAACCAGGAGAGGTTCAGCCTCCAGCCTCAGGTCCTGGCTCCCGCCAGCCTTCCAGGGCTCGATTCTCCCGGGACAAGTAGAGGGGCTGCTGCATGCCAAGCTGTCATCCTGGTCAGGCCAGGTCAAAACCGAGGCAGGGTCCTCTTTGAATGTATGTGTTTGTGTGTGCGTGCACATGTGGGGGCCGGAGGAGCTGAGGATCACATGGGAAAACCGTGTGTGTTTATGTGTGAGAGAGAGAGTGTGTGTGTGAGTGTGTGTGTGTGTAAATGAGAAACTTTTATCCCCACAAAAATAAGGATGTGAGATTTTATTTTATCCAGCTGATGCCAGAACAAGGCACTCATAGTTAGCCACAGAGGCACTAACTAGAGTGTTAATGCATGCCTGAACAGGGCAAGAACCGGGAAGGGAGTGCCAGGAGAAGAGACTTCCAGAGATCACTCAGGTCCCCGTGATGGGCAGCCTGTGCACAAGGGGTCTGGAGCAGTGAGAAGATGAACCTGCCAAGGCCCAGAACCATTCCTGGAGCCAGGTGAGAAATGCCTGGGTCAGTGAGTGTCAGCGTTGGCTGCAACAGCGATTCTAAAACTCGAGTTCTCATCAGTGTCAGCAAGGGCAACGTGCACAGTCTCACAGGTCCCACCCAAACACAGAAAGACCCGCACTCAGAAAGACCCCCACACTCAGAAAGACCCCCACACTCAGAAAGGCCCTCACACTCAGAAAGACCCCCACACTCAGACATACCCTCAAACTCAGAAAGACCCTCATACTCAGAAAGACCCCCACACTCAGATCCCGCACTCAGAAAGACCCCCACACTCAGAAAGATCCCCACACTCAGAAAGACCCCCGCACTCAGAAAGACCCCCCACTCAGAAAGACCCTCACACTCAGAGAGACCCCCATACTCAGAAAGAACCCCACACTCAGATCCCACACTCAGAAAGACGCCTGCACTCAGAAAGACCCCGCACTCAGAAGGGTTTAGTAGTCTGCTGTTGCCATCCTGAGATTCTTAATATTTTTTGAATAAGGGGCTCCACATTTTCATTTTGCCCTGATCCCCACAAAGGACATAGCTGGCCCTCCCTGAGGTACCTGTAAAAACCCACGTTGCTGGGTACCTGCCAAGAATTTCTGATTCAGAGAATCCTCGGAGCCAGAGGAATGGGGTAGCGCCGGGGGATCCCAGCAGAGGGAAGGCTTGTCCAGACGAGCTCTGTGGCCGGGTCACAGCTGCTGCTGCTTCCGAGTCAGAAGTCAAGAGGGTGCAAGGGGGCCAGCTCAGCTCAAACCTTTATTTCTCAAAGGGTCAGAAAGCCCAAAGGCCAGCGCTGGCTTTCAATGCACGGGAAGGAATTGAGGGTGAAGGTGTGAGAATGGACATACACAACCCAAAAGATCAGATCTCAGAAGGAGTAGGCAAATCTGGGGTGGAAAACGGAGTCTGAAATTGGCTGCTGGGAGGGCATGGTGGCTCACGACTGTAATCTCAGTGCTTTGGGAAACGGAGGAGGGAGGATTGCTTGAGTCCAGGAGTTCGAGGCTGCAGCGAACTATGATGGCAGCGAACTGAGTCACATGAAGCAACGTACCTGTACCTGCCCCATTCGTTCAGGAGCAAGTTGTTCAATGAGGGCTACTTGCACTCTAGAGAAAGGTTAACGTGCTGTCTGTTGGATGCACTGGGCCAGCAGAATGGTGAGTGGAAGGTTTTAAGCTCCCAGGACATAAGATGGTGGAAGTCTGAGGTATCCCACAGCCCTAATGGTAGGCTGGAGTTTTCTGCCTTGAGGAGGTTGTGGGACTATTTTTAGCACGTTTTCCACTACAAAATGAGTTCTCACTGACCTGTGTTGGAGGCTGAATCCCACTATTTAAGAACTGTTTCTTCCATATAAAGGAGAGGGTGCTTAACTGGAGATTACAGACCTCTTGGGAGTCAACGGATGTGCCCCGGAAGGTCCACATGCCCTGCTGAAATTGTTTGTGAAATTTAGTGTGTGCTATAGACACATATTTTTTCCTGGGGAGAGGATCTGTAGCTTTCATCAGATTCTCAAAGGGTTCTGTGACCCCCCTCATGAAAGGATTTATTGAAATGGTTTGTCTAAAAGGGGGATTATTCAGTAAATAGTGTCAGAATAACTGGCCAACCCTTTGAAAAAAAATAATAAAGCAGTATCCTTACCTAACTCCTTATACCCAAATATATCCCCGATGGGTCAAGGATTAACATACTAAAGAAAAAAATGAAGCAATAAAAGTTACGGAAGACATTTGGGTAAATATATTTACAATGTTGGAGTTGGAAACCAGTTTCCAAAGTGGGAAACGAAAACCAGGAGCCACACAGGAAAAGACTGATCAATCTAGTTCAGAAAAACGAAAGCATCAGTGTGGGTAAAATCAAGACAAAAGACTATTGAGGTCGAAAGACAAGGAGTAAATGGGAAGTCATATTTGTAGCACCAATCACAGACAAGAAGCCAATTTATTAACTTATGATGCATTTAGATAACGCATAAGAAAAAAATTAAAATAACTAAATATAAAGACATACCTACAATGTGGGTAAGCAGTCAACACTGAAAGAAAGACAGCCAACAAAAAGATTAAAGAAATGCAAATGGATACCAACAATTGGATTATCATTTTTTTAACCTCACAGATTGACCAAAATTTATATTGATGGTGTTTTATTATATGGATGTTTTATATTTTATTTCATCTTGTGTTTGCTATTTGGATTGCATCTGGTTCTCAGGTATTAGAAACAATGTTGTCAAGAACAATTTTGTAGTTACATCCATCATTATTTACTTCAATGCCTGAAGCATCACCAACATTTAGCGTCATGTAGCTGATCTTGTCCCTTCCAAAGGGATCAGAGCATACAGGCTGGAGCCAGGGTCATAGCACAGAGTTGTAGCCCTCCTGGGAATGGTAGCCCTGGATGTCGAGATGGAAAATGTGGTAAATTATATTCAATAAGTGTCCATTATGTGCAAATTGTGTGCTGGGTACTTTTGAACAATTTTATTTTATTTAAGACAGAGTCTCACTTTGTCACCCAGGGCGGAGTGCAGTGGCATGATCTCAGCTCACTGCAACCTCCGCCTCCCAGGTTCAAGCGATTCTCATGCCTCAGCTGGAATTACAGGCATGTGCCACCACGCCCGGCTAATTTTTTTGTATTTTTAGTAGAGACACGGTTTCACCATGTTGGCCAAGCTGATCTCGAACTCCTGATCTCAAGTGATCTGACTGCCTCCGCCTCCCAGAGTGCTGGGATTACAGGAGTGAGCCACTGCGCCTGGCCTGGTACTTTTGAATATATTAGCCATCTCACTTCACAACAAGAAGAAATCAAGCCAGCATTTCCCCCCATTGTACAGATGCAAAAACAAGATCAGAAAGGTTTAGTAATTTCCCCAGATTGCACAGTGAGGTAAGATGCAGATCCCTCCGGCCGAAAGCCCGTGTTCTTCTCGCCTTGCCAGCTGTCTGTTGAGAGCAGCAGCAGGTAATTGGTGGTGTACTTCTGGAGGGTGGGGAGACCAGGAGGGAAGAAAGCCACTGCCAGGGAGGCGGAAGGACCCCCAAAGACAATTTTGTCTCTATTTACAATTTTCCCAAAGGTTGACCCTGCCCCTGGGTGCCCTGATGTGTTTTCTTCAAGGGAACATTCTGCGTGGGAGGCTCAGAGGTTGTCTCTGTGAGTTCGTACAAGGAATGGATGATAAATAGCAATGGGCCTTGTTCTGCCTCCCTGCGCCTCGTGACTCTTTAGGTGCATTTAAATGGGCCACCCGGGTTGACTCTAAGCTGTCATTGCCCACGTGTGCATGCAAGCTTTCACAGAGCTCAGCAACGGAAAAGACATTTCTCCATTCCCTCTGGTCCCAGGCAATTCAAAACCTTTCTCATCTAATTGCTCTTCTTAACCCTTCTAATTGCTGTTACGTTGCTGTTCTTCCCCCGCTAAGCCAGCTGACTCGTCTTCCCTACCTTCATACTCCATCAGACCACTCCCCACACCAGGTCACCCAATTAAGTAACCATGTTCAGGTGAAAGTCTTCACAAACCAAGAGCAGGTACCGTGTTACCTTTTAAATAAATTCTAAAGACCCAACACTGTCAGAAGGAGTTTGGGGGCTCAGAGTTGATTTTCTAAGAGGAACCTCTACTCTAAACCATACCATGTCTCCAGAGCTGTAGCCAGAGGAGATGAACTGTGACTCTGGGGAAGCGGAACTATGAACCAGTGGAAGCAGAGAGAGGAACCGTCTGGTCCTGTTAGTGGCAGATACAAAGTTTCCTTACTCTGCTATTACTCAAAGGTGGTTACCAGTTAAGATTATCCCCCCAATAGTTGGCTATTCCTTTTCTTTTCTTTTCTTTTCTTTTCTTTTCTTTTCTTTTGAGACAGAGTTTCACTATGTTGGCCAGGCTGGTCTCGAACTCCTGGCCTTAAGTGATCTGCCCACCTCAGCTTCCCAAAGTGCTGGGATTACAGGCATGAGCCACTGCGCCCGGCCCTATTTTTTTGTATTTTTAGTAGAGACGGGGCTTCACCATGTTGTCCAGGCTGGTCTCAAACTCCTGACCTCAAGTGATCCGACCACCTTGGCCTCCCAAAATGCTAGGATTACAGGCGTGAGCCACCACGCCTGGCTCATAGTTGGCTATTTCTAAAGACATGAAAACACAGTGAGAGACAGTGTAGAAAGTATCAAATGACTTTTTAAAGTGTACAGATTCTTTGACCGCCTGCACAATTTTACTCCTACGAATTTATCTTAAGGAAAGACTCCGATTTGTACAAAGATCTATGTACAATATGTTCTTCTCAGAATCTTCTATGCTATCGGAGAAACGGAAACCAACTAATTATTCAATAAAAGGGACTGACCAAGAAAATGAATGTGGCTATTAAAAACCGTGCTGTAAGAAAGATAGTGACGTGGCAGAATGGTCATAATGGACTAGTATCAGGGGAGGGGGGCATGAATGATAGGGAAAGCAGGCTAGAAAATAGTATGTACAATGGTACGTGTGTTTATAAAGAAAAAGGACTGGGAGGAGAGGGAAAGAAGGCTAGAAATCTCTGCAGCAAAAATGTTAAAGAGGTTTCCTCCAGGGTAGAGAATTATGAGCAATTTTTCTTTTTCTTGTGCTTTTTGGTTTTCCACTTTTACTACATTGAGCTCCTTTGTAATTAGGAAAACCAGGTTTTTAAAAGAGGTGGTTCTGTTACAGGTCCTTTGGTCCAGCGTTCTGTAGTTGCCACGGGCTGTGGTGGGAGCCTGGAGGTGTCTGCTCAGGGAAGGGCAGCTGCCAGGTGGGGTCCAGGAGGCAGGTGGCTATGCAAGCAGCTCAGCTTGTAGGATAGGTGAGCTTGGCTCATGGACTCTCCTCCCGTGATCACTTTTCCCACCTCCCCCCTCCCCCCACCGATCCCACAGGGGACATTCAGTATCCCAAATACCCAGCCTGTTAGACATAGTGTTTGATCGAAGATCGAGTTCCTCGGATTGAGGCTGGGTTGAAAAATGACCCATATGTCCCTAGAGATGGAGCAGAGCTGGAGCGGAGCTTAGAATTTACAACCCAGCCTCCCAGCGCTGGGCCTGGACACCACGCAATTTTGACAGATGATTCTCATGAGAAACTTTCAGTTTCCATTTGATTATGGGCCCATAAACACAGATTGCAATTGAACAGAGTTAGGGCTCTGCCTGGATTGGACCTGCCAGGGCTCAGGGAGCCTTACTGGATGGCTCTGGCCTGCCTGTCACCTGCTGGTTCTGAGCTGCTGCCTACAGCTATGCATGTGTTGTGATGTGGCTGTTGGACGTATCCACATGCATCTCTTATGTGGGCATCTGCCTCTCCCATTAGCCTGGGCAGGGATTGTCTTTCCGATGGATCATCTAATCCTACCATCTTTGGGTGGTAGTTGTCCCTGCTGGTTATAGGAGGTTTCAGCTAACTTTGGTTTAGGGTTCACCATCTTGCTTTTACTTTTTCACTCACTCACTCATTCATTCATTCACCATTTGACATTATTGAGCAGCTGTCATGTGTCAGAATACGGACTTAGTAATACCAGGCGGACTCAGGGATACCAAGAATAAAGTCTCACTGCTAGCGTCAGAGGAGTCATACTTAAGACCGTGTCACATGCATTAATTTAGAAAAACGTTCAGGGAGCTAAGAGAACACAGAGGATAAACCCCTAGGCAGGAGGGAGAAGCCAGCCTGGGCTACCAGGAAGGGAGGCTGTTCACTCAATTCATCTCAGCAAGTGTCTGGAGTAGCTGCACTAGGCTAGACCCCCAGAGGATTAGACAGAGATAGTGCAGTGGCACAAGCTAGACCACCTGAGGATTAGACAGAGATAGTGCAGTGGCATAGGCTAGACCACCTGAGGATTAGACAGAGCTAGTACAGTGGCATAGGCTAGACCACCTGAGGATTAGACAGAGATAGTGCAGTGGCACAGGCTAGACCCCCTGAGGATTAGACAGAGATAGTACAATGGTGTAGGCTAGACCCCCTGAGGATTAGACAGAGATGGTGCAGTGCCAGTGTTCCTACCCCCATATTGCTTATCATTGTTGAGTATTTCTTCCAGCATTCTAGGATAAGACTGCTTCTTTCTCATTCCCCCTGTGGGGTAAATATTAGGAGTTGCTTCAGGACCCTTGAGCAAGGGGACAAGACAAACCTATAGCAGAGTGACACCTGCGGGGTCTGGAGTCTTCAGCTGGAATGAATTCAACAAATACTCACCTTGTGCCAGGCACTGTTCAAAGCACTGGGCAAGCAGAAGAGCCAAAGAGGCAAAGTCCATATTCCACTGGGGAGAAAGAGAAAGAGATCATCGTCGAAGGCGCACGTGCATAGGTCAAGTGCATAGGGTCAAGTGCAGAGGAGTGCAAGGAAGAGACTTCAGTCAGAGAACAGCTGAGAGAGGACGGAGGGCAAGTCCATGTTTATACACAGGCAGAGACGACGGCAGCTTGGACTGTGGTGGCAACAGAGGAAGTGGCTGGAGGTGACTGGACTGTAGATGCATTTTGAAAGTAGAGCTTTTAGAGCGAGGGGTGTGGGAGACAGAGAGGAGTGGAGGATGATTCGAGGGTTTCCAGCTTGAGAACTGGGGAGTGAGTTGCTGTTTACTGAGGCAGAGGAGCCTGGGAGAGAAACAGGTTTGGGGGAAGCCACTTCTGTCCCATAACTGTAGCACTTGACGGTTGTCCCAGGGGACTCTCACGTGCCCCCCCCGCCTCCCCCGCCTCACAGTTCCTGACCGGTGCTGTGATGTGCCCTGTCTTTTTGTGACCCCTGCGTCGGCCTTTCTTCCTCGGCTGATGCACCATTTGCACTGACCTCTGTGCTGCAAATGCAGCAGCCAGGCTTTTTGCACAAGCCTTTTTGCTCAAGGCCAGTTGCTGCTGGGAGAAAATGCCTGTCCTTGCAGGGTTCCCCGCCTAGTGCAAACCACAGCACACTGCCACTCAGAGCCCAAGGTGACCTTCCCACCCTGGGCGTGGGAGTCAGGCAATTCAGCACCAGCCCTGGGCCCCCAGGCCTGTGGATGCTGCTGCCTCTTTGCCGTGCTGTGCGCGGCGCCGGCTCCTTGTCCATAGAAACATCCCAGCCCACTCAGCGGCTTGCGAGGCCTCCCGCCCCGGGTCTGGTTTGCACCAGCCTCTTTTGTGTACCAGCTGCTCCGGCCGCCGCTCTTTCATCCCTGCTCCTGGGAGGGCCTGGCTCCGCACCCTGCACAAACACATCTGGACTTCTTCAGACCACATGACAGGAACAGCTGCTGCCAGAAAGAAAAGGACACAGTGGCCCTTTTGTAATCACTCTTGATTGTCTCCAGCCGTAGGGCACTTGTGTTTTGGTCATGGATTTAAGGACTTCCAAGATGTTTCTAGGAGCATATTATTGCCCCAGGCCTGGCTGTGCCTTCTGTGGTCCAGGTGGCAGCAGGAAAGGGTAGAGGCATTGGGACCGAGCAAAGAGGCTCCTGTAAGTGTGTCCTGAGGCTTCCACCTTCTAGGATAGAACAGGGCACACAAGGAGGAAGAAGGCAGCGATGTGGCTGTCACCCGCCGTAGCCACCTGCTGGTATGGCTGACACCAGCCCTGGGCCCCGAGACAACAGCCACTGCAGGCCTTGAGGCCCAGCGCTGGTGCTGAATCTCCTGTCTCCTGTGCACAGGACAGGAAGGTAACCTTGGGCTCTGAGCTAGAATGTGCTGTGGCTTGCGCTAGACGGGGCCTGGTGGCTTCCATGGTCTCCTGTTGACTCCACCTGCCAGTGTCTGCATCTCTTTGCCTGAGGGCTTTTTCTAAAGCTGTAAAAGTTTGCTTTGTCAGAAGAGGGGAAATGAATACCCTCCCCCAGAGCAGCCTACTCAGCTGGTGGCTGAGGGGATTGGGTGTATAAATACCCCAGCTACCTTGCCCTCAGCAGGGAGGACTTGGAGGCATCTGTTCTACAGGTCACCAGAGGACCCCGGAGGACTAAGCTCCAGCTGCCAGCGTGGGTGCTGGCTTGATCCCCTGCTCCTCCTCCTCCTCCCCTGCTGCCTGTCCTCCCTGTGTCCCCTCCCGCCTCCCTGACTGTGGTCTTGTATCTCCTAAAGGTGTACTGGATCCTTCTCCCAGGACCTGCTTTTGGGTGAACCTGAACTAAGACCAGTGACAGCAAAGGTCTATGGGTTTAGGGATTGTTTTTAGGGCAGTTCAAACAGGTACCAAGAACCTGTGGGACAAATACATTAAAAGTGGAACTGCTCAATAGTTTTACTTGGAATCAGCTTTGAACGTGCCTCAAATTCGGAAAAAGTGCACAAAATCGGCCCTTTATAAGAAGCAACCCCACAGTTGCTGAAGGGAAGGGTTCCTCTGTCTCTTTCTTCTGCCTCCATACAGGAACATTTTAAGCCATTTAAACCTCCATATTCCAGAGTCAGAGATTTGGGCTGAACCTAGGTAGCTATTTTGACATCATATAGGACTACACTGAGACAAAATCTAAGGGAAAAGTGGAGCAGTCGGTCCGGAGGCTTAGCTTCAGCGTGGTTTGTGGACATGGTTCATTCATTGGCTGTTGTCACTGGCGAAGTGGAACTTCTGGGGTTCGGATTCTTTAACTTCATAATTCAGCCAGTGGGATTGTTTTCTGGGTAATCATGACATCAGCCAAGGTTCAGTCATAGAATCAGGAAGGTCAATTTTTTTTTTTTTTTTTGAGACAGAGTCTTGCTCTGTTGCCCAGGCTGGAGTGCAATGGCATGATCTTGGCTCACTGCAATCTTCGCCTCCTGGGTTCAAGTGATTCTCCTGCCTCGGCCTCCTGAGTAGCTGGGATTACAGGCATGCACCACCACACCTGGCTAATTTTTTGTATTTTTAGTAGAGATGGGGTTTCACCATGTTGGTCAGGCTGGTCTCAAACTCCTGATCTCGTGATCTGCCCACCTCAGCCTCCCAAAGTGCTAGGATTACAGGCATGAGCCACCGTGCCTGGCCTTTTTTTATTTTTTTTAATTATTTTTATATATTTTTTGAGACAGAGTCTCACTCTGTTGCCCAGGCTGGAGTGCAGTGACGTGATCTCGGCTCACTGCAACCTCCACTTCTCAGGTTCAAGTGACTCTCCTGCCTTAGCCTCCCGAGTAGCTGGGAATACAGGTGCCCGCCACCCCGCCCGGCTAATTTTTTGTATTTTTAGTAGAGACGGAGTTTCACCATGTTGGCCAGGCTGGTCTTGATCTCCTGACCTCGTGATCTACCCCACTTGGCCTCCCAAAGTGCTGGGATTACAGGCGTGAACCACTGTGCCCAGCCAGGAAGGTCAATCTTTTTGTGACAACATGGGAGTCACACCACAGTGACTTAATCGCCACCTGTACCTCACCCACTCCCCAAAAACTCACCCTGTACTCATGTTCCTGGATGAACTAGCTTTGCAAATATCAGCCGTGTGTTTCCATCATGAAAACCCATCCTCTGCATCCTTTATGGAGCTGACCTGAAATGGCCAACAGGGAGGACCGGCCCCTTCTGGACCAGCTGAATTTCAAATCAACATGATCTCTCACACACGATCTCTCATCAGCCGCTGGCTGGAAAGACACATGATAAAGGATTCGGCAGAGCTTCTGACACCGCAGGCTTTGCGACCTTGTGAGGCTTGGGAGAGAAGCCTGGTTCTCATTTGAACAGATGGGCCTGTTTGCAAATACTTCCTCTGATACCCTAGAACAGACAACATCCTGTCTGAGGTGGGTGGTTGTGACTGAAGAGACCAAACAGACCTCAAAGAAACACCTGCCACAGAAGTGGCAGCTCTGACTGTGGAGCCAAGAAAGCTTCTGCATTGCTGCCTCTCTGTCTAAGGGTGGAATTCTTTTTATTATTATTATTATACTTTAAGTTCTAGGGTATGTGTGCACAACGTGCACGTTTGTTACATAGGTATACATGGGCCATGTTGGTTTGCCGCACACATTCACTCATCATTTACATTAGGCATTCCTTAAGGGTGGAATTCTTTTAATAAGCAGGCCACGGTAAGGTTCTGAGAGTAAGAGGGAGAGGCAGCCTCCCTGCTGTCCTGCCTGAGAAGCTGGAGGCTGAGGTCTGATGGAGGAAGACAGGAAGAAGAGAGGGGCAGGATGTCCATGTATCTTTCTGGATGTATCACAGCTGTGCCTGGTACCAGGCAGGGGCAGACCATTTCTTCAAGGGCTGATGCTATTCTGAGAAGGTATCTTGCCCACCCAAGCTATCTCTTGGTCCCAGACTTGTCCAATTTTCTTCCCAATGACAGGCAGCCAACAATGTGCCCTCTTTGCAGTGAGACTGTACTGCAGTTGGAGGGAGAGCCCTGTAGGCAATGCAGAGTGTTCCCAGGGTCATTCCCAAACGTTCATTCAAGCAGGGCACTAGGCCAAGGCTCTGCAGCGAGAGACACCCTGAGACTTCTGATACCCTCTGGGACGAGACTGACAGATACCAGTCAAGGATTTCACTAATTCATCTCCCGTGGCCCAAGCAGATGTAATTCATGATATTCCTATGTTCAACTGGGACACAGCCTCAGAATCCTTCTTCATACTCCAATACAGCAGGCAGCCACGAATGCCGAGATCCAGAGCTGACACCCAAGATGCAACATGCTTTCCACATCTTCCCTGGGGACTTACAGTTTAAAACTGATTCCCTGACACCAATAACCATGCAGCAGATATGCAGATACCTCGATAAGAAAGGTCTTTGTGATTTATAATAGCAGATATAATCATTCACCCTGCCTAAAAGCTAAGGGTTTTTGCCATACTGTGAGGTTTTGAAGCAGAGTATCACGTGATTCGTGTTCCTGAATTTGACATGGGGAATCCTCATCTGAGTTGAGAAGGATATAGCAATCTTCAGTAGCCACTCCCAGGGGGCCTCTGTCCAGGATACAGGATCTGGACAGAGAACAAAGCAAATAGGACTGATGTCTCCATCCTCGGTAGCATCTCTCCAATCTGCTCCTATCCCTCTCACTCTCCTAAGCTCCCCTCAAGTAGGTGATCAGGTAAATTATCCTCTAAACTAGGAAAGGTACTATTAATGATTACATCACAATAACAGGTAAAATGGGAGGTGTCCCAGGCAAACAGGAATATAGGATCCCCATGCCCACAGGCCCTCTAGTTTTGTATGAGAAGGTGCATCTGTGTGTGCCAGATGTGTGTGTAGGGGTGGGTGTAATTTGGTGGGTGTGCTATGGGGCGCTGAGCAAAAGCAGATCCTTCTCCTGCCTAGGGTTCAGTCCCTTCCTCAGCCCTGTGTCCCCTCTGGCTTCGCCTGCCAAGGCTCTATCAGGTGTGAGAGTACAGAGCGATGGAGCTCCTGGCTGAGCTGATGAGGCTCCCAGGGACTAGAGCAATTAATTAAGCCTCTTCCCAGCTCTCAGCACAAGCCCCGTGCCACTGCCAGAGCCTTTTAATTGCCACTGGAATGGGTAGCTCTTAAAATCAACGTCCTTCCCTTAAAATCAACGTCCTGCTCAGCAGTGCTAGGAGAGGGAGGCTGGAGAGGGCGTGGAGCTGGCCTGTCCAGCAGTCCCCACTTCCCTTCTGGGGCAGGTCCCAGGAAATGCTTCCTTCCAATAGCTTCTTCCCTGCTGTGCCCACTTTGGGATTTTTTGCAGCTATGAGGGTGTTGACAAAATTCAGATAGTCACACATGGGAGAGACTTCTGAGATCTTAGAGCCCAGCCAAAGATCCCTGAGGGAAAGGGGCTTTCTGGACACTCAGGCTTGCTGGGAGGGGAAGGATGTTCCAGCTCTGGTCTTGGCCGATGTCACCATGGATGGACGAGACCTGGATCTAGCTGCTGCAGGCGCTGTGGGGCATGGGACAGAGGGCACACACAGCACTGGCTGTGGAGTCCTGTTGTGAGCATCCCTGTTGAAAGAACTAGGCAGGAGACTCTCAGGACCAAACAGATACAGTCCAAGGAACCTGGAAAATTGCATGAAGAGCCCTGGGCCAGGCCTTCAGGAGCCGGGGCCTAGGGGAATCAGGCTGCCCGGAGCAGCCTCTGTGAGAGCTGCTAGGGATGCAATGACCTTAAAGCTGCCTCTCGACTCTGAGATTCCGGACTGTGATTCTGCGACGGACTCAAACCCAGCATCCAACGCGGAACAATAGCTGTACTCCTGCCCTTCCCGACCCCATGGAGGGAGGCGGTGGCACAGTTCTATCTACACAGCCAATAATGCAAAAATCACCTCATTTGGAATGCATTAGGATTCCAATTTACAACAAATTTCCTTTCCTAAACTAGCTTGGCTTTGCAGACATGTGTCTCTGACAGCAGAAAAAGGGCAGGGTCCCTGCATGCCAGGCCAGAAAGAGGGACCTGGCAAGGAATCCTGAATTTTCAGGTGAAAAATCTGCTTTAGGCAAACTGGGAATGAATGCTGATGTAACTTGGAGTGTATGTGTGTGCGTGTGCATATGCACGTCTGTGATGAAGGGTCTGTGCATATTGCGGGAGGCAGAGACCCTGGAGGCCCTACCCAGTGACAGCAATTGCAGATGATGATGTCTGATAATCATATAATCATATTGATAACAACCATCATCTCCCTCACCCTTGTGGTGGCTCAATAATTTCACCCATCACTTTGGTTTGTCTTGTGCTTGGGCAGGTGCACTAGGGCCCCGTCTTACAGAAGAGGATGCTGATGACCAGGGAAGCCCATTAATAAGGTCCCACTGCTGGTAAGTGACAAACTAGGATTGGTAGGCTGCTGTCTCTTTTGGAGGCCCTATGCTGGACTGTCCCTGAATCTGACACACTTGGGCAGAGTTGGGCTAAGCTAGGCCAGCTCCCGGAAAAAGTGGGTTTTAGCCCTGATGAGGCTAAGGAAGCTGCTGTGAGGGTGGTGTCCCATGCACCCTTCACCATCCAGGGCTGTGAATCATCATCCAGGCCTTGGGGATGCAGGATGGGTGTTGGAACATATGACAGCTTTGCACATTTATTTGTGCTCCTGACAACATGAGCAGAGAAAGCTGCAGGCTATTGACTTGTAGTCTGAGGGTCTGGAGTAGATGTCCCAGTACCCCATCAATATGGCAGCTCTGTCTTCATTAAGGTCCTGGACAGGGGCAAGACCTAGCCTGCTAAGTGCACGGTGTTCTGGGGTCATGGCTCTCTACCAGGGTACCCCAGGCCAAGGCAAGGCATGTGGAGGGTAGCCTGGGCTATGAGCAGCCATGCCAGGGGCGCCGTCCTTGCTCTCTCTCTTTGAGAACTGCAGAATTAGCTCCTGGTGGTGGGTGGCCAAGCCCGGCTGCTGCCAGATGGCAGCAGAAGGGCAGCAGGCACCCCCTTCTTGGTGCCCGCTGAACTGTGACAAACCTGGGCCTCTCAGGCTGGAGCAGAGCCGGCCTGCCTCCCTGTAAGAGTCCAGCTGTGGGACAGGGTGGTGTGTGGGGTTGGGAGGGGAGCTCATAGAGGGTCAAGGAGGCAAAGGGCTGTGTCAGATCTACTGGCCAGAAGTGAGAGAAGATGTACCTCAAAATGGCTTCATGAAGACAAAAAGGGCGGGCATGCCTCTCATTGGTTCCCTTTACTAAAATATCCATGTCAGCAGGCATGTCTCTCATTGGTTCCCTTTACTGAAGTACCCATGTCGGCAGGCATGCCTCTCATTGGTTCCCTTTACTGAAGTACCCACGTCAGCAGGCATGTCTCTCATTGGTTCCCTTTACTGAAGTACCCATGTCGGCAGGCATGCCTCTCATTGGTTCCCTTTACTGAAATACCCACGTCGGCAGTCATGTCTCTCATTGGTTCCCTTTACTGAAATACCCATGTCGGCAGTCATGTCTCTCATTGGTTCCCTTTACTGAAATACCCATGTCGGCAGTCATGTCTCTCATTGGTTCCCTTTACTGAAATACCCACGTCGGCAGTCATGTCTCTCATTGGTTCCCTTTACTGAAATACCCATGTCGGCAGTCATGTCTCTCATTGGTTCCCTTTACTGAAGTACCCATGTCGGCAGGCATGCCTCTCATTGGTTCCCTTTACTGAAATACCCACGTCAGCAGGCATGTCTCTCATTGGTTCCCTTTACTGAAATACCCATGTCGGCAGTCATGTCTCTCATTGGTTCCCTTTACTGAAATACCCATGTCGGCAGTCATGTCTCTCATTGGTTCCCTTTACTGAAATACCCATGTCTGGCCGAACCCGGGGCGTGATGGTGAGATCGAGATTTGGTCTCTGGATTTCTCAGCTCTGCTTCTTTCTGCATTGGTCCCTGCTCAGGCAATTGGGGCAAGATGGTGGCCCACAGCTTCGGCCCTGGGAGAAAGAGCGAGCTTCTCTTCCTCAACCAATAAAAGCCAAGTTTGTGCCTGACTGAGTCACATGGGCATCCATGGACCAGTCCTGTGCTCTGGGAGTCAGGAGTGGGGTCAGGTTCACAGGGGACATGGGGAGGATGATGCGTCCTAAAGCTCAAGAACAGGAGTGAAGGCTGGGTGGCCCAAGGAACCATCACTGCCCATTAACAGGGACAGTATCAACCTGGATCAGCCCGAAAGTTCTTGAATGGAGGTGTGTCCAGAGAAGAGAGGGAGGGAGGGAGGGAGGAAGGTATGTGTATGTGGATCAGTGAGTACTGCAGGCTCCCTTCAGAGACAGGGAGAACTTAGCACCAAGCACCAGGGTGCAGCCATAATGAGCCTGACAGGCCCTGTTCCCAGGAGGGCGTCAGGTGTGCGTCATGGAGGTGTGTGTACACCTGGGTGTGTGTGGAGGAGAAAGGGCGCACTTGCTCCCTGGAAACACCACCCACAGACCTTCCCGAACCCCATCCACAATAGCCAATATTTCTCTAGTGCGGTGGACACAAGGCTTTCCACATCTCAGTCTCCCTGGGCAGCAAGTGAGGCTGACACCATTGGGATCTCCGTTTTAACAGGTAAGGCAGGGCGGGTCAGCACTCGCAGCAGGTAAGTGGGCTGCGTTGGCTGCCTGGGTTGGATTCTGGGCTCTGCCACTTACAAGCTATGTGGCCTTCAGATCACTTTCTCAACCGCCTTGTGCCTCAGTTTTCCCATTTGTAAGAGGAGCTGATAGAAGCACTTTTCACACCATGTGATGAGGGTGAGATAAGTTGGTGTGTATAACCTGCTGAGAAGGCTGCTTTATGTGTTGCAGGAAAAGAGATCTGGGACTCGTATCTCAGCCTTTTGGGCTCAATCTCATGGCTGAACCAGTGCTTTCCAGAGCCTACAGCCAGGTACTGTGCAGCTCTGAATAGACCTTTCCAGTGGAAGGCTCTAGAGCTCTCCTGTGGATGTTCTTTCCTGCAGCCTGGAGAGCAAGCAAGTCAGAGGTCCTCTGGGGCCAGTGGGCCGGTGCTGAGCAGGTGAGGCTGCTCTAATGGTTATTAAACGTCCCAGCTGGTGCTGTGCATCTAAGTGCGGCTGAGGGCGGGACCCGTGAGGCCCTTCTCCCATGATTTCAGCCTGGTCTAAGGGCTCCGGGGGAGTGGGAGCTGAGGGTTCAGGCATCTCTTCCTTCAAAGGGATATATGGAATAATGCAGAAGATGGAGGCGTGAGCCAATGGCATGAAGGAGCCGGGTGGAAGGAAGTTGGACTGTTTGCCTGCTGGGGAAGGAAGGGACACTGCAGTGCCCTGCTGCTGAAAGTGGGGTCCATGGGCCAGCAGAACTGTCACCACCTGGAAACCCTGTAGGAAATGCAGAACCTCAGACCGACCCCAGATTTAGGGTATCAGATACCTGCTTTTTCAAAAAATTATTATGAGATAGGGTCTGGCTCTGTCGCCTAGGCTGGAGTGCAGCAGCGTGATCTCGGCTCACTGCAACGTCCACGTCCTGGGCTCAAGCGATTCTCCTGCCTCAGCCTCCTGAGTAGCTGAGACTACAGGTGCATGCCACCATGCCCAGCTAATTTTTTGGATTTTTAGTAGAGACAGGGTCTCACCATGTTGCCCAGGCTGGTGTCAAACTCCTGGCCTCAAGCGATCCTCCATCCTCAGCTTCCCAAAGTTCTGGGATTACAGGCGCAAGCCATCAGGCCTGGCCAGAGTCTGCCTTTTTCTTTTCTTAATTTAATTTTTTTTTGAGATGTATCACTCTGTCACCCAGGCTGGAGTACAGTGGTGCAATCTCAGCTCACCACAACCTCCAATTCTTGGGTTCAAGGGATTCTCCTGCCTCAGCATCCTGAGTAGCTGGGATTACAGGTGTGCACCATCACATCTGGCTAATTCTTTTTGTATTTTTTAATAAGATGACTTACATGCACTGAAATGCTTGAGAAGCACAGTGTTAGTTATCGACCCCAGGGAAGGTTTCAGTTACCCCCATCATACTGAGCTTCTACTGGAGTTCCAACAACTAAGAGAAAGAGCCTCTGACACAAGTCAGCGGGCGAAGCTCTAGACTTCATTTCTAGCACTGTGCTGCCCAATATGGCAGCCATGGGCCATGTGTGGCTATTAAGGTCAAAGGTATAGTAATGGAGATGAAGTACAGTGACACATTTCAGTGCTTCGGTCACACAAGTCGCATTTCAAGTGCTCAGTAGTCACACGTGGTTTGTGGCTGGTATATTGGGCAGCACTGATTACTGAACAATTCCCTTATCACAGAAAATTCTATTGAGCAGTGTTGGTTTAGTGTCTGACAGTGTAGTCATGTGCAGAGAATGACCCAACCCCAGCTTTCCCTGAATGGCGGCTTCTCTCTTTGGTGGCAGGGGCATGGGGGTGTAGGTGGTGGATGGGCAAGTGACAGATGTGTGGAAACTCAAAAGTGTGTGATTTGGGTGGGGAAGGGCACTGCAGCCCCAGAAAACAGCTGCATGAGTGAGAACATCTGGTGAAAATCAAGGCTTGAGTTAGTTCATGTGAGACGCACTGGAAGGATGTTAGAGATCACTTAGCTCAAATCTCCCCGTCCCCTTCCTATCACCCATTTAATAAACCAAGACCTAGAAGTCTAAAGAAAAGTGCAGTGGCTAGACTTGAAGTTGGGTTTTGCACTTCAAGACCAGTGTTTGATGTATTCTGCTTGTGGGACAGTGAGACAAACTCTTTGCCTGCAAAGAAGATTTCATGAGGCGAGTAAGAGGTGCTCGAGAAGACATCACATGAGAG
This sequence comes from Homo sapiens, assembly GCF_000001405.40. Lineage (NCBI taxonomy): Eukaryota > Metazoa > Chordata > Mammalia > Primates > Hominidae > Homo > Homo sapiens. Next base: position 73,729,858 of record NC_000017.11, read on the forward strand.
AGGGCCATTCAGGAACCCAAGAATTTGCCTATAGACTTGGGGGAAGATGGCCAGAGAAATCTGGGGGAGGCACTGGGAAAGAACATTTCATGGTGGGGGCAGAAGGGGTGGGCAGCAGGGGGAAGGAGGACCTAGGCTGGGAAGGGCCCAGCTCCATCCCTGACCATTCGTCTATTATATGACACCTGCATGGGGCAGAAGCCAGGGAATGTTTCACAGATATGCCTGGTCTCTTCCGCTTTGGTCTGCATTTCTGTGCCTCCCTACCCTCCCCCAGTTAGGTGGGTCCAGGAGACTGAACTCTGACCCATGGAATCTGGGCAGAAGGGTTGCTGCAATTTCCAGGGCTGGGCCCTAAAAGGCTCTCTCTGCCTTCTCTGGTAGCCCACCCAGATGCAGTTGATGCAGTGGAGGACTCTCCAGCCCTAGAAGACTACCGAGATACTAGAAAGGAGGTGCCTTGTCCCCAAAAGACTGGGAGGAGTGGAACATCCCAGCTAGCTCACTTTAGGCTATTACTGCAAGAAATTAAACCTGTATAGTGTTAAACCATAGTACATTTGGGAGATGTTTGTTATAGCAGCTGGTCTACCCTGGCTAATACACTGCATGAAGGGTGCGCTCTAAAATTTCCATCTCTTCACCATGTCCCATAGCATTTGCAAGATGTTTGTAGGTCACTGAAGAGGCCATTCTTTTCTCTTCCCTCCCTCTGTTTCTCTGTTCTCACTTCTTCCTGTCTAGGAGTTCTGTAGTCATCTCTAATTGGCCCTTCAGGTTCCCCAATCCAGAAGCAGTTCCTATGAAGGCAGCCCCAGGTTATTGCCATATTCATGGAGTTATCAGGGTTATGGCAGGTCCTAGGACAGAGGAAGTCCCTGCCCATCACTTCCTCCAGGAAGCCTTCCCTGCATGTTTGGGTTAGGAACCATCCTGTGCATTCCCATAGAATATAGTCAATGATGCCCACATTCTTTGTGGCCTGCTGTACCGTAACATATACGCTCAGTACACAATTGTGGTTTACTTATCTCTCTTGTCACTCCACTGTGGGATCCTAGAGAACTCCATCACTTCTACTGTGAAGCAGCAAGAGCTAGACATGTAGATACCCACTGTGGAAGGCAGCTTCTGATATGGCCTCCAAAGAAGCACCCTCCTGAGATTCATGTCCTTGTGTCATCCTCTCTCCTCCAGTGTGAGCCAGACCCACTGAGTTGCTTCTAATGAACTGAATACAGCAAAAGTGCTAGGAGATTAGGCTTTAAAAGACTGGGTTATAGTCCTTTTTCAGGTACTCTGTCTCTCATTCTCCTTCTTGCCTGATCAAGATACACTCTTTGATGAAGTAAGTTGCCATGTTGGAGAGGCCCGTGTGGCAAGGAATTGAGGGTGGCTTCTGACCACCAGCCAGTAAGGAAATAAAAGTCCTGAGTCCAACAACCCATAAGGAATGGAATCCAGCCAACAACCACAGAACGAGGTTGGAAGTGGATTGGCTCCAGTTGAGCCTTCAGATGAGATCTCAGCCTCAGTTCACACCTTGATTCCAGCGTTGTGAGAAACCCTGGCCAGAGGACCCAGTTAAGCCATGTCTGGGTTACTGACCCCAAAAAACTGTGAGATAACAACTGTGGGTTGTTATAAGCTAATATGTTACAGGGTAATTTTTTATGCAGCAATAGAAAACTAATAAACCAATGAAGAATATTTTAATGAAGGAAGGAAAATTGGTCCTCACAAGCAGTAGGGTAATTGGGGTTGGGTTGGTGGCAATGCAGGACGTGGAAGAGAACAATGACATGAAGGTGAAACTTGGGTGGGGACAGGGAGTGACCAGATGACCACCACGGCCCTCTCAGATGGGGCTGCCCAGTGATGGCCCTGGGGACAGCTCCTGAAGATCTCTGGGGCCTCGGGTGGGTGACAGCTCTCCTAAGTCTCTGCTCCTGATGCTGACAAGCCCTCACACTCCACATTCTGTCCACGCAGCTATAAATATTAAAACGTGCCAGAGGAGAGATTGCAAAATAGGCCTGTGGGCAAGATACAGCTCTGAATTGGGGAGAGGAAATGAGAATGAATTTCTCTCTTCCAGTTCCCACTTTGGTCTGTTTATTGCAGAAGGCGCTGTGGGAGATAAGGAGCAGACAGCTCGTGCCCTGCAGGCTGTGCAGGAGGCAGTTCCATTGAGGGTCGCATGGAGGGGTAGAGTTGGGTGTCACCTAGTTCACGAGGCCGCGTGAGGAGTCGGAGCTCCCCACACCATCTCAGATGCTGCTACTGAGTAGAGCTCTGGGGTTCAAGCCCTGCTGGTCCCACACCAGGGCAAAAACAAAATATAAAGTAAAACAAAATAAAGTAAAATAAAAGCAAACAGACAAAGTACTCCTGTGTGGGTAGGTGTGGGGTGGTTTTGGGGCTCCCCAGCCCAGAGTCTGAGCACTACAGCTGGCAGGCAAAGTCCCCCTGGTCCCTCTCTGCTCCTCTGTCTCATACCTCGAGTCTTCCTGTCCATCCATTCTTCTCCAGAAACTTCTTTCTCATCCGCTGGCTTCTTTTCCATTCCTGCCACCAGCACTCTCATCTGCTCACTGTTCATGACCTCCCCAACCAATGACTTTTCTTCTTTCCCTCTACACCTCTTTAATTCACCCTACCAGCAGATTCACTTTAGTATACTGCTTTGGATATATCACTTCCCTGTTTAAAATCTTCTATTTGTCCCAAACCAGGGAAGGACCTATCTGGAACTGTTGGTCTCACCTGCAAACCCTCAGGTAACCCTTCTTTTTTTTTTTTTTTTTTTTTTTTTGAGACAGAGTCTCTTGCTGCCGCCCAGGCTGGAGTGCAGTGGCACAATCTTGGCTCACTGCAAGCTTCGCCTCCCGGGTTCACGCCATTCTGCTGCCTCAGCCTCCCCAGTTGCTGGGACTACAGGCGCCTGCCACCATGCCTGACTAATTTTTTGTATTCTTAGTAGAGACTGGGTTTCACCATGTTAGTCAGGATGGTCTCGATCTCCTGACCTCATGATCCACCCGCCTCGGCCTCCCAAAGTGCTGGGATTACAGGCGTGAGCCATTGCGCCCAGCATCAACTTTCTAGTTGAGGTAGAAAGGCCTCTTTGTACCATGACCTCCAAGCCTCACCCCTGAGCACCCACTCCTTGCACCAGTTTCCCTGTCTCCCCTCTGCCCAAATGCACCCTGAGTTATTGTCTTTTTTTTTTTTCTCCTCTCCCAGCCTGGCAGTTCCCAACCAGCTCTTCCTCACGTGTCTTCCTGTACAAGTTATATCCTCCTTCTTCAAAACTCAGGTCCAATCTTACCTCTCAGCAAATCCATCCCCGACAATTGAAGCCCTAAGTGCTTTCTCTGTCCTCTGAACTCTTATATAATTTTAGCCTGTGCAATTCGTTCGTTAATTAATCATCCACTGTGCTGCCTTGAGACATCATTTTTTTTTCTCCTGTAGCCTTGTGCTGATAGTTAACTCTTTGAGGGTGATTTAAAATTTGCTTGTTTATGTCTTGGCTTCGTGCCCCCTTGTGATATCCTTGGGCATGGATGCCACGGCTTTATACTCCTTGCAGCAACTTCCCAAGGATCCCAGCACTGAGTGAGGCCGGTCCTGGGACTGCAGAGTGTTTTTGCTGGTTTTTATTCTCTCCTTCCATGGGTCCTGGGACACTATTCTCTCTGTTTCCCCATTTATTCATTCATTGGTGTCTCCTTTTAAGGGGGCATCTTTCATGCTTGTCCTTGAATGGTATTTCCTTGGGGTTGGTCCTGATCTCCCTGCCTTTCTCACACTCCACTTTCACCCTGAATCATCTCAGCCAAGTTCCTTCTTCCCACTGCTGCTTGCACGCTGGTGGCAATCAGTGTCTCCACCCATCACTGCTTCCTTAAACTGCAGGTCTCTATTGGATCTGTCAAGCTGCACATTCCACAGGAACCTCCAAACCAAGGGACCCAAACAGAACCTGCTGTTTGCAGTTGCCATTGCAAAGTACCACAAACTGGGAGACTTAAAACAAGGGATTTATTCTTTCACAGTTCTAGAGGCTGGAAATCCAAAATCGAGATGTTGCAGGGCAGTGCTCCCTCTGAAGGCTCCGCAAGAGGATCCCTCCTTGCTCCTGGGGCTCCAGGCAATCCTTGGCATTCCTTGGCTTGTGGCTGCATCGCCTCCGCCTCTGCCTCTGTCTTCACAAGGACTTCTTCCCTGTGTGTCATTCTGTGTTTTCACACGGCCTTTTAAGGACATCAGCCTTTGAGACCCTAGATTTGGGGTCTACCATAATCCAGTATAACCTCATCTTAATTAATTAGAGCTGGAAGACCTATTTCCAAATGAAGAGGTTCCAGGTGGTCATGCATTTTAGAGGGTCGCCACTCATCCTGGTACACCCTTAGCTCACCCCCTAACAAGCTTTCTTTTGGTAAATTACATCCCCCCTCCTTCCCCCAGCCCAGTCACCCAGAGCCAAGAAGCGTGGGGCTTATGCAGATTCTCCTTTCTCCATTTCTCATCCTCTACTCCAGTCATTCTTGACACTCCTTAGTCACACCCTCCTATCCCTCATCTCCCCTCTGACTTGCGGGGGTGGCCCCTACCTGCACAGCATAGGTCAGTGTCGGCCAATCTTCTTTTCATTATTCCCTGTCAAGAAGTCTTTTCCTAATCACCTGCCCCTATGAAATTGCAATGCCACAGATAGACTGTGTGTCTGTTTCTATGCTGTGTGTATTTTTATGCCTTTAAACATAAAGGTAAGATTTCTGGCACGCCCCAAGAACCAATTTTGCCACTTTGGGGGTGATGTCACCCCCTTATGGAATGCATGGTCTGTGACAACAGCCTCCAGGTGATCTCCCTCCCTCCCTCTGCTCTGTTCCCACCCCTCCCCTCACCCATGCATCTTTCCTACTTTTATAAAACACAAAAAGAAGCTTGCTCCACCTGAACAGCGTTGCCCCTGAGAGAATGTCCAGACCTCTTGGGACAGCATCCTTCTGCATCCAGCGCAGCCAATGGCCCTTCCACCTGCTGCTCCAGCCACACAGGGAGCAGCTGCATTCAGGCCTCTGTGCCTGGTCCTGGGACACCATCTGCCTGCACGGCCCCCACCTCTTGCTTGCATATTCAGTTTGAATTACATTTCAAGATGCAGGTTTAGGGTCACTATGAGGAGAAAGTGCTCTCCTACCACCCCCAGGAGACTGGATGCCCATCCATCCCCACTCGCCACACACTCAAAGGTTAAGTGGAACTTCTTCAAAACCATGTCTCCTCAGGTAGAGCAGGTGCCTGGAGGGGTGGGTGCAACAGGCAGAGGAAGGAGAAGACAGAGCTATTCACGTGGAGTTGGTACCCACAGAACCTGGCCAGCCTCCCACAGCGGAACTGGTAGCACTGCCATCTCTCTGCCTGGCTCAAATGTCTGGAAATCACGGACTGTTTCTCACCCATCTCTGTATCTCCAGAGCCTAGCCCAGTCAGTCAGAGCCCAGTGAGTGTTTTCCTGGATGAATGAATGAATGAATGATTAATGGGCTTCTCTGGACCGTGTTTCAGCTGCCCAGCCACTTCGCATGAACTCCACTGTTGCTCCCTGTTGCCAGGCACCTCCAAAGGCTGCCTGGTTTCTACCGGCTCATCTCCTCTGCTGACCACCTTTTCCTCCTTCGGGAGGGGTCACTACACAGGCACCTGATCCAGGAGGCTGGCTTCTCTCTATGTTGAACTCTGCTCCTGTGGCCCTGGCCCTCCTTCTCTTCCTATTCCCTCACTCTTCACCTTCAAGCTGAGTCCCGTGATGCCCTCCTGCCCTGCCCCCCCTTACTCACCACTTTTACCCCCGGGCCATGTGCGTGCCATTTTCAGGTGAACAGCTCTGCCCACCACCTCCTCACCCTGTAGCATCCCCCCTCCAGGCACCCTCTCCACCTGTAAGGATGTGGTCTTTAACAAGTGCCTCTTGGCCGGGCACAGTGGCTCATGCCTGTAATCCCAGCACTTTGGGAGGCTGAGGCGGGGGGATTACCTGAGGTCAGGAGTTCGAGACCAGCCTGGCCAATATGGTGAAACCCTATCTCTACTAAAAACACAAAAATTACCTGGCTGTGATGGAGCTTACCTGTAATCCCAGCTACTCAGGAGGCTGAGACAGGATAATCACTTGAACCCAGGAGGCACAGTTTGCAGTGAGCCGAGATCAGCCTGCAGCCAAGATCTCTTTTGTGATGGAGCAATACTCCATCACAAAAAGAAAGAAAGAAAGAAAGAAAAAAGTGCCTCTTAACCTTTGACTCTCTCTCTGTGTGTGTGTGTGTGTGTGTGTGTGTGTGTGTGTGTGGCAGGTGGGGACAGGCAGGAAAGAAGGGAGAGTTCACAAGACCCTGGGGCTGGTCCTGGGTCTCAGTGGGGCCTTGAGGAAGAAGAAGGTGAGTTGGCTCCACTCACCTCCGATGCAGGGAGGTGGCAGGGAGTGAGGCGGACACTCACCACCCATGTCAGACTTCACAATGTACAGTCAGGCCCCCTGCTTCAGGCTTGGGTTCCTGGACAGACCATAGACTTAGCCTATATTGACACCCTGGGGAGAGGGCAGAAGCCCTGAGACCTATGGGTAAATATCGGGTGATGTGGTTTGAATCGGTGTCCCCACCCAAATCTCAGGTGGAGATGTAATCCCCAGTGCTGGAGGTGGGGCCTTGTGGGAGGTGACTGAATGATGGGGGTGGATTCTCATGAATGGATTAACACCAACCCCCTGGGTGCTGTTCTTGAGACAGTGAGTGAGTTCTAGTGACATCTGGTTGTTTAAAAGTGTGTGGCACTTCCCTGTTCTCTCTCTGGGTCCTGCACCTGCCGTGTAAGACGCCTGCTCCCACTTTGCCTTCCACCATGAGTAAAACTCCCTCAGGCCTCCCCAGAAGCAGATGCCGCCATGCTTCCTGTACAGCCTGCAGGACCATGAGCCAATTCAACCTCTTGTCTTTAGAAATTACCCAGGCTCAGGTATTTATTTATAGCAGTGCAAAAACAAATACATCAGAGCAGCAGCAAGGTGAAGGTAAGTGCCCTTTCGGGAGGCAGATGGGGTTGGTGGGGAGGAGGCTGGACGAGGGTGAATAGGAGAGAGGGGACCACCATGTTCAATTGGGACAGGAATGGAAGAACTGTTCATTACCTAATCACCACCTCCCTTCCAGGTGTGCAGACCCGCCCTCTGCATGAGGGCCTCACTTGTGGAACCAGGGCCTGGTCCACTTGGACAGATCTGCCAGCACCAGCGGTCACCGCCAGTGCTGCTCTAGTCCCTGGTGTGAGTTTCCTGCAACTGCGGTAACACAGTCTTACACACAAAGTGTGTAAAAAACAGAAGTGTATTCTGTCACAGTTCTAGAGGCCAAAGGTCCAAAATAAGTCTCAATGGGCGCAAATCAAGGTGTCAGCAGGGCTGTGCTTCCCTGGAGGCTCCAGGGAAGGGTCTGTGCCTCATGTACTCTGGCTTCTGGTGGTGGCCAGCATGCTTTGTCTTGGGGCTGCTCCATTCCAGCCTCTGCCTCTGCGGGCCCTGCTGCATTCTCCTCTCCTGTCTGGGGTCGATCATCTGCCTCTGCCTCCGTCTCGTGATTGCGGATCGGACCCACTCAGATAATCCGGGATAACCTCTCCATTTTTAGAACTTAAACTTAATCACATCTATAAAATCCTTTTCTTGCCATATAAGGTTAACATTCACATGTTCTAGGGATTAGAACATGGGTATCTTTAGGGGGCTGTTATTCTGCCTACCTCATCCCCTTTGGCCTCTGTGAATTACATGAGCGCCTGTCAATCACAGATCCAGGGATGGAGGTGGAGATGTGTCTGGCACCCCCTCTCTCCTGCACCTGTGCTCACTGATAATGGGTGCAGCTTAGCTCCTCCTTCCCCTCCTATCTTCTCCCTCATTTTGGGAGCCAGAGGACTATTTGGGTTTGGAAATGGTGCTCTGCATCACTGGAGGAAGCAAGTGTGAAACCTCAGTCCACCCCATCACTCAATCAGGAGAATTCCCATTGGACAGCTGGCTTGCATGTGGGTGAGTTGTAGTTTGCTAACATGTTGAGTCTCTGATCCCTGTCTCTTGGTTGGAGATGATGGGTGCATCATGTTAGGCAGTAGGATGTGGGGAATCAGGACCCAGGCCTATTGTCACATTCACTAGGGAGAGAACTGTGCTGGCCTCAGCTGGCTCCTGGATCTATCCAATCAAAGAGGAGAACTAGATCACTCTAAGCAACCCCCTCATAGCTCCAGCCTCGCTGATCCTGGTTGGTTATGATTCAGAGGAGGGGAAGGCAGACTCGCCGATGATCAGTCAGTGCCTCTCTGGAGACAATCAAGGGCAGCTACAGAGATGGCCAGTCCCCCAATCCATGCAGCCACTGAGATGGCCAGACCCCGACTCCATGCAGCTTCTGAGATGGCCAGCCCTTCCCTCCATGCAGCTTCTGAGATGGCCAGCCCCTCCCTCCATGCAGCTTCTGAGATGGCCAGCCCCTCCCTCCATGCAGCCAGTGACATGCCCAGCCCCTCTCTCCATGGAACTTCTGAGATGGCCAGCCCCTCCCTCTATGCAGCTACAGAGATGGCCAGCCCCTCCCTCCATGAAGCTTCTGAGATGGCCAGACCCTCCCTCCATGCAGCTTCTGAGATGGTCAGACCTTCACTGTATGCTCGGGACTAGGTATGGAAAGACAGATAGCAACAGAGAGACACAGTTTGAGGAGAGGAGGAGTATGGGGAAGAAAGAATAGCTGCAACATAAGGAGTACCAGGAGTGCATGATTTAGAGTCAAAAGAACTGGGAGCAGACCCCAACTTCCCCTGACTCTATGTGACCTTGGAGAACTCACTTAACTTCTCTGAGTCTCATTCAGCTCAACTGGCAACTGGGGAATACAATCCCTGCCTTATAGGGTGGCCGTAAAGATCAACAGGATAAGGTACGTGGATGAATTTTATAAATGCTCTCTACTTGCAAAGAATTTCTGCTATTCCAAACTCCATATCCTACCTGCCAAGGGTTGCATAAACTTACGTGACATTTAGAGGCTTCTTGAACTGGATGAGGGTTGGTGACTTTTGCTGCTCTACGCCCTGAGGAAATGGAGGAGGACTAGCTGGACAACGTAGGGAAACCCAAAATTCATTCATCTGTAATGAAGGGATCGGGGGGAAGCAGAGGCTCCTAACCTGACTTAGCTGCTGTTTGTTATTCTTGGGAGGAAAATCCCCAACCTGGTTCTGCTTGAAGCCGGGCTGTCTGGAGTGATGTCTTGACAGGATGATGGATGGTGGCTAGGCACAGTTTGTGACACTGAAGCACATACTCTGCATTCTTTATCTGGAGCTGCTGCCGGCGGAAGGCTGCAAATAAGCAATCCAGTTATAGGAATCCCTGATAAAATTCCATTATGGGCCCCAGAACCAATCATGCTGGATTCAATAGCGGGGAGGCTGGGAGGCGAGGCGCATGTTGGGAGCAAAGCACTGCCACTGGGGAAATTTTCCCTGAGCCCGCAGGCTCTCGCACTGGGAATTCCACAAAAGTCGGAGACTCAAACTGTCTCTGACATCCAACTGTCTTTGCTGTTTGAAATGCGACAAAACTTACACAGGGTGGTAGCTGAGGGCTGTGTTGCAGCCAGCAGGCAGAGACCTCAGGTTGGAGCTGATTTGGTTTTATTGAGATGCTGGTTTCCCCCTCTGACGTGTCCATAGGAAGCTGGTTCTGTTGTGTGGCTCACTTTTTTTGGCCTCTAGCTGATCCAGCTGAAGCCCAGTGGTAAATATAGCATCCCTCACCCCTTGGAGATTTAGGAAACCTTGCTTCAAACCTCAGTGTCATGCCTGAGGCCACTGGGGACCTTACTTGGGCAGACACAGATACAAGACACAGCCTTTCACCCTTTCCCCAGAACCATCCACTGGCCTGGAGAATTTTGTGAGTTTAGTGAGACTCGAGGGGTGCAGGGTGGGGGCAACCTCCCAGCCTTCCACAATCCCTGGGCAACCTCCCAGCCTTCTGCACTCCCTGGCTTCCCCACCCTCCTGACCCTGGCTCTGTCCTTCCTCCCCTTCCAGTGCAACCAACACACTCCTCCCTTGTCTTTTACAGAGCAGTTAATCCCCCATCGGGTTCTGAAGTCCTAGCTTTTTTCACCAGGGGCCTTACCATATCAAGGAGTTTTCAAAAGCAAGGCAGTTCTCTCACTCTAAGAGGAACCTTCTACCAGCTGCTGGGAGGGCGGGACAACATCTGTCCGCTGCACGCACTGACAACTAACGCTCAGAGGTGCTCACTGTGGGCCAGGCAGGCTGGGAGATGTTTGCCTGGGTTGGCTCATCAGTGAGGTGGGTGCTATGTTTATCACGTTTTACAGATGAGAAAACTAAGTCATAGGTAAGTTAAGTCCCTCGGCCAAGGTCATACAGTAAACCCAGGAAGCCCGGCACTGGTCTTATTGTCATCACCGTTATCCTGGACATAGATGGGCTAGAGAGAGAGAGCTCACTCGTTGACCTTGCATCCCCACCCGGTTATTAATGCTGAAAAGCCATTCCGGAGGAGACGTGTGACCCCGTTCTACTACAGCTCCACCCCAGCTCTTGTTAAGAACTTCCTTCCTGGTTACCCAACAGTGTGTTGCTCCCAAGAGCAATGGCTGGGCCAGGTCAGTGCTGGGTGACCTGAGTTTGCATCTTCAACTGCTTCTTCCTGTCTGCTGTGACCTGGCTGATCCCTCAAGGAGACTGTCTTCCTTAATAGAGGGAACTTGAGACATTAAGGACTCACTTCTGTGTCCCCCTCGTTTGGACTTGGATCATGCTGCAAGCATAGTTTTGACCTTCACTTCCTGGCCCAGGGAGCCTGCAACTGCATGGGGTTAGGGCAAGACCTACACAGATGCATTTCGAGAGCACACCTCAGGGCTCCCATGTTTGGGGCTTTGACCAAATTAGCCTTTCCTCTTAGATTTGGGAGACCACCTGTTCTTCCCAGCATTCAGTCATCCCGGGTTTCCTGACTTTGGGCTCACTTCTGACTTGTGGTTTGTGCCGTCCTCTAAACCTTCCCTGAGGTCCTGGACTGCCGATCTGCCTGATATTGACATCTGGTAACCTCGGGGGCTCACCCTCCCGCTTGGGGACCTAACACACAGGCACAGCCTGGCAGTGCAGGGCAGGAAACGCAGCAGAAAGGGAGCTGGCCAGTCGGACAAACCTAGGTTCAAACTCCACGTCCTCCACCTGCCGGTCATGGTGTTAGAAAGTCACCAGACCCTTCTGGGCCTCTGTTTGCTCTTCTGAAAATGGAGCCACTGATGATGCCATCCTCATTCATGGCGGCGATGAGGGTTTGAAACACCAGAAGGCATGTGTAGCACTCCACAGCCGGGATGTGGCAGAGATGGACTCGGTTTCCCTTCTTCTGAGCGTTACCAAGTATCCCTGGCCTTTTCTCCCTTCCTCTTCCCTTCACCTTCAGCGGCTTGGCCTCAAGTCTCCCCGACAATCATTGTCACTTAAGCTGATGAAGGTCTTGCCCTCTCCCTGCTCCCCACTGAGCCCTGAGGACGGGAGAAGGTGGAAGGGGGTTGTTGACCACAACAGCCGGGTCCCCTCCTTCTCAGACCTCTGTCCCACTTGCTGCCTGAGACTTAGGGTGGCAGAACACAGCAGGCCTTGCCCAAGCAGGAGGAGAAGGAGAAACAGAAGCCACATGAGTTGTAAATTGAGGTCTGCCTGGATGAGGGGCTGCCCACTTTCTGCCCTGGTGACCATTAGCACCATCACTTGGGGGCTTAAAAAGGGGGTCTGTTTGTGCAGTTGTCCCCTGCCTCCTTTTTCTTTTTCTCTTCTTTTCTTTCTTTTTTTTTTTCTTTTTTCTTTTTAGAAGAAGTAACAGGGATTATAGGTGCCCGCCACCCTGCCTGGCTAATTTTTTTTGTTGTTGTTGTTGCATTTTTAGTAGAGACAGGTTTTCACCATGTTGGACAGGCTGGTCTCGAACTCCTGACCTCAAGTGATCCTCCCACCTCAGCCTCCCAAACCTCTGCCTCTTACCTTCCCCGCCCTGCCCTTGTTATGCATCTCCTCTGCTGGGTGTTGCCATGGGCTGCACTGCAACCCCCTCAAATCCAGATGTGGACACCCAACCCCAGCACCTCAGAAAGCGACTGCATTTGGAGATGGGGGGGTCTTCAAAGAAGCGATCAAGGCCGGGCGCGGTGGCTCACGCCTGTAATCCCAGCACTTTGGGAGGCCGAGGTGGGCAGATCACAAGGTCAAGAGATGGAGACCATATTGGCTAACACGGTGAAACCCCGTCCGTCTCTACTAAAAATACAAAAATTAGCTGGGCGTGGCCGTGCATGCCTCCCAGTTATTCGGGAGGCTGAGGCAGGAGAATCGCTTGAACCTGGGAGGCAGAGGTTGCAGTGAGCCGGGATCACACCACCGCGCTCCAGCCTGGCGACAGAGCAAGACTCCGTCTCAAAAAAAAAAAAAAAATGATCAAGCTAAAATGATGGTGGATCCTCATCCAGTATGACTGGTGTCCTTCTAAGAAGGAGAGATTTGGACACAGACAAACACAAAGGGAAGACCATGTGAAGACACACAGAGAAGACAGCCACCTCCAAGCCAAGGAGAAGAGAGGCTCAGAAGAAACCAACCCTGCCGACACCTTGATCTCGGACTTCCAGCTTCCAGAACTGCGAGAGAACAAATTTCTGTTGTTTAAGCCTCCCAGCCTGCGGCACTTTGTCATGACGGCCCTAGCAGACGGATTCATGCGCCAAGCCGCATATCCCACTGAGGTGACCAGGCAGGCTTCTGAAGCTTGGGTGGAAGCCCAAGGAATATGGGAGAAGAGCAAGGAACACGGAAGAAAGCAGAGAGGGGCCCCCAGGCAGAGCAGAGACCTGTTTCCACGGAGCAGGACCCCAGTCTGGCGTCTCCTTTGTTAGAATAAAAACCTGAAAGAGGGTTACGGAGGAATTTGGAATGTTGTGGGATGTACTTCGGTTGTGGCAGCAGAGCCCAGACCTGGCCCAGGCGGGGTCTGTTCTGCCATCCACAGGCACCTCTTCTCCTCTCTCTTAGACCCTCTGGAATGAAAAGGAAGAAAGAGCCTCTCACTCATGTTTCCCGCTGTGCCCACCTGCAGGTGAGCGGCCCTCCCTGCTGGTGTCTTTCCCATATCCCAGGCCCCTCCGGTTACAGCCCCCATGGGCCGCTCCTGCTCCTGCTCCGCGGCCCCACCTCCGCCTCCTCCCGCCCTTGGCTGCCCCTCCCAGGCTCGGCCTCCCCGCGCCGGTTCACGCTCACATTTGGGCTCCCCGGCTTGCTGCTGGTGCCGTTTCATTTCCCATCTGCTCACCTCCGGCTCATGAGTAATGAGAGTTTACAAGTTGAGTTTCCATATGTGGAGCATTTATATGTTCTTCTTCAACAAGGAGGGGCGAGTTCCTCCGGCTTCATGGTCTCTGGGACCCAGAGGTTTCCTAGCCTGTTGTCAAAGGTACCCCCTTCCCCACCTCCTCCCTCACACAGCCCTGTCCCTTCGGATCGGCAGACCCAGTTGTGAGCATTAGATATTACTTGTTGGGAGGCCTGGATACGATTTTACATTCTCTGTTTTTCATTTTTAAAAAACACTTGTTCAGCAACATTCACACTGTTTTGTTCTCAGATGGACTAGGAAAAAATCAAATGCTTCCTTGCGTTCTCTCTCAAATATAAAATTTAGCGTAAATTGTTTCTGCTTCCTCTCCCTTCTCCCACGCTCTCCTTCCTCCCCCTCCTCCTCCTCTTCTTTCTCTTCCTCTTTCTTTCCCTCCTCCCCTTCCTCCCGCTCCTCTTCCTCCTCCTTCTCTTCTTTGCTTTCTCCTTCCCCTCCCCCTCTTCCTTCCCTCCCCCCTTTCTCTCTTCGTCCTTTTCCTCCTCCCGCACTCCTTGATTCAAATACTTTTCTGAAGGTCAAAGGCCCTATATGAAAAAAGATTCCCTGGCTCAGCAGGACACACATGATACATTTCCATTGGGGAAGGCCTTGCCCCTCCCACTGCAGCGACAGCTGTCATCTGAACTTTTATACCTTGGAACAGATGGGGCTCAGGGAGCAGGTGTCTGGGGGCCAGTGGAGATTGAGGCTGACAGTCACCCACCTGTGGCTCCTGGGGTGCTCTTACCTGTCCCCCAGCCCCTGTGGAAGGCAGTATCTGGGAGTTGGAACCTCTCCTTCTCTGCATTTCTCATGGCCCCTACTCAAGTTCTAGCCTCTGGGGCCCACAGTCCTCAAGGGCCCTTGTCTAATGCTTTGGCCATCGTTCCCTCTTCCTGCCTTTCACTCTGAGATAGGCCTCACTGCCTGGTGCTCCCCTCCACCTGGGTTTGGTTCTGATGGCTCTCCACTGAGGCAAAACCACCTCCTTCCCCCAAATTATCCCCCGAGGACAAGCAAATCAGCTGTCCTTCCGGTTCTCCATGGCCTCATTCAGCCTCTCCATTTTCTCTTGATGGAAAGTGGAGAGGAGTCAGCCAAGGAGGACAGCAGAGGATGGCCAGCCCTGCTCCGGGCCCAGCCAGTGCTGGGGGATGGAGGCCTGGGCTTCGGACATGGCTCAGTAAGGACAGATGGGGAACTGCAGCAGGATTAGCCCAGATCTGCCCAGATCTTCCCAGACGACTTGCACACTCCCCTATCCCAGGGAAGGAAAGCGCACACCATCTCATTCTCCTCGTTCTCACGTCCTGCTGTCCTGCTGTCACCAGCTCTGCACAGCACAGGTGCTTAAGCAGGGGATTTAATCAGCCTCTTGGCTAATAGTCCCCAAGTAGTAATTGAAGTGGGCTGATTGGACCCGTCTATTAGGCCCAGGGAGCTGTGGGGAGATGGCTTTTGGAGCGTTTCCTCCGCCTGCTAATCTATCTGTCTGGCATTTTATCTGGAGCCCAGAGCTCATGCTTGAGCACTGAGGCATTTTACAGTATTATTATTACTTAGCACTTATAACATACTTCATCAATGAGAGGGTCGGCGGCCGCGCCATCACTCTAAAGCACGGCGCTCCAGATAGAGAGATACGGATCTCACTCCGGGTGTGTAATATTTGATGTCTGTGTCTTTGGGTTGCTTGTGATCTTGTTATTAGTTATGTTTCCTCAAGGAGAAAACCTACCTTCATTCTCCTGATGCATGGGGGTCAGGTGGACGGGAGGCACAGGGATGGGTGCAGGAAGGATGCACAGGGGAGGGCTTAGCTTGGGTTCCCCCAGAAGCAGACCCAAGACAAGGGGTTGCATGCATTTATTTCTTTGGGAGGTGATCTTGGGAAGTACTAGTAGGGGAGTGGGGAAGGAGATGGGGACAGGAAGAAGTGAATACAGGATGCTGTGCTATTGAGCAGGTTACTGCCATGGGCAGTGGGGCCAAATTCCACTGGGGAACTTAGGCACCTGGAGGTTTCATCCTCTGAGTCCATCTGACATTGGCCGAGGCTGCTTCCAAGGACATTCACTCCCCAGCCCCTTGAGCTCAGCCCCTACCTGGGCTGAGAGAAGCCCTCAGGTGAGTCCTAGATGTCTGTGCCATGTGCTGACTGCTGGGTGCCCAGGAGGTGTGGGTGGGGCCCTGGCAGTGACAGCCGTGGCTTTGAAGCTGGACACAGGTGTTCTGATAAGGGAACGAGCCCAG
The DNA here is from genome assembly GCF_000001405.40 of Homo sapiens. Taxonomy (NCBI): domain Eukaryota; kingdom Metazoa; phylum Chordata; class Mammalia; order Primates; family Hominidae; genus Homo; species Homo sapiens. The sequence continues at coordinate 73,745,621 of NC_000017.11, forward strand.
GAGAAAAGTCCTTCTCCCTCATCTCAAACCCTGCCCGCTCTGTGTGTCCCTTGCATCTTAGGGCCCAAGGCTGTGCCACAAAGTCCAGGACAGTTTGCAGAGGTCTGGGGACTGTCTCCAGCTCCTCCACCTTCCCTAACTGAAGTGGAACGTTCAAAGAGAGGCACAGTGTGTGGCTTGGGTTCAAATGCCGCCTCTGGCCCCTTCTGGCTTTGTGACCTTGGGCAAGTGACTTCATCTCTCTGGCCCTTAGTTTTCTCATCTGTGAAATGGGAGTAGCAATGATACCTAGCAGGAAGGTCTTCGAAGGTTAAATGAGAGAGTGTCTATAAAGTGCCTGGTCCCGTGTCCAGCCATAGAACAGGAGTCCAGGACACATTCCTTCCTCTTCCCTTTCATGCAGGGCTCCAGCCCCCAACCAGGACCCTGACCAGAACACCTGAGTCCAGTTTCCAGGTCTTTGGTTTTTTTTTTTTTTTTTTTTTTTTGAGATGGAGTCTCGCTCTGTCACCCAGCCTGGAGTGCAATGGCACAATTTCAGCTCACTGCAACTTCCACTTCCCAGGTTCAAGTGATTCTTCTGCCTCAGCCTCCCGAGTAGCTGAGATTACAGGTGCATGCCGCCACGCCCGGCTAATTTGTGTATTTTTAGTAGAGATGGGGTTTCACCATATTGGCCAGGCTGGTCTCAAACTCCTGACCTCGTGATCCGCCCACCTTGGCCCCACACCTGTTGAGATTACAGGCGTGAGCCACCGTGCCCGGCCCTCCAAGTCTTTGAGTTACAGAGATTTCCTCAGAGGCTCACATTCCCAGGGAGCTGGACTCTTGTTTCCAGGACACTGCATCTTTCCCATGCCCAGGGCAGGGGGCACCCTGCTGACCACTCCAGCAGCCCTGCCTGATGCCTGGGCTTGCAGATATCCCCATGCTCATCAGGCCAAGGCAGATCTGCATGGCATCCCCTGAGGGGCCAATTTATACAGCAGCTTAAGTATCTTTTAAAACTTCTTCCCCTCCCCGGAGATGGGGGAGGCGGCTGCTGCTGCTGCTCAGGCCCCAGGCTCTTCTTCAAAGGGTCTCCCCGTAGGCAGATGGAAAACTTGCTAGGAAAAGATTTTCCTATTTTTTTCATATATATTTTTTCTTGGTTGCAATTCTTGTTCCTGCCTGATTCTCTACCTTCCACAGAGCCAGCAGGTAACTGATGGGGATCAGAGCTCTCAAGGCCCCTGGGGGCACCTCCTGCAGGAAGACTTCCCCAATTATCCCACAAGCATTGCTTGTTTCTGCTCCCCGTGGTTTTCTGGCTTCCTTGTGGCCATGTGCTTCACGTGTGGAGCTCCTCTTTGTGGACCGATGAGTGTGTGCGTAGTGGGAACTTGGTGTCTGTCTATCCAGGGGGATGACAGTGTCTTGAAGGATAGGACTTGGGTCTCATCCTTTCTCTGGGCTGGGGAAGCTGCTGCCGACTGGCTGGGGGTGAGACCGTCTCTGAGCCCACCTGAGGGTGTCTGCCTGCCCAGGTAGGCTCTGGTAAGAGCCAGTGACTCTGCTACATAGGGGATCCGTCAGAGCTGAAAGGTCTAGAAGCCCTTCATCATATTAAAGACCAATTCTGTGCAGATTAAGAGGACACAGCATCTGTTCTCTTGGGTTTGGGGAAGCCATCCATCCTCCTGGAGCAGCTCTGGGCAGGCGGAGGAGCTCTGGGCAGGAAAGGGAAAAACTCAGGTGGCGAGATGGTGAAGAGCAGCCTTCTCCCGTGCCCCTGAAGAGAGGTCCCAGGTGCCCCGAGTGTCCAGGCTCTCATGTGGCTCTGGTTCCCCCCAAGGTGCCCAGCACTCTGCCTCCTGCATGGGGTCATGCTTTCAGCCAGAGCCCCCAGAATGCTCAGGGGCCCTTGCTGTTTCTTAAGATCAACTCATCTGACTCCTTCCGAGGCTGAGAGCTCAGCTCTGTTGGGGCGTTGCCTGCCGTCCTGCCTTCCTCCTTTTTCTGCCTGGCTGCGTGGCGGTCCAGGACTATCTGGGGATCGGCTGCATGGTGGGAAAGGGCCACTTCTTCCTGGTAGGGCTGGCCAGGAACAAAGGCAAGGGGACTGGGGAGGGGACCGGGCTGTGCTCTATTTATACTGTATCTTGGGGTAGGGCACATTGGCAGCCCAGCGCTCTGGATGCCTCCCAGAAGCCTGAGTGGCGGTGGCGGGGGCATCTGTTCACTGAAGGAAGGGCAGAGAGAAAAGAATGGGCACTTATTGATTTTCTTCGATATGCCAGGCACCAGGCCAGGCCCCTTTGATGCATGATCTCATCATGTAAATATAGGATGGTGGTCAGGAGATCAGCTTCCAAAATTGACAGAACTGGGTTAGAATTCCAGCTCCCCCAGTTTCTGGCTGGGTAGCACTGGGCAAGTGGGTTCACCCGCCTAAGCCTGACTTTGTTCCTCTGTAAAGTGTTTATAATCAAAGCGCCTTCCTCCAAGAGGTCCTTTCTCTAAAGCACACAGCAGCATGCTGACCCAACAGGACGTACCCCGTGAACATTAACGCCTTCTGTTATGAACGACCATGTGATGCAGAAAAAATCATGCCCTGATTTTTGGTAGACGCAGCGGCCAAAGCCTAAGATGTGAAGAAACTCACCTGAGGCCACTAAATTGGAAAGTGGCCGCGCGGAGATGCAGGTGAGGCCCATGCCTTCCAGGCTCCAAAGCCCAGGCCCTTCTCAGACGTCCTCCAGCTTCCACAGGGAAAGAGATAAATGATCCCAGGGCTAGCGAGGGGCCCGGCTGCTCAGCCACACTGGAAGGGCAGAGAGACCCGGCTGCCAAGCTCCCGGCAGTTGCATAGCTGGGCAGGGACTTTTCCTTGGAGCTGGAGAAGCTGCTCCAAGATGGGCCCCAGACGTGGAAGATGGCTCTGCCGGGACAGCTGTAAACTCTTTAACCTTGTGTGGGGCTTCGTCCTTCAGCAGCCCGGTGAGGGATCAGTGGCAGGTGTGATGGCGGGGGAGGTGGAGGTGGCGGCGGAGGCGGCCCTGCACTCACTCACTCACGGCAGAACAGACTCTGGATAAACAATTATAGTCTATTTACCTCAGACCATATGGTGTTGGGGAACAGGTGTGCGGGTAATGAAGAGCCCAGCTCCAATTAAGCGTCGGGGAACCCGGCCGGATTCCCACTGAATCTTGCGCTTGGGTTGAGGCCCACTTACAAATGAGAGCTAAAAGGACTGAGGCTCGGGGAGGCAGGAGCGGGAGCCTGAGGGGTGCGTGGCAGGGCCAGCCAGCGGCCCCCACCCGCTGCTCTGTACCTGCTGGCAAGCTGGTGCAGCCCAGGGACCTCATCTGGGCCTTCTCCATGGCAACTTGGTGCATCTGGGAGTTATGAAGGTGAATGGGTCATGGCCATGCACCTCTTGGTGAGGCCGTCCTGGGACCTGTCAGAGGGGAAGTCAGGGGGTGATTCCTGTTAAGATCGGTGGGATGGGGCAGGCACCTGTCACCCTCTGTCAGGGTCCTTCCCACCCTGACTCCCCCTTGGCCTTCATTCCCAACGATTCAACACGTAGTTTTGAGTACTTATGGTGTACTGAGCTAGGCACTGGGGATATGCTGATTAAAAAGAAGTAGACAAAGGCCTTGCTCTCATTGAGTTTATGTTTTAGGGGGATGGGAAGACAAACAATGAGTCACATTCATAGATAAAGTCATCACATGCATGAAGAAGGTGAGTCGCATACATGGATAAGGTCATCACATGCATGAAGAAGGTGAGTCACATACATGGATAAGGTCGTCACATGCATGAAGGCGAGTCACATGTGAATAAGGTCATCACATGCATGAAGAAGGCGAGTCACATGTGAATAAGGTCATCACATACATGAAGGTGAGTCATATACATGTATAAGGTAATCACATGCATGAAGAAGGCAAATCACATACGTGAATAAGGTCATCACATGCATGAAGAAGGTGAATCACATACATGGATAGGGTCATCACATGCATGAAGAAGGTGAATCACCTACATGAATAAGGTCATCACATGCATGAAGGTGAGTCACATACATGGATAAGGTCATCACGTGCATGAAAGTGAGTCACATACAATAAGATCATCACATGCATGAGGAAGGTGAGTCATATACATGAATAAAGTCATTCACATGCATGAAGGAGGTCATTTCTAAGCTTGGTAAGTGTGAAGAAAGCAAATCATTTCATCTGCCTGATGGACTCTTAGCCATCTCTGCAGGCCCCGTTCAAGGGGCCCCCTCTTCTGACACCTCACGAATGCCTGGAGGGGTGGGTCACCAGCTGCCCCGGGCTCCTGGTCACTCTCCTGCACACCCCATTGCCCCATTGCAGCCCTCGGAGGTTCTGTAAACAGCTGCTTCTGTGCCCTCTCCTTCCAGGGCACTGCCCTTGTCCAAGTCAGGGAGGGCGTCTGGCTCGAGTGCTATTTCCAGCATAGCACAGGGTCAGGCCGGCAGATGAGAGGGTTTGGTGAGTGATACAGCAGCCTCAGCCTCCTGGGAGACTGGTCTGGCCTGCTGGGAAGACATTGTCCACTCTGGCCTGGCCTGGCCTGAGCAGGTATGTGAGCGACAACTGCAGAGAGTGCCAGCCTCTGGAAGAGCCCCAGGGGCCTCATCCGACCACGGCGCCCACAAGGTGCCCCTCATAAGTGTTCTGGAGGCTGCGAGCACAGCCAAAAAGATGAACAGCTCCTGTCCCTGCGGTGGGCTGATGAGAGTGGAACGAGGGCACATGTTCCAATGAATCTCTCGTGTCAGTTTTCACTGCAGCACAAACAGAGGGAGGTGGGGAGTGCATCGTTTCTTCTAGGAAGCCCCGGTTTCCACTGCTGATGAGGAGAGAGAGACAGAAATGGGGATTTTTCACACTCCTTTGCCTGGTGAATATTTTTGTTTTCGTTTAATTTTGGATTAGTGCATTGCTTTAGGACTGGACAGATGAAATCAGCATCTTCCCAAACTTCTCTGCTGGAAGACTGTCTGGAATATCTCCCCTTGGCCCTCTGGGGGATGCTGCCCACTCCACAGGGCTCCCTGAAGCTCTGTCTGATTATAAAGGTAATACCTTCCAACAGAAATACACAGCTGGGTTATAGGAAATGGATAACAGATGATTCCTAGGAAAATCAAGGTTTCAGATGAAAAACCTGCACAATTTCTGGGGGTGCAAGGTTTCCAGAGCCAGGATTCTGGAAGGCTCCAGCCTCCAGCCCTCCCTCCCTAACCCAGAGGGAGGGCAAGAAGCAAACTAAATGGGTTCTGAAGTGGGAAACAAATTGGATTTTTAAAAAATGCTCTGGTTCTAATGATCGAAGAGGTTATTCATAATCCTGGAGTAGAAAGCGTATCTTGAAATCTATGTTTTGTGTTGACAGCTTCTCCCTAATGGGCAAGATCTCACACATGATAGAGCCATAAAATGTGGCACTCCTGGCTGGCCCTGCTGCTTGTCTGATAAGGGAGATGGAGGGACTCGCCAGCACAGGCAGAGGGCCCTGGGTCTTACCCCGCCCCTGTGCCTCCTCCCGACTCCAGCTGGTCTCGGCTTCCAGCATGTTGGAAGGCCTGTTCTGCAGAACCCAAAGCCCGTGTTTTGCAATGATGAGGATTCCATGTTCAAGAAAGGCTGGGAAATCTCTCCCCTCCTAGGGATTCAAAACACCCATGAGCACAGTCATGGCTGTGAGGAGGCTTCCACTAAAGAAAACCTGGTAAGCTATGCTCGACCCGGTTGTTCTCAGACTCCTTTGACTGCAGAACCCTGTTTTCACACAAGCCCTATTGACGTCCTACAGAACAAATGCTTTCCAGAACCTACGATGCGTCATATAACAGTATCCTTTTCCTAGGGCTACTCTATCAAAACACCACAGACTGGGGGGCTTAAATAACAGAAATTCCTTCTCTCACAGTTTTGGAGGTTGGGAGTCTGAGATCAAGGTGTAGGCAGGGTTGGCGACTTGGCTGTCTTCTCCCTGTGTCCTCCCATGGTCCTCCCTCTGCACATGTCTCTGTCCACATATCCTCTTCTTATAAGGACACCAGTCATGCTGGATTAGGGCCCACCTCAGTGGCCTCGGTTTACCTTGATTATCTTTTTAAAGACCCTATTGCCAAAAATGGTAACATTTGGAGGTGCTGGGAGTTAGTATGTCAACATATGAATTTGGAGGGGACCCATTTCCGCTCATAACAGTAGCAGTGGGCCTTGGCACTATGAAACTTGGTATTGGGGGGACCATGAGGAGAGCAGAAAGGTAGGTAAGTGGGCAGGGCATGGCTGCTGCCTGACCCTCTGCATGCTTCCCATTGCAACAGTAATGACATTAACACTAACTGCATTTTCACACCTGGAATCCCAGCATTTTGGGAGGCTGAGGCAGGTGGATCACTTGAAGCCAGGAGTTTGAGACCAGCCTAACCAACATGGTGAAACCCCGTCTCTACTAAAAATATAAAAATTAGCTGGGCATGGTCGTGGGCACCTGTAATACCAGCTACTTGGGAGGCTGAGGCAGGAGAATCACCTGAACCCAGGAGGCAGAGGTTGCAGTGAGCCGAGATCACATCACTGCACTCCAGCCTGGGCAACAGAGCGAGACTCTGTCTCAAAAGAAAAAAATATATATAAAACCAGGAAGTGCATTTGCCAGATATTTATGCATTACAAGTACTTTTCCATCCATCAATTAATGTGATCCTTTTAACAACCTGTAAGGTTGGAGGTTCTACAGTTATTTCCACTTAACAGAGAAGGATGCCTGCACTCAGAAAGGTTGAGTCACTGGTTTGAAGTCACCCAGTAAATAGTGAAGTCAAGGACTAAACCCAGGTGGACTTAAAGAACCAGTCCCGAGGATTAATGGAGGATTGATTCCCTGCCCTCCCTAAGATGGAACCCGCAGTTGCTGGCAGCAGAAGCAAGAGTCATCTCAGAAGGGCTCTGAGGGCCCCTGCCAGGCAGAGCCCGAGTTCCCACAGGTGGCATTTACCCTGACGAATCTGGGCCCAGGCTGAGGCCCACCTCACTTCTCGCCAGCCTGGATGGAGAGCTGTTCCCCTGAGCTTCCCAAGTGTTTTCAGATGAGTGGATCCTGCTGGCTGCTCTAGGCACCTGCCCATTTGTGCTGAAAGCCAACCAGCTGTGAAAGGTTGCAGATTTCTGAGCTGTCCCAGGGGTCGGGTGTGGCGGAACGGGGACACAGACCGAGACCACCCCAGCTTTCCTGGACTCATCTCAGAAACAGAGGCAGGCCCAGCAGTGAGCATTCTTCAAGAATGAGCAACCCAGGTCCAGGCTGACTGCGAGCGGGACCAGAGAATTTGCTACTTGGAAGGCAGGAGAGGGTGGCGACTGGGTTAGCAGCTCCAGGAAACCAGCTGACTCACTTTGACCATGTCCATCCTGGCCTGGCCACCTGCTATTTGCTTCCTTGGTGCCTCTTGAAAAAGTTTGATGACCAGGTAAAACCCTTGCCTGCCACGCCCGGAGGCTGGCTCTTCATGAATTCTTCCTCTTGGTCAGAAGATGCAACTCTCTAGGTGACCAGGCCTGTGCCCGCAGGCCTTGTGCCTCCCCTGGACTCACTGGGCACTCCTGCTGCACATCTAGTCAAAGATGCTTGGCAAAGGAAGGGCAGATCACTGGGAGGGACGGACCCGGAGACCAGTCCTGACCCCAGATTCTGAGCTGTGGAGCCCGGGGCAGCGGATTTGTTGCCTTCACCTCAGGTTCATCTTGGTACAATGGGGCTCATGAATAAATGTCAAGGTCATTGTGAAGGTCCCATTAAAGGAGAGGTAAAAAGCTCTTTGCAAAACTTCAAAACAGCTATGTAAATGAGGGTTGTTAAAAGAGCCCAGGAGGCAGAGGGGGAGGAAGGCTGGGGGACCAGCCGTAAACTACTAACTGGTGCAGTGCCAGCGGCTACCTAGATGAGGCTGGGTGGGCACCGCACCAGGCAGGACTCACCCTCAACCTCCAGAGGGGCTTAGAAGAGGAGGTCCATGAAAGAATCCGAGTCTCCGGTGGTTGTGTGCCCAGAAATACCTGGAACCACCGCAGAACCTGTACACTGGCCAATCCCAGGGGGCACTATCCCTGGATACTCTCCCATGCATGGTGAATAAGGTGCAGTGGCTGAGACCCTCAGGGAAAGGAACCCTCCACCATGTGCCATTTCCTCTTCCCAGGACTCTCTCTGACTCTGCCCCAGGCAGGGATGGGACCGACCCCTGGGAACCTGGTGTGGCAGCGGTGGGGATCACCCAGCAGAGGTTCAGGGAGTCACCCCTCACTCTCGCAGGAAGCTCACTCGTGTCAGTGGGTGGTTCAGTTCTGGAACATTTCTCTAGAGAGGGGGGCCCGGAAGTCCCCCAGCTGGCTTCTTTAGGGCAGGCTGGGGCTAGGGAGAGGACAGCGAGGCCCAGGGTGTGGATGTAAGCAGGCACTCACACTCATGGGCCTGCCTGCATGAGACTGACAGAGAGCGGTGCCTTAGATTCCAGGGACTTCTCTTGCCTCACCCACATGCCAGCCCTGCTTTTGGGAACCTCCCTTTTCAAGTTCTCTACTAAATGACACCACCCACTGCCCATCATAACTCATCCTATCCTACAAGGTTAAAATCGTTCAAGTCCTTGGCTGGGCACCGTGGCTCACGCCTGTAATCCCAGCACTTTGCGAGGCTGAGGTGGGTGGATCATGAGGTCAGGAGATTGAAACCATCCTGGCTAACATGGTGAAACCCAGTCTGTACTAAAAATACAGAAAATTAGCTGGCCGTGTGGCGGGCGCCTGTAGTCCCAGCTACTTGGGAGGCTGAGGCAGGAGAATCACTTGAACCCGGGAGGCAGAGGTTGCAGTGAGTCAAGATCGCGCCACTGCACTCCAGCCTGGGAAACAGAGCAAGGCTCTATCTCAAAAAAAAAAAAAAAAAAAAATCATTCAAGTCCTTTGTCTGAGAGGAGACGGACATTCTGTCCAGGGCCAGGGGTGTCAGTCAGACTGATGGTAGATCACACAGAAGATGTACTGAAAGATTCTGGGATTTGTCTTTGCGTGGAGAAGAGGCGATGGGTTGAGAGCGTGCCTTTAAATATTTGAATGGACCTCCTATGGGTCGATTAGTGGCCCCCAAAAGATTTGTGCACGTCCTGCTTGCCAGAGCCTGTGAACGTGATCTTATTTGGAAAAGGAATCTTAGCAGATGTAACTAAGTTAAGGATTTCAAAATGAGATTCTGGATTCAGGGGGGACCCCAAATCCAGCGGCAGGTGTCATGACAGAGAAAGGCAGAGGGAGATTTGGGAGGGAGGAGGAGAAAACCACAGATGAGAGAGGCAGTGATTAGAGCTTGGCAGCCCCAAACCAAGGGACGCCTGGGAATAGGCAAGGCACGATCCTCCCCGGGAGGCTTCGGAGAGAACGCGTCCCGCCGACACCTTGCTGTCGGACGTCCAGCCTCCACAGCTGTGACAGAATCAGTTTCTGTTGTTGCAAGCCCCTCAGTTTGTAACAATTAGTTACTTGGCAGCAACGGGAATGAACAGCTGTGTCCTATGAAAGAGGAGGTGGGCTAGTTCCATCTGCAGCCAGAGACTTAGCAAGGAAGGGTGAGAGTTCCAGGGGGGCATCTTGCAGACCAATGTAAGGAAGAATTTCCAAGAACGAGGCCTGCCCAGCATCGATGTGGCTGCCTTGGGCCATTCTGCCTCCTACAGCATCGGACTGACCACCTCTTGGGAACATAGCAGGTAGGACTGCTGTTCAGGAGGAAGGGTGGGTTAGGTCCTCCCTCCTTAGTGGAGACCTGCTGACAGGGTCCCCTGTGCGTGTGCATCATGACAGTAATTCCCCTTCAAGAAAGCATGTTGGAATGCACATATAAGAGTGATGTCTTGATAGGAATAACTTTGAGTCAGCTCTAATTTCCTTTTTCAAAAATGGCATTATTTGCAAATGTTGGTACTGTAACTATTAATAATAATTTACTTGCAGGTAGCTCGCATTTCCCCGGGACACATTGCTGAAGCTTGTCACGGTGGTGAGAGAGACCTGTGGTCTCCTAGGAGGCGTGGAGCAGCCTTCCCACACTCTCTGCACATACACATCCTCGGGGGATCTGGTCCAGGGGCAGATTCTGACACCCCAGGCCTCAGCTGAGGCTCCAGACGCTGTGTCTCTCACAAGCCCTCGGAGGACAGTGATGCTGCAGGTCCACAGGCCACAGGGATCCAGAGTGGCTGCTGGTGAGTTTCCAGAAGACCCGGAACTATTATTTAGAGGGGGCAGGGGAAGGTATTTCACCTTGCTACAACTTAGGCTGGGCCAGAGCTTTCCTTTCCGGGAATGCTGTTGAACAAAAAAGTGGGACCTGGGGTGGCTGAGATGGGCGTCCTGGAGAAGTGTGGGCTGGGAGACCTAGAAGCCACCTTTCGGTAGAATAATCTAGGATCTCAAAACTTCCTGGGCTCCTGTCCTGTTTGGGGTTAAGGGACTTGATGAGACAATGCTGAAGGAACCCTACAGCTGACTTTGTGGAGCTTGTCTCCCATGCCAAGCTCTTGCCTTAGCTATCCGCTTTAGTGCTCACAGCAATTCTATGATTCAAGAATTGCTTTACTACCCCATTTTGCAGAGGAGAAGACAGAGCATAAAGAGGTTAAACCATGCCTATGGTCACCCCTATCGGTGAAGCTGAGATTTGAAGTGGCGTTTGGACCCCAGAGCTGAGCTGATTATCACCATGACATTCAACCTTCCAGAATCCTGCAGACCCTCAATAGGGTGCCCTGCCCTCCTGTCCATGCCTGGGCCTTCCAGGACTAGCAGAGTGGTGTAGGACATTCAGGGATGGGCCAGGGCATCCTTGTACGTGGCCCCTCCCTAGGTCACCCCCAATCCCTGCTCTGGTTGGCTCCACACTTTTACATGAAGCCCCGCTGCTCCCAGATGGGGGATTAGACCAGGGGCTCCTGTTCAGCTTTTCATGCAGGAAGACTACTGAGCAGGGGCTGGCTGTGGAAGAGGGGAAAGTTGCCACCCTTGTCTAAAATTGCCGCTGCGGGATGGAGAGGAAGATTCCTGCATACCCAAGGAGAGGTTGAGGCTCCAGGGAGAAGGAGGGAGCAGCGCTGCCTGAGCACATGCCCCCAGCGTGTGGGCTGCTGGGCAGATGCCAGCATCCCCATCATTTAGGGCCTGAATAAACAGCCTTGTTTTACTCTGCTCTTTGCTGAGCAAAACAGGGCTCCAAACCCCTCCTGGCCATCCTCAAATCTCTTCCATTTTCCAAATCCTCAAACGCTTGAGGCTGTATCTCTTTGGCCTGTCCACCATAGAAAACAAGAGGCTGGTCCCTTCCCAGGCGAGGAGAGCCTCCCTCCCGGTGCTCCTGCGGTCGCCACACGTCTCCGTGGCTGACTCTTTATAGCAAGGTGCAGACACCAGGGATGGGGGTTCAGATGTGTGCACAGCAGGGTCTTTGGGGTCAGGGAGCTCTTCAGGGCAGGCAGAGCACATTCTCAGGCCATTAGCTGGTTGGGCCAGAGTTCACCTGCCACCACCCTGCCCCCAGACCAGCATCACGGCAGGGTCCCTGGTCCCTCAGAGACCCCTTGAGAGAGCAATCCCCACCACGGTCCAGGAGGTAGCTGCAAACCTGGAAAAACAGGACAGACTCCAGGAGAAGCACATAAGCCAATTAAGAGCCCAGGCTGGCCCGGCGGCTCCAGTAGCACCTGCTCTCATCTTGTGAGGTGCATGCGGCTTGGGCTGCTGGGAAGGTACAGTGCGGCCTAATTACACACTCCTCCGTGACAGGCGGTGTCAAAAGATTAAAGGAATCAAACCAAGTGGCTCTCCAGTGGCCCCTCCCCCAGGAACCAGAGCTGCTGCGTGAAGGTGATTATGGTACCAACGTAGTGGTTAGAAAGATAATTTTCTCTGGGCCCTGTGCCTGCCGCCTCCTCCACTGAGCTGCGCTTCGGCACTGCGACTCGGCCACCTTGTCTGGGCTTCACAGATTCCTTTTCTTTTTTGTTGGCACAGCTGAGCAGAAGGAAACAAACTAAGCAGCTCTCCCTCCACCAGCCTCCCACCCCACCACCCACGGGCCTCTCCTCCTCTTCCCTCTCCTCCCCTTCCCCTACCTTCCCCTCCCCTCCCCTTCCCTCTCTTCCTCTTCCCCTCCCCTCCCTTCCCTTCCCCTCCCCTCCCCTCCCTTCCCCTCCCTTCCCCTTCCCCTCCTCTCCCCTTCCATCCCCTCCCCTCTCTTCCCTTTCTCACCCCTCCCTTCCCCTTCTCTCCCCTCCCTTCCCCTTCTCTCCCCTCCCCTCCCTTCCCTTCCCCTCCTCTTCTTTCTTTCTTCTCCTCTCTCTCCTCTCTCTTCTCTGTCTCCTCTCTCTCTTCTTTCTCTCTCTCCTTTCTCTCCTCTCTCTCTCTCTTTGCTTCCCATTCTGTTTTTCTTCCTAGTCATCTCCATTCTGTTCTGCCCCTTTCACCTCCTGTTTGGTCTCTGCATCTCTTTTCCTTCCCCTCCTTAAAGACCTGTCAGAGTTCAAGGATAAGGAAGCCACTGTGGGCTGCTTCCTGTTTTTTTGTTTTTGTTTTTTTTTTGTTTTTTTTCTTTTCTTTTTTCCGCTCTGATGGTCTTTAAAATAATAACAGCAATAATCATGACCAATAACCGTCCTCGCCTCTTGCCAGCCCGTGTAGATGGCTTCCCTTGCATCACTTATGATACGTTATCAGATAAGGAAAGGGAGGACCAGGGGCTCTGCACTTGCCTCAGGGTTTGTGGCTGGTGAAGGCTGGAACCAAGGCTGTGAGCTCTGCCTGTTGACTGCAGAGAAGCTACCGACCTACTCAGGCCTGGGGAAGGAGGAGGGAGGGATGGTGGGAGAGGAATATTTGAAAGCAAGATGGGGGCGAGGCATGATGGCTCATTCCTATAATCCCAGCACTAAGGGAGGCTGAGACAGGAGGATTGCCTGAGGCCAGGAGTTCAAGACCAGCCTGGCCAACATAGGAGACCCCGTCTCTACCAGAAAAAAAAAAAAAAGAGAGAGAAAAAAAAAAATTAGCCAGGTGTGGTGGCACATACCCGTAGTCTCAGCTACTTGGGAGGCTGAGGTGGGAGGATTACTTGAGCCTAGGAGTTTGAGACCAGCCCAAGCAACATAGTGAGACCCCATCTCTACAAAAAAAAAAAAAAAAAAAAAAAAAAAAAAAAAACGAAACAGGAGGACCACCTGAGCCCAGGAGGTTGAGACGGCAGTGAGCTGTGAGCTGTGCCATTGCACTCCAGCCTGGGTGACAGAGCAAGACCCTGCCTAAAAAAAAAAAAAAAGGCAAGATAAGAAGGCACCTCTGCAAGTATCTCCTCCAGGCAGAGAGGACTGAGTATCAGTGAGGGAGGGGAGCAGGGTACCGGGACCCCCACTCCAGACTCTGCCATGCCTCTGCCCAACTTTGCTGCAGTGACTTTGGGCAAGCATCCCTGATTTACCCGGCTATGGGCTGTCACCCCTGAGGAGGGAATGCCATGTCCCTCAGGTGAGCAGAGGAAGGGTTGAGAGCTGGTCGGAACCTTCAGTATGCAGGGAGGGGCTGGAGCTCCTGGAAGACATGTGACTTGCCTAAGGTTATTCGCAGGATGGGCCCAGAGCTCCACTCTCCTGCCCTTCAGCCTGAGAGTCCTCATTCACTTCTCTGCACCTTCAGTATCTGCAGGGTCTTTGCCAAAACCCAAACCTCCACAGGGGTCCTCTCACATCCTTTCCATGATGACACGGTGACCATCTGTGAGTGGGAGGAAAGACGCCCGGAGGGGTTGGTGGAAGTGGGCGCTCCCTCACAATGACTTCTGCTTCTGAGGGTGTGAAGACACAGCTTGGGATTTCAGGCGGAGGGTTTGCTAATGTCACTACAGCACACACCTGCTGGGAATGGTATCTTGGCGGGGGAAGGGGCACGGAGCGGAAGAGGGGGATGCAAAACCCACCTCTTTCTGGTCTCTTCCCTCCCATTTCCATCCTACTGCACTTGGAAACAGAGCATCAGGGAGGGATTAGGGATTTAAAAAGTGGCCGTTAGAGGAAGGCAAGAGTGGCCCGCACCAGCTACTGTGGAGTGTCTCCATTACCATAATAACTAACCACTTAATAACTGGCTTCCCCACTAATTCTAATTGAAACACATAATGATATTTCCGGGCCGAGAGTGGCAAGCTCAAGTCTCGGCAGACATCTCCAGGCGCACCCCCCCAGCTTCACGTGGCGAAAACTGTGGGCTCTCCTTGGGTATTCTGTTGGAATAGATTCGGGCAGCCGACACCAGCTCTTGTACGGCTGCCAGGAACCACAGCTGATGATAAAAGCCATTAAAGGTCAGCTGGGAATAGAAAACCATTTATGTTAAATGTCACAGATTAAGCCGCAGAGTGGGCCTTGGGCAGGGAGCAAAGGGTGAGATGCGAAATGCTGGTCACTGTGCTGCCTCTGTAAGGTCTGGGGCAGTGGGGGGGATTGAAGGGTGGAGGTGAAGCCAGGGGCAGGGGAGCACTTGAGTTCCTGCTCCCTCCAGCCTGGGGAGGCAGGTGGATGCTGGCAGCCACAGGTGATTAGGTGATTGGCCAGGCTGGCCGCCCTGAGGTTGCTAGGCGACCTGAGGGCAAGGTGTGGGGAGAGGATGGAGTGGGTCTGTGTGGCATCATCGCAGAAGGGGACCCGGGCGGTCTCTAGAAGGGCCAATGAGATGGAGGCTGCTTCCACTTACAGAGGGACCCTTGCAGGCTCTTTTTCTGGAGTGTGGTCAGCGGGACAGTGTGGGTGTGCCTAATCATGACTGAGGATGAGTGTGACACAAGTCAACTGCTCACTGCAGCCACAGCCAGGAAGTCACAGAGAAACAAACACCACGCCCCCTTCACTACCTTCCAATGGCCTCGGAAGCTGCAGTTTGAAGGACACAGGAGGGGCTCAAGTGGGAGGGGTTTCAGGGCTCAGAGGAGCCTGGGCCAGGCCCTAAAGGGTGGCTCCAAGAGAACTGGGGACTCTGGTTCTATCGCCGCCTCAAAAGTGCCTGTGCTCCTTAAACCTGAACCTGAGTATCCGGCAAGAGCCCCTCTGTGCATCTCTGCTCCGTCCTTTGGCAAAACTCACCTGAGAAGCCGGTTTGTTGACAGGTCTGAGAAACCCCCTGGAAGTTAATTAGATCACTCAGATCCCACTGAAACAATGACTACCATCCTTGGTGACCTACCTGGGGAGTGGTTCACTTTTGCTGGTTGAGCCAGAGACTTCGTTTCCGTGCTTCTCCACCTCCCACCTTGCCTCCAGATTGCCGAGCTGTTGCTGTGTGCACAGGGAATGAAGGCTCATTTTAATATTGGTGCAAGCAGACATCATTGGGAAGGTAAATCTAGTGGGAGAGGGGAGCAGGCAAAATGAATATCACCCCAAGCCCTGTCCTGCAGCCTTAAGTCCAGTCACAGGAGGGTAGTTTGAAGCAGGGGCATGTTTCCTCTGGGAATTGGGAATCATTCATACCATTGGATGGGGCCTGAAGGAGATACTGAGGTTGTCTCCCCCGAAACCCCTGGGATGGAGAACAGATCTCCACCAGCGCAAGGGGTCCCGGGAAGGCCCTCACCTTCACTCTTCCTATGAGTTGTTTGACAGCAGAATGACTGGGCTGGAAGTGACCTGGCCTAGAAGCACTCACAGGAATACGATGGGATGGAGGGAGATCCCAGGAGGCCCTGAGGGTCCAGCCAGTGGGTGCTGTGTCAAGATGGTAGGATGAGTGGGCTTGGTAGGATGGCTGGGGGTGAGGCTGGGATGTTGATAGACACTAGGAAGATTTATATTGATTTCTGCCATCAATAGATTCGTATTGGCAACTACTCTGCACCGGCCCAGTGGCTGGCACTGGAAATATAATGCTAAGTAAGACCATTATCCTTTCTTCTAGAACCTCACTGAGAATAGGGAAGATCAATATGTTCCCGAGTAATTATGGTACATTAAAACTATCTCTAGGAGAGAGGCAGTGCAAGGGACTCAGAGCACCTAGAAGAGCAACCAGGAAGATGGGGAAGGCTTCAGAAAGGCAACATTGGAACCACCGGGCCTTCCATAGTCGAAAGGAGAAGGCTGGAGAGGAAAGTGTGGGCAAGATGGTAAAGAGCCTTGGATACTGTTCTTAAGAAGAGAGTTGAAAGTTAATTCTGAAGGCAAGAGAGAGGTATGTGCTGTTTTGGGGCAGGAGAATGAGAGGGCTTGTCCTGGATTTTAGAAAGAACACTCTAGAAGCTACAGGGAGGATGTGCCAGACACAGAGGTTCTCAACCTTGACTGCATCAAAATCATTTGGAGGGCTGGTGGAAACACGGATCACTGGTCCCTGCAGCCCAAGAGTTTTTAATTCAGCAAGGCTGGGCTGTGGCCAGAGAATTTGTATTCCTAACAAGCTCCCACGTGCTGCTGCTTTGGGTCCTGGGACCACAGTTTGAGAACCACTGTGTTGGAGAGAGGATCTGTGCAGGATCTGGAAGCAAGGAGAGCAGGTAGAAAGAAATGGGAATAAAATGAGAGATGATGAGGAGACTGGCTTGAGAGACCACTGAGGTCTCGGGGCAGGCAGATGGCGTGGTGCAGATGGGGAGAGGCAGGGCTCAGATGCAGGGAGTGGGTAGCAGAATCATGATATGGCTTTGGAGGGGCTGAAGCAGCAGAAGATGGTCAGGACAAGGAAGTGCAAAGCCAGGAAATGGGAACAGGATCCCAGGCAGGGCTGAGGTCCCAAGGGAGCAAGGACAGAGCCAGAGACTGGGGCTGGGGTCAGAGTTCCAACTCATTTGGCTGAGGAGGTGAGCAGTGGGCCAAGACTCCTACACTCTCTGCTTTTAGGCAATTAGGCCTCATTTCTGGGAGAAAAACACAGCTACAAATGGGCCTGGTTTTGCAGGTCAGGAGCACACAAGGGCGTGAATCCCACAGAGCAGGCCCAGAAATAGCGTGGGAGAGACTCTGATTCACTGTGTGCAGTGAGGTGCCAGCCTAGTTAAAGCACCCTGTCGGCCAGGCGCGGTGGCTCATGCCTGTAATCCCAGCCTTGGGGAGGCCAAGGCAGGCGGATCACCTGAGGTCAGGAGTTTGAGACCAGCCTGGCCAACATGGTGAAACCCCGTCTCTACTAAAAATACAAAAATTAGCCGGGCATGGTGGTGGGTGCCTGTAATCGGGAGGCTGAGGCAGGAGAATTGCTTGAACCAGGAAGTTGGAGGTTGCAGTGATCCAAGATCACGCCACTGCACTGCAGCCTGGGCAACAGAGCAAGACTCTGTCTCAAAAAAAAAAAAAAAAAAAAGGGCACCCTGTTGCTGGCCCCTAAGTGGCAGCCCACCCAGCCTGGGAGAACCCAGTCAGACAGGCTTTGTTCAAGACTTAAGCCCCAGTGACACAAGCGCCGCTCAGACCTCTCTTTTAGTCCCAAGGCCTGGCTGCTGGTCCAATTGCCTGTGGGAGGGAGACATCTCCCGGGAAGAGTGAAGAATCCAGCCACAAGCAGAGCAGCTGGAAGTTGATTCCATTTCTTTTCAGCAGCCTAGGAGCAGGCAAGGGGACTGGAAGGGGAGTGGGTGAGCAGACAGACCCCAGGAAGGGGTGCTCCTGAGGTTTTCAGCTAACAGAGCCCAGATGGATGTCTCCACCAACTTCCTGGTGCTGGGACAACCTTCATCTCTGCCTCTGTCCCCAAGGCTGTGTCCCTGTGTCTTAGCCCTGACGTCTCTTCTCCCGTGGTGGTCTTGCCAGTCTCATCCACTCAGTGGTTTATTTAAAGTACACAAAACATCAGACCATGATTTAAAGGAAGCTGGTATCTAGACTTTACACCACTTAGTTATGTTTTAAGCAGGAGGCCCTGAGGGTCCAGGCAGTGGGCGCTGTGTCAAGATGGTAGGGTGGGTGGGCTTGGTAGGATGGCTGGGGGTGAGGGTGGGACATTGATAGACACCAGGAAAAGTTATATTGGTTTCTGCCGTCAATAGATACGTATTGGCAACTACTCTGCACTGGCCCAGTGGTTGGCACTGGAAATATAATGCTAAATAAGACTATTATCTTTGCCTCTAGAACCTCACTGCGAATAAGGAAGATCAATATGTTCCCGAGTAATTATAATACATTAAAACTATCTCTAGGAGAGAGGCAGTGCAAGGGACTCAGAGCACCTAGAAGAGCAACCAGGAGGATGGCGAAGGCTTCAATGGGATCTGAGTGATCTAATTAACTTCCGGAGGATTTTTCAGACCTGTCAACAAACTGGCTTCTCAGGCTAGATGTGGCCCTGACTCTAGGGCCTCATATAAAGTTTTATTACCCACTTCACAGTGGAATAAGTTCGCTGCTGGGCCTGATGTCTGTCTGTCCATCTGCCAGTCAAGAATACGTGCAGGCACTGCTCTGCCGGATCTCCTGCCCATCTCCCTCCCAGAGTTCTCACCCAAGCACGGTTATTCCTGGTTAACCTTCCTGAGCATCTGGCTCTCCTAGGATCCAGGTCTTGAATTGTTCCTGCTTCCAGACTCTCTGAACCCATGGCCCCAAGCTCCCTTGCACCTGTTCTGCTCCACTTTCCTGCTCATGGCCACTACCGGGATTTCTATCCCCTCCCTGCCCCCGGGTTGCCACCTCTGCTCCACCTTTGGCAGCTGGCCTGATGGGTACCTGCACCATCTCTCCTGATACCAATATCAGCATGGGCATCTTGTCTCCAATGCCTGATCACAGTTTATGGACCACTCCTTCTAGACTGAGGTTTCTCTTCGGCCCATGGTGATGTTATAGGAGGCTGTTTGGGCTCCCAGGGGAAAAGGGAGCGTCTCTGGATGGGTGGCCTTGTGTAGAGGAGAGCTGACAGGCAGGAGGCAGCCTGGAAGGAGGAGAGGGAAGACACTGGATGACAGGGATGCTGGGGAAGGGGGCTCTCCAGCACCCACTGTGGGTAGCCTGGAGGATGGTCGGTCCCCTCCAGGATAATGTTCATTGCAGGCCAGGGCTGCCAGGATAGCTAGGCAGGACAAAGGGTTGCCACGGGTGGGCAGGGGTGGGTGGGGTGGGGTCGGCTCACCCTGGCCAGCATCTGCCTCTGTCGGGGCAGCAGGGAAGCCAGGAACCCTGTGGCTTTCCACTGTCTTCTCTTTGACTCTTCAGAAGAGGCACAATCCCAAGGGAAGATAGGATTGTAACAAGTTTGGAGGGGAAAAGGGAAGAGAAACCCTAAAACCTTCCTACCAGGACTCTCCTCTGAGATCCAAAACACACTCCCAGAAGCTGACACCCATAAGCACTGACTATGGACCAGACTCAGCTTCACCCCATGATCCCTGGGCCCTGCCACCATGACCCTGAGAGGAAGGAACCATTATGATGATCAATTTGGAAATGAGAAAATGGAAACTCAGAGAGTTGAATACCTGGTCTAAGATCATATAGCAAGAATTTGGGCCAGAACTGCCTGCCCCCATGGCCCATATTTGCAACTGTGACAGCCTCACAGCTAAGCACAATCATTTCTCGGAGCTCCCTGGGCCTTGGTGGAGCCGGGCTGCTCACAGAGATCATCCCCCAAGGCGCCGAGAACCACCTAAGCCCAATCATTCCAGCTGCATCCCAATAGTTAGCCTTTGACGGGGTCAGCAAACTTTGGCTCCAGGGCCACATATAAAGTGTTATTGGAATGCAGCTTTGCTTGTGCATTTCAGTATCGTTTGTGACTGCTCATGCTACATTGGCCTCATTGAGTAGCTGAAACAAATGCCTAACATGTTTGCTCTCAGGCTCTTTCCAGAACGTGTGTTATCGTAGCTCAGGCTGCTATAACAAAATATCATAGACTGGGGGGCTTAACAGACATTTGTTCCTCACAGTTTGGAGGATGTAAGTCCGAGCTCAGGGTGCCAGCATGGTTGGGTTCTGGTAAGGGATCTTTTCCTGGCGTGCCGGCTGCTGACTTTTTACTGTATCCTCATGTGGCACAAAGAAGCAGCCTTGTTCTCTTCCTCTTCTCCAAAAAACACAAATCTCATCTTGGGGGTCCACCTTCATGACCTGATCTAAGCCTAATCTACTCCCAAAGTCCCCACCTCCAAATACCCCAAATACCATTGCATTCGAGGTTAGGGCTTTAACATACGACTTTTGCGGTGGCACAAGTATTCAGTCCGTAACATATGTCCGCCTCTGGACTTTGATAAAATCACAAGCTCACCAACGTCTAGCAGAGCCCAGCTGCGATGGTGAGGGCCTGTGTGTGTGCATATGCACGGATGTAGTGTTTGTGCGTGTGTGCATGGATGTAGGGGTGTGTGTGTGTCCAAGTGTGTGTGCGAGAGGCCCCTGACATCCCGCTCAGGTTCTCTCCTGCCCTCTCCCTGGAGAAGGAGGAGTAGGTGTTGAGTGGGCAGTGATCTCCTTTCTAAGGGAACTGGGTTTTAGAGGATTTTATAGTCAGAGCAGCACAGTGGCTGCTGCTGCTACCGCTGCTGCTGCTGCTGAAATTTAAGTAATTTTCCCCTAATTAAGCAATTATCTCAGAGATAGCTGCTCCCATCCCCGGAAACTTTCTTATGGAGGGCAGGGAGCGGTGAGATGGGGGTGTAGAGCTTGGGAAGGCCCCAGATATAGAAACACTCTAGCTGTGAGATTCCTGCTGAGCCAAGGGCAGCAGCAGTAGAGGAGCACGTGGACTCCAAAGGTGTACTTGAACATGAGTCAACTGGTCCCAAGAGCCACGGTTGCTGGAGCCAAACACACCCATGGCAACCGACTCATTACAGGAGATTGGAGCCCACAGGGGACCCTGAGGTCCATTACAGGGACTTAGGGCGGGGAAAGAGAGAGTGAGCAAAGGCTGGGGCATTTTCAAGGCCAGAAAGAGAGGGAGGCTTCATTCTTCCATGGCAAAGGGAGAGCCGGACCACCCTAAACAGCTCATCCCGAGCACAAAACTTACCCCACCTTACCGTAAAGACTGTGTGTCGTCACTGGTGGGACTAGTTATAGACATAATCCTTCTCTGTAGGCTGACAACCCACAGACCCCACAATCACTTCTGGGAGCCTGAGGCTGCAGCCCAGGGCTAGGATACCCAGCTAAAGTGGAACTTCAGAGAAACAATGGGGAAAATTCTAGTATATCTCAAATATTGCATGGGACATACTTATGCCAAAACCCTACCCACTGTTTAGTTTTGTTGTTAGGCATTCTGTGATTTGACTTGCTAAATCTGGCAGTTCTACCTAGAGCCTAAATACCTTCTTCTCACAATTCCTAAGCTGAGAAATGATCGTTTGTCCCCAAGCAATCGCTGGATCCAGTAGAGGCAGCACGAGGACTGTAGGCCGGAGGCGAAGGATTCCCAGCTCTGAGGATTGGTACAAAAATCCAAAGGGTTTCTTGTAGAGCCAGTTTGAGGTGGATATACGGACCAGGCAACCTAACAAGGTGGTTTTGCCCTGGGATTCAAACATAGGAAAACTAGAAGGGGAAAGGAAAGAGGCCCTTATTTTTTGGTGTTAATCATCATTTACTACATGGAGACTTTTTAAAAAAAAAGACTGGGATGTTTCTTGGTTAAATGGTGAAAGGGAAATGAAATTGACAGGGCCCTTAGCTGGCTTGTCCCTGCAGAGACTAGAGCTTCTCTCTTCCAACAGAGTATTGACTCAACCCACACATAGATCTTTCTGTGGGAACTAGGAGAACAGAGATGTCCCCCTGCCTTCCTGATGAGAAACATTGTCAGAGTTACTGGCCTTTGATCCCAGACTAGCAAGCATACCATTGAGTCCAGGTCCCACTGGGACATGAGCAAGGTGGAGATTGTTCAGCCCTGATATAAATGCGGGAGGGGAGCTTCATGGCTCCAGGGTAGTCGTAGACCCCACCACCTACATGAGGGACCCTCTGGAATCACAGGGCATGGTCTAGAAGCCAGACAAAAATCTTCTCTGATGCCTTTCCCTGGGATGGGAGGGGGTTTCAGTAGCTGGAGTCCCCGAACGCTGTGCCCCTTGGCCCAGCCTCTATCAGCACTGGGGTTGACCCACTACTGAAATTCAGTGGGCGTTCCTTCCGCTGCTGCCAATTTCACCACTGTCAAGTGTGGTTACAGGTGCAAGGAGTGGGTGCAGCAGGGGGCAACAACTCCTCAAGGGAGCTTTGGCAGGAGGGGTGCAGCCATGGACCACGATGGGGATTGTGCCTGGCTGGTGAAGACCCAGGGAGTCCCCAGAACAGAGAGCTCTAGGGTGAGACACAGAATCCTCCCAATGCCCCACCTGCCAACCCCCAGATGCAGCTGGGGTTCTAGCTGGCTCCAGGCCCCACGGTGCCCGGAGGGCTACAGTGGATAAAGTCTGCTAAAAGTTACACTGTATTTATTTATTCCCTAGAAGTACAGAGAGACCTGCATAAGAGGAAAGGGCAAGGCATATAGAGACCATAAAAAGAGTTGAGTTTTTATGTAGTGGTAACCTGGGGAATTAATTTCTGGCTAACAGAGGTCGCACGACAATAACTGAGTTTTGAACAAGCACAGTTCAAAACTCCCTGGGGAGGTACGGAGAGGCCACTGAGCCTTGAAGGCAGGATGGAGGTGGGTGGAGTGAGGGGTGGGAGATGGCCAGGGCTGGCCTTGGGGACATGGGTACTAGGACCCAATTTCAAAGCACAGTAAGGCTAATAACTAAATGCTGGTTTCATTCAGTCCACATTTATTGGGCACCTACTGTGTGCCTAAACCTGAGTGAATAACATGGGGATTACAGTGATGGATAAACTGGGGCCCCACTCTCAATACTGTCATTGTCTTTTGGGGGGGTACCAGGAATGATGCTACCTGTGACTGGGCCATCAGGCATGACAGATAGAGCATGACCTGGGAATCAGACCCCATGGGCAGGAATTCTGCTTCTTTACTATAAACTCTGCCACCTTGGCAAGATGCTTAATCTTTCTCCCTCAGTTTCCTCATATAGAAAATAAGAATAATCCTACTTTCTGCCTCTTGAGATTGTGATGAAGATTTATGTGAACAGAAATGGCCTGGCATGTAACACCTTCTATCAGGACACACACTCTGAGAAACAGCTTCACTGAGTTTGAGGCAAAGTATTATGATGGTCCAGAGTGACTCATCCAGTGGAGGGGTCCAGGAAGGCTTCATGGAGGAGGTGACTTCTGATTTAGGTTTTAAAGCATGAATAAGATCTACATGAAGGGAGAAGAGAGGCACAACTTCTAGGCAGGTGCTACAAGCTGTGGCGGGAAGAATAGGAGGGGCCACGTGGCACTGAGTGCTTGATGTCCTGGGGGTGTTCTGGCCAAATTTAGGGAGCCCCCCCTTAAATATATAAGGCTGAGCTCAGGATGGTGGGCAGGCGGTGACCACACGTGGGGAGGAAACCAGAGCACCTGGTACAGTGCCCAGTCCCGGTCTTCTCCAGATACTGATGAAGGGGTGCGGGCATATTTTGGCTGAAGGCAGCAGCCCTAAGCTCCGGAAGACACCACATTCACCAAGTCAGAACCCTCGGGATGGGAGCCAAAGAATGTTTTCTAGCACTCAGTGAGAGAACAGGCCCGGGCTACCTGATTGAAAGACACCGCAACCCACACGTGTAGCCTTACATTTTCCAGCAGCCACATTAAAAAAAAGTGAAAAGAAACAGGTGAGATTGCTCACAATAGCATACGTCATTTAACCCAATATATGAAAAATGCCATGATTTCCATGCATAATAAATATAAAAGAATTATTTATGAGATATCTTGCCATCTCTTTTTCATACTGGGTCCTAAAAGTCCTGTGTGTATCCCACACTTCAGGCACCTCACTAGCCCAGTGTCCAGTGATCAATAGCCACATGTGGCTCAGGGCTGTCATATCCAACAGCACAGTGATGAAATCACAGTGAAACTTCTCCACTCTCCAGTCCAGAGACGGCCATCTCCCCATGGCCTCCGCAGGGCATTCTCCAAACTCACACATCTGGAGCCAATGCCCACGGGCTCCTGGCTGGTCATTCTGTGTTGTCTGATACTGTTCATGTTGGTGACCTTAGTGCTGGCCAGGGAGGGAGTCTGGCTCTCTTCTATTGGAGGTAATTGTGGAGTGGGGTGGCTGTGGGGCCTCAGAACACCTTGGAGCTCTCAAAGACCCTCTCACATCTTGGCCATTCCCACTTCCAGGACCAAAGCAATGATTCTGGGAATCAGCTGGGGCCACCACTGGAATAGAATGAGGCGATGGGGAGAGCCCAAGTTGGGAAAATGGAATCTTTGGTGACTGTGGGGGATGTGAGAGCCACAGACAGGAGATCACGGGTGCCTCTGCCTGCCACATATTTGAAAATGCACAAAGCAAGAGCCTCCCCTCTCCCCAGCACACGCAGGCACAGGGAAGTGTGATCATGGAATCAATTTATTTGTCTACTAATGCGCCAGGCACTGTGTTTTATAGGTATGAGCCCATGTCAGCCTCACGACAACCCTTGAGATAGGTCCTATCAGTGCCTCCATTTTAAAGATGAGAAAACAGAGGCACAGAGAGGTGAAGCATCTTGTCCGGAGTCACACAGCTAGTGGGTGGGGTAGCCAGGATTTGGACCTAGGGGGAGCTCCATCCGGGCACCAAGTCCACTGTCCCCTGGAAATCACATCATGACAAGGGGAGAAGGCAGTGGGGAGATGGAAAAGTTGGGAGGCTGTTCAGGAACTGGTGACAAGGAGGGGGAAGGCTGCCATCTGGCACCACCATGCAGGCAGTCCCAGATGGTGGAGAACCCACATCCACTGCCTGGCCGGGCTGGAACAGGATGGGGCGCAGACAGGCAGGTTCTCGGCAGACAGGCTCTGTGAAGAAGGTCTCATGCTTCCCCCATCCCACCCCAAGGGAGTGGCGAGGGAAGGGAAGCCTGTGACCTCATCATCTGGGCCAAGGCCAATGACATCACCAGGAGGGCAAGGAGCCAGGCCCAGCAAGTTATTTATGGAAACGGCTGGCGGCCAGGCACAGCTCCTGAGCTGTTTCAGATGTGGCTGGGATAAAGCCTCCAGCTGGCCCACTGGGGCTGCTGAGGCCAGGCAGGCGGGTGAGGATGAAGGAGGGCTGGAGGAGGGCTGGGGGAGTCAGCCCGCTGATGGGGCAGGGCTCTTCGAAGGCTCACTGGGGTCCCCAGCGGGGATCACTGGGGCACCATGCTTCTCCTTGGCGTCTGCCCATCTGTGTCCTCCCTTGCTCAGGGTGGACCTGTGGTCTCTGCAGCCTGCCATCAGGGTCTGAGTCTGGATGAGCTTAGAAAGAGCAGCATGGAGATTTCAATCACAAGCCACAGCTCATGTGTGCATCTATATTCGTGTGCCTGAGGGGATGTACTGTGTGCATGGCTGTTGTATGTGCGTCCCTGTCAATGGATAGATATACTCTCTGGTCCCTTGTATATTGCTCCCCTGAGTGGTCATAGGGGTAGTTAAGTTTGTGAGTTCATGGATATGGGCATCTCTGCATGAGTGTGTGTGTGTGTGTGTGTGTATGTGTTTGTAGGAGATGGGGAGAAGAGAGAGACAGAGTGCACAAGACCTAGCAAATAGGAAGAGAGGAGTCACGAGGGGAGAGAAATCACTGTAGGAAGTTGGGAAATATAATTTCAGTGGAGGATACAGAGGCACTTATGGAAGCTTCAGCAAAAGTAGACAAACCTTTCAATCCATTTATCAAAAATGCCTGCAGCTCTGCCGCCTGAGTAGGTGCAACAAGAATAAAATATTGAGCAGAACCAGTGATTGTGGGACTGGAGGAGGCCAATAAATAAGAAATTACTGAGATGCTCACCCTGAGTCCAATGAGTTTGCTCTGGCACTCCCTCTACTCATCATGCCCTGTGGTCTCTTGGGTGCTGGCTGGGACAAGCTAGCAGGAACCCACGTGGCCAGATCTCTGGCATTTTGACTTTAGGACTTCTGGAAGGATGCCTGGGAGAATCAGGGGGAACAGAGCTGCCAAGCTCCACTCAGGTAAGCTTTGGTGTGGTGGTAACACAGGGGCCCTGCTTCTCATGCCTCTTGGCCTTGCTAGCTGCCCTCCTTCCCTTTAAAATCCTCCATGAGGGAACGAAATCTACAAGACCCTGAATGGAGCTTTGGTGGTTGATCTATGGGCTCTCGATGGAGCAACAGGGGTATGGGAATGGGAGCCAGGTCATGACCAAGGGGCTCCCAAACCTAGACCCCAGCCTGTGCTATCTACAAAGACCTCATCTTGCCTCCCAGATCTTAGGCCTTTTGAGTGATGGGTGGAGGGATGACACCATGAAACCTCCCACTGAATGGGAACCCCATCCTTTGGTACGTCCTCTTTCATGTCATGACCACCCACCCCAGAAAAGAAAACGAGCACTTTTTCAAATGCCCTTAAACTTGAACTCAGGATGAGTTGAAACAGGATGTCTCATTGATTTTTTTTTCACCTCCAAGTCCACAAAAGAGTAATGGGCACAGCTTTCCCCCTCCCCTCCCACACCCTGGCAACTGCCCCTCAACCCCCTGACCGATCACCTGCTTCCCTCACACCCACACAGCACCCCCTCAATAACAGAACTAGAATCGTTGCATCTCAATGCCAAGAACCACAATGGCAGGATAAACTGCCCGGGAGACCCCATCCAGGGCCATGGCTGTGGGAGTCACATTCTCTAACCTTCTCCCAGCTGTGATCAGCAGAATGGGAGAGGTCCAGCTGAGTGGCTCTCTGGGTTGCCAAGCTAAACACCCAGAAGGCAGGAAATAAGATTAACTCTCAGCAGGAAATAGAGGGATAAAGGTTGACTGGGGCAGTGGAGGCGCCAACTGGATGTTCCAAGGGACAAAAAGGAGGACCCTGGCTCTGTGGGAGCAGCCTGAGCTCACAGAATCCACTCCTTCTGCTTTCAGAAACACAGCAGATGGGAACTCCACTTTTTTAGAGTGTTCTGGGGAGGCAAATCCCCTATCTACAAGTTGTTCCTAGTTTCCCTGCCTCATTGCAGAAGGCCTATCTTAGGACCCAAGCAAGATGCAGTGTTGTTAGGCTCTTGGACCTGGAAAAGGTCCTGAGCTCTCCACTGCCCCACTGCCTCCACTGCACTCTCTAGGTATTTGTAACCGAGTATGATTGCATGTATATGGGTCTGCCCAAGCATGGGCACCTGTCCCTTCCAAAGGCACCCTCATCCTTGGGAGGGATGGAGGTGGAACAGCAGGACGAACTTCCCAGCAGTCAATCAATCTAGAATTCTGAAGACAATTTCACCCCCAGACGGCAACAGGATGAGCAGGATCAGGGAGCAGCACTCTTGTTTGCAGGGCTGGTACTCTCTATCACATTTCTAGAGCCTGTGAAATGCCATTCCAGGCTGCTGGTCCAGGACCGTTCTCCTTTCCTTGTTTCTCTAGCCCTGCTTCCATGCTGGACAGGCCTAAGTGTGTAGGGGGCGGTGGTTGAGGAAAGTTGATAGGGCAACCATCCCAGGTGGCTCTTTCCTTTGCCTTTGTAAAATCTGTAAGAAGAGGAAGCAGTCGTTTTCCTGGGGCGCTGGGGTATAGCCCCATAGATTGAAACTATGTGAGGCACAGCACCAAGCAGAAAGACCTGGTTTCCATCCTATCATCTGCGTCCCAGCGGCTCGCATTACTGGCTCCTTTAAAGACTGACATCTGGGCTTTGGCCAGTGCTCAGATTGCAAGAATAAGGAGCTATATCTCTAGTGAGATGGTCGGGGGGTTGTCATTGCACCAGCTTTCAAAGGGCTTTTCACCATTGTCATACTTTTCTTTTTCAGTCTTACTTAAGGAGATGTGTTCAAACAATGATGATGATGATGATATTGCCGTGTGCTTACTCTATGCTAGATGCTTCACTTTTGTTGTTCATTTAATTAGCACAATGATCCAATTAAGTAGGTATTATTATCTCCACTTTTCATATGAGGAAACTGAGGCCGAGAAAGGCTATGTGACTTTCCAATGGCCACGGGTATCCTGAACCCAAACCCAGGGCTGGATGACTACCAAGCCCATGCTATTGCTCGGGCACTTTTCTGCTTCTGCAAGGGAAGTGGTTTCAGGCAGAGAAAGCTAAAAGCTGGCCTGAGTGATTAGCTCTTCTCAGGGTGCAGAAGGCCCAGAACTTCAGGCAGAGGATGCACAGCCAGCGAGTGACTCATCTCGGTTTGCTTGAGACTTTTTAGCACTGAAAGTCTTGCCTTCTGGGAGCCCCATCAGTCTCGGGCACACTGAGATGGTTGGTACCCTAGATGGAGTGCACGCCAAGGACAGTGTGGACCAGGTACAGTGGATGGACCCTGGAGAACCACCTGCTCTGGGTGGTTGAAGGTAGTGGGCTCAAGTCAGTGGGCAGAATGAGATTTGCTGGCAAAGGCTCTTCTTTTTTTTCTTCTTCTTTTTTTTTTTTTTTGAGATGGAGTCTCGCTCTGTCACCCAGGCTGGAGTGCAGTGGCATGATCTCGGCTCACTGTAAGCTCTGCCTCCTGGGTTCACGCCATTCTCCTGCCTCAGCCTCCCGGGTCCACGCCATTCTCCTGCCTCAGCCTCCCAAGTAGCTGGGACTACAGGCGCCTGCCACCATGCCCGGCTAATTTTTTGTATATATATATTTTTAATAGTGATGGGGTTTCACCGTGTTAGCCAGGATGGTCTCAATCTCCTGACCTCGTGATCTGCCCACCTCAGCCTCCCAAAGTGCTGGGATTACAGGCGTGAGCCATCGCGCCCAGCCAAGGCAAAGGCTCTTCTGAGCAGCCAGTCTGTGGATCTGAAGGTCACCAGCTTGATCTACTCCTGTCTCCACTGGAAACAATGTACAAATCCTTCACCACGTTCATACTTGGCTGCAAGCATGCCCTGTGCCCCTGACATTGCTACGCCTGGCCCTGGGGCCCTGGCCCCATCTGAATCTCATTTCCCCTTAGATGGTAAATAAAGAGAATGATGGTTTTCTCAGCCTCTCGTACCACCAACAATCTCCACCCTCTGTCAGTCAAGTCATAGAAGGGTCATGGAAGGGCTGAACATACCAGGAATGTTGCCAGTGCTGGGGGCCCACACTGTCAGATGCAGGGTTCCGGGTCACTGGGGACCCAGCGAGATGGGACAAGGTGAGAAGAAGAGGAAAAGGAGAAAGGCAAAATTCCCAGCCAAAAAAAAAAAAAAGTTCAATCAGATTTGTAAAGGGCACAATTTACAAATCCGTCACATATTTTACTAGGCTGGGATTTACGGATTAGCCTGTAATACTTAGGCGGCTTTTTGTAATAAAACCCTGAGCCGAGGCAGTCTTGGGGAAGTGAGGAGGAGGAAGGAGGCTTCTCTCTCTATCTTGCTTTCATTTTCCCAGCATTTTTTGATCTAGGCAGTCCCATTAATCTGTGCTTTATCTGCCTATGGAGAAGGATTGAGCTCTTTATTGGATTTTTGTCAAGAATAAATGATTTAGTTTGGGATACTGTGGAAACGATTTTTGTGGTATTACACCATCTAATAAATGAAACAGCAGGGATCAATTCCTTTCTTGCAATGTGTTCAACAGGCAGGGTGAAATATGCCCCACAATTATTTGGTATTGCACTCCATAGATATTTATAACCGAGTAGGACTGCATGTATATGGGTCTGCCCAGGCATGGGCACCTGTCCCAGATGATGTGATCCATTAGTCCCAGAGCATGAGACTAGAGACCCAAGTGACAGGTCGGTCAGAAATGCTGACCAGGTTCACTCGAACAGTCAAGGCTGAGGGCTGGAGAGAAGGAATCAGGTTTGAAGGTGAGGGCTGCAGTTGAGAGACTGTATTTACCAAGGCTTGAGTGCTTTTCCTGGAGCTTTGGAAGTGAGAGAAACTAACAGGGTGGGACGTCATTGCCACAGCAGACCTGGCAAATGCCTGGTGCGTGGGGACTCTATGCAGAGAACTGAGGTCCCATCCCCTACCCATCCTGGGTACCCCCGTCCATGTCCCACTGGCCTCTCTCCCTGGACATTGCTTCGAGGGAAAATGTCTGGAAGTTTTTGGAGAAGGGACCTGGCTTTCTGTCCAGGTAGGCTCATAAGGTTTATATCCCTGAAGCCTCACAAATATTTATTGAGAGCCTATTACATGACAGCGCTTAGCACAGGCCTGGCCTGAAGTAAACTGGATATAGATATTTGTTCACAGATTGACAAACAGAAAGCCTTACAAGATGCCCTTCCCAGGCGCAAACCCACGTCACCCTCACAAGCAGAAACAGGGAATAGTAAGGATGAGGGACAGATGGTCGCTAGGAAACTGCAGCCTTCCTCCGATCCCTAACCCCAGGGGTAAAAACAGAATGATCGTGAAGGCAGGGAGCGGGGACAGGTGGTCCTGGGCAGCGTGGCTTATGCCCTGCCCATGGAGATGCCTGTGTTGGAGATGGTTGCTTACCCAGGTTTCACACGCCGGACATCAGCACCTTGGCTCAAATTGTTGAAAACAGTCCCCTTCGGTCTATCAGCGCCATCAGAGACATGTTGGACGTGACACCTTTGTGAGCTTTGTACACCTCAATATTCATCAAATGAAGGCCCGAAGAAATGGATGTCAGTATTAGCAAGATTCTTTCGCCCAGAGCTTCGTGGCGTTGGTATCTCCTTGGCTGGTCTTGCCTCCCAGCTGCATGCTCTGTAAATGTTTGTAGTGAGCGTGAGACACTACAGCTCTCTGTCTCTCTGCCTTAAGCCCACTCTATTTTTATACTATTTGGTATTATCTTTGCTGGCTGTTTTTTCTCTGCCACAATCAGAATTCTTGGGGCTCGGTGCCGACGGGAGGGGTTTTAAGTGTCTTTGGCAGGAAGAATTTCTTCTGTCTGTAGTTCAATCTGAAGTTCATTCACATTCTCCTTGCAAAGAATGGCGGATGCAGTGAGAGTTGCCGTAAAAGCGATGAAAAAGTCATCGGCAATCCTTACCACATCCGTACATCGGCAGCTCGGAGGCTTGACTGCTGGAGCGAGATGTGGCCCAAGACGCCCCGGTGGAGGCTAGGGTCCTCATGGTGCCATTTGCCCCAACTCCCAGGAGGGGCAGGGAGACGATTTCCTCTCAACTTCCCAGGCGGCTTTAGGATGTCAACTTGGGTCTTGGCCTGGAGCCCTTTGGATTCTTTCATGTTTTTCTTGACTTGCTAAGTGTGCTTTCCATCAGTTGGATACGGAATGCATCAAAACAATCATTATTATTTCAACCACAGCCTCCTCTGAAAGCGCTTTTTCTTGGATATAACACCTCTGTCTCAAGGCAGTTATTGCCATTCCAATGTGTTATGCTGTGATTTCATCCTCAGAGGGAGCTGCCACACTCAGAAAGCAAACAGACTCTTCCCACATCTCGGCATAGAGCAACCCTGTCCTTCCAGTTTGTTCTTCGGGCCACACATCTATGAGCCAGGACAGATGCATCTCTTTCTCCCACACTCCACATTCCATCCATTGGGAAATGCTGCCGGCTCTGCTTCAAACTGCCCAGAATCCCACATCATTCTTCCCCATTTCAAGTGCTTTTCTCCGGCTCCAGCTGGGACTCCTGCCCCATCCTGACCCTGGCAGCCCATGCTCAGCATGGCAGCCAGGGTGAGCCACTCACAGCTCAAACCGTTCAGACCTCCTCCTTTTCCCAGAACGAGAATTGGGTCTTCGCCATGGCCTCAGGGCCCCTTGCAATGTGGCCTGAGTGACCGCTCTGACCACCCCTTCCCCAGCTGCCCGCCCTACCCACCCCACAGCAGCCCCACTGGCTGCCTTGCCCTATGATCAAATAACCCAGGCAGTCCCCTGCCTCGGGACCTTTGCACTGGCTGTTCCTTCTGCCTGGAAGGCTTGTCCCACAGAGACCTGCATGGCTGATGGCTGACTCCATTACTGCCTTGAGATTCTTATTTCAAGGCATAAGGCAGCATTGTGCAGAGGATAAGAGCACAGACTGGAGCCCCACTGCCTGGCCTCAAGGGCCTTTGCTGACATTTACTGACCACCTGACACTGCAAATGGTATTTCACCTCTCCCTACCTCAGTTTTCTTCTCTGTAAAATGGGGAAATAATCACATTAATTCATACTGTTATAATGAGGATTCAATGATTTAATATTTGTAAAGGACTTATAGCCAGAATGAATGTGAAATAAGCGACTACCAAAGGAATAAATCAAATGAGCTGACATCAGGCACCCTATTTAAACATGCTGGCCAGGGCCAGGCGTGGTGGCTCATGCCTGTAATCCCAGCACTTTGGGAGGCCAAGGTGGGTGGATCACTCGAGGTCAGGAGTTCGAGACCATCCTGGCCAACATGGTGAAACCTCGTCTCTACTAAAAATACAAATATTAGCTGGGCTTGGTGGCACATGCCTGTAGTCCCAGCTACTTGGGAGGTTGAGGCAGCAGAATCGCTTGGGCCCGGGAGGCAGAGGTTGCAGTGAACTGGGATGGCACCACTGCACTCCAGCCTGGGTGATAGAGCGAGACTCTGTCTCAAAAAGAAAAGAAAAGAAAAGAAAGACAAACATGCCACTGGCTTCTCACCTCCATCCTACACTCCCAGTCTTTCTCCTCTCCTGTGCTTTTGCTTGTATTTCATTGTATGTATCCCTTCTTACTACATAATTTACTTATTTCTTTTGGTTGCTATTTACTGTCTCCCCCAACCAGAATTGCTAGAATACAAGCTCCATGAGGACAGAAATCTGTGTTTTGCTCACTATGGTACCTACATGCTTACACAGTACTTGGCCTGTAAGAGTCGTTTAGCAAGTTTATACCCCCTCACCTACACATTAGAACTTTTCGGTTAAAAAGTATGTGTTTTTTTATTATATAAGGAAAATATGTAGAAAAGTTCCCATTACAGAAGCCATGCATGGTGGAGGCACCATACTGAACGTAAGAGAATTAAGTGAAATTCTGAGTCTTGGGGTAGATTCTTCCAGAAGGTAACCTGAGATATGGTGTATTAGTTTTCTTTTTTTTCTTTTATTAATTTACTAAAAACTATATGAAAAAGAATGAGATGGGCTCTTGCTATGTTGCCCAGGCTGATCTTGAATTCCTGAGCTCAAATGATCCTCCCACCTCAGCCTCCCAAAGTGCTGGGATTACAGGAGTGAGCCACTGCGCCCAGCCAGATAAAGCGTCTTAGTTTTCTATTGCCACTACAACACAGTATGACTTAGTGGCTTAAAACATCACAAATATATTGTCTTACAGTTCTGGAGGTCAGAAGTCTAAAGTGGGTGTCTCAGGGGGCTGAGCCCCATCAGATGTCAGCAGAGCTTTTTGTCTTTCTGGAGGCCTCCAGGAAGAAGCCGCTCCTTGCCTTTTCGAGCTTCCACTGGCTGCCTGCATTCCTTGGCTCATGGCCCCTTCCGCCAGCAACCACCTCACTCAGGCCTCTGCTTCCTTCATCGAGTCTCCTCTCCGATTCTGACCCTCCTGCCTTCCTCCTGTAGAAACCTTTGTGATTACATTAGATCTACCTGTATAATGATAGGATACTCTCTCTGGGTAATACAGGATACTTTCCCTGTTTTAAAGTGACATCTGCAAACCAAAAATTGTGTATTTGGAAAAACGTTAGGCCAGGCACGGTGGCTTATGCCTATAATCCCAGGACTTTGGGAGGCCAAAACAGTTGGGTCACCTGAGGTCAGGAGTTCTAGACCAGCTTGGACAACATGGCAAAACCCTGTCTCTACTAAAAATACAAAAATTAGCCTGGCATGGTGGTGGGCACCTGTAATCCCAGCTACTTTGGAGGCTGAGGCAGAAGAATCGATTGAACCCGGGAGGTGGAGGTTGCAGTGAGCCGAGATTGCACCACTGCACTCCAGCCTGGGGAACAGAGTGAGACTCCATCTCAAAAAAAGAAAAAAAAAGGAAAAAAAGGAAAACAATTTTTAATATAAAAAGTAGCCTGATATCCTCAACATAAAAAATATGAATAACATGTATCTAGATAAATTGATCTCGTTCATGTTAAAATTCATATACCCATACATATACACATACATGTGTACATTTGTGTACAAAATACATATACGTTATACATAAATCTCTGGAGACTATATACCAAATGATTAATAGGAGTTAATGGCGGGGTATAGCTTTCATGTCTACATAATTTGAATTTATTTTTCAGTATAATTAGCATTTATTTCTACATGGGGAATGTCTTACTTTTATACTTCAAAAAGGTTTTAAAATGAAAAATTTAAACTAGACAGGGGCTGGGCGTGGTGGCTCATGCCTGTAATCCCAGCACTTTGGGAGGCCGAGGCAGGAGGATCACTTGAGCTCAGGAGCTCAAGGTCAGCCTGCGCAACATGGCAAGACACTGTCTCTACAAAAATTAGCTAGGTGTGGTGGCATGCGCCTGTAGTCCCAGCCACTTGGGAGGCTGAGGTGGGAGGTTTGCTTGAGCCTGGGAGGTCAAGGCTGCAGTGAGCTGAGATCATGCCACTGCACACCAGCCTGAGGGACAGAGTCTTGCTGACTCTGTTTCAAAAATAAAATAAAAATAAACAGACAGGATAAAGGCACATCATGGGAAACAGGGAGAATACAGACATGTATAAAGAAGGCAATCTTTGATATATTTCTTTCCAGTCTTTCTTCAACATATGACATGGGCTTGTGCTCAATATATAATTTTAAAGCCTAACTTTTTTTACTTAATTTTATATCACGAGCATTTTCCATGTCATTAAAGATTCTTTGCACATATATTGTTAATGGCTGTATAATATTCCTTCACAGATATGTCATTATTTATTTATCCATCCATTCCATCCACCATCAACTTTCCTCACACCCTCCTCATCCCCCATTAATACCCTAACTACTTAGATGAGAAACGGTGGCTCTCACAGTCCCTGCTGAATGAATGTATATCTGGAGCATTCTGGAGAATATCAAAGTCAGGAGTTCATTCATATAAATAGGGCACAGACCAAAGCAAATCAATATCTCCATGACGCATCTTCCTTCAAGGCACAGAAGCCCTTAGCATTGTGTTTCAGGGAGTAAGGTGACCTGCCCTGAGCTCTCTGCATCATCTCACTTGGGTCTTCATGTCTCCTGGCTTTTTCCTGGTAGGTTGCCCTGAACAAAACTACCTAAACTATAAGCTCATGAATAAATAGGTTTGGGATAAAAATAAGGTTGGGATACGAGCCTAGTAATTTTCCAAAAATAGACCTCTCTAGGACTTGCTGCCTGCCCTTTGTTTTTATTTTTTAATTTTTTAATTTTTTATTTTTTGTTTTTGAGACAGCCTCGCTCTGTTCCCCAGGCTGGAGTACAGTGGCACAATCTCAGCTCACTGCAACCTCCACCTCCCAGGTTCAAGCAATTCTCCTGTCTCAGCCTCCTGAGTAGCTGGGATTACAGGTGCATGCCACCATGCCTGGCTAATTTTTGTATTTTTTTTTTTTAAGCAGAGATGGGGTTTCACCATGTTGGCCAGGCTGGTCTTGAACTCCTGACCTCAGGTGATCCTCCCACCTCGGCCTCCCAGAGTGCTGGGATTACAGGTGTGAGCCACCACGCCTGGCTGCTGCCTGTCCTTTTGTATGAAAAGGCACCATTTTGGCTATCAAAGATGGTTTGCGGGTTGGACAAGAAATGTAGGGGAGTCAATGGATGGGAAGCGAAAGTGGGAGCCTCATCATTTTAACGAGATTTGTAACTAAAAAAGCAACACCTCTCTGCAGCTGCCCTTGTGGACAAGGGAAGGGAGGGGTCAGGAGGCTGAGGAGGAACAGCCAGGACAGCCTCTCCTGCTGCATGGAATCTTCCATCCACTTGGTGACTGAGACTACGTATTTCTGGTTGCACAGGAAGCGCACTGACCTGTTCTGGTTTGGTATCAACACAATAACAGAGGTAACCTTAAAATAGTTTTTCTGCCTTTGGAATAAAACCTTTTGCAATGAACAGAATCTAGGAGAAGAGGTTAATTGAGAGTTGACTCACAATCTTAGATTTGCAGAAAAGAGGGTCAGGTGGAGCCCTTTTGCAGGAGTTATTTACCTCAAAGCTTCAACCTCTCCACCCTGTGGATTAAGCTGCTCAAGGCTGAGCCCTGCCCTGGCTCAGTCCTGGTACCCAGGAAATGCGACTGTTGGTCCTACCCACACAGAGAGTTATAATCTATGAGTATATCATGAAAAAGGAATTCAGTCCAATATTTTGGAGACTCCTACTTTGACATCCCCTCCTTCCCTGGGCAGGGAAGATGATCTTTTCAGCAACGGGATCCGCTGGAGTTTTAGAATTTGATTGGGTTCAACTAAAAACAAAACAAATAACGCCAGCCATTGTTCTGGGAACTATGTACACAAAGATAAATAAGACTCTGTGTGGTCATAGGGGTCTCAGTCTAGAAGGAAAACATGTGAAAATAATCACAGTGAGGGTGTGAGCATTGGTGAAAGAACACCAATGTTCTTACTTTGCTCATTCATTCGTTTGGCAAATGTTAATTGTCTACTGTGTGCCAGGCACCTTGCTAGTGTCGGGGGGATACAATGTCCCATGACAGATACAGCCCTTGCCATCATGAAGCTTATAGTGAGCAAGTAGACGTTGAGCAAATAACATAATACATCTTTGATTTGCATTTGTGACAGAGGTGTTGAAAGACGTACAGGAAGCTATGAGAGTTTAATATCAGAGAACTTGTGAGCTCAGATAATTCCCCGAAGTCGGCTTCCCCACAACCTCCTGTCTGTCCTCCCCTCAGCCTGATGTGTGCAACAGCCTCCTCCTCCACCAGATTCTGACCTTGGACCTCACTGATTCCCCAGGTCCAGGCTCTCTGCCTCTGGAGTGCAGCTTGCCACACCTGCAAAGCAAGCCCAGGGCACCTCTGCCTGATGCGCGGCTGAAACATCTGGGCTTGGCAGGATAGGAAGACGCAGGGAACAGGGCTCCAGACTGGACACCGGTCCTCCATCCAGCTCTGTCGCAAAGTAGCCATGTGGTCTGGATTCCTCCCACACATCCTGTTCCCTTCAGTCCCCAGGCTCTCCCTACCCACCTCTGCTTGTCCCCACATCCTCTGCATACTATGAGGAAGCACCACCCACAGCCTCTGGAAGCAGGATGCTTGGCTTCAGATCCTACCACCTTGGGCACATCACTTTACCTCTGTGTGCCTCAGTTTCCTCCTCTATAAAATGGGCACAACACCAGCACCTAGCACTCAGGGTGGTTGTGACGATTAAGTGTGTTAATGCAAGAGCACCTCACACATGGGCCCATGGTACATGCCATGTAAGTGCCAGCTGCTCTGCTCATTCCATGTATCATTTTCCCACCAAATCGATGTGACTTCAAAGGAAGGGCACAGAGACTCATGCCGTATTACCTGTAACATTTAGCGTCCACACCCTTGGTTCTCAAACTTAAGCATGCAACAGCGTCACCTGGAGGGCTTGCTGGAGCACAGCCTGCTGGGCCCCTTCCAGAGCTTCTGATTGTGCAGGTCTGGGGCGGGGCCTGAGAATGTGCATTTCTAACAAGTTCCCAGATGCTGCTGCTGGTCCAGGGACCACACTTTGAGAACCACTGGACTAATTTACTACTCAGATTGTATTGGCATCCATCTAGAAATGAACACATATTTGAGCACCTACAATGTGCCCACCACTGTATTAGGAGCGTTCGCATATTTCATTTTATTTTCACCAGAAAGCAGCAAAATGGGCCTCATTCTGCCCATTTTCCACCGAAGTTACCAATGCTCAGAGAAGCTACGTGACTCTCCTGAAGTCCTGCGACTTGAACTCTGACCTCTGGGTGTCAGTTTCAGTTGTCTACTTTTCCATTGCTTTTTGAACCTAGTTTTGGGATAGAAACAGTACCAGGGGAACCTGCAGAGGAGGAAGGAGCCCTTGGGAAAAGGTTTCTCCTAGGTGATCAGAGGTCTGCACGTGTCTGATGTTTATTGTGGAGATGCCAGAAATCCACTGAATTAGGAGACCCAGAGGGGCTGCACCTTGAGCCACAGCTCCTGCCCAGTACGTGGCTCTCTAGGGCCACAAAGAGGACACCCAGAGCTCAGTCTGGGCAAGCTGCCTGTGGCTCGTGAGTGGCACCCCCATAGTTTGAGACCCCCACCCCAGCGGAATGAGCTGGGCTGTCTCTCCACCTCTCCTCCATTCCCTGCACTTTCTCCCACAGCCTGGAAAACAGGTGCTGCCCATTAACAGGGGAACAGCGCCAATCAGGAGGAAACACTCCGCATTAAGCCCTTGACACATGCCACAATTTTGACAAATAAGACACAAAAGCAGGAGGTGCCAGGAGCCCCAGAGTTCAGGCCTAGCTGCTGGCATGAAAGAAGGAGGTCAGGAGTGGAGGCTTTGGCTGAGAGGAGCTGGGCACGGGGAAGGGGAGCTGGGAGGGGGCCCACCAGGTGCCACTCCTCACAGCCTTTCATCTGCCTGGGAGCCCGGAGATAGACGCTGCATGAGCCAGGCCTGAGCCAGCAGAACTGTTGGCCTGGAGAGAGGATGCAGAGCGCTGGCGAACCCCAACCTTACCGCCACTTCTTAACCTCACTGCAGGGTTCCAAGACTCTCCCCAGCCCAAATGCAAAGAGCCTCCAGGATGCTGATTTGCATGTGATTTGCATGCTGGATCTGAGGTCCCCGCGTCTCCTCCCTTCCCCTGTCTCCAGTTCCTTTCTCTGCAGGGTTGAGCTCCAGCAGGTTGACAACTAACCTGGGAGAAAGGAGTGGCTTCCTTTCCTATGCTGGGGACTTGTGACCCCCCATGTACAGTACAGCGAGGCTGAGGGAGCAGAGGGAAGAGGTGACAGGACCACAGCTCTACCGGGTGGCTCCTTCAGGGGATTTCAGTGCCTATGAGGAAGGATACTCAGCTGTCCCCTGGCGATCTGGTTAAAATGCAGATTCCAGCTCCTCAGGTCTGGAGTAAGACCCAGATCCAGCATTTCTAACAAGATCCCAAATGATGCTGCCTCCCAGGCTACACTTGAGTAGCAAGGGTGTAGGGCTGTGGGCATGTGGGAATCCCCTGGGGGCCTTCCACACTGACACTGGGTTCCACCCCAGAGATTCCGATATAATGGTCCAGGCTTGGGCACCAGGAGATTCTAACATGCGACTTGAGCTCCACTGTGGGACACCTGTACCCGTGTGTAGAACAAAGTGATTGTAATGACGCTGACCTCCTGTGAGGAGAAGAAGAGATGGAAAACTCATTAGAGGATAAACACCGGCCGTTCATTCAGCCGTTAGAGAACTAGACCACCAAAGGAGATGCCGCTTGCTCCTCGCACTCCACACACGCTCCAGGTCATTTACCAGAGAGCAGGAACAGGCCACTGGACTGTCAGTTCCAGGAGGAAGGGTCAACGATGGCTTTGTTCATGGATACACCTAGTGCCCAGCATCTGCAACATGGTAGGGGTGGGACGGGGGGATGATGGACAGGGGGCACCGCAGGAACGGATGCTGGCCAGTGATGGGGAGAGCACTGCATCCTCATCTCCAGCCTGCCATACTTCCCATCAGGAGGGGATCTTTTCTGTGACTCCAGAATGGATTTGGGAGGACTTATTCCTTGTGAAAAACATTGTCACACCCTCGTTAATCAAGCTTTCTTCCTTGGCAGAGAGGATGGAGAGGAAGAGGAAACTTTCATTCCACAGAAGGGCATCTGCCAATTTCCCACTTGGGGACGAGATTGAAATAGCTTTTTCAGATCCTCCAGTTAAGCTGACACATGTGGACCCTTCAATCCTCCACTGGGTTCCCTCCCAGGAGCAGTTATCTCGGCTCCAGCAGAACGGCTCTATCTCACCGCAGCCTGCCAGCTGTCTCGCTTCACAACAGAGAGAAGCTGGGGCCCCAAAGACAGTTCTGGTGCAAATAGCGTCGGAGAAGCAGACGC
Source organism: Homo sapiens (assembly GCF_000001405.40). NCBI lineage: Eukaryota > Metazoa > Chordata > Mammalia > Primates > Hominidae > Homo > Homo sapiens. The sequence continues at coordinate 73,785,726 of NC_000017.11, forward strand.
TGGAGCACTGGCGAGGGGAGGGAAGGGCGGCCAGGTCAGCTGGGCCACCCTTCATTCACATGGTCAGCCAGTGCCTAGGAGCTGTGAGGTCTTGGGGGGGGCCACGTGGAGCTGCAGCCGGATAACAGGGCCAGGGCTGAGAGTGATCTGAAGATGACAGAGCTAAAAAAGCATCACTTTAAGGTGAGGAAGGTAAATGCCACTTCTGGGCCGGCACCGTTCCCCAGGCTGGGAATGAGATAATGAATTATTACCCAAGGAAATGAAACCGCTAATAAAATCAAAAGCAAAGCTAGGGGAGGTTAAACTCCATTTTTAAAAAGGCGCTGGTGATTTATAGAGTGCCCTCTCTCCTTGCCTCCTAGGGCGCCAGCGGCTCCCCCTGTCCCTCCCCCTCTTCCCCACCTGCTGGCCCCTGACCCTCTGGACATACAGATCCTGGCCTCTCTGCCAGCTCTCCCCAGCCTCTGGCTGTTCTTTTTTCTCCATCCCCCTAGTGAGCCACTCCCACCCTCAATGGGAATTTAAAGGCTTGATTTGTGCTGAAATTTGGGCCAATTGATTTCAGGAGCTCAGTCCCCAAGGAATGGCTACCAGGAAATCCGTTTTCCTTAGGAATCCATTCCGACCTTTGAGCCAGCAAATTACAAGTAGAACCAGCCCCCGAATGGCAATCAGGTTTTGGAGGCTGGCGCTGGGCGGGTGTGGTTCATGCAGTGAGTGACTAATTGATAGGGCCTTCGAGCGGGAACCTGGCCCTCTCCTGATTCAGGGAAGCTCACTGGCTACATTTTCCTTCTCGCTGTGTCTGCTCTAATCCCTAGCAAGCTCCATTCCTGAAACCCTGGCCCCCTCGGTCTTGGCTCCCCTCCTTCCCTGCCTGAAGCCATCAAGCCCCTGCTGTCTGACCTCACTGCCCGTTTCCGTGGCGACGGCCCTGTGATGTCACTGGTGGTGGCCTGTGAGCCTTCAGGTGGGTAGGATGACAGCAGCAGGTGCCCAGGAGGAGGGGAGGAACAAAGATCTTGTTTTTGTGCCATCATCCCTGATACATAATGAAAACCCAGGGTAGGGGTGGGGTGGGAATGGAGTGGGGAGATCTGACTCTGCAGCCATCCCTCACCACTCCTGCTTGGACATCGCCAGGCTCAGCTAGAGAAGGCAGAAAAAGTTCCTCCAACTCCTTCCCCAGGCACCTATGCAGGCTCCACACTCCTGCCTGAACAGCTATGATTTTAAAAGCCATCGAGTCATGAAGAGAAGTGTGCCAGTGTGTGCTGGACTCAGTTTCCCCTGTGCACCATTTTCCCCAGTCAGCCCTGCACCTTCCAAGAACTATGACCCGAAGGCACACCCTAGTCAGCTCAGGCCCCACATTCCTGCAAAAATAAGGCTCCAGGGCTCCCTCATCGCAGCATGGGTTCTGCAGGAAGCCCCAGTGCCAAGTGGCTTTCAAAACTAGCCTCAGCTAGCAACGTGGCGGCTATTTCAGCGACCGACAAAAGCAGCTCCCCCAGCCTCCCTTGGTGTTTGTGGTCCCTTTTGTTCCAGCCAGGCACCATGAGGAAAATGCAGCAACCGTTTGGAAACAAAGGCTCGGGCAGGCTCTCTCCAGTCTGAAAAGCCCACTTTCACTTGAGTTTCAGGTAATTTGCTGTGCAGCCTGAATTCGTTAGACAAATTAGGCTCACTTGGACTTCAGGTGGCTCAATTACCTGGGTGATTTGCATGTTTATGAGTGAAGGGGACTGCACAGTAGCAGAAAGCAAATTTGAAATCCTGACTTTGGGGGCCCTGGAGCCCCTTTGCTGCACCTTTACTTTCCCTACCAGAAAGGAGGAAGGACAGAGTAGCTCCCCAGCAAGCAGATCAGCGGATGTCACATAACCACAGGGCAGTCATCAGGGAGCACGACCCCTCCCCAGGGCCACGCAGGCCTTAGTTTCTCCTTCTGGATCTGCCAGCAAAACAAAGGTAACTGCCTAAGAACAGCTTCCAAAGATGGAAGAAGAAAGTGAGAAAATCTATATTATTGATCGTTCATACCTAAGGAAAAGAGGCAAGAGGATTCCCATAGCCCAGCTGGGAGGTGAAGAGTTAATCCTATAATCTAGTCTGCCAGGGAGCAAGGCAAGGACTGGAGCTATTTTCAACCCGAAGTGTGCATGCAGAATGCTTGATGCCTGGGGGGAGGAGCTGGAAAGCCTGAGACCATTTGAAAGCATTAATTGAGTACCCAGGGTATATAGACCCTATTCTCAGGCCATGCTGGAATTCCAAAGGACAAGGGGGCTGTCTCCTGTCTTCTATTAGAGCATGGACCACCTTCCCCCACTTTCAATTTCTTCTCTGTGCCCACTCCCCCTCCCCAGGCCACAGCTCCTTCCTGGGCTCCGTGAAGTACCTACAGATGCCTGATGACCTTTTTAGAGTTGGCCCAATTACTCAACTGAAACAGCTTAAGCATTGCAAATTCACACACGCAGACTCTGCTAGTTGTCTGAGTAAGAGCTAGAGCGCTGGGCCCTGGCTGTATATTGGACTCACCTGGAGAATGTTTTAAATGATTGGAACCTGAGTCCCACCCCCAGAGAGTATGATTTAATTGGTATTGGATGCAGTGGCATTTTTTAAAAGCTCCTCTGGTGATTTAAACATGCCACAAAGCCTGAGAGCCCCTGAGCTGGAGGATTTGGGATTTTTGAATTGTTTAATGATGAGTCGTTGGGCTGAAATTGATCAAGTGTGATGGGATCAAGACAGGCTTAGATTCTATGCACCTGGTGGGCTGCTATCTTGAAACAAAATAGTGATGTAAGGTTTTCATATGAGTGTGATTGTAATGGATCTACATAAGAGTTGGTATGAGTATAGATTTGCCTGGAGTAAAGTCTTCACTAAACTGGCATTAGTTGAGGGAAGAGGTGGCAGGAAGAAGTAATCGATATTTCTTGAGTATCTGTTGCGTGCCAGGAACTGTGCTTGGAAGACTATACTGATATTTCATTTATTGTTTCCAACCACATGGCAAATGGGCATTACTCCTACTTTACAGATGAGGAAACTGAGACTCAGAAAGGATAAGTGTAATTTTGCCTGAGATTATACAGCTATTGAGTTTTGGGAGACAATTTTCTGAGGGCCCCTCACATTTCTGTGTGTCTTGCAAAGAGAGACACTGACTGCCTTTGTCTGAACTATCCTTATAAGGATGCTTGCCTGGTGAACAGCTTTGGAAAATCCAATATCTTCCTCTGGAGCAAAGGGTAGGCATGCTTACTGTCCATTATAAAAGATTCCTATTCCTTAAGCTCAGGATTCCTCTTTTGGAACACAGTCCACTCTGTGTGAGCAGGTATCACCTAGGGCCCTCTTTGTGCTGCCTTATGGAGACCATGGCTTGGAGAATTGGCACAAAACCCTAATACTCTGGCTGCTACTATTGTGTAATAAACTGTCCTTTGTCTCTGATCCATGAGTCTCATGTCTTCCACCAGCATCCATGAAACCGTAGCAGGCCAGACTAACTTGTTAACTTGCAAATGGGGCAAGGTTTCAGACCCCACACAGTTCTTGACAATGTAATCTAAATCTGTTTTCCTCTAAAACCTGTGCATTTAAGAGATGGGTAAGCAAGAGGAGATATTAAAACACAACAAAACACTCTCCATCAATGACCACTTTCTCTCTAGATATAAAATAACAGAAATTAGTTCCCTTTCTCCTTTCTATGAGATACATAAACAGATTCATTCTGTATCAAGAGTTAAAAGAAGTACAACACTTGGGCACCATGAGGTGCCCTCTGGGTTCCAGGTTCCATGTGATTTTCAGTTCTGAGCTAGTTCCTGTTTTCCCTCAAGGATGTTTCACTGGATCCCATCAACTGGCTCTCGGCCTTGATAAGAAAATCTGGGTCTAGCCTCGCCTCAACACCCATACCCCACTCACTCTGTGGCTGTTAGAAGCCTATTACCCCCTTGACCTACTTATCTTTCAAATAGAAATGATCTTTCTTCGGGTGCTAATGCTACCGGCCTGCGTGACCCTTCATTTGTGACCATTCCTCTTTGAGACCAGAATTTTCAAAAGACTGATTATAATCACAGTCTCATTCTCAATATTTGCAAAAGGCCTTTCCTAACACAATTCTTTAAAACCAGCTAAGTTACCAGGTAAGTCAATTTCGAAAGGATGGCTTCGTTTCAGTGCTAATTAGCTTCTCTTCTGATGGATGAGAAGTTTACATGCAATGATTTCTAGTAGCAGGTTCGTATAATTTTTCACCGCTAATTATTAAAAATTATTAATCATAATACTCTTCAGGTGCCAGAAACTTTTAAAGGTGCTTTATAAAGTATCCTAAATCTACTCTACAACCCTAAAAGTGAAATATTTTCACTCAAAGAAGCTGAGATTTCAAGGTTGAATATCTTGCATGCACAGCTAGTAAGTGGCAGAGCTGGAACCCAAGGTCACATCTGTCCAGCCCCCAAAGCCAGACTTTTCTAATAACCAACTGTCCCCTTTTTAAAACAGCTTTATTGAGATATAATACACATACTCTACAATTCGCCCATTTAAAACGTACGATTCAATGGGTTTAGTAAGTCCTCAGATATGTGCAACCATCGCCACAGTCAATTTTAGAACATTTTCCTCACGCTCAAAAGAAACCCTGTAGACTTTAGTTATCACCCTCCATCACTCCTCCTCCCCAGCCCCAACCAACTGCCTTTTATAAAGTCTCTTTCTAAAAAAGCCAACGCGTTTTCTTCTCTCTGCATTAAATGTTGCAGTATATTCGTATTCATTTATAAATGGGTTGCCTTTCCAGGTTACTGAGAGGTTAAGAATTGCCAAAAAAGACCTGTGCCTTCCCTCTGATATTCCCTGGGTTTAGTTCTTCTCTCCTCCTTCTGCCAAGAGACCACTGAGAAGTGCCTCCGAAGAGCTAAGGGCTGCCCCAGGTGGTTATGTGGGAGGTGAGTTTGGGTGTGAGTTGATGATGAAAGGGTTGGGGATCCCAGAAAACTTCTTCCAGCCTGGACTCAAGCCTTGTATCTCATGAACAGGGAAGAGACCATCTCCTTTCAGACACAGCTAGCCCTCCCAGAGAAGCCCCTCATTCTTCCTTCTATAGAGGCACCTTGGGGAAATTTGACTTTGCCCGAGGAAGGCTTTGCCAGAGTGGCCTTGGGGTCAGTCAGACTTGGCAAAGAGTTTGGCGTGCAGATGTTTTCACTTGGTTTCCCCCAGAAGCTGACCCTGAAGGACATGAGTGCTTGGAGTTTGGGTTGGGAGGTATAGGGATCACTGGTGGGGTGGGGTGGGGAGGGCACTGGGAAGGGACACAAGAAGGGGAAGGTGGCCACTGAAGGGCGGGCTCCTGAACCCACTGCCCCAGCAGGAAACCAGCTCTTACTCTCCGAGTCAACTCTAGGAAACTCTGTAAAACACCCAGCTCAGAGTTACCCCTCCCCCTGTCCAGGGATACAGACACTGGGTGTGGAAAACACCAACTCCCAGCAGGCTCTGGTAGAGGCTCCTCCAAGGGGTGCAAATTCCTTCGCTGTCCTGGCAAGCTACGCACATGTGGGCAGAGCAGCCTCTGCAGTTTTGGATAAAGTTCTCAGGCAGAGAAATAGACACTGGTAGTGGGAGGTTGGCTGAGAGCACAAAATGGTCAGGCCTGGGGGATATGGCAGGGGGAATGACCAGAGCATCTGCGACAGCCTGGCCCCCATCTGAACCCCTGCATGTGCAGGTGCACCCACACCCCCTCCACACACACACACACACACACACGCACACGCACACACACAGTGGGATAGGAATATGGCTGCAGTACAGCACCTTCCTCCACCCCTGGGCTCCCCTCTTGCTCCCTGTCCATGGTCAGGGTGCTCCTTTGCATGGTAATGAAGTTCATTAAATGAGGTTTATTAGGAACCAGCTAGTAAAGGTCTATGTCTTTTCCGCCGAAGCTGGAGAATTTCCCAAAAAGCTTCGTGAAGAGCTTGAAACCCCAGAAGAGATCCCTTGGGGATGGGAGTTGCTCCAGGACAGAAGAAGCAGTAAGCTCCACCCACCCGTCTGGGGACACACAGGAGGCGTTGGATGTACAAAGCTTGTTAGAGAGCTGGCTTTCTTTTGAGCTGCAGCCTGACCAGCCTCCCCTGCACAGGCCCTAGAGGCTCAGCAGCTGGAGGGCAGCCTGGAAGTGCTGTCTATGCCCAAGGGTCTGAGCTGGGAAGGCCGATCACCTTCCTTGGTTCAACCTCTGAAAGCTGAGAGCACCTGGGGCTCCTCTCTTTCAGGAATGGAATGGAACTCTGCAGTTTTGGGCAGCCCAAGGCCATGTCTACTTCATTGCTAGTTGGCAGAATATCCATTCATTCATTTCTTCACTCATTCATTCATCTATTATTCACTAACTTATTCATTTATTCATGATCTATGGATCAGGGATTACAGCAGTCATGAAACACAATAATTGGAATATGTAAACCCTTCACCTTGCTTCAGAGGCTTAAGAGCACACATGAATCTAAGGTAGTCTAGAATCCCTGGCGCACCTCCTCAGCAGCCCCAGCCTCTGGCTCCAGCTCTGTGCACGTGTAGGATCATGTCTTGGCTATGCCAGTGGGCTGTAAACACCATTAGGAGAGGACACAGGTCCTGTTCACCACCACATCCTCATAACCTAGCATTGTCCTTGGCACATAGGAGGTAATAAATACCCGTGAATGAATGGATGGATATGTGCCTTTGAGTAAAAGGCTAATTCTTGTACATATTTTTAATGCATTCCTATATGTGTTTGGGTATCAGTACACATTTATGTATATGTCATAGTTTTTGTATGGTTATATAAGTGTGTGCATCTGTGTGTCATGTATGTATGTGAGAGAGAGTTCTTAATAGACATGGGCTTTCTTTCACAATATTTCAAGAGAATGAACATTTTTGCTTCCTGGTATCTGACTTTGTAAGTCCAATCTGCATTTTCCACACATGTACAGCTCTCCAGACTTTCAAATATTTATATTCCTATATTTAAAATCTGTGAAATGTCTCTCTCTCACCACTTATGCCCTTGTATGCTCTCTCCTCTCTCTTCTCTTTCTCTGTCTGCCCTCAGCCCTCCCCTCCACCTCATTTCCTCTTTGTCCCCAGATATAGACATACATATGGGTGAATACTCCCAAACTAAGCCACACTTTTCACTTCCGAGTTGGAGATATGGAGGGATACACAGGAGCCATCAACCCGGCCTATGACAAATCCCTAATGATAAGCCCAGCCAGGGAGGGGAGCAGCAGCTTTGGGGCCTGTGCCCCAAACCTCTGTGCCCCTTGAAGAGAGGACCTGCCCCGGGAGAAGTTTCCTCAGGCTGCAGCAGAGCTTGGAAGGAGGAGGAACTAATTGATGTTTGCCCAGGGCTTCAGAGAGATGCACTGAGTAAACATCAGCATTGCCTGGGTTTAGGCGGCTTAGGGTCTTATCTCTGGGAGGTTATAATGTCTTATGATGCTGACCAAGAGGAGAGGAATCCCCCCCCAGGATTTTTCGACCTGAGATAGTCTGTGGACCTTCTCTGTCCCATACCCTATGGCCAAGCCATGAACCACCCACCTCTCAGTGACCAGTTAAAAAAGACCTCACGCCCCTCCGTGCTTTTTTTTTCTTTTGAGACAGGGTCTTGCTCTGTCACCCAGGCTGGAGTACAATGGTGCCCTCATAGCTCACTGCAGCCTCTACCTCCTGGGCTCAAGCAATCCTTCCACCCCAGCCTCCCAAGTACCTGGGACTACAGGTGTACACCACCATGCCCAGCTATTTTTTGTATTTTTTATGGAGGTGGGGTTTTGCCATGTTGCCCAGGCTGGTCTCGAACTCCTGAGCTCATGTGATCCACCCGCCTCAGCCTCCTAAAATCTTGGGATTACAGGCGTGAGCCACCATGCCTGGCCTCCCTCTGTGCTTCTGCGATTCCCTCTACCCCAAACGCTTCCACTCTCCGTGTCTACCTGCTCATCTTTCGTGATTCAGCTTAAACATCTTTTCCTTCGAGGTCCCAGACTGAGACAGAGTCCCAAATTCTAAGCTCTGAGAGAAGCCTGCACCAACTTCTATGGCTATGGAGGAAGTTTCTCTATGGATGACCTATCTAGGTGTTGGGCTGTCCTGCTGAGTGTATAGAAAGTGCAAACTGCTGTATTGATCTTTGTCACCAGAGCCCTTGCACATAGTTGGGCTGAAATGAACTTAGGGACCAAAAAGGGTGGGCCAAGGGTATAGCTGATGATGGTGAGAAGATAGGCAATGTGTTGATAAGGCACACTGATAAGTGATTTACAATATTCTCATGTTTCTCATAACATCTGTGAAGATGGGATTATCCGCATTGTACACATGGCAAAACTGAGGCTCAGAGAGCCCTGCAATGCATGACGGAGCTGAGAGTCAACCCAAGTGTGTCCAATTCCAAAGCCAGGGCTCTTGGTCACAGTGCTGTATGTGTGAAACCATAGCATATGCATATATTATTAATAAAAGAACAAGCAAGTTAGAAAACAAATTTTCCATCCATTAGGTGAGTCAAGGCTTGAGGATCTGGAGACTAAGCAACTCTCAAGAGAAAGTTCTGCTGGGACCCCTCCCTTGGTCTTCCCTTTCTGCCCCCTCTGATGCCCCCTTCATCCATCCCTGCCTGCCTTCTGGTCTGTCCCTGCAGCGTGAGTGCCAGACAGAGGCCTGTTCTGATGTCCTGACATGCTACAATTATGCAGATTTACACAGCAAGCATAAGACCTTCTCCGCATGTATGGCTTCCCCATTCCCAAGCAGACCATGAACTTCCTAAGGAAAGTGACCGAATTCCGCACTTCTCAACCCTCGCGGAGGGGCAGGGAGATGGTAAGTGACTTTGGTTAGGTGCTACCACCTGTCAGGCCCGATGGGGGGGGTCCTTCCATGAGTTTTTTTTAAGAATTTGGGCTCTTTGAGGTGTGTTATCCCCATTTTACACAGGAGAGCAGCCCCGAGGCTCACAGAAATTAGTTTCCTTGTCCAAGATCACCCAAGTCATACGATTAACCTTAGAAAAGCTTTCTGCCTTTCTTGGGATGAATATTTTGAGCTAGGAAGGAAGTAACCGTTTCCTGTCTTTGTAATCTGAGAGGAACTAATTGGCGTTTTCCCAGGGCTTCAGACAGAGGCACAGGTGGGTTTCTGGAGGCTGGGGGTCTTATTTCTGAAAAGTTATAATGTCTTTACATGCAAACCAGGAGGCCAAGGCATCCCTCACTGAGGTTTTTCCTGGTTGAGACACAAAAACCTGTGGACCTCTGCATCCTGACCCTGTATCTGAGCCATGACTCACTGGCCAGGGAAGATCTACTGAGACCAGTACCAATAATGGAGCCCAATTGATTAGAACCTTGAGAAGCCCTAAGTGGAGTGAGAAACATTTGACTTCCAATGGGAAATCCAGATGCTTAGGGTATCATTCAAAATACCATGGTGGGCTCCTCAAAGGCATGACCTCAGCTCTTGTTTCCTAGCAGGGGATCAGTGACTGAGCAAGGCCAATAATGTCAATTCCACATTTGGGCTCTTATGGAGCTGGCCATTCCAGAGTCAGGTGTAGCAAAACAAAACCACACCCCTGAAAATGCAGTATTCTGAAGAATGGGAAATGGAAGGGGCAGTGAGGAGGAAGCCACCAGGACACCCGCAGCCCTGGGTTCGAGCTCCACCTTGCTCTCTGCCCTTCTTTACCCCGCACTGGGCCCTGGGGGTTGACCTGAATGGACCACAGCCTCTAGGGGAAGGTCCTTCCTTGCCTCCTCCAGCTTCTGGTGGCCCTGGGTGATCCTTGCCTTGTAGCTCCCTTTTCCCTGGAGCAGCTCCCAGGACTGCTGGCAGGTTCCTGGGGGCTTTGTGGAACAATATAAGAATCCCTGGTAGAGATCAGTGTTTCTCAGCATTAGCTATGGATCAGAAATGGCTGCAGAGCTTTGGAAAAATACAGAGGCTGAAATCTCACCTGTACCCTGCGGCACAAACCACAAGGGAAAGGCCCCAGTGTCTGCTGGATTCCAGGTGACTCTGATGTCAGGCAGGGTTGAGAAACACTGACCCAAACATTCTGGGCTTTATCCCTGGGTTATATCAGATCATTTCCAGGCCTTGCAACACCTGTTCACTGTGTTTACTCTAGAAACGATGCAGTTGGTGGTGTCTCCCACTATTTTAGTCTGTGTTCACCACACAGCTTTATTTTCTTAGACAATGAGAATTTTTGTAAATGATCATGTTTGTCTTTTGTATTGACTGCTTGGACCCACAGGCTTAAATGTGCAGTTTAATTTTAGCAATGACACAGGTCCTGTGGCTCCAACAGCTGCAGATAGCCTTTGCCTCTGATCTTAGTTTCCTCTATTTTCCTTGGTCTTAATTTTTTATTATACTTCACTGCTTCATGGAATTACACATCGGTACCAGGAATAGTTTAGGGAATAAAGTGGCATTTACATTTATAAAGAACAGGCCAGGCATGGTGGCTCACACCTGTAATCCCAGCGCTTTGGGAGGCAGAGGCTGGCAGATCACTTGAAGTCAGAAGTTCGAGACCAGCCTGGCCAACATGTGTAAAACCCTGTCTCTACTAAAAATACAAAAATTAGTTAGACGTTGTGGTGGGTGCCTGTAATATTAATCCCAGCTACTCGGGAGGTGGAGGCAGGAGAATTGCTTGAACCTGGGAGGCAGAGGTCACAGTGAGCCAAGATGGAGCCACTGCACTCCAGCCTGGGTGACAGAGTGAGACTCCATCTCAAAAAAAAAAAAAAAAAAATTATGAAGAACAAAACGGAAGTGGTGTATAATGATAATGGAGCTTGTGTCTGCAGCCACAGGACACCAAGTGCAGGTTAAAGAGACCTCCTCTAGCTTTAGATTTCCTCATATGTGCCACCTCCTCCAGGAAGCCTTTCCTGATCATCTGAACCAGATGAATCACCTCATGATAAATGATCCTAACTCTTGTTCTCCATTAAAATGACTCGTTCAGCCCCAGTCTTCCTCACCAGACTGTGATTTTTGACATGAGCCAAAAGCATGCCTGTCTTTCTCCTGGGTGTAACCCCATTGCCCAGCACACGGCGTGCTGCAAGCATAATCATCTGATAAATATTTATTGGACGAGCAAATGGAAATAGCCGCAAAACTCGACTGCTGGGTGAAATATACAAGAAATAAATATAAAGGCTGTGTGATAAGAAGGTGACTCACAGAGTGAGGAGAGAGAAGGAAAAAGAAAGGCAGGTGGGAGGGAAGAAAGGAGCAGCTGGTTGAAAAGAAGACAGAACGGGAGCTGGCAGCATCTGAGCAGCTATTTACCCAGATCCCAGTGAGAGTCTCTACAGACTGTGTCCCATTTTATCTTCACAACACTCTCGGAAGGCGAGCCGGCTACCCCCACTTTACAGATGAGGAGACTGAAGCTTGAGGCGTCTAAGCTGCCTGAAATTCATAAAGCCCAGGAGTAACTGAGTCAGATCTGAATCTGAGGGTCTGTGGCTTCAAAGCTGGGAGGCTGTCCCCTGCAGCACAGGGACAAATATCAGAATCCCAAAGTGGCCACACCTACTACTCATCCTGCCAGGGACCCTTCCACCTGCTCCACGAACAGGGTTCTCTTCGCAGAGGGTCTGTTTCTGTGGCTGGCTGGGCGAGCAGGGATCAGCGGAAAAGGAGGTGACAAGGCTTCAACTTTGGCATCCCTATTCAGTGAGAAGAATGGAGCACCCAGATTATAAGAGGGCCAACTGGGAGACTGAGTAAGGAGGAAACACCTCCCATTTCACCTTGCCTGTGAGCTGAGGAGGTAGTAAGGGTTGGGCAGCTGCTGCTCCCATCCCGACCCTCCCAGCCTCCATCCACACCTCCTCCCAGAACTGCCTTCAGAGGAGCCAGCCAGGCTGGGCTTGAGGATGTCAGGCCAGGAATGGCCAGGGGCCCAGAGGGGTGGGCACCAGCTGGGGCCTTGCTTCAGCAACACAGCCAGAGCTGTGCATACCAGGGCCAGCAGTGGCCGTTTTTCCAAGCTGCAGTGGCTGCTGAGCCAGAGGCTGTCCCTGTGGATTCTTGCCACCTGCAATTCCCAGTCTTCATGGGTGGGAAGAAGGCTCATCTAGACACCCCAACCCAAGGAGAAGGGTAGTGCCAATGCGTGCCCCTGGGACAAGAGGACTTTATTTGCCCTCACCTGTGTCCTTTGATTTGGGGACTCTGGGGACCCTGGCCAAGATACATGTATGTGCTCCAAAGCCTTAGCTTCAACTCTAGCCATCGGTCATCCAGAGCTTAATTCCTTATGTGAAAACAAAAATGCTAGCAAGAGAATAGAAGCCTTGGGGAAGTTGCCCAGAATAGAAAGGCTTTAAACCGCCAGAAAGCACTGAGCATTTCAAATCGCTATCCTGAGTCAACTGGTGCCGAATCCTCTTTCAAGCTTTGAATCAACACTGTCCAGCTAGTACTGTTGACTCAGGAGGGTCCAAGGGTTGACCAGGGGAGAGATAGCTGTGTGTGGCCTGGGATCAGAGCTCTCCAACCCTACTTTCTGGAGCTCTTCCAACCTGGACTTCTGACTCAGGCTGTACAGCAAATATTCTTGTTTTCGCTGATTTCTCTACATGTGAAGAATCTGAGTGGTTTGGATCCCAACCATTTAGATGGATGACTGGACTTATAGCCCTCCTGGACCCTTGCCAACTATGATTCAGCCATTCTTCCTACCCCAAAGGGAGTTGAGCAACAAATGATATACTGCAGTTTTTGCCTGATAGATGCAATTTACACATCAGCAAAAGCTTCCCAACAGGAAGGTCTGACATGGACGATGGTGAACAGCATTCCCTGGGCCTGGCATACTGGCTTATGCCAGTAATCTCAGTGCTTTTGGCCGGGGGGGGGGGGGCCGAGGCAGGTGGATCACTTGAGCCCAGGAGTTCTGGAACAGCCTGAGCAACATAGCAAGACCCTATCTCTACAAAAAAAAAAAAAAAAAAAGAAAAGAAAGAAAAAGAAAAAAAAGGACAGCATTCCACTTATTCTCAAGAGGTATTTAAATTCTGAAGAATTTATCATCACCTTGCACAAAGAATGGAACCAGGAGTATCCATGTTTCTTCTGTGCCCTTGAATTCTCCAGTGACTTCATCTTTAGCTAAAATCTCAGCAAAATGTGGAGGAATGGCTACTCCTGAGCAGTTTTCTCTTGGCTCCCTGGGATCATGTAGCAGAGGTCTGGCTTGGTCAGAAATACTGTCCTTTCCAGAGATATGGTCAATAGGCAATAGTGAGGGGGAGGGAGAGAGAGAGGATAGGGCTGAAGGGGGTTATTACTATAGAGCCAGAGGGTCACATGTCCCTATTCAATTCCACACAAGAAGGCTCAGCTATAATCACCAACCCACTTGCTTCCCTACAAGGTAACCATGTCACAACCAGTTCCTCCCAGAGGATTCAACATCACTGCTCATCTCCTCAGACCAATCAAGAGGATTGGTCATTGGGAAGTCATCCTGAGCTGTGACCACTCTCTGGAACCCAGAACTTCCTGCTTCACATGGACTGGATGAATGTCTAGGGGCACAGCTGTTTCCAGACACCTGGTTTGTCTTCAGAATCTCAAATCTTAAAGGCTTTCTGGTCCAACCATCCAATGCATGGTGAGGCCCCTTCTGGATTGCCCCTGCCTGCAGCATCCTGGTGTGTGCCTACATATTTCCAGGGACAGCCAGGAAGATTCCATGCAATTATGTGTTCCCTGTTCCAGGGGAGCCCACAGCTTGATCAGGGGACAGACTGTATCTTCCATCAACTCAAGAACTAAGACTCAAATTAAAAAAATGCAAGGCTGGGGGCCAGGTGCGGTGGCTTAAGCCTGTAATCCCAGCACTTTGGGAGGCTGAAGCAGGCATATCACCTGGCCTCAGGAGTTCAAGACCAGCCTGGGCAACACGGTGAAACCCTATCTCTACCAAAAATACAAAAAATTAGCCGGGCGTGGTGGCGTGCGCCTGTGGTCCCAGCTACTTGGGAGGCTGAGATGGGAGGATCACTTGAACCTGGGAGGCAGATGTTGCAGTGAGCTGAGATTGTGCCACTGCACTCCAACCTGGATGACAAACTGAGACCCCATCTCAAAAAAAAAAAAAAATAAATAAATAAATAAATAAATAAATAAATAAATAAGGGGATCTGAAAAGGCTCTGTACTGTATGCATAGTACTATCTGACATTCTGCACAAGGCAACTATGAAGACAGTGAAAAAAAAAGATCAGTGGTTTCAGAGGTGGGGAGGAGGGATGGATAGGTGGAGCATAGAGGACTTTTAGGGCAGTAAAGCTTTTCCAGATGGTATTGTCATGTGGATACATGCCACACCTTTGTCCTGAACCACAGAATGTACAAAACCAGGAGTGAACCCTAAATGTAAACTGTGAACTTTAATAACAATGCATCAACATTGGCTCATCCCTCGTAACCAACGTACCACACTAATGCACGATGCTAATAACAGGGGGTGCTGGAGTGGGAGTAAAAGGGTATACAGGAACTCTGTGTACCTTCCATTTTTCTGTAAACCTAAGACTGCTTAAATAATAAAGTCTATTAATTTTTTCTAAATTGCAGGATGAAGAAATAAAGAGAGGGTGAAATCATTCTGGGAAGTTTCCTTGAAAGGGGTGAGTCATAAAGAGGGGGTTGGGTGCAGGTGAGGAGGAGGAAGATTACAGACTGCAGGGATGAGCAAATACCATTTCCCAGGATTTCCTGAAGTTTTTCTCCCCTCCCAAAGCCCAAATCTGCCTCTTTCTGGGGCCCAGCGAGGACCCTGGAAGACAGAGATCCTAGAAAAAGCAGAGGGAAAAGAAGAGGAAGAGAACATGGAGAAACCGCCAGGGAACAGAACTCTTGGTCCAGGAGGCGCAAACCACAAGTGCAATTAGTCAAAAAAAAACCCTGAAATTAAAAAATGATTCCAAGCTGAGGAGGGGAGTACATAAGTTACTGCAGCCCCAAGACATTTATGAATAATACAAATGCTGTGAGGTGCTGAGCCTGAGCACAGTTAATTAATATGTACAGGAGCAGAGATGCACTTGAAAAACAATAGTGCTGTTTCCCCCTCGCCAGAAGTAAAAATATTTCCAGAAAGACTGACACGTGTATTATTTTCTAACATAATTACCTTATTGTGGAGCATTTGTAATGGAACACATTAGAGACGCTAAGCACCTGCCTGCCTTCCCTTAATGCAGTTTGGTTCAGTGGTGCTGGGCACTGGAGGTGGGAGGAGGCTGGCAGGGTGGCAGCGGTGGGGGCGTCTCGGGAGATCTGTGCACACACATACTTGATGCCCTTTCTCTCTCCTTCCCCTACTCGCTTTCCTTAAACCAAGCAAACATCCTCTCCCTTCCTCCTTCCATTCCCTCCCCTGCCTGCCTTACTGCCACCCACTTCTAGGGACCTCCGTGAGCTAGTGACAGCCTGAGGGGCAAAGCTGAGAGATTCAGGGTTCCCCGATGACTGGCTGAGAGAAAACGTCTGCAGAAGGAGAAAAAGCAGAAGCCACCCTCTGCCGGAGGAGGGAGAAGGGATGAGAGGGGACAGGCCTAGGGCTTAAATGTTCGCCCCAAGACCCAGAATAGCCTAGCACTTCAGCCTTTCTGCTATCCTTGTTTTGCAAGGATGTAGAGTGAGAATATTGATCTGGGAGGCTGGGACCCTAGGTTCTAGTCCTCACTCTTCTAGCCCAAAGACCAAAAGTCACTTTGTCTCTGAATCTCCATGTCCTCACCTGTAGAAGGGCACCAGTGGAGGACAGCTGGCCTGGCTGGCCTCCAACATCCCTGCTGCCCAATGTCCTGAGCACATCAGCCACTCAGCCAAGAGGTGAGCGGTGTCATCCTATCCAGCCTTTTTCCCCCACAGTTAAGAATGCCTCGCCCAACAGATAGATGCCCAATTTACTCTCTCCCAGGAGAGAAATGCCTGTCTTCTCCCTTCCACTCCCATTGGCTCCCTGCCGTGCCCAGCCTCCCTGCTCCTCCCATCGCCACACACATAATGGAATCCAGAAGGCGGGCGCCCATGCTGCCATGTGCATGGTGTGCCATCCCTGGCCACGCCCACCTGGCCAGGCTCCATCCTTGGCACCCGCCTCTCCTCATCTTTTCCTCTTGCTCCTCTCCCTCTTGCCACCCTTAAACACTGGCCCCCTCCAGCATTTTGCCCTTGGCCCTCCTCTCTTCCCATTTTCTGGGCCCTCCTATGGTTTGATTGCACAGATAAATTTTATATCTGTCTTTAAATCCCAACCCTTGCTTCTGAGCTCCAGAATTTGTAAATACAGCTGGCAGTGGGACATCTTTATCTACTTAAGAATCACTGTGCCCAAATGGAGCCCTTTATCTTCCCCACTAAACCTGCTTCTCCTCCTATTTTCTATTTCAGGGACTGGCATTCCCCTACTCTCATAATTCAGAAATCCAAGAGGCTTTCCAGAATCCCCTTTCTCTTTATATCTCATACTCATCTGGCCACAAAACTGATCTTATGCCCAAAATAGCCCAGGACTCTCTTTCCTGTCTTCACTGACACTGTCTTCCTTTCTTGAGCAGATTCATCGGGTAGTCTTTCATCTGTACATCCTCCCTACTGAGCTCGCCCAGAGGCTGGCACTTGGGTAAATGGCAGCAAATATTTACTGAATGAATAAGCCCCATCTCAGGCCGTTCCATTGTCCACATTGCTAGTGGTCCTTCTCCTAAAATCCAGAGATAATTATATCTTTGTCTTGCTTGAAAACCTCCATAACATGCCGTGACTTCCAGGATAGTTTCACCCCATGCTGCCTAATTTTACATGGTTTGTACACCCTCCAACACCATCTCCAGCAGGCACCCATGGCAATACCAGCTCCTGTGTCTCTAATCAAAGGCCCCATCTCATGCTTTTGTGCCTTGCATGTGTTGTCCCTGTTGCCTGGAGCATCATTCATCCGCCATCTGGTCAACCTCTATTGTAATCTAAGAATCACTATTCTGATGATCTATCACTATGTAATGAATAACCCCAAACTTAGTGGCTTAAAACAACAATCATTTTATTACCATATCTTATAGTTCTGGGCTTGACTGGGCTCAGAACTGGGTTCTGTTCTTGTTCGTGGTCTCTCATATGGCTGCAGTCAGACAGTGGCTGGGCTGGAGTCATCTTGAGGACTTTCTCACTCACATGTCTGCCTGGGTCAGTGGGTACCACCTACACATAGGCTCTTCATGTGGCTTGGGCTTCCTCCCAACATGGTGGCCATGTTGTTAGAGCAAGCATACTGAGAGAGAAAGATCAGCAGAAGCTTCTTGACCTTTTCTAACCTAACCTTGGAAGTCCTGTAGCATCACTGCTGCTACAGTCTACTCATCAAGGTTGTCACAAGGGCCTGCCCAGGTTCAAAGGAAGGGGATATTTCACTTCGTGATGAGGGAATGGCAAGGTTCTGAAGAGAGCATGTGGGATGGAAATATTGTTGCAGCCACTGAGGGAAAATATAATCTGCCACATATGACAGCCCCTCCTCCAAGAAGTCCTTGGATGTCCCTTTCCCTCCTCCAGGCTACTCCTGTGCCTCTTGCTAGTATTCCCCACCATATGTGCTGTCATTATTTTTTAGTTTAGTTCATTGAGGGCATGGGCTATCTTTTACTTATCTTTGTGCTTCGCACATAGTTGGTTCTCATTAATTGCTTGCAAATTACTCACTGAGGAAGTGAGAGACTGAGTATGACCTGCTAACCCATAGCAAGGAATGTTCTTTCCAGAGCAGGAAGTGACTTCCCAGGATGGCCACCACTCAGGCAATTGTGGGCAGAAGCCCTGGCTGAAGCTACTCCTCAACTAAAACATACCTGGCCCTCACTGCTGCCATTCAGGACGCCTCTCCCATGTAAGATCTGTTACCTGCTGGCAGGTGTGCACAGGTGAAGCCCTTTGATTCTCCCCAATACCACCTCTACCTTCTTGCTCCTGTTTTAAAATTTCCAGCAGTGGAATGAAAGGTGGCTCCATGAAAGAGGGAAGAGTGTGGGAAAGTTTGGAGGGTTGGTGGGAGGCAAAGGGAGAGGAAGCCCCTTCCTTTCTCCCTCCCATTCCCCATTGGCCCTCTGGAGCCATGGAGCACAGAAATATCCCTTCTCATTTCCCGGCACCATTCCCCAGCTGCCTGGCCAGGATTGCTGGGCCTTGGGAGCAATTGTTTGCTGAGCCATTCAGCGGGCAGCTCCCTCATGGGCACACAGCCCCACTGCCTGACAGGCTGTGTGCAAGGGGACAGGCCTGAATGACTGTAATATGAACCATGAAAGTGGATATTAAAGGCTTTATTACAGGGTGAGGACTGCTAATTGCAACTTTCCTTTCAGGAAGCTGGAGCTGATGAGTTTAAGCAGCGGCACCCAATTATTATAACTCTGTCAGCACAGAGCAGGGGAAAGGTGGGGGAGGGGAGGAGGCAGGCTGAAGGCACAATTACCTGAACTTTATCCAAGGCACACACCGCTGGCCTGGAATGTTAAAGGGAGATTGGTTCTGCTCTGAGCTTCCTCCCTGTCACAGCTGTGTTGTTGTTGATTGCTGATCCCCCAGCCCTTCTCCCCTGCCCTGCAGTCTTCTTGTGGAATAGGTGGCACTTGTGTACATCAAATGACACCCAAGCCCTCCCTGGCCCCTGCTGCTGACGCAGCCCCCTTGCTGAGACCTAAGGCCTTCCACGGCACCTTGGAATCAAGCTGCCCAGGCTTCCATTCTTTAGATGGGAAAGTAGACTCAGCGAAGACAGGAAGTTGCCCAGATTACCCAGCTCTTAAGCGGCAGAGCAGGAGGTAACCGGAGGCTCCTTAAAATTCAGCCCCAGGTATAGGCACTGCCCACCATGTACACGGGCTGAGTATTCTGATGTGCTCCCGGAGGAAGAAAATGCAGCCCTTGCTAGGGAGATGACTTGTAAACAGCATCATCATTCAAACTCATCATTACCATGCTCTAAGTGTGTTCAGTGCTTTACATTTCACAGAGTGCCTTCAGATATTAGTGTGTTCCAGTGTTGCTGAGCACCTACTGGGTGCCAGGTGCTGGAGACAGAGATGACAGATGATGTTTCTGTCTGCAAGGAGATCACAGCTTAGTGGGAAGACACACAAGCCGACCGACAATTATGATACCGAGTCTAAAGTGCTAGATAGAGGTGTCCTCACACACATTACCGCCTTTAATTTAATCACATAAATTTAAGTGAGTGCACATAAAAAGCTAATACTACAAGGTGTGGTCTGCTCAGTGTCAGTTGAGCAGCACAGATAGCAAAAATAGAATTGTTCCCTGTTGGGAGAGCTCACCGTTGCACACGGTGGTCAACGGTGGGTTCACTAAAAAGGCAGCTCTGATGGATAGGTAAGAATTCAAAAGGCAGCGAAAAGGGATAGGAGTTGGGAGTGATGGGGAAGAGAGCAAAGTTTCTTTTTTGCATCCAACTAGAGGGTCTGTATCTGAAATATTGATCCCTCCTTATCCCCATCCAAGAGTATTAAGGTTGTCTTTGTCATGATGAAGTTAGAGCAGTGTAGTGAACATGCAGGCCCCTATGCTGGGCATTGAAGATGCCCCAGAACAATGATGAGGGCTTAAGATCTAGGAGTCTTTTTCCTCATTGCACACAGGGCATCATCATAACAGATTGTGATGAATGTAGGGGAGTGGACAGAATCAGGTAGACCTCATTCCTTGGACTTGTGCGTGCTCAGAATGAACCTGCCTGACTCATGTTCCTCAGCCAAAGAGTCCTGATCAACCAGGAGATGTGTCCCATGTACTGAGATGTAGGACGTGAAGGAGCCACAAATATGAGAACGGTGGAATCAAGGGTTCTTCCTTACACATGTCAAGCCTGAGATGACTGCTAGATAACAACATGGAGCTGGATGGATTTTGACAACAGTTTTGGAGTTCAAGAACAATATAGGCTGGTGATGGGATAATTTGGGTGTCCTTGGCATCTGGATGGGATATAAGATCATAAGATAGGAGGAGAATACCTGGAGAGAGAGAAACAGAGAAAGAGATCAGGTGCACATAGGTTGCACTCTGGTGGGGGCAGATGCCAGCCAAAGAGAAGGAGGTGGGAGGAAAGACAAAGGAACATATTGCCCTTCAGGTGAAGAGAGAGATGGTCCAGGAGAGAGTGGTACATGAGGTAGAATTCTGCAGAAAAACCAAATAAAATGAGGATTGAAAAGTGGCTCCTCAATTTGTCAACATGGATGGCCCTGGCTTGGATGGAAAATTTAGAAACCAGTAGGAGTGGTTGGAAAGTGAAAGGCAACAGCCCTATTCAAATAAACTCTGACCCTTACCTCACACCACACACGGTGAAATTGGCACCAAGAAGATTGTATCTTGTAGTGTTAGCAATCACTTGCATTTATATGATTAAATTAAAGGAAGTGGTGCATGTATGCACATCTCTATCTAGTGCTTTTCATACCATATTATAATTGTCAATCAGTTTGTGTATTTCCCACACTAAGTCATGAGCTCCTTGCAGAGAGAGTCAGAATCTGTCATCTTTTTATCTCCAGTGTAACTTACAATGGATCAGAGACATAAAATCTAAAACTGTAAAACTTCTGGAATAAAACATACAAAAACATTTTGTAAACTTAGGATAGGCAAAAATTTCTTAGGACACAAAAAACATGAAAAAAATTGATAAGTTATACTTTACAGAAATGTAGAAATTCTGCTATTCGAAAACACATTAATAAAATGAAAAGGCAAGCCACAAACTGTGAGAAAATATTTATAACATGCATATCTCACAAAAGAATTGTACCCAGACATATAAAGAATTCTTATAACTCAATAATATGACAAACGATTCAATGGGAAGAAAAAGGAAAATATTTAAACAAACACTTAACCAAAAAAAAGAAACACATGACAAGATTCTCAACACTATTAGTCATTAGATGTCTTAGTTCATATGGGCTGCTATAAGAGAATTCCATAGACTGGATGGCTTGTAAAAAACAGAAATGTATTTCTCATTGTTCTAGAGGTTGTGAAGTCCAAGATCAAAGCACTGGCAGATTTGGTGTTTGTTGAGGGCTCACTGCCTGGTCCCAGAGGGCCATCTTCTAGCTGTGTCTTCATATGGTGGTAGGAACAAGGGCACTAATCTTATTCATGGGCACTACCCACCCAAATCACCTCCCAAAGGCCCCACCTCCTAGTACCATCTTGGTGATTAGGTTTCGCCATATGAATTCACAAATATTCAGTCTATAGCATCAGGGGAAATGTAACTTAAAACCACAACGAGGTACTACATTACATACCTATCAGGGTAAAATAAAAAATACTATCCATACCAAGAGTTCGTGAGAAGAAGGGGCAACTTGAACTCTCACGTATTGATGGTGGCAATGTAAAGTGGTCCAATCACTTTGGGAAACAATCTGGGAGTTTCTTATAAAGCTAAGTATATACTTCACATATGACCCAACAATTCTACTTCTACATATTTACCCAAGAGAAGTGAAAATGTGTGTTCAAGCACTTGTATGCTAATGTTCATAGTGTGCTGTATTCAGGAAACCCATCTCACCTGCAGAGACACACATAGACTCAAAATAAAGGGATGGAGGAAGATCTACCAAGCAAATGGAAAACAAAAAAAGGCAGGGGTTGCAATCCTAGTCTCTAATAAAACAGACTTTAAACCAACAAAGATCAAAAGAGACAAAGAAGGCCATTACATAATGGTAAAGGGATCCATTCAACAAGAAGAGCTAACTATCCTAAATGTATATGCACCCAATACAGGAGCACCCAGATTCATAAAGCAAGTCCTTAGTGACCTACAAAGAGACTTAGACTCCCACACAATAATAATGGGAGACTTTAACACCCCACTGTCAACATTAGACAGATCAACGAGATAGAAAGTTAACAAGGATACCCAGGAATTGAACTCAGCTTTGCACCAAGCAGACCTAATAGACATCTACAGAACTCTCCACCCCAAGTCAACAGAATATACATTCTTTTCAGCACCACACCACACCTACTCCAAAATTGACCACATAGTTGGAAGTAAAGCACTCCTCAACAAATGTAAAAGAACAGAAATTATAACAAACTGTCTCTCAGACCACAGTGCAATCAAATTAGAACTCAGGATTAAGAAACTCACTCAAAACTGCTCAACTACATGGAAACTGAACAACCTGCTCCTGAGTGACTACTGGGTAAATAATGAAATGAAGGCAGAAATAAAGATGTTCTTTGAAACCAATAAGAACAAAGACACAACATACCAGAATCTCTGGGACACATTCAAAGCAGTGTGTAGAGGGAAATTTATAGCACTAAATGCCCACAAGAGAAAGCAGGAAAGATCTAAAATTGACACCCTAACATCACAATTAAAAGAACTAGAAAAGCAAGAGCAAACACACTCAAAACTAGCAGAAGGCAAGAAATAACTAAGATCAGAGCAGAACTGAAGGAAATAGAGACACAAAAAACCCTTCAAAAAATTGATGAATCCAGGAGCTGGTTTTTTGAAAAGATCAACAAAATTGATAGACCACTAGCAAGACTAATAAAGAAGAAAAGAGAGAAGAATCAAATAGACGCAATAAAAAATGATAAAGGGGATATCACCACCGATCCCACAGAAATACAAACTACCATCAGAGAATACTATAAACACCTCTATGCAAATAAACTAGAAAATCTAGAAGAAATGGATAAATTCCTCGACACATACATCCTCCCAAGACTAAACCAGGAAGAAGTTGAATCTCTGAATAGACCAATAACAGGCTCTGAAATTGAGGCAATAATCAATAGCTTACCAACCAAAAAGAGTCCAGGACCAGATGGATTCACAGCCAAATTCTACCAGAGGTAGAAAGAGGAGCTGGTACTATTCCTTCTGAAACTATTCCAATCAATAGAAAAAGAGGGAATCCTCCCTAACTCATTTTATGAGACCAGCATCATCCTGATACCAAAGCCTGGCAGGGACACAACCAAAAAGGAGAATTTTAGACCAATATCCCTGATGAACATCAATGCAAAAATCCTCAATAAAATACTGGCAAAGCGAATCCAGCAGCACATCAAAAAGTTTATCCACCATGATCAAGTGGGCTTCATCCCTGGGATGCAAGCCTGGTTCAACATATGCAAATCAATAAATGTAACCCAGCATATAAACAGAACAAAAGACAAAAACCACATGATTATCTCAATAGATGCAGAAAAGGCCTTTGACAAAATTCAACAACCCTTCATGCTAAAAACTCTCAATAAATTCGGTATTGATGGGACGTATCTCAAAATAATAAGAGCTATCTATGACAAACCCACAGCCAATATCATACTGAATGGGCAAAAACTGGAAGCATTCCCTTTGAAAATGGGCACAAGACAGGGATGCCCTCTCTCACCACTGCTATTCAACATAGTGTTGGAAGTTCTGGCCAGGGCAATCAGGCAGGAGAAGGAAATAAAGGGTATTCAATTAGGAAAAGAGGAAGTCAAATGGTCCCTGTTTGCAGATGACATGATTGTATATCTAGAAAAATCCATCGTCTCAGGCCAAAATCTCCTCAAGCTGATAAGCAACTTCAGCAAAGTCTCAGGATACAAAATCAATGTACAAAAGTCACAAGCATTCTTATACACCAATAACAGACAAACAGAGAGCCAAATCATGAGTGAACTCCCATTCACAATTGCTTCAAAGAGAATAAAATACCTAGGAATCCAACTTACAAGGGATGTGAAGGACCTCTTCAAGGAGAACTACAAAACACTGCTCAATGAAATAAAAGAGGATACAAAGAAATGGAAGAACATTCCATGCTCATGGGTAGGAAGAATCAACATCATGAAAATGGCCATACTGCCCAAGGTAATTTATAGATTCAATGCCATCCCCATCAAGCTACCAATGACTTTCTTCACAGAATTGGAAAAAACTACTTTAAAGTTCATATGGAACCAAAAAAGAGCCTGCATCGCCAAGTCAATCCTAAGCCAAAAGAACAAAGCTGGAGGCATCACACTACCTGACTTCAAGCTATACTACAAGGCTACAGTAACCAAAACAGCATGGTACTGGTACCAAAACAGAGATATAGACCAATGGAACAGAACAGAGACCTCAGAAATAATGCCGCCTATCTACAACTATCTGATCTTTGACAAACCTGAGAAAAACATGCAATGGGGAAAGGATTCCCTATTTAATAAATAGTGCTGGGAAAACTGGCTAGCCATATGTAGAAAGCTGAAACTGGATCCCTTCCTTACACCTTATACAAAAATTAATTCAAGATGGATTAAAGACTTAAATGTTAGACCTAAAACCATGAAAACCCTAGAAGAAAACCTAGGCAATACCATTCAGGACATAGGCATGGGCAAGGACTTCATGTCTAAAACACCAAAAGCAATGGCAACAAAAGCCAAAATTGACAAATGAGATCTAATTAAACTAAAGAGCTTCTGCACAGCAAAAGAAACTACCATCAGACTAAACAGGCAACCTACAGTATGGGAGAAAATTTTTGCAATCTACTCATCTGACAAAGGGCTAATATCCAGAATCTACAATGAGCTCAAACAAATTTGCAAGAAAAAAACAAACAACCCCATCAAAAAGTGGGTGAAGGATATGAACAGACACTTCTCAAAAGAAGACATTTATGCAGCCAAAAAACACATGAAAAAATGCTCATCATCACTGGCCATCAGAGAAATGCAAATCAAAACCACAGTGAGATACCATCTCACACCAGTTAGAATGGTGATCATTAAAAAGTCAGGAAACAACAGGTGCTGGAGAGGATGTGGAGAAATAGGAACACTTTTACACTGTTGGTGGGACTGTAAACTAGTTCAACCATTGTGGAAGTCAGTGTGGCGATTCCTCAGTGATCTAGAACTAGAAATACCATTTGACCCAGCCATCCCATTACTGGGTATATACCCAAAGGATTATAAATCATGCTGCTATAAAGACACATGTACACGTATGTTTATAGCGGCACTATTCACAATAGCAAAGACTCAGAACCAACCTAAATGTCCAACAACGATAGTCTGGATTAAGAAAATGTGGCACATATACACCATGGAATACTATGCAGCCATAAAAAAGGATGAGTTCATGTCCTTTGTAGGGACACGGATGAAACTGGAAACCATCATTCTCAGCAAACTATCGCAAGGACAAAAAACCAAACACCGCATGTTCTCACTCATAGGTGGGAATTGAACAATGAGAACACATGGACACAGGAAGGGGAACATCACAGACCGGGGACTGTTGTGGGGTGGGGGGAGGGGGGAGGGATAGCATTAAGAGATATACCTAATGCTAAATGACGAGTTAATGGGTGCAGCACACCAACATGGCACATGTATACATATGTAACAAAACTGCACGTTGTGCACATGTACCCTAAAACTTAAAGTATAATAATAATAAAATTTAAAAAAAAAGAATTTTATTTTTAAAAGCCTCAAACTAGGAACCCAGATGTCTACCAACAGGAGAATGCGTAAACAAATTGTGGCATACTCATACAGTGGAACTCCACTCAGCAATAAAAGAGGATGAATTACTGATATGTGCAACAATGACATGAACCTCAAAAATATTATGCTGAGTGAAAGATACCAGACACCGAAGAGTACATACTGTATGATTCCGTTTATATGAAATTCTAAAAAAGGTAAAACTATCTGTGCTGATGGACAGCAGATCGAAGGTTGCCAGGGCTGCTGAGGGGAGTGGGGATTGGCTATAAATAGCCATGAGGACACTTTGTGTGCTTCTGCATCTTTATTGGCATTGGCGTTAGATGAATGTATATATTTGTCAAAATTGATCAAACTGAGTACATTTTGTTGTATGTAAATTGTATCTCAATAAGTTTAGTTCTTAAAAAAATGGGTCCACCCTATAGTACAATACCTTATGCTTTCCAAATGCATGAAAATACATGCACTCCCATATATATATGTGAGTGCGTAGAAACATCCAGAAGGATAGAAACCAAAATGACTGTATTATTTGCCTCTGGATAGAGATGGGGAAGAGGACTCAGAGAAAGGTAAGGGGCCAATGGGCCTTTTGCCTTAATTATATTGCTTTAATTTTTTAAAAGGACAATGGTGTTCATGTATTGCCTTGTACGTAGATTTTTGAAACAGGTGCACAGCAGATGTAAACAGAGGCTATTCCACTGTGAAACCTCAACTGAAAGTCTTTTACCTGTTTGGACTAGCCATTTCGTTCAATTATTTATTGAGCATCTATGTTTCTAGCAACACAACGATGAGACAAGATTCTTCCTGTCTCTGCTCTGAGTCTTCCTTCAGCTCACTCTAAAGGATCCAGAGAGCCCAAAGTTCAACACCCATCACTTACCAGCTGCGGGACCAATTTACTCAAATTTTTAAGCTTCACTTTTTCTGCTTCATAATAGCACCTGTCACATAAGGGTTCTTGAGGGATTCAATGAGTAAACAGAGGTAGAGTTTGGCAGAGGGTTTAATAAGCAAGAGCTCAGATTCGTATTTTATTATTATTATTACTACCATATTTTATTGATTCTAAGACAGTGTTTTCCTATTTTAGTATTCCAGAAATTGGGCACATTTTACAATCAATGTCATAATTTATTTGGCAGGTTTTTTTCTTTCTTGGTGTATAAAATAGTGGTGCACCTTACAGTTGGTGGTGTCTTAGATTCTATGAAATATGGTGATAGCATCTCTCTCTCTTAGCCTTCTTATGAATTCTTGTCAATATTTAACCAACATCAGAAACGGGAAAAAGCTAATCCTCCTACCAGTCTAGGGAGAAAGAAAAAGCAGGAATGATGTAATGAAACCATCATTGTTGATAACCCAACAATAAAATGTTCCACCTGGCACAGCTGTCACTTTGGGGAAGGCCCAGCCACGAGTAGCTCTTTGGGTACCACCCTCTGCCCACTTGCTGCTGTGCTACCTCCTCCCTGCATGGCCAAGTCTGGTCCCCTGCTCTTCGGCCAGGCTCTTCCATCCACCTCTTGACTTCCCGCATCTGGCTTTCCTCTACAACAATGGCAAGTATCTTTCAGTTTCTTCCTTACCCCTTGCCTCTGTTCCCTCATGCCATGGCCATCTGAAAGTTCCTGATGGGCATTCACCCATCAGGAACCTTTTTGGTGTGTCAAATGGGTAGCAAGTCACGGTAAAGTATCAAGCCACAAAAGCCAACATTGGCTAACTTGTGCAGAAGAGATTGCTTTGGAAAGAAAGCAGGGGCACTCACAGAATGGACAGGAGGGGTGGTGAACCAGTCTGGGAAAATGAACAGGAACCAAAGGAAGTCAAGCAATGAAAATAAAGTGGCCAGGGTGCCACTGCTGGTGGCCCCCACTTCCATCCGAGCCCTAGGACTCTCAGCCATGCTGCAGTAGCGACTCACCCAGCGCACCCCATAACTCTGTGTCACTCCCTCCATACAAGGCCGGCTCAGAGTGTTGAATTGATTGGCCCAGCTGTGTGTCCTCAACATATTTGTGGGGGCAGAATGGGAATGTTGGGCCCCTTTAAGCACCTTCCTTCTCCTGCCGTCCACCAGGCATCACAATGGGAAAACCTGGCCACTTAGGAAGGGAGTAGACACTTGCTGGACAGATAAACAACAGCAAATGTTCACTGAATGTGTTTTTATGAATGCTCATCTTTCCAATACTAGAGGTTGATTTAGAAGCCCAACACTCAGAAATGTTTCCTGTTTGAGCAAAATAATGTGTACACACGGACATACAGTGTGGAATAATAGACACTGGAAGCTCAGAGGGCGGGAGGGCGAAGGGGATGAGGGATGAGAAATTATTTAATGGGTACAATGTATAGTATTCAGGATGATGGTTACACTAAAAGCACAGACTTTACCACTAAGCAATATATCATGTAACAAGACTGCACTTGTACTCCCTACATTTATAAAGAAAGAAAGACAGGTTTTCTGTTTGGTATTTTGTCTGAAATTTGGGCAAGCAGAGACTTCCTTAGGCTCAGTGGGCTAAGAAGCCAAGTTAGCCCATGAGCAGGGCTAATGGAGAAATTAATCCTATGCGCCACCTCGGCACCCCCAACAGCTAACCCTTCTTACAAAGTAGAAGCTATAACATTTTATTAAAGCAAAAAAGATTCTAGAATTATGAATTACTGTCACTAGTGGTAGTCAATTAAAGCAATATTTAAAGAAATAAAGATACCTGTGTACTTTTTAAACGAATGCTTGACTCATCACCAGTTAAAGCTAGTGGTTCTCAGAAAGGCAGAGTCAACCAGAACGTGTCAGAAATGCAAATTCTCGGGCCCCTCCGGAAACCTGCTGCATCTTCAGTCACTCTAGGGTGGAGCCCAGCAGTTGCTTTAACAAGTCCTCCACGTGAATTTGATTCATGCTGATGTCGAGAACTGCTGGTTTAATCTTAACCTTGGCTACACGTGAGAATCACCTGGGGAGCTTTTAAAATATTCAATGCTGAGGCCCCACCCTAAACCAATTACATCTGCCTGGTAAGGGAAGGGGCTTGAAACAAAAAGCTTCCTAGGTGGCTCGAATGTGCAGACAGGGTTAAGGGACTCAGATATAACCTGTGGTTATACAGAACATGTCTGTAACTCATGCGAACTTCTCACCACCCTTTGAGAGTAGGTTATTGTCTCTACTACCTTGAGATTTTGGAAATTGTCACTTTCCTGTTAAACTATTCATCTCAGTAAAGAAAAACTCACCCCTTCCTGGTAGTCTCCATCCAGGGACAACAGTGGCTATCATCAATAGCACAGCCCTGGGGAACCTCCTTTCCAGTGCAGAATTCATCTTTTCGTTCTCTAAAGAAGGTTTTTCACGGCCCACCTTGCTAACATGCTCTCTCCACCACCCACCCAAATCGGTGGGCATCAGAAGACATCAGTGTTGCTTAGGTGAAAAGCAGCTGTTACTGTTTCAAACAAGATTTGGGAAGGGGAAGGAAGGGATAGAGAGCGATTTGACAAAGGATACAAAATTACAGGTAGATAGGAGGAGTAAGTTCTAGTGTTCTAGAGCAGTGGTCACCAGCCTTTTTGGCACCAGGGACGGGTTTCATGGAAGATAATTTTTCCACGGACTGGAGTGGGGATGGGGATGGTTTTGGGATGATTCAAGGCATTACATTTACCATTAGATTCTTCTAAGGAGCGCGCAAACTGGATCCTTCACATGCGCAGTTCACAGTAGGGTTTGTGCTCCTATGAGAATCTAACACCACTGCTGATCTGACAGGAGGCAGAGTTCAGGCGGTAATGCTCGCTTGTCCACCACCCATCTCCTGTGGGCGGCCTGGTCCTAACAGGCCATGGACCACTGAGACCCCTGTTCTACAGCACCATAGGATGACTACAGTTAACAATAATATATAGTTTCAAATAGCTAGAAGGAGAATATTGAATGTTCCCAACACAAACATAATAAAATTTTGAGATGATGGATATGCTAATTACCCTGATATGATCACCATACATTATATGTATCAAAACATCACTATGTACCCCATGAATATGTCCAATTACTTGTCAATTAAAAAGATAAAATAAATTGGCTTTTTAAAAAATAAATCAGGATTCTTCCCCATCTCTCAGTTCAGGTTTACGTTTGCCTCTCGGCTTCCTGTTCTTCTCTTGCAAATGAGCTCTTTTCACCTGCTGGGGAATACGGCCATGAGGATCACATCACATTCCAGAAGACCCAAAAGAAAAGAGGCTGTCTCACCCAAGCCTCAGTATGGAAAATCTCAGAAAAGGCTTCTGACAGCTTAGCTGGGCCTCTTGGATACAGAGCTAGGTCGAGGTCACTCAGATCCTAGAGCCAGGGAGTGAGGTCCGTGACCAGCAGTGATCCAGTTTTCATATGTGGGTCAATACATATGTTTTCTTTTCTTTTCCTTTTTTTTTTGAGACGGAGTCTCACTCTGTCACCCAGGCTGGAGTGCAGTGGCGTGATCTCGGCTCACTGCAAGCTCCGCCTCCTGGGTTCACACCACTCTCCTGCCTCAGCCTCCCGAGTAGCTGGGACTACAGGCGCCCACAACCACGCCTGGCTAATTTTTTGTATTTTTAGTAGAGACAGGGTTTCACCGTGTTAGCCAGGGTGGTCTCGATCTCCTGACCTCGTGATCTGCCCACCTCGGCCTCCCAAAGTGCTGGGATTACAGGCGTGAGCCACCTTGCCCGGCCGCATTTTCTTTTCTTTTTTAGGGATGGGGTCTCACTATGTTGCCCAGGCTGGAGTGCAGTGGCTATTCACAAGAACGAAAATACATATGTTTTCTGATACAGACTCCCCTCTTTATAAGGGTCGAATGAATCAGAGAATAGCTTTAATATCAACACATAAAAGTAACATTCAAGAAGTACATTTTAATAGGACAATGAATATTTTCATCAATCATTATAGCACATTCAATCCAGAGAAGGCAACCAGAATGGAGAGGGGCTCAGTTTGGAGAATTGTTGGAAACCAGGGTATTTAACCCAGAACAGAACAAAAGGCAGGGCCTGCTGCTTCTTGTTCCTATGCAGAGAGTTACTGGGTTATCTCATTCCACACGGCTTCACAGGCAGAATTATTCCCTAACTGGCAAGAGGATAAAGTCCTAACTCCTTATCATGGAGTCCAAACTATATCTACTTTCCAGAGTCCTTTCTAACCTCGTCTCTGCATTCTGAAGGATGCCAGCATCAATGAAAAACAGCATCAGGCCAGACACAGTGGCTCACGCTTATAATCCCAAACCTTTGGGGAACTGAGGCAGGAACATCACTTGAGCCTAGGAGTTTAAGACCAGCCTGGGCAACACGAGGGCAACATACAGACCCAGCCTCTACAAAAAAATTTTACAGATCAGCTGGGCATGGTGGCATAGCACCTGTGGTCCCAACTACTCAGGAGGCCGAGGTGGGAGAGTTACTTGAGCCTGGGAGGTTGAGGCAAGGATCGCACCACTGCATTCCAGCCTGGGTGACAGAGTGAGACCATGTCTCGAACAAAAAAACAAAAAAACAAAGAGGAAAAAAAAGTACCAGATACTTTTTAAACGGCACTTGTTAAAAATCAGGGGCTGGGGTCACCTTTAAGAACACGGCCTAGTACAGATGGAAGCCAAGCTGAAGACAATCAAGTTTCTTGGCACAGTCTTGGCAAGGCCCTTGTGCCATGCACTTCATAGTTCCTTTTTTTTTAAAGCAATTCCCCTGCCTCAGCCTCCCGGGTACCTGCAATTACAGGCATGCACCACCACACCTGGCTAACTTTTTATATTTTTGGTAGAGACAGGGTTTCACCATGTTGGCCAGGCTGGTCTCAAACTCCTGACCTCAAGTGATCTGCCCACCTCGGCCTCCCAAAGTGCTGGGATTATAGGTGTGAGCCACTGTGCCCGGCCAGGAATTCATAGTTCAAACTAGGCACAACCAAAGAGGGGCACCAGGGGAGAGGAGGAGAGGGCCCAGGTTTGTCATCTTTCCTGAGATGCCCCTAATATCTAACGTTGTGCTTGGTATTCATATTTGTTGAGTGGGCAAATGAATGCATGCATGCGAGAGACCACAGAACACCGTGGCCTCTCATTGCACTCGTGGGCCTTCCTGCCGGAGGCTAGATTCAAACAGTCTGGGCAAATGGGCCCAAGTGTTGACAGTGGGCCTACACAGTGGTTAAATGCAGCCAGAAGACATTGTGGCAAGAACATAAGTTAGAAGGTTTCAGTCCTTGCTGCGCCCTACATGTGCAACTGTGGACAAATTGATCATCCTCACTAAGCTCGTGTTTTTTTCAGCTCGAAAGTGAGAATAATAATAATGTTTAGCGATTTGGGCTGAAGGAGGAATAAATGAGATTCCACATACCGGTACCTAGTTAGTCTTCCACATGGTAAGATGCTTAAGAAAACTTACTTCCTCTTTACCCAAATGGTTGTAATAATTTTATTCTGTTATGTTCCCCAAATATGAGTTAATGGCCACATGTTTTGGAAGGCAGAGAGAATGTCTCAGTTGCACAATGTCCATTATAACTAAAAACTCAGTAAAGGTTCTACTTTCTGATGACGAGGATTTTTGAGGTTTCTCTGGTCCTTGTGGTTGCCTTAGATATCTGTCTTTCTTAATCTAAACACACAGGGCAGAGCTTTCTCCAAGAGAGACCCATGTGTCCGCTACATCAGGATCACCTGAATATCAGAACGAAGCTGCTTTGCTTGCCATTCAGATGGTCCTCAGAGCCACTCCAGACCCACCAAGTCAGAGTTCCTGGGAGTGGAGCCTGGAAATCTGAACTTGAACTACCACCCTCAACTGATTCCTGTGCACACTAAATTTGGGGTTGAAAAATGTTTTCAACTGGAGCAAGAGTGTGCTTCCTCACCACCAGCCTAAAAGTGTACACAGACCCCACAGCCATGCACCTCCCCTAAGGCCCCAGAATCAAAGGTCACCTATAACGCTCCATTTCTGAACAGTGGGAAGAATCAAATAAGAGGGCCCATCCTCCAAACACAGAACTACCGAAAGGCTGTTGTATCTTTTTGAGGCCACTCCTATCACATATCACCCCTCAATCGATCCTCTTCTCCCTTGGGCCTACCTCCCCTTAACTTTTGTAGCCTCCATTTCCCCACTTGCTGAAAGGTGATAAACACCAGGTTTTGATCTATGGTTAACCTTCTTGTCCAAAGTCTCGAACAAGCACATTCTGCATGGTTGTTGACCACTCCACTTGCCAGGTAACAGGTGCTCCTGAAAAGCTAGTCTCCTTCCCTCCTCATAACACTGCAGTGAGGGTGGGATGGGGTGATGCTGGTAGATTCTTGCCATTCAATTATGGCATTTGACTAAGGGGACTGTTAAAAATGCAAAACCTGCTAGGTGCAGAGTCTCATGCCTGTAATCCTAGTATTATGGGATCTTTAGGGTATTGCTTTTCTGGCCAGAAACGTCTGTGGCCGGTGGTGCCTTTGCCTGAGTTCTTGTCCCGTGTCCAGAAAGAAAGAGGTACACAGATGAGTGGAAGGTGAGCAAGATGAAGAGGAGATTTATTGCGTGTTACAACAGCTCAGAGGAGACCCGCAGTGGGTAGCTCCTCTCTGTCAGCAGGGTGTCCCATTGAGTGTTCGGCTCTCAGCAGAGAGGAGGCCCTGGAGAGGGTAGCTCCTCTCTGCAACTGGTTGTCCTGATGTCTGCAGCTCTCAGTAGAGAGGGTAGCTCCTCTCTGCAGCTGGTCATCCCATTGTCTCTCTGTCCTCTGGCTCCTCTGGCTGAGCCCAGGGCTTGTTTGGGCCTCAGAGGGGGGAAGTGTGTGTGGATTGGTCCATGGGCAGCCATGGGCAGGCCCAGGAGAAAGCACTGTAATTCCCCTTCTGCTCTGTAGGACTGGCAGCCTGGCCCCCAGGCTTCAGGCCTGCTCTGTCCTGAAGGTAGGGCTTCACTGGGGACCCACCCCTTTCCACCCAGAAGTCTGTCTGCCTCCCTCGGCCATCCATGGTGCCCAGGCTATTGGCACCAAGGGGCACCTGCAGGCCAGCACCCAGCCACCTTCAGCCCCCCTTCAACTTCCCCCACCCCACGCTCCTTGGTGCCCAAAGTTTGGAGGGGGCTGACGCAGCAGGGGGCTGGCATGTCAGCACCACCCCAAGCCTGTGTATACCTGGCCGGGCTGTGACAACACCCAGGCTTGGCCCCAAACCCTGCTCCAAGATCAGAGCAGGAGCCTGGAGTGGGGAGAGCCGGGCAGTGGGAGCAGGAACCTCCAAGCCTGCAAGGGCAAGGGGGGCCTTCCCAGGCTCCCCAAGAGTGCAGGGATGCCTGGGTCTGCAACCCTGGTTTGTGTGACTGCAGCTGTGCTCAGGGCCATGGGGCTCCTGCCTGCTCCATGGAGTTCGAGGCCCAGATCCACAGCTATGACTTGGGCAGCTACAGCCCTGCCCAGGGAGGTGGGACTCCTGCCTACTCCCGGCTCCCAAGAGCACAGGGGTGCCTGAGTTACAGCTGTGGCTTGGGTGGCTGCAGTTTGCACCTTGGGAGCTCCTGCCCCACCAACTTGGAAGGGGCAGGGATCCCACTTGTCCCCAGCTCCCACCAGCTCTGTGGAGCATGGCACTGGGCTGTGACCCCTTGCAGCCTGGGCTGGGGGCTCCAGGTCCTCACTGGGTCTGGGTCATCATCCGGGCAGGAGTGACATTGCTGCGAACGCCCGCTGTGGCCCTGACGCTCGGGGGCAGCCGGGAGCTCTCCCTCCCCCAGCACACAACCCGGCCTGGCCCCATCGCAGAGGTCCCAGGGTGGCGGGCTGCTGGGCAGGGCTGTTTGCCTCCTCCCTGTGTCCTCCCTGCAGCGGCCAGTGTGATGGCAGCTAGTAGCTGCACCAGATGGCCTGCTACTGCCATCACTAAGAATTTGGGAGGCCGAAGAGGGCAAATCACTTGAGCCCAGGAGTTCAAGACCAGCCTGGGCAACATGATGAAACCCCATCTGTACAAAAATATACAAAAAATTAGGTGGGCATGGTGGCACACAGCTGTAGTCACAGCTACTTGGGAGCTCGCCTGAGCTTAGGAGGTTGAGGCTGCAGTGAGCCGTGACTGCACCACTGCACTCCAGCCTGGGTGATAGAGCAAGGCTCTTGCTAAAAACAAAAATGATAAAACAACAATTGCAAAACCCAGGCTACCATAGACGTACTGATTCAGAATCTGAATCTAACAAGGTGCCCAGGTGACCTCTTAGTATGTGAGAGTCTGAGAAAGCGTGGCTTGCTGCCCAACTAACAGCTCTTTCTGCCCACTCCCTCGCTGACAGCTTGTAAAACAAGTGCTATTTCAGGAAGGAATAACCCGCTTAGGTCTTTAGGGACTCTGGAAGGAGTTGTAAGGTGAGACTATAATCAAGGAAAGTTCTAAGAATTATGGGCTTCAACCACATAGAGACAGGTTTAACCTCATCACGGCGGGTGCCTTGGACAGCCTTCCTCCACTGCCTCTTAACACAGTTCGTACTTTTGAAGACCCAGGGATGCTGGAGCTCACCAGCATTACACCCACTCATTTTGATATTAGGGTTGTGGTGAGTCATCAAATCAGCCGGAACCAATTAAGACTGAACCGTTAAGATCCCTGCTGGCATCACCGCACATGGTCCTGGAAACAGAGGGACTGATCCAGTGAAACCCCACGTGGGGCAGCAGCCCATTGATGGGACACAGGATGTTTCCACAATGCTCCTTAAGTCAGCAGGGTACCCCCATTAACATATGGCCGCTTCCAATGCCCAGCCTGCAGGTGGCGGCCATTCTATTTCCATTTACACCGCAGCAGCGTCCTAACTGCTGCTTTGCTGAATTAGCCCTGCAGGGCTCAAAGGAAGCGCTTCGCAGAGCTCCCGTTCAGATTAACGTGTAAAATTTAATTACGGAGGCCTGGGCTATCGCAAGGTTTAAAGCCATTTACTAAGCCTGGGAGCTACAGAGTCCTCCCTGAGACTCCTGTGTCTAGGGAGGCCCAAGCAGCCCTTTGATCATTAAGGGCTGAGAATATCTCAGCTTGCATATTAGGGTCAGGAAATTATCTTTCCACTTTCCCTACTAAATGGACAAAGTATTCATCTTGGGGCGAAAGAGCAATTCTGAAACTCCAAGAGAAAGCAAGGACTTCCAGAAGCCATTGGTCCAGGTCCCCATCTCTAAGTGGCTTGATAGCTAAATCCAATAACCAGATAAAAATAAAAAGTACAAGGGAGGCAAAGTCCCTGTCCCCTAGGAACTCAAAGATGAATAGAGCAATAGTCACAAGACACATAGATAAGTAAATGCAGTACAGTGAGTGAGTCAATAGAATAAGAAGATTCACTCAGCCCTTGGGAATATTCCAGGAAGGCTTCCCAGAGGAGGTGGCTCATCCTCAGGGTTTTGAAGAATAAAAAGGAGTTATTTTTACAAATAAAGGAGTGAGTGGCTGTGGGGAAGGACATTTCAGGCAGAAGAGTTCTGCTAGCTCTAGAATTTATAGGAGCAAAACTTCTTCAGTCCAGCGTACGTGTCTGGAAGATTCTCTGCTGCTCAGCTCTATATGGAGTTGGACAACTGGTCGGCATCTGTTCCCTAAAAACTTTAGATTGTCACCTCCTCAAGGGCATAGCTATGCCTCCTAGATTCCCAGCAGTATCAGAAGGAGACGCTGAGCTCGTAAGAGAATTTTAGTGCAGTGCTGGAGCCCTTAACACCCAATTCCCAGGCCCCCACCCTGCATGAACCAACTCTTGTCCAGGTTTCAAACTTGGACACACAATTCCCTTAATGCACAATTCTCAGGCCCCTCCCCTGCATGAGCCAACCCTTGCCCAGGTTTCAAACTTCAATTCCTTTTACCTATAGCGAAGTATGATTTTTTTCTCCATCACTTTATACCAAATAGAATGAAGAAAGTGAGGCAGGATGAGTGGATTTACGGCCTCAAATGAATTTCAAGATGAATAAGAACAGTCGCAATTAAAATCAAATTTCTGAGACAGGATTTGATCTCTTTCAAGGAGAGAGCGGGCCTGGCCTTGCCCACAGCCACAGATGCCCCTTAATGGGGTTTGAGATGCTAGGATGTGGGACTCGGGAGGAAACACCTGGGGAACGCCGCACCTTTGAAGCTCATTTTGTCAAGGTTCTTTCACGGCGGTATCACCGGAGACCAAATACCATTTTTAATTACTCACGAAAGCACGAGATGGTTGCCTCTTCTCAGGCACACTCCTCGCTCTTCACTTCAATCCTTTTTTTTTCTTTCTTTGAGACGGAGTCACTCTGTCGTCCAGGCTGGAGTGCAGTCGCGCCATCCCGGCTCACTGCAACCTCCGCCTCCCAGGTTCAAGTGATTCTCCTGCCTCAGCCTCCCAAGTAGCTGGGATTATAGGCACGCGCCACCACGCGCTGCTAATTTTGTATTTTTGATGGAGACGGGGTTTCACTATCTTAGCCAGGCTTGTCTCGAACTCCCGATCTCAGGTGATCTGCCTGCCTCAGCCTCCCAAAGTGCTGGGATTACAGGTGTGAGCCACTGCGCCTGGCTCTTCACTTCAGTCTTATCTTCAGGCTGTCTCTGTCTCCTTGGCTGGGGGAAAGACGCCAGTCAGCTATTTTTTCTGTGGCCCAGGTGAGGATAAATGAGGGCTCCAGGGGGTCAGGGATTTGCTCAGAGTTGGTTAGAAAAAAGCTTAATAGCTGCTGATACTGAGCACCTGCCAGGGGCTTGACACACTTTTTCTTTCATCTCGTGACTCCCGAGGTAGGTATGGTTAGTTTTATTTTGTGGGTGAGAAAACAGGCTCAGAAAGGTTATGAAACTGGCTCAGGGTCACATAGCGGGTGGCTGAAATTTAAATCTGGGTCTTCTGACCCAAAGCCTGGTGGTTTCCCATCTGCCCTCTTGATGCAGGAGTCCAAAGAGGAGGCCAGGGGGCATGCTCAGAAGCTGCGAAGGGGAGCTAGACCTGCCTCCATCAAGGAGTCCAGGTGTCTGGGATCCACCTGTCTACCTCCCTCCCAACCTTATGGAATATTCCTCAGAGTCTCCCCCTACCCAAATTTGGTAGGGTTTCTCTTCGTTCAGAAGCTCTGGCCTTCTTCTTCAGCTATTTCCTTATTTTGGTGGTGTCTGAGTGAACCCAGGACAAGACCTGCCAAGGAATTTTCTATGTCAGTCTGAAAGAAAAGCTCACCTCCTCCATCGCTTGCAGCAGGGGTTCCAGCTGGAGTCTGCAAAGCCAGGGCGATTCTCCCTTCCCCATAAGGGACATCTGGATATGTCTGGACACATTTCTGATTGTCACATCTGGGAGGGTGGGTGCTGATGACGTCTGGTGGGTAAATGCCAGGAGTGGTGTTAAACATCCGGCAAGGCCCGGGACAGCCCCCGCCACAAAGAATAATTCAGCTCAAAGTGTCACCACTGCTGTGGTTGAGAAACCTGCTGTGAAAAATGCCAGGAGGGAGGAGAAAGGAGCCCCTTAACTTCAGTGCCTTATGTCCATGGGACACTGACACCCCCAGGCAGAAGCAGCCACTTCACTTGGCAGGGCGGCACAAAATGAAAATGTTGCAATTCTTGTGAAAAATGATTTAAAATTTCAAGACAGCAACAGCAGACCATTAAACAAGGGCCTGTGGGACTGGCCAGGACACCCACCTAGGAAGCTGGAAAGAGCTCTCTGCTGGTCCCTGGGATCCCCTGGGTGCCCTGTCCTCAGCTCTCAGGCTTGTAGTCACACGACTCCTCCAAAGAGTTCAGGCCAGAACACTGAGACGGCAGTGCCTGCTGAGAATCTGAAGTGGCAGACTCACCTTTCCTTTATGGAGGAAAAAATCTCACTTTTGACTGTCAGGGAATGAAGGGACAGGACTCAGAGGACTGTCTAGGAGGTCCTGAGTCCTCCCCCGTCCTACTGCTTCTTGGGAGGGTCAATATGCCACGAGGGTTTTCAAGCACAAAGTAATTAAGAGGAGGAGCAGAAAGCTTCCAGTCTCCAAGCTGGTAGCCCCCAGGGCTGAATCTGTGGTTTTCTGTTTGCTGTGACACTTCATCTGTAGAGGGCCGCTCTGGGAAAGAGCGGTGCATACTGGGCTCCATCTGAGGAACAGATCCTGGAAATGACCTTCTCTCCTTGTCTCTCCCTGTCTCTCCCACACCCCCTCAATAAGCAGCCTCCTGCCATTTATTTCAATGATATTGCTTTTGTTTTGTTTCATTTTTCTTAAGCATTTTATTTTTATTTTTATTTTTGAGAGGGAGTCTTCCTCCGTCACCCAGGCTGGAGTGCAGTGGCATGATTTTGGCTCACTGCAACTCTGCCTCCCAGGTTCAAGCGATTCTCCTGCCTCAGCCTCTGGAGCAGCTGAGATTACAGGCACACACCACCACACCTGGATAATTTTTGTATTTTAGTAGAGACCCGTTTTTGTCATGTTGGCCAGGCTGGTCTCGAACTCCTGGCTTTAAGTGATCTGCCCGCCTCGGCCTCCCAAAGTGCTGGGATTACAGGCGTGAGCCACTGTGCCCAGCCTTGAGCATTTTACAGTTAGATTGTTCTTCAGGGTTGAGGGTGTTTTTGCAAACCATCTCACATGCCTTTGAGAAGATCGGAGGGAGGGCTGCAGGGGTGTGAGTGGTAGCCCAGGTGGACAGGAGCAGCCACGAGGGGCCCACCGTGAATCAGATCGTCTGTGGAACAGGAGAGAAGGGCCCTGCCACCTGCTCAGGCAGCCCCCACAGCAGATAGTTGTAGATTTCCAGAGCTTCAGCTTCCCTTTCAAGAGTGGAGGGGAAAAAAAGCAAGAGGAAGGCCTGGGGGCTAGGGCAACCCACCCACCAGACAATGATCACAGACCAGCCACCATCAGCCACAAATTCTGCAGCTCAGGTCTAATAGTAATCACTGGTGCTGTAAACATTTAAGCACCTACTGCCTTCTGGTACGCATATGGGCATCAGCATGGTAAGTAGCGAAGAGCATGGATGGACCCTTGAACCAGACTCCAGCTTGAATTCCAACTGCCACTTAATGGCTGTATAACCTTAATCTCTCTGTGACTTAGTTTCCTTGTGTATAAAGTGTGGGACCTACCTCATCGGGGTCACTATCCATAGCTTAATTTTTATAAAGTGCTTAGGAAAGTATTTGACACGTGGTAAGCACTAATATAAAGAGGTGTAAAGAAAAATCATGCCTATAATCCTAGCACTTTGGGAGGCTGAGGTGGGTGGATCACTTGAGGTCAGGAGTTCAAAATCAGCCTGGCCAACATGAAGAAACCCCGTCTCTACTAAAAATAGAAAAAAATTAGCTGGGCGTGATGGTGCACACCTGTAATCCCTGCTACTCAGGAGGCTGAGGCAGGAGAATTGCTTAAACCCGGGAGGCAGAGGTTGCAGTGAGCTATCGCACCACTGCACTCCAGCCTGGGCAACAGAGCGAGACTCTGACTCAAAAGAAAGACAAAAATTAAATTACCAGATTTAATCCCCATGGTAACCCTAAGAGGTAGGGACTGTTATCGTCCACATTAATAGACAGGACACTTGGAACACAGAGAGGCTGAGACCCAGGTCCAGAGTCACACAGCTCGTCTGAGGCAGAGCCTGGATTCAAATCCAAGCAGTCTGGCTTTCTGTAGGACTGTGTCCTCTCTCCAAGGGGAGGATGGAGCTTGACCACCTGTGTTCAGGTCCTGGCTTACCCATCAATTAGCTTGGGCTCCAATATCCTCCTCTGAAGTCAAGGAGGTTCCCCAGATGTCGTGGATGACTCCCATGAGTGGCTCTTAGAGGCCAGGAGGCCTGGGTGTCTAGTCAGTGTCCTGGCCTCAGTCCTGGCCTCTGGGACAAGGGAATTGTGGATAGGGGAGCAGCTGTCCCTGAGCAGGGTGGATGGATGTGGCAGTTTCCAGCCCAGCTCACTGCACCCGCTGTCAGCCGTTATTGAAACACATAGCCAGGGCTGGGTAACAAGACGGCCACAGAAATGATCTGAAGTGGATTTAATCATTGCCCTGGTCCCTGCCAACTCTTGTCCACTTAGGGGTTTTGCCTGTCTCGCTCGGACTTGACAGTCTGGACACTCAAGGTGATGAGCTGCCCAGAGCACCCAAGACCCAGACTCCACCCAGGACTGTCCTCTCCTGGACCACCTGCCTGAAACTTCCATCCTGACCCTTCTCCACCTTCTCAATGGGACCTGGGGTGAGAGCCCAAGCTGGGAGCGCCGGCCTGGCATTGTGTAGTTTAGACAAGTCCTTGAAGCAGGGCAGGTGGGGGAATGGGGAGGAGTCGGGGGCTCAGGCCCCCATGTTCCTCCCCAGCACAGCCTCACCTGCTCTGCCTCAGAGTGACTCAGGACAAAATCCCCAGGTGGCTCTGATGGTACTTGAAGTGACAGAGGGAAGGAGGAATCTGGAATGGAGACCCCAGCCCCAGGCCCTTGAGCTCAACCCAGCACCAGCCCCCAGACCTGTTCACTCTTTGGCCTTCCAGGGCCAGCCCCAGGCTGGGCTGTCACTGATGTGGGTGAGCAGGAGTGGTCCCCGTTCCTCACAGGGGCTTCTCTCTATGCACACCTCACATCATCCCCCGACCTCCAGGCATAAACCAGCCTTGCAGCCCTGACTCCAGACCTGTCCAGAGAAAGTGCCACCTGCCTGGGGAGCTGATGCAGATGAGAGGGAAGGAGAGAGAGACAGTGTCCCCTGCACCATGCCCTGAACTTCCCAAGGGACCTTCATCAAGCTCCCCTGGGGGCTGTATTGTTAAAATGCACAGATTCTTGGACCTCGACTCTGGACTTCCAGAAGCGAAATCTCTGCGGGGGTGGAGGAATTGGGCACTGATTCTAATGAAGTCCCCAGGGCAATCTCACCTGCTTTAGAGCAGAGGTTGGTACCCTGGCTGCACATCAGAGTCTCATGGGAAATCTAAACACATCCGTTCCAGGGCCTCACCCCCAGACCAAGCAGACCAGTGTCAGGGCTGGACATCAGGCATTCGTATTTTGTAAAAAATGATTAAAATGTGCACCCAGGGTTGAGAACTGCTTCAGAATTTGCAGACCTCCAGCTGGGTCTGACCCAGGAAAACAGGAAACAAGAGAGATGGTGTCAGCTGGGGCCCTTCACTGGTGGGGCCAGGTGGGTGGGGGGAACATCCCCACGATCCAGGCGACCCCCACCGCTGGCCAGGCAACCTCATGGCTGAAGGCGAGGAGGGACGCAGGCACGAGGGCCTTGGCGTAAGGAAGCTGGCTCTGCAGTCAGGCCCTGCCCTGGGGCTGTTCAGATGCCCAGGAGGGCAGGTTTATGCGAATGAAGCAATTACAGAACCATTTAAAAGAGTGAGGGAACTTGGTCCAGAAATGCCTGTGGAGCTTTCAAAAGGGGTGAGTGACCTCATCCAGCCAAGAAAGGGTCTGGGAGAGAAGCTGGAGGCCGAGGTCTTCAGTCTAGGCTAGGGGAGGGGAGAGAACGTTTAAGAGGGTGGCAGGCATTCCTGTCCCAAGTCACCAACTGGGTAGCGCTCTTGTTTGTCTTATGCAAGAGTGTTTAGATAAGAACAGGCTTTTGCATTTCAAAAAGGAGCCTGTTCTTCCTCGCCTTGCTTCTTCCTGTGCTGAGTAAACGGAAGGCACACCCTTGTTTCCCTCCCTATTCACAGCTCCTCTGTCCGCCACAAAGACAACCTCCTCCCCTTCTGCCCTCGTCTTCTGCCTGTGGACATTCAAGGGACCCCGCTCCTCCTTCATCCTTTCTCTCCTGCACGAATGAATCGTTTCCCGTGAATCTGCTCTTTGAAAAACCCCTTCCTAACTTCCATCTCTCTTCCTCTGCTCTCTTTGATGCCATCGCTTCTTAAAAGGGAGGCCTAGACTCACTGCTGTCTCACTTTTGTACGTTTATTTTCATCATGGTAAAATATACATAGCATAATATTTACCATTTGAGCCCTTTTAAGGTGTACAATTCAGTGGCATTTACATTCAAAACATTGTGCAACCATCCTGATGATCTATTTCCAGAGCTTTTTTTTTTTTTTTTAAATCATCCCAAACAAATTCTGGAACTGTGAGATAATAATGTCCCATTCTTTTCTCCTCCCAGTTCCTGGTAACCTCCATTCTTTCTGTCTCTATGAATTTGCCTATTGTAGAAACCTCGTGTAAGTGACATCATTCCATATGGGGCCTTTGTGTCTGGCTTATTTCACCTAACATCATGTTGCAGCAAGGTTCATTTCATTTCTTTTTATGGCTGAATAATATTCCCTCGTACAGATGGACAGCAGGTGTTGACCTATTCATCGGTTGTCTATTCGGCCTCCACAATCCACTGTTTTCATCCCTTCTTGCTGTCTCTACTTCTATGACCCTGGCCTAAGTCACCATTTTCTTCCACCAGAGTGCTCAGTGGCCTCCTCTGAGATTTCACTCTTTTTTTTTTCTTTTAAACAGCGTTATTGAAATGTAATTCATATATTATGTAATTCTCCCATTTAAAGTGGACAATTCAGGCTACTCTGCCTATGGAGTGGCCATGCTTTTGTTTCTTTACTTCTCTAATAAGCTTGCTTTCACTTAAAAAAAAAAAGTATACAATTCAATGGTTGCTAGTATATTCCATGTAGCTGCAATCGTCACCGTGGTCCATTTTACAGCATTTGTATCACCTCAAAAAGAAGCTCTGACCCTTCAGCTATCTCCCCTCCCCAAC
The DNA here is from genome assembly GCF_000001405.40 of Homo sapiens. Classification (NCBI taxonomy): domain Eukaryota; kingdom Metazoa; phylum Chordata; class Mammalia; order Primates; family Hominidae; genus Homo; species Homo sapiens. Next base: position 73,829,221 of record NC_000017.11, read on the forward strand.
GCTCACCCTTACAGCCCTAGGCAACTAGTAATCTACTTTCTGTCTCTAGAGATTTGCCTCTTCTGGGCATTTTGTCTAAATGGAATCATACAATCCGTGGTCTTTTGTGAATGGCTTCCTTCACTTATCGTGATGGTTCCCGGGTTCATTCATGCTGTCCTATCGGCACTTCATTCCTTTCTATGGCCAAATAACTACCTCATTGTATGGATTCATTGGTGGACATTTATGTCGTTTCTATCTTTGGGCTATTACAAATAATGCTGCTTTAAACATTTTGTACAGGTTTCTGTATGAATATATGTTTTCGTTTCTCGTGGGTCTATACAGAGGAGTGGAACTGTGGGTCACACGGTAACTCTGTGTAATCGTTTGAGGACCTGCAGGCCACAGTGGCTGTCCTGCCTCCTCTCTTGCCTCTTTCAAAACTCCTCTTCACAGAGCAGCTGATGCGATCTTTCAAAAATGAACTTCAAATCATGTTTCATCTTTCTTGTAAAATCCTTCAATGACTTCCCAGCGTTCTTAGAATAAAACAAACATCATCACCATGGTCTACAAGACCCTGTGGCTGGGCACCAACTCCTTCTGGGACCATCCCTGCCTGCCTGTAGGGCTCCCGCTCCTTTGGGCGTCCCGGCCGCTGCTCCAGCAGGCCTAGGAACTTTCTCGTGAAGTCATCTGCGCTGGCTCCTCCCTCTGCTGGAACAGTCTTCGCTCTTGTTTCAGCCTCCTGTGGACGCTGTAACCAATTGCCATCAACTGGGTGCCTTCAAACAACAGAAATGGCTTCTCTCATCATTGTGGAGGCCCAGCTCTAAAGTCAAGGTCTTGCCAGGGGCCTGTTCCCTCTGAAGGCTGTGGGAGAGCATCCTCTTTGCCTCTTCCAGCTGCAGGTGGTTACCACCAATCCTCCGGGTTCCCTGGCTTGTAGCTGCATCGCTGCAGCCTCTGCCACTGTTGTCACGAGGCCATCTCCCTCTGCGTGTCTGTGCTTTCACTGTCTTTCCTCTGTGCATGGCTGTGTCTCTTCTCCCTTCATATGAGGACACAAATCATATTGGGTTAAGGGCCCATCTTACTCTAGTATGACCTCACATTAACTACATCTGCAATGATCCTATTTGCACATAAGATCATATTCTGGCAGGGCATGGTGGCACACGCTGCAATCCCTGCACTTTGGGAGGTCAAGGTGGGAGGATTGCTTGAGGCCAGGATTCAAGACCAGCCTGGGCAACACACTAAGACCCTGATTCTTTAAAAAAAAAAAAAAAAAAAAAAAATTCTGAGGTTCCTGGAGAAAATATGAATGGTGGTGGGGGCAGGGGAGGGCACTATTCAACCCTGTATAGCACAGTTCCTCATGTCCCAGCTCAGATTTCAACTCCTTCTCACCCACTATCCCCACCCCAGCTCCCCTCTCCCAGGGCACCTTTCTGGTTTCTTTTTGGCACCTTCACAAGCTGTAAGTAGGTGTTGTTGTTGGTTATTCATCCATTTCCCCTACTGGGTGAAAGCTCCCTGAAGGCTGCTCCTTGTCTATCAAGCTCATCACTCTGCCACTGTGATCCACTGCCTGATGCAGGGTGACTCTTCAGCAACGTGGAAGGAGACAGGGAAGATCCTGGTCCTGCAAGAGGAAGCCTGGACACAAGGTGTGCATGGGCCCCGAGCAGTCCACCAACACACGCTGTGGCGTGTATCAGCACTTCCTTCCTTTACATGGACAAATGCGATCCCATCATATGGACACACACACTCCGTTTATCCATTCACCAGTTGATGGACATTGGCATCGTTTCCATCTTTTAAAAAGAACATATAGTTGTACATATTTATGGGGTATAGTGTGATGTGTCCACACATGTATAGCTTGTGTAAGGATCAAATCAGGGTAATTAGCAAATTCATCACCTCCAATATTTGTCATGTCTTTGCGGTGAGCACATTCGAAGTCCTCTCTTCTAGGTATTTTGAAATATTCCGTACATTAGTATTAACAATAGCCACTCTTCTGTGCCAGAGAAGAACAGAATGTTTTCCTCCCATCTAATTGTATGTTGTTTTCATCATGGTGTCCACCGTGAGGCCTTGGCCTTTGGCGTACCAGTCACTGAGTGCTCAGTGGGTGACTCCAGCCCATCTCAACAACGTTGGTGACAGTGTCAGCTCTCAAGGGCAGGATTCAGTCATCCAACCCACTTTGCACCTCCAAGCATCGATGACAGGTGGGTATTCAGAAAACGTGCTGAAAACTTCATGGAAGCTACAGCTCGACTCCCAAGAGAGAAGCCTGTCTTTGAAGTGCCTGTGGAATGAGAATGACCTTCCTCTGTCAAACTTCCTTTCCAGTATGATGTTTTAGTCAATCCAGAGATGTATTCCTTCCTGTGCATTGGGGATGGACTTGCATCTGGGGAGGGTGTCTGGGGTCAGATCATCCCAGGCCACTAGGACCTGAGGTGTTGAAAATCCTGGAGGATCACTGCTGTACCCAGTGCATTGACGGCCCCACTCTCCTGGCCGTCTGCCTTCTACAGCCTCTGCTGAGATGAAGGCAATTTGGCTGGATGTGGTGAGGAATCTGTACAGGGAAGAGAGGCTGTTGCAGAGGAGGCAGCTGTAGGAGCGTCAGCACCCAGGAACGCACTCTCTGGAGCCTGGTGCAGAAATAGCACCCACTGCGTGTGGTGAGTGTCTGGTGTCTGGCATTCTGTGATGCTCTTCGGTTTTAAGACACCTGCCAGGAACAAAGTGGGGACTGGTAAACCAAGGTGCAAGATTGCAAAAGAGGCTCTACTTCCCCCTGCCTTCCTGTATTCTCATCCTTTGCAATATGACTTTGCATCTTCCCCCATCAAGAGCTGGAGTCTATTTCCCTCCCATATTAGCTTCCTAGGGCTGCTGTAGCAAATTGCCATAAAGCAGGTGGCTGAAACAACAGAATAAGTCCAAAGTCAAGTTGTTGGAAGGGCCATGCTCTCTCTGAAGGCTCTAGGGGAGAATCCACTCCAGATCTCTCTCCTGGTGTCAATCCTTGGACTTGCTTGGCTTGTAGCTCCATCACTCCAATCTCTGCCTCTGACTTTGTGTGTCTTTCTCACTGTGTCTCTCTGTCTCTGTGTCTTCCTCTCTTCTTACAAGGATGCCGGTCATTGGATTTGGAGCCCACTCTAAATCTAGGATGTTTGCACCTGGAGATCCCTAATTATTTACATCTGCAAAGACCCTATTTCCAAGGAAAGTCACATTCTGAGGTTCCAGATGGACACGCATTTTTTGGGGACACTATTCAAACTACTACACCACCCCTTGAATCTGAACTGGCCATTTGTCTTGCTGTGGTCAACAGAAGCTGGTAGAAGTGACAATGTGTCCACTCTAAGGCCATGAAGCCTCCACTCTTGACCGTGGAACACTAAGACCACCTGTGAACAAGCCTGAACTAGCCCATGGCCCAGCTAGGCCAACCAGCCTCCAGCCCACCCAGCAGTTGTGCAGATGAATGCAGCTGAGCTCAGTGAAGCTCAGTAGAACATCTCAGACCAGCTGAGTCCACTGTAAATTGGCAAACCACAGAATTGAGACTGAGTATATGGTTGTTGTTTGAGGCCACACCAAGTTTAGGGTTATTTGTTACACAGTAGTCGATGACTGATTCACAAGGTGTTATTGGTTTAGGGCAAATGGGAGATGAGTGCCATTTCTGGGTGCTGCCCACGTATAACAAAAACCAAAGTCTTGGCTGGGCGCAGTGGCTCACACCTGTAATCCCAGCACTTTGGGAGTCCGAGGTGGGAGGATCACGAGGTCAGGAATTCGAGACCAGCCTGGCTAAGATGGTGAAACGCTGTCTCTACTAAAAATACAAAAATTAGCTGGGCATGGTTGCAGGCACCTGTAGTACCAGCTGCTCGGGAGGCTGAGGCAGAAGTTTGAACCTGGGAAGTGAAGGTTGCAGTGAGCCGAGATAGTGCAATTGCACTCCAGCCTGGGTGACAGGGTGAGACTCCATCTCAAAAAAATAAAAAAATAAATAAATAAAATAAAATAAAAAACTAAAGGCTTGGATCTAAACCATCTACTAGTGGCAGGAAGTCTAGGCATCTTCTGAGCCACCCTCAGGATCAAATAAAGCTACTGGCTGGGTGTGGTGGTTCACGTCTGTAATCCCAGCACTTTGCGAGGCCGAGGCGGATGGATCATGAGGTCAGGAGTTCAAGACCAGCCTGGCCAAGATGGTGAAACCCCGTCTCTACTAAAAATACAAGAAATTAGCTGGGCATGGTGGCAGGCGCCTGTAATCCCAGCTACCTGGGAGGCTGAGACAGGAGAATCACTTGAACCCAGGGGGCAGAGGTTGCAGTGAGCCAAGATGGTGCCACTGCACTCAAGCCTGGGCGACAGAGTGAGACTCTGTCTCTAAAAATAATAATAATAATAATAATAATAATAATAATAATAATAATAATAATAAAGCTACTGAATCCCTTCACCAATGGAGGCACGCTCATATACCTCTTGGCATCTCTCTACAGTCCCCTTAATGTGCAGCCATGCACACAGTGGTGCCTATTAAAGGCATGGAGGTGGTGGTGGAGAACATGACAGAAGCTAGGTTCGTAGCCCATTAGAGTCATGAAAAAAAATGAGTAATTCCCAGCTTCTTCCGCTCACTGCCTCTCCATCTTCTGGAGCATGACAAGAGGCATATTCCTCCTGTGACTCGCAGTCACGTGGAAGCAGAGAAGCTGCCAGTTTGAAATCCCAGAGATGGGACCCCCCACCTGGCCAGGGCCACCGATTAAGAGCCCGAGAGCCAGCCATCAGCAGGAGCCTCAAAAATGCTGGCTGAAATTAATCACTTGCCTTGCAAGGGTATTTATTTTCTCCTTTATACCTGGAGAGAAATGGGCTGTGAACTGGAAATTTCCAGAGCAGTAGGCTGAACTTTTTGTGTGAATGGCAACGACTTTCTTTTAAAGTGCCACCATTTGCTCAGTTCAATTTCACCATTAAAGGACAATGGCCAATTTTCTGTGGACCTGGGATGTCGGTTTTGTCTAAAGCGTGAGCGTGTGGGGAATTTACTAACCTGGCTGTGATTGCCCATGAAAACAGGTTATTTAACAGGATTTAAATACTGTGCTCTGAAGCTCAACAGCAGTGAGGAGGCAGCCGGAGAATTGGAGTGGCGCATTTCCCTTCCAGCGCTAATGAGAGAAGGCAGGAAAAGCGAGCGTGATAGATAAGAGGCGGGCGGAGAGAGACAAGACAGAACTAGGGCCAAAGAGATGGGTGAGGGACCCCAATCAAGAGACAACGCCTGCTTTTAAAAAGGTGACCTTAAAATTCAGTCACTTGTTCACAGGTTTTATTCAACAAGTGTTTGTTAAAGGGTCTGCTGGGCTCAAGGTTCTCAGGTGCCATGAAAACCAAGCCCGCTACCAATTTTTGCAGGATTCTTGGAGGAGGTGTTTTGGAGCCGATTTTTAACTTAATTTTTTGATGCTTCTGCCAGTCGTTCCCTGCCAACCTTCTGAACTCTCCCTGCCTTGCTGGCTTGCTAAGTGAAGCCCTGAACAGAATATGGGGATGAGTGTCAGGAGGTTGGTCCTTCCATAAACTGACTCGAATCTTCGATTACGGTGTGGCCTCAGTTTTCTCATCTGTCAAATGGGAGTCATTATACCTAACTCACGTCTTCAGGCTTAAACAAGAGCGTAGGTAAAGATTCTGACACAATACCAGCTACTTGTGAGATGGACACAGCCGCCGTTTCCTTTTTCTTCCCTCTTGACATTTGCCAGGCTAGAATACGTCCTTTCTAAAATTTTGCTTAGGGGTGTGTCTCTTCCAGAAAGTCTTCCCTCTACCTAGGTGCTATTGAACTTTGGCATGGCCCTGCCCTTCGCAGCACAGGGCGGTGTCTAAGAGTGAGGGCTGGGGACGGGCTTTGAGATTCACATCTTGGCTCCCGGGCTCACCTGCAGTGTGATAGTGAATGAGATGTTTATCTCTTTCAATTCTCAGTTTCTCGTTAGAAACAGTACGTGCTCTGTAGGGCTGTTAGGGTTAAATGAGGCAGCCCATATAAAACGCTTTCCTGGGTCCTGGCACGTAGTATGTGTTCAATAAATGACAGCTGTTACCCATCATCCTCATGAACCATGACCCTGATCACCGGTGGTTTCCTAGAGGACTGCAAGTCTATTCTACAACTGCCATTAATAAAGAAATCTTTCTTCTTATTTGAAAAACAAAAGCAAAACACCCCTGCCCAAACCCACCTCAGTGAAATGCTGCCTGCCTCCTCTGCAGAGTCCTGCCCCTTCCAAGTAGAAAGAATTTTACTTCCAGGCTTAATTCGCCCAATTACTCCATCCGTTACAACTTACTCCTCTCCTCTAGTGTACCCAGAGTCTTTGAAGACAGACTGTACTGGGTGAGGAAACAGAAAATGCTCAATTTTCTATACAAACGGCAGGAAAGAAACACTTTTTTTCCACTGGGCTTGAGAATGAATTATGTGACCTCTCTACACCACAACCTGTCTCGCTTATTCTGTTTTGCTTACTCTAATTTCCAAACGGCTTTTCATTTCCTGCGTAAGCACTGTCTGAGATAGACGGTGGGGGACTGGACAGAGAAGGGTGGGAGTTAGGGGAGGAGGAAGCAGTAGTGGCTGAGCAGTATAATTCCCCCACAACACATTTTCCAAACCTCAAATCAGGACCCGGAGCCCTGGAAGATTTGCGTGCAAGTGGATTTGAGAGAAGGCAATCTAGGAGACATTGTTTGGTTGCTGAAAATATTGACGTTTCTATGGTTTATGAGAACAAAGGAATAGAATTCTTGAAATCAGAGCTGTTCTGAAAAGTCCAGGGAGTGTGGTGACCGTGGTGGGTCCAGGGAATCTCATCTTGAATTTTAAGTTTGCTACAAAATGAAAGATCAGAAGTGAATGACACGTCACAGTGGCAGTCTAGGGGCACCTGTAAGAGCTGAGCTTATTGTATGATATCAGGTTTTCTGTTATAGTCTCTCACTGCCCCAAACATCGACTATTTGTCATTATTTATCGATTAACGGTCATTAATTATTGGCATGCTATTTTCCTAATGGTGCTCCCCCCGCCTCCCCATCGCTCTATCCTGAGCTCCTGAGTGGGGTTGTGCCTGACTACTGTGTTCAACATCATGCCGTTAGGAGATGCTCAGTATACTTGTTGAATAAAATGGACACAAGTGTATTCCTGAAACATGCTCTTTACCTTGGTAGGAAGTGACCAGAAGAGTCAGCACCAAGAAATCTTGCTGTCCACTTGGGCCCACCAGCGGCTCTCCCTGCATACCTAGCCACCAGACTGGAGGAAACCAGCAGTAGTTGTGGATTGGACCCCACAGTCAGCCCCACTCAGGACTCCAGAAGATGTTTTGTCTGTTTGCTGTTTCTGGTGTGCGGATGCTTGTTTAGTGTTCTGGCCAGCCACTGCCCCACCCAGACTTTAGGCACCTGTGTGGCCATTGCCTGGGCCACACGGGAGCTGGTGGGGGCAGAGCCCTCAGTGTCTGTCTTCCTCATGTCTTTTCCTTCCCTGTCGGATACGGTTTGGCTGTGTCCCCACCCAAATCTCATCTTGAATTGTAGCTCCCATAATTTCCATGTGCTGTGAGAGGAACCCAGTGGGAGATCATTGAATCATGAGAGCAGTTTCCCTCATACTGTTCTCGTGGTGGTGAATAAGTCTCAAGAGAGCTGCTGGTTTTATAAGGGGAAACCCCTTTCACTTGGCTCTCTCATTCTCTCTTGTCTGCCGCCATGTAAGATGTGCCTTTCACTTTCTGCCATGATTGTGAGGCCTCCCCAGCCACATGGAACTGTAAGTCCATTAAACCTCTTAGTCTTTATAAATTTTTCTTTATAAACCCAGTCCCAGGTGTGTCTTTATCAGCAGCGTGAAAATGGACTAATACACTCTCCCTGGATCACATTAACACCTTCTCCCCCTGGGGTTCTGGCCTCCTCTGGGTCGTGTCCAACATGATCTGTCAGTCTCTGGTCAACAGTGATTTTCCAACGTGCCCCGTGTTGGGAAGAGATGAGGGGAGGAAAGTGTGGATCTTAAATATGGAGTGGGAAGAGGGAGGAGGGAGAACAAAATATATAGAGTTACAAAGGAGAGAAATTATATTATGACATGGCTATCAAACTATTCAAAAGAGCAAATCTGTAGTAATTTGTGTGTGGTTTTGTTTTTTTGTTTTTTGTTTTTTTAGACAGGGTCTTGCTCCAGGCTAGAGTGCAGTGGTATGATCTTGACTCACTGCAGCCTCAACCTCCTGGGTTCAAGCGATCCTCCCACCTTAGTCTCTCGAGTAGCTGGGACTACAGGCACATGCCACCATGCCTGGCTAATTTTTGTATTTTTTTATGTGTGTGTAGAGACAAGATTGTTCCATGTTGCTTGGGCTGGTCTTGAATTCCTGGGCTCAAGTAATCCTTCCGCCTCAGCCTCCCAAAGTGCTGGGATTACAGGAGTAAGGCACCAAACTTGGCCGATTTGCATTTTAAAAACTGAATATCTGTTCATTTGTGTGCTCCTTTATTAACATGTTAAATAGCAAGATTTAGCAGCAGGTCTAACAGGTCTAATGGCTACCATAATTTCAAAGTAGTGATGAGCAGAAACAATATTTTGAGATATCTACGACAACTAAAATGTAATATGAAAATATCTGTGTTTTCCATTGGTGCAAAAGTCTCGGTTGTTGCTAATATTTCTGTGGTTTGTTGTCCATCTTCATAACAGAAGTAAATGATAACTTTTATTTGAGGCCAGTGAGAATAAGGATGTATTATTCTCCACCCAAGTGTGCAGACCCCTTGAATTCTGTCATGGACTCTAAGGTAGAGCTCACATTAGGTTGGTGTATCTTTTGTGCTTTGTGCACAGAGGTGTCCGCTTTCTTACTAAAATAATTCCCAAGTCACAGAGAACTTCCTTAGCCTCAAGAGGCTGTAGGAAGTATGTATGGTAGGAGTGAGGGAATCACCATTTTCACCAGGGAAAAATGAATAGTTAACCTGTTTGGTTCAAAACAGATACCAATTACTTGAGGCTAAAGTCACAGGCTGCTGGAGAGCTGGTCTACTTCCAAACGGTATAAATATTTAAGTCCAGAGCCACAAGCGAACGGTGACAGAGGACCTGTCTGTCTCTGTGCCTGTCTCCATCAGCTCCCTCACTGGCTCCCCTGGGACCCTTCCCTCCTGTGAGCCCCCATGTCCCAAGGGGTGCTAGAGGCTTCAGCACTGCTGGAAGGGGACAAATTTGTGTTCTCCTGCATTCTTCTTAAAGCCATGCCCATGTCAAAGCAACGTATAGAGGCTCAGTGACCAGGAAGACTTTATTCTTAGTCCAGCTTTGTCACCTTACACCCAGGTGAATCTGGGCCCTGGAACATCAAGAGGCTTGCCCAGGTCGCACAGCCAGATAATGGTGGGCGTGACTCTAAACCATGTCACAGCATGCCCTCCAGAGCTCTTTCCAATCCACCTTCGAGAAACTGGGAAGACCCCTGAAGGTCATGGGGGTTGGGCAGCCTGTCCCCTGGGCTGGCTGTCTCTCCTGGCCCCCTGCTTTCCATCACCAGGGTAGTTTAATTCATGGCCTTTTGAGGCCCCCGTTCTGTCTGCTGGGGAACAGCTCTACTGCCAGCCTCCCTCGGGCTGTAGGCCACCATGGAGGATAGCAGGAGTCTCCACCTCCCTCCAAGGTGACAGCTGGAGGCAGCAGCCCACAGACAAGAGTCCGCTCAATCCCAGCCCTCTTCACTTGGCTGCCAGCCCAGCTTGGCTCTGCATCCCCTGGGAGCCAGCCCTCCAGCCCACCCTGGTACCGAGAAAGGGTAGATGGACTCAGGTCACAGGACATCAGAGGAGGCAGGCAGTGGACAACAGCTGCTCGGGAGGAGGCACTGGGCACTCAGGGTCCCGAGGCTGGGGTAGGGGTGGAGGTGTGGGTGTGGGGACAGTGCCAGGGAAGTTTGGCACTACAGTGGAGCAAAAGAACAGAAGGGGAAGAGGAGTTCCATGCAGTTGGGCATGTCACATAATTACAGGAGAAAAATCAGGCCAGAGCCTGGCTCTCTCTACCTCTGTCTGAGTGATCATCACCCTTATTATAAAGCAACTAATTATTAGTCTGGCTCATTAGCAATTATAAATCTCTAACTCCAGAACTTCATTTAAAAAATGAAAAGTTAGCACTTAATGATTTTCCTAACTGCTTAGATCATGCGCAGAGCTTACACATGCAGCTCCCGTGGTTCCTGGGAGCGGGGCTGGCCTTCAGGTACTGGGGAGGGGTCCCTGCTTTCCCATCCAGAAACCTGGATGTCCCCCCAGTGGCCGGAAATCAAGCGCTCTGAGATGTGAGAAGTGGAGAAAGAGCGGTGAACTTCCTTCTCCTTCTGTTTTCCAGTAAAAATAGAAACAATGTGTTTATTGAGCCTTTCTGCGTGCCACGTGCTTGGTGTTGTGATGCCTTATTTCATTTAAATCTCCCCATAACCTGATACTGTTCATCTCCATTCTATTGATGTAGCACTTGCAGTCATGGCACCTGCCATAGGATCATGAGCTGGATGACACCCAGGTTGCCCTGACTTAACCACTACCCTTAACTAAGCCCCTACCCTTAACCACTACCCCATGCTCAACCACAGCTCTCCATGGCTCTAATGAGGGAAGAGCCTTGGGTAGATTGATGGTTGTACCCTTTGCAAATGCTCCCTAAGATTGGACTGCTAGAGAAAGGTGGCCTGTTAGATCCTGGTGTGTCTTGTGGGTCCATGGTGTGTGGGCAGGTGAGTGGATGGAGGGAAGATTCCTTCCCAGTTACTAGGATGGACACTTTTCATTATCCTGTGGCTCTTTAAGGCTTTTCTAGCCTCCTCATCCTGCCCCAAACTTTTCCAATTCTTTGCTACTTCTTCCGTTTCTTGAGCACTCACTGAAGGTTGGAACAAAGCTGAAGAGGTTGCATGAGGAAGGCCCTGTTCCCTCAGGCAGCCCTTCCCTTTTCTCTTTCTTTCTTCCAGGTGGAGGGGAATGGCTGGAGCCAGGAAGAGCTGCCTGAGAGCCACAGGCAAAGGTGGGAGGCGAAAGGAAGACAGAGCATGGATGCTCAGGCCCAGAAGTTGGAGGAAACACCCACCTGGGCACGTGAGACCCCCATCAAAGCAGCCTAGCAAGACAAGATGATCCCAGAACAAGGGAGGGCCCTTGGGTTCACCCTAACTGTGTGCATTTGACAGTGGCAGTGTCTTCCCACCTGTGAAAGTAAGGGGTAGGGGTTAGACAGTTCTTCCAGCTCCGGTGTTGGTTTCTGTAAAGAACCTTCTGGTCCCGAGGCTGGGGTGGGGGTGGAGGTGTGGGTGTGGGGACAGCAATTCAAACAGACAGTCCCCATCCCTACAGTCTGAGATTCACAACCTTAGTTGGAAGCTGTAACTATAAAATACCCAAATCACAAAACTTAAAGAAATGAATGACTTATATGACTTTGTGTATTTCTACAGAGAAAAGGGAAGATAGCCATTAGATAGAAGAGTGGACATTAGTGACTCATGCATTTTGTCAGGGGTTCAAATTCCGGGTCTCCAAGTGACAAGGTCTAAAAAAATCTCAGAGTGGAACAGATTGGAGTACATATCATCAGATGTCTTGAAGATGTGGCATGGATAGAGCCTGTTCCTCTCATCCTACAAACCCAGGAAGGCTTCCTGGAGGAAGTGACCTCCACATCAGAGCCAGGTCAGCAGGCAGGGCAGCTAGATAGGGCAGGTGCCCAAATGCCAGCTCACACAGCTCAGTAGAAATCACTGGAATACTGCTAGAGATCCTGGTGAGGGTGAAAGGAATCTTCTGATGAGCAGCTTGGGGGATGCAAAAGTCCTGCAAGTAACTGCACTATCCTCCTTGCTCTCCAAGGAGAGCAAGAATCTGAGCATCTCAGAGCAGACCAGGCCCTTCCAGCCCAGTGTGGGGTAGAGAGCCCAGCCCCCTTGCTCTCCAAGGAGGATGGTACAGTTACTTGAGGGACTTTTGTATCCCCAAGGGGCAGAAAGTCTGGGGTCAAGGACAAATGACCAAAAGCTTAGGGCTGACACACATGGGGCACTTCTTAAATGCTCCACGTGCATTCAAGTCACTTAACTCAAATATTATCCTCATTGAACAGATGCGGAAACGGAGGCATGGAGCAATGATTACATAGCCTGGGAATGGAGGAGGCAGGATTTAAACTAGATGGTCTGGCTGCAGGGCTGTGTGACCTTCACATACTCATACTCATACTGTCCTACTCATACTGTCAGTATGACCTACTCATACTGTCTCTGGATGAAGAAGTTGTGCTCACCCTGAGGGAAGGGCAAAGGAGGGGGCTCTCCTGGCAGAATATTGGTTTCCTACTGTGCCCCACACTAACCTATAGCCCAGTGGCCACATTCCTCCCATGAGATGCTCCTGGGACAGCAAGAGGTCCCTGGAGGAGAAGTGAGCCCCTGGTGGGTCCCGACCATGTGGTACCTGTCTTTGAATCCCCACCTCCCAACAGTGCCCAGCATGGCCTGGTGGCACTGATGCCATGGAGCACAGCATCCTCTACTGACCAGAATGGGAACATGCCCCAGGGAGAAACCCAAACCAGAAGGAAGCCCAAGCTAATTAGGCCTCCAGAGTCATATGATTTTAGAGAGAGGCTCCAAGGAATTTCTGGGGCCTTGAGAACAAGGAGGGAGCAGGAAAAGAGATAAAGACAAGATGACTCCACTGATCCTCAAAGACACATCCTAAGTTCAGGATAAACAGGCAGGGAGGGTATCCCAGGGTCAAGTCCCCCAGCCCAGGGGTGCCCAGACTGTCTTGGTGGAGTAGAAACTTTGTATGTTTCAGAGCCCGAGGACAGCTGGAGTGGCTGATTGTGATGCTCCTGAGTGGCGGGGAGTGGGTAGCTGGTGTTGATAGTTGAGCCCTAGAGCTTGGGGCACACGATTAAGGGTTGAGATGGGTTAACGGGGCACCAATGGGGGAACACTAAGAAGAAATTCTGACTCAGTCCGGGTCAGCCCTGTGGTCCAAAGCAAATGGATCACCTCTCCACCTAGTGAGCTCCCTGTCTACTGAGGTATTCAAGAGAGGCTGGGCGACCCCTGGCAGGAATCAAGCACTAGGTGGAGGTAAGGCTAAAATGTAATTACCATCAGCCTGATAAGGTGGGTCTCCTTCTTAACCCATTTTTCCCTAAGAATCTGCAGGCACAGAGAGGTTAAGAAACTGCTTGAGATCACATAGGGCCAGGATTCCCTTCAGGCTGCCCCCAACTTCAGAGCTCTTGTGTTTAGGGCCACCCTTGCTTCACCTCTGTATGGCAACCTCACACTGGGCTGGAAGGACCTGGTCTGCCCTGAGATGCTCAGATTCTGTTAGAAAAGCCCCTCTGCCCGGGGACCCCAGAACCTTTTTGCTCCCTGCACGACCCCCCAAGCCTTCACCCCAAGCCTCTGTCTGGATTGGCCTTGCTAGGATAGAGGCCTAGATGGCGTTCTCTTGCTGAGGGCTGGTCAGAGGCCAGCAGTGCTCTGTCCTCCCCCGCTCCCCTCTGGCTGCCCATGGTGTGGCCCTCACAGCCCTGGGTGCCCCTCCCAGCCAACTGATTTTCTATGAAAGCTGTGGCAAGTGACGGCTTCTTGCCTGGGAACAGCACCTCTCGGCAAACTGACAGGTAATTGGCCCCTAAATCCCCCAGGAGACACGGGGAGGATGAGGAAAAATTACGGCTGTGGAACTGAGTCTTAAAAATTATATCACCTTTGCTGACAGTGTAATTACTCCTTTTTCTCAAGATTTAGTGCAGATCTCCAATCCTTAAACAGTTGAGGGATATTTTAAGGGTTCTCCTTTTCTGTTCTTCTTTTCCCCTTGGCCTGCAGAGGCTAGATTCCTGGCATTGGCCAGTTTCCCTGCTTCTTCTAGGAAGCAAAATGTCCCTGGGCTGGCCGTGCAGAGATCACGCAAGGTGGGAAGGGGAGATGGAGCATGAGAAAGGGGGCTTGACCCAGGAGTCACTGTGTTTGGGCCACCCAGGGCAGCCACACAGTCCTGTATGAACCCCTGGCCACCTGTTTGAATGTCAGGCAAGGTCCCTTGGCTTCCAGAAGCTCTCCCTAGCCAACGCAGTCAGTGCCCACCCATAGCCCCTTAGTCTACTGCAGAGGCCATCTGTAGGCGGGTCCCATCCTTGACCTGAAGGTGATCTTAGTCATGGAGCAGGCTGCCAACCCCTGTGGGTTCATCTTCATCCTCCAGGAGCAACCCCCAGCCAAAGTGGTAGAGTCCGTGGGAAGGACCCCAGTCCTGAGACATGTTCCCCACAGTCTCACAGAGGCTCCCCTGTGGGCCACGGGCCTCAGGGCTGGATTCTGAGCTGGGACTGGTACTTGTACCCAAACGGCCCTGAATCCCTCATTGAATCTCACTGGAGCTTCAGGAAGTTGAGGAGGTTGCCAGCCCCTCCTATCCTAGGTCTCTAATGCAGAGGGGCCCTCACCTTGGGGGGCAGGATGGGCCAGAGGCCCACAGCAGTGACCCACTCATTTACACACCTTCTACTGGCTTTCCCACCTTCCCTGCCGCAGTCTCCCCACTCCCCTCATGCCCCCAAATAAGCTACCTGCACCCAAATCCTTGTCTCAGCATCTGCTTTTGGGGAAACCCAAACTTGAGGCCCCCTCCCCTGAAGCTTGGCACTAGTGCTGTGTGGGCACCAACTTCTGGTTGGGAGCAGGTGTTTTCTGAAGGCAAAGGAATGGTTTGCATGGTCCAGGGGGCTCTTGTCCTGTTGGCTGCAACATACTCTAGAGACAGTGCCCCTTCTCTCAAAATTGAGGAAAGCGGTTTAGGGACCTGAACTCCAGAAACCACAATGTCTTTCTCCCTAGGAGGCTGTCACCCTCCCAAAGAAAGCCTTTGGGTCCACAGATGAAGGTCTTTCTGCATTAGATACCTAGGAGGGGAGGGACTGGTGGTCTCCTTAACTTTTTGAAGTTCTTGATCAGAGCTAATGTGGGATTCAGGGTGCTGTGGCTAGAAGCACCAGTCTTACTTCAGAATCCAGTGAGCTCAGGAATCAGAACTCTGGGATTTTGTCTTTGAATGACTGTCGGGATAGCGTCCTAACAGGTGGAGGCAGAGGGTGGGTACAGAGAATCGCAGGCCTGTGCTGACAAGGAATCGGATTTCTGCTGCTGTCAAAAAGGCCTTAAAATGGTCACCAAGCCCACAGCCAAGGACCAGTTTAGGAGATGAGACAATACGCTCGGGCCAAGGGACTCAAGCTAGCTCAAGATGGCATCTTTGGCCACTCCGAAGTGCCAGGCTTTGCACTAGACTCATGCCAGACTCATGAATGTCTTTGTTGTTCACGGAGATGCCTCGGTCAGGGCAAAGGCAGGATCTGGGCAGGAATTTAAGTTTCCCAAAGGTAGCCGCCAGACAGAATCTGCCTGTCCTTGGATCTTCTCATCTTGGAATCTCCAACAAGACCCCTGTGAGACCTGGAGCTGGCAGCAGGGCTAGCTTCCTAGTCCCAGCTCTCCTGACAAGTCCACACCATCTCATGGCCACTTCATTCCCACCTAACTATGCACTTTCAACATTACAGCTGTAACCCAATCCTGCAGCATCCTATCTCCTGGAGGGGAATGAAGGTAACTCACACTTATTAAGTATCTACTGTTTGCCCAGCACCTAGTATTTTACATATATGAGCTCACTCAACCCTCAAAGCAATTCTATGAGGAGGGTGTTATTATTATCCCCGCTTTGAAAATGAGAAAATGGAGGCACAGACTGTTTCACTGACTTGTCCAGCATCACACAGCTTCTCCATTGCAGAGGCAGGATTTGAACTCAGGGGGTCTGGATTCACAGTGGGCTCCTAACCACTATTATAAATGTCCTTGAAGTTGATAGAGAACAAAGCTCCGGAAGAGGATCTTGGAAAGGGGATCTCTCCCCACTTCTGCTTGGTTCTCTCTGCTTAGATCTTGGTGTTTTTGGCCAGGTGCGGTGGCTCACGCCTGTAATCCCAGCACTTTGGGAGGCCGAGTTGGGTGGATCACTTGAGGTCAGGAGTTCGAGACCAGCCTGGCCAACATGGTAAAATCCCATCTCTACTGAAAATACAAAAATTAGTGAGTGTGGTGGCAGGCACCTGTACTTCCAGCTGCTAGGGAGGCCGAGGCACAAGAATTGCTTGAACCCGGGAGGTAGAGGTTGCAGTGAGCCAAGATCGTGCCACTGCACTCCAGCCTGGGTGACGGAGTGAGACTGTCTCAAAAACAAACAAACAAACAAACAAAAAAGATCTTGGTGTTTTTCACTGGGTGGGTATGATGGTTAATTCTATGGTCAATTTGACTGCCCTACAAGGTGCCCAGACGTTTGTCAAGCATTATTCTGGCTGCCTTTGTGAGGGTGTTTCTGGATGAGATTCCCATTTGAATTTGTAGACAGAGTAAAGCCGATAGATGGACTCCCTGATGTGGGTCGGCCTCGTCCAATCAGTTAAAGGCCTGAATAGAACAAGAAGGCTGAGTAGAGTGAATTCCTCCTGCCTGACTGCTTGGGCTCAGAAATGGATCTGTTCCAGCCTAGACTCAGCCTAGGTCCTAAGCCGGCTGGCTTTCTGATTAGAACTTGCACCACTGGCTCTCCTGGCTCTCAGGCCTTTGGTCTCAGACTGTCACTATGCTATTGGCTCTCCTGGGTCTCCAGTCTGTAGCTTGCTGACTCTAGATCTTGGGAATTCTCAGGCTCCATAACCATGAGAGCCAGCTCTTCATGATAAATTTTTACACACACACACACACACACATACACACACACACACACACATACACACACACGCATATAAAATTTTACATGATGTAAAAATCTCCTGTTGGTTCTGTTTCTCTGGAGGACCCTGACTCAGTGAGGCTGTGGACTTCCTTCATGGGCACCAAAGTTCTCCATTTCCTTGGGGGCACTGCTGTTGTTCCAGCCAATAGTGGGGATGCTGCTGGTGGAGACCCGCCTTGAAGAGATGTAGCAGGAAAGAGCAGTGGAAGGTCCACTGGGTGTCATTTAGCAATCGGCACAGGCATGAACCCATCGGAACTGGCTCTGGACATAAATGGCAGGTGAGAACTGCCTTGCGTATGTCCCAACTCCAGTGACAATACTAGAGCACAAAGAAGATGGCTATTTTGGGCCATCCAGAATCCACCTCCCCTCTGTATGTTTGGAAAAAGTCCCCGATATAGAATCTAAGCATGCCAGTGACGCACTCTGCCAGCCTGCATTGCTTGTGACCAGGCTTGACAACCGGATGTGCCCTTCCTGGACCTTTTGTCTGGAGCTGGCCACACAGATGCAGGATACACAGATGCAAGATAGACAGATGCAGGACGAATGGAGAACCTGTGGTCGTGGTTACTAACAGCCTCTATCCAGTTCCCAGGGGACAGTGGCCTCGTAGTGGCTGCAGTGGCATCCTGTATCCAGGACCCACAAAATGGGGCCCCTGGTGCTCCATGGAGGTGGTGGAGGGTCCTCACCAGACCATGCCTAGGCTGTGACTTTGGCTGTGGTCCTGTATACATTGTCACAAAGCCAAGCTGATATGGTTAGGCTTTGTGTCCATACTCAAATCTCATCTTGAATTATAATTCCCATAATCCCCATGTGTTAAGGGAGAGACCAGGTATAGGTGATTGGATCATGGGGCCAGTTTCCGCCATGCTGTTCTCATGATAGTGAGTTCTCACGAGATGTGCTGGTTTTACAAGTGTTTGGTAGTTCCGCCTGTGTTCATTTTCCCTCCTGCCGCCTTCTGAAAAAGGTGCCATGCTTCCCCTTCAACTTCCGCCATGACTGTAAATTTTCTGCGTCTTTCCCAGCCATGCTGAACTGTGAGTCAATTAAATATTTTTCCTTTATAAATCTCAGGTAAGTCTTTTTTTTTTTTTTTTTGGACAGAGTCTTGCTCTGTTGCCCAGGCTGGCGTGCAGTGGCATGATCTTGGCTCACTGCAACCTCCGCCTCCCAGGTTCAAACAATTCTCCTGCTTCAGCTTCCCGAGTAGCTGGGACTACAGGCACACACCACCGGGCCCGGCTAATTTTTGTATTTTTAGTAGAGATGGAGATTTCACTATGTTGGCCAGGCTGGTCTCAAACTCCTGACCTCAAGTGATCCAGCCCACCTCAGCCTCCCAAAGTGCTGGGATTACAGGTGTAAGCCACCTCATCCAGCCTCAGGTATGTCTTTATGGCAGTGTGAAAACAGACTAAGACACAAGCCCTCCCAGAAATTCTGCAACCTCCTGATACCCTTTCAGCAAATTTCTCTGCTGCTTCAATTAGCCAGAATCAGTTTCTATTGCTTGGATCTAGAACCCTAATTGCAGCAGCCAACTCTGGGCTAGGAACTCCACAGTCTACTCACATCATCTCCTTTAGCCCTACCCAGGCCTTGAGGAAGGTGGCTTTATCTCAGCAAAACTGAGGCTCAGAGAGGTTGAGTAATTTTTCCCCAGATCACAGAGCTTTTGGTGGAGCTAGGATTCAAACCCAAGTCTTACTGACCTCAAAGACATGGAATCCTCAGCCACTAAGATCCCCAACTCCTTTTCTGCCCCCACTGCTTTAATTATACCAATAAGCAAGGGAAAAGCAGAAACAAGCCCACCACGCAGGGACCAGCCTGGGAGCCAAATTGCTTCTGAGCTGAATGTTTCTCTCCCAGTCTTCAGTGAGGTGGTGGCAGCTCTTTAACTCCAGCTGCGGCGAGAACACAGTGCTCATATATATTCACAAGCGGGAGATGAAAAGCTGCACAATGCCCGGCCATTAATCCTAACTCAGGCCTTCCAAGCGGCGTGTGATGATCTGCCTGAAGCAGCGCCACATTCGTGCTCGGGAGCTGGGAATGCACCCCAAATCCACCGCCAGGGGCACACAGTCCAGGCTCCCCCACCACACTTTACCGTCCACCCTCATGCCCTAATGGCCTCATCAATGTTTCGTGGCCGCCTCAGTGCTCCTGACAGATAAATTAATGAGTTGGCCCTGAGCTATAGGAAGCACACCCCAAGAGAAGACAGAACTTAAGGAATTTAAGCCCCACTGCGCCTCTTGTGCCCAAGGTGGGAGAGTTGAAAGCTGGTTTCCTGGCGAGGGTGAGTGGAGATGGTCATTTTTCTGGCATTGATTCGTGGGTTTTCATTTCCCAGGAGCAGCCTGGAGCAAAGGAGAACGTGCAAGATGAATCTGGAAGGCCTCCCCCAACACGGCATGAAGAGGACCCGAGCCAGCCAGTCTGTGGATGGGCAGGAGACACAGGGAGCCCTGCTCAGGAGCCCGTGTGAGCACAGAAGGGGCAGCCAGGCTCCAGGTTTGTTAGTTGTCCAGACACCTGGAGCCTATGGGAGGCACAGAAGCTGGGAAGCTGGAGGTCCGTGTCTGGCTACACACGGCTGGGACTAAAGGATTGAGGTTAGTGCTTCCAAACGCACTTGGTGTTCTAGGCATGGGCTTCCAGACCTGGACCTGGCTCCCTGGCAAGGCCTCCCCTCTGTCCTTCTCTCCACCCACCTCTGTCCCCTCCCTGCTCAGTGCTCGACACCCACCATGTCACCCAGCCCCTTACTTACTTCTGACCTCTGACCCTCCTCACTGCCATTGACTGCAGCTCATTATTGTCCTTCCATCAGGTGCCTCCTCTCTGGACATGGGAGGCCACACAGTTCTGCTCTCGGGACTCAGATGCCACCCAGCACCCCCTGAGCATGTCCTGCAGCCTGGCCTCCTTCGCTGCTTCCTGGCAGCCAACCAATGCAGAGCGAGCTTTGGAACCTGGCCTGGGCATACATTTGGTCTCTACTACCCTGCAGTGGTGAGCCCTGGGCAGGTCATTTAAACTCTGAGCCTCTGCTTCGTGTGCAGTGTAGTGCAGTGGGTGGGACCCACCTTGCAGAGTTGTGATGAGGTTGAATGAAACTGCATTCAAGGGAGAGATTATTTCCCTCCCCACTCCATGTATAACTACAACTGATTCCTAAAGAGTGGACTCATTCCCTGGAGGCCTCTGTGTTCTGAGTACTTTGATGAGTCTGGAGACACAGAAATGTGCCTGGGGTTAGTGTGAGTGCCTGAGAACACTGAATGAACTTCTTTGCACAAAAGAAGGAAAATGAACAACAGAGGAAAATTCACAGCTCTGAGGTCGGAGGGGGGAAGGGAACATGAAGAGATGGGAGGATGACTAAGAAAAGAAGGCCGGGCGCGGTGGCTCACGCCTGTAATCCCAGCACTTTGGGAGGCCGAGGCGGGCGGATCATGAGGTCAGGAGATCGAGACCATCCTGGCTAACACGGTGAAACCCCATCTCTACTAAAAATACAAAAAGTTAGCCGAGCGTGGTGGTGGGCACCTGTAGTCCCAGCTACTCGGGAGGCTGAGGCAGGAGAATGGTGTGACCCGGGAGGCAGAGCTTGCAGTGAGCCAAGATTGCGCCACTGCACTCCGGCCTGGGCAACAAAGTAAGGCTCTATCTCAAAACAAAAACAAAACAAAAAAAAAAAGGTGGGGGGCCAGCAAGATGAGGAAGATGGCGGAGACCATCCTGGGGACAAGTGACCATTGGAAGTCGACACTGTTGTGCCACCAAAGAACTCGATGTCTAGGAAGTTCACAGAGCTGTGTGCAGTTTCTCTATCCCTCTCCAAACCCCAAAGCTGGAAGAGGAGCAGGAGTGAGTCTTCCCTTTTTTTGTTGAAAACCAAGAAAGGACTTGATTGTCTCAAGGCCCAAGACAGAGACAGCCCACATGGGATGGGGGGTGGATATTCAGTCCAGAAATGAAATCAAATCCACAGAAGCAGGGTTCTGGAGCTGGAGGGGGGCATGAGGACATGGCTTGACCTCCTGGGGTATGAAAGGGGCATAGGACCCTTTCTCTAGATTTCAAGGGACAGGGAGGCTCCATCTGACATCTGGTTATGTCTAATCCACCTGGCCTCTGGTGGGCTTCCAGATGTGGATTCATTCCCACTTCCATCCTGAAAGTCAGTGCAAGGGTCACAGGCATAGGCTGGAATGCCCTTCTAGAGAGTCCCACTCTACCCTTGAAGCAGGCCAGGAAGGGAAAGGGTGGAGGACTGACCGTCAAGGCCACATCCTCAGAGGACCAGCTGCCTGGGGTTCATGACTCCTCAGTCCCCTTCCAGCCCCCCAGGCCAGAGCCACATGCGAGCAGGCAGCACAGGACTCAGAGGAAAACCTGTTACCGCTCCTACTAACAGGGGATGACAATGCCAACAGCACAGCCACTTCCAAAATAGGAACTGATAAATCATTAAACTTGTCAGATTACTCAAGAAAGGCTGGGCCCTGGTCAGCAGGGAGGCAGGCTGCCCTGGGCACCTGGTTTAACCTCTCCAGTCAGAGGGAGACCAGTGGAAAGGCTGCAGAGACCCCCACCCCAATCCACCCTCTCCAGGACTTGTGTGCCACGTGGCTCATGAGGCCGCCTCCTCCCTTTCTTTCCTCTGAGGCTTTTCTGCAAACTCGTGGACTCTGGAGTCAGATGCTCAGATCCAAATCCCACTGTATACTCTCTGGGTTACCTTGAGCAGGTTGTTTAACCTCTTTATGCCTCAGTTTTCTGAACGGTAAAATGGGAATAATAACACCATGGACTGCAAAGTGTCTGGAATAATGCCCAGGCATAGACAGCCCTGAAAGCACTGGGGGTCATGATTTATCCCTACTGACCCCTTGAGGCTGCCCCTGCCACAAACAAGGCCAGGCTGCTGCTCTCAGGATTGGGAGATAATATTTCATTAATCTTTGTGCCACCTCTGACTTGCTGACATGGGCAGGGATGTCAGCTTCCTCTTCCTGTATCTTAGCAACATCATGACCACAGGGAGGAGGTGGGCATAAAGGGCTTCCAGTTCTTTAGCGGAAAAAAAAGGAGAATCGGTCAGCTTTCTGTGATACACCTCCAGAAAGGAGTCATTGCAGTGGAAAATTCAGGAGGAAGAAGGAGGGGAACCCAGTGTCTCATCTCAGCCTCTGAGCAGGCCAAGGACACTTCATTCCACCCTGCACATGAGTGTATTTTTGTCTGCCTTTCACAGTCTTTGAGGAACTTCCTCCTGAATCTATCAGTGTTCTGGTTGCAAGCAATGGAAACTGATGCTGAAGGAATGTTTTGGAAGGATATGGGGGCACACACTGTTGATGGGAGGAAAGAAAGAAGGCTTGGAAAGTAGGGAGCAAGAGGGTTCTGGAAGCTGGAAAGCAGAATCTGTCTGACACTTCTGCCTCCATGGTCTCCACACACAGCCGCTATGTCAAGAGGCTACTACAAGCAAATTCTAACTGTTTCTATGTCTTTTCACTACTCAGCCAAAGTCAAAGCCAGAATGTATGATTGGCTAAGCTTGCTCACCTGACTGGACTCTGGCTGTCAGGATTGGCCACAATGGGTCACCTGACAGGACTCTACCTGTCAGGATTGACCATAATGGGTCACTTGACTGGGTATTGGTTGTTGGGACTGGCCAAACCAGTTACCTGACTGGACTGTCAGGACTGGCCCGCAGTGGGTCACCTGACATTATTGGCTGTTGGGATTAGCCAAACCGGTTACCTGACTGGACTCAGTCAGGATTGGCCACAACAGGTCACCTGACATTATTGGTTGTTGGGATTGGCCAAACCAGTTACCTGACTGGACTCTAGCTGTCAGGATTGACCATAATGGGTCACCTGACTGGACCCTGGCTGTTGGGATTGGCCAATCCTGTCACCTCACTCAACTGTGGCTGTCAGGATTGGTCACATTGGTCACATTGGTCACCTGACTGGGTCCTGGCTGTTGGGATTGGTCAAGACAGGTCACCTGACTGACCCAGGCTATCAGAGTAATGAGAAGAAGGTCTCTCCCTTGGGCTGAGCAGAAGGTTCTGGGGAACTGTGCCTTGCCACACTGCCTACAATGGGGGCAACCCCAGATGTACAAGTCTGCTGCTGTCCTTGAAGTTTTTTCCCTTGCCTCCTCCCCAGTTTGCCTGTTGGTCCCACTAGGGCAGTGCCATATTGGCAACTTCCCATGTCCTCCACTTACAGCAGACAAATTGGAAACCTCCCTTGTGGGAGGAAGGATGGGAGGATGGGCTCCATTACAAAGCAATATTCTGAAGGAGAAGAGAGCCATTTGGACGGGAAGATGGAGCTGGTAAATCTGGCTTGTCTCCCTGCATCGGGGGCAAGATGGATTTTATTCATAAATATTCTCAGTGATCTTGAGCTTCAAGCAGCCTGCAAATAGCTTCTAATGAGAACCCCTTGACCTTCCCTCTACCCACCACCACCATCGCCCTGCCCAGACCCTGCCCCTTTCTTCTCTATCACTTCATTTGTTACCCAAGTCTCCCATCTTTCTACCTCTCATTCAGAGTCACACTGGGGGCCCTTTCCCTGCAGCCTGGATGACATCCATGTGTCCTCAGCATCGCACCTTCCTGGCCCAGCCTTGGGCCCCTAACTTGTTTCCCACAATCTAAAGCTGAGTCTCCCCACTGCCACCCAGACCTATCACAGTCTTTCTGTCCTCATTGACTGATGAGAATAATTGGTACCCATCCTCCAAGGACCCTCTCTGTGTGGATCTGTAGACGACAGATTTCAAATTGATTTAAAGCCTGTGTCATGCTGGCTTAAAGAAAAATCCCTACAGAAATTAGCCAGTTTAACATTTGGGAGATGCTTAGCAAAACCTGCACTGGGTAATTACAAAGGAGGCGCCATTTCCCCTCAAGGATGGAGGGAATGCAGAGGAGGGTAGAGCAGTGTCCCTACTCCAAACTGCCCAAGGACACCAGGGCATTGCTGCCACTGCTCTCTGAGTCCATCTCTTCTGAGACGGGATGAAACTGGCTTAACTGATGATTTGCTCATTTGTTCGCTCACACCTTCATCCATCAAGCCAGATGAGTGCCAAGCGTGCATTTCAGTCTAGCCCCTCATCATCTGTTGCCTGAATCACTTTACCAGTTGCCTAAATGATCTTCCTGTGTCCAGTCTCTTCCTCATCCAGCCTGCCCCCTGTGGGGCCACAAGGGCAATCTTCCCCCAACATGAAGCTAAATAAGTCACTCTCCCAAAGAAACCCTGTAATGTCCTTCCCATTACCTACAAGCTACAGGTAGTCACTCTGAAGTAAGGCACGAAAAGCTGGTCTCTTCCTGGCTGCTGCTGAGGTCTCTGGCCCATCTCCCCAACTGCCCAGCACTTCGATGCCATAACTTTGCCACACTGATGTTTCGCAGGCCAGCGCATGCTGTTCCCGCTCCCTGGAACTGCTGGCAAGTTGACTTTCCTCCCAGCACCCTGCCAGGCATCCCCACTTCCACAGGGCCTCCTTCAGGAGGGATCATCCCCATCTCCTGGGTATGATTTCTGTACCTTCTGATACCTTTGGTCCTCACATATGTGGTCACTGTTAACTTACGTGGTGATATGGTTTGGCTGTGTCCCCACCCAAATCTCATCTTGAATTGCAACTCCCATAATTCCCATGTGTTGTGGGAGGGACCCAGTGGAGATCACTGAATCATGGGGGCGGTTTCCCCTATACTGTTCTCATGGTAGTAAATAAGTCTCACAAGATCTGATTGTTTTATAACGGTTTTCCCCTTTTTCTTGGCTCTCATTCTCTCTTGCCTGCCGCCATGTGAGACATGCCTTTCACCTTCTGCCATGATTGTGAGGCCTTCCCAGCCACATGGAACTGTGAGTCCATTAAACCTCTCTTTCTTTATAAATGACCCAGTCTCAGGTAAGTCTTTATCAACAGCATGAAAACTAACACATGGAAAACCCTTGACATATCTGACGGCAAATAGAGGCAAGGCCCAGCCCCAGCGCAGTGCCTAGCTCAAGGCCAATAACCATGTTGAACCCCAAGCAGCACACTTGGGACTGAGAAGCTGAATAGACACAGCCCTGCCCTCAGGGAGCTCACCTTCTAATGGGACACTGGCCCTTTTGCTGTGTTGCCTTCCAATTAACCAAGTGGCCATGGTGAGTGACATTTTTGTCAGCTGTTGACCAACATTTACCTATTCAGTACTAGCCAGGTACAGCGTCTCATGCCTGTGATCCCAACACTTTGAGAAGCCAAGACAGGAGGATCATTGGAGGCCAGGAGTTTGAGACCAACTTGGGCAACATAGTGAGACCAGGCATGGTGGTGCCTGCCTGTAATCCTAGCTGCTTGGGAGGCTGAGACAGGAGGATCACTTGAGCCCAGGAATTTGATGCTGCAAGTGAGCTATGATTGCACCACTGCACTCCGGCCTGGGCAGCAGAACAAGACCCTGTCTCTAGAAAAAATAAATATTTATTTACTCAGTACTTATTTTGGGTGGGGACTTTTTAAGGCATTTTAGACCCATCACTTTATTTAATCCAGTGGCTCTCAGTGTCACCTGGGAAGTTGTTAGAAATGCACAGTTGGTTTTTTTTTTTGAGACGGAGTTTCGCTCTTGTTGCCTAGGCTGGAGTGCAGTGGCACGATCTTGGGTCACCGCAACCTCTGCCTCCCATGTTCCAGCGATTCTCCTGCCTTAGCCTCCCGAGTTGCTGGGGTTACAGGCATGCACCACCATGCCTGGCTAATTTTGTATTTTTAGTAGAGACGGGGTTTCTCCATGTTGTTCAGGCTGGTCTCACCTCAGGTGATCCGCCCTCCTTGGCCTCTCAAAGTGCTGAGACTATAGGCGTGAGTCGCCCCAACCAGCCTAGAAATGCACAGTCTTAAGGCTCTCCCCAGAGCCACTAAATTAGAGACCAGGGGGTGGGCCCAGCCAGCTGCATTCAACAAGGTGATACTGATACTCATTCAAGCATAAAACTACCCTAGGGGAATTGCCCCAATGTACAGGGGAGGACACTGAGGTTCAGCCAGGTTAAGTAACCCACCCAGGATCCCACAGTGAGGCCACGTCTTGGTCGGAGAGTGTGGTAGGCTGAAAAATAGCTCCCTCTGCAAAAGATAGCCACGTCAAATCCCTGGGACTTGTGAAAGTGACTTCGTTTGGAAAAAGGGTCTTTGTAGACATAAGGAAGGATCTTGAGATGGGATTATCCCGGATTATCTGAGCGGACCCTGAATGCCAGCACGAGTGTCTTTATAAGAAGGCAGAAGGCGTTCAACACCCAGAGAAGAGAAGGAGGCACTGTGACTGCAGGGGCAGATATGGGAGTGGTGCTGCCACAAGCCAAGGGTTACTGGTAGGCCCCATAAGCTGGAAGGGGCAGAGGAAGAGTCTTCCCTAGAGCCTCTGGAAGGCACGTGGTCCTGCCAACACTTGGATTTCGACTTCTGGCCTCCAGAACTGTGAGAAAATGAATTTCTGTGGTTTGGAGCCTCCCAGTTTCTGGTAATTTGTTACAGCAGCCCCCGGAAACTAATATAGAGAGCCACAAAAGGCTGGTGCTGCTCTTGGAAATGTGATCAGATTCCCATGCCAAGAGGACAAGATGCTTGGCGATAGTCCCGTGGGACCAGCCTCTCTCTCTGGCATCTTTTCAGCCTCGTGGGAGAGAGTCTTCCTGTTTCTGCGAGAGAGGCAGTCCCCTGAGGACAGGGAGTGGGTCCTGCTTCTCACTTTATCCCCAGGCTTGTTAAGTGGTTCATCGAATGAAGATTTTCATCTCGAGGTTCAAACCGCAAGAGGCGGCTGGGATATTGGAGCTGGCTCCTTCGCAGAGCTAAGGTTCTCAGGCAGGAAGTTAATCTCCGTAGAAGTTTTCTGAGGCCAGAGAAGATGGTGAGTCATTCCCTTTGAGAGATTTCTTATACATGTTCATCTCTGAAGTAGCCAAATGAACAGAAGCATAGACACGCTTCTTACACTGTAATGTGCGTATGAAGCACCAGGGGATCTTGTTAAAAGGCAGATTCTGATTCTTCTGATTCAGCGGAACTAGGCAGGGCCTGAGAGCCTGCATTTCTAACAGGTCCCCCCCGGGCATGACCGGGCTGCTGGCCCATGGCCTATCCTCAGAGTCACAAGGCACTGACTCTGGAGACAATTCTAAAATCACCTGCTGCAACACCCTCATGCTAAAGAGAAGGAAACTGAGGCCAAGAGGAGGGAGGTGGCTCCCCCAAGGTCACAGAGCCGGAAATCAATATTTGATGCTAATCTAAGTGGCCGCCCTGGCTTGTAGAGGCCGGAAGGGGAATGGAGGATGTTCCCTTTGGGGCATGAGGTTCCCCTGACGACCCTACCTCTGACAACCCTACCCGGCCAGCTCTGTTGCTCACCCTCCTCTACATTTTGAAACAAACGTCAGCTGCCAGGCTGATCGATAAGCCTGCTCATCTGTGAGGCTTGAGGCTCTCTCCACAGATGTAATCAGGGCTCCGGAGACGTCCTGGCAGCGGGCATGTGGGGAGGGAGGGCAGCGATACATTTAATCAAGGAACAGATGGGGAGCTGATAGAGTGTGTAGAAAAATCAGGTTTCTGTGATAACATTCTCTTCCCCCACTCAGCCTCCGCATCCCTTGACTTCTCCAACAAGAACTCCCAGTGCCAACTCCAGCCCTGCCCTTTCCAAAGGTGTTTTTCCCAGGAACCTCCGGGCCCTTGAAGATGCAGGGGTGGGAGTGGGGTGGGGGTTGCTGCCTGCGGAGCCCTCCTCCCACCAAAGCTTCCTCTATTTGCTCCTTTCTCCGACCAAAGCGGGAGGAGGCCAGGAAGCCAGGGAGCTGATGGCCAAGCACTAAATAGTCCACCCAGAAGGCTTCCGAGATGCTGGCAGCCACAGACTCCTGGAAGCTTGCAGGGAGGAAATGGAGATCATCCGCCTCTTGAACCCCTTGCCCACTGCCAAGTTCACAGGTCTTCAGCCCTCATCGCCTCCACAGGTGTCTGAGTCCAAGGAGTGGAAGTATCGGGATTCTATAGCAGTGGTTCTCCCTGGGGGCGACTTGACGCCTAGGGGATGTTTAGCAATATCTGGAGATCTTTCCTGATGGTCACGACTGGGGTTGGGAGATGCTGCTGGTATTTAGTGAGCAGAGCCTGGGATGTTGGTAAACAACCTGTAGTGCATGGGACAGCCCCACAACATGATTTATCCCTCCCCAAATGTCAGCAAAGCCCAGCTTGAGAAACCCCGCTCTATGGAAAGAAAGCCAGATAGTGGCAGGGGCTTTACTGAGACCAGGCTAACCTGTTCCTGGGTGGAGTCATCTGGCTTTTTCCCCATCTATATTCGATCCTCAAACTAGCACATTCACGACCTACGCAGGTTCTCCATACATACCCCACCCCCCCCCAAATGATGTGGCCTCAGAGGGGTCCTGATAGAGTTGAGGGTTGGCTGGGGCAGGAGATTTCCTGCTGGGGTCTCACGTGCTCACAGCAATAGTGCCATTCACCCTTCAGGTTCCTGTGAAGACAGGCTACACCGGGTGTGGAATTTAGTGGGTAGGTAGTAAACAAACAAATGCATGAAGTACTCCTCCCCTCCCACCCCTGCAGGTCCCATCTCTTATTTAATCCCAGGAAATTCACTGTATAAGCAGGGGTGTGGGGAGGGTGGCTGGGGCATCCCAGGCACCTGGCCTAGCCCTCCCTCCTCCCTCAGGGCCCCCTCGCTGCCCAGTGGCTTCAATCCGGACCAGGCTTCTTTAGGTGACAGGTCTGAGAGGTGTGAGGCTGTGTTTGTGTCATCTCCCGCCCTGATGCCAGGCTCTGTCCCTCCTGGGCACACTATGAGGAGGCCTCATAGTGGAGCTACCCTGAGAGCAGGCTCCCTGCCTTTGGAGTCACCACTCAGAGCTTGGGGTGACCTGTGGAGGCAGCAGCCTGGAGAACAGGCGTTTCCCCTCTTGCCCTGATCTTCCGAGTTAAGCTTTGGCCTGGCTGTGATGTATTATTAGTAATAATGCAAGCCCCCTTATTTATTACTTTTTAGCAGAGCCCAGAGCTCAACGTATTGAACTCACATCACCAAATCTTCTCGGCCATCGCATGACGATGTTTAATTCCCATTTGACTAATGGAGAAACCGAGTTTTAGAGAGGTTAAGTAACTTCTGCAAGGTCACAGAGCTGGTAAATAAGCAGGACACCCAGGATTCCCACCCTCGACTGACTCCAAAGGCCATCCTTTTAGTAGCAGGGGCCCCACTGTCCCCCTGGTCGCCCCCCTGAGCGGTCCACACGCCCCACCACCAGCATTACCTGGAAGCTTGTTAGAGTCACAGAATCCCAGCTCCACCCTAGAATATGAAATTGGCATCCGCACTTTCATATAAAGACCCTGGGGACTCAGGGTGCATTACAGTGACAATTCTCCAGGACAAGTGCTACGTTCCCGGAGGGTGGGGGGTGTTGGGGTGAATGGAGGGGGATGAGCATGTAGAGGCTCTAAGGAACCCAGGGAACTGGGGGCAGGTGCAGAGTTCGTCTGGGCCAGTTTGGTCCAGCTTACCAGATGTTTCACTTGCTGACCTCCAGGGCCGGATGACACCTGTGTCTAGCCACATCCCGGCCTTCACTCTGGATATTCGAGAATGTTGACTCCCCACTTGAGAAGTTCCCCTACTTCCAACTCCCTGGACCCCCTCCCCTCCTGCTCGTGGAGGCAGCTGGCTGGGTCTGATCTCTAGGCATTTGTGTTAGCCACATTACCAGAAGGGGCCCTGATCCAGACACCCAAGAGAGGGTTCTTGGATCCTGCACAAGAAAATAATCTGGGGCGAGTCCATAAAGTGAAAGCAAGTTGATTCAGAAAGTAAAGGAAAAAAGAATGCCCTTACCCAAATGCTGCCAGCAAGGGAACACCCTCTCTGGCTGCAGCCCCTCTGAATGGCTCATGTCATTGAGCCTTACTTTCTCATTACAAGTCCCACTGGCAGCATGAATGGGGGGTCTGGAGTCCCCTATATGTGACTGTCAGAGGTGTTTGAACAAGAGCAACTCCATCTTGAATGGGGGCTGGATAAAATGAGGCTGAGACCTACTGGCGCCAGTTATGGTTAAGGCATTGTAAGTCACAGGATGAGACAGGAGGTCAGCACAAGATACAGGTTATAAAGACCTTGCTGATAAAACAGGTTGCAGTAAAGAAGCTGGCTAAAAGCCACCAAAACCAAGATGGCAATGAGAGTGACCTCTGGTCATCCTCATTGTTCATTATATGCTAATTATAATGCATTGGCATGATAAAAGACACTCCCACCAGCACCAAGACAGTTTACAGATGCCATGGCAACATCAGGAAGTTACCCTATATGGTCTAGAAAGGGGAGGAACCCTCAGGTCAGGGGATTGCCCACCCCTTTCCTGGAAAACTGATGAATAATCCACCCCTTGTTTAGCATATAATCAAGAAATAACCATAAAAATGGGCAACCAGCGGCACTCAGGGCTGCTCTGCCTATGGAGTAGCCATTCTGATCTCTAGGCCCAGACAAGCCCACTCTCCCCTCTGCCAGAACAAACTTCCCCTGGTCCCCACTTCCTGAGCATTTTCCCAACTGCCTCCTGCATTTTTCTTCTGCATCAGTCTCTCTCATTGGAAACACTTTCATCTCCCCTTTGAGCTGGATTTGGGGCTTCCCCTGAGCCTCTGAGGTATTGTCTCTGTCACCAATTAGAATATAAAAGCTCAGCCATTTATCAAAGATACCCAGAAAGCAGTACCTGGACTGAAGTGCAGACAGGCATGTGTCTGCAAACCCAGATGCAGCCTCGCCTGGCGTGCACCGTTTCCACCCAACGTGGTCAGGAGGCTGGGAATGCATTTACAGACGGTCCCTGTAATCCCACAGGTGGGTGAGGGGATTTCCATTTTACATCTGAGGCTCAGGGAGGCAAGGGACTCCCTTAAGTCCTATGAGTGTGTGTATAAGTACAGCCAAAAAAAAACGGGCCGGGCACGGTGGCTCACGCCTGTAATCCCAGCACTTTGGGAGGCCAAGGCGGGTGGATCATGAGGTCAGGAGATCGAGACCATCCTGGCTAACATGGTGAAACCCCGTCTCTACTAAAAAATAGAACAAAAATTAGCCAGGCATGGTGGTGGGTGCCTGTAGTCCCAGCTGCTCAGGAGGCTGAGGCAGAAGTTGCAGTGAGCCAAGATCACGCCACTGCACTCCAGCCTGGGCGGCAGAGTGAGACTCCATCTCAAAAAAAAAAAAAAAAAAAAGAGGCAACGACTCAATTAAACAAGTTACTCTCTTGCCAATTCTGATCCGCTTCCTCCTTCACCCCACACCACACCCAATGTGCCCAAGACCAGCTGAGAACTCAAACATTCCTCTGGGTGTGTCAGGATCAATGAACACAGAAAGTCCAGGAACACATTCTAATGAAACACGGTGGCTCACAGTGTTCCTACGTAAGCTTTAGGCTTATTTGCACATTTTTAGACAGTAAATAGGCTCAACTCTGAGACAATGAAATGCATCATTTGCCAGGAGGCGACTCCATGTGATGGAAACTGCTAGAACTTGGCTGGACCCGGTTGCCACTTTCCCCCTTGGTGACTCGAGGCTGGGATCTTCAAATATTTTTTAAAGTTGTCCTATTTAAAAAGGAATTGATTTATTCTGAATTGTTCAAAGGTTGTGTTAGGACCAGAAGGCAGAAGAACAGGGAGAAACTTGGCTTTCTAACCCTTACTAACAGTAATGGCACACAATTACTGGCCTCGGAGAGCAATGTCTCAGACACGCAGGGCCCTCTTCCTCCTACCCCTAAGATTCCACCTTGGTCTACAGGTGAGAGCCTTCCAGGACCTCCTGTGTGACCCAGAGTGTGTGGGGAGAGTCCTCACTCCCTCCTAAACGAAGAGAATCAGGGCCTAGTTGGGAGATACCTGATCTCAACTGGGCCACATCCCAGCCTGATAAACAGATTCATGGCTGGGTCAGGCTAGCCTGGAGGCCACCACCCACCGCTCTCTACTCCTGGTGCCAGCTCTCCGTTCCATGCATGACGGGGTCTGCAAGGCAGGCAGTAACCCTTTGGGGAACCAATGGGTGAGGTGGTGAGTCCAGAGCCTGCCTGGTGGGCCCAGGTCTCCTCCGGGCAGACTCTAATGTCTCAGTTTGAGAGAGAAGTAGGTAGAAGACTCTGACTTTGGCCCTATGAGCATTTTCCACTCAAGCGTTTTCAGGAGACCCTGCCCATTAAAGCAGGGGTCTGCAAATGTTTTCATAAAGGTCTAGATAGTAAATACTTTGGGCTTTTTGCCCCAAACAGTCTCTGTTGCAACCACTCGATGCCATTGTCATGCAAAAGCAGCCACAAACAATATGTAAATGAATGAGAGTGGCTGTGTTCTAATAAAGCTTTATTTATAAAAGCAGGCCACAGCAGGGCTGGATTTGACCTGTGGGCCAGAGTTTGCCAATCTGCTTGAGAGTTACTGGGCCTCCAAGACTCTGACACGCATTTGGCTCCATGAGTTCAGAGGGCAAGGTGGGTGAAAGATCGATGCTCCCATTTGTCAATTGGAACCTTGGGGGTCACCCATTAACCTGGTAGATCTTCCAAAAGCACCCTGGGGTCCATGCTGTCATCATCCCCATTTTACAGATGAGAAAGTAGAGACTCAGGCTCAGGACCTTGCCCTGGATTCATATTGGTGGTGACATTTGTGTTAGCCACATTACCAGAAGGGGCCCTGATCCAGACCCCCAAGAGGGGGTTCTTGGATCCTGCACAACCAGATAATTTGGGGCGAGTCCATAAAGTGAAAGCAAGTTGATTCAGAAAGTAAAGGAATAAAGAATGGCTACTCCATAGGCAGAGCAGCCCTGAGTGCCGCTGGTTGCCCATTTTTATGGTTATTTCTTGATTATATGCTAAACAAGGGGTGGATTATTCATCAGTTTTCGGGGAAAGGGGTGGGCAATCCCCTGACCTGAGGGTTCCTCCCCTTTCTAGACCATATAGGGTAACTTCCTGATGTTGCCATGGCATCCGTAAACTGTCAAGGTGCTGGTGGGAGTGTCTTTTAGCATGCTAATGCATTATAATTAGCATATAATGAACAATGAGGATGACCAGAGGTCACTCTCATTGCCATCTTGGTTTTGGTGGGTTCTAGCCAGCTTCTTTACTGCAACCTGTTTTATCAGCAAGGTCTTTATAACCTGTATCTTGTGCTGACCTCCTGTCTCATCCTGTGACTTAGAATGCCTTAACCCTGACTGGGGAATGCAGCCCCAGTAGGTCTCAGCCTCATTTTATCCAGCCCCCATTCAAGATGGAGTTGCTCTTGTTCAAACACCTCTGACAGCCACATAGAGGGGACTCCAGACCCCCCATTCATGCTGCCAGTGGGACTTGTAATGAGAAAGTAAGGCTCAATGACATGAGCCATTCAGAGGGTCTGCAGCCAGAGAGGGTGTCCCCTTGCTGGCAGCATTTGGGTGAGGGCTGCCTAGCTGGGCGTGGGGGCCTGATTCCCTCCGAGGCTTCCTCCAGCTCTCTGCAGGTGACACCAGGCTCTTTATAAATAGCAGGGCCTGCTTTCACCAGGACTTGCTGGTCTGCTGCTTTGTAAACAGGCTTTCTTCTATTTGTGCTCTCTTCTGAGCATCGTTCTATACTCCTTGAGGTTAGGGACACCTTGATAGTGACCACACCCTGCCCCACACAGCCTGGACAGATCTCTGTTCACTGGGGGCCTGGCTGACCAGTGATGGAAGGTGAGTACGGGAGCACCGTCACCCAGAGTTCACTAAACCTTGGGAGTGGACGACCTGAGAGCCCAAGGTGGCCTTGGTCTCTGCCCATCATGCCTGATAGAGAGCACCTACCTCCAGGAATGGAAGCAGTGAGGGAGGCTTTGTGTTTTTCAAAAGAATAAAGTGCAAATTGGTGGTCTGACTCCAATGCCAAACACCGTGCCCAACAGGAGATCCCTGCGCAGCCTGCCAGCGCTGACAAGGAGGAAACAGTAACAAATGCCATCTCCACGAAAATCACATCGCAGCATTCGCAGGCAAGAGTGGGGGCCTGGGCCACACACTGGCTGCTGTGTTTCCCTGCAAGTTTCCAAGTCACTGACCACTAGGGATCCCTGCCACTTTACAGATGTGGAAACTGATGCTCTATCAATGTCATCAGTGCGAACATCTACCCAGCGCTTGGATCTCCTTAGCAGGATTGCAAACCTAGAGTTAGTTCTAGAATCACTTGAGGGGCCGGGGTTCTGTTTTATTTTATTATATTTTATATTTTGATTTTTATAGACAAGGGGTCTCACCTTGTTTCCCAGGCTGGTATTGAACTCTGGGTCTCAAACAATCATTCTACCTTAGCCTCTCAAAGTTCTGGGCTTACAGGCGTGAGCCAGGGTTCTGTCTGACTTATTCACGGCTCTCTCCAGAGGGCATTGCCCAGCACTGACACACAGTAGGTGCTCAAAAAACATGCATCTCAGGAATAGGTGGCAACTGGGGACTGAGAGGGGAGAGTTGGCTGAATCCCACAGCCCAGCACTCGGCCCCTCTTCCCTCCTGCACCCCCAGCCAGGTACAGAGTTACATCTGCTCAGCATCCAGACACCAGAGATGCTCTGGCGAGATGGACGCGTGCTTTGTGAATTAGCGATCTGCCTCCTACAAGACAATAAAAAGGACTAATTAATTTAAAGCCAACATAAGGCAGCAGCGAGGTGAGCATTACTTGTGTACAAGCCTGTATGGGTCCAGCATTTTCCGATGAAAACAAGATCCACCCAGCGGGAGCTTCTGCTGGGCCAGACCAACTCCAGGTAGCTCCCTGCTGGGCAGTGGCTGGTGCCAAAACAGGGCACACGGCTGGAGCAGGTCTCCCTGTATGGGGTTATCTGCCAGAGCACAGAGCTGCAGAACCGGCCAGCAGCAGGCCAAGGCCTCGGTGACAAGCTGCCCCCAGCAGCTCCTGCCTCCAGCCTCCAGGCCCGGCGGAGTCAGCTGCCGCACCTGGTACTTCATTTACAGATGGAAGCTGGCATCTCTCAGAGGTCTTCAGCCTCTGGAAACAGGCCCAGGGGACTGACCGACCCTCAGCATTTGATGTTGGCAACATCTTGGCTTCCACTAAAACCTCGAGTCTGCAGAGGGAAACGGACTTCGCATGGGGCTGGGGTCAAGTCTTGACTTAGCCACACCTTCCCAGCTGCCCCTGGGCAAGTTATTCAGCCTCCAAGTCACAGTGTCCTCCTCTACAAAAGAGACGATATATGTAAAGCTCTAAGAAAACTGCCAGGCCAATAGCAATTAAGCAAGGAAGCCGGCCTGCTGATATTCTCAGGGATGAATTCTCCAGTCTCAACACCATCGGCCAGGGAAGAGAAATGGCTATTATAAAGCAAGAAGAAACCCCAGTTTCTGTTCAGCCTGGCAGAGGGGCCAGGTCCTGTCTCCTTTCTTTGCACCTCTGACTCCACTGATCCCTCCAGCCTGGCACCAGCTAAAGGCTCAGGAGAAAATTCAATCTGCTCAGAGAAATTTCTGCACCACTACTTGCTTTTCTTTTCAAGGGCATCGTTCCAGGTGGATTGGATCCAGGACATCTCCCCCTGCCTATGTAGAGAGTGGCCTGACCTGAGGTCACAGCCCTCCTGGGCAGCCCTGCATCTCATGACTGAGCCAGGTCATGGGGGGCTAAAGGCTTGGCTGTTTGGGCCCAACTTCTACCTCTGTCTAATCCTGTATCCTCCCCCTCCCTATACAAAGTTGATCCCCCATAAATATCATGCACCTGCCCTCTGGGAGTTTCTTTCTTTCCTTTCTTGAAATGGAGTCTTGCTGTGTCACCCAGGCTGGAGTGCAGTGGCATGATCTCTGCTTACAGCAACCTCCGTCTCTCAGGTTCAAGCAATTCTCCTGCCTCAGCCTCCCGGGTAGCTGGGATTACAGGTGCCCACCATCACACCCAGCTAATTTTTGTATTTTTAGTAGAGACAGGGTTTCACCATGTTAGCTAGGCTGGTGTCAAACTCCTGACCTCAGGTGATCTGCCCACCTTGGCCTCCCAAAGTGCTGGGATTACAGGTATGAGCCACTGTGCCTGGCCTGTTTCTATCTGCAGAACCCAACCAAGGACAGCCACCTCCTCCCAGCACAGGCGCCCACTGCGCTGCTCTCCCAGCCCCACCCTCTGTGGGAACGCCCCACGCAGGACCCTCTCATCTTCACTCTTTCTACC
This sequence comes from Homo sapiens, assembly GCF_000001405.40. NCBI lineage: Eukaryota > Metazoa > Chordata > Mammalia > Primates > Hominidae > Homo > Homo sapiens. The sequence goes on from NC_000017.11 coordinate 73,865,577, forward strand.
CCTGACACCCCTCAGCTCAGCTCAAATCTTACCTGAAGGCATCTCTCTCTTCTTCTCCCTTTTCCCTTCCAAACATCTTAATTTCCTGCTGCTGGCTGTATGAGGAATTGTTTACCACCATAAACCACAATACAATTCCATAAATACGTTATTTATCCCTCCTGTTATTATTCCCCATTATTTATTTCTGAAACTCTATTATTAAATCTGTAAAGTGTTCGGTGATACACTGGCAATGAAAGACACTATATAAAGGCGAGTTTATTATTATTTTTACTCCGTGATTAAAACAAGGAAGAAAAATGAACCATATTAAATCAAACTGGATTTCCTTTTGCCCGCAGGGGCCCCTGCTTTGAGGTGAAGGACGGACCCCCAGGGCCTGGGCTGGGTGAACGCTCTCTCCTCCACACTGGCTGCTCTCCCAGCTTCTTTCTCGGCTGCTGTTGGTGACACTAGGGAGAACTGCAGATTTGAAGGAGGCTCCATCGCCGGGCGGAGTTTGTTCCGGGCAAAGCAAAAACGATTCCGTTTGCAATCTTACTTTTTGCCATCAGTCACTGCCAGTGACATGAAAAGGTAATAGAAGTACCCAGGAATCCTGCATTTTATTTCCACTCAGCAGCATTTCTCTTGCAGGGGAAACATAAATTCAGCCGATTTTTGTGCAGATTTTGCAAAATTAGTCTCTTTCCATCTAGCTCTGTGTATATATATATACACACTCCATGCAGGGGCGGAGGGGTGGTTCTGCCCTGTGATAAGAGAGAATCTCACATAGAAAAACTCATCCAGGGAGAGATGGAAGGAGGGCAGGAACAGGAGGCCCAGAGGAGAGACGCCGGGTCAGCGCACAGGTGGGAGGATTAGGGGCAAGGGCGGGGAGGCTCTCTGCATCACCTGGCAAAGCCCTGGCCTTTAGTGCAATGGTTCCCTGGACCAGCCAGCATCAGCGTCACCCGGGAAGCTATTAGAAATGCAGATTCTCAGGTCCCACTTCAGGCCTGCTGAATCGGAAATTCTAGAGGTACAACCTAGCGATCTGTGTTAACAAGCTCGAGAGGTGATTCTGATGCCAGAGTTGGAGAATTGCTGCTTAACTACCTTGCAACTCAAAGGGAGAGGAGGCAGCATCACCCGGGAGCTTCTTAGAAGCGCAGAATCTTCAGCTTTCTCAAGACCTGCTGAATCTGAATCAGCAGTTCCACGAGGGTCCCAGGTGCTTCCCTCACCCATTAACGTTTAAGGAGCATGGCTTTGGTGTTTTGGGCGCTGGGTTCAGGCCTGGCAGGGCAGGGGTTAGGAAAGAGCTTTTGAGGGTGGGAGCTATGGACTGGAGCTCTGGGGTGACAGAGCAATGAGTGGGACATTTAGGGATAAAGGAGCTGGGGCCGTTGGAGCTGAGTACCCAGAGGCAAATGAGAAAGGCCCAAACAATCGAATCCAACTCCAACTTTTCGCATGTCAGAGTTAAAGGCAAAAATCATCTCAATGGGCTGAACCTGAGACGTCTGAGTCCTTAGGAGCCAAACTGACATCCTGTCATTGTTGTTAAATCTTTATGACATGCTCACCAAAGAGGAAGCACAGTTGAGCACGCGATGGAATGATCGTGTGACGGCCTTCAGATACTTTTATGTACTGTGGGGTGTCACAAAACCAAGCGTACTCGCTGCCAAGTTGGGATTTGTTGCTATGGAAACCGTTGGACTGAGCATGGAGAGACTGAAGTTTCGGACCTCAATCCCCACGCTGGCCCACTGTGTTGCTCGAGCCAAGTCACCCCACATTTCCATAGCCGGCTCCCACTTTTTAAATGTCTGTTCTGTCCCAGGCACAGTCATTTTTTTGTGGCAAGAATATTGAAGATCTACTCTCTCAGCAATTTTCAACAACTTTCAAGTATGGCACACACTCTTACTAACTCTAGCCACCATGCTGCATGCTAGGTCCCCAGAACTCATTCATCCTAATGAAAATCTTGAACTCCCCCGGCCCCTGGCAATCACCATGCTACTGTCCACCTCTACAAGGAGGCCTGGGACGTTTTACAACTCATTGTTATCTCTGACAATGCATTTCATCGTCATTAACAATGCATCGCTTAATCATTACTCTATTCTGCCTCAGTTTGCCCAGAAAGAATAATGTCCCCCTTGGTTTTCCTTCCCATGTGATCCACAGTTTGTTTTTTATTTTTTTATTATTTCTTTCTTTATTTTTAGATGGAGTCTTGCTCTATCGCCCAGCCTGGAGGACAGTGGTGTGATAGCTCACTGCAACCTCTGCCTCTCAGGTTCAAGCAATTCTCCTGCCTCAGCCTCCTGAGTAGCGGGGATTATAGATGCGCACCACCACGCCCAGCTATTTTTTGTATTTTTAGTAGAGACGGGGTTTCACCACGTTGACCAGGCTGGTCTCAAACTCTTGACCTCAGGCGATCCACCCGCCTCAGCCTCCCAAAGTGCTGGGATAACAGGCATAAGCCATCGTGCCCGGCCTCGTTTGTTTATCTTAAAAGAAGAGCTGATCTTTGCACCTATACCCTTGCTCATAAACTCCAAACGCTTAGCAGTTCAGGCCAGCATGGATTCAGCGCTCTACAGATGCGATCTTTCGTCACTCAGAACAGCCCTCTACCTTCTGCCCGGCTCGCTCCCCTCTACTGGTGGCCACCCACATGTGGCGTGTTCACTTGCCCCTTCCACAGAACCATGTCCACCTTGGAGTGTGGTCAGCCTGAAACCATGAGGGCCATGCTCAGGGGAGGTCACCACTGAGCAGTTCAGGGGAGGCTCTGGACTTTGGGACCCCTCGAGCAGCTTCCTAGGAGGACGCTGAGTGGATCCTCATTCTCACTGTGAGCTGGAGTCAAAGCAGACCAGGAAAGAGTGGATCTGAGCAGACCACCTCTACAAGCCTGATCAGAGCACAGATGGACACTTCTTGGAAAGACCCACAACTCCCCAGTGAGTGGCAGCCACTTCTGCACCCTCCACCCCGAGGAAGGAAAAGAGCAGCTGCTGTTCCTGGGGACCAGCCTCGGGCCAGAACCTGCACAGTGCTTTAGAGGTGTCCCCCACCCCACTGAGTCCTGAGTGTACACCCCTCCCTGAAGCCTCTCCTTGCCTATCCTGGTCTCTGCTGGAGTCGCAGGATCTAATGGATGGAAGGCCTCTTACAGACCACATGGTCTCATTTCACAAAGGAGCAGCTTGACTTGCTGGTGCTCAGAGCTGGCTCACACCACACCTGGGATTAAAACTCAGGCCGTGGGACTTGCTGTTGAGGAATTGTGTCCAAACCAACCACAGGGAGAGGAAGGAGTCAAATGCCCCCAGGGAGGCCCTGCTGAGGCACCAGCCACCTGGAGAACTAGCACTTGATGGGGAGAGGCAAGCATGCCTTTGTGCACTCATTGATTTGTTTATTCATCCACCTGTTTGCTCGCTTGTTCATTTATTCAACAGCTATTTGTGTCCTGCCATGTGCCAAACACCACTAGGCATGGAAGATATAGTTTGGACCCTAGAAGGGTTAACAGGTGAAATGGTCTGCCCTATGCTCAGCCTGATTGACTGCAAGCAAAGCCTGAGGAAGTCAGGATTGCCTGGGGAAAGACCCGATAGGCCCCCAAATGTTTGCTGAATGAATGCATGGCAAAAGAGAAGCTGCTGCAAGCATAGGGACCTGTAAATTCTGGGAGGGGGCTTGCTTGATGGGTAAATAGGTGCCCTGAGGTTTGTGCCCTAAATGACCAGCAGTGTGGTCGATCTCTTTAGACGTCTACCCTTTTTGAAAATGGACTTTAATTTTCAAGTATTTGGGCCTCTTGACACCTGAGTCCTTTCCCATGAACTCATCCCCCTGGGGAGCCTGGCTGGATCTGTCACCCATCTCATGCTGCAATTCCCCTGCACAACTCTGGATTCATGCAGGAGGTCATTTATTTCTTCCCTGGAAACATCTGTCATCAGCGTTAGTGATGAGTTATGAGGCTGGAGAGCCCTCAGTTTCTCTCAGGACGTATTTCAACCTGGACAGCTCCTGAACAGTTCTCCCTGCAGCTGCTATGATATTTCTCAGCCCCAATTTGCCCTCTTGGCTCTGCCAGGAGGTACAGGGTGCTGGGAATGAAACCCTAGGAAAGAGAGTTCTTCCTTGAGTCCAGTCCAACGAGCCTGTCTTTGCACAGGCACCTGAGAAACAAAGTGGTCAGCCTTGTAATTAATGTTTCTGGCCTCTGACGAACCCTTTCCTCTTGGAACTGGGGCCTTGCTGGTAACCAGAGAGGTACTGGGCCTACCCTTCTCTGCTGCTCTGGGAGGGAACTGTCTCTCCCACCTGGGCCTCTTTGGGTAAGAAGCAAGGGAAAAGGCAAATCTCAACCCTGAAGACTTTATGGAGGAAGTTGCCTTTGCCTCTGAGTCTGCTGTCTTCCATCCACCTCTAAGCCATTGCTGTCTCCTTTGTCCCTACCTACTTCTTCTCCACCCTCTTCACACACCGTCACTTATTAACTCCAACCTGCAAAAATAGCCAAATGATTTCCAAGCCCTGAAAGAGGCAGATAGATAATGACAGAGCGAGTTGGTACGGCGGTAACAAATTGTCCGTATTATAGCACTTTACATCTTGATATCCATTCTCCTCAACGGGCTTATCTGTAAACTGACTGAATTCACACTGGGATGCTAAGAAAATAGCTGTCATATAATAGATGGGGTCTCCCAGAAAATGAACATTTACAAATGGCTGTAGCATTTACTTAAAATGTCATGCCAATTGCTTGCTGTTGTCTTTATGCAATGAGATTGATTTTACTGCTCCTTGGAGTCCTCAGCCTTGATGGGTAGTTTTTAATGCAGCAGTGAGATGCTTTTGCATTTAATTTATAAATACAGCATGCCAAGCCATGCGCTCTTTAAGGTGCAGCCTTGAGAACTGTCCAACCCTCTTTTGCTGGGATCCTCCTCTCCTCTCCTCTCTTCTCTCCTCCTCTTCCTCCCTAGAGGATAAGTTGGACCTGGGCAGGGTCTGAGTTGATCCTATTCATGTATTCAAATGTATGCAGATGTATGCATTTTGTTTAACAAGTTAATTCATTTGCCAGGCCAGGCAGTTGGGGGTTTTCACAGTGTAATACCCACACTCCATTCTCCCTTCCACACCAGATTATGCCCTGGAGTTTTACTTGCAGAATTTCTGGAGTTGGAGCCTAATATAGGCTGGGGGGAGGGGCTGCTTGCCTGTTGGAGAAGATGGCTGCAGGGTCTCCCCAGGATAAGACCAAGGGCTCTGTCCAGCCTCCCGGTTATTCTAGAAGCCCTGGGAAGTCCAGTGCACCTGGAGAAGTGTGCCTCCTTGAGACCACAAAACATGACCACTCGTTTCTCCCTTATCTGCTGAAAAGCTACTTACAACTATCCTTTGACTGGCAGCCCCAGATGGGGAAACAGAACTCCCTGCCACCCCCAGACCCAATGCCCTGTGTTCCCTGTGGTGTTTTGCATCCTCTTCCTTGAGGAGGTAAAATGAAAGAGCTGAGGGAGGAAGGGACGGATGAGCTGCCAAGGCTAGATGGAATGGCCCGTTGCTTCTCCCTCCTGTCTGCCCTGGGAAGATTTCCCACAGCATCTAGGAGCCTTGATAGAGCCCTTTCCATCTCTAGAAGCCTGGCTGTGCCTATGAGGGAATGGCATTTTCATTCAAGGCATTCTCGGTGTGCAGATCTGGATAGGAGCTGGAATTCCTTTGGATGCGGGTGTGTCCTTCAGCCGAGGAGCAGCTGATGATAAGCATCGGCTGCTTATCATCATTATTGATACTAATGATGCCTCACCTGGGTCCCACTCTGCAGGACGGCTCGCACATCCATTATGCCACCAGATCCTAGGAAGCAGAGGCATTGGCATTCTCTCTATCAATCATTTGTTCAGCAACTATTTATTGAGCATCTACTACAAGCCTGAGGCTGTGTGAGGACCTGGGAACAGATCAGGGGGCACAACAGATTTGGTGGCTGCTATTGAAAGCAGCTCTATTCTGGCAGGGAATGGAGACACATCCATTGGTGCAGCGTCCCTGCTGCACCTGAGCCTGCAGCAGCAAGGAAGGGTTGAGGGCGGGCTTCCTGGAGGAAGTGCTATGGAAGCCAAGGCTTGAGGGATGCATAGAAGCCGACAGGCTGGGATTGAGGGAGGAGTGAGGTACAAAGGCAGAGTGTTTTCAGGCAGAGGGGACAATATTTTCCAAGAAACTGAAGCTCAGAGAAGATGAGACATTCTAAGTCACATGACTAGGAAATGAGTGGGAGACCAGTTTCTATGCCCTTGGGGTCCCCTGGTGGGAAACTTCACAGGTGAGGAAACTGAGGCAATGGTCAACACAAGTCTCCTGATTTTGGGAATCACCCCTCCCCTTAGGAGGATAAACCAATGAGCCAGCCCCTTTCATGGAAAATGATCACCTCTCAGATAGATTACAGACAGCTGTGGTTATCAATGCTGGTCTAAAAAAGTGATTAGACAGAATCTAAATAATGATTTAGATTAATCATGTGCAAATGACCCTCTGTGGGGACAAGAAAATAATAAAGAAAGCCAACGTGTTCAGAGCGTTATTACTTACAACCAAGGCCTAGCACATTGTTAATGTTCAATAAATTGCTGAAGGAAGGAGAGACCCCCCCCCCCCACCAACTTCCTCCATGGAGTCTCAGGCCTCTCCCTCCTCTTTGCACTGGGTAGTGAAACCCCCAAGATCAGATGCAGAGCCCCCATGCAAAGCCAGGTCAAGGTGTCAAGTGATAGGGGCCGAGCTCAGTGGCTCACGCCTGTAATCCCAGGCTGAGGCAGACAGATCACTTGAACCCAGAAGTTCAAGACCAACTAGGGCAACATAGTGAGATCTCATTTCTACAAAAAATATAAAAATTAGCCGGGTGTGGTGGCGCATGCCTGTAGTCCCAGCTACTCGAGAGGCTGAGAAGTGAGAGAATGGCTTGAGCCCAGGAGATCAAGGCATCAGTGAGCTGCGATCACACCACTGCACTCCAGCCTAAGTGACAGAGTGAGGCCCTGTCTCAAAAAAAAAAAAAAAAAAAAAGAAAAAGAAAAAGAAAAAGAAATAAGAAAAGAAAAGAAAAGAAAAGAAAAGAAAAGAAAAGAAAAGAAAAGAAAAGAAAAGAAACCACTGATAGAAGCCTGGAGCTGAGAGGGGCCTAAGTTCACCTTATCCAACCTGCTCCTTATGTAGAGGGGGAAATTGAAAGCTGCAGACAGATGAGGCTGTGTCTAAAGTCCTGAGAGAACTGGTGTCAGAGTAAGAACTAGAAGGAAGAGCTTTAGATTCTTCTGCACTGGCCAGGCCTTGAAAATGCAAGTATTCTCTTCTAAGGAAAGCAGCCCCAGGCGCTTCCTTGAAAAGTCTGCTCCCACCTCTTGTGCCAGGGGACCTGGTTACCTTGGCAACCACGCTGGGCCAGGGAGACTGCACTCCAGCCAAAAGCAGTTATGGGTAAGCCAGACACAAGGGAGGCCAGCCAGGGTGTTCCATGTGGATACTGACTGTATCAGTTGTCTATTACTGGGTAACAAGTCATCCCAAAACTTAGCGGATTAACACAATAATCACTTTATTATCTCTCATGATTTCTGTGGGTCAGGAATTTGAACAGGCAACAGTGGGAACTTATCTCTATTCTCTGATGTCTGGGACCTTGGCTGGGAAGTCAAGAAGCTAGGAACAACTCAACAGTTTGAGGCTGAAATCATCTGGAGGCATCTTCACTCACAAGTCAGGTTGTTGATGCCTGTTACTGGCTGGGAACTCAGCTGGACTTCCAACCAGAACACCTCCATGGTATCTAAGTGGGCTAGTTTGGGCTTCCCACCATCATGGCTGCTGGGTTCCAAGAATGAGAGTCTCCAGGAGAGCTAGGCGGGATTGCATGGCCTTTTTATAATCTCGCCTTAGAAGTCACTTCATGTCACCTCTATATATTCTATTGGTCAAGGCAATCACAGAGGTCCTTCCAGGACTGAGGGAGAATAATGTCAAGGTCAGATGGACATTGATATGGTTTGGCTGTGTCCCCACCCAAATCTCTTCTTGAATTGTAGCTCCCATAATCCCCACGTGTCATGAGAAGGACCCCACCACACATGGTCATTGAATCGTGGGGCGGGTTTTTCCTGTGCTTTTCTTGTGACAGTAAGTCTCACAGGAGCTGATGGTTTTATAAAGGGCAGTTCCCCTGCACATGCTCTCTTGTCTGCCGCCATGTAAGACGTGACTTTCCTCCTCCTTCGCCCTCCGCTGTTATTGTGAGGCCTCCCCCGCCATGTGGAACTGTAAGTCCATTAAACCTCTTTTTCTTTATAAATGACCCAGTCTCGTGTGTGTTTTTATTAGCAGCGTGAGAATGGCCTAATACAGATCTGGAAGAGGAGATATTACTGGGGCCATCTTTGCCCCAGTAATCTGCGCCTAAGCAGGGCCTCAGCAATCTACTCAAATTCAGTTATTTTAAGAAGTATATTATTGAGTGCCTGTTATGTGCCAGACAGTGCACTAGGGGATCTCCTGTGTCTTGGGGAGTTTGAAGAAAAGTACACAGCAGCTGCTGAGTCACACTAGGGAGAAGCAGACAGAAACAAGTTCATGCGTGGCTGGGGAGTCCCTGCCTGCAGGCCTTTCCCTCAGAAGCAGCCGCCTTTGTACAGACACAGGTGTCCATCTCCACCCTGGCCCCCAGCAAGGTCAGTGCGTGGGCCATATCAGTGTGGGTGTGACAACCTGGGGTCTGGCTGACCCTGAGGTCTTGCTATATCATATGTGCAGCATCCCCTGCCCTTGAGTTCACAGGAGGGCAAGGGAGAAATTCTGTGTTTATAGCCTGCCATGGAGCAGAGTCGTGGTTCCCCATTTTCCCCTCCTGCTGAGCATGACCCAAAGCCTGCCATCATCTTCCCTTTCCACATCCCCACCTGGGCTCCTGCCTCCAAGGCACAGAAGCCTTCTCAGGGTCCTTTCCGGCCCCAGCCTCCCCAGCCTCCTTTCAACCAACTGAATCTCATAGAAGCAGCTGGTTTTGCTTTTTCCCTCTGTCCCAAAGATTTTCAATCTGCATTGCCATTTTTATTTTCAATGCACCCCCATTAACTCATAAGGGTTCTCAGAGGCCACCTGATTCTTGCATACACCCAGCCATGGGCAGCTCAATCCAACTCATGTCGTTTGCAGACAGCTGAACCCCTTAGGAGGTTCTGCAATCTCATTCAAACAACACTAAACTCATCTCTAGATCCCACTGTGCCTCTCTCGCCCCACTGAAATAATTGTGGATTAAAGGAATCTCCCCAGGCAGGACTGGCATTTGTGCTTATATATAAATAGGGAACCTTCTGAAAAGTTAATTGTGGTGGTGGATTATGGTGGTGACTTCCCAGAGAGAGACAGGGATTGCTTTAATGAAATGAATGTGTGCAGTGCAAGGGTTGAGTCTAAGCTGAGGGGTTTGGCAAGGGGCAGGGAGGAAGGGTGGTCTGATCCAGGAGGAACTGTTTAGGAAATGATGATTTCAGAGAGGAAGGAGGTCAGCGGAAGCTGGATAATTTGTGGCAGAGCAGATCTGATGAGGAGAAAGGCCAGAAGGAAGGGCAAGAGAAAGTAAAGATGAAGCCGTTAGCATTCCTAGGGGCGGATGAAGGCCAGAGGGCTCCGGAGGGTTAATGGGAAAGGTGGCTGCTGGGCAGCTGCTTCAGGCAGACGCCAAACTGGAGAGATCTGGGCTCAAAGCAGAAGAGGACCTGCTTCTCCAGCAGACTTGGGGGCAAACAGGTACAACTCTGAGTTGGACTGGAGGGTAGGAAGTAAGGGTGGAGCAGCAACAAAAGCTGTAACATTCATTCATTCATTCATTCATTCATTCATTCATTCATTCGTTTTTTCAACAATCACTTACTGGGTTTCTACTGTGTGCAAAGCACTGAATTACGCAACTCCCTAGCAGAGGGAATTCCCAGGGTGAGCTGAGGAAGTGACCTTGTGTGCAATCAAAGGTCATCCTCAGCAGAGTGGACTAAGGGGTCCAGGGAGCCCCCAAGAATGCCACAGAGGGAGGATCTCATTTTGAGGTGTTTGGGAGCCAAGGAGGATAGGTGGCTCTTATAGGGGGCAGGACCCTTTCTGTCTCACCTACAGCTTAGAAAAGCTGCATCCCTGCTTCCCTCTCCTGTGGCTCCCCAGTGCCATCCGCATCCTGTGCCCCTCCTCACTCTGGGTTTCCAAGTCCTCTGTGCACGCCTCCCTTCATCTGATGGTCATCTCGTTGGTCTTCTGTCCCCTCTGTCATCGTAGCCTGTCTTGACCCACCCTCCTAAACCCCAAACCTCGGGCTAGACCTGCCTCTCTATCCATTCAAGGAAGTTACCCCAAGGACTTTCCAACCTGTGCCTCACCCACAAACGGTGGTGCAGCTTGGGAGTGGCCATTCCCCTCCTCTTAGAACTCCATGACTCAGTGGCTGTCAACTGGGGCAATACTGCCCATCTACTGGACATTTGGAAATGGGGCAGGGGCAGTTGTCGCAATGGCCAGGGGGTGCTGCTGGCATTTGGAGCATGGACGCCAAGCGTAACCAGCCCCGTGCAGTGCCCTGCACAGACCCACATGGTGACCAGTCGCCACCCCCCAATCCCCGAGTTGCCCTGCTGAGAAATATGAAGCAGGGGCCTTCCCAGCACCCCCTCCTACCCCCACTCTCTCCAGGCTATCAGGGAGCGTGACCTAATCACGCATGCCTGGCTCAGCCCCTCTGGCCTCTTGCACTCCTTCTGAGCTGCGGAAAGATTTCCATCCTTGTAGATATCTTGCCCTGCCAGGTGCTGGCTGCCATTCTGGGGAGTATTTTCAATTCAGCAGGGAGGACACAGCAGCCCCCTGTGGCCCCACAGCTGTGCCAATACAGCTTTTATGGTAATAAGGCTGCAATCTTTGAACTCCTGGTTCCAAAGGAGTTTGACGCCAGAGTCCCTCTCTCATCTGGCTCCAAACTCAGAGAAAGGACCACCGTTGTGACTGACCACCAGTGCTCAAAGCCTAACAGACCCTGCTGGGGAGGTTAGGAGGGTCTGGGCCCGGAGCCTGCAAATCCAACCAGCAAAACCCATCCAGGGCATTTCCAGGAAATGGGCATTCCCGCCCGTCTCCAACATGAGCACTGGAAACGCTTTTGTGTATCTTCATTATAACCTTCTCTGCCCTGCTGCTTCCCTTGTGCATTGGAGATCAGGTTTCTGTAGACACCCAGGGCATCATGGGTGCAGCCATGAAGCCCCAGCACCTGAACTGGAAAAAGATTCCTTTTCCTTTGGTCTAAGGACAATGGGGGAAGGGAGGGCTAAAAACAGGCCTTTGATACACCTGATCGATGTGAGAAAATTGTTCTTTCATTTTAAAATTGCTCTTGGCCATGAGGACATCTGCACCCCATGCACCTTTTACAGTTGTTCTGTGTTTGGCTCCAAACCACTAGAAGACAGATTTATTGGCAGTTCCCAGATGTCCAGGCCAGAACTGCCTCTTCTGACCTTGGTCAAGGTCAAGGGAAGAACTAGCCTGCCTTCCTCTCCCTTGCAGCTCTTTCTGCTTCTTCCTGGGCAACAGCAAGGGGCTGTGGTGTTTGAAAACTCACCTGAGAAGAGGTGACACCTGCCATGGAGCTGCTGGTGGAGAGGGAGGCCTCACTGCTCCAGAGAGAGTGAGAAACCAGCCACATTCAACTGCTCAGCCCTGGTGAGCTTGCCTGAGATTGGAGTCCCCGTCTGTGGCTGTTTGAAAGAGGGCCTCACTTCATAAAGAAGGCAAGCAATCCTTCCTCACCTCCCATCCACAGAGGAATCCTGGCTACAGCTGGAGCAAGGCTGGGTCAGCTTCCAGACCCTCCAGCTCCAACTCCAGCTCTGGAAGCTGACCCAGCCTTGCTCCAAATGTAGCTTCCAATACACGAGTGTCCACCATGCATCCCAAGCAGGATCTGTGCCATCTTCTGGCCATCACACCCACCCTGACTCTCACTCTCCCTGTGTGCCTCACTCCAGCCCGGCCCATTGTCCCCGAGTAGATGCTATCCCCAGACAGGAAGGAAGCCCCTCAAGATGCCAGGTGAGTTCGGGTTCAGACCCCAGGCTGAGCTGCCCGGGCTATGTTGGGGAAACCCTTGGGGCACTGACCAGGAGCCAATTAACCCCCACAAGCCACTCCCAGGGCTCCAGGTGGAAGAACAGACTTATCTCCCTGGTCATCCTTTGTCTCCATGCTCCAAATGCCAGCAGCACCCCCTCTGCACTGCGACAACTTACCCCTGCCCCATTTCCAAATGCCTGGCACATGGGCAACATTGCCCCAATTCCTCCCAATGCCTTGCTCTCAGTAGATCCCCTGCCCCTGTGCCCCAGGGGAGGAGAGGGACGGCCGGGGGTGAAGGGCAGAGGGAGAGACCGACCTCCAGAGCAACTCCTGAGTCCACAGGAACAATCCACCCATCTCGGTGGCTGGAGCCGCCCCCGTGCCCAGCAGGCCCTGTCCTGGCTCAGCACCGCAGGGGGGCTGCTCCAGGAGCCTCTCCTCTCTCAGCCAGGGAGGCCCACAGCCTAGTGCCGCCTGGGTCTTCAGGGGGTGTGTAGACACCAGAACACTCAGGCTACCCTGGAGGTATTCTGAACACCTGGGCCAGCCCTGGATTTTTCTTTTCTTTTCGTTTTTTTAACCACTGATGGCATCCTGTCCTCCCACAGCTCTGTGGAACAGGCAGGGCCAGTGTCACAATCCCATTTTGCAAATGGAAAAACCTGGAGGCGGCCCCTTTACCATTTCCCTTTATAAGGCCCACCAGAGCTGGCACAGATGTGAGCTCCTTTTCCATGTGGTCCCTCCTGAAGCTGTGTTCTTCTGCCTCTGGCTGCCTCCCTTTGCTGTTGTGGCTGGGGTTGGGAGGTGGTTGTGGTGCTGCTGCTCCCAGAGAGCTCCGGGACTCTAGTCTCCTCATCTCTCTTCCCACTGGCTCCAATCCCCACCATCTACTCCAGCACCAGAAAGACCTGGACCAAAGGAGGTGGGTAAATACAGAGGAAGCAAGGCACAGAAGCCGCTAAGGTGTGAAAACCTTCAGGATCCTGATGATATTCAAACCCGGAAAGGTCTCCAAGGAGGAAGTGCAAGCCGTATGCTCTCTGAACCATTCCCCATCTTTGCATGTGGCATTTGGCAAAAATCAGGTCGGACTGGACATCCCCGAGATGGAGAAAAAGAGGTGGAGGATTGGGTTCACTGGGTCTTTGGCAAAATCAGAGAGCCAGGACAGCCTGTCTCCAGGTCACAGAGAGGAGGCACCCAGGCCCCATGACAGAGGGTGGGAACTGAGGGTCACAGAATGCCCTTTCCTGAAGAGTCGGCAGGGGCCTCAGGCCAGTCTTTGGGGGCTGCAAGACTCTGAGTCTCAAGGTACCCGGCGGAGCCCACCACACATGACCTGCACGAGGGACTCGGGAGTCCAGGCCATCGGCCAGGATCCCCGGCGCCCTGCGGTCTGTCCAGCCCCTGGTTGGAAGTAGAGACGACGTCACCTTGGGCATCAGGGAGGAGAATGATGCACGAGCCAGCACAATAAGTGGAGACAGATCTAGTTTGAGAGTCTCCGAAGATGATATTACTCAGCAGCCTCACGCTTTTCATCTGGAACTTATTGGAAAACCTCGCTAAGGGGATCAGCTGCCTCCCAGGTTCCGACTCCCAGCTCCCATCCAATTGGCATTAAGGCCCTTTAAAGTATTACTTCTCGACACCATGAGCATTGTATGTTCCTGACAGGATAAGCCTGCCACAAATTAATACCTGGGGCAGATCCTAAAACACAATTCTTCCCGGCTGCAATAATTCCAGCCAACCCCTCTATCTGCGCTGACAGATGCAGTAAATCTTTCATCGTTGCAATTCATATTGTTTTTTTCCTCTGGTACCTGAAATAGCCAAGACAATAAACTTTACCTCCTTTTATGATTATCGATGTGCTTATAGGGCACCCATGCTGCCTGCACCAGCACCGACCCACCCGGGGTCCCATTGAGCCTGTAGGGAAGCGGCTCCCTTTATCCTGCAGGCTCACAAGCCCCATGTGGAGGCTGGAAGAGTTGGTGGGCTGGTGTCTGGGAGAGACAGAGGTGAGAGGCTCCTGTCTCTGAGAAGCTGAGGGTGGCAGTCAAGGAGGAGGGAGGGGACCTCAGCCCTGAGGTTGCAGGGAGAGACCAGGGCCAGTGAGGACAGCGGGGAGAGCCTCAGGACACAGAGGTCCTCTGCCTGCCCTTGTGCCGGCCAAGGTACATGAGTGACAAACTCTGCCAAGGTCCTCTGTGCAGGGGACTCTGAGAATTGCCATGCGACCTGCCTCATTCCACGTTCTCCTTATTGACAAGCACATCACAGAGAGCCAGATCTAGGTCCTAGCCCCACAGGCCTTGATTTCTCCATCTGCAAAATGGGATTTGTGACAGGAGCCCTGCCTGTTCCACAGAGCTGCGGGAGGACAGGATGCAGGCTGTACATGGCAAGAAGCCAAAACATGACGTCCAGGGCTGGGCCCAGGTGCCCAGAATGCCTCCAGGGTAGCCTGGACTAAGCAAGTCTGCACATTAGCAGGTCAGCCCTGCAGGGCCTGGGGGCGTGGAGGCTGCCTCCAACTCCTAGGGCTGCCACAACAAATTCTCCCAAAGCAGGAGGCTGAAAACAACAGAAATGTGTTTTCTCCCAGTTCAGGAGGCCAGAAGTCCGAAATCAAAGTGTCAGCAGGATTGGTTCCCTCTGGAGGCTCCAAAGGAGAATCCGTTCCATACCTCTCTCCTAGTGTGTCTCTCCTAGTGCGTCTCTCCTAGCTTTTGGAGGTTGCCGGCAATCCTTGTTATTTCCCGGCTTGCAGATGCATCACTCCCATCTCTGCCTCCGTCATCGCATGACCTTCTCTCTGTGCGTGGCCCTGTGTGTCTCTTTTTTCCTTTTCTGAGACAGGGTCTGGCTCTGTGGTCCAGGTTGGAGTGCAGTGGCATGATCATAGCTCACTACAGCCTCCACCTCCTGGGCTTAAGTGATCCTCGCACCTCAGCCTACTTAGTAGCTGGGACTACAGGTGTGCACCACTACGTCTGGCTAAATTTTAATTGTTTTGTAAAAACAGGGTCTTGATATGTTGCCCAGGCTGTTCTTAAACTCCTGGGCTCAAGTGATTCTCCTGCTTCGGCCTGCCAAAGTGCTGGGATTACACCTGTGAGCCACTATGCCCGGCCTCTTCTCCTTGTCTTATAAGGACACTGGTCATTGGATTTAGGGCTCACTCTAACCCTGTTTGGCCTCATCCTAACTAATCATATCTGTGGAGCTCTTATTTCTAAACTAAGGTCATATTCTGAGGTTCTGGATGGTCATGAACTTAGGGGGACACCATTCAATCTGCTACAGGAGTTGGGGGTGGTGACTCTGCCTGAGGGGCTCCTAACAGGGCCCACCCCCAGTCATCTTCAGGTCCCCTGCAGTCAGCACTCCCTCCAAGGACACTTCTCTATCTGTCCCACCCCAAGAACTGCTCAGAGGCAAGGCCATCACCTCGCCCAACTACTCCCTGAAGACTTGGGGTTCCCTACGGAGTCCAAGGAAGCACAGCTTAGCCCTGAAAACATGCCAGCTGCTCATTTGGCTGAGATGCAGCTGATCCCTATCCACACCTTGGTCACCTGTTCTTAACAAACTAGCACCTGCTACCTGTAATCCCAGCAATTTGGAGGCTGAGGCGGGAGGATCACTTGAGGTTAGGAGTTAGAGACCAGCCTGGCCAACATGGTGAAACGCCATCTCTACTAAGAATACAAAAATTAGACGGGTGTAGGGGTGTGCCCCTGTAGTCCCAGCCACTCAGGAGGCTGAGGCATGAGAATCGCTTGAACCCGGGAAGCAGATGTTGCAGTGAGCCGAGATCATGCCACTGCACTCCAGCCTGGGCAACAGAGCAAGACTCTGTCACAAACAAAAAACAAAAAACAAAGAAACAACTAGCACCTGCTTTAACTTTCCCCATCCACACCCCCCCACCTCCGCCATGTGGCTCATCCTCCCTAGTCAATTGTAGAAGGATGACCCCTCTCTGACGGTTCCTCCAGGGCCTTTTCCCCAAAGGTGGAGAGTCTTAGCTGTCACCCTATAGAAGCACATTCCCAAATTGCAGGTAAATTATACATTTGCCTTTTAAGTAGCACTTTAAGCTGGCAGGGAGACAGATTTCTATCAGTGGTGAATGCCCACCTCGGGCTGCTAGATTTCATGCAGGGTTCGTGTGATGGGTAATAACTCTCACCTCCCTCCCTTTATGAAGAGACATGGCTCTTGTCTTTCCGCACGGAGGGAACAATAACACACACATCTTGCCCCGAGGTCTCAGAGGCTGCGGGCTCCTCACCTCCTGGGTCTGGAGCCCACCCACCAGTGCCTTTACTGCCATGGCAACTGCCCGTGGGGCCTGAAAAGGTCCCATCATGACCCCTGTCCGCGGTGCCCATGCCAAAGCAGCTGCCACTGTTGTTGTGCCCGAGAACACGAGGATATTTGCTTTCCAATAACTGTCCTCCTGTTTAATCGCTGGAGAGAGGTGCTTTTGTCACCTGCTCTATAAGTAAATGGTCTTGGCATTTTTGGCAACAGGCTCTTCTCAAAGGGGGAGATGCTTCCCCCTGGGCAGGGCTTCTGGAGAGAGGAGGCCAAGCTGTTTTGCAGAATTCTCCTGGGCATTTGTCCTTCCCGATCTCCTCCCACACTTCCTCAATGGGAGGTGTCTGCTTCCTAACCCCTCTCCAGATCTCTGAGCCTTGACTGTCCCAGATGACCTCCTTTCCCTCCCCAGCCAGGGCTGAACCCCCCTTCCATGCCATCTCCACTGTGCCTTCTCCTGGGACCCTGCTGAGGCTGGAGGCTCTGCCACCAGCCTGGGCACTTGGGAGATGAAGTCTATGGTTCTGCTGTCAAAAGCATGAGCACCCCAGGCTGTCTACCATGTGAAAAGACTTCCCAGAGACTTCTCTGTCCTAGATAAGTTGTGAAAAGCCAAGATCAATTTGCTTCTGAAAATCAGGTAGATCAATATGAATAGCACCATCTGCTGAGGAGCACGTGTGTCCATGAGCAGTGCATGTGTCCGTGCTCACGCACCCTCGGGGGTGCCCACACCCCCGCTCCCTTCCTCACTCTCCCACCCCCACCCTCCCCATCTTATTTGAATCTGCTCACTATTTCCTGACTTAACCCTTTTTTTTCATTTCAGAAGCAACAAGACAGTAAACCTAAATCCCAGGGAAGTGGCTGTGTGTTCACTCTGAGTGCAGGGGACATTGGGATGTGCAGTTTCTGGGAGGAGGGTCCCCTGCCCTGTGCACCCCCATCTCCAGCCCCACTCTTCTGCCTCCCAAGCCCCAGGCAAAATCATCAGCCTGTGACTAACTTTGGGGGACTAACATAGCAGCCACCAGGAGGCCAGAGGTCCCAAAGGCTGGGCAGGTGTCACTGAAGTCCCACTGCCTATCTTAAATCACATCTCTGCCCTCAAGAAGGTATGTGGTGTTGGATGTGGGTGATGAACCCTACCAAGCTTCAAGGTCTTCATCTGTTCATCAGGGATGATGCGATCCTCCACGGGTTCCTGCCTGACACAGAGCAAGCACCCAACTAATAACAACAACAGCCAGCGCATAGGCTGAGCATCCCTAATCCCCAAATCTGAACTCCGAAATGCTCCAAAATCCGAAATGCTCCAAAATCCGAAACGCTCCAAAATCCGAAACTTTTTGAGCACCAACGTGATCTCAAAGGAAATGCTCATTGGAGCATTTCAGATTTGGGATTTTCAGATTAGTGATGCCGAACATAATCCAAATATTCCAAAAGCCAAAATCCAAAACAAATTCAAAAGCTGAAACACTTCTGGTCCCCAGAATTTCGGATAATGGATACTCAACTGGTATTTGCCGCATGCTTGTCTAAGTACTTTATGCATATTAACTCATTGATTCTTTGCAATGATCCCATGATTACCTGTGATTTTTATCTCTCCCACTTTAGAAATGAGGAAAGAGAGGCCCAGAGAGGTCAATAACATACCCAACGTTGCGGAGCTAGTAAGTGTGGTGTCAGGATTTGAACCCAGGCAGTCTGGGTCTTGCACCTACATGCTTTGTCCTGCCATTGGTACTATTTTTTTGTGCTGGGTCAGGCTAGGAGTAGAGATGCAAGCCCAAAGTGCATTGGCTCAGCCCTTGTCCTCAAGAATCTTCCCCTTCCTCTAGGGCACCTCCAAGGTGAAGAGGGAAGACCCCGGGCTCCCTAAGGCCTTGTGCAGACAGAAGCTTCAGCCACTGAGAATGATTGAACCACATCGAGCCTGTCTTTCCCACTATGCTCAGCAGTTTTGCTTGGAAAATGATGATAGAGTAAGATTTAAAAGCCTGGAGAATGGACTATTATTCTTATCAGTGCTAATAAAGGTGAAAGCGTTTCATTTCCTGGTGTGAGTGTGGCTTAGACGACAGAACGCCTTGCTCCCTCCTCCCCATGAACTCCCGGCCTCCTTGTCTCTGGCATCTTCCGAGACCCTCCCAAAGCCCGAGCTCCTGAGAGCCTCACCCCATCAGGAACCCCAGCTCTCTGCAGAAGAAACTCCTAAAAGGCTAGTAGGGCAGAGTGATGGCAAAGTGGGGTGCATTGCTCCCCTTGGGGGTTCATTC
This sequence comes from Homo sapiens, assembly GCF_000001405.40. NCBI lineage: Eukaryota > Metazoa > Chordata > Mammalia > Primates > Hominidae > Homo > Homo sapiens. The sequence goes on from NC_000017.11 coordinate 73,884,392, forward strand.
AGCAAACATTCGTCACGTGCACATTTTGTCCTGGGCAACAAGGGTATTTCAGTGAGGCATTGCCTCACTCTGATTTCATTTCAGTAGGGGAGACAGACTATAAAAATAAACCAGGAAATAGATAATACAATGTAAGGTAATGAGCCATGCTTCAAAGCAAAATAAAGCAGGGAAGGGGGGCTACAGACTAAGGGGAGGAGAGTATATTAGTAACAAGGCAGAAAGCAGACCCCTCCTCAACTAGTGTGATGGGGACAATTAATAAAGGGACAAAGAGGTGGACAGAGTCAGAGGACCCACTCAGGGATGGCCAGTCACCCTGGACCCAGCATCATGGGAAGCTGCCTGCTGCCACTTCTAGACCTAGGAGCACGGAAAGAGAGGAGCTGCCAGAGCTGAGAGTGGGCTGTCGCTGTGAAAGTGACCCTGTGGCCCACTAATGAGAGAGCTGAGAAGTCAGTACCCCAATCTGATTCTCCTCCCGCCTTCTGGTCTCCTGTGGGTGACTTCGTTTGGCCAAACCCAACTGGAAGGCAGAGGGTAAGGGGGCTTGGTCGATGCAGCCCACTCAGTCAGCCTCCTGTGACACAGAGCAGGGTGGGAAGGACAGGGTGCTGGCCTAGAGGGTCAGGCAGAGGCTGGGCAGCTCCGGGCCACTGCTATTCCATATAGAATGGTCAGAGAAGACCCAGTAATGAGGGGCCTTTGAGCAGAAGCCTGAGATCTCTGTTCCCCACCTCCACTGACACGCTCTAGACACCTTCCTCTGCTTTATTCTTCTCTCCCTTTGTGACCAGCCACAGATCCGTCCTTGCCCCTTCAAAGGAACTAGAATATCTTCCCCCAAGATCCAGCTACAGTGGAGACTGAACATAACAGCCACCAGGAGGACAGAGGTCCCAATGGCTGGGCAGGTGGCACTGAAGTCCCACTGCCCATCTTAAATCATGTCTCTGCCCACAAGAGGGTATGTGGCCTTGGATGTGGGTGATTAACTCCCCCAAGCTTCAAGGTCTTTACTTGAAGATGTGCGGGTCTGGCTTTTCAGGGCATCATGGCGGCAAGACGATGCCACGTCTTACAGTGGCAACTGCCAGTGGCCCAGTGTAGTTTCTCTAGGCAAGTGGCAGTTTTTCTGAGGTATGAGGGTTACCCTGGGCCAGTGGCAGTTTCTTTGGGTCGGTGGCAGTTTCTGTGAGGTGTGAGGGTCACCTCCACCCTCCCCCCCGACCCCACTGCTGCTATGCAGTCTTCACTAATTCCTGAGAGAGGAGGGGAAGCCACTGAGACAAGTGAACAAAGCTCAGGCCACTCTGGTCCCTTCCTCCTCTGGCACATTCATGGGGAATGACAGGTGCAGAGGCTCCCAAAGGAAGGCTCCTCCCTGCTCTTCTGTGCCCTGGAGAGGGCTCTATGGCCACTTTGGGCCCTCTGTGCGCCTCTCGAGCACCCACATTCTCTTCTCCTCTCCTGCATGGGAACATGAAGGTGTTTCCTTGCACACTCTACCACATGAAGCCACTTGCTCCTCATCCACTTGCAGCTTTTGCAATCACAGCCTCCATTCGTTTAAGACTTTTTAAGATTCACCTTAAAAAATTGAGTCAATGAGGCCACAAAATTAGAAACACGCACACACACATACACACACACACGCACACACATGCTGATTTTCACTGCAGGCTTCCAACCTTATACGGAGCTGTTGACATTCCTGAGGCTAAGGGAAGGTCCTGGGAGATTCACGCCCATTCTGCTCCTCCATGCTCCATCTCAGGCCACACAGCAGCTGTCAGCAGGTCCCCCTTAAGACCTACATAACACCCAGAGTGCTCTCCAGGTCTGCAAAGAGAAGAGAGTCTTAGATTCTTTTTCTTGCCTTTGTGACAGTCTCTCTGTTCCTCAGCTATCCCTTTGACCCCAGAGCGCCTTCTGATGCCTTTTCTCTAAGAGGCCCTGTCCCCGGGGTGCACCACTGCATGATAACTGGCTTTGTATAGGTTGGCTTTTAGACGCTCTGTGTGCTTCACACTCATCATCCTTTTCCGTAGAGTTAGAATGAAATGCAATCAGCTGGCTGGATATCCATTGCTCTTGGAATAAATTTCAAATTCCCTAAAGTGACCTACAAAGCTATGCATGATGTGTCTGTCCAGCTCCATTACATGACCCCTCCCTCTGGCTCACTATTTCCATTCATACCTGTTTCCTTTCTGCTCCTTGAACACACCAAGACCCTTTCTCCTTTTTACTATGTACTTGCCATTCTACCTGCCTGGAATGATTTAACTCCAGCTCTTGTCATGCATGATGGTTCATTGTCATTCTTCAGGTCTTAACTCCAAAGTCCCCTCTTCAGAGATGTCTTCCTTCCCTACCCTATCAATGAAGTCTCTCTCTGCGCTTCTAGGTCAGTGTCCTGCTATACCTCTGACTCTTTATTTCACAGCATTCATAACCATTTGTAGTTATATTGTTGGTTGAGTGTTGGTGGCGGTAGTAATGGTGGTGGCGGTGGTTGTGTGTGGGGGAGGGGTGTGATCTGTCTTCCCCACTAGGAAGCATATTCTTTGAAGTCAGGAACCAAGTCTGTATTTGTGCAGTAAAGGATCAACTTTACCCAAAGAAAGGTTTGGGTCTTTGGCCCTGGCTCCTGGGAGGGAACCTCTATGTCCTTGGAATGCCCTGTTTGATAAGAGCATCTTTGTTTACCTGGGGTCTTGGGCCACCCTAAATTTTCTATGCTAACAATATGATTTGTGGTAGGTTGGGGGGGTGGTCTTGGACCACTTGGTATAAGCTTGACTTCTGGAAGGCCTAGAGACTAAGGTCAACCTGGCAGGCAGTCAATCGTGTCTATGTGACTGAGCCCCAATAGAATCTCTGGACACCAAGATTTGGGTGAGCATCTCTGGTTGGCCAGACTCTGTGTGTGTTATCGCACATCATTGCTGGAAGAAACAGGTGCTGTCCAAAGTTCCACTGGGAAAGGACAACAGAAGTTCATGCCTGGTCTCTCCTGGACCCTGCCCCATGTACCGCTTCCCTTGACTGATTTCCATCTGTATCCTTTCACCGTAATAAATCACAACCATAAGTATAATGCCTTTGCTGAGTTCTGAGTCCTTCCAGTGAATCATTGAACCTGAGGCTGGTCTTGGATAACCCCCAAACTTTTCCATTGGTGTCAGAAGGGAAGTGGTCTTGGGAACCCACGACCTTTTCAGTGTTATTTACCACTATCTTCTTAGTGCATAGAACCACAAGTGGTATGCAGTAAGTGCTCATGAAGTATGTATTGATAATGAAGGTTCCTCTTGACACAAAGACCTTCCAAATGCAGCCAGTAGGGCTGGGACATGTTCTCAACCACCTGCAGCTTCCTCATACCACCTCATTGAGTTTAGCCCCACCAGGTGTCTTCTAGTTCCCAGAAAGTGCTGAGCTCCCTCAAGCCTCTGGACTCTTCTAGAAGTTGTGTGTGTTGTCTGGGGATTCCTTCATCCACCACCTCCCTGATTCCTCATTGTCCTTCCGGATGCAGCTAATCTTATCACCTCCCCTGGGGAAAATTCCATAGGCCCCGAGTTTCCAAGCCTACCTGAGCTTACCCATGGCATGCTGTTATAATCTCTGCTGTAACACATGGCATCTGGGTTATAATGGAAAGGAGTCTGAGCCTTCTCTTCCTAGAGCTATGTCGCATTTGCAGAGGATCTTCTGCTTAGATACCTCTTCTCTGTGGCAGGTGGACTCTAAGATGGTCTAAGCTGATCCCCACCTCGTGGCACTCACGTTTGTGTCATCTTCTCTCTTTGAATGTGGGCCAGACTGGCAACTTGTTCTAACCAAAGGAATATGGCTAACATAATAAATGTCACTTGAGCTCTTTTAAATCCAGGAACTGTGTGTTTTATCTGTAGGTCTTTACTAGCAGGTGCTGTGCCGATTGCATAGCAGCAAATATCTGCATCAACAAACGGATCAACCCCTCAACAAGGAGAGGTGGAAGGAAGGTTAGGAACATGGTGGAAAATTGTTTTAAAATGATGGTTGTGTAGCAGATCTTAGCATCATTTTCAGAAACAAGATTCTATCTACTCATTCTGATATCTACACAAAAGGATAGGAGATAAAACTATCAGGAGGTCATCCTCTCAATAAGCTTCTTTGGAGTAGAAGTGAGCTGCCCTGCCCATAGGTAGGAAACCCATGCCTCTAAGCTTTGCAGAATGTTCACCTAATCTTAGATTTGGGTCATAGGCACTGGAGCTGGCTACCCTCTTCTCTGTGGCAGGCTGACTCTAAGGTGGTCTAAGATGATCCTTACTTCCTGGTATTCACATTCTTGTGTAATCTCCTCTCCTTGAACATGGTCTTGCCTGGTGACTTGTTCTAATCACAGGAATATGGCAAAAATAATGATTGTCACTTCTGAGATAAGTTTTAAAAGATTGTAACTTCTCTCTTGCTAGTGGACTTTCTCTCTTGCTGGCTTCTTTGGTGCGACAAGGAACTGAGAGAAGCCTCCAGCCTACAGCCAGCTGGGAACGAAAGCCCTGAGCCCAACAACTGTCAAGGAACTGAATTTTGCCAACAGCCACAAAAGTGAACTTGGAAGTGAAGCCTTTTCCAGTCAAGCCTTCACAAATGGCACAGTGCCCACTCTCCAGCCCTGGCTAACACCTCGATTGCAGCCTGAGAGACAGTCCAAAGCAGAGGGCCCAGCCAGGCCACACCCAGAGGCCCCACCCACAAAGACTGAGATCACAAATGTGATCGCCTTAAGCTGTGAAGTTTTGGAGTGATTTGGGGTGATTTGTTAAACGCGGTAGATAACTAACATGCTCTCCCAAGCGCTCATCAACACCAGATCATACCTGACTCTGCTGTTAGCAGCACAGTAAGACAGTCAAGCCATAGACGCCAGAGCCATATGGCCTGGATTCAAATCTCAGGGCCTCTACTTTGTGCCTGTGTGACCTTAGGCAAGTTACTTAGCATCAGCTCTCTCATCAAGGACATAGGAATATTACCTACCTCTTAGGACTGTCATGAGGATTAGATTAGATCCTACATGTACAATGCTTAGAGCAGTGATAATATTTGTAACATTCATCCTGTCCATTATATCATATAAGTGTTGATGGTATTTATTCTTCACGGCTAAGTTTCTTCATGGTAAGTTTCTACTTACATTAGCACATGCAATTGACCACACACCACCCATACAACCCAGCCCTACCACAAGCCAGTAGAAGGAAGGCCTTGGGGCAGACAGCAGCCTTCTCTAACCACAGCCAGGAAGGTCAAGGCCTGGTCCTGGAACCTCAAAGCTCACCTCCTCCTCTCTGCTCAGCATCCCGACCACCCCTGCTTTTGGCATACCAAGAAAGGAGTTGCACACACAGGTCTAGTCTGATCATTCCACTATTTGCAAACACATTTACAAACAGTCAGGATCCATTTCCCTTGAATGTTAAGGGGAATTCAATACCAAATCATTACAATTCAATCCCATTATGGACAGTCATAACCTAAAACAGTTCTCGGCAAGAAAACACCAACGTAGCGCAAGCCACAGCTTCACTGCCCCCAGGGCTCACAGCTGAGTGGTACCTCCAGCCTGGAGGACTCCAGACTTCAGCCCAGTAGCAGAGCTACCTGTGTCCAGGAAGAGGGTCTGTTAGAGGTGTGGTGGTCTAGGGCAGGCTCAGTGCAAGAGTTTGCTCTGGAGTCAGAACGGTTCCTCCTGTAGCTGTCACCATAGAACCAGGCCAACTTTGGCAAATCTCAAGGTGTGTGGTTGCTACAGCACATAGGCCTCTGTGGGTGTGGTGTAAGTTGTGGAGGGGAGGGAGCTGGGGAGGGAAACCAGAAGGATTTCCATCCCTCCTGTGCAAGGGCCTGAGCACCTCTACCTGGGCTTCTGTACCTTGTATTTTCCCAGTTTGCACTGGGAAGCTTGCCCTAGCCTGCAGTCAAGCTACCTACAAAGTCAACACAACATGCGAGATTGCCTGCAGGCCAGCTGTTCGTATTAGAGAGAAGATGGAAATACTCTATGGCAGGATAAGAGGAGAAGAAGCATTCTAGAAGCGGGAGTCTGAGCACAATTTATGTCCTGGGCCACAGAGAGCCTGTCACTCGCTTCCCCTGATAGAGTTTGACCCCCATTTACTTTGTAAAATTGCTTATGGGCACGCAGACACCTCTGAGGATTGGTATCGCCAGTGTTGCCGCCTGGGCCTCTCCTGGGATATGAAGCCTTGTGTTTTTGTTCTCCCATTCCCTCAAGGTGATGGTACAGAGATGTTAGAAAATGCAGGAAGCTGCAAGGGCCTGTTGCCTGCATGAGACCTGGTGTGTGCATGAGTGCATATGAATGAATGTGCATGTTATGGCTAATGAGCATCCACAGAGATTCTCAGGATGACAGGATCAAATAATTGCTGTCAGAGCTATGCTTCTGATTAGCTTTCTCTTCCAAAAGCTAATTGTCCAATTTCATAGGCATCTGCTATTTTTCACAAATGTGTTTGAACTTCACAAGCCAAGTGATTTTTTAGCAGACAGTCAACAACTCAGAAAATAATACATCCTGTATCCTATCTTGTCCCTCTCAACTAAACACTGAAGTTATAGAAGGAAAGCTGAACAGACGTTCGATGCACAAACTTGCCAATTAGCCCTCTCACACCAGAGTCAGGGACTGTTTTTCACTCGATGAATGTGTTGAACCCAGTGGGGACAAAGAACAGCAGGATGTGCGCAGGCACAGAATTTCTCTCCCTAACAGCCGGGGCATGCTCAAGGAGAGCCAGAGTGCAGCAGCTGAGACCTCACACCCGTGTGGGGCTCGAATCAGATCTGCAGTGTGCATGCTGTCTCCAGGCAGTCATGTTCTTTGAGGTGAGGATCTCGGCAGGTTTCATGCCATGTTCAGTGGGAAATGGGATTATACAGGTTTGCAGCTTGTTACCTCTGGCTTCCCACAGCCTTCATGCTGTGCATCTGTGTCAGGTAACTCTTGATGGACCAAACATCTGTAGCCTTGCAAGGAAACATCCAATTTCCCTAGAATTTACCTAACTTCCCTTTCCCTCAATGGCAGAGCTACTAAACTAAAGAGTGGGAATAGGCCCGAGCGTGGTGGCTCATGCCTGTAATCCCAGCACTGTGGGAGGCTGAGGCGAGTGGATCACCTGAGGTCAAGAGTTCGAGACCAGCTTGGCCAACATGGTGAAACCTGGTCTCTACTAAAAATACAAAAATTACCCAGGTGTGGTGGTGGGTGCCTGTAATCCCAGCTACTCAGGGGGCTGAGGCAAGAGAATCACTTGAACCTGGGAGGTGGAGTTTGCAGTGAGCCAAGATCACACCGCTGCAGTCCACCTGAGCAATACAGCAAGACTCAGTCTCAAAAATAAAATAAAATAAAATAAAATAAAATAAAATAATTAAAAAAAAAGAGTGGGGATAAGGAGAGGAGTGTATCAGTCAGGATAGGAAGAGTTAGGCTCCAGTAGCAAACAACACCAAAGTCTCAGCTGCAGAAACGTGAAGAGCCCCTTTCTAATTCCCGCTATGTTTCCATGGGGCTCTTCCCCTGCATAGTCATCATCCTTGCTCTGGAATCTAAGCTGATGGAGCAGCCACCACCAGGAAATTTGCTGATCACCGCATGGAGGCAAAAGACAGCCATAGTGGGTCTTACCATCAGCACTTAAATCCCCAGCCCAAAATGACACAATTCATCGGCCAGAAGTGGCCACATGATTCCATCCAACCACAGGGGGCCAGTTAGTGTACTTCTACCATACGCCTGGAGTATGGAAGAGGCAGAGTATTGGGCAAAAGATGGCACTTATGACCATCACAAAGGTAGTTAAAATGGTCCAGGGGCTCATTGGAGAAAGCAACAAGGAAGCAGATTCAATACCCTTAAGAGATAAACTTTCAAACTTCCAGAGACTTCTTTGAGTGAAATGAATTACCAGTGGAGGTGGCACAGACATTTGTAGAGGTGGTTCCAACAATTATTAGGGGTGAAATTAAATCTTTAAGATCCCTTCCAAATGAATGAAATTAGCCTCCACCACTCACCTGGTCTTAAATAATCTTGTGCTATGGTTTGAATGTGTGTGTTCCCTCCAAAATTCATGTTAAAATGTAATCCCCATTGCAACAGTATTAACAGGTGGGGCCTTTAGACCCTATGGGGGCATGCAGACACCTGCATGAATGGGATCAGTGACCTTCTAAAAGGGCTAGGGGGAAATAGCTGGGCCCTTTTTGCTCTTTTTCATCCCTTCTGCAAGGTGAGGCCACAGTGTTTGTCCTCTCAGGAGAATGCAGCAATGAGGCACCATTTTGGAGGCAGAGACAAAACCCTCGCCAGACACTGAATCTGCTGGCACCTTGGTCTTGGACTTCCCATCCTCCAGAACTGTGAGAAATAAATTTCTGTTTTTTATAAATTACCTAGTCTCAGATATTTTGTTATAGTAGCACAAACGGGCTAAGACACCCTGTCACAAGGATTTGGTCATTCAGATTTGCGAAGGACTAGCAATCTGAAAGAAAAACTGAAATTGAGAGACAGGGTTGAGGTTGGAGATTCAGGTGAGGCAGGTGAATACACGAACTCCTGTTGTGGGCTTAGTTCTCCCTTTGTTAGCTCCATGTTTATATCATGGTGCTCCTGAGGCTAATTATGGTTTTGGTTCCCAATCTGAGGTCACGTGAGCTTAGATGTGGATCTTTCCCCATTGGAGCCATCAGATGAGACCCCAGCCCTGGGAAACATCTTGATTTTAGTTTGCAAGAGACTCTGAAACAGACGACCTAGGTAAGCCACACCTAGTTTCTTGACCCACAGATACTGTGAGATAATAAACATGTGTTGCTTTAAACTACTATGTTTCATGGCAATTTGTTATGCAGCAATGGGTAACTAATGCAAGGAGGTCAATCGAAGGGGAGGGTGGCACAGGTATTAGTGTTTGAGATTTGTGGCTGGATATAAGTCAGAGAGGAAAACAAGTAGGCTCTGACCCAAGAAGTTTAGATAGAGAGTGGCAAGTGGGGTCTCAGGCAAAGGGGTTGGCTAGAACATTTGCTGAGCCTGGCTGGGGACCCCTAATACCTGCCAAAGATGTCGGTAAAGTGGAGAGGTCTGGAGCCAGATGGAGAAGTAGCTTAACTTTCAAAGAGCCCAGGCCAGCTGAGAGCCTCACCCTGTCCTACTCATAGATGATCAGTTGAGTCATCCTGAAATATACATTCAGAACTATATTAAGGGGGCCAATAATTGCTACCACTTATTATGCACCTGCTATAGCTCAGGCTCAGTTCTTTTGCCAACATGACCTCTATTCTCATGACTCTGAGAAGCAGGTGTCATTATTCCTATTTGAGGATTAGAAAGTGAAATTCAGGCAGACCAATAACTTGCTGAAGGTCATTCAGCTTGTAAGTGGCAGAGCTGGGTTCAAACCCACATTGAGCCCCAAAGCCAGTCCTCTTTCTCTTAGAATTCATTCTCCCACCCACCCTCCAGGCAATCAGATGGGCCCCAGGAAAACCTCACATCAAGCTGACTTTTTCCACCACCTTGTCACGACCCACTTGCATAATCTCTCAGCCATTATTATTCCTCTCATAAAACCTCATCCCTATTAAAAAGTGTTTCCTCACCCATCAGCACCCTGATTGTAAAATATAACAAAAAACCTGTCTTTTGCTTAATTTCAAGATATTTATATGACACTTTGAAATGTCAAACGTTTTCATTAAATCCTCTCACACTTGGGCTGACAAAGGGACACCGGGATCTTTGGGAGACACTTTAATCTCAATCAATTAGGAATAAAGTAGTCCTAGCAGTGTGGTGATAAAAGAACACTTTAATTTTAGAGCTAATTAAATATCAACAATTGGAATGCAGCAACACTTAACCTGCAGTAACCCATTATTTATTAGGAATATAATGCATTGACTCTGGGTATGAAGTGAGTTGTAGTATTTTAATATCAGCTGTCACAGTCCAGCGGGTCCCTTTTGTTTCACTCCAGCATAGTCATTTCCCAGGCTCTGCTGGGATCACTCCAGCACCCTCACTCAACACAAGATTAATTAAGCTGGAGATGAGCACACACACACACACACACACACACACACACACACGATGGCCATGAGGGTGCCTTGCCCCAGGCAACACAACCCCGAGCTGGCAAGAGGGCAGCCTAGGCAAGTAACAGTTGATCCAGGCATGTCAGAAGCCTGAGTCTTGGAATGGACAAATTAGGATGCTTTTGGCTGCAAGTAACAGAAAGAAAAAGACCCTGCCTAAAAGAACATTAACAATAAGGGTTTATTATCTTACATAAAGAAAAGCTTGGGGACAGATAGGGTTGCAAAATTGGATAAATCTGAGGCTTGATGATATTGTCAGCTACTAGCAGCTCTCTTCTATCCACTCTGCCATCCTTCACAGGTGAGTGATGTCACTTGGTGGCAGCTGCAGCTCTCTCCCACATGCAGGGTGGGGTCTTGCAAACAGGAGGACGCTTCTCTCTGTGCATCTTTTACCCCTCATTCCTTTTTGTTACATTTTTTAGTTTGTAATACATTTAGATGTAATTAAAAGCTGCAAACATAGCACACAGAGTTCCTGTATACTCCCCATCTAGTTTCCCCTCTTATAAACTAAAAGGCAGGTTTTATTCGGATCTCACTAATTTTTCCACTTTCTTCCCTTTTTCTGATCCAGGGTCCCACCCAGGATGCTGCATTGCAGTTAGTGGTCCCGTGTCCTCAGTCTCCTCTGGTCTATGATAATTTCTCAGTCTTTTCTCGGTTCTGACAATCTTGACACTTTTGAGAAGTGCCAGTTAGGGATTTACTAGAATGTACTATCACGTGGCTTTGTCTGATGTTTTTCTCACCGTTAACTGAGGTTATGAGCTGTTGGGGAAGGGACCACAGAGGGGAAGTTGTCCCTCCTCATCACACTCTATCAGGGGGTACATGATAGCACACGACATTTCTAATGATGTTGGCCTTGGCCAACTGATCAGGATAGGGTTTGCCAGATTTCTCCACTGTAGAGTTGCACTACCGTCCTCTCTCCCTGCACCTTTTTATTGGTGAAAATAAAAATAAAAATAAAAATAAAAATAAAAAACCCTTTCTTAAAGCCATCTAGCTCTTGTCCCCTTGACCCCATGTCCACGCCTAACCAAACACCAGCAAACTGAATCAAATAGGTTTTAACCCACCATAATTCACACCCTGGGGCTGTGGGCGAGTGGGTGGGGTCATCATCACTGAACACACTTGCTCAAACAGAGCTCAGCTAAGTGAGAAGGAAAGAGGGGTGGAAAGGGGAATCAAACAGCAGACGGGCATCCCACAGTGCCGGCCCCTGAAAGTCATCTGCGTGAACATCACTAACCTGTCCCAGCAGCTTGCCCTATGCAGTACAAAAACTAATGAAGGGTAGCTACAGGCACCAACAGACATAAGCAAGTCACCAAGGAATAGCTCCAGGATAACACCACACCACATCCCAGTGACAGTGCCGGCTTGGGAGCCAGACTGCTTGGCTGGTTCAAATCCTGCTTCTATCCCCTGCCAGTGGTGTGACCTCGGGAGAGTTCGTTACGTTTCCCATACCTCAGTGTCTTCATCTTAAAAATGGGGATGATTATCATAAAGTACACATGAAGCTGAATAAACACATAGTAAGCCTGTGTAAGTGTTAGCTATGATTCCATTTATATTGAGCTCAATAATGTGCAAAAATAAACAACCTGTTGTTAGGAACACAATCGTGCATGGTAAAACTATATCGAGGAGTGTGAATGCTATACCCAGAAGTCAGCACAGGGCTTCTCTGTTAGGGGAGAACTGAAAGGAAGACAGATACCCGGGGTCCTCCCAGCTCCTATAATCATCTGTTTCATAAGTGGGGCTCACGGGAACTCACTGTATTAATTTTTCTAACTTACATACACATGGCTCATTGTTTCCACAGGTGAGAATTATTTCATAATAAAAGTAACCTGTCAGGCTCCTCTGTGCCCTGTCTTCAGAGGTGAGGTGGAGCTCCCTGGAGCCAGAGGCAAGCTGGACTGCTGGTTGGTAGCTGCAGGATACAAACCTTCCGCTGACGATCCACAGAGATAACCTGCCCTCTGGGTGCTGGAGTCGGAGTCAGGCCCACGTAGGTCCAACTCCGTCATTTTTCAGCAGTGTGACCTTGATCAAGTTACTTCTCCTGGTCTCACTGTTTTTAGCAGTAAAATGGAAATGCAGAGGTTTTAACCCTCCAACTAATCAGGGTTTGGAGGAGGATCTAGAAGCAAGGTCAATGAAGATGTTACCTCTTGAGTCATTGTGTTTAAAGCCTCCGGCAATAAGCTCGTGGGCTGGCTACTCCAGACCTCCCTGGTATCCCTATTTCACCATGCAAAGGTCTAGTTCCCTCCCCTCCCCTAACAGCCATAAGTTTGCCCTTGGATCTATGGCTCTGACATCTGGTCTCCATCAGCATTTGCAGTTTCCATTTCTTGGTCTTTGCTCCTGGTGTGACTTCCCCTGACCTACTCTGATGGCTGGTCAGCGAGCTAGATGATCATTCATTTCTAGAATGGTCTGCCAGACTCCAGACCCCTGTTCATCTCTGGAAATGCTAAAGCACTGAAGGAGTAGAAAGAATTGAAACATATGGCTCACTTCTTACTAGATGTAAGATTTTGGACACGTCCCCATCTGTTCAACGAAGATGACAGTCACTATCTTGCAAGAATTTTTGTAAAGATGGCATGAAATAATGGATGCGGAGTATTTAAAGAACCTGGAGCAGCATGATACATTACATACCTGATGGTTATTAGGTAGGCAATAAACAGGAGTAATAATTACTACAATATCCAGCAAATATAGTTTACACTTAAAAAGAATTGGCTGCATTTTTCTTTCACTTTTTTCCATTGATTTTTACAAGTAAATGTAATCAAGGTCGTTGGCTGATATCACAGTTTGCGTCGCTAATTTGCTGGAAGCCTTCTGACCATGTACCTAGACCTTGATCTGTGATTTACTGCTGTAGAAATGGTAACAGAGAAAAAGAAAGAGGGAAGAGGTGACAGTCTACTTTTAAAATTTCAGGATAAAGAAAATAGCTGGTCTGGCATCAAAATGAAGGTTGTCATGATGGCTGATTCTCACAGCAAAATACGTGCCTTCTTAAGGGAAGAGAGAAACATGTTTAACTCAATCCTGTTCTCTGCTCTCATCAGAGAACAGGGCACTGGCTCTGGAATGGATAGTATAAGCAAATGTGGATATGGGGCATAAAATAAATGTTAGGATTGCACCTTTAGAGACTATTTATTCCATCTCCCTACTTAGAGGAAAAACTTTGCCTAAATAAAGTATGGCTACGAGGTTCCTTTTCAAGACCAGCCTTGACTTGGAGAGTAATTGACAGGAACACTGCATTAAGAAGGATTCTGCTGCACATTCCCGGCTAAGCTGGAAAGATGGCATGATGGGTGGTTATGTCTACTCTGGGTGCAGGAGGAGAGTCATGGCTGCATTTATGGGTCTATGATCAGTTTTCCATGGCCTTGAACCTTTCCTGGTTCTCTTAGTTAGAATTTGGAAACATGGTCAAGCCACATGGTCACCAGTCAGCTGGGTACGACGTAACAGCTGCAGGCATCAGACAGGACAGGCTAACGTTGAAAATCAGGCAGCTCTGGAAGAGCTCCAAACCCATATTAACCTCTTTATAATTAAATTATTTGTCCTATGGTCCTTGCCGAAAAAAAGCAAAGGGGCCTCATGCCATGTGTGATTTTTTTTTTTTTTTTTTTTTGAGACTGAATCTTGCTCTGTCGCCCAGGCTGGAGTGCAGTGGCACGATCTTGGGTCACTGCAATCTCCGCCTCCCAGATTCAAGCGATTCTCCTGCCTCAGCCTCCAGAGTAGCTGGGATTACGGGCATGTGCCATCACGCCCGGCTAATTTTTGTATTTTTAGTAGAGACGGGGTTTCACCAAGTTGGTCAGGCTGGTCTCAAACTCCTGACCTCAAGTGATACACCTGTCTCGGCCTCCCAAAGTGCTGAATTACAGGTGTGAGCCACCGCACCCGGCCACCATGTGTGATTTTGAGGGGAAATTCTATTGCCCCTTCCCCATGCTCAGCTATTACCTAACCCTTTCATGTGCCTACAGGGATTCATTTCTGCTTCTTGTGTCTGCTGTTGTGCTCAGAACCAAACTTCCACCCACGGGGGTTCAGGGTCAAGGACTTGGAGTTGCAGGCCTTGTTTTATTTACTAGCTCTCCAATTTTGGGCCTCTTACTTTACCTCTCTAAGCCTCAGTGTTCTCAACTGTAAAATGGGGATAAAAATAGTACCTACAGGCCAGGCGCGGTGGCTCACACCTGTAATCCCACCACTTTGAGAGGCCAAGGCAGGTGGATTGCTTGAGCTCAGGAGTTCAAGACCAGCCTGGGCAATGGTAAAATCCCATCTCTATCAAAAATACAAAAAATTAGCCAGGTGTGGTGGTTCACACCTGTAGTCCTAGCTACTCAGGAGGCTGAGGCAGGAGGATCAAGTAAGGCTGGGAGGCAGATGTTGCAGTGAGCTGAGATTGCACCACTGCACTCCAGCCTGGACAAGAGAGAGAGACTGTCTCCAAACAAACAAAAAAACAAAACAAAATAAAAAAACTACCTACCTCATAGATAGAACGACCACCTAATTTATTGTCCAAACTGGGACACTTATAAAAATTCTTCATAATTACATCAGGAGAAAGGCATCATTGGGAATAATCCCACAAAAATCTCAGTGCGTGGTGTCACCCTCCAAATGGGGACGTTGTACAGATGCAAGCAGGAAACGTAGATACGTTCCTGGAACAGACGGCAGGAGCATGTGGGCTGTTCCTGGCTTTTCTTGTCTACACAGAACTTTCTACTATAATTGTCCCCCTCTCTTTGGCGTCATTGTTGTCTTCCTCTCTCCTGGGCCATTTCACCAACCCATAAACACGCATTAATAGCTCCCTCTTTTTTTTTTTTTGAGATGGAGTCTTGCTCTGTTGCCCAGGCTGGAGTGTAGTGGTGTGATCCTAGCTCACTGCAACCTCCGCCTCCTGGGTTCAAGCAGTTCTCCTGCCTCAGTCTCCTGAGTAGCTGGGACTACTTAGAGCCCACCACCACATCTGGCTAATTTTTTTTGTATTTTTAGTAGAGACAGGGTTTCACCATATTGGTCAGGCTGGTCTTGAACTCCTGACCTCGTGATCTGCCTGCCTCAGCCTCCCAAAGTGCTGGGATTACAGGAGTGAGCCACCGTGCCCCGCCCAGCTCCCTCTTTAAAAATAAGAAAAACAATCTCTTCCCAGCCCTCTCCCCTCTCTGGCCAGTACCCCATCTTTCTGCTCCTCTATAGAAAAACTCCTCCAAAACTGCCTATGTGCTCCAGCTCCATTTCCCTTCTCCAAGGGCTTCTTCTTGACTCAGTGATAGCCGAAGACCTTCCATGGCCTCTACACTCTGCGCGACCTGTCCCCTGCTGATTTCTGTACCTCCTCTCCCACTGCCTCCAGACGACCCACTCTTTTCCCAT
Organism: Homo sapiens; assembly: GCF_000001405.40. Taxonomy (NCBI): domain Eukaryota; kingdom Metazoa; phylum Chordata; class Mammalia; order Primates; family Hominidae; genus Homo; species Homo sapiens. The sequence continues at coordinate 73,900,049 of NC_000017.11, forward strand.
GTTCCTCAGACACACCAAGCTCTTCCCAAACTCGCGGCCTTCGCATTGACCGTTCCCTCTGCCTGGAACACCTTTCCTTATGTTTTTGCATGATCACTCCTTTGCTTTCCTCAGGTCTTGGCTCTAGCCCCTTCCCTGCCTGGTTTCTTCCTAATACTTCTGCATCCTGAAATTAGATCATATGTTATTTGGATGCAGTGGGATGTTTGGTCTCCCTTTCTGGAAGGTAATTTTCAGGGTCAGGGACTTGTTTGCTCACGACTGTGTCCTCCAAGACCAGAACGGTGCCTGGCATGTGGTAGGTGCCCAAACAGCACTTCCTGAATGAATGAAATGATACGTAATTTTATAGTTTACGATTATTCACAGTATACACTAACATCATTAGCAATAGTGTATGGAGTTAACTGGCCAGGATAGCCAAGCACATTGGAGGTTTTTTTTTGAGTTGACTCCTCCTCCCCCTAACCTATCCCTTTTGCCAGACTGCATGTTTCAGGAGGGCAGTTGTTCCCCGACCTGGGAGGTGCTTCAGCCCACAGTTTTCCAGATGGGCTCATTGCATTTCCTGGGTTCCAAGCTCCTCAGATGTGATTACCACCAGCAGGAGCGCCAACACAGCCCGCGAGCCCTGCCCGTCCATCAGGGATGGGAGGCAGGCAGTCCCTGTTGTCCTTCCTCTCACCCTCTGCCCTCTCAGGCTTCCACTGAGCATTAATCACACAGCCTGAAGGAATGCCTGAAGCAAAGTCCAGTTCAGAGGAGGCCCGCTGGCCTGAAAGAGGAATGGACGAGAATACAGGGAAACCTGCCAGCCTCCACCCACAGGCCTGGTCTAGCTGGCTCCAGGTTCATGGAGCCCCTCTCCAGTCTCCAGGAATGGGTGCTGCAAGAGCTGAGATCTTAGTCCATCACTCTCCGGCCAAAAAAGGCTGAGTTCTGGCAGGTAAGGCTGCTGCTGAACAGTTAAGATAACTATGCTTCCTGTACACCACCCTGCATGGCCTGGGTCCTCCGCACCTTCCCCTCTCACCATCCAGCATTGAGGTGCACCAGGCCAGCTGGTTGACCTCTTCTCTCCCCCTAGTACACTGTGCTCCTTGTCCTGACCCATTTGGGGCCTTTTAAGGCCCCCCATTGTCGCAGAACTTCAGGAATAAAGCTGGATTGGGCACCCGGTCTGTCTCTTTCTGGTTCTGTAATTGAACAGGCTGTTTAATCCAGGGATCGGCAAACATACTCTGCCAAGAGCTGGACAGTAAGTCCTTTAGGCTTTATGGACCACATAGTCTCAGTCATAGCTACTCAACTCTGCCCTTGTAGCTCAAACACAGCCATGGACTATCTATAAAGGAGTGGGTGTTGCTGTATGCCAATAAAACTTTATTGACACGAACAGGAGGTGGGCCACATTTAGCCCATGGACCATAGGTTGCTGACCCTGATTTACCCTTCTGACCCAGTTTCCTCACCTATAATATAGGGACAATAATGCCTTAACATGACCACTGAGAGTTGATACAAACAAAAGTACTTACAACTGCACAATCATGTTGGGTTTTTGTGTTTTATGGCAATCCCTCACCTTGCATCCTTGCCCAGAGGAGCGGGGCAGGCCCCAGCAGTGCCTCGCTGAGTGCTGTGGCCAAGCACATCACTTTGACTTCGTGGCTGGGAGACTGCGAACCTCAGACTACCTGCGTTATGATTTATTTCAGCGTGACTAGTATACATCTTGGTTCTGCAGCGAGTGGAGGGAATGAGGAGGGCCTTTCAAGGGAGGCGGGATTGCATTCGCACCTGATTACGCTGCGCGGACACAACAGAGGCGCCCGGACCCGCAGCCCTGCCTTCGCCGCCTTTGCTGGGCTGTTTGCGCTTCGTTTCCTTCTCGCCGCCCCATGGCGCGCTTTCTCTCTTCTTTATTTCGCCGGTTCTCCCCGCTCCTAACCTGCTTAACAACTTACCTCGCTCTCCCGCTTGCTCTCCCCCCGCCCCCCATCTCCACTGGTTCCCGAGCTTCTCTTCATGTCCCTAATGGCGTGGCTGCGCCAGCATTTAATAAAAGCTGCTGACCGGGAAATCCGAGCTAACTGAATTACTTCCTCATTAAAGAGGCGGGCAGATTCTTGGGCCCCGCGTGCAGCCACCCTCGCTGCCTCCCTCCCCGCCCCGCTCCGCCCTGCTGGTCCCGCCTGCCGTCCGCAATTAGGCGGCAGATGCTTGCCGCCCGGTGGTGGCCTGGGTTCTGCAGGGACTGAGGGGGCTCGTCGGCTTCTCTCCAGGGTGGATCCCAGCTCTGCTTCCTTTTCCTTCCTTCTCAGACCGTCAGTTTCTCAGCCAGGGAGCTCCAGGCCAGCTGGAGATCAGGAGAAGAGAGGTGGCCTGCTCAAGGTCACCCGAGCCTCCTCCTACCCGAGTTCCAACGGAGACCGCTGGCTTTGGCCTGGGCAGGGGAGCTGGTGATTCCTAAGATCTTCCTTTGGCTTCAGAGAAGTTGGCTTCCTGGCAAGGCTTCCAGGAGATTCCCACAAGCCAACTGGAGTCCCCCGAGAAAAAGGAAAGAGGGGTTGGACTCCAAGGATCCATCCGGCGCCTCCTTTCCACCTCCCGGCTCTGTGTCTGTCACCGGACCAGGGCCTCTGATTCCCCGTGTGCCCCCATTGGGTCTTCCGGGGCTGTGCCAGAGGCCTCCTGTCTGGCCAGTACCCCAGGGCGCCACATCCCCAGGCCGGCCTGCCGGCCTCTCCCCTCGGAGTTCCCACCTGCTTCTCTTAGCGAGAGCTTCCCGCGTCGAGGGCTGGCTCAGTGCCAGGCAGCTGGTAAGTGCTTTACAGGTGTTGTTGCGGAGAAAACCAGAAACCGTTATTTTAAAAGCTGGCCATACTCTGAGCCTTTTACTCGCAGGCAATGGAAGATTTACTCGTTCTTTTGTTTAAGAAAACACCTTAATGGGCCTGTTGGCCTCTGGGTACCGTCTAGATGGGAGAAGATTGAGACAAAGAAACATTGGCCTGTTCTGCATCATAAAGTAAAGGGAAGTTTAGGTTCCCTAAGCTAGGGAGGAGTGGAAGGGGGCGGGGACAGGGAAAGGAACCTTGCCAGGCGGATAAAGAGGGAAGAAAACAGGCTGGTTACAGCTTAGGGAGCCTGGATGCTGCGGTCAAACACAGCCTGGAAAAAACACCTTAGACCCTGAAACTGCCACCACCCCTACGGAATCAGGCGAGACGCTGGCCAAAGCTGGATATCCTACATCATTGTAACCCAAGTTTCTTGTCTTGGAATGAAGTTCGTGCAAGAAGAAGCCCCTTTCCGGGACTTGGAATCCTAAACCAGTGCCACTTGGTAACTCTTCACTCTGTCTTTGTTCTCCAGACCTCCCGGTGAAGTGGTTCCGGCCTGTGGTTCTTGGAGATCCAGCTGGTGCTGCTGTTTGATTATAATGCAGTAGTTTGAATTCATGGATGAATGTCCTCTGCATTGTCTCATGCGAAAGGTTCCCAGTAATCTTGTTTAGGAAGGACTGGTGAATGAATTTTGCTTGGAGGACCCCAGGCTTGGGATGTGGTAGCTACTGCCACAGCCTCTACTCTTCTGGCTATCCAGTTAAGGTTAGGCCTTCACAGGAGGGGGCTGTGTGTCTCTGGGACACCTGTTGACCTAAGTGCTGTCCCTCCTATGGCTGGCTGAGAAAAGACCCAGCTTTCTGGGGGTCTCTCTGTCAGCACAAGGCCTGGCTCTTCATCCCCGCTGCCACACCCTCTTCCCTGGTGCTGAGACCTGTTGGGAGTTTGGGAAATCGTAGCCTTGGCTGTTTACCCAGGAACCTTCTCTTTTTCTCAGTGGGTTGCAGGAGAACAGAAAGGGAGGTCAAAGCGTGCTTGCTTGTGTCTGCAGGGGAAGACTCGTTCATGTAGAGGAGTAAAGCCTACCCCAGTGCCAACTCTGAGACTTGGGAAAAATCACCGTTTTATCAGAGTTTATACCAAGGCACTATGAAATTCACAGATGGCTTTGCTCTCCTGTCTTAGTGTGGTTCTCTCCAAAGGAGACCCTGGGACAAGGACTTGGTTGCAGGTAGCTTATTTGGAGAGGGATACCAAGAAGCTGGGGACCCACTCAGGAATCATGGAGAACATGCTTTGAGACTGTCCCCCTCCAAAGGATGGGGGAGCTGAAGCCTTTATCCTCAGACTTGCCCTGCCTTGGCGGAGGGTTATTAAATTCACAGTATTGAATTCCCAGCACTTTAGGGTGCTCAGTGCATAGGTTGCACAGGCTGTGCAAGCTCTTAAGGCACTGGGGAATGATCAGAAGCAAAACATCAGAGAACCCCAGGTGCTTGAGGTAGAAGGCTGCCAGCACAGACAGGTACAGGTGGGAAGATTGCTTGAACCCAGGAGGTTGAGGCTACAGGTACAGGTGGACAGAGAGGTTATGAAAAGTGTTTGCTATAACCCCCAACCCTAAAAGCCCCAGAGCAAATTTCAGAAAGAAATTCAAGTCCTCTAGGGCTGCTGGTAGGGGTGCAAATGAGTTGGGAGAGTGAGTTCCTCATGCCTTCCTTATCCACATAGTTCCAAGGTTTCCATCGTCCAACTACAGTGTTTCAACAAAGAGACATGCTGGGCGTGGTGGCTCACGCCTGCAATTCCAGCACTTTGCGAGGCTGAGGCGGGCAGATCACCTGAGGTCAGGAGTTCAAGACCAGCCTGGCCAACATGGCATAACCCCGTCCCTACTAAAAATACAAAAATTAGCCAGGCGTGGTGGTGGTCTCTTGTAATCCCAGTTATTTGGGAGGCTGGAGTGGGTGAATCGCTGGAACCCGGGAGGTGGAGGTTGCAGTGAGCCAAGATCACACCATTGCGCTCCAGCCTGGGCAACATAGCAAGACTCCATCTCAAAATAAATAAATAAATAAATAAATAAATAAATAAATAAATAAATAAATAAAAATAAAGTAAATAAACAAAGAGACAGTAAATGCCTGGAGAATGAATTAAGACCCATAGTTCTGGGTTTTTAATGGGATTGTCGAAGAGCTAGACCCATGATGAATTTAGGAAAATTTGGGATAGATATGACAAAAGAGTTTATAGCCATAATATATAAAGCCGTGCCATATTCAATAAGAAAGCAATCACAAGCTGACAGAGAAAACAGTCAAATTATACCAACAGGCAGTTCACCAAAAAATACATGCATATTGCCAATAAATAACTAAAACTATTTCTATCTCATTTGTAATAAAACATAATTTCAGACAAGGTATTATTCTTTCCCCATCAGATTGGCAAAAAGTTTACAAGATTGATACCAGCCAGGGTTGGTGAGGGTGTGGGGAGAGAGACATTCTCAGGCTGTCCACTCTTTTCAGAGACGAGTTTGGCAATATGCATTAAACATGAAGGGTGGGCATGAACCTTGACCAGTTCCACTGCTAGGCATGTACCCCACAGAAATATCAGTATCACCATATATGCACAAAGATGTTACATACAAAGAAGTTCCTTTCAGTTATACTAACAAAATTCGAGCCAGTCTAAGTGTCTATGAGGGATGTAGTTAAAGTACAGCACATCCAGGCCAGGCATGGTGGCTCACACCTGTAATCCCAGCACTTTGAGAAGCCAAGGCAAGAGGATCACTTTAAGCCCAGGAGTTTGAGATCAGCCTGGACAATGTAGTGAGACCTTCTCTATCAAAAAAAAAAAAAAAATCAGCCAGGTGTGGTGGTGCACACTTGTAGGCTCAGCTACTTGGAAGGCTGAGGTGGGAGGATTGCTTGAACCCAGGAGGTTGAGGCTGCAGTGAACTGTGATCATGCTACTGCACACCAGCCTGGATGACAGAGTAAGACCCTATCTCAAAAATAAATAAATAAATAGCATGTACATACCCTGGAATACTATACAGCTATTAAAAAGAATGAGAGAGACTTGTCAGAGGTCCTTTAAGTAATAGAGGAAGGTCTCCGAACACTATTTTATTATTCTATTTTTGTAAAATAAATAACTATATCTACAGTTTGTATGTGTGTGCATTGAAAATGATCTGGCAGGTTCCACAGCAAATTGTTAATGATGGTGACCTCTAGGGAATGAGATCAGAGTGGGGACAAGCAGGGGAGGTGGTAGGAGGCAGTGGTGCAGTGAAGTGGAATGTTTTTCTATACTCTTACTTGGTTTGTTATCTTTATGATGAGCAATTTAATGAAAACCAATCAAATCTGAAACACGGGGAATAGGTAGAATTGAAAAGGATTTTAGCAACTCTCAGTTCCTGCTTTACTTTCCTGGGTCTTCATAGGACAACTCCAGGCTCATTTCATAAATGGAAAGTTGGGCATCAGAGACATAGTGTGAACCCCTGCCCCCCTCTAGTTACACAGATTCTAGGGCCCAGGCTGACTGCTTTCAGGCTGATCTCTGGAATGGCTTTTAATGTATAAGTAAGGGAGATGTATCAGTTAGCTATTGCTGTATGCCAAACATCCCAAGTCTCAGTGGCTTAAAACAAGCATTTATTATTGATCATGCGTCTACAGGACAACTGGACTGGGTTCGACTGATCTCATGTGGAATTACTAAGGCGTTTGTGATCAGCTCGTGAGCTGGCCCATGGTGGGCTGGCCCAGGATCTGGGCTTTGACGCCTTGGCTCCCCTTCAGGTGCCTCTCGCATCACTCTAGCAGGCTCGCCTAGGCATGTTCTCATAGTGGGAGCATAGGTGTGTGGTGGAAATGCACAAGCACTTTTTCAAGTTGTGCTTGAGTCAAAGTTACGACCATGGACCAAAGCAACCTCCTGGGGAGTGTGGGAGGTCATGACTTCAGGGCCTGGATAGAGGGAAGCCATTCGCAAGGCCACAAACGCAATCAGTCTCCTACAAAGACCAGCTCAGGACCTGCAGCAGTCAGAAGGGATTGGAGGTGTCCCCTCCCCAAAGCTTTGGAAGCCTTGCTGCCAGAGTCCAAGTTCTGAGTCGGTGCTGGTCACTGCAGCCTGGGGATAAAGAAGCCCAGTCTTTCCGCTGCAGGAATGGCCCCCACGGGAAGGCAAGCCATCTCCAGCTGTGATTAGTTGGAGATCAGCAGTATCCAGCCAGCCTCCCAATCTCACCTGGGGTCCCGGCGACGGGGGGCCTGAGGATGAAAGGATGGTGGGTAGTGGGCAAGGGAGGAGGGAGGAGTTAAATAAAACACCAGAGCAAGCCCCAGAGGTGTGAATTTGCCCTTGGTCTTCATCTAACAGGGCTGTCTGCCTCCCCTCCTTTTTTCTCCCATGTCCTCCACCCACACCTGCCTCTGAATGTGGTGAGCCAGGAACTGATTGCACAGAAACTTCTCATTTTTAGTTTTACCTCAGGTGGTTGCAAATCTCCTTCCTGCTCAGAGATGGGGACTGAGCCTGCCCCTTGGCATCCTGGTCCTGCTGCCTGCCCCCTCCGTGGCCCCAGCCCCAGCCCCCAGCCTGGACCCCATGCTCCTCCTCAGCACTCTGTCACTGACAGCGCCTTCGCAGGCTACAGGGACTCTGGTGTGGAGTGATAGATTCTGCCTTTTCCTGCTTTCAGGAAATATTGCCATTCGCTTCGCATTTATCCTGCCCCTCATCACCACATGGAGGCCGAGGCTGAGGCGGGCTCGTAGTCATCTATTATCTGCCTCTGTTGGAGGAGGAGGACAGGCTTGCACCGGGAGTGCCAGGAGGTGGGCTGGGGCTGGGGAGATGGAGCTCTCATTCAATAAGCCACAAATATTTATTGGGAGTCGGCTGTGCACATAGAAGTGCAGGTACTGAAAGGAGAGAGAAAAACGGTGCCACAGGGCCAGGGGACACACCCTCCTACCAGACTCACAATGGGGCAAGAGAGGTGGGACATTAGCTGTTAGAGGCTGAAACCGCAAACACCCCTGTGGAAGTAACAGTACAAGAGTGCTAGAGGGTGATTTGAAATCAGGTATAAAAAGCTTTCCATATGCATGCCCTTTGATCCAGCAGTTCCACATCTAGAAATTATTCTAAATGTGTACAGAGATGCGTGTACAAGGTTTATCAGAGCATTATTTATAGCAGAGAAAAGCAACTGGGAAACAAGTTCTGCAACTTATGGTACATCCATATAATGAAATGCCATGCCAACATTCAAATGCATGTGGTAGAAAAATATTTATCTTCAAGACAAGGTCTCGCTCTGTCACCAAGGTTGAAGTGCAGTGGTGTGATCATAGCTCACTGCAGCCTCAGCCTCCCTGGGCTCAGGTGATCCTCCCACTTAAGAAAAATAATTATTGGTATACAGAAAAAGCTTGTGAACCATCATCAAGAGATAACTTCTATAATATTGGTGTGTATAATTCTGGCCATTTTTATACATACACTTATTTATTCACAAATGAGATAGTAGTAATTATTCTATTGCCTTCCTCATCCCCTCTTCCTAAAAGGTCTAGGGAAGTTTATTAAAAAACTAAATGGGATCATTGAGAGTAGGGGCTGAGAGAGCTGTGAACCCTGCTGGTCCCAAGAGCATCCACGTTGTCACACAGACCTCTAACAAACGATGTTTATCACAAGCACCTTGGAGCCAAGCATCTCTTAGGAAGGCAGCCGAATGTGTGAGTAATTTAGAAAGATTTCCATTCAAAAGGACCCCACAAAAGTCGTGACAGTAAGAGAATGGAGATAGGTGTTACTGAAACTTTAAATGGTTGGACAAACAAGGGCATGTCCTGATGTTCCAGATGAATATCTGTGCACCTGAGTATAATCAGCATCTCTCACCTTCCTATGAGAATCGATTTTGTTCACCCCTGTCCCTAGGCTGCGGATACCAAAGGCAAAGTCCCCAAATATTCTCTGCCTGCCAGGAATCTCAAACCCTTTGAAGGGAAAGCTTGATGGTGTTAGGAACGTAGAGGTTTTCCAGAGAAGGGTCTGTTTTGGCAATGATGGGGTCAGTGCTAAACAGTGAGTCCAAGATGGCTGAATGAGAGCAGGTGTTCTGACTTCAGGTGTGGGCTGCAATGATGACTAAGGAGTTTCTGGAAGATCCGTCTGGACCTTGAAGGTTGAGAGAGGTTTCAGCAGGTAGGTAGGGAAAGATCAGCAAGACAAGCAACTGAGGCTTAGAGAGGTGGCCTGACTTATGCCACACCAGCCAGCTTAAGAGGGAGCCTTGAACTTGGGCGGTGCTCTGGCTTCTGCAGAGCCAGGTGTACCTCAGAAGGACCGAGCCTGAGGAGGGGAGGTGGGAGACAGCCTCTCAGCTCCACTCTGATGAAATGTCTTGAACGTAGTTATCCCGTGCAGAGTGTAATGGAGGGAAGTCCTGCGCTCCGTGCTGCTCATTTGCATGTGTAAATGCATGTGTATATATATTGCTTATTAATGTCAGTGGAATTTGCATTTTAAGTGGATTGCCTTGTTGGGCATGTTCTTTAGAGCCCTGGACTTGAGCAGAATTTTCCAACTTGAAAGTTGCTGTTCCCTGCGCAATAAGCAATTGGGCTCTTTCTCAGGGGCCAAAAAAAGGGGGATAGATGGTTGTGGTGTAGAAGAAGGAAAGGGGCAGTGAATAGGGTGTCCAGACAACAGTGACCAGTGACTCTGGGCAGGCAGCAGCTTCTCTGTGCCCCAATCTCCTCATCTGCACTGTCTCCCCTGCTTACCTCACCGGGTTGACTTAGAATCCTGGGAAGATCATTGTCACAGTGGGTAGAAAAGTGGAAGACTCTACAGCTATAGGGGTGATTATCATTCCCACAGCCCAAATAGCAGCCATTGGTGCATTCTCTGCTGCCAGTGTTCATATGTGCTATCTGTCTCCGCACCTCCACCTGGACACAGAACCTGGCACATCTTCGAGTCTTTCCTGCTCCCCAGACAACTTTAATCATCAGCCTGGACTTCTCTAGAGAGGAGAGAATGGGGTTGTCTTGAAGACACAAGAACGAAAACATCCACACTGGACATTCTGTTCTCCAAATCCCATGTGTCAGGCCCCTTTCTCCACTCAGCAGCTGTCCCAGTGGTCTCTGCTCTGGAAATGTCAATTGCCTCAACTCCTATGTGTTGAACAATTTGACTACACTCCAGCTTTTATGCCCACATTTGCAACCCATCAGGATGCTGGGCAAACAAAAGGGCCTCCAGTTCATCAGACGCCCCATCCAGGGAAGGGAGTTGGGACCACAGACCTCAATTTGCCCATTATTTCAACACCAGGGCACTTCACTTCAGCAGTGGAATGTTGCCTTGTTTCCCAACTCATTAGCTCATCTGCTCGTTGTCCCCTGATTTGATGACAAGAATCTGGCTTCCTGAGCATCTGAGGGCATATCACGGCTGTCATCACAGAAGTGACAGTGACTATGGGCTTGAGTCAACCATGCTTGTCTGGGCCCAGCTGCAGCCCCAGAGAACAAAGAACACTGGTACTAAGGGTAACCAGGAGGTGGGAGAGGGCAGAGAGATGGGGGACAGTTAGCTTCGCTACCAGTCTGTCTGAAGGGTATAAATAAGTGGATACAAGACACAAATCTCACATGCTGAAGAATTTCAAATCATTGACTTTGTTACTCCACCCTTATGGAGTAGAGAACAGCTCTTCACTCCTTAAGTGTGGGCTGTGCATAGTGATCTTCTTTCAAGAGTATAGTATGGAAAGGCAGAAAGAAAAGAGAAGTTTTCCAGGGTAGAAACCCAGCATGACTACCTGTATGCACCCTTGATAGGATGTGATAAGAAGATTATGATCCTGTGATTAACTTGGGTGATATGTTTTGGAGGGGAAGATCACTTTACCTCTGTGGTCTTCCCCTCCAAAACATACCCAATCTGATTATAGGAAAAACATCAGACAAACCCCAACTGAGGAACGTTCTACAAAATAACTGACCAGCATGCCCCAAAACTGTCAAGGTCATCAAACCCCCTCAAAAAAGCCTGACTCATAGGCAGGAGGAGGCCAGGGAGACGTGACTACCAAGTGCAATGTGGTTTCCTGGATGGGATCCTGGAACAGAAAAAAAAAAAAACTACAGAAATCAGAATAAAGTATAGACTTTGGTTAATAATAATGTATTAATATTGGTTCATTATTTGTGACAAATGTACCGTACTCATTTAAGGTGTTAATAATAGGGAAATAATAGAGGAAGCAGAGTGAGGAAAAAGGAACTCTCTGTACGATCCTTGGGATAATTCTGTAAACCTAAAACTGTTCTAAAATGAAACATCTGTGAAAAAAAAACTTGGCAAACAATCAGGATTTGTTACTATATTCAAACCTCTTCAACTAAACAAAGTGGCTGTTTTGTTTTAGGTTTTCTGCACCATCGTTTCTCACTGATGTTGGCATCATCAGACTGTCAAAGGCTAAACAGCACCTTTAAGATGCCTGGCAGCAAGTCCATCCAGCCCAGGAGAAAATGGTCCAGGCCAGGGACATGCTATTTGTCAGAGAAAATTACTTGGATTGCTCCCCACTCCTCATCCCAGGGTGTGCCCCACCTTCTGATACTGAAAAGACTCATCTGGGGTATCTACACTCTGCAATTATTGTGTAGTCCTAGGTAGTGTGCTTATCTCCATCAGGATTCAGTATCTCCAGCTATCAGACAAGCTTGGAAGAGCACAGTCCTCATAGGAGAGTGCAGCAAGCATTAAACACAGAATCAATCTTACTATACTCACAAAACGGATTGCCTAATTCAGGTGCCACAGACGTGGAAGCTCCCATTAGCCCCAACTGTGGATCTTGTTTGTCTCAAAACCCCAGTATATCCTCAGGAGCCAGAAGAATATCTGATGCATAGTAGATGCTCAATAAATCAATGGTTATTCTGTGCTGGGTCCTGTGCTTGTCATCATTCACTCTAGATGTCTTCAATAGCCCCTGACACATGCCACCTTCCTCCATGCCACATCAAAAGTCACATGTAATATGCAAACATTAAATGTTGATGATTGAAACACCCTCATCCCATAAACAGTCCTGCCCCACCCCCCACCTCTTACATAACAGATGAGAGTGGACCCCTCCCATCAAGCTGCTCCTCTGTGACTATGCTCCTTTGCTCAGGACTGGGATGAGGGAGATGACTAATGTGTGACGCCAACATGTCACGCCACACACCGGGAAATACTAACGCATAGGCTTCCATTCCAGCAGTATGGTGAGTTAGATACTTTCACATTCCTTTTGAAACAACTAAAATTATTGGGGGAAATTTTTTTAAATACCACTTTGGAAATGCCCATGTGGCACATGAGGAAGGGCTCCACAGAACCCCCAAAGTGGAACAGAAAGTAGCCAAGCCAACTTTTACCCTGAGAATTTCTACTGAAACTTGGAGAACTTGGCTTCAATTCCTCCCTCCCTCCCTCTCTCCCTTTCTTCCCTCCCTCCCTCTTTCCTTCTTCCCTTCCTCCCTTTCCTTCCTCCCTTCCTTCCTCTCTCCTTCCTTTCTTTCCTTTTCTTTCTTTCCTTTCTCTTTCTTTTTCTTTCTTTCACTTTTCTTTCTCTTTCTTTCCTCCCTTCCCTTTCATTCCTTCCTTCTCTTTCTTTCTCTTTCTCTTCTCTTCTCCTTTCCTTTCCTTCTTTCTTTCCTTCCTCCCTTCCCCTTCCTTCCTTCCTTCCTGTCTTCAGAGTCTCACTCTATTGCCCAGGCTGGCGTTCAGTGGTGTGATTTTGGCTCATTGCAACCTCCACCTCCCAGGCTCAAGTGATCCTCCCACCTCAGTCTCCTAAGTGGCTGGGACAGAAGCTGACTGCCTGCCACTATGCTCAGCTAATTTTTCTATTTTTTGTAGAGATAGGGTTTTGCTATGTTTTCCCGGCTGATCTTGAACTCCTGGGCTCAAGCAATCCACCCATCTTGGCCTCCCAAAGTGCTAGGATTACAGGTACACACCACCATGCCTGGCTAATTTTGTATTTTTTTTTAGAGATGGGTTTCACTGTGTTGCCCAGGCTGGTCATGAACTCCTGGGCTCAAGCAATCCACCCTCCTCAGCCTCTCAAAGTGCTAGGATTACAGACGTGGCCACTGTCCTGGCCTCAGACTTCTGTTTTGATGGTTGTCTAAAACAGGGCAACAAGAGAAATATCCTCAATCTAATAGAAGCACACATCAATCTGGGACCACAGAGAGTATTCATCAGGTAAGGATGAGCAGGCAATACACCTGCCACGTAGAAAAAGGTGAAGGGGAAACTTGCTTGACTTGTTCAACCTTGGCATTTGGGGAGGGAGGAAAACAAACTTACTTGAGACTGTGTAATCATGAGCCAATCTTCACAAGGGTCTATGGTCATCATTTTAGCTACCTGTAGTCCAAAAAACCTCAAGGGGGAAATTAAACAAGTTGTCCTAGTTTGGTAGACCATGGCAGAAACCAATGCAAATCCCCTCTGGGAAACTCTGCTTCCACATGACTTACAGAATACTTACAAAATTCTAAGAAATATGGTGGCCCAAAGTCAAAGGTCCCCAGAAATTATCCTGTTAGGACTCCAGGAAGACAGAATTTAAAAAAAGGAAAAAGAGAATGAGAAGGTCTAGCATATGTTTAATCAAAATTCCAGAAGGAGATGATACAAGAAAATGAGAAAAAGATAGTATTCAAAAAGATAATAGCTGAGAACTTTCAAAATATTTTTGTAAGACACACATTTTTATATCCAGGAAGCTCTGGTGGTATCTGATGCTATTCCTGGATGGGAGGATTGGTGCCTTGAAAAAATGTTTGGCACTTCTACTTTCTACTTCTTCTTCTTAGTTTGTAGAAAGTTGCCAAAAAAAAAAAAAAAAAGTTGCTCTCCTCCTATCAAGAAAAAGCTGGATAAATTACAGAATACCAACTCTTCCTGGACCCATCAGAGAGATGAAGTCACAAGGTAACTAAGTAGCCTGGAATCCACAAAGGAGCAAGGCCCTCCAAGGAGAGAAGAGATGCATGAATGACCTACCTCCCTCGTGGCAGAACAAGGGAGGAGGAGGTTCTGCAGCCTAAGTGGCAAGGAGAGTCAGCTACAATTTTAAAGAACCGCTGAAGGCCCCGTGTGCACTAGTGTATCAGTCTGAAATAGATGCAAGCATCTGCTAAAACAGGAATTCCTGTTTACTCACAGGATATTTCCCACGAGCCTCTGACGGGTGCTCTGAGAAAGATTTGGGCCGGCAGGACACCTGAGAGAGCCACCATTTGCAGCGCAGACCAGCAGAAGGTGATCAGCTGCCACCGTGAAGGAGACAGAAAACTCTGCCATTTCCCTAGAGCTTCCTCTCATATGAAGCAAAAGCCTTAAACCACTAGAGGAGGAAGTGCAAACCCTTTTGCCCACTGGGCACAAAGTTAGTGATCAGTGGCTATAGGGGTGGAGAGAGCAGGTGCAACACCCTGTCCAGACCCTTCTCTCCTACAAAGCAAAAGCCATAAATCACTTGAAGAGGGAGAGCAAAGCCTCTTGCACCCAGGCAAAGACACAACGTGGTTAATGAAAAGATGTAACAAAAACTCCAATGCTGGGTGATGAGCAGGTAACTGTCTTGGGCTCAAGGGCCCATGTTGATATTAAGTAGACGTCTCTTACCACTGGAGGAAGAGCAGGAAACGCCTGTCTAAGACCCACCAAAGCAGTTTGACTACTGAAGGAAGAGACCACATGGGGCAACAGTGCTGGAAAGGCTTTACCCCCAAAGCTCAGGTACACAGAGTCTCCCTGAGACTAAAGCTGGACAAGGCAACAGAGAACCTTCCTGCCCCCTCCACAAGCCTATCAGGGAGTACCCAGAAACAGCAGTCTACTGCTGGGGAAGGACAAAGCATGGAGAGAGATCTACTTTGTGACACAGGCATTGAAAGACTGGGTGAGTTGAGGGTGGACCACTCACACTGTGAAAACCCTCCAGCACGCCAGCCTTGACCCTAAATATAGGCAACAGCAGCACACTGATCGGAAACCTGGAAGCCTGCGGTCCAATAATGGTAACCATAGCAACAGCAAAATCCAAATCCAGCTCAACCTGTAGCTAGCATGACTCACCCCTCCACCTAATGACCCAAAACAAGAAGCATGCCCACTTCCAGGCATGCATATGATCTATCTTTTGCTAACCAGTTTTAGTGTGATATTTGACATTCAATCAAAAATTATGAGACATTAAAAAAGGGCAAGAAAACGCAAATTATTTAAAAGAGATAAAACAACCAAAAAAATAAGACTCAGATATGATCTTCATGTTAGAACTATCAGACAAGTACTTTAAAATAATTATGATTAAAGTGCTAAAGGAGCTAGTGAAAAAGTGGGCGGCATGCATGAATGGATGTAGAATTTCAGCTAAGAGAAAGAAATTGTAAGAAAGAGTAAACTGGGAATACAAGAAACAAGAAAAAAGACAAAATCAGAGAAAAAAATTTCCTTTGATGGGCTCATTAGTACACCCAAGACAGCAAAATATGTCAATAGAAATTACACAAACTGAAAAAGAAAAAGGAAAGGGGAGAGAACTGGATTAGAATATATATGAGCTAAAGACATACACAATGGCCTAATATATATATAATTGGAGTCCCAGTGAAAATGATTTTCAAAAATCAAGAAAAACTGAAGACTTTTACAGACAAAGGCCAAAAGAATTTATTACTAACAGGTCTGTACTGTTAAAGGAAGTTCTTGAGGCCCAGAGAATATGATACCACACAGAAACTATACCAAAAAAAAACACCTTCAAAAATGGTAAAAATAAAGGTAAATACAAAAATATTATTTTCTCATTTTTAGTTACTCTAAAAATAGTTGTCTTGTTAAGCAAAAAAAAGTTATATTTTGGAGATATTTTGGGGTTTATAATGTGGAAAATAAAATGTGTATCATCGATAGCACAAGCATAGGTGGAAGAAATTGAAAGTATATAGTTCTTATATAATATAGTGACTTAGTATAAAACTATTTGAAGGTAGACTGTGATATATTAAACATGTTAAAAACTCTGGGACAACAACTGATAGTTTTATTTATTTTTATTTTTTGTTGATATGGGGTCTCACTATGTTGCACAGGCTGGTCTCTAAGCTCCTGGCTTTAAGTGATCCTCCTCCCTCAGTCTCCCAAAGCGCTAGGATTACAGGCATGAGCCACCACACCTGGCTCAGACTTTTCTTAAAAAAGTATAATAAGCCAATAATGGAGATAAAATTGAATCATAAAAATTAGTCACAAATCAGGCAGAAAAATAGAAAAAAAAGAAGAGATGAGACTAAATAGAAAATATTTAGCAGTATAGGAAAATTAAATAAAACCATATCAGTTATAACACTAAATTTAAATAATTAAAATGTCCCAATTAAAAGACAAAGATTGTCAGACTGCATAAAAAAGCAAGACTCAACTATGTGCTATATCCAAGAAACAGAATTTTAATATAAAGACATAACTGGTTAAAAGTAAAATGATGGAAAAGGATACACTCATGCAAACCATGCAAATATTAATTGAAATAACTAGAGTAGCTACATTAAAAGTAGTAAAGGTAGACTTCAGATCAGGAAATATGACCGAAATTAAAGAGGGGCATTGCATAATGATTAAGGATCAATTCATCAAAATGAAATAATTTAAAGGTATATGCACCTAACAGCAGTGCTTCACAACATATAAAGCAATTACTGTCAGAGCTGAAAATAAGTAAATACATCCACGAATAGAGTTAGAATGTCAACATTCCTCTCTTATTAATTGATTGAATTAGTAAACAGAAAATCAGTAAGGACATAGAAGACCTGAATGACATTATCGACCAATTTACTCTGACATTTTATAGAACAACCCAATCAACAACAGCCCGTGACACATTCTTTTCAAGTGCATGTGGATCATTCCATAGAATAGACCATATTCTTGCCACAAAACACATTTTAAAACACCGAAATTATACAAAGTATGTTTTCTAACCACAACTCAATTAGAAATCACTAAGAGACAGATATATGAGCACTCAACAAATATTTGAAATGAAATAATACACTTCTAGTGAGTTGAAGAGGAAGACACAGGGAAATTTTAAAATATGTTTGAACTGAGTAAAAATAAAGGCAACATATTAGAATTTGTGTGATGCAGCTAATAGAGTGTTTGGGGAAATTTATAACATTATATACCTGTATTAGAAAAAAATAAGTGTCTCTGATCAATTACCTAAGTTTTGGCTTTAAAAACCTATAAAAGGAAGAGCAATTTAAATCCAAAGAAAGCACAAGGAAAGAAATAATAAAGATAAGAGCAGAAACCAATAAAATTGAAAGAAAAAATTGATAAAAATTAACAAAATGAAATACTGGCTTTCTGTAAAGGTCAATCAAATTGATAAACCTCTAGTCAGACTGATAAGAAATCAAAAGGGAAAGACAGAAATTACCAATGATGGGAAAAAAGAGGAGAGCTATCACTCCAGAGCCTACAAATACTGAACGGATATAAAGAAAATACTATAGACAACTATATGCCAATACATTTAGTGACTTAGATTAAATGGACACTTTTCCTCAAATATAGAAACTATCAAAGCTTATTCAAAAAGCAATAGATAAGTTGAATAGTCCTACATATATTAAAGATATTAAATTTATAATTAAAAACTGCACACTGTATGTAGTCAAAAACCTTCCCACAAAGAAAACTGTATGCCCAGATGGCTTCATGTGCTCCATGGCAAGTTTTTCCAACATTTAATGAAGAAATAATGTAAACACTACATCAACACTTCCAGAAAACAGAAAGGAAGTGAACACCTCCTAACTTAAGATGAGAACAGTATCACACTGATACTAAAACCAAACACATTACAAAAAAAATACACAGAAAACTATAAACACAGACCAATACCCTTAATGAAGAAAGGTGCAAAAAATCCTTAACAAAATATTTAAAAAATAAATTCAGCAGTATATGAAATGACAGTACATCATGACCAAGTTAGGAGTTTATCGTGGGAATGCAAGGTTGGTCCAGCCTGGGTGACAGTGGGTAACCCTGTCTCAAAAATAAAAAGAAAAAGAAAAAAAAGAGAAAAGAAAAAAAATGAAATTTTGAAAGTTTTTTAAAGTACCACTTACAATATTACCAAAACCAATAAAATACATGTATAAGATTTATATGCTGAAAACTACAAAGCACGGATAGGAGAATCAAAGATCTAAATAAATACATGATGATATATAGGATGTGTCAAGATGTAAATTTCCCCAAAATTGATCTATAAATTTGCTACAATCAAAACTCAGCAGACTTCTTTATAAAAGTCAACAAGCTTATTTAAAAAATTCATTTAGAAAAGTAAAGGAACTAGAATTGCCGAAACAATTCTGAAAAAGAACAAATTTGGAGGCTTATATTATTTGATTTCAAAACATACTATATATCTACACTAATAAAGACAGTGTGGTAATAATGAAAACATATCCAGAAACAGGGCCATAAAAATATGGTTAACTGATTTTCAACAAAAGTGCCGAGGTAATTCAATGGAGTATGGATTATTTTTCACCAAATAGTACTAGAATAATTTGACATCTATGTGCAAAACAAAGTCTTTGACACATACCTTACACAATATACAAAAAATAATTTGAAATGGATCATAGACAATGTGAGCTCTAAAATGATAAACCTCTAGAAGAACACATAGGAGAAAATCTTTGTAAACTTGTTTTTATTTTGGAAAGAAAACAAAAAGCACAAACCACAATGAAAAAAATTAACAAATTAGATTTCATTAAAATCTCAAAATTCTGCCTTTTGGAAAGGCATGTTTAAAACATAAAAGGAACGAGCCATATAGGAAGAGAAAATATTTGAAAAATACATGTCTGATAAGACTGTAACCAGAATACATTTTGATCTCTCAGAACTCAATTATAAGAAAATAACCTAATTTTAAAAACGTTTTAAACTTGTTAAAAGATTTGAACATATATTTCATGAAAAAAGATATACTGATATGGTTTGCCTGTGTCCTCACCCAAATCTCATCTTGAATTCCCTTGTGTTGTGACAGGGACCTGGTGAGAGGTAACTGAATCATGGGGGTAGGTCTTTCTTGTGCTAGTGAATAAGTCTCATGAGATCTGATGGTTTTAAAAAGGGGAGTTTCCCTGAACAAGCTCTCTCTGCCTGCTGCCATCCATGTAAGACGTTACTTGCTCCTCCTTGCCTTCTGCCATGATTGTGAGGCTTCCCAAGCCACGTGGAACTATAAGTCCATTAAAACCTCTTTTCTTCCCAGGCTCAAGTATGTCTTTATCAGCCGCATGAAAATGGACTAATACTTATATACATATGGCAAATAAGCACATAAAAATATGCTCAAAATCATTAATACTAGAGAAATGTAACTTAAAAGCCAATTAGATATCCATGCATACCTATTAGAATGGCTAAAAAACAAAACAAAAATAAAACTTTGACAATACCAAATGCTGGCAGGGATGTGGAGCCACTGGAATCCGTATACACTGCTAGTGGGAATGAAAAATGGTACAGCCACTTTGGAAAACAGTTTGGCATTTTCTTATAAAGTTAAACATATGCTGACTGTATGTGGTAGGCTGAAAAATGGCCCCCTAAAAGGATATGTCCACATGCTAATCCCCAGAACCTGTGAATATGACCTTATACGGCAAATGGGTGAGTATGATCTTATATGGCAAGAGATGTAATTAAGTTAAGGACCTTGAAAATAGTTAATTCTGGATTATCCCAGTGGGCCCTAAGTTCAATCACATGTATCGTCATAAGAGAGAGGTAGAGGGCCCGGGTGTGGTGGCTCATGCCTGTAATCCCAGCACTTTGGGAGGACAAAGTGGGCTGATCACTTGACCCCAGGAGTTTGAGACTAGCCTGGGCAACATAGTGGGACCCGATCTCTACAAAAAAATACAAAAATTAGCCCGGCATGGTGGTCCCAGCTACTCAGGAGGCTAAGGCAGGAGGATCACTTGAGCCCAGGAGGTCAAGGCTGCAGTCAGCCGTGATTGCACCACTACATTCGAGCCTCAGCAACAGAGTGAGACCCTGTCTCACCAAAAAAAAAAAAAAAAAAAAGGAGAAAGACACGCAGAGGGAGTCTGGGACAGAGACAGATGCACAGGGAGAAGGCCATGTGGAGATGGAGGCAGAGATTGAAATTACGCAGCTGCAAGTCAAGGAACATCAAAGTTCGACCACAGCCACCCACAGGTGGGAGAGAGTCATGGAACAGATTCTCCTCTTAGAGCCTCTGAGGTACTGCAGCCAAGCTGATGCCTTGATTTTGAACATCTGGCTTCCCAGAACTGTGAGAGAATACACTGCAGTCGTTTGAAGCACCAAGTTTGTGGTCATTTGTTATGGCAGCTTTTGGGAACGAACGCACGAGATAACCAGAAAATCTCCCTCACACATATTTACCCAAGAGGAATCAATTCATATATCCAAACAAAACCCTTACATGAATGTTTAGAATGACTTTATTCATAATTGTCCCATACTGGAAACAACCAATATGCCCATCAACTGGTAAGTAAACAAATTACGATTCACCTATTCAAAGGAATACTACACATTGATTAAAACAAAACAAAAAACAATGATACATGCAGCAACATGGACTCTCAAAAGCACCACGTTAAGTAAAATAAGTCAGAATCAAAAAGCTCCATGCCACATGGTCTTATTTATGTGACATTATGGAAAAGGCAAAAATGTAGAAATAGGAGACAGATAAGTGGTCACCAGAAGCAAGGGATGTGGGGAAGGAACTGATTATCAAGGAGCATGAGGAAACTTTTTAGGGTGAGGCAATGGTCTATGTTTTGATGGTGATGGTTAAATGACTGTCTGGATTTATCAAAATTAATAGAACTGTATACCTACAAGGAATACAGTTTACTGTATATAAATTATGCCTCAATTAGCTTGAAAAAATGTACGAAATGCCAAAGCAAAAGAAATTATCCTAAAAGCATCAAGAGTGAGAAGACAGAAAACTTACAAAGAAACAGTCATTAGGCTGGTGGCTCACTTTTCCACAGCAACATTGGAAGCCAGAAGACCATAGAATAATTTAGCTTCAATATCCTGAAATAAAATTACTGCCAACCTACCATTCAATATTCCATGTAATCAGTCAGAGTCTGTCAGCAAAACAAAAATAAGTCTAAATATTTTAAGCAAAAAAAAAAAAAGAAAGAATTAACATAGGAAATTAGGTGCTTGCAAAATTGTTGGAAGCACTGGAGGAGTGAGACTCAGATGTTGCAGGTGATAAACTCAGAAATCAGAAGCAAGAAGCTGCAGGGGAGGCCCCAAAGCTGGAGGCAGAGTGGACCATGAAGTCTGTGCATGCTCTTGGAAACTGCCATCACTGCTGATGCGTCCACTGGCACTGCCAGAGGAAGGTTTACTGCCAACTTCTTCATGCCTTCCAAATCTCAAGCAACTAGAATGCTGATGGCAGGGAATTCTGAAATTAGGGGAGTGAAACTACAGCAGTAGTTAGAAAAGATTATAGCAAATAACTTTGGAGATGCGATCAGAATAGCCTTATGTGATTCAGAAGAAATGGAAAGGTATTGGTTAACTTTAAGCCTTATTAAACCAAGTATGCATACAAAATAACTAGAATAACTCCGAAATTAGATGGGCATAGAGTACATAATCCCGAAATAGATGGGAAAAATGGAATAATAATTAAAAAAAAAGAAATTAAAAAGTCATTCTAAAAGAAAGAGAAATACAAAAATCCAGATGAAAAGCATATTAAAGGGATAGAAATTAATCTAAATGCAGGTTGGGTGTCTATAATCTGAAAATTCAAAATCTGCGATGTTCCAAAATCCAAAACTTTTTGAACACTTATATGATGCCACAAACTCTACACCCAACCTCATGTAATGAGTCGCAGTCAAAACTTTGGTTTCATGCACAAAATTATTTAAAATACTGTAAAAAATTACCTTCAGGCTATAGGTATAAGATGTACATAAAACAAATGAATTTCATGTTTGGAATTGGGTCCCATCCTCAATATATTTCATTATGTATATGCATATATTCCAAAATCACTTCTGGCTTCAAGTATTTTGGGTAGGGGATATTCAACCTATATGCAGTATTCATAATAAATAAGAATGAATTCAATTTTTGAATTAAAAGCCCAAGATTATCAGACTATTTTCTTTAATCTAGCGAAATGTGGCTTAGACAAGACAGAAAAAACATGAAGTTTGAAGGTCAAACATAAAAGTTAAGTTTAAAAAGGGAGGAAGATTTAACAAGAAAATACTGAACAAAAGAATTCTGGTGAAGTTATATTGATATAAGATAAAACAGACTTTTAGACTAAAAGTATTACTAAAAACATTGGGACTTTCTACATAATGATAAAATGTTTAATCAAAAAAATGTAATAATTCTAAACTTTCATGCACCAGAACCAAAATGCAAAATATGTAAAGTAAAAATTGACAATACTACAGGAAGAAATAGAAAAGCACAATCATAAGTGAGAGATTTTTATTTATTTATTTATTTTTATTTTTGGTTTTTTCAGACAAAGTCTCACTCTGTCACCCTGACTGGAGCACAATGGCGTGATCTCAGCTCACTGCGACCTCCGCCTCCCAGGCTCAAGCGATTCTCACACCTCAGCCTCCCAAGTAGCTGGGATTACAGGTGTGCACCACCACACACTCAGTTTTTTTTTTTTTTTTGTATTTTTAGTAGAGATATGGTTTCACCATGTTGGCCAGGCTGGTCTCAAACTCCCCACCTCAGGTGATCTGCCCACCTCGGCCTCCCAAAGTGCAAGGATTACAGGCATGAGCCACAGCACCAAGCCAACATAGAGATTTTTAATTCATCCATCTCAGTGATTGATCAAGCAGACAAAAAAATTACTAAGAATATTAAAAATGTGGACAGTACAAATCAGAAAGCTCTTATGGTCATATATAGAATACTGTGCCCAACAATAGAAGAATATACATTTGTTTCAAAGCATACATGAAATAGTTACAAAAATTGACTATGTGCTTGACCACAGAGTTAGCCTCAACAATTATATCATATTATCTAGCTCTAATGCACTCAAGTAAGAAATTTAATAATAAAAATATACCCATTAAAAATCTATGTCTGGAAAGTTTACAATATCTAAGTACTGATGGCTTTAAAAAGGAGTTATAATGAAAATTTGAAAATAGAAATATGAATAACTGAATTATAAAATTATTTCATATAAAAATTTTGGGGGTGCAGCTAAAGCAGTATTTAGAGGAAAATATATAACTTTAGCTGCTTATATTAGAACTAAAGGCTCAAAATTAGTGACTTGAGCATTCCATTTAAAAAGTCAAAAGAATAGCAGAATAAACCCAATAAAAACAGAAAGAAGAAAATATTCAAGCTAAGAACAAAACTAAAGGCAAAAATAAAGTTCAATAAAAAGAAATGTCAAAACCAAAAATTGGTTCTTTGGAAAAAAAAAAAAAAAGCTTTTAAAATGACCATTCCTTAGCTAGCAAGATTACTCAGAAGAAAATAAACAGGATGGGGAGTGGAGAGAGAAAGAATGAAAAAATAAACAATATTAGGAACAATATTAAGAATTAAAAAGGGCTTATTACTGCAAAAGCTGCAATTATTAAACAGATGAGACGAGGTTAAGAAAAACTTTATGATAAATTTTAAAACTTAGATAAAAGTGGATAAATTCTAGAAAAATACAATTTATCAAAGAAGCAGTAGAAAACCTGGAGAGTCTAATGACCTTTAAAGAAATTGAATTATTAGATAAAAATCTTCCAGAAAAAAAAAAAAACTAGGTCCAAATGATTTATCAGCAATTTCTACAAAATGTTTTAGGAACTACTTTTCCAGGTCATAGAAAAAGAAGAAACCTGCCCCCATCAGTTTAAAAGATTAGCAAAATCTTAATTCCAAAACTTGACAAGGATGATATGGGCAAGAAAAATCAGTCTAATCTCATGCAAAAACTGCTTAGTAAGGATAGAATTGATCATTTTGCAGTAACAAATTTCAAAATGTCAGTGGTCTTGCACTATGGAGGTCTGGTTCTCTTCCATGTCACAGCCTGTTGCAGGACAGGCAGCTCCGCTCCAGGCAGTAACACAGGAACCCAGGCTGCTTCTCTTTTATGGCTATACCGCCTAGAACATGCGGCTTCCAAAGTTTCCACAAAAGGGGAAGTGCAGGCTGGAAAATCGTGGGATGATTTTAAGGTCCATGCAGAGAAGTGACTACACCATTGTTGAGGATTGACTTGTGTCCTCCAAAATTCAATTATTGAAGTCCTAACCCCGAGTACCTCAGAATGTGACTGAATTTGGAGATAGGGTCTCATGATGTTTTAAATTATTTAATTACCACTTTTAACAGGGTCTCACTATGTTTCCCAGACTGGTGTCAAACTACTGGGCTCAAGCAGTCCTCCCACCTCAGCCTCCTGAAGTGCTGGGATTACAAGCACGAGCCACCCCACCCAGCCCATAAAATATTTTTTATTTGTGACTTTTACATCTCTGTTCATGTGGCAGAAACCGCACAATGTGCTTAGCCCACCACTTCCTTTTCCTGGACATAAAGAAGTGGTAATTAAAATAAGTTCATAGGGGTGGGTGCTAATCCGATATGGCGGGTGTCCTTATAAGAAGAGATTAGGACACAGCTGTTCATGCATAGAGGAAAGACCATATGAAGACACAGCAAGAGGTCGGTCATCTGACAGCCAAGGAGAGGAGCCTCAGAAGAAACCAAATCTGCTGACCCTCTGATCCTGGACTTCCAGCTTCCAGAACTGTGAGAAAATTAACACCTATTGTTTAAGCTATTCTGTCTGTGGTATTTTGTTAGGGAAGCCCTGGCAAACTAATCCAATTATCATTCCCTTAGTAGGAACTCAGTCACATGGTCCCAATCTAACTGCAAAGGAGGCTGGCAGATTTGCTCTTCTTTATGTCCAGGACAAGGAAATGGTGGGCTAAGCACATTGTGTGGTTTCTGCCACATGAACAAATATGTAAAAGTCATGAACAAAAAATCTTTTATGGGCTGGGTGGAGTGGCTCATACCTGTAATCCCAGCACTTCAGGAGGCTAAGGTGGGAGGATTGCTTGAGCCCAGTAGTTCGAGACCAGTCTGGGAAACATAGTGAGACCCTGTTTTACAAAAAATAAAAAAATTAGCCGGGCTTTGTGGCACATGCCTGTAGTCCCAGCTACTCAGGAGGCTGAGGAGGGAGGATTGCTTGGCCCCAGGATGTCAAGGCTGCAGTGAGCAGTGATCACGTCACTGTACTCCAGCCTAGATGACATAGTGAGACCCTGTCTCAAAAAAAAAAAAAAAAAAAAAAAATTCATGAACCCATTAGAAATAAACCCAACAGAAAAATGAGCAAAAACATAAATAGGCATTTGCTAGAAAAGAAAGCAAAATGGCCCTTCACCATATGAAAAGCTGTGGCTCCCGGCTGCTACTCCAAGCGTGGCCTGCTTAGATCACAGTGGTATCCTTTGGGACATGTCTGTAATAAGGAAAATGAAAAGCAAAATCCTACAGAGATACCATCTCATACTTACCAGGTTGGTAAAATGTAAAAGTTTGTCAATACCAAGAGATGATGAAATGTGGGCCAACAGAAACTCTGGTCCTTCACTAGGGTAGAGTGGGAATGGGCATAACCATTTTGGAAAACAGTTTGCCTGTTCATTGTAAGATTTAATGCATGGTTACCTTAGGATCAACAACTCTACTTCTCAGTGTAAACCTAGGTACATAGAGCAGTGCTTATCAAACTCTAGCATGCATACAATTTTGCTAATATGCAAATTCTAATTCAGTAGATCTGGGATAGGACCCTGAAAATCTGCCACTGTTCTGAGGGCTACACTTGGAGTAGCAAACCTTGAGTTTCATAAATCCATATTCACAGCAATATTCATAATAGCTCAAACCCCAAATTTCCACCAGCAGTAGGCTGGGCAAATAAATTGCAGCATATTCATACACTGGAGTATTATTTAGAAGTGAGAATGAATGAACCACAAACACTCACATTAAAAATAGATGAATCCAACAAATATATTCTTGAGCAAAAGAAGCAAGGCACAGAAGAAAATATACAGTATGACTCCATTATATAAAGTTCAAAACTCAGGCAGAGCTAAATAATACCCAGGCACACCTAATTTTAGTGTGCTTCACAAATATTGCATTTAAAAAAAAAAATTAAAGGTTTCTGGCAACCCCGTGTCAAGCGAGTCTATCAGCATCATTTTTCCAACAGCATGTGCCCACTTTGTGTCTTGTTGTTATATTCTGATAATTTTCACAATATTTCAAACCTTTTCATCATTATATCTGTTATGGTGATCTGTGATCAATAATCTTCAAAGTCACCATTGTAATTGTTTTGTGGTGCCACAAACTGTGCCCATAAAAGATGGCAAACCTCATCAATAAATGTGTGTATTCTGCGTCCTCCACCGAGGAGCTGGTCCCTCATCTCTCTCCTTCTCCTCGGGTTCCCTTATTCCCTGAGACACAAAAATATTGAAATTAGGTCAATTAGTAACCCTAGGTGTTAGGGCAATTAATAATCCAAGTGTTCAAGTGAAAGGAAGAGCTGTACCTCTCCCATTTTAAGTCAAAAGCTAGAAATGATTAAGCTTAGTGAGGAAGGCCTGTCAAAAGCTGAGACAGGTCAAAAGCCAGGCCTCTTGCATCAAACAGCCAAGTTGTGAATGCAAAGGAAAAATTCTTGAAGGAAATTAAAAGGGCTACTCCAGTGAACATACTAGTGATAAGAAAGTGAAATGCAGCACTATTCACAATAGCAAAGACATAGAATCAACCTAGGTGTCCATGAACGCTGGATTGGATAAAGAAAATGTGGTTCATATATTCCATGGAATACCATGTGGTCATAAAAAAAAGGAACGAAGTCATGTCCTTTGCAGCAACATGAATGTAGCTGGAGGCCATTATCCTAAGTGAACAGAAAGAGAAAATCAAATACTGCATGTTCTCACTTTTAAGTGGGGGCTGAACATTGCATATGCAGGGACATAAAGATGGAAACAATGGACACTGGGCACTCCAAGAAGAAGGAGAGAGGGACGGGGGTAAAGGCTGAAAAACTCCCTCTCAAGCACTATGCTCACTAACTGAGTGGTGGGTTCAGTTGTACCCCAAACCTCAGCATCATGCAATATACCCTTGTAACAAAACCTGTACATTTAACCTCTGAGTCTAAAATAAAAGTTGAGAAAAAAAAAAAAAAGGAAAATAGACTTATTGCTGGTATGGAGAAAGTTTGAGTGGTCTGGATAGATGATCAAACCAGCCACAACATTCCCTTAAGCCAAAGCCTAATACAGAGCAAAGCCCTAGCCTTCAATTCTATAATGACTGAGGGAGGTCAAGAAGCTGCAGAAGAAAAGTTTGAAGCTAGCAGAGGTGGGTTTAAGGAAAGAAGCCATCTCCATAACCTAAAAGTGCAAGGTGAAGCAGCAAGTGCTGATGGAGAAGATGCAGCAAGTTACCCAAAAGATCTAGCTTCATAATTGACAAAGGTGGCTCCACTAAACAACAGATTTTCAATGTAGAGGAAACAGCCTTCTATTGGAAGAAGATGCCATCTAGGCTTTTCTTAGCTGGAGAAGAGAAGTCAATACCTGGCTTCAAAACATCAAAGGACAGGCTGCTCTCTTGTTAGAAGCTAAGTAGCTGATGACTTTAAGTTAAAGCTAATGCTCACTGACCTTTCTAAAAACCTATGGGTTCATAAGAATTATGCAGAATCTACTCTGCCTTTGCTCTGTAAGTGAAACCAGAAAGCCTTTTGACAGCACCTCTGTTTACAGTATGGTTTACTGAATATTTTAAGCATACTGTTGAGACCTACTGCTCAGGAAAAAAAGATTCTTTCAAAATATTACTGCTCATTGACAATGCACTTGGTCACCCAAGAGCTCTGATTAACATGCACAAAATTAATGTTGTCTTCATGCCTGCTAACACAACATCCATTCTGCAGCCCATGGATCTAAAAGTAATTTTGATGTTCAAGTCCTACTATTTAAGAAATACATTTCATAAAGTTATAGTTGCCATAAGTAGTGATGAGCAACGTGAATTGAAAACTTTCTGGAAAGGATTCACCATCTTTTCATCTAGAGACTCTGTCTTCTAGATGCCATTTGAACATTTGAGATTTATGGTAGGAGGTCAAAATATCAACACTAACAGGAGCTTGGAAGAAGTGGAGTCCAACCTGATGTTGAGGGGTCTAAGATCTCAGTGGAGAAAGTAACAGCAGATGCAGTAGAAATAGCAAGAGAGCTAGAATTAGAAGTAGAGCCTGAAGATGTGACTGAAATGCTGCAATTCATGATAAAACTTGAACAGATGAGGAGATGCTTCTTACAGATGAGCAAAGAAAATGGTTTCTTGAGATGGGATCTACTCCTGGTGAAGATGCTGTGAACATTGTTGAATTAACAACAGAGGATTTAAAACATTACATAAACTTTATTGATAAAGCAGAGGCAGGGTTTGAGAGAACTGACTGCAGTTTTAAAAGAAGGTCCACTGTGGGTAAAAAGCCATCAAATAGCATCTCATGCTGCAGGGAAATCTTTCATGAACGGAAGAGTCACTGGATGCAGCATACTTGATTGCTGTCATATTATAAGATATTGCTGCTGGGCATGGTGGCTCACACCTGTAATCCCAGTGCTTTGCGTGAACAACATGGGAGGAATGCTTGAGCCCAGGAGTTTGAGACCAGCCTGGGAAACATAGCAAGACCCCATCTGTACAAAATTTTTTTTAAAATTAGATGAGCATAATGGCATGTGCCTGTAGTCCCAGATACTCAGAGGCTCAGGTGGGAGAATAACTTAAGCCTCGGAGTTCAAGGCTGTAGTGAGCTATGATTGTGCCACTGCACTCCAGCCTGGGTGATACACTGAGACTCTGTCTTCAAAAAAATAAAAAAGAAATTGCTACAGCCACCCCAACCCTTGGAAACCACCACCCTTGGATGATGATGTGAGCAGCCATCAGCATCAAAGCAAGACCCTCTGCCAGAAAAATGATTGACTTGCTAATAATCAGAGGATTGTTAGCATTTGTTAGCAAGAAAGTATTTTAAAATTAAGGTATGTACATTGTTTTTAAGACATAATGCTATTGCACATTCAATAGATTCCAATATCGTGTAAACGTAACTTTTATATGCAATGGGAAACCAAAAATTTTGTGTGATTCACTTTAATGTGATATTCACTTTATTGTGGTAGTCTGGAACAAAACCCACAATACCTATGAGGTAGGCCTATATTGTTTAGGAATATTTATATACCTTGTAAAACTTTGTGAAAAAAAGAGAGAGAGAGAGAAGGAAGAAAATGCTTAATATGAAGCTCAAGACAGAAGTTACCTCTGGTGGAGGGAAAGAGGAAGGTGATAGGAAATAAATACCTAGGGGCCTTCTCAGGAGCTGCTAATGCTCTATTTCTCAAGCTGAATGGTGAATACGTGGGTGTTTTATTATTACTCTTTAAGCAGTGTATATATACATTACACTCTTTTGAATAAAAAAGTAACAGGAAGCCTTTTTGTATTTAAGTCCCCAGTGACTAGTAAAATAAATCTAGTGGGTTATGAAAAGTCTAAATTTTGAGAATCAAGGAGTACTTGCACCTCTGAAATAAAGCATGCAGACATCTCAGTTTGCAAGTCATGCCATATTGGACACCCAGGAAATAAGATCCGGGACACGCACCCTCTTTCCATCTAAGACTCCCAGCGACAGACAAGGAGACAGGAGGGGGCAGGACTGCAGAGTAAGTACAGAAAGCTAACTGCATCCACGTGTTGACATGGGGCAGAGTGGGCCAGTGCAGAGGATGCGGGTGGGTAACTTCCTGGAACAGCAGGAGAGAAGAGAAAAGGAACAGGGGGAAGGGCTGGAGACACATCATCTCCCATGTCATCAGTTTGGGAAGCTCTTTGGAAAAGCCCACGTTTACTTTCTGAAACCTCATCAAACCTTTCTTCTACTACCTTTAAAAGAATACCCCACCTACTGGCTGTGGGAGCCACAGCCAGGCAGCTTTAACTCTTGAGACACTCAAGATTCTGCGGTCTGGGGCACAGATCCCCCGATTCCAAAGCCTGTCCCTCCCAGACAGGTGTGGTACCTGGGCCAGACTTCTCCCACTTCCATGCTAGGGAGCTCCTTTTTTGCAGCAGCTCTGCTTGCAACTTCCACCCCATGTAAGGGTGATGATGAGATTGGATTTCAACTGAGAGAGAAGCAAGTTATAAATACATCCTGGTGTACTATTAATGTCAATAATATTAGTACAATTATTTCCAGACTAGTCAGATTCAATAAAAGCAACAGTAAACAAGCCTGAGGCAGCCACCAGGTGAGCGCTGTGGGGGCTGCACAGCTGGCTGGCTGCTGAGGACGATGCTTTGCCTTTCTGGCTGTCTCTTGAGCAGGGGAAGCCATGGTGTTTGGCTGCAGTTCTGCCAGCGCCTGCTCACACACCCCCAGGTCCTGATGCCTTTAAGTAACTGAGCAAAGCAGCCATCTCCATTCGTAGCAACAACTGTGCCACATGTGAAAGAAGGAGAGAGTTTGAGCACTATAGGCTACTCACAGGCGATACGTCTGCAAACCCAGAGCCAAGACAGTAGAGTCCGGCTTTGCAGACTCGCCTTCCTGAAGTCCTTGGAATGCTGGCATTCCCTCTAGCACTTCTCCCTGCTTTGTAATTATCCATTTACACGTCTATCATTCCACTCAATTCTGAATTCTCTGAGGACACGGACCAGGAATCCCTACTGCCCAGGACGGTGTGCAGTGCAGAACAAGGCTCAGCAAATGTTGAGTTGTGAAATCTGGGAGGCTCTCTCCTGGCTGTTTGGGAAGTCAGGTCCTTTAGAGGCTAAGAATACAGGCCTGGAGTCAGCTGGGCATGGAATTAAAGGCCTTTTCTCCCACTTATTGGCTGTCCAATTTTGGGTAAGTTACTTCGTATGGTTTGGCTGTGTGTCCACCCAAATCTCTTCTTGAATTGTAGTTCCCATAATCCCCACGTGTCATGGGAGGGATCCGGTGGAAAGTAATTAAATCATGGGGGCAGTTACCTCTATGCTGTTCTTGTGATGGTGAGTGAGTTCTCATGAGAGCTTATTGTTTTATAAGAGCCTTTCCCCCTGCTTTGCTCTGCACTTCTCCTTGCTGCCATCATGTGAAGAAGGACGTGTTTGTTTCCCCTTCCACCATGATTGTAAGTTTCCTGAGGCCTCCCCAGCCATGCAGAACTGTGAGTCAATTAAACCTCTTTCCTTTATAAATTACCCAGTCTTGGGAATGCCTTTATTAGCAGAGAGCAGAGACTAATACATTACTCAACCATTCTGTGTCTTGGTTTCCTCATCTGTAAAATGGAAATAATAATCATCTTTGCTTTATAGGGTTGTTGTGAGGATTACCAGAAGGGATAAATGTCAATGAAAGTAGCATGGTGCCAGGCACATATAGGTGCTAAATAAGCATATTGCTATCATTATTATTATTTTAATGAGCACATTATTATCTGTGATTATTAGAGAGGCAATATGGCAGAGTTCATAAGAGCCAGACTCCCGGGGTTAAATTCCTAGTTCAGCCCCTTTCCAGCTGTGTGGCCTAGGGTCACCGTGGATGACTGGGCTAGAATAGGGTGAGGCAAGTGAGGCACCTAGGACGTAAAATTTAAGGTGGCTCCTCACCTGCCACCCTCTCATCCTGTCCCTATTGAATGAGCCCTTTGCCTCTCTATGCTACATCATAAGTGATAAATGAATGTTAGCTTCTTCTATGGATAAAATGAGTTTCCCTAGAACAACTGTCTATGTAGCGGTCTGTTCGGCTGTTGTATCAGAAGAATAAAGCTGAGCCCATGAGCAAACACAGTGGGAGTAAGCAGTTAAGGGCGTTCAGTGATGGAGAAACAGGGGTGACCCAAATGCCTTTCTCAGAGTGCCCTTGCCCATTTCCAATCAACTGCGTTTTCCTAGAGTTTGTGTGAGTGGGTTTCTGTACCTTGCAAACTAAAAACACTCTCTGACTAAGCAGTGATAGAAAGCACCAGAAAGCAAGCTGGGAATCACATCCAGGAGGCCTTGCAGGCCATGCTAAGGATGTTTGGTCTTGGCTCTTGCTGGCTACTCCATTTCTGATGTTGTTCTTACTTGGGAAATCACGCGCACAACAACCCCCTTGAACACCCACTGCCCGGGCAACTTGCTCCCCCGTCTGCTCACCCAGGTTCCTGTTTCCTCCTGGCTACAGAAGCAAATAAGAGAAGAGGGTCACCGAGGGTGCTCCTATGCAGAGAACATAAAACATTCGGCGCTGGCTTCTCTCCAATCAGAAAGAGATGGTGTCCACTTTATTATTAAAAAGGATAAAACGGTCTTCCCAGCAGCTACCGACCTGGGACTTTAAACACATTTGCATGGAACATTCCCTCTGGCACCATCCTGGAGAATGTCTCTGGCTCTCCTGCTCTCTACAAAGGCCTGTATATCTTTTCCTTGGGCCTTTCCAGCTGAATTTTAAAGAGGGTTTTAGAGAGCGCGTCATGACAAGGGTTCTTCAGAGTCTTCTAAATCATAACGCACAGAACCGAAAGAGGGCTATTTCTTTTCCTAAGAATGATTTGCCCACTCTGATTCAGTGATTCACCCACCCCAGGCACAGGCTAAGAAACTTTGCAAAAAAAATGAGAAACTTCCCATCCTCAATTTTTCCTCCCCAAGAAATCCCTCTCAATCTCCTCTCTTTTGCTCTCCCCTCCCTCTTCCCTCTCCCCCCTCTCTCCATCATAAAATAATAAAACAAACCCAAGTGCATGTAAATCCCTCGCAGTTGCTGTAGAGGGGGCCAGCCAGATGTATTTACTACTAAGTGGATGCAAATTCACTTACTGCTGATTTTCAAAGAAATGAGCCGCCCCTGCCACAATATTGCTTTTCTCATCACCAAATGGGGCCTTTGCTTTGTAATTTGGTGAAGCTGTCAAAACAATCAGATCTAGGAGGCGGGATGGTGTCTGCGTTTTGGCATCCCAAGAGATTGATCTCAGTGGTTGCTCCAGGCAGCTCCACTCAGAAATGTGCTCCGTGGGGGAGGCCATCTAGGGCGTGTCATGGAAAGAGATGGGTTAGCTGGGTGTGGAGCACAGGGCAGAGCCAAGGTCAGGATGGGCTAGACCTCCAGGTTCCTCAGCTGCAAAAGCAGCCCCAGGGAGATGTGGTTCTGGACCACCCAAGGGGCTGCAGAAAGAAAGGTATCGACACACATACTTGTTCAAACCTGTACTCTTTTCTAGGACTTCACAGGTCCACTGGGCCACAGCAGCCGGTCCATGGACTCCAGATCTAGAACCCATGCTGGGTAGAAACCCCTTCAACTGCTCAGGCAAGTCATTGGATCTATCTGAGCCTGACTGGATTTTTCATTTGCAGGAGAAAGTTGACGAATCTGTCCCCATGTTCCTCTCAAGCCCTAGTTATAGGACTTCTGAGGTAAAGGACAAGTTGGGAGAGTATCGTAGTTGGGCTGTTCTGGAAAGGGATGTTAGTCCTCCTGGAGCTGGTTACTAGTACAGGATTCTTGGGGTTACAAATGATGGAAAATCAAGTCTAACTCAAGAAAATTTGCTTCATGCCACCAGAAAGCTGAGAGTATTGGTTTTCTAATTGCTGTTGTAACAAATTACCACAAAGTGAGTGGATTAAAACAACATAAAGTGTTATTTTGCAGCTCTGGAGGCCAGAAATCCAGAAATGGGTTTATGTGGCTAAAACCAAGATGGTGGCAAGGCTGCATTCCTTCTAAAAGATGTAGGGAAGAATTCATTCCTTGCCTTTTGGGTTCTGAGAATGCCTGAAATTCCTTGGCTCACAGCCCACTTCCAGCAATGGCATAACTTTGACCTTTATTTCCATGGCCACATCTCCCTCCCTGACTCTAACTGTTCTGCTTCCCCTTGTGATAACACTGAGCCAACCCATATAATCTGGGGTAATCTCCCCATCTCAAAATTCTTAATCATATATGCAGTACCCCTTTTGTCATGTAAGGTAGCATATTCACAGATTCTAGAGGTGAGGATGTGGATGTCTTTGGGGGCCATTATTCTTTCTGCCAACTTTGGGGAGCAGACTTCAGGTGCTCCTGAAGATCCAGCACAAGGAAGAGGGTGCAAGTGGCTCAAACAGTATCATCAGGGTCTTTCTTTCATCTTTATCTCTGCAGTCTGCTTCCTTCATGTTAGTCATATTCTCAAGGCCATTTCAAATAGCTTTCCCCCTGCTAGCCAAGAAAAATGCTGCCTCTAGCCCTCAATTATGGCATTTCAGATTAGTAGATATTAATAGTTTGGGAAAAAATAATCTTTCCCCCTCTATCTTTCTCTCTGCCCTGGTCCAAATACCAGTCTCTGTGTAGATCCCTTGAATTAACAAAGGGATGCTTGGGAAGAAGGGCACCGGGGAGATATACAAATCCTTGAGACAGCTAGGGTGGGGGTTCATCAACCTAATTTGTAGATTAATCAGCATGTACCCATTTAGTAATCCAAGCTGGTGATGCCAGACACATCAGCTACAAAGTGCTCTAGCAGCAAGCCTGGTCATTATTTAGTCTCTTATAGATCAGGCCAACCACACAGAGCATGTGCAGGAATCCCAGCCCTGCTCAGCCCAGAGCATTGACATTTGTGGTTAAGCAGGGCCCCATGGAAGCCACACACCCGTCCCCCTTGGTTTCACCACGTGTCTCTGTAACTTTGAGGGAAAAGGACCCTCCCTCCTGGGATGGGATGATAATTAAGAGTAATTTCAGTCCTGTTGGGCTCCAGTTACAACAATTACAGGGTTCTGGATCAATTAATACTCACATTTGCATGGAGAAGATGGTGAAATTTAGAATGTAGACCCCCCATTTAGGAGCTATAGCTAGGGTGACCCTACAGCCAGGTGTGCTAGGGACAGTCGTGGTTTGCACCTGAATTATTCATAGTTCTGCTCTTCACTCTCAAAGTGGTCCCTGTTTAAATGATCAGTGTTACGGTTACCCTAATGTTAGTAGAAGTAGAAAAGAGTTTATTTTCCCCTTCTACTGTTTCACTTACCCCTGAACCAGGTGGGGGACTCTAAGGCAGCAGCTGGAGAAGACCCCCAAATCACACAGGTACCCCTCTTCCTTGTGCCGGCTGTAAAGCCAAGGAATAAACCAACCCTTCCCATTGCAGGGAGTGGGAAGCCAGTGATGTGGCTTCCTAGTAGCTGTCCCCAGCCTCTAGACTGTACCGTCTGGATCTGCAGAGGCCTGTTCACTGTCATGCCTTCATGCAGATCTCTGGGGTAAGTGCTCTGTTGCTGTAGGAAAATAACTTACAACTTTTCTTTGAATGTATTTACATGAATGCCTATACCTTTATTTAAATGCATAAATGTTGTCATTACATGATTCATGTGTATGTGTGTGTGTGTGTTTGTGCAGACTCTTAGTTTTTTTTCCTGTTAGTTTGACTTTCCTTGACACCTCTCCTCTGTCCTCCACCCATAACCACTAGAAATTCATGCTAATAGCCTAGTAGGGATCCTTCCACATTTTTCTTCATGATCATATTATCCTGTATAAATATATACATACACACACTACATGTGGTAGACATGTATGTACATACATGTATGTAACTTTTTATACACACCCACATGCATTCACTTATACACATGTGTGCACTTATACATGTATAGCCAGCCTTTTGTCATTATTTGTTTTGCAGAAATATATGATATTCAGTTTCTTGCATCTTGTTTTCCTCACTCAACAATACCTTGGGGAACTCTCTCTCTGTCCTCCAATATTGCTCTAATTGTTTTCAATAGGGCATAATATCGCATGGTATAAATGTACTATAATTTATGCACCCAGACCTCAAGAGTGACTGCTCACTTTGTTTTCATGGGAGAAATTTCCCACATTCACCAAATATAAATGTGTGACACTGGCCGGGCGCGGTGGCTCACGCCTGTAATCCCAGCACTTTGGGAGGCCGAGACGGGCGGATCACGAGGTCAGGAGATCGAGACCATCCTGGCTAACATGGTGAAACCCCGTCTCTACTAAAAAAAAAAAATACAAAAATTAGCCGGGCATGGTGGCGTGCGCCTGTAGTCCCAGCTACACGGGAGGCTGAGGCAGGAGAATGGCGTGAACCCGGGAGGTGGAGCTTGCAGTGAGTCGAGATCACGCCACTGCACTCCAGCCTGGGCGACAGAGCGAAACTCCGTCTCAAAAAAAAAAAAAAAAAAAAAGTGTTACACTTTTGCCCTAATGCTCCTGACTCACATCTGATTCAAAAGTCTTTAAAAACACATGTCGATTTGAAAAATATAATCAGCTGCTATTTTTTCCAAGATGTCACACTGACCCACCATCAAACTGTCGGCACAGCTTGGTACACTTGTTCCCTACGCAGAGTCACAATCAGCCTTTTGTATTCTCTGGTGTTTGTTGTCTGATTGCAATTCTGAATTGGGGTGACCATCAAAACTGGGTGCCTACACAGGAGGCATCTCAATGTATTAGAGAGGGGCCAGTCTTTGGAACAGACAGACCTGGGTTCAAATTCTGATAACCATCACCTATAAGCTGGGAGATTTGGATAAATGCTCACCTTCCCCCAGCCCCTGTTTTCTTTGTCTTTCAGATAGAAATCATGATACCAACCACATAGAGCATTAAATGAGATTATGGGTGCACAGGGCCTGGTCCCAGGGGGCCCACTGCCCAGGTGGCTTTTCCCAACCACAAATTATGAATCATGTTGGACTTGAAGGGGAAAAGTTCAAATTGATCAATAGCGATGTCAGGGGCAAACAGTCCGAGTCAGATAAGCAAACAGAAACAGGTTGTTTTTGGAATAATTGGATGCCCTGTCTTTGTTTGCAGAGCAGCGTGTGCACCATGGATGTTTAAGGAAGCTTATTGCCAGCAATGTCCAGATGACTGGTGAGCCACAGCAAGAGAGGGGCCTGGCTGCGGGAGGGATCCAGAAAGCAGGGAGCTGATGGAGGTTTAGGATTAGGACCTGAGGAAGGGATGCTAGGGCAAGGATGCGGGAGGTAGCAGTGGCCTGAACCCTCCTACACTCTGGCCACAGACTTGATGTGGCAGGAGTAGTTGGGTGGGCATTTTTCCGCCTGGCAGCAGAGGTCGCTTTCTGTCCTCTCCCCACACCATACATCACACTTTCCAACTCCACCATACTCAACCCCCTAAGAAGAAGAAAGAGGAAATGAGCTCCACAACACAGGTCTGTTACGGACTGAATATGTGTGTCCCCTCAAAATGCATATATTGAAGCCCTAACACTCCAGTGGGATGGTATTTAGATGTGGGGACTTTGGGAAGTGATTAGGGTTAGATGAGGTCACAGGGTAAGGCCCCTATGATGGAATGAATGGCCTTATAAGAAGAGGAAGGAAAAGACTAGAGAGCATGCATGCGCTGTCAGTCTCTCTCCCTCCCTCCTTGCCACGGGAGGACACAGCAAGAAGGTGGCCATCTGCAAGCCAGGAAGAGAGGCCTCACCAGGACCCACATCAGCTGGCACCTTGATCTTGGACTTCCAGCTTCTAGAACTGTAAGAAATAAACGTCTATGGCATTCTGTTATGGAAGCCCAAGCTGACTGAGACTGCAGCCCTGCCTTTCCTTTTAGGGTACCCAAAATGGAGTCCTGTGGCCAACACAAGCCGTGTGCCTCATCTCTTGCCATGTTCCAGTAGGGGGATATAGCTGTGGCCAAGACAAGTGGGGAGGTATCTGGGGTGCTCACAGGCAGGGCCTGGAGAGGAGCCCTCTTCTGGGCAACTTACACAGGACTCTGAGATACTCCTCAGCATCTCCCCTCCTTGGTGCTAGGCATGGTGTCTTGCACACAGTGGGAGCTTTATATGTGTTTGGTGAGACATTGATTAAAAATAATAGACAGCGAATACACGCAGATGTGGAGAGAGACGGAACCAGCAGTTGCTAGATTGGAGGAAAGAGTGTATTCCCGCCTCAGCCCCGCCCTGTCCACAGCTATGAATTAATCTGCGGTGGGGAGCGGGATTCCTTCATTAAAATCTCCAAAAAGGGAGTCATATTAACAGCCAGGCACACCGTTCTTTTCCCTCAAGGTAAGAAGATTCATGGCTCAAACTTACATTTTATCACGCACAACCGAATAAAAATGATCAATTTCCCTGCCCGCCTTACAGCATCCTTCCACAGTTATTAAAGTCTCTAAAAATGTTTTCCTTAAAAAAAAAAGGTTAAAAGAAAGAGAGGTGCAGAGAGTGCAAACCAAGAAGAAGCTGGGAAATGCTGCCTAGCTGAGGGCTATCCATCTTGTCAGCTGCAGACCACATAACCTTGATGTCACTATATTTTCTGCTCATATCCAAATTTACAATTTGCCAGCCAAGGATATGGAAATGCCAAACCTCCCCCTTGGAGGTGGATGCTGGAAGGTTCTTAAAGAGCCTGAGAGAGAGGAGCATCCTAGCTCTGAAAACTCCAAAAAGACACTGAGCCTGCTGCTGGACTCTTAGCAATTTTCCCTGAGTTGGGAAAAACCAGCCTCCAAGGTCAAGGAGATGGATTTCAACTCCAGGGCCACACACACATTCAGCAAGAGCCCCTTTGTTCATTGAAGAACAAGCAGGTTTCCACTTTGGAGGGCCAGAAATGTACCTGTGCAAGTTAGGAAATGGGAGGGTTGGGCCACGCAACAAACAAACTCTGGTGTAAACCAGAGTGAAAGAGAAGTGTTTAACCTACAGGAAAGAGCAAACTGCATGCCAGCCCTGCAGAGCTCCGCCTTGCATGCAAACACACAAATGGGTAATTATACATCATTCATCTAGTGGGTCCCCAAGAACCTTTGGTTTGCCATTTTGGTAATTTAATTTTACTAAGTGCCAAGTAATACAATTGTATATCACCCCATTTGTGAATTCCTTCAGGACAAGGATAAGATTCTCTCTCCTCTCTCTCTCTCCCCTACACACACACACACACACAGACACACACACACGGATAAGACTCTCTTCTCTGTCCCCTACACACACACACACACACACACACACACTAGGTGCTTTCTATAGGGCTCTATTTAGGTCTATTTAGTTGAGAATGGTGAAACTATGCTTTAAAATTCCATAATTCGGCTGGGCACAGTGGCTCACGCGTGTAATCCCAGCACTTTGGGAGGCCGAGGCAGGTGGATCACCTGAGGTCAGGAGTTCGAGAACAGCCTGACCAACATGGTGAAACCCTGTCTGTACTAAAAATACAAAATTAGCCGGGCATGGTGGCTCATGCCTGTAATCCCAGCTACTTGGGAGGCTGAGGCAGGAGAATTGCTTGAACCCAGGAGGCAGAGGTTGCAGTGAGCCGAGATCACGCCATTGCACTCCAGTCTGGGCAACAAGAGCAAAACTCTGTCTCAAAAAAAAAAAAAAACAAAATCCATAATTCACAATTTGTTACCAGGTCAGTCTGGTCTCTTTCCAAATTAGTGCTCATTAGTTAGGTCTTCCTGGACTTGTTTCTGAGTGAATCTGGACATCTGTCCTTTGCTCACACTTTGTTAACACTCAGCACTTCCATTCTAACTTCTGGAGGGTTCCCCACATTGTAGATAGGGCCCTGGGGCCCTGCAGCATAGTTGGAGGGTTGCAGCCTCCCAGGAAGGCCCCCTCCATCGCTCTAAGTTTCCCCAGCTTGTGAGAGCCTTGTATCCTTCTGGGAGTGTTTTCCTGCCGTGGCTGGAAGACAGCCATGAATCTGTCTCGGGCCATTTGACTCGGGCTCCCAATGCCAACCC
Organism: Homo sapiens; assembly: GCF_000001405.40. Taxonomy (NCBI): domain Eukaryota; kingdom Metazoa; phylum Chordata; class Mammalia; order Primates; family Hominidae; genus Homo; species Homo sapiens. The sequence goes on from NC_000017.11 coordinate 73,940,075, forward strand.
TAACAGACACTTCCATCAGGCCTGACGCGTCAACGATCTATAAGCCATTAACCAGCGCTATCAGACCTCCCAGATTCAGCCTCCTCTGTGAGAACAAATACAGAGAAGGGGGAAGGAGGGAGGAGAGAAGAGGTATAGAGAGAGAGAAGAGGAGAGAATGCCAGGTCCTCCATTTCCTATATGGATAAATGATTGATGATGATGATGATGATGATGAAGAGAGCAGCTAACAATGACAAAGCTCACTGTGTTTCAAGTACTCTTCTAAACTCATCGTATATGGTAGCTCATCTCATCCTCACAACAACCCAAAAAGATACGTTGTTATTAGACTCACTTTGCAGGTGGGGAAATTGAGGCAGGGAGCTTTTCAGAGACTTTGTGAGGTCCCAGCACTGGTGGGTGGCAGAGCTGGGGGTTTAGCCCAGTTGCTGGGCCCCAGTGTTTGTGCTCTCAGCCACTCTACGCATTGCCTCCCACAGTGGTCAGGAAGTCAGAGTCAAAAGAGATGGAGAGAGTTCAGCTCAAAGCAGGCAAGAGTCCTAGTTCCCTGTGGGCGGTGGCTACACTGTGAGGACTGGCCCCCAGCTCACCAGGCAGAGGAGAGCAGCTTTCCCAGAGATTCCCTGCTCGGGCCACAGAGACAAAAATCTTCCATTCCTTCTAGAAATAACAGTGTCTAAGCTGCTTCCTCAGTCAGAGCCCCTCAGACCATTTGTCACTCCAGGTCCACAACCCCAGAGGTGGTTCTTAGTGGCCACAGCCTCAGCTGCAGCTCCCCTCACCCTGGCCAAATAAAGGGGACAGGTCTCCAAAGTCTCCTCATGTGCCAATATCCCCTTCTCACGCAGGAGAGATGGGATGGGAAGGGATGAGACGGAATGAGTGCTGGGGAGGAGATAGAAGGGAGGGGATAGAACAACATGGGACAGGGTGGGATGAGAGGAAAGGGAAGGAAAGGCACGCAATGGAATGAGATAGGAGGGTACAATGGGAAGAGGGGGAAAGGGGCAGAAAAGGAATGATACGCGATGAGTTGAGAAGGGAAAGGGTGGACACTGGCTTTTTTTTTTTTTTTTTGAGACAGAGTTTCGCTCTTGTTGCCCAGGCTGGAGTGCAATGGCATGATCTCTGCTCACTGCAACCTCCACCTCCCGGGTTCAAGCCATTCTCCTGCCTTAGCCTCCCGAGTAGCTGGGATTACAGGCGCCCGCCACCACGCCCAGCTAATTTTTGTATTATTAGCAGAGACAGGGTTTCATTATGTTGGCCAGGCTGGTCTCAAACTCCTGACCTCAGGCAATCCACCCGCCTCGGCCTCCCAAAGTGCTGGGATTACAGGTGTGAGCCACCGCGCCTGGCCGACACTCTCTTTTTAAACTATCCATACACTCCCATCACCCCTTTTTCCTAGAAAATTACAGACAGTCATTAGAACAGAAACATCCCTGCAGCCCCAACATCTCCTGTGTAGCACAATACATGGCAGTTAGTGACCCACTGCCATTGGCCAGGATTGAAAAGAGTCCATGATAGGTGTAGGAGCTCCCACACCCTTGCAGGCTGGCTCCAGAGGCTTCTTCCCAAGCTCTATTCCCAAGCTTTGGGCCCCAACCTACCTCCTTTAAGGCCAACTAAATCCTCACCTCTTCCAAGAAGACTTCTTCAACTATATCCTTCCTTTCTCTCACTCCCAGCTCTGTTTAGCATTTGTCACCCAATTTAACGCTTGCTTCTGTACAATGTTGTATTGATCTTTAATCTTGTAATCCAGATCTATAGCATATAGCCTGTGCTTCTGCCTGGTGGCAACCCTGAATGAATTTAATTCTTCCAGCATTTAAGAAGCAGAATCACAGAACTGTGGAGCATTAACCCTCCTGTTACAAATGCAGAAACAGGCTCTGAGAAGTCAAGGGGCATACCTGGCATCTCATGGCTGGTGAGCCAGACAGCTGGGGCACCCAGAGCTCAGCATCCTGACTCCCTCTGCTGCAGTGCGGGGAGCTTCCTGCCTTAGTCAGGGTTTTCCTAAAAACAGGCCCTCCAACAAGGATGGGAGTACTGGTGGTTTATCTGGGAGGTGGCTGCAGGAGGCACTGTGAGGGAGGGGAGAAGTAAGAAGAGGAAAGAGGAAAGCTGATTAAAGAGGTAGGTTTCCCTTGTGCATCCTGGGGGCCCAACCCCTCCAGGCCTCCAAGAGGCTGCAGAACTCACCAGGAAGCCAGGGCATTTCTCCAGGAGCCCTTGTCCCTCAGGGTTGAGAGCCCCACTTAGGGAGTTAACTCCCAGCACTTCTAGCCTGCCCTGCAGGGCTGAGCCCCCTTCCATGGCCAAAGAACCCATAAAAGCAAAGAGCAGTGGTTGTTGGGGGTACAGAGCCTTGGCGTGTGCATGAATTGTCTACCGCAGCTAGGGTGTCCTCTGGGTGGGTCAAGGAATGAAGGGCAGGCCACCCACAGGGTATGCCACGTTTGGGAAACACTTGCCCATCCATGGGAGTAGACCTTGGTGCCCCAACTTTCTTTCACATCTGTTTCCGGTTCTCTTTTTGATAGGAACAAATCTCTGCTCCAAGGTGTCAGATGAAAGAATGGTGCTCCCCACCCTCTCCCCACCCCAGGGATATATATCGTCATGGGGACTTTGATGGCACATAAGGAAAAGCGCACTGTCTGATGACATGTGGCAGGTGATATTTGGGGGTGCCACACATTCCAGCCATTCCTCCCACATGTGCAAGAAAAGGCTGCCTGACATAGTAGCCTGGCTGCTTCTGTGGGCCCCTTCTTGCTGGGCACCTCCCATTTGCAGAGCTCCTAATGAGGGACAATGTGGGTGTCAGGACAGATAGGAGGATGAAGCAGATCCCTCCCAGCCCCCCATGCTCCTCATGGAGGGCAGATGGGGGCCTGGGAGCTGGCCAGCCCAGCAGGTATGATGGGTTTGTGCACGGGGATCTACTCGGGAGCCCAGGAGTGCCCAGTGCAGGTGGCCATAAAGAAGAAATACAAGCAGCAGTCATCAGGTGTTTGACACAATTCCTGACATGCTTTCCCCAGACAGGGCATGCCCTGAGTTTACAAGGCAAATGCATTTATCACTTCTGCCTCATGTCCCAGGAGCCAAGCTCACCCCTCAGCCTGGAAATCTGGGCCTCCCCATGTGGCTTGCTTCCCCAAAAGGTGCCCTGTGCCTAGCCCCTGCCCCTCTCTGCACATACATGCATGCATGCGCATGCACAAATGCACGTGTGCACAAACATACGCACATATGGAGGCACACATGGAAAGCACCTGAATAAAAGACAGCCAGCCCAAATTCCAGCCACCCCTCTGCCTGTATGTAGCTCCGAGCCCTGGGATGCGTCATGGCCCTCATGGGGCCTTATTTTTCTCCTCTGTGTCGTGATGATTCTAAAGAACCCCCAGGGATGCTCAGCTCCCTGTCCAGAGAAGTTACAGTCCCATGGATGGACAGCAGAGGCATCTGTTGGCCCTCTCCTCCAAGGAGGCATAGTCCACCTTCGGACACGACCTGCCATGGTGATAGCCCAGGCCTGCCAGGAGAAAGAAGTAGGTGTATGGGTGGTTGGTGGCATCCTGCTTTGCCCTTTTTGCAGCAGAGATCAAGACCTTGGATTAGGTTGATCTGGTCCAGCATGGGAAGAATGTCAAACACCCCCTCACTAAAGTGACACACCAGCCAGCAAGCCAGCCCTTTCTCCCACCTTCAACTCTGCTTGTATCAGCAGAGAGGGTCGTGTTAAAACTGGCTTTGGAATGGTGCCTGGGAAGCTGGGAGGGGCAGTTCCCCAGTGTCTCTGCCTATGACACTGTGCGGAACAGCCTCAGGATCTGGGAGGCAAGTTCTTTGCAGAAGGGCTTTTTAGCAAGGCCCTGTTCTCCACAGTCCCCAGATGGTAGGCCTAAACCAAAGGGTTTCTAGGAAACAGACCCTCATAGCTGGCCACTGGCCTATGAAGACAGAGCTCAGATGCCCAAATAAGTGGAGGACTCTTCCAGGGAGAGAGCAGTGAACTGAGCCCCCGAGAGCCCACCAGCATGGACCAGGACAGCCCACTATGGGACACACCCTCCCACAAGGTGCCATTGTTTTGCATTTGCAGGATTTGATTTTTGTTTGCTGAGATTATGGAGCCTGCATATAGTTCCTGATTTTTGCAAAGCACATCTCAAACTTCTCACCTGTTAGCACTCCCCAGCATCGTGGCTGAGTGGGTGATTATCACCATACCCCAGGTGGGGAAACTGAGGCTTCAGGAGTCGAAGAGACTGAGTTAAGGGCATGCAGTGAGTCATCAGCTGCCCTTTGCTTCCCACACACATTTCTCACCAAGCTCTCTGAGGCCACACTGCTTCCTGGAGTCCTGGGGCATATCCACTGCTTTTGCCAAGGTGGGTTGTGGCAAGCGGGTCACTGGGAATAGGAGACAGGCGTTCTCAAAGAGTATATAAAGGAAAGAAAAGAATAAAGGGGTGGGAGGGGCACATGATCCAAAATCTCCTCTGCAGCAAGCTCTTGTAACTGCATGTCCAGCGGCCCCCCCTTCCTTGCACCTTCCTTTTTTACATCAACATTCAATCATCTTTTCCCATTCACTTCATCTCTTCCATCTTTATCTTACGCTGCCCGTGAAAACTGGTGTGAAATAAAAAGGCAACTCTGCCTACAGATGTAATCAATTGATTTGGCAGGTAGTCCACAGACACCTAGGAAGAGGACAGCCAATTTTCAGTGGACATCCTCCCCCACTTCTTTTTCTTCCTCTACTTCCTCCCTTCCGGGCTCTCCGTCCCCCTCCTTTTATTTTTCTGTCTCCTTCCTTTTGGCCTTGCTTTGATCTTCTTGTTATTTTCTGCTTTGTATTTAATGGAATTAGACCAGCCTATGAATTTTCCCCCGATTCTTTCTTTCTTCTTATTTTATATAACAGACAGCAGAGGGGAAGGCGTCTGTCTTGCCCGACTCTCTATCTCTGCACCATGCTGTGAGAGCTCAGTATTCCCAGGGGCCTTGTCAATCTTCCTGGGGAGGTGGGACCACGATCACCATCTTGAAGGATCCCAAACTCCTGCCCCAGATAGGAGATGGGTCCATAAAACAAATCCTAGAGTGGAACAGCTCTCCATCATCCAGGAGAGGAGAAAGTGTTCTATGAAGGAGAATTGTTTATTTTCATTCATTCATTCACTTATTAAGCATCACTATCGGCCAGGCACTGGGGATATAGAAGTGAACAAAGCCGTCATTGATCCCGCCCAAGTACATTGCCTGGTGCACAGTAGGTGCTCAATAAGTAGTGGCCACTCTTGGTTATCATTCTTCTGGAAGTATCTATGATAGTGCAAGATGTATACTCATGTTCAATAAATGTTAGTTTCCTCACTTCTAGAGACACTATCTCGGTACGATGTCTGTTTATTGGTCTTTTTATTGTTTTAACACAAAAAGAATAGAGGGGTGAAATTAAAATGTTCCCTCTGGCCTAATCTAGATTAGAAGACAATCATTAGATACAAACGAATGTGTAATTAAAAATTGTGATAACTGGGATAAAGAAAAAGCACAGGGTGATATGGGAGGATTTCATTTAGAAAGGGGTGGGGGAGGAATCTGGAGCCTGTATCTTAAAGAAGCATCACATAACCCATTGGCTCTCAAAGTGGGGCTCTCTCAGTCACAGAAGCAGCAGCATCAGGAACTTACTAGAAATCTACATTTTCAGGCTGCCCCAGAACTACTGAATCAGAAACTTTGGGCACCAGCCTTTCCAGGTAACTCCAATATTCCCACAAGTGTGAGAACTGCTCATGTAAGCTGAGACTGGAAGGAGGAGTTGGAGCTGGCCAAGTGGTGGGGAGAAAGAAGGCTTTCTAGGTGGAGAAGATAGCATGGACTGGGGCCCTGAGGCAGGAAAGACCACCAGGGCAAGGGTATAGGGAGGGAGTGTGAGAATCAGACCTTTCAGTGCCTTAGAACAACTGGAAAGAGTGTGAATTTTCTAAGTCCACCGGGATCCCCTAAGGCAGGGGTCCCAGTCTGTGGCCTGTTAGGAACCGGGCCGTATAGCCTAGGGGAGTGGTGGGCGAGTGAGTGTTACTGCCTGAGCTCTGTCTCCTGTTAGCTCAGCAATGTCATTAGATTCTCATAAGAGGCTGGGTGTGGTGGCTCACGCCTGTAATCCCAGCACTTTGGGAGGCCAAGGCAGGTGGATCACTTGAGGTTAGGAGTTCGAGACCAGCCAGGCCAACATGGCAAAACCCTGTCTCTACTAAAAATACAAAAATTAGCCAGGCGTGGTGGCGGGTGCCTGTAATCCCAGTTACTTGGGAGGCTGAGGCACAAGAATTGCTTGAACCTGGGAGGTGGAGGTTGCAGTAAGCCGAGATCACACCACTGCGCTCCAGCCTGGGTGACAGAGTAAGACTCTGTCTCAAAAAAAACAAAAACAAAACCCAAAAACAACAACAACAAAAACATTCTCATGGGAGCACAAATCCTATTACGAACCAGCATGCAAGGGATCTAGGTTGTGTACTCCTTGTAAGAATCTAATGCCTGACGATCTGAGATGGAACAGTTTCATCCTGAGACCATCCTCACCCCACCCCACCCATGGAAAAATTGCCTTCCACGAAACCAGTCCCTGGTGCCATAAATGTTGGGGACCACTGCCCTAAGGGGTTCTAAGCAGAGAAATGAAGCCATAGGATGTTGATGTCATAGAGTCCTATCACTGCCCACAGCTGGCTCCTAGTTCCTTCCCCGGCCTCACCTGCCCTGTTGGAGGGGCTCTTCTCAGCCCCTGAGAAAATGGCACTCTTGGGTGGTGCAGGAGGTCCTGGTAGAAGGCTCTTTCTTTTCATTCATGCCTTTGGATACATGATGGGATTTTCTGTCTTCATATTTTATTTTTACCTCTTTTCAAATATCAGTAAGTGGCATCAAAACAGTGGGATTATGGGTTATTTTTGTTTCTTCTCCACAAGTTCTTGAATTTTATGAAATAAAAGCAAACAAAATTTTATAAAGCCAATATTTATCAAATATTATTATATGTCAGTTTTTTTTTGAGACTTCCCTTTTTATTCATTCAACAAATATTTTTTGAGCAACTGCTGTGCCCTGGGCATTGTGCAGGCATGGGGATAGAAACGGAGGCCAACATTCTGCCGCGACGGAGCATCTGTGCTCATGGCGGGAGTGAGACCAACAAAGTCCAAGAGCAAAATACATCTCAGTGTCTGCCTGGGAAGGGGAGTGAGCCATCCCAGGTGGGACTGGTCAGGGAAAGCCTGAGAAGGTGGCGGCTGGGAAGGGGAGTGAGGCATGCCAGGTGGGGCTGGTTAGGGAAAGCTTGAGAAGGTGGCAGCTGGGCACAGACTTGGGGAGAGGAGGCGGTGGGGGTGGGGGGATGAAGAGGTAGGTAGGGGTGGGAGGCTCATGAGAGCAGGAACCCCAAGCGCCGAGGTGCTGAGCAAGAGCAGGAAAGGACGCAGGGTTTAGTGAGAGAAGGAGGAGAGGACAGGGAGGAGTGGGGAGGAGCCTCGTGGGCTGCCAGGAGGATTTTGGCTTTTACACCGAGTGACATGGGAGCCCATGGGCAGGGCAATGGGAATTCTGACATTCTGAAAGGGCCACTGGGCTGCTTGCTGAGAACAGCTGGTGAGAGGGGCAGGGCAAGGAGAGAAGGGAGCTGGCAGGAGAACCTGCTAGAAACCAGGTGGGAGCGGATGGGAGCCTGAGCTGGAGCAGCGAGGGTGGGATATGGTCAGATGCTGAATGGCCTCTGAACTGAGCGTCGGCGGGATCTGCTGCTGGGCCAGATAAGGGATGAGAGAGGAGGCTTGAGGATGACCTGAGTGATGAAAAGACAGCACTGCCACTTATGAGGCCAGGGAAGGCTAGGGGAGAAGCCAGCGTTTCTAGGGGAAGGAGCTGCTGGTTAATTCAGTGTTGGGCATGTGAAATTTCAGATGCCATTGTGTCGCTTTGGATGTCCCAAGGAGCAGATGCCAAGACAGGATTGGACATGGGACAGGCTTACTGGGGGCAAAGTCTGTGAAGGACAAAGGGGAGGCAGCAGGTGCTGGCAGACTGCCATGCAGGCCTGGCACCTGTGAAAGGAGAGGGGGATGGAAGGAGGCCTGAGAGGAAGAGCTTCCGTCCACAGCACAGCTCCAAGAGTGTTCATTCAGACCGATGAGAGGTCCTTGAGCCAAAACCTCCCATGGGGGTATCCAACATCCCACATGTGTGGGCCTGCCCTGACACTGCCCCCTCTAACCCCATCCCACCTGCTCAGCTATTGCCTGGGAGAAGCCCACATCATGTGTGGCTTCAGCACACCATAGGGGTGGGCCCACTGGGGCAGTGGTGGGGTGTCGGTCACCATGGTCCCCTCAACAGAAGTTGTGAGTGGAGCAATTTTACAGCCGCCACAGGCTATTAGACACGTAAGTGGAGATATCTAGTAGGCAGTTTAGATATATGAGTCTGGAGTTCAATGCAAGGTTCAAGGAAGAGATAAAAATTTAAGTGTCTTCAGCTCATAAATGGTATTTAAAGGCATGAGAATGCATGAGCGCGTGCACAGCTGGCAGGGACAAACGCTCCAAGGACTGAGTCCTGAGGCATGTTTGCAACAGTCAGCAACAGTGGCCAGGGAGGTAGGAGGGAAACCAGGAGTCTGTGAGCTCCTGGAAGTCAAGTCAAGAAAATGCTTCGTGGAGGAGGGAGCACTACCTTTCAGAAAACTGCCCATCACACTGGCAAGCATCCTTATAGGCCAGGCAATTTGCTGAAGACTCTGTGTGCATCACCACACTCCACGGGTCTTCTTCCCTGTTGTGGGTGAGGTGCTGTGCTGCCCCGATGCCCTGTCAGGGCCAACACAGCCATTCCCCAGTTGCTGGGAGTATTGGCTGCTGATGCTGAAAGTCACACCCCCTCCCCAGGGACAGCCTGTACCCAGAGACGGTTGACACAGCTTCCCTGCCACATTTGGGACACCTCAAGTGGACCATCTGGCTTACAAGCTCCTAGGGGGACCAGCTGAAGCCTCCGTTGTAGCTACAGAGTTAGGTAGATTCCTCCATCAGAGTAAAGAACCGCTGACTGCATGGGCTGGAGGAACAGGGTGCTACTTGCTACATCTTATCTTAAAGAATCTTTTGGATGCTTTGGTGAGAAACAGGAAACTAGCAGACTCTCTAGCCAGGCCATTGTAGGTTTGACCCACTTCACCCCCTCCTGACACTCCCACCTTTCCCACCACTTTTCCTCTTTTCTGTAGCACTTACCACCTGCCAACCTGCGATTTAATTTCCTTATTTGTTGATCTATTGTTTATTATCCATCTTCCTTCTTTCCTACAATGTCAGCTCTAGGAAGGCAGGGCTATTCATCTGTTTTGTCCCCTGATGTATCCCAAGTGCCTAGAACGGTGTCCACTGCATAGCAGGTGCCAGTATACATGCACGAAATGAGTTCCTGGACGAGCTGACCTTCAAGAGTTCACAGCCCAACTCTCCCATTTTTGCTGAATCCCACCATCCCACGTGAACAGAATGAGCCAGACCTCCAAACCCACAGAGGCAGCGTGGGGTGCTGGGACTTACCACGGCTAGGAGGCAGTCTCCTCACCTGCAAGGTGGGATGCCAGGAATGGTTTGCTCACAACACGGTCACAGGGAGCCACCTCGAAGCCTTCCTGTAACGCTGATCAATGAGGCCAACCCTATGGATGGAACCCATAGTCCAAGCCAAGTCTGAGGCCTTGTTTCAGGGGCATCCACAGCACCTAAAGGGTGCTGGGAGGGGGGCGTTCGTTGAGAACAGCACACACTGTACTCCTACAGGAGGAGAAGACAGACCCATTTTAGACTGACGGCTGCTCTGAAATGGGGGACTCAGTGTGAGATTCCCGTGCTAGAGAAAAGAGTCTCAGTTATTCCTCGTGGTAAGCAGGCGTGGCTTTCGATGGGAAGTCCTGCCTTCCCTGTTTCCCAGCCATGTGACCTTGGCCAAGTCAAAAAAAATATCCTGGAGCCTTATTATCTGTCACTACCTGTCAAATGGGAAATGAGTGAGATTATGTGCCTGAAAATGTTTTGTAAATTCCACAGCAGTGGTTCCCAGACTTTGAGATTTCATAGACGAGGGAAGTTTCCAGTAATCTGGAGCTTACATAAGGATTCCAGCGTTCTATTTTGCCACCTAAGGACACTGAAACACAAGCAAGCAACGAAGCGGTGGCTTGCCCATCGTCACTATTCTGTCATCAAAGGCAGAACACACTTCATGCTAAAAATGGAAGAAGGCCAAAAATCTGAACAAAAGATAGTCTTTGCAGCTTGAAAAAAAAAAAAAGTGAACTTAAAGGAAAAACTCACTGACTTGTCCTTGATTTTCTCATGTTGCCAAAGACAAGGGAAGTTTCTCTCTGGGAACATTGTGAAATGATGAAATGAGAGGGCTGGGATGGCGCACCCAGGCAAACAAGAGAAGCTGCCCACCGTGGAGGCGGGGACCCGGAGCTTCAGGCTCTCCGGGGCTGAGGGGGGTCAAAGTCTCCACCCACCTGACACCCATTTGAAGCATGCTGGTGCACAAAGGTACTGCAGGTGGGAAGCTTTCTGTAGGGTTCCCTGAGGAGGACGGAGTAAAGGGCTTCTCTTCACAGGAGGAGTGAGCTGGGAGTCAGGGCCTGGTTAGCAGGAACACAACGTACATGTGATCAATCCTGAGTGCTGAGCACTGTGCGAAGGGCTTCCTGAAGGTTATAGGAAGGAACTATTATCATTCGTTTTGCAGCTTGGGAAACTGAGGCACACAGATGTTTCCATTGCTTCCCCAAATCTCACAGCTAGTCAGTGGCAGAGCCGGGGCCCTAATTCAGCCAGTCTCGTTGCAGAGGAAGTGTGTTTAACCACTCACTCCAAAGCATGATCTCCAGAGCGAGGAAAGGGCTTCTCTGCTGATGCAAAGAGGCAGATTTCTAGCAGAATCAGCCCTGATCCTGATGCTCACAGGCTGGCATGTTGGGTCCAAGACGGCAAAGCTACTTTTCTGTATGAGTTCCCCATTGTAATGGGTTGAACAGTGACCTCCATAAAGGTGTGTCCAAGTCCCAAATCCCTGGAATCTGTAAAGGGAACCTCACTGACCTTATGTGGGGACAGGGTTTTGCACAGGTAATTAAAGATCTTGAGATGAGGGACGGGCGCGATGGCTCAGGCCTGTAATCCCAGCACTTTGGGAGGCCGAGGCGGGCGGATTACTTGAGTCGACGAGTTCGAGACCAGCCTGGGCAACATGGTGAAACCCCCATCACTACAAAGAATACAACAATTAGCCGTGGTGGTGTGTGCCTGTGGTCCCAGCTACTCAGGAGGCTGAGAGGGGAGGATCACTTGAACCAGGGAGGCAGAGGCTGCAGCGAGCCAAGATCACACCACTGCACTCCAGCCTGGGTGACAGAGCCAGACCCTGTCTCCAAAAACAAACAAACAAAAATCTTGAGACGAGATCATCGTTGACTTAGGGTAGGCCCTAAACCCACGGAAGGGTGTTCTTATACCAGACAGAAAAGGAACAGACACAGAGACACAGAAGAGAAAGCCACAGGAGGAAAGAGGACTCTGTGCCTCAGTTTCCCAATCTGCAAAACGAATGATAATAGTTCCTTCCTATAACCTTCAGGAAGCCCTTTGCACAGTGCTCAGCCTTCAGGATTGATCCCATGGATGTTGTGTTCCTGCTAACCAGGCCCTGACTCCCAGCTCACTCCTCCTGTGAAGAGAAGCCACAAGAAGACAGAGGCAGGGACTGGAGGGATGCGAGTCTGGGAGCCACGCCACGCCAAGGACTGTGCAGCCCCCAAGCTGGGAGAGAGCCCTGGAAAGGATCCTCCTGCAAAGCCTCCCTTAGAAAGCAACTCTGCTGACAACTCGAATTTCGACTCTGGCCTCCTGAATTGTGGAGAAATACATTTCTGTTGTTTTAAGCCACCAGTTTGTGGTAGTTTTTAAAAGCAGTCCCAGGAAACTCACACATCCCCTTTCCTACTTCCTCCGCGCCAGCTTCCAAACCTCTCCCCCATGAGAGGATCAGAGAATTCCTCCCAGCCCTCCAGCAGTGAGCTGCTCCCCCACTCCATTCATCTCCCGGTTCCTCGCATTCATCCCCCACCGAACCCACCCACAAAATGCTGAATCGGTGGGTGAGATCCCCATAGCAACGGCTCCGATGCCAGAACCCAGGATTACGACACCGGATCAGCCAGAGACGCGCTGGAGGGGCCCAGGAGGGGCTGCAGCGCGCCGCAAATCCCCCGGGGCTTACGGGAGCCGCTCTTTAGGAGACAGCGCTGGACGAACCGGGCGGGGTGGGGATGGATAATCTTCAGGCGCCAACGCAAAACGGCCGCAAGACGTGGCCAGGCCAGGAGGCTCCTGGGTCCCGGGCCCGCGATGTGGCCCTTGCGCGGGGACAAAGACGAGGCCATCGCCCTCACGTGTTCCCAAAGACGCCCAACCTCATCAGGAGGCCGCCCCATCCGCCACCTGGGAGCGTCCCACACGCCCGGGCCCTTGAGGATGTCCCCTCGGCGATGTGCCTGACCGGGCGCTCCCCGCCCGCCAACCTCCAACCTCCAACCTCCGCCCTCCACCCTCCACCCTCCTTGCTCTGTCCGCGTGGACGCAGCCCCCGGTTCAGACACTAGCGGGTGCGCGGGGCCGCCCAGGACGGCGGGAGAGGACGGGGCCCTCCCTCCCCTCTGGTCCCCCAAAGCTCCCCGGACGCCGCGGCCGCGCCCCCTGCCGGCTCCCTCCGGCCGGCTCCCGCGTCCCACTGGGGCTCCTCTCCCGCTGCAAGGTCAGCGCTTCCCCGCCCCACGCCCTCCACAACTCCCCGCCCTTCCGTTCCTGCTGCCGCCGCCCTCTCCACCCAGGCTCCTGTCACCCACCACGGGAGTTCACACGCTCCAGTCCATCGGCCTCCCCCGGCCCGACCGCCCTGGCTCAGGCAAATCCCAGCCTGCACTTCCCGAAGGAAGTCCCCTCCACGCACACACCCTACACGCACGCACACATTTACACACACGCCCTCACACATTTACACACACGCCCTCACACACGCAAATGCAGACACCCCCTACACTCACCCTTACACACACACCCTCACACATTCAAACACCCTCACACACATACACCCTCACACACATTCACACACCCTCACACGCACACAGAAACGCAGACCCCCCCCCCTCCACTCACAGGTACTCACGCTCACACACCCTCACACGCGCTCACACACACACTTACACGTAGACACATTCATATACACTCTCTTACACACATTCACACACCCCCCCCACACCCTCACGTATTTACACCCTCACACACACATTCCCACATGCCCATGCCCACACACTCACATTCACACACCCTAACACACAATCACAGACACACACACACAAACACACAATCACATATACACATACACACAGACACACACAGAATCATAAACATACACACAGAGACACACAGAATCACATATACACACACATACACACACAGAATCACATATACACAGACACACAATCACATATACACGGAATCACATATACACACAGACACACAATCACATATACACAGAGATACACAATCACAGAGACACATAATCACATATGCACGCAGAATCACATATACACACACAGACACACACAGAATCACATATACACACACAATCACATACACACAGACACAATCATACACACGCAGAGACACACAGAATCACATACACATATACACAGAGACACACACATATACACATACAGAACACACAGAATCACATATATACATACAGACACACAGAATCACATACACACAGAGACACACAGAATCACATAAACACAGACACACACAATCACATATACACACACACAGAATCACATATACATATACACACAGAGACGCACAGGCACACATTCATGCACACATTCACACAGATTCATTCACACACAGACACACCCCCTCACACAAGATCACACCACACGCATGCTCATTCACACACAACACCAACACCCACATTCATTCACAGACTCACAAAACTTACACACATATACGCACACACCATTCACACACTCATGCAAGATACCTTACAAATACACAGACACACGCAGACACAAATACACACATAGACCCCTCACAGATGCACACACCAATGCACACAGGTACACTCATTTGCACACCACACACCCACTTACACACCAATACACATACTGGCACACTCATACACAGACCTATAAACACACAGACCCACCCATACTCAGACATACTCATTTGCATACCCACTCAGCAACACAGACTCACATTCACATACATGACAGAGACAAACTCACACAGGCACACTCACATTCACACAGGCACATTCACACACACCCTATTATGCACATTCTCACAACAGACATGCTTACACACATTCACACAGTCACACACACACACACACACACACACAATCTCGTACTGAAGCCCAGGCAGTGTCTACCAGCTACACAGACATTGTGGACAGTGGAGTGGTGAGAGGTACAGGCGTATTCAGGTCAGGCAGGTGGGATCTGAGCAGAGGCATCATGAGCCCAAGGGCACCTTGGTGGCAAGGACATCACCTATTGTTTCTCTGCATCTTCCCCCTCCCCGCCCAAATCATGCAGCACAGTGCAGGGCACACAGGTTCATCATAAGTGTTTCTTCAATGAGCAGACAGGAGCTACCCAAGCTTCAATGTACGTAAGAATGCATAGTGGCCGCCATTTTACAGGTTGAACTTGGAGCTTCAAAGCAGCCTTGGATAAAACCACTGGGCCATTCTCCAAAAAAGAGAATGGAGAATGTCAACGTCCTTAATTGTCTGCCTGTATTCCATGTACTTCCTGACTTAGAGCCTTGATTGACAAAATCCCCGTTCCAAGAAAATCTCCCTGCATCACCGCAGGCACTGTGTGTTTGGCAAGTAGACTTTCAACTTTGGGTTGTGGCATGAATAAATAAATGACTAAATCAGCAAGCAGTTTTCCCTGCACCTTGGCACAGGTCTGGGTACAATCAAGGCATCAGTCAAGATGGGAGGGTAGTGGGTGGGTGTGGCCTTTAAAAGATGGGAGTTCTGCCTCAGCTCACTACTTAGCCCGGCACAGTGGCTCATGCCTGTAATCCGAGCACTTTGGGAGGCTGAGGTGGGAGAATAATTGAGCCCCTCCAGTCAAGGTTGCAGTGAGCCATGATAGAACAAGATGTTGTCAAAAAAAAAAAAAAAAAAAAAAAGAAAGGAAGAAAAGAAGAAAAGACAGAAAAGAAGGAAGGGACGGGAAGGGGAGGGGAGATCCGAAAAGCAAAAACTAAAAACCTCACTTCTAAGGCACTTTCTGGAATCGTTCCACTCCACTCGGATCTCCCTCTTTATTGGGCATCGTTTTGGTGAGTAATGAATTCAACCTGAGCCCCATTCCTGTGGGAGGTTAGCCATTTCACTTTCCTAGATGTGTGAGTATGTGTGAACCTATCGCCATCACCTCTTCTCCCATTAGTCTGTAATTCCCCCTGAGCAGATCGGGCTGTTTCCATTGAGATTTCTTTGGCAATGATGACACAACTCTGCCAGCAGCAAGTGTCCAGCCAGACACCTGGGTCACCCCCTAGTTGGACGGTGCTGGGGGAAGCTCTGGCATGGGCAGCTCCACCTCGGATGCTTCCTGGAGTAGATGTTCTGGCTGGTGTCCATGGAGATGGAATGGGAGAGGGACTTCCTTAGCCACAGCCACGCATGTCTTCCCCTTTATGGGAAAGTATCTGAGTGCTGGTCATTTTCAGACCCTAGGGAAGTATCTAATTGCCCTCCTGGAGAGCCCCTACTTATAGAGAAGATGGCAAGGCTGTCAGAGAATCCAATGCCACATTTCCCAAAAAAAGGAGGAAAGGCGGGCCCCAAGAGGGCCCTCAGCAGGTACAGAATTGGAACTGCCAGACAGACACGCCTTTTCCCATGCTACAACCTTGGCTGCCATGCCCCTACTCCCCTTACTCCTGCTTCTAGAAGAAAAGGAAGGGAGAAAAATGCAGGAATTTTCCAGAAAGATCCAGAAACTCCCCCAAATTGCCAGAAGTCTCCAGGCTTGTATATTAATGCAGTGGTGCAGTGCAGTAATTTACTCTAACTACCTGGGTGTGCCCTTGATTCTGGCTAGATTAGATTGAATCAACAAAGAAGCAGCACAGAGTCCTCCAGTGCTGGAGCTGAGAAACCCCAGAGAATGCAAGGAGGCTTCATTTCCTGATTTTCTCATCTGTACAATGGGGTGGTAATAGCACCCACATCACAGATTGCTGTGAGGACTCAGTGACTCAGACCATATAAAACGCTTGGCATGGTACCTTCCACATAGCAAGTGCTGCATAAAGGCTGATGATGATGAGGCCGATGATGAAGGCAAAGAAACTACTCCTTGCCCAAGGTCATCTGGGCGACTTAGTGACAGAGCTGCAATTAGAACAGGGGTCTCTCCAAGTTAGGCCACGCTGGATAGCCTTGCTGCCAGTTCCTGGTGCTTTTGTATCTTCACGCCTCCCCCCAGGCCCAGCTGAGCACCATCAGGGCCTCAACAGAACCAACAGTGCCCCCTGCAGGCCTTGGCCTCCTGGGACTGTTCAATTCAGGGCTGAGGCCTCTGGGAGCAGTGGGAACGTTTGCCTACAAAACAGGTTCTGTGGAATGCTGCTGGGACACTAGGGTTTTGCCTCCGAAGATGGCTTCCCTGGAGTCAACAGTTGCCTGTCTTCTTCCCGCCTCACTCCTCCTCTTGCCAATCTTCTTAGCACCCAGGATTAAGCATAAACATGGGAGTAGGGGACACGAGACCCAGGTTCCAGGACACTTAAGCCACTGGCTGGCTCCGTGGCTGCAGGCAATTCCCCTGACAGTCCTAGGCCTCTTTCCTAGAGGCCTTCCAACGTCCCAGACAGCTGCCAAGTCCAAGGATACCCTGAGCTCCTCTAAGCTCTGGCCAGCAGGAGTTCAGGACGTACCTTGCTGCAGTGTGGGGTGATTTGGGCGCCCCAGCAGCTTATTCAGAGGGTGCAACATCAAGTTCATTTCCTCCTTCCTCGTTCCTGCCAGCCCAGCCCAGCCCAGCCCAGCCCAGCTCAGCCCAGCTCAGCGCTGGGCCCTCCACCTCTGCTTCCCCTCCACCACCTGTCTAGGGCAGTGTGGTCCAGGGTAGCTGCAGGCCCACGTACCAGCACACATTGCCGCCTGTCTGGGCTCTCCTGCTGTGTGTGCTGCTTGGGGAAGAGTGGGATCCACCCATCCATTTTTATCCAGCACTTCGCGGGGTCACATTATGTGTGGAGTGTGTGATGAAGCCTTCCAATGATGCCTCCTGACAGAGCCAAATCTGACTTCCATAATGGCCTGAGAAAAGGTCATAGCCTGGGACTCTGTATTACTCTGTCACAGAAATTAAAGGAGCAGTTTGCCACAATAAAGGACCGTCTGCTTGGTGGCCTGCTCACCCTTGCCGGCTTCCTCCTGCTATCTTTTCTGATAATGTGGATAAGAATCTGCTTGCAATGGCAGGCAGGATTAATTCACTCTCCAGCACTACAGAGAAGCCGCTGAGTACAGCTGCCTCCGCCACCTCCCTGGGGACACACCTCAGGATGAAAATCACAGCTGGGGGTGCAGGGAGGGAGCCGTACTGAAGAGTTTATGTTGACCAACTTCTTTCCTAGGGTTTATCTCTTTATTTGCCCCACCCTGATCCAAAAAGTACACAAGAAGAAAAAAACCCGGGTGCTAACAATGTGCTAGTTTTTTTCAGTGGTTATTTGTGGGAGAGGGCATGGGAAAAGAGCTGAGTGGGGTTAGGGATGTGAGTTTTCAATTATTAATTTGTACATATATTTTAAAGTTTTGAATAATTTTTAAAGTTTTTGAATTTTCCAAATGAACAAAACCAAGCACCTTCCCTGGGAGATGGTAAATGCATGTGTTGAAATGCCTGCATCGCATCTATATGCAAGCTCAGGTGAAGGTGGGTAAGCAAGGATGCCGCTGAGCCCGACAGGTGTGGGGTTTGCTGGGGGGTGGAGAGGAAGGACAAACCCCTGGAAGAGTGAGATGACCATTCGCAGCTCCCAGCATCACTTAAGACTTGATATTAGATAACTTGGTCAGATTAAATAGAAAACATTTCTCACCAGCATCCTAAATCTCTCTTAGTTTTGATATTTACTTATGATGCTTGTTTTTATTTTATTTTTTTCTTGAAAGGGTTTACAGGCTCCACACCCCCAGTCTCTGTGCATGGCTTTGAATTTTACAAATGGAGGCTGTAGCCTGGGGAAGACAGTGCTGCTTCCATCGTGAGCTGCGCTGTGGCTGTCTCCTTCCCATCTGCAGGAATTGAGGAATTCCTAAGATGACTTGTTTGGGGGCTGCTTTGCTGCTGGGGGTGGGGAAAGACAACTTTCTGGCAGTGGCTCTTGAGTGAACCAAAATTGCCATGGATAACAAATGATGCAATACTAGGTCCTGAGCAAGGAAAAGGCATAAACCCCGGAATTGGAGAAAGCTGCTTCTAACATAACTGACTCCTCTCAGTTCTTGAGAGTAAGAACCACAGAGCAGAAAAAGTGCTGGGTGCCTCAGCTCTGCAGCCTGGTCCAGGCGACCAGCTCCCACTCCTGCTCCTGACAGAGTTGAGGAAGAAAAGATCCAGCTCTGCTGAAGATAGGTCACCTTGAGGAAGAGTCGGTTCAAAACTTTGTCAGAAGAAGCCTGGAAAACTGTCAAAGAACCTCACATCCCTGACACCAGTGAATCTTGACTCCTCACATGACAGCAAAGCCCAGGAGGGAGGCATTTTCAGACAATTCTTGGCAAGACGCCTCCGGATATTACAGTCCTTGCAGGTGTATACAAACAGCCAGGAGGGTCAGAAGACACCAATGCTGGCGGCTTCGGGCTTCACTCGAAGGACATTTCTCTGATCATTTCCAACAAGGCCCTGAGCCAAAGTATGTGAAATCCTCCGCATTTTTTTCTTTCACTTTTTTACTATAAGAAAGGACAAATATGTACAAATAAACAGAAGAGTGTGATGAATCCCCATGAACCCATCACGAAGCTTCAACAATTATCAACATTGTTTTGTCATTCTGGTTTCATCTATCCCTCCTACTCAACACCTCTACACTAGATTATTGGGTTTTATTTTGCAGTTTTTTAGATAAGATTTATATACATTGAAATGCACAAAAATCTTCCCTCTACAAGTTTGACAAATGGATACGGCCATGTAACCCAACTCCCCACTACAATATAGGACATTGATGGGGTTTGGGTGTTTGTCCCCTCCAAATCTCATGTTGAAATGTGATTTCCAATGTTGGAGGTGGGCCTTGTGGTAGGTATTGGATCATAGGGTAGATCCCTCACGAATGGCTTAGCACTACCTCCTTGGTGATAAGTGAGCTTTTACTCTGAGTTCACAAGAGATCTGGTTGTTTAAAAGTGTGTGGTACCTCCCCCCATTGCTCTCTCTTGTTCCTGTTCTCACCATGTGGTACACTGGCTCTACTTTCACCTTCTACCGTAATTGAAAACTTCCTGAAGTCTTTGCAAGAAGCAGATGGTGGTGCAATGCTTTGTATGCAACCTGCAGAACCATGAGCCAATGAAACTTCTTTCTTTATAAATTTCTCAGCCTCAGATATTTCTTTATAGCAACACAAAAATAGCCTACTACACAAAATTGGTGCCTAGGAGTGGAGTGTTGCTATACAGATACCTGAAAATGTGGACACAGCTTTGGAACTGGGTAACAGGCAAGGTTGGAAGAGTTTGGAGGGCCCAGAAGAAGACAGAAAGATGAGGGAAAGCTTTGAACTTCTTAGAGACTTGTTAAGTGACTATGACCAAAATACTGAGGGAATATGGACGGTGAAGGCCAGGCTGACAAAGTCTCAGATGGAAATGAGGAACAGATTGGGAACTGGAGTGAGGGTCACCTGTGTTAAGCCCTAGCAAAGAGCTTGGCTGCATGGTATCCAGGTCATAGGGATCTGTGAAAGTTGAACTTAAGAGTGATGATTTAGGGTATCTGGTGGAAGAAATTTCTAAGTAGCAAAGCATTCAAGAAGTAGTGTGGTTGCTTCTAACAACCTACTATCAGATTCAGGACAAAGGAATGACTTAAAGTTGGAACTTTAAGTTCCAACTTAAAAGGGAAGCAGAGTGTAAAAGATTGGAAAATTTGTGGCCTGGCCATGTGATTGGGAGTGGGGGAAAAGCATTTTCAGGAGATAAAACAAGCAGGCTGCAGAGCAACCACTTGCTAGAGAGATTCTCATGAGTAAAAGGGAACCAAGTGCTAGTATCCAAGACAATGAGGAAAAGGCCTTGAAGGCATTTCAGAGATCCTCTAGGCAGCCCCTGCCATCACAGGCCCAGAGGCCTAAGAGGAAAGAATGTTTGCAGGAGCAAGGCCTGGGGCCCCATTGTGCTGCTCAACCTCAGGACACTGCTCCCTGCATCACAGCTGCTCCAGCCTCAGCTCAAAGGGGCCCAGGTACAGCTCTGGCCACCACTCTAGAGGGTGCAAGCCATAAGCCTTGGTGGGTTCCACATGGTGTTGAACTTGCAGGTGCTCAGAATGCAAGCATAAAGAAGGCTTGGTGGCTTCTATTTAGATTTCAGAGCATGTATGGAAAAGCCTGGGTGCCTGGCAGAAGCTGCCACAGGGGCAAAGCCCCCACAGAGAAACTCTACTAGGGAAATGCAAAGGGGAAATGTGGGGTTGGAACTCCCACACAGTTCACTGCCTAATGAAGCTGTGGGAAGGGGGCCACCACCCTCTAGATCCCAGAATGGTAGAGCCACTGGAAGCTTACATCCTCAGCTTGGAAAAGCCACAGGAGCTCAACTCCAACCCATGACAGCAGCCATGGGGACTGCACCCTGGAAAGCCCCAGGGGCAGAGATGCCCAAGGCCTTGGGAGCCCACCCTTTGCACCACTGTGCCCTGAACGTGGAATGTCATTTCAAGATTTTAGAGCTTTGAGATTTAATGACTGCCCTATTGGGTTTCAGACTTGTTGCCCCTTTCTCTTGGTAGATTTATCCCTTTTGGAATGGGAATGTATACCCGATGCCTGCACCACCATTGTTTCTTGGGAGTAAATAACTTGTTTTTGATCTCAGGTTTGTAGGTGGAAAGATGAGACTTTGGACTTTAGACTTTTGACTTGGGACTGTTAATACTGGAATGAGTTAAGATTTTGGAGGATTATTGCAAAGTCATGACTGTATTTTGAAACGTGAGAAGAACATGAGATTTGGGGGATCAGAGGCAGAATGATATGGTTTGGGTGTTTGTCCTCTCCAAATTTCATGTTGAAACATGATTCCCAGTGTTGGAGATGGGGCCTATTAGGAGGTGATTGGATCATGGTGGTAGATCCCTCATGAATGGCTTTGCACCATCCCTTTGGTGATAAGTGAGTTCTCAATCTGAGTTTGCAAGAGATCTGGTTGTTTAAAAGCATATAGCACTTTTCCTCTTGCTGTCTCTTACTCTCTCTCACACCATATGATATGCCAGCTCCACCTTCACTTTCCACCATGATTGTAAACTTCCTGAAGCCCTCACCAGAAGCAGATGCTGGGGCCATGCCTCATGTACAGGTTGCAGAACTATGAGCCAATTAAACCTCTTTTCTTTATAAATTACCCAGCCTCAGGTATTTCTTTATGGCAATGCAAAAATGGCCTAATATAGACATTTTCATCTTATTAGAATAATCTATAGTGTTTCTTCCCTGTCAATATCCCCCACCTTTGTCAGGCAACCACTACTCAAATTTTTTTTCACCATAGATTTGTTGTACTGGTTCTAAAAATGTATATAAATAAAACCATATGGTATATACAGTTTTATGTCTGGATTAATTCTATCTGCTTAACTACAGTAAGATTATTCCATGTTGTTGCATGAACCACTAGTTCCTTTTTTGTTGCTCAGCAGTTTTCCCTTGTAGGTTTATTCCACACTTGTGTATCTACTCTTCTGTTGAAGGACATTTGCACTCTTCCCAATTTGGGTTATTATTAATAGGATTGTAATGAATAATTACACATAGGACTTTTTGGACGTATGTTTTCCTTGCTCTTGGATAAACACCTAGAAGTAGATTTACTGGGTCAAAAGATAGGTACATGATTAACTTTATGAGAAATTGCCAAAACTTTCTTGAAAGTGGCTATAACATTTTGCACTCCCACAAAGCACATAAGACTTCTAGTTGCTTCACATCCTTGTCAACATTTCTTGTTGAAAGTCTTTCCACTTTAGACTTTCCAGTAGGTGTGACTATGTAGTATATCTTTTTATGGCTTTAATTTGCATGTACTTGATAATGAATACAATGTTGAGCTCTTTTATATGTGCTTATTGTCCATTCATAAATCTTCTTTGGTAAGGTGTCTCTTAAAATCCTTTCACCATTTTCTAGCGAGTTGATTTTCTTTTCATTATTGACTTTTAGATGTTGATTTTGTATTCTAAATATAAATCCTTTATCAGATACATATTTTGTGAATGTTTTCTCCCAGTTTGTGGCTTGCTATTTTCTTAATTGTGTCTTTTGATGAGAAGTTTTTAATTTTAAGAATTTATCCATTTTCTTCTCTTACAGTTATTATTTTCTGTGTCTTGTAAAAAAACAACAACAACAACAAAAAACTTTTCTTACCCTAGATTACAAAGATATTCTTTTTTTCCTAAAAGCTTTTAAATGTTAGCTTTAATGTTTGGGTCTATCATTCATCTTATATTAATTATTGTATGTTGTGTGAGATAAAGGTTGAAATTCTCTTTTATTCTCCCATGTAGACACCAAGTTGTTCTAACAGCGCTTGTTAAAAGACTTTTCTTTATCCATGTAAATGTTTTAGTCCCACTGTCAAAAATCAATTGATCATGTAAATCTCTTTCTGGCCTATTCTTTTTTATTGACCAGTTTGTCTACTATTATACTGTTTTAATTACTTTACAGTGAGTCTTAAGTTTAGAAAGTATAAGTTTCCTAGCATTGATCTTCTTTTTCAAGACTGGTTGGTTATTCTAGGTCTTCTGTTTTTCCTTATGAATTTTAAAAGCATATTATCAATTTCTATTTTATAAAAGTCTGGAGGAGTTTTGATTGGGATTGAATTGAAATATAATTGGGGAGAATTTACATCTTAACAATATTGAGTCATCTAATTCTTGAACATGGTATGTCTCTCCATTTATTACAGAGATAATTATTATAGAAATACAAAAATACATTATGGAAATTATTACAGAACCTGTCATTTGTCTCAATAGTATTTTGTAGTTTTATGTATACAGACCTTGCAGACCTTTTGATAAATTTATTTCTGCTATGAGGCTAGGAGCAGTGGCTCATGCCTGTAATCCCAGCACTTTGGGAGGCTGAGGCAGGCAGATCAGCTGAGGTCAGGAGTTTGAGACCAGCCTGGCCAACATGATGAAACCCCGTCTCTACTAAAAATACAAAAGTTAGCCAGCCATGGTGATGCACACCTGTAGTCTCAGCTACTTGGGAGGCTGAGGTGGGAGGATCACTTGATCCTGGGAGGCAGAGATTCCAGTGAGCTGAGATTATGCCGCTGCACTTCAGCCTGAGCAACAGAGTGAGACTCCAACTAAAAAAAAAAAAAAAAAAAAAAATGTATTTCTGCTATGGACTGAACTGTGTTCCCTAAAACTTCTCATGTTGAAACCTTAACTCTCAATGTGATTGTATTTTGAGATAGGGCTGAGATATAGGAGGTAATTAAGGTTAAATGAGGTCATAAGAGTAGGGTCCTAATCTGATAGGATTGGTGGCTTAAAAGAAGAGGAAGAGAGTTCATTCTCTCTCTCCATGAGCACAAACCTAGACAAGGCCATGTGAGAACACAATGAGAAGATGACCACCTGAAAGCCAGGAGGAAAGCCCTCACCAGAACCCCACCATGCTGGCACCCTGACCTCAGACTTCCACCCTCCAGAACTGTTAGAAAATAAATTTCTGTTGGTTAAGTTGCCCAGTCTGCAGTATTTTGTTATGGTAGCCTGAGCAGATTATTTTGTTTTTATTTTTTGAGAGACAATTTAGCTGGGTGTAGAATTCTGGGTAGTAGGTTCTTTTCTTTTCCTTTCAGCACTTTAAAGTTATTGTTCCCCTATCTTCAACCTCCTTTGTCTCTGATGAGATGTCAGGCACCATTAGTATCTTGTAATTGAATGTGGTGGTGTTTTTCTCTGTTTTCAAGAGTTGTTCCTTTGTCTTCAGATTTTAGCTATTTGATTATGACGGGCCTAGATGTGGTCCACTTTGTATTTATTCTACTTGGGATTCATTGAGCTTTTTGGATCTATAAATTCATCACTAGATTTTGGGGATTTTCAGTCATTATTTCTACAAATATTTTTCTGCCTGATTTTCTGTCCCCTCTCCTTCTAGTACTCCAATTACACATATTTTAGCTTGATATTTTCCACATATTTATGAGGTTCTGTGCATTTCTATTACTTTCTTTCTCTGTATTTTTCCACTGGATACTTTCTATTGACCTACCTTCAAGGTCACTGACTCTTTCTTCTTCCATTTCCAATCTACTACTGAATGATTCAAGGGATTCTTTTATTTCAGTTATATACATTTTAAGTGTAAAACTGTACTGCCCAATAATGTAATCACTGTGTGCCTTTTAAAATTCTAATTAATTTTTGGTTCATTCACAGCAGCTACATTTCAGGTGCTCAAGAGCCACATGAGGCTAGTGACTATTGTGTTAGACAGTGCTGATATAGAACAGTTCCATTGCTGCAAAAGTTCTTTGAACAGCATTACTCTAGAATTTCCATTTGGCTCTCTATGATAATTTCTATTTCTTTACTGTGATTTCTCATTTTGTATGTATTTTCCATATGTATATATTTTAAGTCTTTGAGCATATTTATAATAGCTGTTTTCAATTCCTTATCTACTAATTGCAACATTTGGATCATCCTGGGGTTGATTTCTACTGATGGGATTTTTTTTTTTTGGTAGAGGCAACATTTTCCTATTTATGTGTCTAGTGATTTCTGATTGGATACTAAACATTTTTTTTAAATACACTGTAAAGACTCTGAAGTCTGTTTTGTTTTTCTGTCAATTTATTCAGTCATGCAAGCCAATTGAGTATCTCAATCTCCAAAAATCATCTCCCCCTTGACCAGTAGCAACTAAAATCTCCACCAGTTTCTTCCACTTCCAGTTGCTTTTTTTTTTCCTGATCCTTATCATTATTATTAGACCAATATCATTATCAAATCCACCCAAAAAATTGTCAAGTCTCTTCTCAATATACATATCTTAGATGTGCCAAGAATTTGGGTGAATCTCATATGTATTTTGGGCTCTCCTCCTTTGAGGCACACTTCCTTCAAGTATTTCCTTCTTAACTTTTTTTTTTTTTTTTTTTGACACAGAGTCTTGCTCTGTCACCCAGGCTGGAGTGCAGTGGCATGATCTCAGCTCACTGCAACCTTCTGCGCCTCCTGGGTTCAAGCGATTCTGTGCCTCAGCCTCCCAAGTAGCTGGGATTACAGGCGCCCACCACCATGCCTGGCTAATTTTTGT
This sequence comes from Homo sapiens, assembly GCF_000001405.40. Taxonomy (NCBI): domain Eukaryota; kingdom Metazoa; phylum Chordata; class Mammalia; order Primates; family Hominidae; genus Homo; species Homo sapiens. The sequence goes on from NC_000017.11 coordinate 73,965,838, forward strand.
ATTTTTAGTAGTGATGGGGTTTCACCATGTTGGCCAGGCTGGTCTTGAACTCCTGACCTCAGGTGATCCATCCACCTTGGCCTCCTAAAGTGCTGGGATTACAGGAGTAAGCTACTGCACCCGGCCAACTTTCTTTCTTCCTGTCCGGAATGCTGTCCTCTGATACCTCAAGCCAATACAGTTGTAGCTTTCTACCACCTCAATTTATGCACAGATTTGGGAGTTCCAGGCAAAACGCTTCCAACTCACAAATATCATTCATGCGGTCTCACAAGGGCAGACTCACCTCTGGTTTCTGCCTACTTTTGGGTATTCCTCTGTGCTGTTTTGTGTTTTGCTCAGAGTTTATAATTGTCATCTGTGGAAGACTTACTGTGACCAAATTACTACACTACTACCAGAAGGCAGTAGCTCCCACCTTGTGTTTTTATTTTTTATAGTAAACTGAAATAGTCACTCAGTTTGTGTTGCTGAAGACTATTAACATTAAGGCATATCATCTTAGGAGGAGAAGCTTCTTGATAGCATAGAGGAAACGCAAAGCCTGGCCTCATACCATTAGCTGTCAGAGTCCAAAGTCATCAGTACCTCTAGGTTACAGTTGTCAGTGATTACTAAGGAACACAGACTATGTAAGAGGAAAATATCACAGTCCTAACTTGACCTAACCTTTCCTTCAATTACCTTCAATCCCTAGAAACAACTTTTGCTTTCTCTTCCATGGAAAGAAATGTTAGAGCTTGAGAATCGAATCAGCATTGTTATCATACCCACCCCCATTGTTATACCCACCCCCCAAAATTCTCCTTAAACCACCTCCTTAAATGCATAGATCATGCTCATACAGAAGCCTAACAGTTCAGTAGTAATCGGATGATAGATGTGCATGCGGGTGCTCAGAAGGCATATTGCATATGGCAGGGGGTAGGGAACCCAGTCTTGCCATTTTTTTAGCTGTGTGGTCTTGAGAATTTTTTTTAACTGCTCTAAGCCACAGTTTTCTCATCTGTAAATTTGGGATAATAGTATCTATTTTGTAGGGTTGTTAAGAAAGTTAAATTTTTAAAGTATAGAAAGTACCTATCATACTGTTGCTAACAGAAGACTCTCAAGAATTCTGTTTCCTCCCCTGCTTCCTTAAGATCTGTATACAATGCACTTGAGGTCTCTACCATTAACCACTTGAAATTCCAGTTGGAGGAAAAGTCTTACCAGCAAAAAGAAATTCCCCAAATTTATCCACATCAGTAATAGTTGTCTAGATACTTGTCACTCACCCAGAGTGACCCTGAACATGGCATCTTCAGTTCAGAATTTCTGAGGACTGCTTCAATTTCCTACAGTTTCATGGAAACTATACTTCATAGGATTCCTGGTGCAAGACCACTTTTCAATGCAGTCCTCCAATTTACAGGATCATCCAAGAAATAAGTCCCTTTAAATCATCTAGTATCCAGATGAGAAAACCTGTGACATCATAACTTCCATCGTCACTTCCTTAGGCTAATGAATTAATGCTGTTTGCATTCACCTGTCCTAAGATGAAATTCATGCAAACCTGATTGCATTGCCCCCAAAACTGGACAAAAGCTTCCAACCTGCCCAGGGCTTTTCATTCATTTTATCTTCCATAAAAGGCAACCATCGTTGAACCACTTTAGTGCCCACTGAGAAAAGACCTTCCAAGGTGTTGGATCTACCAGTGAACATCTGCTTCTCAGAATGTCAAGCAGTTATTGACTTTTTGCTTTGTGCGAGCACATTGCAATGTTCTGTTTCTTATCATGGGCACTTCGCCTAAAGTGTTGGAGCCGTGCTTATCCACAAAATGAGAGGTGGCCCTGAGGCTCTAATTACTTACCACTGAAGAACAATGTCATCGCAGGAGGAACAACCCACAAACTGTCTGCACAGGAGTCCAGCTGCTCCCCAACTATCTGTGCAAGCCTGTCCCTACAAACTACCTGCACAAGGCTATGGGGGATTTATTTCTAATGATGAACCAGTCCCCGGGACCCATGAAGGAGACTTGCCTTTAGTGCTTAGAACTAAAAATCAGATGTTTGCCAGTGAGTGCAGACAGGCAGTACTGAATCCTTCCCTGAAATGCCTCCCTGCTCATTGCAGATTAGGTTGAGCCACCCTCATATTAAGTTATCACTTGGATTCATTCACTCATTCGATGCTTATTGAGGGTCTACCTGTATAAAGACAGCAGTGAACAAAATAGCCACTGGCCCTGCCTGGAGTAGCTTATATTATAGTGCAGTGAGACAGATAATAAACAAATGGATAAATATAATATCATGTAGTGATAAGTGCTGAGGAAGAAAATAACAGAGAAGCCGAAGACAGGTGCAGTGCCTCAGGCCTATAGTCCTAGCTGAGGCAGGAAGATCCCTTGAGCCCAAGAGCTCAAGGCTGCAGGTGAGCTAGGATTGCACCACTGCACTCCAGCCTGGGCAACAGAGTGAGACCCTGTCTCTAAAAATAAAGAGAGAAAGTAAAGAAAATAATAGAGTAGGATCAAAGGCTAGAAAGTGAGGGAGTCAAGGAGTTATTTATTGCAGAGTGCTTAAGAAACCCTTCCCAGTAAGATAGTATTTGAGCAGAGACCTGAAGACCATGCACACACCTTAGAGAAGTGTGTCTGGTGGAGGCTGCAGTAAGGGCAAATGTCTGCAGCAGGAGCATCCTTGTTGAATTTGAGGAATGACAAGGGGAAAATGAGGCAGGAGCAGAGAGAGCAGGAGGCAGGGAGGCAGGAAGTGAGCCCAAGAAGTTGAATGAGGCCAAATCCTGTAGGGCCCCTCCTTCAGCTGATGCCGAGGCAATAGCAGCAACTTCCTAGCAGGCATCCTGGCTTCCAGTCTTGCTTGCCTCCAACCCATTTTCCGCACAGGTACTGGAGTGAGCTCCCTGATGTAACCAGGTTGCCTTCCTATGTAACACCCTCAAATGCTTCCATTCCATTGAGTGCAGGATCAAGCTCAAGCTCCTTAAGCTGTACCACAAGGGCTTCCTTGAAACTGGCGCCCCCTCCAGCCTCTCTTCTCTGTAATTTATGCCCCAGCACAACCAAGCTGCCTGAACTTGCCCCACTGCATGGAGCTCCTTCCTCTCCCAGCCATCACTCACGGGCCTCCTCTGTCTGGAAGGCACACACCAAATTGATTCAGCCAGTGACTCAAGAGTCAGGACCATAGAGGCCATTCAAGGTCAGTTACTGGGTGAACAAGGAGAAATCTATCCCAGGCACTGATAATAGGCATAACCAAGAATCAGCTCTAAGGATGCTATTAGGATCCAAAACCAAGGTAAGAAGAGGCAGATGCTCACACTGCAGGAACTGGTTAATTCCATCAGGGGATGTTTCTTAGGACAGGAACAACAAGTGTTGACTGAGTGCAGGCTTCTCATAGAAGACCCACTACACATCACAAGACATACAAAACACTGTATGTATGTGTTTTCTCTAATCCTCACAGCACAAATTATACAGATGAGATAAATGAGGTTGCCCAAATCCTAAGAAGCAGAGCTGGGATCCAAACCCCAGCAAATGCGATTCCACAGTCCATACTCTCATGCCTTCCAGAGCCGGGTAGGGAGGCAACAGCAGCATCAAAGATTGAAGGGTCCAGTGGCCGTGCCCTCCATGGAACCAGAGCCACCCACACACATGCATGCACTCGAAGAGGCAGCTACAGGGAAGGGACTGAAAACAAGCCTTGGTACCACCTGCCTGTGCTCAGTTCCTGGGTCTACATGGGTTAGCTCATGGCCTCTCTGTGCCTCAGTTGACTCAGCTGTAAAAACGAGGCAATTATTACTGGCACATAGGATTAGAAGAGTTAATTCCTGTAGAGCACTTACACAATGTCTGGTGCATGTTAAGTGCTCAATTAATGTTAGCTACACTAGCAAGACATGGCAAAGTCACACGAAAGTCCTCTTCCGGTCCACCCTGCTGGTCCGAGATCACTAGCACAGTGGTGGCAAGAAGTGGCCTGAATTTCAGAGAGCACAGGGTCAATATTTACCAGAATTTGCCTTTATTCTGCACTGGCCCGAAGAGGTGTTTTCTGGGGAGTCAACCCACCGCTTTGTGCAACCCTAGAGTGTGTCTTTGTGAGGAGGCTTCACCCTGCCCCACTCCTTTCCTGCTGCTCATTTTCATGTTCAGAGATGGCCACAGCGGTCACTGCTAGTTTAGTTCACTTCCTCTTCATTGTAAACTCCAAGTCCCAAACCTACCAGCCCTCACTCTCCTGAGCCGCTCAGCAGCCCAGCTGATTTCATCACAGCCATAACTCTCTAGAATAGCTGCCGTTACGCAACAGCTCCTAGCGCAAAACTGGTACGACTGTGTCTACTGCAATGTATTCATCAGTTTCCACAGGCATTTATTTAGTGCCTACTGTGTGTGTGTCATATAGATGCCTACTGAGCAGTCTCCCTCCACCATGCACCCCCACCATCACTGCAGACACGCTTCATTGTCATCCCTGAGTGGGAGCCATCTCTTTAGAGAGGGTATGAGATGTTTTGCCCGAGTTTGAGATAGTCCTCTCCTGGTGCCCCTCTGTTCCGTCCTCTCATCCCACGTCACCTGCTTGGGCTCCTCTCTGGCTCTAGCTCCTGCAGGGTGTCTCTTTTGCCTGGGTAGGAGACGTCCTCTCCCTCCTGATGCAGCCTCTGCTGTCTCTCCAACAGTCTGTGCTCAGCCTGGAGATCACCCCCAAAGGGGTCTGCTCCCTCGTCTCATGCCTACTTAACTGATCTGCCTCCAGCCATCACCGTCTCGGGTCTTCATGTCCCTGATGCTCTGTAGCCACCAAGAACATGTCCTGCTTCATAATCTCCTGTTGTTTTTTAAGCATTCCCTGTCACCACTCCCATCCCTATCTGTTGGGTATTTCTGCATCTCTGAGTTTCCTTTTTTTTTGAGACGGCGTGTCACTCTGGTGCCCAGGCTGGAGTGCAATGGCACGATCTCGGCTCACTGCAACCTCCACCTCCCGGGTTCAGGTGATTCTCCTCCCTCAGCCTTCTGAGTAACTGGGACTACAGGCATGCCACCAGTCCTGGCAATTTTTGTATTTTTAGTAGAGATGGGGTTTCACCATGTTGGCCAGGCTGGTCTCAAACTCCTGACCTCAAGTGATCTGCCCACCTTGGCCTCCCAAAGTGCTGGGATTACAGGCATGAGCCACTGCACCCGGCTTTCCTTCTCTCTTGAACACTGAGTTCTCAGCCATCTGTCCATTCATAAATCTTGCTACCCTCCTCGCCACTGCCCATCCAGAAGTCTACCAAACAATTCTAAGAACAAGTATTTTCACATCCAACTCCACATTTCCTTCCACGGCAGCTCCAGACTCTCAGACAGGTGGCCTTTGAACCCCAGATTCATGGGTATTTACAGACAGGTATCAACTCCACCATGAATCTAGAGTCTTGAAAATGAAAAAGAAATTTCAAATTGTGCCTCTGCTTTCAACTAGTATCACATTTCCGCTTTGCAAGAAACAGCAAGTGCAGCGTGGGTGACCAGATAGTGACCTGTCATTCCACACTCCTCCTGCAATGTCCATCAAGCTGGCTTCAAGTGAGTCTGCATATCATCTTTGCTACTGTGAAGATGCCACAGAGCTCTTGAGGGTACACAATAGGCATTCAGCCACACTCCTGCGCACATGGGTGCCTACAACTTCCCCATCCTTGTCTCAGGCTTATTTTTCTGTGGTATTAAAGGATCACAAAGAATTTCTAAGTCAGTCGAGTTCTTTGTTGCTATCATTAGTTGTAGTGCATGGAGGGGGTAAACAATGCAGCTTGTTCTTTTGCCTCTCCAGTTCCAGAGATTTATTTACTAGAATTTTTTTTTTTTTTTGCCATTGAGTTGGAAGAAATCAAGAAAGACTAATTACTTTCTTTTTTAGCTGAGCCTAAAGCTGGATACAAGGGTAAACCTGGGAGATTTACATCTGAGTGGCGGTTTTATGTCTCAGCCTGGAGGCGGTAGTTGAACCCACTGTGTCTTTGCATTTGTTTTTGGAAAACTGTGAGCATCACCCCCAGCATGGATGCCTGAGTGGCAACCAAGACCCTAATCTATAGCATGGGGTCCCCATCTGGACAATGATGCACCAATGAGTGCCGAGTAGAAGTGGATCCTATCCTCCTATGCTCCTCAGGATAGGCCACCCTGTGCTGTGAAAACAGACCACAAGAAACCCCAAAAGCTAAGTAAATGCCATGATGATCTTGCTCATGGATGCTCTGCTCATTGCAGTGACTTCAATGGCTACGAGAGACGCTGTCTCAGCCAGGGTAAGGGGATGCAGTGACTCACATTGGCTCACAGAGTAGACACAGCCGTGCCTACTTCCAGGGCTGGGGAGTGTGTCCTGCCACGTGCCCACAGCGGGGGCCACCGCGCTGATGATCACTGCAACTTGCACTCCTTTGAAGCTCTGGGGCTGCTCCCGCATCTGCGACAGTCAGCATAGCCCCTGACCACACCCTTTCTGCACTTTGGGTTCATGGGTTCATGGGTTCCATTTCGTTCCCCAACAGCAGTTTGGAAAACTTCTCATATATTTCTCCAGGTCACACCAACACAGGAGTGAAAACGGAGTTTCATCAGTTGAGAAGGAAAGAGGAGGGGAAGGAAGGGCAGGACAGGGGAGGGGAGGAGAGGGGAGACCTCAAGCTCATGCAGGTACAAGGGAGGTGTCCCCTGTACACTAGTCCCATGTCACTCGCCGGTGGCTCCTGGTCTGGCTGCAGCTGCTCTACCTTGCCATCCAGGTGCTCTGCCTTCTCTGGAACTTTGCCCTGTCGTCCTCAGACACCAGCTGTACCCCATCACCCTTGCATTACATGCTGGTACGTGGGCCACAGAGCAATATGAGCTTCTGTATTTGTATCCTTGCCTGACAGAAGTTCCCAGAACAGCTGGTGTGTTCCTGTGTCTGTCATTACCTTCTCCACACCCCAGGACAGAGAGACGGCAACAACGTAAAAAACACTCCCCACCATACTAAGTGACCCCTCCCCTCGGGCCCTGCACCTGTGCCCAAGAACCAACTCTACACTCCGACTCCTTTTCTCAGGATGGGTTGGTCTGTTTATTTTGCCCATAAGCCTCCTGCATTCCTCCCGCACGTCTCCTCCTGGCTGGACCTCTCCTGAATCCCAGGGCAGACAGAGGTTAGGGTCTTAAACAGCCCCCAGCATGCCCATAAGCAATGTCAGAGAAGCCACGAGGTGTCTACTGCAATGACAAGGAAGACATTGTTCACTGCTTCAATCACCGGAGAAGACAAATTCCCCACACAGTAGAGCCTGTCTGTGCACAGTGGGCTGAAACAGACACTTCTCCCCTCCAGAGTGCTGCAGAGGGGCCTCCTGCATTAGGAGAAAAGTTGGGCCAGGTGACCTCCTAGTCCTTCCAGCTCTGAGATTCAGCCATGTTCCTCCCAGCAGGGACTGATTGTATTTGCTTCACCCTTGGGAGCCAGCAGGGTTTGGAGCATAGAGAAGAGTGCACACACCCAGCGCCCTGGCTCCAATCGCCCCAGCTCTGTCCCTGACACAGCCTTCCCAGCTTTGGGGGAAGTCCTCAGGGGTGCGACAGGGCCCGGACTAGAGTGAAGCAAGTCCGGCCCTCAGTCCAGGCAGAAAATTTAGGGGGACCCCAGAAACTCACTAAACAAGATAATATTTATTGCGGCATTCTTAGGAAACCAACATGAAATAAAAACTATCCACAACGAACAAAATATCCAAATGTGGACTAAAGACAGGCCTTGTCCCTGTACTTGGACAACCCACACCCTAGTCCCAGCCCGGCCAGATCCTGTCTTTATTTCACATGTGGACAGCAGACAGTTTGCTCATCACAGATTTTCTCTGCTTCGACTATGTGTGATGGTCTTGACTCCTGAGTATTTGGCTGCCCCTTTTAAACGTGGCTGCAGGCAAGTGCCTCGCTCTCCCCATCCTGGCCTGGGTCCCGCCCCCCCCCAGGCCTCTGGAGCTGCCCTGCGCTATTTGCTCTCCCTCTCCTGTCGGCTTGGGCCGCCTTCATCTCTCATGGAGTTCCGGGCAGGGGACCACCCCTGTAGTAGACACTGTCGGTGCCCCAGCTACTCAGCCTTGGCCTTGACGGTTCCAACGCCCGTGGCTTCTGACTGCAAACACCCATGACTCAGTCTGGGAGCTTTCACAGGAGCCAGGAGCATGTTCACAGCCCACATCTGGGGAAGCCGGATCTGCCAGAGAATTAACCCCTATGGATGTTAAAACATCTCAGCTCCTCACCCCTCAGGAGGGATGATTTGGAATGATGTGGTGCACCTGGCCCTGAGGCCTGTGAAGGGATCCAGGTGCAGGATGTGGGCCTGGAACACACCCAGAGCCAGCTGCTCCCCTTCCACGCTCATTTCCTAGTCCCTTATCAGTGCTTCCTGGGATCACCTCCCCAGACAACTGCTTCTGGGGCCATCTGGCTGAGACAAACCAGCTGCCATTGCCACCTAGGGCCACCCATGCCCTGTCTACTGATGGCCCCCAGAGCCTCACAATGCCAATGCCACCTGGCTGAAGCCCCTTTGCTAATGCGGTCAGGTGGGACAAGGGGACAATCCCCTCTCCCATCCATCCCATGTCCCTTTGGCCCACAGACGGTTCTGGTGAGTGCAGGAAGCATCCCATTGCATCCCCAGCACCAGGCAGGGGGTCTTGTATGACAAACACCCTTCCTTTCCACTCTAGTCCTTCTGTGGCAGGCAGGTCTCACAGATGCAGGCTTCCATAACAACTGTTTCAGTACTGACTGAGTGGCTAAGCTAAATATTAAAAGCCAGCACCCTTACACAAAGGCTGGAATGTAACAAAGGCCCACCAGGAGTTTTGCCTAGGCCTTTCCTGGGCCTTAAAGCATGACAAGATAACAAAGGAATTCTTAACAGGACCCATTTAGGATTAAACAAGTTTTACTGGGGGTCTGAAGAAACTTGCCAAACCACTGTGACTTAGCCCGAGACAAGATAAGGGTAATCACCCCAGCACCTGGACCCATTTTAGATCAAGTAAATTTACTGAGGCTTCAGAGGAAGGTCTTCAGGACTCAGGCCTTAGGTATAGATTAAAATAAGTTAATCGCTTATGTCTTTTCTTTTTTTTTTTTTTTTTTTTTCCTGAGATGAAGTTTCGCTCTTATCATCACCCAGGCTGGAGTGCAATGGTGTGATCTCAGCTCACTGCAACCTCTGCCTCCTGGGTTCAAGCAATTCTCCTGCCTCAGCCTCCTGAGTAGCTAAGATTACAGGTGCCTGCCACCATGTGTGGCTAATTTTTGTATTTTTAGTAGAGACAGGGGTTTTACCAGGTTGGCCAGGCTGGTCTCGAACTCCTGATCTCAGGTGATCTGCCTGCCTCGGCCTCCCAAAGTACTGCAGGCATGAACCACTGCACCCAGCCAACTTACGTCTTTTTTTTTTTTTTCTTTTTTTTTTTTTGAGACGGAGTCTTGCTCTGTCACCCAGGCTGGAGTACAGTGGCACGATCTCAGCTCACTTCAACCTCCGCCTCCCGGGTTCATGCCATTCTCCTGCCTTAGCCTCCCAAGTAGCTGGAACTACAGGCACCCGCCACAACGCCTAATTTTTTTTTTTTGGAGAGATGGGGGGGTTTCACCGCGTTAGCCAGGATGGTTTCGATCTCCTGACCTCGTGATCCGCCCGCCTCGGCTTCCCAAAGTGCTGGGATTACAGGCGTGAGCCACCGCACCCAGCCCAACTTATGTCTTTAGATGAATGTACACTTATACTTAGATACATAGCTTAGAAAGTATGTAAGCTCTAGAAAACTTTGTAATTTTGAGTTCGTCTGGCAATATTTTCCAGGTCTTTTCCCTGTCACCAGTTGCAGAAATAAAAACTCTCTTCCTCCCCAGTTCATCTGCATCTCGTTATTGGGCCATGAGAAATAGCAGCCCGACCCTCAGTTTGGTCCAGGAATACCTCTTCCCAGGACTGAGGTATGATACCAGCGGGCAGCCATCTGGGAGAGCAGCCTCCCAATCCCCTGCCAAACTCTCCTCTGTCCCTGTCCTTCCCAAGAGGTCTTCTGTGAGCCCACCCAACGAAGTGATGGTTTCACTCCCACCCTGAGGTCAGCTGTCTCACAAAGCACAAGCATAGATCGCCAGGCATTCACAGAAGTCCCAGGCCCTTTGCTTGCATGTATCCAAGCCCCCCCTAGGATCCCCATGGAAGAATTTCTTAGCAGGATGAATCCTTAAAGGTCAAGTCTGGAAAGGAAAATTCTTAGATGAAATCTCTGAGAATTCTTAGAGCCCCAACAGTAGTAACAATTTCAAGAGAGTTGGTTTTATCAGAGGCCTAGAGCATGCAACAGGGCCTGGTGCTTCCAGCCAGGCCTTGAGCTGCCTGGAGCTAATCAGGAGTCAAAGAACGGTGGTGGCCTGGGAGTCAGGAGCCCTAGCCTCTGAGAAAACTGTGCAAATTTGGGTCTCTGACTCATCACCTCTCTGAGCCTCAGTTTTTTCATCTGTAAAAGGAGGGGGTTACACCAGATAATCCCTAGGGGCTCTTCTAGCTGTATGATTTTATAAAGAAAAAAAAAAAGTTCTTCTCTTTGAGGAGTCCTGAGACCTGACAAAAAAGCATTTCTAAGAAATACAGCGGAGTCTCCTCTAGGAATTTTTCAGGATTAGGGAAAGCATCAGTCAGTATCGAAAGGAGTCTATAGACAGTATCCTAGGGAGATGGAGCAGGGACAACAGGACCTGGGGTTGGGGTGGAACTTGTATCTCACTCAAATACTATCCACTGAATCTTGGAACTAAGATCAGTCATTTTCTACAAAACAGGCCCCTGGCCGGCATCCAGGACTCTGAGAACTTGGGTCGCTGCTTTTACTAATGTCCCATGAAGGGGACGCCAGGACAGCTTCCCAGTGGATGCTTCACTGCCCTCGGAGTGGGAGGAGTCCCATCCACCCACTGCTGGAAGCTGAGATAACCACCGGCTGAAGGGAAGAGTTGGCAGAACAGGAGATGGAACACCCAGCTAATGTGAAAAGAATGAATAGATTAAAAACCGCAAGCTACTTCATCAGGGCCCACACGGCAAGTTAAGCCCGCAAATATCGATGCTGAAATGTGTTGAGAAGTCTGTCCAGGAAGGCCAGGAAATCAGGACGCTCGCAAAGACCTGCTCGGAGCCACAGCCACGGCGGCCACCTCCGCTAATGCGGCTTCTGCTAATGAATGCGGCCTTCAAATCTCTCTCTCCAGGGCCCTGGGAGGACTGTTAACACCATTTGCCAGCTAAAGAGCTCAGGAAGATCCTTAAGTTTTAAAAGCACCCCTTCCATGGCTTTCCTGCCCTGGAGGACCTGGGTAATGGGAGGTGAGGAGGAGAGCCAGCTGGCACAACCCCTTCTCCTCTCCACTTGAGCTCCCGTGAGAGATGTCACCTGGCAGGGACCCAAGGAAGGCTTTAGAGTGGGGAAGAAACCCCCCACCTGCCTGCCTCCTGCCAGCACTGATATGGGAGCCAGGAGGCAGCTTGGCAGGTCGGAGTCCTGGCTGGAGACTAGGTGCTGGTGACTTTCTCTGTCTGAGCTCATTCCACCTTGGCCATCTTGGGGATTAAAAGCTGGGAAAGGTCTTAGAGATCAATCCAACTCATTTATTTTATGGTGGGCAAATAGCGAGGTCCAAAAATGCAAAGAGAGTTGCCCAAAGTTACACTGTGGGGATGAGAACAGGAAGGAGAAGTGGAGATCTGGCATAGGCTAAAACCCACACCAAGCTACACAGACTCAGCGGACCTCATGAGCGCCAAAGTGACGTGTGTCAGACATGCCTGTGTAAGACGGAAGACACAGTGCGGATTCTTGTGCCCACCCTCTGGGTATTCACCTGCTAAGGGAAGGGCACTAGCTGAAAAGTAGTGGGAGCAAACGGGGATCCCAGCCAAGAGGGAGAGGAGGGAGGAGCCTGAATGAGTGCGCATGGCCACAGAGAGAGCTGACTACAAAAGGGCAGTGGGCTTCACCTCTGTGGCACTGCACATGCTGACATGAGGTTTGGGGTCCCTTAGTGCTTCCAGCTAAGTGGTGTGGCCCCAGGAGAGTCTTTTATCTCCCTTTTCAGGAGTCCTCCTGTCAGAGGCGTTTGAACCAGAGCAACTCCATCTTGAATAGGAGCTGGGTAAAATGAAGCTGAGCCCTATTGGGCTGCATTCCCAGGAGGTTAAGGCATTCTAATCACAAGATGAGATAGGAGGTCGGCACAAGATACAGGTCATAAAGACTTTGCTGATAAAACAGGTGACAGTAAAGAAGCCCCACAAAAACCCACCAAAACCAAAATGGCAATGAGAGTGACCTCTGGTCATCCTCAGTGCTACACTCCCTCCAGCACCATGACACTTTACAAATGCCCTGACAACATCAGGAAGTTACCCTATATGGTCTAAAAAGGGGAGGTATAAATAATCCACTCCTCGTTTAGCATATTCTCAAGAAATAACCATAAAAATGGGCAACCAGCAGCCCTCAGGGCTGCTCTATGGAGCAGCCAATCTTTTATTCCTGCACTTTCTTAATAAACTTGCCTTTACTTTACTCTATGGGACTCGCCCTGAATTCTTTCTTGCATGAGATCAAGAACCCTCTCTTGGGGTCAGAATCTGGACCCCATTCCTGTAACACCCCCTTGATGCTACCAGATCACTTACGTCCATAGGCCCACAGGAAAAGCTGGAGTAGAGGGCGAAAAACACTAGATTTTGGGAAAGTTATAAGCGGGTTGTAAACACAGACTGGGCAAACCAGCTCTGTCCCATCTGCCTCCAGGCTGTGGGCATGACGTAGTCTTGAAGATAAGAGTCAGGAAACTTAATTTATTAGCAAGAATTAGGGTCAGCCACATGCAACACAAAACCCAAACTAACAGTGGCTTAACCAAGATGGCAACTTCTTTCTTCTCTTATACAGAACAAGTGCAGAGGTAAGTGGTCTCAGGCTAGTAAGGCAATTCTGGGGTTATCAGAACTCAGTATCCCTCTGTCTTTCTGCTTCTGCCACCCTAGGGCTGAGCTTCCATTTCCAAGGCCCTGACTTGGTCCAAAATGGCTGCGGGAGCTCCAGCCATCACCTTCCAGGTAGCAGGGAGGGAGGGAGTGGGAAGAGCATCTGAAGGCAGTGCTCCCTCCTAGCTGAGCCGCCTGCCCCAAAGTCCCATGGAGCATGGCCTTTCTCATCCCAAGGCTGGAATTTATTCCCACAGCCACACTTCATTGCTTAGAAAGCCAGAAAATATGGTCTTTTATAGCTGGTTCCATTACCTCCCCAAATATAACAGAGATTCTCTCACTAAGGAGGAAAAGGTTGACAGCTCTTGGGTGGAATGAGCATTTCTGCCCCTCCTTGGATCCTGTTTCTCTGTGCTTCTGGCTGTGCAACTGTAACCTCAGTTTTCTACATCTGTGAAATGAGGAAAATCAACCCAGGCTCCTCCCCCAAGGCTTGATTACAAAAAAGTTAATTAAAACAAAAAGACAATTCTGTAACTCACAGGAAGGAAAATAAGCTGGTGAGACCTGGCAAACGCAGCGGGTGCAACGTGGCCTGGCTGTCCTCACGGATGTCCATACTCCAGGGAGTGGGCAATTACAGGCTCCCTGCCACGAAGCCCTTTGAAACATAAGAATTCTTTTGAAATATGACTAATTACCCCCCACCTGACTTTAAGACTAGATTTTAATGTATGAGGCTTTTTCAAAATGAACCTCACCTGTGCTGCTGCCTTTCCCAAGCAGGCTAATGATAGAGAACAGGGGCAGGAAGCCAAGCGGGGACGGGGGACAATGGGCAGATGAGAAACAGAAAATCCACCCACCTTGCCGTGCCCAGTAGGACCAGCCTCCTCTTCTCCAAACTTTTGGCCTGAATTCCTCCTAACAAGGACTCCAATGAATCCCATCCCTCCTCCTTCCCCATCTAGCTCTGGTGCAGGTACTAATGAGTGCTGGAGGGACCCAGGGCTGCGAGCAGCCACGCAGTACCGATGTGGACCGTGACGGCAGTTCTGTAGTTACAGGTTGATGCTCCTTCTCCCAGACACAAGAGCCTGCAGGCCGTGGAGATGAGAAGGCAATGCCTCTGCCAGTGGGGAGAAGGAGGAAGAGGATGAGGTCAAGGAATATGAAGCAGCAGAGGGGAAAGACCGTAGGAGGCTCTGGTTTAGAAAAGCAAATCCAGCCTCCAAGAGCAACACCCTAGTGAGGACTTCACTCTCCTCAAAGGAAAGTTGCAATAAACAGAATAGAAGACAGGTGGGAACCAGCCTGGCAAACATGGCGAAACCCCGTCTCTACTAAAAATACAAAAATTAGCCAGCTGTGGTGGCATGCACCTGTAATCCCAGCTTCCCAGGAGACTGAGGCGGGAGAATCACTGGAACCCAGGAAGCAGAGGCTGCAGTGAGCCAAGATCACGCCACTGCACTCCAGCCCTGGGTGACAGAGGATGACTCCGTCTCAAAAAAACAAAAAACAAAAAAAATGGAGGGAAGGATAATGAGGAGAAAGGAGGAGAATGAAGACACCGATATGACTTTGGGCAGCTACAACTCTGGCTATGTCTGCAAAGCCTGGAAGGATGACACACCCTCGTAACTGCACCTCAGAATGCAAAAGAGCCAGGGAACATTTCTCCTGAGCTCACATTTCTGTAAGGCCTTAGTGTAAACACCTGTGAGATCTAGGGGACATGAGATGGTGACATGCAGGGATTCCATTAGGCATCATGGAGAACCTCTCAGCTGCAATAGCATCCCAGAGAGGGCTACATTTGAGGAAGTTTTGCAGGATGAATAGGAGTTCACTGAATGGGCCAGGAGGAAAGAGCCTTCCGGGCAGAGGCAGCATTGTGTACAAAGCCCAAGAGTGTGAAACGTCAAGGGATGTGCAGCTGATGGGTCTGGATGAATACAGATTTGTAGGGAGGGAGAGCAACTGGGGAGAAGGTAGGAGAAACCAGTGGGTCCCTCTCCTAGGGAATTTCCAAGTTGCCCATGGGGTGTGGGCTTTGGCCAGAGGTAACTGGGAGCCACTGAAAGATACCAGCAAGGGGGAAGCACATTTTAGAACAAGCACTCTACTGCAGAAAAAGGATTTTTTAGCGGAAAGACAAATTGAGGAAGAGGTAGCAAGGTCTGGAGTTACTGCAGGAGTAATGGGGACAGAGGACAACAGGGCCTATCTGAGGGGTGTTGACATGACTTGGAAGTATGTGGAGGGACCTAGGATGACCCCCAGATTTGACTTGGGGACAGGGTCGAGGGTGACACTATGAGCTGGGTAAGAAACACAGAAGGAGGAAGGAGTCTGACAGGGAAGTGATGAGTTTGCTTTTTTTTTTTTTTTTTTTTTTTGAGACAGAGTCTCACTGTGTCACCCAGGCTGGAGTGCAATGGTGCAATCTTGGCTCACTGCAACCTCCACCTTTTGGGTTCAAGCGATTCTCCTGTCTCAGCCTCCCAAGTAGCTGAGACTACGGGCATGAACCACCACACCCTGCTAATTTTTTTATTTTTAGTAGAGACAGGGCTTTGCCATGTTGGCCAGGCTGGTCTTGAACTCCTAACCTCAGGTGATCCGCCTGTCTCAGCCTCCCAAGTAGCTGAGACTAAGGGCATGAACCACCACACCCTGCTAATTTTTTGTATTTTTAGTAGAGACAGGGCTTTGCCATGTTGGCCAGGCTGGTCTTGAACTCCTAACCTCAGGTGATCCACCTGTCTCAGCCTCCCAAAGTGCTGGGATTACAGGTGTGAGCCACTGAGCCCGACCTGAGTTTGCTTTTGGATATGTTGATTTTGGAGTGGCAGGGGCCTTCAGGTAGAGACAGGTAGGAGGCCATTGGATACATGGTGCAGGAGTGTAGGCCTATGTAGGTCATCCATGCATGCCTGGCTCTGGGATCTTCGCTTTAGTCATTTAAATCATGGGCCTGCTGTCTTTTCTTATGCCTCCAGGAACCTGGCCACATCTAGAGCAGAGTAAGTGAGCCACTTGGGGAGGGCAGAGGCTGCTGGGATGGCAAGGGAGGTTGAGTGGGAATCCCCAGAGAGGAAACCTCCCTCCCCGCAGCCCCCGCTGTCCCACTTGTGAGACGGAGCTCTGGGACCAAGCAGTACACCCACACACAAGACAAAAAACTTCTTCCTCAGAGCTGCTCACATAGGGAGCAAAATGCTGATGAGAAGCAAATTGTCTCCCTAGGAGGCCTCCGGTTGAGAAGCCTAGAGCCCTTCTTTGCTATAACTCTAGAAAGCACAGACCCACAAATGAAGGGAGAGAGGGAGGAGACAAAGTAGGGATGATAGAGGCAAGCAATGGTGAGGACTCAAGGAGAAGAGGGAGCAAGGGGAGGGCAGAGAGGAGTCACCCTGGGGCCCAGAGACAGGAGAGACCAGTCAGCAAAGGATCAAAACCGTGACTGGAGTCCTTCGGAAGCAACCCTCCCATTTCCTCCAGTGACCTGGGGGAACAGATGGTCTCAGCAGCTCACTCTGTCTGGGACAGGTACCCACTCCCAGCTACAATCTCCTCTGAGGGTCTGGTCTACCACAACCCCTCCAAAAAGCCCATCTTTGCTGTTCCTGAGACAAAGACACTGCTCACAGGTAATCCTGGCCAGACAGATCAAGCCTGCCTCTCCGGTGGGGGAGTGGAAATTGGATTCACCTCGTCAGACTTGATACCTGGGACTGCTCAGAAATTGCAAGACTATTTACTCCCCTCTCCAGCCTGAACCCTGGATGCAGAGAAATAAGCCCACTTTAAGGGACATCGCCAAAGTCAAGAGCCCTCCTCTGTGACCCTGGTTTCCTGGCTTCCAAGAAAGGAGGTGGCTGAGTGTCAGTCTGGAATCATCCACTCAGAACAGGCAATGCTTTCCAGAGATCAGGCACCGAGCGTTGGTCCCTTAGACTCTTCTGAAATGAGGGTGTGGAGAGGATGGGGAGGCAGAAACAAAAGATGTGTGAGATGAGAAGGGAAAGACCACTTCCCACGCATGGCAGCTTCCCTCTCACCATTGCAAAGATCATGAGCCAATTATTCCATCAAGTTAGATATTAGCGAATCCAACTTTATTAGAGCTTCAAGGCGCATGAAACGTTAATCATGGAAACCTTGATATTCTGCATTAGAGACTTACTCTGGGAAGAGAAAAAAACACTTTCATTTTCCTTTGAGGTTAATACAAGGCTAATTTGAAAGCACTCGGTTAATGAGAAAGCTAAAAATACCTCTAGTACGATCACGTGCCTGAGTCCCAGCCTCAGTGGCTCCAGCCTCTCTAGAACACGAAGCCAGCTTCGGGAGGGAGAAACAGCTCTGGACTCAGAGGACCAGCACCTACGTCCCCAGCTGGTTACAGAGGCGCACCTGTCCTGAGGCTGCCAGATTGACAGAAGAAAACAGGAGGCAGAGAAAGTGAGGCGACTCCACTGCTCTTTATGTCCCTCCATGGGGGGACATAAAGATTTTACTTTGACTAAAATCTCAAGTGCTACCAGGAGTGGGGATGGGTTTTCCCTGAGCCACACATGCTCCCTCGCCCAGCCCTGCCCACAAGGGCAGCCGTGGGACAGTCAGCGAGCAGGGTGCTCACTGTGGTGGAGGAGAGGGTTTTCCTCCAGGGGAAGCAAATTGGACAGTAACCAACCCCACCCCCACCACCACCCCCCACCCGCCCACAGGTGATTGCAGCAGCTCACCAAGTGACCAGAAGCCATCATGACAAGAAAGGGATGAATTGGGCAAATTGAGAAGGCGCGGTCCACTTCAGCCTCGTGGGCTCCTGAGCACGTGCACGCACGTGTGTATTAAACCCAGAGAGGAATTTGATTTAACAGAAGAAAAGCCCTCAGGGCTGGCAGCTGTGGGAGCTATTAAGGAGGAGCGAGGAAGGTTCTATGTGTCTGAAAAAATGATCTGAGGAGGTCAGCGACAAAGCCACCGGGGGCTGTCTCCTCCAGGATCTCCAGTTGCCAGGAACCAGGCTGCTGGACACGGGTTTGAAGCTGCCACGGACAGGGCTCTCTCCAGACTGTGGCCTCAGAACCTGGACTCCCAAATAAACCATCTATGGGCCTCTGGGCTTATGAGATGCAGAGATTCCCTTCTTTACAGTCCAGGCTTTGCAGGAAAATGAAGAAAGCAGAAGTTGGGGGAAAGTGTCATGTGCTCTGTCCCCCACCCCAGAGACACATATGGTACATTTTATCCAGAGCTGGCTCCTCGCAGGGCCCTGGATCTGCATGCGGCTGGGGCCAGCACCCTTCCTCCAGTGTAGCCAGCGATCCCCCTCCATGCCCCCTGCAATGCAGCTCCCACCGGGCTGAAAGATAGAGGTGGCTCCATCTCTCTCTGTTTTGCCATTGTCAATGGCATGCTTATTTCACCTTTTACTTTGAGTAAAATCTCAAGTTTAAAGAACACCAGGAGGCCAGGCGTGTTGGCTCATGCCTATAATCCCAGCACTTAGGGAGGCTGAGGCAGGTGGATCACTTGAGGTCAGGAGTTCGAGACCAGCCTGGCCAATATGGTGAAACCTTGCGTCTACTAAAAATACAAAAATTAGCCAGGCTTGGTGGCGGGCACCTATAATCCTAGCTACTCAGAAGGCTGAGGCAGGAGAATTGCTTGAAGCCAGGAGGTGGAGGTTGCAGTCAGCCGAGATCGCACTACTGCACTCCAGCCTGGGCAACAGAGCAAAACCCTGTCTCAAAATAAATAAATAATAAAGAACACCAGGAGCAGATATTTGAGTGTCAGAAACACACGCCAGGATTCTCTTCCACCTCTCACCCTCCCCCACCTCTCACCCTCCCCACCTCCCCCCACCTCTCACCCTCCCCACCTCCCCCCACCTCACCCTCCCCACCCTCTGCTCCAACCTGGAACCAGGAATGAAACACAGGGCCAGGTTTAGCCACAGGCAGGTGGGAGGCAGAGAGATCTCCACTCTCAGGGTGACTGGCAATTGCAAAGAATTCCTCTTCCCTGGACTCCAGGGTTAGAAAAGCAAAGCCCACCCACTCCCTAATCCATCCACCTCACGTTTATTAAAGGCCTACTATGTGCCCAATGGGATGCGAGCACCTCCACCAGGGAAAGCCCAGATCGACTCACATAAGAAGACAGATACTAGACAAATAAATCCACTGAACCCATGCACTGAGGAGTTCTGGTTTGTTAGAGCAAATAGGAAGTGGTTTTATGTGTCCCTGTAACTCCCCCTAACTACATTCCGTCAAGCCTCCCCTGCCTGCTCTCTTAAAGACATCTGGTCAAATTATATACATTTCAGCTGTGCCCAGCTGTTAGCGCCATCTCACCCCTGTATTTGGTCCAGTTTGTTTTAAAATTTCTGTCTTTGCAAAGTTCAAAGCTCCACTCCTCCCTTCCCATCACCATCCTCAGCAGGCCAGGCCTGGCCATGGCTGTTGGGGGTTTTGGGGCGGGGTGGGGGTCCTGCTCTTTGTACTCTCCAGCCACTGCCTCCCTGCCTGTCTGGCTCCCCCAGCCATGAGGGGCTGGGGAGACCTCAGGAGGCTCTGGCTGGTGGCCTCTCTAAGTCTGAACGTCCGTCCCTGGTCCCACTGTGAGGATGGGGGTCACATGGACCCTGAAGGGGCCCCCACAGCACCATTCCTTGATCTGGGAGGTCCAGCTCCTGCCAACTTCATCCCCGCCCCCACCGCTTCCAGCCCCTTGCCTCTCACCCAGCCAGGGACCTTCCTGGGTGGGGCACCTGCACGATGGTTGCATCTCAGCTCCCTCCCATGGGGTTCACTCCATGCAAGGCAGGGGCACACAACTCTGCCCGCCAGGTGGGAGAGCAGGTGACATCCTGGCCACCGTTCCCTGGACGCAGCTGCCCTAGTTATTCCCGTCCTCAGCCTGCATAGCTAGGCAGTCTGTTGGCTACGCTGCTGGCCTAGCGGGGAGCTGCCATAATGTGGGAGAGAAAGTCCCCCTTTCCTTCTTCCATAGAAAGGGAGAGAACAGCCTTCCTTCAGAAACCACACTTCAGCAAGGCCAGCTTCCTCCAGCCTTTGGTTGACTTGGGGCAAGGGAGATGATGATGATGATGATGATGATGATGATGATGATGATAATAATAATAATAATAATAATAATAATAATAATAATAATAGGTTCCGTACCCATTTTCCAGGCTCTCTCACTGACTCATTTAATCCTCACCACAACCTGTGATACCAGTACTATTGATATCTTCAATTTATTTTATTTTATTTTGAGACAGGGTCTCACTCTGTCACCCAGACTGGAGTGTAGTGGTGTGATCTCAGCTCACTGCAACCTCCACCTCCCAGGTTCAAGCGATTCTCCTGCCTCAGCCTCCCAAATAGCTGGGACTACAGGTGCCTGCCACCATGCCCAGCTAATTTTTTTTTTTTTTTTTTTTTTTTTTTTTTTTAGGTAGAGACGGGGTTTTACCATGTTGTCCAGGTTGGTCTCAAACTCCTGAGCTCAAGGTACAAAGAACAGGACCCCCACCCCACCCCAAAACCCCGAACAGCCATGGCCACCTCTGCCCACCTAGGCCTCCCAAAGTGCTGAGATTACAGATGTGAGCCACTGTATCCGGCCCAATATCTTCATTTTAGAGATGAGTAAACTGAGGCAAAGGGAGGTGATGTGGCTTGCTCAAGATCACACAGAAAGTGCCAGTAGTTGGCTCTGCAGCTCACACCCTTACCCGGCTCTGAAGCAGCTCCCTGAGCCCTGTGGGGTGGAAGCAGGTGGCAGTTTTCCAAACGTAAGATGGGTGCGCTGAGCCCTTTCCCTCTCCTTCTGGGACAGCTACCTGCAGCCTTGCTGTCAGGGCCGGGATGCAGAGGGGGGCAGCAGGAGCGTGTGACAGGGACACTTACTTCTTCCAGAAATGGGGCTGATGGCACCTCATGGAAAAGACCAGGCGGGGCCTGTAGCAAGAGGCACTTGGGTTGCTGGAGGAAGGGAGGGAAGGGATGGAACCTGGAGTGAGAGGAGAGAGGGGCGGAGTCCTGGGCAGGTGACAGCTTGTGCATAGCTTGGAGGCTGTGCTGAAGACGTGAGGTTTGTCTTAGGAGCAATGGAAAGTTGGAAGGATTTAAGCAGAGCTAGGTCAGATCCTAAAGACTGGACCCAAGGGGAAAAGTAGTTAGCACAGGGCCCTCGGCTGCTGGAAAGCAAACAGGGCTGTCTTTGAGCCCTGGCCTGGTTTGCCCTGGCCTGGTTTCCTGCACCCCATCCAACCTAATAGAGGTGGGGGGTCTTGGGGGAGAACTGAGGTGGACGGGTCTTACCCAGTGCTTTGAGGACCCTCCCTAAGGTGACTCAGAACATCTGTGCAGCAGCCTAAGGCCCAGCAAAGGAAGGGACTGCTGAGGCTTCCTGCCTTGCTCCTTCCCTCGGGGTCCTGCACGCAGCTCTCCGGAATCCCACCCATCTCGGGAATACATCAAGCTATGGAAGATAACCCTGTAATGTGCAACTAATGTTCTGTGGACAGTTACACAGTGGTGCCACCGCAGACTCAGCAACAGAGGATGGAAGGCCACCCCTCCCGCAGACAGGGCCTGCCCTGCCGCCCAGCTGCTCTATGTTGGGGCCTCCCAGGAAATGAGAAAGGAGCCCAGGCACCAGCCCTGCGGCATCCTGGAGGAGCCCGTCCTGGCCTGAACACAAAGACAGAGGCCAGAAAACCCTATGGTGCTCAGAGGGGGACCCTCGGAGGCCACAAACCCAGCTAGATGGCTGTAGCAGCTGGTGCACCTGTGTTAAAACCTGACTCTGCCCCCCACTCCTAACAGCTTCCACTTGCCGAGTGCTTTGCCGACTTCACCCAGTTAAACCTTTGGAACGGCCCTGTGGGGAAGGTGTTTTCCCCACTCTGTGATTGAGGAAACAGAAGCCTACCACGGTGGTCACACATCAGGACTGGGAATTCAAACTCTGCTCTGATTAATTCAAGGCTCTCAGCTCCTCGGCCAGGACAGAAGGCAAGCCACTCATGCTCTCTGAGCTCCCGTTACTCATTTGTAAAAGACCGATGACAGCTCCCGCTTTCCAGAGTTTGCGAGGAGTCCGTGCTGGCAGAAGGCCTGGCACAGGGCTGCAACGTGGCTGCATTTGATTGGGGTTCTCCAGGGAAACAGAGCCAACGGGATGTGCATATCTAGGTCTAGAGAGATATTTAGTTCAAGGGATTGGCTCACTCGATTGATGAGGGCAGCAAATCCAAAATCTGCAGGGTGGGCTGGCAGGATGGAAAAGGGAGGAAGAGATGCAGTTGAGTCCGAAGGCCGTTGCTGGCAGAACTCCCTCTTTCTCGGGGGACGTCAGGCTTTGTTCTGTGCAGACCTTCCACTGATTGGGTGAGGCCCACCACACCATGGAGGCCCATCTGCTTTGCTCAGAGTCCATCACTGTCAACGTCATCTCATCCAAAAAACACCTGCACAGCAACATCCAGGGTAATGTTTGGCCAACTATTTGGGCACAGCCGAGTTGACAGCAAATTAGCCATCACAACAGTGAACACACACCCGTGGCGGCCGTTCTGAGCAGAGATGCTGCCGCTGCCAAAGGCACCCACAGCTGGTGTTTGTGTGTTCATGGTTCATCCCTAGGGATGTGGGAACTCACGAGTGAAAATGTGGCATGCACACAGCTCTAAAGGGGACCCGTGGCACTGGATACCCCCAGGAGGTGAGCCAAGCTATGCCCAGATCCTGGGGCCAGAAGGACCACTTCACTGACCCAGTGTTGGGGGTGGGGACTGTAGAAGGAGGTGACCAGAACTGGGTTTAAATCCTGGCTCTTGGCTATGACTGTGGAGAGAACAGGGAACCTCCCTGAGACTCAGTCTGGCCTCCATGAAATGAGTATAGTGACTGCAGCTGCACGGGGCCCCTGAAAGGAGGCAATACGTCAGCGGATGTAAAGCACCTAGGCTGGACCCAGCCCTTGCACAGACGCCTTCCCTTCCCAATCTTACCGAAGAGAGGAGCACGTCCAAAGCAGAGGAGAAACTTAATTAGGATTGGAAAAATGTGAATTCCAAGGCTTATTAAATTCATGATATTTTTACTTACCATGTACCCAGAAATATATTTAGCAAAGCAATTTACACCATCACTGGCTGATGGATTGTGGTTTTCTAAGTTGGGTTTTAAGATGTAAATGGGCTCCAATCAGAGCACTGCTGGGAGGGAGAAAACCTTCCTCTCCACCGCCCTGGTCCTTGGGCTCCAGCCTCACCTGTGCAGCCTCCCAGGACGGACAGATGGCCCTGCGCTCCCACTCTCCACGGAGGCTCTGCTGGGGTGGGGCAGGGAGTAGAGACAATAGAATATCAATGATAACGACCATTTATCCAGCACTCATTATGTGCCAGATGCGGGAGCTTTACCTCTGCTACTCACTTGACTCTCGCAGCACCCTTGTAAGATAAAGGGCCCTCGGGCACCTTACCAGCTGTGTGATCTTAGGCAAACCACTTGGCGCTCGCTCACTCGCTCTGTGTGTGTGTGTGTGTCTGTCTCTTGCTTGCTCGCTCTTTCTCCCTACCTCAGTTTTCCTCATCTGCAAAGTGGAAATACTAATAACCTTCTATTGGAGAAGCCCAGTGGCTGGAAGTTAGTAAACACTCAGATTTAGAAATGGGTGAAAGGGAAAATTTCCTGCCCAAGGTCAACCAGCTAGTAAGTAGTGGAGTCAGGATTCCAAAGCAGGTGTCGGCGCTAAAGCTCTTGACTGTGAGTGGGGATAGACAGGCACACAGACACGCAGACGGGGCCTCTCTCATGTCCACGTGTAAGCATGGGAGGCGGGTCAGTGAGGTGTGGCTAGACCTACCCCAGCAACCCACACACACTCCCAGGAAGCCCAGGCAGGGATCGCGCTTCTGGGACCCGCTGACACTTTCCAGATGAGGCAAGGTTTGCTCCACAAGGTCCCGGCTTCGCCAGGGCAGGCCAGCTACAAGAAGACGCCCAGCCCAGCGCCTTCCTTCTTGTCCGTCACTGTCCTCCCTCTGGAGTGCCCTTGCCTGAATCAAGGGCTTGCTGGAGCAGGACAAGCAGCTGGCCTTGAAATTTTATTTACTGAAATAATTTGCTTATAAGCCAGAGTTTTAATGCAAAGCCAAACATCGTCCTCGCTCCAATGAAATCATCACAATTTCCAAATTAATGGAGTTGACTGTACATGGAACACCTGACTGGGGAAGGCTGGTGAGCTCAGGGTCAGTAACCATTTCCCAGGAGGGAAGTGAAATGGGAATGCTGCTGTTGGGGCTGGGATATCTGGGTGGGAGGGACACTGGCTGTGGGGCCCCAAGCCCGCTGGCAGGAGTTGGGACCAGCCCTAGAGAATCCTCTGAGCGCTCCCCTTCCAGCGCCGCGGGTGAACAGGCTGAGCTTCCATGCTGCTGGGATTGTGCATGGAATGCAACCACCCCTCCCTTCGCTTGCTTCCAGGACTATGGAAACCTTACTTGTGCTTTGAGATGACACTTCCATCAGGAAGCCCTCCCAGATTTTCCCAGTTGAATTGCTCCCTCTACATGTGGACACTTCTGTAGCTCCTTAAGCCTGAAAACTGGAAGCTCCTAGAGGCCAGAGACCTTTGTCTTCTGCTATCTCAGACCTTCCCCGTATTCCCACCCAGTGCTCAGCATGTTTATAATATGTGGTGGCTTCTCCAGAAATGTTTGTTGATTTGAACTGAGACATATTCTGGTTGGGTATTTTTTCAATTATTTTAAGAAAAAATATATATATAAACAATCTAAGTAGAATTAGAAAATACGTAGGCAGCAAGAATGCTCGTTAGGGGGTGCGGCATGGAGGGCAGAGAGCCCCTGGCCGGGCCTCCTCCTGACCTCCCCACCTGCCCCCTGGGCACCTCCTATAGCCTGGTCACCACCACACATGCTTCAGAATTAGCCACCAGCAGGATGGCGAGGCCCCAGGAACCATCCCTTGAAGGAGGGCAACCTGCTGCTCTGGAAGGTTCTCAGAGACCCCAGAAGAGGCTGCCCAAGGCCTGGGAAGGACCCCAAATTACACAGATCTAATGTTAGTGGCCTAAGCAGGGTATGAAGATATGGACTGTATTCTGGCATCTCTTAATATTAATAGTTGCCAGCAGGGGCCCTGGGACCAGGGGAGCAACAGGGGTGGGAGGTGGGAGCGCACCCCACCCCACCCCACATCTGACTCATTGAGATGCTGCACAGTGGCCAAGGGACAACGTTCTGACCTTATTCCCCCAACAGGTGGGCCCAGTGCCAACCACAAGGGACTTGGGTGGACAAGTGCCCAACTCTCTTCGCTGGCCCCTCCGAGACCACCTTCTTCCAACACTCCTGGCAGGAAGTGGTGGACTCACTTTAGAACCCGGAGGACTCAGAGGTGCCCTAGGAATCTGACTTGCAAATCAACTGTGGAGTGTTTACCAGGCCACGCCCTGCCGTCAGGACTGCATTCTCAACAGTGAAATTGGGCCATTACCCTCCCTTGATCTTGTGCTATTTGTCTGTAATGGGTGTGGGGCTCCTCCTCCCAGCAGCTGGGTCTCTCCCCTGCAGCTGGCCACAGGAGTGGCAGAGACCCTGGTGGAGTGACTGCAGCTTTGCAGGGGGCTAACTTTACTCCAGCCCCTGGGTACTGAGCTCTGGGCTTCCAGATGCCCCCAAAGATGAGCAGAGGCTATGGACACACATCAGACATCACCCAAGATGTGCACCCTCTCATTTCTGGGGGGTTGCAGGAACAGGAACCCCAAACAATGTGACTTGCCTTTGCCTCACCCCATCCCAGGGTCAGCTGTCTTAGTGTCATTATTCCCTTCCAGAAAAGACATGAATATTCCTCTTAGCCTCTGCAGGCACTAAATAATAATAATAATAGTAATAATAATAATGATAACACAAAATAAAGAGCATTTAGGCTGGGTGTGGTGGCTCATGCCTGTAATCCCGGCACTTTGGAAGGCTGAGGTGGGGGTACCGCTTGAGCCCAGGAGGTTGAGGCTGCAATGGGCGATGACTGAACCACTAAACTCCAGCCTGGGCAGCAAAGCGAGACCCTGTCTCTCACACACACACACAAAAAACATTTAATATGGTTTTTATTTTCAAGCTATAAAGTTAATACATAGTGATTGTAGAATACCTGAAGCATGCGTAGTAGTATAAGGAACAATACTAAAATCGGCTTATCCACTGCTAGAGGTAAATACTGTTAACGTTTTGGTGTATTCTCCTTGAGACTTTTCGTGTGCGCATGTGTGTGTGTGTGCGTGTGTGTACGCGCACGAACATCTATGTGTCTACATTATAAAGCACAGTTAGGATTATACTATATGCACTTTTGAGTCCTTCTCTTTTTAATTAACATGATATTATGAGCCTTTTCTCACCCAACAGAACAGCCTGTAAGGGCCCCCTTGCCTTTTCCACTTGCGTTTTAGCCCTTCAGAGGGCAAGGTTCCGGCTGTCCACACCCCTGGCCAGGAGAAGGCCAACCCAGGAAGGAAAGAAAGACAACGGCATGCATTAACCCGGAGTCAACCGTTTATAAAGTCAAACATTTAAAAGGCAAAGAGATTCACAGTTAATCAAATAGTCGATTTGTCAGAGGGTCGAAGAAGATAATGGCTTCAATTTTAAGTTCCAACAAACGCAGCTACCTCCTGTGTCCTATTCAGTCATCCCACCTCTCTCAGAACTAGGACATCCTACAGTTTTGGCCATCACGGCCCCCGGCCAGCCTGCTCGCCCCTCCACGACAGGCCCTTTCACCCTCCACCCTGTTGATTCCTTCATCAGCATTCCCCACCGCACTTTCCAGAGCTTATGCCAAGAGAGCTTTCCTTTGGGAGTTTGGTGAAATGGGGACATGAAGCCTGCCTGGGGAGGGGTGTGTGTGTGTGTGTGTGTGCGCGTGTGTTTGTGTGTGTAGGGTATAGGTGAGCAGGGCTAAGAGACCGATGTAAAAGGAACAGCCCAAGGTCAAGGGCTGGGGGCCAGCAGGAAGCTTCCGTGGCACAGTCATGAATTCTAAATAAATGAAGCCCTCTAAGCATTTTTGTTCTTCTTTTCATCAGTTCTCAACCAGGGGTGACATTGTCCCCCAGACGACATTTGGCAATGTCTGGAGACATTTTTGGTTGTCACAACTGGGGGGTGGATGCTACTGGCATCTGGTGGGTACAGGCCAGGGATGCTGCTCTGGGATGCAGCATCCTACCGTTCACAGGTTGCCCCCTGCCCCCACCACAGAGAATGGGTGGGCCCCAGGTGTCAGGAGTGCTGAGAATGAGGGACCCAGCATTCTCTTCTCTTCTTTGGTCTTTCTTGCCTGCTTGTAACATGCACTTAGACCCTTCCAGATCCACAGGTGCAGATTGTCATGAATCCCAAAGACTAGTATGGGGTGACTCAGTCTACCCCACTGAGGTCAAGAAAAATAAGTGGATGGAACCCGGGAGGGATGAGAACACAGGGTGTGGGTGCAGCTGTGAAAATTTCGTGCTCATGATTTCACACACTCTCTTAATGTTCTTAAGAGCCTTTGGGGAGTAACCTTGGGACCCGCAAACACTTTGCCCCCTTCTCAGGTTCGGCAAGGCAGGGTTTGCCTGTAAAGTAGTAGGACAGTGTCTGGGGAGCAAGCTGCACTTTGACAATTGTGTGAGCTGAAAAGAGGAGGAGACAGAGACATCCTGGGGACAGAGGTGGCAGGGTACCGTCTTTGAAAGTTAAGGAGGTGTTTTCTCTTTGGAGCTCTGTCCACCACCCCAGACTCTTGAGACAAGTCATAGTTACAAAATGGCCACTTAGCATTTGTGGCCATCTCTTGGATGGATGTTGGGTTGACTTGAGGGTGTTCTGAGATGCTGTCCTGGTGGATCCACAGGTATGAAGCCCACCTCTCTGCATGGAGTACCACGGCCACCCATTGTCAATTGTCCAAGGTGGCAGTGTGACCTCAGACTGGACGTTGGAATACAGAGATGAGCCTCTGGCCTTCACCTCTTGGACCTTCCCTGGTTTGGACTCCTGATGGCAGGTTTGGACTCCTGATGGCAGATGCCAAGGTGATGTCACTACCTGGATCATGCTGGGAGGAAGATGGAAGAGGGCCCAAGAGCTTCAGAGAGCAAACCGTCGGCTGCAAGCTGGGTCACCTGGCTCCGGCAGCCATTTTTCTTTCCTTTGGGTTCCCCTGACACTGAGTACTGTTTTGACAAAATGTTCAGCAACCAAGTGTCCATGCATGACCTAGAGGGTTCAGGAGGGACAGCCAGCCTGAAGACTTTACCAATAGACCCAGCATGGAAGGAGGCTCTCAGAGGCTGGAGGGGAAGGAAGCCTGACTTCTCTCTGGACACACCATGCCTCCTCTATTGCCAGAGCATGAAGGGAAATGGTGGATCCTCTCCTAGTAATACTTGAAGTCTTTGTTATTTGGGATCATTTGATTTTTGACTCTTAAAAATAGTCCATAGGCCGGGTGCGGTGGCTCACGCCTGTAATCCCAGAATTTTGGGAGGCCGAGGTGGGTGTATCATGAGGTCAGGAGATCGAGACCATCCTGGCTAACACGGTGAAACCCCGTCTCTACTAAAAATACAGCAAATTAGCTGGGCATAGCAGCAGTCACCTGTAGTCCCAGCTACTCAGGAGGCTGAGGCAGGAGAATGGCATGACCCCAGGAGGCGGAGCTTGCAGTGAGCTGAGATTGTGCCACTGCACTCCAGCCTGGGCGACAGAGCGAGACTCCATCTCAAAAAAAATAATAATAAAAATAAAAAAAAATAAGAGTCCATGAGGACTGAAAATGGTAATGAGGTTACAGTGAAAGTGAGATTCCAGGACAGGCTAAAAAATCAAGAGAAAGAGACTGGAGGAGAAACCTCACCTCCTTTGTGGCTTTTCAGAAATGGCCTTTGGAAGCAGCAGCAACTCCGAGAATGAACTTGCTGGCCCCACCCAGCGATGGAGAGAACATCCCTTTCAGAGCAGAGATGCAGGATGGAATAGGTGAAGAGAGAAATACAGATTCCCTGAATATCCGTGTCCTCCCTCTTTTTTCAAGGACTCCAGTATCTCCTGGAAGCTCCTAGAAAAAGTCTGGCATTCATGTGAACTTAATCAGCAGAGACTCATTTACATAATAAGCATTCTGTGAACACTTACCATATACAAAGCACTGTGTCCCACAGCTAGCATAAGGCCTGGCATACAGTAAGTATTTAATATTTGTTTAGGATTTTTTTCTTTTTTTAGATGGAGTCTCGCTCTGTAGCCCAGACTGGAGTACAGTGGCACGATCTCAGCTCACTACAACCTCTGCCTCCTGGGTTCAAGTGATTCTCCTGCCTCAGCCTCCCTAGTAGCTGGGATTATAGGTATGCGCCACCACGCCTGGCTAATTTTTATATTTTTAGTAGAGACGGGGTTTCGTCATGTTGGCCAGGCTGGTCTCAAACTCCTGACCTCAGGTGATCCGCCCGCCTCAGCCTCCCAAAGTGCTGGGATGAGCCACCGCACCTGGCGTGTTTGGGAGATCTAAGGGTGACTGAGAGACTATCCCTGCAGCCAAGGATTTTATAAGCCAGACGTGCCGGGGAGTAATTCAAGGTGGAATGAAATAAGTACATTTCCTGGTGTTTCTTTGGTCTCAGCTGCTCATCTGGAAGTGAAGCAGAGCTCCCTGGGGACCAGAGAGTATAGAAAATTTCTTTCTTGAGTGGACCCTAAGAATGAATGGGGAGATTTCCCCAGAATAAACCAGCTCACCCTTCCTTTTCCCCTTCCGCGGAGCTGAGTCTAGGGAGCAACAGCAGCGCCATCTTTCTTTTTCGGAGGCAGAAGCTGTGCACTCTTATCAGCAGTGGGACAGACTTGGGCTTTGGACCCAACAGATCTGGAGACCACCCACTAGATGAGGGAAGCTTGGGTACTGAGCCTTGGTTCCCTCTTCTGTAAAGGGAGCTAATTTTGTCTTCCTGCAGGGGGTGGATGTGAGAATTGTGAACGCAAAGTGGTGGGCACACTGCAATGGGTGTTCAGCCATCTGAGTCTTTGTCCTGTGACGAGTGTGCACATAATAGCATCGCGCGTGTTAAAGCTCTCTGAGCACAGGGCCTTTGTATCACTGATTTCCCCGCATCGCCTTAGTGTACAGTGCAACGTTCGCCCATGGTAGGTGCTAAATAAATGTTGTTGTTGTTGTTTTGTTGTTGTTGTTGTTGTTTAGACAGAGTCTTGCTCTGTCGCCCAGGCTGGAGTGTAGCGGCGCGATCTCGACTCACTGCAACCTCCGCCTCTCGGGTTCAAGCAATTCTCCTGCCTCAGCCTCCCAAGTAGCTGGGACTACAGACACCCACCACCATGCTCGGCTAATTTTTTGGTATTTTTAGTAGAGACGAGGTTTCACCATGTTGGCCAGGCTGGTTTTGAACCCCTGACCTCGTGATCCACCCGCCTCAGCCTCCCAAGTAGCTGTGATTACAGGCACCCACCACCACACCTGGCTAATTTTTGTATTTTTAGGAGAGGTGAGGTTTCACCATGTTGGCCAGGCTGGTCTTGAACTCCTGACCTCATGATCCACCCACCTCAGCCTCCCAAAGTGCTGGGATTATAGGCGTGAGCCATCACGCCTGGCCATAAATGTCTTTCAATGGGATATTTAAAAACATATGCATGTTGTTATGATATATATCTTCAAAAACAAAAATCGGGACATGTCTGACTAGGACAAGGACACCCAAGGCAGGCACAGATGAAGCACTTTAAGTAAGGCCAGTCCTCAGACGTCTGGCTCCAAGATGAACACTGACAAGGCCGTGCGTCTGGCTCGCCCCTCACTCCCAGCAGCCCTATTTTTCAGGGGGAGAAGGATGAGGCCCAGAGAGAAATTAAGATGACTTGAGCCAGGTCACAAGAAATATGATATTCCAAGAATTACTACTTCCCAGCTTCATCCTTCAATATCTCTCTTTCTCTTCATTTTGAAAAGCATAAGTTTAGGTAGGAGAAAATCTACCTAAGAGGCAAGAAAATTTCCCATGATGTTCAGCTTGTTCAGGTGACACACCAGGAGATGGGGTGAGGGCAGAGGGGTGATTTTGTCTCCAAAGCAGGGGTCAGCAAATGTTTTCTGTAAAGGACCAGATGGTAAATTGTACAGGCTCTGCAGGCCCACCATCTTTGTCACAGCTTCTCAGCTGTGCTGTGGTAATGCCAAAGCAGCCCTCAACAATATGTACATGAATGAGCGTGGCTGTGTTCCAATAAAACTTTATTTATGGACACTGAAATATGAATTTGATATCATTTTCACATGTCATAGAATAATACTCTTTTGATGGCTTTTCAACCATTTGAAAAAGTAAAAAAAAAAATTATTCTTATCACGCAGGCTATAAAAACAAGATGGCGAGCTGGCTTTGGCTGGTGGGCTGTGTTTGCTGACCCTGGCTCCAAGCACCTGTGAGATGGTCACTGGATGGCATGCATCCACTTACTCCACATTCTCATCTTCCTCTTGGAAAAACCTTCTGGCCATGGGGAGATGCCTGTTCCCTCAGACAAAAGGCTTAGAGGTACAAACAAGGCACTGCTTTCTCTACGAGGCTTCTAGATCGCCTGCCACCCGAGAATGTGAATACTCACATTTTTAGCTTCTAATGGGGGTGGACAGCCAGAAATCAAACTAGAAATGTGTGTTCTAAGCCATCTAACCCCCAGATTCCAGCATTTGGCTCCTCCAGCTTGAGCTAAGAAGTTGCATGAAAGCAGCCAGGCATGGTGGCTCACGCCTGTAATCCCAGCACTTTGGGAGGCTGAGGCGGGTGGATCACCTGAGCTCAGGAGTTCGAGACAAGCCTGGTCAACATGGCAAAACCCCATCTCTACTAAAAATACAAAAATTAGCCAGGTGTGGTGATGGTCACCTGTAATCCCAGCTACTCAGGAGACTGAGGCAGAGGAATCACTTGAACCTGGGAGGCGAAAGTTGCAGTGAGCTGAGATCATGCCACTGAACTCCAGCCTGGGTGATAGAGTAAGACTCTGTCTCAAAAAACAAAACAAAACAAAAAAAAAAGAAGTGAGAAAACAAATAATCCATGCCTCGACTCTCTTTGCAGAGAGTCCAGGACACTGGATGTTGGAGGCCTCACTGCTAGACATAGTCACAGAGTGCCTGGTGCACTGCTTAGAATTTGTCCTTTGTAAATTTAACTTGAGGAAGCACAGAAAGTTTGCCCTTCATATTGTGGCATAAATAATCGAGGAGCAGGTACCCCAGGAATGAAGACAGAGGAAGTTCTCAGTCCATAGTGGAGTGCACAAGAATGATAGGGAAGCCCAAGGTTTGTAAAAACCATAAATATCTCAACGGTATGCAAGGGCAGCCTGGAGAGCATCATTATCTGCTCCCCTGACTGTTTTAATATGCTGGGTAGAGAAGCCTGATAAATCACCGGAGGCTGCAGGGCTTGGAGAAGATTTGGCTGGAGCTAAAAGAAGGCAGCCCATGGGGAGGACAACTTTAGAATAACCTGAAAATACACAGACACGTGCCTGCAGACAGACACTTTCATTCATTCATCCAATATTTATTTCCTGCTTATGTTGTTCCAAGCACTGGACTAGATGCAGAGAGAATCAAGTTGAAGAAGACTCAGCTCCTGCCCACACGGAGCCTGGGAGCAGGGGAAGGCTGGAAGATACCGATTGGAAAGGTATCTCAGGAGCATGAATTATTGCCAGGGCACGGGTGATCCAGGGGTGCACCCCGCAGAGCACCTGCCCCCTTGTGGAAGCCCAGCTACCTGCAGCCTGAGCGCTGAGAACCTGACCAGCACCTGCAGAGACTGCAGAATGATCCTCAGTGGGTCCTCCTGAGCCGTCCTGCCTCCACCTCAAGCCCCTAGCAGAGAGGATCCCGGCCAGCCCTGAGCCAGTACAATGAAGGAGACAGCTGAACTTAATCTACCGAGGCTCTACTCCTCTTCCTGCTTGGAAAATCTCCATCCAGCCCGCTCAGCAGAGGGAACTGCCCCAGGAAGAGAAGAGCGGTGGGCTGAGGGGCCGGGTGGAGAGAGTACAGAGGGAGGAAGCTAAGTAAACACCCAGCCTCTGTGCTCCCCCGTGCTGCCTCCGCCTGGTCAGCACCCTGTCGCTGGCATTGATGGTTTCATTTTTCTGGAGAGAAAAAGAACAAACGCGGAAGATAATTGTAGTGGAACGGCCGATAAGTAACGTTTGGTCTCCTTTTTACAACCATTCCCTAGGGCCATATTATGATAATTTTTCTTCTATAACTGGCAAATTGTATAACGAGTCAGATGATAAACCAGCAAGCAAGGCAGAAATTTGCATTTTAATACAACTGCTGGTATCACTCCCCCCACCCCCCATCCCGGGGAGATCAGGGCCTCTCTGATCCTAGGTCACCTGGCACCCTGCCCTCCTGTTCCCTTCTCTGAGTGAGTGAGTCTGGAGCACTCAATAAATGTAGCATTTTCAATGAAAGCATAATATCTGTTTTCTCCAGATATTATGTAGCATAGAGATTACGATTCAGGGCCCTGGAATCTGCCAGCTGAGCCCTACCCCAGCTCCGACACTGACTGAATGGCTATTCTTAGTCAGGATCCTGAACTATGCCTCAGTTTCCTTTTCTGCAAAACGAGCATCATTCTACTCTCTACACTAGGGGTTTTTCTGTGGATGCCTGGTGTGCAGCAAATGCTCAATAAATATTATTAGTAATCGTGTCATGATGGTCTGTGTGGAAAAAACTTAAGCTGCTTTTCCTCTCTCCTCCTATCACAATCAACACAGAAGATTTCTGTGCCCAGACATGTGGGCTTTTTCCCCACATGCCAAGCAAGTCATCAATTCCGCAGGGAACATCAGCTAGGTATCCTCCCACCCCAATTCAATCCCAACACCATCTACCTGGAAATAGCATCAGATCACAGGTTGGGGGCTCGGTCCCACAAGAGTGACCCCCACATTTCCAGTGCCCATCACAAGCCCCAGTTTGTTTCACCTGGGCTTCTGACCTGCTGGCTGTAAACTTGGCTTCCCACAATCCTCTTCTAGGGTTCGATTAATCTGCTAGAGCAGCTCACAGAACTCAGGGAAACACCACATTCACCGCTATATTCTAAAGGACAGATGAAGGATAGAGATGAAGAGATGCACAGGTGAAGGTATGGGGGAAGGAGTGTGGAGTTTCCATACCTTCCTCCTGAAACCTCCATATGCTCAGCTATCCAGAAGCTCCCCAAACTCTGTCCTCTTTGGCCCTCTATGGAGACTTCATTGGATAGGCATGATTGACAACCATATAGACAACCATATGTGACTAAACAAAAAGGGTTTGATCTTAATACTAACAGACTGAGGGGGAAAACCCAGCCAGGCCTGTCTGTTCAGATTCTTCTTGGCCTCTCTGTGCAGCCTTCCTTCCTCCAGGGTATAGGGCAGGACCTCTTCTGAAATGGGGGCCCCTATTGACTTATAATCAGACAAGGAAGGTCAGAGAATTTCTTTATGGCTGGCCCCAAGACAGAAAGCTGGGGAAGACTGGAGTCCTGCCTTGGCCAGGTAAAAGGAGGGCAGGAGAAGTTCAGAGAGAGAGATTCTGTTTTTCGAGGCCTGCTTTTGAGGCCTAAAGCCCCCCAACAGTATAATAAGGACCATGGGAGTCATGAGCCAGGAACCATGGACAAAAACCAACATAGCATAGATGATATTCTAATATCACAGGTGGTGATGATGATGATGGGTCCAGGTCCATAGGGCAGTGGTTCCCAGTCAAGGCCGTGTTATCAAGCCAGCCTCTGTCCCTCACCTGTGCTCTTGTACACACCCCCCCACCACCACCTTCAGGGCCTTAGCACTGCCTTTATATTCAGAGCCTGGGAGTCCTGGAAAGTTCAGAGCACACAAGGTTAAGGGTACACAAAAAGCCAGGTCATGGGTTATGGAAGATCACACAGATGTGTACACATCACCACCAGCCAGCCCCCAGGGCCCAGAACTGTTCTGGTCACCCCCTGGGCAAGTCCAGTTTTAGAAATTCTAGAATCTTCCAGATAAACGAAGTGGTAGAAAGAGCACTGGCCTTGGAGTCACAGGCTTGACCTTGAAGCCCTGCACCATCACTTCTGTCTGCTCAGCTTTGGAAAAGTGAGTCCATTTCCCATCTATACAAGGAGTAACAACATCTATGCTTCTGAGGACTGAAAGGGTTAACAGAAGCCCACGCCTGGCACGCAACACCAGTTAAATCCACCAATTAGCTGACTCGGAAAGAAAGGCGCTAACAACCTTGGCCAACTTTTCGGTATGGTGGTTACATTTGGCAGGGACTGCCCATCCTTTCATGCCCAAGAGAAGCTAAGTGGTATCCAGAAAATCCTGCCAAAAACAAGTCTTGATTATTATTTTAGCTCCAGGAGTGAAGACTTTGGGGACTTGGCATGCCCTATTGTTTGAATTTATAGACATGGGCCCCTCCAATAACCAGCCAGAGGGAGGAAAAGGTTGCTATCACAATGGATTTTTTGGAGAGTTGTTTTTAGAATTTCCTACAACCCCTTGAGACCATCAGAAGTTCCAAACCAGGGCTGGGAATTAAGTTTGTTTCTGCAGTGTGATGAGGCTTCTGTCCACCTCACTAGGGTATAGGGGGTAGGAGCTGCTTTTTCTACACAAAATGAACCACAGACCATGATGAGGACTTTGGTGGTGGTGCCACAACTGAGATCATTCATTCATTCAACAAACATGTATTGACTTCAGTTTATGTTCCAAGCCTGATCTAAGTGATTAGGATATATAAGAAAACAAAACAGACAATACTTCCCACCTTCATGGGGCTTACTGTGTTCTAGTGTGGAGACACACACACACACACACACACACACACACAAGAAGTAGGTGAATTGTATGTTGGAAGGCAGAGTGCTAGGATAAAATAGAGCAGAATGAGGAAGCACACTGAATATTCTTTTTCTTTTTTTTTTTTGTTATTTTTAAGAAATGGAATCTTTCTCTGTTGCCCAGGCTGGAGTGCAGTGGCATGATCACAGCTCACTGCAGCTCACTAGGCTCAAGCAACCCTCCCACCTCAGCCTCCTGGGTAGCTGGGATCACAGGCTCAGGAATGAGGAACCAAACCTGGCTTGAATTTTCAGGAGGGAGTGTGGATAGAGTGGATTGTTGTCCCCAGTTTTCCACACCCTCCTGGTAACAGAATCTAATATCCTGGCTCTTGGTGGGTGACTTAGCAGTGCCCCTCCCACCCAGAGGAGTTGTAATACCTTTTCCGCCCCATGATGCTGGGCTTCGCCGTGTGATTTGCTTGGGCCAACGGGATGTCAACTGCTCTGATGCATCAGAGGCTTCATGTGTGCTTGTGAGCCTTAGTTTGGCCTCCTGTGCCTCTGTCATTGCTATGTGAAGAGCATGCCCAGGTGCATGAAGCCTGCAGTCAGCCTGGCTCAGCCCCACCCAGCCTGCTCAGCCCAATCGCAGCCAATCTGTCAACCACTAACATGAAATAAAATATGACTTAAGACTTCTGTACTGGTTTTCTATTGATACCATAACAAATTACCACAAACCTAGCCACTTAAAACAACACAAATCTATGATCCCAACAGCTCTGTGAGTCAGAAGTCCAGTTTGGCTCCAGGCTTCAGAAGGACAAAATCAAGGTGTCTGCTGGTTGGGCTTTTACTGGGAGGCTGTGGGAAGAATTTTCTTTCAAGCTCATTCAGATCATTGGCTAAATTCAGTTCTTTGTGGATGCAGAACTAAGATTCTCATTTTTTTACTTGCTGATGGCTGGGAGCTGCTCTCAGCATCCAGAGGCCTCTCTCTCTGGTTCTGACATCTCAGAGGCAGCAATGGCACATTGAAGCCTTCTCATACTTGGAATCTCTCCTTTCTTCTGCTTTTCCATCTGCTATCAAGGGCTTGTTTGATTACACAGGGTCCACCTAGATAGCCCGAGTGTATTGTCCATTCTCACGCTGCTATAAGAACATAACTGAGACTGAGTAATTTATAAAGGAAAGAGGTTTAATGGGCTCACAGTTCCACATGGCTGGGGAGGCCTCACAATCAT
Organism: Homo sapiens; assembly: GCF_000001405.40. NCBI lineage: Eukaryota > Metazoa > Chordata > Mammalia > Primates > Hominidae > Homo > Homo sapiens. The sequence goes on from NC_000017.11 coordinate 74,003,138, forward strand.
GGCAGAAGGCGAAGGAGGAGCAAAGGTTTGTCTTACATGGTGGCGGGCAAGAGGGCATGTGCAGGGGAACTGTCCTTTATAAAACCATCAGATCTCATGAGACTTACTCACTATCACGAGAACAGCATGGGAAAAACCCATCCCCATGATTCAATTACCCACTGCCAGGTCCCTCCCATGACATGTGGGGGTTATGTTAACCTTGCTCAGACATTAGTGTTTGACAAAAAGGATGGGAATGTTGGAAACATTTTTAGGGTTCTGTCTACCACAACCTATAATGTAGGGTTCCTGGGACTGTTTGTTACACAGTGCTAGCACTACAGAAACCTGGCTCTCACGATGTCCAAGATAGCTCTCACTGAGAAGTAACGCCTCAGCAAGAGCCTTCTCCAAGCTTTCTTTTTCCTTCCTACTGGATTGAACCTACTTCAACCCAGCTTGAGCCATGTCTATGACAACAGTACCTAGGGGAAGGCAGGACAACAGTACCTAGGGGAAGGCAGAACAACAGAGCAGAGCAAACTGTTCTCCCATGTCCATGAAGAGCAGAGAGGCCCCAGCAATCCAAACCACTCACCCCTCAAGTATTGGGTAAGAGAGAAAGGCACTTTGTTATTTAAACCACTGCGTTATTGCTTAAACAATTGTATTATAGCAGCTTAGTCTTTTATCAATACTAATACAATATCTAATACAAGAACTATACTACAAGGCAAATAAACCAATGGACACGAGCCACCTTGGGGGAAGCAGCAGCATGTTTTACCGGGTAAATCTCAAAAGGTTGCTTGCGAGGGGTGTATGGCCTTAACCTCTAAAGTTCACAAGTACAGTAGACACTCGTATATGAAACAATGTGCAGAGGATGGACAAACTGAGTGACTAAGAATGAAAATAAATGATTCTTATTAAAGACATGCAAAACAAAGAAGAAGGGCAGGTCTAAGAGGGTCAAGAGGTAAGGTTAGGAGAGGTACCAGGAGAACCAAGAAGCCTTCACGGTAGGATCCGTATCACTGGCTGTGGCTGGACTAGATGGGGGATCAGCTTAGACTGAGGAGTTGTTAATCCATGAGGGAGAGGCTGGGAGGTAGAGAGTGACATCCGGCTGAGTCCTGTCTGTGCCTGTAGCCCCTCAGCACCTAACAACACCACACTGTAAGCGCCCAGGAAACAGCTGTAAATTGACAACTCAGAAGAATGAATCTCTCTCCTCCACCTTCCCTAGACCAGGAGATGCCCCCGACTTCAATAGCAAAGCAGAGATGAACGACCTCACGATGACAAACATACCAGAATGTCATGAGGTTGAGTTTCTGTTCATTCAATCAGCATTTGCAGGGCTGGGTGCAGTGTGGCCATAAAGGCGGATGAGCTATGACTCCTGTCGTTAAGAAGCTTGCCAACTTGGAGATGATACAAGATATGCAGGTAGGAAACTAGGATAAAAAGGAGAAACTGATGTGCACCCTGACAAAGTGTAGAGAAAGCGTTCCGAGAATTCCAAGGAGAAGGAATGCTTCCTGCTTGGGAGGGTGGGAGGGGCAGGAGAGGAGGCCGAAGGCATGAAGGCAACACCGAATGAAGGCTAAAGGCGTTTGAGCTGAACCTTGAAAAGGATCAAGGCTGGAGGCATCCTGGCAGCATGCCTGTGTGAGCAGGCTGGGGAGGAGGAGGGTGCTGGGTATGGCTGAGATGAAGGCAGGTGTGGGGACTGAGTTAGGCTGGAGCCTGACCCGGTTCCATAGGTTTACACCACCACTGCTGTTCCCTCTTTCTACACTGAAGGGAAAACAATAGATGTTTAAGTGTTCAAAGGTGAGGACTGGGAGGCCCTCTCCATTGTTCCTTATTCTGAGAGCCTTAGAAGCCCTAGCTTTTGTGGCTGGAAGGGATGTTCAAGACAGTTGCCTCTACCTGAGGCTGGAGCCCCTCCTGCTCCAGCACCTATGGTTTCCTCCCCTGCAGCCCAGCAGCACAGTCCTGCAGCGGCAGGTGGGGCATCCCTCCCGTGGCCACAAACCCACCCACCCTCTGAAGCCCAGCCCAAGGGATGACTTCCTGTTCACACACACACCTGCACACTCTCTGGAGACCAACTGGAGGGAGGGAGAAGATGCTGAACCCGAGCAGCACCTTTTGCTGGGCGGGGAGCCCTCCCCGCCCCCTTTCCTATCAGTGTGTCCTCCAGTGTGCCCAGAACAGCCCCTTTCCTGTTCACCTCCCCTCCCACCCTTCCTTTCTAAGCAGGGAGAGAAGTGGCTGTGGGCTAGAAAAATGCCCCCAAACCTTCCAGGACAAAACTTCTGGGGAACAGTGATTCCAATGGGAGGCCAGAGCTAGCAGCTCTGGAACTGGTAGCAGCGCTTAGGGAGCAGGATGGGGGGAAACTCACATTTCTAGAGAAGTGGAAGGCTGGGGAGGAGAGGCCAAAGCCGCCCTGAGCCAGGTACATCCACGTCCACACACTTCTCTCAAACTCTCTCGTCAAAATGAGACAAACAATTCTTCCAGAAACCCAGCCCAAGAGATGTTCATAGCAGATCCTACTGAAAAGTGGGGATGGTGGGGGCAGACACTAAATAATTGAAATTCTTGAGAGCTGTGTGGAGAGGCACGATATTCTTTGCTGCATGTAGAAAGGTTAATAAACACGGGTGACACAGGGCAGTGGCTGGGGACTCGCGGTGAGCAGAAACACTTCCCAGAAGGAAGCTCATGCCTGGGTTTATGCCCAGGGCTGGTGCGTCTCACAGGCTCAGCTCCTCCTGCTCCTGCCTTTGGTCTGCTAGTCCCAGAAGACACCTCTGAGGCACCCAGGGGCGGAGACAGACATGCAAGACTTTCTAAATCAGAAGGCTGGGCAATGTCCCGCCCAAACGCCCTCACTGGGCCCACAGAAAGGATGGAATCCAGCCTCTCTTTATCTTTCCTTAAAAGGAAGAGGCAGAAGGAGAAGAGTGTCATGTCCTGAGCCTCTGGGCCAGCTTCCAGGGGTCTGGTCCCATGCTGGAACCATTCGAGATGGACCCTCCGGGGCTGGCTGTCTTGCCCTGCATGACCCTGCGTCCCCTCACAATGAAGGCTACTGAGTGGGGACACCTGCAAGCAGCCCTCAGCATCACAGCACCCTGGTCAGTGTCCCAGACAAGCTTGGATGTGGACAGGTGTGCCCCCGCGTGCTCTCTGGTAGCTGGGAAAGCCAGCGTGGAGGTGAAGGAGGCCCTGCAGGGAGTGAAGATTGCCTCAGGCACACTGCTGTCCACCCGGAGTCCACATTCAAGCAGCAGTCCAGGCACGGGCCCGCTTCTGCCCTGAGCCCCAAGCTGCCAGCACTTGGCAGCCAGAACCCAGGATGTCTCAGGATGCTGCCGGGTGCTCTGATCTCCCTAGCAAGTGCCTGGCGGCAGTGGTTCACCACCTAAACGCTGCATCCGGAATCTGACAGGGAAACAAGTGCTTGGGTGACACCCAAATGCAGCATCAATACAGACATGCTGACATTTCCATCTGCCCCTCGGTCCCCAGAGTCCCCATGTGCAAGAGAAGCCACAGGCAAAAAAAGTAGGTCACCCCATGCTGGTGGAACAGGGCAGGTGCTTACCAGTTGCTCAGCTAACTGCTTCTGGGGCAGGGGGCATTGTAAGGATGCAGAGAATAAAGGAGGGGGCAATCCTCTGCCCGATTCCCCAACTAACCGGCAGCTGGCACGTGGCAGTATGCTTGGGTCTAGGCCAGCGGTTCTCAGCCCTGATTTTGGAAGGAGTTTTATTTGAGAAAAAAAAAAAAAAAAGATAAAACACAAATGTCTGAGCCCCACCTAAAACCAATTAATTCAAAATCTCTCAGAAAAAGAGACTGAAGCATCAATGATATTTAAAAGCTCTCCAGGGATCAGGTGTGGTGGCTCACACCTATAATCCCAGCACTTTGGGAGGCCAAGGTGGGCGGATCACCCGAGGTCAGGAGTTCGAGACCAGCCTGACCAACATGAAGAAACCCCATCTTTACTAAAAATACAAAAAATTAGCCGGGTGTGGTAGTGCATGCCTGTAATCCCAGCTACTCGGGAGGCTGAGGCAGGAGAATCGCTTAAACCTGGGAGGCAGAGGTTGCAGTGAGCAGAGATTGCGCCATTGTGCTCCAGCCTGGGCAACAAGAGCAAAACTCTGTCTCAAAAAAAAAAAAAAAAAAAAAAAAAACAGAAAAAACAACAACCACCACCACCTCTCCAGGTACTCTGGGAATGTGGGAATGTGTGGTCACAGTGGAGCTGCTCCTGGTCCCAGCAGAGGATGGCCCTTCCCCTCTGTGATCCTGAAGAGGAGAGAAGGACTGGGAGGGAGAAGGTAGTTCAATGCTGAAAATTTCTGTATTTTTTTTTATACTTCTGCAGCCTTACACAAAATGGTCCCCCATCTGGAATGCACCCTTCCCCTCCGCTTACCTGCATTTGACTGACTCTCCAAAGCCTGATTTCAGTTCATCTTCCTCTGATCCCAGGACAGGGTGTGCCCTGTTCATTGTCTCCTGTTTCCTGTCTTATTCCCCCAACAGCCCCTGCACTCCTAGAGACCAACCATTCTCTAAAATGTTAGAGAGACAAATTCTCAGTCTCTATCCGATACCTACTAAGTTAGAAACCCTGGGGGTGGGGCCCAGCCATCTGGGTCTTCACCAGCCCCCTGGGTGAGGCTGCTGAGAGTTCCTGTTCCAGAGTCACTGTGCTGGTCTCTAGACCCAGCTACTCAAAGAGTGGTCCCTGGACCAGTGGCCTCGGCCTCACCTGGGAACTGGTTAGATGTGCAGAATCTCACACCATATCCCAGATCTATCAAATCAGAATCTTTATTTATTCATTTATTTATTTTTTTGAGACGGAGTATTGCTCCGTCACCCAGGTTGGAGTGCAGTGGCACAATGCCAGCTTACTGCAACCCCCACCTCCTGGGTTCAAGAGATTCTCCTGCCTCAACTTCCCGAATAGCTAGGACTGCAGGTGCACACCACCATGCCTGCTACTGTTTGTATTTTTAGTAGAAATAGGGTTTTGTCATGTTGGCCAGGCTGGTCTTGAACTCCTGGCCTCGACTGATGTGCCCGCCTTGGCCTCCCGAAGTGCTGGGATTACAGGTATGAGCCACCGCAACAGCCAGAATCTGCATTTTAACAGGATGTGCGGGGGGTGTGCATGCTGGGGAAAATGTGAGAAGTGCTGCCCTCTTCAGGAAATGAGTCGACGGACTGCCTGAAAAGGGAAGGGCTGGCAGGCTTCATCACCCCCCATCACGAGGGCCATGTCCCCATCCCCCACTCTGTTCCAGGAGATCTCAGCCTTGATCACAAGCTGCAGGTGCTGGGAGCCTACAGAGAGATTCCAGAAAGGTCATCCAAGAAACAAATGGCACAGCCCCTTATCCGCATACGATCAAGTTGAAGATGTGTCTCTGAGGTGATTGCATCCCAGCTGACCACATTCTAGCACCATCCCTGAACATGGGCCAGTGCTGAACTGGACCCATTGCAACTGCCCAGGGAGCTTGGCTTGCTTTATAAGGGCCACCCCTGAGGAGTAACAGTCTGAATTGCCCCAAGATTGTCATCTAAGCCAAGCCTCCTGCTCCCTCGTCCTCTCTCCTGCAATCTTGTCCCTTTCAGCCTTCCCTAAGCACGCTCTCCTCAAATGCACCGAGAAGAGTGGCATCGGACCTCAGTTCCGGGAGTGGGACTCAGGCCGGGCGACAGAGACAGAGAAGGGAGAGAAGAGGATATTGTGGGATTTCCCTGACTCCTTCCTCACGGGCTCCCTTCCGTTCACTTCAAGGAACACTTGAACGCCTACTATGCACTCAGCACAGTGAGTCCCTTCTGTCCCTGCTGAACTCCCACATTAGAGGTTGTTAAAAAAAATGTATTCAATGAGTTTGATATTCAAATACGAGCTTCTCCTGACAGGTTATAAATAGCTTCTTTGAGTCCAATTTGAGGTTTTGATTTTTTTTTTAATGTAAGCTATCAGCCATCCATCTGTGATTGAATCAGAGAGCCTCTTCTCCCTCCTCCCTGAAACCCATCGTCAAAGGCCATTACTACTTTCCCTACTCAGAGAATATTGGGTATGGAGCTTTAATGTCCCCTGGGGAAGAGACCATTACAGGAAAAGAAAAAAAAAAAAAAGACGTATTTCCATCTCTGTTCCAATACGCACAACCTAATTAAGATTTCATAAACACTCACCCAACAGGAAAACACATACGCACACACATTCACAGGCACCTAAATTAGCAAGGCAAATAGAGTCTAGATTAAGTGGTTTTCTTGCCTGTTTCCGTCCAGTTTTAATTAGGCGTCTGTCACAAGGAGGGTGTCACGCAGTGGAATTGTCTCATTTTGATTCTTTAGGCTTGGGATGTTGGGTTGCCAGATCCCCACACCTACACCTTTTTCCTGAGAATCACAGCTCTGTCTTCCCTGGGCCACTCTCCCCTCCACCCTCACCTCCCGCCTGCTGTTTGGGGCCCGGAGGAAGGAGGAGGGGCTTGTCCCCAAGCAGTCCCATTTTGGTGGCCTCCCTATAGCACCGGCTCACCAGGGGACTTGACCCTGGCAGACCCCCACTGTGGGACTGCCTGGTGGCAGTGGGGACCTGCATGCACCCTCCAGATGCCAGGCTCTGGGAATAGAAAGTACAGGCTCCCTGTGACCCCCTCACCCCTCATTCCCGAATGCCAGCAGTGCAGCCCCCCAGCACTGGTGTCCAGGAGGCTGCCTTGAGGGCTGCTCTCAGCCCTGCCAATGTCTTCTCTCCCATCCCTACTGCTGTGCTCCCTCATAGAAGAAAATACGAAAGATGATTCGCTTTCTCCCTCTTTGCAGATCCCTGGGGCTGTTTGGAAAAGTACATTTTCTTCACATGTGTAGAAAATTAAATCTGTTGTGTTTTTGTGGAGCACGGGAGGGGGGAGTTGGGGGAAATGTCACTCACTCATTCGAGCAGACTAGGGGTCGGGGGTGGAAAGTAGGATGGGAGAAGCTCCAGTCTTCTGAATGCCTGGTTAGGGACAGGCTGGGAGGTGCCAGCTGACCCAGGCTGCAGACTTGGCCTCTTGGTCCTGCCTGGAAACCGCCTCCTCCTTGGAGCAACTCTTCTTTTTTTTTTTTTATAACTTTAAGTCCTGGGATACACGTGCTACAGTAACCAAAACAGCACGGTACGGGTACCAAAACAGATATATAGACCAATGGAACAGAACAGAGACCTCAGAAATAATATCTCACATCTACAACCATGTGATCTTCGACAAACCTGACAAAAACAAGCAATGGGGAAAGGATTCCCTATTTAATAAATGGTGCTGGGAAAACGGGCAAGCTATGTGCAGAAAACTGAAACTGGATCCCCTTCCTTACACCTTATACAAAAATTAACTTAGGATGGATTAAAGACTTCAATGTAAAACCCGAAACCATAAAAACCCTAGAAGAAAACCTAGGCAATACCACTCAGGACACAGGCATGGGCAAAGACTTCATGACTAAAACAGCAAAAGCAATTGCAACAAAAGCCAAAATAGACAAACGGGATCTAATTAAACTAAAGAGCTTCTGCCCAGCAAAAGAAACTATCATCAGAGTGAACAGACAACCTACAGACTGAGAGAAAATGTTTGCAATCTACCCATCTGGCAAAGGTCTGATATCCAGAATCTAGAAGGAACTTAAACAAATTTACAAGGAAAAAAAAACAAACAATCCCATCAAAAACTGGGCAAAGGATATGAAGAGACACTTCTCAAAACAAGACATTTATGGAGCCAACAAACCTATGGAGCAACTCTTAGTTTCCTAGAACAAAGCAACAGCTACGCCTACCCGGTGACATCCAAACTTTCCAAGACAGGCTGCAGGGGGTGCAGGAAGAACGAGGCTGGGCTGCAGCGAATGAAAGGTAGTGACTTGTCACTGTGAAGTGGACCCAGCCCCCTGCAGCACTTGTCCATCCGAGGTCACTCTGCAGCCTCCTTCTCCTCCCACAAGGACGAGGGTTTGGAGGCCTGTGAGGATGCATGTGAAGGTGTGGGGCCCGTGATCCCACCGGAACGATGATAAAACCGAGGCCTAGGGGAGACTGTGAGAACTAAGAGCTCACTGCTTCCTGCTCAAGAGACAAAGAGAACTCGTTAATTAATAGATCCTTCCACCCCAGAAGGATGAGGGCTCCACCCTCTCTCTGCCCAACAGAGGCAGATGTAGAAGAAATCAATGCAAAAGAAAACAGAGGCCGGACACGGTGGCTCACACCTGTAATCTCAGCACTTTGGGAGGCCAAGGCAGGTGGATCACCTGACGTCGGGAGTTTGAGACCAGCCTGACCAACACGGCAAAATCCTGTCTCTACTAAAAATACAAAGATTAGCTGGGCGTGGTGGCACACAACTGTAGTCCCAGCTTCTGCTGAGGAGGCAGGAGAATCACTTGAACATGGGAGGCAGCAGTTGCAGTGAGCCGAGATTGCACCATTGCACTCCAGCCTGGGTGACAGAGCAAGACTCTGTCTCAAGAAAATAAAATAAAAAAAATAATAATAATAGAGAACAGAAAAGCTGTTAGGTCGACTTGAAGAAGTAGCTGCTAGCTCAGTGATAACTTCTCAAGTGCAAGTCTCTGGATGAGGTGAAACAGGTGAGTAATACCACCTGCCTTTGAGATATTTACAGTCCAGAAGGAAAATTATTAACTCTCAAAGCGATGATGACCAGGCAGCTGGGTAGGAGGCCGCCATCAGCTCTAAGGAAATGTGGACGTGCGATGCTCAGGCCAGCGGACTGAAGCTTTGCCACCTCCCTCTGCCGGTCACAGGCCCTGCTGGAAGACAGGCTGGCCACCTGTACCTGCTGTCTTCTGGGGCCACCGTTCTGCCCTCCACCCAGGGACAGCTGCGGCCACCACAAAAGCAGCCTGGCTCTGGTGAATTAGCTGAAGTGACACTCACTTTGTATACACATGTTTACAATCAGGGCCAGATGGTGAAGTATTGGATTCGTTTCAACACCACTCCAGCCTGCTCAGCTGAGCCGGGCTTTGCATGTGACACGAGAACCACAACACAGGGAAGGGGCAATCCCCTTCCTTAGACACCATCCCCGAATCCCAGGGGATATTTATTAGCCCTCACTTAAAAGTAGCCTCAGCTTACCAGCTGTCAGAACTTTTTTTATCAAATCTCCTGAAATTCTACAGACAGAAGAAACATAACCTCCTCTGATATCTTCCAGTTTCTTTCCCTTTTTTTTTTTTAAAAAAAGTAAATAAATAGATAAAGCACACTTGATGGAAAGGAGCTTGCAAACGATCACCGATGACACTGTTTATGTCGCCAAATTATTCATACTGACAGGAAGAGAGGGCAGACTGAACACAGATCAAATGGAGTGATTATTTACCAACCGATGAGGACATCCTTAGGTGACATGACAGAGAAAAGGGGTGGGGGAGGATGTTGACAAAGTGCCAGAGACAGAGTTGAGCAAGTCTGCGTGTTTCCATCTGCTTCCTCCCCAAAAGAAAGTGGCAAGGGGGCCCTTGAAGACAGCTGCACTGCAGAGCCAGAAGGATGGGACTGCCGGCCCCCAAGGAGCCCCAGGCCTGAGTGTCCAGCTGGCAGGCCAGGAAGAAAGAGGAGGAGGGGGCTAAAAGGTGGTGATGACAAGAGGAATGGCCAGTCCTTACCCACTTCATCTTTACCAAGAAAAGGTGCCCTCCCAACCAAACCTATGATAACCAGATATAACACAAGAAAAAGAGAGAGATACAGAAAGAAAGACAGAGAGAGAGAGAGGAAGAAGAAGAAGAAGAAGGAGGTGGAGGAGGAGAAAAAAGAAAAAGAGAGAGAGAGAAAGGAAGAAAGGAAGGAAGGAAGGAAGGGAGGGAGGGAGGGAGGGAGGGAGGGAGGGAGGGAGGGAGGGAGGGAGGAAGGAAGGAAAGAAAAAGAAAAGAAAAGAAAAGAAAAGAAAAGAAAAGAAAAGAAAAGAAAAGAAAAGAAAAGAAGACCACAGACAGGCTCTTGTGATCTCCAATGGTGGAAATCATATGGTCTATGTAGAAAGTAACAAACTTTTTGGAAAGAACATTTGAGAACTCCTCCATCAGAGGAGGAGTTCAAATCCAAATTGTCCCTCTGGGAGGCTGTAGCCTTATTCCTGGAATGTAGCCATTACTCAAAACACCTTATTTTGAAATGTTCCTTTTGAAACTCCCTTTAGAGTGAGTTCGTGAGAAATGTTTTATAGCACAAAGCCATAACCTTGGCTGTGTGTGTAGGGGGAGGGGGCGAAGGCGAAGGTCGGGGTGAGGGTGGTTCTGGTGTCAGAACTCTGAAATTGTTTGGGCTGGAGCAGTTTCCAAATGGTGACTGACTGACCACCACCACCCCCAAAACAAATCTGACCCCAAAGAAACAGCTTTCTTACCTTAGAGAATGTTCAGAGGATCTGTCTGGGCTGCTTCTTCAAGGTAATTCCAAGAGGTTGCTGCAGAAATGATTTCAGCTACAGCAGGACAACTGAGCATGATAGTGGCATTACAGAGTGGTCACTACAAAAAGGAAAGAGATTATACTCTCTTGAAAGAGCACGCACACACATATAAAGTTAGGGCACACCTTCAGAGATTGGCCCCAGTCATCTGCCTCTATTAAATCAGTCATTTATTCAGCCTTGTAGATAAGCATGGGCTTATCTCCCCTGCAATCGGGGCTCAGGGAAGGGTGGGAGGCAGAAGGAAGAAATAGAATGACTCATTAATATCACTTGGCCTAATATGCTGGGACTGAGAAGTTAAATGAGAGAACTATGGGATTGAAAGGTAGACTAGACAGTTTTCTGCCCACTATTATTTAGGAGACACTGCGGCAAGTTGAGAGTGAGCTGGTTTTCATTCCTGGCTAATGAACGCATACGATCTAAGAAAGGGGCGGCTGGCTGGAAAAAGGGGATGAGAGCCTTTTCCCATTCTCCTTTGTCAGGCAAGAGCCGAGGAAGTTAGGGGTGCACCTGGCTGGGAGGAGGAGAAGAACCCGAATGGACATCTCTCTGTTTTGCTCTGGAGAGAATGAAGACATCCTCACTCTAGGAACAGGGAAATCAACCTATGGGCAGAACCAGCTTCTGCCTCTGGTTGCAGCCATTGTCTGGCCCCTGCAGACAACTTCCTGAAGTATCAGAATGCTTGCCGACCACAGAGAATGACACTTTCTGGAGCCTGCACCACGAGCATCTGGGTCTTGGGGACAGGCAAAGCCCCTACTGCCCATTGTGGAAACCAATGCAAAAGGAGAAGCCCTGTTTCCTCAGATGAAGGTTCCCTCAGTCCAAGGGGCATGGCTTGCCTGGAGAGGGAGGGCCCAGGATCGATCCCATCACAACATGTCCAGCCTGACCTGTAGTACTTCTTACTTGGTAGCTCAGGGCTACAAAGGTGAATGTACCAAGAAACCCAGGCAGACGTTGTCTGGCTTTGCTGACCTAGCCTCAGAAGCCCCATCATGTTACTTCTGCCATGATCTTCGGTAGGAGAAGCAGCCACAAGTCCACCAGATTGAAGCAGGAAGAACAGATGCATCTTATCTACAGAAAATATCTGTGCTCATCCTCACTGCAGGAGCACTGGCTGTGACCACTCAGAGACTGGATCTCAGAAGCAACATGACCTCCTTGGACATCAGGACATTGGGAAGGGTGTTCAGGACCTCAGGCCTCTACTTTTTAGTGTTTCTGGATTTTGAAATAAAAATGAGGACACCCAGAAAATATTTGGATTTCACATAAATAGCAAATAGCTTATTTAATATAAATATATCCCAACCATCCTATGGGACACACTTATACTAAAAATGACTCATTGTTTATCTGAAATTTCAGTTTAACTTGGTGTCCTGCATTTTATCCGGCGATCCTCTGATGTTTTCCCTCCACAACACATCCTCTCTACCCTCTCCTGTTCCCTACAACTACAGGGGGTGGGGTGGAAAAGATAATTGTTCAAGATCCTGAAGTGCATTTCTGTGCCAGCCTTGGAGAGATATAAAGGATGATGTGGCCCCAGTAACTACTGCTGCATAACAAACTACCCTAAAACTTAGTGGCTTACATCAACCATTTTATTATGCTTAGAGATGCTGCAGAAATTTAGACAGGGCACTGCAGGAATGACTTATCTCTGCTCCACAATGTCTGGAGCTTCAGCTGGGAAGACTCAATGGCTGGAGATAACTCCTGGAGGCTGGAATCATCTGGAGGCATGGTCATCACCTGTCTGGCGGTTGGTGCTGACTGTGGGCTGCGACCTCGGCTGGACTCTGCAGGAGCATGTGCATGTAGCCTCTTCATGTGACCTGAGCTTCCTTACATCATGGCAGCCTCTGGGTTGTTGAACTTCTTACTTGGTAGCTCAGGGCTGCAAAGGTGAGTGTCCCAACAGACCCAGGCAGATGTTATCTGGTTTTTCCGACCTAGCCTCAGAAGCCCCATCGTGTTACTTCCACCATGATCTACTGGTAGGAGAAGCAGTCACAAGTCCACCAGATTGAAGGGGGGTGAACAGATGCACCTTCTCCACAACAAGAGCGCCAAAGAATCTGTGGGCTTGTTTTACAACCACTGGAGGTGGAGAAAGTGGAAGGAACTTGCGGTGAGGGAGGGGCTCACAGTGAGACTGTGGAGGTAGAAAATTTCTGATGACAACGAAGGAGCCTGGAGAGGTTGGCAGGAGTGGAGCTGAAGGTCAGAGAGGTTGGAAATTTGGGAATCATGAGCCCTGGGTGCAAGGAGGACCCGGAGGGGCTAGAGCTGAAGTCACTGGAGATGGTAGTTTGCAGAGGAAACCGCTGTGGAAGAGGGAGGAGAGACAGCACCGAGGGAGTAGGAGCCATCAGGAAACATCAGAAGCGCTCATGTGCCATGCACAGCTCACACTGCGCTTTATCAAAATCGGCGTCTGTCACCAAAATTGCGTTCGACTGACACCATCTGCATCGATCCTGCTCACAGTCCCCCAGGCTCCCTCTCCACTCCCACCCATCTGCACACGCTGAGTCTCTGCATCCCCCGTCTCCGCTGGAGAACAGAAACATCTGCCTGCAGCAAAGCCCTCTCTCCCACCTCTGCCCAAGATGGGTTTTGGCTGCCTGCACAGGGCCTGGGACTGTCTCTGCAAACCTCAGAACAGGCTCACTCTCAGGCTGAGAGAAACATGTGGTGACTTTTAGGGAGCAGAGAGTTTGGTCAAAACAGAGGGGCCGAGAAGTGGGGGCACTGGGCAGCAACGGGCAGCAACAGGCAGCTGAGGGCCCACGCACTTCAATGCACTCCCCATCCTTTCCACCCCCACCCCTGCCTTGACGGGGAGGGAGCAACCTTCACTTCTGCTGCTCTGTCTGGGGAATGGATGCTCACAGCAGCCCTGCTCCCCAGCACTGGCCTCTACGAAGCCAGCAAGGCAGCTGGGCCTGACTGTTACGGAGGTGGGAACTGGCACCACATGGAGATCGTGCCTTTTGAAGCCTGAGTTAATTGGATTTTACATCATCCTCTCTTGCCTTCCCCATCTTTATTAAATGACCAAGAGGAGAGGAGAGGAGCAGCTGATCACCGAGAAGGAAAAGTTTAGGACAATGGCCTCTTTGTAGAAAGTAATCAATGCTCAGCCTCTCCCACCACGCCTCCTGATGTTCAGGCTCAAACAGTGCCTCGAACTCAGGGAGTGTGCAAAAAGATCAGTTGCCTTTATTACTATTCTTCTCATTACCCGAAAGGTACAATCTCGCTCACATATGTATGTAATTATGTGTGCAAGCACACACGTGTGTACACATGCATACATCCACACCTGGCTAACTAGTGACCTGGATCGACCAGTTACCTGCCCAAAGGACCAGGGCAGGGCCTCGGATCTGCTGTCTGTGGTCTTGTTTGGATGGAGAATTGCCTGCAGGGTCCAGAGCTCCAGCAGCTGAGCCATCTCAGGCCTTAGTGGCCCCTGTCTGTCCTGTCTTACGCATATATGTCCTCTCTTCATGCTATACGAGGGTTTGAGGATCCTTGGAGAGTTATTCCTTCCTCTCACTTTTCTAGGTCCATCATTTAAGGGAAAAGCGTGGCTTATTCAAGCGGATGCTGGTGAAATTGGCTAGTGTGGGAGACAGAATTTGGGTCTAGGTCCTTCACTCCCTGTGGCCCTTGGCCGGGCCTCCAAGGCAGGCAGAGAGAACCTCCCCACCCCTGACTTCAGGCTGCATACAATGCTTCTGCCAGTGGGGTAGGAGCAGATGCTAAGGAAACAAAGGCTCAGTGTGAGCCCACAGGACTGGCCTTGCCCCCTCAGATTTGAGCCACCCCCACAAAAAGAACGTACTCTGGTAGCCTGCTGGTCCAAAGAAGATGAGAGACTCATGGAGCAGGATCTGATTCCAGCCCCAGCCTGGAGTCAGGGTCAGCAGGGGTTGGGCTGGATGAGCTGAGCCCCAGCCGACCTGCTGAGAATAAATGAGCACCAGAACAGAGGCTCACTGGTGTGCGCCAGCAAGATTATACGGCTGTTCTACGGGACTCTACGTGACCACGACTCACTGGCACAGTGCACCTCACGCTGCATACAGAAATACATTCCAGATGCACTTAAAACTAAAGGAAAAAAAATCAAAGCATAAATAAGTTTTAAAAAGACTCTCAAAGCTAAAAAGCAATGAAATATTATGAAGAAACAAGATGGATGGGTTTAACTGCAGAAGTATTAAACGACTCTGCATCACAAAGCATTATAAGCCAATTGAAAACATAACATAACACCTGCTAAAGATTAAGCTTAAAAAGTTTTAGTCCCATTTCCTTAAGACACTAAAGCAAGCAGCCATGGAGGGGACGTGTATAAGGATCCAAGGCAGCCCCCTTTGGCAGAGGGGTGGGAAGAGGTTTTTAAATACACAATGCTAAAATGATGTCAGGGAAAAAGAAATAGCTTCTATCTAGAAGTCTAGGATCAAGGAGAGAGAGGAACACAGTCCTAAGGAGAGAAGCAGGAAAAGAAATCTTCATCCAAGTTTAGGACACGTGAAGCCACCCTGGCATGTGGTCAACCCAGAACTACAGCAAAGACGCCCTTTGTCCATCCAGGAGCTGTTTGACACAGAAGCATTTCCAGGGGCGACAAGCCTGGCAACGGCTCTACTGTGAGTAGGAACCATGATTGGCTTTTGCTGCAGAGTCTAGTCCAGCAGGGCCCAGCCATAGTATTGATGGGAGCTTGTACAGCCAGGCCTCTGAGCCTTTGCACCACAAATTGGCTTCCAGGAGAGATGCTTCATGTCCTGGGTTCCCTGTGTACTCTAAGGGGATCCCCAGGCACTAGGAGGATCAACCAAGGGAAGACACCTGCACCAGAACTTTAGGTATGGGCCGGCAGATCCTGTAGTGCCTCAAACTGGGAACTGAGGGCAGCATATATCCTTGTTATGAAAGCCCAAATTAAAATATTGAAGGTCCTCATTAGTCAAGAAAAATTGGGATTGGGGGGAAAGAAAGACCACAAAGTGAATCCACTTAAAAAGACGGAAAGAGGCCAGGCGCAGTGGCTCATGACTGTAATCCCGGCACTTTGGGAGGCCAAGGTGGGTGGATCATGAGGTCAAGAGATCGAGACCATCCTGGCCAACGTGGTGAAACCCTATCTCTACTAAAAATACAAAAATTAGCTGGGCGTGGTGGTGCGCGCCTATAGTCCCAGCCACTCAGGAGGCTGTGGCAGGAGAATTGCTTGAACCCAGGGGGTGGAGGTTGCAGTGAGCTGAGATCGTGCCACTGAACTCCAGCCTGGTGACAGAGTGAGACTCCATTTAAAAAAAAAAAAAGATGGAAAGAAATAAATGTTTGATTGTAACTTTATATTTAGAAAAAAAGACAAATTATGAAAGTTTATTTTAGCTTACATTTGACAAAGTAGGCTATTAATGCAACTTTTTAATTCTTCAGATGAAAAAAGAACAAGATATTGATTTGTGGGGACATACTTTTTCTGACGAGATTGTCTGAGAGCACGTATGATCCAACAGCCTTGATTTCACGTTTGACTTTCTCAGCAAAATCACCAAAAGGACATTTTTGCAAAAAAAATATTGGAAGGCATCAATTTTCCCAATGGCCTGTCTTAATCCTCTAAAATTCAAATCTCTCTCGTTTGAAGTGCCTGTCATTTCATCAGCCTTGTAGATTTTCCCTTCTGTAATTGTTAACCGGCTAAGAACTCTGCCGTATCCTCATTGGCCAGTAGCTTTGCACATGATGCACGTGATTCTCCGTAATCACTTTGATCAACCTCAGGAAATTCTGCATCTTTTGCAAAATTTGAAATTGTCTTGCATTATCCTCCAGAGTGTTTGCAACATATGGCCAACAGGAACAGGCAGACCCACAAATATGATAATACAGGCTGGGGAAATATGCTGGAGTTAAGTTTAAGGGATGCAGGAAGACGGGCAGAGTTTATAAGAGATCATGCCAAGAATGAATTTTTTTTTTTTTTTTTTGAGACAGAGTCTCGCTCTGTCACCCAGACTGGAGTGCAATGGTGCGATGTCGGCTCACTGCAACCTCTGCCTGCCGGGTTCAAGCAATTCTCCTGCCTCAGCATCCCAAGTAGCTGGGATTACAGGCACGCCACCATGCCTGGCTAATTTTTGTATTTTTAGTAGAGATGGGGTTTCCCCATGTTGTCCAGGCTGGTCTCAAACTCCTGGTCTCAAGTGATCCACCCACCTCAGCCTCCCAAAGTGCTGGGATGATAGGCATAAGCCATGGCACCCAAGCAAAAATACGCCCAAGAATGCATATTTTTGTGTTGCAATATTATAACTTCAGGAACTGATACTGTAGTAATATGAGAACCAAGGACCTCTGTATAAGATCAAGGGATGCTAACCACAAAATGTAAAGAGCTCATAGAAAGCAATGAAGAAAAAATGGGCAGAAACAGAAACCTTTTCTGAAAAACAAGATAGAAAATGAAAGAGAGTAAGAACCACAGGGAAGAATATTTATTAATAGCTTCACTGTAAGCAAAGAAACATATAAGAAAGCAATATTTTTGCCATCAAATGAATGTTTTCTAAATTATAATTCTCAATGCTGCTAAGGTTATGAAGAACTAGGCCTTCTTTGTGCACCGCTGGTAGGGTGTAAATTGGTACAGGCTTTCCAGAAAGGAAATGCAAAATTATATCCAGCCTTAAAATCATTTCAACTGCATCATAGTTTTTTATAAAGTCCCATGTTGTCTGGACATATCCTCACATCATTCTTAAAACGAACAAAGACTAAATCAAATGTTGATTTTGAGGGTGTAATTTTTCTTGGGGAAAGAAAATCATCTAGTGGCACAAAACAATATCCTTCACTTTGAGTGAAGTTAATTGCTTTTTCAGCTCTCTCTAAAGTTTGATCTCCCACTCAGAGGCCACTTCACACAGGAAGGAAAGCCTCTCCCCTCTGGAGAGTGCCCAGAGGAAGGGGCGTGAAGCCCAGCAGAGTTGCATCCAGGCACCCACGCCAAATAGCAAGCAGCTCCTGCCTCAGCCAAAGGGCTACTCGCACACCTGCCCCAGGCTCCCTCCCTCCTCAGCAAATGAAACAACAGAACATTACAGGTTTGTGCCTGCACTCCCAGGTATTGAGAAGCTGGGGTGTCCATCAGGAGTCCACCAACACACCCACAGTGAATATCTTGAGGTGATGGGGGTAGGAAGTTTTTTCACTTTCTTCTTCAAACTTTCTGTGGATTTGTAAGTTTCTACAATGAAAAAGCATCACATTTACAATCATAAAAGGATATATATTTTTTTAAGGAAACAGAGAGGAATAGCATTAACAAAGCACAGAAGTAGAAGTGAATGGAGGAATGTGGAGGAAATGCCAGGGCAATTCAGACTCTGGAAGCTTCAGTGGCAGTGAGTTGGGTGGAATCAGATGGCAGGATCCCACATTACCTGGATTGAAAGATCATGGCTCTGCTGGGTGCAGTGGCTCACGCTTGCAATCCCAGCACTTTGAGAGGCTGAGGTGGGCTGATCAACTGAAGTCAGGAGTTCGAGACCAGCCTGATCAACATGGTGAAACCCTGTCTCCACTAAAAATACAAAAATTAGCCAGGTATGGTGGTGCACGCCTGCAATCTCAGCTACTCAGGAGGCTGAGGCAGGAGAATTGCTTGAACCTGGGAGGTAGAGGTTGCAGTGAGCCAAGATCGCGCCATTGCACTCCAGCCTGGGTAACAGAGTGAGACTCCATCAAAAAAAAAAAAAAAAAAAAAAAAAAAAGCATGGATCCTTCCAAGTGGTGAGGAGCCAGGCAGCCCCAGAAGAAGGCCATGCCATGGAAGGCACAGTATGGAAATGGAGGGGAAATATACTGTTCTTTGGAGAAACCACTGTGCTGCTGAATCAACTCCCACCTGAAGTGTACCTTATCTCTGGACTTGCACATGCACCAATTAATCCCTTTAATTTTTTTAAGACACTTTGAGTCAAGTTTTCTGTATGTGGTAACACAAAGCATGCCAACTGGTAGAATGTGAAAAGGAGTATGGCTTGGAGAATGTTACCACTGGCTGTCCCAGTTAAAATAGGGAGGGTCCCTTAAAATGAGCTGAGCCAGAATCTTCCTACTGATGGATGGGATGGTTGTCCTCTCTCTCACTGGCAAAAGGACAAACATTTTCTGGGTATAATAAGGGTTTGGGTATAATAAGATGCACCTCAGGTTTGAATTCCATAAATCCCTCCTGCAGACATAAGAGCAGTTTGTCCAGCCTCAGGGTTAAATTGCCTATGAGGGTCAGGTCTGCAAGGAAGTGTACAATGGGCAACGGGAGGCTGGCTGCAGGGATACGGCTCACACTTAGGTGTATAGGGATGCAGTGGGTATTGTTATAATACAGGTTCTTGTTCAGTAAGTTTGGGGTGGTGCCTAAGACTGCATTTCTAATAAACACCCAGGCCATGCCAAGATGGCCAGGAGCTACAGTAAGATAAAAATAAATAAATAAATAAATAAAAACACATCTCAGCCAGGCATGATGGCTCACAACTGTAACCCCAACACTTTGGGAGGCCAAGGCAGATGGATTGCTTGAGGCCAGGAGTTTGAAACCAACCTGGGCAACATAGGGAGATCCTGTCTCTACAAAAAAAAATTTTTTTTTTAAATTAGCTGGGTGTGGTCCCACACCTGCCGTCCTAGCTACTTGGGATGCTGAGGTGGGAGGATTGCTGGAGCCTGAGAAATGGAGGTTGCAGTGAGCCATGATTGTGCCACTGCACTCCAGCCTGGGTGTCAGAGCGAGACCCCAGTCTCAAAATTTCAAAAAAAGTAAAAAAATAAAAGCACACTTCCACATGTGGCGTGCTTCATCCAAGCATCACATTAAATAACTCAGCCTCTGGGGGTGGATGTTCCTTCCCCGTCCTCTTCCCAGCTGTGTGACCTTAGCAAATTACTTATCCTCTAAACTTTGGGTCCCTCACATATAAAAGTAGGGTAATGACAGTGCCCACCTGCTAGGGTTGTTATAAGAGGATAAAACACATAAAGGACTTAGCATGGTGCCTGGCACGTAGTACATACTCAATAAATGGTAGCCGTTGTTCTTATTATAGCCGGGCAAAAAGTCTGTGCGATCTACGCTTTGAGGAATGTTACAAGTAAATGCCACTTTGTTAGCCCAGAATGAATGAAATTCAATTAAAATCTCTATTGGAACTTCTCAAAGAACATCAAAGGTGATTCTGTTCATCACCTGCAGCCAACTCCTGAAACTTGTCTCTCATTTCCACACTCCTCATTTCTCCCACCGCCTCCCTCTGGTTTAACATTTATGTGGTGCATGCACTTAGTTCCCCTGACTCCCTTGTTTGGCTTTTGTTTTGCTTTGTCGGGGTGTGGAGGGGTGCTTGGCTTTATTTTGTGTCTGCCTCCTCCCCTGATTCTTTACAACCAGGAGGACCCAGGAGCCCACCCAGGGTGGAGGTTGGTTCTCCTCTGCTTGAACTTGGAAGAACCCAACTCAAGCTGACACAATCAAAAAAGGGAATTTTTAGGCCAACATAACTTGAACCTCCAAGGATCAGTGGGACTGGTGTTGAGTGGCTCAGGACCCAGCTCCTCTTCCTCTCCTGGCTCTGCCTTTCTGAACTGGTATCATATTCTGCTTCTATAAGAATCCCCAGCTCACAAACCCCAGCCCCCAATACAGACGAAGAGAGTGTGCGGGCCCTGGAGCTCAATTCAAAAGGCCCAGAATGAAGGCTTGTTGGCTCTACTTGGTCCAACTCAGGTCATGTGTCCATCCCTGAGCCAATCCCAGAGGCCAGAGGGTGGAAGCCACTTACTGGTTCAGCCTAGGCCATGTGCTCCACCCCAGCCTGGGCTGGAACCAGCTACAGCAGAACCACAGGCCTATGAAAACTGGGACCTTGCATATGAAAACCAGAATGCTGTCAGAGAGGAGAACGGACACTGGACAGTTAAAAACCACACACATGTGTAATCCACTATGCGAGAAGTCTCTCGTCCTTGGAAGGCTAGGGGAGGAGACGTAGACAAAGCTCTGCAGGCTGCAGAGTCTCAGGTCCCTGGGCTGAGACGTCCTGGCTGTGCTCGGTAGGGAATCACTGGCAGTCAATGTATGATGAGTCTCTGCATCTCAGAGTCTAGGGGTATATTACATCCCAGAACACTGCAGCAATTTTTTTTTTTTTTTTTTTTTTGAGATGGAGTCTTGTTTTGTGGCCCAGGCTGGAATGCAGTGGCATGATCTTGGCTCACTGCAACCTCCACCTCCCGGGTTCAAGCGATTCTCCTGCCTCAGCTTCCTGAGTAGCTGGGATTACAGGCATGCACCACCACGCCTGGCTAATTTTTGTATTTTTGGTAGAGACGGGCTTTCACCATAATGGCCAGACTGGTTTCAAACTCCTGACCTCGTGATCCGTCCGCCTCAACCTCCCAAAGTGCTGGGATTATAGGCATGAGCCACTGCGCCCGGCCCACTGCAGGCCTTTAACGTGTCACTCCTGACTCAGCTCCCCATGCCATCCAACCAAATTCCTCTGCCTGACATGTAAAGTTCTTCATGACCTCGCTCCATGCACCCTTCTGCTCCCTTGGGGTAGCATCCTTTCTCCCTGCCACCCCGCAGGCTCGCCCTCATCCCTGTGCCTCTGTTCCACAGCCCCCAATCCTAGAAGACTCTTCTTCCCTCCGCTTATCCAAATCCTGGTGGAAATGACTGGTGGAAATCCTGGTGGAAATCGCGGGCAAGCTGGTTCTCCTCCCGACTCTCCCAGGAGTCATGCAGGCTTCCATGCTGCAATCCTCCAACCTCATGGGTCAGAGGGTTCCTTGCCAGTTGGTGGGATGCTGCTGCCTGCCTATGTCAAAAGGAGAGGTTGAGAGAATGGAGACGAAGCATGTGAAAGCTTCGGAGAGATGCCTCGCCAATGAGAGGAGGCCACTGTATGCTGAAGGGCTGAGCCCAAGTCCTGCCCACCCCCAGCAGGTTTCTCTGATTCCTCAGTGTCCCTGGCCCTGCGTGCCTCTGGGCCTGGTGGTCTCCAGCTGTAACAAGACCGAAAGCACAACAGAGCGGGAAGGGCTGACAGCCAACCAGGATAACAGAAAGACTCTTTTAAACTGAAGGCATTTGAGATGTGGCAGATGCACAAAGGGACCTTTTCTGAGCTTCCCTTATCTGACAAAAACAGAGATTCCCGAGAAGTCAGCTGCCATCGCCCCCACTTGGGGAGTCTCCAGACACGAAGGCAACTGACCTTTAACACTGTGACATTCCAGGAATACTGTGTAAACGAGCTGTCCCCATCAGCTCAGGCTGCCGGAACAAAATGCCATAGACCAGGTGGCTTAAATGACAGACGTTTATTTCTCCCAGTTCTGGAGGCTGGAAGTCTGTGAGCAGGGCATCGGCAGGGTCAGGTTCTGGTGAGGGCTCACTTCCTGGATTACAGGCAGCCGCCTTCTTACTATGTCCTCACATGGCAGAGAGGGAGAGACAACAGGCTCTCTGGTGTCTCTTACAAGGGTTCTAATCCCCTCTGAGGGCCCCGCCTCCATGACTTCATCTTGCCCTAATGACCCCTCAATTGCCCTTTATCTAATCATCACACTGGGGGTTGGGGCTCCAATGCATGAATCTGATAGGGAAACAAACATTACATCCATGACATAAGCCTTGTCCAAGCCTTTTTTTTTTTTTTTTTTTTTTTTTGTGAGACAGAGTCTCCTTCTGTCATCAGGCTGGAGTGCAGTGGTGCAGTCTCGGCTCACTGCAACCTCCACCTCCCAGGTTCAAGCAATTCTCCTGCCTCAGCCTCCCAAGTAGCCAGGATTACAGGCACGTGCCATCATGTCCAACTATTTTTTTTTTTGTATTTTTAGTAGAGACAGGGTTTCAGCATGTTGGCCAGGATGGTCTCGAATTCCTGATCTTGTGATCCACCCACCTCTGCCTCCCAAAGTGCTGGGATTGCAGGCGTGAGCCACTGTGCCCAGCCTGTCCAAGCCTTTTATACTTTCCCACTGAAGCCCTAACCCTGCCCTCCAGCCACCCCATCCCTCCCACCCATAAAGCTGGTATATAAATCCTTAGCCCTGGCTGTTCAGAGAGCTCCTCCTTACAGAGTACTCCCGCATGCATGTGACATAAACCTGCCTTTTCTCCTGTTAACCTGTTTATTCACAGTCCCCCACTACACGACCCTAAGTTGGTAGAGGAAAAGTTCTCCTCCCACCAGAGCCAGGCACCATATGACTGTGAGCATGGAGTTCTCGTTTCCTTAATAAGGTTCCGGAGAGGACAGAGAATGTCTTCAGCCCTCTCTGTGCCCACAGACAGCAGCCTCATCTTCAGATCTCCCTTTCCTCCGAACGTGCAAGATCATGACCTGCTTCCCCGTCACTGGCTCCTCTGATGGGACCTGTGTTTTCTTTTGCCTAAGTCTCGTCCCCCAGCCAGACTAGACTTATTGCCAGACTGGCCCATTCTTTTCATGCACCTGACACTCTAACAGAGGCTGGGGTTGGGGGAAAATAAATCTAGACTTTGGCCGGGCACAGTGGCTCACGCCTGTCATCTCAGCAAATTTGGAGGCTGAGGTGGGCTGATCACCGGAGGTCAGGAGTTCAAGACCAGCCTGGCCAACATGGTGAAACCCTGTCTCTACTAAAAATACAAAAATTAGCTGGCCATGGTGGTGGGCCCCTCTAATCCCAGCTACTCAGGAGGCTGAGGCAGGAGAATTGCTTGAACCCGAGAGGCGGAGGTTGCAGTGAGCTGAGATATCACCATTACACTCCAGCCTAGATGACAGAGCGAGACTCCATCTCAAAACAAAACAAAAAAATAAATAAATTCAGACTCCGTAAGGAGAGACTTTATCCAAAAGGATTATTATTGCAAGGGGGTGAGGGTCTAGGGGACACTGCAATAGGGAGAATACTGTGACCAAGAGATCTCCAAGTGTCTCAAGGGCAGGTTTATGTTGCATGCACATGGGAATACTCTACAAGGAGTGGCTCTCTGAACAGTCAGGGGTAAGGATTTATATACCATCTAAAAAAAAGAGGTTTTTTTTAACAGAAAAAAAAAAAAACAAAGCTAGAAAGAATCAGTGTGGGGAAGTGGATGAAAAGGTAGACTGGGTGGACAGTAGACAGAGAGAGTGTTTCCACCTGAGTCCAGCCTGTTCTCAGGAGGGGTGGTGTGCTGAGAGTGGGCCAAAGTGCAGGGGTCTGGAGAAAGGAGAGAAGCAGAACCAAAGTTTGGCTAAGAGCCACTTTGTTCCCATTGACCAATAGGGACCAGCATTCTGCTAATCACTTATGAGGCCAAGATCGAGAATCTGCAAGGCCTGTGCCTGTCCCTGCTGTACATAGGTAAACATGGGAGGCATCCCTGAGTCTTATCTAAGTCATGAGAAGAAAGATGAGTCTTTGCAGCAAGGTGTTTTCCAGAACAAAGGGTGAGGGGATTCCTGTAACCTTGGCTCTTCTCCAGGAACAGGGGGGCTCAGGTGAAATTCAGCATCGTCACTGGATACACACACACACATGCACACACAAATACAGACAAGAAAGCCTCATTTTTAGAGCTTCCTGTAGTTGCTGTTGTGTGTTTTTAATCTACAGACACAAATCTGAATCTCTCAATGAGGGCAGACTGAACCCTTGTTTAGGGGATTACCCTCTTCACGGGCCTCTTGGTTTTGCAAAGCTGGCACCCACTTCCAGCATTAAAATGAAGATACTAAGAAGCCAGCAAGTTTGATATGGAGAACAGATGCTCTGCATAGCAATGAAAACTTCCTCTGAAATTATAGCTGCTTTAAAATATAAAAGTTTCCTCTCCCCAGGGCACTTCAGAGGATTGGAGGCCTGGACTCTAGGAGGGAGACCTGGCTCAGACACTCCTGGAGCAGGGAGCATAAGGTTGAATCAAAGCCAAAGTTAGGGCTGAGATGAGGGAGGAAGGAGGGAACCCCATGGATTCCAGGAGTAGGCAGGCCACCTGTGTTTTCTTTTCTGAACTATAATTCCCTCTGCCTGCCCAGGCCTTTGGGAAGTCTATGGGTAGTCCAGCCTGTGGGGAGCTAAAGGGAGGCACCCAGTGGTGTCCTGCCAAATATTTAACAACTCGCTCTCTGGGAGTTGGAAAGTGGGAGAGGAAGATTTCTGGTTTGCAGCATTTGCCAATTTCCGTGGTGTCAATACAATCACCATAGCCAATTTGAAGCTACCGAGCTTGAGAAATTCCTGAAATTCAACAATCAGCACTGGTATACTGGTATCAGCCAGCTCCAGCAACGCGCCAGTGCGCCTGTTACACTTAGGGCAAAACCACATGGAGCAGCAGTGGACAGAAGCCTGGGGAAGCTGGTTACAAGTGGCCAAAGGAGCAGAGCAGGCTGGGCGCGGTGGCTCAAGCCCGTAATCCCAGCACTTTGGGAGGCCGAGGTGGGCGGATCACGAGGTCAGGAGATCGAGACCATCCTGGCTAACAAGGTGAGACCCTGTCTCTACTAAAAATACAAAAAATTAGCCAGGCGTGGTGGCACATGCCCCAGCTACTCAGGAGGCTGAGGCAGGAGAACCGCTTGAACTCAGGAGGCGGAGGTTGCAGTGAAGCCGAGATTGCGCCACTGCACTCCAGCCTGGGTGACAGAGAGAGACTGTCTGAGAGAGGAAAAAAAAAAAAAAAAAAAAAGGAGCAGAGCAGCAGGCAAGCTCTGATAACTGGCTGGGACGGCCTGATCTGGGAATGTAGAAGTATTCCTCAGGGGTTCCCAACAATCTCTGCACTAAGGAATCTGTAACAGATTGGGTTTCCTGTGCTCAAGTGGAGGCTGGGACTCTAGTGTTACTTGGGAAGCACAGGCATTAAGTCCTAGATCCTGCGTGGCTGACATCAGCCTGTTAGAGAGTGCCTTGCGAGACCCCGACCCTTGGGTTTCTCCAGTCCGTCCGTGTTCACTGGCTCCTGAATCATGGGAGGTTTGGCGGAAGGCACCTGAGAATATGCGTCTGTGGGCAGGCGGAGCAGTGTACGGGTTTCTCGTGCAGGATGGGCACCCTCTGGGTAGCTCAGTGTGACTGTTAGAGAGGGTGCCTCAGGGTGGGGCTCCTCCACGTCTGTATACGTGTCAACACAGACAGCTAAATGCAAACACCTTTAACCAAGGCCAGAAATTGCCACCACTTTGGTTACTTCCCTTGACCACATCCACTAGCTGGGCAAGATGGAGATGATGAACCAAGAAGTTAAGAGGCCTCGAAATGAAAAGCCATTCATTTAATGAAGTCATTTCCTCCCCGCCCTCCAGGGCCATGCCATGAATAAATTTGCAATCAACATCTCAAGGGTGCAAGAAATGGTGCATGACTTTATTTTCTTTAAGTCAAATTCAATCTGACTGCAAGCCGCATCCCATGGGGATGGCAAGAAACAATCCCGTTCAATGTTGGGGCTCCCTCCCCAGGGTCATATTGAAGGAGAGAGACATCCCTGCAAAGTAAAACTCCTGGGGAGCCTGTCTGTGGTCTACACTGGTCCTAGATGTCCAGCAGCTCTTCAACATCTGTGCTAGGTTAAGGCTTAGACTGTGTTGAGGGGGAACCCTGGTACCTGCCCTCCACCCCACTTTCCACAACCCCTACCCACTTTCCACAACCCCTGGGCATCTCAGGGGAGCCAGCTGCAGAACTCAGGGGTGGGGGCCATCCCCTTCCTATTCTGGGAGAATCTCTTCTTTCTCCACTTTTATCTCTGTCCCTGCAAAGCCTCAGCCCTCTCTCTTCCCAATCTCAGCCACCCAGCACCACGTCCTCCGTGAGCCGATCCTTTCACAGGAGTCAGGAGGAGTGAGTTGGACTTTACAGCTTCTACCTCAGCCCTGCAAGTTCCCTAAGACAAACAGGCAGAACGACTCCCTGGGATAGGGGAGTGGAAAATACAAAGAACCAAACCCAGACAGTGTGAGCCTTCCACTCCAGTAAAAACAACACGCCAATTAACATCAGTGTTAGCCTGTCCTGTGTGATCAGGAGAAGAAAGGGAGAAGGTTGTAGGGAAGAGAGATGGAGCCCCATCCTCAGAACTGTGGGGGTGGAAAGCAGCTGGTGTGGTGACCACAGGTGTGGCCTGCCCATGCCGGTGATGGCTCAGCAATGTCATCAGGGTTGGATAGCAGCACACAAAGGGCCAGAGGCCGCGCAGGGAAGGGGAAGGCTGGAGTCATACCTTCTCATACAACATTTGCAGACTCAGCTTTTTTGAGGTTGATTCCCTCCTCAGCATACCAAGCCCCATCCCAGGGTCCATGGTCTAAACTGTAAGACTCGGCCCGGCACAGTGGCTCATGCCTGTAATCCCAGCACTTTGGGAGGCAGAGGTGGGTGCATCACCTGAGGTCAGGAGTTCAAGAGCAGCCTGGCCAACATAGTGAAACCCCATCTCTACTAAAAAAAAATTAAAAAAAATACAAAAATTAGCTGGGCGTGGTGGCACGCACCTGTAATCCCAGCTACTCGGGAGGCTGAAGCAGGAGAATCGCTTGAACCCGGGAGGCAGAGGTTGCAGTAAGCCGAGATGGCGCTACTGCACTCCAGCCTGGCTCAATAAACAAACAAACAGTGAGACTCGCCTGCAGACGTGACTGTTTTTCCTTTCCCCCTCCTGCCTCCATCATCCCGCTGGTCCGCTCCCACCTTCCTCTCCTGGCCCATCCCATGCCCTCCCCAGCTCCTGTTATGCTCATCTCTAATGCACTGTTAAACACTAAGACAAATCCACTGGTAAAGCCAGAGACAACTGGGTGGCTGTGGCTGCCACCTCCCTGGTGAGGCCAGTGTTACCATATGAGTCTGACAACATTCGGACCCCCCCCTTCTGAAAACGTTCATAGTCCCTGCTCAAGGCAGGGTGACTGCCAAGACCCACAGCATACTCCACCTTTCATCCTCCCAGCACCCCCAGTAGCAGAGACAGGGGAACGGGATGGAATATCTGGCTTCATCTTAAACCCCAAGTCCATTACTCGGCAAGCCTCGATACTCTTTCTCTGTTAGAGAAATTCATGGCACTCTAGACCTGCCTAGAGAGTTCCCCAAGGCCCCCATCTCTGCCCAGAAGACTCCAGCCTCAAACACAGAAAAATAATAGACCTTCCCTAGACACCGTGTCCCAGGTCCAGGTGTGCCCCAGTCAGCTTGCGGAGACTTTGGGGCTGAGCCTCAGGCTGGGCAACGATGATGATAACCACTGAACTAACCGTGTCTGCCCTGTGCCCAGTGACTCTTCACAGCTGCCCTGTGCCTGGTCACTCTTCACAGCTGCTCTAAGACTGGGAGCATCCGCATCTCCCACTGAGGAAAGGAAGCCCAGAGAAATCACCTCTCCAAATGCACACAGTTCATGAGCCTTAGACAAAACCTCAGGCATCCAATGCCCTTTTATATTGCAACTTTGTTACAGGCCAGGAGGAGGGAAATGTATCACCCACACACCCATGGGTAATTAGCTTGGATTCATTTACCAGATTAGACACCTCAGACAAGAGGGAGCAGATAGAGCCCTGAACAAATAACTTTTCAGAGCAGGAAAGCCATTGAAGAAGACTAAATGGTGGGGGAGCAGGCTAGGAAGCACCCCCCTCCCCGCCGCCCACCGCCGGCATAGTGAGGGCCCAGGTGCAGTGCAGTATACAACCTGCACAGCTGTGTGCAGAACCCGGGAGAGTCGGTGCGGGTGTGATAGGCTTTGCTTCTGTCCACTGGGGCAGCGCTTCTCACACTCGAATGTGCTGCCGGGGCCTGGGGGATGCTGTTAAAATGCAGATTCTGATTCAGCAGATCTGGGCTGGAGATTGAGCATCTGCATTTCTAATAAGCAGCCAGATGATATGGATGCTGGTTGATGGCCACACAATGAGCAGCAAGGTTTGGAGGCAGCTCCAATCTTCATAGGGTTAACCTGCCACATGGAGCAGACAGGGTATCTCTGCCTCCTCAGAGTCCCCTCCTGGGCCATCAGCAGGGGCTACAGGTGCACGGCCTCTGATGGGGATTTAAATCCCCTTACTGGGATGCTGTGTGTGATTGGACCTCGTCACATTTGCCACTGCAATTGCTGGCGCCAGAGCAGCTTAGGGAACCAGAGGGACTGAGGAAAGTAATATCCTCACAGCCCGGGGGGTGTAAATAATGAAAGTCAGATCCATAAGTAATTACTTTTTAATTAATTAGGAATGATGCATAGCGAAGGCCCAGCGACTGTCGGGTGGAGTGGGTGTTAACTTTAATAGCCTTGTTCCTTTCCCTGCCCAAACTGATTTGCTGGGAAAGGAGACAGAGGGAAAGGATCACCCTGGGTTTGGGAGACCGAGGAGAGCAAGGCAGGAACAGAGGGACAGTCCCCTCCCAGGGCTGAGCCCCAGGAACCTTGGCCAAGGTCAGGGAATTCTCCCCACCCCGTTGAAATATCTTGTCCCTGGAGAAAGACACGGGCCATGCTTCTCACTTCCAAATTCTTTACAGACTTACCTAATTAATCTTCATGCACCTCCTGGAGGGAGAGCCAAGTGCTCCTTCCTCTTCACTCAGCAGAAGCAGAGCTGCTGGCCAGGGAGGGCCTGCTCCAAGCCACAGGTCGGGTGGGTGCACAGTGGGTGGAGGATACCCTTCCCAAAGGCACACCTGGGAGGATGGGAGAAGGAGTCAGGCCAGGTGACCTCAGGAGGGCCGAGGGTCCGTGCGGTATTCCTCTCACCCAGTGTCCTAAGCTTAGTAAACCCAGGCCCTGCCCCCTGCCCACCACTAACTCACGAATAAAGCCTGAAAGCAGGGCCATTTGGGAGCATCCCCCCACCCACCACATCTGGAAGAAATTACATCATTCAAAGGTGTTAAAGGCACCGAGCATTCCAGCCTCTCCATTTGTAGAGGAGGCAATATTGGATCTCAAAATATGAACACCATTAGGCATCTACAAGGGGTCCCGGTTCCTCTCCTCCCCTCCCCCAGCCTCTAACAACACTGTGGACCACCCCCGACTTCCCTCCAGTTCAACCAGGGAGGCCGGCAGGGTAGGTGGGAAAGGGACAGGGTAAAGATTTCCCTATGCTTTTGAAGAAAAGCTGGGTAAACTAGGGTAAGGCCAGTGAAGCATTTGCCTCCAAATTTAAGGGGGCGCCCCCCTAAAACTCAGCATATTTGCCAGGTTTGTCTCCCCGGCAGATGCACTTGCCAGGGTCCTCAATTTTAGACTCCCAGGGAATCCCTGCTAAAGCAACACCTTCCCAGAGGCCCAGGTGAGAACTAAGTTTTAAGCAGCTTTGAGGAAGGAGAGTAAGCCAGATGGGGAGAGAGAGGAAGTCAGGGAAAGGAAAGGAAGCGAAGAGGGCTAATGCTCGCTTAGTACCTGCCCTGCCAGGCCAGGTTCTTTGCACACCCCCAAGGAAGACATATTTGCCCCCATTTACAGGGTCAACTCAGTTTCCCCACCTGTGCAGAATGGGCCTGAGAAAAAAAAATCCATGATAAACAAAATGTCCAAATGTTAAATAAAGACCAGACCCAGCCCTGCCCTCGGCCTCCCGCCTCTCACTCTAGTCCTAGCCCTATGGTACCCTGTCTTTATTTTAAAATTTGCATATTTTTTTCGTTGTGGATTGAGGAGCTTTGAATTTTGATTTTAATATTGTATATCTTGATTACCTAGTTTTTAAAAAATCCCCCTCCCAAATCTAGTGCCCAAGGGGAATGCCTTACTCACCCAACCCTTGGTCCTGTTTGGAAGCCATACAGGGTAGTGAAAAATGAACATTAAGAATCAGACACAAAACCAAGTCCAGCTTTGCCATGACACCTAGCCAAGCCTCAATTCCTCCTCCATAAAAATGGGCTACTAGTGCCACTGCAGGCTGATGGTGAGACGGTTAACAAATGCTGACCTTGGCACGGAGCCTGGCATAGAGCAGAGGCTCAGTAACATGGCAGCTCCCTCCTCTGCCCAGTCCTTCCACACCCCAGACCCCCACTGCAAAGGCAACTATCAGTCAGGGACCCACAGAGCCCACCCAAGCTGGGTGGGGACCACCAGCTTCTCAAAAATCCTTCCCGGGTCTGTCTTTGGCAAAGGGAGAAATGAACTGCAGATTCAGGGTGAGAAGGGAAAACTGATAATTGCAGCTGTGTCAAACCAATTTGTTTGTGTTAACTGCCGCCAATTAAACTTCTTTTCTTTCTTTTTTTAAGTTTTAAGTTACCCCAGGTCAGGCTATCTTAGGGAAGTGGATTTCTGGCCAGACGGTAAGAAATGCTTTTATCTACTCTCACCTGAGGTGGAAGGAGAAAAATAAATTTCAGAGACACTCAGGAGCAATGAAAAGATAGAAAAGAGCTGGGGAGGATATGTCAGAGAGAAATGAGTGACTAGGACAGCATGACAAGCCCAGTCCCCATGAGCAGAGGGGAAGAGAGACCCAGGCCACCTTCGGCTGGCTGGCTACTCAGTGTGTGGTCCATGGAAGAGCTGCACGGGCATCACCTGGGGAGCTTGTAAGAAATGCAGCATCTCACGCCCCACCCCAAGCCCCTCAGTCAGAATCTGAATTTTAGCAAGACTCCTGGGGGGATTTGTATCCACAGTACAGGTTTGAGAGATGCTGGTCTATCCCACTCTGAGACCCACCCATCCTGTATTGATCTTCCCCAGGCACCAACGGTGGAGGCTCCTTAGGGCATGGAGTCTTCTGGGTCACCCCACCCATTTCTAAAGCATCTGGCCATTCACCAAGAAAGGTCCTCTCAATGGTTCCATATCTTCTGATGCAACTCCATTCCCCAGCAGATCAGTCCTCCACTCACCGCTCTGCTGGGGCTTCAGGAACTGTCCTGTGGTGTCTGGTTGGATCCAGCCGATGGGAGGCAGGAAGAGAGAAATGCTGGGGAATGTATTCCTGACTCTCTCCCTAAAGGGCTTCAAACTGAAGCCCCTTCAATTGCTCTGCTCTTCTCCTTCTGCTCACATCTGCTGGGCACCCCCCTCCAAGGCTAAGCTCTATGCTGAGCTCTATTAACCTGGCTCCCTCCTCTTGCCTGGTCAGGCCTAAGAGGCACAGCGGCTTCCTGGCTACTGTTTAGCAGATGCATCTGATGGGAATAACTTGATCACACCTCAAGAATGAGCCCGTATGGCAGGTGCACCTGAATGCACGCTCTGAATTCCGAGCTAAGGAATCCATGAGGGGCCAACCCAGAGAGTCATTCCTTATCTATGAGGAACATCTGAGCCCCCAGCCAGTCTGTGGAACACAGGCCATACAGGGGATCAAGGCCCATGGTTTTGGGTTAAGTGAAGGTGCCCAGGTGGAGATGGTTAGGGGAGGGTGCTAAGTAAAAATGCCATGTAAACTGCATGCTTTTGTAACCAGTGATGGTTCTCCCACCCAGCCCACAGCCACGGAGCTGTGCTTCATCCTGTTGGGCTCACTGCCGCTGAACCCTCCCCTGCATGTAAGCCCCCAGCAAAGCCCCATGTCTCATCTGCTGGCTCTGGGTCTCTTCTTTGGTCTCCTGAACCTGGTGCCATCCCCATTGGAATTAATAGGGATTCAGCACAACAGCTACTCCCTGGATGTCTCATTCTCCTCGTTTCCCTCAGCCCTGCTGTCGAATGGGTTTTACTACTTAGGTGCTGCAAGGTCAACCGATCAGCAGACAACTGCCATTGAAAAGGCTGTCTATGGTACTCACAGGGGCCACACGGAAAGGCAACAGGCTTGGTTTTGAGACAGAGGAAGGCGACAACCATGGGCAAGAGCCTTCACTGTGGTTCCTTGGGATGAAATGAGCAAGGCACAGTGGGCAGGTGTAGCATTGGTGAGTGTGAGTAATTTCAGCGGACTCTGAGGCATCGGAGCCATCCCTAGATGTCTGGCACCCAGCCCTGGGGTGTTTAGTGCAGGCAGATGTGGTCAGAGTGTGAGAGCCCAGCAAGGGATGGAATTGAGGGCGTAGACTCTGGATCAGTTGGTTTGTATTTGAAAGGTTCATATACTGCCTCCCAAGAAGATTCCTCCCGAGGAAGTGGGTGCGGGAGGGAAAGAGGAATGCAGGAGTCTGAAGCAAGAGGATTCTGGCAATGGCTGGGCGCGGTGGCTCACACCTGTAATCCCAGCGCTTTGGGAGGCTGAGGTGGGCGGATCATGAGGTCAGGAGTTCAAGACCATCCTGGCCAACATGGTGAAACCTCATCTCTACTAAAAACACAAAAAAATTAGCTGGGTGTGGTGGTGCATGCCTGTAGTCCCAGCTACTCAGGAGGCTGAGGCAGGAGAATCATTTGAACCCAGGAGGCAGAGGTTGCAGTGAGCCGAGATCGTGCCACTGCACTCCACCCTGGAGACAGAGCTAGACTCCGTCTCAAAAAAAAAACAAAAAAAACAAAAAAAACGACTCGAGCATCATCCAGTTGCTCAGACATGTGCAGCCTATGGGTGCAGGGCTGATATTAAAGCACTAAGTGTAGAGAAGCTAGGACATGGCTAATATGCCTCCCTAGACTTCTAAAATCATCCTCTTACTAAACTTTTCTGTTAAGCCTTTGAATGTGCCAGCTGCTTCCTGCAGGGCCCTCACTAAATCAAAAGGCAGCCTATGCTTACCTTTGACCCTGTTCTCTCCTCCCCAAGAGTGTACCTGGATTTTCTTCACCTGGGCCCTGGGCTTGGTCATTAACTACACCTGAAACAGAACTCGAGTCTCTCTAGAATAAGCTTTTAGATATGCAAGCAGATCTAATAGATATTTTCATAGGCGATTTCCCACCTCCAATACATACACAAAGTGACCCTGGAAGTATTTTTTTTCTTTTTTTGGTTGAGATGGATTCTTGCTCTGTAGCCCAGGCTGGAGTGCAGTGTTGCCATCTCAGCTCACTGCAACCTCAGCCTCCCGAATTTAAGCAACTCTCCTGTCTCAGCCTTCCGAGTAGCTGGGATTACAGGTGCGTACCACCACACCCAGCTAAGTTTTATATTTTTAGTAGAGACAGAGTTTCATCATGTTGGCCGGGCTGGTCTCAAACTCCTGGCCTCAAGTGATCCACCCACCTCGGCCTCCCAAAGTTCTGGGATTATAGGCGTGAGCCACCACACCTGGCCGACCCTGGAAGTCTTATATACAGCTATGCACAGGAAAGCAGGAGCAAGATCTTCTTTCTAGTAAAAGGCAAGAGGTCAGAATAGGAACATCAAGTCTTCTCTGATCCCCCGAGAAAGCGGGTCATCGTCCCTCCTCTGCCTCCCGTCCATGCCTGAACTCTGTGACCGAGGGCAGGAGTCAAGAATGTGCTGTGCATGCTCCTTGGAGCTCAGAGGCAATGATGATCAGATTCAATAATTATTAGTGATCTGCATATTCTCTACGGCAGATGAAATAACTGTACAGAAGAGCGGGCGGAAGGGAGAAAACCGTAAATGCCTTTCTCTTTCAGCATTAAAACAGCAACGCTATAAAGCTTGCTGCAATTAATTAGCACTCTTATTAGCACCTTTATCTACCCATCCCCACACAGTGTAAATGCCAGAGAGCATCAGGCAGCTCTGAGCCCAGGGGCCTGGGCAGGGCTCGGGAGGGAGGGGCCTTCCTGAGTTCCCACGCTAGGGGCTGGGAGGATGTGTGTGTGTTGCCTAGAGATAGCTGCACCTCCATAGACCAGAAGACTGAATCTCCTGGGCACTGAGCCAGTGGGAGTAACCCAGGGAATCTTGTGTGTGCAAAGAAATGCCAACTGCCAAGTAGCCAGGGAGAAAGAGTGACACACACACACACACACACACACACACCTCCTAAAGTATCCACGCTCCAAGACTCATTGCCCAGGCCGGCTTCCTGATCATGTGACCAATGCAGTGTCACCCAGGGTCTGCAGTCAGAGGGGGCCCCATGCTTGGAGTTTGATCCTCTGAAGTCACCTTCTTAAAACTTGATAATTTTATCTTTAAGGCCGGGCACGGTGGCTCACACCTGTAATCCCAGCACTTTGAAAGGCTGAGGCGAGCAGATCACCTGGGGTCAGGAGTTCGAGACCGGCCTGGCCAACATGGCAAAACCCTGTCTCTACTAAAAATACAAAAATTAGCCAGGCATGGTGGCGCGTGCCTGTAATCCCAGCTGCTAAGGAGGCTGAGGCAGGAGAATAGCTTGAGTGCGGGAGGCAGAGGTTGCAGTGAGCTGAGATTGTGCCACTGCACACCAGCCTGGGCAACAAGAACGAAACTCCGCCTCAAAAAAAAATTTTTTTAAAAAAGGCCGGGCGCGGTGGCTTACGCCTGTAATCCCAGCACTTTGGGAGGCCGAGGCGGGCGGATCACAAGGTCAGGAGATCGAGACCATCCTGGCTAACATGGTGAAAACCCGTCTCTACTAAAAAATACAAAAACAAAAAAAAAGCCAGGCGTGGTGGCGGGTGCCTGTAGCCCCAGCTACTCGGGAGTCTAAGGCAGGTGAATGGCATGAACCTGGGAGGCGGAGGTTGCAGTGAGCCGAGATCTTGCCATTGCACTCCAGCCTGGGCAACAGATTGAGACTCTGTCTCAAAAAAAAAAAAAAAAACCAAACAAAATAAAAACTATCTATCTATCTATCTTTGAACTCGTGATTAGTAAGCGAAGTCAATGGGACAGTGGAGCATTCTTGGGGGCTTGGGGCCCCTGGGTGGGGGCCCCTCCCTCTGTTTCCACACCTCCCTGGGATGATTCTCAGCTGCTAACTCCACCTCCTCCAGCAACTGCTGCTGCCCTGCCATCCCCCTGTGGCAAACTGGGGTGCCAGAGGGTCATTGCGGAGGTGTGTACCCCATGGACCAAATTGTGAAGTGGGGCCCCAAGCATCTGTGGGCATCTGCAGTCACCCCACAGATATCCCCATACTGAAGGAGGGAAACTTACAACAAATATAAACATCATGATGGGTAGAAGAGAAAGACAGTAAGAGAAAGGAACAAGCTTTTTTTTTCCTTTTTGAGTAAGGATCCCTACATTTTCATTTTATTTATCTTTTATTTTTGTTTTTTTGTTTTGTTTTGTTTGTTGGTTTTTATTGAGACCAAGTCTCACTCTATTGCCCAGGCTGGAATGCAGTGGCCCAATCTCAGCTTACTGCAACCTCTGCCTCCCAGGTTCAAGCGATTCTCCCGCCTTAGCCTCCCAGGTAGCTGGGACTTCAGGCGTGTGCCATCATGCCCAGCTAATTTTTTTATTTTTTTTTAGTAGAGTCAGGGTTTCACTATGTTGGCCAGGCTGGTCTCAAATTCCTGACCTCAAGTGATCCTCCCACCTCGGCCTCCTAAAGTCCTGGGATTACAGGCGTGAGCCACCACACCCGGCCCCATTTTAAATTGGGCTCTACCAACTATGTAGCTGAGCCTGCCCACTGCTTTCAGGGCAGGTTTGGGGGTGCTTCACAGGGCTCCCCCAGCCCTCTGATCAGCTGTGACTACTACGTTCAATCATTTGACAGACACATCGAACCCTGCTATGTGCAAGGCTCTGGATGAGGTGATATGGGGGATGGAGGGATGGAAGTCACATACCCCTGAAAAAACCACAACCTCAGGGCTCGATTGCTCCCTCTCTGCAACTGTGCATGTGTTTTTAAATAATAAATGTAGAGAAAGAGATACTCATGCCAATGTCTCAAGCCTAAGCCCTGGCTGACATCTACTTAGCTGGGGAGGTGAGGAGAGAGTGACCCAGTGGGGGCAACTTGGTAGCAGTTCAGACCCAGCAGGATCAGCCTGGTCCTTAAGTGTAGAGTAGTTCAGTGGTGCTGCCCTGAGGTGGTTAAATATAAAAGAGCTAAATCAGAGCTAGTTAAGTTCCTGGTTCTGCTACTTACTATGTAACTTTTCGAGTTTATTAAAGTCTCAGCTTTTACTTTTCTCTGCCCTTGAATCAAGCAAACAAAAAATGTGGATTAAACAACATAGAATGGGCCGGGCATGGTGGCTTATGCCTGTCATCCCAGTACTTTGGGAGGCTGAGGCAGGCAGATCACCTGAGGTCAGGAGTTCGAGACCAGCCTGGCCAACATGGCGAAACCCCTTCTCTACTGAAAATATAAAAATTAGCCTGTTGTGGTGGCAGGAGCCTGTAATCCCAGCTACTCAGGAAGCTGCACCAGGAAAATGGCTTGAACCCAGGAGGTAGAGGTTGCATTGAGCTGAGATCACACCACTGCACTTCAGCCTGGGCGACAGAGGGAGATTCTGTCTCAAAAAAAAAAAAAAAAAAAAATGTAGAATGTCCATTAGCAGGTGTGCAGAAGCAGGAAGAGTGAGGGATGAGGAGAAGCCAACAGAGAGTGCATCAAATAGCATCCCTGCTGTGGCAACTGACCTCAGTTCTGCTGGGGAACCAGGCAGCATGGGCCTCGGAATCGCCCCCCAGAAGATCAGGAGGCTGAGACATTCATCCACCACCTCCCACCCCCAAGGATGTCAGCTCCCCTGCATTTCTGGGCTGCCATGCACTCCAGGTGGCAACCCCAGCAGCTGGAGGAAAAATCCAGAATATAAAAGGAAAGCACGCGATGGTGCCAGCCGTGGGAGCTTGTGAGTGTACCTGGACACTGCCCACCACAGCTAGGGCTGAAATTCCAAGTCAGCTGGAGGATATGACACAGGACACCAAACCATCTGCTTCCAAGGCCCAGCTATGACAGGGAGCTGGCCGGCGGGTGGGGCCCAGGCCTCCTCAGGGTGGTTACATACAACAGGATGGAGGCGAGAGGTTGCAGCAGGGCAGGCAAGAGCCAGCACTCACCAGTGGAGAGGAGGAGCCCACGCCTGTCCTAGAGCGAGCCCCGGCACCAACTCCAGCAACATCATCCTCAGGTTTTCCAGAGCCTGGTGTTCAGGCCCCTCCTTGGAACACCTGTGGGGACTGGGAGGGCAGCCCAGCAAGGCCCCACTGATCAACGCGGAGACTTCCCTGCTGGGTCTAGTTGATTTTCACCCAGCTTTCTGGGAGTAGAGCTGTTCCCAGAGCTTCCCTAAGCTTGTGCCCAGATGGCAAATCATGATCCTGCGAAACAGAAGGAGAAATGGTGCGCACATGTGAGCAGGTGAATGGATGCGGGGCCGAGGAGCCTTGCCTGAGTGCAGGACGGCTGGGCTCCACCCTCAGCTCTGCCCCCACCACGCTGTGTGATGTCCCAAGAGCTTGTGACAAGAGCTAACACTGATTGAGCACTCACTCTTTGCCAGGCACTACCCTGGGCGCCTTACAAGGGCGAATCCATTTAATCTCTGCATCGTCTCTACCCCCACTTTACAGATTAGCAGCCTGCAGAATAGAGACGTTAATTGGTTTGCCTAAGGGGACAGCTGGGATCCAGAGCCCTGTCTGATGCAAAGGCACATTCTTCTCTGTAAAATGGGCCCAAAGACCTCTGCTCTGATAACTGCACTGGGCTTTGGCCTTTAGTGAAATCAGCAAGTGGAAAGTGATTGGAAAGGAGAACGCAGACCACACCACACAGGCAAAGAACCACAGTGTGTGCTGACAATGGAGTTCCGCCTGAGCAGAAAGAGAATGGAAAGCGAGAAATGGAAGACAAACCTCAGCAGACTTCCAGGCATTGGGTTCCTGGCTTGCTCCTCCACCACCAGCTACTGTCACCACCCTAAGTCTAAGAGTCCATCACCTCCCATTCTCACCCCAGGGGAGATGGAACCAGTGGGCACAGCTGGTGGAGAAGGGCACTGATGGTGAGTACAGCCCATCAGAAGGCATTCCCCGGGGGATCCACAGCCACATTCCCCAGGCTTCTGAACCAGGACGCCCCAGAAGTTACAGTATGTGGCTTGTACGCTGACGACAGTGGTGATACAATGACAACAGGCCTGCAGACATCCACGGCTCTCCTGCCTGCCCAGCCCTGGAAGCCAGCCTCAGAGCCGGCTCATTCAGAATGGCCATGCCCTCCTAGGAGAAACACCTTCCTCTCTCTGTCCCTGCATGGGGTAAAAGGATCCAAACCCCCTAACAAAGATAGTTCCTGGGCCTGGCTGCACCCAAGCCCTAGCCAAACCCAGAGGCCGCCCGGGACCATTTTTTAATTCTTTTGCAATCAGCACTTTCCTTTCTTCATTTGCTGGTTGAATAATGCAGCCTGTAAGAAAAGGGCCCTCAGCACAATTCTGGTGCTCGTTTACAATGGAAATTGGGAAAACGGCGAAACGCGTACTGCAAAATGCATTTAAAAGAAGATGATTCAATTGGATTTGGCAGCTCCGATATTCAGGACCAGAAGGAGAAAATCTGTCTATGATTTGAACATGTATAATTAAGAAGAAAGCCTTAAGTACCGGGTGCATTTCTTAAGATGTCACCGGCTCTGTTGACTCCAGGCGTTTTGATCAGTGGTGTAGAGCATTTATTTCTGAAATCTGAATAGCTATGAGTGAGGCGCCTTTTTAAAACCAGCACTATGGAGCCAAGCCCTGACATGGCACAGCTCGTCAAATGGGGTGAAGGTAGAAGGAGCAAGGAGGGAGAGCAAAGGCCCCTCTGGACCCAGCTCTGATCCTCCCCCAGGGTGTACCCCCAAACCTTGCAGACCGAGGTTCAGGCAAAATTAGATCCATTTGGTGTGTCCTATTTTGGTTCTTCTGCTGCTGCCAATGGAAGTGCCAGCGCCCTGGGAACCGTTCCATCCTGAAAACAGAGAGCTTGCTTTGAATGTTGGAAATGTTTTAAAAAGGCAACTAGTATTGTGGAAAAAGCCATGCAGTGGTTACCAGAGGAAGGAGGCTCAAACCCCATCTCCACCCTGGCTAATTGTGGGAGCTTGGGCAGGTTACTTAGCCTCCCCCAGTCTCAGCATCCTCATCTCTAAAATGGTCTAAGTAATAGACTCTCCCTCATAAGACAGAACAATTAGACGAGGTTATCCGTACAAATCCCAGTATCTGACACGTGAGCAGTGCCCACTGTACGTGATTTATCGTTCTTATTATTCTCTTCAGCCCTCTCTCAAGCCACCCAAAATAACTGCATGAGCCCAACTCAGCTCACTCTCTGGGCCCTCCGAGAGTCTGCGTGGAAAGCAGGATGTCATGAAAAACCTCACTTGCAGTGCGAGATGACTCAGTGAGGGAGTTGCTGGCAGCCCAAAGCCTTCTCCATGGAGAGCTGGAGGCTTCGCAGGAATGACTCACAGGTGGCACAGTGGGACAGAAACCTGAGGCTGAGATGAGTCACATGACAATAGCTGTCATATGGCTTGTTGGCTCATCATCCTAAGCAGGACTGGAATCTTCTGAGATTTCTAGGGTCCCCTCTCTTTTCTCTTTCAGATGGGGAGAGGAAAGAGAAGGATGAGAAACTGGTGTGAGCCCTGGATGTTCTTCTTAGAGGCCTGGCCTACTCCAGGTAGAATGTGGCCAGACTGTGTTTGACAAAGCCACCCCTTCCCTCCACTCCCTAAGCTGCCCGCACTTTTCTTGGGGAGGGGAGGCAGGGAGGAAGGATGGGGGGAAGTCCAGGGGAGGAAAAGGAAGAATCTTTCATGCAGGAAATAGTTGCAGGTTTCATAACCACACATTCAGGACACACCTGTTGCAAGACTAAGGAGGAACTGATGCTCAGTACTCCCATGATGTCCAGCGGATGGGAGGCTAACCTGGCTGGTGTGGGTCCCACAATGCCAGAGCTGTTGGCCAACCACCAGGCTCACCAAGCAAGAAGACCCTGCAACAGGAATCAGAAGTCAAAGAGCACCCAGCCATGGACAAATGGGTGATACCAGGAGGGTCCCAGAGGTCACAGCCTGCTGGCAGGCTCTAGGGTTCCCAATGACCTCCATCAGATATGGGGGGCATCACCTGGCCTTCAGCAATGGACTGCTCCAAGGCCCCTGAGTGACCACACTCCCTGGGGCTCTGGCCAGTACCTCTCTACACATACAGGCAGCCCACCCTGTAGATGTACCCAGCCCTGATTCCCAAGGCCAGCAGCACGGCACCGTGTGACCCAAAGATTCTAGCCACCTGGTTCCTAGTGAGAAGCCACAGCCCCAAGTGGTCTGCTCATGTATCAGGGAAGAACTCCTTGCCAGCAAGAGTTACAGCTGGAAACATCAGGCACAGTCTCAGGCCAGTTCTGCACAGGTGGGGAAACTGAGGCTGGCCTTGGCTCAGCAGAGAGCTAAGGCACAGTGAGAATCCAACACTACCGTCATGCCTAGTTCTGGACCAGACCATCGGGCCACGCTGCCTGCCTGGATGCCAGGGTGTTGGAGTTAATGTAGATGGCTTCAAGTCCTCCAGCTCTACCCCTTGCCAGCTGTGCAGCCTTTGGAAAGTTACTTAGTTTCTCTTTGCTTCTGTTTCATCACCTGTAAATGGGGCCAAAGTGCTTTCCTCAGAGGTGTGCCAAGAATCTGGCCTGGCAGAGCAGGTACTAAGTAAATATTCACTTTCTTTCTTCTTCTTTTTTTTTTTTTTTTTTTTTTTGAGATGGAGTCTTACTCTGTCGTCCAGGCTGGAGTGTAGTTGCACAATCTTGGTTCACTGCAACCTCTGCCTCCCAGGTTCAAGTGATTCTCCTGCCTCAGCCTCCTGAGTAGTTGAGATTACAGGCACGTCCCACCATGCCCAGCTAATTTTTTTGTATTTTTAGTAGAGACGGGGTTTCACCATGTTAGCCAGGATGGTCTTGATCTCCTGACCTCATGATCCGCCTGTCTCAGCCTCCCAAAGTGCTGGAATTGCAGGTGCCACCATGCCCGGCCCCCCTTTTATTTTCTGAGTTTTTCACTGGTCCCATCTGCTTCCCTCTCCTTCCTCAAAGCTGCTTAAAGCTCAGCAACAGCCCTGCCTCTGAGATGGCTCAGCCTTTAGTGCCACGCATGCTCAGTGATACCCCCGTGAGTCTGACGGTGAGGACTTCGGCAATTGCATCTGACCTGGAGGTAAAGCCCAGAAATATAGGCAAGGAAATGCTCTGTGAATATTAAGGAAGGTCCAATAACTTCATCCCCTAAAAGACGTAAGAAGAGGCCCTTGGGTTTGCCACTTGACTGGGACTCACATCTCTGCCCCCTTTTGGCTGGGAATGAGTATGTGGCCAGTCTGGTCCATGAGACCCAAGGAATCTGTTGAAAGTCTACAGAAATGAACTGTCCTGCCTCATTTAAAAGAGCGAGGGAGAGAGTGAGAGAAGGGAGGCAAGGGGCAGCCCTTGCTGCCCCTGGCTATCTGTGCACATGGATGGGTGAAGACAGAGGCTTGGGGCTGCTGCCGCCATCTTTTTTTTTTTTTTTTGAGACGGATCTCGCTCTGTCGCCCAGGCTGGAGTGGCACGATCTCGGCTCACTGCAACCTCCACCTCCCAGGTTCAAGCAATTCTTTGCCTCAGCCTCCCAAATAGCTGGGATTACAGGCACATGCCACCATGTCTGGCTAGTTTTTGTATTTTCAGCAGAGATGGGGTTTCACCATCTTGGCCAGGCTGGTCTCAAACTCTTGACCTCATGATCCACCTGCCTCAGCCTCCCAAAGTGCTGGGATTACAGGTGTGAGCCACCGCACCTGGCTTGTTGCTATCTTTTAATGCAAAGGGAAGACTGAGAAAACTGCAAAGAGGCCGGCCAGAGCCCTGGCATCACCACACTGCTGAAGCCACCCCAGAGCACTCGCCTCCAGAGTCTTGTGTGAGGAAATAAATGATTTAAGTCCGTTCTAGCTGTATGTTGTTACTTGCAGCAGAGCACACCCCCTTTCCAAGCCCTAACGGGCACAGCTATCAAGTCAAGAGAGGAATACTGCCAGCGTTGGAAGGTTGCCATGAGAAGGTTCACATGACACCTGTGAATTGTGCAGCAGTGTGCAGCATGCAAAGGACGCCCACAACACGTGGCCCCTCTTCTCTTTAGCCAAACCTAAACTTCATGCCTCCAAAACCAACTAGTCCTATGAGGCAAAAAGGGCTCTTTCCGGAGCCCAGCCCAGGCGCCGAGGCAGCCACCCAGTGGCTGGGATTTAGAAGAAGCCTCACTGACTCAGCAGCAACAGAGCTTCTGCCTCCAGGCTCCGAATGCCACTGCCTGCCCAGAGGCCCAGGGAGACCGAGAGCAAACAAATGAGCTCTTCGAATGGCAGCGAAAGTGTCAAGGAAGTCAACCGCAGAGGCCATGAACATCTGACCCCTCCAGAAAGTGCTGGTGTGGAGAAATGCTAGTGCAGCTTCATTTTCAGCCTCTGATTTCATTAATAAGATAATGATGAGCCATTTAACTTTGCATCTGAAGAGTGAAGCAAATTACCTGTGTCTACATTGCTTAATGACGGAGGCACTAACAGGACCTTTGCCGCCTGCTGGAACCGAAACTGACCTATTGCAGGAGGCAATTTTATGCTCTTGGGTTTGCCACTTGACTGAAGCCATTCATCAGGCCGGGAACTCACCACCCTCCCCAACACACACTCCACATTAGCTCCGTGTCCTCTGCTGCACGCTGCCCCTCTCCCTAACGGACGCAGGCTTTTTTAACCCAATGATCCTGCTACCATTAGTTATTTCCCGGACATGAACCACTGGGCCCTCATTAGCCAACTCTCAGGTATCCAGGTGTGAATTTTCCACTTTGGCAATGTTTCCCCGGAGAAGTATTCATCTGAGCCAAGCCATGTCCTGGACTCCATCTTCCCATCAGCAGGAAATACCAACACCGCCCGTGGCCTTCTGAGCCAAAGATGATGAGAGAAATCAAGACGCAGCCAACCACAGAAGTCTTCCAAAGGCCAGAGAGGCTCTTTTGGATTTTTCATTGTTTCAGGTCCATAGATTTTTTCATTTCTTTTAATTAAAGTAGAAGTTCCATACAGTAAAACTCACGCTTTCTAAAAGGGAATGGCTCCGAGAGTTTTCACAAGTGCATACAGTTGTGTGGCCACCAAGACAGGCAAGACACAGAACAGTTCTGTCACCCCAGAGAGTTGCCTTGCACCTTCTATGGTCAACCTCTCCTCCCACTCCCAGCCCCTGGCCACCACTGATCTGTTTTCTTTCCCTATAGTTTGGCCTTTGCCATCATGTCATATACACTGGGAAGCCCTTTGATTCCAGCGTCTTTCACTTAATCACCTGCATTTAAGATGGATCCAGGCACTTTTGTGCATCAGTAGTTGGTTCTGTTTTGGTGCTGAGTAGAAGTTCACTGTATGGGCCGGGTGTGGTGGATCACGCCTGTAATCTCAACACTTTGGGAAGCCAAGGCGGGCGGATAACTTGAGGTCAGGAGTTCGAGACCAGCCTGGCCAACATGGTGAAACCCCCTCTCTACTAAAAATACAAAAAATTAGCTGGGCATGGTGGTGGGCACCTGTAATCCCAGCTACTCGGGAGGCTGAGGCAGGAGAATCGCTTGAACTTGGGAGGCAGAGGTTGCAGTGAGCCGAGATCACACCATTGCACTCCAGCCTGGGTGACAAGAGTGAAACACCATCTCAAAAAAAAAAGAAGTTCACTGTATAGACAAACCACAAGCTATGGATGAGGCCCAAGGGTGTTCACTGAGCACC
Organism: Homo sapiens; assembly: GCF_000001405.40. Lineage (NCBI taxonomy): Eukaryota > Metazoa > Chordata > Mammalia > Primates > Hominidae > Homo > Homo sapiens. The sequence continues at coordinate 74,047,343 of NC_000017.11, forward strand.
CACCTACCCTGAGCCAGGTACTTGAACATACATTATTTCAATTAATCTGCAGGAAAAACTGTGAGGTAAGTACTCCTTTTTTTTTTTTTTTTTGAGATGGAGTTTTGCTCTTGTCGCCCAGGCTGGAGTGCAATGGCATGATCTCGGCTCACTGAAACCTCCGCCTCCCAGGTTCAAGTGATCCTCTTGCCTCAGCCTCCTGAGTAGCTGGGATGCCAGGCATGCGCCACCATGCCCAGTTAATTTTTTGTATTTTTAGTAGAGACGGGGTTTCACCATGTTGGTCAGACTGGTCTTGAACTCCCAGCCTCTGGTGATCTGCCGGCCTCAGCCTCCCAAAGTGCTGGGATTACGGGCATGAGCCACCACACCCAGCCAGTAGGTACTCCTCTATCTCCATTTTGGAGGTAAGAATAGGGCCATGCAGCTAGAAAAAGAAGGGATGGGCCAGGGACAGCCACGAGCACCATGGAGAGGCCATCCACTCCATCATTCATTCGTTGGACAAGCATCTCCTGGAGCCCTTTCGCAGGACAGGGCACAGTGCTGGGTGCAATGGGGAAGCACATACAGCCCTGCACAGAGGGGGTTACAGTCGAGGACTGTGCTTCCACCTGCCCTGCAGGGTGAGCCCACTGGACTTTCTTGTACCTGAGGCTGAAGACGCCACATTTGGTGAGTGTGTGGCCCACATAAGGTGATCCTCCTGGTATGTGTAGGGAGAGAAAAGACTCAGCCTTCTGTAAGACCCTGGGGAATCGGCAGCAGGAAGCGCAAGAAAGGCGATCGGAGACGTGTTTTCTCAGCACATTTGTGCTCTGAAAACAATGAAATTGCAGGTTTCACTAGACAGACATGCCAGCCACTGCCTGCAAGTAAATATAGCGATCCCTGAGGCTTGCTGCCCTCCAACACCAAGTCTCTGTCGTTTGGACTTGGGCCACAAAACCACAGAGAGGATGGTGGGGGGAGTAGCAGGGGTCGGGAGGAGGAAGTGGTCTAGGCATCACTTCCTGGCTTTTTCCATCCCTGTTCCAGGCACATGGCCCTGAGGCTCACCAACCTGCTGGGGAAGATGGCACCCACTTCATGGCCTGCCATTATCAGCCATACACACGCCTGGGGTCATCCTCTGACCGATACAGTGTAAGCAACAATTTGCTGGATGTATAGATTTCCAGGGGGAAGAGGCAGCAGTGGCTGTTGTCCCACAGCTCTGCCTAGGGGTGTGGGCTCCAGCGTTTTTGGCCTAGATCATAAGAGGGAATCCCTAAATAGAGGCTTTCAGGGTGGGGATGGAGAAGGCTCTGGCTCATTTCCTCCTGAGAGGCCCCCGGTAGAGCAGTCCACTGGGCTTCTGAAGGCTCCTCAGGAAAGTGCACAGTTTGTATTTGTTCTCAGCTCCTAGCCAAGTGCCTGGTTTAATAAGCAGCTTTTGAGCAATAATGAATGAATGAAAGGAAGAAGGGAAAGAGAAAGACAAGGAGAGAGGGGGAGAGGGAGGGAGAGAAAGAGAAACCCCTAGAGGCAATCCTTTCTGAGTTTCTTAGTAAACAGAGAAAAATCTTAAGCTTACCAGCTGGAGAAGAGCAGGAATTTGGGGTTCCAGTGCCGAACCCCCATTCTACCACCTGTTAGCTGCACAAGTTACTTTACTTTTCATAGACTCGGTTTCCTTGTCTATACGACAAGGATATGGATACTTCTCTCTCAGGGTCTGGGGGAGGATTACATGAGATCATTTTAGACCTCAGCCTAATGCCCGGCATGGAATAACCGCCAATCAAAAGTAGCTATTGCTGCTGCTCTTCTGACTTTAGCAAAAGAGGCCTCCTGGTTCTGGCCTGAAAGCAGGGCAGGCCATGCCGTGGCCGGGACCCCCTGGTGAGAATGGACCCTCTTGGAGACTCTGACTTCATTCCTGCCCAAGCTGCAGGACAGCTGTCCCTGCTGGCAGCTCCATGTGCATCTGGAACTCTCTGAGCACCAGGCTTTGTGTGTGTCTGGATTAATTGCTTTCTCCACCCCCGCATCTCTGCCCACCTGCAAGTGGGAGGCTGAGGTGACTGGGGACCTGCAGGTTTTGGTGGAGCCCCTGGCCCCTCAGGCCTGAGCTTGAGGAGAGATGGAGAAGGACTTTATTAAGATGGATGTCAGAGCTCCAGTCGGCCCTCATCCTGCAGCTTACGCTAAATTATTAAACGTCGGCAAGGACGCCAGGGGCTTTGCCATTTGTTAACAGATGGCTCTCAACTGAATCTCTGTGCATCATCTTGATGTGATATGTACAGGGGATTGGGCACAGCCCGGGGATGCAGCACTGGAGGAGGAAAAGGCATTGCGGACCCCCGTGGAGACTGCCCACCTTGTCCCTGCAAGCTCCTGTCGGGTTCACTCACCTGTGTCAGTTTTGCTTCTTGTCCCCCTGCTAAGGGGCTCTCTGAGTCCAGCGGGGCACCAGACCTGCCCAGAGCAGCAACTGTAATAATTAATGTTGCATGAGGGTCTACTTGGTGCTCAGCATTTCCCTCGCATTTCTTATTTAATCTCCACAGTGAGCCTGCAAGGGAGGTGTCATTCACATCCCTTTATAAATGAGCACGTGGGACCCAGAGTGGCTTATTGCCCAGTGTTGCACACTCACTAAGTGACAGAGCCAGGGCTAAGATCCATGTCCCTCTGACATCTCCAGCCTAACCTCTCCACTGTGCTGCCCCCTGGGCCCCTGGCCACCGACTCTGAAACCCTCCCCAGCTCCCCTTGGCCTGAGAGTGCCCAGGGAGAATCACCACTGGCGACTTCCTATGCTCACATCCTCCCTGGAGGCCCAAAAAGGGAGGAACAGGGAAGAAAATGCTGGAACGAGCTCAGCCCTCCTCTCTGGACATCCCCCGCTTCATGTGGGTAGGACCCAGAGGATGACAACGGGCTGCTTGCCAGGATTCGTTTGCTGTGGTGAGGCAGCTGTCACGGTCCCTGCCCTCTGCCCTGTCCACGGGTCTCCCGAAGAGGTGTCCAGCCTGCCCTGTCATTATTATTTATTGTAATTGCTGCATTTTATTGAGCACCAAGTCTCTGGCGGGCAGTAGGTATAATGTGATCACATTTAAATCATTGTTAAAAGCTTTGTCATAAGGACAGTCAGTCAGTGAGAAAATCTGATCACAGCAATTTGGAGGCCCCTAAGACTCAGGACCAGGAGGGGATCCTTGATTTTATACTTTGCAACTGAATGGAACTAACTGTCTCAGAAACTCCAGGTAGCAGGTGGCTGACTTTCAGATCTTCCAAGAGCCTCGCGTGCCCATTTTAATGGAGGGACAGCTCGAGTCCAGTTTCCCCAGCCTGAGGAGGCTCTGTAGGCAAGACGCGTGTCATACATGCCCATCTACTCACATCGAGTCTCTCCTGAGTTTACTGCAGCCACAAAGCCCTCGAAGGCTCCATACACTGACCCTGACCCTCCCTGTGACCCAAGGCCTTGGCAGATAAGGAGAAGGCCAGCAGGTTTCTGCAAGACGCCTCTGCCCTCCCCACCTGTCTCCTCGGAGCCCCATCTCCACCTCTCTCAGGTACAATCATTTCTCTGAAGAACCTTCTGGCTCTGGGGAAGTGGCTGAAAGCCTCCCTGGTCAGCAATTCTCACTCCTTCTCTGGCTTCCCACTCTCTCCTCTTTCATCCTGATCTTCTCATTGGAAACTCACATCCCACCTGGGCAAAATGAACCCCTGCCAGGCCTTTACCCCTGCAAGGAGGGGAGGCTCCCCAGGGCCACATCCCCTCCCCTTCTCCCACCTGCCCACGGGCGCTTCCAGAAGGAACCATCTTTAATGGGTGCCCTCACGTCCCTTCCAACCACCAAAGGGGGAAAATATCCTTAAAGCAGTTGCTTATTAACAGCATCTGGTGGCATTCGCAGCCCAGGACGTGGCAAAATATAGATCAGAGTTGGGAAAGCCGGGAATCACGCTGCCATTTGTCCTATTCCAAATGTCATTTTGCGTTCCATCGCAGCATATTACCGAGATGATTAGTGGCATCAAATGACTTCTGAAAAATGATTATGTGCCATTAAAACCATTAGTCTGTCCGAAACCAGCACAAACAAATGGCAATGGGAGGATGAGTCATTAGCTGGGGAGGCTGGGTGACGAGTAGAGAGCTGCCCTGTGCTGGGCAATTAGTGAGGCCAACAGGTTGGAGCAGCCAGGGGGGTTGGTGGAGCCCAGAGTTCTGCCCGGGCTGGGGAAGCCCTAGGGCCCCGCGAGAGCAAAGGGCCTGTGGGGTTCACGCTTCTCCCAGGGAGCATGGATTTGGGTTTGCTTGGAGGGCCCTGCCCTCCCCACAGGCTGAGGGCAGAGACATCACAGCCTTCCCCAGTGGAGGAACAGGAAAATGAGGCTGGTGCACCTGCAGGTTACTGGAAACAAGATGTGGGAAAAAACAGAGGCAGGGCCGGGACATCACTGCAGGGGTGTAGGATGAGCAGGCAGAACTCCACCGCAGAGGCCCCTGGGGGGAATTTTTTAATTGACTCCAGCAAAAAATGACAACAACAACAAAAATTGGCTTGGGAATCACAATGTAATTTACGACAACAAGAACACTTAGAGAAGCTATAATTTCAGAGATTAAAAAACATTTTTTGAACATATACTAACAAAATAGCTTTGATGTGACAGCGAAAGAAAAAAAAACAAGTAAAATGTTTGTCATTTTTTTTTTTTTTTGAGGCAGGGTCTCGCCCTGTCGCCCAGGCTGGAGTGCCATGGCATGATCACAGCTCACTGCTACCTTGAAGTCCTGGGGCTCAAATGACCCTCCCACCTCAGCCTCAAGAGCAGCTGGGACCACAGGCACGCGCCACCACACCTGGATAATTTTTGTTTTTTTTGGAAGAGACATAGTGAAGGGTCTCACTATGTTGGCCAGGCTGGTCTTGAACTCCTGGACTCAAGCAATCCTCCCACCTCTGCCTCCCAAAGTGCTGGGATTACAGGCCTGAGGCACCACGCCCAGCCTGAGTTGTTGTTTTCGAGCTTGTAAAACTAGCTGAGCTCTGACACCAACCCTTGGGGTACCCATGGTGTTCCATGTTGAATTCCACTTGTTGGGGCAAAGATTTGGTTTTTAGGAGATGGAAGGAGGGAGGTCCCCTTGTCAGCCCTCCTTGTCCTCCTCCTCCTCCATCTTCACTTGTGTCTAGGCCCACTCGGTGGGGCCACATCCCTGCAGGGGCCACCTCAAAGCTTCCTGGGCATATTCTACTGCTGGTCACGTTCTAGAAGTAGTAAGCACCACCCCGCTTTATCTCTTCTTCCCTGCTCCCCTCCCGTCTTTCTTTCCATACATTCAACGATGTGTGTGGACAGCCTGCTCTCCGGCTTGCCGGGTGTGCAAGCTCAGCCCAGCACTGGCCAGCCCTGCCCTCCAGAAAGGCATCATTTAATCAGAAAGCCAGTAACACGGACAGTGGGCTTCATTTCCATGCACCAGGCACTGCTGTCATTCACCCTCACCTGTGAGGCAGGTAGGATTCTCATCTGCATTTCACAGATGGGTAAACAGGCCTGGAGAAGCTCAGTGCTGATGCTGCAGACCCCTGAGCGACAGGAACCCGGGCTGGGACCTGCCTGGTTCCCCGCAGTCCTTGCATAATCCTGATCTCCCTTCCCCAGGGCACCGGAGAGAGAGAGAAGCAGTGATCTATCAGAAGTCCTTCCGAGACTTGCGCATTGCGTTCCAGTGCCGGGCCAGGGAACCCTGCAAACTCTGATAACCACCTCTCCATGGCTGTCGAGGGGTGCCAGCATGACCCCACTTACAGGGATTCCAAGCGCCCTCTGTTGTTCCTGGTGGAGAGATCCCGGGAGCCCTGGTGAGGGACAGGCTAGGGTGTTGCAGTATGGTTTTGTATCCTCGTTTGGAGAGTCTTTAGCGATCACTGAGGCCCCAGGCTCAGCCGTGCAGACTCCAAGCCAGTGGTCCTCAGCCCAAAGCATGAGAATGTTCTGGGAACCTTTTAACAGTAGCAATGCTGGGACCCCAGCCCTGCCAGGTTGAAGAACCACCAGTCTGTCCCACCCCTGCCTGTTACAGATAAGGAAATAAGAGGCTTGCAGAGGAGCGGCAACCAGCCCGGGAGCAAACAGCTGCTCCGAGCTAAAGCAGATCAAGAACCCGAGGCCTCCGAAAAGCAGCTTCCCATCCTCCTGCCTTCCCTCTCTCGCTCCCACCTGCCACTCCAAGGTAGCAGAGCTGCAGCAGCTTGACCTGGAGACCGTCCGCCCTGATTGACACCAGTCACAACCCTGGCTGCTCCGAGAGCCTCTGAGGCCCAGCCCCATGACAGCCCGCACCTCTGATTGTTGCTGCCTTTCCATCTCCAGAGCCAGAAGAGGCCACCATCTCAAAACGGTGGTGGAACTCCAGGAGCCCATCATCTTGCTCTCCCCTCGGGCCTCACTGGGAATGACGGGCTCATTCCAGAGCAGCTCACACATGCTGTTCTTCATCTTTATTGAATTTGGCTTTGCGGTTCTTGCTGCTTTGAGGGGAGGGATGGCTATGACAGCAGCTTGGAAGTGCTGGGCTGAAATCATTTTCCACCCCCCGGCCCACCCGTTCTATTAGAAAAACATGAAATCTCTTCCTTCCCTTTATTTATTTTATGTGTTTCCTTCTTGCTAAGACAGAGAGCAAAGTGATGTTGAACGAAGGCTGTTAGCGTCCCAGCCACACACGTAATGAATGCTTATGAGGTTAGTTTGCTGAAGTACATGTCCAGCTGCTAAGAAAGATCCAACGTAGCCATTTGTGTGACCCTGGCTTCCAGACCTGGCTGCCTTTACCTACTCCTTTTTGACTCGAAAAATTAGTAAGATACGTAACAGCCTGGAAGTTCTTCAAGGTGTCTAACTTCAGTCTCTCCTACTGCAGTTCAGTCTTTTTGAGTCAAACCAACACACATTCTCCCTGCAAAGGCTGATGATGCGCAAGAATATTACCAGCCATCTCTCTTCCAGCAATAATTAGTCACAAGCAGCCCCCTACTTGGTTTGGGACACTGATTTCAAGGCCTGCCATCTGGGAAATGCTGAGACAGCATCTGGGGTGCCCAGCAGCTCAAAGCACTCTGTAAACATGTTGACACTTTCTCCTTGTCTACGAAACTTTCCTCAAGAACAGCCCAAGGACATGCATGGACACAGTTGGAACAATCAGATCCCACAACCTCCATACAGACTCTCCCGTGGCTCTCAAACGCTGGGGTACATCAGAATCACCACTGACTCAGTGGCTGTTACGAACTGAATGTGTGTGTCCCCCCCCCAGATTCATATGTTGCATCCTGGCCCCCAGTGTGCTGGTATTTGGAGGTGGAGTTTTTGGGGGGATAATGAGTTAAAGTCATGAAAGCCAGGCCCTCATAACGAGATCAGTGCTCTCATAAGATAAACCAGAGAACCTGCTCTCCCTCTTTCTCTCTCTCCCTGTCTCCCTTTGTTTCCCTCTTTCTCCCTTTCCCTCTTTTTCCCTCTTTCTCTGTCTCACTCTCTCCCTCTTTCTCCCTCTCCCTCTTTCTCTCCTTTTCTCTCACTCTCCCTCTTTCTCTCTCCCTCCCCTTTCTCTCTCTCCTTCTGTCTCCGTCTTTCTCCCTTTCCCTTTCTCCCTCTCTCTCCCTTTCTCTCTCTCCCTCTTTCTCTCTCTCTCTCTCCCTCTTTCTTTTTTTTTTGGATGGGAAGGAGTCTCATTCTGTCACCCAGGCTGGAGTGCAGTGGCACGATCTCGGCTCACTGCAGCCTTGGCCTCCCGGGTTCAAGTGATTCTCCTGCTTCAGCCTCCTGAGAAGCTGGGATTACAGGCATGCACCACCATGCCCGGCTAATGTTTGTGTTTTTATATATGTGTATACATATATATTCTTTTTTGTAGAGATGGGGTTTCACTATGTTGCCCAGGCTGGTCTCGAACTCCTGAGCTCAGGCAATCTGTCCTCCTCAGCCTCCCAAAGTGCTGGGATTACAGCCATGAGCCACCACGCCCGGCCTCTCCCCCTCTCTTTCTCTTCCTCTCTCTCTGTCCCTCTCTCTCTCTCCTTATTTCTCTCTCCCCTTCTTTTTCCCCTTCTCTCTCTCTCTCCCTCCCCATCCCACCCCACCCCACCATGTGAGGACATATTGAGAAGGCAGCCCTCTACAACCTTGGAAGAGAGCATCCCCAACCCCCGACCATGCTGGCTCCCTGATCTCAGGCTTTCAGCCTCCAGAACAATGAGAAAATCAATGCCTGTTGTTTAAGCCCCAGTCTGTGGTCTGTAGTTACAGCAGCCCTAGCTGGCTGAGACAGCAGGTCTGGGGTGAGCCTGGGGATCTGTGGTTGCTGGCAAGACCCCAGGAGACACTGATGCTGATGCGATTGGCCCATGGACTGACCACACTGCGAAACACGGATCCAGACTCCCCAAATAGGGACCCTCGTCTTGAGTTGGCTGCTGTGTGCCTGAGACATTAGGCCAAGGGGAGGAGCCTTCCAAGTGGAATCTGAAGAGCTCGCAGACTTTGGAGTGTGACAGACCTGGGCCGAATGCTGCCCTGTGACTTCCCAGCAGTCACTTACCATGCTGCCTTTCCCATCTGTTAAAGGGGCATGAAGACACCTCCCTCCAAGGCTGGCACCGGATGGGATATTGCATGGGCACAGTGCCTCGTGCAGTGACGACACTGTTTCAGGGTAGGTTTGCTTGTCTGTTGTTTTGGGGCTGAGAGGAGGGAGACGGGAGAAGGTGGTCTTCAGGAGCTTGGGGCCATATTGCCTAGGTGCTTCCATCACCCGCTTCCTGATCCTGGAAGCCCTACAGTCCCCACACGTCATCCCTTACATCAGTTCTTCAGTGGAACCATCCAGAGGCACAGGCACCTGCCCCTTCTGCAGAGTCTCCCCTGACCACCCAGCAACTGGGAGACAGGCACAAAGCATGGGGAAGGGGGTGTGAACTGCAACTGGGCAAAACCCAGGAGAGAGACCCTGTTCATCAAGGGGTTCACCTGCCTCCAGCCCCCATACAGAGGGGAAAAGCAAAGAAAGGCATCCTCGGACAGCTGGGCATTCAGAAAGACTGGCCAAGATATCTGTCCTGTGGGTAAGAGGAGAAGGAGGTGCAAAGATCTCTAGTATGCCTCCTGGAGGGTGAGCTCAGTGCAGACCGCAGGACAGCCTGGGCTCTATGAAGACAGGGCCTTGGACCAAGGCTTTGGTACATGTGGTGTATTGGTTACCTGTTGCTATGGAATATGGCTTGGATGTTTTGTCCCCTCCAAGTTTCATCTTAAAATGTAATCCCCATGTTGGAAGCTGGGCCTTGTGGGGGTATTTAGGTCATGGGAGTGGGTCCCTCATGAATGCCTTGGTGCCCTCCCTATGGCAATGCGTGAGTTCTTGCTCTGCTGATTCACTGGAGAGCTGGCTGTTTAAAAGAACCTGGCTCCCTCTCCTCTCTCTTGTTCCTGTTCTTGCCATGTAACATGCTGGCTCCCTGTCACCTTCCGCTGTGATTGTAAGCTTCTTGAGGCCACACCAGAAGCCAAGCAGATATTGGCACCATGCTTCTCATATTGCCTGCAGAACCATAAGCCAATTAAACCTCTTTTCTTAATAAACTACTCAGCCTCGGGTATTCCTTTGTAGCAACACAAATGGCCTAATACACTGTTTGACAAGTTACCACACAGTTAATGGCTTAAAACAACACATCATTTTGATCTCACAGTTTTTGTGGGCCAGCAGCCAAGGCATGGCTCATCTCGGTCCTCTGTCTCAGGGTCTCTCACAAAGCTGCAGTCAAAGTATCAGCTGGGGCTGGGGTCTCATCTGAAGGTTCAAGTAGGGAAGGACCCACATCCAAGCTCACATGATTATTGGCAGGATTCAGCTGCTTGAGGGTTGTTAGAATAAAGGTCCCAGCTCCTGGCCATGTGGGCATCTTCAGTATGGCAGCCTGAGTCATCAAAGCCTGCCAGCCAAGAAGGCAATAGAAAGACTCTGTAACATGACAGAAGTTATTCTCTCTTGTAACTTAATCACAGAAGGGACATCCCATTACTTTTTCCATATTCTATTGGTTAAAGGCAAGTAGCTGAGCCCATACCCAAGGGGAGAGAATTGCACAATGAATTTCAGGAGAAAGGGGTGATTGGGCATCATTGTAGAGTCTCCCTGGCACAAGTTTATTTACAGGTGTGTCCTCAGGGAGCAGCAGGGAAGGAGAAAAAGACAACTCAAAGACGTGCTGTTTGGAATTGGCCGTGGCTACAGGCACCCAGTGCTCAATCCTGTAAAACTAGGGGAACTTTTTTTTGCCCAGGGAACAAAAGGGGAAAGAATTTAACCATCAATCAGCTACTGACCCCTGAGGTCAAGGGTGGCTCCACTGCTATTAACTTCCCCATGCTTCCAGGCTGCATGTGCAGGGTTCTAGAGCAGGCTCCTAGGACAGCCCACACCATGCTGTCAGAAAGGAACAGGATACAAGGGGAGTCCGGGATGGGACAGGTGCTGAGAAAGGCAATCGGAGCTCGCATAGAACTGGTTGCTGCCTCAGTAGCTGAAGAAAGAGGTCCCCAGAGAACTGAAGCCATGTATGAGACATGTCTGATACAAACCCGTCCCCAGGTGTGTGTGTTTACACAGGCCTCCACCTGGGAGACAGAAGGCACTGCCTCCCTGTGAGCTTGGGGAAAGCTAACACAATGGGGCCACATCCAAATTTAACATTTTCTTCCACCGAAATGTAGCTCTTTGGCTGACCTTTTTCTGTTGATGGCACCATCATCTTCCTCTCCCAGCTTCACCTCAAAGTCGATCACCTCCGTGGATTCTTTGTTCTCCTTTGCAATCCATGCCTTATGGGGTAGGACTGACCAGTCATGTAACTTGAGGACTCAGTGCAAAGTGAAAATAAGGGGCCTCTTCCAAGCATGTGGACCAGTGCGACTGCACAGGTTGCACTTCCCTGAAGCCAGCCCTGCCTGCAGGATCTATAACTTCAGGAGATTCTCCAGTCACATCCTTAGGCTCTTAGCATTCTCTGCTGTGCCTTTCCTCTTGGCACCCCCACCAACTTATGACTAAAGAGTTTTCTACGCTTCTGTGGCCCTGAAAGAATGAACTTCATCCAGGACCCTGAAGGTGACCCTGTTAGTCCTGCTGCAAACTCCATTTGCCATAATGATCTGCCCGAAACGCCACCCTAACTCCTCCCTGCACAGGAGAAGAGTGAGTGAGTGAGTCTGTGGAGATGGGGTATGTAGTGTGCAACCTGCATAGCTGTGCTTAGCAACCTGGAGTCAAAGGGGGACTTGCCAAGAACTAAAAATGGGGATAAGGGGGTCTTGCCACCTTATGTGCCCAGTACTAGTCATAAGAACTGACTCTCATATATCACTTACTATGTTCCAAGTGATGTTTAAGCTCTTTGTACATATTAATTCACTGATTTCATTCTCACAGTCATCTTATGAGACAGTTACTCTTTTTATTCCCATTTTACCGAAGAAGCACTGAGGCAGAGAAATGTAAAAACAAAACAACAACAACAAAACACTTTCCCAAGGCCATGAGACCAGTACCAGAGCTGAGAATTGAGCCCAGGCAGTCCAGCTCTCAAGTCCATTTCCCTAACCACTAACCACACTGAAAGTGAGAGCCTTAGCTATTGGAGAGATCAGGCGTGTGTAGAGAACCTTCAGAAGCCTGACTACCTGATGATGTTATGCACTGTTTGTGGCTTGGAGAGAAAGGTGTGCATCTCATTTGATTTTTTCCTTTACTTTTTGTTGAAATTACTTTGGGAAAGTCTAGCCTATATCAAGAAAGAGACAAATGGGCAAAGGGAGGGAGATGGATGGATGGATGGATGGATGGATGGATGGATGGATGGATGCAGAGATATAGAGAGATATAGATTGTGCAAAATCCAGGTTATAAAGAAAGGGAAGGGGGCTGGGAAAGGGTGGACCCCTAAGCCAGGCTTAACAGCAGCTGTAGAGAACAAAATAAAAGTAAAATTAACCAACCTCCCAAATCAGTCAAAATCCTACCTGATTTCTAAGGCTCAACAGAATTATGTTCCCAGGAAGCCCCTGTGAATCCGATGTGAGATCTGTCTAAGAAGAAGTGGGAGGCTGTGGTGATTGCACTGTTTGTCTCTTTCTAGAAGAAAGGACTGTACACCAGGGCCTGATACCCTCCTGAGAGGTTGTCCTGACCAACAGGGCAGCTGCATTGCTGGGGAGGCAGCAAGCTGGTAAGGTCTCACTTCCCAGAGCAGCAGCTGGTGGGTTGCCATGGGTTCAGGAGTCCTTGCTGACATAGAGTGGTTGCCTTGGGGACGTTGAAAGAGGCAGCCTTCCTGGCCAGCCCTGGTGAGCAAAGGAAAAACATCGGGGTGGGGATAGTAAGAGGAGGATCACAGGCCTTGTGGAGCAGCCCACAAAATCCCTCACACTAGTACTTTATTGCCTATAAGAGATGTGCTGTCTACACAAACTCCCACTAGCTAAGTAGCAGGGAGAAAGCAGTGGGGGTGAGGAGGAAAGTACTTGATTGCAACCCCATGCATTAATCTCCATCCAATTCAGTCACTTGGGTTTGAGTCTCTTGGAGCCTGAGTGGATGAATGGACTGAGGGCAGACCTTGAGATGTGTGCCACATGGGATTGGGTGTCAGTGGGGAGGAGCATAGCTGGCTGTGTTCTCCAGCCAGGAGGGACAGCTGCCCCATACCTCCTGTGACTTCCACAGTCCTGTGTCTTGCCTGACAAAGTCCCTAGGTGGTTTGCCTGGCCATCATTTGTCATTTGCCCTTGCAGCAAGTCACAACGTGGTTTCTCTGACTGCTCAAGACTCAAAGCCCTCTTCCACCACACTCAAGGGGTGCTGAAGGTTAGGAGAGCAGGACCCCAGGCTTTTTGCAGGATGACCTCAACATTGCCCAACCTGTTAAAAAAAAAAAGACGACTAACCACAATGACTGTCCTCCCCAGTAGCCAGCTTCTCAGCAATCCGTCAGCTACTCTAACAAGTATAAACTGAGGTCAGCTTGGGGATGGAAATGTTCAGGCCTCCTTCAGCCCAAGCAGGCTGAGCATGTGAGATGTGACCACACTCCACCTGTAGCTGGGCAAAAGCTTTCCCCTGCCCCTCAGGTCCCATAACCTCCTAGCAGGCTGGTCTCAAGGCCACCTCCAGACCTCCCACCTCCCAAGGCTCAGGGAAGAAAGCACAGCACCTCCCTCTCTATCCTTCTCCCTCCCTTCCTCCCCCACAATCACATGAGCTTAGATGTGGATCTTTCCCCAGTTGAGTCTTCAGATGAGACCCCAGCCCCAGATAATACCTTGACTGTAGACCAGCAGAGGTGGCCTCTTCCTCCCCACAACTGCTCCCTCTATGTAACCAAGAGGCAAGGCCTAAGCAGGGCAGGAGAGGGTAGGGGAACTGGAGCAACACATCAAAGCCAGTCTTGATCTGTTAAATAGGAGCTAAAGAAACTTGGAAAAATTTTTTCCTCTCCTATTATTTTGCCAAGAAATCTCATTTTGAATATCAAAAGCTGAACGTTAGCTCCCTTCTTCTTTCTGCTCTCCTCTGTAGCAACCTCAGTCTTTTTCCTCAAGGCCGCTGGATGCTGATTTAGGCTAAGAAACAAAGGGAAAAGTCTCATTAATACTTTTCAAACGATTGCTCTCTTTCTCAGGTCAAAGCCAGGGAGAGTGAAAACTAGGAACAGTTAGAGATAAAATTTGCTGGACTATGTATTAGATCTAGAAGGCTGGTCTAGCACTTTACTGCTGCCTCAAAGCAGTTACATTCCTGATTTGACAACCAGCACACAGCCTGCTCTTCCTTTGAGCAGGGCAGACCCCATTTTATGAGTGCACCAAGGTTTCTCCAGGTGGAGGGAACAGACTCAAGCTAACCAAGTGGTTGCATGGCTGATGAATAATCTAGGGACTAGCTAAGAGTTGCAGCACAGAAGATGCTGAACAAAGAGCCAGATGATCACATCTGCCCAGGGCAAAGCAACACCTCCCCGGGAAACAAGCCGACACACCCAGATTTGCACTTCTCTTCTTTTCCTGGCACCTCACTGACCGTCCCCTCCTTCATCCTGACGAGGGCAGACGCAGCCATCTCCATGCCAACATACTCTCACCACACTGAAACGTCTACATGTGCAGTTTTTTCCCATGTCAATTGCACTCTGGGTTGGATGTGTCCAGTGACAGCTGCAGAGGTGCTGAGTGCACGGGTAGGTGACAGGCAGCTCGGCCCAGGAAGGTCTCCTCTCCTCTCTGTTCCCATCCATGTTAGCCTTAGAAAGCACATCCTGTCTGTTGTCCTTCTCCCTATGTTTCGACACCTATGCTACCTCTGCTGACTGAGTTACCAATAACCAGGATTAAACATCACCATCCCTGCAACAATGCCAGCTCCTTTTCCTTAAGCAGCTTCTCTGTGCCCAGGTGGAGGCTGGATGCTTTCCATATAGTTCTTAGAAATACTCAGGCGTACTCTTAGGTGTATAATGTTACTCCCATTTCATAGATGTGAAAACTGAGACCAGGATAGAAAAATAGCTGGATCAAGGTCACACCACTAGGAGACGGGACCGTGGTACCTACTTTTTGGTCTGCTTAGGAAACTTTCCTATCAGAAGTATTAAAAGATAATTTTCCTAAAACAGGTGAGATCATGACTCTCATACTTTAACGTGTTAAAGATTTTATTTGACTTAATGAGGGAACCAGGCAGACGTTAACAAAGGAGAAATCTGAAAAGCAGAAATTTATAGGGAGTAAGGAAAGTGGAAATGAATTTACAAATAGACTGAAACTGGCTTTTTCCTTAGGGAAGAGGGTAGTCAATTGAACCGCTGGACAGGATTTATTTGCATGTCTATAGACAAGAATTATTTTGCATTGCTATCAGTTATGTACAACCTACAGAGCCATAAAATAGCTCAAAGACCCTGAAAGGCTAAAATCAGATAACATGCAAAGGTATGCTCAAAACAACCTAGTTTTCCATCGGCGACACCTAGTGATCTTTTTTGCTTATTCCAAATTTCCTTACAGGGGCAAGTCCTTGGCCAGATCTAGGTGATCCTGGTAACTTACAGAGAAAATCATCTCAGCTGATGTGGTCTGGCTAAGGCTGCCAGTCACATAGAGGAAAAAGAAAAGGCAGATCCCCAGTGTTACTCAGCATCTACTACATGTCAGGCACTGCTTCAAATGCTTGGCATATACTAATTCATTCAATCCTCACAATAACCTATGAGAAAGGCTTCGTTGTTGCTCCATCTTATGGATGAGGACAAGAGTATCTGGCCAGCTAAGGAACTTGTCCAAAGTCACACTCAAAGCCAGATGCAAACACGGAAGTCAGATGCCAGAGCTGTTGCTTAAAGCTCTGTGCCATCCTGTCTTACGGAACAACCTGGAAAGAAAAGCAGAGAGAAATAATGATGGGCAATGACAGAGCAAGATTGCAGATGGGGCTGGGGGTGGGTTCTAGCCCCTATGGCTCTGGAACCTTTAGGAGGTTCTAGAAGGTTCTAGAGCCTTTCTTCCCTTGGATTCCTCAAGCAACCTCAGCATCCTTTTCCGGGTACCAAAGACAGTATCTCTGTATCCTTCTGGTGCTTAAGCTCCTTTGAGTTGTACTTTTATTTTTTCATAAAGAATCTTGACTTACACATCTATTAAGTGACAGAACTGAGTTTCAAACCCTCATGTGCCTAAACTGCATAGCTGCGTCTCTCAGTTTTCTCACCTGGAAATGGGACTATTCTAGTACCCACCCTGCTGGATTATTGTGACAGTTGGGTACACTGATTCAGTAAAGCTCTGAAACGAATGCCTGGCAGCTAAAGGTACTCAAGTTATTAAGTCAGTGTTATCATCAGCTCCATTTTGCAGATCAGTACACTGGGACAAAAGATGTTATGGACTTTGTCCAAGATCACTCACCTGGCACTATTTATGAGCAAATGGCAGAGCCAGAAATTGAAACCAAGCAGTCAGCAGAGCCTGTCGGCTTCACGTCGACCCTGGGAGGGCCCTGAAGAAGTCATCTGCCCCCACCATGCCCCCGTTCTGTCCAGAGCTGAGTGGGTGTTCCGGGAGCCTGGGTCAGGCTTCCAGGGCAGAAGGACTCCCAGAGCTGGAGCTGGCTCCTTTCTCAGCTTGCTTGTGAAAGAACCACAGGCAGGTGGGGCCTCCCAGCTCTGAGCTGCAGCGGCCAGGTGAGCACAGTGCTCTGGGGCAGTGGCTCCCACTGAGCCAGGGTCTTATGCAAATGCACCTGCTCCCACCCACCTACCCAGGTGCCTGTGGAGGCGCCACCATATCTCTCTACTTGCGCTGTCTCCAAGTCGTCTTCCCTGCCGTCTCCACCATATGGAGGCATAAATCCAGTTAATGTGTCCAAAAAAGAAAAATCAAAATGTCAGATCTGCAGAGATGGTTCAATTGAAGGAATATTGATTGTCACAGAGAATAGTCTCACTTTATTCACCTACTTAGTCTGCTCCCCTAGGCGCATATGAATTCATCAAATATCGTCACAGCGCATAATAACGTTCATTCCCGCATTGTTGTGACTGCTTGGGCTTTGGTCCTGCTCACCGTGCCTGACTCAGGTGGGGTAAGGCCAGGGGAGGGTGGGAAGGGAGAGGAGGGGTTTGCTGACATGGTTTGGATGTTTGTCCTCTCCAAATCTCATGGTGAAATGTGATCCACAATGTTGGAGGTGGAGCCTAATGGAAGGTGTTTGGGTCCTGGGGGCAGATGCCTCCTGAACGGCTTGGTGCCCTCTCTGTGGTAATGAGTGAGTTCTTCTTCTACTAGTTCACAGGAGAGCTGGTTGTTTAAGGAACTCCTCCCCTCTCTCTCGTTCCCCTCTCACCATGAGACATGCCTTCTCCAACTTTGCCTTCCACCATGAGTAAAAGCTTCCTGAGGCCTCATCAGAAGCCAAGAAGATGCTGGTGCCATGCTTCCACAGCCTGCAGAATGATGAGCCAAATAAACCTCTTTATAAATTACCCAGCCCCAAGTATTCCTTTATAGCAACATGAAATAGATGAATACAGTGGCCAAGGCATCACATCATGGCATTTTACTCAGGACAAGACACTTTGCCATCTAGCATGTGAACTGATCTTCCACACCACCACGTGGGGGAGTCAGGAAGGAGAGAGTTATTCCCAGTTTTCTAGGTTGGATCCGCAGAGTTAAGCAACTCATCCAAGATCATGCTGCTAATAAGCTAGAATTTGAACCTTGGTTTCCAACTTCCAATTTGGGACCCCTTTCATGCCACCTGCCCTTTCCTGTAAATGGTGCGTCTGATCCAGACAGGACTAGAGATGGGTGGAGTCCTCTGGGCTTCTGCATGGCTGTCTGCGCTGTGGATCATGCGTCCACTCTTTGTCCAGGCCTGGACGCAGACTCAAGGAGATGCCCCATAGCTCTCAATGCACGTATTAAAGTGGAAAAGCAGGAGACATGGCTTTTAGAGACTAACAGCTGGAACTGTCAGAATGCCACACTGTAGACTTGACCCATGACCCCTCCGAAACTGTTTATTGAGTTGACATGACACCAGCACAAGGTAAAGGCTGAAGAACCCTGAGAAAGTAGCACAAAACATCACAGGGAGCATCTTAGCCCCCTGAGACCTGCATTTCCTTTTTTGTTTTGTTTTGTTTTTTTTTTTGAGACAGAATCTTACTCTGTCGCCCAGGCTAGAGTGCAGTGGTGCAATCTCGGCTCACTGCAACCTCTACCTCCCAGGTTCAAGCGAGCCTCCTGCCTCAGCCTCTTGAGTAGCTGGGACTATAGGCATGCACCACCACATTTGGCTAATTTTATACATATATACATATATATATATATATATATATATATATACATATATATATATATATATTTTTTTTTAGTAGGGACGAGGTTTCACCATGTTGGTCAGGCTGGTCTCAAACTCCTGACCTCAGGTGATCCACGCGCCTCGGCCTCCCAAAGTGCTGGGATTACAGGCCTGCGCCACAGTACCCAGCCCAAGACCCGCATTTCTGAAACACCAACCAAGAAGAGGGGTCAGGCAGCCAAAGCCCCCAAATGCACTTGTACCATAAGTTGTGGGGTCTCTCCAGGCACCGTCCAGGAAAGCACAACCCTAGAGTATTTAGACCAGCCTTTTTCACAGTGTGTCCCAAGGAACAAGGGGTCTGAAGTTCTGAAACAATTTTGCAGTCAAATAAATTTGGGGAACTTTGGGTTAATTAAAATTAAACAGATTATTTTGATCCAGGGTTTCTTGGAACCTCCATCATCTTGATTTTAATAAGAACAGCCCATGTTGCCTGTGGCCCAATGTGCCCAGCACTGTTCCAATACTAACTCATTTCCATACTGCTATCCCCATTTTACAGTTCAGGAAGCCAAGACACAGAGAGGAGGTGACCTGCCCAAGGCCAGGAGTTCTGGTGTGATGAGACAAGATGAGCAAGCTAGAATCAGCAGCGACTCAGAGGCAGGTAGACAACACAACACTTCCCAAACTTACTCAACTCTGGATCTGCCCCATCCTTTGTTCTGTCCCAGAGCACCTCCTGGGACTCAGGTTCTGTGGAATATTTAAGAACTCTGGTTTAAGCAGCTTCCCTGACCGGCTAGCTCAGGTAGCTATCAGAGCTCTGTTCAACGGCACACCTAGAAGCAAATGCAAGTTGATTTGGTCTCTGAGTAGTGCCTCTTTCTTGTTCCCCAGGGAAGCTCCTGCGCTGTGGGGGGCCTGAATCCAAAGGCAGGAGCCCCTGGGGAAAATCCAAATTTTTGGCTGGATGGGGACCAGTGCTTCCACCTCTCTATCCTCTTCCCTGGGCCACCTTGAAGCAGGGAGCTGAGGAAGGTGGGATGGACTCCACGCTCTTCCTCCTCATCATGCTCCTGGCTGGATACCAGTTCTGGAACCTTCCAGCCAAAGGCAGAAAGGATTTTTCCAGTGGTTAGACTCAGCCCAGAGGAATAGAGACACTAATCACTTTGAGCAGCTGCCCCTCTGTCCCCACCTGGGGCTCAGCCACACCCACCATAATTTCTGACTCGATGTGATGCTTTGGCTGGAGTCCGCAACAGATGCATGGAGTGGGAGATTTTATTCCCAGGAGTCTTTGCCAGGAGATCATCCCTGGGAGGGAGAGGGGAAATGTGGCCTCAATAGAAGAATATCAATAGGAAACCATGGTGAGAAGACATAGTTGGCCAGAGCTGGCGATGGAGTAATTAATTCTACTTAAGTAAAATGTTACTAATAATTAAACGTACTAATTAAGAAAAATTGGATCAGCTGTTGTCAATGTGGCACAGAAGCAGGAGCTCCACTGACACATTCCTTGGGCAGCTTCCCGCTGGGAGTGGATGGGACTAGACGCAGCCCACATGGTCACCTTGGGGCCCAGGAGAAACCAGAGGAGCTGTGAGCTGGAGAGTCCTCTGTGAGAGGAAGCCACAGGCTTGGGGACATGTCTCGTAAGGTGACAAATCCAGAAGGCTAGGGAAGACTCCATGAGAAGGAAATCCAGAATCTGGCCCCAGTATGTCCACCTGTACAAAGCGCAGGAAGTCTGTGCCAGATAGGGACAGCAGAGAGCAGCTCTCAGGCAGTAGAGGGGCAGGTGAGATGCTTGAGAGAGACAGATCCCAGTGGATGGGAGATGAGACAGGCAGAGAGGACAGATCACGAATTAGGCAAGGACAGACATCTGCAGGTCGGCAAGCGAGTCTTCAGTGGTCGTAACTCAGGTGAAGTTGGGAGGCAGCAAAGTGTTATAGCAGGAGCTAGAACTGGAAGACAGACGTACTAGCTAAGGGAGGGTTCCTCAGCCTCGGCACTATGGACATTTGGAGTCAGACAATTCTTTGTGTTGGAGGGAGCAGGGGCCTGTCCCAGGCATTATAGGATGTCTAGCAGCATCCCTGGCCTCTACCCACTAGTTACCAGAATTATCCCCCAATTATAACAATCAAAAATGTCTCCAGACATTGCTAAATGTTTCCTTGGAGGCAAAATCACCCCCAGATGAAAACAACTGAGCTGAATTTTTTCTTTTTTAACCAGCAACTGAACGTCACAAAGGTTTACTGCTTACTCCTCTGAAGAGACCTGCTCTTCAATGGGTTTTACTCCATACAGTCATTCAAGCCCCAGGCTTCCTCCCACTCATGGCTCACTGACCCCCAGCCTCAGGGCCCTCCACTGGATCATTCACATCCAGCTGGCCAATGAGCTCAGGGGCAGTGTGGAGAGATTGAGGGGCCAGGCCTGGAAGTGACTGATATCACTTCTGTCCATGGGCTACTGGCCCCACTTAACAGCAAAGGGTGAACCTGGCTCAGCAGTGGGCAAGGAGGGAACCCCAGATATGATGGACAGCTACCCCCATGCCATGTCAGCTCCTGGTCCTGGCCCTGACTCTGCCATGGATGGCTCCTCTCACCTGGGCCAGTCCCTCCTCCAGGCCTCAGTTTCTTTCTCTTAAAAGGCCCCTTCCATAAACAAAAGGTGGTCTATCCATTCAATGGAATATTACTCAACCATAAAACAGAATGAAGCACTGATATGGGCTACAACACGGATGAACCTCAAAAACAAGCCGCGTGAAAGAAGCCAGACACAAAAATATTTTATGATTCCATTTCTATGAAATATCCAGGATAGGCAAATCCATAGAGACAGAAAACAGGTTAGTGGTTGTCAGGGGCTGGGGGGAAGGAGAGTAGGGAATGACTGCTTAATGAGTCCCAGGTTCCCTTTTAGGGTGCTTAAAAAATATTTTAGAACTACATAGAGGTGATGAATGTACTAAATGCTGCTGAATTATACACTTTAAAATGGTTAATTTTATGCTATGAGAATTTTACCTAAACTAAAAAAAATTAAAGGAACTTCCAGCTGTAACCTTCGGTGAATGCTTAAGATCCAGGCAGTACAGGAACCAGGCTAGGGCACCCAAAAGTAGGAAAATGGGAATCTGTTTTCCCCGGAGACACACCCCAAATAAATAAGAAAACAAAGGCCCCTAGTCCCCACTCTGCCTTTTGAGTCAATGCAATATAAGTGAGCTTTGTAAACTATAAAGCTCTCTATAAATGTAAGCAGACATTATTACTGGGGCATTATTTAGGATCTCATTGTTATTCTGAATGCAGCCAGGGCAGGGCTGGACATGAAGGGAGTGAGCTGCATAAATGCGTGTGTATTAAGGGCAAGCCAGCACAGGGGCTCTAAATGCCGTGGCCCAGAACAGCCATTACTATTTAGGATGATGTAAATTAATAATGAAGCTGCTATTTCTTGCTTCCTAGGTGCCCAACACTACACAACACACCTTCCATGCATCTACTCAGTTAAACTTCTCCGCATTCTTGAAAGGTAGTAGGATTAGAACTGTTTTAAGATGAGAAATAGAAAAGTGAAAGGTTAAATAACTTGCTATATGAGTTATCTATTGCTAAGTAACAAGTTATCCCAAAACTTAAACTGTGGCTTAAAACACAGTTATTATCTCACACTTTCTATGGGCTGGGAATTTGGGCAGAGCTCAACTGTCCTCTGTCTCAGGGTCTCTCGTAGGCTGCAATTGAGGGGCTGGGGTCTCATCTGAAGGTTCAGCTGGGGAAAAGATCCACATCCAAGCTCATGTGGTCATTGTGATTCAGTTCCTTAAGGGACTGAGTGTCTTGGATCCTAGCTGGCAGGTGGCTGGAGGCCACTCTCAGTTTCTTGTCACATGAGCCTCTCCAACATGGCAGCTTGCTTCATGAAAGTGGCAAGCCAAGAAGGCACTAGAATCTAACAAGACAGAGATTGTCATCTGATGCAGCCTGTCATCGAAGAGCACCTCCTCACCTTTGCTGTCTTCTGTTGGCTAGAAGCAAGTCACTAGGTCCAGCCCACACTCTAGGGGAGGGGACTAACACAAGGGCATGAGCACCACGAGGTGGGAATCAGGGCGGGGGACCATCTCGGAGTCTTCCCACCGTGCTTGCCAAAGGTCTGTGGGTGCTAGAAAGCCAAGCTACATGCACCCTGGCTTTGTAGAGGAGGCTCAAGCCCATATCATTGCACTATACTTTCTCCATGTTCTTCAAGGGTAGGCAGGGCGTGGGGGAAGGCAAAGAGGGAGAGAGAAAGAGAGAGACTTTTCTATAGAACAAAAAGATGCATTAAGCTCTTCCTGGCCAGGCTACACTGATGAGGCTGTTCCTGCAGGACACAGCCCAGAGCTAAGGCTGCCCCCAATATTAATGGTGTCCTCATTAAAGTCATGAGCAGGGCTATATTTTAATTGCCTGGCAGAGCCCTGAGCACCTAAAGGGGAGACTTGCCACATCCTCCTCATCATGACTATTAATAGGCTGGGAACATTCAGGGCTGCTCAAGCCCAGGGTTGGCAACCCCCACTCCCTCCAACACAAGCAGCTCAAGTCTTCTCCAGACCTTCTTTACACCAGCCCCACAGACCTGCAGTAACCAAGGGCAACACCTGGCCTTTTCCCCAAGGCTGGTATAGTGTGTGCCTGGAACTTGGTCTTCTGAGCATCTGGGAGACAAGGGTGAAAGACCCAACCCGTCACCACCCAACCTGCTCAAGGGAAGAGCCTCATCTCCTAGCCCTGTCTCCCTGGCAGCCAGCACAGTGCCTGGCAGGTGGGCCTCAGTGCATGAGATGAGTCAGTGGCTGCCCACAGGGGTCATCTATGCAGATGTGGTAGGATGCCCATGAGACCAAGTTTGAGCAGGGAAAATTAGTCTCCACCAGCTTCTGATTTCCCATCTATCTTTGGGTGAGGGGGATGTTTTCAAACTCTCTAATGGCCAGAAGACCAAGGCAGAGGGGAGAACACCTGAGATTAGCAGGCTGAGTGCTTTTGTAAATATTTACCTTCTTGGTGCCCCAGGGATGTAACCATACAAAATGTAACCCTCCCAGCACCCCCGGCTTCCAATTCAGACAGGGTAGAGATGCCATGCCTCAGTGTACCTCCAGGGTTGGAAGTGAACACCTGCCATTGTCCCACCCGCATTTCTTTCTCTAGAGATTGCCAGGTTTTGAAACATAAAAGCTTCTATGCAATCCCCTTCCAGCCATAGAGTGGCGCCATTTGCTCTTCAGCCTCCCTTCCAAGTAAAACTCTTGAGAGATTCCAGTGTGCATTGCTTTCTCCATTCTAGGGGTACCTATCATCAGTGGGTCCAAAGTGAGTTCTCTGGCTGCTTTCTTACTAAAGCAGGGATTAAAAAAAAAAAACATCTTAATATCAGGATCCATTCCACCTCTGACTATATACATGCATGTACATACAGCCTGACAGTCTGTGCCACATGAGTAGTCTAGAAGGCCACCTTTCCTTCCACGGCCTCCCTAGCTTGGACGGGCTGGTAACTGTATCATTCTTATTTGCAAGGCTGGACTAAATCTTGTAGGGCATGTTATCCAATGGCCACAGAGACCTCTTGACTCCTCCAACAGGAAAATGGGCAGCTCCTCCCCCTGAGAAGTCTTGGCCAAGCAGGGTCAGAGCCCCCACACCCTGCCCACCCACTCCCTACCCACTCCTCCCCAGTCACAGGTCTCCTTTCCTCCAAGTTCCAGCATGCCTCCTCCTGCCTCCCTAGGCCCAACTTTGCTGTGCTGGGAGCAAAGAAAGCTTTATTGAATTTTCGCGAGTACTTTGCATGGCATCTGATTTACAATTCATAACCTGGATTATACTGCGAGTTCAGCCTTCCGGGGTCGGTGTAATTTAGATCTTGGAAATATTTGCCGTGCTTTCAATTCCCCTGACATCTAAGGGATTGGAAATGGATTCTGCCCCTGGAGGTTTGCTATTTGGAGGGGCCGATGGAAGGGGGTACAGGGATGAAGACAGCTCACAAAGGGAAGGTGGGGAGCAGTGAGGCGTGAAAACTGAGGTAGGGAAAAGATAAAGTTAAACACCAGCAGGAGGGAATGATCACATGCATGAGACAGAGGGGCAGGGGAGGCCACGTGACCAGGCTCCCTACCACCTGCACGCGTCACCTCTGCTTGTGTGGTGATGGCCCTGGGGACAGGAGTGCTGCTGTCCAGGGGAAGTGCCTTGGCAGCGTGGAGCAACCCACCTTCCCATCCCACCTTCTGGTCCTGCCTCTTTCCCTACCTGGCTGTAAGAGGGGCAAATCCCCTAGACTTTTTCTTTAACCAGTCTTATATAATTCACATACCATACAATTTGCCACTTAAAGCGTGCAATTCAGTCCAGGCATGGTGGCTCACACCTGTAATCCCAGCACTTTGGGAGGCCGAGGTGGGCAGATCACTTGAGGTCAGGAGTTCGAGACCAGTTGGCCAACATGGCGAAACCCCATCTCTACTAAAAATGTACAAAAATTACCCGGGCATGGAGGTGGGCACCTGTAATCCCAGCTATTCAGGAGGCTGAGGCAGGAGAACCGCTTGAACCCAGGAGGCGAAGGTTGCAGTGAGCAGAGATTGCACCACTGCACTCCAGCCTGGGCGACAGAGTGAGACTCCATTTCAAAAATAAATAAATAAAAATAAAATTTGCGATTCAATGGCTTTTAGTGTATTTACAAAGTTGTACACACATCACCATGATCAATTTTCGAACATTTTCATTACCCCAAATAAATACCCTGCACCCCTTGGCCATCACCCCTGTACTAGTTTCCTGGGGCAATTGTAACAGATTAATTATAAACTCAGTGCCTTTAAATAACAGAACTTGGTCCTCTGTCTGTTGTGGAGGCCAGAGTCTGAAATCAAGGTGTGGTCCGGGCCGCGGTCCCTCCAAAGACTCCAGGAGAGAGTCCTTCCTTGCCTCTTCCAGCTCCTGGGGGCTCCAGGCACTCCTTGGCTTGGGGCTGCATCGCTCCAACCTGTGCCTCTGTCTTCACTCGGCCTTCTCCCCTGTGCCTCTGAGGACCAAATCTCTCTCAGCCTTTTCCTTATAAGGACACATGTCAATGGGCCCACCCTAAACCTAGCATGACCTCATCTTTAGGGTCTACCATAAATCTAGCATGACCTCATCTTTAGGGTCCACCCTAAGTCTAGGATGACCTCATCTGCAGTGTCCACCCCAAATCTAGGATGAATTCATCTTTAGGGTCCCCCCTAAATCTAAGATGACCTCATCTTGATACCTTTAACTTAATTATATCTGCTATGAATCTTACAAAAATGAGTCCACATTCACAGGTTCTTCAGGTTAGAATATGGACGTATCTTTTGGGGGAACACACGTCCACCCACTATATTGTCCTTTTGCCTCTGTCTTCCCCAGCCCCTGGCAACCACTGATCTATATAGATTTGTCTATTCTGGACATCTTATATGAATGGAACCATACAATATGCTGTCCTTTGTGATTGGTTTTTTTCACTTAGCACAATGTTCTCAAGGTTCATCCATGTTCTAGTACGTATCAGTATTTCGTCTCTTTCAATTATTGAATAATATGGATATATAACATCATATCTATCCATTCATCAGTTGATAGACATATGGGTGTTTTTTTTTTTTTTTTGGCTATTCTGAATAACGTTGCTGTGAAAATTCATGAACAACCCCTAACCACTTTTTTTTTTTTTTTTTTTGAGACGGAGTCTCGCTGTCTCCCAGGCTGGAATGCAGTGGCGTGATCTCGGCTCACTGCAAGCTCCGCCTCCTGGGTTCACGCCATTCTCCTGCCTCAGCCTCCCGACTAGCTGGGACTACAGGTGCCTGCCACCACGCCCGGCTAATTTTTTGTATTTTTATTAGAGACGGCAGGGTTTCACCGTGTTAGCCAGGATGGTCTCAATCTCCTGACCTCGTGATCCGCCCGCCTCGGCCTCCCAAAGTGCTGAGATTATAGGCGTGAACCCCTAACCACTTTTACCATTAGCGAAATAGTGAGAATTTCATATTTGTCTTCCCCAAAACCCAGCGTTAGGATGAGTACGGCAGGCAGCTTCTAGAATGGCTCTGAGTGTTCTCCCATCTCCTGGTATTCACGCTCTTGTGTAATCCTCTTGCCTTGAGCATGGGATGGACCTAGTGACTTATTTCTAAGAAACAGAATATAGCAAAAGTGATGGGATGTCACTACCAAGATTAGGCTGTAAAACACTGTAACTTCTGGCTTGCTCTCAGTCTCTTGCTTGATCACTTACTTTCTCTGTTGAATCAACCTGCTATGTTGTAATCTTTTCTATGGAGAAGCCCATGTAGCAAAGAACTAAGGACAGCCTCTGGCCAAGAGCCCTCTAGGGACTAGGGCTTGCCAGCAACCACATGAGTGAGCATGAAAGTGAATCCTTCCCCAACCAAGACTTCAGATTAGACTGAATCCCTAGCTGACAGCTTGATTACAGCCTGGAGAGACACCCTGAGCCACAGCACTCAGCAAAGATCACCAGGATTCTTGACCCTTAGACTGTGAGAGGATATTGTATGTGTGTTGGTTTAAGCTACTCCATTTTAGGCTAATTTTTATGCAGTCTTAAATAAAGTGAAGACAGAAGAAAAGATACTCTTGGGAGACCCTGAGCTGCCAGGATGGTGGATCAGGGATGAGCTTATTGGGAATGACACTTAGCCCAGATGACCTGATGTTGAAAAGTCTTGGCTGCAGACATCCCAACACCAAAGTCTATTAAATGATTTCATTTTCTTCTTTGGGATGGAGGAGAAGTGCTGAGATAACCAGAGTGAAAAAATCAGATGTGATATGCCATCTTCCTCCCTCTGAAGCTACAGAGCCCTGAAGGCATGGAAGGCACGGAAGTTGAAGGAAGGAGCAGTGGTTAGCTCCAAATTTGCTCAAAAGCACTACAAAGAGTAGAGTTGGGTCAAGGAACTAGAAATCTGGGCTTCCAGGACAGTGCTCTTTCTAGTGCACTAGATTTCCTAAAGGGCAAAGAAAGCACATTATCTGATCCAGAAAAGACTGCTTAGGGTGGCCGAGAGGGTGAATACCTGAGGACAAGAAAATATCAAGGCTTAATGGCACTATCAAAGTGTTAAAATTTTATTACAAAAATGGCTCTGACCATATCACTCATCCTACATGGTCTTCTCACAATGTGACTTTGCCACTTCCCCTATCAAAAAGGAAAGTCAACATCTTCCCTGAAACCTAATCAGACCTTAGTGACTCCTTCAGCAAAGTATAGCAGGAATGATGCTACATGACTTCCAAAGCTAGGTCATAACAGGTGACACAGTTTCCACTTGCCTCTCTTTTGGGATGCTTACTCTTGGAACCCAGCTGCCATGTTGTGAGGAACCCCAGGCCACACGGAGAAGCCATGTGTAAGTGTCCTGTCAGACAGCTCCAGCCAAGGTCCCAGCCAATAGCCAACATTAACTACCAGACATGAGAGTGAGGAAGTCTTTCAGATGACTCTAGCCACCATCGGAATAAAACCACATGAGAGAACCCAAGTGATAACTGACTGGCTAAAACCAGTTAACCTCAAAAATCATGAGGAATAGTAATAATTAATGATAGTTGTATTAGTCTGTTCTTGCCCTGCCACAAAGAACCACTTGAGACTGGGTAATTTATAAAGAAAAGAGGTTTACTTGGCTCATGGTTCTGCAGGCTGTGCAGGAAGCATGACTGGGGAGGCCTCAGAAAACTTACAGTCATGGTGGAAGATGAAGAGGAAGAAGGCACGTCTTACATGGCTGGAGCAGGAGGAAGAGAGAGAAGAGGGAGGTGCTACACATGTTTAAACAACCAGATCTCCTGAGAACTCACTCACTATCACAAGAACAGCAAGGGCTAAGTCTGCCCCCATGATCCAGTCACCTCCCACCAGGCCTCTCCTCAAACATTGGGGATTGCAATTCAACATGAGATTTGGGTGGGGACAAAAATCCAAAGCATATCAACAGTTGTTTCATACCACTACATTTGAGTTTGTTTGTTACATACCTACAGGCAACCCAAACCAAGCAATAATGCTATAATCATGAAGATGATCTATAGATAGATAAGCTGATAGATGGATTGATGGATCAATGGGTGGATGGATGGATAGATGGATGAATGGATGGACAGATGGATGAGGAGGTGGAATAGGGTAACAGAGAGACATCAAATCAGTACTTACTATGTGTTCATAGTAGTCATTGACACTAGACCAAGGGATTTATTGACATTATCTCTTTTTTAATTCTCACAACAATCTTATGAAGCTGGTATTCTTATTCCCATTTATAGAAACAGTAACTTAGATTTAGAGAGTTTCAATAATGTTCCTGAGGCTACACAGCTAGCATGGAGTAGGTTCTCCTGACCTCAACGTCCATGATCATGATACGTCTGGTGTGGAGCACAGGTAAGAGTGTGAAACTGAGAGTGAACGTAATAGAAATTCTAGGCCTAATTAACTCAGGCAGACCTTAACTATTCATGACACCAGCCTGACCTCTTTTCTGGATGCCTCACTTCAAGATTTTATCTGGAGTACATGTTGCTCTTTATTCTCCTGCTGAGGACTACAGAAAAGCCTATTTTTTGACATAAGAACAAGGAACCTAAGAGAGAAGCCTCCCTCCTGTGCTGTCTTTTGTTCTGGAAAGGCAATGACCAAAATGGGAAGAGCTGTTTTGCTGGTATTGTTGTTGTCATGATGGTGATGGTGATGGTGATGGTGGAGATGGCCATGATGATGGTGAATGGTAGTGAGTGGTGGTGGAAATCGTAGTAGTGATAGTAATGATGGCGATAATGGTGATGGTGGTGATCATAGTGATGGTGGTGGTGGTGATGGTAGTGGTGATGGCTATGGTGGTGATGGTGGTGTAGCAGTGGTGGTGGTGGTGGTAATAGTGGTGGCGGTGGTGGATATGGTAGTGATGATGGTGTTAATGATTTTGGTCATGATGGTGGTGATGATAATGGTGGTAGTGGTGATGGTGATAGTAGTGATGGTGGTGGTGATGGTAGTGATGTTGGTGGCGGTAATAATGATGGTGATGGTAATGATTTTGGTCATGTTGATGGTGATGGTAATGGTGGTGGTGGTGATGGTGATACTAGTAATAGTGGTAGTGCTGGTGGTGATAGTAGTGATGGAGGTAGTGGTGGTGATGATAGTGCTGGTGGTGGTGATGATGGTAGCTGTGGTAATAATGGTGGTGGCAATGATGGTGATAGTAGTAATGGTGGTGATGGTGGTAGTGGTGTTAGTGGTGATGATGGAGGCAACAGTGGTGGTGATTGTAGATGTGGTCATGGTGATGGTGGTAGTGGTGTTAGCAGTGATGGTGATAGTGGTGATGATGGTGGTGGTAATGATGGTGGTGGTGGTGGAAATGATGGTGGTGTTGGTGGTAGGCATGGTAGTGTTGATAGTGGTGTCAGTGACGATGGCGTTGGTGTTAGTCAAAAGCCATGGACCCTCTCTGCAGAAAAGGGAGGCCTCTGGCCAGGATCATGCCAAACCCTCTCCTCTAAAGTCCAACAAAAGGAGATGGGCATGGTACTTGGCATCCATAGAATAGAGCTGATTATATAAGGCCCTTCCAAACTCTTCCAGCAGCCAAGAGCCTCAGAGCTATTGACACTTGCCTTCTCTCCTATGTTTGTTCTAAATCTGGCTCACTGTGGCTCAAGAGCTATTACTGATTCTAAGTTAAAAACCCAATGCAAATGGAGGGTCCTTGTAAGTTTAACACATCACTCCCAAGGCTCAGCACAGTGCCTGGCCTATAACAGGCCCTTGATACACATTTATGAACAAACAAACCCTTCAGCAAGCTATAGTTTAACTGAGGACCAGAAATATCCACAGTTGGATTCAAAAGTATTTCCTGAAGCTCTCAGGGAGGAGTATCCTAATCTAGGAGTTGGGAAGCCTGGACCTCCCTTAAGAGAAAGATGGCTTCAGAGTCCTTCTAACCATAGACATTGTGCCTTAATCACATTATTCAAGGATGCATAAACTGGCTGCTGACTAAGCCTTTTGTGTGGCCTGGAAGAAAACAGATTTTTTGAGAACTTACTACAGTAAAAAGTAATAGTTAATGTTTCTGATGGCTTGTGATGTGCCATTTAAAAACCACACAAATTTACTTATTTGAACTCACAGCAACCCTATCATGCATGGGTTATCATCATCAATCATCATCATCATCATTTTATGGAGGAAAAACTGTAGACAAGACACACGAAGAACAAGCAAGCTGCCCACAGTGTCACAGCTAGCCAAGCCAGAGCTGGACAAATCCCAGGCAGTCTAAGCTGCTAACCACTGTTCAACCTGGCCTCTTGCCTTCCGATGTTTGCTATGAGCCTGGCCCTGCACTCTGCATCTTTCTATGAGTTGTTGCATTCCATGATGGCTTCAGTTCTATGCAATAGGTGTGCTACCGAGGTCTTGGGAGGGAGCAGTTGGCCTACTTAGAGGTGTGATGGGAGAGAGTCTGATATGGTTTGGCTGTGTCCTCAGCCAAATCTCATCTTAAATTGTAGCTCCCATAATTCCCACGTGTTGTGAGAGGGACCCAGTGGGAGATAATTGATTCATGGGGGCAGTTTCCCCCCTACCGTTCTCATGGTAGTGAATTAGTGAATGAGTCTCACGAGATCTGATGGTTTTATAAGGGGCTTCTGCTTTCACATGGCATGTCTTTATCAGCAGCATGAAAATGGACTAATTGGACTCTGTATTAACAGAGTCCTGATGAAAGAACCATTGACAATGGTGTAACAGGCTAAGGAGATCCAAGGAATGTGGGTGTCGCACCCAGCGCCCAGCCAGAGAGGGAAGCCAGTATGCCCCTAGGACTGAGTGGGTAAAGGAAGAGCTTGGAGACAGAGGGGACTATAGGGGAAGGCCTTGACAGCTACTGCCAAGCCACTGCCTGGCCTGGAAGGAGCCAGGACCCAATGTCGTCACTTCTCTCATCTTACCCTCTGAGCTCTGTCACTGCCACATCTGTGCAAGCCAGAGCTAAGGTCCTCAGAGACCAGCCTCCCAATCAGAGCAGGTGGAGAAGAAGGGAGGGTGGTCGGCAAAGTAAACGGACACCTTCCAGCACAGCCGAGGCTAAGAAGTTGAGACTAAGAAACTTTACGCAACTTGCCCAAGGACACAAGCTTGGAGGTGAGAAAGCCAGGTGGACTTCAGAATTCTTCCCAAGGCTGCCTCTGTGGCCTGAGTCACAGTGAAGAAGGCTTTCGTGTGTGTACATTGGTGTAAATGATCATCAGCCAGGCTGCCAGCAGCCTCCGCAGTGTTCTCATAATGGGATTTTAATTCGCTTCCCCCATCGTCCTGCTGAGCTGAGAAGCGCTCCTGTTTGTCTACTTCTTGTTAGGCTGCTGCTTCAAAGCAGAAACAGGAGGCAGTCCCTCTGGTCCACTTGCCTTTCATGCTCTTTGGGCCAAACCCCTTTCCTCACGTCCCCCAGCAGTTTCCACAAATGCTGCCATCCCGCCTGTAGCCAGAGAGGAGAAGATACACAGAGTGCATCTTTGGAAAGAGGAGAGGACCTGACCACAGTCCCGGGACACTGACCAGCAGCCTGGCAAGAACAGAAAGTGGCTGTCTACCCTGAGCCAGGCTTTGGAGTCTAACAGAACCGGGTTCCCAGTCTTCCCCATATTGGGAAGCACCACCACAGTCACCCAACTGTTCAGGACCGAAGCTCGTGTGTTCACTCTTGACTCCTGTTTTTCTCACCCCTACATCCAACCATCACCAAGTCCTTTCCAGAGAAGCAATCCCACCAGTCTGTGTCCATTCTTCTGACAGGCTGGGGTTGACTTCCGTTTCTTTGGACACTCTAAGTGGAATTCCTTTTATAATGGATGTGTTCCTGCAAATTTGGGCTTAAACTGCATTTTTGTAAATTGAACCCCAGCATGCCATTGGCTTACCCAAGCTCTCACTGAGGTTGGCTCCCCAGGGAATCCTAATACTTTAACCCTATCTCTACCGCTGGAAGACTCTAGAATTTTCCAAAAGGCATTTTGTACTGACCCACTCATGTTCCTGGTCACGGGTTGTTCCATGGGTTTTAACTACTGTGCCACTTATTGAGCTCCTAGGAGCAGTTCCCGGGGCTGCCCTGTAGGCAGCTTCCATTGGTACTGATGGAAATGACTGTGCTGGCTGCACTCCACTGGACTCCCCCATCGTCCCCTCCCATTGCCCTGCCAAACCATGCTCTCTTCTCCCCTCTGCTCTGTGCCTTGGAAGGGTGACTTCTCCAGGCTGTGTCAGCTGGGCCCTTTTGTCTCCTGCCTTCTAATTGGGTTTGGCCTATCAGAGGCACTGGCAGGAGACAGAGGGCAGGAGGAGGGAGCGATGGGGGTACTGATTCCACCCTCTCCCTCCCTCCCTGCTGCTGTTCTGAGAGCAGCTGTTTCTACCAGGGCCATGGTTCCTGTTGGGTGGCTCCCTCTCCATGGCTCCAGGCTCCGATACCTCCACTTATTTTCCTTGTCCCTTTGGACCTAAAGGTGGCAAAGCCTCCCCACTCTTGCTGGCCCCTGGATCCTACACCAGGGGAGCTGGTTTCCTTAACTCTTCTCACAAATCTATAAATGGCCTCTTTAGTAAACTGCCTTTGCTGGAACCCCTCAAGGATACCATCTGCTTCCCGCCGGGACCCTGCCTGGCACAACGACAGTCATGACGATGATGTTGCCATGCTCTGAAGCTCAAAAGCCTGACTCCCAACCCCCACCCAGGGCCCTGGGTAACTCACTTTTAGCCCCAGGGTAAGTTGGGAGGAAGACTAGATGCCTCCGAGGAGTCCAAAAATGCCAAGGTGGGGCAGGCACCCCGAGGGCAGGGCTTCTCAGCCTCAGCACGACTGGTATTCCGGGCCAGATCATTCTTTGCTGTTGGGGTGGCCGGGGCTGTCTTCTACACTGTAGGATATTTAGCAGCATCTGTGGCCTCTACCCACTTGATGCCAGAAACACCCCTTCCCAGTCACGATCATCTCCAGACATTGCCAAGCATCTCCTGGTGGGGAGAGTACCCCCTGGTTGAAAACCCTGACCTCCAAAATGGTGGGGCATGAGCTGAGGGCTAGCTGGGCTGGTTTGCTTCTTAGGAGAAGCACAGAGCAAGCATGGGGAGAAACCCAAGAATGGGGTCCTCGGCCAGGCAGAGATTCCATCGCGGCTCCTCCCTGTGCCTTTCTAGCCTCAGCAACTGGGCGGGACCAAGGCTTGGCGAAACTCACTGGTCACCCTCAGCTCGATGCCCTGCTTGGCCCTGCTGCCTGAGCGCAGGAGTCCAAAAGGCACCACTTGGCTCTCTCCTGGCCCTCCCACCACTCACCCACACTCTCCTCCTCTCCCCTTACCCGCCTCAAAATGATTCTGGGAGGCAGCTGGCAGCAGGGGAGTACAGCTGCCGCTAAGTTATCCAAACGATTTATCTTAAGATTCATGCAGAATTCATTGTGTGGGGACCAGGGTGGGTTGTGCTTTAATATTCATGCAGATTTGGAAGAAATGTTAATCACGGGTTTGGGTAATTTGCACTTTTGCTTAATTCTCCTCCTCCTAGGCTCAGTTGGCTGCCCCGCTAGCCCCCTCACTCCTCTGCTCCTGGCTCCTGCGCCCTAGAGTTCTTCCAGCCCACCGTGCAGCTGGGGTGGACTCAGAGGTTGGAGGGAGGGTGCTGAGCTGCTGTTCCCCTGGTCGGACTGGCCCCACAGCACCTCGGGGTGGGGAGCGGGAGACGGGGTGGGCAGCGGCGGGAAGAGCTGCAGGAGCCTCTGGGACATCTTGACGGGAAATAGATAACCTGCTGTAGCAACCAGATATGTGCAAATTAGCATTGATTATTCTCAAATTAACAGCTTGGGCATTTCAAACCCAAAACAAGGCCTCAGCTCTGCTCTGATCTTGCCCTCCCTCCCAGCTCCCAGCCCGGACTGTTACCCCCTCCCCACAATGACAACCATCTGGGCCTGATCAGGGTGAGAGGCAGGCTTCCTGGGGGAGGGGACCTGGGGGGTTTCCAGCAGATCTCATCGCCTTCTTACCCCTCACTTGGACCTGGGGCCTGAGTACAGGGGCCCAAAACAACTGGCACCCTCTGGCTGCTCCCTCCCAGCCCTCGCACCCCTCACCCGTGCTCCCCTCCTCTCCCCTTACCACCTCCCAAATGATTTTGGGAGGCAGCTGGAGGCAGGAGAGGAAGAGATTCTTCTGAAAATTTTCCCTGGTTCCCACTGCCCAGTATAGCCAACTCCACCTCCTCAGCCCTACTTTCGGGGTCCAAACCCCTGGAAATCAGGGGTTTTGAACCAGGGGGAGCTTTGCCCCCCCGGAGATGTTTGGCAATGTCTGAAGATGATTGTGACCGGGAAGTGTTGCTCTGGCATCAAGCGGGTAGAGGCCATGGATGCTGCTAAGTATCCTACAATGTGCAGGACAGCCCTGGCCACCCCAACAACAAAGAATGATCCAGCCCAAAATACCGAAAGTGCT
Organism: Homo sapiens; assembly: GCF_000001405.40. Lineage (NCBI taxonomy): Eukaryota > Metazoa > Chordata > Mammalia > Primates > Hominidae > Homo > Homo sapiens. The sequence goes on from NC_000017.11 coordinate 74,081,933, forward strand.
GCGGCTGAGAAGCCCTGCCCTCGGGGTGCCTGCCCCACCTTGGCACCCTTGCTTTTCCTCAGAGGCACCTAGTCTTCTTCCCAACTCACCTGGGGGCTAGAAGTGTTACCCAGGGCCCTGGGTATGAACCCCACATACATGGAGAAGGGGGCTTAGGACTCAAAGCCACACCCCATGAGCATGTGTCTCACTCTCTTCCAAGTGAGGTGGAGACAGCTGGAGGGGGCCCAGGAGCCACAGCAGAAGAACGCTGGAAAAGCCCTGAGTGCCCCAGGCAGAGGATCCAGCGCTCAGAAGGGGCTGCTCTCTACACTCCCCTCTCCATTTCAAGATAAGAAAAGTCGAGTCCAGAGAAGCAAAGCCACTAGGCCAAGGTTACACAGCTCATTAGTGGCAGAGGGAGCTCTGAGTTCAAGTTTGCCTGAGGCCCAATCAGATGGCTGCAGCATCAGAGTCCAAGCAGAAAACAGGCACCACTCTGAGTGTCTAAAAGGGGGAGATTTATGCAGGGACTTGATTGCACAGGTGAAGGAAGAACTGAGAAGGGGATAGGGAGGCAATTTGGGAATTAGCAACAGTGGGAAGCTGCTACCACCTCAGGCTGGAGGACAAACGGAGGAGAAGGCATCAGTGGACCCCACAGCCAGGTCCATCGTGGAAGCTGGTGGATCTATCTAAAGAGAGCAGAAGCAATGATGAAATCCAGCAATGCTGGAAAGGAGGAGGAAAAATACTCTAGCTTCTCCCTCCTGCTTGCTCCCATCTCCTGCCGGGACTTAATGTCCAAACCAGTCAGGAGCCAGCTGCCACGGTCAGCCCCTCAAGGTGCTAAGCAGAGCAGGAGCATCGAAAACGGGTCTGAGAACCAGCAGGCAATTGACCAGCACAAGAACTTCCAAACCAAATGTTGTTCCCCTCCCTCCCTCAGGCCTTGCCGGGGACTTGTGAAGAGGAGGGTGAGGAAGAAGACCCAGGAGGAGAGGCACCACAGGCCTGTCCCATGCACCGGAGTCAGTGGAGACAGCGCAGCTGAGTTGAATAAAAAGGGAGCTAGGGGCTGGGGGTGTTGAGAGTTGGCTCTCTCTCCTCCAGGCCCATCCTCCCACCCCTGCTGGGATCTGGTCAGCTTCCAACCCCAGCAGCCGGTGTTACCTGCCACTGCCTGTCAGCTTTCCCCCCACCACGCAGCTGCTTCTATCTTGGCCCAGAATGATAATCAGGGAGCCACAGACACAGAGAAAGTGTGGCAGCAGCCCAGATGGCCGCCCCTTCCCCTACCACTCCCTTGCTATGAAGACTGGGTGTCCAAATCCCTAGCGCCCACCCCCACTAGACACACTTATATGCATGCGCGGGCACAACATACCAAGGTGTCCCAGAATTAAAGTTCCCTGGGAAGGCTCTCAGACCAGACCATGTCAAAATGCAACAGAATATCTATTAAAGCAGGGAGTCAATGAGATGCTCATTGAAGGGGGGCACTTAGAAATAGTCTCAGCCCCTTCCTTATCTAGTGGAGGAGAACTCACAGCAGCATAGCTGACCTTTTCCAAGAGGGAACCCCTTGAAAGCTACAGGTGTATGGCAAGGAGGCCACCACCTGTTGCAGGTAAAGGGTATAAACTGTGACATGCCCTGAGAGCCCCGGGATTCAGAGGTCACTTGGAATAGATGGTCCAAAGGTCGCCCAGGATAGCTGGCCCAAAGCAGCGCCTTAACACCATACCTGGCACATGGTGAGCATTTAGGAAAGCACTTTTGTCTGCTTAAATTTCTAGCCCTTCTTTGGGCTCTTTTGGGAGACCCCTCATGCACTACATGAGCTTCAAACACAGTGGCCTGAGTGATCCCTCCTGGTTACAGAGTGATCATGTGACATCATGCATGTGATCGTGTGACTGAACTGTCTCGGGGCTGCATTCCCCAGATCAGAGTGATTGGTTCAGAGATGGACATGGAGTTCAAGCCAGCCAAGTAGTCTTGCTGGGGCAAATCTATTGACTCTGTTGGAAAAATGATACTTTGGCAGGTTCACAGATGGTAACAAATGTACCCCTAGGTGCCTGCATAGATAGGAGGCGAGGCTCTCAGTATGAGGGGCAGGGGGTATACGAGAACACTGTATTTTCCACTCAATTGTGTTGTGAACCTAAAACTCTCTAAGAAATAAAGTCTATTAAAAGCAAAAAGGTTAAGGTCTTTAAATCGGGGGAAAAAAAAAACAGATAGATGCCAATATAGAAAAGAAAGAAATACAGGTTGTGTGTGGTGGCTCACACCTGTAATCCCAGAACTTTGGGAGGCCAAAGGGGGTGAATAACTTGAGGTCAGGAGTTCAAGACCAGCCTGGCCAACATGGTTAAACCTTGTCTCTATTAAAAATACAAAAATTAGCTGGGCATGGTGACACATGCCCGTAGTCTCAGCTACTCGGGTGTCTGAGGCAAGAGAACCAGTTGAACCCAGGAGGTGGAGGTTGCAGAGTGGAGATCGCACCACTGCACTCCAGCCTGGGTGACAGAGTGAGACTCTGCCTCAAAAAAAAAAAAAAAGGAAGAAATAATATCATAATTTAATGTTGAAATATTTCTGTGTGTGAGGCAGAGGGGCTGGGAATTGCGCTTTGCAAAATAAGAGCTATTTCTATGAAATTATATATTTTGGGGGGCATTTAGATACAGGAATTACTTAAATAGTTTAGCTTCTATTGAACTTTTGTGTATGGGGTATGAGATGGTAGGAAAGGCCATTTGCAACTATCTTTTTAAAAATCATAAATGCAAACTAAGCTTTTTCTATGAAATTATATATTTTGGGAGGGGCATTTAGATACAGGAATTAAATAGCTTAGCTGCTATTGAATTTCTTTTGTGTATGGGGCATGAGATGGTATGAAAGGCCCTTTGTAACTATCTTTTAAAAAATCATTTTTATTGAGTCTGAATATTGTAATAATATTTTGCACTACAGTTGCTAGTGCTGGGTGAATGAGAGCCTGCAGGGCCAGTAGTTATCCTGCCTGTGCTGTGCAGGACCCTGTCATGAGAATGAATCCAAATTGAAGTTCGAAGAGGAGAGAAAGTCCTGATGACATTGTTTGAACCCCTGGAAACACTCATGCATAAAGTCAGCACAACTCTTGGACATTTCAGATACATGGACCAATGAATTCCCTAATTCAAGTTGTGTTTCTGTTACTTGCAACAAAAAAGCCCCAATGAAATAAATCAATGGATAAATGAGCATATAACCCAAGACTTGAAAGAAAAGAAACTTCAACTCCCATTCCCGAGATTCAAAGGTAAAGAGATTTATGTGGATAAAGCAAGATAGACCAGCATGGCTACGCACAAAGCTTAGTGGCTGAGAAAAACAATGAGAACTCTTGCTTTATAAAACTGCCATGTGAAAGGAAGAGTCTAGGCTGGTGACCCAGCTCAATGCAATGGCTTAAAGGTTTGTTCAGAAGAGTAGATTTTACTAGAAACTAAGGCTGATGTTGGAAGCTCCCCAGATCAAATCATCCTATCACTTGGTTGCACAGTGGGAGTTGTTGGCCAAGCATGGAAATCTGAACTATAGGGGGCTGTGACCTCGATGCCCTTGGGTGGCACTGCTGTACCCTGAGTTGGGATTGAGACCATGAAGCACCTGCCATTAATTAGTCAGTGTCACTCACTGAGCTCTGCAGGCCCAGTCTCCAACAGCGACATCAGGTGGCAGTGGGAAGTAATGGCAGTGATTGACCAATGAGACTGTACTTGTCAAGTCTCTGTTGGAATAGGGCTGTACCCCTTAGTGCAGAGTAAGTCCCTGAGATTCTCGGACAAATCCAGTGTGAGGGAGGCCACAGGAGGAGATCCTGGACATTGTGAGTATTCTGGCAAACAACTGGAAAAAAATAAGAGCTGTAATATATTTGCCTCCCAAACTGGAAGATCAAGTCATGTTTTCCAAAAGATGTTTAAGGCTAGAAGGTCAAGAGCTTAAAAGTCTGATTCCAGCCTCTCATTAATCCAGTGTGTGACCTTAGGTGTGTCATGTTCACTTTTATTTCTTTATTAACATCCCCTCCCCCCCACACTGGAAAAAGAGAATGAGAAGAGCCAGAAGTCCCCTTCCAGTGCACCCACAGATGATGCGGACAAAGCTCTCTGAAGGCCTCACCTACATCAGGTGGCAGTGGCTCCAGGCAAGTATCTCTCCTACTATACAACATCCCCCATGCCCTGCGGCTATAGGAAGCTGCCAGGACAGCAGACCTGGAAGAAAGCATCCTCCTGGGGTGAGGAACAATGCACAATGTGGGATTTGTATCAGGGGTGGCCCCTAGCATTGAGTTTAGGACAACCTCCTGCCAAGCAGCTCTCACCACCCCAATCCCAGTCCCCGAGAGGCCAAAACACAAACCTGACACCCACTTCAGGGCCCCCTTGCTCCTCTCCTGTGACACCTACCTCTCCCTATAGAAAATGCCAAGTAGGGGCCAGGCGCAGTGGCTCACGCCTATAATCCCAGCACTTTGGGAGGCCGAGGCGGGTGGATCACGAGGTTAAGAGATCAAGACCATCCTGGCCAACACAGTGAAACCCTGTCTCTACTAAAAATACAAAAATTAGCTGGGTGTGGTGGTGCACACCTGTAGTCCCAGCTACTCGGGAGGCTGAAGCAAGAGAATCGCCTCAGGTGGCCATTGCAGTGAGCCGAGATTGTGCCACTGCACTCCAGCCTGGGTGACAGAGCAAGATTCTGTCTCAAAAAAAAAAAAAAAAAAAAAAGGAAAAGAAAAGAAAAAAAACCCAAGTAGGGCAGGAACACCTGTGGGCCCCAGGATGCTGGACCACAGCATGCAGGCAGGAAGAGAACCCTCACTCCCCGAGCTAGACGGAATCTCAGCAATGTTATTTAAGTGCTTCAGTTCACAGATAAGGAAACTGAGGCCCAGTAGGGGGAGTAAGTCTAGAAAGCCTCCCAAAGGGATCAGCGGCTGGGCTGGCCAAGGCTGGGGCCCAGCTCACCTGTCTCCTAACCCCACACTCTCTTCCAGCATCCCCCTCTTCCCAATGCCATATCGTCTCAGACAGGGGCTCTAGGTCTCTCAGCACAGCACGGCCAGCTCATGGCCACAGACAAGGATAGTGTGGGGCAGACCAGTAGGCCTCTAAGCCCATCCCACCCCACCCTTCTGCCCAAGGCAGGGAGCTTCTGAGCCCACAGCAATCCCCTGAGCTTCCAAAGGCTGCAGAAGCTCTGTCCAGAAGAGTGCAGACTTAAGGGGGATTTGGGTTGAGCAGGAAGAAAGGGAGTGGAGGGGGCTGAGGCCCAGAGTTGTGCTCTGAGGGGACTGGCTGTGGACGCCGAGAGCACCGTATGTCAAAGCTAGATCCGAGCTCAGACATAAGCCCCCTTCCCCTCCTTAGAGGGAAAATACACAAGCTGCTTTCAATGAAGGCTTTAAATGGAACGTGTCCAGGCATTTCAATGTTCTCTTCCCAGAATAGGGCCCTCAATTCCATCTTCTCTGAGCTGGCAACTAAGGAAGGACATCTCTAACTTTGCCTGGAAATTATAAGTCTGCCCCTTGCTATTTGCTCTGTGAGAGACAGTGCAGTGCAGTGGTCGGGCTGGAGACGCCAGCTTAGATTTGGGGGTGAGGCTGCCTCTCTGGGTGTGGCTCTGCCACTTACTGACTGGGTGAGCTCAGGAAACCACTTTATGTCTGTCTCTGAGCTCCCATTTCTTCACCTATAAAGTAGCAGGATAGCATTGCCTACTGTATTTGTTTTTCATTGCTGCTGTAACATGTTGTCGCAAATTTAATGGCCTGAAACAACACAAATTTATAATCTTACAATTCCATAGGTTAGAAGTCCGCCATGGGTCTCATGGGGCTAAAAGCAAGGCGTCAGCAGGTCTGCGTTCCTTCTGGAGGCTTCGGGGGGAATCATTTCCCCTGCTTTTTCCAGCTTCTAGAGGCTGCTCACATTCCTTGGCGCATGGTCCCTTAACCTCTGTCTGCCAAGCCTGCAGCACAGCATCTCTCTGACCATCCTGTCATCACATCTCCTTCTCTGACCCCTCTTCCGCTTTAAAGACACACCCAAGTTATGATAATAATAAACCCCCCAGCCCCAAATCCTTAACTTAATTACATCTTCAAAGCCCCTTTTGCCATGTAGGGCTCCAGGAATTAGGATGTGCCTATCTTTTGGGAGAAGGGAGTATAATTCTGCCTACCACATCTACTTTTTAGTGTTGCTGAGCGGGTTTAAGGCAAGGATTTAGCACAATGCCTGGTACACAGAAACCACTCGATAAAGGGCAGCTGTATTCATGGACATGGCCTCATTTTGTGATGTCTTCCAAGGGCAGCTCCGCCTGCCTGTGACACACTGTGCCCCATCCCCTGCACACACATCACACCAAGGCCAGCATGCACGTAGCACCCAGGGCACATATGACAGGCTTGCTGCCCGCTGTCCCTCTGCACACAGCCTGCCTCTGGCGCAGGCTCCAGATGCTGCTGTGCATTTTGCTTCTGCTCAGGCATTTGCATCCTCTTGCAGTGCCACAGATGTTTGCACAGATGTTCATATGCTGACAGACACATGTGCACATACATGATCTGCCACTCAGATCAGCAAAGTGCACACAGACACGCACACACTTGTCCCATATAGGCATGTCCACATCTCCCCAGACCCCACTGACAGAGGCCCCTGCTCAGAGAGGGCACTGCCACTTTTTCTGGCCCTGAGCAGATTGAGCTGCCTCCCTGTCCCCTGCAGCCTGCACTCAGCAGCCCCTTCCATGTCTTGTCCTGAGTGTCACCACCTCCCACTCCTGCTCCCAGAGCCCCAGCTCCATTGATTGGCCTTGCAGCTCAGCAGCCGGAGATGTGCCCCAGCTGGAGCAAAACACTTGTAATTTATGGAGTGTCTGATTTTTAATCAGTTTTTTGTTCCTGTGCTGTAATTGTCCTAATTAGATATACATATTTTGATGAAGGTTTTTCCAAAATAAAAATTGTAATCGAATCTTGCTTGACATTCTTTACACCCACTCGCTCAGATCCAAACTTCCACAGCAGCAGGCTCTGGAAACTGTGCATGCAGCTCAGGCATCTCCACACACCTCCCCTGGACCACTGCAGGAGCTGTCCTGTGGCTCTCACAGGCTGGAAGGCAGGCGCCCACTAGGCAGGGCAGTTTCCTTTGCCCTGGGCCTCCAAGTGCCCCATCAGGGTGGGGCAGCCTTCTCCCTGCGGGTCTGGGCCCTCCAGGGCTTCTGGGCCAAGGCTTACCCCTGGGGGAGGGCTCAGGACTATCTAGCACTGAGGTGCTCTCTCTCTGCCCATGCTTCTGCTCCCTGGGACCCCTTCACCAACCACGGAGAATTGATGCCATCCCACAGGCCTCAAGGGCAAAGGCTGCTTCTGTCATCCCCCACTCTGATAAATAACAACAATTCCTGCCACTTACGGAGTATCTACCATGTGCCAGGCACTGTATTTTATATACATTAGCCCTAATCTGCATAACAACCCTCGGAGGGGATTTTTCAGAGGAAGAAATCAAGACTTGGAGAGGGTAATTCACTCGCTCAAGGTCACATGGCAATAAATGAAAGGACTGCAGTCCTCTTTGCCAGAACACTGAGAGGTAATGGCTGCCTTCCTGGGAAAATCCAAGAGGAGCTGCAGTCCTCCAGCTGCTCCTCTTAGGGGGAGGATCCACAGGGCTGATCTTACCCCTGCACCCCAGCATCAATCTGCAGCTGACCTTGAATAGCCAATGATGCAAAATTCCTCCTTCTGAGCCTACAGTACAGACCACACATGAGAAGTCTGGTGTCTGTCTACATGAGTCTCTCTAGGACCTGGAAACCAGGGTTCAGGTATCAGTGTGTGACCAAGAAGTCAGCCCTGCGACTGGCTGGGAGGCTGTGGACAAGAGCTGTTTCCTAGGATCTCAGACTCCAAGAAGGACCCTCGCGGCAAACCTATCAGGAGATCCAAGCTAAGAACTTTCTGTGCTGGTTCTTAAACTGCTGACTCTTACCTCCAAACCTCCCAGTCATACTCTGCAAACCATGGTTGTGCTTCGCCTGATGCACCCAGTTAGCTCCTGCCAGTAGGGGGCACTCGGGAGACAGGCAAGAAGAGGGAGGAGGACTTGTTCCTTTCCTTTGCTTCCTGTCCCTCTCTGGTGATGGGTCTTCAATCTGGTGGTGGAGCTGGTTCTATTGTCAGTAGTTGGTCCTAGTTTGCAATGTGCTTGTCCCACACTTCAGAAGGTGCCTTATTGTGCCCTCTCAGAGATCCCAGCAGCAACTGGCACCTGCCCCATCCCTGAAGAGCTCTGAGTTCCAGCTCCTAGTGGCCTCTCCACCAAGCTTTTAAATTCCAATAATCCCAATCTCTTCCCTTGTTCCCTCAGCCCTAGGGATGGTGGCTGCTTCTTGCAGTTGCTACCTTTATGATTGCTTCATAAGTATCACAGAACTTTTGCAGTTCTCCAATACTCCAACTCCTTCTATTAAATTCTCTCTGTTAAAATAACTGGTGTGGTTTCTGATGTTTTACTGCCCTACACCCTGCATGGTGTCCAACTGTAAACTGGAAAAGGTGTGTTGAGAGGTGCCACAGCCACACCTGTGTTGGGGAGTGTGGCCCACTGGCCCACAGAGCTGGGCAAAAAAACCAGCAGAGAACTATGCCACCTCTAGTGCTCAATCGGCACACTAGGCTGAACTGATAAAGGAGTAAGTGAATGAATGGACAAAAGAATTAATAAATACAATAAAAATGATCAACCATGGAGCAGTCTGTTCCAGACCCAGACATGGCACCCCCCTTCTTACAGAGCCCAGCACAGGCTAAAATCACCAAGACAATCTGATTTGGTAATGGTTAAGATGAGAAGTTTGATTGTTCTCTGGGGTAATTTGACACAGAAAGGGGGAGTAGGAGCAACACTGAGCACCAGCTGAGCCTACTGACTGTAGTAATTAGGGTAATTAAAGCTAGCAACTGGCCCAAAAATCTTGGTGGTTTAATAAAACTGCTCAGTGGTTTATTTCTCACTCACCTCAAGTTGAATGTAGATGTTGCTGATCAATCAGTTCTTCCAGGAGATTCCCCTCCAAGTGGTGACTCAGGTATCCAGGATCCTCCCTGGATCTTGAGGCTCTGCTGTCCCTAGGATATCCTGGAAGTCCTCTGTTAGGGATTCCCTATATTGAGCTGAAAGATGAGAAAAGAAAGAAAACATGGAGAATCTCCCACCCAATGCTCAACCACCTTGGCCTGGAAGTAATATGCATCATTTCCATTCAAATTCCACTGGTGAGAACTAATCATATGGACCTACCTAGATGCAAGAGGGGCTGGAAAATATAATCCATGACTGAGCAGCTATTTTCCAGAAATGGTGATACACCATGGATGTGGAACATATTTTTGTTGGTCAGCTAACTATTTCTCTTACCCTCAGGTACGGTATTAACTTGAAGCTATGATATCAAAAATATGTTAGATCTTGTCTTAGTCTGTTTTGTGTGGCTATAACAGAATACTACAGACTGGGTAATTTATAAACAATAGAAATTTATTTGGCTTATGGTTCTGGAGGTTGGGAAGTCCAAGAGCATAGTGCTATCATCTGATGAGGGCTTTCTTGCCATGTCATCCCATGGCAAAAGGGGAAGGGCAAGAAAGTACGTGCCAATAAGAGCAAGAGAGAAAGGAACCTAACCTATCCATTTTATCAGGAACCCGCTCCCACAATAATACCATTAACCTATTCACAAGAGCAGTGCCCTCATGACCTAGTCATCTCATAAAGGTCCTACCTCTCAACACAATTGTATTGGGGATTGTGCTTCCAATACATGAATTTTGGGGGATGTGTTCAAATTATAACATTCCACTCCTGGTCCCCAAATTTATATCTTCACCCTGCAAAATACATTCATCCCATTCTAATAGTCTCCAAAGTCTTAATTCATTCTAGCATCAGCTCAAACGACCAAAATCCAAAGTCTCACCTAAAGTAGATGTGGGTGAGATGGAAGGCATGATTCATCCTAAAGCAAATTTCCTCCGGCTATGAGCTGTGAAATCAATGTAAGTTATCTACTTCCAAAATACAATGGTGGGACAGGTATAGAAGAGACACTCCCATTCCAAAAGGAAGAAATAGGCAAGATGAAAAGAGTAATAAGCCCCAAGTAAGTCCAAAACCCAATGGGGAAAACAACATTAAGTCTTAAGTCTTCCAAATAACTTTTCTTGACTCCATGCCCTGCCTTCTGGAAACACTAGGATAAAGACTGGGCCCCACAACCATGGTTTTACTGGGCTCAGTTCACCCAGCAGATCTCATGGACTGGAGTCTCAGACCAGCAGCCTTTTTTTTTTTTTTTTTTTTGAGATGGAGTCTCGCTCTGTTGCCCAGGCTCAAGTGCAGTGGTGCAATCTCGGCTCACTGCAACCTCTGCCTCCAGGGTTCAAGTGATTCTTCTGCCTCAGCCTCCTGAGCAGCTGGGACCACAGGTGCACATCACCCAGCTAATTTTTGTATTTTTAGTAGAGAGGGGTTTCACCATATTGGTCAGGCTGGTCTTGAACTCCTGACCTCGTGATCTGCCCACCTCGGCCTCCCAAAGTGCTGCGACCACAAGCATGAGCCACCATGCCTGGCCGCCAGCAGCTCTCTTAGTCTGTTGCTGCAAGCTCAAGCTAGTTACTCTATAGTACTGGGGTCTTGGGAATGGCCCCACTCGGCATTGCCCTAGTGGGGACTCCGTCATAGCTCTGACTTCACATTTCCACTTGGCATTGCCCTAGTAGGGGCTGCTTTCTATGGTGGCTCTGCCCCTGGTGACAAGTCTGTGGCTGCAGCCCTCGACTGTCCACATCATCCTTTAAAATCTAGGTAGAGAAAGTCATGCCCCCATAGCTCTTATATTCTGTACATGTGCAAAATCAGCACCATGTGAATGCTGCCAAGATTCACAGCTTGTAACTTCTGTAGTGGGTCAGGCCACATCTGGGCCTACTTGAGCCATGGTTGGGGTGGCTGAGGAGCTCTGCACCTGAATGTGGGGAACAGAAGCCCAACGTGGCTCTGGGCAGCAAGCCCATGAAGGGTACCCCAGGATCATCCCTCAAAATCATTCTGCCCTGCTAGAGCTCTCAGCCTGTAATGGGAGGAGTAGCCTCAAAGAGCTCTGAAATGCATTTGGAGTCTGTTTTAGTCTGTTTTCTGCCAATGTAACAGAACACCACAGACTATGTAAATTATAAACAAAAGAAGTTTATTTGGTTCTGGAGGCTGGGAAGTCCAAAAGCATGATGCTGGCATCAGGGAATGACCACCCTGTGGTAGACAGGTGGAATGCAGAAGTTTGCACAAAAGACAGAAAGAAATGGGCACAACTTATCCCTTTATCAGGAGCCCGCTCTGGCAATAACTAAACCACTCCTGCAATAATAGCATTAATCTATTCATGAGGAAAAAGACCTCTTAATTACCTAATTACCTCTTAAAGTTCCTGCCACCCGATACTGTCACATTGATGATTAAATTTCAATGTGACTTTTGGAGGAGACATTCAAACCACAGTAGGTTCACTCTCCCATTGTCTTGTTGATTCCTATCAGTACTGACCTTCTTAGCGAATGGTCACTTAACCACATCCTTAGTTTGCTCTCCTAAACATGTTTTTTCATTCTTCACATGGTCAGGCTGAAAATTTTTAAGATCTTTTCATTCTTCTTCTCTTTTCTGCTAATTATAAATTCCATCTTCAAATCATTTATTTCCTTAATGTATATGATTAAAAGTAGACAGCTTCTTCACTATTTTGCTTAAAAATTTCTTCTGCCACATATCCTGGTTCACCACTCTTAATTTTTGCCTTCCATAAGGCCCTCAGGCATGGACATAATTCAGCCAAGTTCTATGCAACTTTATAACAAGGATAGCTTTTACTCCAGTTCCCAATACCTTCTTCCCCATTTCCATCTCAGACTTCATCAGAATGGCCTCTACCATCCATATGTCTACCAACATTCAGATCACAACCACTTAAGTAATCTCTAAGAAGTTTCAGACTTTACCTACATTTCTTCTCTTTTTCTGAGCCCTCTGCAGAATCACTCTTTACTACTCCATTCGTGGCAATCTAGACTTTTTCTAACCGGCTTCTCTAGATGCTTCCAGCCTCTACTCATTACCCAGTTCCAAATCTGCTTCCATAGTTTCAAGTATTTGTTATAAAAAATAGTCCCACTTCTCAGTACCAATTTCCTGTCTTAGTCCATTTTGTGTTGCTACAACAGAAAACAACAGCCTGGGAAATTTATAAACAATAGAAGTTTATTTGACTCATGATTCTGGAGGCCAAAAAGTTTAAGAGCATGATGCCGGCATCTTGTGAGGACCTTCTTGCTGTTATCATTCCATGGTAGTTGGTGGTAGAGCAAGAGAGCGCACATGAGCAAAACCAAGAGAGAAACAGAGACAAACGTACCCTTTTTTAATCAGCATCCCACTCTTGTGATAATGCCATTAATTCATTCATGAGAGCAGAGCCTTCATGACCTAATTACCTCTTAAACGTCCTGTTTCTCAACAGTTTCACATTGGGGATTATGTTTCTAATGCATGAATTTTGAGGCACACAAACCATAGCAGACCTAGGCCTTTCATGGGAGGGAATACAAACTAGAGGCAGACATAAAGCTGTGTCCATTAAAGAGGTGAAATACATTATGTGCATTCTACTCACTGGGTAACCAGCAACATACTGGACCTGAGTATAAGAAGAAACATAAAAATTGTGTATCTTGTAATTCCAGGCTTTGAGCTGTTTTCAGTCTGACTGATGAGACAAGGTTTGTGCCAGTGAAACAAGTAGAGATTAATTCAAGACAGATGTGATCACCAGTCTCTGCTGGCATAAATCAAGTTTCATAAATGACTGAACTAGCATTTGAACCAACATTTCTTCTTATTTTCATCCCAGTAGCATCATCCTAATCTGGTGACCTTAAAGGCTTTTAAAAATCTGGTTATTACTAGAAAAATGTTGCCTCCATCTAAAAGTTGCAATAAAGCTTTCTTTCCCTGAGAAAAATCTAGCCAGCCCTTTGTGTAGGTTGACTATAGCGGGCATGTGCCCAGCATCATTTTCCTGATGGTTCATTCTCCCTCACCCAATACTGAGCCTTCTCCAATCTAGGGAAGTGGTAAGTCCATGATCCAATAAAAAACATTCCATCTACATGACACAGTGGTCAGTTAAAAGACTCAAGTTGGTCCAATAAAAATCCTTCCCTAGAATTAACTTAAATACACTAAAAGACAAAATTTACTTTCCAATTGAGGTTGATAAGCTTGGAAAATATGAATTAGGGCTACTTGTGGCCATGTTTCTCACCACACAGAGAGATTATTTCCCAGAATGAAGCCAAACAAGATAGCAGGCAGAGGAGCAACAGTTTTTCATCCTCAGTCTCATCCCTGAAGGCAGGTTCCTACTGCTGTCCCAGAATCCCTCAAAGCTCCTGGACTAATACATTCCCCATTTGCTTGAGCCGATTAAGTTGGATATCTATCACTTGCAAATAAGTGAGTCCTGACTAATATGTTGGCTTCACAGTGCCATGCCCAGTGCATCTTATCTGCACATCTCCATTTTCCTGCAGAAAAACGACCATTGGATGGAAAGGGCTGTGAAGCTCTCCTTTAAAGTACACATTCCTGGGCTTAACCCCAGACTTACTGATGCAGAATCTCTGGGGATAAGACCCAGGTATTTGTGTAATGCTACCAGTGATTCTGTTGCACACACAGTGCCAAGTTTGCAGCATGGGATCACCACATCTCATTGGCTGATTCCTGGAGTCTAACTCCCCTGGAAAATTTTGCTCTGGCCAGGTATCACACTTTAAGATGAATACTAAAGGGTGCTATGGTTTTAATGTGTCCCCCAAAGTTTATGTGTTTGAATCTTAGTCCCCAATGCAACAGGGTTGGGAGGTGGGACATTTAAGAATGGATTAGGTCATAAGGGCTCTGCCCTCATGAATGGATTAATGTTATTATCCCAGGAAAAGGTTAGTTATTGTGAGAGTGGACTTGTTATAAAAGTGAATTCGACCCCCGCTTGCCCTCTTCCTTCCTCACACTCTCTTGCCTTTTCACCTTCTGCCATGGGATGATGCAGCTTAGATGCTCTCACTAGATGCGGGCCCCATGACCTTGGACTCGCCAGCCTCCAGAACTGTAAGAAATAAAATTATTTTCTTTCTCAATTACCCATCTGTGGTATTCTGTGATAGCAACACAAAACGGACTAAGACAGAGAGCATGACCAGGAGAAAACCAGGTCAGTGAGGGCACTCGCGCTGTTCTTCCTCTGATGTGTTTTTTCAGAAATCAGGGTGTTTAACAGCAAATCCACAAGGGATATTCTGTCTTCAACGGTGTGAAAACTGTCATGTGGAAGAATAACAGATTGACTTTGTGGTGTTCCAGAGGACAGGCCTTCAACCAAGGGCATCCTGGTGCCAGATTTCAGCTAAATAAAGGGAAGAACTTTCTGGCAATTAGAGCTGCCCCATGGTAGAAGTGCTGCCACAGAAAGTAGTGAGCTGCCTGGCTCAGCCGTGTGCAGACATCAGCGGCTCACCATCTGTCAGTTGCTCTGGCTGGGGCTGTTCCACTGGACAGAAGGCTGGACGAGCTGCCTTTTTCTTGCCAGGATTCTACAATTCTAGAACGTGGTCTGGGGACAAAAGAGGCCAGGATTACCAGAGGGGCCAAGTGACCAGAAGGGGAGAGATGTACACGAGTTTGCTGGGAAGGACTCATGTGAGAAACCAAACTCAAGATAGACCTTGTAGGGAACACAGGTAGCATTAATTACAGCACAGGCCAGCACTGAAGTCAGGAAATTTTCCACTTTTTGTAACTTGGTTTTATTTCACTATTATTATCATGACTGTGAATTACTGTTAGAAGGAGGTGGAAAATCCCAGATATTTCCATTTTAGAAAAAAATAAAGTCAATAAACTGGCTGAAGCCTAATAATAAATATTCATGTCATTGAATATAAACAAGGAGAGTGAAGGAAGGGATGTTGTGAATGAAGTAGCTTCCATGTCAAGAAAAGCAGAGCACTGGGGCCGGGCGCAATGGCTGTAACCCCGGCACTTTGGGAGGCCAAGGAGGGAGGATTGCTTGAGGCTGGGAATTCAAGAACAGCCTGGACAATGTAGTAAGACCCCATCTCCACAAAAACAAACGATAACAGAACACCATGGTCCAGGAGGCCTCATTCCCGTCCGTCTCAGTCCTGCTCCCTTGGTCCTCAATGTCAGAGTGCCCAGGAGAACCTGAGTTATGTCTTCACTCAGGGTTTCTCAACGTTTTTCCAGCCCAGGCGTTTGGAAACTTCTCTAAGTATGCTACTGTATTTCTGCAGCAGGGAGAAGACTGGAGACCATGTACCGTATCAGCAACCAAGTAGGGGAAGGGAGAGGGACAGAGACGCTTGAAAGGGGACATCTGACTCTCATTTTGCAGAGGAAGGAGAAAAGAGCCGATGCATATAATGCCACCCCCATAGTCAAGAGATAAGGCTGCACAGTGGGGCTGGGCACAGCCCCGTGGAGACCGATAAATCACTCAGAACTCTGGAATTTGCAAGTGACAGAAACTGAACTCAACTAGCTTAAGCAAAACAGGGATTTATTGGCTCTTGCAGCTAAGAGGATTCTGGGACAGCTCACAGAATTAAAGAAAAGACTGTGGGGACCAGGACTTTGGGACCAATTCTGTCTACAACTCCATCCATGAGTCCATCCATCTGTCGCCTCTCCCACACACCCCTACCCAGTTTTCATCTGTGCTTGTCTCTGGTCGCAGACAGGCTCTCTTCCGCACTGATGAAGACGGCCACCAGACACCTCACATTCACACCTTCCCACTCCCGCATCCCCCGAGAAAAGTTCCTGCTGGTAGGATCCATGGCCCAATCTCAAAGGAAGGACTCTGATTGGCCCTGCTCTCATGCCCCCCACCCCCCTCGGACTGATTACTTTTGTACGAGGGATAGGCCCTGTGATTTGTCAGGCGTGGGTTCCATGCCTGTCCCTAGGGGCTCAAGAAGAGTGAAGGGCCTTAATAGCAACCTCTACTGGGGTCTAGGGTCAGCCCTGGGATGCATCAGGGGAGTGGGAGGGTGGTGAAGGAGGATCTTGGAGCAAAGAGGAGGGGCCGCTCACCTCCCCCTGGGAAAGTCCTCGTGGGCTGACAGTCATTGTGGGATTCCCTCCCTCACACCTGCTGACCCATGAGTCGGGCGGCTCTGCCTTCAGTGTGTGGAGGGGTCCAGGCAGGACTGGCTGAGGGCAGCTCACCCTGGCCCTCAGAGGATGATGCTTGGTGAGGTTCAGCCTCCGGATACACACACACACACTCACGCACATCCACACAGATGCACACTCGCATAC
Organism: Homo sapiens; assembly: GCF_000001405.40. Classification (NCBI taxonomy): domain Eukaryota; kingdom Metazoa; phylum Chordata; class Mammalia; order Primates; family Hominidae; genus Homo; species Homo sapiens. The sequence goes on from NC_000017.11 coordinate 74,098,459, forward strand.
CCTCATACCCACCAGACATACCCTGACACACACAGAAATGCATACACACACACACTGACACACCATACCCTCACAAACGCACTCACACTTGTAGACATATTTGCACACAATCAACACACTGACATACACAGACGCACTCACACACTCTCATGCTCACCAGACACACTCATACACGTGCTTATTCCTTCAGATACAGACACATGGGCGCCTATTCAAACAGATGCACTCACACTGACACACACAATTTACAGACACATTCATGCAGATGCACACTTACACATGCAACACTTTCACAATTCACCCACACATACTAACACTCAGACACATTCATTCTCACACGCACTCACTCAGACCACTTTCATTCACTTTCACACATTCACTCACACATGCACATTCACACACACACATTCAGTCACGTATGCTCTCACCCACACTCTGACTCAGTCTCACACATACTCAGATGTTGTCTCACATTCACACACATTCACACACTTGCTCACACACACACACGCACTCACATATGGTCCCACTCACACATACGCTCACACACATTTGCACACACACACGTGCTCACGTTCACACGCTTTCTCACATATGCTCTTACATACTCTCACACACACACTCCTCCGTCACGTAGTCTCTTTGAAGGTCCAGATGGTACCCCCCACTGCCTCCACACAGGCCTTACTGAGAGCACATTGTGGGTTTGCTCCCCTGGCTCCACAGGGGACACGGGGCCACCTGGCTGCATCTCCCTCCTGGCTGGGAAAGTCTCACACTGTCCCCTCCACTCCCCTCCAGGCAGGATCACCTTAGCCTGAGCATCCCAGTGGGAAAGATTCTGTCTTGTTTCTAAGGCCTCCAGAGAAAATGCCCAGGGAAAGCAAGGAGAGAGAAGAAGGTGTCTCTAAACTGCCTGGCAGCCAAAAGCACATCCTCAATGAAGGTGTCCCTGTCCCGTCGCCCTGCCTGAGAATTCCTAGACTGTGGTTGCAACTGTGCACCCCCAGACCATCTCTGCACCCTCTCTGAGTCCTTCTCTCCACCTGCTTGGTGGAAGTCAACATGCCTGCCTCGAGGGCCACCCAGGGGACACCAGGAGAGATCAAATGGCACCCAGCACAGAGCTGCCCACTCAGGGACAGGTCGACGAGGTCGACTCCATTTCCCTCCTGCAGAGATCACAGCTGGGAGATGGTGGACTCCCACGTGAAATCAGAGGAGAGCGATCCCTGGGCAGGGTCTGCCTTGTCAGCTGCATGATCTGTCCTGGCTGAGGCAGGGAACCTCGGATCATTACCACCCTCAAAGCTCACTCCCCAGAGTCCAAAAAGGAAAGCCACTTTAACTCCCCTGCGTGGTTTGGAAACCCAGACATCAAAGCCTTTCACTGCCTGTGGGCATTTTCTACCCCCTCCCTATGCTCGGCTCTTCATCCACCCTTCCTTCCCCCTGCAGGCCTCCTGGCCCTCCTCAGTGGGCCCCTATGCCTTTGCTCTTCTCCCTCCTGGAATGCCCTTCCCCTCCTCCGCTCAATCAACAAGACCTTTCCAACAGTCGTCTCTGCCATGAAACCCCTGCAAGCCACAGTCCCTCAACCCTGGTTCCTAACCAGGCCCTCCGCATACCCCCTAGCCTGTCCCATTGCCCCCGGCTGGATTTTGGCTTAGGATCTAGCTCCAAGAGACCCAGGTCCTGGAGGGCACAGGTCTTGTGTAGTGGACCCACTGCTACAGCCAGGCCTGGCTCAGTGGCAGGGCACATCCGGGGTCCCTTTGGATGGCACTGAAGAGGCCACGTGAACGGTTCCCTCATTCCCCTGGGAATCTGTCTGCTCTTGGTCTCCCTCCAAAACATCCACTTCTCCTTTCAGACACCATCCCTTTTCTGTTAGTTGATATTTATGGGTAATAAGCCAAGCACATCCAAGCCGAGGTGAAATGCCTCTTGAAATAAATACTCTCCCCAGCAAACAGGTCCATCCATCCAGGCAGGATGGGCTTTGCTGGCAGCCAGGGAAGGGCAGGCAGGAGCCCTGGGAGCAGGAGGGAGAAGGGGCTTCTGGGGACTCTGAGGGATGAAATAGGGTGGGGTACGGGGAGAGGTGGGCGCGTCACCGCATTTGGCACTGTCATCAAAAGTAGAAATGGAAGGTATCGCTTCTCAACCCCTCAGACTCCCATCACGGCAGAGATGAAGCAGGTCATTTTAAAGGCTGGCTCTGGAGTGGCAAAGACAGACCATGCAGTGCAGAAGCCTCTCTATGTAAGTGGGGAGGGTGAGGAGTCAAGGTCACTGAAAGTCAGCAAAGCCTCCGTCCATGAGTGCTGGGGCTAGGATGGTGCTAGGACATGAGGGGAGCCTGGGCCAGGCTGCAGAGGTCCAGGACATGGATGGGGCTGTCCATGTGAGCTGGGGCTCATCAGAGGTCATCAAGCCCCCTGCCTCACCTCTTAGCGGGACCACCTCACTAAACCCATCCTCAGTTTATGGCAGCCTCTCCTGGTGTCAGTTTCTTCTCAGGGAAAGGGTCATTCAGTGGGGCCGTGCAGGGCAACACTGAGCTCCACACCTAAGGGATGGAAAAATAACTCCAGCTTCTAAATATGTCCCCTCCCATGAGGACTGTAGCCTATTTCTACTTCCGGAGGTGACCTCTCCTCTGTTACAGATTCATAGGACCTGGTCCGTGCAGAGAGCTTCACCCCAACACACATTCTCAAGTACGGCAGATAAACAGGTATTCCAGAACACACACACGCACAGGCATGTATGCACTTACACATGTGCACATATACACATGCACATATATACATACACAAACATGCATGCACACATGTATACACTGTCAAACTGCTCATAGAGATCCAAAGCTCCACTTGCACAGCCACACAATGAAACAAAACAATCCCACACTTCGTTCCTACTCTTAACTGCCAGAAAAGCTGGGGGTACCTTTCAGATGCCAGGGACAAAACCAGGAAGACAGGCGAGGCTCTTCTTCACCCACCTAAATTCCTTCCGACCATTTCTCAAAGACCCACAGCCCAGCCTTTTCATGCTGCTGCCCTTCACTCTTGCAGGGGACACTCATGGAGCCTGAGACTGCCAACCTCTTCCCCAAAGCCCACGAATAGAATATGGAAGGAAGGAAGGAAGGCTCTTAGACAAAGAGGTCAGGGTCCACTTCTCCGTTTGATCTCCCCAGCTGCAAAGGGGCAGTTCAGAGCTTGCTAGGCCTGCCTGGCAGGGGAGGGGAATGAAGGGGTGAGAAGTGAAGCAGGCAGCCAGCAGTGGCCAGCATCCTCTGCGGCATGAATATCAGGTCATGAAATGCAATTAGGGCTGCTTGTGCCTAACCTCCCTTCCTCTGCAGCTCCCCGTGACTTGGCAGACTATTTGGAGGACGTTCCAAGCTCCATTAGTTTAGCATCCTTTGACCTTGAGGGTCTGCTACTGAGCACACATCCAACTGGCTGCCTTCCATCTGCACTGGGGCAAGTAGGGACCAGGCTTTGTCACTTTTCTGAAGACCAAGCTCTTGGCTGAACCAGTCTCCTGAGGGTCTCCATCATCCTCCCAGGCTACAAGTGCCTCTTGTGTTTCGAGCTGGTGAGACCTCCTCTGCCCCCAAGCTCTATGGCACCAAGATGACCTGCAAGCCACTCCTCTCCTACAGAGTGGACTCCTCCACACGGGAAAGGGCTAAGCAGCTTCCAGCCTTTTGTGGAGTAGGTGTTTGATAAGAAGTATTGCATTCGTGGATGAATAAACGCACAGCCCTGGAGGAGAAGCCTCTTCATGCTCATCTCCTTTATTTTCTTCTTTCCTTCTCCTCCTGAAAGTCATATCCTCTCCTGCCTGTAAGCTCAGGTGCTGTGTTCTACCTGCTTGCCACACTACTCTACTGAGCAGGCTCCCGCTGCTCTGGAGGACACACTCCAGTATCTGTTCTTTGCTTTCTTCTCATGTCATTTCCTTTTCCTCAGGTCCACTCGGGAGGAGTTAAGATCAGGATTGGAGGAGGGGCCCTGCCGGTCCTTCCTCCTCCACACACTCCTCACCTCACCCCGCAGCTGGATAGAATAGTGCCTCTAGCTGGCCTCGCAGTGTCCGGCTGTCATCCACTCGACAGTCCCCAGGGTGCTTCCGGCCCAGGACGCCAGGCTCTGCACGGGGATCTCCACCCCACCAACCCCGCTTGTTTTCTGCACATCCATACCATCCTGGCTGAGTCTGAGAACTGGCCACAATGAAATGCATGACAGAAGAGGAAAGAGCCTTCCCCAAATTGTCAGACTGAGCCCCAGCCTCAAGTACAGAGAAGGGGATAAGAGAATTTCACCCTTGGGTCTTCTCAGCCAAAACCTTCTAGCACTGGAGGCAAGAGGAGGAGAAGACAAAGAAGAAGGGATCCTCTTTTCCCCCAAAACCCGGTGCTGACTTGAGCTTCCCCAGCCCTGCCTCCCAGGACAGCATCTCACCTTTCAGACCTCTCCCTACCACCTCCTTCCTGCCCACTTAGAAACCTGCTCTAGGTTAACCCTGGAAAGGAACAGGTAAGTAATTCATACTAGAGTGTGTATTACTAGAGTATGAATCACTCAACAAGAACTTGATACTCTCGCCCCAGGTGTGTCTTCCTGTGACAGGGGCTGATGTTTTCGACCTGGGAAGGCAAGTAACTTCCATCTCCCATGCCCGGTCTAGCTGGCCCCGGCTGCCTAGAGCACCCCGGGAAGACTAGGAAAGTCTTCTGAAGCCACCTCTGGGCTCAATGAGAAAGAGTACGCTGATCAATTGGTGATGTCTGCCATGGACACAGGATGGGGAGAGTCCTAGTAGGTTCACTCGGTATTTGACATTCCAGATTTAATTCAAAAGGACTTATGTAGTGAAATTCCAGAACTGTACATGAGCCCTGCTCTAATTAGGCCAATGAGGTGAGCAAAGGCTGGCTTGGCCAATCCTGGCTGTTTCTCCCACTCCCCACCTGCCGCAGTTGGCTAAACTGAAATCAGAGAGAAGGATGCTCTGCTGCAGCCACTGGGCTCCCAAAACCCATGCAAGGCACACTGGAAAGATGGGCAACCACTGGGGTCAAGCAAGGCTGAACTCTCTCTGGGCCAAAAACCGGGTATGGATGAGTGGCCATGGAAGAACTCTGCCCTTCTCCGTTCAAGGTCAGGGTTGGGTGAGGTATGTTTCTGATTTGATTCCTCCAGCCTGAACAGTGGTTCTCAGATGTCACCGCACATGGAATCACTTAGGAAGCTTTTTAAAAACAGATACCTGCGCTTCAGCCCCAGAAATGCTGGCTTAACTGGTCTGGGGTGCAGCCTGGGCTTACAGAAATGTTAAAATCTCCCTACGATTCTAATCTTTCAGCCAAGGTCGAGGCCACTGGGCTGAGTTTTGAGAAATCGTTTAGGCCAGTGTTTCTGAAACTAATATTCATTCAAATCACCTGGGATTGTGTTAAAATGAAAACTTTTATTAGACTGGGGTGAGGGCCCAGAGTCTTCATCTATAACAAGCTCCCCAGTGATACTGATGCTGCTGGTTCTAGGACCACACTTTCAGGAGGAAGGATTTAGGCCACTGGTTCTCAGAGTGCAGTCCCCTGACCTGGCAGCCTCAATATCACCTAGGAGCTCCTTAGAAATGCACCTTCTTGCGTTCTATCCCAACCTACTGACTTGGGAACTTGGGGGCACACACAAGTGTGGGAACCAATGGTCACTGAGAGGGGCCAGTCTCCTGCTTCCAGGACACACCTGTTCCCCAGGTCTGCAGGATGCCTTCAGAAGAGCCCTCTTAGATACAGCTCCCTTCCTGGTCCAGCCAGATGTGTGTTTGAGGGGTGGTGAGAACAAGTGTAAAGGAATTAATGAGTCCATATGTCAATTTTTGGCCAGGAATAAATGCACACAGTAAATGCACAAACGTCTAGTTTTCCAACCCTGAGGGAGAAGGAAAAAAGACACCTGAAAAACACCAGCAATGGAGAGATGAAATTCAATTCCAAACTAAAAATACACATAATTTATCATTATCTAGAAGGAGATTGGGTGAAGGCCATTAGCGGGTATTTTCTGGTTGATGCTGCTCTCAACAGCATGAGTGGCGAGCCAGAAGGGTTACTGCCCTACATTTCCCTTTGCTGCAGTTACGCAGCAACAACTCCAATGCACAGAAGGCCCCATGCTGCTTCCTCCCACCAGAAATGATTTCCCATTATCTAGTGGCTGGTGGGTAGAGGGCATCAGGGCTCCAAAGGTACCAGCCTCCTGAGGGGCAAAGCCACCTCTATTTCTCAGAAAAAGAACTTAAACCCAGCAGGGCTGCTGCAGACAGACTACCCCGGGGGCAGGGGCCCAGGGGTGGTAGCGGGGATGGAGTACTTTTCCACAGCGTCCTGGCATCCTGGGTCTGCCCAGGAAACTCTAGGGGCTTGGGCTTGGTGGAGAGGAAGCAGGAGCCTCCAGGATGACTGTGGCTGTCCCCACCTGTCCACTTCCTGGGATGCAAGGAGGCTTTGCAGAAGAATGTAAGTGCTGTTGCCCTGACAGGCAGATGTGAATCGGAACTAACCTCAGAATACAGGGGAAGAGCCCAAGAGAGGAAGTGGCAAGTTTCATGTACGCCAACATCCTGGAGCACCTGCTGCATGCCAGGCACTGGGGACACAGTAAGGAATGGGACAGAGTTCCTGCCCTCGTGTTGCACGCAACCCAACAGCCACCTGGTCAAGCTGCCACAGATGTGTTCACTCATCGGTAAGGACCAGGATGCAGCCTAGCTGTTGGGTGGCAAGGACACCTGGCTCCTGGAGCTGCCATGATCCCAAATGACCTTCATCCCAGTCTCCAGGATGCTGGCTGCATTTCTCTTCCTGTTCTTTCCTGACAGTCTGGCTGCTCCCAGATCCCCATGAGGTTTCTGTCTTCGTATTGCCTTGTCTGTCCATAAACCCCATTACATGAAATAGCCTGTGTCAGCCTCCGGGCCTAACAACCTAAAGCACCTCTTATCAGCTGTAGGTCAATCCCTTAAAATGCTGTTATGAAGACAAAATGAAAACCAGTCAACAAAAATGAAGAGTTGAAGGCAGCAAGTAAATTCAGCAAATGGACCCTTTGGAGGACTGGCCATGGGGTGCACTGGATTTCAGGAAAATGACCTTTGGGAAATTGGGCTACCTCACCTCAAGCTCCATGGAGCCCCAGGTCGCTTTTGGTCTTGGGCAAAGTCTCTTCTGGAAGCCAGGCAGGTGCTCTGTTCCTCACTCAGCCCCACACCCTGTGGCTTCCCAGAAAAGACCTCATTCCAGCTGTAGATTATACCCAGCCTTGACTCACTGAAGAAGTTCAGAAAAGACTTTGGAGCCTCGAAGAATGGAAAGGGGAAGGAAGAGATGCCTGAGAGGACAGCCTGTGAATACTGTCCCCCAGCACCTATTTAAGCCACGCAGTGGCACCTCCTCCCCACAACAGCAGCCCCCAGAGAAAGCTCCAGCTGTCCCCAGCCCTTCTTTTCCTGCCTGATCACGCAGGGCTGTCAGGGCACCGGTTGGAGATGAGGGACAAGCCAGGGTGCGCACCTGGCCCACTAACAAGTCATCCCCCTCTCTGTGCAATGACAACCCTTGTCCTATGAATTACGTTTTTTTTTTTTAATAGCTTTTGACAAATGGGGTACGTATACACCATGGAATACTATGCAGTCATAAAAAGGAATGAGATCATGTCCTTTGCAGGGACATGGATGAAGCTGGAAGCTGTTATTCTCAGCAAACGAATGTAGGAGCAGAAAACCAAATACCGCATGTTCTCACAAGTGGAAGCTGAACAATGAGAACACATGGACATGGGCGGGGGGGGGGGGGGCCTGTTGGGAGTTGGGATGGGGAAAGAGAGAGCATTAGGAAACATAGCTAAAAAGAAAATAGCCAATGCATGCTGGGCTTAATATCTAGGTGGTGGGTTGACAGGTGCAGCAAACCACCATGGCACACATTTACCTACATAACAAACCTGCACATCCTGCCCATGTACTCCACAACTAAAAATTACAATTAAAAAATAAATAGCTTTTGACACCTGGTACTGCTCGTCACAATTAGTCCTAAGAGTCCCCAAACTCCAGCCAGTGGTATCCCTAATTATTGGTGAATTATTGAACACCAGTAATTCACTCTGCTTTCCTGAGCTCAATCTTTGAGGGCAGGAGATGGCAAAGGTCTAGGAAATGACTTAAGAATCCCGAAGGAGACCCAATCTGACCCCCTGCCAAGCCTCCCAAGTCTACCGTGATCAAGTTCCTGCTCTCACCTCCTCCCTGAGACTGCCTGGCCAGGGGTCATGGCAGCTGCCAGCTGCTGGGTAGAACAGAACCTTCCAGCCCTTTGACCCCACTCACCTGTTCTAAAAGGGAGCAGACGCAGTGTTCTCTCTCCCTGCTTCTCGCAAGGTCACGTGATCCCATTTCCACCCCTCTAGCTGCTCCCTCCTCGTTGTCTTTCTTTGAAAGAAAAAAAAAAAAGCAACCTTAATGAGGTATAACTTAAACATCATAATATTCACCACTTTAAGTGTACAATTCAACAAATTTTAATGAATGTGTCATCAAAATTGCTCCAATTTGATGGTCCTCTTCCTCTGCCTCTGGATAAGAGCTGGTCTTCGTGCCGCACCTTCTGTGCCCGCGACGACACGTGTCCAGACCTTGCCGCTGAGTTCCAGGGACCTCAAATGCGGGACGTCACAAATTCCACTCACCAAACGGACTCCTCCTCTGCACTCCCTACCATCGTGGATGACACTGTCACCCACCCAGTGCCCAAGCAGACACCACCCAGCCATGACCCACCATCCTTAACGGGCCTAGAGCTCATGCTCTGCTCTTGGGCGACGCTGGCCAAGGCCACCATCATCACTCTGAGCTGGGTTCCCACAGCGCTGCCACCTGGTCTTCCTTCCTGCAGTCCCAGCCACCCACCCCCACCTCCAGTTGGCCAGCAAAGGCATCTAAGACACACATGCCATCACGCTGTGCCCGGTTTAACATCTTTTTTGAGACAGGGTCCAACTCTGTCACCAAGGCTGGAGTGCAGTGGTGCAATCACAGCTCACTGCACCCTTGACCTTCTGGGCTCCAGCGATCCTCCTGCCTCCGCCTCCCGGGTAGCTAGGACCACAGGCATGCACCACCACACCTGGCTAATTCTTGTATTTTTTGTAGAGACAGGGTTTAGCCATGTTCCCAGGCTGGTCTTGAACTCCTGGGCTCAAATGATCCTCCCACCTCAGCCTCCCTAGTAGCTGAGACTACAGGTGCGTGCCACCAGGCCCAGCTTTTTTTTTTTTTTTTTTTTTTAATTTTTTGTAGAGATAGGGTTTTCCCATGTTGCCCAGGCTGGACTCAAACTCCTGTTCTCAAGTTATCCGCCTGTCTCAGCTTCCCAAAGGGCTGAGATTAGAGGTGTGAGCCACTGTGCCCAGCCTTCACATCATCCAGCAGCTCCAGTGCCTGGGGTAAGGTCCAGTCCCCATGCTAAGGCTCTGCTGCCAGGTGTTTGGCTGAGGTCCCCTTGTCACCTTTGGAAATGCAACAGTTGTGGGTGGCCCCAGTCTCTGTCCCAAGAACATCAGCCCAGACCCTTGGTCAGAAAAGACTCAGAACAGATTCAGAGAAGCCACCAGTTCTCTCTGCCTCACAGTGTCCCACTGGGTCTGCCAAGTCTAATTCCGAATTGTATGAACTGACCACTGGTTTGGGCATCGACTCGTCCAAGCTTCAGAGACAAACAGCACAGGTTTCTGGGGCCCTCACCGCGCTGTAGCTCCCTTACCTCATCCACGTGCCGGGACTAATCGACAGCTTAGCCTCCCCACTCTCACCGGTTGCATTAAGACAGAGAGAGAGCAGCTGGCTTTGCATCTCCAATGGGTTAAAAAAGAGAAGGCAATTCCATTTACAAAATAGGATTACAATTTTGCAGAATCCTGCTGGGGCCTGGGGGAAACTTTGAAAACACATTCATTTTGTTTCATCCTTATCAGAGCCACCTGCTCTCCCTTCCCCCACACCAGCCATCTTGATTACTCAGAGACCAAGGCATGAGCAGGAGCTGCTGGTACCCCAGCCTGCAAAGGTGTCGCTGGGGCTCCTCAGCCATTTGGACTCCTGGCTGGGAGGCTCACGTCCTCGGTCAATAAAGTGCCCCTCTGGAGAGACAGAGGCACCAGCAGCTTTCCCACCACAGCAGGCCTGCTGAGACCTTGGCCCCTCCCCGAGACCTCCACAGAACCCTGAACCTACAACTGAGGAGGAATTGATCTTCCTCTGAAACTGTTTGTCTACAGGAAAAAAGAAACAAGCCAAAGAAAAGCAAGGGCAAGGGAATCAAGTTATTGCGACAGGTGTTCGGGCTCCCGAAATAATAAACATGTTGGGTAAGTTGCAGTCTCACTGTGGAAGGACTCATCTTGATGCAAAGCCTTTCTTCCCTGCACCAGAGGGGGAAAAAAACCATAGTAAACAGGAGGTGGGGGAAATCAATTCCTCATGCACGTTGCTCATTGAATGAGGGAATCTCAACCCAACTCTGTCCTTTCCTGTCTTCTATTAACTTTGTCAATTTCCCACCTCCTGAGTTGCTGGCTTTGCATGATGAGGTGGGTGAAGGTTTGGGGAGGTGAGCTGGAGAAAGTTGATGGCCCCTTGGGCTGGGCCATGGCCTTTTAACTCTATTATGTTGGGATGGGGGGCTTTGTCTCCAGATTGGCTGCAAGAAATCACAGAAAATGAGGGACCTTAGAGAGCACCTATTTCAACCACCTTATTTTACAGATTAGGAAAATAAATCTCGGGGAGTTTAAGGTCTCACCCAAGGTTGTTTAGCCATGAGCCACAGAGGCAGCCCATAAAAGAGCTAAATGAATGGCGAGTCCAGTGGGCAGGTACTGCCCCGGAGCAGAGGGAAGCGCTTCTGCAGCTCCTTGGATTTTGTTGCCTGAGGTCGAATAAAGAACTCTTAAAGGGATAATGGCTCAGTAACTCAGGTGCTAAAGTAATGGAAGCGAGAGGGAAGATCACCTCCTGACTCTCAATCTCTGGGGGACAGGGGGCGGTGGGAACGAGAAAGAATTGATGGGGGCCTCCTCCTGTGTCCCTGAACAAACAGAGCACTTGCAAGAAAAGTGCTTAGGAACTAATCACCCCTACGAGTGGGAGGGGTGCCCTTCAGATGGTAAATCTCCCCATTACCAAGGACGCTTCCTTTATTGTGGATTCGCAGTCTCCTCAGAGAAGCATCCAAGGAGCTTGGCATCTCCCTTGCTCCTGGTGAGACCGGAAGGCAGGCTGGTCCCCAGCTCTTCAGAGTGGAGCTGGGAAGAGCTGCAGCTGCCCCAACGCTGGGAAGTCACCAGTCCTTAGGGTTGCTACGTTTAGCAGATGAAAATTCAGGATGGGCCAGGTGTGATGGCTCACACCTGTAATCCCAGCACTTTGGGAGGCCGAGGCAGGTAGATCACCTGAGGTCAGGAGTTCGAGACCAGCCTGGCCAACACGGTGAAACCCTGCCTCTACTAAAAATACAAAAATTAGCTGGGCGTGGTGGTGGGTGTCTGTAATCCCAGCTGCTCCGGAGGCTGAGGCAGGAGAATCACTTGAACCCGGGAGGCAGAAGTTGCTGTGAGCCAAGATCACGCCACTGCACTCCAGCCTGGGTGACAGAGCAAGACTCCATCTCAAAAAAAGAAAAAAAAAAAAAGACATAACAGCCAGGTAAATCTGAAAAACAGCTCTAACTGCCTAACTTGTAATGTTTTGGTGAGAGACAGCTAAATAATATTTAGGGTGTTCCAACAGGGTCAATATGGGTCAAAGGACAACATCTGTTAGCTCAGAAGAAATCTGTCAGCACAGAGCATATGCGTTGGCCGGGCACGGCGGCTCATGCCTGTAATCCCAACACTTTGGGAGGCCAAGGTGGGAGAATCGCTTGAGCACATTTCAAAAATCAGCCTGGACAACATAGGGATATCCCTGTCTCTACAAAAATAAAAAAAAAAATGAGCCACGCCTGGTGGCACGTGCCTGTGGTCCCAGCTACTTGAGGGGCTGAGATGAAAGGATTGCTTGTTGAGATCAAGGGTGCAGTGAGCCGTGATCACGCCACCGCATTCCAGCCTGGGAGACAGAGCAAGACCCTGTCTCAAACAAAAAAAATGTGTATACACAGGGCCCCTGGCCACCGTCCCCGCTCGAAACCCCACGCAAGTGTGTGGGAAGTGCCCTGCCCCACACACAGTAATCTGTCTGCTCCTCCCAGGGTGAACTCCGTATGAATGACAGCCTGGCAGTCTGTGTGTGCTTCCCCACTAGGGTAGGGGCCCAGAAAAGGGCTCTCCAAAGTGGGCTGATAACATTTTGGACTGTTAAGTCTTTTCATCCTAGGGGGCCTTCCTGGTGGAAGCAGGCTTCAAAGAAAGATTTATGTACACCACAGAGCTCCAGCATCTCCTACATTTAAAAGTCTGGGACACTCTCAAAGGACCAAATAAGTTGCATTGGAACAAAAGTGACAAACAGGAAGGCGGGATAGGTAGGGGGCGGGTAGTGCCATGGGGCTTGGACACTGTGGCTGGCAAGTCATTTCACCCTTCTGAAACTGGTTTTTTTAATTTTATAGTTAAAGGATCTTGTTATGTTGCCCAGGCTGATCTCAAACACCTGGGTTCAAGCGATCCCCCTGCTTCGCCTCCCAAAGCGCTGGGATTCCACTGGCCGGCTTGAAACCCTCTTATTTGTGGGATGAAGACTGCCCAGCCCACAGGTTGTTTTGAAGATCACATGGGGTGATGGAAATAAAAATGCTTTCAAATAGCAAGCTGCGGCCGGGCACAGTGGCTCACGCTGTAATCTCAGCACTTTGGGAGGCTGAGGCGGGTGGATCACGAGGTCAGGAGATCTCTCGAGACCATACTGGCTAACACAGTGAAACCCCATCTCTACTAAACAAAAATAGAAAAATTAGCCAAGCGGCTACTCGGAGGCAGAAGAATGGCGCGAACCCGACAAGCGGAGCTTGCAGTGAGCCAACATGGCGCCACTGAACTCCAGCCTGGGCGACAGAGCAAGACTGTCTCAAAAAAAAAGTAAAAAAAAATAAAAATAGCAAGCTGCTACAGAATGGAATATAAGCTCCTAATAAAATTGGACATGACCTGACACCGAGTACCAAGCTAAACACTTCACGTGCTTTATCTCAGCGCCTCTCAGTTAATCTCATCGTCACATGCCTATGGGGCCAATCCATAACTTCTTCACTTTGCATCTGTGGAGCTCAGAGGTCTTGTACGGCCTGGCCCCACAGTCGGTAAATGAAACACAGACCCTGGCCGGGTGCGGTGGCTCACACCTGTAATTCCAGCACTCTGGGAGGCCAAGGCAGGCAGATCACGAGGTCAGGAAATTGAGACCATCCTAGCTAACATGGTGAAACCCGGTCTCTACTAAAAATACAAAAAAATCAGCCAGGCATGGTGGTGGGCGCCTGTAGCCCCAGCTACTTGGGAGGCTGAGGCAGGAGAACGGCGTGACTCCGAGGTGGAGCTTGCAGTGAGCCGAGATGGAGCCCCCACACTCCAGCCTGGGAGACAGAGTGAGACTCTTGTCTCAAAAAAAGACCCTGATTCCAAACCCGGTGTTCATTCATTCCTTGTTCAACAACGATTCAGCAAATGTTTGCTGCCATCAGCAGAGTTCAGGGTATCAAAAAGAAAGCAGTGGATGGGAGACACCCACTCTTGCTCTCATAAAACTCAGTCTATTAGAACCATCACCACAGGAGAAAGGATAATTTTCCAAGCATTTACAAGGCACCAAGGACCGTGCTAGGTACTTTCCATGATATAGGAACTAATGTTATTCCCATTATTTCAATGAAAACCGAAATTCAAAAAGGCGAAATGATAAACCCAGGTCACACAGCTACGGTGGAGCTTGGATTTGAACCCAAGTCCTGGACTCCAGAGGCCTTATTCTCCCTTGCTGCTACGCTAGAGAAACAAAAAGCTTTCATTGTGATGATTTAAAGCTTAACCCTCACTATAAGGATAGTGACCCCATATATTACCATGTTGTGTCTGGAATTTGTGGATTCTTGGTCTTACTAACCTCAAGAATGAAGCCGTGAACCCTCGCACTGAGTATTACAGTTCTTAAAGGCGGCGTGTCCGGAGTTTCTTCCTTCTGGTGGGTTAGTGGTCTCGCTAAGCTTCAAGAGTAAAGCTGCAGACCTTCATGGTGAGTGTTACAGCTCATAAAGGCAATATAAACCCAAAGTGAGCAATAGCAATATTTATTGCAAAATAGTGCAGAGTGAAAGAACAAACCTTCCACAGCACAGAAAGATAACCAAACGGGTTGCTACCGCTAGCTCCGGCAGCCTGCTTTTATTCTCTTATCTGGCCCCACCCACATCCTGCTGATTGGTCCATTTTACAGAGAGCCCATTGGTCTGTTTTACAGAGAGCTGATTGGTCCGTTTTGACAGGGTGCTGATTGGTGCGTTTACAATCCCTGAGCTAGACACAAAAGTTCTCCACATCCCCACTAGATTAGCTAGATACACAGTGTCGATTGGTGTATTTACAAACCCTGAGCTAGACACAGAGTGCTGATTGGTGCATTTACAAACCTTGAGCTAGATACAGAGTGCCGATTGGTGCATTCACAATCCCTGAGCTAGACATAAAGATTCTCCAAGTCCCCACCAGATTCAGGAGCCCAGTTGGCTTCACCCAGTGGAGCCGCCTGCCCGCCCGGCGCCGTTCGCCCGCACTCCTCAGCCCTTGGGCGGTAGATGGGACTGGGCGCAGCGGAGCAGGGCGCGGCGCTTGTCAGGGAGGCTCGGACCGCGCAGTAGCCCACGGCGGGGGCGGGGGCGGGGGCGAGGGCAGGGGCGAGGCTCAGGCATGGCAGGCTGCAGGTACCGAGCCCTGCCCCGCGGGGAGGCAGTTAAGGCCCTGCGAGAAATCGAGCGCAGCGCCGGTGGGCCAGCACTGCTGGAGGACCCGACGCACCCTCCGCAGCTGCTGGCCCGGGTGCTAAGCCCCTCACTGTCGGCCGGCCGCTCCGAGTGCGGGACCCGCCAAACCCACGCCCGGGGAACTCTACCAGCAAGCGCTGTGCGCAGCCCCGGTTAGCCCCCGTGCCTCTTGCTCCACACCTCCCCGCAGCCTGAGGGAGCCGGCTCCAGCCTCCACCATCCCAGGAAGGGGCTCCCACAGTGCAGCAGCGGGCTGAAGGGCTCCTCAAGCGCGGCCACAGTGGGCGCCGAGGCCGAGGAGGCACCAAGAGCGAGCGAGGGCTGTGAGGGCTGCCAGCATGCTGTCACCTCTCAATGTCAGGTTTTCAGAGTCTAAGTTTGTGAAATTTAGAAAGAAGAGGAGAATCGCTGGGTATAGATGTAAAACAATGCTTTGTAGGAAGGATCTAACATTTTCTTTCAGGATGAGGGCAGGAGTGCGTATCTGAGGCTTTGGCTCAAAGACAAAGAGGGAGAGAGAGGGCTTCACCTCATGATCTACAACATTTCCACGATGTACCACCGCGTCCCGGCTCCCCGATCCCCTTGGAAGAATTCGTTCTCTCGGTCAGAGCGACCTCGCACGCTGATCGGTCGAGGGACCCGCCATGCTCAGGGCTCAGCACCCCCGAGTTAAGGAGACAAGAGCAGCCATCTCCCGGCCCCCAAGCACCCGGACTCACACCCGCCTCTGCTGCGACTTCACCAAGGAAGGAAAAATGGCTCGAAATGCCTGTACATTAAGAAGCGTATAATTATGCATAATAAAAAGACGCCGGCCCTTGTGTATATAAACACAGCTTTGACTGAGTGCCTTCTCCCAGGCAGCCCTTCTGGCTCTCAACAGCAGCAGTGGAACATCTTAAACATATGGTCGCCATCCAGGCCTCCAGGCAGATCTGAACTGGGGAGGGGGTGGGGGCAGGGGCAGGCGGGAGGTGGAGACGGGACGGGGATACAGGAAAATCAGGAGATGGTTGTTTGGGGAAGAGGGTTACACGGAGAGCTGGTGGGCCAGGGGTCAGACATTTACAATCAGGACATAATCTGTGACCTGCCACCCCAAGTTGAGCTGTCTTTCTCTCTCCCTCCTCTGCCCCAGGCTCAATTTGCCCCCAAAGACAATAATAGGGAGTTCTGCCACCTGTCTCCGGGGAGCGGGAAGGAGAGCTGCTGAGTGGCAGGAATATTTCCTGGTTTTGATTTGGGGATCCTCTCATTTCTGTTTGCACTGATTTCAGCACCTGTCACCTGCAAGGCGCTGAGTAGGCAAGGAGGGAATCCCCCAGTGGATAAGCCACTTCCGATGGTGTAGCAGTTCAACAGGTGATCAAAGACACCCCCAATTTCAGTCAAGCTCCCAACCTTGGGTTCTCCAGCCTCAAGCTTTGCCTGGCCTGCCCATCAGGGTGTGGTCTTGCTGCCAGCTGCTCCTGACCAGGGTGGTGAGTCTTCAGGCTGGTGCTCAGCCTCCCCCGGGCCAACCCGGAGTTTGTGCAGTGCCCCTCAGGCTCCTGGAGACCCCATGCTGCACCATGAAAGGGCCTGCTCACCACAGTAGAGGGCTCTGTTCCTAGCCTTCCCCACCATCACCGCCACCTCCCCACACAATCCATCACTTCTCTGCAAAGCTGGACAGCGGAGCAAAGCTGGCTCCGAACTGGGAAGCTGGGGAGCCAGTGGAGCTGGTCTGCGCATCCTCCTTGGGCCGTCACTAGCAGGCCTGTCTCAGGCAGATCTGTGGTCCAGCTATGCTGTCGCTCTATTTGGGGTGGGGGGCGGTGAGGAGGAAGTGGATGCTGGAGGGGACAGTGCTTGGTCTCCTCATCCTGCAGCATATGTAGAGTCCTCTCCACACCCCAGACAAACTGGAGATGCTGGTCCTGAAGCGAAGACTTGGGTGCAAGTGTTTTATTTGGGAGATGACCCCAGGAAGCAGGAGTGAGGGGCAGGAAGAGTGAGACTCGGAAGGGAGAAAAGCAAGGAGGGGTGCATTCTTGGGCTTGTCACTACTGTGGACAATGGGACTCAACCCCACTGGGACCCCTCTGCAAAGCCAGGCATGGGGTGCCTTGTAATGGTTCCTCTGGAAGACCGCAGACTAAGGCATTTTCCCACGGGCCCCTGCCCATGGGCTGAGGTTTGATTCTCCTGCTTTTCCAACTGCACCTGCAGGGACACTCCTTCCTGCTCCGGGGACAGCCCCAGGCAGAGACTCGGGGTGCACTTGAGGTTGGGAGATGGTTTCAGCATGCATGGACTGCCCCCCACAGCTACAGACAAATCAGAAGTGGGCGAGGCATGCAGACTCAGAGCACGGATGGGTGAGTGAATGAAGGAGTGAAAGAGTAACTTTAAGACAGTTTCAGGGCGTGGACCTGGGAGTGCAAAAGCAGCCTCCTCTCTGCCTGAGGATCACCTCTGTGTGAGCCTCAGCTTTGTCTCTGGAAAGGGGACGATGCAAAGCCACAGGCAGAGCATCACAGCCAGGACAGCAGGGATGCGCTAAGAGGGCACTAGGCTCTGGGAGCAGGAGAAATGGCTCAGGCAGGAGCTGCAACTCTCTGGCACCACGCTAAGGAGTTAGGACTCTATTTTCTACCAATCACAGGCATGTGGGGACATCCTCCTACTAGCAAAGCCAGGAGATGTACAGTCTGTGGCTTGTGGGAGGCAGGCGTCAGGTCAGGGACAACCCCTGCCAAGGAGAGGTAACGCCCACATCCCCTCCACTCCCTCCACCCACACCTGCCCCTTGCTGTGCAGACACACCCTCATGCTGGCCGTGACAATGAGACCAAGAATTAAGTCCCTGGGAGTCAGCAAAGTTTTCTAAGGAAAATGTGGAGATGATCTCATATTAGAAAAATCAGAGAGTTAACAAGAGAGCGTCTGGGAGGAGGGAAAGGAATCAGTGTTTCTCAGCTAGCTGGCACCAGACTCCCAGGGCACTTGAAAGGTATTGGGCATTTTTCCTTTTTGCTATGACCGGGGAGGGCACTCCTGAATCAAGTGGGCATGAGAGGCATCCTGCGATACACACAACAGTCCCCCAGCAGCAAAGAGCGGCCCGCTCAGTCCAGGGGCCAGTCACAGTTGGTAAATGAAAGACAGACCCTGATTCCAAACCCAGTGTTCATTCATTCCTTTTTCAACAACGATTCAGCAAGTGTTTGCTGCCGTCAGTAGAGTTCAGGATATCAGAGAGGAAGCAGGGAATGGGAGACACCCACTCTTGCTCTCATAGAATTCACAGCCTATTGCAACCATAACCACAGAAGAAAGGATCATTTTCCAAGCATTTACAAGGCACCAGGGACCTGGCGCCTGGGAAAGCCACCAGGCTTCCAGGGGCCCCTGTTACTCTCCTCATGACCCAAATGCCACAGCTCCCCCATTGAACACCCCTGAAAGAACACTTAGAAACAGCCCAGGGGAATGATACAGGGGGGTTGCAGGACTTCCCATTCACCCAGGAAGAGGAGTGGGAGGCAGGTAACTGAGAAAGGATGGCAAAGCTTCTAGGCTGCATGCCCAGCCGGCTGAGTGTTTAGGGATACGAGAGAGGACAGCAGGTGAAAGGTACCTGAAATGGGGTTAGAGGGAGACAGTCTTGATGTGCAGTTGTCACAGGAAACCGTGAAGGAGCTGGTGTGAGCACTGCTGAGCTGGGCCGGGTCTCTGCAGAGGCAGAAACGAGAGATGAACAAACAGAACCGACCACTCCTTTCGGACCCCTCTGCAACATGGTCGCTGCAGCTCGGGCGGCACTGGACAGGTGGGCGCCACAGAGCGAGGGGGCCGGCAGAGAAGGGTGGGACTCCCTTGCAATTCTGACATCTCCCTTCAGCTCTCCATCCAGAGAGATGTTTTTATGTAAGCAGTAGCCAGAGAGGGATTGGAGATGCTAATTCCATTTCATTAGATCCCAGCAGCTTTCGATTACAGCAGGCCGGAGGGAGGAAACAGAGCCGATGTGTTTTTAGAAGCCGCAGTTTTGTTCTGTTTTTAATTTAATGCTGCTGGTCAAAAGATGCCACCTTGGAGTCGCTAATGATTCGCGTGAATTATTTTGGTTGATTTACACACCCCTTCGACTTTAAATAACAAGGGAGGAAGGAGAGCTGGGTCCCCCCTGGAGCTGTGAGCCTGCAGCTGGAAGAGGATGCTGCCGACTTGAGGGTTTCTTTTTTTTTTTTTTTTTTCAATTGTTTCCTCCGTGCGGGGCTGGGCCCTGGGCATTTATAAACAGGGCACAAACTTGGGACACCAGACACCGTCCCCCTTGGACCACTGCCCTCCAAGCCGTGTCTTGCCTACCGTTCTTTCCCCAAAAAAAGCCAGTGGTTAGTGTATTAGAGTTGGTACAAGGTGTCAGACTTAGGACGAAGATCTTATATGCACAAACTCTGATGCTCACATTTATGCTGAGAATTAGTGTGACATTCCCTGTGTCCCTGAGGAAGAAAACAAAGCTCTGAGTGGTTTAGGAGCTTGCTCAAGGCTGCCTCACTAGGAAGTGGCAGAGACAGCAACCAAACTCACGCACAGCAGGGCCTTTCGGGTTTGGTTCAGTATTGCACCTGGAGTCCTACAGGAAATGAAAGAGTAATGGACCCAGATTTGTCTGAATCCAGAGTCGAAGCCCTTCCCATTTTTCTGGAGGACCAGTGGTCTCCAAAGGGACTGGGCTGACCAGAAAGGCCAAGACCAAAGGCTGAAGGGAGTGGAACCCTCCCTTCCAGACCCCCAGCATCCGATGGGCATCTGAGCAGCAGCTTCACCCAGGGCCGCCTGGCAGGGGTTTGATCATGTGCCTGTCTGCCAGGAAAACAGTTTGAGGGTTGGAACAAGTGTCCAAAAGGAGCCTTCATTTATCTTGATTCCCAGCTCATCTCCATCAGGGGAAACGTCTCCTGTCTGCCCCTGCCCCTCTCTTTTTTCTTCCCTTCAAAATAAAATTAGAGGCAGCCGGGAAGAGCATTAAGTCCTTTCCAAATTTCCCTTTCTCATCCGTCATGTCCAGGCCGGAGCTTCGAGGCTGCACTGGGAAGTGAGGGTCTCTCTGCTGGGAGCAGCAAATGGCAGACAGGGGGCTGGCAAGGAGGGAGGAACCCAGCTCAGGTGACCAGGGAGAGGCCTGGCTTCTCCATCATCAGGCGGTCAGGGCAGCTGCATATGTGATTCAGGCCAGCAGGAGGCTTTGAGGCCGGCTGGGCCAAGGCAATCAGGAAAACCACCAGAATCAGGAGGAGAGAAATAGAGGCCCCCGGAAGCCTCGTGACTTTCCCATCAGGGAGGAGCAATCAGTGTATATGCAAAGTGCTGCAGATTGACATCACAGGCATTTCATCCGGGGACTCAAGCCGGGAGAAACAGGGACTACAAAGGTGGAAGTCCCAGGTTCAAATCCCAGCTCTGCTACTTACTAGTTCTGTGGTCTCAGGCAAGTTATTGCACTCCCTTCAACCTCCATTTGCTGATGAAAAACAAACCCGGCAGGAAGCGGATGGCACCTGCCAACAGGCTGACCAGAGGGCCTTAACCAAGGGACCAGGAGCAGCTACATAACCAACAGATCTGGAGCAAAGTGAAAATGTGAGCCCCATGGTTAAAAAGTGTTAAGAATTTCAAGATGATAACAGCGGAGCATTAGACCAGGAATGGGCCCTTCTAAGCGCCGGGCCCAGGATGACGTCATGGGTCACAGGCCCACAAAGCTGGCCTTGGAAGGGGCTTTTTACCAAGATGTGGGCAGGGTTTAGGGAAACCACTCCTTGTGCGACAAGTGAGTGGCCTGGAGAAAGCATAGCTGTCCCTTCGCTGTAGAAGGCCTCAGAATGGGAACAGAGCTTTGACAGGGGTCGGAGGGCTGGGGAAATTCCCACCCTCTCTCTGTGACCTGAGTCGGGAGCCTAGTGATGCGGTCCACGGAGCTCTGCCTCCGAGCGCAGAGCAGCGGGAGAAGGGCTGAGGGTGGCTATGGGGATGAGCAGCTATCTGCCTCGCTGGGAGGACCTCATGAATGTTTGTGCATGAAGGCGTCTAGCACAAGGAGGCCCTGTGAGAGCTATTCAGCTTCTTCCTGGAGCACTGATGACTTTCTTGTTCCTCTGCTCTAACTTGCTTCCTCTCTTGAGGGTGGACCCACTAGGAGACGTCTTTCCACTCCCTGTGGCATCTCCCAGCTGAGAACACAGCCAGTACCTAGGTAATGGAAGTCATTGAATGAATCTGGTTGTGAGTGGGAGCCACCGGCTCAAGCTCTTTCACAGTGAATCTGGTGCTGCCCTGGAATCTGCATTCCCTGGTGAACAAGGACAAGGAGGGAGACACCGAGCAGGCCAGTGCCCACCAAGCTCTGAGTCTCATATGTCAGGTGCAAGCCGAGCCCCGCAGGACACAGCAGCCACACCCCAAGAGGTAAAGAAAGGGACTAGGATGAAAGTGAGAGAACTAAGGGCAGAGCTGAGGGGGCTCCAGGTGGAGGGTGAGGCTGGTAAAAATTGGGGTGTTCCGGAAGCCAGATGCGGTCTGACTCCCTCCTGCAACCCCTCAGGGGAAGCCCCTGTGAGGGGCACAAACACTCTCAGCACTGGAAACCATGCGGTCACACCGCCAACATGTTAGCCAAGTGCCATCTGCCTAGGAACAGCCTCCTTCTGTGCAGAAAGCTTGTCATGCCTCCTGGTGGTGCCAGCTGCAGGCTGTGTGCTTGGGCAGCTGGCACTACCCTTGGACCTGCTCTCCCCTTCCAAGGAAGACAGTGACCTTGCCAAGGTGAAAGTATGAAACCAAGCACAGGGCTCCCAGATCAGAGGTGTGGCTCAGCAACGCTCTAAAATTGGGTCCAGCTTTGGAAGACCCAGTGTCCTCTCTGCTGGTCAGGCAAGGTCACACCGCCAGGGGCTCAGCTCCCCAGATGCCCTCTGTGCAATGCTGAGCCCTGAGCTGGTGCTTTACTTCTCCACATATCCACGCTCTGCCTCTCCATAATCACGGTTTGGTTCCCTAAGAAGCAGTTCCTGAGCGGATTTGAGCACAAATTGTTTATTTGAGAGGTACTGGCTATGGGGGGAGCCCCAGCAGGAGAGCAGGGAAATGACCCAGAGAAGGGAAGGCAGCCAGGGAAGGGCTGTTCTAAGCCCACTGCCAAAGTGGGCACTAGGGCTGCATCCTGTGAGGAAACTGAGAAACAACGCAAAACACAGGATCTGGAACCATCCACTCCCAAACCTACATAAGGGGTAAGCTGAGATGTTTATATGTCAACTCATGATGATCTTCAGCTGAGGGCTGCTTCTGGGAGATGGTCATTCTAGGCTTTTCTGGGGCCTCCCAATGCAGGGGTTGGAGGTACCAAGGCTGTGAGAGGCCAAAGCTGGCAGTTGAAAGTTAGCCCAACCGTGCAAAAAGGGATAGAGTCATAACACTTACAGTGTCCGCTTCACCCTCTAAGCTCCCCTGTGCATTCATAGCATCCCAAAAGCATTTATTAAGCACTTCCAGTTTGTACCAAGTTTAGAAGAAGATCCAAAGAAGACTCAGTTATGTCTGAACCTAATGGTCAGATGGGCGCACAGCAAAGCCATCGCCGTGCAACCTCACAGCAAAGGCAAGCCAACATCAGAGCGCAGAAGAGGGAGTAGGGAAGTGGAGAAAGCTTCCATAAAAAGAGAAACCTTTGCTCCTGATGGCTTTTAATATCACCTATATGTTAATAACTCTCAAATTTATATTTCAGCCTGAACTGCTTCCCTGAATTTCAGACTTGTAGACCTGACTGCCTACTTCCTTCTGCTTGTATGTTTCATGCAGATCTGTATTTGTTATCTTGCTGGCTAACAAATGACCCCAAAACTTAGCAGCTTAAAACGACTGGCATTTATGATCTCACAGGGTTTCTGAGGGTCAAGAATCCAAAAGAGGCTCAGCAGGGTGGTTCTGGTCTGGAGTCTCTCATGAGACTGCAGTTGAGATGTTGACCAGGGCTGCAGTCATCTGAAGGCTGGACTGGGGCTGGAGGATCTGCTTCCAAGATGATGTATTCATGTGGCTGCTGGCTGGAGACTTCAGGTTCTTCCCACACACCCTCTCCATAGGGCTGCTCATCATATCACAGCTGGCTTCCCCCAGAGCAAATAACCCAAGAAAGAAAGGGAGACAGAGAATGAGACAGGCAGGGGGTACAGTCTTTTACAACCTAATCTAAATACTGGCATAACATCACTTCTGTCACATTTTATTGGTCACACTGACCAACTCTGGTACAGTGTGGGAGGGGACTACACACAGGTGTGAATACCAAGAGGTGGGGCCTGGCCAGTTGTAGTGGCTCACACCTGTAATCCCAACACTTTGGGAAGCCAAGGTGGTCAGATCACTCGAGCCCAGGAGTTTGAGACAAGGCTGGGCAACATGGTGAGACTGCATCTCTACAGAAAAATATTTTTTTAAATGTATCTGGATATGGTGGTGCATGCCTATAGTCCCAGCTACTCAGGAGGCTAAGGAGGAGGATCACTTAAGCCCAGCAGGTTAAGGTTGCAGTGAGCCATGATCACACCACTGCACCCCAGCCTGAGTGATGGAGTGAGACTCTATCTCAAAAAAAAAAAAAAGAAAATGGTTATGGTCACTGGGGTCATATTGAAGGCTGGTGACCACAGGATCTTAAACTTAACATGCCCGAAATGGAACTCCCAAAGTTTCTGCCTTCGTGCACAAAGCCATCTGCACTGTCTTCCTCATCTCAGTGAGAATGGCAAATCCATCTTTCCAGCTGCTCAGGCCAAACACTTGGAGACATCCTTAACTCCTTCCCTTCCATCCACTTACATCTAATCCTTCAGCAAATCCTGGTAGCTGTCCCTTTAAAATATATTGGAATTCTGACCACTTTCCACCACCCTCATTGCTGCCATCCTGATTTAAGGCACCTGCCTTATCATCTCTCACCTGGATGATTGCAATGGCCTCCCCAGCAGTCTCCCTGCTTCCATCTTTGAGCCCCCTGCAGTCATAGTGATCCTGTTAAAATGCATTACTCCTCTGCTTGAAACCCTCTCATGAGGGCAGAAAATCCTCACAGGGCCCTTCACCGTCTGACCCCACCACCACCATCCTAATCTCACATCCTATGACTGCCCTGCACCCTCCATCCGGCCCCCCTGGATATTGCTAGCATACTCCTGCCTCTGACCCTTTGCACTTGCTCTTCCCTCTGTCTAGAAAGCTGTTCCCACCACTATGCCCGGCTAATTTTTTGTATTTTTAGTAGAGACGGGGTTTAACCGTGTTAGCCAGGATAGTCTCAATCTCTTGACCTTGTGATCCACCCGCCTCGGCCTCCCAAAGTGCTGGGATTACAGGCGTGAGCCACCGCGCCCGCCCTGTAGTCCCAGCTACTCAGGAGGCTGAGGCAGGAGAATGGCGTGAACCCGGGAGGCGGAGTTTGCAGTGAGCCGAGATCACACCACTGCACTCCAGCCTGGGCGACAGAGCAAGACTCCGTCTCAAAAAAAAAAAAAAAAAAAAACAAAGAAAGAAAAAAGAAAAGAAAAGAAAGCTGTTCCTCCAGGCATCCACTTGGCTGGCTCCTCATTGCCTTCAAGTCTTTATGCAGTGCCCCCTGCTTGGAAGGCCTTCCCCGACCACCCTATTTATAAACTTCCTATTCCCTTCTTTGCCTTTGTTCTTCTTCTTAGCATGTTTCACCACCTCCAAACCATCTATTTTATTTGTTTTTCTTACTTGTCTGTCTCCCCCACAGATCGTAAGCTCCATGAAGATCCCTGTCTGTTTTTTCACTACTCTATTCATAGCATCTAGAATTGTGGCTGACTCATTCAGGATGCTAAAAAATATTTGTTGAATCACCAGAAGGAGGGAACATGAAGAAAAGTATTTCAGTTATCTACCACTTCATACCCATCCACCTTAACTAGGATGCCTAAAACAACAACAATCATGTATTTGGCTCCTGAATATGCAATTTGGGCAGAGTCTGGGAAGACAGCTGATCTCTGCTCACATGACATAGGCTGGGGAAGCTCAAAGGCAGGGGTGACCCAACAGTGGGGGCTGGAGTCATCTCAAAGCCATCACTGCTCTCTGGTGGTTGTTACTGGCTGTCACCTCTGACCTCAGCTGGGTTCATCAGCCAGAACCCTACCCTGGCCTCTTCATGTGCTGTTGGCTTCCTCACAATACGGTGAGTTCTAAGAGCACTGCCCCGAGAGGCAAGTAGGGCAAGCTTCCCATTTCTGAAGGCCTTGTCCCAGAAACAAATGCAGTGTCATTGCCACCATTTTCTACCGATGAAGTGGTCACAGAGCCTGGATTCCAGGGGAAGAGACATAGACTCCACCTTCCAATGGAGAAGCAACAAAGAATTGTAGGGCCATGTTTTTAAGACCACCACATAAAGGAAGAGAAAGAAAACCTTTCCCAGGCCCCCCGACTTGTGCCGAGCTCAGCGTAGGATGTTTGCAATCATCAATACACAGGTAAGGGCTTGCCCGCATGCTGTATCATAGAAAGCGGCACGCATCTGGTGTGCTTCTGTCCTGGCCCATGAACCCAGCGCTCACTATGAACTCAAACGTCTTTGCTGTAAGTCACACTGCCTTTCAGAGATCATCTAGCTTTCTTGTTGTAAGATTCCAGGAGGATAACACACTATTCCCCAGAGAAGGTATTCAGTATCAGGCCAGGGTGTGCTGAGACATTCCCAGAGGGATAAGTTACAGACTAACCCAAATGACTTTTTTTGAAGGCAGTGCCATATCTCCAGCCCAAAGAAAAAGCTAGATCAGGATTTCTTTTTTTTTTTCATCTTTTTTTTTTTTTTAGACAGTCTCACTCTGTCACCCAGGCTGGAGTGCAGTGGCACGATCTCGGCTCACTGCAACCTCCACCTCCCGGGTTCAAGCAATCCTCCCACCTCAGCCTCCTGAGTAGCTGGGATTACAGGCACCCACCACCACGCCCAGCTAACTTTTGTATTTTTAGTAGAGACGGGGTTTCACCATATTGGTCAGGCTGGTCTCAAACTCCTGCCCTCAGGTGATCTACCCATCTCAGCCCCCCAGAGTGCTGGGATTACAGGCATGAGCCACCACGCCCAGCAGATCAGGATTTCTTAACTGGGGTTCTGTCGACATTCTGGGTCAAATCATTCTGTTTGGGGGCTGTCCTGTGTGCGTTATAGGATGCTTAGTGGCACCCCCAGCCTCCACTCTCTAGATGCCAGTAGCAAGTCCCCCAACCCTTCTGCAGCTATGACAACCAAAATGTCTCCAGACATCAGCAACCTTCACCTTGGGGGCAAAATAACCCCCAGATGAAAACTGCTGGGTTAGAGTGATGCTTAAAGTATTATTTGCAGTATTTTCTCAGTTCTGGATCTGTTTGAAGTCTTCTCCCCTGGCTCAGTTAGAGCTCCTGAACCCTTTCATCTTCTAGACACCGTGAACCATGTACTTGACCATGTGGCCCATTTCACTGTGATTATTGGAAAACTTAGAATCAAAGATGTTTCAGGGTGTATCCCACAGGGACATGCATCTTTAGTCTTATGTCTGCTCCATTTTACATCATTTCTTCTTTGACCAAACTCTTCATTTATGCAAGTCTTCTTATATTTTATGCATTCTTTTTATCTGTCCTAAATCTTTTCTAGAAGAAGGGAGAGTACAAAGAGCTAAATAAATAACTGCAGTCAGGGTAAATATTCATGGAGATGACGTCAGAGAGAGGCAGACACCTGCCTGGAGGGAAATAGGACAAACAGAGCATGAAGGCTTGTCGAGAAGGCAAAACCAGACAGGTGGGAGCCAGACGATGTGTCTGGGCAGAGTGTGGGTCACCCAGAGGGGTCACTCTCCAGAGGGGAAGATTAGAGAGAAGATGGACAGAGGCTAGGGTGTCGAAACCCCTCCCCCAGGAAAGGATCTTGTTTTGTTGTATTTTCTGTTTACAGGAAAGTCAGGGGAAGGGAAGGGATGGTTTGTTCACTTGTTATTTTTGTTTCAGAGACAGAGTCTTGCTCTGTCTCCCAGGCTGGAGTGCAATGGCACAATCATGGCTTCCTGTAGCTTCAACATCCCAGACTCAAGCAATCCTCCCACCTCAGCCTCCCAAGCACAGCTGGGACTACAGGCATTTGCATTTGCCATCGCATCTGGCATTTTTTTTTCTTTTTTTGTAGAGGCAGGGTCTCGCTATCCTCAGCCTCCCAAAGTGCTGGGATTACAGGTGTTTGCCACCATGCCGGGCCGGGAAGGTGTTTTAATCAATAGCGTTTACCAACAACAAGACCCCACCTGCCACGTGAATGAGTCACCTTGGAAATGAATCTTCCAGCCCCAGTCCAGCTTCCTAAAGTGATGCTGCGTGGAGCAGAAATGGGCTGTCCCCACCACGCCTACCCAAACTGCAGATTCTTGAGCAAAATAAATGCTTATTGTTTTTAGACACAAAGTTTTAAATTGGCTTGTTGCACAGCAATAGATAACTGGAACATCTTTAAATAACTGTCAATCAACCCCTCCCAGACTCCGTTTCCTTATCTGAATTGTGAGCCTTCAAGGGTCCATGGAGTGCCTGGCATGGGGAAGGGCCTCCTCTGCCAGCAGGTGTTTGATATGACTGCAAAGGCAGGCAGGTACTAAGCCAAAACACAGCCGTGCCTCCAGTACGGCTGGAGGACAACACAGATGTGAAACTGAAAGACGGTGGAATAAGCGTGCATTCACTTAGAAATGAGGGCTGGAGCTCCTACCGTGTGCCCAGGGAAGGAGTAGAAGGAAGTACAGAACTGTGGGAAGCAGACGGCGGGGAAATCCCACACTGCTCAGTCCTGGCCCATTTCCTCCCTCTCTTCTCTCTCCCTAGGGTTCTCATCTCTGCCAGCCACATCTTAATTTTTGTGTATGTCCCAAGATAGTCTTTCCTATGAGTCCCCCACCTGTATATCCAACATCACCTCCTGGGTGCATCAAAGACCCTCACCCTCAATAAGTCCAGATCCAACCTTGTGCCCACCCCCACCTCCCAACATCAAGTTGACTTTGTTCTGCTCTGCCCAGGTCAGACAGTAGCTTGTCCACGGCCACAAGTCATCAGCTAGCCACCCTGCCTCCTCCTCCTCGCCCCCCTCCCCATATCCTAAATGTCACTGAGTCCTGATGGTTTTGCTTCCTAAATACCATTCAAACTGGTCCACTGCTTTCCATCCCACAGCCGTCCCCCACCACCATCTCCTGCATAGCCATTGCAATGGCCTCCTTAATAGCCTCCCCCACCCCCATCGCCTCTCCCCTCTCACCTGCCCTCACAGCAACAGCAAGCTTTGTAAAATACCAAATCATCTCTCTGCTTAAAACTTTCCACTGATTTCCTGGTGCACTTAGGTTAAAGGCCCATGTCCTGTCACTATCTACAGTGGGTCCTGCAAGGCCCAGCCCCTGTGAAACCCACCCACTCCACCTCCTCTGTAACCACCTCCCACTCCCTGCACTGCTGTCTGTGTTTCAGCCACACGGGCTTCTTTCAGCTCGCCAAACTCTCTGTGCTCCCTCCTGCCACAGGGCCTTTGCACATGCTGTTGTTACCTCAGCCGAAGATGCATTCGACTTACCCCCTTCCAACATACATCTTTTTTTTTTTTTGAGACAGGGTCTTGCTCTGTTGCCCAGGCTGCAGTGCGGTGGCACAATCTTGGTTCACTGCAACCTCAACCTCCTGAGCTCAAGCAATCCTGCCTCCCAAGTAGCTAGGCCTACAAGCTCACACCACCACATCCAGCTAACCAACACATACTTTTTTTTTTTTTTTTGAGATGGAGTCTTGCTCTGTCACTCAGGCTGGAGTTCAGTGGCACAATCTTGGCTCACTGCAACCTCCGCCTCCCAGGTTCAAGCAATTCTCGTGTCTCAGCCTCCAGAGTAGCTGAGATTACAGGTGCCTCCCACAATGCCCAGCTAATTTTTGCATTTTTAGTAGAGATGGGGTTTCACCATGTTGACCAGGCTGGTTTCAAACTCCTGACCTCAAGTGATCCACCCGCCTTGGCCTCCAACACTTTTAAGAAGCCTTTCCTGCTCTCTCTGACCAGACCAACCCCACTGGTACCAAATGGTAACGCTCTTTCCTGGCACTAATCTCCATTTAATTTTACATTCCTTTGTGTGATTCTTTGATGAATGTCTTCCTTTCATGCTAAATTTAAGCTCTTGAAGATTATGACTGTTTTTTGGTACTGTTATAACCCAAAAAGCTAGTTCAGTGCCCTGGCCCGTAGTAAGCACTCAATAAATATGTGTAGGCTGAGGACCATGGCTCACGCCTATAATCCCAGCACTTTGGGAGGCTGAGGCAGGAGGATCACTTGAGTCCAGGGGTTAGAGGCCAGCCTGGGCAACATAGCAAGACCCTGTCTCTACCAGAAAAATTGTTTTAATTAACTGGGTGTGGTGGTGCATGCCTGTAGTCCCAGCTACTCAGGAGGCTAAGGCAGGAGGATTGCTTGAGCCCAGGAGTTCGAGGCTGCAGTGAGCTATGATTGTGCTACTGTACTCCAGCCTGAGCAACAAGGTGAGACACTGTCTCAAAATAAATAAATACATAAATATTTTTAAAAAAAAGTAAAAATTAAATGTTTTGGAAAGGGCAAAAATAATTGTGGGGCAGATGCTGAGAGGCGAGATGGTTAGTACTCGCTAGAAAACCTGGGCAGCATTTTATGAGGTGGGTGGGACTTGAGGTGACCTTAAAGGAGGGGTAGATTTTTGTGTTGATGGAGGCATTTGGAAGGACATTCTGGGTGGGTGGAACAGACCAGAATAAACCAAGAGGTGAGTATAACGTGTGTGTGTGTGTGTGTGTGTGTGTGTGTGTGTGTGTGTGTGTGTGTGTGTGTTTTGGATGACAGGAGGAGATGGGCCAGACTAGCAGAGATGCAGGTTGGGAAAAGGTGGGACATCAGGTCAGCCAGCAAGGGTAGATGATCAAGGGTCTTGAAGGCAGGTGGAGGAGTCGGCATGTGAAAGGCATGGGAGATTTCAGAGCAGAGTGGTGATCCCAGGCAGGCATTCAGCAGGGCAGCGAGTAGCAAAGCCTCGCGGCAGAGCGGGTGGGACACAGGAGTGTGGATGGCTGGAGGCAGAGAGGAGGCTGGTCAGCATCCAGGCATGCACCACCGAGGACCAGGAGGGAGGGCAGAGAGGACAGAGAGGGCAAGGTGGATAAGGAGGCATTAAGGAAAGAGCCATCCCCCAACTGGGTGGCTGTTGTCTGCAGAGGACCACACAGGAAGGTCCCCCTCCACACTGGAATGTCAAGAGCTGGTCTGTCAGACAGAAGGCAAAAGACACCAGTGCCATTTCCCCAGCTCTGACACTGCATGGCTCCATGCTCTGCTCTGTGCCCCCTTCCAGCCGAGTGGATCAATACCAGCCATCAGGGCTGAGCCAAGAGACGGAGGACAAGGTTAGCTGTCTGTAGGGAACGCATGGAACACCCAGAGCAGGGCTGCCTGGGTGACTTATTGCTTATTAATAATATAAATATGTAAATGTTACGAGGGCCATATTGATCCCAACATATGAGCCATCCATCATGAGAGTGCAGAACAGGGTGTTATAAATATCAAATAATAAGTCTGCAGCCCAAGACTTATCAATATAGGTGGTCTAAGGCTGGGACAGTCCCCAAGGCAATTTTATAATGAGAGCAACTCCAGCAACCTCCCGCCACCACCCCCGCCACAGTGTGTGTGGTTTGTGAGGGGGAGGGAGAGACAGAGGACCCCTCAAATGGAAAGGAGATATTCATATGCAGGGATTCTAGAAAGAGAGCCTCCCCTTTTCTCCTTTACCATGGCAGGAAAAGCCGTCATCTGAGCTCCCCAAATCTCCACCCCGGGGTAGAGAGGGTTTCTCATCCCCATGTATGCTGAGGCAACATAGCCTAAGGTTTAGCACGTGGGTGTGGAGTCAGGGAGACCTGGGCATGGAATCCTGCCCTGCCCACTGTTTGCCAGCTTCGTCAACTTCACAAGTTTAACTGCTTGAAGCATTGGTTTTACTCATCTGTAAAATGGGAATGTTGACAGCAATCGGCAAGGTTGTGAACATTAAATGGGTCAACGTCTATAACCACCAGTGTCCATGGTAGGTATGACTACTATGCAGAGTGGCCAGGGGCTCCTGGTGCCATGAGACCTATTAGCCTGTTCTCACAGTGCTATGAAGAAATACCCAAGACTGGGTAATTTATAAAGAAAAGAGGTTTAATTGACTAACAGTTCTGCATGGCTGGGGAGGCCTCAGGAAACTTGCAATCATGGCAGAAGGCACCTCTTCACAGGGTGGCTGGAAAGAGAACAAGTGCCAGCAGGGGAAATGCCAGACGCTTATAAAACCATCAGATCTCGTGAGAACTCGCTCACTCTCACGAGAACAACATGTGGGAAACTGCCAGCATGATCCAATTACCTCTGCCTGGTCCCACCCTTGACGCATAAGGATTATTACAATTCAAGGTGAGATTTGAGTGAGGACACAGAGCCAAACCATATCAGAGGCATGACGCTGAACAGCTCCAATCCAGAGTGTCCCATCACTACCTCCAGAAGATGTGCCCAGTAAAGTGACATCACACTTGAGGAAGGAGCAGCCTAACCCTAGCCATACCCCTCAAGCCCCAGTTTGGTTTTCCTGGTGGATTTCAGTTTGAATGCCCACACAGCTCGTGAAGGCACAGGACATGGGGCTCGGAAATCAGCCGGTCCTTACGCGGTCTCTGCCTTCGGGAATTTCAAGCTACAGTGGGGGAAGGGACCAGAACACCTAAAACCTGAGGCTGAGCAAGTGCTGTTGGAGGGGTGCTGAGTGCTCCAGGGGCTTAAAGAGCAAGGTCATGTCCAGCTGAGGGGAGTCGAGAGGGGCTTCCTGGAAATGAGCCGAGAGTCGGCAGCAAAAGGAGGGAGTGGATCCAAGCTCACCCACCAGCCTGGGCCCCGTGCAGAGCAGGAGCTGGACGGGATGTTCCTGTTCTTAGCAAACGCGGAGGGAGCCCAGACCTACGGCTATGAGCCTGTGCCCAAGCCTGGGAGATATTTCATTCATCATAATTTTTTTTGCGTTAATGTTGGCTTTTGATTATTTTTATATTGCATTAAAATATTATTTATCTTGATTACTGCATTTTTGGTGTCCCCTTAAACTTTGTGTCCAGCATGATGCCTCACCCCACCCTCAGCTCTGCAAGTGACTGCATTTTCTGGGATTATTCCCCCTGCTTACCAGCTCTCGGCTTCCAGTTATCCAACCCACTTTCAGCTGGCTCCAACTCGACCTTCCTAGTCTTCTAGACTCTGACTCCATCTCCCCACTGCCCACCCCAGCCCCCATGGTCTCACGACCCACCTCAGTGACGATCAGCCTTTGCATCTGGTGGCGGAGGCAGTGCAAGGAGGAGAGCTCCTGCCATCAATGCCTTCTCCCTAGGGAGTACCCGCATCAGCCCCAAGCTGCATGCTTTCTGGCACTATCTGGTTGCCCCTCACCCAGCTCCTGAGAGGTGGGCACCGTCAGCCTCCTTTGTCAGGTGGGGAACCTGAGGCCCAGAGAGACTGTGGGACTCGCCAGATTCACACAGCTGGTTGAGCAGTAGTGGACCTGGGATGCGGTTCTAGCAAAATGCTCTTTTCACCAGAACCCAACATTTCCCAAAGTGTCATCCTTGGAACCCATATTCCAGGGGCTGTGTATTTGTGAGACCTGAAAGGACTGCCTTCACGGTTGGAGAAGCGTGACCCGCAGATGTGCGTGGAGGGCCATCATGAGGAAGACATCAAAGATCCTCGGCAGTTCTACAGTTCCAAAAAAAAATTGATTTTAACTCAGCATTTTGCAAACTCATTGACCTCAAAACTCTTCTTTCATGGAACATCTCCCTGGGTCAGTTGTCCATCTTATATAGTCAAGAAATACTGACCTGTTTTTAGCGTGAGAGTTTTCCAGCCAGATTCTGCTGATGGGTCCTGCCAGGACCCATACCTGCGCTTTGACCTTGTAGGTGAGGGGAGGTTTCTTTTCTCACCCCTAGATTCATGGCTGAGACACCTGTAACTAAAGGCAGCTTAATAAGAGAAGAGCATGCAAATGTATTTAATGTAAGTGTTATGTGGCACAGGAGCCTTCGGAAATGAAGACCCAAAGAAACAAACCCATGTATTCCTGTGCTTAGGTTTGTCAAAGAGCGGACAGTCGCGCAGAAGTGAATGGGACACATAAGGTCTGATGTTAACATCATAAACTAGGGGGGCTCAGCAAGGCCCATTTGTTCAGACTCTTCTGTGTCCCTGGGTCTTCAGGTCTAAGGATGCTCCTTTTCTCTGGACACAGGAAGAGCACCTCTCACATTAGGGTCCTATGACCTGCTTCAGAGGAAGGGCAGAGAATTCCTTTATGGCCTGTTTCCGGGGAGAAGGGCAGGAGAAGGCCAGAGAGACCTTCCCGCTTCTGCTGCTCCTCAAGTGCCAGGTGCCATATTTTAGGGTAGCGGCTCCTAAACCCCATCGACCTCTATGCTGTACTCCATTTTCCGACTTAGCTTGCCTTGGTGTAAGAGGAAGGAAGAGGAGAGAGGGGCTTTAGGAGAAGCCCAGGAAGGATGTTCAGATTTTACATTAACTATTTCTATATTGTTTGATTGTCTCACACAGCACATGAATTACTTTGTGAGGAGGGAGGGAAAGAGGGGGAGAAAGAGGACAGGGGAAGAAGGGGAGTGTTGGGCCGACCCCTATCAACTCCAATGGAAATGGCAACAAATTCAAGAGGCTGAAGAAAGGACCCAGAGCCAGCAAATGGGACATGGGGTTTTACTGGGAGCTTATACAGAGGGGAGAGAGATCAGTGGCAGCAGGCTGGGGAGAAGAACCGCAACTGTTTGCAAAAGGCATGCAGTTTCTATAGCAGTTTCACTTAGCACCCTCTCGGCTCAGATGTTCCTCATAGATAAGGAATGAATCTCTGGGTTGGCCACTCCGGATTCCTTAGCTCAGAACTCCAAACCGCATTCAGGTGTGTCTGCCATACAGGGTCATTCTCAGGATGTGCTTAAGATATTGCTATCAGGTGCATTGACTAAACGGGGGGGAAGGAGAGAGGAAAAAAGAAAACAGGAGAGGAAAGAAGGGAGGGAGGGAAGAGAGAAGGAGGAAAGAAAAGGAACACAAGAAGAGAAGGAGGAGGAAGGGAGAGAAGAGAAAGATACAGAGAGAAGAGAGAAGTGGGGAGAGTCAACGTGATCCTGGGGTTTGCAGCTCCTACAGCCCATCCTCAAGTGAGAGAAAATCTCAGGCATGAGAGAAGGCTCAGCAGGCACAGGCGTCCCCCTCCCAAGTACCCCCTTCATCTTCCTCAGTCAGTTCCCACCTCCACCCCCTCCCAACCAAACATCACCAATCACACATGAATTAAAAGCCATTTCCAGGCAAGCCCAGTGGCTCACGCCTGTAATCCCAGCACTTTGGGAGGCTAAGACTAGTGAATCACTTGAGGGCAGGAGTTCAAGACCAACCTGGCCAACATGGCAAAACCCCATCTCTACAAAAAAATAGCTGGGCATGGTAGTGCATGCCAGTAGTCCCAGCTACTCGGGAGGCTGGGGCATGAGAATCATTTGAGCCTGGGAGGCAGAGGTCGCAGTGAGCCGAGATCGTGCCACTGCACTCCAGCCTGGGTGACAGAGCGAGACTCTGCCTCAGAAAAAAGAAAAAAAAAAGAACAAAAAACATTTCCATGACAGAGGCTTTGCATCTGTCATGAGCCCTGGGCCTCAGCCACACAGGATTTCCCAGTTTGCAATCTTTTTGTTCAACTCCCCTCTCTCCCCAGCCATTCTAGGTAGGGTGGAGGGGGCAGGTCAGGGTCTTCTCCCTGCCCCCCAGGCCAGGGCGCCATTAGTATTCAGCATCTTCTCGGTAATGGTCCCTCTTCATGCTGGTTTGATTTTATTATTATGCCAACACACTTGCTTAATTCTCTGCTGTCTTTCTTCTGCACTGTTGATTTACACTGTTAGTGTTTTAATTATACAATTCAGCACTCCTTAAAACATGAAAAACTGCTCAACTTTTCAAGCAATTAAAAGGCAGCAAAGTATATCAGCAGATCCGAGACGAGATAAGTAAATCAAGCAATTAAAAATGTCGTTTGGTGAAAATGTAGCAACCCACCCAAAACGAGCGATGCCGGTGGGCCCTCCCGACCAGAACTTCGAAGAGCGGCGCCTCCTCCATCTCACCTTCCTACCCGGGAACGTGGTGCGTTCTGCCTCACTCTCCCTCTTACTCTCCCTGTGTTGAACGTGATGCCTCGCTGACCTCAGCCCAGCCTGGCTGAGAGGGCCTGCGTGGGATGACCTCAGGACTTGGGCGACCACAGACTCAGGTTTTAACCTGGTCGCCGAGCAGCTCATGAACTTGGCCGCATTTCTCCTCTCTCTCGGCCTGTTTCCCATCAGCAAATGGGACTGCACCACTACGTTTTTGTGTGGGGGTGAGTAAAATATAATAACAAAACTTACCATCGTAAGGGAGAAAAAAATATCTTTTCCTCACCATCCTAGGTTCACGGCCGAAGCCCCAGTAACAAGACAGATTAACAAGAGGAAAGCATAGAAAGCATACACATTTATTTAATGTTTTACATGACACAGGAGACTTCATAAGGAAATGAAGATCCGAAAAAACAAATAAGCCTATGTATTTTTTATGCTAGGTTTGCTAAAGAAGTGAACAGTTGTGGAGAAGTATGTTCAGATGAAAAAGTATGATCTAGGCCGGGCACGGTGGCTCACACCTGTAATCCTAGCACTTTGGGAGGCCAAGATGGGCAGATTTCCTGAGTTCAGGAGTTCAAGACTAGCCTGGCCAACATGGCAAAACCCCATTTCTACTAAAAATACAAAAATTAGCTGGGTATGGTGGCACATGCCTGCAATCCCAGCTACTCGGGAGGCTGAGGCATGAGAATTGCCTGAACCCGGGAGGTGGAGGTTGCAGTGAGCCGAGATTGCACCACTGTACTCCAGCCTGGGTGACAGCGAGACTCTGTCTCCAAAAATATATATGATCTAACGGTCATACACTGGGGGCACTTAGCAAAGCCTGCTTGTTCAGATTCTTCTCTGCATCCCTGGGTCTTCGGAGATAAGGACGTTCCTTTCCTCTGGGTATAAGGGAGGGTTCATCTCACATGAGGGTCTAATGACCCACTTCAAGCCAAGGTCTTGGGAAGGTGAGAGAGACCTTCCCGCTTCTGCTGTTTCCTCAAATGCCAAGGTGCGTATCTGGGTATAGCATGTCCTGAATGCCATTATCATCTTTGCCATTTTTAAGTGTACAGCGCGGCGGTATTACATTCATATGGTTCATTCACATTTGTATGGTACAGTCATACTGTTGCCTAATTGTCATCACCATCCATCTCCAGAACCCTTTTCATCTTGCAGAACTGAGACTTTACACCCATTGAACACTCCCCATTCCCCTTCTCCTGTACCCCTGGTTTCTAAGCTGGTTTCCATGGAGCCCCGGGGTTTAATCTCAGGCCCCTAGAGGGCTGCTAAGAGCAGGAGCAGGTAGCAGGGAGATGAGTAAGCAAAGCTCCATTTTAATCTGTTTAAGCTGTTAGGCCTCTGGATTTGATTGCATTTGAGTATAAGGCTCTGAAGATTATTTTTTGAAGTCAGAAAATGACTGGATGAGACCATCTGAAAGACCTGGATTGGGAAGGACTGGCTGAGAGGCTTGAGTTTTTTCTAAAGAAAAGTTCTGCCCACGAGCAAGGAGGATGGGTCCTGCTTCTCTGGGTCTAGAGCAGGACAAAATACACTCCCCCCAAATAAGCTGAGCTCACCCCAGGAATCCAGGCTCCTCCCAGGCCTTAACCAGTTCCCTCCCTCACGAACTCTTGGCATCGTGACTTCAGGCCCCAGGGGACCCAGAGAACCAGGGACGCTCCGTTGCACTGAAAGTGAGGGTGGGGAGGGTGGGGACAGGTTGGGAGCAGGGACAGGAGGTGTGCAGCCCACTCATCCATCACACAAAGAGCTGGAAAGGCCAGTGGTGCCACCCAGTGCCCACTCGCTGGCCAGGCTGTCTGGGAGGAGGATATTGACTCAGGCAAGAAGGGAGGCAAGGTGGCAGGTGCTGTGGGGTGGGCACTGAAGAAGATGGAGGGGCTGAGAGACAGCCTCAACCCGCAGCATCTGGCTCAGGGCAGAACCTCCCAGAATAGACACACTTCCCCATCCTTCATCAGCCGCTGTCAGGAGGATTATAAATGTGAAGAGGTGGTGTCCAGAATCTTAACCATGTTGGTCCCAGCAGGAAGAGGCAAGGCCAGTGCCCCTGAGCTCTTGGCTCTGGGACCCGGGTTCAGGTTTCCTACAAGAGAACAAGCACACCCTGGAGTGTGCCTGGATCCAGCCCTCCCAGAGACTCTCCCCTGGGTTGGCTTGAGTGTTCAAGAGCAGACATGTGACTGGAACCAGGGTGGGCTGTGGCCCAGCAGGTGACCCAGGAAGATCTGGCTCAGTGTGTGGACAGGGTTGGAGCTGGGGGGGATGGAAGAGATCATAAAGACAGGACCTGTCTATGTCCCTGTCCCCCACCTCATTTGGATCGGTTTGTGACCCATGACTACTTCCCGCTGTCATCGGTGGCTGGGAGACTCTGTCTGCTGAACAAGACCCAGTGGAGAGAGACACCACCAGCAAATAGCCACACTTGAAAGGACACCGTTTCCAGATTCTGATTGCCTGGTCCCTTGGGTGTTGTTAAAGGGAAGGTACCAGGTTGAAAAGGAAATGGCAGAGAAGCCCTCTGCTTCCTTGATAAGGTATCCCGTATCTCTTCCCCTGAATGGGGAGATTATCAGATTGGGTAACTTACTATTTAAAATAAAAAGGATATATTTTAAATATCACACCTAGGTTAAAAGTGAAAGTATGAAAAAAGATATATCATGCAAACAATAAACATCAGAACGGTGATGTCTCTATATTACTATGAGATAAAGCAAACTTCAAGGTGAAGAATATTACCAGAGATAGAACAGAACATTCCATAATGATAAAAGGATAAGTCTATTAAAAAGACATAGCAGCCCCAAAATATGTGTATCTACTAACAGAATTTCAAAATATATGGAAGGAAACTAACAAAACTATACAAAGAAATTGACAAATTTGCAATCATAATTGGAAATCTTAACACTTCTCTCTTAATACTTGATAGGACAACTAGAAAAAAAATCAAAGGACATAGAAGATGTGAATAGCACTATCAATCAACTTGGCCGAATCGATGTTGATAGAACATTCTATCCAACAATTGCAAAGCACACATTCTTTTCAAATTATCACTGAATATTCACCAAGATAGACTATATTCTGCAACATTAGTCTTGATAAACTTGAAACATTAAAATATTACAGCATACTTCTCCATAGAAGGAAAATAAGAAAACATGTTGAATTGAATCATAAGGAAAATATATGAAAATCTATGAGGAAAAACTCTGTTTCCACTCATGGAGACATAACTGCTGCAAGAATTGCCCTCTTATTGTAATCAACCAGAGAACTGGAGAAAATATAAAAAACAGCTGTTTTCAGATACTGGACTATGGACAGAACATAACAGTGATCCCTTAAATAAAAGAACAAACAAGGTAAGCCCCAGCTTACAGCTAAGAGGATTTCCAAGCCTCAGCAAAGCAAGGAGGAACTCAAACAGAGCAAAGGGTCTGGCTAAGATAAGAAAAGAAATGTTGGAGTTTGTGGAGGCTGAGGGACCGAAATTGGGGGCATAACACTGGGCAGAAAGGAGACACAAAGAGAGAGAGCGTGCAGAAGATGTCCAAAAGAGTCACTGCAAATCTTTAGCTAAGCATTGATCTGCCTCTGTGGGGAGTAAAATTCCACGAGGCAGGGGAAGGAACCACTTGAAAGCAGTGGATTCAACCATTCCTAAAGTTCACACAGGTCTGGGAATGTTTACCAAGCTTGTTTTCCCACAAACCAGAGTGGCAGGACTTCATAACACACAGGATTTCATAGAGTCCTCAGAAAGGTATTGATTTAGTAGTGGGGATAAATTAGCTCTAGGCTAAGTGATGTTCTGAAAAAGCCTGAACAAAGACTAAAAGCAAGCCTCAAAGGGATCAAACTGATCCAAGTTAATTTAATTGTATGCCAGAATGAAATCCAAAACATTTTAAAGAAAGAAATAAAATCCAGCACAAATTCACAATGTTCAACATTTAATCAAAAATAACAAGTCATGAAAAGATGTGGAAAAATATAACCCATGACGAAGAGAAAACAGAGCAAGAAATTACAGAAATAATGGCATTAAGACATAAAAGCATTTAAAAATGATGACAAATACTTTAATAGGCTAGAGTGGCAGTCCCCAGCCTTTTTGGCACTAGAGACTGGTTTTGTGGAAGACGATTTTTCCACGGACAGTGTGGGGGATGATTTCAGGATGATTCAACTGCATTACATTTATTGTACATTTTATTTCTATTATATTACATTGTAATATATAATGAAATAATTATACAATTCATCATGATGTAGAATCAGTGGGATCCCTGAGCTTGTTTTCCTGCAACTAGATGGTCCCATCTGGGGGTGATGGGAGACAGTGATAGATCATCAGGCATTAGATTCTCACAGGGAGCGTGCAACCTAGATCCCTCACATGCACAGTTCACAATAGGGTTGATGCTCCTATGAGAACCTAATGCTGCCATTGATAGGAAGTGGAGTTCAGGTGGTAATGTGAGCAATGGTAAGCAGCTGTAAATACAGATGAAGCTTCACTTGCTGGACCACTGCTTACCTCCTACTGTGCAGCCCCATTCCTAACAGGCCACAGACCAGTACCAGTCTGTGGCTCAAGGGTTGGGGACCCCTGGGCTAGACACTATGAAAGAAAACAAGAACATGATGAATAGAGAAATGAAATATATGTAAAATCCCCAAAATATCTTTCAGACACACCAAAAATGCAATATCCAAAAGAAAAAGTAAAAATGCATTTGAGGGGACTAACAGCAGATTAGATACTACAGAAGATCACTGATCTTGAAAGTGGAGCAATACGTCCTATCTAAAATTGAGCACAGATAGAAAAAGAATAGAAAAAAAAGAGAACAACCAGAAAATAAGTGACCTGCAGAACAGTATTAATGTTCTAACCTATGTGTAATTGAAACTCCAAAAAATATATATATTTGCAGATATAATAATTGGCCAGGTGTCATGGCTCATGCCTGTAATCCCAACACTTTGGGAGGTTGAGGTGGGTGGATCACTTGAGGTCAGGAGTTCAAGACCAGCCTGGCCAACATGGTGAAACTCTGTCTCTACTAAAAATATAAAAAATTATCTGAGCACGGTGGTGCATGTCTGTAATCCCAGTTACTCAGGAGGCTGAGATAGGAGAATTGCTTGAACCCAGGAGGCCTCTGTGAGCTGAGATTGCACCACTGCACTCCAGCCTGGGTGACAGAGAGAGACTCCATCTAAAAAAAAAAAGAGAGAGAGAGAGAATAATCAAATTGTTTACAAATTGGATGAAAATGATAAACCCACAGATCCAGAAGCTCAGTAAACCCCAAACAGAATAAACATTAAAACACACACACACACCAAGGGGAAAAGACACATTTTGAAGAGGATTAAAGATAAGAATGACAGCAGACTCTTCAACAATTGTGCAAACCAGAAGACAGTGGAATGACATCTTTAAAGAAGGGAAAGAAAATAACTGTCAAACTAGTAATCTTTAGTTAGTGAAAATATATTTCAAAAGTAAAAGTAAAAAAAAAAGACTTTTTCAGACATACAAAAGCTGAGAGAACTCCTCACCAGCAGTTCTGAACTTTAAGAAATGTAATAGGAAGATATTCAGGCAGAAGGAAAGGGATATCAGATGGAAATCTGAATCTATACAAAGGAAGAATGTCAGAAATGGTTAATATGTGGATATCTATAATATCCATTTTTCAATCTCTTCAAAAGATAACTAGCTGCTTAAATCCACATAATAGTTCTACTTCTGGCCAAGATGGAGTAACAGAAAATGGATTTACTCTAAAATGCTAAATGGTACGACTGCTTTGGAAAGTTAAGAGGTTGGCCGGGCACGGTGGCTCACGCCTGTAATCCCAGCACTTTGGGAGGCCAAGGTGGGCGGATCACCTGAGGTCAGGAGTTCGAGACTAGCCTGACCAGCATGGTGAAACCCCATCTCTACTAAAAACACAAAATTAGCCAGGTATGGTGGTACATGCCTGTAATCCCACCTATTCGGGAGGCTGAGGCAGGAGAATTGCTTTAACCCAGGAGGCAGAGGTTGCAGTGAGCCAAGATTGTGCCATTGCACTACAGCCTGGGCAACAAGAGCAAAAAACTCCATCTCAAAAAAAAAAAAAAAAAAAAAAAAAAAGGTCAAACACATGCTCACAATATGACCCAGTGATTCTAATATCTTTTTCTACCAGATATAAAAGCATATGTCCACACAAAGACTTGTACATGAATGTCCGTAAGAGCTTTATTTATAATAGCCTCAAATTAGAAACAACCCAAATACCCATCAACAAGAGAATGGATAAACCATTTGTGGTGCAAAATGGGATTCTACACAGCAATAAAATGAACAAACTACTGATACATACAATAACATGGGTAAATTCAAAAGCATTATTCGTAGTGAAAGAGGCCAGACACAGAAGACTACAAGCTGCATAATTTATTTATGTGAAATTCTAGAAAAGGCAAAACTGTAGTGACAGAAAACAAACCAGTGGTTGGCATAGCAGTTGGAGTGGATTGACTAAAACAGCCACAAGGGAATTTTCTGGGGCGATGAGAATATTCTATACTTTGGATGTTGTGGTGGACCCATGAGTAACAACGTTAGTCAAAACCCAGTGAATCATAGACTGAAAATGGGTGAATTTTGTTGTATACAACTTGTATTTCAATAAAGTCATTTTTTAAAAACTGTGGGATGTCACCAAAGCAGTGATTGTTGAAAGATTTGTACCTTTAAATGCCCTTATTAGAAAAGAAGAAAGCTTTAAAAATCGAATATCTAGGTTTCTACTTTCGGAAGCTAGAAAAAGAAGAGAAAATTGAAACCAAGTAAGCAAAAGAAAGTAAATAAGAGAGAGGCTGGGCATGGTGGCTCATGCCTGTAATCCCAGCACTTTGAGAGTCTGAGGTGGATGGATCACCTGAGGTCAAGAGTTTGCCTGACCAACATGGTGAAACCCAGTCTCTACTAAAAATGTAAAATTAGTCGGACATGGTGGTGCATGCCTGTAATCCCAACTACTCAGGAGGCTGAGGCACGAGAATCGCTTTGCATGAGAATTGGAGGTTGCAGTGAG
Source organism: Homo sapiens (assembly GCF_000001405.40). Lineage (NCBI taxonomy): Eukaryota > Metazoa > Chordata > Mammalia > Primates > Hominidae > Homo > Homo sapiens. Next base: position 74,141,050 of record NC_000017.11, read on the forward strand.
CCATTGCATTCCAGCCTGGAAAACAGAGCAAGACTCTATCTCAAAAAAAAAAAAAAAAAGAAAAGAAAAGAAACTAGATAAGAGCAGTAGTAAATGAAATAGAAAACAGACAAACCATGAAGAAATTTAACAAAGCTCAAAATATTCTTCCTTTAAAAGATTGATATAATTAATAAATTTTTTAACAAATGAAAATAAGAGAAAGCATAATTTACCAGTGAGTGAAAGAAGGGACAAATCCTACAAAAATGCAGAGGACAATAAAACAATATTATAAACAACATTATGCCAAAATACTTATCAACTTCTGTGAAAAGAACAAGTTCTTTGGAAAACACAAATTACCAAAGCGGACTGAAGGAAAAAAATAGAAAATGAGGATAGCTATATAACTATTTAAGTAATTAAAATCCTAATTAAAAAAAAAATCTTCCAGCAAAGAAAATGCTAGGCCCAGATAGCTTCACTGGTAATGGTATTAAACACTTAAAAAAGAAATAATACATAAAACTTACAAAAACCTTTTTCAGAAAATAGAGGGTAAGGGAATACTCCCAATTCATTTTATGGTACTCTGTACCAAAACCCTGGAAAATGATATTACAGACTAATACCCCTTATGAGCATAGCTTTAAAAAAAAAACTCTTAAGAAAATTAGCAAATCAAATCCAGCAATATATAAAATGTATAGCACATTTCATGCATATGAATGTATAAACTCAACCAAGTAGAGTTTATCTCAGGAATGCAAGGTTGGCTCAACACTGCAATTTCCAAGGAATGTAATTCAGTATATTAATGAATTAAAGGAGAATAAGCACAAGATCTCAAAGGATTCAGGAAAAGCAAACTAAGAATTGAAGGATAAATTATTCAAGCAAATAAAGGGCATATACAACAAAGCTATAGTTAATATCATACTTAATGGTGAAAGACTGAATGCTTTTCTCCTAAGATTGGGAAAAATGCAAAGATTTCTGCCTTTATCACTTCTACTTAAAATTAAACTGGAGTTCTAACCACAGCAATAAAATAAGGAAAAGAAATTAAAAGTATACTTATTGGGAGAGAAGTGAACTCTCTTTTTCACATATGACATGATTGGTTACATTAAAAAAAACTAATCTACTAAAGAAAAAGATCTACTAGAGCTAAAACGTTAATTTAATGAAACTGAAGGACAAAGGCCAAAATTAATTTTTATATATAATCAGCAAACAATTAGAAAATAAAATAGCAATAAATCCTATTAACAATGGCATCCAGAAATGTAAAATACTTAGTAATAAATCTAGCAAAACATTTGCAAGACCTCTACATTGATAATTACAAATGCAACTGAAAAAAATCTAAAAAGACCTAAATAAATGAAACAACATATCATGTTCATAGATTGGAAGGCTCTGTATTTTAAGATGTAATTCCTCCTCAGATTGATCTGTAGATTCAACATCCCTATCACAATCCCAGCAGGCATTTTGTAGAAAATAATGTGATTCTAAAATTTATCTGTTGGCTTTTAATGAGTCTTAACTCAGACTAAAATGTAAAGTCTCTATGTCAGCATGGTGTATGCTCTATTGGCCCTTCTTCCCCTCCCATTTTTTGTATTTAAATCAAGTTATGGTTTAAATGAGGAACAATCAATATATCTAATTCTTTCCTCTTCTCTGCATAAAATAAACTTGTGAACTAGAGTTCAGGAGCCCTTCACTAGGAGGGTGGAAAGCCTCATTAACTGCACCAATGAGGAAGAAGATGACTGCATGGACTGATAGGAAACCTCACAGAAGCCGCTGGGCAAGCCCTGGGCAGAGCTGCTTTTAAGGCACATTCTTCCCTTGCTGGTGCTGAGAATAAACAGGGAATGGTGCTGCATACGGTTTTTTTCAAAATAAAAGGAAATCTATATGAAGTACAAAGGACTTAGAATAGCCAAAACAATTTTGAAAAAGGGAGGAAATTGGAGGACTCATACTACCTGGTTTTAAGCCTTGCTATAAAGCTACAAGACAATATGTTATTGGTGTAAGGATAGACAAATAAATCAATGCAGTAGAATAGTGAGTCCAGAAATAGACTCACACATGTCAATTGATTTTTTAGAGGCACCAAGGCAATTTAAGGAAAAAATATCTGCAACAGTGCTAGAATGACTGGGTATTCATATAGAAAAAAATAAAATTTGAACTCCAACCTTATACCACAAATAAAATTAGTTTGAGAAGAATCACAGGCCTTAACATAAAAGATAAAACTGTTAATATGGTTTGTCTGTGTCCTCACCCAAATCTCATCTTGAATTGTAGTTCCCATAATCCTCATGTACTGTGGGAGGGACCCAGTGGGAGAAAATTGAATCATGGAGGCAGTTACCTACATGCTGTTTTCGTGATAATGAGTGAATTCTCACAAGATCTGATGGTTTATAAGGGGTTTTCCCCACTTCGCTCTGCACTTCTCCTTGCTGCTGGCATGTGAAGAAGAACATGTTTGCTTCCCCTTCTGTCGTGATTGTAAGTTTCCTGAGGCCTCCCCAGCCCTGCATAACTGTGAGTCAATTAAACCTCTTTCCTTTATAAATTATCCAGTCTCGGGTATGTCCTTATAGCAGTGTGAGAACCAACTGATACAACTATAAAGCTAAAATCAAAAGGACTAACAAGTGTTGACAAGAATGTGGACCAAATGGAACTCCATCCACTGCTGGTGGAGAGTGAAGTGGTGCAACCACTTTGGAAAACTATTAAACTTTTACCTATCCTATGGCTCAGCAACTGCACTTCCAGATATTGTCTTAGTCCATTCGAGTGGCTCTAACAAAATACCATAAACTGGGTAGCTTATAAACAGAAATTTATTTCTCACAATTCTGGAGGCTTGGGAGTCCCAGATCAAGGCACTGGCAGATTGTATCACTGGCTTCTTGGCCACAGACAGCACCTTGTTGCTGTCTTCTCACATGGGTCTCTCTTGGGCCTCTTATTAGGGGATAGGTATCATGAGGGCACCCTAATGATCTAGTCATGCCCCAAAGGCTCTACCTCCTAATACTAGGAGGTACTGCTAACACTAGGCCCTAACTCCTAATACCTTAGGAATTAGGATTTCAACATGTGAATTTGGAGGGGATGCAAACATTTAAACCACAGCTGTATTTACTCAAGAGAAAGGAAAACAAATGTCCGTAAGAAATACCTGCACAAGAAAATTCACAGCAACATCATTTACAAAAGCCACAAACCAGAAACAATCCAAATATCTATCAACAGAAGAAGAGATAGTATATTAGTACATATTAATATACAGAGAAAATATATATAGTAACATGTACTAATTATACATATATGTGTATTATATGTATGTATGTATGTATGTACTTTTTTTTTTTTTTTAGATGGAGTCTTGCTCTGTCACCCAGGCTGGAGTGCAATAGCACAATCTCAGCTCACTGCAACCTCCACCTCCCAGATTCAAATGATTCTTCCAACTCAGCCTCCCGAGTAGATGGGACTACAGGCACCCGCCATCATGCCCAGCTAATTTTTGTATTTTTGTAGAGACAGGGTTTCACCACGTTAGCCAGGCTGGTCTTGAACTCCTGACCTCAGGTGATCTGCCCGCCTCGGCCTCCCAAAGTGCTGGGATTACAGGTGTGAGCCACTGTGCCCCGGCCTGTACTTTATTAATTATATGTGTACTGATACAATGGAATACTACTTAGGAATTAAAAGTATCAAACTAGTGATAGGTACAAACTTGCATGAATGAGTCTCACAGATACTGTGTTGAACAAAAGAAGAAAGACACAAAATAGTACTTGCTGTACTGTTCCCTTTATATGAGGTTCAAGAGCAGGCAAGCCTCATCAACAGTAATAGAAATCAGAGCTGTGATTGCCTCTGGAAAGAGTGGGATTGACGGGAAAAAAGCACAGGGAATTTTTATACTTTGACTGGAGAGAGGTTCGGTTGCATGGGTATTTCCATTGTCAGAACTCATCAAATTGTACACTTAAGATCTGTGCATTTCCTTTTTTTGTTAATTTTACCTTTAAAAATGCTACAAAAGCACAAGTTTAAAAAGAACTGGGCTGGGTGCCATGGCTGACAACTGTAATCCCAGCATTTTGGGAGGCCAAGGCGGGCAGATCGCTTGAGCCCAGGAGTTGGAGACCAGAATGGGCAACATGATGAAACCCCATCTCTACAAAAAAATATGAAAATTAGCCAGGCATGATGGTAACATGTGTCTGTAGTTCCAGCTACTCAGGAGGCTGAGGTGGGAGAATCACCTAAGCCAGGGAAGCAGAGGCTGCAGTGAGCCAAGATTGCACCATTGCACTCCAGCCCCGGTGACAGAGTGAGACCCTGTCAGCAAAAAAAAAAAAAAAAAAAAAAAAAAGCAGAACACGACACAATGGGAAACCTAATGGGTTTTGCCTGGTTTGCCTGCCCTATAAGATCTGGCCCTACCTAGACAGGACCCTATCTGGCAGAGCTCACTCCTTTACTCACCTTGCTCTTGCCTTGCCAGCTTTTCTTTTAGTTCCACAAGCACATCAAGCTCATACCCCTGGGAACCTTTGCATTTGTGTTCCCCCGCGCCCACCACCCCCTGCCGCCATTTCCAGAGTTCTTTCCCAGATCCTTGCAGGACTGTGTTCCTAAGAGAGGCTCCATGGATCAGGTTTCCTGCAGAAAAGGGATGGCAGGCGAAACAGGGAAAATGGAGGTGAGTTCAGAAAGAGACCATTTCCAAAGCCGAGGCCAGAGTGTAGGGAGCCCACTAGATAGAATACAGTGCCTGGTGCTCATGCCCCTGGGCCTGAAAGGGGTAGGGGAGGAGAACGGGAAGCCCTTTCCAGAAAGTGTTGATCTGTCCGGATGAGAGCCAGGAAATAAAACCCAGCTTCACTCTCCTTCCTCCCTCCTGTCCCTGTCAGTGCTCCCCATGGGCAAACTGAATCAGAACTCAGAGGGCAAGGGAGCCCTCGGCTATAGGTCAGCCCCTGGACACGGAGTGGAGAAGGATGGAGAAGAAATTTAGGGGATCAAACATAATATTCAATGCAGACACTGCCCCTGGCTTCCCACCTACACAGCGATTCGGTCCCGTTCCCTTCTTAATTTCTTCATGGTACTTACCGCCACCTGAACTCATCTTACTTTCTTATTTGGTGGCTTGCTGCTTACCAAACGCCCCTCCTCTAGAATATAAACCCCAGGAATCTGGGGACTGTCCTATCTATTAACGTATCCCTAGTGCCTAGAACAGTGCCTTGTACTTAAAACAGATGCACAGTCTGCCATAAATCCTTTGAGAAAATGAGCAGATGGGTACATTACTGCCTCCCAAGCAGGCTGCCAGACACAAGCTAGCACATTCTCTCCAGACTTTTTTTTTTTTTTTTTTTTTGTAATTAACACACTTTTTTTTTACAGCAGTTTTAAGTTTGTAAAAAAAAAAAAAGATGGGAAAGTACAAATTTCCCCAATCCCCTTTCTCCCTGCCCCCACCATTTCCCCTGCTATTTATACCTTGTATTAGTATGGAACACTTGTTATAGTTGATGGACCGATATTGACACACTATGATTCACTAATGGCCATATTTTACATTAGGGTTTGCTCTATGTTACGCTGGTTTGACAAATGTAGAATGACATGTGTCCATCATTGCGATAACATACAGAACAGTTCCACTCCCCTAAAAAAAACTCTGTGCTCCACCTATCCATCTCTGTGCCCTCCCCATGAGCCACTGGCAAGCACTGATCTTTTAACTGTCTTCATTGTTTTGTCTTGTCCAGAACGGCATATAGTGAGAATCACACAGTATCTCCATCATTTTGACCCCTGTGGCACTACAGATCTTCCACAAACATTTACCAAATACACAAATGAATGGATGAAAGGACTCAGAGATGCCCACATTCTGTAGGGTTTGGAGCATCCCATGGAGCAGTGAGCCCAGGCCCCTTCCCCTATTTGGGGTCGAGACCTTCATTGCATTCCCTCGTTTGCCCTCCCCTTCCCCAGCCTCACTCGACGTCTTCATCCCTTTTAAATTATACAAAGATTTCCGTGTATGAAAGCTAATTTAGACACCATAACAGAGACTGTATTTAATGTAAATGGAAGAAGCGGAGGCAGAAGGATTTATGGAAATAATAACCGGCCTGTAATAACACGGAGTGGGTCACCTGCTTAAGAAACAGTGGATTAAGGAGAAGGAAATTTACCTCCCAAAAGAACGAATGTCACTGGAAAACTGCCGCAGTGCCAAGTCTTGGATGATCTTATTAAATCCCATAGATCTTATTATGTTTCCTACCAGGAGAGACTACTTCTTTCCCTGGTTCATAAGAAGGGCCAAAGTGAGGTCTAAAGTAGAAAAGGGGAAGGGGAGGGCAAGGGGCAATTCCCAGAAAGGCCTGGAGTCAGCGCCTACCGGGTCGAGGGCCCTGTGTGCACATAGCCCAGCACTGGCCACACGCTCTGGGCATGGCATAGAGCCCTGAGGGTGGGCAGGGGATTCCTGATGCAGGAGGATGGGGAGTAGATAAGGATCCAGGAAGCAGGAAGCTGCCCATGCATGACAGATGGCTCTGACATCACAGATCCCACCCTGTGCAGGCGTGGGTAACAGGGAGGTCCCTAGCCATGTTTCAGACAGCTGGGGTGCAACAGATGCCATGCCCGAGATGGTGGTTGGAAGTAGCAGGAGGCTTTGGATACATGGGCAAGCTCCTCATTTAGGGAAACCTGGGTTCAAATCCCAGCCCCACTCCTCACTGTCTGTGTGATCTTGAGTAAATCGTAAAATTGGCGTCACCTATTCCCAGCACTGAGTCAATTCTCACTCTGTCCATTCTTCTTGGGAAATTAGCCCCAGGACCAGGATGGCCCTGCCCAGGAGGAAAGAAGCCTCCTGGCTGCTAGCCAGATTCAGACCTGGATGCCTTCCGGTAAGAGTAGGAGCCGTATAACCACCCCCCAACCTTATCAAGAACCCTTGTTCCCAGGAGAAACATCAGCTCCCCCAGGCCTTGCTGTCATCCCCAGCATGGAGCCCAGTGGGGACACACAACCCTGCTGGCTGTGAGTTTAACCTCTGCAGCTGGTGCCCCATCCTGAGCCTCTCCCTGCTCCTGCCCTCCCCACCTCCTTTCTGCATAAAGGTTTGTTAGGAAGTGGCTAAGCTAGAGAGGGCCATTGGGGACCACAGACAGAGATCGCACGCTACAGGATTATGGCTGTTCCATAGTGCACTGCAGCTATTTGAATACATTTGCATGAACTCACAAGTCTCAATGCACTTATTGTGGGATGTCCTCATATTGGTTGGGGGGAGGTGGGGGGAAATGGAGGGGAGGGAGACCTTGCCAGGGAATGAAGGCAAAGCCACCTGGGCCAGGAAGAGGGGGTGGCTTCCAAAAATCCCAAGAAGCCATTCTGGAACTTCTTAGAGGACTGTCTCCATCTGGGACCTCAAACCAAGGTGGACAGGACACAGGCTCATCTCCCTGCAGGGAACCTGTTCCTGAGTTCCTCTCGCAGGAGTCCTGAATGAGGAGGGCTTGGGCGCTGAGAAACAGGAAGCATCATTTGCCTGGTGCAAGTCAAAGATGGGCCACCCACAGGGCTTGCATAGGGAACCATGGCTCACCTCCTCCAAAGCTGTGCTCCAATCCCACCTCCACAGCGAGTCATTCCCTGACCACATTATTAATTCTGCAACCGACTCCCCATCCTGACCCTTCCCCATCATCCTATTCCTTTTACTCTCTGCTCTACTTTTTTTTTTCAATATCACTGTGGACTTCTAACGTACCACATGGCTTCCTAAGTTATTATGATCATTGTTAGGTTGAGCTCCACACTAGAATGTAAGCCCCATGAGGGCAGCAATGGTTGTCCGTTGGGTTCGCTGATACATCCCAAATGACTAGATCTGTTTCTGGAACACAGCAGATGCTCTATAAGTACTTCTTGAGTGAAAGCATAGATCAACCCCTTAAGAAAAGAAGTAGCCAGGCGCCGTGGCTCATGCCTGTAATCCCAGCACTCTAGGAGGCCAAGGCAGGAGGATCTCTTGAGCCTAGGAGTTTGAGACCAGCTGGGCAACAAAGTGAGACTCCATCTCCACAAAAAATAAACAAAATTTGCCAGGCATGGTGGTGCTCATCTGTAGTCCAAGCTACTCAGGGCCTGAGATGGGAGGATCGATTGAGCCTGGGAGGTTGAGGCTGCAGTGAGCCATGATTGCACCACTGCACTCCAGCCTGAGTGACAGAGCCAGACCCTGTATCAGAAAACAAAAAAGAAAGACAGAAAGAAAGAAAGAAGGAAAGAAAGGAAGGAAGGAAGGAAGGAAGGAAGGAAGGAAGGAAGGAAGGAGAAAAGGAAGAAAGGAAGGAAAGAAGTGGGCTGTTGTCCCACCTCATTTATTCCCATTCCGCATGCTGTTCCCCGGCCTCCCTGGGAATCTCTGTCCAGGTGTACAGTAACCCAAACCTAAGCCATATCCCCAGCCTAAACAGCACGAGGAAAACCTTCTGAAAGTTGATGGGAACACTTAAGACAAACCCAGCATTTTGCTCAGAGGGCAGCTGTGGGGCTGCCCCACACTCAGAGGCCCACTCAGGGCCCCTGCACTTCTGGGATAAAATGGGCAAAGGGATGGCCCTGCTGGGAGCAAAGCAGCCCGGCCACATCTCCCTGGCTGCGCTCAGCTGACAAGGTCCTCAGCTTCCCCTCCTGCGGGGTTCTTCATCATCCCAGAAATGTTTGCATTTGCAGGTTGCAATTAACATTAGCCTTGGAAGATCTCTGTTTTGTGGGAGCCTCTTAATGAAGCCATTGTTCTTGGCACCTGCTCCACCCCCACCTCATCCCAGCACCCACACACACTCACACTGCGTTCTATTTGGGCTCTCGGGAAATGATGGACCGGGAGCTACTCAGGGATTGAGGTGGCCTCCAGGGTCTGGGCAGCTTCTTGAGACCCAAAAGGTCTTCTACCCTATAATATGGGCCCCATCACCCAGGGGGTGCTACAGAGACTATGGGTCTGAGAACAAAGGAGAAATTAGGAATCAGAAAGAGAAAATCCACTTTCCCTCCCCCAGGCAAGGCCCCTGCCTGGGAAAGCCAGGCAGAAGCAGGGGCGTTGAGGGAGATGGAGGGCTGGCCGGGAGTCCGCACATGCAGACGAGGCGGGAGTGCCTGAGACTGAGAAATACAGCAGCCTCTCAGAGCAGCAGGCGTTCCAACAGAATGACTTCTTTTAATCTAAATTTGATGAGACCAGGGTGCCTTTCACCTAAGAGAGAGGGAAGGGAGTGTACTCCTTGCTCCCTGGCCTTGAGTCCTCCCTCCCCCCGCCACCCCACCTCCCCTGCAGAACCTGTCTTGCCTTCTCAGGCCACTTCCTCCTCTTTCATGCCACCAGGAATGCCCCGGCTGCGGCACACACATTCCTCGGTGACCAGGGTGTAATTCTTATTGACCTGATGTTTTTCTTATCACTGCCCGGCCAGAGCTCCCTGAGTTCCCCAAGGGAGTGATCAAAAGGACTGGTTTGCCCAAGACTGAGTGGATTCCCGGAATGCGGGTCTTTCTGTGCTGAAACCAGGAAAATCCTCGAAAGCCAGGGTGGTGGATCACCCTATTCCAAAGAAGGTTTCAAGGGGCTCATGGGAGACCCTTCCCCGAACAGCTGGACGCCATCCTGAAGGCCGGAACACCTATTGTGACATGAGGTCTCCACCTGCCCAGGGAGGAAGCTGGGTCTTATGACTTGTCACTATACCCCTGTCTGCTCCACTTCAATGCTAGCAGCACTTTCAAACAATTAAGCAGACATAAATCCTGAAGGCTGGGAGGCCGAGGCGGGTGGATCACAAGGTCAGGAGTTCGACACCAGCCTGGCCAATATGGTGAAACCCTGTCTCTAATAAAAATACAAAAAAAAAAAAAATTGGCCGGGTGTGGTGGCATGCACCTGTAGTCCCAGCTACTCAGGAGGCTGAAGCAGGAGAATTGCTTGAACCCAGGAGGCGGAGGTTGCAGTGAGCTGAGATGGTGCCACTGCACTCCAGCCTGGGTGACAGAAGGAGACTCCATCTCAAAAAAAAAAAAAAAAAAAAAACAAAAAAACTCCTGAAGCCAAGGCATCCTGACTTTTCTTCTTGGTCCCTGCCCCTCAACATCCATGCCCAGCCCATCCCATGCACTCCCTATCTCTCATCTGTGCCCACCTCTGTCCACCCTGCAGTGCCACTATCTTGATCACCTGGGCTGGGTGAAACAGGGCTAACTGATTGGGACAGCCCAGCCCAGCCCAGTTGCCAATGTACCAGGAATACACTCAGTGTTATGGGTTGAATTATGTCCCCAAAAAAGATACGTTGGGCTCCTAAACCCCAGTACCTATGAATGTGACCTTATTTGGAAATAGGGTCTCTGCAGACACAATCAAGTGAAGATGGGGTGGTTAGGTTGGGCCCTAATCTAATATGACCAGTGTCCTTAGCCAAAGAGGAAAATGTGGACACAAAGAGAAGACAGCCGTATGACAATGGAGGCAGAGATTGGAACGATACGTTATACATGCATCCTTACGGAGCCAGGGAATGCCGCAGATAACAAGAAAAGACCAGAAGCTAGGAAAGGGCAACGGAGCACCCTGCACTGTAGGTTTCGGAGGAAGCATAACCCTGCCGACACCTGAATTTCAGACTCTAGCCCGCAGAGCTGTGAGACCAGGCATTTCTGTGCTTGAGGCCACCCAGTTGCAGATCTTGATTCCAGCAGCAACGAGAAACTCATGCACCAGGCCAACATAGCGGATCAGACCGAGAAACCACAAGAAAAGTGGAAACCAAAAGAGGGAGTGGGAGCGAAGTGGATCACCCTGGCTCCGGGGCTGCCTAGGGTCCCCGCTGGAGCTGGGGAAAATGATGGAGCTCCAGCCATCAAGCCACATGGCCAGGACTTTAGCCGTTCCCATGCTCAACCAGGCCAGAGTGCTGCCTTGCTCCATCTGTAGCCCTGCCTTGTGCAACGTCAAAGTGGCCAGGCCATGGGCCACCTCCTGACCCCACTGAGCCCAGCTCCAGGGACTCAAGTCAGTGCCAAGTCTTCTCTGCCTCCTCCCACTCCCACTCCAAATGGAAGAGACAGGTAAGGTCAGGCTGCAGGCATTTCATTCCCTGCTGAGTCCCCGGGAGAATACCAACCAGGACTCAGAACTAGCCTGGCACCTGGAAACCATAGCCCCACTTTATTTCTGTGTTCCTCCTGGAGACCCCCTGAAATAAGTGTCTGAGCCTGCCAGGTTCTCCCCAAGGCAGAGCCTGAGATGAGGACATTTGTAGTAGGGGTGTCCTATCTGGGAGGCCACCCCAGGGAGCAGTAATGAAAGAACAAGAGGGTGACATAGGGACAGAAGAAAGCCAGCACAGGAGTGCTGTTGAGACCACTACTGTGAGCAGCAGGAACTCCTTCCTCCGGGACCTCTGAAGAATGAATGGCACAGAATGCTGCCCAGAACTGTGCCCTGTAGGACTAGGGGCGGGGGCAATAACCCACTGCCCCCACATTGCCTGGCTGCAGATGCTCATAGACCAGACAAGCACCTTAGAAGCTCCCACCAGCATCCTCCAGGTTGGAGGAGCCGGGGGCAGAGATGGGAAATGTATGCCCTTGCTTGGGGCAAGATGGCATCAGTGTGGTCACAGTGGGAGCCTGCAGGGCACCGTCTCCTGGCTGGCCTGGATCAGAGGTGGGGCGGAGCAGATGCAGGTCAGGCAGCAGACTGCCTGCTCAGTAGATAAATCTTTCTGCAGACCTTTGAGGAATGACTCATCACTTATACCCAGGTGGGGAATTTGTCTTCCCCTTGCAGGTCTAGGTTAAGAAAAACAGAGAGAGGGTGGCACATGATTGAGAGCTTTTGATGTTAAGTTTCCCTGTGTTACCAGCCCAAGAAACCCTCCGGTGACGGGCAGGCCTGCTCGGGGACAGAGCACAGTGTAATCAGGGATCGTGTCTGCTTCAGAAGTGGCCTGGAGCAGAGATCCCAGCAGCCAGGGTGGCTGGCAGGAGAGAAGCAAGCCAGACATCCCTGCTCCCCTCTGCCTGCCTGTCTTTCTAAGTCCAAAAGCCAGCACAGGCTATCCCCACCCTGAAAATAGGCTGGGATCCAAAAAGTGTTTTGAAACATCTGCTGTTTGGAACTGGAAAGCACCTTCTCATTGAAATAAGACTGTGCACAGCTCCTCAGGCCCCAGCCCAACTCACAGGAAACCCACTGAGCGTGGCCCACCAAAACACCATGCAATCAACGGGGTGAGCACGTCATAGAGTCCCCTTGGAAAGCACAATCACGGTCACAACTCAGGGAGCTAGAAGCACAGAGTTCCCTAGGCAGCAAGGTCAGGGGATCCTCCTCTTCCCATCCTCTCAACTACTGGGCAGTGGCATGGGGCAGTTTCCAAGCTCCAAACTTCTGATGGCAATCTTATAGCCAGAGCGAGGACTCCAGCAAACAGGACCGGGATGAAGCTGGAGGAACTTGAGGGGCTTCTGAAGCTCAGATTCATCTCCAGGAGCTGAGGAGGCACAGGGGAAAGCCCAGGAGAAGGTGGCACTGTACCCTCTTTCTGGCCGTATCTTAGGATGAAGAGGGTAGCCTCTGCCCAAGGATTAGATGGAAGTCACTACAAGTCACCAGCGCCTGTGGCTAAGGCTGACTCCCAGCCTCCTGGATTCTCCCCTGCTGCTCAGACCACAGCTCCTGGAAGCTCCTCCCTCAATGTCTATGGGCTCCACTGGGACTCAATCCCCAATCCCCAGCTCACTTCTCTGAGGACCCAACACAGCCTCCATCTTCTGGACAGGCCAGCTGAGGCCCAGCATCACCCGGGAAGCAAGTGCCAGAATCTAGACCAGGACACAGAACCGCTCACCCCCAGCCGGCCCACCTACTCACCAGGAAGGTGCAAGGAAAGCTCCTGTTTCTCGGGTAATGAAGGCCGCTCAGCCTCTGCTTGGGGATGGGAGCCTGGAGCGTATCTTTTGGGAAATTACAGGTATCACTTTATCTTTCCAGGGGAAAAAATAACCATGGAAAACGCCTGCAATTACAGCTCATCACCACTGACTGTGTAACTGCAGCCTAAGTGCCTGGTAATCAGAAGACCGCAGACAATGAGAATTTGGCTTTATTTAGCACCTTTCTACTCCTCCACCTCCAACCCTTTAGCATGATGTGACAGCAGGAGCCTGGTTTTGCAAACACTCGATACAGCCTTTCCACAGTCTTTCCATACAAAGATCGGGCCACTGACCCTTGGCTGTCCACGGAAATGTCAACTTCTTTTCTTTCCCCAGAGGTCTGGCTGAGTGTTACTGGGCCACCTGGCCCCTCTCAGTCCCTTGCTCTCGTCCGAATTTAGTCTTTTATTCAACCACATTTGTGGAGTGTCACCTCTGTAGCAGCCATGGAGAGAGGAGCAAGTAACACAGCAGTGAACAAGCCAGGCAAGGCCCTGCCCTCCTGGGGATTACATTCCAGTCTGGGAAACAAAGAGTACACAGGGAAACCTGTAAATACAAGAACCACAGCACATCACCAGAACTATGAAAAAATCTTAAAGGGGCCGGGTGCAGTGGCTCACGCCTGTAATCCCAGCACTTTGGGAGACCAAGGCGGGTGGATCACCTGAGGTCAGGAGTTCAAGACCAGCCTGGCCAACATGGTGAAACCCCATCTCTACAAAAATACAAAAATTAGCTGGGCATGATGGCGGGTGCCTGTAGTCCCAGCTACTCAGGAGGCATAGGCGGGAGACTCACTTGAACCCGGGAGATGGAGGTTGCGGTGAGCCGAGATTGTGACATTGCACTCCAGCCTGGGTGACAGAGCAAGATTCTGTCTCAAAAAAAAGAAAAAGAGAAAAAAGGAAAAGAAAAAACTTACAGGTGATGGGGTGGATAGCAACACACAGGGACACATTAGGGTGGTCAGTGAAGGCGTCTCTGAAGAGGTGACATGCCCACTAAAACATGAGGGTGAGGACAAGTGGTTCGTTACAGTCAAAGGTGAGAAGGCAGCAGATGCAAAGGCCATGGGGCAAAAACATCTTACTGGGCCTTTAGAGCTGTGTAAAAGCTAATGAGTGCCCAGAACACAGTGAGAACAGAGGAGAATTGCATAAGCTGAGCTTGAAAAGGCAGCAGAAGAGATGCCACATGACACAAAGGAGTTTGGATTTGAAGCCGATTGGTAGGTTTTAACCAAAGGGACGAAATCATATGATTTGTATTTGGAAAATATCAATTCGGTTGCCAGGTAAAGAATGGATGGGCAGGCCAGGCATGGTGGCTCACGCCTGTAATCCCAGCACTTTGGGAGGCCAAGACGGGTGGATCACTTGAAGTCAGGAGTTCAAGACCAGCCTGGCCAACATGGTGAAACCCTGTCTCTACTAAAAAACACAAAAATTAGCTGGGTGTGGTGGTGCATGCTTGTAATCCCAACTACTTGGGAGGCTGAGGTGGGAGGATCACTTGAACCCGGGAGGTGGAGGTTGCAGTGAGCCGAGATCGTGCCACTGCACTCCAGCCTGGGCAACAGAGCGAGACTCTGTCTCAAAAAAAAAAAGAATGGATGGGCAACAGACAACATGGAGAACATGCGGGCTGGGCGACCAGCAGAGGCTGCTGCAGGGACCTGGGAGGTGACAGGAAATAGCAAGAAGGATATTTACCTATTTGCGTTTGGGAGAAGAGGCCACAAGCTGGATTAGTGTTAATGGAGGTGTGACGATGTGGAGAGGATGGAGCAGATGCTCCCGGAGTCTGTCCGAGCAGCTGGGTGGACGGGAAGGCCATCTGCCAAGGAGGACAAGGTTGCTAAAGGCATGTACAGGACAGAAGTGCTGGTCCACAGCCTGTTTGCTGCCAAATCCATCCCTTATGCTGCCCTTGCCCTTCTCCGTGTCTCAGAGGGGTGCTGACCTCAGCATTTCCCAGGCTCCTGTGTCAGCTGGGTTCAGCCAGTGGGAGACACTGGTAGGGGATTGAAGGGCAAGAGTAGCGGAGTTGGGACATCTCCCTCCCTCTCTGCTTCAAGCAGAGTCCAGGAAGCAGGTGTTATCTCCTCTGAGGCTCCAGCTCCCAGGAGGCAGCTCCCCTGGCTGTGGTTCCCGCTGGGTCTCCCCAGCCCCTGGGGTCAAGGACCCATCTCTGTTCCTTGTTCCTCCAACCACAAGTAGTTAAACTTCCTGCCTTTGCTAACCTCTGGGTTTCTGCATCATTCCTTGTTTGGTTTCTCAGTTTTTCCATTACCTGTGTAACCAAATTCCGTCTGCTTTAAAAATTTAGAGTGGTGTATGTAATTCTGATTGGACCTTGACTGGTACATGAAATGCCTGGATGAGGTGGGAGGTGCAAAGCTGGTCCATGTGGACCTTAAAATTTTAATCTTATATTGATCCTGCCTCCTAGAATTCCAAGTACCAGCCTCCAACAAGCAGAGTTAACCACAACTCCCTTTGGAACATAAAACCACAAGGTCCAGAGGCTGAAAAAAACCTTAAAGATGCCCTAGCCCTAACTGTTACCCAATGCTGGATGCCCTTTGTAATGCCTTACCAGATTATCTTAAGCCTGGGCTAATCACCTTCAGTGACGGTGTATTAGTTAGCTGTTGCAATTATAATGCTGTGTAACAAACCATCCCAAAACTCAGTGGCTTAAAGTAACAAGTAGTTTATTTTCTTGCTCATAGGTCTGCGTGTGGCTCAGATGTTTCTCCTTCAAGCTGAGGGCTTGGTAGAGCTTGGTTCCAATTGGGTTCAAGTCTGCTCTATGTGTCTACACATTCTCTGGAGACCAGAATCCACCTAAGCACTCTTCTGACAGACCACAAGCTCTCAGGAGGATGAGCCAAACCACACGACATCGGAGGCCTCTGTTCGCATCACATCTAACAGAATTCCACTGCAAGTCACACAGCCAAGAGCAATGCCAATGGGGTAGGGAGATATACCCCACAAGATCACGTGACAAAAGGAATGCATGAAGACTCAGGAATGATAATGCAACCAGTAAAAGGTTTCCTCTGTCCTGATTTTGAGCTGGAATCTGCCTGTCTGTGTGTGATGGTTAATATAGGTTGGCGCATCATTAAAAGTGATAGCAACGACCCCAATTCCTTTCGCACCAATGTATATTAGGTGTCAACTTGATTGGATTGAAGGACACCTAGATAACTGGTAAAGTATTATTTCTGGGTGTGTCTGTACGGGTGTTGCCAGAGAAGATTGACATTTGAGTCAGTGGACTGGGAGAGGAAGACCCATCCTCAGTGTGGGTGGGCACCGTCCAATTCAGCTGCCAGCGCAGCTAGGTCACAGCAGGCAGAAGGAGGTGGGATCAGCTTGCTTGCTGAATCTTCCGGCTTTCATCTTTCTCCGGTGCTGGATGCTTCCTTCTGCTCCTTCTGCCCTTGGACCCCAGAATCCAACTTCTTCCGCCTTTGGACTCTGGGACTTACACCAGTGGCTTGCCAGGGACTCTCAGGCCTTCGGCCACAGACTGAAGGCTGCACTGTCGGCTTCCCTGCTTTTGTGCTTTTGAGGCTTTTGGACTCGGACTGAGCCAATACCAGCTTCTTTCTTCCCCAGCTTGCAGACAGCCTATCGTGGGACTTCACCTTGTGATCATGCAAGCCAATTCACCCTAGTAAACTCCCTTTCATATAGACATAGATCCCATTAGTTCTGTACCTCTGGGAACCCTCTAATACATGATGTTAAGCCAAGTTTTCTGTATCCCTGTTCTTCCACGTGATATACTAGACAACCTCCTGCGGGTCCGAAGCCCACTTTTAATCTTCTGCCTCATGAACCTCCCCGATTTCTTTAAAGTCCTGATTTTCAGACCTGTCATCCTGTTTGCTCCCCTCTGAATATGATCCCATTTTATTTTGATTACACCTCATGCATAATGTCCACAACCAACTGCACTTGGTATTTTCTAACCATGACAGATTCCTTGTCCCTGTGGCAAGGAATCACTAGTGGAAGCTGAGTCCATATAAGCAAGAGAAGGCAGCTTCCCCCAAAGCACTGCCTCCAGAAGGTTCTCTTGGTTATGCCACCCACACAGATGATCTCTCCTCTTACGCTGAACCCCACAGTTCTCATGCATCGCTAGGCCTGTGCTTGTTGACAAGCTGCTTCCGGTCCTTAGCCTTGGGTCCATGGACGGACATCATAGCTCTATTTGGGCCTCGAGAACTTAGAAGACAGGGTCTTCTTTGGGACCACAGTACCTGGTACCAGGGTCTGGGAGCCCCTAAGTCTATGTTTGATGATTGGTCAAGTGGTCATGATTGAGGGGCTCAAGTAGCTTTGCCCATAGACACTCAACTATTCTTTAAGGGGTCAAGTCTGAGCTCTTCCTAAAGCAGCCTCCACCAGAATACAAAGCTGGGTGTGAGATCTCAGCACTAGCCCTAGTAAATATCTCAACCCCTCTAGACTGTAGAGATGTTTACAGGAGCTGTCTGCACTGATTTAGGCTGGTCAACTGGAGGGAGTCACACACACACACACACACACACACACACAGCTAAGAACTCAACAGGATTTTGAAGGCCTAAGCAAAGCTGACAACTGATCTACAGCCTCCTTCCTTCAGCTGGAAGGAATCTCATATCCAGGGAGGGAAGAGGCAGCTGTAGCTGAGAAATAGAATAGGGAATGCCTCATCAGGAGAAGGATGGAATAGCAGGCACTAGAATTAAAGGGGGACTTTTCCCCATAATGTTAGTGGAACCCTTGGCCAGACAGCTTCTCCAGTGTATTAGTCAGGATAGAATAGGATAAGCTGCAGTAACAAATATCCCCAATACCCTAGTCCTTTAGCATAGATAAGAGTTTGTCTCTTAGACTACATGGGCATCACAGATCAGCAAGGGGCTCAGCTTATCATGATCTCTCAGGAAGCCAAGCTGGCAAGGGCATTATTTCAACATTTGCTCCCCCTGCCCCCAGTGCTCCCCCTGCCCACAGCAGTGGGAAGGATGTGTCACAGACCAGGCACCCGTTCTGAAAGTTGCTGCCCAGAAGTGAAACATGTGTGTTCATATTTTCTTGATTAGAGTGAGTAGCATAGTGATTGCCAACTTTAAAAGAGGTAGGCAAGTGCAATCCTTCACATGCACAGAGGGCAAAGAGCACAAAAGACCACCATGCCTAATGTCAAGGTGGGAGCCTCAGCCCAGGGGCAGGACCTCCACAGGGCAGAGGTGCCCAGGGCCCAGCTCCTCCCTGGTGGGCCTCTTGTTTGCTCTCTCTTGCTCACTCCTTCTCCCTCCCCCTCTTGCTGTCTTTTTCCACGTATTCATTCATTTAACAAATATTGATTGCGCCTTCATACAGCAGAATGTGGGGCAGCCCAGTGGACACAGCAGATTCAGCCCTGATCTTGTGAGCTCTTGTCCATCAGGGGACACCAGCAACCAAGCAAATCCCACGTCCACCGCTTCTCAAGCCAAACCCCACGTCTTCCTTGATCCCTCTCTTCCTCACTGCCCACATCTAATTCATGAGTAAGTCCCATCAACTCCACTCCAAAATCATGCTGAATCTGACACCCCCCTCCACCACAGATGACCCCTGTCCCATCACCTCTCTCCTGTACCCCAGTAGAGGCCCCTGGATGGTCTCCCCATCCCACTCTTCCCACCTGGAGTCTGTTCTCCACACAGCAGTGAAAGCAATCTTAAAAAAGCCAATGGGTCGGGCGCGGTGGCTCACGCCTGTAATCCCAGCACTTTGGGAGGCTGAGGCGGGTGGATCACGAGGTCAGGAGATGGAGACCATCCTGGTTAACATGGTGAAACTCCGTCTCTACCAAAAACAAAAAATTAGCCGGGCGTGATGGTGGGCGCCTGTGGTCCCAGCTACTCAGGAGGCTGAGGCAGGAGAATGGCGTGAACCCGGGAGGCAGAGCTTGCAGTGAGCCAAGATTGCACCTCTGCACTCCAGCCTGGGCAACAGAGCAAGACTCTGTCTCAAAAAAAAAAAAAAAAAAAAAAAAATCAATGCCACCAGGTGCAGTGGCTCATGCCTGTAATCCCAACACTGTAAGAGGCTGAGGCAGGATAATCACTTGAGCCCAGGAGTTCGAGACCAGCCTGGGCAACATGGCAAAATCTCGTATCTACAAAAACAAAAAATGCAAAAATCAGCCTGGCATATAGTGGTGCGTCCCAGCTATTTGGGGGACTGAGGCAGGTGGATCACTTGAGCCTGGGGGGATCAAGGCTGCAGTGAGACAAGATGGCAAGCCGATATGAGTGGAAGGCAAATATAAAATAGGTGAACAAACATAAACTAAACACAAATTGTGTTAGGCATTATGTGGACGACAAGTGAGGAGGTGCTGAGCTAGTGAAACTCACAGGGACAGCCTGGAGGCAGGCAGTCAGGGAAGGTGTTTCCAGCACCTGCCATGCCACCCTGGCCTCACCTCCTACCCCATCATCTGCTGCAGCTCCCAGTCCTGCACAGACCAGCCTCCCATAGGTGCCATAGGGCAGTGCCTGGCCTCAGCCTACACGGTGACTCTGAGGCCCTCTGTCACGGTGGAAGGAAACATCTGAGGGCTCTCGCTCTTGTGCAATCCTGGAGAGTGGGCGACTTCACGTCCTTGGAGGCACCCCGACCAATGGACCGACGGGGACAGGAGCCCATGCACAGAGGCTTTTCCCTTTCATCCTGGGGGGCAGGCCTGAGGTGCACATTATACAACCCCATGGGGCAAAGCGCCAGTGCCTGTGGCTGCAGCTGCCTCCAATATTGCTTTTTCCTCCTTCCCTGCTTCACTCCCTTCTTCCTTGCTCCCACTTCCAAGAATCATATTCCCAAATAAACAACATGCCAGTAAGCCCTCATCTCAGGGGAATCAAGGCTGAGGCAGAGGCCTCCTTGAGCAAGTGACGGCTGGACTGAGCTGCACAGGCCGAGAGGAGAGGAAGGAAGACCACCCCAGGCAGCGAGGATGAGTGGGAGCAGATATCCAAGGGGTCCCAGGGGCTCATGTGTCTGGGGAATAAAGAAGGGGCAGCCGGAGTGGCCTGAGGGTAGGGAGGGAGAAGGCATCAGCCCTCGAAGGACCTTCTGAACAAGGCCAGAGAGCTGGGACTTCCTCCAAGGGCAGCCGGAAGCCATCAAAGGGTTGAATCAAGGGAATTCACACAGCTCAATATGCCTTTGAAAACGGCGGCTGCTTGTGTTCGTTCCATCTAGTCTCTGCGTGTCTTACATCCTCCCCTTTTTCTTTCATAACCTGGCTCTTCTCCGCCTTTCATTCTCTCTGACTCCCGTGCCTACCTGACCCTCTCCCGCTCCTTGCACCCGCTAACCTCTGGGGCTGCTTCCTGGACCTCTCTAGCCCTCAAGTCCCGTTAAAGACACCATGAAGAGTGAGGCAATAAGGCGAGGCAGCATCGTAGTGGGGACCGTATTTTCTGAGCCCATCCAGGACTGAGGTCTGAGAAATCTTGTTGCACCCGCGGGAGGGTTGGGGCAATGTTTGAAATTGGAGCTGTCGTGAGAGTTCTGAGAAGTACGGTTGCCGTGACTGCATGGTGAATCCAAATTGCAGGAGTCAGACAAAGTAGAAATCGCTGTCCCCAGGATATGGGGGAAGAATTCAGGGATGGGCAGTGGGAGGCATTGAGCTTTGTAGCCCACACACCTGGCTTCTCTCCAACAACCACCACCACTCGCTGAATGGCCACGGGCAAGTTACTTAACTTCTCCAAAACTCAACTCCAATGTTTAGAAAAATGGGGCAATAATACAGAATTCATTAGGACTCTCGGTCACAAGTAATGGGAAACACACACAAACTACCTTAAAATGAGGAGGGGAACTTGCTCTCATAGAGCACCAGGAGTCTTCCAGAGACAACAAGACAGGCGCACGTTTCTCCTCCTCTCTTTGTCTCTCCAGCCAGCACCTTCTACTTCCCAGCCAGGGTAGAGAAAGCCAGAAAACTAAAAGAAAGCCTGGGTTACAGCCCGGGCAACACAGTGAGACCTCATGTCTACAAAAAATAAAAATAAAAAAATCAGCCAAGCGTGGTGGTGCGCACCTGTAGTCCCAGCTACTTGGGAGGCTGAGAGGGGTGGAATGCTTGAACCTTGGAGTTTCAGGCTGTAGTGAGCCGTGATTGCACCAATGCACTCCAGAGGGAGACCCTATTTAAAAAACAAAAAAAAAAAAGCCTGGGTTTATATGTTAAGATTTGGCTTCCTGGCCAGGCACAGTGGCTCACACTTATAATCCCAGCACTTTGGGAGGCCGAGGCAGGCAGATCACCTGAGGTCAGGAGTTCGAGACCAGCCTGGCCAACATGGCAAGACCCTGTCTCTACCAAAAATACAAAAAATTAGCCAGGCATGGTGGCACATGCCTGTAGTCCCAGCTACTCAGGAAGCTGAGGCACAAGAATTGCTTGAACCTGGGAGGCGGAGGTTGCAGTGAGCCAGGACGGCGCCACTGTACTCCAGCCTAGGCAACAGAGCAAGACTGTCTCAAAAACAAACAAGCCAAGCACGGTGGCTCATGCCTGTAATCCCAGCACTTTGGGAGGCCGAGTCAGGTGGATCACCTGACGTCTAGCATTTGAGACCAGCCTGGCCAACATGGTGAAACCCCATCTCTACTAAAAATACAAAAATTGGCCATGTGTGGTGGTACGCACCATGGAATGTGCCTGTAGTCTCAGCTCCTCGGGAGGCTGAGACAGGAGAATCACTTGAACCTGGGAGGCAGAGGTTGCAGTGAGCTGACACCATGCCATTGCACTCCACAGGCAACAAAAGTGAAACTCTGTCTCAAATAAACAAAACAAAGCAAAACAAAACAACAACAACAACAAAAAAGACAAAAACAAAAAAAGATTTGGCTTTTTTTTTTTACAGACATCAGTCTCTGTGTGTGTGTGTGTGCGTGTGTGTTTGTATGTACGTGTGTCTGTCTACTGTCCCAATTCCAAATTTCTAGTAGTAGCTGGCCCAGTGGATCAAGTGACACGTGTGGGCCAATCAGCCGTGCTAAGGCACCATAATCTAGAGAGAGAAGTCTGAGTGACTTAGATTAGCCTGGACCAAGCACCTGCAGTCATGGTGAGGCTGTGATGTGCCAATTCAAGTGTCAGAACCCCACCCTGGAACATGTGTGTGTGAGAGTGCGTGTGTGTGAGTGTGAGTGAGGGTGAGTGCATGTGTGAGTGCATTTGTGTGTGAGTGTGTATGTGAGTGTGTGTATGAGTGTGTGTGTGAGTGCGTGTGTTTGTGTGTGAATGTGTGTGTGAGTGTGTGTGTGCGCGTGCGCACGTGTTGGGTGAAGGAGAGACATCCTTCCCAGAAAAGCAAGGGAGGCTGTAGCTGGGCAGTTGACAAACAGGGAACACCACAAAAACCTAGTCCCTGAAACGGGATCATGTTGGTGAAGTGCTCACAGCAACAGCTGCAATAAATGGTTCCCGCGACTGTAAGCTGACCCCTGCAGTGCTATTTATCTCCTCCTCCAGCAAAACTTCCTTAGAGCTGCCCAGGGCCACAGTCTTCACTTCCTTATCTCTCGTTCCCTGCTTACTGCTCCACGTGGAGTAAAACCACATCTCTGTGGTCACACTCATCCAAGTTCCCAAGTTCCCATCCTCCTAATGATCACCAAAGTCAGAGGTAAGTTTTCTGTTCCTCTTCTGTGTTATTTCTCAACAGTGTTCAGGATGATTGCCCACTCTGTCCTTCCTGAAGTGCGTCCTTCTCTTGGTCATTGGGCTCCTGCCTCCTCCCAGTTTTCCTCCGCCTCCACTGGCCTATGTTTCTGCGTGCTGGCGTGCCCCGACACTCAGCCCTTGGCCCACCTGCTTCTCTAGCCAGTAACTCTCCAAGGGCCTCATCCACTTCCGTAACTTTGTCATCTACGGCCAATGACCTTCACATCTCCATTCCAGCCCTAACTTCTCCCCAGATCTCCAAATGCCTCTATCCAACTGCCTGCATATCATGCTATCTTCACATGGGTGTTGTAAACTCAGCAGAGTGAATTGAACCCCCTCTACCCTGACTTCCCCATGCCATTGAAATAGCATTCAGTGACATAGGAGTTGTCCCAGACTCCTCTCTTTCCCTAACCCGCTACCCCCAATCCATCAGCAAGTCCTGCAGGCTCTGCTCATCAGTCATAGGCTGAATTCATCCACTTCTCTCCAGCCATCTCCACTACTATCAGGCAGCCATCACTTCTTGCCTGCACTACCCCAATAATCTCCTAACTGGTTTCCTCCCTTTCTCTGCTGTCCCCCACAATCCATTCTCCGTTTAAACGCCAAAGCGATGATTTCAAATGTATAAGCCAGATTATGTCATGTCCTTACTTAAATGCCTTTCTTTAACACTCAGAACAGCACGCTAACTCCTTACCTTAACCGACAAAGCCCTAGAGGATCTGCCACTGCCCATCCCCCAGGTGCTACTGCACGCCATCCCCCCACAACACACACACACTCTGCTCCAGGCACGCTGGACAGCTTCTGTTTCTCCAATAATTCAAGCTTATTCCTGCCTTTGCAACCACCCACTCTGCCTAGACAGCTTTTCCCCCTCCACACCTTCCACCAAACCCTAAAGTCCCATCTTCATGTGACCAGCTCCTCTGATCTCCCAGCTCTTGACTGAAAAGTCACCCCTCCAGTGGGCCTTCCCTAATTGCTCTATCTAAAGAAACTGCTCAGGGCTGGGCCTGGCGGCTCACGCCTATAATCCCAACACTTTGGAAGGCCAAGGCAGGAGGATTGCTTGAGCCCAGGAGTTTAAAACCAGCTAGCCAACACAATGAGACCCCATCACTTAAAAAAAAAAAAAAAAGGTTTTTGTTTCAATAATCTGGATGTGGTGGCAAACGCCTGTGTACCTCCAGCAATTTGGGAGAAGTGAGAGGATTGCTTGAGTCCTGGAGGTTGAGGTTGCAGTGAGCGGTAACTTCACCACTCCACTCCAGCCTGGGCGACAGAGCAAGACCCTGTCTTAACAAAAAGAAAAGAAAAGGAAGCTGCTTAGTGGATCTGTATCCGTCACCTATTGATTTCTCTGCATAGAAATCAGTACTTTTCAGTCAGGCGTGGTGGCTCATGCCTGTAATCCCAGCACTTTGGGAGGCCGAGGCAGGCAGATCACGAGGTCAGGAGATCGAGACCATCCTGGCTAACATGGTGAAACCCCGTCTCTACTGAAAATACAAAAATTAGCTGGGTGTGGTGGTGCGTGCCTGTAATCCCAGCTACTCAGGAGGCTGTGGCAGGAGAATCATTTGAACCCAGGAGGCGGAGGTTGCAGTGAGCCAAGATCACGCCACTGCAGTCCAGCCTGGGCAACAAAAGGAGACACTGTCTCAAAAAAAAAAAAAAAGAAAAGAAAAGAAAGAAAGAAATCGGTATTTTTCAAATTTATTTATTGGTTTATGCATCTGTCCTTTTCTAATGTATTTATTTCTTTATGGTCTATCATTCACCAAAATATAATCTCCGTGAGAGTAAGGACCTCATTTATTCTTCTGTCCCCTATGTCCAAAACAGTGCCTTTCACATAGTTAGCACTTAACAAAATAGAAGAAAATAATAAATATATAGTAAAGGGGCAAAAGGGGTAATAAACCAAACATTATTTAAAAAAAAAAAAAGGTCACTTGTGGATGAAGAAGTGCAACAAATATCTGGAAAGGGAAAAATGATGGAAGTGTGCAGATGGAGGAAGCTGCCACTGGAATATGCTCCCGGGAGGCTGGGTTGAGTCAGCCACTGAATTTGCATAAAGAACGCTAGAGAGATTGGGGCTTGCAGTTGTCAAATACAACCTGTGGTGGGAGGGAAAAGGGGGAGGTGGTGCCAAAAACACAGGGGTTAATTGAAACTCTGTGGAACAAATTTGTCATTCACCACCCTCCAACCCCACTCCCACCTAACAGAGCAATAGGCAACACAGCGAAAACCAGAAAGCACTCCTGGCTAAATCAATGAAACTGCTAGTAGAGAATGGGAGGCCGGCGCGGTGGCTCACGCCTATAATCCCAGCCCTTTGAGAGGCCAAGACGGGAGGATCACTTGAGCTCAGGAGTCCAAGACCAGCCTCAGTAACAAAGGGAGACCCCCTCTATACCAAAATTTTTTTTTAAATTAGCTGAGCATGGTGATGTGTGCCTGTAGTACCAGCTACTCAGGAGGCTGAGGCTGGAGGATGACTTGAGCGCAAGAGTTCAAGCCTGCAATGAGCTGTGATTGTTCTACTGCACTCCAGCCTGGGCAGCAGAGCGAAACCCTGTCTCAAAAAAAGAGAGAAAGAGAGAACAGAGCGGCTGTTGTGGCTGCTGGTGTTCCATAGTAAAGTTCATCTCGTTCTGCCATTTTTGCCTCCCCACAACCTAGCTTCACAGCCACGTCCCTGGCCAGTCCTCATAAAGCAAAGCCAGATAGTAAAGCAAGCCCTGCACATGAACCCAGAGGTCCGAGGCAGCATCTCCATATAGGGGAGGTACTCAATGGGAAAATAAAACCACATATAAAAATCAGGAAACCCACGCCAACCTCCTAGAATAATTACCCCCGTCCTTCATTCTTAAATAGAAACAGAAAAATGAGATTCACTAGACATGTGACAAATGAAAGAGAAACTCTAAGATTAAAAAAGAAAATGAACAGCAATCCAAATGTATCATCAAAGAAATGTGGAAGCCGATTACGTCCAAAAAAGAGAACAGATTGCAATGAAAAAAGGAATTATCAGAGAACAAGAAAAAGTTCTTAGAATTTAAATCATATGGTTGTTACCATAAAGGCCACATATGGCAAGCCCACAGCTAACATCGTACACAATTGCAGAAAGTTGAAAGCTCTTTCCTCTAAGATCTGGAAT
The DNA here is from genome assembly GCF_000001405.40 of Homo sapiens. Taxonomy (NCBI): domain Eukaryota; kingdom Metazoa; phylum Chordata; class Mammalia; order Primates; family Hominidae; genus Homo; species Homo sapiens. Next base: position 74,167,058 of record NC_000017.11, read on the forward strand.
AAGACAAGGATGCCCAGTTTCACCACTTCTATTCAACAGAGTACTAGGAGCCCTAACCAGAGCAATTAGGCAAGAAAAAGAAATAAAATGCATCGAAATAGAAAGAAAGAAGTAAAATTGTCTCTGCTTGCTGATGGCATGGTCTTATAAATAGAAAATCCTAAAGACTCCATCAAAAAACTGTCAGAACTGATAAAGGAAGTCAGTAAGGTTGCAGGATACAAAATCGACTTACAAAAATCAATAGCATTTCTATACACTGCTAACAAACTATCTGCAAAAGAAATTAAGAAAACAACCCCATTTTTAATAGCATCAAAAAAAACACAGGAGTTAATTGAACCATGCTGAAAACAATAAAACATTAGTGAAAGAAATTGAAGATAACACAAATAAATGGAAAGATATCCCATGTTCATGGGTTGAATTAATATTGTTAAAATGTCTATACTACCCAAAGGTATCTCAGATTCAATGCAATCCCCATCAAAGTTTCAATGTCATTTTTCACAGAAATAAAAAAAAATCCTAAAAATGTGTTCAGAAAAACAAAGGGGGTAAATATTATGTTAAGTGTTCATACTCCCCCGCCCCACACACACAAAAACAAATAAATAAAGTCAGTAAGAGGAAATTTAGAGAAGTGATGGATATATCTATGACCTTGATAGTAGGAATAGTTTCACTGGTATATACTTATCCCCAAACCAATCCAGTTGTATACATTAAATATGTACAGCTTTTGTATGTCAATCATACCCCAATAAAGTGGTTTTTAAAAAAGAAACAATATAGTTGCTGAAATATAAATACATTAGAAGGGTTAGAACGTAAAGTTGAGAGAATTTCCAAAATGTTATAAGAAAGAGAAAACCTGCATATGCAGAAAGAAAGAAAAGATAAGAGACATAGCACATCAATCCAGGAGGTCCAACGTCTGACTAATAGACCCTATAGAAAGCGAGCAGAGAAAAAAACATACATAAGTAAACTACTAAATAAAAGCAGAAGAAGGTTTTCCATTATTTAAGGCAGAAAGAATCTTTCGGAATATAATATTGGGAAACATTAGTTCATCAAACAAAAAGACCCTGAAAGTCTCCAGAGAGAGGAAAGAAGTTACTTACAAAGGAATTAGACACCACCTGTGGTTTCTCATCAGCAGTACTGGATCCAGAAGTAAAATGAGGCCCTCAACATTCCCAGGAAAAATTTGTTTTGAAATTAGAAAACTATGCCCACCCAAACAAACAATGAAGGAAAAAAAAAGTCTCAGACATCCAAAAATGCAGAAAAACTACCTCCTCTGCATCACTTCCAAAGAAATTACCAGAAAAAGTACTCTAACAATATAAACAAGATACCAAGAAAAAGAGAAAGTTGGATTCAAGAAAAAGCAGAACTCTCACTAAAAAGGAAATCCCAGGATAATGGCTGGTTGGAACCAAATGTCAGTGTACTCTAAAGACAAGTTCTTCAAAAAGAGCACAGTAAATTCCGAACGAGGCAGGCGCAGTGGCTCATGCCTGTACTCCCAGCACTTTGGGAGGCTGAGGCAGGCAGATTACTCGAGGCCAGGAGTTCGAGACCAGCCTAGCCAACATGGTGAAACCCCATCTCTACTAAAAATACAAAAATTAGCCAGGCATGGTGGCGCATGCCTGTAATCCCACCTATTTAGGAAGCTGAGGCACGAGAATTGCTTGAACCTGGGAAGTGGAGGTTGCAAGATAGCTGAGGTCGCACCACTGCACTCCAGAGACTCCGTCTCAAAATAAAGAAAAAGTAAATAAACAAATAAATTCTAAATGATAGGTAGACTTAATAAGAAATTGGAAGATGTTTGTGAAATGATGAGTAAGATAATTTTGCTTCCACCAAAAAGAAGAAAAATATACACTTAAGGCCGGGTGCAGTGGCTCACGCCTGTAATTCCAGCACTTTGGGAGGCTGTGGCAGGTGGATCACCTGAGGTCAGGAATTCAAGACCAGCCTGGCCAACATGGTGAAACCCCGTCTCTACTAAAAATACAAAAAATTACTCAGCGTGGTGTCACGTGCCTGTAATCCCAGCTACTCGGGAGGCTGAGGCAGAAGACTCGCTTAAACCTGGGAGGCAGAGGTTGCGTGAGCCGAGAACATGCCACTGCACTCCAGCCTGGGCAAGAGAGTGAGACTCTGTCTAAAAAAAAAAAGTATATATCTATATACACACATATATATATATACACACACACACACACATGCACACACTTAAAAATGCCAAGAAAAAAATTGTACCAAACAATCATGATCTGAATCATGAAGCAAATTAAAATGTGGCATGATTTTGAACAAGTGATGGAGAATACAAAAAGATTTGATTTTGTATAAGGGTTATGATATGAGATTGGAGAGGAAAAAAACATAATCCCTTTATACCATACTACTGGTTCACTGCAGAAAACAATGCTTATATCATCACAAAATACAAAGGCTGTTGACTGGATTTCAACTTTTAAAATCATTGTATAGATAAAACATGAATGACATAAATGTGGTTAAAAAACAAACTTTCAATGTCGCCAATTTTGACAATGTGAAAGATAAGGATGCAGAAGTTGGGAAGTTAGAAGGGGTGGGGAGAAGAGGAGAAAGGAGAATAGGAAATCTAATCATGTCCTCGTGTTACAGGGTGGGCACACAGAATTACTGGCTTACATTAAGGGAATAAGAATTGGACTTTTTAGGCTGGGCATGGTGGCTCACATCTGTAATCCCAGCACCTTGGAACACCTGAGGTCAGGAGTTCAAGACCAGCCTGACCAATATGGTGAAACCCCATCTTTACTAAAAATACAAAAATTTGCCAGGCGTGGTGGCAGGTGGCTGTAATCCCAGCTACTCAGGAGGCTGAGACAGGAGAATTGCTTGAACCTAAGAGGTGGAGGTTGCGGTGAGCTGAGATCATATCACCGCACTCCATCCTGGGTGACAGATGGAGACTCCATCTCAAAAAAAAAAAAACAGAATTGGAAGAATCGGACTTTTTTTGAGACCAGGTTTCACTCTGTTGCCCAGGCTGGAGTACAGTGGTATGATCATGGTTCACTGCGACCTTGACCTCCTGAGCACAAATGATCCTCCTGCCTCAACCTCCTGAGTAGCTGGGACTACAGGCACATGCCACCACACACCTGGCTAATTTTTTTGCTTTTTGTAGAGATGGGGTCTTTCTATGTTGCCCAGGCTGGTCTCAACTCCTGGGCTCAAATGATCCTCCCACCTCATCCCTTCAAATTGCTGAGATTACAGATGTGAGCCACCAACAAAATTGGATATTTTAAGTGTATTAATTAAAATTGATAAGGTAACCAGTAGAAGAAATAATTACCAAAATAGGACGTAGATGGGGGAAGTAAGCAAAGTCTTCATATCTCACAGTAGGGAACCAATATGGGCCTAAAGTTAACAAATCAAGAAATGGAAGTTTAACAATATTAGAGGTCACCAAAGACCACACACACACACACACAACACACACACACACACATACACGACAGTGGTTGCCTCTGAAGGACAGAACTACACGTATAGACTCGTGGGGAGTTCTTTATGATCAGCTGACTGAAAAAGGAAATTAAATCAGATCTAATTTACAGATGGTTCTGCATGGTATATTGGCATCAACCAGAAGAAGACTACTATTAATACATTACCACTGTAATCGAGAGCATCTCTTAAAGGCAGTGGTTAAGGGAAATCCTCCCACTAGACAGAAGTTCCAGCATTATCTTTGGTTGTCTACTTGGGCTGAATGGAGAGATAACCAAAAGTATGGATCTACACTAACTTATGGGCTGTGGTTAATGGCTGGACAGGATGCTCAGGGACTTGGAAATAACAAGATTGGAAGATGAAGACAAGGAGCTCTGGGAAGGAGGAATGTGGATGGACTTCTTGGAGTAGGCACAGAGGACAAATATGTTTGTGTGCCGTCTGAATATTCACCAAAGTCTAGCCACTGTAGAGGAGGTTTTCAACAAGATGACACATTTTGTGGATATCCATTTACATTTTTCCCCAGGCCCCTGATGGTTGTGCAATAGGAGAGTATACAAAACAGTCACAGTGGCAATAGCAGAGTCTATGTGTGGGCTTAGTGATAAGAACTCCACTCACAAAATCCACCTGGCTACCACCTCTGCTGCATGCCCAAACTGACAACAGCAGAGACCAACACTGAGCTGGTCTCTAGTACCATTCTGCAGGGGGATTAGCCAGACATGTGGTAACAGGTTGATTATATGGAAAGGGGCAGCAATTTGCCCTCCCTAGAATAATATGTATTCAGGATATAGATGTACCTTCCCTGCTGACAAAGTTTCTGCTAGTACTACTATCCATGACCTCATAGGGTGCCTTATCCTGTGAGGATAAGGTTATCCACCATCATGATATTCCACAGATGTGGTTTGGCTGTGTCCCCACCCGAATCTCATCTTGAATTCCCATGTGTTGTGGGAGAGACCTGGTGGGAGGTAATTGGATCATGGGGGCGGTCTTTCCCATGCTGTTCTCGTGATAGTGAATAAGTCTCACGAGATCTGATGGTTGTAAAAAGGGGAGTTTCCCCACACAAGCTCTCTTCTCTTGTCTGCCGCCATGTGAGACATGCCTTTCACCTTCCACCATGATTGTGAGGCATCCCCAGCCACACAGAACTGTAAGTCCATTAAGCCTTTTTTTCTTCCAAGTCTCAGGTATGTCTTTATCAGCAATGTGAAAACGGACTAATACACCCACATGACAATGTTTCTGATCAAGAAACTCACTTTGTAGAAGTAAAGTGGGGCTGGGTGAGGAGGCTCATGCCTGCAATCCCAGCACTTTGGGAGACCAAGGCGGGAAGATCTCTTGAGCCCAGGAGTTTGAGACCAGCCTGGGCAACATAGTGAGACCCCACCTCTACAAAAAAAAAATACAAACAAAAATTAGCCAGGTTTGGTGGCATGCACCTGTAGTCCCAGCTACTTGGGAGGCTGAAGTAGGAGGGTTGCTTGAGCCCAGAGAGGTCAAGGTTGCCGTGAGCCATGATCGTGCCACTGCATCCCAGCCTGGGCAACAGAGCAAGGGCCCTATCTCAAAAAAATAAAAATAAAAAAGTAAAGCAATGGCTCATGCCCCTGGAAATCAATGGTCTTCCCACATACCCCATCACACAAAAGCAGCTGGTCTGACAGAACAAGCAAATGACCTACTGAAAACTCAGTCTGCCAACTGGACAATAACATTCCAAAAGATTGGTCTGTTTTACAGGATGCAGCATATGCTGTGAATTGATGTCCAATCTACAGCCATGTTTTTCCCAGACCAGAATACACAGGCCAGGGAAACAAGGAGTGGAAGTGGAAGTGACTCCTCTTACTATTTTTAAAAAATACTTTCTGTAGAGAAGGAATCTCACTATGTTGCCCAGGCTGGTCTCAAACTCCTGGCCTCAAGCAATCCTCCCGTCTCGGCCTCTCAAAGTGCTGGGATTACAGGCCTAAGCCACCACACTCAGCCACCTCTCACTATCATACCTAACAACTCTCACAGAATGTTTGTTTCCTATCCCCTCTTTAACTTTGAACTCTGCTGGTTTGGAGGTTTTAGGAACCAAAGGAGGAATGTTTCCACCAGAGACCCAGTGATTGTTCCACTGAACTGGACATCAAGGCTAACACCTGGACATTTTATAGGCTCTTTATGCTGCTGAATAAACAGGCAGAGAAGAGAATCACTTTCCTAGTTAGCAAAGAGAAACTAGTTAGCTACTATATAAAGGAGACAAGGAACCCAGGAAGTTCTCTGGTGACCCGTGTAGTACTTCCTTGTCTAAGGGAAGACTAATGGATATGGAACAGGCAATGAGAGAAGGAAGTTAATATCAACACGACCTCATAAAAACAAGAACATAGAAAGCAGGAATATTTTCTTCCTTGCCTGTTGATATGTATACATGTTTGCACTGGCACATATTAACTAATGTCTCTTCTCTCTCCTTTGCCGTTTTTATTTTATGTAAAGATTATTAGCAGTGGTTAACTTCACAATTTCATCTTTAAGTTACAAAATATTCAGATGGGACCATGACTAGTTTTGAGGGGTGATCAACATCATCTAGAAACGAGTACCATGACTGTCACTCAGAGGAGGATATAAGAGCTCTTGGGATTTTATGTCTCCTCTCTTTGAGAACACTGTGAGTGTCTTTGTACAAAAGATAATTGCATGTTATAAGGTAAAGGTGTACGTTTGTTGTTATCATTAGATGGTGTTCAGTACATGTAGATGGATGCTGAGTAGCCAAAGGGGTGGAGGACTGTGTCAGCTGTCAAGCTATCATCTCTCAACTCCGAGCTCACCCTTCTATTTATTTATTTATTCATTCATTTATTTTTATTTTTATTTTTATTTTTTTTTTGTTTTGTTTTGAGATGGAGTCTTGCTCTGTCACCCAGGCTGGAGTGCAGTGGCGCAGTCTCAGACACTGCAACCTCTGCTTCCCAGGTTCAAGTGATTCTCCTGCCTCAGCCTCCAGAGTGCCTGGAACCACAGGTGCCTGCCACCACACCTGGCTAATTTTTGTATTTTTAGTAGAGGTGGGGTTTTGCCATGTTGGCCAGGCTAGTTTCAAACTCATGACCTCAGGTGATCTGCCTGCCTCAGCCTCCCAAAATGTTGGGATTACGGGCATGAGTCACCACGCCCAGCCCGAGCTCACTCTTCTAAACTCTACGTTTTGGTGCTAAGATTGGGGCTCTGCACATAACATCTCTCCTTCGTCAACTGGCTCCTTGTTGGGTTCTGCCTGTAGGAGGACTAGAGAGAAACCAAAGGCTGGAGGAGAGAAAAGAGGCATATGCTCTTTCTGCTGGCTTATTCTTCTTGTCCCTGTCTCTCCAGCAACAGATCTCCCCCCGAGCAGCAGCAGTGCATTCCAGTAGCCAGTTTTTACTGCACAATCTCATCATGCTCCTTCAGAGATAGCAGCACCAGTCAGCCAGGCTGCAGCGTCTGAGGTCTAAACCCAGCTCCATGGGGCCTCTTCTTCAAGCTTGTAGAGTCAGATAACCACGACATCTCCCTTTTGTTCTGCCCATCCTAGGGATGATGGCTTCTTTCTCTAGTTCCTCTAACCATGCTACTTCAATGTTCTCTTTGGGCTTTTTCAGTCCTCCAATACCTGTTTAGCCAATTCTCTATATTAAATTCTCTGTTAAGATAACTGGTGTGGTTTCTATTTTCCTGACTGAACTCTGACTAATACAAGCAGGCAACTGTAATTTTTTATTATAAGCCTCCTATACAATTGGAATTTGTTTAAATTCTGCATGTATACTACTTTTTGTTACTTTTTTCCAATTCTGCAATGTAATTGCAAGGAGAGTGCAGTTACAGAGTACTGCCAGACCATTTAGAAGAAGAAACTCCTCGGCCAGGCGTGGTGGCTCATACCTGTAATCCCAGCACTTTGGGAGGCCAAGGCGGGCAGATCATGAGGTCAGGAGATCGAGACCATCCTGGCTAACACAGTGAAACCCCATCTCTACTAAAAAAATACCAAAAAAAATCATCTGGGCGTGGTGGCGGGCACCTGTAGTCCCAGCTACTCGGGAGGCTGAAGCAGAAGAATGGCGTGAACACAGGAGGCGGAGCTTGCAGTGAGCCGAGATCACGCCACTGCACTCCAGCCTGAGCGATAGAGCGAGACTCTGTCTCAGAAAAAAAAAAAAAAGAAGAAGAAGAAGAAGAAGAGCCTCCTCTACACTGGGTTGGTCATGGAAGACTTCCTGGAGGAAGTGACATCTAAACAAAATTTGAAAAACTCATTGAAATTAACCAGGCAAAGAGTGTGAGATAGTAAGCCAGGCATAGGGAATAAATAGCAAGTACAAAGGGAAGGAGGTAATAAGGCCTCATTAAGTTCAAGGAAGAGTCCGGCTGGAGCATTGCCAGTGTCAAGACGGGAGGCTGGGGAGGAGAGAGGTGATTGGATCAGAAAGGACCTCTGCAACCTTAGAGAGGAGTTGGGACATTTTCCCAGGGACTGTGAAGATCTTAGAGAGTTTCAACAGGGAAGAGGCATGACTGTATGGCCGGCAGCAGACACCCAACATCCTTGTGCCCACCTTGAGCACGCTGGCCCTTGCTCTCGGCCAAGTCACATCATCTCCAGCACTTGCCCAAACTCCACATCTCCCCCGTCTTCCCAGGCAGGCGCCTCCTCAGAACACATCTGTACTGAGTTTCCCCCTCAGAAACCTTGTTAGGACACTAGTTAGTGTGATAAACTAATTCACGGTGAAGTGTTAGCAAATGAAAATGGTTTATCGCTCCTCGGGGTATTTTCATTTTAAGGAGACTCCGTTGACAAATATTTACTGAATGGTCTATTACATGCAAGAAACTATGTAAAACTCCTAGGGGGAGTCACGGCTTGACCTAAATAAATCAGTCTCTAATGATAGAATCCTAGGCTCACCGGGAAGCATTGCAGGCAGCACACAGCCTTTCTTATCTCTGCTTAAACCACATTAGCCTCTCTCTTGATCTGCCCTCCATCCCGACCCCCACTCCTCCCCTCCAATGGGGCTGAGCAGAGGCCGTGGCCCCCGATGTTTAACTGTGACTTCCCTGAGTGGTGTTGACATTGCTGGGACTGTATTGGGGGCTCAACAGTCAATCTTCGCCCCATGTTTTGGAATCCCCAGGTCTGCCCCATGGGAAGCCAGAAGGAACTGTACTGAGGGAGCTCCATCTCCCGTCCTTGGCCACGCTCTGCCCCCACCTCCACCCAGACACACTTACGGAGGGCCTCCTGCACACCTGGCCCTGTGCCAGGAATAAGGGCCAGGGAGCAGGGGGCAAGGATGGGGAACAGCACAGAAGTCCCACACCTGCACTTCATTTCAGCACGAGATGGATTCTCCCTTGAATAGTGGAGCCTCAGGCCGGGCACTGTGGCTCATGCCTGTAATCCCAGCACTTTGGGAGGCTGAGGTTGGTGGATCACCTGAGGTCAGGAGTTTGAGACCAGCCTGGCCAACATGGTGAAACCCTGTCTCTACTAAAAATACAAAAAAAAAAAAATTAGCTGGATATGGTGGCGGGCACCTGTAATCCCAGCTACTCGGGAGGCTGAAGCAGGAGAATCACTTGAACCTGGAGGCAGAGGTTGCAGTGAGCCAAGATCGTGTCATGGCACTCCAGCCTGGGCAATAAGCGATACTCTGTCTAAAAAAAAAAAAAAAAAAGTGGAGCCTCCTCACCTGGTTGATTCTCCTCCTCTCTTTCTGTGTGTGTGTCTCTCTCTCTGCCTTCTGAGATACCAAACTAAAACAGAAAGGAGGATGAGAGGCAGGAAGGAAGGATGAATGCCGGAATGGGATGAACAGTGCTTTTCCAGCTGCTGGTCCCCCAAGTCCTCTCTCTCACCCCCTCTCTCATTGTCAGGCTCCACTCCTCCCAAGCTGGATTCCCCAGAACCACCCTCATCCCCTCCGGCCCCTCCCCACTTACCTGTTTGCAACGCCCTTCTTGGACAGCACAGGTGAGACATCCCGAATAAAGACACTGAACAAGGAAGTGGAAGCCGGAACCCTGGCGCTTTCGTCAGATTCACTGCATAGTGTCTAGAGAAGCTTACCTGTGCCTTAGCTAAGTTCCCAGGACTCACTATTCCCATCTATAAGATGGGCACAGCCCAGGCCCTGTTATCCCCCTAGGACCATCTAGACCTTCCCTCTCCGCCAGCCCTTCCCAGGCTCCCCCTTCCATCCATTAAGAAACACTGGCATCTAGTGGTTGTGTGAGGGACCTGCAGCGCAGACCCGGCTTCCAAGAACAGGGCCCATAGATGGAGAAGCCTCTGACAGCCCTATCTAGAAACAAGGAGCCCCGTATTCCATACTGCCCTCTGCAGCATCCCTCCCTCTCCCTCTGAAGAACCCCCAAGACCCCCAAACAACATGGGAGTCAAGAACCAGTGTTGAAATGGCCATGTTGCCCATCCTTGCTGAAGACCACCCAGACACCTCCCTGGTGATGAGGAGGGGAGAGAACCTGTGGATGAAACACCCCATGGCCAATCCACAAAGTGAGTCATTAGGAGCTGAGCACAAGCCCAAATTCCAGACAAATAGGACAGCTTCCTACCACGGTGGCTGCCAATCTGCCAGCCACTCCATCATGTGACCCCCCCCCCCAGACACTTAGTCAGCACTCCCAGGTGCCCAGCATCATACCAGGCTGTTGACAGTGTGTGCCTGCATGTGTGTGTGCATGGATGAGCACAGGGAGAGATGTGTGCAGAGGAAAGAAGAGGCACACAGCATGAGTCACTGGCAGACATAAGCAAGTGAACCATAAAATAATCTAAATTCATTTATTCAACACATACTTCCCAACACCTGCTGTGCACCAGAGAGAGCTGCTCCCAAGCCACCAAGGGCTCACCCCAACCCTACCACCTGACAGCTACCTGAAAATAGTCTACCCCGCACTCCTACCCTCCAGTTAACCTACTTTGCATACGTTAAAGACTGTTTTACCATTGGCTTGCATCTCTGCATCCCCTGTAGCTAGGTCTACCCCGCACTCCTACCCTCCAGTTAACCTACTTTGCATACGTTAAAGACTGTTTTACCATTGGCTTGCATCTCTGCATCCCCTGTAGCTAGCACACAGAAGGGGCCTAATATGTGCTTATTGAAGTCATTAATCCAGTCCAGCGCCTGCCAAAGCGGGAATCCCTTCTGATAACGTCACCGATGGCTGCTCTCCCAGCCCCCTCAAGGGCCACCGGTTATTCCGTATGCTGTTGTGTCCGTCAGGTTTCTGTGGCAAGGGACAGAACAGCAACTCGGATTCACTGGAGTAGAGAAGGGAGCTGCACAGGCAGAGAGAGCAGAGTTGGGTGCTGGCAGGTGCGGATTGAGGGTAAGAAAGAGAACGGAGTCAGGTGCTGGCAGGCCTGGATGACCACATCTGGTTTTCCCATCCTTTTATTCTGTTTTCCTTAGCCCCCTGCCATGCCCATATCCCCATCTCCAGACTCTGCTTCTGTTTGTTGCTGGTCCTAGCCTGCCCTTCTGCATACCAGCTGCCTTCATGCAGCAGGAGGAAGGGAGATGGCCACAGGCTCTTCCAGGCTTGCACGATCCTAGCACAGGATCCCAGAGGCTCCCTCTCCCTCTCCTGTTGAACATATCTTTTTTTTTTTTTTTTGAGACAGCGTTTTGATCCTGTTGCTCAGGCTAGAGTGCAATGGTGCAATCTCAGCTCACTGCATCCTCCACCTCCTGGGTGCAAGTGATTCTCCTGCCTCAGCCTCCCAAGTACCCAGGTAGCTGGGATTACAGGCACCTGCCACCACGCCAGGCTAATTTTATGCTTTTTTAGTGGAGATGGGGGTTTGCTATGTTGGCCAGGCTGGTCTTGAACTCCCGACCTCAGAAGATCCACCCGCCTTGGCCTCCCAAAGTACTGGGATTACAGGCGTGAGCCACTGTGCCCGGACATATCTTGAGGAATATCTAAATCTCAGGAATGACTCTGTCTGGACCAGTTCCGATCCCTGAGTCCCCACTGCCCAACCTCCTGTCCATTCTTAAGGCCTGAGAGACAGGTACAATGTCCCAGGGCACACATGTCTGCCCCTGTGGTCAAGGGGAGGGGAAAGGACACTGTTACTACCTGCCCATCAGAATTGTGTGCAATGGGAAGTAGGACAGAAGAATCTTCCAAATGAGGGAGGGTATCTTACCAGGAAGAGGGAAGGAGACATGCCGAGAAAGTGCAGTGTTTCAACAGTGTCCCCCAAAACATTCACTTCCATCTGATCCTCAGGATGTGACCTAATTTGGAAATAGGGTCTTTGCAGATGTAGTTAGGGTGAGGATCAAGCAGAGATTATCCTCTTGATAATCTCTTTGAAGGGTGTTTTGGGGGGCCAGCCGTGGTGGCTGACGCCTGTAATACCAACACTTTGAGAGGCTGAGGTGGGCAGATACCTGAGGCCAGGAGTTCAAGACCAGCCAGGCCAACATGGCCAAACCCCATCTCTACTAAAAATACAAAAATTAGCCAGGCGTGGTGGCACACGTGGTGGCTGTAATACCAGCTATTTGGGAGGCTGAAGCAAGAGAATCGCTTGAACCTGGAAGGCAGAGGTGGCAGTGAGCCGAGATCGCGCCACCGCACTCCAGCCTGAGCAACAGAGACTCTGTCTCAAAAAAAAAAAAAAAAGAAGAGATTATCCTGGATTAGGGTGGGTCCTAAATCCAGAGAGCATGTCCTTTTAAGAGACAAAAAAGGAAACACACAGACACAGGAAGGAGACCACGTGAGGATGGAGGCAGAGACTCGAGTGATGTGGCCACAAGCCGAGGGACACCAGGAGCCCCGCCAGCAACTGGGATAGGCAAGAAGGGACCCTCCCCTAGAGCCTCAGAGGGAGCACAGCCCTTCCGACACCTGGATTTCAGACTTCTGTGCTGAAGAACTGGGAGAGTATCAATTTCTGCTGTTTTAGGCCAACAAATGTGTGATCATTTGTGATGGCAGCTCTTAGAAAAGAACCCAGGAGGCCAAGACCAAAAGTCGTCCACTGTGCCATTTTCTGGGGTGGCAGATGTTTTAGGGGGCTGGAAAGCACCTGGTGGAGGTGTCAGCTCACTTCCCAGAGCCACGCCCACCAGCCGCCACTCTGCTGCAGAGACTCGGCTCAGGACCACTCCTCCCTGAACTGTCTGTCTAGAGCCTGCACACATGTGTGACATGGCAGACCCTAAAGTGTCCAGAGATTTTAGGACCTCCCCACCACCACCACCATCAACCACTTATGAGTAAACTGAGGCCCAGAGAAGCTAAACAGCCTGTCCCCTTCAGATAGTTAGAAGAATTTCTGAATACAAGGAAGAATTCTTCAGTAAAATTGATACATGACCTCTTTCTTTCTTCTTTGTTAAAAAATCTGATTAATTAGTAAAAGCTGGAGTGTTTGATAGTCACTGCTGAGAACACTGGAATCGTCAGGAAGCTAAATGCTTCTGAGCAACGGGCAAAGCGCTGGAGATCAAGCGGGCATTTTTTTGGCCTAAGATTTTGACAGGGTCAAGAGGACGTTCAACCCCTCACTGAGCCTTCGCGCTCCTTGTCTAATTTAATTGTTTGGAAGTCAGAAAGTGCAGTAGCTTTCTAGTTTCTTCTTTTCCAGGCTGAGATTTCATTCCTTGAAACATTCTTCTTTCCTTGATACAGTTTGCAAGGCCTCCACCTTGCTGGCAAGCAATCTGTGCACACACTCACCGCTCCTCACTGCAGCCTCACTGCTGGGCTGCCTGCTCTGGCCCTGCCGGGAGACCTGGGCTGGGGCAGGATGGTGGCCGCTGCCCGGAGGCACGGGGCGGGGAGAGACGTGTTGAGATCAGGCCTCTCCCATCAGCCCCCAGGCCCAGGAGTGGACACAAAACATGGAGAGCCCAGCTCCTGACTCCTCCCATTCCAGCCCTCCCAGCCCCCTCCACAGAGAAATCCAGAGCCCATCCCAGGCAGCTTCTCCAGGCAGCAGGTGGTTCCACAGCCTAATTCAGGACCTCTAATCTCCCCCCAGGTCCCCAGCTTCTGAGACTTTGACGTACTGACTCCTGCCTCCCACCTGCGAAGCCCAGCAAAGCTCTCGCCTTTCTCCCACTCCCAAGAGTTGACAGACTCCAGGCTGCTTTTCAGATGATTTGGGGACCTTCCTGGGAGACACTTTGAAGCCTCTTCAAAGCCAACTGTGTTGTGAGCAGCTGCCAAGCTGCAGAAAGTCCCCGCAGCCCTGGGCCACCTCTAATTACCAAGCCCACCATCACCCTGTCAGTGCCTTTGGTGGGCCCTTCCTCTGCAGCCAGCAGCAAGTGCCCATCGTCACCCAAGAGCAGGAGGAGGGAGAGGAGTCTGCAAGGAACTTCTTCCAAAGAACACTGCACTTCCAAAGAACTGCACCTGAGGAGTTCCCGTGAACAAACGTGAACAACTGGTCTGATATTTACTAAGCGCCAGGGGTGCCCCTGTGCTGTCTCACACTGAGCTAGGCACACGAAGAAAATGGAAGTTGTGCAAAGGCTCAACTTCTGTTCTCCCCAGTTTCTCTCCTCTGCACTTTAGGCTCTGAGCTGCTGAGCTCCCAGCCCAGGCTGTCTCCAGCTCCTCCAGCCTGAGAAAGGAGCACAGATCATTGATTCTCTCCTGGGCTCCTCACCCACCCCTCCCCTTGTCTCCACCTCATTCCCCTGGATCCTTAGTTAAGAAGAGGCAAATGTTCCTTCTCCATTAGCAGCATCATTTAAACAGATGGCTGCAGGGCAGGGCCCGAAGCCTCCCCATCCCCAGGCCCTGCAGCTTTTCCTTCTACCTGCTTCCCACTCCCCACCCCAGGCTGGGAAGACTGGTGAGAGGCTGCTGGGTTGGCTGGGGGAGACCGAGGCAGCAAGTGGCCCCAGAGCTCCGCAGGCCTACCTGCCCCCTTAAGAACCAAGCCCCCTCCCCACCCTGGGCCTGTAGCTTCAGAGCATGGGGCTGAATCTCATCAACAAGAAATTTGAAGCCATTAAAATACAATGAAAGAGAAATTAAATGTAATCGCTCTGTAAATTATAACTAATTGAAACATCAATTGTAATTTTTATGATCTGCATTCAGAGTGAGTGATGGTGGAGTTGCAAAATGAAAGTTAAATAATGGTGGAGATGTCCCGAAATGCCCTCTGGCCCCCAGCCTCTGCCTCCCTCCTCCTGCAGGCTTCCCTCCCTTCTCTTCCAGACCCTGCCTGAAAGCTCTGCCTTCCGGAAGTTTCCTCCATGTAACTGCTTCTCATGGCCTCAGAGGCCTCAGTCTGCCCATTAGGGGGCCTCCTATATTGGAAGGCCTCTTGTATAGGGCCTCAGCAGGCCCTCCTGTTTCCCTGCAACCCCCAAAAAGGGCTGGAAGGCCTTCCTGGTTCCGCACATTTGGATCACGACCCCCAGGTCCCACCCAACATGCTTGGCCAAACTCCAAGCTCGGAAATGGCAGACAGAGTGCCTGGAGCCTCCGATTCTCCCAGAACTTACCCTGTTGCAGCCACATGGCCATGGAGTCATGAGTCTGGAAGGACTACAGGTCACCTGATCCATTCCCCTGCCTCCCTCCCAGCTCCAGCAAGGAGCTCCAGGGCCTTGGGTCAGTTGCTCAGCACCAGCACCAGCTTCCCTCCCCTCGTCCCATGGCCGGCAGTGATAGGGAAAATTCGAGTGACCCTTCCCAGGGGTGGGGACCCTGCCATGTTTGGGCCACCCTTCCTCCTCCCTGCTTGCCAGCTATCCGCTCTGTGTGCGGCACCCATGAGAGCGTGGCATCCACGAGAGTGTGGTGTGTGTGCTGCAGAGGCAAGCAGACCTGCATTACGTCTCCACCATGAGGGCGCTGCCGCTTGGCTCTTCTCAGACTCCGTTTCCTGAGCAGTAACTGAGAGACAATAATGACATTCCTCTGAGAGGGCTGGGCTGTTTAGCAACAGCAGCATTTGTGAAGCTCTTAGCACAGAGCGGGCACCTATTAAACCTAGGGATGATTATTGTCATCGTTTGTCATTATGTAGCCCAGCTCCAGGCTATTTTCATTTTGCTCCCAGCAGATCCCTGGGACCTGGTCCCTTCCCCCCGACCCCTGCCAACTCCCTCTCCAGTACATTGGCTGCCCCTGTGCAGATCAGAGGCAGGCAGCTGGGTACAGGTGCTCCCCACACCTTCTCCTGGCTGAAGACTTCTTAGGATTTTGGCAGGAAATTAATGAATCTTCCACAGGGTAAGAAAACAAACCCCTGGTCTCCGCTCCTCCTGGCAGAGACAGGGCAGCTCCTGGCACCCTGGATCCCAGCAAACTGGTCGCTGACTGACGGAGGAGGCCTGGTCTCTGCAGTGGCCAACTCCCAGCTGAAGTGGACGGGGAGACAAGGTCAGGAAGGCCAGTCCACTCCCACCTCCTCCCAGAAAAAGTCTTGAACAAGCTTTATTTTGATGGCTCGGTGTAGTGACTAATGCCTGTAATCTCATCACTTTGGGAGGCCGAGGCGGATGGATCACCTGCAGCCAGGAGTTGGAGACCAGCCTGGCCATCATGGTAAAACCCCATCTCTACTAAAAATACAAAAATTATCCGGGCATGGTGGTACATGCCTGTAGTTCCAGCTACTCCAGAGGCCAAGGCATGAGAATCGCTTGAACCTGGGAGGCGGAGATTGCAGTGAGCCGAGATCGCACCACTGCGCTCCAGCCTGGGCAACAGAGTGAAACTCCGTCTCAACAACAGCAACAAACAAAGTTTTGTTTTGAGGTACAGATTTCTAGAATTATCACATCCCCCCAATGCCTGTTTCTCATGAACTGACCTCTGCCTAGAACCGCCCCATCGCAGAACATAACAGACACTGATTTCCCTAGTGCTGGTTCCGTTGGGCGGGAGTCAGGACCTGAGCCCTGGGCCGCCTGACTTTCTCACCCAGGGAGCCTGGTCGCTCCTCCCCTTGGCTGGCACACAGCTTCTCACCGGACAGATGAGCTAATTCAGTGCATCTCCAGCTACCCGAGGTGCAGGACCTGTGGGTTTTTTTAATTACCAGTCTGTGACAGATCAACACCTTAAAATATTTTTATTAAGATATAATTCACGTACTGTAAAGTTCACTCTTTTAAGATGTGCAATCCCGTGGTTTTCAATGTATTTCAGAACGTTGCACAGCCATCACCACTACCTAATTCTGCAACATTTTCATCAGCCCAGAAAGAAATTCATACCCTTAGTACTTACTCCTCATTTCCTCCTTCACCCAGCCCCTGGCAATCACTAATCTACTTTCTGTTTCTGTGGATTTGCCTGTTCTGTACATTTCATATAAATGGAAGCATGCAATATGTGGCTTCTTTCACTTGGCACAATGTTTGCGAGGTTCATCCATGTCATTGCATGGATCAGAACTTCATTCCTTTTTGTAGTTGAATAATATTCCATCCCATAGGCTGGGCGTGGTGGCTCATGCCTGTAATCCCAACACTTTCGGAGGCCGAGGCAGGTGGATCACCTGAGGTCAGGAGTTCAAGACCAGCCTGACCAACATGATGAAACCCCATCTCTCTAAAAATACAAAAAATTAGCTGGATGTGGTGGTGCACGCCTGTAATCCCAGCTACTCAGGAGGCTGAGGCAGGAGAATTGCTTGAACCCAGGAAGCGGAGGTTGCAAGGTTGCAGTGAGCTGAGATCGTGCTACTATACTCTAACCTGGGCAACAAGAGTGAAACTCTGTCTCAAAAAAAAAATATATCCATCCTATAGATATACCACATTGGGTTTTTTTCTGGCAGGAGTGGGGGGTTTGTTTTGTTGTTGCTGTTGTTTTGAGATGGAGTTTCACTCTGTCACCCAGGCTGGAGTGCAATGGTACAATCTCAGCTCACTGCAACCTCCACCTCCCAGTTTCAAGCGATTCTCCTGCCTCAGCCTCCTGAGTAGCTGGGATTACAGGTGTGTGCCACCACACCCGGCCAATTTTTGTATTTTTAGTAGAGATGGGGTTTCACCATATTGGCCAGGCTGGTCTTGAACTCCTGACCTCAAATGATTCACCTGCCACGGCCTCCCAAAGTGCTGGGATTACAGGTGTGAGCCACCTTGCCCGGCCTAGATATACCACATTTTGTTTATCCGCTCATCAGTTGATGTACATTTGGGCTGTTTCCACTTTTTGGCAATTGTTAGTGATGTTGTAACAAACATTTACGTGCAAGTTTTGGTGTGATCATACGTTTTCAATTCTCTTGAGTATACACCTAGGAGTAGAATTCCAGGTTGAACTTTTTTAGGAACTGCCAAAGTGGTGTTACCATTACTGTGTTTGCAAAAACAAGATAAATATTAATTATTAGAAAAAATAAATTTGAAATAACATACAAAACGCAAGGCTAATTTTTATTATTAAATCAAAAGGCATAAAATTAGCTTGTCAAATTGCTACGACCGTTTCTAAATGCTTCCTCTCAGTTTCTAGACTTGCTTGGTCAATGATGGGTAACACACAGTTCTTAGACTGGCACTAGCCCTCGGACCACACTTTGAGTAGCCTGGACCGTCTGCATCCTCTCCACTGCCTCCAGCATAAAGGGCAGCCCCTTGGTGTGGGGTGCAAGCCCCATCCAACACTGGCCCCTCTGGCCTCATTTCACACCAGCCACACTGTGTGCCCGTTCTGTACCCAGGACTCCCTTCCTGGCCCCCTTGGACTGATTGTTTTGAGATGGAGTTTCAGGCAGATCACAAGGTCAGGAGATCGAGACCATCCTGGCTAACATGGTGAAACCCTGTTTCTACTAAAAATACAAAAAAATTAGCCGGGCATGGTGGTGGGCGCCTGTAGTCCCAGCTGCTCAGGAGGCTGAGGCAGGAGAATGGCATGAACCCGGGAGGCGGAGCTTGCAGTGAGCCGAGATTACACTACTGCACTCCAGCCTGGGTGACAGAGGGAGACTCCATTTCAAACAAAATAAAAGTGATGAGAAGCAAAAGCTGTGTAAGGCTGGTGGCTCCCCTGGTTCTTGGGTTATGAAGTGGCAGGGTCTCTCTTGAGCTGAGATTTGTAGTTCCTGGTTAAATGCCAGGG
This sequence comes from Homo sapiens, assembly GCF_000001405.40. Taxonomy (NCBI): domain Eukaryota; kingdom Metazoa; phylum Chordata; class Mammalia; order Primates; family Hominidae; genus Homo; species Homo sapiens. The sequence continues at coordinate 74,185,760 of NC_000017.11, forward strand.
TTTAATGGGCGTGCTAGGGAAAATGTTTTTTAGTGAGTGGTAAATGTCTCCCTGGTGCCTGCGGTGGTAATTACTTCAATGGCACCATCTCTCTTTAACATGCTCCTGGCCAGGGGGAAGGGAGGGGCTCTGAACAGAGGGACCAACTCTGGAAGCTGTGGCCAAGGGCATCTCTTGGAGGAAGCCGAGGGAGGGAGGAGGAAGAGACAGAGGTGAGCCCACACCTGGCCCAAGCCAGGATGACAGCGGCCCGGGGGGCCAGGGTTCAGGGCAGCCAAGGCAGGGATGTGTGTCATGTGTCCGCGCTTCAGGTCTGATTATTGGGTCATTATTGGGTCTCTACCTGGATGAGGTTACAAGGAAAAAATTTTTAAGTTTTTATTGAATTATAAAACACATACCTAAAATGCACGGGTGATAGTGTTTATTTAGCAAGGCAAATTTTCACAAGGTGAACCTTACAGCAAAGCAGCTCCCAGAGCAAGAAATAAAACAGAACAGAACAACCCCCGCAGAAGCCCAAAAGTCCTTCCCAGCCACTCCCCACCCCCAAGGTGACCATTGTCCTGACCTTTGTCATCATGTCCGTTTTGCATGAAAACTTTGTAATGTCACTGGGGATGGTCAATGCTAAGGAAATCACATATATGGGGGACTCAGGGGGCACAGAGGAGGGACATGTCACACAACCCACAGCTTGGAGAAGACTCCAAGAGGAAGTGATGTCTGAACCAAGTCCTGGAGGATGAAGAGACGTGAAGGCAGAGGTGGAGAAAGGGGGGGTGCGTGCGTGTGTGCATGTGCACGTGTGTGCGTGTGTGCGTGCGAGTGTGTGTGATGTGTGTGCATGTGTGTGCATGTGTGTGCGTGTGCGCGTGTGTGCATGTGTGTGCACGCACGTGTGTGCATGCATGTGTGTGCATGTGTGTGCGTGTGTGTGCATGCGTGCGTGCGTGTGTGCATGTGTGTGCCGTGTGTGTCATCATCCTGGTTTGTTGGTTCCTTCCATCTCTGGCTATTAATCTTCTTTCCATTCTGCAAAATTACATGAGTTCAAGAAGAACTTAGGGGCCAGGCGGGGTGGCTCACACTTGTAATCCCAGCACTTTGGGATGCCGAGGCGGGAGGATCACCTGAGGTCAGGAGATTGAGACCACCCTGACCAACGTGGTGAAACCCAGTCTCTACTAAAAACTACAAAAATTAGCTGGGCATGGTGATCAGTGCCTGTAATCCAAGCTACTTGGGAGGCTAAGGCAGGAGAATTGCTTGTGCCCAGGAGGTGGAGGTTGCAGTGAGCTGCGATCGTGCCATCACACTTTAGCCTGGGTGACAAGAGCGAAACTCCATCTCAAAAAATAAAAAAAGAAGAAGAACTTAGGTTAGCTTGAGGTTTCTCAGTATCCACACTATTTATTGACATTTCAGGCCAGATGGTTCTTTGTTATGGGGTCATCCTGTGCACTGTAGGATGTTTGGCAGCACCCCTGCCCTCTACCCACTAGATGCCAGTGGAAATTCTCCTCCCAAGTTGTCACAACTAAAAATGTGTCCCAATGTTCCTGGGGGAGGGGGACAAAATTGCCCTTCTCTGTCTGAGAACCCCAGATTAGCTGAAGAGAACTACCAGTGGCCAAAAACGTGGTGAATAAAGGACGTGGGTGAGCTGTCAGGAGGATCCGGGCAGAGACTGGCCTACCCTGTGCCTGGAGGCAGGGAGATGAAGAGGTTGTGCTTGGGAGGGCCTGCCTGACCCCCAGCTCCAACTCTGGTCAGCATCTCCCAGCAACCAGTGGGGACCTAGGAGGTTGCAGGTGGTCAGCCCTAGGACTGGGAGCAAAGAGGAGAGACAGGGAGGTGATGTCTGAACCAAGTCCTGGAGGATGAACAGATGCAAAGGCAGAGGTGGAGAAAGGTGTGTGCGTGTGTGTGTGTGTGTGTGTCTGTGTCCCTGAGTGGCCCAAGCCAGGAGCAGGACTTGCTCCCTGCTCTAGGGAGATAAAGGGGAGAATATCACAACGGAAGGGCCTTCCTGCTGCTGAGATCGGATTTCAATTAAAATGATTAGCTCTGTTTATTTAGACTCCACAGCTGCATACAATCTATTGCGTGTTATTGCGAGTTTAAAGAAATAAAGGAGGGGCATGGGGGGAGGGGAAGCATTTCAGCCCAAATTGAAAAAGTCCTCCTGTAATTACGAGACTGGAGAATATCCGCGGAGGGGATCAATAATGGGAAATCTAAGTGCCACTGTTTGCCGAGATTACAGTTTTGAATCGCTCCATCTTGGATTTTAATTTTCTTTCTCATTGTCGCATCACCCTGAGCTGTGATCCCAGCCCCACCTCCCAGCTTCAGAGACGCAGGCAGTAGGGCTGAACCAAAGCAGGGAAGTCAGGGCACATCTGACCTTCTTACAAACCTTTTATTGCTGTGTAACAAATGACCACACACTTAGGAGCTTAAGACAATACACGTTTATTGTCTCACAGTTTCTGTGGGTCAGGAGCCTGTTGATGGTTCAACTGGCTCCTCTGTTCAGGGTCCTGAGAGGCAGCACTCAATCTGTCTCCTGGGACTGGGTCTCATCTGAGGTTCAGGGTCCTCTTTCAAGCACATGGGATCGTTGGCACAATTCATTTCCTTACAGCTGTAGACTTGTGGCAGCTTGCTTCTTCAAAACCAGCAGGAGAGAGGCTCTGATGTCCAGGTCTTCTTTTAAAGTGCTTACTGAGCTGGGTGCAGTGGCTCATGGGCTGGGGGCAGTGGTGCACACCTCTAATCCCAGCACTTTGGGAGGCCGAGGAGGGTAGATCACTTGAGGTCAGGAGTTCTAGACCAGCCTGGCCAACGTGGCAAAACTGCATCTGTATTCAAAATACAAAATTAGCCAGGCATGGTGGTGCATGTCTGTGATCCCAGCTACTTGGAAGGCTGAGGCATAAGACTCGCTTGAACCCGGGAGGTGGAGTTTGCAGTGAGCTGAGATCACACCACTGCACTCCAGTCTGGGTGACAGAGAGAGACTCCGTCTCAAATAAGAAAATAAAATAAAATAAAATAAAATAAAATAAAATAAAATAAAATAAAAAGTGCTCGCCTGATTAGGCCAGGCCCATCCAGAATAATCTCCCTTTTGATCAACTTAAAGTTAACCATTTAGGGACCTTAATGACATCTGCAAAACCTCTTCAACTTTGCCATATTCTTTTAAGAGATGAGATCTTATTCTGTCATGCAGCCTCCACCTCAACCTCCCAGGCTCAAGGAATCCTCCCACTTCAGCCTCCTGAATAGCTGGGACCACAGGTGTGTGCCAGCATGCCTGGCCAATTTTCTTTTGTTTTTAGTAGAGACAGGGTCTCACTATGTTGCCCAGGCTTGTCTCAAACTCTTGAACTCAAGTGATCCTCCTGCCTCAGCCTCTCAAAGTGCTGGGATTACAGGCGTGAGCCACTGTGCCCAGTCATCTTTGCCATATTCTATTAAATAGAAGCAAGTTTCATGTCTCACCCACACACAAGGGGAGGGAATCATACAATGGGTGTGTAAGTCCTTGGGGTTCATCGTGCAATTCTGCCTAACTCACCTTCCATTGAGCTCTCTCTCTCCAGCCTCTCCTCCCCACATTCCCAAAGCCAGGCCTTGAAAAGACATCCCTTCCTGAGCCATCCTCACCACCACTTGCCTCCCTAGTCCCAGCTTGCTGAACTGACCCCAATAAACAATCCAGCAGCCAGCCTTGATTGAAAGTCTTCCCAAATAGGAGAAGAAATGAAGAAAACAACCAAGAATATGACATAATCCTCTGACTTTCTGTCCAGTGCTCTTCCCTGTAGACCAGGTTTGCTCCCACTGGTCTATGGTCTCCTCTATGTCCCAAACACCAGCCAGGATTCCTGGCTGCCCTGGCCCAGCAGCCTTGACCTGTTACCGTCCTTCTCAGGCTACTGAGCACAAGGTGAGATGCAACTGAGCTCTTCCATGGTGGATGAGGAGAGGAGCCCACTGTCATCAAAAGACCCACACTTCTATCATGTTGTTGCCTGGCTTCCAAGTCTAAGACGGCTGCTTCAGCTCCAGCCATCACTCCCACCATCCAGCCAACAGGGAGGAGGAAGGGAAGGAAAAGGACATGTGCTATGCTTTGAGTGTTTGTCCCCTTTGAAACTCAAGCCGAAACTCATGTTAAAACTTAATCTCCGGTGGAACAGTATTAAGAGGTGGGCCTTTAAGAGGTGATTGAGTCACAAGGGATAAATTCACGGGTTAATGAGTTATCCTGGGAATGGGTTAGTTATCACCAGAGGGCTGTTACAAAAGTTAGTTTGGCTGTTTTTTCTTGTCCTCTCACCCTGTGATGCCCTGTGCTGCCTCGGGACTCCATATAGAGTCCAAATGAGCAAGAAGGCCCTCACCAGATGCAGTCCCTTGACCTTGAACCTTTCAGCCTCCAGAACTGTAAGAAATAAATGTGTTTTCTTTACAAATTACCCAGTTTCAGATATTCCATTACAGCAACAGAGAACAGATGCCAGCTCCCTTTACACATCTCCTTACACCCCATTGGTCATAAGTTAGTCACATGGTCACAAATGACTGCAAAGAGTGCTGGGATATGTAGTTTTATTATGAACAGCCCTGTACGATGGGAGGATGTAGGAGTGGATGTGGAGATTTCTGGAAATCTCTGTTCTAACTTCCCTCTGCCTGGCTTGTGTATGCAATCTAAGGGATGGGATGTTTCTTTTGAATCCAGATCCTTACCCTCCCTTTCAATAGCGTGGCCTATGGTTCCATTGCTATTGATGGTTTCATCAAACCCATTATTCATGCATTCGTTCCTTCACTCCTCTACCTACTCATTTGTTCACTAGTTCATTCATTTAGTCTCAGAAATTCTCTTCCTATGTCTTTCACAATACCGGGCATTTGGTCAGCATTCCAGACGTGCAGAGAATGGTACAGACTCTGCACTCAAGTTACTCAGAAGCTAGCAGGGAAAACAGCCAAGGAAATGTATCATTTTAGCACCATGGCATAGGCACTATGAGAATGTGCAGAAGTCATGTAAACACTGTGGCCCTCATCCATGTGGGGCTGTGTGCAAGGTTTGCAGGGGAAGGTGACACCCCATCTGAGTCTTGGTCAAACAAACTGGCTGGGAGCAAAAAGGAAAAAGCATTCCAGCCCACAGGACTTTGAAGAACAGTGCTGGCCCTGTCCGTGGTGCTGACCCACAGGCCCAGCCTGGAGCCCAGTTTCAAGCTGAGATCAAGCCAGTCCCTGTTTCTCCCACCAACCTACCCGCTCTAGGCTGGCACACAGGGGTGGGCTGGTGGGATGGAAGTGAGGTGGTATTTAGCTACATACTTCATTTTCATAATGACCTTCCCGTTTCTCCTCGCTTGTCAGTCTGTGACCATTAAATTCCTCATTAGCAAACGAGATTTGGATGAGCCCATTAAGATGAGGGATGGCCTCACAGTGCAGCTGCCTGGGGTGAGCTAGAACTCACCTTCTCCCTCCCTATTAGAAAACAATGCACCTCACATTCTGTGCACATTTCTCCAGGTCTACTACCTAGTCCACACAGGCCCCTTGGAGTTATTCAGAGGACCAGCTTAAGGGACGGCCAGGGCACAACAGAAAAGCAAACAGCAGGACAACTGTTTGCTCACACATATACCCAGAGCCACCCAATCAGGGTCTGGGCGTTTGCTGCTTCATGTTAAAGCTCAAATTCCCAAATGTGACGTTCAAACCCTTCCCAGTCCTCTCTCAGTCCACCTCTCCAGCCTCTTCTCCTATCCTCCCCAAGTGCCTCTGCATTTTGGCAATGACAGATGACCTGATGCTGTGGCATGCTGGAAGTGGTTCATACCAGCACCCAGCTTGTGAGAGCTGCTTTGTACATACTCAAAAGTTTTGCAAGGCAATTGGCAGCTTGAAATCAGCCGTGGTGAGAGTATTTACACCACAGGAATCAGCAAATGCCACAGTTAAGGTTTTCTGGCTTTTTTTTTTTTTTTTTTTTTTGGTCAGAAATCTGGATTTTAGGCCAGGCACGGTGGCTCACACCGTGCACTTTGGGAGGCCTAGGCGGGTGGACCACTTGGGGTCAGGAGTTCCAGACCAGCCTGGCCAACATGGTAAAACCCATCTCTATTAAAAATACAAAAAATTAGCCAGGCGTGATGGCAGGTACCTGTAATCCCAGCTACTCGGGAGACTGAGGCAGAATTGCTTGAACCCAGGAGGCAGAGGTTGCTGTGAGCCAAGATCGCGCCACTGCACTCCAGCCTGGGTGACAAGAGCAAGACTCCGTCACAAAAAAAAAAATAAAAAGAATGAAAGAAATCTGGATTTTAAACATTTGCCAACACACCCCTGTCTGCAGGCCTCTGAGCATGTCACGCCCTTGCATAGCCCCCTCGACCTTTAATGCTGTTCCCTCTGCCAGGTTCCACTCCTTCTTCCTGGAATGCCTCGCCAGTCCCTCTTCCCTGCCTGGTGAAAACCTAGACATTTGTTCAGGCCCCAGGGAGTCATCCAGCTCCCCATTCAGTGTTCCCACAGTGAAAGGGTCTTATGCCCTAGGCAGGACTTCTCGTCTTCTCTTCCACCTTAACCAGGACTTCTCATTCGCTTTCCATTTTGGGGACCACAGGTGAGCACCACCATGCCTGGGAAGGGAGCTAAAGGAAAAAGCAGAACTATGGGGGCAGGAAAGTTCACAATACCCCGGGGCAGAAAGTACAGCTGGTTTCATGGGGACAAAGAATATGTCCAGCAAGCAGCTGCCCTTTTTATTATTATTATTAGTATTATTATTATTATTTTGAGACAGAGTCTCACTCTGTCGCCCAGGCTCGGTTCAAGCGATTCTCCTGCCTCAGCTTCCCAAGTAGCTGGGATTACAGGCGTACGCCACCACGCCTGGCTAATTGTTGTATTTTTAGTAGAGACGGGGTTTCACCATGTTGGCCAGGCTGGTCTCAAACTCCTGGCCTCAGGTGATCCACCCACCTCGGCCTCCCAAAGTGCTGGGATTACAGGCATGAGCCACCGTGCCCAGCCACAGCTGCTCTTTTTCTAGGGCCACCTGCTCTCTGGATTCTGCATACAACACCCCTTATGGCTTCCCTCAAATAATCACCCTTTGCCCCTGGTTTGCATAAAATCTCAGGCCAATCAACCACAAACCAGAGCATCTCTGAGTCTCAGTCCCAACCCCAGGATTGTCCCAGGATAGTCTAATCATCTGAGGCCATCAGGCAGGGTGTGGAGCTGGGAAAACAGCCCATCTCCCAGGCTGGAGGGCAAACTCCATCAGCACAGGGAACATGTTTCTTCATCTCTAAGAGAAGATCATGTTCTAGCTAAGAGAAGGTGCTTAGTAAATATTTGCAGAATAAATGAGTCACCTCACAGTTTGGGTCCTGCTCCGACGAACACATGACCCAGCTGGTCCCTGGAGAAGGAGGCAAAGGCTTTGAGGCATTCAATAAGGCAACGCTGCACACTCAAGTCACGAGGCTTCCTTGCCCTCCAGTTACTAGCTGTGTGACCTTGGGTGAGTCACTTAACCTCTCTGTGCCTCAGAGGCCTCATCTATAAAATGAGGGTTTCAATTTTGCCTAACTTAGAGCCGTGGTGAGGATTACAGATGATCTTCCTGGAACAGCTGGAGTGGCTCCTGGCGCATAGTAGACACTCGACACAGCGGAAGCTGTTGTTCCCTGTTCTATGCTGAAACCACAGGACAGGGTCCCTCTCTGCTCCACCAGCAGGCTTCCTCCCCAGGTCTCATGTGACTCCAGCCAGCCACACACGCTGACCCTCTGCCAACCCAGCCAGACCTCTGTTCTCAGGGCGTTAAATGCAAGGGGAAGGCCACGTTGACAACCAACTGCAGCCACGCCTCCTCTGCCCTCCCCAGGAGCCTGGGCTGAAGACTTCATCTGCTGTAATTAACAAGCCAACTGCAGCTGTCTTGCTCCATTAATAGCAGATCAGCCTGTCGGGCGAGGGCTGACAGGGAGGTTGTGAACAGAAAGGTAAGAAGGAAGTGGGCCAGGCACGGTGGCTCACGCCTGTAATCCCAACACTTTGGGAGGCCAAGGCATTCGGATCACTTGAGGTCAGGAGTTAGAGACTAGCCTGGTCCATGTGGTGAAACCCCGTCCCTACTAAAAATACAAAAATTAGCCAGGCATGATGGTGGGCGCCTGTCATCCCAGCTACTCAGGAGGCTGAGGCAGGACGATCGCTTGAATCCGGGAGGTGGAGGTTGCAGTGAGCTGAGATTGCGCCACTGCACTCCGGCCTGGGTGACAGACCAACACTCCATCTCAAAAAAAAAAAAAAAAAAAAGAAAGACGTGGACAGGACCAGGGGCATGAAGCAGTGGCATCCAGCCTGCCTTTCCACCTCCACCCCTTCCCTTACCCCTTCTCCTCCCTCCACCCCTGAGGCTGACTTTCCAGAAGCCACAGGCTACAGGGAAGGGGAAAGATGACTGAGTGACGGGAACAGCCCAGACCCACCTCCAAAGTGCTCCTGACAGCAGGTGGGGGTTAGGAACAGAGCCATGGCTTGGAGGCCCAGACTGTGGAGAGCAGCCATGCCCTCTCCAGAAACCCTTCCTCCCCAAGACTCAGCCAGGCAGGAGACTGGTTAGGGGTAAGGGCCACTTCTACCTCCATTCCTCTTTTTCCAAAGATGTTGCGATTCCTGCGACATGGGAACACGCAGCTGCTGGTGAGGAAGAGGTGGCTTCTTACCACTTAGGTCAATGACAGCCACTTCCTCCCTTTTTAACAAGCAGGTACATCTCCTCCCCATCCCCCAGCATTGAGTCTAGATTCGCACAAATTGTTTTGTTACTGTTGCTTGCACACACCAGAGAAGAAAACAGAAGAAAGAAGGAACACAGTGACCCAGGCCCCACCTGTGCTGAGGGGCTGCTGGCCTCTGCGGGTGAGTTCCTGGTGTGTCTCCTTCCCCCAAATCCCTCCCGGGTCTGGCTGCTCTAAGCACGTGTGTGCTCACAGGCAGGTACTTGTGGGCTCGTCTCTGATGTATGCAGCACACAGACCCCTCGAGTCCCTGCTTCTAGCCAGGAGCCGTGTCTTTAATCTCCTCACCTTGGGAGGCATTGCAGCACTCTGGTAATTGCTTTTGGAAACATGGTCACCAGTTTAATTGGTAGAACTTGTCCTGGGCGGTGTAACACCACCAAGCAACCTCAGGCCTATCTGTTTCTCCAGATGCCTTGGCAGGCACGTGACTATACGTGCATGCAAGCTCACCTGTGCATTGGAAAGTATGTCTGGGCTCAGCTGTGCATTGGAGAGGAGTGTCTGGGCTCATCTGTGTGTTGTGCAGGCTAGCTAGAGTGTGTCTCCAACCTCAGCTAAAGGCATGGCCAAGATCTACGGGATAAGGGAGTGAAGGGCTCCTGAGAGCTAGTGGGACAGGATGGAAGAGCACCAGCCCAAGCCCTGGGGGACTTCTCTGCCTTGTGACCAGAAAGGGGAGAGGAGATCTCCCACAAAGCCATCCAGACACCACCTTTGATGGGCTCCTTGCACTGTGCTGGGGAGGGGGTGGGCTGTATATCTTGCTCTGTGCCCAAGGAAGACCGCCTTGAACCTGTTGAGCTCAGCCAATGGGGTGCCCAGGCAGAACACTGAGAGAAGGAAGGGAAGATCGTGAGCTCAGCGCATTCGTTTCCCTGAGAGGCGGCCACGGGCTGAGGGCATTGCTCGGCTGAAAGTCCCAGCCCCATCAAGCAGACCCCTCCTCACTGCAGCGCTGTCTTGGGTCTGGTGACCCCCTCCTCTCCTCCGTGGTAGTAACAGTCCCCGCTGACACTCGCTGGAGCTCCACACTCTCCTCTCTGGTGTCCTGCACCTGCCCATGCCTGCAAACAGACCTTTTATGAAAATTACCCTCAAAACACACAGTCTGGCTGTGCCTCCACTTCCTGCTAGGACCTCGAAGGATCCCTCAGGTGGGAGGCGAACAGCATTTGGGGGAGACAGCCCCTCCTCTCCTGATTGTTTCTTCTCTGGTTTCCTTCTCTGTTGGGCCCCCATGGACAGATGAGCCCAGGGTGAGGGTGGCACAAAGTTATCTCGGGGGGACAGGGACAGCCCTTCTGCCCCTCGAACATTTCCCTCCCAAGCCTCTGCACCAGCTCTCCCACACCCCAAGCCAGGCTGGCCAGCCCTAGGCAGGACACAGAGGGGACCCACGACCACTCAGGCCTCCTCACAAGGGCCGCTGGCCCACAGCTGGAAGGAGGGAGCAAAGTAGGAGGTCAGGCGCGTTGGCTCATGCCTGTGATCCCAGCACTTTGAGAGGCTGAGGTGGGCAGATCACCTGAGGTCAGGAGTTCCACACCAGCCTGGCCAACATGGCAAAACCCCGTCTCTATTAAACATACAAAATTATCTGGGCGTGGTGGTGTATGCCTGTAATCCCAGCTAATTAGGAGGCTGTGGCAGGAGAATCGCTTGAACCCGGGAGGCAGAGGTTGCAGTGAGCCGAGATCATGCCATTGCACTCCAGCCTGGGCAATGAGACTGAAACTCCGGCTAAAAAAAAAAGAAAAGAAAAAAGAAATAAGGGAACAAAGCAGCACCTGGGGGCTCCACTGAAAAATGAGAGGGGCAGAAGGCAGGAACCTCTGGCAGAGGGAAGAGCAGGTGCCCAGCGGGCAGGACGGGCTCACAGACAGGGTGAGCAGGAGGAGCAGACACACAGGCAGCAGCGGGGGACAGAGGAGAGGCAGGCAGGGCTGACTGAGTGTAGGCTGCGGGGCTCTCCATGGGGTCCACTCTTGCAGCCCAGGGAGCGGGTCAGGGACGCGGCTTCAGCCGTCAGATGCCAGAGATTCCCAGGAGCAGTTACCAGGGAGCAAATCGCTGTGCTCCCGTGGAGATGCTGCAACCCACCCGCCTGCGCCCACCCAAAGGACACTCCACCCACACGACCCGGGTTATGAGATCACCTCCATTTCACCCTGTGCCCCCATGCCACGCCCCAGCCCAGCCCACACCCACGCCCTCCATCCCGGCACTAACACCAGCAAGGCCAGAGGTCTGCCCCGCCCTCCTCTCCCTCCTGCAGGGGGTCGGAGCCTGGGGGAGAGAAGCCCGCCCACGGGGTCACCAGCCTTCCCCTGGGGGACTCTGCCTAGCAGAAGGACCCACAACCCGTCCAGCACTACTGCTAAGACGCTCGTGTCATTCACGCCCGGGACGCTCGTGATTTATGGACTTTAATTTCCCCAGATCCTCAGTGGCTTCCCTCCTTTCCCTCTGGCCTGTCAGGGTGTTTGTCTCCCAGCACCCCCAGCACCCCCCTCCCTGGTTTTTAATTTGAAGCATCTGTCTGGAGCATCCCGAGGAGGAGACGCCTGCGAGGCTGAATGCATGAAGCAGCTGACAGCTCTATTGATTTCCTCTCTCCCACCGCATAATGCAAGATATATACAAGCCGATAGGCCAGCCCTCTTTGAAGGGTCTGTGCCCTTTTTTCTCACTCTGATGTCCCCTCACCCTGGCACATGTTGATCTATAGGAGGGGTGCTTGTCCCTCATGCTGAAAATGCATTCTCCTCTGCCTCAGTGTTATTTTTCTCACTGTTGGTGGATGAGGCCTCATCTGTCCTTTCTGTGCTTGCAGATTGGACACCCAGGAAGCAGTTCTTGGAGTGAAAGGGGCCAGTAGGGAAAAGCAGGGGAGCTGGGGAGGTGTCATCTGTCAAAACTGACTCTGCCCCCCATGGAGGAGATGGTGCGGGGCTTTCGGAGTGGCCCTCCCCAGCCTCACAGGTCTGGGCAAGGAGGGCTGCTTTCCACTCCAGCCCACGCCTCCACCAGGTTGCAGGTTTTTTCCTCCAAATCCATTGGCAACTCTTGCCTGGGAATCACATTCAATTAACAGCCACAGAGCCGGCTGCTGGGCTAAGCATTTTTCTATTCTTGGTGCCTTCTGGTTTCTCATAAGCAGGGCAGCTGCAGACAGTTGTGCAGGCTGCACACAACTGGCCGCAGTGGCCTGGATCCTAGCAGGAATTAATACTCAACAGAAACTGAGGCTCAGAGCTCTCAGGAGACTCATTCAAATTCTCCCAGCCAGACACTGAATTTGAATCTAAGACTTCCTGCCTCCAGGAAGAGTTTTCCTCCCACCCTATCATACTGCCTCCTCCAGGAAGACCACCTAGATTGATACCACTCAATCTGATGCTTCTTTCATTCTTGTCACCCTGGAACTTATTTGCTATGAGGGTTTGCACATACTAGCAGGCTCCTCTGGAGGTGTTGGGTTTTCAGGACAAAGCAATATTCTACTCCTCTTTGTGAATCACCATCGATGTTACTCCTGGAGGACTTTCCTGGCCTGTATCACCCCTTCCCCAGCCTGTATCAGACCCCCATGGCCTCCATCTGGTCCCACAATTCCAAACACTTCCTACACCTAGGGCCCAACCTCATCACTGCCTCCCTTACTATTCTGTGTGTCCCTTGAGATGGGAACAGGGACAGGATCTTATTTGTGCATCTTCACCACTTAGGTACCTAGAGGCACCTTAAAGACGTGCCCCATGCCTCTCCTCCCTTCTCCCACCCCAGCTCCCCACCCCATCCCGAGGCTTCCCACTGGAAAAGGTGTCCCCACCCGCTCTGGGCTGACATCAGCTGCCTTGCCTCCCAGAGTAGGGACGAGGCTCCTGGTAACTAGAGCCGACTGCACCCCGCCTTGCCACCCGTTGAGCCCGGGCAGAGGCAGCACCCAGGGCTGTCCTCCTTACAGCATCCACAGAAAAGCTTTGAAACCCTAGGCTAGGTGCAAATAAGACAGTAGCCTGAGCCCATGAGTTACCTGGCCATAGGCACAGAACAGAGATATCCATTATGAAAAAGAATGTCCTCGTGGTTTTGGCCTTCTAGTCAAGCGGCTCTCAACCACAAGTGGCATTGCCCTGCTTTCCCCCGGGGACATTTGGCAATGTCTAGAGACATTTTCGTTTCTCACAATTGTGAGGGTCTAGCATTAACCAAGTAGGGGCCTGGGATCCTCACAAGGCTCAGAAGAGCCTCAGCCCCTAAACAAAAAGTGAAAGTGACCCCATCCACAAAGGTCAACCATGTGGGGCGTGAGAACCCCTGTTCCAGTCTGCCTGGCCTTTCTTCGTGGCTTCTAGCTCAGCAGCAGGGAGAATGTTAAACCTGTCTACCTCTCAGGGGCTCACAGACTCTTTGGGGGCCAGGGGGAGAGTGAGTAACCAGTATCCCTTTAAACTCACCATCTTCAGTTTCTAAAAAAACACCAGTGGGCCGGGTACAGTGGCGCAAGCCTGTAATCCCAGTACTTTGGGAGGCCAAGGCAGGAGGATCGTTTGAGGCCAGGAGTTAGAGTCCAGCCTGGGCAACACAGGGGACCCCATTTCTAAAAAAAAGAGGAAAGAAAGAAAGAGAGAGAGAGAGAAAGAAAGAAAGAAAGAAGGAAAGAAAGGAAGAAAGGAAGAAAGAAAGAATATAAGACCACATGCTTGTGGTCCCAGCTACTTGGGAGGCTGAGGCAGGAGGACCACTTGAGCCCGAGAGGTCGAGGCTGCAGCGAGCAGCGATTGCACCTCTGCACTCCAGCCTAGGCAAGAGAGCAAGGCTCTGTCTCAAAAAAATAAATAAATAAAGCACCAACTCACCCCGCCACCCGACTCCCCATCCTTTCCCAGGTAAATGAGTTCAGTGCCAGGGACCAGAGTCCCGGCCTGCTGACAACCTTTAAGGTTTAATAAACAACTCCCTTCCGAGATGGTTTAAAGGCCAGCCCTGCCGGCAGCCAAAGGCAGGGGCCTCTTGGAGATTAAATGAGATGGTGGATATGAAAGCACTCCACCAGGTATGAAATCGCATACAAATATTCCCGATAATTTATGGACATTTCTCTCCGCCTGAGCTCCCAGGAGTCGCGCGGAAGGGGCTATTCCGTTTCCAGCCGCGGCCTCAGCGCCCCCGTGCGGCCGCCAGTGGACACAGCACCCAGGGCGGGCCTTGCCTGAGAGGTGCGGGTTGGAGCTTTGCGAATCACCCCATAGAAGCTTCGCTGCAACCCTGCGAGGCGGGAGAGAGGCGACAGCACACACACTCCCACCCCCAAAACATACACACACGTGCACGCACACACACACAGAAACCAGGAAACTAAGGCTCGGAAGATCACCGCTGGGCAGTGAAGGAGGTGCTATGGACCCCAGGGATGGGCCCTTGGGTGACGATGACCACAGCGGGCATAAGTGAGGCTGGAAGGGGAACTCCTGAAGGCCCTGAACTCCAGCCCAACTCCCCCTCCAGCCTCTTCTCCCCGACCCCCTGCCCCAGACCCTCCTTACCTCTGCCACACTGAACTTCCCACTCATTCTCAGAAACACCCCGCATTCTCCTGACCCTGGGCTGACGTCAGCTCCCTCCCTCCTTCTGTCTGGAAGTCCTTCTCCGGGCAAGCTGCTGCGCACCCCTCTCGGAGGCAGCAGACTGTGTCCCCTCCTCCACGAAGCCTTCCAGGACTCCCTCAGGAGGAATTAGACCCCTAGCCTCTGGGCATCCTCCACAGCTTATTATGGGATCCCAACAGTCATGAGTGTTTGGAGCAGGAACCGCATTCTGCTTATTCCCAAGCCCAGCCCGATGTTCACCAAGTGAACGGAATGGATTGAATGGGGGAAAATCCTGGAGGTTGGGAAGTCTTCCCAGCCATGTGCCGTGCCAGCCCTCTGCCCACCTGCGAGCTGGGGCATTGGGGTTTTTTTGACCCATCCTGGTCCTCTTTCCAATGTGTCCCTGAAAACTGAAGAGAGAACTCTAAACCATTTGGCCTTCAGAGGTGGCCAGAGTGGGGCTGCTGGAGGGAGGAGGGGAGGCCCGGTGACTTCTGAGGCCCTCTCTGCCCAGAGCCAGCAGAGTGAGGGAAGGGAAGGAAGGAAAAGGGTTGGATTGTGTCCTGTAGCTCCGGACATGCCCTCTGAGCCTCTCCTGCCTCCAGCCATGCTGCAACACACTGCTTGAGACCCTCCCTACCGCCTCTTGACAACAGCAATAGCCCTCACCATCCCACAGCTGCCAGCACTGGACATTCCAGCCTACCAATGGCCAGAGCGACCATAACAGGCAGCCTGGGCCATCCTGCCCTCGAGTCCGGGGCTTTCCTCTCCTGCAGGATCCACCCTAGGCCCTGGAGAGTTTTGTTTCATGTGTATATGGGAGTCATCAGGGAGGCTCATGTCCAGGTCAGCATCTGCTCAAGGTCTCAGGCTGTGGCACTCAGGGCCTAGGCTCTGCCCCCCTTGGTCTCTGACAGTCCCCGGCCACTCCAGGACATTTGGGGCTCATCTTCCCATGGAGCAGGGAAGCGTGCCCTCTGGGCACCTTGCCTCACTTTTAGTAGCTGCAGCTTATTTTGCTATTTGTCCCCCTTGGGGAGCTGGAGGTCTTTGGTACTTGAACAAATTTGCCATTGTGTTTTGCTACTACACGTCTATGGTCCCTTAAATTATACAACTCAAGAGGGTGAACATCTGTCTCCCTGGGATCGCTGCCAAAAGGGAGGTGCAGCTCCTCCTTCTATCCCCGTCCTTGTCCTGTCGGGCCGGCAGTGAGGCAAGAAGCACCAGTCATTCATTCAACAAATAGTTTTTGGACCTACTACATGCCAGGCACTGCTTCAGGCACGTCAGTGTCTCCTTCTGGCTCTCCCTGAATTCCTCCCTCCATCCACCACCCCTTTATATGGTGAGTGATCTCAGATGCCGCATCCAGCCGGATCATCCTGCAATGTTAGCATTGAGCACTTACTGTACAGATGGGTACTGCACTTCGAGAGTTATCGACAGAATGCTGAGCCCTGTCCTTGCCTTCAAGGAAAAGTGGTAAGGTGGGGCGTAGTGGCTCACACCTGTTATCCTAGCACTTTGGGGGGCCGAGGCAGGAGGATCCCTTGAGCCCAGGAGTTCGAAACCAGCTTGGGCAACCTAGGGAGACCATGTCTCTAAAAAAGTTTTAAAAAATTAAAAATAAAAAGAGTGGTGCGCATGTATGAAAAGTTAAACACCTCCACGCAGCCTACGGAGAAGTGATTGCAAGGAACCACTGTATGAGCGGCAAGCAACATAAGTCAAGGGTGAAGGGTCCTGCCTGAAAAAGGGGAGGCGGGAGCTGAGCTCGGAAGGACCAGTGGCACTTGGCATCAGAGTGGACAGCAGAGCAAATACCTGGAGGGCAGAAAGTGCCCAAAAGTGCCCCTCGGCTTGGCTGAAAGGGTGGTTGCTTGTGGAGGAGCAGTGGGGTAGAAAAGACCAGAAAGGCATCGCCTGAGATGGGAAGGGCTGGCAAAGCCGGGCTCTGAGGTATGGGAAAATCCTTCTCAGGTCAGAGCTGAAGCACTCGTGCTTCTCAGATCGGATCCGACCTTCAGACATCTAAAATTAGGCTTCTGCCAATTAACTTTTCCCACTGCTAGAACCCCGACACATTTACAGTTGCAGAGACATCGTTCAGCTTCTTTAAAAGACTCTTCAGTGTTATTACAATATTTTTGTGATCTCTCTGCAGCAAGGTCTATTGGTTCCTGTATCTCCAGCACCCCCAGGAAGGTGCTCAGCCTGAGCTTGTTAATGGAAGGGCAGGAGGGAGGAAGAAAGGAAGGTTAAGTTAAATAAGTTCTAAGTAAAGCTCATGGCAAAGTGTTCTTTCCCTTCAGGAGGGCCGCTCTGTAATAATAAGCACGAAGCAATTACATTCTGCCGTGTGGTTATTAAATTTTGGGGAAACAAATATAATAAAATGTAGACATTTGTAGGGAGGTTGGAGATAAAATAAAAATGGAGGATAAAAATAAAATCGATAACCGCAGGTTGCTCAGAGTCTAACCTAAAGGATGTTAGGGGGAGAAAGGAACGCTGCCCTCCCCAGGCTTCCCAAGCCTCCCCAGGAAGTGGCCGGAGCCTGGGCTGGGGAATCTGCCCAGCAGGGGTTCAACTCCTGAGTCCACCTCTCCCCTCTGGGGCCGCGGTGAGACCCCGCAAGAGCAGGAGCACTCCCACTCACCATCAGCCCTAGGGGTGAGACACTTAGCCAGGGGCAGCGCTGCGACAGCTTTTGGAAGTATTATTATTATTATCATTATTGCTAGAGATGGGGGGGGGGAGGTCTTACTAGGTTGCCCAGGCTGCTCTCGAACTCCTGGCCTCAAGCGATCCGCCTGCCTCGGCCTCCCCCAGTGCTGGGGTTATAAGCGTGAGCCACCGCGCCCGGCCTTAACTTGCTTTCATTGTACACCAATTCCTAAGGGAATTGGAAGCAGCAAGCAGGAACGCTCCCTCTTATGGAAAGAAGAGCCCAGGGCCCTGGTCATGACAGGTTCAGGTGCCAAAAAGGAGACGGGAAGAAAACGTGAGGCGCCAGAACAACAGGTTCTACAAGGTGCACACGAGGGTCCCTGCCATTGAATGAAGAATTTTCTGTGTGGATGCCCCTGCGCAGGTCCAATGAAAGCCGTGGAGAATAAGCGTTAGCTCTTCAAACTGAATCTGAGCTAAAACCTAGCAAAGCCAGGCTGGGGTCTGAGGGGTTGCGGGGGAAGACAGGAAGGGGTGGACGGGGAAGAGGCGGGGGTCCTAGGAGGAAGGGATGGGGAGGAGCGAGAGGAGGGAGGCGGAGGGAGGGCGGCAGCCAGGATGGTCCATTCCATTCTTGGAGCTGCACTGTTGACTTCGACCACAAGGGGGCAGGGCTGCTGAAATTGGAAGTGCGAACGCCTACATGAGTCTTGATCCTCGGCAGGCACCGTACCCAGTTTCCTCCGTTGGGAGGGTTTAACTGCCCGGAAACGGAAGTCTCGTTCTTTTTCGTCCTTTTCCCCGGTTGCTGCTTGCTGTGAGTGTCTCTAGGGTGATACGTGGGTGAGAAAGGTAATCTGGGGCAATCCACTGCCAGGTGAAATCTGGGGACCCCAGGTCCGCGTGGAGGGTGTCGGGGAGGAGAAGGGGAGTGCGATGGGGCCGATATTTCGGGGGAGAGCGGGAAAACGGGGTTCGCTGCCAGCCCCCGCGCCGTGTTAACGCCGAGGACTGTTTCCCGCAGGTCCTGGTCCGCGCCAGAGCCCAGCGCGCCTCGTCGCCATGGTGAGTACAGTCCCTGCCTGGCGCCTTCCCGGGGTGGGCTCGTGGGGCCCCGGGGCGAGGGCGAGAGAGCCTCCCAAGGATCTCCTGAGGCCGGGAGAAGCTGGTGGACTGGGCCATCGCCGGGAGACGTGTCTCTTTCCTCTCTGTTCACCCGCTTCCTTTGTGTTGCAGCCTCGGAAAATTGAGGAAATCAAGGACTTCCTGCTCACAGCCCGACGAAAGGATGCCAAATGTAAGTGGTTGCTCCGAAGGTTCAAGAAGAGCGGTGCCTAGCCTGGCACCGCTCCGGGAGCGTCTTCCCCGGAATGTCAGGCAGGAGACGGTTAGGCCGTCTGGGTGTGTGCCTGGCCCTCTGGGAGCAGTGGTTTCATCCTGTTTCCCATGAGAAAGACCTGTGGGGGGCACGTTGAGGCCCTGGAATTTCTAGGACCATCTTTAGCTAATCGCGATCATCTCAGAGGCCGCCCTGAGTTCAGTTTTCTTTCGTATAATATAGTAAATTGTCGGAACGGAATCTCCACTCCGCGAAAGCCTCAAAACACACGTCCCATAAACACTGTTTAGGTTCTCTGCAGTTGTGCAAAATCTTAACACAAAATCCATTTTGTAATAAAGTGCTGGATATTTGCATGTAATGTATCGAGCACGGCACACTGTGTAGTATGGTCGTTTACCTCGTGATCCTGTGGTCGCTGGCCAGTGTCAGAAGGTATCATACCTATCTAATCCAGAAAAATATTTAAAAAAATTTTTTTTTTTCTTTGAGACAGTCTGGCTCTGTCGCCCAGGCTGGATTGCAGTGGTGCGATCTTGGCTCACTGCAATTACCGCCTCCCAGGTTCAAGCGATCCCCCTGCCTCAAAGTAGCTGGGCGCGCCACCATGCCTAGCTGATTTTTGTGTTTTTGGTAGAGACAGAGTTTCACCATGTTGGCCAGGCTGGTCTCGAACTCCTAACCTCAGATGATCCACCTGCCTCCGCCTCCCAGAGTGCTGGGATTACAGGTGTGAGCCACTGTGCCCCGCCAAGATCAAAATTTGAAGCAGGGCTTCTACTGAATGTATATCGCATTACCACCATTGTAAAGTCACAGAGTTTAAGTTGGACTGTCATAGGTCTGTTTCCCAGCTTGTACATACAGGGGAAAGAAGGTGATTAATGAAAAACCTTAAACAGCAGGTTTTCGATGGATAGGTGCCAATCTCTGCTGCCCACTTACTTAAATTTTTACACCAAGTGTGAGAGGTAGTTGTGTTACTCCTTTGTGATACTTGAAGGAGATTGGGGGGGCTTGTGTTTGATACAAGCTAGGTCTTGAGTTATGTTGTTACTTTAACCCAGTCATCTTTTTTCAGCTGACTGAGAATCAGGTCACATGTGGAAGTGAGGTTGCATGGGACAGGCCTGTTAAGGTGGGCTAAGACACCAGCCGTCTCTAATGCTCTGCCAGCCGTGGTGCCAGACGGTGGTTGGTGTACAGGGAGAGTCTTTCAATGAGTTGGGGGTAGGCAGAGATGGGGGTCATATTTGTGTCCCCATTACCCAAAACAGGCTGTCACCTTTGAGGTAGTGACCACCTGTGGGGACAAATAGCATCTGGTGGGAATGATGACTGTTGGCTAGTGTTTTGTGTAAAGAGATGAGGTTATCAGGTCAGTTTTATTTCAGACCATATGGGGTCACTGCCTAGTTTGAAGCCCAACTCTACCTGCAGGTAACTTACCCTTCTCAGCAAGTTAAACACGACACCACCGTTTGATTGTGTTTTAAAAGGGTGGTGGTCCGGGCGTGGTGGCTCATGCCTATAATTCCAGCACTTTGGGAGGCCAAAGCGGACAGATCGCTTGAACCAGGAGTTCAAGACCAACCTGGGCGACATGGCAAAACCCCATTTCTACTAAAAATAAAAAAATTAGCCAGGCATGGTGGCACACGCCTGCAGTCCCAGCTACTCAGGAGGCTGAGGCAGGAGAATCAGTTGAACCAAGGAGACGGAGGTTGCAGTGAGCTGAGATTGTCTCACTGCACTCCAGCCTGGGTGACAGAGCGAGACTGTCTCACAAAAAAAATTGGGAACCTTCATTTTAGATGATGTGGCTTTAAAGGTAGTGGTCACAGTCCCCTGGGGACAGTAAAGTGTCAGTAGCTGTTTGTTGAAAAAACTTTTTAAAATGGTTGTATTAATTTTTAACGTGTAATAGGCATAGCGTAAAAGTTACCATTTACACTGGGTATGGTGGTTCCCATCTGTAATCCCAGCACTTTGGGAGACTGAGGCAGATGGATGAGACTAGCCTGGGCATCATAGTGAGACCCTGTCTCTATAAAAGAAAAAAGTTAGCCGGGCGTGTGCTGGTGGTCCTAGCTACTCAGGAGGCTGAGGTAGGATTGCTTGAATCCAGGAAATTGAGGCTATAGTGAGCCACGATTATGCTACTGCACTCCGGGCTGGGCAACAAAGCATAATTGTACAGTTCAGTGGCATTCAGTAAATACACATTGTTGAGCAGCTGCCACCATCACCGCCCATCTCCAGAACTTTATCTTCCCAAACTGAAACTCCCTCTGTTAAACACCAGCTCCCCATTCTTCCCCAGCCCCTGGCAACCACCTTCCAATTTGTCCCTGAATGTGACTGCTCTGGATACCCCATACAAGTGGGTCTGCTATTGCATATTTGACCTTTTGTGACTGGCTTCTCTTCACATGTCCTCAAGCATGTGTCAGAATTGCCTTCTGTTTTTTCTTTCTTTTTTTTTTTTTTTTTTTTTTGACATGGAATGTCACTCTGTTGCCCAGACTGGAGAGCAGTGGCGGAATCTCAGCTCACTGCAAGCTCCGCCTCCCAGGTTCATGCCATTCTCCTGCCTCAGCCTCCCAAGTAGCTGGGACTACAGGCGCCTGTCACCATGCCGGGCTAATTTTTTTTTTTTTTTTAAAGTAGAGACGGGGTTTCACCGAGTGAGCCAGGATGGTCTCTATCTCCTGACCTCATGATCCACCTGCCTTGGCCTCCCAAAGTGCTGGGATTACAGGCGTGAGCCACTGTGCCCGGCCTGCAATTTGCTTTTTTTAAACAGGGTCTCACTCCTGCCCAGGCTGGAGTGCAGTGGTGTGATCATGGCTCACTACATCCTTGATCTCCTGGGCGCAAGTGATCCTCCCACCTTAGCCTCCAGAGTCTCTGGGACTACAGGCATGCGCCACCACACCTGGCTAATTTTTGGTGTTTTAGAGATGGATCTGTGTTGGCCAGGCTAGTCTCCAACTCCTGGCCTCAAGCAGTCCTCCCACCTTAGCCTCCCAAAGTGCTGAGATTACAGGCAGGAGCCACCACACCCAGACCGGAGTTTTCTTTTGAAGGCCGAGTTTTCCATTGTGTGGGTAGGCCACGGTTTGTTTATTCGTCTATTGATGGACATTGGGTTGCTTCTACATTTTCGCTAGTGTGAATAATGCTCTGAACATGTGTGTGCAAATATTCTTCTGTGGTTGCTATCTGTTCTTTGGGGTATATACCTAGAAATGGAATTGCTGCACATATGGCAATGTTGAGTAAACTTTTTTTTTATTTATTTTTTTTTTGAGATGGAGTTTCGCTCTTGTTGCCCAGGCTGGAGTACAGTGGCGGAATTTTGGCTCACTGCAAACTCTGCCTCCCATGTTCTCCTGCCTCAGCCTCCTGAGTAGCTGGGATTACAGGCGCCTGGCTAATTTTTGTATTTTTAGGAGAGACGGGGTTTCTCCATGTTGGTCAGGCTGGTCTCGAACTCCCGACCTCAGGTGATCCACCCACCTCAGCCTCCCAAAGTGCTGGGATTACAGGCGTGAACCACCGCACCCAACTGAATAAACATTTTGAAGAGCTCCATATGTCTTTACAAGTGGTGTTCAGCTTAGTTCAGCTGCTAGGGGCAGTGTTATACTGAAATAGGTTAGTTTGGATGAATATCCAGGTGTCTGGATGTATTAAGAACGAGAGTCCAGGCAGCCCGTGCCTTGGGCAGGCTCTGAGTCACAGTGCTGCTTCCTCTGATGTGCCCCATTCCTATAGTAGTTACTGGCAGAAATGGAGTTGCCGAATTGCTAGGACAAGATCATCTTGTGTGCGTCTGCCAGGTTAAGTGCTGTGTGCTGTGTCTGGCCAGGTGCTTTCGTTGAAGTGTTAGAGCCCATGTTCAGCCCTCAGCCACCTGCTTCTTGATTGGCACATCACTGCTATTATAACAAATCCTGGGAGTATCTCTGAGCAGTTTTTAAAGAGTTGGAACAAGGCATTCAGTGAATACATGGAGTGGTAACTACTCCTGGGAAGGGGTTGTCTCACAGCAGCCAGATGGCCATGCATTGATACTGCTAGTACATAACCAGAGTGGTGCACGATTCAAACCCCACACAGCTGAATTTGAGGTACACAGTAGCTGTTTCTTGTCTGAGCCATGATCCTGAAATAGAACTTGGCAGCAGGAAAGAACCCAGAAAATGGATTCCACATAAATTCAAGGAAAACCCTGGGTGCGTGTTGTGCGCAGTGGCTGGAGGCATCCTGAAGAACGAGCTCTTACTGGCCCAGAATGTCATCTCACATGCGGAGGCCTGATTTCCGGGAGTGGAGTGCTGAAAAGCGCTCAGTCCCAGCAGACAGCCCGTCTCCTTACTTTATCACTGCTTCTATCCCTTTTTAAAAAGATAATAGGCCAGGTGCGGTGGCTCATGCCTGGAATCCCAGCACTTTGGGAGGCCGAGGCCAGCGGATCACGAGGTCCAGAGATTAAGACCATCCTGGCAAACATGGTGAAACCCCATCTCTACTAAAAATACAAAAAATTAGCTGGGTGTGGTGGTGCACGCCTGTAATCCCAGCTACTCCAGGAGGCTTAGGCAGGAGAATCGCTTGAACCTGGGAGGCGGAGGTTGCAGGGAGCCAAGATTGCGCCACTACACTCCAGCCTGGCAACAGACCGAGACTCTGTCTCAAAAAACAAAGTAGAAATAAGAAAGATAATAAGGTTGATAGAAGATATTCTGTAATGTTGTGTTCAGTGTACCCAATAAAAGTCCCAAGTTGGAGGAACGGGTAATAGTGTTTTCTGTTTGCACAGAGGGATGGTACTGGAGGTGGGTGCTGTCTCCTGCATGCTGCTTACTGCTTGAGTGTATTTGCACATGGACTGTGTCACATCTGTTTTCTGTGATACAATTTAATTCCTGATTCTGGTCTCCGGTAGCTGTCAAGATCAAGAAAAATAAGGACAACGTGAAGTTTAAAGTTCGATGCAGCAGATACCTTTACACCCTGGTCATCACTGACAAAGAGAAGGCAGAGAAACTGAAGCAGTCCCTGCCCCCCGGTGAGTGAGCCTGAAGTCACTTCAGGGGCGGGTGGGGTTTGGAAGGTTGCTGTGTGTGGCCATGTTGTATCTTGTTTTGAATCCCTCTCAGATTTCAGAGCCCATTTTATGGTCTAAGAATCTGCTCTTGCTGTTGGGAGTGTGAGGAATAGTTGTGATTCTCAGATTATATACAGTACCAGAAATCATTTCCTTAGCCAGAAGAGCGGTTAGAGCTCATTTAATCCTGTTCACGACCCTTCGAGGTTGGTGCTAGTACTGATAGTCCCCATTTTTTACAGGGGAACAGATGAAATATAATAGACCAAGTCTTTTTATCGAATATAATAGACCAAGTCTTTTTATCAAACACTAAATATTTTAACCGAAACTTCGCTGGTGGATCTAATTTCTGAACCTTGTGTGCTCTCTTTAGCTTAAGTACAAAATTTAGACAAGCAGCAGCAACTCAGATGTGTCTTCTGGATGGCTTACTTTTGTCTCTTTCCCTCTAGGTTTGGCAGTGAAGGAACTGAAATGAACCAGACACACTGATTGGAACTGTATTATATTAAAATACTAAAAATCCTAAGTGTCTTTCGTCTTTGCGGATGGGAAAGGGAAAAATGCTACCTCGTAGTGGCTTCTGATGGGAACAGGACGCGGGTTCTGTTGCTGCCTTCCTGTGTCTTTTTTTTTTTTTTTTTTTCTTTCTTTGAGACGGAGTCTTGCTCTGTGGCTCATCCTGGAGCACAGTGGTGCGATATCAGCTCACTACCACCTCCGCCTCCTGGGTTCAAGCGACTGTCCTGCCTCAGCCTCCCGAGTGGCTGGGATTACAGGCACACATCACCACGCCTGGCCAATTTTTGTATTTGTAGTAGAGACAGGGTTTCACTGCCTGCCTCAGCCTCCCATAGTGCTGGGATTACAGGCATGAGCCTCCGTGCCCGGTGCATCCCTAATCTTGAGCATGATCTCAGTCGGCAAATGAGGCCATCTGTTTTCAGCCTGTTTGAAAATAAGATGTGGGGAGGCCATGATGGAAATAGCACGTGGGGTTAAACATAACTGGCAGATGTGGGAGCGATGGTGGGGCATGCCATTCAAACAGGTCCCAAAATGGGTGCAACAAGGTATAGCACATCTACCACTCGCTAACTTGACTGACTTGGAGAAATGACTACACTTTTGCCTGTTTCCTCAGTTGGAAAATAGCCATATTAACACCTCTTTCATTGGCTTGCTGTCAGGGTACTGGGATGGGGGGAGGTGCATGGGTTGGGGTGGCCACCAGGTGGTGCTGTGCCACAGCGGGCAGCCCCTCTGGAAATGACTGGCATCATAAAATCTGTCTTCATACCCGAGGTAGTGTTTTTTGTTTTTTTAAGATCTCTACCTTTTAAAAGCGTGGCATACAGTGTGCTTGGTATTGTGTTAGGCATTTAGACGTGCTCAGGTTGTAAGGTTGAAGTGCCAGTCTTTGAATATTCTGTAAGGATTGTGAGGGTGTGAGGTGGTTTTGAGTCTGGTCACGGGTCTTGTTTCCTCCGGGAGAGGGTGGGTACACCAGCCCTCAGGCCCAGGTGCGGCACTGTGGGCGGCTTTCAGCCTTTCCCGTTCTGTAAGCATTGCAGATTCCCAAGGAAAAGCGAGCCTTTACCATGTGGGTTTTCTTTGTTCCCAGCACATCGTCCAGAGTTTCATCCCAGCTCCTAGGAGACAGGCCTTGCAGGGGTGTGTCCAGCCTTGTCTAGAGAAGGCCGCCTTTCATGCAGTGCTTCCCAGCCCTGGCTTGTGACTCAGTCATCTGGGGCACTTAGGCAGTTCACTGTGGTGGCCAGGGCTGACTGGAGATTGCGATTGCGGTGGTCTGGGGCATAGGTGTGTTTCCAAGCTCTCAGGTGGGCCTCTGCTTTGCTGGGGCTTCAGCAAGCCCTTAAGTGCTGCATACCAGGTGAATGGGGAGGGGGGAGGTGATGGGCTACAGCTGCTGGTGTGCCGACTGTCCTCCAACTCCCTGCTGAGTCTGTGGGAGGTCTGTCTGTTGTGCTTCAGCTTTTTGACACCTCTCTGGGTCAGCAGGCCTCCGGGGAAGCAGCTAGAATGGTCGCTGTCTGGCTGGGTGCAGGTGGGCTGACAGGTTTGGATATTCCAGGCCGCATTCCGGTGGCTGTGGAGATAGCCCTGAGGGACAGCCTTTGCAGTTTGTTTCTTCCAGTGCCGTGTGCAGGCCTCCAGCCTTCTGGGGCTCCCTTGCCCCGGGTTCAAAGTCAGTCCTCGGTGACCACCCACTGCCTAGGAGGCAGGCCCTTCCCACCTGGGGGGCCTCTGAGGGCAGGGGCTGTAAAAGCAGCTACCAGAAGAGTCCACTTTCCCCAGCAACTGCAGGGACTGAGTCAGAGACCAAGACCTTTTAAAAGGAGGTTTTCACCCAAAGAAGTTCCCTCCCCTGCCGCAGTCTCCAAGCTGATCGCCTGGCTCCTGCAGTTCTCCGGCTCCCTGTCCTGTTCTGGAACTTGCTTGCTTCCCCTTCCACTGGCCTTAGTCCCTGATCTCACAGGGTCCTGTTCCTTCTGCACAGAGGCCTCCCCCAGCACCCCCCTCTTTGACTCCCGATCATCCTTCAGCTCATGTCACTGTCCTTTGGGAAACAACCCTGACGCCCACCTTCCATCCCCTCTCCCTACAGCAGGGACTCTGACATTTCACAAGGCCTGCAATCGCTGTTTGCAGGATACAAGTCCACCTCACCTCGCCTACTAGGCTGTAGACGCCATGCAGGCGGGAACGTGTGTTTTATCCATTACTGTATCCTCTAGAACAGAGAACGTGCTCAAGAAAATTTGTTGAAAGACACCCCAATGAGAGAAGAATGGCTGTTTCCAGCCTTCCGGGCCCCTCAGCTTTGGGCTCCTGCAGGGCCCCAGAACCGTGGGATCACGGCCACGAGGAGAGGCCCCGAGGCCAGGACTTCCTCTAATGGACACAGGGCCTTTGAGCACCGGGTGACTGGGGCCCCACTCCCCAGCAGCCATATGTGTTTGCGAGCGTTTTCAGTCGGTCCGCATCCACCCGGTCCCTTCAGCCAGAACCCTAGGAGCCCCGCCCCGTCCTCCCGGGGCTCCTTTCTCACCCGCGTCCCTGCCGCGGTGGATACGCACCCCTCAGGCTGGCTGCCCAGCGCGGTTTCCACGCCCAATCTGCCGCGACCCCATCACTCCACCGCACCTACCCCTGACTCCTGCTTGTCCTGCAGCCTGGGCTCCTCCCTCCGCTGGCCAAGTCACGCCAAGCAGTTTGCGGTTACAGGACGGGTGGGGGCCTCTGCATATGTGCAGAGTACGGAGGGCCCAGGGACGCGAGGCTCCCCGATGGGCAACCTCCCCTGCCTTTGCTTTTCCCCAGAGCCCCCTCCTGGCCTGCGTTCGGCATCTTCTCGGGTCGTCATCGCCCTCTGCGGTGCCTGCGCTCGGGGTGAGGGTTTTTGTCGGCTTTTGTTACATCACCGATGTAACAGTGCCTGGACGTAGTAGGTGCTCAATAAATATGTTGTTGAATGCGCTTCAGTCTCCCCGAATGCTTGTCCCTTCCGGGCGCTCTCATCGCTCTCCTACCTTCCCCGCTACACAGCTCGAAGGTCCCCTCCTCCGGGAAGCTCACCCTGTCCCACTTGCCAGGAAGAATCAAGCAAATTTTCTGAGTGAGACACCTTGTCCTCACTCAGGCGTCCTGCAGGCGGCTTCAGCGAGTTGTTGGGGCAGATGCGCCGGGAGCTCCCGAGGGCAGGGACGGCGTCTTATTTCTCTTTTTAAGTCCACAGGGCTTGCACAATAGATGCCCAAAAAATGAGAGTGAATTTAGAATGAGTGACCGAGTGGCTGAAGATTGCCTCCTTCCTTTCCCAGTCTGTCGGTTACTTACCCTGTGACAAGCCCTTGGGACGGGCAGTCGCCCCTCTCTGGCCTATGACTGCTGGCTGCCCCCACTGACACCTTATACCCTTGATCTGATCATAAATAAGAAGCAGCCCGGGGACCTCGAGACTGAAACTGATTTAGAGACTTCTGGGAGCTTTTTTCACTTCCCTCCTCCCATCCGGCCAGGACAGATCCCCGCCCAGAAAGGGGCTGTTGACTGCAGCGGGCTGCGCGCCCAGAACTGGGACTGGGATCGCGGCGGGGCGGGGCGGGCGCGGGCCCAGGGAGAGGCGGGGCCGGGGGCGGGGCGGGCACGGGGCCCCGGCCGGGAGGTGAGCGCAGCTGTCGTTCAGCTTGTGGGTAGCACTCGGGCCGAGCCATGCAGGCGGCGCGCGTGGACTACATCGCTCCCTGGTGGGTCGTGTGGCTGCACAGCGTCCCGCACGTCGGCCTGCGCCTGCAGCCCGTGAACAGCACCTTCAGCCCCGGCGACGAGAGTTACCAGGAGGTAAGTTTACGCCGCCCCAGACCGCAGCCACGCGCGCCCCAAGTCCCCGCACTACCCCCTCTCCCCTCGAGAGCCTGCACTTTCCCACGTGCCTCTCAGACCCCTTCTCTCCCCGCGCAGCCCTTTCCCGTCTCCCCTCTCCCCTTTTCCCCCACCCTCCCAGGCCCGTGGCCCGCGTCCCCTCCTGTCTGGGAACCTGGGGGCCGGGAAAACTGAAGAGATCAGAGTGAAGCGAGCGTGGGGAAGGGGAGGAAGGGCGCAAGACCGCCTGCGGGGTGAGGGGCTGAACGCTGAGCGGGCAGGGCGGCGCGGGGGAGGGGTAAGGACAGGGGCATTCGTCTCGGGGTAATCCTGGCGCGCGAGGTGCGGGGATGCTGAGGGGTGCCCCGAAGTTTTCGACCGTCTGAGATTCCAAGATGGGGCGCTCTCTTTCCGGGGCTGAGTGGCCTAGGAAAGTTTGGCAGAAACTGAGTAGAGTCTCCCGAGTCGGTCTTCGCAGCACCCCTCCTCCCCAGCCCCGGCCTGCAGGGTGGGAGTCTCAGCTGGAAGGCTGCAGGGCTTGGGGAAGCGGTGTGGGTCACTTCCCCTCTAGCGCAGAGAACCCACAGCTGCTTGCGCTTGTTCCAGGGAAGGAAGGTGGCCTCCGTCAGCCCATCTCACACTGTTGTCCTGAGGACCCCCTTGCATTGACAGTCAGCTTCTCTGTGTCCCCTGGTCCTAGACTGGCCCATTCCTGTTCCCCCACGCCCCTCTCTCTACCTCACACCTTTAAGCCCTGAATTTCTGGCCTAGGGCAGTCACTCCCGGCTTCCCCGCCCTTTCCCTACTCTGCTGACCCTTGGCAGGATTCTGCACCCCACAAACAGGGCCAGGGCTCCCCAGACCTCCCTGCCCAGACAAACAAAGCTGCAGAATCTCCCAGCCCGTCTCAGGTCTGGTCACGCCTGCTCTGGCCCCGGGAGCCCACCTGTATCAGTTCCTTGTGTTGGGTCAAAGATTCTGGGGCCAGTGGACCAGGATGAGGTCCATTTATTCAGAGCCAGGCGCCCATCTCAGGACTTTGGCCCCCGGCGGCCTCTCCCTGTGTCAAGTTCTCCAGATATGGGACAGATCAGGGCAAAGCAGGGCCTCTTGGAGGGAATCCTGATCCAGTGTGAGGTGCCCAAGCGCCAGTGACAGGGAGTCTAATAATAACCCCTGACGACCCGGCTGCCATCAGGCCCAGGCAGATGGTGCCTGCCCTACCAGAGGGAGGGGAGCATCAGGACCCCTTCCTGGGGTTCAGTGGGCACTCAGGAGCAAGACGGCAGTCGGTGGACCCACCCCCCTCCCCCAGAGCCCAGCCTGTGGGAGTCTGTGTTCCCTGAGAATGTGGCTGCCTGGGGATAGCTCCAGGGAATCTTCCTCTCCCAGAGAATGCATGAAAAGAGGCGGATATGATTTCAGAAACAGCCGTGTGTGTGTGTGTGTGTGTGTGTGTGTGTGTGTCCCCATCCCAAACCCTGTGCCCCACATCCCACACCCGGGGTCTCCAGCCATAGTTTTCTCCTCTCCACTGGAGGAAATCTAAACTTTTCATTGGGTCAAGAAGACCCCTAGGTGGGGGTAGGGATGGTAAGGGGACTCCCTCACCCTGATGGCCCCAGAGACAGTTCCTATCAGCCCAACAGCTGTGGCTGGTGGATCCTGGGCCTGCCCACAGCCCCCTCAGTCCCATGGGCAGGTGGCAGTTGAGCCAGATGAACCTACCTCCAGCCTCTGCCCCTCCTCCCAGGATTCTGGCCCCGGCTCACTTTGTGCTGGGCATCAAATGGTTCCAGAGGGTGTCCCTTCCCATCGGCCACTGCTCCTGGGCAGCTGACACCAGCCCTGCCCACTGGCTCCTGGTCCCGCTCACCCCCTCACCACCACTCAGATCGCTGAGTAGGAGATGAGCGTGGTGGGCCAGGACCGGAAGTCTGGCTCTGGGTGTTATTTAAGGTGGCTCCTGTTTTTGGTAAGTTCCCCTGTTGTGACCACAGGTCTCTCCTGGATGTCTTCTTTCCTCCTGAGCACCAGTCACTAACAGAGTCAGGTGGACCGTCGGTCATCCCAGTCTTCAGCAAGCTTGACTGGAGCAAGTGCTATGCCAGGCGTGGGGTGACCGTGGTAACCAAGGCAGCAGGTCTTCAGGAGAAATTGCTGGGGATTTTCTGCGGCTGGGCTCTGGGCGCAGTGCTATGGCAGACACCAAGCAGTTTGAGGTGGGGCTCTGCCCTCCAGTTGGCTGGGGTGGATTCCCAGTTCTTTCCATGTGTGACCACGGGTAGGTGTCTTAACCTCTCTGAGCCTTGTTCCCTTCATCTGCAAGAATTAGATGAGATATTCCACATATCATGCCTAGTACAGAGAGTCCCATAGCACATAACAGGAGCCAGTGACACAGATCATTCAATGGAGTGGCTGAGAGGTTCAGGAGTGTGTCTCAGGACAGTACCCTGCTGGGGAATGGAGAGGAAGGAGATCTCTTCCACAGACTCTGATTGGGGGAGACTGAACAAAACGCCTGCAGAAAGGGCTTCAGCTCATGCCCCACATGTTCAAATGCACAGTGCTGGCTGTGTGGGGTGTGGGGGGTGGGTGCGTGTGCATCAGAGACTAAGCAAGGATGGAAACAGGCAGGTGCTGGCCTTAGGATGTGGGTGGTGCGGGGGATCTCAAAGGCAAGGGGGTTCTTGGAAGTGCAGAGATGGTGAAGAGCAGGTCACCTGGTGAGCTGGGATTTCCTGAGCAAGTTCAGTGTTCCAGAACCTTCCTGAGGAAGTAGGGGCTCTCACTCACTTTCTGGGGTGTTTGGGAGCCGTGAAAGCCCCCAGTCCTCCTGATAGTTGATCCTCACCCCTCTCCCCCCAGTGAACTTGAGCCCAAGTCCTCGCAAAGGCCACTTGGCCTGTGTCACCAGCCTTGTGGGGAGGCTACCCTCCAGTGAGTAGAGGCATGAGAGGTGAGCACCAAGGCAGGGCTGTGGACGAGGGCACCTTGGCCCTGGCGGGCACCCAGCTCTGGGCTGCCAGATGTGGCTGTATGTCTGGAAGGAAATCAGCCTAGACCTGCAGCCCAAGTCTTCTCACCTTTGACAGATGAGGGGGATTGGATTTGGAGACGATTCCTACTCTAAAGAGATGATAAAAGAACTAATGAGTTCATGGATTATGAAGCCTGTGGCCAGTGCCTGGCACACTGGAAACTGCTACAATCACTGCTTAGGAAGGAGAAGACTGCAGCCAGCCGGTGTCCACTGGGCAGTGTTGGGGAGAAGGGAATGGGCACCTGGCACTGAATCCAGCAATGTCTCTCTGAGCAAATGAACGAGGCACTTCGGTGTCCCTGCCTGAGCGTGAGTGCCACCATCACCATCCAGCCAGCCCCTCAGGGGAGACCAGACACTGATGAGCTCAGTTCTTGAAACATCTTAGTAAGCTCCCAAAGGCTGTGCAAATGTTAGTTATTGCTACTGTCAACAGGCAGGTGGCCACATGTGTGCTTCCTGTTCCAGCTTCCCTTGCCCAGGATCAGCCGACCAGCTGCTCTTTGGGGACATGTGTTAGGAGGCAGAGGAGATGTTGTTAATTTTTTTTGTATTTAGGCATGTATTTCCACGTGTTCTCTCATTGGTTGGTTCCGTTCATAGATTCGCCAAAGTACAAAGTGGAGGGTACACAGTTGGGGACTGGACCGGAACTACAGGACTTCCTGCTTCTGACCTGGGGGCAGGTCTGAGGAAGAAGGACCAGGCAGCAAGCCCATCCCAGCCGAGATCTGAGAAGAGCTGAGGTTGGGATGAGGAAGCCCCATTCATCCAGTGTGAAATTGAGTCACGGTCATCAGACAGTCATGCCGCGCCTGGGAGAGGGCTTAATCTTTCCCAGTGGGCCTGGGAGGGAGACTCTCCCTCTAGGTGCTCCTAGTTTCCCTCTCCCAGCCTCCCCCTGAGACCGGCACACCTCTCTCTATGTCTTCTGGGGCCAGGGCTGTTGCCCCCTCCCCTGCCCAGTGCAGAAGCCCCTTGGGTCCCGCTGCCATGGTCACTGCGGCCCCCAACTTGGGTCCCAGCTTGGCACTCTCCGCTCTGGGTTTTTCATGACACAGTGACAAATCAGAAATAATTGAAGTCCCTTTGATGAGGGGAGAGGCAGAGTCTGAGCACCAGTGTGGGAGCTGGGGGCCTGGTGTTGCTGTGGGACAAGGAGGTGGCTGCAGGGCACAGTGGGAGGCGTGGGGAGGCGTGGGAAATTGTCTTGGCAAAGCTCTGTCCATCTGAGCAGGGGGGCCTGGAAGCAGAACTCTTGGCTCCCTCCTCCATTCCCCTCCACCTCCATGCACATGGGGACATGCAGTGTTAATTAGGAGCAAGAAAATAATTGCCCATTAGGAGCAGCAGGTGCCACCAAGCTGGCCCTGGAAGAGGGTGCTGCTGGTTAGGGGGAGGGGGGTGGGCTCCTACCTGCTCCTCTTTTCCCTCCTCCTTCCTCCTCCCTTGCCCACCTTCCCTCTTCTTTCTTCTTCCCTTCCCAATTCCTTTTCCCCCTACACCCTCTCACCCTGTCCCACCCACCACCCCCAGTTTTTTCCCAGCACCTAGGTAGGGTTCCCAGGAGGGTTTGGGAAGTAACTCCCTAACAAAAGGCTTCCAAAGGCTGGGCAGGGTGGCTCATGCCTGTAATCCCAGCAGTTTGGGAGGCCAAGGAAGGAGGATCACATGAGCCCAGGAGTTGAAGACTAGCCTGGCCAACATAGTGAGAGCCTGTCTGTATTTTTTTTTAAAAAAAGGAAATCAAAAAAAAAAAAAAATGCCTCCGAGTTTGGGTTTCTCAGGCCTCGCTTTCACTGGAGCTGGACAGCATTATCAGAAACCTAATTGAGGCCAGCTGCCCAGCTTGGAGAGGCCCCAGGCCACAGGGGCTCAGCGGCTGCCGAAGGGGGAGACCGGGAGGCTGGAGGAGGCTTGAGAGAGTGAAACGGGGGAGCAGGCTACATCACCCACAGCCTGATCCTTCTCGGACGAGCCTTCCTTGCTGGGTGGGGACATTGGTAGATTCAGGAGCTTTTCCCACTGGGGATAAAATGATAGTGGGACTGTTCAGGAGGCAAACTCAAAGGGTAGCTGGGGGCAGGCTGGATGGTAACTGGGCTTCAGGCTACACAGGTTTGTCTGGGGCTCCCTTACATTTTTGTGTTATTAGGAATAACTTGGTTGGGCGTCGTGGCTCACGCCCGTAATCCCAGCACTTTGGGGAGCCGAGGCAGGTGGATCACTTGAGGTCAGGAGTTCGAGACCAGCCTGGTCCTTTTGTAGTAAAAGTACAAAAAAATTAGCTGAGCATGGTGGCACATGCCTGTAATCCCAGCTACTCAGGAGGCTGAGGCAGGAGAATCACTTGAACCTGGGAGGCGGAGGTTATAGTCAGCCGAGATCACGCTGCTGCACTCCAGCCTGGTGAGAGAGCAAGACTCCGTCTCAAAAAAAAAAAAAGTACAAAAAAATTAGCTGGGCCTGGTAGCACATGCCTGTAATCCCAGATACTCAGGAGGCTGAGGCAGGAGAATCCCTTGCACCTGGGAGGCGGAGGTTGCAGTGAGCCGAGATTGTACCACTGCACTCCAGCCTGGCGACAGAGCAAGACTCCGTGTCAAAAAAAAAAAAAAAAGAATAACTTACAGGAAAGAGTGCAGTCTTAAGTGTGCAGTTCAGTTCAATGAATTTATACCCTCGAGCACCTGCGTGCGTGGTATGTGTGTGTGTGAGCAACACCATCCCAATCAGATCGTATTCCTGACCCCCTAGAAGCCCCCTTCGTGCTCTCTTGAAATCCGCACCCTCCCAAAGGTAGCAATGATTCGGTGATTCACATTTCTCTGGCTACTCATGAGTATCTCTGACTTTGAACTTCATATAAATTAATCCATACAGTTCTCTGCTGTTCCATGTCTGGCTTTCTCTCTCAACCTGACTTCTGGGAAATTCATCCCAGAAATACCGTCATGTGTGGCTGGTTTCCTTTTCATGGCTGTATAGTATTCTAAGACTATAACACATGTTCTATATCTTTTCTCTTGTTGGTGGACGTTTGTGTCTTTTTGGGTGTAGGCTGTGACTGCTGTGTGAAGCTGCTGTGAACATTTGTGTATCTTCTGAGGGACACAGCCCTCCTTTCTGTAAAGCAGAATTGCTGGGTCATGGCATGCATGTTACACAATGATTTGCAATTTTTTTTTTTTTTTGGCTTGGTTGGGGTTTTTTTTGGGAGGTTGGGTTACTTTTTTTTTAAGAAATGGGATCTCAGCATGTTGCCTAGCCCAGGCTAGACTCAAACTCCTGGGCTCAAGTGATCCTCCCATCCCAGCATCCCCAGTAGCTGGGATTGCAAGTGCATGCCACCAGGCCTCGCTGGTTTGCAAATGATTAAGAGGATCCCTGGGCTTTAGCAGAGAGGCCTCAGGGGCTGCCAAGGGGCGGCCAGGACAGAACGTGGCATTTCTATCCACTCCTCACTCAGATGGAGCTCTGTGTTGCAGGGCTCTGCTAAGCAAGTCAGTTTGAAGAAAAAGTTAAGCTACTGGAAAAAGTTTGAGAACTTCTGTTGACACTAATCCAGTGCTGCCCAGACTTTAATGGAATATATGTTGCCTGGGATCATCTCTAGAGGCAGGTCTGATTCACTAGCTCCAGGGCGGGGCTAGAGATTCTGCACCTCTAACAAGCTCCCAGAAGATGTCAGGGCCACAGGTCACAGGGTGGTAAACTTTACTTCAAGGAAAGAGGCTCTCAACTCCCAGCTGTCTTGGCCTCCTCTGCCTGGGCCTGGGCTGCAGGGCCCTCTGGTGAAGGGGCATGGACTGAGGACCAGAAGAGGGGCAGTGACTTTCCACCATCTCTTTCTATCCCTGGGCTTGCTGGGGTCAGTCCCGGGGACAGGCCATGCTAATGAGTGGTCCAGGTGGGGAGAGCCCCAGCCCCAGCCCCCTGCCACACTGTGAGGTCTTTGGGAGAGGGAGGTGCCCAGATCTACTGGGCCCTGGCTTCCCAGCTGCCACTTTTTTTTTTTTTCTAGAAGGGATCTCCCTCTGTCACCCAGGCCGGAGTGCAGTGGTGCAATCATGGTTCACTGCAGCCTCAACCTCCCAGTCTCAAGCGATCTTCCCACCTCAGCCTCCTGAGTAGCTGAGACTACAGGCAGATGCCACCATGCCCAGCTAATTTTTTATTTTTTATTTTTTTGTAGAGACAGGGTCTCCCTGTATTGCCCAGACTGGTCCTGAACTCCTGGGCTCGAGCAATCCTCTCACCTTGGCCTCCCAAAGTGCTGGGATATAGGCGTGAGCCACCACACCTGGCGGAAAGCCACATTTTCCAAAGTCAAATCCATCTGTTCCCCTCCCAAGTGAGCCATCTCTCCTGCCTTTTTCTGGGCTGCCCCCATCACTTCAGCTGAGAAGTCTGTCAGCCAAGAGTGACCAGCAGAGCAGTCCATGTCAGAGGCCCGAAGACCTGCCCGCATCTCACAGGGCTGGCAGCGTGGCCTCCAGCAGGTGTCTGTCCCCCTGGAAAATGGCCCCAAAGCCCCAGACTGCAGAGCCCGGCCTTGGTTTGTCAGGTCTATCTCTGTGTGTGCCTGTCCCTGCACAAGTCTCGTCTCCCCCTTAGACCGCAGGGTCCTGGAGTACCCCCTTCCTGCTGATTGCCACCCCCTGCATAGGACTCCCTGAAACAGGCTTTCCCCAGCAGCACCCCCAGAGCACTAGGGATTCGGGACTGGGAACCCCTATTGGGGGTGCATGGGAAGCAGGGGCGGCTGTCAGCTCAGGAGCCTGACTTAGAGCCAGGTCCAGCCCTGGCTGGCGGCCGCCAATCCCGGTGCCATCTGGTGCCTATCTGGCAAAATCAAGAGATGAATGAGCAGAGAGTGGCACCAGGCCTCCTGACAGACTGGCTCCCATTGCAGGGCCCCGAGGTGCTAGGCAGGCCTCAGGCCCCTCCGGCCCCCTCAGAATTCTGGCTTTGCTGCTGCCTCTGGCACTGGAGGTTCAGCTGTCCCTGGTGGGGTGCAGTGGAAGGGACTCCAGAAGTTGCATATCCTGACTATCCCGCCCCCTCACACATCCCCCAAGCATGGAGCTGGCTTCTCGATTCTCAGGATGGACCCCAACACCTAGAACAAGCTCTTCACATTCTGGTAGAGGATGATGCCCAGCCTGGGACAGCGGGGTCCTTGCATGGAAGAGGCAACAGATACACAGGGCTGTCCTTCCAGGCCCTGCCTCAGTGGCACTCAGCGCCCGAGGCCTCTGGGTACTCTGGTCTTGGACGGTATCCCTCTCCTTGCCTTTTTCCCTTGGCCATGGAGCTCACCACCCACAGCCCTCCCTGCTAGCTGGGGATTCCTGCCTTGTCTCCTGAGTGGCTCGGACTCTTCATCAGCAGGGCCTGGTCCGTATCTTCATCCAGGGTCTGAACCAGAAACCGGAGACCAGCTCTGGCACCCCTCCCTCACTGACCACGAGGCCCACCACTTGGCCTCATGCCCTGTAAGCTCCATCACTCCCACCCAAGTGCCTCAGCGCCGGGCCCTCTGTTTACAGAGTAGGAGCTTGAACCCTAGGTGGAGCTTGGAAGGATGGACGAGAGATGCAGCTCAGGCAGTGGGGCACTCAGGGCCCAAGGGCAGGGCACTTCCAGAGCCCCGCACTGCAGGGATGAAGAGTGACAACAGGCCTCTGCTCTCTTCCAGTCGCTGCTGTTCCTGGGGCTGGTGGCCGCCGTCTGCCTGGGCCTGAACCTCATCTTCCTTGTGGCTTACCTGGTCTGTGCATGCCACTGCCGGCGGGACGATGCGGTGCAGACCAAGCAGCACCACTCCTGCTGCATCACCTGGACGGCCGTGGTGGCCGGGCTCATCTGCTGGTGAGTGTCCCTGGACGCTGGGCTTGGGGTGTGTGACTCAGTCTGCAAGGGGCCAGGGACTGTTTGACCATGTTCTGACGGAGCTCCAGCTACCTTGATGGAAAAGCTTGTCCCCAGATGAATGTTGTCCCTTTTTTTTTTTTTACCAAGCATCAGGAATCAGATGCCTGGGGTG
Organism: Homo sapiens; assembly: GCF_000001405.40. Lineage (NCBI taxonomy): Eukaryota > Metazoa > Chordata > Mammalia > Primates > Hominidae > Homo > Homo sapiens. The sequence goes on from NC_000017.11 coordinate 74,222,833, forward strand.
GTGATGGGGTCTCCAGAAAGGTCTCCCAAGTGGCCCCCCACAAACCCTGCCCCAATGTGGGTTTGTCCTGTGCCCAGCAGCTGTGCAGGCAGCATTTCTGCACCGACACTGGGCATCTCCAGTCTCTGTCCCTGGCCCCTGCCAGCTGCTGCCCTGGGTCTGTGAGGTCAGAAGAAAGTTTGACTCCAGCACAAATCAATTCCATCTTCTTGTGAGATCAATAGCTTTTAGTGCCGTTAGCCAGTTCTTTGGTTTGGATGAGGAAGGGAGAATTTCTTTTATTTATTTATTTTAAAGATGGGGTCTCACTCTGTTACCCAGGCTAGAGTGCAGTGGTGCGATCACAGCTCACTGCAGCCACAAACTCCTAGGCTTAAGCAATCCTCCCACCTCAGCCTCCCAAGTGGCTGGGACTACAGGTGCACACCACCATGCCTGCCTGGCTTTTTTTTTGGGGGGCGGGGGGTGGGCGGGGAAGAGACAGGCTTTCATCAAGTTCCCCAGGCTGATCTCAAACTGCTGAGCTCAAGTGATCCACCTGCCTCAGCCTCCAAAAGTGCTGGGATTACAGGCGTGAGGCACTACACCTGGGCTGAGACTATGTTGCTCAGGCTGGTCTTCAACTTCTGGCCTCAGACATTGCTCCCCCCTCAGCTTCCCAAAGCACTGGGATTACAGGCATGAGCCACCATGCTGGGCCTTAAAGTGAGGATTTATAACTCCCGTGCAGGAGTCCATACCCAGCCCACCACACTGCCTGGCCACTCCACCCCAGCTGGCGTCCACATGCATGCTGGCTGTTTTCAGGAGTTGTTGCGTTTTTCTTGTTTTTAAATCTATAATGATTTTTCCAAAAGCCTCTAGTGTCCACGCAGAGACGCTTCTGGGGTGTGGTCACCCCAGAGAGTAGAGTCTCCCACTACCTGGCAGCAGGCTGGCAGCCAGGCAGGTCCTGGTCAGCCTGGGGGTGAGGATGCCTGGGCTCTCATACCCAGGCAGCTCACCTTGCCACTGCGAGTTTCTTCTCTGTTGGAAGATGTTCTTGATCTCGTCCTGCCTGTAGTGGGAGGCTCACCTAAGCCAAAACGCAGGCGAGACGCTAAAGCAGCCTTGTGGGGCGGACAAAGCTCTGAGCACAAGGAAGGGGACCAAGGCTGCTGCAATACATGGCCGGGGCTGAAATAAGAGACTCAGAGGACAGAGTTCTGGACAGGCCGGGAGGTCACAGTCGAGTGCGGTTCCCAGTACAGTGGAAGAGCTTTGAGAAGTGACTGGTGTTAAAAATCCTCCTGCATGGCCGGGCGCGGTGACTCATGCCTGTAATCCCAGCACTTTGGGAGGCCAAGGCGGGTGGATCGCCTGAGCTCAGGAGTTCGAGATCACCTTGGGCAATGTAGTGAGACCTCACCTCTACAAAAATGAGCCAGGCATGGTAGTGCATGCTTGTAGTCCTGACTGAGGCAGGAGGATGATGAGCCCAGGAGGCAGAGGCTACAGTGAGCCATGATCGCTCCATCGCACTCTAGCCTGGGTGATGTGAGACCCTGTCTCTTACACACACACACACACACAGATACACACATACATGCACACACACAGATACCCACACGACAAACTTGTTTTGGAAGAATACTTTGGAACAGTAAGAATGGCATGAGGAGTCAATTCTTCTAATATGGAAGAATTATCTGCAGTGTAGGGAAAACTCAAGGTGGAAGGAATGTGCGTGGCAGAATCCATCCCACAACATTCTGGGCGTGACTTGTACCAGGCAAGAGGGCACCAGCAGTAAGAAAACAGGCACCAAGTCTGCTTTCATGATCTGTCAGCAGAGGCTGAGAACTGTGTACCAGTTTGCTTTGAATCATTGCAACTAAAGAGAGAGGGCTGGGCGTGGTGGCTCACGCCTATAATCCCAGCACTTTGGGAGGCCAAGGTGGGTGGATCACTTGAGGTCAGGAGTTCGACACCAGCCTGACCAACATGGTGAAACCCTGTCTCTACTAAAAATACAAAATTAGCTGGGCGTGGTGGCGAGTGCCTGTAACCTCAGCTACTTGGGAGGCTGAGGCAGGAGTATCATTTGAACCCGGGAGGCAGGGGTTGCAGTGAGCCGAGATTGCGCCATTGCATTCTAGCCTGGGCTACAGAGTCAGACTCCGTCTCAAAAAAAAAAAAAACAACCAAAAAACTAAGGAGAGAGCTCTGAAGGAAAGGAGCAGGCATAGAAGTGGATGGCCCACCTGAGTCCAGGCGTTCCTGGGTGACATGGGCACCCAAACCCATAGGATGAGAAGGCGTTAACTTGGCAAAGGTGGGGGCAGGGGAGGCGGAGACACCTCCAGGCAGAGGGAAGAGGAACGTGCAAAGGCCCAGAGGCAGGAGCGAGCATGGGGCTAAAGGAAGCCAATGTGGCCAGAGCAGAGGGAGCAGATGAGGGGGTTGGGGGCACTGTCGAGGGTCGGGGTGAGCAATGAGTGGCAGTGGGATGGGGAAAGTGTCACGGGGTCAGAAGACACAGGGGGCAGATGGGATTCAAACCATGAAGCAACTCATAGGCTTTGTGAGGGGTCGGGGTCTTTATTCTAAGAGCCAGGGGAGCCACTGCAGGGGCTCTGCAAAGAGGTAGCGTGACCCGATAACTCAAGTTGAATGTAACCCAGGCCGGCGGGAGTATTCGGAACAGTGGGACTTGAATGTGAAGAAGTGGCCACCGGGTGACCGAAGAGCTCAGAGGCCTAATGAGGGCAGTGAGCGACCTTGGGATTAGCAATAGCAGGAGCCACCACCACCTGCAGGCCAGAGGGACACAGGGAGAGGCTATGTCACCAGGGAAGCTGGAGCCACACAGCCTGCCTATCAGCGGCTGCAGAACGAGGGGAGCAGGGCCCTGGCTGCCTTACCACCACCTCCAGTCTCCTACCAGCACCTCCATCGGCAGAAGCCAGCTGGCAGGGGAGCCCGAGACATTCCGTGTGAGGGATCAACCCCTGTAATGGAGAACAGGGCAGGGGACAGAGGAGGGACAGGTCCAGGCAGAGGGTCGCATAGATGCGGGCAAGAGTAAAATCAGGCCATCAGGGAGGCCCAGCTGGAGAGCAGCGGGCTTACACCTGGGCGTGGGCAGTGACCAGAGGGGAGTGCCCAGAGGAAGAGTCAGCTAGGGAGGTTTGGGGAGGAGCTGCTGAAGTTCATCTGCAGGTTTCTGGCTTAAGCCCCCGGATGGGGTGGCAGTGCTATCCTCCAAGGCAAGGGACATTGGCAGGGAACCGGGAAGAGAAGCAGACAGTCAGTTTGGTTGTACACAGATTGAGTTTAAGGTGCCTTTGAACCATCCAAGTGCAGTTGGAGTTATAAAGCCAGGGTCATGAGGGTGGCCAGTGTGGAAGTCACACACATGGGTGACCTGCCATAGGAAGCACAGAGTGAGAAGAGAAGGGGGCTGGGGCCAAGCCTGGAGGAAGCACAGTGTTTAACAGCTAGGACGCAAAAGGTGCCTGTGAAGGAGACCAGGAAAGAGTGTCCCACAAGGAAGGGCTGGGAATGCCACAAGGGCACAGGAGTCACTGGGCAGCGTGTTCCAGGAAGAGGAACCAAGCTGACCACTGCACGTGGGAGGGGGGTTGGGAAAAACCCTTGGGTTAAGTGGGAGGTCATTGGTCGCCTTCCTTGGAGCTGCGTCCACTGGGACACAGGAACAGCCAGATTGGTGTGAGTTATGGGAGGGGCAGGAAGGAGAGTCGGGACAGCAGCAGGAGAAGGGATGGAGGTAAAGGTTGGGGCACTGAGGTGGGAGGACACATGAGCTCTGCTGATGTGATTCCACCTGAAAGCGGGGGATTGAATCCGCAGAAGAAAAGACCAACAAGGGGTTCCTGAAAAAGCAAAAGGGATAGGAGGATATACCTCTTTGTTCTCCTCTATTATGGGGGAAGGGTAGTGATTTTATATTTGGGAAAGAGTAGTGTGAACACACCAGGGGGAAAGCAACACCACCAACTCGCTTATTCTCCCTCAAGCAGAACAGTTTTTCCTATGGCCCAGGTGGGATCAATGACCCCAGGAGAGACCAGGAGAACCTCATTAAACAGCCAAGGCGATTTTTCTTTCTTTCCTTTCTTTTCTCTTCCTTTCCTTTCCTTTTTCCTTTCCTTTCCTTTTTGACAGAGTCTCACTCTGTCGCCCAGGCTGGAGTGCAGTGGCACGATCTCAGCTCACTGCAACCTCTGCCTCCCAGGTTCAAGAGATTCTCCTGCCTCAGCCTCCTGAGTAGCTGGGATTACAGGCACTCGCCACCATGCCCCGCTAATTTTTTTATTTTTAGTAGAGATGGGGTTTTGCCATGTTGGCCAGGCTGGTCTCAAACTCTTGACCTCAGGTGATCTGCCTGCCTCAGCCTCCCAAAGTGCTGGGATTACAGGCTTGAGCCCCAAGGCGATTTCTGATCCCCAAAGATGAGGTGTAATTTCACAGCCCCTCCTGGCCCATCGCTGATAAACCCACAGGGCCCGAGAGAATAGAAGGATGGGAAAATGCTGGCTTCATATTGAATCCCTGGAAAACACTAAATCGTGACTCAGAGAGCTAGAAAAGGATGAACACAAGGAGTCGACAAAAGGGCTTCTCAGAGCACAATACAATTGGTTCATTTTCTTTTAAATAAAGTTACAAATTGGAGGGTCACGGGAAGACAATTCATTTAATGTATAAATATCTCAGCTGAGCACTTGGTGAAGCTCCTCCCCTCTGTGTGGATACAGTTGCATTTTCTATGATGGTGCATTTAACTGGGTTCAAAGCTAGTTACACAACTCTGGTTGAACCCAATGAATATTGACTTATGCAGTGGATTTCTAAACTGTAGAGGGGGTGTGTGTAAGAGAGAGACAGAGATACGTAAAGCATGCAGGAACCTTGTTTTTTTTTTTGTTTTTTTTTTAATGTCTCCTGCCCCCCCATCTTGGATGATACAGGAACCTCATTTTAAAAGGCACATTCCCAGACCACACTGATGGAATGGGCCGGGCTGCTTATCTGCACTTAACAGGCTCCCCAGGTGATTCTGTTCCCGTGGTCTGAGGACCACATCCTGAAAAACACTAAATTAGGAGTTGAGGGCGCCCTGGAAGGAGGTTTCTTTTCTTTTCTTTCTTTTTTTTTTTTTTTTTTGAGATAGAGTCTTGCTCTGTCTCCCAGGCTGGAGTGAAATGGTGCAATCGTTGCTCCCTGCAACCTCCTCCTCCTGGGTTCTAGCGATTCTCCTGCCTCAGTCTCCCGAGTAGCTGGGATTACAGGCATGCGCCACCACGCCCAGCTAATTTTTGCATTTTTAGTAGAGATGGGGTTTCGCCATGTTGGCCAGGCTGGTCTTGAACTCCTGACCTCAGATGATCTGCCTGCCTCAGCCTCCCAAAGTGCTAGGATTACAGGCATGAGCCACTGCGCCTGGTAGGAGGTTTCTATCACAGTCCTCCAGGGGGTTCCGTCCTAGATCCTGTGTTGTTTAAAGAACAACAGAACAAATATAAGTGTGGACGTGTACATTCATCTCCCCCCACCCCAACCCAAATGAGCATTTTGGATGAAAACTCAGGAGGCTGCTTAATCAATCTTCAGATGGTCTCAAGTGGTGCAGGTCAGATGGAATATGATGGATGACAAGAGTCAAGATTTGAAATGATTTGTTCATGCTGGAATGTTGGACTAAAACCAACTAGATGAGATTTCACAGGGATAGATTTAAAGTTCTGCTTTTGGTTAAAACAACACAAAAATCAATACAGCACTATAGGAAGGAGGAGAGACTGGGCTTAACAGCAATTCTTGGGAAGAAATTCAGGGGCTGTTTGTAGACCACAAGATCAGTGGGGGGCGGGGGGAACCAGGGCGGGTGCAAGTTCAGGTCAGTGCCCTGGGAAGTGGAGGACCTAAGGCATGACCCCTGCTGCGCTCAGAGCTGATGAACAACCTGGACTTGAGTGACTCACTCAGGCCACATTTAAGAGTGACATTAACCAATTAGACTTTCATTTGGAGGACAGTGATGGCATGGGCAAGGGTCTGAAACCTTAGTCCCAAGAAGGACACCTGCCCACTTGGAGAGCATGAGGTGAGAGGGTTATGAGGAAGCCAGGTTCAGCTGTCTGATGGGGCACGGTGCAGAACTGGAAACTTCTTCCAGGCTGCCCTAGAAGACAAATGAAGATCCAGGGGGTGAGTGGTTTAAGGAGGCAGGTGTCAGCTCAGTAGAAGAAGGAACATTCTATAAGTTGGGAGTTCACAGTGGAAGAACAGACTGTGACATGGGTGGCCTGAGGATGTTGGGGGAAAGGGTGGAGGATGTCGAGAGAGTCCACAATTCCTGGAGGTGTCAAGAGAGACCCAAGGTTGGCAATGAGTATGTGATCTCAGTAGACCTCAGCGATTCCCAGGCCCACCTGTGTCAGAATCCCCTGGGGGCTGGTAAAAGTGCAGGTAACCTAGGCCCTCCCCAGATCTACTGCATCAGCATCCCTTGGGCTGGCTACAGTCTCCCAACTTTTGGAGTCTTAGGACTAGAGGACAGTATTTTCCTATTGCCCAAATAAAATGTCCTGTAGAACCAGCCTGCCAGGGACCCTGAACCTTCACCTCCCCACCCCCAGCCCCACCTGCCAGAATGTGAGATGTCATCCACCTACTCACCGCAGCCCCCAGGAAAGAGTTCCTCAGCTCAAGTCAAAAACCTGCTCTCCATAGATGTTCACAGCAGCTGTATTCAGAATTGCCAGAACTTGGAAGCAACGAAGATGTCTTTAACAGGTGAATGGATAAGCTGTGGTCCATCCAGACAATGAAATATTATTCAGCACTGAAAAAAATGAGTTTTCAAGCTGGAATAAGTCATGGAAGAATCTTAAATCCATATTACTAAGCGAAAGAAGCCAGTCCGAAAATGCTCCACACTGTATCGTTTCAACTCTATGACATTCTGAAAAAGGCAAAACTAAGGAGAAAGTGAAAAGGTCAAGGGTTAAGGCCAGGTGCAGTGGCTCACGCCTGTAATCCCAGCACTTTGGGAGGCCAAGGCAGGTGGATCACCTGAGGTCAGGAGTTCAAGACCAGCCTGGCCAACATGGTGAAACCTCCTTTCTACTAATAATACAAAAATTAGCCAGGCGTGGTGGCGGACACCTGTAATCTCAGCTACTCAGGAGGCTGAGGCAGGAGAATCACTTAAACCCAGGAGTCGGGGGTTACAGTGAGCTGAGATAGCGCCATTGCACTCCAGCCTGGGCAACAGAGCGAAACTCTGTCTCAAAAAAATAAAAATAAAAATAAAGGGGTTAGAGGGGAGGGGGTACTTAATGGGCAGAGCACAGAGGAATTTTAGGGCAGTGAAACTACCCTGTATGATATGGTAATGGTGGACACGTCATTTTTTCATTTTTTTTTTTAATTTTTGCAGAGATAGGGTCTCACTACGTTGCGCAGGCTGGTCTCCAACTCCTGGGCTCAAGCGACCTATCCGCCTCAGCCTCCCAAAGTGTTGGGATCACAGGCGTGAGCCACCACACCCAGCCAACACATGTCATTATCCATATGTCCAAACCTATAGAATGTGCAACGCTGAGAATGAACCCTAGTGGAAGCTGTGGGCTCTGGGTGATGATGTGTGCATCTGGGCTCATCAGTTGTAATGGATGTACCACTCTGGTGCAGGGTTTTAGGGTGGAGTAAGAGGCTGTGCGTGTGTGGGGCAGCAGATATATGGGAACTCTCTACTGTCCACTTAATTTTGCTGTGAACCTAAAACTGCTCTAAAAACAAGCTTTTTTTTTTTTTTGGAGACAGAGTCTAGCTCTGTCACCCAGGAGGGAGTGCAGTGCCATGATCTTGGCTCACTGCAACCTCCACCTCCTGGGTTCAAGCAATTCTATGCCTCAACTCAACCTCCTGAGTAGCTGGGATTACAGGCATGAGCCACCGCACCCAACCCTAAGCTTATTTTTTAATATAAGCAAACATTCTCCTCTGTGTATCACCTCTAACCTCTGTTTGGGATCTTGCTTATAGTGCTGCGGTGGGCGTTGGTTTCTATGGAAACAGCGAGACCAACGATGGGGCGTACCAGCTGATGTACTCCTTGGACGATGCCAACCACACCTTCTCTGGGATCGATGCTCTGGTAAGGCTCCCGGGCAGCTGGCCGGGTACAGGCACAGCCCACAAGGTCAGCGTGGTCAGAGCAAGGGCCCCCGTCAGATCCCAGCTAGCTCAGCTGCACACGGAGGGGCTGTGTGACGCCTGAGGGCTGGACCCCCGCCTGCGCTGCAGTTGCCTCTGCTGGGGCAAATGGGCAATTGTGCGTTCCAAGCCTGCAGGGGTGGCAGGGATGGGGGTGAGGACTAAAGGAGGCAGCTGTGGGATCAAACCCCATTTTCCAACAAGCCGAACACTTTCTGATTTGTCAAAGGAGACCTTGAACATGGAAAATCAGCCCCACTGCATTTTTTGTTTTCATTTTAAGTGCTGCATATGGAGTATTGCAAGGTCCAGGAGATGCCAAGAGGAAAAAACTCTCTTCAGAGACAACTGAGGGCTGGGCGTGGTGGCTCACTCCTGTCTTCCCAGCACTTTGAGGGAGGCCAAGGCATGTGGAGCTCAGGAGTTTGAGACCAGCCTGGGCAACATGGCAAAACCCTGTCTGTACCAAAAATACAAAAATTAGCCAGTTGTGGTGTGGTTCCAGCTACTTGGGAGGCTGAGGCAGGGAGATCACTTGAGCCTGGGAAGCGGAGGTTGCAGTGAGCCAAGATCACGCCACCACACTCCAGCCTGGGCAACAGAATGAGACTCCATCTCAAAAATTAAAGAAAAAAAAAAAATTGAAGAGCCCCGTGATGTAAGGTAGTGGAGACCTGCCCCAGCTCCTCGGAGCTCTGGCTTCCAGGCAGTGACTCCAGGTGGGGGCTCACAGTGAAGGATGCTCTGGCCTGGCCAGAGGAGGTGTCAGACTCTTAGGGGAAGGGGAAGGCTACTCTGCCAAGCCAGGGCTGGATTTTGTGGCAGACGCTGCCTGATACACACGAGCCTTTTGCTGGGGCTGCCACCCCTCTGCTGGGGACCTGGCCCAGGGAGGAGCACGACAAGGGTGGACATCTGAGGACTTGGTTCCCTGAAAACTGCCTCTGCCTTTTCTACCCCAGCTGCCTGGAATTGGAGTTTTCCCACAGTTTGACCTTGGCCCCCACACACGTCATTCTCACTCTAAGCACCAGACCTTTTCAGCTGCTTATCCGAGCAGCCTCTGCCACAAAATCCAGCCCCAACAGGAGAATTTGGCCATTGCCCCGGCATCCTCCAGAAGAGGATTGGACCCCATTTGCCCCCCTCCTGCTCCCTTAAGCTCCTCTAAGGCTTTAATCCCTCAGTCAACAAGGGGGGTCGGGGGTGTCACCTTAAAGAGACAGCTGTGCTGCTCCTCCGTGCCCAAGTCAATTGTGGGAGGAGGCCCTGGCCTCCAGAAAGGGGCTGAGGGTGGCTACAAAACCAGGGGCCCTGGTCCTTTGCAGAGTTCATTCCACCGCCCGTGTCCACTGGGACCCATCCCCTTAGCTGAGCGCTGAGTCCCAGTGCGGAGATGCTAGTCTGGAACAGCCTTGCGCGGTGAGCTGGGGCGGCTGGGTTGGAGGAGCTGAGGGACAGCCAGCTCAGGCCTGGGAGGCAGAGGTGTGGCCTGCCTGGGGAGAACTCTCCCTCTGGGCACCCACCCTTGCCCCAGGCCCTGGTGGGGAAGGGCCCCATGGTCACTGCCCTCTAGGCTCTCTCTGCCCCTCCCTGCCATCCTGCTGCCTGCCTCCTCTTCACCCACCAGCACCAGGATCACTGGAGGAGGAACCTAGCCCCGAGAGGAAAATCCCCTGCCCTGCCCAGGAAGGCACCAGGGCCATGACCTTCACGGGTTTAGAGAAACTCCCAGAACTCCCTTATGGGAAAACATCAAGTCCTAGAAGTCCCTATCCCACAGGACGAGAGCTGCCAGGGAGGGGAGCTGGAACGGGCCCCCAGGCTGGGGCCTCCCACCCCATGGCCTGATGGTGCTCCAGGGCCAGGTTTGGACATTTCACAGCAGGTTCCACTCTCTGAAATCCCTGCTCCAGGGCCAGGTTTGGACATTTCACAGCAGGCCCCACTCTCTGAAATCCCCTGTGTTCCCAAAGAGAAGGGTTCTGTATCCCTGGAGATCAGCCCCTCGTCCTCTCCGTTGTTACCGAGAAGTGAGGTCAGGAGTCCCAGGGCTTCACACTGGTCCAGCCAGCCCATAGCTGCCTCCAGCCTGTGGGTGGTCACCTCCCCCTCTGGCGTGAACCCCTAGGGCCCAGGTGTAGCTGCTGCCTTGCCTCCAGGTGGAAAGGTGGCACTGGGTCCTTACTAGGACCTGTGAGGCTGGTTTGGGCCTCAGAGTGGACACCCAGCACACCAGTCCTCAGGGCTCCAGGGGAGGCAGCAGATCTTAGAAGACTTCCCAGATCCAAGGGGAGAAGTCCGGATATCAGATAAATGACTAGTGAGATAATGTCAGTGAAAGTGCTGGTAGACTGTAAAGTACACTCAGCTGTATGACTGTGATTATGAGTGCTATTAATTACTGTAATCACCTTGGGGTCAGCGGGAGGCTGGGATCCAGGACGCTGTGGGCGGCAGAGGCAGATGGGGGACTCGTCGACAGGTCAGGCAGGACCTGGATCTGGGCCTTGCCAGAGGCCAGATCATGCAGCTGAGTGGCCAACAAGAAGCCCTCTAGGGATGCACCCACAGAGTGGGGTGGGCCCTGCTCCAAGTCCTCCTTTCCTGGACTGGAAGCCCCATACCTATGCACGTCCAACTAGAGGGACACCTGTGCCTTGGTGGGTAGGGGCGGTGGTTCAGGGATCAGGCGGTCCTGGGAGGGCTGCACGCCCCAGTCTAGGGGAGTAGAGAGGAGTCGTTTTGGGATACCAAAACTTCCTGTACCTGGTAGCCAGCACGGCCCCTCCAGGCTCTCTCATGTGAGTCTGCAGCAGGCTGATGGGCAGCCCTCAGATGTAGAAACTGAGGCACAGGGAGGTTGCATTGCTGACCCGAGGTTGAAAATGTGTATGTTTCAGAGCAGAAACCAGAACCCAGGCCTCCTGGTCTTAGCCCCTTACCTCCACTGACCTGGCCCATCCACACTTCCAGATAAGCTCACTGAGCGCTGGAGAGTCCTCCCTCCCAGAAGTTTTCATACTTGAGCTTGCATCAGAATCACCTGGAAGGGTTGGTAAACACTGATTGCAGGGCCCTGCCCCCAGAGGTTCCGCTTCAGCGGTCCTGGGGCAGGGCTGAGAGCTTTTGCTTTTGTGAGTGAGTTCCCAGGGGGTGCATCTTACGCCCCTAGTCCCGGGACCACACTTGAGAACTGCTCTTTCCTCTAGACCGTGGTCTCCGCCACCTGTAGCTCGTCCCTAAGTCTGCCCAGCCTGGAAAACTGACCTGTCCCTCCTGTTCTCAGAGCTTTCCGTGAGAGAGAGCCTGATTCCATCTCTGGGTCATCCCACCTGTCCCTGCGGGGAGTATTATGTCCTGAAACTTTAAGGAATTGGGGATGGTATAGAGAAGTGGGGAGTTGTAAGTAGGTCACTGCTGTCATTCTTATTTTTTAAAATTTTAGGATCTTTTGAGCCTAGGAGTTCAAGAACAGCCTGGGCAGCATAGCGAGACCCCATCTCAAAAAAACAATTTTTTAGTTTTGTTTCCTGTGGGAAAATATCAGGAAGAAAGAGAAGGCATGACAAATACAAATACTGCCTTCTTTTTTTTTCCCCCTAAGGAGGAGTTTAAGAAATAGAGAAGTTAACTGTGAGAGAGTAGAACTGTGAGGGAGAAAACAAGTGGCCTCACAGAAAAAGTTTACAGATAATTTTTTAACAGCCCTTTACTCTGAAGTTTGTTTGATTTATAGAAATATAGAAATATAGAAATGTCACCTATTACTGGGTTTGTTCAGAATGGCACTATTCTTTGATGATAGTGCCATTTGTATAAATGTTTCCAAAGTGGTTGTACATTTATCTTATTAAATTGAACAGCCAAGTGTACTAGCATGACATTTAGTTACTGAATGTACTTTTACATGGTTTGGGGTCTTTTCCCCTGTGCTTCGGGCTGTCGAATCTGCACATGGTAGAGTGTCTCCGTACTCTGGTATCTCTTAGTCCTTAACCAACTCGTAAGAACCAAGCATAAGCCAGAAAACGGAACAAGCCGCTGACACTGAAAAAATAAAACAAAATGAAACAAAGAGAGCCATTCTCTTTTCTGGAACTAGGAACTCCCAGCGTAGCGCAGATGTAAAAGGCCACACAGCTGATGTGAAGTCCCCATAACACAGAGAACACCGTTGGCCTCCGAGAGTGGAATCTAATCGGCCTTGCTGATCTCACTGTGGGAAGTTTCTGCCTCTTCTTCTGTGTCGTTTTTATCTCCCAGACCCGTGGGAGCTGAAGGCTGCCGAGTGTGGATTAGTGCACACTGCCCCACTCCCGGCCCGTTGTGCTTCTTGGTTTAGTGTGACAGTTTCAGAACAACAAAGCCCTTTCTCCGCTCGCTGCCAGCAAGGGCGTGCTTGGGGCTGCCAAGCTGCACCCCGGGGTTCTGCAGGCACCCTGGGTCTGGGCTGTGGGAAAGTCCCGCTAACCAGTACGAGCCCTGCCTGTGCTCTTCAAAAGCCAGCTAGGGTTGACCACTTGGACCATTAGAAATGGATGCACATGGCCGGGCGTGGTGGCTCATGCTTGCAATCCCAGCATTTTGGGAGGCCGAGGTGGGTGGATCACTTGAGGCCAGGAGCTCGAGAGACCAGCCTGGCCAACATGGTGAAACTGTCTCCACTAAAAATACAAAAATTAGCCGGGCATGGTGGTGCACACCTGTAGTCCTAGCTACTTGGGAGGGAGGCTGAGGCAGGAGAATCACTTGAACCCGGGAGGCGGAGGTTGCAGTGAGCCAAGATTGCACCACTGCACTCCAGCCTGGGTGACACAGAGCGAGACTCCATCTCAAAAAAAAAAAAAAAACAAAAAAGAGAAAGAAAGAAATGGATGAACGGGCTACTCTGGCACACTGCCTAGAGGGTAGCCCTGCTCTGCAAGGAGCAGTACCTTTAAATATAAATAAATAAATAATGTTTTTAACTGGATGGCCAGCCGTCAACTTTCTATTTCTGTCTTGCATTGGCAGATGTTTCCTTCAGGGTCCACTCAACCCCAGGCCCTTAGGGCTCAGCCAAGGGACAGGAGCCTGTCTGCCCACCCAGCAGGACACACATCCAGGGGAGGATGTGAATACAAGGAGAAGGCGCCGGTTTCCTCCTCCTGCCTCATGTCCAGGCTCCTCAGAGACAGGATCGCAGCTGTTTTTGTTTTTGCAAAGTCCCATTGTCCTGCCTTCACTCAGCGTTCAGGACCCGGTGTGCTGCGGCTAGTGCCACAACAAAGCTTTTCTCTTATAGAACAATTAGAAATCCTATTGTGGGGATACAAGGTCAAGGTAGCAACATAGAGTCTGTTTCTCTAAAAGAGAATTTGTAAGCCAAAGTGCTGAAAGTTTTAAGAGAATCTTCAAAGAATAATGGATTATTTTGTTGGTTTCTCCATCTGGGTGTCTCTGTATATAGTAAGGTATAGTAATGAATGCATACGTTTATTCCAGCCCTTTACAGCAGGGGCCACGTGGTGGGCACACAGGATAGCCTCCTTAGTAGAGAGCAACAGAGGCTCCAGAGGGCAGGGATGTGCCCACACTCCCAGCGCCAGAGGCTAGACCTGGCCTCAGCCTGCAACACATAATGGTGTGCTCCTTTGGCGCCAGCATTCTCTCTCTCGGAGCCCAGATCCTGTTTAAGGCCAGGTCAGGGACTGCCCCCTGGTTTGAGGGACATGAGGACTGGGTGGGTAGTGGCGGCCTCTGTCTTCAGTCCTTCCTCCAGGGGCACAGGCTCGAGATCTTCAGGCCTGGGGCAGCATGGTGTGTTCATTCATGCCTAAGCAGGCCAGGCCAGCTTTTTTTTTTTTTTTTTCGACACAGAGTATCACTCTTGTCGCCCAGGCTGGAGTGCAATGGTGCGATCTTGACTCATTGCAGACTCCGCCTCCCGGGTCCAAGTGATTGTCCTGCCTCAACCTCCCAAGTAGCTAGGACTATAGGTACATGCCACCACACCTGGCTAATTTTTATATATTTTTTTGTAGAGACAGGGTCTCACTGTGTTGCCCAGGCTGGTCTCAAACTCCTGGGTTCAAGCAATCCGCCTGCCTCAGCCTCCCGAAGTGCTGGGATGACAGGCATGAGCGTAATTATCGCACCTGGCCAGGCCACCTTCTGCTGCCTGCAAAGACCTCTTCCGGGATGAGAATCAGAAGCTCTACCTCCATGGCTTTTGCCCCCTGCTCCTCCCTAGGTTTCCGGAACTACCCAGAAGATGAAGGTGGACCTAGAGCAGCACCTGGCCCGGCTCAGTGAGATCTTTGCTGCCCGGGGCGATTACCTGCAGACCCTGAAGTTCATACAGCAGATGGCGGGCAGCGTTGTTGTTCAGCTCTCAGGACTGCCCGTGTGGAGGGAGGTCACCATGGAGCTGACCAAGCTATCCGACCAGACTGGCTACGTGGAGTACTACAGGTGAAGGACCGGTGGGAGGCAGAGGGAGGGGCAGCAGCGGCTACATCAGCTTTGTTTATCCAAACCTGCATGTTGAGCTCCAGGTGGAGAAGGGCCACTGGAAAGTATTTTTTTTTTGTTTTGTTTTTTTAAGACAGAGTCTTGCTCTGTTGCCCAGGCTGGAGTGAAGTGGCACGATCTCAGCTCACTACAATCTCTACCTCCGGGGTTCAAGAGATTCTCTTGCCTCAGCCTCCCTCCCAAGTAGCTGGGACTACAGGTGTGTGCCGCCACGCCAGACTAATTTTTGTATTTTTAGTAGAGACAGAGTTTCACCATGTTGGCCAGGCTAGTCTCTCGAGCTCCTGGCCTCAAGTGATCCACTGGCCTCAGCCTCCCAAAGTGCTGGGATTACAGGCGTGAGCCACCATGCCCAGCCCACCAGAAAGTCTTGATAAGCCATTGGCCAAAATCAGGAGAACATGGGGGCTTACAGGGGCCACGTGGTGAGCATGCAGGATAGCCTCCTTAATAGATAGGCAGCAGAGGCTACAGAGGACAGGGATGTGCTCACACTCCCCGCGCCAAAGGCTGGACCTGGCCTCAGCCTCCCGCACACGGTGGGGTGCTTCTCTGGGACTAGCATTCTTCGTGGCTGGTGCAGGGTGGAAACGCCACATGCTTCATAGGTTCCTCGCCTGCCAGAGTTCATGGGACAGGATTTCTTGTATCCACAGACACAGCCACAGGGTTATGGGGGGTTGAGGAGATGAGCACCCGGCTAAGGGTGCTAAGAAGTTGCCATCAGGGGAGGCTCTGACCTACAAGTCATTGTGCTCCCAGGGCCTGGGCCTAAGCGTGGAGGAGGCACAAGGGAGGAATGAGGCTGTGTCCCCAGACTCACTTTTTTTTTCTTTCTTTTTAAGACAGTATCTCACTCTGTCACCCAGGCTGGAGTGCAGTGGTGTGATCATGGCTCATTGTAGCCTTGAACTCCTGGGCTCAAGTGATCCTCCCGCCTCAGCCTCCTGAGTAGCTGGGACTACAGGCATACAACCACACCTGGCTAGTTTAAAAAAATTTTTTTTTGCAGCTGGGACTGGTGGCTCACACCTATAATCCCAGCACTTTGGGAGGCCAAGGCAGGCAGATCGCCTGAGGTCGGGAGTCCGAGACCAGCCTGACCAACATGGAGAAACCCTGTCTCTACTAAAAAATACAAAATTAGCTGGGCGTGGTGGCGCATGCCTGTAATCCCAGCTACTTGGGAGGCTGAGGCAGCAGAATTGCTTGAACCCAGGAGGTGGAGGTTGCAGTGAGCCAAGATCATGCCATCACACTCCAGCCTCAGCAACAAGAGGGAAACTCCATCTCAAAAAAAAAAAAAAAATTTTTTTTTAGAAATAGGGGTCTTGCTTTGTTGCCCAGGCTGGTCTCAAACTCCTGGCCTCAAGCAATCCTCCCACCTCAGCCTCCCAAAGTCCAAGGATTACAGACATGAGCCACCATGCCCAGACCAGCCTCACTTATGTAGAACCTGAGTGATGGGGACTGAGGGGCACCACCCTCACTTAGGTGTACAAACTCATGCCCGTGTCATCTGACCTCTGGGGCTTTGTTTACATCTCCCCTGCCTCCCCATTTGCCAAATCCCAGCCTAGCCAGAGGCACTGGACACAATCGGCGGAGCAGGGACCTGCTGCCCCTCTCCAGGTGCAGGGTCCAGCGAAGTTTGCTCCGTGGAAAGCACAGGAAGGAGGCAGCAGCCCCAGCCTTTGGAGGGCTCCCGGCTGAATGATGGCCTGGGCTTGTGCTCCCAGGGCCCGGGCCTAGCATGGAGGAGGCACGTGGGGAGGGGAAGCATGAGTCAGGAGGAGCGAGTGTCAGTTCTTTGGATCCCTCCCCGCACCCTCCATTTGTTGGCTCCTCTTCAAGCCATTGATGAACGTCAGAGCCTTTAGCTCAGGGTTGCACAACTTACTTCTGTTTTCTGGATTTGTGTCCCCTTGTGTCATAAAGCCCCACTCCAGGAGGTCACTGCTGGACTGAGTCCAGGGGCCTCTCCCCTTCCCAAAAATAGGAGGTGGCAGGTCCCTGAGCAGAGGGAGCTCATGAAGTCCCCAGCTCTGGGGGTCCTCCCCACACCTTGCCTCCCCAGCCCGTCCAGTCCCTGCATCTCCGCCATGTCCTGGATGCTCTGGATTGAAGGGACCTTGGCCCCACTCCCCAGCAGATGGATGCTCATGGGCAAAAGAGCCTCCCTCCCAAGGGACAGAAGGAAACTGCCAGCTCTAAGGACTGTCTGTGACCTCCTGTGGCCCCAAAACAGGGGTGTCTGATGATTCTCCTGATGCATGGGCCATTCATTGCCTGAGCCTTCGAAATCTTATGTCAGGCAGGGGCAGGACCCATTTTAACGTCACTCTTCTCTGAGCACACCTAGCAGAGGACTGTGTATGTTTAAGGGCCTCATGTGGGCATTTTGTTAATGACACTGATGGAATTAAGTCAGAATTTACATATCAAAGGCGGCTTATTGTTAAGGCGATGGTATTAAAATAGTGGAAGGATGGTGTCAACTGCACATCAGCTATTTCAGCGTGGGTGATTGACAGGACCCCCTGTGAGTCCATCCCCAACTCCCCACTGCTTATTCGGGTTGAGGCAGAAGAGGTTTGGCTCATGCTGTAATCCCAGCACTTTGGGAGGCTGAGGTGGGTGGATCACCTGAGGCCAGTAATTCGAGACCAGCCTGGGCAACATGGAGAAACCTCATCTCTACTAAAAATACAAAAATTAGCTGGACGTGGTGGCGCACGCCTGTAGTCCCAGCTACTTGGGAGGCTGAGGCAGGAAAATTGCTTGAACCCAGGAAGCGGAGGCTGCAGTGAGCCGAGATTGCGCCACTGCACTCCAGTCAGGGCAATAGAGTGAGACTCTGTCTCAAAAAAAAAAAAAAAGCAGAGGTCTAGTCCAAGGTTGGCACCTATGGCGCCTGAACATCAGTGATATTCTACCCCTTCTCCTGTCTTTGCTTCCATCTGTGGCTTCTCCTCTCACCTGAGCTGCTCTGCAAAAAAAGCCCTCCCCTGAAGGGCCCCTGTCTTTGCTTTTGGGATAGTCCTTGAGCATAACCATGCAGCAAAGCAGATATTTCCTAGCATTTTTATACAAGGCGGGGCGAAGTATTGGAGGAGATAAAAAGCCAAGGGGCTCCTCTCTTTGAGAGGCTACGGTTGAGGGAAGAGGGAGCCGGGGTGGGAGTGGCTCTGGCAGGCAGAGCCGAGTTCTTGGTTAGGAATACATCCCCCAGTCCTCGCCCAGCTCCTCTGGGAAAACACATCCGCCTAGAGGAGATGTTTCCAGGAACCCCTGACAACATGAGGCGTGGAGGCAGGGAAAATACATTGAATCACAGCCACAGAGAGTGGGTTAGAAGCACCCCTAACTGGATTTCCTGCTGCTCTGCAGAGCGGAGGCGAGTGGTGAGAAGAAATCTTTAAGTTTGAAACATGAACTGGGTATTTCGAGAGGTGCCCTGTAGCTGGCTGTGTCCCTTGCAGGAAGCTTGATGTAGACAATGTGGAATTTCTGGGCCAGGCTCTCCCCACCAGGGGCCTTGGCTTTCTAATCTGTACTAATCTGTAGAATGGGATCCAGCTCACACCTATGATCCCAGCACTTTGGGAGGCTGAGGCAGGAGGATCTCTTGAGTCCAGGAGTTTGAGACCAGCCTGGACAACATAGACAGACCCGGTATTTATAATACGTGTGTGTGTGTGTGTGTGTGTGTGTGTGTGTGTGCGTGTAAAAATAAGAATGTGATCCAAACACTAGATGGTTTGCGAGGTTCCTTCCAGCTCTGAGCTAAGTCTAAGGAAACTGGCTTCTTGGTGGCAGCAGGCTCTGCCCACTCCCCAAAGCCCCCGGCTCCATTCCGGGGAACCCCAGAGACCTAGTGTGTGCTGCCCCCTGCTCGTGCAGAGACAAGGACTTTGATTAGTCCCCTTCTTTTGGCAGTAAGCCTCAATTCGGGGAGTCAGAAAGAACCTCCCTTGGCTGCCAGGCCTCCAGCTTGCTCCCTCCCCTCTCTCCCTCGGAGCCTCTTTGCCACTTTCTGCCAGCTCCAGGGCACTCCCTGCCCACGCTCCAAACTCCGTCTTCCCCTTTATGATGTCAGTGAAGCAGAAAACCATTGCTGGAGAGGAGAGGTCAGCGACTTTACTTGGCTCTTGCAGCAAGAGAAATAATGATCCAAATACTTCCCTCTTTGGGGACGGGGAAGCCCCTGTCTCTGTGCCCGCCCCTCCTCTGTCCACTCTCCCGCTGGTGCCCAGCACAGGGTAAAGGGCATGGCTGCCAGGGGAGACCACTGGGCCTTGTGAGGACCACCTTGGGGACCTGTGTGGAAGGGAAAGGAACGAGGGCACTTTGTTTGGGGTCTTCTCAGTGTCCGTTGGCTTAAGATACTTTGATTCTTCAGCCTGTTCTCTGGAGAAGCAGGAGGGCAGGGCCTTTGAAGTCCTTGGCTGCCTTGCCCCATCAACCTTTATATTTAGCAAGCACTTAATCCTTCCTCTGGCCCTGTGAGATGAGGGGTTCCAGCTCCCTCTACAGATATGGAAACCAAGGTCTCAAGGGGTGAAGTGGCTTACCAAGGTCTCCCAGCTGGGGTGTGACTGCCTTTCCCCATCAGTCCAGCCCTGGGGACAAAAAGGCCAGAGGAATGAAGGGCTTGGAGGAGGCTGGAGGTCTGCAGGGCTGTAGGTACCCTGACCTGGACTCCCGGGTTCCACACTGAGCCCTCTGATGGTCAGAAACGAGCCCACTCACCTGGGTATCCCTGGTGCCAAGCTCAGTGCCTGGCACAAATGTTGTTTAAAAATGAACCTGAAGTTTTTTGTTGTTGTTGTTTTTGAGATGGAGTCTCACTCTGTGGCCCAGGCTGGAGTGCAATGGCGCCATCTCAGCTCACTGCAACCTCTGCCTCCTGGTTTCAAGTGATTCTCCTGCATCAGCCTCCCGAGTAGCTGGGACTACAGGTGCCCGCCACCACACCTGGCTAATTTTTGTATATTTTGTAGAGATGAGGTTTCACCACGTTGGCCAGGCTGGTCTCGAACTCCTGGCCTCAAGTGATCTGCCCGTCTTGGCCTCCCAAAGTGCTGGGATTACAGGCGTGAGCCACTGCGCCTGTCCTGAACCTAAAAGTCTTAAGTTATGGATCCCATCCAGCAAGGGGGCAAGATGGGAGGCCTTGGGGAGCCAGGCTGAGTGTTTGTCAAAGAGGCAGGCACCTTAGGGGCTGTGTTAGATCTGTGGCTATAAACATCAGGCCTTGGCTGGTCTGATGCTGTCTGAGAGTTCTAGAAGCAAAGGGAAGCAGGGTCCTAGGCGATGCCTGCTGGGAGGCCGCAGAAAGACACTTCAGAGCTGTGCTGTCCAGGGTGGTAGCCCCAGCCATGTGTGGCTATTGAAATTAATTAAAATTAAGTAAAGTTTAAAATGTATTTCTTCAGTTGCACAAGCCATATTTCAAGTTCTCGGTAGCCACCTGTGGGTAGTGGCAAAGAAGAGAGTGGACAGCAGGGATTTAGAACAGCTCCTCCACTGGGGAAAGTTCTAGTGCACAGTGCTGGTTTTGACACTCAGCCTAGAGGTGAAGGCAGGGGGTGTGAATTGACAGCTTTGTCCAGGCAGCAGTGGGGGTGCAGCTCCCGAGGCTTCAGCCCACGCATGCTGGGTGCTTGCTGGCTCTGGGCAGCATGTCCATAGTAGAGGGTCCAGTGTGTCCCAGGGCTGCCGTGCAGGCCTCTCACGTGGCCAGCAGGTCAGAAGTTCCACCCTGCTGCTCCTGACCATCCCTGCCCCTCTACCCAGGTGGCTCTCCTACCTCCTGCTCTTTATCCTGGACCTGGTCATCTGCCTCATTGCCTGCCTGGGACTGGCCAAGCGCTCCAAGTGTCTCCTGGCCTCGTGAGTATCCCTACCCGTGGACCTGGGACAAAGAGCTGGGCAGGATGCCATCATCAGAGAGAGACGAGGGCCTGGCCAGCTCCAGAGTGTGGGGAAAATAGCCAGGCTGCCTGAGGCCACCTTCTGCCCCGTCCTCAGCACTCAGCAGAGGAGACAGACAGCAGCCACCAACTCACCATCTGGTCACCAAACGAGCAAGCATTAGGCTTTCCTCCTTCTCTGGGCCTGACTCTGTTGAGCAGCTAAGAAACATGGGTCCGTGCATGAAAGCCTCTGGCCGTCTTAGCCAACACTGCCCCCTTAGCCTGTGCTCTCACGCCTGGGTCTCTTTAGCCTCAAGGACCTGGGCTCCATGGTCCTTTCCTAGTAGTGAGCAGGGCCCACGTCAGGGCAGGGACTGAGGCTGCCTTTGGATCCATTGCAAGGGTCTGGGGGCAGGGTGGGTGGGGTGATGGCTGAGAGGAAGGGGACCCCGCCTGCCAACGTTGTCGCCTGCCTCTCTCCTAGGATGCTGTGCTGTGGGGCACTGAGCCTGCTCCTCAGTTGGGCATCCCTGGCCGCTGATGGCTCTGCGGCAGTGGTGAGTTGGGGGAGGGAGTGGGTGGTGGGTGGTGGTTGGTCTGCCAGGACACTCTGGTGTGTCTCCAAGCAGGGCCAGCTTCCGGTCCCAGCTCCTAACCTAGAATCCCAGAATCTCAGAACCAAAGGGACTTGCGTCATCTGAACCGGCCCCTCTCGTTACAGATGGGGAAACAGGCCCAGAGAAAGGAAGGGGACTGCCCAGGGTCAGAGCCAGGATAAGACACTCATGCTTCATACCCAGAGAGAAGCCCCCGGCTGCCCAGGCATGCTTAGGCTTACACGTGCTTAGGCTTAGGCGTGCCTGGGTGACCAGGGCGCTTCTCTCTGGGTGTGAAGAACTGACCGGGTCTCCTGAGAATGGGTAGGGGTCCAAGCCTCAGACTGGGGAATCCCTCCCGCATCAGAAGCTGCTGCTTTGCCAGCTCCCCAGGCCCTGGGACTGTAGAATGTGGTGTCTGACTTGCCTTCCATCCCAATGTCCCAGGACTCCCGCGGTCTGAAGCACACATGCTGTATGTTTCTGGATGTGATGTCTCAAAATGGCTTAAAAAAAAAAAGTTGGGGGCTTCCTATGCGGGTCCACATGATCTTTAAAGGACCTAACACTGGCGCTAAGCTGTGTGCATGAGGCTGTTCATTCACTCAGCTGACATTGTTTGCTGGGTGGCACTCGATGGTACAAGTTGCCTGGGGTTGCGGAAGCCAAGAGGACGTGATGTTTGCTGTTGACAAAGTTCCAGCCTTTGGAAGCAAGACTCATAGGCAGATCACTGCAACCCCAGGCTTTGATACAGTGGAGGTGCAGTGTGTGTGTGTGTGTGTGTGTGTGTGTTTGTGTGTGTGTGTTCATGCACATGCACGTGATAGAAGAGAACACAGTTTACCAGGGGAATTCAAGGAACCCCTCACTGATTCAAAGTCCACAGACTAACCCTGGGACATGCATCTGTTCTGCCATAGTGACCTGAGGCTTGATAGGATAAGATGGGGGTGGCTTGTACAAGAAGCTCCCTAACCACACTCACACCTCGTCCAGTGACTTGGGGGCTGGCCACTAGCTCTGGGCGTGGACACAATGCCCTCAGGGACTCTGGCACTGCCTGACTTAGCACCTTAGGCAGAGGCTTGTGCAGAAGGGAGAAGAGGGGGCATTTTCTGTCTTTGCCTCCTGCCACCCCAGTGCAGTGACCACGGACCAAGGAATGGTCGAGAAAAGGCCCAAGTCATGTTTGAAAGCATGCAGGAGCTGGGACGGCTGTAAACAGTGCCACTGCTGGCCAGGGTGATGCAGGCAGCTGCCTGGCCTCCAGCCTCTCCTCTGGGGCCAGGGCCACGCACAGGGAAGCTGCAGGGAGCACACGGCGAACTCCTCCAGGGCCCCATCCCGCTTTCTGGGCAGCCTCTGCCTTCTGGAGGCAGCGGTGGCTTCCAGCTTGCCGCTGTGAGCTGCCCTGTGGTGGCCGCCCCTCCCAGTGGGGGCTCCTCCCTCTCACCAGGCTTCAGTGTTCACGAAAACCAGAGGCCATTTAATCTCCCAGCTGGGCGCCCTGGAATGCGGGGAGCTGGGGAGAAAGGCCATTTCCCTAATTCCTCTAGTCAGGCCCCTGAGTGCGAGATGGGGAGCAGGCGGTGGAGCTGAATGGGCTTTTGACGGGCTGGAGATGCTGCTGCATTTTAATAGGAAGCCGGGTGAGGAGGAGCCAGGAGGGCGGGGAGGGCGGCCGGCTGTCCCGGGGTTGTTGTGGAGAGCTTTTGTGTGGCCTCCCAATGCCACCCTGCTCTCTGAGGCCTGTTTTGACAGCCATGGGGCCAGAGGATTGACAAGGCCTCCCTTCCCCACCCCCGACCCCTACCCCTCCCTGTCCCTAGAAAGGACTCCATGAGGACAGAGCACTGCCCTGGAGATCTGCTCTGGGTGAGGCAGGGAGAGGAGGGAGCAGCGGAGCTCCAAGCTTCCAGGCCCTGGGGCCACCCCTCGTGGTCAGCACTGCGAGTCAGGAGGTGTCTGGGGTGAGGGGCTAGAGCAGGCAGAGAGGCTGGGAAGCCCTGGAAGAAGGAAGGGGAAGGAAATGGGTTCAGCTGTGAGGGAGGAGGCAATGGCTGTCACAAGTGCTTTGGCCACCGAGCCTGGGGACAGAGAACTTCAGGGGATTCCTCCAGCTAAGGGGCAGCCAGGCCTGCCCCTGAGTCAGAGGGTGGGAGTGTGGCCTCTGCAGCCACCCTGTCTGGGCCCACATCCTCCCTTCACCCCTTCCCAGCAGTGGAAACCCAGGAAAGTTCCTGAGGTTTTCTGTGCCTCAGCTTCCTCCTAGGTGAACACAGAGAATAACAGGACTTACCTCAAAGGGCTGTTGCTAGGGAAAGATGAGTGGGTTCATCCTGGGAGGCACACAGAAAATGTCCAATAAACAGTGGCCACCACTGGCTTCCTGTGCATTCATCGTCATCATGCTAGGGTCACGGGGGTCCCTTCAGACCCACACCTCCATTCTCAGGAGCTGCCTGCAGGCTCAGCCATCACCTGGGCTGGTTACTGGGCAGCCTCTCCCACCTGCCCCAACTATGCTCAGTGACCTCCTTCCTGTCCCCTCTCCTGCCATCCCTATCACCATGGCATGAGTAATGCACACGTGTATTAGTCCATTTTCACACTGCTGATAAAGACATACCCAAGACTGGGCAATTTACAAAAGAAAGAGGTTTGATTGGACTCACAGTTCCACATGGCTGAGGAAGCCCCACAATCATGGTGGAAGGCAAGGAGGAGCAAGTCACGTCTTACATGGATGGCAGCAGGCAAAGAGAGAGGACGTATGCAGGGAAACTCCTGTTTTTAAAACCATCAGATCTGCCAGGTGTGGTGGCTCACACCTGTAATCCCAGCACTTTGGGAGGCTGAGGCAGGGGGATCACCTGAGGTCAGGAGTTCAAAACCAGCCTGACCAACATGCCAGAACCCCATCTCTAGTAAAAATACAAAATTAGCCAGGCATAGTGGTGCATTCCTATAATCTCAGCTACTCGGGAGACTGAGGCAGGAGGATTGCTTGAACCCGGGAGGTGGACGTTGCAGTGAGCCAAGATCACGCCACTGCACTCCAGCCTGGGCGACAGAGTGAGACTCTGTCTCAAAAAAAAAAAAAAAAAAAAATCAGGTCTTGTGAGACTTATTCATTATCAAAAGAACAGCGTGAGAAAGACTTGCCCCCGTGACTCAGTTACCTCCCACCAGGTCCCTCCCATAACATGTGGGAATTCAAGATGAGATCTGGGTGGACCATTTCGACATGCACACACACAAGGGCATCACACACATACATGCACACGCACACAGGTGCTTGTCTTCATTAATAGGAGAGTTGACTCCTCACTGAGTCCCACACCCCAAACCATCCTATGCACCTATCCCAGGAGATGGAGGCTCCAGGGTGGCCAAGGGGTGTGAAGAGCAGGCCTGGCCTGGGAGGGGAAGGAGGAGAGAGGCAGGAGGAAGACCATGTCACTGTGGAGCCTTGGACTGGAGCCTCCTGTCCCTCTCCTTTCTTGGTTCCCAAACTTCTTGGGGGTGACCCAAACTGAGATGGTGGCCTCGCTCTTTATTTCCCCAAGGCTTCCCCATCCTCCACTTGGGCCTGGCTGCACTCTCTGTCACTCCAGCCAGGGGGTGGGGGCACACCACCAGGCCTGCTGGCGCCGCAGCTCTGATAGGTAATAATAGGCCAGGTTGATGTATTATGAATGCTGGTGGTTTGTGTATAAAGCATTTCTCCCAGGGTCTTAAGTGCGTGCGTGCGTGCGTGCATGCGTGTGTGTGTGTGTGCGCGTGCGTGCATGTGGGGCTCTCGGGAAGCTCTGTATCTGGAGGGGTGTGTTATTCCGCACCCTCGCTATACACACATTTTCTAGACCGTAAGTGCTGTGATGCACTAACCTCTAGGTGCTAGAACCCTGCACGGCACTGAGTAAGTACTCCATAAATGTCTATCAACTTAGCAAGTTAGTGAGTGATGCTCTATTGTGGACCCCTGAGGCAGTGGCTCCTGAAGGAGGACGGGGCCACCGGCAGAGCAGGGCACTCAGAGGGGTCCCCTGCCCGGGGAGCATGTGCCAGAGGAGGGGGACATCCCTAAGGAACAGGCCAGAGGACCTGAGCTCTCCCTGGCTGCTCTGGAAGGCGGAGGCCCCCCAGTTTATCCAGTCCCTAGAGCACCCCAGGCCAGATCTGGGGTGCGCCTGGCTTGGAGGCCATGTCCTTGCTGCCGCCTCTCCTGGGGCCTGCGTCTGCTCCCACCCTGCCGCATGGGCCTTAGCAATCACTTAGCCAGGCCGTGCTGTGGGGCCAGGTCCTCCAGCTCATAAGTGGCAGCCGCCTCTCAGCTCCATGCCCTTCCCACCCCATGTCTTGGCAGGTGAGCACCTGCACCCAAGGCTCACAGATGCTTCAGCACCAACCTCATTCTTTAGAAAGAGTTTGGGGGAGGCTTCATAGATTGAACACCCGTCCCTGTAGCACTTGATCATAGCAAGACAAAATGTAAAACAGCAGATGAGGCCATGGTGTAACGAACTCCCACACACACAGCCTGCAGCTGCCCTGGGGCCCAGGATGCTGGCCCCCAAAGGTCTGTCCCAGAAGAGGCATTCGGGAATAAGAGTAACAGCATGCGCTCTGCCCCAGTCACTTTTCTGAGCACTTTACTTGCATTGGGTGAATAGCATTATCATCTCCATGTCACAGATGAGGCAACCGGGGCACAGGAAGAATAAGTAACTTGTCCAAGGCAACAGAGCTAGGAAGGGGCAGAGCCAGGTTTGAACCCAGGAGGCTGGCTCCAGACTGTCCTTTGCCACCTGGGAGGGAGCTCAAGGGGCTGGGGTGATGGGCTCCCGGCTCCTCCCAGGGCCCCGCTGTCCTGATACCTGATTTTCCTCCACCCCGTCCCTCTCTCCCTCACTCAGGCCACCAGTGACTTCTGTGTGGCTCCTGACACCTTCATCCTGAACGTCACGGAGGGCCAGATCAGCACAGGTAACTACACACTCTCAGGCTGCTGCTGTGGATGCATAGGTGGCCGGACTCTGTGCCCCTACTTACCTCTTTCAGCCCTGTAGCCATCCAACCCCTCCTCAACCCTGAACTTCAAGTCCAGCTCATGCTCTAGGCCATTTCCTAGAAAGTGCCTCCCTTGGGAGCTCAGGGACGGGGAGGGAGGTCTGGCTTGGCCACCAAGGATGATAGAGATCTCATCTGGTCATTTGTGAGCTGCCTAACGTTATGCCGTTGCCCTGCAGAGGTGACTCGCTACTACCTGTATTGCAGCCAGAGTGGAAGCAGCCCCTTCCAGCAGGTATGGCCCCCCGAGGCCTGCCCTCACCCTGCCCACAGCCGCTCCCCCTTGACCCTAAGCCTCACCACTGACCAAGATGGCGGAGGTGGCAGGGCCTTGCTTGCCTCACTGTGGTCCTCTCCTTAGCTGCTTCTGTGAGGGGGGCGTGCTTTTGGTCGTGGGTTCTAGATTGGTGGTTAACACATATGCAGCTCAATGCGGGAGCTAGTTCCCATGCAGATGCTGTCCAGGAGCTCTGGGGTGGGGCCGAGATTCTGTACTACTCACAAGCTCCCAGGTGAGGCCAGGGCTGCTGGTCCAAAGACCACATCTGAGCTGCAAGCAGGGAGAAGACTGTGCAGCTCTCAAGAAGCCAGAGGAGTAGGGGGAGACTTCCTGCAAGTGGAGGGGCCTGTGCAGCTGCAGCCAGGTGGGGGGGTGGGAGGGGCAGGAGCATAGGCCCCTCAGCCACTGTGGGGCTCCTGGGAGACGGAGCCTCACTGTGGGGCTCCTGGGAGACGGAGCCTCACTGTGGGGCTGTGTCTTTCCTGGCTCAGACCCTGACCACCTTCCAGCGCGCACTTACCACCATGCAGATCCAGGTCGCGGGGCTGCTGCAGTTTGCCGTGCCCCTCTTCTCCACTGCAGAGGTAAGGCAGCTGTGCAGGAAGAGGGGAGCCCCAGATGAACCCTGACAGCCCTTTCCCCTGCCCCGGCCCCAGGGCCAGGCTGTGCACAGCTTGCTGCTGGCTCTCTGTTCTCCCGCCCCCGTGACTCGGCTCCCTCCCTTGGCTCTAGAGGCCCCTGAGCACAGCTGCTGTGGTGGTTTTCTCCGCCAGCTCTCCTCCACAGCCCCTCGGCCTCTCTCGCTCTCTTCCCGCTTCAGGAAGACCTGCTTGCAATCCAGCTCCTGCTGAACTCCTCAGAGTCCAGCCTTCACCAGCTGACCGCCATGGTGGACTGCCGAGGGCTGCACAAGGTGCATGGGGACCCTGGGGTCACGTGGAGAGTGTGAGGGCACCCAGCAGGCCACACCTTCCAGAGAAAAGCCGGTAGAGGCCGAGGGGAGCGATGGCCTGGGTCCCCTTCCGGCCCAGGAATGGAACTGAAGCCAGATAATGGGAAGGGAGGGGGTGCCTGGCTTCTCCAGGGGCTGAGACAGGGAGACTCAGTACAAGGGACCAGGGGTTCGGGATGGGAGGGTTGGATGCGGTTGGCTCTGGGTCACTGGGGGACCCTGAACAATGCAAGGGAGGCTGTTCCCCATTGTCCAGACTCCTAGCCATTTCCTCAACACATCTGTCTCCCTGGGTTGCAAGTGGATGTCCCAATCCCATTGCCAGAGTCTTCTTTCCAGGAACTTGGAATATCAGACAGACACAATGATGCAGGGAACACATGGGGAGCACGTGAGAGCCCCCCACCCAAAAGCAGTGAGCCAGTGTATGGCGACAGCTTTCACATCCCAGATGGATTTAGTGCAGACAGTCTTTGTCATCATCACAGCTGTCAGCTCCATGCTTGGCCCTGTTCTGTGCATTTTATATCCAGTATGTCATTCAGTTCTCACAGTTATACTGTGAACCACACGTTATTTCCTAGGAAATTGACTTGCTTGTGCGTGTGTATGGATAGATCCATAGATACAGCTATGTGTGTGTGCACGTGCGTGTGTCTGTGTGTGTGTGCGTGTGTGTGCACTTGTGGTGTATATGTCTGTGCGTGTGTGGTGTGTTTCTGCGGTTGTGTGGGTGCACATATGTGATGTGTGTATGTATGTGTGTGGTATGTGCATGCTTGTGCGCATGTGTGCTGTGCATGCGTGTGTGTGGTGCATGTGTATGTGCCTGTATGTGTGTGTGGGGTGTGTGGTGTGTGCGTGTGTGTGGTGTGTGCATGTCTGTGATGTGTGTGGTGTGTGTGCATGTGTGTTGTGTGCACATGTGTGCACATGTATGTGGTGTGTGTGGTGCATGTGTGTGTGCATGTGGGGGGTGCATGTGTGTGGGGGGTGTGTGTGCGTGTATTTATAAAGTGGCTTACTGAAGAGTCCCGAGTTGGCACATCAGGGGCTTGGGTTTAGATCCTGGTAGTCTGACCTCAGAGCTAAGAACATGGCAGTCACCCCTGTCTCCTCTCTTCTTCCCCTTCTACATCTAATCCCCAGCAAGTCTTGGCAGCTCTCCTCTCAGCTGTACCCTGAATCCATCCATTTCTCTTTCTCTCCATGGCTTCCACCACGATCCGGTCCTGCCCCTCCAGCAGACAGTGGCCTCTTCCCACTTTCTCTTGCCCCCTCACCACCCATGAGCTTTCACACATGCAACCAGAGCAGTCCTTTTGCAGACTAGGTTGGATCACATCCCTTCCACTCCCACACCCTCCAATGTCTTTCTGACTCCTTTTAAAAGTCCGTACTCCTCTCCCGCATTGCAAGGCCCAGCACGACCCAGCCCCTGCTGGCCTATGTTCTCTCTCTTTCCTGAACAGGCCAAGCCTGTCCCCTTTGCCCCCTCTTCTCAAGGTGTGCTGCTTCTTGCCATCCTGGCCTCAGCTTCAGTGCCCCCGTCTCTGGTTCCCCACCCTGCAACCTCCTCCGCCCTGTTCAGAGCCAGCTTCTTAGTGCCCAGCTCACAGTAAGTGCTCAGCAAATGTTTCCAGCGTGAACCCAAGAAGCCCCATTGTGTTAGGCTCCAGAGTGTGGACCTTTAATGGTGCTGCAAGGCGCTCGGGATGGGGAGCAGCCAGGAGACCCCAGGTCCAGGCTCGGGGGAGAGGGACTTCCAGAGGAGAGCTCGGCCCGCAGGCTTTGCCCCCGCTCCTTCACTAGCTGCATGTCCCTCCTCTTCCTCCAGGATTATCTGGACGCTCTTGCTGGCATCTGCTACGACGGCCTCCAGGGCTTGCTGTACCTTGGCCTCTTCTCCTTCCTGGCCGCCCTCGCCTTCTCCACCATGATCTGTGCAGGGCCAAGGGCCTGGAAGCACTTCACCACCAGGTGGGCTGCCTAGTAAGGAGGGGAGCCTCCCACAGCCTGGAGTTCTGGGAGAGCAGCAGACAGGGGCCTCTGCTCTACGATTTAGCTGATAACCCAGGACTGAGGAGGGCAGCAGAGGGCCCGGGCATTCAGCCCAACAGGCTGGCTGACTTCTACAGAAGCTTCCCCAAGAGTCCACACAGACCCTCCAAAGGAGTTCGGTGGGGCCCAGAGCAAGAGCTGGGGCCCAGGGTGGTGACAGCCCTCAGGCC
Source organism: Homo sapiens (assembly GCF_000001405.40). Lineage (NCBI taxonomy): Eukaryota > Metazoa > Chordata > Mammalia > Primates > Hominidae > Homo > Homo sapiens. The sequence continues at coordinate 74,252,628 of NC_000017.11, forward strand.
ACAGTCTGGCCTCCCTTCTCCTCTCTTCTCACCAGGACTTTGCGATCTGGAATGAGGAGAGTTCTTGGTGCTGGGAGGGGTGCCCCAGGAATAGCAAGAAGGATACATGGGGTCACTGTTTTCAGGGAGCCTGCAGTCCCCTTGAGGAGATGGGCAGGGACACATGGTGTACAGGCACCTGGTGAGCGGATTAGGCAAGAGGACGCAGGGTAGTGGGGACCCACATGCGCATGGTCAGCGTGGTGGGGAGCCTGGAAGAGCTGGTCGTGAAGCTGGGAATGGGCCAGAATGATCTGCAGGAGGCAGGCTGGGGACCGCGTTTTAGAGGAGTCTCAAGGAGACACGCGTGGCCAGAGAGTCCTGGGAGGAAAGGCAGGGAAGTAGGACAGGACCTGGCTGCCTCGGAGCCTCCTTCACCCTTCACAGCCGGCCATCTTCTACCCATTGTTCTAGAAACAGAGACTACGATGACATTGATGATGATGACCCCTTTAACCCCCAAGCCTGGCGCATGGCGGCTCACAGTCCCCCGAGGGGACAGCTTCACAGCTTCTGCAGCTACAGCAGTGGCCTGGGAAGTCAGACCAGCCTGCAGCCCCCGGCCCAGACCATCTCCAACGCCCCTGTCTCCGAGTACATGTACGGCCTGCACACACACCCAGGCTGGGTAGCACTGCCCGGACAGCATGTTGGGTGGGGTCCACAGTGCCGGGTGTGGGGAGGAAGGCATCCAAGGCCACCCGTGGTCCCCACTACAGCCACAGGGTGCCTGGAGGGAAGGCCCCCGGGGAGCATCTAGTCACCCCTCCACACCCACATGTGCTGGGGGAAGAAACCACTGATGTCAGCAGCCTCTGCCACAAGCTGGTGGGACAGGTCTCAGGCCCAAAAAGCTGCATTTCTCCAGGCCATGCTGCTCCCAGCCTCCGTTGCCCATCAGCCACTTGTCCCCAGGCTTCCCAAGGTGCTCTTCTCCATATCTGCCCACTGCACCCCCTCCACTCTATCTGTGGTTTGGTTCCATCCCCCACCTCCCATGTGCTCACCCATGGGACCCTCCTGTAGAAATCTACACACACCCCCACTCCCACACCATCCCCTCCTGAGCTCTCCTCTCATCCCCGCAGGAACCAAGCCATGCTCTTTGGTAGGAACCCACGCTACGAGAACGTGCCACTAATCGGGAGAGCCTCCCCTCCGCCTACGGTAATTGGGGCTCTGGCCCTTCCTTGTTGGGGTAATACATAAAGACAAAACCTCCTGCCAACCCAGTGAATCCTGTCCACAAAGGCAGAAAAGAATGAAACTGTTCTGTTATTGAATATGCACTAAACCAGACCGTCGTGGGTATCCCAGGCAGTCCGCTAAGGAGATTGCAAAGATGCAAGAAATCTCACTCCTTCCCCTAGCCAGGCAGGAACAAGACACAGCCCACTGCATACCTGTCATCCAGCAAGAGGACTTGACGGCACTGTTTGTCACAGTAGTCCACCTTAATCCACTTGCTAATTGGGGTGGCCATCCTGGTTAAGTAATTGCCTTTATTTATTTATTTATTTATTTTTTGAGGCAGAATCTCACTCTATTGCCCAGGCTGGGGTGCAGTGGCGCAATATCGGCTTACTGCAACCCAGGTTTCAAGCAATTATCCTGCCTCAGCCTCCCAAGTAGGTGGGACTACAGGTGCGTGCCACAACGCCAGGCTAATTTTTGTATTTTTAGTAGAGATGGGGTTTCTCCATGATGGCCAGGCTGGTCTCAAACTTCTGACCTCAGGTGATCCACCCGCCTCGGCCTCCCAAAGTGCTGGGATTACAGGCATGAGCCACCGCGCCCGGCCAGCTAATTGCCTTTATCCAGAGGAAAAATAAAACTCCTATTTCCGTGACAATCAGATAGCTACAACTTGGAGCCAGGCCCCTAAGTGAACTGTCACTGAGAAGGAGATGAGGTGCTGTCTTCCTGATGTTTGTACTTCCAAGAGATGGCTCCCAGACCTGAAAAAACCATACCTGGATTGTAACACTGGCAAGGGCCATATTCAGCCTTTAAGAAGGTTTGCAGACATCTCAAAAGACAGAAATTATTTACAATGATAAGTTTTCTAAAGGAAATACTGCAAGAAGAGAGGGGGTCTCTTTCCCTTTTTGCTCCAGAGAAAATTAAGGAATTTTTTTTCTTTTTAGATTTCTGTTTACCTTAATCCTTGGTCTCTTTTGGGCTGGACGGTGGGTTGGCTGTGGTGGCGGGTCTGGGAGGGCTGAACCCAAACACAGCCTTCCTCAATCCGTCTCAGCTCCCCATGTCCCTAGGACTGTGCCCAAGTAGGGCCAGTGCCTCTTGTCCACCCCACCACCTCCAGCCAGAGTACCTGAGATACAGCCTCAGGGGAGTAGCTCAGGGTGGGCAGGTTGAGAAGGAAAGACTATGCTGTCTCATCCCAGAGAAGTATCCAAAGGACACAGAAATACTGGCTGAGACAAAGAAAGCTGTAAACAGACAGTGAAGTGACCGCCAAGGTTCAGGGACACGGACTCCAGTGCCAAAGGCCTGGGTTCAAATCCCAGCTCATGGCTTATGGCCTCTGTGACTTTGGACAAGCACTTTGCTGCTCTGTGCCTCAGTTTCCCCATCTATAGAATGAGTATGGGAATACTAGCACATTCCTCCTCGGTGGTGTGTGCAATGGGCAAATTGATTGTTATCAGAGCGTACGTGCGAAGCATCCAGTGAGTGCCGTAGGACAGTGAGCTGTTATTTGTGACTTTCTTCCACCCCACCTTCTCCACAGAGCTGTGGCATTTATCAATTTTATTTTATTTTTTATTTTTTATTTTTTTTTGAGACGGAGTCTCACTCTTCTGCCCAGGCTGGAGTGCAGTGATGTCATCTCAGCTCACTACAACCTCCACCTCCCAGGTTCAAGTGATTCTCCTGCCTCAGCCTCCCTACTAGCTGGGATTACAGGCATGCACCACCACACCTGGCTAATTTTTGTATTTTTAGCAGAGACAGGGCTGGCTGGTCTTGAACTCCTGACCTCAGGTGATCCACCCATCTTGGCCTCCCAAAGTGCTGGGATTACAGGCATGAGCCACCGTGCCCGGCCAGAGCTGTGGCATTTATAAGAAAGGACAAGGGGAATGAAAGGCCAGAAGTCTGCCATGGGGTGGGCAGAAGGGTCCTGGAGCCAGGCATCTCCCTTCATTGGGCCTGGCGAGGCATTTCAGTGCCCCGACCCAGATAGTTTGGAAGGGGACATCCAACAGGAAAGCAGAAGCACTGGGGCCCAAATACCTGGGACCAGCGTGATAGACCTGGGCCCTGAGGACCCAGGAAGTGCACGCACAGGCACCCAGGGAGTCAGCTTCCCGGTCATGGCGCTTGGTGAAAATCATAGTGTCAGACCCGAGAAAAGAGCAAGTGGAACCCAGTCCCTGTCTTCAGGAAGTTCCAGTCTATAGAAGGGGCACTCAAGAAGGCTGCCTGTAGAAAGTGCTACAAGGTACTTTGGGACCAGAAAGAAGGAGCCATCTTTGCTGCTGCTCTAGGGGATTCCAGAAGGTTCTATTTAATAGGTGGCGTTTGAGCCACAGTGTAGAGCAGGGGCTCACCCAGGGGCAGTTTTCCCCCCTGGGGACATTTGGCAATGTCTGGAGGCATTTTCATTACCACGCTTGGAGGCTGGGGATGGGGGCTGGATGCTATTGACATCTAGGGAGTGGAGCACCCACCACAAAGCACGGTGCAGCCCCAAATGCCCATAGGTTATGGGGCCTGTCCTCTGCGTGTGGGATGTTCAGCAGCATCCCTGGCCTCTACCTGCTAGCAAGCCTGCTGGAACCAATCCCCCTGTCATTCACTCCTGTGCCACCACCTTGGTGCTTTTGCCTGGAGCACCTCACCTGCTGTCCCATCCCACAGCTTTACAAACACAAGCCCCAGCCTCATGTCGTTCTTTCTTCCTGGGGTCCCCGGGAGTGGGCTGGTTGAACCTGTATTCAAAGTCAGCACCATTTATTATTTATGTTTATTTTTTTGAGACAGAGTATCACTCTGTGACCTAGGCTGGAGTACGTGGTGCAATCTCAGCTCACTGCATCCTCCACCTCCTGAGTTCAAGCAATTCTCATGCCTCAGCCTCCCAAGTACTTGGGACTATAGGCACGTGCCATCACACCCAGCTAATCTTTGCATTTTCAGTAGAGACGGGGTTTCGCCATGCAGGCCAGGCTAGTCTCTAACTCCTGGCCTCAAGTGATGCACCTGCCTTGGCCTCCCAAAGTGCTGGGGTTACAGGCATGAGCCACCACGCCCAGCCTAAAAGTCAGCACCTTTTAAATGCCAGCCTAGCTTCTCTCACTAATCAGAAGCCTCCCGGGTTCCTTTTTCCAACCACCAGCTGCCGTGGCCCCAGGAATGCAGATTGACTTTAATATTAATCTAAGCACAACGTAATTAGGGGAAATCTGCTGTGAAAAAAGAATTACTCTATGCACTGTGATGCCAAATAAAAATGATTTTCAGATTCCCTTCTGTTTGAAAGATCCAGGCCACTCATCCTGCCGTTAGCAGAGATAATCAGCAACTGACCTTATTTGCAAGGCTCAAGGACAGAAAACCCTTCCTCCCTAGATTTAAGACCTGCCCAGAAACACTTATTGCTTTGGCCAAGTTGACTGCCCAGTCCCACCTAGCCCAGCCTGCCCTGGGAAGACCCTTCCACCTCCATGCCCGGTAAGGGACCTAGAGAGACATCTAATGATGCCGCAGACCAAGGAACCCCACAGCATGGAGGGTGTGGGTGTCTGCCCCAGTAAAGACAGCACAGCTGGCTGCGCCCCACCCTCCCCGGGGCGCCTGCTCTAAACACTCCTTAGCACCGAGCAAGTTCGAGAGGTGGATAAACTCCTCCCTCTGCCGAGCACCCTCTCTGGGACAGTCAGGGGACCTCACTGGGTGGGTGATGTCACGCCTGGTGATCGGGATATACAGCCTGTCCCTTGCTGGAAATGTTTCTTCCCCCAGCTCTGCCTTCAAGGAATAATCTCTCCTGTCCTTTTAGGCACTGTTTCTTGGACTTGATGAACAAAAATGACCCAGGGCAGTTAAAGATACTGACGTTGAGACTTCTCTTCAGACTTACAGAAACAGAATATCTTGGGGAAGGAGCCTGGGAGATTCTAAGTTTAACAAACTTATTATCATTCAAGTTGGGAAATATTGCTTTAAGAAGGAGGGTCTTGGCCAGCACCATGCCTCATGCCTGTAATCCCAGCACTTTGGGAGGCCAAGGCAGGTGGATCACTTGAGGCCAGGAGCTCGAGACCAGCCTGGTCAACATGGTGAAACCCCGTCTCTACTAAAAATACAAAAATTAGCTGGGCATGGTGATGGGTGCCTGTAATCCCACCTACTCGGGAGGCTGAGGCAGGAGAATCACTTGAACCCAGGAGGCGGAGGTTGTAGTGAGCTGAGATTGCACCACTGCACTCCAGCCTGGGTGACAGAGTGAGATTCTGTCTCAAAGAAAATAAAAAAGAAGAAGGAGGGTCTCATACTTGCGTATGCATCAGAATCGCCTGAGGGACCCACCCTGTTTCTGATTCAGAAAATCTGAGTTGGAGCCTGGAGATGTGCCTTTTTTGTTTTTTTGAGACTGAGTTTCACTCTTGTTGCCCAGGCTGGAGTGCAGTGGCATAATCTCGGCTCACTGCAACCTCCGCTCCCCAGGACCAAGCGATTCTCCTGCCTCAGCCTCCTGAGTAGCTGAGATTACAGGCCCCCACCACCACGCCCAGCTGACTTTTTGTATTTTTAGTAGAGACAGGGTTTCACCATGTTGGCCAGGCTGGTCTTGAACTCCTGAGCTCTGGTGATCCACCTGTCTCGGCTTCCCAAAGTGCTGGGATTACAGGTGTGAGCCACCGTGCCTGGCCGGAGATGTGCGTGTCTGACATATTCCTAGGTAAAGCTGCTGCTGCTGCCCTGGAAACCACGCTTGGAGAACCACTGCTCTGAGGCCAGCTTCTTCAGCCTCAGTGCTATTGATGGGCAGCGTCATTCTCGGTGGGGGGTTCCTGTACATTGTAGGACGTCTAGCAGCATCCCTGGCATCTACTTGCTACATGCCAGTGGCAGCCCAGTGCCCAGTTGTGACAACCAGAATATCTCCAGACATTGCCTAATGCCCCTGGGAGGTAAAAACATCCCTGGTTGAGACCCACTGGGTCGAAAACCTCATGCTCCCTCCTCCCCAACCCCAGCCCAAGTGGAAGCATTCCATTCCCCCTGATGTGAATGGCCTGGACCCCTGAAGCTTCCCGGGTCAGGAGAGTGGCAGTTTCTGGAAGCTTGTTAGAAGTGCAGAATCTCAGGTCCTGTGGACAAGATCCCCAGGTAGCCTGTGTGCAGGGTATAGAGTGAAAGGCCCTCTCCACTGCCAAGGACGAGTAACTAAGTTCTGTCAGGCACCTACTCTGTACTGGGTCATGCTCCTCCAACTTGAATGCACACTGGAATTGCCTAAAGAGCTCTAAAAACACTGATAGCTCTTTAAATTCATTTTATGTTATGTGTGTGGTCTTTGTTTTTTTTTAAGAGAGAGGGTCTCGCTCCGTTGCCCAGGGTGAAGTGCAGTGGTGTGATCTTAGCTTGCTGCAACCTCCACCTCTTGGGCTCAAGTACCTTCTCCTCCTGCCTCAGCCTCCCAAGTGGCTGGGACTACAGGTGCATGCCACCATGCCCAGCTAATTTTTTGTATTTTTGATAGAGACAGGATTTTGCCATTTTGCCCAGGCTGGTCTCGAACTCCTGGGCTCAAACGATCCTCCTGCCTCTGTCTCCTAAAGTGCTGGGATTACAGGTATGAATCACCACCGTTATGTGCATTTTGCATCAACAAAAATATACATATTTATATACTAGTGGATGTGGCCTGGGCATCGGGATGTTTTTAGGCTCCCCAGGTGTTTCTGGCGAGCAGCCCAGTTTGAGAGCAGCTGTGTTATTAAGGCTCTTCCCTGCTCCATATCATTTCGCCCTTTCAACGTAAGAGCTGGGTGCTCTTATGTCCATTTTGCAGGTAGGGAAACTGAGGCTAGAAAAGGCTGGAGAACCTAAGCCAAGGTCACGGGGTAAGATGCACAGCTGGGATTTGAACCTGCTTCTCTGAGTCTCTGGGCCTCTGCCCTCAGCCTGCTGGCTGCTGACTGCTCCTCCGTGCGCTGGTGGACCCTGACGCTGCCCCCAGTGTGAGGGGACAGGCTGGATGCTGGGGGTGTGTGCTGGGGCGGAGTGGACATTGGAGGACAGCTGGTCTGTGTGTGCATTTTTTATTTGAGGCTGGGAGGCAGAAGTCTTGATGGATGTGGGGTGGAGGCACGGCCGGGTTTCCCTCTGACACCCGACCCAGTTCCACTCTGAGAAGTCCCCGGCACCTTTGCTGGTGCAGTGCTTGGCTGACTCAGCTCTGACCATCCCCTCTCTTCTCTCTTGGCAGTACTCTCCCAGCATGAGAGCCACCTACCTGTCTGTGGCGGATGAGCACCTGAGGCACTACGGGAATCAGTTTCCAGCCTAACAGACTTTCGGGGGTTCCTGCCTCCTTTTTCCGTTCTGGTTTTTAATTAGTGCAAATACAAGCTGCGTTTCTTTAATAGAAACCAAAGGCATCTGGAGCCCGAGAGGCCTCCTGCTGTGGCAGAGGAGCAGCTGGGATTCCCGACCAAAGCCCCAGGGGGTGCAGAAGACTCACCACGCGGGCCAGCCTCTCTCTTTTGCCCTGCTCTCCACACCAGAAATGCCCCCAGGTGCTTGGCTGCCTCAGAGGTACCATCCCTGAGCTGGCTGCCTGGCCCTGCTCACCCCTACGCCTCGCCCTTGCCAGGAGGGGAGTGGCAGTGAGGAGGGGGCCAGGTCAGGCACCACCATCAAGAGAGCTGTGTGTTCTCTCTGGTCCCACAACGATGACTCTGCCTCTTGTCAGCCCAGCCAAGAGCCCAGACGACCCCTCTGTCCTCGTTCCCTGTCCTCGTTCCCTGCAGGTAACATGAGAAGGGCTGATCAGGAGATGCTCTTTAAGAAGTTCGCACCCCTGCTGACACCAGAACAGCCCAAATCAGAGTTCCCAGGGCCAGACAGGCTCTTCCTGGGCCACAGAGGGGAGGCATCAGGAAAGCTCTGCAGTGGGGGGCTGGTGGCTCCGGGGCTGGGGGATCACAGGCTGGTGAACCCCGGTGGGAACAGAGGTGAAAGCCTGCCACATTCCGCCTGTCTCCCTAACCCTCCATTGCCTCGCCTCTATTCCAGAATCAATGCTGCAGAATGTGTTAGCTGCAGATAGGCATGGTCTCAGGTATGAACAGACACTTTGAAACGACTTTAGGTCTTTCTTTTCTCCAGTGTTTTAAACATGTTGATTATCCAAAGAATTGAAACTCCTAGCACATCCAGTTTTTACAACAGATTTGCAGCTCATTCCTTACCCTGGTTAGGTCACTACTTTTGCAGATTTTGCTGGCACTGATCTGGAGATCTGCAGATCTGGAGGAGACGGGAAGGAGTCGATTCTTAAATAAGGATCAGTGAGGCATCCTGTCCCAAGCTACTGTTTGGTGGGGATCTGGGTTCATCTCACCCACAGAGGGAGGATCTTTAAGAGGAGAAAAAAGCCAAGAGGGAAAGCCAGAGTTCCCTGTTCTAGGGGACTAGCCAAATGCCTACATCAGCTGTCCCCTCCCTGTTGTCTCCAAGTAAGTTTGCCAGAAAAGGTTTTAGCAAAGTGCTACAACTGTGTCTTTATAGGAGGATAGGCCTCTGCCCTGCCCCACCCCCACCACCTGTCCCCACCCAGTGTCCCAGGCCACAGGAGCTTATTGGCCAGGAGGGAATAATGTCCCCCAATACTGCCTGTTGAGGGACCAGAGTTGGGGTCTTTGGTGCTTCCAACCTCCTGCCAACCTGGAGTTCACAACACCAGAGCCCCACGGCCTCGCACACTGAAGCAGGGGCGTGCGGTGACTCGGTGCTTCTGTTTTGGAAGAACCACCTGTCATCAAAACATGGACAGCAGGGTGTTCTCAGCTCCCAGCGAAGCCTCCACAACAGAATGGGGCCACAGGGCAGCCGGGACTCCCTGTCTCACCTACATTAACCCATGCATACTGTATGCCATAAACTCACTTTGGTATATCCGCGTCACATGCAGAGAGGAACTCTGCGACGTCAAAGTGTTGCTTCTTAAAGTTTCATTATTGGCAACTAGAGGGTTGTTTTTAATGCATGGAAACTAAACAGATTCCTCGGGGAGTTCCTGAAGGAACCAGGTGGGCAAACCTTTGCTTATATACATGCGGCCTCACCTGGAAGAGAAATAAACCACTTGTACTAAAATGTGCGTTCCGTTTCTGACTTCCACAGCTGCAGGAAATAACGAGGGTATTGAAAGATGGAGCGCTCCCCTCCGGCAGGGTCATGTGGTGGGAGGCTTAGAAGCAGATTCCAGTCGCGATTTCCGTGCCAGGACTGAAAGAGGGGCTTGAACGAATGTCATGGTGCTCTTGCGTGGCTTCCAGCTGCTCTTACAGGACCAGGGACAGGACTTATTTCTGCCCTGATCTTTCTCCAGAATTCCCCCTAAGGGTCACTGTTCTTTTTTTGTTCTTTTTGTTTTGTTTTGTTTTGAGACAGAGTCTCGCTCTGTCACCCAGGCTGGAGTGCAGTGGCGCCATCTCGGCTCACTGCAACCTCCACCTTTGGGGTTCAAGAGATTCTCCTGCCTCAGCCTCCCAAGGAGCTGGGATTACAGGTGGGTGCCACCACACCCGGCTAATTGTTGTATTTTTAGTAGAGACGGGGTTTCACCGTATTGGCCAGGCTGATCTCGAATTCGACCTCAGATGATCCGCCTGCCTTGGCCTCCCAAAGTGCTGGGATTACAGGCGTGAGCCACCTCACTCAGCCGTTAACTGCATCTCAATACCCAAATGAGATTGGCTTTGGGGGGCTTCCATTGTCTCGGAGCTGGAGTGGGACCTGACTTGTAGGCCGGCCCTGCATGAACTAGGAAGGAAGCCTTGGGAATGCACAAGCCGGAGTGTGGTCTGATCACTACGCGTGTCATCTCCCTTTCTCATCTCAGCTGCATTAGTCTCTCCCGCAAGGGAAAGGAGTGGGGTGGGGAAGTGGGTTCTGGGCCCCTGTTTTGCCTGCCAGTCTGCAGGCAGGCCCACCTTTACCCTCCTAAACGTCCTCTGAACAGCCATTCTCTCAACAGCAACCTGACTGCAGACCCAGAACAGCCAGCTTAGGAGGAGAGACTGGAGCTTAACCTGCTCCTGGAGAGAGACAGCAGCAAACTCCACCAGACCCCTTTTGCCTGGAACAGCAGGTGGAGCTTTCACCACGAGTGTCCCAGGCTGTCATTTGGAGCCCACGACCTACCCACGGGGAGCAGCCAACAGAGTGGTTTCTTCTCCAAAGCTAATTCATCTCCAACGAGCTTTCTCCCCCTCCAAAGCTGTACAGTCTTAAATTTAGGACCAGCAGGGGTGTTTCCACAATCTCTTAACTCCCCACATTGCAGATCAGTCAAGAAGCCTGGTGTGTCTGTTGACAGATATACCCATATGGAAAATTTTACCTTCCTTTCTTCCCCTTTTCATTCATTTAAAAATGGATTGCCACCAGGCGTGCTGGCTCATGTAATCTCAACACTTTGGGGGTCCACGGTGGGGGTCAAAGGCGGGAAGATCTCTTGAACCCAGGAGTTCAAGACTAGCCCAGGCAATATAGTGAGACCCCATCTTTAAAAATAAATACTGCAGGGTGCAGCAGCTCAGGCCTGTAATCCCAGCACTTTGGGAGGCTGAGACGGGTGGATCATTTGAGGTCAGGAGTTCGAGACCAGCCTGTCCAACATGATGAAACCCCCATCTCTACTAAAAATACAAAAATTAGCCGGGTGGTAGTGGCGCACACCTGTAATCCCAGCTACTTAGGAGGCTGAGATAGGAGAATCGCTTGAGCCTAGGAGGTGGAGGTTGCAGTGAGCCGAGATCGCGCCACCACACTCTAGTCTGGGTGACAGTGAGACCCTGTCTCAAAAAATAAATAAATACATAAATAAATAAATAATGGATTGATTGATTAACACAGGAGCCAATGAACTAGAGCCAGTGAGCCCAGCCGGCCAGCTGCCTTGGAAGGCCTGTGGGTATAAAATAGTTTTTATATTTTTAAATGGTTAACAAAAAAATCAGACATTTGCAACTATTTTTTGGCTTTTGGTTTGTTTTTTTTTCCCCTCCTTTTTTTTTTTTGAGTTATTAAGAAAAAACAACAAAAAACACAACCAAAAGAACTGACGAGAGGAAGATAAAGCCTCGGGATCAGCCAGAGACCGAGTGGCATATGGGATGAGGCACAGGTCAGGTCTAGCTGGGTCTGTGGAGCAAGGTGGTGGGAAGTCCCAAGGCCTTTGGGCCTGTGGGGTCTGCGGAAGGAGAGGAGGTCACTTAAGAAAATACATATACTGTACACATCTATACGACGCGTCCCATGTTGGGGGAGTGGGGCGAGGTCATGGGAGCTGGTCCACTCTCTCCTCGGACCAGCCTCCCCGCAGGCTCACTGGCTTGGCCAGCACAGGGACCCCTGCAGCTGGCTGTTGTCTTCTGTGGAGCGAGGGAAGGTAACAGTTTAGCTCCCACCCATGGTGGGCAGAGGTCAGCGGAGGTCAGAGGCATGGAGATGGCCACCGCTCAGCTAGGAAATCCCTGTGCCTGGTGCTCGTGCCCGTCATACAGTCTGCTTTGCTGTCTTCTTTCTACTTTTTCCTTCTTTTTCTTCTGGGACGGTGACTCAGGGTCTTTGGTTGAGGATTTTTTTGAGACAGTGACTTGCTCTGTCGCCCAGGCTGGAGTGTAGTGGCACAATCTTGGCTCACTGCAACCTCCACCTCCCAGGTTCAAGCAATTCTCATGCCTCAGCCTCCCAGGTAGCTGAGATTACAGGCGTGCACCACTACGCCTGGCTAATTTTTGTATTTTTAGTAGTGACAGGGTTTCACCATGTTGTCCAGGCTGGTGTCAAACTCCTGACCTCAAGTGATCCACCTGCCTTGGCCTCCCAAAGTGCTGGGATTTCAGGCATGAGCCACCGAGCCCAGCCTGCAACTAATTTTGATGGTCGAGAACACTGTGAACCTCAATTAGGCAAAATTTATCTCCCTCCCCAAAGATTCTGTTCTTCTCAATAGACCTGTATTACCAAAAAATTGTACTTAATTATTATAACATTTTTATTTCATCAAGTAGAAAACTGTGGAAATTGGCCAGGCACTCTGGCTCACACCTGTAATCCCAGCACTTTGGGAGGCCGAGGCAGATGGATCAGTTGAGGTCAGGAGTTCAAGACCAGCCTGGCCAACATGGTGAAACCCTGTCTCTACTAACAATATAAAAATTACCCAGGCAAGGTGATGGGTGCCTGTAATCCCAGCTACTCAGGAGACTGAGGCAGGAGAATCGCTTGAACCCAGGAGGTGGAGGTTGCAGTGAGCTGAGACCACACCACTGCACTCCAGCCTGGGCAACCGAGCAAGACTCTGCTCAAAAAATAAAAAATAAAAAAATCTGTGGAAATTGGTTTCCTTTCTTGTCACATAGGTACCTATGCCAGGTATGGTGACTCACACCTGTAATCCCAACACTTGGGGAGGCTGAGGCAGGAGGAGCGCTTGAGCCCTGGAGTTTAAGACCATCCTGGGCAACATAGCAGGACCATGTCTTAAAATAAAATAAACATTAAAAAAGTAAGTACTTACATGTTACCTTTCATTTTGCCTCTTGGCCCAAAAAGCCTAAAATATTTATTCCATTTTCTAGTAGTTTACAGTTTGCTGGCCCCTGGCTGAGCACAACACCACGTTGTCTAAATTCCGGGACTACAGAAGTATCTAAGGCAATCAGGGTCCTTGACTTCATGTAGTTTAGAAATTAGCAAGGAAGACAAGTAACATTATCAACACTGACTTGCTTACATACAAATTCAGGGTCTCATCTGGACATTTGGTTAAACTCCTTGAATCTTGGGCCTCCTGTTTCGGCTTGTCTAATTGTCATCGTCTTTCTTCCTTTCTTTTTTTCTTTCTTTTCTTCCTTCCCTCCTTTTCTTTGCCCCTCTTCTCTCCTTTTTTCTTTTTAATTTTCTTTTCTTTCCTTACAGGGTCTTGTTCTGTCACCCAGGCTGGAAGGCAGTGTTGTGATCTTGGCTCACTGCAGCCTCCACTTCCTGGGCTCAAGCCATACTCCCATCTCAGCCTCCCCAGTAGCCGGGACTACAGGCACACCACCATGCCCGGCTAATTTTTGTATTTTTTTTTTTTTGTAGAGATGGGGTTTCACCATGTTGCTCAGGCTGGGTCTTGAATTCCTGGACTCAAGCAATCTGTCTGCCTCAGCCTCCCAAAATGCTCAGATTACAGTCATGAGCCACCATACCCGGCCCATCATCATCTATTCTGATTACAAAAGAATGTGTGTGGTGAAAACATTTCAAACTTTACAAAAATGTGTGAGAAAGTGAAAATCCCCCATAATCCATCAACCCAGAGCAAAATACCAGGACCAGTTTGGTTCACATTCTCCAGGTTTTGTCCTAATGGATGTGCAGAAATACAGTCACACTATACATATTCTTCTGCAATTGCTTTTTCTACCTCGTGCTTTATCTTGGACATCTTCTTTTCATTCTTTAAAACGTCTCTCCACTTTTGGGCCAGGTACAGTGGCTCATATCTATAATCCCAGCACTTTGGGAAGCCGAGACCAGCCTGGGCAACATAGTGAGACCCCGTCTCTACAAAAAAAAAAAAAAATACAAAAATTACTGAGGCATAGTGGTGTGCACCTGTGTGTGGTCCCAGCTACGCAGGAGGCTGAGGTGAGAGAATCGCCTGAGCCCTGGTAGGTCTACAGTGAGCTGTGATCGTGCCACTGCACTCCAGCCTGGTGACAGAGCAAGGGCCCTTTCTCAAAAAATCAAAATAAAAGAAGTAAAGCAATGGGCTCATGCCCCTGGGAGCCAATGGTTTCCCCACATACCCATCACCCAAAAGCAGCTGGTCTGACAGAACAACAACAACAAAAATGTGTCCCACTTTCAACCACCAATGCAGGAGTACAGAGAAGAGCGGAGACTGTGTCAGCACCAGAATCCCATTGAGAAAAAACACTCTGGCCGGGCACGGTGGCTCTCGCCTGTAACCCCAGCACTTTGGGAGGCTGAGGCGGGCAGATCACCTGAGGTCAAGAGTTCGAGACCACCCTGGCCAACATGGTGAAACCCTGTCTCTACCGAAAATACAAAAATTAGCTGGGCATGGTGGCAGTGAGAGGTGAAGCCAGCTGGACTTCCTGGGTTGAGTGGGGACTTGGAGAACTTTTCTGTCTTACAAGAAGATTGTAAAGTGCACCAATCAGCACTCTGTAGCTAGGACTGTAAAACGTACCAATCAGTGTTCTGTAGCTAGCAAGGGGATTGTAAAATGCACCAATCGGCACTCTGTAAAAATGCACTAATCAGCGCTCTGTAGCTAGCAAGAGGATTGTAAAACACACCAATCAGTGCTCTGTAAAATGCACCAATCAGCACTCTGTAAAATGCACCAATCAGCAGGAGTCTAAAAGTAGCCAATCTCAGGGAGGATTGAAAAAAAGGGCACTCTGATAGGACAAAAATGGAACATGGGCGGGGACAAATAAGGGAATAAAAGCTGGCCACCCCACAGCCAACCACAGCAACTCACTTGGGTACCCTTCCACCCTGTGGAAGTTTTGTTTTTTCTCGCTGTACGATACATCTTGCTGCTGTTCACTCTTTGGGTCTGTGCCATTTTTAAGAGCTGTAACACTCACCATGAAGGTCTGCCACTGCACTCCAACCTGGGCGACTGAGCAAGACTCCATCTCGAAGAAAAAAAAAAGAGAGAGAGAAAAAACACTCTTCCCGCCTGCCAACAAATTGTCGATTTGATGGGTGCTTTCTGGAAGCACAATGCAAATGCCTTCCTGAGGCTCACACGCACGAAGCAGCACTCATGTTTGTCTTTGAACAGGCGAATGCAAGTCAGTGCCCATGGTCATGGTAGTTATACACAAGTCTGTCACCCTGTTTCAGAGGAACTTCACAAGAGCTGTTAAGTCCTAGGTGATCAGGTGGACAAACGGGTGCTAGTAACCCATCAACCACTGGGGAGGAGCTAATGGGGAGAAGAGCACTCCATTGCTGATAGGTTTGAAAGAGTTTTTGCAACATCTGAGGGCAAGGTCAGGCAGGCAACTCAAAGTCTAGACTGATGAGGCCTGGATCTGGGAGACAACACATAGATGCCGTCACTAATGCTATGGAGAGAGTGGAAGAGCCCAGAAAGAGTGGGCAGAGTCCAGTATGGGACCCCAACATTTGAGGAGCAGGCCAGGCGTAGTGGCTGAGCCTATAATCCCAGCACTTTGGGAGGCTGAGGCCAGCCGGGCCAACATGGTGAAATTTGAGACGATCGAGGCCAACATGGCGAAACCCCATCTCTACTAAAAAAATAAAAAATTAGCCGGCTGTGGTGGCACATGTCTGTAGTCCCAGCTACTTGGCAGGCTGAGGCACGAGAGTCACTTGAACCCTGGAGGTCGAGGTTGCAGTGAGTCAAGATCACTCCACTGCACTCCAGCCTGGGCGACAGAGCCAGACGCCGTCTAAAAAAAAAAAAAAAATTAAGGAGCAGGCAGAAGAAAGAGCTGAGAAAGAATAAAGAAGCAGGAAGGAAACCGGAGAGCTGGTGTACGGGAAGCGATGAGGGGAGGCCTCGCGGAGGGGCACGGGGTGGTCCTCACCGACAAACCACCCCAGGTAGAACAAGGGCTAGAGAGCACAAGCGACTGGGCAAAAGGTCTTAGCCTTTACCTGGCTCTCAAGGGAGAGGTTCCTCCTCCTGTGGAGGCGGGAAAGAAGAGCTGACCAGGGAGAAATGTTTGAAGTTTGTGGTTGACAGCCTGGCACAGCCTCTTCCAGGACTCCCTCAAACTCCGGATGCCCTGTGGTGACCCAGAGCCCCACACCCTGACTCCGCAGTCTCCCGGGTCTCAGCCAGAATGGGAGGAGAGCAATCTGATTCCACCTCCCCTGCGATTCCTGGCAGTTGCCCCATCCCTCTCCAGCCTTCCCATCTCCACCGTTCCTAGCAGATGTGCTGTGCACTAGGGGCTTTTCAGGCAAAATAGAGGCGCCTTGTCAGAGAAGCAGAAGGTGCTAGCCACCCAGGGCTTACAAGGATGTGGGGTCTTCCCAAAATGCCTTAAAAGAGTTTCTGGCCAAGTGCAGTGGCTCATGCCTGTAACCCTAGCACTTTGGGGGGCCAAGGAAGGAGGATCACTTAAGCCCAGGAATTTGGGACCAGCCTGGGCAACATGGTGAAACCCTGTCTCTACTAAAGATACAAAACTTAGCTGAGCATGGTGGCATGCACCTGTGGTCCTGGCTACCCGGGAGGCTGAGGTGGGAGGATCGATTGAGCTAGGAGGTCGAGGCTGCAGTGATTGCACCACTGCACTCCAGCCTGAGGGAACGAGTGAGACTGTCTCAAAAAATAAATAAAATATTAAAGAGAAAAAGGGGGTCGGGTCTGGTGGCTCAAGCCTGTAATCCCAGCACTCTGGGAGGCCGAGGCAGGTGAATCAGTTGAGGCCAGGATTTTGAGACCAGACTGGCCAACATGGTGAAACACCATCTTTACTAAAAATACAAAAATAAGCCGAGCATGATGGCAGGCATCTGTAGACCCAGCTCTGTAGGAGGCTGAGGCATGAGAACTGCTTGAACCTGGGAGGTGGAGGTTGTAGGAAGCCAAGGTCGCACCACTGCACTCCAGCCTAGGGACAGAGCAAGACTTTGTCTCGAAAAAAAAAAAAAAAAAAAGAGTTTCAACCTTTCCAAAGTCTCCTTTTCCAGTTGATCCCAGAAATGCACTCGGATATGGCTCCTACTCTGTCTTCCACTCTCCTATTTTGCTTTCTTTGGACACGGACTACGAATGACTTTTTTTCATTCTGGGGCCCCTTATTTCCCAAGAAAAGCCACACCTGCATGAGTGGAGTATGTCCCTTGGCAAGAACAGCTGCCTCTGGTTAGTCAAATATTGCTCAGAGCTCTAGAAAAGCAGAAGGCAAGGGACCTTGAGGAGGGCTCAGCAGGACTGACCCCAGGACTACAGTTCCAGAAAAAATACAAGGGAGTTTGGGCATGGTGGCTCACGCCTGTAATCCCAGCACGTTGGGAGGCCGAGGCAGGTGGATCACCTGAGGTCAGGAGTTCGAGACCAGCCTGGCCAACATGGCGAAACCCCGTCTCTACTAAAAAATACAAAAATTAGCCGGGCATGGTGGCGCGTGCCTGTAATCCCAGCTACTTGGGAGGCTGAGGCAGGAGAATCACTTGAACCAGGGAGGCGGAGGTTGCAGTGAGCCGAGTTCATGCCACTGCACTCCAGCCTGGGCGAAAGAGCAAAACTCCGTCTCAAAACAACAACAACAAAAAGAATGCAAGGTAGCCTTGCCCTGGGGTGGCAGAATGGCAGAGAGAGATCTGGTCTGCATTAGCAAAAGTGCAACTAGTGTTACTTAACCGCTAGCAACATGAGGGCTTGGTGGGCTTGCCATTGATGTGATGAATTCCATCCTGGGAAGCTTTTACAAACCAGGCCCTCCCACAAGCACTGTGACTATGAAGATGAATAGAATGAGGTTTCCACTTTCTAGGCACTCACAGTCCTGGAAGGAAGCTGGCGAGGCAGGCAGACGCTTTGGTAAGGGGGTGCCGCAGCAGCGAGCCGGCAGAACGTGCTGCCTGCATCTCACTCCTGCAAACCACGTGCAGCTTGTTTTCAACATTGGCGGGAAGAGCAGATGGTTCCTACCAAATGTTATTGTATTGCACATTATGAGCCAAGCAAAGTTAAGTCTAAAAAAGTGACTAACGAATCTCTCATGCAGGATTCCAAATAATTTATCTAGATACTCTGCCTTCGAGAAGGTAGCACAAGGCTGGGTGTGGTGGCTCATATCTGTAATACCAGCACTTTGGGAGGCCAAGGTGGGTGAGTCGCTTGAGCTCAGGAGTTTGAGACCAGCCTGAGCAACATGGTAAGACCCTGTCTGTACAAAAAGTACAAAAAAAATAGCCAGGTGTGATGGTGCACACTTGTGGTCCCAGCTACTCGGGGGGCTGAGGTAGAAGGATTACTTGAGCTGGGGTGGGGCGGAAGTTGCAGTGAGGTGAGATTGCACCACTGCACTCTAGCCTGGGTGACAGAGGGAGACCCTGTCTCAAAAAAAAAAGAACGGTAAAACATAGGCTGGGTGCAGTGGCTCACACCTGTAATCCCAGCACTTTGGGAGGCCAAGGCAGGAGGATCGCTTGAGCCTAGGAGTTGGAGACCAGCTTGGGCAACATAGGGATGACACAGGGCAGGTAAGGCCCAAATTGAGGCTTAGCCCGGGAGGGTTCTTGGCTTTGCCCAGGAAAGAATTCAAGGGTGAGCCAGTGGCAGAGGAAAACTGCTTGATTGAGGTGGCAGTGCTACAGCTCATGACTGCTCCTGCAGAGCAGGGCTACCTGTAGGCAGTGTGCAGAGACTAGCAGCTCAGAAGCAGTTTTGCAGTCATATTTATGCCCATTTTTAATTACATGCAAATTAAGAGGTGGATCATGCAGACATTTCTAGAAAAAGGGTGGTAACATTCAGGTCATTGGGTCATTGCCATGGAAGGGGTGGATAACTTCCAGGTGTTGCCATGGCAATGGTAAATTGACATGGCACACTGGTGGGCGTGTCTTATGGAGAGCTGCTTCCGCCTCTTCCCTATTTTAGCTAGCCCTCAGTCTGGTCTGGTGTCTGAGCCCTGCCTCCAGAATCAAGTCCTGCCTCTTACCTGTGGCTACAAAAAATGAAAAAAATTAGCCGAGCATGGGTATGTGCACCTGTGTTCCCAGCTACTTGGGAGGCTGAGGAGGGGGGCTCGCTTGAGCCCTGGAGGTTGAGGCTGCAGTGAGCCATGATTACACCACTGTACCCCAGCCTGGGCGACAGAGCGAGACCAAAAAACAATGTGAATGAACTTAATACCACTGAACTATACACTGAAAAATGGTTAAGATGGTAAATTTTATGTGTAGTTCACCACGCACACAAAAATTGGGACTAAAGGGGGACACAGCAGTGGAACGGGTTGTGGCAATGCCTGGGGATGTCCAGGGCCAGGGGCGGCTCTCAGCAAAGAATTTCTGCTGCCAATTATGCTGTGATTGGGTGAAGATCTGAGAGGCACCGCAATTGTTTTCAAACTAGGTCCTTGTGAATACTTCTAATTATATGACCTCACGCCGAGGCAGCCGGCCAAGGGGTAACTGTTTGGCCAGTGAACAGAGCTGCCCTCTGTGGTCGGTGGCCTGCAGCCTTCTGGGTGAGGGTGGGGGTGGGGAGCCTGTACTAAATTGTTGGATAATATGGTAAAGGTGGCTGCAGTTTCCTTTCAACTTTTCCTATTTCCCCTTCTAACCCACTTTCCCACCCACAAAATAATGTGTCTTCAGAGAGCCCTCGGCTTCCCAGGGCTGGAGGTGGAGTGGAAAGGGTTGCATTATGATTGCAACCCCAGCCAGCCACTACCTCATCATGGAGTGGATCGTTTCCTATTCTTGGAGACTTTGGGTCTGATTCACCTCTGACCACACAAAGCCATTTCAATGCGTCTTTCAGGAGCTCCTCCACCCAGCCCCTGTCAGGACCCTCAGCACCCACCCCTAAGAGTTCTTTGTCCCGAGAAACTGGTGCGAGCCAGAACGGATCAGGAGAGATTGGTGGCAGCAGTCATTTAGGTGCTTGTCTTTGGTTAGTGCGGCCCTGCAAGGTGCCGTCTCATTGGGAATTTCCTTGCACCTGCCCCACTAAAGGCAGGTGGGTAGTGGTGACAACACATATATGGAGAAGTTGGGAAGTGGGAGAGAAACGTTTGCTTCCTTCCTGTCCTTTCACAGATCCCAAACCCGCTGAGGGCTTCCCATGGAAAGCTGTCTGGGCCCCTCAGCCTGCCTCTCTTGGGACCCCCCACAGACTGGCCCTGGCTGACCTTTGCAAATTCCTCTCTCATTTTTCCCCTGCAGGGACTCTCAACCCCAGCCAGACTGATCCACCCACCATCCTCGCAAAATGCCTTTCTTCCATGACGACTGCCCCTTCCTTCCTTGCTCACGCCATGCCCTCCCCCAATCTGGAACGCCCTCCCCACTCCTCTTCCCTGCAACTCATAACCATTTTTCAAGGCCCAGTTCCAACCCCAATCCCACTTCTTGGATGACGCACTCCTCTTCTGTCCCAGTCCAAATTTCCGATGTCAGCATCTGAACTCGGGATAACCTCATTCCCCGAGCTGCCACTCATTCAGGCACCAGTAGCTCTGGACGGGGGCTGGACACGCCCCTGTGTTGTCTCTCACTTAATCCTCCCCATTATCTAATAAGCACCGCCACTGTCCTGCCACTTTGCAGATGAGGATAGCTGAGTCTTAGAAAAGGAAAGGAACTTGCCCAGGGCCATGAGATTAGTAGGTAGCCAATCTGGGATTCAAATTCATTTTTTTCTAGCCCCAAATTCCCTTGTTTTAATTTACATGATCGCAATTGCCTTAACTCCCTGAGAAACATGACTCGTTTCATTCATTCAACCATTCATTCAATGAACACAGTACATTTCGTGCCAATCACCCAGCTAAGCTGTAAAAATCCCCAGCTTTGCCGGGCGCGGTGGCTCACGCCTGTAATCCCAGCACTTTGGGAGGCCGAGGCAGGCGGATCACAAGGTCAGGAGATCGAGACCATCCTGGCTAACACGGAGAAACCCCGTCTCTACTAAAAATACAAAAAATTAGCCGGGCGTAGTGGCGGGCACCTGTAGTCCCAGCTACTCGGGAGGCTGAGGCAGGAGAATGGTGTGAACTCGGGAGGCGGAGCTTGCAGTGAGCCGAGATCGCGCCACTGCACTCTAGCCTGGGCGACAGAGCGAGACTCCGTCTCAAAAAAAAAAAAATTCCCCAGCTTCTACTCCCAAGGAGTTTCCATTCTGGTGGTGCGGGAAGATGTCTTTATTACAGAAAGTGGAGGAAGGATGGTAGCAGAGGGGAGGGCAGAGTTATAATTCCCACTGAATGGATGCGGAAACTGAAGGAAGGCAGGACAACACAGTCGGCCAAGATGGTAAGCAGAGCCCGCCATCACCACCCAGGGATCAGGGCTTCCCAAGCACTGACTATTCTTCCTTGCATTTTCTGGGTGCCTTGCTCGATGCAAATGCATACAAACGTAGGCTTGGATAAGCGCCTTGGCAACGCCCCTACAAATATTCATGATCATTATTAGTATGTTACCAACCTATTGGTTAATTCTTCTCCTAACTCAGGAGACCTCCAAAAAGAAGAGGGATGGCCTGCGCTTCCGACGTGGCAGGAAAGGAGTCACGTGCTCCGGGGTCCTTCCGCGTCGCCCCGCGCGTCCGGAGCCAGGCCGGGGTTGCCAAGCAACCGGTAAACGCCGCCGTTTGAGGAGCACCGGAGCCGCGACCGTGGATTGAACGCTTCCCCAGAGACCCAGAAGCAGAAGGAGCGGACCCAGGGTAAGGGGCGGGCGCCAGGAGGACGTCGGAGGCTAAAGACTAGAGTGGAGAGTGACAGGGAGAGACTTACAGGGTAATAACCACCAAGAGTGCCAAACATTCCTCTTGGGGGGCTTCCTTCTGGGATAGCTCTGCCAGATGGTGGCTGCCAGGACTAGCGCTCCTAGTGCCCTCTTCCCCTTAGTCCTCGCTGCCCTGGATCCGCCCCAAGTCGCAGGACCCTGCAGCCTCTGTACACCCTGCCTCATACCCTCCTACCCACTCAGGTCCTGATACAGTCCTTGTCCTGGAGTGGACTGGAGACCTCTGAAGGATTTACAGCTGAATGGATGGAAAAAAAAGAAGAAAAACAGCCTCCGGCTAGGGTGATGGGAAGATGGGCCCTTTAAGAGGAGAGCTTTCTGCTCAGGATAGAGGGATGTAAATTAACAGTATTGCACACCTGCTAGGTGGCAGGTGTTTTAAGTGCTTTCTTTCATTTCTTCCTCAACCTGGGAGCTGGCGTTCTCGTGTGATCGAGGTCATACAGTTGGTGAGTTCCTCCGGAGCGTGTGCAGTTCCTCCTTCCTGCTCAAGGTCAAGGTTTACCACATTCTCTTGAACCACAGAAGTGCGTCTTCTCCCAGCTTTCAGACCCTATGTGTTTTCCTCTCGAATCCTTGGTTTCAAATCCTTTGCTTGTTTGTCACGGTCAGCAGAGGAGGAACAGGGGAGAGAGCTGTAGAGAGAAGCCTGGTAGGCGCTGGTATCACAGTCACTAACGCAGCAGGTGACAGGAGTCTTGGGCCCCTTCTATGTGCCAGTCCCTGGGGACGGGAGTGAATAAAAGACCACAGTCTTTCCGTCAAGGAGACCACAAGGTAGTTGTGAGGGCAGGTAGTCACTGACCCCCATCGGTCTCCAATTCTGGGGACCTCTTCCCAACTCGTCCTGCCCTCAACCTTCACTTTCCTTGGGGGGCTCAGCCATGCTTAGTGCTATCCTGGGGGAAAATAAATGGGGGCTTTCTAGGGAGGTCTGCCTCTTTTGAGGGTAGAGTGAGTCCCTCAGGACCCCGGAATTCCAGAAGGTGCACAAGGACATAAGAAAGAGAAAGAAAGCTGGGTGCGGTTTTCACACCTGTAATCCCAGTGCTTTGAGAGGCCCAGGAGGATGGATCACTTGAGGTCAGGAGTTTGAGACCAGCCTGCCCAACATGGTGAAACCCCATCTTTACTAAAAATACAAAAATTCTGGCCGGGTGCAGTGGCTCACGCCTGTAGTCCCAGCTACTCGGCAGGTGGAGGCAGAAGAATTGCTTAAACCTGGGAGGTGGAGGTTGCAGTGAGCTGAGATCAGGCCACTGCACTCCAGCCTAGGTGACAGACTGAGACTCCGTCTCAAAAAAAAAAAAAATTAGCCGAGTGTGGTGGCATGCACCAGTAGTCTCAGCTACTCAGGAGACTGAGGCACAAGAATCGCTTGAACTTGGGAGGCAGAGGTTGGAGTGAGCCAATATCACACCACTGCACTCCAGCCTGGGTGACAGAGCAACACTGTCCCAAAAGCAACAACAACAAAGAAAGAGGGAAGGAAGTCCTCTCCTGCCAGGTGCCATGCAGGGCCCACCACTCGCAGGAACCCAGTAGGGGCTGTACCAGGGACCAAGAAGAAGAGGAAAATGTTCTCATCTCCTTATTCCACTAGGGAGTTCAATGTGGAGGGCTGACCTTCCAGCTTGCCTCCTTCCCAGTCTCCCACGCTGACACTCCTCCTCCCCATCACTCCCTTGGCCTTCCTCCCAGCTTGGAAAACACACTTTCCCTTAAGCCACCGGAGGTTCTCTCCAGGAATTACTTTGCTCATTCTCACTGCACAAGACGAGTTTTGTTTTTATAGTGAGTGAAGGTTCCCATCTGACTGCCTCCCCGGGGATGCGGGAGACGCCTGAATCTTTGATGTCTGGACCACAGCGTCCCTGATTCTGCGTGTTCCTGTGTTTGAGACTCACAGTGGTGTTCTTCACGCCTCTGGGACTCTAGGTTCCCACGGGGGGAGGATCTCCCCCCAAAACTCCAGAGGGCAGTGACACTGCTCCCGTCCCCGCTCTGTCACCCCATGCAGACACTCCTGCTCAGGCCTTGCTTGGGGAAGCCCACCCTCTAGCACTAGTCTCACAAGAGGTTGGGGGAGACCTCCTGAGACGCCCTTTGCTGACCTTGCTATTCATCTGTGTGCCCTGCTAGCTTGTGAGAAGAGCTTGCTCTGGGTCCTTGAATGGGTTGTCTTCCCGTCACCAGGCCAGTCTTTAAATGTCCCCTCTGTCTGCCTCCAGACACAAGACAATGCCTCTGTTCTCACTCGGGGCTTGGCCTTGGGAAACACCAAGAAGGAAAGCAAAGCTGTTAAAAATCTGATCTGGGCTAAAGAGGCTATTTCTGTCTTCCTGGAGTTTCCTCATTCTCTTCAATCTCCTTGTGTCCCCTAGGAGCCAGCTGGCTTGCAGCAATTTCTTTTAAAAGTCAGAGACAGGCAGCCCTAATTGCCTGAGTCCTGCAGCCCCATGTGGGAGGCACAGTTGCTTCACACTGTGTTGGCAAAGGGGAGGATGCCACGGGATTTGCATGCTTTTTCACAAGGCCGTAGCTTTGTCCATGTGGTAAAAACACACTGGGGCACCCCGCTACAATCTGGGCTTCTCATCCCACCCTGTGCCCTCTAAGCCATTGCTCCCACCCAGGAAAGAGAATTTCCAAACTACAAGAAAGAGAAGAAAACAAGGCTGGGTGCGGTGGCTCATGCCTGTAATCCCAGCACTTTGGGAGGCCGAGGTGGGCGGATCACTTGAGATCAGGAGTTCAAGAACAGCCTGGCCAACATGCTGAAACCCTGTCTCTACTAAAAATACAAAAATTAGCCGCGAATGGTGGCATGTGCCTGTAATCCCAGCTACGGGAGGCTGAGGCAGGAGAATCGCTTGCACCCGGGAGACGGAGTTTGCAATGAGCCTAGATCTTGCCACTGCACTCCAGCCTGGACGACAGAGCGAGAATCCATCTCAAAAAAAAAAAAAAAAAGAAAAAAGAAAAAAAGAAAGAAAATGCCACTTTCTGCAACAGTCTGGTTAAGGTTGAGTTGCTCTGGGGCTAGGAGTGGGATGGGGTGGTACTGTCTTCAAGACACAATGTATATGGATGCAAAGGGTTAACCTTCCTACCCTCCTTCTCCCCACCTGCTGCCCCAGCTGCTCCAGGGCCCAAGTTCCCCCTGGCACATGCTTCTAGGGGCACACAGCTCCTGCCCTGCCTCTCAGGGGCCAGCGGCCAGGACCCACTGGTCTGGTGCCTTGTAGCCCTGGAGGCGGGAGAGGGTAGGTAAGACACAGGTCTGGTAGTCATGTTCACCTAGGGTGATTGTGAAAAACACGAATTGCTAGGCCCTGCCCCAGGCATCTAGTTCAGCATTTGCAGGAGAGAGGCCTGGGAGTCTGTGTATTTTTAAGGAAGATCCCAGGTTTCAGAAACGCTGGTTGAGAGATTAAGTTCCCTCACTTTAAATCAATGGTCCTCAAAGTTGGCTACACATGGAATTGCCTGGAGAATTAAAGAAAAAAAGCATATACTGATGAGAGATTCTGATGTAGTTGTTCTGGGGTTCAAACAGCATTGTGATTTCACAAAGCCCTGCAGGTGTTTCTAAATGTGCAGTCAGGACTAACAATCACTGCTTTAGAGCCAGACATGCCTGGTGGTTCTGCCTGAACTGAAGAACTGTGACCTTTGGCCCTGTATTAATACTTCATCTCTCCAGGCCTCAGTTTCTTCATCTCGAAAATGGGCTCATGCCTATAATCCCAGCACTTTGGGAGGCTGAGGCAGGAGGATCACTTGAGCCCAGGAGTTTGAGACAAGCCTGGGCAACATAGTGAGACCCTCAACTCTACAAAAAAAAAAAAATTAGTCTGATGTGGTAGTGTCTGCCTGTGGTCCCAGTTACTCAGAAGGCTGAGGTGGGAGGATTGCTTGAGCCTGGGAGGTTGAGGCTGCAGCAAGCTGTGTTCATGCCACTGCACTCCAGCCTGGATGACAGAGCAAGACACTGTCTCATAAAAAGAAATGTTAGTGAGAATTGTGATCACTCTTTGGGAGTGGTGCTGGGCATGCAGGAAGCACGCCTGGAAACTGTTGTTCATAGTGCTTGCAACCTGGTCAGTCTTTACATATTCTGGATGCAAGTTCTTTATCAAATAGATAATTTGCAGATATTTTATCCAAGTCTGTGGCTTCTCTTTTTGTTAACATTGTTGGCCGGGCATGGTGGCGCATACCTGTAATCCCAGCTACTCTGGAGGCTGAAGCAGGAGAACCACTTGAACGCAGGAGGCGGAGGTTGCAGTGAGCAGATATGCCACTCCACTCCAGCATGGGTAACAAAATGAGATTCCATCTCAAAAAAAAAGAAAGAAAAGAAAAGAAAGAATGAATAAGACCTACTATTTGATAGGACAACAAGGTGACAACAGTCAGCAATAACTTAATTGTACATTTAAAAATAACTAACAGGCCGGGCGCGGTGGCTCACGCCTGTAATCCCAGCATTTTGGGAGGCCAAGGTGGGTGGATCATGAGGTCAGGAGATCGAGACCATCCTGGCTAACACGGTGAAACCCCATCTCTACTAAAAATACAAAAAATTAGCCGGGTGTGGTGGTGGGCACCTGTAGTCCCAGCTACTTGGGAGGCTGAGGCAGAAGAATGGCGTGAACCCGGGAGGCGGAGCTTGCAGTGAGCTGAGATCGTGCCACTGCACTCCAGCCTGGGTGACAGAGGGAGACTCCGTCTCAAAATAAATAAATAAATAAAAATAACTAACAAAGGATAAATTCTTGAGGGGATGGATACCCCATTCTCCATGATGTGACTATTAATATCTAGTATTTGATAGCACAACAGGGTGACTATAGTCAAAATAATTTAATTATACATTTAAAAATAGCTGAAAGAGTATAACTGGATTGTTTGTAACACAAAGGATAAATGCTTGAGGGGATGGATGGATACCCCATTTCCCATGATTGTATATTGTATATTGCATGCCTATAGCAAAACATCTCCTGTGCCCCATAAATATATACACCTACTATGTAACCACAAAAATTAAAAATTAAAAAAAAATAGCAAAACCTGCTCACAGGCAAACCTGCTCACGTAATCCTGTTTTTGAGATAGAGTCTTGCTCTGTCATCCAGGCTGGAGTGCAGTGGCACAATCTCGACTCACTGCAACGTCTACCTTCCAGGTTTAAGCGATTCTCCTACCTCAGCCTCCTGAGTAGCTGTGATTACAGGCACGTGCCACCATGCCTGGATAATTTTTGGTATTTTTAGTAGAGATGGGTTTTCGCCATGTTGGCCAGGCTGGTCTTGAACTCCTGACCTCAAGTGATCCACCGGCCTCGGCCACCCAAAGTGCTGGGATTATAGGCATGAGCCACAATGCCCGGCCTAATCTCTTGGGCGTTGAAAGGCCTTTGGTTGTAAATCTACCAAGGCAAGCTCTCCTTCAGTTTATCTTCCTCCCACCAGCACCAGCCACTCATCCACATCTTTTGTCCTAAGGCTCTGTGCAACCCCAGGAGCCTTGCACAGATCCTCAATCTGAGCCCCTGGAAACTTGCTATCAAAGGCACAATTTCTGAAAGTGCAGGTGGCTGGCAGACGGAAATCTCTGCTAATTCCATGGTGTGATATGGCAGGTACACAGGTCAAAGCGCCAACCACTGAACTCATTGAGAAAGCCCTCAGACCCAGTGGAGTCTAGTGATGTCATGGGGGAGTCAGAAAGGTCAAGGGCAATATGTGGGAATGGCCCAGCCCATTGCATTTTTACAACTTCTAATCAGCATCAGTGAGAAACCCTTCCTTGCGTGGCCTGTGAACCCCGCCTCTGATGCTGCTGGAGCACTTTCATTTCACTTCTCAGCATCCTGTGGGTGTGTCAGGTCTCAGAAAGACTAAGTGGCCCTGCCTAGGTCACGCAGCTGGTGACGGGAGGCCCAGAACTTGAAATCAGGGCCGAGCCCAGCCCACTTCCCAATTCCCTGCTGTGTCCCATGACCAGTAGCACGCGTCAGAGGCTTTCCCAAAGGCCTCCATGTCCCGCCTGTTGGGGAAGCCCCTGGCTTTCTCTCTGTCTGGGATTGACTCTCAGCTCTGTCCTGGTTGGAGAGAAGAGATTTCCAGGATGGTACCCAGACAGTGGTGGAGGCCAGAGTCTGGCAACCAACGAGCCTTTTGGACAATTGGGTGGGGAGTTGGGTCATTGGGTTGGAGAGGAGGGGTTCAAGAAGAGGCCCAGGGGTCTCAAATCTGTGTCCTGTGTGTTTCATGCCCAGCATGGCAGGGAATTTAGTCCAACATCATCACCATCAATATTTCCTCCTGCCCTGTCAATAAACACTGATTCAGTAAAAACCGTATTGTACCACGTGCGATGGCTCATACCTGTAATCCCAGCACTTTGGGAGGCTGAGGCAGGTGGATCACTTGAGCCCAGAAGTTCAAGACCAGCCTGGGTAAAATGGCGAGACCCCATCTCTACAAAACAATACAAAACTTAGCCAGGCATGGTACTGCACACCTGTGGTCCCAGCTACTTGGGAGGCTGAGGTGGGAGGATCACTTGAGCCCGGGGGTTGAGGCTGCAGTGAGCTGTGAGCACACCACTGCACTCCAGCCTGGGTGACAGTACAAGCCTTTGTCTCAAAAAAAAAAAAAAAAAAAAGCCCTAAAAACAAAAGACGAAAACTGTATCATTTGGTGGGTAAGAGCTTTGGAATGGGGGCAGACCAGCTGCAGCATGCATTAGCTATAGGACCTTGGGCAAGTCACTGATGGCATCTAAGCATCAAATGCCTTCAAAGAAAATGGTGATTTTATTTATTTATTTATTTTGAGACAGAGTCTTGCTCTGTCACCCATGCTGGAGTGCAATGGTGTGATCTCGGCTCACTGCAACGTTCTCCTCCCGAGTTCAAGTGATTCTCCCACCTCAGCCTCCCGAGTAGCTGGGATTACAGGTGTGCACCACCATGCCCGGCTAATTTTTGTATTTTTGCAGAGATGGGGTTTCACCATGTTGGCCAGGCTGGTCTTGAACTCCTGACCTCAGGTGATCCACCTGGCTTGGCCTCCCAATGTGCTGGGATTACAGTTGTCAGCTACCGCGCCTGGCCAAAATTTTTATTGCCCTCCTCAGAGAGCAACTGCAATAACTAAACAGGGTAATGCTTAGCATATAGTCGGCACTCAGGATTTTTTTTTAATGCGGATGCAGCTTCTGGACAAATTCCTAGGATCTCCCCACCACCCCTTGCTTCCTGCCCCAACCAGATTGAGAACCTGGAGCTGTCCTGGCAGGACCTGTGGAGATAGGGAAGGGGCCGGTGGGGTCCCTCACCCCACACCCTCCCTCTGCCCCCCAGCAGCCGGCACCATGGAGATTGTGTACGTGTACGTCAAGAAGCGCAGCGAGTTCGGGAAGCAGTGCAATTTCTCGGACCGCCAGGCCGAGCTGAACATCGACATCATGCCCAACCCTGAGCTGGCCGAGCAGTTCGTGGAGCGGAACCCAGTGGACACGGGCATCCAGTGCTCGATCAGCATGTCGGAACACGAGGTGGGTCCCTGCCCCAAGGGCCCTGGCCTGTCAGGTGTGGCCAGGCAGGGCGGCCAGCTGGGGCCGGTGAGTGGTTCTGTGGGTCCTTGTCCACCTGAAAGCCAGTTAGAGTAGACCAAATGCAGATGCTGGAAGTGAGGGCAGAGGCTCCCCCTGAGTTCCACGCAGTGCTCAGGGTCAGAGGAAGACCCAGCACCCGCCTTCCTCGAGCCAGGGAAGTGCAAATCACAATGTTCCCTCTCCCAAGAGCTCTTGTTTCACCTCGAAGACACTTACCAGAGTTGTTTTGGATGTTTGGTGTAGCTGGGAGACATTTTTTTTTTAAACAGGGTCTCACTCTATCACCCAGGAGTGCAGTGGTACAAACTCGACTTACTGCAACCTTCGTTTCCTGAATTCAATAGATCCTCCCACCTCAGCCTCCCTGGTAGCTGGGACTACAGGTGTGCACCACCACGCCTGGCTAATTTTTGCAATTCTTGTAGAGATGAGGTTTTGCCATGTTGCCCAGGCTGGTCTCAAGCTCCTGGGCCCAAGTAGTCCTCCCGCCTTGGCCTCCCAAAGTGCTGGGAATACAGGCATGAGCCACTGTGCCCAGCGTGGGAGAGATATTCTGAGGGAGCAGAGATTCATATCTACAGGCAACTACCCAGCTTGAGAAAAGGGAAGTGTCCCACAGAAAGTTCCAGCCAGAGGGGCCTCCACGATAAGAGAACTTATCTTGAGGGTCATGGTCATGTGTTCAGAGGCCAAAAATTCCCTGTCTCTATGAACTAAGTGATTCACCCTAATTAGGTCAACAACTGCTGAGATAAAATGATAACGAAATCACTTGATTTGGCCAAAACACGTCCAACAGTCAGGTGGGTGTGGGTGGTTTCAGTGACTCACAGTTCAAATGAATTAGGTGCTTCTCTCCCAGGACCAACTGCTCCCCCGGGGATGAGAAGGACTGTGGCCATGGTGTAGCCAATAAGCAGAATGGCCGCTATGTGGGCCACACCCTGGGGGCCCTCCTGTCGTTTCCAGCAGCTCTGCCTTTTCCAGACTTGTTTTGTTTTGTTTTGTTTTGTTTTAACCTTTCCTATGGTGCTGATCCAGATTTTACCTTTTGTGAGAGCTGGCTTAAAAATGGAAAGGAGATGGGAGTGACTTCATGAGGATGGGGTTTCCATCCTGGGTGATGTAAGAGTTTTGGAACTAGGTGGGGTTGATGGTTGCACAGCACTGTGTATAATAACGCTGCTGCAGTGTACGCTTTAAAGTGGTTATGTGGTAAATTTTATGTTACATGTATTTTACCACAATTTCTTAAAAACAGGAAGGGCTGGGTGTGCTGGCTCAAGCCTGTAATCCCAGTACTTTGGGAGACCAAGGTGGGAGGATGCTTGAGGCCACGAGTTTGAGACCAGCCTGGGCAACATAGTGAGACTTCATTTCTACACTTTTTTTTTTTAATTACCCAGTTGTGGTGGCTCGCACCTGTGGTCCCAGTTACTTGGGAGGTGGAGGCGGGCGGATTG
Source organism: Homo sapiens (assembly GCF_000001405.40). Classification (NCBI taxonomy): domain Eukaryota; kingdom Metazoa; phylum Chordata; class Mammalia; order Primates; family Hominidae; genus Homo; species Homo sapiens. Next base: position 74,283,524 of record NC_000017.11, read on the forward strand.
CTTATGCCCTGGAGTTCACAGCAGCAGTGAGCTGTGATTGCACCACTGCACTCCAGCTTGGGCAACAGAATGAGACCCTGTCTCTAAAAATAAATAACTAAATAACTAAATAAATAATTTTTAAAAAATAAAGTGAAAAGAAGGCAGAGGCGAGAGGATCACTTCCGCTCAGGAGTTTGACACCAGCCTGGGCAACATGGCGAAACACCGTCTCTACAGAAGAAAAACAAAAACAAAAATTAGCCACGTGTGGTGGTACATGCCTGTAGTCCCAGCTACTTGGGAGTCTGAGGCTGGAGGATCCCTTCAGCCTGAGAAGTCAAAGCTGTACTGGCCGGGCGCAGTGGCTCATGCCTGTAATCCCAGCACTTCCAGAGGCTGAGGCCAGTGGATCACCTGAGGTCAGGAGTTCAAAACCAGCCTGGCCAACATGGTGAAACCCCGTCTCTACTAAAAATACAAAAATTAGCCGGCCATGATGGCGAGCACCTGTAATCCCAGCTACTGGGGAGGCTGAAGCAGGAGACTCACTTGAATCCAGGAGGCGAAGGTTGCAGTGAGCCGAGATTCCGCCATTGCATTCCAGCCTGGGCAACAAGAGCGAAACTCCTTTTCAAAAAAAAAAAAAAAAAGCTGTAGTGAGTCAAGATCATGCCACTGCACTCCAGCCTGGGCAACAGAGTGAGAGACCCTCTCTTAAAAAAAAAAAAAAGGAAAGAAGGGAAAGTGGCGACACCCACGTGTAAAACTGTCCTCCCTGCTAGAGAGGATAGGCAAAGCAAATCCAAACTTGGAGTTTTAACGTTCAATTTTTGTGACACTGACATTGTCAGTGATAGGGTGGCATTGTTAATGATAGAGTGAAGAAAGGCTATTCACTTTTTCTTTTTTCTTTTTCTTTTTTTTTGAGACGGAGTCTCGCTCTGTCGCCCAGGCTGGAGTGTAGTGCTGTGATCTCGGCTCACTGCAACCTCTGCCTCCCAGGTTCAAGTGATTCTCCTGCCTCAGCCTCCCGAGTAGCTGGGACTACAGGCGCCCACCACCACGCCCGGCTAATGTTTTGTATTTTTAGTAGAGACGGGGTTTCACCGTGTTAGCGAGGACGGTCTCGATCTCCTGACCTCGTGATCTGCTCGCCTCGGCCTCCCAAAGTGCTGGGATTACAGGTGTGAGCCACTGCACCCGGCCAATTATTCACCTTTTCTTTGGATTCTCACAGAGCAGATGGACAGGCTTCTCTGGTCCATTAGAATTCAGATAAGGTCAGAACAGGATTTTCATGACCACAGCTACCAGTTGCAAAGCTGCTTAGCTCCACAGGGTTGCGCTGTTGCAGCTACCTGTGCCCACCTGATCACCAGGAATTTCCTTGCCTGCATTTGAAAATACTGTGGCTCCGGCCAGGGCGCCTCAGCATCCAGCCCTGGGAGCCCCCGTGGGACCTGGCTTGCAGAAGTGGCCGAGGGTTTGGGAGTATACCAGGGTGACGTCTTCCCTCCTGCGGCTCTCTGTTTAGGCCAACTCAGAGCGGTTTGAGATGGAGACCCGGGGAGTTAACCATGTCGAGGGGGGCTGGCCCAAGGACGTGAACCCCCTGGAGCTGGAGCAGACCATCCGTTTCCGGAAGAAAGTGGAGAAAGATGAGAACTACGTTAACGCCATCATGCAGCTCGGCTCTGTAAGGCTTCCTCCTGCCCCAGCTGCAAGAGCCCCATCCATCACTGCAGCTCCCCAAGGGATGCACTGCCCCAGCTGTGCCTGGCCATCGCTGTGAGGCTCGTGTGAATGCTGGGGGGAAGGGGACCAGCTGCTACCTCAAGGAGCCTTCTGTCTGGGAGCAGGCAGAGGTCCCAATCACAGACCAACAGGGAAGGCAGGGAGGTACAAGGGCTGACCAGGCATCAGGAGGAGTCTGACCTTGGGCAAAGGTGACTCCCAAAGTGCCCCACCCAGCAGCCAATAGGGATCATTCATTCATTTGACAAATTTGGACTGAACTTCAAGCCTCTGCCAGGCACAGTAGAGGTTGCAAAATGAATCTCATAATTGTTCTACATACTTGCCAGTGCAAAAAAAAAAAATTGTTTTAAGGAAAAAGAAATTTAAAATTTAAATTAAAAGAAAAAGAATCTCTTATACATCCTGTCCCAAAGAGATTGCAGTCCATTGGAGGTCAAAGACAAATACAGAGACATCACCAGATAACATAAAAAGAAAGAAATGCTGAAAGAGAAGCATGACTTGTCCTTTGACTCCATGAGGAGGGAGGGTCAATCTCCTGCTGAAGGGAACAGGGAAGGCTTCCTGGAAGAAGTGGCAGGGCTTGGTTGTCCTTTGGTGGACATTTGCAATAAAGGGGAGGGCATTCTGGATGGAGGAACCAGCTGTCTGCAAGGACAGGAAGAAGGAGATGAGTGCCATATACACACACACACATATATATATATAGAGAGAGAGAGAGAGAGAGAGAGAGATTAATAATTTTATTTGGGCTGGGCTTGGTGGCTCACACCTGTAATCCCAGCACTTTGGGAGGCAGAGGCAGGCAGATCACTCGAGCTCAGGAGTTTGAGACCAGCCTGGCCAACATAGCAAAACCCCATCTCTACTAAAAATACAAAAATTAGCCAGGTGTGGTGGCACATGCCTGTAGTCCCAGCTACTTAGGAGGCCGAGGCAGGAGAATTGCTTGAACCCGAGAGACGGAAGCTGCAGTGAGTCCAGATCGCACCCCTGCACTCTAACCTGGGCAGCAGAGCAAGACTGTGTCTCAAAATAATAATAATAATAATAATAATAATAATAATAATAATAATTTTGTTTGTCTAGCATGGTGTTCTTCAACCTTTTCTTCATTATTGGCCTTCATGTTTTTTCTAATGGCCTTCTGCCTCCATAAAATGTTTGTTGTTGTTGAGACAGAGTCTCATTCTGTCACCCAGGCTTGAGTGCAGTGGCGTGATCTTGGGTCTCTGCAATCTCCACCTCCCGGGTTCAAGCAATTCTCCTGCCTCAGCCTCCCAAGTAGCTGGGATTACAGGCGGCTGCCACCATGCCCAGCTAATTTTCTTTTGTATTTTTGGTAGAGATGGGGTTTTACTATGTTGGCCGGGCTGGTCTCAAACTCCTGACCTCAAGTGATCCACCCGCTTCGGCCTCCCAAAGTGCTGGGATTACAGGCGTGAGCCACCGCACCCAGCCCATCAAATGTTAATGCTATAGACATACTGTATATCTGTTCATGCGCTGCATGTATTTCCATGCTTTGTACCTAAAAAGCAATATTATTTTACCCCCAGGAACCAATTGAAAATTCCTCCATTGAAAGCACATGGTTAGGTGGATGGGAAAAGCCCCTGGCTATGTCCTGTCCCTCCCAGACTCCATTGCAGGCCTGGGCAATCTGAAAGGACCTCCATTTACTGCGGAGAACTTCCAATGTGTCCCCCCTAGATCATGGAGCACTGCATCAAGCAGAACAATGCCATTGACATCTATGAAGAGTATTTCAATGACGAGGAGGCCATGGAAGTGATGGAGGAGGACCCTTCAGCTAAAACCATCAATGTGTTCAGGTAGCGCCATAGCCAGGCAGGTGTCTGGCCACCCTCCGTCACCCCCATGCATGGGCGCCTCCAAAGGCAACTCCTTGCCATCGCTGCATGCCCTGGGTGCAGCACTGTCTGTGCTCTGAGCTTGATAAGTGACGTGGTGATAAGTCACCCAGCAGAGAAGTGGCCCTGCTCTGGGGGCGGGTCTGGTTGATGGAAAGGGAGTACAGACTCCAGAGAAAGTGAAATTGCCCAGCTGCGTACAGGTGGGGCATGTTCCTGCAGGGCAGAGTAAGTACAAGTACCAAGCATGAGCAGCTAGCAGCACTGTGGGCACACAGGCCCCCGCCGCGGCCTGCACTCATGCGAGTATATCCATGAATAACTCCAGAGGATAGAAGTTTGACACCAGGGATTCATCCCACAGGTTGTGTGTGTGTGTGTGTGTGAAATCACCGCAGGCGTGGATATTCACTGCAGAGGGTGTATGCCAGCCAAAGACTAGAACAAGCTAAGTCCATCCATAGGGGACTGGTTCTAGCAGTTCTGGCACACCCACACGACGGAATGCCATGCACCTGGTAAAGCGAGCGGGGCAGTCTGGGCATGGTGGCTCACGCCTGTAATCCCAGCACTTTGGGAGGCCAAGGCGGGTGCATCACCTGAGGTCAGGAGTTCAAGACTAGCCTGGCCAACATGGCAAAACCCCGTCTCTACTAAAAATACAAAAATTAACTGGGTGTGGTGGCACATGCCTGTAATCCCAGCTACTCGGGATGCTGAGGCAGGAGAATCACTTGAACCTGGGAGGCGGAGGTTGCAGTGAGCCGAGATCGCACCACTGCACTGCAGCCTGGGCAATACAGCAAGACTCTGTCTCAAAAAAAAAAAAAAAGCAGTGCAACTTCTTATGTGCTGATATGGAGTCATTTCCAGGATTCAGTATGTGAAAACCAAACCAAAACAAAGCCGGTGCAGAACAGGGTGTGCAGAGTGCCACTTTTTGTGGCAGTCCCCAACTTAAACCATTTTTTGTCTTTGCAAGGCTGCAAAAGCAATGCAAATCCAGGAGAAACCGTACTTCAAGTACCCATACAACCATTCTGTTTTCCACCCTCAGTACAGTATTCAGAAAATTACATGAGCTGTTCACCTCTTTATTATAAAATAAGCTTTGTGCTAGGTGATTTTGCCCAACTATAGGCTAATATAAGTGTTCTGAGCACATAGGCTGGACTAAGATGTGATGCTGGGTAGGTTAGGTGTATTCAATGCATTTTCAGCTCCTGATATTTCCAACTTACTATGGGTTTATCAGATGTAGCCAACATCATTAGATAAGGAGCATCTGTATATGTGTATAAATATATGCATATGTGTATGTGTGTATATATGTGTAGATGTATGTTTACATGCCTGATGTGAGGAGAACATCTGTGATTTTGGACTTCTGGCATCCGGAACTGTGATAGAATCAATTTCTGTTGTTTGAAGCCACGCAGTTTGTGGGACCTCGTTGCAGCAGCCCCAGGAACAGAATACCCCATCCCAGAGCACCTTTGTAGGGTGTACAAAAGAAGCTGATAGGAAGGAGAGCTTGGGAACAGGGATGGGGAGAAGCCTGGGGAAGAAGGACTCCTCGGCCTTGAAGTCTGGTGGAAGGAGTTGCAGAAAGTGGGTGGAAGTGAGAAAGACCATGCTCTGTGGCCTCGGTTTTGACCATGAAGAAAAAAGCAAGGCCGTCCAATCAGATGAGTGGAGATGAGCAGGAGGCTGGAATAGAGCAGCTGGGGAAATGCGGAGGGGAAGCCTGTGGACCTGGGGCAGAGGACAGACCTTGGGTCTGGGTGATGCAGGACTAGGGGTGTGAAAGGTGTTTGGGAAATGACTTGCCTCAGATCCCAGCTCTGGGGAATTCATTTCACTACCACGACTGACTTAGGGGCCTGGGAAGTACCTAGCCCAGTCCCAGCACAGCAAGAAAGAACTCTTTTCTGAGGCAGGGCTGACTCATGGTGTGCAAGCAGGGCCAGTGGCTGTCAGCAAGGGGTGTGCAGGAGAGGGCATGGCGGGGCAGAGGCTGCCCTTCCTGTTGCCCTCCAGCCCTGCTGGGCTCTAACCTCGTATATGGACCACCAGAGCAGGATGATGCATTAGAAATCATCCGAGGGGCCGGGCACTGTGGCTCACGCCTATAATCTTAGCACTTTGGGAGGCCCAGGTGGGCATATCATCTGAGGTCACGAGTTTGAGACCAGCCTAGGAAACATGGTAAAAACCTGTCTCTACTAAAAATACAAAAATTAGCCAGGCGTGGTGGTGTGCGCCTGTAATCGTAGCTACTCGGGAGGCTGAGGCAGGAGAATTGTTTGAACCCAGGAGGCAGAGGTTGCAGTGAGCCGAGATTATGCCACTGCCTGGGGGACAGAGCAAGACTCCATCTGACAAAAAAAAAAAAAAGGGGGAGAAATTGGGGAACCTCACATCCAGCCTTCTGCTCTCTTCCCTCTCCCCTGCAGGGACCCCCAGGAAATCAAGAGGGCTGCCACACACCTCTCCTGGCACCCCGATGGCAACAGGAAGTTGGCAGTGGCATACTCCTGCTTGGATTTTCAGCGGGCACCTGTGGGCATGAGCAGCGATTCATACATCTGGGACCTGGGTGAGAAGCAGCGGGGTCCTGGTGGCCTGGGAGGGCTGAGGGCTGGGACCAGCACAAGTGGAGGAGCGGGAGGGAGGGGCAGGAGGTCAAGGACACTCACGCGGTTGGTGCCTCAAGGGAAGGGCCCGCAGTCGAGGAGGAACACACTCTTCTCCTTCCTCTCTTGTCTGGTTTCAGGCAGAGCCAAGCAGAGTCAAATCAGAAGCAGGAAACCCCCACCAATTCCAGATTCTTAGTTCGAGGCATGAAGACCTGACCCCATGGGATCTCAATTCTTAGCTCCTAAGGAGCATATCAGGCCGGGCTCGGTGGCCCATGCCTGTAATCCCAGCACTTTGGGAGGCCAAGGCAGGTGGATCACCTGAAGTCAGGAGTTCAAGACCAGCCTGGCTAACATGATAAAACCCTGTCTCTACTAAAAATACAAAAATTAGTTGTGCTTGATGGTGGGTGCCTGTAATCCCAGCTACTTGGGAGACTGAAGCAGGAGAATCGCTTGAACCCAGGAGTCAGAGGTTGCAGTGAGCCGAGATCATGCCACTGCACTCCATCCTGGGCAACAGAGTGAGACTCTATCTCAACAGCAACAACAAGACAGAGTGCCCAGCAGACTGAGAAGGGACTCAAGGGGCGGCGGAATGGAACTTGTGCCTTTGTCCCATCTGTCCTGACACTTGCCTTTAATTCATGGCCTGCAGGGGCAGCGTGTCCATTTATTAGCACAAACCATTGTCTACAGAAGGGCTGGCAAGACACAGGCAGGGACAGGGTGGTGGTGGCTTCACGCTCTCCAGCTTCCCTTCGTTGTCAGCATTATTAAAATAAACATGTAGGTGCCAGGCAGAGAGCTAACGCCCGACATTCCAACAGCTCAGCGAGTTCTGGCAGCAGCCCTATGGGGTGGACTCCGTCATTATCTGCAGTCCACAGACCTGGTTGGAAGAAACCGGCAGAGAGTTGACTTTGTGTAAAAACTTTAGTATCAAAACCTCGTTTCACACCAAACCTAGGAACTGGACTAGAAATATAATTATCACACACATACGCACACCCCAATCCTGTTCACCAAAAATAAAAACCATCAGCAAAGCCCCTAGGGTCAAGAATGCCAGATTCTGGCCAAGGTGGACCAGGGGGTGCAGGCTGGGGAAAGACTGGAGGGGCTTCCAGGCTTCCCCCTCTGCCACCATGCCCCCGCTACCCACCCGCAGAAGGGGTGAAACTGGTTGATCCTGTCCTTTTCTTTCCGGGCCTGGTGGGGATAATTTTTTTGTGCTTTATAGAAAACCCCAACAAGCCTGAACTTGCTCTGAAGCCATCGTCTCCACTCGTGACGTTGGAGTTCAACCCCAAAGATTCCCACGTACTCCTGGGTGGCTGCTACAATGGACAGATAGGTAAGGAGGGACCTAGGCTTTTTTATTTTTATTTTTATTTTTTTTAGATGGAATTTTGCTCTTGTTTCCCAGGCTGGAGTGTAGTGGTGCAATTTTGGCTCACTGCAACCTCCGCCTCCTGGGTTCAAGTGATTCTCCTGCCTCAGCCTCCCGAGTCGCTGAGATTACAGGCACCCACCACCACACCTGGCTAATTTTTTTGTTATTTTTAGTAGAGACAGGGTTTCACCATGTTGGCCAGGCTGGTCTCGCACTCCTGACCTCAGGTGATTCACCCACCTGGGCCTCCCAAAGTGCTGGGATTACAGGTGTGGGCCACCACACCTGGCCGGGACCCAGATTCATAGTCAGAGCCAATCCTGCTGCTATAGGGCAGAGCCCACATGGCAGCCTGGGCTCGGCCACAGAAGACTAAGTGGGGTGAGGGCCTCCCATAGCTGACCAACTGCAGACACGGGTGAGGCAGGTTTGGCTGACACCTCAGCAGTGTCTCCTGTTACTACTGTAAGTCTAAAATTAGCTCAAAATAAACAGTTTTAAAAAACTATAGTTCAAGTAAAATCAGAGAATATTTGACTAGGGGCCGCCATAAAGGGATGATGAGAGCGTTGGGGAGCCCTATTTTGGGAGAGGTTTCTGGGAAACCTACATGCTAACGGATATGGGTAATACTGGCCTTATAGAATGAGTTGGGAAGTATTCCCTTCTGGAAGTTTGTGAAGAATTGATATTAATTTTTTTTTTTTTTGAGATGGAGTCTCGCTCTGTCGCCCAGGCCGGAGTGCAGTGGTGCAGTCTCAGCTCACTGCAGCCTCCACCTCTCGGATTCAAGTGATTCTCCTGCCTCAGCCTCCTGAGTAGCTGGGACTACAGGCTCATGCCACCACGCCTGGCTAATTTTGTCTTTTTTCAGTAGAGTTAGGGTTTCACTATGTTGGCCAGACTTGTCTCAAATTCCTGACCTCAAGTGATCCTCCCTCCTTGGCCTTCCAAAGTACTGGGATTACTGGCGTGAGCCACCATGCCTGGCCGCTATTAATTCTTGAAATGTTTGGTAGAACTCATCAGTGAAGCCATCTGGTCCCTGGCTTTTCTTTATTGGAAGCTTAAAAGTTACAATTCAGTCTGTTTATTTGTTATAGATCCTCTTCACATTTTCTGTTTCTTCTTTAATTGCTTTTGGTAGTTTCTGTCTTTCTAGGAACTTTTCCATTTCATCAAGTTGTCTAGTTTGTTGACATTTAATTGTTCACAGTATTCCCTTATAATCATTTTCTTTTTCTTTTTTTTTTTTTTTTTTTGAGACAGAGTTTTACTCTGTTGCCCAGGCTGGAGTGCAGTGGTGTAATCACTGCTCATTGCAGCCTCGACCTCCTGGGCCCGAGCAATTCTTCCACCCCAGCCTCCCGAGTAGCTGAGCCTACAGGCATGTGCCACCACACTCGGCTAATTTTTGTAGTTTTTTTAGTCACAAGGTTTCATCATGCTGCCCAGGCTGGTCTTAAACTCCTGGGCTCAAGGGATCCGCCTGCCTTGGCTGGCCTCCCAAAGTGCTGGGATGAACCACCACACCTGGCCTGATTTCAGTCTTTTAAAATTTATTGAGACTTGTTTTATGGCCTAGCATATTGTCTATCCTGGAGAATGTTCCATGAGCACTTGAGAAGACTATATTCTGCTTATTGTCCGGTGTAGTTTTCCTTTTTTTTTTTTTGGGACGGAGTCTTGCTCTTTCGCCCAGGCTGGAGTGCAGTGGCGCGATCTTGGCCCACTGCAAGCTCTGCCTCCTGGGTTCACGCCATTCTCCTGCCTCAGCCTTCCGAGTAGCTGGGACTACAGGTGCCTGCCACCACGCTGGGCTAATTTTTTGTATTTTTTTTTAGTAGAGACGGGGTTTCACCGTGTTAGCCAGGATGGTCTCGATCTCCTGACCTCGTGATCCGCCCGCCTCGGCCTCCCAAAGTGCTGGGATAACAGGCGTGAGCCACCGCACCTGGCCTGTCCAGTGGAGTTTTCTATAGTTGTCTGGGAGGTCTTGTCTATAGTGTTGGTCAAGACTTCTATTTCCTTGTTGATCTTTCACGTAGTAATTATGTCTATTATTGAAAGTAGGATACTGATGTCTGCCATTATTATTGTTGAATTGTCTATTTCTCCTTCAATTTTGTCAGGTTTTGCTTCCTGTATGTTAAGGCTATGTTATTAGGTACATGCACATGCTTATAATTGTTAAGTTTTCCTAGTGAATTAACCCTTTTATCAGTATATGATGTCTTCATTTGTCTCTAGTAGCATTTTTCATCTCAAAGTCTGTCTTTGAGATAAGCACTCCAGCCCTCTTTGGTTACCATTTGCATGGTATATCTTTCCCCATCCTTTTACTTTTAACCTGTTTGCCTCTTTGAATCTAAAGTATGTCTTGTAGCCAGGTGTGGTGACACGCACCTGTAATCCCAGCTACTTGGGAGGCTAAGGCACGAGAATCGCTTGAACCTGGGAAGCTGAGATTGCAGTGAGTCGAGATCATGCCACTGAACTCCAGCCTGGGTGACAGAGCGAGACTCCATCTCAAAAAAATAAAAATAAAATAAAAAAATAAAGTATGTCTCTTGTAGATTACATGTAGCTGGCATACAAGTGAATCATAGTTTTGTTTTGTTTTGTTTTTGAGACAGAGTCTTACTCTGTCACCCAGGCTGGAGTGCAGTGGCGTGATCTCGGCTCACTGCAACCTCCGCCTCCTGGGTTCAAGCGATTCTCCTGCCTCAGCCTCCCGAGTAGCTGGGATTACAGGTGCATGCCACCACGCCCAGCTAATTTTTGTAGTTTTGGAGAGATGAGGTTTTACCATGTTGGCCAGGCTGATCTCGAACTCCTGGCCTCAAGCGATATGCCCACCTCGGCCTCCCAAAGTGCTGGGATTACAGGCATGAGCCACCACGCCCAGCTTGGATCGTGGTTTTTTCCTTTTAATCTATTCTATCTATCTCTGGTTTTAAGTGGAGAGTTTAATCTATTTACATTAATTTAATTACTGATAAAGTTTACATCTGCCATTTTGCTTTTTTTTCCTATATGTCTTACATCTTTTTGTTCTTTCTCCATAACTGCCTTCTTTTGTGCCACGTATTTTCTAGTGTACCATTTTAATTCCCTTATCATTTCTTTTTTTTTTTTCTTTTCTTTTTTTTTTAGAGACAAGGTCTCACTCTGTCACCCAAGCTGGAGCGCAGTGCTGTGATCATAGCTCACTGCAGCCTCAAACTCCTGGGCTCAAGCAATCCTCCCACCTCAGCCTCCTGAGTGGTTGGGACAACAGGTGCACGTCACCACACTCAGCTACTTTTTTATTTTTTAATTTTTGTAGAGATAGGGTCTTGCTATGTTGCCCAGGCTGGTCTTGAACTCCTGGCCTCAGGCAATTCTCCCACCTTGGCCTCCCAAAGTGCTGGGATTTCAGGCGTGAGCCACCACACTCAACTTAAGCTATTGATCTTATTGATGATCCTGTGTATGTGATGAGTCATTTTTCTCTTGCTGCTTTCAAGAGTCTCTGTCTTCAGCTTTGATTATGATGTTTCTAGGTATGGATATCTTTGAGTTTATCCCACTTGGAATTCATTGAGTTTCTTGGATGTGTAGATTATTTTTTTAAAAATCAAATATGGAATATTTACAACCATTATTTATTCAAATATTCTTTCCTACCCTTTCTCTCTCTCCTCTCCTTCTGTGACTTCCATTATGTGTATGTTGGCATGCTTGATGGTGTCCCATAGGTCTTTAGACTCTGTTTTTCTTTGTTCTCTTTTCTTTCTATTCCTCAGACTACATAATCTCAATTGACCCATCTTCACGTTCAGTGATTCTTCTGCCTGCTCAAATATGCCATCCTGTAGCTTCTCTGCTATATTTTTATTTTGGTTAATGACTCCAGAATTTCTATTTTGTTCTTTCTTTTAAAAATAATTTCTGTCTCATTTGGATGTGGTGGCTCGTGCCTGGAAACCTAGCACTTTGGGAGGCTGAGGTGGGTGGATTACCTGAACTCAGGAGTTCAAGACCAGCATGGGCAACATGGTCAAACCCCATCTCTACTTAAAAAAAAAAAAAAAAAAATCAGCCAGGTGAGGTGGAGTGCACCTGCAATCTCAGCTACTTGGGAGGCTGAGGCAAGAGAATTGCTTGAACCCAGGAGGCAGAGGTTGCAGTAAGTTGAGATTGTGCCACTGCACTCCAGGCTGGGCAACAAAGCGAAACTCTGTCTTCAAAAATAATAATGATAATGATTTTTGTCTATTTGTATCTTTTATTTGGTGAGAGATCATCTCATGCTTTTCTTTAGTTCTTTTGATGTGACTTCCTTTAGTTCTTTGAACATGTTTAGCATAGCTGATGTGAGGCCTTTGTCTAGTTAGTCCAATATCTGGGCTTCTTGGGGACAATCTCTATTTATTGCTTTTTTATTCCTGTGTTTGGGCCATACATTTGTATTTCTTGGCATGTCTTATAATTTTTTTTTTATTAAAAACTATACTTTTTGTATGATTTAATGTGGCAACTTTGCAAATCAGATTGACATACCTCCCAGAGTTTGTGTTGTTGCTGTTTGTTGTAGTTGTTCTTTGTTTCATTAATACATTTTCTTAGCTAGTTCTGGAAAGTCTGTATTCCCTGTCACGTGTGACCACTTATAGTCTCTGCTTAGCTTAGTGATTAGTTAATGATTGAACAAAGATTTCCTTAAGCATTTGTCACCAAAAAATCTCCCCTTCTCTGCTAAGGGGCTCTGTGTGCGTGTGTGAGCATGCCTTTACACTCAGCCAGGCAGTTGTCAACTCTGCCTTAGTGTCTGTGCAGAGATGAGGTCAGCCAGAGAGTTTAGGGCTTTATCGGTTTTCCTGAGCATGACACAGCTCTGGGCGTGCACACAGCTCTATCCATGCTTGTGACCTTCTAGACTCCCAGGAATATGTCAGATCTTTTCAAAGCCCTGTGGACACATCATGCTTCAGCTTTTCCTTTTACTTATTTACTTTTGTTGTTTAAATGTAATAGAAGTTGAGCACAGTGGCTCACGTCTGTAATCCTAACACTTTGAGAAGCTGAGGCGGGAGGATCGCCTGCATTCAGGAGTTTGAAACTAGCCTGTGCAGCATAGTGAGATCTTGCCTTTAAAGAGAGAGAGAGAGAGAGAGAGGAGAGAGAGAGAGGAGAGAGAGAGGAAGGGGGAAGGAGGGAGGGAGGGAGAGAGAGAGAGAGAGAGAAAGAAAGAAAATAGGGACAGGGTCTTGCTATGTTGACCAGGTTGGTTGTGAACTCCTGGCCTCAAGCAGTCCTGCCTCAGCCTCCCAAAGTACAGGCGTGAGCCACTGTACTCGGCCCAGCTTTTCCTTTTAAGCTTTTCGGTAGGTCTATTCCTTTCCCCACCTGTTATCCACTGCCTCAGGAAGCTGCAAAGTTAGTCAGTTGCCTGCAATTACACCCTGATGAAAAGACTTTTCACACCAGGCAAAGGCTGAACCAAGTCAATTACAGCCAACCTTGCAAGAGGAGCCTTATCAGGGAACCACCAGACCGGTCAGATAATGACAGTTCTTTGGGCATGAGACTTGAAAGGAGCTCCAGCCTCATTCTGCTCCCTCTTGTGGCGCCAGGCTGCTGTTTTTCATCAGGAGTGCAGAATGTGAATTTTCAAGGCCACCACGGAACTGCAGAGTGTGCGATCTTAACTAGGGCAAGTGAAAATGCCACTGTTCTTACCAAGATTCTGCTGTTTTTCTTGAATAAACATTCTCCCGACTGCCCTAAGCCTCTGGCTAATTTCCAGAGTTCTGAAAAAGTTGATTCTGACCATTTTTGCCAGTTTTCTCACTGCTATTATGGAGGAGAGAATTTTTGGAGGTCCTTACTTCACGGATTTTGCTGATGGCACACCTGGAAAACTGATTTTTGTTTGTTTGTTTCTTTGAGACAGAGTCTCGCTGTGTCACCTAGGCTGGAGTGCAATGTCACGATCTTGGCTCACTGCAAGCTCCGCCTCCCAGGTTCATGCCATTCTCCTGCCTCAGCCTCCCGAGTAGCTGGGACTACAGGTGCCCGCCACCACGCCCAGCTAATGTTTTGTATTTTTTTTTTTTAGTAGAGACGGGGTTTCACTGTGTTAGCCAGGATGGTCTTGATCTCTTGACCTCGTGATCTGCCTGCCTCGGCCTCCCAAAGTGCTGGGATTACAGGCATGAGCCACCGTGCCCAGACTTTTTTTTTTTTTTTTTGAGACAGGGTCTTGCTCTGTCACCCAGGCTGGAGTACAGTGGTGTGATCTCAGCTCACTGCCACCTCCGCCTCCTGGGTTCAAGCGATCCTCCTGCCTCAGCCTCCCCAGAGGCTGGTGCATGCCACCACGCCTGGCTAATTTTTGTATTTTTAATAGAAACAGAGTTTTGTCATGTTGGCCAGGCTGTTCTCAAACTCCTGGCCTCAAGTGATCCACCCACCTTGACCTCCCAAAGTGCTGGGATTACAGGCGTGAGCCACCAAGCCCAGCCCAAACTGCTTTTTTTTTTTTTTAATCTCCAGTGAGATCAGAAGTCACCTGCCTGGGTTGGCTCTGAATGTCCCTACCTGCTCTGTTCCCCTGAACCTGGAGTCGCCAGACACCCAACCCATGACTACACCCAGGCCAGTCTTGACCCTGGGCGTAAAAAGCATTCCCCACTCCTCTCTGCTCTGTATGTTCTTATACTTTTGCTGCTTCTTCGGGAGTGGGAGCCAGGATGGCTGAGAAACTCCTCCTCTGAAGCTGTCTGTAGTCAGCTGCTTCCTAAGGCCCCGATCTCCCTCTCAGACCTGCTGCCTCCTGCCCAGGGGAGCTTTCAGATTATGGAATAGACCCGGGCTCCCATAAACGTCCCTGCCAAACTATCTGGGTGCCAGAGCTCTAAAAGACTGAGGCAGAGCCACTTTGCCATGATTAATTCAAGAGCCTTGACTCAGTCATTATTCATAACCTCTTTCAGTGGTTTTTCATGCCAGCTCATACCAGCCCAGACTCTGGTGCTCCGCTGCTCCAAGAAGGGCCCCTCTAGGGCCATGTGGGACCCAGTGGGACCTACTCTTGAGCACTGCTTTGCCAAAGTAGAACAGGCTTATCTTTTATTTTTATTTATTTTTATTTTTTGTTTTGTTTTTGAGACAGCCTTGCTTTGTTGCCCAGGCTGGAGTGCAATGGCATGATCTCAGCTCACTGCAACATCTGCCTCCCAGGTGCGAGTGATTCTCATGCCTCAGCCTCCTGAGAAGCTGGGATTACAGGTGCCTGCCACCACGCCCAGCTAATTTTTTTGTGTTTTTAGTAAAGATGGGGTTTCATCATGTTGGCCAGGCTGGTCTTGAACTCCTGACCACAAGTGATCCACCTGCCTCAGCCTCCCAAAGTGCTGGGATTACAGGTGTGAGCCACCAGGCCTGGCCTATTTTTATTTTTTGAGACAGGGTCTTGCTCTGTCACCCAGGCTGGGGTGTAGTGGCACGATCATGGCTCACTGCAGCCTCAACCTCCCAGGCTCAAGCAATTCTCCCACCTCAGCCTCCCGAGTAGCAGGCAGCCTCCCGAGTAACAGCCTCCCGAGTAGCATGTGCCACCATGCCCAGCTAGGTTTTAAATTTTTTGTAGAGACGGGGTCTCACTATGTTGCCCAAGCTGCTCTTGGATTCCTGGGCTCAAGCAATCCTTTTGCCTCGGCCTCCTAATGCGCTAGGATTACAAGCATGAGCCACTGTGCTTGGCTGAGCAGGCGTATCTAAGAAAACATATTTCTGGGCCAGCTGAGTTCAGGGAAAATGCCTTGAACTTGGAGAAATACTAAGTCAAAGCTTACGAGCTAAGTACTTTTGTTATTTTACAAAACGGCCTTTCCTAGAAACAGCTCTGAGTGACAGGGTGAGCCCTCATTGTGCATTCATGGGAAAATGGAAACGAAATCTAACAGGACAAAGGACAGATAACCTTTCCATCTTTCTTGGCAAAGCACTAATAACAGATCACAGTAAAGGCTAAAGCTCCTCTGTGAGTTTCTTTCCAACAGAGGCAGCAGAGGTACAAAGGATAAGAGGAAATGGGCTAATGTAGCAGAGAGATTCACCTAAATGGAGTCTTTCCACGTGCTTTTCCCTACGTTAGGGACTCGGCTCTCCTCTCGCCTGGCTCCCTCCATCCTGAGGCTCATCTTCCATCTCAGCTACCTGTCACTTCCTCCAGGAGGCCTTCCCTGACCACCCTCATGTGTTCCCCTGCCACTATGCCTGTCCTATCCCCAGAGGCTTGCCCAGGGCCAAGTGTTGGGTAGGGAGTCAATGCCTGGGAGGGGCTCAAGGAACTGAATGAAGCTTGCACTCTGGGAGTCTCTCCAGAGAGTCTGTAGAGGCTGGTAGGAAACTCAGGCTGATTTGAACCAAGCCCTGATTCTAGAAAACCACATACCTGCCAAACCAGAAGCAGCAGCCCCCTCTCTCCCCTGCTCCCTGCCCTAAGGAAGGAAGCCTGTGCCCCCTTCCACTCCTTCTTCATCTCCTTCCTCACCAGCCTGCTGGGACACCCGAAAGGGCAGCCTGGTGGCGGAGCTATCCACCATTGAGTCCAGCCACCGAGACCCTGTGTATGGCACCATCTGGCTGCAGTCGAAGACGGGCACCGAGTGCTTCTCAGCTTCCACGGATGGGCAGGTACCCACCAGCCAGACACTGGAGAGAGGAGGGAAGGGAGGGGCAGTAACTGTTCCCTGGTTCCCCATCAGAACCCCTGGGGACATTTCCTTTAACACATTTTATTTTGAGATGGAGTTTCACTCTTGTTGCCCAGGCTGGAGTGCAATGGCACGATCTTGGTTCACTGCAACCTCTGCCTCCCGGGTTCAAGCAATTCTCCTGCCTCAGCCTCCCAAGTAGCTGGGATTACAGGCGCCTGCCACTATGCCTGGTTAATTTTTTATTTTTAGTAGAGATGGTGCTTCACTATGTTGGCCAGGCTGGTCTCGAACTCTGACCTCAGGTGATCCACCCGCCTTGGCCTCCCAAAGTGGTGGGATTACAGGCATGAGCCACTGCGCCCAGCCTAACACTTTATTTTTAAGTTGAGTAGTGATAATACATGCCCACGGAACAGAATCTAAAGGGTGCAAAAAAGAAAATGCCTTCCTCTCACCTCTGCCTGCACCTCCTCCCCTCCCTCCCTCTCTTATGTCTGCCTTCAGAGCTAGTCTCTGCGTATGCAAGGAAACACACCTCTCTCTTCTTTACTCTTTCTTTTTGCACACTTCACACACTATTCTGTACTCGATGTTTTCCATTGTGTGTACCTTGGAGATAGTTTCATATTTCATACACCGCTGCCCCATGCCTATTAATAACTGCATCATGTGGGTGTACCATAATTTATATATGGATTCTAATATTTTGTTGCTACCCCCCAAAAAATACAGCAAAGAGCATCTTTATACACAGATTGTTGCACACATGCGGGGATATATCTACAGCAGACATTGCTGGCAGTGGGACTTCTAGGTCGGAGCACACATGCATTTTTAACATTGCCGGATATTGCCTTATTGTGGGGAGTCTTGGCATATACCGATTCTTGGCCTTGCACCTGGAGGTTTTGATTCAGTAGGTCGAGGGCGAGGCCTCAGCATCTGGGTTGTATGAAGCTTGCCGGCGACTCTGATGATCAGCCAGGTGTGGGAACTGTGGACAGAACAGCAATCCTCAAAGTGTATTTGCTCCCACGAATTGCCGGGAGCTCCATCCTTTGTGGCCCAGTGGCTGACCCCAGGACGGTGGGGTGAGGGCGGAGAAGGCAAAAGCCAGGGGAAATACAGGGCCTCGAAGTCTCACTGTCGCCCCTCCTCCCACCAGGTCATGTGGTGGGACATCCGAAAGATGAGCGAGCCCACTGAAGTTGTGATCTTGGACATCACCAAGAAGGAACAGTTGGAAAATGCCTTGGGGGCCATCTCCCTGGAGTTCGAATCTACTTTGGTGAGTGTCCCTTGCTGTCCCTTCCCCGACTTGCATTGACAGGGCAGCCAGGGCTAAAGACAGGCCATTGCTAGGATATCAGGTGCTCGTGGAACCCAGCACCAGCCCAGGGAGGCCACCCTCACTGCAGCCATCCTAGACGTGTGTGGCCTTTACAACAACTTTCCAGCAGGGGGCAGCAGAGCTTCTCGAAGAAGGACACCATAGTCATCATGGCACCAAGTCATCTTTTGGCCAGTGGCCCAGCTGAACACAGAGGGCAATCTTTTGACAGAACAATTCCAGAAAAGCCCTGTTTTGTGGGGAAGGTCACGCCCAGGACCAACATCGGGAGGCCTGGACTCCAACCCAGGTCCTGGCCCTGCCTGGCACGGGGTCCCTAGGCTGGTCACCTGCCTTCCTCTGGGGAAGGAAGAGGTACTGGAGAGGAAAATGAGGTCAAAGCAGGCTCCTTGGAAAACCAGAGCACAAGCATGGTCTCGGTGTTCAGTCACTGAGAATGACAAAGAAATATCAAAGTTCAGGTCGGGCAGGGTGGCTCACGCCTGTAATCCCAGCACTTTGGGAGGCCAAGAATTTAAGACCAGCCTGGGTACATAATGAGACCCCCCCCACCGCCCGCCCAGTCTTTACCAAGAAAGAAAGAAAGAAAGAGAGGGAGAGAGAGGGAAAGAAAAGGAAAGAAGGAAGGAAAGAAGGAAGGAAGGAAGGAAGGAAGGAAGGAAGGAAGGAAGGAAGGAAAGAAGGAAGGAAGGAAGGAAGGAAGGAAGGAAGGAAGGAAGGAAGGAAGGAAGGAAAGAAGGAAGGAAGGAAGGAAGGAAGGAAGGAAGGAAGGAAGGAAGGAAAGAAGGAAGGAAAGAAGGAAGGAAGGAAGGAAGGAAGGAAGGAAGGAAGGAAGGAAAGAAGGAAGGAAGGAAGGAAGGAAGGAAGGAAGGAAGGAAGGAAGGAAGGAAAGAAAAAGAAGAAAAATATCAATGTGAGGCAAGGCGCCGTGGCTCACACCTGTAATCCCAGCACTTTGGGAGGCTGAGGTGGCAGGATCACTTGAGCCCAGCAGTTCAAGACCAGCCTGGACAACATAGCAAGACACTGTCCCTACATAAGAAAAGAAAAAAAGGGCCAGGCACGGTGGCTCACACCTGTAATCCCAGCACTTTGGGAGGCCAAGGCGGGCGGATCACCTGAGGTTGGGAGTTCGAGGCCAGCCTGACCAATATGGAGAAACCCCATCTCTACTAAAAATACAAAATTAGCTGGGCGTGGAGGCGCACGCCTGTAATCCCAGCTACTCGGGAGGCTGAGGCAGGAGAATTGCTTGAACCTGGGAGGCGGGGGTTGCGGTGAGCCAAGATCGCATCATTGCACTCCAGCCTGGACGACAAGAGCGAAACTCCATCTCAAAAAAAAAACAAAGAAAAGAAAAACAGGAAATATCAGTTTGAGCATAGTGCAAATGTGTTAGAGGAGGGAAGCTTCCTAGAAGCAGTAAAGGAAGACTTCCTCGCTAGAGTAAGAAGACAACTTTCCCTTGTTGTTGGCTTTTGGTTTGGGCTGAGTCTTGGTTTACGTCTTAGTGCAGCCCAGGCCTGGTTCCCCCTTGGGGGTGTCACTTGTTTGCTTCGGGGTCATGGGCCATCATTCCTAGGGCTTTGGGAGGCCCTGGCCTCGAACATACCTGGGCAACCCTAGCTCAAGGCTGAGAGATGAATGTTGATGGAAGGAGGAGACAATTCCACTGACCCCCTCCCCAGAGGACAAGGCACTGGGCAGGGAGGTTGGGGTGGCGAGGGCTCAGGAAAACATTCTGTCCCAGAGGCAAGGCTTTCTAGGCCAAGTGCTAGACATGCAGCCACATCACTACTAGGGCCATCTCCTCCATGCCTGGCCCTTGCAGGGTGCACACTGTGTGTTGGACACTTGTGGCTGCCTGATTTAATAAGCTTGTGCAGTCGCCTACAACCATCTCGTGGGGTAATGTTATTATCCGTACTTGCCAGACACACACGATGAGTCTTCATGAGATTAGGTTGTGAGTCCTAGTACCTGGTAAAGCTGGGACTCAAACCCAGGGCTCCAACTCTGAGGCCCAGAGTGTCCACCTGCAGCCCACCATGAAGTCTGAGGCTAGAGGCACGATGGGCCACTCAGATCTGGGTGGCCTTTCTCTCTGGCTCACTGACGGGCGGCGTGCAGTCGGCTTGAATACTTTCTTCTCTGGACCTCTCAAGCTTGGTCTTTCCACTTGCCCTTGACGCCCAACTTGAAGCCCAGGTTTTTGTTTTGTTTTGTTGAGACATCGTTTTGCTCTGTTGCCCATGCTGGAGTGCAGTTGTGTAATCTCAGCTTACTGCAACATCCACCTCCTGGGCTCAAGCCTCAGCCTCTTGAGCAGCTGGGACCACAGGCACATGCCACCAAGCCAGGCTGATTTTTTTTTTTTTTTTGAGACAGAGTCTCACTCTTGCCCAGGCTGGAGTGCAGTGACATGATCTTGGCTCGCTGCAACCTCTGCCTCCCAGGTTCAAGTGATTCTCGTGCCTCAACCACCACACCTGGCCATGTTCTGGGTATTTTCTAGAGATTTTATATTTATCATTTTAGTAATTTTCTGGTAGAAGAAAACTGCATAATAAAACAATATGTTTTTTAAAAAAATAAAAATAAAAAAGCTGGGGGGCCAGGTGCAGTGGCTCAGGTCTGTAATCCCAGCACTTTGGGAAGCCGATGTGTGCAGATCACTTGAGCTTAGGAGTTTGAGACCAGTCTGGACAACATAGGGAGACTCCATCTCTACAAAAATACAAAAATTAGCTGACCCTGGTGGTGTGTGCTTGTGGTCCCTACGTGGGAGGCTGAGGTGGGAGTACTGCTTGAGCCCAGAAGGTCAAGGATGCAGTGAGCTGAGATCGCACTGCTGCACTCCAGCCTGGGCAATGGAGCCAGAACCTGTCTCGAGAAATAAATAAATAAACTAGGAGTTCTTTTTTCTTTTCTTTTCTTTTTTCTTTTTCTTTTTTCTTTTTTTTTTTTTTTTTTTTTTTTTTGAGGTAGGGCCTTGCTCTGTAGGCCAGGCTGGAGTGCAGTGGCATGATCTCGGCTCACTGCAACCTCTGCCTAAAACCTGGGAGTTCTATAGGGGCAGGTTCACCAGCTGCAGAGGACATCTGAGCCCGTTGACAAAGGCCCTCCCCTCAGTGTGCCCCTCCCCTACCTCACTCAGCTGTTCTTTCCATTTGGAATGCTGAGGACACAGCACCATTGTAGGCTCAGGCCCTGCTGGTGGAGGTTGTTCAGTCTAGCCCAGAAGTTAAGACAGAACAGTAAACAAGGAAGGGCATTGCGTGATGGAGGGGGTCATGCTCAGAGACGCGAGGGGAGCACTGGACCAGGAGTCAGGAGACCAGCCTTTGTGCATTCAGTCCGCAGTGAAGTGAATAACTACTAAAGCTCAGTTCGTGGGCGATGGACCCATGTCAGACAAGCTCGTGCCCCTCAAAGAGCTCACCCACCAGTGGTAGGGGGACGAGTTACATCACCGACTGCCAGGTAACTTCCTGAGTGCTGGTTGGTCACCTGCTCTGAGTTCTCAGGGACACCAGCCTGGACAATGCTATGACAAATGTCACTGTCTTGCCAGGGAAGGCTCTGCCCATCCCATGAGTGATCTGGGTGGGCCACCCTGCATCCCCTCCCTGGGTCTTCTTTACTCTCTCTGTAAACAAACATTCAGGATCTTTATGGCCAAATGCATCGAGGACACAGTGGTGCTCTGCAGAGGGGGCTAGTGACCTGACAACCCTCCAGGACTGGAGGAGCCAGGGAGGGCTTCATTCAGCACAGGCTCCTTGAGCAGCTTCCAAAAAGATGGGGTCTGAGGAGCCCGGGAAGAGTGGGGACTGCTCTCCAGGAGGGGCCACAGCCCTTGCCAAGGCTTGATCTGAGGGCCTTTCTAGCGCCTGCAGACCCCCCAAGCAAGCTCCTGTCCATGCCCGCTAATCCCAGAATTGATGGTTCGTGGAGTCTTCCCCTCCTGTGTCACTCCTTCCACAGCCCACCAAGTTCATGGTGGGGACCGAGCAGGGCATCGTCATCTCCTGCAACCGCAAGGCCAAGACGTCAGCTGAAAAGATTGTGTGCACCTTCCCGGGCCATCATGGCCCCATCTACGCCCTCCAGAGAAACCCCTTCTACCCGAAGAACTTCCTGACGGTTGGCGACTGGACAGCCCGCATTTGGTCTGAAGACAGCCGGGAATCGTCCATCATGTGGACCAAGTAAGAGGCGATGCTGGGGACAGGAGGGGATGCAGGAGACAGGAGGGGATGGAGGGAGCCCAGCTGGGCCCCGGAGAGTCCCGAGCCTCCATATGTAAAATGGAGAAAAACCTTTCCACAAACACCCGAGCTCGTGTTAGCAAGTGACTTGCTCCAGCCACTCCACAAAGTGATAAGCTTCAAACACTCAGTTACTAAAAATAATGGCCATGGCTTAATTTTATTTCCTTTTTTTTTTTTTTTTTTTTTTGAGACAGTCTCGCTTAGTTCCCCAGACTGAGTGCAGTGGCGTGATCTCGGCTCACTGCAGCCTCCACCTCCCAGGTTCAAGAGACTCTCCTGCCTCAGCCTCCTGAGTAGCTGGGACTACAAGCACCTGCCACCATGCCCAACTAATTTTTGTATTTTTAGTAGAGATGGGATTTTGCCACGTTGGCCAGGCTGGTCTTGAACTCCTGACCTCAGGTGATCTGCCCACCTCGGCCTCCCAAAGCGTTGGGATTACAGGTGTGAGCCACCGCGTCTGGCTGGCTTAATTTTCATAATCCTCAAACTATCCCCAGGAGGAGGCAGCATTGCTCTTCTCTTCATCTCATTTTTCATGTTAGGGAACTGGGCTACAGAAAGGCCAAGCCACTTGCTCCTGCTCTCCCAGCTAGTGAGGAGCCGAGATTGGGTGTGAACCAAGGAAGCTTGGCTGGGAAATGCGGGTGCCTTGGCACAATTCAGCAGTGAGGCATAGCCTGTCTTGCTCAGTGCCACTCCTCTGAGGAGAGCAACAGACAGGGAGCTTGAGACAGAGCTATGAGCACAATGGTTAGACCAGAGAAGCTTAGACTATCACATCCCCCTCCATTCTTCTTAGGGCCCATTTACCTTGTCTAAAAGTGCCCTTTCTCCTCCTCCCCTTCATCTCCTAAATTAGGTAATAAGCCCGAATTCTAACCACCCCCTTGAGTCATTCACCACCGAGCACTGCCATGTGTATTGTGCATTGCATGTATAAATAATTACTTTTTTCTCTTGCTAAAAAAAACATCCTGGGGTTCCTTTCCTGCCCACAGAACCACAGACTCCTGCAACGTCAAAGCCACCAGCAACCCTAATGAGCATCTTTGGTTCCAGTGCTTCCCAAATCTGGTTGCATCAGAATATCTTGGGAGGAGTTTTTGTTTGTTTGTTAAAATGCTTTTGAGATGGAGTCTTACTCTGTCACCCAGGCTGAAGTGCAATGGCGAGATCTCGGCTCACTGCAACCTCCACCTCCCGAGTTCATGCGATTCTCCTGCCTTATCCTCCTGAGTAGCTGGGATTACAGGCGCACGCCAGCACACCCAGCTAATTTTTGTATTTTTAGTATAGACAGAGTTTCCCCATGTTGGCCAGGCTGGTCTCAAACTCCTGACCTCAGGTGATTCGCCTGCCTCAGCCTCCCGAAGGGCTGGGATTACAGGCATGAGCCACCGTGCCTGGTGGAGGAGTGATTTTTTTAAAATCCAGATTCTCAGCCCCAACCCTGGGGGTACTAACATAGAATCTTGGGCTTAGCCCAGGAATGGGTTTGCTAAGGAGCAACCCCAGGCTTGTGACTCAGCCAGTCCTTGCTTTGGGAGCAGAAACCTGGTTCGATGTCCTCATTCTACAGGGGTGGGAACGCTGGCTGACAAGGGCAGTGCATTGTTCCAGGCCTCATAGCAAGTAGGGGGTTCCCAGTAGATGTGAAGCCCTTTACAGGCTTTAGGAGCCTTCCCAATGTCTTCAGGTCCTGCAGGCTGCCAGGGCTGTGTGAAAGGAGCAGGGTGTCGAGCACAGCACCCATAGGCCTTTCGCAGGGCTGGTTCCTAGAGGGACTTGGTGGACCTGTGTCGTAGAACCTGGGTCTCCCTTGTCCTCCTCCTGCATAAGGTTAAACAAATTTAGCAAATAAGAATATTTGACCCTGGGCCAGGTGCAGTGGGCTAATGCCTGTAATCCCAGCACTTTGGGAGGCTGAGGCGGGAGGATCACTTG
The DNA here is from genome assembly GCF_000001405.40 of Homo sapiens. NCBI lineage: Eukaryota > Metazoa > Chordata > Mammalia > Primates > Hominidae > Homo > Homo sapiens. The sequence goes on from NC_000017.11 coordinate 74,307,453, forward strand.
AGGTCAGGAGTTCAAGACGAGCCTGGCCAATATGGTGAATCCCCATCTCTAATAAAAATACAAAAAATCAGCTGGGCTTGGTGGCTAACGCCTGTAATCCCAGCACTTTGGGAGGCCGAGGCGGGTGGATCACCTGAGATCAGGAGTTCAAGACCAGCCGAGATTGCGCCACTGCACTCCAGCCTGGGCGACAGAGTGAGACTCCGTCTCAAAAAAAAATAATATTTGGCACTTAGTTAAATCTGAATTTTAAAAAAAAAAACTATTTTTTTTTTAGTATAAGTATGTCCCATGCAATATTTGGTATATACTTATACTAAAAATTATTCATTGTCCAAAAATCTCCAGATGTTTCTTTTTTTGGGGGGATGAAGTCTCTTTGTTGCCCAGGCTGGAGTGCAGTGGCACGATCTTGGCTCACTACAACCTTCACCTCCTGGGTTCAAGCAATTCTTCTGCCTCAGCCTCCTGAGTAGCTGGGATTACAGGCGCCCACCAACACCCCTGGATAATTTTTTTATTTTTAGTAGAGGCAGGGTTCTGCCATGTTGGCCAGGCTGATCTCAAACTCCTGACCTCAGGTGATCCACCATTCTCGGCCTCCCAAAGTCCTGGGATGACAGGCATGAGCCACCGCGCCCGGCCCAGATCCTTTCTTTAGTCTTGATCATTTCTCCCACTGTGGTCTGGCTGTCAACACACTAGGTTTGCAAAGGTGACTGGGAAGTGTAGTCTGCCTTGCTCACCAGGGGCCCAGCTACAACTATATTGCAATGGAGGAAGGGAGAGGAGGTCTGGGTGAAAATCTGAAGGCTGCACTGTGTGTGTGTCCCTTTTAAAAAAATGTTCCGTCTTCACTGAAGAAACTCTTGAAAACCCAGATGAAACCAAGTAGGAAGTGACACTCTCCTTATCTCAGCGGTAGCAGCTTTTCTGGGCATGTCCTTCCTCTGACTCCCATCCGTGAGTCCCAGGGCTGGGACCAGGTCCAGCAACACGTGCCTGCTGCCTGGAGTTAGCAGCAGAGAAATGCCAGTGGCCAGCCCACGGGAAGGACTGTGCCCAGAGCCCTTTCTTTATTTTATTTGAGACAGGGTCTCACTACGTTGCCCAGGCTGGAGTACAGTGGCACAAACATGGCTCACTGCAGCCTCGACCTCCTGGGCTCAAGCGATCCTCCCATCTCAGCCTCCCGAGGAGCTGGGACCACAGGTGCTCACCACCACACCCGGCTAATTTTTTTATTTTTTGTAGAAACAGGGTCTTTCCATGTTGTCCAGGCTGGTCTCAAAATCCTGGCTTCAAGCGATCTTCCTGCCTTGGCCTCCCAAAGTGCTGGGATTACAGGCACATGACCAGCCCAGAGCCCTTTAAAGAACAGCCTGTCAGACACCTGAGGTCAAGAGTTTGAGAGCAGCCTGGCCAACATGGTGAAACCCCATCTCTAGCAAAAATAAAATATTAGCTGGGTGTGGTGACGGGCGCCAGTAATCCCAGTTACTCGGGAGGCTGAGACAGGAGAATTGCTTGAACCCAGGAGGCAGAGATTGCAGTGAGCCGACATCGTACCACTGCACTCCAGCCTGGGCAACAGAGCAAGAGTGTCTCAAAAAAAAAAAAAAAAAAAGCAACCTGTGAGCTGTGGATGAGTGAGGTCAGCACAGCTAGAAGTCAGACACAAGGAAGAACTTCCTACCTAGCAAGACTCTGAGATCCTGGAGCCCAGAAGGGACCAAGTGAGCCAAGCTGTGGCTCAGAAGCCTCTGTCCCTCCAACCATGATGTGGTCTACCTCCCACAGGTACCACATGGCTTACCTCACTGATGCTGCCTGGAGCCCCGTGAGGCCGACCGTTTTCTTTACCACCAGGATGGACGGAACCCTGGATATCTGGGACTTCATGTTCGAGCAGTGCGATCCCACCCTCAGCTTGAAGGTCACGCGCATGTCCCTCCTTGTGCATCCAGGTCCTCAGGGAGCCAGGTCCCGGCGTGGGTGTGAGTGTGGGGTGCTGTGAGCACGTGTGCAGTGTGTGGCCAGGTGTGTTTGGGCCTCTGTGGGGGAGCCGTGTGCAGGCTGACTGCAGCGATTGCTTTTGAGCGTGTGCTCCTACAAAGGTTAAGGGGCCTGGGGGATTTGGCATCCTGGTAGCACAACAGAACCACCTGGGGGAAATTTAAAAAGAAACAAAAGCAGGTACCCGGCATCTCCTACCCACAGGCCGATTCCTTCAGAGCCCCTGGGGTTTGGCTGCTGGACCTTCCCCTTCATGTCAGGGTGGCCAGAGCTGAGCCCCACTGGCTGGGGCCACGGAAGGGTGGGGGCATTGGGGAACCACAGGGTGACTGTGAGGCGGAACTGAAGGGGTGGGGCGGGAGATGAGGCAGGGAAGCCAGGAGCCTTGACAACCAGTCTCCGAGTTTGAACTTCATCCTGTGGGCAGAGGCGTCCTGAGGATGTTTGAATAGGGCCAAGTGGCTGAGCCTCCCCAGGGGCCAGTTAATCAGACACACATAACTTTGCTCCTCTCTCCTCTACCTGGGTCTGCCCGGCCCCTTCAATAGGTGTGTGACGAGGCCCTCTTCTGCCTCCGGGTGCAGGACAATGGGTGTCTCATCGCCTGCGGCTCCCAGCTGGGGACAACCACCCTGCTGGAGGTCTCGCCTGGGCTCTCTACCCTCCAGAGGAATGAGAAGAACGTAGCCTCTTCCGTAAGCACCGGGTGCCTGGGGAAAATCCCTCCAGCACGTCCCGACCTGGCCCCACAGCAGAGCAGGCTAGTCAGACAAATAGATGGCCCCGCCCTCCCACCCCCAGAACATAGGTGCACATTTTGGGGGAAGCAGTGTGGGCTCCATAAATAGGTGTTGGTGTGTCCATTTGCCTTTGCTCAACTGCTGGGTAGCTAAGTGGCCTTCAGTAAGTCACGTCACTCTCCAGGATTCAGTTTTTTACCTGTAAATCAAAGAGGTTCGACTTGGTCAGTTTGTCTAGTTTCAAATAACACTTTTTTTTTTTTGTGGAAACTTTCCAATGAAGGCTTAGTATTGTATTATATTATATTGTATTTTAATTTAATTATTTTTATTTATTTATTTATTTTTGAGACAAAGTCACGCTCTGTTGCCCAGGCTGGAGTGCAATGGTGAGATCTAGGCTCACTGCAATCTCTGCTTCCCAGGTTCAAGTGATTCTCCTGCCTCAGCCTCCTGAGTACCTGGGATTACAAGTGCATACCACCACGCCCAGCTAATTTTTGTATTTTTAATAGAGACAGGATCTCACCATACTGGCCAGGCTGGTCTTGAACTCTTGACCTTAAGATGATCTGCCCACCCTGGCCTCCGAAAGTGCTGGGATTATAGGCGTGAGCCACCGTGCCCAGCCTAATTATTTTATTTATTTTTATTTTATCAGTTTATTTTATTTTACTTCATTTTGAGACAGGGTCTTGCTTTGTTGCCCAGGCTGGAGTGCAGTGGCACAATCATGGCCCACTGCAGCCTCTACCTCCCAGGCTGAATCGGTCCTCCCACCTCAGCCTCCTGAGTTGCTGGGACCACAGGCATGCACCACCATGCCTGGCTCATTTTTTAATTTTTGTAGAGACAGGGTCTCCTTATGTTGCCCAGGCTGGTCTGAAACTCCAGGGCTCAAGCAATCCTTCCACCTCAGCCTCCCAAACTGCTGGGATTATAGGCATGAGCCACCACGCCCAGCCTGAAGACTTAGTAGAATGCTAATAGGGAAGCCAGATAGAAGGGGACTTGAAGAGGGGGACTGAGATCCATTCCTACATCCTTTCCCCAGTGGACAGCCCTGCAGGCAACCCCCCAGAACCATGGGGAACACTGTGGAACTGAAAACCCCTAGTGCTAGGGCCGGGTGTGGTGGCTCACGCCTGTAATCCCAGCACTTTGGGAGGCCGAGGCGGGCAGATCACCTGAGGTCGGGAGTTCGAGACCAGCCTGACCAACATGAAGAAACCTCGTCTCTACTAAAAATAGAAAATTAGCCAGGCATGGCGTCACATGCCTGTAATCCCAGCTCCTTGAGAGGCTGAGGCAGGAGAATTGCTTGAACGTGGGAAGCAGAGGTTGTGGTGAGCCGAGATCGTGCCATTGCATTCCAGCCTGGGCAACAAGAGTGAAACTCTGTCTCAAAAACAAAACAAAACAAAAAAGGAAAACCCCTAGTGCTGAGGCCTGGAGAGCCTCCTGGCTCTGCCTGAGACTGGGATCTCACCATTGAGCTGGTCCTTGTTGGGCCAAAGCCGCCATATTTCATAGCTCCAAAGGGCGCTCTTCTGCCTGTGGTTCTGGAACTCCATGCTCCTTGGCATTGAGTAACTCAGTGTCCCTGCTGCAGCCTTCCAACCCCAATATTCAGCCCTCCTTCCTTGACACCAGCCCTGGGTACAGACCTCTACAGTACAGGGACTGTATGGAGAGCAAGGAGAGCTCAGCAGAAGCCCCACCTGGCCCCAGCACTGGAGTCGCTTGCCATCCTGCCCTCTCCCCACCGGGCTCTCTCTGTCCCTGGGTGCCCAGATGTTTGAGCGTGAGACCCGGCGAGAGAAGATCCTGGAGGCCAGGCACCGGGAGATGCGGCTGAAGGAGAAGGGTAAGGCGGAGGGCAGGGATGAGGAGCAGACCGATGAGGAGCTGGCCGTAGACCTGGAGGCGCTGGTCAGCAAGGCCGAGGAGGAGTTCTTCGACATCATCTTCGCAGAGCTGAAGAAGAAGGAGGCAGACGCCATAAAGCTGACGCCAGTGCCTGTAGGGGCCTGGACAGGGGTTGGGTGGGTTGGGGACTGGGCGGGACACATGGCACTTGGGTTCTGCTTCTGCTTGCCGACTTCCTGGGTGACCTTGAGCAAGTAGTCTTACCTGCTAGATCTTAATTTATTCACCTGGCAAGTGGGAAGAATTATTCCCTTCCTTCCAAAGCATCCCAAGTCTCCAAACAGACTTCAGGCTCCTTACAGGCAGGAACCATACTCCATGCCTCCTGGTATCCTCCCCTCCCCCCAGAGAGGGCACATGGTGAAAATGCGTGTTGAGTGACTGAACGAGGGAACATGTGTGTTGAGTGACTGAACGAGGGTCCTAGAGGTAAGTGAGCTGTCAGAGAGGAATGGGCCTTGAGACCCCTGGAGGGAAGGGCTGGGACATTAGCGGTGTGCACGTCATGCTGGCTTACCCAGGTTTGGTGTCAGGAGTGTGACCTGTGGTCAGCTCATCTGCCCATGGCCCCAGCTCTAAAGCACTTTCTAGCTGTATCACCTGAGCTGGTCGCTTCACTTCTGGCTTCCTTCATTTCCATCTGGAAAATGAGGAGATGTTGCTATAAAGATGGTGTCTGGTCATCTTCCAGGCCCTCTTTTGTACCAGCGGAGAGAGGAAGAAAAGACATTGCCTGTCTGGGTCACCTCCTTCAGGCCCCACAGATAAGATGCCAAGATATGAAAGAGCCAAAGAGCAGCGTGGAAGGGAAAAGAAACAGCGGGTATATGCCAGGATTTACCCTTGTAGGCAAGACTGGCTGCAGACTTGGGGATTGCAGGCACTGCAAAATGAAAATGTGAGGGCCCTCGTTTAAAAAGTATTAATAATTTTAAAACAGTGACAATAGAGCGTTAAACCAAGCGTGGGCCCTGCTGAGACAGGGTCCAGTGTATCTGCACAGAGCACCCACCCATGACGCCTGCTTGAAGAAGAGCTGTATGGCAAGTTCTTGGTCCCTGATAGAGTGGACAGAGCGAAGGATGGTGCATGAGCACACAGGGAAGATAACTGGTTCCATCTTGTGATTTCTTCCCTCTTCTGCCTCCCTCCCCCTGGGTCTAAAGCTGTGATTTCCACAGGTGCATTTTGCATTTGGGGGTACTTGGTTATGAGATGTTTTCTTCTCACACTGGGTAATACAGGTGGGGCAGAGAGCTCCCTCCACTTCTGGTGGAGGCAAAACTAGAATCCTGGATTCTGACGCCTAATCCAGGGCTCCTCCCACTCACCACTCCTGGCCTATCCAGCCCTGCAGAAGGCAAAGATGACACTGGCCACCTTTTACAACGCAATGGTGGCTGGTAGGCACCATGCTTTGTGACATATGTCCCAAAACGTGCTCCTCACCATGGCTTGAACATTCTACATGAAGAAGTTGAGCCTTGGAAGGGGTTCAGGTTCACAGAACTTGGCCCCTTCCTCCTCCTGCCTGCCACACACTTCCTGTCTCTCTCTTAGTCTGCAATTGGCCCAAAACGCTGGTGGTCACAAAGTACCGCGTGGTACTGAAGCTGTTTTACATAGGCTGGGTCCTTATGCCCACTATTTCTAATCCTGGCCACAGCCCTGCAAGGTGTCCTGTCCTCTCTATGGGTGAGGGGGCCAAGGAGACTCAGGAGGAGCTAGCCCGAGGCCTCCCAGTCTGCATGTGGCAGAAGCCAGGCGTGAACCCAAGTCTGCCAGATTCCCCCAGCTCTGCCCACTTTCCGCACTGTCTGGGCCCTCACCAGCCGCAGAGCTGGCACCCGGGTTCCAGGGTGCTCAGCGACCCAGGCTTCAGCCATTTGGCTGCTTTGGTCCTCGTGGGGTTCACATCCCAGGGGAGTGGGGAAGGCCTGTCCCCTACCAACACCAACACTTCTGTGCTGTCTTCCCCTGCAGCAGCAACCAAGTCCAGAAGAAGACCAGGTGGTGGAGGAGGGAGAGGAAGCAGCGGGGGAAGAAGGGGATGAAGAAGTGGAAGAAGACTTAGCCTAGAAGTCAGCCTTCGACTGCGGCGCTATCCCTGTGTGCCTTCCTTTCCCACCTCTTGGTATTGCCCCGCTCTCACAAGTGGGAGGCTGAGCTCCGCCTTAAAGCAGCACTGGGTGGTGGGCTGGGAGCATCGGGCCCTGACTCCCCAGCCCCTACAAATCACTAGCCCCCACTGACTCACTGGGCACTGAGTCCTGAGCCACCCCTTGGAGAGAGGGAAGGGGCGGGGCTTGTCCCGGAGCTGGCTGCCCCATTGTCTCAGCCACCCTGAGCCCACCCCAAGGCCGAGGCCACCTTAGTCCTAGTCCTGGATGTCTCCTGGGATTCAGCTTCTCACAGGCTCCCCAGCAATCATTTTCGTTTGTAACCTTGCAGACCCTCAACCAGACTTGCATGGCCATGGCAGGGCCTCGGGAAGACCTTCAGGAGTGGGGAAGGGTTTCTCCTCCATGATCGACCCTCCTCGTCCACCTACAAATCAGGAACAGAAAGTCTGTCCACTTTGAAAATACCTTTCCAGGCAGCTCCCTGACCATTTGGACACATTGCCACGACAGGAGCCTCCAAGTATGTGGGAGGGGACGGGCGGGACGAGCTTGGCTGTTCTGCTGCACCTGAATGCTTTCTGTTATCCTAATTCTTGTAAAATTAAATGAATCGTAACAATGCCACGAGTTAGTACGTGTGATGCATCCTGCACCCAGAGCCTGTCACGTTATCTCGTGTAACTCATTCACGACATCCCTGGAACTGTGTGCTCCCATCACCTTTATACTACACAGGAGGTTCCAGGAGCGGTACAGGGACGTGCCCAAGTCTCAGAACTCGTGACGGGGCACAGCGGGGACGGGAGCCCAGGCAGCTCATTCCTGACCCTGCACGGTCATCAACTGTGGGCCAGGTGCTGTGCAGGCCTCTCGGGGACTCCAGGGTGGGAAGTGGGCTGCCCTGGGGGTGCCCTGAAACCGCAGCTCAACAGAGCAGTCAGTGACCATTACCAGAGACATTGGGAGGTCGAGAGGGCACTTCAGTGCCAACCTTGCACAAGGAACAATGCCCTGACCATCATCATCCTGTGGATGGCAGGTGACCTTGGCAGGGACCCAAAGTGCCCTTGAAAAATGCCCTTGAAAAATGTGTTGGTCAGGTTTCGTGGCTCACGCCTGTAATCTGAGCACTTTGGGAGGCCAAGACAGGAGGATCACTTGAGCCCAGGAGTCAAGGAGGATCACCTGAGACCAGCTTGGACAGCATAGTGAGACCCCCATCTCTAATTTAGAAAAAGAAAGAAAAATGGCCATGTTAAGAATCTCCTTGGCTGGGTGCAGTGGCTCACACCTGTAATCCCAGTACTTTGGGAGGCCAAGGTGGGAGGATCACTTAAGCCCAGGAGTTCGAGACCAGTGTGGGCAACATGGGGAAACCCCATCTCTATAAAAAATACAAAAATTAGCCTGGTGTGGTGGCGCACCACTGTAATTCCAGCTACTCAGGAGGCTGAGGTGGGAAGATGACTTGAGCCCAGGAGCTCGAGACTACGGTGAGCCACAATCGCACCACTGCCCTCCAGCCTGGGCAACGGAGCAAGGCCCTGTCTTGAAAACAAAATAAAATGGCCAGGCGCGGTGGCTCACGCCTGTAATCCCAGCACTTTGGGAGGCTGAGGCGGGTATATCACCTGAGGTCAGGAGTTCAAGACTAGCCTGGCCAAAATGGTGAAACCCTGTCTCTACTAAAAATACAAAAAACTTAGCCAGGTTTAATGGCACATGCCTGTAGCCCCAGCTACTCGGGAGGCTGAGGCAGGAGGATCACTTGAACCTGGGAGGCAGAGGCTGCAGTGAGCCGAGATCATGCCATTGCACTCCAGCCTGGGCGATAAGAGTGAAACTCCATCTCAAAAATAAATAAATAAAATAAAATAATCTCCTTGAGGAGGGACCCAGGGCCAGCTGCCCCCCGTACTCAAAGAGAAAAATGGAGCTGTCGACTGTGGTTAACCTTGATAAAAACAATAATTCAGGTTATGCTGAGTGCTTGATCTTCACAAGTGCCCCAGGAGTGATCTCACATTTCAATCCCCACGTTATGGATGTAGCAGGCGAGAGAGAGAGAGGGAGTAACTTGCTGAGTCCAGTGGGAGTGGGTAGCAGAGCTGAGACTTCAGCCCAGAGTCACAGCCCTACAGCTTACGCCATGCACACTGCACTCCCAGGACCCGGGTAAGAGGAGTGGGCTGGGCCATTCCAGCATCAGACGGAGGGGGCCACGAGGGAGCAGCAGGCCCCTCGCTGAGCAGGGACACACACAGCCTCAGTGCCGTCCTCAGGAACGCCCTGCCTAGAGCAGCGATTCTCTACTGGGGAAGATTTTGCCCCCAACAGGACATCTGTCAATGTCTGGGGACAACCGGTGAGGAGAGTGCTTCTGGCATTGAGTGGGTAGAGACAGGGACCCTGCTCAGCATCCTGCACACAGGACAGCCCCCTACATTTTGGACAGTGGAGTCATGCTAGAGAGGCCCAATTTAGAGAAAAATCTACCCAAATGGAGCATCCCAAGAGAAAGTACAGGCTCTGCACACACTAACCTGAGCACACCGAAGGCCCCTGTGAGAGGCTGGCACCATGAGCTCGAAGGCAGGAGGACCTTCTTTCACTGAACTGGAATTTTGACCTTTGGCTTGTGCCTGCAAAAGGAGGCTGCCTGATGGAATCAGCAGGTCCCTTGTGGGTGCAGAGAACGCCACTGGGCAGGGACAGCATTTGAAGAGGCATTTGAGGAGTGGCCGTGGAAGAGGAAAGGAGAGCCCCACAGACGGCACCCGGCAAAGGGCAGCACGAGCTCAGCGGGTGCGGTGCCAATGCTGCCAACCCGTACGATGACCTTCACTGACCTCTCACGCTGGCCTCACCAGGAATCTGTTGTTTAGTCCCTTCCTAAGAGGAGGCAAACCAAACCACGAGGCATCACTGGGGCGCCAGAGGTGCCTGGAAAAACCCACCCCGTGGGTGTGGACTGTGCACTGGGACCACGCTGGAGCCGGTTTGGGAAGTGCGGAAGCAGCGGCCGGACTCAAGTGTCCACAGCACAGTGACGTCCTTCCTGTCCGTGCCACCCGGAAAAGGGGGTGCTTCCTTGGCCTCTTTTGCTCAGCTGACTTAATGAATGCACCGCTTAACCAAAGATGCTTCCACTGTGACCACAACAGCCCAGTGGCTCTTGGGAGAATCACTGTCCCCTTTCCCCACCGTGTGGCTGCTGGGGACTGTAGGCCCCAAGGCAGGACTCTGAGGAGGGACCCCCTGCCCTTTATAAGTAACAAAATTAAGTGTTTCCCGGGTCCCAGAGGCCCCTGAGATGTTACTGATGCCCAAGTAGGAGGCAAAGGTGACTGCTGGCCTGACGCAGTGGCTCACACATATAATCTCAGCACTTTGGAAGGCCAAGGCAGGAGGATCACTTGAGCCTAGGAGTTCAAGACCAGCCTGGGCAAACTAAGGAGACCTCATCTTTATTATGTATATGTATGTATGTATATATATATATATAATTTTTTTTTTTTTTGCAACGGAGTTTCCCTCTTGTTGTCCAGGCTGGAGTGCAATGGCATGATCTCAGCTCACTGCAACCTCTGCCTCCCAGGTTCAAGTGATTCTCCTGCCTCAGCCTCTCAAGTAGCTGGGACTACAGATGCCAGCCACCACGCCTGGCTAATTTTGTATTATTAGTAGAGACGGGGTTTCACCATGTTGGCCAGGCTGGTCTCAAACTCCTGACCTCAAGTGATCCACCCGCCTAGGCCTCCCAAAGTGCTGGGATTACAGGCATGAGCCGTCGTGCTCGGCCTATTAAAAACTTTTTTAAGTGACTACTGATGGCCTACCAGGGTCAGCATCCAGAGACCCCCCAGCCAGCCTCTCTGTGTGCTGACGTCCTGGGGACGCCTGCAGCACTGGTGGGAAGTGTAGATAGAGGCAGTGTTTTCACGGCATTTCCAGGCAGGGAAGTCTGAACCCAGCTCAGGCGCTTGCCATCCGGGTAACGTTGCCTACACTCAGCCCTGTGCCAGGCACTTGCCATGAGTGGAGAATAAACCAGATGCAGGCCCCGCCTCCCAGAGCCGGTACACCAGTGGGAGGCAGGGAAAGCTGATAGATAGGCAGATACCTACAGAACGACAGTTGTGCAAAGTGCATGTTAAGGAAGAGTACAGGGTGCCGTGAGAGGGATAACAGGAAGAACTAACCTAGACTCTAGAGAAGAAGGAGCTGGCCAGGAGGCCTCCATGAGAAAGGGACAATGCAGCTGAGACCTTAAGAACAAGCATGAGCAGAGATGTGTGTACACGTGCGAGTGCATCTGTGTGCATGTGTGATGACGTGCGCATCTGTGTGGAGGGGCACCCCAGGCAGGGCAGCTGCACACACAATTCCGGAAGGAGGAAAGAAGCCGGTGCTGCTCTGTTAGACCAACAGGGAGTCATCAGTGTGACCGGAGTGAGTAAGGGCTAGAGCCTGGAACCAGCCAGCGACAGCAAGAGTCTGCTGGGGCAGGTCTTGATGTCAAGGATTTTGACCTTGCTCCAAAGATCACTGAGAAGCACGGGTGCGGCTTGATGAAGCCTTTGCTGGTGGAGGGAGGCCTGGAGGGAGGCACCTGGGGGTCGGTTGGGAGCACATTGTGGTGTCAGGCAAAAGAGATGGCAGCTTGGAGTGGGGCGATGGCCACGAAATTACTTACCTCTCTGCACCTCTGCTATCTACCTTCAGGAATTGTTTGGGTGAGTAAATGAAATAACACACTAGCCACTGGGTTCAAAATAAGTGCTCAATAAACGCCTATCACCTCCCTCACTTAGAAGCATCTGACGACCACCTGGGACAGGCCTCATGGCTGGTGGCAAGTTCTAGGTTAGTACAAGGAGCTACTAGAATGACTTGTGAATTTGTTTCTTGGGGTCCTTTCAGCATCTGCACCCCAAATTTGGAAGAGGATGCTGGGGCTTAAGAGAAAAGTCCTCAATCCATGCTTTGTTTTCCCAATAACTCTCTTCCATTTCCCCTCCCAAGTCGTACCTCCAGGAGCCAAGCCTGGGAGTAGCCATGCCCAGAACACAAGGAGGTGGGACTTTGCCCAGGTTGCCCTAGAGCTCTAGAGGGCCAACGGGCTTTAGAAAGGGCTTATCAAAACCAGTGGCTTCCAACTACAGGTGGGTTTGGGGGGAAATGGAGAATGTCATATATCTCTGATTGAAAAAATCAGGCCGGGCACGGTGGCTGACACCTGTAATCCTAACACTTTGGGAAGCCGAGGTGGGCGGATCACCTGAGGTCAGGAGTTCGAGACCAACCTGGCCAAAATGGTGAAACCCTGTCTGTACTAAAAATACAAAAATTAGTTGGCCGTGATGGCACATGCCTTTAATCCCAGATACTCGGGAGGCTGAGGCAGGTGAATTGCTTGAACCCAGGAGGCAGAGGTTGCAGTGAGCCGAGATCGCACCATTGTTCTCCAGCCTGGATGACAGAGCAAGACTCCGTCTCAAAAAAAAAAAAAAAAATCATTGCTACTTGGAGATGGTCACCGATGCCATCTACACTTGCTTTGGCAGCAACAGCCTTCTTATTAAGCAAGAGAAGTTTTGCCCATTGGAGGGCTCACTTCAGGCAACTCAATGAAGATTTCAATGAGCTCACAAAAGCCTGAGCCCAGGTAGGTTTTTAGTAACCTTTAATGTATGCGGTTTGACCATGAACAGGAGTTCCTCAGCATCCCTGAGTCTTAGGACCCTCATAGGTAAACAAAAGATTCTAGTGAAGATTAACCATGACAACACAGATTCAGCACCTAAAGTGGCTACCAGCAGATTGCAGGTGCATACTAAACCTTAGTTTCCTGGGCTGAGGTGAAGCTGAAGCGGTAAGTCCCCCTTTCTTTCTTTCTTTCTCTCTCTCTTTCTCTCTCTCTCTCTCTTTCTCTCTCTCTCTCTCTTTCTCTCTTTCTTCTTTTTTTTTTTTTTTGACACAGTCACGCTCTGTTGCCCAGGCTGGAGTGCAGTGGCACGATCATAATTCACTTGCAGCCTCAACCTCCTGAACTCAAGTGATCCTCCCACCTCAGCCTCCTGAGTAGCTGGGACTAGCGGTGTGCACCATCATGCCTGACTTCCTTATTTATTTATTTATTTATAGAGACAGCAGGGTGGTGGGAACAGGGGCGGTCTCCCTATGGTGCCCAGGCTAGTCTCGAACTCTGAGCTCAAGAGATCTTTCTGCCTCGGCCTCCCAAAGTGTTGGGATTATAAGCATGAGCCATCACATCTGGCCTAAATCCCTTTTCTGATGAGATGTCGGCTGTTTCCAAGGATCTTAAATGTCTGCACGTGGGTCTAAATCAAATGCTCCTGCTGTGTGTGGGCAGGTTTGCTCAAGTAGATTTTCTCACTCATTCATTGACTAAACTCTCACTAGATACTGTACTGGAAATATGAAGTTAAGAGCCAGCTTGGCCGGAGGCAGGTGGCTCACGTCTATAATCCCAGCACTTTGGGAGGCCGAGGCAGGCAGATCACTTGAGGCCAGGAGTTTGAGACCAGCCTGGCCAACACAGTGAAACCCTGTCCCTACTAAAAATAGAAAGAATTAGCTGGGCATGGTGGCGCATGCCTGTAATCCCGGCTACTCGGGAGGCTGGGACATGAGAATCACTTGAATCCAGGAGGCAGAGGTGGTGGTGAGCTGGGACAGTACCACTGCACTCCAGCCTGGGCGACAGAGCCAGCCCCTCAGCTCAGACAAACGGACAGATGGTTCTGATCTCCAGTTGTGAGTGCTGTTACAGAGAAGTATATAGAAAAAAGGACCTGGGCCGAGCGCCGTGGCTCATGCCTGTAATACCAACACTTTGGGAGGCTGAGGCGGGTGGATCTCTTGAAGCCAGGAGTTTGAGACCAGCCTGGCCAACATGACGAAACCCCATCTCTATTAAAAATACAAAAATTAGCCAGCGTGGTGGCGCCTTCCCGTAATCCCAGCTCCTCAAGTGGCAGAGGCATAATAAGAATTGCTTGAACCTGGGAGGCAGAGGTTACAATGAGCTGAGATCACGCCACTGCACTCCGGCCTGAGTGACAAAGCAAGACAGAGGAGAGAGAGAGGGGCAGAGAGAGAGAGACCGATCTAATCCAGTGGGATGCAGGCTGGCACCCCTGTATTTGTCAGGACTCTTGGTCACATGTTTAAGAAACCCATTCTAGCTAAAGCCAAGAAAGAATATTTGTTGGCTCAAGAAACTTGGAAGACCAAGGCTAACAGCTTCAGGTGTTGCTGGATCTAGCAACTCAGATGTTGTCATTTGGTATCTCTCTGCACAGCTTCTTTCTTTGCCTCAGTTTTATGAACTTCTGCTTTAGTGAAGCTGCTTTCATTGGATAAGGGGAGGGATTAGATATGACCCCACCCCCCGATTTTAGTCATTTCAGCCAGTAATCCCAAAGGCAGGAGAGAGCTCCTCCCTCCCAGTATAACAAAATTCCAGGGAAAGGCTCTGATTGGCCTAATGTGGGTCATAGCCCATCCCCTTGGACCAATCACTGTGACCACAGTCAAGTCTGGGTTGCATGCCTTCTGCCATGGCTGGGAGTGGAACAGGATGCTGTGATGGGCTCCATCAGAATGACATGGACTAGAGAAGAGGCAGTTCCCCCAAGGAAAGGGGAGGTGACACATAAGATGAGCTTGGAAGAAGGAGTTAGCCAGATAGATAAGTGGAAATGGAACTCCAGGACAGAGTGGCAGGAACAAAGCCCAGAGAGGAGAGAAGAGCTGCTCACGCAGAGGACTGCACTTGGTTGAGCACGGCCAGAGCAAGGGTGGTAGAAGGGGACGAGCCAAGAAGAGGCAGGGAAGGCTGCAACTACAGGCTAAAGAGCCGACCCCAAACAGAAGGCAATGGGGCACCATGGCAGGATTTCAAGTAAGGTCACGACACCCATCTGTCCTAGAGCAGTGAGGGAATGGAGTCAAACTGGAGGCAAAGAGACCACGCAGTGTACGTGGTCATCCAGATGAGAAACTGAAGTCCCAGGCTGCAGGCAGCAGTGATGGGAGTGGAGAGGAGGGACAGAAACGGGTTCCAGGGCAGGACCAGGATGCAGAGCGCATGGACTGAGCATACATCAAGTGCCTGGGTCTCTGCCCGTGCAGGGCTTACTTTGATTCAGGCTCTGTCAGGGCATAATGAGAGTTCTGTGGACCAGGAGAGGAGGGGTCTGATATGGAGGATGACGAGAAATTTGACAGAGGTAAGCTGGAAAGGGTGTACCAGGTTGGAGGACTGGCATGAGCAAAGGCCCCAGTGTAGGACCTGGCTCTAGCATACATTTGGGAATAAGCAAGTGGTGAAGGTGAGTGGAAGGCCGAGCCCACAGAGCAGAATGAGTTTAAATGAAGCCGGGCAGGAGGCTGAAAGGGGTTGTGGAGAGTAAAGTGTCTGCCTTTACTTCTGTGTTAGAGAACACAGGAGGTCTCTGCCTGTCAGATCGCTCCCCTTTCAAAGATCTCTGCCTGACAGATCTCTTCCCCTTTCAAAAGTGGGGCTGGGGCCAGGCACGGTGGCTCACACCTGTAATCCCAGCACTTTGGGAGGCCAAGGCAGGTGGATCACCTGAGGTCCGGAGTTCGAGACCAACCTGGCCAACATGGTGAAACCTCGTCTCTACTAAAAATACAAAAATTAGTCAGGCGTGATGGTGGGTGCTTGTAATCCCAGCTACTTGGGAGGCTGAGGCAGGAGAATCGCTTGAATCCGGAAGGCGGAGATTACAGTGAACCAAGATTGCGCCATTGCACTCCAGCCTGAGCGACAGAGCTAGACTTCATCTCAAAAAACAAACAAATAACAACAACAAAAACGGTGGGGCCAGGGCATAGCAAGAGGCCATGACATGGTCCAGGTGAGAAGGGGTAAAAACTGGAGCCCAGGGAATGGCAAGAGACGATGAAGAGAAGAAATATTTGCAGAAGTAGAATCTGCAGGAGTTGAATGTAGAAGATGAGAAAAAAAGATGCGGTAAAAAATGCCTTAAAGGCAATGGGTATAAAGGGGATGGTGGGCCGGGCGCGGTGGCTCACACCTAGAATCCCAGCACTTTGGGAGGCTGAGGCGGGTGGACCATGAGGTCAGGAGATCGAGACCATTCTGGCTAACACGGTGAAACCCCGTCTCTACCAAAAATACAAAAAATTAGCCGGGCGTGGTGGCGGGCGCCTGTAGTCCCAGCTACTCGGGAGGCTGAGGCAGGAGAATGGCGTGAACCCGCGAGGCGGAGCTTGCAGTGAGCCAAGATCGCACCACTGCACTCCAGCCTGGGCGAAAGAGCAAGACTCCGTCTCAAAATAAATAAATAAATAAAATAAAATAAAGGGGATGGTGGTTTAATTGACAAAACCCAAAAGTCAGGCAGAGGACATTGTTTGAGAATATACCTGACTTTGTGATGAGTCTTCGTGTAAGATGGGTGGGGACTTGTTACTTAGGAGCTTCTTATTTATTTATGTATTTATTTATTTATTCTTGAGATGGAGTCTCACTCTGACGCCCAGACTGGAGTGCAATGGCACGATCTCAGCTCACTGCAACCTCTGTCACCTGGGCTCAAGCAATTCTCCTGCCTCGGCCTCCCGAGTAGGTGGGATTACAGGTGCCTGCCACCATGCCTGGCTAATTTTTGTATTTTTAGTAGAGACGGGGTTTCACCATTTGGACAGGCTGGTCTTGAACTCCTGACCTCAACTGATCTGCCCGCCTTTGCCTCCCAAACTGCTGGGATTACAGGCATGAGCCACTGCGCCCAGCCAAGAAGCTTCTTATTTTTACCCATCAATCGCTATAGGCCCAGCGCAGTGGCTCACATTTGTAATCCCAGCACTTTGGGAGTCTGAGGCAGGAGGATTGCTTGAGCTCAGGAGTTTGAGACCCTGCCTCTACAACAATTAAAAAAAAAAAATGAGCCAGGCGTGATGGCATGCGCCTGTTGTCCCAGCTACTCCCAAGGCTGAGTTAGGAGAATCGCTTGAGCCCAGGAGGTTGAGGCTACAGTGAGCTGTGATGGCACCACTGCACTCTAGCCTGGGCCACAGAGTGAGACCCTGTCTTGAGGGGTGGGGAGGCAGAAGAAAAAAAAAGAGAAAGAGAGAAAGACCTTGTCTCAAAAATACAAAAACAAAAACAAAAAACACCCCACAAAAACAAAAATAACTATGGGGCATTCTGGGTGGGACTGATGCATGTGGAGGAACAGAAAAGAAAAAGAAAAATAGTGACAGCCCAGTTGACCAGGGGCCTGTTTGATTGATCCAAATAGGTTCTTTTCAGGAGCCTAAAATGCAAGCACAACACACCCCTAAAACTTACCCGATTCTCTTTCGAGAGGCTGAGGTGGGAGGATTGCTTGAGTCCAGGAGTTCAAAACCAGCCTGGACAGCACAGTGAGATCCCTGTCTCTACAAAATACAAAATGTTAGCCAGGCGTGGTGGTGCGCACCTGTAGTCTCAACTACTTGTGAGGCTGAGGCAGGAGGATCACTTGAGCCTGAGGGATTGAGGCTGCAGTGAGCCATCCATGATCGTGCCATTGTGCTTCTGCACTCCGGCCTGGGTGACAGAGTGAAACTCTGTCATAAAAAAACAGAAACAAAAACAAAAAACCCGACCCGATTCTTGTCACAGTATGCCCATTTGCAAACTGTCCAGCCTACAGCCTAGGCCAAGGAACAGGACAAAACCTGGGATCCCGGGCAGGAGAGTTTGGTTTCCACCAAGTTTTACTTGGTTTATCTATTTATTAAA
This sequence comes from Homo sapiens, assembly GCF_000001405.40. Taxonomy (NCBI): domain Eukaryota; kingdom Metazoa; phylum Chordata; class Mammalia; order Primates; family Hominidae; genus Homo; species Homo sapiens. The sequence goes on from NC_000017.11 coordinate 74,325,065, forward strand.
CCCAAGGCTGACGGCTGCTTCTTGCTGCTGTTTATTAATAACGATTCCCAACACAGGCTCCTCAGGGGCAGCCGGGGAAGCCAGTCCCAGGGCACAGGCTGGCATCACACTCTGCCTCTGAGGGACCCCAGGCAGTCTGAGGCAGCCCTGGGGACATGAGTGCTTCCTTTCCCAGCCCCTTCCCTGGAAAGTGAAACCCATCGTGGCTTCCTCTCCCAGTCTTGGGGCTGCCGGGCTCAGCTTCGGTGGGGGCAGAGGACACAGAGGATGGACATCAGAATTGGGAGAGGCTCCAACATCCCCCAGGAAACTGAGGCCCCAGGGAGGCAGGAAAAACCAGCTCCAGGTGGCTGGCCGAGTTGGAGGCGGAACTGGGACCAGAATCCAAGTTTTCCCAGGGCCTCCTGAGGACAGGAACCTTTCCCCTGTGTTCCCTGGGAGTGCAACCGTTGTTATTGTCGCCAAGAATGGAGGCGGTAGCGTCAGACCTAGACTTTCTTGCACAGTATTGTGGCTCTTCCAGCAGCAGGCGGGGAGCCAGCAGGGCACACGGACCCAGCCATCGTGACCTAGATTCTGGGTTCAGGGGTAGAGACTTGTTTGCTAGTGGGTCGCACTGAGTCAGGCTCTTCTGTAGCACACCCCAGGTAACAGAGGTGCTGGGCGGCCTGAGCAAAGGGACAACTTTTTGCCACCCATGCCAGTGGGCAGTGGGTGCAGACACTCACAGCACAGGCACCTGCTGCGATGCACGCGGCGCCCACGGAAACCCGAGGCTGCCAGCCGCCGCCCTGGAGACCCCAGAGACAGCGGCAGATGCGTGTGCTTCAAGGGGCAGCGTGGCTGCTGGGGCGCTCCCTAAAGGGCAGTGGCACGGGGTCGCGCCGCGAGCAGAGGGGCGCGGGTGGGCGCGCAGGAGTTAGCGAACTGACACGGAGGCGCCAGGCGGACGCACGGACGCACCGAGGGCCGCAGGGCCGCACAGCCGGGCACACATCGTCGCGCAGCGGTTCAGGCTCGGGGGCCTCCTCGGCGGAGGCGGCCAACTCTCACCCTCAGCGCGGGGAGGGGCGGGCGCCGGGGGCGGGGCGGCGCCGTCCGGGCCCTCCCCCTGCCCCGCCTCGGGTCGGCGTCCTTAGCCGCTGGCGCGTTGTTGGTTTCGGGTTGTCAGGCAGCGCGCGAGGCGGCGGGCAGCTAGCAGCTGGCGGACGCGACCCGGAGGCGGTGGGGGTGCGGCTGAGCCATGCCCGGTGGCGCGGCCTGAGCCCCTCCACCTGCTGCAATCATGAAGGACAGCGGGGACTCCAAGGACCAGCAACTCATGGTGAGACCCTTTTAGACCCTCCTCCCCACCCCGCTCCGTGGTCTACTTCAGTCGGCCTCCAGCGACAGAGTCCTGTCCCCTCGCCGCCACCCCACTGAGAGGACAGGCAACGACCAGGGCCGGGACTCTTCAGAGCAACTTTCCCCAAGTCCTGCAGGATGGGTGTCAAGAAGGGACCATGGCCTTTTTAGACTTTCCTGAGCCTGAAAATTACCCCAACTTCAACCCCACCCCCACCTTTCCACCCTCCCATTGGGAGATCCCGCCCCCAAAGCGTGCGCAGATGAATCTCGGCTCTCTCATCCAGAAACGCCAGGGGCAGGGAGGGCTTGACCTAACTGCCCCCAGAAGGAGGGTGGCGGTTTCCCAGTTAATCAGAGGCTGCTCCAGCCCTGGTGAGGTCAGGAGTTTAAAGGGATGTGGGGGTCACCAGTAGGAAGACAAGGGCCCCTGGTGTCAGGATGGGGCCCGGAGTGCCTGGTTCTTGGGCTGCAACACGGATGCTGCCCAAGTCCGGATTCGAAGTAGTTCAGAGAAGTGCTAGATGCAGCTACCATGGCCCCACAGAGCCCTGGGGCCTGGGACAGATGGGGAGGTGAGAGTGGGGGCTGTGGAGGGGAAGGTGGAATTCCTGATCATCAGTGGTGCCTGGGCCAGAGCAACAAGGGAGATGACTCAGTGACCTCGAGGCCACCACTAGGCTGTGGGTGGGTGGGTGTCTCTCTCAGCAAGCCCCTTCCTCATCCCCTAATTTTTGAGGTCTGGGGAAGGGCCCTCATCACCAGAAGGTGGGCAGTAAGGTAACTGGAGGATAATGTTGCTCCCAGAGTCCCCTACCTCTCAAGGGTGGGCTTGCTTCTCTGAAAGGAGCCTCAGCTCCAGCCCCCAAGCAAGCCCTGGGCTCTAGGACATCCTCTCTGGCTTTTTAGAATGTGTCTCTTTGAAAATCACTGGCCTTGGCATGTATTGTGTGCCCCGGGGAGCAGGGATGAAGGGTCCTCCCCTCCCGCCAGTGGAATTTGGCTGAAGATGCCACTAAAGGTGACCCGTCAGGTAGTGTAGTTCCCTCTGAAAGTGCCTTTTGTTTTGTTTTGTTTTGTTTTTCTTTTTTGAGACGGAGTTTCACTTTCTCACCCAGGCTGGAGTGAAGTGGTGCGATCTCAGCTCACTGCCCCTCAAGTTCAAGCGATTCTCCTGCTTCAGCCTCCCGAGTAGCTGGGATAACAGGCATGCACCACCACGCCCAGCTAATTTTTGTATTTTTAGTAGAGACGGTGTTTCGCCGTGTTGGCCAGGCTGGTCTCGAACTCCTGACCTCAGGATCCGCCCACCTCGGCCTCCTAAAGTGCTGGGATTACAGGCGTGAGCCACCACGCCAGGCCTGAAGGAGTCTTCACTCGGCCAGAGGGCCGTTCATTCTATCCCCACACCCAGCAGCTGTTGCCCTTTGATCAGCACAAGACGTGCTCCCCACTCCACCCTGTTCTTTAGGGAGATCCACGCACAGGATGAGACCCATTTCACACTGGCTGGAGGACAGGCAGATGGGGGTGGGCGCTCTAGGTGACACTCTCCTCGGTGTAGGAATGTGGTCACAGGCTGTTGGGATGATGGGGGACATTCCCTGCTCCATCCCACCTACCAGGCCTCATCCCAGAGCCGTGCCTGCACCTTCCTCTGCAGCACGTCATTCGCGGAAACACAGAGAGGCTGCTCCAGTGCCAGGGCCCCAAGTTCAAGCCCAGGGGAGCTGCGAGTGTTTTATTTGGGCGTGAGGCTGAGGCAGGCTGGAGGAGCAGACAGCTCTCTCCCCTGGGGCTCTCCCGGAGGCCAGGGCTCCTGGGGAGACTCATCAACTCAGACACAGTCCAACACTCTGTGGACCTGCTGCCCTCTGACCTAGGTAGAGTTTTACTTAGGACAAGGGAGGCCTGAGATGGCTGAATGCTAGAGAAGCCAGGGGCTTGCTTGAGGTCTCTCTGAGGCCCAGCATGGTCCTCTCCCTCTAATCCCAGGGGCTTGGTTTTCCCTCCCAGGTGGCGCTTCGGGTCCGGCCCATCAGCGTGGCAGAGCTGGAGGAAGGAGCTACCCTCATCGCCCATAAAGTGGATGAGCAGGTATGCAGGGCTCTGCAGCAGGAGCTGCAGGGCAGAGGTCTGCTCAGATGGCTCAGCTCACCTGGTGAGGGCAGAAAGGGCCCCTGTGGCTTGCAGCACCCTCCTTCCTCTACTCACTGAACTCTTGGCTGTGCTGTTGATGACATCACCAAGGAAGCTGGGGGCTCTTCTTCCAGGAAGCCTTCCTAGATTGATCCAAGGACAACTGGGAGCTTCCCTAGCCTGGGTGGGCCCTGATCCTTTACCTTTCACATGCTCATTGCTTGACTTTCCCACCCTAATATGCCTGCTGCCCACAGAGCACATATATATATGGTTGAGAGCTAAAGCTCGCCTCTAGGGTGTAACGTGTGGCAAAATCCTCGCTCTCTGTTTGCAATCTTGGTCCTCATGTCACCAGGATGAGGAAGGCAGGGCACACGAGGCAATAAGTGTGTATCAAGTACCAGCAGCATGCTGGGTACTGTTCTAGAAACTGGGAAACTGTGGTGAACAGAAAAGGCCCTGTCCTCTCTCCATTACCTTAAGTCTAGTGTGAAGAGATGAGGCATTCATCAAAGAATTGCATCACAAACAAACGAGTTTGCAGCTAACAAGGGCTTCAAAGAAATGCTTAGTGGCATGAGAGTAGGTAAGAAGGGGATAAGACCTAAACCTGGAGGTCAGCGAGGGCTTCCTTAAGAAACTGTGCTTGACACTTTGGGAGGCCGAGGAGGCCAGATCACGAGGTCAAGAGATCAAGACCATCCTGGCCAACATGGTGAAACCCAGTCTCTACTGAAAATACAAAAATTTAGCTGGGCGTGGTGGCACGTGCCTGTAGTCGCAGCTACTCAGGAAGCTGAGGCAGGATAATCGCTTAAACCCAGGAAGTGGAGGTTGCAGTGAGCCGACATCACGCCATTGCACTCCAGCCTGGGTGACAGAGTGGGACTCTGTCTCAAAAAAAAAGAGAAAAAGAGAAAAAAAAAAAAAAACTGTGCTTGAGCTGAAAACATAAGGGGTGAAGAAGAGGTCATTAGTAGCATGCATGAGGGGAGAAATGTTGACCTGAGGGGCTTGCATGTGCAAAGGGCCTGTGGTGAGAGGGACTGGGATGCAACTGGGTAGCTGAGAAAAGGCCAGAGTGGCTCAAGCAGGAGAGTAAGGGGCAAGAGGTGTGAATGGGCTGGGCCAAACCACATACTCTGTAGACCATGGCCAGGATGTTTGTTTGGGTAGGCAGTTGAGGACTCGTGCTGGGATGTACACAGGCACAGTGGTGGGGGCAACAGGAGTGGGCTTGGTGCCCAGGTAGGAGCATCGTGGTGGTAGGATGTGCTAATGGCTCAGAGAAGTTGGGTGGCACTGTACAATGCAGAGAAAGGCACACGTGAGCACCTGATGGGCCTGGGCTCAGGTCCCACGGGCTGGACTCATGAAGCCCTGGGCCCAGGATAAGCAAACCAGAGGCAGATGGCACACTTCCAATGCCTGTTTACCTCTGGGCTCCCCAGGGGCAGGGGCCCACTCAAGCCTCTTTCTTCAGCAGTGATGATGGAACTGTGGGCACAGTAGAGCCATGGGTAGCAGCATCCTCATTTCTTTGCCCATATTCCTTCTTGGAAAAGGGTGGGCTTCCTCAAAGACCTTGGGGAAAGCAGGGGATGACTGGGAAGACCTCGTCTAAATGGGTCAGACCCAGCTGGAGCAGAATGAATGCACATAAACAGTGGTTCGAGGAGGTTCTGCCATTTGCCAGCTGTGCAGCCTGGGGGGTTGCTTCCAGGAGCTTCAGTTGCCTCATGTGTAAGTGGAGACAGACATCATGATGCCTTCTTTAGAGGGTCTTTGTAGGCTAATGTACGCACATGCTTACCCAGTCCTTGGCACATAGGAAGAGTTTCATAGATGTCAGTTATCAACGTCTGCTAGAGACTGAAATTCCCCAGGGCTGCTGGGTTGGCTCAGGAGAGGAGCCATAGAGTTCAGGAGGAGAAACCTCCTTCCAGGCAAAGCCACTCTGTTTGTCCAACTTGTCCCGAAGACATCAGGTCCTCGGGGTTGGGACAATGCTGACTCTCTCTCTGCTACTCCTGGCTCCTGGCCTGCGTGGGGGCTGATAAATATTAACTGGTGCTGATGGGAACGCTCCCTGTCAAGGGGACAGCCCATTGTGTGCCCACACACGGCAAACACTGGTTCCTTTCTATCCCTGCGTGTGGAGCAGGAGGGGCTCCCTCTCTGGGTCTGGCCTAATCCAGCCAAGATACGCCTCCACTGCCTCCACCTCCAAGAAGGCCTCTGAGCTGGGTGGTTCTAACAGGGCTGCTCCTTTGTCAGCTGGAGGTGCGGAGAGTCTTGTCTGGGCTGGCACTGAGGAGAGCTCTCCATGCAAACTCCCTGTGGGCTTCTGGCCCTAAGCTCCTTCTGTCCCCAGTGGGTTCAAAGTTTGGCTTGCACCAGGGATCCAGCCCAGCCCTTCTAACGGAGGACTGTAGTTTAGGAGCAGCCATAACTGCCAGGCTGGGACCCTTCTAGTAACAAACACTGTCCCTCTGACAAATAAATGCCTGGCAAGTAGGAGACAAGATACATGAACCCAGGAAGCAAAATGCACATGGACCCCCCCTTACCCTTGTCCCCGACCTGACCAGTTCCCCCACCTCCTGACCTTCACCTGACCCTAGTGACCCCATAGCTCGCTCACAGCCCTGGCCCAGAGGGAGGCTTGGGGGTCCAGTCCTCGTCAGCTTCTCTGATGGGGCCAGCTGGCCCGTCAAAGCTCTGTCCTTCCTCCTAAGGCCTGGAGGCACCATGGACAGGTGGGTGTATTTGGGAGCTGAGCCAGGACATGTTCGTCCTGAGTGGGGAGAGGTGGACCGGGGACACAGTAACCCGCTGGGCTGGGCCACCGTGAGGGGTCCTGGGGCAGCTTTCTTTAGTCTAGGCATTGTTCTCCTGGGGACACTTCAAATGAAGGAGATTGTGGCAACGAGGCTTGGCAGAAGGGGACATTCCCACAGGCGGAGAGTCCTCTGGGACAGGAACCCAGGGTGCTTGGATTCTGGGGAAGCTGGAGTTCGGATTTGGATTTTTTTTTTTTTCTTGTGATGGAGTCTTGCTCTGTCACCTAGGCTGGAGTACAGTGGTGCAATCTTGGCTCACTGCAACCTCCGCCTCCTGGATTCAAGCGATTCTCCTGCCTCAGCCTCCCATGTAGCTGGGATTACGGGCGCGCGCCACCGTGCCCAGCTAATTTTTGTAATTTTAGTAGAGACAGGGTTTTGCTATGGTGGCCAGGCTGGTCTCGAACTCCTGACCTCAAGTGATACACCCGCCTCAGCCTCCCAAACTGTTGGGATTACAGGTGTGAGCCACTGTGCCCAGCCGGTTTGGATTTTTAATGGGGATAGTCCAGTTGCCTTGGAAGGCCAGTGATTCCAGGACCCCGTTCAATTCCATTAGTAGTCACAATGCCTTCTTTAGAGGGTCCCTGTGGCTAACGGAGGCACAGTGCATAACACAGTGCCTGGCATGTGTCTTCACAGGGGTTAATAAATGTGAATGTGTCTCAAGGGCTGAAATATGGGATGGCTTCGGGTCCCAGAGGTAAACAAAACCTGGCCCTTGAGCCTTCCTGCTCCCTCTTCCTGTGTCAGAGCACTCAGGACGGTTCCCAAATGAACACCTCAGTGTGTGTGTGTGTGTGTGTGTGTGTGTGTTTGTGTGTGTGTGTGTGTGTGTGTGTGTGTGTGTGTTCCTGGAAGTAAGGTGGGAGCTCCATGTCTTAGTAGCTCCTGGGGTGAGATCAGACCCTAACGTGTAAACACAGGAAGCGGGGAAGTACCAGGTGGGCCTGGTTTAATTTACCTCTGGGGCCCCAGAGGAGCCAGGGACAGCCTGAGAGGCTGGTGGGGCCTCAGCGTTCCAGGTGGGGGAAAAAGCTACAGATCAAACAGCCGTCTCCTCCAATCCCCCATCCCTCCCAAAGCCTGCAGCCCACAGACCCTCCTCCTAGCTCTCCCAGGCTGTTTGTCTGCAGGAGTTAAGTCAGCTGACCATGTGTATGTCCCATCATTAGCATTTACCTGCTGCCACCCCCCTCTGCTCCCGGGGTGCTGTAGAGCCAGGTAAGGGCTCCCACCAGGCCTAGCTGTGGGGCCTAGGCCAGGAGGGCTGGGTGAGGGTGGGAAAGGAAAGAGGAGCGAAGGCAGAAGGGCCACCAGGGGAGATCTGGCCGGACAGCGTGACTCCTGGGATGGAAAGGAGAAATGTAGGCAAGAGGAGCCCTGAGCTCCCGAGAACAGAGGCTATACAGCCTGGGACCCAGGAACCAGAGCACCCAGGCTCTCTCAGCCCTGCCATGTCCTGGTCGCATACTGGTGGGCAAGTTGAAACTCTCCCTGGGCCTCTGCTTCCTCATCAGAAGACAGGAGAACAGGAAACCTGCCCCACCCACCCCGAGAGCTGTCGAGAGGATTAAAGGAGATAATGTAAGGGGGAGCGCAGCCACGCAACTGGGAGGCTGTTGGGAAAGATAAATAAAGTATAAGGTGACAGATGTCAGCTGCCCGAGCCCAGAAGTGCTGCGGGAGCAGCTGTCTTTAGCCCACCTGCCTGCCTGGGGGCAGTGAGGTGGGAAACTCCCTGCACACCGACCATCTGGACGCTTCTTGGCCCTGGTTCCCCAAAGAGCTGAGCTGGTGGAGAGTGGCTAGGGGAGGGGGTCAGGATTCTTTACCTCTCCCCGCTTAGCCACCTGCCTGTGTCCCCAGCCCCTCCCAGCCCCAGGCAGCCACTAAAGTACTATCCATCTCCATATTGCCCCTTCTGGACATTGAATGTGAATGGAATCATGCAGTATGTGGTCCTAATTTTTTTTTTTTTTTTTTTTTGAGACACAGTCTGGCTGTCACCCAGGCTGGAGTGCCGTGGCGCTATCTTAGCTCACTGCGACCTCTGCCTCCCAGGTTCTAGTGAGTCTTCTGTCTCAGTCTCCCAAGTAGCTGGGATTACAGGTGTGTGCCACCATGTCTGGCTAATTTTGTATTTTTAGTAGAGACGGGTTTCCTCATGTTGGCCAGGCTGGTCTCGAACTCCTGACTTCAAGTGGTCCACCCGCCTTGGCCTCCCAAAGTGGTGGGATTACAGGTGTAATCTTTATCAACTTCACTCCTTATGATACAACTTCATTAAGTGATACAACTTCACTCCTTATGTTGTGCATAATCCTCTAGGTTGCAAGGATCCTTACACTCAGCATCTGGATGGATACAATCCACTGTGCCTGGCTGGTCCTAATATTTTTGAAGTTCAAGTTCATTCACATTATAGCTCCTATCAGAACTTCACTCCTTTTTTTTTTCTTTTTTTTTCTTTTTTTTTTTTGAGATGGGGGTCTCACTTTGTCACTGCCACCTTGAATTCCTGGGCTCAAAGGATCCTCCCACCTCAGCCTCCTGAGTAGCTGGGACTATAGGCACATGCCACAGTGCCCAGTTGATTTTTTTAATTTTTAGTAGAGGTGTGGTCTGGCTATCTTGCCCAGGCTGGTCTCAAACCCCTGGGCTCAAGCAATCCTCCTGCCTTGGCCTCCCAAAGTGCTGGGATTGCAGGTGTGAGCCACTGTATCCAGTCACCTGAACTTCACTCCTTTTGCTGGCTGAATAATGTTTGAGGTGTGGATTCACCGTGTTCTGTTTATCCTTTCATCAGTTGATGGGTGTGTGGGTTGTTCTTTTTGGCTCTTGTGCATAATCCTCTAGGTTGCAAGGATCCTTACACTCAGCATCTGGATGGATACAAGGAAGGGTGCTTGTTAACCTGCAGATTTATGGGCCCATTTCCCCACAGATTCTGACTGTGCGCGTGTGGGAAGTGCCTGAGAATCTGCATTTTATAAGCTCCCTGGGTGACTCAGGTGAAGGTATCTGCAGACCCTTTGAGAGACACAGCCCTAGTATATTCTTGGTTATACACACTCCCCATCCTAAGCCTCCAGGTCTCAGAATCGTATAGCCAGGCAGGAATCTGACCAGGACATCAGCCAGGTGTGGCTGTGTCCTAAGCAGCCAGCTGGGCTTTGGTGGCTTTATGAGCTCAGCAGGGTCAACTTTGGCCTTCTCCATCCAGCCTGAAGGCTGACAGGCCCCAGGGACACCCTTCCTGGGATCAACGTTGCCTTTATTGAGGACTCCCAGGATGGTATGTTTACAACTAGAAACATGGCCAGCAACAAATTCTCCTTTAAAGAAACAAACAAACAAACAAACAGAAACAGAAACAGAAACAGCCTTACAAGGCCTAGAATCAGGATTTGTTGTGGTTTAGTTTTACCTGTAAGAATGAAGGGGCTGTGGCCTGGCTCCCTGGGCTGCAGATAAAGCCAGAGCCAGATTATCTGCTGAGGCTTCCTGAGTAGGATAGGGGTGTTGGTATAATATGATTTCTCCTCTCAAGGCTACAGCCATGTTGGTCCTCCTGACTTCCAACTGGGAAAAACTTGAGGCCCAGAGAAGTGTTGGAGCTTCCTAAAAGTCACACAGCAATGTCAAACTGAGCCTCACTTGTGGCACCCCCTCCCTCGGAGATTTTTGCCACTAGCCTTGGAGGCTGTGGGAGGAATGGTCTAAGTCAGTGGTTCTCAACCAGGGCAATTTTGCCCCCAGGAACATTTGGCAGTGTCACAACCGGGGGAAGGGTGCGACTGGCATCTAGTGGGTAGCGGCCAGGGATACTGCTCAACATTCTACAATGCACAGAACTGCCCCCACAGCAAAGAATGATCCAGCCCAAAATGTCAACAGTGCCAAGCCTGAGAAAGCCTGGTCCGTGCTCAGGCATTTGGAGGCCAGAAAGAATCCTGTTAAAAGTGCAAAGCTGATAAATGCAGCTGCAGCCTAGTAGTGTGACATGCTTTGTGCAAAGTATTTCTCACCTAGATGCTTGGGATGAGCCTGGTCCCCCGATAGGGACACAGCTTATGGATGAGACCTCCTCTCCCTGGCCTGAGGCCCCCACTTCCCTACGGGATCTTGAGTTTCCAGCTTAAAAGACTCCGACTCCGTCTGGAACTCTGGAAAGGTCAAAATCTGCATTGAACTAAGAGCAGGGCTGGGAGAGGAGGCCGTGGAGGTGGGGTCTCAAGCCAGAGCCTCTGCTGAGTTGGGAGCCTGGAGCTGCAGCAGCAGATGGGCTTGGAGGGACAGAGCTCTGGCTTGAAGCTGCCCGCCTCCCATGTGAGCAAAGTTGCCATTGAAACCTCCCAGAGACAGGCACCCAGTATGAGCATGAGAATGCATTCCCCGGGGGGGCTGTGAGAGAGAATGCCCATGCTGAGCCCACCTGCTTAAGGCTGGGGGAGGAGCTGGCTGAAGCCCCACCTGGGGTGTGGCAACACTCAGCTCCCTATGGCAGGTGAGCCTGCCTTGGATGTTGTATTAGTTTGCAAGCTGCTGTAGCAAAGTGCCACACACTGTGTGGCTTCAACAACAGCCACTTACTGTCTCACAGTAGGTGGAAGTCCACAATCAACATGGCAGCAGGGAAGGGTTTGCTCCAGGCCTCTCTCCTTGGCTTTATGCTTATTTATTTATTTATGAAACAGAATCTCACTCCCTGACCCAGGCTGGATTGCAGTGGCATAATCTCCGCTCACTGCAACCTCTGCCTCCTGGGTTCAAGAGATTCTCATGCCTCAGCCTCCCAAGTAGCTGGGACTACAGGCGTGTACCACCACACCCAGCTAATTCTTGTACTTTTAGTAGAGATGGGATTTCACCATGTTGGCTAGGCTGTTCTTGAACTCCTGACCTCAGGTGATCGACCTCCCAAAGTTCTGGGATTACAGGCGTGAGCCACCATGCCTGGCTCCCCTTGGCTTTAGATGAGCATCTTCTCCCTGTGTCTCTTCCTAGCAGCTTCCCTCTATGCAGACCTGTGCCCAAATTTCCCCTTTTCATAACGACACTCGTCATAGTGGATAAAGGGCTCCCCCTACTCCAATGTGACCTCATCCTTCCTCAACTGATTACACCTGCAACAACCCCATTTCCAAATAAGGTCACATTCTAAGGCACTAGGCATTAGGGCTTCACAACATGAAATCTCGGGGGGACACAGTTCCACCTCTAACAAGCGGGTACTCCCCCCAGCCAGGCAGCTGTTTGTCCACTCGTGCCCTTGGAGAAGCATGGTGGGCAGGCTGGGTTCTGAGACCCACAACTCTGAATCTGCCCAGCTCTGCACTTTGCAGTGAGGCTGTGGGTAATTTACTTAACCCAACTGATTCCTCATCTCCAGGCAAGTGATAATAAGAGTGCCCTCTCTTTTTTTATTTGTTTGTTTTTGTTTTTTTGAGACAGAGTCTCGCTCTGTCACCCAGGCTGGAGTGTGGTGGCACAATCTTGGCTCACTGCAACCTCTGCCTCTCAGGTTTAAGTGATTCTCCTGCCTCAGCCCCCCAAGTAGCTGGGACTACAGGCGCGTGCCACCATGCCCGGCTAGTTTTTGTATTTTTAGTATTTTAGTAGAGACGGGGTTTCGCCATGTTGGCCAGGCTGGTCTCGAACTCCTGACCTCAAGTGATCTGCCCACCTCAGCCTCCCAAAGTGCTGGGATTACAGGCATGAGCCACCGTGCCCGGCAAGAGTGCCCACTCTTAAGCTGTCAGGGAAAACACACGCCAAGCCCTTGGCACCATGCCTGGCACAATCACCACTCCCTATAAACGAAAGCTTTATTCAGCAAACGTCTCTTGGACATCTGCTGTGTGCCAACCAGGGGGGCCTTTAGAGGGAGGCTCAGAGGATGTACAGAAGCCTCCCCTAGTAGGGACTGCATGTGCTCACGGGGTGGGGGGGGTGCCTGGGTGGGTGGGGCATGCGTGTGCTGGCCTCTGTAGATGCACACGTCAGTTCTCGGATCTGTGCAGTGAAGAGCCTTGGCACATTGAGTGGAAGGTGAAGCTCCAGCTCTCTCTTCCCGACCCAGTGTTTCTCACAAGAAACCCCAGTGATCTGAGCTGAGAACCAGTGCCACAGCCTGCCCATCGCCTCTTTGCCTTGCTCATGTAATAGTCCGAAATTCTCTCTCCACTCCACCTCTCTCATTCTTTAGGACTCAATGCTAGTGCCACCTCTTCCAGGAAGTCTTCCTCTAGGAGTAGGATTAGGTGCCTCCCTGTGCTCTGGCACTTTCCAGGTTATTGACATGATCCTTGAGGGTCGGAAGGCAGGAAACCTGGCCTCCTTTTGCACTCTGTCCCTGAGACCTTGCTCAGCAAGCGTGTTGACCTGGCCTGAGCACCCCATGCTGGTCTCCCTGGCAGCTCAGAGCACCTGTCCCCACCCCTCTCCAGCTCAGCTCTGGCTCACCTGGAGGAGGGGCACAAGGGCTCCATTGTGTGCTAGAGGGGACAGGAATAGGGTGATGCTCTCGAGGGTGGGGCGGGGGCTGGAGCCCGGACAGATGGAACCCAGACAAAGCCCTCTTTAAGCGGGGATCGTGGCAGCTGTGCTGACAGTGTACTACAGGAGCCTGGTTAGCTAAAGGAACCAAATGCCCAGGACGCTGTGAACTTGGCAGTGTCTGGAGGTTGTATGAAGGTCATGGGTGGGATGGGCATTGGTGCATGCCACTCACCCTCCCTAGCACTGAAGGCCCCCCTCCCAGAGGGTGCTCCTCAGGCCACTGGTCCTCCCCGTGTCCACAGGAACACCGGCATTGGGATGAGAGCGGGAGCAGCTGGCTGGGTTCTGGTTGCATCCCATGGGGACCCATACCGGGGAACTCAGAGCCAGGTTTTACCTTCAGTGGGGTCTGACACCAGAGCAGGGCTCATGCTGCAAGCTTTGGGGCCTGGGACAGGGGCCAGATCCTAGAAGAGGCTCACTGTGACCACCTAGCTTCTGGCCAGCTGGCAGGGAGCCTGAGTGAGTGGCCTCATTCTTTTCCCCGCACAAAGCCCCCGGTCCATCCTATCTAGAGCCCTCTCCTGTAACTGGCTGACCTGAAATCCCATCTGATTGGGAAAGACTTCCACATGAGGCTGCCAGGGTCAGGCCTCCTCTTCCCGCTTCCCTCCTCCACTGAGAATCCCAGAAGGGGCCTTGCCAGATACCTGATGGTCATAGGTTAGTTTTGATGCATTGAGCACAGGTATGAACCTATCCCAGGAGTCCAGGTGGTGAAGGAAGGGGGTTTGACCCAGGGCACACGTAGAATGCTGAGGGAGTCTGGTGGGAGCCCCAGGGCTGTCATCCTCCTGGGACTGGGCATTCTAAATCCGCAAGCTCGATCTGGGTGGACCCAGAGGGACCCACGAGGATCTCCTGGATCCATGGAGCCCGGCTGTGCTCACAGCTCTGCTGCCTGCTGCCCCCTCACCAGCCTCTCCTCACCCCAGAGCGGCCACCCCTCATGCCTTGTCTGTTCCCAAGCCCTTTTTGGGACTGTCACCAGCCCTGGCTCCCCTGCTGACCCAGGAAGGGAGCATAGCCCCTGTCTCTGCTTCTATGGGGCACCCCTATGACAGCCCACCCTCCTCAGTACCCTGCCCGCTGTTAGGACTCAGTTTACCTCCTTGGACAGTATCTTATCCCCGGTTGAGTTAGGTAGGGCTAATGCACACCCTGGGTGTTGGGGCTTCCTGGAATTACAGGAACTACTGAGGGACAGGGCAGGAACTCCCCTACCTGCCCCACCCCACAAGGCCCCTCGTGGGAGTAGGGGTGGAAGTGTGTGCGTGAGAGGCAGTTTAGAAGGGTAGCCGGAGCACCAGCTGGGACCCAGACTGCCAGGCCCCAGTCCTGGCTCTGCCATTTCCTAGCAACATGACTTTGTGCCTCAACTTCCCCATCTGAGAAGAATCATCGTGATGATTCAAATTGAAGTGCTCAGTCACAATGATCCATTGTGATTATGTGCTGGGAGGAGGGGGCTGCCCATGCCCTACCTCCCTCGCCACCTTCCCTCCCACTGAAAGAGGGGACCGATGAGACACCCATTCCCTACCTCCCTCGCCCCCTTCCCTCCCACTGAAAGAGGGGACCAATGAGACACCCATTCCCTACCTCCCTCGCCCCCTTCCCTCCCACTGAAAGAGGGGACGCATGAGATGCCCATGCTGGCTGAGGCTGCCGTCATGCACTCCGTTCAGCACCCACGGCCCCAGGGAGCATGCTCCCTTCTCATGAAGAGCACGGTGGTGGCTCATTTTCCCCTGGCTATCACAAGCCAGGACCCCAGGGAGCCCAGGCGTCCCCAGGCGCAGAGCAGCATTTAGAGGCGCCAGCTGCCTCTCAGGGGGCACCTCCGCGGTGCAGTGGTTGGGGGTGGTGCATGAGGACAGGGACTATGGTCCAAAGGGACCTCAGGCAGGTGCAGGGCCTGTGGAATCCCAGTGACCTTCTCCACGGTGAGGGTGGAGTTGTGGGTCTCGACTTGATGGCAGAGTCATGGGTGCGGGGAACAGGTGGCCACTCTCAGTCTCCACCCCTGCCCTCTTAACAGCCCGTTGAACAAAGACTGTTGAGCTCTTGGCACATGCCCAGCGCTGTGCCCAAGCACATTACACGTTGTTCCAGGGTCTTCCCAGCGCTGCAGGTGGATCATGCTGCTGTCCCATCTGACAGAGGAGGAGATGGAGGCTCAAGCAGGTTATACCAGGCCCGACCACCAATAAGAGGTCACAGGGCCCTCAGTGCCTACCCTGATTCTCCTTTGCTGCCCCTGCTCCTCTCATCCTAAATCCTCCAAACTCAAGCCCTCCCACGCATCTTTGAATGTCTCCCGTCATTTCCATGAATCTGGCATTGTCTCTATCCCCTCCCATACCCTAGACTAGGGCCCCCAGCAAGGACGCAGCCTCCTTCCTCTGCATCTCTGCATAGAGCTCGGGACAAGGCTGAGTACACACCAAGTGCACAGGGGCAGAGGCAGGGGCAGAGTGGAGCAGGCCCTGAGATAGTTCTAGAAAATGGGCCCCTCGGTTACCTTTGGAGGAAGGGAAGAACCCGGCCAGGACCCTTCTGTGTCTCAACACACGTGCCAGCAGGTATGCGCGCGCGTACACACACACACACACACTGCTGCCACTCCTACCCTGCAGGGAGGGGAGCCCCAGCTGGGATTGGCCCACCCATGGCCTGTCCTGGCTGCCAGCCCAAGCCCCTCTGCCTCCCTTTCCACCCTTTCCACTCCCGGCTCAGGCTCAAAGCTGCAAAGGGCCACTGGAGCAGTTCCCTCACAGCCCTCTCAGCTGCGAGTGGAGATCCCCAAGCCCAGCGTGCTGACCTCATCCCTCACCCAGCTGCCTGTGGCTCTTTGCTCTGTCCCAGGCTCTGCCCTGGAGGGGTGAGGCGGAGCAGGCAGGGCTGTAGCGAGGTGGATAGGAGTCAGTGGACTTTGAACTCAGAGCCTGGTTGGCACCCTGGGTCTCCCCTTGCTGATGTGTGACGACCTGGGGGGTGTGACTCCTTTGGACCCTGATTTCCTCATCTGTAAGGTGGGAGTCATAGCTGGCCTTAGCCTGGGGTCATGGCTGGGGTTAAAAGAGACTGTGTGAGGCCGGGTGTGGTGGCTCATGCCTATAATCCCAGCATTTTGGGAGGCCGAGGCTGGCGGGTCACTTGAGGTCAGGAGTTTGAGACCAGCCTGGCCAACATGGAGAAACCCCATCTCTACTAAAAATACAGGTGGCACACGCCTGTAGTCCCAGGTACGCTGGAGGCTGTGGCAGGAGAATCACTGAACCCAGGAGGTGGAGGTTGCAGTGAGCCGAGATCACACCACTGCACTCCAGCCTGGGCAACGAGCAAGACTCCGTCTCAAAAATAAATAAATAAATAAAAGAGACTGTATGTGTGGGTGCTTGCAACAGGTCCTGACACAAAATGAGCCCTGACAGATGCTGCCCGTTCTTCTGTTGCACCTCTCTGGCAGAGGCAGCATGGGGGGTGTTGAAGTGAGGGGCAGGCCCCCAGGGTCTGGGCTCGTGGTAGCCTGGGCATCACCTGTGTGTGCTCTGCTCCCCTGGGGCTGTACTGGCCTTGCAGAGGCAATTGCTCGTTGTCAGGAAGGTGTCCCCTTTGGGCATCCAAGGGCAGATGATGGCGAGCCTGACCCGACATGGGAAAGCTGAAGAGGACAGGAATGGGCTCTGGCTCCGAGACCTACCTCCAGTGGGACCTGGGCCCTGGACTCCGGCCTCTGGCCCCTCCCATCTCTTGCCCACATCCTGAGGCGACGAGGGCTAGATTCAGAGCCCAGAAGGGCTTTGTTAACTCTGATCGACAAAGGGGTTAACTTTGTTAACCTTCCTGAGGGTTGACCTCATCAGGGCCCGGGGTTCCCAGGTGACCGTGGGCCTCCCTCTGGGGACCTTGCAGATGGTGGTTCTCATGGACCCAATGGAGGATCCCGACGACATCCTGCGGGCGCATCGCTCCCGGGAGAAGTCCTACCTGTTCGACGTGGCCTTTGACTTCACCGCCACCCAGGTGAGGGAGGGCCTGGGCTGGAGACACGCAGGAGCCCCTCCCCCACCCTTAGCCCCACTCAGGAGGGGCCCTCCAGGGCCCCTGCCTTTGAACCTCAGCCTCCACTCCACCTGCTCACCCTCTGTTCCTTGAGCCTTCCCCATTCAGGAAGGTTCTCATGCACACAAGGCACACACACCCGGCCTCCTGCAAGGATGCACTGGGGTTGGCACTCAGACACCACCCTACACGGTACAACTCGCTTGGCTCCTACTGAGCTGGAAAAGGAGCTTGAAGGCCATCTGGTGTGGGGAGGACAGGGGCAGAGGGTGGGTTCAGCGAAGCTGACACCCTCCTCGAGGACCCCCATCTCGCCCATCTGTGGGATGCTCCCAGGAACAGATGTGATGCATCCTCAGGGCGGGGGGCCAGGAGCCAGCTGCGCAGGAAGGCGTCTCAGGTGTCCTGGGCTCTCTTTCAGCCTGACGTCCCCCACTGTGAGTGTAAGCAGAGACATCCCCTCCCCCACCCCCCACCCCCACTTATCTTGGGGCTGGGGCTCCAGGGACAGAAACCTCTCCTATCAGAGGTCAGGAAGAGCCAGTGGGTGCCTGTGCTGTGCCCCGCCTGTGTCCCGGCCCCTGACAGGCTTCCTTCCTCGCAGGAGATGGTGTATCAGGCCACCACCAAGAGCCTCATCGAGGGCGTCATCTCAGGCTACAATGCCACTGTCTTTGCCTATGGCCCCACAGGTAAGGGGAATGCCCAGACTGTGGGCGAGGACCGCAATGCCCCTGTAATCCCCGTCACCCTCCAACTAGTCTGACCCCAGCTGGAGCAGGAATCCAGGATGTGGTCGCTCCACATCTCACCCAGGGCCCTCCAGCCCCAGAGGCCCCAACCCGAGCCGGGGCATCATCCTCCCCACTCCCCACCACCTCCCTGGCCCTCTGAGAGGGCCCAGCCTTGAGGACAAACCCCGGTTTCCAGGAGTGCCTGCCCAGCAAGGCCTCCCTCCCAGCCCCACCCCGGTCACCCTCCACCTTGTTCTGCCCCAGGCTGTGGGAAAACCTACACCATGCTGGGCACAGACCAGGAGCCTGGCATCTATGTTCAGACCCTCAACGACCTCTTCCGTGCCATCGAGGAGACCAGCAATGACATGGAGTATGAGGTCTCCATGTCCTACCTGGAGGTGAGTCCCCCAGCCTAGGCTCAGATGGGGCTGGCCTCCCTCCCTGGGGCTGGTCACTGTGCAGCTTCCCGGGGCGCTCATCACTGCTGCCCTCCTGCATGCCTACTGTGAGCTCCACTTTACAAACATCGCAGGCTCATCAGAGAGGTTAGGCAACTAGGCCAATGTCACACAGTAAGCGAGGGAGCGGGGATTCAAACTCAGGACCCTGCAGCTTCAAGGCCAAGCTCCGCCCTGTGCCACGCTCACCACCTCACCATCCTCACAGGCCCATTCCTTAGAGCAGACCCTGTCTGCCCTGCCAGGCTGCCTCCAGCGATTCTGTGTATGTGGGTACAGTGAAAACTGAACATACATGTACAGTCTGGAACCTGTGGGCCTTTGCCACCCAGCCACAGCCTCCTGGTGCCCACCCCATGGGAGTGCTATCACCAGACAGTGATGGGATGTCAGGGACTGGGGAAGCACACAGAGTCCAGAAGAGGTGGGAGGCTGGACTTCATCTGGCTCCTCCGGGAGCTGATAATCTCCTGGGTGACATCTTAAGGAGGCAGTGAGGCACAGCACCAGCAGCTGCTGGCCAACAAGGTGTTGATTCAGCCAGCAAGACTCGCTTTACGGGGTGGGGGTGCCCCCAGAAGGAGCACAGGGGTTGCCTAGCAATGAACAGGGCTCCTCACTGGGTGGGGGAAGGGGGTTCTGGTCATTTGTCAGGTCCCCATGCAACTAGGTCAATGTCACACAGTAAGTGAGGGAATGGGGATTCACACTCAGGACCCTGCCCGGTGCCCAGCCTGTCTGGAAAGGGGTGCTCCTTGGTTTCAAAGCCTCCTGTAACCTTGGCTCCAGCAGCCCGATGTTTCCTGTGGATGCTGAAGCCCCTGACCCCATAGGAAGGAAAGGGCCTTTCCTCCTAATCAGGGCTCTTCTGAGAAGAGCCTGGGCTCAGGAAGGGTGAACTCTTGTCCCTTTCCTGCACGAAAGGAAAGGGGACTCAGCCCTGGCCTTGACCTCCTGCCCTTAGTCTCCCTTCCCCCACCCCTCCCCCACCTGTCCCGTCAGATCTACAATGAGATGATCCGGGACCTGCTGAACCCCTCCCTGGGCTACCTGGAGCTGCGGGAGGACTCTAAGGGGGTGATCCAGGTGGCCGGCATCACCGAAGTCTCCACCATCAATGCCAAGGAGGCGAGTTTTGTGTGGCCAGCCTGGAGCCGCTGAGAGGAAGCTCACCGCCTGAGGGGCAGGAGGGGCGGGGACAGAAGCCAGGGAGCTGCTCCCCACTCGGCTGAGGCTGGGACAGACAGGAGAATCCTGAGTGGCAGCAAGGAGGGGACTCACACCTGCCCCAATGCCCCCACCACGCTGACCCTGGGAGAGTAACCAGGCAACACTGCCTCTCCATTTACACAGAGACCCTGACCTCCAGAGAGCCGAGGCCCACGCCAGGCCTCTCAGCACACGGAGCCCAGCCCACTCCAGCCTGCCCTTTCCCAACTGCTCAGACATAGGACCCTCCCTGCTAGCCCCCTCAGGGGCTCCTCTCTGCCGGAGCACCTACGGCAGTCGCTAAGAGCTGCCTCTCCTCCCTCCCACCCAGATCATGCAGCTGCTGATGAAGGGGAACCGGCAGAGGACCCAGGAGCCCACGGCCGCCAACCAGACGTCCTCCCGCTCCCACGCGGTACTGCAGGTGACCGTGCGCCAGCGCAGCCGGGTCAAGAACATCTTGCAGGAGGTGCGGCAGGGCCGCCTGTTCATGATCGACCTGGCTGGCTCAGAGCGCGCCTCGCAGGTGAGGCTGGGACCTGGGCTGGGCAGAGGAGGGAGGGTTGACCCAGGCAACAGCGGAGGGCAGGAATGGTGACTCCCATGCAAGGCCAGCACCACAGGAACAGGGGAGACAGGTTGGGAGGTGGGGACAGGGACGCTGGCATCTCAGCTTCGTAGGAGTTGGAGCGGGGAGGATGTCGCAGCGAGGTGGAGGGGATGAGTGGAGACCCCCGGGTTAAGGAAGTGAGGAACGTTCCAGAGGAGCAGGGTTGGGGGGAATGGGGTAGGGCATCCCGGGAAGAGCCAAGGAGCTCTGGTGGGAAGGGGAAGGAGGATGGGGGTTTCTCCAGGGAAGGAGACTGTGGCTGCCCTAGGGGAGGGATCCAGGAAGACAATGAATGGGCCCAAAGGAGTAGTTGGAGGCAGGGAGAGACAAGCATCCCCTGACTGGGAGGACTTGACACATCCTGGGAGAGGACCCAGCCAGTCACATCACAAAGAGGAGAAGGTCCCCGTCACCCATTTCTGGCAGCATCTTTGTCCCCTCTCATGAAGCTTGGCTTTGTGGCAGCACCTTTGTCCCCTCCCATGAAGTCCTGCTTGCCGAGCTCTGCAGCCTTGGTGGCAGCACCACCCAGCTGGTGTAGGTCTGGGCTCCCTCGTGCAGGCAATCTTGGGGGTTTTATGGTCACCTGAGCAATGAGGCTGGGTGATGTCACCATTGCTGGCACTGGAACAAATGCAAGGGAAATGACAGTGCCAGAAAGAATGAGCAGTCTTTTGTCTTTGAACATCTGGGGTCGGATCCGAACAGGGCAGGTTCAAGAAACTTACCCCTCCCTTCCAGTAAAGCCTGGGGGGCTTCCTGGAAGGCACACAGGGGAGAGGCCTGGGAGGAGAGAGAGTGCCCTTCAGCCACTGGAGCGAGCTGGTCCCGGCTTCTCCAGGCTGGGCAGAGCCACCTCCTAAGGGGAGCTGCAGGCAGGGCCTCCTCGGCTTTGACATGCTCCTGCAGGCCCAAGAAAAGGAGAAGAACCTGCCCTCCACCACCATGCACATGTGCACGCACTTTCCTCCTTGCTCCCTGGAGCACCCTCTGGAGCACCAGTGGTCCTGCCGGCTCCCAGCTGAGCTGCCTGGAAAGCAACCTCCCTCCCATCTCATCCATGGCACTGTGTGTCAGGCCGTGCCACGGCACCTGCCCTGAGGAGAACCGGCCATCTCAGCCCTCCTCAGAAGCTGTCAGCCCATCACTCTTGTTCAGAGGCCTCTGGGTCTCTTAACCTTCTCCAATGCCCTCAGTGGCCTTGGCAGGAGGACGGCCACAAGGTCCTTGGGGGTTTATTACCCAGGATCACCAGGTCATTCATTGGTGGGGTGGCTGGGGAGAAACCCAGTCCCCTGCCTCATCAGGCCACACGTGTGCCCTTTGCTCGCCCCCTAGACACAGAATCGTGGGCAGCGTATGAAGGAGGGGGCCCACATCAACCGCTCACTGCTGGCACTGGGCAACTGCATCAACGCCCTGAGCGACAAGGGTAGCAACAAGTACATCAACTATCGCGACAGCAAGCTCACCCGGCTCCTGAAGGTACCAGCCACAGCTGGGCCTGGGCACTGGGCACCAAGGGTGAGGCTGCCAGATTAAACAAATGAAAATACAGGGCACCCAGCTAAATTCCAACCTCAGGATACACAGCAAAATTTATTTTAGCGTAAATATGTCCCATGAAATATTTGGGATATTCTTATGCTAAAACAAAGTAATTGCATATCTGAAATTCAAATTTAACTGGGTATCCTGTATTTTATCTGACGACCCTAACCAAAGGCTGGGCAATGGGAAGGAAAAGGAGCACGTGATACCCCCACCCAGGGCTGTGGGTCAGAGCCGTCTAGATTTGGGGGTGCAGGTGGGCAGTCAGCCTCATGGCCCCACAGGTCAGCTGTTTGGGGGTGGCCTCCTTTGTGCAGGGGTGTCCTTGGCCTTAAATTATAGCAGCATCACTGAGCGCCCACTCCTGGCTGGTCTCTTGAATTCAGTACTTCACTCTATTAGCTCCTTAGATCTCGTCAACAACTCTATGAGTTTGAGGGATTACATTTGCAGATGAGGAAACTGAGGCACAACTCAGTTAGGTAATGTTCCTAAGGGCTCACACTAGTAAGTGCTGAAAGTAGGATCCAGTCAGAGGCCTCCCTGATCTAATATCAGAGTCACCGCTTACTTAACATTGCCAGCAGCTGCCGTCATGACTGCACCTAGAAGCCGGGGAGGTGGGGACAATTGCAAAAGGACTGCCCCCTTAAAAAGCAAGGAAAGCCGGGTGTGGTGGCTCACGCCTGGAATCCCAGCACTTTGGGAGGCCGAGGCAGGTGGATCACTTAAGGTCAGGAGTTCAAGACAAGCCTGGCCACCATGGTGAAACCCCATCTCTACTAAAAATACAAAAATTGCCCAGGCATGGTGGCAGACGCCTATAGTCCCAGCTACTCGAGAGGCTGAGGCACGAGAATTGCTTGGACCTGGGAGGTGGAGGTTGCAGTGAGCTGAGACAGCGCCACTGCACTCCAGCCTGGATGACAGATCGAGACCCTGTCTCAAAAAAAAAAAAAAAAGAACTAAAGAGGTGAATGAGCTTTATTAAGGTTACACAGCTGGTAATTGCTGGAGCAGGGCTTTCTTCCTCCCAAGCCTCACACCATATGACGCTCAGCAGCCGGGTCCCTTAAGTGTAAAGAGACAGAGAGATTGCACTCGCCAGGGAGGGCATCGTGAACAGCCTGGCAGGAGGAAGGCCTGAGGAGGCAGTCCCCACTGACCACAGCCACCTCCCATCCAGGACTCTCTGGGAGGAAACAGCCGCACAGTGATGATCGCTCACATCAGTCCTGCGAGCAGTGCCTTCGAGGAGTCCCGGAACACCCTGACCTACGCCGGCCGGGCCAAGAACATTAAGACTAGGGTGAGGGCCCCTGGACCGTCCACCAGGACACACCTTCCTGGGCTGAGATTCAAGCCCCCGGGCTGATCCCTGCCACCCCACTGCACTCTCTGGAACCAGCCACTGCTGCACTGGCCTCATTCCCTAGTTGATCGTCACCTGTACACTTTCCCTGCACCTCCAAACCCTGCTCCTCTGCCGGGAAGCCGACAGCTCCCAAGGGTCCCCGCTTCCTCCAGTCCCAGGACTGTGCTCCCCCTGCCTCATCCCCTCTTCTCTTCCCTTCCTCGTCTTCAGATGCTCATTTAGACCTTTGCATTTCCAAAGCACCTCTTCATGATGGTCATCACAGGAGGCAAGCTTCATTGAGCACTTGCTCTGAGCTGTTTCACATGCTACCTCCTTTGATCCTCAAAAAACAGCAGTATTATTGCGGTTCCCATGTACAGATTAGGACAGCAAGGCTTAAGGAAGTTAAGTGACTTCCCAGCTGGCCAGTGATGGCGCTGAGGATGGAAATGAGATCTGCCCCGTTTCCAAGTCCGTGTCCTCACCTGTCTGTAAGCATGTCGGAACCCTTGCCATCCGCTTAGAAATCCATTTCCACCTGTTCGTGTGTGGAGGAGTGGGAATGGATTCATGTATGATAGCATGTAGGGAACATTCTCCCAACACCTAACACTTGCCAGCTGCTGCCCTGAGGGCTGTAAGTTTTATTCCAACCCCTCAATGGGGGACGGGAGACACATTCTTGAAACAGCTCATTGATGGTTCAGAATATTCCTAATAGCAGGTAAATGATGCCAATGGTAGGTGCTGGGGCAAGACAGGAACAGGAGGTGGGGGTGGCCTGGTGGGGTCCAGTGGAACTCTCTGGAGACTGTGAGTGGGACCCTGAAGGCTGGGAGGACATTCCAGAAAGGTGGGAGCAGGGAGAGCACAGGTTCCAAAGGCAGGAAGGGGATGGCGTCTGTGGTGGGTATGGGGAGAGCAGGACAGGTCTTCAACTGGAGTGGGATGTTCATGCAGGAGCGGTGAGCCCAGAGAAAATCAGAGAGATGGGGGTGGCCCTTCAACAACGGGTGGAGGAATGAGGACGTTCCCCGCAGGCATTAGGAAGCCACTGAAGGTTGATGAGATCTAGCAGTGAGTGTGACAGGAGGTTGTGGAAGTGGAGGAAAGGAGGCCATTACTGTCACCCAGAAAGACTGGGGGAGGCAGGGGGAAGAAAGGCCCTGCAGGCAGGCCTCGGTGAGTGCACCTGGGGTGACTGCATCCCCTCCGCTCCATACGTGTTCCCTGCAGGTGAAGCAGAACCTCCTGAACGTCTCCTACCACATCGCCCAGTACACCAGCATCATCGCTGACCTGCGGGGCGAGATCCAGCGACTCAAGCGCAAGATTGATGAGCAGACTGGGCGGGGCCAGGCCCGGGGCCGGCAGGATCGGGGTGACATCCGCCACATCCAAGGTGCGCCTGTGGGTCTGTGTGAGTGGCAGCCCCCTCCGGCCAGCCTCACGTTGCTCTGGGATCAGGCCATGTTGTGTTCAAATCCAGAATCGGGCTCTTTCTGGCTGGGTGGTTGAGCTAGGCACTCACCAGCTCTGAGCCTCCTAGCATTCAGCTGTTAAATGGGGTTGTGATCTCTGCTTCAGACAGTTACCAGAGATCACAAGCCGATTTCCCAACCCCACCTTGGAAGAGTAGGTGGGATCCCACGAGGGAGAGGCACGTGAGCAATGAGCTGCGCAGGGCGCACACTAAGGGCTGTGGCGTAGGGCTGCGAGGTCATGCCTGCACCCCCGGAATGGGCTCCGTTTCCTTGTAGACCTGCATATTTGCTATGATGGTTTTCCAACAGACAGTAAAGCTTTTTTTAAAAAAAAATTTACTAATATAAAGAGAGAGGCAGACAGTAAAGATTTTTTTTTTTTTTTGAGACAGAGTCTTGCTCTGTTGCCCAGGCTGGAGTGCAGTGGCATGATCTAGGCTTACTGCAACCTCTGCCTCCCGGGTTCAAGCGATTCTTCTGCCTCAGCCTCCCAAGTAGCTGGGATTACAGGTGCCCGCCACCACACCTGGCTAATTTTTGTATTTTTAGTAGAGACGAGGTTTCACCATGTTGGCCAGGCTGGTCTCGAACTCCCGACCTCAGGTGATCTGCCTGCCTAGGCCTCCCAAAGTGCTGGGATTACAGGTGTAAGCTACTGTGCCTGGCCACAGACGGTAGTTTCTAGGGGCACCTTTTTATAGTTGGCACAGAGGTGCTGTAAGGGTTAGCAGGAGCCCAGTTCATACCAAGGAGCTGGGAATTGCTTTTGGGCAACAGCTTGAAGACTCAATGTGGGAGTGGGGTCTGGGAGGATGTAGTAATCTAGGGGGTCTTCCTGGAGGAAGCAGTTGGACAGGAAGTGGGAGCACTGAGTTGGGAAGAAAAGGAGGGGAGGGGCCCAGGTGGGCCCAGGCTTTGCTAGCTGAACTTGCCGCCTCCTCTACCTTGCCCACCCTCACCCATCGGCAGCTGAGGTCCAGCTGCACAGCGGGCAGGGTGAGAAGGCTGGCATGGGACAGCTTCGGGAGCAGCTCGCCAGCGCCTTCCAGGAGCAGATGGATGTGCGGAGGCGCCTGCTGGAGCTGGAGAACCGCGCCATGGAGGTCCAGATTGACACCTCCCGACACCTGCTCACCATCGCCGGGTAAGCCCCCCTCCCAGGACCCTCCAGGCCCCACCCCTGTGCCTGGGACAGAGGAGCACGACCTGTGGCTGTACAGTGTGCCCTGCCCCCATGGCCTGAATGCCCTGTCTCTCTGGGTGGGGCTGCGGCAGCTGGAAGCATGAGAAGTCCCGCCGGGCCCTCAAATGGCGGGAGGAGCAGCGAAAGGAGTGCTACGCTAAGGACGACAGCGAGAAGGACTCAGACACAGGTGATGACCAACCAGACATCCTGGAGCCACCCGAGGTGGCCGCAGCCCGGGAGAGCATTGCAGCCCTGGTGGACGAGCAGAAGCAACTGCGCAAGCAGAAGGTGTCCAGGGTTTGGGGGGACAAGGAGAGTGGGTTTAGGGGACAGGGTGAGCAGGTTTGAGAGGCAAGGCGGAGGGGCCAGGGTGGGGGTAGCCGTGAGACTTGGGAACTCAGGCCACAAATCCTGTGTGACTTTGCTAAGCTCTTTAACTTCTCTATGCGTCACATTCCCCACCTGTAAAATGGGAGCAGTCCATGGTGCAGCCCTCATGGGGTTGCTGGGAAGATTACATAAATGCCTGGCACATACCAAGGACTCAAAAAATGGTAACTAATGTTATAATTAGGGTTTTTCAGGCTGGGCACAGTGACTCACACCTGTAATCTCAGCACGTTGGGAAGTTGAGGTAGGCAGATCACTTGAGGCCAGGAGTTCGAGACCAGCCTGGCCAACATGGCGAAATCCCGTCTTTACTAAAAATACAAAAAAAAAAAAAAAAAAGCCTAGTGTGGTGGCTCACGCCTGTAATCCCAGCTACTCGGATGGCAGAGGAATAAGAATCACTTGCAACCCTGCAGAGGTTGCAGGGAGCCGGGATAGCGCCACCGCACTCCAGCCTGGGTGACAGAGAGAGATCCTGTCTCAAAAAAGAAAAATAATAATAATAATTAGGGTTTTCCCAATAACAGATCTTTGCCTTCTGTTCTGGGACATACCCAGACCAAAGGGGCTTTAGGGTATCATGAGCCCTGAGGGGGTCACATGGGCTGGGGTTGAGCAGTTATCCCCCAAGCTGGTTCCAGGGGTGGTTTGCGGTCAGGATAGCAAGAAAGTGGACACTGAGGGGCCACCTTGGAGCAGTCCCTGATTGTAAGGCCCAAGATTCAGCTTTTAGGGTTGGCCTCAGGCTGGAGCTCCAGACAGATGCCTGGAGTCCAGGCGCTGGAGGGTCGAGGACGAGCTGGGCAGGCGGATCGGACCCCTCTCCCCGCTGCCAGATGCTGACCTGCGCCTCCTGCAGCTGGCGCTGGAGCAGCGCTGCCGGGAGCTGCGCGCGCGGGGCCGGCGCCTGGAGGAGACGCTGCCGCGGCGCATCGGCTCCGAGGAGCAGCGCGAGGTGCTCAGCCTGCTGTGCCGCGTGCACGAGCTCGAGGTGGAGAACACCGAGATGCAGTCGCACGCGCTGCTCCGCGACGGTGCGCTCCGCCACCGCCACGAGGCCGTGCGCCGCCTGGAGCAGCACCGCAGTCTCTGCGACGAGATTATCCAGGGCCAGCGGCAGATCATCGACGGTAGGGCCCACGCCCCCGCGCATCTGAGCCACCCGCGGGGGGGCCGCTGGCACTCACTGAGCCCTGCCCCTTCCCCAGCAGACTACAACCTGGCCGTCCCGCAGCGCCTGGAAGAGCTCTACGAAGTGTACCTGCGGGAGCTGGAGGAGGGCAGCCTGGAGCAGGCCACCATCATGGACCAAGTGGCCTCCAGGGCCCTGCAGGTGGGTGGGCGCCTGGGCGGCCTGAACATGGGCACATGTGCCCAGGGAGGGGCTGATGACCAAGGCAATGCCTTCAGGCAGCTGGAGGGGACAGGACCAGGCTGGCTGGCACCCCAGGGAGTTGACTCCCTTTCCTTCTTACCCCACCCAAAGCCTTGTCAAGCCTGAGTAAGACCCTCCTCCTTGGGCACTCCTGGGCATCACTTGCTCCCACCCAGGGTCTGAGGGTCAGGGCTGGCCATCTGAGATATCACAAATGGCTCCAGCTGCCCTCCCAGGAGACCAAGCATCAGGCAGTGCCACTGGGGAAGCCTAGCAGACCACAGCTTAACCCCGAGGACCCAAACACAAGCCCACTGCCCTTCTGGGGCTCCCAGGCCATCTTACAGCCCTTGTCACCCTGTAAGCCTTTGTGACTCTGTGCTGATTTGGTCCAGGACCAAATCTTCTAACTGTCCACCCTGGCTCCCTCCTCCCCAGGACAGCTCCTTGCCCAAAATTACCCCAGCAGGAACCTCACTGACCCCAGATTCTGACCTGGAGAGTGTGAAGACATTGAGCTCTGATGCCCAGCACCTGCAGAACAGCGCCCTCCCTCCCCTCAGCACAGAGAGGTGAGATGGGGGCCACCTGCCCCAGCCCCCACCCTGTGCCCTGTCCCAGAGAGGCCAACCCAGACTAAGGCTAAATGGGGAACACAGAGCAGCAATGAGAGGGAGCAGGTGGCCCAGGTCTGGAGCCAGGACTCCTGGGTTCTCTCTCCTTTCACACCAACAGCTTCTCCCCTGGGGTGGGGGTGGGACCTCGGTGAGATAGCCTGGTCTACAGCCACTCATCTTCCTCTGCCAACTTCAGTGAAGGCCACCACGTGTTCAAGGCTGGTACTGGGGCCTGGCAGGCAAAAAGCTCCTCTGTGCCCACCCCACCTCCCATCCAGCTCGGCAGCCTGGTGACGCAGGAGGTGAGCTCTCAGTACCCGATGGCCCCACGAGCTCCACTGCAGCGGGTGCGGGACATGGGGGTGGACAGCAGCAGTTGGGATGGACCCTTTCCCAAACGGCACCAGCTTGAGGCCCCGCTGTCTCTGCTGAGTGGGGCATGGGGTCCCTGCTGTGTTTAAGGGTTTCCTCCTCCCAACCACTCCACCCCACAGGCCCCGGCTCAGGACAGCCTGGGCAGCTGGATCAACTCTTCCCCTGACAGCAGTGAGAACCTGTCGGAGATCCCCTTGTCCCACAAAGGTATGTGTGCCCTCTGCTGCCCGGCCACCTCACCTGGCCTTGTCTAAACTGTTCAGATCACCCAGCTCAAAGCCCTTTCC
Organism: Homo sapiens; assembly: GCF_000001405.40. Taxonomy (NCBI): domain Eukaryota; kingdom Metazoa; phylum Chordata; class Mammalia; order Primates; family Hominidae; genus Homo; species Homo sapiens. Next base: position 74,353,662 of record NC_000017.11, read on the forward strand.
TGCCCTCTGCACTGCCAAGTGCAACCAAGCATTGGGTGCTACACATTCTGTAGAGGCACCATTGCCCCTGAGGATTAGTCAGTCAAGGACACTTAAGAGTCTTCTCTAAGTCAAGGACATTTAGAGAGATGGGGGCAGAATCGGAAATTAGAAAAGAGACATGTGGCATGGAGACTTATGTCCCCCCTCCCCCGCCGCCTCCGCTCAGTAATCACTGTAATAGCAAATATCGATTCAATGTCTGCCCCCTGGATAATGTAGGTTGAGCCCATTTCCTCAATTAATCCTGGAAATAACCGATGGCATTAGTTTTACCATCCCCCATTTGCAGATGAAAGTGAGGCTCGGAAATGGGCCCAAGTTTCTTACATAGCAAACCCCTGGAAGTGCTAGGATTGAAACCCAGGAGGTCTGGCTCCTACCCACGTCTGCCATGTCAGAGGAGGGTGTTGAGAGGTGGCCTTGATCTCGGGTTGTATGTTCCCCGTGTCCCGCTGCAGAGAGGAAGGAGATCCTGACTGGCACCAAGTGCATCTGGGTGAAGGCCGCCCGGCGGCGCTCGCGGGCCCTGGGAACCGAGGGGCGACACCTGCTGGCACCCGCGACAGAGCGCAGCAGCCTGTCCCTGCACTCACTGAGCGAGGGCGACGATGCGCGGCCACCAGGCCCACTGGCCTGCAAGCGGCCGCCCAGCCCCACACTACAGCATGCTGCCAGTGAGGACAACCTGTCCAGCAGCACGGGCGAGGCCCCGTCCCGGGCAGTCGGACATCATGGGGACGGCCCCAGGCCCTGGCTGCGTGGCCAGAAGAAAAGCCTGGGCAAGAAAAGGGAGGAGTCGCTGGAGGCAAAGAGAAGGAAGCGGAGGTCCCGATCCTTCGAGGTCACCGGGCAAGGGGTGAGGCGAGGCGCAGGGGTGGGTGTCTAGGCACTCCCATAGCAGCTGGAGGCCTGAGGGCTGGATTTCTCCAAAGGCTCCAGGGCACCTCTAGCCTACCCCATACCTGGAGGCACCACCCTCCACAGTCTCTGTCCCCAGCCTAGCATAGTAGCTGGGACAGATCCTGGTAGCAGATCCCTGTGCCGCTCTCGGCCTCACCCCACTGTTCAACCATCACAGCTCTCCCACCCCAAGACACACCTCCTGGGGCCCCATCAGGCGGAGCGCATCTCGGACCACAGGATGCCAGTGTGCAGGCACCCAGCCCCTGGTATCCGGCATCTGGGAAAGGTCACGCTACCTTTGGCCAAAGTCAAACTCCCTCCAAGCCAGAACACGGGTCAGTATGGGCAAGGAGGGGATGGGGAGGGGAGGCCTCCACCAGGCAGGGGAGCAGAGAAGACACATTGCATTTCCTGCGCCTCTGGCTGCCCCTTGCTGGAAGCATGGTTCTAGCAGAATACTCATGGGACTGGCATCCTGGGGTGGTGCCCCTAGAGAGTTCAAGGCCACTGGGTGATGGGAGAGGAGTTGGGGAGGCATTCCGAAACCACTGATCCTGCCCCTTTCCCTGTTGCAGGCCCGGGGGACTCCTCACCCCTGGCTGTTCCCCCCAACCCAGGTGGTGGTTCTCGACGGGCTACCCGTGGGCCCCGCCTGCCCCACGGCACAAGCACCCATGGCAAAGATGGATGCTCCCGGCATAACTGAGGGGCCCTGCCTGGAACTGGCTCTCTCACCTCCCAAGACTGAATGGGGTCTAGCAGGGCATGGGAGGTGGAGGCTGGGCAGATGGAGATGACCAGGAAGTAAGCTCAGGATCTCAGCAGGCCAGGGCTCCTGAGACCCAGGAACTGGGGTCTCTGCCCAACCCTCCCATGCTTTCAGTGCCACTGGGGAAAAGAGGTGAGGCCAGGGGACATGGCCAGGACGGCTGGGCTCCCTGGCTTCCCAGCCCTGGACAGAATGCTGTTGCCAAAACCTGCACAGCCCTGAGGCCAGCCTCGGCCTTGGTAACGGAGGAAAGCAGCTGACAGTGAGACGGGGCTCCTGGCCCACGTGTGGGGCACGGGCATCCTGGATGGTTGGGGAGGCGCCGACAGGCACTTCACGTATTACAATTGGGGATGTGGGTGAGGGAGGGAATCTGGTTTTGTTACTTGGCAGTGGTTTTTTCTCACCCTTCCTTTTTAACAATAAAATCCCATTTGGGTCTTGATGGTTGTGTTGGAAATTTGACCTTGTCTGGAATGTGGGGTGGCCATGACTAAGATTCAACCAACTCCCGCTCCCCCTAGTCCCCATCTACCCCTGGCTCGCTATATAGCACCAACCTACAAATACCTGGGGGAGAGGGGTTTTTCTCTAGATCCTGAGGCCTCTCCCCATGGTGGGGCTAGCAAGATCCGTTATGTCCCTATCCCACTGGCCTTCACACCTGCCCAGGCACCCTCCCAGGAGAGGTCAGGGACCTGAGGCGGCCCAGATGCCAGAAAGTCTCACAACCCAGATGAGGCGGTTGCCCCTCGAGGTCAGGGCTCAGAAACTGCCCAGCTAAGCCCCTCAGCCTCAAAGTGAGGAAACTCCTGCAAGGGGAATGGGGTGCTCCCTGACTCCCCCGCAAGGGGAATGGGGCGCTCCCTGTCTCCCAGGCAGGTGGGTTGCTGTGACCATGTGGATGCTTTTACCTGCCCTAGTTCTGTGTCTGGGTGGGGGGAAAGCTCAACAAAGGGGAGTGAAACCCCTAAACCCCCTGGCTTGTGGGACCCTCCCTGGGTTGTTTTTACCCAGAAACTGAGTGGTTCAATCATCCCTTTACCACTCTGAGCATCGGTTTATTCAGGACCAAGAACGTTCCTTCAAGTCAGCTGTGAAATCAGCTCTTGAAACCAGGCATCTTGTCTACCACGCCTCACCTGGACTCCACCCCAGCCCTAGGGTGGCCGGCGCCTGGCCATCCAGGGGACCAGGCTTGTTGCCACCTCCAGGCTCGCCTTGCCCTTCCCAGACCCACAGGGACCACCTAGGCCAGGCCTTTATTCCCAGACCCCGAGGCTACTTGGGGGTCCGGATAAGGGTGTGGTATACGGGCTTGACGATGAGGTGCAGGTGCAGGGCGTTCTCAACCAGGTACTCGGAGTTGCGCCGCTGCAGGTCGGCGTGCGCCAGGAAGTCGCCGGCCTCCTCGCTGCTCTGGTGGAAGCTGTAGGCGTGGCGGACCAGCAGGCGGCCCTGCTGGCGCGCCCCCACCAGCACCGTCTTCTGGAAGCTCACGCCCGCCGCGTCGCCGCCGCTGCTGGCCGGCGTCACCACCAGCCGCGGTCGGCCGTCCTCCGGGCGCGCGGCGGGCAGAGCAGTGCCCGCGGCGTCCGCGTAAACGGGCCGCAGGCTGACGGGCAGCCAGCGCGGCGAGAAGAGCACGTTCCAGGTGACCCGGCGGCCCGCGTCGTGGCCACTCGGGCCCAGCTGCGTCTGGAAGCTGGTGCTGCGGTCGTCGCGGGCCGGGTTGTTGATGACCCACGGGGCGCCCCAGGCGGGCGCGAGGTAGTTGCGGGGCAGGAAGGCGCTGCCGTTGACGTCGAAGAACTTGGCGTAGTGCAGCGGCGACGCGGCGTGGAACTGGTAGGCCTGCAGCAGGAGGTCGGCCACCGCGGGGCCGTGGCGCGCCAGGGCTGCCGAGCGCGCCTGCAGCTGGAACAGCTGTGCCGGTGGGATCATGGGGTAGCGTATGGCGCGCAGCGCCCGCTCGGCCACGGCAGGGGGCGGCCGCGCGCGACCCAGCCAGGCCTCCAGCGCGTGGAACAGCTCCAGTTCATCCTGCAGCACCAGGTCCGAGCGTTGCAGGAGCTGCCAGAGCAGCTCGGGGCTCACGGCGCCCCACTCGGTGCTGGCCGCCACGGCCGACAGGTTCCAGGCCAGGAACTGCAGGCAGCTCTCGCGCAGGGCCTCGTCCCCGGTGCCCACCGCGTAGTGGTACCAGCCCACCGCCGGGCCCGCGCCTCCCGCCAGGTGCGCGCGCATGTAGTCGGCCACGCCGCGCTGCAGGGAGGACACGCCGTACTTGGTGGCCAGTCTGTGCAGGGGGATGGCCTGGGTCAGCAGCACGGTCAGCTCCCCGCAGTACAGGTACCTGCGGGAGAGACCGAGAGGTGGGGCGGGGTCAGGGCGGTACCCACCTCCCAGGATAGATTTTTTAGAGTCCACAGGGGACCCGGCCTGGAGTTGGAGCTTCACTGTCCGGGTGCAAACACAGTGGAAGCCCCACCCTGAGGCTTCCCATGTTTTCCTTTCAAGGACCCTTCCAGGCCATTCTTACTTCACAGGCTCTTCTTTCCGTTTCCGCGGTGATGTAGAAATTGCCTGCATTGACTGTGCCTCTACTAGGCGTGCAGCCCTAGGCTGGAACAAAACAGACGTGGCTCCTGCCTTTGGGGTTTCCAGTCTGGTTGGGATCCATGGCCTGCCTTCTCCTTGCCATGAGTCTGGGCAAGTCACTTAACTTCAGTGAACCTTAGGCTAATCAATCACCTAGGAAAGGGGGAGTGGCACACACCCCTCAGGGTTACTGTGACAACCAGAGGAGAATAAAGAATCTTGCTACAGGCCAGGTGGGTGCTAGTGGCTCACACCTGGAATCTCAGCACTTTGGAAGGCCAAGATGGGAGGATTGCTTGAGGCCAGGAGTTCAAGACCAGCTTGGGCAACATAGCAAGACCCTATCTCTACAAAAAATAAAAAATGTTAAAACATTAGTCATGTGTGGTGGTGCACGCTTGTAGTCCCAGCTGCCTGGGAGTCTGAGGTGGGAAGATAGCTTCAGCCTAGGAGTTCAAGGCTGCAGTGAGCTATGATCATCATGCCACGACACTCCAGCTTTTTTTTTTTTTTTTTTTTTTTTTGAGATGGGGTCTTTCTGTATTGCTCAGGTTGGTCTCAAACTCCTGGACTTGAGCAGTCCTCCCACCTTGGCCTCTCAAAGTGCTGGGATTACAGGTGTGAGCCCCCATTTCTTTTTTGCAGCCTCACCTTTCTTTTTCCTCTCCTACTGTTGGTGATCACTTCTGCTGAGTATCTCTTCGTCTTACTTCTGCCACTGTCCCATGGCTCACCTTTCCTGCCAGTCCCCACCGGCACACGGCACCGCACTTGCCTCTATAGGAGTGTGGCAGCCACTGCCAGCCATCTTCCCCAACGTCCATTTCTCCCCTTTCCCCTGCGTGATTGCCTCTGGGAATAAAAGACCACATTTCCCAGGCTCCCTCATTCTGGCCTTGGCCATGTGACTAACTGCTGGTCAATGGGCGCAGTTTGGGATTTGCAGGAAGGCTGATTAAATGCAACTGATTCCGGGTTAACAGGAAGACCCTTTTTGCCCTTCTGTCTTATCCCCTTTCCTGTTGCCTGGAACTTGGAAGCAATGTATGGAATTCTGCAGGCATCTCGTCTGAGCCGTTAGAACAGAGTTACTTTCTTAGACACTAGTGTGAATGGCACCCCCTGAGCAGCATCACGGCAGGAGGCAGGAGGTGGAGAGAGCCGTCTAACTTTTTCAGCTCCCTAGCCCTGTGGTTCCAAACCTGGCCAAACACCAAAACCACAGCGATGCTTTCAAATAAAAAATATTCGTCTATAATGGAATATTTAGGAAAATAAAAAGTAAATAAATAAAATAAAATAAAAAATGATTGCTGGCCCTAACCCTAGACCTGAAACTGACAATCCAGGTTGGGATCCGTGAAACTGTAGTTTTTTTGTTTGTTTGTTTGGTTGGTTGGTTGGTTGGTTGGTTGATTTTTTTCAGACAGAATCCTGCTCTGTCACCCAGGCTGGAATCTAGTGGCACAATCTCAGCTCACTGCAAACCCAAACTCTGCCTCCCAGGTTCAAGCCATTCTCCTGCCTTAGCCTCCCAAATAGCTGGGATTACAGTCGTGTGCCACCACACCCAGCTAATTTTCTATATTTTTAGTAGAGACAGGGTTTCACCATGTTGGCCAGGCTGGTCTTGAACTCCTGACCTCAAGTGATCCACCTGCCTCAGCCTCCCAAATTGCTGGGATTACAGGCATGAGCCACCGTGCCCGGCCCCAAAACTGTAGTTTTTAAAAGCTGTCTATGGCCAGGTTTGGAAACAGCTCTGAGGGGGTTACTAGGAACCGAAAGTGACATCAAACTGCACAGATGACACGGGCAAAGACAGGGAGCTGTACAGTGGAAGAAGGGATGCAGGGGTCACTGTCATCCCAGTGATGTCCGGGGAAATGGACATAACAACCTCTAAGGGCCTGGGCTTCCCTGACCCTGTAGGTGGAGGAGCCGGGGGCTGAGGAAGGGATGAAGCCATCCCCTAGTCTTCCGCGTCCCCACCTGATGAACTTGTCGAAGACAGCGGCGCAGTCCTGTGGCTCCTGCAGCACCGCCTCGCTCTGGTTACTTAGCAGCTCCAGGAACAGCTCACTGTGCAGTCCCAGCAGCAGGCGGTGGGCGTGGAATACCCGGACCTCATCGGTGCCCGCAGCCTGCACCCGCAGAACCACATCGCTGGCGTTGCCCTGCCGCAGCAGCTCCTGCAAGCGCTGGAGCACCGCCTGGGAGTGGTTGATGGAGGTGCCAGCTGCCTCCCCGCCAACATCGGCTCTCTGTGCTGCAGCAGGAAGGAACACAGCATAGCCTGAGAAGGTGCCCGGGCCCAGAACCTCAGTCAGGGGTGGAGAGGGACCAGCTGGAGACATATGCATGGGTGTGAGCAGAGGGCAAGGTGGGCCTAGGCGGGTTGTATGTGCATACCTGTTTGTGCCCACGAGGCGCGTGGATGCATCGGTGCACATACAAACGCACCCTGGGTGGGAAGGTCATGCCAATGCAAACCCCAAGAGGATGCTCTTGGAAGGGGGTGCATTCAGGCAGGGGGAGGTTGTGCTCAGGTTTAGGACAACATGCCCAGAACTCATCTCCATGCTGCCAGCCCCCCAGGCAAGGGTTGAGGAAACTCGTGGTCCCACCCTTCTCACTTCCTAAAGAATTATCCATCTAACCCCTTGGAGCAGTAGTCAGAAGTGGTGCATTCACTAACAAATATTTATTGAGCACTTACTATATGCTAGACATTCTCCTAAGAGCTTGGGATGTGGCAGTGGACAAAGCAAGCCAAGTTCTTATGCTCATAAAAGCACGAATTGACATATCAAACGGGTAAGACACACACAAATAAGCACTCCAGTTTTAAAGGAGCCAGCCAGGGAACCAGTGTCAAGGCAGGCTCCAGCCCCGCAAAGGCCCTTGAACGGAATGGGCCTGGGGTACTGGGAGCAGAGAGAGCATTAGGGAGGCCACAGCAGTAGCAGGAGAGAGGGGCGGGTGTGAGACGAGGCTGCGGGTGTGGAAGGGAAGCTGTTTTCCAGGCCCAGCCCTGCCCTCTTGGGTCCTGATCTCTGAGACAGAAGCCGATTTTCTGGGGTGGCCAGCAGGGGACAGGAGAAAGTGCGAAGGGCCAGCTGGTGCTGGAATAGAACTTCCTGGGTAACTGAGCATTGAGGCTGGCCAGGCCGGCCCTTTGCTTATGCTCCAGGATGCCCCGACAGTCAGATGGGGATATGCACTCAGTTATAGAAACTGTCAGCAGCTTTCCCAAGCCGAGAACAGCGAGGGGAGCCTCGCAGAGGGAGGCGGGCGGGGGCCTGATTGCAGCAGATGGGCCGCAGCCACATGTGCACGCACAGCACATGCAGGCCCGTGGTGCACACAGGAGAGAAGGCTCACACAGGAGCAGAGCATCTGTGCATGAGAGAGGGAGGCCGAGGGACAAAGGGAGGGTGAAAGAGAAGCGGGTAGTATGTTTCCCAGCACGGCCTTCCCCAGCTGTCACTTTGAAGGACCTGAATGCTGATGGCGTCCCCATTCAGCCTCTGCCCAGGACAATGGGCAATGGAGGGTCCTCTTGTCCTTAAGAGCCCTGCCCACCTGCCTGCCAGGCCCCTCCTTCCTTCAGACAGATGAGTCCGTGGAGCTGTCCGGTCCACCCCGTGCTCTCCCCAGCAGCTGGACACCGCCCCCTCCTGGCCGGCCGCGTGCAGCCAGGGCTGGGACGACCTGCCGCTCCACCCTGCCCCGCACCTGGCCCACTGCCCGCTCACCTGCATGGGTGACCAGGCCCACCAAGGTCAGCATGGCCCAGAAGCTGCCCCAGGACCCAGGCTTGGAGTAGCCTCTCCTAGGCATCTTTATGCTCAGCCCCCAAGTCCACTGGAGGGACGGTGAAGCCCAGACCACTCTGCTCACATCCCTCTTCCTTATATAGGATCCGGCACAAGGGGACGGCACCCCCCTTCCTGCTTGGCCTCCCTCCCCCACTCAGCCTCCTCCATGGATTGGTGGAAACTGGCCCCAGCTGTTGCCCAGGCAACCACTTAAGCCAGAGAGCGGCAGCCCCGGGGGCTATTGTGCTGCCTGTGGGCCCCCAAGGGGAACAGATCCGGAACCCTCCTCCCCCAATCTCCTTACCACCCAGCAGGGCTAGCCGTGCCTCTCCCTGGAAAGTTTCAGGCTCTCTGCAGAATAGGCGAGGGGCTCCAGGACCACTGGCAGCCATTGGCCTGAGGGTCCCCAGTTCCCTCCCCCAACCCCAGGCCTCGGCCCTGGCACAGAGCACACTTGGCAGCGTCGTGCCTGGAGCACCATGGTGAGCCGGCTGCAAAGGAAGGGCCTGGAAGAGGAAAGGAGAGGCGGCTGAGGCTCCCACCCCTCCCCCACTCCCATTTTGGGGTGGGGCAGCTCCTCAGAGAGAAGCTCAGAGATCTCTCGAATAGGGGCCCATGGGCAACTGATGTCAGTTTCATATTCTTTGTTGAAGAAGGTTCCTGGAATGCTGTGGGGAGGGTGATGGGCTGGCAGGAAAGTTCTGTGGGGACTGTGACTGTCGCCTCCCCCAGGGGCAAGCTGAGCCAGGTGGCAGGGCTGGGCATAGAGCAGATGCACCCTGCCCCGTGCACCACTGCATGGGTGACCCCTGCCCAGAGCGGGGCTGGCCACCTTCTAGCTCTGCGCTCCAGCCAGCCCAAGGCTGGGGACTGTCTGCCCTGCTATTTCCTGACTTGAATTCTCCTTCCCCAAGTGGCCTCAGGTCTCTGGGTTCACCTCCTTGGAAGGCTTGTTTTACCAGCTTCTGTCTTATTTCCCACTGTAATTTTTCCTTTTCCAGGCTAAGGAGGCATGCTGCAGACCTGGTGTTTCACTCCCAATGTAAGGAAACTGAGGCAGGGAGCTAGGTTGCAGTCTCAGTTGGGTTAGTGCAGAGGAGTGCTCTTCTAAAAACAAAGGCAACAGAGAGAGGAAAGTGAGTCTGGAGCTCAGCAAAAGCGCGCGCGCATGTGTGTGTGTGTGTGTGTGTGTAGGGTGGCATGCTGTGAGTCCTCACCTTTGCAGGGAGCCAGCAGGGTCTGCCCCAGTTCTTCGTGGGAGGGACTCCTTTGAGCTTGGCTAACCGAAGTGGGTGACTCCCAAGGGATCTGACTCCGAGGCAGGGCTCTAGGTTGGGGATGAATTAAATCTTCCTCTCCCTGGCTCTCTGGATCCCAGGGGCCAGCTCGATGCATTGATTTCTGCCTCTGGCTGGCACAGAGACCCAGCAGCTCCACCCCCTCTCTGGAGCCGCAGAGAGAGCAAGAACTGGGTCTGGCACCTGCCTCGTCCGGGTTGGCAGAGTTGGAGCTCTCCAGCCCAGCGGAAACCCCTCCAGCTGCCCTGAGTTTCATGCCTGGCTCCCCTCGTCCAAATCCACTATCCCTTGCCCACTGGCTGCCCGCCTGCCCTTCCCATGGGCTGTACCATGTCCTGGCTCAACCCAGCAAGTCCAAGTCTCCATGCAGCAGGGCAGCCCTGGTCCCTGAGGGCATCCCAGCTTCCAAGCACAGTGCTTTCGATAGGAATGTTATTGATGATAAGAGAACCCGCTACTCAGAAAACTGTCGTTTGATATTTGTGCCTCTCAACTCCAGCCTCCTTCAGCCTCTGCATCAGTCATTCTTTGTTTTGTTTTGCTTTTCTAGAGGCAGAATCTCTCAGTCACCAAGGCTGGAGTGCAGTGACACAATCATAGCTCACTGCAGCCTCAAACTCCTAGGCCCAAGCGATCCTCCTGCCTCAGCCTCCCAAGTAGCTGGGACAAAGGCAGTGCCACCACGCCTAGCTAATTTTGTGTCAGTCATTCTTGAAGGGTAGCCACCTGCATTAGAATCTCCCATGCTCCACCTTGGAACCAGGATTTTCAGGGGCAGGGTCTGGCTGTCTGTATTTTCTAAGTACTCCCAGACAATTGTTATACGCACCCCAAGACAAGCGCTACCTACTAGAGCTAGATTGGTGGCATTTCAAGTGTGAAGGAAGCTGGGAGGCCCTGGATCATCAAGAAGACCCGGAAGAGTCACCTCTGACTCCCCATCTCTGACAGGCCCCACCTCCCATTATTTCTAATCTCCCTTATCCCTGGCCCTCTTCGAATGATTTAGAAACTAGCTTTCCACATAGAGGCATTCTCTGTTCTCATTTTCTTTTTTTCTTTTTTTTTGAGACGGAGTCCTGCACCATTGCCCAGGCTGGAGTGCAGTGGCACAATCTTGGCTCACTGCAAGCTCTGCCTCCTGGGTTCACACCATTCTCCTGCCTCAGCCTCCCGAGTAGCTGGGACTACAGGCGCCCACCACCACGCTCAGCTAATTTTTTGTACTTTCAGTAGAGACGGGGTTTTACCGTGTTAGCCGGGATGGTCTCAATCTCCTGACCTCGTGATCCGACCGCCTCGGCCTCCCAAAGTGCTGGGATTACAGGCGTGAGCCACCGTGCCCGGCCTCTCATTTTCGTAACAGAGCATTGCTGGAGTGTGTGTGTGTGTGTGTGTGTGTGTGTGTATGGTATGCATGTGCACATGTGTGTATGCAGTGCGTGTGTGTGCATGTGCCTATTTATATGTGTGTGCGTATTGTGTGTGTCCATGCATGTGCGTGGTGTGTGTGCATGCATATTTGTGGATATGTGTGTGTGGTATGTGTACATGCATATGTATGTGTGGGGGAGTGTCCTGGGGCGGGAGAGAGGAAGCCAGGTATTTGCCCTGAGCCCTTTTTTTTTTTCTTTTGAGATGAAGCCTCGCTCTGTCGCCCAGGCTGGAGTGCGGTGGCGCCATCTCAGCTCACTGCAACCTCCACCTTCTGGGTTCAAACAATTCTCCTGCCTCAGCCTCCTGTGTAGCTGGGATTACAGGTGTGCACTACTATGTGCAGCTAATTTTTGTATTTTTAGTAGAGATGAGGTTTCACCATGTTGGCCAGGCTGGTCTCGATCTCCTCACCTCAGGTGATCCTCCCGCCTTGGCCTCCCAAAGTGCTGGGATTACAGGCGTGGGCCACGGTGCTTGGCCAAGTCTTTGAGAGGAAGAATCTGCAGCACTGCATATATATATATATATATATACACACACACACACACACACACACACACACACACACACACACACACACACATATATTGGCCCCATGGATCTGGGAGCGCCATAATTCCTTGAAGGCAAGTCTGATGAATTCACAAGCCAGCACCATCCTAGAGAGGAGTGTTACTTCCCGCCCCAGACGGGAGTGTTTATAGCCCAAGCCATGTGTCTGAGGTCTTATGACCAGGAACCTCAGAGGCAGGATTTATTTTTCGAGTTCTGAGTTGTGCTTGACTTTTCTTTTTTCTGATTTTTGTTGTTGTTGTTGTTAGATATGGGGTCTCACTCTTTCACCCAGGCTGGAGTGTGGTGGCACTGTCATAGCTCACTGCAGCCTCAAATTCCTGGGCTCAAGCAATCCTCCAGCCTCAGCCTTCCAAGTAGCTGGGACCACAGGTATGAACCACTGCACCTGGCTACTTGACTTTTCTTTCCACAACCCCATGTTGTGTTTTTGTTTTGTTTTGTTTTGTTTTGTTTTGTTTGAGATGGAGTCTCACTCTGTCGCCAGGCTGGAGTACAGTGGTGCGATCTCAGCTCACTGCAACCTCTGCCTCCTGGGTGCAGGCGATTCTCCTGCCTTTGCCTCCGGAGTAGCTGGGACTACAGGTACCCACTACCTGTAGTGGCTGGCTAATTGTTGTATTTTTAGTAGAGACGGGGTTTCACCATGTTGGCCAGGATGGTCTCGATCTCCTGACCTCGTGATCTGCCCGCCTCGGCCTCCCCAAAGTGCTGGGATTACAGATGTGAGCCACCATGTCCAGCCCATGCTGTCTTTTTGGGGAAGTTTTTCCAATTGTGATAAGTGATCCCTTTGGACAAGGAATCTCTAGTACTGTAAAAGCAACGGAAAACTCTTGCAAGCTTGGGACCAGATAAAGAGTTTCTGAATCTGCAAAGGGGGTGATCAGACACTGGACTGTGGTAACACCTCAGAGGGGTGGGCTCCAGACGCAGCCTGGCCCTACCTGGCACCCTCCCTTGCATCTGTAGTGCCTCCTGTCCTGACTTAGGGTTCCCTGAGTCACTGGGCCACTTGGACTGGGGACAGGAGATCATGGGTTTAAGTTCCAGGCCCCGTGTACACAGGGGAGCACATAAAGGTAAATATGAGGCCGGGCATGATGTCTCACACCTTTAATTCCAGCACTTTGGGAGGCTGAGGCGGGTGGATCACTTGAGGTCAGGAGTTCAAGCCCAGCCCGGGCAACATGGTAAAACCCCGTCTCTACTAAAACTACAAATATTAGCCAAGCTTGGTGGCTGGTGACTGTAATCCCAGCTACTTGGGAGGCTGAGGCAGGAAAATCGCTTGAACCCGGGAAGCAGAGGTTGCAGTGAGCTGAGATTGCACCCCTGCACTCCAGCCTGGGCAACAGGGTGAGACTCTGTCTCAAACAAACAAAAACTTAAATAAGAAGGAATCCTTGGCCAGGTGTGGTGGCTCACATCTGTAATCCCAGCACTCTGGGAGGCCGAGGCAGGTGGATTGCATGAGCCCAGGAGCTCGAGACCAGCCTAGGCAACATGGCGAAACACCGTCTCTACAAAAAATACGAAAATTAGCTGGGCGTGTTGGTGCTTGCCTGTAATGCCAGCTATTTGGGAGGCTGAGATGGGAGGATCACTTGAGCCTGGGAGTTCGAGGCTGCAGTGAGCTATGATCACACCACTGTACCACAGCCTGGGTGACAGAGTGAGACCCTGTCTTGAGGGGTAGGGAGGCAGAAGGAAAAAAAAGAGAGAGAGAGACCCTGGTGCTCAGGCCTGGTGGCTCTGGCTGGACTGATCAGGGCTGAAGACTTCAGAGACCAAAAAGGTCAAGGTGTGGCCGGGTGCGGTGGCTCACACCTGTGATCCCAGCATTTTTGGGAGACCCAGGTGGGCATATCACCTGAGGCCAGGAGCTCAGGACCAGCCTGGCTAACACGGTGAAACCCCGTCTCTACTAAAAATACAAAAATTAGCCAGGCATGGTGGCAGGCACCTGTAATCCCAGCTACTTGGGAGGCTGAGGCAGGAGAATCACTGGAACCCAGGAGGCAGAGGTTGCAGTGAGCCGAGATAGCACCATTGCACTCCAGCCTGGGTGACAGAGCGAGACTCTGTCTCAAAAAGAAAAGAAAAAAAAAGTCAAGGTGTGCGGCTGGGTCTTCATAACATCTTTCACCTTGCCCAGGCTGGCTCAGAGGTGACTGCCTTAGTGGATAGGATCCCTTCCACCGTGGGCTAGCAGCCTACCCTGGTCACTGACACCACACCATGTAGGAAAGAATCGCCACCACCAAGAAGGGGCCTCTCACCTCTGTATAGGCTGTGTGCTGGCTGATGACGTGGTTGCCCTGTCCTGTCTGCTGCTGCCACTGAGCTGGACATCTCCAGGCTCCATCTCTTGAACCATGGATCCCAGCGTTGTTAGCAATGAGTATTATGATGTTGCCCATGGAGCAAAAGATCCAGTGGGTCCCCACTTCCCTGCAGGACATCACTGCTGTCCTGGGTACAGAAGCATATACTGAGGAAGACAAATCAATGGTGTCCCATGCACAGAAAAGCCAGCATTCTTGTCTCAGCCATTCCAGGTGGCTGAGGTCTCCACAGGTCACAGGGGGAAGCTGGGACCTCCGAATAAGGCCATCCAAGGACTCCAGCAGTTTCCGCCAGGTGAATCCAGCTGCCTCCCAGAACAGGCCTTCTATGGGGTGGGATGGTAAGTTGCTGGAAGGACGTGCATGGGGCATCATTGTAGCAAACTCAGTCCCCCTCCTCCATCTCTCCCTCTCCTCGCTCTGAATCCAGGGAGCTCTAGTTTTCTGTGTAGCCTGTGTGACAGCCTTGGTTGAAACCCTTGTGTTCCGTCTGAAGAATATTTAAGGTTTCCAGTCAAGTGTACATCCCTCAAAGAAACAAAGTGGGCTTGGCATGGTGACTCACACCTGTAATCCCAGCTCTTTGAGAGGCCAAGGCAGAAGGACCACTTGAAGCCTGGAGTTCCAGACCAGCCTCGGCAACACAGCGAGGCCCCAAACTCTCTCTATATCTATACATAAAATTTAAAAAACAAAGTGTAGGGACAGGGTGGGCACTCGGTAAATGTTGGCAGGGACCCTCCTTGCCCCTCACCCATGGCAGCTCCTTGAAGAGAGGGTCAGCCTCCTCTCACCCCTAGCCTCCTGCTGCAAGGAGGTGGTGGCCTGGGGCGTCATCTGTGCTACTTGCACTTTCTGGGGCTGGGGTCCCAGCACTCCACCAGAGGACCTGCCCTGAGCGGGCAGCTCCGTCTCCAGTCCCACTGTGCCACCCAGGGTGCCTAGCCAAACCATGGGACTTTCAGGCTTGCAGGGTCAGGATGTGGCCACCAGGGGGCAGCAGGGCCTGCGCTGTGAGTATCCGAGGGGGGGTTGGGATGGGGAGTTCCAGGCTCTGATGTGAGATCTAACTCCCAGAGCTGGGAAGCTCCCTATATTTCCTGCCATATTTTCTGCTGCATTCCCAGAGGACAGGCCATGGGAGGTGATTCCAGGGGGGCCTGAGCTCTCCTCCCGAGACCGTCCACGGGGCATCCATGTCCCGGGTACCTGCTTGTGGGCTGCTCTGGTCACTCTTCCTCTAGGGCAGGAGAGCCAGTCTGGCCTCTTCTGAGTGCACACCAGCAACGGCTGTTGTTTATTTGCCAGGGATTGATATTCTTGAGGGATGGTCCATTTCACCAGGGCCAGGGAAACAACAGCTTGCAGGACTGTGGTTTCCCAGCACCGGCTGCAGGCAGCCTCGTCCGGCTGCTCCCAGAGGATGCCCCACCCTGTGCACGGCTGCCTGCCATCCTGCCCCTGGGGGTAGCCTCCACCTCCCCCACCATGGCCACTGCAGGACTGACCCTGTGCACCTGGTCCCCTGAGCCTCTTGGGATCATAGCCCTGTCTGTGGCAGCCTTACCACTCCTACCTGGCACGACTTCCCCAACTCCTCACAGAGGTGCCCTACTCTCTTCCCTTTCAGTCTGGATGCTCATAGAGTCAGCACCCTGAGTCCTTCTGCCTGTCCCCAAAGTCCTCAGCCCCAGGTTTGACCCCAGCTGAACACAGGCCAGCTCACAGAGTGCCCCGGGGCACGAGGCAGCCCCCCAGAACCCCCATCCTGCCATCCTGCCTCTTCTCCTCACTTCCTGCTCCCCCAGGCATAGACATACCTGTGAACCCCATGCCACCCTCAGCTCGTCTCTCCTGAAGCTGAAGCCCCTGCCCAGCCCGACCCCTTCCCCTGCCTGTGCGCCTTAGAGCACCCTGGTTTGCTCCACCAGCATCTACTCTAGCTCTTTCCCCGGTGCCTCCGCCCACCAGTTCCTTCCTCCTCCTTCCCCCGCCCCGCCCCCTGCACTAACAGGCTCAGTGTCTGCGTAAGGATCCTGGGGCAAACAACCACTTGGAGAGCCAAGGGGTGAGAGGTACAGCTGGCGATGCTGACAGGGAGCTGCGGGGACCCTCAGAAAAAGCCACAGGTGACCCAGGACTCAGGGCCCCAGAGCATGGGGCTTGAGGGACGAGAGACAGGTAAGGCATCTTGAAGTGGGGTGTGCTGGGGGCAATAAGGTGGAAAGGCAGGAGGGAACAGGAGGCAGGTTAGGGACCTAGAGGGTGGAGTAGGGGCCAAAGCTGAGAGTGAGTGAGCAGTGAGCCCCCCGGCCTCAGCAGGAAACGAAAAGCTGGAGTTCAGCCTGAAAGAGACGCGCAGTGTGGCTTCAGGGGAACAGGGGCCAGAGTGGACGGTGCTTATCCTAGACCAGCCACCTTACCCCTGTGGACTGAGTTTCCCCATCTGTGGACTTGGGCCATTCCAGCTTTAGTGGTGCTCACCTTTGAAGAGGGTATCTTTAGTTTAGAAAAGAGGGGGCCCTACCAACAGCCTCTCCTTAGAGGGGGACAGCTGTTGAGTGGAGCTGTGCAGACCTGGGGCCTCCACTGTGGACCTCCTAGAGAGGTCCCTGTGTGTGGCTGGCATCACCCGGGTCGGAATCACCCAGGTTGCTGATTACAAGCACGGCTGCTGCAACCCCGCTTCAGACCCTCTGGCCCGGAGGCGGCCCAGGAGCCTGCACCTCGACAAGTGCCCCCTGTTTCAGAGCCCCTGCTAGGCCGGGTGAGGGCCCATGGGGAGGACCCATGGGGAGCAATGGTCTCTATGGCAGCAGGCCGTGCTGCCAGGGACTTCCCATCAGTGGGGGAGCCGGGCCACTGAGGGAGTGGGGTGACATGGGGTGGGGGTGAGGGTGGTCTTGGCAAGAATTCTCACAGCAACAGACAGTGCACTCAGCTGGGTCTGACTAGAGGGTCTGCACAGAGCAGGGTGACTAGAAAGACCCCAGGTCAGGGCGGGGCTGCGCCCAGCCAGGTTAGAAATAGACCAGAGGCTCTGACTCTGCCCATCCGCACCTTCTAGCTGGCCAGCCACGAGTGACCCTGCTGCCCACGCCCCACGTCAGCGGGCTGAGCCAGGAGTTTGAAAGCCACTGGCCAGAGATCGCAGAGAGGTCCCCGTGTGTGGCTGGCGTCATCCCTGTCATCTACTACAGTGTCCTGCTGGGCTTGGGGCTGCCTGGTGAGTGGGGAGCTGGGGTCTGGGGACTTGGGCTTGGCCAGAAATGGGGATCCTCCTTCAATGGGTGCCAGTCCTCTGTGTTTGACCCCTGAGGCCCTGGATCATAGACCCCTGGTCTTTCCTTGCCATTGTCAGGGTGTTCTGGGTCACTGGAGGGGAATACAAGTAAGGGGCTAGGATTGGGGGTGCTCACAGCTAAACCCAAGTTTTCCCCAGCAGTGAGCGCACTCTTAGGATAACAAAATTCACATAGGAACTGGCTCAGCTCAGTACAAAGCTCCCCGTGCTGCCCATGCCTTCAGAGAGCAGAGCTTGGGGCAGAGGTGGGTGTGTGGATATGGGAAGGACGGGTGGTCTCGGCCCTGGGGATTTCCCCAAGTCTGATAGCTAAACCCATGCCTGTGTCTAGGGACGCCTCCATTCTGGAGGACACAGAAAACCTAAAAAGGACTTGGAGGACAATGCCATAGGACAGGTAGCTTTTTTTTTTTTTTTGAGATGGAGTCTCACTCTGTCACCCAGGCTGGAGTGCAGTGGCATGATCTCGGCTCATTGCAGCCTCCACTTCCCAGGTTCAAGCAATTCTCCTGCCTCAGCCTCCCAAGTAGCTGGGATTACAGGCATGCACCACCGTGCCTGGCTAATTTGTATATTTTTTTAACAGAGACGGGGTTTCTCCATGTTGGTCAGGCTGGTCTTGAACTCCTGACCTCAGGTGATCTGCTCGCCTTGGCCTCCCAAAGTGCTGGATTACAGGCGTGAGCCACCACACCTGGCCAGGACAGGTGGCTGCTGAGGACCCTTCCATGTGCACTTACCTGTGCATAACCGGGGTACAGCCAGTGGCCTGCAGTGGATGGACAGGGCAGAGCTGGCCTGGGTGGCCTTCTGGGCAAAGTGGGGTTTCAGAAGGATCTGGAAGGAGAAAAAAGAGAAGCCAGCGCAGCCTCTGCACATGCAGATGGGGAGGTGCGATGGCGACACCTTGGAAAGCAGAGTCTGAGCTCTCTTCTGATGCCTCTCCCCTCCCTCACCTCGGCTGCCCTCAGTCAGCCTCCTGACCGCAGTGGCCCTGGCGCGCCTTGCCACCAGGACCAGGAGGCCCTCCTACTACTACCTTCTGGCGCTCACAGCCTCGGATATCATCATCCAGGTGGTCATCGTGTTCGCGGGCTTCCTCCTGCAGGGAGCAGTGCTGGCCCGCCAGGTGCCCCAGGCTGTGGTGCGCACGGCCAACATCCTGGAGTTTGCTGCCAACCACGCCTCAGTCTGGATCGCCATCCTGCTCACGGTTGACCGCTACACTGCCCTGTGCCACCCCCTGCACCATCGGGCCGCCTCGTCCCCAGGCCGGACCCGCCGGGCCATTGCTGCTGTCCTGAGTGCTGCCCTGTTGACCGGCATCCCCTTCTACTGGTGGCTGGACATGTGGAGAGACACCGACTCACCCAGAACACTGGACGAGGTCCTCAAGTGGGCTCACTGTCTCACTGTCTATTTCATCCCTTGTGGCGTGTTCCTGGTCACCAACTCGGCCATCATCCACCGGCTACGGAGGAGGGGCCGGAGTGGGCTGCAGCCCCGGGTGGGCAAGAGCACAGCCATCCTCCTGGGCATCACCACACTGTTCACCCTCCTGTGGGCGCCCCGGGTCTTCGTCATGCTCTACCACATGTACGTGGCCCCTGTCCACCGGGACTGGAGGGTCCACCTGGCCTTGGATGTGGCCAATATGGTGGCCATGCTCCACACGGCAGCCAACTTCGGCCTCTACTGCTTTGTCAGCAAGACTTTCCGGGCCACTGTCCGACAGGTCATCCACGATGCCTACCTGCCCTGCACTTTGGCATCACAGCCAGAGGGCATGGCGGCGAAGCCTGTGATGGAGCCTCCGGGACTCCCCACAGGGGCAGAAGTGTAGAGGAGGGGGCCCAGCTAGGGAGCTCAGGGTGGCTCATGGCCACATGTACTGGGGCCTTTGAGGTTGTACCCAAAACACGTTTATCAACAGCTTGCTTTCCTTGGGTGGGGGTGGAGGCTCCTCCTTTGGGTGTGGCTCCCAGGTAGAGAGGAGGACAACTTAGCCAGCTCTTATGTTTGCTTCACCAGCAATCCCTATTTCCTGGGAAGATGAAAGGGCACTGCCAGGCACAGGCTAATAGCATCAGTGCTGTGGGCATTCCTTTGCGGGGGGCATTTTGCCTGGCTCATCGTGAATGCCAGATTAATGTTGGTTGAATGGATAGAAAAACGGACAGATGGAGGCCGGGTGCGGTGGCTCACGCCTGTAATCCCAGCACGTTGGGAGGCTGAGGCAGGCGGATCACGAGGTCAGGAGATCGAGACCACAGTGAAACCCTGTCTCTACTAAAAATACAAAAAATTAGCTGGACGCAGTGGCGGGCGCCTGTAGTCCCAGCTACTCGGGAGGCTGAGGCAGGAGAATGGCGTGAACCCGGAAGGCGGAGCTTGCGGTGAGCCGAGATCCCGCCACTGCACTCCAGCCTGGGCGACAGAGTGAGACTCCGTCTCAAAAAAACAAAAACAAAAACAAAAACAAAAAAGGACAGATGGATGGATGGATGGATAGATGGATGGATGGATGGATGGATGGATGTGAATTGTCTCCAGCCCACCCCCCTTTCCTGGTGCCTGCTTCTCATTCCCTGAATGGATCACCTCTCCAGCTCCTAGTGGCAATGCCAGAGTTTGAAAAGGAAGATATCTTCAGGACTTAAGGCATTTCTTAGGCTGGAGGAAACAAAGAAATTGAGCTGAGCAATGGGAGGGGGCTGCTTGGGGGATAAAAGCCCCCAGGGCCAGTCAGAAAGGGGTGATCTTAAATCAGATGTGAGGAGCCCAGGCCTGTGTCTGTCCAGCCACAGGAGACACAGCCCCTTAGGTCTCAAACACCCTGGTTGGATTCCACATTACTCCCTGCCCTAAACCAGTACAGGTTCATGGGCCCAGAACCAGCACTGGGGCTATAGTTTTTGTTGTTGCCAATGAGGAGAAAGAAAATGGTCTCTTAACCCAGGGTACTAGGAGAACAGGAAAGGAGGACCTAGCTGGAGATGACCCTGAGCTTCTGCTGAGCCCCCCGAGCTCACGCCCCTTGGGGAAAGGTCTTTTCCTCCACCACTGGGAGGCGGGAGTTGGCAGAGTCCATCAGAGCCATGAGGAGCTCTGCTCCCCACCCTCAGCCTCTCCAGGGAGGCTCTCCAGGGCCCCTCTCTCCTCTCAGCACCACCATCCCGGAGAGGCAGCTGGGAGAGATCAGCAGATGGAACTCCCAGCTGCTCCAGGCTGTGGGTAAACACATTAGCAGCTGAGCTAGGACCACTTTCTGCTTCCTGGTCAGGCTGAGCTGACCTTTGTCCTGAATGGGAGGTTCAGACCTGCCCCCACCCTCTTAGTGGGATGACATCAGTCAAAGAGCTGTTTGTGCACCCAGCACACAGTCAATGCAGAATCAATGCTTGGCTTTCCACTTTGCCTCTCTGCTTCTCCCCAGAGCAGGGATGTCCAGACAGGGAGGTTCAGCTAACCCAGAAAGAGGATAATGTGGGTCTCCAATGCATTTGCCATGATTCTCAACTCCAAAAAACTCTGAAAACCAAAACATGTTTCCGAAATGTGCCACAAACACGTTTAGCGGCACAGCGTGACCCGGTGTGAGGTGATTTCTGGTCCCGAAGTTGTCCTGTGATTGTGAGTCCTGCCAGCCCCACCAGGGACTGTTAGTGGAGTGATCATGTACTGCTGTCCACACCCCACGGAATCGTGATCGAACGCGCACCACTACATGCACACAGCACCTTCCTCTGCTCTGACGTATTCTGAATTCCAAGACATGTGGTGCCGAGTTCAGAGAAAGGACTGAAGACCTGTAAGCCCAACACTTCTGCTCCGGGGTGGTCTACACTGACCCTGAGCAGGTGTTAAGGATGGAGGACCCCCTCACCCGCCCACACCTCCATGTGCACACACAGATGTATCCCCAGGCAGGGTTGATGCACCTGCGCTTTATTCTTTGCTTAAGGAGGAGGGGGATGCAAATGCAGGTACCCGGGGAGGGAGAAGGTCCACCGGAGGACCAGATAATGTCGGCCCCAGCCCAGCCTGAGCCTGCCCTACAGAAGCGGGCACGGGAAGAAAGCACAAAGTTCCATGGATGAAGAACTAAATGGAACAACCTGCAGGGACCCTGCAGGAGAGAACCCAGTATCAGGGAAGAGCATCTGTGTCTCCATGGATGGCAACAGCAGCTGGGTCTAGGCCAGAGGCAGGATGCCTTCCTCAGCTGGCTGGGGGGCTGTCTTTCAGGAGGCCAGCTGCAATATTAGCTCAACTGTCTCTGAGCACCAGTGAAACCAGGAACTTCCAGAAACTGTTGGGGAGGCTCTTTCAAGACACAGTTTTGTTTTGTTTTGTTTTGTTTTGTTGACATGGAGTCTCGCTCTGTTGCCCAGTCGCTCAGGCTGGAGTGCAGTGGTGTGATCTCAGCTCACTGCAACCTCCGCCTCCTGGGTTCAAGTGACTTTCCTGCCTCAGCCTCCCAAGTAGCTGGGACTACAAGCGCACACCACCACATCCAGCTAATTTTTTTATTTTTAGTAGAGACGGGGTTCCACCATGTTGGCCAGGCTGGTTGAAACAATTTTGCATTGAGCCACCATAACCCCAGTGTTAATATTGCTATAACCTCACTTGTACCGACAGGCTGGGGCAGTCAGTGACTTTTTCAAACAACCCTGCATATGGAGTATTGTAACTGTTTTACAAACTTAGGAAATTGAGGCACAGAGAGATTAAATGGTATGCCCCTAGCCCAAAGCTGGTCAAGAGCAGCACTGACACTCAAACCCAAGTCTCCTGGTTCCTGGTCCATTGTCTGTTCCACCCCACACCTTGCAGGTGCTCTCAGATGTAGAAGATTAGAGGCAGACCGCTCTCGGGGATCTTTTGCATTGCTTAGAACTTTCTAGTGCTGGACTTATCAGATTTGAGAACCAGTATCACATTTTCCTAATAAAATGCATTAGGTGGTCAGGTGTGGTGGCTCACGCCTGTAATCCCAGCACTTTGGGAGGCAGAGGTGGGCGGATCACTTCGGGTCAGGAGTTCGAGACCAGCCTGGCCAACATGGTGAAACCCCATCTCTACTAACAAATACAAAAACTAGCTGGGCGTGGTGGTGGACACCTGTAATTCCAAGTTCTCAGAGGCTGAGGCAGGAGAATCGCTTGAACCCAGGAGACGGAGGTTGCAGCGAGCTGAGATCGCGCCATAGAAACACCATGGAACTCCAACCTGGGCAACAAGAGTGAAACTTCGACTCAAAAAAAAAAGAGAAAAAACACATTAGGTAACAGTTTCTTTTTAGCATTTGTGTAACCTTTAATAAAATAAAGTGATAATCACCTTGGTAAGCATGTCACTGAAATGTAAATGAAAAGTATTATTAAATCTGCCAAACTGGCTTCTAGAGGAGAGAAAGACTTAAATGGTTTCAGTTTCTCCTTCTTCCCTTCTCCCTCCATAGCCTACCCACTCATCTGCTGAAATATCTTAGCTAAAGAAAATCCTTTTTGAAATTCTGAGTTTCTTTCCTAACAATTCCCACCACAGGTTTGATGTGCTGTTTGATCTTACGGTCTATCATTTGTCCTTTGTTAATATCTGAGGATGGTTATTGCTCACATGTCTTTCATTTCTTCCCAAGGGTATATATGATTTTTGCTGTTTGGAAGTTGGTTGACAAATTGTTTTCTGGACTCTATTAGTTTTCAAGGGCTGCATTAAAAAAATACCGCAGACTGGGTGGCTTAAACAACATATGAGTTTTTGTTTGTTTGTTTGTTTGTTTTTGAGATGGAGTCTTACTCTGTCGCCCAGGCTGGAGTGCAGTGGCACAATCTCGGCTCGCTGCAACCTCCACCTCCTGGGTTCAAGTGATCCTGCTGCCTCAGCTTCCCAAGTAGCTAGGACTACAGGCATGCATTACCACGTCTGGCTAATTTTTGTATTTTCAGTAGAGACAGGGTTTCGCATGTTGGCCAGGCTGGTCTCGAACTCCTGACCTCAAGTGATTCACCTGCTTCAGCCTCCCAAAGTGCTGGGATTATAGGCGTGAGCCACCCTGCCTGGCCAGAAATGTGTTTTCTTACAGTTCTGGAGGCTGGAAGTTCAAAACAATGTATTGACCAAATGTAGTGGCTCACACCTATAATCCCAGCACTTTTGAAGGCTGAGGCAGGGGGATCACTTGAGCCCAGGAGTTCAAGACCAGGCTAAACAGCATAGGAAGACCCTGTCTCTACCAAAAATACAAAAACAGCTGGATGTAGTGGAGGATCACCTGAGCCTAGGAGGTCGAGGCTGCAGTGAGCCAAGACCACGCCACTGCACCCCAGCCTGGATGACAGAGTAAAGGGCGACCTTGTCTGAAAAGGAAAAGAAGAAGGTGTTAGCAGCTTGGGTTTCTTCTGAGGCCTCTCTCCTTGCCCTGCAGAAGGTCACCTTCTCCCTGTGTCCCCAGTACCTCAAAATGGGACGGCATTTGAAGATAGGGCCTTGAAAGAGGTGATGAAGTTCAAACGAGGCTGTTACGATGGGCTCTCATCCAACCTGGGGAAGGTCTTCAACATATGAATTTGGGTTGGGGGAAACTATGGGTATTTTAAGGACAAATGTTCCTTGGCTGTGGATCCAGGCTTTAATAAAAGTCACTTTTCTCTTGGCTGTATACGAACTATCCCCACCTTTCTCTTCTCCTTGGCTGGCGTAACAGGACTCAAAGCCAGTCTCGTATCTTTAAACATGATCTCTCCTTTCTTCCTGGAAGATCTTGAAGTTTTTGAAGATTCACCCTTGTTGAACAGGTACCTGGAGGTGGGCCTTTTAATTTCCACACTGAGAGTATCTTTTCATTCAGAAAAGGTTATTTTCTTTCTCGTTCGTTTCCTTCCTTCCTTCCTTTCCTCCCTCCCTCCCTCCCTCCTTCCTTCCTTCCTCTCTTTCTTTCTTTCTGAGTGGGGGTTGCACCATGTTGCCCAGGCTGCTCCTGAATTTCTGGGCTCAAGTGATGTGTCTGCCTCGGCCTCCCAAAGTGCTGGAATTACAGGCCTCTTTTCCTTTTAGGAAACAGGGTCTCGCTCTGCCACCCAGGCTGGAGTGCAGTGGCACGACCACGGCTCACTGCAGCCTCAACCTCCCAGGCTCAAGCAATTCTCTGGCCTCAGCCTCCCAAGTAGCTGGGACCACAGGCATGCACCACCATGCCTCGCTAATTTTTTGTTTGTTTGTTTGTAGAGACGAGGTCTCCCTATGTTGCCCATGCTGGTCTCCAACTCCTAAGCTCAGGCGATCCTCCTGCATCAGCCTCCCAAAGTGCTGGGATTACAGGTGTGAGCCACGGCACTGGCCTTCTTGACTTTCTTAATCACAATTGGGTTTCGGGCCCCCTTTTCCCTCGGCCACTCTTATGTGCTCTCTGGCGGGGTGTCCTGCTGCCACTGGCACCTTTCCTGGCTTCCTCATTGCTCAGACCTCAAACAGCTCTTTCCCTCTGTGTTGGGTTTCCCAGTCGCTCCGGTTTGCAGTGCTATCACTGCACACTCCCCCTTAGCAGCACGTTTCTTTCTTTTTTCTTTTTTTTATGAGATGGAGTCTTGCTCTGTCGCCAAGGCTGGAGTGCAGTGGCGCGATCTCGATCTCAGCTCACTGCAACCTCCGCCTCCTGGGTTCAAGCTATTCTCCTGCCTCAGCCTCCCGAGTAGCTGGGATTACAGGTGCGTGCCAGCACACCCAGCTGATTGTTGTATTTTTAGTAGAGACAGGGGTTTCACTGTGTTGGCCAGGCTGGTCTCGAACTCCCGACCTCAGGTGATCTGCCCGCCTCGGCCTCCCAAAGTGCTGGGATTACAGGCGTGAGCCACCGCGCCCGGCCTGAGCAGCACATTTCTTTTTGTCTCTGGAATGGATATCAACGCAACCAGGTTGCTTCCGGGGCATGGTCTCAGGCCCCACCACACACGCAGCCTCTGCCCCTCTCTCTGACTCCCATGCTCACTTTGGTCCTCCCCCATGAGTGCTCTGCTCCTCTTCCCCTTCCCCTCTTTTTTTCAGTCCGAAAGAGGAGGCATGCTGGCTGGATAAAAGGGAGCCACATCTGTCGCTTCTGCTCTGGGATCTTTCATGGGAGCTCCAGTCCACAGACATGAGTGTCCCTCGATTCTGACAAGGTGACAAGGCTCCCTTCCTGTCACCATGCCCGGGCCGAGGAGGTGGCTTTACCAGTGGTGGGGTGGGTGACATGATGGGGACGGGGAGACAAGCTTCCAGAGGGATCGTGCAGAATCCATTCAGCACCCTGGCCCAGAAAGCAAGACCATATTTTCCAAATTAAGCATTTAGCCAGCTGGGCACAGTGGTTCAGGCCTATAACCCTAGCACTTTGGAGGCAAGGCAGGAGAATGACTTGAGACCAGGTGTTCGAGAGCAGCCTGGGCAACGTGGCGAAACCCTGTCTCCACCAAAAATAAAAATAAAAAAAATTTAGCCGGGCATGGTGGTGGGCACCTGTAATCCCAGCTGCTCAGGAGGCTAAGGTGGAAGGATCACTTGAGCCCAGGAGTTTGAGGCTGCAGCGAGCTGAGATCACACCACTGCACTCCAGCCTGGACGACAGAGCCAGACACTGTCTCAAAAAAAAAAGAAAACATTGAGCACTTTGGTTGGCCAGATTACAGAGGTGCTGGCTGGCAGGGACCAAGGGACAGCCCTTGGCATGGGGGTGTCTTGGAAATCTTGCTTCCCTGGCCTCCTTGTCGCTGGGGGTGGCCTGAGCTCCCTGGCGGGTTTTCTGCCCACCTCCTCCTTTTGCATGTCCCTGTCAGCTCAGACAGCAGGGGGCGCTGCAGGACTGGCTGGACGGTCGGGCCAGGGAGTGGGAGGGCGGGCCTTTAAGCCAAGGTTCAAAGGAAGATCGAGTTACTGCAAAGAAACTGCCTGCCCTGGGCCAGCAGCCAGCACCGAGTAGTTGGGTGGGAGGGCTTTGTACCCTCTGTCAGTCTCCTCCACCCTAAAGCCACGTCTGCCACGCTGGGGCTGGCCAGCCACGGGGCTGCAGGGCCCTGCAATTTTCTCAGATGACTTTGGTGGTTTCCTGTGCAGAGTGGTGTGAAGGGCCCTTTCATCGTTCATCGCCCTCCTCTCTCCACTCTCCTTCGCAGGGTCCTGCCAGCCCCTCCTGCTGGCCTCGGGTTCTGCTCACCTGCCTTCCCCACTCTGGGGAGCTTGGCCTGCCAGGCTGCGGAGCCTCAGGGCTTCAGTCAGCGTCTCTGGGATCCCAGGACCCCGTCCTCCCAGCCTGGCGTGAGGGGCCGAGTCCTCCCATCCCCCAGCTGAGCCTGGGCAGGACTTGGGTACCCCCACTTCCCACTGCTCCTTCCAGCCTGCCCTCTCTCCACGGTGCTGGAGGTGAAAGAGTTAATCACATCTGTGGCGGCTCCTTCCAGGACTCCTCCAAGATATATATTTAGCAGGCGGGGCGGGGTGGGGCGGGAGAGGCGTGCCAAGATGCCCTGGCACCGCAGCCCCTGCCTTACCACACCGCTCTTCGGAGGGAGGGGCAGGCAGGCAGTGCCACAGGAGCCGGGTAGGATGGAGGAAGGGACCCATCTAGATGGAGGGAAGGGGCAGGTACGGGAGTTGGCTTTAAGTGGCTTTAACCACAGCCTAGGGAAGGCTGCGGTCTCAGAGAGGACTTTGAGGCCCTGTGTGTGGGGTTGGGGGAGGAGCTTGCTCTGTATCCATGAAAGAAGGGCCCAGTGACTCTGTCTCCCAGGGATGTCGAAGGATTGTGGAAAAGGGCTGGAAACAGCTTAACGGTGAAGGTGATGGGGCAGGGCTGGCTAGAAGAGCTTCTACCACCTATTGAAATGGCTGGGACCCCTGACCAGGGAGCACCGTGGGAGCATAGCCCTGGCCAGTCCAGGTGACCACCCTCTCAGAGCTGTGCTTTCATTCTGGGACAGCAGCTCTGGTGTGGCCAGTGGAGACAAGGGCAGACAGGTTTTTCTATGTCCTCCTTAGAGATTATTTCCAAGGACTCTGCCCTCAGGGAGAGCAATGTATTCAGTAGGTAACCACTAGGCGGGACTGGTTGCTAAGGGCTGTATTTTGACTCTAAGTGGGGAAACCTGTGATTCACCTTATTCCAATTCCTCCAAGTACCTGGGACCTCTGGAGGTTCAGTTCACAAGGAAGACGTTTGGTTTGCTCGCTTGCTTTTTTAACGGGAGTGTCTGTACCCTTCCCTAGGTCCCAAGAATAACTCTGCAGATCTTGGCTTCCCAGCCTCAGGATTGTCCCCAGGGACCAGGACAAAGGGCTTGGTCCTATTGGCTTGTCTCCATGGCGCCTCCCTTCTTCTTCTTCCCAGGTGAATGGATCAGCTCAGTTAGACCCAAGAGAGCCTCATGCTTGTCCTAGACCTCATTTTCCCGACCCAGTGGCATTCCAGCCACACCTGCTGAGGCCTTGGGTACCTGCGCATCAGAGTAGCAGCTCCTCCAGCTGGCAGAGAAAGACTTGATTTGCCACAGTTAGCGCGGCCCACTGTGGAAGCAATCCAGGGTTCGCTCACCACCCAGCCATGCCAGCTGATGCTGTTTTGATTCCCCTAACCAGGGGCAGTCACTTTTCTAGAACTTTCTGTGTCATGAACCCTCAAGGGAGGCAGCTAATGCAACCCTTTCCCAAAGGGCCCTCTCCTAATACCTGCAAATTATAAGGACACTATTTGACTTGATATTATTTCTGGAGGAAAATAAAAGTCAATAAAGGCACATAAACTGCTCTGTGATTTGAGGCAAAATGA
Source organism: Homo sapiens (assembly GCF_000001405.40). Lineage (NCBI taxonomy): Eukaryota > Metazoa > Chordata > Mammalia > Primates > Hominidae > Homo > Homo sapiens. The sequence goes on from NC_000017.11 coordinate 74,381,565, forward strand.
ATACAAAAGCCAGGCCCTTCTGCCACACCCACTCACCACGTGATCTTAAGAGAGTCGTTTCTAATCTCAGAGTCTCAGTTATCTTGCCTGTAAAATGTGGAGGTTGAGCTACATTAAATCTATGGTCACTTCTCTTACCCAGCTTCGTCCAGGCACGGTGGTTCACGCCTGTAATCCCAGCACTTTGGGAGGCCTAGGCAAGCGGATCACTCAAGGTCAGGAGTTCAAGACCAGCCCGGTCAACATGGTGAAGCGCCATCTCTACTAAAAATACAAAAATTATCTGGGCGTGGTGGCGGGTGCCTGTAAGGGCAGGCGCTGAGGTGGGAGAATCGCTTGAACCCGTGAGGCAGAGGTTGCAGTGAGCCCCGATCTCGCCACTGCACTCCAGCCTGGGTGACAGAGGGAGACTCCGTCTTTAAAAAATAAATAAATAAAATAAAATAAATGCTACCAAACTTACAATTCCCCGTGAAGCACCTAAGCCTTAGTTCAGAGTAGAAGCAGGAGAAACAGAGCTCACTGATGGGAGGCACCTAACAGAATACAGACAGCCTGTGAGCATCTCCATGTGCCAGGCACTGGGCTCTGTGTTTTTTTGTCTGTTTTTCTTTATTTAGAGATGGGGTCTCGCTATATTGCCCAGGCTAGTCTTGAACTCCTGGCCCCAAGCAATCCTTCGGCTTCTGCCCCAAAAAGTGCTGGGATTACAGGCATAGGCCACCACACCCACCTCCCAGGCTCACTTTCTTTCTTTCTTTTTTTTTTTTTTTTTTTTGGAGATGGAGTTTTGCTCTTGTCACCCAAGTTGGAGTGCAATGGCACGATCTCGGCTCACTGCAACCTCCGCCTCCTGGGTTTAAGCGATTCTCCTGCCTCAGCCTCCCAAGTAGCTGGAATTACAGGTGCCCACCACCACGACTGGCTAATTTTTGTATTTTTAGTAGAGACGGGGTTTCACCACGTTGGCCAGGCTGGTCTTGAACTCCTGACCTCAGGTGATCCACCCGCCTTGGCCTCCCAAAGTGCTGGGATTACAGGCGTGAGCCAGCACACCCCGCCAGGCCTAGTTTCTTATATGCACTGTCTCATTCCATTCTCACAATAACCCTACGAGGCAGGAATTCTTGTTATTTCCATTTTATACATGGACATACTGAGGGCCAGAGAGTTTAAGCAATTTGACCAAAGAACACTAGTTAGTGGGGAAAACAGGATTTTAATCGGCCGGTTGCTCTCTGCCTTCTGTACATCTCGCCATTGTGTGCAAGGCATAGGGAGATGCTAGAGTTAGCAGAGCCTGGATCTAGAAGGCAGGTTCAAGGTGAAGTCAGTCAGTCTTTTGTGTGTCTCAGCACACAGGAGCACATACCCCTTAACTCTAATGCTGGGAGTTAGATAAAAACGATGAGTAGTTTGGTGTGGCCGGGACCTAGTGGGTAGAAAGGGGGTGATGGAAGATAACGTTGGAATGATGGGCTGGTACTGACACTGAAGGTCTTCATACAGCACACTGAGCTCCTGATGGTTCTTAAGGGTATGTTCTAGAAAGATCCTGCTGGTGGTATTAGGGAGGATGAACTGAAACATCAGGAGGCCGGAGACCCCTTAGGAGGCCAGAGGGATAGCCCAGGCGAGAGACAGGGAGGCCAGGGAGCAGCTGGAGGGCTACCAGAAGCCTCTGCAGGGTACACTGGGTTTGGAGGAGACCTGGGGGCAGAGGGAGGGAATGCTCACACCCTCTGTGGTCCCTGGAACACTTCTAGCAAGAAGGAGGATTGTGCAAGAGGCTTAGAGAGAGAAGCAGCAGCGCTCCACTCTGTCATGACATAATCCCCTAGGAGATTTGAGAATGGGGGCTTCAGCTACCCCTCCCCGTGAGCATCCTGTGTCCATGGGGGCTTAGCCCTGGGTCCAGAGTTTCAGAGGTATCCCTCTGGGCTCTGGACATGTACCCAGAGGTGGTCGGAAGGGAAGGGTGATTGAGATGGACAGAGAGGCACTGCCCTGGCCGGCCTGGTAGCCTGGCCCCACCCTCTGAGGCTCTTCTTGCTTGGGCCCCCTTGCCCCACTTCTTTCTTTCTTTTTTTTTTTTTTTTAAGACAGAATCTTGCTCTGTCTCCCAGACTGGAGTGCAGTGGCACAATCTCGGCTCACTGCAACCTCTGCTTCCTGGGTTCAAGCAATTCTCCTGCCTCAGCCTCCATGTAGCTGGGACTACAGGCGCCCACCACCACGCCCAGCTAATTTTTGTATTTTTAGTAGAGACAGGGTTTCGCCATGTTGGCCAGGCTGATCTCAAACTCCTGACCTCTGGTGATCCTCCCACCTTGGCCTCCCAAAGTGCTGGGATTACAGGCGTGAGCCACTGCACCTGGCCTATTTATTTATTTATTTATTTGAGGCTGAGTCTCGCTCTGTCGCCCAGGCTGGAGTGCTGTGGAGTGCTCCCTGCAACCTCCGCCTCCTGGGTTCAAGCGAATCTCCTGCCTCAGCCTCCCGAGTAGCTGGGACTACAGGTGCCCACCACCACACCTGGCTAATTTTTTCTATTTTTAGTAAAGATGGGATTTCACCATGTTAGCCAGGCTGGTCTCGAACTCCTGACCTCAAGTGATCTGCCCGCCTCGGCCTCTCAAAGTGCTAGAATTACAAGCATGAGCCACCGCGCCCAGACTCCCTTTGCCCTTCTTCTGATGCCAAGGGGCGCAGGGTCCTGTCCTTACAGGGCTCGAGTGGCTGCATGTGAGGAGGCTGCTCCACACCAGTGTCCACGCCAGAGCTCGGCTCAGTGGCCTGGAGGAAGCTCCCACGGTGATGTGGAGTCTCCAGCTGCTCTCCTGCCCGTGGACTTTCCACCTCATATTTCTGGAGTTCTGGACTCTCACCAGCTCTTCCACACTCCCTCACTCCTCTACTCCAACGTGGAAATAAACAGAGAACATGAATGAGAAGGCGCAAAGGCCATGATTCAGGGCTTGCTGGGTAACAAGGGGGCAGCCACCACCACCTGTGTTTGAGAGGGACTCAAAGGCGGGCGGGGTAGGGAAGCTCTCGGGTGGCGTAAGCCAAAAAGTATCTGTGACAGAACTCCATCGATTCAGAGGATTATTTGCCAAGGTCGAGGACGCGCCAGAGGAAGAGAAACACGAGTTGCAGTAGGATCTGTGGCCTGTGCTTTTTCCCAGGAGATTTGAGGACTTCAACATTTAAAGAGGGGGCTGGCCGCGGTGGCTCATGCCTATAATCCCAGCACTTTGGGAGGCTGAGGCAGGAGGATCACCTGAGGTCAGGAGTTTGAGACCCGGCTGGCCAACATGACGAAACTCCGTCTCTACTAAAAATACAAAAATTAGCTAGGCGTGGTGGCAGGCACCTGTAATCCCAGCTACTTGGGAGGCTGAGGCAGGAGAATCTCTTGAATCCAGGAGGCAGAGGTTGCAGTGAGCCGAGATCACGATACTGCACTCCAGCCTGGGCGACAAGAGCAAGACTCCGTCTCAAAAAAAAAAAAAAAATTTAAAGAGGGAAGAGCAGGAAGGAAGGGAAGGAAGAAAGGACAAAGGGAGGGAGAGCAGGCAGCAGGGGAAGGAAAAGGAAAAGGGAGGGAGAGCAGGCAATGAGGGAAGTTGTTATGTTCCTGTGAGGCTTTGATTAGTACTCACTGAATCCACATTTTACACAGGAAAAGAGGTGTGCTTAATAAATATATGTTTTACGTAAGATAAAGTAAGCATGTGAGATGACAGCTGGCTATTTGGGAACAAAAGGAAGGTAAGTTTTTGTTTGTTTTTGTGTGACTCAGCCAGGCATGGGGGCTCCCACCTGTTATCCCAGCACTTTGGGAGGCCGAGGCAGGGGGCTCACTTGAGCCTAAGAGTTCAAGACCAGCCTGGGCAACATGGCAAAACCCCATCCCTACAAAAAATACAAAAAATTAGCAGAGTGTGGTGGCATGCACCTGTAGTCCTACCTACTTGGGAGGCTTGAGGTGGGAGGATCACCTGAGCCGGGAGGTCAAGGATGCAGTGAGCTGTGATCGTGCCTCTGAATGCCAGCATGGGTGAGAATGAGACCCTGAAAAAAAAGAAGAAGAAGGAGAAGAAAGAAAAAAGAGAGAGAAGAAAGGAAAGAAAGAAAGAGAGAAAGAAAGGAAGAAAGAAGGAAAGAAGGAAAAGAAAGAAAGAAAGAAAGAAAGAAAGAAAGAAAGAAAGAAAGAAAGAAAGAGAGAAAGAGAGAAAGAAAAGAACAGAAAAAAAGGAAGAAGGAAAGGAGGGGAGGGGAGGGGAGGGGGAAAGGAAAGGGAAGCTTCAGGTTTACCTTGATGGAGGCTGTGGGCCTAGGAAGCTGGAAGCAGCTCACTAGAAGAGGACAGGGCATCCTATGGGATTGGTTAGAGGGGCATACTTGGCTTTACTTTTTTTTTTTTTTTTTTGAGACAGTGTCTCACTCTGTTGCCCAGGCTGGAGTGCAGTGGTGCCATCTGGGCTCGCTGCAGCCTCAACTTCATGGGCTCAAGCAATCCTCCCACCTCGGCCTCCCAGGTAGCTGGGACTACAGGTGTGTGCCACCACACCTGGCTAATTTTTATATTTTTTGTAGAGATGGGGTCTCACTACATTGCCCAGGCTGGTCTCAAATTCCTGGGCTCAAGAGATCCACCCGCATTAGCCTCCCAAAGTGCTGGGATCATAGGTGTGAGCCCCTGCATCCAGCCCATATTTGGCTTTTTCTTGGAAATGGGGATAAATTGGAAGCAGGGATGAGAATTAGGGAAACTGTCGATTACAAATCAAGTCCTGGCCAAGTGGAGTCAATTGGTTGACTTCTTGGACCAGTCATTAGAACTGATCGCCTGACTTCCGCAAGTATGACTTGTAGCTAGCAGACAGCAGGCTGGCTTCCTGGGCTGGTCGTTGTAGAGGATGGCGGGGCTTCCTGGGCTGGTTGCTGCAGATTGTGGGTCAGAGATCTATTTTTATGTCTGGTCTGGCCGCTGGCCATTTGTAGAGTCAGTCTCTCACCAGCAATCTGTGATTATCATCCTAGTTTTTCAGACAAGTAAACTGGGAATCAGAAAAGTGAGCTGACGTAGCTAAGGTCACAGAACTAGTAAGTTTCAGAACCTGGACAGGAATCTGCCGGTCTCAGCCTTCCGCAGGCAAAGTTCACAGCTGACTCATTTTTGCCTCCTTGTCTCCCACTCTTAATTACCCCAGTACTTTGGGCATGTTCTCAATAAGTATTTATTGAATGAATGAATACAAATTTTTATGACGTCAGTGAGGAAACCAGAGAGGAAAGCCAGAAGAGAGTGAGGGGTCTTCGCTGAGGAGGCCCCTGTAATGAGAACGACGCCGCTGGGTTCTCTTGGCCACCTCTTCTCTGGCATCCTGCAAGAATCCCAGGTCCTTGGTTGGAGCCTGGAACCACTGGCTGAGAGACTTGTGGGTCTGGGCCAGCTTGGCCAGGAGGGACCTGGCGTTGGTTTGGAAGGGTGAGAGTCGGGGGAGCCTGCACCCCACGGGGTTACATTGTTATAATTAACATACTGGGGACGGCTGTCGGATCTCACTGAGAGGAGGGGCAGTCAATGGTGGGGAAGGGCACTTCCTCCCAGGAGCCGCCTGGGGATCCAACCAGGTGGGGAGGGTCAGGAGCCTCAGGCACTACGGAAGGCAGAATTCTAAGCCCGTCCCATGGACTCCATCCCTGTCCCCAGAGTTACTCCCTTGACCATATTATAGGGCTACACAGTGAAAGGGATTTATGGTGTAAGAACGGTACCCCAGGGAAACAGCGGTGGCTGGGGAGGTCAGGTGGACCTGGGGGGCCAGGTGTCCAGGCTGCCTGTCCCACCATGTCCCGGACTGGCCTCATGGCCCTAGGCCCCTCCCTAAGCCCCAGTTTCTACATCTGCGAAGTGAGGCGCTGGCCCAAGTAATCTAACCCTACCTGTTGTGATCCAGATTCTTTTGAGCCCCAGGGAGGCCAGGATTAAGGCCGGCTCCCCTGGGTTCCAGCCGATCAGGGGAGTGTGGGTGGTTTCTCGGGCCTGTGGAAGGAAAGAAGCCGAAGAAATCACTCTTGAAAAGTGGCCGCTATACGAGCGGGCTGGCTGGGTGATCCCTGTGGCATTCTGGTCCCTCTCCCTCCTGCCTCAGTTCCTCTATGACCTCAAGATGGAAGAGCCACACCTACAAAGAAAAAAAGACTATCTGTGAGAAACAGGTGTGCGTGTTGATTTTTCCAAGGGCTTGGCTCAGCTTTGGGCTGAAAATCCCCAGGCCATCCACAAGGGGTGTGGTCACAACCCAATAAAGACTTCAGTCTCAGAGCCTGGGACCATCCCATCAACCACAAAATATTATACAGGAGGAGCATGAGCCAGGGAGGGGAGTTGGCCCCTCACCGCCCCCACCTCAGTAGGTGGCCCTTCTGACTCTGCGCTGCTGCTGCAGGAGATGGCAACACGAGGGTCTCCGCATGCAGCCTGCAGGCGTCTCAGCTTCATGTCCTCAGCCTCCTCTCTTCCTTCTTTTCTCCAGAAAGGAGGCCAGCAGAAGGCTTGGGCCCTGAAAGCTAAAGGGAAAGGAATGCAACCTGGGCTGGGCAGGAGCAGAAGGAGAGAGGAAAACAGTAGAGGGTTTTTTTGTTTTGTTTTGTTTGAAACGGAGTCTCGCACTGTCACCCAGGCTGGAGTGCAATGGCGCGACGTGATCTCAGCTCACTGCAACCTCCTCTTCCCAGGTTCAAGCGATTCTCCTGCCTCAGCCTCCCAAGTAGCTGGAATTACAGGCACCTGCCACCACCCCTGGCTAATTTTTTGTATTTTTAGTAGAGAAGGAGTTTCACTGTGTTGTCCAGGCTGGTCTCAAACACCTGACCTCATGGTCCACCCGCCTCGGCCTCCCAAAGTGCTGGGATTACAGGCGTGAGCCACCGCACCCAGCCAACAGTAGAGGTTTGAAGATGTGAAGATGGAGTCCCTGGGAGAAAGGGGGCCTTAGTGGTTTAGAAGCCAGAAGGTTTAGAGGAAATGGGATGAAAACATGCAAAAACGAAGGAGTTGCGAGACAAAATGCTTCCCTGACAGAGCTGCTTGGTTGGTAACAACTCAAATTTGGCAAAAGGCACCTTGGTTTCATCCTAGCATCTACAGTGCTTATGGTCCTTACTGGGAGGAGAGGGAGCCAGGTCCAGAACCCTCTGTTGCCTCTCTGAGGTTCTAGCAGCAGTTCCCAGGCTCTCTCCTCCAGGCTCTGGTCAATCGGATACCTTCCTTTGGCTTCGAAAGGGCAGACACATCCAGCCACACCAGTCTTACTGCCCTTGCTGTGCTAAATCCTGTCCAGCTGACACCGCAGTTTCTGGGCCCCACGGAATCTTGGCTCCCCGGGCTCTCTGACCACTCACACCCCTTGTTCCTGCAGACAGTCCTGCCATGCCTCTTGCTATCCCAGAGGGAAGAAAAGGCCACAAGACCAAGTAGTTGACTTTGCATGGGAGTTTCGAATTAAGTTGTTTGACTGCAAAGAGGAGGGCCCTTTTCAAATCTTCCAGGACCTGAAACTCGACAAGGAAGGGGAATGCCAAGGTTGAGTCTGAGATATCAGCTCATGAGCCAGAAGGAGAAGGGAGCTGCGCAAATGGTTGTTCTGCTCAGTGGGGCCCCAGGGCGAGGCCCTGCAGCTAAGAAAACGCTTTTGGTGGTTTTCGCTGCAGGTGCCTACATTCTTGTGTAACTGTAGGGGAGAGGGGCCTGGGTGAGGGGAGAGGAGGCTCCCGCTTGGCCTTGCTACAAATAATAGCATTGAAGGGAGCTAGAAGCACGTTAAGCAAAGCCCTGGAAACGCGTTAAGGGCAGACTCTCAAGGAATCTGGATGCCCACAGCCAGGCAAGAGGCCAGGTTGAGAGATGGTTGTGGGATGCCCCGTGAGCAGGGTCCTCCCCCTCCTCTTTGCCCTGCCCTACCCTGCCCAATATCAGGCTATCTGCGGGGGACAGGCCAGGAGCTGCCTCTCTGGGCTGGGCACCATCTGGGTGGCCAGGAGGTGAGCCCGGGAATGCCCAGGAAGAGCCAAGTCCTGAAGTCACTGTGCCCAGGCCTGCCCTTCCCTAAGAGGGGGTATGGGGGGAGTGGGGAGGCAAGCAGGTGGGAGATTGGAGAACTCCAAGGCTGTCTTCAGGGCATGAGACCAGAGTTTGAGGGTGGGGGAGTATCAGGGAGGCAGGTTGGGGCCATTAGTGGGTGAGATCCCTGGTAGTGGGACCAGGCAGGCTGTATTTATCCCGTCCTTCCTTCCTTCCTTCCTTCTTTCCTTCCTTTCTCTTTCTCTCTCTTTCTCTCCCCCTTCCTTACCTCCTTCCTTCCTTTCTCTCTTTCTTCCTTCCTTCTTTCCTTCCCTTCTTTTACTTTTTCCTTCCCTTCTTCTTTCTTTCCTTCTCTCTTCCTTCCTTCATTCCTTCCTTTCTTTCTTTCTTTCTTTCTCTCCTTCCTTCGTCTCTCTTCTCTTCTTATTTTCTTCCTCCTTCCCTTTTCTTTCTTTCTCTCTTCCTTTCCTTCTCTGTTCCTTCCTTCCTTCCTTCTTTCCTTCCTTTCTCTTTCTCTCCCTCTTCCTCTCCCCCTTCCTTACCTCCTTCCTTCCTCTCTCTTTCTTCCTTCCTTCTTTCCTTCCCTTCTTTTTCTTTTTCCTTCCCTTCTTCTTTCTCTTTCCTTCCCTTCTTTTTCTTTTTTTCTTTCTTTCTTTCCTCCTCTCTTCCTTCCTTAATTCCTTTCTTTCTTTGTTTCTTTCTTTCTCTCCTTCCTTCCTTTCTCTCTCTCCTCTCATTTTCTTCCTTCCTTCCTCTTTCTTTTTCTTTCTCTTCCTTTCCTTCTCTCTTCCTTCCTTCTTTCATTCCTTTCTTTCTTTCTCCCCTTCCTTTCTTCCTTCCTTCCTTTCTTCTCTCCTTATTTTCTTTGCTTTTTTTTTTTTGTTTTTTTTCTTTTTCTCCTTATTTTCTTCCCTCCTCTTTCTTTCTTTCTCTTCCTTTCTTTCTGTTTTTATTTTTATTTTTATTTTTTGAGCTAGGGTCTCACTTTGTCACCCAGGCTGGATGGAGCACAGTGACACGACCACAGCTCACTGCAGCCTCCACATCCCACCTCAGCCTCCTGAATAGCTGGGACTCCAGGCACACGCCCCCGCACCTGGCGAATTTTTAAATTTTGGTAGCAACTTGGGGTCTCACTATGTTGCCCAGGCTGGCCTCGAACTCTTGGGCTCCCAAAGTGCTGGGATTCCAGGTGAGAGACACCGCACTGGCCACCAGGCTGTATTTCTTTTGGGTTCAGAGTGCTCCGCACAGTCTTGAGCCCCCTCTTCAGGATGTACGGTCTCCATGGGGCTCTGAGGGTGTTTGATGAAATGTACAGGAAGCCATTGGCTTGGGCTGAGCTCCTGCACGAGGCCCAGCAGACCAAACCGAAATGGAATCATTCATGCTGAAGTTCTGCGTCACCCAGCTGACACTAAGTTGTTTATCTGACATTCTGAGACATCAGGAGAGTGAGGGATAATAGCCAGATCCCCAAACAGGCCAGTTTTAGCCAGCATGATAAGGAAGTCCCCTCTGCTTTAATCTTACAAGGAAAATAACTTTGAAATCTGATGTTTGTTCTGTTTCTGCTTTCAAAGCCAACCTCTACTGCTCAGCTCAATCCGAACACTCATTCTATAGTGTAAGGTGAGATATTGCCCAATTCTAGAATCCAAGTAAAAGCCAATTAAGATCTTTAAATTTGTTGTAATTTTGTCTTTTGACAAGAGAAAGGAGCTTTCAGGGGGAGGGGCCATTTCCTCTCTGTCTCTAGATCTCCTGTGTATATGGGAAGAGCTGGGACCAGGCCCAGCAATTACCTCACCATGGTTGGGTGCAACCAAGTGGGGCAACTCTTTGGCCAGAAAGCAAAAGTCTTTTTAGCTTCAATGTAGGCCATTCTGGGTCCCAGACCCACAGCTTTGGACATTATGGGAATCAGAATTCTTAGATGGCTTCACAATCTCTGTCCCTGGGTGTGTTACTCCCTTGATGATATTATATTATATGGCAGAAGGGATCTGCAGTGTAATTAACATTACCAATCAGTTGATCTCCAAGTAGGTCAGTTATCTGAGTGGGCTGGATCTAATCCCACGAGCTTATTAAAAGCAGAGAGTTTCTCCAATAGCAGAAGGGAAGTCAGAGAGATTCTAAGCACAAGAAGAATGGGATGCACGTTCACTGGCTTTAAAGATGCAGGAAGCATTACATGGAAAGGACTTGTGAACAGCCCCAAGGAGCTCAGAGAGACGCCCAGCCAACGGCCAGCAAGAAAACAGGAACCTCAGTCCTGCAACCACAAGGAAGTGGGTTCTGTCAACAACCTAAGTGAACCTGGAAGTCGATTCCTCCCTAGAGCCTCTGGATGAGAGCCCAGGCTGACCAACACCTTGATTTTGGCTTCCTGACATCCTAAGCAGAGATCCAGTGAAGCCTGCCCCAGATGGCTAACCTACAGAACCGTGAGCAAATAAATGGCTGCTAAATTTGTGGCAATTTGTTATGCAGAAATAATACCTAATACAGGTGCCTGCACAGTGAAGGTTCCAGGGCATGGATGTTGATCCCAGGGGAGGAGGCAAATGAGGCCTTCTGATTTCTCCCACAGCCTTGAAATTGCAGCCTCACCCTGCACTCTGGCTGTGCCCCTCCTCCACAGAGAACCGTCCACATCTTTGCTCGCACGGTTTCTGCCAGAGGCCCAAGCTTCTGTGCTCAGGCTGGGAAGTTTGGGCATGAACTATGTACAGATAAACCAATTGCAGGGGAATCGCACAGCTTCTTATTATCATTATCCAGGTTTCTTATTAGTTTTCTTCTCTGTTAATTTTCCCCTGTATTTCTGCCCAGTTCTGATGCTGTTGGATCTTCCAATCCTTGGCAAAAGGAAAATCCTTTTTAGCAAGTTACTCAGGCAGGACTCCCTAATTAAAGACCCAGAGTGGCCAGGCGCGGTGGCTCGTGCGTGTAATCCCAGCATTTTGGGATGCCAAGGCGGGTGGATAGCTTGAGCCTAGGAGTTTGAGACGAACCTGGGCAACATAGGGAGACCCTGTCTCTACAAAATATAAAAATAAATTAGCTGGTCCTGGTGGCATGCACCTGTAGTCCCAGCTCTTGGGAGGCTGAGGTGGAAGGGTGGCTTGAGCACAAGAAGTTGAGGCTACAGTGCACTATGATCATGCCACTGCACTCCCGCCTGGGTGACAGAGTGAGACCCTGTCTCAAAAACAGAAACTCAAAATGACTTGCTCTCTCTCCCGGTCTTGTGACCTAAATGGCTTGATTTAGGACGTGTGGCAGAGATGGTTAGCTGTCTACCAAAATCTGCACACCCCTTTCATAGCACAGTATTGTCACTAAGAGCAGAGACTACATTTCCCAGCTGCCTTTGCAACTGGGTGTGTCCACGTGACAAATTCCTACCAGTAGAATGTGAGCAGAAAAGCTGTGCAGCCCCTCTGAGCCAAGGCATCAGAAGCAGGTGTGCTTCCTCCATCACTTCCCTCCTCTTTGCCAGCTGGATATAGGTACCAACGAGACCCTGGGGAAGGGGAGAGCCCTGAGATGGAAGGAGCCTGGGTCCCTGAATCACCACGTGGAGGAAAGCCACTGACCAATCAGGAACGCTCGTCTTGGTCTGTTATGTGACTAAGAAATAAATTCCTAAGGTATTTGAGCTATTATACATTTGGGAGTCTATCTGTGACTGCTTTTTAGCTTACCCTTCATAATACACATCCCTCTTTGGCCCCCAGTGTAAATCAAGTTGCACAAGGTGCTGACTAAACTCCCAGGATGAAAACCTTCAAATATCCCTGTACCTCACTTTCCTCGGCTGGCTCCCATCCCTGTCTTGGTTCACACTGCTTGCTCCAAAGTCTGGCTGACTCAGCTGGCCTGGGCCATCATCCATCTGCTGTCAAAGAGTGCCTGGCTCACAGCAAAAAGAACATTTATTCCCCCAAAACATAGGGTTCTTTTTTTCAGCAAAGGTGGTGCAGCAATATATTTGGAGACGCAGACTGCGAGTCAGCACATGCTCCCGGTTCCCTTGGGACACAGTCAGGGAGCTCATGTCTTCAGCCCCAGCTCCCCCAGCAAGAGCCTCCAGTGGTCGGAGGAGAGGAGAGAAGAGCAGTGGAGAGGGGGAGGAAAGCAGAAAGAGGTGACAATTCTCTCAGAAAGCAATTAAGCATTTCGTGGTGGCCCCAGGGACAACCTCAACTTTTTGTGTTTTTCCCCCAGAGAGACTGAAGAACTGGGGGGAGGAGAGCATCCCTAGCTACAGTTATTGAAAACTCTGCTTGGTAATGTGGCATTGAGAGACTCTGAGAAGCTGGCTTCAGGAAGGTGGCCCCACACTGCCTGCCCACCACCTGGGATGCCACCTGCCGCAACGGTGTTGGTCTCTGGTCAGGGCTGGGGTAAAGATCAGCAGTGGCTCATCTTCCCTCTGACACAGCAGCATGGGACACCTGGATGGAACTGAAATGGGGTCCCAGATACAGCAAACCTCTCTCCCTGTCCACTTCTGAAGTCCAGCTCGGGATTGCCGGCCCCAGCAGAGCAGGCAGGGGAGCTTTGACTGTGGATGGTGTTTGAGCCTAGACTAGGCCCCAGGGTCTTCAATGAAGCTCACAGATGGAAAAGCCCAGCAACCAGGGGTCAGAGGCCCTGGAAGTTAGAAAATTACAAGTCCCCATCCTTCAAGGAGCTCCAGGATGACTCTGCCTCAGCAATTTCCAGTGCAAATTTACTTTTTGTTTGAGTCAGGAAATAACAGGCTGCAGACTCCCTAGGGGCCCAGGAATCCAGCCACCAGCTTCTCCTGGCTTCTCTCATCCTTCCGTGAGCAAGACTCAGCCAGACGTACAGGGTGGCCCCGAGCTTAAATTACAACCACCTGACCAGAGCTGCCCCGCAGATGCCCAGACCCTGCTTAGAGAGGGTCCCTGTGGAGAGAGGGGCTTCCCCAGGCCTCTGGCTGGTCGCATGCGTGGCCTGAATTCTCCATGCACAGGCAAGAGGCTGTCTCTACTTCCCACCCTAGGCAACTCTTAGCACTAACCCTGAAGTGACGATGAGCCACGGAGCCAGGGTGGAAGCTACACAGTGCGTCTCACGTGACTTCCAGTGAGAGCTGTTCCCAAGTTTACCATCCCTCGGCGGTGGCTCACCACCCTCTCTGCCCAAAGTCCTCTCAATAGCCTAAGTCTCTTCCCTCCACTCAGCCTCATTGCTCTCATTTTGTCACTTAGAGCTTAGTGACATTTTGCTTTCTTCCAAATCCTCCTTCTTGCAGTCTAGCTGGGTCCTTTCATGCCTAGTTTACAAAGATGTCTGGCCTGATCCCTATCTGCCAGCCCCTATCCCTCCCAGGGGGACCAGGAAGCCTGGGTTTGACAGGTGCAATGCACAGGTGCCGGGCGCCCACTGGGAGTGCAGGAGGCCAAGGTCTTCCCAGGACTGGCAGCTCAGATGGCCCAGGCAGAAATAACCTGAGCCTGCTGCCCTTTCCTTCTTGGGAGTGACTCAGCGAGAAGCCGGAAGATAGAAACACAAATCTGGTCCTGGATCTTGCAGAGCCAGTCACAGGCAAGGCCACAGCCTTAAGGCTGTGTACGGAGAGGACCTGGAGCCAGCCATAGGGCTGGACGCTGAAAAGACGCTCAACCTCATTTAGCAGGAGACAAGTGCAAATGAAAACTATACCCAGACCCCATTTTCCACAGAGCAGATTGGCAGAGATGCAAGCTTTCAGGACACACTCACTTGGCAAGAAGGGGAGGCCATTCTCCCGCTTTGCTAGCAGGCTGTAAAATGATACAATCTCCTCGGAAGGCAAGTTGGCAATATCTATCCACTAAGTGCACAAATTCTTTGACCCAGCGATTCTACCTGTACAAACGGAACACCTAGCTATGCGTGCACATTTATGACATGACCCAGGCAGCATTGTTTGTAATAATGACAAAGGATTGGAGGCTCCTACATAGGTGACTGGTTCCACACTTGCGGTGTCCCCATGCGATGGATCACAGTAGGCAGAACAGATAATTGGAACCATTGATGGACGAGTATGGAACCGTGTCCTAGATACATTGGAAAGAGGAAAAACAAAACAAAAGAAATTGAGGAGCAGAACGGGCTGTGGGGCTGGCTGGTTTCAATTCTCGATGAATGGATGAAATGGCACACTCCCATTTGGGTAAAGGAGGGTAACAGAGAAGCAATGTCTATGCTGGTCTAATGTGTGTGCTAAGGAATATCTCCGGATGGATACCCCAGATTGGTTTCATTAGCTATACAGAGGCAAGCATATACCTTTTTGTAACTTGAGCATTTTAAAATATGTTAGCTGGGCCGGGTGGCACGTGCCTGTAGTCCCAGCTACTTGGAAGGCTGAGGCAGAAGAATCACTCGAAGCCTGGAATTCAAGGCTACAGTGAGCCATGATGGGGTCTATGAATAGCCACTGCATTCCAGCCTAGGCAACACAGTGAGACCCTCATCTCTAAAAACAATAAAAATTCAAAAAATTTTTTTGAACTAGGCAAACATGTTACTTATTTTAAAAAAATAAACAGTTTAAAAGGTGAGGCCAGGCATGGTGGCACACGCTTGTAATCCCAGCACTTTGGGAGGCCGAGGCAAGCAGATCATGAGGTCAAGAGATCGAGACCATCCTGGCCAACATGGTGAAACCCCGTATCTACTAAAAATACAAAAATTAGCTGGGCATGGTGGCACTTGTCTGTAGTCCCAGCTACTTGGGAGGCTGAGGCAGGAGAATCGCTTGAACCCGGGAGGCGGAGGTTGCAGTGAGCCGAGATCGCGCCACCGCACTCCAGCCTGGCAACAGGGTGAGGCTCTGTCTCAAAAAAAAAAAAAAAAAATGGTGAACCCCTGGCTCGGTAATGGAATAAAATGACACCAGTACTTGAGAGGCAAGCAAGTTCCAGGATAGAACGAGGTGGTGGAGGGAAGCGATCATTCCATTTTACATTCATATTTTGCAAACAGTTTCTCCTTTTCTGTTGCTGCTTTCAATCCAGAGGCAGTCCTTTCTTTTCAGATGAAGAAATGGAGGCTCAGAGAGGGGAGGTGACTTTGTGGAAGTCACACAGCAAGTGGCTGAGCCAAGACTCACAACCAGGTATTTTTGTTTTGTTTTGTTTTGTTTTGTTTTTTGAGATGGAGTTTTGCTCCTGTTGCCCAGGCTGGAGTGCAGTGGCACGATCTCAGCTAACTGCAACCCCCACCTCCCTGGATTCAAGCGATTCTCCTGCCTCAGTCTCCTGAATAGCTAGGATTACAGGCACCCGTCACCACATCTGGCTAATTTTTGTAGTTTTAGTAGCGATGGGGTTTCACCATGTTGGCCAGGCTGATCTCGAACTCCTGACCTCAGGTGACCCACCTGCCTCGGCCTCCCAAAGTGCTGGGATTCCAGGCATGACCACCACACCCAGCCTTGTTTTGTTTTGTTTATGAGACAGGGTTTTCCTTTGTCACCCAGGCTAGAGTGCAGTGGTGCAATCTCAGCTCACTGCAACCTCTGCCGCCAGGGTTCAAGCAATCCTCCTGCCTCAGCCTCCCTAGTAGCTGGGACTACAGGTATGCACCACCACACCCGGCTGATTTTTGTATTTTTAATAGAGACAGGGTTTCACCATGTTGGCCAGGCTAGTCTCGAACTCCTGACCTCAGGTGATCCTTCAGCCTCAGCCTCCCAAAGTGCTGGAATTATAGGCATGAGCCACCAGGCCCGGCTGCATCCAGGTTTTCGGGCTCCCCATCACATGGTTTTTTCTACCTCACTCTATAGCAGACAAGACCTGGGGTCTTGGGTCACTGCTATCCCCATTTCCACCTAGAACATGATCTAGACCACAGTACATATGGGCTCAGGAACCAGCTGTCAGAGAATGGCGTCAGATTCTAGCTCAGCTACATCCTACCTGAGTGACTTTTAGGGGAGTTACTTTTTGGACTGTGCTGTGGTCTGTTTGTGCCCCACCTAAATTCATATGTTGAAACTTACTCTCCAATGTGATGGTATTAAGAGGTGGGGCATTTGGGAGGTGATTAGTGCTCTTATAAAAGAGGCTGGAGTGCTGGGTGCGGTGGCTCATGCCTGTAATCCCAGCACTTTGGGAGGCTGTGACGGGTAGATCACCTGAGATTGGGAGTTGGAGACCAGCCTGACCAACATGGAGAAACCCCGTCTCTACTAAAAATACAAAATTAGCCGGGCATGGTGGTGCATGCTGTAATCCCAACTACTCAGGAGGCTGAGGCGGGAGAATCGCTTGAACTCAGGAGGTGGAGGTTGCAGTGAGCCAAGATCGTGCCATTGCACTCCAGCCTGGACAACAAGATGAAATACTGTTTCAAAAAAAAAAAAAAAAAAAAAAAAAGAGGCTGGAGGGAGCTTGTTCACTTTTGCCCTGTGAAGACACAGCAAGAAGGTGCTATCTTTGAAGCAGAGAGTGAGGCCAGGTGCGGTGGCTTATAGCGGTAATCCCAACACTGTGGGAGGCTAAGAGGAGAGGATCACTTGAGCCCAGGAGTTTGAGACCAGCCTAGGCAACATGACAAAACCCTGCCTCTACAAAAAATCCCAAAATTAGCCAGATGTGGTGGCACATGCCTCTATTAGGGAGGCTAGGTTGGAGAATTGCTTGAGCCCCAGGAGGTTGAGGCGGTAGTGAGCCGTGATCACACCACTGCACTCCAGCCTGGGGGACAGAGCGAGACCCTGTCTCAAAAAAAAAAAAAATTTTTTTTTCCTTTTTCTTAATTCACCTCCCCTTCCTTATTTCTATTTACTTTTAAATATTAATATATAGTAAAACTGGCCAGGCACAGTGGTTCACACCTGTAATGCCAGCACTTTGGGAGGCCAAGGAGGGCAGATCATTTGAGGTCAGGAGTTCAAGACCAGCCTGGGCAACATGGTAAAACCCTGTCTCTACTAAAAATACAGAAATTAGCCTAGATGTGATGGTGGGTGCCTGTAATCCCAGCTACTCAGGAGGCTGAGGCAGAAGAATCACTTGAACCTGAGAGATGGAGGTTGCAGTGGGCCAAGATCGCACCACTGCACTCCAGCCTGGGCCCTGGGTGGCAGACAGAGTGAGACACTGTCTCAGAAAATAAAAATATATAAATATAAATAAATAAATAAAATTAATATATAGTAAAGTTGATTTTTGTTGTTGTTGTTGTTTCGATTTGCATAATCACCTTCACAATCAGGATACAGCTAGTTCCATCGCCCCAAGAAACCTCCTCAAGAGTCCCCTTCAGGGAGCCACATTCTTTCCCCACCCCAGCCTCTGCCTAGAAATGGCTAACATGTTCTCTGTAATTTTGTCTTCTTGAGAACGTCATAGAAATGGACTTTTACGTGATATAACCTTTTGACTGGCTCTTTTCTTTAGAATAATGCCTTTGAGGTTCATCGCAGGTGTTGTGTATATCAATAGTTCATTTCGTTTAATTATGGGGATACCATAGTTTGTTTATCCATTCATTCATTGAAGGACATTTGGGTTGTTTCCAGTTTTTGGTGATTATGAATAGAGCTGCTATAGATATTTGTGCAGAGGTTTTTGTGTGAACAAAAGTTTTCATTTCTCTAGGCAGTAATTCTCAACTGGAGGCAATTTCGCCTCCCATGGGACATTTGGCAATGGCTCTGACATTTATGATTGTCAAGGCGAAGTGCTGCTGGTATCTAGTTGGCAGAGGTCACGGATGCTGCTAAACAACCTATAATACATAGGACAGTCCCTACAACAAGGAATGATCTGGCCCAAAATATCAATAGCACTGAGGCTGAGAAACCCTGGTCTTGGGAATACACAGAACTGAAGTTGTTGGTCATGTGGTATGATATGGTTTGGCTGTGTCTCCCCACCCAAATCTCATCTTGAATTGTAGTTCCCATAATCCCCATGTGTCATGGGAGGGACCTGGTGGGAAGTAATTGAATCATGGAGGCAGTTAGCCCCATGCTGCTGTTCTCATGATAGTGAGCGTGTTCTTACGAGATCTGATTGTTTTATAAGGGGCTTTCCCCTCCTTCGCTCTGCACTTCTCCTTGCTGCTGCCATGTGAAGAAGGATATGTTTGTTTCCCCTTCCGCCATGATTGTAAGTTTCCTGAGGCCTCCCGAGCCATGCAGAACTGTGAGTCAATTAAACCTCTTTCCTTTATAAATTACGCAGCCTCTGGTATGTCTTTATTAGCAGCATGAGAGCAGACTAATGCATGATACGTGTATGTTCCACTCTATAAAAAAATTGCCAAACTGTTTTCCAGAGTGACTTTACCATTTTGCATTTCCACCAACAATGTTGAAGGTTCTAGGTGCTTTACATCTTTGGCAGTGTTTGACATTGTCTATCTTTTTAATTTTATCCATTATACTAGACATGTGGTGGTATCTCATTATGCCTTTAATTTGCATTTCCTTAACGGCTAGTCATGTTAAATATCATTTCATGAGCTTATTTGCCATCTGTGTATCCTCTTTGGTAAAGTGTCTATTCAAATCTTTTGCCCCTTTTAAAGTTGGATTTCTTTATTTCTTACTGTTGAATTTTAAGGGTTCTTTATATATTATGGATGCAAGTTTCTTTGTGGAATATGTGATTTGCATCTTCTCTCATTCTATTGTTTGTTTTTCCATTCTCTTAGCAGTGTCTTTCACACAGCAAAAATTTTTAATTTTGGTGAAGTTCAATGCCTTACTCCATTTTGTGCTGTTATAGATACTACAGACTGCCTGGGCATGGTGGCTCACGCCTCTAATCCCAGCACTTTGGGAGGCCAAGGCAGGCAGATCACTTGAGGTCAGGAGTTTAAGACCGGCCTGGCCAACATGGTGAAACCCCGTCTCTACTAAAAATACAAAAATTAGCCAGGCACAGTGGTGGGTGCCTGTAATTCCAGCTACTCGGGAGGCTGAGGCAGGAGAATTGCTTGAACCTGTGAGGCAGAGGTTGCAGTGAGCTGAGATGGCACCACTGCACTCTAGCCTGGGCAACAGAGCAAGACTCTGTCTCAAAATAATAATAATAAAAGTTAACATTTGAGGAAGGTGTGAGATTTAGGTTGAGGTGCCCCCCCCCACTTTTTAAAATACGGATGTCAATCATTGCAACCATGTGTTGCAAAGATTGTTCTCCTTCATTAAATTACGTCTTTGTCAAAACTGATGGAATTGACGTCTTTGTCAAAAATCAGTTGGGCTTATTTGTGTTTGGTCTATTTCTGTGTTCTCTAGTCTCTCTCATTGACTGCTGGCCTCTACCCATTTGCCAATACCACATTGTCTTGATGACTGCCACTTCACCATAAGTCTTCAAGCAGAGTAGTGTGATTGTAAGTCCTGTTGCTTTATTATCCTTCTTTATCAAAATTGTTTGGTTTTTCCAATTCTTTTGCCCTTCCGTAGACATTTTAGAATCATCTATCTATATCTACAACCTTTCCTTCTTCTTCTTTTTTTTTTTTTTTTGGGACAGTGTCTTGCTGTATCGCCCAGGCTGGAGTGCAGTGGTATGATCTCGGCTCACTGCAAGCTTCACCCCCTGGGTTCACGCCATTCTCCTGCCTCAGCCTCCCAAGTAGCTGGGACTACAGGCACCTGCCACCACGCCCAGCTAATTTTTTGTATTTTTAGTAGAGACGGGGTTTCACCGTGTTAGCCAAGATGGTCTCGATCTCCTGACCTCATGATCCGCCCATCTCGGCCTCCAAAAGTGCTGGGATTACAGGCGTGAGCCACCCGTCCAGCCAACCTTTCCTTCTTTTTAACTTATTTTTACGAGGCATAGGCTTATGATGACCCCATTTTACTCTTTGTTCTAAGTAGGATTTTGACACTCAGAGTTCTAGGTAGAACCTTTGGGTAGGTTCCAAGGAAGGGAGAAATGCTGCTTTTATAGAAAACTCAAAAAAAAAAAAACAGCCATTCACCTGCTTCTTGGGAGAACAGATTGCCTTTTGCCTAAGGAACATGAAGTGTGCAGATTTGCTTTCTTTTCTCACTGTGGAGCTGGTCTGTGCATTTTGTTCTCCACTAGTTTGCAAGGCCAAGTTATATTCACTTTTTTTGACAGCAAAATGGTAAGAACACTTCTGACTCGTCTTGGAAGATATTATTTATCCTTCTGAAACATGTTTTTCATCAGGTCAAATAACTTGCCTGAAACTGCTCATACAATTTCTTCTAAAAGTGGAGCAAGAGTTCATCTTGTCTTGTTCTGGGATTGTCAGATCTGAACACATTGCCCTCCAATTCTCTGGTTTCTAGAACAGACGAGGCTGCCACTCAACACCAAAACTAAGAGAAGGATTGAAGTGAGTGGGAATCACTAAAAGAGTCCTACTGGCCTTCTTCCTGGGACTGGGGAGCCAGCTGTCCTTTGCCCCTCCACTCCCAGCTCCCCGGTCCTGGACCTGGGAAGACTCCCCTGCTCCGGCCCTCCCTGCATCCCTGAGAGGCCTGGAGAGCAGAGGCCTCTAGAGCTGGTCGCTGTCTTGTTTACTACCTGAAACCAGGCCTCTGAGTTTTCTGCTTGTGCAACAAGACGATCTGCTTGAGGAAGAGAAGTCATGGGCCACTCATTAAGACAGCCAGTCCCAGGGGAAAGAGAAATGGGTGAGGCCTGGGATGTAGGAGCTCCTTCTGGCTCTGTCGCTGGCTTACTGCTATACCTGGGACAAAGAATGACTTCCTTAAGCCCGTTGTGCTCACCTATAAACTGGCAACTATGCGATCTGACCTGCTCATCTCATGGAATTGTTGCAAGACTCAAATGATCAAGCAAGTTTTCTAGGAAACATCTGGAAAGAGGCAGCCCAAACTGTTCAGAATGGCTTCTCTAGGGAAGAGGATATGGGAGCGAATGGAGAGAACTGCGGTTATTCCGCTTTTGTCTTCGATTAATTCTGATCTTGTTTCCAAATGTTTTAACAAATACGGATTCCTTTTGTGATTGAAAAAGTTTGTAGGCCAGGCATGGTGGCTCTCACACTTGTAATCCCAGCACTTTGGGAGGCCGAGGCAGGAGGATTGTTTGAGCCTAGGAGTTTGAGACCAGCCTGGGCAATGTAGCAGGACCCCATCTCTAATTTGAATAATAAAAAATAGGCCAGCACGGTGGCTAATACCTGTAATTCCAACACTTTGGGAGGCTGAGGTGAGAGGATCCCTTGAGCTCAGTAGTCTGAGACCGGCCTGGGCAACAGAGTGGAACCCCATGTCTGTAAGTAATTTTAAAAATTAGCTGGGCAGTCGGGCGTGGTGGCTCAGCGTGTAATCCCAGCACTTTGGGAGGCCGAGGCGGGCAGATCATGAGGTCAGGAGATCGAGACCATCCTGGCTAACACGGTGGAACCCCCGTCTCTACTAAAAATACAAAAAAATTAGCTGGGCGTGGTGGCGGGTGCCTGTAGTCCCAGCTACTCAGGAGGCTGAGGCAGGAGAATGGCATGAACCCGGGAGGCAGAGCTTGCAGTGAGCCGAGATCGCGCCACTGCACTCCAGCCTGGGCGACAGAGCGAGACTCCGTCTCGAAAAAAAAAAAAAAATTAGCTGGGCATGGTGGTGCACACCTATAGTCCCAGCTACTTGGGAAGCTGAAGTGGGAGGATTGCCTGAGTTCAGGAGGTCAAGACTGCAGTGAGCCTTCATTGTACCACTGCCCTCCAGCCTGGGCAACAGAGCAAGATCTTGTCTCCAAAAAAAAAAAAAAAAAAGTTTGTAAATGTTCACATGTATGTTAATGTAATAATGTGTTTTGTGGTCTTCAAAAGTCTCCAGCCCTGCTAAGCTGCCAGTTACCCTTCTTAGCCTGTGTTGTGGGTTGCTTAGCTCAGAGTCGCTTGCTTCGGTTTCACAGCATGATGGGCTGAGCCCATGGATATCTGAAACCTGAGGGTGTTGATGAAATCAGCTAGGATGTGGACCTGGGTTGAGGTCCCCTCCATGGCTTCCTGTTGACTGTGAGTCTGGCTCCTGCCTCCTTCCTCTGAGCCTCCCAGGCATGGAGCATGTGTTTCTCCCTGGCTATCTGGCCAGCCCAGCCTGCAGGCAGGCACTGTGGTGCCAGAGAGAGCGCTGCTGCTGAACAGAATAGAGTCAGCACAAAACACATTAAAAAATCAATCGCTGGGACAGCAGCCCACCAGAGAAAGGGACCTGGGCGCAGAGGCCATCCTCCCAAGGAGCTGGTGCAGCTGGGGGCTCAGGGCATGCCAATGGCTCAGCAGGTGCAGTGGCCAGCCTGGCCAGAAGTACTCCAGGCACAAAGACACAGCCAGAGGCTGGCACAACTTCACCGGGCAGCAAGGAGCAATGGGGTCGTGTGCCTCTATACGTGTTTAGTTGCTGTTTGGAAGCCGCTTGCAGGTGGAATGCGTGTTCTGATCTCCCCATGTGGCTGAGATCCGTCCAGGGCAGGCCTTCGCTTCCCCAGAGCCCCTCCCACATCTGAGAAAATAGCTGGGGGTGCCGCCCGTGGAGAACCCAGGATACCCCAGTAGCAAGAAAAGGCACCCAAGAAAGAGACCACCGCTGTTCCTAATGGGGCAGTCCTGACTGTCACTCTGACCAATGACAGGAGGGCAGAACCCCTAGGACCTCTCTCTGTGGAGTGGGGAGAGAGGGCAGGGACGGCAGGGAGCCCAGCCTCTCTAGCCAGCCCCACCAACCAGGTCGCATTCACAGATGAGCTCATTAGGGGCTCACTCAGGAATTCACCTCCTGCCCCCAGGCTCTGCAGACATTTATGGTGGGGGTAGGATTCCTGTGTGCTGAAAACAAATTCTGTCCTGTCCTCCTACCACTACCTGGACCTGCGGGGGAGGGGGCACAAGTTGTCCTGCGCTAGCGGCTGTCCCGAGCCTCAGGGGGGCTACAGCTGCTCAGTGAGCAGGGTGGCCCCTGAGAAGGAGTGAGGAGGACCCAGTCCTGAGTCAGCACCACTCAGACCCCCACCCTGCTCCCCTCCTGAACAAGTTCAGCACATGGGGTTGGGACACAGACACAAATACCCCATCCAACGAACTCTCTCTGATTGGAAACACAAATCTCTCCCCTCTTCCATCAGGATCCCAGACAGAAACCATCTCATGCAGAGAGCATCCTGAGGCCCCACCTCCTCCCCAGTTCAGGGCTCAGCAAACTTTTTCTGTAAAGAGCCAAATAGCAAACATTTTCAACTACATTCGTGACCATGTGGTCCCTATCACTATTCAACTCTGCCAGTACAGCACGAAAGCAGACAGACAATAAGGCAACAAATGGGCATGGCCACGTTCCAATAAAACTTTATTTATACAAACAGATGGCAGGCTGGATTTGGTTTGTGGACTGTAGTTTGCTGACCCAGCTGTAATTCACCAGGCACGTCCTAGGGCAGGTCTGAGCACCCTTTAGGATCAGCCGTCCTCCCAAGGAGCTGGGACCACAGATGTGTGCTACCATCCCGGCTCATTTGTTTATTCTTTTATTTTTATTTATTTAATTTTTTGAGACAGGGTCTTTCTTTGTTGCCCAGCTAGGGTGCCATGACATGATCCCTGCTCACTGCAGCCTCAACTTCCCAGGCTCAAGCAATTCTCCTGCCTCAGCCTCCTGAGTAGTTGGGACTACAGGCACATGCCACCAAACCTGGCTAATTTTTGTATTTTTTGTAGAGATGGGGTTTTACCATGTTGCCCAGGCTGGTTTAAAACTCCTGAGCTCAAGCAATCTGCCTGTCTCAATCTCTGAAAGGGCCAGGATTACAGGCATGACCAATCATGCTCTGCCTGAGTTTGCTCTTTTTATCCCCATTTTACAGGTGAGGAAACTGAGGCTCAGAGAAGCAACAACCTGCCCAAGGGCACATAAATTTAGCTGTAGTCAAAAGGAAAACACAGGGCCAGGCGCCGTGGCTCACGCCTGTAATCCCAGCACTTTAGGAGGCTGAGGCGGGCAGATCACTTGAGGTCAGGAGTTCGAGAACAGCCTGGCCAACATGCTGAAACCCCATCTCTACCAAAAATACAAAAATTAGCCGGGCGTAGTGGTGCACACCTGTAGTCCCAGCTATTCAGGAGGGTGAGGCAGGAGAATTGCTTGAATCCGGGAGGCGGAGGTGGCAGTGAGCTGAGATCGCACCACTGCACTCCAGCCTGGACGACAGAGTGAGACTGTATCTCAAAAGAGAAAGAAAAAAAAAAAAGGAAAATATGAAAGCCAATATACAAGAAGAAAAGGACAGGAGTGGGTGAGGCGCCTTGGGAGGCTCCACAGACAAAAGGCAGGTAAGAAGCTGTATTGGGATAACTATGGCTTCATGTTTTCCAGAGGAAGAGGGGGCAGTGCCTCTGAGCCACCACGGGCTCAGCTGGGGGCCTGGGGGCCTGTCTCTTGCACACCTGCCGGGCTTTCCTGGGAAGCTGACGGCCCTTGGTGGAAAGGTTCCTTGGGGGTTTGTGGGATGAGCATCCCAGTGGCTGCATAAGGGGTTGGGTAGCGTCGCTCACTATTTAATAGTCTACCTGGAATCTCAGAATGTGACCAATTTGGAATTAGGGTCTTTACAGATAGAATTAAGGTAAGGGCCAGGTGCAGTGCCTCACACCTATAATCCTAGCACTTTGGGAGGCCTAGGTGGGCAGATAGCTCGAGCCCAGGAGTTTGAGACCAGCCTGAGCACCATGGCAAAACCTTGTCTCTACAAAAAATACAAAAATTAGGCAAGTGTGGTGGTACACACCTGAGTCCCAGCTACTCAGGAGGCTGAGGCAGGAGCATCGCTTGACCCCAGAAGGTGGAGGCTGCAGTGAGCTGTGATGACTGTGTCACTGCACTCCAGTCTGGGCAACAGAGTGAGACCCTGCCTCCAAAAAAAAAAAAAAAAAAAAAAAAAAAAAAAAAAAAGGTAAGGACTGAGATAAGATCATACAAGATTAGGATGGGCCCAAAATTCAATGAGAATGTCCCTATAGGAACCAAAAAAGGACATAGTGAGACTTACAGGAGAAGGCCCTGTGACAATGGGGCAGAGATTGGAATGCCAAGGATTGCTGGGAGTCCCCAAAGCTAGAGAAATGGAACAGATTCTTCCTAGGCACCTCCAGAAGGAACCTACCCTGCCCACACCTTGATCTTGGACATCTGGCCTCAGAACTGTGAGAGGATTGAGAGGATAAATGTCTCTGTCTCTGAAGTCACCCAGTTTATAGGAATTTCTTTCATCAGTGACAGGAAATGAATATTTTATGTGTGAACTTTGGTTTTTTGTTTTGTTTTGTTTCTTTTTGAGACAGACATTTGCTCTATCACCCAGGCTGGAGTGCAGCCTCCTGAGGAGCTGGGATTACAGGTGTGGGCCACCACATCTGGCTAATTTTTGTACTTTTAGTGGAGACAGGTTTCGCCATGTTGGCCAGGCTGGTCTCAAACTCCTGACCTCAGGTGATCTTCCCGCCTCGGCCTCCCAAAGTGCTGGGATTACAGGCATGAGCCACCATGCCCAGCATTTATGTATGAACTTTGGAGGGTGGTTCCCAATGTCCCTGGTTCCCAGCCACTCTGAGGTCCCCAGTGATGATTGTAGAGTGAGAGAATGGACAGAGAAAGGGACAAATAAAGAGAGAAACAGCTGGCGGGGCAGGGAATAGCTTGGAAAGCCGGGGAGCAGTGCCAGTTTAAGGGAAGCCACTGCAGGGGGCCAGGAGGGGGGCGAGGCCAGAAAACACACAGAAGAGGTGAGGCTGGCTGTGCATGGCACCGGCTCCTCTAGGCCTGAGAAATGCAAACAGGCAGAGCTGTGGCCAGTTCTTTATCCAAGAGATAGCCAGTTCAATGAAAGGCTTATTTGGACGGCTTTGGCGCCTGTGCCTGCACAGAGGACAGTCAGAAGCCACCCCCATGAAACCACCCAACTGCCTGGTCAGGGCTGTGGTCAGGATATGGGAGGGAGGCCAGGCTGGATGGTGGCCAGGGACAGGACTCTGTATCTTGGCCCTGGTCTTGGTGGCCCAGGGCTCTAATCCCCATTGCACCAGGCAACCCAGCAGCATCTGGAGAGCTGGGGAGGGGCTAAGGTTGCTCAGCGGCTTTTCTTTTCAGGGGTCTCCGCTGCTCCCCACACTCTCCAGCCAAAGCCAGGACCCCTACATTGTCACAGTGACAAACCTTCTAACCTGGGCAGCTCAGGAGGCTTAGGAGTGGGACTGGCCCTCATTCTGGGTGGTAGCGGGCACCACTTCCTCCCCTCCCTGTCACTGCCCCATTGATGGGTAGAGTCCCTTTCTCCACCACCCCATTCAATCTGGGATGTCTTGACCAAGAGAATATGGTGGTGTCAGCATGTGACTCTGTGCCAGATGCGCCGGGAGGCCTGGAGAGGACTAGCAATGTCTACCTGCTTTTGAAGCCAGGAGCTTACATTTGTGAAGCCTGGGGCTGGGTGCAGTGGTGCATGCCTGTAATCCTAGCATTTTGGGAGGCCAAGGCAGGAGGATCATTTGAGTCCAGGAGTTGGAGACCAGTCTGGGCAACAGTGACACCTCATCTCTACAAAAAATAAACAAAATTAGCTGGGTGTGGTGGTACCGATTTGTGGTCCCAGCTACTCAGGAAGCTCAGACAGGAGGATTGTTTAGACCTGGAAGGAGGCTGCAGTGAGCTGAAATTATGCTACTACACTCCAGCCTGGGCAACAAAGCAAGACCCTTTCTCAAGAAAAAAAAAAAAAAGCAGCCCCAGCCAGGCTGTACTGCTGAGAGGCCACGTGGAGGAGCCCTGAGTCACCACCTTGGACACCCAGCCTGGTTGAGCCTTCAGATGACCACAGCCCCAGCTGCTATCTGCTTGCAACTACCCAGAGATCCCTGAGGAAGAACTGGCCAGTTGAGCCCCATCAACCCACGCAACCATGAGAGAGAAAAATAAATTGTTGTGTTAAGCCACTAAGTTTTGGGGTAGTGTGTTC
Source organism: Homo sapiens (assembly GCF_000001405.40). Lineage (NCBI taxonomy): Eukaryota > Metazoa > Chordata > Mammalia > Primates > Hominidae > Homo > Homo sapiens. Next base: position 74,408,658 of record NC_000017.11, read on the forward strand.
ACACAACTGTTCCCTTTCCCATCCTCATTCACTGGCTACTTCGGGGCCACAAGGACCCCCAAGCTCCAGAATCCATAGTCCCTCATTAATGATTTGACCTAGTGGTATCCCTGGTGAGACCAGCCTGGGTGGCAGGGTAGAGTTGCTGGGTGGCACTCTTTCTGGGGTTGATAGAAATATTTACATTAAAATCCATAAATATTTGTAAAACGGCTGGATGTTTGCAGCACTCTGAGGAGTAAAACAGCACACAATACCTTTTATTTGAAGAGCAGTAATGAGTGTTTCAAGCACTCTAATATATTTCATCACATTTCACCCATGACAACCATGAAAGGCAGCCGGGCAGGCATCCTCCCTTTTATGATTGAGCAGGAAACTACATTAAGACCACACAAATAGAAATGGCAGAGCCAGGGCTGGAAGCCAGGTTGTCTGGCTACCGGTCCGCAGGCCTCCTTTCCCTGCATCCCTATTGTCTGCAAACCATCTGGAGAGCAGTTTTCTTTTTTTCTTTTTATTTATTATTTATTTATTTTTCTTTTCTTTTCTTTTCTTTTCTTTTTTTTTTTTTTTTGAGACGGAATCTCGCTCTGTCACCCAGGCTGGAGTGCAGTGGCACAATCTCAGCTCACTGCAATCTCTACCTCCAGGGTTCAAGCAGTTCTCCTGCCTCAGCCTCCTGAATAGCTGGGATTACAGGCAGGTGTGCCACCACACCCGTCTAATTATTTTGTAATTTTAGTAGAGACAGGGATTCACTATGTTGGCCAAGCTGGTCACAAACTCCTGACCTCAGGTAATCCATCCACCTCAGCCTCCCAAAGTGCTGGGATTACAGGAGTGAGCCACCACACCCAGCCTATTTATTTATTTTGAGACAAAGTCTCACTCTGTTGCCTAAGCTGGAGTGCAGTGGCACGATCTCGGCTCACTGCAAGCTCCGCCTCCCAGATTCAAGTGATTCTCCTGCCTCAGCCTCCTGAGTAGCTGGGATTACAGGTGTGCAGAGCTAATTTTTTATATTTTTAGTAGAGATGAGGTTTCACCATGTTAGCCAGGCTGGTCTCGAACTCTTAGCCTCAAGCGATCAGCCCACCTCAGCCACCCAAAGTTCTGGGTTTACAGCCATGAGCCACCACACCTGACCTTATTTTATATTTTAGAGAATGGGGTCTGGCTATATTGCTCAGGCAGGCCTTGAACTCCTGGGCTCAAGTTGTCCTCCTGCCTCTGCCTCCCTAAGAGCTGGGATTACAGGGGTGAGCCACCACGCCCAGCTGGAGAGCAGTTTTCGACTCGGACAAGCCCCCTTTCCCGGGCTGGAGGAAGGACAGGCAGTAGCCATGAGCCCTGGAGTCAACTTCCTGGATCCAGCTGTGGCTCTGCCCTTAGTTAGGATAACCTGGCAGCTAGTTACTGAAGCTGTAAAGGGAGATGCCATTTATCCAGCTGTAAACGGAGATTCACTGCTGGAGAGAGCTCTACTGCTGAGACCTGGTGAACCGGCTCCTCTAGGCCTGAGAAATGCAAACAGGCAGAGGACAGGCTTTGGGGGCTGCCTCAACTGACAGAGCACAGCGGAAGTGACCCTCTGTGATGCTGAAAGCCAGATCAAAGAATGTGTGGTGTCTGCCTTGCTCTCCAGGAAGCAGTCGGACTTCCCTAAGGCTGCCACACACTGAGGAAGCCCTAACTAGCCACAGGGAGAGGCCCTGAGGCCACATAAAGGAAGGAGGACACACAGATGCCTGCCTGTCCCCTGCTACCTCAGCCCCATGCTGTCCCAGCAGCGTGCACTGCCTGACTGCACCTGTCTGAAAGACCCAGAGCTCTAACCTGGTCTCTACAAAAAACAAACAAAATTAGCTGGGCGTGGTGGTGCATGCCTGTAGTCCCACTACTCAGGAGGCTGAGACAGGAGGATCATTTAGGCCTGGGAGAAGGCTGCAGGGAGCTAAGATCATGCCCAGCCAGGCCCTGCCTGGACTCCTAGCCCAAAGAAAGCATGGGAGGTAATAAGATGGTTGTTGAAGCCACTATGTCTGGATGTTATTTGTTCCACAGCAACGTCACATAACGGGGACAGGGTGGCTGGGGTAGAGTGGGTTGAAATGTGTCCCACCTGCTCCCCTAAAAGAAAAAAGAGGGAGAGAGAGAGATGTTCACCTGGAACCTCGGAAAGTGACCTTGGTTGGAATAAGTGTCTTCACAGATGTAATTAAAATGTGGATCTTGAGATCAGATCTTTCTAGTTTAGGGGAGGTCCTAAATTCAGTGACCAATGTTCTTATGAGACAGAAAAGGAGAAGACATAGGGAGCCATAGAGATGTGGGAGGCACGATGAGTCCATGGGAGCACAGAGGCAGAGACTGGAGTGATGAGGCCACAAGCCAAGAAACACCTGGAGCCCCCAGAAGCTGGAGGAGGCAAGGAAGCATCCTCCTCTTGAGTCTTCAGAGGGAAAGTAGCCTGGCTGACACCTTAATTTCAGACTTCTGGTCCCCAGAATGGTGAGAATGAAATTTCTGTTGTTTTAAGCCACTACGTTCATGACAATTTGAGTTTTTTGGGTTTTTTTGTTTTTTGGTTTTTGGTTTTTTTTTTTTTTTTTTTTTTTTTTTGGACAGGATCTCGCTTTGTTGCCCCGGCTGGGGCGCTATGGCATGATCTCGGTTCACTACAACCTCTGCCTCCTAGGTTCAAGCAATTCTCCTGCCTCAGCCTCCCAAGTAGCTGGGATTACAAGTGCCCACCACCACACCCAGCTAATTTTTGTATTTTTAGTAGAGACGGGGTTTCACCATGTTGGCCAGGCTGGTCTCAAACTCTTGACCTCAGGTGATCCACCTGCCTCAGCCTCCAGAAGTTCTGGGATTACAGGCGTGAGCCACCACGCCTCGCTAGTTCATGGTAATTTGCTGTGGCAGCCCGGGGGAATTAGCACAGGGGGCTAGAGGTTCCCACGCTGCTGTCATCACAGTGACTGTATTTTACAACTCCTAAGTCAGATGCGGAACTGCAAAACAGGATGCTCCTCAGGGAAATAAGAGGACAGCAGCTTTGTAATCAGGTGTCCTGGGATAATGGAAGATGCCTACTGGCCACAGCTAGAGTGAGGCCCAGAGGGCCAGAAGGCTTAGGGCAAGAAATACCGGAGAGGCTCGCCATCAGGATGCAGTCTGTCTCTCACAGCTCCTTACAGAAAAGCTCAAATGAAACAAAAATAAGCAAAAGTATGATTGACCCATGGGGGTCCTCAGTCTCTTCATCCTAGAGTTTAGATCATCTCTCTCCAATACCCACAGTGCATCTTTTTGGCAGAGTGAAGGTAGCCAAAAACCCTTCCCCCAAAGATCTTGTGTGGATTTGGGATTAAATCCCCACCTGGATAGAGTTGGGTGTTTTGTTTTGTTTTGTTTTAGAGATGGAGGTCTCCCTTTGCTGACCAGGCTGGCGTGCAGTGGCACGATGATAGCTCACTGAAACCTTGAATTCCTGAGCTCAAGCTATCCTCCTGCCTAAGCCTCCTGAGTAGCTGGGACTGCAGGTGTGCACCACCGCACCTGGCTAATTTTTAAATTTTTTTGTAGAGACAGGATCTTGCCATCTTGCCCGGGCCATTCGCAAACTCATGGGCTCAAGCGATCCTCCCACCTCTCCCAAAGTGTTGGGATTACAGGGGTGAGTGAGCCACCGCACCCGGCACTGTGGAGTTGGTTTAACCAAAATACAATTCTCACCATAAATACATTTTTGACTTAAAGATATTTCCACCTGTATGGTGGCATTGCACCCGGCCTCGACTTAGAATTTTTCAACTTTACAATGATGTGAAAGCAATGTGCATTCAGTAGAAATCGTACTTCAAGAACCCATACCACCGTTCTGTTTTTCACTCTCAGTACAGTACTCAGTAAATTACATGAGCTATTCAACACTTAATTATAAAATAGGCTTTGTGTTAGATGAGCCCAACTATAGGCTGAAGTTAAGTGTTTGGAGCATGTTTAAAGGACGCTAGGCTAAGCTATGATGATTGGTAGGTTAGGTTTAACAAATGCATTTTTTTTTGAGAGACAGGGTCACTCAGGCTGGAGTGCGGTGGCACAATCATAGCCCACTGTAACCTTGAACTCCTGGGCTCAAGCGATCCCCCGCCTCAGCCTTCAGGGTAGCTGGGACTACGAGTGCGCTCCACCACACCCAGCTAATTTATTTTTAAGTTTGTATAGAGTTGGGGTGTCATTTTTTTTTTTGAGCTGGAGTCTCACTCTCTCACCCAGGCTGCGGCACAATTGTGCGATCTCAGCTCACTGCAACCTCTGCCTCCTGGGTTCAAGCAGTTCTCCTGCCTCAGCCTCCCGAGTACTTGGGATTACAGGAGCACACCACCACATCTGGCTAACATTTTTCTATTTTTGGTAGAGAGAGGATTTCATCATGTTGACCAGGCTGGTCTCGAACTCCTGGCCTCAAGTGATCTGCCCGCCTCGGCCTCCCAAAGTGCTGGGATTACAGGCATGAGCCACCGTGCCCGGCTAGGTGTCTCTATCTTGCTCAGGCTGGTCTCAAAATCCTGACCTCAGGTGATCCTCCTGCCTTGGCCTCCCAAAGTGCTGGGCTATAGGCGTGAGCCACCATAAATACATTTTTGACTTAAAGATATTTTCAACTTATGATGGCTTTATTGGGCTGTAACCGCTATGTGAGTAGAGGAGCATCTGTTCTTCCCCTGAAACTACAATCCTGTATGTATCTTAATGACTGGTTGACATTTCTGTCTCCGTGATTAGATGAGTGTCTAGGGGGCAGAGGTGGTGACTCAGTTTCCCTTGTAACTTTTGCCTGGCTTGCTGGAAGTATTCATTAAGTATCTGTAGAAATGGGCCTGACACATCGGGAAGCTACAGTATGAAGGGCCAAAGGGACTTACCTGAGCTCACCTCGCTCACTGGAGGCAGAGCTGGGACTAGCAACCAATTCCCAATGCAGTCTTTTCCTGGCATGCACGTCCAAGTGCCTGGTTTGGCGGAGGAGTCAGTGAGCACCCGGAATGAGGGGCTGGGTGGTGTTTCTTGGAGGGGTGCCAGGACTCTGCCTAGAAACAGAGCTTTCAGAGAAATGGTGGCTTCTGAAACATAGAGGAAGACACGGGGCATAGAGATGTTTGGGATAGTCAGGTGGGAAAGTTCTGGAGCCAAATCGGCCTTAGGAGGATAAAACATCCAAGGAAGAAATCAATGGAGACAAATTCTGTCGGCAGAATCCAGAATCCACTGAAAGCCATGAGGACCCTCCAGTGAGAGAGGGCATCCACAGCTTGGAAAAATGGCCTAGGTATCAAGGGCTTTCGAAGTGACTTAAGGAGCTGGGTGTGGTGGCTGGTATGTGCCTATGGTCCCAGCTACTCAGGAGGCTGAAGCGGGAGGATCACCTGAGCCCAGGAGTTCAAGTCTGCAGTGAGCTATGATCATGCCATTGCACTCCAGCCTGTGTGACAAAGTGACACCCTGTCTCAAAAAAATAAAAATAAAGGCCGGGCCTGTAAACCCAACACTTTGGGAGGCCAAGGCGGGTGGGTCATTTGAAGTCAGGAGTTTGAGACCAGCCCAGCCAACATGGTGAAACCTCGTTTCTACTAAAAATACAAAAATTAGCCAGGTGTGGTGGCAGGCGACTGTAATCCCATCTACTCAGGAGGCTGAGGCACGAGAATCGCTTGAACTCAGGAGGCAGAGGTTGCGGTGGGCCAAGGTCGCACCGCTGCACTCCAGCCTTGGTGACAGAGTGAGACTCTATCTCAAAAAAATAAAATAAAATAAAATAAAATAAAATAAAAACAAATAAATAAATACACAAAGTGACTTAAAAGAATTGCCCGCCTATGCTGCTATCTGCTGATGATGTCATTGACAAGGCAGGTCAGTCTAATCATCACTCTTTCCTCAGCTTCCATGATCATGATTTCTCCCAGCACCTCAGTAATGAAGGTGACACTGACTCATATGTACACAGGGCTTTTCACATCATGAAGCCTGGGTTGTCGTTTAAATTGTGCCCCTCACCGCCCCTGCCCAAAGATATCTGAAGTTCTAACCTCCTGAAACTGTGAATGGGGAAGTTCTAATCCCCTGAAACTGTGAATGTTACCTTGTTTGGAAATAGGGTCTTTGCAGATAAAATCAAGTGACAATGAGGTCATAGTTGATTAGGGTGGACCTAATCCTATAGGACTGGAAGTGAGGAGACACAGAACATAGGGAGGCCATGTAACAACAGAAGCAAGCAAGCACGGAGGCTCACGCCTGTAATCCCAGCACTTCGGGAGGCTGAGGCAAGAGGATCGCTTTAGCCCAGGAGTTCGAGAGCAGCCTGGACAACATGGCAAAATCTCATCTCTATGAAAAATACATAAAGCAGCTGGGTGTGGTGGTATGTGCCTATGGTACTAGCCACTCGGAAGGCTGAGGCAGGAGGATCACTTGAGGCAGGAGCCTGAGGCTGCAGTGAGCTATGATTACACCACTGCACTCCAGCCTGAGCAACAGGGCAAGACTCTGTTTCCAAAAAAACAACAACAGCAGGCCGGGCACGGTGGCTCACGCCTATAATCCCAGCACTTTGGGAGGCTGAGGCGGGCAGATCATGAGGTCAGGAGATGAAGACCATCCTGGCTAACACGGTGAAACCCCGTCTCTACTAAAAATACAAAAAATTAGCTGGGCATGGTGGCGAGCGCCTGTAGTCCCAGCTCCTCGGGAGGCTGAGGCAGGAGAATGGCGTGAACCCGGGAGGCGGAGCTTGCAGTGAGCTGAGATGGCGCCACTGCACTCCAGCCTGGGCGACAGAGTGAGACTCCATCTCAAAAAAACAAAACAAAACAAAACAAAAAAAACAACAGCAACAACAACAAAAAAGAGACTGGGGTGATGCTACTGCAAGCCAAGAAGTGCCAACAATTGCCTGCGGCCACCACAAGCTGGAAGGGACAAGGAAGGATTCTTCCCGAGAGACTTCAGAGGGAACATGGCTTTGCTGACACTTTGATTACTGGGGTGAGCCACCATGCCCGGCCAATAGTTGACTTCTGTGTTTCCTTTTTATTTATTTTTTTGAGGCGGAGTCTTGCTCTGTCGCCCAGGCTGGAGTGCGGTGGTACAAACATGGCTCACTGCAGCCTTGACCTCCTAGGTTCAGGTGACTCTCCCAAGTAGCTGGAACCACAGGCACATCATGCCTGGCTAATTTTCCTATTTTTAGCAGAGGCAGGGTCTCACCATGTTGCCCAGGCTAGTCTTGAGCTCCTGAGCTGCTGACAGGTGTGAGCCACCGCACCTAGCAAGTTGACATCTTGACTACAACTTCATGACACCTTCATCCAGAACCCTCACTTAAGCCACTCCCTCATTCTTGATCCACAGAAATTGCATGTTATCCTACATGTTTATTGCTTTACACCACTACACTTTGTGGTAGATAGCTAATACCTTTATCCTATCCCATCAGAGACAGCATGCATAGTGGTTAAAAGTCAACTATTGGCCAGGCGCGGTGGCTCACGCCTGTAATCAGAGGCCAAGGCAGGTGGATCACCTGAGGTCAGGAGTTGACCTGAGACCAGCCTGGCTAACATGGTGAAACCCCATCTCTACTAAAAATACAAAAAATTAGCCAGGTGTGGTGGCACGCGCCTGTAGTCCCAGCTCCTCGGGAGGCTGAGGCAGGAGAACTGCTTGAACCCGGGAGGAGGAGGTTGCAGTGAGCTGAGATCGCCCCATTGCACTACAGCTTGGGCAACAAGAGCAAAACTCTGTCTCAAAAAAAAAACAAAGTCAACTATTGGCTGGATACAGTGGCTCATGTCTGTAATCTCAGCACTTTGGGAGACTGAGAGGCAGGAGGATCGCTGAAGGCCAGGAGTTCAAGACCAGCCTGGGCAACATGGCAAGAACCTATCTCTATAAAAAAAATTAAAAATAAAAAATTTAGCCAGGCATGGCGTGCCTGTGGTTCCAGCTACTCAGGAGGATCTCCTGAGCCCAGGAGGTCGAGGCTGCAGTGAGCCATGTTTGCACCACTGAGCTCCAGCCTGGGTGACAGAGCAAAACCCTGTCTCAAATATTGGCTGGGCATGGCAGACACCAGTAATCCCAGCACTTTGGGTTGCTGAGGCAGGAGGATCACTGGAAGCCAGGAGTTCAAGAGCAGGCTGGGCAATACAGTGAAATCCCATTTCTACAAAAGAAAAATCAACATCACTTACTAGCTATTGACCTTGAGTAAGTTGCTTCAGCCTTCTCTGAGTCTCCTCTTGTGAAAGGATAACTGTATCTGTCTTATAAAAGTGCCGGAAGGCTGGGTATGGCAGCTTATCCCTGTAATTCCGGCACTTTGGGAGGCCGAGGTGGGTGGATCGCTTGAGGCAGGGAGTTGGAGATCAGCTTGGCCAACATGGCGAAACCCTGTCTCTAATAAAAATACAAAAATTAGCCAGGCCTGGTGGCTCACACCTGTAGTCCAGCTACTTGGGAGGCTAAGGCAAGAGAATCACTTGAACCCAGGAGACAGAGGTTGAGTGAGCCGCTGCACTCCAGCCTGGGCAACACAGTGAGACTCTATCTCAAAAAAACAACAACAAAAAGACTGCTGGGAGGACCAAAGGAGTTAATATTTAACTTCTAATGGTCCCTGTGGCATAGTAAATGTGAGTCATTATAATTTGCATGGGTGACTAAGAAGCTCAAAAGAGGCGAAAAGACAACTCCAGGGCAACACAGCCCGTGACTCATTGGTCAGGCTGAGTCCTGAACCTGGGTCTCCTGGCTCCCTGCACAGTGCTCATGGTTCAACTGAAACCTGGAACTAGAATGGCCAGTGAAATCCGATGCTCTGTGTGACTGTAACTTCTGTTATTCCCTCCTGTGTGGCAGGCTGTTTCAGCAGCCGTGCACTGTCTCCCATCCAAGTACTAATCAGGCCCAACCCTGCTTAGCTTCCTAGATGAGACGAGATCGGGTGCGTTCAGGGTGGTATGGCTGTAGACGCAGCCATGCACTGTCAACAGCTGGCTATGCACCTGTGCTGGGGTGGGGAGGGCAGCCAGTTGGGTCAGACTGTGGCTCTGTGCCTGACCCTGAGAAGAGAGAGCCCTTGGTCCCTGCAGGAGGGGTGTTAGGAAGGTGCGCTAGGGCAGGCAGACAGCAGACTGCATAGCGTCTGAGAGGGGCTTTTCTGGATCACATTTCATTGCCAGAGCAGCTCCAAGGACAGGGAAGGCACCGAGCTGCTGCTTGTAGCCCTGGTTAGGAAATGGCCAGGAGAGCAGGACAACTGTTTTGAAAGGCAATATGACATTAGGGCAAAAGGGCTGCTGGGAATAAATCCCTGCTGCACAGGCTGCTTTAGTTTAAGCCGACCAAAATGACCTAGGACAGGCCAGGCGTGGGTGCTCATGCCTGTAATCCCAGCACTTTGGGAGGCCGATGTGGGTGGATCACCTGAGGTCAGGAGTTCGAGACCAGCCTGGCTAGCATGGCGAAACCCCATCTCTACTAAAAATATCAAAATTAGCTGCCCGTGGTGGCGGGCACCTGGAATTCTAGCTACTTGGGAGGCTGAGGCAGGAGAATCACTTGAACCTGGGAGGCGGAGGTTGTAGTGAACTGAGATCCCACCACTGCACTCCAGCCTGGGCGACAGAGCGAGACTTCATCTCAAAAACCAAAAACCCCAAAATGACTTATGACAAGCGGAGGCCCGGGAGCCACAGTTCCCCTGGAAGGTCTACTCCCTTCTTTCTTCTAAGTCTGTGGCTTCTGCCCCACATCTGAGAACAAAAAGCAGTGAATGGCCAGAGTGATGCAAAGAAAAAAGAGCAGAAACAAGACAAGCTAGTGGCCTGTGCAATTCACCTTTGAATGGGCAATATTCTCTATGAAAATTGGATGCAAAGAACCTCCAGGTGTGCTTGTAGCTTTCTAAAGACTCCTCATGGCTAGGTTTTCCTTAACGGAAAACATCAAGGAAGGTTACTGAGTGTGGTTTCTCTGAAATTGCCATCAGGACCTAAAATACCCCATAACGAGGAGCTCCGATCCTTTCGGCTGATTTACTTTTTCTCCGGAGCCTTACCATTTTCTAGAAAGAGGAAGTTAGGAGTGATGGGGCAAGACCAGACAACAGCAGATAATCATTCCATGATAATTGCCTTTGATGTCCCGGAAGAGACAACGTGCAAAGAGTCAGCTCCCAAAATATCTTGATAAGATCTTGCCTTTGGGGTTGGCTCATTTTCTCTGTGCTCTCTGCCCCTCCCTCCCTAGGGCTTCGCTTTGTGTGCAGCTAACCAAGGCTTCTCACAGCAAGCCTCCCCACCAAGGATTCCATACTCAGGCCGGGCGCGGTGGCTCACGCCTGTAATCCCAGCACTTTGGGAGGCCGAGGCGGGCGGATCACGAGGTCAGGAGATCGAGACCATCCCGGCTAAAACGGTGAAACCCCGTCTCTACTAAAAATACAAAAAATTAGCCGGGCGTAGTGGCGGGCGCCTGTAGTCCCAGCTACTGGGGAGGCTGAGGCAGGAGAATGGCGTGAACCCGGGAGGCGGAGCTTGCAGTGAGCCGAGATCCCGCCACTGCACTCCAGCCTGGGCAACAGAGCGAGACTCCGTCTCAAAAAAAAAAAAAAAAAAAAAAAAGGATTCCATGCTCTCTGACTCTCACTGCTTCTCTCCCCATCAAACCTCCTTTCCCAGGAGTTGGTTTAATCGTATTGCCATCCTACCACACACAATCCGATCACAGCTACGGCTCCTCAGCCCCCAGACTCCACTTTAACCCTCCTGGGAAGCATTTGCTTGTTTTGAACATGGATTTGGGCCAGGTGCGGTGGCTCATGCCTGTAATCCCAGCACTTTTGGGAGGCCGAGGTGGGTGGATCACCTGAGGTCGGGAGTTCGAGATCAGCCTGACCAACATGGAGAAACCCCATGTCTACTAAAAATACAAAATTAGCCGGGCGTGGTGGCGCACGCCCGTAGTCCCAGCTACTCGGGAGGCTGAGGCAGGAGAATCGCTTGAACCCAGGGGGCGGAGGTTGCGGTGAGCCGAGATCACGCTATTGCACTCCAGCCTGGGCAACAAGAGCAAAACTCCAACTCAAAAAAAAAAAAAAGAAAGAAAGAAAGAAAGAAAAGAAAAGAAAATGGATTTGTATTTCATTGGCTCTCAAACTTTATTAGACGTAACAGTCACCTGGAGCACTTTGATAAAATAAAAATTCTGATAGACAGGTTTGGGTGAGTGTCAAGAACAGTGCAAGGTTAGAGATAACCAAGCGCACGCGTGCTTGTGTCTTTCCACAATGTCAGGCTTTTACTGACGCATTTCAATCACAAAAGCCATGAGCTACATGGAGTTCCCAAGGAGGCAATTCTCCTTAGTACTTCCCGTTCGCCTGTACTTAGAGCCGCACATATGGGTCCATCAATACTGCAAACCATACATAATAATACACTTAAGCAATATATACACGTTATACATTAACCATTCCACAACAAACAAAGTAGCATTTAACATCGAGAGGAGAGAGATAGGAGAAAGAGTTAACAAACCAGTCCAGCAGGAGCAAAGAAGACAAAAGGAGTCCTGGTCTGGGCCCTGCTCTTCAGTCCTGCAAGGAAGAGTCTTTGATGTGGTAGAGGCTTCGAAGGCAGAGACTGGGTTGTTATCAGGAGGCAGTGCAAGGCTGTGCTAGGACCACTAGAAGAAGGCCTGCTCTTTTTTTTTCCCTGAAACTGAGGTTTCACTCTTGTTGCCCAGGCTGGAGTGCAATGGCACAATCTCGGCTCACTGCAACCTCCGCCTCCTGAGTTCAAGCGATTCTCCTGCCTTAGCCTCCTGAGGAGCCGGGATTACAGGCATGCGCCACCACACCCAGCTAGTTTTTGTATTCTTAGTAGAGATGGAGTTTCTCCATGTTGGTCAGACTGGTCTCGAACTCCTGACCTCAGGTGACCCACCCGCCTCAGCCTCCCAAACTGCTGGGATTACAAGCGTGAGCCACCGCGCCTGGCCGAAGGCCTGCTCTTTTAATGGTTACAGAATCCTTTGGTGAGAACTGATCGTGAGAGTGTGCTTCTTTGTCCATCCTTATCTGGTTGGATGCAGTCTTTGTTTGTTGATTTATTAAGCAAAACTTTTCTGGGGGTCAAGGGACAGGGTCTCACTCTGTTGCCCAGGCTGGAGAGCAGTGGTGCGATCTTGGTTCATTGTAACCTCTGCCTACTGGGCTAAAGCGATCCTCCTGCATCAGCCTCCTGAGTAGCTGGGACTACAGGTGCACGCCACCACACCCAGCTAATTTTTGTATTTTGGTAGAGACGGGGTTTTGCCATGTTGCCCAGGCTGGTCTCAAACTCCTGGGCTCAAGCAATCCATCCTCCAAGGCCTCTCAAATTGCTGGAAGTACAGGCATGAGACACGGCACCTGGCCAAGCAAAACATCTTATTCTCGTTGGGAAAGTACTCTATGAAATATAAAATGAAATGTTTTTCTAAGGTGGAGTTACTTATATTAAGGGTGTTTTATACAGTGGGTAATAGTCTTTTTAAAATTCATTCATTTTTCGTTTTTTTGAGACAAGGTCTCACTTTGTGACCCAGGCTGGAGTGCAGTGGCAGGATTTCGGCTCATTGCAACCTTGACCTCCCGGGCTCAGGCGATCCTCCTCTCTCGGTCTCCCAAGTGGCTGGAAACACAGGCATGCACCATTATATCCAGCTTATTTTTGTATTTTTTTAAGAAACGGGGTCTTGCTATGTCACTGAGTCTGTTCTCAAACTCCTCGGCTCAAGCAATCCTCCTGCCTTGGCCTCCCAAAGTGCTGGGATTATAGGCATGAGCCACCACACTGGGCCAGGTTATGGTCTTAATAAAGCTTACAGGAGATTGCGAAGAAGGTGAATCTAGAACTCCCAGGAACCATGTTTTCATAGGGATGACTTCAGACAGGCATGGGAAGTATTTTGGGAAGGGGGAAAGAGGGCACAAGAAAGGAGGCGATGCCTAATCCTTTAATTATCTTTTCAATAGTGGTAAGGCAAAAAACAGGGAAGAATAGAGAAAAAGAAATGTAAGGCTCTCGTTTTCTTTTCTTTTCTTTCTTTCTTTCTTTTTTTTTTTTTTTTTTGAGATGGAGTCCCACTCACTCACCCAGGCTGGAGTGTAGTGGCATGATCTTGGCTCACTGCCACCTCTGCCTGCTGGATTCAAGCGATTCTCCTGCCTCAGCCTCCTGAGTAGCTGGGATTACAGTTGCCTGCCACTACGCCCAGCTAATTTTTGTATTTTTAGTAGAGATGGGGTTTCACCATGTTCACCAGGCTGGTCTTGAACTCCTGGCCTCAAGCAATCCACCTGCCTCAGCCTCCCAAAGTTCTGGTATTACAAACGTGAGCCACCACGCCTGGCCAAGGCTCGAATTTTCTTTTTTTTGAGATGGAGTTTCGCTCCGTTGCCCAGGCTGCAGTGCAATGGTGCGACCTCAGCGTACCACAACCTCCACCTCCCAGGTTCAAGCAATTCTCCTGCCTCAGCCTCCTGAGTAGCTGGGATTACAGGCATGTGCCACCATACCCGCCTAATTTGTATTTTTAGCAGAGATGGGGTTTCTCCATGTTGGTCAGGCTGGTCTCTAACTCCTGACCTCAGGTGATTCACCCTCCTTGGCCTCCCAAAGTGCTGGGATTACAGGCGTGAGCCACCACACCCGGCCAAGGCTCTAATTTTCTAGAAGGTTTCATTGTGGACCCCTCTGTGCCACCTCACCTTGGCCCTACCCTACGCTGATCCCTGTTTCTCCAAGAAGCAGCCAACCTGAATCCTTCATGGGGCATCCACACTGTTTGTATTGTGGCTGTTTCTCCTTTCATTCCTCATAGTTAACATCCACAATTCTTAAACTTGCCTCCCTGGTTCCCAAGGCCAGTGTGCATCACTGCATTAGTCCGTTTTCATGCTGCTGATAAAGACATATCCGAGACTGGGCAATTTACAAAAGAAAGAAGTTTAATGGACTTAGAGTTCCACACGGCTGGGGAGACCTCACAATCATGGTGGAAGGCAAGGAGGAGCAAGTCACACCTTACATGGATGGGAGCAGGCAAAGAGAGAGAGCTTGTGCAGGGAAACTCTGACTTATAAAGCCATCAGATCTCATGAGACTTACTCACTATCATGAGAACAGCACAGGAAAAACCTGCCCCTATGATTCAATTACCTCCCTCCAGTTCCCTCCAGCAACACCTGGGAATTCAAGATGAGATTTGGGTAGGGACACAGCCAAACCATATCAATCACTAACCACATTTGGGTGATGTGGATGTGAAACAGGCTTGGAGGCTCGTCGGCTAGAGATTCCGATTCAACAGTTCAGAAAGGGGCCCAGGAATCCGCTTTCTAAACAAACAATGTAACTGGTTCTGAAGCTGTGCACTGATGCTGGAGGAAGTCGAGGGGCCGGCTTCATCACCGTTTTTGCCAGCTGCTTTCCCCACGACAGAATTGCGGAACAGAGGATGATGAGCCTGGAGCTAGCAGCACCCAATCACTAAGGTCCGCTACCAGAGGCTCTGGGATCTGTGGTTTCATTTAAGCTCCACAGCAAGCCCCAGAGGCAGGGGTCATTGCCCCGCCTTTGTTGTTGTTGTTGTTGTTGTTGTTGTTGTTTTGAGACAGAGTCTTGCTCTGTTGCCCAGACTGGAGTGCAATGGCACAATCTCTGCTCACTGCAACCTCCGACTCCCAGGTTCAAGCCATTCTTCTACCTCAGCCTCCGGAGTAGCTAGGATTACAGGCACCCACCACCAGGCCCAGCTAATTTTTTGTATTTTTAGTAGTGACAGGGTTTCACCATGTTGGTCAGGCTGGTCTTGAACTCCTGACCTCAAGCAATCCACCCGCCTCAGCCTCCCAAGGTACTGGGATTACAGGCGTGAGCCACTGTGCCCTGCCCATTGCCCCATTTTATAGATAGGCAAGTTCTGTGCTCTTTGGGCTCCTCTACTGCCCCTCTAGCTCTAAAACTGTGATTCCATGTGGGGAAGTCAAAACCCAGGCTTAAGCCCGGGCACAGTGGCTCACACCTGTAATCCCAGCACTTTGGGAGGCAGAGGCGGGTGGATCACCTGAGGTCAGGAGTTCGAGACTAGCCTGGCCAATATGGTGAAACCCCATCTCTACTAAAAATACAAAAATTAGCTGGGCGTGATGGCGGGCACCTGTAATTCCAGCTACTCGGGAGGCTGAGGCAGGAGAATCGCTTGAGCCCAGGAGGCGGAGGCTGCAGTGAGCTGAGATGGCACCACTGCACTCCAGCCTGGGCAACAAAGCAAGACTCCGTCTCAAAACAAACAAACAAACAAGCAAACAAACAAAAACCCAGGCTTAAGCTTTATGCCCGTCACCACGTGACCTTGGTAGGCTCCTCTCACCCTGGCCTCCAGCTTCCCCGTAAGGATAACGAAGTCAGCCCCATCGTCTGGGGGGTGCAGCTTCTCAGAGGCCAACCCTGGGGCGCTTTGCTTTGTTGGAAGTTGAGTTTGATTACAGCTCTAATCATTTGTCCCCCAAAGTCAACTTTCTTTTATTGCTTACACTGCAGAATCATCCAGTCTCAATTAAAAAAAGAGATCCCACATAGTCCAGTGGTTAAAAAAAAAACCAAATTTTTTTAATAGGAAAATAGACCCTCAGAGGAAATTGGTCACTGGGTTTAACTGGGAGGGATTGTCTCGTGCCTGTGAATGGGTTAATGTATCAGGGTGGGCATGAGGACAAATTATAAAACCAAAGGAAAATGCCGAAAGGCCATGTGAGTGACAGCAAGAATGAAGGCTATTGCATCCGAGGCCTGAAGTATAGACCCAGGTCCCACTTTAGCATAACCACGGCTGCTATTAAGACCCTCAAACGCACCATCAGTGGTTCTGAATTTTGCATAATGATTGAACTCTGCCGTATCATCAGAGGGGAGGAGAACGGCGTGGAAACCAAAGGGCTGAAATCTCAGCCCCTGCCAAGCCTTCTGGGGCTCCATCACACTCCCAGAATAGCGCGGCTAGGTTCCCGGCAGCCTCGGGCTGCGCCGCAGCTGGGCTTCCGGAGAGCGAGACGAGTCAAGCCTCAAGCACTGCCGGGGACAGCTGGGACTGGACACCACCCAGAAGCCAGCTGGCTGGCCCTGCCCTGCCCTGCTGGAGGCACCATCTCTGGTGAGTGGGGGCATGTCTGACTCCCCTGCGGCTCTCCCACCATTACCTGGGGCCCCAGCTGAGTCAGGGGTGGCCTCAAATCCCAGGCAAGAGGGTGGCATCAGTGAGTGGGTCTCCTGAAGTCTTTGGTGGCAGTGGCTGGAGAAGGTGTTAAAGGGCTGAATGGCCCTGCAGGTAGGGGAGGCTGCAGTGTGTGCCAGGCGGATGTGACTTTAGGAGGCCAGTGGCCACCAGCAGAATAGGGATGGGAAATGAAGATGGGCGGGCAGGGAGACACAGCCCTGCCACAGGCCAGGCAATTGCCCCGTGCAGTGCGGTCTTGAAGCTGGCGTCTGAAGGTGAAGGGATTGTTGGAAGAAGGGAGGGTGGCCAAGCCCGTTTCCAGCTTGACAACAGTTATGTGTTTTCCAGTATCCTCCTTCATTCATTTATTCCCTTACAAGTATTAATTGAGGCAGGGCCCCAGGGGAAACACAAAGATGGGTCAGGCACACATCTTCCCTTCCCAAGAGCTTATACCTTGGCTGGGGACATAAAGCATGACAGAAATAACCATCGATAAGGCAGAAAATGTCAGGGCTATATAAGAGATAAGAGAAGTGTACTGGGGAGCACGGTACAGTGAGGTGCAAGTCCAGCAGGCTAAAGGAAGATAGTTCTAATCTACAGCTAGCCACTGAGTCTCTATGAACCTCAGTCTTTAAATATATAAGATGGAGACAATAACATCTGCCTTATGGAGGCTTATAGGGTTGTAAGCATCAAATATATATAAAAGGTGCTTGAAATTGTACAGCAATATACAGAGGTAAGCTATTATGGGTATCGTATTATCCAACTAGCCAGCATCTCTCTGAACTTCTCCGCCTGGAATTCTGGGAGCCACAGGGAGCCCAGGATCTGAGTACTGGGTTCTTGTCAGCAGCAAAGCAAAGTCTAGACCCTGAGGCCTCCTTTCCCCTTATAGAAGGCTGACAGCCTCTCTCAGCTCTTGGCCAATCAATCCAATTGATCCACAGATATGTAGTGCCCATTTTTTGGATGTATAAAGCACTGTGCTAGGGACCATGGGCGTGGAGAGGCATGAAATCCAGAGTCCATTCCCTACAGACCTATCATGAGCCAGGGAGGCAAGATCTCTGTTTATAAGATACACCTGGCCGGGCACGGTGGCTCATGCCTATAATCCCAGCACTTTGGGAGGCCAACATGGGCGGATCAGCAGAGGTGAGGAGTTTGAGACGAGCCTGGCCAACATAGTGAAACCCTGTCTCTACTAAAAATACAAAAAAAAAAAAACTAGCTGGGTGTGGTGGTGGGCGCCTGTAATCCCAGTTACTTGGGAGGCTGAGGCAGGAGAATCGCTTGAACCCAGGAGGCAGAGGTTGCAGTGAGCCAAGATTGCACCACTGTGCTCCAGCCTGGGCAACAGAGTAAGAATCCGTCTCAAAAAAAAACGAAAAAGATACATCTAAGGCAGAGCCATGTAAGAGTAGCAAATGCATGCCAGAGGTGGGATCCCAGGAGAGCAGAGGGAGGAAGAGGACTACAGGGTGGGGGGTACCAGCAAAAGCCTCTGGGAGGAGCCAAGGGCTTTAAAGGGGGATGGAATCAAGAGGTCGAGAGGAGGAGAGAGGCATCCTGGATTGAGAATACGGGACATGTGAGCGAACTCACAGGAAGGCAAGTGCGGGGGCGAGGCAGACTCAGAGCAGGCTTCTCAGGCTGGAGTGACCATTTCCTGTGGGGGAACAGGAAGGAGAAGAGGCTGGAGTCAAGGCTAGGTACAGGTTGCAGAGGCCTTGAATGCCAGGCAAGGGAGCCTGGACTTTCACATAAAGGCACCAGGAGCCAGTGAAGGTGTTAGGAATGAAAGGTGTTGGGGTGAAGTCAGTGAAGGTCCTGCCCCGGATGGGGGTTTGCAGGGTGACTGGAGAAGACTGCCACCAGGGGCCATCACTCTGGGGGCTGGTGTAGCCACTGCAGCAAGGTAGAAGGAATGCTCCCCCCGAAATGCTCACAGATTGGGGTGAGACGCTTCCTGAAGGTAGGGGAACAAATTGCAGTGAGGGCTACACGTTTCCATTTTGATTTTGATAGAGGCAGGCTGACTGAGTGGCCTGGATCCCTGGACCCTTGGCCTTGATGTCTGGTTCTCAGGATTTGCGCAGTCTGTGGATGGAGGCTGACCAGATCAGAGCAGCTCAGGGGACCCCGTTCTCTCCTTCCACAGGGAGTTGGTTAGCGGCCACTGAGCCCTGGGCAGGGAGGGGGATGAGGGAGGAGCAGATTTTGCAGCCATGGGGGAGGGTTCAGCATCAGGTGACATTCCAGTGGACTCTGCCCAAGGCCTGCTTCCGGGTACACTTCCAGAGCGATCACCCATGGGCAGCCAGTTGTGGTGAATGAGGGTTTCACTCGCCTGCTCCCTGGCCCTGGCTTCCTCCTTCTTAAGGGGCCACGATGGGACCCGAGTCCTTTCAAAAAACTAGGCAGTTCCCGCTGCTCCAAGCAGAAAGTCCTATGAGCCTAAGAGAAAAAGAGATTTGGCCAGACACTGCAGCCAGGGCAGGAACCAGTTAATATGAGCCTGGGAGCAAGGAGAGGTGAAATGCTGTTTACCAGCAGCCGGCTGTGGGTTGCAGGGCACCCAGCCACCTAGCACAGGATTCCAGGCCCCAACTTGTCAGGAAGCAGGAGCCCCACCCTCAGCTCAGTGAGGGACTATTCCTCCCCATCTGGGGCCTGGCTGCAAGACCTAGGGCTCTCCACTCCCCAGGTAGAGGGAGCAGGCCTTCTACTCTGTGGAGGAGGAAATGGCTCCTGTTGGAGATTCTGCAGGGTGAGACTGCAATCCAGAACTCCTGCTGCCCAGGCAAACTGGGAAGTCCCTCTAAACAACACAACTGACCTCTGGCTCTCCCTGGGTAGGCCTCTCCATGCCCAAAGCCGGGGTGCCAGGGCCTCCTGCCCTCATCTCTGATGCAGGGCATTGCAGCCCCATGGCAGGTGACTTCTCCAGTAGGCACTGGGGCTTGCCTGCTTCTCAGAAAGTGGGGTACGGGAGGCAGGGCAGGGGTGGTGCTGTTTGCAAGGCTGCTGGTGTGAGGGGGAAGATCGGCCGTGGCCAGCCACAGAATAACGGATATTCCACAAGCATTTACTGAAAACATTTACCCACACCCGTCTGAGTGCCAGATGCCAGGGAAAACAAGATGAGTGAGACATGTCCCTGGCTCTCTAGAAGGGCACAGTGTAATTGGAGAAAAAACAATTTAGAAGGCTAATTATGATACACTAGGATAAATGATAAATAAATGAATGTGTAACAGGCTGTGGGTAAATAGGGCAACTCACAATGGGTCTTTCGTGGGAAGGTGAGGATCGCTTCACAGAGGAAGGAACATTGGAGCTGAGCTTTGGGGCAGGGCAGATTTTTTAAAACTTTTTGGTCACAAAGAAAAAGGATGGTAAGAGGCATAAAATGTTCGAGGTGGAAGGAACATCACACAGAGCATGGCATGGCAAAGCTATTCCAATCATGGTGAAACAGAACTGAAAGAATGCCAGCTTCTGCAAGAGTTTGGGTTAAAAACCATTAGGCCAAGCACGGTGGCTCATGCCTGTAATCCCAGCACTTTGGGAGGACAAGGAGGGAGGATTGCTTGAGCCTAGGAGTTCCAGACCAGCCTGGGCAACATAGTGAGACCCCATCTCTACAAAAAAATGCAAAAATTAGCCATGCATGATGATGCACTCCTATAGTCCCAGCTACTCGAGAGGCTGAGGCAGGAGGGTTGCTTGAGCCTGGGAAGTTGAGGCTGCACTGAGCCGAGATCGCAGCACCGCACTCCAGCTGGGGTGACAGAGTGAGATCCTGTTTCAAAAATAATTGATTAATTTAAATTTAAATTATAAATAAAAACTGTCAGACCTGTCAAGGCTTAGAGGGAATGACAATCATGCCAGGAAAGGGGAGGCTGATCGCTGGCTCCCTGTAAGCACCAGGCTTGTGTGAGGAACATTCCAGACACAGCTTCATTCTGGGGGTGATGTTATCATCCAGTTTTACAGTTGAGGAAAGCAGGGCTCAGAGAGATGAAGCAACTCATCCAAGTCACACAGCCGGCAGGTGGCACAGGTGTTCCCACCTTTGGGCCTTGTCAAGACCTCAGACATCTCTGAAGGAGGCTTTCCAACGAACAAAGGGTTTCTCACTCTGCCAGTAGGAATCCAACTCAGGTGGGGGTGGAGGTAGTTGGGTGGTGGACACAGACATGCTTCTCCGCAATCCAGAATCTTTTTTTTTCCTTTTTATTTCATATATTAAAAAAAATAAAATAAATAGGCTGAGCGCAGTGGTTCATACCTGGAATCCCAGCACTTTGGGAGGCCGAGGCGGAAAGATCGCTGGAGCTCAAGAGTTCAAGACCAGCCAGAGCAACACAGTGAGACCCCATATCTATTTTCTTTTTCGTTTGTTTCAATAGAGATGAAGTCTATGTTGCCCAGGCTGGTCTCCAACTCCTGGGCTCATGCGATCCTCCCACCTAGGACTCCCAAAATGCTGGGATTATAGGCGTGAGTCACTGTGCTGGGCCTCAAGATCTCTTTGAACAGTAGCACTCTTTGAACACTTCTCAGAGTGTAGTTTTTTGGTGAAAACAGAGTTTGCAATGGGTTCTACGCCTACTGGGGTATTAAATCAAAGTGAAGGACATTTGGGGGCACAGAGGACCCTGTGGCTGGAGTCTCGGAAAGCAGCGCCACCTCCCACAGAACTTCCCTTCCAGCATCACAGGCTCGCTGGGTCCAGCAGCCCCCACCAGGGTCTGACTCATGGTGGAGGGGTCTCATGCCTTCTCCAACTCTTGCCTCCCCACTCTGGACCAGCACAGGCCCCCGGGACTAGAGCAGAGACCAACAGGGACCCTGAAGGCTGAAGCCCATGTCATCGGCCCCAAAGGACTTGCTTTGTCCTTTAAAGGCAAATCCTGCCCAGGAAGTGAGACGGAGTGAACACAAAAAGAGCAAACAGCTCTCAGGAAACCTCCCTACATATCCGCCGCCATCTACCATGCAGGGCTGGCAGTGGGCAGGGCTCCGCTGCTCCGTCCAGGCCTCAGATGCCCCAGCCTTTCCCCCGCCTGGGTCGGGAGGGAGTGGTAAAGAGTTGCCTTTTTGGAGAATCTAGGTAGGGAAAAGAGATTCCCAAAGCTTGAAAATAAATTGAAACAGATCTGCCAGATCCACAATTCATCTTTGGCTTCTTAAGGTCACAAGCAGTCTCGGGGACTATTTCCATTCCACCTTCCTCTAGCTCTTAGCTGGCTTTTCACATATGCTAATGAGCGGCCCCTCCCAGCACACTGTGTTCAGCACCAGTTGCCTGCTTCACGAGAACTAGTCCCAGCCCACAGTCACGGATGCCCCTCGCCTAGGTCTGACCCGCCGTTTGCCTTTCTAGCGTTGGCACTCAACTGCTTGGACCCTACAAGCGTTTGCCTCCCTGGCATGGGGGCCTCTGAATCTTAGGGTGGGAGGTGGAGCTACGGAAGGGAGCCCAGGAGTGAGCAACAGATCAGCAGCAGCACTGCGCCCCTCTTCTTAATATTGAAGAGACTTGAAACAATTCAGTCTTCGCCACCCCAGACCAGCCCGTGAGGGCAAGGCCAGGAAGGGATACAGGGTTCTAGAGAACCAGGGCCTCACCGCCAGCTCCGGCCGCTAAGCAAACATTCCCTCCAGGAGTCCGAGAAGCCGGTGTGCGAGGGGAGGAACCAGCCTGAGGTTTATCGCTCCAGCAACTCCGGGTGATTCATAGAGTTTAGACTCCCGGTTGTCGTAGACCGCGGCAGGCACGCAAACAAGCAGCCCGGGAGATACCCTCCCCTTTCCCAGCCCCCGCTCCTCCACCTTGCTACCCCCTAGCCCGTGACCAGCTGCCTCCCCTCCCCCTCGCGGGCGCTCAGGGTTGAGCAAACACTCCGGGCCGCCCGCCCCGCCACCAGCTGGCTCCGACCGGCGCACCGCTGGCGATCCCCCAGGCAATTCGGCGTCATGAGAACCGGCACCCCGAGACTCGGCGCCCTGCCCTCCCTCCGCGTCTCCAGGGCCCTGGCCAGGCCCAACAACCTCTCCCTCCTCTGTGCGCCTCAGCCCCTACGGGCCTCTGGCGCGGGCTAACTAGGCCTCGCTGCGGGCCCCCAGGACTGCGCACCCCACCCCCCGCGAGGCCAGCAGCCCCGGGGGAAGGCGGCCGGAAAATCTCTTGTTTATCGGGCTGGATAAGTACCAGCCTGGATTCGCTTCCCAATTTCTGCGGTCCAGCTTCAGCAGATTCCTGGGGCCGGAGGGGAAAGGGTGGCAACCCACAGATCCACCCCGGAACAGGGAGTGGGGGGTGGGGCTGGTGGGAACCTGACCTCCTGGAAAGGACGGACTCGGAGTCAGAGCCAACGTGTCCCGGAGCGCAGAGGCCCAGGGGGTCGCGCTAAACACTGTACCTCGGGGAACAAAACCGTGAAGGCTAATTAGGACAAGTCGGAGCAGGGAACGGGGACGCCGGGAGGGGAGAGCGCGCTCCGAGTTGGGCAGAACCTGGAACGGTCACAGGAAACCCGGGCGCGGGGTAGTCGGGCCGAGGGGGACCTTTGCCCACGGTCCAGAGTGGTCTGGACTCGGCCCACGCGTGAGAGGAGCGCTTGGTGACGATCCCACGTACGCTTGGTGACTGGTGGAGGTCCCAGAGAAGGACCGTGCGTGCAAAAGGCGAACCTCGGTGTGCGGTGTGTCCACGTGTGCAAGCTGGGGAGGGGAGGGGGCGCAGAAGGCGTGACAAAGACGGACTCTGTCTTGAGTGTGCGCCTCGCTCCGGCCCGCTCCCAGCGAACTGTGCCTGAAGTGTGTCTCACGGGAGGGCCAGGACGAAGGTGACAAAGGCTAGGTGTCCCCCACGGAGACGCGCCAAGGTAGCCCCGCGCGTGTCCGTAGGCGCGCTCTCTGGAAGACGCGGTGGGGGGTGCGCAGGGCTGCACCCTCACACCAATTGCCCCGGCGAAGGCCGAGCCCAGAAAGTGAGTGCGCGTGAGTGTGCGCGCGCCCGCATGCGGGGGCGTGGCAGTCAACAGCAACAACCCACACGCCGGCAGGGCCAGAAACTCCCATCTCCCTCACCAGCCGGAAAGTACGAGTCGGCTCAGCCTGGAGGTGAGTCGGGGCGGGGAGGGCCGGGCAGGCTTTGTTCCTGTGTAAACGGAGCGCACGTACCTGGAGCGCGGCGGGCGCCCGATTAGCGCCCTGAATGGAGGTGATGTAACGGTGATGCAGGCTCCAGCCCACCCTCGCCGAAAGCAAGGAGCCCTGCCTGGGGACAGGCCCGCGCGAGAGCGAGCAACCCAGCGCGCCTGGCTCAGCCTCGGTCCCAGGGAGAGGCAGGCCCTGCGTCCCGGCCCGGGCCCCGCCATCCCAGCCAGGACCGGGCCTGGCCCAGCGCCCCGCGCCGCGTCCCTCCCACCCCCGCCCGCCCCCCGCCTGGGGCTGGAGTTGGCCCCAAACGCTGCGCTGGAGCGGGGCCGGCGGCGAGTCCCAGGTAAGGGCTGCTGCCTTCCCGCTCCGCCGCCCGGAAGAGTCGGGTCGGGACGGCGGGGAGTGGGCGAGGGCAGAGGCGGGGGGACTGGACATCCTGCGGGCTGGGGACGCCGCGCCAACTCCGCTCGGTCGCTGAAAGTTTTCAAACCCGAGCCGGCTGGGGACTGGGGGGGTGGGGGAGCCCGGCGCTGCGGCTCGGGCTGGAGGGAGGGGAAACCACTCCATAATCGGGGTCTCCAAGAGGAGCCCCTCCACCGCCTGCCTCTCGGTGGGAGTCCGCGGTCACTCTCTCTCGTGGGTGGCGTCCTCTCTGCCGCCTGCTACTGTGGATGTGGAGGGCAGGTTTCTGTGGCCCTAAAAATGGGAGAGAGTGACTGGTTCCCTTGCTCCCCATTCCAGCCACCCAGGGAGCGCAGGTGTAGACCCCAGTACCGTCGACCCAAGTAGGGACGAGAGGGTTCAGAATCCCCCTGAGGGAAGTTTGGAAATTCAGACTATCAAAGCGCCTCCCCTTCTGGTAGCCTGGCCCCTAGATCCCGAACCCCCACTCCCGGCTGGCTTTTCCAGCGTCCTTTGCACCTCCATCCCCAGGCCCGCAGTGTTACACGCTGGAAGACCCAATCACTTACAAACTCCACGATCAAGATCCTAAAGCCCGGGAGAGGAGACTGTTGGAAGTAGGGTTTTGTGCTCCTGGAGCTTCCTCTCCCCGCCGGCCCCCCACCCCTGTGCCTTCAACTGGACTGGGGGAGGGAGTGCATTGGGGGGTGGGGCGCATTCCAGAGTGACATTCCAGAGCAGACCCTTGAAGATTTCCAAGTCTCAGAGAGCTCAGGGCATTTTGGCCCAAATGCCTGGTCTTGGTGCGGGGCAGGGGCAGGGGGATAGGGGTGGGGTGTCTAGGCTGAGGTTCGAGGAACCCCAACCCACCCCCCACCAACCTACACACTGAGGCCGCTCCTTCCAGGCACAGGCGTCTCCTGTGCGCCTTCTTATCGATGGGGTAAACGCCTGAGCGCCCTGCACAGAGGGGTGAGACAGTGGGACCTAACCAGGGACTGGGAGAGACCGATAGGAGTGGAGGCAGGAAGGCTGTCAGTCGGGCCATCGTCTTTCCCTATAGGCTCTTGAGTGTGTGGGATGGGAGGAAGGCAAGTGCTCTGTGGTATCCCTGGGGGAACCTCCCTGAAGAGTGCCCTGGTCACAGCACCCTTGAAGACAGCCATTGGCCATGGGTCAGTGTTGAGTTTGGTTGGCCCTGTGACGCGCTGGAGCTCTCTTTCCAGTGCGGTATCCTTGGCCCTGGTGGGTGGAGGGGGTCTCAGGCTTGTGTGTGGATGATGCTGGAGCGAGGAAGGGAGTTTTGCTCTGGAGAAGTGAGAAGGCCTGGCTGTCTCCCCGGTTGCTGGATGAAGCCACTTGTTGCTGGGGGAAACCAGTCAGGGCTGCTTGGGCCTCTGGGCCTCTGAGCCTCTGAGCCCACCAGGCCTCTGCGCCCCCTGGAGAGAGAAGGAGGGAGGAGGGAGGTTCAGCAACTGGACTGCACTGACTCACAGGAGAGCTGGGGGCAGGGTGGCTGAGCCTGGGGAAAGGCCGATTTCGGAGGCGATTAAAAATATTTGTACAACTGATTCCAGGGAAGTGAAGCAAAAGGCCCTTTTGTCCAGAAAATAATCTGAGGCTGGAGCTGGGCTTCAGCTGTGGGGTGGGGGAGACTCAGGGCGGAAGGAGGTTCCCCTCCTACCCCCCTCCTTGAACCCTCTGAGAATCTTTAAGCAGAAGATGCAACTCCAACATGGAGGGGACAACCCTGGGTGTGGAGAAATGCACCTGGGACCATCCAGAGGTGACTTCCAAATGCCCACTGTGTTCAGGCACAGCACCAGCTGTGGCAGTGGATTCTAGAAGTCTTGTTCACCAGCTTCAAAGACCTTACAGCCCTGGAGGGGAGACACGGACATGATTTGAACGTTCAGGGATCAGAAGGCTCAGTCTTAGTGCAGGGTCTGGGGACCCACAGGAGGCAGAAGTTTCCTCCAGGGTCCTGAGGAAAAGCCTCTGACCAGAGCTGAGTCCATCTTGTCAGTCCCTTAGCCACCATCTTAAAAGGTGGCATTGGGCCGGGAACGGTGGCTCACACTTGTAATCCCAGCACTTTGAGAGGCTGAGGTAGGTGGATCACCTTAGGTCAGGAGTTTGAGACCAGCCTGGCCAACATAGTGAAACCCTGTCTCTACTAAAAATACAAAAATTAGTTGGGCATGGTGGTGGGCACCTGTAATCCCAGCTACTCGGGAGGCTGAGGCAGGAGAATTGCTTGAACCTGGGAGTTGGAGGTTGCAGTGAGCCGAGATCATGCCATTGCACTCCAGTCTGGGCAACAAGAGTGAAGCTTCGTCTCAAGAAAAAAAAAAAGGCTGGGCGCAGTGGCTCACGCCTGTAATCCCAGCACTTTGGGAGGCCGAAGCGGGCGGATCACGAGGTCAGGAGATTGAGACCATCCTAGCTAACACGGTGAAACCCCGTCTCTACTAAAAATAGAAAAAATTAGCCGGGCGTGGTGGCGGGCGCCTGTAGTCCCAGCTACTCGGGAGGCTGAGGCAGGAGAATGGCATGAACCTGGGAGGCGGAGCTTGCAGTGAGCCGAGATCACGCCACTGCGCTCCAGCCTGGGCGACAGAGCGAGACTCCGTCTCAAAAAAAGAAAAAAAAAAGGCATTGGCTGAATGTGCACTCCCGGCATCAGAGGGCTGGAGCTGTGCTCTTCTGAGCTTCTCTTTAACTCTCTGAGGGTCCCTGTCCTAGGCAGTGGATGAGAGCCACGCCCAGAAAGCCCAGGTTTCCCACCTGAGTCCATGTATTTCTGTCTTCCCACCTGCCCTTCCATTTCTGGGGGAACCAGAGAAATAAGATATTTCAGGATGGGACCAGGTTGTTTCCTCTGAGGCTGTTAAGTTACTCAGCAACTTACTAAAAGCAGCAGCCTGGCTGCTGGGCAGCAGCATGGTACCTGGATGCGGTGAGGGGCAGGTACAGGCTCCTCTCTCATTCCTTGAAAGTTTCTATATTGAGGGGGTTGGCAGGAGAAGCAAGACTTGAAGGGTCAGGTGCAGAAGGAAGTTGCTGGTCACCAACCACAAAATCAGGGGGAAACTGGAGGTGGGGGCTTAGGGACAGAGAGCTGTGAAGCTTTCCTGACCCTAGCCCAAGTGCCTGTGGGCTTCTTGGAGCCAGCAGGGTACAGGCAAGTATTTCTAGGGCAAGATGGATCAAGAAGAATGAGTGACATTGGTCCCTGGCTTGGTTTTCTGTAATGACATGCCTGTTAGATTTGAACTTGTAGTATGGGCTTTAGTATCCTTTTCCCCCACCTCCGCCATCCAACCAGTCCTTCGATTGTTTTTTGGAAAGGATCTTTCAGAGCTGGCCATTATGGCTTTACCTTTGGCCTTGACCTTTAAACTGGAATGAATGTGCCCCCCAACAAATCGATTGCCTGTGCATTTTTGCCAGACTCTTTTCCTAAAAGCGCAACCCTGGCTATGCCCCCATGATGCTAAAAGCAGCCTTCAGTGGCTGCCTGTTGCCTTTAGGATAATGCCCCCAGCCCCACCCCTGTAGCATTTCCAATGTGTCAGCCAGCAGCTGCAGCCTCCCTTTGCAGACTCAGCTGATACTTGGCAAACTGAATTCTTTTTTAACTTGCTCTGGACTTGGGCTCAAAGGGCTTTGATTCACACCATCTTTTCTGCCTTGCACGTCCCTCTCCTTGTTCCCTTCACCTGCTCAGTCCTTCCTCACATTCTTCAGGGCTTAGCTTTTGGGTGTCCCTGTCTCTTGGCAGTGTCTGGGACCTGGTATGTTTTTTTATTAGATTCTGAGTAAAACTCTGCGGAACAGTCTTTCTCTACTCTGCCTGTTTCTCTTCTGTGTTCCTGTAGCCCCTGTCTCTCTCCTGCAGGTAAATTCCGTTGTGTGGCCCTTAATCATATTCTTCCTTGTGTAATTTTTGTGAGTACCTACCTTATCTCTCTTGATAGATTTTAAATGCCATCAAGTCAGGGACTACGTTTGTTCATGTTTGTATTTTCCACAGCTCTGGGAACAACAGGGCCTTTCCTTCCCAGGCGCACAGTCAATATTTGCTGATTTGGAGTAATTGCCTGTTCTAAACTGGGCCCTGGCCGAGGGAGGTGGGGTGAAAAGCCCTTGAAAGTGCAGGTGTCCGGAGTCTAAGTGGCAGTTCTGAGGGTTCTCTTCCCTACGTCCAGCTTCAAGCCCAAGTTCTGGCTGGTTTGGCTGTGGAGCCCAAGATGAAGTTGAACATTTAGGATCCCACAGCTTGTTGTTATCCATAAATTATCTCCCAGGAGTGGGTCCATATTACGCCTTCCCTTTTTTGTTGT
This sequence comes from Homo sapiens, assembly GCF_000001405.40. Lineage (NCBI taxonomy): Eukaryota > Metazoa > Chordata > Mammalia > Primates > Hominidae > Homo > Homo sapiens. The sequence continues at coordinate 74,436,929 of NC_000017.11, forward strand.
TGTTGTTGTTGTCGTTGTTGTTTTTGGTTTTTGAGATGGAGTCTCGCTCCGTCACCCAGGCTGGAGTGCAGTGGCGCAATCTCGGCTCACTGCAATCTTCTGCCTCCCAGGTTCAAGGGATTCTTCTGCCTCAGCCTCCTGAGTAGCTGGGATTACAGGCGCACGCCACCACACCTGGCTAATTTTTGTATTTTTAGTAGAGACGTGGTTTCAGCATGTTGGTCAGGCTGGTCTGGAACTCCTGACCTCGTGATCTGCCCGCCAAAAGTGCTGGGATTACAGCATGAGCCACCGCACCCAGCCTACTCCTTACCTCTTAGCCCTCTCTTACTCCTCTTTCCAGCACTTGTAAATAAAATGCAGTTGGTGCTTTATTGATTTACAAAGTCCCCTACAGAAGCTTATTTAAGTCCTGCATTAGAAGTAAAGAGAAACTAGCCATTAGAACGCCAGTTATTTAGGAAAACAACAGTACATTTACATGAGATAGTTAATTTTAAGAGTTAATCTTAAGCAAGCTTAATTGAAAGATGAGGTAGCTGAGATGGCTAAGACGACCTAAATATTTTCAAGTGGCATGGAGACTATTTGAAGGGACTTTGAAAATGGATCCTCTTTATTGTGTCCATTTCACTTAATTTTATGAGTTGCATTGCCCCTGATTTAGTAAGTGTTCTTTCACATAACAATTATGGACAGAATTTTTTTTTTTTTTTGCTTCTGTGTTGAAAAGAGGGACAATTTCTATCAACTGTGGGATTTAGGGCTTTTGTTTGCCTATTAGAAATTAAGTAGCCAGGAATGGTAGAAAACAGTAAGGAGGTAAACCATGTATAAACAACCTCACAATCCCCCTAAAAAAGGAAAAAGGGTGGCAGCCTCACAGAAGAGAGTTAGATAATGCCATTCCCCTGCCAGCCACTAGTGGTCACTGTCAGACCAGGAAAGCTTGGTTGCTGTTTTCCCAGAGAGTTCCTGATGAAGCTGGGTTACAACTAGTTATTTGAACACGTGGGGTGACTTAAATGTGGACTACCTGCATTCATAGAATTTTGAAACGTATAACCTGTTTCTTTAAGCATTTAAATTTTCTTTTTCTTTTCTTTTCTTTTCTTTCTTTTTTTTGGAAACAGTCTCGCTCTGTTGCCCAGGCTGCAGTGCAGTGGTGCAATCGCAGCTCACTGCAGCCTCGATCCCCTGGGCTCAGATGATCCTCTAACCTCAGCCTCCCAAGTAGCTCAGACTACAGGTGCATGCCACCACACTCTCTGCTAATTCATATATATATATATATATATATATATATATATATATATATATATATTTGTTGTTGTTGTTGTTGTTTGTTTTCATACAGAGTCTCACTCTATTGATCAGGTTGGAGTGCAGTGGCGCAGTCTTGGCTCACTGCAACTTCCACCTCCCGGGCTCAAGCAATTCTCCTGCCTCAGCCTCCTGAATAGCTGGTATTATAGGCGTGCACCTCCACGCCCGGCTAATTTTTGTATTTTTAGTAGAGACGGGGTTTCACCATTTTGGCCGGGCTGGTCTCGAACTCCTGACCTCAAGTGATCCACCAGTCTTGGCCTCCCAAAGTGCTGGGATTACAGGCGTGAGCCACTGCACCCAGCTGCTAATTTTTGTGTTTTTTATAGAGACGGGGTTTCACCATGTTGCCCAGGCTGGTCTCAAACTCCTGGACTCTAGCAATCTGTTCACCTTGACCTCCCAAAGTGCTGGGATTATAGGCATGAACCACCGTGCCCAGCAGCATTTAAATTTTCAGTGTTAGGTTTCCTCCAAGTACATTTAAAACTTTTGATTGGAAAAAAACTCATTGATTTGGTCTTTAATATTTCTTAACCTGTTAAATCCATTACCTCCACTTCACGTGGGAAAATCCAATTGGTATTGGGAGCAGGAGTTTGGTTTTCTTCTCTGGCACAGATCTGTGGCATTTGGTAGAGCGGCAGTCAGTAGATGGAGTGAAAATTACCTTGCTGGTGTTAATAAAAGCTAATTTTCTTGCCTTCTAGCTACAACGTCTTAAAGTCTTCTATTAAAGATTAATTCCTTTGGGTTTTGCATTGCCCTTGCCTGGTTCTTACTTTTAAAATGTTAATGCTCCGAAGGAAAATTTTTGCATTAAGTCATTAACTCCTTAGCTGGGGACTTCGTTTATTTCACCCTTGACTTCCGCTTCCGAGCTAGGCAAAAAATGGAGGATTCTGAACTGGAGACTTGGCACTAAAAGTGGGAAAATGACTGTCTCTTCATTTTTCCTGGCTGTTGGTTATGCCTGCTGCAGCTGCTTGTTAAGTCTATTGAATGAATGAATGAACACATAGCTGACTGGCTGTGGATTTAGGCCTCACAGGAATGGAGTTTAGGGGCATAGCAGCTGACCTCCTGAAGCCTGAAAGTCCCAGGGCAGAGAGGAGGTACTGGGTGGGTGGTATGCTTGGTCTTGACTTGTTCACAAGCCCCTTCATCCTCCACCGTGGCCGCCAGAGCTCAGGGAATATCTGAACCCAGGTTATGTTTGGTGGAAGGGAGGGAACTGAAAATTCAATGACAGGTTTTTCTTTTGCCATGGCTAGGAATAGGGCTGACAAATGGGCTTCATCTCATTTGCCTCTGTGGCCAGTTGAAATGCCTCTCAGGGGTTCTATGTTAAGAAGGATTCTGAGGTCCAGAGAGCCTCACGGTCAGCAGCTAGCACTATCTGCCTGGGTTTAGGTTGGGGGAAGCAGCACCATGTATATTGGAGTCTGATCTTGGAGGACTAATTTTGTCCCTTTTCCTTCTGTCTCTAGGGACCCAACCAGAGCCTGGCCTGGGAGCCAGGATGGCCATCCACAAAGCCTTGGTGATGTGCCTGGGACTGCCTCTCTTCCTGTTCCCAGGGGCCTGGGCCCAGGGCCATGTCCCACCCGGCTGCAGCCAAGGCCTCAACCCCCTGTACTACAACCTGTGTGACCGCTCTGGGGCGTGGGGCATCGTCCTGGAGGCCGTGGCTGGGGCGGGCATTGTCACCACGTTTGTGCTCACCATCATCCTGGTGGCCAGCCTCCCCTTTGTGCAGGACACCAAGAAACGGAGCCTGCTGGGGACCCAGGTATTCTTCCTTCTGGGGACCCTGGGCCTCTTCTGCCTCGTGTTTGCCTGTGTGGTGAAGCCCGACTTCTCCACCTGTGCCTCTCGGCGCTTCCTCTTTGGGGTTCTGTTCGCCATCTGCTTCTCTTGTCTGGCGGCTCACGTCTTTGCCCTCAACTTCCTGGCCCGGAAGAACCACGGGCCCCGGGGCTGGGTGATCTTCACTGTGGCTCTGCTGCTGACCCTGGTAGAGGTCATCATCAATACAGAGTGGCTGATCATCACCCTGGTTCGGGGCAGTGGCGAGGGCGGCCCTCAGGGCAACAGCAGCGCAGGCTGGGCCGTGGCCTCCCCCTGTGCCATCGCCAACATGGACTTTGTCATGGCACTCATCTACGTCATGCTGCTGCTGCTGGGTGCCTTCCTGGGGGCCTGGCCCGCCCTGTGTGGCCGCTACAAGCGCTGGCGTAAGCATGGGGTCTTTGTGCTCCTCACCACAGCCACCTCCGTTGCCATATGGGTGGTGTGGATCGTCATGTATACTTACGGCAACAAGCAGCACAACAGTCCCACCTGGGATGACCCCACGCTGGCCATCGCCCTCGCCGCCAATGCCTGGGCCTTCGTCCTCTTCTACGTCATCCCCGAGGTCTCCCAGGTGACCAAGTCCAGCCCAGAGCAAAGCTACCAGGGGGACATGTACCCCACCCGGGGCGTGGGCTATGAGACCATCCTGAAAGAGCAGAAGGGTCAGAGCATGTTCGTGGAGAACAAGGCCTTTTCCATGGATGAGCCGGTTGCAGGTGGGTCTCTGTGGATGCCCCCAGTGGCCCCTTTCTCCATCCCATGTCTTTTACTGCAGGACAGGGAGCCAGTCTCTTGAGCAAAATGGAAAGTTTTTGAGGTTTTCTGTAGTTTTCTGCCTAAGTGTCTCTAAATTCCATTTAATTTAAAGATTTTTTTTTTTCAGTTGGGCATGGTAGATCATGCCTGTAATCCTAGCACTTTGGGAGGCCAAGGCGGGTGGATCACTTGAGACGAGGAGTTCGAGACCAGCCTGATCCACATGGTGAAACCCCGTCTCTACTAGAAATCCAAAAAAATTAGCTGGGTGTGCTGGCTCATGCCTGTGATCTCAGCTACTCGGGAGGCTGAGGCGGGAGAATCACTTGAACCTGGGAGGCGGAGGTTGCAGTGAGCCAAAATCGAGCCACTACACTCCAGCCTGGGTGACAGAGCAAGACTCCATCTCAAAATAAATAAATAAATAAGATTTTTTTTCTATATTCATATAATTCATGCATACATTCTCACTGTAAAATTTCAAACATTACAGATAAAATGAAATTTTCCCCAGCTGCCTCCCCAGTCCTACCCGTCCCATCCTGTTCCATCCCCAGAAGTGACCACTATTGACTGATATAATATCTATGTGCCTTTGTTTCTCCATTTGTAAAATGGGGATAATGTCAGTACCTATTTCATAGGGTTCTTGTGAGGATTGAATTAATTAGTGCCGGCTGGGCGCCATGGCTCACACCTGTAATCCCAGCACTTTGGGAGGCTGAGGTGAGTGGAGCTTGAGCCTAGGAGTTTGAGACCGGCCTGGACAACATAGTGAGGCCCCGTCTCTACAAATAATTTCAAAAATTAGCCAGGTGTGGTAGTGCATGCCTATGGTCCCAGCTCCTCAGGAGGCTGAGGCAGGAGGATTGCCTGAGCCCAGGAGGTTGAGGCTTCAGTGAGCCGTGATTGCACCACCACATTCCAGCCTGGATGATCTCAAAAAAAAAAAAAATTACTTAGTGCCCGGCCCATGAAAAGCACTCTTGAAGAATTAGCTATTTGCTGTGTGTGCGTGTCTATTATTTTACATATTTTACTAATACTATCCTTCCAGAACTTGTTTTTCTATTATGTATGTATCCATAATCACCTTAGTTTTCTTTAAAAGGAAGTATTTTTCAGGTAATTTTTTTCTCTTTTTTTATTTTTTGAGACGGAGTCTCGCTCTGTCACCCAGGCTGGAGTACAGTGGTGTGATCTTGGCTCACTGCAACCTCCGCCTCCCGGGCTCAAGAGATTCTCCTGCCTCAGCCTCCCAAGTAGCTGGGATTACAGGCACGTGCCACCACACCTGGCTAATTTTTGTATTTTTAATAGAGACGGGATTTCACTATGTTGGCCAGGCTGGTCTCGAACTGCTAACCTCAAGTGATCCGCCTGCCTCGGCATCCCAAAGTGCTGGGATTACAGGTGTGAGCCACTGCACCTGGCCTTTTTCTCTTTTTAATAAAAGTATTTGGGGTGCCGTGTAGTGGTCTCAGCAGCGCCCTTGTTAGCTGTACAGCCCACTAGCATTTCCTCAGCACCTGCTCTGTGCCAGCCCCTGTGCTAATCCCCTTACCGATGTGGCCCATTGCACGCATCCCACCTGCTCTTCCTCAGCCTGCTGGCTGCAGCCCCTCATCTGACATGACCTGGAAATTTGGGGGTGCCATCTCAAAGTCCTGACCCTGCCCCCAGACTGTGCTGATCTGGAGGCCTGGGGGCTTCAGACTTTCTTAACTGCCCGGTTAACAAGCACCGGCTCTGGGGTCTCTGCTGGGAGGTCAGAGTCAGGCAGTGGAAGTTCCAGAATCAGAGACATTCCTTTCTCTTCTACACACTGTGAAATCCTCATAATCCCTGCTTTGGAGAAAGAGATGACCCTTGTCCTGCCGGGCACTTGATCTTTGATCTGCCCACCTGGGCTGAGGTGCTGGCCTCACCCCTGGGTGGCCCCTGTCACACGCACGGTGTGCATGGCGGGGGTGGAATTGGCAAAACCCACCAGAGAGGTGGGGCTTACAGACAAGTGCTGGGAGGAGCCTCAGGCCCCGCCCCCACACTGAATGCCGGTCGGGGCCAAATGGTTCTCAACCTTGGGGCTGAGTTTTTACTTCCTTTTTTTTTTTCTAAATGGAAAAATCAATAGAGTGAGCCCAGCCCCAGCACTTAGGAAACTCTATATAGGTTGCGGTCCCTCAGAACTGCAGGGCCGTCAGCCTTGCCGGAGCCAGACGTCCGCTGTGCCGTCCTCACAGCAAGGCCTGCTCCGAGGCCCCGGGGTGCGTCAGCAGCCCTCCTCAAACACCCTGGGAGTGCCCAGCAGGGCGGAACACACCGGGAAACCAACACCCCAAAGGCACAAGGAAGTATCCCTGGAGCTAAAAATAGTTCTGGAAACTTGCCAGGGGGCCACAGGCTGGGACGTGCGTTAAGGCTCCCTGGCCAGGCTCTGGGTTGGTGTAGTGGGGAAGGGGCGCCCAGGTCGGCCCTGGGAGGACATGAACAGGCTTAGGCCGAGGGCTCTCAGATGTATTTACCTCTGTGCCTGGCAGCTGGCCCGTGGTGACAGGCAGAGCTGGAGGCTGGCCATCTTGGAAGGCGGCCGAAGGCCCATGTGTCCTCTTGGCCTCTGGCCCCGGAGGGCGGATGGGGATGTGGAAGTTGCTGACAGAGCATTTTCTGAGCTGTTGGGTCAGGGGCTGGGGTGTCTACAGTGCAGGGAAGCTCAGCAGTGTTGTTCACTCCCATGCATCTGTACAAAGGGGTGCTAGGCTTGGGAGGGGGCCCCCGTGTTCACAACCTCACCCCCAAGTTGGCCACTCCTGGGTTAGAGACTATGCCAGGGTTGGCCTGCCCCCTTTACCTCTTCCCTGCCCCCAGAGAGCCTTGCTTGGTTTGTGGGAGGTGGGGAAGGGAGCTGAGAGCCCTGGGATCTTCAAACTGTTCCTGCTTTTCCTTGTAGCTAAGAGGCCGGTGTCACCATACAGCGGGTACAATGGGCAGCTGCTGACCAGTGTGTACCAGCCCACTGAGATGGCCCTGATGCACAAAGTTCCGGTAAGTGGGTTCCCCAGGTCCCCGTGACACGTCTGGGCTACAGAGACCAGCCTCAGCAGGCCAGTGGGAGAAGGCCATGTGGCCAGAGCTGGGTTGGGTGGAGGTGGTAAGGGGAAGGCAAGCTTCTCCATCTGGTGCTTTTACCTGGGGAATCCAGAGCCCCAGTTCTTAAATTCCTTGTCCTGGAGTCAGTGTACCCACCACCTTCAGCTGCACTGCAGTGGGACCCGCCCTGTGTCACTGGGGCATTGCACACAGGTTGTGTCGGGATGCTATAGGGAATGCTGGGTGAGCTCTCCCTGGTGGGAGCTGCCAGCTTTACCCTGGAGGGCTTGGGGAGGGACAAAGGAGGGTCTCAGCCAGGTGCTCCCAAAATAGACAGGGGTCCAAATGTCACAGGTCTGGATAGGTGTTTACTTCTCAACCACAGCTGTGCCAAGGGGGCCCACACTCTCCTCCCTCTCTGGCAGGCAGCAAGTCTCGACCTTACACCTCCCCCTGGGTTCTGGAAACTAGAAGCATCGTTAGCCAGGGGAGGGGGAGGGAGCAGGAAGACGGTGGGTTGGATTCTACTCACTCCTATATGTGTTCCTCCTCCCGGCTGGCAGAGGCTGTGGGGAGAGGTCAGTGACCCGTCTTGGCAGGACACTGGGAACAGGAAACAAGGAGGTCAGCTGGGTGGCGTTCTCATCCCCCTCCCCGCCCTCTCTGTGAGAGCCGCGGGGCAGGGGGAGGTGAGTGTGGCTGAAGCTTCCAATCCCAGCGCCTCCCCTCTCCCTGAGCCTGAACCTGAGCCTGGGCAGAGGAGAGCTTCCGGAGCACCAGGAGTGGAGGCTGCGGGCTGTCAGCTCTGGCGGGGAGTGGGCAGCCACAGAAGCCTTTGCTGAATAGCTTCCTTCACTGTTGCTGCACCTCACTCCCCAGCGCGTTTGGAGTCTGCTTCCTGGGGGATGATCTGGATTAACAGGGATATTTTATCTGACCGGTTCTCAAAACATGGTACCCGGACCACCAGCACTAGCCTCACCTGGGAGCCTGCTCAAAGTGCAAATGGGGGCCAGGCACAATGGCTCACACCTGTAATCCCAGTACTTTGAGAGGCTGAGGCAGGTGGATCACCTGAGGTCAGGAGTTTGAGACCAGCCTGGCCAACATGCTGAAACCTCATCTCTACTAAAAACACAAAAATCAGCCAGGCATAGTGGCACATGCCTGTAGTCCCAGCTACTAGGAAGGCCTTAGCCAGAGGATCCCTTGAACCCGGGAGGTGGAGGTTGCAGTGAGCACAGACTGTACCACTGCACTCCAGCCTGGACAACAGAGTGAGACTCTGTCTCCAAAAATAAATAAATAAGAAAAAAAAAAAAAAGTGCAGATGGGGCGGGGCCAGAGCTGGGATGGAGCTGACTGTTAGCATCCGTTCAGGGCGTCGGCACCATGGGGGCACTATCCAGCGCAGATCTGCAAGCCCAGCATTCAGCACTCCCTCCCCCAGCCCCAGCTGTTGCCAGCTGCATGGGGCCAGCTGTGTTGGGTGGGGACTGTGTAGGGTCCAGCTATGAGTTGGTGGAGTCTGCGTGGGGACTGTGTAGGGTCCAGCTATGAGTTGGTGAGGCTTAACAAGCAGTGCAGGTGATTCCAATGCACACTCATCTGTGGTTTTGGACCACAGATGTAGATGTTCCAGGGACCACATGGACAGGGGCCATTGCAGACAGGCCTGAGGACCTCCTGGGCCTGATTGACTTGAAGGCTAGTTTGGGGTCTGGGAGCTACAGAGATTTGGTGGCAGCTCTTTCCCATAGGGCTAAGACAGATGGGGCCAGGAATACACCTTTCCTCCAGCATAGGAGCCGGAACAGGTACCTCAGGACCCTCTTCACCCCACAGCTGGTGTCTCTCACCCACATGGGAGCAAGACCCAGCGCCAGGCAGAGAATTCAGGTTTCAAGACTCCAAATCAGGGCTGGTTGCAGTGGCTCATGCCTTTAATCCCAGTGCTCTGGGAGACTGACATGGGAGAACTGCTTGAGGCCGAGGGTTCGAGAGCAGCCCTGGCAACGTAGTGAGACCCCCCCCCCCCGCCCACCATCTCTACAAAAAAAAAAAAAAGACTCCAAATCAGACCGGCCAGACTAGATGCCTAGAGAGATGTGTGGGCACACCCAGAGCCATGTCCTCCGCCAGGGAAGCCAGCAACTGTGATGCTGGGGGTATGGTAGTGACAGGCGGTCGACTCGGGGTAATATTCTTGGAGGAGCCGGGCATGGTGGCTCACACCTATAATCCCGGCACTTTGGGAAGCCGAGGCGGGTGGATCACGAGGTCAGGAGATTGAGACCATCCTGGCTAACATGATGAAACACCGTCTCTAATAAAAATACAAAAAATTAGCCGGGCACGGTGGCGGGCTCCTGTAGTCCCAGCTACTCGGGAGGCTGAGGCAGGAGAATGGCGTGAACCCGGGAGGCAGAGTTTGCAGTTGGCCGAGATCACGCCACTGCACTCCAGCCTGGGCGACAGAGCGAGACTCCGTCTCAAAAAAAAAAAAAAAGATTCTTGGAGGAAGGGGGCCTGGGAGCTATGTCAGACAGGTAGTAGCAGCTCTGTGTGGCTGACTCTCCACTGGCCCTAGCATTTCCCTAAACAATTGGAAGTAGGAGGGTCTTGAGAAGGGGATCCCCCTCTGTGAAGCCCCAGCACCATCCAAGGTCAGCAGGGGCCTCGTTCCCATGCCCAGAGGCAGGGTGAGATAAGGGGCTCAGGTCTGGCTGTCCCAGGCTGCTCCTGGGGCCCAGCCAGAGGGGGCAGAGGAGCCGAGGGGGGAGTTGGGGGGGATCTGGCAGTCCCAGCCCTGCAGGAAGTGTTTGTGCATCCGCCCCGGCGGAACCTGGCTCCCAATCCCCGACTGTGAGACCGCCTGTTCTTCCTTCCAGTCCGAAGGAGCTTACGACATCATCCTCCCACGGGCCACCGCCAACAGCCAGGTGATGGGCAGTGCCAACTCGACCCTGCGGGCTGAAGACATGTACTCGGCCCAGAGCCACCAGGCGGCCACACCGCCGAAAGACGGCAAGAACTCTCAGGTCTTTAGAAACCCCTACGTGTGGGACTGAGTCAGCGGTGGCGAGGAGAGGCGGGCGGATTTGGGGAGGGCCCTGAGGACCTGGCCCCGGGCAAGGGACTCTCCAGGCTCCTCCTCCCCCTGGCAGGCCCAGCAACATGTGCCCCAGATCTGGAAGGGCCTCCCTCTCTGCCAGTGTTTGGGTGGGTGTCATGGGTGTCCCCACCCACTCCTCAGTGTTTGTGGAGTCGAGGAGCCAACCCCAGCCTCCTGCCAGGATCACCTCGGCGGTCACACTCCAGCCAAATAGTGTTCTCGGGGTGGTGGCTGGGCAGCGCCTATGTTTCTCTGGAGATTCCTGCAACCTCAAGAGACTTCCCAGGCGCTCAGGCCTGGATCTTGCTCCTCTGTGAGGAACAAGGGTGCCTAATAAATACATTTCTGCTTTATTAACTCTTGCTCTGGGATTGTGGTTTCTGACCTGGCCTCCTGGTTTCTGATGAACGTCTCCTCCACCATGGCCTGTGGGTGACTTCTCTTTCTTCCCTCCAAATCCAGCTCACATTTAAAGCTGCTGCAGATTTTTCCTGTGCAGTTAAGTAGCTGATGCCTCTCCCCAGTGAGTGGTTCTTTAGCAGGTCCTCTGTCTGTATTGTGTGCGATCAGAATGAACACCCAGGCTCAGTGCGTGCCTAGGATGCAGTCCCGCACCTGGGCTTGTCTGAGGCCAGGCAGCTTTCCTCTGGGAACCCCCCTCCAGTGGCTGTGGGGATAGGACTGGGAAGGTGAGCCTTGAGCCAGGTGGCTCTGTGTGTAAGGGAAGATGAACTCATTTCAGCTTCTCCTGGGATGAATGACAGTGAAGATCCCATAGCGGACAAAGTGGAGACTCATTCTGCTCCATGCTTTGAGATCACACCGTGTGATACGTGCAAAGGAATGGCCTAGAGAGGGTCAGGAATTGTTTACAAATGGGTTGACAAAAGTGCAAAGGGTTGGGCCAGGTCCTGGTTGGTTTCGTTCCCGAGCGGTCATTAAAATGTCCATTTATGCGGGGTGCGATGGCTCATGCCTGTAATTCCAGCACTTTGGGAGGCCAAGGTGGGAGGATTGCTTGAGCCCAGGAGTTCCAGACTAGCCTGGGTAACATAGTGAGACCTTGTTTCTACAAAAAAAAAATTTTTTTTTAATTAGCCAGACATTAGTCCTAGCTACTCAAGGGGGTGAGGTGGGAGGATCTCTTAAGCCCAGGAGGTCGAGGCTGCAGTGAGCTTTGATTGCACCATTACACTACTGCCTGGGCAACAGAGCGAGACTCTGTCTCAAAAAAAGAAAGTCAGTTTGTTCGGTACTTATACTAAGCAAAAGCCTTTCCTCAGCAGCTCATTTTTTAATTTAATTTAATTTAATTTTTTTTTTGAGACAGAGTCTTGGTCTGTTGCCCAGGCTAGGGTGCAGTGGCACAATCTCGGCTCACTGCAACCTCCGCCTCCCAGGTTCAAGCAATTCTCCTGCCTCAGCCTCTTGAGTAGCTGGGATTATAGACATGTGCCACCACACCTGGCTAACTTTTTGTATTTTTAGTAGAGACAGGGTTTCACCATGTTGCCCAGACTGGTCTTGAACTCCTGGCCTCAAGTGATCTGCCCACCTCAGCCTCCTGGAGTACTAGGGTTACAGGCATGATCCACCACTCTCGGCCCATCAGCTCATTTTAATCCCCAAGGCTGCCCTGGAAGGTGGGAAGGACTAGTATTCTATCCCTTTTCCAGATTCAAAATCCCAGAACTGTACCATTTTGGGGTGAGACAGGGCCTCAGAGTAGTTCTACCGCCCCCTTTTACAGGTAAGCGAACTGACCCAGAGAGGCCAGGCCAACACCAACCAGGTTTTCCTAAGACTCTGACGTCCAGCAGCCTCTCTCCGTGGCCCACCCTGGGTAAGCCAGTCCAGTGGGTGGCACTTCCAGCCATGTGGTTGAGACAGCAGGGTCCTGACCTTTGGACGCTGGCTCAAGACTTTGCCAGGGGGCTGCCAGGCCGGCCCCGGGGAGCCTGCTCCTCCCAGGCTTGGGAATGTTTCTCCCCAGCTAGTCAGAAGCTATTTTCTGATACCGGTTGTAGGGGAAAAAATGTTTTTGTTGAAAGGGAGAGAAAGGTTGCTGGGAAAAAAAAAATAAACTTGAAGGGGAGAGAAAGTTTGCTGGGAAGAAAAAATAAACTTCTCCCAAAATTCTCCTTCTATGCTCAGATTGCATTAGCCTCCTGGGGACTGAAACACTATTTTTAAGTAAAAACCAGTTCTTGGGCCCCACGCAGTAGAGTCCCCTTTGACTCTTGTTCTTTCTGGTCACTTTAGGCTCAGTCCCCACAAAGTAAAACGAGATGGTAGAAGCCCTCTTCCCGGGACTGCACGGCATCCTGATCCTCATTCCTCTGTACCCAGGCTGGACCGGGCCCAGCACCTTTCCCATCCTTGTCATTGGAGCTGGGAGGGGCCGGAGGCCACCAACCTGAAGCAGTGGACCGAGTGGGCCCCCGTGAAGCCCTGAGTGTGTGACTGGAGCGCCTAGGGCCACCTCCCTTTCCTGCCCAGCCCATCTTCCTGGTCCCCAGGTGGCTGCAGCTACAAGGAGCTGTCCGCGGGCCCCCAGGCTGCCTCCAACTCCCCTCTTGACACGCCCCCCTCCCCCCAAATCATAGTCCCTGTGTCCCCAAGCTGTGGTTCAGATTGCCTTCTTCCCCTCTGTGAACAACAGGCCTCAGTGCCCCGTCTTGACTCTGGACCTTCCTGGCCCTGCCATCTTGGTGTCTGGCACTGGCTTGTCCCACCCTCTGCCTAGATGGATCTCCTCCATGAGTCTTTGGAGCCAAGCCAGGGCAGAAGTTGGCCCTTGCCCTTCTCACCAGGGCCTCCTGCCACCACCTGGACTGTGGAAGGCCACTGAGATGGGGGCAGAGCTCAGCCCGAGGCTTGGGCACACTGCTTCTCTCCACGGCCTGTGGGTCCTGGATCTGAGCCCTTGGGGTGTTTCACTCAAGAGCCACTGAGCCGTCCCCATCTTCCACAAAGCAGTTTCCACAAGCAAGCCAGGGCCAGCCCTGCCTGCACTCTGCCCGCAGTGCCCCTCAACGTCTGGGATGAGGATGAGCCTGCTGAGATGAGGGCAGCTCTCTCCATCCAGCAGTACCTCATGGAGTGCTCACTAAGGAGTTAGGAATGGCAGGCCACGCTGGCATCTGGGGTTCAAGGTGGCTCCTGTGGCAGGAACAGGTGTCCATGACCCTGATTACCTGGATCTCACAGGTTCTGGGAATGCAATAGGGGCCTGCTGTGGCTATTCCAACATCTCTGGTCAGGGCCTGGAAGTACCTTAGGACACATGGGGTTGGGGTCAGGACTGCATTCTCAGGGACCAGTGGAGAGCCCTGGACCAGATGAACTGGAGTCTAGGCCTCTCTCGTGACTGGGACTTGTGGGACGTGGGAGGCCTGTGAGATCCAGGACTAAAGATTATGCTGTTTCCTAATGGGCAGATATGTAAGTAGGTAAGTGGGATCCTCAGGTAAGCGGGATCCAGAACTAAAGACTGTGCTATTTCCTGATGGGCAGATGTGTTGTTTCTACCTCATCTTGGGCAGCACCTGGATATGCTGGCGCTGGTTCATCACTGGAGGAGCCTCTTGTATTTTGAGCCCTCGGACATGCTCCAGAGGGTCCTGACGGTCACCCAGCAAAGAGGGGGTACCTCCATGGTGCTGGCACCAAAGACAGAGATGGGCACAGCTCCAGGCTCGTGAAAATGAGCTCTCTATAACATTGTCTTCCTGAGGTTTTTCCTGCCCTTATCCAAGGTGGGCCCTAAAGCTCAGTCCCCAGCCCAGCAGCACCTCTGGGTGCCGGGGTGGAGGATGACGACCAGAGCAGCTCTCTGGAGAGGTGCCCTGTAGTCAGTCCCACAGCTCTCTGGTGCTACCCCCGTCCCCAGCAGCCTGTGCCTTTGTCACTGGCATACTTTTCCAGAGCTAAATTGGGCGAGCAATCCCTGCAGAGTAGGATTGCAGCTCTGACTGTGGCCCCCGACCTCTCTGTGTTGCCTGTCGAAGTCCATGAACAGAATGTTATTTCCCTCCAGTGGAAGGGAAGCAGGGAGCTCTGTGGACCTCACGCTGCCCTTGGTCTAGCTTAGCGGCCCCAAGATCCCTTAGTGAATCAAGGCGCTGTGTTGCTTTCCTATGTGATAATTTCAAAGGAGTCCCCGGCAGGGCCTGATACCCAGAGGCTGCAGTCTCCAGTGGACGTGGGTGTGTGTATAGCCTGAGTCCTCTGGGGGTCTGCGCGTGAGGCTCAGGGAGGGATGGGATCCTAAAAGATGCAGGCCTGCCTGTATTCAGGAGTACCCACTGGCCCTGCTTACTCCCGCCCGGGCCAAGTGGAGAAGAAGTTAGATGAGTTCTTAGGAGGAGAGAGGCAGCTTCTTTGAGGTGGTCGAGTGGCATCACAAACAAGCGTTGAATGGAAAAAGACTAGAAGAGGCAGAGCCTGTCACAGGTTCACCATCATCCAGCCAACACTATGGGAAATCTCACACCCACCACTGTCAAACCGAGGACTTTGGACTTAATAACTGCTCAGAATTAAACGACCTTACCTTCCATGGGTGAGGGCTTACTGCCATTGAATTCCTGTGTGTTCATAAATTCTGGGAGTTACTAGTTTTTTTTTTTTTTTTTTAATTATTTTTAGAGACAGGGTCTTGCTACGTTGCCCAGGCTGGTCTCGAACTCCTGGCCTCAAGCGATTCTCTCATCTCAGCCTTCCATGTAGCTGGGATTCCAGGTGCCTGCTCCCCCACCCCCGACCCTGCCTCTGGGATTTTTTTCATGTGTATTTCCCTGCTAGACCTCTTGCTTTTTACACCAACAAATGCTGTTTGATTCCAACTAACCTTTTTCTCTGTTGGGGATTTATTTTAAGGGGAAAACCAGGCCTCCAAAAACCACTGAGCTCTCAACCCGTCAAGGCCAGAGAACTCTAACACCTACACAAGATGTGGGTGGGGAGGGAGGCGACCCCAAAAGTATCCCTGTTGCTGCCTGGCATGGCTGGAAGAGGCAGCCAGGATACCCATTGGGTGAAATTCTCAGTGCACAGAACCAGGGATGGCTGGTAAATCCCCTGGGCCATGAAGACCTGCCTGCCGAGTGCCTTTCCTGGCTTTCCAGTTTACTCATGGCCCTGCACTTGTTCGTCAGCCCCCCACAGCTCATAGAAGAGAGCAAGCAACAGAGGCTAAGTGCCTGCCCTGTGGGGGTGCTGCTTGGAAGGGTCTGTTGGCCCTCCAAGCCATTCTCGCCAAGGGCAGCATTTTCACTAGCCCCCGGAGGATGCGCCAAGGTCAGGCACAGGTGCCAGGAACCAGGATTTGTTTCCTGTCTGCCGTCTCCACTCTGGGCCCTCCAGGAAGCTGCAGCCCCTGTTCACAGCAGCTGCATGAATTATTTAGCATCTGCACCAGACCGGGAGTGCTCTGACCTCATCCTCCTTGGGCTCAGGGTGCGGTTCTGACCTCATCCTCCTTGAAAAAAGGTTGTTGATAGGCAGAGGCTGGAGCGGTGCGTCCCTCTGGGGTGCGGGTGATTAAAAGGGAGACACCAGTACCCTCAGAGAAGGAGGTGGGGAGCAGCGACCCATGCCCTTGTCGCAGGAGGCAATTCTGCAGCACGCAGAAAATATGACTTTGGAATCAGAGGCTGCGGGTTCACATCCTGGCTGTTAGTAGTTCTGTGACCTTCAGCAGCTCCCTTGGTCCTTCCTCAGTCTTCTCATCTGAAAAATGGGGGTACCAGCCCCCTGAGTTTGTGTTTGGTGTTCTGTCCCCTCCAGATAACCCCCACGAAAGTCACAGTCAAGGCAGAGCGTCCAGGCACCATCTGCCCAGTGTTTCCTGCCCAGACAAGCAGGTCTTCTGGCCAGATTTCAGTTTGGCACCTCCTGGTGCCACATCTTCCCTTCCCTCTATGCTGCCTCATGCCCTGGGTCCCCAGAGTGGGTGGCTTGGCAGGTTGCCACGATTGGAAGAGGATGCTAAGGAGAGAGACCCTTGGCAGTGCCCGCGCCCTGACTGGCAGGGGAGAAGGGCTAGCAGAGGCGTTAGGAGGGTCGCCAGGTGCACAGGAAGCCTAAGAAGCTAGGCTGAAGATCTGGGACGGAGCTGCTTTCTGCCAGCAAATGTCCACTGTCTACTGGGTGGACGGGAGGGAGTGGAGATGAGAGCGATCTGGTCTCTGCCCTCCTTTGCCAGGTCAGGCCTGAGGGCTGAAGTGGGAGTGGCCATGTGAGTCCCAGCAAATGCGTTTTGGGATTAAGCACGCAGGTGCCTTCAGCAAGCTTCCCCGGGTATCCCCTTCCCAAGCGGCACCTTCGTGGCAGGCAGGGCATCTCGGACCAGGGCCTGGCTCCAGCTAGCTCTGTGGCCTTGGACAGCTCCCTTGACCCCTCGCCCCCGCAAGGGTTTCCTCATCTGTAAAATACACCCCGATGTCTCCAGCTCTGTCTAAGCCCTGGAGTTGGTGTCCCCAGCAGTGGAGAGGGGACCTAAAGCCCCAGGGCTCTGCCGCAGATGCACCCCCAGGGGTTCCGACTCAAAGTCTGGAGCAGAACTGGGCAGACACAGGGTGACCGCCTGGCTGTGCTTTGGAGAGAGAAGTTGGGTCCCGTGGGGGTGAATGGGGCCGGTCCCAGACCGGTTGTCCGCCCCATCCGCCGACCCCTCACCTCCGCAGACTCCTCCAAGCCAGGGGCCTGGAAGTGGCTCCTTCTGATTCACCTAAAGGCAACGGTGGCTTGCCTCACCCCCAACTCCACCGACGGCAGGAGAGGGTCCGCGGGGGCCCGGGCCCAGGGAAGGTTTTACGCTCCGTCCTTAACCCAGCGTCCTAACCTGACCCGGCTGGGAGAGGGGGCGGGGCCCCGGAACCCCACCCGCAGACAGCCCACTCCCCCGCACGCACCTGGGTTGGGGGAGGTGGGGGGCGGTGGGGGGCAGTGAAGGTGGGGGGAGGTGGGGGTGGGCCCGAGCAGCCGGCGCGCCCACGTGCCTCTCCCGCGAGGGCCCGGCCACCCCAGCTCCAGCCAACCCGAGGCCGCCTCTCGTGCCCCACCCCAAGCCCCGCCCCGGCCCCTGCAACCCGATCCTCGCCGCGGGGCGGCGGCCGAAGCCAGCTGTCCCAGCTCCTGCTGTAGCCTGGGGGCCGGGCCGCCGCGCTCCGCCCATCCCCGCCCTCAGAGCTGGGCCTCGCAGCCGCTAGGGATTGCGGGGGCCGCATTTATCCCTGTGTCTCTCAGGCCCCGCAGAGACGGGGGTGGGGTGGGTGACGCCAGGGAAGCAGGCCCCTTTTCCCAAGGGAAGAATCCCCTTCCGGAGGCCCGCCGGGCCATGGAGTTTCCGCGGGTGGAGGTAGTGAGGCCAAGGGCACGGGGAGCCCTGTCGCTGCCTTACGTCTGGCTCTAGGCCGGGGTTCCTCGGCTCCACCAGCGACATTTGTGGCCGGATCGCTGTGTAGTGGAGCTGGCCCGGGAACTGCAGGATATTGAGCGGCATCCCTGACCCCCTCCACTGGATGCCAGGAGCACAGCCAGCCCCCTAACCCTACAACCACAAATGTCTCTGGACACGGCCAAACGTCCCCTGGGGGCAAACTCTCCGGGTGGAAACCCACTCCCCGAGGGTTTTTCGGTGGGCATTTGAGGCAGCCACACGGGCTGGGGGCCTGGAGCTCGAGGTCCCTGCAGCCAGGAAGCTGGTGCTGGCCTCCCCTTCTCCCCGGCGCTGCCAGCTGCTTCAGGCTGGCCTGGGAACTGTGACCCTTGGCCTGACAGTATTTCGGCAGCATGTGACCTGCCAGGCTTTCTCACCGTAGGGTGCCCCCACCCTGATGTGGGTGCTGGCACAGGGGATGCTGGGGACAAGCCCATCACTAGCAGTCAGGCCAGCTGGGGCACCGGAAAGAGACTCAGGCACTGGGTGTCCATGGGCAGCCTGAGGTTCCCAAGAGAAGCTGGGCTGAGGCCGCCGTGTGAGCCCAGGGGCTGTCCGGGCTGAAGGTCAGGGGGCATCCTGGCCCACAGGGTCCACCCCTTACGCGCACACACACACACACACACACACACACACGCACACACTGGGTGGGGCGTGGGAAAGACAAAAGGAGTCGGTCCCAGCTGGGGAGGATCCCGCCCTGTCCCTTCACCAGGCCCATTTGGGAGCGGTCATCAGAGCCAGGAAGGTGGTGAGAGGGCTGGGGCAGGGCACTGTTGGCCCCAACCCCCACTGCGTGCCACCCTGCCATGCAAAGCAGAATTTTCAGAAGAATCCAATTGCAGACTTAACGGGGGAGGTTTTAGTAGCTCCCCCTCCCCCTGTGTATTCACAATTGACTGTATTTGCATAGGAAATCTGGAAAGAGACAAAAGGCACCATAGCAGATGTTAAAGTGGACCATTGGGGGAGTTGGCCGGGGGCGTGGGGGGAAAGGGGGTCGGATGTGGGGGTGGGAATCCCCTGGTACCAAGCAGATGAGGGACAAGAAGATTTTTTCTGTCTCGTTTTGCTTTTTCTTTCTCTCCTTCCTTTCTCTCTTTTCCATAAAAATAAATTACATATTTTTAAAAAAAAATTCTTCTGAAAGAAAGAAAAGGGGCCAAAGGTAGCAGTGGCCCCCCACCAGCAGCTGCAGTGGCCTGCGACGTCCCTGCCCCAGCCTTCACAAAGACCAGACTGAGCTACCCTCGGCCACACTCCCTTTCCTCATCTCTCCCCCTGAGAAAGATGGGCCAACTTTTAGCCTGCCTAGATTTTCAACTCATTCTCTCCTTGGGAGGGTTTTCAAGGAGGCTGGGGCGGGGAGTGTGTGTTCATTGCATGTATGTGGCATGGGGCACCCACCCTCCACCCAGCCTTGCTGAATGATTCTTCGAAGGCTGAATTAGATTTACATCCGTGGAGCAGATTGGTGTGCTGTTTCTCAGCGTGTAGCTCATCATTATAAAACATGCTGTGTCCCATGGGGCAGACAGCAACAGACATGGGAATAGCATTTGGCTCATTAATTCATTCATTCATCAGGTTTTCATCCATATTTATCAAAGGCTGCTCCGTGCCATCATTCTAATTAACATCAATTCCCACACTGATCTCTCTCCTAGTATCCAAGTCTGTCTGGCACACAATTCTGTCACCTCCTCCAATCTGAGGCTTCCATCTCCACAACTCACTGCAGCCCGGTGTCCTGGGTCTCTGAGGGGAATCTCTTACTGTGTGTGCCAGTTCCTCAGCTACTTGACGGTGTCTGTAGATAGTGACCTGCTCTGAGGTCTGCAAGGGCAAAGTCACCCCCATCCCTGCATCTGTGTTCATGTCCCTGTGATGGGGATGATGGTTCACTGATGGGAACTTTGGTCACCTGGGGACAGCTGTGTCCTGGCTTTGAAAGTGAGGCTGGTTGGCCATGCATCATGGCTCACACCTGTAATCCCAGCACTTGGCAAGGCCAAGGCGGGGGAATTGATTGAGGCCAGGAGTTTGCGACCAGCCTGGCCAACATGGTGAAACCCTGTCTCTACTGAAAATACAAAAATTAGCCGGGGTTGGTGGTGCTCACCTGTAATCCCAGCTACTTGGGAGGCTGAGGCAGGAGAATCGCTTGAACCCAGGAGGTGGAGTTTGCAGTGGGCAGAGATTGTGTCACTGCACTCCAACCTGGGTGACACATTGAGACTCTGTCTCAAAAAAAAAAAAAAAAAAAGGAAAGAAAGTAGGCCAGGGAGATGGCCGGCCTGGGTTGCGGTGGGGGACTCTCTCCTTTGGTCATAGTCAGAAAGGTTAAGAGGGTGCTCTCCTGGGCACCCGTGAAGTGCCAGGTGTTCTCATAACCCCCGTGCACTCCAGTTCGTAAACTTGTCTGATTCTAGAAATCATCTGAATGCATTTGTTAAAATGACAGATTCCCAGTCCCCAACTGGAGAGACGCCTTATTCAGCTGGTCCGAGGCAGGCCCCAGAATCTGCATTCTCAGCCAGTACCCAAGGTGTTTGTTACATCAGTCAAACTTGGGCCCCACTACTGTAGGGGAGGCTGAGATGGGTTAATGCTGCCTCCACCACTGCCTGGGGGAGTCGGGAGAAGGAGCTGGGTGATTGAGTGACCAGGAGGCCTTTCAAGTCATCACCTTCTCACCTTTTCAGTGGTGGAGGTGGGAGCTTGTGTAGGGACTGTGGTGCAGGGTTGGGGTAGGAGAGAGAAGAGTCAAGAGATCTAAGGCTGTGGTCCCCCAGCTTCCCCCATGACTGAGGACCCATTTGAGGACAGGCTGGACGTTTTTCTGTATTTTTCAAGGGTTCTGTTCACTCTCCTTCCCGAATTCCTCAAGGGGGAGGGTGAGCAAGTGGGCTGAGAAGGAGGCACGGGGCTGGTGTCCAGGATCCCCGGGCCACTGTCTCCGGCCGTTTCCCTGCGTCTGATAGAAGGGGCCCCTTCCTACCCAGGCCCCTGGGATTTCTGCCTCTCACCTTTTAAGGCAATCCTTTGTTTTCCCGTCTTTGTTTACATGTTTCCCATGAAACCATGAGCTCCTGAAAAGGACATATTGCGGTATTTTTATCTTCATGTCCCTATCTTTGGACCCAGTGCCTGGCTCAATGGGGGCAGCCATTAATATTTGTTGAACAAATTGGCAGTGCCTGGGCACTGAGCGCCACCTGGCGGCGTTAGCGGGCATGGTGGTGCTTAGATATCAGTTGGAGCGGCGGACCTAGGGGGACGCGTCCTGGTCCCCTGGTTTGGGGCGGCCCGTCCAAGTGTGAGGTCATGTAGGGGTGGGGTAGGGGTCCCTGAACAAGGTCTGGTGGGGAGGCGAGGGGTGGGCCTTTGAAAGCTGTGACTCTCTCAGGATAACAAGGGGCAGGTGGGAAAGGAAGCCATGGACGCTCGGGATGGAGAAAGAAGAGGTCTATTCAACCATCTATTCATTCATTCATTTATTCACTTTCAGAACCAACTTTATGGGCAGGATTCAGCAGGAGGCTGGGACTTGTCATGCTGAGTCCTCCCTGAAGGGACTCCCTCCTTGTCTGCAGAGAGCTTAGGTAGTCCGGGGTTGGAGAATATCTATCTCCCTGAAGTGGAATGGCCAGCCGACTTCTGCACTTCCTCCACCCCGTCCTATGCACGGTCTGGTGTCTGAAACCTCTTTTCTCCCACTGCAGTGCCCTCCCACCCTCCCTCTTCCTCAGGGCGTGGAATCTCTGCCAGGGCTCCACTCATGGACTCAGGCATGGATGTTTTTATTATTCTTCTTTAGAGACAGGGTCTCCATGTGTTGCCCGGCCAGTCTAGGACTCCTGGGCTCAAACCATCATCCTGCTTCTGCCTCCTGACTGGCTGGGATTGCAGGTGTGGGCCACCATGCCTGCCCCCAAAGGCCCCCGAAGAATTTTCATGTGCACCCAGGCTTGAGACTTCTGCCAGAATCTGTGTAAGCAAATGTGGTCAGCGGGACCGGGAAACTGCATCGGAGTTATGTCTCTTTCTGCTTCACCCCACAGAGCTCTCTCCAGGTCGCTGCTGTTTTTGCTACACCCTGAGTCCCCACCCCAACATATACACTCTGACCTCCTGCGATGGTTGATATTGAGTGTCAACTGGATTGGATGGAAGGATGCAAAGTATTGTTCCTGGGTGTGTCTATGAGGGTGTTGCCAAAGGAGATTAACATTTGGGTCAGTGGACTGGGAAAGGCAGACCCAGCCTCAATCTGGGAGGGCACCATAAAAGCAGGTATGTAAAGAGCAGACTGGCTGAGTCTTCCAGCCTCCATCTTTCTGCTGTGCTGGATGTTTCCTGCCCTCAAACATTGAACTCCAAGTTCTTCAGCTTTTGGTTCTTGGACCTGCACCAGTAGTTTGCCAGGGGCTGTTGGGCCTTTGGCCACAGACTGAAGGCTGCACTGTCAGCTTCCCTGCTTTTGAGGTTTTGGAACTTGGACTGGCTTCCTGGCGCCTGTGCTTGCAGATGGCCTGTTGTGGGACCTCACCTTGTGATCGCGTGAGTCAATACTCCTTAATAAACTCTCCTTTATATCTACATCTATGTTAGTTCTGTCCCTCTAGATAACCCTGACTAATACACCCCCAAAACTACCCATGATAAAAGTTGACTCTCCTATTCTCTAGAAGCTAGAGATCTGAGCAGTATTTATTTATTTTTTATTGTTTGAGATGGAGTCTTGCTCTGTCACCCAGGCTAGAGTGCAGTGGCACGATCTAGGCTCACTGCAACCTCTGCCTCCTGGGTTCAAGCAATTCTCCTGCCTCAGTCTCCCAAGTAGCTGGGATTACAGGTGCCTGCCAACATGCCCGGATAATTTTTTGGTATTTTAAATAAAGACAGGGTTTCACCATGTTGTCCAGGCTGGTTTCAAACTCCTGACCTCAAGTGATCCACCCGCCTCAGCCTCCCAAAGTACTAGGATTACAGGTGTGAGCCACCGCGCCCGGCCACTCAGCAGTATTTAAGGTTGCAACCTTGGGTTCCTGCACCCATGGCCAAAACACATGTTCACAAAGGGGTCACTGCCAGCTGGTAGCCCTGGGGCAGTGTCCCTTGAACCCAGAGCCTTAAGGTAAAGCATGTAACCTTACTCAGGGCAGGGGAGGGAGGCTTGAAACCCAGGTTCCTGTCTTTGTCCTCTCAGTCCTAGAGGCAAGGCAGGCGTTCCCCAACTCCCCACCTGCACCCTAGCCCCTCCCCTCTCCTGGAACAGTCCAGCGGAGGCAGGCAGTGGAGTCACGGTGCTGCAGCCTGCTTACGCTAATGCCGCAGCTGGACAGTCCCAGGTCAGCCTCAGGGCTACAGGCCTTCTTGGGCATTGAGAGCCCCCTGGGTCTCCTCGACTGCCAACCAGGAGCCCAAGAGACCACAGAGGCCAAGCCGTGGCACCCTTGGTCCCTCCTGGGTGGCCTGGTCTGAAGGCTGGGCTCTGTGCCATTTCCTCCTCTGTGACATCTTTTTAAACATTTTTATAATTTTTTTAGAGACAGGGTTTCTCTCTGTCTCCCAGGCTGGAGTGCAGGGGCACAATCATAGCTGTCTGCAGCCTCCACCTCCCGGGCTCAAGCGATCTCTTGCCTCCGTCTCCCAGAGTGTTGGCATTACAGGCTTGAGCCACTGCGCCCAGCCCTCCCCTGTGACTTCTGCCTCTCTCTCTCCTTTCATCCACTCTTCCTCTCCCTTGGAGGGCTTCACCCTCTGGAGCCTTCAGATAATCTTCCAAAGGGGCTGGAGGCTTCCCCTGTTCCTGGTCTACTGGCTGGGGGATCTGGAAGGATCCGCATACAGATGCCTCTCCACTTCTAGACATGCAGAGATAGGAACAGATTTGCCTGTCCAAGAAAGCAGGCAGTTCTAGCAGCCAACATCAGATGGCAACAGGGGCTGCTTGTGATTAGCCAGTTTAGACTTTGCCTGGGTTCCAAGGAGAGCAGCTTCTTTAGGGGGCTGCCGACTGCACCCCTTGCTGGCTGCTGGGTCCCACTGCCTGATTTGCATCCCCTGGCTCCAGCCACTTTGGGAGTTAGGAACAGGACTGTGGGACCCCCCTCAAGCACCTCCCCACAACCCGCCTGCTCCAGGGCTAAGTTTCACCATCTGGCTCACCCCAGCTCCATTCTGTCCAGCTTCTGCTCACTCCCCTCCCTGCCACCCTAAGTTTTTAGGGCCACAATGTGTCCACTTGGGGCCAACCAGTTATGGGACAGACAACCAGGGATGGGTAGGGGGTGGGGACAGAGCCAAGGTGGAGTGAGGTTTCTTTTTTTTTTTTTTTTTTTTTGAAACGGAGTCTCACTCTGTCGCCCCAGGCTGGAGTGCAGTGGTGCGATCTCGGCTCACTGCAACCTCTGCCTTCTAGGTTCAAGTGATTCTCCTGCCTTAGCCTCCTGAGTAGCTGGGACTACAGGCGTGCACCACCACGCCAGGCTAATTTTTTGTATTTTTAGTAGAGACGGGTTTTCCCTATGTTGGCCAGGCTGCTCTCGAACTCCTGACCTCAGGTGATCTGCCCACCTCGGCCTCCCAAAGTGCTGAGATTACAGGCGTGGGCCTCCGGCCTGGCCCTGGAGCCAGGGTTCTGAAGCCAGGTGAGCCATCAGGAGTTGGAGCAGAGAGAAGATGCTGGGGTTTGGGGTGCCCTGGAGCCAGATAGGAATCTATTGGGCACACCTGGGTCCAGGCTAGGCCGGTACTGGCCAGTAGACCTTGCCTTCAGCTGTGTTGACATGCAGCACCTACACACAGCACTCAATTCCTCAACCCCAGAGAGGTAGGAAGCCCCATTCCTTCTGTTGGGAGTTTCTACTTTGGTACTTGGTTAGTTGACAAGCTTCCCTGTTTCCTCTCACTTTGCAAGAAGGAGGGAGTTAGCTCTTTGAAAAACTAACAACTAATTAGTGCCAGGAAGGGTCTAAGGGGGTCTGGCAGCGGAGGTGACAGAAAAAAAAAAAACAAGGGGAAAGGCTAGCAGAGGTCCCCCCCTAGGGAGTTACTGCACAGTGGGCTGGAGTTTGGGGTTCAATATGGTGGACAAATGTGGGTTCTTACAGGCAAGTGACCTCATCTCTCTGAGCTGTGAGGCATATAGATTCACGTGTGTACATGGTGGGAGTTCAACAAACACCTTCAAACAGCCCTGAAGGTTGCACAGGTGCATTCACATCTCTGATCTCATTTTAGGCCTCCCAGCAGCCTGAGGAGTACAGGGCAGGCTGGAGCGCTGTGTTCCCATTTCACGGCCAGGAAACTGGCTCCAAGCAAGGACGCACCTGCAGCTCAGGGCTCTGACCTTCCCCGCCGTGCGGCACCATTGTCATGGTCGTGGGGCTTCCCTGAGGCAGGCACCCTTTACCCGCCTCCCACCCCATCCTGATCCATGATGCTATCCCTGATAATTACCTGGGATTCATCGGAGACACCAAAGGGCAGTGCCAGACAGAGGCCGCCCTCTTCCCACCACCACCTCTATACATCCCTGGAGATGGGCGTGGGGTGAGGTTGAGAAGTGGCTTGATGCTGTACTGATTTTTTTATTTTTCCTTTCTTTTCTTTCTTTTTTTTTTTTTTGAGATGGAGTCTCGCTGTTGTTGCCCAGGCTGCAGTGCTGTCGTGTGATCTCGGCTCACCGCAACCTCCACCTCCCGGTTCAAGCGATTCTCCTGCCTCAGCCTCCCGAGTAGCTGGGATTACAGGCAGCTGCCACCGTGCCCAGCTAATTTTTGTATTTTTAGTAGAGACGGGGGTTTCACCATGTTGGCCAGGCTGGTCTCGAACTCCTGACCTCAGGTGATCTACCCGCCTCAGCCTCCCAAAGTGCTGGGATTACAGGCGTGAGCCACCACGCCCAGCCTGATTCTTTTTCCAGGTATGCAGACCACTGGCCTCTCGTTGAATCTGTTTTTTGTTGAGTTGTAACTTTGTTGAAATGCACAAATCTTAAGCGCTTCTGGTGCCTTGCTGAGCTCCACAGGCCCCCGGCTATTGAGCCAGGTCCCGTGCCAGGCTCCTCTCTCCAAAGCAGAGAAGTTATTTCCAGGCCAGGCCCCTGTGATTGGGTTTGGGGCCTGCATGGAGCAGTGGCACCGTGGACAGGAAACCCTGGGGGACGCTGAGGCTCCCAGGCCTCTGACTGTGACCACCACACATCTGCCTACAGCTTCCTCTTTCTCTTCCTCTTGACCACGGTACACCCAGGACCAAGCAGGAGAGCAGGTAACCAGTCATCGTGACCAGCTGGTGTGGACTGTGTATGGCCCGGGGACCGTGGGACATGCTGGGGCATGGGGTGCTGAAGCTGCCTCAGCCTCTGGGGGGTGCAGGAGGAGTGGGGAAGCTTCCCCAGAGATGGGCAGGAGGCCAGGGCATGGTCAGTCCCCAGGCAGCGTCAGGCTCTTGCAGCTGGTCTCACCCAGGCTCCTGGGGAAAGGAAGCGAGATCTTCCTAGTCCCAAACCTCTGTCCTTTCCTAATGCCCCTCCCCCTGCAAATCTCATTCAGACCCTGAGTACACAACTCAAAGTACACACAGCAAGAGTACCAAGAGGCAGTAAGTTCCCCCCAGAGGTCAGCCTACCCCCACTCTCCATCCTGTGCTCAGCAGCTGACAAGCTGTTCATCCCAATGAGGGGGCCACAGTCACGCCGCCCTGATCCCGCCTCTCAGCTCTGCGTGCCCAGCCTCTGGGCTGCCCTTGAGTGGCACCCATGGGGCCAAGGCCCTCCTTGCTTCAAGCTCAGGGGGAGGAAGGAACAGAGTGGATGGGGAACAGCCCAGGCTGCCCTGGCGGGAGGGTGGCTCTAGAGATTGGGCTGCTTTCAAAAGGGAAGTTCTGCTGAGAAACTACAGCCCATCCACTCCCCACATCTTTTCTGAGGACTGGGTGGTTCACAGGACTCAATGCTGCTGCTGCAGGTCTTCCCAGAAAGCACCCCTCATTGGCCTCTGAGCACGTGTGTCCACACCAGGAAGAGACTCCAGAGCTGATCAGAAGTTTTGTGGCTGCTGTGGGACCACTTCTCACCCTCACCCCTGGGAAATGGGCCTCAGCCCTGTGGCCTCATCTCCTCCTCCCCCTGAGTCATGTCACCTGATGGTTATCGGGACACAGCCGGAATGTGCAACTTCCGGCAAAAAACTCTCATGTTTTGTGGTTATTTTGCACCATTTTGTTTCTTCCTTTGGGTTTGTGGACAGGATGGGGTGAGCAGGATGGGCGTGGCAGGGTCTAAGTCCCCTGATCCCTTCTCCTTTGCAGTAAGTCAGGTGTTTCTCTATGTGCCTAAGGAGAATTGCATCCCATAGATTAAAGTGTAAAGCGCACTTCCTGTGGAATCCAATTTTCCTATTACCTTTCATCAAAAGTAGAGATATATTCCCTCAGAAAAAACTGACCTGAGGATGTTAAGGAACACTGACATTTCAGTATTTGTATAATCATAATAATATTTATTCCCACAGAGGAGCTGTCATTATTGACGTTTTACAGAAGCCACAGGCTTTGCTCAAGTTCATTCGGTGGTAAGTGGACAAGCCACGCCAGAACTTAGCCTTCTGCTTCTCTGTCTGGCCTGGACGTTCAAGATTGCAGCAGCGCCTTTTTGGTCATGGTTGAATCAAAAAATAATTTTTGAGAAACTTTGCAATGATCAGGCCACATAAGCCACCGAATATGACACATCTCCTGCATTTTTATGTTCAGCTCAACAGTGTCATGATCCAAAGTGTCTTGGATCTTTTTTTTTTTGAGACGGAGTCTTGCTCTTGTCACCCAGGCTGGGGTGCAATGGCACGATCTTGGCTCACCGCAACCTTTGCCTCTCGAGTTCAAGCGATTCTCCTGCCTCAGCCTCCCGAGTAGCTGGGATTGCAGGTGCCCGCCACATTTTTTTTATTTTTAGTAGAGACAGGGTTTTGCCACGTTGGCCCGGCTGGTCTCGAACTCCTGACCTCGTGATCCGCCTGCCTCGGCCTCCCAAAGTGCTGGGATTACAGGAGTGAGCCACCGCGCCCGGCCCGAAGTGTCTTGGATCTTAATGAGGTTTAGTTAATCTATGACTGCATCATCATGAAAATTTCCACAATGTCCACCAGGCTTTGTCATTGAATCTTCCAGCAGCAGAGCCCATAGGTCTCCTTGGCTTCCTGACACCTTCGTGGGCAAGGCGCCCCTGTGTTCAGAAGGAAGAGGAAAGTGACAAATTCCAAAAAGGGCCAGAGGGAAGGATATTCTTGGGATCCCATAGCTGGCACAGGGCTCCATGTGGGTGGACACTCTGAGCTTGGGGACTGCAAGCTCCCAGGTGACGCATTACACATTAGGAGTGGCATTTCCTGTGCCCACCTGGTCATTCTGTGCAAGCTGGGGCACCTACTCAAGGCACGTGTGTGAGACTGTGTGTGTGTGAGTGTATGTCACTGTGTGTGAATGTGTCAGTGTGTGAGTTTGTGTGTGAATGTGTGAGTGTATTTCAGTTGTATATGTAAGTGCGTTGTGTGAATTTGAGTGTTTCAATGTGTGAATGTGTATGTGTGTTTGTATCAGTGTGTGTGAATTTGTGTTTGTGTGTGAATGTGAGTTTGTGAATGTGTGTGGGTGAGAGTGCCTGTGTGTTTGTGTGTGTGTATATGTGTGTGTGCATGAACGTGTGTTTGTGAATGTGTGCGTATGTGTGTGTTTGTGAATGTGTGTGGGTGTGTGAATGTGTTTGTGTGAGTGTATGTGTGTGGGTGTGTGTGAATGTGTGTGTATGTGAGTGTGTTTGGGTGAGTGTGTGTGTATGTGAGAGTGTGAGTGTGTTTGTGTGTGTTTGTGTGTGGGTGTGTGAATGTTTGTGTGTGTGTGTGTATGTGCATGAACGTGTTTGTGAATGTGTGTATGTGTTTGTGTGTACGTGTGTGTATGTGTTTGTGAAAGTGTTTGTGAATGTGTGTGTGAGTGTGTATATGTGAGTGTATGTGCATGAACGTGTTTGTTTGTGAATGTGTTTGTGTGTATGTGTGAGTGTGAATGTGTGGGTGTGTGTGAATATGTGTGCATGTGAGTGTGTATGTGAGTGTGTGTTTGTGAATGTGTGTGGGTGTGTGAATGTGTGTTTGTGTGTATGCGAGTGTGTTTGTGAATGTGTGGGTGTGTTTGTGTGTTTGTGAATGTGTGTGGCTGAGTGTGTTTGTGTGTGTTTGTGAATGTGTGTGGGTGAGTGTTTGTGTGAGTGTGTATGTGAGTGTGTTTGTGAATGTGTGTGGGTGAGTGTGTTTGTGTGAGTGTGTATGTGAGTGTGTGTTTGTGAATGTGTGTGGGTGAGTGTGAGTGTGTGTATGTGAGTGTGTGTTTGTGAATGTGTGTGGGTGAGTGTGTGTGGGTGTGAGTGTGTATGTGAGTGTGAGCGTGTGTGTGTTTAGAGTCTGCACTCTGTGTGGATCAGGAAAGGGGTCCTTGCAGGCTCGCTGAGTCCCTGCTCTGTGCCCAGCCCCGAGTTGGCTCCAATGGGGCTATATAGAAAGGAAGGCATGGCCGGAGGACCTCTGTGTCAAGTTGAGGACACATTTCCAAGACTAGGAACCATTCAGGGACTCTGGAGTCACGATGACAACTCCCCTTCCCTCAGCCCCGAAGCCCAGGCCTGGACCTCCAAGGGACTCAGGGAAGGGACTCAGGAAAGGGGAGTTCCCCCTGGCAGCCTCCTCGTGGGCACCACCGAGGGTGAGAGGAGCCAGCTCAGCGGGTCCCACCCCCAGGGTTGCCCACCTTGACCACAAGGAAAGGAGGGAGGAGTTATTGGGCCTTCCACTAGGAGGAGACCCGGGGAAGTGAGAGTCGGGGATCAGTCCTGCAAGCTACGGAGTCACTACAGGGAGAGGTCTCATCACTAGAAATAGCCGAAGAACCTGCAGCCTCAACCAGCGTTAAGGAGGACGTGCCGTTTCTAGGGAGTCTTAGTCGGGGCTCACCAGCTTCCTGCATTTTCTGACCGGCTCCAGGAATAGAACCAAAAGAAGCTGAACAAGGAAGCAGCGCGGCACCAAGA
Source organism: Homo sapiens (assembly GCF_000001405.40). Taxonomy (NCBI): domain Eukaryota; kingdom Metazoa; phylum Chordata; class Mammalia; order Primates; family Hominidae; genus Homo; species Homo sapiens. The sequence goes on from NC_000017.11 coordinate 74,466,608, forward strand.
AAAGCAGAAGTCGGGGCCTTGGAGGCGTGACTTTCCCCTCGGGTCCAGGTAGGGCCTGGAGCTGCTGCAAGTGCCGCCTGTGCTGGGGAAGGGACCATGTGGCTGCCTTGGGCTCTGTTGCTTCTCTGGGTCCCAGGTGAGAGTTTCCCTTCCCGGGAAAGTCTGCGGCAGGGAGGGAGGGTGCGAGGGGCAGGGCCGCAGGGCAGGTATCACACGAGACGCCCCGAGTCTGGACTCCGTGCAGAACGCAGAATGCGGTGCGCTCTGTCTACCACATAAGATGGACAGATGAAGGTCCACACCCCTGGGAGAGGAAGGAGCCAGGGCCTCTCCCGGCTCTGCACCCACGTACCTTGGCTGAACCACAGCGGGGCAAGTGATAAGGGGTGGGTGCAGAAAAGGGACCTTTTAGGTTTTCAGTTGAATTCTTACAGGAAGGGGGACGAGAGGCAGGATGTGTCAGGGTGGGTGGAGAGTGGCAGCCACTGACTGCGAGGGGCATGTGGTGAGGGTGGGGGAGATGCCGGGCTCACTGGGTGCAGGGTATGGAGGAGGGGGGTGTGGGGAGGGTGGGGGAGATGCCGGCCTCACTAGGTGCAGGGTACGGAGGAGGGGGTGGGGCGGTGAGGGAGATAGGGTCGGGGTGGGGAGCAGATCGATAGTCTCTGGAATGCGGAGATTTAACCAGGGCAGCCCAGCGGCTGGGGCCTGAGCAGGGGGAAGTCCCGAGGCAGCCTTGGCTGGGGTTAGCCCCTGCATGGGCCTGAGAACCAGGGGTCAGTCCTCTCCAAGAAGGGGATATGGGACAGAGGGGACAGAAAAGGTGGTGGGGAGGGCGAGGAGGGAAAAGATCGGGCAGAGAAGCGCTGAGATCTTCTTTAGGGAGAAGCGTGGAGTTGAGTCTTCCCTGTCCAAGCGCAGGGATTCCTCCCGCAGAGTCACCTGCTGTGCCTTCAGTCACGTCCACCGCTCTCCTCAGACAGCTCCTGTGCAGACTCCTCAGGCCTAGTCCTAGGGTATTGTACGTCTTTGTGGTTGCTTTCCTTACAGATCGGAGGTTTTCTGCAATTATATTTGCTAACTACTTGTCTGTGGGAAGGTTATTACTTTTGGTGTCTTGACTTGGAAACGGGTCATCCTCCCATAACAGGTGCTCCTGCGATTCTCTTGGGTGTTCTTCTGTTTCATAGGGTCGGTGTGCATGGGAAGGTTTCAGTTCCTGTCTAATATCTGTTTCTCTTTCTCCCATTGACTCATTGGCTGGTACAGCCGGAGTGAGGCCCAGCGGACATAGTGGTAGTGGTTGTCCCTGCCTTGTTGCTGACTCAGGGAAAAAGGACCAGAGCTTCTCATTATTAGGAAGAAGGGATCCACCAATGACTATTCACAAAGCATTTTTACTTTTATTTATTTATTTATTTATTTATTTATTTATTTATTTTTTGAGATGGAGTTTTGCTCTTGTTGCCCAGGCTGGAGTGCAGTGGCGCGATCTTGGCTCACTGCAACCTACGCCTCCCAGGTTCAAGTGATTCTCCTGCCTCAGCCTCCCGAGTAGCTGAGATTACAGGCATGTACCACCATGCCTGGTTAATTTTGTATTTTTAGTAGAGATGGGCTTTCTCCATGTTGGTCAGGCTGGTCTCAAACTCCCAACCTCAGGTGATCCACTCACCTTGGCCTCCCAAAGTGCTGGGATTGCAGGCGTGAGCCACCAAGCCTGGCCAACATTTTTATTTTTTTGAGACAGGGTCTCCCTCCGTCACCCAAACTGGAGTGCGGTGGTGCAATCACGGTTCACTGTAGCCTCCACCTCCCGGGCTCAAGTGATCCTCCCACCTCAACCTCCCCAGTAGCTGAGACTACAGGTGTGTGCCACCACACCCAGCTGGATTCTTAATTTTTTTTAGGGACAGGGTCTTACCATGTTGCCCAGGCTGGCCTCCACCTCCTGGGATCAAGGGATCCTCCCATCTTGTCCTCCCAAAATGCAGGGATTACAGGCATGAACCACCACACCTGGCCCCTACAAAACATTTTTTATTTTATTTTTATTTATTTTTTTGGAGACAGAATCTCACTCTATCACCCAGGGCTGGAGTGCAGTGGCTTGATCTCAGCTCACTGCAACCTCCGCCTCCCGGGTTCAAGTGATTCTCCTGCCTCAGCCTCTTGAATAACTGGGCTTACAGGCACCCACCACCACTGCTGGCTAATTTTTTTGTATTTTAGTAGAGACGGGGTTTCACCATGTTGCCCAAGGTGGTCTCGAACTCCTGAGCTCAGGCAATCTGCCAGCCTTGGCCTCCGGCCCCCACAAAATACCATTTTTATTATTTATAGAAATTATTATTATTATTATCCTTTCAGCTATGAAGGAGGTGAACTACATTAGGAGATCTGGTCAGATGTTTGTCTTGATTTATTATGCTGGCTTCATGGAAAGAATTAGGGAGATCTCCCTGTTTCCGTGTTCTCTGCAAATGTTTACATAAAATTGAAATTATTTGTTCCTTGAAGTTTTTAGAGAACTAGCTTGTAAAACTGTCTGAGTTTTGCTTCTTTTTTTTTGATGGAAGGGAAAGAATTTCTTAATAACACTCATCATTTTTGGTCTACATTAAAAAAAATCTAGCTGGGTGCAGTGGCTCACACCTGTAATCCCAGAATTTTAGGAGGTTGAGGTGGGAGGATAGCTTAAGCCCAGGAGTCCGAGACTGGCCTGGGCAGTATAGCAAGCAAGACCCCGTCTCTTAAAAAAAAAAAAAGTCTATTCTTGGCCTACATTGATGATTTATATTTTCCTAAAAAATCATCAGTGTCGCCCAGGTTTGCAGACTTATTTGCAGAGATTTGCAAATTTTTCTTTTGAATTTTATATCTGCGTCTTCTTTATTTTTGGTCTGACTACCTACTAGTCTAATTAATTGTTTGAGGCCAGGCACGTTGGCTCACGCCTGTAATCCCAGCACTTTGGGAGGCCAAGGCGGGTGGATCACTTGAGGTCAGGAGTTTGAGACCAGCCTGGCCAACATGGTGAAACCCCGTGTCTCCTAAAAACACAAAATTAGCCAGGCATGGTAGTGTGCACCCTGTAGTCCCAGCCACTCGGGAGGCTGAGACATGAGAGTCACTTGAACCCAGGAGGCGGAGGTTGCAGTGAGCCGAGATCATGCCACTGAGCTCTGGCCTGGGCGACAAGAGCGAAACTCTGTCTCAAAAAAATGAAATAAAATAATTAATCATTTACCCCTTACAAAAAAATCCATTTATTAATGTATATACTAACTCCACTGTTTTTCTGTTTCTTAATTCACTGATTTCTGTGAATTCACCAGTTCGTGAAAGATGACCTGGTTCTTTCTGTGTTGTGTGTGGGTGTGTGTGTTCCTCTTCTGACCTCTTGAGTTGGACAATTCAGTCATTTACCTGAGAGTTAATGGGTCAAGATTCTGTGATCTTCAAGGAAAACGTTAAGACGACAGAGGAATATCCTGGTAGAGGACCCTGGCCCCAAGGTGGTCCCCAGTCTCCTGTTTATGATTAGAGGGGTTTGGGGTGGTGATTCAGGTTGGAAGAGAGAAAGCGCAGAAACACAAGCCTGGGAGCACTGGGGATCCATGTGATCGTTCCAGGTAAGTGGGGAAGTAAATGGAGGGTTTTCTGACACTTCGCAATCTCTAAATTATAATGACACCCTCACAGGTGGAACAGAGCTTTGGGGAGATGATTGGGTGACAGTTTTTTATCCAAGATTTCAGAGAAGAGAAGTTAATCAGGAGAGAGAGAAAGAGAGAGAGCTAGAGGGAGAGAGAGAGAGGGAGAAAGAAACTAAATCCGAAGGGAAGTCAGACACTGGAGGTAGGACGAGAGACAGGATTGGGTGCAGTGGGCAGAGGTGGTGGGGTCACTGAGGTCAGGAGAGAAGCCAAAACATGGACAAAGAAAGATGACGATTCGCAGCCCAGGAGAGGCAGGGAATCGGGTCAGGACAGGGAGCAGGAACAGTGTCTTGGGTGAAGGAGGGCTGGGAACTGACAGTTTTTATTTATTTTTTTTGAGATAGAGTCTCACTCTGTCGCCCAGGCTGGAGTGCAGTGGTGTGATCACAGCTCACTGCAACCTCCACCTCCTGGACTCAAGTGATCCTCCCGCCTCAGCCTCCTGAGTAGCTGGGAATACAGGCACGTGCCACCATGCCTGGCTAATTTTTTGTGTTTTTGGTAGAGATGGGGGTCTCACCACATTGCCCAGGCTGGCCTCAAATGCCTAAGGCTCAAGCAATCCTCCCACTTTGGCCTCCCAAAGTGCTAGGATTACAGGCATGAGCCACTGCACCTGGCCTATTTATTTATTTGAGTCAGGGTCTCACTCTGTCACCCAGGCTGAAGTGCAGTGATGCGATCATAGCTCACTGCAGCCACAACCTCCTGGGCTAAAATGATCCTCCCACCTCAGCCTCCTGAGTAGCTGGGACCACACGTGTGCACCAGCACACCTGGCTAATTTTTGTATTTTTTTGTAGAGATGGAATCTCACTATGTTGCCCAGGCTCCATTTACTTATTAAGTACTTAATATGTGTCAATTTTAGTGATTTGTGTTTTTCTAGAAAATAACTTTCATCTAAGTTTATGAATTTTATGTAGAGAATTTCTGCAAAATATCTTGACTCTTCATTCTTTCTTCATCTATGGTCCTTTTCTCTTGTCATGTCTTATTTAGTCAGCCCAGAGGTTATCTATTTTTATTAGCTGGAGTCATGTGAAACCCTGTTGTCTTGGTCAAAAAGTTTAATATCAGCCATTTCATGTGATTCAACCTAATGTTATTTACCAGGCATTTTATACCTGTGATCTCATTTAACACCCTCAAAGGCCATATGAGTCAGGGACAATTGTCACCACTCTATAGACAAGGTGTCTGAAGCTCAGAGAGGTTAACTAACTTGCCCCAGAACACACAGCTGATACGTAATAGGGTAGAGATGTAAACGCAGATGGTTCTGAGGATCTTTCTGCTTTGTCCTGGCAATTGCTGCTGAGAGCCTCAGGAAGCATCACACCTGTGACAAGCTTAGAAAGGCCTTCTCTGCAGGGGGATGTGTACATCCAGGCGTGGAGAGGTTTGGGTGGGACTCTGGGAGAGGCACAGAGGAGCTTATCTTTGGGCAGCCGTGGGCTGGGTGTGGAGCTAGTGGGGTCCAGGAGAAGCTTGCACTGAAGTTTTTGTAGAGGGCCTACAGGTGCAAGGCACCTGTAGACGTTGAAGGTATAAGAAGGAGACCCCTACCAAAGTCTCATGTGTGAGGAGATTTAGCATCTGAAACAGTAAGTAAAATTAAAGAGTTCTGGCCAGGCGCAGTAGCTCATGCCTGTAATCCCAGCACTTTGGGAGGCCGAGGCAGGTGGATCACCTGAGGTCAGGAGTTCGAGACCAGCCAGGCCAACATGGTGAAACCCTGTCTCTACTAAAAACACAAAAATTATCCGGGTGTGGTGGACGCCTGTAATCCTAGCTACTCGGTAGGCTGAGGCAGGAGAATCGCTTGAACCCGGGAGGCAGAGGTTGCAATGAGCCGAGATCCCGCCACTGCACTCCAGCCTGGGCAACAGAGCAAGACTCCATCTCAAAAAAAAAAAAAAATCAAAGAGTTCTAACCCAAGGAAAGAAGAGCAAGCCCCCATCCCCACCATCCTTGAACAATATGGGGCCTAATCACAGAATTACAAGGGCATTGAGACACTGCACACACAACTGCCCAGCAGGCCTGTGCCCATCTGCCTGGGGCAGGGGCCATGTGTCCTCTGCTTGGCAGCCAACACTAGCTTCGAGCCATCACCTTACTCTCCTTGCTTTGCATCTGATAATTATTTGGGAAAATGTCAGACATAATTTTCAAGGAAGTTCATTTATTTCCGAGATTTAAGTCTAGGAGAGCTGGGCAAACTAAGGTAAGACACAGGATGAAAGTTTTCGTCAGCAAGCCTTCTGCGTTTGTGACTCTTTTTTTTTTTTTTTGAGACAGAGTCTCACCCTGTCACTCAGGCTGGAGTGCAGTGGTGCCATCTCAGCTCAACATAACCTCCGCCTCCAGGGTTGAAGCGATTCTTGTGCCTCAGCCTCCCCAGTAGCTGCAATTACAGGCGCATGCCACCACGCCCAGCTAATTTTTGTATTTTTAGTAGAGACAGGGTTTCACCATGTCGGCCAGGCTAGTCTCGAACTCCTGGCCTCAAGTGATCCACCCACCTTAGCCTCCCAAAGTGCTGGGATTACAGGCATAACCCACTGTACCCAGCCAGTATTCTTGTCAAAATGGCTTGACAACCCTATTACTGCCCGGGTTTGCCCCTTGGTGGGACCAGATCAGTGTGTGGGCCGGTCTTCCTCTTGCAGGGTTGCCCAGGGCTGGGGTGGCCCTCCCGGGAGTGCAGGTGCTTAGGGGTGAGTTCTCATGCTCCTGGCAGGTTTGGAAGCAGGAGGCCCCTGGTGGGTGAGAGGGGTGGGAAGGGTAAGGGAAAGGAGGCAGGGGGCTGGAGAAAGGGGCTACTATGAGCAAAATCTTGAGGGTGGTAGAGCAGAAAAGAGAATACTCAAGCTGTGATCTGGCTGATGGGGCTGATATGAGGTGAAGGAGTCAGGGGCTGAGGGCTGGGGGTGCTGATGTGGAGTCGGGGAATCTTTGGAGGAGGTGACTCCAGGGCACCCAGCCTGAGCTCTTCCGGTCTCCATGGAAAGCCTCTGCCCCATTCCCACCTGTGTGCGGAGGTAGCCTCTCATCCTCAGTCCCCGCTCCTGGGTGGACAAGGCCTCTCTGCCTGCCGCTGCCTCCTCCACACCCCCAGGGTCCATGCGGCCCTGACCCCAGGGCACCCCTGACCAGGCTCATCTGAGGAGGAGCTGGGACTCTGGCTTGTGTTTTCCAGGATGTTTTGCTCTGAGCAAATGCAGGACCGTGGCGGGCCCCGTGGGGGGATCCCTGAGTGTGCAGTGTCCCTATGAGAAGGAACACAGGACCCTCAACAAATACTGGTGCAGACCACCACAGATTTTCCTATGTGACAAGATTGTGGAGACCAAAGGGTCAGCAGGAAAAAGGAACGGCCGAGTGTCCATCAGGGACAGTCCTGCAAACCTCAGCTTCACAGTGACCCTGGAGAATCTCACAGAGGAGGATGCAGGCACCTACTGGTGTGGGGTGGATACACCATGGCTCCGAGACTTTCATGATCCCGTTGTCGAGGTTGAGGTGTCCGTGTTCCCGGGTGAGCCCCTCCTTCCCTCAGCGCCTAAATAGGCTCAGGTTGGAATTGTTGGGGCAGGAATCAGATCAGAGACGTGAAGCAGACAGTGTGTGTGTGTGTGTGCGTAAGAGAGAGAGAGGTGGGGGCCAGGGGAACACAGTCAGGGGGTCTCTCCTGGAGCAGCTGACATGTCTGCCCAGTATTGAAGAAGGGAAGGGTCCAGTGACAGGGAGGCTGAGAGAGCGTTGCCTGTGAAGGAGCCAGGAGCGCACCTGTGGCTCAGCCCCAACGGAAGTGCAGCTGAGTGGGGGAGGGGTGGGGCTGAACAGAGAGGCTGGGGGGCCAGATGGGAAGCTGCTGTCCTCAGGGGGAGCCTTACCACATGACAGGTCAGATTTGCAGTGTAGACAGACTCCTCTGCAGCATGGAGTTTCGCAGGAGCACCTGGACCCTCATCAGCAGGATGGAAAATCAGGACCACTGGGAGTGGCACCCGTGTCCTGTTCAGAAATGCCCAGTTGGCCCAGGAGGGTCCTGGAGAGACTCTAGCCCCAGGGTCCTGCATCCTGCCCCCTTCCTTAGTGGGCAGTTTGTGTGAAATCAAACCAAAAAGGCATCCTGAGTGGTGGGAGAGCCAGAGGACAGCTCCCTGGGTCTGACTTGTGGTTTTGCCACCAGCATCAACGTCAATGACACCTGCAAGTATCACTGCGGCCAAGACCTCAACAATCACAACTGCATTTCCACCTGTATCATCCACTACCCTGTTTGCAGTGGGTGCCACCCACAGTGCCAGCATCCAGGAGGAAACTGAGGAGGTGGTGAACTCACAGTAAGCACCCTAGCCCCTGAGACATGGAGGGGGCCCTGTGCTAAGAGGAGGAGCCCAGGGCGGGGACCTTGGCCATGTGGGCCAGCTGGAGGTGTGCATCGCTCCCTTTGCCCCAGGCCCAGGTTGGAAGCCATAGTCTGAACACCCCGGCTTGGACCTGCCCTTGGCTTTGGAAGGGGGCTCAGGTAGGGGGGAAGTTGGGGGGCAGATGGAAGGAAAGTGATAGTTACTGACAGCTGGTAACATCCTACGAGGCCCGTGTTAGATGCTTCACATGAGTATTCTCACTTGCCTTTCACTGCAGCCCTGTACTGTTGTCATTCCGTGTATTAGTCTGTTTTCGCACCGTTGATAAAGACATACCCGAGACTGGATAAATTATAATGAGAAAGAGGTTTTAATGTACTCACAGTTCCACATGGCTGAGGAGGCCTCACAATCAAGGCAGAAGGCAAAAGGCATGTCTTACATGGCAGCAGGCAAGACAGAGAATGAGAACCAAGCAAAAGGGGTTTCCTCTTATAAAGCCATCAGACCTCGTGAGACTTATTCACTACCACAAGAACAGTATGGAGCAAACCACCCCCATGATTCAGTTATCTCCCACTGGGTCCCTCCCACAACACGTGGGAATTATATGGGAGCTACAATTCAAGATGAGATTTGGGTGGGGACCCAGCCAACCCACATCAATCCCCATTTTACAGATGAGTAAACTGAGACTCAGCGAGGTGAAGCAATTTGCCCAGTCAAGTAGCTACAAGAGGCTAAGGCTAAGCTTCCAATTCTGGTTTATGTGACTCCAGAGCCTTGAGTTCTCCTCTCTAAATAGTGGTTCTTAACCTTTTTCGGGTTCACCAACCCCACATAGAATCTGACATCTATGGACACTCTCCCCAGAAAAACACATGCAGTCACAAACCTTTTCTGGGATTCACGGACTCCCTATTCTAGCACAAAACCCCACAATTCCATCCTGGCACTATCCACCCAGAGTTAGTGCAGACCCCACAGGTGAAGAGCTTCCACATCTAAATCAGATCCCACAAGACCGCCCTGATTTAGATGCCAGTCGAACTTTGGGGATCCCCAGGCCACCACACTTCTGACCAACTGGATGCAAATTTGGGGGTTCCCAGGACCCCCCCAGGTTCAATAATTTGTTAGACTCAGAACTCTGGAAAGCATTATACTTACAATTACAGTTTTATCATAAGGATAAAGGATAAAGATTAGGACCAGCCAATGCAGAGACACATAGGACAAGGCTTGGGAGGATTCCCAAACAGTTTCTGTGCCCTCTCCAGGTGGAATCAGGGAGCATCACCTGCACCCTCCCTGCGGCACCTCAATATATTTATCAACCAGGAAGCTCCTCCAAGCTTTGGTGTCCAGAGTTTTTATTGGGGTTTCATTACATAGGCATGATGTGATTGAACTGTCTCCACCTCCAGTCCCTCTTTGGGAGGTTGGGCTGGCTCAGGGCTCCAAATCTCTAATTACGTAGTTGGTCTTTCTGGTGACCAGCCCCATCCTATTGTCTCATCTCTTACCAAAGTCCAGGTGTGATTCATGAACAACAAAGACACTCCTAATTTTTGGGACATTCCAAGGATTTAGAGCCTCCCTCCTAAGAGCTAGGGACAAAGGCCAGCCAGATTCTTTACTGGACAACATCCATAAACCCCTCCACAGGCTTCTGCCAACATATAAGACAAGGCAAAATTCAGGCTTGAACATGCCACTTCCAGAAGTTTAGCCTGTAGATACACATAGGTGGCAGCGCTGAGTTCTGTGGGGCCTGAAGGTTGTGCAGTTTGCGGGGTGGGTTGGTGGGTGGGTAATCTAAGAAAAAGATGAGAAAATTATGAATGCAAACGTAGGCATGAAGGAAAGGGCCCAAGCAATGGAGGGACCTGAAGCTGGGCTGCATCAGCCTCCTGGTCAATCTGCTGCTGCGTGGTCAGGTGTGAAAAGGTGGAGCTGCAAGGCGATTTATAAGCAACGTTTACCATTGCAAAGGACTGGGGAAATGCCCATTCAGTGGGAACATTTAAATAAATCACAGTCTATCCATGTGTTGGAATACCCTGCAGCTATAGGAAAGAGTGAGGGACTTCTTTATGTACTGACGTGGAAAGACCTCTAAGATGTATTGCTAAGTAAAACCAGAATAGTGTTAGACGAGGCCTCCTTTGTGTGAAAGAGAAAGGAGATCCCGTACATTCGTATTTGCTTGTATACACATAAAGAAACTCTGGAAGGTTCTTAAGAACAGCACGTGTGTGTATGTGGGGAAATTGGGGAATGTGTAAATGGGGGGTGTGTAGAAAGGGGGCTTTATACTGTCTATTTTTTTTAATTGACCTTATCTATCTACTTAAAAAGTTAGAGAAGGAGACCAGGTATATTGGCTCATGCCTGTCATCCCAGCATTTTGGGAGGCTGAGGCAGGAGGGTGGCTTGAGCTCAGGAGTCTGAGACCATCCTGGGCAATATAGCAAGATTGAGTCTCTACGAAAAATTTAAAAATTAGCCGTGGTGGCCTGTGCCTGTAGCTGGAGGCTGAGGCAGGAGGATCACTTGAGCCCAGGGGTTCAAGGCTGCAGTGAGCCATGATCACCACTGCACTCCAGCCTGGGTAACAGAGCCAGATCCTGTCTCAAAAAATAAAAATAAAAAATAAAAATAAAAAAGTAAGTTGGAGAAGGCAAGTTGGCCCCGCCCTTACCATCCTGTGCCTCCTCCAGGCTCCCGCTGCTCCTCTCCCTGCTGGCATTGTTGCTGCTTCTGTTGGTGGGGGCCTCCCTGCTAGCCTGGAGGATGTTTCAGAAATGGATCAAAGGTGAGTTGGCTCCCCACACCCCTCTGCCCCACCTGGGGTGGTCAGACCCTGACCACAGACGCTCATCTTCAAAGCTATGTCCACGTCCCACAGTATTGCTATGACATGTGACACCCAGACCACACATCCTAGGTGATCCTACAGGGCAGGTCCCATGGGAGGCATCCTTGTGCGTGGTGGTTACAGGCTGTGAGAGGTGGCTCCCAAGCAGGAGGCTTTCCCACTTCCAGGCCAAGGGTGGTTGCCCCATGAAGCAATGACCCTCTTCTGTTTAAAACCCTGGCATGGTGTGCTGGGTGCAGTGGTGTGCATCTGTAGTTCCAGCTACTCAGGAGGCTGAGATGGGAGGATTGCTTGATCCCAGGAATTCAAGACCAGCCTGCGCAACACAACAAGGCTCCCGTGTCTATAAGATAAAATAAACCCTTGCATGGTCTCCCCCACCATAAAAAGTCCAGGTATCTACAGGAGTCACTGCCCTCCACGATCTGGCTCTACCCACCTCCCTCTCCCCATCCGCGCACCCTGGAAACCAACTTCTTGTATCTCCTTTAATGACAGCCTCAACCTCAGCCTCTCCTCTCCTTCTGGGTTTGCTCTGGGCTGGAGGGCCTCCCCTGCCCCCTCTCCCCAGCTCACTCCCAGTGGACTCCAACAGTGGTCCTCAGACTTTCTTTTCTCTGGGACCTTTTCTTTGACTCCAAAGAGTGGCTTGGGGCCCCTCCTGGCTATACCTCTGCTGTCACAGCCTTTTGGGAACCAGACTGTCATTGCTGGTGTCCTCATCTGCCTTCCCACAGGCATGTGCTTCAAGGAGGTACAGAACCAATATTTGTCAAATTAATGTGTTATTCAGTATCTCCAGCTGCAACGGGCACCCCAGGGGCCTCCAGGCAATCTCTAGTCCAGCTGCCCTCCTCTGAGCTCAGATTAAAAGAGAGAACAGGAACTCTTGGCACTCAGTAAGTAGATGCTCAATAAATAGCTGATAGGCAAATTGAATAAGCACAGGAACAGAGGAACAAGTGGAGGTGTGGCCACCAGTCCTCTAGATTGCAGATCCCTGGCCGAGGTCAAGTGTAAGCCTGAAGCTTCCTCCCTGTTCGGAGAGTTGAAGATTCCACAGGCAGAAGATTCTCAGGGGAATCTTTGTCCAAAGCCTTCCAAGACTGCAGTGAGACTGGGGTGGGAAGAGATGGGGTTATCCTGTCCCATAGCTGCAGGATAAGCTGCTGCATGCTTGGTGGGGGGCACTGCTCACACATATCCCCAGTGCCTCCTGTGGCGCCCAGGCTTTTGGCGGAGAAATCAGCCTCAGTAGATCTGTGCAGGGTGTATGGGAAGAAAACCACTTCCTCTTTCCCATCTGCTTTGTGTGTGTCATTTTCTGGTAATCCCATCCTAAACTTCAGCACCCACGTGGATGCCACTGGGTTGTCTCAGTTCTGAGCCCCTTTCGGTTTCCTTTGTGCCCTTTCACCCAGAAAGTCTCTGGCTCCTCAAAGAGCCTCCTCCCCCCTTGAAAAGGATGTATGTGATTATTGTAGGAAGTTTGAAAAATGAGCAAAAGCACAAAGAAGGAAATAAATCCCCCATCATCGATGATAACTAAAAACCCCACCACCTAGAGAAAACCAGCCACTGGCCCCTGAGGTATATCCTTCCAGTCTTTTTTTCTATGCCTATGTAAATGCATCTATGATTTCTTTTTTTTTCTCTTTTTTGAGACAGAGTCTCACTCTGTCACCCAGGCTGGCGTGCAGTGGCATGATCTTGGCTCACTCCAGCCTCGACCCCCCACTGCCCGGGGCTCCAGTGATCCTCCTGCCTTAGCCTCCCAAATAGCTGGGACTACAGGTGCTCACCACCACGTCTGGCTAATGGTTAAATTTTTTTTTTTAAGAGATGGGGTTTCACTATGTTGCCCAGCCTGGTCTTGAACTCCTGAGCTCAAGCCCAGAGTGCTGGGATTACAGATGTGAGCCACCACACCCAGTCATGCATCTGCGATGTCTTAACAAATTGGCCTCATACCACTCATTCTCTTTTAAACCTACATTTTTGCACTTAACATATGGTACCATGTTCCCAGCTAGTAAATGTTCTAAAAATCACAGACGCAGAGTTTACTGGTGTCTTAAGCTTCCTGTAACCCATCCTCAGTAACAAGATAAAGGCTTTCTATTCAAACATTTTTGACTCTCTGTCCCCTGCTTTGCAAGTCCGTGCCCCATCCCCTGACTGTGTGGCTGGGGCTGACTTCCCCTTGCCCTGCCTGGAGCCTGACACCTGCCTCATCACACCTACTCCCCACTCTTTCCCCCAGCCCACATTTGTCGTTCATTCATTCGTACAACAAAGCTGTCCTGAGCACCTACTGTGTGCCAGGCCTGTGCTGGGCCCTGGGGACAACATTGTGACTGGGGTAGACTGGGTCTTACCTTCAGTGAGCTTCCCCTACCGCTGGCTCCCCCAAACCTTCTCACTACCACCCTCCTTCCCGGGCGTTGAACTCCTGTCTCTTCCCCACCAGCTCTTTTTCTCCTTCCCATCAGAACACTTGTCCCAGGTGGGGACAGGGAGGGCAGTGTGGTGCCTGCGCACAGCACTTGGAAGCAGGGCACTTCGCACCCCAGAGTACCCGGCTGCGCACTCCATTAGGTCAGCTGTGGCTCAGCAAGCCCGTCACTATACGTGGTCTTGTGTCTCCCAACCGTGGGCTCCTCCCCTTTAATTCTGGGGGAGGAGCCCACAGATCCCCACAGCATCCAGTGCAGTGGGCTCTGGGGTTGCCTGGCTGTGGACCTAACCAAGGGCATCAGCAGCGTGTGTGTCACCCGCTGCCCACGTGGTCCGGGCTCCTGGGGTGAAAGGGTTAGGGTGTACAGGGCTGTGCTCATAGGCAGCACCCTTATAGAGCAGGTGCCAGCAGCCAAGGGCTGTGTGAGCCTGAGCTGGCGTCCCTGGGGCTGACAGGCCTCCTTCCCTACGGCCTGGGGCAGCAGGCAGGTGGGCTGTCTGGGAGGGCAGACCTCAGGCACGGGGATGGGAGCAGAGGCCCCAGCAACTTCCCACAGTCTGATGCAGCCCTAAGCCCCAGATGCACAGGGCTTTTCAGTGGCATCCTTCCTCCCCTGGAAACATTTGTGTGAGATCCCGTGTTGAGAGCTTGTTTTGGTCCCTCTCCTCCAGCTGGGAGCTTTCTTTCCTTTCTTTCTTTCTTTTTTTCGTTTTTGAGACAGAGTCTTGCTCTGTTGCCCAGGCTGGAGTGCAGTGGCATGATCTCAGCTCACTGCAACCTCCGTCTCCCAGGTTCAAGCGATTCTCCTGTCTCAGCCTCCCAAGTAGCTGGGACTACAGGGCGTGTGCCACCATGCCCAGCTAATATTTGTATTTTTAGTAGAGACAGGGTTTCACCCTATTGGCCCGGCTGGTCTCGAACTCCTGACCTCAAGTGATCTGCCCTCCTCGGCTTCCCAAAGCACTGGGATTACAGGCGTGAGCCACCGCACCCGGCCCAGCTGGAATCTTTCTATTTCTCCATTTATTCACTCATCCTGTGCTCGTTCATTCATTTACTAAGTCACTAATTCACTCACTCAACAAACCCTTGAGTTCCTACCATGCTTCAGGCCTGAAGGGATAGGTCCCCAGGGCTGAGGTCTCTAGGGAAAGGCCTTTTCCCAGAAGGCTTGTAAGGTCCTCCATCCTGGCCATTGTTCCGGGATTCAACCTCCTTCCTCTCCTCTTGTCTCTAGCTGGTGACCATTCAGAGCTGTCCCAGAACCCCAAGCAGGTAAGGGGGCTTTAGCAGGAGGTGTATCAGGTGGCTGGGCGGAGGGTACAGAGGCTGCTGGGGAGTTGGACAGTCCCATCGGCCAACGGAGGTTGGATGGAGCGGGGAGCTCACCCAGAGCAGGACGAATGATGCTGGGAGATGTGGTCACTAGGTCTTGTTCTGAGTCCTGGCCAGCCTGTCCCCTCCCCACCAAGGCAAATGGAATGAAGGGAGGCCCTCCCAGCCAAGCTGACCTGGGGAACATTAAACTACTGGACGGAGTGGGGTGGAGGCAGGAAGGGGAAGGTGGGGGCTGAGGTGCTCAGAGCATAGAGGAAGGGGAGACACATGCAGAGACGCAGGGACAGAGGCTGCAGGGCTCCGTGGACACCCACCTGGGACCTCCTGCCCACCCAGGCTGCCACGCAGAGTGAGCTGCACTACGCAAATCTGGAGCTGCTGATGTGGCCTCTGCAGGAAAAGCCAGCACCACCAAGGGAGGTGGAGGTGGAATACAGCACTGTGGTAAGTGCAGGAGCCCGGCTTTTGGGCATGCGGCCCCTGGGCTGTGCCAGGGCACCCCTGGGAGGGTGGGCAGAAGGGGAAGGAAGGGGTCGGCTTGGTGATCTTGTGCCTGTCAGGGACAGGGCCACATGGAGATGGAGCAAGTGTAGATTTTGCCAGAGCAGAGGTCCTTAGGAGGGCTTGGTGTCATTGTGGTGGGGGGTTTTTGGGGGTGGCCAGCAGCTATGGCTCTGACAGTCCGTGAAGTCCAGCATGGGTTAAGCACCTGCTGTGTATCGTGAGCCAAGCTGAGAACCTGTGACTTCTCACTGTTTTGGTCTCATCATCTCTTTGACATCAATTCTGCTTTCGGGTTTTTGTCTGTGACCCGCTGTGGGTCAACCCTTGGGCGCAGCCACCTTCAACTGGGATGATGGGATGGGGGCTGCCTCCCTGGGTCGTGACCCACCTGCTAGTGGGAGAGTTCAAGCAGAAGCTGGGGGTCACTTGGCAGAGAGGATCGGGAGGGATGTAAGCATCAGCAGGGAAGCTTAAAGTGCCCCCAGGCCTGGGAGCTGAAGAGGCCCCTCAGACAAGTCGTGTGGTGCCATGGAGGGCTGGCACCAGGGTGACAGGGGACATTGTTGCTGGTCTGCCTGGAAAAGTGGCCCAACTCCCTGGGATATCTCCAGCCTGGTACCGTTCTCCCCAGGCCGCCGTTTTGCACCTGACAGGAGAAGAGGGGATCCAGACCTGCCACTTCCGGGTCCCCTGATAGCCGCACCGTTCCCCAACCTCCCGCCAGCTGTCTGCATGAGGATGAGGGTGGTCTGGGGGCCCAGGGTCCTGGATGGCTCCTGGCCAAGTTCCTTCCTTCCTTCCTTCCTTTCTTTCTTTCTTTCTTTCTTTCTTTCTTTCTTTGGAATCTCGCTCTATCCCCCAGGCTGGAATGCAGTGGCACAGTCTTGGCTCACTGCAATCTCTGCCTCCCAGGTTCAAGCAATTCTCCTGCCTCAGCCTCCAGAGTAGCTGGGACTACAGACACCTGCCACTACACTGGCTGATTTTTGTATTTTTAGTAGAGACGGGGCTTCACCATGTTGGCCAGGCTGGTCTCGGACTCCTGACCTCAAGTGATCCGCCTGCCCTGACTTCCCAAAGTGCTGGGATTACAGTACTGAGCCACCACACCCGGCCAGCTCCTGGCCAAGTTTCTGAGCGCCCCTGCACTCAAGCCTGACTCCTTCCTTGCATGACATGATCTTGTGTCCACGAAGCTGCATGGCCTGGGACCAGCAACAGCCTTGTTCTAACTTGTTGTCTCATGATTTAAAGTGGATGGCACATGGTCTTACTCTTCTCCCAGCCCCCTTGGTACAAGTTGGGACTCATGCCCACAGTACAGCAAGTTAATCAGAGCTGCAGGGCCAACGCAGTACCCCTGTACTGGCTTCAACTCCACCTAGAGAACGAGGGGTCCTCTGCAGAAAGGGATCCATGGCTGCTTCGTTGTGAGAACTTTCCTTTTTTTTTCTTTTCTTTTCTTTTTTTCTTTTTTTTTTTTGAGACAGAGTCCCACTCTGTCGCCAGGCTGGAGAGCAGTGGTGCAATCTTGGCCATTGCAACCTCCGCCTCCCCGGTTCAAGCGATCCTCCTGCCTCAGCCTCCCAAGTAGCTGGGATTACAGGTGTCCACCACCACGCCCAGCTAGTTTTTGTATTTTTAGTAGATACTGGGTTTCACTATGTTACCCAGGCTGGTCTCAAACTCCTGACATCAAGTGATCCACCCGCCTTGGCCTCCCAAAGTGCTGGGATTAAGGGCGTGAGCCACTGTGCCTGGCCTCAAGAATATTTCATTAAGAGAAGCACAGAGGTGTCTTGGGGGAGCCCAGCCAGGTCTCAGGGCCTCAGTTTCTTCCCTGTAGAATGGACCAGGCTGGGTCAGCCCTGAGGAGCCCCCGGAGCCTCCTGCCTCTGATGCTGGGGATGTTGTGCTGCTGCTTGCCCAGTTGGGGAGGAGCAGCTGGGTGGACAGGATCATAGAGAAAAAGAGGCCAGGACAGTGGAGCCTCTACAGTGAGGCCTCCCCAAAGCCCCTCAGGTGTCCTCCCTCCTCCATCCTATGTTGGGGGTCCTTTCTTCCCTTGCCTCTCCCAAGTCTTCAGTTTCTTGGTTTCTCTCTGCAGGCCTCCCCCAGGGAAGAACTTCACTATGCCTCGGTGGTGTTTGATTCTAACACCAACAGGATAGCTGCTCAGAGGCCTCGGGAGGAGGAACCAGATTCAGATTACAGTGTGATAAGGAAGACATAGGCTTTTGTCCTGCCTCGCCATCGGAGCTCTCATGGGCCCCAGGAAGTCCAGGGACAGCTCCCTTATACCTGGCCCACGTCCTTCTCAGCCTGCCCTCGACAACAGTGACCAACAGACAGGCAGCTGGGTTTCCCAGGCCATCCCTCTGTTGCCATCAGCTTGATTGGCTTCCCCGAGGGCCAGCAGGGCTGGGGGCTCCGGAGAGCAGCAGGAAGCACTCCCAGCCACCAGTGCCTGTCACCTCTTTCCCCTTTGCCCCTGCTTCATCCCAGCTCTGTGTGTGGAGGACAAAGCTTCTTCCTGCGTGGCTCCAGGAAAAGATGTGGCTCACGTAGGTGGCACCTGCCAATAGCTTTGTCAATCACAGCCCCATAGGAACGTCTGGAATTGCTTGGGAGTTGGGGAGAACTGTCAAGAAGAGTGAAGAGAGTGCCAAAGCGGAGATCTGTTCACCTGGGGGCCATGGAGGGGGGACCCACTAAAGATCAAGATCAAAGATTCTCCCCATCTCACAGACAAGGAAACTGAGGCCAGAGGGAGGAGAGAATTGCTCATGGCTCCAGAACTGGTGGCAAGTTTCTCTGGACTCTTAGGTTTATTTTTAATATGAAATATAAAAACAGTTTCAAATATCTTATTGAGGGAGAAGTAAAAACTTATTTAAACAATGCCTGCTATGTGTCTGCAATCCTCTGCAAAAGAAAGCTCCCAGCTTTGATACCAGATGAGTGCAGAGAAGCCTTGTGGGTGCAGTGGGTTGGGGACATCCTAAGAGAAGTCCTCACTGAGTGGGAGAAGGTGGGTCACAGCTGCTTCTTGCCATGATGTCTGTTTGCTTGTGTGTTTTTTGAGATGGGGCCTCGCTCTGTCCCCCAGGCTGGAGTGCAGTGATACGATCACAGCTCACTGCAGCCTGGAATTCTTGGGCTCAAGTGATCCTCCTGCCTCACCCTCCTGAGTAGCTGGGACTACAAACACATGCCACCATGCCTGAATTTTTTTTTTTTGTAAAGATGGGGTCTCGCCATGTTGCCCAGGCTGGTCTTGAACTCTTGGGCTCAAGCGATCCTTTTGCCTTGGCCTCCCTGAGTGCTAGGATTACAGCATGAGTCACCATGCCTGGCAGTTTGCATGATGGAAAACACAGCAGTTTTCTTGTCGGGAGATTTGAAATTTAATGCAAAGAGTTGTCCAGGCTGTCTTGAGTCTGTGGCAGCTGCCAACAGCTTTATGTTTTTATTTTTTCATTTTAATTTTTCTTTTTTAGAGGCAGGGTCTCTCTGTGTTGCTCAGCCTTGAACTCCTGGAGTTGTGCAATGTGGACTCCTGGATCTGAAAGGTGAGGCTGCCATGAAGCCTATAATGTGGGTCGGGGCTTAGACATGTGCCTGGTACGGAGGGGAACCCAGAAATAGTTGTTGACTTCACTTGAATTGAGCCCGGTCACGTTTCAGTCCTGATCTGCAGTAACCCTTCTCAGGTTCCTGTTTCCAGAGACAGAATTCCACAGGGTGGTTTAAAACACAGAGGTTCGTGGCACCAGACTGACTCTAAGACTCAGGGGATTGTTCGAAGGACCCCTTCTCCTCAATGGGAGTGAACTTTAATTCTCTGAAATAGTATTTTCTCTTTAATTCGGTCTAAATTTCTATCAATTAGAAGTAAGTCCTCTGTAAAATGCAAATGTCTAGGCTATCAGTTGGTTGTCAATGCCGGCTGCTATAACTACCACAACCTCCACAATAAAACTGGGTGGAGTGGCGGGGTGAGGCTGGGGCAGGAGGGTATTGCAGCCACAGCCACACGCTGGCCCCAGCCCCCTGCCCCGTCAATCTCTAAGGCTTGGTGGTGGAATAAGTTCCCCGGTATAAACCATTTGCCCTGTGGAAGGTGGCAGCCCCTTGGGAGTCCTTCATGTCATTTCCTTGCCAGAGAGTCTCAGTTGGGACCACCCCCATTCTCCAAGGAGGCCTCATAGCAGGAGGGAGCGGGCTGGCTTGCAATAGTCTTCTGGAAGTCTTACTGTCCAACTCCCTTCCAGGATGCTCTGCATACCAAAGGACACTGGGAAGAACCATCTTTGTCAAACCAGAGACAGGGTCTTCATCTGTTGCCCAGGCTAGAGTACAATGGCACAATTATTGCTCACTGCAGCCTCGAACTCCTGGGTTCAGGCAGTTCTCCTGCCTCAGCCTCCTGAGTAGCTGGAACTACAGGCATGCGCCACCACACCTGGCTAATTTTTTGTAGAGACAGGGTTTCATCATGTGGCCCAGGCTGCTCTTGAACTCCTGAGTTCAAGCAATCCACCCACTTCAGCCTCCGAAAGTGCTGGGATTATAGGCATGAGCTACCATGCCCTGCCCACACTCAAAATTTACAGGAGAATATACAGTGAAAAGTTGGTCCCTTTATTTCTGTCACCAGGCATCCAGAGATAAACAAGGTTAATAGTTTCTTGTGTTTCTCCCCTGAGATAGTTAATCATTTGCACATATATCCATGTATATACGGCCTATATGTATATGCTCCTCCCCATTCCCATATGTGGGGATATCCTCCCCATTCCCACCATTCCTGCACAGTAGTATTTTCATGTCACAACCATCTTGGAGATTATTTTACCTTCTTCTATAAATGCTGCAGAACATCCCATAACATTCCATTGTTTGTACCATGACATACACATGCCATTTTGCACATTTTCATAGACAGCTGAAGGGTAAAGTTGGAGAAATTCAAAGTCCGTGCACTTGTAATTTTGATAGATATTGCCAAGCATATGGCAACTTTAAATAGCAATCTTTGGCCAGGCATGGTTGCTCACGCTGAATCCCAGCACTTTGGGAAGCTGAGGTGGGTGGGTCATTCGAGGTCAAGAGTTTGACACCAGCCTGGCCAACATGGTGAAACCCCATCTCTACTAAAAATACAAAAATTAGCTGGGCGCAGTGGCATGCACCTGTAATCTCAGCTACTTGGGAGGCTGAAGCAGGAGAATTGCTTGAACCTGGGAGGTGGAGGTGGCAGTGAGCCGAGATCATGCCATTGCATTCCAGCCTGGGCAACAGAGCAAGACCCCATCTCAAAAATAAATAAATAAAAAGGAAAAAAAAAGAAATAGCAATCTTTTTATTTATGTATTTATTTTTTGAGACAGATCTTGCTCTGTCACTCAGGCAGAGTGCACTGAGAGTGCAGTGGCTTGGTTACAGCTCACTGCAGCCTCCACCTCCTAGGCTGAAGCAATTCTCCCACCTCAGCCTCTGGAGTAGCTAGGACTACAGGCTCAGGCCACCATGCCCGGCTAACTTTGTTTATTTTTTTCTGTAGAGATGAGGTCTCACTAGGTTGCCCAGTTGGTCTTGAACTCCTGCACTCAAGTGATCCTCCT
Organism: Homo sapiens; assembly: GCF_000001405.40. Classification (NCBI taxonomy): domain Eukaryota; kingdom Metazoa; phylum Chordata; class Mammalia; order Primates; family Hominidae; genus Homo; species Homo sapiens. The sequence goes on from NC_000017.11 coordinate 74,487,521, forward strand.
GCCTCAGCCTCCCAAAGTGTGGGGATTACAGGTGTGAGCCACCATGCCCAGCTTGAAATAGCAATCTTTAATTTCCACCTTACTAGTTATCCCTCTACACCCAAAACTGACGTATTAATTTTTACCAAGTGTATTAGTTTGTTTTCATGCTGCTGATAAAGACATACCCAAGACTGGGCAATTTACAAAAGAAAGATGTTTAACTGGACTCACAGTTCCACCTGGCTGGGGAGGCCTCAAAATCATGGCAGAAGGCAAGGAGGAGCAAGTCACATCTTACATCAATGGTGGCAGGCAAAGAGAGAGCTTCTGCAGAGAAACTTCCATTTTTAAAACCATCAGATCTCATAAGACCCATTCACTATCAGAAGAACAGCATGGGAAAGACCTGCCCCTGTGATTCAGTCATCTCCCAAAACAAGTTGGAATTATGGGAGCTACAAGATGAGATTTGGGTGTGGACACAGAGCCAAACCATATCATTTCACTCCTGACCTCTCCCAAATCTCCTATCTTCACGTTTCAAAACCAATCATGCCTTCCCAACAGTCGCCCAAAGTCTTAACTCATTTCAGTATTAACTCAAAAGTCCACAGTCCAACATCTCATCTGAGACTAGGCAAGTCCCTTTCACCTATGAGCTTGTAAAATCAAAAGAAGTTTAGTTACTTCCTAGATACAATGGGGGTATAGGCATTAGGTGAACACAGCCATTCGGTGAACACAGCCATTCCAAATGGGATACATTGGCCAAAACAAAGGGCCTACAGGTCTGATGGAAGTCTAAAATCCAGTAGGACAGTCAAATCTTAAATTTCCAAAATGATCTCCTTTGACTCCATGTCTCATATCAGGTCACGCTGATGCAAGAGATGGGTTCCCATGGTCTTGGACAGCTCTGCCCCTGTAGCTTTGCAGCGTACAGCCTCCCTCCCAGCTGCTTTCATGGGCTGGCGTTGAGTGTCTGCAGCTTTTCCAGGTGCACAGTGCTGGCTGTCAGTGGATTTACCATTCTGGGGTCTGGAGGATGGTGGCCCTCTACTCACAGCTCTACTAGGCAGTGCCCCAGTAGGGACCCTGTGTGGGGTCTCTAACCCCACATTTCCCTTCCACACTGCCCTAGCGGAGGTTCTCCATGAGGGCCCTACCCCTGCAGCAACCTTCTGCCTGGACATCCAGGCATTTCCATACATCCTCTGAAATCCAGGTGGAGGTTCCCAAACCCCAATTCTTGACTTCTGTGCACTTGCAGGCTCAACACCACATGGAAGCTGCCAAGGCTTGGAGCTTGCACCCTCTGAAGCCACAGCCCAAGCTCTATGTTGGCCCCTTTTAGCCATGGCTGGAGCGGCTGGGATGCAGGGCACCAAGTCCCTAGGCTGCACAGAGCAGGGGAACCCTGGGCCTGGCCCACAAAACCACTTTTTCCTCCTAGGCCTCCAAGCCTGTGATGGGAGGGGCTGCCATGAAGACGTCTGACATGCCCTGGAGACATTTTCCCCATTGTCTTGGGGATTCACATTTGGCTCCTCGTTACTTAGGCAAATTTCTGCAGCCAGCTTGAATTTCTCCTCAGAAAATGGGATTTTCTTTTCTATCACATTGTCAGGCCATAAATTTTCTAAACTTTTACACTCTGCTTCCCTTATAAAACTGAATGCCTTTAACAGTGCCCAAATCATCTCTTGAATGCTTTGCTGCTTAGAAGTTTCTTCCGCCGGATACCCTAAATCATCTCTCTCAAGTTCAAAGCTCCACAAATCTCTAGGGCAGGGGCAAAATGCCACCAGTCTCTTTGCTAAAACATAACAACAGTCACCTTTACTACAGTTCCCAACAAGTTCTTCATCTCAATCTGAGTCCACCTCAGCCTGGATTTCATTGTCCATATCATTATCAGCATTTTGATCAAAGCCATTCAACAAGTCTCTAGCAAGTTCCAAACTTACCCATATTTTCCTGTCTTCTTCTGAGCCCTCCAAACTGTTCCAACCCCTGCCTGTTACCCAGTTCCAAAGTCACTTCCACATTTTCAGGTATCTACAGCAGCACCCCACTCTACTGGTACCAATTTACTACATTGGTCCATTGTCACGATGCTGATAAAGACATACCTGAAACTGGGCAATTTACAAAAGAAAGAGGTTTAACAGACTTACAGTTCCACGTGGCTGGGGAGGCCTGACAATCATGGCAGAAGGCAAAGCAGGAGCAAGTCACATCTTGTGTGGATGGCAGCAGGCAAAGAGAGAGCTTGTGCAGAGAAACTCCTATTTTTAAAACCATCAGATCTCATGAGACCCATTCACTATCACAAGAACAGCATGGGAAAGACCCGCCCCCAGGATTCAGTCATCTCCCACTGGGTCCCTCCCACAACACATGGGAATTATGGGAGCCACAAGGTGAGATTTGGGTGGGGACACAGAGCCAAACCATATCACCAAGACTATATAAGACCTCTATGGAGAGAACAATAAAATTCCAATAAAGGTTACAGAAGATGATCTGAATAAATGGAGAGATCTTTTAGGCTCTTACTTCAGGTGACTTAATGACACCAAGATGTCGAGTCTTCCCAAATTAATCAATATATTTGACCGGGTGCGGTGGCTCACACCTGTAATCCCAGCACTTTGGGAGGTCGAGATGGGCGGATCACCTGAGGTAGGGAGTTCAAGACCAGCCTGACCAACATAGAGAAACCCCATCTCTACTAAAAATACAAAATAGCCGGGCTGAATTAGCTTGTTGGGAACTGTAGTAAAGGTGACTGTTGTTATGTTTTAGCAAAGAGACTGGTGGCATTTTGCCCCTGCCCTAGAGATTTGTGGAGCTTTGAACTTGAGAGAGATGATTTAGGGTATCCGGCGGAAGAAACTTCTAAGCAGCAAAGCATTCAAGAGATGATTTGGGCACTGTTAAAGGCATCAGTTTTATAAGGGAAGCAGAGTGTAAAAGTTTAGAAAGGTTGAATTAGCTATTTGTAGACCTTTATTCCATTGAATGCATTTTAAAATAAGCTTATTATGTTCCTCAAAAAAATTCCTTTTTATTAGGAGTGTATTGAATGTATTGATTTTTTTTTTGAGATGGAGTTTCACTCTTTTTACCCAGGCTGGAGTGCAATGGCACGATCTCAGCCCACTACAACCTCCACCTCCTGGGTTCAAGCGATTTTCCTGCCTCAGCCTCCCTAGTAGCTGGGATCACAGGCATGTGCAACCTCTGCCTCCCAAGCTCAATAGATCCTTCCACCTCAGCCTCCTGAGTAGCCATAGATTTGAGGAAATAATGAGGAGCCAGAGGAAACTGTCCCGTCTCAGACTAGAAAAGGGGTGGCCTGAAGCGGAGATGGGGAGGGGAGAGAGCGCGAGCTGGTGGGACCCAGGGCTGGGCCGACCTGGAGTTGCCAAGAGAATCTGCAGGAGACACTGCTGCCCAGTACAGCAACCACAGGTGAGCATGGAGCCCTCGGGACCGGCCAGTCCAAACTGAAATGGGCTTTGAATCTACGACTTACTGCAAACGACAGGATGTCAACTATCTCATTGATAACACAATGAGTACCTATTGGACTGAAGGACTTTGTGTGTGTGTGTGTGTGTGTGTGTGTGTGTGCATATACATTTTTTTTTTGAGACATAGTCCCAGGGAGGAGTGCAGCAGCATGATCATGGCTCACTGCCCCTTCAAACTCCTAGACTTATGTGATCCGTCTGCCTCAGCCTCCCAAGTAGCTGGGACCACAGGCGCATGCCACCAGGCCTGGCTAATTTTTTTGATTTTTTCTAGAGATGGACTCTCACTTTTTTGCCCACACTGGTCAAACTACTGGGCTCAAGACATCCTCCCCTCTCGGCTTCCCAACAGGTTAAGATTACAGGCATGAGCCACTGCACCCAGCCTGATAATATTTTGGGGGTAAATAAATATTGGGGTGAATAAATAAAAATATTATTTCAAATATCAGTTATCCAAATTGATTATGTAATATTTAATCAAATTGATTATTGATTATTCAAATATCAAAGGTGACTTTGATCTTGAATTCAGTTAATTGAGCCTTAGGAGATTACGGACCCCTGTAAATCCAAGCTCCCTGCTCCTTTCTATTCACTGGCATTCTAGACTCATTCACCACACACATTAACTAACAGACAGATGCCAGCGTCGTGCTTTACCTGTTAAACAGTTACGAGTCTGGTTGGTACAGCCAGACTGTCTCTGTCTGCATGAGCCGGGTACAGAAAGGGGCCACTCCAGTGTTTTACAGATGGTTCTAATATGTTATTACTAAACACTTGCCACAACAGCTTGCATAGGCAGCTGAGGTCACTCGGTCACCTCAACATTCTGTGATCAGCCACATGAGCTGTTGGGTTTTACCAGGAAAAGAGTGACTAGTTATGCTTCTCTTTTTTAATTTTAATTTTTTTTTTTTTGAGATGGAGTCTTGCTCTGCCACCCAGGCTAGAGTACAATGACACGATCTCGGCTCACTGCAGCCTCTGCCTCCTGGGTTCAAGCGATTCTCCCATCTCAGCCTCCAGAGTAGCTGAGATTACAGGCACATGCCTCCATGCCCAACTAATTTTTGTATTTTTAGTAGAGACAAGGTTTCACCATGTTGGCCAGGCTGGCCTCAAACTGCTGACCTCAGGTGACCCACCCGCCTCAGCCTCCCAAAGTGCTGGGATTACAGGCATGAACCGCCACTCCCAGCCTCCTCTTATAATTTATTTAAAAGGCCATGGTGCTTTATAGAACAGCTTAACAATTACTGAGAAGAAAGAAAGAAGGAAAGAAAGACAGAGAGGAAGAAAGGAAGGTAATTCACATGCAGAGAGAACATTCCACTTTATTCTTTTTGTTTTTTTCAGGGAATGGGTGAGCTGAGGGGTTTATTCACACAACAGAATGCTTTGCAGCAGTGACAACAGATTGCCTTTTTTTATTTTATTTCATTTTATTTTATTTGAGACAGGGTCTTGCTCTGTCACCCAGGCTGGAGTCCAGTGGTGCAATCTTGGCTCACTACAATCTCTGCTTCCCAGGTTCAAGTGATTCTTCTGCCTCAGCCTCTCCAGTAACTGGGATTACAGGTACATGCCACCATGCCCGGCTAATTTTTTTGTACTTTTAGTAGAGACAGGGTTTCGCCATGTTGGCCAGGCTGGTCTCGAACTTCTGGCCTCAAGTGATCCTCTTGCCTCGATCTCCCAAAGTGCTGGGATTATAGGCATGAGCCACCATGCCTGGCCACCTTCTTTATTTTACAGAAGAGCCACGGGCCAGAGAGGCTACTTGAAATGACAAATGCCACTCCATTGGGTGATAATATCTGAACCTTGAATCTAGGAATTCTGGATCTTAGCATTAAAAACAACAACAATGAAAAAAAAAACCTTGTATTTTGAAACAATTTCAAACTTAAGGAAAAATTGTGGAAAAGGTACAAAGACCTCCCGTATGTCATTTTCCCAGATTTACCCTTTTTTTTTTTTAATTTGCCACTTTTTTGTTACTCTGTTTCTATCTATGCGTTTTTCCCCAGAACCATCTGAGAACAGGTTGCTGACACTGTCTTTGTCTGCATGTGCCGGGTACACAAAGGTGCCACTCCGGTGTTTTCTGAAAGTAGCTGGTGAAGCCTTCCCGTAGTTGTGCCTTGTCTTTGTTTTACAATCCAAGTTCACCTTCAAAATACAGCGCCTCACTTGGCATGTCCAATGCCAACATGATAGATATTCGGAGGATTAAATAATGTTAGGTTAATCATCAATATGTTCACAATTGGTCCAAGGAGGTGAAAGACATTTTCTAATTAGCCCAAGCCTTTTAGAAAGATGACTCAGGGCTGAATTATCCACAGTTTAGAAAATGACCTCACAATTATGTTTCTTTGTTTTTAAAGTTTACTGTTTGGGCAAACACCAGCCCTGGTTTGTAGACCTGACTCTGCCTGGGAACCAAACATAGAGATTTGATAGCCACGTATCTCCACCCTGTGGCCATGCGGGGAATCACACATGCCTGGATTCCCAAGCCTGTTGAATTCGTTGGGGTTGGTCTGTCAACGCCAAAGGAATTCTGTACTTTCTGGGTCAATGCAGCTGAGAAGCGGGAGGGCTTGAAACAGGGGAACAGACAGAAAACTCCTGCATGGCTTTCCAGCCCCTCTGCACGCCCAGTCCTTGGATGTTTTGTGCCGAAAGAAAACTCAACTCCTTGGCCGGGCACGGTGGCTCACGTCTGTTATCCCAGCATTTTGGGAGGCCAAGGCAGGCGGATCACTTGAGGTCAGGAGTTCAAGAGCAGCCTGGCCAACATGGCGAAACCCCGTCTCTACTAAAAATACAAAAATTAGCCGGGTGTGGTGGCGGACACCTGTAATCCCAGCTACTTGGGAGGCTGAGGCAGGAGAATCGCTTGAACCTGGGAGGCGGAGGTTGCAGTGAGCCAAGATCGCGCCATTGCACCCCAGCCTAGGTGACAGAGCAAGACTCTGTCTCAAAAAACAAACAAACAAACAAAACAAGAAAACTCAACTCCTCTCTAACTTTGAGTTTCTTTATTTCATATCCAATTGTCCCTTCCCAATTCCTAGATTTTCCCACCCCGACTGCAGTGTGTCAAAGGCAAGGGCAGCCACCCCACCTGTGGTTGGTGTCATGGGTTTGGGGTCAGATAGAACAGGCCTTAAATCCCACCTCTGCCCTTGTGACCTACATGGTCTGGGGCTGCCATTCAAGGCCATCTGGGTCTCAGTTTCTTCATTTGTTCCAGCAATGGTCCAGTGCCCCTCCAGTGCGTTCACCCTCACCAGGCTCTGAAGCAAGCTCTTATTTATTTATTTCTATTTTGAGAGGGAGTCTCAGTCACTGAGGTTGGAGTGCAGTGGTGCGATCTAGGCTCACTGCAACCTCTGCCTCCCGGGTTCAAATGATTCTCCTGCCTCAGCCTCCCAAGTAGCTGGGATTACAGGCACCTGCCACCACACCTGGCTAATTTTTGTATTTTAGTAAAGATGGGGTTTCGCCATGTTGCCCAGGCTGGTCTCAATCCCCTGACCTCAGGTGATTCACTCACCTGGGCCTCCCAAAGTGCTGGGATTACAGATGTAAGCCACCGCACCTGGCCACTCTTATTTATTTATACAGACAGGGTCTCACCATGTGGTCCCAGTTGGGCTTAACCTCCTGGTCTCAAGCAAATCTCCCTCCTCAGCCTCCTGACTGGCTGGGACCGCAGTGTGACCCACTACACCCAGCTGATGCAAGCCCTTAACAAAAGGCCCTGCCATTCTCTCCCTGGGCATCCTCATGCTGTTTCGTCACCTCTGGGACTCTTTCTAAGCACCCCTGACCTGCATCCTCATTGTCCAAAATTTCTTTGCTGTCGATTCTTTCCTTTGCTCCTGTTCTCGGGTCCTTTGAATTTGACCTTTGGACTCTCCCCTTTGACCTACATTCTGCAAATCTGGCCACATGGTGCATTGGAGCCCGGGACCTACTCCTGAAGCCCAGGCTGAGGGCAAGCTCTGGGTTCCTATGTGTCTGGTAAGGAAAGTGGGAAATGGGAACAGCAGGTTCTACCTTCCAGGAGTGTTGAGAGTTACAGGAAAGAATTGAGTAGAGTCCTTGATCCCAAAGTATTCTCTCTGTATATGAATTACCTCCCTTTCTTCCTCCCTTCCTCTTTCTTTCCTGTCTTCTTTTTTTCTCTCTTCTCCGTAATTGTTAAGCCATTCTTTTTTTTTTTTTTTTTTTTTTTTGAGATGGAGTCTCGCTCTGTCACCCAGGCTAGAGTGCAGTGGCACGGTCTCGGCTCACTGCACTCTGCCTCCCCGGTTCACGCCATTCTCCTGCCTCAGCCTCCCGAGTAGCTGGGACTACAGGCGCCCGCCACCACACCCGGCTAATTTTTGTATTTTTAGTAGAGACGGGGTTTCATCGTGTTAGCCAGGATGGTCTTGATCTCCTGACCTTGTGATCCGCCCACCTCGGCCTCCCAAAGCGCTGGGATTACAGGTGTGAGCCACCGCGCCTGGCTTGTTAAGCCATTCTATAAAGCACAATGACCTTCTTAATAAATTATTAAAGCATAACTAGCCACTCTTTTCCTAGTAAAACCCAACAGCAGATGTGCCTGCTGTTGACCAGGTGACCGAGTGACCTCAGCCGCCTATGCAAGCTGTGGTGGCAAGTGTTCAGTAATAACATAATAGAACAATCTGTAAGGGTGGCAGCCGTACCACCCAGATGCAGTGGCTCATGCCTGTAATCCCAGCACTTTGGGAGGCCAATGTGGGTGGATCACTTGAGGTCAGGAGTTCAAGACCAGCCCAGCCAATATGCGAAACCCTGTCTCTACTGAAAATACAAAAATTAGCTGGGGTGGTGCGTGCCTATAATCCCAGCTACTTGGGAGGCTGAGGCAGGAGAATCGTGTGAACCTGGGAGGCAGAGGTTTTAGTGAGCTGAGATTGCACCATTGCACTCCAGCCTGGGCAACAGAGTGAGACTCTATCTCAGGAAAAAAAAAATATATATATATATATATATGGTGAAGCACGATGCTGGCATCTGTCTGTGAGTTAATGTGTGCAGTGGAAGAATCTGGAATGCCAGGAAACAAAAGGGATGATGGGTTATGAGGAAGGAGCAGGGCGCTTTGACTGACAGGTGTGGGTAATCACCTGACACACAATTAACTGAATTCAAGATCAAAGTCACCTGCAGAATATCAATGGGCTAAGCTGCTCTGCCTTCCACAGAAGCAGAACAGGATCAGAAAACTCCCTCTCTAAGCATTCCGTACCTGGGTTAGCAAGAGTGTCACGAATGTCCAAACTTGCTAGATTATCAATCTCACAGGCCATCAGCTGACCCAAAGGACATGGGGTCAGGAGAAAGTTCTGCATAAGATTCTCTACAAGTGTCAGAGAAAGAGCTCTGGGAAATGGGATTTTGGGGCCATTTTCACTCCCATCACAAACGAAGTAGAAGCAGCTTCATCCCCACTGAGACTGTAGCTGGCCTCTCAGAGCCTCAGGAAAACCTTGGAGTGTGAGGGGAGGAGGGGGAGCTTCATGACGAGAGAGCTGAAACTCCATAATCAACACGGTGTCAACTGGAACTTTCTCCTTAGCCTCTGGATTTCACATTTCCCTTAGGAGAATCTAATGTCTACCTCTTTATTTGGCAGTCTTATATGGAATTTATGTAGAATGTTGCTTTGAATCTTCTCAACTAATTCCCATTCTGATTTTTTTCAACTTAAAAATTTTTATTTTTATTTTTTGAGACAGGTTTTCACTCTCTTGCTCAAGCTTGAGTGTAGTGGTGCAATCATAGCTCACTGCAACCACAACCTCCTAGGCTCAAGCAATTCTCCCACCTCAGCCTCCCAAGTAGCTGGGACTACAGGCACATACCACCATGCCCAGCTAATTTTTTTGCTTTTGCTTTGTGTATGTATGTGTGGTTTTGTTTTGTTTTGTTTTGTTTTGTTTTGTTTTGTTTTGTAGAGACAGGGTCTCACTATGTTGCCCAGGCTGGTCTTGATCTCTTGGGTTTAAGTAACTCCCACCTCAGCCTCCCAAATTGCTGGGATTACAGGTGTGAGTCACTGCACCTGACCCCATTCTGATTTTTTAAAAATTTATGAATAAATAACCTATTTAGACATTTTGAATCAGAGGTACGTGGACCCAACTAATCATGTGGTTACTATCAGGAAGCCAGGACCAGGAATAGTGGTTAGAAGAAGAACCAAGTCATCCATTCATCCATCCATCCATCCATCCAGTAACGAATATGTATGATATTTTTCCTATATGGGGACACAGTCTAGAAGGAGCTTGGAGACCAGTTGGGGAGCCTGATAACATTAAGTGTCAAAATGTTACTACAAAATGTCCTGAGTTACAATGATAGAGAAAGTCAAGGAGTCCTGGGAGCAGGCAGGACAGGCACATCCCACTGTGGTGGAGGGCAAGTAGGCACCTGTGTAGCTTCCTGAAAATGGCTCTTGGATGGTGGATGGAGTCTTACAAGATAAGCAAGCCGGGTGCCTCTAAAGCAAAGTGCATGGCAAGAGGTTTGGATGAGGCAGGGCCTGGGGAGGAAGAGCTGGCCACTCCTTCCTGTTGGAGCAGAAAGGGGAGGCCTCGAGTGGTGGGAAGTGAGGGCGGAGGGAGAGGCCAGCTCACAGAACATCAGCTTCACTGACAGGCTTCAATTTCATTTTGCAAACAATTTAGAAGCCATTAAAAGTTTTTTTTTAGGCCAGGCGTGGTGGCTCACGCCTATAATCCCAGCACTTTGGGAGTCTGAGGCAGGCAGATCACCTGAGGTCCGGAGTTCGAGACCAGCCTGGCCAACGTGGTGAAACCCTGCCTCTACTAAGAATACAAAAATTAGCCAGGCGTGGTGGCGCATGCCTATAATCCCAGCTACTCAGGAGGCTGAGGCAGGAGAATTGTTTGAACCCAGGAGACGGAGGTTGCAGTGAGCCAAGATCACACCACTGCACTCCAGCCTGGGTGACACACTGGACTCGATCTCAAAAAAAAAAAAAAAATTTTTTTTATATTAACTACAGAAAAAAGATCTATTTGTTGTAAAAAAAAAAGTTAGAAAATACAGACAAAAAGAAGAAAATAACAATGTTCATATATCTACATTTTTTCCTTATAAAATATGGGTTCAAATAACATATACTCTTAAAATTTGTATCATGTTCCTTTTATGGATGTAATGTAATTTATTTAACCATATCTTTACTGTTGGGGATTTAGGATGTTTCTAGTTTCTTGCTATTATAACCAATTATGTGACCATTCTTGCACATAATTATTTCTTTAGGATACACTCTTAGAAATGTCTCGGCCCAGGGGTAGTATATTCGATAGGATTTGGGTGCAATTTATTCTCCTATCAGCCTGGTATGGAAATATCCTTCAGCATATCCCATGGCCAACATTGGGAATGGTGCCTTTAAAAAAATGATTTAAACTTCTGCCAATTACAAATAAATAGTTCTCATTGCTTTTAAATAAATACCATTAATTCTGGCCGGGTTCTGTGGCTCACGTCTGTAATCCTGGCACTTTGAGAGGCCAAGGCAGGCAGATCACTTGAGGCCAGGAGTTTGAGACCAGCCTGGACAACATGGTGAAACCCCGTCTCTACTAAAAATACAAAAAGTTAGCCAGGCATGGTGGTGCATGCCTGTAATCCCAGCTACTCGTGAGGCTGAGGCAGGAGAATCGCTTGAGCCCAGGAGGCGGAGGTTGCAGTGAGCCAAGATCATGCCGCTGCACTCCAGCCTGGGTGACAGAGCGAGACTCCATCTCAAAAACAAACAATCAACAATAACAACAAAAAGAATAACATTAATTCAGAAAAGTGTGTATCGTTCCATATCCAGATGATGTCTCTTAACACACACACAAAAAGAAAAGTAAAAATTATTTAATTAGCCAGGCGCGGTGGCAAGCTCCCATAATCCCAGCTACTGGGGAGGCTGAGGCAGGAGAATTGCTTGCACCTGGGAGGCAGAGGTTGCAGTGAGCCGAGATCGCGCCATTGCACTCCAACCTGGGTGACAGAGCAAGACTCCATCTCAGGACAAAAAAAAAAAAAAATTTTAAACCCATGTGCAATGGACAGAAAATTAAAACAGTACAGGAAGTTATAAAATTAACAAAAAAGTCTCCTTCCTCCTACCCTACCCCTAGTACCATTCCACAAAAGTGACTACTGTTAGCCATTTCTTACACAGCTTTCAGAAAACTTATTATTATTTCAAAATTATTTTCAAAAGGGCTAATCCAGGCGCAGTGGTTCACATTTGTAATCCCAGCACTTTGGGAGGCCGAGGCAGGCGGATCACCTGAGGTCAGGAGTTCAAGACCAGCCTGGCCAACTTGGTGAAACCCTGTCTCTACTAAAAATACAAAATTAGCCAAGTGTGGTGACACACACCTGTAATCCCAGCTACTTGGGAGGCTGAGGAAGGAGAATCGCTTGAGCTCAGGAGGCAGAGGTTGCAGCGAGTCAAGATCGCGCCACTGCACTCCAGCATGGGCGACACAGCAAGACTCCATCTCCAAAAAAAGTGGGGGGAGGGGCTCATAATTCTTCATACCTCACTTTTGCATATGTCCTAGAGACCTTGTTATACAAGTACACACAAATCTACCTCATTCTTTTATATGTGATTCCACAGTTTTAATTCATTCCGTTATTTACTCATTTACTTGATGACTTTTATTGAATACCTACTATATACCATGGAGCTATACAGCAGAGACATAGCAGTGAAGAAGATAAATGAGGCCCCTTCTGTCTGGTCCTTGTATCTTAGTGGGCAGTAGACAGAACAAACAAAACAAAAGCAAGCTTCGTTCAGATCATCACAGAACTGCTGTGTGAAGATCTGAATTGTGTACAGCTGAGAGTGATGAGAGGCAGGAAGGGCTGCTTGCATAGGGAGGTCATGGAGGGACTTCCTGACATTTGAGCTGAGACTTGAGAAGGAGCCAGCCACACAATAATATAGAGTGAGAGCATTCCTGGCAGAGGAAACAGCTCAGGCAAAGGCTCTAAGGGGGAACAAGGCTAGTGTGTCCCAGGCTTAGGGTGCCGGCCAGATGAGTACAGAGTAGACAATGTGGGGAGCTTGGTGGGAGGCAGACGCAGAAAGGCAGAGGCAGGCAGTGGTCAGATCAGGGAAGGGTTAATACGCAAATGTGTGGATTTTGTCCTAAGTGGAAACTCTGAAAAATTTCAAGCAAGGGAGTCACACAATGGCACCTTGGAATGGGGTGGTGGATGTGGCCATTGGAGAAGGTGGACAAGCTCAGAATGCATTCTGGCCGTAGAGCCAACCCAACAGGCTGAAGGATTGGATGTGGGAGGGAGTGAAAAGAAAGGAATAAAAATTGCAGGTGACTTCTACGGTTTTCACTTGAGCAATTGGGAGGGCAGTAAAGGTGGGTCCCTTTACGGAAATGGAAAGACTAAGAGAGCAGCAGTTTTGGGGTGGAATTGGGGAGAGGAAACAGGGACTCTGTTGGGCGTACAGATGCTCAAATAAAGATGACAAGCCCCCTATTGGCTGTATGAGTCAGGCGCTGGGGGAGGGACTGGAGCTGTAGGTGCACAATGCATGCCGATGTATCTGTGTGTCATACAAGGCCCCATGTATGACTGCGTGTGTATACACATGCACAGATGCACACATTGTTATGTCATCCCAGACCATGTTTTTGTATTTTTGTACCTGTATCTTGGTATATATCTGAGTATATCTTTTTTTTTTTTTTTTTTTTTTTTTTTTGAGACAGAGTCTTGCTCTGTTGCCCAGGCTGGAGTGCAGTGGTGTGATCTTGGCTCACTGCAACCTCTGTCTCCCGGGTTCAAGCGATTCTTCTGCCTCAGCCTCCCAAGTAGCTGGGACTACAGGCGTGCACCACCACACCCAGCTAATTTTTGTATTTTTAGTAGAGATGGGGTTTCACCGTGTTGGCCAGGCTGGTCTCGATCTCCTGACCTCGTGATCTGCCCACTTCAGCCTCCCAAAGTGCTGGGATTACAGGCGTGAGCCACCACGCCTGGCCTATCTGAGTATATCTTTAGGAGAAATTTCCAATAGTGGAGCATTAGTCAAAAGGTCCATGAATTGACTTTTTTTTAATAGATCTTGACAAATTTTCCTTCAAAAAGCTCTTGCCCACTGTCATGCCAAGCGTCAGGTTCCAGCCCATGTTGAGGTCTGAGGGGAGTGGGTGGATGGGTGGCGAATAGCGGAAGGAATATTTAGGGGGCTGTAGGCAGGTAAAATATGGTTTTATTCAGCAGCTTTTTCATCAGCAGTTTTTTTTATATACTTTAAGTTCTAGGGTACATGTGTACAATGTGCAGGTTTGTTACATAGGTATATATGTGCCATGTTGGTTTGCTGCACCCATCAGCTCGTCATTTACACTAGGTATTTCTCCTAATGCTATCCCTCCCCCAGCCCCCCACCCCTTGACAGGCCCCGGTGTGTGATGTTCCCCACCCTGTGTCCAAGTGTTCTCATTGTTCGATTCCTACCTATGAGTGAGAACATTCGGTGTTTGGTTTTCTGTCCTTGTGATAGTTTCATCAGAAGCTTTCTCATACAATTCACCTTTATCTCGGCTGCCTGCTCCAGCTTTGCGGCTCTTGCCATTCCCAGGCTTACAGCTGCATTCCCTGGCCTACAAGCCTGGCTCTCCCTTATGGGGTCAGCAGTTTTACTCTCTGCCTCTGGGCACAAGCCATGCCGAACCACATGTACAGCGTCAGCAGGGCAGTTATACCTTTTACAGACAATAGTGGCTCTGAGCCACTTACACAAACAGATTACATAACAAGTGGAGTTATGCGCCTGCGCGCCAGACTCCCTGAGTCACGCTGGCCCTGATGTTTGCCTCTGCCTGTTTTGTTTTTGTTTTTGTTTTTGTTTTTTGAGACGGAGTTTCGCTCTGTCGCCCAGGCTGGAGTGCAATGGTGCAATCTCGGCTTACTGTAACCTCCGCCTCCCAGGTTCAAGCGATTCTCCTGCCTCAGCCTCCCGAGCCACCACACCCAGCTATTTTTTTTTTTTTTTTGTATTTATAGTAGAGATGGGGTTTCACCATGTTGGCCAGGCTGGTCTCAAACACCTGACCTCTGGTGATCCACCCGCCTCAGCCTCCCAAAGTGTTAGGATTGCAGGCGTGAGCCACCGCACCTGGCTAACCTATTCTTGACCAAAGCACATCCATGTACCTTACACCCACTTACCTTCCCATCAAGAACACTCAACGATGTCCCTTTCCCTACACTCTCGCCAGTATTGGATATTTTCACACTCTATTTTCTTTTCAATCTGATAGAAGAAAATAATATCTTATAATTTTCAGAATTTGCATTCCTTTATTTGCCATTTTAGTTTTTTTCCTGTGAACTATCCATTTGCCCATTTTGCCATTGAGCTTTTAATCTATCTTACTGAGTTCCTCCGAGTGCTTTGTAAATTAAGAAAATAAGCTCTCTGTCAAATTGCCTGCAACATTTCCTTCATAGCTTGTCATTTTTTAAAAAACTTTCAAAGGTGTTTTCACCCAGTGATGTTTCATCTTTTTTCTGAGGTCAGATTTCTCAATCATTTGCTTTATAAAGTTTGAGTTTTCCTTAGGATGCTCCATTTCAAGAGTCTAATAAATTCACCCATTATTCTAAAACTTTTGTAAATTTCATTTTATATTTTCAGTTTATTCTAAAACTTGCAGTTTTCAGTTTATTCTAAAACTTTTAAATAGTCTAAGACTTTAGAAAGATTTCAGTTTATTCTAAAACTTGTGTAGTTTCTTCGTATTTAAATCTTTGATCCATTTGAAACTATTTTGGCTTACAGAGTGCGGTATGAACAGAACTTGAGTTTGTATAAGACTTAGCCAGCTGTCTCTACATCACTGATTGAGTAACCCCTCGTGTCCCATGCATAGTCCTAGGCGCCACTGTGCTGGATCAGAAGCGAAGGGAGAAGGTTAAGTGACTCACTCAGTATTTGACCACAACACTGCTTAGCTCAAAAGTCCACCTTGCTGCCCCCTTTTAGTTAAAATGAGCCTGTTAGTGAGACCCTTGATTTTTTTAGCTTTTTTTATTTTTAGTTTTTCTGGGTCATAGTAGGTGTATATATTTATGAGGTGCCTCGGGAGCATTCTGGACCATCACAGACGCTTTGGGTAACTCTTACATTGGAGGGTAAGCCCATCCCCTTCTTAATCAATACGGAGGCTACCCACTCCACATTACCTTCTTTTCGAGGGCCTGTTTCCCTTGCCTCCATAACTGTTGTGGCTATTGACGACCAGGCTTCTAAACCTCTTAAAGCTCCCCAACTCTGGTGCCAACTTGGACAACATTCTTTTATGCACTCCTTTTTAGTTATCCCCACCTGCCCAGTTCCCTTATTAGGTGAGGCATTTTAACTAAATTGTCTGCTTCCCTGACTATTCCTGGGCTATAGCCACACCTCATTGCTGCCCTTTTCCCCAGTTTAAATCCTCCTTCGCATCATCCCCTTGTGTCTCCCTACCTTAATCCACAAGTATAGGACACCTCTACTCCCTCCTTGGTGACCGATCATGCACCCCTTACCATTCCATTAAAACCTAATCACCCTTACCCCGCTCAACACCAGTATCCCATCCCACAGCACACTTTAAAAGGATTAAAGCCTGTTATCACTGGCCTGCTACAGCATGGCCTTCTAAAGCCTATAAACTCTCCTTGCAATTCCTCCATTTTACCTGTCCAAAACCCGGAAAAGTCTTACAGGTTAGTTCAGGATCTGCACCTTATCAACCAAATTGTCTTGCCTATCCACACCGTGATGCCAAACCCATATACTCTCCTATCCTCAATACCTCCCTCCACAACCCATTATTCTGTTCTAGATAAATGTAGCTGACCCCATAGATCCTAAATCCTTTCCCCACTCCTCTTTCCATTCCTTAAAAAACTCATCCCAACCCTTTTCATTACACACAGCTGAAGTACAGGACTGTGTGGTCGGAATTCTTACACAAGAGCTGGAACCACGCCCTGTAGTCTTTCTGTCCAAACAACTTGACCTTACTGTTTTAGCCTAGCCCTCATGTCTGCGTGCAGCGGCTGCCACTGCTTTAATATTTTAGAGGCCCTCAAAATCACAAACTATGCTCAACTCACTCCGTACAGTTCTCATAACTTCCAAAATCTATTTTCTTCCTCCCACCTGATGCATATACTTTCTGCCCTCCGGCTCCTTTGGCTATACTCACTCTTTGTTGAGTCTCCCACAGTTACCATTGTTCCTGGCCCAGACTTCAATCCAGCCTCCCACATTATTCTGGATACCACACCTGACCCCCATGACTCTATCTCTCTGATCCACCTGACATTTATTCCATTTCCCCATCTTTCCTTCTTTCCTATTCCTCACCCTGATCACACTTGGTTTATTGATGGCAGTTCCACCAGGCCTAATCACCACTCATCAGCAAAGGCAGGCTATGCTATAGTATCTTCCACATCTATCATTGAGGCTACTGCTCTGCCCTGCTCCACTCCCTCTCAGCAAGGCGAACTCATTGCCTTAACTCAGGCCCTCACTCTTGCAAAGGGACTACGCGTCAATATTTATACTGACTCTAAATATGCCTTCCATATCCTGCACCACCATGCTGTTACATGGGCAGAAAGAAATTTCCTCACTACACAAGAGTCCTCCATTATTAATGTGTCCTTAATAAAACCTCTTCTTAAAGCTGCTTTACTTTCAAAGGAAGCTGGAGTCATTCGCTGCAAGGGCCATCAAAAGGCATCAGATCCCATTGCTCAGGGCAACTCTTATGCTGATAAGGTAGCTAAAGAGGCAGCTAGTTTTCCAACTTCTGTCCCTGATGGCCAGTTTTTCTCCTCATTGGTCACTCCTATTTACTGTCCCACTGAAGTTTCCACCTATCAATCCCTCTCCACTCAAGGCAGATGGTTTTTAGACAAAAAAAAAATCTCCTTCAAGCCTCACTAGCCCATTCTATTCCTGTCGTCATTTCATAACCTCTTCCATGTAGGTTACAAGCCATTAGCCCGCCTCTTAAAAACTCTCATTTCCTTTCCATTGTGAAAATCTATCCCCAATCCACCACTCTTGACTCCCTCTTGGAGTGGGTAGATGATCTTTGCTGACAGGACACACTCCAATACTCTCACCCTTATGAAGTCCTGTTCTTTACTTTTATACTCACTCTTATTCTTGTTCCCGTTCTTATGCCACCCTCTCTACCTCTTCGCAGCTATCTCCACCACACTATCAATCTCACTCACTCTCTCCTAGCTGTTTCTAATCCTTCTTTAACAAACAATTGCTGGCTTTACATTTCTCTTTCCTCCAAAATCAATGAGGCCCCGACTTACTCACTGCTAAAAAAAGGGGGACTCTGTATATTTTTAAATGAACAGTGTTGTTTTTACCTAAATCAGTCTGGCCTGGTATATGACAACATAAAAAAACTCAAGGATAGAGCCCAAAAACTCACTAACCAAGCAAATAATTGCGTTGATCCCCCTTGGACACTGTCTAATTGGATGTCCTGGGTACTCCCAATTCTTAGTTCTTTAATACCTATTTTTCTCCTTCTTTTATTCGGACCTTGTGTCTTCCATTTAGCTTCTCAATTCATACAAAACACATACAGTCCATCACCAATCATTCTGTGCAACAAATCCTACTTCTAACAACCCCACAATATCACCCCTTACCCCAAAATCTTTCTTCAGTTTAATCTCTCCCACTCTAGGTTCCCATGCTGCCCCTAATCCCACTCTAAGCATCCCTGAGAAACATCGCCCATTATCTCTCCATACTACCCCCCAAAATTTTCGCCACCCCAACACTTCACCACTATTTTGTTTTGTTTTTCTTATTAATATAAGAAGACAGGAATGTCAGGCCTCTGAGCCCAAGCTAAGCCATCATGTCCCCTGTGACCTGCACATATACATCCAGATGGCCTGAAGCAACTGAAGATCCACAAAAGAAGTGAAAATAGCCTTAACTGATGACATTCCACCATTGTGATTTGTTCCTGCCCCACCCTAACTGATACGCTATATTCTCCCCTGCCCTTAAGAAGGTACTTTGTAATATTCTCCCCGCCCTTGAGAATGTACTTTTTATGCCTATCCCAAACCTGTAAGAACTAATGATAATCCCACCACCCTTTGCTGACTCATTTTTTGGACTCAGCCTGCCTGCATCCAGATGAAATAAACAACCTTGTTGCTCACACAAAGCCTGTTTGGTGGTCTCTTCACATGGACGTGTGTGACAATCTCATTGAGTTTTGAGTTGCATTTCTCTGATGATCAATGATGTTGAGCACGTTTTCATATACCTGTTTGCCTTTTGTAGATCTTCTTTGAAAGATGTCTATCAGATCTTTTGCCCATTTTTTAATTAGATTATTATATTTTTTCCTACTGTGTTATTTGGGCTCCTTACATATTCTGGTTATTAATCCCTTGTCAAATGGGTGTTTGCAAATATTTTCTCCCATTCTGTGGATTGTTGCTTCATTTTGGTGATTGTTTCTTTTGCTGTACAGAAGCTTTTTAACTTGATGTGATCCCATTTGCCCATTTTTGCTTAGGTTGCCTGTGCTTGTGGAGTATTACTCAAGAAATATTTTCCAAGTCCAATGTTCTGGAGAATTTCCTCAGTATTTTCTTTTAGTAGTTTCACAGTTTGAGATCTTAGATTTAAGTATTTAATCCCCACCCCCTTTTTTTTGTGAGACAAGGTCTGGCTTTATCGCCCTGTCTGCAGTACAGTACCATGATCTCAGTTCACTGCAACCTCTATCTCCCAGGCTCAAGCCATCCTCCCACCTCAGTCTCCCCAGTTCCTGGGACTACAGGCACATACACCATGCCCAGCTGTTTTTTGGGGTTTTTTTTGTTTGTTTGTTTTAGATGGGGTTTTGCCATGTTGTCCAGGCTGGCCTTGAACTCATGAGTTCAGGTGATCTGCCTGCCTTGGCCTCCTAAAGTGTTGGGATTACAGGCATGAGCCACCACACCCGGCCTCTTTAATCCATTTTGTATATGGTGAAAAACAGAAGGGTCTGGTTTCATTCTTCTGCATATGGATATACCATTTTCCCAGCATGATTTACTGAGGAGACTGTCCTTTCCCCAGTGAATGTTCTTGGCACTTTTGTCAAAAATGAGCTTAGTGTAGATATGTAGATTTATTCTTGGGTTCTTCATTCTGTTCCATTGTTCTATGTGTGTTTTCATGCCAGTACCATGCTGTTGTGGTTACCATATCTCTGTAGTATAATTTGAAGTCAGGTAATGTGATTTCTCCAGTTTTGTTCTTTTTGCTCTGGTTGACTTTTGCTATTCTGGGTATTTTGTGGTTCCATATAAACATTAGAATTATTTATTCTATTTCTGTGAAAAATGTCTAATATTTTTATAGGAATTGCATTGAATCTGTAGATTACTTTGGGTAGTATGGACATTTTAGCGATGTTGGTTCTTTCAATGCATTAACATGGAATATCTTTCCATTTTTTTGTATCCTCTTCAATTTCTTGCATCAGTGCTTTAGAGTTTTCATTGTAGAGATCGTTCACTTCTTCACATTTATTCCTAGGTATTTTATTTTATTTATAGCTATTGTAAATGAGATTACTTTCTTGATTTCTTTTTCAGGTTGTTCATTGTTGGCATACAGAAATGCAAATGATTTTTGTGTGTTGATTTTGTGTCCTGCAACTTTACTGAATGTGTTGATCAGTTCTAATAGCTTTTTGGTGGAGTTTTAGGTTTTTCCAAATATAAGATCATATCTGCAAACAAGGATAATTTGACGTCTTCCTTTCCAATTCAGATGCCTTTATTTATTTATCTTGTCCAATTGCTCTAGCTAGGACTTCCAGTACTATGTTGAATAACAGTGGTAAAAGTGAGCATCCTTGTCTTGTTCCAGATCTTAGAGTAAAGGATTTCAATTTTTGCCCATTCTGTATGATACTAACTGTGGGTCTGTCATATATGGCTTTTATTATGTTGAGGTATCTTCCTTCTATACCCAGTTTTTTGAGGGTTTTTCTAAATCATGAAGGGATGTGGAATTTTATCAAATACCTCTTCAGCATCAATGGAAATGATTGTGTGGCTTTTGTCCTTCACTCTGTTGATATGATGTATCACACTGATTTGCATATGCTGAATCATACTTGCATCCTTGGGATAAATCCCACTTGGTTATGATAAATGATGTTTTCAATGTGTTGTTGAATTTGTTTTGCTAACATTTTGCTGAGAATTTTTGCATCAGTATTCATCACAGATGTTGGCCTGTACTTTTGGTTTTTTTTTTTTTTTTTTTTTTTTTTGATATGACTTTGTCTGGTTTGGGTGTCAGGGTAATACTGGCCTTGTTGAATGAGTTTGGAAGTATTCCCTCATCCTCTATTTTCCAGAATAGTTTGAGTAGGATTGGTATTAGTTCTTTAAATGTTTGGTAAAATTCAACAGGGAAGCCATTGAGTCCCAGGCTTTTCTTTGCTCAGAGACTTTTTGTCATGGCATCCTGTTACTTGTTACTGGTCTATTAAGGTTTTGGATTTCTTCATGGTTCAATCTTGGTAGATTGTATGTGTTTAGGAATGTATCCACTTCTAGGTTTTCCAATTTATTGGCATATAGCTGCTCATAGTAGCCTCTAATGATCCTTTTAATTTGTTGATATCAATTGTAATGTCTCCTTTTTCATCTCTGACTTTATTTATTTGGGTCTTCTCTATTTTTTTCTTTTTTAGTCAGGCTAAAGACTTGCCAATTTTGTTTATCTTTTCAACAAAATGACTTTTAGTTTCATTGATCTTTTGTATTTCCTTCATTTCCATTTCATTTATTTTAGTTTCATTGATCTTTTGCATTTGCATTTTCTTCATTTCAATTTCATTTATTTCTGCCCTGATCTTTATTATTTCTTTATTTCTACTAATTTTGGGTTTGCTTCACTCTTGCATTTCTAGTTCTTTAAGATGCATCATTAGGTTGTTTATTTGAGGTTTTTCTACTTTTTTTGATGTAGATACTCAATACTGCTTTCACTGTATCCCATAGATTTTATTGTGTTGTGTTTCCATTTTCATTTGTTTCAAGAAATTTTTAAATTTCCTTCTTACTTTTTTTCATTAACCCACTAGTTATTCAGGGGCATATTGTTTAATTTCCATGTTTTGTATAGTTTTCAAAATTCTTCTTGTTATTGATTTCTAGTTTTATTCTTTGTGGTCACTGAAGACACTTGATATGATTTCAATTATTTTGAATATTTCAAGACCTGTTTTGTGGCCTAACATATGGTCTATCCTTGAGAATGATCCATGTGCTGAGGAGAAGACTGTGTATCTGCAGCTGCTGAATGAAATGTTCTTTTAAATATCTATTAGGTCCATTTGGTCTATAGTACAGATTAAGTCCAACGTTTCTTTGTTGATTTTCTGTCTGGATGCACTGTCCAATGCTGAAAGTGTAGTGTAGAAGTCTCCAGCAATTATTGTATTGAGGATATATTATTTTAGCTATAAAGATATTTGCAATATATATCTGAGTGCTCCACTGTTGGGTGCATATATACTTACAATTGCTATATCCTCTTGTTGAATTGATTTCTTTATTATTATATAATGTTCTTCTTTGTCTCTTTTTATAGTTTTGTCTTAAAATCTATGTAATGTGATATAAGTATAGCTATTCATACTCTTTTTTGGTTTCCATTTGCATGAAATATCTTTTTCGATTCCTTTAATTCACCTATTTATGTCTTTATAGGTGAAGTGTGTTTCTTGTAGGCAACAGATCTTGGGTCTAGTTTTTCTTTTTAATCCATTCAGCTGCTCCATGTCTTTTGACTGAAGTGTTTAGTCCATTTACATTCAATGTTATTATTGATAACTAAAGACTACTCCTGCCCTTTTGTTACTTGTTTACTGGTTGTTTTCTGGCCTTCTCTTCCTTCCTTCTTTCTTTTCTTCTTGTCTTCTTTTTACTGAAGCTGATTTTGTCTGGTGATATGTATTAATTTCTTACTTTTTATTTTTTGTGTATCTGTTGTATGTGTATGTTTTTGAGTTGATATTACCATGAGGCTTGGAAATAATATCTTATAACTCATTATTTTAAGCTGATGACAACTTAACACTGATTGTAATAACAAGCTAACAAACAAGCAAATATAAGGCTAATAGAAAAAAACTCTACACTTGAACTTCATCCCCCCACTTTTTAATTTTTTGTTGTTTCTATTGATACCTTATTATACTCTCAATGTCTTAAATGTTGCTTTAGGCTGGGTGCGGTGGCTCACACCAGTAATCTCAGCACTTTTGGAAGCCAAGGTGGGCAGATCACTGGAGCCCAAGAGTTCAAGACCAGCCTGGGCAACATGGCAAAAACTTGTCCCTCCTAAAAATACAAAAAATAGCCGGGTGTAGTGGTGTGCACCTGTAGTCCCAGCTACTCAGGAGGCTGAGGTGGGAGGATCACTTGAGCCAGGGAGGCAGAAGTTGCAGTGAGCCAAGGTCATGTCACTACACTCCAGGCCTGGACAACAAAGTAAGACCCCATCTCAAAAAAAAAAAGCATAGTTATTATTTTTTATATATTTTATAGGTTCTTCTTTTAGTCTTTCTACTCAAGATATAAGTGATTTACACACAATTTCAGGGGTTAGAATCTGTTTTTCTGTGTACTTACTATTAATAGTGAGATTTGTACCTTCAGATGATTTCTTACTGCTCATTAACATCCTTTTCTTTAAGATTGAAGAACTCCCTTTAGCCTTTAGCACTTCTTTCTTTTTTTATTTTTATTTATTTATTTGTTTTAAGATGGAGAGTCTCACTCTGTCACCCAGGCTGGAGTGCATGGCACAATCTCAGCTCACTGCAAACTCTGCCTCCCGGGTTCAAGTGATTCTCGAGCCTCAGCCTCCCAAGTAGCTGGGATTACAGTCATGCACCACCATGCCCTGCTAATTGTTGTATTTTTAGTGGAGACAGGTTTCACCATGTTGTCCAGGTTGGTCTCAAACTCCTGACCTCAAGTCCCTTTAGCATTTCTTATAGGACAGGTCTAGTGTTGATAAAATTGCTCAACTTTTGTTTGTCTGAGAAAGTATTTCTCCTTCATGTTTGAAGGGTATTTTCACTAGATATACTATTCTACGATAAAAGTTTTTTCCTTCAACACTTAAATACCACTCTCTCCCAGCCTGTAAGATTTCCCTCAAGAAGCCTACTGCCAGAAGTTTTGGAGCTCCCTTTTATGTTACTTATTTCTCTTCTCTTTCTGTTTTTAGGACCCTTTTTTTTATCCTTGACTTTTGGGAGTTTTTTTATTAAGTGTCTTGAGATAGTCTTATTTGGGTTAAATCTGCTTGGTTTCTGGAACCTTCTGGTATTTGAACACTGATATCTTTATCTAGGTTTGGGAAGTTCTCTGTAATTATCCCGTTGATAAAACTTTCTATCCTGATCTGTCTCTACCTTCTCTTAAGGCCAGTAACGCTTAGATTTGCCCTTTTGAGACTATTTTCTAGATCTTATAGGCATGTTTCATTCTTTCTCATTCTTTTTCTTTTGTCTCCTCTGACTCTGTATTTTCAAATAACCTGTCTTCAAGCTCAGTAATTCTTTCTTTGGCTTGGTCAATTCTGCTGTTAGGAGATTCTGATGCATTCTTTGGTGTGTCTATTTCATTTTTCAGCTCTGGAATTTCTGCTTAATTCTTTTTTATTATTTTGATCTCTTCATTAAATTTATGTGATAGGATTCTGAATTCCTTCTCTGAGTTATCTTGGATTTCACTGAGCTTCCTCAAAACAGCTATTTTGAATTCTCTGTCTGAAAGGTCCCTGTTTCTCCAGGATTGGTCCCTGGTGCCTTATTTGGTTGTTTGCTGAGGACATGTTTTCCTGAATTGTCTGACTGGCCCTGTGGCCTGAGTCACATTTCAGCTGAAGTCCCAGGCTGCTGCCAACACCTCCATGGCCTGGCAGTCTTCCACTGGAGTTCAAGTTACACTGCTCACCAGAGAATCACACGCATTCAGTGTGTGGACTCCATCCTCACAATCAGATGCTCAGTGTCCAAAATGCTGGGTAAGAAACATCCTGAAGAACACAAATCTGAGATACAGCCTCTTCCAGGCCTGCTCCAAGGCTCCAGACCAATGCATGAAGCACAGCCTGAGTCCACGTGCCTGAGGGAACAGACCTCCAAAGCCTACATTGGGAGCTTCCACCTGGCAAGGAAGGTGTGCTAAGGGCAGAGCTTCCGGCCTCCCTGTTATCTCAAATGTGGACCTATCACTGGGGCCCTAGTACTGGGCCCAATACTTGCCTCCACCCTTTGTCAATGCGAACATCCTTCCTCCTGGGGACAGAGATTTAGAGGTTGACTTTAGAAAAAGCCACTCTCTATAGATATTTTGAAGCAGCAAGTCCCCCCAGCTTCAAATTTTGTGCTGGCTGAGGCAGCCCAGCCTGGTTGGTGACTAGAATGGCCTGAACTGGGAGTCATGGAAACTGACTCAGAGTCATGGAAAGTTGGGGCTGAAAGGGGAAGAAGAGGTCATGCACCATCCGTCTTGCAGCTATAAAAACTAAGGTTTAGGTTGGTGAGGGGGTGTACCCGAAGGATGACTCAAAGGGTACTTCACGGGTAAAGGAACTCAGCTCAAATAAGGTGACTCAAGTCTATTTACAGCCTTGTCCAGTGTGGACTCAAGAATAGCCTGGCCTACCACCCTGAGCTGTCAGGGAGGACAGATGAGATGGACATTGTGAAAATGGGGTACTGCCAGCCTTTAAAATGCGGCGAGTGCACAAGTCACGCAGTGCTGTTATCAACTCATGATATAAGTTCCTCTTCCCTCCCCCGACTGCCTGTGTTGAGTCTCAAATTCATCCCACTGCAGGGAGGTCAGAAAAAGTTCAGAACTTCTTTCTGACCTCCCTCTTGTGGGATTTAATGAGGACATGAAGTGGTGACATTGAGGTGGGAGTTAAGGAGAATGTGCTGGGCTTGGGGCCCAGCAGATGGACATATGTTACCTGTGCCCCTGGGGATGATTCTACCTTCTAAAATGGGCCATGGAAACCTGGTTTCATGTGGTTGGGTCAATCCCCCCAGTGCTTCTGAGGTTGATGAGTTAAACGATGCAAAGGCCATGGTTGGGAGATCTCCTCTTGGGATACGACTTTGGTGAATTTACCTGGGTCTGGTCCTCATTCCTGCAAATCTAGAACCCGACCACCATCCAGACAAGAAGAGAGACTGAGACCCTACAATAACTCAAGTGATTTATTTTGGGGACACTCCTTTCCAGGAAGCTGAATGCTTGTGACCCTCATCTGTTTTTCTGATTTCAGCTGCCTGGGAGGTTGCCTGAGCAGGCAGGAGGCAGCTCATGGGCATGGACTTGAACTGATGCCTCGAATGGCCTGCCTGGCCTTTGTCTTTCTTTATGTTCCATTACCAAATATTCTGCTCCTGGAATCACAGCCTTTGTTTTTATTTATTTATTTATTTATTTATTTATTTATTATTTTAAATGTTTTATAGAGATGGGGGGTCTTGCCAGTACAGGCTGGTCTCAAATTCCTGGGCTCAAGCAAACATCCTGCCTCAGCCTCCCAAAATGCTGGGATTACACAACAATGCCCTAAAATAAGACTTTCAGGTGAAGCTTATGCATGTCTTTCCTGCTTGGTGAGTAGGGTATGATTAGAGTTGGATTTTTCCATCCCATATTCACTCTACAGAATCAATTTAGTGTTCTGCTTATCTATGGGACATTGATGTCATGTGATGGGTGATGTCATGTGATGGGTGATGTCATGTGATGGGTGATGTCATGTGATGTGTGATGTCATGTGATGGGTGATGTCATGTGATGCATGATGTCATGTGATGGGTGATGTCATGTGATGGGTGATGCCATGTGATGGGTTATGTCATGTGATGGGTGATGCCATGTGACAGGTGGTCATGTGACAAGGTGATCCTGTGATGAGTGGTCATGTGATGGGTGATGTCATGTGATGGGTGATGGGATGGGCGATGTCATGTGATGGGTGATCATGTGACAGGTGATGTCATGTGATGGGTGGTCATGTGATGGGTGATATGTAATGGGTGATGTCATGTGGGGGTGGTCATGTGATAGGTGATGTCATGTGATCGACGATCATGTGATGGGTGATGTCATGTGATGGGTGATGTCATGTGATGGGTGATCATGTGACAAGTGATCATGTGATGGGTGATGTCATATCATGGGTGATGTCATGTGACAGGTGATCATGTGACAGGTGATCATGTGATGGGTGATGTCATGTGATGGGTGATGCCATGTGACATGTGGTCATGTGACAGGTGATGTCATGTGATGGGTGATCATGTGATGAGTGATGTCATGTGATGGGTGA
Organism: Homo sapiens; assembly: GCF_000001405.40. Taxonomy (NCBI): domain Eukaryota; kingdom Metazoa; phylum Chordata; class Mammalia; order Primates; family Hominidae; genus Homo; species Homo sapiens. Next base: position 74,514,602 of record NC_000017.11, read on the forward strand.
TGTCATGTGATAGGTGATCATGTGATGAGTGATGTCATGTGACAGGGATGTCATGTGATGGGTGATCATGTGATGGGTGCTGTCATGTAATGGGTGGTCATGTGATGGGTGATGTCATGTGATGGGTGATGTGATGGGCAATCATGTGATGGGTGATGTGATGGTGATCATGTGACAGGTGATGTCATGTGATGGGTGGTCATGTGATGGGTGATATCATGTAATGGGTGATGTCATGCGGGGGTGGTCATGTGATAGGTGATGTCATGTGATGGGTGATCATGTGATGGGTGATGTCACGTGATGGGTGATATCACATGATGGGCGACATCACGTGATGGGCGATCATATGATGGGTGATGTCATGTGATGGGCAATATCACGTGATGGGCGACATCACGTGATGGGCAATCATGTGATGGGTGATGTCACATCATGGGTGATCATGTGATGGGTGATTGATGTCATATGATTCCAGGGGGAGCACCTGTTCACCAAGCAGGGGAGAGGCTGTGAGTTCTCTGCCACGCTGGTAACACAATCTCTACTGGGGCTTCCTAGTGCTGACTGCTGCAGGTGGCTCATCATAGCACACCAAGGGCCACCACAGGGACACATTACCAAAGGAAACCCCAGAAGACACAAAACATCCCCTTCTTCCTCCATAAACTTGGGAGCCAGATGTTGGGTGACATCGTTCACCATCTCTGGCTGCTCTGGCCTTGCTGGAACCCCCTGTTTTCTCTTTCTCCTCTTGCATCATGATAAATGGCCGATCATTAATGGATGAAAAGTGGTGTCTCTGACACAAAGGCTCAACGAGGCGTCTCTGTCAAAGGGTCACACTAGATTCTATATCCACACACAGGAGACCTCTGGACTGGGGACCCTGAGCAGTGCCTTGGAGAATTCTGCAGCTTCCTGCTCTCAGGCCTGTGGCCCCATCTCTCCTTGATTGATGCCCCCAAGGATGCCCTGAGGTTAGAACACTCCCTCCGTGGGTGTGTTCTTGAGGCCACCCAAAGTGGGGAGCTGTGTCTGAGACTCCACTTACGGCCAGAATACTCAAAGGCGTTATCTCCCAGGTAAAATGGTGGACCAGAAACTACCTGCTTGTGAGTAAGTAAGGAAGGAGAGCCAAGGTAAAGCCATTAGCATTTGCAGACCAGTTGTTCCCTGACAAACATAGATTTAGAACAGAAATTGGCAGCTAAATAAAGTTTAGTACTTGTATTACTCAGGGTTCTCTAGAGGGACAGAACTAATAGGAGATATATATATATATATGAAGGGGAGTTTATTAGGAAAATGAACTCACACAATCACAAGGTAAAGTCCCACAATAGGCTGTTTGCAAGCTGAGGAGCCAGGAAGCCAGTCCAAGTACCAAAACCTCAAAGGTACGGAAGCTGACAGAGCAACCTTCAGTCTGTAGCTGAAAGCCCAAGAGCCCCTGGCAAATCACTGGTGTAAGTCCAAGAGTCCAGAAGCTGAAGAACTTGGAGTCCGATGTTCAAGGGCAGGAAGCATTTACCATGGGAGAAAGGTGGAGGCTGGAAGACTTAGCCAATCTAGTCTTTCATGTTCTTCTGCCTACTTTTATTCTGGCCACACTGGCAGCTGATTGGATGGTGCCCACCCGGATTGAGGGTGGGTCTGCCTTTCCCATTCCACTGACTCAAACGTTAATCTCCTTTGACAATACCCTCACAGACACACCCAGGAACAATACTTTGCATCCTTCAATCTGATCAAGTTGACATTCAGTATTAACCATCAAAGTACTTTTTTTTTTTTTGGCCAGTGGTACAGTTGCCTGGGTTAGTACTGAGACAAAAGGATGATGGTGGGGGATGCTGGCTTGCACAGGACTTCAGCTGTGAGGAGCCTGTGTCCTCGCGGAGGCTTCTGTTTGCAGAAAGAAAGTTGCCATGGCCCTGGAGGAGATGGAGCTGAGAAGCTGAGGAGGGGGAGAAAGGGTCAAGTTCCTGATGCTGCAGCCCACAGAGACCCCTCCAACCTGCCTCAGGAGAGGGTGTGAGGGCAGGAGCTTGTTGTGTTCACAAAGATGGAGGCACAGTGGTCTAGAAAGACCCAGGAGGAGGCTCAGAATGGAGCGGGGTCCAGCAAGACTTCTGCAACAGGCGTTTTTGTCTCCTCCTACCCAACTCCACTCCAGGATGGAGCCATCACCAGGTCTGGCCATCCACCCTTCCAAATGTGAATCAGGGGAGGATAGTCCCAGCTGGAAGCTGGTCCCAATCACCTTGTCAGTAATTAAGCTAGGGGTGGTCACCAGAGTCTGAAGCAGCCAATGAGACATTGAGGGGATGTGATGGGGGTGGGGACTCTGGGAAACTTCTGGGATCAGTGGTCTGGTTTTCTTCCTCAGAAGTCCTTGTGTCTGGTGTCTGGGCTGATCTCTCTCTGCTGCCTACTTCAGAGATCTCTCTCTGCTGCCTTAGGATGAAGACAGTTCTGAGGCCATGACCACAGAGCAAGAAGGAACTTGTATCAACCAATTCCAAGGACACCACCAAGGCCAAACAAACAAACCAAAAGCCCCAAATCAGCAATTAACAGTGAAACAAGAGAGGAAGCAGTGGCTGCCATGATCAGTGGCTGACCTTACAGAGAGGCTAGTATTTAGGGGATGAACTGCAGGGCTTGGGGGAGCAATAGGCTTAGACCACCCAAAATGGGCGCTGTGTCTGAGACTCCACTTAACGATCAGAATACTCAAAGGCACTACCTCCCAGATAAAATCTTGGACTAGAAACTACCTACTTGCGAGTAAGGGAAATGATTTTTTAAAAAAATAGTAATAATTGAAAAACTGGAAATTCATATGCAAAAGAATGACACTGGAGCCTTCCCTAATAACATAGACAAAAATTAACTCAAATGGATCAAAGACCTAAATGTAGGATCTAAAACCATAAAACTCTTAGAAGAAAACACAAGGCAAAAGTTTCACAGCATTGGATTTGCCAGTGATTTCATAGACATGATGCTGAGGGGACAGGCAACAACAACAACAACACAGACAAATGGAACTTCATGAAAATTTAAATTATGTGTTTTTGACTCATATCTTTTTTTTTTTAAGAGATGGGGGTTTTGCTATGCTGCCCAGGCTGAAATGCAGTGGCTATTTACTGGCATGATCATGGCGCACCACAGCCTCAAACTCCTGAGTCCAAGTGATCCTCTCACCTCTGCCTCCTGAGTAGCCAGGATTACAGGTGCAAACCACCATGTCTGGCTAAAATTTCAAAATTTGTGCACCAAATGACAATATCAACAGAGTAAAAAGGCAACTCACACAATGGGATAAAATATTTGCAAATTACATATCTGATAAGGAATTATATCCCAAATATAGACAGAACTCCTAAAACAATAAAAAAAAAAAAGGCCCGATTAAATGGGCAAAGGACTTGACATTTCTCCAGAAGAAATCTACAAATAGCCAATAAATACATGAAAAGATGCTCAACACCACTCATTATCAGGAAAATGCAAATCAAAACCACAATGGGATATCACTTCACACCTGTTAGAATAGCCATTGTGTGTGTGTATATATGTGTGTATAAAAACATGTATAAAACAACAGAAACAACAAATGCTGGTGAGAATGTGTATATATATATGTATAGAAACAACATGTATAAAACAACAGAAAACAACAAATGCTGGTGAGAATGTGGAGACACTAGAACCCTTGTGCACTATTGGTGGGGAGGTAAAATGGTGTAGCTGCTATTATGGGAAATAGTATTGAGGTTACTCAAAAAATTAAAAATAGAACTATCATATGATCCAGAAGTCCCACTTCTGGGTATTTATCCAGAAAAACTGAAAACAGGATTGCAAAGTGCTATCTGCATGCCTATGTTCATTGGAAGCAGCATTATTCACAATAACCAAGAGATGGAAACAGCCTAAACGTCCATCAATGGATGAATGGATAAAGAAAGTGTGATATGTACATACAATGTGATGCGGTTTGGCTCTGTGTCCCCACCCAAATCTCATCGTGTAGCTCCCATAATTCCCACATGTTGTAGGAGGGACCTGGTGGGAGATGACTGAATCATGAGGGCAGGGCTTCCCCGTGCTGTTCTGGTGGTAGTGAATGGGTCTCATGAGATCTGATGGTTTTATAAACGGGAGTCTCCCTGCAGAAGCTCTCTCTCTTTGCCTGCTGCCATCCATGTAAGATGTGACTTGCTCCTCCTTGCCTTCCACCATGATTGTAAGGCCTCCCCAGCCATGTGGAACTGTAAGTCCAATAAACCTCTTTCTTTTGTAAATTGCCCAGTCTTGGGTATGTGTTTATCGGCAGTGTGAAAACAGGCTAATACACAATGGAATAATATTTTAGTGGGGGATGAGAACAAAATATTTTATAGTGTGCTTGAAAGTAGGCTGAGAACACAGTTTTTTCTTCTATTTATTTTCTTTTAAAAATTATTACTATTTTTAATTGACACATAATCAGACATTTATGGGGCACATTGTGATATTTTGATACATGTATATAATGTGTAATGATCAAATAAGGGTAATCAGCATATCCATCACCTCACTTTTGTGTTGGAAACATTCAAAATCTACTCTTCTAGCTATTTGAAAATATACAATAAGTTGTTGACAATTATAGACATCCCCTAGTGCTATAGCACACGAGGATTTATTCTGCCTATGCAGCTGTACTTTTGTATCTGTTAACAAATCTCTGGCTATCCCCTAACCCCCAACACACTGCCCCACCTCTAATAACCACTGTTCTATTCTCTATGTCTTGAGATCAACTTGAGAACATGCAGTATTTCTCTTTCTGGGCCTGACTTATTTCATTCACATAACGTCCTCCAAGCTCATCCATGTTGCCACAAATGATAGAATTTTGTTCTTTTTTTTTTTTTTAAACGGTGTCTTGCTCTGTCGCCAGGCTGAAGTGCAGTGGCAGGATCTTGGCTCACTGCAACCTCCACCTCCTGGGTTCAAGCGATTCTCCTGCCTCAGCCTCCTGAGTAGCTGGGACTACAGGCACACACTAACAGGCCCAGCTAATTTTTGCATTTTTAGTAGAGACAGGGTTTCACCATGTTGGCCAGGATGGTCTTGATCTCTTGATCTCGTGATCCGCCTGCCTCGGCCTCCCAAAGTGCTGGGATTACAGGCGTGAGCCACCGCGCCCAGTCGAATTTTGTTCTTTCTTACATCTAAACAGTATTCCATTATGTATATGTGCCACGTATTCTTTATCTTACAATGGAATATAATTTTATTCAGCCTTAACAAAGAAGGAAATCCTGCCGTATTCAACAACATGGATGCATCTTGAGGACATTATGCTAACTAAAATAAGACAGTCACAGGTTAAAGGCTGCATGGTTCTGGTTACATGAGGTAACTAAACTAGTCACACTCATAGAAGCAAAAAGTAAAATAGTGGCAGCCGGGGGCTGGTGGAGGAGTGGGAGGGAGAGTTGCTACTCAATGGGCATGATTTAGTCATGCAAGGTGAGAAAGTTCTAGAACTCTGCTGTACAACAATGTGCATATAATTAATCATATTTTACCACACACCTAAGAGTTTGTTAAGAGGGCAGATTTCATGTTAGGTGTTTTTTGTTTGTTCATTTTTTACCACAATTTTTAAAAAGGGGAAGAAGAAGGAACCCATGTCTGCCTCTCTGGTGAGGGCCCTTCCCGCTGCTATCTCTTTACTGCCCCTAGCCAGCTGCCCTCGGCTCTGAACTTCCTCTGTGGCTATGCAGTTGTTCAGAAGTAAAGGCCTGTGGGAAGGGCCTCATGGGGAAGGAAAAGCTGTGCTTTTTTCTTAAAAGAGCAAGATCCACACCTGCCCACTAACTTTTTTTTTTTTTTTGAGACAGAGTTTCGCTCTGTCCTCTGTCACCCAGGCTGAAGTGCAATGGCACCATCTCGTCTCACTGCAACCTCCACTTCCCGGGTTCAAGTGATCCTCCTGCCTCAGCCTCCTGAGTAGCTGGGACTACAGGTGTACACCACCACACCCAGCTAATTGCTGTATTTTTAGTAGAGACAGCAGTTTTGCCATGTTGGCCAGGCTGGTCTTGAACTCCTGACCTCAGGTGATCCACCTGCCTCAGCCTCCCAAAGGTCTGGGATTACAGGCGGGAGCCACCATGCCCGGCCTCACTAACTTTTGGTTCCATTAAGTGTGAAAATCAGCATATGCCGAATCCTCATGGTCTGTGGCTATTTAAGGGCATGACGGCTTTGGCTCCAAGCTCCCAATGGAAACATATTTGCTGGAAAATGCAATGCCAGCACTAGTGACTCATTTATTGACTTCCGTCTTTCTCCCTACCCCAGAGAATGGGCGTATTAGGCAAGCCTTGCTTGTCAGCTTGTGTTGGAACCCCAAGGGGTATTCCTAGAGATGTGTACAAGGGGTGGTGGTGTAAGGGCGTGCGCGGTGGGTGGTAGTTGGGCAGACAGACAATAGATGCCTACTTTACTCCAGTGGATTCTCCTTAACAGAGCCACGAGAATAACAACCCAGCCACACTAGCTCCAGAGAGATTGACGGATTCATTGAATATCAACAGGAAGAAACGGTGGGAAAAGAATGACATCACGTTGACAAGCGCCCATGTCCCCTCGCCCCTGAGTCCAGCTGGTGAAGCACCATGCTTTGGCTTTCCCTCCCGCGGAGCGGTGCCGTCCTCCCTGGGTCTGGTCGGATCTTCGGGAAGCTGGATCCAGGAAAGCATTCCAGGAGGTAGGGCCCTGGGGCTGGTGGACTGTGGGTCTTGGTCCCTCACAGAATGACTCAGGGGATCTTAGCCGGGCTCGAACTCTCCTCTCTGGCCATTATGGAATTTTCAGGCCCATCATTGGCCAGAGACCTAAATTCAGTTCAAAGTCAGAGAAAGTTTCTCTTTGGCTGAAGGACAAGAAGAGGGGAGGCTCTGGGTGCCATGCTAGGGACCAGAGGGTCCCCTCTCCTTTATCCACTGCTGACAGTCAGTACTCCCTATTAGAACCAAGAGCAGGTTGGAGGCGTCCTCATGGGTGTTCAAAGGGCAACATGCCGAACATGTGTGGTGTGTTTGCTTGTGGGCAGGTGGGGGCGGGAGCACATCTCACATGGGAAGGTCCCTTTGGTGTGAGGGTCCCTCAACCATACAGCACAAAGTGACCACATTCAAGGGCCTCATCGCCGTGGGTGAAGCCTGTGAGGAGACAGAACCACTTCCCTAGGACAGTTTTCATTAGTAACATGATTTCAACATCACCGAAAAGGGAGGGTGCCATTTCCTGCGATGGTTTTCGTTACTGCCCTCCCCACCTGGAGGTGGTTCTTGAGGCCTGACAGGCTCTTTTGGGGAGGAGACCCAAGCTGTCATGCTGAGGAGGCTCCCAAGCTGCAGCCCCTCGGAGGTGGGGGAATAGGCAGGGAGCTTGGGGAGCTAGGAGGAGGAAGAGGTGGGAGGGGGAGGACAAGCACCGGGCCGGGCCAGGGAGGTTCCCATTGCCTCCTCAGCCCTGTGGACTCAGAGCCATGTCCTCCCTGGGGACAGGGTCCATCCAGCCCCTCATGCCCTAGAACCAGGAACTCATCCCAGAATCACCCTCCTTGTGTGTGGGATCAGAGAGGTTTCCTATGAACATAAGTCATTAAAACCCAACTTTGCTAGAAAAAAAAAAATTTAAAAACACGGATATATCAGGTTCTCAGGCAAAGACGGTGTTGAGTTGGTCTCCGGAATGATGGAAGTCTAGGGCTGGGGGGGTCTCCCCCAACCTCTTTCTGTACTTTGGTCCCATGCTCTGTGCCCGAGTTATTCCAGCAGTGGGGACAGAGTCGTCCAGTGCTTGAGCTCCATCTCTACAGCTCCTGACCAAGAGAACAGGTGCTGGCACCCCAGGAGGTGATGGTGGCTCAGGAGAGGACCTGGCTAAGTCCCTGAGCTGTGCAGAACAGGGAGGTGCCCACCAGCTCCAAGGCCAGGGCGGAGGCCCAGGGCCCCTATCTCAGTCACTGCATCCCGAGGACTCGTAGATGTTCCTTCCACAGCCCGAGTCTCTTCTGGAAACGTGGCCAGGGCAGGAAGGCTCTGCAGATCCATCTCTCTAAGTGGCCATGTCTTTAGTCAGAGGTTCGGAGAAGTTCATGTAGATAGGCTGTTCCCCTGGCTCCTCAGGGACCCTCTGAGACCCCTTCAACCAGAGGATGGCAGTGACCAAGATGAGCAAGATGGGCACCTTCACAAATACCAGGAGCATGTAGTGGTTCCTGGGGAAGGGGATGCAGTGGTCAGAGCCCTGGGCATCCCCAGGCCATGTCACTCCCATCCCCTGACCCTGTGAGCCACCAGCCAAAGCCTGTGACCCTGGGCCGGGCAGCCCCACTCTGAAGATTCCTGTAAACCTCCTCCTTGGTTCAACCTCAAGGGGTCCTCCAACAGTCACCTTGGCTGGTTTTGCACGGGGCCCATCTTCCTTTCTAACATCACCTTCTGGGACCCTCTTTGCCCAAAGTACATCTCAGCTCAACAGAAGCGCCAGAGGTCACCAAATACAGGTTGTGTTTCCTGCCTCTGTTCCTGCTAATGCTAGCTCCAGGCTGGTAAATCACCCTTCCTGTTCTGTGTCCCTTGATGTCTTGCACCACAGAGGGTGGTATCTTATCTCCCCCTGGCACCCATTAGGCCACCAATGCAAGGTTGACTGATTGACTGGGAGAATGATGCTCACTGAGAAGAGTTCTGCAGAGCGGTTTTCTGGTGAGAGCTAGAGTGGGGAGATGGTGGATTGCAGTGATGGGGGCAGGAGAGAGATGGAGGGTGGGCTTGGGGCCTTGACTCTGGCTAGAACAGGTGCTGGCATTTGGTGACAGGCAGGAGTTCCCAGGCTTGGCTTCCCCTTAGGAGGGACCCCAGGTAGGGGCAGGAGAAAGAACCACATGACTCACCTCTTGTGGGAGCCGATGAACACTGCCATATTGCTGTTGGTAGGTGAGCTTGCTGTTGTGGAAGCCGCTCCCTCTAGACACAGGCAAAGTCAGCCATGGGTTATTAGCACAGTTGGGAGCTCATGCATGGGTCACAAAGCCACGCGACCCTGCCAGCCCTCACCAGAAGACCCTTTTCCCTGGAGTAGGAGGATTTTTCTCTCCTGCTACAGCCCCTCATGCTTCTACTGAGTCACTTCAATCTCAACACACAGACATTTTTCCTCATCATGTTCAGATGTGGCAAGAAAAATTAAAAATTAAACAGGAGTAAACACTGTAGTTTATTCTGGGAGAGAGAGGTTTTTTCATACTTTCTTTCCACCTATCCTGCAAGTGGGACTATTGGATGGGGAAATAAATTTCTGGTCTTTTCCACTGGAGTGGTGCCTGAGCAGGGCTTAAGGAGAGAAGATTCTGGAAATGGGCTGTCCAGAAATTGGGGTAGTCCAGAAAAAGGGAAAGGGGACTCCAGAAGGCTCATGAAGAAAAGGGCACACTCCAGTTAACTAGAGAACATCGACTATGAGAAACGGAACATTTTTAGGAGCAACCATATAGGCAATTTGTTGGGGGCAGTCTGGTCAGGGGGGCCCTGAGCCCAGCCCAGCACTGAGTATCCATGACCCAACAGTGATCTTTTATTTCAGTCCTCGGCCCCAGCAAATTTTTCTCAAAGGTCCCAGGCTGTCCAGGCACGGTGGTTCACGCCTGTAATCCCAGCACTTTGGAAGACCAAGGGAGGCAGATCGCTTGAGGCCAGGAGTTTGAAACCAGCCTGGGCAACATGGTGAAATCCCATCTCTACAAAAAATACAAAATGAACCAGGCGTGGTCATGTGCCCCTGTAGTCCCAGCTACTCAGGAAGCTGAAGTGGAAGGATTGATTGAGCCCAGGAGGTCGAGGCTGCAGTGAGTCAAGTTCACCCCACTGCACTCCAGCCTGGGCTACAGACTGAAACCCTGTCTCAAAAAACAAACAAAACAAAATAAAACAAAACAAAACAAAAAAGTCCCAGGCTTTGGCCACACTAGGTGGGCTCCTGTCTGAGCTGCAGGTAATTCCAATCACAACAGTTCCTATGGAGCCCCTGATCGTTTTACAGGCTGGTACCCCTGTAGATCCCCCACCCAAGACTCCGGAACATCTCTCTCCCTAAAGCTCCACACTGGCCACTGTTTTTTGTCTCTTTGTACCGCCTGCATGTCTTGCTCAATCCCCTCTCTGCCCCCATAGATATTCTGGGTTTCCCCTACTTGGCAGCCCTGGGGAAGTCTTGCTTGACCCTTTCTGGACTCCTCTTTACTCAGCTGCAGCCACTGTGTCCATGTGCCTCTTTGGTCCCAACCCCAACAGTACACAGGCTTGTTCTAAAGCCGGCATTGTCTATTTCCACATCACCACCAAATGGACCCGAGTGGACACTGAGCTGATGAAGTACTGAGTAGGGGTGTGCGGGTGGAAGTGGGGGTTGGGGGCTGCTTCCCAGACTCCAGCAACAGCAGCAGGATGACCCCAGAGTCTATCAGTAGAGTCCAAGGCATGGAGGAGAAGCCAGGGCACCCAGAGTGGTCCCTGACGTTGCCCGTGATGGAAGCCATCCTTTTGCTTTAAAGCGTCCACTGTCACCCATGCACCTCCCTGGGGCTTTCTTACCCCGTGCTCATCTTACACAGCCAGATAAAGTAGCGGAGCAGGTGGCTGGGGACCTAGAGAGGAGGGTGTTGTAAGACACCCAGAGCTACTCTGGGTTGGTGCAGTTAGTGGGACTCAATACTAGGACCCCCTGGGCAGCTCTAGGTTCCTTCTCTGCCATGTCATGAGCAGGGCTGGGCCACCAGTCACCAAAGCTGAGGTCCCCATTCCCACCCCCATCCCAAGCCCCACCTGGATTCCTTGGAGAGACCTCAGGGACTGAGATAGCAGAGCGATGCTGGCCACCACTCTCCCTTAGTTTCTGTCACCTCCTTCCCAGTCAGTTTGTCTGCCTGTCTGTCTGTCTGTCTCTCTCTCTCTCTCTCTTAGGCTCACCATCATTCCCTTTCAGCCTTGGAGGGGAGCAGGTAAGAGCACTGACTTTCCCAGCCCTGAGCTCCAGGGCCTCCTTGTGTAGATGAGAAAGTTCTTACCTGGGTCAACGATCACTTTCACTTGAGTCCCAAGGTCAGGTCCTCTTCTTTCAATCCCACACCAGTAAACATCTGCGTCATCTCGCCTGAGCCCCTCCATGGTCACAGTGAACGTGCGGTCTTTCTGATTGTCCTTGATGGACACACGGTCACTCTTCTCTCCTTGCTCCGACCCTCTGGTTTCAATGAGGATCTTGCATGTATCCCAGCGCACCCCTCGGCACCACCACTTAATGTAGGTCTCCCATCCTTGCTTATAGTGGCATTGAACCGTCAGGGACCCCTGCTCTGGGGCTCTCACAGACTCTGGGCCTTGGATGGAGAAACAGCCTGGAAAACAGAATCCCAAGATACAGCTCATTGCACCGGCACGAACCCCTGCTCTGGGGCTCTCACGGACTCTGGGCCTTGGATGGAGAAACAGCCTGGAAAACAAAATCCCAAGATACAGCTCCTGTTGCCTGAGCCAGTTTGGTGTTTAAGAGTCCCGAGTGTGTCTCTAGCACACCCGATTCCTCATCCCCATCTCCCTCTCAGTCCATTCCCCCACCAGCTTCTAGACCTGCTTAGCATGTGACACCATGGTCTCCTACCACCTTCTTTCCTTGTCCTCTCAATGCTGTTTTCATCGGAGCCAAATATTTAACAACCAGCCCTCTGGGGGAAAAAATCTCTGGTTTAGGAGCTGGGCACGGTGGCTCACACTTGTAATCCCAGCACTTTGGGAAGCCAAGGTGGGCAGATCACCTGAGGTCAGGAGTTCGAGACCTGCATGGCCAACATGGTGAAACCCAGTCTTTACTAAAAATACAAAAATTAGCTGGGCGTGGTGGCAGTCACCTGTAGTCTCAGCTATGCGGGAGGCTGAAGCATGAAAATTGCTTGAACCCGGGAGGCGGAGGTTGCAGTGAGCTGAGATCGCACCACTGCACTCCAGCCTAGGCAACAGAGTGAGACTCTTGTCTAGAAAAAGAAAAAGAAAAAAAATCTGGTTTTAATATTTGCCAAATTCCATAGTGTAAATACTCCCACGGTGGCAGATGTCAGGTAATCCATGTGATGTCACTGGACACAGAGCTGGGAAAAGATGTCCCAAGCCAGCTCCTGTGAGCCAGCCCCAGCACACTGCGGGGGTACCCAGGGTTCCCTCTCCAGCCTTCATCTTGTCTCACCTGACAAGCCTCCATGGAGGGAGTCTCTCCATTTCCATGGCTTTAATGATTACCTGTTTCCTGATGATTCCCAAATCCATATTTGCAGCTCAGACTCCCCTTAGCTAGCCCACCATTTACAAAGACACACTGGATGTCTCCACCCCAGATTCCTTCGTTGCAGAATTGAATGCACTTCCTCTCCCACCCTGAACTACTCTTCTTCAGTATTTTTTTCTAGTGGAGCAATTGGATGTGGCAAGAGTAACAAAGGCCTGGTGAAAGCTGAACAGGTTAGAGGTGAGCATAATCAAATGGCAGTCCGTGCCTCCGCTGATTGACTCCAGTTAGGCTGTGTGTAGATAGGCTCTTTCCTTGGCAATGACACGGGTTTCTTGATCACGCAGAAGTGGATAAACAGGCAGAGAATCACAGGGGAAGCCTCTCTTGACTGTCTCTTGGCCTCAGAGCTTCAGGCCCAGGCCAGGGGTCTCTGCAGGGTGGAGAAAGCCAGGTCTATTTCTCCAGGCAGATGCCGCCTCCTCACAGCTTGGGCCTTCTCCTTGAAGCTGTGTTAGTTTTCTTGAACTTTGCATTCGTGGTTGGTAGAATAATGTCCCCCATAGCTGTTGGCATCCTCATACACAGAACCTGCGAATATGTCCCCTGACATGGCCAGAGGGACTCTGCCGATGTGATGAAGTTAAGGACCTTGAGACAGGAAGAATATCCCGAATAATCTCCATGGATATTCTAAGTGAAAGAGGGTTGAGGGAGAGTCCAATTGGAAGATGGTCTGTTGCTGCTTTGAAGTGGAAGAAGAGGCCACCGGCCAAGGAAAGCAGATGGCTTCTAGAAGCTGGAAAATGCAGGGAAACAGATTCTCCCCTAGAATAGGGGTTCCCAACCCCAGGACAACAGACTAGTAACAGCCCATGGCCTGTTAGGAACCGGACCTTACAGCAGGAGGTGAGCGGTGGGCAAGCAAGCGAAGCTTCATCTGTATTTACAGCCACTCCCCGTTGTTCAAACTACCACCTGATCTCCGCCTCCCATCAGACCAGCGGCCGCATTAGATTCTCATAGAAGTGAGAACCCTATTGTGAACTTCGTGTGTGAGGGATCTAGATTGCACACACTTTATGAGACTCTAATGCCTGATGATGTGTCACTGTCTCCCATCACCCCCAGATGGGATCATCTAGTTGCAGGTAAACAAGCTTAGGGCTCCCACTGATTCTACATTATGGTGCAGTGTATAATCATTTCATTATATATTATAATATAATAGTAATATAAAGTATACAATAAGTGTAATGCGTTTGAATCATCCCAAACCATCCTCACCCCACTCCTGATGTGGAAAAATTGTCTTCCACAAAACCGGATCCTGGTGCCAAAAAGGTTGGGGACCACTGCTCTAAAGAAACCCAACCCTACTTGCACCTCAATTTTAACCAGTAAGACCACGCCAGGCTCTGGTCTTCAGAAGCATCAATGAGATGATGAAATTGTGCAGTTCTAAGCCATAGAGTTCATGTTAATTTGTTACAGCAGCCACTGGAAATTCACATGGCATTCAATCAGCAGAACCAACTTGATTCTCTTCAAACCAGCAGCTCCACCACCCAGCCTTCAGGAAGAGCTTGGCATCTTCTTTCATGCTGTCCTCTCCTTCAGCCCCCGAGCTGATTGGTAGCCAGTTTAGTCAGCTCTATCCTAGAGATGCTCCTCAGTTTTTTTTTTTCTTCTTTCAGTCTCTGCCATCGCAGGCCACAAGGACAGCATGACATCAGAGAGAGTGTGAGCTTTGATGCAGAAAGACTTGACACTGAACTAGTTGGGAAACCCTGGCAGAGTTGCTTAACCTCTGCAAGTATCGCTTCCTTATTCATAAGACAGTCATGCTACGCTCTACTTTGAAGGTGGTAATAGGACTTGGATGTGTGTAGGCTGGGCAAGGTGGCTCATGCCTGTAATTCCAAAGCTGTGGGAGGCTGAGGCAGGAGGATCGCTTGAGCCCAGGAGTTCCAGACTAACCTGGGCAACATGGTGAAACCCTGTGTCTGCAAATGCAAAAGATTAGCCAGGAGTGGTGGTGCATGCCTGTGGTCCCCACTGCTTGGGGGGCTGAGGTGGGAGGATCGCCTGAGCCTGAGAGTTCAAGGCTGCAGTGAGTTATAATCGCCCACCACTGCACTTCAGCCTGGGTGACAGAGTGAGACACTGTCTTCAAAAAATTATTTATTTTTAAATTTAAAAGAAGACTTGGATGTATGTCCAACGCCAGACATTTGGGGTTTGCTCTGTCAGTGACAGCTCATCAACAGGTCAGAACTTCATCTGTGCCTGGATCATGGCAGTGGCATCTGGAGAGGTCTTCCCAGCCCCAGCAGCATCCTCCCCAACTCTCCTCTCCTGAGGATTATGGCCTTCATAATCTTGTCTTTTGTGTTTCCAACCTCATATCCAACTCGCCACCCCCAAGATGTCCTGCACACTGACAGCTCCCTCAGCTTTCCTCTCCATACTGCTGCCTGAGTTGGGTACTGAGACTGTCTCCTCCTCCTCATCAGCTGCACTTGCCCTGAGCATCTAAAAGTCTTTTCGGGGCCGGGCACGGTGGCTCATGCCTGTATTCCCGCACTTTGGGAGGCCAAGGTGGGTGGATCACCTGAGGTCAGGAGTTCAAGACCAACCTCACCAACATGGTGAAATCCTGTCTCTACTAAAATTACAAAAATTAGCCAGGCATGGTGGCAGGCACCTTAATCCCAGCTTCTTGGGAGACTGAGGCAGAAGAATCACTCGAACCTGGGAGGCGGAGGTTGCAGTGAGCCAAGGTTGCACCACTGCACTCCAACCTGGGTGACAGAGTGAAACTCCGTCTCAAAAACAAAAAACAAAAACAAAAACAAAATACCCAAAAACATAAATTGGATTTGTCAGCAATCACTAACAGCAGAAAAGAGATGCTGCTGCATTGAACAAAGTGTCATCAATCCCAGCTTCAGTCATTCAAACTGTAAATGGCTCACGATGTAATTAGTCCCGTTTAAAAAAATATTTGGGGGTTTCTCTAACCACAGAATATGATGGCTGGAACTATTAATCAGGCTTCTATATGTTGTCAAGAGTTGGTATGAGGAACGATAGAGATGGAAATGACAGGGCAGCCGTCAGCTTGGAGCAGAGCCCCGTTGAACGGGCTGAAGGGTGGAAGTCCAGCCAGGACTGGAGTCGGGTCTCAGAACTCCCCAGCCATGCTCTTTCCTGTTGTCCCTCCGTGGACTGCTCTATCTGTGCCAGATGGTCAGTCCCTAGGCACCAGCAGAAAACTGTGTGGCCCACACACATTGCACACCCTGCGTAAAATTCTAGATTGTCCCCTAATGCCCTCTAGGTGTCCACCAAGGTTTGCCATGGAGAAGATCATCTAGCCCTTCCCACTTTCCACCTGGGTTCTTGAGAAGTTTTTTCTTTGAAAGTCTCAGCTCCTGAGCCTGGCGTGGATGGCCTTCATAATCTTGTCTTTTGTGTTTCCAACCTCATATCCAACTCGCCACCTCCAAGACATCCTGCACACTGACAGCTCCCTCTGCATGAATCCACCATTCTTTCTAAGCCTCCATCTCTCTGCCCAGGTCCCCCAACACACACACACACACACACACACACACACACACACACACACCCAACTCTCTAGAGTGTTCTCCTCTCAGCTCTGCTCCAGAGACTGACCTTCCTTCTACAAGGCACATCAAGTGCACAGCTTCGTGAGTCTTTCTCTAGTCACCAGAGAGAACTGCTTCATCCTCCGCACACGCCTCCACCAATGCCTTATTGTGTCCTGCAATTGCTCATTGTTTATGTGTATGTCTCACCCACTAAGCCATCTGGAGTCTTTTTACTTTATTTTTTTTTTGAGACAAGGTCCCACTGTATCACCCAGGCTGGAGTGCTGTGGTGCGATCATAACTCTGCAGAATTGAATACCTGAGCTCAAAGGATCCTCCAGCTTCAGCCTCCCAAGTAGCTGGGACTACAGGCACGGTCACCACGCCCAGCTAATTTTTGTTCATTTTATATAGAGACGAGGTCTCACCATGTTGCCCAAACTGGTCTTAAACGCCTGGACTCAAGCAATCCTCCCACCTTGGCCTCCCAAAGTGTTAGGATTATAGGTGTGAGCCATGGCCTCAAGCCTGGAGTCTTCTTTAATGGCCAGTTCTCCTCCTCTTTTTTCTTGATGTCCTCAGGCCCCGAAGCACACGATGTCAGTCCCCAGTGCACCTTTGTCGAATGACTTCACAAAGCCACCTCTCATTTCCCTGGATGTGGAAGGACAAATGCCCTCTGCCTCCTGCCCTGCCCCTGTCATACCAAGCGCCCAAGGCCCCAGCCCCACTCACCTGAGAGGCTGAGAAGGAGCAGAGCAGGGGGCAGCCACATGGCTCTGCCTTCCCGGCTCCTCGTCCGCCTGATCTGCAACCAGTGGCAAATGCAGATCCCAGATGCACTCTGGAAGTTCTGCCTGAGCTCTGGCTTGCACCTTCTGCACATCTAGACCGCCTTTGACTTTCTTACTCATTCACTTCCTTTTATAGAGTGGGTAGTTCCTGCTTTTAATTATTAAACGAAAGAGGTGTCATTTTTTGGCAGGGCTGCGCCACAGGGCTTAAGCATCGTCACTATGTAAAAAAGAGGAGGGAGGGGACTGTGCAGGGTCTTTAGGGTAGGGGGAGATACGTCTGCAGAAGGGGTGGGGTGGGGGGCGTCTGGCCTAGCAGGCCTTGGGTCCAAGGGGTATAACACTCTGGGAGTCAATTTCAGAGCTGTTCTATACCACAGTGAACACCCAACTCAGATGTCGGATGGGTCATGCTGGGCACACCTGAACATGCATTTGTTCAGGTGTTATAGCCAAGTGCATAAACATGCAGACTGTTGGGTCAGACAGACCTGGCTCTAACCCCACGAGCACCACCTACAAGCTGCGTGACTGTGGACAATGCAATCAACATCTCTGTGCCTCAGTTATTGTATCTATTAACTGGGCTCATAATGTTTGTTGTTGTTATAGGAGTTATTAAGAAATTATTTTAGGTAGATAGGAAAAGGGGTGCTTGGGAAGATTTTTTTTTCTTTTAAAGCAGCTCCATAAATGTTTCTTGTCTAGAAGAAAAGCCCTGGCTCTTAGAGCTGGGCAGGCAAGCTTTGATATGCAAATACAGGCCATTAGAAACTGCGTCCACCCAAACATGGAGACTCCCGCCTCTTCTTCTTTTCCCCACGTTCCTGGCAACATGGCCGCCCCTACATACACCCATGTGTGTAGAACATCATGGCGCCTGTATTTGCATATTAAAAGGCTAGGGTAGGAAGGCTAGTTTTTTCGTGGGCTACTTGAATGACATACCTGGTCAAACCAATCCCCTGGGCCCTATGCAAATCAGGTACCGCCTCCTCCAGCCTCCTCATATAACTGGCTGTTTTCCACCGTACTCGAGGTTCCCTCTTTCAGCTTGGAGCCCGCCTCCCTCAGTCTCAGAACAGGGGGAGCCTCTTCCTTCCTTCTTTCTTGTCTATTAAATTCTCCACTCCTTAAAACCACTCCACGTGTGCCCATGTTGTTTTATTCAAACCAGTGGGAGACCAAGGACCCTAGTGTTCCTCCAGTCATCAGAGCCATACCATTTTGTTGCATTGGCCGGGAATCCAAGGTACGACACTCATCGGAGTGGTAAGTATGGGAGTGAGCTTAAAATCTCTTCTATCATTCCGAGGCACTCTTAGCCTCTATTTTAAAATAAAATAAGTCAATGGGCATCCGTCAGCCGGGTACATACACTTAGTGTTGGCTGCCATACTGAAGACTCGAATGTGAGGCTTGCTGCTGAGAACACGGAGAACCCCCCAACACCCCTGGGTCATTGGGAATGTTGGCCATGTTTTAAATCAGCTTCTTTTCACGGGAAGACCTCGCCATTGTGCAAGGCTGGGAAAAGTTCTAAGGCAACTAACAATTTCTGGCCAGAGCACACCCTGGCATGATTCAAAGGCCCCTGGACTGGACCCAGCCTCTGGCGGCCCATTCTGGGTGTTGGCAAAGAATCCTCAACTATCTTGTCACAAAACTCTCCTTCCTTCTCTATCTGCGGTCTCTTACACTTTCTTTGTGTGAAATGTGTAGCGAGTTTTACAGCCTAGGAAAGTAATCCTGTTAGGCAAAATCAGGAAGATGCCCTTGCAATCTTCTAGGAACAGAGTTCTCCCCTTTCTCCCACCGTGAGGTTACTCACTACCACGTCTCTAGTGAGCACATAGTATTTCTAAGCCAACAGTGCCACCTAGTAGAAATAGAAATCCTCTACATAAAGCATATTTTTTCATGGCAAACCGCAGCTTCTTTTTGCATGATTAGAAATCAGGCTCGGCCAGGCGCGGTGGCTCATGCCTGTAATCCCAGCACTTTGGGAGGCCGAGGCGGGCAGATCATGAGGTCGGGAGATCGAGACCATCCTGGCTAACACAGTGAAACCCCGTCTCTACTAAAAATACAAAAAAAAATTAGCCAGGCGTGGTGGCGGGCGCCTGTAGTCCCAGCTACTCGGGAGGCTGAGGCAGGAGAATGGCGTGAACCCGGCAGGCAGAGCTTGCAGTGAGCCGAGATCGCGCCACTGCACTCCAGCCTGGGCAACAGAGCAAGACTCGGTCTCAAAAAAAAGAAAAGAAAAGAAAAGGAAAGAGAGAGAGAGAGAGAAAGAAAGAACAAGAAAAGAAAAAAGAAAAAGAAATCAGGCTCTAGGCCTCTTCTTGAAATGGGAAAGTTCTGCCTTTAGCAGTTAGGAGTTAAGAAGTCTTCCATAGCCAAATTTTAGTCTCAATATTGTCCCATTGGCAGGAAAATGGCCATTCGGTTCCTACATTCCTTTAAGGCACCTATTCTGTCTCCGATTAAGATGGTACTTAATTAGTAAGGGGATTTTTAAGTCCAGAAGTTAACCAGAACCATTTTTCTAAGGGTAAATGCTTTAGCACAGGCCATAATAATAGCAAGATATAAAGTTCAATCTAGCACGCCCCCTCCCTTAAAGAGGCTTTGCCCAATTATGTAGTTTTTCTTTTTTTTTCTTTTCTTTTCTTTCCTTTTTTTTTTTTTTTTTTTTTTTTTTGAGATGGAGTCTTGCTCTTGCCACCCAGGCTGGATTGCAGTGGTATGATCTCAGCTCACTGCAACCTCCACCTCCCGGGTTCAAGTGATTCTCCTGCCTCATCCTCCCAAGTTGCTGGAATTACAGGTGCCCGCTACCATGTGTGGCTAATTTTTGTATTTTTAGTGGAGACAGGGTTTCACCATGTTGGCCAGGCTGGTCTTGAACTCCTGACCTCAGGTGATCCACCCACCTTGCCCTCCCAAAGTGCTAGAATTACAGACATAAGTCACCACACCTGGCCCGTAGTTTTTCTTAAAATCGTTGTTTTTTTGTTTTGTTTTTTAGGGAAGCACACAGGTCACACAGGAGGTCAAAAAGAAATAAAAGACTAAGGTGCTTGTGGAAGTGTAAGTGGGCCCAGAAGTCTAGTTTCTCTGGTGCCATGGCTTGGAGGGTCACGCCTGCAGTCATGGCCAGCACATTTAAATGGGTGCCAGGATCCAGGAACCAGGGAAAGAAAATAGTTGGGGGAACGCCCCCTACTGTGTTCTCCATCCTGGATCACATACTGAAAGGAAGGAGACTAAAATAATGCTTTTATTCTCACTTCTCTTTCTAGATGGGTAACAGATCGTCTTCTCTGCACTCCAACCTGGGTGACAGAATGAGGCTTCATCTAAAAAAATTAATATAATGAATCACATTAATAGAATAAAGAAGAAAACCCACATAATCATGTAAACGCACAAAAACCACTATCTGAAATCCATTACTTTTCATGATAAACTAGGAATTAAAAGGTGCCTATAAGCAACCCATTACAACCCATGGCAAAATCTTTCCTTTAGAATCAGGAAGAGGACAAGATTGCTCAAAATCACTACTTTGATTCAACACTTTGATTAGCCTGCACAATACAACAAGAAAGAGAAACAAAAGACATGAGAATTAGAAAGAAAAACAAAGCTCTAAATTATTCTAGATTAATTGATTATCTACATATAAAACTGAAAACAATTACTAAGATTTTTTGCAGAGTTGCTAAATATATATAATCAGTAAGGATCAATTGTTTATCTACATGCATGCAATGAATAACTTGAAAATGCAATAAAAGATGCCACAAAATGGGGCGGGGCGCGGTGGCTCATGCCTGTAATCCCAGCACTTTGGGAGGCTGAGGCAGATGGATCACGAGGTCATCAGTTCAAGACCAGCCTGACCAACATGGTGAAACCCCGTCTTCACTAAAAATACAAAAAAATTAACTGGGCATGGTGGCAGGCACCTGTAATCCCAGCAACTTGGGAGGCTGAGGCAGGAGAATCACTTGAAACCAGAAGGCGGAGGTTGCAGTGAGCCGAGATTGCACCACTGCACTCTAGCCTGGGCAATAAGAGCAAAACTCTGTCTCAAAAAAAAAAAAAAAAAAAGCCACAAAATAAGAATAAAAACATAAAATATCCAGAATTACACTTAACAAATATATGAGCAAATATCAAGGAGAAAATAATAGAATGTTATTAAAAGACATTTTAAAAGCTCATAAATAATTAGAATTACATACCATGTTCATAGACAGAGAAATTATTATAAAGATAAATTTCATACATTTACATTTAAAGTCTCAACATAATTTTTTTTCTTTTTTAGTACGTTGACTGGTTAATTCTAAAATTTCTGCAGAAGAGGAAATGGCCAATATTTGCAAAGACATTCCCAATATCAAAGAACAATGTATAGTGACATGACTTACCAGATAACAAGACATTTAAATACAGCTATAGTAATTAAAACAATGTTGTCTTGGTTCCAAAATAAGCAATTAGGCAAATTCAACATAATAGAGTGGTTAGAAAAAGGTCCAAGCAGACATAGAAATAAACACCTGCCAGGGGTTGCATTGCAGATTGCTGGGAAAATGTGGATAATGCTTATCCAAATGGAAGACAGAAAAATGGATTATTATCTCAGCCTAGAAACAAAATCATTTAGAAATGGGTCAAGGACTTACCTGTGAAAGGGAATATTTAAAAAATTTTAGAAGAAGATATAGGATAATTTTTTTTTAATTTGGGAGTATCCATAATTGGTTAAGCAAGATGAAAGTATAAACCATTAAGGAAAATGAATAATTTGTACATTAAAGTGAAAATCCTGTTTCTCAAAAGATATCATAAAGCCAATAGCCCAGGAAAGTATATGTGGAGCACCAGTAACTAACAAAAGACTTGCAAAGAACTTCTACCAATTGGATCATGAGGTCAGGAGATCGAGACCATCCTGGCTAACATGGTGAAACCCCGTCTCTACTAAAAATTCAAAAAATTAGCAGGACGTGGTGGTGGGCGCCTATAATCCCAGCTACTCGGGAGGCTGAGGCAGGAGAATGGCATGAACCCAGGAGGCGGAGCTTGCAGTGAGCCGAGATCACGCCACTGCACTCCAGCCTGGGCAACAGAGCGAGACTCCGTCTCAAAAAAAAAAAAAAAAAAAGAACACAGACAAACAACAGAAAGTAGATGAAGATTAGAAGAGGCATTTCTCAAAAGAGAAAATTCAGATAACCAAAAAACACATGAGCATGAGTTTAACATTAGTAAGCAGAGAAATTCAAATTAAAACAATGAGATACCATTTCATACCCATTAACTTGAACAAATTTAGAAAGTCTGATAAGATTCAAGCAGGAGCACTGCTGATAAGAAGCAAAAATTGGTGCAGTTACTTTGGAAAATAATTTGCGCTTGCCTAGTAGAGCTGATTACACACATGCAGCAAAACCTAGCAATTATTCCCTTAGAACTCTACTCTAGGAGACACTTTTGGACAGACAAAATTAGGATATATGTTCATAATAACGTTATAAGTAATGGCAACACAAAAAGAAGAGAAGGAAGAAAAGGAGGAGGAGGAAGAGAAAAAAGAAGAGGAGGAGGACCAAGAGGTAGGAAGAGCAGGAGGAAGAGGAGGAAAAAAAGAGGGAGGAAAAGAAAAAAGAAGAAAAGGAGGAGGAGGAGGAGAAGTAGGCAGAAGAGTAGGCAGAAAAGAGTAGAAAGAGGAGAAAGGAGGGACAAGAGGAGGAGGAAGAGGAAGGGGAAGACGAGAGAGAAAGGATAGAGAAAGAGAAGGAGGAAAATAAGAAGAGCACAAAAAAGAGAAAGAAAAGAAACAACCTAAATGCCTGTTTAAGAAAGAGGGATGTGCGAGTTATGGTATGCTCATACAACAGAATGTAGACCAATACAAAGAAGTGACACATCAGTGCGTCAACACATCAACATGGATGAATCTCAAAAATAAAGTGTTGAATGGTCCAGGCACTGTGGCTCACACCTGTAATCCCAGCACTTTCGGAGGCTGAGGCGGATGGATCACGAGGTCAGGAGATGGTAAAACCCCTCTCTACTAAAAATACAAAAATTTAGCCGGACATGGTGGCACATGCCTGTAGTCCCAGCTACTCAGGAGGCAGAGGTGGGAGAATCGCTTGAACCTGGGAGGCAGAGGTTACAGTGAGCCGAGATCGCACCACTGCACTCCAGCCTGGGTGAAAGAGTGAGACTCCATCTCAAAAAAAAAAAAAAGTGTTGAAAGATAAAGTCTGATTGCTTAGAAATAAAAATGCCTAATACTATTCACAGAAAGTTCAAAAATAAACAAAGCTAAACAACATACCCTTTGGAAATCCATATGCATGTATGTGGCAAATCCCTTAAAACAAGATGATGATGAACATAACAATCGGAATGTGAGCCAGGTGCTGTGGTGCATGCCTGTAGTCCCAGCTGCTCCAGAGGCTGAGACAGGACCAAGGCTTGAGCCCAGGAGTTCAAATCCAGCCTGGGTAACATAGTAAGACCCATCTCTATAAAAAAAGATACAATAAAATAAAATGTAGGATGTGGTTTTCTGAGAGAAGGATAGAAAAGAAATTGCATAAGATCAGCAAGCGGTTTGGGGCTTCATGAGTATGAATGATGTTCTATTACTTAAACTGGATGGTGGGCACACACAGGTTAAAGAGTATTCTTGGTGTAAAGTGCATGTATTCTTTTGTGTGTCTGATACATCACAAGAAAAAAGCCTCCAAATCTTCTGATAGAAACATGGATTTGTTGGTCAGAAGGCCATTCCCATATGTAAGAGGGAGTATGTTGCTTGGCGCGGTATTGATGGGCATCAGAGTTACTGTTTCTCACAATCCAGCTGACTCTGCCTCCCCACCGAGCTTCTCTGAGCCCTGTTCACCCACAGGACAGCCCCCAGCTTGTTTAGGAGCAGGGGAAGCTCCAGGAGGATCAGGAGCAGGATGTGGAGACTGCTGAGGAGGGACCTGTGGGGACACGGTGACAGGCAGTGAGTTACCTCCCCAGGGGAAGACCTGGTGCCCTCCACCTTGCCCCTATCTCCAGTGCCAAGGTACTGTGGGCACAAAAATCAAGAACTAACCTGGACATAGCAGCCAGATACATAAGACCAATGGCCTCTAATTATCACCCTAAGAATTGCCTTGAGATTCAGGGCTGTGGGCTGAGGCAGGGCAGGGCGATAGCAGCAATGTGAGGGGACACCCAGGGACCTGGTAGGACCTGAATCCACAAGAATCTCTACCAAAGCCCTTTGTGTGCAGGAGCAGACTCTTCAGAGGTGCAGGAATCAATAACCTGGATATCTGTCGAATGCCTGCTCCTCTCCAGATGGCATTTCCCACAAAGGCAGGAGCCCTGTCTAGTCCTCTTCACAGATAAACTGGCACCTGCCCTGTGGCTGCAAACATCTATCTGTAAAATTTATGGTTGTTGAGCGGCGGCTGCTAGTGTCTGTCCTGGGTCCACTGTGATGGCCAGGTGCCTCCCAGGGAACAGACATGTTGGACAGGCCTTCCCAGGAGGCGGGAACCCAGGTCTGTCCACACTCAGAATGGCTGGTTCTCCTGACATGATGGGCTCAGGGTGTCTTTACCCTGGAAAGGGCAAGGAGGCTAGTCAGATACAGGATTTGCCTCCTGTCTGTCCCGGAGGGCATCACCCCTTCTCCACCTTCTCATGCCTTAAGCATATTCCTTGACTCTCCCAACCCTCTTACAGATTTCCGTTCCTTTCTTCCTATCATGCCCAATAGCACCAGAGGCCGAGCGGAGAGTGACAGGGGAATCTTGGTGGACCTGGCACCATGAAGGGGTCACTGCACCCTTGTCCTGCCCAGCCCTCCCTTCATTTACACTCTCAGGGACAGTGTGCACTGCAGTCATTGGTGCTGATGCCCCCGACTCACATCATGGGACTGTCGCCAGCCCAATGCAATCCCGGGCCTTCCCACCTGCCCAGTGTTCAGGTCTGACCTTGACCCAGCTTGGCAGTAGCTGGCCCTGCCACGGGGACCTGACCTGGTCTCCCCTTCTGCTCTTACTCATCCCTTTCATTCTCCCCACAATGAGCAATGTGACCCCTGACACACACACACGGCCCTGGGGAGGCACTGCTGAACTCCCAATGGCTCCTGCTGTCACAGGATGGCACCCACCTGACCTGGCCTCTGCACACAGGTCCTGGCAGCCCCTATCACCCGGCAAGTGGCTCCAACCTCCTGGCTCCAGGTTCACCTCGGTGCTGCCACCCTCCCGACTCGGGTCTTTGTCCAGACCCTCAACCTCCCACTCCTCTGCCTGCCTCCAGCTGACAGGTTTGCCTGCGTGTTCCTTGACCTTCCTGGGTTATGGTGGCTTCCTTTTTAGGGGTCCTCATGACCCATTTCACATTTCCCTCTTGTGTTTATCACTGTTTTGTTGGTGGGTTTCGTCTGGACTGGTAGCTCATGGAGAACCAGGGCAGTATCTTGTCCTGATCACAGCTGTGACTTGCTGTCATCCTGGGGTCTGCCAAGGGCAAGTCAACAAATTGCTTGTTGAATGAATGAATGAATGCATGACTCTCTCGAGTCTTACCTGCCTTCAGAAAACTTAATTGTCTGATGCTGGTGTGCCATATCCAGCTCAGGCTGGGGAGGAGACAGAGAATGCTATCTGCAGGCCCTGGAGCCACTGGATCCAGAGAGGGATCTGCTTCCTGTGTTTTCCAGATCCAAGTCTAAGATGCCCCCCTGGCAGGACACATGCACCTGCTGCTCTCTCTGCCTCAGGGCTCCTCCTCCAGGGATCCTGGCGCTCACCCCCCTCCTTTCTCCTGATCCCTGCTTGCTCAGCGCCTATTAGAGGGGCTTCATCACAGACCCCTCCACTCCTGCAAAGCAGTCACCCCACTTCTCTTATTTTACTCCGTGGCTCTTTTCACCTCTGTCTTTTACATTACCTCTGGAACATATTCATGTATTTTTGCATTTGTTTATCATTTCTATCCCCCACCTGGAATATGGGCTCAGTGTAAACAGAGCTCCTTGCCTGGGTGTTCACGGCTGGACTCCAATGCCAGGTCAGTGTCTGATACACCAAAAGCTCCCATAAGCATCTGCCGAATGGAAAAAAGGGTTAAGAACCCCCCAGGCGAGGCCCTCCTTGACCAGGAGGACTCATGGGAATCATCTGCCTCACAGGGGTCTTGGGTGTTGGCCAGGTCATCATGGCGACCCTGGAACTGAAATGGTGGGCAAATGATAACATCTTTCGTCTGTATAGACAGACATGGTCTACACTACTGAGCAAAAGACTCACTTAACTACCACATCAAGGAGTCATAGCCCTCCATCCGTTTCCAAATTTGCACCAGTTAAAACCCACAGCCCTGGAATGAAGGAGAGGTCAGGTCCCCTTGAAGAAGGAGGAAGGGTAGGCCTGGTTATGCTACCACAGTTCACACTGAGAATCTTCTACCAGCTCTCCCAGAGGGACCTAAAGACACTGGCCAGGATGTGTCTACCTGAAGGAGGGAATAGTCAGGCTTTGGGGGAAATTCTGGATCCTTTTCTGCAGGGACCCCCATTCCGAGAGGCCTAACATGGGGCTTGGTCCACTATTCTCAGCAAAGGCCTGTGGAAATCAGGGAACAATGGATTTCTCACTCAGGTCTGACTGAGTGGGCCTGATACATCCCAAACCTACACATTGTCATTTATTAAAGTTTGAAAGCATCATTGAATCGACACACTCAGCAAATGGAAGCAGCCGCATATTCTACACTCCTGGACCCAGGGAGTGTGGGCCATTATGGTGGCAAAGGTGCAGGGGAGTCCTAGACCTGCTTCTCCCTGTGAAAACGGTGGAGGAAGCAGTGCCAGGCTCCTGGAGAAATGGAAGGGTGCAGGGAGGGCATCCGGGCACTCAGAGGTATTGCTGACGGCCCGAGGCTTAGCTGGCCGGGGCGTGCACATGAGACGTGGACTCACAGCTCAGGGCGTCCATGTCCGTCAGGTTCACATGTGACACATGAGGATCGGGCACAGGGAAAAGGCTGAAGGAGGCTCACAAAGGATTCCAGGAGATGTGGAGAGAGCAGCCCGGGAGGGAGTGGTCAGGAGGTCATTCCAGTCCCCCAGAGGGGCTCTGTTGCAGCACAGGGCCTTGATGGACAGCAGATGCTACTGGTTCTCACCCTTGGGCCAATTCTGCCTGCTTCTAGAGCTTCTCTGAGGTCTGTTCACCCAGAGGACGGCACCCAGCATGCTCAGGAGCAGGGGCAGCTCCAAGAGGACCAGGAGCAGGAAGCGGACATTGCTGAACAGGGAGCTGTGGGGACACGGTGACAGGCAGTGAGTCACCTCCCCAGGGGAGGCCCAGGTGCCCTCCACCATCCCCTGACCCTTGTGTCCCAATCCTGTGACCACAGCCAACCACATAAGCACCCCCCTGGACAGTCCATCCCGTCTCAGCATCACGGCCCCTAACCCTCAGCCTCGGATTTACCCTTGACCTGAGGACTGTGACACAGGAAGGGCAGGACCATGAGAGGACGTGAGGTCACGCCAGGGATCCAGGCAGGGTCTGTGTCCAGGACGCAGCTGTCTACCTCTGTGCTCCCCATGGAGGGTTACCCAGCTGGGGTCCCGGAATTCACAAAGGGTTATTTGTTTGGTGTCAACTCTCCTGTACACAGCGTTTCCAGGAGGGCAGGGACCATTTGTTTCATTCACAGTGAGTACCTGCTGCCTACCCGGAGTCTCCAATAATCTGCCCTACAACTTCAGTGGTTGTTGAAGGAATTAATGAATGGACAGCTCAGCTCTCAGCTCCTCAGAGGACTGGGCTTATCAAACAGGATGAAACTCTGGCCAGGGCTGCGAGAGAGGCAGGGGAGAGGACCAGGGCCACCGGACCCCAGAGCATCTGCCCCCTTCCCTGGCCTGGCCAGGTCCCAAGGCTCCTCGCAGGACATTTGCCTCACTCCTCCCTCCACCTGGACCCTTCTTCCTCCAGACCCCAGAGTGCCCAGCCCCCAACCCTTGAGGTCTCTGTGCTCATGTCCTCTAATTCTCAAACCCTCTTCTGATCATCGTCAGTGAAATAGCAACTCCAACACCTGCACACGCTCTCCCCAAACCCAAGAGTCAAACATCTCATCCCAGCATTCATTACCCTTTGCTGTATTTGTACATCAGCCTCTGTGCTGACTTGCTCAATGCGTGAATCCACGCAGTAGAACTCAACTTCCACCAGGGCAGGACAGTGGCTGTGTGGTTCCCTGCTGTGACCCAATCCCAAAAGGAGCGCCTGACACTTAATAGAACCTTCACGTTTGGTGTGGGAGGTGCGAACAAAGAAGGGACTGGAAGAAGGGACATCCGAGTCCCCTAAACATCACACGCAGTGGGGAGGCCGCCAGCGTGGCCCAGTCCTATGCGCAGGCACCTTACCCAGGGTGTGGGCTGGGTTCGGGGCTGTCCTTTCTGGTCACGCTGGGCCAGGTGTGCACGGGCAGCTTCGTGGGAGGACCTGAGGTGCCCATGGAGCTCTGGGGGCTGGAGGCTGTGGTCGTCCCGGCTGTGGGTGAAACACAGGTCAACCTTGATGACATCACATGGGTCTCCCACTTACTCTCACCTGTTCTGCTCCAATTTTCACAGACAAGGTCACCAATGATGTGCTGGACAGATGCCCTGCATCCATCATGCCCCACGGCCACACCCAGGCCTGACCAGGGTCCTGGGCCTCTCCTTGTCCCATCCCTAGGTACTGCAGAGCCAGGACACCATTTCAGATGTGAGAGCTGCCCTGCTCACCTGTGGCAAAGGTACGGGTCTCCAGGTTTCACCCCAGCCAGGGAGGGACAGGGTGACCTGGGGGAATGGGGTGATGTTTACTCTGCGAAGGGTGACCCAGAGTGACTGCGAAGCCAGGGCCCTGGGCACAGCAGTGGCTGGAGAGAGGCTGGAAGTGAGGACAGGAAGTCAGTGGGGTCCTCCCTGAACGATGGGACCCGAGTCCACTCAGCCCCAAATGGCAGCCATGCTGCGGCCCCACAAGGCCATTGGACCATCCTCTCAGCAGGAGGGAATGCCCAGGAAGAAAGATCTAGAGAGGGGATGCCCGGTGAAGCCTGGGCGGCGGCCCGTGGTGAATACAGCTGGATAAGGGCCCTTTCCTCCTCTCCCTGGCGCCCTCAGGTGGGATCTTAGCTCCTCACTCCTAGATAGGAAGGCACAAAGGGCGCAGGAGGGACACGTCGCCCCCGGGGAAATGGAGAACAAGAAGATGCTCCGAGGAACCTGGGACATTGTCAGAAGAAAACGATGGAAAAGCAACCACACTGAGGCCACTGGGTTTGTGTCTTGTGAGACAGGAGGGGGCCTTTGAGGGAAGAATGATCTTCGGCACGGGAAAGGGCCCTCAGGTCCGTGCCAGTCTCAGCTCATTTCCATCCACAGGTCCCTTTGCCTGAGGGGGCAATTTCTGGGGTTCCCTCCTGTGGTAAAAGGTGCCAGAGAATAAGGGGGACACACAGGTCAGCCTCAGGGGCAGGATGTGGTTCCCAGGAGCATGAGAACCCCACCCAGGGCTCTGGGGCTCCTTCCTGTGTCCTCCAGTGGCTGCTGCAGGAGCTCCCAGGACAGGGCTGTGAGGCTGCGGCCTCAGGACCCTCCAGACAGGGCGGCATCCATGCAGGCCCCAGGGCAGGGGCAGCCTTGAGTGAGAGGAGCCAATGATGGGGGGGTCCAATTCCCCGTGGGGAAGAGCGAGTTAGACCCAGGCGGGACAGTGGGCACCCTTCAGTATGGATCCGGCCCTTGTCAATACAGGGAGGTAGCAAGGACCCCAGAGTCAGGGGTGGCCTCACAGACCCCACCCAGGAAAGTTTCAGGCCTGAGGCCGTGAGGGAGGGCCCACAGCGGGGGGTCTCCAGCCACAGGGCCAGGGTGCTTTTGTGGGCGCCCACCCTCCCAACACACACATGCAGGTGCACACACACACAAACCACACCACAACTCCTATGCAGGCACGCATACACAAAGACGCACTCACACTCATCCACACACAGCGGCACACAGTGTCCTGACTCACCAACCCCCAGGCTCACACCCTCCTGTTCCACTTCTTTCTTCAGGGACAGAATGACCAGCCCTAGGCTCAGGCAGGCCTGGTGCTGAGAAAAGGAGGGGCTCACCCGGGAACACGGACACCTCAACCTCGACAATGGGATCATGAAAGTCTCGGAGCCACGGTGTATCCACCCCACACCAGTAGGTGCCTGCGTCCTCCTCTGTGAGATTCTCCAGGGTCACTGTGAAGCTGAGGTTTGCAGGACTGTCCCTGATGGACACTCGGCCATTCCTTTTCCCTGCTGACCCTTTGGTCTCCACAATCTTGTCACATCGGAGAATCTGTGGTGGTCTGCACCAGAATTTGTTGAGGGTCCTGTGTTCCTTCTCATAGCGACACTGCACACTCAGGGATCCCCCCACGGGGCCCGCCACGGTCATGGGGTGGCTCAGAGGAAAATAGCCTGAAAAATACAAGCCAAAATCCTGTCTCCTTACCAGAGGGGCCTGGTCAGGGGTGCCGCAGTGTCAGCCCCTCATGGACCCTGGGCGTGTGGAGAAGGCAATGGCAGGCAGGCAGCCTTTGTCCACCCAGGAACAGGGACTGAGGGTGGGAGGCTCCCTCTGTGCAGAGGTGGGAAGGGCATGGGAAGTTTCCATGGAGACTGGAAAGGCAAGGCTAGGGAAACACTGGGTGTGTGCGGGCCTGTGTGTGCATGTGAGTGTGACTCTGTGTGTGTGACTGTGTGAGTGTGACTGTCTGTGTGAGTGTGACTGTGTGTGACTGTGTGTGCATGTGTGACTGTGTGTGCATGTGAGTGTGACTGTGTGTGCATGTGTGACTGTGTGCATGTGTGTGTGAGACTGTGTGAGTGTGACTGTGTGTGCATGTGTGTGAGACTGTGTGAGTGTGACCGTGTGTGCGTGTGAGTGTGACTGTGTGTGTGATCGTCCCAGATAAAATTTGTGATTGGATAACTTTGGCAATGACAGTCACAGCATCACCTCCCACCAGGGCTTCCTGTCTCGGGCACAGAGGAATAGGCCTCCCCCGTGCTGTGCCCTGCCGCCTGCTGTCCCCTGGTGAGGCAGCTGCTGACCGCTCCTGGGTGCTCCTTTGCCCTCCTCCCCTCTCCCTGCCCCACTCCCCTCTATGACCGCTACTCCAGCGCCTGCACCCCTCCCTGCCCTCTCCCACTCAGGACAGAGCTCCCCAAGTCCAGGGTCGGCCCACTCACCTGGGACAAGCAGGAGGAGCAGAGCTGAAGACCGCCACGAGGCCCAGGCCCTGGCAGTCATTCCTGTAACACGAATGTCACCTGCCACTGTGCAAGACCCCAGGAGGGGACAAAATGTAATCTCCTCCCAGCAGATCTGAGCTTCGCTTCTGCTTTTCTTCTGCTCTCTGCTTCCTTGTCCAGCCCTGTCTCAGGTCTGAGGCTGGAGAGGGTCAGGGTACAGGAAGCTCAGGGAGAGAGCCGCCTGGGCTGAGGCCGGTGCTGACAGCTCTGGGATGGTGCTAGTGGCTCCTCTCAACCCTGACGTCTGGCAAAGTCCAGGGTCCCTTGGGTGGCGATGCAGCCACTTCCCCACAGCCCACAGCTTCTGGCTTCAGTGTGTTACTCACACTGCAGAAGGCAGAGCCAAGCTGGGCCATTTCCTACCACATGGGCTGCTCCACCCTCTGTGACATGTCACTTCCTGGTCAGGATGGACAATCTTGTGGTTGGAGGCTAAATCTGCCACCTTCTTTAGCCTTGGAGGTGACCAGAGAGAGGTTGTGTCCCTTAATCTTCAGCTAGGTCCCCGCAGAGACCTCTGCCCCTAAGACCCCCAGCTCTTCTTCTGGCCTCAGAAGTTAGCGCTATGAACCCAGACACCATCTGCATGTCCCTTTTTGGTGCTGAGTCCCCAACCAGGTTAAAATCCCACAGGCTTGGGGAGTTTTCCTCTTGTGCCCCTGCCCCCAGACCTACACACACAGCGGCATCACCCACCCGAGACCCTCCTTTTCCATCTTGTCTTCTTGCCAAAATCCATGCCCCAGTGGGAATCAGGGCAGAGAACTGAGAATAGAGAGAGAGTTCAGACATGTGAAGATGCTGAAGTGGGACTTTGTGGAGGATGTGAGGCTGCGACTGAGCCAGCACACACCCCAGGGCACACGGAGGGGTGTTTGGTGACTGAGAGGACAGTTTGTCATGAGCAGCGGCTGCTGGTGTCTATCCTGGGTCCACTGTGATGGCCAGGGGCCTCCGCAGGGAGCAGACATGGCAGACAGGCCTTCCCAGGAGGCGGGAACCCAGGTCTATCCACACTCGGCATGGCTGGTTCTCCTGACGTGATGGGCTCAGGGTGTCTTTACCCTGGAAAGGGCAAGGAGGCTAGTCAGACACAGGATTTACCTCCTGTCTGTCCTGGAGGGCATCACCCCTTCTCCACCTTCTCAT
The DNA here is from genome assembly GCF_000001405.40 of Homo sapiens. Classification (NCBI taxonomy): domain Eukaryota; kingdom Metazoa; phylum Chordata; class Mammalia; order Primates; family Hominidae; genus Homo; species Homo sapiens. Next base: position 74,546,934 of record NC_000017.11, read on the forward strand.
GCCTTAAGCATATTCCTTGACTCTCCCAACCCTCCTACAGATTTCTGTTCCTTTCTTCCTATCAGAGTCAATAGCACCAGTATGTGCACACAGCCATGAGGTTGAGTGGAGAGTGATGGGAGTCTGGGCAAACCTGGCACCATGAAGGGGTCTCTGCACCCTCGACCTGCCCTGTCCTCCCTCCATTTACACTCTCAGGGACACAGCATGCACTGGGGTCATTGGTGTTGATGCCCCCAGACTCACATCATGGGACTATCTCTAGCCCAGTGCAATCCCAGGGCCTCCAATTAGCCCAGTGCTCAGGTCTGGCCTGGGCCTGGCTTTGAAGTATCCCGGCTCTTTCATGGGCTGACCTGGTCTCCCCTTCTGCTCATACCCACCCCTTTCATTCTCCACAGAATCAGCAATGTGATCCCTGACACACACACATGGCCCTGGGGAGGCGCTGCTGAACTCCCAATGGCTCCTGCTGTCACAGGATGGCACCCACCTGACCTGGCCTCTGCACACAGGTCCTGGCAGGCCCCAGCACCTGGTAGGTGTCTCCAGCCTCCTGGATCCAGGTTCACACTGGTGCTGCCACCCTCCCCACTCGGGCCTTTGTCCAGACCCTCAACCTCCCACTCCTCTGCCTGGCTCCAGCCGACAGGGTTGCCTGCGTGTTCCTTGACCTTCCCGGGTTATGGTGGCTCGCTTTTTAGGGGTCCTCATGACCCATTTCACACTTCCCTCTCGTCTTCCTCAGTCTTTCTGTTGGCGAGTCAATGTCTGCTCCCATCTAGGGTGGCCGCCCCTTGAGAGCAGGTGCAGCCTCTTGTCTCATTCACAGCTGTGCCCGTTATCATTCCAGAGTCTGCCAAGTGCAGTTTAACAAACTGGCTGTTGAAAGGATGAATGGGTGAATGGATACATGACATCCTGATGTCCCACTGCCTCAGAGGACTTAGTCATCCAAAGTTGGTGCACCATTTCCTGCCCAGGCTGGGGAGGAGACAGGAAATGCTGTCTGGAGGCCCTGAAGCCACCTGACCCAGGGAGGCATCTGCCCCTGGCAGGACATGTGCACCTGCTCCTCTCTCTGCCTCAGGGCTCCTCCTCCAGGGATCCTGGCGCTCACCCCCTCCTTTCTCCTGATCCCTGCTTGCTCAGCGCCTATTAGAGGGGCTTCACCACAGTCCCCCTCAGCTCCTGCACAGCAGTCACCCCACTTCTCTTATTTCATTCCGTGACTCTTTTCATCTCTGACTTTTATATTTCTTCTGGAATTTATGCACGTATTTTTGCATCTGTTTATCATTTCTATCCCCCGCCTGGAATATGAGCTCAATGAAAACAGAGCTCCTTGCCTGGGTGTTCACGGCTGGACTCCAATGCCAGGTCAGTGTCTGATACACCAGAAGCTCCCATAAGTATCTGCTGAATGTAAAAATAGGTGAGGACCCCCAGGCGTGTCCCTCCTTGACCTGGTGGACTCATGGGGATCATCTGCCTCACAGGGGTCTTGGGTGTGGCATCCCTGGAACCGAAACGATGGTCAGCTGATAACGTCTTCCTTTGTCTGGATAAGCAGACATGGTCTGCACTAGTAAGCAAAAGACTCAGTTAACTACCACATTAAGAAGTCACGGCCCTCAACCAATTTCCATATTTGAGTCAGTTAAAAGCCACAGCCCTGGAATGAAGGGGAGGTCAGGTCCCCTTGAGGAAGGAGGAAGGAAAGGCCTGGCTACCATGCCACAACTCACACTGATAATCTTCTACCAGCCCTCCCGCAGGGACCAGAAGACACTGGCCAGGATGTGTCTACATAAGGAACGGAATTGTCAGGTTTTGGGGGGAATCCTGGATCCTCTTCTGCAGGGACCCCAGTCCTGAGAGGCCCAGCCTGGGGCTTAGTCCACTATTCTGAGCAAAGGCCTGTGGAGATCAGGGAACAATGGAGTTTTCACCCAGGTCTGACTTAGTGGGCATGATAGGTCCAGAATCTATGTATTGTCATTTCTTAAAGTTCGAAAGCATCATTGAATTGACACACTCAGCAAATGGAAGCAGCCACATATTCTGCACTCCTGGACCCGGGGAGTGTGGGCCATTATGGTGGCAAAGGTGCAGGGGAGTCCTGGACCTGCTCCTCCCTGTGAAAACGTTGAAGGAAGCAATGCCAAGCTCCTGGAGAAATGGAAAGGTGCAGAGAGGGCATCAGGCACTTAGAGGTGTTGGTGACAGCTCGAGGTTCAGCTGGCCAGGGCGTGCACATGAGACATGGAGTCACAGCTCAGGGCGTCTGTGTCCATCAGGTTCACGTGTGATTCATGGATCAGGCACAGGGAAAAGGCTGAAGGAGGCTCACAGAGAATTCCAGGAGATGTGGAGAGAGCAGCCCGGGAGGGAGTGGTCAGGAGGTCATTCCAGTCCCGCAAAGGGGTTCTGTCGCAGTGCAGGGCCTTGATGGACAGTAGATGCTACTGGTTCTCACCCTCTGGCCAACTCTGCCTGCTTCCAGAGCTTCTCTGAGGTCCGTTCACCCAGACGACGGCACCCAGCATGCTCAGGAGCAGGGGCAGCTCCAGGACCAGGAGCAGGACGTAGGGGCTGCTGAACAGGGAGCTGTGGGGACACGGTGATGGCAGTGAGTCATCTCCCCAGGGGAAGCCCAGGTGCCCTCCACCTTCTGCCTGTCTGTGAACCCAGGTCCTGTGGCCACACAAATCCCTGTGAGGACAAACTCTGTATATGACAACTCCTCTAAAGAGATCATTAGACCCTGACCTTCAGCCTGAGAGTCCCTGGAGTCTCAGGACTGCCTATAAGGAAGCACGTGGCCGTGAAAATGGTGCATGAGGACAGGGAGGGATCCAGGTGAGAACCACACCCACAAGATCTCTACATCCCGGGGTTATTCACTGGCGCATGGAATCAGTCATGTAGTTTGATGCCTGTATGGCCATCATTTCCCGAGAAGGTGAGGACTATTCATGTTATTCACAAGTAACTGGTACCTGCCCTCTGGTTGCAAATATCAGCCTGTAAAATTCATGGTTGTTGAAGGAATGGAAGGAATGAATGAATGGCCCAGCTCAGCTCTCAGCTCCTCAGAGGACTGGGCTCATCAAACAGGATGAGACTCGGGCCAGGGCTGCAAGGGAGGCCAGGGGAGAGGGCCGGGGTCACCGGGCACCAAAACATCTGCCCCCTGCCCTGGCCTGGCCGGGTCCCAGGACTCCCTTGCAGGACATTTGCCTCACTCCTCCCTCTGCCTGGACCCCTCTTCCCCCAGACCCCAGAGCGCCCTGCTCCCAAATCCTGCAGGTCTCCACGCTCATGTCCTCTAATCCACAAACCCTCTTCTGATCATTGTCAGTGAAATAGCGACTCCAACACCCACACACATGCTCCCCAAACCCAAGGCACAAATATCTCTTCCCAGCAGTCATCAAACTTCGCTGTATTTGTCTGTCAGCCACTGTGCTGACCTGTTCACTGTGTGAATCCACCTGGTAGAACCCAAACTCCACCAGAGCAGGACTGTGGCTGAGTGGTTCCCTGCTGTGACCCTATCCTGACAGGAGCACCTGGCACTTAGTAGGACCTTCACATTAGGTGTGGGAGGCGTGAGCAAAGAAGGGACCAGAAGAAGAGAGACACAACCATCCCATCTCTCCCCAGCCTACAGGAAAGGCTGCCCAGGTGGCAGTCCTGGGGGCACGAACCTTACCCTGGGTGTGGGCTGGGATCAGGGCTGTCCTGTCTGGTAGAGCTGGGCCAGGTGCACGCTGGGACGTAACGGGAGGACCCGAGGTGCCCGTGGAGCTCTGAGACTGGAGGCCGCTGTCAGGGCTGCAGGGGCATCACAGGTCAGTCTCGGCGACCTCGCCTGAGTCTCCCACTCATCATCACCTGTTCAGCTCTGATTTCCACAGACACGATCACTCAGTACATGCTGGACAGATGCCCTGAGTCCAACACGTTCCACGGCCACACGCAGGCCGGACCAGGGCCCTGGGCCCCTCCCTAGTCTTATCCCCAAGTACTTCATAGCCAGATGAGCACTTTCAGAGGCAAGAGTCAACCTGCTCTCTAGGGGAACGTGAGAGTCTGTGGAAAGAAGACCTGGCTGCAGACCCCATCCCAGCCAAGGAGGGAGGGGTGACATTCACTCTGTGAAGCGTGACCTAGAGTGACTGCGGAGCCAGGGCCCTGGGCATGGCAGTGGCTGGAGTGAACTGGAAGTAAGGACAGGAAGTCAGTGGGGCCCTCCCTGAATGATGGGACCCGAGTCCACTCAACCCCAAATGTCAGCCAGGCTGGTGGCCCCACAAGGCCAGACACTTTCAGGGTGGGGCACACAGAGGAGTCTCCAACAACAGGTGCAAATGTGCTTTTGTGCATGTCAGCACACACACACACGGGTGCACACACACAAACACACCACACAATTGTGCAAGCACACACACACCACACCTGCGCACGCACACACACACACCACAAACACAACTCACACCTGTGCATGCGTGCGCACACACACACCTGTGCATACACACACAGCAAACCCATGCATGCACACACAGACACTGTGTCCTAAGTCACTGCCTGCAACCTCACACACTCCTGTCCCATTTCTCACTTCAGGGACAGAATGACCAGCCCTAGACTCAGACAGGCCTGGTGCTGAGTGAAGGGGGCTCCCCTGGGAACACCGACACCTCCACCTGGAAGACAAGGTCTTGGAAGACAAGATCTTGAAATTCTTGGAGCAATAGTCTATTGACCCCACACAAATATCCACCTGCATCCTCCTCTGTGAGGCTCTCCAGGGTCACTGTGAAGCTGAGGTTTGCAGGATGGTCCCTGATGGACACTCAGCCATTACTCACTCCTGCTGACTCTCCAGCCTTTACAGTCTTGTCACATAGTAGAAAAAGTGGTTGTCTGCACCAGTATTTGTTGAAAGTCCTGTATTCCTCCTCATACTGACACTGCACATTCAGGGATCCCCACTGCGGTGTCTGTCATGGTGCTGGGGCCGCCCACAGCAAAACAGCCTGGAAAATACAAGCCAAAGTCCCAGCTTCTCCTCAGATGGGCCTGGGTCAGGGATGTTCTGGGGTCAGGGCCTCTCGGACCCTGGGGTTGTAGAGGAGACAGTGGCAGGCAGACAGCCCTTGTCCACCCAGGAATCTGAACTGAGGGGTGAGTAGCTCCCTCCCTGCAGAGGTGGGAACGGGGAGGGGGGTTTCCATGGAGACAGGAAGGGCATGGACTGGGAAAACACTGTGCGTGTGCATGCCTGTGTGTGCACGTGCATGCATCTATGATTGTATGTGTGGTTCATCAAGATGGCATTTCGGATTGGATAACTGTGGCAATGACAATCACAGGCACCTCTCCCCCAGGGCCTTCTCTGTCGAGGATGCAGTGGAACATGACTCACCTGCGCTGTGCCCTGGAGCCTGGCACTCAGCTAGTGAGGCAGCTGCTGACAGCTCCTTGATGCTCCTCTGTCCTCCTGCCCTCTCTCCATGTCCCTACTTCCATGTCCAGGGCCCACCCACCTGAGACATTCAGGAGGAACAGAGCTGCCAGTAGCCGAGCAGCCCGATCCCTGGTGGCCTCTTCTCAGATGTCACTTGTCACTGCATCAGGCTCTGGTAGGACAAGGTGGAGTCCCCTCTCCCAGGGTCTGAGCCCCACTTCTGCTTTCTTTCCCTATCTGCTTCCTTGTCCAGCCCTGTCTCAAGTCTGAGGCTGGAGATGGGAGATTGCAGAAAGCTCAGGAGAGAAGCTCCCTGGGCCGGTGCAGGCACGCCTAGACTCAAGGGGCCAGGGACCAGGGGCCAAGGTGCAACCAGGATCTGAAGCTCAATGGGCAGTTCCAACCAGAGCAAGTTTCATCCCTAAAGACAAGTGCCCAGGGCAGGGGGCATCCAGGCAGGAAAGAGGAGGACACATCTGATTCTGGCCCATGGCTTCCGCTATATTGAGAAGCAGCACACACACTGCACGTTGAACTTCTCACTTCTGGGAGAGGAAGAGACACCCAATGTCCCTACTGAACATGTTCACCTAGGCTGGAACTTGGTTTGGTGACAATCTTCAATGCTTCTTATTTGTGAACAAGGGAAGCAGTCTTTGAAGCACTAACTATAACCAATGCCAGACCTAAGTTAGATTATCTATATAACTTGTGAACCAAAGTGTATCTGAGACAAGTCGCAATTAATTTTGGAAGTTTATTTTGCCAAGGTTAAAAGTACATCCATGACAGCCTCAGGAGGTCCTCACAACATGAGGTGGTCAGGGCACAGCTTGGCTTTATACATTTTAAGGATACATAAGACATCAATCAGTATATTAGATTGGTACAAAAGTAATTGCAGTTTTGCCATTACTTTTAATGCACTCCAGCCTGGGCAACATTAGTTTTAATGGCAAAAATCACAATTACTTTTGCACCAACCTAATATGTAAGATGTACGTTGGTTCGGTCTAGAAAGGCAAAACAACTCAAAGTGGGAGGGGGCTTCCAGGTCACAGGTAGATAAGAGACAAACAGTTGCATTTTTTTGAGTTTCTGATTAGCCTTTCCAAGGGAAGCAATCAGATATACATTTATCTCAGAGAGTAAAGGGATGACATTGAGTTACATCTGTCCTTTGTCCGTAAGGAATTTCTTTGTGAACGAATTGTGAGGGAGGTATGTAGCTTTTTTTTTTTAAATCTTAGTAGCTATCTTTTTTAGCAATAGAACGGGAGGCAGGTTTGCTCTAAACAGTTCCCAGCTTGGCTGTTCCCTTTGGCTTGGTGGTTGTGGGGTCTGGAGATTTATTTTCCTTCCACAAACTTCAGGGCTGGTTGGCAGAAGTATTGAACCCATACATTTATACGTATCCTTTTATTATCTGCCCCCTTGCAGACAGTGTCTTGCTTTGCTGCCCAGGCTGGAGTTCAGTGGCACAATCATAGCTCCCTGCAGCCTCAAATTCCTGGACTCAAGCAATCTTCCCACCTCAGCCTCCCAAACCGTTGGGATTATAGGCGTGAGCCACTGCATCCAGCCACAATCTTCTTTTTAGAGCTCAATTAATTATACTTTATTGCTTTTTGTGTACCAAGAAATTGATCTGTGAACTTCCCTCATTTAAAATATACCGCAATTTTGTAACCTTGTTTTTTCATCTCTCTCTCTCTCTCTCTCTCTCTCTCAAAAATAGAAGTGGCCCAGGCCCCTCTGGACCTTAGGGAGGCCCTGAAGGCCAGAGAGGAATAAAGCAGATATGTCTGATTCCAGTCCAAGGAAAGACATTCACTTTGGGCTTTAATCTTTGCTTAATTATTTTTTCCTTTGCAAAAGAGAAAGAGACTCAATTTCCTCAGTGGGTGGCTCTATGATATTGGATGTGCAGCTTGTCGACTCCTTAGGCGTTGTATTCTAAGTTTCTCTATGGCAGGCCTTGAAAACCAAACAATTAATCAACTCCGGGCAATGTCTATGGAGAGGTCACTCTGCATGTGAGAGGGGGACCTCCCCAGCCAGAGTCTTCCTGAGTTTCTGTGTGGATCTTCCTGAATCAGGTCCTTATGTGCAGGCTTGAGAGTTGAAGAAAGAAATTCCCACAGGGTGCGGTGGCTCACGCCTGTAATCCCGGCACTTTGGGAGGCTGAGGCAAGCGGATCACTTGAGGCCAGAAGTTTGAGACCAGCCTGGCCAACACTGTGAAACTCCATCTCTACTAAAAATACAAAAATTAGCTGAGCACAGTGGCTCATGCCTGTAATCCTAGCACTTTGAGAGGCCGAAGCGGGTGGATAACTTGAGGCCAGAAATTCGAGACCAGCCTGGCCAACATGGCAAAACCCTGTCTCTACCAAAAAATACAAAAATTAGCTGGCGTGGTGGCATGCGCCTGTAGTCCCAGATACTCGGGAGGCTGAGGCACAAGAATCGCTTGAACCCGGGTGGCGGAGGTTGCAGTGAGCTGGGATCGAGCCACTGCACTCCAGTCTGGGAGACAGAGCAAGTCTATCTCAAAAAAAAAGAAAAGAAAGAAATCCCCACAGGGTCACATACACACGTACTCAAACCTAAAGCCCAATGTCCACTCTCAAATCACCATTGTCTTTGCACTGGTTCCCTGTTGAAAATTTCAACCTGTCAGCACAGCCAGGGACCAGCACAGACTGCTTTCAGTTTCGAACTGTTTCCTGAAAAGCAAAAGGCACTGGAGGAGTGAGAGGAGAGGGAGAGTGATGGGTGGAAGGACTTCGAAAACAATGACTCCCTGGAGTTTCTCAGTTTGGGTCGCCTTGGCCCCCTCCGCCTAAAGCACCCTTCTCATTCTGTTTCCTGAGTCTGAGGATTCTGCTTTTCCCTTTTGCCATCCCTGGGCCACTCTGTCCTCTTCAGTGTCCTGGTCCAGTGAAGAGACTCTAGGGCATTAGTGCCGGAGAAATGCTGACACGATCACTTATACTGTATGCTTTCGGTCAGATTCTTTACTCTCTCAGAGCTGTTGGCAAGATAGCTGGAAGGAGGAGAGATTAACTCTTTCTTTGGTGGAAAAAAAGATGAATAAACTGTAACCAAAAAAGAAAGTCAAGCAAACTTTCAGAAGTATAATCTCATGTTTTGGTTTTTAAATTCTTTGATGGAAGTGTAACATACAAACAAAATAATACAAATCGTAAATGTCGGCTCAGCAAAATTTGAGGAAATGACTACCCGTGTCTAACAGCCACCCAGATCAGACACCCACGCCCTTGAGGAGTCTCCTTCCATATGGTATTTGGGTGGGCCTCTGTGATCCATAGATATGAGCCACGGGCTATGACTTCCAAGAATAAACCATCAATGGTACTGTGCCTTGCTCTCTCTTGGATCACTATCTCCAGGGAAAGCTGGTGGCTGTGTCTTGAAGACTCACAAGCAGCTCTTTTGAGCAAGGAGCTGAGGCCTCCCACCAGCAGCCACGTGAATGTGCGATGTTGGAAGCAGATCCTCCAGCCCTGGTCCAGTCTTCAGATGACTGCAGCCCCAGCCAACATCTTGACTAGAACTTGATGAAAGAGAGATCCTGAGCCAGCAACACCCAGCTAAGCAACTCCCAGATTCACGGCTCTCAAAATCATGAGATAATGAACATTTGCTGTTTTCAGCCGTGAAGTCATGGGGGAATTTGTTATTTATCAACAGATATCTAATATAGTTGGGCCACACTTGCCCAGAGCCAGTCTCTGCAGCCACATCCAATCCTTATTCATTTATTCACTCAGCAAGTATTTTCTTTAATGCCAACATTTGTCACCACACTCTGTAGCTGGATGCTGGGGCATTCGTGGTGAATGAAGCTGGCCCAAATGCTGCTGTGATATAAAGGGAGATGGATAGAAACCACCCGAAGGAAACACATTAACAGCATTTGGCAAACTGTGGAGAAAATAAACAGGGACCCATAATCAAGACAATTGGGGTGATCCCTGCAAAGGGTGATCAGAGGCATTTCAGAGGAGGCAACATCAGAGGTGAAACCAAAAGGATAAGAAAGAGCCAGAGGTAAGAAGATCTGGGGGAAGGGATTCAGGGGGAGGAACAGCAGGTGTTAAGGCCCTGGGGAGGGATGCACACTGTGGCTAGAACATAAAGACCACATGGGGACAGGGCAACATGATGAAAAGGAAGAACAAACGAGTGGCTGGGTCCCCTCAGACCAAGTAGGCCAAGCAAGGAGAGTGGGTGCTATGGTTTGGCTGTGTCCTCCCTCCAATCTCAAATTACAGCTCTCATAATACCCATGTGCCATGGGAGGGACCTGGTGGGAGGTAAATAAATCATGGTGGCAGGTCTTATGTTGTTCTCATGATAGTGAATAAGTCTCACAAGATCTGATGGTTTTATAAAGAGGCATTCCCCTGCACATGCTCTCTCTCTTGCCTGCCACCGTGTAAGATGTGACATTGCTCCTCCTTTGCCTTCCACCATGATTGTGAGGCCTCCCCAGTCAAGTGGAACTATGAGTCAATTAAACCTCTTTCCTTTATAAATTAGTCTCAGTTATGTCTTTTTTTTGGGGGGGTGGGGACGGAGTCTTGCTCTTGTCACCCAGGCTATAGTGCAGTGGCACAATCTCAGCTCACTGCAATCTCCATCTCCCAGGTTCAAGCAATTCTCCTGCCTCAGCCTCCTGAGTAGCTGGGATTACAGGCACCTGCTACCATGTCTGGCTAATTTTTGTACTTTTAGTAGAGACAGGGTTTTGCCATACTGACCAGGCTGGTCTCGAACTCCTGACCTCAGGTGATCCACCTGCCTCAGCCTCCCAAAGTACTGGGATTACAGTCATGAGCCACTGCGCCCGGCCTCAGGTATGTCTAATACCTTACTTTTGGGAGAGGAAGAGACACCCAGTGTCCCTACTGAACATGTTCACCTAGGCTGGAACTTGGTTTGGTGACAATCTTCAATGCCTTTTACTATCTGTGAACAAGGGAAGCAGCTCTTTGAAGCACTAACTACAATCAGTGCCAGGAAAGGTCTGAGGGAAGGCAGCTGTGGGGATAAGAAACACCCCCTTCCTGCCCCTGCACCCCTTTCTCCTTGTTAGTGCCCATCTCACCTGCTGTAGTCAACTCTTCATCGTAAGGGTCTGGGCCAGAGCTACCACCACCAGCAAGCTTCCTGGCTGACAGGTGGCTTAGGCACAGGAGAAGGGTCTGAACAAGGTACACTTCATCTCTGCCCAGACTTCCAGCTCTCAGAGAGCAAGAAGTTTATGTTTTCAAAAGACAGCATGTTTTTGACGTTGCCTGCAAAGGGTGTTTAAAGGAAATAAGAGAGATGTGAAGAGGGCTGGGTTAGATTGGTCAAGAGAGGAGCCTTTTCCTGGGTAATGACTTCCCAAACACGTGTGACAAATCCACTTAGACATGAGCCAGAGGACATGTTAGAGGAGGCTGGAGGGGAGAGGCAGTTGTAGAGGGTGAGATGAGAGTTTTTAAGCTGAAACTAAACATTGTCCAAGCAGTGGCCTTTTCATATCCACATCCCTCTTTTTCCACATCCCCCATCGCTAAGCCCTGGGAACTGCTCATTTGTCATCTATTTCTGTACTTTTGTCATTTTGAGGGTGTTATAGAAATGGAGCAATACGGTACGTAAACTGCAGATTGGAGCTTTTCACTCAGCATAACCTCCTCGAGATTCATCCAAATTGTTGCGTACATCAATAGCTTGCTCCTCTCTAGTGCTGGAGTGGCATTCTGTGGTAGGAATGAACTGCAATTTGTTGAACCGTTCACCCCTGAAAGGATGTCTGGCTTGCTTCCAGTTCAGGACTATTATGAATAAAGCTGCTGTGAATTTTCATGCACAGGTTTTTGGGTGAACATAAGTTTCCATTCTCTGAGATAAATACCTAAGAATGCGTTCACTGGATCATATGGTCCTTGCATGGTTGGTTTTGTAAGAAACTGACAAACTATTTTCCAGAGTGTTTGCACCATTTTACATTCCTGCCAGCCACATAGGAGTGATCCAGTTTCACCACATCCTTCAGCATTTGGTGTTGTTAAGGGAGGAGGCCACTCCTCATATTGTCTTATGCCCAATTTCTGCCTCCAAAGAAAGAAGAAGTAAAAACTAAAAGGCAGAAATGAAATCCACAAGCAGACAGCCCAGCACCACACCCTGGGCCTGGTAAAGATAGACCCCTGACCTAATCGGTTATTTGCATAAAAAAGCACTGTGAAGATCCCTGTCCTGTTCTGTTCCGTTCTAATTAACAGTGTATGCGTCCCCTAGTCACGTACCCCCTGCTTGCTCAATCAGTCAGGACCCTCTCATGCAGACCCCCTTAGAGTTGTGAGCCCTTAACAGGACAGGAACTGCTCACTCAGGTAGCTCAGCTCTTGAGACAGGAGTCTTGCCGATGCTCCCAGCCGAATAAACCCCTTCCTTCTTTAACTCGGTGTCTGAGGAGTTTTGTCTGTGGCTCTTCCTGCTACATAGTCACTATTTTTTTATTTTAGCCACTCAGATAGGCAAATATATCCATCCAAATAACTCTCTCCCAGGGCTAATTCCTAGAGAAAGTAAACAACTGGCCTGCAAGTCTGCCTTTGATATGCAAACCAAACCATTCCCTATTCCATGCCCCCACCTGCTTCCTTTCAGCAGGCTCCTGCAGTCTGGGATATTTTCTTTCCCCTGCCCTAAATCACCCCAGGGCCAGGTACCAGACAACTAGAGACCACTCTTGTATCCTAGCCCATCAGAATAATTCAAACTACACACTCCGAAGCCTGCTGTTTGCTTACCTTACCTTGCCTATCACTTCCTCTGAAAACCATGATAAAGGCTCCCACATACATTTCCTCTCTCTCTCTCTCTGCCCCTTCACCCGCCCTCGTGCTTCCCCGTGTGGCCCTACATGGCACACTGCACCTCCTGCTTCTAGGGGTCTTTGAGTAGAAACTTATTTCTTTATGACAGTCATTTCCGTATCTGCATGCCTTACCATATCTGGTTAAAACAAATCCTGGTACATTTTTTTGTTTTGTTTTGAGACAGGGTCTCACTGTGTCACCCAGGCCACAGTGTAGTGGTATGATCATAGCTCACTGCAGCCTCCATCTCCCAGGCTCAAGCATTCCTCCTGCCTCAGCCTTCTGAGAAGCTGGGACTACAGGTGCGTGCCACCATGCCTGGCTAAATTTTTTTTTTAAGTAGGCATGAAGTCTTGCTATGTTGCCCAGGCTGAGTTCAAGCAATCATCCCGTCTCAGCCTCCCAAAGTGTTGGCATTAGAGATGGGAGCCACCATGCCCAGCCTCAGGTACATTTTTAAACATGTCCTCAATACATTAACCTGGTCCCTGAAAAACTCAGAGGGGTCCCATCATATAACAGTAAACCAACTTAAACTGAACCAGTTGATGGCCCAATCACAGTTTTGTTTTGTTTTTGTTTGTTTGTAGGGAGTTCCCTACAATCTACTGTCAGGAAAGGAAAAAAATCCAATATGGTTTATGAGCAGAAGAACTTGCAACAGTATGATTTCCTCTGTGCAGGATTCAAAAACAACCATGTCCTTGCTCAGCACACTAAAGCAAGGGAGTGATTACTCCAAGAAATATTCAGATAGTATTTAACCCTGACAGTAGGGGAAAGACAGTTATGAGGTCAGGGAGAGGCATATGGGGGGCTTCAAACATCTTAATAATGATTGATTTCCTAGGCTGAATGGTGGGTACACATGTTTATTTTTAGTCCTTGAACTGTATAGATACCTCATATACATACTCTTGTGTATGGGATGTATTTTATTTATTTATTTGTTTATCTGAGACAGGGTCTCCCTCTGTCACCCAGGCTGGAGTGCAGTGGCACAATCTCGACTCAATGCAACCTCCACCTCCGGGGCTCAAGCGATCCTCCTGTCTCAGCTTCCCAAGTAGCTGGGATCACAGGCATACACCACCACACCCTGCTAATTTTTGTATTTTTTTGTAGAGATGAGGTCTGACCATGCTGCCCAGGCTGCTCTCAAACTCCTGGACTCAAGTGATCCACCTGCCTTGGCCTCCCAAAGTGCTGGGATTGCAGGTGTAAGCCACCGCACCCGGCCTACATTTTTTTTTAACTTTTAAAAAGTATCCGGTGATAAGATGGAAAGAAATATGAGGGTCAGGGTCAGAAGTCCTTTTTGCAGTCAGAGGGGCTGTGTCTCTGGACAGGGTTCCAATGGGCATGGGGTGTTGCAAGTTCTCCTGTTCATGACTCTGTCCAAGGAGTCCTCCAAGGCCTGTTCACCCAGAGGATAGCACCGAGTATGCTCAGGAGCAGAGGCACCTTCAGGAGTGGGAGAAGCAGGAAGCAGGTGCTGCTGGGCAGGGACCTGTGAGACGGAGAGAGTGACTAGTAGTAAGCTGCCTTCTCCGGGGAGTCCCAGGCTCTGCCTCTCCCCCGCCTTCCCTCGAGGTCTCGTCCTGTGCCCTCAAACCCAATGTCAGCATCAAGCCTGGTGGGTACCAGGGTCAGGCAGCCCCATGCTGAGGGTCACAGGCTCCTGACCTTCATTCAGCTCAGAATTAACCTTGAGTGTCAAGACCCAACAGATGCCGGAGGTGAGGGATAGAGAAGAAGAGAGATATGTTAACCCAGGCAGGAACTGGCTCCCAGAAACAACTTCCTGAACAGATCCCTCAGCCACTGATGCCCGCAGGAACTCAGCTCTTGCTGGGAACAACCTCAAGGATGAAATACTCCTTTACAACCATCTTCACTCAAATTAAATATGATCACAAGAACAGCTCTTTTGCTTAAACGGCTTAACAATCTCAACCCCAAGGAGTGAACTCTCCAAGCTCAGCCCATGGCCAGTCGTCTCGCTCCGTGGGTCCCACTACACTGCTCCCATTCCAACTCCTCAGATGCTGCATTCTCTCCCCAAAATGGGCCGCTGTGCCATCTCTCCACCTTCCCAGCCCTCTACCTGCAGGGCTTGTCTGATGCCCTCCCTGATCCTCTCTAAGACGAGTCCCTGTAACAAACCCTGTTGGCGCCCTGCCCCATATCACCTTTGCCCACTTGAGCTCCTGGCAGCTGCAGGCAGTCTTGGCCCCACCAAGGATTTCCCAGCTCAAGCTCCCCATCTCTGCCTGAGGTTATCTACAAGAGTGCACACATTTTCCTGTGCAGAGCAGGCCAGATGGGCCACAGAATTCATGCCCCCAGGAGTGCCTGCTGCCTGGAAGACTCTGTCTCCAGTTCTGAGGAACGTTCTACACAGTCTCTCATAGGGTGCCCAGAGGGGTTAATCTCCAGTGACTCCAGTTACTACGGGGATAACCCCTTCATTACAGCACATTTCACCGCCCTTCCCCTTTCCTGGTCTCACTTTCTGCTCTCTCAATGTACTTCTTGAGATTACCTCTCAATAAACAAATTGCTCCTAAGTCCTTGTCTCAGGACCTGATTTGGGGGAAACCCAAACTAAGACAGTCCCTTTGTTCTTTGTTTCTGTGGAACATCTTGTATTTCCTTGATAGCCCAAATCATGCCCCACCAGCTTCCCACACACTCTGGCACCCTATCTCTTTACACCTGCTTTATTTTCCTCCACAGTAATTATCATTCGTTGACATATTTCCTTGATCTATCGTCTCTCTGTCTCTATTACATATCTCTCTCTGCCAGCTATCATCTCCATCTGTCTTTCCAGTCAGCCAGCCAGCCATCTCTATCATCTTTCATATCATATCTATCATCTGTCTGTTTATCTATCTATCCACCTATCTATCTATCTATCTATCTATCTATCTATCCATCTATCTGTCTGTCCACCTGTCTGTCTGTCTATCTATCTATCCATCTGGCCATTGCCTGAATCTACCTATTTGCAACTTCCTCAAGAGCACAATCTTGCCCCTTTGTTCACTGTTGCATCTCTAGAATCTCCATCAGTTTCTGGCGCATAACAAATAAACACCTGTTGGCCGAGCACGGTGGCTCACACCTGTAATCCCAGCACTTTGGGAGGCCGAGGCGGGCAGATCACGAGGTCAGGAGATCGAGACCATCCTGGCTAACATGGTGAAACCCCCGTCTCTACTAAAAATACAAAAAAAAAAATTAGCCGGGCCTAGTGGCGGGCGCCTGTAGTCCCAGCTACTCAGGAGGCTGAGGCAGGAGAATGGCGTGAACCCGGGAGGCGGAGTTTGCAGTGAGCCGAGATCGTGCCACTGCAGTCCAGCCTCGGCGATAGAGCTAGACTCTGTCTCAAAAAATAAATAAATAAATAAATGTTGAGTGGGTGAATAATCAAGGAAACCTGTGTCTAGGAAGCCCCACCCTAGGAAAGAAGCTGCACACATGGCAAAAGACACTGGGACACGTGCATTTTACCCTTGGCATTGGCTGGGCCTGGTGGGAGATGCAGGTGTCTTCACAGAGTTCTCAGTACTGGAGGCTGAGGATAAAGAACAGAGGTTCAGTGCCCTACGCCTGACTCTTCCCAGCTGAGTACCTGGTACCTGCATGGTTCTGACTTCATAAAGCAGAGGACGCTCAAGGAGGCAGCTGGACAGATGTTCTAGGACCATCGTCTTCCAATAGGCAGACCAAAGCCTGACTGGAGTAACAGAGCATCCCCCCAACCCCATCCCAATGGATGCCCTGCTCTGGGGCCGGGTGGGCATTTTATAAACCCAGACCAGAGGATGACCACCTTCTCCCATGTTGGTGTCCCCCATCTCGCTGAAAATCAACATGCCGAAGGTTAGGCTTAGGTTCCAAAACCCCCATCCTTGCCAGTGTATCCACACACCACCACTACCCTCCAGCACACACTCTCTGTCTCACACACACTCTCACACCTGCACACACACTCTCACATGTGCACTCACGCAACTTCACAAATACACTCACACGCCCACTCACTCACACACGCCTGCTCTCACACACACTCTCACATGCACACTCACACACCTGCTCTCACACACACACCTGCTCTCACACACACTCACACACACCTGCTCTCACACACACCCACACACCAGCTCTTGCACACACTCACACACTTGCTCTCACACACACTCACACACTCACACACCTGCTCTCACACACACTCCCACACTCACTCACACCTGCTCTCACACACTCACACTCACACACACTTGCTCCCTCACACACTCACACACACTCACACACACCTGCTCTCTCACACATTCACACACACCTGCTTTCACACACACCTTCACACCTGCACTCACTCTCACATGTTTGCACACAACTCACAGTCACACACTGAAACACACTTACACTGTCCCACTCATTCAAACACACATGTATTTCCCACACACATTCACACAACATACTCTGTCCTGAGTCTCTGATGCACCACACTAGGCCCAGTTCTTCTCTCCTGGGCCAAAATTTCTGTGGCTGCTCTGCAGAGATGGCCTCAGATGCCTGAGAAAAGAGGCTCTTACCCGATGAGACCAGCACTTGAACCTGGAAGAAGGGATCGGGCAGGAAACCAGACAGGCCATCTTCCTGCAGTATTGTTGCAATCCCACATCGGTATTTTCCTGCATCGTCTGCCGTGAGGTTCTCCAAGGTCACGGTGAAGGTGAGGTCTCCAGGATGGTCCGTGATGATCACTTGGTCACTCCTCACCACTCCCTCAGACCCTCCGGTCTCCACCATTTCATGCCAAATTGGCAAGCATGGTTGTCTGCACCAGTATTTGTTAAACGTCTTGTATTTCTCTTCATACCGACACTGAACACTCAGGGATTCCCCCACGGCGCCCATCACGGTGCTGGGGCCACTCACAGTCAGACAGCCTGGAAAACACAAGTCCGTTTCCCCGTCTTCACCTGGAAGAGTCTGGACCAGTGGAACCTTGAGTGTCAGGTCCTCTGCACGCCCAGTGTTGCCTGAGGCTGGAGGAGGGAGGAGTCGGGAACCAGGGAGCTATGGGCTATTTGCAGGGGGAGACCCAAGGAGATGCCCGGTGTGGGATCCTGAGACTCCAGAGGCCATGCCAGCCTGGGTGTGCTCAGCCATCTTATAATATCAGGGGGAGAGGCTTGACCTCGGTGGCCTCAGACAGGTTCTGGGTCCCCCAGAAGTGTCAGTCCTGAGAAGAAACACCTGTCCTCATCGAACACCAATGATTGAATGAAGCCACTAAGTACACTCTGAATAAATGGATGGCTGGAGAGATAGATGGATGGATGGATGGATGGATGGATGGATGGATGGACGGATGGATGAAATAGGAAAGGAAATAATATTGAGAACCAGGAAAAACCAGAAGCAGCCCAGTATGGAGGGCAAGGAGGAAGCCTGGGGCTTCTGGTTCTGCCCCTTTCCCAAATCATCTGTGGGCCTCATACTTGCCATCCCTGCCCATATAGATGAGGCCTCCTGCTCCCAGGTCTGGGTCACAGAGAATATGGGGGCTGCCCATGGGGATATCAAGGGGCCATGTAGAAAGGAGTTGTTCTTGTGATTCAAGGACATTTACGCCTGGAATTTTCCCCCGGGACAGAATCCTGCAGCAACACTCGCCATTGCCTAACATCTGCAGGGCTCCGCTCCACAGGGACACCCATCAGAGCTTCCTTCCCACCCCCAATTCTCTGCAGCACCCACCCGCCTTGGCATGTCCTGGGCCTCTTCTCCAGGTCCTCTGCCCCCTCCAATATTTCGACATTACTCTCCCTCTTCGAGTCCCCTCTCTCATTCCTCCACCCACTCTGCAGGCTCCGGGTCCAAATGATTGGGACCCAGCCCCATCAACTCTCTGCTTCCTGCCTCGGGGGCCTCACCAGTCCTAAACAGCTGCTGTCTCATCTGCTCTTGACAGGGAGGTGGTTAACTCAGGACAAAACGGCTATTGAGAAATGGTTTTGGCAAAATACCAAGCTCCTGAAAAGGAATTGTGGATGTAATCTGTCTACCTATCAACTATCTATCTATCTATCTATCTATCTATCTATCTATCTATCTACTATCTATCCATCCATCCATCTTTCATCTACCCACCCATCCATCTAGGTAATATATTGCCATCCACTGATGGAGAGGCTTTGCTATATTTTTATTGTGAATTAAAAGAAAAATCTGGCCAGGTGTGGTGGCTCATGCCGATAATCCCAGCACTTTGGGAGGCCGAGGCAGGTGGATCACCTGAGGTCAGGAGTTTGAGACCAGCCTAACCAACACGATGAAACCCTGTCCCTATCGAAAATACAAAAAATTAGCCGGGCGTGGTGGTGGGTGCCTGTAATCCAGCTACTCAGGAGGCTGAGGGAGGAGAATCACTTGAACCCAGGAGGTGGAGGTTGCAGTGAGCCGAGATCGCACCACTGCACTCCAGCCTGGGCGACAGAGTGAGACTCTGTCTCAAAAAAAAAACAGGAAAACTTTATCTTTTGCATCTTCATTTTCTTATCTCACGTTTTCTCACTTTATTTCCCAGAAAGCAGGCTCGAGTGGCCCACTGACCTATTCTGCATTAGAAAGCTGTCTGCCTCTCTGAAGCAGTGATTCTCACCTGGGGGGCAGGGGGGCGGGGAGGGGGCGGGGGGGCAGGGGGGCGGGCGGGAGAACATTTGGTAATGACTACAGATATTTTTGGTTGTCCCAACTTAGGGTGGGGAATTGCTGCTGGCATCTGGTGGGTAGAGGCCAGGGATGCTTCTAAACATCTTACAATGCACAGGACAGCCCCCAACACACAGAATAACGCAGCCCCAAATGTCCACAGTGTTGAGGTCCACGAGCTTTCCCAGGGAGCTAACTGCCTGCCAGGCACAGGCTTAGGAGCAAGGAAGGGGTGGGCACACCCAGTCCTCTCCTGAAATCGCTGCTGCTCTCAGCTCAGGCTCTGGGGGCGCTGTTAGCCTGCTCTTTCAGGTCCTTAAACTTCTCTCTTAATGATTTGGGGCTAATTCCACAAGGAGCAAAAACATTGTGGGGCACACACTGAATCCCACCACAGAGCCTCCCTCTCCTTGGATATTCAGTCCAGACCCTGACTCTGAGCCAACATGGGCAGCCTCCTCCACCTCCACCCCCACCATCTTTTACGGAGCTTCCCGCCTACCCAGCCTTGCAAAGAAACTGACTTTCTCCCTCCACCATCATTTACGGAAACTCTCGGACCAGGGCTGACCAC
This sequence comes from Homo sapiens, assembly GCF_000001405.40. Lineage (NCBI taxonomy): Eukaryota > Metazoa > Chordata > Mammalia > Primates > Hominidae > Homo > Homo sapiens. Next base: position 74,566,618 of record NC_000017.11, read on the forward strand.
AGGTTCCCAGCTGTCTCACCCTTCTGGGGGCCCATTAAGTAGCAGCCCTGGGGCCAGCCCAGACCTGTGGGGACACCCAGGGTTCCCACGTGGGGATGCAGCATATGCCTCCAGATATGTAAGTGAAGCTTTACAAGGAGGCGCAGCAGACATTGACATTGAATTAGAGAAGGAGCAATGATCTTGGAAATAAAAGTATTTAGGTTTGGACCTTGACTGTGCCTTTTATAAACTGTTTAATCTAAATTATTTGCACCTCTAAGAGCGAGCTTCGGTCTCTTGTTTTCATCAGGATTGCAATAAGAATTAAATGAGATAGTGGGAAACAAGATATGTATTACAGTGATTAGCCTAGTAAGTACTGGTTTTCTGTCCCCTATTCCCCCTTCTCTCTGATGGATCGTGGTGGCATTCCTGATCTTAATAATGACGGTAATAATGATTAAAGTTGCCAAATCTACTTAGGGCTTACTGTGTGGGAAGCAGTTTACCGTTTAATCCCCACCCTATCCCGATAAGGAGATTTGAGAAGCTTCTATGCACACCTCACTCCCTCTTTCTTGATATCATTTCTTCCTCTTGCCCCTCGCCAGCCTTTTCTCATGCCTGCCTCACCCTGACCCGCCAGAGCAGACCTCCCTGCACCCAGGACCTGCCCTGCTCATCTGGGACACAGAGAAGGAGCAGAGCTGAAGGCAGCATGGCAGCCCCAGCCCTCTGGGTCATCTCACCAGCATGGAAGTCCCTTGTGGCAGCAGGGTCTGAGGCTCTTTTTCCTTCTCACATCTCTCGTTTCCTTCTCTGGCCTCTTCTGGGTTTGGTTCTCAGAGCTGGTGAGAGTATGGAGGAAGCTGGGGCCATGGGGCACTATGTGGTCAGGTGAAACAATTTTGAGAACTTGCTGAAGTTCTTCCTAATAAAACATGTTTGCATTTGCTGTTCCTCTTTCTGTTCCCAGTAAAGACAATGTCCCTCCCATTACCCACAGCTGACAGGCCTGCCCTTCTCCAAATCACAGCATGGCCCAGGACCAGTGAGACTGGGCCAGCTGCCATCTGGATTTTCTGGGCAGGTCCTCCCCTCTGTGAATGGCCAGTTTTCTGTGGCCAGCATGAGCCGCCCCAGGGTATGGCTCAGCCTTCACTGGATGGATGAGACTGGCTATTTGCAGAGCCCAGTGTAAAATCAAACCTAGGTTTCCAAAATTATTAAGAATTTCAAGATGGTGACAGCCAAGCATGAAACGTGGGACCCTTCTAAGAGCCGGGCCTGCGAGACTGCACAGGGTAGGGGCACACCCACGATGCCCGCTGGTCTATCTCTGATCCTTGGTGGTACAGATAGGCTGGGTGCAACCTCAGAGGCTCTGACCTCTTAACCCCTCACTCTTGCTCTGACCTCAGCAGACCCCAGAGGTCCCTGTCTTGGCCACGTGCCTGACTGTTTCCACAGACCTGGCACCACGCAGAGCTTGGTGGACCATCTATAAGCCTTGCTTTTGACCTGTGTGGCTCTTCCTGTCGCCCAAGATGACCACATATAAGAGTTTCAATATATCAAGAGCTAACTCGGGGGAACCTGGCCAGAAGTGTGCCTGATATACACAGAATGGCTGTGGAGGATTTATAAATGCAAGCACAGCTTCAGAAGGCCTCACTCAGGGACTTAGATTTCTGGAACTAGGAGACTCCAAATTCCTGGCATTCTGTTATCAAATGTCTCCTCCTTGGTGTTTCAGTAAATGTGTTTCCTGCTTGTTCATTTTTTGCTGCATGTGGAGTCCTCATATTTCTGTGTGTGTTCACATGTGTGTATATGGGTGTGGTATGAGGGATATATGTGTAGTGTGTGTGGTGTGGGTAGTGTGTGTAGTATGTGTGGTATGTGTGTATGTAGGTACATGTGATGTATGTGCATGGTGTGTGGGATGGTGTGTGTGTAGTGTGTGTGTATGTGTGGTGTGAGTGGTGTGTGTGAGATGTGTGTAGTGTGTGTGTATGTGTGTGGTGTTTGGGGTCGTGTGTGTGGTGTGAGTGGTGTGTGTGGTGTGGGTGGGATGTGTGTAGTGTGTGTATGTGTGTACATGTGGTGTATGTGTGTGATGTGTGGGGTGGGGTGCATGTAGTGTGTGTGTTTGCATGTGTGTGTGGTGTGTGTGCACAGGTGGTGTGTGTGTAGTGTGTATGTGTGTGCACGTGTGTGGTGTGAGATGTGTGTACATGTGGTGTATATGTACAGTATGTGGGGTAGGGTGTGTGTAATGTGTGTGTGGTGTGTGTGATGTGAGTGGTGTGTATGAGATGAGATGTGTGTAGTGTGTATGTGTGTACGTGTGTGTGGTGTGTTGGGTGGTGTGTGTAGTGTGTATATGTGTGCATGTGTGGGAGTGTATGTGGTGTGTGCGTGTCCATGTGTGGTGTACGTGTGTGGTATGTGGGGTGGTGTGTGGTGTATGTGTGTGGTATGTGGGGTGATGTGTGTAGTGTATGTATGTGTGTGCATGTGTGGGCGTGGAGGGTGTGGGTGGTGTGTGTGTACATGTGGTGTATGTGTGTGGTGTGTGTATGTGTGTGCATGTGTGGGGGGTGTGGGTGGTGTGTGTCTACATGTGGCGTATGTGTGTGGTGTGTGGGGTGGTGTGTGCATGTGTGGGCGTGGGGAGGTGTATGGGTGTGTGTGTGTGTACATGTGGTGTATATGTGTGGTGTGTGGGTTGGTGCGTGCATGTGTGTGGAGGGGAAGCAGGAGCTGGGAGTGATAAAGATGTCTCCCCTTGCAGCCTGCAGAGCCGGTTGCGAGCCCCGCCCTCTGTGCCTAGCTCTGGGCGCTAAGGAAAGGCTTGCCTGGCCCTCCCTGACTCTGCGTCAAGGGCTGCTCAACGTGCCTTTCTTGGGAAGAAGGGATCTGAGTCTGTGAAGGAGATGACGCACAGCTGCAGACTTTTCCAGAAAACATTCTCGCCATCCTTGTCTGGACAAACCACCGGGTGCACAGGGTTGTATTAGTCAGCTCTTTCTGGCTCACATTGCCATAGCAAAACTCCTAATCCCAGCATGCTGTAACCACAGAAGCTTGTTTCTCGCTCGTCTATACGCAAGCGGTGAGTCAGCATTGCTTGGGCACCAGGCTGCGGAGCCCAGTCCGCTAGAGGAGAGGGAAGGCACCGGGTGGCTCTCTGAGCCTCTGCTCAGAAGGCGCACATGCGGCTCCTGCTCACCGTTCATCGTCATAGGGTCAAGCCTGAAGTCAGTGGGAAGGAGAAGCACAGTCCTCTTACAGGACAAGGCGGCAAGTCACTGACCACAACCACAGAACCCACTACTGGAGGTTCCCTAACCGGGCTGGAAGGGTGCCCCGCAGCACACCGACTCCGTGCTTCTCGCTCATCCAAGGTCGGGGCAGGGAGAGGCTGCAGGGTCTGCTTAGAAACAGCCTGTGTGTGTTTCATTTTTTTAGCTAGGACCAGACAGTTTGCCAAATGCAAAGGACATGGCAATGCCACAGGGAACCCACCTTTGAAGCAGATGTACTCTGGGCCCTGGAGTCCCCCAGGAGATGACAAATTCCTTGAAGAGATGACCCACATCTGGGACATCCAGGCTTTTTCCATGTCAAGGCCAGCATCTGGAGCCGCTGTCCCTTCCCCAGCAGGCCCTTGTCCTTCTGTCTCTGAAACCTGTCCTGGAAAATGCTGTCCGCTCCAGGAGGGCAGAGCTAGGGGAGGACTGAGAATAATGAACACTGGCCATGAGGCACAGGAGGGCGGGGAGCCCGGGGCCCTGCCTGGCACTGCACCACACTGAGACCCCCACCATCGCTGCCCTTGAGGGACAGCTCTTGGGGCTTCCAGAAAGTTAAGATCTCATCAGTGAGGGGTGCGTTCTTAGGGCAAACTCGGGGCATGTGATGTGTAGGACAGTGTGAGTAGCCCACACATTTCTCTCTGCCTTTCGGGGCTGTGCTTGTCTTTCTGCTTCCTCGAAAACCGTCATCCTCCCTTCTCACTCTCCCAGGATGAGCTCAGACCACACCTCTCCTGGAAGGCATCCCTGCCTGCTCCAGGCCTTCCAGACCCCTCCCTCTGGGGTTCCTGTTACCTGCAATGCTTATTTCTGTATTTAATCTCATGTCCCTGTGCTGTCATTGTCCTGTTGCATGGCATCCATTTCCAGGTGAGGCTGTAGCCTCCACAAAGGCAGGACCAATCTGGGCACCCGGAGACGCAGACAGAGCTCGGCCCCAGCCTTGTGAGCTGAATTGGAGGGTGAGAGCTCCGATCCTTCCATATTTTCCAGGGGAGGGGATCAGGAATGTATTAAGGCATTGGGCCTCTCTTCTCTCACCTCTACTACCCGACGTCAATCCATTTGGGGAGTAGTTCTCAGTATCTTGTGCATCATGGTGAGAATGGGCAAGTGCCCAAGGATGGTGGACCCCACTGCCCACTTTCTTCCCTCCCCACTGGCACTCAAGGGAGACGTCACCAAGAGGGCAGCCTCCTGACCGGCTCTGGGCAATGGATGCCTCTTTGGGATCTTGTTACAAATACAGGGCTCTCTAGGGAGCAGGGTGTGGGGAGGGTCTTCCCAACATGGGGGCTGGGGTGCTATAGGGAGCCCGGCTCAGAGAGGGTCTCTACCTGACTCTGATGATGTGGGCCATGTAGCACAGTGAGGAAGGTTCTGGCCATAAGCTGGGAGCCCTGGCTCAGATTTTAAGGTCTGCTGTTCACTAGTTATATGACTTTAGGCAAATCAGCAAAAGTCTCTTAGCATCAGTCTCCTCATCTGTGAAATAGGAATAAAAATATTCACCCTGCTCAGTCCCAGGAGTTGAGCAAAGGCATTTGAAGGTGGTGGCATCCCTCTGGGAAACTTTCCTCTTTTGATCTTCTACGTACCATGCACTCTGTATATTTAAATCCTGCATACCCATCCCAACACCCCTGCCAGGTCACTTTTAAATAAGATGACTGGAGCTGGAAAGACGAACTAAACTGTCATGATGGGAAGTGGGGAGGTCAGGATTTGAACCCAGGTCTTCGGTGGGGTCCCACCTCTGGCTCTCATGATGCAAGGTACGGATTGCAACACTCAGGCAGGGGTGAGATGGGTTGAGAGATGGCAAGTGGAAGAGGCCTCCAAGTCTTATTTCATTCAATATCTGTTTGCAGAATAGCAGGAAGTATCTTCAGGGGAAATTAACAACACAACAAAGTCTGCTTCTGGGTGTCTGCTATGGATTGATGAGTTCCCCCAAAAATTCATATGTGGAAGCCCTAACCCGTAATGTGGTGATATTAGGAAATGAGCCTGTGGGAGGTAATTAGGGTTAGATGAGGTCATGAGGATCAGGCCTTCATTGTGGGATTAGTGCCCTTATCAGAAGAAGAAGAGAGATCTCACTTTCTTTCTTAGTCCATTTAGGCTGCTATTTTAAAATACCATAGACTGGGTGGGTTATGAACAACAGAAATGCATTACTCACAGTTGTGGAGGCTGGAAAGTCCAAGATCAAAGTGCTAGCAGATTCAGTGTCTGTTGCGCACTCACCTTCTGGTTCATAAAGAGTACTTTTTTTTGCTGTGTCTTCACATGGTGGAAGGGGCAAGACAGCTCTCTGGGGTCTCTTTTACAAGGGTACTAATCCTGTTCATAAGGGTTACACCCCCACAACTGAATTATCCCCAAGGATCCACCTCCTAATACCAACACACTGGGAATAAGTTTCAACACATGAATTCTGGAGAAACACAAACACTCAGACCATAGCACTCTCTCTGCCATACGAGGATACAGAAAGATGGCAGCCATCTGCAAGTCAAGAAGAGAGTCCTCACCAAACACCAAATCTACCAACATCTTGATCTTGACTTCCCAGCCTTCAGAACTATAATAAATAAAGGTCCCTTGTTTATAAACCACTCGGTTTATGGTATTTTGTTACAGCAGCCTGAGCTGACTGAGACAACGTCCTGGTGTCTGTCCCAATGCTTCACCGTTCTGGCTTTTCAGCATGAGTCACCTGTGCTCCTTCTCCCTGGAGGAGCCCTGTCTGGGGCAAGACCTTTGCAGAAACAGTGAGGCTTCTTGTCACTTTCCTCATTTGGAAATCAGGGATTTGGATGACAACTGGATTCCACCAACTGAGGTGTCTCTGAGGCCATTTGAAAGGCCCAGTTAGACAGAGGTTATCTTCCACAGCTCTTAGCCACTGCTGTTGGCAAACAAGGATTAGAAGAAACAGGAGACTTTCATGAAGCAGAGTTCCAGGATATGTTTTCTAGCTTCCTGGGTGACAAGAAGCAGTGAGGGCAGTGACAACTTCTTCATCTGACTTCCATTAGGAAGATTCCTTGGATTGCAGCTTCATAAAATTATTCTCTAGCTTCCTGGATGTGGAAGGCAGTTGCTTGGCAGATACCAAGACTTCATGCTCCCTGTTTGACCCTAGGGGCCTCAAAAGCAGGCTGTTCTGGATGTGAGGGAGGAGGGAGGGACAAGCTTAGGAGCTGCTTCTTCGGCCCTTTCCACAATATTATAAGCACCTAATTCTCTGCATACCTTCTAGTGCCCACCTAGAATGGGCACTAGACCTGAGTGGATACATACTCTTGGAAGGATCCAATCCCAGCAATAAGGTTGTTATTAACTAAGATAAAGGAAACCCACATTATACAGCTCCTCCTGTCTCTGGGTCAAGGGAGAGCGGGCAGGCAGGAGAGTCATCTTAGAACCGCATGCCATGTGTTCTCATTCCATCCAGCAGGTGACTTGTGCCAGGCACTGCTATCTACACTGGTGAACAAGACTGAGGCCCTGCAGGGTCCTGATGGGTACTAGAGGCTCTGGTTCCAATATGAGGAGGATGAACACTTCAGCACAGTTGTCTTTTTAGTAGACGGACCAGGAAATCAGAGGAGCTCTCTGTTACTCCATAAGGGCTGTGGTTCTCAGTAATAACTAATGGCTGTTGTTCTCAATAATAACTAATGGCTGTGGTTCTCAATAATAACTAATGGCTGTGGTTCTCAGTAATAACTAATGGCTGTGGTTCTCAGTAATAACTAATGGCTGTGGTTCTCAGTAATAACTAATGGCTGTGGTTCTCAGTAATAACTAATGGCTGTGGTTCTCAGTAATAACTAATGGCTGAGGTTCTCAGTAATAACTAATGGCTGTGGTTCTTAGTAATAACTAATGGCTGTGGTTCTCAATAATAACTAATGGTTGTGGTTCTCAGTAATAACTAATGGTTGTGGTTCTCAATAATAACTAATGGCTGTGGTTCTCAGTAATAACTAATGGCTGTGGTTCTCAGTAATAACTAATGGCTGAGGTTCTCAGTAATGACCAAAATCCAGCAGCAATGCATTATAGTCAATGGTAGAACACTGCTGCATTTTGGTCATTCCTTGAAACCCATTTGCTTGAAACTCAGTTCTGCTACAATTGCAGGGATGTATGCAGGAAAAATATTAACTCAGCAGGCTTAGGTTGTCCAAAGCCTGCACCTTCCCGAAAAAAGTTTAGCCCTTGCTTTGCTTCTAGGAGATAAGCTCTAAACCCTTGGAATATCCTGCCTGGTTAGATTGTCTTTTTTTATCTGGGGGCTTTGATGCCATGCTGGATAGCTCATGTTAACCATGTGATTATGGTGGGGGCTTCTAGCCATGCTAGATGGTTGATGCTATCAATGTAATTCATGGGTGGGTAGGGGGAACTTTGAGCTATGTAGTTTTAATTTGATCTCTGGCGACTTAGGCACTGAGGTCAGTTCTACAGGTGTTCCATGACTATGTGACTGACCCCAGTGAACTCTCTGGATACCAAGGCTTGGGTGAGCATCCCTGGATGGAGCACTTTGTGTGTGTTGTCACACATTGTTGCTAGGATGGGAGAATTAAACACTGTCTGCAAAATCCCACTGGGAGAGGACAGCTGGCAGCTTGCACCACGCACTTTTTACCTTTACTGGTTTTAATCCATATCCTTTCAGTGTAATAAACCATAACCATGCATATAACAGCTTTTCTGAGTTCTGAGTCCTTCTAGTGTAGCCGAGTCCAAAGCTCAAACTGCTTGCCAAGCAACAGCCAGTAAGTCGAGAGACAAGCTGTTGGGGCAAGGAAGATGGCTTTACAAGGCAGCAAACCAAAGAGATGGTGGACTCATGTCCTAAAGAGCAATCATAAAAGGCATGAACCTCAAGCTTCTTTTTATATTGGGGAAGGCAGAACAAGGAGGAGGTTGAGCCGGGTAGTGACAGGTGACCACAGACATCTGGGTGTCAGCTGAGGAGGTTGCATTAACTTCTTTGTTCTTGGTCAGGTCACAATGCTCCTATAAATCGTTAGCATAACATTGTTACTGTGTGTATGTCTTCCTTATTGCTTCAGGGGTGTTGCAAAGGGACTATTATCATCCTTGCTTTAAAGTGAAACTATAGCCAGGTGTGATGGCTCATGCCTGTAATCCCAGCAATTTGGGAGGCCAAGGCAGGCAGATCACCTGAGGTCAGGAGTTCGAGACCAGCCTGGCCAACAGGGTGAAACCTTGTCTCTACTAAAAATACAAAAGTTAGCCGGGTGTGGTGGTGCACACCTGTAGTCCCACCTAGTCAGGAGGCTGAGGCAGGAGAATTGCTTGAACTCAGGAGGCAGAGGTTGCAGTGAGCCGAGATCGCGCCACTGCACTCCAGCCTGAGCAACAGAGCGAGACTCTATCTCAAAAAAAAAAAAGAAAGAAAGAAAGAAAAGAAAAAAAGTTAAACTATACACTAAATTCCTCCCACAGTTAGTTTGGGTTATATGCTAAAGATATTGCAGGGTAGGGGTGTGGTCAGGAGCAAAATGGAGTTTGTTATTCTAGACCTCCTTTTCATGGTTATGCTAGTGAATCATTAAACCTGGGAGTGGTATTGGGTACCCCCAATAAGAGATGGAAAGTTTGACTGAATTTTAGTGCAATATGATAACAGAGGGGAGAGCCACCTGTTGTGATGATAGGGAAGCGGGGTAAGGTACCATCAAGCTAGCTTCCAGTGAAAAAGAGTGTTTACCCAGGAGTACTAGGTCCCACAGGTACAGGAGGGAGTACGGCAAATGAGGTGAGAAATTCTACTCAAATAGTGGCCAGGCACAGTGGCTCATGCCTGTAATCATTGCACTTTGGGAGGCCAAGGCAGGCCAATCACCTGAGGTCAGGAGTTCGAGACCAGCCTTGCCAACATGATGAAACCCCATCTCTACTAAAAATACAAAAAATTAGCTGAGCGTGGTGGTGCACATCTGTAATCCCAGCTACTCGGGAGGCTGAGGCAGGAGAACCGCTTGAACCCGGGAGTTGGAGGTTGCAATGAGCCGAGATCATGCCGCTACACTCCAGCCTGGGCGACAGATTGAGACTCTGTCTCAAAGAAAAAAAAAAAAGAAAAAGAAAAAGAAAAAGAAAAGAAATTCTACTCAAATAGTGATCTTGTTGGGAAGATGTCCAAGTTAATTCAGTTACAGAGATCAACATCATATATCTTTCATTTCATTAGACTTGTCAACATCTTTCCAAGGAAATTGCTTTTGGATTTGTCATGGATATTCGATTTTGCTTTATTTGTTTGCTATCATTTTTGTAATTAGTTTCTGCTACATTAGACCCTTTATCCATCAATACCACAGTGTTTATTCAAATATATTCCCACTACATGTCTATGAATGTTATTGATTATTGAGTATTGACTAGAGAAAGAATCTCTTATATGGGTAGCAAGAACAGAGAAGTTAGCTTATAGAAAGAATTAAATCAGTAAATTTAGACGCAATTGTGCAAATTAGCTAGTCTTGACAGGAAAGAGAAACTTTGAGATATTCGACAAAATAAGAAAGGAAAATGGCAGAATGAGAATCGATTTGCATTCTTTCAACCATAAGAATGAGGATGTTGATCTGGTTAACTGCCTCTTGCTAGTAGATCTGGGGAGGAATTGGAAAGACAAAGATTGAGGTCGTGAAGGGGAAGAATAAGACAAGTAAAGCACAGTCACGTTGAGCTGCTGGTTTTGGTGACCTATGGCTCCCCGGCGGCTGTGATTGGAGTCTGAAGCTGAGAAGTCATGAGGCTAAATGTCCCGATTGTCTTGCCAAGCTGCTTAGACCTTGCCACTTAGACCTTGTTGCTTAGAAGGAGACACCAGAAACCAGGAACTTGAGGCTGGGATAAAGCAGATGCTTTCTCTCCTGGTGCTCTGGGAAGGGAGTTTGAAGTAATCTAGGCAGCTTGCTGCTTGTGCCTTCATCCTGGCGGGCAAAATCACCTTGAGTGGAGGTAGAACACGTGTATCTGCCAAACTGTGATTCTCTAAGGGCAAGGATTACATCTCTGTTTTTTTGTTTGTTTGTTGGTTTTTGAGACGGAGTCAGGCTAGAGTGCAGTGGCGCCATCTTGGCTCACTGCAAGCTCTGCCTCCCGGGTTCACGCCATTCTCCTGCCTCAGCCTCCCAAGTAGCTGGGACTACAGGCGCCCGCCACCACGTCCTGCTAATTTTTTGTATTTTTAGTAGAGACGGGGTTTCACCGTGTTAGCCAGGATGGTCTTGATCTCCTGACCTCGTGACCCGCCCGCCTCGGCCTCCCAAAGTGCTGGGATTACAGGCGTGAGCCACCGCGCCCGGCCCCCAAAAGGAAACTCTTGATTTGACCTCCTGCAAACTCCCCAGCCTGATCCTCTTCTCATCACAGTAAATTACACCCATGGTCCCCTTTTTCTCAGACCAAACTCCAGTCACCTGGGCAACATCCTTGGCTCATCTTTTGCTCGTGCCCCAGCCATTGTGTTAACCCAAGACCCTCAGATCTGTCCACTTTTCTCCATTGCCCTCCCACCCCCCTCTTTCTCCCTGATTACCACAGGGCCTTCCCTCTTGAACAGGCACAAGAGCTCCCCAGTCTGACTCTTGTCCCTATTCACTGTGGCTAGATTGCACTTTTAAAAACAGTTACCAGAGGCGGGGCGGGTGGATCACCTGAGGTCAGGAGTTTGAGACCAGCCTGATCAATATGTTGAAACCCCGTCTCTGCTAAAAATACAAAAATTAACTGGGCGTGGTGGCATGTGCCTGTATTCCCAGCTACTCGGGAAGCTGAAGCAGGAGAATTGCTTGAAGCCAGGATGCAGAGGTTGCAGTGAGCCAAGATCGCGCCACTGCACTCCCGCCTGGGTGACAGAACGAGGCTCCGTCTCAAAAAAAAAAAAAACAAGCAAACAAAAAAACCAACAATGAATATCATCAATACAAAAACCACCATACTGACAATATTAGTACGGGGAAGAGGATGGTGGGAAAAGAGGAAGATACAGAAGTCCTCATCTTTTGCTGCAGAGAGTCAATAGAAAGATTCAATAATGTTGTTAAAAACAAGATGAGAACGTGGGAGCTCAGAGAGTGTTATGAGTTGGTGGGGTGTCCACACTGGGTGGGGGCTGGGAGCAGCGCTGGTCAGAGCCTGGGCAGCAGACAGGACATGGGTCAGCCCAGAGAGGGGCGGCAGAGCTCATGAAGGGTGAGGCTGGGGGTGGGGGAGTCTGGATAATAACCATGATTTCATCATTTTCTAGCTGAGTGATCCTTTATCTTTGAGCCTGTAGACTGCCTTCACGGCACTTACCCAGGTCTTTTTCTTTATTTCGGTGATAGTTGTACTTGAACAGTGCCTGATACTTAGTGGATGCTTAGTAAATGTTTTCGCTTATTTTTTATTTTTATTTATGTATTTTTTGTGACAGAGTCTCCCTCAATCACCCAGGCTGGAGTGCAGTGGTGCAATCTGGACTTACTGCAACCTCCACCTCCCAGGCTCAAGAGATTCTCATGTCTCAGCCTCCCAAGTAGCTGGGATTATAGGTGTGCGCCACCATACCCAGCTAAGTTTTGTACTTTTAGTAGAGATGGGGTTTCACCATGTTGGCCAGGATGGTCTCAAAGTCCTGGCCTCAAGTGATCTACCCACCTCGGCCTCCCAAAGTTCTGGGATTACAGGAGTGAGCCACTGCGCCCAGCATTTTGGAATGAATGATGGTGGGGAGTGAATAAGGGTCTCACCTGGGTACAGAGATTGACCTGACAGAGGGCAGTTGGGTGATCCTGGTTCATGTTCCCAGAAGGGAATTTCTGTTATTTAGCCTCTGTCTTAACCACCAGATGATCCCACTGGGCAGGGGGCTCAGTCATTAGAGTCCAAGACTGAGCACCACCCTGGGGACCCAGGCAGGCGGTACTGAGGACCCAGCCATCCCCAGCTCACAGTTCTAGCTCTGGCATCCAGTTTATGGATTATGTCACAGTCCCCAAAATGTATGGGTGATCTCCCCATATACCCCAAATTGAGAGTAGCAGCCAACTGCAATACTCTTAAAAGAGGTAAGAAAATGTAACAATCAACACTAATAGAAAAGTCTTACAGTGACGAAAGGAGGCTGTGTTTTCCCATCATCTTCAATCGTACTCATCCAGGAATCTCCTGACTTCCCTTCCCCACAAGTGGCAGGAGAGCAGCTGGCACGGCAGCCCGGAAACCTCTGCTCTCTTCTGTACTCATCTTCCCTTAAGTTGGCCCATTACCAGAGTTTGGTTCCGTTTTTCTGTTTTCATGGGTTTAGGATTTTGAAACCCATTATTGACTGGAGACTTGAACCCCACGGAATGCAAAGACAGGTCCGTTAACATTGCATGTGGCTCACAGACCTGAGATCACGAATGTCCACTACGGCATAGGTGCCTCTCGGGGGAAACACATTCTTCTCATGTTTTCTACTGCATTGGAGACCTCAGAAGGAAGAAGGGCTCTGTCAGGCCCCAGGGACTGTGCAGAGAAGGGAATAGCCCCAGGTGGCACGGCTGCAGGAGATAGGGGACTAGGAGGCTGTTCCCTGAAGCTGGGGCCAGCACTGCCTCTAGAACCACAGTCAATTCCCCATAGAAATGTTGTTTTTCTGCCAGGTGCGGTGGCTCACACCTGTAATCCCACCACTTTGGGAGGCGAAGCGGGAGGATCTCTTGAGGTCAAGAGTTCGAGACCAGCCTGGGCAACGTGGTGGAAGCCCATCTCTACAAAAAAATTTAAAAATTAGCTGGGGGTGGTGGCATGTGCCTGTAGCCCCAGCTACTCTGGAGGTTGAGGCAGGAGGATCGCTTGAGCCTGGGAGGGGAAAGTTGCAGTGAGCAGAGATTACACCATTGCATTCCAGCCTGGGTGACAGAGCAAGACTCTATCTCTAGAAAGAAAAAAAGAAGAGAAAAGAAAATGTTTTTTCTTCTGTGGGAGGGCCTTTCGCCCTGGACAGGACGTCAATGGGCATTGGGACTCTCATCATCGGGCTGACTCCTCCTCCTTCAAGACCTTCTTTGTGGTCTGTTTACCCAGAGGACGGTCCCCAGCATGCTCAGGAGCAGAGGCAGCTCCAGGAGGAACAGGAACAGGAAGTGGGTGCTCTTGAGCGGGGACCTGTGGGAACACGGTGACAGGAAATGAGCTGCCTCCTGGGTCAGAGGTCTCAGGTCTTCTCAGCTCTATGCCCAGATCCTGGCTTCCAATGTCTATGTGAGGGTAAGCCTGGAACCCCAGACAGGCCAGCCCCTTTGGTGGGGCACAGTCACACTGCTCACCAGCGAGGCTCCCAGTCCTCCCTACACCTCCAGTAAACTCAGCCTGGCATTCAAGGTCCCGTCTGCCAACTCCCATCCGGCCTTTTTGGCTGGTCTCCCATAACTCCTCCTCACCTATCTTGAAGGGGTTTAGCATTCCCTGTCTCTACTTACCTCGGCTTCTGCTGCATTCTGCACCCAGAGGGCCTCTCCGCCCTCATCGCTGCCTGTGCAAACGCTACCCACCTTTCAGGTATCAGATCTGACATCATATTCTTGAAGGCCTTGGAGGCTGACCTTGCTCTGACCCTCTTCCTGTGGACCAGCACCTGGCCCTGGGGTTCCTTATGTTCCCTGTTACTTTCTATGGATGTGTAAGGCCCAGAACCTTATTGACCATCAATTCCACCCCCTCACCATCCTCCACCCACTTCCCAGGGTCTCGACCTCCCAACTTGGGCCTTCGTTGTTTCTTTCACCTCAGCGCAACTTGAAGCCACTCTCAGCTCACGGATAAATTTTAAAAATCAGGCCAGGCGTGGTGGTTCGCACGTGTAATCCCAGCACTTTGGGAGGCCAAGGCAGGTGGATTGCTTGAGCCCAAGAGTTCAAGACCAGCCTGGGCAACATATTGAGGCCCCATCTCTAAAAAAAAAAAAAAAAAAGACAGAAAAGAAAATTCAAAATTATATCCAACTCCAGAATGCCGGATGAGCCCTCAGATGATGGGACTGAGGGTATTTGGGGGAGATGGAGGAGGGGCTATACAGCAGGCCACGGGTCAAAATGCCCCCAAAGGTCCTTCCCAGCATCTTCACTCTTGGGGCTCTCCTGCTACACCTCTGGAGTCCTTTGCCCTCTGTCCCCTGACAGCTAAAGTCCCATCAGTTTGCACAAAAGCATGGAGGAGGAAAAAAACAAACAAAAAAAAAACAGTCGAGGAGTCCTAAAGCCAGCTCCGTGGGTGGAGCTCTGCAGATGCATTCTCAGAACTCAAGATCGAGTGAATAAAAAAAAAAAAACAGAGTTGAACTGCAGAGGGAACTGGCAGACCTTGAGGAGTAGTTCCAGGAGGACTGAGCCAGAGACACGGGCCTCTGCGCTGGGCTCTAGCAGGAGCAGGACGGTCTGTGGTTTGGGCTCTGGCCTTGACCTGGGGGGCTTGACCACAGCAGGCCGTGATGGAACCCAACGGCTAGCTATCAGGTGCCGACCTCTGGGGACTCCTCTGGACACCTCCAGGGCTGGTGAGCATCAGACTAATCCTCCAGACCCCTCTGCCAGCTTGGGAGGGTGAGAACGCCAAACTTCCAGCTTCCCCCTTTCCCTCTAGCATTTTCCATTCCCCTACTCTGGTGTCTTGGGAGAGAGAGGCTGGAACAATATTTGTTCTTGGGCAGAAACTAGGAGCAGATGAGAGAGGTGTCTCTCCTAACCCACTAAAGGCCAAACCTCGATATGCCCTCTTGACCCCAGGAGGTGGGGAGGGCATGTTCAGGCCCCTCTCCTGCCACCTTCAGTCATGTGGTGGCTCATGTCTGTGCTGCAGAGTTTGCCTTCATGTAGCCAACACTTAGATGGGAAATCTTATTTTCCTCAAAGGTAAACTGAGATTGGGGCAGGCCATCGGAGGTTTGCAGTGACTTTACTGATACAAAGACGAAACAGCAGGGGCCTATGGGGGTCCCAGCCTGAGTACCCCCAGAAAACAGGGCTATCAGAGTTAACAAATAAAAGCATAGAATGCTCAGTTAAATTTGAAGTTCAGATAAACAACATATGCTTTTTTAGTATAAGTATAGCCCATGAAATAGTTGGGATATACTTATGCTAAAAAATGTTTTGTTGTTTGTCTGAAATTGCAGTGTAACTGGGCATGCTATTGTTGTATCTGGCAACCCCTGTTAGAGGAGAGGCCATGGGGCCAGGCCTGTGCGAAAGTGGTGGGACCTGGCTCCACCTACCTGGTGAGGGGGCTGCTGGTCTTCTGGGTGGCTGCAGCTGTGAAAGCCAGGCTTGCTGTTGTGGTTGTCCATTCTGAGACTGCAGTTTGTGTGCCTAAACATACAAAGCAGAACACGGTTCACCCCTTCCATGGATGGCCCAGCTCTGGCTGTGGCCCTAAGGCTTCTCCACCTAGGAATTAAGGAGCCTCTGCCTTGGGGTCCAAGACTGTCTGGTCAGCATCCAAAATATTACATGAATTATCTTCTAAAGAGAAGTTACTGAATTATTACCATGTGAGAAATTCTGAGGAGCAGACTAAGGAGGGAATTTGCAATCATCAGTTGCATGGCACAGCTTAGCACACTCGATAGCATTCCGCTCTCCTCGGGCTAGGCTAGCTCTTTTCTGAGTCTCGGCCACAGCCGAGGTGAACTCCTTACCGCCTGTTCTGGAGTGATTCGGCGGCTGAGCTGGTGGCCCCCTCGCTGAGCCACTTCTGGAGAGCCCCGGATTCCTGGCTCTCTGCAGCCAGGCCCAGCGCCCTCCACCTCCGCTCTTCCCTCTCTGGCCGTTTCCTGTCTTCCAGCAGCTTCCCAATCTCACCCTCCCTACCCCTGTTGAAGTCTGGCTATGTCTGATGCATCCCAGCCTCTGCTGTGTGCCAATTCCTGCTGGACCACACCCTACTCACGCTGACGGTGTGTGTAGTGAGTTTTGATATTCAAAGTTTGCTTCAGGAGCAATCTAATAATAAGAGATCACAGCATCATATTTGTCTTTTTATATCATTTTTCTGGGATTAAATCAAGGTATAACTGACACATAATAAACTGTAAATATTTAAAGAGAACAATATGTTAAACTCTGATGTATGTGTATACCCGGTAACACCACCACCATGATCAGGACAGTCAACACATTCATAATCCCCATGCCCGCCCTCCCCCTTACTCTGTCCCCAGGTGTTAGGGACTGAACTGTGGACCCCTAAAAATTATATGTTGATATGCTAGTCCCCAGTACCTCAAAATGTGACTATATTTGGAGATAGGACCTTTCAAGAGGCAATTAAGTTAAAATGAGTTTGTTAGGGTAAGTCCTAATGCCATCTGACTGGTATCGTTCTCTGAAGAGGAGATGAGGACACACAGGGAGACACCAAGGCATGCGAGCACAGAGGGGCAACCGCAAGAAGGGGTAGCAAGAAGGCAGCCACCTGCAAGCCAGGGAGGGAGGCCTCAGGCTCAACTGAACCTGCCAACACCTTGATCTCGGACTTCCAGCCTCCAGAACTATGAGAAATACGTTTCTGTTGTTTACGCCACCCAGTCTGTGGTATTTTGTTGTGACAGCCTTAGCTAAGGGATGATCCATTTTCTCTTACTATCTATGAGTTGGCATTTTCCAGAATCTAATATAAATGGAATCATACAGTGTAAATCAGCTTTTGAGCTGGTTTCTTTCACTCAGCATAACTATTTTATCATTGGTATATCAGTAGAACATTCCCTTTTATTGCAAGTTGTATTCCATTGCATGAGTATTTCACTTTTTTTTTTTTTTTTTTTTTGAGACAGAGTCTCTCTCTGTCACTCAGGTTGCAGTGCAGTGGCATGATCTTGGCTCACTGCAACCACTGCCTCCCAGGTTCAAGCAATTCTCTGCCTCACCCTCCCAAGCATCTGGGACTACAGGTTAGTGCCACCATAGCCAGCTAATTTTTTTTTATTTTTAGTAGAGATGGGGTTTTGTCATGTTGGCTAGGCTGGTCTCAAACTCCTAGCCTCAAGTGATCCACCTGCCTCAGCCTTAACAAAGTGCTGGGATTACAGGCGTGAACCACCACGCCCAGCCTGTATTTCACATTTTTAAAAAAATCCACTCACTTGAATTGTTTCCAGTTTTTTGCTATTACAAATAAAGCTGCTATGAACATTCACATACAGGTCTCTGTGTGAACATAAAACTTTCTATTATTTTGACTAAATATGGAAGTGCTGAGGGGCTGGATCATCTCTGGCGGGCATACATTTCATGTCTGAAGAAACTGCAAACTCTTTTCCCAGGTGGTTGCATCATGTGCATTCCCACCTGCAGGGTATGAGGGCTCCAGGTACTCGAGAGTGTTTCCAACACTTGGTGTCAAGGTCAGTAATGTTAACTTTTGTTACAGGCCGAAAGAATGAGAGTCATGACCAACACAGTATAGCACTGGAGGCTATATGAGCGAACAGAAAACTGTTCTCATGAAAGCAGGATGTTGGAAAACTGGCAACGGTGTCTGCTGCCCGAAGGGGTGCTGAGGGCAGTCACACCCCAAGTGCTGTGTTCCTTGTGATTATCTATAGGAACATCTGAAGCCTGTTGTACAAAGAAAGCTATTGTGTGTACCTGTAATAAATCAAGCAGCTGACCAACCATTACCTCTCCCTCCCTTCTCTTTCTACCTAATAAATACGAAGGGCTGTAGAAGCTCAGGGCCCTTGTTCACTAGAAGCAAGGAGCTCCCTGACCCCTTCTTTCAAAACAGATCTCTTTGTCTTTGTCTTCATTTCTGCATTCGTCCCCCCTTTGTTCAATCCCCTAGCAACCAACAGCGACAAGTGGTGGCCGGGACAGGAACGTGAGCAAAGAAGGTCTGCTGGAGCAGAGAAAGAGAAACTGACAAGACGAACGAGAAACCCTGGAACAAGTCTGCCGGCAGCCAATAAAAGGTCAGTGCCCTAAAGAGGTACTGGGAGCGGCAGCAGATACAAGATCAGTGCCCTAAAGAGGTACTGGGATATCAGGTCAGTGCCCTAGAGAGGTACTGGGAATGGGAAGTTTTCTGAATAAGGGTAACATGGGGCAGAATTTGTCTATTGAGGTGCAACATTATGTGCATTTGCTTAAAGTTTTACTTAAACAAACTGGTGCTCAGGTTAGTTCTCAAACATTAATTAAGATGCTGAAGAAGGTCACTATACATAACCCGTGGTTTCCACAGACAGGCAGTCTTGATGTAGAAATTTGGGACAGAGTAGGACCAGGATTAAAACGGGCTCACCAAAAAGGTCTTAAATTTGATCTTTTTGTTTTTTCTGCTTGGAGTTTAGTCCGTGCTGTCCTCCTGCCATTATCTTCTTCTTATTCTGCTAGACAGCAGGAATCATATTCCAAGTCTAAAAATCTGAAAAAATATTTTGTCCCACCCACAGTACCAATTAAAAATAATAAACAGGAGAAGGAGGATGAAAACTGGCCTGTGTCACCCCCTCCAGTAGCAGAAACGTCTGTACTGCCTCCTTCAGTAGCAGAAATAGAGACCCCAATACAAAGAATTTTATGCTCTGCTGCTATAGCTGGAAAGCCCTTAGGACCTTGCGCTTTTCCTATTTCCATAAGGCCCGATCCAAATAATCCTCAGCAGTTTATTCATGAACACACCCCACTACAGTTTAAGTTGCTGAAGGAATTGAAAGCGAGTGTAGTTAATAATGGAGTACAAAGCCCATTTACTTTAGGATTGCTAGAATCTATATTTGGTGCTATGCGCCTTCCACCCTTTGATGTAAAGCATTTGGCTTGCACTTGTTTGTCTGCTAGTGCATACCTGACATGGAATTTAAATTGGCAAGAACTGTGTGCAGACCAGGCTAGACAGAATCATGCTGCTGGACACGGAGACATTACAGAGGATATGCTGTTAGGTAATCGTCCTTATTCAGACCTGGAACATCACATGGCACTCCCAGACACTGCTTATAAGCAGTGTGCCTTGGCTGCTAAACATGCCTGGGCCACAATTCCTGAGGAAGGGGTCCCAGTACAATCTTTTTTACATATCATGTAAGGGTGGCCAATGCACATTTTCTTGCAAGATTACAAGAGGCGGTGAAGCATCAGATTCCTCATACTGCGGCTACAGAAATGCTAACCTTAACTCTAGCTTTTGAGAATGCAAATGCAGATTGTAAATGTGCACTGGCATCTGTGAGATGTACAAAAAACTCGGGAAATTTTCTCAAAGCTTGTCAAGATGTGGGAACTGAACTTCATTGCTCTACAATGTTGGCTCAAGCAATGGCTAATTTAGTAGTGGACAAATCTAAAAACGGCCAAGGAGCAAATCCTAAAATGGGAAAATGTTATAATTGTGGAAAAATCGGACACTTCAAAAAAGAATACCGTCAGACCTTTGGGCAGAAGGGATCTTATAATGCAGCCCCCCACCCCAGAAAAAATGCCAGGACTTTGCCCTCATTGCAATATAGGAAATAACTGGGCTAGTCAATGCCACTCAAAATTTCATCAGAATGGCACCCCCCTGTCGGGAAACGAGAAGGGGGCCTGGACCCGGGCCCTATAAACAATGGAGGCATTCCCTGTCCAGCCCACAGCCCCATCTCAGGGATAGGTTCCCGGAGGCACATTGATTCCCTCTCCCCAGGAACACCTGGAAGCTCAGGATTCGATCTCCCAGTCAGAGAACAGGTAACGTTAGTGGGAGGAGACAAACCCACCAAGATTCCCACTGGTATTTGGGGACCTTTGCCAACAGGATATATGGGATTAATTTTGGGTAAAAGCTGTCTTAATTTACAGAGCATTACCTTAGTCCCAGGAGTTATTGATTCTGATTATGAAGGAGAAATTCAAGTAGTGGTAATGTCACAAGGTCTTTGGGTTTTTGAACCAGGAGAATATATTGCTCAGCTACTGCTTATTACCTGCCAGTTACACCCTTCTTTACGGAGGTTGGGAGTTCGAGACCAGCCTGACCAACATGGAGAAACCCTGTCTCTACTAAAAATACAAAATTAGCTGGGCATGGTGGTGCATGCCTGTAATCCCAGCTACTCGGGAGGCTAAGGCAAGAGAATCTCTGGAACCCAGGAGGTGGAGGTTGTGGTGAGCCGAGATCGTGCCATTGCACTCCAGCCCAGGCAACAAGAGCGAAACTCCATCTCAAAAAAAAAAAAATTGATATTATCCGGTCCTGAACTCACCAAAGGGCCATCTGAGCCTGAAATTTTCTTCGTGAGAAGATGGCAAATGACAAATTCTATTTCATTAAAAGATATAGAGCTATTCCAGTTATCTATTTCTTCTTGTGACTGGTAGTTTGTGCCTTTCAAGGATGTTTTTCCATTTCATTTAACTTGTTGAATATATTGGCATAAAAGTTGTTTACGACACATATTCCCTTATTATTCTTTTAGTAGCTATAAAATCTGTTGTAATGTTACCTCTCTCATTTCTGATGTTAGTAATTTATATCTTTTTCCTGATCAGTCTAGGTAGAGGTTTAACAGTGTTTCTGATGTTTTCACAGAAAACATATCTCATTTCATTGATTTTTCCCTATTACTTTTGTTTTCGATTTCATTAATTTTTCATTGTGGTCTTAATATTATCTGTGTTCTGATGTTTGCTTTGAGTTTACTTTGATCTTTTTTTTCCCTAGTATCTTGAGCTAAGGCCATTGACTTGAGGCCCTTCTCCTTTTCTGATACAGGGACTTAGTGCTATAAAGAAGTTCCAAGAAGGCACTGGCAGGGATTGGGGTCTCTGGTTACCAGGGAAGGGGGTCCCTTTGGCCTGTGGGCTGAAACTGGAACCATCACCCTGTCATCTGTGGGCAACAGACTCAGGCACTGAGCTGTGCAGAGAAAAAAAAAATGTGCCTAGAAAGACTTAATCCCATCCTGGAGGGAGCCCTGGGAGCCATGGGGTCATTAAGAGATCCCCTCAATCCCAAGCGGTCCTTCAGGGTCCTATGAGACCTGTCTTAGTCTACTTTTTCTTGCTTATAACAGAATATCTGGAATTGAGTCATTTATAAGGAAAAGGAATTTGTTTCTTACAGTTATGGAGGCTAAGATGTCCGAGGTTGAGGAGCCACATCTTGTGAGGGCCTTCTTGATGGCAGGGACTCTCTGCAGAGTCCCAAGGTGGCTCCAGGCACCTCGTGGTGGCGGAACTGAGTATGCTAAGTCAGGTCTGTCTGCCTTTTCTTATAAAGCAGTTCCATTCCCATGATAACCCATTCATCCTTTAATCCACGAATGGATTAATTCATTCATGGGAACTCTGCCCCCATGACCCAGTCACCTTTTAAAGGCCTTGTCTCTCAATACTGCCACATTGGGGATTAAGTTTCAACACGAGTTTTGGAGGGACAAATATTCAAACCATAGCAAGACCTCAGGACTCAGACACCCTCTGTCACAGGTCACTCTGAGTGACAGTTAATTTACTCAAGTGGGACCTCAGGGACCAGGACAGAGCAGGACCTGAGAGACACACACGTATATACACTCCCTCTTACCTGGGTTAATGGTCACTTGAACTTTGACCCCAAGATCAATTCCAGGTCTCTCAGTCCCACACCAATAACTGTCAGCATCATCTCTTTTGAGATTCTCCATGGTCACGGTGAACACGTGGTTTTTCTGATTGTCCCTGATGGAAACTCGATTCTTCTTTACCTCCTGCTCTGATCCATTTGTTTTAACAAGGATGTTACAGTAATTCCAATCAGCTCCTTGACACCGCCACTTCAAGTAGGTCTCCCAGCCTGAGCCATAAGCACACTGCACAGTCAATGAGCCCTGCTCCGAGCCATTCACTGTTGTTGGACCAGTGATTTTAGCGGCAATGGAGTAACCTGGAAAACGCAAATTCATGTGTCGTCACCTCCCACCCCAAGGGCAGGGCCACAGCCTCGTGCATTGGGAGTAGCAGCCAAATCCAACTGCCTTATAACAGTCAAGGAAGCAATACATTTTCCTCAAGACAAATCTTTGTCCTTCAAAATTCCACTGGGTCAAAGTCACCAGGAAAATCACTGAAGAGCACAACTGCAGATCCCCAAAGAAACACAAATGTTGGCATTGAGCAATAATAGCTTCCTGCAGTTCACCCCTCTCTCTTTCCCTATGGCCAGCAAATCTTTATATTCCAAGGAATGCTCTTTGGCAACCATCTTTGTGTTATACTGGTCTGATGGGGAGGAAATGGCAGAAGGCCCTTTTCCAGAAGAATGATTGCTGCCTTGATGCTTGGCTGTTCCTAGTGGTTCTAATGGTTTCTGGTGGCTCTGCTGTAGTTAATCACCCTGAATGAATCCCTTTGAAATCAACCAAATAGTGATGCCAACTGGTCTCTATCTGCTATGGGATCCACATCACACAGATCTCCATTTCGCCATACAGTGTTATAAATTCCACTTCCAAAATTCCTAGGAAAAGCTAACTTTTAAGATAAACACAAGTAAAGGTTAGGTATAAACAGAGCAGCACCCATTCAACACCCTTCTGCATCTTATAAGTTCTTCTCTAAACATAATGGACATGATTCAAGTCAGTTAAAGGGTGAGGAACGGGCATACCTAATTAGCTCCACTTTTCAAACAATTTGATCCAGGACAAGACTAGTCTCCATGAACTTGTCAGCCTAATCTTTCACTTGAAAACAATTCAAAACAGTGGAAATACCTTAAGTGAGAGCTTTGCCAGAAATTCTTTAAATTCAACTGACCTAAAGGGAGACCCATCTAAAGAAACGATTGATTTTGATGATTTATGCACTGGCAATAAACCATAGCTGTGATTAGTGCAGCATAAACTTGAGATGGAACTAGAAGCACATTGGAGCACTTGAAGAAGCCCTGGGGGCAATTCCTGTGGCAGGAGAGAGGTTGTCTCTGAAACGCCAAGAGACACCCAAGGTCGTGGGTAAGAGCTCAGGCTGTGCCAGAGTGCTTGGGTTTGAATCCTGGCTCTACCACTGATAAGTTTTGTGAACCTGGGCAAATTAACCTCTCTGTGTGATACGGTTTGTCTGTGTCCTCACCCAAATCTCATCTTGAATTGTAGCTCCCATAATTTCCACATGTTGTGGGGGGCACCAGTTGGGAGTTAATTGAATCATGGGGCGGTTTCCCCCACATTGTTCTCGTGGTAGTGAATAAGTCTCATGAGAGCTGATGGTTTTATAATGGGAAACCTCTTTCACTTGGCTCTCATTCTCTCTCTTGCCTGCTGCCATATAATACATGCCTTTCACCTTCCACCATGATTGTGAGGCCTCCCCAGTCATGTGGAACTGTGAGTCCATTAAACCTCTTTTTCTGTGTAATTTACTCAGTCTCGGGTATGTCCTTATCAGCAGCGTGAAAATGGACTAATACACTGTGACTTCGTTTTCTATAAGTGGGAATAGTAATGGCATCTACCTCTATGTTACTATATTATGTTTGTTATTATTATTATTATTATTATTACCCCTGGATGAATGAAAACTTTAGACTTCATTGGAATGTCTTGAAAAACCAGGGTCACCATGGTGGGAGCGGAAGACAATTTCACCATAAACAGGCAGAGCTCCACAACCCAAGGAATTCCTGGAACAGAAATTGGACTCCATGCCCAAATCTGCTTTCTATGGCATCTGAAGGGAACTAAGAAACTACACACGACCTCCTGGGGAAAGATGGGTATAGGGGCTTCATTTGTTCACTCTGAAAAAAGTTCTACATCAGAATGGAAAGACAACAATTAAGGTAAATATTTAAAGAAAAACTACATCTGGAAGTTATTTATAAGAAATAAGAGCTGGGTGTGGTAGCTCACACTTGTAATATAACAACTTTGGGAGGCTGAGGCAGGAGAATCGCGTGAGCCCTGGAGCTTGAGAGCAGCCCTGGCAACATAGCGAGACTAAATAAATAAATAAATATTAGCTGGGTGTCGCACCACATGCCTGTAGTCCCAGCTACTCACTCAGGAGGCTGAGGTGGGAGGATGGCTTGAGCCTGGGAGGTCAAGGCTGCAGTGAACCCTGATCCCAGCACTGTACTCCAGATTGGGTGACAGAGCACACCCTGTCTCAGAAGGAAGGAAAGGAAGGAGAATATATCTGAAAATTGTTTACAGAATATAAATTTGAAGCCAGGCATGGTGGCTCACACCTATAATCCCAGCACTTTGGGAGGCCAAAGTGGGAGGATCACTTGAGCCCAGGAGTTTGAGACCAGCCTGGGCATGAAAGTGAGTCCTCATCTCTACAAAAAAAAAAAAAATAAAAATAATAATAATAATAATAATAATCTATTTTAAAAGAAAATAAATTTGAGATTGGAAGGAAAAATTTTCTTACAAAGCTTGATCTGAGTATAGATAATATGAGAAGCACATAGATTTGTTACATTTTAACAGAAATGAAAACACTACGTATCAAAATTTGTTGACATGACAGCCAAAGCTGTACTCAAATATAAATCCTTGGGAAAAAGGTTTGATGCTTCCTCAAAAAGTTAAACATAGAATTAACATAGGATTCAGCCATTTTACCCCTAGATATATACCCAAGAGAACTGAAAACATATCTCCATACAAAACTGTGCTATGAAAGTTCATAACATTATTACTAACAATTTTTAAAAGGTAGAAACAACCCTAAGGTTCATTGACAAATGACTGGAGAAACCAAATGTGGTATATCCACTGTGAAATACTATGCAGCCATGAAAAAGAATGAAGCTTTGATTTGTGCTACAACACAAAGTAACCTTGAAACATCATGCTAAGTGAAAGAAGCACTCCAGCCTGGGTGACAGAGCGAGACACCAGCTCAAAAAAAAAAAAAAAAAAAAGTTCTTCAAGAATGGACTCACTCATTAGTTCCTTCCTTCATTGATATCTGTTCATTCATCTGTTTATATGGAACAGTCAGGGTTGAGAACCACTGTTCCAACAAGAAGCTATACTTGTTTTGTTTTGTGTGTGTTTGTTTCTGCAGCATCTAACACAGAACCTGTCAGATAACAAAAACTTGATTGCTATTTAATGAATATGGGCATGGATGGATGAATTGGCGCTGTCATTTTCCCTGACATGTCTCCTTCCTGAGAACAGAGCGTCTCTGTCTCCAAGCCAGCCGCTGTCATTCCAGTGCCTTAAAGCTCCAGCCACACTCACCTGGGAGGATGAGAAGCAGCAGAGATGGGGACAGCCACATGGTCCTGTCTCCTCTCCTCTCCTTGGTGATCACAGGTGTCTGGTGCCCTTCAGGGACTTGAATCCAAGCTCGGAAGTCAACACCGCAAACCTACTCGAATCTCCTTCAAGTCTCTTGCTCACTTCCTGTTACATCTGTAGCTACTTCTCTTTTTACATATTAGGAGAAAAGAGGTGTCATTCTTTGAAAAGACTAAGGTACAGTGTATGTTGCAAGGTGTGCCCAAACTTTTGTGCATGTGGAAAAGAAAATGTGTCCGGGACTGGTCAGGTTTGCACGGGAGTGCACGTAGGAGCCAAGGAGCAGGAGGAGCCAGGAGGAACCCAAGCATTGAGGAGCTGCGGGATCTACTGCCTGGAGGAGAGGACGGACAAGGCCAGCCATGAGGAGTGCAGGGAGAGGAGCACTTTGGGAAGACCACAGTGCACAGGACTCACACCCAGCCTTGCTGGAGAAAGCCCATGCCCCAGGCTTCTTCCAGGCAGCCCCACTGTAAGACATCTCATTGCCTCTTCCTGCCCTGGGCTGTCTGACCCACTGCCCCTTCCCCCAGGAACACTTCCACTGGGATCATGAGTCACTCTGAAGCCACTCTGAAATCACTCTGAAGCCAAAGCTGGGCTCAGTGGGGAAGGTCAGGAATGGAGAAATTGCCTTTTCTCGTTAGCCTCCTCTTGCCCTGATTTCATCCTCCCTATCCCTGCACACTTTCCCCTGGCTGCTGTTGTAATCTACTTGTTCTGCTGACGCCCGAACTGACTTCTTTCCCGGTCTCTCCCCACTTTCTTTAGATGGTCCCTTCCCTCTTTCTCTCCCTTTCCCTCCTGAATCGATTCATTTTTTCTCTCCTGTTTTATATTTTCCATATCTGTGGGCTTTGTTCTACATTTGGGGAGCTTTTTATATTGTTTATTTCATGCTTGTACTTTCCCTTCCAATCCTTGGATCAAATATTGATTTTAGAGACTGTATTTTTATTTCGAAAAGTTTTTTTGGTTCTTTGATTACTGATGTTTTCAAACTCTCTTCTGTTCCTTGAACTATATCCCTCCACTCAGTGGTCACATCTTTGTTTTGTTGTCTGCTTCTTCTATATTATGAGCCTTCCTCAAGTGTCTGCTGATTCTTGGTTATCCAATCATAGTTGAGAACAAGATAAAGTGTAGCTAACTGAGACCTCAGAGTATGTAGGAGTAAATAGTATATAAAATAGCTCTGGTGGCTCATGCCTGTAATCCAGCACTTTGGGAGGCCAAGGCGGACAGACCACCTGAGGTCAGGAGTTCGAAACCAGCCTGGCCAACATGGAGAAACCCCATCTCTACTAAAAATACAAAAATTAGCCAGGTGGTGGCACACGCCTGTAATCCCAGCTACTCAGGAGGCTGAGGCAGGAGAATCGCCTGAACCTGGGAGGTGGAGATTGCAGTGAGCCCAGATTGCACCACTGCTCTCTAGCCTGGGCAAAAAAACTAGTTCCAAAAAAGACACTTGTACACGCATGTTTATAGCAGCACAATTTGCGATTGAAAACATAGGGAACCAGCCTAAATGCCCATCAAGCAATGAGTGGATAAAGACAATGCGGTGTACATATACACCATGGAATACTATTCAGCCACAAAAAGGAACAAAATAATGGCATTCACAGCAACCTGGATGGAGTTGGAGATCATTATTCTAAGTGAAATAACTCAGGAATGGAGAACCAAATATTGTACATCCTCACTTATAAGTGGGAGCTGCGCTATGAAGATACAAAGGCACAAGAATGATACAATGGATTTTGGGGACTTAGGGGAAAGGATGCAGGGGATGAGGGATAAAAAACCATACATTGGGTACAGTGTACACTGCTCCAGTGAAGGGTGCACCAAAATCTCAGAAGTCACTGCTAAAGACCTTATCCTTGTAACCAAAAGCCATCTGCTCCCCAAAAACTATTGAAATAAAATAAAATATAAAAAGAAAGAGAAAGAAAAGAAAATAGTTCCAATTTATCATGCCAAATTGTTTGAACCCTTGATTCTTTCTTGACTTACAAGCTACACTTTAAGGGGCGTGGGCAGAGAGCGGTCTTCTAAACTCTAGACTGAAGAGGATTGAAGTTGAGCTCCAGCATTCTCACTGCCATGGCTTCCCAGATATTACATTAAAATAAAGAATTCCTGCTCTTTTGCCTGGGGGTCAGTGCCTGCCTCCAGGCATTTGGGGTATATGTAAAGATGTACATGTTTGGCCGGGCACAGTGGCTCACATCTATAATCCCAGCACTTTGGGGGGTCGAGGCGCGTGGATCACCTGAGGTCAGGAGTTCAAGACCAGCCTGGCCAACATAGTGAAACCCCGTCTCTACCAAAAAATACAAAAATTAGCCCAGCATGGCAGCGCACGCCTGTAATTCCAGCTACTTGGGAGGCTGAGGCAGGAGAATCACTTGAACCTGGGAGGCGGATGTTGCAGTGAGCCGAGATCACACCATTGCACTTCAGCCGGGGTGACAGAGTGAGACTCCATCTCAAAAACAAAACAAAACAAAACAAAAACATGTTTGTGGAACTGCTCCATGAACAAAGCTCCAATTGGGTCCCCAGTCTCCATTCCCACTTCTGACCCACACTCTTCATCACACCTGCTGGCTCTGAGTTCAAAGCCTCCCCTGAGTTTTATCAGGTGGGTCAATTAGAAGTAGGAGTTGCAAAATGCAATTTATTTTATCTGCCCTTTACTCTGAGGGTACACCCAATATGCCCCAGACCACCATACCCCTAATCTTTTGACACGGCAGGCCCCTAAACCAGTGTAGGGTTTATCTCCCAGCCTCTGGAGCACATCCAGTTGCTAGCCTCTTCTTGTTATCAGGTGCAATTAGCATGATGTCATAAACACAGGGGACTACCTTTATGTTCTGGGCAATGGCTGGACGATTCAGGTTTCTTAGAACAATACTACAAGGAGAAGAAAATTAACACAGTCCTGGAACAAGACTGTGAAAGTATACTGTTGTCCATGCCAAGCGAATGCGCCTGCCTCTGTTCCTCCTTCCTGATGGTGGCGGAAAGGATGCTTTTGCCAGATCAACAGTCACACACAACACACCAGGTTATGCTCATCTATTCTAGTAAACCTGTCACTGTTGGCACAGAAGCTGGAAATTTGGCTATTCCTTTAATATGGTGGTGGGTTTGTTGTTGTTTTGTTTTGTTTTGTTTTGTTTTGTTTTGTTTTGTTTTGTTTTGTTTTGGAGACAGGGTCTCACTCTGTTGCCCAAGCTGGAGTGCAGTGGCACAATCATAGCTAGCTCACTGCAGCCTCCAACTCCTGAGCTTCAGTGATCCTCTTGCCTCAGCCGAGTAGCTGACACTACAGTTGTGCAACATTGCACTGGCTAATTTTTTAAAACACTTTTCGGTAAAGAAAGGATCTTGCTCTGTTGCCTAGGCTAGCCTCAATCTCCTGGGCTCAAGTGATCCTCCTGCCTCAGCCTTGCAAAGTGCTGGGATTACAGGTGTGAGCCACCATGCCCAGGCTCTTGGTTTAGTTTTCCCTAGCCCATTGACCTTGGTAAATTAAAGGCAGATCTAGTGGGACCATGCCTTGTTTTCTTTGTCTTGGGGGGTGGCACTGATCTCTGTGTTCCTGGCAGAATGTGATATTGTTTGGGATTTACTATCTTGGCCACAGCAGAGGGACAGCCTCAGCGGCTTCCCCTTGGCCTTCCCCAGTCTGATCACTTTTACCACACAGACCAGAGAGTCAGTATTCATATGCACTGGTTGCTAAGTGTATCCACTTCTATCATTTCTAAAAATCAGGGCAAGAACCACTGGGATGCCTCTCTCATCTCTAGGATCTTGATTTTGCCTCTGGTTCTACTCAGGACTCGCTGCCTGGTCCAAGTGCTCAGCTTGTCTCAGACTGCCCAGTGACTCCACCTGCCCTCTTCCCTTCTGGAATTCTCTCAGCCCCATTGCTCCTATGGAGCTCAGTTATGTAATGGCATCTCCTCCCGTGAGCCTGGCCTACAGAGACAGCCACTGCTGAGCTTCTCCATAATGCTAATGCCCCATCACCAACATAGTTCTTATTTCCCTGGTATTGGAGTATCCTCCAGGGCATCCCAAGGATAACACTCATTAAATACTAATTTAGTGAAACTAGCATATTTTACCTAAAAACACAATCAAATAATTTCATGTGAGTCTTTTTAAAAACAACCTTGTTTTTTTATAGCAGTTTTAGGCTCACAGCAAAATTGAGCAGGAAGTACAGAGATTTCCCATGTACCTCCTACCCTCACACAGGCACAGCCTCCCCCATTATCAACATCCCCCACCAGAGTGGGACATCTGTTACAATTGGGGAATCTATATTGACACACCATGACCATTTGAAGTCCATGTTTGCATTAGGGTTCAATCTTAGTGTTGCATATTCTATGGGTTTGGACAAATGGATGATGAGAGCATCCTATAGAGTAGGTTCACTGCCTTGAAGATGCTCTGTGTTTCCTTGAGCCTTTTGATCCCTTCTTCCACCCTTCCATGACATCTTTACATCATTGAATGTGGGGTTTTGTTGCTTCTAAGCTTCTCAGGGCCATCCCAGCAGTGTACTAGGACCAGTCTCCCAGCTTTGCAAGTGGTGAGTCCTCCTACATTGCATGGATGAGTACCTCTATGTTGAAAAACCCTTCCTGGCTCAGCACTATAGTCCACTGCCCTGGGATCCACTCTCACACACACTCTTCTAACTGGTTCATGCCAGCGTATATTAGTTCTCCTTTTCCCTTAGCAGCCCAGCGTGTCCCTAGGTGGGCCAGGCTGACACTCAACGTTGGTTATCGGTCAGGAAGAGAAATGAGGGCAGATTCCTCAAGTAGATCCTTAGGGGGCAGCAATGTCTGGTGAGGCATCTGCTTCATTGGAGACCTCAGCATCAACTTCAACAGGGGAGCTGTTACCTTCTAACAAGCATCAGGCCGCTCTGCAGTGGGAGGCTCGAGGGCTCAAATGAATTGTCAAATGTCCCATCTTCAGGTTCCTACTTTTCCCTACAGGAGCCTGACTTGTTGAGGCTAAGGATTGAGTTTTCACTGAAATTTCACTTCTCTTAAACTTAGGTCTTGGCCTGTGTATTAGTCCGTTCTTATGTTGCCAAAAGAGACATACCCGAGGCTGGGTAATTTATAAATGAAAGAGGTTTAATGGACTCACAGTTCCACATGGCTGGAGAGGCCTCACAATCATGGCAGAAGGCAAATGAGGAGCAAAGTCACGTCTTAAATGGCAGCAGGCAAGAGAGCTTGTGCAGGGGAACTCCCCTTTATAAAACCATCAGAACTCATGAGGCTTATTCACTATTGCAAGAACAGTATGGAAAACCCCGCACCCATTATTCAATTACCTCCCACTGGGTCCCTCCTGGTGGGGATTATGGGAGCTACAATTCAAATGAGATTTGGGTGGGGACACAGCCAAACCATATCAGCCTGATCTACGGCACAATTTTTTCTCCAGATAGAGGGAATGGGGATCCCTTCAAAAGCTGCTAAGGAGGGTACCAGAAGCCCGCCAAAGGCATGGTCTAAAATGTTCACAGCACACTATGCATCATGGCCCTGAACTTGAAACTAGCTGAATGCCCATAAATAATACATTTGAAAAAATCATAAAAACAACAAGAAAAGTGTTTCAAATTGTGCACTTTAAATATGTGCAGTTTATTTTATCCCAATTATACCTTAATAAAACTGGGAAGGAAGGAAGGAAGGAAGGAAGGAAGGAAGGAAGGAAGGAAGGAAGGAAGGAAAGAAGGAAGAAAGAAAGTCTGTCTATGGTCCCTGAAGTCCTGCCCCCTCCCATGCGTTCTTGGCTCTAGGCAGCAGCACCAGGGCTCACCAAGACACTCCAAAATCCCAAGAGAAGGTGCAGCTTCAAACATAAACAGAAGGCCCGGATCACACCTGTAATCCCAGCACTTTGGGAGGCCAAGGCAGGCAGATCACTTGAGTCCAGGAGTTCAAGACCAGCCTGGCCAACATGGCAAAACCCCGTCTCTACTAAACATACAAAAATTAGTCTGGTGTGGTGGCACATGCCTGTAGTCCCAGCTACTCGGGAGGCTGAGGCAGGAGAATTGCTTGAACCCAGGAGGCGGAAGTTACAGTGAGCCAAGATCACACCACTGCACTCCAGCCTGGGTGATAGAGCAAGACTCTGTCTCAAAAATAAATAAATAAACAAACATAAACAGATATTGCTCAGGGGCCTCCTCCACTTCCTCCCCAAGAACTGACCCACCACGCCCTCCTCTGCTCCCACTGGCAAAGCTTTCTGCTGCTCTGCCTCTAATCCCCCACCCCTGCAAAGCCCTTTGCAGGTGAAGATATGATGGGCTTTGTCTTAGGAAGGCTAAACTGACAGGGGGTTAAGGAGGGAACACAGCAGGGAGTCGGGAAGCCCCAGGGCCATGGACCAGGCACAGTAATAGACCAATCTTAGAGTGAAGAGGACACGGAATTTAATTTTGAGCACATCTGAGCTGTTAACAAAGTGGGTATCTCTATGAAACAACCAATAGGCACTGGAAATGACAGCCAAGCACTGAGGCAGGAAATCAGGTGACAAACTGCTTTTGACAGTCTTGTGCATAGAGGTGACTTTAGAGTGCAGGTGAGGACACTCCCTGGAGAGAAGGGCTCCAGAGGAGAGCATCAGGACAGGCTCCTGCAGATGCAGGGTGGTGGGGGCAGGAATGGATTAGGCAGTGAGAGCAAGGAGGGGCTTCAGCAAAGAAGGAGGAGAGGAAGAGGGAGCAGGTGACAGAGGAGGGAGGGGACCATCTAAAGGAAGAGGGGGGAGTCTGGGAAAGTCACTTTGGGGATCAACAGAGCAAGCAGTTTCGGTGCAGTGAGATTGGCCAAAAGCCAACTGCAGGGAAAATGTGCAGAGATGGGGAGGAAGGAACCAGGGCAAAGTGGGGCTAGAGAAAAAAGGCAACTTCCCCTTCCCCAACTACCTACCACAAGCCTCCAGTTTGGAGTGACTCAGGACCCCAGAGGAAGCTTTCCTAGAGAGGAGCACTGAGTCAGGCTCCAGAAGAGATAACAGCCCAGGGCTGGAAGGGTGGTTTGAGATGCCCTGCCGTGGGGCTGCCTGGAAAGAGCCTGGGGCACAGGCTGTTTCTCCAGCGAGGCTGGATGGGAGCACTGTGCTGTGTTCTTCCCAAAGTGCAAAGCCAGCGCGCCTCGATCAATCCCTTCCCTCCACGCTCTGAGACAAAGCCAGGGCGCCTCCATCAATCCCTTCCCTCTACGCTCTGAGGCAAAGCCAGCGTGCCTCCATCAATCCCTTCCGTCCACGCTCTGAGCCTTACTGTACTCCCTGCCCTGTGTTGTTGGCAGATGCTCCTAAATCACAGACAGCTGCAGATGGAGCCCAGGCCAGGCCTGGACCATTTACTTCCCCAGTTCATTGAAGACGTATCATCACACCACACACACTCCAAAAAGACAGCACCACGTTTCTCTTAATTCATGAATTTAGGAAGTAACTAAAGAAAAAAAAAGGAAGCAGTTGAGAAAACAAACAAAAAAAATGATTTAGACAAGTAGGAAGCAGTTTGCCTCTGGGTTCAGTTACAAGTTGCTGGAGGGCAGCTGGTATTAACTCATCACCAGGGAGAGAGCACAGACAGGCAGGGGCATGTAGTGCTCACTGGTCCTGTTCCTTCTCATCCTTCCAGGTAAGTGGGCCTGGGGATTAAGGAACTGGAACCCAAAAGGCTGGGCAGGAAACAGAGAGGGTCTGTGCTGGAGGGAAGGAGACAAGCTGGGGAAAATGCACTCATCCATGCACTTACATATAAGAAAGCAGGAAGGAAGGAAAAGAGAAAAAAAGGGAGGAATGTTTTGTTATCTGACAGTTACTAGGTTAGGTGTTGGGGAAAGAAACAAAAAACATAAATGGTGTCAGGTTTCTAGGATTCTGATTCTTCTCAACCCTGGCAGATGATAGATAGATAGATAGATAGATAGATAGATAGATAGATAGATAGATAATTGATAGACAGACAGATAGATGATAGATGATAGATAGATGATAGATAGATAGATAGATAGATAGATAGATAGATAGATAGATAGATAGATAGATGAGAGAGAAGTAAATGGATGGATGATAGACGAGAGACAGATAGATGCATGGACAGGTGGACAGATAGATGAAAGAACAGATAAATAGGTAGATACATACATACTTATATACTTGCACATATACACATATACCCAAACTTAAATGCATGAATCCCTGAGGAACTTTAAAAGAGCACAAATACTCAGGTTCCAGCTCAGACCCACGCAGTCGTGGCGGGGTTCAGACATCTGGCTAGTTTAGAAGCCTCCACAGCTTGTCATGAGTTGTAGCTAAAATGGAGCAGCTCAGAGTTACAGGGAGGAAGACAGGCAATAAGGCAAGGATGTCATCGCTCTCTGGAATGTAAGTCAACCCCACACATCAGCCTGCTTGAGCTTCTGCTCTGGACGAGCCAAAGACCAGACCATTGTTCAAGGTTGTAAGTACAACAACTGAGACAGATACAAAGTGGTCTGGTGGCACCAGGGCGGGGCTGAACCAACCCTTCAGGGAGGGGAATAAGGGCTTAAGTCCATCAAGCAAGGAAGAGACAACTTCCTGGGCAAAGGGAGCAACTTGTGCAAAGGTATGGAGACAAAAATAGCATGGTGCTTAGGCAAAGAAAAACAACTGTGCACTGAGTGTGTGCACAGGTGTGTGAGTGTTGGGGGTGTGTGTGTGTGTGGGGGTGTGGGTGTGTTTGGTTCCATGAAACTTTATCACATGTGCAGACTCACAGGAGAGGGTTTTTAGGGGTGTGGGGTGCAGTGCCAGTGGGCGGAGGAGTTGGGGGAAGCCAGGATGTCTACCTGTTCAGCTCTGGGATTTTAAAATAAATCGGTGGCTGGCCGGGCGCGGTGGCTCATACCTGTAATCCCAGCACTTTGGGAGGCCGAGGAGGGCAGATCACCTGAGGTCGGGAGTTCAAGATCAGCCTGACCAACATGGAGAAACCCTGTCTCTACTAAAAATACAAAATTAGTCGGGCGTGGTGGCGCATGCCTGTAATCCCAGCTACTCGGGAGGCTGAGGCAGGAGGATTGCTTGAACCCAGAAGGCGGAGGTTGCGGTGAGCCGAGATCGCACCATTGCACTCCAGCCTGGGCAACAAGAGCAAAACTCCGTCTCCAAATAAATACATAAATACATAAATAAATAAAATAAACTGGTGGCTGCAGTGAGAGCCAGGGATTGGTGGGGAAGTGGGTGTCACCTCAGGGCAAAGGAGGGAAGGTTTCCAAAATGAGAGGGTGTTCAGTGGTCGCTAGGATGGCGCATGAACAGACCACTGTGTTGGGCAGTTGGAGCCCTCAGGAGAACTTTGTCAGAGGGGTGACAACAAAAGAAATACTGCCGGGGAATTAAGGAACAAATGGATGTGAGAATTTGACAATTTGGGGGCTGAGGATAAAGGCTCCTGGTTGGTCCCCAGGGAGGTGCCGGAAGCCCTGGGCAGTGCCCAGGGAGGGAAGATCTGGACGTTGGGTTCTGTCTTCCAGAGTATTTCTCCATCTATGGTCCTAGAGCTGTGTGGGGCACAGAATGGGACTCACTGACAGTGCAGTGTCATTATGACCAAGGCTGGGAGACCTACAGCAAGTAGTGGTGCCACGGGAAGGACTGGCAGTCCTGCAAAATCCTCATTACAATCACAGGATCAGAGCAGACAGCGGAGAGAGACCGAGTGTCCATCAGGGACGATCAGAAACATATACCCTAAAACTTAAAGTATAATAATAATAAAATTTAAAAAAAGAAAAGAAAAGAAAAACCGTGTGTTCACCATAACCATGAAGATGCTCTGGAGGTCCGACACTGACACCTACTGGTGTGGGATTGAGAGGACAGGCACTGACCTTGGGGTCCAAGTTGAAGTGACCATTTACCCAGGTCGGAGCAGCTCCCTCCTGTACCAAACTCTGGTGCTGACCCGAGAGGATTCAGTGATGCTGTCTTGACATTGTCCTGGGACTACGTGTGTGCATGGGCTTGTGTGTGCTTGTGTGTGCCTGTGTATGTGTGCCTGGGCTTGCCCGTGTCTATATGTGTGCTGTGCATAGATGTATGTGTACGAATGGGCCCGTGTGTGTCTGTGTGTACATGTCTGTGTTTGTGGGCCTATGTGTGTGCATGTGCATGTGTGTGTGTTTGGGGGGAGGGGTTACACCAAGATTCTGGAAAGACTGGAAGACAGAGCAAGCCTCAGTATCTCTGTATGTCTCTATCTGCTATTATCAGAGGGAGCCAAGCAGAACTGGGTCAGCTTGGGCAGGCACAGTGCAGGGTAAGAAAGAAGGCAGGTTCTCTTCTGCAAGTCACTTGGGGCAACCCGTGCCCCCTCAGAGCAGCCCCAGCCTGACGGGAGGACTTGTCAGGTGTACAGGGAGGGGAATGCAAGAAAATCGCAATCCCAGAAGTCTCAGCTCCAGGACAAGCATGTAGTGACCAAGAGCCCATTGGTGACCCTCTCCTTGGAGCCACCTCTCTCTCGTCCTCTCCCACCTCTGGTGACATATGGACAAAGGAAGGCATGGGAGACTCTGACCCATTCCTGAAAGAGGGAAAAACAGAACCCGGCATAGTGCAGAGCCCTCCCACAGGCCTCCCCTGGCTGCCCCGAGCCTTTGAGGATACTGAGAACTCACAACAGGGGGCTCCTAGAAAGAGAGTCCGGCTGTCATCCTCACTCCACAGCCCAGCCCCCAGAGCCATCAGTGTCATCTCCGCCGTGGGCACCAGAGAAACTGTCAGCTCCCCATGCACATGCATAGATGCTGCAGCTCAATCATATATCTGTTACTTGTGGGCCCATTTACAAGGCAGGGAAAAGTCCTTTTCAGCTTAGTATATGCGGATGTGGTGTGCCTGTGTGTGTGTGCAGTGGGGAAGTCTGGTTTTAGAATGTTTCAGAAATTGACTTAAAAAGAGAACAAAGGCATGAGTGGAAGGAAAGGAGGAGCTGGGGGAGAGTCGGAGGCTGCAACCCTCCAAGCCTAGTGAAATAAGGAAGCTTTGGGGAGGCAGGAAAACTTCAGCTGGAAACAGATGCTCTGCCCAGCTGCAGGGGAGAGGAGTCCTGAGTCCCCAGGCAGGGCCCAGGGAGGGGCAGCTGGCTCTGAGGGTCACTTTGCTACACAGCAGGCAACAAACAGCCTGCTGGAGCCCAGGCTGAGACTCAAGAGAAGGGCTGGCTGGCTCTGATGTAGAACTTCAGGGAAGCAGAGTGTGGTTCTCAACGCTCAGCTGTGCAACGCAGGACTCTGGGACTAAGTTGAATATTTGTAAATTGCCTGCATAGCTTCTCGCCACAAGTCCTTCCCAGGTGGTGCAGTGATGTTTGTTTGTAAGTGAAATAATATTACATTTTAGGTAAGATACCAAAAAGATACAAAACAAAACAACTGTAGTGCTAAGACTAAATGCTTCACGATCCTTGGAGGGGTAAGAGGTGACGTGAGCCACGGGGAAGC
Source organism: Homo sapiens (assembly GCF_000001405.40). Classification (NCBI taxonomy): domain Eukaryota; kingdom Metazoa; phylum Chordata; class Mammalia; order Primates; family Hominidae; genus Homo; species Homo sapiens. The sequence continues at coordinate 74,603,808 of NC_000017.11, forward strand.
CACCTAGGTCACCCTCAAAACTATCCTTTGCATGTCCCACAGCAACTCCAAGAAAACAATCTGAACCTAAGACAACAGACGCAGCTGCACCTGGGACAGCAGACACAGCTGGGCCTGGGACAATGGACACAGCTGTACCTAGAAAAGCAGAAACAGCTGTGCCTGGGAAAAGGAACACAGCTGTGCCTGGAACAGCAGACCCAGCTTCACCTGGGACAGCAGACACAGCAGAACCTATGAGAACAACCACTCCAACAGTTCTGGCCTCCTGGCCTTCTCTCACCCAGAGCACCAACAGCACCCAGCCCACGGCTCTTACCAGCCCCCTCACCAGGTGAGCAGAGCTGGGCTCCCACAGACCTTTCCCTAGGCTGCCCCATGACTGCTCCTTCAGATGCTCTCACCAGGGACCCTCATGTGGCGCTCGTCAGGGGAGAAACAGTGAAGTCTGTAGTGGGCCTTCCCCTCCCTGTCTACACCTGAGCACTGCAGGAGATTCTCCCTGATGAGCTGCAACAGGCTGAGCTCCAGAGAGCAGGCTCTGGGCTCCATGCTTCACCGAGTCCCTCAAGCCCCAGGAGGCAAAAGCGAGGTGAAGCTTTGGGTGCTCTGGAAGGGCAGCTGTCTGGGTGGCTTTCCTGTGGCTGCTGTAACTGATCGTTACAAACTTTGTGGCTTAAAACAACACAGTCTCATGATCATACAGCTGTGGAGACCAGAAGTCTGAAATGGGTCTCACTGGGCTGAAATCAAGGTGTTAACAGGGCTGGTTCCTTCTAGAGGCTCCAGCGGAGGGCCTGTTCCCTTGCCTTTTCCAGCTTCTGGAGGCCACCCGTGTTCCTTGGCTCATGGCCCCCTCCTACCCAAAGCCAGCAAAGGTCGGTGGAGTCTCCCACAGAGCATCGCTCCACTGTCTCTCCTGCCTCCCTCTTTCATTTATAAGGACGCTGGTGATTCCACTGGGCTCAGCCAGATGATCCAGGATAATCCACCCTGGGTCACCTGACGAGCAGTCTCAAATCCACCCACTGCCTTAATTCCCCCTTGCATGTAATAAAACATATTCACAGGCTTTGGGGTTATGACATCGTGGGTGGGGTTCACTATTCTGCCTACCACAGTCACAGGCAGGGGTGTGCCCATCGCTCCAACTCTCCAGCCAAGGCTAGGGAAGGGCAGGGCGGGAGAGCGGGAAGCTGGGCCTCTTGCTTTTCTTTCACATTCCCAGCATGGTAGATGGGTGTGGACATCAATCCGAAGCCCACCTCCTTTCGAGGGATCAATAGGATGTCTCATCACCGCGCAAATGCGGCTGCCCCTGTTTAACCCCATCACAGCCTGGTGCTTCAGGATCCCTCAAAGTCCAGGGTCAAGGCCCATTCTCTCCCTGGATCCTGCCTTCCCTGCTCCACCGGCTCCCTTCTCCAGCCCAACTCCGTTCCTTTCAAAGGGTCTTGTTCCCTGGAGCCTGCCAGCACCGATCCTGTGTTCCCTAGGAGTCCGGAAGAGGCGAGGCACTGGGGATGCTTCCTGACCTGGCCTTCGTCTCGCTCCACTGTTTGCAGAGCGGTTGTTCTGCTGAGTGGGGATGGCAGTGCCAGGACTTCTAGCGAGACGGGAGAGGCACAAGGGGAAACTTGGCGGGAAGAGACCAAGGGTGCGGCGGCTCCACGGGGAGTGGAACTTGCAAGAAGAACACAGTGGTTTAAAGGGTATTTTTAGGATGTGCAATATGGCAGGCCTGCTCTCACTCAAGAAAACTCTGAGTTAAATTCACATGACTCATCACTGCTTCCATGCCCTGGGCTGGAGGCCAGCTTCGGGGAGAGAACAGGGATGGCCTGAGGGAAAGGGCCCTGGCACTGGGTGTAGGGGAGTGGATGAGGAATAAGACTGGGGAATCAGACTCTTACACGCTGATGGGGACTCCCCAGAACCCACTCGTTTAGCTAGACCAAATATTAAACATGTGGGTGATATGAGGCAGCAGGTCTCAGATCTGCTGTCATAAAGTGGGTCCAAGCAGGAGGAGACCCCTCCCAGGAGAACCAAATAGATAAATAGCCAGGTTGTTAGAAGTGGGGGAATCTTCCTGTGCTTCAAAGAGGTAATAATAATTAGATTTGAGCTTGAAAGATGGGCAGAAGTGACAAAGGGAGACACAAGGCAGAGAGAGGAGCAGAAGCAGGAATACAGGACACAGCAGACCCTCGAGCTTGGCGGGACACAGGTGAGTAGCAGGGACTGTGGGAAAGAAGACCAAAGGCAGGCCTGGCTGGGTGCAGTGGCTCACGCCTGTCATCTCAGCACTTTGGGAGGCCAAGGCAGGAGGATGGCTTGAGCTCAGTAGTTCAAAATCAGCCTGGGGTATATAGCGAGACGCCATCTCGGCAAATAATGTTAAAGGCTGGGCAGTCACGGCCAAGGGCAGCGAAGGGGCCGGGCCCCAGACTGAGCCTGTGGGAAGGCCACTGGAAGCTCAGCCTCCGGGTGGCATGACTTTGCCCCTTGCATGGGGCTTCCCTGGTTGGGGACCAGGCAGCTGACCAGGGTGGCAGGTGTTGGCTCAGGGAAGAGGCTGCTCACTCTTGGCATCTTGACCCCTTTGTCCAGGATCCTGCTCTGCAACATCCACTTCCTGCTCCCGATCTCCCTGAAGGGGCTGCTGCTCGTGGGCCTGCTCTGCACTGTGCTGCAAGTGAGCAGTGCTAAGGGGGCCTCCAGGGGGAAATAAAGTCACAGCCTGAGCCGGGGAACCGCAGCTCCCACACCATCAACACCCTCGGAGGGGGCAAGCAGAACCTCTGGCCTCCTATCAGGTAATAAGCAGCAATTGCAGTTCCCCAGGAGACAAGGGTCCCTGCAGAGATGAAATATCCCTCATCCTGGCCTCAGGAAGGCAATCCCACTCCCAGCTGGCTCTGCACAGCACAGGGATGCTGACGGGGCCTCTCTGCCTTCTGCCACCTCTGCCTCAGGAGCAGATAAAAGAAAGGACATCCCCCTTGCACACTGATTCCTTGGAGGCATCTGCATCTCACCTTCATGGATCCTCCCTCAGGCCTCCTTTCCTTGTGGCTCCAGGATGACCCTGTCAGAGATACTGGACTATCGTTCAGTTGCAGAGGCCCCAGGGCCTGTCTGGACTTTTCCATCCCAAGAGGGGCTCGGCTCTATCCCCTTTGTGCCTGTGACCCTCTCCATCCCCCACCCGGCTCAGAACTGGCACAGCCACCACCAACCACTCCTGATTCAACCCAAGCTTCGCCCTTTCCACCTCTCGAGCTGTGCAACAACAAATGCAGGATGCTCAGCCCTCATGTGTCAGTCCCCTCAATTCACTTGTAATTAAATAACAACACACCTCTTTTTCTAATTTTCAAAGGTGTATATATTTCCCCTCAATAAAGTTGTTAGGATTATTTTTCTCTTCCACTTACATTCTTCCTGAACTCTGCCTGCTCTTTTTTCTTCCATATTTTACTTTAAATACTTTTTTTTGAATTACTATATTTCTTTTCTTAGCTCCTTTTTTTGGAGAGATCTTGTTGTCTTAACTTCTCTAAGAAGGAGGGGAATTTTCCATCTGAACTCTTCCTCTATTGCCTTGAGCACTTCCTCTCCTGAGACGGGTTCTTCAACTGCCATTTGCTAGTGTTCATTTCTTCTCCTTGATCTCATCAGCTGTGAACAGGTGCTGGTGTGCTTTATAACTTTTCTCTGAATGAGGTTGAAGATTGGCCAAGAGTAGTGTCAGGAGCCATGGAGGCAGAGCCATGGAGGGCAGAGCATGGAGGGCAGAGTGTGGAAGGCAGAGCCATGGAGGGCAGAGGGTGGAGGGCAATGTGGAGGGCAGACCGTGGAAGGCAGAGCCATGGAGGGCAGAGCATGGAGGGCTATTGACACAGTGGAAAGTTTGTTTTCGGGAACACTCACCACTTGCCACATCTTGACTACCTGTGTCCATATGGTTCATGTGTTGAGAAAGGGCAAGACCTCAGGCTCCAGCAGCCTGCATGCTGCTAAGCATAAGAGAACAGCCTGTGTTGTTGCAATGTGAACCATGGTCACACAGGCTGGTTGCTATTGTCATCTGGAGGCTTCTTCACCCACGAGTCTGGAGCATGGGCTGGGGTGATCCAAGACAGCTCTGCTGGGACTGTTGCCCAGAGACCCTACATGTGGCCTCTCTGTGACAGCTGGGTTCTAAAAGGGAATATCTGCAGACCTTCCAGAGGGCAAGCGTTTCAATAGACTGAAGAGGGAGCTGCAGGGTTTCTTCTGACTTAGCCTTGGAAGCCATACGGAGGCCCTCTTGCATTCCCCATGGGGGCAAATATTGGTTCTTGCAGGGTGGAAAAATATTTTTACTCTTTCTAGATACAAAACAGAGATATAGATGGATGGATGGATAGATAGATAGATAGGTAGATAGATAGATAGGTAGGTAGGTAGATAGATAGATAGATAGATAGATAGATAGATAGATAGATAGACAGGTGAATGGATGGATGTACAATACATCTTTGGTATTAACATTTCATGAGGGGAGATATTTAGGGATATTCTTTTTTTAGGGATATTCATTGTTATCTTAGGATAACAATGAAAAAATGTTGAGAAACACTGTTCTAGTCCACAAGTTGAAACAGTCACAACCCAGCCAGACCCAAGGGGAGGGGACCTAAGCCACAACTCTTCATGGAAGGAGTATCAAGAAATTTGCAGCCATGTTTTTAAACTGCCTTGTGGAAGAATCATAATGTAGCGCCTTCATGTCACATATAAGAATAGCGGGACGTGAAGGGGTGAAGCCACCTGGTCCCCAGTCACAAGGCCAGAGAGCAGAGTTGATTCTGCCTCTGAATGGCAGCCTGGAGCTGGCCCACACAGCATCCCTGCAGGCCCATCTGTGCACTTTAGAAGGTCACTTCCCAAGCCTGCTGGGGGCACCATATGGTCCCAAGAATAAAAATGAGGCCCTGAAACACCTATCCTTTACTCAGAGGTCACAGTCCAGCAGCCATTACTTGCACAGACATGTCTTGTTTGGGTTCAGTGGGTGAATGGTTAAACAAATTATTTTACACCCATGCAATGAAATCCTGCTGAGCAATAGGAAGGAATCAGCTATTGGTTGTGGTAAGTGCAACCACTTGTATGGATCTCAAGGCTCAGTGAATTAAAAAGTCAATCTCAAAATATTACATACTGCATAATTTCATTTGTCCTCAAAAGGATGACACTGTAGAGATGGAGAACAGATTAGTGGTTTCCAGGGGACAGGAATGGGATAAGGGTGCAAATACAAGGGACAGCATGAGGGAGATCCTTGTGATGATGGATTGGTTCTGTATTTTGACGGGGGTGGTAGTTACCTGGATCTGTAAAATTGCATGGAACTCTACACAAACATATCCATAAACCAATGTATGTTAAAAACGGTGAAAACTGAACAAAGTCTGCAGTCTAGCTAACAGTATTGTAACAATGCTGGTTTCCTGGTTTGGGTCTTGTCCTACAGTTATATAATACATCACCATTGAAAGACACTAGATGAAGGATTCACAGGACTCTATGTTATATTTGCAATGTTAAGCCTATAATCATTTCAAAATAAAAGTTTCAAAAATTAAAACCTCCAGGGGCTCCCTATGGCCTCCAGAACACAATTCAAACTTCTTGGTCTGCCATGAAGCCCTTTCAGACTGAGGCTCCAGCCCCATATCTCACTCCTCCCTCACATGCACTCTGCACACATGGTAATGGTAACGTAGCTCCTGAAGGTCCTGGTATCCACCATGCTCTATGACTCTTCCCTACCATTGTCTGGGACAATCATCCCCCAGTCTTCTGCCCTATTTTTATAACTCAAGCCCTCAATTTTCCTTCTCCGCTTGGCCCTCATGGGAGTGCCTCCCTTCTGTGCCCCCACAGAGCACTGTGCAGAACCCTGACACAAATTCTAACACACCGCATCGCTATTGTTAGTCTACATCTTAGACTTCCCTTCTAAAGGAGTAGGGACTCTGCATAGTTTAAGTCCTTATCTGTAATGCCCAGAACAATGCACCATAGACACACAATAAAAGTTTATTGAATGAATGAGTAAATAAAGGGAAAAAAGAAAGGAAGAATAGGGGAAAAAAAGGGAGTAAGGGAGAAGGGAAAATTCAAAGCATGGAGAAGCCACTGTTTGTTTCTCCTGCACCTGCTGTCTGCCATCTGTCTACTCTTTCTTAACTCTTCTCTTCTGGCTTCTGCTGTCATTGCTCTGTTGATCTGCTCTTCTGAACTTCATTAGTGACCTTGTGAATGATAAGTTCAATAGCCTCCTCTCAATCCCGGTCCTCCTCCACCTCTCTAGCTCTGCTCTCCTCCTTGAAACATTCATGGCTCTTGACTTCTCATCTTCCACCTGTTTGATTCTGCTCCAGCACCTTGATCAATGTCTTCCTCCTACCCTTTGTCTTTAAATGCAGGTGCCCCGAGGGCTCTGTCCTTGGTTCTGAACTCTTCCCTCCATGTTTTCACTTCTTGCTGGGTTCCAGTTAATCTCTCTACACACATTCCTCTCCAGCCCTCAACACTCTGCTAACCCACATCTCTAGCTATCTGCTAGACCTCTCTGCCTGATGATTCCAAACACACAGAAAACTAAGCTCTGCATCATCCAAGCCTGCTCTTGACTTTCCTACTTCTGTCAATGATGCCCGATTCCTCTGGTTTTCCAGGCTTAAGACTCCGGACTCCCAGATTCTTCCTTTCAGACTTTGCTACATCTGCTAGGCAAGTCCTCCTAAAGCACATCTGCAATCCCATCTTGTTCTGCTCAAATCCATCCCACCATAGCTAATCAAAGTTTAAGTAAGAGTTGAGTCCTAAGCCTCCTGAACCTGCCACCACCTGAGTTCTTCTAGATTAGTTCCATCTGGCCTGCCACAGGAAAATTTCACTCCATTGGAATCTTAGACACATCCTACCATGAGCATCTGTATGTGAACAGTACAGTCCATTTGCTGATAGGTCTTCTATAAGTGACTATTGTTATGAAGATTATTTCCCGCCTCTCTGCTTTCACTTATGCTGTTTCTCTGTCCTCTCTCTCTCCCTGTTGCTCCATCCCTGCTCCGCTGAAATCCTATACCTCCTTCAACATCAACATGAATGTCACCTTCTTTCCCTGACCTGGCCAGCTTGGCATGATATTCTCCTCACCAACCCCCTGACATCAGGAAGCATCTCTTGTGGCTCTAGAGTTCTTCCTATGCTGTAATGACTTGGGAGCTTATCCTTCTCATAAAATGAATCATAAGCTCCTTTCTTGCTCATCATCATATTTCCCGGGTTAATATAATTAATATGGGCCTTGTTAGATTGAATTTCTCTTTCAGCATGAGTCCTGGGCCAGCCCCATCTTTCCCCTAGTCACCATGCATGATGGAGCTGGGAGCCCCACCAGAGCTCAAGTTCAGAGCACGGCAGCTCTGCCTAAGCACTCGGCACTCAGAGGGTCACTCCATGTGCTCTGGACACTGGCATCACTAGCTCAGGATGAGCTCAGGCCTGGGGGCAGAGGGGGAGCACTGGTCCAGATGTAGGTAGCAAGTGGAGATGGTGATGCTTGCTTGTGGCAGACTGTGGGAGTCCTCCCCACAAACTTTAGGGAAACAGAGTAATTGACAAACATTCAGAAAACCAACTGAGCTCATTCCCGAGCCAGGGGTCACCAGTAGTGGTGATAGCACTGTGCACTTCAAGTGTGGACAAGTATCCTTCACCTCTGTGCCCTCCATCCTGTCTTTGAAAAACGATATCTGCTCTGCCTGTGGAAAAGGTTAATTGCTAACAGGTGGTCTCAGCCAGACTTCTAAAGTGGACAGAACTGACTCTGTTGACCTTGTGCATTGGACACCTCCAGGTGGGGGAATTCCAGGAGTGATATCAGGGGCACCCACCAGCTCCTTCTCCCTTTACTGTTTCAACTCGCCCCAGAACTTTAACCTGGAGCAGCTCATCCACGGCCCACCCAGGCAGAGATGTTCTGAGCCCAGCCACACACTGCCTGGTTACAGGGAGAGAAGGGGCCTTAAAGCCAGGGAGACCCAAGGGGCGTCAGAAGACGAGAGGAGCCCTGAGCATGTGGGACACTGGGCAACTGCATGAGCAAGCTCTGCCGGGACCAAGCTCCCTTGGGGTTGTCCCAGAGAAGAGATGGAGCTCTGTGAGCCTAAAGGCTGGGGCTGTGAGGGGTGTGTCCTCAGGGAGACTCCTGTCTGCAGGAAGGAGGTAGTTATTGCCCTGGGGGAAACTGGCCTGAGAAGCATTTGTGCCAAGAAGAATGAAGGGCCAGGCTCCTCCAGAAAATTTTTTCCCTCCCTTCCTCCGTCCTTTTCTCTCTCTCTCTCTCTCTCTCGCTCTCTCTCTCTCTCTCTCTCTGTCTCTCTCTCTCTCTCTCTCTCTCTCTCTCTGAGACAGGGCTCTCTATGTTGCCCAGGCTGGCCTGGAACTCTTACGTTCAGCCGATCCTCCTGCCTCAGCCTCCTGAGCTGGGATTATAGGCACTCGCTATGGTGCCCGGCCAACTTCCAGGGAATTCTTGCCCTTGGGAAGTGGGCATGAGGGCAGGGAGGCAGGGGACTGGGGAGGAGAAAGGAGGACCCCCAAGCTGCACATTGAGGACTCCAGAGGAGTGTCCTCTAAGAGCCAGGACCCTCCTTTGAGGCACAGGAACAATAAATCCCTCCAGAGTCCACAGGTCTCTCGCATCCAGTCTGAAAGGTTGACTCCCTGCACGGGGCACTCCTGGGGATGGGGCTCTGCAGGGCTTCGGGTCAGCCTGGCTCTATCTTCCAGGAGGAGCCCACTGAGGCCTGTTCACCCAGAAGACAGCACCCAGCATGCTCAGGAGCAGGGGCAGCTTCAGAAGGACCACGAGCAGGAAGTGAGGGCTGCTGAGCCGGAACCTGTGGTGGACACGGTGAAAATGAGTCACTTCCCCGGGAGAACCCCCAGGACCCTTCTCTCCCCACCTCTCCCCATGCTCTGACTCTGGAGCCCAAATAACCCAGGAGCAGCCAGGGAAAGGACCTATGCCAGGGCAGCCCCTTCTGTGGCCCCCATCCCTCCTTCTCCCTCCATCAAGGACTGCCCGGGGGGTCTCATCAAGGAGAGGTGATGGAGTGAAGACAGAAGAGGGACCCACTTCCAGGAGTGCGCTCCACAGCACCCTCTCTGTCCCTGTCCCACTCACAGCCTCCACTTTATCAACTGACTTCTTAAAACCAGTCCCCACTCTCGCTTTTTTTATTTTCTGAGACAGAGTCTCACTCTGTCACCCAGGCTGGAGTGCAGTGGTGCAATCATGGCTCACTGCAGCCTTGACTTCCTGGGCTCAAGTGATTCTCCCACCTCAGCCTCCTGAGTAGCTGGGACTACAGGCGCACCACCACACCTGGCTAATTTTGTATTTCGTAGTAGAGACAGGGTTTCACCATGTTGCCCAGGCTGGTCTCAATCTCCTGGACTCAAGTGATCCACCGCCTCGGCCTCCCAAACTGTTGGGATTGCAGGCGTGAGCCACCACACCCGGCCACCACTCTCACTGTTCCACTCCAGCTCCTTGTTCCCTCCCCTCAGGGTCTAGCAGCAATATCACAGCCCTTTCTGGATATCTTTGGGAGAGGAGAGAGAACTGATTCAAACCCCAGCCTGGAGCTGGCCCATCTCCCCACAGACCCCACAGACAGCTCCTGGTGGCAAAATCCCCAGCTGAGCAAAGACCTTTGAAAAGGGCCACAGAACTGGGACCCCAAGTCCGGAGCTGGATGGGGAAGGAGACAGGAAGGAGTGGGGAAGGGAGGAGGGGCTGCACGTCCACCTGAACTCAACCTTCGACCTGAGTCCCAGTAGCTGCCCCATAGGGAAAGGCGTTCACAGCACAAGTGATATTTCCCACTCAGCATCCACATGCAGCCTCAGAGAGTATGAGAATCAGGACCAGAGATGGAGAGAAACAGCAGACAGTGACGATCTCAGGTCACGGTGCGCCACCCCCACCCCCCAGCTTCCACCCCAGGGTTGCTCCCTCCATGGCCTCCAGGCCCTGCGTGCTTACCCTGAATTTTGGGTCAACACCTCCCCGGTGCTGAGGTTTCGCCCAGGGTTCACCACCAGGAAGATGGGAGGTGTGGCTGGATGTGTGGTCCTCCTTGGGGTTGTAATTGCTGTTGGAGATGAAAATGATGCATCAGCCGTGCCTGGGCTCCCAGCCATGCACAGAACACCCGTATGGATGTCATACAGAATCACCCACTCACAGAAGAGGCTGGAAAGATCTTCTGAAGCCAGATCCAGGGCACCTCCTGGGTGAAACCCCTCAGGGACAAAAAGAGCCCTTACCAGAACCAGCCATGAGAGTCCCCTCCAATAAGTGCCAGGTCTTTCTCTGCATCTCAGAGAAAGACTCTTACCACTCTGCCCACTCTGCCCTCATCCCACTCTGCCTGGGGTGAGGGCAGGGGTCTCTCTGGGCTTCCGCAGCCAGATGTGGAGTTCCAGGAGGAGGAGGGGAAGGAGGAGTCTAAAGGAAGATGGCTCAGCCTGTGGCCCAAGAAGCCTCGTAGAGACCATGAGAGGGGGCTCTGAGCACCCTTCATGTGGACACTCTTTTTTTTTTTTTTTTTTTTGAGATGGAGTTTCACTCTTGTTGCCCAGGTTGGTTGGAGTGCAATGGCACAATCTCAGCTCACCACAACCTCCACCTCCCGGGTTCAAGCGATTCTCCTGCCTCAGCCACCCAAGTAGCTGGGATTACAGGCATATGCCACCACGTTTGGCTAATTTTGTATTTTTAGTTGAGATGGGGTTTCTCCATGTTGATCAGGCTGGTCTCGAACTCCTGGCCTCAGGTGATCTGCCCTCCTTGGCCTCCCAAAGTGCTGGGATTACAGGCGTGAGCCACCGCGCCCGGCCCATGTGGAAAGGCCACTGTAGGCCACCCCTAGGGAGGGGATAGGTTGACACTCGGCTCCTCCTAAGGACTTCAGGTGACCACCAGACTATTGACATAGTCTACTCCCTCATTGCCACTGGACTCCCAGCTCATGATCTCCCTAAAGCAGTTGTCCTGGAGGCTCAGCCCTTCACCGGTGCCCGACACAGGCTCAGTGTGATCCGATAAGCCGCGTTCAACCTCTCTGTTGCTGGAGATTCGTTGATGGACGTGGCATGAGCCCCACCCCGTTGGAGGGGCAGAGACACATAAACAGACGGACTCACTTCCGCTGGAAGCAGCCCTGGGAAGGAGCCCCAGCAGGTGCAATGGGAGCACAGGGGAGAAGCCTAATCCACCCCCAGGCCAGCAGTGAGGAAAACATGGGCGGCACCTAGCAGAGGCGAATGCCGGACCATGGGATGCTTTTGGGAAGTGAGAGACATGATAGAGTGTGAGTCTGAGGACAGGAGATGGTGTGGATAGCTAAGGGGCAGGGGGCAGGGGAATTTGGTTCAAGAGGGATGGGGAGGCAGAAAACCACAGGACAAGGAGCCAGCCCCAGGAGGATCACCCTTGGGCAGGATGGGGAAGCCTGTCCTCAACCCGAAAGGGAAAGGGGAAGAATGAGTGTAGATTGCATGAAAGTTTGCAAGTGGAGAAGGAAAGAAACTGATGTCCTGTGTGTTCTCAGGAAGGTAGATGTATGGGAGAGTAATGTTGGAAACTCTTAACTTCTACTGGCAGCCACAGGCACCATTTTCTCACTTTTTTTCCCCAGCAGCGCTAGAGCAGGTGGATTTTAGACAGGGCGACCAACTTTCCCAGGACTTTTCTAGCCTTAGCACTGAAAATCCCACATTTGGGAAACCCCTTAGTCCTGGGCAAACTGGGATGATTAGTGACCTTTATTTTAGGATTGATCCAGGGATGAGGGTTTTGTCAGGTAGATAAGGAAATGGAATATGGGAGTTATGAGTGCTGCTAAGAGAAGAAAATGTCAGGCTGGGCATGGTGTCTCACTCCTATAGTCCCAGCACCTTGGGAGGCCAAAGCGGGTGGATGACTTGAGGTCAGGAGTTTGAGACCTGTCTGGGCAACGCGGGAAGATGCTGTCTCTACTAAAAAATACAAAATTAGCCAGGCATGGTAGTGCACACCTGAAGTACCAGCTACTCAGGGGGCTGAGGTGGGAGGATCACGAGCCCAGGAGGCGGAGGTTGCAGTAAGCCGAGATCGCTCCACGGCACTCCAGCCTGGGCAACAGAGTGAGACCATGTCTCAATAAAAGAAAAAAGAAAATGTGATCTATTGCAGGGGCTCAAAGTGGTCTAGGAAGGAAGTGAGGTCAGAACGGGAGTGATGGGGGCAATAAATTGGCGGAAATGGAGGGATCAGAAGACAGAAGGTCACTGTGAGGTTGAGAATAGGGACAATGGCATGAGGATGGGGGAGAGCTGATTGATGAAAAGTTGTCAGAAAATAGAATGTCTGAGTTTAAGACTCTGGGCAGCGACCAGGTCGGGTGATGACAAGCTCTGAGGTGTTTCCATGGGGTGCAATTCTGAAGAGAGTAGAAAATAAAGGACACCAAGGTTGAGAATGTCAAGGAACCCAAGGCAAGATTGCCAAGTTATTCATTAAAGCCTGCCAAGATAATGGCAGAGGTTGGAGTGGAGGCACTGGCAGGACTCCGTTGAATGAGGGGGAGCAGCCTGGAAGCTGATGGTCGGCCTTGTCAAGCACAGGTAGAGGGTGGGCATGGCCATCTGGCACAGCATTTAAAGGAAGCAGGTGGAAAGTCATAGGGCGGAAGTTGTGATGTGGGCAGGAAGAATTGGGACACGGCTCCATGGCCCTCTAGCATAGGGGGAGTAAGAGAAAGAGTAGCTTCCACTCAAGAAGCTACTAAACAGGAAGGTCTTCCCAAGCAAGACATATTTCAAAACAACATGGTAGGGGGATGTTCTGTGAGGAGGCTGCAAATGTACAGGAGTGTTTCTTCTTTGGTACAGGCTTCCCAAAGGGCACGGTGGAAACAGCTTTGGCTCAGCATGAAGGGGCCTCCTCCACGCTGGATAATGGGGTGAGGCCCAGGCCCTATGGGAGTGATGGCGCCTGAGCTGTGCACCCCCCAGCCCACCCAAGGCTGAAGGATCAGCCGCCTCTCTCCATGCCCATGCCATAGGCTCCTCCCAACACCACTGTGACTGAGGACAAGACAAGACTTGGACGCACACTTCAGTGTGCCGCCCACCCTTGTTCCCTTGTCCAGTCGCACCCCAAACCCTGCTGCCAAAGTGAGGGGAGCTCTTACCTGGGGAAACATACACCCTAACCAGGTCCGAGGGATCGCGTGACCATGAATCCAGGACCCACACTGTCTGAATTTTGCACCAGTAAGATCCAGCATCATCTTCATTGAGGTTCTGCATGGTCACAGTGAAGGCGAGAGCCTCCGGGTGGTCTCTGATGGACACGCGGCCATTCCTCTCCACCTTCTCTTCTCCCTTGGTCTCCACAATGCTCTCACATGACGTGTCGTACTGTCCTCGGCACCAGTACTTGTTATATCCCTTGTACATGCTCTCATACTGACACCACACTGTCAGAGAGTCCCCCGCAGTGCCAGTCACAGAGCCGGGGCCCTTCAGAGACAAACAGCCTGGAAAACACAAGCCCGAGTCCCAAGTCTCCATCCAGATGGCCCCATCAGCAGCCGTCTGTCTGAAGCTTAAGGGGAAGATTGCCAGGGAGACCTGGGTGTTTCCTGGGAGGGGAACCTGGAGGAATACTTGAGCTTAGGACCTAAGCCAAAGAGTCCCTGTGAGAGCAGAAACCTGTCCCCTGTGAGAGCAGGGACACCAAGTCACAGCACAGGGGCCCCAGCACCTGGAGACCAAAGCTGGAGGCAGGAGCAGAGAGGAGCTGGTCATCCCACCTCGTCCTGGGCCCTGCAGCCTCTGCCAGGCATGAGATTTGGTCATATACAAGATCACTTCCCTTTGGAGTGAGACCCATATATTCTGGGGTCTTCTGAATCTCAGGCTTATTCTTTAAAAGCACAACTTGCGGTTTCCTCCACTTTCAGAGTGTTCTTGTGGGAGGAAAAATACTCTCCGGCTCTGATCTTAACCACTCTCCAGAAAGAATCAACATGGCACTGGGAAGAGGGGTTGTCCCCAAAGGAAGCCCTGATAAGCTTCTTTACCTGAATTTGGGACACAAGATGACCCCCCCGACAATAGTCCCCAGGTCTTGGGAGTCAGAGGTCACCATGCATTCAGAGGAAAGAGGGAAGCTGCTCTCTGTAACCAAGTGAGGTGATTTGGGTCCTGGGAGGAAAGTGGGGTTTAGAATCTGGGAGGCAAAGTGTGAGAAGTTGATACGGAAGCAAAGAGAAGGGACAAGAAAGGCTGTAGGTAGGCAGAAGTTCAGGCATTATGGGATGTGATGCTCAGCAGAGCCCCCCAATATCTTAAGCAAGTGCTGAAAAACTGACAAGAGGCTTTGTTTGAACTTGAGTGTATGTGCATGTGCACGTGTGTGTGGGTGTGAGAGAGAGGGAGAGAAAGAGAAACAGTGATGAGGCTGAGCTTTGCACCCCCTCAGAGTAACCTGAGTTCACAATAAGAGGATGAATACGCGCAGGGGCCACGGAAGCTTAAGCCGTTAGAATGAGCAGAAATTGTGAAAGAGCCCCTGGCATCTGTGGGTCCTATGACTATCTGGGCTCCTGAGCTAACTACATCTAGATCTGAGGTGATTGAGGATGGAGGAGCCCCTGACTTCTGGCTTTCATTCATTTCCCTCCCCTCCTCCCACCATCTGCCTTTCCTCCCCACTCTGTCTGCAGCTGGCTCTGTCTGTCATATGCCTTGGCAGATGTGTGAGCTGCCACCACGCACACCTTCCTCACCCCACCAACCATGCTTGGCCTGAGACAATCTCACTGTCACTATCTCTTCCCACCCTCCTGGTCCCTTCCACACTCAGTAGCACCTGTCACCCCCACCCTGACCCCTTCCCAGCCCCTACCCCAAACCCTGCTCCAAACCTGTGTTTTCCCGCTCTGTGCTCCCTTGACCACAGCAAAGTGGCTCCTGACCCCGCACCTTCTGAGCACTCCCCATTTCTCTGCTGTCCTAATTCTCGTAAGAACCTTCCTCGCTCTGGATGCTGTGCCCTCAGGAATCTTCCCATTCCCAAATCCCTGCTCCCCACCTACGTTCTCCCCCAAGAACCTGTTGCCCCGCAGCTGCACACCCCTCCTGAGATTTGAGAGCTGGTCCTCACCTCCTCCCTTCCACCTGCCCCCAGCTTCCTCCTGGAGGTGGCACATCCCAGCAGCACCTCCTTCTAGGTTCTGGACAGAGCTCAGGACTGCATTTCCCACAGTGGGAGCTTGGCAGGGTACAAAGGGCTTGTCACAGCCAAGAGTCTGGTGATGGAGCCGGGGCCTGCTTGTGCTGCTTCCTAAAGGGATCCTTGCTGGAGAGCTTGGGGTTGTTCTTCTTCTGCTAGGATCAGAGCCAGTCCCTTCAGAGCTGAATGTGTCCTAGAATTCCTGCCACTCCAATCAAGAAGATGCCAGCAGCAGATAGGAAGTCAGACTCAAGAGAGCTTTCCAGGCTCCTTCCAGCCCAAAAAGTCTTTAATTCCTCAATTGCGTAAGAGCTGGCCTGGCCTTCTGCCCCTGGCCTCTGGAAAGAGGCTTTCTCCTCTGGAATCTGTCCTCCACTCTCCTGATTACAACCTGGGCTCCTTCAGCCCTGCTAGGAAGCAAATGTTTCACTCCTCCTCTCAATCACACACACACACACATACACACACACACACACTGGGGAGAGCACAGCTGAGGGAGGAAACCATGGGACCATTTTGTCCCTTCCAGAGCCCAGAGCCACTTACTTTTAGCTCCCTCTGGACTGAGCTGTTTCCTTCCCCAGGTCTCTATTGGGTAAATCTCCAGGTTTGGGGGGTCTTTCTGGTTCACAAACTTTACAACTTTTCAAGCCATTCTAAGCCAAGCAAACATCAGTCCCTTTGAAGAGGCAGAATCTCATCCTGAAAAGCCTAAAAGTGCTATTGGGAACCCCAAACCTAGCAAATCTGGAAGGTCACCCTAGAAAAGAAAGGGCCTTCTGCATTCATGATGGCTATTCTCTCCAGTAGGCAACCTTCTCATTGAAATGAAACCAATTCAAATTAATCTTCTGAAAAGACAGAAGATGGTTCTTAAAATGTGGAAATCACAGCTGGGCGCAGTGGCCCACGCCTGTAATCCCAGCACTTTGGGAGGCCGAGGCAGGCGGATCACAAGGTCAAGAGATCGAGACCTTCCTGGCCAACATGGTGAAATCCTGTCTCTACTAAAAATACAAAAATTGGCCGGGTGTGGTGCCTCAAGCCTGTAATCCCAGCACTTTGGGAGGCCGAGGCGGGCGGATCACCAGAGGTCAGGAGTTCGAAACCAGCCTGGCTAGCATGGTGAAACCCCGTCTATATTAAAAATACAAAAATTAGCCAGGCATAGTGGCGGGGGCCTATAATCCCAGCTGCTTGGGAGGCTGAAGGTGAGAATCACTTGGACCTGGGAGGCGGAGGTTGCAGTGAACCTAGATCACGCCATGCACTCTAGGCTGGGCAACAGAGAGAGACTCCATTTAAAAATAATAATCATAATACAAAAATTAGCCGAGCATGGTGGTGTGCACCTGTAGTCCCAGCTACTCAGGAGGCTGAGGCAGGAGAATCACTTGAACCTGGGAGGCAGAGGTTTCAGTGAGCCAAGATCGTGCCATTGCACTCCAGCCTGGCAACAAAGCGAGACTCCGGCCAAAAAAAAAAAAGGAAGTCACTTGTAAAGACTTATATTTCAGAGGTAGGGCAGCAGTGTGGATAAGAGTACTATCTAAAGCCCAGTAAGCAAAGCCACCTCCAAAATGGAGGTAAAGCAAGGCAACTTGCAGAGGGGAGAGCCTGGATAGGTGAGCTTAAAGAAAAAGATAAAGGCCAAGGTGAGCGGATCACTGGAGGTGAGACCAGCCTGGCTAACATGGTGAAATCTTGTCTCTACTAAAAATACAAAAATTAGCCAGGTGTGGTGGCATACGCCTGTAACCCCAGCTACTCGGGAGGCCGAGGCACGAGAATTGCTTGAACCTGATTGGCGGAGGTTGCAGTGAGCCAAGATCACCCCACTGCACTCCAGCCTGGGTGACAGAGCCAGACTCCCTCTCGAAAAAAAAAGAAGAAGAAGAAGAGGAAAGAAAAAGATGAGATAAGGGGTGTGGCTGATTAAATCACAGACCCTCAGATGTAGAGCATGGCTTATGGTTGCTTAGCCCAATTTTCTACTTAATGTAAAAATATAACAAAAGCAAATTTTCATGCAAAGTATTGGCAGATGACACCAAATTACTGTTGTTTGAAAGAAGAACCAGGACTGGATTGGGAAGGAGTGGGTAGATCCATGCTGTTGATAACATTCTAGTTCATGGATTGGCCAGTGAGCTCACAGATGTTTGTTAAGTTACATATAATTAAAATAAAAGAGGGTCTTGAATGGACCAGTGATGAGAGAGTGTTCCATGACCCATGATCTAATTCTGGGCACCTGAAGTTAAGGAAAAAGAAGGTTATGCTAATTCCAAGATACTTTCCTCTGTCCTGCTAGAGTGTTACCTGAATGCAAGATTAGCATTTCTCAAGGAAATCCAGCATGTTCCTGGAAATAATTGATGGAATTATATAAATGCGTCGGTGCATTTGTTGAAACATGTGCTTGCTGGTTGCTTGAGGTTAATGGGAGCTACTAAATATTGGACAGCAATCAGTTCAGAATGGAAATACCAGATGATGTGGCAGAGAGGTCAGCTATTTTGTCACTATTACTAGGTTAGCCTTATTCTTGACACCTCCATGGCCAATGGAAAGAGCTCTGTGGAGGACACAGATCTGGACTTCATTTCCAGCTTGTCTACTTAGTTCTTATGTCATCAGATCTCCCTTCATCATCTTATTTATAAAGTGGAGTCAATGCTATTTGCCCTGCCTGGGTCACAAAACTGCTCAGAGGGTTAAATTCTATCATCTATTTGGAAGTGTTTATAGGTTATAAAAATGTGTAATAAATAGAATTCTAGTTTTGCTCTTTTTAAATTTTTTACTTTTCTTTTTTTGTAGAAATGGGGTCTTGCTATGTTGCCCAGGCTGATCTCAAACTCCTGGGCTGAAGCATTCCTCCTGCTTTGACCTCCCAAAGCACTGGGATTACAGGTGTGAGCCACCTCACTCAACCAACGTTTGCTTATTTTGTATTTGAATTTGCTTCCTTCCTCTTTGTCATTTCCCCTCCCTGCTAGAATTGCCCTTTCCATCTCTCTTTCCCAGTTAAGATTTTCAGAGGGACCTGCGCAGGTCACATTGCGAGTCTGAGGATGGGGAATGAGATAGGGGTGGAAAGAGAGATGGAAAGGGCAAAGAAAAAGGAAGCAAATTCAAATACAAAATGAGCAAACATTGGTTGAGTGCAGTGGCTCATGCCTGTAATCCCAGTGCTTTGGGAGGTCAAGAGAGGAGGATTGCTTGAGCCCACGAGTTTGGGTCCATGTCACCTACCTGGTCTTCTTCCTTTAAATCGCTGTCATTTTCACTCACCCTTCTAGAAAGAATCTTGTCATTACATTGGGCAATTTCTATGTTTTGTGAGGGAACTCAACCATAAAATTCATTCTGCAAACATGAAGAATGTCCTCTAATTTTTAGCCTAAATTTATTTCCCCAGAGACAAATGTGTTTTCCTGCAGTTTTGTATTTTGAATGTCTATTAATAAGAGTTTCTCTTCTGAAGTCCAACCTTTGCAGGACAGTTTCATTTACTTGTTTACACCACACCTTGTTCCGGGAAGGATTTAAGGTAGATGTTGAGGATGGCATTTTTTTTTTTCAGACAGGATCTCAACTCTATCACCCAGGCCAGACTGCTGCAGTGGTGCAATCTCGGCTCACTGCAACCTCCGCCTCCCAAGTTCAAGCGATCCTCCTGCCTCAGCCTCCCTAGTAGCTGGGACTACAGGCATGCATCACCACGCCCAGCTAATTTTTGTATTTTTAGTAGAGACAGGGTTTCACCATGTTGGCCAGGCTGGTCTCAAACTCCTGACCTCAGGTGATCCACCCACCTTGGCCTCCCAAAGTGATGGGATTACAGGCGTGAGCCACCACGCCCAGCCCATTAATTATTTCTCACAAACCATTCCAACCCCTTTACACTAAGCTTCGTCAAAACAGAACTATTGTTAATTCTTGAACTCTCCATGGTCTTTAATGTCCTCACACTTGCACATAAGCTATTCCTTTCCCACTCAGCCAACTCATTCATCCTGCAGGATGGACTTCCAATGAAGCCTCAGTGACATCTCCCACCCTTCCAAGAGCAAAGTGAGGGGTTCCTGTTGCATACTCTCATCACCACATGAATGAGTCTCTACAACAGTAATTTCCACATTGTATTGTAGTTAGTTGACTCCCTCAGTTCAGAAGTTACTCTTAATTACAGCACCCAGAACAGTCCTGGCACATATCTGGTGCTCAGTAAGTGTTTGTAGGATCCGTGGATGAATGATTGAATGTATAGAAGGATGCACAGGTGAATGAACGGATGTATCTTTCCCTTTTCTGTGGACACTTCACCTCTGGTTTGAACCCAGGACAGCTCTTCTACCTACTGTCCTGCCCCCTGCAAAACCAAGTCCCCAAAGCCACAGCCCCACTCACCTGAGAGGCAGAGAAGGAGTAGAGCTGGGAGCAGCCACATGTTCCTGTCTCCTTGGCTTCCGTCCTCAGCAAATCTAGGTCCCAGCTGGAATCCAAGTATATGTAACGGAGCCTGGGTCATCCACTTTCTACTTGTCCAAGTTTCCTTTGTGTTCTCACTCATCTATTTCCTCTTTTGCCTTTTAAAGAATGCTTCCTAATTTTAAGCCTTACTTAGCAGAAGAGAAAGGGTGGCAAGAGACGTTTCTGAGAATGGACCAAGCACAAACAGGAAAATCTGTTGGCCTTCATTTAATGTGAACGTAATGTTTGAGTCACCCCCTGAGATTTCATGACTCGGAATTTCATGAAAGTCAGTCCCAGTTTACGAAACCTCTCCAACAGAGAAAACTCTGTTCCCTGCCTCTTTCACTCTTCTTCCTATCTGGGATTACTTCATCGATCTAAGGAGCTTCCCTTCTCTATGGCTGCCTACTTTTGAATCATAAAACACCCTCTACTTAAGGAGCTGTGGTGATCACTCCCCATGTCTTTCTCAACCGTTATCTCCATGCGGATGACTTCACACCTCTTCCTCTAACCCAATATCCCAATATCTCTCCTGGGCTCCAGATCCTACTTTCTAACTTCCTATAGGGAAGCTCCACCTGGTTATACACTGTTAACCTAGTTCAGTATATGGGTCATGGTCAACAGCATAGATTCTGAAGTCACACAAACTCAAATCTCATCTCCATCATTTATTAATCATCTGACCTTGGGCATGTTGCCAAATCACTCTCCTCCTCAGTCTCCTCATCTGTAAAATAGAGTACTCATGACAATTCTTTCTCAAAGGGTTGCCACAGGAAATAAATGAGTTAATGTAAGTAAAGTGCTTGATACAGTGCCTGGAACATAGTAACTGCCCAGTTAATATTAAATACCTTTAGAATAGTCCTGGACCATTGAAATAGCTTCTCATCTGGTCCCTCCACTAGCTATACATTCTCTCTAATCCAACTTGCACATCAGAAGATACTCTTCTCTAAGACATAGCTATCTGAAAATATAATTTCTTTCCTTCTCTTTCCCCAGAGATACCCATCTTTGATACCCACAGCCTCTAATCTTTACTATCTTTTAGAACTCTACTGGATCATCTGATATTTCAAACTTTTGTTGTAAGAGCACAACTTCTTATCTTTTCTGTACCACCATATCTGATGAAGTATTATATAGCCAGGCATGGTGGCACGTGCCTGTAATCCCAGCTACTTGGGAGGCCAAGGCAGGAGAATCACTTGAACCCAGGAGGTGGAGGTTGCAAAGCAATGAGCCAAGATCACACCATTGCACTCCAGCCTGGCAACAGAGAGAGACTCCATCTAAAAAAAAAAGAAAGAAAGATGAAAGAAAGAAAGAAAAAGAAAGAAAGAAAGATAGATAGATTATATATAGAATAGAGCCCTGGATGGAACAATAAAACACCAGGACCCTGGTCCCATGTGTGACATGAGCCACACACTTGAGGGATCCAGAATGAGCAGAGCTGACAGTAGCCACAACATTGTGTCTTAGTCCATTTTCTTCTACTATAACAGAATACTACAGGCTAGCTAATTTATAAAGAACAAAAGTTGGCAGGTGCAGTGGCTCATGCCTGTAATCCTAGCACTTTGGGAGGCCGAGGCACGTAGATCACTTGAGGTCAGGAGTTTCAGACCAGCCTGGCCAACATAGCAAAACCCTGTCTCTAACAAAAATACAGAAATTAGCCCTGCATGGTGGTATGAGCCTGTAGTCCCAGCTACTCAGGAGGCTGAGGTGGGAGAATTGCTTGAACCCAGGAGACGAAAGTTGCAGTGAGCCAAGATCACGCCACTGCATTTCAGCCTGGGCGACAGAGAGAAACTCTGTCTCAAATAATAATAATAAAAAAGAACAAATTTGTTCACCTTCCTAGCTTTCTGAAGATGAGAAGTCCAAGAGCATCGTAGTGGCATCTGACAAGCGTCATTCCATGGCAGAAGACAAGACAGCAGGCAAGCCTCCTAGACAGAGAGAAAAAGGGGACTGAACTCAGCCTCTCAGGAAACCACTCTCACAATAACTAACCCACTCCGGAGATAACAGCATTAATCCACTCGGAGGACTGAGCTCTCATGGCCTAATCACCTCTTAAAGACCTCACATCCCAATGCCATTACATTGACAGTTAAGTTTCAACACGAGTTTCTGAGGGAACATTCAAACCATAGCAACCCTTGTGCCATTTATTCAGCAGAGACAACAGTTGCAGGCTTCAGTTCTTTCCACCAAGAGGACCAAACAAATCTTCAGCCTTCTTGGTTCTGCTTTTATAATGTTTTCTTCTGGTTCCTTTTTTGAAAATCTTATCCCTACAGTTGTTTATAAAATAAAAGAAATGGGAATAAGCAAAGGCATGTGTTGATGGTTGAAAAACTATAAACTCACCATGTCTAATATAGGCACATTTCATTATAATCCAATTAGAAAATCCAAACTCCGACCACCTAGTAAGACCGAGTTGACACAGAAGCTATCATCTGGTTCCAAACTGAAGTCAAATCCAATAAAAGGAAATTCCAGGTATTAGAAATGTAAAGGGAACTAAAAGCCAGGTCTGTGAGCAGGATCTGATACCAAGAGGCTAATGGGGACCAGTCAAAATGAATTTGGGCCTTAGGAGGAGAGGGGCTGCTGTTTAAATAGCCACTCAGGGACAGAAGACAATGTCTCAGGTCTACACAAGACAGGGAGTGGGAGCAGAGCCCCCTGCCAAAAGCTAGGATCCATGAATGGTCATTACGCCCATGGAACAGGATGAGGGGAGACCCCATTGATGGGCTCATGGGAGTATCAAGGCATCTCCACTCCCTGTAGTTATAAGGAGTTACCTTCCATGAGAACAAGCACCTAAGTTGCACTACACAGGGGTGTGAGATCCAAAGTACAACTTCCCATCGTGTGGGAGTGTGGACAAGGACGTCAATATAAAACAGGTTGGCAAATGATGAGACTTGTAGGGCCATGGAAGAGATGAACACACACCAAAACCACACCTCCAGTTCACCTTGTGTTTTTATACACCCCATGAGCTAATGATCATTTTCACATTATTAATGGTGGGAATTTTTTTTTTAATTCATGACACATGAAAATTGTCTGAAACTAAAATTTCAGTGTACATAAATAAGTTTTACTGGAATACAGCTACACATGTTCATTTATGTATTATCTATGGCAGCTTTCATGCTACAACAGCAGAGTTTGTTACAGGACCAACGAGTTCATATGCCCATTGCACTGGAACAAACCAATACACCAAGACAACAGGGTTTGCAGCAGAGAAAGAGTTTAATGATCACAGGGTAACCAAGCAAGGAGTTGGGAGGGACCCTCAAATCCATCTCCCTGAGAAGTTCTGGGCTGGGACTTTTAAGGGGATTGTAGAGGGCAAGTAACTGGAAAATTGGGATCATTGATTGGTCAAGGTAGGATGGATGAAATCATCATGATCTGGAAACAGCCTTCTTTGGTGAATCAGCTTCTCTTGGATTCCTCTAGACCAGCTGGCATCAGTAGTTTCACTGGTATACAAGACCTGGTAAAAATATCTCAAATGGAAAACTTAATGTCTCACAATGCTTAAGATGTTACCTATGGTACAATTAAGGGGGACTATAGTCTTACAACCGGGTCTGTGTGATTCTGGGGGAATAGGCAGCAAATATGAAGAAGCAGGACAGAGAGCAGGCTGACCTCATGATTAATGCCAAATGTGCTGCAAGCTTGGTTTATTTTCATTTCTCCCCTTCCCTTCTTCCCTGATTAATTTTATAAAATTTATAGGAACAATTCCAAGTTGAGTAGTTGTGACAGAGACCGCAGAGCCCAAAAAACCTAAAATCTGTACTGGCTGGCCCTGGCAAAAGGAGTTTGCCATTCTCTGGCGTTGACGATGGACCCCTCCCCACTTGCAACCAGCAATCGTTCCCACTGGCAATTGGAAGCAGAATCCTGAAAGCAGAGCACTCTTGGGCTAGTCTTCTTGAGGGTAACAGAAGCTACTTTAGGTGGTGTGAGGATTTACCAGGGCAGAGACAACCTAGAGAGTGATCTTAGGCCAGATGGAGGGTCCAGGTAGAGTCTAGCTCAGCCCTGGTGAAGATACAGATGCTCCCGCCTGGCCCCATCTGCCTCATTTGGCAGCCCCACAAGTTGGCACTCTTCTGCTTTCCACTTAGTGCAGCCCCATAGGACCCCAGAAGAAGCAGGTAGCTTTCACCTGAGGACTTCCCCTGGCCCTCTAAGCAGCAGTTCCTACCTGCTCCTCCAGCCACACATGGGATTTCCTACAAGACAACTCCATTCCCTGCCCCTGCTTTAATCCTGCTGTGCCCCATCCCCTCAAAACACCTCCACCCTGACTCCACCGACACCTCAAACTCAGCCTGATGAACATCTAACCCTTCTCTCTCGCTGACCTCCCCAACAACTACTAGAACAACAGCAACGTGCTTCTCTTCCTTGACTCCCCGGACTGCCCCAGCCCAGAACATTCACCTCCTGCTCTTCAGGCTGTCACTAAAGCTGCTGCCCGTGGAACTGCACAGAGCTCAGGAAATTTCCTCCTCCATAGATAAGAGAAGTGAGCAAATTAAAAGATGATTCTTACTAGCTTTAAGGTTACTTCTGATATGATTAGAATAGTAGAGGATTATAAAAGGGAGAAGTTCATAAAGAAAGAGGGCAGCGATGTGCTATATTAATGTATATAGAAAAGATGCTCCTAAATTAATCAATTTATAAAGACAGAGTATATTTCTGCCAAGAATGGGAAAAGTCTTCTGTTTCTCAAGGACATAAGCTGGAGGAGGCTGCACCCTTCAGGAACCTTCTTAGCACTGTCTTAATTATTAAACACATACTCATGCAATTCTAATCCTTTAAACAACCCTGTGAGGTAGAACTTCTATTATCCCCATGTTTCAGAGGAGGAAACTGAGGCACAGAGGGGCCAATCAACCTGCTGAAGGCCTTATGACCCATTAGTGGTGAGCCACTCTATGATGGCGTTCATATGAAGCTAGGATTGGAGGGCCCAGGTTGCCTGGCTCCAGGATCTGTGTCCTTATCTCCCACTACCCAGCTGCTTGTAGTAAATTAATGCAGAAACAAGGCACAAGAGGTCATGATGGTTGCTCTGAGAGAATTAAACAGAGTGATATGGCCAAGAACCACCCAGGACGGTCTGAGAAGCCTCTGAGAAGGTGACGTTCAGAATGAGACTGTGCTGGCATTCAGAAGAGTGCACCAGATGCAAAAGAAGAGGAGGCAAGGCCGGGCATGGTGGCTCCCACCTATAATCCCAGCACTTTGGGAGGCTGAGGCAGGCAGATCACCTGAGGTTAGGGGTTTGAGACCAGCCTGGCCAACATGGTGAAACCCCATCTCTACTAAAAATACAAAATTTAGCCTGGTGGTAGCACACGCCTGTAATCCCAGCTACTAGGGAGGCTGAAGCAGGAGAATTGCTTGAACCTGGGAGGCCAAGGTTGCAGTGAGCCAAGATCACACCACTGTACTCCAGCATGAGCGACAGAGTGAGACTCTGTTGAAGAAGAAGGAGAAGGAGAGGAAGAGGAAGAGGAAGAAGAAGAAGAAGAAGAAGAAGAAGAAGAAGAAGAAGAAGAAGAGGAGGAAGAAGAAGGACGAGGAGAAGAAGAAGTGGTGGGGAGGGGGAGGGGGGAGGGGAGGGGGAGGGGAGGGGAAGAAGGAAGGTAGTAGTAGTCAGGAGAGTGAAATCAGGAGCACCTAGTGATGCAGGAGGAAAACCAGGAGAGTCTGGGCTGTAGACTGAATGCTTATGTCCCCCCAGTTTCATACATTGAAACCCTAATCCCCAAGGTGGCGGTATTTGGAGTTGGGGCCTTTGGGATATGATTAGGCCATAAGGGTGGGGCTCGCATGAATAAAATTAGTGCCCTTATAAGAAGAGACACAAGCCAGGTGCAGTGGTGCAAGCCTGTAGTCTCAGCTACTCAGGAGACTGAGCGGGGAGGATCACTAGAGGCCAGGCGTTTGAGGCTGCAGTGTGCTATGATAGTGCCTGTTAATAATCACCACACTTCAGCCTAGGCAGCATAGTGAAGCCTGTCTCTTAAATTTTTTTTTAATTAAAAAAAATCATAGAATCATAGAAGAGATACAGGAGAGCTTGCTTTCTCTCTCCCTTTCTCTGCCATGTGTAGATAAAGAAAGAAGGCAGCCATCTATAAGCCAGGAAGACAGCCCTTACCAGGAACTGATTCAGCCAGCATCTTGATCTTGAACTTCCAGCCACCAGAACTGGGAGAAATGAATTTCTTTTGTGTGAGCCACCCAATCTGTGGTATCTTTGTTATAGCAGCCTGAGCTGACTGAGATAGTCTGAAAGCAAAGAAAGGAGAAAGAAGGGAGGAAGAAGTGCTCAGCCGAGTCAAGGGCTGCTGAGGTCAAGTAAGATGCAGAAAGAGAAGATGCATTTGGATTTGACTGACAGTAAGGTTGTTGGTTCCCTCGTCAAGGGCATGTCTGTAGAGTGGTGAGCAGAGAAGACAGGTGGGCTTGACTACAGAGTAAATGACAGATGAGGAAACAGAGTCAGAAAATGCAGATGGTGGCCGGGCGCGGTGGCTCATGCCTGGAATCCCAGCACTTTGGGAGGCCAAGTCGGGTGGATCACTTGAGGTCAGGAGTTCGAGACCAACCTGGCCAACATGGCGAAACCCCGTCTCTACTAAAAATACAAAAATTCCCTGGGCGGTAGTGGCGTGTGCCTGTAATCTCAACTACTCAGGAGACTGAGGAGGAGAATCACGCGAGCCTGGGAGGTGGAGGTTTGCAGTGAGCCAAGATCACGCCACTTTACTCCAGTCCAGGTTAGAGAGCGAAACCGTGTATTAGAAAAAAAAAAAGAAAGAAAGAAAGAAAAAAGAAAAGAAGAAAAAAGAAAGTACAGACACTGTTTTATAAGAGGCTCTGAGAAGGAAAGTGGAGAGAGAGGAAACAACAGCTGGAGAGGGCTGGGGACAAAGGGGAGCGTTTGTTTAATCAAAGTCCTCCAGTATGCTGAGAGGTGAGTAGGCAGATCTTCTGGAAAACCTGTCCTGGTTGATGGGCAGATATCTCCAGGACATCATTGTGTGCTCACAGAACTTGAAATCCAAGCACAAAGATGGAGTTAATTACAACAAACTAAAATTACTCGGGTGTGGAAAAAAAAGACAACAACACTGAAAAAACTGAAACAAAATTACCAAAAACATCAAGAGCTTACACAGATCAAAATGAAAAATATTCAAACTAAAAGAAAAATTGGCAAACACCATCAACCTACAATTCTCAAAAGAAGAAATACAGATGGCTGACATTCAGAAGAAAAAGCACTTAATCTCACTGAAAATCAACCACATGGATATACTAAAACAACAAAATTATAAATTTTTCCAGATTAGCCAAGAGGTTTTCTAAGGTAATGCTCAGTAAAGGCAGGCAACAGAGTGGTGGAATCCGTATGCTGTCTATAGGTGATGTAGTGCTCTAATTCTGCAAAGCAATTTAGCAGTAAGTGACAAGAACTCTAAAAATGGGCTTTCTCTTCGCCCAGTAATTCCACTTTTCATATTCTATTCTAAGAAAAAAAAAATGAAAATGTGAACACATAGTAGTAAAAAATTTAAGAGACCGTAATTATCCAACAAAAAGAAACTATCTAACTATTGGGCCGGGCGCAGTGGCTCAAACCTATAATCCCAGCACTTTGGGAGGCCAAAGTGGGTGGACTGCTTGGGACCAGGAGTTCGAGACCAGCCTGGCCAACATGGCAAAACCCTATCTCTACTAAAAATATCAGCCTGGTGTGGTGGCACACACCTGTCATCCCAGCTACTTGGGAGGCTGAGGCAGGAGAATCACTGGAATCCAGGAAATGGAGGTTTTAGTGAGCTGAGATCGTGCCACTGCACTCCAGCCTGGAAGACACAGCGAGACTCTGCCAAAAAATAAAATAAAATAAAATAAAATAAAATAAAATAAAATAAAATAAAATAAAATAAAATAAAAATAAAAAACCCTCTTGAGAGACAATCAAGATAAAGTTCTACAAACTGAAATTACCAGATGAAAAGTTGCATTTTGAAAAATGAGAGAAATAGGTGGGATTTGACTAAAACATTAGAGATGAAGAATAATGTGAGTGAAATCTTTGAGAATGCGATGACCAAGGAGAGAATTTTCCCAGGTCCAGCGTAGCGCTTGAAAAAACACAAGCAAGCTTTAAGAAGCAACTGCCAGAAAAACAGAAACTGAGAGAGATTCTGAAATCCAGGCACTCGTGTGGGGAGATTGCAGAAGTTGGTGGTATGGCTGAAAGAAAATGAGGAAGCTTTGAAATGTGATTCAGTGGCTTCCTGCTGTAAAATCTTCACTGTCTCCTCTTAGCTGTGATCAAATCCAGACCCCAGCATGATTCACACAGCCCTGCAGGACCCAGCCTCCTTCCATCCTCCCGGCTCACACTTTTGCTCCAGCCATTCCAAAGCACAGTATTTCTAATTTCCCAAATAGCAGCTGCTCCCTCGAGCCAGCACGCCTGCATATATGGTGTTTGTCAAAGCCCTTCCAGCCTCCCACCTGCCTTCCTTGATACCTGGAGCCCCTACACATCCTTCAAAATGCCGATAAAGCTTCCCTGCAAAGCCAGCTCTGGCAGAGTCGAGCTGCTGCCTCTGTGCGGCACAGTACCTGGGTTGCATCATTCTGTCTTACGCCCCTCTCCCAGCATTCTTTTCCGGGTGAATCTGCCTTCACTGTTGCTTTGTGTAGGGCACCACAGGTGCGGTGGGTTGAGTTAATGTGCCCAAGCAAAGTCCTGTCTCATATCATTTCTCTGTTTAGTCCTTTCTATCTCATTTCCCATTTCCAATCCCCGGCATCCGTACACTTGTGTGATTGTCAGGTATACATGCTGGCTTCGTAGGAGTGTGTTTAAGTTTACATAACTGGCTGGGCGCAGTGGCTCACAGAGGCTGAGGAGGGAGGATCCCTTGATTCCAGGAGTTCAAGACCAGCCTGGGCAACATAGTGAGACCCGATCTCTACAAAAAAAATTTAAAAATTAGCCACGCATAGTGGCACACGCCCATGTTCCCAGCTACTCAGGAGGCTGAGGCAGAAGGATTGCTCAGGCCCAGGAGTTTGAGGATGGAGTGAGCCATGATTGCACCACTGCGTTTCAGCCTGGGCAAAAAGAATTTATGTAACCAGCTTTATGCCATCGATCTCATTCTGGTTTTAGCTT
Organism: Homo sapiens; assembly: GCF_000001405.40. NCBI lineage: Eukaryota > Metazoa > Chordata > Mammalia > Primates > Hominidae > Homo > Homo sapiens. The sequence continues at coordinate 74,632,928 of NC_000017.11, forward strand.
TTTCACTCAGCACTGGATTTTTTTTTTTTTTTTTTTTTTTTTGACGTTATCTCGTCCTGTGGCCCAGGCTGGAGTGAAATGGTGCGATCTCAGCTCACTGCAGCCTCTGCCTCCCAGATTCAAGCAATTCTGCTGTCTCAGCCTCCCAAGTAGCTGGGACTACAGGTGCACACCACCATGCCCAGTCAATTTTTGTATTTTTAGTAGAGACTAGGTTTCACCATATTAGTCAGGCTGGTCTCAAACTTCTGACCTCAGGTGATCCATCCGCCTCAGCTTCCCAAAGTGCTGGGATTACAGGTGTAAGCCATTATGCCAGGCCTCAGCACTGGGTTTTTAAGCCCCATCCACGTTACCATGGGGCCGTAGAGTTTGTTGACTAGAACTGGAGCTTGTATACTACAGGAGGTGCCGGGTTTACTTGTCGGCCCCTCCCCCATGTTGCACACCTGGGCTGCCCCCAGCTCCCTGCTCCCCAGACAGCACAGCACTGAGCATGCTCTAGCCTGGCCTCTGAGGGCCTGCATGAGAGTTTTTCTGGGCTCTGCCTGCCTCAGCAGGATTGCTGAGTCCCAAGGTAAACACACACTTAGCCTGACAGATTTCTCTCCAAAAAGGCCACGCTTGGCTTGTGAGCGTTCTTTCGTGACCAGAGCCTACAATCACAACCTGTTTCATGAAGCAGAGCAGGCTTTTCGCAAACTGCTCCCGAAGTGCAGTCTCCCTTTGATCCTGGCATGAGTGTGTTGGGTCAGGTGAAAATGCAGTAAGTCCTCGGGCCTTCCTGAGAGTCCCCAGTCTAAACCCTTGAGTCCAGATTAAGGCCAAGCCAGGATCCTCGGTTTGACTCAACAGCAAGAGCTGGAGCCATCTTCCCCACATTCCACTGCGTGGCCAGCAATGACTTCTTGCTGTCAACACAACACTGACGGTTGTGGGGGAGAAGGGGCCCTGAGGACTCCCAGCCACCCCCAATTCAGACTCCAGGCTTCTTCCTGCAATAGCTCCTTTTGAGGACCAGCTGCGCTCTTCACTTAAAGTATTTTGCGGCCGGACGCGGTGGCTCATGCCTGTAATCCCAGCACTTTGGGAGGCCGAGGAGGGTGGATCACCTGAGGTCAGGAGTTCGAGATCACCCCAGCCAACATGATGAAACCCCATCTCTACCAAAAATACAAAAAATTAGCTGGGCGTGATGGCAGAGGCCTGTAGTCCCAGCTACTCAGGAGACTGAGGTGTGAGAATTGCTTGAACTCAGGAGGCAGAGGTTGCAGTGAGTCAAGATCATGCCACTGCACTCCAGCCTGGGCCCAGAGTGAGACTGTGTCTAAGAAAAAAAAAAAAAAAAAGAAGAGATCTTAAACAATATAGGGTCTGGATAGATAGTGCTGTGACAAGCAACCCTAACATCTCAGTAGCTTAACACAATAAAGGTGTATTTCTCAGTCAGATCATAGACAAAGGAAAGTCAGGCAGATCTCTAGGTGGCAACTGGAGGACCTGGGCCCTTCCATCAGCGTCATCACCTTCATGCTGGTTTCTATGGTCACCATGGAGCATGTAAGAAATTGCACAGGTATCTAAGGCCAGGCCCAGAGTTGGGTACCAGACTTCCACCACATCCAGGGGAACCAGACACTGAGGCTGTCTGGTGGGACGTCACAGAAACAATGTGAGCCCTTGTATGCCTGGCCCTTAAAACCATCCCATGCACTTAACGTTTCCACGAAGATGAAGTAGACAGACTTTTCCCTATCCCTCCCACCAAGTAGAACTAAGCCCTGATCTTGGGTATAAAACAAGCATGAGGGCCAGGCATGGTAGCTCACACCTGTAATCCCAGCACTTTGGGAGGCCGAGGCGGGTGGATCACCTGAGGTCAGGAGTTCGAGACCAGCCTGGTCAACATGGCAAAACCCTGTCTCTACTAAAAATACAAAAAATTAGCTGGGTATGCATAGTGGCGGGCACCTGTAATCCCAGCTATTTGGGAGGCTGAGGCAGGAGAATTGCTTGAACCTGGGAGGTGGAGGTTGCAGTGAGCCAAGATCTCACCATTGCATTCCAGCCTGGGTGATGGAGCAAGACTCCATCTCGAAAAATAAAAAATAAAAATAAAACAAGCATGAGAAGGGACTGAAAGGTGGACAGACAGTAGGGTCCACGGAACAATGTAGCAATGAGTTATCTGGGTTTTCTCTTTCCTTTATGTATCCCAGACTTGGAGACAGCCCTGATGGAGAGGCCACCAATGCAGAAACAATAACAGGCACAGAAAAACAACAACAAAAGCTGTCCCTCTCTCTCTAGAAAAAAAAAAAAAAAACAGGGAACGAGCAACCCAGCAATAGAGAAGAACTTAGACAATGACTCCTCTACCCTACAGAACACCCCAGAAAAAATGATGGCCCCACCGCCCAGGCCAGCAAAGGCAGAGTGGGAGCTTAGACATCCACCTCCACCCAGCTGTAACCAGGCACCCAATCCCCCTGCCAGGTGCTGTCAGGGAAGGCTGGGTAGGGAACCTGGACTTCCACCCCCACTCAGCAGTGAGAAGCCCAACTCCCTCCCGCGGGGGTGGCCTCAACCAGGCCACATGGGGAGTAGTGAGAAAGAAAAGGGACTTTTTATCTGAGGAATGCGAGCCCTTTTAAATGGGCAGACTCAGAGAGGCATTCAGATGTGACAGCAGTCACGTCTCACTCCCCACTTGAGCGAAATAATTGTCTCTGGAAGCCACCTGCGATGCAGGCCCTAGACGAACGGACACCACATAGCCATGAACACCGTAAACACCACGCACTGGACGCCATAACTCACACCTGAGCTCAACAATGCACTGCCAGTCACCGACCGATGTGATTTCTGTGAACTAGTAAGAATTCACATCAGACAACTCCAGACTGTCAGCCCCCTCCTTGCTTCCTTTTGCCTTTCAAAACTTGCTTGTAGGCCAGGAGCGGTGGCTTACGCCTGGAATCCCAGCACTTTGGGAGGCTGAGGTGGGTAATAATTTGAGGGCAGGAATTCAATACCAGCCTGCCCATCATGGTGAAACCCTGTCTCTACCAAAAATACAATAATTAGCTGGGCGTGGTGGTGCACACCTGTAATCCCAGCTACTCAGGAGACTGAAGCAGGAGAATCACTTGAATCTGGGAGGCAGAGGTTGCGGTGAGCCGAGTCCACACCACTGTACTCCAGCCTGGGCGATAGAGCAAGATTCTGTCTCCAAAAAAAAAAAAAAAACCTGCTTGTAACAAAAGCCAAGCAGACCACTCCCAAAGGCAACTTGGAAGTGCGTCTCCGACAGCTGTCCTCACTTCAACTGAAATTAACTCTTTAAAATTGTATTTTGTGCCTCAGCTTCTTCCTGTAGGTCTTTTGACCCCTCTTGGCCAGGGGCACATCAATGGAGGCCCAGTAGAAGCCGGAATTCACATCCTCACCCACTGGGGTCCATGAAGCCCCACTTGCAAGCCCGTCTCAACGCTGGGCTACGCCACCCTTCTGTATATTCCCATGGTCCCCTCTACATTTCCACCAGGAAACCAGGTTATTGTACTCACCAATATCCTTGTCTGGATATTGGTGGCTGGGTGCAGTGGCTTACTCCTGTAATCCCAGCACTTTGGGAGGCCAAGGCAGGCAGATCACTTGAGGTCAGGAATTTGAGACCAGCCTGGCCAACATGGCAAAACCCCGTCTGTACTAAAAAAAAAAAAAAAAATACAAAAATTAGCCAGGTGTGGTGGTATGCGCCTGTAATCCCAGCTACTCACGAGGCTGAGGCAGAGGTTGCAGTGAGGTGAGATCCCGCCACTGCACTCCAGCCTGGTCGACAGAGTGAGACTTTGTCTAAAAGAAAATAAAATAAAATCCGTGTATATGTGGCTGCGTTTCTTACACAACACCTCACATTATTCAAAGAAATCTGAGACACCCACCCTCACCCCCGCTGCCTCGCTCTCAGGAAATAAGCACAGGAAAACTAAATCACTGCATGCCATCAATGGGGGAGTGTGTAAGTGACAGCAGATGTGGTGCTTCCAATGAGGCCAAGGGATAGGGACGATTGGAAAATCCCAAGCAAGGCCTGACCTGCCAACTACAGCCAAATGGAGTAATACCTTCTCCAAACACAGACAGGACTTGGGTGGCAGCCACTGGTCTTTTTTGTTGTTGTTGTTGGATTTTTTTTAGATGGGGTCTCGCTCTGTCACCCAGGCTGAAGTGCAGTGGTGCAATCTCTGCTCACCGCAACCTCAGCCTCCCAGGTTCAAGCGATTATCCTGCCTCAGCCTCCCGAGTAGCTGGGATTACAGGCACCCACCACCATGCCCAGCTAGTTTTTTTTTTTTTTTTTGGATTTTTAGTAGAGTCGGGGTTTTACCATATTGGCCAGGCTGGTCTTGAACTCCCGACCTCAGGTGATCCGCCTGCCTCGGCCTCCCAAAGTGCTGAGATTATAGGCCTGAGCCACCGCGCTCAAACTGGCAGCCACTGGTCTGAAGCAGGGAAGAACTAGGTCACCTCAAGTGTCCTGTGAGAGACCACAGTCTGTGCCGAGAGAGAGGAAGTACCCGTACAGGCCCCAGCATAACGTCCCTCGATTAGGAATTCCTTCTGACTTGCTTTTGTTGGACAGCCCTTCCTCCACAATTAGATGAGAGAAACTTGCCTCCTTGTGAGATGAGACCAACGTTATCATTAGACCTCCCCATGGGTGGAAGTTGCATTTGAGTCCTATGATTCCCTACACCAGAAAAAAAAATGATTAATATAAAAAAAAGGAGAAAGGTCAGAATGCTCCTTTCCCCTGCTGGATCAAGGCTCTGAGACAGGCTGAAGGCAGAAATCCTCTGTCATTCCTGTCCCCTTCTCAGCTACCAGGGGAGCGTGACCCGTTCTGGGGCTCCAGACACTGTTATCACAGAAGATTTGCTCTTTCTGGCAGGAAGCAAAAACGATGAGACTAGTGTTGTCCAAACTGAGGGTTGCAACCTGGTTGTGGGTCTTAAGCAGATTTTTTTCTTACAAGTAGTGTGAGAGACCAATGGAATCTCAGATTCCCAAACTCACTATGCCAAAGGGGAAGAGAAGCTTAGGAACTGGGTCACCAATGCTGTCTTCCTCTTGTTCCCAAACAGATGGCTGCAATGGCACAACCCTGTACTCCCGCTCTTCACATGTTTACTTTATCTTAAGTCAAATGCAGATTAACTGAGCTGCACACAAGACATCATTGACTTTTCCCTCCACTTCCTCTTTCCAGGTGTAAAATGTAGTTTTACCAAAGCTAATCAGAGCCTCACGGGAATGTAACCATTTGCTTCCCTGCCTCCCCTCCCTCCCTTTTTTCCCTCCTGCTTTCTCTTCCTCCTTCAAAGACTGAAGTTCCCGGTCGGGCACAGTGGCTCACACTTGTAATCCCAGCACCTTGGGAGGCTGAGGCGGGCAGATCACCTGAGGTCAGGAGTTTCAGACCAGCCTGGCCAACATGGTGAAACCCCATCTCAACTGAAAATACAAAAACATTAGCCGGGCATGGTGGTATGTGCCTGTAATCCCAGCTACTCGGGAAACTGAGGCAAGAGAATGGCTTGAACCCGGGAGGCGGAGGTTGCAGTGAGCCGAGATCATGCCATTGCATTCCAGCCTGGGTGACAGAGCAGGACTCCGTCTCAAAAAACAAAAAAAAAGTTCCTAAAACCTCCTTTGGAAAATGCATCTGTGATCTGTTTTGTTTTGTTTTTTTTTTCCTGGACAACCTTGGCTAAACAAACCTCTAATGCACTGAGACCTGCCTCAGTCATGTTTTGGTCTGTAACAGGGTATGTCAGGATCAATCAGAGCACATCTCAGGTTATAATGATAAACACTGAGATTTTATTTTTTTTTTCTGTATGCGTATACAAGTATTGCCAAGTAACTAACTTTCTCACTGTGAGTCATGGTCAAAAAATACTAAAAGTCACGACATGGGCCGAGTGAGGTGGCTCACGCCTGTAATCCCAGCACTTTGGGAGGCCAAGGCAGTTGGATCACCTGAAGTCAGGAGTTTGAGACCAGCCTGGCCAACATGGTGAAACCCCATCTCTACTAAAAATACAAAATTAGTAGGGCGTGGTAGCACGTGCCTGTAATCCCAGCTACTCGGAAGGCTGAGGCATAAGAGTCCTTAAACCCGGGAGGTGGAGGTTGCAGTGAGCCGAGAACACGCTACCATACTCCAGTCTGGGTGACAGACTGAGACGCCGACTTAAAAAAAAAATTCATGACATCAATTATGTGTGAGCATTTTACTTCAATCCAGAATAAAGAACAAGGGAACTCTCCCACCACCCTCTGTCTCTTGGTGCCCAGAAACTCCATCGAGCACGTTCTGGTCCAGAAAAAAAGAGGGGGCCCTGCAGTGGCCAACCCTATGTCTTGCTCCATTCAGCCTGCTGTAACTGAAATACTACAAAGTGGGCAGCTTAAGCAGTCATTTATTTCTTACAGTTATAGATGCTGGACATCCAAGATCAGGGTGTCAGCCTGGTCAGGCTCTGGCGAAGGCCTCTTCTGGGTTGCAGATGACTGCCTTCTCTTTCCATCTTCACATGGCAGAGAGGGAGGTCTACAAAGCTCTCTGGAGTCTCTTTTATGAGGGCACTCATCCCATTTATGAGGGCTCCAGTTTCAAGACCTAATCGCTTCCCAAACCCCCAATACCATCAGCTTCATGGTCAGGATTTCAACATATGAATCTTTGGTGGGGGAAGAAGGGGGACACAAACTTTCAGTCCATCATCCCTGGAACAGGCAGATAATGCCAGCATTTTCTTCATCAGTGTCATGGACTTGGCGTTATGCAAGAGCAGTGTCGATCAGGAACGGGAAACAAGAAGGTTTTTGTGGTTATGACCGAAACCATCTGCTCACATCAGCCCATTTGTGGCTTTTATTTCTTTTTTTAATACTCAATTTGAGCAGAGAGCAGGCTGAGAAAGGAGTGCTGGCATCAGGAGCTGGCAGCGTTAGAAGCACCTATGCAGAGGGACAAAAGCCCCAAAGTGAGCGACTGCTGGGCTTCGAGCCCCAGTGCCCCCCACCTCACCACGCCCATGACTCCTGCATCTTCCTCCGAGACCCACCCTGCACAGCTGACTCACTTGCCTTCGTCTGTGCAAATAACTTCCCCATGGGTCTCCTTTTTCATTTGCTTCTCTCCCCTTTATTTCAGGCTACTAAGGGATGCAACGTTGACGGTGCTAAGCAGAGCCTAGAATAGGAGAGAGGGCTCTCCAGAAAAGACCTGGAACATTAGAGATGAGCAATGCCACTGTTAGGAGCCCATGGGTCCCGCCCTAAGCCTCCGAGGCCTCTCCTTCACCTTCATATCCACACCAGACAGGGCTGGTGAGCGAATTCTGGAGGATTCAAGGCGAGAGAGAGTCCCCTGTGTTCTTAACTTCGGGGAGCTGAGGTCACAGATACACTTGAGATTGTAACAAAAGCTATACACCCATGCCCTAGGAAAACACACACATACACTGAGTTTCGCATATCCTATTAAAAGAATCTCCAGAGTCTTTCTATGTATTCCTAGCTAGGACCCCCCACCCTGGCAGGGCGCGGTGGCTCACACCTGTAATCCCAGCACTTTGGGAGGCCAAGGCGGGTGGATCACATGAGGCCAAGAGTTGGAGACCAGCCTGGTCAACATGGTGAAACCCTGTCTCTACTAAAAATACAAAAGTTAGCTGGGCATTGGTGGTGGGTACCTGTAATCCCAGCTACTTGGGAGGCTGAGGCAGGAGAATCCCTTGAACCCGAGAGGAGGAAGTTGCAGTGAGCCAAGATCGTGCCATTGCACTCCAGCCTGGGTGACAAGAGCAAAACTCCAACTCAAAAAAAAGAAAAAGAAAAAAGAAACAGATGAGAGAGATATGACTCTGATGCTAGAACAGAGGAGGAGCCTGCAGAAGGTGTGCAAGCACACATGTGCGCACGTGCACACACATACCAGCTGTCAGACACAGTCTGTGCTCTTTGGGAAGGAGGGTGGGGGTTACAGGACACTCCCATGTGACAAAACAGCAATCATCCCATGTCCCCTGGGTGCATAAAAACATCTCTCTTTGCACACCAGCACACAGCCACATCTTCCTTGCTGGGGTTCTTTGTGACCACTGTGAAAAAGCATTTGCCAGGGCTGTCTTGATGGTACACGGCGCTCCTCTCCTGACCTCAGGTGGTCCACCCACCTCAGCCTCCCAAAGCTCTGGGATTACAGGCGTGAGCCACCGCACCTGACCCAGACCCTGCATTCCTTTCCCCACTGGGCTTCTCTAATGTTCAGAACAACTCAAATCCATTTGTGCATTCTGCTGCCGCATATGGAGGCCCTGCTAAGTGTGAGTCCTACTTTGTGTTTGCAGCTGCAGACCTCATGCTGAGCAAGACTTCGCCTGGCCCTGGAGGGGCTCCCCACTACACCCTGGGTTGCCTCTGTGCCCTCTGGACTACCAGGCCTGGCTTAGTCGCTTTCCTTGGGCCTCTGTTTGTTATCAGCAGAGCCCACCCATCTGAGGCTGGAGCCTGAAACTCTAGTCATCCCTCTGATTCCCTCATCCTCTCCCCAGTGCACCCCAGCCCCACCCACCTCCCCTTCCCCAGCCACTAGGCCTGCTGTTCCTCATGCTCCCACCAGCCTCCCCCACCCCACTCCCCGGACCCAGGATGTCCAGGAGGGGCAGATGTGTCACTGTGTCTCTTTGCTCTCTCTGCCTCATCTGCCAACATTTGGGGAGCTTCTGTCAGCTGGACTGAAACTGGCTTTCATGTTTCTTACTACTCCCTTGCGTCTCTCTTTTCTACACCTCAGTTTTGTTGTTTTCCCATTGCATCAATGTTTATACGTAGAGCTGTTCAGAAAAAGCAGAAGCTGGAGACAGGAAAACTACTAATCACAACAGAAACTTTGTGGCTTTAATTCTCATAATAATTAGCATCACAGGGCACCCACCCAGTTTCTCAAGAGCCTACAACTTCCAAAAACAGACAAGTTAAGTCACATTTTTATGTATCATTGTGTCTTCAAATATACTAATCCAGCAGATTTATCTGACATCAAAACAGGGAGTTGGATGTTCAGAGGGCAAATCTTACCCAAAAATTGCTGACACAGCCCCTAACATGTTACATTATTATTAATTGGACAGTCACTTAATGAGCGTCTACTAAGTAAAGGCGCTGTGTATACAAAGAAGAAGGAGAGATCATGATTCTGTCAGGATCCTGGGAGTGGGCCAATGGCAGGCTCAGTTGGTATAACAGAATAATCTAATGCAGGGGAAATTTACAAAGAGAAGGAAAGAGTTAAGTGAAATCAACAAGAGATGGAGAAAAAACAGGACTAGCAACAGCAGTAGGGCCACGACACCTCTAACACAGGGAGAGGTGTCAGAAATAACCAGAACCCACAGGAACTGTAGGACAGGACCATGCCACAGGGGCTGTGACCTCAAAGTAGGAAAACGGACACTCCAGCCCAGCAGGGTGGCACCTGGGCAGGAGAAACTCTCACCTTCCTTTCTCCTGCTGGCACCACCCATTGCCATTCCTTGGAAAGAAAATAAATCTTGGGACCCCAAACTCACTAAGCCAAAGGAAAAAGTCAAGCAGGGAACTGGGTCATGCAAACCTACCTCCCATGTTGGTTCCTAAATGAGATGGTGACAAGGATGACAGGCTACCAACCTCCCTCACATTGTGGTCTTTAAAGCGTTTCTGTTAAATTTCCCCATGCCAATGTAAACTGATAGCTTATCTTCACAGGTGCGAGACACAGGACAGAACTCAAAGTCATTCCTCTGCCCACCTGAGACAAACGCATATCTGACTGTTTCCTCTGCCCTGTTGTTTACGTTATCTTAGGTAAAAATGCAGATTCACTGAGCCAGACAAAGGCCTGAATGGCTATTTTCCCCACCTCCCCTCTCACAAGAAAATTGTGTATTTCTCAATATCCCACCCTTTCCCTTTTAAATATTGAAGCCCCCAAAATCATCTTCAGAGAAAGGTATAGACCTGTCTCCCAGGCGCGTTTCCTTAACTTTGGCAAATAAACTTCCTAAAATGATTGAGACTTGCCTCAGTCATTTTCCTCCATTGACAACCTGAGCCCAACCAGAAGCCAGAGTGAGGTTATCTATGTTCCCCTCTCCAATAAGAATAGAAACCCCCACTCCAGAGCAGGTGCGGTGTCTGACTCATCTTCATATCCCAGCAGTAAGTACAGTGACCAGCTCACCGCGGGTGCTCAGTAAATGCATGCTGTGTGAAGAGATGAATGAGTGAATGTCCGTCCACTCAGCAACCTTGCAGCCAGGTGTGGTTGCTCATGTCTGTAATCCTAACATTTTGGGAGGCCAAGGCGAGTGGATCACTTGAGACCAGGAGTTTGAGACCAACCTGGCCAATATGGTGAAACCCTGTCTCTACTAAAAACCCAAAAATTAGCCAGGTGTGGTGGTGCGTGCCTGTAATCCCAGCTACTCAGGAGGCTTGAACCCAGGAGATGGAGGTTGCAGTGAGCCAAGATTGCGCCACTCTACTCCAACCTGGGTGACAGAGCAAGACTCTGTCTCCAAAAAAAAAGAAAAAGAAAGAAGAAAGAAAGAAAGAAAGAAAGAAAGAAAGAAAGAAAGAAAGAAAGAAGAAAGAAAGAAAGAAAGAAGAAAGAAAGAAAGAAAGATTCTTACAAACTATAAGATACTAAATTATCTAAAATTATTTCAAAATAAAGAAGGAGGTTTTGATGCTATATGCAGGTAAGAAAGGTTGGAATTAATCTCTGGAATAACACACATGATTTTCTCAATTCCTGTACTAAGCACATATGCATGGCTCCAGAAATAAGCAGAAAGTCTTTGCCATTTCAACTGTCCCCCACATACTTACTATGTTAACCCACTTCTCCATCAACACTTCTGCCCCAGGCAACTAGAAGAGAGAGAAGGAAGGTGGTGAAAAGCAGCTTCATGGTTCTGCCTACTGAGCTCTGCTCTCCCCTCTATACAGCCCAGTCCTCCTAGACTCTGGGCTGACCATGCTACAGAGAGCAAGTGCTGCATGCTCTGCCTTCTGCTTTGGTGCCTCCCTATCTCTTCTTATGGTGGTCTCCATTCACACCTGCAATCATTGTTTATTCTACTGCTTTTTTTTTTCTTTTAAGAAAGAAACTGAGATGATAAGCAGCAACTACTTGACAAGCAAGTGTTCAAACACAATGCTATGGCAATCTCCTCAACATGCTTGAAATATATGAAAAGATAGAAAATCTCAGCAAGGAAATAGACACAAAGAAGTAGCAAGTGGACATTTTACAAATGAAAAATATGATAACTAAATTTTTTAAATTCAGCTAATGGGCTCAACATCAGGAGGGAGAGGACAGAGGAAAGAATCGGTGAACTTGAACACAGAACAATAGAAATTGTCTGATCTGAGCAAAAGAGAGAAAATAGACTTTAAAAGATGAACAGAGCCTTAGGTAGCTGTGGGACTGTAATAAAAGAGCAAACATTCATGTCATTGAAGTTCCAGAAGAAGAAAAGAAAGAAAGCAGAGTTGCAAAAAGGTATTTGAAAACATAACGGCTAAAATTTTCCCAGTTTCAGCAAGACATAAAGCTACAGATCCCAAGATAACTATCCTCAAAGTCAGTCAGAGCCTGGGTCTAAAAACCATTTTGAGCAGATTCCTGGAAAACTCAATCTCCAGTCCAAACATTCTTCTAACCTCAGACCTCCTTGCCATCCCTCTCCTTGATATCTGCACTTGAGCCGTCTCAAAGATGCATCCAACTCAACAAGTCCAAAGTAAACTCACAATTATGCCCTCCAGAAAGGAGTCCCATCACCTTACACTGTTTCCTAGTTTTCATCCCTGACCCCTCTGTGTCTTCATCCCCACACTCTGTCCTGCCTGGAGCCCATTCAATGTTGCCTCCTGTTAAAGCTCTCAGATTTGTCCATCTCTCTATCTCCTTCTCTGCCAACCTAGCCCAAGCTACCATCGTCTGTCAATAGCCTCCCAGGTGGTCTGCCCACGTTCACTCTTAGTTTTTCGCCACTGTGCAGCCAGAATGGTATTTTTGCAAACAAATCTGATCTTGCCACTCCCCCTGTAAGAAACATTAACAGCCTCCCAGGGCTCTTACAACTCCTCTACTGGACCTCAGTTTGGCCCCTGCTGACCTCCCAAGCCTCAAGCCATAATAACCTCCCACTTAATCCCCAAGGGGCAACCACAAAGATTTTGGTTCCTCAGACAGAACACATTCCCTTGATTACAGTGACTGTTCACACACTGTTTCCTGGGCCTAAAATGCTCCTTTCCTCTCTTTGCTTGGTTAACTCATACTCTTCCTCCAAATCTCAAATAAATTATCATTCATTCAACTCAACAAATATTTACTGGACACCTACTACATGCCAAATACCGTGCTAGGTGCTGGAATGCAGCAACAAACAAATCAAGCTTCTGTCCTCAGGAAGCTTACATTCTCCTAGGGGGAGGGGGAGAGGAGAAAATAAACACATATAAAATGTACCAGGTGGTCATAAGTGCCCCGAAGACAAAAAGGGTAGAGGGAGTGAGGGGAGGCAAATGCTATTGTATTAATATCTATAGAGAAGGTATCTATGATAAAGTGTTATCTTATTTTAACAGAGACCTGAAAGAAGGGTGGGAGCCACACTGACAGCTGCAGGTGAAGAGTGCAAGGTAGGCCGGGTGCGGTGGCTCACGCCTGTAATCCCAGCATTTTGGGAGGCCAAGGTGGGCGGATCACGAGGTCAGGAGATCGAGACCATCCTGGCTAACACGGTGAAACCCCGTCTCTACTAAAAATACAAAAAATTAGCTGGGCAAGGTGGCAGGCGTCTGTAGTCCCACCTACTCGGGAGGCTGAGGCAAGAGAATGGTGTGAACCCCAGGGGGCGGAGCCTGCAGTGAGCCGAGATCGCGCCACTGCACTCCAGCCTGGGTGACAGGAGACACCATCTCAAAAAAAAAAAAGAGTGCAAGGTAGAGGGGGCTGCTGTGCAAAAGTCCTGGGGTGGGAGCAGAGGCCACCATGGCTCAGGAAGAGGGAATGAGGGCAAGAGTGGAATGAGACGAGATCAGAAAGGAAACAGAGTCATCATTTAAGGGCCCATAGGCCTTAATAGGGAGTTGGATTTGACTCTGAATGATGCAGGGAGCCATTGGAGAATTACGTGACCTGGCTTACTTTAAAAGGATCACACGGGCTGCTGCGAGGAAAAAACAATTGACAGAGGTAAGGCAGGAAACTGGGAGACATGAATAAGCAATTGTAGCCTTCCAGGTGTGAGACAACGGTGGGCTAGGCCATGTGGGGGAAGTGGATGGGGTGAGACATCGCTGGAGCCCAGTTGAATCAATGCCCCTAATGGAAGTTCCCAGAGCACCTCCTTCTTCTATGGTGGTTGTAATGGGACATTTATTGGTGCACATTTGATTAATGTCTGTCTCCCCCTACTGGGCTATAAGCCTCAAGAAGGCAAGAAATGGGTCTTCTTTGCTCACCATTGCATTTCCAACATCCAGTGCCCACAATATATGCTCTATATAGTTTTCTTGAATGAATGAATGAATGAATGAACAAATACCCCAAAAACAAAAGCACAAACACACAATCCTTTAAGTCTACTTGGGAAGCCCAGCCTTCCCTGCTCTCTTGAGGCTCTGCAAGAAGCAGTCATGCAACATCCACTCCATGCCCAGCACCTTCCAGGCACAATATTAAAGAAGTGCAGGGGCCAGGTGCAGTGGCTCACCCCTGTAATCCCAGCACTTTGGGAGGCCGAGGTGGGTGGATCACAAGGTCGGGAGTTTGAGACCAGCCTGGCCAATATGTGAAACCCTGTCTCTACTAAAAATACAAAAATTAGCTGGGCATGGTGGCAGGCACCTGTAGTCCCAGCTACTCAGGAGACTGAGGCAGGAGAATCGCGTGAACCTGTGAGGTGGCAGTTGCAGTGAGCCAAGATCACACCACTGCACTCCAGCCTGAGCAACAGAGAGAGACTCTGTCACAAAAGAAAAAGAAAAAGAACAAGAGCAGGGCAGTGTGACATTTGCTACCCAGGTTCAGGTCCAGGGTCTGCCAGCCATGGCCAGAGACATAATAATTGCTAAGAATTACTGAGTTTACTTTGTTTCAGAGACCACTTTAGATGCTTTCTGTTATTACTTTGCTTAAATCCCGTGCAAGTCAAACAAAGTAGGTATTATTATTATTATCCAGATGCATAAACTGTATGGCACAATCACACATCCCTGGGTCCTCCCAGGAGGGCCACCACACTCTGAAACTCCAGTCTTTTCTATTTTTCAGAGACGGAGTCTCACTCTGTCGCCCAGGCTGGAGTGCAGTGGTGCAATCTCAGCTCACTGCGATCTTCACCTCCCAGGTTCAAGCGATTCTCCTGCCTCAGCCTCCCAAGTAGCTGGGATTACAGGTGCCCACAACCATGCCCAGTTGATGTGTGTGTGTGTGTGTGTGTGTGTGTGTGTGTGTGTTTAGTAGAGATGGAGTTTTGCCATGTTGGCCAAGCTGATCTCGAATTCCTGACCTCAGGTGATCAGCCTGCCTTGGCCTCCCAAAGTGCTGGGGTTACAGGCATGAGCCACCGCACCTGGCCTGAAACTCCTTTCCAAACCTAAGTTTAGATTTCCAATGCCACTGAAATCTCACCTAAATTCAGGGCAATCAGAGGGAGAAGCTTCTACACACCCCAAATCTCAGGCTGTCTCTCCATCTCCTTCCCTTGGTCAAGTGGCAACCTCCCAAGGACGGCCACAAGGCACCCAGAGCCCAGCTGCAGAGTCCACTGGCTCTGTGGGAGTCCTGGAGATAAAGGACACCACCGTCCCCTCTCAGATGCCCCAAGCTAAATGGACCCAGCAAAGCCTGGCCCAGCAGCTCCAACTGCTGTCTGTGGGGAAGCTGGCTGAAAGAGCTCCGGGGCAGGCTCCGTGTCTTATCTGTCCTGCAAATCCAGAGCTGTGGGTGCCAGGAGCCAAAGCCTCATTTCTGAGCCTGGTTTGTGTCCTAGCTTAGCCCAGATCCTAAAAGTCAGGAGATGAAGGAATGGCCATCATTCTTCTTGACTCAACTGCATGTTTGAGAACTAAGATGCCAGGACTCACAGTGACAGGAGAGGCAGTGCAGTCCCCCAGTGCATAGCAGCTGCACCCTGAGGCTGGTGTGTCTGAGCAAAGCCAATGCAGAGCTGCGGGCCCTACAGATCCCATGGGGAAGGAGGGAGAGGGGAGGGCAGGGGAGGGTAGCAGCTGAGGAGGGTTCTCACTGCCTCGCCTGAAGCTGAAACCTAGCATCCAGTGGGTGATAGTGCCTGGCACGTTGCATTTCCCAGGGATGGAAAAATGTACTTTTGTCCCCTCCAATCAGTTGGAGGTGTGCCTGGAAAAGTGAGTTGAGAAGGATGGGGCTGAGCTTGGGCCTCCTGGGCTATCACAGCCACTGAGTACTGAGTGAAGAGTGATGGCTGATGAGAGAGGGAAGCGAGGGTGGGTGTGCGTGTGCCAGGCTTTCACAGCTCCAGAGCTGAGCTGCTCCAGAGCTCATATCGATAGAGACAGAATAACTTCATCCACAGGATTCTGCCTGCTGAGAATCAGAAACAAGTTCCCTCTTCCTGGCCAGCCATGCCAAGAGCCCTCAGCTAGACCCGTCAGGATTCTAGGTCCCTAAGGGGCACGGAGCCTCCATGGACTGTCCTGTTTGTGGTTTTAGCCTCTGGGAACAGTTGGCTCCCATCTGACCCAGCAGCAGCCAGAAAACATCACCACACTTGATCCAAGAACCCACCGTTGGGGCCACCAGGCAACCAAGCCACCAGGCTGAAGTTGCAGGCAGCCCCTAGCCCTCTCTCCTCACCTCTCCGTCACCCTCTTCCTCCTCCTTTCCTGCCATTCGCCATCTATCAAAATAAAAACTCAAATTTTAAGGACAAATCCTAGAAAATGAGTGAATACAGAACATCAGGGAAGAGGAATGTAGCATTAGTTTTATCCCTTAGGCCTTGAGCATTGATGAGTTTAAAGAAGGAAAAATCAAGAAGGAAACTTGAGTGAAGAGAGGCAACGAATGGGGGAAAAGCTGGGCAAGATGTTAGAAGGACCGGATTCTAGTCCCAGTTCACCACTCACCTGGGGCACCAGACGTCACTGTTCTCACCTGAGGTCCTGGTTGTGCATAGGGTTGTCTCTGGGCATTGGAGGGGAGAACCAGGGAGCCGGCCCCCAGGACCACCCCTGCATCACTTAATGCAGCTTCCAGATTACATTTTATTTTTAGTAGAGACGGGGCTTCACCATGTTGGCCAGGCTAGTTTTGAACTCCTGGCCTCAAGTGAAACACACACCTCAGCCTCCCAAAGTGCTGGGATTACAGGCGTGAGCCACTGTGCCTGGCCTCCAGATTACGTTTTATTTCAACAAGAGTTTCTGCAACCAAAAAAATTAGAGTATTAAATATTTTCTACAAAGAGTATATACGACCTGTAAGTTATAAAGAATAATAAAATGCACACCTATGTGCCCCCACCCAGCTTAAGAAAGAGAATAACTTTAATTTTTTTATTTATTTTTTGTTTCCTGATTCAAATGTAACATATATTGACTATAGAAATTTTGCAAGATCCGGAAGAGAGAAAACAAGTATCACCACAACTTCATTATCTTTTTGCAAACATTCTGGTGACAATTCTTTCCTGTTTATCCTGGGTGTGTATCTTTTTTCTGAAATTGAGATCCTATGGTGCAAATTGTCCCCTTTTTTCCATCATGGCCATCTTCCTTGGATCAGCTAATTTCTTGGCACCCTTTCACCTCCAAGATTTCAAGTTAAAAACCCCCGGATTTTTTGTGGGAGTGGGATTCAGAGTTGATTTTCCAAAAAGAAGCAGTAGTAGGAATTGACAGATTGGGGAAAATCTGTCCTGTCTGGCTTCTACCTGAAACATACACTACATTAAGAGGTTGATAAAGTGCATCCTGTCATATCTCGCCCAGAGCGGTATCTCAGGATTAATGTTGATTGATGTTTGTGTCTCATGAGGCTGAAAGCATGAGGCATCTCTGGAGATAAGAAGGAAAATGAAAGCCAGTGCTTTCAGGATTAAAAAAAAATGCCTTAGAAGGCTTCCCTGCAGCTCCAAGCCAAGCACCGGGGCCTGTGATAGATTCTCAGTACACACTGCGTGCCTGTATCTCATCGTTGTGCCTGTTCAGTCATCATTTATCCAGAGGATAAGGCACGGTTCTATAAACCTACCTAGAACACACTCAGGCAAAAGGGGACATACATTAGAGGAATACGAGGCTATCACCCATCATTCAAAGAAAATCCATGGGAAAGGCAAGGATCCTGTTGGGTGTCGGGGTCAACTGGAACCGGGCAATCAAACAGCCCCTGGGTTCTCTCTTCCTTGTCCTCTCTGGGCTCTATTCTCTCACCCTAGAGACAGCTTTCTCCAGGAGGAGGGAAAATGGCCACTGACACCTCTCACGTTTTCCATCTTAGGAGTTTTATTCCCAGAGAAAGCCTTACTTCCTTCCTTAGCCTCAGTTAAAAGTAAAAAGAAACCCTGCCTGGGAAGAACTGAGATTGGCCTGACTTTCATCAAGTGCCCAATCCTGGACCATTCCATTGTGTCCAGGGTCACTGAAAGTGGCAGCACACCCCACTGAATTGCAGCCATGCAGTTAGGGGATATCTGAGCCTAAGAGCAGTCGCTGATCCTAAGCAGGAGTTGAAATCATGAAAGTGGCTGCAAATCACCCAGTGAGTGTATAGAAGGAAAAGAAGAAAGCAGGGCAGAACACTGGGCGTAAACACAATTTAAAGAATGGAAAGAAGACAAGGAATCCAGGAAGAAAAGTGAAAATGGCTATAAAAAAAAGCAAATAGGTGGAAAATCCAGACAGCACAGAGCCACAGGAGCCAAGAAGGCTGGAGTTTGGAGGAGGACGGAGTACCCACCAGCATGGAAGTCCAGGAAAACATGCAAAGGAGAATGGCCCTGGGGTCTGGAAGCAGGAGGGGCACTGGTGATCTCTGCAAATGCCATTTCCGTGGAGGGTGGGAGTGGAAGCCAGGTGAAGACCAGCAAATACAACCTGAGGGTAGTTCTTGAGGAAAATAGTTAGGGAAGGTGGGAAAGGTGGAATAGGAAGCGGGAGAGGCAGAGGAGACAGTCCCTTCCACCTTAACCACATGGGTTTATAGATCAGACCTCCCTTGACACCAAACCCTTTGCATGCAATCCCCTGTTATTCAATCCAATGTCACATTAAATGTCCATGCTATACACTATAAGAAAGTATTTCTAATAATAATAGCTAATACTTATAATAAATCACAGAGGCCTGACTCAAGCTCACGTTCTCACCTATTCTTTCTGCTCCTTCCCCACTGGTCCACTAAAGTAAAGGAGTACATTTTTTTTTTTTTGAGTCGGAGTCTCGCTCTGTTGCCCAGGCTAGAGTGCAATGGCACGATCTTCAGCTCACTGCAACCTCTGCCTCCCGAGTTCAAGCAATTCTCCTGTCTCACCCTCCCAAGTAGCTAGGATTACAGGCGCCTGCCACCATGCCCAGCTACCTTTGGTATTTTTAGTAGAGATGGGGTTTCACTGTATTGGTCAGGCTTGTCTCTTTGCCAGGCTGGTCTCGAACTCCCGACCTTGTGATCTGCCCACCTCGGCTTCCCAAAGGGCTGGGATTACAAGGATGAGCCACTGTGCCTGGCCAGTAATGGGGTAATTTGTCTAGAGGGAGATGATAGAGCAACAGAGGCCAGCTCCTCCCAGACTTACAGCCTTCCCCTAAGAAAAATGAGTGCTCTCTCCTTCTATTTCTACCAAACATCTACCTCCATTCTACCAACACTCTCTCCCAGCTCTCTGAAGGAGAAATAAAGCCCTGTCTGAGTTATGTGTGGAGGCACAACCATTAGTTTTGGACAAAACAGCAATTCTAGATAATTGCAATGTTCAGGGTGTCTGCCCCCTACCCAATGGCCCCTCTCTGGAGTCCAAATCTCCCCTTCTCTGCTTCATGCTGTAGGAAACTGCAGAACTGACAATGAGGTTATGAAATGCCTGGGCGTATAAAAGGCAGACAGTGCTAGACTCCAGGAGACTATTCAAGGCTGGCTTTATTTAGTGTGTCCCACAGCCACTAATTGCCGGGCAGATCCTGATGCCATAGCTGATAGAACAGCACAAGGCAGCTAGGACACCCGCAATGTGGCCTTCTGGAAATGGGACCAAAAGCCCATTCTCATAACTTGTCTTAAAAGTAGGTTCCCCTCTGGTTCAGCCACAACCACTGCTGGTGACCTCACTTCAAACCTGGCTGTGCTGCACTGGGGCTGCTGACACACACCTGACTATCATAAGTCGCTGTCCTTTGTCATATTCTTCCTGCTGGTGCAATATTTTTCTTCCTGCCTATGGCCTAATTTTTAGGGCAGGAAGATGAAAATAAGACCTTCCATCTGTTCCCACTTCTAAAATATTAGGTGTAAAGAAATATTCTCTCTGAATTAAAAACTTTCCACGTTGAACCACTAACTTGAAAGTTACTCTTTACTTTTTTCTTTCCCCTTTCCCCTCTTCTTTTCTTCTCCTTTGATTCCTTTTTACTGAAATCCATCCCCAGCCTCTCCTCTCTCTCCACATTACCCCCATCCCTCTTCTTCAGTTCCCTCTATTACCCATCTTCTCTCCTTTCCATGGTCCAGACCACAGCAAGGCAAAAAAGGCACGTAGGGCACAAAATCTAAGGAGTCTTCCCGAGGTGCAGGCATGACCCTGAGAGTGACTGTCCGTAGACACCTTTGTCACCTCGCCCTAGATCCAGCCCTTTTCCTTCCCTATGTCTCTTACTTTACATCATTCAAATAAGGATTTGTCTTCCATCTCTCCCTATTCCTTTGCTCTTTTGGTCACCTGGTAGAATGTTTATTCCTTATACATGTAACAACTATATTATCTAGAATACTCATTCAGCTACTGTATTGAAAGCCAACTTATGTAGGGCATACACAAGATAGAAATCTATTTATTTTTCCTCCAACATTCAGGGGTAAGCAGTTCAAGGCTGATATGGCAGTTCCACAGCCTCAGGGTTCTTCCAGCCCATGGCTCTACCATCCAGCACTGGGCTTCCATCTCAGCATCAGATGGCTGCTCCAGCACCCACCACCACCCCTACATCCCACCCAGAGGAAGGGAAGAGAGGAAGAGGAGGGTTTGCTCCAATCTCTCTCTGGGCTTGACTTCTGCTCTCACATCCCGTTGGCCAGAATTCAGTTATGTCGCCACACCTCCCTGCAAAGGAGGCTGAGAAATGTTTTTAAATTTTGTGCCCAGCCAAAAATTCTGTTACTGAAAAGGGGAGAGTTGGAGGATAACTAGAAATATTTTCCATGTTTTATCGTACTGAGAAATTGCATCTTTTCTTACTCGAAATATTAGGGAGAGGAAAACAATAGCTATCCCTCTCCTATTCTTTTTCTTAATAGTGCTGCTTGCATTTTAGATGAAGTGCATTTACATGCACTTGTATAATAAGTGGAATTTATGGCAGAATAGTGACGATGTTGATGATGATGATGACGAAGACAAAGACAAAGATGAAGGCAACAGTCGACACCTACATATCACTGTCTAAGTGCGGATGCTATTATTCTAAGCCTTTTTATGAAGCCCTCCATATTAACCCACTTTACCCTTACAACAACCTGAGATATACATTATTATTATCTCTATTTTACGGATGAGGTAATTGACACAGAGAAGTTGCAGTGACAGAGCCAGTAAGGGATGAATCTAGATTCAAACCTAAGTCGTCTGGCTCTAGAGGGAAACACTGTAAACAATATAAATAGATGTTATTCCTGGTGGTAGCACTGGAATATGTTGCACAGTTTTAGGAGACCCCATGGCAGATGGCACCATGCTGTGCTCTGGAGGTGACACTGGGGTCATTAACACCATCTTCTACATGAACGTGCAATGTGGCGGTCTAGGTCATGTCCTTCCTCCTCCCCTAATAAGTCTAGACTCTCTTCTTAATTCTGTCCAGTGCTCTCCTCCTGCGCAACTAAAGTTCTTCTTCATCTCATTTGGGAAACTAAAGCCCTTTCTGAATGGTTTTCCAGGGCACGTTGATTGATGCCATCAGTTCAGGAGTTCCTGAACTTGTCTTCATGTCAGAGTCACCCTTAGAACCTTATAATAATGCAAACCCCCAAGCCTCACCCCAGGATACTCTGAATAAGAAAGTCTGGGCTCGGCTCAGTGGCTCACACCTGTAATCCCAGCACTTTGGGAGGCTGAGGCGGGTGGATCACGAGGTCAAGAGATGGAGACCATCCTGGCCAACATGGTGAAACCCCATCTCTACTAAAAATACAAAAACTTAGCTGGGTGTGGTGGCAGGTGCCTGTAGTCCCAACTACTCGGGAGGCTGAGGCAGGAGGATGACTTGAACCTGGGAGGTGGAGGTTGCAGTGAGCTAAGATCATGCCACTGCACTCCAGCCTGGGCGACAGAGCGAGACTCTGTCTCAAAGAAAAAAAGAAAGTTTGGGGAAATCTGTATTTTTGATCCCTGATATTTGAAGTCTGTAAAGGAAAATAGTAGTATATTCATTATTATGTTCAATTAATATTAATATGCTGAATCTGATATTGAATCTCCTCTGCAGTGTCCCACCCTGGTGACACTCAGCCTTTGTACAGTGCTCACACTAGTCCCAGGTCTGCAACAGCAGCTCACATTGACTGAGTATCCCAGGCACCGGGACAAGGATGGATGGATGATCTCATCAAATCCACCCAAAATCCCTCAGGGCTCAGTGCAATTACCCCCAACCACAGGGAAACAGACTCCAAACGTTAAGTGTGTGCCTCAGGTCATAAGCTAGTAAGTGAAGTGCTCTGGTGCATGTGGGCCTGGTGTGCTGACTTCAAAGTGAGCATGATCACCTGCCGTGCAGTCCTGCTCCTGGGCTGCAGCACCTCCTCCCAGCCGTGCTTTGACCTCTCCTCATTTCTTATACATTATTCCTTTTTTTTTTTTTTTCGACAAAGTCTCACTCTGTCTACCAGGCTGGGGTGCAGTGGTGCAATCTCAGCTCACTACAACCTTCACCTCCCGGGCTCAAGCGATTCTCCTACCTCAGCCTCCTGAGTAGCTGGGACTACAGGTGCCTGCCACCATGCCTGGCTAATTTTTGTATTTTTAGTAGAGACAGGGTTTCACCATGGTGGCCAGGCTGGTCTCGAACTCCTGGCCTCAAGTGATCTGCCTGTCTTGGCCTCCCAAAGTGTTGGGATTACAGGCGTGAGCCGCCGCACTGGCCTCCATTTTTAAAATATGAAAACTGCAACTCAAAGAAGTCAAGAAAGTGGTCCAAGTCAAATAACTTACAAGTGGCTCAGGTAGACCTTGAAACACATTTGTCTGAGCCAAAATCCCAGTTTCCTCTCCATAAGTCACACGGCTTTCCTGCAGAGCCCCGCAGCCTCACGACCCAACCATATGTGACCTCAGCATAGGCAACACATGCAGCTGACCTTAAATAAATGCTTCTGGCCGGATGCGGTGGCTCACACCTGTAATCCTAGCACTATGGGAGGCAGAGGCGAGCGAATTGCCTGAGCTCGGCAGTTTGAGACGAGCCTGGGCAAAGTGGCAAAACCCCGACTCTACTAAAAATACAAAAAAAAAAAATTGGCTGGGTGTGGTGGTGCACACCTGTAGTCCCAGCTACTTGGGAGGCTGAGGTGGGAGGATTGCTTGAACCCAGGAGGTGGTGGTTGTTGCAATGAGCTGAGATCACGCCACTGCACTCCAGCCTGGGCGACGGAGCGAGACTCTGTCTCTAAATAAATAAATTAACTACCGCTTCTCACATGGGAAGATGAAGAGAAACTCTTGCACACAGACAACAGGAGACATGTATGTGAAAGTTCCCTGCAGTGCTGGTCACAGCAGATAAAAACCAGGCACAGCACACATGCCCTTCAGTGGAAGAATAGATGAAAGAAATGTGGGCTATTCACTCAGCAGAACGTTATGCAGCAGCCAAAACAACAGACATGCCACAATACAGAAGAATCTAAGCAACGTAATCTTAAATCAAAAAAGCAACCAGCCAGGCACATTGGCTCACACCTGTAATCCCAGCATTTAGGGAGGCAGAGGCAGGAGGATTGCTTGAGCCCAGGGGTTCGAGACCATCCTGGACAACATAGCAAGACCCCATCTCTACAAAAAGAAAGAAAAGGCCCGGTGTAGTGGCTCATGCCTGTAATCCTAGCACTTTGGGAGGCCAAGGCAGGTGGATCACCTGAGGTCAGGAGTTCAAGACCAGCATGGCCAATATGGTGAAACCTCATCTCTACTAAAAACATAAAAATTAGCCAGGCATGGTGGCACATGCCTGTAGTTCCAGCTTCTCAGGAGGCTGAGGCAGGAGCATCGCTTGAACCTGGGTGGCAGAGGTTGCAGTGAGCTGAGATTGTACCACTGCACTCCAGCCTGGACAGCAAAGTGAGACTCCATCTCAAAAAGAAAAAAAAAAAACTAACATTTTTTAAATGCATCTTTAGGAATGCATATAGATGCAATAAAACTACCTAAAAATGAAAGCAAAGGATTGATGGACAGAGGAATCAGGATGATTCTCAATTTGGGGAGTGAAGTGGGATGAGTATATGGTTAAATGTAGGTTATTGCCAAGGCCCTAGCTTTTGCTTTGGGTTTACAGAGCCTTATTACATTGGAATAAACCAATGAATGAAAGTGGACTGTCCACGGGTGAATGATGAGTGTCTCAGAATTCCATTATGATGATTGACCCAATTCTGAGCACCCTGAGGTCCAATTTAAAGAAAAGCTAGGTTAACCGATGAAGAAATGATTTGGCATGATGCATTATCAGCTCTTGGAAGGAGGGATTGAATTTTCTTCCTAGTTTTGATCCTCAGCTATGTGCCTTGAGGAAAACAATCACGAACGACAGCACAAAAGAGCCCAGAGAGAATACGTGAACTTGAACCCACTGATCACTGCGAGCAGGGCAGGTTGTTTAAGAGGGGATTCCATGGCCAAGTGAAGTGTGACTTCAGCAAACGCTCTCAAAACTATGATGCCTCCCACACAGAGAGCACACATGTGTGCATGCGCACACACCAGCCGCTGCTATGGAAGAAAAACACCTGTAACACCCACAGTCCAGGAGAAAACCTGAAGAGCAAATGCTTCTGCAAAGGTGACATGTGCATTTAAAATCACAGTATGATGCAAATGACATATCTTCTCTCCTAAAAGTATATTTCTCACATGGAAAAAGGGCTATGCCACATGAGAGAGAGGAAATAGAGCAGAAAGAGTGGCTGAGAGAAGTCCAGGTAAATTTTGCTGGCTTTTTATAATTCGACTGGCCCTCCCTGAAGACTGGGCAATAGAATTTCCTCCTCCCTGGGGCTGTTGAGCTTGTCAATTCTCTGATGACACAGTCACCAAGTTCTGAGACCCTGCTGGAGACAAATGTCCACAAGGAGGAGGCAGCGAGCTGCAAAGAGCCTGGCACTCAGTGAAGGAGCCTGCCTAGACGCAGCTTCTCCCACAGCCTGCAGCTGCTGTTCTCTGTGCTACAGGAGAGCACTACCGCGCTGATGACCATTAGAAGGACCACACGCTGAAGTCCCAGCTACTTGGGAGGCTGAGGTGGGAGGATCACTTGAGCCTAAGATGTCGAGGCTGCAGTGAGCTGTGATCACTCCACTGCACACCAGCCTGAGCAACAGAGACTCAATCTCAAAAAAACAAAAACAAAAACCAAGAAGGACCACAAACTCCCGGAGTCCTAGCCCATGGGGATAGTCGGATAGTCTCTTTCTCTTTCTCTCTGTCTTTTTTCTTTTTCCTTTTTTTTTTTTTTGAGATCGAGTCTCGCTCTGTCACCCAGGCTGGAGTGCAATGGCACGATCTCAGCTCACTGCAACCTCCACCTCCCAGGCTCAAGCAATTCTCCTGCCTCAGCCTCCCGAGTAGCTGGAATTACAGGTGCCCACCACTATGCCTCGCTAATTTTTTGTATTTTTAGTAGAGACGGGGTTTCACCATGATGGCCAGGCTGGTCTTGAACTCCTGACCTCAGGTGATCTGCCCACCTCAGCCTCCCAAAGTGCTGGGATTACAGGCATGAGTCACCGCGACCGGCTCCATGGGGGTGGTCTTAATGCCACAGGTTCCAGGTAAGAGTGGCTATTGTATGTCCCAGGAATGAGGGTGTTGGGGCAGATATGGCGATGTCACTGAGCACTTTCTGTACACTTCTGGAGAGGCAGACCCCCTTGGCGTCTCCTCCTCCTGATCCTGACTGAGTGGCAGGATAGGTTGGAACTTAGCGTCAAGAAAGTTCAGTGTGCCAGAGAGTTTTTCCAACTATGGAGCTAAAAGCACCAAACAAACCTCCACAGTCCCTTCCTGAGCCACAGTTCTCGGCTGATGATTCTATAAGCAGAAGGCAGCTGCAGGATGGCGGAAAGCGTATCAACGTGGGGCCAGACCACTAGGGACTGAATCTTGGTTCTGTCTGCCGTCTGCAGGATCCTGGTGATGAACTTAATGTCCCAGACTCTCACTTTCATCATCTATAAAATGGGAAGAATTATAGCCTCCTCCAGGGGAGTATTGGATAAGATTAAGTAGATAATACATGCAAAAGAGTCGATGACATCATGCGACACATTGGTGTCACAATAAAGGTTCACTTGTTCATCATGCATCCTTGTATCTCCCGGAAAGCACCCAATGGAGAAGGCAAACGACATGGCAGCAGAAGTCTGGCATCATGGGCAGGGCCTGGGCGGCCTTACAGAGGCTCTCTCTTATTAGAGGCTGCTTCTCAATGGTCAAAAAGGTGGCTCCTTGGGATGCTGGGACAGGAGAAGTTATCACTGGGGGACTTTTCTAGGGAAGGAAACGTTTGTGCCTAGTGGCCACTTCCTGGGTGAAGCCCTCCCCGAGTCCCACCTTCCTCCTCACCTCCAGGCAGAGC
The DNA here is from genome assembly GCF_000001405.40 of Homo sapiens. NCBI lineage: Eukaryota > Metazoa > Chordata > Mammalia > Primates > Hominidae > Homo > Homo sapiens. The sequence continues at coordinate 74,659,112 of NC_000017.11, forward strand.
AAGCGGTCATCCTCTCCTCCAGACTTCTGGCACGCTCATGTTATTCACAATGACAGCTCCCATATTGAGCACTCAGTATATACCAGGCACTGGGCTTAGCACTTACCATGCATTCTTTCTTTCTTTCTTTTTTTTTTCTTTTTTCTTTTTTTTTTTTTTTTTGAGACAGGGTCTTGCTCTGTCGCCCAGGCTGGAGTGCAATAGAGCAATCTCGGCTCACTGAAGCCCCTGCCTCCCGGCTGAGGCGATTCTCATGCCTTAGCCACCCAAGTAGCTGGGATGACAAATGCTCACCACCACACCCGGCTCATTTTTGTATTTTTAGGAGAGACGAGGTTTCACCATGTTGGCCAGGCTGGTCTCGAACCCTGGACCTCAAGTGATCCACCTGCCTTGGCCTCCCAAGGTGCTGGGATTACAGGCTTGAGCCACCCAGGCCCGGCCGCATTCTTTCATTTAATCCTCATAATGACACTTTGAAAGAGGAAAGTGAAGATTAGCAACATGAAATAATAGACAAAGCTGCACAGATAACACACAGTGGAGTCAGGATGCAGACCCGGGTCTGCTGGGTCCAAGCTTGAGCTTTCAGCCACTGCACTACAATGCCTCCCTCATGCACCATCATGACCCTTATCCCATGATATGATCTTTCTGCACCTGTTAGTCACAAGCGGTAGACTGTCGGCTGTTTAGAGTCAGGAACTGTAGCTCTTTTGTCTATTTATCCTGAGTGCCTAGCACAGTACCTGGCTAAGAATGAATGAAAGGAAGGAAGAATAAATGAACAGATCTTCTCCAAAGCCCCAAGGAAGGAGACAGCACCATTGTTCCTCCTAGGTCAATACAACTCAAAACCTCCATTCCCATCCAAGCATGCCAGAGGGGGAGGGGATAGGTGGCTGCATATGGAGGCTGCCCCTTCCCTGCAGTGCACCCCTCACCCATTCCAACAGCCCAGAGCTTAGTCATGGGAGAAACGTTGCAGTGAACCGAGATTGCGCCACTGCATGGGCAACCAAGCAAGACTCTGTCTCAAAAAAAGAAAAAAGAAAGACGACAATATTATTGTATTATATTGTATTCTTTCTAAGATTACAATGTAATATATTGTATTTAATATATTGTATCTAAGAATAAATATTATATACTGTAAGAAAAAGAAAGTTATCTAAATACAAAGAAGCCATCCTATATAATATTATTTATTAATATATAATATCTTATTCTCAAATACAATATTGTTCAGCCTTAGAAAGAAATTAAATTCTGACACATGCTACAACATGGATGAACCTTGAGAACATTAAGCTAAGTGAAATTAGCTAGTCACGAGAAGAAAAATGCTGTGTGATTCCACTCTTATGAGATACCTATATTAGCCAAATGCATATAGACACAGAGAGTAGAAAAGTGGTTGCCAGAGGCTGGGTGGAAGGGGAATGAGGAGTTGTTGTTTCATGGGTATAGAGCATTAGTTTCACAAAACAAAAAGAGTTCTGGAGATGAGTTGTAAGACAATGTAAATGCACTTAACACTACTGAACTGTACACTTAAAAATGGTTAAAATGGTATATTTTTTATTACGTATATTTTACCACAATTTTAAAAAATTTAAAAGAGAACAAATATATATATATATATATATATATATATATATATATATATATATATATATATATATAGTTGTTGTTGTTGTTGTTTTGAGACAGAGTCTCTCTGTCTCCCAGGCTAGAGTGCAGTGGCATGACCTCGGCTCACTGCAACCTCCACCTCCCAGGTTCAAGCAATTCTCCTGCCCCAGCCTCCCAAGTAGTTGTAATTACAGGCACATGCCACCACACTCGGTTAATTTTTGTGTTTTTAGTAGGGACAGGGTTTCACCATGTTGGCCAGGCTGGTCTCGAACTCCTGACCTCAAGGGATCCACCCGCCTCAGCCTCCCAAAGTGCTGGGATTAGGCATGAGCCACCACACCTGGGCAACAAAAATATAATTCTTGGAAACTGAAAAGAATTTTGCTAAAAAGTAATGCATTGTAAGTATTTTAAAGATGACAGTAGGGAAATATCCTAGTTCATAGAGCAGAAAAGACAAAGAGATGGAAAATGATCATATCTGACTACTTGGGAACTTCAGAAAATACAGTAACAATTAAGGGGAGAAAAAAATTAAATCAAGAGAATTTCCCAGAGAGGAAAGGAGACACACATCTTCAAATTGAAAGGGTAGACTGAGTACCCAGCACAATAGATATAAATAGGCATATGGTTATATAAATTCATGCAGAATATCAGAAACCCATAGATTAAGAAAAGATTTTAGAGGGCGGGCACAGTGGCTCATGCCTGTAATCCCAGGACTTTGGGAGGCTGAGGTAGATGGATCACCTGAGGTCAGGAGTTCAAGACAGACCATCCTGGCTAACAGGATGAAACCCCGTCTCTACTAAAAATATAAAAATTAGCCGGGCGCAGTGGCATGTGTCTGTAATCCCAGGTACTTGGGAGGCTGAGGCAGGAGAATCGCTTGAACCTGGGAGGCAGAAGTTGCAGTGAGCCGAGGTCACACCACTGCACTCCGGCAAAGACAGAGAAGAAAGAAAGAGAGAGAGGGGGAGGGAGAGAGGGAGGGAGGAAGGAGGGAAGAAATGAAGGAAGGAAGGAAGGAGGGAGGGAGGGAGGGAGGGAGGGAAGGAAGGAAGGGAAGGAAAGAGAAAGAGAGAAAGAAAGAAGAAAGAAAGAAAGAAAGAGAGAGAGAGAAGAATAGAAAAGAAAGGCTTCCAAAGCAAAAAAATACATACTAAATACTAAAACAGGCCATCCCCAAAGGCAGAGGAATTAGTCTGGCAAAAGACTTTCTATGAGCAGCACTTCAATTAGCAATATTAACTCCTAAGAGTATCCAGGAAGACAATGCAATGATGTCTTCAAACCCCCGAGAAAGAGCCTTCAACCTGGAATTCCAAATCCAGCCCAAATTGAGTAGGAGCAGAACAAATACATTTTCAGATATGTAAAGACTCAGGAAGTTCACCTCCCATGCTCTCTTTCTTAAGCAATTATTTAAGTAAATTCTTAAGTCACTTCTTTGAATACTTATTCATGAGGAATAAAGCAAGAAAAGTAAACCAAGTTCATGAGAGAGTAGACCAAGAAAGCAGAATAAATGAGCCACAGAAATACTGAATCCGTGTAAGAATAGAACTAAAGGAAAATGTCAGAGCTATAGCTACGCAGCAGGCCCAGAGACAACCAGTTCTTGGAATAAACAGATAGAACACTGTGTCAGAGAGGTTTGTGAGATGACGTAGATGAGAGCTTAGAAAATGAGCCTTGAGCATCTGTTGAAGTCCCTGAATTCAATGTTTAAAAACAAATTAGAGCCAGGAACAGTGGCTCATGCCTGTAATCTCAGCACTTTGGGAGGCCAAAGCAAGAGGATTGCTTGAGCTCAAGAGTTCAAGACCAGCCTGGGGAACATGGTGAAACTCCATTTCTGCAAAAAATTAGCCGGGCATGGTGGCTCATGCCTGTGGTCCCAGATATTCAGGAGGCTGAGGTGGGAGGATCAGTTGAGCCTGGGAAGTCAAGGGTGCAGTGAGCCATGTTCGCGCCATTGTACTCCAGCCTTGATGACAAGGTGAGACCTTGTCTCAAAAAATAAAAATTTAAAAAGTAAATTAGAAACTCAGGGGGAAGAAGTAAAACAAAGTCATTATCTAATACAAAGAAGCCAATCCATATCAGAACACAAAGTCACTGAGATTCAAGAAGAGAATGGAATGCATACCAAAGAGTGGAAAACTGGAAGATATGAGGAACATAATGAAGAAGACATGCATTTTCTTTCTCAACAAGCAAAAATAGAGGCAATCATAAACTTAAGAGAAAACAATAAGTATATAAAAAGACAAAGCACAGATTAAAACTGTGCCATGATTTTGAGCAATGGGTGTATTATTAAAAAGAGTGAGCATAATGTCATACCTTAAATTAGATCCTGGATCAGAATTAGGAAATTGGGTAAAAACTTAGGAAATGCAAGTGAAAAATGGCCTTCCATAATAGTGTATCAGTATTGGTTCATAGCTGTGACAAAGACACCATAATAATGTAAGCTGTTCCTAGCAGGAGAAACTGGGTGTGGGATACACAGGAGCTCTCTGTACTAACTTTGCAACTCTTCTACAAACAAAATAATTCTAAAATTAAAAAAAAAAAATTAAAAAGCCGGGCACAGTGGCTCATGCCTGTAATCCCAGCACTTTGGGAGGCCAAGATAGGCAGATCACCCGAGTTCAGGAGTTCAAGACCAGCCTGGCCAACATGGTGAAACTCTGTCTCTACTAAAACTACAAAAATTAGCCGGGTGTGGTGGTGGGTGCCTGTAATCCCAGCTACTCGGGAGGCTGAGGCAGGAGAATCGTTTGAACCCGGGAGGTGGAGGTGGTAGTGAGCTGAGATTGCGCCACTGTACTCCAGCCTGGGCGACAAGAGTGAGACATTGTCTCAAAAATAAATAAATAAATAAACAAAATGAAACAAAACTTGGTTTTTTAAAAAAGTATATCTGAAAGAGGTTGGGAAATGACAGGGGAAAGAAGTGAAAAGAAGGATAGGAATGCTAATGATTCATCTTAGACCTTGGCAACTCCAAAAATACAATCTACGGTTCACAAAGCAAGGAATGGAGGTTGGAGTCTGCTGTGTGAAATTGCAGAGTTGACTGGTGGAAAAACAGAAAATGGGGGCATAACTATATTGAAAAGACTGTGCAGAGGAAATATAAGGGTACTAGTCAACAGATGTTTGTAACTGTTAGACCAAAAAAAAAGGCATTAAAGGAACTAAAAACAGACAGAGCTAAAAAAAAAAAAAAAAAAAAAAAAAAAAAGGAGCGGGGGCAGGGGGAAGTTACCTTGGAGGAGAAGGACTCTGGGTAGGGATAAGAGAGACGTCTAAGCCCTTCCATACCATTTAAATTTTTGCATATGCATTTGTTACTTTGATTAAAATTTTCAAAATGAAACAAACAAAAAATTGTACCTATCCAGTTCACATCATGACAGATACGGAAACAGAATCCATCATAGTGATTACAATTCTCAAACAAAGGGCTGAAAGCTTCTGTATTAACATGTAAAGGAGCACTCTTGGCAGGTGCGATGGCTCACGCCTGTAATCCCAGCACTTTGGGAGGCCGAGGCAGGCGAATCACGAGGTCAGGAGTTTGAGACCAGCCTGGCCAACATAATGAAACCCCGCCTCTACTAAAAATACAAAAAATTAGCTGGGATTGGTGGTGGGCACCTGTAATCCCAGCTACTCGGGGGACTGAGGCAGGAGAAATCACTTGAATCCGGGAGGCGGAGGTTGCAGTGAGCCAAGATCATGCCACTGCACTCCAGCCCAGGCGACAGTGCGAGACTGTCTCAAAAAACAAACAAAGAAGAGGAATTGAACACAGAAAAGTCAATATTCACACCCTGATAGCTAGGACTAGAAGAGGAAACTTAGAGACACACCTTAAGACTCCATATGCCAGAAACATTTCCCAGGCAGAGGTAGCTGAGGCAACAGGCAGCTACGGGAGAGGGGAGTTAACAGCTGGCAAGAAAGCTGTTCCTCCCTGTTTGGGGAAACATGCATGAGACAGTCCTTATCCATACAAATGACCTCCCTAGCACATGGAGACGGGATTAGAAAATGTCTCTTCTAAAACTTTTAAATCAGAAGCCCTGCAGAATGAGCCACCCATCCTGAGAGATGGTCTGCAAATGTACTTACCAATGACACTTGAATGGCCCCAAATCTCAGAGAGATATCAATCCAAAATGTAATTACTATGAGAATAACTTGACTTTTTAAATTATTGTGTTAATTTAGAATGTCACAAAAAAGGTCCAAAGGGCATGAAGCTAAAAAAAAATGATTAGAGCTTGAAAATTTTTTGGTATTTTCCCCAGGAAAGATAATACTCTAATCTAAATGGACTTTTAGTTTTAGCTTTGACAGGTGAAGAGTAAGAGGTCATCATCCCCACCCTTACAATAGGAAAAAGCTGAACAAGCTCAAAATCAATGACTTTTCTTGGACCATCAGAGAACTGAGTTTGCAGGGAAACCTGCTCCTCTGAAATCTGGAGAGACAAGTGCATCCAGAAAGTCACAGCTGACATCTGCTTACCTGGAGCAGAAGCCACCGGAACCATGAGCTGGTAGGAACACTTACACAGTAATTTTGAGGAACCGTTGGAGGCTAAGTGTGGACTAATTTGAAAGTGAGAAGCTCCTGGGGGTCAGTCTTAGGTGGGCACCCACATTTTCATGGACTTTATCTCCAGGAACCCCACCAGGTTCTCATGGTGATGACTGGGAAAACCAAAGACAAAGAGAAAAATCTTGAAAGAACCCTAAGGAGGAAAAAGTAGGCTTCCTGCAGAGGAGCTAGAATAAAAATTATAGTAAATTGCCAGGCATGGTGGCTCACACCTGTAATCCCAGGACTTTGAGAGGCCGAGGTGGGCAGATCACCTGAGGTCGGGAGTTTGAGACCAGCCTGACCAACATGGAGAAACCCCGTCTCTACTAAAAATACAAAATTAGCCGGGCATGGTGGCACATGCCTGTAATCTCAGCTACTCAGGAGGCTGAGGAGGAGAATCGCTTGAACCTGGGAGGCAGAGGTTCCAGTGAGCCAAGATTGTGCCTTGCACTCCAGCCTGGGCAACAAGAATGAAACTCTGTCTCAAATTAAAAAATATATATATAGTAAACTTCTCCTCAGAAAGTATGCAAGCATTGGTAGGAAAACAGGATGACTATAGTTAACAATAATTGAATGTATATTTCAAGATAACTACAGAAGTGAATTTGGAATGTTCCTAACACAAAGAAATCATAAATGTTTACGGTGATGGATATCCCAACTACCCTGATTTGCTCATTCACATTGTACACTTACATAAAAATATAACATGTACCCCATGAATACGTACAACTAGTATGTATTCACAAAAATTAAAAATTAGAAAAAAATAATTTAAAAAAGAAAGTATGCAAGCAAAAAGACAGTAGTATAAAATATTTAAAGTGTTAGAGGGGAAAATCACCAACCTAGGATTCTATATCCAGGGAAATTATCCTTCAAAAATGAAGAAGCACCGGGCATGGTGGTGTGTGCCTGTAGTGTTAGCCCTTTGGGAAGCTGAGGTAGGAGGATCCTTTGAGGCCAGAAGCTCGAGACCAGTCTAGGCAACATAGCAAGACCTCATCTCTACAAAAAAATTAAAAGATTATCTGGGCATGGTACTATGCACTGGTAGTTCCAGCTACTTGGGAAGCTGAGGCAGAAGGATTGCTTGAGCCCAGAAATTTGGGGCTGCAGTGTACTATAATCCTACTTGTGAATAGCCACTTCACTCCAGCCTGGACAACATAGCAAGATCCCATTTCTTTAAAAAATGAGGAAGAAATAGATACTATCAGACAAACAACTGAGGAATTTGTCACCAGCTGACTTCCCTTACAAGAAACGTTAAAAAAATTTTTTTTCAAGCAGGACAGTGACACATATCAGAAACTTGGATCTATATGAAGCAAAGAAGGGTGTCAGAGAAGGTGTAAATGAAGTTCACATAAAAATCTTATTTTTCCTATTCTTAATTGATCTAAAAGATAACTGTTTAAAGTAACAATAGTAATCAGTATTTAATGATTATAGCATGTGGATAAATGACATAAATGATAGCAATGTCAGAAGGCTGGAAGGGAGGACTCAGGAATACTGTTTTTAAGGCACCTGCACTACACATGAAGAAGAAATAGTGCTGTTTGAAGGTAGATTTAGTTTAGTTTTAAGAATATACTGTAAACTCTAAAGAGAACTGCTTAAATTTTTTTTTCAGATGGAGTTTCACTCTTGTTGCCCAGGCTGGAGTGCAATGAAGTGATATTGGCTCACAGCAAACTCTGCCTCCCAGGTTCAAGTGATTCTCCTGCCTCAGCCTCCTGAGTAGCTGGGATTACAGGCACACACCACCACACCTGGCTAATTTTTTTTTTTTTTTTTTTTTTAGTAGAGACAGGGTTTCACTATGTTGGCCAGGCTGGTCTCAAACTCCTGACCTCAGGTGATCTACCCACCTCGGCCTCCCAAAGTGCTGGGATTACAGGTGTGAGCTGCTGCACCTAGCCTAAAATTTTTTAAGAAGAATTTTTTACTGATATTCTGAGAGAAGATAAAATTTTTAAAAATCATATAAATTGCTCAGAGAGTGCAGAAGCAGTAGCATCTGTAGATGAATAAAAAGCCGTTACAAACATGGTCAATATTAATCCAAATATAGTAACAATCACTTTAAATATGAATGGCTTAATACACTAATTAAAGGACAGAGACTGTCAGAGGGTTATCATAAAAGAGGAAGATCCAATTTTATGCTGCCTACCAGAAATATACTTTAAATATAAAGACTCCAAAGTTTAAAAATAAAGGGATGGAAAAAGTTAGACAACACACTGATCAAAAGAAAACTGAAGTAGCGATGTTAATACCAGACAAAGAAGACTTAGAACAGGGAAAATTGTTAGGAGTAAACGGGAAACCTACCTAATGACAAAGGGAATTAGTTCTCCAAGAAATGTGCATGCACCTGATTACAGAGTGTCAAAATACACGAGGCAAAAACGAATAGAAATGCAAAGAGAAAAAGACAAACCCACTGTAGAGATGGAGAATTCAAAACCCTCTGTCAGTAAGTGATAGATCTAGCAGGAATACAATACATAAAGGATATAGTTGACTTGAAGAACACTATCAATCAATTCGATCTGATTGGCATTTATAGAATACTCTATCCAACAATAACAAAACACACATTCTTCTCAACCTCACCTAGAATGCTCACCAAGATAAGACCTCAAAACACATCTTAACAAATTTAAAAGAATAGGAAGACACAACGTATGTAATTCTAAATTAATAGTATTGTTATATAACGGGCACATTCTCTAAAGAATACCTACTTTCCTTTACTTTTATTATTTGCTCATGTGAAAGGAAAAATGAATCTTGGGACCCCAAAATCACTAAGCTAAAGGGAAAAGTCAGGCTAGGAACTGCTTAGGGCAAACTTGCCTCCCATTCTATTCAAAGTCATCCCTCTGCTCACTGAGATAGATACATATCTGATTGCTTCCTTTGGAAAGACTAATCAGAAACTCAAAAGAATGCAAACATTTTTCTCTTATCTACCTTTGACCAAGAAGCTCCGCCGCCCCCCCCCCCACACCCCCCCCCCCGCCCTGCCACTTGGAGTTGTCCTGCTTTTCTGGACCAAACCAGTGTACATCTTACATATATTGATTGATGTCTCATATCTCCCTAAAATACATAAACCAAGCTGCCCCCCGACCACTTTGAGCATGCTATCAGGACCTCCTGAGGCTGTGTCATGGTGTGTGTCCCTAACTTTGGCAAAATAAACTTCCTAAATTGACTGAGAGCTGTCTCAGATATTTGGGGTTCACACTAAACAATACGCCTTCTGATGATCTCTTCTGCCTAGCTAATGCCTGCTCATGCTCAGCCCAAACTTAAAGATTAAAAACTTTAATACAGTATAATAAAAGCATAAACAAAGTTAATCATTGAAAAGTAATCCACAGCCAGGTGCAGTGGCTCACGCCTGTAATCCCAGCATTTTGGGAGGCTGAGGCAGGCAGATTGTTTAAGCCCAGGAGTTCAAGCCTGGGCAATATGGAAAACCCGTCTCTAAAAAAGATACAAAAATTAGCCAGGCATGGTGGCACACACATGTTGTCCCGGCTAGTCAGAGGGTTCAGGCAGGAGGATTGCTTGAGCCTGGGAGGTCAAGACTGCAGTGAGCTTTAATTGAGCCACTGCACTCTAGCTCGGGTGACAGAGTGAGACCATGTCTCAAAAAAACAAGAAAGAAAAGAAAAGAAATCTATGGAAAATAATGCAATATTTATGACATAAAGGATTAATGCCCATAATATAAAAATTGATTTTATAAATCAATAAAAGAGCACATTCATTCTTGACTTAACTCATTCTCTATACAGTAGCCAAAGTAGTATCTTTAAAACCCAGATCTAGCCATGCCATTTCCCTGCTTGAAGTCCTTCAATGGCTTCACATTGCCCTTAGAATGAAGTTCAAAACTCTTAACATGATCCACATGATCTGGTCCTTATCTATCTCTAGATTGGTCTCCCGTTACCCTTCTCCCATCTTTCTCAGGACTCTAGCCACACTGGTCTTTTCTCAGCTCTTCACACCTTAAAGCCTCTGCATGTATCGATCGCTTTGCCTGGAATCACTCCACCACCACCACCCTCTTCGACTAATGCCCACTTTTCCTTCAGATCTCAGCTTAAACATCATTTCTCATGAAAGTCTTCCATCATCAATTCTGGATTGGTTCAGATCCTCTGCTATTTGCTCTATAAACCTGAACAAACAGAATCATGTTTCTGAAGCTTCAGAACTCCAAACAAGACTCTGAGGAGTGACCCTTCCAAGGAATGTGAGGTTCCAGGCAAAGCCTCTAGAATCTTCTTATCTATAATAGTCAGGGTTGGTGAGGAAGCTCAGGAGAAAGTTAAGATGAGCGAGTCTAAGCTATCCGTTCTGTACTTTTTTTGAGTATAGACAACTTTGAGAACTTAATAAAATCTATGGGATTCATTTCTTCTTCTGGAGATTGCCTCTCCCCCAGAAAAAGTCACAGAAGCAAAATTTTGTGTAATGTTATCAATGTTGCAAAGTTCCCCTAACATCCATTTATCCACCTCACATTAAGAACCCCAACCATTGGATGTTATGTATTTGTCACAGGCTGAAAACAAACAAACAAACAAACAAAAACAAAAACAAAAAAAATCAGCCCAGTGAGAATCTCATAAAACAAACACATTGGTTCCCTAGCTTTGTTCATTTAATCAATGTTCATTGAGTATCTACAGTATAGTGATTCCAGCAATAATAACACCTTATAAATGAAATTTACTTTACAATTTAAAAGAAAATAAAGACTTTTCATGTACATTGTCTCACTCTTCCCCCAAACCCAATAAAGTGGGCATAGATTACTCTACCTATTTTGCAGATGAGAAAACATAAGTAATCCCAGGGAACACGAGTGATCTGGTTCACACAACTCAGCCAAAAAGGAGTGAAACCCAGCAGTAAAACGCACTCTTTTAACCCTAAGCCTGGCTCTTTCCTTCCATGTTGATATTGACTCCAAGGGCCCGTGGCTGGTACTAGGACTTGTCCTTAGTAATCTGATAATAATCCCAGGGGCCACAGTCTCAGCCTCCAGTTCCCATGGTGGTCAGCCTCACGCTCTCATATTCCATGTGATGATGCAATTTTGCCAATCAAAGGTCGCAGCAGCAGGACTCCCCTGACGTATAGGAGAAGTAGCCAGAGCTCTTCATCCCCTGCCAGGAGAGCATAGTAGCTCACATTTATTGAGTTCTTAGTACACGCTGGGCACTGTTCTAGGCTTTTTACATGAATTAACTCATTAAATACTCAGAACAAAACCATGAGGCAGGTACTATTATAATATTATCTCCATTTTGTGGACACTTAGGAAAGATTAATTTGCCCGAGTTTGCACGACTAATAATTTTCAGAATCGAGATTTGAATCCTGGAGCCTGTGCTCCTAACCAAACCACCATCTGCCTCTCCTGAGCCCATTGTCCTTAACTTCTTGCGGTCATGTGTGCTGGAGAGAATGTGATCAAAGCCCTGGACCTTCTCCCTAGGAAAACGCAGGTAAACAGAATTTTGCATATTTCAGGGACTTTGGGGACACCTAAGACCCATCTACTGTCGACCTCAGACTTAGAAGCTCTATTTATCTCATACATCCTGGAGAGAATTGTCCAGGGACAAAAACAGAAGCGCCGCCAGCGCCGCAGGACTTCGCCTCTGCAAACGTGTGAGGAGAGCTGCGCTGCGCTGAGCTGCGTGGTGACGGAGATGCCCGTTCGCTCGGGATCAGGAACGGTGAGCTCCTGGGACCGCAATGCCCTGAGAACGCAGCCGGGTGCTGAGCCTCCGGAGTCCGGTAGCTGAATGAAATACGCAGGGATCACCAGCCGGACCCAAATCTTGCGTCCCTGCCAGCATCCTGGAGTCCTAAGAGGCAGGGATTGGAGCGGACAGGATCTCAGAACTCTGGTCCCGGGCGCACAACGGCGGAGTCGCTGTTCCTGGTGCTGAAACGCTCAGTCCTGGAAGAACGTGGCCGCCTGCCCGCCTGGTACCGCGCCGCGGCCGCTGCGGGGAACTGTCCAGTGCTGAAAACGGATGCGGCCCGGCCCGCAGAGCTCAGACCCAAGCCTGCCGCACCCAGCGGAGCTCGAACCGAGCTCCTGGAAGCGCTGACGCAGAGCGCAGGGAGAGCCGGAGCGGCGAGCTCCAAGCCTGGCATGGACCTGCAGAGACCCGATTCCTACCAGGGAGGAGCTGGCCCTGACTTCAACGACCACGTCCTGCATAAGGTAAACATCTCCTGTATTCCTCAACCTAACGTTGGAAGAGGCGCCAGCACCAGGAGTTTTCTCCACTCCCCTGACTTTGCTTTGGGACTTAATGAGAAACTAGCTTGTATCTGTGAGTCTGGGGAGCCCTTTCTGTCTGATCCTGTTTCCTGCTCAAAACAGAGATGCGTGAGCTCTTGGGGAAGGGCTGCCGCCAGAGGCTCAGATGGTCAGAAGCTTCATTCATTCACTTACATCATCTGTGTTCCTTTTTCACCCCCTCCTTCTCCTTGCCTATTTATGCCCCTGGGTGACCCCTGGCACCTTGCTCTCCTAACCCTTGTAGGAGACTGCATTTCTCCCTGTTACATCTGCTAGCAGTGGCCAAATACCTGAATTTCTGGCCAATTTGTCTGAAATTAGATAAATGGTCTGCAGCAGAGATGAACTGCTGTTTTCAAATCAGACTCCCTCATGGCTCCAGAAAGCTTCCCTCCAGCCATGATTCCCTCACAGCCCCTGTAAGCATTTGCTTATTTCAAAGCACTAACATATCCATTGCTTCCTTCACTCAAGTTTCTTATGCAACTCAGTTTTCAGTAATGCAGGTCTCCCCCTAAGATAGTTGTTGGGAAAAATAGTAGCCTCTCTCAGGATAACAGTTTTAATTCAAAATCCATCACTCTGAAATAATCAAAGTGTTATATTTGCCATAAGAAGTTATTATGGCTCACCTTCCTTTTCTCTGACTTTGCCATGCCTTCCTGCTCCAGCCCCTATATTTTCTGCTTTGATAATGCCAGTTCACCTGCTAGTCCTTTGAAAAGCTGTACGTGATCCTATAGGTGGAGTTTTTTAATCAAAACATCACTTTGAAGAGTCTATGAATGCAAGCTTTGAAATAACCTAACCCAACCTCCTCCTCTATCACCCAGCTTATATTTGAGGAAACTAAAATCCAGAGAGGAAAAATGACTTGTCCAAGAAAGCAAGCTGGTAAATGGCAGAGCTGATACTAAAAGCCAGAAATTACTACTACACGTGTAGTATTCTTTCCTCTATATCCTTACTAAACTTCTCATCAAAGTGTGCAGTCCATGGACCAGCAGCATTGGCATTACCTTGGAACTTATTACAATAGAAAGCCCTGACCCTAGATTGGCTGAATCTGAATCTGCATTTTAACAAGATCTCTAGGAATAAATATGCACAATAAAGTTTTAGGTGCATGGCTCTGTGCCATGCTGCCTGTTTCTGACACAAATGAAAGAAAATCAGCTATTGAAGGAAGCAGGTCTCTAGATCTGACAGTCCATGTGTCTTCTCCCTCCAGGTCTCTGAATTCCTAGGATATAGAGAAGGAGAAAAAATGTATAACAACTATCCCAGTCTAGAAATTTTAAAGCCATCACAGTTTGAAGTAAACTAGAAGAAATTCTGTGCTATTTGATGTTGTCAATTTAGCCCAGTAAAAACTGCATGCAAGGCCAGGCATGGTGGCTCACACCTGTAATCTCAGCACTTTGGGAGGCCGAGGCGGTGGACCGCTTGAGGTCAAGGGTTCAAGACCAGCCTGGCCAACATGGTAAAATCTGTCTCTACTAAAAATACAAAAATTCGCTGGGCATGGTGGTGTGCGCCTGTGATCCCAGCTACTCAGGAGGCTGAGGCAGGAGAATTGCTTGAGCCTGGGAGGCAGAGACTGCAGTGAACCGAAATCACACCACTGCACTCCACTCTAGCCTGGGCAACAAAGCAAGACCTTGTCTCAAAAAAAAAAAGAAAAAAAAAGTTTATGCAAGCAGAGGAACATAATTACAAATCAATTACAAAATTTTCCTGGCAACTAGATATGTGGGTCTCTCCAAGTTTATACCATCCTATAAAGGTATAAATACTCATTTTGAAAGCTTTAAGATTGGGAGCTCAGATTGTTCAAAATATTGATCAGATGTGGTATTTTCCATTTCAATTACCCACACACGAGATGTAGGATGTAGTCCATGAAGACTGTTACTTCCTTTGAGTTTATTGATCACCAAATTGAGAGTGGGAACCCATTCCAACAAGTTCCAACATATTTAAAGGCAAGTATCTATTTACTACTAGTAAAGGCTCAATGTCATCAGCTTGGCTGTGTGAGCACCCTGAGAGCAGGAGCCAGCCTTAAACCTTCTGTGGTGCCCAGCAGAGTGACATATGTATGTAAGGAAAGTTTTCCTTCTTATATAGTGCTGACAACCTCCTCCTAATACTACTTTATGATTGTGCATGATGTTTTATTGTGATCCACTTAAAACTCTTTTTGTAAAGGGGTAGGGCATCAACTTATTTGTATTATATTAAAAATTACTATGTAGTAGAGTCCAAGGAGTTCCCATTGATTGATTAGTGTCTATTGTCCATGAGAAGCAGGGCTCCCCTCCAACATTAATTGCTAGGATAAATTCTTTTTTTGAAGTGGGGTCTCAGTCTGTCACCCAGGCTGGAATGCAGTGGTGTGATCTCAGCTCACTGCAACCTCTGCCTCCCAGGCAAGTGATTCTCCCACCTCAGCCTCCCCAGTAACTGGAACTGCAGGCATGTGCCACCATGCCTGGCTAATTTTTTGGCAGTTGTTGTTTTGTAGAGACAGAGTTTCACCATGTTGGCCAGGCTGGTCTTGAACTCCTGGCCTCAAGAGATCCACCCGCTCGGCCTCCCAAAGTGCTGGCATTATATGTATGAGCCACCATGCCCAGCGTGGGGAAATGATTTTTTAAATAGACTTGTTATTGACACATAACAAACACCACTTTGGGAAGCTGAGGCGGGCAGATCTCTTGAGGTCAGGAGTTCAAGACCAGCCTGGCCAACATGGCGAAACTTTGTCTCTACTAAAAATACAAAAATCAGCTAGGCGTGGTAACACACTCCTATAATCTCAGCTACTAGGGAGGCTGAGACAGGAGAATCACTTGAACCGAGGAGGTGGAGACTGCAGTGAGCCAAGATCACACCACTGCACTCCAGCTTCAGCAACAGAGCAAGACTCCATCTCAAAAAAACAAAAAGAAATATGACAAACACCAAAAAATCCTGAATCTTATGTGTCTACCTTGGTGAATTATCACAAAGTGAACATACCTGTGCAATCACTATCAAGAGAAAGAAATAGAACCTTGTCAGCTTCCCAAGAGGCCCCCTCCCACATTCCACTTGCCAAACACCCTCCCCCAGAGATTGTCATTATAGAGGAAGAAGCATCATCTTGTGTTTTGACAGCACAGCAGATGTTATGTAGGGTAGTCCTAGAAACTTGCCAGAGAAGAGATATTGTCGTATGATGAAACGAAACTCCAGGCTTGGAATAAGCCAAACCTTGATGTGACTTTGAGCAACATCTGTGAGTCTTAATTTTCTTAGCTATAAAATAGGAATGATAATACCTGCCTTATTATTTTTGAGCAAGGATGTTAGCGAATATAATGTAACGCGTATATATAAAATCTCTGGAATATAGGAAGCATTCAATAAAAGTGGTTGTATTGGCTGGGCGCAGTGGCTCCCAGCACTTTGGGAGGCCAAGGAGGATGAATCATGAGGTCAGGAGATCGAGACCATCCTGGCCAACATGGTGAAACCCCATTTCTACTAAAAATACAAAAATTAGCCGGGGGTGGTGGCATGCACCTGCAGTCCCAGCTACTCAGGAGGCTGAGGCAGGAGAATCGCTTTAACCTGGGAGGCAGAGGTTGCAGTGAACCAAGATCACACCACTGCACTTCAGCCTGGTGACAGAGTGAGACTCCATCCGAAAAAAAAAAAAAAGTGGTTGTATTAGGGCATGCATCTTGGGCTCCAAAGCAGCTTCAATGGGTGTCACATTCAGTCTCACCTAAAATGATGAGCTTTGTGAGAAGAGCAGCAGCTTCATACAAGAGAATCTCAGAAACACACACACTACCTATTTCACAGGCAGAAGTCCATGGAAATAAACTCACACAACCCATCTATACAAAAAGCGTGACTTCTATGCAAACATCCCAGTTCTGACTTCCTAAGTTGAGTATCTTTTTTCTCTTGGAGGTGGTGTATGGGACTTGATGAAATTCATTTATATGAAAAACATACGCCAAATATCATGATAGGCATTGTGTAGCTCTTGCACTTTAGCTGGTCCCAATAGTTGGAGGCTGACCCAGGCAAGCCCAAGTAACTCTTAGAAGATTCCCGTAGGGTGGGCTGGAAGCTGGGAACTGACTGAAAACATTGAGCTCATCCATCATGTGCCTGGAGTTTTTAAATAGAGTTGTTGTTGCCACAAATCTGAAAATTTGGTGCAGCTAAATAATTTAAAACAAAGGAGCAACCTGGCTGCTCTTTTCCTTAGAGAACTCTCAGTTCTCTCTTGCCACCAGCTTCAAGAGCCATCCAGGGCAATGGTCTGGGGTAGGGGTTCAGGAACAGCCCACGGATTGGGTCCCTACTGTGCCAGGGTCTGACCTTGAGCTCCCAGAAAATGAAAAGATTTTCATTTCATTTTCACAGAGAGGGCAAGCTTTTGCCCCAGATACCAGTGAATTAGGACAAAAGGGCTTCAGTTCAAGCACTTACTTCCTAATTCCCTATCACCAGGGCTCTAAGGAACATCCACATACCAGACTAGCTTCCAGAGGGACGAACAATTCCTAGGACAAAGTCAGTCTCAGAAAGACTGGGGGTGGGGGGCAGAAAAACGTGAGCTGCTCATCCATTCATCCAGGGCTTGGTTCTTCTTGGGTGAAAAGGGATTACCAGGTCTCTGTCTTCCAAAGTATGTCCATTTCCTCCGACTGCTCTAACACCTCTTCTGGGTGAAAGGAAAAGGCAAGCAGGTAATATCTGCCACTCTCCCCCATCTCCTGCACTTATTCTTCACTTCCTTCTTCTATTACCCATCTTGTAATTTCTGTGTCCCTCAAAAGTCCGCATGCCTCATCGATTCATTCAGCAAACATGCATTGGACATTTCCAAAGCGTAAAGAACTAGGCTGGTCATTGTCGAGAATATAGACGCAAATGATTCCCACCTTCACTAAGCCTGTGGCCTAGAAGGCATGCACACAAATGGCTATACTTTTATATAATTCCAGAAGTGTCCTAAGAAAGATACGGGTAGCTGCAAGGGAGTGACCCAGGAAGAAAAGGTCATGTCTGACTGAATTTGAAATGTCCTCTCTCACTTATGGCTTCTGATTAAAGTTAACCTCCAGGCTTGGCACGGTGGCTCACACCTGTAATCCCAGCACTTTGGGAGGCTGAGGCAGGTGGATCATGAGGTCAGGAATTCGAGACCAGCTTGGCCAACATGGTGAAACTCGTCTCTACTAAAAATACAAAAATTAGTCAGCCGTGGTGGTGCACGCCTGAAATCCCAGCTACTCAGGAGGCAGAGGCAGGAGAATCGCTTGAACCCAGGAAGCAGAAGTTGCAGTGAGCTGAGATCACACCATTGCACTCCAGCCTGGGTGACAGAGTGAGACTCTGTCCCCCCACAAAAAAAATTAAAATTAAAAAATAAAAAATAAAGTTAACATCCATGAGAGACAGAGTTCCACACATCAGCTAGCTCCCTCCCCATGGGACTGTCACCTATTAATCCTAGGGAAAGGTCTGGATACAACAGTGTTCTCCTTCCCTGCCAGAAAATTGTACAAGAGAAAGACAAATAAAACAGCAAAAGACCATACTCGCCATTCTGTGTTCCTCTCTCATTCTCTATCCCACAGGTGCTTCTTTTATTTTTTTTTCGATGAAACAATGATAATGATAATGGTATGCAAATTTGTCCTCAAAAGAATCCAAATTAGCAGAAAAATCCATGCCCTGTAAGTGAAGAGAGTTTTGTTTTCAAAGCGCACTAGTTCCAATTCTCAAAGATTTCTATTGTCAGCTCAGGAACAAACAAGAAAGCCAAGAAAAGCTAGCTGCTCCCTGTATAATATTTCCACTGGCTTGTTTTCCTCTCTTGCTTGCTCTGAAGGCTTACAGATAAACAAATGAAGTGTATATTACATCACTGGCAATCTGGTGCCGTCTGGGACTCCTTTGGCTGATAGGTCGGTCCTGCCCAGATCCCAGAGCAGGCAGCTGGTGTGGGGAGTGGTGGTGCCTGCTAGTTCTCTTAGGATAACCTCAGCAGGAAATGATGGTGACTCAGTCCAGCGCCTCAAAGTCGTTTTCCAAACTCTCCAGGCTTTCCTCTCCTAAGCATCCTTTCCTTTAATTTGTGGTCCCTGGGGCCTTTTGTGAGAAAATGTCTGAGACTCACTTGTGTTGCTGCCCTAATGTTTCCTCTTATAAGCTGTTCTAGGGAGGGACGTCCTTCAGTTTCAGGGCAGGAAACTCCGCCTTACTGGGTGGAAGTAAACAGCCAGAGGTGAGCACCAGGCTGGAGAATTGTTGAAGTGGGCATTTGAAGTGGCTCTAAATTTATCCCAATACCCTTCTTGCTTCCTTCCTCCTCTTCTCAGGCAAGAGAAACAGTCTGTAGAGACTGCGAGTGCGAATGGAGATCACAGCTCCTTGTTAACTCACTCAGGCAATGTAGTTCCCAGCTGGGAGTGGCCCTGGACATCCTCCTATCTCTTAACCAGAGGAGGTTTTCTGGGGCCAAGAGAGACAGCTCCAAGCAAACAGATCTGGAAAATATTAACCCCTAACTGATGACACCAGGCCTCACCCTGCTCCTAAAGGGAGCAAGGCCTTGAGTGGTGCAGTGAAAATAACTTGAGACGTGCAGGGCTCAAGAATTCTCCCAGCACATGGTTCCTGACCTTGATTTCTAAGTCAGCTCCCTCCCTTCTCATTTGCTTATCAGCGCCTTTTCATTTGCTTATTAGCACCTTCTCATTTGCTTATTAGCAGACAGTTTCTACCCATCAACATGAGGATGCTATTTAATCATTTGTGCTTTTGCAAATGCACATGCTTTTAGGTATCTGAAACCAAGCTGTGCTTAAGTTCAAATTTTCTCTTACTTGCTAGCCTTCTGCCCCTGGCCACCACACACACAGACACACAGACACACACACACACACACACACACATGCCTGCACATGCACACATACGCACCCTTCCTCTCATGAGCTGTGGGCAGGGCCAGTGATCATCCGTTTTTGTTCTCTGTCTCCCCTTAGCTTTTGTTATGAGCCTTTTAAAAGCAAAGCAGGCTGGGTGCAGTGGCTTAGTCCTGTAATCCCAGCACTTTGGGAGTCCAAGGCAGGCAGATCACCTGAGGTCAGGAGTTCAAGATCAGCCTGGCCAGCATGAGGAAACTCTGTCTCTAGTAAAAATACAAAAATTAGCTGGGCGTGGTGGCAGGCGCCTGTAACCCCAGCTACTTGGGAGGCTGAGGCAGGAGAATCACTTGAACCCGGAAGGCTGAGGTTGCAGTGAGCCGAGATCGCACCACTGCACTCCAGCCTGGGCAACAAAGCAAGACTCTGTCTCAAAAAAAAAAAAAAAGGCAAAGTAAACATTTCTCCTCCTCTTCTTCCTCCCTCGCCTGTTTGAATTTTGCATTCATACCCTCTCCCAGCAACTCTGTTTATTAAAAATCGGAACTGTCATTTATTAGAGCAGTACCCCTAGGGGAGAGTCAGGAACTGGTAACACCTTCCCCAAGCTCACAGTGAGAAGCAGTGTAAGCTTTGGAAGGGAATAAAGTCTGGTACACAGTCCAGATGAGGCAGACACCCCCTTTCAGCCCCTGGAGTCTCCCTCCTCGCCTCCCCCATGCCTTTACCCAGATCCTTCCTCCTTCTCTGGGTCCCACCTCAGGTTTCATTTGGTTATCAGGTAAGAAATATTAAAAATCATCTCTGCACTATAATCCAAAGGGACCCAGTAAGACTAATAATTGTTCCCAATACATTATCCAAATAAGCATATGGTTTATTTCTGCAGCACTTTACAGTTTGCGAAACACTTTAATATATGCCAAGACATTTTATACTTAACATATGCTTTTTCCAGAAGATGTTACTATTAAACTAATTAATGTCCATATTAATAGGACAGGGAAACAAAGGCCAGATGGCTGGGCATGGTGCTTCATGCCTGTAATCCCAGCACTTTGAGAGGCTGAGATGGGCAGATCATGAGGTCAGTAGTTTGAGACCAGCCTGGCCAACATGGTGAAACCCTGTCTCTACTAAAAACACAAAAATTAGCTGGGTGTGGTGGCGGGCACCTGTAATCCCAGCTACTCAGGAGGCTGAGGCAGGAGAATTGCTTGAACCCAGGAGGCGGAGGTTGCAGTGAGCTGAGATTGCGACACTGCACTCCAGCCTGGGTGACACAGCAAGGCTCTGTCTCAAAAAAAAAAAAAAAAAGAAAGAAAGAAAGAAAAAACTGACTTGCTCAAGGTCATAGCCAGCATTGTGGAAGCCTGAATCATTACAGCAGACCCTTAGATAGCACTTGCATGCCATGTAATATTCTAAGCACTTAGCATCTCTTAACTCACTTAATCCTACAACAAACCTATTTTAATCTCATTTTACAGATGAGTAAACTGAGGCATGGAGACATTAAGAAATTTGCCTATAGTCAAATCCAAGCAAGGTAGACAGGCAGAGGGATAGAGTCAGGAGAGGACAAGGGGCTTCACCAAGAGGGTCACAGATGGTCACTACTTTAGGGCATTGACAGCAGTCCATTGTGTGGCCTTCAGCTCTGTAGAGCTGGTTTTGCTCACTCACTCAAGAGTGGCTCCATCTCTCCAGTCAGGCTGATGTTAATCAGACTCACAAGACATGTATTGCCCTAGATGCCAAGCCACATTATAATCAGGAGATTTTTTTGTTCGCTAAGCATGAAATCCAGGGGAAAAAATGGAACTTGGAGGATTCAAATGTTTAATGCTATCAGGCTGACATGAGTTGGTAGCTGGCTACACTATAGGCACAGCCTCAATCTACGACCCCACTGGCCCCTTCTACCCTTAGGTCCTCTCCCCTACCCCTTGCCCCACCTCTGCCTCCCTCAGCTGTATATATTTAACTGCCTTGGGCCGGACAGTCATTCTATTCTCTCCAGGTCTGTATTTCCTGCAATCCTTTAAGAACTCCTTGCCTTTGAGCTTGAGAATTCCCTGGACTTGACCTGGTTATGGGGAGGGAAAGGGAAGGGATGTTCCGTTCATCATCGCCAGAGTTGTCATTTCATACTTCTTCCTCCATCTCACTCAAGGCCTGTGTCAGAGCCTTAGGGACTTGGATTTCAGGGGCAAGAACCATGGAAGAGTAGAAAGGTGATTGGGGACATTTCCTTATACCCCACCACCACCCCTGTTCACATGCTCCCCTTGAAATCTGATATTTCTGCCTGAGAATCCTGAGAATCAATTCAGCAAATATTTACTGCGCACCACATGCCAGTCCCCAGGAACAAAACCCACTCTTCATTCCCCAAGGAGCTGCGTCCAGCAGGCTGGGTGGATCAGAGGGATGGCACAGGCAGAGATGGCTCAGGCCACATCTGACTGCAGCTCAGTGTGCCACGTGGACCTTGGTGCCCATGAAGGTCAAAGACCTCTAGTCCCATATAGTGGGAAGCTGAGCCCTTGGGGACCAGGTCAAAAGCTTGCAGCTCTCGAGGCTGCCAACTTCTGGCTCCTGGCTGATTGACGGATCTGAGGGGTTATAAAGCCCAAAGTCCCAGGATGGGGCCCCACCTCTGAAGGTCAGAGGGCTCTGAGCCCCTCAACACAGGGATCCCTTCAAGCCCATGTCCAAGAAAGGAAGAGACTCCTGTTGCACTTCTGAGAAGTGCCCAGTGCAAAGACCCCTGTCCAATTGTGGCAGAGTCCAACACATAGAAACTAAGCTGGATCCCTTCCATGACCATCTCCAAAGACATGGGCTGAAAAACACTCAACCAAACCCAAAACACCAGGATCCCAGCCCTTGGGATGACAGTGTGGCACACAAAGAGAGGCTTGGGAAAACAGAGGGGCACGCCACGTGAGCTCTGCAGGCATGTCCTCCAGGACCCTCACTCTCCTTTCCCTGAAACCAGGTCTCCTCCAGACAGCAGGCACATGAGAACCAGCATAGCATAGGCCCTGACCATCACCTGTCCTGACCACCACCTGTGCTGTCTACCACCTGTCCTGTTCACCACTGGTTCCATCCACCACCTGCCCCATCCATCACTTGTTCTGTCCACCACCTGTCTTGTCTACTGCCTTCCCTCTTCACCCTCATCCTGTTCACTACCTGCCCTGTCCACCACCTGTCCTGACCACCTTCTGCCCTGCTCACTGATTTTCTTAGAGTAGGAGGCAGCTCATTAGCAGAGAAAGAGAACTGGGCTTTGAGTACCAAAGAACCAAGCTTTATCCCTGTCTCTGCTGTTAGCCAGCTGTACATTCTAGGTCATTCCATTCCAACAGCACTTTCCAACTTGCAGAAAACTTGCATATAAATCATTTCGGTTGAATTCCCCAGCACTGTGTGTAAAGAGAACAGGCATTATTCTTGACTGCAAAAGGGGAAATCTTGTGATCAGGACTCTCGATTTCCAGTGACAAAACCCAACTCAAATTGGCTTAAGCCGAAAAGAGAACTCATTGGTTCCTGTACCAGAGAAGCCTAGGGAGTGCAGCTGACATCGAGCTCAGCTGGTCCCAGGGACTCTCAGTGACTTCGGCCTCACTCTCTGTCTCTCTCTCTCTCTCATTTTTCTCTCTGGCTTGGCTCCATTCACAGGCAGGCTTCTCCCCGTGGGGCCCCATTATTGACAGCAGCCCCAGGATCACATCCTCACAGCTCCCAATTCCAAACAAAGTCCTAGACCCAATACTCACTGGAGACTGAAATTGCCACATGCCCACCCCTGAACCAATACTATAGCCAGAGGGTAGAACATGATGGACGGCTTAAGCTCGGGTCACATGTCCACCCCGAAGGTGGAGTCAATCCCACCCAAGCCCTGTAGATCAAGAGTGGAAGAAAATGGGCCGGGCGTGGTGGATCATGCTTGTAATCCCAGCACTTTGGGAGGTCAAGGCGGGTGGATCACCCGAGGTCGGGAGTTCAAGAACAGCCTGACCAACATGGGGAAACCCCTTCTCTGCTAAAAATACAAAATTAGCCGGTTGTGGTGGTGCATGCCTGCAATCCCAGCTACTCAGGAAGCTGAGGCAGGAGAATCACTTGAACCCGGGAGGCGGAGGTTGCGGTGAGCCGAGATTGCACCATTGCACTCCAGCCTGGGCAATAAGAGCGAAACTCCGTCTCAAAAAAAAAGAGTGGAAGACAATGGTTTCCAGGGAAAATGGGATGGTGTCATCTGGAGGCTAGCCATGCAAAAACAACAGATGTCCCATGGTAATCCAGGGCAAGGCTGAGTCCCAGCATTTTCAAATCTTTAATGAGAAGTGCCTGAAAAGAAATGAAGAGAACTTGTCACAGTCCCACCTGAACTGGCCTCTTGGTGCCTCACACATAGTGTCATTTAAGACTAAATAACTGGATTTGGGTTATTAATGACTGGACTTGGGAAACAAACTGCTGTCACCCTATGAAGCGATAGGCTTATTGGGGCTGCAGAGCCAGACCTCCCTCTATGGGTGGGAGTAGAATTTTCTCTGAAGGAAATAGATGATCCAACTGTGGACCATCCAGGGAAGAGGTTGATTGGAGCAGGGAATGAGGATTCAGGAAGCTGACGGAGCTCAGACAGGAATGAGGGGAAGCTCTTCCGCCTCTCTTAAGGACCATGGTTAGCTGCTATGGAGACGCCTGAATTTTTCCATTGCTGTGTAGGGCGTGTCAGCCCAGGGCTACATGAACACAGATGAGAAGTGAGGCAGAAAAGCACCAAACAAGGCCAACTTTATGAGTATGCCACCTACAAAGTCACATAACGCCCTGCACTTAGAAGGGCCCTGCATTTGGTTTAACACTTTGCATTCGCCATCTTTAAAGTCTTAATAATGTTTGTACAAGGACCCCTGTATTTTTATTTTATATAGCCATTCTTGCTGCCAGATAAAAACCCCTGCAAGGTCTGAGCCTGGCTCTGTGGGGTAGTTTTGAGCTATTCCCTGGGGCACCTCTGCCTTCTGATGGCCTCACACCACGCCTGGTTTTGGATGTGCCTCGAGTAACCAGGGAAGAGTCATCTTATGCTTTGGGCCAGATGGCAAAGGAGTGGGCAGCACCACAGTGGCATTCACTGTCGAGGGGTGGTTGCGTCCCCAGGACAGCATCTGCGAGGGTCACGGGCAGCAGGAAGTGTGGCCTGGAAGGCAGATCAGACAGTCCGAAGGTGGGTGGGTGGGCAAGTCCTCAGGGGTAAGTGGCTGTGACAGAGGCAGGGGAAGAAGTAGACAGGGATCATGTTTGTGATCTGAGCATTGTGCTGAAAAAACAATAAGTTCATATTGGTGGCTATTAGTGAATAATGAGAGTCATTATTTTATTTATTTATTTATTTATTGAGACGAGTCTCTCTCTGTCACCCTGGACTGCAGTGGCATGCACTCTGCCTCCTCTGCCTCCTCACTGCAACCTCTGCCTCCCAGGTTCAAGTGATCCTCCTACTTCAGCCTCCTGAGCAGCTAGGATTACAGATGTGTGCCATGAAGCCCTGTTAATTTTTTTTTTTTTTTTTAGTAAAGATGGTATTGGCCAGGCTGGTCATGAACTCCAGACCTCAAGTGATCCACCTGCCTCAGTCTCCCAAAGTGCTGGGATTATAGGCGTGAGCCACCACACCCAGCCAAGAGAGCCATTATTATTAATATATTTAATTGCAAAATTTGAAAAATGAAAAACAAAGAAAAAATTTCCTGTGATGCCAGTGTTTCAAAATACATATCTTAAAAATAAAAATGGACTGCGCACGGTGGCTTACGCCTATAATCCCAGCACTTTCGGAGGCCGAGGTAGCTGGATCACTTGAGGTCAGGAGTTTGAGAACAGCCTGACCAACATGACGAAACCCTGTCTCTACTAAAAATACAAAAAAGTTAGTCGCGCATGGTGGCGGGTCCCTGTAACCCCAACTACTCAGGAGGCTGAGGCAGGAGAATCACTTGAACCTGGGAGGCAGAGGTTGCAGTGAGCCAAGATTGTGCCACTGCACTCGAGCCTGGGTGACAGAGCAAGGTTCTGCCTTAGAAAAAAAGAAGATGAAATTGCCATGTAAAAATACATGCATGTGTTTATTTATACATATGTGTGAGATAGATAGATAGATAGATAGATAGATAGATAGATAGATAGATAGATCCATCATAGGAATTTTGTTATACACATTTTTACCTTCATTCTTTTTAATCACTACATAGAATTCCATTGTATAGATAAGTGAAAATTCATGGTTTATTCTGAAATTTTGAAACTCATAGAAAGGTACAAAAACTAGAAGAACAAAAAGAAAATGACACATGTACCTACCATCTATATTTACTAAATGCTAACATTTTGCCTTAAAAAAAAAAAAAAAGAAGGCTCCTATAGGTAGCTGGGATCCACTTTGCAAGATAGCCATGGGATAGAAGGTTAATTGGGTTACTTTGTTTTTGTTTTGATATGGAGTCTTGCTCTGTCACCCAGGCTAGAGTGCAGTGGCGCGATCTCGGCTCACTGCAACCTCTGCCTTCTGGGTTCAAGCGATTCTCCCACCTCAGCCTCCCAAGTAGCTGGGATTACAAGTGTGCACCATCACACCCAGCTAATTTTTTGTGTGTTTTTAGTAGAGACAGGGTTTCACCATGTTGACCAGGCTGGTCTCGATCTCATGACCTCAAGTGATCTGCCTGCCTTGGCCTCCCAAAGTTCTGAGATTACAGGCGTGAACCACTGCTCCAAGCCCTAGTTTGGTTACTTTGAAATCACAGCCTGATGGGTCTGCGGCACTTTTAGTTACACTCCATTTCGTAGAAGAGAAAAGAGATCTGAGAGACATTCAGTGGTTGTTCAAGGGCACTCAGCAGGGAATAAAAGAGAAACCCCAATCCAAGCTTCAACTCCAGACCCTAACTCTTCTCCTTATCCCTCCCTAGATTCCCAAGGTCCTTAGGAAAGGGAAGGCTTGGACTGGAAGCTCCCCCAAACCCCTTTATCACTGACCTCCAGAAATGCTAGTGAAGCCCAGGTGACAATCTCAGCCTGGCCCAGGATAAACACCAAAGCAAAATCAATGCCAGTGGGAGATATTCATTCACAAAGTGGATTCAAGACCCTGCGTGCAGAGCTGCTCAGATGAAGCAGGCCCAAATGCAGTTAGTCACCGTTAATTGGGTCTCAGGAGTGGAGGAGCAAACAACAGCATCCCCTGGGGATTTGCCTCCATCAACCCAAGTGCAGGGTAAGAAGCCCAGGAAAGCAAGCCAAGCTTTGCAAGCACCAGCACTGCCCCTGGGCAGACTCTCCTTCACTCTATCTCCACGTTCTCTCCCATTTGCCCTCATATCTTGTTATATTTTTTTTTTCTTGAGATAGAGTCTCACTCTGTCACCCAGGCTGGAGTGCAGTAGTGCCATTTCGGCTTACCGTAACCTCTGCTTCCAGGTTCAAGCAATTCTCCTACCTCAGCATCCCAGGTAGCTGGGGTTACAGGCACACGCCACCATGCCTGGCTAATTTTTTGTATTTTTAGTACAGACGGGGTTTCACCATGTTGGCCAGGCTGGTGTCAAACTCCTGAGCTCAGGCAACCCACACGCCTCAGCCTCCAAAAGTGCTGGGATTACAGACGTGAGCCACCAAGCCCGGCCTATTATTATTATTTTTGAGATGGAGTCTCGCTCTGTTGCCCAGGCTGGAGTACAGTGGCACCATCTCAGCTCACTGCAACCTCTACCTCCTGGGTTCGAGTGATTCTCCTGCCTCAGCCTCCCGAGTAGCTGGGATTACAGGCGTACACCACTACACCTAGCTAGTTTTTGTATTTTTTTTAGTAGATACGAGGTTTTGCCATGTTAGCCAGGCTGGTCTCTAACTCCTGACCTCAAATGATCCACCCATCTAGCCCTCCCAAAGTGCTGGGATTACAGGCATGAGCCATACAACCAGCCTCTTCTAGTATTTTAAGCTGACTTACTGTACCTACATCTCCACTGGTTCTTTCCCTTGCCACCTGCCAGACAGCTGGATGTTACAGTGCAAGGATGCAAGGTCTCTGGGTCGCAGTCCTTCTTTGCTTATTATTAATTTTGCAGAGGCTGTGTGAAGTTTGAAATAAGTGCACCGTCTGAATTTCACAACTCTTTCCACTGAACTGAGGGAAGGCACCGGGCAGTATAGCTGAGATCAGGGCCTGTGACCTGTTGCTTCTTTGTCGTGGAAACCCTCTGCGTCATTGATAGAGGGCAGCATTCTGCATGTAAATGCCAACAAGTGCCAGTGCTCTGCTCTGCTCATAGCAGATTTCTACTACACAAGGGTGCAGAATGTCCCTCCTGTATTTCTGACCTTGGGGGACAGTCTTTCCCCTCCCTTAATTCTGAGCCCCTCCTCAGAGGTACCTTCAGAAAAACAAATGAGTCAGTCACCTTTTCTTTTTATTTATTCAGTTT
This sequence comes from Homo sapiens, assembly GCF_000001405.40. NCBI lineage: Eukaryota > Metazoa > Chordata > Mammalia > Primates > Hominidae > Homo > Homo sapiens. The sequence continues at coordinate 74,687,194 of NC_000017.11, forward strand.
ATTTTATTTATTTATTTTATTTTTATTTATTTATTTATTTATTTATTTGAGATGGAGTCTTGCTCTATCTCCCAGGCTGGAGTGCAATGGCACGATCTTGGCTCACTGCAACCTCCATCTCCCAGGTTCAAGCAATTCTCCTTTCTCGGCCTCCCAAGTAGCTGGGATTACAGGGGCCCGCCACCACACCCAGCTAATTTTTGTATTTTTAATAGAGATGGGGTTTCACCATGTTGGCCAAGCTGGTCTCAAACTCCTGACCTCAGGTGATCCACCTGCCTCGGCCTCCCAAAGTGCTGGGATTACAGGCGTGAGCCACCACACCCAGCCAAGTCACCCTTTCTTGATGCAAGAGTTGCAGACCCTCAGGACAGAGCCATGTGAGGATATGGTCACAGTGGACTACTTTGGGGAAGGGGCTTGTGCTGGGGCAGGGGGAATCTGATTGCTTCAAGGGTCCCTTTCACAACTACTGGAGAGCTCCACAGCTCTCATTAGTGACAACCTTCATCAGCCTCCAAACAAAGAGGGTCACTAGAGGCCCTCAGGGGAAGCCTCACTACACCAGCGGAGATGTGATGGAGCGGGTCCATGCCTGGAGAACAGTGTGAACCGGATCCATGGCTGCCAATTCTCAGTCCATACCTAAGTACCAGCCCCTGACAAGTACCAACTGATGTGTAGGAAACGATACACACACATCAGTAGATGTTGGCATAAAGTTACCAACTGTCCTTTCTTAGGAAATACTGTCTATTATCCTGAGACTTGGGGTGCTCAAAGCTCCTTTCTTTTATGAAATTATGGTGACAATGGATTGTTGAATAGAAACTTTGTTAAGCAACCCCTCACTTAACCAACTTATTAGGTCAACCAATACCCTTCAGTCTCTTACTGGAGCACACTGACTAAGCCTGAGGCACAGAGTGCTCACAGCTGGCAGGCTCTTCTCTGCTCTCACAGTTGTGGTACCTGGTTAACAAGAATGCATTTGGGCCCATACTTGCTTATGCTGGTCATACGTGTTAACTAGAATGATGTACTTGAATCAATTCACCTGTAAACAAAGGAATTGGCCGGGCGTGGTGGCTCACGTCTGTAATCCCAGCACTTTGGGAGGCCAAGGCAGGGGGATTACCTGAGGTCAGGAGTTCGAGACCAGCCTGGCCAACATGGTGAAACCCTGTCTCTACTAAAAAATACAAAAAAATTAGCCAGGCATGGTGGCAGGTGCCTGTAATCCCAGCTACTTGGGAGGCTGAGGCAGGAGAATTGCTTGAACCTGGGAGGCTGAGGTTGCAGTGAGCTGAGATCACGCCACGGCACTCCAGCCTGGGTGACAGAGAAAGACTGCACCTCAAAAAAAAAAAAAAGAAAAGAAAAGAAAAAGAAAATACAAAGGAATTTAAACAGAAAGACTATTGACCAATAAAATAAGAGTGTAAAAAAAAAGAGAACGGTTATCTCTACAAAAACTAAACTGCTTTGGAAAGACACTATAAAAGCCTGTCACTTTTTAAAATGCTATCAAATTAGGAATGAATGAGAGAACTGTAAAATATCGGAAAGAAATGCATAAAAATGAAGAAAGATTTTGCAATCAGGTGGCTTCATAAGTTTCTAGAATTTCTTGCTTCATGTTAAAGAAACTGGAACTGAAACCCCAGGATCATGTGTGTGTGGTTTGTGCTTCAGGAAAGGCAATGGGCCCCACTTTTCAGCAGACTTGTAAGCAAAGCAAAGGCTTTAGGTCTACATCAAAATACTTGCTAATAACTACACATTTAGATATTTTAAGTCAAAATAAAACATGTAGAGGAAAAATAGCCTTGGCGCAGTGGCTCAAACCCGTAATCTCAGCACTTTGGAAGGCTGAGGCAGATGGATTACTTGAAGTCAGTTCAAGACCAGCCTGGCCAACATGGTGAAACCCTGTCTCTACTAAAAATACAAAATTAACCAGGTGTGGGCGAGTGTGGTAGCTGACACCTGTAATCCCAGCACTTTGGGAGGTCGAGGTGGGCAGATCACCTGAGGTCAGAAGTTCAAGACCAGCCTGACCAACATGGTGAAGCCCCGTTTCTACTAAAAATACAAAAATTAGCCAGGCATGGTGGCACATGCCTGTAATCCCAGCTACTTGGGAGGCCGAGGCAAGAGAATCGCTTGAAGTCGGGAGGCAGAGGTTGTGGTGAGCCAAGATTGCGCCACTGCACTCCAGCCCGGGTGACAGAGCAAGACTCTGTCTGGAAAAAAAAAGAAAAAAGAAAGAAAGAAAAGAAAAAATACAGTATATCTCTTTTATGAGTTCCGGGTTTAACAAACTTTTTCAATGAACTGACCAATTACCAATTCCTGTGAAATTGAATAAGAATTTACCTACTTGGTTCAGACATATTTGACTTTGGCAAAGAAAACTGAAAAGCTAAAAAAAATGTGCCTACTTGGTAGAATAAAAGGCTGATCACTGTATCTGTCCTTGCCAATCTAAAAAATTTATTGGTACATGAAATCAACCGATTCCAGCAGTCTCCCCTTTCCAAGGCTAAGCAGCTTTGAGCTCTATTTTTCAAGATGTCAAGCAAAGGTAGCCTTTCACCTCACTTGAGTGCAAATTTATCTTACTCATGGATTTTGGAGGTTGCCAACTCAGTAGTTTTTTTTTCTCCCTCAACTACTCTCAAACAGTACTATCTTCTGAAAGCCAATGATATGCACATAGTTCTCAAAAGGAGGCTGTCCAAAGCTTACAGGCTTATCAAGTGGAATCTTTTTTGACATGAGGCCTCACTCTGTCCCTGAGGCTGGTGTGCAGTGGTACCATCTCGGCTCACTGCAGCCTCAACTTCCTACGTTCAAGCGATCCTACCCCCTCAGCCTCTGGAGTAGCTGGGTCTACAGTCGTGCACAACCACACCCAGCTGATTTTTTATTTTTGGTGGAGATATCCTTTTTGTAGGCCTCCCTATGTTGCTCAGGCTGGTCTCAAACTCCTGGGCTCAATCGATCACCCACCTTGGCTTCCCAAAGTGCTGAGATTAGAGGCATGAACCACGATGCCTGGCCTGGAATCTTTAAATATTAATAATTCAAAAACCAAGAAGGGAAGCCCCAGCAACTTTAGATGGCTATAAATAATTAGGCACTCAATCAGGATTGAGTGCTTAGAAATCTTGGAGTTTGTTTTAACACAATGTGCTTTCCTGGAAATCATATAACAAGATAGTAAATGCTACCCTCACTCAGACCTGAGGAACCATATTTAAGATGGTTCCTCTTGCAATAAACGTGCTGGCCAGCCACCCAAATTCTGCCTTAGCAAAGTCATGATGGGGTGCGGGGATACGGCTGAGATGACACCCAGATACAAATCTATAGACATTATGAAACAATTTCCTTTCCTGCCTCTTGCGTATATCTGCCTCCCTCCTCTCGCCCCAGCTACTTCTCTAGCACTCTAAACTCTAGCTCAGGCTTGAGCAAACCGGGCTGGATTAGCAGCTGACTCCTACAGTCATAGCACTGCACAGAGAGAACCCAGACACTTCCTATCAGGACCACAAGGCAGAGATCTGCTCTGTCCAGCTCTGGAATTGACTGGACTGGCTCATGACTGTCAACCTATTTCTGAGAACATAAAAAGGTCCCTTTCAGACTGCCACCAATTCAGAGGGCTAGAATTTTAGATAAAAACAGTATATCCAGTAATCTGTTCTCTCTTGTAGACACTTCCTCGTTTTTTTGAGACAGGGTCTCGTTCTGTCACCGAAGCTGGAGTGCAGTGGCATGATCACAGCTCACTGCTGCCTAGAACTCCAGGGCTCAACTGATCCTCCTGCCTCAGCCTCCCAAGTAGCTGGGACCACAGACGCCTGGCTAATTTTTTTAATTTTTTTGTAGAGATAGCAATCCTCAAGCAATCCTCCTACCTCAGCCTCTGGAGTAGCTGGGACTGCAGGCGTGCGCCACCACACCCAGCTAATTAATTAATTATTGTAGGTCTCCCTGTGTTGCCCAGGCTGCTCTCGAACTCCTGGGCTCAATCAATCACCTGCCTTGGCCTCCCAAAGTGCTGGGATTAGAGTTGTAAGCCACCATGCCTAGCCCAGAATCGTTAAGAATTAATAATTCAAAAACCAAGGGAGGGAAACCCCAGTAACCTTAGATGGGTTTATCACGTTGCCCAGGCTTGTCTCAAACACCTGGACTCAAGTGATCCTCCTGGCTAAGCCTTCCAAAGCACTGGGATTACAAACGTGAGCCACCATGCCCGGCCTGTAGACACCTTTTTTCAAAGTTTGACTAAGGCAACCAAAAGGGATCAGAATGGATCGGTCTTCCCATGCTGTTTCACTGCTCTTCAGCAGCCCATGTCCACCATCCAGATGAAGGTAGAAGCAGCCCAATTCCTCCAGCCAAGCCAAATTGAGCTAAATTCTAGTCTTCCCTGTGCGTCTAGCTTAATGTCAGAAGTTTCATGGCAATAATCTTCACTGGGATCTATGATTTTATATTACCAGAAAAGATGAATCCGTTTCTATCCAACATAAGCATATACTTATACATTCTGGGTAGTGCTGGCTGCTTGAAATAAACTCTGAAATAAATCCACTTTATGCACAATAGTTGAAATGGCACAGTTACGCTCTGATCTAAGGCCTTATGTTATGCCATTTTTTTTTTTTTTTTTGAGACGGAGTCTTGCTCTGTCACCCAGGCTGGAGTGCAGTGGCGCGATCTCAGCTCACTGCAAGCTCCGCCTTCTGGGTTCATGCCATTCTCCTACCTCGGCCTCCCAAGTAGCTAGGACTACAGGCACCCGCCACCACACCCAGTTAATTTTTTTGTATTTTTAGTAGAGACGGGGTTTCACCATGTTAGCCAGGATGGTCTCGATCTCCTGACCTTGTGATCCGCCCACCTCGGCCTCCCAAAGTGCTGGGATTACAGGCATGAGCCACCGCACCCGGCCATGTTATGACTTTTATTCTTATACCTTGACTCATTCTAATTTGGCTCTGCTTTGAACTTTTCCATTTTAAGATCTCTCTGTGGGCGCTTCTTGCTCTGTAAATTTAAAACAGTCTGTGTCAAAAACAGTCTCACTCTGACCTGACCAGCTTAGATGACTAGCTCAAGAATAGTCAAGCTTGCTTGGGCTCCATGAAGTCCCCCAGAGCGGAAAAGCCCTTGAAATTCTAGGGAATGATCTTTGAGGTCATGGGAGCAGGATCTCTCCACCAAGGTCACCAATGCCAGATGCCCTTGGGGTGTCCATAGCTGTGAGAAGTCAGGCAAACCCCAGGACACATTGATATGGACTGCTAAACATGCCTACAGCCTCCTACCTGCTGGGTCACCGGCCTGTGGTGCTCAGGGATAGCTCGTCATCTCTTCCCAAGCCATGATGCCTTTCCCTGACACTTTATCCCCAGCCCCTCCCTACAATCCCCCCATCCAACAAAAATCAACCTAGATGAAGTGATAGACCTTTGTCCTCCAGCCAGAGGACATCGTAGCCCCTCATCTCTCCTCAATTTTCAGGAGAGGAAAAAGGAGTCTGTCCACGTCATGCTTCTGGGCAGTCAATCCTGAAATTCCTTAGGTTGTTTGGCCCAGGACTGCCCTGCCAGAATAGTGAACACCGCTGCCTGTGCTCTGAGAGATGCCTTCTACTCCAAATACACTGCTTATTCATTGAGTCAACCAATAAACATTTGAGAACCCATCATGTGCCAGACAGTAACTAGGCACGGGGGATATGGGAGTGAATGAGACAAAGTCCCCACTTAAGGCACCACACAGCCTAGTGGAGATGGGGAAAATGACAAACACAGACCCCACTACATAAGTCATTTCACCAAAGGAAATAAAGCGGAGCAACAAGACAGAGAGAAATTGGAGGTGGGCTGCAGGGGCCACTGCCCCCTAAGTGGCCAAGGAAGGCCTCTTCTAAGAGGTAACATTTAAGCTGAAATGTGATGATAAAAAGGAGCTAACTATTCACCAGTCTGCGGGAAGAGCATTCTGGAAAGGAGGAATAGCAAATGCCAAGGCCCTAAGAAGGGAGCAAGCCTTATCTTGTTAGAAGGACAGAAGAAAAGCTGGTGTGCATGGAGCAGAGCCTTTGAGAGGGAGGGTGGATGGAGTTGGGGGTGAAGGGGCAGCCAGCAGCCCATGGATCCCCTGAGAACTTGCAGGCTGGGAGAGAAACCATCAGAAGGCTATAAGCAGGGAGTAATCAGGTCTGTGCTTGGAAAAGATCACTCTGGTTGCTGGGACGAGAATGGACTCCATGGCAGAGAATGAAAGAGGAAGACCAGGCAGGGAATGGTTGCTTGGACTAGCAATCATTGTGGGCTTGGTAACCACAGAGATGATGAGACGTGGTGGGGTTCAGGGTACTTTCTGGAAGGAAGGCTGTCAGATTGCTAAAATAAAGATAATAACTCTGTCTGGGTGTGGTGGCTCACACCTATAATCCCAGCACTTTGGGAGGTCGAGATAGGCAGATCACTTGAGGCCAGGAGTTCGAGACCAGCCTGGCCAACAAGGTAAAATCCCATCTCTACTAAAAACATGAAAATTAGCCAGGCATGGTGGCAGGCACCTGTAGTTTCAGCTACTTGGGAGACTGAGGCAAGAGAATTGCTTGAACCCGGGAATCAGAGGTTGCAGTGAGCCGAGATCTCACCACTGCACTCCAGCCTGGGGAACAGAGTGAGACTCTTTCTCAAAAAAAAAAAAGATAGTCCAGCATCTGTAAATGAGCATGATCCCTGTGTGAGCAGCAGTGTATGTGTATACACACACACACACATGCAGACACATGCACATACACACTATCCTCCTTATACAAACAGTGCAGACTCCAGGCTCTGGAGTCAAATGTGTTCAAATTCCAACTCATCTGCTTACTTGCCATTAAACTTGGTTCAAGTCACTGAACCTCTCCATCCCTAGGGTTCTCTGTCTGTAAAAAGGGGACAGTAATAGAAGTGCCTCATGGTTGTCATGAGGATTAAATTAGTTACTACATGGGAAGCATCTAAGGAAGGGCAACTGCCACATACCGTATGAGTTTCCTGTTGCTGCTGTAACAAATTAGCACCAATTTCGTGGCTCATTAAAAACAACACAAATTTATTCTCCTGCAATTCTGGAGGCCAGGAGCTCAAGATCAGTTTCAATGGGCTCAAGTCAAGGCGTGGGCAGGGCTGGTTTCTTTTGGAGGCTCCAGGCAGGGGAATCCATTCCTTTCCCTTTCTGGCATCTGAAGGCTGCGGCATTCATGGCCCCTGCTCACGTCACACCCACGTCCACTTCCATCATCACTTTGTCTCTACCTCTTTGACCTTCTGGCCTCTTTCTTATGAGGACCCTTGTGGTGATATTTTGGGCCCACCTGAATCAGCAAGAATAACCTCTCTATCTCAAAGTCCTTAACTTACATACATCTGCACTGTCCCTTTCTGCCACAGAAGGTAACAGTCACAGGTTCTGAGGATTAGGACACAGATATCTTTGGGGGCCATTATTCAGCCCATAACATGTGGTAGGCAATAAATAAAGGTTCATTGTATTACGATAATGGTACTTCATGATAATAATGATAACATTTTTCTCATTATCATCTTCATCATTCCCATGAAAGCCCCAGAGCATATCCCTAGCCCCCTCCTCAACTATGTAGGAGAGGAGGGGACGTTTAGAAAACCCCAACTCCTAGAAGCCCCCTGAGACTTGGCCCCAAGCCCAACCCAGAGCTAGGGGCAATGCTGGCTGATCAGGCAGAGGCACCAGTCCCCGGGTTGGTCCTGATGAGGGGAGCAGGGGGCAGACGGTCGATGAGGCAGGAGTGTGCTCACAGCCTGGGGTCCAAGAAGGAGCCTGGAGTGCAGGCTAAGGCCTGCTGATGGTGCTGTATTCCGTGGGCTCCTCAGGGCCCCTGCCGGGGAGGTGGCTACTGAGGTGGCCCATGTTGCAGTAGGTCGGTTCCTGATCCTCAGCACCCAAGGTCAGAGATGCATAGGAAATGTCCTCCTTCGGCAAGGAAGCCTGCAGCAAAGGCGGGCTCCAGGTCAGAGAGGACGGCAGGAAGTGACGGTCACGGGGCAGAGGAGCCCTCGGAGGAGGATAGTGGGGATGGACCATTCAGGGCTTCTAATCCCACTCAAGCCCTCCAGCTTCCCCCTTCACTCTGCCAAGCACCCTGAGCTTCAACCACAACAGAACAGATTCTCCCCCAACCCTGCACCAGTGCAGCACATTTCCTGTGGAATCCCAAGTCACTCAGCCTGTCTGGGACTCTGCTGCCCACGTGGGGACTGTGTTTGCCAGTCCCTGTGTCCCCAGGACTGAGACTTGCCTGTGGGAGCTCCTAGGCGAGTCCTGCAGTGACTATGGCTTTGCCCCACACCTGCCTCCTCTATGCCCACATGAGCAGGAGAAAGCCCACCCTCCAACGGGGTGCAACGGCAGGCCTGTGTCCCCCTGCCCCAGCCTCACAGCAGCCCCCATGGAGGACGCACCATGGTGACATATTCCACTTCCACCTGGTCAACCTGGGCAGAGGAAAGCTTCGTGGTAGCCTTTTGCGGGGAGGTTCCGGCCAGCTGCAGGGTCAGGTCTGCATAGCAGAGGTCGCCCTCCAGGGGCTGCAGTACCTGGGACAGGGAACACAGGCTGGGGAGTCACAAGATCTGTCTGTGGACACAGGTTCCTTTTCCACGGTGGGACGGGACGAGAGCCTCTCCACTTCCCCAGGTGCCCCTCTCCCATTTCCCTCCGTGTCCTCCACTTCTCAGGCTCCTGTACCCCTCAGCCCTTGTCCCCCTGGCTGTTTCCAGGCCCTCAGCCCCCAGGCCCTGCAGGGTGCCATGAGGACAGGATACTTTGGCACAGGACTTCTCTGATATTTTGGACCTTCTGAGAGATGGAAAATGAGGAAGGGGAAAGAAGCTGCCTGGTCTCTCTGGTCCGACCTTGGGGGCTATCTTACCTGCTCTGGGGACATCCCGGCTGCTAAAAGACAAACAACAATTCAGAATTAGAAAGCCCATTCCCCAGACTCACAAGAACCCCCAGGTCTAGGGAAGAGAAATATGGAAGAAAAGAGGTGAATTGGGTCCAGGCTCAGAGACAGGGACCTGGTTCTAATTCTGATTCCTCAGATGACACAGTCTGTGACATTCGTCATGTCACCTCTCTGACCTTTCACTTCTCCACCAGGAAAAGAGGGACACCCCAGCCCCCTGCTCCCCACATCATAGAACTGTGCACTCAGCTGATCGGGTGGCCCTGCCAGCCATCGGCTCCCCTGGGAGTAAGTTTGCTTCTGCAGAATCCCAACTCGGCCTGGAATTCCACCATGTCTCTCTACCTGATTCATCCTTCAGGGGTCAATTCAAAGTCATGCCTGCCTTCTGCAGCTACCCAGGCTGTCTAATCCCCCTCCCGGGCCCCCGGGGGGCACTTGCTCTATGTCTGTCTCATCATCTTCGTCCTACTGAATTCTAGTTAGTCCTCAGGTGGGCTGTAAGCTGCAGGGTGGCTGGGCCTGTCCCTTCCTTACAACCTGGGTGCTTGGCTGTGCTGAGCAGGTGGTGCTCCATCAGTAAAAGTTGTCTGCAGAGACAGGAATGCACCAAGCTGTCCCCCAACCCCGAGTAGAATGTGCAAGCTGGGTCGGCACAGTAGGGACCGATTTTGTTTGGTTTGGTTTGGTTTGGTTTGGTTTGGTTTGGTTTGGTTTGGTTTGGTTTTGAGATGGAGTTTCTCTCTTGTCACCCATGCCGGAGGGCAATGGCACCATCTTGGCTCACTGCAACCTCCACCTCCTGGGTTCAAGCGATTCTCCTGCCTTAGCCTCCTGAGTAGCTGGAACTACAGATGTGTGCCACCATATCCAGCTAATTTTTTTGCATTTTTAGTAGAGAAGGGGTTTCACCATGTTGGCCAGGCTGGTCTCGAACTCCTGACCTCAAGTGATCCACCCGCCTCAACCTCCCTAAGTGCGGAGATTATAGGCATGAGCCACGACACCCAGAGATTGGATTGGATTGTTTTTCCACTGGGACCGATTTTCAGGTGGTTGCTGGTCCCTGTCTTCTTTCTCCCCTCCCCAGCCACCAGCCCCACATCCCTGCCCTAGGGACAACAAAGAAATGGGGGGTTTTCCCCTGGTTTCAAAAGTCTAGATGCTGGAGAACACAGAAAGCACTTAGACCTTAGGCCGTGGGCAATACATTTGGGAGAAAAAGCGATGAATAAAAGTCAGGCTCTAATTTTGAAAAAGCATCACAGAAAACAAACTAACAGAGAGTCAGGCTCCCCTCTTCCCAGGCGAAAGATTTCCCAGGCTGTGGGGAGGGAGAAGTGTTGGAGGGAACCCTGTGAGAGTTAGGACCCAGCTGTTCTAGAAGAGAAAGAGGTACAATTGTGTGAGAATGTGGAAGTGAAGCCACATTCTCACACAACTGGGGTTTTGTTGAGGCCAGGCCTCATGATCTGTGAGTGTAGACTCCTGCGCCAAGAGGCTCCTCCCTGAAGAGCTAGTTCACAAAGGGCAAGTAGGTCAGCCTGGGAAAGTCCAGTGGGCAAGGGAGGGACAGAAGGAAAGGCCATTCCAATTTCCTGATCAGACTTGGAGGGCTGTGTGTGTGTGTGCATGCTTGTGTAATGTGATGAGTGCACATGCACTGTGGGATCCATGCAGTGTGTGTGCCCATGATCGCGCATGTGTGTGTGCATCCACTGGTGTGTTTGTGTCTGTTTCTCCCTCCCCATTCCATGTCAGCTCAGTACCTCCTTGACAACCACATAGACCCAACTCTAGCGTCTAGTCTAGACACCCCAGACTGGACCACCCACCTAAGACCATTGCCACCTATGCCATCAAGAGTCAATCCAGGAAAGAGACAGGGAGGTGGATCAGAGAGAAGAGAAGGGGAAGGACGGAGGTGCAGGGCAGGCGGCGAATGCCAAAACCTCCTGGGGCTCCCCTGCAAGCTCCAGGGCGCCCCCCGGTCCCCTGGCACTGCCAGCTGCTGAGGGCCTTTGGGACTGTGCCATTTCCTGATTGTGTGGGTAATCCCTTGGACCAGATAGCTCCCAGATGCCACATCCCCAGCCACCCGGCCCAGTCTCAGCCCAGCCTCACCCAGGTCCTCTCACCTTTCTGCTGGTACTTCATCATCCTCCAAGCCAAGAGTGAGGCGGCCACCAAAAGCAGCAGCAATATGGTGAAGATGAGGGGCAGGAGGACACTGAGCTTCAGGAGCTTGTGCCTAGAAACAATGGCAAGCGTCCCCTGCATCCCAGGCTCACCACCTGCCTCTCAGCCCAATCCCACCCACCCAGCAGCAGGGGAGGGCCACACACCTGATGAGCTGCAGGTCTGTAGTTTGCAGCCTGGGAACCCTCACTCCTGGGGATCCTCAAAGATGGGTTTACAATGAGTACACATAGACACAAAGAAGGGAATGGAACAAGAGACACCAGGGCCTACTTGAGGATGGAGGGTGGGAGGAAGCAAAGAATCAAAAAACTACAAACTACCTATTGGGTACTATACCTATTACCTGGGTGACAAAATAATCTGTACACAAAACCCCGGTGACGTGCAATTTACCGATATAACAAATCTGTACGTGTACCCCTGAAGCTAAAATAAAAGTTTTTAAAATTTAAGAATTTTAACAAAAGATAGTTGTTTTTGGTTTTCTTTGTTTTTCATTTTTTTGACACAGAGTCTTGCTCTGTCACCCAGGCTGGAGTACAGTGGCATGATCTCGGCTCACTGCAACCTCCACCTCCCAGGTTCAAGAGATTCTTCTGCCTCAGCCTCCCAAGTAGCGGGGATTACAGGCACCCACCACCACACCTAGCTAATTTTTGTATTTTTAGTAGAGACAGGATTTTGCCATGTAAGCCAGGCTGGTCTCGAACTCCTAACCTCATGATCCGCCCACCTCAGCCTCCCAAAGTGCTGGGATTACAGGCGTGAGCCACAGCGCCCGGCCTTAACAAAAGATAGTTTTTAAAAGGAGAAAAGGGTTCCATGAGGTGGTTTTAATGTGTCTAGAAGCCTAACAGAAATTGTAGGGCAGCAGACTCCTAAAACACCTCCTGCCTCTACACCTGCCCTCTCTACTGGGTTGAATAGCGTCCTCTTCCCCTCGAATTCACATCCACTCAGACCCGTGAATGTGACCTATTTGTGGATGTAATCAAGTTAAGATGAGGTCATAGTTGATTAGCATGGGCCCTGATCCAGCGACTGGTGTCCTTACAAGAGGGAAATTTGGACACATAAACACACACAGGAAGAAGACCATGAGACGACAGAGACAGGGATCAGAGTGATGCCGCCACAAGACCGGGAACACAAAGGATCGCAGGCGCCCACCAGCAGCTGGAACAGAGGCATGAGACAGACTCTCCCTTTGAGCCCCCAGGGTGGCAACAGCCCTGGTGACACCTTGATTTCCAATTCCTGGCCTCCTTAGCTGTGAGAGAACGTATTTCTTTTGCTTTGAGCCACTCGTAACGGCGGCCACAGGACACTGACAGGCCCTACTGTAGTGGATCATTGCCACAGCAGCCGGGGGGCCTGTGAACCAAACGTCAAAGCACACCCCTCTCTTTCTCAAAATTCTGCAACAGGCCAGGCACAGTGGCTCATACCTGTAATCCCAGCAACTTGGGAGGCTGAAGTAGGCAGGTCACTTGAGGTCAGGAGTTCAAGACCAGCCTGACCAACATGGTGAAACTCCGTCTCTACCAAAAAATACAAAAATTAGCTGGGTGGGGTGGCGTGTGTCTGTAATCCCAGCTACTTGGGAAGCTGAGGTGGGAGAATTGCTTGAACCCAGGAGGCGGAGGTTGCAGTGAGCTGAGATCGCGCCACTGCACTCCAGCCTGGTCGACAGAGCAAGACCCTGTCTCAATAAATAAATAAATAAATAAATAAATAAACAAACAAACAAACAATCAAAATAAAATAAATAAATAAATAAATCCCGTAACAGCCCCATTTCAGCCCATGAAAATGGCCAGGGCTGACAATGGCCTCCACTCCTGCCTACGACTCACCCCTGCCTGCTTCACTCCAGCCTCACTTCCTGCTGCTCCTCAAATATTCCAGGCACATCCCCACATTACGGACCTTATTCCAGTTGCATTTTTCTCCAGGAACATGCTCCCTCCAGAGCTCTGTGTGGCTCACTTTCTCACCTCTTCCAGTCTTTGCTCAAGAATCACTCGACTGAGCGCGGTGGCTTACACCTGTAATCCCAGCACTTTGGGAGGCCGAGGCAGGCTGATCACATGAGGTCGGGAGTTCGAGACCAGCCTGGCCAACATGGCAAAACCCCATCTCTACTAAAAATACAAAATAACAGCCGGGTGTGGTGGTGCATTCCTGTAATCCTGGCTACTCCCAGCTGCTTGGGAGGCTGAGGCAGGAGAATCGCTTGAACCTGGGAGGCGTAGGTTGCAGTGAGCCGAGATCCTGCCACTGCACTCCAGCATGGGTGACAGAGCAACACTCCGTCTCAAAACAAACAAACAACAAAAAAAACTGTTGTGGGCTGGGCTGGATTGTACACCACCACCCCCCCACCCCAATCCATATGTTGAAGTCCCACCCTTTAGTATCTCAGAATGTGATTGTATTTGAAGATAGGATCTTTAAAGAGGTGATTGAGGTTAAGTGAGGTCACTGGGGCAGGCCCTAATCCATTATGACTGGTGTCATTAGAAGAGATCAGGACACAGACACACGCAGAGGGACGACCACGTGAACACATAGGAAAAAGATAGCCATCTACAAGCTGAGAAGACTCAGAAGAAACCAACCTTGTGGACCACTTGATCTCAGACTTTTAGCCTCCAGAATTGTGAGAAAATAAATTTTTGTGATTTAAGCCCCCATTCTGAGGTATTTTGTTAGGGGCAACCCAAGCAAACTAATATAAGGATTATCTCCTTCATCACTGGATGTGCAGAAATTTGAGAAAGAAATTCATCAGTCAATTAATTGTGTCAACCCTATTTGGTTACACTAATTAGCTCTAGATTGTAAGTACCTCGAGGGCAGGCATTTTGATTATTTGGTCCATTCTTGTACCCTTTTTAATTCCCTTAAACAGTGACAGGCTAGAGTGAGTGCTCAAGAGTTATGTGTTAAATAAATGAGTGAACAAACCATCTCATGCTAATCAAAGGCCCTAATCGGGCACTTACATAAGGCTTCGATTCATAAAATAATAAATAAATAAATAACCTTAACTATTACTTATTCAAAGCAGTTTGGTAGAAAATAAACTTTCAAATCAGAGGGTATCCTGTATTGATTTGCTTAGGAAAAAGAAAAATAGGGACAAAGCAAGGTGGCTTATGCTTTTAATCTCAGCACTTTGGGAGGCTGAGGTGGGCAAATCACTTGAGGACAGGAGTTGGAGACCAGCTTGGCCAACATAACAAAACCCCATCGCTACTAAAAATTGGCCGGGCATGGTGGCTTACGCCTGTAGTTGCAGCTACTCGAGAAGCTGAGGTATGAGAATCACATGAACCTGGGAGGTGGAAGTTGCAGTGAGCTGAGATTATACTACTGCACTCCAACCTGGGCAACAGAGTGAGAATCCGTCAAAAAAAAAAAAAAAAAAACAATTAGCTGGGTGTGGTGGTGGGCGACTATAGTTCCCCCAGCTACTCAGGAGACTGAGGCATGAGAATTGCTTGAACATGAGAGGCAGAGGTTGCAGTGAGCCAAGATGGCACCATGCACTCAAGTCTGAGCTACAGAGCAAGACTGTCTAAAAATAAAAAAAAAGAAAACTTTAAAAAGTTTAATTTAAAAAAAAAACAGAAGGCAAATGGGAGAGGGGGAGTAGAAGGGTCTCAGGTGGTTAGAATACCGGGGACCTCCCATAGGGATTTTGTGGCAAGGTCCCAGCAAAAGGAGAACTTGGCACTTGGCAGATCTAAAAACAAAGTCAAGAGGGCCAAGGAGAGTGAAAGGAAGAAATTAAAGGGGACGTTCCTCTTCTAGAAAGCCCAGCTGACTGCAGATGGTTGGGCAGGGCACTAAGAGGCATGACCTGAGCTATGGTGTAGAGCCCAGAGACTTCCATCCAAGCTCCAGCACCACCCTTCACTGAGGAAGGGACTGAGGCTCAGTTTCTTCTTCTGTAAAATGGGAACATTTGTATCTGCCCATTCTTCCACATGGGGTGGTTGTAGGAAAGGTCAAAGAAAACAAAATAATGCACAGGAAAGCCTTTTGTGAGCTGTCAGTTGCTCTAGAGATGTGAGAAACTATAGGCATCACTGTTCTTGCCATAATAGTAATCAGAGGAAAATTAAGGGAAACAGGACTTCCCCAAGCCCTCCTTTCCTTGTCCTCCCAGAAGTTGAACCAAGAGTCATCCCTGCGGCTCCATGACCCCACGCCCACACTCACATGAGACACACTGTCCTCACTGACTGCCAACTCATCGGTCTCCCACACTGAGCTCCACGGGGACAGTCCATGTCTGTGTCCCCAGAGCTCAGCACGGTGCAGCCATGTAGAAGTTATTATAACACAGTAAAAGTGGGGCGAACGAATGAATGAACCTACAAACAGCACTGAGCTGCAGAATGAAGGATCTGTGGAGACTGAAAGGACACCATGTGGCCTGACAGCAAGTGGGAAGGGCTCCCAGCTTCCTCATCCTCACCAAGGAGCATGCAGGTCCCAGACAAAGCTCAGGCTGGAAAATGGGACTTCAAAGAGTTCTCCATTGGAGGAGTTTGGGCCAAGTAGGCCACAGTGGAACCAGAGCTGGCTTACCTGTTGTCCAAGTGGTGGCCGGTCAGAGTTGGGGAGCTGCTAGTTTCTTCTTGGGTGACTGGTGCTGTAAACGTAGTGGAGGTAGGCGTGGTGGGGGCAGGAGTCGACGCTGTAGTTGATGCTTGGTGTATAAACCAGATCACAGATGCCCCTGCCCATGAGCCCACCCGCAGCCCTGCACACAGCTCTGAGCCTGGGCGGGGGTCTGGACTGCTACTATGGGAAGGGGCTGCAGCCTGGACCACTCATGTCTCCCTGGTCTCTAGGAGACTCCAGAGCCTCATAGGCAGGTGGGGCTGGGCAGGGTCCAGGGAGGACGCTGAGCTGGCCCTGGGAGGGTTAGAGGGGGCTGGGAAGAGCCTAAGGGCAGCTGGAGACCAGCTGAACTTGAGCAACCTGCTGCTTATGACAGTGCCTTGGTCAATCTCCACCCCCAGCCCTATTTATCCAGCAAAAACAGGAGCAGAGTGGGAACTTGCACAGTGACCCTAGATCTGTGACATCAAAGGTCAGGACCAGCCCTGAATGAAATCATCATATTCAGGAAGAACTTTGACTTTGGGCAAGTTACAAAACTTCAATGATGGGGATGCCCCCTTCTCAGGGGTATTGTGAGGACCCATTGAGACAATGCACGTTCAGCACTTTGCAAACTAGAATATGCCCCAGAGGCTCCGGGTGCAACCTGGGGCCCCAAGGACTGTGGTGCTCCTTCCATGCCACAAGGGCCCTCGAGCCATCCTGCTTATCTTCTGAGGGACAGCAGAACAAGCCCAACAAATAAACCCATGCAAACCGAGGCACTGGGACCCCTGAGCTAACGCTCCCAGGAGTGTCTGCATTCTAGAAGGACATAGGAAGAAATATCATTAAGTCCACACACACAAATGGCTCATGGTGGGATGTCAGGGACCAGGAATGCAGCCGTTTGACTGTGAAGACCTTTCTGGACTTGGGAATTAGACCCCAGCACCCCGACTATGCTGAGCCTCTTTTTCCCCCAGGTTAGATATGGAATGGGAGATGGGAACAGCAGCTATGAAGCCCCAGCCCAGAACTCCACCAAAAGCAGGACACACCTGGGCACCAGAGGTCTCCAAAAAGCAATGGCAAGGACTGGGGTCTCTGGGTACCATGGGAAGGCATCCCTTTGGCCCATGGGCTGAAACTGGGACCATCACCTTGTCCTCAGGCACTGAGCTGTGCAGAGGTAAAAAATGTGCCTAGAAAGGCTTAATCCCGTCGTGGAGGGAGCCCTGGGAGCCATGGGGGCATTGAAGAGAGGCCCTGCTCCCCCAGTCCCAGGTGGTCAGTCAGGGTTCTATGAGACTCGGGACTCAAGTGATAGATCACTCAGTGACAATTAAATCACTTGAGTAGGACCTCAGAGACCAGGACAGAGCAGGCCCTGAGAGACACACACATATATACACTCCCTCTTACCTGGGTCAATGGTCACTTGAACTGTGACCCCAAGGTCATTTCCAGTTTTCTCAATTCCACACCAGTAAGTGTCAGCATCAGTTTTCATGAGATCCTCCATGGTCACAGTGAACGTGCGGTTTTTCTGATTGTCCTTGATGGACACCCGGTCCCTCTTCACCTCCTGCTCTGACCCACTGGTTTTAACAAGGATCTTGCAGTCACGCCAAATAGCTCCTCGACACCACCACTTCAAGTAGGTCTCCCAGCCTGATCTGTAAACACACTGCACGGTCAAGGAGCCCCGCTCCAAGCCATTCACTGTTGTTGGACCGGTGATTTGAGTGACAATGGAGTAGCCTGGAAAACACAAATTCATGTGCTGTCACCTCCCACCCCAAGGGCAGGGCCACAGCTTTCTGTTTAGGGAATAGCTCCCAAATCCAAGTTTCACAGGTTAAATAACAGTCAAGGAAGAAATACACCTTCCGCAGACAAAACTTTTGTCCTTCAGCTTTCCACTGGGTCAAAGCCACCAGGAAAATCACTGAAGAGCACAACAACGGATCCCCCCAAAAATAAAAATATTGGCATAAGCAATAATAACTTCCTGCAGTTCACCCCTCTCTCCACCCTACGGCCAAGGTAATCTGTATATTTCAAGGAATGTCCTTTTGCAGCCATCTTTGTGTTAGTCCAGTGTGGTGGGGAGGAAATACCAGGAGACCCCTTTCCACAGGGTCTTACCTTGACTCTTAGCACTGATGACCCTCATGAGGTCGAGCTGAGGCAGCCACATCAGATGGCTGTGGAGAGGCTGTCCTGGTGGTCCTAATGATTTCTAGTGGTTCTGGAATAAACCACCCTGGATGAATGCCTTTGAAGTTGATCAAAACAGCAACGGCAACTGGTCTCCATGTGCTATAGGATCCATACAACACAGATCCCACTTTCTTTAATGAATTGCTTTGACCCCTTTGTCAAATTGCAAATTTGTGGATTTCCCATTCTGTTCCATTGATCTATTTGTCCACCTTTCTGCCAATCCTACATTCTCCTGATTACTATCACCTTGTAGAAAAGCAGGTATTATAGACAGTAAGGCAGTATTTACTTTTTTTTTTCTTTTTCTCTTTTTTTCTTTTGAAACAGGCTCTCACTCTGTCGCCCAGGCTGGAACACAGTGGCACAATCATGGCTCAATCATGGCTCACTGAAGCCTTCACCTCCCAGGCTTAATTGATCCTCCCACTTCAGCCTCCCAAGTAGCTGGGACTACAGGCACATGCCTCCACGCCTGGCTAATTTTTGTAGTTTTAGTAGAAACAGGATTTTGCCATGTTGTCCAAGCTGGTCTCAAACTCCCGGGCTCAAGCGATCCACCCACCTCAGCCTCACAAAGTGTTGGGATTACAGGCGGGCCCCACAACGCCTGGCCTGTATTTTCTTAAAATACATGTTTTCCTTCAAAATCATGTCCTTTGCAGCAACATGGATGTGGCTGGAGGCCATTATCCTAAGTGAATTAACGCAGAAACAGAAAACCAAATACCGCATGTTCTCACTTATAAGTGGGAGCTAAACATTGGTTATGCATGGACATAAAGATGGGAACAACAGGCAGAGGAGGGAAAGGGGCAAGAACAAAACAGAGGAGGGAAGGGAGCAAGCACTGAAAAAACTACCAATTGGGTACCATGTTCACTATCTGGGTGACAGGTTTGATTGAGGCTCAAACCTCAGCATCATGCAATATATCCATGTAACAAACCTGCACAGGTACCCACTGACTCTAAAAATAAAAAACATTTTAAAGGAAAAAAAAAATATATATATATATATATCCCAAAGTGCTGCGATTATAGGTGTGAGCAACTGTGCCTGGCCTTTTTTTTTTTTTTAAGTAAAGAAATATTTCCCTGTATCCGGAATCTTTCAAAGGTGAGAATATGAGAGAAAGAATAAAAAGAACATATATATATAAATTCCCAACATGAGGTTGGGAGTTCGAGATCAGCCTGACCAACATGGAGAAACGCCATCTCTACTAAACATAGAAAAATTAGCCTGGCATGATGGCACATGCCTGTAATCCCAGCTACTCGGGAGGCTGAGGCAAGAGAATCGCTTGAACCCGGGAGGCAGAGGTTGCAATGAGCCAAGATGGCGCCATAGCACTCCAGCCTGGGCAACAAGAGCAAAACTCCATCTCAAAAACAAAACAAAACAAAACAAAAACCAGCAGTTCAAGCACAACAACCAACGGCGCGGACAGAGGGCCTCAGTGTCAGAGAGACCCTGGGAAGGGGTGAGGACCACGGCAGCCTGGATTGGAGAGCAGGGTATCCATGCGAAGGCACAGCCCTCCTTCCACTCCAGCCCGGGTCCTGGGGAAAGAAGCGGGCCCTGTGACAAGAACACACAATGGGGAAAGGACAGTCTCTTCAATAAACAGTGCTGGGAAAACTCGACATCCACGTCCAGAAGAATGAAGCCGGACCTTTATCTCACAACATATACAAAAATCAACTCACAATAGAGAAGATGTAAATGTAAGACCTGAAACTTAAATCTCTCAGAAGAAAACCTAATGGAAAAGCTCCACAACATTGGTCTTGGCGATGATGTCTTGGAGAGGACGCCAAAAGCACAGGCAACAAAAGCAAAACTAGACAAATGGGACTCACAAAACCAAAGAGCTTCTGCACAGCAAAGGAAACAACCAAGAGAATGAAGCGACAACCTACAGAGTGAGAGAAAATATTTGCAAACCATAAATCTGACAAAGAGCTGATATCCAAAATACATAAGGAACTCAAACAAATCAGTAACAAGAAAACAAATAATCTAATTAAAAACTGGGCAAGGAATCTGACCAGATATTTCTCAAAAGAGGAGCTATAAATGGGCAACAGATCTATTTTTAAATGCTCAACATCTCTGATCACCAGAAAAATGCAAATTAAAACCAAAAGAGGGTCAGGCACAGTATTCACACTTGTAATTCCAGCACTTTGGGAGGCCACATTGGGTGGATCATCTGAAGTCAGGAGTTTGAGACCAGCCTAGGCAACATGGTGAAATCTTGTCTCTACTAAAAATACAAAAATTAACCAGGTGTGGTGGAGTGCACCTGTAATCCCAGCTACTTGGGAGGCTGAGGTGGGAGAATCGTCTGAACCTGGGAGGCGGAGGTTGCAGTGAGCCAAGATCGTGCCACTGCATTCCAGCCCGAGCAACAGAGTGAGACTCCATCTCAGAAAAAAAAAAAAAAATTAAAAGTGGTATATGACTGTATATCCTGCACATATTAAAAAGTTAATAAACCATGAATAAGATAAAAGGATATAATAATAAAAGGATATTTAAACAATGTTATGCCAATGAATTTACAATTTGAGATGGAATAAACAAATTCCTAGAAAAAAATTATACAGGCCAGGCACTGTGAGAGGCCGAGGCAGGTGGATCACCTGAAGTCAGGAGTTCAAGACCAGCCTGGCCAACATGGTGAAACCCCATCTCTACTAAAAATACAAAAATTAGCCTGGCGTGGTGGCACACACCTGTAGCCCCAGCCACTTGGGAGACTGAGACAGGAGAATCGCTTGAACCCAGGAGGTGGAAGTTTCAGTGAGCCGAGATCACATCACTGCACTCCAGGCTGAACAACAGAACAAGACTCCATCTCAAAAAAAAAAAAAAGAAAAAAGAAAAAGAAAGAAAAGAAAAAAAATACAATATGCTAAAATCAGCACAAAATAAATAGAAAACCTGAATCATTCCACAGCTATTATATTTAAATAAATCAAATCCCTTGTTTAAAACTTCCGCCAGAATAAAACTCCAGACCCATACAGCTTCAATGGAAATATTTACCAAACACGTAAAGAAGAAATAATGTCTATTTTATAGATAATTTTCCAGAGCATAGAAAAAGAAGATGAAATCCCAAATCCATTTCACGAGATTAACATAATCTTGATGCCAAAACCTGACAAGGGCAAAGCAAGAAAGTATTGTAGGCAAATATCACTCATTAACATAAATGCAAAAACCTGAAACAAAAGATCAGCATACGGAATCTGGTGATACATAAACAGGATAAAACATTATCACCAAGTTGGGTTTATGCCAAACACCCAAAATGGTTTTTAACATTAAAAAATCAATAAGGAGGCTGGACGCGGTGGCTTACACCGGTAATCCCAGCATTTTGGGAGGCCAAGGCGGGCGGATCAGGAGGTGAGGAGATCGAGACCATCCTGGCTAACACGGTGAAACCCTGTCTCTACTAAAAATACAAAAAATTAGCCAGGCGTGGTGGCGGGCGCCTGTAGTCCCAGCTACTCGGAGGCTGAGGCAGGAGAATGACGTGAACCCGGGGGGGCGGAGCTTGCAGTGAGCCGAGATCGCGCCACTGCACTCCAGCCTGGGCGACAGAGCAAGACTCCGTCTCAAAAAAAAAAAGGAAAATCAATAAGGAGGCCAGGCACGGTGGTTTACACCTGCAATCCCAGCACTTTGGGAGTCCGAGTCAGGCAGATCACGAGGCCAAGAGATCGAGACAATCCTGGCCAACATGGTGAAACCCCGTCTCTACTAAAAATTCAAAAAATTAGCTGGGCGTGGTGGCGGGCGCCTGTAGTCCCAGCTGCTCGGGAGGCTGAGGCAGGAGAATCGCTTAAACCCAGGAGGCGGAGGTTGCAGTGAGCCAAGATCACACCACTGCACTCCAGCCTGGAGACAGAGCAAGACTGACTCAAAAAAAAAAAGGAAAAAAGAAAATCAATAAGGGTAATATGCCATATTAACAGAGTCAAGGAGAAAAATCTTGTGATCATCTTAGGTGCAGAGAGAAGTAGTGATAGGAATCAACGCTCATTCATGATTTTTTAAAAACTCTTAGCAAACTAAGAGAACTGCCTTTATCTGATAAAGATTGTCTATCAAAAACCTCAGCAAGCACCACACTTAGTGCGAGACATTCATATGTACTTTATAATAATTTGTTAACATGGATGTTGAAGTTTTATGCACTTTTTTGTACATTTTATTTTCCACAATTAAAAAGACTTTTAGGACACCATAAACCAAGAGCCAAATTATTCTTTTTTTTTTGAGATGGAGTCTTGCTTGGTCGCCTGTCACCCAGGCCGGAGTGCACTGGTACGAACATGGGTCACTGCAGCCTCAAGTCCTGGGCTCAAGTGATCCTTTTGCTGTAACCTCTTATGTAGCTGGGACGACAGGACCACAGGCATGCACCACCATACCAGGCTAGTATTTTTTTTTTTGGAGAGACAAGGTCTCACTTTGTTGCCCAAGCTGGTCTCAAACTCCTGGACTCAACCGATCTGCCTGCCTTAGCCTCACAAAGTGCTGGGATTACAGGCTTGAGCCATCATGCATCACCAGCCAAATTATTCTTAACAGTGAAATACTATAGGCATTCCTATTGACATCATAAACAAAACATGAATTCCCAATATATATAATAACATGATTCTGGAAGTTCTTTTTTGTTTGTTTGTTTTTTTGAGATGGAGTCAGGCTCTGTCGCCCAGGCTGGAGTGCAGTGGCTCAATCTCGGCTCACTGCAAGTTCCGCCTCCCGGGTTCACGCCATTCTCCTGCCTCAGCCTCCTGAGTAGCTGGGACTACAGGCGCCCACCACCACGCCCAGCTAATTTTTTGTACTTTTGGTAGAGATGGGGTTTCACCGTAGCCAGGATGGTCTCGATCTCCTGACCTTGTGATCCGCCTGCCTTGGCCTCCCAAAGTGCTGGGATTACAGGCGTGAGCCACTGTGCCCAGCCTGGAAATTCTAATCAATATAGGAAGATAAGGAAAAACATAAAATGTATAATTATCAAAAGGGAAAAAAGTTAGAGAAAATTTTTTAATTTTAAATGAAAAAGTATTTTAATTCATAATTGAATTTAATAGAGTGGCTAAATAATAAACATGTAAAAATCAATGGCTTTCCTATAAACTGCTAATAAATAGTTGGAAAGTAAAGTAGAAAAGTGCTCATTTACATTAGCAATAAAAGTGTATTAAATTCCTAGGAATAACTTTAACAGAAACAATAAAGACTTATGGAAAAAAAGCACAGTGAGGCTGGGCGCGGTGGCTCACGCCTGTAATCCCAACACTTTGGGAGGCCAAGGCGGGTGGATCACTTGAGGTCAGGAGTTCGAGACCAGCCTAACCAACATGGTAAAACCCCATCTCTACTAAAAATACGAAAAAAAAAAAAAAATAGCCAGGCATGCTGGCACACCTGTAATCCCAGCTACTTGGGAGGCTGAGGCAGAAGAATCACTTGAATCTGGGAGGCAGAGGTTGCAGTGAGCCAAGATCGCGCCACTGCACTCCAGCCTGAGTGACAGAGCGAGACTCTGTCTCAAAAAAAAAAACAAAAAATCTGTTCTTGCCAGGCACGGTGGCTCATGCTTTTAATCCCAGCAACTCAGACGGCCAAGGCAGGAGGATCACTTGAGCCCAGGAGTTGAGGCTGCAGTGAGCTATGATCATGCCACCACACTCCAGCCTAGGCAACAGACTGAGACCCCAACTCAAAAAAAATAAAAAACCTTCCTTTCTCACAGAAAACAAACTTCCGGATGGGTATTTTTTTTCTTGGGTGTTTTAAAACGATAAATTATTTAGAAGAGGGAAACAGGGTAAGCACACTTGCTGCTTGTGGGTGGAAGTTCTGCAGGAGAGGCTGGCAAGAGCTGATGCATGCAGGTTCACAGTGGTATCCGGGCTCCATGTTGGCGCCCATAGCTGTGCCTGCTGGCTTTTCTGCCCACTTCAGACAGAGGTCCCAAACCACTCCCACTCCCAACACGACTCTCACATCTGCTCACTACCAAATTCTCTCATTTCCAGGTGTCAGAAAAAAAGCAGCCATACCTGTCCTGGTCTCACTGTGCCAATGCATTTCATAACATCTCACCCAAAGTCTGCCTTCTCCACTTACATGCTGAAACTCGGGGCCAAGTGTCCATGAGCCACTCCCTGCTCTTCCTGTACCAGCCTAGCAGTCCTGGACAAGTCACTTTCTTCCCCAAGACCTTTTCTCCAATCTGTCCCACCAGGATCTTCTGAAGCATGAGGCAAAGCCGTGCTGACCTCCCTCTTCCTCAGACGTGCCCAGTCCAAGCTCATTCCTACACAAGAGCCCTCGTATCTACTGTTCCCTGTGCCTGGAAAGCTGGTCCCGATCCTGTGTCTGATCCTTTTCCTAGGTCTCGGCTCGGACAGGCATCTGGGACCCTCTTCAGGGGGGTTGTTTCAGCCCACCTGACTTACAGCATCCCCCTACCTGGGTCCCACTGTAACATATCATCTTGTTCTGTTTTCCTCACAGTACTTATCACTTCTCACTTCTTGAAATTATTTTTTTGTTTTCTTTCTTTTTTTTTCTTTTTTCTTTTTTCTTTTTTTTTTTTTTTTGAAACAGAGTCTCGCTCTGTCACCCATGCTGGAAGGCAGTAGTGTGATTACAGGTCACTGCAGCCTCCAACTCCTGGGCTCAAGTGATCCTCATGCCTCAGCCTCCAGCCTCCCAAGTAGCTGGGACCATAGGCACATGCCACCATACCTGGCTAATTTTTGTACTTTTTGTAGAGACAGGGTTTCCACATGTTACCCAAGCTGGTCTCGAATCCCTGAGCTCAAGCAATCAGCCTCCCAAAGTGCTGGGATTACAGGAATGAGCCTCTTTCCCTGGCCTCCCTTCATTTTTAATAAAAATTGTATGCACCAACTTAAGGTGTCTCCTGCCCTCTGGCTCTGCCCACATCTCAGTCCCTCCTTTCCTCTACGTCCCTGCCAGTCTTATCTCCTCTTGACCTTTCCGTCCCTCAGCAACTTCTACTATTTCCTTCTGCCCCAAATGCCTAGAACCACCACTCCCTCTCTGCCCAGCAAACTCCCTCTTCCCTCCTTTCAAAGTCCTCCAGCCTCACCTCTTCCCTGACGCCTGCCCTTGCTCAGAACACCTCCACGCAGGTGACAGATCACCCAGTCCAGGATCAGGCAGTCGCCTGCTCTCCTGAGCAGCCCATGTTCCTCCTCTGCTTTTCCCTGGCCGGCGGGGCCTACAGTCTGTCCATTTCACATGATCAGCCCCTGGGGGTCAGGAATTCTGCCTTGCACTGGCTTCATTATGAAGGTCATGCCCTGTATTCCTGCCTTGGCAACGGAAATGCTAGGTGAATGGTGGGTATGTGGATGAAACGCACAAGGCTCATGCCATTAAGGACACCTTCTGGCCGGGTCCCTTCTTCCCTCTCTCAGCCACCTCCTCCTGCTTGCTAAGCTTCCCCAAGAAGACAGACCCAGGCCCGCTCACCTGAGAGCCAGAAGAGGAGCAGGTAGAGTGTCAGCAGGGGCATCTTCTCTTCAGACAGGTCCCCGTTCCCCTCAGTGGAGCCTGGCAGCAGGAACAAACTACAGACTCCCAGCCTTCTGCTGGTACTCACTCTCGCCCTTGAACTTCCTCCTTCAGTCACTTCCCATGGGTGAAAGAGACTAAAAGAGGAAGGAGGTGGTTGGTTGGGCACCGTGGCTCAGGCCTGTAATCCTGGCACTTTGGGAGGCCAAGGCGGGCGGATCACGAGATCAGGAGTTCAAGATCAGCCTGGCCAACATAGTGAAACCCCGTCTCTACTAGAAATACAAAAATTAGCCAGGCGTGGTGGCGCACACCTGTAGTCCCAGCTACTCAGGAGGCTGAGACAGAAGAATCGCTTGAACCTAGTAGGCGGAGGTTGTAGTGAGCCGAGATCGTGCCACTTGCACTCCAGCCTGGGTGACAGAACAAGACTCTGTCTCAAACAAAAACAAAAAAAAAAAAAAAAAGAGGAAGGAGGTGGAAAGGGTGAAATTTCGAGGCAGTTGACAATGCAAGGGGTCACAGGAATCATCAGCTTCTGAGAAGTACCTCTCTGTACACAGCCACCGTGGGTTCTCTAAAAAGAGAACTTCGTGGCTCCTCTGTCATGTGGAAACCTGCAGACAGATCCACTGGGTCTGGCCAGCCCTTATCCAATCCTCCAAACCTGGTGGGTTGGCTGGGGGCAGGGGCACGCGGCTCCACCAGAGGGGTCCTGGAGAGCCACGGCTGATAGACACGATGTCCTAAACCTGGAGCTTCAGGTGTAGCCAGATGCTTGGGAGCCCAGAAGGCCAGAAGTTCAAGAGGATTGAGGGGCACTTGTGGCCAAAGTCAGAAAGCCAGAGGAGAGATTCCAGACCAAAGGTTGGAAGGCAGCTATGAGGAGATTGGGTATCCAACCCCAGACTACAAGGCCAGGTACGGTGGCTCACACCTGTAATCTCAGCACTTTAGGAGGCTGAGGCAGGAAGATCACTTGAGGCCAGGAGTTCAAGACCAGCCTGGGCAACATGGCAAGGCTTCATCTCCACAAAAAAAAAAAAAAAAAAAAAAAAAAAAAGTCAGGCATGGTGGCTCATGCCTGTAATCCCAACACTTTGGGAGGCCAAGGTAGGCAGATCACTCCAGGTCAGGAGTTAGAGACCGGCCTGGCCAAAATGGTGAAACCCCATCTCTACTAAAAAATACAAAAATTAGCTGGGCGTGGTAGCATTCACCTGTAATCCCAGTGACTCGGGAGGCCGAGGTAGGAGAATCACTTGAACCCAGGCGGCAGAGGTTGCAGTGAACCCAGATCGCACCACTGAACTCCAACCTAGGCAACAGAGCAAGACTCTGTCTCAAAAATAATAACAATAATAATAATAATTAGTTCTGCAGAGTCATGCATGCCTGTAGTCCAAGCAATCTGGGAAGCTAAGGCCTGAGGATTACCTGAGCCCAAGAGGTCGAAACTGCAGTGAGCTATGATTGAGCCACTGTTCACTGTACTCCAGCCTGGGCAACAGAGCAGACGCTGTCTCTTTAAACACACACACACACACACACACACACACACACACACACGCACGCACAGAGAGGTTCAGAGAGAAGGGAGATGCAAGCAGGGAACTACTGGCCCACTGACAAGAGGCGCTTTGTCCTGAGAACACGAAGGAAGCTCCTACTGCTGTACCCCAGCCCACCAGGTGAGATCCCAGGGATACCTACATCTGGAATCTTCCAGAAACCTGTCCATTGTACCAGGGGGTCTACCTGAGGAAACCAGTTCATTGCTCAGGACTATTATCCCCTCGCTCCACCCCTCACCTTATAACTATTTGTTGAAGGAAGGAAGGAAGAAAGGAAGGACCAGTTTTGCCCCTCACTCTCCTCCTTCTGACAATCATGTCCATCCCCCATCTCTCCTTTCCCATCAAGACCCCAGCAAGTCCCTAGGGTCGGGACTGGGGATATAAAAGGATTAGGAAGGGCCAGACTCAGTGGCTCACACTTGTAATCCCAGCATTTTGGGAGGCCAAGGCAGGTGGATCACCTGAGGTCAGGAGTTCGAGATCAGCCTGGCCAACATGGCAAAACCCCGTCTCTACTAAAAATACAAAACTTAGCCGGGTGTGGTGGTGGGTGCTTATAATCCCAGCTACTCAGGAGGCTGAAGCAGGAGAATAACTTGAACACAGGAGGTGGAGATTGCAGTGAGCTGAGATCGCACCATTGCACTACAGCCTGGGCAACAAGAGTGAAACTCCATCTCAAAATAAATAAATAAATAAAAATAAATAAAAGGATTAGACCTTTCTCACCTTCTGCACCTGGAGCCACTTTTGCCATGTGTCACATACACCCTGTGACATCTTGACAAGGGAGTGAGTCTCAAAGAGGGACGCAACCCCCTCACACCCTAATCAGGAATGAGTGGGTGTGCAGAGGGTTATTTGCACAGAAAACCACAGCAGCTGATAAGCCATGGCTTTTCCAGGACGTGGCCAGAGATGGCTTCTCGCTTTACATATCTGCAGACCATAAAGTAGGTCAAGAATCCGGGGTGAGGGCTTGGCCAGCCCTTTGGTCCCTGCTGCATGTCAATAGGTCCTCTGCCCAGGGCACCATGCAGATACTCAGAGAGCAATCAGCCCTCTGCAGTAGGGAAGCCATTGGCTTCCAGGAAAAAGGACCAGGAATGGGGGCTGCCCTGAAAAACAAGGGGCAGATGCATCGAGGGTGGTGGGGTAAGCTTTCTTCTCCTGGGCATGAGCAACAAGGAGGGAACAGCACTGTCTGTTAGAACTGCCTGTGGCCAGACCCTCTGATCGTGGCCTCTCCCAGACCTGGCCTCCCCAAGAAGGATTCCCCTTTGAAACAAGAACAGAGAATTCAGGCCGGGCACGGTGGCTTACACCTGTGATCTCAACTCTTTGGGAGGCTGAGGCAGGCGGATCACCTGAGGTCAGGAGTTCAGGACCAGCCTGGCCAACATGTCGAAACCCCATCTCTACTAAAAAATACAAAAAATTAGCCGGGCATGGTGGTGGATGTCTGTAATTCTAGCTACTAAGGAGGCTGAGGCAAGAGAATTGCTTGAACCCGGGAGGCAGAGGTTGCAGTAAGCCGAGGTCACAACACTGCACTCCTCCAGCCTGGGTAACTGAGCAACACACTGTCTCAAAAAGAAAAAGCAGAGAATTCGCCAAGTGGTTCTGAGTAGCTGCTCCTCTAACCAAGTGCCTATGGGGAATACAGGGGAATCGGCTCTTCTGCAGGCCTTGCGTCCTCAAAAACTCATTTGAACCTGTAATCCTGGTTTGACCATTGACCTATACACAAGCCAGTTATATCCCTGGGCTTCCCTGTCCCCATATGTGAAAGCAGGGATTAGACAGGTCATCTGAGATTCTCCCTGCTCTAACGCACCTATGTATGTATGTATGTGTGTGTGTGCATGTATGTACGTGAATGGTTGAACCTGTCATTCTGCCCTGGCCTTGTGTGCTCTGCTAGGGGACTCTGTCTAGCACCTAAGAACCAGTCTCTGTTTTTATAAATCATAATTCTTCTCAGAAACCATTCCTGAGCCCTTTTAGTTCCCCTCACTTCCAATTGCACTTTATCTTTCCCAACCACTTGTGCTATGTTTCATATTTTCCATCATTATTACATTGAATCCTCACTATAAATCTAGAGGAAAGGTGATGCGTTTCTCATTTTTCAAAGAAATTGAGACGCAGAGAGCAAGTGACGTGTCCAAGGTCACATAGCTAGTAAGTGGCAGAGCCAAGATTCAAACCCAGGCCTGGTTCATATAAGCCATGCTGCCTTGTGTCAGGGTCAGGGAGGGGGCAGAGAAAGAGAGAGAGAGAGAGAGAGAGAAAACAGCCCTTAGATCCTGCTCAGTGCTGACAATGAAGAATTGATAAAGCAGAGAATCCCGGAGCTGGTTGTCACCAGGGCGTCCACTCCAAGGTTGTTTTTTAAACAAATTTCCTGGCCGGGTGCAGTGGCTCACGCCTGTAATCCCAGCCCTTTGGGAGGGCAAGGTAGGCGGATCACCTGAGGTCAGGAGTTCAAGACCAGCCTGACCAACATGGTGAAACCCTGTCTCTACTAAAAATACAAAAAATTAGCTTGGCATGGTGATAGGTACCTGTAGTCCCAGCTGCTCAGGAGGCTGAGGCAGGAGAATCACTTGAACCTGGGAGGCAGAGGTTGCAGTGAGCTGAGATCGCACCATTGCATTCCAGCCTGGGCAACGAGAGCGAAACTCTGTCTCAAAAATAAAATAAAATGAAATAAAACAAATTTCAGAATGAAAGAATGTTTTATCATGCACTGAAAACTGACTTATTAAGCAGGTAACTGATACCACCAGCCTTGAACATTTTCCAGATCTCATGCCCCTCTTCTGCAGTGTATGGAATGGGAATCTGGGCCTTACCCAAGTTCTTGTCCAGGAATTCAGGCACAGGCAAAGCTTATTTCTGAGAAAAATAGGCGTCTCCAAAGAGTGAGTCTGAAAGTTTGTGTCTCTCGAATTTCATACGTTGAAACTTAACCTTCAATGTGATGGCATTACGAGGTTGAGCCTTTGGAGAGTAACTAGGTCAGGAGAGTAACTAGGTCTCCTGAATGGGATTAGTGCCCTTATAAGAAAGGCCCCAGAGGGCTGGGCGCGGTGGCTCATGCCTGTAACCCCAGCACTTAGGGAGGCCGAGGCAGGCAGATCACCTGAGGTCGGGAGGGAGTTCAAGACCAGCCTAACCAACATAGAGAAACCCCGTCTCTACTGAAAATACGAAATTAGCCAGATGTGGTGCATGCCTGTAATCCCAGCTACTCAGGAGGCTGAGGCAGAAGAATTGCTTGAACCTGGGAGGCAGAGGTTGTGGTGAGCCAAGATCGTACCATTGCACTCCAGCCTGGGCAGCAAGAGCGAAACTCCATCTAAAAAAAAAAAAAAAAAAACAGAAAAGAAAAAGAAAGGTGCCAGAGAGCTGCCTTGCCCCTTCTACCATGTGAGGACACAGCAAGAAGGAGTCCTCCCTGAGGAGTGGGTCCTCACCAGATCCTGAGCCTACCAGTGCCTTGACCTTGGACTCTCCAGGCTCCAAAACTGTGAGAAATACATTTCTGTTTATAAACCACACAATCAGCAGGGCATAGTGGCCCACACCTGTAATCCCAGCACTTTGGGAGGCCAAGGCAGGCAGATCCCTTGAGATCAGGAGCTCCAGACCAGCCTGGCCAACATGGTGAAACTCCGTCTCTACCAAAAGATACAATTAGCTGGGCATGGTGGCACGACCCTGTAGTCCCAGCTACTTCGGAGGCTGAGGCAGGGGAATCACCTGAGCCCAGGAGACGGAGGTTGCAGTGAGCCAAGATCGTGCCATTGCACTCCAGCCTAGGTGACAGAGTGAGACACTGTCTCTAAAACATCATATCATATCATACATCATATCATATCATATCATATCATATCATATCATATCATATCATATCCACCCAGTCTATGGTATTTTGTTATAGCAGCCGGGACTAAGATAGTGGGTTAGAGAAAAAAAAAGGGCTCTTTGATTTTCAGAATAGAGCACCTGTCATCTTTGCTACCTGCTCCTTGACAAAGTGGAAGAGCTGCAATTGAGGCTCCCCCTGCCTAGAAAATTTGATCTTGTTTTTAAGCACCTATTAATTGGCTAGATGTATTTGGAAAAAAAAACAAGCGTTTGTTCAGCAACAGGTAGGCTAAACTTGGGCATCCCCTTAGCTTTCATCAGATTCCCCAGTGCAATGCACCTCCTCAACACACACACAGACTTTTTCCCACTACAAAAGTAATGTGTGTTTGTTAGAGAAAAACAGTGAAATACAGATGAACACAAAGAATGCATCTTAAGTCACTCCGAATCCTGCCACACAGAAATAACTGCTGTTAAATATATGTGTGTGTATCTATTACCAATCTTTTGTTCTTCTGTAGAAAAGCAATTTATTTCAGGTTACATGAAGGATCACTCATGTATGAGTTTGCTTTACCAACTGGACTACTACCTTTATTAGGGCATTTTAATACAGGAAAAACATAAAAAGTATGGCAGTGGAGGGTGTTGATAATGGGGAAGGTTATACATCTGTGGGGGAAAAGGGTCTGTGGAAAAATCCCTGTATCTTCTGCCCAGTGTTAATGTGAACCTAGAAATTCTCTAAAAATTAAATCCTATTTTATAAAAAAGAGAGACATGGCCGAAAATACCAGCTCTGAAATACCTCCAGTTAATACTTTCTTTAAAAAGGTAAAATGCAGGCCAAGTTTGGTGGCTCACACCTTTAATCTCAGCACTTTGGGAGGCCAAGATGGGTGGATTACTTGAGCCCAGGAGATCGAGACCAGCCTGGGAAACATGGTGAAACCCCAACTCTGCAAAAAATACAAAAAAATTAGCTGGGCACAGTGGCATGTGCCTGTAGTCCCAGTTACTTGGGAGGCTGAAGTGGGAGGATCACCCGAGCCCAGAGAGGTCGAGGCTGCAGTGACTCGTCATCATGAGCCACAGCACTCCAGACTGGGCAACACAGCAAGAACTCATCTCAAAAAAATAAATAAATAAAATAAAATAATTTGCTCACAATTACCTTTCTTTTTCTTTTCCTTTTTTTTCTTTTGAGATGGGTTCTCACTGTGTCACCAAGGCTAGAGTACAGTGGTGCAATTATAGCTCAATGCAGCTGTAATTCTGGAAAATCTCCTGGACTCAAGTAATCCTCCTGCCTCAGCCTCCCCAATAGCTGGGAATACAGGCATGCACCACCAAGCCCAGCTTATTGTTTTATTTATTGTAGAATAGGGTCTTCCTATGTTTTCAAGCTGGTCTCGAACTCCTGGGCTCAAGTGATCCTCCTGCCTTTGGCCTCCCCAAGCACTGGAATTACAAGTGTGAGCCACTGTACCTGGCCAAGCAAATTATTTAAATAAATTTTTTAAAACATAGAAAAAGATTAAATGAAAAGTAAAAGTCTTATCTCCATTTCCCACCTACCAGCCCCAGAACCTCAAAGGCAATCCTCTTGGCCTCTATTGCCTCCCTGAGAAAAGTTAATCATACTCCAGCAGATAAACCTAAGTAACATATACACATTCATCATACTATATACATCACTCTGCCCCCTGCTTCTTTTGCTTAATAATGAACTTTCTCCCAAACAGTGAGACAGGAGAGTTCCTTTGACCCTTTTGCAGGTAGGAACTGGAGGGCACCAGCTCTGGGTCCAGTCGGCCATTTAGGCACCAGCAGGGACGAACTTTACTTGCTCGAACCCACTGGGTTCAGCCCCTCGTGAGAGGGAGCACACAGGCAAGTGGGTGCTAGGGCTGGGACGAGTACTTTTGGGCTCTGGCCCCACGGCAGCATGAAGGGGTGTGTTACAATTAAGGTTCTTTTAGGCCAGGCATGGTGGCTCACGACTGTAATGCCAGCACTTTGGGAGGCCGAGGTGGGTGGATCACCTGAGGCCAGGAGTTCAAGACCAACGTGGCCAACATGGCGAAACCCCATCTCTACTGAAAAAAAAAACCCAAAATTTGGCAGGGTGTGGTGGCGGGTGCCTATAATCCCAGCTACTTGGGAGGCTGAGGCAGGAGAATTGCTTGAACCCAGGAGGTGGAGGTTGCAGTGAGCCAAGATCCCACCATTACACTCCAGCCTGTGTGACAGACTGAGCCTCTGTCTCAAAAAAATAAAAGAAAAGAAAAACACAATTAATGCTCTTTTAGCAGTTGCCATCCACAGATGGCTAAGTGTTAGCCAGCTCAGCGGAGAGTCAAGGTGACAGCCTTTTTACACCCTGCCCTCTTGGTACAGAGTTAAGTGTTAACCAGCTCAGTGGAGAGCCAGGGTGACAGCCTTTTACACCCTGCTCTCTTGGTACCCGGGTTCTTGTCAGGTGTCCAGGAAGAATCAGGTCACATAGACTTGAAGGATGATGAATGCGGAGATTTTATTAAGCGGTGGAAGTGGCTCTCAGTGGAAGGGGAGCTGGAAAAGGGATGGTGTGGGAAGAAGGTGATCTTTCCCTGAAGCCTGGCTGGAGATAACCGGGCTCCTCTCTGAAGCCGTGCCATCTGAAGTTAAGCCGTGTCTATCCGTATGCTCCGATGCTCAGTTGCTTCCACTCTTGACGTTCAGCTGCTTGTCTCTTCTCTCCTTCTCAGCTACACCACTCTGCTCGTCTGCCAAGAGCTTTTTATGGGTACAGGGCTGGGGACATGGTGGGCCAGGGTGGTTTTGGAAAAGGCAACATTCAGGCAGGAAAACAGGAATGCATGTTCTCATTTAGGGCCGCAGGTCCAGGCTTGAGGGTGGAGCCATCGCCAGGACCTCGCCCTCTTTTACCCAGTATTTCCCTGCTGCAACAGGGACATACAGTACATACAGATCTTCCTCATCCTTTTACTGTTTTCACAGTACTGCATTGTATGTATATTCTAGAGTTTACTTCACTAGTCTCTACTGCTGAATTATTTGTTCTTACAAACACTACAATGAGCATCCTTATACACATATCTTGGTTTACTTTTTTTTTTTTTTTTTGAGATGGAGTCTTGTTCTGTCACCCAGGCTGTAGTGTAATGGTGTGATCTTGGCTGACTGTAACCTCCACCTCCCAGGTTCAAGTGATTCTCCTGCCTCAGCTTCCCGAGTAGCTGGCATTACAGGTGCACGTCACCATGCCCTGCTAATTTTTGTATTTTCAGTAGAGACAGGGTTTCCCTATGTTGGTCAGGCTGGTCTCAAACTCCCAACCTCAGGTGATCCGCCTCGGCCTCCCAAAGTGCTGGGATTACAGGCATGAGCCACCACGCCTGGTCCTCTTGGTTTATTTTTGCAAGGAAAGCCATAGAGTTGCTGAGTCAAAGGAATTTGCACTTGAAACCTTGATAGATATTGTCAGTTGCTATCCAAAATGGTTGCTCAATGTATACTCCCACTAATAGTGTATGTATGAGTGCCTGTTTCCCCAAATCTAAGCCAGTACTGACCATTACCAAACTTTTATCAAGCCGCTATACATTATATTGTCATTGTATCGGTTAGGGTTCTCCAGAGAAACAGAAACGGTAAGCTATATATATGGAAAGAAAGAGAGATTTGTCAGCCAGGCACAGTGGCTCACGCCTGTAATCCCAGCACTTTGGGAGGCTGAGGACGGTGGATCACGAGGTCAGGAGATCGAGACCACAGTGAAACCCCATCTCTACCAAAAATACAAAAAATTAGCCGGGCGTGGTGGCGGGCGCCTGTAGTCCCAGATACTTGGGAGGCTGAGGCAGGAGAATGGCGTGAACCCGGGAGGCAGAGCTTGCAGTGAGTCAAGATCGTGCCCCTGCACCCTGGCCTGGGCGACAGAGCGAGACTCTGTCTCAAAAAAAAAAAAAAAAAGAAAGAGAGAGAGATTTGTCCGAGAAATTGGCTTACATGACTGGGGGCTGGCAAGTCCAAACTCTGTAGGGCCAGCCCAAAGGCTGTAAATTTTCAGGCGAGAGTTGATGCTACAAACACGAGGCAGAATTTCTGCTTCCTCAGGGAAACCTCAGTTTTGCTCTTAAACTCTTTCAATTAATCAGAGGACACTCACCCAGATTACTGAAGACTTAAAGTCAGCTGCTTGGAGATGTTAACAACATCAACAAAGTACCTTCACAGCAACATCTAGATTAGTGTTTAATTGAATAAGTAGGACTATAGTCCAGCCAAGTTGACACATAAAACTAACCACATGTACACAAAAATATATCAACCTATTCACATCCTTTGTTCACTTTTCTATTGAAGTTTTCTTCTGAGAGCTCTCCTTATATGAGGGATATTACCATATGTCATATGTCTCGAAAATATCTTCCCTGTACCATTTCTCATTCGACTTTGTTTGTGGAATCTTCTGTCAACCAAAACATTTTTATTGCAGCAAATCTATCGATCTTTTCTTTATGGCATCTGAATTTCCTGTCTTGTTAAGAAGGTCACTCAGAGCCACTTTAGGAGCCATGGTAACCATCCCATTTATCAGGTTTTCTAAAAGCTGTCCCTGAATAATAAAGTCACAGAAAAGCAGCAATAGTGTACTTAGACAGCATTAGCCTGGCTCCCATTGAGAGGCCTGGATAAAGTAGGATTTAATGTTATGCCCTGCATTTATCAAGGGTCGATACAACAGCTTTAGAAAAAGCTTTGCGTCTTCCGCAAAGTTGCAATTGCCCATTTTGTTATTCAAGGCCCCTTGCAGAAGGATCCACTTAACAGATTATAGCAGTGTATAACAGGAGAAAATACTCGATGGAAAGGACTCAGGCATACAATGTCAGACAAGTACCATACACCCCACCTGGTTTTCCCCTTTGCCTTGATTGTCAGGAAACCTATAACCAAACACAATGCTCAAACGCAGTAACAACCTAACCTCACTCTGGGATGGAAGATTTGCCCCAGCCCACCCCACCCCTACACACACACCCCTATTCTTTGTATATTTTTTCAGGCAATTTCTTGAACTGCCTTCTCGTACTTGTGGGTTTGTTTGAAACCACCTGTCCCCATTGGAAGTGAATGAGGCACAAATACAGATATAAACAAAATGACTCAAGAAAGAACAAAGACGCTTGTCTGAATGGTGGCAAAGTTGACCCAGAGGTTTCTGTCTGAACCACAATTAACTAACTTTTTTTTTTTTTTTTTTTTTGAGACGGAGTCTCACTCTGTCGCCCAGGCTGGAGTGCAGTGGCGTGGTCTCGGCTCACCACAACCTCTGCCTCCTGGATTCAAGTGATTCTCGTGCCTCAGCCTCCTGAGTAGCTGGGACTACAGGCGCGCATTTTTGCCTGGCTAATTTTTGTATTTTTAGTAGAGACGGGGTTTCACTATGTTGGCAGGCTGGTCTCAAACTCCTGACCTCGTGATCCACTTGCCTTGGCCTCTCAAAATGCTGGGATTACAGGCATGAGCCACCGCACCCGGCCGTAACATTTTCATAAATGCGAAGAGAAACACAAAGAGGGAAGGCATGGTGACAAATCTGGACCCAAAGTTGACATTCAGCTTCTCCAAGCAGTGAAACTGGGAACCAACTTGGAGAAATTTAAGGAATTTTCAGCAGCTGTTGGGTGGCGAGAGAAGCTCTGCTGGGTTATCTGTGAAACCAGAAAATCTGAGACAAGTCTCAGTTAATTTAGAAAGTTTATTTTGCCAAGGTTCAGGACGTGCCCATGACACAGCCTCAGGAAGTCCTGACGACATGTGGCCAAGGTGGTCAGGGCACAGCTAGGCTTTACACATTTTAGGGAGACATGAGACATCAATCAAGATATGTTAAGAAGTGCATTGGTTTGGTCTGGAAAGGCGGGACAACTCAGAAGCAAAGGCAGAAGACTGGAAACATGGAGGGAGCTTCCAGATCACAGATAGTTGCATTCTTTTGAGTTTCCAATGAGCCTTTCCAAAGGAGGCAATCAGATATGCATCTATCTCAGTGAGCAGATGGGTGACTTAGATGAATAGATGGGAGGTAGGTTTGCCCTAAGCAGTTTGCAGCTTGAGCTTTCCTTAGTGATTTTGGGGGCCTAAGATATTTTCCTTTCACATATCTGTCTCATGTGTCCGTGTGAAGAGACCACCAAACAGGCTTTGTGTGAGCAACGTGGCTGTTTATTTCACCTGGGTGCAGGCAGGCTGAATCCGAAAAGAGAGTCAGCAAAGAGCAGTGGGATTATCATTGGTTCTTACAGGTTTGGGGATAGGCAGTGGAGTTAGGAGCAATGTTTTGCGGGCAGGGATGGATCTCACAAAGTACATTCTCAAGGGTGGGGAGAATAGAAAAGAACCTTCTTAAGGGTAGGGGAGATGACAAAGTACATTGACCAGTTAGGGTGGGGCAGAAACAAATCACAATGGTGGAATGTGATCAGTTAAGGCTATTTTCACATCTTTTGTGGCTCTTCAGTTGCTTCAGGCCATCTGGATGTATACGTGCAGGTCACAGGGGATATGATGGCTTAGCTTGGGCTCAAAGGCCTGACAATATCTAAGGTAATGGATTTAGGCAGCTCCATCCCTAACATTTGGGGGCCAGGGCTAGAATACAAATGGAGGCCCACATACCATGTGTCTCAGTATCTTAACATTCTAAAGCAAGCTCAAAAAGCTACAAAATCAAGTGTGTCTAATCTTCCCTCCTGAACAAAATACCTTCTTACCAACCTGGAAGCCAGGTTAGCATGTAGGATTCTCAGAAGTTCCACACTAAAATGTGGCAGCCTAGGGACAAACAACCTCCTGTCCCCAGCCCCCCACCCACAAGCTCCTCTCCTTCTCCTCCCACCCTTGGGCACCCCAACCCCAAAGGAATTTTCAGCAGCTGTTGAGTGGCGAGAGAAGACATGTAACAAGTGCTTTTGGTTTGGTCAGAAGAATGCATGAGGCTCCACATCCAAGCTCTGTCCACAGCCCCTGCAAATCGTCACCCCTTGGCCACACCACAGACCTAGGGATGCCACCATAAGAGCAACCTTGGGGAAAAGTGCAGTCAGTCTACAGGAGGAATAGGAGCCTTTGGCCATGTGGACACCTCGCTTCATGGGGAGGAGCACAGAGAAGGAGCAGGCCTAAGGGAGGTCCTAGGTTTAGGAAGAGATCATTCAACAATGCTTGTAAATAGACCAGCGCTGAGCTCTCCACGATGGCCTAGGTAAAAAGCTCTTAGAGTCATTATCAGTAGATTTTTTTTTTTTTGAGACGGAGTTTTGCTCTGTCACCCAGGCTAGAGTGCAGTGGCATGATCTTGGCTCACCGCAACCTCCACCACCCGGGTTCAAGGGATTCTCCTGCCTCAGCCTCCCAAGTAGCTGGGATTACAGGTGCCTGCCATCACGCCTGGCTAATTTTTGTATTTTTAGTAGAGACAGCATGTTGGCCAGGCTGACTTCAAACTCCTGACTTCAGGTGATCTGCCCATCTTGGCCTCCCAAAGTGCTGGGATTACAGGCTTGAGCCACCGCACCTGGCCATTGTCAATAGATTTCTAATGCTGATAAAAAAAAGACCTAGCAGGGCATTGTGGCTTACACCTGTAATCCCAGCACTTTGGGAGGCCGAGGCAGGTGGATCACGAGGTCAGGAGATCGAGACCATCCTGGCTAACACAGTGAAACCCTGTCTCTACTAAAAATACAAAAATTAGCCAGGTGTGGTGGCGGGCGCCTGTAGTCCCAGCTACTTGGGAGGCTGAGGCAGAA
Organism: Homo sapiens; assembly: GCF_000001405.40. Taxonomy (NCBI): domain Eukaryota; kingdom Metazoa; phylum Chordata; class Mammalia; order Primates; family Hominidae; genus Homo; species Homo sapiens. The sequence goes on from NC_000017.11 coordinate 74,726,145, forward strand.
GAATAGCTTGAACTCGGGAGGCAAAGGTTATTGTGAGCCGAGATTGTGACACCGCATTCCAGCCTGGGCGACAGAGAGAGACTCTGCCTAAAAAAAAAAAAAAAAAAGACCATGACCAATATGAGAGGATCATCCTGCCCCACCCCGAGCCAAGGTTCAGCTGAATCTGAAATGCTGAACCCTATGTGCACCCCCGGACCTCAGTGAGCTGGAAAATGTCCCGAGAAGACAGGACTGTTTCCTATGATGAAAATTGATGGAAACTCCTCACCCTGGAAAGGAAAAGGATAAAAGTGAAAAGAATTAGAATCTGTCACATTCTTTAAGACACGAATGAGGGGAACGTGGATGGACTACCCCTCACATTCTGGAATATTCTCTCTAGGAAGCACTTCTTAAAGCCTGAGGAAGTTAGATTCTAGATGTAAATTATTAAAACCACTGCACATAACAAACAAATGAGTTCTCTAACCAGGAGGAAATAAAAGCTGGAGAGGTTCAGGAGGTGGGTGGGGGCACAGTCATGGGACATCCAAAGTCAATGCCATGGACAACCTCATGGTAAGCAGACGCTGATATGCATTCCCTTCCATGTCACTGCCAGAGTTGAACAGTGGCTGGGCCCGACCCAAAGAGGCCCAGCCAATCTCTATGCTTTTACGGTTTAGTTGTTTTTATGTCTTTATGTTTTTACAAGTCCAGCTAAAGTTTGCACCTCCTAGTCCTTTCACACAGTCTTGAATTCTTGTCTTTGGAAAGAGGCCACTGTCCACTTTACACTAAGGCATTTATCCACTCACCCATTCATTCATCCATTCATTGAGGGTACCAGCCTCTGGGTGCATGTAGAGTTCTTCTCTGTTGTTTATGATTTTCTTTCAAACATTTCATCTGAACTTCCAAGCTAATTATCGCCCCTTCTCCCTCCCAGTTCAGACCTCCCAGAGGAAGGCGGCCTTCCCCCTCTTTTCCCAGAATCTGCTTCTCTTTGAAATCTTGTCTTCTCCTTGTTCTAAGTCCAAGTGTGCAAGGCACATACCAGCTATCTGATTTTGTTTTATTCTATAGACTGGATTTTTGGGGCTCTCCCACACAGGAGATCTATGGACATTGTGTTAGTCCCGGTCTTCCGAAGAGGAGATGTGAAGAGGGAATCAAATGTGCAAGGGTTTTACTGAGGGAAATGCCTGTGAGAGAAATAGAGTAGGTGCCAGGGAGGCCAGGGGAGCCTTCAGACCATGATGCAGGTTGGATCCCCGTGAAGGAAAGAGGGCAGAAAGGTTGCATGGAAGCATCCCAGACCACCTTGCAGTATCTGGAGGGTTGTGCAAGGCCATGAGGGAGCCCTTGAGCTAACTCAACCGTTAGAGGGGTCCTGTGTCTCCCAGGAACAGGCCTGCCTCAGTGTCCCTGCTGTGCTCCGCCTTTGGCTGGTAATTGCCTGTAGGAAGCATGACCTTGGTGCAAACATGACAATGATGGCTTTCAGAGCACGGCAGTGGGGACCATCGGTCATGGATGCCCCTGTGGATGGAAGTCTGAGAGACACATTCTCATGGTCACTTCAGATGCTCATTAACTTGGAGGGAGATCTCCTCTGTGCCTTCATGCCCCTTTCAGTGACTTCAATAGAAAATCGAGACTTTAGTGTGTTTGTGTGTCTGGGTGTATGTGTGGGTATCTGTGTGCATGTGTATGTGTTTTTATGTGTGTGTGTCTGTGTCTGTGTTTGTGTTTATGTTTGTGTGTATATCTGTGCATGTGTGCATGTTTGCGTGTATGCTGCATGTCTGTGAATGTGTGTGTCTGTGTGTCGGTGCCTGTGTATATGTGTCTGTGTGTCTGTGTGAATGTGCATATGTATGTGTATATATATATGTGTTTGTGTTATACATGTCTCTGTGTATGCATGTCTGTATATGCATGTCTGTGTGTTTCTGAGTTTCTGTGTGTGTGCATGTGTGTCTGTGTGCATGTCTTTGTATATGTTTCTGTGTGCATGTGTTTGTGTGCACATGTGTCTATGTCTGTGTATATGCATGTCTGTGCGAATGTGTGTTTCTGTGTGTTTGCATGTGTGCTTGTGTCTGTATATGAGGATACATGTTGGTGTACATGTGTTTCCACATGTCTGTGTGCATGTGTGTGTTCTGTGTGTATGTGTGTGTTTGTGTGTACATGTGTGTTTTATGTGTACTATGTGTATTTGTGTTTGTGTGTGTAGATGTTTTTGTGTGTATGTGTATCTGTGTGCATGTGTGTGTTCTTTCTATGTGTGCATGTATGTTTTGTGTGTTTGTGTTGTACAAGTGTGTCTGTGTCTGTATACGTGTGTTTCTGTGTGTACACGTTTTTGTGTCTGTGTGTGCATGTGTGTTTCTCTGTGTGTGCATGTGTTTGTGTGTGTGCCTATGTTTCTGCATCATGTGTGTTCTGTGCATATGTGTTGTATGTGTGTATGTTTATGTGTGTGTGCCTCTGTATGCATCTGTTTCTGTATGTATATGTGTGCTCTGTGTATGCATATGTTTGTGTGTGCATGTGTGTTCTGTGCATGTGTGTGCATGTGTGTTCTGTGCATATATGTGTACATGTGTTTTTCTGTGTCTGTATGTGTCTTGTGCATGTATGTTTCTGTGTCATGTGTGTTCTGTGCATACATGTGTACATGTGTTTTTCTGTGTCTGTATGTGTCTTGTGCATGTATGTTTCTGTGCCATGTGTGTTCTGTGTGTATGTGTGTACATGTGTTTTTCTGTGTCTGTACGTGTCTTGTGCATGTATGTTTCTGTGTCGTGTGTGTTCTGTGTGTATGTGTTGTACATGTGTGTACGTGTATGTGTGTGCTTCTGTGTGTATGTTTCTGTGTGTATGTGTGTTCTGTGTGTGCATATATGTTTGTGTGTGCATGGGTGTTCTGTGTATGTGTGTACATGTTTTTCTATGTCTGTATGTGTGTGTCAGTGTCTTGTGTGTGTGTGTTTCTGTGTGTGTGTGTGCATGTTGTGCACATGCGTGCTTAGAAAGAATCCACTCCCACAGCCACAAGGACACCTCTGAGGCCAACTCACATCACAGGCCCTCAGCTCTCTCTCTATTGTTCCCTTCCAGACCATCCTGGTGGGTGACAGTGGTGTGGGAAAGACGTCTCTGCTGGTTCAGTTCGATCAGGGCAAGTTCATCCCCGGCTCCTTCTCGGCCACTGTGGGCATCGGATTCACGGTAAGCACTGGCCGGCACTGCCAGCTCTGGGCCTGGGCTCAGGACCCCAGCGTGTTTCTGTTGAGTGCCAGCAGGAAACAGGTGGACACTCGCATTGGATCATTCAAGGAGGATTAAGGAGAAGACTGTTCCCCAAGGTGTAGGAGGGTGTTGGGTGACCAGGAGGGAGGGTATACTGCCCCTGGGTAGTCCAGGAACTCCGCCCACCTCTAGCCTCAAGCAGGAAGGGAAGGCACCCTCACCAGAACCCAGGGACAAAGCAGGCTGCTGGGTGAGCTGCCTGGCAGGAGCTGCGTGGGACTTTCAGTGGAGGGACACAGCAGCCCATGGGAGCCCCCCAGGGAGGCAGCCAGGAGAACAATCCCCTGTCCCACCTTGCTCTCCTCCTGCTCCCCATCTCCTTCTGGGGCTCCACATTGGATGAACGCAAGTGGAAGCCAGAAAGCAAAAAATATTTTAATATGGGATAGCTCAGGTCAGCCCTCCAAGGCAAGAAGATCTGGAGGGACAAAGGGACGACAAAGTTTTCAGCACAGTCCAAACTTAGCAGTCACACGGGTCTCAGGGAGCTGGCAGGCCCAGGTTACAGTTCCGTGTTTAGTCCTCGGTAAAATGGTAAAAGGGCAGCTCGGGTTAAGGAAGCCCAGTGCCCTCGGCTTTTTCTGCCCGCAGCCCCTCTGCGAGACAAGGGATCCCTCCTTTACCACACATCCCATCTCCCCGCGTTGTCCCGTGCCTGCGGCTGCAGCTGCCCTTGAATTCCTGGGAAGACCTTGGGAGAGGGTTCCACTCCTCTCTCGGGCTGTGGCAGGAAGAGCAGGGCCTTCCCTTGGGACTCCAGAATCCTAGCATCTCAAGATGGGGAAGAGCAAACATCTCTTCTTGGACAACGCGGATGTTTGGGAACCTCTGAGACCAGAGCACAGGGCCTGTGAGATCACGCTCAGGGTCAGGACGCAGCAGTGCCACACTGATGGGAAGAGAGAGAGGAAAACTCAGAAAAATGGGCTTGCCCACTGGGTCACAGCCAGGAAGGCAGGGGTTCAGAATGAACATGGCTTCTGCATGACCTTCCAGGAGGCAAAGCGGAAGTGAGTGCCTGGTTCGGGTGTGTTCTGGGGCCTAGAATCGGCCCTGAAACACCAGTTCCCAGGGCTCTCCCCAGACTGGGACCGGCTGGGCTCTGGTAGTGCTGAATAGGGAAGGGCTGAGACCCAGGAGGCCAAGGCTACCTGGCAATCCCTGAGGTCTGGGACCAGGCTGCCATGAAGCAAACCAGGATGACCTGGTGCCAGGCGTCACCCACCCCAGCCCAGGCCCAGTCTGCTCTCAGCAGCCAGGGCACACCCTGCCCTCAGGGTCACACCCGCATCTCCTCACCCACCCTTCTGCCTGTCTGGTGAGGAAGGAAGAGAGTGGGGTGGATGTGGCTGTGGACATGCAAAGTCTGACTCACGTTCCACAGACCACAGAGGTGAGATCTCCAAATTTTGCCGCTAGCTTGGCAAGAAAATTGAGGCCGATTTCCTGTGAAGGAAAAAGAAAGTGTGTGGTCAAACTGTTTGTCTAGCCTGAGATGAGACACACTGGGCTTTCCCACTGACCTCAGGGTGGGCCTCCTAGAGCCTGGGCTGCCTGCTTGGTACCAGCCAGCACCCGATGTTCTGGTGCATCTCAGGACAAACCTGTTGCCTGCTTACGCTGAGTGAGGACCTGAGCCCCTGGCCAGAAACTCAGCCTGGGGACACCTGAGCAAAGAACTGGTGGACATCGGGGTCTCCTCCAGATATCAGCGGTCTGGGGGTCCCCGGAGAGCCAGGCTACAAGACACTTGTTTACCCATCTGTCCTTCTCACGGAGATTTGAGATATGGCATGGATAAGGGCCCTGCCGCTGGCCAGGCTGTAGCCTGCAACTCCTGCATGATGGGAAGGGAGGCAGGTGCTGCCACAGGCTCCGCTCAGGAGGCTGAGTGCCGCCCAGGTGGCAGGGGAGGGACAGAGCCCCTGGTCTCCCACTTTGGAGGAGCCAGAGGTGAGCAGGGTGACTACCTCGGGCATGCCTTCACCCATAAACTACCAGGCCCATCGCCTTCTGGAAGTGGGACCTGCCCAGGTCCTGTGTAGATGCCTCTCAGTCAAGACCTTCCCTAAATTCTCCACTACCAGCCCCATCAAACTGGCTGTGGGGGTCGTGCTGATGGGGTTATGGCACACTGATGTCGATGGGGTTCACACAGGGGTCTTTCCAGTCCACCACAGTTCAGGTCCTCCTTGTTACCTCTCTCCTCAGTTTCCCCCAAATTCCCTAGTCTTGCCTAAACACTGATGCAAAATTCCTCTTTCAAAACCTTCACTCAGGCCAGGCGTGGTGGCTCACACCTGTAATCCCAGCACTTTGGGAGGCCGAGGCGGGCGGATCACTTGAGGCCAGGAGTTCAAGACCAGCCTGGCCAACATGGCAAAACCCCTTCTCTACTAAAAATACAAAAACGTTTGCCAGGCGTGGTGGCACACGCCTGTAATCCCAGCTACTTGGGAGGCTGAGGCAAGAGAATCACTTGAACCTGGGAGGCGGAGGTTGCGGCGAGCCAATATCATGCCATTGCGCTACAGCCTGGGCAACAGAGTGAGACTCCATCTCAAAACAACAACAACAAAAAAAAAAAAACACCTCACTCTGCTCATCCCCCACCTGAACATTCACGGTTCACTATTACCTTCCAAATAAAGTCTGAATCTCTCATCTGTTGGTCAAGCTGTTGCACAGTTTAGACCAGTGGTTTTCGAACACTCCTTCAGCGCACATAAAAGCCTCCAGGGGGAAGCTCATCTGAAATGCAAATTCTAAGCTCCCTCATACACATGCTGCTTCAGTAAAACCACGTGGGGGGCCCAGAATCTGGGGGTTCTGACCCAGGGGGTCCATGCGCCACATTTTGCAAAACATGAGTTGAGGCCTTGTCCCTCCAGTCTCTGCCCGGGTCTCCTTCCCACATCCCGACCCTGTGCTCTTTGGGCTGTGCTGTTCCCCAGCTCTGAAGTTTTCTGCCATCGACCTGGATAGCAGGGAGTCCCCTGCCCCCATCTCTGCAGGTGTGATTTGAGGTGTGTGTGGTGAGGTGATTTGAGGGGTGTGGCAGGTGTGTGGTGTGATTTGAGGTGCGTGGTGAGGTGTGTGGTGTGATTTGAGGGGTTAGGTGTGTGTGGTGTGAGTGTGTGTGTATGGTGAGGTGTGTGTGTCTGGGGTGTGATTTGAAGTGTGTGTGGTGTGAGGTGTATGTGGTGTGATTTGATGTGTGTGTATGTGGCGTGAGATGTGTATGGTGTGATTTGAGGGGTGTGTGGTGTGACGTGTGTGGTGTGATTTGAGGTGTGTGTGATGAGGTGTGTGGTGTGATTTGAGGGGTGAGGTGTGTGTGGTGTGAGGTGTGTGTGGCGTGATTTGAGGTGTGTGTGTGTGGTTTCAGGTGTACACAAGAGCCCCCCCATCTTTCAACACGCATGAGGGTCTGTCTCACTGACACTTGGTACCTCCACTATCAGCAGGGCTGCATGACAATGACAGTGTGATCTGTGATCAGGAGGGTAGGGGTGTCTATTTGGGGGTATTGTGGGGGTGTGCGTCTCAGATCTGGAGGCAATAAGAGGTGTTGGGGGTCATTTATAGGGTGATATACACATTTGGTGATGGTGTGAGGCATGGGGTCCATTGGAGAGGCAGGTGTTTGCACAGTGATGTGGCACAGGTGTTGATGGTGTGAAATAAACTGTGCCTGGAGCTGCACTGTGGTGACAGGAGTGTGTGTTTGGAGTGAAATGAGGTATGTGTGTTTGAGGGTCATGTAAGATGTGTATGTATGTGGTATGATGGTAGGTGTGTTTGTTTATAGTATGAGGTGCACATTTGTGGCATAATACAAAGTTGTGTGTGGGACATGTTATGAAGTGTGTGTTTGTGGTATAATGTAGGGTGTGAGGCATGTGTATTTATGGTATGATGTGAGGCAGATGTGTGTGGTATGATGTAGGGTGTGTGTGTATATTTGTGGTGTGATTTGAGAGTGTATGTGTGTGATGTGAGGTGTGTGTGATTTGAGGGATGTGTGTGGTGTGAGGTGTGTGGTGTGATTTGAGGTGTGTGTGGTGAGGTGTGTGGTGTGATTTGAGGGGTGAGGTGTGTATGGTCTGAGGTGTGTGTGTGTGGTGAGGTGTGTGTGTCTGTGGTGTGTTGTGGGTGGGTGCACACGTGTGAGTGTCTGTGGTGTGTGTCTGGGGAGAGACACAGGCTACCACAGCGCATACACAGCCTCAGAGTGAACGTTAGGAGGCCCAGGTTTCCTCCCCAGAGACCACACGGATCCCTTAGTGAGTCCCTATTCTGCACAGCCCCTGTTCCCTGTTCTGAATGTCTTAGACCCTAACCCACTTCTGACTCACCCGAGGCTGCCCTTGAACACCCTACAGGACATTACAGTGGCCCTGGGGACAGTGTACGCACCCTCCAAGTATGACATTACCCACATACCACAGACCCAGCAGGCCTGCAGCCCCTCTCCCCATGTTCAAAGACTTCTTCCCTAGGTCAGATTCCTCCATCCAGACTAGTGCAGCAACGCAGCAGGGAAGTGCTTCAGGCCACTGCTCCTTCTGGATGATTCGTGCTAATGTTCAACCTTCTGTATTCCAAACCCACCATAGGACAAAGAGGGCCTTGGAGCCAACAACGTGAACCACAGCTGGAGGCTAGAAATCTGAACTCAAAGTACCAGCAGGGCCACGCTCCCTCTGAAGGCTCCAGAGAAGGGTCATTCCTTCCTCTTCCATGGCCTTGGTGGCTCCCAGGAGTCCTTGGCATTCCTTGGCTTGCAGCCACACTCCTCCCATCTTGCCTCTGTCTTCACCTGGATGTCTTTTCCCTGTGTCTCTTTCTTCTTATGACACCGGTCATACTGGATTAATGGCCTGCCCTATATTAGTATAACCTCATCTTAATGAGTGATATCTGCAATGACCACATTTCCAAGTAAGGGCATGATCTGAGGTACTGGTGGTTCAGACCTCAACCTGTCTTTGGGGGACAGAATTCAACCCATAACAGCATGGTTTACAGTAGAAGGTGAGCATGAGGCATGCCCTGTCCCCTCTCTCATTCTTCCTCCACCATTTCCCTCCTGCAATGAAAACCCGCATCCTGGCTGGGCACAGTGGTTCACACCTGTAATCCCAATACTTTGGGAGGCTAAGGCAGGCGGATCACCTAAGGTCAGGAGTTCAAGACCAGCCTGGCCAACATGGTGAAACCCTGTCTCTACAAAAATACAAAAATTAGCCAGGCATGATGATGGGCACCTGTTATCCCAGCTACTTGGGAGGCTGAGGCAGGAGGAGAATGGCTTGAACAGCCCGGGAGGCGGAGGTTGCAGTGAGCCAAGATCGTGCCACTTACTCCAGCCTGGATGACAGAGCTCCACCTCAAGAAAGAAACAAAAAGAAAGAAAGAAAGAGAGACAGAGAGAAAGAAAGGGAAAGAGAGAGAGGAAGGAAGGAAGGAAGGAGAGAAAGAAAGAGAAAGAAAGAAAGAGAGAAAGAAGAAAGAAAGAAAAAGAAAGAAAGAAAAAGAAAGGAAGAAAGAAAAAGAAAGGAAGGAAGGAAGAAAGAAAGAAAGAAAGAAAGAAAGAAAGAAAGAAAGAAAGAGAAAGAAAGGGAAAAGAAGGAAGGAAAAGAGAGGGGAAGGAAGGAAGGCAGGCAGGCAAAGAAAGAAAGAAGAGAGAGAGAGAGAAAGGAAAGAAGGAAAGAAGGAAGGAAGGGAGGGAGGGAGGAAGGAAGGAAGGGAGGGAGGAAGGGAGGAGAGGGGAGGGGAGGGAAGGGGAGAGAAAAGACCGCATACCAGGCCAGGTGCGGTGGCTCACGCTTGTAATCCCAGCAATTTGGAAGGCCAAGGCAGGCGTATCGCCTGAGGTCAGCAGTTCCAAACCAGCCTGTCCAACATGGTGAAGTTCTCTACTAAGAATACAAAAATTAGCCAGGCGTGGTGGCGTGCACCTGTAGTCCCAGCTGCTCCAGAGGCTGAGGCAGGAGAATTGCTTGAACCTGGGAGGCAGAGGCTGCAATGCGCCAAGATCCCGCCACTGCACTCCAGCCTGGGCGACAGAGTGAGACTCCGTCTCCGGGAGCCCACGGCATTGAGCAAACCTCGGCATTATTTGCAGCAAGAGCCTCTGGCATCCAAATAGCAACCAACACCACGCCTCTGTAGTGTGCTGCGCAGCCTCCACACTCCAGTCTGAGGCTCCCTGTTTGAGTCCCGCCCTATGCCCAGCTGAGGTTATAGCACGCTCACCTCCAGAAGAGGTAACCCAAGCTCTTTACTCTACTGGAGATCACCTCTGTCCCCACTCTGGGCGCTTCTCCCAGCTGACAGAAAATACCTCCAGCTGATGTCAGAAAATACAGGGCTGGAGGCTGGCGTACAAAGTCAGTCCCCACAGGCCTATGGTGGCCCATAAGCCACGTCTACCCCTGCTCCTCACCTCCACACCTAAGTTAAGAATTGCAGGCCGGGCGCAGTGGCTCACGCCTGTAATCCCAGCACTTTGGGAGGCTGAGGTGGGCGGACCGCCTGAGGTCAGGAATTTGAGACCAGCTTGGCCAACATGGCAAAACCCCGTCTCTACTAAAAATACAAAAAGAAAAAATAGCCGGGCCTGATGTCGCGCACCTGTAATCCCAGCTACTCCGGGAGACTGAGGCGGGAGTATAGCTTGAACCCGGGAAGCAAAGGTTGCAGTGAGGCGAGATCGCACCACTGCACTCCAGGCTGGGCGACAGAGTGAGACTCTGTCTGAAAAAAAAAAAAAGTGCAGGTACCCCTCTCCAGCTCTCCCCTCCCTACACATCCCTCAAACCGTCCCGCTGTAATGCACCCGCCCTGTTCCTTGGTAACTTGAAGCTGCTTATAGAATGTGGAGATGGGGGTAATTGAAAGGTCGGCCCAGGCCACAGAGCCCCTGAGCTCTGCTACCGGCAACCCCAGCTGCACTCCCCACTCTCTGTCACCAGGAGCTGCCGGGTGCCTGGGATATCCTGGCAGCTCTGCTCAAAATGATCTACGACTTCATGAATTTATTTGGCTCCTCCTCGGGGCCAGGGTGAGTGTCATGGGTTAATAAGGCCGGCCCCGCCTTCAGGAGCGGTCCACTGGGAGATGTGTGCTGCGCAGCCCTCTTGCGAAAGCTCTCCCCTGGTGGGACATTCTGGGCACAACCAACAGGCCGGGGGAAATGAGAGGTGATCCATACTAAAGGGTCAAAGTCCCCGCACCAGGCAGAGGCCCCAAAACACCGCAGCGTACATGTGCTGCAAGGCGAGTACGGGTTGGTAAACAAAACTATATTCAGATGAGCTCGGGCCGGGTGACTTAACAGATGAGGAAGTGTCTCGGGGCCATCGGCGGAGGCGCAGCCCAGGGGTCCCCAGCTCCCCGCCTCGCCACCTGGGGACAGCCCACGGCCCGGGGCTCGGGCGCCGCCTGCTGTCGCGGTGCGCAGCGACTACGGGAACTCTTCCGCAGCAGACGGGGTCCCCGCGGCCCGCTCCCCCAGGGGCAAGCAAGCGACCACAGGGGACCGGTCCCGGGGCTGGATGTGGCTCATGTCCGAAGCGCACGGAGCCGAGCCGGTGTTGCTCAGGGAGGCTGCCCGCCCCTTCACGCAGACCCTGCGGCTCTGCGTGCCCTCAGGGAACAGCAAGGTCCGAGCCGGTGTCGTCGAGGGGGCGACGGGACGGAGGGAGGAGCCTGAGGGGTCCCGGTCGAGGGAGGGGAGGAGTGGGCGGGGCGGGGGTGGGGCCGTTCCTGCGCTCTCCTTCGCCTGCGGGCCGGCACTGCTCACCTCTCGTCCAGGGACATGACGGGCACGCCAGGCGCCGTTGCCACCCGGGATGGCGAGGCCCCCGAGCGCTCCCCGCCCTGCAGTCCGAGCTACGACCTCACGGGCAAGGTGGGTGGGCCTCTTCCGTGAGACCCCCGCCCTCCTCGGCGCTAGCCCCTTCCTGGCTGCGTCTGGGTTGGACTCAGCCCTTCCCCCAGGCAGCTGCGTCTCCCAGAGGAGGGAGGGAGAGAGGGTCAGGACACAGCCTCTGGGGCCGTCCCAAGCTCTAGGTGTCTCTGCTGGCTTGGTGGGGGCGGGTCGCGGAAGATCGCAAAAACTGAGTGATCCCCCCGCCGGCCCCAACTCAGTTCTCTTCTGCCACACTCTGGCAAATATGAGCCCCCGGGAGCCCATGCTTCTTGGTGAGGGTTAAGCGCGCAACTCTCGGGGCTCAGGCTGGGAAGGGCTGGGAGATGGGGACCGAACGGAGACTCGGAGAGGACGTCCCCTGCTGGCAGAGGAACTGGCGTTAATGCCATTTTCCGAGCTAAGCTCTTAGTTGAGATCTGACATCCAGGTTTAAGGCCTGATGTCCCCCAGCTGCTCCCCTCCCATTCCACCCGCTGGAGGCACTGCCTCCCACCTTCCTCCCTGCAGTCGGAAGCCGCTCCTCCCAGAAGGATGTTGCCAGCCGGCCTGCAGGTCACTTGGGAATTTTTCGAACCTGAGAAAGATTTCAGTGGTTGGTCTTTCGCATCCCGCACTTGAGAGAGCTCCAGGGCTGCTCTCTGGGGCTTGCTCCCTCTACAGGGGTGTCCTGTATGGAAACAGGTAGGGACAGCAGTGGACTGGTCTGTCGCCTTCCATCTGTGTCCTTGGAGTGAGCGGGTACCAGAAACTGAAAGAACTGCTGAGGGAGCCTAGAGCTTCCACTCTTCCTCTGCAGGGTTGGGGATGGAGTGAGGGCTGTCCTGGATTCCGCTGCATGGCCTTGAAGGAGACCTGCCTCTCTCTGGGCCTCGGTTTCCTCCCCGACACCAGGGCTCACCCTTGCTGGGAGCCTCAGCCTCCACCCCAGTGTTTCGGGGGAAGCCACCCTGCAAGTCATCCGCCCAGAGCCGTTGAGATAGGCGTCCTGTGTGGGCTTGTGGCAGGAAATGGGCCCCTGCACCCTCGGAGAGGAGGAGCTGCTGTTGGCCAGGCCCCAGGCTGAGGGGGACTGCCTGACCTTGTTGCCCTGCAAACCAGCTGGGTTGTTTGCCTAGGAGGTGGCCAGGCTAGGCAGCTGTTTGTGTTTGGTGGAATCACCGAGCTGGGTGGGTAGCTGGCATCGTTTGCTCAAGGCAGCTGTGATCTGTAAAGTACACAAAGACTGGCCCTCCCTCCCTCCTTCCTGCTCCAGGGCTGGGACCCAGGAGCCAGGGAGGAGTGCAGGCTCCAGAAAGCTCCTATCCCCCACCCCTTCATCTGTTCCCTGGCCAAGCGGCATTGGCCGGAGAGTTGGTCCCCAGCCTCCCCGGGCCTGCCCCAGGGGAGTGAGTCCAGGACCCTCTGAGAAAGCCTGGCAGGAGCTCCTTGGACCAGACTAGGGGTGATGTGGCCCACAGGCAGACAGTTCCCACCCTGGGCCACTCTTCCCTGGGTCTTAGGTGATTCACCACGATGATGGGCCCTAGCCATTAACAGACTCTAGAAATACCTCAAAGACATTATCCCTCCTCCTTCTACCCACTATGGAAACCATGCCACAGAAAGGTTAAGGAATCTTCCTAAAGTCACACAGTAGGCCATTTACAAATCAAGACCCATCCTTCATACCCCTTCTGCTCAGCCACCCCTGCCTCTCCACCAGAGTTAACTAATGCCAGTACCCCATGCCCACAACAGGAATGCCTTTGGGCTCCACTGTCAATTTCAGAGCCTCAAAAATAATTCAAACCTAGTCCCTGCTTAACCCATTAAGCCACCTAACCAGCAGCTGGGAAATTCCAGCATTGGATCTAGACCCCTGTTATCCAAGATTGGAGAACAGTGGGACAAAGTGCTCCTCTCCACCATTCCTGCGTGTCCCTGGGGAAGATGAGCAGAGCAGAGCCAGACAGTAAAGGAGAGGGCCACGCCCCCTCCACAGGTTACCTCCTTGGTACTCCTGCCCGCACTACCCACAGCAACCCCGGGATGCCGATCTGCAGCCACATGTCCCATGTGGGAGGTTTCTGCTGAAAGAACTTCCAACTACACATCTCCCCACTTCAGTATAAATTTCAACCTTCCCTAATTCATGCAACCTTTTTTTTTTTTTTTTTTTTTTGAGACAGAGTGTCGCTCTGTCACCGAGGCTGGAGTTCAGTGATGCAATCTCGGCTCACTGCAACCTCTACCTCCTGGGTTCAAGCTATTCTCCTGTCTCCGCCTCCCAAGTAACTGGGACTACAGGCGTGTGCCACCACTCCTGGCTAGTTTTTTGTATTTTTAGTAGAGATGGGGTTTCACCTTGTTGGTCAGGCTGGTCTCAAACTCCCAACCTCAGGTGATCCGTCCACCTTGGGCACCCAAAATGCTAGGATTACACACATGAGCTACTGCACCCGGCCTCATGCAACCTTTTAATAAACATAAAATGTCATTAGAAACTTCCAGTCAGGCGCGGTGGCTCACGCCCGTAATCCCAGCACTTTGGGAGGCTGAGGCGGGCGGATCACCTGAGGTCGGGAGTTCAAGACCAGCCTGGCCAACATGGAGAAACCCCGTCTCTACTAAAAATAAAAAATTAGCCAGGCGAGGTGGTGCATGCCTATAATCCCAGCTACTCAGGAGGCTGAGGCAGGAGAATCATTTAAACCTGGGAGGTGGAGGTTGTGGTGAGCCAAGATCTCGCCATTGCACTCCAGCCTGGGCAACAAGAGCAAAACTCCATCTCAAAAAAAAAAAGAAAGAAAGAAAGAAAGAAACTTCCAAATAAATGTTGTGACACAAAAAAAAAAACCCAAACAATATTCATTATAGAGTATGCAAATGACCATGCCCCACCCCCAGCAGATTCTGATAGACTCCCTTGGGTGGGAATCCTTGTCCAATATATTGACACTTCCCTTTCCTGTCAGTATAGCCCAGCCCATGCGTGTACTCACGAGCGGACGATGGATGACACAAGTACACAGAGGGACGGAATCCCTGCATGGTGTGGCTATGGGCAAATGTGGCCACTGTCTAGATTGTGCAAATGTGGTGGTTCTCTGGGGCCACAGAGCACACTTGGGGACCTGTTCATGGTGAGGTCTCAACTCCGGCCTCTAGGAACTTGAATGAGGACAGGAGGGTCAGAGGGAGAGCCTAGGAGGCTGAGCCAAGGAGCGTGGAGAGGAGAGACAGGGTGAAGATGGCGGCTGGCTTTCTGGAAGCAGGTGGCCTTTGGTGCGGTCAGCATTCGTGCCAGCCCCCTCTTCTCTGATCCTCTCCATGTGTCTCTCTCCTGGAATCCCAGAAGCTGCCCCTGACTCCCCATTAACTGCCTCTGCCCCTACCCCCTAGGTGATGCTTCTGGGAGACACAGGCGTCGGCAAAACATGTTTCCTGATCCAATTCAAAGACGGGGCCTTCCTGTCCGGAACCTTCATAGCCACCGTCGGCATAGACTTCAGGGTGAGGTGGCTGCAGGCACTTGCTTCCAGCAGAGAGCCAGGGCTGTGGCTCAGGCATGGGGGGGTTGCCCCCACCTTGCTCACCCTGGCTCCCAGGGACTCCCGAGGCTCATGCCTGGAGGGCACACAACCCGCTCCCCCAAGACCACAGAGGTGGCCGGGTCAAAGGAGACTGGGCAAGGTTGGCTCCTTGCCCAACTATAGGATGCAAAAAAATGAGACTGAGTCTTCGATTCCAGCTCCATTCCTGGGGGACTTCTCCCAAGCAGAGCAGCCGCAGGCACGGCATAAGCTGAATATCTTGGCCCACAGAGCCCCTGCTCATTGCTCTCCTACCTGGGCCCCTTTGGAAAGGCCTCAAAGGTCAATCAGTCTTTCTGGAGTTCCCAGAAAGCACAGCCCTGCACTGGGTTTAAGAGCTGGGCTTGGGCCGGGCATGGTGGCTCTTGCCTGTATTCCCAGCACTTTGGGAGGCCGAAGCGGTCAGATCACAAGGTCAGGAGTTTGAGACCAGCCTGGCCAACATGGTGAAACCCCGTCTCTACTAAAAATACAAAAATTAGCCAGGTGTAGTGGCACGCTCCTGCAGTCCCAGCTACTCGGGAGGCTGAGGCAGGAGAATCGCTCAAATCCGGGTGGTGGAGGTTGCAGTGAGCTGAGATCGCGCCACTGCACTCCAGCCTGGGCAACAAAGTGAGACTGCGTCTCAGAAAAAAAAAAAAAAAAGAGCTGGGCTGGCCATGTTGGGAGACAGCAGCTCACCAGGGACCCTCCCTCTCACCTTGACGACTCCATCTTACAAATCTGCATCAGGGATGCTAGACGCTGCACACCTGAAGTGTTCAATAGAGAAAAGGTCTCACCCTGGCAGGTGGGGCTCTACAGCTTCAAGCAGGCAGAAAGCGAACACTTCCTTCACTAGAGAATTAGTGGGCAGCTAAAGAAAAGGTGCTGCTGCAGATGTAGCCTCAGGTCCCCAGGATGCAGGCAAACACCCCATCTCCAGGGGCTCGGTCACAGTCCCAAGGCTAGGCTCCAGGAGAGGGAGACCGAAGTGGGAAAAGGGCAGGGCCTCCAGCAGCAACCAGCCCTCCAGCCCTGGGCTGCCTGATCCCTGGAGAGAGCCAGGATGTTTCTCAGGCTCCTCTTGCCCTGCTGTTGTGAGAAGGCAGTTACAGTCCTCAGAAGGGACGACTCCACAGTGGAGGTGTCTGGGTATGGGGTTCCTGCTGCCCTGATGGTATGATCTGGCTGGAGACGGTTCTGGGGCTCACTGCACCCACTCTAGGCCTGGAGAGGGAACAAGACAGGACGTCTGCAGAGCTGAGGAGCCACATGACTCCTGCCCTCCCATCCTCTGCCTTTTTCTCTTTCAGAACAAGGTGGTGACTGTGGATGGCGTGAGAGTGAAGCTGCAGGTGAGACCAGAGGCTGGAGTTGGGGAGGGAGGATGGAGGACCTGCCCTTCCTTCTCACCCTGAACCACAGGAGGCCTGCAGCCCTGCCCTCCGCCTGGGGCAATTTCCTGTGGGGCCCACGGGAGGAAATGGCTTTTGTTTATTTGACATCTGCAGAAAAAGCAGTTCCCAGGCACCCTCTCATCTATGAACAGCAGCTCCAAATGCCTTCAGACAAGCTTAGCCTCCATCCATCTCCTCCCCAGTTGCCAGGGCTTTATCTGCTCTTAGGAGATTGGACATCCCCAACCCCTGAGCTAGGGGAGAGGAGAAGATTCTTTTTTTTTCTTTTCTTTTCTTTTTTTTTTTGAGATGGAGTCTCGCTCTGTCGCCCAGGCTGGAGTGCAGTGGCACAATCTCGGCTCACTGCAACCTCTGCCTCCCAGGTTTAAGAGATTCTCCTGCCTCAGCCTCCTGAGTAGCTGAGACTACAGGTGCATGCCACCACACCTGGCTAATTTTTTGTATTTTTAGTAGAGACGGGGTTTCACTGTGTTAGCCAGGATGGTCTGGATCTCCTGACCTCGTGATCCGCCTGCCTCGGCCTCCCAAAGTGCTGGGATTACAGGTGTAAGCCACCGCGCTCGGCTGAGGAGATGATTTTGAACGAGCTTGAGAAATCAGTAACTGCTACTGTCCAGGTCATTGGATGCTCAGGGGCTCATGAGAACCTAAAGAAGAAAACAGCCCCACCTTCCCACAGATATCTCATACAACAAAGCAGGCCTGCTCCACCCAGCACATTCCTTGCACCTGCCTCCTTCTGACCATTTCTCCATCCCATCCCTTCCCAGATCTGGGACACCGCTGGGCAGGAACGGTTCCGAAGCGTCACCCATGCTTATTACAGAGATGCTCAGGGTGAGTCCCTCGCACCCTCCAACCCCTACCCCAGCCCCTTGGTAGCATCCGTGCTGCTGCCTAAGTCCCCTCTGTGATCCTCTCCCCTCCAGCCTTGCTTCTGCTGTATGACATCACCAACAAATCTTCTTTCGACAACATCAGGGTAGGTCCTCCCTTCCCCTGACTCCCACCCATAAGCAGCCAAGGCAAGGTCTATGCAGGCTGGGGTTGCTTCCTGCCCTGTGGAAAGCGGGTGGAGCGTGGAGTCCTCCTGCCTTCTGAAAAACACCTACTTGTGACTCAGAAGTCATATCTGCTGCTTTGTATTTGGTGGCCATGTGGGCATGAAGGCCAAGCAGGCTGTTGTGACCCTGTGCCACCTGCATAGCCCTCACTGTGATTCACGAGTGTGTTTCGTGACAAAGTGTTCAGAACAGCCCCCACTCCACCCTGGATAATTATCCACAGAGACCAAGGGAAAAACACAACCAGAAAAGTCCACACATACATCCAGGGCAAGTTGCAAGAAAGTGACTCAGTCAGACAGAGTGAGTGGTTGTATCCTCACAACCAAACTATTATAGAGACAAAAATTTGATAAATTCAAGCACCAATTTTGTTCACGACATTGTATAGGTTTCATGAATCCCCTGACCTCAAGGACAGTTTGCTGATAAGCAAACTAGGAGAATAAAACGTTTATATAGAAAGAGGAAAATCCATGGCACTCATACTCCTACCTCCAACCCCATGCTCATGGCAGACATCACTAATCAATCACAGTACTTTTGATCACTGAAACCCTTATGTGGTCTTAGAATCTTTAACAGGACACTCCAAGAAATCACTGCTGACAGCCAACTGATTTGTGAGATAAGGTCTCCATGCATCTGGATCTTCCATAGAACTGATAGTTGCACAGCATAAAATGGTGAGGGTGGGGCCATTGTGGGTTGAGCCACCAAGGAAGGCCATCCAGGCCTGGATGGGCCAGAACAAAGGTACAGATGAGAGAACGCACAGGGTATCGTGTTCAAGGTAGTGAGTAACTGAGGATAGTCAAACGGAGCAGAAGAAGAAAGGGGCAGCAGGAGGAAGAGAATGCCAGTCTCGCACGCCCTCTCCCACAGGCCTGGCTCACTGAGATTCATGAGTATGCCCAGAGGGACGTGGTGATCATGCTGCTAGGCAACAAGGTGAGTGGCTCCGGGGCAGGGTCAGCCCAGCCCTGCACTTCCTCAGCCCTAGCCGGCCCCATAACCACCCAAGAACAGTTATCTAGGCATCCTTCCTGAAAAGGACTCTGCAGCCTCCAGCTCAGGGGTCAGACATATCTGGAGGCTTCTGCCCATCCCATCTGCCCCTTCCAGGGAAAGTCCAAGTTGTTGCCTGAGAAATCAAGGGGTGCCCAGTTCTCAGCCCCCATTAGAGCAGAGTGAACAGGGTCCCAGGTCAGGGGCTAAGAGTGCAAAGGGTTAGCCCCAACTGCTGTCCTATTCCAAGACCCTTTACCAAAGGTGAGATCCCAGAGCTGGGAGCTACACTGGGCAGAAACCCTGGCCCCAGGCCAATCACACCTGCCTGCAGTCCCTTGGGCCACCAGCAGAGGGCAGGCAACGCCTGCTTCTGGGGCAAAATATGGGCCCGCTGGGGCGGAGGCCTCCTTCCCCAGAGTGACCCATTTGGGCTTGACAGGCGGATATGAGCAGCGAAAGAGTGATCCGTTCCGAAGACGGAGAGACCTTGGCCAGGGTAAGTGATTGTCTGTGGGACAGGGTGAAGGGTGGGGGCAACCCGACGCTGGCCCTGAGGACACTCTCTCCCGGGCAGGAGTACGGTGTTCCCTTCCTGGAGACCAGCGCCAAGACTGGCATGAATGTGGAGTTAGCCTTTCTGGCCATCGCCAAGTGAGAGCTGGGCAGGGAAGGGAAGTGTGCGGGGCAGGGCGGCACACTCCAGGAATCCAGTAGGGCCCGGCCCCTGGCCCAGCCCCTGGACACACCTGCATTCTGCAGGCTGAGGTCCATTTGCTCTGGGAGCACTGGGCCACTGGGAGAGGGGAGGGGGCGGCTCAGCTCCTCACCCCAGCCCAGCCCAGCCCAGCCCAGCCCATTGTCTCTTCTTCAAGGGAACTGAAATACCGGGCCGGGCATCAGGCGGATGAGCCCAGCTTCCAGATCCGAGACTATGTAGAGTCCCAGAAGAAGCGCTCCAGCTGCTGCTCCTTCATGTGAATCCCAGGGGGCAGAGAGGAGGCTCTGGAGGCACACAGGATGCAGCCTTCCCCCTCCCAGGCCTGGCTTATTCCAAGAGGCTGAGCCAATGGGGAGAAAGATGGAGGACTCACTGCACAGCCGCTTCCTAGCAGGGAGCTATACTCCAACTCCTACTTGAGTTCCTGCGGTCTCCCCGCATCCACAGGGAGGGTAAAACACTTAGCTTTTATTTTAATAGTACATAATTTAATACCAAAAAAGGCGCCTGGATCCCCAAAAAACCGAGGCTGGGAGCTAGTGGCCCTTTTGCTTTCTAGGACTTGGGGGGCCGGCCCTCCCTCCTAAGCATAACAAAGGTGGTGTTGCTCCAGCTCAGCCCCAGGGGACACAGATGCACTTTGGGGGTGAGGGCAGGTAATGACTCCATCGCACCCTCAGTTCAGCTGGACAGAGGCTCAGGTGACCCCAGCCTTCACTGTCTCCCGCTCTCCAGGAGCTTATCTTCGCCCCATCTCCCAAATAAGTGGGCCCTTGTGCTGTGAGGAAGACCAAAGCCTCAGGGAAGATAAGAGATATGGAGATGGGAGGGGGAGGACAAGGGGCAGAGAGTAGGGTCTAGCTGGCTATCTCTGGCCTTACTAACACCCCCCTGGAGGCATGCCCCTTTTCTCCAGCACACAAGCACATTGGGGCACCTGGAAATATTGGTTCCAGGCTCCTGTTCTCTGGACTTCAGATCCTGGGGGAGCCCCTCCCCCCCCTGAATCCCTGGCTTAGCTACCTTCCTGCCTGTGCACCTAAAAACCTCAGGTCAGAACTAGGAAAAGAGTTTTGTTTTTATTTTTTTGAAATGGAGTCTCGTTCTGTCGCCCAGGCTGAGGTGCAGTAGTGCAATCTCCGCTCACTACAACCTCCACTCCCTGGGGCTCAAGCGATCCTCCCACCTCAGCCGCCGAAGTAGCTGGGACTATAGGTGTGTACCATCACACCTGGCTAATTTTTGTATTTTTTGTAGACACAGGGTTTCGCCATGTTGCCCAGGCTGGTCTTGAATTCCTGAGCTCAAGCAACCTGCCGGCCTCGGCCTCCCAAAGTACTGGGATTACACGCAGAAGGCACCATGCCCAGGCTAGATGTGTCTTATCCCAATCCTTTGGCAGGCATGCAGCTCCACAGGCGATTTCTTCAAGCAGCTGAAGTGTTTAGCCCTCCTGGGTTAAGAGCCAGATAAGGAGAAATCCCTTTCCTAGGTTTGGAATGTGTTGTGAAAAAAAAGAGAAATCCCTGGCTCCTGGAGCTGGTGGGAGACAAGATTAAGCAAACCTCCCCTGACATGTATCCCTTTGACCCCAAGCTCTGCCTCCTCCCTGACCACCCATGCCCTTTCCTTTAACTTCTCAAACAGATACCAGGGCCTAAACTGCTTTACCTCCCCTCCTACTGAGTCAGGTTAGGTGGTGGGAGGTCACCCATTTCCGAGTTAAACCAATGCAATATGAGTAAAACAAAGTCATGTGGGTATGTCTGGGGTAGAGAGAGGGGTAGCAAGTTCATGTGTCCTCCTTGGTCACATATCTCCCAAAGCTCCGATCCCTGCCATGGGAAGTGGACAGGAAACATGAGGTCATGACCTGCAGGCATCTTTACTGCAGCTCTGCCGGCCTGGAGGGGGAGAGGGGGAGGAAGAAGTATGCGCTGCACATTTCTGAGGCTACTGCATTTGCTTTCAAGGCAGAAATCTTGCTCTGAGCAGTCAGCGGCTCCAGTTTGGGCCCGATAAGGAAGTTCTCCGTGGCCTCCCTCAGGCAGAGCAGGGAGGAGGCTGACATTGCCAGTCTCTTCTGGGGCCCAAGGCAGGTTGCAGGAGATCCAATCCCATAGACAGCTCTGGGCCTCTTGCATTTGAGTTTTTCAGAATTAAACTGCAGTATTTTGGAAAGCACATCCTGTCCACTGTTTCTTTGAAGTGAGTGGGGGGGGGGGGTCTTGTTGAAGGAATTGTCATTCACTGCCAAAATCATTCCATCCTCCTTCCTCAGTGTCTGTCCTCAGATGGTCAGCTCCCCGCTCAACAGACTGTCTCCCGCCTCTGTGACCAGCCTCTCTTTGGCAAGAGGGAGCTAGAAGGCTTTACAGTCCTAATCATTTTTCTGTTGGAAAAAAAAAAAAAAAACCAAGGCTCCTTTCCCTGTGGCGTGTACCCAGAGGTTGATTACCTGAGTCTGTCCTGCCTCTCCCCACCCCACCTCCCTAGCCAAACGCTGCTGCCAAAGCCCACGCTATTGCCCTAGATGGCCTGTCTTCAGCGGGCTGCCCCTCGAGGTCCCAGGCTCTCCGCGGAGCCCTCACCTTCCCAGCAGGGATCAGAACCTGCACTCCTCTATGCGAGTCCTGGGACAGCACAAAGTGGATTAGGGTTAGGGTTCCCACAAACGGAAAAATGTTATTCAAACAACTCTGTAGGGTCCGAGGAGGCCCTCCGTCTTAATTCTCGAGACTGACCGGCCCTCGCTGCCCCGAGCGGGAGCAGTTGCCCCGGCAACAGCCGCTCCCTCTCAACTGGAGCTGCACCCAGGCTTTGGCTAAAGGCTGTTAAAACGTTGGCCAGGTGCGGTGGCTCACGTCTGTAATCCCAGGGCGGATCACCTGAGGTCAGGAGTTTGAAACCATCCTGGCCAACATGGCGAAATTTCGTCTCTACTAAAAATACAAAAATTAGCGGGGCGTGGTGGTGCGCGCCTGTAACCCCAGCTGCTCGGGAGGCTGAGGCAGGGGAATCGCTTGAACCCGGGAGGCGGAGGTTGCAGTGATCCGAGATCGCGCCACGGCAGTCCAGCCTGGGCGACAGAGCGAGACTCCGTCTCAAAAAAAAAAAAAAAAGTTAGGGTCCTTTACCCGAGGGCCGGCTTTCCTCACTCCCCGCCACAGGTAGGGGAAACCAGGCCGGAGCCGGCGGGCCCACCCGCCCAGAACCGGGAATTCGGCGAGCCCCGCCCCTGCCACCCCAGCGCCGGCCGCTCGGTAACAAACACTTCCACTTCCTGAGCGCTAGTCTTCGCCCGCCGCGGGGCGCCGCGCCGAGCGCAGGCCCCGCCCCGCGCGTTCCCAATGGCCGGCGCCGTTCACCCGGCCGGAGCGCCCAGGCCTGCAGCCCCCTATTGGCCCGCGGAGGTCCCCACCCTCAGCGCGGCCCCGCCCCCGGGGTAAGGAGCCGGGGCGGACTCTGGGACGCTCAGACGCCGCGCGGGGCGGGGATTGGTCTGTGGTCCTCTCTCGGCTCCTCGCGGCTCGCGGCGGCCGACGGTTCCTGGGACACCTGCTTGCTTGGCCCGTCCGGCGGCTCAGGGCTTCTCTGCTGCGCTCCCGGTTCGCTGGACGGGAAGAAGGGCTGGGCCGTCCCGTCCCGTCCCCATCGGAACCCCAAGTCGCGCCGCTGACCCGTCGCAGGGCGAGATGAGCGCGGACGCAGCGGCCGGGGCGCCCCTGCCCCGGCTCTGCTGCCTGGAGAAGGGTCCGAACGGCTACGGCTTCCACCTGCACGGGGAGAAGGGCAAGTTGGGCCAGTACATCCGGCTGGTGGAGCCCGGCTCGCCGGCCGAGAAGGCGGGGCTGCTGGCGGGGGACCGGCTGGTGGAGGTGAACGGCGAAAACGTGGAGAAGGAGACCCACCAGCAGGTGGTGAGCCGCATCCGCGCCGCACTCAACGCCGTGCGCCTGCTGGTGGTCGACCCCGAGACGGACGAGCAGCTGCAGAAGCTCGGCGTCCAGGTCCGAGAGGAGCTGCTGCGCGCCCAGGAAGCGCCGGGGCAGGCCGAGCCGCCGGCCGCCGCCGAGGTGCAGGGGGCTGGCAACGAAAATGAGCCTCGCGAGGCCGACAAGAGCCACCCGGAGCAGGTAAGCGGGGCCCAAGCCGCGCAGGCTGGCATGGAGTGGGAGGAGGATCCGGAGAGACCCAGGTGCCCCGGCCGTCCAGCCCCGCGCCCGCCGTCGTTTTTCTGAAACTCGAGCTGCGAGGGGGAGACCGCTTCCGCCCGCCGACCAGGCGCCCTGACACATCCTAGGCAGGCCTGGGGCTGCGTCCCGCGACCTCCTCTCCTTCCCAGGCTGTGCTGGGAGCTTGAGCGCCTTTGCCGCCTGCACCTCTTGTTCCCTGGCCTTTGGGAGGGCGGCGCAGGGGAACCCAGCCCCCTTCCCTCGGGTCTGTGGGTGTCTGCTCCCGTTCCTCGGAATCCCCCAATCCTGCTCCTTCCCTGGTGCCCTCTCCTCGTTCACCCCAGTCCGCAGATGGGCCGGGGAGAAAGGGCTCTCCGCCCCAGAGGTGCCAGCTTCGCCCGCCACTCCTACTTCAAAAGCTAGAGGAATAGCATTACTCCTCCTGTGTGGAGCCCCGGCGCGAGGAGGCCCTCTCCGCAGCCCGCCGGTGTGTGTCCTGAACTTCAGTCCTGCTGGACTTCATCCTCCCGGAGTCCTGTGTGACTTCTAAGGGAGAGGAAGCCCCACCATCTCAGGGCGGTGTGGGGGTTGCCTGGCAGGGAGGAGGAGCCAAGGCATCTCGGAGTGGTGGTTCTGCCACCTCAGAGGATTTACGATTCTCAGGAATGTGAAGAGTAAGCGCCTAGAACTGTATCTGGGAGGGAAGGGGAAAGACCTTGGAAGAAGAAAAAGATGGCCATGGGGAGGAGAGAGAGCTCCTGGGGCTCACGGCCCTGTGTGCGCCAGCGGAGCTCACGGTGAGCCGGTGGTCTTGCCCTGGCCTTGCCATGGTCACTCTGGTGCCCACACAGCCAGCAGGCCGGTTGCTTTTTGCCCATGTTTGGTGTTTGCCCATGGGATCCCAGTTTGGATCAGCTGCAAGAGGGGCAGCTGGCAAAATAGGAGTTGTGCTGAGCCTCCTGTCCCCAGAGAGTGGAGTGGTGCATTGTGTAGGGCAGGGCGTGAGCCTCCCAGGACCCCTTCAGCTTGCACCACCAGCTCTCCCTGGTGGCAGTGTCTGATGGGAGTGTCCGTGGGGCTACGAGGAGCCTCCTGGACAGAGAAAGGGCACAGTTCGGCATTAAGGTAGAAGGCAAAGCCCTAGAGGATCAACTGGTTTGGTGGAAGTGAGGTCACCAGAAGCCCTGTCCAGCCAGAGCTGGGTGCTGGGAATGCCAGGGCCACCAGGCTCCCACTTCCTGCCCCTGCCAAGCTGGCATTGGCAAGGGGAGGGGGAAGGGATCTGAGCACCCGGAGCAAGGAGGTTGATGCCAGGGAGTTGGGGCCGATGATCTCCAGTCCCAGGCAGAAATCCAGTGTGAACTTTGTGCTGAGTCCATCGATCGATTTGACATTCTTTTTTTTTTTTTTTTTTGGACTTTGGCACCCACACAAATACCCACCCACCCCCACCCCCCACAAGTTGCAGTCTCGTTCAGCTCCTCCCTTTGCCCTTTTGGTTATGCTGCTGGGTGCCAGAGGGCCTGGGAGGCGAACGTGGAGGCCTGGCATAGCACACGTGCGCAAAGGCAGCAGCTTTGAGCTTCCTGGGTGAGCACAGACTCAGATTCCTGCATGTTTTGGAGGGACACCTACATTTGTGTGTACTTTGTTAGGCCAGGAGATGAGAGGAGAGCCACCAGCAAATCCTGGGGACACCATCACCAGCCAAGTCCCAGGACTTCTGAGTTCTGGTTCTCCCATCTGTGAGATGGAGGCATTGGGCGATGTGATGCCTGCCTTCTCTAGAATTATAGAAATGACGTGAAGCACTTGAGCCCCTTACTAAATGCTGAACTGCACTCCTTCATGCCTGGCGTTTGAATCCCAGCTCCTCTAAACTGACTCCTAGTCAACACCATTGAGTCCTTCTAGCAGAAAATCCTCTCCTCTCAATCCTGTGTGTTGAGCATACAGACACCCATGTGGTTATTAGAAAAAATGTTAACAGACATTGTAAGAGTTCGTTTTTCTAAAACACACCCGTTTCCTACATAAAGCATCAAATGGAGGTTTGCCAATTCGTTTTAGTCTGAATTTGTGTGCAAGGTGGGGCTGTTCCCTTGTCTTCATTAGCCCTCCACTTACTAAGTGATGATATCAGTGGAAAAGTGTGGCGCAGAGAGTGGTTGGCTGGGTGGCCTCTGGCTGGGAAGACCAGCTGTGTCCAGAACCACTCAGGGCAGAGGCTGAGGGGTGCCTGTAACACTGGCCATCCCCGCTGGGGAGTCTAGGCCTAAGGAGGTGGAAGTGGCTCTCCAGCTCTGCCCACCGGCTTTGCTTTGTGGATGGCCTTCCCCGCCTGCCCCGTGGGGAGAGAGGAGCAGCAAGACCCGCCCTGCTGTTCCCCTGCTTAAAGCCCTCCTCCCCCCATTCACCACCAGTCACAGGATGAGGCCTAAACCCTTGAGTCTGGGTTCAGAGTGCCGGCCGGGCAGAGCCGAGCCAGCTCAGCTGTACTAGCCAGGCTGTGCGAAGCCAAGTTACCTCACCTCTGTAAGCCTCCATTTCCTCTTGTGTAAGTTGGGGGTTATGGCAGCTACCTCGGAATTGCATGAGGCTGTGTGTAAAGCACGTAGCTCAGTGCCTGGCACTGAGTCCAGGCTCAGCCAGCCTTTGCAGTTGGTATTGGAATGAATACATATTTCATAGTGATCATTGCACACCTATCATGGGGCAGCTAGCGCTGGGTCAGCCTGCCTAGTTGGGCAAATGCCACTGTGGCCAAGCCTGGCACACAGTCAGTGCCTGATCGATGGTCACTGTGGGTTAAGAATGATACGTTGTGGCCAGGTGTGGTGGCTCACACCTGTAATCCCAGCACTTTGGGAGGCCAAAGTGGGAGGATCGCCTGAGCCCAGGAGTTTGAGACCAGCCTAGGCAACATGACAAGACCCTGTCTCTATTAAATTTTTTCTTTTTTTTTTTTAAGAGTTATATGCTGTTCCATGGCCCTTCTCCATCTGGCAGCCTGTTCTCACCACTGCCTCCCTACCCCCAAAACCACACCCAGGGTCCGAATTCCCCTCTAGCCTCTAAGCCTTCACACCCTGACACTTCTGTCCCCTCCCAGGGAGCCTGTCCTTAATCCAGTAGGCAGAGTTAGCATTTCCTTTCCTTCACTTTTTTTGTTTTTGTTTTTGTTTTTGTTTTTTTTGAGACAGATTCCACCCAGGCTGGAGTGGTGTCGCAACCTCGCCTCGCTGCAGCCTCGACCTCCAGGGCTCAATCGATCCTCCCACCTCATTCTCCCTAGTAGCTGGGACTACAGGCATGCACCACTATTCCCAGCTAATTTTTAAATTCTTTGTAGAGATGGAGTTTCACCGTGTTGCCCAGGCTGGTCTTGAACTCCTGGGCTGAGGTGATCTGCCAGCCTCGGCCTCCGCCTCCTCTTTGTCCTTACATCTTTTATCGCTCTAAACACACAATATTTTAATCATCTGTTTGTGACCTTTTTCTCCACTACGTGGTAAGCCCAAGGGCATCAACTGTGGCCTATTTGTGTTTCTATCCCCAGCGCTGTCCTTGGCACATGGTAGGGAGGCTCTCAAAAACAGTTTTTGAATTAATGAATGAATATATAACAACAGTCAGGGACCTTTGTCCTCATTCAGCTCATCCCGCCCCGCCCAGAGATTGGAATTCCAGATAGAACCTACCCACTCTTCTTTCTTGCCTGCTAGCAGCTTCTATTTGAAAACTAGAAAGCCAAAAGTCCAGGCTTTGGGGTCAGCCAGATCAGTGTTTGAATCCCAGCTCTGCCGTGTGCTGGTTCTGGGATCCTGGGAGTTCATTTTTCCCTGCAACCCTCAGCCTCCACCTCTGTGAAAGGCACTGCCTGCAGGGTTATTGGGAAGATTTGGTGGCATGACAGGTTTGTAAATGAAAGTGCTAGTTTGGGGTGTTTCCTGCCAGCCCTGACCCTGATCCCAGAGTCAGAGTGCAGGCACCCCAGGGAGCAAGGTGGGTGGTGGGGCACAGTTAGCTGGAGGGCCATCAACCTCTTTCCCAGGGCGGGCGGGCCATTTTACACCAACCAAGTTGGAGCTCTGGTAGGGCAGAACAGAGCTTGAGCTGCTGGGTGTTTGGATTTGAAATGGACAGGGTATGTGATTGTTTGTGTGTTGGGATCTCTTTCTTTGCTGGCAAAACAGTGTAGCCCCTGGTTCTTACCTTCAAGCTCCTGTTAACTCAGTAATTCTGGAGATGATTCTCTTGGAGATAGATGGGGGCTTCCTGGCCGGGCGCAGTGACTTGTGCCTGTAATCCCATCACTTCGGGAGGCTGAGGCGGGAGGATCGCTTAAGCCCAGGAGTTTGAGACCAGCCTGGGCAACATAGTGAGACCTCGTCTCTACCAAAAAAACAGGGGGAGGGGGGTGAATGGGGGCTTCCTTCTCAAGGAACTCCATATGTCTAGATGGGGTCCTTCTCCCCTTTCCCAGATGTCCCATCTCAATGGTCCCTGGGAAAGTGGGGTGGGAAATTAATAAGAAACTCAGGCCAGGCACGGTGGCTCACGCCTGTAATCCCAGCACTTTGGGAGGCCGAGGCGGGTGGATCAGTTGAGGTCAGGAGTTGAGGTCAGGAGTTCAAGACCAGCCTGGCCAACATGGTAAAAACCCATCTCTACTAAAAATACAAAAATTAGCGAGGCGTGGTGGCAGGTGCCTGTAATCCCAGCTACTCGGGAGTCTGAGGCAGGAGAATGGCTTGAACCTGGGAGGTGGAGGTTTCAGTGAGCCGAGATCGCGCCACTGCACTCCAGCCCGAGCAGCAGAGTGAGACTCATCTCCAAAATAAAAAAAAAAGAAAGAAGAAGCTCAGCCGAGGTCTTGTTGGTGCTGCAGGACTCTTTACAGGGAGAAACCAGAGCTCTAGACCCCAATAACAAATGTTCCTCTGTTTTCGTTGCTCTAAGATAGAGTGGCCCTACCTGGAAGGAAACAGGTTTGTACAGTGCCTTTAGGCACTCTACCTATGACATAAAGATGTTGACATGCATTTCTTTCTTTCTTTCTTTCTTTCTTTCTTTTTTTTTTTTTTTTTTTTCCTGAGACAGTCTTGCTCTGTTGCCCAGGCTGGAGTGCAGTGGTGTGATCTCGGCTCACTGCAACCTCCGTCTCTCAAGTTCAAGCAATTGTCCTGCCTCAGCCTTCCATGTAGCTAGGATTACAAACACCCGCCACCACACCCTGCTAATTTTTGTATTTTTAGTAGAGACGGAGTTTCACCACGGTGGCCAGGCTGGGTGGCACCTGTCACAACACCCTGCTAATTTTTGTATTTTTAGTAGAGATGGGGTTTCACCACATTGGCCAGGCTGGTTTCAAACTCCTGACCTCAGGTAATCCACCTGCCTCGGTCTCCCAAAGTGCTGGGATTATAGGCATGAGCCACCACACCCAGCCAATATGCATTTCATTGTCCCCCAGACAAATTAGCTATTGTTTTCTCTATTTTGTAGGTTGACAGTAAGTGTTCAATACATGATAGCTACTATTTGTGTCTAGCACTGTGCTAAGTACTAACCTTGCCTGTCTCATTTAATCCACATGACCACCAGTGAGGCAGATATTGGCCCCATTCTCTGCCTATGGAGGCTGAGGCTTGATCAGTTAAGGTGGCCATGGCGGGTCCCAGGACTCTGAGCTAGCGACTCCTCCCACACAGCGCAGGGGTGTGTCTTGGAACCCAACCCTCTGACTCTAGTGCCTGCACAGCCATTTGGCCACATGAGTAGGCTGTGCTTGAAGCCTGACTCTGCCAGGTGTTTCTGCCCATCATATTCTGAGCCACAGCTGGACCATCACAGTGGTATAAATTCAGGCTGCTTGAACTGGCTTCCTGTAAGGATCCAGGGCTTCCAGGTGCTCCTGTCCCTAGCAGGGCATCCTTGCAGTGCCTCAGCCCATAAGTGGCAGGCTCCTGTCCCCATCCCTTCTCACGTGATGTGATAGGTCAATCTGGAATCTGGTAACCAAGTATCTACCCCCGCCCTCACTCCCCAGAACCTGCACAGAGAGCCCCCCTCAAGGGTGGTCTTCACTGTTGACCGAAGCCTTCCCCTCATGGTAGGACAACTCACCATGTCCCCAGACTCCTAGGCAATGTTTAGGTCCCTAGGCCCTAGAAAAGGACAAGAGTTACAGATTCCCTGAGGTCCAGGTCACCTCGGGGTGGTGTGGGAACACACAGAGAATGCTGGCCAGGTTCAAGTCCCACTCACTGCTGGGTGCTGAGAGCTCTGAATTCTCCGAGACAGGCTGCAGCCTCTCCCTGTGCTAAGGTCAGGGGAACAGCAATGGCCAGGGGTATTTAGAGGAGTGTGTTTGGGGCAGTCTCAGGCAGCACAGGTCTGTGCTGTCCGGGCAGCAGCCACCAGCTTCGCGAGGCTCCCGGGCACTCGAGATGTGCTGGTCCACATGCAGACGTGCTGTGTGTGCAAAATGCACACCAGATTTTGAAGCCATTGTACAAATAAAAGGATGTACAATAGCTCAATTGTTAAAAATGGATTACACATTGAAATGATAATATTTTGGGTACATTATGTTAAATAAAATATTCAATTCTACTATTTTTCCTGTTTTTTTTTTTTTTGGAGGCAGAGTCTCGCTCTGTTGCCCAGGCTGGAGTGCAGTGGTGCGATCTCGGCTCACTGCAAGCTCCACCTCCCAGGTTCAAGCGATTCTCCTGCCTCAGCCTCCCAAGTAGCTGTGCACCACCACGCCCAGCTGATTTTTGTATTTTTCTTTTTTAGTAGAGATAGGGTTTCACCATGTTGACCAGGCTGGTCTCAAACTCCTGTGCTCAAGTGATCCACTTGCCTCGTCCTCCCAAAATGCTGGGATTACAGGCATGAGCCACCACACCTGGCCTATTTTTCTTTTCTTTCTTTCTTTCTTTTTTTTTTTTTTTTTTTTTTTGAGACGGAGCCTTGCTCTATCACCCAGGCTGGAGTGCAGTGGCGTGATCTCGGCTCACTGCAACCTCCGCCTCCTGGGTTCAAGCGGTTCTCGTGCCTCAGCCTCTGGAGTAGCTGGGACCACAGGTGTGCACCACCACATATGTCTAATTTTCATATTTTTAGTTGAGACAGGGTTTCACCATGTTGGCCATGCTGGTCTTGAACTCCCGACCTCAGGTGATCCACCTGCCTTGGCCTCCCAAAATGCTGGGATTACAAGTGTGAGCCACTGCACCCGGCCTATTTTTCCTTTTTCAAATGTGATGACTAGAAAATCTTACATTCCACACATGGCTGGCATTATATATCTACTGGACAGTGCTGCTCTGGATCTGAGCTCAAATCCTGCCTTTGCCCGTCAGCCATGTGTACTTGAGCAACTGACTCCAGCTTTTTGAAGCTGGGTTTCCTTTTCTGTGAAATGCTGGCAATAATACTTTCCTTTTAGGACTATAATTGGCTCTTAAGAAGAAAACACATGTAAAGAGCTCGGTGCCTAACACATAGTAGGTGTTCAGTAAATAGCAGCTGCTATTTGTTACTTCAGTGTTGAGCCCCAATTTCACAAGCTCCTTGAAGGTTCTTAATAGCCCCTTGGGACAACCCCTGGGGGTTAAATCTAGAGACTTCTGGGAGGAGGGTGAGGGATGAGGAAGGATGCAGCAGGGAAGGCATGGGGCGGCCAGCCCTGGATGGTGTCCAGCCGGGCTGCAGCCCAGGTACCAGCCTGCTCCATCCCAGGCTTGCCCAGCCCTGCAGAGACCTGAGCCAGACTCTGCCCCCTCTTGCCCCCGTGGGTCTCCATGGCTGGCACAGGGAGAAGAGGTTACTAGCCAGAAGGAGAACCTGTTTCAGACCTCTGAGTCCTGGGGGTGTCTGTCAGACCAGCAGACCTCACTTTAGTTTGTGTCTCCCTCCTGGTTCCCACCCTACCAGACTCCAGGGAAAGCTCTTCCCACTGAGAAATAGGAAGGAAGAGATCAAGGGCTAGGAGCAGTGAGTGACTTTTTTTAAAATGGACACATCCAACATTCCCCTGCCGCCCGCACAGACCTGGAGGGATGTGGAGGGTGGAAGGGGGTCCCATAGAGTAAAATGAGGTGACATCAGGGCCACTACGCAGGGGGCCAGTGACAGCCAAGCCCCCTGTACCTCACCTAGGGTAAGGAGAAGACACCTTCTGCCTAGAGGTGTGGACACTGGCTGAGTGCCTGGAGCCCCTGGTCACTTCCCAGTGCCCCCAGGCTGCCCGTCACACAGCACTCCAGGCAGGGCCAGCTGTCTCCATCCTGGCTTCCTTGAAGAGCTGGCACCAGGCCCAGCCCTGTCTCCAGAATCTGGGGAACAAACTGAGCTGTCTCCCAGAGCAAATATGGCTCTTACACCCAACATACTCCTGACACACACACCCCAGCCCCTGAGAACAGCCAGGGTTCCTTCCTGCCCCCGCCGTCCTGCCCCCTTCCATCCTCTTGTTGGGGCTGATTTTCCTGTATTGGGCATGGGGCACTGGTCTTCTTTGCATAAACAAGAGCCCTGGGCTGGGGGAGGGGCAGTCTTGAGAGGTGGGGTTACCTCTGTTGTTCCCCTGGACACCCAAGTGGTCTTCCTACTCCTCCAGCCCCTTTCCTCTGGGGTCCTGAGCTAGCTGGCTCGAAGGAAGCGGGCTGGGCTGTTTCTGTAGGGCCCATCACCATGGCATCAGCCAGGGAGGGGCTGGGCCCAATGGGGCGTTGGCCCCCAGGCTCCCACAGCCTTCCCTGAAGGGAGGAAGGAGGAGCAGGGAGCGGCCCTGGGCCTGTTCCCCAGAGACGGTCACTGGGATTAGGGTATCGACTTTCCCCAGCTTTCCAGGTGACTGCTGGTGGCGCCTATTGAATTCCGTGCCCGCCATCCGCTCCCTGGACTGCGTGGGTGGAGGTGATGGGGCGGCCACTTAGGGCGCGGTGAAGCTCCCTGGGGGAAAGGACAGATGAAGGGAGGAAGCCTGAGGGTGGAGGAGGCCCCGGGAGAAGGGTGTGGGGGCAGCTCTCCGGGCAGGGTCTTTTCTGGAAAGCCAGCCAGCATTTTGTGAAAGTGAGAGTCTCCAGCCTGTCCAGCCCTGGGTCACCCCGGCCCAGCTGCGCTGCCCATCGGCTGCATGGCCTCATGTTCCCTCCTGTTGATTCTGGCTCTCTGCCAGTCTCCTCTCTGAGCAGATCCTGATTTTGTCTTGAACTTGGGTCTCCCAGGCTGTCGTCGTCACTGGAGGTCCCACTTTGCCCTCCGGAACTCACTGGGGCTATGTTCCTTTTGAGTCTCCTCCTCCCACCATGCTTCGGACCCCTCTGTAGCTGGCTCCTCCTAAGATCCTGGGGGCCACACACCAAGCCCAACATGCCTGGACGTCACTCCCATTTATCCCCTTTCCCCAGAGGCAGAACCCAGCCCTGCCCCAGCTTGGCGGTGAGGGTCCAAGAGCAATGGTGGCTGAGCTCGGCCAGGTACCCCACACCTCCCCATCTTCTCCTCTCAGTGCTGGGCCTGGAGACCACAGGCCAGGCCCCACAGATCCCCAGGGGGGCTGCCCCAAGGGACTCCCCTGCCAGCCCCAGCCTCCACCCAGGCTGGGATGGGCTGGCTTGATGGGCTGACTCAGCAACTGGCACTGACACCTCCTGGAGACAGCTGGGAGGCTCCTGCTAGGGAGGGGTGAGGAGGAACAAGGCTGGTCTCCCTTGAAGAGTGGGAACCCCCCTTCCCATGTGAGGGGAGGAAGTCTCTAGGGACTTGGGAAGGAGGCTCTGCAGGTGCATCGGAGCTGTCTAAATGCTGGTGGGGTCTACCGGGGGCTTCCCATCTCCTTGTCCAGCCACCCCCTCAGGTCCTGGAGCCGCCACAGAGCCACATCTAGACAGAACAGTGGAGCAGGTCCCAGTGCAGGGGAAGGAAACAGAGGGCACCTGAGCCCCTCAGGCTGGGTACCCTGTTTCCCCTTGAACTGCACGACTTGGTGCTGGCAGAGCGGAGCAAGGCTCAAAGCAGGCCCTGGAGCTTTGGCACCATATGTCACTAGGCGAGGGGCACTGGGCTGAAGATCAGTAAGGGAAGCCCACAGCACAGAGACCAGGGCCAGAGGATGGGCATCCCAAAGGCAGCTAGCACAGCCCTGCCCTGCCAGCCGGGGGGGGCGCCCAGAGCCACCTGCCCCCAGTCCAGCCATGCCCCTGCCCTGTCACCCACACCAGGCTTCATCCCCCAGCTCAGGCTGCAGCTCCAGCTGCGAGAGGCCCTGAGCGCCCGGAAGGAAGGCTGTGGTAGGTTGTGGTTTCTTCAGCTCCCAGCCTACCTCCAGCAGAGGCTGCAGCCGATGCCCTGGAGAGAGCCCCTGTCTGCCCTCTGCTGCCTGACTCCTGTTGGGTCCTCACCTCCCAATGGGTTGCCCCATTCTGGACTTGGATCCTTAAGGAGCACCCTGCAGTGTGGTGGAAGGAGGACAGGTTCCAAGTCAGAGACCAGGGTTGGAGTTCTGGCTGTGTGATGTCAGGCAGTGGGCTCCACATCTCTGAGCCTCAGTTTCCCCATCTCAAAAACAGCTGACAAGCCCCAGTCAGGTTGTTATGGGAAGGTTTTTGGGAGCGCAGGGACGGTGGAGGGAGGTTGGAGGAGGTCACTAGAGCTGCCCCCTGCCTGTCCTGAGATTTCACCCTCCCCACTTTCTCAGGGTGTCTGGCTGAAGCAGAAAGCTGCGCCTGTCCTGGTGACGGCGACTGGTCAGACTTGTTTCTGCTCACCTAGGCGGCCCGGGGGAGGGCCTGGCTGGGAGCTTTGTGGAGGGATTAGCTCTAGGGGAGAAGAGCCTCACTTACTCCCGGAACAAGATCCCACAGGGCTGTGGGAGTGCCGGGGGGTGAGCCTGGGGCAGGTGACAGCCGAACTAGCTGGGAGTGGGCCCTGCAGTGAGGCAGGGGGTGGGCCAGGGAGAACAAGGCAAGAGGAGCTTCATTCAGGGTTCCTGAGCCTTTGTGAGCCACTCACGTTTTTACCACTCACTTAACCGTCTTTGTTGTTGGGGTGAGGGGTCCTCGAGCCTGGATTTGGGTATGAAAACCCAGGCAAGAAAGACCTGCCCAAGCCTTTAAAGGAATGCAAAGTCATCCTCTAGCCACCCCCAGAGATCGAAAGGCTGGGGATTGAGTCTCCTGCAGATGGTGGCGGCCTCCTGGGGCTGGCAAGTTGGGACAGAGGCCCATAAGCCCTCCTGGGCGCGCCTTCCCACCCCTCTCGGCCCTCTCCACTCCCAGCTGGGGATTTGGGTTTCAGAGCAGCCTGGCACACACACCCCCACCCCACCAGAATCTCACTCCCAGCTTCCTATGACTATTCATTAGTATTCACAACAATGGGAAAGTCTGGGTGTGCACAGGGATTTTTTACAGTTAGAAAGTGTTTAAGTCAATGACCTCACTGGGCCTCAGCAACCCTGGGAGGCAGATGGCAGTCAGAATGATCCATAAATGACCTGCCCCAGGTCACACAGCTCCTAAACAGGGGAGCTGGAACCTGGCTGGGAGCCTTGACTATCCACTGCTCATTGTCTGATGTGCTGAGTGATAACACAGGGCCAGCAGGCTGGACAGCAGCCAGTGGCCCTGCACCAGGCCTGGAGGAGGGGGAGAGGGACAGGGACTCAGGCGTAGTCCTTGGGCACAGGCTTCGGCTGCCTACACCCATATTCCCTCCATCATACTGTGTGTCCAGGCCTGCAGCTTCTAAGCTGAGCTGCTTACTTTGGACCAAGCATGTTGGAAACTGTTTTCAGCTGAGTCCAAGCACTCGAAATCTGCGTGTGCCCTTTTAGTAGGTCACACCCTCCAGGCCACAGCCACACTGGGCTCCCTTTAGCCCAGCCCTGCTTTTCCCAGTCCCCTCCCCATTCAGGCTCCTCTGTTTCTGGGGTCTCTGTGCTTCCGTTGCCACCTCTGCCCTTGGGCAGCGGTGTCGGGGGAGGAGGTCCTGGAACGCCTGAGGATGGCCCCGTCTTGTCCAGGTCCCCTTGCTGTGCTGAACAATAAGTTTTTGGTTATCTGCTCCTTCTGGCTCCCTTTTGGCTGGGCCATTCGGCTTGGTGGGGGTGAGAGAGAGTTCGAGTATATGGAGGAAGGCTTTACTGTAAACACACTGACCAGCTTTCAGTAAACACCTGCCTCTTCCTCCCCTGCTGCAGAGAACGGGGTACAAAGGGGCTGGGGGTCCTCAGTCATATGCCCCAGGTCCCCAGCCAGGCTGACGGGTGCCACACTCTGCCCCCTCTCCAGGAGGGCCAGACTGAGCCACCAATGGGGAGGGATAGAGGCCCGATCAACACAGCATGTGATTCACCTTAGACTGTCAGAAGGGACAGGCATGTGAGAGCTAACCTGGTCCTACCCCTCATTTGGCAGAAGAGGAAACTGAGGCTTGGACAGAGCAGTGTTTTATCCACATCACCTAAGCAGTTAGCTGCGGTGCTGGGTATCCACACAAGTCTTTTGAGTCCTGGGCCAGAACCCTCTCAAATTGCTGTGTAGGGATCTAGGCAAATTTGCATCCTCCCAAACCTTCCTTGGTTGGGGAGATGGGGACAGGCAGAGGACAGGGAAGGCAGAACCTGGGGCACTGTGGAATAGCCATGGACCCTCCCCTGTCCCTGCAGCGCGAGCTTCGGCCTCGGCTCTGTACCATGAAGAAGGGCCCCAGTGGCTATGGCTTCAACCTGCACAGCGACAAGTCCAAGCCAGGCCAGTTCATCCGGTCAGTGGACCCAGACTCCCCGGCTGAGGCTTCAGGGCTCCGGGCCCAGGATCGCATTGTGGAGGTGATGCTTCTCGCTCTCTTCCTATCTGACTGCCCCCACCCCCTGCAGATCAGCAGCACCTGGGGCAGCCATCATACCATCATGGGCTTGATTAGCCCACGGGCATAGCCAACCTGGAGCTGCTGGATGGATGGGTGGATGGGAGGGAGGGAGGGAAGGGTGGTGGATGGATAGACGGAAGGACAGATGGACTGACTGATGGACTCTTCTCTTACCTCCACTCCCCTGGACTCCTCCTTGCCAAGCAGATACAGTGGGCAGCCTGTGATTCACCCATCGATCAGGGAGATGTCTGGGGCCATCTCCAGAGCTTCCCTGCTGCCAGGCACACAGAGTGGGGTGGCAGTAACAAAACCCCTCTCCTGAGTTAGGCCTTTATTTATTTAGTTTTTTTTTTTTTAAATGGAGTCTCGCTTTGTTGCCCAGGCTGGGGGAGTGCAGTGGCACAATCCCAGCTCACTGCAACCTCCGCCTCCTGGGTTCAAGCGATTCTCCTGCCTCAGCCTCCTGAGTAGCTGGGATTACAGGTGCCCACCACCACGCCTGGCTAATGTTTGCATTTTTAGTAGAGACAGGATTTCACCATGTTGGCCAGGCTGGTCTCAAACTCCTGACCTCAAGTGATCTGCCCGCCTCGGCCTCCCAAAGTGCTGGGATTCCAGGCGTGAGCCACCTCACCCGGCCCCGAGTTAGGCTTTTAGACTCGTGCATTCAGGGCTCTGGTGCTGTGCTCCTGGGAGAGGAAACGTGAACCAAATGCTCAGGCAGGTCCCAGAATCACAGTCTTAGAACCTTAGAGCTAGAGATCAGCTCTCCCAAGACTTCTCATTTTACACGTGAGAAAACCAAGGCCCAGAGAAGGAAGTCGGACAGCAAGTCCTTACCCAGGCTGGGCCCCACCCCGGCCTCCCAGCTCGCTCCCATCCCATCTCTCCCAGCTGTGTTTGTTTAGTCTCGTCTGGATATTTTCGTTGGCCCTTCCCATGTATCCTGCCTCCCCAGCTGACTGTCAATGGGAGGACCCCCAGCCTAGTTCAGGACTCTGCAGAAATGGCGGGGGTCAGTATCCCCAGGTTGTGAACTGCAAACTGGCTGAGAACCAAGGTGGTCACCCCTGCCCCCAACCCCCCTCCACTTACCTGCCCCAGAACCAAGGCCTGTGTCCGTAACGCCTCCCCGACCCTGCCCTGCAGGTGAACGGGGTCTGCATGGAGGGGAAGCAGCATGGGGACGTGGTGTCCGCCATCAGGGCTGGCGGGGACGAGACCAAGCTGCTGGTGGTGGACAGGGAAACTGACGAGTTCTTCAAGAAATGCAGAGTGATCCCATCTCAGGAGCACCTGAATGGTAAGCCAGGTGGGGCCACTGGCCGTCCTGGGGCTGGAGCCCCCCAAGTCAGGGATGTGAGCCAGGGCTAAGACTGCTGGGTCCCAGGCGAGGGGTGGGCAGCTTCCCGGCATGGGTGCTCCCTCCTCCTCCTTCATGGGAGGCCCAGAGGTGTGGGCTGGGGGAGCGGGGGCCTAGTGTAGGGAGTGGCAGTGGGTTTCTGAGGACGGCTTGTGATGGGGTCAGCTGGCATGAGGTCGGTGAGAGAGATGGACAGATCTTCTTATTCCCGGCCAAAGCTGCAGCCCCAAAGGAGGCCCAAGCCCCCAGTCCTGTCCCCACCAGCAGACTTTCAGGGCAGTGTCAATGTGAGGAAAGGGTTAACTCCGGGGAGGCCTCCAGCCTTTGCTTGGTCAGATCAGAGTCCAGTGACGGGGGCCGGTGCCTCCCCCTCCCTCCTCTCAGGTTGTCTTGGAAACTCAGCCTTGCTGGCTCTAGAGAGTAGTGGGTCCCCCTTCAATCCCTGGGCCCCTGCCCTCCCCATCCCCCACCATCACCCTGCCAAGCCTGGCGCCTCCCCCTGCCCAGGCCCGAGCCAAACAGGGCAGGGCTGCTGCACCGGGGCAGGGAGGGGTTAAGCATGCTCTGCTCCTTGGTCTGGACTTTCTCCCTGGGAAGATGGCTCCCTGGAGCGGGCAGGGGTGCTCACTGGGCCATACTGAGGGTGGAACCTCTTGGGACTTTGCAGTGGGTGGGGCCTCCTGGAGACTCAAGGTTGTATGTGTAAAAGGAGATTCACACAAAGGTCCTGCGACTCCCATCGCCAGCTGCAAGGGCCCACTGGGGAGGCCCTGTCCCCTTCTGGCGCAATCCAAGGCCTGAGGCTCCTAGAAGAGGGGATGGCCCCTGGAAGTCCCTAGCTGGCTCTGGGCATGGGAGGTGGGGTACCGCCTTACCCTTATCTCCCAAGTTCATGGAAACCAGGTAACTCAGATAATCCCCTTCTCCACTGAGGGGGAGACTAAGGCCCAGAGAAGCCCCAGCCTTCCTCCTAGGGATCTGATACGAGGAAGACACAGCTGGAATCTGGATTCCACTCAGCTCCTGGGATACTGTCCCCTGCTTCCCCCACCCCTTCACCCTGCAGGTAATTGGCCCCCTCAGACATTCCTCCCTCTTCTGCCTGTCTCTCGGGCTAGAGGGGCTGCAGCCTCTGGCCAAAGGACCTGAAGAGGGAGAGGCCTGGGGACAGTCCCCTCCCCGCAGTCCCTCCAGGATGGCATCCTCACCCTTTCCATAGGGAGGAATGCCCCCCTCTCCGGCTGCCAGGGTTTCACCCTGACCACTGTGAGCTGATGGGGAGGGGACAGTGAGTGACCCTGTGTCCCAGCAGCCTGTCCTTGCCCGGGGAAGGCTGTGGGTGTCAAAAGGGAGGAGAAGATGAGAGTCAGGTATCTCTGGCTGTGTCCTGGACTGGGGACAGGGAAAAGATAACCAGGAATTTTAAGCTAAGAGTTCAGAAGAAGCCCTACACTGACCAGTCCCTGGAGATGGAACAGCCACCCCTGAAGCCATGTGGGACCCCTACCCTGAGTGAGCCCAGTGAAGGTGACCCCAGACCTGTCTTCTCTCCCTCTGACCCCTCCAGGTTTCCCACTGGCTGGGGGAGGGGATACCCAGGACACACCCCTTGAGCCTTCTCGTCCCCCCTCATTTCCTGATTGGCAAATAGGAGTTGGGATTATTTTCTCTTTTTTTCTTTTTCTTTTTCTTTTTTTTGAGATGGAGTCCTGCTCTGTCACCCAGGCTGGAGTGCAGTGGTGCGATCTCGGCTCACAGCAACATCTGCCCCTAGATTCAAGTGATTCTTCTGCCTCAGTCTCCTGAGTAGCCGGGACTACAGCCATGCGCCACCACGCCCAGCAAATTTTTATATTTTTAGTAGAGATGGGGTTTCACTATGTTGGCCAGGATGGTCTCGATCTCTTGACCTTGTGATCCGCCCACCTCGGCCTCCCAAAGTACTGCGATTACAAGTGTGAGCCACCGCGCCTGGCCTTTTTTTTTTTTTTTCCGGACACAGTCTCTGTCACCCAGGCTAGAGTGCAATGGCACAATCTTGGCTCACTGCAACCTCCACCTCCTGGGTTCAAGCAATTCTCCTGCCTCAGCCTCCTGAGTAGCTGGGATTACAGGCGCCTGCCACCATGCCCGGCTAATTTTTGTATTTTTAGTAGGGATAGGGTTTCGCCATGTTGGCCAGGCTGGTCTTGAACTCCTGACCTCAGGTGATCCGCCTGCCACAGTCTCCCAAAGTGCTGGGGTCCCAGTCATGAGCCACCGAGCCCAGACTATTTTCTCTTTCAGTTGAGGCAGGTACTAACTATAGTCTGGGGTGTGGTTCCAATTTTGGTGTCATCATCATCACCTGGGAAGCGTTTGGAAAATGTTGATTCTTAGGCCTGCCCACTAAACCAGAATCTGTGCTGCCAAGGTCCAGGAATCTGTACTTTAACAAGCTTCCCACGTAGGAGTTCCCAGGTAGGAATTCCCAGGTAGGAATTAGGCAGCCATCCTCGAATTTCATCCCCATCTGAGACAATACATTTTTTAAACACCTTGTGACCCATCAGTGCCTCATAAGATCAATTTAGTAGATAGAGACCAGCAGGTTTTTTGGTTTGTTTTTTTTGTTTTGTTTTGTTTTGTTTTGTTTTGCCAGAGTCTTGCTGTGTTGCCCAGGCTGGAGTGTAGTGGCGTGATCTCGGCTCACTGCAACCTCCACCTTCTGGGTTCAAACAATTTTCCCACCTCAGCCTCCCAAGTAGCTAGGATTACAGGCGTGTGCCACCATGCCCAGCTAATTTTCTTTTTGTCTTTTTTAGTAGAGACGGGGTTTCACCATGTTGGCCAGGCTGGTCTCAAACTCCTAACCTCAAGTGATCCAGGTGCCTCGGCCTCCCAAAGTGCTGGGATTACTGGTGTGAGCCACTATGCCTGGCCCAGACATTTTTTTGTTTTTTTTAATGAAATGAAATTAAAAATATCAAAGAACACTGTAGTAAGGGTGTTGCTTTGTGAAACTTTTATCACACAAAATCTTTGTGTGTGCTGAGTCATCAAAATGGCAAACGTAGGCCAGACATTTGCTCACACCTGTAATCCCAACACTTTGGGAGGCCAAGGTGGAAGGATTGCTTGGGGCTAGGAGTTTGAGACCATCCTGCATGACATGGCAAGGCCCCATCTCTATAAAAAAAAAATTTTTTTTAAATAAATAAGGCAAATGTATTCATGGTGGGTGGTAGTCAAAAAAGTTTGAGATGTTGACCCAGGGAACAAGATCTAATAATCTGCCCAAACCCAACTCCTACCTCCTCTCCACGCTCTATTCCATCCCCGTTCTGGACTCACCTCTGCTCTGTCCTTTGCCTAGGTCCCCTGCCTGTGCCCTTCACCAATGGGGAGATACAGAAGGTAAGGGCGGGTCCCCTGTCTCTTTGGATTTCAATCCTTGGGGTGCATGAGACAGATCAGAAGGTGCTGTGGTTGGTAGGATAGCCATCTGACTAAGGCCAAAACCCCAGGGTCCCCAGTTCCAGCTCCTTCTTCAGCTCCAAGCTATAGAACTGCCAGAACCCTCTTGGCCTCTGCCTGGGGCCAAAGCTGTCAGGAGGGAGCGGGCTGGCTGGGCCCCTCTGCAGCCCGCCATCCTGGGTGACAAGCCCCCGCCTCCAACTCCCCACCATACAGAAGGGGCCATTCTTCCCCCCAAGAACAGAGCTTCAGTGTCTGGCCACGGGCAGCCGGGCCCCTGCTACTTCTAGTCTGGGTTGGAAGAACAAAGCCCCTCCTCCCCCCTTCCCTGGGCAGAAGGGAAAGGGGGTGAGGCCCGGGGAAGAGATGGTGGGGCTGGGCGCCAGCTGAAGCCATGGAGGAACCCAGGAAGGGGCTGGGTGCCAAGCTGACGCCCCAGCCAAAGCCTTCGCTCTGGGACAGGCCGACTCAGTCAGGCCACAGAGCAGGAACTCTGCAGGGTCTGCTTAAAGGTTCCCCTTCCCTAGGAGCTCCTGCCAGGGTACTTGGCAAGGGGGAGGGCCCTTGGACCCAGCCCTCAACCTTCTTTCACCTCATCTTTGGATCTAGAACTTTCCATCCACCTTCTTCTTTCAAGGCCCTCCTTTGCTGCTTCAGGGTTAGGGTTTCAGGATTCCTGGGGTCAAATCCTGGCAAACAGTCAGGTGGACCACATGAGATTCAGGGAGCACCACATGGGCTCCCCATGCCCCCATGTGTCCCCACATTCCAAGAAGCCCCTCCCTGGTCACTGGCCCAAAAGGCAAGCCAGTACCTAAAAGCCACATTGGAGTGGCCCAGGGAGAGGGAGCGGTTCAGCTAATCCCATGATGGTCTGTTCCCATCCCATCCCTCCAGCCTGAGCAGTAGAACCAGCCTGCCCTCTGATCCCCAAAGGAATGTAAAAAGGAGCCCCAGCAGGCTCAGGAGGTGGGAACCAGGGGTGGGTGGCCAGGGCATCAGTGCTACCTCTTCTCAGTCTGAGGCCCCTACTTCCCCAGGAGCTCCCTCCCTCCTCAGGACCCCCTCACCCCATCCTCTGACAACCCACAACCCTCTCCTCTCTGCCAGGAGAACAGTCGTGAAGCCCTGGCAGAGGCAGCCTTGGAGAGCCCCAGGCCAGCCCTGGTGAGATCCGCCTCCAGTGACACCAGCGAGGAGGTAGGCCAGCCATGCGGGGGGTGGCAACTGGGTTACAGGAAGCCGATTCCCAGGCCCCACTTGTTCCTGGCACACCAGCCTGCCTTTGAGGTCACATGCTGAGCCGCATTCTGTTCTTGTGACCTGGCTTCCCTGGGCACGGCCCCAACGGAGCCACCTCACCAAGGCTGAGGACCAGGGAGCCTAATGAGGGACTGACTCCCAACTTCCTGCCCCCACTTCTCTTTACAGCTGAATTCCCAAGACAGCCCCCCAAAACAGGACTCCACAGCGCCCTCGTCTACCTCCTCCTCCGACCCCATCCTAGACTTCAACATCTCCCTGGCCATGGCCAAAGAGAGGGCCCACCAGAAACGCAGCAGCAAACGGGCCCCGCAGATGGACTGGAGCAAGAAAAACGAACTCTTCAGCAACCTCTGAGCGCCCTGCTGCCACCCAGTGACTGGCAGGGCCGAGCCAGCATTCCACCCCACCTTTTTCCTTCTCCCCAATTACTCCCCTGAATCAATGTACAAATCAGCACCCACATCCCCTTTCTTGACAAATGATTTTTCTAGAGAACTATGTTCTTCCCTGACTTTAGGGAAGGTGAATGTGTTCCCGTCCTCCCGCAGTCAGAAAGGAGACTCTGCCTCCCTCCTCCTCACTGAGTGCCTCATCCTACCGGGTGTCCCTTTGCCACCCTGCCTGGGACATCGCTGGAACCTGCACCATGCCAGGATCATGGGACCAGGCGAGAGGGCACCCTCCCTTCCTCCCCCATGTGATAAATGGGTCCAGGGCTGATCAAAGAACTCTGACTGCAGAACTGCCGCTCTCAGTGGACAGGGCATCTGTTACCCTGAGACCTGTGGCAGACACGTCTTGTTTTCATTTGATTTTTGTTAAGAGTGCAGTATTGCAGAGTCTAGAGGAATTTTTGTTTCCTTGATTAACATGATTTTCCTGGTTGTTACATCCAGGGCATGGCAGTGGCCTCAGCCTTAAACTTTTGTTCCTACTCCCACCCTCAGCGAACTGGGCAGCACGGGGAGGGTTTGGCTACCCCTGCCCATCCCTGAGCCAGGTACCACCATTGTAAGGAAACACTTTCAGAAATTCAGCTGGTTCCTCCAAACCCTTCAGCCTCCGTGTGTTCCTTGGAAGTTTTGTCCTCTGGCCTTGGACCCCTTATAGGTAGAAATTGAGAAATGGTAAGCCAAGGTGGTCTTTGGCTGGGAGGGTGGGGTACACTGGAGGGAGGGCCATCAAGGGCTCCCTGTGACCCC
The DNA here is from genome assembly GCF_000001405.40 of Homo sapiens. Lineage (NCBI taxonomy): Eukaryota > Metazoa > Chordata > Mammalia > Primates > Hominidae > Homo > Homo sapiens. The sequence goes on from NC_000017.11 coordinate 74,769,505, forward strand.
AAGCCTGGGTAGCTTTAGCTAGAGGGCCTAGCTGCAGTCCTGTAGGAAGGAAGATGCATGCACCCAGCCGGGTATTCAGCTTGGTGTGGTCAGTGTGCCTGTGTGCTGGGCTGCAAGCACCGATTGTGGGCTGGGGACCCCTTGTCTAACGGGGATATTTACAAGGGGAAGTGGGAGCTCAGACCAACGTTCTCAGAGGACTCTGGGAGGTTCCTTTAATTCCAGAAGCGTGGAAAGTGTGTCCCAGGATGGAGCTGGGTTTGGAATGTGAGGACTTGGCTTTACTCTTTCTGCCTATAGCCAGTGGGGTGCAGAATTCCCAGGGGCAGGCTGGGCTGGTGCCAGATCCTCTATCTTATCTGGCCATTGTGACCTGATTGGAGGGCAAGTGTCCAGTGCCAGGGGAAAACAAACCGGTCCACTGAGCCCGGGGACATGCTGTGTGGCTAGCTGGGGTGGAAGGGACTGTTCAAGGGCAAGGTGCCCTGCCCCCAACAAAAGACCCAGGTCCCTGATACCTTTGGCACCTGAAGCCTGATCTGGAGGTCCAGGAAGGTGGCTTGCAAGAGCTAGGCTGCAGAGCCGGGAGGTTCCGGGCAGGTGCTCAGGAGGAAGGTGCCCCCAGGCTAGTCTCCACCCAACCCAAAGGGACACCTCTCAGAAAATAGGCTCCTGGGCTGAGGGGAATGAGTAAAGCAGGTAGATCTGGAATCAGGGAGTGGACAGTGTCCCCCAGGCCAGTCACTATCTGGCCATCTCCTGCTCCTTGTCAGAGGAACCATCCAAAACCCTTACCACAGCAGTGCCCTGCTCAGCTGACCTGCCCCCACCCCACCCTTGCTTCTACCCTTTGGCCCCTGACAGATTCCCCTCCACAGGGGTCGTGGAGGGCCCCTCCCTATCTCACCTGCTGGGTGGGGAAGCCCTGGGGGACCTTTGACTCTTCATTAACCTGAAGACTGGTGGAAGGAATGGGTGGCCCCAAGGGAACTCTCATTGCTGAGGTACACATGGTACGAAGGGAGCCACGGCAAGCAACGCGTTCGTTTTATAATGTTTGTTTTATACTGAGGCATGTTTTCGGTTCCAGTTGTTCACATGCAGTCTGCTGTGAGACTCCAAGATCAAGGGTGCTGGGAGGCCTTAGGCAAGTCACCTTACTTATCTAAGACTGTTTCCCCACCTGGAAGATGCCCTACAAGCCTCCTGTGGCTGTGTTTAGAAAGCATGCCCGGCCTTTCTTGACAGCCAGCCACCCCAGATGATGGCAGGGCAAGGAAGACTGTTAGGAGTCAGAGTGCTCCCCTCAGGTGGAAGGAAACTGGGCCAACTCTACTTTGTAAGCCATAGGGTGCCAGGTAGCCCGGCCACCCTGAGCCTGTGCCTCCACTGCCCCCGCGTGGCCAGTCAGGTGCAGCTGCTCCCAGAGATGGAGGGTGAGGAACAGACGTGGGAGCACCAGAGGGACAGAGCTGATGGCCTGACGCTCTCTTCAGGAGGGCACCCCCAAGGGGCCTCTGCTTCCTCAGTGCCCCCTGAGCTTTATCAGCAGAGGGGTGTTTTCCAGCCACAAGGAGCTGTATCTAACACTAATGCCTTTAAACTCAAGACTGGCTCCAGGAGAGAGGAGGACGGACACTAGGTTGAGGGGCCAGGCCACACTCACTCTGGACCACCTGTTGTTCCCGGGTCAAGTTCCCAGGGTCACACCAGCCTGCCTCTGCAGGACAAGAGGACCAAGCTGCCCTTGAGTGGACACTGTGAGGCTGGGGCTCGTGGTAGCTCTTCACATGGACCAAACGGGAAAATCAGGAAAGCTGGTAGTGCCTGGAGCTTCACTCCCAGCCAGGGCAGCACCTCTGGCCTCTAAGGAGAAAGGCCTGTCCACTCCCATCCATGTTCCAGGTCCCCCTGCACCTCCAGCTCCCACCTTCATCCCGACATCTCCCATGGATCCCTGCCCTCCATTCCAGCTTCCTAGAGTCTGGGTCTGGGTTTGGCCGGGAGGGGAGAAGGGAACTGGCCCTGGCCCTGGAGTCTGCTCAGCCACACCACTAGCTGGAGGGAGGCCACAGCAAGCCCCGCCAGAGTCTGAAGGGCCTCGAAAGGTGATTCCCAGCCTGGGCCAGGAGCACTCTCCCAGTGCAGGGCTCTGGTCTTTGAAGTGTATGGGCCCAACACCCTGCTCACACAGAGTGGCTGCCCACAAGGCCCAGCCATCAGCAGGGCTCTGCCGACCCATCTCTGTAAGGCTTCTCTTCCACGTGGCTGGTCTGCTCCAGAAGCCACTGATGCTCGGACTCACTCACTGTCAGTCTGAGGGTCACCTCCTGAAAAACACTGCTCGTAGCCACCTACGTGAGCCAGAGAGAACAAAGCCTGCTAAGTTACAGTATTACCACCACCAGGCCCACCACCCAGGTCTAAGCCCCACTCTGCCCCAGGACATCCTTACCTGCTCAAAGTGAAGTTTCTGGAACATCCGGATGCTTGGTTCATTTCCTTGCCCAATTTTAGCCTCAAACTTGGTCAGACCTAGCGTGGTCACTCCTCGCAGAGGAGATGAGACAGGGGCAAGTAAGGAGGCGCCTGCCCCCACCCTCCTGTCCCAAGCTGCAGAGGAGGAACCTTCACCTGCCCCCAACCCTCACACCTGAACAAAGTTCACCTGGGGCCTGCCCACTTCCCGCATTGTCTGCTCACACTTTCTTACCGTAAGACAGCATCGCGAGAACGGCCTCAGTGCCAAGGCCCTTACCCCTGCAGCTGGGCTCTAGGAGAGACAACAGGAGCGGCGCTGACGCCGTGTGCCAGGCTCCAGTGCGGGCACTTGGCAGACACCATCTCATTTAATTCTCAACAACTCTGAAGTTGCTACTATCATTACCATTCTGCAGACGAGGAAACAGGCACAAAGAAGTGTGAAAGGCCTCACAGCTTGCAACCCAGCAACCTGACTTCAAAGCTGACCTCTTTACCTCATGGAGTCAGTATGCTGCCTCATGGGGATAGTCAGTAGCCACTTGGGGGAAACTGAGGACCATGAAGGAGCAGAAACAGGAGGGCCTCCTCCTGTAATATGACAACATGCTCCAGAGACCTTTTTCTGAGGGTCCCCAGCCCACCCCAACTATGGGACTAACCATACTTGAATCTACCCCAAACCAAGGGTTAAGTTCACGCCTAAGCATAAGGACTAAAGTGATGAGGCTGAGGGTGTACCACCAGGCTGAGGGGGCTAGGTGGGCAGGCTGCCCAGCCAGGCCCTGGACTCACCACATGGAGCCTCCCAGTGAACCCTGTGAGTGCCCACCCTTTGCAGCCTCGGCAGGCTCAGTCAGCAGATCTGAGAGCCGGGAGTCAGCGGAAGGCAGGGCTAGGTGAAACAAACCTGCAATCATGACCTCGATCTCCCCCAAGGTGAGGTCTTCTAGATCTGTGAGGAAGAGGTTCACATCTCCCACCATGCAGCTCTCTTCGGTGGCGCCTGGCTGGGCCTGCCACTTCTCGGCATCCAGCACAATGAAGGTACACTCTGAGGAGGAGGTGACAGGGCTATCACACACACTCCCCAGAGGAGAGAAGAGAGGATGGTACTCCTACCCAAGCCAGAGCACTGCAGAACACCAGCATCTCTGAGTCTGCCAGGAGAAGAGGGGGTCCCAGAGCTTCCTTCAGCTCATTACAAAATTCCAAATCTGCCTCATACAGAAAAAGCCTCTCCAACCAGCAACCAAATTCTCAGAGAGCAGGGAACACAGAGGAGGGCAGTCACCACACTAGGCTGTGGTGAGGGACATGAGGGGCAGGGCCTCAATTTACAGCCAGAGCCCCAAATGCTCTACTTTCTCCAAATCCTTCCAAGCCCGATGCAGTGGGTGGGGAAGAGGACAGAAGGGTCAGCCACAGGGACTGGCTTCAGGGCCATGAGAATACAGGAGTTCCAGCACCTTCCAGGCTTTTCACAAAGCTTCTATGGCCGGGGCTGGGAAAGGGAAGGAACCTGGAGACTGACTGTGGAGTCAGCCCTCCCAGTACCAGGGCTAGGGGAAGTGGGGGGGCACTCCTCACTGTCTGCATCTTCCTGCCAGCTGCACTGCATGGCATACTCCTGCTCCAGGGTCAGCGGCTCCGAGGCTGTCAAACGCTGCAGCTCCTCTGATTTCATCCACTCGTGGTACCTGCTGGGACAGAGGGGTGGCTTTAGACATGGAGGACTCATTCAGAGGCATACGTCTGACACCTTATGAGGGTCCAGAACCAGACAGGGCTAACATAGGGCTCAAAGAAGACCCAAAGGGTTATGATTGCTCCTAAGGCAGGGGCCACAGACACAAGACCCAGAAGCAAGCTAGTCTTACACAAGAACAGCAGGACGAGTCAGTTCTATCTGTCCAATTTCCTATCCTGTCTCGGGTCAGTGCGGAGGAGCAGTCTGAAACCAAACATTCTTCAAATTCCAGAAGGGGATGTATATGGCAAGCCAACCTCAACAAAGGCGGCTGGACAGATCCCACGAAGTTAGGGCACCAGGAACCCTCAAACGGAAAACTACAAGTAGAGAATACCCATCTACAGCACCACTATCCCAATCTACCAGACATGTGCCAACTGCCCCCACAGGAATCCCATCATGACTCAGTCCTGGCCTTTTGAATGGTAGATATCACAACTCATCAGCTCAGAGTTCAAGGACAAGCTAACATTAAGTCTCCAAGAACTGAACATACTCACTGGCACCAGGGAAACATCACTAATTTACAATTAGGTGAGAAGACAATTTCTTTTTCTTCCACGTTTAGTTTACATAAAGCAATTCCTTGCTGAAAGGCCAAAAAGCTGAGAGAATGAAAGGGAAGAGGATGGGCAGCTCCTCCCAAGGAAGTCACAGTCCCCAGGTTCTGCTATTTTTTTTTTTTTTTTTTTTGAGACAGAGTTTTACTCTTGTTGCCCAGGCTGGAATTACAGGCATGTGCCACCATGCCCAGCTATTTTTTTTGTATTTTTATTAGAGACGGGGTTTCTCCACGTTGATCAGGCTGGTCTCTTTTTTTTTTTTTTTTTGAGACGGAGTCTCGATCTGTCACCCAGGCTGGAGTGCAGTGGCGCGATCTCGGCTCACTGTAAGCTCCGCCTCCCGGGTTCACACATTCTCCTGCCTCAGCCTCCCGAGTAGCTGGGACTACAGGCGCCCGCCACCACATCCGGCTAATTTTTTTGTATTTTTAGTAGAGACGGGGTTTCACCATGTTAGCCAGGATGGTCTCGCTCTCCTGAGCTTGTGATCCGCCTGCCTCGGTCTCCCAAAGTGCTGGGATTACAGGCGTGAGCCACTGCGCCCAGCCTTTATTTTATTTTATTTTATTTTTGAGACAAAGTCTCACTCTGTTGCCCAGGCTGGAGTACAGTGGTGTGATCTCGGCTCACCACAACCTCCACCTCCCTGGTTCAAGTGATTCTCCTGCCTCAGCCTCCCAAGTAGCTGGAATTACAGGTGCCGGGCAACAAGCCCAGCTAATTTTTTGTGTTTTTAGTAGAGATGGCGTTTTATCATGTTGGCCAGGCTGGTCTTGAACTACTGACCTCATGATCCACCCGCCTCAGCCTCCCAAAGTGCTGGGATTACAGGCGTGAGCCACCGCACCCGGCCGTTTTTTTGTTTTTGTTTGTTTTTGTTTTTTTGTTTTTTTTGTTTTTTTTTGAGACAGGTTCTTGCTCTGTCACCCAGGCTGGAGTACAGTGGTACAATCACAGCTCACAGCAGTCTTCATCTCCTGGGCTCAGGCAATCCTCCCACCTCAGCCTCCCTAGTAGCTGGGACTGCAGCTGTGCACCACCATGCCTGGCTAATTTTTGTATTTTTTTGTAGAGACAAGGTCTCGCTACGTTACCCAAGCTGGTCTCGAACTGCTGGGCTCAAGCAATCCTCCTGCCACAGCCTCCCAAAGTCCTGGAATTACAGGCGTGAGCCACGGCACCCAGCCTTTTTTCCCCCCTCATATATAATTATTTCTCACAACCAATGTTTCTTCTTAGGGGAAATAGCCCTGAGACTGGGGCTGTACCTTACACAGCTCTGGGTGCTGATACGCACCCCATGTCAAGCGGGAAAGATACCTGGGCACATGCTCCGAGGTGTAGGGTACAAGGACCACCTTCTTCCCCAGCAGCAAGGTGTTCTGATTCAACCTCATGGTAGCAGCCTGCATGCAGATGGGGAGAGCAAAGACTTCAGGACCCTGAATTTCCTCCAACTTTGGGTAGGCGCTCCAGCTTTCCTGCTGGGGCTAAGTTGACTTCCGTCATTAGTTCCGTCTAGACACTTCAAAGAATACAGACTCCAAAATTCTTGCAAGAAAGAGAACCAGGCTGGTTAAGGATAATTAAACAATCCTTGACTCCCACTCCAAGAGGCCAAGCCTGGGCTCCGTTTCTGCCGGTTCCTTCCGTCCACTCCCCAGAACTTCGATTCCTCAAACCCAAGCACCAAGTACCAAGTACCAAAGTATCCCCAGAGCTCCCATTACTTGCCCCAGTCCAGGGATTCCAACCCAGAATCAACTTTCAGCCCTGCCTTAAACCTACTTCCAACCTCTTACCCCGGCGACCACCCCACGGGGCTCTAGCCACTCCCTCCCCGCCCCCGACCACTTCAGGGCAAGGCGGGCTTAGTCTTAGGCCCTCCCCTTTGAGTGGCGTTCTAGACCACTCTCTTCGACCCTCCAACCACGCGGACCCGGGTACTGCCAAGCTCACACCCACCTACCACCGACGAAATCGTCCCCCGCAGAAAGGGTGATCTACCTCCTCCAACCAGCCACGTTCCCAGGCCCGGCCGGCTACCGCCCCTTCCGCATGCGCGTGAGAACGCGCCCCGCCCACTTCCGCCATGCTGACGGCAGCCGCCAGGCCCCAATCCCGGTCCCGCCCCCGCGAGGCGCCCAATCAGCGCGCGCGAAAAAGGTGGGCTGTGGGGCCGGCGCATGCGCGCTGCGGAAGCTGGTGCTGGACAGCTGGCGCCGGCAGCAGCGGACCGGCGGGAGACGGCGGCTTGGGAGCTGGCTGTGCTGCAGGTGTTGGGTCGGGTCGGGTCGGGACGGGCGGGAGAGGACGAGACGGGTCGGGATAGGTTGGGGCGGGGCGGGGCGGCACTAGACTCGGGACTCCTCCAGGAGGGAGAGAGAGGGAGAGGCTGGGAGTGGGGTTCTTGAGAAAAGAGGGAGCTTTGAGGGTGGGGAACCCTAAGAGAGTAGGTGGGGCCAGGGAGTGGAGGCCCCATTAAAAAAAGGAGGCCTTAGTGCCAAGAGTGGAGTTGGAAGGGCAATGTAGGAAAGCCCCCAGCTCCCTGCCCTAGGCAGAGGCGGCAGACAGTTCCTTGGGCTCCCATGTGTGGTAGTGAGCTCCTGGTTCCTGGAACTAAACGAGGATAACCACCCCAGAGCGTGGAAAGGGGGCTCTTGTGGTGGGTGAGACTTAGTGGTTTTAGAGGCCCCTTAAATCACTTGCACCCCGAGCAGCATTGAAAACATCCGTGCTGGGCACAGAGCAGTGCCCTGCACAGCAAGGGAAATGTTAGAAGAAACCGTCCAGATTTCTGTCATCCAGGGTGACCCCTCCCTCGGGGGTGAGTCTTGTGACAGATACTGAGGCCCTAAGTGTCTGTGATAAAAGAACCAGAGGTGGCAGGGGAAGTCTGCAAGCCTCCTCCCACCCCTGTCTCAGTCCATCAGATAGGTGAAGCCTGCTCTTTTGTTTTAAGGAGCTGCGGCAGCCGCCGTCCTTGCACCTAAGGAACCTCTGCTGCCAGCCCTTCCTCACTTTTGGAAATGGCGGGTGAAATTACAGAGACCGGGGAACTCTACTCTTCCTACGTGAGTGTGACTTATAGAACCTTTTGCTCACTTAAGTGTTCCTGGCTTCTAGAAAAGCACATTGCTTGCTGGAGATGGGACTAGTGAGTGCTGCTGCTTGAGCAGACCATAGTGGAAGCAGGATGGGGGAGTTCCATGGGGCAGCGACTACAGTGCTGCTGTGGTGGCTCAGAATGTAAGTCAGATTTATTCTCTTTTTAAGGTGTTTGTCAGAGTGGTCAAGCCAAACAAAATCGCCATGCTGTTTATAATGTTAATCCCGGGCTGGGCACGGTGGCTCACGCCTGTAATCCCAGCACTTTGGGAGGCTGAAGCGGGCAGATCACCTGAGGTCAGGAGTTCAAGACCAGCCTGGCCAACATGGTAAAACCCTGTCTCTACTAAAAATACAAAATTAGCCGGGCATGGTGGCACTGTAATCCCAGCTACTCGGGAGGCTGAGGCAGGAGAATCGCTTGAACCCGGGAGGCGGACGTTGCAGTGAGCTGAGATCGAGCCGTTGCACTCCAGCCTGGGCAAAAAGAGCGAAACTCTGTCTCAAAAATAAAGAAATAATGTTCATCTCCAGGCTACCACACTTGCCTGCAGTGCTGCCCTTCAGATGAACAGTGATTGACAGCTGTTGACTCTGGGTTTTGCTCATCTCAGCAGTTGGAAACCGCTTTGGTCTTTACTGAATTTTAAATTGCACAACTTTTATAGTCTTGGATGGCGTAAGAAGCAGCGAAAGCATACAGAGACTTCTAATTACAGTTTGGTGGACTCTGCAATTAGAACAATTAGAATGATTGATTCTCACTGTCTTAGGTCTGTGTTACCTCTGGCTGCCCCCAACACACACGCAGTTTATCTTCTCTATGTAACGTATGATTGGTCATAGTTGTTACATCACAGGGCCCTCTTGCCTGGATAAGTAGCCAGAGGGTTGGAATAATCAGATGGTTGACTCAGGTTGCTACCAACCCTCCCAGGCAAAAGCAGCACTGCCCTAAGTAGCAAGAGTTTTCTAGAACTTGACCTGCCTTCAACAGCTGCCCTGCCTTGTACATAGCTTCCTAGCCTGGGGATCTCTGGTCTGTTTCTGCTAGCTTCACAGACTAGCATTGTGGTGTGATGGACAAGGAAGTGTCTCCAAGACATTTCCTTCACAGCTGGAAGAAAGCCTTCCTGATTCCAGAGTCTTCCTATTGGGCCTGTGCCATTCATGTGTGGCAATAAAGGAGCCTTCTTCACCCATCACCTGTGTAATTTCTCAGGGGAAGTCTTTTTTTTTTTTTTTTTTTTTTTTTTGAGACAGAGTTCCACTCTTGTTGCCCAGGCTGGAGTGCAATGGTGCAATCTCGGCTCACTGCAACCTCTGCCTCCCAGGTTCAACCTCTGCCTCCCAGGTTCAAGCAATTCTCCTGCCCCACCCTCCCAAGTAGCTGGGACTACAGGCATGCACCACCCTGCCCAGCTAATTTTTTGTATTTAGTAGAGACAGGGTTTCACCATGTTGGTCATGCTGGTCTTGAACTCCTGACCTCAGGTGATCCACCCGCCTCAGCCTCCCAAAGTGCTGGGATTACAGCCGTGAGCCACTGCACCCAGCCTCTCAGGTGAAGTCTTTCATGAACCCTGGAATGGAATAAATAGTGTCCCTCTCATTTGTGGAATTATGTAACAGCTCCTAGCCTCCTGCTGTCAGTGATGAAATCTCTATGCTGTCTATTAATGTAAAAGTCACCACGGCTCCTGCTTTTTCTTACAACATCTGTAAATTTAGAGATAAGGAGATGAGTCATCCCTGTAACTAAGTTTTGTAAGGAAAACACTTGGATATGTCCCCATTTCTTGTATCTCCGGTTGTTTAAGGGGTCCTCTCACATGTCAGCATGTGCCCACAGGAAATGAGGCAGTTAGGCCTGCAAGCTTCAGTGCGCTCTGCCCGTTTTTGTTCTCCATCTCCTCTGTGTTTTATTTCGTTCAGGGTCTTTGTTGCCCAGAGGGCCAGCTCTGGGCATTGGCCATAAACAAGTGCTTGTGTTGTTTTATCCTACTGGTGAAGAGAGATGTAGGGAGGAGATGGGGTGGGATGGGGAGGGGATGATGTGACATCAAACAGGAGGTGTAGTGGTCAGTGTTCTGAGGGGAGAAGACACCTTCTTCCTAAGGGTTCCTTAACTCCCCCGTCCTGGAACAATTCTTGGTCCTCTGTAAGACCAGAAGAGTTGGTTGTCACTGAACCCAGATAAGCTGTGGAACTAACTCACTGCTGATGCTGGCTGCTCTGAGTTCCCCTGCAGGCCCCAGCTCAAGACAACGTGGGCAGAGCTCTGCCCTGGCTGCCTTGGGAAACCAAGACACGGGGCAGGTCATTCATACGTGTGCTTCAGCCCACGCGCATTTACAAGACAAAGCCTCTCCTTAGCTCTCTATTGCCCCATTCATTTTGAGTTCTTTTCCCCTTCAGGAGTTCCAAGGATGTTCGCTTTAGCTTGAATTATTCTGCCTAAAATATTTGTAACAAGCAGACGAACCTCCTAGGTGGCTCAGATGTCACACCCTCTCAAGGGTAGTGCTGAACACGGGAACGTGGTTCAGAGAGGTACATGTCCCCTTAAGGGATCTCAGGATAGGCATGTCTGTTTCCCCATTTATGAGGACCGAGAGTGACACAGAACTGAAGTGGTTGTTGTGTGATCAAAATACAGGATGCTGTAGGTCACGCCCGACAGAAGGGTCGGCCGCTGAGGGTGCCTCTGCCTGCTGGTTCCTGCTGAAGATTGTTGCGGTTGCTTTCGAAGGAGAGAGGCTTGTTTCACACCCTGAAATCCTAGTCATTGCTTCCGCATCTTTGCTGCCTTCTGTTTCCTTTGACAATTGTCAGAGGGGAAGCTGTTGAAAGATACTGGTGACATCTGCCCCATGCAGGTCATGAGTGAGGCTGCTGGGTGGAGACGAGGCATGTGGGATGCTGCACTGAGCTCTCTAGGGCATAGGAGAGCAGGCCAGCCGTCCCAGGGAGCAGTGCCTGTGCCTCCTCCAGTGCAGCCACAGAGGAAGAGGTGAGAATTGGAGATAACTCAGTTTAGAATGCATGCATTGGTCTTCATTATCAAGACTGCAGTAGAGCCTATTCCTCAGCTTTCTGCCACTGCTTCCCAGGAGTCTGGCCCACAGAACTGTCCCACGACCAGCAGAAGAGAACGTCTCCTTTCTCTTCCTTCCCCACAACCCCTCCTGACCCAACCTGTGGCTCAGCCCAGATTTGCTTCCTGCCTCTATGTCTGTTCATTGTGATTGGCCATCACTGATTACCTTTACAGAAGGTGAAGAGGACTGAATGCTCGCCAGGAGTGCCACAGTCCTGAGAAGGCAGAGAAGTCCTACGTTACCCTGCAGGATTCCCTGAGCCCCCACTAAACACACAGGGCTTGCTTTGGAACTGAAAAAATTGCAACAAAGCAAGACAACTGCAATTACCCATTTCTGCTCCCAACTGCCAATAGTTTCTCTCTTCATTCATTTCTTTGTAAAGTTCTTAAAGGTTCCTAAGTTTCTTTTGGGAGCATGCTTATTTCATTATACCTCTCTCTACAGCAGTGGTTGTCAACTAGCGGTGATCCTGCCCCCCAGAGGACAGTAGGCAGTGTCTAGAGACATTTTTGATTGTCAGGACAGTACTGGTTGGAGAGAGGTTGTTACCGGCACCTAGTGGGCAAAGGCCGGGGATGCCACTAAACATCCCACAATGCACAGGACAGGTCCCCATCATGAAAAAAGACCTGGCCCCCAAATTTCCATAGTGCCCAAGCTGAGAAACCCTGATCCACAAGAGACCTTTGACTTTTACATCCCAAGACCTTCAAGCATCCCTGAATTTACAAATGCCTCTTATACTGTTTAGTTTCCCCATAAAACTTTTGCCTAAGAACCATTACTTTCTTTTTTTTTTCTTAAGACAGGGTCTCACTGTGTCACCCAGTGAGCAATTACAGCTCACTGCAGCCTTGACTTCCTGGGCTCAGGCGATTTTCCCATCTCAGTCTTCCAAGTAGCTGGGACTACAGGCACTTGCCACCGTCCCCGGCTAATATTTTTATTTTTTTGTAGAGATAGAGTCTTGCTACATTGCCTAGGCTAGTCTCAAACTGCTGGACTCAAGCCATCCTCCCACCTCAGGAGTTCTGGGATCACAGGCATGAGCCACCATACCTAGCCTAGAACTGTCACTTTCTTATGCCTCTTTGCTTTCTCTTTACTTCCATTATGGGAACATCATTCTCCATAAAGAAATAAGGTTTTTTTCCCTTCATAAGTATTACTGCCTACAGAAGCGATAAGCAGAGAACAGAGCTGCAGGGAGGGCAGATGTTAGGTTTTCCGCTGGGGTCTGTTCTGTTAGTGCCCTGCTTAAAATGCTCCAAAACATCCAACCCCCTGTGCCATCCAAAAGGGCTCTTCGCAGTCTGACTGCAGCCTCTTCCAGCCCCACCCCTGCCCGGCTTGCTGTGCTTCAGCCACACAGGCCTTCTGAAAGCTCCTCGAGCCTACCTGCCTCTTTCCCACTGTAGGCCTCTGGGCCGGGAAGTCTCTCCCTCGTCTATTGCCTGGGTAGCACCTTCTCATCCTCCAGCTCCCTTCCTGGGGTATCCACTGTTTCCAATGCTTTCCCATTGTGTCTTCTCACAGTGCCCTGATTGTTTGCTTCATAACGCCTCTCTCAAGCTGTAACCGTAGTTGTTTTCTTCCCAGGCTGGAGCGCAGTGGCATGATCTCGGCTCACTGCAACCTCTGCCTCCCGGGTTCAAGTGATTCTCATGCCTCAGCCTCCCGAGTAGCTGGGATTACAGGCGTGCACCATCATGCCCGGCTAATTTTTTGTATTTTAGTAGAGATGGAGTTTTACTATGTTGCCCAGGCTAGTCTCGAACTCCTCAGCTCAGGCAATACACCCACCTCAGCCTCTCAAAGTGCTAGGATTACAGGTATGAGCCACCACACCCGGCCTGTAGTTGTTTTCTTGTTGTCTGTTTCCTCCTCCTTAGAACGTAGCCCCGTGAGTTCAAGGGCCGTATCTGTCTGGTTTATCATTGTATCCTCAGCTCCAAGCACAGGGCCCGGTCTGTAGAAGGCTCTTGTTGGTTTTTGAATAAATGAGCAGAACTGAGCTAGCTAGATGACCCCTTCCCACCCTTGTACACATGAGCATGAAAGTACCAGCAAAAGTAAACATGAGTTAGTTATAGACATTCACAGTCACTGTGAAAAGCCAGAACTTCCCATTCAGAAGACCAGCAATGGGCTGTGTGTCCCCTGTCTCACCCAACTGCTGCCCTCAAAATTATTCTAGCAGCACCACTCTGAGCCAGGACTCCCAAAGGGGAATCATATCACGATGATGATGTGATCCAACCAAAGCATAGGAAGATGATTCAAACTTGTTTTCATCATTCTGGGATTTGTCTGTGGGATCAAATTGAGATTGAGGGCTGGGCGTGTTGGCTCACTCCTGTAATCCCAGCACTTTGAAAGGTCGAGGAGGGTGGATCATCTGAGGTCAGGGGTTCGAGACCCAGCCTGACCAACATGGTGAAACGCTGTCTCTACTAAAACTACAAAATTAAGCCAGGCATGATGGTGGGTGCCTGTAATCCCAGCTACTCCAGAGGCTGAGGCAGGAGAATCACTTGAATCCAGGAGGCAAGGTTGCAGTGAGCCAAGAGCACGCCACTGCACTCCAACTTGGGCAACAGAGCGAGACTCCGTCTCAAAAAATAAAAATAAAAATTGAGATTGTGACATCCAAAACTGGATGGTGAAGACTCTCAGACTCACGTCAGAGATAAGCAGGGTCCAGTGCAATCAGCTGGGTGTTCCCATCTCCAGCCTGTGTGCCAGACACCCTGAGAAATGCAGAGAGAAGTGAGACGCAGCCCACGGCCACAGTGAGCTTCATATTTAGTAACAGGGAAAAGAGAAATATGCCAATATCTAAAACCCAAGAGAGGGCATAAGAAGTTTTGTTGCCACAAGGATTCAAAGGCGGGAGGCAGGACAACTTTGGGAGCCTGGGAAGGACTTTGTGGTAGAAGTTGCATTGGAATGGGCCCTGAAGGCTGGGTAGGAGTTGGAGGGGCTGGGGAGGTGGCACAAGAGGGCTTTGGTCCTGTGTCAGGTATTCAGGTACTGCAGGCAGAGCACTTTCCTCTCCACAGGGTGGCCTCCCTTTTGTCCTGCTCTCAAATATCCAGTTAGCACCTGCTGGGAAGCCTGTCTTCTCTAACCACTGCCCAGCCCCTCCTTCTCCCAGCCAATAGCTCCAAGGCAGGAGTTGGCAATCTCTATTTCTTCATGCTTTTTCTTTTTTTTTTTTTTTTTTTTTTTTTTTGAGACGGAGTCTCGCTCTGTTGCCCAGCCTGGAGTGCAGTGGCGCAATCTTGGCTCACTGCAACCTCCACCTCCCGGGTTCAAGCGATCCCCCTGCCTCAGCCTCCTGAGTAGCTGGGATTACAGGCACACGCCACCCCCCAGCTAATTTTTGCATTTTTAGTAGAGACAGGGTTTCACCATGTTGGACAGGCTGGTCTCAAACTCCTGACCTCGTGTTCCACCCACCTCAGCCTCCCAAAGTGCCAGGATTACAGGCATGAGCCACTGCATCCGTCCTCTTCATGCTTTAAAAAAAAAAAAACAAAATTGATGGAGTCTGGGAGAATGGGCACCAATTTTTGTGTTTCTATCACAAATTCAGCATGTGGCTATCTCAGAAAAGCTTTAAAATAGAGAAAAGTGCATCTTTCTAAGAACAGGAGTGAAAATGAGAAATGGGTAAGCATTCCCAGAGATGAGGTGTTTGTCTTTTTTAATGATCAGAAACAGGTGGTAAAGCATACGGTATGTCACCCAATTTAGCAGAGTACAGGAAGACCAGTTAGGAGTCTACTGCACCAGTCCAGGCCGGAAAGACTCATTTGAATTGTAAATAAGGATAGGAGCCAGAGTTAGCCACTAAAGAAGCTCCAGAAATAAAATCACTAGAACTGTGATCTGGAGGGGAAGGAAGGAGGATGGGGCCACTGATGGGATGGATGTCTAGGTGTAGGTGACTAGCAGGCAGCTGGACTTGAGGTCTGCAGAAAGGTTGATACTAAGAGAAATACACCAGGAAAGGAGGCGTGTGCTTGGTGGAGCCTGCCGATTGCACCAAGAAAGGAAGCAGATGATGCCAAAATAGGGGTGGGCTTCTGGGAGGGAGGATTGGCAGGGGAGGAGGCTGGGGGACTGGAGAGCATCACAGAAGGGGAGGAACTCAGGTCAGACAGGAAATTCATGGTTGAGATCTTAGAAAGGGAATCATTGTAAACTGTGGGTTGTTTAAAACCTGAAGTCAGTGACCTGAGAAATCACCCTGAAGTTGGGTGGGCAAGCGGGGAGGGAAGAATGGGGAGTGGCCGCTAATGGAAATGGGCTTTTTGGGGGGTGATAAAATGGAATTAGCTGGTGGCACTGGTCACACAACCTTGTGAATATTACTAAAACCCACTGATGTGTGTACTTTAAATGGGTGGATTTTATGGTATGTGAATTATGCCTCAACTTTTTTTTTAAAAACCCTGAAGTTGGTATGGGGAGAGGGGTGGAGAAAGAGAAGCATGAATATCCGTGTCCCAAAGGACAATGGCGAGGACCTTGAGTCACATGCTCAGTGATCTTGGAAAAGTGGGTGTTTCTTTGAGGTCAGCATTATGCGCTCACCTTTGTGCCAGGTACCCCGCCTATGATGCTCTGTCCCCGGGAAGCCTACAGCCTGGTTGAGTAGAGCGCTAGCATCTGCGATGCAGCTTTAGGAGGGGACGGCAATGATGACAGCAGGAGCAGAGACTGAAACTGAACCCCAGGGCTTGAGTCATCCATGTGTTCATGTTTGGTTAACAGGCTCTGTGGTTGCAAGCCTGGCTCCTTAGGCCCCAGGTGTAATTCTCCTGTCCTGCCTCCTTCCCTGTCTACAGTGTGGCCTTCTGGCCTCCACAGTGGTGCCATCACCAGGGTCGTTCCTTGGGAGCTGTTAAGGGGAGAAGTTGATTAAGTTCCGGGCTTGAATGTTGCCTCTGTCGGTTCCAGGTTGGGCTGGTGTACATGTTTAACCTCATCGTGGGCACGGGCGCACTCACCATGCCCAAGGCATTCGCCACTGCCGGGTGGCTTGTCAGCCTCGTCCTGCTGGTGTTCCTGGGCTTCATGAGGTGAGAGGCAGCGGGGACTTCCCCACAGGGGCCAGGAGTGGAGCAGGAGGGAGTCAGCCCAGGAAGCCCGAACATGAGGGCACTGAGGGGGTGGGAAGACACCTGTCTACCCCGTATCGAGCTCAGTGAGTCCTTGCCAGGGTATTCAGAGAGGGGAAAGTGGTCACAGAGGCCTCCTGGTGGCTTGTCTTTGTGGAGCGGTTGCACAGCCCTGATCAGATAAAAACCTGGACATCCACTAGGCTTTGGAATGTTTCACGTGATGCTGGCCTATTTCTTCCCTGGCAGGTTTACCTCCCTGCTATTAAATGTATGCTTTATTAACATTACCATCAAGTTTTGCTGTCTGAGAAAATACCACCCAGCCACAGAAAAAAGATCTAACAAACATTTAAGGTGACATGGGAAATCAGTTTGGAATTTAGAATTTACTTAAGGTAATTCACGAAGTAGGTGATAAACACACGCCTGGGTGCACGATCAAGTGTGGCACTCGCCTGCTGTGTACCTCCCCAGGTCTTCAGGGACGCCTACTCCTTGAGCCAGGTGTGTGGGCCTCACCAGCCGGTGCTTCAGGGAGGGTGGGTTCCACCTGAGGCTCTTCTCGGGGATTCCCACACACGTAGGGACTAGTCTGAAGTTGTCAGCAAGTGCCCCAGGCCAGGAAGGGGTTTAGGACTAGGCATTTCCATTCTCTCAACCGGGTAGGAATCCACAAGCTGCAAAAAAGAGATGGGAAGGAGCACCTGGAAACACCTCCCCTGAGAGGTGACCCTGCCCCATCTGTGCACCAAGCACCCTTCTGGGTACTGAGGGGGCCTCACCACAAAGATCCCTGCCTGTGCAGACTTGACTTTATGTTGTGGGGAGAAGTGACAGCGAGCAGTGAAGATAATAAATGGGTAAATGGAAGAGTGAGCCGGAAGGCAGTGAGTGCTGTGGAAAGAGGAAGGCGTAACAGGGCGAGGGGACTAGGATGCCGGCTGAAGCAGGGTCAGGGAGGGCTGCATCTAAGCAAGGATCTGAAGGGGGAGGGAGTGGGTGCGGGCGGAAGGATGAGACGGAGCTTAGTAGTTGGAGCAAACTAAGACGTACAGGAAGCTGAATGGGATAGGAAAACGCCCATGGTTTTCAGTTTCTTCATGCATTTCTTTTGGGGAGTTTTGAGGGTGAATCTTGGGGCACTATTGGTTCATTATCTACAGTGAGCCCTGGCAGCCAAGAGCTCTAGAAGTCCTTGTCCTTACATGACTCCGCTGTCCCCTTTAAAGGACCTTCAGCACAGGCAGCCATCTAATGGGAAGTGATCATTCTGGGCTCCCAGGCAGGGGGTACCACACCCCGCTCCTTGCTCAACCCATTTGTGTTTGAACGTGATCGATGAGTTGGCCTTGCGCAACCATGAAAAGTCTCTTTATGCCTTAATTAAGATTGATTTTAATTTCACGTCCAAAAAGAAGGGTAAATCCAAAGCCCTTAAAATGGTCACTTAGGCAAGATAATGAGAAACCTTTCTAGGAGGTGCTGAGGCGATTGGAATGGGGGTTTCAGAGCTGGCTGCTCCCCCAGAGTGGGAGTGAGTGTGGGTTTAACTGGTGTGGGGCCAAGTGACCCCTCTGCCTCCTGCCACCTGACGTCAGGGTGAGCAGTCAGCCCCCCAACCCTTGTCAACACTCAGGGAGAGGCAGGGGTGAGTCTGCTGGCAGAGTTGTCCTGGCCTCAAGAAAGCAGGAGATGGGCCGGGCGCGGTGGCTCACACCTGTAATCCCAGCACTTTGGGAGGCCGAGGCAGGTGGATCATGAGGTCAGGAGATCGAGACCATCCTGGCTAACAAGGTGAAACCCCGTCTCTACTAAAAATACAAAAAATTAGCCGGGCGCGGTGGCGGGTGCCTGTAGTCCCAGCTACTCGGGAGGCTGAGGCAGGAGAATGGCGTGAACCCGGGAAGCGGAGCTTGCAGTGAGCCGAGATTGCGCCACTGCAGTCCGCAGTCCGGCCTGGGCGACAGAGCGAGACTCCGTCTCAAAAAAAAAAAAAAAGAAAGCAGGAGATGAATGTTCGTCCCATGCTGTTCCACGGCAGAGATGGATTCATACCTCAGGTTTTATTAGCAGGAAGGCAGCCCACTTCTGTATCCTCCGTTAACAAAAGCATTCATGCATTCCAGCTGTCATCTAGGTCTCTCAAGTATCCTTTTTTTTTTTTTTGAGACAGAATCTCGCTCTGTCACCCAGGCTGGAGTGCAGTGGCACGATCTCGGCTCACTGCAACTTCTGCCTCCCGGATTCAAGCAATTCTCCTGCCTCAGCCTCCCAAGTAGCTGGGATTACAGGCATGTGCCACCATGCCCAGCTAATTTTTTTGTATTTTTAGTACAGACGAAGTTTCACCATTTTGGCCAGGCTGGTCTTGAACTCCTGACCTTGTGATCCACCCACCTCAACCTCCCAAAGTGCTGGGTTTACAGGCATGAGCCACCGCCCCTGGCCTCAAGTTTCTTTAAGAGGAAAAGAAAAGATGATTTTTCCAATCTAGTCTGACTTCTTGGCAAGCGTCTAATGCCACCTCCCAATCTCCCTTTTGAATTGGTCCGTAGAAGTGCAAACTTATTTTAATATTAGCCAGATTATTTGGAAAGTAAAAAGTACTGCCAAAGAAAAAAGGGATGGATTCCGGAGCCAAGTACCCATTTCCAATTATCCATGCCTGCGCTCCTTCCGTGAGTGTATGTAATTGGGAGGTGACCACTCGCCTGTGTCCTTGCAAGGTTGACGTGAAAGCTGCCTGCTGTCCTTCCAGAGGCTGGGGGGCCCTTTGTGAACCAGCCTCCCCTCACTGAGAGCGTCCTCTGATGTCTGCCCCCAACAGCCCCTCCTGGGTGTGAGCACGGCTTGTCCCAGTATCACGTCTGCCCCCAGCTCCCTCTCTCCTTTGGTTATTTTCCCTCCCATCACTTAGTTCACACCTCTCTCTCTCGTGCACCGGAAATACGTTCTCACTATAGACAGCAACGTCAAAGCATGCACACCTTTTTACCAAGTAAAGCCCATCTCTAGGGAACAGCTCTCAGAAAAGAGAATGGTCTGGGCTGGTGGGTCTGGTCGGTTCTTACAATGGTGTTTTCCTTCTCTCTCTGTCTCCTCCAACCTGTCCGCCTTTGGCGCTGGGCACTCGGCCCCCTCAGCTTCGTGACCACCACCTTTGTGATAGAGGCCATGGCTGCAGCCAACGCGCAGCTCCACTGGAAGAG
This sequence comes from Homo sapiens, assembly GCF_000001405.40. Taxonomy (NCBI): domain Eukaryota; kingdom Metazoa; phylum Chordata; class Mammalia; order Primates; family Hominidae; genus Homo; species Homo sapiens. Next base: position 74,788,855 of record NC_000017.11, read on the forward strand.
GATGGAGAACCTCAAGGTGTGTGTGTTGCCCTCGTCTCCGGGCCATGCCTCTGTTCCGTCAGGTACCCAGCAGGCGGTCTCAGCAGCCCATTCTTTTCCTCTCAGTGCATGGCGGGCTCTGTCCACGGCACTGCTCCTGGACCCCAGTCCCAGAGCTGAAGCTTAATAGCCACCTAAATCTTAAAGCACAAATGGAGCCTCTGCCACTTTCCCGTCTCAGCCTCAGGCCCTCCTACCCACACCCGCACCCAGCTCAGCTGTTTGAAATCTTTGTACCCAGGAACTGTGTTGTCACTTCTTCCCGAGTGCGTCTCTGCCACCTCTAATGGGGCAGCATAGCTGTGCTGAGAGCTTCCTAAAGATACAGATACCCTGCAGAAGGAAAGAACACAGGGGCCGGTGGGGGGGCTCACACCTGTAATCCCAGCACTTTGGGAGGCCAAGGCGGGCAGATCACTTGAAGTCAGGAGTTCAAGATCAGCCTGGCCAACATGGTGAAACCTCATCTCTACTAAAAATGCAAAAATTAGCCTGGCATGATGATGTGTGCCTGTAATCGCAGCTACTCAGGAGGCTGAGGCACAAGAATTGCGTGAATCGGGGAGGTGAAGGTTGCAGTGAGCTGAGATTGTGCCACTGCACTCCATCCTGGGCAACAGACTGAGATAACATGAAGTGGCAAGCATTTCAAAAAAAAAAAAAAAAAAGAGGCCGGGCACAGTGGCTCATGCCTGCAATCCCAGCACTTTGGGAGGCCGAGGTGGGTGGATCACCTGAGGTCAGGAGTTCAAGACCAGCCTGACTAACATGGTGAAACCCCATCTCTACTAAAAATACAAAATTAGCCGGCCGTGGTGGCAAGTGCCTGTAATCTCAGCTACTCGGGAGGCTGAGGCAGGAGAATCACTTGAACCTGGGAGGCAGAGGTTGCAGTGAGTTGAGATCACACCATTGCACTCCAGCCCAGGCAACAAGAGCAAAACTTCGTCTCAAAAAAAAAAAAAAAAAAAAAAGGAAGCAGGTTTGCCATTGTCCTAGGGCTTTTCTGTAGAGTTCCATGCTCTTTTTTTTTCCTTTCTCTCTTTCTTTTTTGTTTTTTTGTTTTTTTGTTTTTTTGAGACAGGGTCTTCGCTCTGTCACCCAGGCTGGAGTGCAGTGTTGCAATCACGGCTCACTGCAGCCTCGATCTCCTGGGCTCAGGTGATCCTCCCATCTCAGCCTCCCAGGTAGCTAGGACTACAGGCACATGACACCACACCTGGCTAACATTCTGTACTTTTTTGATGTGCTCCTTTCTTTTCCCTTGTTTTCCTCCCTCCTCCTCGTCCATCCTACTGGCTCCCAGGAGGAGGAAGATGACGACTCCTCCACAGCCTCAGACAGCGATGTTCTCATCCGGGACAACTACGAGCGGGCAGAGAAGCGGCCCATCCTGTCTGTGCGTAAGTCTTGGGGTTCTCGCGGGCCCGCACTTCCCTCCGGGCCACAGGGTTCCCTTTCTTCATGGAGAGGGCCCTGGAGAGGCTCCCCGCAGATTCTGGCATTTCCTGCCCCTGGGTTCTGAGGCAGGCCCTGTGGTAGACTCAAAAGAGCACAGGGTTTCAGTCCTGGGCACAGGCCTGGCCCCTGCTGGCTTGGCCACTACTCAGATTTGCAGCTTGGTAAGTTCCTTGACCTGTGCACCTCAGTTTCCCCCCATACCCCTTCCTGTTACTGAGATGATTAAATGCCTGGTTCCTTGCCTGGTGCACCCTGGAAGCTCAAGTAGATGTCGTTCTGTGGCATCTCTTCTTCCTCCTGCCTTGTGCCCTCATGTTCATACATGCCCCTGCCTTGCTGTCTCCTCCCTGGTCGGCTGGGTTAGGCTCTGACGCCTGCTCTCCCTTTCACCCCAGCAGGAGCATCTCTGAATTCCCTTAAAAAAAAAAAAAAAAAAAAGACTGTGTTAAACCATGTCAAGCAGGAAACATTAGGAAAAGTTTTCTCGAGTTTGGACACTTGGGGATTTCATGGTTTAGATAATTCAGTGAGGTCCTCACCACCCTCTGAAGCTCTCCACGTGAAGAACCACTTCCTCTTCCTTGTTCTTTTGGCTCTGCAGAGAGACGTGGATCTCCCAACCCGTTTGAAATCACAGACCGGGTGGAAATGGGACAAATGGCCTCCATGTTCTTCAATAAAGGTAGAAGTTCTTTTGGGGGTGGGGTGTGGGGAAACGGGGAGCTGGTGCTTCCCTGCAGGCCTGCACCCTTGTAATGAGGGCTCCACCCTGACAGCCAGACCATGGGGCAGAGCAGGTGGTAGAGCTGCTCCCTCAGCACCTGAGAAGCCACCTTGCTGACCTGTTTTCCTGGATTCCTCCCTGTCTGCGGGCATTAAAAACAAAGAGGCCGCTTCTCTAGCGGAAGTCAGGAACCCCAGGCAGCTACTCCAGCCAGGGTCAGGAACCCCAGGCAGCTACTCCAGTGAGGGTCAGGAACCCCAGGCAGCTACTCCAGCGGAGGTCAGGAACCCCAGGCAGCTACTCCAGTGAGGTTCAGGAACCCCAGGCAGCTACTCCAGTGAGGGTCAGGAACCCCAGGCAGCTACTCCAGTGGAGGTCAGGAACCTGAGGCAGCTACAAAATAAGCTTTTTCCTTTTCCTGCAAAGGAAGTTGATGGAGGCCGGTTGATGGTTTTGCACCTCCTGCTTGATTGCCTCTGACCTTGCCCTCTTCTGGCCGATTCTGTCTAGAATAACACCTTCTGACAGCGCTAGAATCTGCTATGCGCACGCCTGGGCGTGGCTTCCCAGTGGCCGGCAGAGGGCGCTAGGAGCCCACACCCAGGCTTGCTGAGTGAGACCGGAGCCCTGAAGTGTGCTGGTGAACCTGCTCCTTCCTGGGATCTGGCTGCAACCATAAGGGAGCCACCCAACTCTGGGGTTGAGTTGTTGGGTGTGCCAGCGACATCTTATATCTCCATGGCAAATCTGGTTCTTTTGGAAGATGAGCTATTTAAGAGTTTAGTGGGCCGGGCACGGTGGCTAACTCCTGTAATCCCAGCACTTTGGGAGGCCGAGGCAGGCGGCTCACGAGGTGAGGAGATCGAGACCATCCTGGCTAACACGGTGAAACCCTGTCTCTACTAAAAATACAAAAAATTAGCCGGGCATGGTGGCAGGCGCCTGTAGTCCCAGCTACTCGGGAGGCTGAGGCAGGAGAATGGCATGAATCCTGGAGGCGGAGCTTGCAGTGAGCCAAGATCGCGCCACTGCACTCCAGCCTGGGCTACAGAGCGAGACTCCGTCTCAAAAAAAAAAAAAAGAATTTAATGGCCAGGCATGGTGGCTTATGCCTATAATCCCAGCACTTTGGGAGGCCGAGGCAGGCGGATCACTTGAGACCAGGAGTTGGAGACCAGCCTGGCCAACATGGTGAAACCCCATCTCAAGTAAAAATATGAAAATTAGCTGGGCGTGGTGGTGCACACCTGTGGTCCCAGCTACTCCAGAGGCTGAAGCACAAGAATCACTTGAACCTGGGAGGCGGAGGTTGCAGTGAGCCGAGATCACACCACTGCCCTCCAGTCTGGGCTGCAGAGTAGGACCTTGTCTCAAAAAAAAAAGAAAACCAGAAAAAAGAGTTTAGTTTTTAATGCCCAGACCTGTTTATTTCCATTTCATTGAGAGTCAGTCACATTCTCAGTTCATCCTTCCCCTTGCAACTGTCTTCGAAGATTTTCTGCCCCTTTGTCAAAGCCCCGTTTGTCGAGTGGGCTGCCCTACCAGTTCTTTCTAGTCTTAAATGTGGCTGCACTTAACTTAGAGCCGGGGGGACTGTAGGAACTAGAATCTCTTTGACTGCTTTTTAGGACGTTAAGCATTTAGGCAGGGCGATGTGATTATCAGCCAAAGGCCGCCCTAGGGCCTGGTTCACCCTCCCTGCTGGACCGGCCTCACAGAGGGATTTCAGAATTCAGCAAAACCAACTGGTCAGGTTCAGCCCGCATCTGTGCTTCTCCTTTGTTCCATTTCCATCCCTCCCGTCTCACCAGCCTGAGCAAGCATAAGCGTTTCCTCCTGGCAGCAACGCAAAGTCCCCTTCCAAATGCAAGCTTTAAAATAAAGTGCACATTGGAAGGAAGACGCATGCTTTTAAACCTCCTTTCTCATTTTCATGTTGTGCAGTCTGCCCTGATTTCTTTAAGAATTCTAGCAAACAGCAGTTTTGCCTTTTTTGCCCCCCACTACAGACTAGACTCTTAATTTGCCCAAATCTAATGGAAAATAAAGACATTGTCTGAGACCAGCCTCACACTTAAAGGGAGTCTCCTCTACCCTGGAGTTTCTCAAGCTCAGTCCTGTTGATGTTTGGGCTGGGGAATTCCTCCTTGTGGGCCTGTTCTGTGTGTGGTAGGGTGCTGAGCAGCATCCCTAGCCTCTGCCTGCTGGTTGCCAGTAGCACCTCCTACTTATGACAGTCAAAACTGTCCTCAGACATTGTCACATGTTCCCAGCAGGGTCTGGGAGGCAAAATCACCCCAGCTGAAAACCTCCGCTGTGCTCCATTCCTGATTCACAGACTGCCAGATTGTCATCTTCACCCTTGGTGGGGCTGCCTCCTCTATAGGAGGCTCCCTTAGGGTCCCAGCTCATTTCTTATAATCAGAAATGCGGGCCTAGCCATTGATGTCTTCTCAGGAAGTTCATTGATCCCTTATTTTGTGTCTAGTAATGAAGTTTATTGACCAGGGAGGGCCAATGGCAGTTTATAAACAGAGCTGATGCCAGAGACCATTGGCAGGTGGAGGAAAGGCTGGGAGTGGGGCGGGGGACAATGCGTCCCCTCAGAGCAGAAAACAAGCTGGAGTGCAGGCTGTACCTGGAGCCTGGGCCTGAGTGACAGGCCAACCCCAGAGGCCACTAAGCTTGGACGTCAGGCTATCTCTGACATGTCAGGGAAGGACATGCCATATTCAAAAAGTGAGTGCCGAGGCCTCTTGGGTCCCCTTGAGGATCACGTTTTCTTAGTCTTTTCCCCCCCAGGCTCCTAGGAACAGAGCTGACCTCACATGGCCCAGGAATAACATGTCCTAGGCTTTCCGTTGGGTACCCTGCAGGCTCTTCTGAGCCACCAGGATTAAAAGGGAACTGTCACTTCATTTTTCTTTATGTTCTCAGAGAAGCCAGCAGCTTGAGACCAGTGACATCAAAAACGTGAGCCTCAGTCTGAGCAAGGGTGGAGACTGGTTGTCTGAGCAGTAACCCTTAGGTCATAGGGCCCTGCCACTCTTTTCAGAGCCCTTGCACCTGGCCTTTCTAGCTGGAATCATTTATGGAAGATGGCCCAGGTGGAATTCTTCTCACCCTTACGGGTTTGGAGACGTTCATGGACTTACTGGGGTCCTGAAACAAGTCTGATGGAATTAGGACTAGAGCCCTGTGTTCCCAACTTCTCGTTCAGCCTCCTGCTGGAGTGAGAGGGGACAAACGTCACCTCTGCAGCAGAAGTGTCAGTATCACACACCATCCAGAGTCAGCATTGTCCCTTGGGAGTGCTTCCCGTAAGAAGGAAAGGGGGCCTGTCTTGAGCACCATCTCCCCAGCACACCAGGCCACCGTGTGCTTGGGATCAGTCAGATTCAGAATGAGACAGTTGGCCTTTGGAAATCCAGGGCTTTTTACCCTTTGGATCCCAGCTTCAGAGAGCTGGGCTATTTTCCATCAACTTCTCTTTGCTTCAACTCTTTAGTAGCAATCTCTTGTCTTAGAGCCCGGTGTTGGCTGACACCAGAGGGGGCCCCAGCCCAGACGCACCTGGGGTTCAGGCTCCTGACTCGGGACATCTCTCCTCCCTCCTCCCACCCCAGCCATGCCAAGACTCACACTCACCGTGCACCTGTCTGGCTTCAAAATCTCTCTGATCCTCCCAGCCTCGTTGAGTCCTCTCAGGTGAAAGTCATGAGCCGATCTGTCTCTTGTCAGCATCACAGTGTAGCCAGCCAGAAAAAGAAATAGGACTTTGGGGTCATTTTCCCACTTTTTGTAGAAAGTAAACAGCTCAGAGAACTGAAAGCTATGGGAGAGGTAGAGATTTAGTCAAAAAGAAGAAGAAAAAAAAAAAAACATGCAGACATCTCTTTGTGGCTCCCTGACTGATGGCTGTGTTCCTTTCAGTGGGGGTCAACTTGTTCTATTTCTGCATCATCGTTTACCTGTATGGAGACCTCGCCATCTATGCTGCTGCCGTGCCCTTCTCCCTCATGCAGGTGACCTGGTGAGTACCCTCCTGGCCCCCAGGTTGGCGGTAGCCAAAGGGGCTTCCTCAGCAAGTCAGGGCAGAGTGTCCAGGGGAGAAGCACCATGCCAAGTGAGTTCATTGCATCTAGGGAATGCAGATGCCCAGGCCCTTTTCTGCACAGACCACAGCCAGCCATGCTGTCTGTCCTTAGCTCATGTCACTGTCCCCTTCCCTGCCCCACTAGGTTCCCACCAAGGGCTCCTGAGTCATTGGGAAATGGTGCTGCAGGAACAAGGAGGGTGCATCCTCAGAGATGCATCCCGCAAAGTGGTTTGTGAAAAGTCTGATTGTTGGCGCTCAGGCAGCTGTGCAGGGAGTGGCTTCTGTCTCCCCCAGCCCAGCCAGGCGGCCTCGCTGAGCCTGGGCCTGCTGTCATTCTCTTTATCAGCAGCGCCACTGGCAATGACTCCTGCGGTGTGGAAGCAGACACCAAATACAATGACACTGACCGGTGCTGGGGGCCCCTGCGCCGAGTGGACGCCTACCGCATCTACTTGGTGAGTGTCTGTGCCTCTGTGCCGCCTGCCCCAGCCCAGCCTGCACAGCTGAGGGCATTTGAAGTGCCTTTACTTCCAGGTAGAATCCTTTCCCCAGAGAGGAGGATCTACTCTTCTCCACACTCTGGCTAAGCACTGGGGCCTTGGCCCCAGGCAGAAATGGATCGTGTCACTAAGAGTCTAGCCCCCAAGGTTCCTGGCAGCAGGCCTCAAAGTCAAGCGTGGTTTGGAGTAGGCACTCAGGTCATAGCCAGATTCAGGACCGTGACTGTTGTAAACTTAGCTCAGATTCTAGGGCCGACCTCAGCAGAGTTCTCCAAGAGTGACACGTCTCATTTTTTCCGAAACTTTCCATATTTTGACCTTACTCCTGGCCAGCCCAAGAGCATATGGTTCGATGCTGGGTCTGGCCGTAAGCATCCTCTCCAGTTAGGGAAGGGTCAGCCCAGCTCTCTTCCTATCTTCCCTCCTCTCATCCTCCCAGTGGACAAGAGAAGACGATGAATCTCCAGGCTCGTTCTTGATTGCTTTGTGCCGTTGGTGGGGGGCAGGGAGCTGAATAATATGCCAGACAGGTCCTGGATAATAAGATACAAAATCAGAGACAGTTATTTATCTTTGCCTACTTTGGGGGCGGGACTCAGAAATGTTTTTCTTTAACTGTTGCAGTATCTGTTAATATTCTCTGCTTCCTCTTGGTCCTCCTCAGCCCTGACATAAATTTAGGTGTGCTAGGTGACACACAGTTTGACACGTGGCCACTTGGCTGATTTGGAGCAGGGAGGCAGGGACCAAGAGAGAGCCAGGCTTTTCAGGGAGCTGGCCTCCCGGCTTCATTATCCCTATCTGAGGAAAGGTTTCCACAGGCCCTGCAGGCTATTTGGGGCTGGATTTCTTAACCCCAAGGGGCCACTGAAGGGCTTTTCTTGCCCTCCTAGTCCCACTCTGCAGCCGTGCTGTAGGAGCCCTGTGGCCTGGGCCATGGAGAGGTTGGTTTTCCTCTCTGCCTCTCTGGAGCAGTCAGCTAATGGTCAGTGTGTCTTCTCCTGCACATTCATCTGTGGCTAGCAGTTTAGTAGGCTGCATCCCTGATTCCTCCGTTGCAGGTCTGGTGGGAATTTGGTAGCGGGTTAATTGTCTGGCACCCTTCTCCACCTTCCCCAGCCTTGGGGCGGGAAAAGGTACTGGCATGGCAGCCGGAGGGGTGAGCCCAGGCACTAGCAGCACAGCTGAGGCTCATTAGCCTCTTAGCTCTCAACAAACCATGACTGACAAAATTAGCAGAGGTATTAGTAAGGGAAAGGGCCCATCTGGATCTCTAGCAGGGTAGATGGGCAGAAGGAGGGGATGAAGGACAGGATTTGAGCGGCTCGCACAGACATGGTGGCATGTTCAGGGCAGAGCAGCCACAGCAGAGCCAGTTTGGTGGGTCTTTGCTGGGGAGGCTGCTGGAATCTAAAGACCCTGCCAGGCACACTCCCCGCCCACCAGCAAAACGGATACTGAGCGCTGGGAATATTGGCTGCTGCCATTTGCCTGATAAATTATTTAGAAGCGTTATTCTTGCCTTGTTAAATGGTTCCCTCACTTATTCCTATAAACCTTCCACATGATGGAAGCCTCCCTCCCTGGATCTCAATAACTCTCTGACCGAACAGAAGGAACCCTTCAGGAAAGCAGACGGGCATTAATTACTGCCTTCATCTCCCAGATACTGCATTTATAACTCATAGAGCTAATTGTCATCAGAGCCTGCAAAAGCCACGAAAACAGGAAGCAGAGGCTGCAGAACAGGAGTGGAGACCCTGGCTGCCCACGAGAGCCTTTTCTTTCTGGGCCAGTGACAGTATCCTTCCCCCATAGCCCAGTCCCCTGCTGGGGGCTTCTGTTTGCTCAGAGGCTTTTGGTTTGCATGGGCTCTTCTACCCAGTTTGGAGAAATCAAGGCAGATGGGCCTTGGCATTGTCTCAGAAGTCACTTCACAGTTTTGCATGTGGCTCCCAGGGTGTGAGGTTCTGCAGAACAGTAGCCTGCTGTTCCCTTGACCCCAGACCCTGGTGCTTTCATTGCTCTGCAGCCCCTTCCCCTCCCTTGGTGAGTTGGAAGGGGCAGAGTGACTGGAGGAAGGGGGGTTGGCAAAGATGTGGGTTTCCTCCCTCAGTCCTGAGCTCTTCTGCAAGTGATGACGGCATCTTCCCCTCCCAAGTCTGGCCTGCAGGTCTTATCCCTGTGCGTCTTTGTAAAGGTCAGGAGAGCTAGATTCCATCAAGTGGCCCCTTGGGCCCCAGAGGAGGAGGGCTGTCCTTCCCCGCTGCCCCCTGGTCATTCTGTTTCAGAAGATTGTCCATCCCTTCTAGGGATGCCACACTGCCTCTCACCACCAGCTGTTTCTGATTTTGCTGCCAGCCAGATTTCACTCAGTGTTCAGCAAGGCAGCGAGCAGGTCGGAGGAGAATTGAAAGCACCTCCCTACCCTGCACACAGACCTTGTTTGTCTCAGGTAGATGGTGCCCCTACCCAGGCTGCATTTTTAAAAGGGCCTGCTAATAATCTCTTCTTCATTGCCATTCTGCAACAGTAGTTCTGGGGGACAGAGATACAGACTTTTATATTGTGGTCTAACTTTCAGAAAGTCATCTGGAAGCGATTTCTTCTGTGTCTTCCCAGGAATGCTCCTGAGACGCACACACACGGTGAGAATCCTTGCTACAGTAACTGTCTCCAGGGCTGGCCTGTGTGTAGCATCATGATTACTTACAAAAAGGGAGATGCTTCTACCAGCAGCTCCCAGTGGCCTCCCAAAGCCCTTGACCTTCACCAGTGGAAAATTCCAACCCCACTCCTTGTGCCTGACGACCCTTGTCCATATCCTGTGCTTCCCGGCGCGGCTGATATGAGTCACTTTCCCCCTTTCCTTCCCTGGAGGAGCCACAGAGCAGGGTGCTGGGGGGTGGAGGTCCCCTGAGTCACTTGCTGCTTCAGTGGGCTCTCTGGGGTGTCCCAGCAGGCCACTGCAGCTGGAGCCAGCGGTGACCTCAGCCCTGTTATTAGGGCCCATGGAGATTATCATCAGGATCTGCTATCAGCTGACCTTGGATTCTCAGGCCCCCCACCCACCCATCCCTCCTGCTCTTTTGAAAAATCAAATGGGAATGTGTGAGATGCTCCAGCTCTTTCAAACGGGTAACCTTGCCTCCAGGCTAGGGAACATCTCAGGATTCTTTCTGCAGTTTCTCCGGCTTTGGTAGGCAACACAGTCAGAAGTTGGCATTTCATTCCTTCCTCTACAGCATGAAGGAGCCAGGGACCCCTGGTGAGGTGATAGGATTGCGTATGAACCAGTTCTGTTTGGGACTCAGACTGTCCCAAGTGTCTGGGATGCAGGCGTGTGTCACTCTCCCCCTGGGATCAAGGGCACTGCCCAGCACCTTTGTTGCACTTCCTTATTCCTGCATCACCTCCCAGCCAATATTCCTGTCCCCTGTCTGGACCCATCCCTCCTCCTAGAGAGAGTCAGAGGGAAGCAGTGTCAGAGGGGACAGTGGGGACTCCCAAGTGCTGAAAGCCTCTGAAAGCCTCTCACCATTAGGAAGAGCAAGCGGCATCTACCGCTCACAGGTGGACAGATGCTGCTGGGTCGCAGGTGGCCCGGCAGGCCCCGGCCGAACAGAGCCGGGAACGCAGATGGCAGAGCGGAGCTTATCCTGGCTGGAGACCCGGCCGCAAACTGCCCTGTTGAGCAGAGGGCCCTTCGTGGGCTGCCCTGGGACAGGACAAGGTCGCCCTGGCCTGCTCTCCTGCCTTGAACACAGGAGCTGTGAGATCCACCTCCGGGGCACAGGTGACTCAGGAGAGGGATACAGCCTGCAAGTGCCTGGCCAGTGCCCTGCCACCCCTTGTGACAGAGAGAGTCTTCCCAAGCTCCCTCCGGACACCCCCTTGAAGAAGTGGAGGGCCAGGGGGATTTCTGTCTGCTGGCCTCTCTTCCTAGAGGGCCGGGTCAGTCTCAGATTCAGGCTCAGGTTGACACCGGAAGGGTCAAGGGTCCTTCCAGCCCTGTTTGCGACAGCCCTGTTTTTTCTCGCTCTGCCAGGATTCCATCTTGGCCTCCCTCTCACATGGCAACACTGGCCTTTGTCCATTTGCAACACTTAAAATGGTGTGCAGTCCCCATTTCAAAACCAAATGCTTTCCTCCTAAAATAGTACCACTCAAGGAGAAAATATCCTTTTCATGAGGGTGCAGAGGGAGTGATGTGCCCACCTGGCAGTGCCATGCGTGCTGTGAGTGCCCCGCCCTCCCACGGTTTACCTTGCATCGGTGTAGCACATACCAGTGACTTTTGACTCCCACCCACACAGTAAAGTACACAGCGTCATCCCATTTCACAGCAGGGAAAACTGACTGAGAGACGGGGGCTTCCTGGGATCCCGGAGCTGAAGCAGACAGACAACAGCTCAGCTCTTTGGCCTCTCAGCTCTGTCCTGCCCTGGTGACACAGGCTTGCTCCACTTGCCCAAGACTCAGTTCCATAGGCCCTGCCTTGGCGGTGGCCCCCACTGCCATGTGCAGGCTGGGGCATGGAGCACCTCTTCTCAGCCCTGGAAGCCTGACATTTTCAAGTTGGTGGGGTGACCCGGCTGAGCATGTTCCCTGGTGAGTGAGCGCCTTTGCACGTCTGCCCATCATTGTCACCGACTTGATTGATGCCCTGTCTGCCCTGGTGCCCCTCACTCCTAGATAGCAAGGCCAGCTTTTCCTGGGCACTCAAGTAGTGTTAGAATTAAGTGCCTCTTCCCAAGGACACTTCCTTCCCCTGCCATGGTCTCTGTTCTTCTAGCGTCAGCCACTGTGCCCTGGGGCTGTGGCATCTGTTAATAAGTGGGTCAACGCTGCCTTCACTTGAATATTTATTCTTGCCAGTGCTGGGGCAGGAGGTGGCTTAGAGGCCTTCAGGACCAGTGAGGAAGGAAAATTAGTGAAGCAACAAGTTTGAGGAGCAGCAGTGACTTCACTGGACTTGGAGACTCTGGGGACACTGTGCCGCCTGCCTCCCAGGCACCACTCTTGTTGCTTTCAACGTCAGTGGTGCCCCCAGGGCACAACTCCAGTAGAACACAGTGAACACTGCCCCCGAGTTTATGCAGCGTCCAGCCCGGGATTGAGTGAAGTGCAGTCAAACAGGAAAGGTGGCCTGGGGAGGGCCTGGCAAGAAAGTGGACAGGATAAGCAAGCTGTCTCTGTTTAGGAGTCTAGTGGGTTGGCCCGTCTAGAAACGGAATGCAGGACCCTCAGCCCAGAAAGCAGACAGCCTGTCAAGAGTGTCCCTTCCTGGGCAACATCCACCCTCTCATGTGGTTCACGTGAGTTAGGACTCAGCCTCACACCAAACCAAGACGAGTCAGGAGGAGACTCCAGGACGCCTGGAGGGGGAAGGGTGTTGCTTCCAGGGTCGGGGACATCCAAGTGCCTCCTTTATAGGATGGCGACCATGTAGGGGCTCACTGGGGTGACCCGGGAAGCCCATCTTCTCTCCTTTCCTTTTCTTCTCCCTCCCAACGCACCTCTTGTCAGTTCCTCCTCATTCAGTTCTGGAGACTCTAGAAAGGTCGGGTTTGTTTTGCCTTTCACCTTTTCCTCCCCTCTCGCCTATGGAGAGATGTCCGTCACACCTGGTGGCACCGCAGGTGCACTGCGTGCAGTCGTTCTAACCCGTGCCCACCACCACCAGGAGCTGGACTCGGTGAGGCTTCGAGGTGTCTTCAGCCAGCTTTGGTGTGGGGTTGTGAGCCCCTGAGATGCATGTCCCGGGTGCTGTTTGTCCCACATATGCTGAGCCTTTGAGGTGTCTTCAGCCAGCTTTGGTGTGGGGTTGTGAGCCCCTGAGATGCATGTGCCAGGTCCTGTTTGTCCCACACATGCTGAGCCTTCTGCAGTCATCCCGTGAGACTGGGTGTCAAGGAAGAATGTGTTTCTTCCCCGCACCCCAAAAATGTGCGTGCCCGTACCCGCCACCCAAGCAGAGCTGGGAGTCTAACCTGGGTGAACTCTAACTTCAGACAGCGACTGCGCTCAGGCTGAAATGGTGACCTCAAAGGATTAGCTTGTCTCTTTCTTTTTCAAGGAAATCAATAATACAGGGACAGGCCTGTGTTGTTCTTGCTTGCTTGCTTTTTTTCCCTAGGAGCTGTCTATATATCTTAGACCAGGAATGGCTTCTTGTCTTCCGTGTGCTTTCCATCCCCCTACCCCAGCCCTCCCTAAATGAAATTCAGGTTGCCTGTCACTCACTCCCACACTGCAGCTTGTCTCTCTAGCTCCTAGCCAGGGACAGCGTGAACCCCCACCACCCCACCCATTCCTCCGCCACTGCTGCTCCTGTCTGAGCACGGCCCCTGTCCCTCCTTTCTTCCCGGAGTTGCTCCAGCCTGTCCCTTCACCTTGCTGAGGACACCTGGGTGACGCCTCCCTGAGTCACCCTGTGACTGCCTCCTCCACCCTCATCCCCAGTGCCCATGCTTTCTCCTCCTGCTCAGGGAGAGGGTTGCTGTTTTTGTTTTTAATGTCACTCTCAGGGACGTGGGTTCGGTTGACTGGCATTATGCCCACCATCCATCATGCCCCACGACCTATGACCTGTCCCCACCTTGGCCAATACCTATGCGCCAGTTGAGAGGATGATGCCTAGTCCCCCGTGCCACCGCCTCTATGGTCTCAGTACAGGTGCCAGACTGGGGGACTCAGTGTCACAAAGCAGCAGGCAGTGGCTTCTTCTCCCTACCACTCCCTTACCCAGCTCGGAAGCTGCTCATGGGCCTCTGTCAAGGTCCTGAGGGGTGACAGGGTCTTATGTTCTTGCTTCTAAGCTGGTGACCGACATAGCCCCCTTCACAGCATGACAGTTGGGTGTCTCTGGCCCTGGTAGAATGTGCAGGTTGGGTATCCCTTCCCCAAAATATTTGGGACCAGAAGCGTTTCTGATTTCAGATTTTCTTCAGATTTTTAGAATATCTGCATTATACTCACAGTAGAGCATCTTAAATTCAAAAATCCAAAATATTCCAGTGAGCATTTCCTTTGAGGATCGTGTCAGTGCTCAAAAAGTTTCAGATTTTGGAGCATTTCAGGTGTTGGAATTTTGGATTTGGGGTGCTTAGCCTAAACCATATTTCTTTACCCCATCTCCATTGTCTGTAAAATAATGAGTATAGCCTTGCAAAGACTTCCTACCCGCAGCAAGCCAGGTTTACTCCCGGGCACGTGGGGAAAACGGCAGTGTAACTTACCTGGTTGCTCATCCCTCACCCCACCCCCATTCACCAATTCCCCCAGGAAGTGAATGGAGATGGGAAATGATCTGTTGCCATGACCTTGACCCACACACACCCAGCATTCTTAACTCCTAGGAACCCCATTATATGAAAATCCAAAGGTATGAAATAAATTGGGAGGGTAGTTACTTGTTACAAAGTGATTCCTTACTTTACAGAAGGATTTGCTTCAGATTTCTCTTAAGTACTCAGTTTCCCTAGTGTATTTAAATGTTGTTCTGTGAAAATTAAGCATTTGTAAAAGAACTTCAGGAGCCCTTCTCTTGTGTAAAGGGAGATATCCGTGTATTCATAGGCAAAGGTGCAGAACCCCAAAGCCCGGTTGATGTTGCTGGAGAAACAGGCAGGCAGGGCTTGGGGTGGACATCATAGGCAGCCCACCTGAAAGCAGTAACCAGCGATTCCCCTTCCCCTCTCCCCATCCACATCCCTGAGCTGGGAGAGCTCCGCGGAGCTTGATAAGTATATACCCGAGCCCCACACCTGTGCACAGGCCAATTTGGTTGGGAAGCTTCCAGGCAGGGCTCAGTGGGGGAGTATCCATCCCTGCTGGGGACCTTCTGCGCTGAGCTTTTTCAGGACCGTTTCTTTGCAGGTCTCATCCTGATCCCAGTCAGACCCCGAGCCCGAGGCCTAAGCCCTCCTTGTTTGTGAGTGGTGCAGTCAGGGATAAAAACCCGGTGTGCCTCACTTCCCAAGCCACCTGGGCTGATCCTGGCCACTGACCTGTGCGTGCACATGCATTTCCAGTCATTCCCCTCGAGAAGCTGAGCCCCGGGCAGACTCCCAAAGCTCAACAGCCCAGTCCATCCCACACTGTGCACCCCGCTGCTTCCAGAACTCCCATTTCTGGGCAAAGAACTAAAAATAGTTTTTATTATATCTGTTAAGAGTACATCCCAGTTGTTGATTTCAGATCTCTCCCTGCCACCTTTTTTATTTTTTATTTTTTTCTTCATTTCACAAAATAAAAGTGTCAAAAAACTCCATAGTCTGTGGAATCTAGCAACCTCCCAGTAGTTTGAGAGTAACATGGAATGTTCTTCAATATTTTGTGCTAACTAAAATGAAAACTGTATATGCCAAACTGTTTGTCTTCTGCTCCGTGTCTGGCTGCTCCTTTTATCCTGTAGATCAGTCTGTGGCATTTGTGGTGGCCCTGCCAAGTTTTGTGAGGCTGTGCTATTCCCTGAATGATGCTTGCTCTGTTACAGGGTGTGTATCATAAGCAGAGCCTGATGTCTTTCTATATAGCGCCCCAGGGCCCTAGCAGTAATTGTTTAATTAAATAAAGCACTCACTCAAAAGTAATAGCCGTGATCCTTCGTGTGGCCAGTGTCCCAGCCAGCGGTGCTGGCCCTGCACACTGGCTCAAAAGCAGCACCTGTGTGCAGAGAAGAAATAGCTGAGTGTGCGCTGTGCAGTGCACCCTGGCCCTGAGGAGAGGAGCCACAGAACCCCAGAGGGTTTACAGCCAGCAGAGAGGTGCGAGGGACTCGGCTATGATGGCCCTTACACAGAGCTGAACGATTAGGGTGCACATTAATGATGATATCGGATGAATTAGCATAAGCCCGGATGTCTTGTGGATTCGCTGACAGTGGACCAAGGAACATTTTCATAAGCCTCAGGCACAAAAGGAGGCACTGGGGGTGTGGCAGCAGATACCCCATGTGAGTGTGACTCTAGAAGGGTCTTGAGCCACCGCAGGGCATGTGTAGTTTGGCAATGGCAAGAACTTCCTTCAACCATGGATTGAGACATTTTCTGAACACCTTGATGGGAAGAGAATGCAGGGACTGGTATTGGGTGTTGGGCACTGGCTGAGGCCGGGAGGCCCCTGCGGTCTGTAATGTCCAGTTCTGGCGCCTTCTCCCACACTACTGCAGGGAGGCTGTGCTTCACCTGAGAGGCAGGTGAACAGTCTCTGGGAACACTTCCCAGCTGGTCCCTTTCCCCTGGATCAGGAAAGTGTTTCTCAAGATCTGGTTGCCTGACCACTGGCACAAGAGTGCCTTCGGGCTCTTAATAAAAATGTAGATGCTTGGGTCCTGCGCCAGGCCTGATGCAGTATATTCGAAGGCCACAGGGCCCAGGAATCCGCATTTTCAACCAGTTCTGAGGAGAATTCTGTGTGCTTTTCCCTTTGAGAAATCCTGCTGGCGCAGATCTGTCGAGGTAGTAAAAGGTCTCCCGGGGAGAGGCCTACTCTGGTCTTCCTTCAGGAACTGCTTCCCACAGCACCATGGTGGAGGCAGCTGTCAAGGGCTTCCCGTGCCTGCCTTTTGCAGGGAAAGGAGAGGGGCTGGGCAACCTACAGGTGCTGCCACATCCTGGAGTCCACACCTAAGGCACTGCCAGAGAGAAGAGGGGCTGTGCGTGCCCACTGGCTGGAGGCTGCTTTGTCACTTGCGGCTGACGGGTACCTCCCATGTCCCTAGCGGGTGGTGCTCTAGGCTTCCCCTGTAGCTTCCTCTGAAGCTGCTGGTTGGGGGCTCTAGACCCCGCAGCGTGCCAGCTCCCCGGAGAGGGCATCTCACTCTGACCCCCGACTAGGGAGGAAGCTGGGGGCTTGCTGATGTCACTTCTCAAACCCGCTTCAAGAGAGCTCATTAATCAGCCAGCTTGATATGCCATCTCCCCTCCGTCCCGCCTCCAAGGTTACTCAGTTCCCGGTCTATTTCAAGGCCAGACGTCAGCAGAAAAGGGGTGGAGCCAGCTGGGCCTGTGCAGCCCTCTCTGCAGGGCACCCGTGTTCTGGGCACCTGACTTCCCTCCCTTGCTTCCTCCAGCTCCTGCTGGAGCGTTCCCACTGCCATTGCTCTTCCTGCGCCGAGAGCATGGACCGAGGAAGGGAAGATGCCGAGAGCATCTCAAGTGATCGCCTGGCACCTCTCCTTGAGTGACGCACAAGCTCCGGGCAACAGAGGGCGATGGCACTGCCTCCTCCTGTTCCCAGGGCAGGGCGGGGGATTGACAGCTAGACTCTGGGCACCAAAAGCCATCAGATGCCAGCTGGTTACTGGAGACGCAAGCGGCCTCATGGGTTCCGAGGCCCATGGGCACACACATCACCACCAATGAATGTTCTGAGCAGTTCAATTCCTGGCAGAATCAGGTGGTTGGAGGTGTGGGTGTTTTTTCCCAAGGGAGCTGAGGGGCTAGATTGATGGCTCAGAGGGTCCCCCATCCTCTGTCACTTGCGACACAGCCCACCTGTTCCTCTCACGCTCTCTTGTTCTTAGGACCTGTGAGGATCAAGTTGACCCCTAGCCTGGCCCCAACAGTGGTAGCCCAGCCCCCAGCAGTTATGTGGCCAAGCAAGACATGCCCCGGCCTTCTCACTGGTATAAGATAGTGGTATACTGTGACCCCGGCTAACCCAGACCCAGCCTCTCCAGGCACAGCCGTCGGGGAGAATAATGCCGTGCACCCATCCCCTCCCTCCTCCTTGACATCCAGCATAAATACTAAAAGAGCTGTTTTTGTAGAGAGATCTCAAAAACTAAAACATGAGAGCCAGTAAGCCACGCCTGTAGTGCCCAGAGGAGTTTTGGTCCTTGGATCTGTTAACTCGGCCGAGGAGAGCCGGGAAAAGAGGTTTTCATGCTCTTCAGAGCTGCCAAACCCTCTATAAGAGCCCTGCCTTTCCTCACAGTCCCTATTTTCTTCCTGCCGTGGGGAAGAAAGGCTTCTCTAGAGCCTGCCCTAGAAAGTGGGCATTCCTCGCTCTGTCTCCCATCAGGTTCCCCAGGAGGGCCTAGGATGGCCTTTTCCCTCCTCTGTCCGATAGGATGGGAATGAAATTCCCTGATCTCCCCCTACCCCTGTCTATACTCCTAGTTCAAAGGATCAAAGTCCCTTTTAAAAACCTCATCATGTTAGGAGTGTCCCGCCCCACGGCTCCATGACGAGGGACAGCCTGTCACAGCCCCCTCCCTGGTGTGCACACCCAGCGCCTCACAGCAGAACTGCCCCAGGGTCATGAAGGTTTTCTGTGTCAACCCTGATTTTAGGGCAGTCTGATTGCCATCTCCCTGCTTAAAACCCCACAGAAGCTCCTCTCCAGAAAGCAAAGTCTAAACTCCCTCACGTGGCATGGTCTGCCCCAGTCTCCTGGAGCCTTCTCTCTCCCCCAGACACCCCCCCACCCCACCCCGCCAGTGTCATCCCCAGACGTCGAGTGCTGTCACGGCCTGGCCCACCACGTGCCTGTGCCTTGCTTTGGAGTCAGAGGAGCGTTCGTCTAGTCCACACTGAGCTCAGGACCCCTCTTCCCTCACCCCCTGCCATGGCATTAATTGGGCTTTTATGATTATTCCGTTCCTTGACCTCATTGTGAGCTCCTTCAGGGCACGGGCTGCGTCTCGTTCACCTTTCCGTCTAGAGCCAGCATGGCCCATCGCAGCGTGGTTGCTCCCTGAAGGTTGCAATGAGGGAAACTGCTTACAGGTGGACGCCACTGCTGGGCCTGTGGCGGGGCTTTGGCACACAACCCTCCCCTGGGCCTTAGCCTGCTGATGGCCAGAGCCCACCACAGCTAGTGGCTGCTGCTTCTGCAAGACAGACTCCATGCACAGCCAGCCCCTCCTTTCCCAGTGGGCGGGTCATCCTCTGGTCCTCGCTGCCAGGACAAGCTTCCCCTCCGCAAGTGCCAGAGCACTTCTGTCTTTGGGGGGCAGAAGTAGAAGGGAGCAGCTGGAATCCGTCCACTGCCGTGAAGTCACAGACAGCTCGTCACCCGTCTCTTTCTCCAGCACCACCAATTTGCATCTGAAATTCGGACAGTGACGGATTAGAGTAGGCGCCAGCTCCACAGACAGGTCTGTTCCTCACGTCCCACAGCTTTGCGCACACATGCCCTCTGCCCCACCCCAGCTCCTCACGTAACATCCGTAAAGCTCTCCTAGGTCAAGGTCAGAACCCATGGTCTTTTCACCTGGATGTGCAGGTGCTAGATTCCGTGGTCCTCCGTCAGGCTTGTGAAGAGCCGGGCTGTCCTCTATAAACCCTGATGGCTCATAATCATTAGGCAAATGACTGTGTGGGTTTTCCACAATATTTATCTTCCCCTTCCCCCTAAACCACAAGGGTTGCAGCTCTGGCATCAAATACTTGGAACTCTGCCCACCATCGGGTACCATCTGGCTTTTCAGCCGAGAAAGAGCCCACACAGGCAGGCAGCTTGTCCTCCAATGAGAGGCCAGGCCAAGGCCACTGGGCCAGCCCAGTCCTGCCCTGAAGGCGCCAGCCTTGAGGGGGCCACAGAGTGGATGGCAGAGGAGACAGCCCTTCCATCAGGATGTAAGCAAAGGAGACAGTTGAGTGCTCTAAAGAGGAACTGGGTGCTCTAAAGAGGGACTGGGCTTTGACTGAAGATGACCTGTTTCGAATCCCTGCCACATCTAAGCAGTGTGAGGTTTGGGACAAATGAATCCCTCTCAACCTGTTTCCTACCAAGTGGAGACAGTCACCAAGGTGCAGGTGTCTGCAGGGAGGAGCTCTCCTTGGAAGATGCCATCCTGCCTGGGCACTCTGGTAGTGCCTGGCAGTGCCAGTCCACTTGCTGGTTCTGAGCCTCGTCTTCCCTGCCCCGGGGCAGAGCCTTCTCTGGAATGACAGACATCAGTCTCAGGTGTCTCGGGAAGCTTGGAGAGCTTGGGAAGGGCTCCAGGTAGAGAAGGGTGTCATGTTCAGGGGCTGAGCTCTTGCCACCAGCATCCCCTCAGTGTGAGCTTAATACCAGCTCCCAGCTAGAAGCTTGGAGACAACAGGCGGGGTATTACCAGGTGTGTGGACTCATCCTGGTTCCAAAGGTGGGTGGAGTTTGCTGCCTGGGGGCCACAGCGTGTGTTCTGGGCAGACACAGGCTCCCTCCTGCAGCGGCCACAGTGCATGGACAGTTTTCTGGCAGGTCAAAGCCAGGCTGCGCATCCGGTGCTGCAGGAGCCCCCAGTGGGTCATGGCATTAGGTTCCCTCCCAGGTGGCACCTTCCCCCACATGCCTCCCACGCACGGGCTCCTATGAGCCGCACTCTGCCTGATAGGAAGTTTCTGACGTTCCTTTTTCACCATCAAGGGGTTAGGGAGAAGATGCTCATTTTGTTGCCTCCCAGAGCTCCGGTAAAGATAGGTTACAAACCTCAGGTCCCTAACTAAGAAATTGAGCATGTCATTTACGTAGGGGTACGGGGTATTCAGAGGAGGTGGTTCAGAAAAGGAAGTATATGGGTTTTTCTTGGCTCTGTTTCCACTTGCCTTGAAAAGGGGGAAGCAGAGGTTTGAGGAAGGGACCTGGGGAGGTTTTCGGCTGTCAAACATTCAAAGACGGTCCTTCAGCCAGTGTTTGGGGAGTAACAGCAAACCCAAGAACTGCCTTCCAGACGCCTCTGGTTGTCTCCTCACTGACAGGGCTGAGCCTCAGAGCAGCCTCCCCCAGGCTCCTCAGGAGTCGTGAGCGGTGCCACAGTGGCTCTGGACTGTCCCTCCCGTGCTGTCCAGCTCTCCCTGTCTTTCTCGGAGCCCGCACAGGGGAGTCCAGGCAGCTCTCGTCCCATGCAGCCTGCGTCACAGCTGCCATGGGATGGCCAGACTCCTGGAGCGGGTGCTGCTTCGGTTCTGTGCGGGAAGCTCTCACGCAGCCCCTTCATGCCGCCTCTTTCCCAGCCACAGGCTAACATCGCATCCTGGGAGGTGGTGTTCTGGACCTGCAATAGCTCAGGCAGGCGGTGGACCAGGGCTGCTTGAGAGCCCTGGCCCCCCAGGTCCAAGGGGGCAACGTTGCATAAAAGAGAGCATCCATCCACCTTTCCCCTGGTTTCTTTCTCCCTGAAATCATTCTTCCAGGTTCCCCAGCATCAGAGTCGAATAACATTTTCACAAGTATCTGAGCAGAGGTAGCGCAGGTGCCCCACTGTTGGCCAGTCTGTACCTGTACCGAGAATGTGCCCAGAGTTCATCTTTATCTCCGCTAGCTGGGC
The DNA here is from genome assembly GCF_000001405.40 of Homo sapiens. Taxonomy (NCBI): domain Eukaryota; kingdom Metazoa; phylum Chordata; class Mammalia; order Primates; family Hominidae; genus Homo; species Homo sapiens. Next base: position 74,809,944 of record NC_000017.11, read on the forward strand.
GAAGGGACGGGTCTTTCCTCCCGACCAGCCCCTGGTTGCTGAGCTCCTGCTGCGAGGATTTGGTTTCTTTCCTCTGCTTTCTAGCTTGGTGGCCGCTTTGGAACACGCTGCTGGGACCTTCACTTTTGGCTCATGATTGCCTCTGCCTGGAGGCTCAGTGTCCTCCCGTCTTTGAGAAGAGCTGTAGATCTTCCGTCTCTCCACTCACGCATTCAGAACGAGGCTGCCAGCTTGGCGTGAGCAGCCATGGTTTTTTACTGAAGATAATGGTGACCTAGTGACAAGGTGCATAGAGCTGGCCTCTAATGCACAGGGGGCACCCACTTCTTTAGAGTCATCTAGGCATCAACCGTCAGTTCTGTCTTCGGTCATCATGTGAATCTTTCAAACTTGGAGTCTATTCAGTAGGCATCTCCCAAGGACCTTCTAGTTGAGGGGTTTGGGAAGATCAGGGGGAGCCAAGGACAAAGGGCCATGCTAACTTGTTCAAAAAGTGCGTTATGGCAGGTGTTGGGCTAACACTAATCACTGCTGCAGAGAGGGACGTGCACTGAGGGAGGCAGCCAGCCTCCGCCTGTCCTCATCTCTCACTCTGCACCAGGTACACAGTATTTGAGAATTGGTGGGGGCAAGATTGGCACTGTCTGTCATGCTTGCGTTGGTGTCTAGAACCCGACAGCCTGTCCTGGCACAAATCCCATCCCCTCCCAGTCTCTGGGTCAGCCCATTCCTGGGCTGGTCTTCAGGAGGGGCGCTGCTCACCCTCTGCCCTGTCGAGAACATTTTAGGAAGCTCATCCTTATATAGTTCCTTGTGAAAGTGCAATCATCCGCAGAATTCGGACGACCTCCTCTAGATGGCATGGTGCCTCTCATCACAGAGTTTTGGCAAATAAGCTGTGACAGTGGTTCATGGGATTTGGTGCACACAGGCTGCCGGCATGGTTTCTGACACGGCTCCTGCTCTCTTTCTCTGGCAGACGTCTTCCGCATGGTGAATGATCCTTTGTGTTTGGTCGGGAAGAACTTGGACTGTCTTAAAGAGCATTTGTACTGTAGTTGAACTTGAGTGGAGGTCATGGAAGTCAAATAAGAATAGTACTGGGGCTGGGCACCGTGGCTTACGCCTGGAATCCTAGCACTTTGGGAGGCCAAGGAAGGCAGATTGCTTGAGCTCAGGAGTTTGAAACCAGCCTGGGCAATATGGTAAGACCCTGTCTCTACAAAAAATACAAAAATTAGCGAGGCGTGGTGGCACACGCCTGTAGTCTCAGCTATTCAAGAGGCTGAGGTGGGAGGATTGCTTGAGCCTGGGAGGTCAAGGCTGCAGTGAATCATGATCACACTACTGCACTCCAGCCTGGGCAACAGAGCGAGACCTTGTCTGAAGAAACCAAAAAAAAACAAACAAAAAAATGCATTTGGACCATAGTTGAACTTGGGTGGACCTCATGGAAGTCAAATAAGAATAGTAGAATAGTACTGGGGGCCAGGCTGGCCAGGCATGGTGGCTCAGGCCTGTAATTCCAGCATTTTGGGAGGCCAAGGCAGGCAGATCACTTGAGGTCAGGAGTTCATGACCAGCCTGGCCAACATGGTGAAATCTCATCTCTACTAAAAATACAAAAATTAGCAAAGCGTGGTGGCATATGCCTGTAGCCCCAGCTACCTGGGAGGCTGAGGCAGGACAATCACTTGAGCCTGGGAGGTGGAGGTTGCCGCGAGCCAAGATCACACCACTGCACTTTAGCCTGGGCAGCAGAGTGAGACTATCTCAAAAAAAGAAAAAAGAAAAGAATAGTATTGGGGCTAGGCATGGTGGCTCACGCCTGTAATCCTAGCACTTTGGGAGGCCAAGGCAGGAGGATCACTTGAGGCCAGGAGTTTGAGACCAGCCTGGACAATATAGTGAGACCCCCATCTCTGCAAAAAAAATAATAATAATAATAATTAATTAGCAGAATGTGGTGGCATGCATTTGTAGTCGTAGCTACTCAGGAGGCTTAGGCGGGCAGATCGCTTGAGCCTAGGAGTTCGGGGCTGCAGTGAGCTATGATCGCACCACTGCACTCCAGCCTGGGTGACAGTGCCTCAAAAAAAAAAAAATAGCATTGACTTAACATTCTTTGGTTGGAGCTCCTTGCTTGGCTTCAGGAGTGCTGCGTTCCCCCACCGAGATGTTTGGACAGGAGTGATGACTTGGTGTGTGCTGACACAGGGGGTCAGGAAGCCACGCTCATGTCTGTTGAGTGTCTTCTGTGCACACGCAGCATGCTTTGAGGGGTTCAGGAACTTGAAAGCTCTCGCAGTTAGAAGGGACATCAGGATGCAAATCCTGCCCTAGCCACGTGACCCTGAAGCCTGTGGTCCTTCAGCTGACCCACACTGCCTCAGAACTCACCTTCGTGTGGGTGAATCCCCAGATACTGTAATTCAAGTTGAGAAAATAAAAACTTCCAAACCAAAACGTTCACAGCCACTTGAGAAATAAAAATAGAATCCTTGAACGTTTCTTCACTACACTTCAAGGACGTGTTGAAAGTTCACTTCCCATTTAGGGACGGGCTCATGCTGAGTTGCCATTAACCCCAATTAACTCTTAACCCCTTGTGCCCACCAAGAGCAGCCCTGGAGTCTGGGGGATCCTTTCTTTTATCGCTTGAAATAACCTCCAGGATCAGGGAGCTCGGCTGTGCGATTTGTGCGCTCCGCCTCCACCCAGATGAGCCCCCCTGCGCCCTCCTCACTCCAAGCCCGAGTGCTCCGTGGTCAGCTCCCACAGGTCTCTGTGCGTTTAAGGTAGCCCTATTCAACCTTTCAAGGCTTGCTGCTGTACGAGAAGTGCCTCTGTCACCCCTGCTACCTTAACAGAGAAATCCCCATCAGCCCCCAGCCCTGGAGTGAGAAGGCTCAGAGTGGACCTGCTGGCCTCCCGTGTTGAAACTCCGGGAGCTGACAGCTGGAGTGAAGAGAAGGCTGCTGGTGCCTGAATTCTTGGCTCTAGAAACTCCATCTCACTACAGCGTGGAAGCCAAAACCAAAAAAGCTTCATATTTTTAGAGGGAAAGAAATAAGCACACACTTAGAGAACTGCCCACATAGTAACCAACCAGTCCACTGCCTCAGTAGTGTTCATGGGAGCCAGCGGGTCACAGTGTCACTCCCCTGCCCCGCCCCACTTCAGTTCCAAGCCTTCTTGCCACTCCAGGATGAGAACAAAAGCGTCGCCTGCGTGCTTCCCTGGTCACTGCTGGCCGCTTTGGCCACTGGCATTTGTCTCCATGGGACATTGCCCGCTTTTCAAGTCTCAGTCAGGAGGCAGGGCTGGGAGGGACCCTCCCCTGGGCATCACCAGTCAGCTGACAGCTGCCCTTCCAAGTGTTTTCTCTGTCACTTGGTGCAAAGGGTAATTGTGTGTCACTCTTTGTCCCATGGGTTAGTTTTGGCGTGGAGTTGCACAGAAAGTTCTTAGGACTTGTCCTTTGTTGCAGCCCTCACTTCAGCCCCTCATTCTCCTGTCTCCCCTTTCTTGTGGGTTTTTTGTTTTGTTTTGTTTTGTTTTTTTGAGACAGGGTCTCGCTCTGTCACCCAGGCTGGAATGCAATGGCGCAATCTCAGCTTACCACAACCTCACTACAACCTCTGCCTCCCGGGTTCAAGCCGTTCTCCTGCCTCAGCCTCCTCAGTAGCTGGGATTACAGGCACCCGCCACCACGCCTGGCTAATTTTTGTATTTTTAGTAGAGACGGGGTTTTGCCATGTTGGCCAGGCTAGTCTTGAACTCCTGACCTCAGGTGATCTGCCCGCCTTGGCCTCCCAAAGTGCTGGGATTACAGGTGTGAGCCACCATGCCTGGCCTCCTGTCTCCCCTTTCTACCAGGGAAGTAGCCCCTCTGTCTTCCTTCCCCTTTTTTGAGGGAACTGAGATGGAACTATGAGTGTTGTTGAATTTCATCAAAGTCTTAGTTCCAGTTGGAAGCTGCAGTCCGCTCCGTCTCCTTCCAGCCAGAGGAAGGATGACGACCAGCAGCACTTGGGTTTTTAGTTTTGTCTTGTAAGCATTTTGGTGGGTGGCGGTGGGTGACTATTAGGGACACTGACTCCACTGTCTCCAGAAAGTAGGGATGAAAAGGATCACTCCTTTCAAGACCTTGAGCTTCTTCACTTTAGGTGAAGATGTCTTCTAAGACACCACCCCTCTGGGAGCCAAGCAGACTGAGAGTGGTCACAGTTCACCAGAGTCTGATCCCCTTCTTTGTGGGGACCTTGGAGATGCTGGTGATGGCGGGAAGCCGGGCATCCCAGGCCCCCTTCCTGTGGGGATCTTGGAGATGCTGGGGAGCCAGGCACCCCAGGCCCCCTTCCTGTGGGGATCTTGGAGATGCCGATGATGGTGGGGAGCCGGGCACCCCAGGCCCCCTTCCTGTGGGGATCTTGGAGATGCTGGTGATAGTGGGGAGTCGGGCACCCCAGGCTCTTCCCGGGTGCACTCTCTTCTTCATGGAGGGAGGAATATCATTCTCCCTGAAGCCAGTGGGTAAACTCAGAGCCATGCTGTTTTGATTTGATGTGTGTTTCCTAAAATCATAACATGTCAATTCCTCAGCTGCGTTGGGAAGAGTTATTCCCTGACTATGTGCTGTTTTTAGGCAGAGCAGGTGACTCTTGCCCACATGCTGCTGGCTTTGCCAAGTCAGGCACTGCCCCCCGCAGGAGGCATGGAAAACGTGTACAAGGCAGGTTGGCAAGACTGGGGCTGCCCCTTCACCCACTCTAGCAGGCACTCCCCCCACCAAATGCAGTGCATCCTACAAAGCTTTTGTGAGCATCCCACGTTTGAGAGCCTTCCTAGGTGCTGCGACAAACAAGGATGCAGTCCTTGCCCTCAAGGGGGTTACACTCTGCTGGGGACACAAAATCAACCCAAGAGAAAGCAGCGGTTCAGAGCCTACTGGAATGAAGTCAGGTGGTATCAACTGTGTGTTGGTAATTCAGTCAAGAGCCCCCAGGGAGGATTAAAATAACTTGTAGAGGAGATTGGCACTTGAGCAGGGCTCAGAAGGTCACAGGGGAAGATTCTTTGCCAGCAGGAGGGTGAAGGCATGAGGTTGAAAATTTGAGGACGGGGTGTCAGAGAGGGGGACCTTCTCCCTCTGCCGCTTTCTGGCTGTGTCACTGAACCTCTCCAGCCCCCCAGTTTCCTCATCAGTAAGATGAGGGCATCGTCACCTGCACCAGTGACCTTGCAGCGGGCCATGAGCATGAAATGAAACCATGTGTGTTAGCGCTTGGCAGAGTGTGGAGGGGCTGCAGCTTGGGCAGTGATGTTATCACAGGGCAGTTTTGATAGCACAGGGCAGGGCGGATCAAAGGACCAGTGGCTGGGACAATGCGGCCTTGGGATTGGCTGTGACAGATCTGCAGGCAGAGGGTGGGACCCGGAGACTGTACAAGGTGTTAAACAGGGTATTTAATTTGAGATTGGCACCAAGTTTAAAATTTCATTTTGTTTCTCTGACCAGCTAAATGTGCAGAGAAATTTGGGGATGGGGAGATAAGTATCTACCCGCTTTACTTTTGTGCTCTAATGTTGACGCCCTCACTCACACGCTCCGTGGTGCGGTTAAAGGACATAACACATTGCCAGTCCTGGGCTCCTTTTGCATATGACACAGAAGCACGCAGAGTCGGAGCCTTTCTTCTGTAAGTGCCATGTGCTGTAGGGTTAGAACTGGAGAGGAGGGAGGCAGGTGGTGGACACGGCACAGCCTCAGCAGGCGTGAGTTGAGCGTTCTTGGTTTAAAGATCCATTCTCGGAAGTAGCACAGCATTTGTTTCTCCCATTCCATGGCTGGGCAGCTGACTCTTCAGTCTGTTCCAAACCACTCCAAGAGGAAAGTGGAGGCTCCAGTTAGTGACTGAGCCCTTGGTACCCAGATGCCAGGCTGCTCAAACAGGCACAAGTGTCAGTACTTCCGGGTCCTCAGCAAAGCCACGTCCTGTCCAGGAAATCTCCAGGCACAGCCCACAACAGGCCCCCGTGAGGCTGCAGGGTCCCTTCCCCACATCTTCGAGTCACTGATTCTGAAGAGTAGATTTCCTTCCTGTCCAGAGGACAGAAGGCTGGGCTTGAGATTAGGCACTCTCTTTACTCCCTACTGTGCTTAAATCTCATTTCTGGTGGCATCTAGAGAAACGGCTCCTCCCTGTCAGCCCCATCCTTAATGCATGCGTAGGACTGGGCTCTGTCCTGTTGGGGGTGCTATTGGGAGCCTTGCCTTGCAAGAGGGCACTTCTGGCCTGGGAGAGAACACACATCTGTGGTTTGAAGCCCCCCAGTTTGTGGTCATCTGTGATAGCAGCCCCAGGAACCTCATGTAGAGAGCAAGGAAAGAGTCAGAGATTGCTGGAAGTCTGGAGCCTGGGCAACTGGAGGTGGGCAGCGCATGTAAGGGACACAGGAGGACAGGCAGCCCTGTTGAGCTGTAGACTGCAGAACGTTCTAAAAGAGCTGTGGCTGAGCATTGCCTGCAGTGCCCTGGGAATGTTAGCCTCCTTGTCTCCATCAAGACTTCAGCAAGGCTGCTGTGGGGCCCCTGGTGTTATCTAAACTCACTGACCCAAAAAGAAAGAGGATCTGAACAGACCCATTTGTACTCTCCTGGGTCCGTCCCGGACTTTATTCCCCATGACCAGTTTGAAGATGTTATTAGAAATCAGAGTTTTCTTTTTTCGTTTTTTTTTGTTTTTTTTTAGAAATGTGCTTGGCTGCAGCGACTCGTGTCTCTGCCTCCTGTAATGAGTTGGGCTACAAGAGTCCTTGAGCAGAGACTGAGTTTGAACTGATCAATGGCATTTGGGGGTTGGAAAATTGCTCAGGAGCCAGCTAATTTATAATGTCATATGGGCTAGACTGGAAGACCCAAGAGAGTAGGCTGTCTCTTTTGGCTTTTTATCTCTCCTTTTTTTAAAAAGGAAAGAAAACACAAAGTGCCACGCTTGGCTGTTGAGCATTCAGAGATGGACACTGCCCCTGCTAGACCATCTGGAGACAGGGGCTGTTCCTTCTCCCGCCCCCGTCCCTCCCCAAGACCTCAGCGGCCACACCGTGGCGTGGCAGCGCATGCCATTGCCTCTGTCCTCATCCTTTGTCACTCCGGATGCCTGCTCCTGCAGTTGCTGAGTTCTGGCTCTAACTAATTTGCAGAGGACACCTGTTCCTTAATTAGCCCCAGCTCGCAGTCTGTGTCTTCATCTGGGTGCTCTCTGATGTGTGAGCTCGCAGTCCTATGGAAGGGCTGCTGTTTGGCAGTCTGTGCGTGTTTGCTGTGACTAAGTGGGCCCTGAGCCTTCCCAAGCGTTATGGTCGGTCTGTACTCCTGAGCATGAAACGAAAAAGAAGCCACATTCCAACCATCATCCATCTATGGACGTTGCAGCCATTGGCCAGATCTTCCAGAAGAGTCCTTCATTGCCAGTTCCCATGCTGAGTACAGACCTGCTGTCCCCAGAACTGGGTCTGAGAACACTAAGCGGATATGAACCCTCGTTTCGACTCCTCTAGATTCATATTCCTGGTCACTCAAGTGGCACCTCACACATACCACTTACAATACCTTTCAGAGGTACATCTGATTAAATAGAGGGATGCTGTCAGTGGGCTGGGATTCATCCATACAGGGTTTTACAGAATGGAGCCTTCTGTGTCCTAGGATCTTGACAAGCATCTGCCGAGGACAGGAACAGAGATGGACAGGGCCCCTGGAGGACAGGACCCAGGCAGCCTGCAGGAGCATTCCCTGCCTGCCCCTGGGGGTGGTTCTGCTGTCCGTCTATTTTTATGGTGTAAAACCTTCTAAAAACCAGTCTTTAGGTCTCTGAGATGAGATCTGACCTCCCACATAAGCCACCCCCAAGATCTCCAGCCCCCACAGCTGGAGGACCATAATTTCAGCGGGAAGTCAGAGGCGAACTACCCAAACACCCGGGCACACCAGGAGTCCAGTTTCCAGCAGACCACAGTTACTTGGAAACATTTGTGGCAGGTGGCTCTGTGTTTATGCATTCTTCTACCTGACATCTCCCTCTTCATCCTTCAAAAGAGAAATTCATCAGTGGAAAGTTTCCCTGAAGTGGTAATTTTCCTAAATGACTTACTGATGGTGCTGCGTACAGACCTGCTCCGCCAGAGTCAACGTTCTGCATGCGCTACCGTGTCCCCAGCTCCTCTCCCTGGGCTGAGGGGACGGCGGAGGCTGTCCACTGCTTTTGTAAGGAGAGCCCTTTCCTCTGCCTTCCCCTGCCCAGCCCCATCCCCCAAGCCTGATAGAAAGAAAGACTTCTTTCCCCTCTCCTGAGTGGAAGCAGGGCCAGTTCTGAGGCCCCCAGCAGAAAGCTGCTCTTTCCAAAGCCCTCCATGCCTGGTGGCTGCCAGGTCGCCTTCTCTAGCCCAGCTAATTAGAGCCTTTCCTTAAGCGGCACTTCAGTCCTCCGCATCACTCATCCTTACAGTGATAATGGACTTGGATAAGAGGTCACAGCTTCTCCCACATCCTGCCCTCCTTATGGCCAGAGGTGGGGGGCGGGGGGCGGGACAGGCTCAGCTCCTCCTTCTGCGGGGCTCCTACCTGTCAGTCACAGGGGCTGGCCGAGGGCTGAGCAGCTGTGATGGATTCACCCAGATGACAGGCCAGAGCCCGACTCCCCAAGTGGGCCCGCTCCCCACATTCGTTCAGGCTTCCGAGCCGCCTGCCGCATCTCTGGTGAGCGTCATTAGCATTAACGTGATAAAATGGCACTGTGTAAATGTTAATAAGGTCTGATGCCTCACACTGCTTCCGAGTGGCAGATTGGAAATGGTACCATCATCTTAACTGCAATGAGCAGCTCTTAATTCCTCTACTCCCTGAGCAACCAATTTGGCATGGAAATCCTAACCTTCCCCACACTCCAGTCTCTGCTCTGTCACATTTACCCCCATTTTCCTTTGCAAAGAAGGTTCCCATTTCCCACAGACCAGTTTTCTGAGACAGAGTTTGACTTTTGTTTTTTGAGTCAACACTTTCCCCTGTTCTCCAAAGAGAAATGAGAGGACCCATGCTGACCAGCACCCGCTTCTCTGCCTGGGTCCCATCCTCAGCCCAGAACTTCTTTGCCCTGGTTTTCCTAGATGCAGCTCCTTTCCTTGGTCATCCCGGGTACTTCCGAGGGGCCTGCCCTGGAAGCCAGGGGCTCTCGTTCTCCAGGCTTCTCCTCTCGAAGTCAAAAACGTGGCCCATGCACATCCCGATCACTCCTCTCCAAGCCCGTCAGAAGAGGTGTCCTCTCCTGCGAGGCTTCGTCAGGGCTCCTGGGGTCCCTCCCCACTGTGTCCTTTCTTCGCAGTAAACTAAGAGTCAGAGACATGGCTGGTGCTTCTTTTGGATCCTTTTTGCCATTATGTCTCTAGCCCATGCTCATGGGCAGTTCGAGGGTGGGCACATCATGGATCTTCAATCTGTGTTTGCTGAAGAGAGCAGGACGCATGGGGTCCCTGGAATGACACCTGGGCCTTGCCTAGGAGGCTCAGCATTGTCGGAACAGTACATGTGAGCAGCAGCAGGGAAGCATGGCTCTGGAGCTTTTGTTCCACCCCTGGCACTGGCACTTACCCAAGGTGACCCCAGGGAGCCTCTGCCAGTCCAGGTGTGCCCAAGTCAGGCCCGGCCTTAGCTATGGGCGGAGGCCACGTGAGCAGCAGCGTCTTCCGTGTGCAGACAGTCTGCTGGTGCGGCCTGCACCCTCCTCACTCTTGTTTCCATCCCCCAGGCGATCTTCACTCTCCTCCTCGGACCGTTCACCTTCTTTGACGTCCAGAAGACCAAGTACCTGCAGATCCTGACCTCTCTGATGAGATGGATCGGTGAGTCTGAGAAACAGCTCGAGTCTCTGCGCTTTCTCCTCTCGTCCCTTCCCTCTCCTTTCATGAGAGGCCGTGCAGGGCCCCCAGCCGTAGCTGGAGTGTGGTGGTGGTTTCCATTGACTCAGGCCTGTCTGGTCCTCCCACCTTTCCAAAGGATAAGGAGGGGGCTGAATACTCAGCTTGCCTTTTACTGCTGGGGAAATTTAACACCAAAACAAGATGATTGTTTCGAGGTCACATAGTGTGGATGGAGCTGGGGCTAGAGCCCAGGATTGTTCATTCTAGGACCAGCTTCTTTCTCATACAACCATGCTGGGTGCCCACTGACCCAGAGGCTGGCAGGGGGGCTCCCAAAGGCCTGGGTTGGGCTGTGCCCTGCAGGGCACGAGAGCGGCGCGGCTCTGCGTTCTCATGAGTGTGCTATGTGGCATAACCATAAAAGCCAGCGGGCCATGGCAGCAGCCACTCTCTGCCTCTGGGTCTCTGGCCACCAGGGCATGAAAAGACACTCCCTCCACAGCATCTTCTAACCAACGGACACTGTGCTGAGCATGAGTGCCATTGTCCTCAGCTGCGGTCTGGGCGTCTGTTCCCCCAAACAGGTTGGTGGTTGGGGGCTGGTCTACTTCCGCCACACCATCCTGCCAGCCACCTCTGGGAAAGGGCCAGCTGCCGATCCACCTGGACGGAGGACAGGAGCGGGTGGGGCCCTCTGTGGCCAGCACGGCTTTGGGCGTCTGTTGGACCCCTCTTCTGCTCAATCTAAAAACAAAGAAGGCTGTTGCTGTTCTGAGAGAGGGGCCTGGACAGAGTGGGTGTGTCCAGGCTCCAGGAGCTTGCCTGCCTCTCAGCACAGAAGCACTTGGCTCTAGAGGAGCCAAGGCTGGGGCTCCTCCTTCCTGACCACCTTCCCCAGCCCCGTTTCCCACTGTGCTCGCCCATTCTACCCTCATCCAGACTCTGGGGGTGCACGCTGATCCTGATTCCATGCCAGGACTCAGCAGCGGGTCATGGTCGCCGAGGACACTTTCTGATCTAAATGACTTCCAGCAGCTTGACATCTGCAATTCCCCTGGTTCCCCAGTCTCAGGATTATGAGATGTCAGTCTAAGGAGCCTCTGTACACGGCAGTCTTGGCATCTTTAGTTGGAAGGGGCCACAGCAGTCAGGTAGCCCCGCCTCGCCCCTCTGGGAGCAGGCTGTACAGCACAGGGGACAGGGTGGCCTCCGGGGCCCAGAGCTCACGACTGGATGAGGCTCCCACTCCACTCTGAGGGGTTGTATGTCAGTGCTGGAAAGTTTTTCCTTGCCTTGAGCCATGCTCACCAGCCTGTAACTTCTTTGCCCTCTTGGTTTGTCCTTGCAAGGAGATGAGAGCAGGATGGAGATGAGTTGTGAGGCCCCCACAGGGGCACATCATCTGGGCCTAGCCCGTCCTTGGGCATCAAGCTGACACGAGGGAGCGGGAGGACACCTGTCCATCCCTAGACAGGGCGGAAGTCTGCATCTGCCCCATTCAGTCTGTGTGGTCACATACTCACCAGTGAGTGCCGTTCCCAAATTGCACTCACAAGTTCCAAAGCCCCAGGTTAAATTAACGTGACTACCTGGGGGAAGATGGGAGTTGTTACTTAGAACCTGGGGATCCCACCAGCTCCAAGGAATGGATTTAGAATGGAGCCTCCCTGGGTGCCAGGAGGGATTGTGTCCAGAAGTCAGAGTCAGCAGGGATCAGAAACACCAGGGCTCAGCCGTCCACCCTTCCTATTTCTCTGCTTATATGAAGTATTTGAGAGCTCTGGGTAAGGCCGAGTGGGTAAGACCTGGTGGTCTCAGAAGAAGGAGTTTTCTCAGTAAAGCAGGATTTAGAGAAAACCGTTCTCCCTCCTTGCCTTCCTGGCCTAAGTCTGGTGCTCCAGCTCCTGTGGCTCCCTGCAGCCACATCTGTAGCCCCAAAGTCTGGCCCCTACCCTGTGTGGGACTGGCTGCACTTGACCCGCCCCTCAGCACTGGGGAGGGGGAAAGGGCCCCGTGGGCACTGGCATGGAGAAAGCTGAGCTGATTCCCGTCCCTTCCCCTCATCCAGGAGGACAGGAACAGGCTGGGGAGAGGTGGAGGGGGACGTTCCTGCTTTAGCCGGCATGGGGATGACACCCAGGATAGTGACAGTTAATGGCTTCCGAAGACCCCTGCACTTGTTTAGGGTGACAGATTCCTCCCCGTGTCTGGGGAGCAATACATTTGTTGAAAGGGAAAAGATTGTAAAAAGGAGAAGAGGAGGCTGAGGGCAAATAAAGAGCGATTGTCTCAGAGCAGGAGACCAGCTGTATCCCTGCATCAGTCAGAGGAGAAGCCAAATTCTGTGGCCAGCAGGGCCCCGGGGTCCTGGAAGGCGTCTGGGGACAGCCCGGGCCCCTTGCCATTCTGCTGTTGGAGACCCTGCTTCCCCAGAGTCAGGCTCACCGTAGACTTGGCTTTAGAAAATCAACTCCTGTTTCCCCCAGCCCCTTCCCACCCCCAGGTCTCCCACCCTGAGGCTCCCGGGGCCCTGCAGTGCTGCGGAGCAGGTGACAGTGGCCTCGAGAGAGGCTTTTGGCAGCATCAGGAGCCGGAGGTGGAGACCAGCTCGGGAAGGTCGACAGCACTTGTTTTTTTGGTGGTGACATTGTTGTCTTAGCAAGTCATCTGCCTCTTTTCCTTTTGATCCAAGAGATAATCAAATGTCAGGAGCCTCTCAGGCGAACCTTTTCTCCAGAATGCTGCTGGGGGCGACAGCAAAGGCAGTGATTTTTTCTCCATGAGAGACTCAGACCTCTGGGATTAAAAAGCAAACCTTTCTGTGGCACAGCCCTCTCGCCAGAAGAAAAATTACCCAGTTAAGTAAACTCTGAAGCGCAGCTGGGTCTAGGGTTCCATTCCCCAGCAGCCAGCACTGGAACCAGCGGGGTATTTTTCTTCCCAGTGCTGGCGGAAGGTGTGTCCCCCTCCCAGCCCCGGGCAGCAGCGTGGCTCAGGAGGGGACGAAGGGGATGGAGGTCCCCCTGGAGCCACCAAACAAAACAAAACTGGCAGCCCCTTTTGGGGGAGGGACCCCACGAGGGTTTCTCGCCTCTGGGCCAAGCTCACCCCAGGCAGTTTTTCGAGAACCACCCTAAAGGCAGTGACCTCAAAAGCCTATTTGTCCTCTCAAGTCTGTGCCAAGTTGTCAGTTCGCCACAAACTCCCTTTTCATTCTGTCTTAAAAGCAGCTGTGTGACCGAGTCCCACACACCCCACCCTCCTTCCCACACTCGCGCCGCACCCCTTCCTCTCCCCTCTCCCCAGATGAGGCCATGCTTTCCCAATAACCAAGTGGGGAGCTCGGGGTTGGAAATAAGCTGGCTTGGGTTCCAGGAAGACAAAGGGGAAGAATAAGCACCAAAGGGACCGGAAAATCATAAATAAATGTGCTGAGCCGGAAACTTTCTTGGGCTTAATTAGGAATTAGTTCTGCCATCTGTTGAAATGAGGCCGGAGGAGACTGCAGGCCCTGGAGCTGTGCTGAGGAGCCTTCGGGCCAGCTCCTCCAAGGGCCTCTGCTCTGCCCTCATTCCCTTTAGTAGCCTCGGAAGCCCCATCGTTCTGCCAGAATGGCACTGAAAGGGTTAAATGGCCTTTGTAAATAGCCACTTGTCCAGGAAAACTCAAAGCATGGATGACATGTGACAGTGTCTGTTGATTTCTTGTGCTCCCCAAATAAGTTCTGGGGAGACTGGGCTGGTCAGTGTGGGATGCCTGGGTGGCAGATACCTCTGAATCCACATGGGGAAGGAAGGTCTTGGTGTGCTGTCCCCAGCAGTGAGGCTGTTGTTCAGGCCCTGGCAGACATGGCTGGCTCACCCCCAGGTGGCCACCGCAGATTCCTGAGCAATCAGGTCTCCGGTGGCTGCTCTGTGCCAGGTGGCGCACCTACTGGAGGTCACGCCGGACCTCCTTGCCTTGTTCCCCCCGTGTGGGACAGGCGGCATTTACTCCCAAGGTGCACAGTTGGATCGAGGCTTCTCCGCCAAGTTCCTTGTCTGTGCGGTGGCAGCGAGGCCTTGAATGGGGCCGTGTTGTTAGCGCAGCACCTGCACAGTGTGCAGAGGGGGCCACGGTGAGCATGACCGTCTTCAGCATCATCTTGGTCAGCTGCCACATCCCAAGAGTGGCCTCAAGATGAGCCTCTCTGGGGGCTGGCCATGAGACTGGGGACATGACCTCAGCTACCTCAAGAGAGCAGGCCCTGGGTGTCCACACTGGTGTCACGGTGAGATCTAGGAGCACCCAGGTTTGCTCTGGGCAGCCTCTCTGTTGCCACATCCCAGCTGTGGTGCGTGGAGAGGAGGCCTCTCTGCTCCGCCGCCCCCAGCATCTACTCCCACCCACTTTGAGGAAGCTCTGAGCTGGGAGAATGAAAGGCAGGCTCATCTCACAGAGGGGCAGGGGCTCTAGCCTCTGCCAGCCACAGGTAGACCAGGGATGCTGAGGGGAGACGCAGCACAGAGGATGTTCTTTGTGCTCACAGGCCCAGCGCAGGGACTTCAGATCCCAAATCTGAGCACCTAAGCCGATGGCGGGAGGCTGCCCCTGCCCCGCCGCAGGGAGCTCTCGGGCTGAAGTATTGGCAGCTTCATTACTTCAGTCCCATTACCAACTTTCACCGACAGATGCCTGCAGGCGCCTCCCATGAACAGCTGGCTTGGTGCGGGGCGCCCCATTTGGGGTTATTAAAATCCGGATTCTTTTTAACAAAGGCTGCTCTGGAGTGCCACAGCCCTCCTCGGGCCTGGGCTGCCGAGGACCGCAGGGTTCCCTTCCCTCTGATTGTGTATGCGGAGCAGACGCTGCACACGCTCTTTTTGCATCTGTGTTCCCCTCAAAGTGGGTCAGACACCGTCCTCTTCAGGCGTTTGTGGATGAACTTGAGCCTGCCTCATGAAGTTCTCGGCCCCACTCTCTCCACCTCCCTCAGCAACTGCCCCAGATTTGTTTTCCAAGCCGACAGGGAGAGGTGGGACATGGTGGTGGTGGCAGGTGAGGCCCCCAAGAGGAAGCCATCACCTGGGGACATGAGGCTTTCTGGTGTTTACCTGTCTCCAAACCCATGACTGATCCCTGCAGACAGCCTCCCAGTGGGACTGCGCTGATCCATCACCACCGGCAGCCAGGGGTCTCGTGTCTGGGCCATCTGGTGCCCACTGCTGCCAGCTTGGTGTTGGAATTCCTCCAACCACTCAACTAGTGCCTCTCAGAGGTCCCAGAAGGACCCCCCAAAATGCCCCCTGTGCCTCCATCCAGACAGCCTCATGTGCCAGCACCACGCCACCCTGCTGTCAGCAGCCCTGCACGGCCCAGGTCTCTGCGGCAGCCCTGCCCACCCTCCAACTGGGCCACTGTCCAGGGCTCTCCTGGGCTGTTCCGTGTCCAGTCATGACTGGTTACACTCCCAGTGGAGGGAATCTTGAAAAACCTTTTGTATATGTTTCATTTTGGTCTTAATTTTATTCTTGGTTTTCTAGAAGTTCTTTTTGCAAATGCACAGAGGCCCATTTATAGGAGAGGAACCCAGTGTTTCTGTTTTAAGGTAAAGTGGGCAGGTAATGAACGCTTGCTGGCAAACAGCCAGCCATGTGCCGCCAAATGACTCCCTTCCTTAGCATCAGTCAGGACTGACCTGAGAGTTCACTTGGCCCGAGCAAAGGGTGTTGCCCTTGCAGCCGTACCTCTCCTCTAGCAGCCTTTGTTATCAGCTCTGATCTGTGTACGGCCGAGATGGGCAGATCCAGCTACCAGACAAAGACTCCTGCAGTGCCCAGGAGGTCGGTGGCCCAGCTGTCCGGGCACTGACAAGGCAAGGAAACTAAGTCCCAGATCACTCGTGGTTGTGGGTCGAGTCTGACCCGACGATGGTGATGGTCATGGCCTCTGTGCAGAACTGGGCTTCACGTGGGAGGGTGAGTCTTAACCTTGCAGCAAGTCAGGCCGTCATATACATCTGCAGGGCTGCCACGGCCCACAGCAACCCTGGAGCTCCAGAGTTACGTTCAGACCCAGGAGGGGCCACCCATCCTTGCTCGGTGCCACCTTTCATCTTCCTCACTCTCTCCTTCCCGTCTCTCTCTGCATCTAGCTGGCTGCTGGAGAGGAAAGGGCTGAGCAGCCTGCAGGAAAGGTGACAGCGCCTGAAATTTTATGTTTCCAATCTCCAGGAAGGAGATTAGTCAGCCAGCAGCCAGAGGCCCTGCCTTCCCAATGATTGCACACTGAGCTTGCTCTGACAACTTAAGAATGAAAAATTGAGACCCTGCCCTCCCAGGCGCCACCTGCCAGGCTCCGAGGGTGTGGGGAAGTGGAAGGATGAAAGGCCAGAGCCCGTGATTTCTGACGGAAGGCTTGATTGCTCCAGAGGCTCAGACACTTGCCCTTCACCAGGCTGCTGCCACCTCCTGCCACCCTGGGGAGAGGGGGACTCTGCTCTCAGTCCTTTGGGCTAAATAATTTAGCCACAGGATAGAACCTCGTCCTATAAAGCTGCTTGTTTCAGCACTCTCCTCTTCTCCCGGGGTGAGGAGTGAACGAAGCTAGAATCCTCCAGAAAGCACAGAAGCTGGCCCACATGGGAAGATCAGTTGGCTTTAGATTCCCTCCTTTCAGCAGAAACCCAAGTGCATGGTGGGTGAGTTGCTAGGCAAAGCTGGCATATGCTGGATGCCCTACAGGTCTGGAATGAAAACCAGACCCAGGGCCAAGATGCTTTTGGTGCCTGGCACATCCCTGTGGGGGCCTCCTGTAGTCCCCAAAGGGAGCTCCTCCCAGGCAGAGCCCTCACCCACACCACAGCCCAAGTGTAGGCAGGTGCCACCCCAGGAAGGATGGGCCAGCTCAGGCTCCAAAGACCCTGTCTCCTTTAGCCCCTCCCAGAGAGGGCACACACCTGGAGGCCCCAGAGGTGGGGTAGTGGGGATTGCCTGGCCTTGAGGGGCCTTAAAAGATGCTGGCGGTGGTGGGGGTAGGCGGGGGCGTAAGAGGAGGAACTGAGGGTCACTCTGGTTGGCAGAGCAGGGGTGAGCAGCCTGTTGGGGTCCTACTTGCCCTCCTCCCCATCCCTGACCCCCAGAGCCCCAAAGGTTTGCTGAGGCCAGTGATAAGGTGTTCCTGGGAACTGTTCTGACAGCAGCTTGACCTGGCCAGGAAGGCAGGATCACTAGTATCATCCAGTCCCCCTCGTTGGAGCACAAGGGGAGCTAGATGAGAACTCAGCACTGACACAGTTTTTTCTGCTTGCCTGGGAACTGGGCTTTCAGCAGGGGCAATGGGTTTCTGCAATGATAGAAGGCATGTGCAGCTTCCTGAGCGATTGCTGTGAGCCAGGTTTTACCAGCACGGCACTGCCCTGTCTCACTCCAACCCTTCAGCGTCCCTACAGTCATCTCCTTTTTTTTTTTTTTTTAGACAGAGTCTCGCTCTGTCGCCCACACTGGAGTGCAGCAGCACAATCTCGGCTCACTCCAACCTCCACCTCCTAGGCTCAAGTGATTCTCCTGCCTCAGCTTTCCAAGTAGCTGGGATTACAAGCATGGGCCACCACGCCCAGCTAATTTTTGTATTTTTAGTAGAGATGGGTTTTCTCCATGTTGGCCAGGCTGGTCTCGAACTCCTGACCTCAAGTGATCCACCCACCTCGGCCTCCCAAAGTGGTGGGATTACAGGCATGAACCACCGTGCCCGGCCGCATCTGCATTTTTAAAGGTGATAAAACAGTTTGCCCCAAGATTACACAGTTAAGTGGCAGATTCAGGAGCTGTGCCCAGTGTAACTTGGCCGTTTCCAAGCCAGGACTGTGTCCTAGTGTCGCTCACACCTCTAGGCTGCAGGATCCTTGGGCTCTTCTTCCACCTCCAGCCTGCAAATGTGGGTCTCCTTCTGCCGAGGTCAGTCCCATTATTTAAGGAACAAATGCCCAATCACCTCCCCCTGTTTTAGGGCCAAGAGGCTGGTCTCCAGTGGTTCTCTGCTCAGGCTGGTATTACGCACCCACCCCTTCCGAGGCCCAGCTAAAGCCAAGAGAGCCCTGCAGCCCGGCACCTTCCAAGGGCTAAGTGGTGGTGAAGGAGGGAGCTGGCGCCAAGTCCTCCCCTAGTCCTGTTCCCCGCCTGGAGTGCCGGTGCCTGAGCTGGTGATGGGCACACTGCCGGCCATTTGTTATCATTAGCCCTGGCATGTTGATTCTCTGCTTGGAAAAGAGAGTGCCGCTCCCAGACAGCCACCGTGACGGATGGCCTCCACCTCACAGTGTCAGAGCCAGAGCCACACATGGGGAGCAGGGAATGGCACGGGGCTTGGGGCGCCCTGACCTCAGGGACATCTGGAGCCAGGTTCAGAGGTCAGAGAGTTGTGGGAGCAGCTCTCCAGGAAGCAGCCCTGCCAAGGCACAGCTCAGCACTGGCGTGTGGAAAAGGCCTGGGGGCCCATGCCTGGAGGAAGACCCTTCACCCTTGGCCCTCAGGGTCATGGCTCTGAGTGTGTGTGCACAACTCGGACACCCAAAGGGATTAGGGAGGAGGAGTGTGCCGCGTGCGGTCTGGCCCTAGTGGATGCATGTCCTCATACTCCTCATCCCTTCCAGGCCCTGTAGAAGGGGATGAGCGGGCTGGGGGAGGGGGCTTCTGGGCAGGGACCGTTGGGCAGGGCCCTCTATGGCTCCCAAGAGCCTCTGTTCCAGCTCACATCCTTATGGAGATGTCCCTCTGATGGTGGCCCAGGACCACAGGCCAGTTCCATAGCACCCCAGACCCAGCCAGTGCCTCCCTCACCAGATCAGGCTGCCCTGGGGGTCACAGCCCGGGGGTACTCAGAGCCCATTTGTCCTTGGGCTTTTCGAGAAGGATTGGTGCAGCGTCTCAGCTCCACCCTAGGTCTTCAGCGTCCCCATGCAAATCAGGGCAGATGACAGGGTTAGAGTGAGGAGTCCTGGACCAAGGTTGGTGGCAGGAGGGGGAAATCTTTCAAATCCTTAGCATCTCAGGTGCTTCCCAGGTACGCACACATCCACACAGCCCATAGACCCCCAGCACAGGAAACCCCACTGAGACACCCATAGAAATACAATGCCAGCCACCTGGGGAAGTTTTTAATTTTTAGTAGTGACATCTTGAAATTCAGTTCATTTTGATAAAATACTTAACATATCAAAAATATCTTTCAACATGTAATGAAAAAAATGACAAGTGGGATACTTTACGTTCCTTTTCCACGCTAAGTCTTTTTTTTCTTTTTTGAGACAGAGTCTCGCTCTGTCACCCAGGCTGGAGTGCAGTGGCGCGATCTCAGCTCACTGCAACTTCTGCCTCCTGGGTTCAAGCAATTCTCCTGCCTCAGCCTCCCTAGTAGCTGGGACTACAGGCGCCCGCCACCATGTCCGGCTAATTTTTGTATTTTTAGTAAGGACGGGGTTTTGCCATTTTGGCCAGGCTGGTCTCAAACTCCTGGGCTCAAGTAATCCGCCCACCTCAGTGCTGGGCCACACACCAAGTCTTTGAAATCCAGTGTGTTTTACACCTGAGCACACTTCAGTTTGAGCCAGCCATGTTCCAGTGCTCAGGAGCCTCGGCCTCGTGTGGCCCTGGTGGTCAGCACGGCTCTAGATGCTTCTCGGTGCTTCTCTGTCAGAGCCCAATGGGTTTGTTGCCACCTTCAGGGAGAGCGTGGGCGGCATTCAGGCTGCCCAGAAGTAGCCCTTGCTTAATTCCAGAGCCAGTCATGGGGATGAGGAAAACAGGAAAGCCACCAAGACGGACTCAGTGCCTCAGCATCGCATGCTCATGGGGAAAGCTTCATGTGTGCCCCCAGAGCGGAGGTAGGGGCTCCTGGGATGGCTCTTTCTGCTCCACCCCTCCCCGCCCAGGCCTGGAGAGCTCTGGCCCCTGTGCCCCAACTCCAGTGGTGCCTGGGAAGGTCACCCAACTCTCTCCAGCCCCACACAGACCCCAGCATTCTGTAAGGAAGGCGGAGTCCTGCCCAGGCCTCACATGGCTCAGAGACCAAGGCAGCACTGCCTGGGAGGACCTGGAAGGAGCTCGTCCCTCTCCGTACCTGCAGCTCAGCCAGCCCTTATGTTGATGCCCAAGGGTGTGTGTTCAGCGCTGGAAGGAAGGGGCTCGCTACTGACCACTCTGATCTTTCTGTCCCTGCCCACAGAGACCGAAGAGAGGTGAGCTGGGGGTGCTGGTAGGACTCCCCGAACATGAGCATCAGGGCCCTGGGCCCCAACTCCAGACACCTACTCATCCCCATCTGGCCCCAAGAACAAGTCACCTTCAGCTGCTACAAGGGCTTGGCCCAGTCACGGCTTCATCCCTCCAATAAGGCCCCCTTCTTTCCCCAGGCCCCCAGGGTGAGGTTCCAGGAGGGCAGGGATATTCTGGAAGGGAGGGAGAGATGTTGACTTTCATCCCCTTATAAACCAGCGCCACCTTTGCCGTTTGGCAGGTGTTCAGAGTGGGTGGGCTCACCTGTCCTCCTCCCTGCCAAGGAGAGAGGCCGTGAGGACAGATGTGGAGGCAGTGCCTGCAGGGACTTCTTATCTGGCTGTTGCCAGGCTGAGGCTGTCTGGGGAAAGGCTGCTTCTCTTCGCTTCTCTTCTGACTGCTTTAGGAGCCTGAGGACTCGGATGTTATAAGAACATATCTTGATGTGAAATTGCTCCCTGACCGCCACGCTTGAGGTTGCGGTAAAGCCGATATTAACAAGAACCTTGGCTTGTCCAGATGCCCGTACACTGGATGTGCCTCCTGGCAGCTCAGTCCTTGTGTAAATTTTACTTCTAGCCTCCTCAGAAAGGGAAGGCAGGCACCTTCTCTGACTGGCCTCTGGCAGCTCAGGACTCGTGCCTGTTTTATCTCAGCTCCAAGACAATGACTTCCTGTGCCTTCGCTCTGTCTTCCTCACTCCCTCCCCAGGTGTCAGTGTGCGAGGGAGGGGAGTGGCTGTGGCCCAGGTGAATCAGTGTGGCGAGGCCTGCGTGTGGAGCTGAGATCCACTATCAGGATGAGCCTGTGAGCAGCCAGCAGCCTTGGCAGGCGACCTCGCGGGGCCTCAGTGAGGCTCTGCCTATGGGTGTCCTCGGGGGCCCCCCTCCTCGTCTCTACCCCGCATTGAGCTGCTCCTAAAGCATGAGGAGTCACAGCAGCCACAGACCTATAGGGTCGGAACGGCTCCGAAAGGTCCTCCACGTCCCGTCTGACACCTGCTTCCCCTCTGGGACCCCCACCACGTGCCTCCTTCCCTCAGGCTTGGCCGCCTCCCGCGACGGGGATCTCATCATGTACCCCACAGCTAGTGTGCCTGATAACCAGCCCGTTCTTTGGTTATAATTTGTCCCCTGTACCTTCCACCTGGACTCTGGTACCCTGGACTCTGGGCTCCAGAAGGACAGGACCCCTGTCTCAGTGTGCTGTCCCCAGATGGCCAGCATAGTGCCCAGCACCCAGGGGAAACTCAGTCCATTGTTGTTGAATGAAGGAATGAACAGTCCAGTTGGGCCCATGGGTGACACAAGACAAATGCGGTGGCTTTTGCGTTGGCTTTTACTCAGATATTAAGAGAGAAGTCTTCTGCCTCCCCTTGTCATTTTGTAGCTGAGCCTTCCGAGGCCCAGCAGCCGCTCGTGTGACCTGTGTCAGCCTCCTCCTCTGTCCTCCCCTCTGCCTCCTCCCAGCTTCTCACTGCTGCTCTCCACCACTCAGAGCGGGACTCCCAGTGTGCAATTGTGGGTGGATGTGGATGCGGATGTTCTGGGCACTGCCTGTGATAGGCTCTTGGGGAACTGCAGGCCCTGCTGGGGGCCGACCCCCCTGCACATCTGACTGTGAAGTCCTGGGTGTCTGGTCCTTAGCATGTCTGGGGAGCACTTTCTGCTCTGTCCCGCCTCCACACCCGTCTGGCTTCCCACGCAGCCTCCACGAGGTGGGCGCAGGCTGTCTTGGCGGCTGTGGCTGAGCCCCGGGCGTCGGTGTGGCTCTTGGAGCCCTGCTCCCCATCGCGCATCCTGGCAGGGTCTCCATAACCTGTCATCCTCGTTTCATCTTGATTTATGATCAGACCTAATGAGTTTTTGGAGCAGCTGTCTCCCAGGGATGTGGCGATCAATCTAGGAGATGGCTGTTGAACTTTGCTCCTCCCGCAGCCAGGGGAGGCAGGGAGGGGCCAGACAAGGGGGTGGGGCCACAGGAGCCTCGCCAGGTGGGCAGTGGGGGTTAAGCCTCGGGCCATGGTCCCAGGACTCTGCAAGGTCAGGGCCCTGACCTCCCCTCTGTCCCTCCCTTCCTCCCTTCCTTCCTCCTTTCCTTCCTTTTCTCCCTTCCCTCCCTTTCCTCCATCTCCCAGGGAAACGAGCTTCTAGATGGTGCTAGTTTCTTTTGAATTTGCTGGTTTGGAGACCAGGCTGGAACAGTTCCCTTCACTCTCCACTCCCAGGGGACAGATCCCAGCACCCGCCTTCATATCCTCATGGTGGTGCCGAACTGGAGGGCCCTGCCCCCTCCCCAGGTAGCTGGGTTCACCTTCTGCCTCAACTGGGGCCATTTCCACTGGGAAGCTGGTCCTCACCCCTGTTTTGGGGGCGTGGCTCTTCTAGAACCACCTGTCCTTCCCGGATATGCTCCTCACCATGGCGGCCTCTCCCCCTCCTGGTGTGTGAGCGCCCTGAGTGCAGGTCAGGATTCATGGGTGAATGACCCACCTCTGCTGGGTGCACACTCGGTCTGCTCAGCCCCAGAGCTGGTGGCATCTCCATGCAGCCGAGCTGCCACACAGCTGGGTGAGCTTTTGACAGCAGTGCAGGGTGTGACCAAGGGGAGTTCACGAAAGCCCACATGGCCCTGCAGCTGCGCCTGCCCCGTCAGGTGTTTATCCCACTTTCTAACACTCTGGAATCACCTCCCAAGAGCTTCTAGCATCTGCTTCTGACTCGTAGGCGGCAGCAAACATCCAGCCCACGAAGGTAGACTTGGTTTTTGCAAATAGACTTGTTTAAGACAATCAAAAGAATGAAATGGGTGACTAATCTAGGTAATCTAGGTAGTGGCATTACGAGGTGAAACTAATTATGGCTAGAAGATCATGAAATCCTTTTTTAATCACCCATATCCGTGGCTTGTTTGTTTGTTTGTTTGTTTTGATGGTGGAGTCTTGCCCTGTTGCCCAGGCTGAAGTGCAGTGGCACAATCTCAGCTCACTGCAACCTCTGCCTCCCAGGTTCAAGTGATTCTCCTGCCTCAGCCTCCCGAGTAGCTGGGATTGCAGGTGCGCGTCACCAAGCCCAGCTAATTTTTAGGAGAGACAGGGTTTCACCATGTTGCCAGGCTGGTCTCAAACTCCTGACCTCAGGTGATCTGCCTGCCTCGGCCTCCCAAGGTGCTGGGATTACAGGCGTGAGCCACTGTGCCCAGCCGCCATGGCTTTGTTCTAGCTGAAGGTTCTAGAAGTTGTTCTACATCATTGTTGGTGTCAAAGGTGCCTCTTCCCAAGACAGCTGCTCTGGAGGACGCCAGTTAGAAGGTGTATGTTTCAGGGGTGTATGTGTGTGTGTACAGCCGTCTCATTTCTTTGGAAACCTACTTTATAAATTGGTTTATTTACCATGAGGAAATCCCACAGTCAGGGCTGTAAGGAGAGCTAGCTGCCTTTCTTTGGAGATGTGAGGCTGGGGAGTTAGAGGAGCAGAGAAGCACGAGCTGTGTCCAGGGCAGGAGAGAGCAGTGGCAGGGATGCTCACGTCCAGACAGCTGACCTCTTCCTGCCTTCTTGCCTGCTTGCTCACCAGACCCAGGGCCCAGGGCCGAGTGACAGACAGCTAGAGGAATTCTCCACTTGCCTTTTTCTAAGTTCATGCCAGCCTTGGGCAGGGCCAAGTGCCAGGTCTCAAGGTGGTACCTCGAGATGGCAGTGGCAGTGCAGGATTTGAATCTTGCCCTACAGCAGCTGCCCCCATTGCCCTGACCCTTGTGCCCCACTTATGGTGGCAGAACAGTCTGCTGCAGCCTCCTGAATAACAAATCACCAGGTGCCCCGGGCCCAGTCTGGCCTCTGTACCCCCACCCCATCCTGCTCAGCTCTGCTCTGTAGCCCTTTCTGGCTCACAGGGACTCCGCCTCCAGCCTGTCTGCTCTCTCCCCGGTACCCCTCCTGCACATCCTGCCCTGACACAACTCCTGTGGGGTGGATCTCTCACATAGGCACAGCTGTGCACACCCCCCTCTACCCACCCGCAGAAATCTCTGGGGCAAGCAGATTGCTCAGGGTCCTGGGCTGTCCCACAGGTGTCCTGTGCCATCCACCCCCAGTGGGTGAAGCTGGAGGCAGCTCCCTGGGCTGAGACTGGAAGGAGGAACTAGGTCGCCGCTTCCGCTTGACTGACCAGGGTTGGGACGATTTGTGATGTCGGGGGAGGAGGAGTCCCCAGGCCCTCAGAGTCAGGAGTGGCGGGGACTGGAGCGGGCGGTGAGAGGCAGAAACAAATCATCTTCTTTACCGGCAATTTTCTCAGGCCGGTTTCCACGCTCCCCTCCTCCCCTCCTGTCCCCGACAGTGTCAGGCAGTTCTGATTAAAAGTAATAGATGAAGATTCCATCTCACTCCCAGTGTCATTGTGGGAAGACATTGCCTGGTTTCCTGTGGGTCCCATCAGAACCACCTCTTCCTTCCAGGAGTCAGGGAGTGGGCCTGGCCCAAAGGGGACCATAGGATACCCAGCCTCCCACCTGCAAAAGAGCCCTGGGGCTCTGCGGGGGGCCCCAGACAGGAGCCACCGAGCTGTGAGCTGGCCTCTTTGGCCACTGCCCCTTCACACTTGCCTGTGCTGCTCACCAGGAAATGTCACGTGTCCCCGTGGGCTTCACCTGAGGGGTGAGGGCACAGGCTAGAGAGGCTGTCAGATATGTTCTGAACAGAGAGAGCAGGGCTTGGTCAGCTTCAGAACAGACACGGACACTGGTGGTCTCCGTGTGTGAGTAGCTAACCACGGTTCTGGGTAGCCCGGAGAGCAGAAGCGGGAGACACAGAAAGATCTAAGAGTGCCATCTCCTCAGAGCACTGGGAACACAGCCCCTTGTCCCTGCGGTGCGCAGGCTGCCTCTGGGGAACTCAGCCTGGAGGGCGTGCTGTGAGCCTGTCTCCAGTGGCAGCCCAGGAGGAGGGTCACCGTAAAGGGCTGCGAACTGAAGCCAGCCTGGTCTCCATCAGCAACGCAAGCTGTTTGCTCTGAACAGATGGGGCCACAGGCCCCCTTCCACTTCCACAGAGGGTCCCCTGTCCCCTAGCTGTGCTGCCAGGCCCAGGAAAACAGAGCCACATGCCACCTGCCTCCAGCCTCGGTGTCAGCAGCTCAGGACTCGGCAGTCCGCAGCCTTGGTCCTTGATGCTATTTCTGCCCTGGCGTGACCACTGGCAACTTCCTGCCTGCCCTTGGCCCCTAGGCACTCACCTGTCTGCCCAGGGCTCCCAGCACTCCTGCCTGTCGGCCTCAGCTGTGTCTAGCAGATGCCCTCGGCCCAGGAGGACACCTCCTCCCAAACACTCCATGCCCTTCTTCGTCTACCCCCCAGCACTCCAGCCTCACATTCCTTAAACC
Source organism: Homo sapiens (assembly GCF_000001405.40). Taxonomy (NCBI): domain Eukaryota; kingdom Metazoa; phylum Chordata; class Mammalia; order Primates; family Hominidae; genus Homo; species Homo sapiens. The sequence goes on from NC_000017.11 coordinate 74,835,493, forward strand.
AAGGGAGAGAGGGTGACCCTGTGTCCTGACCCAGCCTGCTCCCTGCGAGGAAGCTGGCAGAGCCCCTGAGAGCCCTGGGGGTCTGATGAGGGAGCCAGGCAGTGCCTGCCCAGGACTGGCCCTCCTCTAAGAAGACAGAGTTGCTACCTCTGCAAAGCCGGACCACCCTGCCACTGGCCCCACTGCAGCCCTGTCCCCACATACCCAGGCCCCCTGCTCAGCAGGGAGAGGGGAGAACAGGACAGAGAGGGATGCGGGACCTTCCTCTGATGAGCAGCCACTGTTGAGCCACCCAAGAACAGGGCTGCATGAACATGCATTTAATGACTCTTTCTCACAGGGCTCTAGTCCCCGCAAAGGCGCCCCCCAGACCAGAAACTCAAGGTAGGGCCGTGCCTGTCCCCACCAGGTGACTCCTCTCTCTCGTTTCCCAGCTTTCGCCGTCATGATTGTGCTGGCCCTGATCCGCATCGGGCACGGACAAGGGGAGGGGCACCCGCCCCTGGCTGACTTCTCGGGGGTCCGGAACCTGTTTGGGGTGTGCGTCTACTCCTTCATGTGCCAGCACTCTCTGCCATCCCTCATTACCCCCGTCTCCTCCAAGCGCCACCTCACAAGGCTGGTGTTCCTGGACTACGTGCTGATCCTGGCCTTCTACGGCCTCCTCTCCTTCACCGCCATCTTCTGCTTCCGCGGCGACAGCCTCATGGACATGTACACCCTCAACTTCGCGCGCTGTGACGTCGTGGGCCTGGCCGCTGTGCGCTTTTTCCTGGGCCTCTTCCCCGTCTTCACCATCAGCACCAACTTCCCCATCATTGCCGTGACCCTGCGCAACAACTGGAAGACACTCTTCCACCGCGAGGGCGGCACGTACCCGTGGGTGGTGGACCGCGTCGTGTTTCCCACCATCACCCTGGTGCCGCCTGTGCTGGTGGCCTTCTGCACCCACGACCTGGAGTCCCTGGTGGGCATCACAGGGGCCTACGCGGGCACCGGCATCCAGTACGTCATCCCCGCCTTCCTGGTGTACCACTGCCGCAGGGACACCCAGCTGGCCTTTGGCTGTGGGGTCAGCAACAAGCACAGGTCCCCTTTCCGCCACACCTTCTGGGTGGGCTTCGTGCTGCTCTGGGCTTTCTCCTGCTTCATTTTCGTCACGGCCAATATCATCCTCAGCGAGACCAAGCTCTGATGGCAGGACAGGCAGGTCTAGTGACAGGAGGCATAGGGGCCCCAGCCCCACCCCTCGCCCGCAGAGCCCAGATTTAGTTGCTCCCAGGTCTTCATGGGGCAGGTGGGACTGTGGCTCTAGGGGAAACCCCCTGTCCAGCTGGGGTTGTTCTCCCCACCCACCTTCCACCCAGTCTGCACCTGTCCTCACTCCCCCGGGCAGCTCTCCCACCAGGTCCTTCTGCCTGGGTGACGCGTGGCTGCTCCCAAGTTCTAAGACTCATTACTGGAATCACACCTCTCCCACATCTTCCAACACGCTTCACCCCCAACCCTACTTCCAGGGCGGGCTACTCCCTGCACAATGGGAGATGCAGTGCTGGCACTGCCATCATTTGTCCCAGACCCATGCCCCTCCCCTCTCCTGCCCCATCCTGCGTCCTTGTCTAAGAAACCTCCACTAGCAGCTGCTGCCTCTTCAGAGGCGAATCCCAGGCTGGAAGTATCCTAGCCAGGTCTGCCTGTGACGGCAGGGCCCACCCTCCCACCAGGCCTGGGAGGCGGTAGGTGCCACCTCAGAGAGGGCCTGGCTGGCCCCATGACAAGAACAAGAAGTGCTAACTGGTACCAGAGTCCCCAGATAGAGCTGCGAGGGCCCTCGCTGTGGGCGCGAGCTCCGGAGTAGCAGGCTGGATGGAGCATCCCTTCTACAGGGACACAGCCGCCTGCCAGCTGGGCCTAAAGTCTGGAGCTTGTCTCTGAAAGGGACCGTCTGCTGCCCTCGCTGCCCCACTGGAGCCCTCAGGGCCTCCTACAGTGCAGGTGGTCCTACTAGAGGGAAGCCATCCCCACCTGGCACCTCAGCGGCTTGGCAGTGACATGGCAGTGGGAGGGCTCTGAGGTTCCCACCCTGACAATGGTCAGGCTGCCCGTGCTCCCACTCCAACACTAAAAGCGGCTCCCTTAGGGGCTGAGCGTGGGTGCTCAGTGTTCACGCTATATCCCTTGGGCAATGTGGGGTTGGATGGGGCCCCCACTTCCATTCCCATGGAAGGAGGCCAGGTCCCCAGCCACCTCCCACTCAGCCATGCACGCACTTGCTGGGCTGGCCTCCTGGGAAACACAGGTGACTCGAATGAACTCTGCATTTTCAACGTGCCTTCTACTGCTTCAGGACCTGGGGGTCCCCCTGACCCTCACTGGCTTGCCCCCAGCCCTGGGCCTGGCCCCACCTGTCCTGGAGCCCAGAGCCCCTGGCCTGGAGCTACCTCTCTGGGGTGGGTCTCAGGCCCCACCCCTCCCTCTTTTGAGTTCAGTGCCTTGCTCAGCCCCTCCCCTGTATCTCAGCGTCTTCAGACCTCTGACAGAGCGACGATGTAGGGTCTCCCGGGGCCCAAGGTGGTCTCAGGGTCAGGGGTGGGATTTGCAGGGAACTCGGGGAGCCCACGGGCTGCGCCACCTCTGCCCTGGCAGCTGAAGCCTGGGAGAGTCCCTGCGTGGTGTAATTGGCCTCAGCCCGCTTTCTCTGTGCCGTCGCACCTCAGTGTTTCTCATAGCTTGTCCCCACGTGTCACTTTCCATCCACGGGAAAAACAAATGCCCCTTCTCCATCTATCATTGCGACTTCCTCCCAGGAGGCCTCTCAGGTTGGGTAGAGCAGGGGCCTGCAGTGGTCAGGCCAAGAGCAAGGAAGACCTGGCTGCCCCACTGTGGCTGAAAACTCAAAACATCTGGAACTACCCTTCTCCAATTACGTTCCCTCTTGCTTAAAGACAAAGCTAATTAAATCATCCTGCCACCCGAGGCTCCAAACCAAATCTTGGACGCAAATTCATTAGCTTCATAAAGCCCAGGTTGATTTATGTGACAGTCTGGAACCGCCCAGCCATGGAGTCGGTGGCCGTGTTCCCTGCCCTGGAGGGAACTGGCCAGCAGTGACCACATCGCTGATGCCAAGTGGGGACCCTCACCACTGCCGTTGTCTAGCTGCTTTGCTCCTCAGTGTCCTCCTGCTGTAAGTCAGATGAGGTCACCTTCCTCTCCATCGATGCCAGGCTTCTGCCGCTGACGGCCAATGGGGCTTGGGGCCAGGGGCAGAGAACCCCAACAGCAAGAGAGCCCCAGGTGATGCTGGCTCTCCACGTGCATCCGGCACGTTTCACTGCAGCCATCATCAACTTGGCAAAGTAGGCAAGCTCAGCTTGTGGTTTCCATTTTGCAGATGGGCCCCCGGGGTCAGTGATGGGAAGAGCAGAAGAGGATGCCAGCCCAGCCTGGCCCAGGAGCAGGTGTCGTTGTGGAGGAAAGCTTAAACTCAACAGCCTCTACCCAACATCTGCCACCTGCATGGCCCCAGATGCCCCCGGTGCAGGCCAGGTCAAGGTGGGAGTAAACTTTCTTTGCCTCCCTCCCCACAGAAGCACCAGACCCACCTGAGCCCCAGAGCCTCATGCCAGCAGCTCCTGGCTGTTCCTCACCTGAGGCTAGAGCAGCAGCTGCCAGCTTATAGATGGGGCGGATGGCAGGTGATAGACTGGGAAGCACTGCTGGGTGGTGGAGGTGGGCAGTGGCACCATGACGGGCCCCTAGCCACACAGCTGTCCTCACTACGGGGCAGGGAGCAGCCTCGGCAACAGGCAAAGGCCAGAGTCAGAGTGGTGGGGAGGACAGGGGCTGCTGCCCCGCTCCTGGAAAGCCACTGCAGAGGGGCAGTGGCTGGCAGTGCCAGGCCTGGGGGAAGTGGAAGCGTCCTGTCTGGGGGCAGATTCCCAAGCAAGGGTGACCCATGGTTAAGGGCCACTGGAAAGCTGGAGAGAGCTTGGGATCCCTTCCACCTGGGGCCAATGGTGTTGATTGCAGACTGGAGGGGTAACCTCCGCTGAGGGTCATTATGTGCCAGGCATGGCATTGGGTACTTTCTGCATTGGGACCAGGCAGCCGGGCCTGCCATTTGAGGCAGCGAGCCTCCGTGACCTGTCCTCCCTCATTTGTAAAGTGGGGTAACAGCTATGTCACTGGCCAGTTGTGGGGATTAAAGTGCTGAGCTTAGTGCCCAGCCCAAAATGCTCAATAAAGCTATTCAGTGATACCTGTTTCCCACATCACTCACCAGCCATAACTACTTGTAGCCAGGGACCCCTGACTCATTAGGACTCAAGACACCTACCTGGTTTCATAGCCTTCTAATGAGTTGTCGCCGGGTTGCAATTCAGAAACAGAAAATTGGTCTGAATTCTCTGGAGTCTAGAGGGCTTTGGGGATAGGGGTTGACTCTGGTTCCCCAGTCCCTTAGGAAACTTGAGGACAGTCCTCCCCTTTCAAAGAGCAGGACAGGCTAGGCTGGAGGGTCCTGGCTGAAGACATCAGCCTGCCCTTTTGCAAGCTCTGCCCTCCTCCCCCACACACACCTGGCTCCCTGCAGAAAGCTGGCTTGGACCACAAGCCGCTCAGCTAGACACAAGGAAAAACAGCTACAGCAGCAACAGAAGGGACCCCAGTTAGTAAGATTTTCCTGCTCTGAGGCCAGCCACAAGGGCCTCCCTCTTTCTGTACCTCACCCAAAGAAAAACAATGGTATTTGAGCATGTGGGTCGCCAGGCCCTTGTTTATGATGCTTTCACATCTATAGCCTTACTTCTCTCTCCTCTCCCCTGCCACGCTTTCTTTCCTTCCCTTGGTGGTGCAGGAAGCCAGGCCAAGCTAGTTCTGAACTCAGGATGCAGCCTTCCTGCTACCTGTCCCCCAGGACTCATATCCTCCTGCCCCCCCCCCCCCCCCCCCGGCCACAAATATATGCCTAGAGAAGGAACAAGGCAGCCAGTGCCTGGCCCAGGAGCAGGAGCGGCCCTCCTCAGAGCCAGCAGCAGGCTCGGCTTCACATTGGAGGCTCAGCTCTTAATGATCTTTCCAGTTCTTGGTTATTAATGATCTTGGGCAGAGAGCAGAGCAGCCCTGTCCTCACAGCTCCTCCAGGATGCCTCACCTGCCACAGCCTTCCTCCCAGGGCCAAAGGCAGACCCTGACTCTGGGAGGAGGAGGGGCTCGGTTCCAGGGGCTGGTGGCCAACAGTTAACCCTCTCACTACTAGTGGCTGCAACCAAGGTCAAGCTCCCTTCCAGAGTGCTGGCCTCCAGCACTCACCTAGACACACTCCCAGCCTGCTGTCCTGAACCTGGATCCAGCCCATAAAAACCCATAGGGTAGAGAGCGTGAAATTGTGTGGACAGGGCCACCCACTCTTGGGGTACTCTCCTACCAAGAATGGAGGTGTATCTCCCCCTACCGTTTCAGCTGCCTTCACCCCTAAAACTAACCCAAAAAAAGTCCAGTTCTCATGGCCCCAACCCAAACAGTGGGGTCTTCAGAGACTAAAGAGGCAGCCTGGCTTCCTGGGAACCAGCAAGGAGCTACGGGGGAGGGCACTGGCAGAGACAGCCAGCACCGCCCCTCGCAGCTTCCTCTCTGTCACGTGGAATTAGCCTCTGGCCTGCCTCCACCCAACTTGTCAGGACAGCCAGGGCTTGGCCTTTACATCTTCAGCCGTTAGAAAAGGGTCTGACAGAATCAATAGTGCTCACTGTTTGTGGAACGGATAGAAGGAATGCCTGCTTGCTCCACAGTCATTGTAGGGGGGATAAGTGTGATTGCAGATGTGAAAACATTGAAAATGGTAAGCACAAGCCATCTTTTCAGATGGGCCAGAGGCAAAGATGTGTGATAGAAAAAGGAAGTGGGCTAGAAGCCCCAGAGGGAGAAGAGGATGAGACCGCAGGCAGATTCTCCCACCACAGGAGTCCTGGCACCAGCGAGGCCAAGCTGTGCCTGACCCTGGCAGCCACCTGCCCCAGGATTCCAGAGCCCAGGCAGTTCCGAGCCTCGTGTGTCAGCCACGGAGAGAATGCGGCCAGCCAGGGTTTAGCAAGCCTACAAGCTCCACACCTTTCTCTGCCTCTGCCTCTGCCACCATGGCACTGTCAGGCTCCCCAGGGCGTCCCTGGCAGGGCAGGACAGGACAGCCACTACCCCTGGCACAAGCCTCCCTTTTCAAGGAGACTGAGGGATGAACGCCATCCATCATCACCAGAGCCCCCGTGCTGAGCACACGTGTTACATCCAGTGCCAGGATGGGTGGGAGCTGGCCCTGAATACCAAGTGGCTTCTGCTGCCCAGAGCCCCCTCTCAGCCTCACCTCCTTCCCACATCCCTCCCAGACACTCCCAAGGCTCCGCCTCCCCAAGAGGGACCTGCCTACCTGCTTTAGGCAAACATCCCACCTGGGATACTCTCATGATGCCCTGTTGTCTATGGCCTGTGCTGTGCCCCTTCCAGAATGCAGAATGAAGCAGCCAGGACCAGTGTGTTGTAAAAGGTTGGTTTAATGTCCCAGTGCTCTGATGAGAAGAAACTCTAGCCAGGTAGAGCAAGGATCGGGATGGCCCTGCCTCAACCACAAGTTCCAGCCTCCATGCCCACAGCAGCCATGACCAGTAACTGGCTAGCCCCAGGGAAGGGAGAGCCTCAGGAGTCTGACCCCCACAGCACACCCTCCTGGCAGAACTCTGCGTGAGAAGAGGACAGCAAAAGCCCAGCCCTCACCATGATTTGAGGCTACTGAGGTCACTGATGACCATGGAAGACATCATCTGTCACTGGGGTCCCATGGCCAGGATTTCATGGCAGAAGCCAGAAAAGCCCAATCCTGCCTGCCGCTTAACCCTGACAGTGGCAGGCAGAGAATCCAGCTGGCTCGGAGCCTGAGTGGCTGATAACTCACACTTCTGACTCCAGACTGGAGATCCGTCTCCAGGTGCAGGGTCCCGGGAAGCCTTGCGTCCCACGGGCTACCCTGCTGATCTCGTCCAGTCCCCCACTGTCTCTGTAGCCTGTGCCCAGCCCCAGAGTCCTGCCCCTGTGCCCCAGAGGCCCCCAGGCCCCGGAGAGCCAGGAGCCGTGGCTGGCACAGGGTGGAAGGTGAGGACAGACAGCCCCCCAGCAAAATGGCAGGTGGGCGTGGGCGTGCAGGCAGACGTGCTGTCTGTGCTGCCAGGCGGGGGCCCCTGCCTGCTCGCCCTCCTGGCAGGCCTCCCGGTAGATCGGCAAGCACATCGACTGCGCCTGCGCCAAGCGCCTGCAGGCCGAGTGGCCGTCGGGGCGGGCGCAGGCGGGGCCGGTGCACCCAGCGGGCAGCGAGCTGGGCCGAGCGAAGGCCTCGGCCACGGAGCTGGGCAGGGAAGCGTGACGCGGGCGCGAGCCCCGGGCCCAGGCCGCGTGCAGCAGGGCCTCCCGCCGGGCCAGCTGCTCCGGACCGAGCAGCGGCAGGTCCTCCAGCTCCGGGAAGAGCGGGAGGAAGGGGCGGCCGGATCGGTCGGCTCGAGGAAAGGAGCTGTAGTGACAGCGCGCGGGCGACAGGGGCCGCTCGGAGGCCGAGAGGTGCCTCCCGCAGTGCCCGGTCCGCACCGGCCACCGCGCCTCCCAGGCTGGGCGGCGCGACACTCGGGAGACGTCGGACAGGGGCGGCCCCGGCGTCGGGGGGCGGCCCGGGGGCTGCGGAGCCCTGCGCACAAGCGCCGCGCGACCCCCGTCTGGCGGTCCCCAGCCCGTGGGGCTCGGCTCTGGGGGCGGGTCGGGGGTGGGCAGGCATGGGCTGGGGCCAGACCGCGGGGTCGGGCAGGGGGACGGTGGGGGCGCACGGCGGCCGCCACCCCAATTCTCGATGGTGCGAGTGGCGCGGTCCAGGGAGCTGCTTACGCCCGCCGTGGTCACCATGTCGCGGGCTGCCTGCAGCATCTTGAGCACGCTGGCCTGGGCCGAGCTGGCCGTGAGGTCCGGGCTGGCCTGCCGCGGTGGGCTGGCGAGGCTCTGCACCCCGCTGAAGCAGCTGTAGATGCCCTGGGCAGTAGGGAGACGACAGGCCGTAAGCAGCGCCCTCCGCTCAGGGACCCGCCACGATTGTCCCTGCCTGGTCCCAAGGCATCATCAGTCTTCTATAAGTCTCAGGAAGTAGCTAACTGTGAAGCATCTCCCATGCGCCAGGCACTGTGCTTTGCAGATGAATGAGTGGTCTGAGCGCCCAGGTTGACTCATTCTCCTAATCACTCTAGCTAGCACCTGGCACATGAAGGTTCCAACCTGGGCACACCTGTGGGGGGGACTCTGACCCTCTTCAACCCTGCCACCCTGGTGAGCCATGCCACTTCTCAGGACGTTGGCTTTTTTTTTTTTTTTTAGAAACAGGATCTCACTCTGCTGCCCAGGCTGGAGTGCAGTGGTGCCATCTCGGCTCACTGCAACCTCTGCCTTCTTGGCTCAAGCGATCCTCCCAATTCAGCCTCCTGAGTAGCTGGGACTGCAGGCGCGCACCACCACGCCCAGCTAATTCTTTTATTTTCTGTAGAGATGGGTTTTCGCCATGTTGCCCAGGCTGGTCTCAAACTTCTGGACTCAAGGGATCCACTGGCCTAAGCCTCTCAAAGTGTTGAGATTACAGGTGTGAGCCATGAGCCGGGCCAGAACCTTGGTTTTACCTCTGGAAATGGGCCATGGCCAGCCCGGACTTATCTGGGTAGGTGCCCTTAAAACTTTGGCCTGTGTGGGGAGGGGTGGGCACCCACCCTGCTGAAAGCCAGCAGGAAGTCCAGCTGGGATGAGTTGGGCACCGAGTGGCGCAGCTTCCAGTAGACCAGGTGCTCCCAGGCGAAGACCAGCAGGGCCAGCCCCATGGCCACCAGCAGCATGTAGAAGACGCCTGCCATGTTGTCGATGTCCAGCTTGCTGCTCATCACCTCGTTCTTCTCATTCTGGCAGATCCCTGAGAGCCACACTGTCTCCAGTTTCTGTGTCTCTCCTGGAGTTGGGGGGTGTACACATCTGGCTCAGGAAACCCCCCTATAAGCAACCCCCTCACAAAGCTCACCACAAACCTGGAGTAAGAAGGGATCTGGGGCAGGGTGCCACCCACTTCTTCCTCAAGCAGACCACATGGGGATCCAGCCTGGCTGGAGCAGGATGGTGGGGCGGGGAGTGGAGGGTCAGTGAGCAAGGAAATAGGAAAGCAGGGTGGAGGCTGGAGTGGGCAATGCTGGCCTTTGGGTCCTCCCCCTGTGCACCCCCAGTAAAGGCTTGTGATTGGGTAAATGTTAGCATTCATTCATTCACTCCTCTTCATATACTTATTAACCATCTACATGCCACTCACGGAGCTGGGCACACAGAGACAAAAGGCCTAGGCTCCTAAGAGACACACATTGTGATTGCTCTTATTATTATTATTGTTATTATTATTATATTGAGACAGTCGTGCTCTGTCACCCAGGCTGGGGTGCAGTGGTGTGATCATGGCTCACTGCAGCCTGGATCTCCTAGGTTCAAGCGATCCTTCCACCTCAGCCCCCTGAGTAGCTGGGACTACAGGCACACCACCACACCTGGCTAATTTTTGTATCTTTTGTAGAGATAGGGTATCCCCATGTTGTCCAAGCTGATCCCGATCTCCTAGACTTAAGCAATCCTCACACCTTGGCCTCCCAAAGTGCTGGGATTACAGGTATGAGCCACCTCACCTGGCCGCTCTCATTATTATATGGTTTGAGAAATCAGATTTTTTTTTTTTTTTTTTTTTGAGACAGGGTCTCACTCTGTCACCCAGGCTGGAGTGCAGTGGCACAATCATGGCTCACTGCAGCCTCAAACTCCTGGACTCAAGGGATCCTCCTGCCTCAGCCTCCCAAGTAGCTGGGATTATAGGTGTGTGCCACCATGCCTGGCTAATTTTTTAAAAACTTTATTTATAGAGACAGGATCTTGCTGTGTTGCCCAGGCTGGTCTCAAACTCTTGACTTCAAGTGATCCTCCCACCTCAGCCTCCCAAAGTGCTGGGGTTATAGCCATGAGCCACCACACCCAGTCTAGACCATGTCTTATCTAACAAGAATGGAACTCCTCCAAACACAAAGCTCTCTCTGGGTTTGGGGGCAGGCTGGGCTGGACCACTCACACATGTGGGACTGGGCAGATCCGTAATCTCAAGATGGCCATGGAGATACTATACTGAGCAAAGGAGGTGCTCATCTGGGAGAGATCTTGGGAGGGGTCTTAGGGAAGAAGAAAGGAGTTCAGCCACTCCACCCATCCCCACCCCCACCATGAGGCCTGAGCCCCTTCCTGTCTTCCTGCCCTTCAGGGACTCTCTAGCCCAGTTCCTGCTCCCGCCCTGCACACCTATCCCTTCCTCAAGTCTCTCTCCAGTTGCTCCTAGTACCTGCCCACCTCAGCTGCCCCAACCTCTCACCCCCCAGAGACCTCTCCCTGCTCACAGGCCTTGGGAACTTGAGTGGTGGTGGAAATGCTGACAACCTTGGGCTCCACAGCCCACCCTGGGCATCCCAGCAATGGCAGTACCCACCGTCCCCCAGGAACTGCAAGAGCGCCAGGTCTATGGCCCGCTTCCAGTGGGAGTCCTTCTGCATGGCGATGCCGTAGCCAGTGGTAGCAAAGACCTTGCCAGACCCAATGGTGACCAGCTTGCAGCCCTCGTCCTTGCCTGCCATGTAGTTGAGGACAGCAGCATCATAGATGAAGGCATCCAGCTTCCTGGGGACAGGCTGAGCCTCAGAGCTAGGGACCATATGGGAGGGGAGGGGACACCGAAACTGGGGCGTGACAGGGGTCTAAACCACATGAGCCTGCTGGGCACCCCCGGGAGGGACCAATGGGCAGAGACTTGTCTGGTTCTCTTGGGTCCTGGATGGGGTGAGGACCCCTCCCACCCTCCTCTGCAGAGTGGCCAGGGGACTGTCTGTTCCCAGAAGACACACCACCCTTTCTGCCCACCCTCTCCGTGCTCCTAAGACTCAGAGAAGGTCCCAACCACCACCTCAGGCTGAGGCTGAACTTTGATTGGCACCACAGCTGTGTTCTGAGACACATGGTGGCCTTCCATTTTTGCCTCAAGCTCCACTCTGCCCCAAGACCTCTTCCCTCCACCCCACAGGAGTCCTGCAGGACAGCCCAGTCCCACTGTCCCCACATTGAGAGCTAAGGCTGGTCACTGGGGAGACACACGGATGAAGACAGCGGGTGCAGGGCTGGGGACCCACCCCATCTTGAGGCTGGTGAGCGCGTCCTCCACCGAGCGCTGGTTGAACTTGACCATGTGGGTGTGCATGTCACGGTAGTTACTGCGGATGTTCCGCTCCGTGCTGCCGTTGGGCACCGTGCCGAAGCGGAAAGGTGGGTACTGATCTTGAGGCCGCTGAAACTGCAGGCGGAGGGCAGCAGCCAGTCACAACCCTTCCTCCAGCCTTCCAGGCACCAAAGCCCCAAACCCACCCCAGAGCCCAGCCCCAGTGTGGACTTGCATAGTCAGAGCAGAAGGTCTTAAAGGCTGTCCAGGCCACTCCTGTGTTTTCCAAATGGAGACTCTGAGGCCCAAGACAGGGAGAGACTTACCCAAGGCCTCTCAGCCGGTGGCCCTGAGCCATCTCTTGCCCCAGCCCCCAACCCCTTCTCAGCAGGCCCTGAAGCTTCTTCCTGCCCCAGCCTCCAGGTCAAATTCCCCAGACTCGACTGTCCAGGGCCTGCCCACTCACGGCCTGTCCCCACCCTCAGTGCCCCCCCCCACCCCCAGCAGCTATGGCCCCACAACCTTCTTGTCACTGAGGCCCGACACAGTGTCGATGTATTGCTCTTGGATCATGAAGGCGGCCAGGTTGGCCGTGTAGCTGGCGAGGAAGATGACAGCAAAGAAGGCCCAGACCAGAACCATGATCTTGCTGGTGGTGCCCCGCGGGTTCTCGATGGGCACTGAGTTGTTGAAGACCAGCGCCCACAGCAGCCACACGGACTTGCCGATAGTGAAAGCTGGGCCCCCGGACTCTGGGGGCAAGAGGCGGGGGGATGCTGGAGCTCCTCCTGCCCACCATGAAAGGGCTCAGGGCTCAGCCCACCCGACTGCACAGCTCCGGTCTCAGCCTGGCCTTGGGGGGGACGCGTCCTGGCCATTCCCTCGCCAGGTGAAGTGAGCTCACGTGTGTGTTTCTGTGTGTGTGTGTCATCTGACTGGCCCCCAGCATGTGCCATCCAAAAGCAAGGGACCTCCCAAAGGTATTCTCTGAAGGACCCGTTGCCCCTGAGCCCAGCCCTCAGGGTGCCCAGGCCCACCCCTCCTGCCGGGCCCAGGCAAGGCTTACTCTTGCCTCTGGTGAGGTTCTGGTTGTAGCTGACAGGGCTGAAGTACTCGAACATGAAGACGGTGATGGCCACCACAGTGAGGCACATGACAAACATCATCACCCACACTGCAGGGCTATATGGCTCTGGGGACAGAGGGAGGCAGCTCAGAGGCCTCGGCATGTTCCCTGCCCCAGGCCCAGAAGCACTGGGTGGAGACAGGTAGGTCCACGTGATCAAAGTAGGGGCCCACCAGCTCTGCGGACCCAGCCAAGGGGGCCTCTGACTCAGAGCAGCAGAGCCCCAGGAGAGGCCCCCAAAAGAGGTCAGGCTCTCCAGCATCCTTGGTCTCCCCCCGCCCCCCACTTCCCTGGGACAGGTACAAGTCACCCACCCCAAGAAACGTTCCTTTGACTTCACAACCCCTGCCTGGCCCCACGTGGATGATCTGGTGGTTCTGCCTGGAATCAGAGCCCCTGAGGCCAAGTCTTACTCCTCATCCTACCAACATGGAAACCCACACCCAGGGAACTGGAGACATCCACCCCAGGCCTCAGACAAGACTGTTTCTGTCTCCTAGAGTAAGAAATCACTACTGCTGGCTGGGCTTGGTGGCTCTCGCCTGTAATCCCAGCACTTTGGGAGGACGAGACGGGCGGATCGTTCGAGACCAGCCTGGCCAACATGGCGAAACCCTGTCTCTACTAAAAATACAAAAATTAGCCAGGCATGGTGACACATGCCTGTAGTCCCAGCTACTCAGGAGCCTGAGGCAAGAGAATCAGTTGAACCCAGGAGGCGGCAGTTGCAGTGAGCTGAGAGCGCACCACTGCACTCCAGCCTGGATGACAGAGCAAGACTCATTCTCAAAAAAAAAGGAAAGAAAAGAAATCACTACTATTGGCCAGGTGCAGTAGCTCACACCTGTAATCCCAGCATTTTGGGCGGCTGAGGCAGGTGGACTGCTTGAGTCCAGGAGTTTGGAGACCAGCCTGGGCAACATAGTGAAAACCTGTCTCTACACAAAATACAAAAATTAGCCAGGTGTGGCGGCATGCACCTGTGGTCCCAGCTACTCAAGAGGCTGAGGTGGGAGGATCACTTGAGCCCAGGAGTTTCCAGGCTGTAGTGAGCCAAGATGGCACCACTGCAGTCCAGCCTGGGTGACAGAGGAACACCCTGTCTCAAAAAAAAAAAGGAAGGAAAGAAGAAAGGAAGAGTGGGAAGGAGAGAGGGAGGGAGGGAGGGAAATCAATCCTGCCATGAGCACTTGCTATGCTATGAAGTGGTTTTTTTTTTCCTCTCTTCCGTGGCTGAGGAGCCTGCTCAGAGAGGTTCTGTGACTTGCCCGAGGCCACACAGCAGGACAGGGCAGAGCCGGGGTTTCCACTCCTGTCTGGCCAGCCTCAGCTCTTCCCCTGCCCCTCGCCTGTCTTCACAGCTCTCTGCCACCTCACACTTCATGTCCCACGTGGCCTCTGACAGGGAACTTTGGGAAGGCAAAGACTACGCTGTAGCCCCAGCACCCAGCATGGGACCTGGCTGCCCAACCAATGCCGGACTCCTCACCCAGGAAGCAACACACCTCTTCGCACACTACACTCGCTCCTCAACTCCCCACGGGCCTCCCCCACTCGTTCCACAGTCCTGGGCCATGGCCCATCCTGAGGCGAGCCTGCCTGCTGGATTTTCCTGCCACTCACAGTGGCACCACGACCCATCCCACACCCCCAACCCCACCCTCACCTGGCAGCCATACCTAGAACCGAACACTGACTTCACTTCTCCTGTCTCCTTTCCACTCACCTCCAGCCAACCTCCAAGACCCAAGGCTGCTGTGCTTGGCCTGTGAGAGCCCACCCAACTCCCCATCCCCACCCAAGCTGTACACACCCTCCTCGTGGGCCCCTCTGCCCCCGGAGCCGTCTCTGCCCACCCTGGGCCTCACCCAAGAAGGCCGAGGGGGAGACGGTGCCATTGCTGCGAGCCACCATCACACTGATGCCCGTCTCCACAAAGGGTACAGAGAAGTCTACGATCTCGGAGCGTTCCTCATTGATGGTGAGGGAGCCGATGGCCATGTCTGCCCGCTTGTAGTACACCTGGGGGCCGGACGCCACGGAGGTTTGAAAAAGGGGCTCCCGTGGGGTGGACACGCTGCACAGGCACCTCCAGACACCCCTTCTAGCACCCACCAGCTGAGTCAATCATTCCCTCTGGGGCCCTCAGAGCTCAGCTTTCAGTACTGACCACCCCAGGAGTCATCATTGGTGACAGCCCATGCCCCCCTCTAGAGGGCATCTGAGAGCCACATGGGGCCTGGGCAGCAGGTGGGCAGGCAGGGCAGGTGAGGAGGGAGTGGGGTGGGGCCTACCTCCCCAATCATGCCGTTCCATACGCCGCGCACCCGCTTGCCATGCTTGCCGTTGGTCACCAGGTACAGGTCGTAGGAGAATTTGACCACTCTGGCCAGCTTCTTGAGGATGTCGATGCAGAATCCCTTACAGCAGAGCTTGGTGTAGGGGGCCACGTCCCCGCTGCTGCAGCCATGCCGCCATGAGACCACCGGGAGTCAGAGTATGTCGTGGCCCAGCCCCGCCCCAGCCACTCCTCCAGCCTGGCACGTGGACCCCTGCCCCACACCCAAGCATGGGACATACACGACACCTGACCATCACACGGCAGCACCCAGCTCACACTAGCCTCCCAGGGCCCTCCACAGACCTGAAGGTGTGGTTGCTCTGCCTGCGGCAGGGCACGGTGTTGGGGACACAGCCTCCTGTGCCAGGGTCAGGGCTCTCCACGATGACAAAGGGCCGCTCTTCCAGCGTGGCCACCGTCAGGTGCCGACTGTCCACCACAGGCTGCAGAGAGGCACTGTAGCGAGGCCACACGGGGTACTTCATGTATAGGACGCCATGCTCCCAGCGCCCCACCTGTGGAGGGTGACAGCCTCAGCCTGGGGCCTCCAGCCCTACAGCCCCCACCCTCTAGGTGGAGCCTGCCAGGGCCAAGAATCTCCCTCTCTCACCTAGGGATGCTGGGGCAGGTCAGAGTAGGGCTGCTCCCAACAGCCTCCCCCAGCCTCGGGTCCCTGTGTTCATACAGCTCCACACTGACCCACAGCATCTTCCTAAAGCCCAGACCTGACCCTGTCTCACTCACTGTACTGGTCCCCCCTGACTTTGACAGAACGTCCTTAGCTGAGCACTCAAGGCCCTTCATGCTCCAAACCCTTCTGCCCCTCTGTCTCTTCCAGGCTAGCACCTCTTCCTGGTGGGCTCCTACTCAAACCTCCACAGCCCAGCTCAAATATCCCATCTTCTGGGACCTCTTTCCCAGTTTCCTCCTTTGAAGGCAGAACTAATTCCTGTTCCTCATCTCCAATCCCACAATCTTTTGCACACGTCTACTCAAGCACTTGTCCCTGCATATTGTTTACAAGCCTGTCTGGCCAGCATGGTCATGGGTTACTCCTGCAGGGGCAGGACCAGGAGATAGGAGCGCTTGAAATGTTCTATAGTAGAGGGAAGCCGGGGTGTTATGGGAGCCCAGAGCAGGGCACCTCACCCACCCCGGGGCACCTGGAGGCTTCCCAGTGGAGGAGATGTTTGTTTCAGCTGAGACCTGGAAGATGAGGGGTTGGATAAGGGACAGAGGGACTCTCTGCTCAGCTGTGGGCACAAGAGGAGGCGGGGACAAAATAAGAGGACACTGAGGGCCCCTGGGCTCACCCCCTTCTCACCATCTCCCAGAGGCGGTGCCGGTTGAGGGCGATCACCACCATGGTGGGCTGGACCAGGTACCCACCAGGGCTGAAGGAGAAGTCTCGGCCCTCCCAGGTGACATTCAGTAGGTGCCTGCCAGAGGGGAGAGATGCCTGCAGCCCTGCCAAGGACCAGGCACCCCCTGCCTCTGCCTCACCGCCGCCACCGACAGCAGGTGGCATTGATTGTGTTTATTGTTCAAAGTGCTTCCCTATATTGGCCCCACGATCCTTGCCACACCCTGACACCTGCTGTTTGTTCAGATGAGGACACTAAGGCCCAGACAGGTGGGGTAATGTGGCCCCAGGCACGCAGCTAGTGGGAGGTGTGGCTGGCCAGCCCAAACTCACTGCCAGCCAGCTCCCCCGAAGCGCTCCCCACCTCCCTACCCCTATGCCCCGGGCAGGTGCCCACCTGTAGAAGGCCTCCCGGGCAGGGCTGACGGGCCCAGGGTGAACACGGCAGTCCCCGGCCGGGGCTGGCAGGGTTCCATGCTGGCGCCAGTAGCTGTGGGCGCCCAGGGCCAGAATGGCCACGCCGTCGCGCACCTTCTGGCGCAGGCTGAGGCGCCAGCTCTCGGTGACGACGCTGATGAGGCCCACGGGGAAGGTGGCGGGGGGCGCATCGGTGCTGCCCAGCGCCAGGTTGGGCACCAGCCACACGTGGCCGGGCCCCACCAGACCGGCCTGCGCCGCCTCGGCGAAGAGCACCTCGGCCTCCTCGCGCGAGCAGTAGGCCACAAACACGGGCGCGTCGAGCTGGCGCAGCAGGCGCTGCGTGCGCGCGCGCGGCCCTCCCGGGCCCAGCTCCAGCGTGACCACGTCCAGCAGCCGCCAACTCACGTGGCTGGCGTCGGCGACGGCGCGCACGCCCTCCAGGAAGAGCGCGTGGCCCGGGTGCAGGCTGGTGATGACGGCGAAGGCGCTCCAGTCGTACTCTTCCAGCACCTTGAACAGCACCTGCAGCTGCTGCTCCAGGGACACGCCCAGCTGCAGGAAGGCGGAGCCCGGCTCCTGGGGGCGGGCGGGGCCTGAGCGGGGCGGGAGGGCCGAGCCCCTCCTCCCGCCCCTTCCCCGACCTCGGCCCCTCCATCAGCTCCCAGGCGCCCTTGCGCCGGCGGATGCTCCGCATTCCGGGAGCCCTCTGGCCTGCGCCTCCCTCCCGCCCCAATGTGGTTCCCCGCTGCCTAGTAGCATGGTCATGCCCGGCCCCCAGCCCACCACGCTGGCCCGCAGACCCGCAGCATCAGCACCACTGGGGAGTTTGTCAGAAATGCAGATTCTCAGGTCGCACCCCACACCGACTGGATCGGAGTCGCTGGGTATGCCGCCTGGCATCTGTATTCTCACAAGCTCTTCAGCCGATCCTTGAGCCCGCTAGACTGAGAAGCGCTGCCCCAGACCAACTGAATCTGAATTCCAGAGGTGCAAAGCCAGGCGTCTGTATTTCCTAAGAGCACGATGAGGGTTGAGAGCCAATGTCCTGAGATCTTATGCCGGGGCCCCAAGAGGACGGGGAAACGCCACCCTGGTTGAAGCCCTGAGGGTGGGAAAGCTCCTCCTCTCCACCCCTCTGCCACCACAAAAACCCAAGGCACTGCCGGCTGGCACCGGGGCCAGCGCAGTCCCCTCGTAACTGGTCTCACTGCTGCCACTGTCCCAATCTTTTAAAAAAGCAAATAAGGGAAAATTCAGAGGCCAAGCAACGCAGTTTCTTCAATAAACAAATTG
Organism: Homo sapiens; assembly: GCF_000001405.40. Classification (NCBI taxonomy): domain Eukaryota; kingdom Metazoa; phylum Chordata; class Mammalia; order Primates; family Hominidae; genus Homo; species Homo sapiens. The sequence goes on from NC_000017.11 coordinate 74,853,329, forward strand.
CAAGGAAAAAAGAGAGACAGACAGAGGAGGGGCCCAGAGGTTGAGAGAAACTCAGAAGCCACACCAACCAACCGGCACGTGTGGACCCGATTTGGCTCTTAATTCGAGCAAACAGGCTGCAAAATAAACACTTATGACAGTTATGAAACAATGGGGAAATTTGAACACTGCCTGGATATTTGAAGGAGTTTTTATTATTTTTTAGACGTGATAATGTATGGTGGTTTTACGTTCTTAAGCCCTTATCTGCCAGGGATACATACTGAAATATTTATGGATGGAATAAGAGGATGCCTGGGCTTTGATTCAAATTAACACAGAAGAAGGGGAAGGGGGTGCTGGTGAGGCTGGGGTGGATGGCCAGGGCGAATGGGGGATATATGAGTCTTCCTTATACTTTTTAATGTATACTCAAAATTCTTCATATAAAAATTAATGAAACAAAGGCGAATCAGATCAGTCTCTTCCCTCAACTCTCCTCCGCTCTTCCCTGAGTGGCTAGATCAACAGGGGCAGGGCCAGGAAGCTCACAGGGCTAAGGCAGGCACAGACCACGGCCACTGTCACAGCCGGCTTGCGCTGCCCTGTCTGCTCACTTGCTTAGGGAAAAGCCCAAATGTCTTCCCAGGTGGCCAGGCCCCCGCCTCCTTCTCCAGGCTTTTCCCTCTATTCCTCCAAAGCTCTGAGCTCCTTCCTCGCCTTGGGGCCTTCATCCCACCTGCTTCTCTGCCTGGGCCTCTCCCCCTCCCCACCGGCTCGCCCTTAGGCCCTCAGCCTAGACATCATTTCTCCAGAGACTTTCCCTGGCCAACACCCTATGCATGAGCCATGAGTGAGCTCCCTCACAGCATCCTGTGTCTTTCCTTCAGAACGCTTGTCCTAGTTGTAACTGCTGATGAATGTGTGTTTGGAACGTTCTCCCCTGAGCCCTGCAAGGGCAGGGCCGTTTCTGCCTCCCCCAGGGCTCCCAGGGTTCCCTGGTGCTCACCCTACAGGTCAACTACCACTGCCCAGAGGGCATGGCACCACCTCCATGCCCGGCTGGCCCTCTGGGTCTTCACCCTGACCTAGGAAGCTGAGGGAAGCAGAGAGGAGGAGGGCTGGGGCCTGAGCCCCACAGCCAGAGGGTGGGCCTGCACCCTGCCCACCCCTCATCCAGACACAATGTGAGGTCAGCCCAGAATATCTCTCCTCTAGAACATGGGATGTCATTCCCATAACCATCTCCCCATCACCCACATCATGCCCTCAGCCCCCACCTCCCTGCCCATCCCGTCTAATCCCAGCTTCCCAGAACCAAAGCACCCCCGACCCCAGCCTGGTTCCAGGCCTGAGGCACGAGGGGACATGAGTTTGGACATGCACCTTGGGGGTGAGGACCACAGCAGAGCCTCCGCTGATGCTGAGGATGGGCACATGGGTCTGGGAGGAGATGAAGTCAAGGATCTGGGCCACCGCCTCGGTGTCCACGTTGTCCTCAAAGACAATGCCGTGGACGTGGGCAGCACCCAGGAGGCCGCAGATCTGGGTGAGGAGGCTGCTGGGGTTGGTGGTGTTGACCCCAACTGTGAGCGGCTGGATCTCCAGGGGTAGGTCCAGGAAGCTCTGGGGGGTGAGGCGGGCACGGAACTGGGCCTGGGGCGGCCCTGAGCTGCTAAACACCACGGCCACCGTCATGCCCTGCTCGCCCTGCCCCGGACCCAGCCCTGCCCAGGCACCGAAGAGCGAGGTGAGCAACAGGGCCGGCCCCAGGGCCCCACCCATGTCCACCGGAGGGTCCTGCGGAGAGACCAGAACAAGCACAGGGAGAGAGACAGAGGTTTGGAGAGAGGCAGATGGACAGACAGGAGGGACAGAGGGACACACATACGGAAGATGAAAGAGAAGAGGGGAAAACCTCCCTCCCCGAAGAGAGGCGGAGAGAGAGGGAGACAGACAGACACGGACAAAGAGAAAGAGACAGAGGTTAGTTGAGCATCCCAAGGGCATCCCAGAAGAGCAAGGGCTGGGGAAGAACAGGAGCCATGACCGGGACCCAGCCCTCCAGTCTACTGATGCCTTCCAAAACTCAGCCAGTGGGTTCTGCCCTAGGAAGTCATACTGAAAATGCTAGTCTGGGGTTCAAGTGCATGGATTTGAGTCAGACAGATCTGAGTTCGTGTCCCAGTTCTGCCACTAACTGGCTGTGTGATCTTAGGGAAGTCACTTAGCCTCTCTGAGCCATGTTTTCTTGCCTGAAATAATCACAGCAGTGTGAGGACTTAGATGAGCTAACAGGCTATTTGCTGGGATTAGTGACCTCATCCCGCAGGTGACAGGCCCCCAGCCAGGTGAAGGAAGACAGCTCTTGCATCACCCCCAACCCCCACCCCCACCGGCCAGTCCTCCTCATAGTCTAAACCGGATCTTCCATCTGTCTCTCACCAGGGCCTGTGCTACTGGTCAGTGTGCCCTGCTTGCCATGGGGCCAGCCCCAAGGGCCCTCCTCTGCATGGTTCTGCCTGGCACAGAGCCCCCTCCTCCTGGGCACTGGACGTCACTACAGCCCTTCCTTCTGTGGCCTCAGCTAGTAGCAGCTCTTCCGCAGCAGGGTGCAACAGCACTGACTTGTTCAGAGCTCAGGGGTACCGGAAAACCCAAGCTGGTGAGCTGGGGTTTGGTCTTGTTACACATGAGCTGGTGAGCTGGCCTCTCGGGCCATCACTGGCGTGCAGGATCTTTTGAACCCAACCCAGGGGCCTGACACGTATCCTTGCTAAATGTCATTATTTTGGATTGGGACCAAGAGCCACAGCAGTGAGGGTAACACAAAGCCTGAGTGGAGTGGTGCCCACGGATGTCACTCTCCCTCCCAGCTGGCCATCGGCCATGGCACTGCCATCTCTCCCATCTTCATCACATCCCCAGCAAAACTTCTGAGCAGGGAAGAGCTAAAGGGTGGACAGGGTGAGCCTGCCACTCCAGCCCTCCCGCCTCCCCCAGGATCTGCACATCTCTGCTACAGAAATGCTCACGAAAATCAAGCAGTTGCCAGAAACCACGCCTCCGAAAGACAGATGCCCTTCAGGGATGGGGCCCGAGACAACTGCTGGGCAGGCTCCAGCTTTCTCACAGGGCCTTCCTTTTGCCTGCCACCAAATTTCTCTCTCTCTCTTTTTTTTTTTTTTTGAGACAGAGTCTTGCTCTGTCACCCAGACTGGAGTGCAGTGGTGCGATCTCGGCTCACTGCAAGCTCCACCTCCCGGGTTCATGCCATCCTCCTGCCTCGGCCTCCCAAGTAGCTGGGACTACAGGCGCCCACCACCATGCCCGGCTAATTTTTTGTATTTTTTAGTACAGATAGGGTTTCACCGTGTTAGCCAGGATGGTCTCGATCTCCTGACCTCATGATCTGCCCACCTCGGCCTCCCAAAGTGCTGGGATTACAGGCGTCAGCCACCACACCCAGCTATCTCTCTCTTTTTTTTTAATCCAAAGCCTAATGTCTTACAGACATATGGGCCTTCTTGTATCTCTAGTTCTCTCTAAGGAATCCAGAGAGCGGGGAAGTGCAAGAGGCTACCAGGAACATTCAGGAAAGTTCCTCTTCTCCCCAGGGTGGCACTGAAAGGATCCCTCCAGGGAACCCACTAAACCAACTTTAGTGTAGAAACATCAATTGGCCCGTGTGTGCTGAGCCCCTTCCCTGCAGCAGGCGCTGGATGGTGGAATGTCCCTATGGGTGAGACATGGTCCCTGCCCTCCAGGAACTTAGAGTCAAATCTGCAGAATGAGCATGCTGCTGTTAGCACCTCCAACCTCCTTTTTTCTAAATATATTTCTCTTTCCAACCTTCTCTCCCTACTTCCCTCAAACTCCCCAGCCTCCCCGTCAAGATCTTCTCTTAGCTAAGCATCTAGAGCTCATTCACAGGAAGGTATGAGGGACTGATCATAGCTGAAAGGGTTCTCATTCCCAAGAGAGATGTAGTTTAACCACAATCAGAGCCTTAAGCTAAAGTGCCAGGTGGTAGAATTTCAGGCCAAGAAGACAAGAGTTTTGGCAAGGAAGGGAATATTGCTCTCATGGTGGCGCCCTTGAAATCTTCCCATGTGTACGGTTCCCTAGTACAGTGACACAGAAGTGACAGAAGTGACAGAACTGACAGCCCAGAGACATGTTTGAGTCTGGCAAGGGATCGATCCTAGCCATGCCATGCCATGCCTCAGCTGCCACCACCAATCAGGGATGTCAGATCTCAACCACAAAGGACACTGACATGCTTGTCGCTCCCCTTGCACGGCCTCTGTCTGCTCACCTCTGCCCACACCTCCAGGTCCTAGAGGTTCCTTGCCCTCTGGGGAGCCCCAAACCTCCTACTACCCCTGCCTCCCAGTAATGAGCTCTAGATCTGTGCTGCCCAGTATAGGAGCCGCCAGTCATACACGACTATTGGGTACCAGAAACATCTCTCACCCAAACGGAGTTTGCTATCAGTGTAAAATTTCATGCCACACTGCACATTGAAGACAACAGGGAAAAAGAATGTAAAAAATCTCGTAAACACTTGTATCTTGATTACATGTTGAAATAATAACATTTGGGGTATGTTTAGTCAAAGAAAATATACTATTAAAATTAACGTCACCTGTTTCTATTTGTTTTAATGTGGTTACTAGAAAATTTTAAATTGTACTTGTGGCTCCCATTTTATTTCTTTGGACAGTGTGACCCTGGATGAAGGGCCCAGGCTCTCCCTCAACTGCAAAGGGGCAGAATAAGCAGTCTGCCATTAGCATCTCCAACCTCCTTTTTCTAAATGTATTTCTCTTTCCAACTCCCTACTCCCCTCAAGCTTCCACCCTCCCCAGTCAAGACCTTTTCTTAGCCAAGGACCTAGAGCTCATTCACATGAAGGAATAAGGGTCTGGTAATAGCTGAAAATGTTCTCATTCCCACTCTCTCCAATAGGAAGACATCCTCATGGGCTGGGGACACCAGAGACTCTCTCCAAAGGGAAGGTGTCCTGCTGGGTTGGGGGTTGGGGGTCGGGGGGTGGGGGAGTTGAGGCAGGTTGTACCTCTAATCAAGGGGCCTAAAATGGGGGAGGGATCCCAGAATACCTCCAGAGCCAGGGGCCAAAACTAGGTAAGTCCCTGGGCTCCAAATAGCAAGGGGCAGACTCAAGGAGCTTCCGAATTCTGTCTCATCACCCCGTCTAACCCAGCCACCCTACAGAGGTAGGAGGGACAAACTCCACTTTCCCCCGCCACAATCTCCTCCCTTGCCTCCCCCTCCCCACCTCCCACCTACCCACCCCCGCCAGCCCCACTGCACTGCTGAAGCCTTCCTCCAGCCACTGCTCCCTCCTCACACAGGACAGCTACACCCTGGTGCCCACAAATGAAGTCCAGACAGCTTAGTCCCATAGACAGAGCCCTCTGCACCCTGACCGCAACCAACCGTCCTCCCATCCCTGGAACCCACAGCTCTGCCAGTCTGCTGGCCAAACAGCCCCATTCTGCCCTCATCTCCAGGCCTCGTTCCAGCATCCCCCAGGCTGGAATGTCCTCATCCCAACAGAAGTCTACTCTCCTTCAGGGCCCAGCTGAAATCCCTCTCCCACAGGCACCTGCCTTGATGCCTCAGGCTCTAGGCGCAGGGACTGCGGCCAGGCTGGGGCACCTGCCCTTCTTCCCCCTGCCCTGGCTTCCCCTCCTGGGTGGGGAGCTCTGTGTAGTGGTCCCCTCCACCCCTCCATTCTGCCCTGCGGCAGGTGTGTGTGCACTCATTAACACCCTGCCCCACACTGGACTGCGGGCTCCTTGAGGGCAGACACATTGTCTCAGAGACCTCTGCCCACCCACCCACTCAGGGTCTCACCCCTTCCACAAACAGCCCTTAAACTAATGTTTGACAAACACAGAGATCCCCAAAGAGCCCCAGAGAGGATGGCAGTGGTCAGTCCTGCAGGACACAGCAGCATCTAGAAGGGTCTGAGCACCTTCCCAGGCTGGGGGCCTTCTCCTTCCCGGGTCCTCACAGCTCAGCCAGACCCCCTGGCACGGACCTGCACACACATGCACACTCCCGCACTCATACCCGCTCACATCTGAGATACCGATGGCTCTCCCTCTCCCAGGCTAGGAAACTCTGTCGCAGGAGTCCTCCCCACCCACCAGCAGAACCCCCGGACCCCCTGCCCTTCCGGTGAGCCGCCCCTCCTTTGCCGTCGGGTTTCCCTCCCTCCCTTTTGCCCAGCCAAAACCCGAACCCAGGCGCCAGGGGAGAGGACCGCCGTTCTAGCTTGCCCCACTGCTGGGGGCACGGAGTTCTTGCTCCTCCAAGGCTACGGCCCCCGTCTCCGCGGACCCCGCCCGGACTCCCCCTGGCCACCGGGACGCCCCGCCCCCTCCCCTCCGCAGCAATCTCTTACACTCGGGCTGTGAAGTTCGGGGTATTTTTAGGCCGGCGATAAATAATTCATAGGGAACGTGGCATCAGGCTCCCCCCGCGGGAGGAGGGGGCGCGAGCAGCGAGAGCCACCGTCACCCGCGGCTCAAGGACACTCGCGATGCGGCGGCGGCGGCGGCGGCGGCGGCTCCGGGCGGGGACCCGCGCCACGCCTCCTGGCGGCCAAGCTGAGCACCACGCACCCGGCGCCCCCCGCCCCACGCTGCCCCCCGCCGGCGTCCGCGGCTCCGGGGCCCCCACCCCCACTCCCCCAAGCTGGGTCGTGACCCCGAGTCCCGCAGTGGGGGGACCAAGCCAGCCTGGCAGGCGGCCCCAGTACCATCCCAGGCCCGCCCGGGGGCCCTGGGCGAACCCAGGTGTCCCGGACCTGCCTACCTGCCCCTGGCACGCTCTTATTCTTCGGGAGTTTAGAAACAGGCTCAAAGTCACTAGCACCGCCAAGACCTGGACGGGCTCTGAAATACAGCCAGCGGAATGGTACCCTCCCCAAATAAGTGTCTTTCCTCGATTTTCCTGTGGCCCGGGGTCAGGGACTGAACTAAGATAACGCCACCATCCGAGGGCTGGGGGACCGAGCCAGAAGTCCCCTTGGACGACCAGGGCTGGGAAACCGAGTGGACGAATGGGGTGGGCATCAGGGCCTGGCGGGAATTCCCGTCTTGCTCACCCAGCAGCTCCTTGCAGGGTCGCGGGACGCACCTGGGGGTTCAGGTTGCCGGGTGCCTTTGCTCCGCGTGTCCCCGCCCTGCCCGCGTAGGCAGGAAACAGGAGACTCGGGGCTTCCCCTCCCCGCCGTCGGGGATCCTGGGCGAAGCCCCCAGAGACCGGCGCAGGCGGCTGGTGCGCAGCCAGGGCCCAGCGCCAGGTCTTGCTCGCCCAGTGCCCTCTCTGCCTACCCTTCCCTTTGCGCTCTGGAAGCCCGGGAGCCGGGCACGGGCCAGCATCTGCAAGATGCCACTACTCTGGAAGCCCACTCCGATTCTCCCAGGTCGCAGGAAGGAGAGAGCTAGGCTGGGGCAAAGGAGATGGGGCAGAGCTGGAAGGGGAAGAAGCGGGACTCGCGGCGGGGGAAGGGGTCTGGGCGCCGAGGCGAGTGCGCAGCAGGTGCCCAGCAGACCTAGGGAAACTGGGGCACTGGGCTGGGGAGCCGCACAGCCCCCTTTCACCTTCTCGACTCCTTTCCAACCCCTCGCTCTGGTGGATCCCAGCCCCGGCCCCCACTCCCGGCCCTGTTCCCCGCTCTCCGCCCCGGCGGCTTCCAGCAGCAACAGTTTGGGTCCGCGGCAGCCCAGACTCCCCTGGTCCCGCGGTGCTGCCGCGCCAAGCGAAGGAGGAGGAGGGCTCGGCGACCCTGGGGACGAACGTCTTGGACGCTTCGCCCGCGTCCTTCTCTCGCGTCCGCCGCGCGCCTGTCTGCTCGGCCTCTTCTTCGCCTTCTCTCCGGCCGCCCGGGTCAAAACCCAAGGCCAGGTTCTTGAGGGTCCGGGTCCTCCAGCCGCCCCCTCCTTGAGCCCCGAGAGTCCTGCGTGGGTCCAACCCCCCGGGTGTCCCGCCTCTGTCTCCGCCGTCCTTGCTCGCGCGCCGCGGGAACCCAGCCCCAAGTTGGCGGCGAAGTTGGTGCCCCTCGCCCGCCGCTCGCCACTTACCGAGGGGAAGGGGCGCTGCGCCCGCGACGAGAGCCCGCGCCGGCCGCCTCCCTCGCGGTGTCTGTCCCAGAGCCTCGGCCCCGGAGGGCTGGCGCGCTCAGTCTCAGCTCCGCGGGCGCCGGAGCCCGGGCGCGGCGGGGCGGGGGCGGGGGCGGGTGGCGCGGCCTGGTCCGCTGGCCCCGACCCGCCCCTGCGCCCCGCGACCCTCCCGAAGCTCGCACGGCGCCCGGCTCCGTCCCGGGCTGGGCTGCGCACCGCGCCTCCTGCTCCCAGAGCTCGCAGCCGACTGTGCGGGAGCTCTCACCGCCGCCCGCGAGGGCCCGCCCCGCCGGGGCCCGCCACCTCCGCCCCGGCCCGGCCCGGCCCGCTGCCCCTCGAGGCCCCTCCCGCCGCATTCCCGGGCCCCTCTCCCCTCTCCGGAACCGCGTCCCCAGACCTGACACTCGGGGCAAGTGCGCCTCGGAGGACACACCAGCCTGCCCGGAGCCTGGGTTTGAGCCCGCAGCTCACGAGTGTGTGACCTTGGGCCAATTTCGAGGACCCCTCAGGTTATACAGCGAGGCAGCATCTTGAGGGCTGCCATAAAAGGGAGTGACCACTCTCTGGACACTGCAAAGCCCTAGGGAGACTGAGGCACTATTTTTAAAGGCCAGTGTGTCTGACTGGAAACGGAAGCAGGAAGGCTTTGAGAGCCAAAGAATGGGCCCCAGGCTAGACTCGCCTGGGGCACCCAGAGGTACAGGGGACAAGCTGCTTCTCAGTCCCCCGCTCCCATTTCTTTTCTGTTTTGATTGTACTGAGGGCTCCCCAGGGAGGGGTGGTCCCGGTCCCGGTCCCGGGCAGCCCTAGTGTGGACAGAAGACAGGCAACCCGCAGCCACAGCAGGGCCGAGCGGAGAAAGGAAGGGTGGCTATGCCAGGCCTGGCTGCCGAGCCCCATCAAGCCCCCAATGAGGCCCCTGAGCAGGGAGCCGTCTCTGCAGCGCCACCTGGTGATGGTAGGGGAGCTACGGCCAGAAGGTGACCCCCGACCCCAACCCTTCCAAAAAAAGTCCCCCATCAACCATGGCTCTTGGTTGCAGCTGTTTTATTTCCAGCATGTTCCCAACCTGGTGACCCTCCACAGTCCAGCAGTAGAGAGATGGGTAAGGGGTTAGATCGGCCCACACCTCCACCTGTCCCTAAGGTTACCTCAGTTGCTGAAAGCTAAAACCTTGCGCGCAAGGGCGACCTTCCCCAGGAGGGAGGAGAGACGCTGGAAGAGCAGCCAAGCCTCCAAGCCAGGGCCGGCCGGGATCAGCAGAGGTGCAAAGTCCCACTCAGACGGACCCAGCCCTTCCCCTCCCAACACTCATCCCTTCCCTGCTGGGGGCCGGGGCTGGGGCTGGGCTCAGTGGCCCAGGAGGCGCAGCATCTCCTGAGGATCCACCAGCTTCTCCCTGGGCTTCCCCGTGCCCTGGCCCCGGGCCACCTCCTCGGCATCCAGCTTCTCCCAGTCTGAGAAAGAGACTGGCCGGACCCCTGAAGCAGAGGGGAGATTGTCAACACCTCCTCCTTCACCCCTCCCAGAACAGCCCCCTCCCAAAGAGTGAGGCCCAGAGAAGGACCACCCACCCCACCTCCCAGGACCTCAGCATCGGGGCCCAGACCTCGGCTGCTGAGCAGGGCCTGGATGGCTGCGTAGCCAGGCCTGGGGCCAGAGGGGAGCAACCCAGCCTTCAGGTCCTGCAGCAGCATCTGGCCGGTGAGGAAGCTGTCAGTCATGGTTGTGGCTATGACACCTGTAGGTCCTCTCTTCACCCAGCCGCTGCAGTAGAGGCCTGAGAGGGGGTAACAAAAGGGGAAGGGAGGGAGGTGGCTGGATACCACCCTGGCCATCCTGTGCCCACAATCTACACCCACGTGCACGCACACAGACACCCCACGCCTCTTGGCAGACTGTCGGCTGAGCCTGCTGTGGCCGCTGGTCCACTGCCCTGGATTCTTCTCTCCCTGTTTTTACCAGGCCGACCCCCTTACACCTCAGTTTCCCTGTAGATGAGGGGATCCCTAAGCTTAGGAGCTGAGGCTTGCTCCCCTGCAGTTTCAGTAGGCCCTTGGTAAATGTTTACCAAGTGAATTAATCACTAGATAGGTATGTGGGCACTTAGTAAAACTGGAAGCTCCCTGAGGACACAGGCTGCCTTATTAATCTCCAATCCCAGCACTAAGCACAGGGCCTAACCCAGAAAAGACCTCAGTAAACGTTTGTTGAATGACTTAATGACCCGACGTATGTCACATATGTCCTAGCCAGACTGGAACTTCTCTCAGGGCCAAGAGGAGGGCGGCACTGGGTCCTAGAGAGGGCCTGCCCTGCAGAAGCTTCTCAGTACATGTTGCTAGATGAATGAACGCATGGCCCCAGGAGATACCAGCTTCTCGGCCTCTCACCATAATTCAGCACCCAGCCTCCTCACACCCTCTCACCTGGCACATCCATAACCCGGCCCTCCACATTGGGGATGACCCCAAGCTTGGAGTCAAAGGGCACGCTTGGGTCGACAGGGCGGCTCTTATACCCAATGCTGCTGAGCACCAGCCCACAAGGGAGGTCTTCCATGTCTCCCGTGGGCACTGCACGGGTGGCCTCATCGACACCCTGTTGGGGAGAGTGTGGGCAACACCAGGCGGGTGGCAGAGGCCTGGGAAGGGGGTGTCTTTGGGAAACATGAGACTCACCTCCAGTCTAGTGACTGCTAGGCGGACACCTGCTGCCCGCCGCCCATCTGGTGAGGGCAGCACCTGCTGGGGGCTTCGGAAAAAGCGGAGGCCCCAGGCACGGGAGGCCGATGCCTGGCGGGCAGCTTCCGCCGGCCCTGGCTTCTCTGTGGCCGTTCGAAGCAGCAGTTCCGTCAGCCGCTTCCTCGGGCGGGGGACCTCTGTCAGCAACGTAGAATGTCTCCAGGCTGTCCCTGGGCCCCGGCCCTCTCCCTGCATGCCCTTCCCCAATCCCTCTCTGACCTAGGCCACCCTCTCCCTAGTAGTTGGGGGGCCAGGCCAGGGCCCCTCACCCTTGATCTTGTCCTGGAGACCCAAGAAATCCACAGGATCCAAAATGGGCCGGGCTCCCGGTAACTGAATCATCTCCCGAAGCTCCTTGAAGGTGGGAGCAGGGAATGGGGGAGGAGGTCAGGCCCAGAACACAGTCCACCTGAGCCCACCCCAGGGTCCAGCCCAGGCAGGAGAGACCACCACCCGCCTCCTCCCCAAAGGCACAGGGCCCCCGGGGCCCTGACTGCTCCCCTTCTTCCATCCCAGGCAGCAGCTACTCCCAGGGGCTCTGCCCCACCCCAACCCCTTAAGGAGAGGCCCCCTCCACCTGGAACCCTGGCTCCTCCCACTCTGGCCCCAGCACCTTAATGGTGAAGGCCACTTGCAGGGGTCCACGCCGGCCCACTAGCCACACTGTCTTCACTCGACTCTGCCTCAGTACACCCAGGGCTGCCTTCGTGATGTCCGTTCTCTGGCACAAAAGGAGGGCCTTGGAGTCATCAGACACTGACCGAGGAAAGGGGACTCTCCATTTGGTCATGTCCCCACCGTGGGCCTGGAGAAGGCTGGCGGCTCAAAATTGCGCCACTGCTCCCCCCTGGTGGCCAGATGGAGCATTGCTGCCAACTCTGCAAATGGCTCCAACTAATAGCACACCAGGCCCACACTTTCATTCAACAAGTATGTAGTGGGCCTCTACCATGTGCTCACCCCCATGCAAAGAGCTTGGAGGGGCGGGGTGGTCAATGGTGAGGAAAAGAGACAAGGAGCAGGCCCTCTCAGAGCTTGTGATCTGCTGGGGAGAGAAATACTCATCAAATACTCATCAATGTGTGTAAAATTGCTGTGGCGATGATATGCGGTGAAACAGAAGTAGACAGGTCTATGGGAGGAGGCACGATGGGGGAGTGGACCAATTCAGGGAAGTCCTGGAGGAAGGGACAACCGAGCCAAGATCTCAAAGATGAACTTTAACTGTTAACTGGTGGGAGGTGAGTGGGGATGATCCAAGCAGGGGATGTGGCTTACTGAAGAGTAAGAGAAAAACGCCACTTAGCTGGAGTGCAGAAAGTGAAGGGAAAATGGTAGAAGAGGAAGCTCATGGCACTGCCCTTCAGAGAGCCTCTGCCTGGGCACCACGGGGAAACAGAGGCACTGAGCCCAGCTTGGAGAGGTAAGGCCTGAACCCTGCAGACAAGGGCACTCTCTCCTCAGGGTGACCCCACCTCCAACCCCGCCAGCCCTGACCTACCACTCACCTCCAGGTGCTCAGGTGGGGTCAGTAGGATGCGGGCCACGTCCAGAGCCACGTTCCCCTGCCCCAGAATCACGGCTGTGTCACAGCTCAGGTCTGGCTCCAGCTGGAGGGGAAAGGTCTTGATAGGGTCCCCCAGCCTCGCTCCACTCAGTTCATCTCAGTCTGCAGGTGCCTCATGCCTGGTCCCCACTGTGCCCTGGGGCTTCCCCACACCGGGAAAGTCCACAACTCTGGTCCCTCCTCCCCCACCTGGACCCAGCTCTCCCCCGAGGCCCTCCACAGCTGGCCTCCCGCCTCAGTCAGCACAATGTCACAGCTCGCCACTGGATGGCAGCTCCCTCTTCCCCCAGGTCTGGCATCCAAGGGCTGAGGGGCGGGGAGGAAGAGGCAGCGGGCGTGCTCCCCATACTCACCTCCTGGTTCTCAGGAAGCCCGTTGTACCAGCCCACGAAGGCCCGGGCGGAGCACACACCTGGCAGCTCCTCACCAGGAATTTCCAGGGCCCGATGGTCCTCTGCCCCGTAGCTCTGATGAAAGATGGCAGGCCCGAGACCCACAGCCTTCAGCACCAGCACTGATAGGCCGGGCAGCCCCCCAGGCTCCCAGCGGCCTCCTTCCAGCTTCTCAGCAGCTTGCATCCTGGCCTCACCCCTGCTGCCTTCCACCCCGAGCCACCGGCCTCCTTCTGCAGCCCCTGCCTCCCCAAGCCAGGGCCTAGCTGCACTCACCAGCACCACAGCGTGGTAGGCCTCCTGCAGCTCCGGCACCGTCACGTCCCTGCCCACCTCCACGTTGCCCCAGAAGGCACAGCGGCCAGAATGGGCCGTCTGGGTAAATGTGTTGATGACATTCTGCCAGGTCCCCCGGGAATGGGAGGGGTTAGAGGGTAAGGCAGCTCCAGGGACCAAGTCTGCACCACCCTCACCACTCTGTGTCCCCAGGAGGGAAGCTGGGTGGCATGGGCACAGACGGCATGAAGTCCTGTCATCCAGCCAGGGAGCCTCCCTGCCCTCCTCATCTTGACCAAAGTCTCCAAACCCCAGCCTCCAGGCCCAGAGACACCCACCTTCACCTCGGGGTGATCAGGCGCCACACCAAAGCGCACCAGGCCAAAGGGCACAGGCTGTTTCTCGTAGATGTCCACGTGGGCCTGGGGGTGCTGCTGGGGAACAGGGTGGCAGCTGGTGGGGCCGAGAGAGAGAGGCTGGGACGCCCCCAGGTCCTCCCCTTCCCCAGACAGAGCAGGAGAGTTCAGGACCCTGGGCTGAGAACACAAGGCTTCCACCCTCTGCAAGGAAAAAGAGCACTCACTCCTTGGGTGGCTCGCGCCTGTCAGCCCAGCACTTTGGGAGGCTGAGGCAGGTGGATAACCTGAGGTCAGGAGTTCGAGACCAGCCTGACCAACATGGTGAAACCCTGTCTCTACTAAAAATACAAAGATTAGCTGAGCGTGGTGGTAGGCACCTGCAATCCCAGCTACTTGGGAGGCTGAGGCAGGAGAACCGCTTGAACCCAGGAGGCAGAGGTTGCAGTGAGCGAAGATCGCGCCATTGCACTCCAGCCTGGGTGACAGAGCAAGACTCTGTCTCAAAAAAAAAAAAAAAAAAAAAAAAAAAGACGACGACGGCCGGCCCTCAGAGATGGGGAGAAATGTGGCCAGCTGACAAGGCCGTGGCTTCCCCCGACTGGAATTATATCAGGGCGGCTTCTTTATCTTCTCAGGTCAAGCACAACCCACAGCCCTGGCCTCCAACCCTTCGACACTTGGGACCCTCAGGTCCCAGCCAGTCTGAGGACCTGAGGGCCACCCTCTGAATTCACAGGTGCCTTAGCTCTAGTGCCCAGGACCATGCTCTGGGGAAAGGGGAGCAGCAGGACAGGGAGGGGGCACGGCTGGGAATTCACGGGAAAGAGAGGTGGAAATGGGCCTGCTCCCACTCTTAGAAAGACAGTCTCAGGCACTGGTTCTGCATGACCGCCTTCCCAGGGCACCTTGAGAGGCCGTGTGAAAGGCACAGGGTCGGGGGTCCAGCAGGCAAGTCTGGTATGGCTCTGCCACCAACCAGCCACATGATCCCAGCAAGTCCCAGGGCCTCCCCAAGTCTCAGTCTCCCCCTCTGCACACTAGGATGGATGACAGCTCTCTCTCATGGCTGCTGGAAAGCACCAGGAGGTCAGGATGGTGAGACTCTGGGCCACAGGCCGGTTAGCAGTAAAGCAGTCAGGGGTCCCACAGCTGACACGCCCAGCCCCCCATCCTATCTTAGGTCCCCGCTATGACACCTCCAGCTTCACTGGGACTCAAGGCAAAGAAGCCCCTGCCCATCAGTCTCCCTACCCCCAACAAAGGCTCCCACCCACCTCTTCGCCTTTGCCCAAATCCCCCCTTCCCCTCCACTCCCCTGCCTGCACCCAAGTCCACCCTCCCCCACCTCCTGCCTCTCTCCATCCCAGGCCAGCCACAGGGGGCTACCCAAACCACCTCCCTCAAGCCCCACGATGTTGTACCCACAAAGCGCTCTGGGCTTGGAGTCAAACAGGTAGCCTTGGATGCCAGTCCCAGCTCTAGCACTAGCTGGCTCTGTGCACTGGGGAAAGTTTCTTCTCTGTCCAAAAGAAGAGCCCTGTGGTGTCCTGCTCAAGGTTAAATGAGTAATCAGGCAGCCCGGGGTGCAACCTACTCTGAGTGTTCAATCAAGAAGAGAGCTATCATTACTATTCTGTTGTTGTATGTCACTGCCTTGCTCAAAAATCTTCGCTGGGGCCCAGTGCCACAGCATAAAGTTCAAACTGCTCGGCCTAGAGGTCAACACCTCACCCAACCAACCTCTCTGTCCTTATCTTCCATTCTTTCCTGCGACAGATCCTTCACTCTGGGTCACGATGTCCTCTCCAGGGCCACCTCCGGAACGCTAAGTCTGCCGGATGTTCTTACCCCTTATCTCTCGTGGCTGACCTCATCTTCCAGGTTTCCTCCTTCCTTCCTTCCCTCCCTCCTGTCCCTCTAGCTGCTCCCCGCTAACAAGGACATTCTCTGAGGTTCTTCCGATTGGCCCCCCTCCCTCCTCCCTGAGGATTTAACCCACTCCCTCCTGCGACCCCAAATTCCCCTGAACTTGCTGATGACTTTCTACTCTCTCTCTCCTGCCCAGACATCTCCCCAAGCTCCAAACCTGAGACCCTTGGATGTCCCACCCCAGACATCTCAAATCCATCCAGTTTCAAGCCAAGTCCCCTTGCCCCAAACCGCTCCCCACTTCTGCTCCTGTTCCCTCGACCCCATCCACTCAGAGCCCAAGCTGGAACCTGGGGCTCCTCCCTGACCCCCGACCTGATCCCATCAATCCCCCATCCTCCCAGTCCTCTTCCTCACTACAACCCCAGCAGCTCCCCACTGCTATCTGGCCACCAGCCCTGCCTGGACCTACGCTGCAGGCAGAGGGGGCATCCTGAAGGAAAACAGCAGCCCGAAAACTCTCCAGTGAAGCCAACCATCTACAGCTGTGGGCACAAGAATCCTTCGGGGTGTTTAACATTGCTGACTCTTGGGCCCAGCCACAGAGTTTGATTAGGTCCAAGTTAGGCCCAGGAATGTGCATTTTGATAAGATGCCCCGGGAGACTCTGATCAGGGAAGAGGAGGCAGCTGTGGACACCTCCCAGCGAAACCTGCCTCCAGAGCCTGGTCAATGGCTTCCAAGCCCCCCAGGATCTGGGTCCTACCTACCTCTCAGCCTCGGCTCTCACCTCCTCACGCCTTACTGCACACAGGCACCTTCCAGAACTTGCCCTTTCCCCAGAGAGCCATTCTCTTCCTCTTTGTTCACGCAGTTCTCTGTGCCTGGGACACTCCTGCTATTGTCCCCCAACCTGACATCTACTGTCCTTCAGACTGCAATTGGGACATCTCTCCCTCCAGACTGGGCATGGACCCCCTCCCCGCACCCCAGTCTCTGTGCTTATAGCCGTCAGAGCCCTAAAATACCTTGTAAATTATCCACCTGTCCCCTCCACATTCGAATGTCAGGTCCTCGAGCACAGGGACCACGTCTGTCCTGTTCACCCCCATGTTCCCAGTAAAGCCTGCGCCCAGAACATGTTACGTCCAGTAAATGATTACTGAATGGATTAACATGGATGGCCTCACATGGAGCTGCCTTCGCTCAGATCCCAGTGCCATCCCTGCTCCACGGTGGAAGCTTGGACAACCTCACTTGGCCCTAGCATCCTTACCTGTGAAGCAAGAGGCACGACACCTGCTTTGCAGGTTGTCATGAGGATGCTACGAGATGCTGTGCTCAGTGCCTGACTCAAGCTAAGGGCCACTGTCCCAAACGTGCTGCATGTGGTCCTGTCTTAGGAGCACAGCCAGTAGCTTGGAGCTCCCTGTGGGCAAAGATCAGCCCAAGGATCAGAACAAGGATTGTACCTGGCCTGAGCCCCTCCCCATCCCATTCCACAAGGAAAGCATGTGCACGTGTCTGCCAGCTGAATACAGTCGTGCTAAGAACACTGCCTGGCCGGGCGCGGGGGCTCACGCCTGTAATCCCAGGACTTTGGGAGGCCGAGGTGGGCAGATCACTTGAGGTCAGGAGTTCAAAACCAGCCTGATCAACATGGTGAAACCCTGTCTCAACCAAAAATACAAAAATTAGCTGCATGTGGTGGAGTGCGCCTGTAATCCCAGTTACTCAGGAGGCTGAGGCAGGAGAATCGCTTGAACTTGGGAGATGGAGGTTGAAGTGAGCTGAGACTGTGCCACTGCACTCCAGCCTGGGCGACAGAGCCAGACTCCATCTCAAAAAAAAAAAAAAAAAAAAAAGAACACTGCCTGGAAAGCTTACTCTCCTCCCTTCCAAAATGTCAGGATCAGCTAAAAAAAAACTGTCCCTTATACAAAGCCCTTCAGGGCCTCTCCAGCCCCCATGTGCTCCCTGATCTCCATCCCAGAGCCCAGGCTGTCCTCCCTCCCACATGGCAGCGTGCCCAAGGCCTTGCATTCCAGGATGACTCCCCACATGTGGGAGGCCCTCACCAAAGCCCTTGGTCTGCTTCAAGGCAGCTCAAATGCACTGTCTCTCTTTTTTTTTTTTTTTTTTTTTTTGAGACAGGGTCTCACTCTGTCGCCCAGGCTGGAGTACAGTGATTTGATCTTGGCTCAGTGCTACCTCCACCTCCTGGGTTCAAGCGATCCTCCCGACTCAGCCTCCCAAGTACCTGGGACTACAGACCTGTGCCACCACACGTGGCTGATTTTTCTATTTTTAGTAGAGATGGGGTTTCACCACGTTGGCCAGGCTGGTCTCAAACTCCTGACTTCAAGTGATCCACCTGCCTTGGCCTCCCAAAGTGCTGGGATTACAGACATGAGCCACCTGGGCTTCCGGCCCAGGAAACAGTTTCTGATTGACCCCACCTGCCTCGGCTCACGCTGCCCACATTATTGTAATTAGCTCTTTCACCCGTGTTGCCTGGGAAGCATGCACGGGTCACTTTTCAGCAGAGTGATCAACTCATCCCAGTTTCCCAAGAACTTCCAGCTTAGCGCTGAAGCCCCTTGTCCTGGGCAGTCCAGGCCAGTTGGTCACCCTACATTTCAAGCATCTGTGTGTGTGTGTATAATTAAGATATTCATCCTTTCTCTTGTCTCTCCACGGACACTCCAAGCCTCTCCAAAGCTAGGCAACTGTCTCACGTCTCAGTTAACCTGGGTATCCCCTCTCTACTCTGTCCCAAAGTCTGATGTGGAGTCTCAAGTAGAACCTGTAGCCTTGGCTTGGGGCCCTTCCTGCCGAGGCAGACACTGAAAGCCTTGAGATCCTGGCCTTCACAGGGGAAGGGGGAGGGGCAGAGGGCAGGCTGAAAGAACAGAATGGCACGGAGGACTGGAGCTATGGGTGAGGAGGGCATGGCAAGGCAGGTAAAGTTACAGAAAGCGGAGGAGGTGGGTAGCCTCGAGATGTAGGATGTTTGGGATAGAGTGAAGATAGACGAGAGAGGAGGGAAGATGAAGGAGGACAAAGTCATTTTGCAGGTCTACATAAGCCCCCTGGAGTGCTTGGCCAGGGAGGCAAAGCTGACCACCTGCCACTGACCACTCACCACCAATGTGCGTTTTACACCCCTGTCACACTGAGGACGGGAGGGGAGGGGAGCCTCAGGTGTAGGTGAGGAAGCAAGTGGGAAGTGTCCAGGCCAGATGGCTGGGAGCCCCTTCCCCATAAGGCAACCAGGAGTGCTCTTAAAACCCAAAGCGGGTGAGGCTTGCCCTTAGGACTGGAGCAGCAGGTGAATGATGGACTATGAGTAAGTGGCTTACCTTTAGCAGGTGTTGGGCCGTGTAGAAGCCAGCTGGGCCACTGCCCACCACACAGATCTGGGGGGTCTTCTCCTGTGTGGAGAAATGGTGGCAGAAGCCTGGGGCCAGGCAGAGGAGAGGGAAAAGGTCAAAATTAACTTCTCTCCCCAGTCCCAAACCAACCTGAATATCCAACAGAAGCTGGAACTTCCCAAGCTTCACCCTCACCTGCATCCTCCTTCTCTTGTTCCTCAAGGCTTTGGCATTTGCAGGGTCTCTTACTTCATCTGAACCCCCAAAGGCTGTGGGTTCATCCAGAGCCCACATCTCACCCATGAACCTACTACACCACTGCCAATGGCCTGCCCAACAACACTTCATTCCCTATCCAATCGGCTAGAATCCCACATCCTTCCAACGGCCTCCATATCATCCCAATCTCGCCCCCGTGGGTCTCCCCACGGTGTCCCTCCTCTAACCCCTCTCTCTCTCCACAAAACGCTATATTGCCCATATAGACCCGTCTTATTCCTACAGATCCCTGTTTCGACTCAGACTTTCCTCTCGCCCCACAGACCTCCGTATCATCCTCCATTCACCCCGTCTCACACCTGTAGATCTCAAAGTCTCTCCTTTTCACCTTTGTTGACCTCCGTCTCTAACCCTAGAAGCCTCACATCTCACGCACAGATCTCCGCCCACCCCCGTACACCACCGGGATCTCGCCAGCAGGAAGACACCCCTTCAGTCTCACCCTTCTCCAGCCCTGCCCCAGCTCTGCTCCGACCCCTACTCAGCGCTCGCAGGCCTCCCCGCGCTCCCATCCAGCCCCAAAGGCGCCCTGCTCCTACTCGGGGTGCTCCCGGCGGGAGGCAGCCGGGTCCGAGGCCACGCCGACCAGCCCCACCAGCGCCAGCAGCGCGAAGCCATGGCTGGGAGCAGCAACCTGCAAGTGGATCTGTTCCTAGCTACTGCTCCGCAGGGCAAGCCCGCTCCTGCCCGGGCCCGCCCACAAGCGAGGCCCCGCCCCAAACCCCGCCCCCTGCGCTCCGGGAAAGCGGAGCCTTGCGGCTCCACCCCGACTCCCGAGAGAATCCCGCCCCCAAAAGAGAGACCCGCCCTTAACTACGCCCCACCGTCGAAGCCCCGCCCCTCGGAGCATCCGGGGTATACGCGATTTAATACATTTCTCCCCAGGCCTCACCTTCCCTCCAAATCCCGGAAGCCTAGGGTTGGAAGAGAGCGAATCCCCATCGCTGTTTCAGTCCCTCCCCAAGGAAACAGCCACTAAGAAAGGAGCTTATTTTACTTAGCCGCGCCCCTCTCGGGAGGCTCTCGTCGCTCACTGATGACGCAGACGCCCTTGCCATTTGATTGCGAATCCTCCCACGTGACTTCGTCCTAGCCAATCACGAGTCCGGCTCCAAGCGAGCCTTCCCGCCGTTGGGAAATAACCAGAGTGCGGAAGTCTGGGGCGAGGGAGCTCCTTCCCGGAGCCCAGCAGCCTCCTTCTTCGACCCCGGGTGTTGTGCCGATGTAACCCCTCAAATCCCCGTCTTTGCCGGGCCAGGGAGAATATTAAACCCTGGAAAGCTCGTCCCACCTCACCTCCTTTCCCATTACATAGGTGAAGAAAAGCGGGGCGGGGCAGTGGCTTACGTATGGTACTAAGGACAGAGCGTCCGACCCCCGTGCAGCCGAGCCGGGACCAGAGTTGAGGTACTCCCCTCGGGTTCAGAATTTAAGGGGGCTCCAAAACACTCAGTAATCAAGATAAATATAATACTGCAACGTTTTAAAAGGTCAAAAGTAATGCAAAAAGTCTATGATCAAAATGTTTTTAAAAATAAGGACAGGATCCGTAGTCACAGCTGACCCAATAAGCCTAACCCCTCTTCCTTTTCCCCATGGGCCCTCTTGTCAAATATTACTTCCTTGGAGAAGCCTTTTCTCTGACCCGTCCCCTCCCAAGTTCCAAGGAGTTAAAGGCCTCTCATTCCACAGCATCTGACCTTATCCCATCATGACTTACTACACTGGTTGTCGTTTTTAATGAGATTTTAAATTCAATAATAACATACAGAAAAGTGCACAAATCATGAGTGTACAACTTGACAATATATCACAAGGTGTAACCATATAACCACCACCCAGATCAAGAAATAAAACATGGCCAGTATCCCAGGAGTCCTCTGTGCCCTTACTGGTCACTTCCCCTCCCTCCCACTGGTAAGTAAATGCTGTCTGCTTTCTAATAGGTCACTGTGTTTTATGCCTGTCCCACTAGACCAGGAGTAGGCAAACTATAGCTTGCAGGCCAAATACTGTCCACCAGCATGTTTTGGATGACCAACAAGAATGGCTTTTACTGTTTTTGTTTTTTTGGAGGTTTTGGGGTTTTTGTTTTTGGTTTTGATTTTGTTTTTTGAGACAGGGTCCTGCTCTGTCACCCAGGCTGGAGTGCAGTGGTGCTCACTGCAACCTCTGCTTCCTGGCTTGGCTCAAGCGAGCCTCAGGCCTCAGCCTCCGGAGTAGCTGGGACCACAGGTGCCTGCCACCACGCCTGGTTCATTTTTGCATTTTTTGTGGAGATGGGGTTTTGCCATGTCACCCAGGCTGGTCTCGAACTCCTGAACTCAAAGCGATCCTCCCACCTCGGCCTTCCAAAGTGCCAGGATTACAGGAGTGAGCCACCACACCCAGCTTGTTTTTATATTTTTAATGGTAAAAAACAACATTTTGTGACACGTAAAAATTACATGAAATTCAGACTTCAGTTTGAATAAAACTTTATTGGAAGACATCCATGCTTACTTCTTTACATATTGTCTATGGCTATATTTGTGCTTTGATGGCACAATTGAGTAGTTGTAACAGAGATCATATGGTTCGCAAAGCCCCAGATATTTACTATCTGGTCCTTTACAGAGTTTGACCACCCCTGCACTACATTATAAGCTCCATGAGGATGGGGACCCAGTCTCAGCTCTTATACCCCCAGGGCTTCACACACTGGCTAGCACATAATGGAAGTTCGTACAATCGAAAAAGTTCTGTAGGGCTCCCCATCTAGAGGCAGTATATCTGGTGGTGGAGGATGGATTCTAGAGTCAGACAACATTGGGTCTGAATCCCTCTTCCTCCACTTACTAGCTATATGACATTGAGAAATTTAATCTCTCCAGGACTTTTTTTCACTGTCTGTAACATTTGGGGGAAATATGAATAGTGGCAATTTGTTGTAGACATTAAAATCAGATGATGAGGTCAAGACAACTTCCATAAATGCTAGATAAACATTAGCTATTATTATCATCATCCATATGTATTATGACCTCCCATATGTCTCTGTAGATTAGACCTTAAGTCTCTGCAGAGATCTGGATATACTTCATTCACTCCTGTCACCTCCCTCACCTCTCAGGCCTCAGAAATTCCCAGCCCACATCCTAAGTGAAACAGAAAATGGAGCCTCAAAGCAATCGAGTGACTTGTTCCCATGATACCCATGGTACAGCCAGATCTGGCACCAGTGCCTTCAGCTGCTGCCCATACCCCAGTCAGGTCCAGATCAATAACAATGAGTCATTGGTTATGTATTTGGATGGTTTTAATCATGAGCCAGGACTGTGCAACTGGGGCCTTTTCTGCCACTGCGTTTCTCAAATGGAGAATTAGCAGTTTGATTAATTACACCCCTAGATCTCAAGGCCATTTCTAAGCTGCTAATGCATTTCCAAGGAGCAGCAATAACATATAGCAAAGCAGTGGGCTGGGGAGCCGCCAAGCCTGCCTCGTGCCAAGAGGGCTGCCTGGATCCAAAACTCCACTCTATCAGTCAACCTTCTAGCAAGAAACAGATGGCACACTCAAAAGGCGTGATTGAGGACAGTTTAATGAAGGAGTTTGTATACAGAGGTGTGAGCAGGGTGAAGGGAATGGAGAAGCACCCCAGGCTAGCAACAGCTGGAAACCACTACCACCGCAAGCCTGGAGGGAGCTGTTTCAGAACTAGTGAGAGTCTGTAGCTATGGAAAAGGGTGTCTAAAGGAACTGCGGTCTTTGGTAAAGGAAGGTGTGGTGGAGATGAATGGAGAGTGCACATAAAAGAACCAGTGGCCTCTGTGCAGCTGCCTAAGGCCACACCACAGAGGGGCTCTCCAACGGAACAAGGCTCAGGGAATGCCTGTGCCTGTAGCCAGACCCCTCTGCCCATCCCCCAGGCTCCCATTTGCCGGCAGTTTGTCTCCCTATCAGCAGGGTCAGGAGGCCTTTCACTCTATCCAAGGCCTTCACTGAAAAACAAGGCAATTACACGCTCAGAGAATGACTTGCATGTTCTCAACTGGGTCAACTCAGCAATGTCTGGAGACATTTTTGATTGTCACAACTTGAGCTCCCAGCATCTAGTAGGTAGAAGCCAGTGACGCTGCTAAACATCCAACAATGCACAGGACAGCCCCCAACAACACAGAATTGGCCAGATAAAATGTCAGTAGTGACTGGGCATGGTGGCTCACACCTGTAATCCTAGCACTTTGGGAGGCCAAGGTGGGTGGATTGCCTGGGCTCAGGAGTTCGAGACCAGCTTGGGCAACATGGTGAAACTCCGTCTCTACTAAAATACAAAAAATTAGCCAGGCATGGTGGCAGGCTCCTGTAGTCCCAGCTACTCGGGAGGCTGAAGCAGGAGAATCGCTTGAACCTGGGAGGCAGAAGTTGCAGTGAGCTGAGATCATGCCACTGCACTCCAGCCTGGGCGACAGAGCGAGACTCCATCTCCATAAAAAAAAAAGTCAATAGTGCCAAGGTGAGAGACCCTGTTTTCAACTAATGGGTCTGGCCTCCTTCTCTGTCTCTCCCTCAGCCTCCACCTGGGCACTTCCTAGCACCCTCCCAGTCCAGCCCCCAGCTGGGGCAGCTCCCAGCCCTCTCTCAATACTACCCACTGTGGGCTGAATCTCAGTGGTGTCCCCCAGCACCTTGGTCTCTTCCTCTGCCTGGCATTGGTAGTTCCCTTATATTCCCACCTCACTCCCAGGCTGCAGACCATCCTTCCACAGCCCTGCCCAGCCCTGACTTCAGGCTCTTCTATCTGCACCCCACCCTCCTCCCATTCCTCTCTGAGGTCATCCGTCCTCCGGACCCTGTTCCCAGTACCCCCTCCAGCCCCAGCCCCCTCCTACAAATTCTTCTCTCTCCCAGTAGATGATCCCCAGGTTCACTTCTAAACATCACAGAACAAACTGTTTGAACTAGCCAAGGTCACATTCAAAGTTATTTATTCTTTTTTTTTTTTTTGAACGGGAGTCTTATTTTTTATTTTTTTATTTTTTTGAGATGGAGTCTCGCTCTGTCACCCAGGCTGGAATGCAATGGTGCAATCTTGGCTCACTGCAACCTCCACCTCCCGGGTTCAGGTGATTCTTCTGCCTCAGCCTGCCAAGTAGCTGGGACTACAAGTGTATGCCACCACATCCAGCTAATTTTTTGTATTTTTAGTAGAGACGGGGTTTCACCATGTTGGCCAGGGTGGTCTCGAGCTCCTGATCTCGCGATCCACCCGCCTTGGCCTCCCAAAGTGCTGGGATTACAGGCATGAGCCACCGCCCCTGGCTGGCTATTTATACTCTTTCCCTAACTCTGTCCCTGGGGAACCTTCTCCCCTCACTTCCCCTGGAGTTCCCTCCCGACAAAACACACTCACTTTTATCTTGCTGATACTGTGGCCTGGGGAACTGCTGAGCCAGTGTCTTGCACAGGTTCCTTTGGCTGAGGATCGAGGAAGGCCTGCCAAAAGCAAGCTCACCCTAAGGTCCCCGGGGAGAGGGCACCTTGGTGGGCAGAGCCTGAAGGAAGCAATAGCCAAGGCCGTGTGGGGCTCTCCCAATGCCAGGGAGGTCCCAGCCGAGGGAGCTGACCCTGTTCTCTCTGTGCCCCCTGCTATCTCCCAGGTGGCCCCTGCACAGGATCCCTCTTCACCCTGTCACCTCCCTTTAACCCTACCAAGGCTCAGATGGAGCAGGGGGAAGGACCCAGCTCTTTAGTCCTGAGATGAAGTTGCTGAGGTCCAGACTGACCAGAATGCACAGCCACCATTACCGCTTCACCCAGACACCCCTCAAAACCCAGAAAAGCACGCAAGGCAGGTGGCCCCCAGACCCCAGGCCTGAGCTCCCCTGCCCCCCTGCCTGGCCGGTGCCTCCACTCTCCAGGTCCACCACCAGCCACTGAGCCACACCCCCTGGACCAGCAGCAGCAGGAGGGCCAGGGCCAGGCCAGGGAGGGGCAGGGTGGCTGCACCGGCCCGGCCTCATTACAGCCCCACAAGCTCAGTGATGGGTGGGGCCTGCACCATGAATTCCTCATAGCGACGGAGAAACAGCTGGAAGCGAGCCAGGTATGAGTCCTCGTTGTACGGTAGCTGCTTCTCACGTAGGAACTGGGACACCACGGGCTTCACCTGGTGGAAGATGGGCAGGAGAGGGCCTATGAGCAGGGGCTGTGGGCAGGCCCATCATCCCGTCAGGGGAGGGAGGGACATCATCTTCCCACCCCCAGTTCCTATCGGCCTTGTTCCAAGATTCTCCGGAGGAGCAGAAGGGCTTAAGTCAGAGAATTCTTGTCCCTAACCCTGCAGAAGAAAGGAGTGGCTTCTCTCCGACATCCAGGGATCCTGACTGCATGACAGCCCTCCTTGGCACAGGGGGATAAAAACCAGAGCTCCCTTTTACCAAGCACCTACCATGTGCCAAACATTTCAGATATATTTCTCCATTTCATCCTCAAAGCCTGTCAACAGAAGCCCTTCTACTCCCATTTTACAGAAGAGAAAGCTGAGGCCTAGAGGCATTCAGTTCACTTGTCCAGTCGCCCTGCTAGTAAGAAACCTGGGTATCTCTGATCTAAAACCCATGCTGCTGTGGATACACTGGGCTGCCCTTCCTGGGTGACCTCTGACCAGGCCAGTTGGGGGACTTGGAGTTCAGGTGAACCCTGAAGTTTCCTCCCTCCCCTCACCACCTTTTTTTTTTTTTTTTTTTGAGACAGGGTCTTACTCTGTCACCAGGCTGGAGTGCAGTGGCACGATTATGGTTCATTGCAGCCTCAACCTCTGCAGACTCAGGTGGTCCTCACCTCAGCTTCCAAGCAGCTGGGACCACAAGCATGTGCCACCACACCCCGCTAATTTTTGAATTTTTTGTAGAGATGGGGTTTCACCATGTTGCCCAGGCTGCTCTCAAACTCCTGGGCTCAAGCAATCTGCCCACCTCAGCCTCCGCAAGTGCCAGGATTATAGTGTGAGCAACGCCCCCAGGCCGAAGAATCTTCCTTTCCATCCTCTAACAGTCCCTTTATTCCAGCGCCCCCAGCCCAGCCCTCGACTACCTTCAGGCACATGTTATCAGAGAGCCTGGGGAATAGATGGTGTTCCACATGGCAGCTGATGATCGAGTGGCCGAACGCCCAGTCCAGCACGGGCAGCCGGGCCAGGTTAAGCACCCCCAGGCTCATCATGTGAATCCGACGGGGCTTGTTGTCCCGGGAGAACATGGGCAGTCCGATGTGCTGTGACAGACACGTGGGTCACGCCGGGCAGCCTGGACCTCCCCACCCCACTCCAGGTGTCCTGGGACCTCATGCTACCCAGAGGGTTCTTGTGTCACCCACCTCCCATGTGGGGGGACCTGGTAGAGGGGCTCCTGGCCCAGCTCCGATGATGACCCTGTCTGTTTTCTGCACTGACTCTCATCCATCTCTGGGCCTCCCTCCCCATCTGAACAGTGAGGGGCTTAGCCTGCACACCTCTCAGGTCCCATGGTTCCCTAATGCTCTCAACTGCCTACCACTCAGTCTCATCACACCGTGCCCTTGCCTCATTCTGGAGAGACCCTTCCTGCTCTGTTCACCAGTCAAGATCCTACTCATCATTCAAGGTCAAGTTTAATAGGCAGTGTCAAGTGCTTCCTCTGCCAGGTGCTCAGGAACTCAGAGGTCAGGAACTCAGACATGACCAGGAGCTTCGGTGGTTTCAGGACAGAACTCAATTATGGGATTAAGTAATTAAGTAGTTAACAGCAGTTGTGGTAAGTGCTGGACAAGGAAGTACAGGAAGCTCTACTCTGAGGCCTTCCCTGGGCAGGGAGCAGGGAGACGTCCCTCTGGAAATGACGCTGGAGCTGAATGCTGAGCCCTGGCCTCCCGTGAGGAATTCCGTCTCCAGTTCCTCCATCTTTCTCGGGGCAGGCACTAGGGGCCTTTATCTCCTACTGCTTGGCATCCGCGCATGGAGGAAGGCATGCTGACTATGTTGAGGAGAAGCTCACTTCATTATTATTATTATTATTTCTTTTTTTTTAGCTGGAGTCTCACTGTGTCCCCCAGGCTGGAGTTCAGTGGCGCAATCTCGGCTCACTGCAACCTCTGCCTCCCGGGTTCAAGCGATTCTCCCGCTTCAGCCTCCCAGGTAGCTGGGATTACTGGTGCTCGCCACTATGCCCAGCTAATTTTTGTGTTTTTAATAGAGACAGGGTTTTACCATGTTGGCCAGGCTCCTGACCTCAGGTGATCCACCCACCTCAGTCTCCCAAAGTGTTGGGATTACAGGAGTGAACCACCGCACCCAGCTGAGAAGCCTGCTTCTTCCCTGAAACCAAAACTCGAATGATCCTCAGAGCAGGGGGTGGTCGGGAGGGGACCACTTACCACAACTGCTGTTAATTACTTAATCCCATAATTGTGTCCTGTCCTGCACCAACCCGAAGCTCCTGTTCACCCCTGATTTCCTAGACCTAGCATAGTGCCTGGCAGAGGAAGCACTTGACACTACCTGTCAAACTTGACCATGAATGATGAGTAGGATCTTGACTGCTGAGAGGGCAGGCAGGGTCTCTCCAGGACGAGGCGAGGGCACAGTGTGATGAGAGCGAGAGGGAGGATGCCTCATCCTTCAGGTGGCCCCTCTCTCCTCAACCTAGAGTCCAGCCTGTGATCAGGGCCCCTGGAGAATGCTCCCCTTAGCTGCCCAGCGCCCCAGGTTGGGGTGGCCTCACCTGGAAGATGTTGACGTGGAGGTAGGGGTGGGCCAACAGGGATCTGGTGAGGAACATGCAGCCCAGGGCTGAGCTGGGGTTCTTGAAGCCTGACACGTTCAGGAGCAGCCAGTAGTGAGAATAAAGGCCCAGAGAAATCAGGGCCAGCGTCCGCAGGGCTGTCCCGAGCTCCACCTTCCTCAGCCGCTCTGCCATAGAGGGAGGGGACAGGCAAGGCTCAGATCCATCAGGAGGGGCTCCCTGCTGGCTCAAGCG
The DNA here is from genome assembly GCF_000001405.40 of Homo sapiens. Taxonomy (NCBI): domain Eukaryota; kingdom Metazoa; phylum Chordata; class Mammalia; order Primates; family Hominidae; genus Homo; species Homo sapiens. Next base: position 74,881,323 of record NC_000017.11, read on the forward strand.
TGCTAAAGCAGTGGCGGAGGCCAGGCGTGTTCAATTCATACCCACAACAGCCCTGAAAAGCAGGGCACCCCATTGTGTGGATGAAGAAACAGAGGCCAGGCTCGATGGCTCAAGCCTATAAACCCAGCACTTTGGGAGGCCACGGCAAGCAGATCGCTTGAGCCTAGGAGTTCGAGACCAGCCTGGGAAACATGGTGAAACCCCATCTCTATCAAAAATACACAAAATTTGCTGGGCGTCGTGGCGCACACCTGTGGTCCCAGCTACTCAGGAGGAGCCTGGCCTCCCAAGCTCGGGTGATCCTTCCACTTCAGCCCCCTGAGTAGTTGGGACTACAGTTGTGTGCCACCTACAGTAAGTTGAGATTGTGCCACTGCACTCTCCAGCCTGGGCAACAGAGCAAGACTCTGAAAAAAAAAAAAAAAGAAAGAAAAGAAAAGAAAAAGAAACAAAGAAAGAAACAGAAACATTAAGCAATCTGACCAAGGTCAAGCCCTGGGATTTGAACCCAGGTCTAGCTGCCCCATCACCCCTGCCTCCCTCCACCATATGACATAGCTCTCCTGATATCAAAGCTGATAACATGAAGTATTATTTGTGCAAGGCATCTGCAAAGCATTTTTTTTTTTTTTGAGACAGAGGCTCCTCTGTAGCCCAAGCTGGAGTGCAATGGTGAGATCTCGGCTCACTGCAACCTCCGCCTCCTGGGTTCAAGTGATTCTCCTGCCTCAGCCTGCCAGGTAGCTGGGACTACAGGCGCCCACCACCACGCCCAGCTAATTTTTTGTATTTTAGTGGAGATGGGGTTTCACCATGTTGCCCAGGGTGGTCTCAAACTCCTAAGCTCAAGCAATCCACCTGCCTCAGCCTCCCAAAGTGCTAGGATTACAGGTGTCAGCCACCACACGCAGACCCTGCAAAACATTTTTATACTTAGGACCTCATTTTCTTTCACACCATACTTGAGGAGGAGGTACAGGACCCGAGGCTCAGACAAGTTAAGTTATCTGCCCATAGTCCCCAGCTAGTAAGCGGCAGAGCCAGACTCAGCTCCAGGTCTGAGGCTCTTTCTACCTTGCCATGCTGTCTCAGCACGTATCTATCGGGCCTTCCTCTATAAGCAGCCTCCATGAAGCCACGCAGGGGAGGAGAGCAGGGGAACTAGGTCCATGCAGGACACTGCGGACCGGGCTCTCATGGCACTCACCGACAGCCACCAGTGGAGTGGCGATGGGGAGGAGGAAAGGAGCAAGGAACATGTAGACATAGCGGTTGAGGCAAGGCAGCCTCCACGTGCTGGAGTCCCCCAGGCCCACCACGTTGGTGTAGGCATGGTGCATCTTGACGTGCCCATGCGTGGCGTGCTCTGCAGTGAAGGCTGTGCACACCTAGAGGAGGGAACCAGAAATGACACTGGGGTCCCTGTCAGGCACAGTTGAGCAATGCAGGACCTTTGAGAGCCCGGAGAACACCCCCACCTCCTCAAACCCTGCATGTCCAGGGCCGTCCTGCCTTACAGCCCCAGCTAATCCGCTTTGACCATCAACTCTCAGGTATCTATGACCACGGAGTGGCAGCCAGTCAATACAATCGTGTCCGTTTGACGAGGCTCTGCAAAGCATTTGGGGGTGGGAGGCTGGACCCCTGGAGTGCCAATCTGCCAGTGACTGCCCAGGCAATGAGTCTCAGAGTCTGTCGTGATTGGAGGCACTGCAGGTGATGACCCCGGCATCCAATGCAATGATTTTGTGTGTGTTTCTCTTAGAAGCATCTGCTCGTTAATAACACTGAGCACTCTCAGCCCGGAGCAGCAGCCAGGAGGGGCTACAGGAGTGGTCTGAGAGAGCAGGGACACCATCCCCTGACCAGTCCACAAGGTGGGGGCGGTGCCCTGGTGGGGGCCAAGAGCTTCTCCCTAGAGGTGACTCTTCTGCAGTATGGATCCCCAGTGGGATTCTCGGAAGCCGCTCTGAGCAGCAGCACGTGCGCTCTGACTCCTAGGAGAGTAGTCAGTCTGGAATGCAAAAGCCACGCTAAGGTGTTTCTTAAGCAGATACATGCAAATGGTATGCAGATGTAAGCCTCTTCCGATATTTTATCTAGGACAGAAGATGTGGCTAATTTTATTGAAGATGCTGCCTGTTTCTGGAACGACGTGAAAAGTTTCCCAATACCAGTCACTGCAAGCCAGGAAAGGACAGCGGAACACCCCCGCAGAGGGCTCACTGCACCAGGCTCAGCGCCCTTCACTCGCACACTTCCTGAGGGCGGTGGCGGATGACCACATGCTGCTGAGTTAGTTGGAAAATGGATGGTCCTGCTGAAAAAGATTATTTATTTTATTTTTATTCTGTTTTGAGATGGAGTCTCGCTCTGTTGCCCAGGCTTGAGTGCAGTGGTGAACCTCTGCCTCATGGGTTCTTGGTTCATTGCAACCTCCGCCTCCTGGGTTCTCCTGCCCCAGCCTCCCGAGTAGCTGGGATTACAGATGCCCACCACCATGCCTGGCTAATTTTTGTATTTTTAGTAGAGACAGGGTTTCACCATGTTGGCCAGGCTAGTCTCGAACTCCTGGCTTCATGTGATCCACCCACCTCGGCCTCCCAAAGTGCTAGGAACACAGGTGTGAGCCACTGCGCCCAGCCCCATTTGTTCTTTCATGCAGTTGTTTGTTCACATAAGCATTGTCGGACCCCCAGTGGTGCCCAGCACCATGCTAGGCCTGTGGGGTTCCCAGGGCCTTGTCCCTGGGAAAAGGAAGAGAATGCCATCAGCCCCATTTGATGGGCTCATTGCCGACTGTACGGGACCCACTCCCATCAGGATAAGGTGCTCTCGAGGACTATTCTTGCTGTGGCCCTCACCAGGGTCCCTCTCTCATCCCAAAGGTGTCTAAAACATGGCTGCATTCACACAGATCCTGCCCCAGAGCCAGCCCGAAGAGTTCCCTGAGGACTTGCACCTGGAGACTTGTACGCTCCCTGAGCAAGACTGACAGGTGTAGCAAATGAAAATACAGGATGCCCTCTTAATTCTGAATTTCAGATAAACAAAAAATACGTGGAATATTTGGGATATACTTATACAAAAATATTGGTTGTCTGAAATTCAAATTCATCAATGTGTGTTAGGCCATTCTTGCATTGCTAAAGAAATACCTGAGGCTGGGTAGTTTGTAAAGAATAGAGGTTTCACGGGCTCAGCGTTCTGCAGGCTGCACAGGAAGCTTGGTAGGGAGGCCTCAGGACGCTTGCAATCATGGCAGATCACAATCGTGACAACCGTGGCAGAAGTCCACAGGGAAGGGGAAGAGGGAGCAGGCAGTGACATGATGAAAGCAGGAGCAGCGAGACGGGGATAGGGGTGCCACACACTTTTCAATGACCAGATCCTTTTTCTTTTTTTTTCCGAGTCTTGCTCTCTTGCCCAGGCTGGAGTGCAATGGTGCGATCTCGGCTCACTGCAACCTCCACCTCCCGGGTTCAAGCGATTCTCCTGCCTCAGCCTCCTGAGTAGCTGGGATTATAGTCACACGCCACCACACCCAGCTAACTTTTTATATTTTTAGTAGAGACGGAGTTTCGCCACGTTGGCCAGACTGGTCTCGAACTCCTGAACTCAAGTTATCCACCCGCCTCGGCCTCCCAAAATGCTGGGAATACAGCGTGAGCCACTGCGCCCAGCCTAAATGACCAGATCTTTTGAGAACTCACCGTCACTCTCACCAAGACAACACCAAGGGGATACTGCCAAACCATTCATGAGAAACCCCTCCATGATCCAGTCACCTCCCACCAGGCCCCACCTCCTCCTCACTGTGCAGTAGCAGCAGCAGCTGGCCACTGGGGTTACTGCCTTTGTTGGCAAACTTGGGTTTATCTGCCTGTAGACAAGTCTCTCTCACACCAACAGAACTACCAGTACTTCCAAAACCAACTCACCTGATCTGCAACTCAAAGGCATTTTTTTAAGAAAACCACAAAAAAAAAAAATAAATAAATAAATATTACATTTCATCCTGAGATTTAGGTGGGACAAACATCAAAATCATATCACTGGACTTTTTGTATTTTACCTAGAAAACCTACTACTGAGGTCCATGGAGCCCCAGAAGCCCCCAGCATTCTGAAGCCAGATGTGAAGGGGCTGCTCATGCTGTGGGAGCCAGCAAGAGTCTGGAGAGAGGAACGGAAGCTACGCAGATCCAGCCCGGAAGCCCTCCTGCCAGACCAACGCTGCCCCTCTGACGACCCTCAATCCCTCTTTCTCATCCTGGTCATTCCTGCTGCCCACCACTCCTGCACCTCTTCCTTCTCCCCACAGATACCACCCAGACAACCACCACCTACACCCTCCTCCTTGAACCCCATCCCTGCCCGTCTGTCCTTACCATCTCTCAGCCTGCCCATGCCAACACCTTCGTCCCATCTTCTGCCTTGTCTGCCTCAAATCCAGTAGAGTGACACAGTTAAAACCCAAAACTGCATCATAATTTCATAATTATGGTCTTAATCCTGTAGTGTACTGTTTGTTTAAAAACTAAATGAGGGGCCAGGCGTGGTAGCTTATGCCTGTAATCCCAGCACTTTAGGTGGCCAAGGCAGGCAGATCACTTGAGGTCAAGAGTTCAAGACCAGCCAGGCGCAGTGGCTCACGCCTGTAATCTCAGCACTTTGGGAGGCCGAGGCGGGCGGATCACGAGATCAGGAGATCGAGACCATCCTGGCTAACACAGTGAAACCCCGTTTCTACTAAAAATACAAAAAATTAGCTGGGCGTGGTGGCGGGCGCCTGTAGTCCCAGCTACTTGGGAGGCTGAGGCAGGAGAATGTCATGAACCTGGGAGGTGGAGCTTGCAGTGAGCGGAGATCCCGCCACTGCACTCCAGCCTGGGCAACAGAGCGAGATTCCATCTCAAAAAAAAAAAAAAAAAAGAGTTCAAGACCAGCCTGGCCAACATGGGGAAACCCCTACTAAAAATACAAAAATTAGCAGAGCGTGGTGGTGCACGCCTGTACTCCCAGCTACTTGGGAGGCTGAGGTAAGAGAATCACTGAAACCCACGAGGTGGAGGCTGCAGTGAGCCGAGATTGTGCCACTGCACTCCAGCCTGGGCAATACAGTGAAATCCTGTCTAAAAAAAAAAAAAAAAAAAAAAAAACTAAAAGAGGAAAATATTAGAGAAGAACATAGAAGAAGAGACTGATAACCTCCAGCCATCATCTTCCAGGAGGAAATGGGACATCTGCAGAAAGGGGTAGGACAAAGACCTCTCCCGATGCTTTTTGAATTCTGAATCATGTAAACACATTACCTATTTGAAAAATAAGTTAGTTTTGAAAACTACCAACTTAGATTACCACCTTTGGCCACAAGACCAAGTTCCAGGTCCTCTGCCTGCCATACGCCCCCTTTCCCCTCTCCAGGGTCCCCATTGGATTCTGGTGACCCCTGATTCCTGAGGGTCCCTCATGCACTGTACTGCTTCCCACAGCCTTTGTCCATACATTTGTTCTGTCTGAAGCCACCTTCCTGCTCCTTAGTTTGGCCAACTCTGTCCTGATAGCATCTCCCCTGGAAACCGTCCCTGGAGTTTCTCAGCCCTGCATGATTCACATTTGGGACTCGGGCACTTTTTGTGTCAGGGACTGTCCTGTGCACTGTACGACATTTAGCAATGTCCCTGGCCTCTACACACTAGATGCCAGTAGCATGCACACGCACACACACTCCAGTCTTTTTTTTTTTTTTTTTTTGAGACAGACTTTTACTCTGTTGCCCAGGCTGGAGTATGGAGTATATGGAGTATAGTGATAAAATCTTGGCTCACAGAAGGCTTGAACTCCCAGGCTCAAGCAATCCTCCTGCCTCAGCATCCAGCCTCCCAAGTAGCTTGGACTACAGGTGCACACCGCCACATCCAGCTAATTTTAGTTTTGTTTTGTAGAGACAGGCTCTCGCTGTGTTGCCCAGGCTGGTCTCAAACTCCTGGGCTCAAGCGATCCTCCTGCCTTGGCCTCCCAAGGTGGTGGGAACCACTGGGCCTGGCCCACACCCCCATCTTGATAGCCAAAAATATCTCCAGACACTGTCCAATGTCCCTGCCCTGCTCTTCCCACCCTGAGCTCTCAGAGCTTTCACTCCACCCTGGTCAATGCCCTCATCACATTCTGCCTGCCCCAGTCACCTACCAGCTGGCGTGGCATTGCACAAGTGGCTTAAACTCCCAGATCAGTGTTTTCTCATCTACAAAGTGAGGGTAACAGTAGCTTAACCCCCATAGGGAGGTGCGACTCTGAAATGAGGTGATTTACAAAAAGGATGCAGGAAGCAGCCAGTAAGCCTTAGCTAGTGTGATCAGGATTTATTATTAATTATTTTTAAGATGGAGTCTTGCTCTCTCACCAGGCTGGAGTGCAGTGGCACAATCTCAGCTCACCACAACCTCCGCCTCCCGGGTTCAAGCAATTCCCCTGCCTCAGCCTCCTGAGTAGCTGGGACTACAGGCGTGTGCCACCACGCCCGGCTACCTTTTTTCATATTTTAGTACAGACGGGGTTTCACCATGTTGGCCAGGATGGTCTCTATCTCCTGACCTCGTGATCCACCCTCCTCGGCCTCCCAAAGTGCTGGGATTACAGGCGTGAGCCACTGCGCCCAGCCAGGGTTTTTTATTATTTTGATGTCATTTGTATGTGTCTTTTTTGCACTTGACTCTGAGTCCCTGGGGAAGTGGAACGGGGTCTTATTCACAGTTATGTCCCCAGCATCTACTGGAGCATGGTGTAGGTGGAGCTGAGACACCACACACACACACACACACACACACACACGCGCGCGCGCGCGCGCGCAGAGTACCAATGTCCGTTTCCTTGGTTTTGATATTGAATGACACTTAGATAAATGTAACTATTGCGTGAAATTGGATGAAGGCTACACCAGACCTCTCTGTCCTATTTTTGCAAGGCCTGTGAATCTATAATTATTTTAAAAATAAAAAAGCTTTTACAAAAGTATATTTTGTACTGCAAATCTGAGTTTTCTCTCCAAATAAATACTAAAAATTAAAAAAATAAGAAGTTGTAGTTGAACTTAGGCAACAGCTCTCGAGGTTTGCGTGGGAACAGGCAGAGAGAAGGTTGGAGAGACGGCCTGGAGGGTAATGGTCACACTGAACGCCTGTGAGGAGAGAACGTTCCAGGATCACGACTTAGGCGGGGGTTCCTGGCCCTGTTTCCACCCCCACAAGAGCCCTGAAGGAAGCCGATGACATTCTCCTACAAGGTGCCCTTCCCCCAGGGCAGAGCTCCGGTCCAGCAGCTGTGGCTCCAAGCCTGCAGCACAAAGCCGACTTCACATGGAGGATTTGAAGCGGAGACACCAGAGCTTCGGAACTGGCAGGGCCTGTTCCCTCCCACTCAGGGGAGCATCTTGGATTGTGAGTGACATGCAGGAGAGTCCTTTCAGGAGTTAATCTTTCCCAAGCTTCGGGGCTTAAATTACGGGGGCCTGCCCATCCCACACTGCCCCCAACCTTCCCGTGGCCATCTGAGCATGGTACAGTGCCCTTCATTGGCAGTCCCTGAGAATACGCCTGGCAGTCCCCATGGTGACCCAGGACAGGGCTGGGCAGGTACTCTCGCTGGGTAAGACCAAGGTTATCAGTGGCAGGAGAGAAGGTCAGGGTTAGGCTACCAGGAGGGATAGAACTTTCCTATGTGGAACACAAATGGGTCTTCGGAGGTTGGATACTTTAGGAGAGAAACAACAGCCTGGAGTGGAAGCCTCCCCCTCCAACCTGTTTGCCCCTCCCCCAGATCCAATGGCCCAGCTTGGAGCTGGTAAACCCTGAGACAATCCCAGCAAAAGCTGGGCACCTGGGACCGCCAATGATACTCAGTTAATGCCTGAGGCTGCAGCATTTGCCAAACACCAAAAGGAGCCCAGGGCCTATGGCTGCATTATTCTGCAATGAAGATGTCTCCTGAGCGTCAAGGTTTGGGAAAAGCACAGATATCCCACAAGGAAGGATCCTAAGAGAGAAGGCACCAAGACATGGGAGGAGAGTCAGAAATCCAGGAAGGGTCTTGGGGCATCCTCTGAGGTCCTAGGCATCAAGAACGTGTCCTCTGCACCCTGCAGAGGCCCAGATGACACAGCACCCAACGCCCCAACATATACACAGCCCTGTTGAGCTTTGCAAACTTGCAGTTAAAAAAACAACAAAAACAAAACAAACAAACAAACCAAAAAAAAAAAAAGGCCGGGTACAGTGGCTCACGCCTGTAATCCCAGCACTTTGGGAGGCCGAGGTGGGTGGCTCACCTGAGCTCAGGAGTTCAAGACCAGCCTGGCCAACATGGTGAAACCCTGTCTCTACAAAAATACAAAAAAAAAAATTAGCTGGACATGGTGGCGGGTGCCTATAATCCCAGCTATTAGGGAGGCTGAGGCGGGAGAATCACTTGAACCCTGGAGGTGAAGGTTGCAGTGAGCCGAGACTGCATCATTGCACTGAAGCCTGGGCAACAGAGTGAGACTCAGTCTCAAAAAAAAAAAAAAAAAAAAAAAAAGACAAAGCAAACAACTGCTAACCCTTTCCTTGCAGCTGACCACATTAACTCCAGAGAAAGAAAGTGAAGATCATACTGGTGGAGGGTGTCAGGACCAGGCCCTCCATTAAGGTCTGCACTGTTTCATTTTATCCACATGCTGGCCTCATGAGGGAGGTCGTGTTATTTCTCCTGTTTATTAGGTGAGGAAAGTGACACTTAGATGTTGAATTAAGTAACTTGCTCAAGGTCAGGGCAGCCAGTGGGGCTGGGAGTTCAACCATGGCTTCAAAGGCTGGTCTTGAACTCCTGACTTCAAGTGATCCTTCCACCTCGGCCTCCCAAAGTGCTGGGATTACAGGCGTGAGCCCCACTGTCCTCGCCGCCACCCTGTGTGGCAGACAAGACCAGCACCCTCCTCCAGCAGTGCACTTGCCTCACCAATGTCAGCCAGACTGGGGAGACTGGTCTGCCCCTTCCCCCACACTTGGAACTGGACCCTCCCCAGAGGGTAGCTGGAGGGCACCTGTGGGATGAAAAAATCAAGACGCATCCCACGTAGGTCAGTCGGAGGCTTGAGTAATAAACTACTCGGGCCCTGTTCCTCAGCCCACTGCAGTCCACCAGGCAGGTGTCACGACATGAAGCGGGAGCCAAGCCTTTCCTCCCCAGCTTCGAGGGGGCTTGCAGGCCTGAACCTGGTTCCCTAGACAACTGCAGGGTCATCGTCAGCAAATATTGATGGAAGAATATTGCCAAGAGCTCAAGTCTGTGCCAGGAGCTGAAGAGTCAAAGAGGCAAAGATGAAGCCACTGGGCTTACGGGGACAAGACAGCATTCACAAGCAGAATGCAGCACTGAGGCTATCTGGGTATCTCAAGCGTGCTGGGTTTCCGGTGGAGCGCTCCAGTAGAGAAGCCCAGGAAGGCTTCTCAGAGGAGGCGTCCTTGGCCTCCTGCATTCATTTGGCACACATGATAGCTATGGTGTGGGTGTAACACTTTGGTGGGTATCAGATTCACCTGTGGAACTTGGTAAAAACACAGTGGCCCGAGTCCTCTTCTCCAGCAAGCCTGGGCCTCCAGATCATTCTGCTACACACCGAAGTTTGAGAACCACTAGGTTACCTCTGTGCAATAAATGCCTTGCAGCCAAGCAGTCCCAAAGCCTCAGTACCTGCTCCTCATCCTCAGCTGCCTCTAGGCTCCTGGTACTCAGTACAGCTTTTTTCTTTTTGATTTTTTTTTTTTTTTTTTTGAGACAGAGTCTTGATCTGTCTCAGCCTCCTGAGTAGCTGGGATTACAGGTGCGTGCCACCATGCCCGGCTAATTTTTGTACTTTTAGTAGAGATCAGGTTTCACCACGTTGGTCATGCTGGTCTCAAACTCCTGACCTCAGGCGATCCACCTGCCTCGGCCTCCCAAAGTGCTGGGATTACAGGTGTGAGCCACCGCGCGCAGCCTCAGTACAGCTTTTTTAAAAATCCAAACATAGCTCATTCTGCCCCTGTGACCCAGCATTATGACACAGTCCATGTCACCAGCACAGCCCAATGTCTCCCTTGCCTCTCTGTGGATTACAAACTTGGCGGGCAGCTGACCCAGACTCCAGAGCCTGGCCCGTGTCTTAGAGTCTGGCCGGGACTAATGCTCAGGGCTCCGTGGGAAAGGAATTGTCTTGAAATTGACCCTGAGGATCAGAAGCCTGTCAGTTCCTCTTGTCTTCAGCACTTTGATGTGTGTGCTGGTGAGAGGGGCAGGGGAGGGGAAGAAGCAGGGGATAGTGCTAGGTGAGAAATGCTTCATCCACTCAGCTGAGTGGATAGTGATGATATATGTGTGTGTAGACAGTTATATAAAGTTATATAACTTTATAAAAACTTAATAATTGAGTTAATTGGTCACAACGACCAGTCCTTCCAGAAAAGAACTGTTTCTGGTCCCAGCTTTCCTATTTATTCATAAGGTGTGGCCATTCATTTATTTAGGGGAACCATCACCTGGGTGACCAGGCGACGGTCCCCCTGGAAAGGAGGAGGGAGCAAGTTCAGCAGAGGAACTGGGGAGGCCTGGAGACCAGTCAAGAGAGAAAGACAAGCTGGTCGAAACTTTTGCCTTCCTGGGCGTGCCCGAAGGTAAGAAGGCCAAGGTCGAACTGGGAAGGGGTGGAAGAAGGGAGGGCAAGGGTCAGGTGAGGTGGGTACTTCCTGGAGCTGACCCCGGGGAGCAGGGGGCTTCTCAGGAAGGCTAGGCCATGGCCAGGCATCAGAGGAGCATCATCCGGAGTAAGGACGCTGCCCCTTGTGGACACTGGGCCCCTCCTCCCCCTCCCTTTCTGTCTGTGGGTCACATTTTAAACCCTGACTGCAAAATCTGGAGGCCCCACTGGTTGTAACTGTGGGCCAAGACAGCGGCATACTCATCCTACAACTCTCTACCCATGGGGTGCAAAGACCCGCTCAAGGGCTTGGAGAAGTCCTCAGACACGCTGTAGTGCATACTGCACCAGTGGACCGGCATACCATCAGCTGCAGCGGCCTGCCCCCGTGGGCACATGCACAGCTGGACACACCCGCATGCTCGAACAGAAGAATGAGGCTGCCACACGGTCCCAGCAGCTGCCTGCATCCTCCTTCTCCCAGGCTCACCTCCACAAAGAAAAGCAGCCAGATCTTGCTCCAGCGTTTGGACTCGGTGAGGGCCCCATGAGTGGCCAGGTGGCTGCCCTTGACAGTGAGTGTGTAGTGGCACACACCCAAGATGGTGATGCCGGATGCAAAGACCAGGGCATTCTCCCAGCGCAGGCACAGGAAGCCTGCGTGGAGAGGAGGAAGAAGACGGGTCTTTCTCTAGCTCTGGGTGATCTGGGCCCAAATACCTCAACCCTTACCCTGGGAGCCCAGGCTAAAGTGGGCTAGGCTCTGGGGGCTGCCACTGGCCGGAGTGAGGCAGGTCCCACTGTGGCCTGAGGGGAACCAGGACTGCCCCTCCAGCGGTCCTGACTCTCCCGTGCCTGGTCCTGACTCTCCAGTGCGTGGTCCTGGGCCCCCAGCCAAAGCAATGTTGGGGCCTCAGGTACCATGGGTGTTCCAGACCAGGAAGGGTCCAGGGGAAACTCCCACCCCCTCCCCACTCACCTAGGTCCCCAAAGAACACCGTCTCCCTTCCCGGGGGTGGGGGGGCACCTCATCACTCCCGGCCACTCCCCCGCTCCTCTCAACTTTCCCTTCCACCACCCTCCTGCGCCCCCTCCTAGGGTACACAGGGCAGAACACCCCAGTCCAGACTCTCAGGTTCGGGGTGTGACCCTCCATCCTTGGGTGCGGGGCCCCGACCACCTCCGCCTCCCTGCCGCCGCCAGTCCACTCCGCAGGCTGCACTCCCACGGCTGCTGTTGCAGACCCCGCGCCGCCACCTCCGCCGCACCCCGCCCCCACCCGCAGCCCGGCCGGGACGCCGGGTCCCCGCGTTCCTCACCTGCCGGCAAGGCGAAGAGGCTGAGCGCGAGGATGGCGCAGTCCACGCCGTGGCGCTCCCACCAGGAGCTCGTCCTCACCACGTCCTGCACCAGCACCTCCAGCTCCCGCAGCAGCGCCTCGCCCCCACGGTGCGCGCTCCGCGCCGGTTCCATGGGCTCCGTAGGTTCCATGGGCTCCGTAGGTTCCATGGGCTCCGTAGGTTCCATGGGCTCCGTAGGTTCCATCGGCTCCGTGGGTTCCATGGACTCTGTGGGCTCGGGCCCGACGCGCACGGAGGACTGGAGGACTGGGGCGTGTGTCTGCGGTGCAGGCGAGGCGGGGCGGGCCGGGGCGGAGTCACGCGCCGCCTGGGGACACCCGCCCCCGGGGTCAAGGTGCGAGACACCCTGGCTCCTCTGCTGCGGGCGCTGGCGACCCAGGCCCGGCTCAGGCGCGCGACCCTGGCAGGCGGCATCAGAACCGCCGCGGAGGGAGGAGCCAGGCCGATGAGCTGAGAGTGGCTAGGCGGGGAGGCGACCCTGCGGTGAGACCCAGCCCAGGTAGTAGGGACGGAGGCGTCAGGGGCACGGAGACCCCAGTGGAGACACCCCCCACCCCCGCCCCGCCCCGAGGGCCTTCCCTGACCTCCGACCTCAAATAACTCCCTGAGTTCCCTCGGTCCCTGAGATCTGTCCGAGCATTCTCTTCCCTCGACCCTGACTATTCGTAGTGGCACTGAGCAGCTCCCCTCGTACGTGACACACATGACACATGCTGTCGTCTGTCTCTGCCAACAGACGGACCCTCAGTGCCGTAGAGACGTCCTCGTTTTGCCCAAGCTCTGTCTTCAGTACCTAGGGCAATGCTTGGCACAGAAACATCTGGGAATTCCTAGGGCAGAAAGTTCAAGGACTCCCCACTCCCCCTCCCCGTGGGTCAAGGAGTGAGAGGTCCCCTCTGAGTATGGCTTCAGCAGAGGTGACCCAGGGGAGCTGGCTCTTCAGCCCAATAATGTTTTGGGTGAGACGGGTAGCTACAGGGAATACACATCCGGAGGTCATCATTCTGGGTGGGCAGGCAGACCAGCCGGGTCCCGCTGCCATTCCACTCCCTCAAGAGCGCCCAGGCCTGAACCCAGGGCCAGGGCCTCAGCCAAGCCCTCTGAGATGTGGGAGCCACACCTGTCACATCCCCTTCCCATCAGCCCAGGCCCCCACCCCGCACTGCTGGAGATGGCCTTGGTCCTCAGGGGATAAGCCTCTGTCCTCTACAAACTCCTCTTCCCTGCTTCTGAATACCCTTTCTCTTTTCTTTTTTGTTTTACTTACTCCCAGTTTCATGACTTAAGGGATCTGGTATGGTGAGGACAGTGGCATCTTTAGCAGGAGACCCCTAGGAAAGAGAAGTTGGGTGGGTGGGGTAAGGGAGAGACAGTCAGGGATCCTAATGACATTGATTCCTTTTGACTCCTTCCTGGTGTTTTCCTTCAGGAATTCTTTTTTTTCTCTCTTTGTTTAGAAACAGGGTCTCGCTCTATCACTCAGGCTGGAGTGCAGTGGCACAATCACAGCTCACTGCAGCCTCGATTTCCTAGGCTCAAGTGATCCTCCCCCTCAGCCTCCTGAGTAGCTTGGGACTACAGGCACACACGGGGACCACTAAGCCTGGCTAATCATGAATTCGTATGAGCTTATTCCTTTAATTCTTTATCAAAGAATAAGATTTATTTACCAGCTCAGTATTCTAAGGGACTGACAATTTAATAAACCAATTCTCACCAAGTGCACGTGCGCATATACCTGCCCCGCAGGTTATCATTGACTTTCACATACTGATGAGGTTTTGTGGATTCCCCACATCCCTCAAGGATGGCATCATCTAAGGCCAGGCGCGGTGGCTCACACCTGTAATCCCAGCACTTTGGGAGGCCAAGACAGGCAGATCACTTGAGGTCAGGAGTTCGAGACCTGCCTGGCCAACATGGTGAAACCCCGGCTCTACTGAAAATACAAAAATTAGCTGGACGTGGTGGCAGGAGCCTGTAATACAAGCTATTCGGGAGACTGAGGCAGAAGACTCGCTTGAAACCAGGAGGCAGAGGTTGCAGTGAGCCAAGTTCGCACCATTGCACTCCAGCTTGGGGGACAAGAGCAAAACTCCATCTACAAAAAAAAAAAAAAAAATAGGATGGCCTCATCTTCATTTAATCAACGGAGGCCCCAAGAGATGAACTGATCCGCCCAGCACTCCACAGTTAGTAAATGGCAGAATTAGAGCTGAATCCAGGAGCTTCTCCAAATGCAATGGTTTCCATGAGAGATTTTCTTTTTTTTTTTTTTTTGAGACAGAGCCTCGCTCTATCACTAGGCTGGAGTGCAGTGGCGCGATCTCCACTCACTGCAACCTCCAACTCCCTGGTTCAAGTGATTCTCCTGCCTCAGCCTCCCGAGTAGCTGGGATTACAGGCACGCACCACCACACCCAGCTAATTTTTGTATTTTTAGTAGAGACAGGGTTTCACTATGTCAGCCAGGATGGTCTCAATATCCTGACCTCGTGATCCACCCGCCTCGGCTTCCCAAAGTGCTGAGATTATAGGCATGAGCCACCATCTTAAGAGATTCTTAAGACAGATAAGGAAGAGTCGCCCTCCTCCCTCCCTTTCCCACTCTACCGTCAAATCCCTCCCTCTCTAGCATACTACAATTTTCAAGGAGGGGATATGTATAATTTGTAAAAGCATATGTGATATTAATATCCCATATTTTAAGCTTATAAGGAGATGTTATCATTTTTATCATATATGCCAGGAACTTCCTGGCACCAAGAAGCTCCTCTCCAGGCCCTGGCTCCCTCCTGGACATCCAAGTGGTACTGGACAGAGGTAAATGCTGAGCGCCAGAGGAAAGAACATGTTTCAGAGGAGCTCAGAGGAACAGGGATCCCTGTGGGGTAGGGCTGGCTGGTAGCCTCCCAAGAGAGAGGCAGACTTGATTTAGAACAGACTTAGCATGGTGGCTCACAACTATAATCCCAACACTCTGGAAGGCTGAGGTTCAAGGATCGCTTGAGCCCAGGAGTTGGAGGCTGCAGTGAGCGATGATTGCATTCCAGCCTGCACGACAGAGCAAGACCTTGTCTTAAAACAACAATGACAATAACAGCAAACAGACTACTTAAACCTCAGAGAGAAGGAAGAGAACCAAGTATTCTGGGTCCTCAAGGCATGGGCCAGGAGTAGAGTTTGAGAGATTGGTGGGAAAGGCAAGGGAAGGCAGGAAAGAAAGGCTGGGACCACGGGCTGGAGTGCCACAAAGGCAGACTGAGAAGCTGAGGTTTGTCCTCACAGGCATGGGAGCCATAGGAAGTTTCAGGGCAGTGGAGTGACTTGTGCAATGCTGTGTTCAGGAAGGTTTGTCTGGCACAATGGAGTAGCCACTGGAGTGAGGGGGACCGGAGTGAGGGGGACCAGTTTAGAGACGTTCCAGTCCCCCAAACATAAAGGTGCTAAGGGTGCAGATAGCAGAGGGAGGGACTGTGGAAATGATGATGGGGGTAACAAAATAAGGAAGAATTGAATAGACAGTTTACCAAAGAAGATATGCAAATGGCCAAGAAGCATGTGAAAAGATGCTCCCCATCATTAGTTTTTAGGGAAATGCTAATTTGAACACCAATAAGATAACCCTGCAGACCCACTAGAATGGCCAAAATTAAATAGACAAGGAAGGCTGGGCATGGTGGCTCACGCCCGTAATCCCAGCACTTTGGGAGGCCGAGGCAAGCAGATCACCTGAGGTCAGGAGTTCAAGACCAACCTGGCCAACATGGGGAAACCCCATCTCTACTAACAATACAAAAATTAGCTGGGTATGGTGGCATGTGCCTGTAATCCCGGCTACTCTGGAGGCTGAGGCAGGAGAATCGCTTGAACCCGGGAGGTGGAGGTTGCAGTGAGCTGAGATCGCACCACTGTACTCCAGCCTGGGTGCCAGAGTGAGACTCCGTTTCAAAAAAAAAAAAAAAGAAAAGAAAAAAGAAAAGAGTTTTATTTAAGTTGAACACATGCATATCCTAGATATATACTCAACAGAAAAGCAAAGAAACATACACAAATATTCATAGCAGCACTACTCAAAAGATAACAACTGGGCACAATGCAATTTTCTGCCAGCAGTGGAATAAATCAATAAACGGCGATGGGGGGATTACCACACAGCCCAAATCCAATGCCGAACAAATGGAAACCAGACACAAAACACCGATCAGATGATCCCATGTGTATAAAGTTCAAAAACAGACAAAATGAATCTATGGCATTAGAAGTTAGGATGGCTTTAACTGATTAGGGATAGTGACTAGAAGGGGGCATGAGGGGGTTCTCCAGAGGCTGATAAATGTTTTGTTTCTTAAACTGGGTTCTAGTTACCCTTGAGTGTTCAGTTTGTAACACTTCATCATGCTATACTGTTAGAGTATGTGCATTTTCCTGTCTAGGTGTTATATTTTAATTACAACAATTTTATATTTTCAAATGGTAATCACTTTTCTTTATTTTCTTTATTTATTTTGAGATGGAGGCTCATTCTGTCACCCAGGCTGGAGTGCAGTGGTGCAATCTCGGCTCACTGCAACCTCCATCTCCCAGGTTCAAGTGATTCTCCTGCCTCAGCCTCCCTCAGCAGCTGGGATTACAGGCATGTGCCACCACACCCAGCTAACTTTTTTGTATTTCTATTAGAGATGGGATTTCACCATGATGGCCAGGCTGGCCTCAAACTCCTGACCTCAAATGATTTGCCCACCTCGGCCTCCCAAAGTGCTGAGATTACAGGCGTGAGCTACCTTGCCCAGTTGGTAATTGGTTTTTGTAGAGGTATAAATCAGAAGGTAAAATCACCCCTAAACCCAGGACAGTGGAGCGGGGGAAGGCAGGGCGGGGCTGGCCTGTGGGTTCCCTTGGCCATGGGGTCGGCATGAGTGTGGGTGGGTGGTAGAGCGGCCAACCTACCCCTGCCAGCTGCCCCCAGAGTCTGAGTGACACCCCTCAACTCCTCCCTATCCCTCTCTGTCATCTTGCCTTGACCTCTCAGCCACTGGTCCTCCCCATCCCTGCCTCGGGATCCTGCTCACAAAGTGAGGCTGAATTGTCAAGCCTGGGACGAAGCGCTTTGGATGGCAGGCCTGCACTCACCGGGGCTCCCTGCTTCCGTGTTTCCCAACAGGCCCTAGAGGCCTAGTAAGCAGGCCTGGGCAGGCTCCTTAACCTCTTTCCACAGTGGCAGAAACAGCCAGGGGCTGCCTACTCTCCCAGCCACCCTCCCCTAGACTTGCCTCTGCCCCCACCCAAGCCCTCATCTGTTTGCACAAGACTCAGCATAAGTGAAGAGCACAGCGGGGTTTTGGAGTCAGGCACACTTAGTAGCTGTGTGACCTTGCACGAGTTACTCAACCTCTCTGAGCCTTGGTAGCTTCACAGACACTAAAAAACAGACATTTAAAGAAGTGAGATAGGCCGGGCATGGGGGCTCATGCCTGTAATCCCAGAACTTTGGGAGGCCGAGGTGGGCAGATCACGAGGTCAGGAATTCGAGACCAGCCTGGCCAACATGGTGAAACCCCGTCTCTACTAAAAATACAACAACAACAAAAAAATTAGCTGGGCGTGGTGGCATGCGCCTGTAATCCCAGCTACTCGGGAGGCTGAGGCAGGAGAATTGCTTGAAACTGGGAGGCGGAGGTTGCAGTGAGCTGAGATTGCGCCACTGCACTCCAGCCTGGGCAACAGAGCAAGACTCCATCTCAAAAAAAATAAATAAAAAAGAAGTGAGATAAATATGAATGGGAGTTTACCATTTTCTTCCTGTGCCCCAGTGGATTAATGTGCACACCCACGCTGGAGACCACTCCAAACTTCTGACAAACATAAGGTCTTTTAGATCTTAGGCTGTAAAAGTAAAGTAGTCTGCAGCCTAAGGTCTAAATTGCTTAGCTTGGCATTTGAAGGCCTCCAAGTACCAGCTCCATCTCCGGATACCCTCCTGCTTGGGCTGGAGTGAAGCTCACCGATCTCTGACTCACGGATAAGTGTTGCCTTTTCTCCCCTCCAAGCCTTTCTTCCCAGGTTAACTGTCTCTACTCCTATCCCCCAACCAAGCCCCACTCTTCCTCTGGGTTTCTGGCAACTTCACCCGCCACCGCAAAGCTCTTCTAATGTTTTCGTGTATTTCATTCATCCTATGTTATTGAGCACCTACTATGTACCAGGCACTCCACCTTTCACCGTTCATCCTTCCCCTCCTCTGACCTCATACCCACTACCAGCTAGCATTAGACGTCACACATTACCTCGCAATGAGCACTCCTGGACACTGTGATCCAGCCACAGGATTCAAGCTGTTCCCCTGTCTGCATCGTCTGCCTGTATCAGTCAGGATAAACACTAGCTGTTGTAACAAACAACCCCAACATCTCAGTGGCCAAACACAATACAGGTTTATTCTTGCTCCCATCACAGTCCAATTTCAGGTTCCTTGCATCTGTGATGCCTCCTCCAACACAGGGCTGCCCCAGGATTGCCAGGGGATTGGAAGGGAGAACATGGGAAGGTAGTTTTAGGTCCAGGTCTGGAGGTGGCACACATCACTTCCATCCACGCTCCACTGGCCAGAATCCAGGCATATAGCCCCAGCCACAGGCTGGCTTGGAACTGTGGCCTTTCTGTGTACCCAGGACGAAGAAGTTGCATAAAGGACTGTATAGCCAACCTCTCCCCTGTAGCCAACTGCACTGTGAGCTTCCAAAAGGCAAGGATCCTTCCCACGCCTTCCTGATGTTTCCCTGAATCTCCTCCATAACTTCCAACCGGCCTGCCTACCAGTGCATATCACCCACCCATCATGCCCAGCACACTGCCCTGTACCCAGCCGGTGCTCAGTGTTTACCAGCTAATGGATAGACTAGTGTGAGTTGAAACAGGTTGGCTGAAGGAGAAGCACATAGGGCTTGGTGGAGAGACAGGTCCTTCCTGTTCTTTGGACGACACGGCTTCCCGGACCTCACGCTGTGCTTGGAACATAGTAGGTGCTCAGTAAGCGTTTGCTGACTATATGAATAGACAGATGCATGGAATGATGAGAAAACAGGCTCAAGAGAATGAAGGAGGTGGTAAAAGGTTTGAAAAAATATTCAATGGTGGAAAAGACTCGAGTCCAAAGCCGAGACAAACAATACCTTCCCAAACTTCACCTGGATGGGGAGGTGGTGCCCTCCACCCCAGCCCCAACAGACTGGGGGCATCTGGGCCTACTCAGGCCACAACAGTGGGGCAGGGTGTGTCAGATGAGCCAGGGCTTAGCCTTCCTGGGCCCTCTGGGGTTCCCCATCCTGGGGCAGTGATGATCCCTCCCTTCTGTGATTCGGATCTTTATTTGTTGGGGTTCACTGGGGTTAATTATTGTTGTGGTTGTGTAGGGTGGTGGGAAGGGCCCCACCCTGGTCCAGGGCCTGGAGGGGAATCCCAAGAGTCAGATGAGTCTGGAGACCTGGAGGGCTGGTACCAGGGCTCAGGGATGGCACTGGATGGCTTAAGAAGGCGCCTTCTGCCAGCAATTTAACTGTCTCTATGCCCTGAGCCTAGGTGGCTGAGTCTTTAACCCTTCCTTGTACCTCTTCCATTCATGCCACCCTCCAAATAGTCAAAGCCTGAGTGAGGCCCAGCTCCATAAAGCAACTGGCATTATTCACAGGGGTGGGGCTGGGCAAGCTGCGGGAGAAGTGGCCTGGCCTGTGGCTCAGATCCCGGCCAGCTGGGGGTGGGACTGGCACCCTGAGATACCCTGGCTCCAGCAGGGCAGGGCTACATCTGCAGCATCTCAGCATCAGCCACACCTCTCAGAACCCTACCCTTGGCCTTCTGCGGCTACCCCAAAGCCTGCAACTGGTGTTCCCAGGCAGCTGCTTTCCTGTGGGGACGACGCCAGGTTAGTGATGGCCCAGAGAGGCAGGGCAGGGGAGGGACGGGAGGGATGGAGAGAGCCAGCCTCTAGCTGGCAGGGGCTCTGCTGAGGCTCCAAGGGCTGTTGGCCTCTCCTCACCTTGCAAGAAGGGAAACTGAGGACTGAGCCCCAGGATTACTCTCCGAGCTGCATAGCAAGTTAGGTCCTTGGCAACCCAGAGCTGGGGCTGTGAGCAGCGCAGACACTGTTCCACTTGGTCTCTCCTCTGCGTCAGATCAGCACCACGGTCCCTTGAGTGAGTGGCTCTGGGGTGTAGATTAGCCTAAAGGATGTGTTTTGGGCCTGGTGGGACCAGTGCCAGAGCTGGGAGGGGAGTGAGGGCTGTGATTCCTACAAAGTGCGGAGGCACCCAAAACAGAGTCTAGAGCAGGACTCTGGATCAGACACACCCAGGTTCTAGTTCTTGCCGTTACTTAGGTGAGTTGTTTAACCTCCCTGAGCCTCGGTTTTCTGAGAGGGTGATTTGGAGTGAATGAGGGTGATGCTACCCACCTCATTGGATCTCTGGGGAGAGCAATGACATCATTTCTGTACTGTGGATATCATGGGCCACAGCAGGGCACGTGCTCGTGGTAGATATCGCTACCACAAACACCTTTCCTTGTGTTATCGTAAATATAACATGATTGTGATACTGAGTTGTTTAATTTAAATCTAGCATATATTGCTACTGATAATGACAATGAAAAATGGTTTTGGTTTCCAGCAGGAAAGGAACCTGAACATGCACACGCTCTATTTCCTCTCCTCTTCGCCCATGTCTTCCCTCGAGGGCTGGGGGCCAAGGGAGTGGTGTTCCCTCCTAGCCCCGCTCTGTAATACTGAACAGGCTGTGCAAAGGCTGTGGTGGGCACGGAAAGGGGGGTTTGGGAGCAACCCAGCCTATCAGTTCTCTCTGACACCAGCTCAGGGCTGCCCAGGCCTGGCTGATGCCCACTGAGCCCTCCCTATCCCCAGATTCCCATCCGCCAGGTCCCTGGGCTGCTCCTCCACCCACTGGGCATTGAGTCCTGAGCTAAGTGCTTTACGTTCATGCTCACAACTGCCCTACAATGGGCGGGGGGGTGGCATTCAATCATCCCCACTCACAGATGGAAACACTGAGGCTTGGAAAGCTGAGCTGGCCTTTCTAGGAAGTAGCAGAGCTATGCACTCAAACTGGACACCCCTGCCCAGGAGGAGAGCCCACCCAGGCCCCTCAGCACCCTAGGTGCCCCAAGAGGTAGACTTGCCTCCACCCCATCCCATCAGTTCTTCTCCCACTACAGCCCACCCTATCCCCCAGGCCTGGGACCCCCAACAAGCCAGTCACCCAGAGAGAGAGTGGGGGACTCTCTCTGTAGAAACCCCCAGTTCAGGGTGAGGGTGGGGCAAGGGAAGGTGGGGTGTCCAGGAGCTTCAATCTTCCAGTCTAAAGGAACTGGGGCCCTAAAAATAGATACCAGGGCAGAGGAAGAGTCTAAAAATAGACTCCAGCCAGGCGCGGTGGCTCACGCCTGTAATCCCAGCACTTTGGGAGGCCCAGGTGGGCGGATCACCTGAGGTCGGGAGTTGGAGACCAGCCTGACCCACACGGAGAAACCCCATCTCTACTAAAAATACAAAAATAGCCAGGCTTGGTGGCACATGCCTATAATCCCAGCTACTTGGGAAGGCTGAGGCAGGAGAATCGCATGAATCTGAGAGGTGGAGCTTGCGGTGAGCCGAGATCGCACCATTGCACTCCAGCCTGGGCAACAAGAGCAAAACTCCATCTCAAAAAAAATTAAAAATTAAAAATTAAAAAAAATAAAAATAGAATCCAGCTGAAAGCGATGGAGCCCTCTGTGGGCGCGCACCCACACACACATGCACACACACACATGCACGCACACACACACACACACACACACACACCTCTCTTCTGAGAAACTTGGAGGCACTGAATCAAAGACAAATGAGCAAAATCACAGACACACACTCAGCTCACAAATAAACACCACCAGCCTGCATGGTGGCTCACGCCTGTAATCCCTGCATTTTGGGAGGCCTAGGCAGGCGGATTGCTTGAGGTCAGGAGTTCAAGACCAGCCTGGCCAACATGGTGAAACCTCATCTCTATTAAAAAAATACAAAAAGTTAGCCGGGCATGGTGGCGGGGGCACCTGTAATCCCAGCTACTCGAGAGGCTGAGGTAGGAGAATCACTTGAACCTGGGAGGTGGAGGTTGCAGTGAGCCGAGATGGCACCACTGCACTCCAGCCTGGATGACAGAGCCAGACTTTGTCTCAAAATAAAAAATAAACACAACCTCCAGGAAAGCTCTAACCCACTACACCCACCCCATGCTCACAGAGATGCGCGTGTCCTCACCCATGCCACACACACACACACACACAGGCTGCACAGGCACACATGTGCACACACAAGCATACAGATGCAGTGGTGTATCCAGAGGAGGGAGGCGCCCAGGGACAGAGGGAGAGGAGAGGCAGTGAGTCCTGCCGGTTTCCCACCCCACCTCCCCATGTCCCACCAGTTGAGCCTGTGTTCCTGGTCTGTTCCTGGCAGCCCCTGTGCCAGGTGAGAGCCTGGAGAGATGGTTTGGTGAATGGGGTGGAAGAAGGCTTGGACTGCCGTGGAAACAGCCAGAGTTTAAGGTTCAAATCCCACAGTCCCGATATTCTGCACTCCAAGGTTCAGAGAAATGACTTAACCTGCCTGAGTGCAGTTTCCTTGTCAGAGAGGCAGGTCAATGAGACCATTCTCATGCGTTTGCCGTACCTGGTATGTAGAAGGTGTTAGATACATGTTTTGAGAAGGCATCTAGCAGACTGCAGCAATGTAAATGGACCAGACTATACATCCCAGCTGATGGACTTCCTAGTGGGTCATTTGCCATCCCCCACCTGAACCTCAGTTGCTGCATGTATAAAATGGGGCTAGTCAATGATGCCTTCTGCCTGGTCTATCTCAGACGACTGTTGTGAGGCTCAAAAAAATGACACTGTGAGGGGTGGTTTGGTCCTGTGGGGGAGAGAGAGCCCCATGGGGCAGTGATGTTGGGGGCCGGGGAATCACTGGCAGCTGCGTTTTCCCCCATCCCCTCTCCTCCATGAGAACACCCCTCCCCCACCCGCCAAGGAACCCACCAGTTATTGTTTGGGGTCCAGCGGAGAAACTGCCCCAGGATGTGCATTTCCAGAGTAGGGAAATGCTCCAGCCAGAGTGGTGTTGGGGGCCAGGAGTGGGGAATGCATTTTCATATGGGGGTTGGAAGAACTGCTCCCTGGAACTGCCTAGGACCCACCTGCTGAGCAGCTCGGCCAACCACAAATGCAACGAACACCCCATGGCCAGTCTCAGACCAACAACAACCATGACCATTATTAACTCGTGCGTGCTAAATACCAGGGAGTGTGCTGGGTGCTTTCTATGCATCATCATTTCACCCTCCTAATAACTTATGGGGTTAATGCTGTTATTATAATACCTATTTTTACATATGATTAAACAGACTCAGAGAGGCTGGGTAACTTACCCAAGGCCACACAGCTGGAAAGGGGTGGAGCCAGTTTTGCTGCCCAAACCTGGCTGTCCCCTGAGTCCTTGCCACCTCCCATACAACCTGGGCCAATCTCAGAGAAGGTCACAGACATAGCACACACTGGAGGGACAGGGGTGCCATGCTGTTGGGGACTGGTCATAACATGGGGACAGAAGGCAGCGGGCACCGTCAGGAGACCTAGTGCTGCCTTGCCCACTTGGTGACTCAGCGACCTTTGGCCAGCCCCTTCCCCTCTGGGTCTCAGTCACCTCATCTGTAAAATGAGAGGATTGGGCCATGTCCCCTGGAGGCCCTCTCTGCCTCTGATTCACTCCACCACCCCCACCTCCAGTAAGTCAGTCATCTCATGTAGGATGTGTTCATTTCACAGCTGTCTAACCAAGGCTTCTTAACCAATGAGGTTCCCGCACCTCTCCATGAACTACCTGGGGTATGAGCAAAATTGCACATGAGTGTGTGTGCACAATTTGCATTTTTCTAGGAAAAACGTCCATATTTTCACCAGAGTCTAATCCCAAAAGGCTGAGAACCATTAATTATTCTAAACTTTCAAAGTTTCTCTCATCTTTTTATTTTATTTTATTTTACTTATTTTTTGTTTTTGAGACTGAGTCTTGCTCTATCATCCATGCCGGAGTGCAGTGGCGCGATCTCGGCTCACTGCAGCCTCCGCCTCCCAGGTTTATGCGATTCTCGTTCCTCAGCCTTCCAAGTAGCTGGCATTACAGGCGCCTGCCACCACACCTGGCTAATTTTTGTATTTTTAGTAGAGACGGAGTTTCACCATGTTGGTCAGGCTGGTCTTGAACTCCTGACCTCAAGTGATCCACCTGCCTTGGCCTCCCAAAGTGTTAGGATTACAGGCATAAGCCACCACGCCTGGACTTTTTTTTTTTTTTTTTTTTTTTTGAGACATGGTCTCACTCTGTCACCCAGATTGGAGTGCAATGGTGTGATCATAGCTCACTGCAGCCTTGACATCCCCAGCTCAAGCAATCCTCCCACCTCAGCCTCTTGAGTAGCTGGTGTCTTCGGAATTGGTGGGTTCTTGGTCTCACTGACTTCAAGAATGAAGCCGCGGACCCTCACGGTGAGCGTTACAGTTCTTAAAGGCGGCGTGTCCAGAGTTTGTTCCTTCTGATGCTCGGATGTGTTTGGAGTTTCTTCTTTCTGGTGGGTTTGTGGTCTCATTGGCTTCAGGAGTGAAGCTGCAGACCTTCGCAGTGAGTGTTACAGCTCTTAAGGTGGCATGTCCGGAATTGTTCATTCCTCCCGGTGGGTTCATGGTCTCACTGGCCTCAGGAGAGAAGCTACAGACCTTTGCGGTGAGTGTTACAGCTCATAAAGGCAGTGCGGACCCAAAGAGTGAGAAGCAGCAAGATTTATTGCAAAGGGCAAAAGAAGAAAGCTTCCACAGTGTGGAAGGGGACCCGAATGGGTTGACACTGCTGGCTTGGCAGCCTGCTTTTATTCCTTTATCTGGCCCCACCCACATCCTGCTGCTTGTTCCATTTTACAGAAAGCTGATTGGTCTGTTTTACAGAGAGCTGATTGGTCCGTTTTGACAGGGTGCTGATGGGTGCATTTACAATCCCTGAGCTAGACACAAAAGTTCTCCAAGTCCCCACTAGATTAGCTAGACACAGAGCACTGATTGGTGCATTTACAAACCTCGAGCTAGACACAGGGTGCTGATTGGTGTATTTACAAACCTTGAGCTAGACACAGAGTGCTGATTGGTATATTTACAATCCCTTAGCTAGACATAAAGATTCTCCAAGTCCCCACTAGATTAGCCAGATACAGAGTGCCGATTGGTGTGTTTACAAACCTTGAGCTAGACACAGAGTGCTGATTGGTGTATCCACAATCCCTTAGCTAGACATAAAGGTTCTCCAAGTCCCCACCAGATTAGCCAGATACAGAGTTCTGATTGGTGCATTCACAAACTTTGAGTTAGTTTATGTTTGCATTTACAAACCTCTAGCTAGACACAGAGTGCTGATTGGTGCATCTACAATCCCTTAGCTAGACATAAAGTTTCTCCAAGTCCCCACTAGACTCAGGAGCCCAGCTGGCTTCACCTAGTGGATCCTGCACCGGGGCCGCAGGTGGAGCTGCCTGCCAGTCCTGCGCAATGCGCCTGCACTCCTCAGCCCTTGGGCGGTCGATGGGACCGGGCGCCATGGAGCAGGCGACAGCGCTCGTCGGGGAGGCTCGGGCCGCACAGGAGCCCACGGCAGAGGGGAGGCTCAGGCATGGCAGGCTGCAGGTCCCGGGCCCTGCCCCTCAGGGAGGCAGCTGAGGCCCGGCGAGAATTTGAGTGCAGCGCTGGTGGGCCGGCACTGCTGGGGGACTCGGCACACCCTCCGCAGCTGCTGGCCCAGGTGTTAAGCCCCTCACTGCCGGGGGCCCGGCGGCGCTGGTGACCGCTCCGAGTGCGGGGCCCGCCAAGCCCACGCCCACCTGGAACTCGCGCTGGCCCACAAGCGCCGTGTGCAGCCCCAGTTCCCGCCCGCACCTCTCCCTCCAGACCTCCCTGCAAGCTGAGGGAGCCAGCTCCGGCCTCGGCCAGCCCAGAAAGGGGCTCCCACAGTGCAGCGGTGGGCTGAAGGGCTCCTCAAGTGTGGCCAGAGTGGGCGCCAAGGCCGAGAAGGCACCTAGAGCAAGCGAGGGCTGCAAGGGCTGCCAGCACGCTGTCACCTCTCAATCCCCCCTGTAAACAGGACACCCCAACTGCTGTTGGGAATTTGGCCAATGACCGTTCTAGCTACTTCCTGCTGGATAGGGGTGATGAAGGGGCCCTGCAGCTGCAGTGTCCTCCAGAGGGGTGCTCTCTAGGCCAGTAAAAGTGCCAGCGGGTCAGTCCAGGGGTCCTCAGTAGAAGTTGTTAGTTGAACTCATTTGGGGTTCCATTTGTAAGACCATCTGTAGCTTGATGGCCTCGATTCTAGAGGAAACAAATTTGACAAGAAGGTTAAAAATACAGGGCCCAAAGGCAAGTAACAGCAAGATGGCTGCCATGGGACCTACAAGGAGAGAAGCCATGTTGCCCAACTCCAGAGGTTGGTATAAGAATTTGAAAGGCATTGCCTGATTTCAGAAGCCTTTTCCTGTAAACGCCAGGTGGCATCTCTTACTATCCCTGACTGGTTAGTGTAAAACCAACACTCTTCCCCTAAGAAGGTGCAGAGTCCTCCTTTCTCAGCAGTGAGGAGGTCTAGGCCTCGGTGGTTTTGGAGAGTCACTGCTGCCAAAGAGTCTATTTGGAATTGTAGAGTAAGAATAGATTTCGTTATTTCTTGCAAACTGTCTGAGAAATCCTTTGAGAGTGTGTGGTAGTAGGATAATGAAGTAGATAAACCAGCTATTCCAGTTCCTGTAGCAGTAGCCATTCCTAACCCTATAATTAGGGGTATTAGTTGTATGGCTCTGCACTGACGGACTTGAGCTTTGAGGGGTACTGATAAAAGTCTGATTTCCTGGGGCAATGTTAATGTTGGGACTTAGAAAGACTAAGGTGCCAGTGCCGGTCCAGTTAGTGGGGAGGCAGATATAGGTCGATGTTCCACATAAGAAGAATATGCCTTGGCTGGGTAGGCAGAACTTTACCTGGCTTTTAAAGGAATAGGGTACACTGTTTTTTCTTTACTATTTCTATCTCTCTCTTTCTCTCTTCGACTTCTTCTTTGTCTCTCTCTTTCTCTCTTTCTCTCTGACTCCCCCTTTGTCTCTTCCTCTCTTTCCTTCTTTTTGTCTCTGTTTCTTCCTCTCTCTTTCTCTGACTTCCTGTCTCTTTCTCTCTTTCCTTTCTGCTGCCTCTGCCAGCTGCTTATGCTGCTGTTCTCCTCTCTCCTCCAGACATGCTGCCTTTAAGAACTGTAACACTCACCGCGAGGGTCCACGGCTTCATTCTTGAAGTCAGTGAGACCAAGAACCCACCAATTCCTGACACATTTTGGCAACCTTGAAGGGACTATCACCTATCACCAAGCGGTGAGACCATTGTGTATCACTGAGTGAAGGGACTATCACCTATCGCCAAGCAGTGAGTACCATCGGACCCCTTTCACTTGCTATTCTGTCCTATTTTTCCTTAGAATTTGGGAGCTAAATACCGGGCACCTGTCGGCCAGTTAAAATCCACTAGCATGGCCACCGGACTAAAGACACGGATGTCAGGCTTTCTGGGAAAGGGCTCTCTAACAATCCCCTACTCTTCGGAGTTGGGAGCGTTGGTTTGCCTAGAACCAGCTTCCACTTTTCCTGTACTTCTGGGCTGAGCCAAGCGTTGACAGAGAGGAAAGCCATGCAGCTCTGGGGTCCCAACAACAAGTTGGTTGACCCTGTGGCCATGAGCAGAACTCTCAAAGGCATGTTGCCCAAGCAAGACTCGCCCATCTATCCTATCTATCCTGACCCTTGTCCCCTGGGTCCTAATGCTTGCCAGACAAACTTCCTCTCACCTATCTTCTCCAAGGTTAGTCCTGCTTCTAAAAATCACTACCTGTCTCTGGTGCTTTTCTAGTTTCTCCTATAAGAATGACTTCTAGTATAAACTCTGTTACCTTCTTTAGGCACCCAGGCTCACCAATCAGAAAGACATAATTTTTGCCCAAAGCCCCATCATAGTGGGACTACCTGGAAATTTAGGATCCCTTCTCAGACAAACAGGCCTAACAAAATCTATTCCTGAAGCTAGGATATGGGGAGCCTCAGAAATTGTATCCTTCCTGTTCATATAAGTGAGGGCAAAAGGTGTCACTCTTCCAACCCTGGAGATCCCTTCCCTCCCTCAGGGTATGGCCCTCCACTTCATTTTTGGGGCATAACATCTTTATAGGACATGGGTAAGGTCCCAATACTAACAGGAGAATGCTTGGGACTCTAACATGTTTTTGAGAATGCGTCAGTAAGGGCCACTAAATCCTATTTTTCTCAGTCCTCCTTGTGGTCTAGGAGGACAGGGAAGGGTGCAGGTTTTCGAGAATGCATAGGTAAGGGCCACTAAATCCAACCTTCCTCGGTCCTCCATGTGGTCTGGGAGGAAAGCTAGTGTTTCTGCTGCCGCGTCAGTGAGCACAACTATTCTGATCAGCAGGGTTCAGGGACCGTTGCAGGTTCTTGGGCAGGGGGAGAAACAAAAACCAAAACCACGGGCGGTTTTGTCTTTCAGATGGGAAACACTCAGGCATCAACAGGCTCACCCTTGAAATGCATCCTAAGCCATTGGGACCAATTTGACCCACAAACCCTGAAAAAGAGGCGGCTTATTTTTTTCTGCACTACGGCTTGGCCCCAATAGCCTCTCCCTGATGGGGAAAAATGGCCACCTAAGGGAAGTACGAATTACGATACTATCCTGCAGCTTGACCTTTTCTGTAAGAGGGAAGGCAAATGGAGTGGAATACCTTATGTCCAAGCTTTCTTTTCATTGAGGGAGAATACACAACTATGCAAAGCTTGCAATTTACATCCCACAGGAGGACCTCTCAGCTTACCCCCATATCCTAGCCTCCCTATAGCTCCCCTTCCTATGAATGATAATCCTCCGCTAATCTCCCCTGCCCAGAAGGAAATAAGCAAAGAAATCTCCAAAGGACCACAAAAACCCCTGGGCTATCAGTTATGTCCCCTTCAAGCTGTAGGGGGAGGGGAATTTGGCCCAACCTGGGTACATGTCCCTTTCTCCCTCTCTGACTTAAAGCAGATCAAGGCAGACCTGGGGAAGTTTCAGATGATCCTGATAGGTACATATATGTCCTACAATGTCTAGGGCAAACCTTCGACCTCGCTTGGAGAGATGTCATGCTGCTGTTAGATCAAACCCTGGCCTTTAATGAAAAGAATGTGGCTTTAGCTGCAGCCCAAGAGTTTGGAGATACTTGGTATCTTAGTCAAGTAAATGATAGAATGACAGCCGAAGAAAGGGACAAATTCCCTACTGGTCAGCAAGCCATCCCCAGTATGGATCCCCACTGGGACCTTGACTCAGATCATGGGGACTGGAGTCATAAACATCTGTTGACCTGTGCTCTAGAAGGACTAAGAAGAATTAGGAAAAAAGCCCATGAATTATTCAATGATGTCCACCGTAACTCAGGGAAAGGAATAAAATCCTTCTGCCTTCCTCAAGCAGCTACGGGAGGCCTTAAGAAAATATTCTCCCCTGTCACTCTAATCACTCGAGGGTCAACTGATTCAAAAAGATAAGTTTATTACCCAATCAGCTGCAGATATCAGGAGAAAGCTCCAAAAGCAAGCCCTGGGCCCTGAACAAAATTTGGAGGCAGTATTAAACCTGGCAACCTCAGTGTTCTATAATAGGGACCAAGAGGAACAGGCCCGAAAGGAAAAGCAAGATCAGAGAAAGGCCGCAGCCTTAGTCATGGCCCTCAGACAAACAAACCTTGGTGGCTCAGAGAGGACAGAAAATGGAGCAGGCCAATAACCCGGTAGGGCTTTTTATCAGTGTGGTTTACTAGGACACTTTAAAAAAGATTGTCCAATGAGAAACAAGCTGCCCCCTCGTCCATGTCCACTATGCCGAGGCAATCACTGGAAGGTGCACTGCCCCAGAGGATGAAGGTTATCTGGGTCAGAAGCCCCCAACCAGATGATCTAACAGCAGGACTGAGGGTGCCCGGGGCAAGCACCAGCTCATGTCATCACCCTCACTGAGCCCCGGGTACGTTTAACCATTGAGGGCCAGGAAATTGACTTCCTCCTGGACACTGGCGTGGCCTTCTCAGTGTTAATCGTTAATCTCCTGTCCTGGATGACTGTCCTCAAGGTCCATTACCATCTGAGGAATCCTGGGACAGCCTGTAACCAGGTAGTTCTCCCACCTCCTCAGTCGTAATTGGGAGACTTTGCTCTTTTCACATGCCTTTCTTGTTATGCCTGAAAGTCCCACACCCTTATTAGGGAGGGATATATTGTCCAAGGCTGGAGCTATTATCTACATGAATATGGGGAACAAGTTACCCATTTGTTGTCCCCTACTTGAGGAGGGAATCAACCCTGAAGTCTGGGCACTGGAAGGACAACTTGGAAGGGCAAAAAAATGCCTGCCCAGTCCAAATCAGGTTAAAAGATCCCACCACTTTTCCTTATCAAAGACAATATCCCTTAAGGCCTGAAGCCCATAAAGGATTACAGAATATTGTTAAACGTTTAAAGGCTCAAGGCTTAGTAAGGAAATGCAGCAGTCCCTGCAACACCCCAATTCTAGGAGTACAAAAACTGAAAGGTCAGTGGAGACTAGTGCAAGATCTTAGACCCATCAATGAGGCAGTAATTCCTCTATATCCAGTTGTACCCAACCCCTATACCCTGCTCTCTCAAATACCAGAGGAAGCAGAATGGTTCATGGTTCTGGACCTCAAGGATGCCTTCTTCTGTATTCCCCTGCACTCTGACTCCCAGTTTCTCTTTGCCTTTGAGGATCCCACAGACCACACATCCCAACTTACATGGACGGTATTGCCCCATGGGTTTAGGGATAGCCCTCATCTGCTTGGTCAGGCACTGGCCCAAGATCTAGGCCATCTCTCAAGTCCAGGCACTCTGGTCCTTCAATATGTGGATGATTTACTTTTGGCTACCAGTTCGGAAGCCTCATGCCAGCAGGCTACTCTAGATCTCTTGAACTTTCTAGCTAATCAAGGGTACAAGGTGTCTAGGTCGAAGGCCCAGCCTTGCCTACAGCAGGTCAAATATCTAGGCCTAATCTTAGCCAGAGGCACCAGGGCCCTCAGCAAGGAACCAATACAGCCTATACTGGCTTATCTTCACCCTAAGACATTAAAACAATTAAGGGAGTTCCTTGGAATTACCGGCTTTTGCTGACTATGGATCCCCAGATACAGCAAGATAGCCAGGTCCCTCTATACTCTAATCAAGGAAACCCAGAAGGCAAATACTCATCTAGTAGAATGGGAACCAGAGGCAGAAACATCCTTCAAAACCTTAAAGCAGGCCCTAGCACAAGCTCCAGCTTTAAGCCTTCCAACAGGACAAAATTTCTCTTTATACGTCACAGAGCAGGGATAGCTCTTGGAGTCCTTACTCAGACTCGTGGGACAACCCCACAACCAGTGGCATACCTAAGTAAGGAAATTGATGTAGTAGCAAAAGGCTGGCCTCACTGTTTAACGGTAGTTGCAGCAGTGGCCATCTTAGTGTCAGAGGCCATCAAAATAATACAAGGAAAAGATCTCACTGTATGGACTACTCATGATGTAAATGGCATACTATGTGCCAAAGGAAGTTTATGGCTATCAGACAACTGCCTACTTAGATACCAGGAGCTACTCCTTGAGGGACTGGTGCTTCAAATATGCACATGCGTGGCCCTCAACCCTGCCACTTTTCTCCCAGAGGATGGGGAACCAATCGAGCATGACTTTTATGGTCCAGACTTATGCCACCCGAGATGATCCCTTAGAAGTCCCCTTAGCTAATCCTGACCTTAACCTATATACCAATGGAAGTTCATTTGTGGAGAATGGGATATGAAGGGCAGGTTACGCCATAGTGAGGTAACCATACTTGAAAGTAAGCCTCTTCCCCCAGGGACCAGGGCCCAGTTAGCAGAACTAGTGGCACTTACCTGAGCCTTAGAACTGGGAAAGGGGAAAAAGAATAAATGTGTGCGGACTTGGAGAAACTTTACGTCTAGCTAAGGGATTGTAGATACACCAATCAGCACTCTGTGTCTAGCTCAAGGTTTGTAAATGCACCAATCAGCACTCTGTGTCTAACTCAAGGTTTGTGAATGCACCAATCAGCACTCTGTATCTGGCTAATCTGGAGGGGACTTGGAGAAGCTTTATGTCTAGCTAAGGGATTGTAAATACACCAACCAGCACTCTGTGTCTAGCTCAAGGTTTGTAAATACACCAATCAGTGCTTTTCGTCTAGCTAATCTAGTGGGGAGTTGGAGAACTTCTGTGTCTAGCTCAGGGATTGTAAACACACCAATCAGCACCCTGTCAAAACAGACCAATCAGCCCTCTGTAAAACAGCCCAATCAGCTCTCTGTGAAATGGACCAATCAGCAGGATGTGGGTGGGGCCAGATAAAGGAATAAAAGCAGGCTGTCCAAGCAGCACTGGTAACCCGCTGGGGTCCCCTTCCACACTGTGGAAGCTTTGTTCTTTCACTATTTGCAATAAATCTTGCTGCTTCTCACTCTTTGGGTCTGCACCGCCTTTATGAGCTGTAACACTCACTGCGAAGGTCTGCAGCTTCACTCCTGAGGCCAGCGAGACCATGAACCCACCGGGAGGAATGAACGACTCTGGACGGGAGGAAAAAACAACTCCAGATGCACCACCTTAAGAGCTGTAACACTCACCGCGAAGGTCTGCAGCTTCACTCCTGAAGCCAGCGAGACCACGAACCCACCAGAAGGAAGAAACTCCAAACACATCCGAACATCAGAAGGAACAAACTCCGGACATGCTGCCTTTAAGAATTGTAACACTTACCGTGAGGGTCTGCAGCTTCGTTCTTTAAGTCAGTGAGACCAAGAACCCACCAATTTCGCATACACTGGGACCACAAGTGCACACCACCAACCAGGTTAATTTTTAAATGTTTTGTAGAGATAGGGTCTTGCCACGTTGCCCAGGCTGGTCTGGAACTTCTGGGTTCAAACAATCCACTCACCTCTACCTCCCAAAGTGCTAAAACGTCCCTTTTTTTTTTTTTTTTTTTTTTTGAGACGGAGTCTCGCTCTGTCGCCCAGGCTGGAGTGCAGTGGCGCAATCTCGGCTCACTGCAAGCTCTGCCTCCCGGGTTCACACCATTCTCCTGCCTCAGCCTCCCAAGTAGCTGGGACTACAGGCGCCCACCACCACGTCAGGCTAATTTTTTGTATTTTTAGTAGAGACAGAGTTTCACCATGTTAGCCAGGATGGTTTCGATCTCCTGACCTCGTAAATGTCCCTATTCTTGATCTAAATCTTTAGGGAAATGAGTCATGAAAGTTGAGCCCCTACCATGTAATATTTTCTCCTCTTTGCTTGTGTTGAACATCCCCACAGGCTCCCTGGAGCAGCTCCTGCTCCTGGCACCCCAGGCTTCTGCCCTGGAGCCACACTGACCCATGGAGCCCCTCATCCTGCTGCCTCTGGTTCATCTCTGCTGGGATGCCAAAGTGCCCCTCGGCTCTCTGTCTTGTCATTCCTCACCCGTGTCCTCTTCTGGACCATCGCGGCAAGGACCAGTGAGTCTTTCCTGAGGTGGGTGCAGTGACCAGGATGGCCAAAGAAGCCGCAGGGAGGTGCGCCCCCAGGGCATGGCTGGTGGAATCCTGTTGTGTTAGCGCCCTTGGCAGCCTGAGTGTGAGGAGAGCATGGCAGCAGCCAGAGACCCGCGTTCTGGGTCTGACTCTTCCCCTCTGTGGGCCTCAGTTTTTCCATCTGTAAAGTGGAGGGAGGTGGCTTGGAACCCCTGGATGGTTGCTAGGCAACCTTCCTGCACCAACATCCTGGGGACCTTTCTGATTGATGCTGAGGGAAGGGAACTGTCTTGAACTCCCTTTGGCAGAAGAAACTGGCCCAGCAGCTTAGGCAATGGAGCAAGATGACTCCAGGGCCCTTCCTCAGACCTGACTGAGAAAACAGAGCCCACTAGGCACCAGCTTATGGAGGAGACTCACCCCTGGGAGAAAGCAGGGCTTCAAATCAGGCTGCCCACGAGCTGCCTGCGGTGATGAGGGACATGGAGACCCCTCTGGGCCTCTGGAGGGCCCTCATGGAGACCCCTCCAGAGGCCCAGAGCCCAGGTGACAGGCAGCAGCCTCCTGGAGTATGTTTCTGCCCATCTCTGGAAAAACCCAGGTAGGCACTGGTGGGAAGAGAGAACATGCATCCTCCTGCCCTCCGTAGCTGCAGGCCCTGGCAACAAGCCTGGAGGCTCAGCCATCCTCCTTGCTCAGGGGGACTCTCCTGCCCTAGTTCTCAGCCCTGCCTCTCCACCAGCTCCTAATTCTGGGCTGAGCTAGGAGAGCAGGTAAAGGCCTAGGGATCCCTGCAAAGATGCACAGCATGGGGTCTCGAAGACACTCCAGAGAATAGGACCCAGTCCTCACAAGCGCAGAGCAGACCCCCTCCCGCCCCCACCCCCACCCTTCCACTCTTCACTCTATCCCCAAAGCATTAAAGGACAAGACAGGTACGATACTGATAGAGAACATTCTCTACAAAAGTGGCAATGAGCCTGCAGGAGGGATTCGGGGTACAGTGGTGGGAGCACAGAGCCTGCTCCACCCCAGCACCAGAAGAACCAGGAGGGGCTGCGGCAGTAAACGGACGAGGAACAGGAGAGAAGGGGCAGCACCTGGGGCTCTGGGAGAAACAAGTCGGCACTTGGGGGTGGCCCCAGGCTCAGGCCCAGAGAACAGGGAGAAGAGCTGTGGTGGGCTCCAGATGGCGGTGGCAGGCAGCCAAGCCCTCAGTGTCCTGCAGTAGGACAGGGACCATCTCCTCCATGCCCCCTACTCTGGGCACATGTGTGGGAATGGGAACCCCCAGACAGACCAGAAAGAGGCCTTTGAGGGCTCTCTTTCCCCTGCCCCAGCCATGGGGGCCCCAGGAGATGCTGGGGGCTGAGGCCATGCTCCCAGCAGGAGCTGCTTCCCAAGCTGAGGTCAGGGATGGGGGGCCATGGCTGAGAAAGGAGGAGAGCACCTCTGCATGGGGTGCAAAGGGGCGCACACGTGTCAGCGGGCTCATCAGGGACTCTCCCACATCTGTGACCTCAGTCTGGCTGGAGAGCTTTGGGGGCATACGTCAGAGGACACATGCTGTGACCACCCTCTGAGCTGGCCTTTCCCCTGGTCTCACCACCATCAGAGGGCTGGGACACAGGTGAGCTCTCTTACCCCCGATCCACGCAGAATCACGCAACAGCCCAGTCCCTACCAGACCTGGAGGGAAACCTACCAAACACCACCCAACGTGAGTGTGCACACACGCACACATGCACACACACACACATGCATGCACACACACACATGCACACACATGCATGCACACACACAAACACGCACGCGTTCACGTGCACACACACGCACACATGTATGCAAGAACACACACACCCAAGCACACACCCGTGCTCACACATACCACATACTTACACACACATGCATGCACACACGCATACATGCACACAAACATGCACACGCACACAGCCCTGGTGACCTGGGGACAATCTGCAGTTTAGAGGATCCACTTTCTCCAGTGTCCACATCGCAGGACTTACCCACCCCAGGCCTGACACCCAGCCACACCCTGTTCTGCCTGTCCCAGGCCTGGGAGACTGAGGAGGTTGGCGGACACCTTTCTCTAGCCCAGCGCATGCCTGCCAGGCCTGGGGGCTATAATACTGCAGCCCATTGGTCTAGCACCTTGCATCTAGCGCCCTGGCCCTCTGGGGTCCCTGGGGGGCCAGGCTGCACAACGAAAAAGGGGGAGGTTGGAGGAAGACAGGCCAGGCTCCACCCCTGGATGAGCTGGGAAGGGCGTCAGTACCCCCACCCCACCCCAACCCGGCTTTCCAGCTCCGGGCCTTGACCACTAGGTGAAGGAGGGGGAGCTGGCTATGCTTGGGATGGGGTACAGACTGAAAGTTGGGGCATTTGGCTGAAGAGTCTGGCTGAGGAACTTCCCCTCTGGGGTGGACGGGAGGAGGGGAGGCAGCCCAAACTCTTCCCTTCACAACAATGCAGGAAGTGAGCAAGTCTCTGGCCTGAGCACAAGAGAACAAGACCATCAGGGGAGGGGTGGGAGAGGCCACGGCGCCCGGGACAGGTGCACCCTCCCGCATCCACCTCCCACACTCTCATCCAGTTCCGATGCCCCTGCCCTCCCTCTGGGGCAGGCCTCCCCCAAGTCTACATGTCCTTTACGGCTGCTCAGAATGGGTGGCTCAGGGCCTTCAAGACCCCTCAGAACTGGAGTTCCGGAACATTCTCTTGCCCCTCTGGTGCCTCCAGGCCACACCCTCAGCTTCAAGGTGCAGACAGACTTTCAAAGGAGTCGCCCCAACTGGTCCTTGCTCCTGGGGAAGGGGGCTGCAGGGCTGGCAACTGTGAGGACCTCGAGACCCCACCATAGGTTGTGGCAACTTGCAATTCATTTT
This sequence comes from Homo sapiens, assembly GCF_000001405.40. Lineage (NCBI taxonomy): Eukaryota > Metazoa > Chordata > Mammalia > Primates > Hominidae > Homo > Homo sapiens. Next base: position 74,918,050 of record NC_000017.11, read on the forward strand.
GGTCTGGGGAGAGGAGCCCCCGGTTATCTGTGGAGGAAGAGACAGAAAGAAACAGATCTCACATGAGGCCCTCCAGAGGCATCATTTTCACCCAGGGCAGCCATCTGGACAACTTAGCCTCCCCATCTCTCGGCAGGCCAATTGTCAGGGATGGGGGACGCCAGCCTATGGGTGACCTCCCCATCCCCAAAACTCTGAACCAGCCTGCCTCCCCACACCCATCCCTGCCCCAGCCATTCAGGATAACGGCCATAGATACCTAAGAGGAAATGAGGACAAAGTTTGTTGGGCCTGTGGGATGCCATTGGGGAGGGGCCAGGGCAGGGGCTGGCCACAGCATGACCATTGTGGTGGCAGCCTTGGGCAACTATGACGGCCTTTGGAACATGAACTCTGCCTCCAGGGCTGCTGCTGACCCTCTTGGGAGCATTTGCCCACGTTCCTGATTGCAAAGTTCAGGAACAGTAGGTAAAACATCTCCCTAAGGCCAGGCGCGGTGGCTCACGCCTGTAATCCCAGCACTTTGGGAGGCCAGAGTGGGCAGATCACTTGAGGTCAGGAGTTCGAGACCAGCCTGGCCAACATGGCAAAACCCCATCTCTACTAAAAATACAGAAATTAGCTGGGCATGGTGGTGCACTCCTGTAATCCCAGCTACTCAGGAGGCTGAGGCAGGAGAATCGCTTGAACCCGGGAGGTGGAGGTTACAGTGATTGTGCCACTGCACTCCAGCCTGGATGACAAGAGGGAAACTGTCTCAAAAAAAAAAAAAAAAAAATCTGCCTGAGGTCTTGGGCAATTGAGAGGCCCTGCTGACTGCACGCCCTGCATCCCATGGCAGCCACCTTGACCCCAGGCTCTAAAGCCATGCAGACCAGGGATCAAGCCTAGCTCCATGCTGAGCAGCAGCAGGACCTTGAGGTGAGCTATTCTAACTGTCTGAGCCTCCACTTGCTCATTGGCTGTAAAATGGGAACGATATAATCCACCAATATAGTCCAGCGCACACAGGCTTTTAGAGGGATTAAGCAAGAGGACTTGTTCAAGGGCACAACCCAGCACCTAGGAGGTGGGAGGGCTCAAAAACACCCCAGCTGTGATTCCTGTGACTGTTGAAATTCATTGACATTAAGAGGCCCATTTCCCCACTTGTCGATGTCCCCAGAATCGAGGTGCACTTTCACTGTGATAAGAATGCCTCGGGTCATCATTAAATTGGCCACTTCTTTTTCTGAGCTGGTGGTAAATAAAATAAGGGTGCCTTTTATCATCGATGGCCTCATTTCGATTTTATGAAATACAGTATCCCCCACCCCCTACTCCTGAATAGGCAGATCTGTACCCCCTCCCCAGGGGCCTTCCAACTCCTGCTCCTCCATCCCCCCCGCCAGGCTGGACACTCACAGCTCTGTGTCCTCCAGGGCCGGCGGGCGCTCCATCGCCTGCCGCCGCCTCCTCACGGCCCCCAAGATCTTCTTTCGGGGCCCCAGTGGGACGCTGATGCTGCGGAGGTCGAGGTCAGAGCACAGCATCAAAGCCTCGAGGTCGATCTTCTCCTGCCGCAGGAGGGCGGCAAAGTCCTCCATGTGCAGAGAGGCCAGGAAGGTCTCCAGCGGGCTAGTCTCGGGCTCCAGGTCCTCGTCCAAGCCTAAATCGAGCTCATCCCAGGGCAGCTCCTCCCCACAGCTGCGGTCCTGCAGGCTGTTGGCACTGCCCAGGCTGTCATCGTCCAGGCTGGGGGAGCTCTGCAGCCGACCCCGCGGCGCTCCCACCCCATCCAGACCCCCATCCTCGCGGCCCAGTCCGTGCAGCCCACTGCTCAAGTAATTTCTGCGGAACACCATGGTGCCCAGGCCGGGGCGGGTAAACAGGGAGTCGTGGCCTGAGTCGGTGCTGACCTCCGAGTGGGCAGGCTCGGCCGCCAGCGTGGCACGGGAGACGCTGTCCTCGTCCGAGAGGAACATGTCCCGGAGCGGGGCTCGGCCCCACTCCTTGGGATTGGCGTAGGTGCCCTGGCGCACGAACATCACGTCGCTGCCCAGCTGCAGGCCCGAGAGCGAGCGGGCGCTCTTGCGCCCATCCTCGGAGACCTTGAAGGTGCCTTCGCCGCCCTGCTTGCGCCGCTCCAGCTTCTTCTGCATCTTGGTCTTGCCCCTGGCCGTGCCGTGCAGCGTGGCCTGAGAGTACGGCAGGTGGCTGCCCAGCGCCAGATGCTGCAGCCGGCGGCTCAGGGTGCTGGACGTGAGGCTGGAGAAGCTGAGGGTGTCGGAACGCTCGGCCAGCTCGCGCCGGTATCGCCGCTCCATGCGTTCGTGGTGCCTCCGCTGCAGCTTGGCGCACTCGCGGATGCGCCGCTCCGCCTCGCGGAAGGCCTTGTCCTTCAGCTTACCCACCAGCTTGGGGTTGAGGCTGCTCTGCTTGGCCGCGATGGAGTCCAGGTAGCGCACGCATTCCATGTGGCCCTTCATGGCAGCCATGTCCAGCGGCGTGTGGTAGTCGTTGTCTAGGCACCAGATGTTGGCTCCGAAGGACACCAGGAAGGACAGGCAGTGCAAGTGGCCATTGGAAGCTGCCAGATGCAGGGGTGTGTTGCCCCAGATGTCACACTTGTCCGGGTCACCCCTGCAGGGAAAGCATTCAGGAGGGACGAGTGACGAGTCCTGGCTGGGGATGGAGGTGGAGGGAGTGGAGGGGGGAGGGGAGCTTCCCCACTGTCACAGCAACCCCCAAAGGGACCGTGGGCCTGAGATCTCTCCCACTCCAGGAGACCTGCAGGCCTGAGCCACCCAACAGGTGAGCCCAGGGGTGAGCCCAGGGGAAAATGGCCTCAGGCATGCAGGGGGTGGGGTGACAGAGAAGGCGGGACTGGGGCGGGGCCTTCCCCAAGCTAACTGAGGGCTGGGAATCTCAGGGGATGAATATTTGATGCCCTGAGAGAAGGGAGTAAATTATTGATGGGGCCCAGCACAGAGCTGGCCCAGAGCGCTGGTGGGCCAGGGCCGCGTCTGGGTCTCTAGGCAGGCGTGGTGGTGAGTGTGGCTGCGTGTGCCGAGTGACCGTAAAAGAGAACAGACCAGTGGGTGGTGTGTGCCGGGCCCCAGCCCCGGGTGAGCGTGTGTGAAGTGTGGGCTTGCATGTCAGCAGGCAGGGCCCTGTCTGCAGGGAGCAGGGCCAGCCCTGGCAAGCCCGAGTGTGAGAGGAGGTGTCGGGCCTTGGCCTGGGCGGGGAGGGGAGTGTGGGGGCAGCCAGGACTGGAGGGGAGGAGGAGGGAAATCAGCTGCCCGTGCTCCGAAGCCCTCCCTTCCCTAGGTTGCCCCCTCTTTGGTATCCCTGCAAGGCTGGCTCACTTGAGCCTGTCCAGGGACCCCCGACAGCCCCCACAAGCACCCTTCACACCAGACGGGTGTCCCCCAGGGCAAGCTCCCAAGACTCCTCCGGAGCTCTCCCTCCCTTGGGGGCCCAGCACAGCACCCCTGCCCTGCACTAATGAGGCCACAAGGCCAACCCCCAGGGCTGGGGGAAGAATCACTCCCTTGTCTCAACAGCTCCCCACACACCCCTTCCTGGGCCTCCCCTCCTGGCCGCCAAGTCCTGCAGGCCAGTGTGGGAAGGACCTGCCAGCACCCAACCCACAACCCATCAAACACCAATCCTGGTCTCTGGAGGAGTTGGGGCTTGGTGTACCCAAGGGGAGCCCTCTTCCCCTCCTCTCATGAGCCTCTCTGAAGGGATGGCAGGGACAGTGTCACTGTGTGCCCTCCTGGGGTGGGGAAGGGCCAGCCAGCCTTGGCCTCACGGGACATGGTTCAGCTGCCCAGGCTTCAAGGCTGCTCCCACCTGATGCTGGGCCCAAGGAGCAGCCCAAGGAGAGGGCAAGAAGGAGGGGTCTCCAGCACCTACTACATGTTCAGGCACTGGCCAGTACCTGGTACCGGGGCCAGCTAAGCCCCTGGCCCTCTCTCCCATGACCTGAGACTTCATATCAACCTTCCTGGGGTGTCCTGTCCAGGCTGCCCTGATGCCCAGACCAACCTGACTTCTCTTTATAAAGCCACTGGGGCTGAGGGAGTTGGTCACAGTCATTTGACTTTAGCCCCAAGGAACCCATATCAGTGGCTCTGGTCCTGGAGGTGGCTCAACTGCCACCTCCAGGCCCCTTCCCTGGCACTGACACCTGCACTGTATGCCCACCCCCCCACCCAGGACAACTCCAAAGGGAGGGGGAGGGAAGAGAAGCCCCTTCAGGGTGACCACATCACAGCCTCCACCATTGCTTAGCTGTGCCCGGCTGTGGGGGAGGGACTTGGAGAGAGTTAATGGAGTGGCTGAATCAGTGACATTTGGCGCCCTGGACAGTGTCCATAAATCCCCAAAATGAGCAGGTTGAGGGCAAGCGCTGTGTGACACCAGCCTGCCGGAGAACGTGGGTGCTGGCTGGCAGAGCCCTTTGGATCAAGGCTGGAGAGTGGGCAGTGGAGACCCCTCCCTTTCTAGCCCCCACTGCTGGCCCCTCGAGACTTCCTAACCTTCTCTCCGAGTCTCACTATCCCCTCACTCTTGCTTCCAGGGGGACCCCAGCCAGGGGATCTCTCCCACCTTCCCCTCACTCTGCAGCAACCCCCCATAATCAGGAACCCCCAAATCCCGGTTTCTCCCCTCCTAGCCCCAGATCCAGGTCACAAGTGTTAACAAGTGTCAGATGCCTCCGCTTGGGTCCCCTCAACATGTGTCTCTCCCACAAACGCCAGGGTCTAAGGGTCCGCCTGTCTGCAGGGGAAGGAGGCAGCTCAGAGGAGTGGTGGACGAGGAAGTTTGGGGTGGTCTCAGGGGCCTCAAGGGCACTGGGTGGGGCGTACTCACCCGCGGCTCACAATGAGACGCAGCGACTCGAGGTTGCCATGGTAGGCAGCCCAGAGAGTGGGGGTCATGCCATCCTCGTCGGGGGCATTCAGCTCCTTTCGGGTGGCCTCCTTGAGGAGCTCCAGGTAGCCATCCCGGGCTGCCCGGTGGTACTGGTCGTTCATGGCGCCCGAAGTGGACGGGGCGGGCGGGGGACACGGAGAAAGGCCCCCCGCAGGGGAGGGCGGCGGTATTAGGGCTGAGGCATGAGGTTGGAGGACGGGGCCGGGCAGGGGCCGGGGCCGCCAGCCCCCGCTGCCGCAGACGGAGGGTGCGGAGCGCCAGAGCCGCGACTACCAAGACATCTGAAACGCTCACCCGGGGGCGGGGGCGGAGGGGGCGGGGGACGAAATCTCCCGCTGTCCAGGGAGCCGCCCCCGGTCTTCCCCTGGGTCCTAAACACCCTGCATGCACCTCAATACACGAGGGTGACCCACGCAAGGCCCTGTCCTCCTCTTCAAAAGTGCCCACCCCGGGGCCGCGCACTGTGACGCCCAGTCCGGGGACAGTCAGAGATCTGTCCTCACTAGAGCCTGGGGCGCTGTGGCTCCGTATTTCTCCACCTGTCAGTGGAACGAACCGAGAGCTGGGGAGGGGTGCCGGAGGGCGGGGTGGGGGAGCCGTCCTGAGCCCCAGGACAGTGGACCTAAGAAGGGGCACCGTGACCGACCGCGGTTCGGTCAGCGAGTGGGACGGGCCAGGCCGCCGCCGCCTGAACGGAGTCCCTCGACCGCACTCCAGCAGGGGGCGCTGGAGGACTGGCAGCGGCTCCGCGTGCCGCGTGGAACTTCGCACCCAAGCCCCGGAGTCCAACGGAGCGCGGGCCGGCGGCGGGGGCGGGCAGGGCGGTGGGATAGAGGAAAGGGGAGCTTGGATCACTGCGAGGACCGTGGGGGAGAGGGGAACTGGGGTTGCCATCCCAGGCAGGAGCACAGGAGCACAGGATTCAGGGTGCGCCGCGGCTGGAGGGCGTCAGGGTGCCCGCAGGCTTTTTGGACGTCTCTTGAGCTTAGCTCTCGGGGCTCTGGGCGCCTGGAATGCTGCGCGCCAGGGCGCGGTGGGCACCAGGGGCGGGGTGCCCTCTAGGTGCCGCAGTGCGGGGCCGCGCCCGAGCCTGGCCGCACCGGGGTGACGGAGTGGGGTCGCCTCTCAAAGGGTAAATATGAATCTTGCCTTATCTGGCTCCAGCGGGCTCTTCCCTAAATTCACCTTGGAGAAAGATGGATCATGTGAGCGGGACTGAGAGCTTTATGGAGCCAAACTCCCGCAGCTGTAAATCACCCTGTCCTCCTGGGTATAAAGCGCCTGTCCATCTCGGCGTGGGAGAGAGGAGACGCTCGCCGTCCCCTGACCCCCAGCTCAGCGCCGGCTCCAAGCCCAGCCAGGTGGGTGCCCCGGGCCGGAGGGCAGTCGGACTTGGGGAGTGGGGACCTTGGAGGGGTCCAACCGGGTGCTGCCGCTTCTCCTTTCTTCCCATCCAGCGAGAGGGGCAGGTTCCGCATTTTCTCTTCCCCTTTCCCAGCGCTTCCTCCAGCACCCGAAGCCCCAACCCTGCGGGTCAGGAACTCCCTAGTCCCCAAGTCTAGGGATGAGATGGGGGAAGGAGAGCCGTCAGGGTTGACCTGGAGTTTTGTCCGCTCCTCCCCTACAGTGATCCCTCTAGCCTTCTCCAGTCGCCTCCGCCATGTCCGAGGAGCTGGCCCAGGGCCCCAAGGAGAGCCCCCCGGCGCCGCGTGCGGGCCCCAGGGAGGTGTGGAAGAAGGGTGGCCGCCTGCTGTCGGTGCTGCTGGCGGTGAACGTGCTGCTCCTCGCCTGCACGCTCATCAGCGGCGGAGCCTTCAACAAGGTGGCCGTGTACGACACCGACGTGTTCGCGCTGCTCACTGCGATGATGCTGCTGGCAACGCTCTGGATCCTCTTCTACCTCCTCCGAACCGTGCGCTGCCCCTGCGCGGTACCCTACCGGGACGCGCACGCTGGCCCCATCTGGCTCCGAGGTGCCAGGGGAGGTGGGGGCGAGGTAGGGTGGGCACAACAGGGAGCTGCAGGCTAGGGCTCTCGCAGGAGTTGCAGAGTGCAGATTGACATACGAGGGCGAGAGGCTCCCTAGGGAGGACCAGGAGGACCGGAGGGTGAAGTGGGCTGCAGTTAGGGAAAAAGAGGAAGGTAAGGGGTCCTGGGGGAGGGATGAATAGAGGGATGGAAGGGGACCTCTTTGCCCCCGGTCTGAAGATTAGAGAAGGCTGGCTGAGGGAGGGCCTTTGATGGAGAGCAGGAACCAGAAGATGGCAGCCACTGAAAGAGCTCAGCCAGGGCCCTTTGCGGTATCCACACAGCCCCAAAGAGAGGGGGGCTTGGTAGCAGGTCCATCCATCCACCCACTCAGTCATACACTCACCCTTCCATCCACCCATTCACCTTTCAGTCTGTCTATCCACCTATCCACCTGTCCTCCCACCCTCCCCATTGATCCATCCAACAGTGCACTCACTCACCCATCCACCCACCCATCTAGCCTCCCATCCTCAGGGCCTGTCCTCAGCTCGGCAGGCCTTCTCTCCTGCCTCTTTGATCCACCACCACCACCCACCCACCCCTGGTTTCCAGGTGGGCTGGTGCTGTTTGGAATCTGCACCCTCATCATGGATGTCTTCAAGACCGGCTACTACTCCAGTTTCTTTGAGTGCCAGTCAGCCATCAAGATCCTGCACCCCCTCATCCAGGCTGTGTTTGTCATCATCCAGGTGGGTGGAGGAGTGTCGCTGTGTGGAAGAAAGGAGCTAACACTTGGCCATTGGGAAGGACCCAACAAGGGGTCGGAGACCTGAGCTCCATCCGCCTCGTATCCTGAGCTATTAAGTAAACCAGGGACAGGGCTGTAGAGAGCATCACAGGAGTCCATCAATGTGGAAACGCCTCATAATGAAGTAACATCCCAACGTGAGCTCCCACTTGGAGCTCTGCAATGTTATTTCAACCTAAGCAGTGCCAGTAGTTAACACCTAGGAGGTGTGAGTTGTGCCAGCCAGCCCTGTCTCCTAGAACCTGGCCTGCCCTTCTTGGGTGCCCGTAGGGGGCTTCTGTGTCAGCCCAGGCTCCTGCCAGCTTGGTCCCTCTGTGCTGTATTTGTTTGGAAAGTAGGGTAGCCTGTAACTGGGATTTCTCAAACATTCACTTTGTAGTTGTTGTTGCATAAACAATACTTTGAAAGATCTTCTGATTGAGCTGAGACAGGACTGGGCTTAGATGGGATCAGAACAGCCCCCAGCCCTCTATCATGACCAAAATGGCACCATGGATGATGCCCTCCCCAGAAACATCACTCCTGCTGCCCAGGTTTTCACAGTTCAGCACACATGTGGCTGTGGCATTTATGTAGTTTTAGTCTTTCGTATTTTATGGGTTTGAAGAATACTCAGGTAAAATGAAAATATAGATATCCCCACATCACCAAATGCCATAGCAGGGATTCACAGGCAGCCAGATGGTAGCAAGGCCTGGTACGGTGACAGAGGAAGAGGATGAGCAGGGGATGTTGTCAAATGAAGGTGAGAAGTCCACAGAGACTCCTTCCACCCTGAGCAAGACCTAACCTGAGGCTGGCCTTGCTCCCAGAAAAAAAAAAAAACTAGATAGTCAAAAATCTACTTGACCCCCATCTCCACACAAAGTAAACCCCACCACGAGCAGGGTTTTACATGTGACGTTTTGCAAACCTTTAAAGAATGGAGAACCACTATTTTATACAAACTGTGTCAGAATAGAAAAAGACAGTGCTCCCCACCTAATTTTTTTTTCTTTTTTCTTTTCTTTTCCTTTTTTTTTTTTCGAGATGGAGTCTCACTCTATCGCCCAGGCTGGAGTGCAGTGGCACGATCTCGGCTGCAACCTCTGCCTCCTGGGTTCAAGCGATTCTCCTGCCTCAGCCTCCCAAGTAGCTGGGATTACAGGTGCATGCCACCATGCCCAGATAATTTTTTGTGCGTTTTTAGTACAGATGGGGTTTAATAGAGATGGGGTTTTACCATGTTGGCCAGGCTGGTCTCAAGCTCTTGACCTCAAGTGATCCACCTGCCTCAGCCTCCCAAAGTGCTGGGATTACAGGCGTGAGCCACTGCACCCAGCCTCCACCTCATTTTGTGAAGCTAAAATGAACCTGATAACTCAGTGTAAGGGTTCCTCAGGCGGAGAGAACAAGATGGCATGGACTTGGGTGCGCTGGAGTTTTGTCCATCTATGGAGTAAATGACTCTCACCAATGTCTCTCCATACAGACCTACTTTCTCTGGGTCTCTGCTAAAGACTGCGTTCACGTCCACCTGGATCTGACCTGGTGAGAACTGCAGCTCGATGCCTGTACCCAGCGTGCTGGTGTTCACCTTGCAGGAGAGATTCAGGCTTTCCACCCTGGGGCAGGGCCTCTCTTTATGTCCCCTGGGTGGGGTTGCAGCCAAGCCCTCCTTGCTTTGTCAGGCTGACTTCCACTACCTTGTGGGGCCCTTTCTCCCAGGGGAGGGAGTGGTGGTGGCCCCCGGGAAAACCTCCTAGCCCTCTCTTTGGTGGCATACCAGCCAGGCTGTGTTCCTACCAAAATCAGCTTCCCTGTTCACACAGGGCCTGGCTGCTTTATCATTTCTCAACACCAGCTCTCAGTATTGCTCCCCAACCTGCCAAAGGGTCACAGGCCTCTTTGTCCCCACCCCTGACCCCAAACAGGTGTGGTCTCATGTTCACACTCACCACCAACCTGGCCATCTGGATGGCGGCCGTGGTGGATGAATCTGTGCACCAATCCCACTCCTACAGCAGTTCTCACAGCAACGCCAGCCACGCCCGTCTCATCTCTGACCGTGAGTTTCCTCTTAATGCTGGCCCTGTGGCTACCAGGCCTTGGGCCGGGTGCTTTGTGAATTTATAACGTCAGTCTCCTGTGCCCTCATGAGGGCATAGAGGCAAAGGACAGAGCCAGGGTCCTCCTCCTGTTGCAGGATCTACCTCTGCAGTATAGGTGTAGGTGACCCCAGAAGGGAAGTATCAGGGGTACCCTTTTATCCTTGAGGCTGCAGCCCAGGCCCCCCTGTCCAGTCTCCATCCCACCAAGAAGGGACCCAGGACCAGGTGCAGTGGCTCATGCTTGTAATCCTAGCACTTTGGAAGGCTAAGGCAGACCAATTGCTTGAGCTCAGGAGTTCAAGACCACCCTAGGCCAAATGATGAAACCCCGTCTCTACAAAAAATACAAAAAAATAGCCCATTGTGGTGGTGCATGCCTGTGGTCCCAGCTACTATGGGAGGCTGAGGAGGGAGGATTGCTTGAGCCTGGGAGGTCGAGACTGCAGTGAGCTGTGATTGCACCATTGCACTCCAACCTCGGTGACAGAGTGAGACCCTGTTTCAAAAATTAAAAAAAAAGAGACCCAGACCCAGAATCCAGGAAGAAAGGGCAAGAGTGATCAAGCTGGGAAAAGGAGAAGGGAGGCAGAGTGGTTCTGTGGTGCAAGCATGGATCAGATGGGAGAGCCCGGGAAGGAGGAGAAGGTGAGAAATAATCATGGCATCACAATGGTAAGGGTGGCAATTTACTGAGGTCTGTATGTCAGGCACTGTGCTGAGTGTCTTAAACACTCCATTTAACCCTCAACACTTCCCTGTGAAATAGGTACTCTCCCCATTCCCATGCATAGGTGCAGAAACTAAGGCAGAGAGAGCTTAAGTAGCTCACCCAAGATCTAGCACTAGCATTCATATGCATCTTTGTTTTTAAACAATATGCTAAACTAAGGAGGAACGGGATCCAGTCTCCAGTCCTCATTCTCTGGACTTCTCTAGGGTCCCCCAATAGCCAGGACCAGACAAGATAACTAAGACATGCACGCTCCTAGCATGGGAGGGTCCGGCAACAGAAAGCATGGCCCCTGCCCTCAGGGAGACCCCAGCCCAGCAAGCCTTACAAAGAACCACCCTGCACAGAGAGGACTCCTGAGGGTGCAAAACCAAACCAGGGAGGTGATGGACTTCACATGGGGGCCTGCAGGCTGGAGAGAGGCCTGTCAGAGAAGTACCTGTCCCGGGGTCAGAAGTCAGGCAGTTGGCGTTGACTCTGCCCTTACAAGTCACATCACCACGTTAAGCCTCAGTTTCTTCATCTGCAAAACCAGCTGGGCTAGTTCTTAGGATGAAAAGAGACGTTTGCCAAGGCCCAGAGTATCCTACAAACACATTCTGGAATCAAGTCAAGACTCCTTTCCATGTGGTACAAACAGAAGTAACGGGAGGTCATGGTGGAGACTTGGGCACAGCAGCTGGCTTTCTGGGCTGAATCAGATGGTAGGGAGAGCTGTGAGGAAGCCTGAACTTTAGAGGTTCCCAAGAGAGCCACTTTCTATCTCAGGGAGCCAGGGCAGAAAGGGATGGAAGGAATGGAGTGGGGTGAAGTGAGCAGTCCTGTGGTTCAAACTGTTTTGTTTTTTTGTTTGTTTGTTTGTTTGTTTGTTTGAGACAGAGTCTTGCTCTGTCACCCAGGCTGGAGTGCAGTGGCGCGATCTCGGCTCACTGCAACCTCTGCCTCCTGGGTTCAAGCAATTCTCCTGCCTCAACCTCCCGTGTAGCTGGGACTACAGGTGCATGCCACCAAGCCCAGCTAATTTTTGTATTTTTAGTAGAGACAGGATTTCACCGTGTTGGCCAGGCTGGCCTCAAACTCCTGACCTCAGGTGATCCACCCACCTTGGCCTCCCAAAGTGTTGGGATTACAGGTGTGAGCCACTGCACCTGGCCTGGACTGTTCTTACTGAGCACTGATGTGTCCCAGTCTCTGGCACACAGTAGGTGCTCAAGAAATATTTGTGAAGTGAAGGAGTGTGCCACGCCCTGTAAAGGCATGAGGGATACCGTGGTGAATATAGCAGTCATGACAGACAGGGAGCCTGCCCTTAACAAAGGTCACAAGCTAGGCTGGGCGTGGTGGCTCACGCCTGTAATCCCAGCATTTTGGGAGGCCGAGGCAAGCAGATCACCTGAGGTCAGGAGTTCAAGACCAGCCTGGCCAACATGGCGAAACCCTGTCTCTACTAAAAATATAAAAATTAGCCAGGTGTGATGACAGGTGCCTGTAATCCCAGCTACTTGGGAGGCTGAGGCAGGAGAATGGCTTGAATCCGGGAGGTGAAGCTTGCAGTGAGCCAAGATCACACCATTGCACTCCAGCCTGAGCATCAAGAGTGAAACTCCGTCTCAAAACAAAACAAAAAAAAAAAGGTCACAGGCTAGGGGTGAGACCTCTCTAGGAAGGCAGGAGGGCTGTCCAGCCCTGTGTCTCTCTCCACAACAGAGCATGCAGACAACCCGGTCGGAGGAGACTCCTGCCTCTGCAGCACGGCCGTCTGCCAGATCTTCCAGCAGGGGTACTTCTACCTATATCCCTTCAACATCGAGTACAGCCTCTTCGCCTCCACCATGCTGTATGTCATGTGGAAGAATGTGGGTAGATTCCTGGCCTCCACCCCTGGCCACAGCCACACCCCAACCCCTGTCAGCCTCTTCCGGGAGACCTTTTTTGCTGGCCCGGTTCTGGGCCTGCTGCTCTTCGTGGTGGGGCTGGCTGTCTTCATCATCTACGAGGTTCAAGTGAGCGGGGACGGGAGCCGCACCAGGCAGGCCCTGGTCATCTACTACAGCTTCAACATTGTCTGCTTGGGACTCACCACCTTGGTCAGCCTGAGCGGCTCCATCATCTACCGTTTTGACCGCCGGGCCATGGACCACCATAAGAACCCCACGCGCACTCTGGACGTGGCCCTGCTGATGGGTGCCGCCCTGGGTCAGTACGCCATCTCTTACTACTCCATCGTGGCTGTGGTGGCGGGCACACCCCAGGACCTGCTGGCAGGGCTCAACCTCACCCATGCACTGCTCATGATCGCCCAGCACACCTTCCAGAACATGTTTATCATCGAGAGCCTTCACCGAGGACCGCCCGGGGCTGAGCCTCACAGTACCCACCCCAAGGAGCCCTGCCAAGACCTCACCTTCACCAACCTGGATGCCCTCCACACGTTGTCCGCCTGCCCACCCAACCCCGGGCTGGTTAGCCCCAGCCCTTCAGACCAGCGGGAAGCAGTGGCCATCGTCTCAACCCCCAGAAGCCAGTGGAGACGCCAGTGCCTAAAAGACATTTCTCTGTTTCTCCTACTCTGCAATGTCATTGTGAGTAGCTGGGGGGAGAAAGGGTGGGCTTGGGAGAAGAGACTGAGGAAGGATGCTCTTGCAGGCTTAAGCCCTTAGCCTTCTCTGTCTTGCCCCCAGCCCGCCTGAGAATCTTACAGCTCTCTAGGAAAGGAGCAGGTTCAGAGGGGGCCAGCTGTAGCTTTGGGGCAAATGGCATCTCAGGGCACACAGAGAAAATGAAATCCTAGCGTTCTGGCATCTAAGCAGCAGATGGAGCTGGAAGGGTCCCAGGGAAGGTTGACACAGGGGCTGGGCAGAGGTGAGAGGGAGCTGAGAGCTGATGTGGAAGGCGGGGTCCTCACCCCCCAGTGGGAGGTGTGACTGCTCCTGGGAACTTGTGATCTGCCTGCTTCTCAGAATAATTGGAACAGTGTCAGGAAGTAGCGGAGACCAGTGTTAAGTGTGAGCGGTCTGTTAGCAGAGTGAACTGGGAAGGAGGGCATCTACAACAGCCACCCCCTCCCTAGTGACTCAGCAAAGATTAAGAACAACAGACTTGGCCGGGTGCAGTGGCTCACGCCTGTAATCCCAGCACTTTGGGAGGCCGAGGCAGGCAGATCACAAGGTCAGGAGTTCGAGACCAGCCTGGCCAACAGGGTGAAACCCTGTCTCCACTAAAAATACAAAAATTAGCCAGGCGTGGTAGTGTGCGCACCCTATAATCTCAGCTACTTGGGAGGTTGAGGCAAGGGAATTGTTTGAACCCAGGAGGCGGAGGTTGCAGTGAGCTGAGATTGCACCATTGCACTCCAGCCTGTGCAACAGAGTGACACTCTGTCAAAAAAAAAAAAAAAAAAAAAGCAATAGACTTCACCCAATACAAATATATTCTCTGTATAGAAGTACCCCAGGGCAGAAACACTGGTAATGAAAGTGCATACCAATAGGAAAACACTCCTGGTGTTTCTAGTACAACCCAAGACAGAAATGGCCCAGTGGGGGCTTATTATTACCTCTGATATAGAAACATGTACCTATGTGGGTACATCTCAAAGAGAAAAAAACAATTCTAATGAAGTTTCACTCAATAGAAAAACAATCCTTCCAGCTAGAACCTCCAATAGAAAAATATCCCTAATATAGAAAATTACTTAATGTGGGTATATCCCAGGACAGAGCAAGAGCCCCAGAGTGAATTCTACCCCATGAAATCCTACCTGCATGAGGTACACCAGTGGCCCTAACTAAGAGTCATTCTTAGTGAGGTCCCACTGTGAAGGGCCATCCACCAGGTCATGGTCCCCATAGATGTGGGATGATGCCACGCAGGAGCCTTCCAACACAATCAATTTCACTTAAAAAAAATGTGGTCATCAATCTCTGACCCTACCAGCAGAATCATTAAGGTCCAGACCTCAGCATGTCTTGGAACGTCTTTGGTACCTGGCCCCCTGCCCTCTGGCCCCACCTCCACCTTCCACCCAGGCCTGGCTTATAGGCTAGGGGCCACCTTCTGGGAGGCTATTCTTGCTCCAGGCATCTGAGCCTAAATCACCTCCAGTAGCATCTTCTCCATCTCCTTCATTTTATAGGACAGAACAGGCTTAGAGGGGACTGCAATGTGCCCAAGGATGAAGTTAATCAGGGGTAGGGGTGGAGCTAGCCTAGAAACCTTTGTTCTTTGCTTCTTACCCACACCTGAATCTTCTGAGCTCCTAGCCAGAGAGGAAGCAGGATTCCAACTTCCACTTCCTCCCACTCCTGGAAAGGGAGAAGGGGATGAGGGGAGAGCTGGAGGGCAGAGCTCAAGGAGGGCTGGGGTGGGGTGGCCTTCTGTCTGAACCCCAAACCCCTGCCTTGAGCCTATCTGATTCTGCCACCCCCACCCCTGTGCACAAAACCCCCCAGGACAGAGCTGCTGATTTCACTGTTTGTACCTCTTCTTCTAGAGAAACCTCTTCTCCCCTCCCCAATCCCACATTGAGGCCCTGCTAAGATTTTGGGAGAGGTGATCACAGGTGTCCATGAGGTGGGCTAGCCTAGGGATGGCGAATTCAGTTGGGCTCACTTCCTGAGCCCCTTAGAGTGTGCTAGGTCCTGTCCAAAATGCTAGAGCTGCCCATTCACTGACACCCAGCCCTCCGTGTCCACCAAGCTAGAAGGATGGGCCGCCATCTAGCCACGGCCCAGCAAAACCCACAGAAATGACCCACAGGCATCCATCCAGGCCAGCTCCTGAAATGCTCCTCTCTCCACACAGCTGTGGATCATGCCTGCCTTCGGGGCCCGCCCTCATTTCAGCAACACAGTGGAGGTGGATTTCTACGGCTACTCCCTCTGGGCGGTCATCGTCAACATCTGCCTCCCTTTCGGCATCTTCTACCGCATGCACGCTGTGTCCAGCCTGCTGGAGGTCTACGTGCTGTCCTGAGGCCTCCAACAGAGGCATGGGGGGCAGGAAGAGGGGGCTCAGCTCATGTGCCCACTCAGACACCCTCTGGGAATGAATCCCAGCTGGTGCCATATGACAGCCCATTTCCTTCTGGTCCCAGAGTGGAATTTTCACAAAAGTTATTTTTCCAGGTTCAATTTTTAAATCACAGTCAGGACAGGCCCATCCACCCCAGTATGACCGTGGGGCATGAGGTGACTGGGGAAGGGAGACCTCTCCTGGCAGCATTTCTAGGACCCAACAAGATCTGGAGGTGCCGGCTCTGGTTCCATCTCTAATCCCCTGCTGTGGCCTGGCCAGTGTACTGCCCGGAGCTGGAAACCAATAAACCTGTGATTTGCCCCCATCCCCACTGTTTGTCTCTGTTGTCCCGTCTGAGGTGGTCACAGGAGAGGATCTTGGGAGTCAGAGCGGGAAGGGCCCCTGGAGATTTTCAGGTCTCAAGTTTTGCAGTGTGTGAGCAAAATCCAAATGACAGACTAGCTACAGGGTGGGTAACTGGAGTTCCCAAACTGCCATCTTCCTCTTCCCTTTATCTCCAGGTGGCATATACATATAATCTTTTTTTTTTTTTTTTTTTGAGAGAGTGTCTCACCTTTTTGCCCAGGCTGGAGTGCAGATAGATCACTGCAACCTTAACCTCCTGGACTCAAGAGACCCCCCCACTTCAGCCTCCTGAGTAGCTGGAACTACAGCTACTACTGCCACCACGCCTGGCTAAATTGTGTGTGTGTGTGTGTGTGTGTGTGTGTGTGTGGAGATGAGGGTCTCATTGTGTTGCCCAGTCTGGTCTTGAACTCCTGGGCTCAAGTGATCCTCCCCCCTCAGCCTCCCAAAGTGCTGGGATTACAGGCATGAGCCACAGCACTCAACCTAATCATTTTCTTTGTGTGTGTCCCATGACAGAAGAAAGTTTAGGAAGCAGTGACCTAGTCTAATGTCTGCATTTTACAAAGAAGGAAGCTGAGGCCCAGAGAGGTAAAGTGACTTGCCCAAGGTCACACACCTGCAAAAAATCCAGAGCCTTTCTGCTAAGAACAATAATTTTCAAACTTTGTTTTCAAGCAGAACATTTTTCCCTTCAAATAAAATATTACAGGAACACAAGTTTATAACATAGATATAGGCTGTGTGCAGTGCCTCACGCTTGTAATCCCAGCACTTTGGGAGGCCGAGGCAGGCAGATCACTTGAGGTCAGGAGTTCGAGACCAGCCTGGCCAACATGGCGAAACTCTGTTTCTACTAAAAAATACAAAAAGTAGCCGGGCATGGTGGCGTGCGCCTGTAATCCCAGCTACTCAGGAGGCTGAGGCAGGAGAATCACTTGAACCCAGGAGGCAAAGGTTGCAGTGAGCCGAGATCATGCCACTGCACTCCAGCCTGTCTAAAACAAAAACAAAAACAAACAAACAAAAAAGATATAAACAAGGCAGTTCTAATTTAAAAGGAGTTGGGAGTCTCAGATCCTCACCACTTGACTTCCCCCTGCCCCAGGAGGTCCCCGAGGAGTTTCCCCTAAGCCCTAGGGTTTCTACTCTACAAAGGGTATAGAGATGCTTAGGAGGGAAGACAGCAGAGAGATGGGAAGGAGGCTCCACAGTTAGAAGAGTGAAAGGTGGTGGTGAGCATGCAGAGGCAGAGGGAGGGGAAGGGCTGGGAGAGGGAGGGCTGGGCGGGACCCATGGAGCAGATGGCATTTGGGGGAGATCATGGGAACAGCAGCACTGGGAGCTCAGGGGACTTTGAGGAAAGTGTGCCTGGACCCTGTCAGCAGAAGGAGGTGAGTAGTTCTCAGAGGCCGCAGGTGGAGCTGAGGAGGCCTCCTCCCCTGTCAGAATGGGGCTGTGCTCCAACTCTCCCCACCAAGTTCAGGTTTGACTTAAGGGAAACACAGGGTCCTGCTAGGCGGCCTCCAGGCCTGGGGCTAGGTAGGGTACAGGAAAAAGCGACTCCAGGCCTGGAGGGAGGGCGTCCATTCCCAGCTTGATCACCAAAGGAAAACGAGGCCTGAATTCCGCAAGCTCTTTACTGCGGACCTAAGAACACTGCACCCCTCTCCACCCCATCCGAGGGCGGGCTGCGAGTTGGAGACCCTGCAGGCCCGCGCCTGCACAGCCCTCAGCCCCGCCCGCTTGTCCAGCTGCCTCGCAATTGGCTGCACCCTCTGGGTCCGAGCCCCCGGGAGGGTAATTAACGAGGGATTAATGAGATTTCCAAAGTCAACAGAAAAATCGATGGGCCGCGGAGCCCGAGCGGCGGCTGCGCAGTCCCGCTGGGGGAGGGCGTCGCGGGCATCGGTCTCACCTGGACGGACGATCCGCTCAGCGCCCGCAGTCGGTGGTTAGCCCACGGCGATGCCTCTCCCGGCCTCAGGTAAGCCCGGAGCGCCGGCGGAACTTTCCCAGCTTGCGCACCCCAGACACTGGCACATACTACCCACCCCCCCAAAAGGGGGGTTCACAAGTAGGGGCTGCAGGGATTGGAACGGGAAAGCGGGGTGACTGTGGAGAGGTGAACTCCCTTTAATCTGAGGCCGGCCCCTCCACCCGCCCCGCAACCCGCGCTCCGCGCCCCTACTCCTTTCCGTGGACCCGGGGAGCACAGAGGGCCTCAGGGCGCGACTCCTCCCGGCCGGGTCCACACAGCAGAAAGCGCGGAGGCCTGGGGTGTGAGGTTGGTTGGGGCTGTCTGGACGCCCGGTCTGGGGCACGCAGGAAGCGGCTGCCCCGGCCCCGCAGTCCCTAAAATGGCTCGGAAGGAAATCCCGAGGGCGCCCGCACTCAGCAGCCTCCTCGGAGCCGGCCCTGCGCTGCTGGGCCGGGCGCCGGGCCCGACGGCTCCGCGGCTTTCATCGCCAATCCAGCCGAGACCCACAAACCAGTCCAGTGTCCCGGCCCTCCCTTGGACTGGCGTCGCGCCCAGGGGCGTGCCAGGGGGCGGCAGAGTACTGCTTGTCAGTTCCAGGTGCCCTTGCCCCAGCCTTCTGCCCGAGACCCCTAAATGCCCACTCCTGCCCCCTGCCCAGCCCGGGACCAAATTCGCTCCTTTGAAGGCTCACGCCAGCGGCCTTTGGAGGGCTGGACTTCAGGGTGGGAGACGGGGGATACTGTCAGGGCAAAGACCCCAGAGGAAGGGAACCTGGAACCTTGTCCCCCAGTGTCCCCTCCAGGCCTCCAGTCTGAATAAAATTCACCCTTGAAATTTCACCAGTAATCCCGACCCTTCCCAGCTCTCCAGGACCTCAAAAGAACTGGAAGGAAATGCAGAGATAGCCAACACTGAGTTTTCCAGGTGCCAGGCATTGCCGGCATTACTCTCTGCCCGTGCTTCGTGCATGTATTAAATCATGTCATTCTGACAAAGCCCCTATTCGGCATTCATCACCCCCCCACCCTTTTTTTTTTTTTTTTTTTGAGACAGGGTCTAACTCTGTCCCTCAGGCTGGAGTTCACTGTGGCGATCACAGCTCACTGCAGCCTCAGCCTCCCAGGCTGAAGCAATCCTCCCACATCAGCCTCCCGAGTAGCTGGGACTACAGGTGCATGCCACTACACCTGGCTAATTGTTTGGTATTTTTTGTAGAGACAGGGTTTTGCCATGTTCCCCAGGCTGGTCTCCAACTCCTGGGCTCAAGGGATCCGCTCACCTCAGCCTCCCAAAGTGCTGGAATTACAGGCGTGAGCCACTGCAGCCAGCCTCGTTCCGGAAGTCTTTATTGAGCATCTACTATGCACCAGCTACTATTCCATAGTTGTATATCAGTTTTGCAGATGACAACACTCAGGCACAGAGTCTAAGTAGCTCTCTGTAGTAGTCTCAGTAGTCTAAGATGACAGAGGTAATAAGTGCTGGAATCTGAGCACTTGATCATTAATCTACCCTGCTTGGGGGCTGGAGGAGAGGGTGCAGGTTTTGGGGAAGGTGAAGTAGAGCAGTTACAGTTGGGATATATGGAGCAGGGAGACATCCCGGTGAGCCCCAGCCTTGCTCAATTTGGGTGGGGGAGCTTAGGAGGGAAAGATAAAGATCATCGGGAGTCTCCTCCCCAGCCAGCCCGGAAAGAGTTTAATGGGAAGGGTCTCTGTCCACAGCTCTGGTGCTGAAAATTTCCCAAAAGATGCCAGAGTCAGTGGGCAATCACTGGGTGAATGTCACATCTGCACTAGGTTTGGGGGGTCCAAGTTAAGCAGGACCCGGTCTCTGTCCTGGAGGAGTTTCAGGACTTAATGGGAGCCAGCCACACCCACAGCACACCAAACAGGGCACACCTCTCAATAGAGGGGAGTGGCCCCAGCAAAGTAGCACCAGAAGGCTTAGGCAGAGAGGAAGGCTTTCCAGGTGGGTGGGGAGGATGGGCGAGTGGTGGGGGAGGCAGAAAGAAGAGCAGTGTCCAGGAGGGATGGCAGGAGGCAGGAGACCATGGGAGAAACGCAGAACTTTCTACCTGGGCCTGGGTTGGTGTGGGAGGCAGGTGCCTTGAGTACGGCAGGGGTGGTGGGACAGGGAGGAGACAGAACTTAGGCAAGGATGACAGAGTGGAGTGGGAAAGGGGAGAAAATCATTTATAGAATCTTGAAAAGAGGCTTAAGTTTTAGTGCTCCATCTGCCCCAGAAGAGAACAGCAGAAGGTATAAATATGGAGCAGGTGGAGAATGGGAGAATATGACAAGGGGAGAATGGGAGCCCGGAGAGGTTGCATTTTCAAGCCAGATATGGTGAGAGTCTTCTGGTGTTGCATAGAGGGCACGTCTGAAGCTCCTGAAGCCTGGGGTCTCAAGGGAGAGACAGAGCAAAGCACAGCTAATGGAAGCAGAGGACGATGGGTGGTCAGCGTGGGGTGAGGTGGGAATGCTGACGAGGGAAGGCCGCAGAGAGGAGGCAGGGTCTCTGCCGAGTCCTGAAGGACAAGCTAGAGTTACCCAAGGGGCAAAAGGGGTAGGCATTAAAGGCAAAGAATAGGGTGTGGGCAAAGACTGGGGGCGTTCCAGGAAGTGCAGCAAGATGGTATAGCCCAAGGAGAGGGGAGTAGGGTCAAAGACAATGCTAGAGGGGTAAGTTGAAGCCAGACCAGGAAGCAGCAGCAGCTACTCTGCCTTGGGCAGAGAACCTGGAACCTTGTCCAGGCCCATACTAATCATACACCTCTCATTTTGAGAGGCCATGCAGGCTGTGTCAGTAATTTGGACTTTATACTGAGGGCAATTAGTTGCCTTTGCAGGACTTTAAGTAGGGGAGAGGCACTCTGGGCAAGAAGACCAGTCCAAGAGAGCAAGGAAGGGGGCCCAGACTAGGTAGTGGTTGAGGTCAAGAAAAATCAGGGCCAGGCATGGTGGCTTACACCTGTAATCCCAGCACTTTGGGAACCTGAGACAGGAGGATCACTCGAGGCGAGGAGTTCAAGACCAGCTTAGGCAACATAACGTGACCCTGTCTCTGCAAAAAAAAAAAAAATTAAAATTAGCCAAGGGTGGTGGCACATGCCTGTAGTCCCAACTACTCATGAGGCTGAATCGGGAGGATCACTTGAGCCCAGGAGTTCAAGATTGCAGTGAGCTATGATGGTGCCACTGCACTCCAGGCTGGGTGACAGAGCGAGACCCTAGCTCTAAAAATAGACAAATAAAAATCTAAGAGCAACTTGTGAGCTGGAATGAACAAGCCTGGGGCCTAAGAGAATGCAAGGGATGAGGGGAGAGGCAAAAAGGACACCCAGTTCTCTGCTAGGAGGTGGGGAGATGGAGATGTCACTCTGAGATTGTGACATTAGGAAGCAAGAGAATGGGAGCAATGAGCACCTAGAACCCTGAGCTCAGAGCACAAGGGCAGCAGCAGGACCAAGGAAGAGCCTGGGTGGAACAGGGGGTCTCTAGGGAGCCTTCTGGGTCAGCTCAGCCTCCCCACCAGGAGAGCACCCAGAAGCAGCAGAACCATCCCCACTCTCAACAGCACCTCAGTCCCACCAGGAAGAAGGAGTGTCCGGTGGGGAGAGCATGCTGGACTCAGAGCTGCAGGCATTGGATGGCCCAAAATCTGGTCTTAGCAAGTGGTGACAAAGTGGTTGGCCTGTGTGAATGCTTGGGAGAGGTGAGGAAATGGCAGGAGACATTCAGGAAAAGAGGAGGGTAACGATCGTGTTTCCTACGTTATGCCAGGCACTCGTGGGACTTCCGGGAGTGGGGGGAGGGGCACAGAAATAGAAGCCAGTTCCTTCAAAGTCAACCTTCAAAGTCAAGGGCGTGGCAGCGATGCTGATCCAGGCCTGTCCCATGCTCTCAGAAGACATTGTGAATCAACCCCAGAAACTTTTCCCTAAACCTTTAATGTACTTTAAAATTATTTTATTTATGTATTTATGTTTAAACTCAGGGTCTTGCTCTGTCACTCAGCTTGGAGTGCAGTGGTCCAATCATAGCTCACTGCAACCTTGATTTCCTGGGCTCAAGCCATCCTCCTGCCTCAGCCTCCTGAGTAGTTGGGACTATAGGCATTAAACCATCATACCTGGCTAATATATATATTATACACACACACACACACACACACACACACACACACACACACACACATACATATATACATATATGGGGTTTTTTTCGGCTTTTTTGTTTTTTTTTTTTTTTGAAGAGATGGTGTCTTCCTATGTTAGCCAGGCTGGTCTTGAATGCCTGGGCTCAAGCAATCCTCCCACCTGAGGCTCCCAAAGTGCTGAGATTACAGGCATCAGCCACCATGCTCAGCCTAAAATTACTCTTAATTACATAAGTACTGTGCTAATTTTTTTTTAAAAAACTAGAACAGTAAAGCTAAAAAGTCTGCTACTCCCAATCCCAGTACTCTCATCCCAGAAGAAACTCCTATTGTGAAACTGATGGGTATAATCTAGACCAGCAGTCCCCAGTCCCCAGGCTGCGGACCAGTACCAGTCCATGGCCTGTTAGGAACCAGGCCGCATAGCAGGAGGTAAGTGATGGGGAGGGAGCATGACAGCCTGAGCTCTGCCTCCTGTCAGATCAGCAGTGGCAACAGATTCTCATAGGAGCACAAGCCCTATCGTGAACTGCACATGTGAGGGATCTAGGGGTTGCCCACTCCTCATGAGAATCTAATACCCAATGATCTGAAGTGGAACAGTTTCATCCCGAAACCATCCCTCCACCCTCCATCCATGGAAAAATTGTCTTCCACGAAACTGCTCCCTGGTGCCAAAAAAGTTGGGGAGGGGACTGCTGGTCTAGACCTTTTAAAAGTAATCATATAGGTGCTTGTATGTTCCCATAATACAGTATTGTTTCAGATCACACCATTCTTCCCTACCAAGCCCAGACACAGCCTCAGGATGCTTCTCTACAAGACATTT
The DNA here is from genome assembly GCF_000001405.40 of Homo sapiens. Lineage (NCBI taxonomy): Eukaryota > Metazoa > Chordata > Mammalia > Primates > Hominidae > Homo > Homo sapiens. The sequence goes on from NC_000017.11 coordinate 74,940,925, forward strand.
TAGGCAATCATTTCCCAACCAATCAGGGTCAGAATAAGAAAGGCCACCAATTTGCCCTCCCTGGTGTCAGAAGTGAAAGTCCTACCAGAAGGCGGAAGGACACCGCTGCCTTTTCATGGCAAAAAGTCACAGCCCTAGAAACTGACCAGGCACTAGGCAGACGCTGACTTTAGGATCAGGCACAAGTCAGGAAGTGGGGTTGAGAGGGAGGACATGATCCTCACGCCAGTCAAACTAATTCCCCATGTTTATGTGCAGCACGAGAGGTTTCCGTAGGGTCTCCTGGTCTGTTTGAACCTCCTCAGGTCCTGTAAGATAGATGGGGCAGCTGCTATTAGTTCCAATGTCCCAACCACCCAACCAGAGAGGCCGCATAGCTGACCCTGGGTCACACAGCGGTTAGGGGCAGCGTGGACTTGAACCCAGGACAGCCTGGCAGTTAACCCAGGACCCTTTCTCCATCTCCAGCCCCTGCTGAGGCTACACCCATGCCTTCTTCAGAAGCACAGGAGACTGAAGCAGCCCCGGAGAAGGAGAACCGAGTGGATGTGGGGGCCGAGGAGAGAGCGGCCGCCACCCGGCCCCGGCAGAAGTCCTGGCTGGTGAGGCATTTCTCTCTGCTGCTGCGGCGGGACCGGCAGGCCCAGAAGGCTGGACAACTCTTCTCGGGGCTCCTGGCCCTGAATGTGGTGTTCCTGGGTGGCGCCTTCATCTGCAGCATGATCTTCAACAAGGTGGCCGTCACTCTGGGTGACGTGTGGATCCTGCTGGCCACGCTGAAGGTCCTCTCCCTGCTTTGGCTTCTCTACTATGTGGCAAGCACCACCCGCCGACCACACGCCGTGCTCTACCAAGATCCCCACGCGGGGCCCCTCTGGGTGCGGGGTGAGTGTCAGGTTGCTGGGGGGCTGGGCAGGGGTGGGGAGGGAGAGCCGGTTCCGCGCAGGTGCCAACGCCCGCCCACATGTCCGGCCAGGTTCCCTAGTGCTCTTCGGCAGCTGCACCTTCTGCCTCAACATCTTCCGAGTGGGCTACGATGTGAGCCACATCCGCTGCAAGTCACAGCTGGACCTTGTCTTCTCTGTCATCGAGATGGTCTTCATCGGCGTCCAGGTGACAGGCTTCTCACGTCCCCACATCACCGAGGACATACCCTATCTACCCATGCCATGCACACACCTCCCACTACCTATGCCTAGGAACAGCCACACAGGCAAATACCTAATGTCCCAGGGTCTTTGCACACACACCACACCCCTCACACAAGTGTCCACGTCCACACATACCCACGGGTTCCTGCATCAACACACACACCGTGTCACCGAATGTAGACACTTAGAAGTCCAGCTGTCTATGCGTATGTAGGCATATCCCTGGATATACACTCCCTACATGTATAAACCTTCTCTTAAGAATACAATCTCGGCAGGGCGCAGTGGCTCACGCCTGTAATCCCAGCACTTTGGGAGGCCGAGGCAGGCAGATCACCTGAGGTCAGGAGTTTGAAACCAGCCTGGCCAACATGGTAAAACCCTGTCTCTACTGAAAATACAAAAATTAGCCGGGTGTGGTGGCGCACGCCTGTAGTCCCAGCTACTCGGGAGGCTGAGGCACAAGAATCGCTTGAACCCAGGAGGCAGAGGTTGCAGTGAGCCAAGATCATGCCACTGAGCTCCAGCCTGGGCGACAGAGTGAGACTCTGTCTCAAAAAAAAAGAATACAATCGGCCAGGCGCGGTGGCTCACACCTGTAATCCCAGCACTTTGGGAGGCCGAGGTGGGTGGATCACAAGGTCAGGGGATCGAGACTAGCTGAGACCATCCTGGCTAACACAGTGAAACCCTGTCTCTACCAAAAATACAAAAACAAAATTAGCTGGGCGTGGTGGCAGGCGCCTGTAGTCCCAGCTACTCAGGAGGCTGAGGCAGGAGAATGGTGTGAACCCGAAAGGCAGATCTTGCAGTGAGCCGAGATTGCGCCACTGCACTCCAGCCTGGGCGACAGAGCGAGACTCCAAAAAACAAAAAAGAAAAGAATACAATCTCCAGCTTCCTCTTAGGTTTCTCTTGTCACCAGGCATTGTGTTGGGTGCTTCGTTCCCGCAGTCTTATTTCCCCCAACAAGAAAGCACTTCCCCAAAGGGTGGGCTTTTTGGTCCCTTTTCCCAGCTGAGGCAACTAAGGCTCAGAGATGGTTTGCCACTGATTCAATACCACACAGCAAGAAGCAGTAGAGCCAAGATTCCGACCCAGTCTTTCTCCCTGTGTCTTTCACTGTAAATACACGCATGCGCCCCAGGAACTCACACTGTGGTCCCACCACCTCCACCAGCCCCTGGGCTCAAGGCCCTGTCTCTTTCAGACCTGGGTGCTCTGGAAACACTGCAAAGACTGTGTTCGGGTCCAGACCAACTTCACTAGGTAAGACTTCTCTCCCTCCCAAACCCTCTGGCCTCTCTGTCCTCCCCACCACTTCCCTGGTCAGGGTGGCCGCGGGGCTATAGGTTAGTCTGGGATGTGTCCTAGGTGGCCCCAGGGCTGCCTCTTGTGTCCTAGTGCCAGTGTGACACTAGGGAGTGAGTGGTTGGGAGTGAGTGGTTGCCCCAACAACAGTGGATGGTGAGGGTTTGGCACCTGGGGAGCCGGCCAGGGTGTGTGAGAAGAGTGTGGCATTTCCCCCAGGTGTGGCCTGATGCTGACCCTGGCCACAAACCTGCTGCTGTGGGTTCTGGCCGTTACCAATGACTCCATGCACCGAGAGATCGAAGCTGAGCTTGGCATCCTCATGGAAAAATCCACAGGTATGGAAAGGAGACCAGGTCTTCCTTGCCCTGAAACACACACACACACACACACACACACACACACACATAAACGCTACACTCTCTAAAACAGGTGAGGCTCAGTAGGTCTATAGAGTTGGGAGCAAACTCTAGAGGCCAGATTAGGAATCAACAGAAAACTGAAGTTTGCCAGTGGTCCCCATCCCACCCCATCAGGTGCTGACGCCCTGCACCCAACTCCAGGTGTCCAGCTAGCCATCAGCAAGCCAGCCACTGATCCTGGCTGAGAGAGCCACTAAGTCCTTCAGGTATGCACCCCGCCCGTGGCATTTGCATTTTACTTGCAAGCAACTCAACAGCCTCCCGGCTGAAAGGAATATCTTCCTAACACAATTTTAGGTGCCTGGCCTCATCAATCAGGTGGGACGGAAGATATCTGGACAGAAAAAAACTCCCAAGATTGTCCCATATGCCTCACCTCCTATCCTAGAGGCTGCATCCCATACCCTACATGGGAACACTGCTCTGTGGGATTGAGCCACACCTGTATGTACATGCCCCACCCCGCCCCGGGTGGCATCACCATCACGCCCTGCAGCCCAGCCCTCCCAGCACATCCACACATTCACATACCCGCTGCATCAGTCACGACACGCCTGTGTACTGTGAGCATTCTATATACTCTGCTTGCATTTCTCAGAAAAGCTGTGCAAAGAGAGAATTTTTGCCAAGTGACATCATGGATTTTGAAATTATAAAATAATTCAGGGCTGGGCACAGTGGCTCACGCCTATAATCCCAGCGCTTTGGGAGGCCGAGGCAGGCAGATCACCTGAGGTCAGGAGTTTGAAACCAGCCTAGCGAACATGGCGAAACCCCGTCTCTACTAAAAATACAAAAATTACCCAGGCATGGTTGTGGGTGCCTGTAATCCCAGCTACTCAGGAGGCTGAGGCATGAGAATCGCTTGAACCCGGGAGGCGGAGGTTGCGGTAAGCCGAGATCGCACCATTGCACTCCAGCCTGTGTGACAAGAGTGAAACTGTCATAAAACAAAATAAAATAAGATTCAAGCATTACAAATGAGTAGAAGAACAAGACATACCCATCATCTAGGCATAATAATTATTAATATTTGGCCATATTTATTTATTTTTAATTTTTGCTGAAGTACTTAAATTACAGAAATCATGACATTATATCTCAAAATATTTCAGCATGCATCTTTTTTTCTTCTTTCTTTCTTTTTTTTTCTTTTTGAGACAGGGTGTCGCTCTGTCACCCAGGCTGGAGTGCAGTGGTGAAATCATAGCTCACTACAGTTTCAAACTTCTGGGCTCAAGCGATCCTCCCACCTCAGCCTCCTGAGTAGCTGGGACTACAGGCACATGCCAGCACACCCAGCTAATTTTTAAAATTTTTGTAAAGATGGAGTCTCACAAAAAAATTTCTGAGCCCAGACTCATCTCAAACTACTGGGTTCAAGTGATCCTCCCTCCTCAGCTTCCCAAAGTGCTGGGATTATAGGCATGAGCCACCATGCCGGACCCAGTGTACATCTCTTTAGAAAGAGATGTATTCCCCCACATGACCACAATGCTATTACAATTGTTAACAAAATCCTTTAGCTTCATTCTGTCCTCTAAATCAATCTATATCCCACTTTCTCCAGTTAGCCCCAGAAATGTCTTTTACAGACGGTTTGTTCAAACATGCAATGCATTTGGTTAAGTCTAAATTGGTGTTTTCCCACTGACCTTGAGACTTGTCAGGTTGCTTCCTCCTGGCAGTGTTTAACTCACATCCCTCTCCCCTACTTTTCCTTGGAACGGGAAGTATAGACAAAATCTTGATTAGATTCAGGTTAGATATTTTCGGCCCCAGCTTCTTCCAGGTGATGCTGTGTGCTCTGAGGGACAGGGATGGCAAGGTACTAATGACTGATGACCTGACCCTGAGTGCTGCTAAGGCCGATGGCTGGGTTCCGCTGTCACAGCCACGGGTTTTCCCTTGAGCCCAGGAAGTAATCTGTGGAGGTGACATTTGACACCAGAGACATCATGTGAGGGTTCTTGGGGTTTCGGTTTTTGGTTTATTTGAGACACACTCTCACTCTGTCACCCAAAGTGGAATACAGTCATGGGAACACGGCTCACTGCAGCCTCAACCTTCCAGGCTCAAGTGATCCTCCCACCTCAGCCTCCCAAATAGCTGGGACTACAGATGTGTGCCATCCGGCTAATGTTTTTTGTTAGTTTTTGTTTTTTGTTTTTTGTGGTTTTTTTTTTTGAGATGGAGTTTTGCTCTGTCGCCCAGGCTGGAGTGCAATGGCACAATCTTGGCTCACTGCAACCTCTGCCTCCCGGTCTCAAGCCATTCTTCTGCCTCAGCCTCCCGAGTAGCTGGGATTACAGGCACGTGCCACCATGCCCAGCTAATTTTTGTATTTTTAGTAGAGACGGGGTTTCACCATGTTGCCCAAGCTGGTCTTGAACTCCTGACCTCAGGTGATCCACCTGCCTCAGCCTCCCAAAGTGTTGGGATTACAGGCATGAACCACCGCACCTGGCCATGTTTTTTATTTTTAGTAGAGACGAGGTCTCACCATGTTACCCAAGTCGATCTTGAACTCCTGAGCTCAAGCAGTCTTCCTGCCTTGGCCTCTCAAAGTGCTGGGATTACAGGCATGAGCCACTGCGCCTGGCTGGCATCATGTTTTTAATGCTTTACGTAAGTTTGGCATCTGAAGTCTTCAATTCCTTTGAAAAAGAATGACCATTCTGTGGGATTTGTGATCTCTTTGCCTGGGCCTCAGTTTCCACATTGGTAAAATGAGCGGCTGGGTCGCTTTCAGCTCTAGTGTATTCCAGGGAATGGGAGGTATCTGTGTAGCCAGTTTCCTCAGAGCAGAGCCTGCCTGAATGTCTGTCCCTCCCACCCTGCCTCCCTCCCAGGCAATGAGACCAACACCTGTCTGTGCCTCAATGCCACCGCGTGTGAAGCTTTCCGGAGAGGCTTCCTGATGCTCTACCCCTTCAGCACTGAGTACTGCCTCATCTGCTGTGCTGTGCTGTTTGTCATGTGGAAGAACGTGGGCCGCCACGTGGCACCCCACATGGGTGCCCACCCTGCCACCGCACCCTTCCACCTGCACGGGGCCATCTTCGGGCCGCTGCTGGGCCTGCTGGTGCTGCTGGCAGGTGTGTGCGTCTTTGTGCTCTTCCAAATCGAGGCCAGTGGCCCTGCCATTGCTTGCCAGTACTTCACCCTCTACTATGCCTTCTATGTGGCTGTGCTGCCCACCATGAGTCTGGCGTGCCTGGCGGGCACAGCCATACACGGGCTGGAGGAGAGAGAGCTGGACACGGTCAAGAACCCTACCCGCAGCCTGGATGTGGTGCTGCTAATGGGTGCTGCACTGGGCCAGATGGGCATCGCCTATTTCTCCATCGTGGCCATTGTGGCCAAGCGCCCGCATGAGCTGCTCAACCGCCTCATCCTGGCCTACTCGCTGCTGCTCATCCTGCAGCACATCGCTCAGAACCTCTTCATCATCGAGGGCCTGCACCGGCGCCCACTCTGGGAGACAGTTCCCGAGGGCCTGGCAGGAAAGCAGGAGGCTGAGCCTCCCCGCAGAGGCTCCTTGCTGGAGCTGGGCCAGGGCCTGCAGCGGGCCTCACTGGCCTACATCCACTCCTACAGCCACCTCAACTGGAAGCGGAGGGCACTCAAGGAGATCTCACTCTTCCTCATCCTCTGCAATATCACAGTAAGTGGCTGGGCTAAGGGGCCTGGAGGGTAGAGGTGGCCAGGCAGACCCAGAAAGCCTCACTCAGGAAGGGATGGATCAAGGACACATCTTTTTCCAACTAGCTTGATGCTGCTTGAGAGTGTCCCCCCAGTTCCCTACAGGGTGCCTGGCACAAATGAATGTGCCAAGCACTTGGCTAAGTGCTCTTCACAAACAAATATGTAAGACATCCACCCTCCAGAAACTTCCTGTCTAGTTGGGAAGACACCACTGAATTCATCATCCCTGGGTTCAGTCAAAGGAAGAGATCAGGAAGTACCTGATTTTCTAAGACACTCCTAGAGGAAGATGTTGATAATGGCTGCCCAGCTTCTGGCGGAAGTCCCAGGTACACCTTTCCATGCAATGTCTCTACGCTTCATTGAATCATGACAGTAACTCCATGCAACAGACACTATTGCTGTCCCTTTTCACAGAGGAGGAAACTAAGGCTTAGGTTATTGTACCTGCCCAAGTACCCACAGCCTGTAAGTGGCAGGGCTGGGACAACTCAGGGTTGTGTTTGACTCCAAGCAATCAATGCACTGAAAACATACCTGAGAAATGAAACCTCTGGTCCAGGCAGAGAATAAATTGGCTCTAAAGTGCATTAGGAGCTCAGCAAAGGAACTGTGGGCCTGCATAGCCAAGGAAGGCTTCATGAAGTTTTGATCTGAGCCTTGAGGAAGGGGTAGAATTTGGACAGGAAGGTAGGAGGGGGCAGGGGGTCATAACTAGCAGAAATGACAGGGCACAGTGGCTCACACCTGTAATCCCAGCACTTTGGGAGGCCGAGGGAGGAGGATCCCTTGAGCCCAGGAGTTTAAGACCAACCTGGGCAACACAGGGAGACCCTGTCTCTACAAAAAAAATTTTAAATTAGTCTGGGCACGGTGGCTCACGCCTGTAAGCCCAGCACTTCGGGAGACTGAGGTGAGTGGATCATTTGAGGCCAGGAGTTGGAGACCAGCCTGGGCAACATGGTAAACCCCATCTCTACTAAAAATACAAAAATTAGCCAGGCATGGTGGTGCACACCTGTAATTCCAGCTACTCGGGAGGCTGAGGCACGAGAATTGCTCAAACCCAGGAGGCAGAGGTTTCAGTGAGCTGAGATCGTGCCACTGCACTCCAGCCTGGGTGACAGAGTGAGACTCTGTATCTTAAAAAATAGTAATAATAAAAATAAAAATTAGCCAGGCATGATGGTGCATGCCTGTAGTCCCAGCTACTTGGGAGGCTGAGGTGGGAGGATCACTTGAGCCCGGGAGGTTGAGGCTGCAGTGAGCTGTGATCCTGCCACTGCACTCCAGCCTGAGTGACAGAGTGAGACCTGTCTCAAAAAAATAAATAAATAATAAAAATAAAAAGTAGCTAGCCGAGGAGTGAAGCCCGAGCTCAGGGTACAGGGTGGGGGTGCCCAGCTTGACAGAGCAGGTGGCGCGCTGGGAATTCCTGCTTCTCCCCACACGTGGCGGCAGCCTGGGGTCTCCTGACCCATCTGAAGTTCAGGCTGGCCACAGGCAAGCTCACAGAGATGGCTGGGGATAGCTAAGGCCTTCTGCAGTAGGGCGAGAAAGATCTGGGGGAAAGAAGAGCTCACGCTGAAAGCCCAAGGGTTAGAAGAAGACTGAGCGGGAGGTGGGGGTGGCACTGGAGGGGCTGCAGGTTTGGGGGCTGCCTCCCCTGAACTGAGTGCCTTGGGGCACAGGAGAGCCCTTCCCTAACTCAGCACATCCTCTTCCCCAGCTGTGGATGATGCCTGCATTTGGCATACACCCGGAGTTTGAGAACGGGCTAGAAAAGGATTTCTACGGCTACCAGATATGGTTCGCCATCGTCAACTTCGGCCTGCCTCTGGGGGTCTTCTACCGCATGCACTCTGTGGGAGGCCTGGTGGAGGTCTACCTGGGGGCCTGAGGCTGCCCACCCCCGGCAGAACCTCGAAGTGCCAAGGTGGGGAAGATGGTAGCCCAGAGTCTCTGAGCAGATGCCTCATTCTGAGGTGCCGAGACCAGCCTGAGGCTCTCAAGGCCTCCTGCTCCCCAGAGCCTCACTGAAGGGGAGGGCACTGCCTAGAGCCAGAGGCCAACAGCAGGGGCCTGGACACTGAGCTTCTGATGCCCACGGCCAGGCCTGGGCACATGCCTGCCCCCTGCCTTCCCACCACGATCCGCAAGCCAAGGGTGCACCCCAGGAGGCTGGCAGGGGCCCCCTCACGGCTACTCTGTGGGAGGGTCAGACCTACATGACCGAGTCTGGGGAGCTTGGCGAGGGGCACCCCTCTCCAGCCAGGACTCAGAGGTCTGCCCCCTGCTGCGAGAAGAGCACCTGGTCCAAGTGTGGCTCTGGACATCCTCAGAGCTCAGAGCTCCGAGCTAGGAGGCCAGCTCCTCTCCCCACACACCTGTCTCCTAATGAGCTCATTCATTGGCTGCCAGGCAGGGTTCAACAGCTCTCTCCTGCCGCATAAACCCTATTTGTTTAATGGATTGCATTCAGGCTCATGGCATTTGTTCCCAGGGACAGAACTGCTCCTCCGGACATGGTGGGAAGGAATGGTCCTTTTGAGTAGGGCTGTGGGGCTGGGACAGTCCTGCTTCCGGGCCAGGAGGGGTCTAACCCAGTTCTTCCTTGGTCTGATCCGGGGGAAGAGGTGGGAGAGACAAGTCCGGGCTCGTGTCTCTCCACCCCCACCCCTCCCCAGCACACCCTCTCTCTAGGACAGAGCCCCCGGTGACATTCTGCAGCGGGCTCACCATGCAGGCTGTGGCCCCTGGCTGCCGGTCCCAGGCCTGGCTCATCTCCTGAGCCATCAGGTAGGGCAGGAACGGAAGAGAAAGGGCAGGTGTGGCAGGCCATCCGTCTCCCTGAGCCCAGTGCAAACAGTGGGCTCTGCCTGGGACGAGGCCAGAGAGGGCAGCCCTGGCCCTGCAGGTGAGGCTCTGCCCTCCTCCTCACCCACCCCCACCGAAGTGAGTCACTAGCAAGCATAGCCCTCCCAGCGCTGTCTCAGTGGCTGCCTGGTGAGGCCCCATGGCCTCTCCTGTGGGCTCTTTCTCTGGGCAGCAACAGCCCAGGGGCCCAAACCCTAGGTGACAGGGTCTGATCCTGCTTTCCCACCCAAGAAAATAACAAATGCTGGTTCCCAGTCATGCACTGGGGGCCCTCTGGGGTGCAGAGTCCCCAGCTCCCCTGAAGACAAGAGCCACACCTGGCCCCTCGCCTCAACCACAGAGTCAGAATGTGGAGCAGGAGGTTTTATTGTAAAGAGGCCGATTGTACAGAGCAAAGATTGTTCTGACACGGGGGGCTGGGTGGTGGGACCCAGAGGCCAGAGCTGGGTGAAGGATGAGGGGTGGCATCGCCCCATCCAGGCAGTGGGCAGGGCAGGGAGGACTAAACGGCTGCCTCCCAGTTCCCTTCCCTGCCCCTCATTACTGGGTAAGAGGGAGCCAGGCTATTTCCATGGATCCAGGAGAATATAGCAGGAGACCCTCACCACCCCACACCATGCCCCAAGGATACGGGAGGTGCCCCAGTCTGGCTTTTGCAGTCGGCCAGCTCCCAGCCTCCTCGAGGAGCAGCCTGGCCACACCTTTTTCCCCTGGAGCCTGGAACAGCTGGCTTTGGGTTAGGAGGCTGGAAGCACCCCCTTACCCTGTCCAGGCACCTCAAGGGACAGCCCGTGGTTCCCTGGTCAAACCCCTTAGGGCACAGTGACCCATTGGCTTCTGCCTCTGGGGCTGGGTAGCACAGGAGTGGGTGGGCACTGAGGGGCCAGCACTGAGCCAGGTCTTAAAGAGGGAGTCCGAGTGTTGGGGGCAGTGGTCTCTGGTGGGGGCATAGCCCCAGAGATGGGGCTCCTGTGAGTCCAGCCTAGGGGTTGAGGGGGATCTGAGCCAGTTCACATTGTCCTGGCCACAGGGGTCTCTAGGGCATGACACTCAGGGCCACTCTGCCTGTTCCAGGCCCTGATCGTGGTAATTTAAAGCTCAGAATGGTGGATGGGGGAAGCCTCAGGGACCAAGGCCCTGCCTTCCCCTAGACTGAGCCCCTCGTCGGCTTCATCCTCACACCCGCTGTATCTCAAACAGCTTCACGTCGGTGTCGTACCAGACAGGGGGGTCCACATTCCTGTGGAGGAAATGGGGGGTTACCCAGGTGCTGGGGCACCTTGCAGACAAGGCACCAGGAGGAGCTGGGCAGCAGGAATGGCCAAGCCAACCCTTTCCATCCCGATGTCCCACCCTGGGCAGCGGGTGCCACCGTCAACCAGGCAAGGCCGCCTTAGTTGACTGTCTTGACATGAAGTCCACCATAGGTGGTGGGGCCCAGAGCTGAGGTCCCTGTTGAGCCCTGCTGGGCAGGCTCTCAGGTGGACACCACCCCACTCCCCGGGGCCCACCTCAGATAGATGACGCCCCACATGTAGGTGCGGAACCACATGGCAGTGCCCGAGTTGGCCTGGTACTTGCGGATGAGGATGGGGTGGGGCACGGGCAGCAGCCCCACCAGGGTGCCATGCTGCAGGAACCGCAGGATCTCAGACTCATCCGTCAGGCCCCTGCGGGGAGAGGGGTATCTCCAGCACACTCACGTGGTCCAGGGGAGCACGGGGCTCACCCTGGCCACCCAAGACCCATGTTTCCCATCACACGCCTACCTAAGCCTAGGCTGGCCCCGCCCAGAGCCCACCTGCCCACACCACCGGCCCCGCCCACAACCCCGGCCCCGCCCACAACCCCCGGCCCTGCCGGCGCCCGACTCACTTGTCAATGCAGATCTTCTCCACCTGCGGAACCAGCACCTGCAGCAGCCTCATGATGGTCTGCAGCGGCAGCTTCGACTTCCAGGAGAGGACCTGGCGAGGGACGGGGTTCCTGGGGCTGAGAAAGCAGCCCCCGGAGGCTGCGGGGCAAGCCTGACCCTGACCCAGAACCACAGGCTCCCCAAGGCAGAAAGTACCCCTGCTCCTTGCAGCATGAGCCTGGCACCAAGCAGGACCCGGGAAGAGTTAATCCTTATTGATGGCAAGCGCCATGGCCCCGCGTTAAGCCAGAGCTGTGCCACGTGCCTCTCGGGAGACTGTGGCCTTTAGCCCTCACAACAGCGTGGTCAGGCAGGGACGGTAATTATCCCTGTCCCAGCGCAACTGGCGTGATCTCAGGAGACACAGGGCGTGGGGATGAGATTCAGGGGAGGAAGTCGGAAAGAGTGATTTATTAAGGAAGAGAGCACTGTGGGCACCTGGAGCTTAATCCTGCTGGGGACTCTGGCAACAGTGTAGACAGAGGAAGCAACCGAGCCAGAGAGGCTGAACACATGGGATGTCACCAGCCGGAAGGACCGACCCAGAGTCAGGCTTCTATGCTAGGGTCCTTTGATTCGGACATCTTGCCATCTTCACTGAGCTTCCCTGGGCCAAGGAGCCCCAACCCAGCTCCCGCCTCAGTACCATCTGCCCAAACCCCAGCCCCCGCTCGCCTGGCACAGGGTCCCTCCTCACCCACTCTGGCGTTGGGCTCCACTGCCCACTGGCTGATGAGGTGGACGGTCGCCGCTGCTCCCTCCATGCCTGGCTGGGCTCCTGGCCCCCAGAAAGGAACAGGGGTGAGGGATGGTGGCGGTGGGTGAGGGGTGGAGTGGGGGGCAATGAGCCCTCTCCACTGGCAGCTGGAAATCCCACAAAGGGGAAGGCCCAGCCCAGCAGCCTTTGCCCCAGGCCCTAGGCCCAGCCCAACCTAGTGACAGGTTTAAGGCCAGCAGCTGACAGGGCAGGCCGGGTAAAGGCCAGCTCAGATAAGGCGGAGGGATGAGAAGTCTGAAGGCCAAGGGCTTCACCGGAACCAGTAAACAAGGGAGGGGTCTGTGAAAGGCCCCCACCCCCAAGGGAGTCAGCAGCGCTGACCCTAATGCCCTGGGCACTGGGTAACTGCCCCTCTGCTGCAGGTGACCCCAGAGTGCCCCGGCCCAGCCCCTACTGCAGAGACCAGGGAGGAAGGGAAGGGCCAGCCACGCCCGGCTCCAGGAGTCCCCGTCACCCACCCCCTTAGCCGGGCTGCCATCCTCCAAGCTCTGCTGGGGCTCAGGTTCCAGGGACCGCAAGGTGCCATCCTCTGACACCTGGGACTTCTCGGTCAGCTTGTCAATGCCTGGGCAGGGCACAGGTGGGAGTGAGGACTCCCTGCCACAGTGACCCTTCTAGCCCTTCCTCCACCCACTTTTTTATTTTTATTTGTTTTACTCCTGCTTCCCTCTGGAACCTCCACCGGCTCTAGAGGCAGTGTCTGATCACTGTAACGCCCTCTCCTGCGCCCATCCCTCCAGAGTCTACACTCGCCCTGAGGCTCTGCCCCCAACACCAAGCTACACATGCTAAGCCCATCCAGTACCCTCCCCCATCCCTGTGCCCATCCCTCCAGAGTCTACACTCGCCCTGAGGCTTTGCCCCCAACACCAAGCTACATATGCTAAGCCCATCCAGTACCCTCCCCCCATCCCTGTTGCCCAGCCCCATCCCCTCGGCTTCCATACATAAGCCATGCTCTTTGCCAGAGATGGGGGTGACACCCCGAGACCATGTCCCTCCCCCAGCCACACCAGTATCCACACTCCTGTCCCATCCACTAGCACCAGACCTGGAGTAGCCACCAGACTGGTCTTGAGGGTGCCTGGCTCTGCAGGGGCAGCGGGGCGGGAGCCCTCCATGGAGGTGCCCTCCTGGGAGCCGGTGCGAGACAAGGGCTCAGGTGTCCGCCGGCGCCGCTGCAGGGCCTTGTGAATGGTGGGCGGGTCCGTGGGCAGGTTGGCCAGCTGGTGGAAGATGCTGCGCTTGCGGATGATGGCGTAGACCAGGTTGGAGTTGCCTGTGGGCAGGGAGCATGCCTCGCCTCAGGGAGGCCCCCTCCAGCTCCCCCCGTCCAATCTGGGTGGGCTTCCTGGAAGGGGGAGTTTGGAGGACAGGAGGGTGTCTGCCCAAGGGGTTGGAGATGGTACAGGGAGCCCAAGAGAGGGTGCTGGGGCAGGGCTGGCACTGGCTGTGTGTGCCCACTATGGCTATCCCAGAATGTCAGGCCTGAGCACCTCACAACACCCCCGCCCCAGTGCCTTTGAGTTCCCGCCACAACCCAGCACTAAACAGCTAACACCTGGCAAAAAGTACAGGCCCCAGCATGGCAGCATCCACGTCAGGCCAGCTGTTAAATATTCTGACTCTCTTCCCACCTCCCCTCGAGCAAGGTGGCCAGGAGAAGTCACAGAGGATCCGTCCATCCCCCAACGCTGACTTCTCCTGGCTCTCAGGCCCCAGTCCCCATCTCTGGTCCTGCCTTATGCCATACTCTTCACTTTCAGTTCCAACATCCCACCCCAGGGCCTTTGCATGTGCTGTCTCTTGCCCCACCTTACCCCTATTTCTCCCTCAGAGATCACTGCAAATTTGCCCGACTTTGGAAATAGCAATAATAGAAACTGATCATTTTTAAGTTGCCAGGCACTGTGCTAAGTGCCTTCTGGGGGTTATTTTGCCCCATCTTCCCAACACCTTCTGAGACCAGGACCCTTAGAACCATTGTTATGAGCACCTTACAGATGAGGGAACTGAGGATCAGAGAGGTCAAGTGACGTGCCCTGGTCACAGGGCTAACGAGTGGCAAGGCTTGAAGTGACAGCAGGCAGCCGGATGTCTGTGACACTGGGCAGACGGGCTGCTAAGATACCCATCAGGGACTTACTACTCTGTACTTCCCTTTTATCACATTTCAGGCCAGATGTGGCGGCTCATGCCTGTTATCCCAGCAGTTTGGGAGGCCGAGGCAGGCAGATTGCTTGTCTCTATTAAAAATACAAAAAATTAGCTAGGTATGGTGGGGGGCGCCTGTAATCCCAGCTACTTGGGAGGCCGAGGCAGTAGAATTGCATGAACCTGGGAGACGGAGGTTGCAGCGAGCCAAGATCGCGCCACTGCACTCCAGCCTGGGCGACAGAGTGAGACGCCGTCGGGAAAAAAAAAAAAATTTCAGATGTCCATCATCTGTTTGAAGCCTCCTTCCCTGCCTCCATCCCCAGCTATGAGCTCCACAGGGCAAGAAGCAAAGCTTTGTTCCCCACTGCATCCCCTGCACCCAGGTACACTGTAGATGCTCAATAAATGTACACTGAATGAATGAACTGGGGGCAGAAGGCAAGCAGGCCAGCACCTCCCAGAGGCCACCTCCTGGGCTGTGCCCCCCTTATGTAGGAAGTAGGCCCGCTGGCCACCCTGACCACCAGGGCCTCAGGCTGGTGCCTCACCATCAAACTGGTACTGGATGATGTTGTTGAAGACCTCCAGGAGGAAGAAGACCAGGTGGTGGTTCTGGGCGGCAGAGAAGAGGAACCAGGTGGTGGAGAAGGCCTCCAGCAGGTGCAGCAACTTGTTGGCAGTCACCATGGACAGGCTCTTGAGGTAGGGGGACACTGTAAGGGAGGGGTCAGCTCACTCCTGGGCCCCTCAGCCAAGCCATCCCTGCACATCCTGGGCCGGGGTGGAACAACAGGCTCCTGCTCTCAATCCCTCCCTGCCCCCTGCAGAGCCAGGACGACCAAGGCCCTAAGAGGCTGAGTCCACACTGGCCATACTGTGTGCAGAGTCCTGGGAGGCAGTTAGGCCCCACCCTCACCCCTCGACCATGAAGACAGCTGTCCTGCTTATAAAGCCATACACATCCCACCCATGCCAGTCCCCCCCATACCACGAGGGAGGCAGGACACAGACAAGATCATCCCCATTTTACAGACATGGAAACTGAGGCTCAGAGAAGGTTGTAAACTTGGCCCAAGTTCCCCAGTAATGAAATGATCGGGCAGGGATACAAACTCAAGACTTTAAATCTTTCTAGAACGTCAAGCTGCCATGTCACTAGAGGTGTATTTTGGGACCCAACCCTGGGGGCACACCCAGACTGAAGTTCCATGCTGATCTGAACACTTCCTTGTCTTGTGTCATTTTCCCTCACTAGGCTGAGGGCTCCACAGGGCAGGGACCAGGGCTGTCTTGGTCACAAGTGTGTTCTCGGAACCAGCTCAGTTAAGATTTGTGAGATGGAGCCAGAGAGTGAACCAGGAGGGGAAGGGACAGTCCTGACCCCAAAGCTCACAGCCCAGCTAGAGGCCTCTACCACCGCACACTACCCACCCTGCAGTCTAAACCAGAACACAGACAGACCAGCCACCCCTAGCCACAACCATCCTCTCCAAAAGATGTTCACACTGAAGGCATTTTGCCCCAGCCCATGGCCACCTGCCTTGCTAGGTCCTGAACCCCAGGGAGCCTGGCTCCTTCTGCTTCCTCTCCCCAGCAGCTGTGTGCAGTCCTTGCTGGGTGGGGGTAGGGGCTGGACAGGGAGGACAAAGGCAGAAAGGGTGGGGCCTCCACATCCCCATACACTGTGACTCCAAATGTCCAAACCTGCACTGCCCAACACAGTGGACATCAGCCACGTGTGGCCATTTCGTGCTTGAAACACAGCTAGTCCTAACACGTGTGCTGCACATATGAAACACACAAGAGGCCAGACACAGTGGCTCACGCCTGTATAATCCCAGCACTTTGGGAGGCTGAGGCAGGAGGATCATTTGAGCTCAGGAGTTCAGGACAAGCCTGGGAAACATAGTGAGATCCCGTCACTATAATTAGAAATAAAATGAAATATGGCCGGGTGTGGTGGTTCACACCTGTAACCCCAGCGCTTTGGGAGGCCAAGGCAGGCAGATTGCTTGAGGCCAGGACTTCAAGACCAGCCTGGCCAACATGGCAAAACTCTGTCTCTACTAAAAATACAAAAAAAAAAAAAAAATTAGCCAGTTGTGGTGGCACATGCTGTGATCCCAGCTACTTGGGAGGCTGAGGCATGAGGATCACTTAACCTGGGAGGTTGCAGTGAATGGAGATTGTGCCACTGCACTCTAGCCTGAGCAACAGAGAGTGAGACTCTGTCTTAAAAATAAAAAATAAAATAAAATAAAATAAATAAATAAATAAAGTAAAAATGTTATCGGACTACCAGTGGCTCCCATAAACTGGGCTAACCTCCTTCAGATGTCAAAAAAAATTGTTAAATTTTTTTTTTTTAAAAAAAGGCCAGATGCAGTGGCTCATGCCTGTAATCCCAGCACTTTGGGAGGCTGAGGTGGGCATATCATCTGAGGTCAGGAGTTCGAGACCAGCCTGGACAACATGGCAAAACCCCGTCTCTACTAAAGATACAAAAATTAGCCAGGTGTGGTGGCACACGCCTGTAATCCCACCTACTCAGGAGGCTGAGGCATGAGAATTGCTTGAACCCAAGGGGCGGAGGTTGCAGTGAGCTGAGATGGTGCCACTGCACTCCAGCCTGGGCGACAAGACTGAGTGTGAGAAGGGAATATTAAATATCTCATTAGTAATTTTCATATTGGCTACATGTTGAGATGATGATAGATAAAACATATTATTCAATTGTTGTCACCCTTTTTTTTTAATGTGGCTACTATGAAGGGTACACAAGCTTGCGTTCTTTCTGTGGGCTGGAGGGGCTTGAAACCTGGAGCAAGTGGCAGGTTGGCCTGTGGCCTGACACCACCTGGTGGTGAGCGCGGGGAGTGCAAGCTCCGGGCCCCTACCGTTGACCACGATGGTGAGCAGGCAGTCGAAGAGGGGCTGCAACCGCTGGTGCCCGCTGGTGATGATCTTGTGGAACACCTGTGCCAGGAGGGACAGAGGCACCGTGGGGTCCCCGCTGCCTCCAGACTCAGCCAAGAGGACACCACCCCTGCACCTCCTGGGCCCGGCCGCACGAGCCCCCTCACCACAATGAGCAGGTCGGCGTGGGTCCCTGTGAAGACTGGGATGTCCATGGGCACGCGGATTGAGTAGGGTTTGTTCAGCCGCACCCCGAAGTTCCGCTCCCCGCTCAGAAGCAGCAAGATGAAGACACCAATGTGCATCAGGCCCACCCGAGCTGCGGCAGGTGGCGTGGGAGGGGTCACTCGGGTGGGAGGGGGAAGGAGGGGCCCAGGCAGTGACCATTTTGGAGGCCTCCCTCCTAGGAGGTCAGAGTGCCAGGCCTGAGCTCCTGGGAGTCAGGGCAGATAGCCAGCCCTCCACCTCGCCGCCAGGAAAGCCCCCAGCATCCCACCCCCACCCTGGTCTTACACTGATCGGCCCGGGCATCGTTGAGGAAGAAGAGGATGGGGACAAGGATGTCTAGGACGTCGCTGCTCTTCAGCACGAAGAAGAGGAATTTCTAGGGGTGCGGGGAGGGGCCAAGTGGGCTGAGTTCAAGGGAGGGGCAGCTCTGCCCCACCCCCCTCAGTCTGACACTGTCCCTGCCCCCGGGTTATTGGGGCAGCTGCTCTCCATCTCCCTGCAGGGCCCCTCGAGGCTGGCCCACCTTGTTGAAGTCGCAGAGCTTCCAGAAGAGAACTAGCAGCTCCTGGTGGAACTGGATCTTCTTGGTGGAGTTAGGCAGGTAGGTCTGGAGCAGGGGGTTGGACAGCAGCCGGGCTATACCCTTGAGGATGAACTGGAAGTCCTGGGGGCGAGGGCAGAGCAGGGGGCCTGTCCAGCCCAATCCCTGCAGCTCCAGTTTCCCAGCCCAGGCCCCCAACAAATCCCCCCCTCCATCCCCCAGAGCCAGATCCCACCTCCAGAGCCAGAGGGCCCAGATGCTATCACCCATAGCTGTCCTGGGGCGATGCCTCAGGAAGCGGAGTCCCTCATAGCTGTGGACAGCCCTGGCCCCTCCACTAGACTGCAGACTCTCTGTCCTTGGGCTGTGCGCCCCTTGAGCAAGGCTGCTGCTCTCAGTGAACTCCCACACATGCACACCCTCAACCTTGTCCCTGCCCACCTTGGACTCATGGTTGGCAGGTTCCATCCTTCTACCCCTCCCCAAAATACTCCCCCATCACCCCATCACAACTCGAGGAGCATTCCACTGTTCTGTCATTTACTGAGGCCTGCCACTAGCTGGGGTGAGAAGGCAGCTAGGGTCCTGTGTTTTAGCTGCAGAAGTTAGAACTCTGGGAGTTCAAGCACCTTCCCACCAAGATCACAAGACACATGAACTGGGACTGCTTGGCCTGAAGCCCTTGTCCACTGTCATTCCCCTTTTGTCCCCACCACCTCTGAAATGACATCAGCCACCTCCTCCTAGAGGCCTTCCCAGTTACCTCTACCCAGGTGAGGCCATCAGCCCTTCCTGCATCTTGAAACCCTCACAGTCCTGCCACTATTTCACCTAGGGTGGCCCCAGCCCACAGAGAGCATGGTTCCTTCATGGAGGGGTCAGGATCCCCCATATCCCTGTCTCACTTGCATCCCCCTGCACCCTGCAAAGCCACTGTGGGGACTGGACTTGCCTCCTCACGATGGATGCGGGACAGGTAGTTCACAAACAGGTTCTCAGGGCCTGGAGGCTGCCAAGAGGAGAAGCCCCTGGTGAGCAGGCGTCCTCCCCACAACCCGTGGCCCCGGCAGCTGTCCCTTCCATGCTCCCATCCTTACATCGGCATCATCCATGGCGGTGCCAGTGGTGGTGCCGTCCACAGTGGGGCTGGCACTGCTGGCACTGTCGTGGTCCAAAGTGACAATGAGCACCTGGGCAGCCTCCTCCACCAGGGGTTCCCGGTAGTCAGAGAAGAGCAGGTGGTTGTAGGGGATCCCGTAGCCCACAGGGTCATAGGCACACACGGTGTTGAGGAGGGAGGTGAAGAGGGGCAGGGCATGTCTGCAGCAGGAGAGGGACAAGGCTGCAGAGGCTGCACTGGGGCCCAGCCCCCTGGCCACACCTCTCTGGCCACGTGGGAAGGTCAGCCTCATTCAACAAGCATTTTAGCACCACGTCAGGGAGTGGCTTGGAAAGAGTGGGTGTGGGAAGCCCAGAGCCATGATTAGGACACATTCATACCCCTTAGGGTCTTAAGGGGCAGATACCCTCCCTTGGGTCCTCAGAGATGGGAATGGAGGCCTGTGGAGAAGGTGGGCTTCCCCTCAGGGAGCAGAGCCCACGCTCAGCCAACCAGCTCCCAAGCCACAGAATGACTCCACTCAGACTCAAGAGATGTCAGGGTTCAAGCTGCTCAGCTTACAGATGAGGAAGCTGAGACCCAGAGAGGTTAAGTGAGGGACAAAGGGTGGCAGTTTGCCTGATAAGGCTGGTGAGAAAGAAAACTCTGGCCAGCCTCGGACTGTGGCTGGTGGAGGGGGTCGCCTGGCTCCCTTCTCTTCTGGAGTAGGGTGGAAGGTTGAACAGAAGGCTAGGAAACCTGAAGAATAAGGCGTGTCATGTAGGGACCAGAGTCTGGAAGGCGGAGGTCGACCGCCACCTGCCGGGCACAGACCCTATGCAGCCAACACAGCTCCCAGTGGGAGCTACCTGCTCAAATACTCAACTCTGCCACGTGGCACGTGTGACACCCTCCCCCCACCCCGTGCTCACGTGTCCCCCACAGTCCATGAGTGCCCCATGTGGGCTGGGCCTCCCTGCCCTTCGAGGTATTTGTCACACACTCCCCGACCCGGTCTCTAAGCTGCAGAGTCCCACACAGCAGCCTCAAGCCACAAGGAGCTGTCGAGCCCTTGGAATGTGGCTGATCGGAACCAAGACAAATACACACTGGATTTTGAAAACTTAGTATGAAAAGGGGGATGTCAAACAGCTCAGTAATGTTGTATACTGATTCCATGTTAAATGCTAAAGTTTGGGGTATATTGGGTTATATGAAATATATTATTAATTATTGTATTTATTTATTTTTTTTTTTGGAAACAGAGTCTCACTCTGTCACCCAGGCTGGAGCGCAGTGGCGCAATCTCGGCTCACTGCAACCTCCGCCTCCCGGGTTCAAGCGATTCTCGTGCCTCAGCCTCCCGAGTAGCTGGGATTACAGGCACCCGCCACCAAGCCTGGCTAATTTTTGTATTTTTAGTAGAGATACGGTTTCACCATGTTGGCCAGGCTGGTCTGAAACTCCTGACCTCAGGTAATCTGCCCACGTTGGCCTCCCAAAGTGCTGGGATTACAGGTGTGAGCCACCGCGCCTGGCCCAATTTTACTTTTTAACTTTTTTAATTTTAAAATTGCACTCGTGGTTTGCATTCTATTTCTACTGGACAGGCGGCTCTTGATGGAGGACCCAGGGACGGATTACTGAGGGGCCCCCAGATTCTGTCCTGTCGAGGACTCCAAGGAGAGACGGGGCTAGTGTGAGGTGTGGCTGGTAAGTTAAAGTTCATCACCACCAGGGGGCAGCACCTCCCCTCAAACGAGACCCAGAGCTGGCGAATGGACTCAGCTCTGGATTGCCTGGAATAAGAGGGAAGAGAGCGCAGAAAGGCCAAGGGCCCTTCACCTGTTCTCCGTGGAACAAAAGAACTGAACCCATGGGTTGGTGCTGCCACTTTCCGGAGCTGGGGGCAGGTACATGGCCTCGGAGAAGCATGTCAGCAGCAGTTTCAGCAGCTCCATCCTTGTAGGAGGAAGGGGGAGGGCACCTTAGGATCCCAGTCCCCTCTTGGAGGTTCTGCCCACCCAGCCCAGCGCCCCAGCCCAGGTCCATGGAAGGAAGTTACTCCCGTTGACCCCTGTAAGGTCAAGGTCGGGTCATAGGTGAGGACGGTCTTCTGGGAAGACCCCATGGGCTTTCTGAGCTGTGCGGGGGCCCGGCCCGGGGTCCAGCTGCATTGAGGGCTCCGGGCCTGGGCGAAGCTCACCGGTTCATATCGTGGATGTAGTTAGGCTGGGGGGAGTGAGCGAAGCCCACACCAGCCTCCCAGATGTATTCACAGCTGTCCAGGGAGTGGACGTCCTCTGCCGAGTCCTGGGGACAGGCCAGGAAGAAGCCGGGTTAGGGGGTCGAGAGGTGAACAGCAGCCTGGGTCAGAACCTGGCCACCTCGAGCCTCACACAGTCCCAGGGGCAGAGACCGCCAGTTCTCCTAAAGACAGGTCCTCAAAATGGCCTGGCCCTCATGCACAAGAGCAGGAGTGAATATTCTTAGGCCTCTTGAAAGCTCATTTTTCTTCCATCTCAGACTGGTTCTTTCACTTGCTCAGTCCAGTTTGGGACAGGGAGAAAGGGAGGGAGGGGCAGGGGATTGGGTGCCCCGGGTTTGGGGGTGGGCAGAGAAGACTCAAGGTGAAGTCCATGCCACCACAGGAAGCAAGAGGGCCAGCCCTCCTGTGTCTGAGCCCCACACCCCTGGGCAAGCAAAGACAATGGGTGTCTGTGCCCAGCCATCCGAACGCAGCGGGCAGGGCCAGCCCCAGCTGGCTTCCCTCAGCTGTACCAGCTGCCACCCAGGCCTACATGTGCCAGGCAGCTCAGCTCTCCTGGAGCCCCCCGGCCCCCAGTGCAATCCGCCCAAGGGAACTTCAACTGGCCCGGCCCCAACCCAGGACCAGAGCCTACTCCGCCTGGGGGTGGGGGGCTGGGGGACACTCACCACAGTGCTCCTCCGGTGGCTCTGAACCGTGAAGTCCGGGCAGAAGAGCAGGTCAGCAATGGCCAGGAGCAGGGACTCGGCCAGGGGCCTGGCATGCTCATCATCCTCTTCTCCCTGCTGGGGACACAGCACCCACAGGCTGCCTCAGTGATAGCTGGCCAGGAAGAGGTGGCCCAGGGCTTGGGGGTGGTGGAGGACAGGGGCTGAGCCCAGGCGGGCACCCATGGGCAGAGGAATGAAGGGACAGGAAGTGGACTCCTGGTTGCCCCAAACCTCCCAAGGCAGAAGTGGGGCACAGCAGGGAGCCGGGCCGGGAACAGCGAGGGAACCTCCCCTACTGACTGGAGGGGGCCGGGCGGTGACCCCAACATCAAGAGTCTCAGCCCTGCTAGGAATCACTGTGTTGCATCCCTCAGCACCTCACCTGGACATAAACCCAGGGCAGGTGGTGTGGGGGAGAGAGGACAGTGTGGTCCCTCTCCGGCCCTCAGAGGGCCCAGCTCCTCTGCCTCCACCTCTGCCCAGTGACCCCTGGCTCTCAGCTTCTCTCCATACCCTACTTCCTCCAGACTGTGGGCACAGAAACCCCCATGGGAGGGGAACTGAGGGCCCAAGGAGGTGGCATTGAACACCATCCCTCAGCAGCACCCACTGGCCCCACCCCTGTACTTCCCAAATCCCAGAAGAGGCTTGGAGGAGCATGGCCGGCCCTAAAGGGCGCTCTCCCTGTGACGCCAACTCTGCCTCCCACCCAGCCCTGGCCAGGCCCACAGACCCCTCCTCGCCCTGCCCCGGGCACTGTGGACCAGAAGAAGCCCCTCCAGTCGGGGTCCTCAAAGATGTAGGGCAGCACGCGGGTGAGCAGCCGGCTGCAGTTCAGGACGATCTGCTTCTCCTTCTCCGAGTGGCAGCCACTCTCAGCTCCCTGCACCAGCTTCTCAACGGCCTGTGGGGGCAGGCAGGAGCAGAGGGCAGGCTGGAAGGTGGGGAAAGGACCCTGGCACTTGGGGTCAGGGTGGGCACCCAGGCTGCAGAGGAGGGTCAGGGGGGGCACCCAGGCTGCAGAGGAGAGACAGTGGGGCCACAGGCAGAGGAGCCACCTGGAGTTGGGGTCGGCCAGCCTTGGGGGACTGGGACACAGGCCAGAGCAGCTTGGAGCATCAGGACAGCCAGGGCCCAGCTAGCCACTGGATGGCTGAGGCCTTGCTAAGTGAGTCTCCCAGCCTCAGTTTCCCTATCTGTAAACTGGCGACCCTGGCAGTACCCACCCCACAGAGGGAGCTAAATGAACTGATCTGTGGAAGGTGCTCAGTCAGATGTGGCCTGGAGGACTCCCCCATAAATGACGGCTGCCGTGGTCCCAACGCCCAGCAAAGAGAACCACAGAGAAGTGGAAGAGCTGAGTGAGGCCACAGGGCTGCCTGCCCCTGTGGGGCGGGAGGCCCTGGATGCGCCTGCCTTCTCCTGCTGTGGGCTGGGAGGGTGGAAGAGTAGCAGGAGGGACTGGGCAGCCCTCACCTTGTAGCACAGGGTGGCCAAGTTGGAGGGTGACTCTTCCCGCACGGCCCGGATCTCTGCTGCCGGCACCAGTGCAAACACATCCTGCACCGAGGTGGCTGTGTCTGCCCAGAACTGGTCCCAAAAGGCATCATCGGTGGCTTCCACGGGCTGTGGGGGGACCAAGGGTCCAGAGTTACACAACTCCTGGCCAGAGGGCCTACACTTTGCCCAACTTGTGGCCAGGAGAGACCCTGAGAGGGAAGCCAGAGTCCCCCTACCTGCTGGGGTCCCAGAGCCATCCCACATGGGTGGGGGACATACTTCAGCCACCACAACCCCTGGACAGCACAGTCAGGCTGGAGACACCAGGCATGCATGGTCAGGGGTCAGCTAGGCACAGAGTCAGCCAAAGCCCAACGCCACCCCTGAGGAGGTGTGTGACCCTGGTTAAGTCACCATCCTCCCCTGGCAAAGCAGGCTGACCTCCCCACCTGGGCACAGCCCCAGGCCACACCATTAGGTCAAATGCTCAGGGATCCAGGTCAAGACCATGCCCTCTCTCCATGGGAAGAAGACAAAGGTGACTTGTACTCCGTTTCCAGTCACCCAGGATGCCCGCCACAGGCCTCCGGCTCTGCCCTCTCACAGCACACCCAAAACAGCTGCCACATCTGGTGAATTCACCTCTGTGGCTCTCTGACCCCAACACGCCCCTCTCAGCGCCCACCTCCAGCGCTGCAGCTCAGGCTGCCCTTGCCAGGGCTGCCAACTTCAAATCCACCTCTTTCAACCCTGCCTCTATGCTGCTGCCAACGCATGCACCGAGGTGGCATCCTGCATGCACCACGGCACCGCTGCCACAGGCACTGCTTCCTCACCCAGAGCCCTTCAGGGGCTCCCCACTGCCTGCTGGGACAAGTCCAAACCTCAGCCCAGCACTCAGCCAAGATCTCACAGAAACATGCCTTACACACGTGCACACAGACACACATGCGTACACACGTGTCATACACACATACACCTGCATTTACTACTCCAGGACTCCACCCTGCCATCTCTTCTCTTGACCTTCACCCAAGCTGTTCTCTCTTCCCCCTTCCCCTTTTCCCCACAACAATGCATTCCAAAATCCATTCCCACGGAGGCAACAGGCCTTAAAAACACACATGCCCAGCCAGGCACAGTGGCTCATGCCTGTAATCCCAGCACTTTGGGAGGCTGAGGTGGGTGGATCACCTGATCAGGAGTTCGAGACCAGCCTGGCCAACATGGTGAAACTCTGTCTCTACTAAAAATACAAAAATTAGCCAGGCGTGGTGGCAGGCGCCTGTAATCCCAGCTACTCGGGAAGCTGAGGCTGGAGAATCACTTGAACCCAGGAGGCAGAGGTTGCAGTGAGCCAAGATCATGCCACTGCACTCCAGCCTGGGCAACAAGAGCAAAACCCCATCTCAAAAAAAAAAAAGTACACAAGATATAAAACTTCGTCTAGGATGCTCACAATTCATGTTAAATTATACATGAATAAAAGACTAGAAGAGGCTGGGTGAGGTGGCTCACGCCTGTAATCCCAACACTTTGGGAGACTGAGGCGGGTGGATCACAAGGTCAGGAGTTCAAGACCAGCCTGGCCAAGATGGTGAAACCCCGTCTCTACTAAAAACACTAAAATTAGCTGGGCATGGTGACGGGTGCCTGTAATCCCAGCTACTCAGGAGGCTGAGGCAGAGAATTGCTTGAACCCAGGAGGCAGAGGTCGCAGTGAGCCGAGATCGCGCCACTGCATTCCAGCCTGGGTGACAGAGCAAGACTCTGTCTCAAAAAAAAAAAAAAAAAAAAAAAGACTAGAAGAAAATGAACCAGAATGTTAGTAGCAACTCTCTCTCTGGGTGGTTTTATATTTTTCTTTATGTTTTTCTGTAAGAGCACATGTTACTATTTTTTTCCTTTTGAATGTTCATCTGTTAAGGGACCAGAGTGTCCAAGGCACGCGCACCTCCTCGGGCCCATCCCTTTATGGCTCCTTCTGAGTGTCACTTCCTGCAAGACACCTTCCTGCTTTCTCCAACACAGCTTTTTTCCTTCTCTGAAATCCTACAGCCAATAAAACCTGAGGTCCCTGCTACCACCACAAGCCTGCACTTCATACATGTTACTCTTATCATCAGAAAAAAATATATATCTTATTTAAAAATAATTCTGGGGCCGGGCGTGGTGGCTCATGTCTGTAATCCCAGCACTTTGGGAGGCCAAGGTGGGAGAATTGCTTGAGCCCAGGAGTTCAAGACCAGCCTGGGCAACATGGCTTTTGTAGAGACCCTATCTCTACAAAAAATAAAAACAAATTCACCAGGTGGGCCTGCCCAACCTCTAAGGAGGCTAAGGTGGGAGGATCCCATAAGCCCAGAAGGTCAAGGCTGCAGTAAGCTGTGATGGCACCACTGCACTCAAGCCTGGGCAACAGAGCAAGACTCTGTCTCAAAAAAGTAATAATGGCCAGGTGAGGTGGCTCACACCTGTAATCCCAGCAGTTAGGGAGGCCAAGGCAGATGGATCACAAGGTCAGGAGTTCGAGACCACCCTGGCCAATGTGGTGAAACCCCGTCTCTACTAAAAATACAAAAATTAGCTGGGTGTGGTGGTGCATGCCTGTAGTCCCAGCTACTCAGGAGGCTGAGGCAGAAATCGCTTGAACTCGGGAGTTGAAGGTTGCAGTGAGCCAAGATCGTGCCACTACACTCCAGCCTGGGTGACAGAGTGAGACTCCATTTCAAAAATAATAATAATAATAATAGGCCAGGCGCGGTGGCTCACGCCTGTAATTCCAGCACTTTGGGAGGCTGAGGTGGGTGGCTCACGAGGTCAGGAGTTTGAGACCAGCCTGGCCAATATGGTGAAACCCCTCTTTACTAAAAATACAAAAATTAGCCAGGCATGGTGGCACATGCCTGTAATCCCAGCTACTGGGGGAGGCTGAGGCAGGAGAATCACTTGAACCCAGGAGGCGGAGGTTGCAGTGAGCCAAGATCGCACCACTGCACTCCAGCCTGGGCGACAGAGTGAGACTCCGTCTCAAAAAAATAAAAAATATAATAATAATAATGGCTGGGCACAGTGGCTCACACCTGTGATCCCAACACTTTGGGAGGCTGAGGCAGATGGATTGCTTGAGCCCAGGAGTTTGAGACCAGCCTGAACAACATGACGAAATACCATCTCTACAAAAAAAATCAAAAAAATTAGCTGGGCATGGTGGCACACACCTGTCATCTCAGCTACTTGGGAGGCTGAGGTGGGAGGACTGCCTAAGCCCAGGAAGCTGCAGTGAACCAGGATCGTACCATGGCACTTCAGCCTCGGTGACAGAGTGGTTCACACCTGTAATCCCAGAGCTTTGGGAGGCTGAAGCAGGAGGATCACTTGAGCCCAGAAGTTGAAGACCAGCCTGGGTAACATAGTGAGACTATCTCTACAAAAAAAAAAAGAAAAAATTAGCCACGTGTAGTGGCACGCACCTGTAGTCCCAGCCACTCAGGAGGCTGAGGCAGGAAGATCACTTGAGCCCAGGAGTTCAAGGCTGCAGTGAGCTGTGATTGTGCCACTGTACTCCAGCGTGCATGACTGAGTGAGACCCTGTCTCTAAATATTTAATAATAATAATTCTGGTCTCTGAAGCTACTTCTTCTAAGAAGCCTCCCAGAGCCCCAGGCTTGCTTGCTCCCACCTGGGAACCTCCGGCCCCACCCCACCCCCACCCTGCGTTGTTCCTGCCTCCACAGTCTGGGTGCACGTGCCTTGAAGCCCCATCAGTCCCTGACCTTGCCAGTAAGGCATATGGCAGATATTCAGCCAATATTTGTTCCACTGAAGCTGCGCTCAGTCCTGGGGACCCCTTCAGCCTGGCCACAGAGCAGGGCTGAGCACCCGTGGAACTCTCCAAACTCAGAGTTGGGGTCGCATGCCTCACCAAGGTCCAGGCATACCCCAGCCCACTCCCAGAGCAAACACCCCCACCCCACCCCAGGGAGCTGCAGGGTAACATGTGGCCATGACTCTCAGTCCCAGAACTGGTAGAGCGAGTTCTTCACTGGGGGAGAGGAACAAAGGCTAAAGGAGGGCCCTGGGGCTGGGGTTTGCTGGCCCTTGGGCCCTCAGCCAGGACAGCCCTCTGGCACTCCCTGGAGCGCAGGGACATGGCACCCCAGTCTGGGTGGCCTGGAGCCAGGATGGGGTAAGGAAGGACATCCCAGGAAACCCACAGAGCCATCTGGGAGTGCCTCTGGGAAGCCGCCATCCCTGACACTTTTCCCACCTCCCAGGTAGCTACTACCCCCTTCAAAGGGCAGAAACTAAGCACAAGCAGGCATGACCTCTGACCTAGTTCATCAGGCAGTGTCACCGGGGGACTAAATCCAAAATGAAGAAAGAGACTTACTAGCCCATTCTGGAAGCAGAGGAGAGATCCCAGCCATGACAGATCTCAGCCTTGAACTTTAGGAACAGGACTTTGCCTCCCTGTTTCCTCAGCTTGGGCCTCCTCTCCTGGTCCCACTGTGGCTTGGACATTCGGATTTGGTGACCACCTGCCCAGGCCAAGCTGATGCTACAGGCATTAGTCAGGGTCACTGAGGCCCCTTAGGCTTCTAATGGGAGAAACGTGGCTCAGCGCCTGCCTCAATGACCCCAGTTGGCCTCCACCCAGCCCGCCCAAGGAAGCTTCTAATATCTGATCTTTTTTTTTCTTTTTTGAGACCGAGTCTTGCTCTGTGGCCCAGGCTGGAGTGCAGTGGTGCAATCTCGGCTTACTGCAAGCTGTGCCTCCCGGGTTCACGCCATTCTCCTGCCTCAGCCCCCGGGATTACAGGCGCCTGCCACGACGCCCGGCTAATTTTTTTGTATTTTTAGTAGAGATGGGGTTTCACCATGTTAGCCGGGACGGTCTCGATCTCCTGACCTCGTGATCCACCCGCCTCAGCCTCCCAAAGTGCTGGGATTACAGGCATGAGCCACCGCACCTAGCCAATATCTGATCTTTGAAGGAAGTGTTTTTGCTGGAGGTAGGCAGGCCCCTGCTGCTAGGGCCACAGAAACTGAGCTACCCTGGTAAAAATCCAGGTATTCTTCTCCCCTTATTCTTTTTCTTTTGTTTGTTTTTGAGTCAGGGTCTTGCTCCGTTGCCCAGACTGGAGTGCAGTGGCACAATCATAGCTCACCGTAACCTTGAACTCCTGGGCTCAAGTGATCTTCCTGCCTCAGCCTCCTGAGTGGCTGGGACTACAGGCGCACCCCACCCAGCCCAGCTAATTTTTTTTATTTTTTAGAGATAGGGTCTTGCTGTGTTGCCCAGGCTGGTCTCAAACTCCTGGGCTCAAGCGATCCTCCTGCCTCCACCTCCCAAAGTGCTGGGATTACAGCCATGAGCCACCACGCCTGGCCAAAATCAGATTTTTCTTTTTTCTTTTTTTTTTTTTTTTTTGAGGCAGAGTTTCGCTCTTGTTGCCCAAGCTAGAAGCATGATCTCAGCTCACCGCAACCTCTGCATCCTGGGGTCAAGCGATTCTACTGCCTCAGCCTCCCGAGTAGCTGGGAATACAGGCATGTTCCACCACGCCTGGCTAATTTTTGTATTTTTAGTAGAGACGAGGTTTCTCCATGTCGCTCAGGCTGGTCTCGAACTCCTGACCTCAGGTGATCCTCCCACCTCAGCCTCCCAAAGTGCTGGGATTACAGGCATGAGCCACCACACCCGGCCCAAAATCAGATATTCTTAACCCAGCTTTTCCAGGCCCCTGCTCGGACTAGACCCCCACTCAGACCTGGGGGAGCAGTTGTATCTTTTGACTCTCAGGGTGTGCAGGGGGAAGGTCCCCTAGTCCTCAAGCCTGCTAAGCCTGCTCTAGAGGACTGTGTCACCATGCATTCCCATGCACATACATGTATACACATGTAAATATGCACCCGCCAGGTTCATCTGGCCTGCAGCAGAGAATTCCAAACAGGCAGGATCTGGGAGAGGGTTCCAGGTCTGGGACTGTCTCCCTCCAGAGCCCCACCTACTATGAGGAAGCACCAGGAAACACAGCCAAAGCGGCTGGCTCTTAGGACCAGGGTCAGGCCTGACCCAGGACTGGACCATGGGGCAGGAAGAAAACAGGATGCAGGGCAGGAAGGCGAGGAAGGTGGAGCAGCAGGGATACAGGCCCAGGCCACAGGAAAAGGGGCTAGTTCTGCCTGTCTACTGCCCAAGCCACACCCTGTAAGAGCCTGGAACCACATATCATCCTATGGACAACTGGCCTGAATCTCCTTGGGGACTCCAAGTGGTAAGGTCAGTGATGATCATCTGGGTTCTGATCCTCACACCCAAGCTACCCAAGTCAGGTCACTTACACAGAGTCCAAGGCTTCAGCCTCTGAAGGCCTCTCCCCCCGGGCAGCCCAGGCCCCCGTCCGCCTACAGGACCCAGTGCTCTCCAGAAGGCTGGTCTGATCTCCAGCCTATCCAGGTTCTATTCCAAGCCTACTCAGCTGGGAAACAGAACAGCACCATCTCAAGTGGCCCATCATAGGGCTGTAGCCAGGGAAAGACAGAGGGACACAGTATTTTGGGGAAAAGGCCTGAGCAGGTAGGAATCTAGGCCACTCCAGAGCCTTTGGTACTCTGCTGAGCTGGCCCCACTGGCCTGGCAAAGGACCCCAGCTGCCGAGCCCACAGTGCAATCCTCCAACAAGGAGTTTCTTCCCCAGGCAGGTAAACATGGGAGCCTCCCTTCCTCCCTGCCTCCCCACTCCTCTCCCTGCAGCCCTACACTGAGGGGCTAGCCCACTTGCCACCTTCCCTGCCACCCACAGAACGAAAACCCCATCCTAAAAAAGCCAAGCTCCAGAACGACCCAGGAGCCGTAGGGAATGGAGAGAAGTGCGGTCTGGTTTCTATCAAGAGCCTTTCAGCCGGGGTTGGACTCTCCAGAGGCCCTGGGCATTTGCTGCACATTTGACCCTTCCAGGGTGGGGAAAGGGGTGAGGGAGCAAGGTCTGGCCCCTGGAGCTGTGACCAGCTGGCTGTGGGAGCTGGCTTCCTCCATCCCACTCTAACCTCCAGCAGCAAGAGAGAGCCCTGGAGAGCAGGAGGTGGGGGGGCCAGGAAAGAGGAAGATCCCAGATGGCAGCAGGTCCTGTGTCCCCTGAAAATGGGGGACATGGGGAGTCAGGGCCGAGCATCTCTGTGGCCACGGTGGCCTGATTCAAAAAGCCAGGAGAGAAGGGGTGGGCAGAGAAGCAGTCTTGCTGGGGCCAGGTGGTATAAGGAGGTGGCTATTGGGCCACTTGTGGACTCACAGGAGAGTTATGAGCATGGACTAGGCTGGAGGGTCCTTAGGCCCCTCACCAGCTGACTGAGGGCCATCCTGCGGGTCCCCATCCCTGAGCCAGAGAACAGAGCACACAGGCTAACAGCCTTTCCCTTGCAGGGCCTCGGGGAAGGCCCCTGGAGAGGTCCCCAGCTGGGAGGCTGTGCTCAGTAGGCCTGGGGACAGGGCCCCCCACCAGGCTGCCTCGCTGCCCGCCACTCTTTGCGTGTTCCCAGGAAGACCTGGGCCTTCCCTGCCCACGGGCATCGACCAGGGCCCAGCGAGGCCGCTGCCGCGCACACCAGCTGTTTCTCCGACCCGGGCGGACGCCAGCCAGGCTTTGTTTGCATTGAGTCAACAGGGACTGTGCGTCCGGGACCCGCGGGCAATGAGGGGCAGGGAGGGGAGCGGACGGTGGATGGGTGGGTGGGGGCGGCGGGAGGCTGGAGATGCGAAGCTGGGGACGCCGCGGGGCGGGACAGGGGGCGGACAGCTGTGTCGCCGGCTCGGGGAGTAGGCACACGTCAGCCTAAGGTGGCAGCAGCGGCTTCGGGGAGAGGGGTGTTCCCAGGAGAGGAGGCTGAGGGTGGGGGACTAGGGCCAGGGGATGGAGCTTCCAGGTACAGGCCGCGGGGTCCCGTTCCGGCGCTGGCCTTGGCGTTACGCTCGGGGCCCGCCCGTCCCCCCATCTCCCGACGAGCCAAGTTCGCGTACCCCCGGCCCTGCCCAGCCCCCAGCCCGGCAGGTGGATGGGGACGCCGGGGCCCCCGTGGCGCACCTGCGTCTTGGTGGTGAGCTGGATCACCGCCTTCCGGAAGTTCAGCTTGGAGTCGGTCGACCCCATGTCTCTGGAGCCCGCTCCGGCCCGGCCCCCGCCCAGACTCCAACCCGGCTCCGGCTTCAGCTCCGGCTCCAGCTCCGCGGCCCCCGCGGCTCTCGCAGGAGACAAGCGGCGCGCCCCGCCCCCGGCCCTCGTCGGCCCCGCCCCGACAGGCCCCGCCCCCGCGTGGCTCCGCCTCCTGCACCTGCAGCGCCCGCCGCCGAAGACCCGCGGAGTCGGCGGTTCCAACCCAGCGCCGCCGCACGCCGGGTGCCTTCTCAGGTCCCACCCGGAGCCTCGACGCTCTTCCTTCTGCGTCGGAGCATTGTACCCGCCTCCGCTGCTACCACGCAGTCCCCAGGGCCCAAAACCCTCCTCGCAGCTCGTCCCCCGCCCCGGTCCTCACCCTTCATCTCCGCTCCGGCTCCTGGCCCACGTCTCAGCTGGCCCTCTCCATCCCACTTTCCTCCTTCTCAGTCTGTCTTTCCCATTCATGTTTTCTGAGCATCCACTCTCTTGGTTCTCCCTTTTTCTGACCTGTCAAACCCACGTGTTCAGACAGTCCCGCAGGCCCTTGGTTATGAGGGAGGGAGGCGCTGACTCAGTTTCCATACTCCAGGAAAGCAGCTCCTCGCCTTGCTGAGCGCGAGAGTCCCTCGCGGTCCCGACCCCTCTCTAGCCACCAGATTCCCAGAGAATCCTTTGAGATTCATCCATTTCAACAAATGTGCTGAGGGTCTGGTATTTGCCAACTCTGTGTCATGGACGGACACAGCGGACATAAGTAGTACAGCCTGCTCTTTATGGCGAGCAGCTAGGGAGAGGGATAAGGAAAGAAGCGGCCAGGGTACAGCCAAATAAGCCTGTAATAGAGGCAGATTAATCATCAAAACAAGGCCGGGTGCGGTGGCTAACGCCTGTAATCCCAACACTTTGGGAGGCCGAGGCAGGCGGATCACGAGGTCAGGAGTTCGAGACCAGCCTGGCCAACATGGTGAAACCCCGTCTCTACTAAAAATACAAAAATTAGCTGGGCTTAGTGGCGCACGCCTGTAATCCCAGCTACTCTGGAGGCTGAAGTAGCAGAATTGCTTAAACCTGGGAGGCAAAGGTTGCAGTGAGCCGAGATCACGCCACTGCACTCCAGCCTGGGCGACAGAGCAAGACTCCATCTCGGGGGGGGGGGGGGAATCAAAACAAGACGACAATGACGATATCTCTAATAGCTACCTCTGAGGTATTATTTTATCCCCATTTTACACTTGGGGAAAATGAGGCTTAAAGCAATTACTTGCCCAAAGCCACACAGGTAGTAAGGAGCTCATCCAAATGAGGCTGCGCTTTTTCCACAACATCATTTTGCAAGCTATGTCTGGAAGCTTCTGGAAATCTTGGATGCTTTTTTATTTTTTATTTTTTGAGATGGAGTTTCGCTCTGTCGCCCACCCAGGCTGGAGTGCAGTGGCACAATCTCAGCTCACTGCAAACTCCACCTCCTGGGTTCAAGCAATTCTCTTGCCTCAGCCGCCCGAGTAGCTGGGTCTACAGGGGCCCGCCACCACCCCCAGCTAATTTTTTTTTGTTTTTAGTAGAGATAGAGTTTCACCATGTTGTCCAGGCTGGTCTTGAACTCCTGACCTCAAATGATCCGCCTGCCTCAGCCTCCCAAAGTGCTGGGATTACAGGTGTGAGCCACCATGCCCAGCCCTATTATTTATTTATTTATTCATTCATTCATTCATGCATGCATGCATGCATTTTGCAGACGAGGTTTCACTCTGTTGCCCATGCTGGAGTGCAGTGGTGCAATCATAGCTCATTGCAGCCTCGAATGCTGGGACTCAAGCAATCCTCCTGCCTCAGCCTGCTGAGTAGTTAGGACTACAGGTGCACACCACCATGCCCAGCTAATTTTTTTTTTCATTTTTTGTATAGACAGGATCTTGCTACATTGCCCAAGCTAATCCCCAACTCCTGGCCTCAAGGGATCCTCCCACCTCAGCCTCCCGAAGTGCTGGGATTACAGATGTAAGCCACCATGCCTGGCCCCTAGATGCTTCAAAAGGATGTGACATTCACTTAAAGAGGAATTCTACAGGTGAAAAATGAGGGGCACGCCATCTGGGAGCAAAAGTGTGGCAGGGTGGAGCGGGTGTGGAGGGAAAGAGGAGTGCGAAGGGTGTCGCCATTTCACGGAACAAACAAACTCCACAGGGCAATGATAGGGTAGCTCTAGCCTTTCTCCGGAGGTGGGTTTTCCCCGCCCTGGGCAAAATCCTTGGCAGGTTTCATGGCTTTTCTAATCATTCCAAGATAATGAATGAATAGTTCCTTTATTTGGCATTAAAAAAAATCCAGTCTATTCTACAAATCACTCAACCGCATTCCAGGCCAGAGTGACATTAAAAACTCTCAATCATAATCATTAGGGAAATGCAAATTGAAACCACAGTAAGATAACACTACATGGCTAGCACAATGACTTTCAAAAGCTGGCAACATGCTAACAGTTTATTTCTTTATTTATTTTTAGTTTTTTGAGACAGGGTCTCCCTCTGTCATTCAGACTGTGCAGTGGCATGATCACAGCTCATTGCACCCTCTACCTCCAAGGCTCAAGCAATCCTCCCACCTCAGCCTCCCAAGTAGCTGGCATTACAGGTGCACACCATGACGCCCGGCTAATTTTGTATTTTTTATACGGATGGGGTTTTGCCATGTGGCCCAGGCGGTCTCAAACTCCTGAGCTCAAGCGACCCTCCTGCCTGGGCCTCCCAAAGCATCGGGATTACAAGCAGGAGCCACCGTGCTCAGCCTTCAAAAAGAAGAAAAAATAATAAAGGCAAGTGAAGGTATGAAGAAGGAGGAGGAGAAGAAGGAGAAGAAAAGAATTGAGAACTCTTGCTAACCAGCCACTCCGGGTGAAATTTTGACCCCTTTGGTCTTGCCCATCACTCAGAGCCATTTCTGTGGCTTGCAACCAGGAACTCCCAAGTGACATGGAAATATTACTGGATTTAATTGAGTCCACCCTCACCTAGCCTCAGGGGCTCTTCTACCACTCAGATGGGCATTCTCCTCCATAGATCATCTTTTTTTTTTTTTTTTTTTTTTTTCCGAGACGGAGTCTCGTTCTGTCACCCAGCCTGGAGTGCAATGGTGCAACCTCGGCTCACTGCAACCTCCACCACCCAGGTTCAAGCAATTATCCTGCCTCGGCTTCCCAAGTGGCTGGGACTACAGGCACATGCCACCATGCCCGGCTAATTTTTTTGTATTTTTAGTAGAGACGGAGTTTCACCGTGTTAGCCAGGATGGTCTCAATCTCCTGACCTTCTGATCCACCCCCCTCAGCCTCCCAAAGTGCTGGGATTATAGGTGTGAGCCACCACACCCGGCCCTTAGATCATCTTAATGCCAGGAAATCTTACAAAGTCTCTGTGCATTCACCCCACCACGGCATGGAAAAAAACATAACATTGTCCTGAGGAACTTGACCACTAACATATCTAAGTGGAAAAATACCCATTCATCCCTGACCGTTATTTACATTCTCTAAGTTAAGCTTAACATCCTCTCTAGTTCCACCAGTAATTATGTTTTTAAAATGCTGTCAGTTGTTTTCCAGTGATGCATATTGATATCTGTAGTGACTGGGCATTTGCTTTTAAATCTACTGCAGCAAAGAAAAACAGTTCGTTCCACCATTCTGTCTACTTTTGTGTGTGTGTGAAAACTTTTATAGTAAACATTTTAAGAAATAAGTCTGGATGTATGAAGAAAGAATATTCTCGGCCGGGCGCGGTGGCTCACGCCTGTAATCCCAGCACTTTGGGAGGCCGAGGCGGGCGGATCACGAGGTCAGGAGATCAAGACCATCCTGGCTAACATGGTGAAACCCCATCTCTACTAAAAAATAAAACATAAAAAAAATTAGCTGGGCATGGTGGTGGGCGCCTGTAGTCCCAGCTACTCAGGAGGCTGAGGCAGCAGAATGGCGAGAACCCAGGAGGTGGAGCTTGCAGTGAGCTGAGATCGCACCACTGTACTCCAGCCTGGGCGACAGAGTGAGACTCTGTCTCAAAAAAAAAAAAAAAAAAAAAAAAAAAATATATATATATATATATATATATATATATATATATACACACACACACACACTTACTAAATAAAACAAAATAAAACAGAGCTTTTAAAAAATTTTTTTAATTACGTATCCCTGATCAATTTGAGGGTTCCCTGGTAGGTTCTTCACTGTGATGTCTGCATATAGAAACCATGTCCTGTTCTCCTTTATGCCCACCATAAAAGGAAGACTCGCAGGTCTATGGCTGTCATGGCCCTCCCTGGCACCCTTTTTCTGAGTTCAACCGTCAATCATCCAACAAACACTTACTGAGGCCAAGAGCAGTGGGTCACGCCTGTAATCCCAGCACTTTGGGAGGCTGAGGCAGGTGGATCACCTGAGGTCCCAAGTTTGAGACCAGCCTGGCCAACATGGTGAAACCCTGTCTCTACTAAAAATACAAAAATTTAGCTGGGCATATAAAAATAATAATATTTTTATTTTATTTATTTATTTAATTTTTTATTTTGAGATAGAGTCTCTCTCTGTCACCCAGGCTGGAGTGCAGTGGCGTGATCTTGGCCCACTGCAACCTCTGCCTCCCAGGTTCAAGTGATTCTCCAGCCTCAACCTCCTGAGTAGCTGGGATTACAGATACGCGCCACCACAACAGGCTAATTTTTGTATTTTTAGTAGAGATGGGGTTTCACCTTGCTGGCCAGGCTGGTCTCCAACTCCTGACCTCAGGTGATCCACCCACCTTGGCCTCCCAAAGAGATGGGATTATAGGCATGAGCCACCACCCCCGGCCTCTATTATAATTTTTTGTGTGTGTGTGAGACAGAGTCTCTCTCTGTCGCCCAGGCTGGAGTGCAGTGGTGCTGTCCTGGCTCACTGCAAGCTCTGCCTCCCGAGTTTATGCCATTCTTCTGCCTCAGCCTCCCGAGTAGCTGGGACTACAGGCGCCCACCACCACACCCGGCTAATTTTTTGTATTTTTTTTAGTAGAAACAGGGTTTCACCATGTTAGCCAGGATGGTCTCGATCTCCTGACCTTGTGATCCGCCCGCCTCGGCCTCCCAAAGTGCTGGGATTACAGGCGTAAGCCACCGCGCCCAGACTATTATAATATTTTTAAAAATCAAAAAAAGAGAGAGGAGGGAGGGAGGAAGACAGACACCTGATTTGAGTGAAATGTAGAGAGACAGGAGATACGCTTGAAGTGGACCAGGAGCAGACCATAAAGGGCTGCATACATCCTGATAAAAGGCATTAATCTTATTCCATGAGCAACAAAGAGCCTGAGAAGCAGGGGAGTGATGTCATGAGATGTCATTAGATCTTAATGAAGCCATCCTGGCTGCAGCAGGAGAGAGAAATGACCTGAACATGGGGAATCCAGCTGGGAGGTGAGAGCTGATGAGGGCTCAACCAAAGCAGTCACAGATAGATGGAGAGGAAGCAGGCAGGTGGTATTGACAAGGTGGAGTCTTGGAACTTGGTTTTCTATCTCATATGTGTTCTAGGTACCATTGCTGCATAACAACCTTTCCACCAAACTTGGTGTAAAACTATAACCATTTTATTATGTTCACAAATTCCATGGGTCAGGAATTCAGACAGGACTCAGCTGCGGTGGCTGGTCTGTGCTTCACAATGTCTGCGGTCTCAGCTGAGAAGACCAGAATGGCTGGTGCTGGGGTTAACTTGGAACAGCTGGGGGGCTGAAATTACCAGGTGGCTTTACTCATACATCTGATGCCTGAGCTGGCAGGACCCAAAGACTGGGTTCAGCTGGGGCTGAAGACAGACACACCAACGTGTGACCTCTCCATGTGGCTTGGGCCTCTCTCAGCAAGGACACTGGGCTCTGTGAGGGAACACCCAAAAGATGCATATGAAAATAGGAAGTGGACACAGTGGCTCACACCTGTGATCCCAGCACTTTGGAAGGCCAAGGCCGGAGGATCGCTTGAGCCCAGGAGTTCGAGACCAGCCTGGGCAACATAACAAGACTCCATTTCTATAAAAAATAAGAAAAAAATACTAGCCAGGTGTGGTGGCAATTACCTGTAGTCTCAGCTACTCAGAAGGCTGAGGCAGGAGGATCGCTTGAGCCTGAGAGGTTGAGAATGCAATGAGCTATGATCTCACCACTGCACTCAGCCTGGGTGACAGAGCGAGACCCTGTCTCAAGAAAAAAAAAAAAAGAGAGAGAGAGAAAGAAAAGGAAAGAGGGTGTTCAAGAGAACAAGGGGGAAGTTGCATATCTGTTCAGCATCCAGTCTGGGAGGGAAGTAACATAGAAAGTCACTTTCACCACACTCTATTGGTCAAAATAGTCACAAGGTCACCAGATTCCAAGGGAGAGGACCTCTACCCCACCTCTCCATGGAAAGAGTGTCAGAGAATTTGGTACCATATTTTATTTTTATTTTTATTTTTATTTTTATTTATTTTTTGAGATGGAGTTCTGCTCTTGTCACCCAAGCTGGAGCGCAGCGGCGCGATCTCAGCTCACTGCAACCTCCGCCTCCTGGGTTCAAGTGATTCTCCTGCCTCAGCCTCCCGAATAGCTGGGACTACAGGTGTGCACCACCACACCCCGCTAATTTTTGTATTTTTAGCAAAGACGAGGTTTCGCCATGTTGGCCAGGCTGGTCTCGAACTACTGACCTCAAGTGATCTGCCGCGTGCCTCAGCCTCCCAAAGTTCTGGTATTACAGGCATGAGCCACCACGCCTGGCCCATGTCACCCTTGGTGCCTCTCTTCCTGCTACCAACCCCCCACCAACCCCAACCAATTCATCACCAAGTCCTATGGTGTTATCCATCAAACATATATATTGTATCATCCTACGGCCCTTCATCTCCCCCGCCCTCACCTTTGCCAGGGTCCCATAACCTCCCACCTGTAGCAGCCTCCACTCATCCCCTCTCCCACCTACTCTCTGCAGAACAGCCCAAGTAATTTGAACATGGAGCTCACATCACTCCCCCATGAAGACTCCTCTGAGCACTGCGTCAGGAGCAACCTCCAAGGCCCCGCAAAGTCTGAGCCTGCTTCTCCTCCCTTCAGTCCCTGGGTTCCACCCACGTGGGTCTTCCTTCATTTTTCTCAACCACTCTAAGTCTTTCTGCCCAGGATCTTTGTATAGTTTGTTCCTTCTGCCTGGGACATCCCTCCTCCCACTCCTCATGTGACTGTCCCCTTTTCGTCCTCCAGGGTCTTATCTTAAAAGTCTCTTTCCGGCCGGGCGCAGTGGCCCACGCCTGTAATCCCAGCACTTTGGGAGCCCGAGGGGGGTGGGGGTTGGATCACGAGGTCAGGAGTTCAAGACCAGCCTGGCCAAGATGGTGAAACCCATCTCAACTAAAAATACAAAAATTAGCCGGTTGCGGTGGCAGGTGCCTGTAATCCCAGCTACTCGGGTTGGGGCGAGATCATTCAGCTACTTAGGAGGCTGAGGCAGGAGAATCACTTGAACCTGGGATGCGGAGCTTGCAGTGAGCCAAGATCGTGTCACTGCACTCCAGCCTTGGTGACAGAGTGAGACTCTGCCTCGAAAAAAAAAAAAAAAAGTCTCTTTCCCTGAGAGATTTCCCAGCTCCACCATTGTTACTTCAGTCCCCCATGTTCTTAACACTATTGTAAATATTTTTGCTTTTTTTTTTTTTTTTGAGACAGAGTCTCGCTCTGTCGCCCAGGCTGGAGTCCAGTGGCGCCATCTCGGCTCACTGCAAGCTCCGCCTCCCGGGTTCACACCATTCTCCTGCCTCAGCTTCCCGAGTAGCTGGGACTACAGGCGCCCGCCACCATGCCCGGCTAATTTTTTTTGTATTTTTAGTAGAGACGGGGTTTCACCGTGTTAGCCAGGATGGTCTGGATCTCCTGACCTCGTGATCTGCCCGCCTCGGCCTCCCAAAGTGCTGGGATTACAGGCATGGGCCATCGTGTCCAGCCTATTTTTGTCTTTTTAATTGTTTGACATCTGTCTCTTCTACTGAAATTCAAGCTTCCCGTGAGCAAGGACTGAGTCCGTTTTGTTCTCTGTATCCTCAGCACTCAGCACCATGTCTAACACATCATAAATATTTATTGGACAAATGAATGACAATAACTCCTGGGCTTCCAGCTTGGGTGATTACAGGAGGAGGAGCCAGTTGATCACCCACTTTAGTCAATAGGAATGACACATTTTGGCCAACTCTTTCTCAGATTTATCTTTTTTTTTTTTTTTTTTTTTTTTTTTGAGATGGAGTCTGTCGCCCAGGCTGGAGTGCAATGGCACAATCTCGGCTCACTGCAACCTCTGCTTCCTGGGTTCAAGCGATTGTCCTGCCTCAACCTCCCTGGTAGGTGGGATTACAAGTGCTCGCCACCATGCCCAGCTAATTTTTGTATTTTTAGTAGAGATGGGATTTCACCATGTTGGCCCGGCTGATCTCGAACTCCTGACCTCGTGATCCACCTTCCTTGGCCTCTCCAAATGTTGGGAATACAGGCGTGAGCCACCGCGCCTGGCAGATTCATCTTTGATTAGTTTTAGGAGTTTTTCAGGCAGGGCAGGTGGATCTGACCTGGGGCAAAGGGATAAGGAACGCTGTGAATTGTGG
Source organism: Homo sapiens (assembly GCF_000001405.40). Lineage (NCBI taxonomy): Eukaryota > Metazoa > Chordata > Mammalia > Primates > Hominidae > Homo > Homo sapiens. Next base: position 74,981,316 of record NC_000017.11, read on the forward strand.
AGTTAGGGGGTCATTGGGAAGAAGGCCGAAGAAGGAAGGCCAAGAAAAATGGCTTAGAACATTTCTTCATTCATTGGGAGACCTGCCATGTGCCAGCCAGAGTCCCTGCCCTCAAGGAGTTCTCAGTCTGCCGGGAAGCAGAAGGGTCCCACGCAGAGAGCCTCCATGCTGTGACGCGGCTGTGCTAGAGGCGGGGGAGCCCAGGCAGCCCTCAGCGGGCAAATGCACCTGGGGCTTCTCCCCAGGTCTCTTCTCCCAAGGCTGAGCCTTGACTGCAGGCTCCACCTGCCTCCCCAGCCAGAAAGGTAAAGTCCCTGCACTGGCATCCCCAGCCTGCCTTAGGAGCCCTGCCAGAGATGGGGTAGTGAGGGGCAAGGAATAGTTCCTCCAGGTGAAAACCGATAATAAGGCCCTAATAGTCACTGACCGTGCTCGGCAGACCCCAGCGCTGATCTAAGCGCTGGCGTGTATGAACTCATCGCACCCTCCCAACCAGCCCAGGAGGTATCAGAGGAGTAAGGTTGGATATCATCAGCACAAGTCTCCTAAAGGTCACCCCACTGATGACAGGCCTGGAGGGTTCACACTGCAGAGATTTGAGGTAGACATATGGAGGCATTTCCCGACCGCAAGAACCTTGAGAATCTGAAATAATGTACCCTTCAGAGCACACGATTGTCTGGAACAAACTCAGACGGTGCATGGGGGAGAGGGGGATGGGCAGCAGATGACCTCACTCCAATGTCCTGAGCGCCTTACCCCGCCAGGCGCTGACCTCAGACTGGTGGAGGGGACAGATGGGGCGAGATCATTCAGTACAGTGTGCGCCCAGCGCTGGAGCGAACATGTCCGGGGACAGGGAGGGAGGCGCCGCTTGCAGGGGTGTGGGGACTCGAGGAAGGTTTCCAGATGTCGCCCTATCCTTTAACCTCAACCCGAGATGTGCAGCGCGCGAGGTCGGTCGACGCCCTTCGCCTCCCGCAACGCCGCTGTGCGGTTGGGGGCGGTGCGGTCCCTCTGCCGCCAGCGCAGCCCGCGAGCCGTCACTTCCTGTGGGCTGGGCCGAGCCGGGCTGCGCGCGGAGGTAGGGGATGCAGGCTGGGGGTGAGCAGCAGCGACGGTGCCATCGGCTGTCGCATCGGCGTCCTCAGCCCCGCCCCGCGCCTAAGCGGCGCTCGCTGGGAGGGCCTGGCCATCTTCGCGCGGTGGCCGGGCGCTCCCGGGGTCCCCTGCCTGTGCCCCGTTCCCCCATCCAGAACCTGGGCTGGAGGTGCTAGGGAGCTCTGGGAGCCTGGGCTGCACGCAGGGAAGTGCTCTCGGCCGCCGGGGTCACAAGACTCCAGGGCTTCACAGTGCCCAAGGCTTGGTGGACATCGAGCCCACCGGGGAATCTTTGCCATCAGCGCCGTGTTTTGATGCCCGCGGCAAGGAACACCACGAAATAGGTTTCCTGACACTCAGGTGAGGTGCCAGGTCCTGGGTTACCAAGGTCAGGTCAGGTGGTCTGTACTTGCCACCCCTGGGTCGGCTCTCTACCCTGCTTGACTACATCACAGGAAAAGGCTGGAAATGGATCCGGGGCTTGTTGACCTGTAGCTCATGGAGGCTGAAGAATTTCCTCCTTGAAGGCAGACCTGATTTTCCTCCTCACGGAAGAGTTTAGGCCAGTCATAGGGTGTTTTTCTTCTATTTATTTTATGTTATGTTATGTTATGTTATGTTATGTTATGTTATGTTATGTTATGTTATGTTATGCTATTTTATTTTATTTTAGAGACAGAGTCTCACTCTGTTGCCCAGGCTGGAGTGCAGTGGGGCCATCTCAGCTCACTGCAACCTCTGCCTCCCGGGTTCAAATGATTCTCCTGCCTCAGCCTCCTGAGTAGGTGGGATTACAGGCGTGCACCACCATGTCTGTCTAATTTTTGTATTTTTGGTAGAGATGGGGTTTCGCCGTGTTGGCAAGGCTGATCTAGAACTCCTGAGCTCAAGTGATCCGCCCGCCTCGGCCTCCCAAAGTGCTAGGATTACAGGCGTGACCCACTGTGCCTGGCTTCTTCTTTAGTAAATAAACTATTTTATCAAAGTATAATATATCTTCAGAATAGTGCACACATCTTAAGTGTACAGTTGGGTGAATTTTCACAAAGTGAACACACCTGTGTAACCAGCACCCAGCTCAGGAGATAGAATTCTCCTGAATGGGAGTTAGTGTTTAATGGTACAGAGTTTCAGTTTTACAAGATGAAAATAGCTACGGAGATGGATGGTGGTGATAGTTGTACGTTATAAATGTATTGAATACCACTAAACTGTACACTCAAAAATGGTAAATGGTAAATCTTATGTGTGTTTCACCACAATCGTAAAAAAAAAAAAAGAAAAAAGATCAGCTGGGTGTGGTGGCACAAGCCTGCAGTCCCAGCCATTTAGGAGGCTAAAGCAGGAGGATCACTTGAGCCCAGGACTTTGAGGTTACAGTGAACTATGATTATGACACTACACCCCAGCCTGGGATCCCATCTCAAAAATAAGTTTAAAAAATTTTAGAAAAAGATTCCCAGCCACTTAGAATTCTCCACATGCCTTCCCAAAGCCAAACACTATCTTGATTCATTTTGCCAGTTTTTAACTTTATTATTATTTATATTTTATAGAGACAGAGGGTGGCTGTGATGCCCAGGCTCGTCTCAAACTCATGGCCTCTAGTGATCCTCTTGCCTCACCCTTCCGAGTAGCTGGGATTCCAGACACATGAACTTTATTTTTATTTTTATTTTTTGAGACAGAGTCTCGCTCTGTCACCCAGACTGGAGTGCAGTGGCGCAATCTCGGCTCACTGCAAGCTCCACCTACCCAGTTCACGCCATTCGCCTGCCTCAGCCTCCTGAGTAGCTGGGACTACAGGTGCCTGCCACCACGCCCAGCTAATTTATTTTTTATTTTTTTAGTAGAGTCGGGGTTTCACCGTGTTAGCCAGAATGGTCTCGATCTCCTGACCTCGTGATCTGCCTGCCTCGGCCTCCCAAAGTGCTGGGATTACAGGCGTGAGCCACTGCACCTGGCCATGAACTTTATATAAAATGGAATCATGCAGTGCTGTGATAGAATCATAACCACTAAAGATATCCACATCCTAACCCCCAGAATCTCTGAATATGTTACCTTGCCCAACATAAGGGACTTTGCAGATGTGATTTAGTTAAAGACATTGAGACAGGGAGATTATGCTGTATTATTCAGTGTGCCCAGTTTAAGCAGAAGAGTCCTTTATAAGAGGGAGGTGGAAAAGGTAAGAGTGATGGGATGTGAAAAAGACTCCACCTTCTGTTGCTGACTTTGAAGATTGACAAAGAGGCCATGAGCCAAGGACTATGGGGTGGCCTCTAGAAGGTGCAAAAGACAAGGAAACAGATACTCCCCTGGAACCTCCAGAAGGAACACAGCTTCTACCAATGCTTTGACTTTAGCCAGTGATCCTTGTCAGACTTCTACAGAATTATAAAATAATAAATTTGTGTTGTTTCAAGCCCATTAAATTTGGGGTCATTTGTTACAGAAGCAATAAGAGACAAATACAGGTATTTACTCTTTGTGTCTGGCATCTTTCACTCAACTTTTTTTTTTTAGCCCAAGCCCATGACAGTAGATCATTGTATTTGTACTATATAACATTCCATTACATGAACATGCCACATATTCTTCGTCAACTGTTGATGGACATTTGTGTTGTTTCCAGTGTGGGCGCTTATGAATACTGTGGCTATGAACTTTCTTGTACATGTCTTTGGGATAAGGTATGTGCATATTTCTCTTGCACATATATAGGAATAGAATTTCTGGGTTATAGGGTATGCATGTATAGTGGCTGCTGTGATGTATCCCCAACTCTTTCAGAACGAAAGGACCTATTCCCTTAGCTGCTGGGAGGACCCCTGGCTGGCAGTCCCAGCTGCCAGGGCTCTGTGCAAACTAGTCTCAGCTGAAAAGAACTTATTTGGCCAAGGTCACACATGCCTCCTAGGAACGACCTGTGTCATTCAATGACTGGTTGATATGTAAGGGTGGGGGATATAAAGGCCCCCTCCCCCAATGATACCTGGAATAGCTTTGAAGGGTCACCCTGGATTCAAAGTTCTTCAGGGATCAGAGGAGGCTTTTGCAGAGGCTACATACCAACCCAGCTTCTCCCCCACCAACCCTGCTTCCCTCCCTTTCCTGCAGGTGTTGATCATGAGAGCACTCCCTAGTCAACTTTCTTTCTTTTTTCTCCCTCTAATCCAATATGATTGATATCCCTAATCAACTTCCTGCATGCTAATCTCCATCTCAGGATCAGCTGCCTGGGAACACAACCTACAACAGCTTACGTTATTCAGCTTTCATGGTTATCAAGCAGTCTTTTTTTTTTTTTTTTCCAAGACGCAGTCTTGCTCTATCGCCCAGGCTGGGTGCAGTGGCGCAATCTCAGCTCACTGCAACTTCCGCCTCCCAGGTTCAAGCAATTCTCCTGCCTCAGCCTCCCAAGTAGCTAGGACTACAGGCATGTGCCACCATGCCCAGCTAATTTTGTATTTTTAGTAGAGACAGGGTTTCACCATGTTTCCCAGGCTGGTCTTGAACTCCTGACCTCAAGCGATCCACCCTCCTTGGCCTTCCAAAGCGTTGGGAATTACAGGCATGAGCCACCACGCCCGGGCAGTTTTCTAAAGTGGTTGTCGTCCTATGTATTCCCTCCAGCAGGGTGAGAGAGTTCCAGTTGCTCAACATTCTTGCCAATACTAGGTATTTTTTGTCTTTTTTTTTTTTTTTTTTTTTTTTTTTTTGAGACAGGATCTTGCTCTGTCACCCAGGCTGGAGTGCAGTGGCATGACCACAGCTCCCTACAGCCTCAACCTCCTAGACTCAAGCAATTCTCCCACCTCAGCCTCCCAAAGTATCTGGGACTACAGCCGTGTGTCATTATGCCCACCTAATTTTTATTTTTAAATTTTTTTATAGAAATAGGATCTTGCTATGTTGCCCAGGCTGCTCTTGAACTCCAGGCTCAAGTGATCCTCCCAACCTCGGCCTCCCCAGAGTTCTGGGATTATAGGCATGAACCACCACGCCTGGCCTTTTTTTTTTTTTTTTTTTTCCCTAAAGCCACTCTGGTGATTGGGTAGTGATACCTCATTGTGGTTTTCATTTGCATTTTTCTGATGGCTAAAGAAGTTCAGTACCTTGTTGCATATTTATTCAGTTATTTGTGTATCCTTTTTTGTGAATTACCTGGTCAAATCTTTTACCCACTTTTCTACTGGGTTGCGTGCCTTTTTCTTATGACTATGCAGATGTTCTTTCTGTATTCTGGATACAAGTCATTCGTTGGGTATATCACAACATTATTCAGAGATTCTCAACGGCACCAGCACATTAGGGTCCCAATAAAAATGAGTTACGTGAATGCTTGAGTCCGAACACTCTTCTAAGGAAAGAATGCTTGGACAGATGCAAGTGTGTATAGTTTTAATGGGTATAATTGGATATAGGATATGGGTCCCAAGGAAAGGAAAACAGAACCTTGAATGCAGGTAACACACCCTCAAACTTTGCCACTTTCAGCCTGTGGTTTCTAGCCACAAGCACTTAAACACGCAGTTCCCAAAGGCAACTGTAAATTAGTATTCATTCATTCAAAGAATGTCGATGGAAGGTATCAATGACCAGCATGTTGTTTGTTTTTTGTTTGTTTGTTTTTTGAGGCAGAGTCTCCCTCTGTCGCCCAGGCTGGAGTGCAGTGGCGCTATCTTGGCTCACTGCAACCTCTGCCTCCAGGGTTCAAGCGATTCTCCTGCCTCAGCCTCCCGAGTAGGCATGCGCCACCATGCCCAGCTAATTTTTGTATTTTTAATGGAGACGGGGTTTCGCCATGTTGGCCAGGCTGGTCTCGAAACCCCTGACCTCAGGCGATCTGCCCGCCTTGGCCTCCCAAGGTGCTGGAATTACAGGAGTCAGGCATCGCGCCCGACTGGTGAGCAGCCTGTTCTAGGAAGTGAGTAGCCAGCTGTGAAAGAGAAACAATATTCTTGCTTCCAGGAGATCTAGGAGAGACGACAACTTCTAAAATAGCATAATTTTAGACATGAGACATAAACTGAATAGGTCGTAGGGGGAAGTAGGACGAAAGGGTTGATCAAGCAATTCCCAGACCAAGACACCAGGAGGGTCCCGCCCTCGGCCCCGCCTCCAGCTTTGCATACATCTCCTGATTGGTCGGCGGCGGCAGGCCCCACCCCGCGGAGCCGAGCTCCGCAAGCTGCAGGCGGGCTCCGCCAAGATGCAGCGGCGGCTCCGGTTGTCGCCGGGCGGGCCAGGAGCAGCGCGGACCCGAGCCGGGCAGGGGGCGCCCGCCACGGCACCCGCGCGCTCCTAGCGCCCCAGACCCGCCTGCGGGCCCGGATCCTCCTTGCCACTGTCCCACCCGCCGTCCCTGCCACTCCACCCTTTGTGTCGCCGCAGCCCGGTGCCCCCGGCTCTGCGGGACCCCGGCCGGGCCGGACCCTGGCAAAGCGCCAGGCCCCGCGTGGGCTCCCGGCGAGCGGTTGATGGCGAGGGGGCGCGGCGCGGGCTCTGTAGCCCGAGTTCCCGACGCTGGAGGCCCGGCCCGCCTCAGCCGCATTGTCCCGGGCCGCGCGCACCGGCCCTGAGCTGCGCCGCCGCAGCACCCGCCCGCCGCCCGCGGGGCCATGCGGAGAGCCGCCGGGATGGAGGACTTCTCCGCGGAGGAAGAGGAGTCCTGGTACGACCAGCAGGACCTGGAGCAGGGTGAGCGCGGGGGCGACCGGGACAGGAAGGCGGGGAGCGCCCGGTGACCCCTGTCCGCTTCTCCATTGTTGGGCGCTATCACCCCGGGAGGGGCTGGGCTGGACCGGGCGCGCCCGACTCGGAGGAGGGACGCGTCTGGAGAACCGGGACGTGGAGAGAGGGGGCGCTGCCGGAGAAGACGCGGACCGGACGGGCGGAGACCTGCAAAAGTGGGGGGCGGGGGGCGGTCTTCCTATTTTCCCAGACGACCGGGCATCCGTCATCCAGCTCGCCCACCCCGTCCTGGAGGCAGCAACTGCTCGGCCGCCCCTGGTATTGTTACGGGGCCTGAGCGCTAGCTAGGAGTCTTCTGAGGCCGGGAGGCGGCTCCTTCGTCATGTTTTGCTGGGAGGGTGGCTTGTGTGTAGAGGGAAGTTATCTCACGCCAAATCCAGCAGCACCCGTCCCTGACAGGAATTATGAGCTCTAAGACTCCTAGAAAGTTTCCCTAACTCGCTTCCTACTCAGGGAGAAGTGGTACCGCGTCTTTGCTGGTGAAGAAGCAGAAAGTCAAGTCTCCCATCTGCCTTCGAGAGTCAGGAGTCGCTTAGCCCTCCCCTGCCCGGTCCCCTTGCAAATGGCTCATGGTTTGGAGGGGGTCAGGTTCGGGAATCCCGGCCAGTGTGCCAGGCGAGAGACCGAATAAAGAGGGATACATCTCCGCTGCCCCCAGTTGCCATCTGAGGACAGAAAGGGCGACTGGAAGGGGGTTAGAAGCTGGTGATGAGGTGGCCGAAATGACATCACTGGGAGTGGGGGGTGGGGCTGTTGGGACAGAAAGGAAGAGGAGGCCTGCTGGAGTGGAGTCAGTTCTATCCTCTCCTCCCCTAAGATGCCTCCTTCTTGGATGGTGAGAGCTGGAAGGGGCGAGGAAACATGTCCAGGGAGAAGTGACCTTCCCATGGCCTCCAGCAAGCTGGGGGGTGTGGACATAAGTCTGCTGCAGTTTGTGCCATTGTGGCCTGCTGTGGTGTGCCCACACCCTGGTCTCCATCCACAAGGCTCCAGAGGGCTGGCTTTGCCCTGATGTGCAGCAGCTATCCGGATTCTGAAGCCCCTGACCTACTTCCCCACATGGCCAAGACTGGCTGGCAGATGAGGCTCTGTCCTTGTGCTGAGGACAAGGGTTAATCATAGCCTCAGGGGGACCAGGGTGGGACTGGGGATGCTGGACTAGGCCCTGCCATGGTCTGTGCCCTGGACTCTGGCCTCAGCCTCCTTGGCTGAAATGAGATACAGCTCCTCTCAAACACACACACACACACACACACACACACACACACACATCCACACATTGTGACAACCCCCTCTCCCATCCTGGGCAGTAAATTTTTCCATGAACACCTATTAGGCTCCCCTTAAGTACCAGACACCATCCTGGGAGCTAGGAATAGTCACAGCCCTGACCCTGAAGGTATACCCTGGCAGGTGAAGGAGGCAGGCTTGTAACTAAGTGTAGGTGGCACAGTATTTTTTTCTTTTTTCTTTTTATTTATTTATTTATTTATTTTCAGACAGAGTCTCCCTCTGTCACCCAGGTTGGAGTGTAATGGTGCGATCTCAGCTCACTGCAACCTCCATCTCCCGGGTTCAAGTGATTCTCCTGCCTCAGCCTCCTGAGTAGCTGGGACCACACCTGGCTAATTTTTGTATTTTTAGTAGAGACAGGGTTTCACCATGTTGGCCAGGCTGCTCTCAAACTCCTGACCTCAGATGATCCACCCGCCTTGGCCTCCCGAAGTGCTGGGATTACAGGCGTGAGCCACCACGCCCGGCTGGTGGCACAGTATTATGGGCAGTGGGGAGGGCTTCCTGGAAGAGCCAGGCTTAGAAAGAAAGATCAGAAACTGAGTTCTTGAGAAGATGGTTTTCAGGGAGGCCGATGCCAATATTGTTGCTGTCTCACTTAATTCCTGCACCCCTAATGAAGGCTTTGGCACTGTTCCTGGCCCAGAAATGGGAAAGGAGCCAGGGCATAGAGGTGGGAGATGCGCAGAGATGTGCAGCTTCTTGAGAGAGAGAAGGATCTGAGACTCCAGCTGCGCTGGGTGGCCGTGCTCTGGGCTGCCGGGAGGGATGGGCCCGGCAGGCCTCTGCTTCTCTGGCCCTGCTGGTCTGCAGCTGTTGGCCTGGCCTGGCAGCTCCAATGGTAGCCAAAGGCCAGGAACCAGGAGGGAAAGCAGAAATGAGACAGAATAAACTGGAGCTTCCTGCCAAAAGCTGGATGTCTGCTTACTGTGGGCCAGGTACTGTGCTGAGCCTGAGGACATAATCTCTGCCCTCAGAGGACTCCACGTTACATTAGAGAAGACAGAAATAGGACCAAACTCACAATGGCGTCAGAGTGAGGGGTTCTGCAGCTGTAGGCCCAGCAACGGGGACAGCAGAGACTTAGAAAGGTTTATGCCAAGGCCCTTTTGAGCTGGAGGCTCCCCAGGAGAGGGAGGGAAGAAGGCATTCCAGGGGGAAGCGATGCTTGTACCAAGTCATGGAGCGACATGAGAAGGCTGGAAAATAGGGAGGGAGGGGCTGAAGGAAGCATCAGACACGGGTTCTGTGGGGCATTCCCGTGGGCCCTGCCCGCCCTGTGCCCCAGGGGCCAGGCATGGAGAGCTGGATGGTGGGACGGAGCACGGGCCAAAGGCCAGCCATATTGGGTGTCAAAGGCCTGTTGCATCTCCCAACCCACAAATTCTCTTCCACCCAGCTGCTCCCTGGTTGCCTGTGAGTGGCCCAGAAATGGTTTTCTCAGCCAGCCACCTGGTCTTCCCTCCTGTCTGTTTCCTCCTGCCCAAAGGGCAGGCCCTGATTCCACTTTCCAGAAGCTTGACTGTAGAGATCCTGTTTGGCTTTGATGCTCTGTCCTGGTGGAAAGCAGCCGTGGGACAAGTGAGGTCCTAGATTCTCGCTGTGTTCCCTCTGCCCACTGCCACGAGCATTTATAAAAATAGAAAAAGCCAGCTGGGCACAGCAGCTCACACCTGTAATCCCAGCACTTTGGGAGGCCAAGGCGGGCGGATCACCTGAGGTCGGGAGTTCGAGACTAGCCTGACCAACATGGAGAAACCCCGTCTCTACTAAAAATACAAAATTAGCCAGGCGTGGTGGCACATGCCTGTAATCCCAGCTACTCAGGAGGCTGAGCCAGGAGAATCTCTTGAACCCAGGAGGCAGAGGTTGCAGTGAGCTGAGATAGCTAGCGCCATTGCACTCCAGCCTGGGCAACAAGAGCAAACTCTGTCTTTAAAAAAAAAAAAAAAAAAAGCCTAGAAAGAGCCGGGCACGGTGGCTCACGCCTGTAATCCCAGCACTTTGGGAGGCCGAGGCGGATGGATCACAACATCAGGAGATCGAAACCATCCTGGCTAACACAGTGAAACCCCGTCTCTACTAAAAATACAAAAAATTAGCCGGGCGCGGTGGCGGGCGCCTGTAGTCCCAGCTACTCGGGAGGCTGATGCAGGAGAATGGTGTGAACCCGGGAGGCAGAGCTTGCAGTGAGCCAAGATCGCGCCACTGCACTCCAGCCTGGGCGACAGAGTGAGACTCTGTCTCAAAAAAAGAAAAAAAGAAAGAAAAAGCCATTAATTATTAAGCACTGGCACTCCCTCTTTCGGCCCACATTCCTCCCCTACCTTGGACCAGGCGTGGCAGGCCCTGTGCGTTCCTCTTTCCAGGCTGAGAGGCAGCTGCTGAGTCACAGATTTGAAGTCCTTGGTACCCGTGCTGTCCCCGCCTGCCTAGCTGACCTTGAGTCCTCAGCCTCAGGAGAGCTCTGACCTGGCAACGGGAGGGAGGTCCTGCCTCCACCCTGGTTACCCCAAAGGTGACCTGACCCTGATTCTGTGGACCCAGAGTGGCTGACAGTCGTGCCCTGGAGCTGAGAACAGGACCTCACAGCCCTGCCAGGTGGTACTTGTGTCCACAGCCTGGAGCCCACACCCCTACCTTTGTCCTCCCTGAAAATGTCCCCTCTCCCTTTGCTGAGTCTCTGCTCTGGAATCTGTGGTGCCCGAGCCAGTGAGGGACAGTGGGATTTCTAAGTTTCTTTTCAAAGACAGGCCCTGGGTTCCCCAGACATTCCTCCTCAGGCCTCTGGGGCATTGCTTCATGTAAAACCACTAAAACCTCCTGAAGGAGACCCCAGAAAACCCTGGGGTCCAGGCAGGGGAGGTGCCAACCCAGACTTAATGTTGTTTTTTTTTTTTCTTTTGACCTGCACAGTTCAAACCCATAGCCCAGACTTAGTACCTTCCCTCAGCTTGGTCCGGTGTGTCCCATTCATCCAGCTGTGACAGGTTGTTACTCCACTTTCACTTCCTGTCTAGCCAGCTCCCCCATTCTCCCGTTCCCAGGCCTCTCTCCTCTGAGCCTGGAGCCATCACCCACCCTCTGGTAGCTGGTGTCTTCTCCCTAGTACTTGGCTCCACTCAGTTCCCTGCTCTGCAACTTCTAGACTATTCCCTGATCCCTCCTGGCAGCTTTGACCAGCTTAGCTTGCGCTGTGATCCAGTTTCCCTAAAATGATCTGAGACCTGCCTCTCTGCCCCCAAACAGCTTCTATTGTGTTTCTCTTTCTACCTGTCCCTGAATCACTAGGTGGCCCAAGTCGATTCACTGCCTTCAAAGGGCAACCTTTGATGTCTCTGGTTTATAGGGTGGTATACCACCCTGGCCTGCCAGCATTAGAAATCTACACACAGCCCAGACACTAACCTGGAAGTGGGGGGTATGATGTTGCACTGCACTTGGCCTTTCTTCACTCACCTCTGATGCAGTGGCTTTGCACTCTAGTTAAGCTGCAGGGGCTCCATGAAGGCCACTTACTTGGAGCATGTCCTCCGACACCCACGGCAGGAGGTAGAATCAGTAGCAATGGCCTCTTTGCAGACCATGTAACAGTTTCCAAGGGGGAAAACATTTAGGAGAGTAGCCCTCTGATCTCTTTCATGTATATCTGAACTGCTGGATACTGTTCAGGATGAGCTAAATTTGAGTCCCACTATGGAAAACAGGAAGATAGCATGGCTGTCTCATCACAAACTGAAGGTGATCTTGCCCGGCTCCTGAGTCCTGAGTTACTGCCATGCGCACAATATAGTACAGGGCTGTAGTTCAATCTTTTTTTTTTTTCAAGACAGAGTCTTGGTCCATCGCCCAGGCTGGAGTTCAGTGGCACAATCTTGGCTCACTGCAACCTCCGCCTCCCAGGTTCAGGCAATTCTCCTGCCTCAGCCTTCTGAGTAGCTGAGATTACAGGTAAGCACCAGCACGCCCAGCTAATTAATTTTTTTGTAGAGACAGGGGTCTCACTATGTTGCCCAGTGCAATGATCTTTACATCAAACTTTACAATTTGTAGATACCTCCAGACTTTTGCCCAACTGACAGGTCATAAATTCATACAGCATATATCCGCATTCCCTTACTAGGTTTATGTTATGTAACTAGTTTTTTCTTGGCATCCTCATCAGAAGGTTAATTGCTCAAGGCTAAAAGTTCTTACCTATGATTTACATGATTTGGTTTCTTTGTTGTTGTTGTTGTTTTCAATGGCTGAGGAAGATGTTTGGGAAAGCTGCCTTTGTTTTTTCAGGCTAAGTTACTGCAGCCTTGCTCTAGGATAGCAGCTTTGCACTCCTTCTCCAGATGACACAGGGCCCTCCTTTGGCTAAAACCCAGCCCTGGAGGCTCCACTTTGGCTGTTTCAAAACCTCACCTCTGTGCACAGGATCAGACTCCGGATTTGTTCCTGTGGGGCAGTTCAGCCTTTATGTCCAGGCCCAGTGGCTGGTCTGGCCCCTCTGCCTCTCACAAGGCAATGTCAGTTCTGCCCCCAGCTTGGCTGAAGGCCCAAGGCTCTGCCCTCAGCTGCCCACCAAGAGTCACTGCTTGCCTGGGCTCATCCCAAAGGAAAACTTCCACCCCAGGTCTAGGTTTCTTTTCAAAGACATCCCTTGGGCTCCCCAGCTATTATTTCTCAGGCCTCTGTCCAATGCATAGCAAGGGCTCAGCCGAAACAACCGTATCTAGGAAACTTTCTGTCCGGGAGTATAGAGCCTATCCGTCCTCCAGAGACCCTAGAACTATCACTATGTCTAAAAAGGGAAAGCAGTAGAGAACTGGATCCCTGAACCACATCATATTGGCCCCAGTAGAGTTGCCTTTATGCATCTTGATCTGATTTACATCGTCAGCCTAGATTGAGAGCTGTTTTAAGAAGCAGCCTCATAAAATGAAACAGACCAGTGCTTTCCTGGACAGTCTTTTGACAGAATGCCTCAAGAAGGCCTACCTTTTGTCCCAGGAATTGTATTTCTAGGAATTCTGTATCTAGGCCTACCTTTTGTTCCAGGTACCTAGGCTTACCCTTTGTTCAAGGAATTCTGTGTCCTAAGGAATTGGGCGGTGATTTGCACAAAACGTTTTGTACAACAAAGTTAATTAGTTTCATTCTTTTTTTTTCAGAGATAGGGTCTTGCTTTGTCTCACTGGAATGCAGTGTTGCAATCATAGATGACTCTAATCTGAAACTCCTGGACTCAAGCAGTCCTCCCACATCAACTTCTCTAGTAGCTGCGACCACAGACATGCACCACCATGCCCGGCTAATTTTACAATTTTTTTGTAGAGATGGGGTCTCGGGTAGGGCGCGATCCCAACACCTTGGGAGGCTGAAGTGGGCGGATCACGAGGTCAAGAGATCGAGACCATCCTGGCCAACATGGTGAAACCCCGTCTCTACTAAAAATACAAAAATTAGCTGGGCGTGGTAGCACGCGCCTGTAGTCCCAGCTACTCGGGAGGGTGAGACAGGAGAATTGCTTGAACTTGGGAGGCAGAGGTTGCAGAGTGAGCCAAGATCTCATCACTGCACTCCAGCCTGGCGACAGAGTGAGACTCAGTCTCAAAAAAAAAAAAAAAAGAGATGGGGTCTCACTGTGTTTCCCAGGCTAGTCTCTAACTTTTGGCCTCAAGCTATCCTCTCACCTCAGCCTTCCAAAGCACTGGGATTACAAGCATGAGCCACTGTGCCCAGTCTACACTTTCTTTTTTTTTTTTTTCTTTTTGACAATGTCTCACTCTGTCACCCAAGCTGGAGTCCAGTGGCACAATCACAGCTCACCAAGTAGCTGGGACTACAGGTGTATGCCACCACACCCCACTAATGTTCTTATTTTTTGTAAAGACAGGGTCTCATTATATTGCCCAGGCTGGTCTTGAACTCCTTTACTAAAGCAATCCTCCCACCTCGGCCTCCCAAAGTGCTGGGATTACAGGCGTGAGCCACCATACCCGGCCTGGCCTCTAATTTTTAAATCACCAGTTTGTTGTTGTTGTTTGTTTGTTTGTTTTGTTTTTTTGAGACAGGGTCTCTCTCTGTCACCCAGGCTGGAGTGCAGTGGCACAATCTCGGCTCACTGCAACCTGTTTCCCAGGTTCAAGTGATCCTCCTGCCTCAACTTCCCAAGTAGCTGGGACCACAGGCACATGCCACCACGCCTGGCTAATTTTTGTTTTTAGTAGAGACAGGGTTTTACCATGTTGGCCAGGCTGGTCTCGAACTCCTGACTTCAAGTGATCCACCCTCCTCGGCCTCTCAAAGTGCTGGGATTATAGGCATGAGCCACTGCACCCGGCCTAAATCACCAGTTTTTAACCTTTCTGTACTGTTTGATTTTTTTACACCAATCATGCCTTATGAAAAACATTAAAGCTATTTTAAAAAGAAAACAGCCTTGTGAAACTCAGCCTCAGCCTGCTCTAACGACCTCTTTGAGGACCCGCTCTCTCCCACCCTTCTCCGTCTCTGGATTAAGCTGCCTAAATCTTTTTTTTTTTTGACAGATTTATTGAGATTTAATTAACACACAATACAATTCACTCATTTAAAGTGTGCAACTCAACAGTTTTTATTATATTCACAAAGTTATGCAACCATCACCACAATCAATTTTAGAATATTTTTATCACCCTGCCTCGTTTTAGAAACAAAAAACAGGCCAGGCACAGTGACTCACACCTGTAATTCCAGCACTTTGGGAGGCCGAGGTGGGTGGATTGTTTGAGGTCAGGAGTTTGAGACCAGCCTGACCAACATGGTGAAACCCCATCTCTATTAAAAATACAAAAATTAGCTGGATGTGGTTGTAGGCGACTGCAATTCCAGCTACTTGGGAGGCTGAGGCAGGAAAATAGCTTGAACCCGGGAGGCGGAGGTTGCAGTGAGCCGAGATTGCCCCACTGCTCTCCAGCCTGGGAGACAAAGCGAGACTCCGTCTCAAAAAAAAAAAAAAAAGAAACAAAAAATAATAAATATATTTAATATACATATGTGTGTTGTTGGGAGGATTGTATCCACTCCAAATGTCTAGCTATCATCACACAACTCAGACCCACCAAGAGAATTTTTAGGGATTTTAGTACCTGCCGTTTCCTTCTAACTCCTTCTCTCTACCCGCCCATCCCCCACAACATCCCCCTAAAAACAGACAGATTCCCTCCTAGCCTATCTGATGGGTCCTCATTTCCCTTGGACTGGGGTCAGGGAGGGAAGGTTCCAATCCTACAGGGTACAAGCACCAGGGCTGTTGGGGGAAGAGGATGTTTCTGCTCCTCAGGGAAAGAAGGTTTGAGAGCTGGGCACATGTCACTAGGGTCAAATGGTACCCAACCAGGAGCCCGATACCTGAATTCTCCCCCTAGCGTGGACATAAACCAGCTGGGTGACCATGGGCAAGTCACTCTGCTGTCCTGCTCATTATCCATAAAATCAAGAAGTTGGGCCAAGAAGTTCTGAATCATCTTCCAGTTTTAATATTCAGCAAGCCCTTCTGCTCTCTCTGCCTCTCAGCAAGCTCCTATTCACCCTTTTCTTTCTTTCTTTCTTTCTTTCTTTCTTTCTTTCTTTCTTTCTTTCTTTCTTTTTTTTTTTTGAGACTGAGTCTCGCTCTGTTACTCAGGCTGGAGTGCAGTGGCACGATCTCGGCTCACTGCAACCTCTGCCTCCCAGGTTCAAGCGATTCTTCTGCCTCAGCCTCCCAAGTAGCTGGGATTACAGGCTTGCGCCACCACACCCAGCTAATTTTTATATTTTTAGTGGAGATAGGATTTCACCATGTTGGCCTGGCTGGTCTCAAACTCCTGACCTCAAGTGATCTTCCCACTTTGGCCTCCCAAAGTGCTGGGATTACGGCGTGAGCCACCGCACCCAGCCTCCTATCCACCCTTCAAAGTCCAACTCGAAAGCTGTCCATTTGCCTGAGCCTCCCGGGGAGAGTGAAGCTCTCCCTTGCCCATCACCCCACGGCACCTTGCCCCTATGTCCGTCCATGCTCTTATCACTCACTTAATCTTCCAAAAAGACAAATTATGCACTGATTCTGTCCTAGATACTGTCCTGGGTCCTGGGGATATTCATGAGCAAAACATAAAAATCCCTGCCCTGCCAGGTGCGGTGGCTCACGCCTGTAATACCAGCATTTTGAGGCCAAGGTAGGAGGGTCGCTTGAGGCCAGGAGTTCAATACTAGCCTGGGCAATATAACAAGACCCTGTCTCTACAAAAAAAATTTAAGAATTTTAGCCCAGGTGTGGTGGCTTATGCCTGTAATCCCAGCATTTTGGGAGGCCTGAGATCAGGAGTTCAAGACCAGCCTGGCCGACATGGTGAGACCCCCTCTCTACTAAAAATACAAAAAATTAGCCGGGCGTGGTAGTGGGTGCCTGTAATCCCGGCATAAAAAAGATTTTAGAAGTTAAAAAAAAAAAAAAAAAAGTACCGGGCACGGTGGCTCACGCCTGTAATCCCAGCACTTTGGGAGGCCGAGGCGGGTGGATCACGAGGTCAGGAGATTGAGACCATCCTGGCTAACACGGTGAAACCCCGTCTCTACTAAAAATAAAAAAAAATTAGCCAGGCATGGTGGCGGGCGCCTGTAGTCTCAGCTACCTGGGAGGCTGAGGCAGGAGAATGGTTAGCGTGAACCTGGGAGGCGGAGGTTGCAGTGAGCCAAGATCGCGCCACTGCACTCCAGCCTGAGCAAAAAGAGCAAAACTCCGTCTCAAAAAAAAAACATTGTACTATTCCTGTAGTCCCAGCAACCGATATTATAGTCCCACGCCTATTCACAGGCATGATCATATACACTGTAGCCTTGAGTTCCTGGGCTCAAGGGATCCTATCCCAGGCAGCCGTATTGCACCACCTTTCTTTTTTTTTTAATAGAGATGAGGTCTCACTATGTTGCCCTGGGAGGCTGAGGGAGGAAGATCGTTGAGCCCAGGAGTTCAAGGCTGCAGCACATATGATCACACCTGTGAATACTCACTGCACCCCAGCCTGGGTCCCATCCCTTAAAAGAAAAAAAAAACTGCCCCATGAGCTCACAGTTAGTTGGGGGAGCTGAAAAAGATAAAGGAGTAACTTGCTTGGGAAATTAGATGGTGCTAAGTGCTAAGGAGAAAGATGAAGCGGGGGAGAGACTGCAGGGCAGGGAACAGTGTGACTTTGAATCAAGTGATTGGGGAAAGATCTAGAGAAGTTGACAGGCACAGACTTGAAGGAGAAGAGGGAACAAGTCCTGGAAGTATCAGGAAAGAATATTCCGTGCGTGAGGCTGGCTTCTGGGTTGTCCACACCACTCTCTGCTGTGTTGACTTCCTGTTGTCTTCATCAAAGCTTTTTTCCGTGGTATTCTAAAATTAGGCCAGCAGTGGGGCTGGGAGGGCATCTGTGTTAGTCCCTTCCTGGCTGTGATCCGCCACACTCACTGTCAGTATTAAGGCCCAGCAGCCTGTTGATAAGCTACGCTGTCTCACCATGCGCTGGTGTGGAAACAGGGCCCAGCCAGCATGCCTCAAGGTAGATGGAATCCCCACTGGTCAGAGAAGAAGCCATGCGGACACTCCAGCTTGGCCTGGGCACAGCACTGACTCCTCACCCGCTAGTCTGGCTGTTAAGAGGAGAAGGTGCACTGCCTTCCAGCCTAGGAGGAGGACAGCATTTTGTATTTGTTCCACTGATGCAGCTTAGAACCACACCCCTGAGAATCGTGGCAAAACTTTCACAACCTGGAAAATGTTGAAAGCAACCATTCCTATTTTTGTTTGTTTTTTATTACATCTTGCACACACACACACACACACACACACACAGACACACACAAAAAGAACATTCCAGGCAGAAATAACAGTGCAAAGGCTTAGCTCCTGGCTTACCTCTCCTCCCAGGCCTGGAGGCTCCCAGTGTCTTGGTTACATTGGGGTCACCTAGAGTAGATGCTCGGAACATGAATGGGCGTCCTCTGCCTTTGTTCTCATGCTCGTGTTTCTCCTATCCTAGACTTGCACCTAGCTGCGGAGCTGGGGAAGACTCTGCTGGAGAGGAACAAGGAGCTGGAGGGGTCCCTGCAGCAGATGTACTCCACCAATGAGGAACAGGTGCAGGAGATCGAGGTGAGGGCCCTGCATGTGCTTGCCCACACCCCTCGAGGGCCCCTTGGCCTGTGTGTGCCTTTATGCAACTTAGAATAAGGTGCCAGCTTATCGGACACAGCCTTAGCCCAATAGCCTGGTACAGTTCACAACTGTGCTATCCTGTACAAGGATAGCACAGCTATCTCAGGCAGCCCTATTGCACAACTAGATTTTTTTTTTTTTTAAATAGACACCAAGTCTCACCATGTTGCCCAGGCTGGTCTCTAACTCCTGAGCTCAAGTGATCCTCCCACCTCAGCGTCCTAAAGTGCTAGGATTACAGGCATGAGCCACCAGGCCCAGCCTGAACCACCATTTTTAAGCCCCACTCAGCTGAAGACAAATACATCAAAGCAAACTTGTCCTTAGAAGGGGAGAAGGGGCTGCTGGCTCATGCTTGTAATCCCAGCACTTTGGGAGGCCAAGGTGGGTGAAATACTTGAGCCCAGGCAACATGGCGAAACCTTGTCTCTATAAAAAATACAAAAATTAGCTGGCTATGGTGGCATAAGCCTGTGGTCCCAGCTACTCAAGAGGATGAAGTGAGAGGATTGCTTGAGCCTGGAGGTTGAGGCTGCAGTGAGCCGTGATTGTGCCACTGCACTCCAGCCTAGGCAACAGAGCGAGACCCTGTCTTAAAAATAAATAAATAAAATAAATAAGATTTATTTCTTTTTTGAAATGGAGTCTCACTCTGTCACCCAGGCTGGAGTGCAGTGGCGCGATCTGGGCTCACTGCAGCTCTGCCTCCCGGGTTCACGCCATTCTCCTGCCTCAGCCTCCTGAGTAGCTGGGACTACAGGCGCCCACCACCGCACCCGGTTAATTTTTTTTGTATTTTTAGTAGAGACGAGGTTTCACTGTGTTAGCCAGGATGGTCTCCATCTCCTGACCTCGTGATCTGCCCGCCTCAGCCTCCCAAAGTGCTGAGATTACAGGTGTGAGCCATCACGCCGGGCATAAAAAAGATTTTAGAAGTTAAAAAAAAAAAAAAAGGCCGGGCACAGTGGCTCACACCTGTAATCCTAGCACTTTGAGAGGCCAAGGCGGGCAGATCACGAGGTCAGGAGATCGAGACCATCCTGGCTAACACGGTGAAACCCCATCTCTACTAAAAATGCAAAAAATTAGCCAGGCATGGTGGTGGGCACCAGTAGTCCCAGCTACTCAGGAGGCTGAGGCAGGAGAATGGTTGGCGTGAACCCAAGAGGTGGAGCTTGCAGTGAGCCGATGTCGCGCCACTGCACTCCAGCCTGGGCGAGAGAGCAAGACTCCGTCTCAAAAAAAATAAATTAATTAATTTAAAAAAAAAAGAGGCTGGCGTGGTGGTGCATGCCTATAATCCCAGCCCTTTGGGAGGCAGAGGTAGGCAGATCACTTGAGGTCAGGAGTTCAAGACCAACCTGGCCAATATAGTGAAACCCTGTCTCTACTAAAAATACCAAAATTAGCCAGGCATGGTGGCAGGCACCTATAGTTCCAGCTACTCAGGAGGCTGAAGCATGAAAATCACTTGAACCCAGGAGGCAGAGGTTGCAGTAAGCCGAAATCATGCCACTGCACTTCAGCCTGGGCAACACAGTGAGACTCTGTATCAAAAGAAAAGAAAAGAAAAAAGACAAAAAAAGAAGTAGGAGGGTCTAGGCAGAGACATTTGCCCCTGCCCAATTCTAAAAAGTTACTCAATGTCCTTCCACCCCCAGTACCTAACCAAGCAGCTGGACACGCTGCGGCACGTGAACGAGCAGCACGCCAAAGTCTATGAGCAGCTGGACCTGACAGCCCGGGACCTGGAGCTGACCAACCACAGGCTGGTGCTGGAGAGTAAGGCTGCCCAGCAGAAGATCCATGGGTGAGGGCCCGGCTGAGGGCTGGGGGGCGGGCGAGGGAGAGCCCCAGGGCTGAGTGTACACAGGGGCCCATGGACTGATGGGTGTGACTTGTGCACGTCTCCCTAGGAACCGGGGATGGGAGTGAGCTTGTCCTTGTCGATTTTGTGTGGTTTAACATTCAGGCCGCAACCTTGCTTTAAGCACCAACTATGCACCAGGCTCTTCTTTAGACACTGGGGATGCAACGATGGGGAAACAAAGACATTGTCCTGCCCTCTAATACCTCACAGCCTGGAAGAGAAGGCAGGCATGTAAATATTTTATGGCAGTGCAGGACAATAAGTGATAGAGGAGTGACAAGGAACTGAGGTGGCACAGAGGAGAAGCGATCAGCTCGCCTGAGAGGTACAAAAGAAGGGCGGGTCCTTGGGCATGCATAGAATTCCCCATCCTACCTCAGGACCAGACAGCGGCTCAAGGGTACCTGTCTGCCTCCTACCCAACGTCCCTCCATCTTCAGGGAGCCAGGGCTGCCGTGAGGCAAACTGGCCCCATCCCCTTAAAGTCCCTGTGTGTCCACCACCCCGCCCCCAGGCTGACGGAGACCATTGAGCGCCTCCAGGCTCAGGTGGAGGAGCTGCAGGCCCAGGTGGAGCAACTGAGAGGCCTGGAACAGCTGCGAGTGCTCCGGGAGAAGCGGGAACGCAGGCGTACCATCCACACCTTCCCCTGCCTCAAGGAGCTGTGCACCAGCCCCCGGTAGGTGAGAGCACTGCTTGGTGTCTCTGGGATTGCCAGCCATGGGAGGAAGGAGAGGCAGCAGGCAGCAGGGTGCAGTTGGTGCATCATCCAGGCCATCAGAGAGACTGGTCCTGTTGCTAATGACAGTCACAGCAGCTGGCGTTTACTGAGCCCTGGCTGTGTGCTGCCACTATGCTGATATAATTCTTATTGCAACACTGTTGGGGGTGTTTTATTATGCCTACTCTCCAGATGATAAAACTGAAGCCCAGAGGTTGTGTGTCTTATCCAAGGTCACCTGTTTAGTAAGAGGCTCAGCCAGCATGCTAACCCAGGAGGGGTAACCCACTGTGCTTTTCAGTTCCCATTAAATCTAACACTAGACAACCACTTAATAATGGAAAAATACATGTGTCATATGTAGTGGGTGTTTCAATAAGGGTCCTGGCAGGAAACAGTCTCTTACACAGAGTAATGGAGAAGTTAAATGAAGAAGAGGTGTGGGCAGGGGGTAGGGAAACCACAGGGACACTATAGTGCCCCAGGGTTGCAGCAGAGAGGAGCTGCCACCAGCCCTAGGCCTCAAAGCGCAAGGGGGAAGGGAGGTTACCGGCACCTGGAAGGTATGGAGAAGGCTGCCTGGTCACCATTAACCATGGAGAGCCCAAAGAAGACACACCCCACGGCCTCTGCTCCCCCCTCGGACCTCTAGCCAGTGCCTCTCATGGGCCAAGCTCAGGAGAGAACCAGGCAACCTGACAGAGGCGGTCCGTAGTGGTCAGCCTCCGGGGGCAGAGAGCAGGGGGAGAAGGGTGGAGGAGGGTGGAGAGCCAACGGAGAGGGGCAAACAATTTCAGCCCAGAGAACAAGAGAGATGTAAGCGCCCTGGCTGGGCTGCTCGGCCTTGGCCGTGCCCGTGACCACTGCCCTCTCCTCCGCCCCCACCCCGCTGCGACTCTCACTACCCGCCAGGTGCAAGGATGCTTTCCGCCTACACAGTTCCTCCCTGGAGCTGGGCCCGCGGCCCCTGGAGCAGGAGAACGAGCGGCTGCAGACCCTGGTGGGGGCGCTGCGCTCCCAGGTGAGCCAGGAGCGGCAGCGCAAGGAGCGGGCGGAGCGCGAGTACACCGCGGTGCTGCAGGAGTACTCGGAGCTGGAGCGCCAGCTGTGCGAGATGGAGGCCTGTCGCCTGCGTGTGCAGGAGCTGGAGGCCGAGCTGCTGGAGCTGCAGCAGATGAAGCAGGCCAAGACCTACCTACTGGGTCCGGACGACCACCTGGCCGAGGCCCTGCTCGCACCCCTCACGCAGGCCCCTGAGGCCGACGATCCCCAGCCCGGCCGCGGGGACGACTTGGGCGCCCAGGACGGGGTCTCCTCACCGGCAGCCTCTCCAGGCCACGTGGTGCGCAAGAGCTGCAGCGACACTGCGCTCAACGCCATCGTGGCCAAAGACCCAGCCAGCCGGCACGCGGGCAACCTCACACTGCACGCCAACAGCGTGCGCAAGCGGGGCATGTCCATCCTGCGGGAGGTGGACGAGCAGTACCACGCGCTGCTGGAGAAGTACGAGGAGCTGCTGAGCAAGTGCCGGCAGCACGGGGCCGGAGTGCGGCACGCCGGCGTGCAGACCTCGCGCCCCATCTCCCGGGACAGCTCGTGGAGGGACCTGCGCGGGGGTGAGGAGGGCCAGGGTGAGGTCAAGGCAGGAGAGAAGAGCCTGAGCCAGCACGTGGAGGCCGTGGACAAGCGGCTGGAACAGAGCCAGCCCGAGTACAAGGCGCTCTTCAAAGAGATCTTCTCCAGGATCCAGAAGACCAAGGCTGACATCAACGCCACCAAAGTCAAGACGCACAGCAGCAAGTGACCCTTCTCCGGCCTGCAGCCTCCCCCAGGGTGGAAGCCGTGGGGTCCCTCAGGCCTGGGCGGTGCAGCTTCCAGAGAGCGAGCGCCCTTTAGCGGCCTGCCACCACAGCACGCGGCCTCCTGATCCGGAAGCACGCAGCATGTTCCCTGCTGAGCGGAGGCAGCCCACCTGTCCTGCCTCCCAGGAGCCCTTGGCCACCTCGCGCCAGCCCAAAGGCGCAGCTCTGAGTTCAAAGCCAAATGTCCCCACTACCCCAGGGATCCCCCAGCTCCCCCAGCCCCTGGCTTCCTGACCCTGCGCCTCACCCTCAGACTGGTGACCAGGCTTCTGAAAGCCATTCTGGATCAGTTGGCTTTTTTTTTTTTTTTGGTTAAGTTTGTTTTTTCTAAGAGATTTGCAATGCAAGGTCTCCTTGACCCCTTGCCACAACTGGAAACACTTGAAAGGGGACCCCAGGGCCAGCTGTTTCAGGGGTTTCCTGGACCACCCACTGCTTCTCCCCAACCCTGATGCGCTGACATTCCCTTAGCACCAGCTGTCCCACCTCCAGGGTCCTGACCAGGTCAGAGATGTCCCCTGCCATGCAGAGCAGGAAGCCTCAGCTGGGCCTGGAGTGTCCCTGCTCCAGCCCTGCCAGGGACAGGTTTCTCCCTGGATACTCTTGGCCCACCGCAGATCTGTAGCCAGTCAGAGGAGGAGGAGAAGGAGCCCCTCAGCAGAGTGGTGCAGTTTCGCTCAGAGCTTGTCTCCTTGGCTTCCAACCCCAGAAATGCCTGCTGGGCCTTAAGCTTTCCAGGGGCCGGGGCAGTGGGGAGCCCCCATCCCTTCACACCGCCACCAACTAACCAAGCTTGGCCTCTGACTCCCGTCTCTGTGCTTGCCCCCATCTCAGGGACCATGATGTCTCAGTCACTCCACGCTCCCCACAGGCCAACCCTGGCACAGGTCATGTCTGCAGCCCCCAGAATGTTCTGGACATGCACCACCAGCCGGTGGTCCCAATGTCCACCCCTGCCTCCCCTTCACTGGGGACTGGGGTTTTCGCCCCATGCTGCATCGTGTTGTATTGGGATGGGGCTGAGGAACATGCTCCCTCCCTCCCTCCCATAAAATGCCTGCTCTTCACCTCCCACCTTTGTGGGGGGCTTTTGAGGACCCAGCTGCGTCAGGAGTTTTGCTTCAAGATGTCAGAAAGTCAAGTTCAGCTAAGAGACACCCAGGTCCCCAGCTTGCCCTGAGCAGCCCTTCAGGGCTTCTGGTTCCTTCTGCCGCCCTTCCTGAGACCTTAGAAACCAGAAGAGCCATACAGTCAGTGGAAGGCGGGGGGGCCCTGGCCTCTGCACCGGGATCCCAGTGGGAACCTTCATGCCTTATTTATTTCTAATGGGTAAAGGGGTTTTCTTACCAAGCATCCCTGACCTCCTGGAGACACCACCTGCTTTCCGGGCGGCACTGTGATGGGAGCTGGTGGCGACTGAGTCCTTCTGTACGTGCAACTGGGAAACTTTTGTCCTTTGAGGCTAGGCAGCTCCCTGCCCTCCGTGTGTGTCTGTTATCTGGGGGAGAGGAGTGTGGAAGGGTTGGGGGAAGAGCTCCAGCCTGTCTGCTCCCCAGCTCTGTAGTGGCAGACCAGCGTCACCTTTGAAGTATACGTGAGAGAAATATATTTACAAATGCTTTATTCTCTTCTTTAATAAAAAATGCACCAGTATTCTAAAAGCAAAAATGGCCCATCTCTGTGCATCTCACACACCTGCCTCGCGTCACGCCCAGCCATGGGAGAGGGTAACATCCTGTGTCCCACTTCCCTGAGACTGAACAGCTCCAAATAGCAGGCTCTGGCAGAAGTTTCTATATTTATTGAGGGCCAGCTAGGGATACATGGTGAACAAGCCAGCAGGGCCCCTCTTCCCTTGGAGTTTATATTCTGGTGTGGGGAGATCCACCCAAAATAAACAAACAAAAGATACGGCATGATGGAAAAATCGGGGCAAGAGGGTAGTGCTACCTCAGCTAGAGCACGTGGGCCCAACAGGGTGAACCAAGTTAAAAAAAAAAAAAAAATCGGCCTGGCGCGGTGGCTCATGCCTGTAATCCCAGCCCTTTGGAAGGCCAAAGTGGATTGCTAGAGCCCAGAAGTTTGAGACCAGCCTGGGCAACATAGCAAGACCCCCTTTCTACAAAACATTTTTTGAAAATTAGCAGAGCATGGTGGTGTGCATTTGTAGTCCCAGCTACTCAGGAGGCTGAGGTGGGAGGATCACGAGCCTGGGAGGTCAAAGCTGAAGTGAACTATGATCATACCACTGCACTCCAGCCTGGGCAACAGAGCGAGACCCTGTCTCAAAAAATCATATCTAGATATATAAATACAGCACATGAAGAGATATACAGTGTTACTAAAATTCCTGGGGGAGCAATTCGGAGAAAATGTCTAAATAGGCTCTTTGAGGTAGGAAGGGGGAGCGATCATGGAAAAAAAAGATTGAGAAATGCTAAGCGAGGGTGGTCAGGGCACCTCTGGAGAGGTGATGATGAAGCTGAAACCAGAAGGCTGAGGAGGAACCAACGGGAAGATAAGTGGAGGCCCAGGGAGCAGCTGGGGCAGTGGGGGGTGGCCAGAACAGAGGGTGGAGGCCAGGCTCCTAAGAGCCCGGAAGGTTCAGGGGAGCTCGGGCCTCCTAAGTGCAATGAGACGCCACGGCAGGAAGTCCAGGGCCAGACTGATGCCCTGAAGGACCATGAGGGATGGGGAAGTTGACCTGCCCTTGGTGAGCCACCCATTGATGACACAGGACAGTCACAGGAATGACAAGAGGGCCATCTCCTGGTGTTTTTCAAGCTGATAAACCCCATATCTCTCTTCCATATACATGAAAAACCTCACCACTCCCATTCTTCCTCAGATATCTGTCTCCTCCCCATGTTATACAGAGGACGGTACATAGAGGGGTTCATCTTCTGGAGGGGTCCCCATCACCAAGATTACACCAGCCTCCCTCTTGTTCTGGAAGTGCCGTCAATCCGTTGGGTTTTCTGTTTTCCTCAATGCAAAATGATAGGCCGGGCGAGGTGGCTCATGCCTGTAATCCCAGCACTTTGGGGGGCTGAGGCAGGCAGATCATGTGACATCAAGAGTTCGAGACCAGCCTGGCCAACATGGTAAAACCCTGTCTCTACTAAAAATACAAAAATCCTAGCTACTTAGGAGGTTGAGGTGGGAGGATCACTTGAACCGGGAAGAAGAGGTTGCAGTGAGCCGAGATCGCACCACTGCCCTCCAACCTGGGTGACAGAGCAAGACTCCGTCAAAAAAAAAAAAAAAGCAAAATGATAGCGGTTTTTCAAACTTCCCATGCTCCACTCAGCCCTCTCCAGATTTAGTAATGTCCATCCTGAACTTAAGAATTGCTGTCCAAGAAAAAATTAGCCAGGCATGGCGGTGGCCGCCTTTAGTCCCAGCTACTCGGGAGGCTGAGGCAGGAGAATGGTGTGAACCTGGGAGGCGGAGCTTGCAGTGAGCTTAGATCGCGCCACTGCACTCCAGCCTGGGCGACAGAGTGAGACTCCGTCTCAAAAAAGAATTGCTGTCCAAGCTCAGATACTGGAAGCCTAGAAACAGGACTGTGGATCCTGATCAAAGGGGGCACCTCTAGGGTATCTTCCTTCGCCTCACACTGCCAACGCTACCCACCCCTTCTCGCACCAGCAGCCTGGGTGGACCTTTCCGATGGGGGACTTCCAAAACCAGAGAGGAAAATGCTCCTGAATCTTTGAGGGGTTTCTTGCTAGCTTCACTCTCTCGTCTCCAGACAAAAAAAGGCAGCTCTGTGGACTCCAGTTCCACCAGCCCACACAACCTGAGTCTGTGGAAAAGCTTCCAAAGTCTTCTAAGGGAGGTAGACTCAGGGGCCAGCTGGAACTGGGGGGAAATGCAGGCTTCTCCCCAAAACTCCTTCCCCAAATGTCCTGATGGGGAACAACTTCCCTTGAACTCAGGAGGGGAGGAAAGTGTGGTGTGGGGCTGGGCATGGTGGCTCATGCCTGTAATCCCAGCAATTTGGGAGGCGGAGGCAGGAGGATCACTTGAGCCCAGGAGTTGGAGACCAGCCTGGCCAACATGGCAAAACCCCATCTCTACTAAAAACACAAAAATTAGCCAGGCATGATGGTGTGTACCTGTAATCCCAGCTACTCCGGAGGCTGAGGTACAAGAGTTGCTTGAACTCAGGAGGCTGAGGTTACAGTGAGCCTAGACCACACCACTGCACTCCAGCCTGGCGACAGAGTGAGACTCAGTCTCAAAAAAAAAAAAAAAAAAGTGTGGTGTGGCAAGCCCAAGGCTGGGCCCCAAACTGCTGTGCTTAGTACATCAACTGAACAGCATGGGGCTTTTACAAGGGCAGCGTGCAAGTGGCTGTTGGGTTTTCCCATCCTGTTGTCACCTGTCGTCACCAGGATGGGGAGCAGGTGGTGGTGACCACATGGAGCAGTCACACCTGAGAGACGAAGGAAGCCGTGGCGTGAATCCAGCCACCCTTTTCTCCCTCAGCCTTTTTTTTTTTTTTTTTAGACAGGGTCTTGCTCTGTTGCCCAGGTTGGAGTGCAGTGGCACAACTGTAGCTTACTCGGCCTCCAGCTCCTGGGCTAAAGTGATCCTCTCTCTTCAGCCTCTCCAGTAGCTGGGACTATGCTGGCTAATTTTTTTTTTTTTAATTTTTTGTAGGGACCAGGTCTTGCTATATTGTCCAGGCTGGTCTTGAACTCCTGGGCTCAAATGATCCTCCCACATTGGCCTCCCAAAGTGCCGGGATTACAGGAGTAAGCCACCATGCCTGGCCTCCCTCAGCTTTCTAAACCGCCCTCTGGATGCATTTCTTTCCCTTCTTCCCTCCTTTCTTTCCCTTCTTCCCTCCTGATCACCACTTTGTCCTTGCTCTGTGGACAGATACTCCCTGCTGCAGGGAGCTCCTCCCCGCCCCCCGGCCCCTGCCCCATTCTCTCCTCCCCTGAACTGGCACCCTTCTCCTCTCCCAGGGCCAAACCCACCACCCCACTTAGGGAGGGCAGCTAGCCAAACAGACCTGCCTCTGCCCTCCCTGGGGATCCTGAGCTGAGAGCTGGGGGGTGGCCTCAGTTTTAGGGGACCAGGCAGATAAGGGGTAGCAATGAAGGAAGTACTTTCCAGGGAGAGGTGGGCAGCTCTGTGCTGCCCATCCCCTCAGGGAAGAAGGAAAGAGGGTTGGAATACAGCTCGTCAGACTGGATTTCCCACTCCAGGGCTACAGAGGAAAAAAGACAACAGTAATCAGGTGTCTGAAAGAAAAGTGTCCCTTAAGGAACCTGCATGCACATAGCATCCCTTAGCAGCAGCTAATTTTTGTTGCCTGCTGACTTCATGCCAAGCACTGTGTTAAGTGTTTTATATGTGTTTACTATCCTCAGGAACTTTATGAGATGACTATAAAATCTCCATTTTACTGATGAGGATACAAAAACTTAGAGGTCAGGTTAGTAATTCAAGGTCACATAGAAATATTCAAACTCGGCTGGGCATAGTGGCTCATGCTTATTATCCCAGCACTTTGGGAGGCCAAGGTAAGTGGATTGCTTGAGCCCAGGAGTTCAAGACCAGCCTGGGCTGGTAGAGACAAGAAACCTTGTCTCTACAAAAATACACAAATTATCCAGCACATGCCAGTAATCCCAGCTACTTGGGAGGCTGAGGTGGGAGGATAGCTTGAGCCGGGGAGGCCGAGGTTGCAGTGAGCCGTGATCATACCAGCACTCCAGCCTGAGTGACAGAGCGAGACCTTGTCTCAAAAAATAATAATAATACAATTTTAAAATGAAGTCATAGTCACAGTTACCAGCAGTTAGGACATGGACACATTTTTCTATTTTTTTAATAAAAAAATAAATATTTAAACTTAGTCCTGACCAATCCACCATGCCTCATTGCACATTCCCTATCTACACATAATGATGAGTTTTGTTTTGTTTTGTTTTGTTTTGTTTTTTGACGGAGTCCTGCTCTGTCACCCAGGCTGGAGTGCAGTGGCACAATCTCAGCTCACTGCAACCTCCACCTCCTGGGTTCAAGCGATTCTCCAGCCTCAATCTCCCGAGTAGCTGGGATTACAGGTGCATGCCACCATGCCCAGCTAATTTTTGCATTTTTTTAGTAGAGATGAGGTTTTGCCATGTTAGCCAGGCTGATCTTGAACCCCTGACCTCAGGTGATCCACCCACCCTGGCCTCCCAGAGTGCTGAGATTACAGGTGAGAGCCACCACACCTGGTCAATGATGAGTTTTAAGAGGCCATCTGGTGGGGCATGGTGGCTCATGCCTGTAATCCCAGCACTTTGGGAGGCCGAGTGAGCCAGGCGGATCACGAGATCAGGAGTTCGAGACCAGCCGGGCCAGCATGGTGAAACCCCGTCTCTACTAAAAATACAAAAATTAGTCGGGCATGGTGGTGCACGCCTGTAGTCCCAGCTACTCGGGAGGCTGAAGCAGGAGAATTACTTGAACCCAGGAGGCAGAGGTTGCAGTGAGCTGAAATCGTGCCATTGCACTCCAGCCTCGGCAACAGAGCGAGAGTCAATCTCAAAAAAAAAAAAAAAAAGGAGGTCTTCTGACCCAGGGCGGTACAGAGAAGAAGAAAGGGGTCCTATGTAGGTCCTATGTAGGACCCCCTACATAGGAATAGTACCCCAACTCATAGGCCCTATAGAAAGGCTTGTGTCTGCAAGCTCCTCAGCTGCCAGAAATGACCTCTTTCCTCTCTTCTCCCATGAATGTCCCCTCCCTGAAGCACCATCTCGGCCTATAGAAAACCAAGGAGGAGAAAGGGAAGACTGGCCTCAGCCTTTAGTGCCCATCTTTTTGGGAGAACAGGTGGCCCCTTTCTGGCCTTTCTCCCAGGGCCCCCATTCTGGATAGTTCACGGCAGCAGCAGGTAAGAGGAGCTTGCCAGCTGCTCCTCTCTCCACCCCAGGGCGGCTTGCCTCATTCTCTCCTCTACCCACCTCCTCTCCCAGAATCCAGGCCACCAGATGGCCCAAGCAGGCTGTGTTTATTTGGGGCCATGGAAACCTGCAGCTTCCTTTTCCTATTGCCTTGGGTCAGGTGCAGAGCTGGAGCCCAGCCTCAGAGCAATGATGTCATGGAAAGGTTCTGACTTTATTACTCATAACCCCTTAGCCCCCGACCTGAGTGAATGCCTGGTTTTGCTCCTCTGAGCAGCTTATTCCAGTTGCCATAGAGATGCGTCTATTCCCTTTGAGGTCTTGGGACTAAGTCAAACAGCGCGGGACCCAGGAGACTCTCCTCCCAACCCGAGATAGAGCCCGAGATATGTCAATTGTCACCCCTTTCTAGTCTGAGCTTATAAAGCCAGTGCTTAGAAAGTGGTTTATTCCTTCTTAAAGATTTGCTGTAGCCATAATGCGGAGATGGTAAAAGCTTGGTGTGATGACAATCTCCTGTTTCAATCAGCCAGCATCCCCGGGGGCACATTTTTCTAGATAATTATGCTTGTTCCTAAAAATAGAACTCTTCATTAAGAAACAATCGCTAGCATTACTAATAATTATGAACATTTATTTAGCTTTGTTTCCATTTACCACATAGCCTCTCAACACAGTAACTTAACTAAGGTTTAGCTGTTTTCAAACACTGCTTGCTCTACTGTGAACCTTTTTCAGAATTGGAACTTGTCTGTAGTTCATCCCTTACCAGCGCTATGAAAGGGTTCTAGTTAGCTGGCAGTTCTCTGAATTCTCTCCCTACCTCCCGAGGGACCCCCTCTCTCCTGGCTGGAAGAAAGCATCATCTTGCTCCATAAAGCTGAAGGGCGGGGGACGATGTTCCAGGTTTTGCAAACATTTCTTTCGGTGGCCTGCCTTCTCCTCCCATCTGGTATTTGTCCTGCAGAGCTGCTGGGTATAAGCCAGTACACACACGTGCTCAGCGGGGAATTTGCTCATAGGCTGCCTTGTAAAAAGAGCCTGGCGTTCCTAAAACTCAGCTCTACCAGAACCCAACTTTCAAAAGTACATTCCTACAGAATTCATTTTATCAGTACTCATGGGGTGCCCACGATGTGCCATGTTCTGGGTGCTGGGGATATACCAGTGAGCCGGTGCCCTCCTGGAGCTCACATTCCGGCTAGGAGACAGCAATTAGACAATTAGGACTGAGTGATTTTTGTAAAGGAAGAGAAAAAAGATAAATTAGAGCAGAGTAAAGGGGCTGGGAAGCGCGGGGCGGGAGATGCCCCAGGCTGGCCGGGCAGGCCTCGCTGCTGTTTGAATTGGGCAGTGGGCGGTCCAGGCGGAGGGCACGGACTCTGAAAGGAGAGAAGTGGTGTTTCTGGGGGCCACAAGATCGGGGCACTCTTCCGGTAGCAGCTCGCTCTCTGGCCACCGTCTTCCCCAGCCAACCAGGCCTCCCGGAGGCGGCCGGCCAGAAAGCATCGGCGGGACCCCAGTTTGCCGCCTCCCCTCGGCGGGACCTAGAAACTGCGCGGAACCAAAGCTCGAGGGCGGCTCGAGTTTGCGGACCGCGGGGAGGAAGCGCCCGCCGGAAGCAGTCGCAAGACCTGAGCATGGCGGCCACCAGGTGCCTGCGCTGGGGCCTGAGCCGAGCCGGAGTCTGGCTGCTCCCACCGCCCGCACGGTGCCCACGCCGGGCGCTGCACAAGCAGAAAGACGGCACTGAGTTCAAGAGCATCTACAGCCTGGACAAGCTCTACCCCGAATCTCAGGGCTCGGACACCGCCTGGAGGGTCCCGGTGAGCCGGGAAGGACTGGACGGAAGGGGCGTTTTGTCAGGCTGCTGGGTGACGTTAGGAACCCCAGGCCCATTGGCCGGATGTGGAGCTACGTCGGGGGGCTACGTGATGGTCGCCGCGGGAGGGGGCTGGCTGTCTGCGCTAACCTGGCCGGGAGTGGGGTGCTCGCTGTAGCGCGAGATGTGCAGGAGCCCGGAAGGCCGGCTGGGTATGCTTCTTTCAAGGCTGCCAGCTTTTCTACGTTCGTGTCCTTGGCCCTCAAGACCAAATTCCAGTCCCAAGGGGAAATACGGGCATTCTGGCCCTCCAAGGCGGACAATAAAGGCAAGAGGCTGCCAAGTTGTTTGCTACCCTTTGGGACGTTACAGTGTCCATTGTCTCTAGTAACCCCAGGACGCGCGAATAAAACAGCTTCTCTGTCGTTCCTTCAGGATGCATTTATTTAGCCAGCTGTGTGCAGGCATTGAATCAAGCCCCGGAGCAAGAGAGATAAGACCCACCCAAACCCATTGAGCTTCCACTTACAGGACTGGAAAAGAATATCCATTCATTTGTTCATTAATTCACTCACTCACTCAACAAAAGCTGTGCTAGGCTAGGGGATGGAGTAGCAAACAAAATTGAAATTCTAAAGCTTGTGGAGCTTATGTTCTAGTGGAGGGAGACAAGCAGTAAGTAAATGACTAATATAGAATGTGTGAGGTAGTACTTTGCAGAAAATAAAGCCAAGAAGGAAGAAGTAGTGCCAGAGGTAGGAAGTAGGGTTGCAATTTTAAGTAGGATTGTCTAGGAACGCTGTCAATGAGGTGGCATTTGAATAACGACCTGGAAGAAGCCAGACAGCAAGTCATGAGAATAGGGGGCGGATGAGCATCCTAGGCAGAGGGAAGAGAAAGTGCAATAACCTGAAGGCAGTAGCAATCCCCAGGTGTGGCTCAGCAGGGGTCAGGAGACAAAGCCAAAGAGAGGGATGGCTGGGGAAAGGCCTGTTACTAGGACTTAATGGCCTCCAGCCTTTCCTCTGAACGCAAGGGAGACCTATTGGAGAGCTTGAAGCAGAATGGAATTATCTTAGTTTTACAAGGATCACTCAGAGAGCCTTACAGAGAACAGATAGAGGATGCCAAGATCAGGGAGACAAGTAAGGAGATTGCAATGTAGGGCAAGAGATGATAAGCAGGGTGGAAGCAGTAGGAGTCATGAGAATTGGTCAGATCCTAGACGTATTTTGGAAAGAAAGCCTGCAAGATTTGCTAATTGATTGGATGTGAGAAGTGAGAATAAAAGAGGAATTGAAGTCTGGGGCCTTTTTTTTTTTTTTTTTTTTTTTTGAGACGGAGTCTCACTCTGTCGCCCAGGCTGGAGTGCAGTGATGCAATCTCTGTTCACTGCAAGCTCCGCCTCCCGGGTTCACGCCATTCTCCTGCCTCAGTCTCCTGAGTAGCTGGGACTACAGGCGCCCACCACTACAACCGGCTAATTTTTTTTTTTTTTTTTTTTAGTAGAGAGGGGGTTTCACCGTATTAGCCAGGTTGGTCTTGATCACGGGCGTGAGCCACCGCGCCAGGCTTTTTTTTTTTTTTTTTTTTGAGACAGGGTCTTACTCTGTCATCCAGGCTGGAGTGCAGTGGCGTGATCTCAGCCCACTGCAACCTCCGCCTCCTGGGTTCAAGTGATTCTTGTGCCTCAGCCTCCCGAGTAGCTGGGATTACAGGCATGCACCACCATGCCCGACTCATATTTTTGCATTTTTAGTAGAGACAGGGTTTTCACCATGTTGGCCAGGCTAGTCTCAAACTCCTGACCTCAAATGATCTGCTCGCCTCAGCCTCCCAAAGTGCTGGGATTACAGGCGTGAGCCACCATGCCCAGCCAAGTCTGGGGCCTTGAGCAGTGAAAGGATTGAGTTGCTATTAACTGAGATGAGAGAGTGGCAATAGCATTCATTTGTTCATTCATTCAATAAAATGTTTATTGTATATCTACTGTGTCTACTACTACTTGAGTCTAGCATATACAGCCATGATAAACAAAATACAGGATCTCTCTCCTTCATGGAGCTTAATTCTAATGGAAGGAGCAGACAGTAAACAAATAGGGAAAATATCAGGTAGTGAGAAGTAGTGTAATGAATAGGCCAGGGTGCTGCAACAAAGTGCTGAGGCTACCTCAGATTATTAGTAAGGGAAGTCCTCTGAGGCGGCTTAAGGTTTGGGTCCATTAGACATCTGAGAAGAGACGTTGAGTAGCAGTTGGGTATATGGGTGTGGAGTTGAGAAGAAAGGTTTGAGTTTGAGCCAGAAAGTTGGGTGTCAAAAACAGGCTATTTTCTGGCCAGGCGCAGTGGCTCATGCCTATAATCCCAGCACTTTGAGAGGCCAAGGGTAGATCACTTGAGGTCAGGAGTTCGAGACCAGCCTGGCCAACATGGCAAAACCCCGTCTCTACTAAAAATACAAAAATTAGTCGGGCGTGGTGGCACACGCCTGTAGTCCCAGCTACTCAGGAGGCTGAGGCAGGAGAATCGCTTGAACCCAGGAGGCAGAGGTTGCAGTGAGCCGAGATTGCACCACTGCACTCCAACCTGGGCGACAACCTTAAGACTCCATCTCAAAACAAAAACGAAAAACTGGCTATTTTCATCAGCATAGATGAAGTATTCTAGAGAAAGAAAGAGGAGAGAGAGAGAAGTATTTCAAGGGCATGTCAGTGTTTAAAAGTTGCTAAGAGCTAGCAAAGGAGAGTGAGAAAGAGTCCTAGGAAGGTAAGAGGAAAATTTCAGAAGGAACAGAAGGAACATGCTTCAGGAAGGAGGGTGTGGCCCATGATCTTCAGTGCTGCAGACAGGTGGAGTAGGATAAGGGTTTCATCCCCAAATAATTCTTTTTCTTTTTCTTTTTTCTTTTTTTCTGAGACAAAGTCTCGTTAGCTGTCACCCAGGCTGGAGTGCAGTGTCCCAGGCAGGAGTGCAGTGTCCTGATCTCAGCTCACTGCAACCTCCATCTCCTGGGTTCAAGCAATCCTGCCTCAGCCTCCCCCAGTAGCTAGGATTACAGGTGTGTGCCACCATGCCTAGCTAATTTTGTATTTTTAGTAGAGGGGAGGTTTCACCATGTTGTCCAGGCTGGTCTCCAACTCCTGACTTGAAGTGATCCACCCGTCTCGGCCTCCCAAAGTGCTGGGATTACGGCGTGAGCCACTGCACCCGGCCAACTCCCAAATAATTCTAAGATAAAAGAAATGAAGACAGGCTGGGCGTGGTGGCTCACGCCTGTAATCTTAGCACTTTGGGAGGCCAAGGCGGGCAGCTCTCTTGAGGTCAGGAGCTCGAAACCAGTCTGGCCAACATGGTGAAACCCCATCTCTACTAAAAATACAAAAAAAAAAAACAACAATAGCTAGGCATGGTGGCATGCGCCTGTAATCCCAGCTACTCAGGAGGCTGAGGCAGGAGAATCACTTGAACCCAAGAGGCGGAGGTTGCAGTGAGCTGAGATCGCACTATTGTACTCCAGCCTGGGCTACAGAGCGAGACTCCATCTCAAAAAAAAAAGAAATGAAGGCAGTCGGGAGTGCACCTGAGGATACTGATGCTTTGAGCCTGGAGGGCCAGAAAAGCCTCGGAGTGGGTGGCGTTTGCACTGGGCCTTGTGGATACAAAGATTTAAGGCTGAAGGGCGTTGCTGCTTGAGGAACAGCAAGAGAGAGAGAGACATGGAGGTGAGAAGTCCTGGAGTGAGTAGTTAGTTTGACAGAAACCCTCAGGGTGCAATTATAGTCACTGTCCAAGGTGGACTGCCTTGTGTGGGAGTCTCCTGTGGCCCCGGAAAGAACAGGGTGGCCCACCAGGCTTGTTGCTCCAGGTTGACAGAGGGTGTTGCTTTTGGAGGTTCCCTGATGCATGTGCACTGTGGCTCCCCCTCCCGCTGGAGCCAGGCCTCTGATGGTGCCTGACACTAGCTAAGGCTAGGGCAGGGAAGGCTGGAGACATCAGATCCATTTTCGTAGAGGAGTGTTTCTGAGGTGGTACCTCTGGAGTCTGAGGATGCTTTTTCTGTCATCGTGATATCATTTTGCAGGGGACCTGAAAATACTAATGTACAATGTTTGTGTTGTGGCTTTACATCATTTCTTTGTTGCCTTGAACCAGTTAGGAGTCACCCAGCAGGTAATATTTATTTGACACTGTGTACATTACATTACAGAATGGTGCAAAGCAAGCCGACAGTGACATCCCTCTAGGTAAGTAATTTTGTTTTCTTAAAAATCAGTTGGCTGCGTGGTGGCATGTGCCTGTAATCCCAGTTACTTGGGAGGCTGAGGCAGGAGAATCGCTTGAACCCAGGAGGTGGAGGTTGCAGTGGGCCGAGTTTGTGCCATTGCACTCCAGCCTGGGCAACGAGAGCAAAACTCTATCTGGAAAAAATTAAAAATTAAAAAAAAAAAATCATGCCTGTTGGCCGGGCATGGTGTCTCATACCTGTAATCCCAACAATATGGGAGGCCAAGGTGGGTAGATCACTTGAGGCCAGGAGTTTGAGACCAGCATGGCCAACATGGTGAAACCCCATCTCTACTAAAAATACAAAAATTAGGCCAGGCGCAGTGGCTCACGCCTATAATTCCAACATTTTGGGAGGCCAAGGCAGCTGGATCATCCGAGGTCAGGAGTTCAAGACTAGCCTGGCCAACATGGCAAAGCCCCATCTCTACTAAAAATACAAAATTAGCCGGGTGTGGTGGCGAGGGCCTGTAATCCCAGCTACTTGGGAGGCTGAGGCAGAAGAATTGCTTGAACCCGGAAGGCAGAGGTTGCAGTGAGCTGAGATCCTGCCATTGCACTCCAGCCTGGGCAACAGAGTAAGACTCTGTCTCAAAAATAAATAAATAAAAATACAAAAATTAGCCGGGTGTGGTGGTGGGCGCCTGTGATCCCAGCTACTCGGAAGGCTGAGGCACAAGAATCACTTGAGCCTGGGAAGCAGAGGTTGTGGTGAGTTGAGATCGCACCACTGCACTCCAGCCTGGGCGACACAGCGAGACTCTGTCTCAGACGAAAAAAAAAAAATCAGTCATTTCTCTAATCCTTCACACATTCCTTCCAGATCTCTCCAGCCCAATTAAAGTAAAGAGACTATCTCGGGTGTGCAGAAGTAGAATCTTTGCAGCATTATTTAGAATAGCAAATAAATGATGGTGTGGCCAGTCGCATCGTACTGTGCCGTGTGCCACGTGAGTGTAGAGCTCTTGACATTCTCATGACGTGGAGCACTCTTTACAATAGATGAATTGAAAGAGGAAGACACAGGAGAGTTTATAAGCTACCATTTGTTTTTTACATATCTATATCTCTGAAATATCTTTTTTTTTTTTCTTTGAGATGGAGTCTCGCTCTGTCACCCAGGCTGGAGTGCAGTGGCCCGATCTCGGCTCACTGCAAGTTCCGCCTCCCAGGTTCACACCATTCTCCTGCCTCAGCCTCCCGAGTAGCTGGGACTACAGGTTCCCACCACCACGCCCGGCTAATTTTTTGTATTTTTTAGTAGAGACGGGGTTTCACCATGTTAGCCAGGATGGTCTCGATCTCCTGACCTCATGATCTGCACACCTCAGCCTCCCAAAGTGCTGGGATTACAGGTGTGAGCCACCGTGCCCAGCCTGAAATATCTATTTCTGAATATCTGTATCTATATTTATATCCCTATCTGTGTAGAGAGATATCTATATCTGAAAGGAACACCCTGGATACAGTGACTGCCTGGAGGAATAGAGAGATAAGACAAACTTGGTGGCTGAGAGACAAGAGTGAAAGACATTTCCATGTAAATAAACCATTTACATAACTGTAAAATTTTTTACCTGTCAAGCATAAGCAAGGCCTAACAGTTACAGCCTGTAAAGAAACAATGAGCCTTTTTTAGATTCGGAGAGTGTATGACTTCCATAGACAGTGCGAGGAAGAGCAGCCAAAGATGCTGGCTCCCTGTGGCCCTTGCTCAAGATGACTCAAACAGAGGCCAGATGACCACAACCCAAGGGACAGGACACCCTGTGGCTGAGGAGCGAATACCATGCTGCAGTGAAGCAGTTTTGTAGCTTGAAGCTGTGCCCGCCTGTAGTCTCAGCTACTTGAGAGGCTGAGGTGGAAGGATCCCTTGAGCCCGGGATGTTCGCTTCAGCCTGGGATGTTGAGGCTGCAGTGAGCCGTCATTGTGCCACTGGACTCCAGCCTGGGTGCCAGAGTGAGACCCTGTCTCAAAAAAAAAAAAAATGAAGCTGTGCCCTAAGGGGTGCATGTGTGTAGGGGAGGAGGCAGAAAGCCTCCTATCTCATCAGAACTGGAGGCGAAGAGAAGTGTCTTGTGACAGCCTCCTAGGGGGAGACAGGCAGGCAAGTGGGCAGTAGCTCGGTAGTAGCTCCTCACCAGCCTCCCACACTCTCATGGATCCCGAAGCGTTCCATTCCTATGAAGACTTTGGTCAGCTGCAGCTCAAGCTTTGGCCATGTGCAAGGTTGCCAGCAATCACCATGGCAGAACTGTTCCCCTGCAGTGGCACGTGTACTTGTTACCTAGTCAGAAAGTGGATTTAATTTGATTTTTCCAAAGGAGGAAATCCTCTTAAAAGCAGTCCCAAGATGAGTCACTACTGCTCACTGGGACCAGCTCTCTGCCACCGTGGTGCCACAGTTCCTTGCCACCCAAACTTCTTGCAGTTTTTGAAATTTTCCCAATATAATACCTTCCCTACATTCCTCAGACACAACAAGACTGCTTTTCATGCCATGAGGTAATCAGTTTTGTGTGTGTACTTTCTTCTGTTTTACAGATCGCTTGACAATATCTTATTGTCGGAGTAGTGGTCCTGGGGGGCAGAATGTGAACAAAGGTACGGGGTGCCTTGTTGCTTTCTTTTGCTTTAAAATGTAGCTGGGAGATGGGCTTGAGGAGCTCTGTGTTTGTGTTCATATGGAATAAAGGGATTTTTCAGCAGAAGCTTTAATACTGCCAGCTTATAATAATCCTCTTTATTCTTTTGAATGTGGTCTGATTCTCAGACATTCAGCTGTGGGTTGCTAGGACTAGGATCGGCTTGTGAGTCTAAACAAAGAGAAATCACAGTTGTGAGGTGGCAGCCAGCTCCAAGAACAGGTTTCTTTCATTCTGGTGCAACCCATTCCCTCCATTTTTTTTTTTTTTTTTTTTGAACCCAGTAAAACTGTAAGAGAAGGACTGGGTGCTTAGTTACTGGAAGTCTATTTTTGCCCAAAAGTGCCTCACTGTCTTTGCGGGCTTGTTCATAGCCAACTTGGACATAGGCTACAATGTACATGGTTAGGTGTCTGGCCTCCCTTTATTTCAGAATGGTCACTGGTCACCCAGGGGTTGATCCTTCCTGGAAGTCTCAGGCACCCATGCTCCCTTCTCCCTTTCCTCCACAGTGAATTCCAAGGCAGAAGTCAGGTTCCATTTGGCAACTGCCGAGTGGATCGCGGAGCCCGTGCGGCAGAAGATAGCCATCACGGTAACCACCATCCCTTTCTTTCCCTAGAAATCCCTCAGTGGCTTTTAAACCTTTACTCTGTAGGACTCCAGTTTTTCATTTGTTCTCTGCAGCATAAAAACAAGATCAACAGGTTAGGAGAGTTGATCCTCACCTCTGAGAGCAGCCGCTATCAGTTCCGGAATCTGGCAGATTGCCTGCAGAAAATTCGAGACATGATCACTGAGGCCAGCCAGACACCGAAGGAGCCAACAAAAGAAGATGTTAAACTTCATAGAATCAGGTACCAGGAAATGCCCTAAGATGCTATAAACTGATTTGTGTGGACAAGAGTCTACACAGGTAAGGAAGGGGCAGGGGAGAGTCCAAGGCCGGCCTTGGGAGAAACTCTAGGAAGAGGAGAGGATGCTGACCTGGGACCGAGGCCTGCGGGCTAGTGCCTGCTGGTGTAACTGCTCGGCTTCCCGTTGAGCTCCCAACTCCTCTCACCACTTTGAAAAGCACTGATTGGGCATCTGGGGCTAATTGCAGTCTTTTTGTTTTCAGGATAGAAAACATGAATCGGGAAAGGCTGAGACAAAAGAGAATTCATTCTGCTGTAAAGACAAGCAGGAGGGTCGACATGGACTGAAATCACCCTCTGCAGCTGGGAGGGCTCTTCTGGGCGTCCGGGCAGCTGCAGCTGAGAGGACTTTCACACCATAAGGAGATTTCTGTTTTTCTTTTTGGCTGTTAATGCTTGTCTATAACATTGGAGCCATCACAAGAATGTTCATTTGGAATGAAGGCTGCAGGCACTGGTTGCAGACGTCTTTATAGGCAGTCACCATGTTGTCAAACCTTAATAATGCACCTCATGTATTAGTCACAATAAAAATCAGAACTCATTAGGCTTCCCTTCTCATTCAGAATGCTTCAGAAAACAATTCCTACCTTTTCTCTCAGTTAAATCAGCCGCACAGTTATCGACACAGCACTGGGGAACAGGAAAGGGTTCTGGTGTCTGCTGTGAAAGAACACACAGGCCAGGCGTGGTGGCTCACGCCTGTAATCCAAACACTTTGGAAGCCAAGGCAGGAGGATCACACGAGGTCAGGAGGTCAAAACCAGCCTGAGCAACATAGCAAGATCTCATCTCTACAAGAACTACAAAAATTAGCCAGGTGTGGTGATACATGTCCATAGTCCCAGCAACTTGGGAGGCTGAGGCAGGAGGATCACTTGAGCCCCCCAGGAGTTCAAGGTTGCAGTGAACCATAATTGCACCACTGCAGCCTGAGTGACAGAGCAAGACCGTGTCTCAAAAAAAAAAAAAAACCACCGGGCGTGGTGGCTCACACCTGTAATCCCAGCACTTTGGGAGGCTGAGGTGACCAGCCTGGCCAACGTGGTGAAACCCTATCTCTACTAAAATAGGTGGTGGGCACCTGTAATCCCAGCTACTCGGGCCGAGGCAGGAGAATTGCTTGAACCCAGGAGGGTGACGTTGCAGTAAGCCAAAATCACACCACTGCACTCCAGCCTGGGCAACAGAGCCAGACTCCGTCTCAAAAACAAAACAAAAAGAAACTACACACACAACCAGGTAGGAGGGCTGAGACAGGTAAGTGGGCATTTGAGCCGGGCTATGGAAAAGGCATGGGACTTTCATCAGTAGACGGGAGGCGGACATGCCATTTGAAGGGAACAATGAACACAAGAGACAAAAGAGGCTGAGGTGGAGGGGGTGACAAAGAAGGCAAAGGCACTGAATGGTGGATTCGTGCAGGGTGATCCACCATTGCAGCGGGAGGTGAACCCAGAGAGAGACCGGCTTGATGTGGAGAGCCTTGAATTCAAGTTAAGGAGTTTAGGTTCTTTTATTTTTGAGATGGAGTCTCACTCTGCCATCCAGGCTGGAGTGCAATAGCGTGATCTTGGCTCACTGCAACCTCCTTCGCCCAGGTTAAAGCGATTCTCCTGCCTCAGCTTCCCCAGTAGCTGGGGTTACAGGTGCATGCCACCATGCACAGCTAATTTTTGTATTTTTGTAGAGATGGGGTTTCACCATGTTGGCTGGGCTGCTCTTGAACTCCTGACCTCAGGTGATCCGCCCACTTCGGCCTCCCAAAGTGCTGGTATCACAGGCGTGAGCCACTGCACCCGGCAAAGGTTTTAAGAGATGTGGGTAACAGAAAGCTGTTGGGAGAAAAGCTGAGCGTTGGGAGAAAAGCTGAGTGTTGGGAGAGAAGCTGAGGCAGGGCTTGCATGTCTGCTAGACTTGCTGGCTCCTTGCTTCTAGCACTCCCATTCTCTCAAGCAGCCGTATGTTTCTCCTTCACTTGATACACTTTCTTTTCAACCCCCACATCCTCACCACCTGTTTCTTTGAGCACCAATAAATACCGTGGGCTCCCAGAGCTGGGGGTCTTCACAGCCTCAACACTGGCGATGGCTTCCTGGTGCTACTTTCTCTCTCAAACTGTCTTTTTCTAATTCCTTTGACTCCGCCGGACTTTGTTGCCCCCATGACCTGGTGTTGGGTCTGATCACCTCAACATTCCTGGCTGCCCAACGTGGGGTGACAAAGACCCTGGTGAAGGAACGCTAGAGCGTGTGAAAGCGGAGAACACATCGTCAAAGGACACCCAAAGGCGTCTAAAAGAAGCTCGGCAGGAAAGCTGAGCGCTCGGAAGAACCAGGGTAACAATGGGATAAAGTGAAAGACATTTTGCTTATTTAAATTTATTTTATTATTTTTTTTTTTTTGAGAGGAGTCTTGCTCTGTCGCCCAGGCTGGAGTGCAGCGGCGCGATCTCGGCTCACTGCAAGCTCTGCCTCCTGGGTTCAGGCCATTCTCCTGCCTCAGCCTCCCGAGTAGCTGGGACTACAGGCACCCGCCACCGCGCCCGGCTAATTTTTTGTATTTTTTTTTTTTAGTAGAGACGAGGTTTCACCGTGTTAGCCAGGACGGTCTCGATCTCCTGACCTCGTGATCCGCCCGCCTCGGCCTCCCAAAGTGCTGGGATTACAGGTGTGAGCCACCGCGCCCGGCCTTATTTAAATTTCTTAAGGCATTTATTACGAAGAGGGGGAGTGAAAGTACTCAGAATTTGTTGGCATTTATTATGAAGAGGGGGAGTGAAAGTTAGTACTCAGAATTTGTTATCACTCTTTAGTACAGTAAAGCAGTTTTGCCCATGGCTTCCGGAACAAGCGACTATGGAGTTGGATGAATGGGAGAGAATCGGCAGAGATTTTTAAAAGGCGTATAAAGAGGGAGCAGATATTCCAGTTTCTATTTGGTCATGTGGGCGCTAATAAAGGCAGCTCTTGAGCCATTTCAAACAGATGATGAGGCAGATTGAGATGAGGAAGAGGAGGATGAGTGTAAAAAACTAACTTCAGATTCTGAGTGTGAGGAACAGCTACCGGAGGAGATTAAAGAAAGGAAAACTAAAAAAAGTATGTTTTACTAGCCCGTCGGCGCCCCCTGCTAAATTAAGTGAATGGCCACCTCCTCTCTCTCCTCTTAATGGGTGAGAAGATGAATTAGCTGAAAAACTTACTACTCCTATAGTTGCAATATTAAAACCTGGAGCAATTGGTGATGCTATAGAAAATTCTATTCATAAAGCTAGAGCCGAGGGAGACCTTGAAGCATGGCAATTTCCTGTTACTATCATCCAGCAGAGAAGACAGAATACAGCTAATTGGCCACTTTTCCTTTTAAGTTACTAAAGGAATTTAAGCAAGCCATTAGTCAATACGGACCGAACTCTCCTTTTGTGCAAACTCTATTAAAAAATATGGCTCTTGATAATAGATTAATACCATGTGGCTGGGATACTTTGACAAAATCTGTTCTCACCCTATCTCAGTATTTGCAGTTTAAAACCTGGTGGGCTGATGAAGCTCAAACTCAGGCAGGGGAAAACATACAAGCACAGCCACCTGTGCCTGTTTCCTTTGAACAGTTAATGGGAGTTGGCCCTAACTGGGGTTGATTAGAGAAATCAAGCAGTAATGGAGGATGCTGCCATTGTTCAGCTGCGCTTTGTGTGCTTATGGGCATGGGAAAGGATAAATGTTACAGGCGAAAAACATCCTTCTGTCAGTTCTATCCGTCAAGGACCTAAAGAACCATATATTGATTTTATTGCTCAGCTCCAAGAGGCTGTGTATAAAGCCATTACTAATAAAACGGCTCAGGATGTTGTAATACAGCTTCCTGCATACGAAAATGCTAGTGCAGTGTCAAACTGCTATTAGACCCCTGAGAGGGACGGCTCATTTAGCTAAATATATTAAGGATTGCGATGGCATTGGAGGTAACTTACATAAGGCAACTCTTTTAGCTCAGGCTATGGCTGGATTAAGAGTAGGAAAGAATATACCCCATTTCTCAGGCCCTTGCTTTAATTGTGGTCAATTTGGACACCCAAGAAAGGAATGTAGAAAAGGAAATCAAAAGGCAAACATTACTACCATCAGTCAACAGAAAAGTCCCGGTATATGTCTCCAGTGTAAGAAAAGCAAACACTGGGCAAGTCAGTGTCATTCTAAATTTAACAAGGATGGACAACCTCTTTCAGGAAACGGGAAGAGAGGCCTGCCTCGAGCCCCTCAACAAACCAAGGCACAGCCATGCCCTTACAAACGTGCAACAATTGTCCCCCACTTCAGCAGGCAGTGCTGCCATAGACCTCTACAGCACAATTACCATCTCCTTAGGAGAGGTGAAGCCGACTGGGCTTCTGGGTCGGGTGGGGACTTGGGTAACTTTTCTGTCTACCTAAGGATTGTAAACACATCAATCAGCACTCTGTCTAGCTAAAGGTTTGTAAACGCACCAATCAGCACTGTGTAAAAACGGACCAATCACCTCTCTGTAAAATGGACCAATCAGCAGGATGTGGGTGGGGCCAAGTAAGGGAATAAAAGCTGGCCACCCAAGCCGCAGTGGCAATCCGCTGGGGTGCTGTTTCATGCTGTGGAAGCTTTGTTCTTTTGCTCTTCACAATAAATTTTGCTGCTGCTTCCTCTGGGTCTGCACTACCTTTATGAGCTGTAACACTCACCGTGAGGGTCTGTGGCTTCATTCCTGAAGTCAGCAAGGCCACGAACCCATCAGGAGGAACCAACAACTCCAGACGTGCCCCTTTAAGAGCTGTAACACTGCAAAGTTCTGTGGCTTCACTCCTGAAGTCAAGCGAGACCACAAACCCACCGGAAGGAAGAAACTC
The DNA here is from genome assembly GCF_000001405.40 of Homo sapiens. NCBI lineage: Eukaryota > Metazoa > Chordata > Mammalia > Primates > Hominidae > Homo > Homo sapiens. The sequence continues at coordinate 75,025,600 of NC_000017.11, forward strand.
CAGACACATCTGAACATCTGAAGGAACAAACTCCGGACACACCATCTTTAAGAGCTATAACACTTACCATGAGGGTCCGCGGCTTCATTCTTGAAGTCAGCAAGACCAAGAACCCACCAGAAGGAACCAATTCCGGACACACTTCCTGGGGAGCCACCAAAGAAGGTCCCCATGGGAGTTAGGAGACCCTTATCCTCAGGAACAGTCGGTCTATTACTTGGAAGGTCTAGTCTAAATTTAAAAGGTGTGCCAGGTGTGGTAGCTCACGACTGTAATCCCAGCACTCTGGGAGGCCAAGGCAGGCAGATCATGAGGTCAGGAGATTGAGACCATCCTGGCTAATATGGTGAAACCTCGTCTCTACTAAAAAATACAAAAACTAATAGCCAGGTGTTGTGGTGGGCGCCTATAATCCCAGCTACTTGGGAGGTTGAGACAAGAGAATGGCATGAACCCGGGAGGCGGAGCTTGCAGTGAGCCAAGATCGTGCCACTGCACTCCAGCCTGAGTGACAGAGTGAGACTCCATCTCAACAAAAAAAATTAAAAGGTGTTACTATACATACAGGAATAATTGACTCTGATTATACTGGAGAAATTCAATTTGTTATTAGTTCCTTGACTCTGTGGTCTGCCTCCCCAGGAGAAAGAATTGCTGATTTGTTGCTGTTACCTTACATAAAACTAGGCAGCAGCACAGTGAAAAGAACAGGAGGCTTTGGTAATAGTAATCCAGCAGGAAAGGCTGTATATTGGGTTAATCAAGTGTCTGACGAAAGACCTGTTTGCACAGTAACCATTCAGGGAAAAGATTTTGAAGGACTAGCAGATACTGGAGCTGATGTCTCTATTATTGCTATAAAGCAATGGCCCCTGCACTGGCCTAAACAAAAGGCATCCATTGGTATTGCTGGAGTAGGAGCTGCCTCAGAAGTTTTTCAGAGTTCTTTGATTTTACCATCTCAAGGGCCTGATGGTCAGGAAGGGACAATTCAGCCTATCATTATACCTATTCCTGTCAATTTATGGGGTAGAGACTTATTGCAATAATGGGATGCTGAAATATCTATTCCTGTGGATCAATATAGTAATAATAGTAGACAAATAATGAAAAATGTGGGATATCACCCAGGAAAAGAACTAGGAAAAAATAAAAATGGCCAATCAGAACCTTTAGAAGGACAAACAGATCGGACCGGATTGGGGTGTCATTTTTAGGAGCAGCCATTGTTGAGCCTCCAGTTCCCATTCTTGTGTGGCTAACTGCCAAACCAGTTTGGGTGGAGCAATGGCTGCTGAAACAGGAAAAACTGGAGGCTTTAAAAGAACTGGTGCAGGAACAATTGCAAAAGGGACATATAGAGCCTACTTTCTCCCCTTAGAATTATCCTGTATTTGTCATTAAGAAAAAATCAGGGAAATGGAGAATGTTAACAGATTTAAAAGCTGTTAATGCTGTGATTCAAGCCATGGGTGCGCTACAACCATGGCTGACCTCCCCAACAATGATCCCAAAATACTGGCCTCTCATAGTGATAGATCTAAAGGATTGCTTTTTTACCATTCCTTTAGCTGCCCAAGATTATGAAAAATTTGCTTTTACTGTTCCTGCCATAAATAATAAAAAAACCAGCAGATGATCTGGTTGAATGGCTTTTTCTACCTCACAATACAACCAAAACACTCACTCTGTACTTAGATCAAATTGCTGTGCTAGTAGGGCAAGCGAGGCTGCGCACAACAAATCTAATGGGATATGATCCAAATCAGATTATAGTTCCATTAACTAAACAACAAATTCAACAAGCCTATATTAATTCCCAAGAATGGCAGGTTAATTTGGCCAGTTTTGTTGGCATTCTTGATAATCATTATCCTAAGTCTAAAATCTTCCAGTTTCTGAAATTAACATCCTGGATATTGCCTTCTATTACTCAAAAAGCCCCTATTGAAGGAGCCATTACTGTTTTTATTGATGGATCTAATAATGGAAAAGCCTCATTTGCAAGACCTCAACAGCAAGTTTTTCAAACAGACTGCTTCTTTCTGCTCAAAGGACTGAACTTATGGCTGTGATAATAGTGTTAAAAACTTTTAAACAGCCAGTAAACATTGTTTCTGATTCAGCCTATGTAGTGCAAGCCATGCAAAATATTGAATGTGCCTTAATTCGAAATGTGACTGATGGAACAACTTAATCTTTTATTTCATTCTTTACAGAAAGCAGTGCAATAAAGGCATTCCCCTTTCTATACCACTCATATGAGAGCACGTACTAACCTCCCTGGTCCTTTAACTAAACTTAATAAAAGGGCGGATGCATTGGTGTCTGCAGCCTTTGCTGATGCACAAACATTTCATTCTTCAACCCATCTTAATGCCTCAGGCCTTAGAAGAAGATATGGTCTATCATGGAAATAAGCTAAAGAAATTGTGCAACACTGTTCTGCCTGCCAAGTCCTGCATCTGCCACATAAAAGAACAGGAGTTAACCCTAGAGGTTTATCTCCAAATTCCATCTGGCAGATGGATGTAACACGTATTCCTGCTTTTAGAAAACTGTACTTTCGGGGCCAGGCACGGTGGCTCACGCCTGTAATCCCAGCACTTTGGGAGGCCGAGGCAGGCGGATCACAAGGTCAGGAGATCGAGACCATCCTGGCTAACATGGTGAAACCCCATCTCTACTAAAAATACAAAAAATTAGCTGGGCGTGGTGGCAGGCGCCTGTAGTCCCAGCTACTTGGGAGGCTGAGGCAGGAGAATGGCATGAACCCAGGAGGCGGAGCTTGCAGTGAGCAGAGATCGTGCCACTGCACTCCAGCCTGGGCAACAGAGCGAGACTGTCTCAAAAAAAAAAAAAGAAAAGAAAAGAAAATTCTCCTTTGTTCATGTTTCAGTAGATACCTATTCACATTTTACTTGGGCCACATGTCAAACAGGGGAAGCTACAGCTCATGTTAAAAGACATCTTTTATCTTCCTTTTCAGTTATGGGAATCCCAGAAAAAAATCAAAACTGGTAACGGCCCAGGATACTGTAGTAAAGCCATGGCTACATTTTTTCAACAATGGAATATTACCCATACTACAGGTATTACATATAACTCAGAAGGACAAGCATTACTGGAAAGAGCTAACCATACTTTAGAAACTCAAATATAAAAGCAAAAGGGAGGGGACCAGGAATATAAGACACCACATATGCAATTGCATTTAGCTTTATTAACATTAAATTTTTTTAATTTACAAAAAGATCAACCCGTGACTGCAGCTGAACAACACCTGGCAGGACAAAAGGAAAATAAAAAGGCTGGACAATATATATGGTGGAGGGATGCACATACAAAGAGCTGGGAAAAACGAAAGATAATTTATGGGGAAGAGGATTTGCTTGTGTCTCTCCAGGTGACAATCAGGTGCCTGTGTGGGTGCCCACCAAACATCTGAAGATCTATCATGAGCCACAGCATCTAGTGGACCCACCTGTACAGTGCAAATTGAAGGTTTAAGGATTGCTTTTATTTATTTATTTTGAGACGGAGTTTCACTCTTGATGCCCAGGCTGGAGTGCAATGGCACGATCTTGGCTCACTGCAACCTCTGCCTCCCGGGTTCAAGCGATTCTACTGCCTCAGCCTCCCGAGTAGCTGGAATTACAGGCATGCGCCACCATGCCTGGCTAATTTGTGTGTGTGTGTGTATTTTTAGTAGAGATGGGGTTTCTCCATGTTGGTCAGGCTGGTCTCGAACTCCCAACCTCAGGTGATCCTCCCACCTCAGCCTCCCAAAGTGCTGGGATTACAGGCATGAGCCACTGCGCCCGGCCTATGGATTGCTTTTAAGCTTCAATTTGCTTTCTCTGTGCCTTCTGTTAGAAGGGGCCTGCTTCTCGTTATCAAGGTAAGTTTTACCCCGTGGTAATTAACCAAAGAGGCAGAAGCTGAGTTACAAATGCTTCAGCAATGGCCTGCCTCCCAGCTGCAGCCACAAAAGTTTTTGCTTCTGTTTCAGTAGATTTACTAACATGGGGGTGAGGGTATGCTTGTGTTTTTGCAGGAGATGAGCAAACCGTGTAGGTGCCCTCAAAATGTGTATGACCATGAACAGGAGACTGGAAGGAGCCATGGATCCCAATCATGGACCGGGTTCCCCCAGTACGAGCCATGCTGAGAAACTGCTGGAACACCAGGATTTTACCTATAGATGCTTAACGGACCAATGCTTTCTGACTGAACTCCTCTCTACCCTGAATAGAAGAGACCCTAATAGGGAGGCAGGAATATCATCACCCCATTCAGCATGAAGAAGTTACAGAAAACGGACCTTCATCCTTCTGCAACCCCTAGGATTAACGGTCCTCTCGTAAAAGGGAAAGGGGAGATATGTGGGAAGCATCCAAACCAGAGCAATTCCATTTTGAAAAAGGCCTAAGAAAAATGAAGCTGGATCACCAACCAGCAATTAAGAGCTGCACAGCCTGAAATTGCCTTGCTCAATTAATTTAAAAAAGAGGCCACCTTATGCTAGTAACAATGATAGCTGTGGCAGTTTTACAAAAAAGAGAAGGGGGGCATGTTAGGAGAAAAGCTGAGTGTTGGGAGAGAAGCTCAGGCAGGGCTTGCATGTCCGCCAGACTTACTGGCTCCTTGCTTCTAGCACTCCCATTCTCTCAAGCAGCCATATGTTTCTTATTCACTTGATACACTGTTTCCTTTCAACCCCCACATCCTCACCACTTGTTTCCTTGTTTGAGCACCAGTAAATAGCGTGGGCTCCTGGCGCTCGGGGCCTTCATAGCCTCCACACTCGCGATGGCCCCCTGGTCCCACTTTCTCTCTCAAACTATCTTTTTCTCATTCCTTTGACTCCGCCAGACTTTGTCGCCCCCATGACCTGGTGTTGGGTCTGATCACCCCAACAAAACCACTGGGTATCTTGAGTGAGAAAAAGTATTGTGTGTTAGGTGCTGCATTAGGCAGTGGATTTTAGAGGCACGAACAGTAAGTTGGAACTGGAAGGAGATTTTTGCAGTCGTCTCAGGCTAGCATTGCAGTAGTAGATTGCTCTGGCATGTATAAATTTCTTAAACTGTTCTATATGATTTTGATCTATTTTATATGAGTACATGAGTCTAAACAAGGGGAAATTCATCTATAAATGACTTACAAACTACAAAAATTTGCTCACTTCAGCAGCATGCATACTAAAACTGGAATGCCAGGCACGGTGGCTCATGCCTGTAATCCCAGCACTTTGGGAGGCTGAGGCAGGCAGATCACGTGGTCAGGAGATCGAGACCATCCTGGCTAACATGGTGAAACCCCATCTCTACTAACAATACAAAAATACAATTAGCCAGGCGTGGTGGTGGGCGCCTGTAGTCCCAGCTACTTGGGAGGCTGAGGTGGGAGAATGGTGTGAACCCAGGAGGCAGAGCTTGCAGTGAGCCGAGATCGCACCACCACACTCCAGCCAGCCTGGGTGACACAGTGAGACTCCGTCTCAAAAATAAAATAAAATAAAATTGGAATGATACAGAGAAGATTAGCATGGCTCCTTTAAAGTAAAGACGTGGTCCCTGTCCTCAAGGGACTCAGAGCCTAGGAGGGGGCTGAGGCTCATATGCAGGACGTACAAAATTTCCTAGTTCATTCAGTAATTCAGCAAATGCTAAGTGAATGCCAGGCACTCACAGCGTGGGGTGGGGAGGAGTCAGAAGTGAACAAAGCAATATTCTTCCAGATAATTGACATTTGATCAGGTGATAACAAAAGCTGAGAGGAAAAATTGATTCCTCTTACAGTAGCAGGACCTGAAGCACGATGAATGACATAAGAAAGGTCTCAGTAGATTGCTGGAGGCAGAGGAGTGACTAGTTCTAGCTGGAGGGTTGGAGAAGATGTGCTTGAGATGGGCCTGAAGGGAGGGGAGAACTGGCAGGGTAACAGCATGTCACTTGGAGGCTCCAGTGGTGGCCAACAGCAAAGGCTAGGAAAATGGCAACTCCGAGGCCTGCCTGCGTCTGGACAGGAAACTTGTGATTGAGAGAATGGGCTCTGAAGCAAACTGCTCAGGGTCAGCTCCCATCCGTCCACCTCCCCCAGCTGCTATCTAACCTCTCTGAACCTTAGTTTCCCCACCTATAAACTAGGGGGGTTTTTTTGTTTTGTTTGTTTGTTTTTTTGAGACAGAGTCTCACTGCCACCCAGGCTGGAGTGCAATGGCGCAATCTCGGGTCACTGCAACCTCCGCCTCCTGGGTTCAAGCGATTCTCCTGCCTCAGCCTCCCAAGTAGCTGGGAACTCAGGTGCCCGCCACACCCAGCTAATTTTTGTATTTTTAGTAGAGATGGGGTTTCACTATGTTGGCCAAGCTGGTCTCAAACTCCTGACCTCAAGTGATCAGTCTGCCTCAACCTCACAAAGTGCTGGGATTACAGGTGTGAGCTACTGCATTCAGCCTAAACCAGAGGTTATGTTATTAGCGCCTTCCTCATAGGGTTATTGTGGGATTTCAGTGAATAAATACGTGGTTAGTGGCACTGAGCTAGTACTTGGGGAATGTCAGCCATGATTTGTAGCCCAATTTGGCTGGAACCCAGAGGGCAAGGAGCTGTGCAAGATGAGTCTGCCACATTGACTGGGATCCTTAAGAAAGGACTTAAAAGTGACAGCTAAGACATTTAGTCTTTCCCCTACAGAGGCTGTGGCAGGAAGACTGCTCTGCCCACGACAGAACGAGGAGACTGTAGGAAAGTGTGCATGGCTGGCAACTGACCCCCTGTGAGCAGTCAGGGACACGTTCTGGAACTAGGGCGGCGGCAGCAGGGATGGGGAGGAAATACTGGATGCTGGAGGATTATGAGGACAGAAAATTGGCCTGGGTAGTGTGGGAGTGGGGGTGTGACATGGATGATGCTGTGCACTCACACAGCAACGTCATGAAGGGGAGTGGCCTTGGGAGGACAGCTGATCAGTGTGGTTTTGCCTTCGAGGAGGGGTGCCCAGTGGTGATGCCCAGGAGAGGGAATGGAAACCTGGAGCTGGGAGTGAGGTTAGAGCTGTAAGATCCAAGACCCAGGGAGACAAGAGGACCCTGGGGACGAATAGGAACAGCTGAGCAAGGCAAGGCTGAGCCCCGGGCGGGCGGGTTGGGGGAACATGCCTAGCTAGAGGGCGGCAGCAGGAAAGCAGAGAAGGCATCCCTGCAGGTTGGCCCTGGGGCAGAGTGCTGGATCCCAGCAACGGACAAGTTAGTTAACTTAAAGGGGGGCATCCTCAAGGCAGTAAACTGGAGCCAAGTGGGTTAAATCCTTCTTGCTGCTATTAAGGGGAGGAGACAGGTTTCTGCAGACTCTACATTTTGGAGAGAAACAGAAAAGAATGTCCCCAAGTCTCCTTTGCCCTGCGATGCTGGGGCAGATTGGCAAGGTCCCAAGAGAAGCACAATGGTAACCGACGCTGCCCTTGGCTGAACTTCTTCTGTTAAATCCTTCGGATGTGAGTAGACTTTTATTTAATAATTTTTTTTCTTTTTTTTCTTTTTTTCAAATGAGACTGCATCTCGCTATGTTGCCCAGGCTGGTTTTGAACTCCTGGGCTCAAGCAATCCCCCCACCTCACCCTCCCAAAGTGCTGGGATGCTGGGATTACAGGCGTGAGCCACCGCACCCGGTCTGTAGCCTTTAATAATGGATTTTAAATGTGTGTAACATTTTAAAATGTGCTTATTCTTTGTTAGAATTAGGGTGAAATATCTACTTGGCTGATTTTCCTTTCTATCTATACTTGTAGTATCTAGTATATATATATTTCTACTATTACAACTGGAAGAACTTGTTCCCCCTGGTTGTACATTCCCTCATGATAAGCAAGATTTTCAGTGTTTATGTTTCAATATTCATGATTAATACTTGTCTGTTCTCCTTCACTTCCTACGCTACTTTTTCCTAAAATTCCTGGATTTTTTATCAGTTCTGTAGAGGCGGACAGCAAGGCTCAGGGCGGTAGGAAGGAAACTCCTCCAAACCTCAGTCTTCATACCCCATGGTCCGGGTGTCCAGGCAACCACCAAGCGGACCCTCGGGGCTCCATGGGGCGTCCCAGTGCCGGGGGCTGGGGGCTGGTGCTCGCTAAGTAAGGATGGGGGCAGGTCCCTGCGCACCGCGGTATCTTCCCGCCCGCTCACCAAAAGTGCGCGCGGCAGGGACGGACCCACTCCATGGATCGCGCCTCTGTCAGGCCTTCTCTAGGAAAAGGGGACACTCGCTTATGAGGGGAAGGGATGGCACGGCCACGTGCCCCAAGCCCCAGTGGCCTAATGGATAAGGCACTGGCCTCCTAAGCCAGGGATTGTGGGTTCGAGTCCCACCTGGGGTAGAGGTGAAAGTTCCTTTTACGGAATTTTTTATTTCTTTTCTCTTCCCTTCTCAGGGATGCTGGAATCGACCTTGGTCTCTAGTTCGACTCCCGTGCAACGTGTTGAGGAGGAGCCACCTCCTCCAAGCGCCTAAAGCCGGTAAGCTCGGGTCTTGCCAAGCCCTTGAATGAACAGCTTTCGTCCGGGTAGGGCCCCACAATTTCGAAGCTGGGGAAACTCGTAAGAATAAAGTTGCCCAAAGGGTTCCCAGGACACCCCAGCTCCACCTGGCGGGGCAGCCCCGGAGAACCAGAGGTAAATGACCACCGCGACTGCAAACAGAGGGTCCTGCAAGAGAAGGCGAGGGGCGCAAACAGGGCAGAGGCAAGCAGGTAGCGGGCAGGTGGTGGTGGATTCTGAGGTCTCTGGCTGCCGGCACCAAAAGAAACCTTGCGAGCACAGCCCCTCTCGACACCCCAGGTGGGACTCGAACCCACAATCCCTGGCTTAGGAGGCCAGTGCCTTATCCATTAGGCCACTGGGGCGCGGTAAGACGCTAAACCCACGTGCTCCTTGATAGGTGTTCAACCATAGTGCCCAAACACGGCCCTGCTGTGGGTCACCGCGCTCCAAGCCTGAGAAGCCATGGGGACGACAGGATGAACCGCTGGCTGGGCGCGGCGTCCCCACCGGGCTACACAAGAGCTCCATGCGGTGACGACGCGCGGGGACCAGGAGCCCGCGGTGCCCTGTAACCCCGAGAAGAAGTGCTCGGCGAGCGCAGAGGCCGGTGGAGCATAGCTGGGAGGAATAGGGATGGACGAGGGCGGAGGGAAGAACAAACCCTCAAACTATGCTGGGATTCGGGCAAGGGCTGCTCGCTCCAAAAGAGCCCGACCACAAAGGAACCCTCAATCTTATGATCTGACGTCAGACGCCTCATCCCTTAGGCCACGCGGTCGCAATTCCCAGGGAGGCTCAGAGACTAGTCCAGGTGCCGCTCCGCTCGGGGGTGACTAGGCGGGCGGCTGGGGCCAGAGGAAGGGTGAGCGCTTCGCTCAACAGGCGGCCAGGGTGCGAGCAGTGAAGCTGCGGCACGCCGGAGCGTTTAATGGCCATCAAATTGGCCTCTCTAGGAGGTAGCTGCAGCCGGAGACCGCGTGGCCTAATGGATAAGGCGTCTGACTTCGGATCAGAAGATTGAGGGTTCGAGTCCCTTCGTGGTCGGAACGTTTTAATCCCTGCAACTATAATCTTCCCTCCCTTGTTTTAGACCCAGAAACGCCTCCCAATCCCTCCACACCGCGGCTCCCGGGATCCGAAGCTGGGGAGCTGCTTCTGTCCAATCAGGCTTTGCATCCCGGGACGCTTCCGGTTATGGCGTCATTATGCAGCCAGGGTAAGTAGGGCCCCATTTCTTGTTGTCTCTCTTGAGCTGGTACCTGGAACGAGTTCAACATCCAAACATTCGCCTCGTAAACGTGCTCTACAAGCTACAATCCCACAAGCAAATGACACGGAGCGGGTTATGTTTCAGTCTATCGTTATGAAGTTAAACAGCAGACAAAACTCCAGTCTCTGGCCGGGCCCAATGGCTCACGCCTGTAATCCCAACACTTTGGGAGGCTGAGGCGGGCGGATCACGAGGTCAAAGTTCGAGACCCGCCTGACCAACATGGTGAAACCCCGTCTCTACTAAAAATACAAAAATACAAAAATTAGCCGGCCAATCGTGGTGGCACGCGCCTGTAAACCCAGCTACTCAGGAGGCGGAGGCAGCAGGAGAATCGCTTGAATCCAGGAGGCCGAGGTTGCAGTGAGCCGTGATCGCGCCACTGCACTCCAGCCTGGGCAACAGAGCGAAAGCCGTCTCAAAACAAACAAACAAACAAACAAACAAAAAACTCCAGTCCCTAGCCTCAAGGGCAGTGGGGGTGCTGCCCAACTCTGTGGCCTCAGTCCTGCTAGTGGGCTCTGTCCACACTCACACGGCACCCACCACCCCACTACTCTGTGCTTGGAGGAAGAGGGTGTCAGGATGCATGTGTGTGCAAGTGTACTTGGACATAGGGGAGAATAAATGCTAATTTTTTTTTTCTTTTTCTTCTTCCCTGAGACGGAGTCTCGCTCTGTCACCCAGGGTGGAGTGCAGTAGCGTGATCTCGGCTCACTTCAAGCTCCACCTCCTGGGTTCACGCCATTCTCCTGCCTCATCCTCCCAAAGTGTTGAGATTACAGGCGTGAGCCACTGGGCCCGGCCAGGGAATGGAGTTTTGTCTGCAGCAGACAAACAAGCTGGGGCTACAGGCGCCCGCCACCACACTGGCTAATTTTTTGTATTTTTAGTATAGACGGGGTTTCACCGTGTTAGCCAGGATGGTCTCAATTTCCTGACCTAGTGATCCGCTCACCTCGGCCTCCCGAAGTGTTGTGATTACAGGCGTGAGCCACCGCGCCCTGCCCAATTACCTTTTTAATGTAAAATTAATGCATGTACAACGCAAAAATGCTGAACAATCCAAGAGGGCATAAAAAATAAAAGTACCCCCTTCCCACCCACGTGCCTTTAGCTGAGCCTGTTCCCAGTTGTTTGTTCACTGTTATTTAGCACAGGGAATCTCCCAAAGGGCTCCCCCTAATGCTGGGGTTGCCCCCTTCACATCCCAACACCTTCACGGGGCTCAGCGGTGCTCTCCTTGAACAGCGCGAGCTCTAACTATGCTCCAAGTAAACTGCATTTTTTCTCACATCCCTGCGCTTTCACTTGGCTGTCGTCTGCATCCTCAGATCCTCAGCGGGATGGCTGAGTGCCAGTTCAGTGACTGCAGTCTCGCAGGGGAAGGGTGTGGTACTTCTGTTACGCACATTAAAGGCCTTGCACAGCTACCGCTCCTCATCTCTGCCCAGTCTTCTTGTTGACTCAAGCAGTTTTGGGGGGAGTAGACTCCGCCCCTCCGCTGCCTTTCATCTTCAACCCGGCCTTACTCCTACCAATCAGGAGCCATGCACCCAGGCTCTCCTCTGCTTATGTTAAGACTACGCTGATTTCTCGAGGGTTGTCAGGCATTGTTGCTCTTCTCCAATATACTCCGCCTGCAAAAATGGGCCAGGTGCGGTGGCTCACGCCTGAAACCCCAGCACTTTGGGAGGCCAAGGCGGGCAGATCACGAGGTCAGGAGATCGAGACCGTCCTGCCTAACACGATGAAACCCCGTCTCTACTAAAAATACAAAAAATGAGCGGGGCGTGGTGGCGGGCGCCTGTACTCCCAGCTACTCTGGAGGCTGAGGCAGGAGAATGGTGTGAACCCGGGAGGCAAAGGTTGCAATGAGCAGAAATCGTGCCACTGCACTCCAGCCTGGGCGACAAAGCAAGATTCCATATCAGAAAAAAAAAAAAAAAAAAAGAAATGGCAGAAATGTCACAAGTCTCCCCTGCGTAGACCATGCAGACTTTTCCTACAGGATTTAAGCCACATCAAGTCAGCCTTTGCTTACTTTCTTACCTAGAAACTTCCCAGGTTATCTCATTTAATTCTCATTACAATCCTGATATTTGTAAATGAGAAAATTAAATTCTCAAGACAGTAAACAATCTAAAATCAGCAATTGGGTTGTAGGCATAACAGGTCCTCTGACTTTAAGGACAATTCTTTCTACCACCATACTTTTTTCTTTAAATACTTGCATTACTCTATGATCTACTACCTTGCTTTAAACCATCTCTATTGCCTGACGTTGCTCAGGTCTGCTAACCATAGTAAATAGTGGGGATTTTAAAAATTAAGTTAAAATAATTCTCCATGTTCAGGCTGGATGCAGTGGCCCACGCCTGTAATCCCAGCACTTTGGGAGGCTGAGGCGGGCGGATCACAAGGTCAGGAGATCGAGACCATCCTGGCTAACATGGTGAAACCCCGTCTCTACTAAAAATAAAACAAATTAGCCGGGCGTGATGGCGGGCACCTGTAGTCCGAGCTACTCAGGAGGCTAAGGCAGGAGAATGGCATGAACCCATGAGGTAAAGGTTGCAGTGAGCCGAGATCGTCCCACTGCACTCCAGCCTGGGCGACAGAGTGAGACTCCATCTTAAAAAATAATAATAAAATAAAATAATTTTCCATGTTCAAATGCAAAAAGCTGTAAGTTAACTGTGCAACATAAGTTTCCCTTTTTTTTTAGAGGCAAAGTCTCGCTCTGTCACTCAGGCTGGAGTGCAGTGGCACGATCTTGGCTCACTGCAACCTCTGCCTCCCAGGTTCAATCAAGCCTCAAGCTGAGGCCAAGATGCCTCAGCCTCCCAAGTAGCTGGGATTACAGGCGCCCCCCGCCCCACCACCACGCCTGGCTAATTTCTGCATTTTTAGTAGAGATGGGGTTTCACCATCTTGGCCAGGCTGGTCTCAAACTCCTGACCTCAGGTGATCCACCCGCCTGGGCCTCCCAAAATGCTGGGATTACAGGCGTGAGCCACCATGCCCAGCCCAAAGTTTCCTTTTCTAATACCACTTTTGTGCTCAAAAGCTGAAGCACAGAGAAGTAAATCCCTGCTGTTACACCTAGCCATTTGGACCAGCTGTTCTTGTGACTTACTAATGGACAAGCAGGAGCACTCCCTTGGAACCAGGGGTTTGAAACCAAAGAGGAAGTTGAAGAGAATCAGCAGATAACAATTCTTTACTACATCACAGTGAAATACACTGCCATAGCCCCTAGTGTTATTTGTTGCCATTTCAGCAGTCCTGGGGCCTCAGTAAGTGGCGCCTACACAGCCCGTCAGACAACCAGCCCAACAAACCTGTCGAGGCTCACCTTTCCATTTAAACAAAAACCCCGCTGCCAGTGAGGCCAGCTCAGAAGAGAGGCTTAATTATCTCAACCACAGAGAAGAAGCACACCCAGAACTGTATAATTATTATTTTTAATGTCCAGAATGTGTAATACAAGGGCCAGAGCTTCCTCCTGGACTCAATTTTATAAATTCTCAATTGGTTGGTGAGGCCAATAGGGATACTTTTTCTTGTCTAATTTGGTTTCTGGGAAAGCTTCATTCAAGTCCTCAATGGTCATCTGATCAAATGGAATTAAGTTCTTCATCTTCTCCATCTGGAAAGAGGGGGAATGTGTTTAGTTAATGTAAACAGAGACGGAAAGCAGAATATCCAAGGCAGGTTCCTGCCACCAGGTGAAAGATGTGTGGTCATGAAAGAGAGAACCCATATTATAGGCAACGGCTACCCATCATCCTTACCTCTTTCTCATATTCTACAATCCTGGCCTTTGAGAGAGACACCCACTCAGCACAAGATTTCACCTTTAAGAAGAAAGAGAAATTCAGTTCTGAAACCAGGCTGCATTCTACCCCAGCAGCTGCTAAGGTAGGAGTCGTCCCAGCCCACTCCTGCTGTCCTATTGCTCTATGGAGAAACTGTGGTTACCCTGAGTGGGGGCGCTCACTCTGACAGGCAAACCACAGCTTTTCTTAACACTCACAGAGAAGCCCATATGGAAAACCAGCTTAGGATGGCAGCACCCGGCTGCTTCTGCAAGTTCCTCATCCGAAGACCTACAGAATGCCTGTTTTCACAGGGCTCAGCCACTGAATGGTCAGGACACGCCACCTGAGCACCTAGCCAGACTTCTCTCTGGTGGAGCCACTGAGTTCCATAGTTGGCCTTCAGTGCTTTCAAGCAAATAATTAGGTATTTGAATACTACTTGGGTAATTTTTCTAATTCCAACTCCTTGTTTCTAACAGCTTTGTTGAGGTATATCTGAAATATGATAAAATGCACATATTTAAAGAACACCATTTGATAAGTTTTGATATAGGTATCCACCTGTGAAACCAGCAGTCCCCTCTCAACCATCCCCAGGCAGCCACTGTAGACAAACTACATTTTCTAGAGTCTTACAAAGATGGAATCATATGCTATACTCTTCTTTTTCTTGTTGGCTTCTTTCACTCCGCATAATTATTTTGAAATTCGTCCATGTTGTTGCATTTATTGACAAGTCATTCCTTTATATGGCTGTTAACTCTTCCATTTAATTCACTCTAACTTAACTTAGCTATAATAGAGAGCTGTCAAGATCAAGAGAATTTTAGAATAAGCAGGAGCCTCAACTACTTACATCTTCTTTTTCTTCGGCATCCACCTGGGCAGTATATTTATCCTCTGGCACGGGAACCTTCAGCGCATTAAACTACAAACACAAGGGCACGGGAACCTTCAGCGCATTAAACTACAAACACAAGGACAGTGAGTCGTCGCCAATACACCCAGGAGCTCAAAGGGCTGGAAGCTACGAATCCTTAAAGGTCATACTGAAAGACATTCTGTGTCCCAAGCGGAAACGAATACGCATCTCAATACTGGAGTAGAAAGAATATTAGACTGGGAACAGGAGCTCAAGGGTCTTCTCAGCCCTATCACTAACTCGGAACCCTGGACAATTCTTTATGATGATAAGCTTCATTTTCTTCATCTGAAAAGGACAGCTGGACTTGATGACCAAAAAATGGCCTCTTAGCACCTTGAATTGTAAAGAAATTCTGATTTCTCTTCTGCATGGAACCCTAGGGAGCTGACTGGTGGAAGGAGCACTGCGTAATGAATGGTCTCCTTAGAAGACTGCTTAGTGTTAGCCGGGTGCGGTGGCTCATGCCTGTAATCCCAGCACTTTGGGAGGCTGAGGCGGGCGGATCACCTAAGGTCGGGAGTTCGAGACCAGCCTGACCAACATGGTGAAACCCCGTCTCTACTAAAAATACAAAAATTAGCTGTGCAAGGTGGCCAGCACCTGTAGTCCCAGCTACATGGGAGGCTGAGGCAAGAGAACTGCTTGAACCTGGGAGGCGGAGATTGCAGTGAGCTGAGATGGCCCCACTGCACTCCAGCCTGGGCGACAGAGCAAGACTCCGTCTCAAAAAAAAAAAAAAAAGACTGCTTAGTGTTATGGCTCCAGCACTTAACACTACCTGGCACAGAGTAGGCCCTCCATACACATCTTTGAATGAATAAGCAAATGAACTCTGGATATTGAGACTTGTGTAAATATCAGAGGAGGATAGATGGATGAGAAATTACAGCTATAAGGGACAGTTAAAAAAAGCAGAGGCTGGGCATGGTGGCTCACACCTGTACTCCCAGCACTTTGGGAGGCCAAGGAGGGTGGATCACCTGAGCTCAGGAGTTCGAGACCAGTCTGGGCAACATGGCGAAACCCCGTCTCTACCAAAAATACAAAAAATTAGCCAGGCATGGTGGTGCTGTGGTCCCAGTTACTCGGGGGGATGAGGTGGGAGGAAGGCTTGAGCCCGGGAGAAAGAGGTTGCAGTGAGCTGAGATGGCGCCACTGCACTCCAACCTGAGTGACAGAGTGAGACTCCAACTCAAAAAAAAAAAAAAAAGAAGAGCAGAGAGGTGGATTGCCTGAGCCCAGAGTTTGAGACCAGCCTGAGCAATATGACAAAAACCTGTCTCTACCAAAAAAAAAAAAAAAACAAAACGAAAATTTATCAGGTGTGGTGGTGGCATGCACCTGTAGTCCCAGCTACTCAGGAGGCTAAGACAGAAGGATGGCTTGAGCTTGGGAGGCAGAGGCTGCAGTAAGCTGAGATTGCGCCACTGCACTCCACCCTGGGTGACAGAGCAAAACTCCGTCTCAAAAGAAAAAGGACAGGAAAAGAGTAGAAAAAAAGTCAGTTTGTTCCAAAGGGAGACAGGAAGGAAGCTAAAAGGAACCCAGGAGGTGGGCAAACATTTAACTTGAAAGCCCCCTGGGGCGTGGTGGCGCATGCCTGGCTGAGGCACGTGGATTGCTTGAGCCCAAGAGTTCTGGGCTGTAGCGCGTTATGCCGATCGGGTGTCTTCACCAAGTTCAGCATCAATATGGTGACCTCCCAGGAGCGGGGGACCACCAGGTTGCCTAAGAAGGGGTGAACCGGCCCAGGTCAGAAACAGAGCAGGTCAAAACTCCTGTGCTGATCAGAAAGCCCTCTGGCTCCCAGATTAAGGCTACACTCTACTGCTGAATGAACAGAGCCTAAATTCCTGCACCTATTTACAGTTCAATCGACCACAAGGCCTTTGGCCATACGCATCCTTCCTAAGCTTCCTTAGGGATCTGGCTGTCATGCTGTGTATGTAATTATCCCTGTTCCTGCTCCCTACCCACAGGCATGTTACAAGCTCAGTGCTTTAGAGGTGTGAAGTCTCACCTTCTTCTCAAAGTCATCCACCAAGCCAGCCTTGGCCACATTGGCCTTGTAGTAAGCCCAGTCGATAGCTGGTGGATTCTCAGGTAAAGCAGCCAACCTGCCCACAAGGAAAGGCAAAAGTTAGGATTGTTCATAAGCAGTAGAAAATTCACATGGTAATTTTCCTATCCCTTCTTCCTATGGCCTGGAGGGTCACCACACTTTCCTCTCCTAAGATCATCATGAAAATGCAAGGATTTCTTTATATGTTGTCATAAGGGCATCAAGAATTCATATGTAATTCCTTAATACTGTTTTGTTTCTAGATTCAGTGGCAAGTATGGGGTTCCCTCTCAGAAACATACTGACCTGGAGGTGAGGGTCTCATTCCAGGATTTCAGGGAACTAGCAATGGCCTTTTGGTTCTGGGGTATGATCTCTGCAAAAGCTACCCAGTCAATGGTTTTTAGAGCAAGTTTTCGCCCAGCCATTTTGGGATCCTGAAAAATAAGTCAAATAAAAACAAGGCTTTTTTATGAGGTGAATTTTCAGTTGGGAAAAATGATAAATAACAAAATAAGAGCTCTTAGAGAGAATCCTTTAAATCTTAGAAACATGCAAGTCTTCACAAGAATCACTTGAACCCAGGAGGTGGAGGTTGCAGTGAGTCGAGACTGCATCACTGCACTCCAGCCTGGGAGACACAGCAAGACTCCAACTCAAAAAAAAAGAAAAAAAGACAGTGTAGCTTTTCAAATTCAAGGTAATTCAAGGTGTGCGGCCAGGCGCAGTGGGCTCACGCCTGTAATCCCAGCACTTTGGGAGGCCAAGACGGTTGGATCACCTGAGGTCAGGAGTTCGAGACCAGCATGGCCAACATGGCAAAACCCCATCTCTATTAAAAATACAATAATTAGCCAGCCGTGGTGGCCCGCGCCATAATCCCAGCTACTCCAGAGGCTGAGGCATAAGAATCACTTGAACCCAGGAGGCAGAGGTTGTAATGAGCTGAGATGGCATCAGTGCACCCTAGCCTGGGCAACACAGCAAGAGTCCGTCTCAAAAAGAAAAGGAAAGGACAGTGTAGCTTTTCAAATTCAAAGTGTGCAATGTGGCATACAAATACATTCTCTCCCAACTCCTATTTAGCCTTAAAAGCCCAGCTCTCTTGGCCGGGCGCAGTGGCTCATTTCTGTAATCCCAGCACTTTGGGAGGCTGAGGTGGGTGGATCACTTGAGGTCAGGAGTTCAAGACCAGCCTGAGCAATAGGGTGAAACCCTGCCTCTACTAAAAAATACAAAAATTAGCCGGGCGTGATGGCATGCACCTGTAGTCCCAGGTACTCAAGAGGCTTAGACAGGACAATCACTTGAACCTGGGCGGCGGAGGTTGCAGTGAGCTGAGATAGCGCCATTGCACTCCAGCCTGGACACAGAGTGAGACTCTGTCTCAAAAAAAAAAAAAAAAACAAACCCCAGCTCTCTTTATCCCCTCCATGTGCCTCTGGAAAAATTACTAAAAATAACACTCTTATTGCATAAAAGTTAATAAAGACATTTCCACCCAGATTGTGTTTTATTCACTGATTCTCCAGTAGACAGAAACTGACACACACCTAAGTTTCAACAAGCCTTAAATAGAGCACTCTCTAGGCTAAAATTTACTTATGTGTACAATGGGCATTATCAGTCCTGCTTGCCCCAGAGGGCTGCTAAAAGTGTCACATGAAATTGTGCACAGCAACTTGCTCCAGAGTTTTACAAACTTAAAAGGGCTATCCCCTTCCAACTAGATTGGTAATACACCTGCACCTTCTTATTCACATCGGATTATACCCTAGCAGCACCAGCACACGTTGTGCACTTTTTTTTTTTTTTTTTTTGAGATGGAGTTTCACTCTGTCCCCCGGGCTGGAGTGCAGTGGCATCATCTTGGCTCACTGCAACCTCCACCTCCCAGGCTCAAGCGATTCTCCTGCCTCAGCCTCCGGAGTAGCTGGGATTACAGGCACCCACCACCACACCCAGCTAATTTTTGTATTTTTTTTTTTTTTTTTGAGACGGAGTCTCGCTCTGTCGCCCAGGCCGGACTGCGGACTGCAGTGGCGCAATCTCGGCTCACTGCAAACTCCGCTTCCCGGGTTCACGCCATTCTCCTGCCTCAGCCTCCCGAGTAGCTGGGACTACAGGCGCCCGCCACCGCGCCCGGCTAATTTTTTGTATTTTTAGTAGAGACGGGGTTTCACCTTGTTAGCCAGGATGGTCTCGATCTCCTGACCTCATGATCCACCCGCCTCGGCCTCCCAAAGTGCTGGGATTATAGGCGTGAGCCACCGCGCCCGGCCCTAATTTTTGTATTTTTAGTAGAGACAGGGTTTCTCCACGTTGGCCAGGATGGGCTGAAACTCCAGACCTCAGGTGATCCACCCACCTCAGCCTTGCAAAGTGCTGGAATTACAGGCATGAGCCACCGCGCCCGGCCTGCATTTTAAGAGGTATTCAACACATGTGAAAATGTGAGAAAAATACAGAAAACGACTACAGCCACTTAAAAAAAAAGTCAGAATATAGGAAAATAGTCCTCTTTAAGTAAGATCAGGGTCAGATATTAAAAGACTGCAAAGTCAAAAATCTCTATAAGCTTGGAGTGGAATGCAAGGGAGGCGGAAGCAGTCTTTCTCAGGATCTTCAAGAAAGTTGTCAAACACCTGTCCTGTCCTTCCTTTCTTTCTCAGGACAGCCTGTTTCCTGTTGTGGAGGGGAGGTGTTAAGGCAATTGGCATGTGATTTTAAAGTTACCAGGGAACCAAGCACCCTTACAGACTTTCCCAAACATCAGTGTATCGGGGAACTTGCCCCGATAGTCACATAGGTTCTTTTCTATTTTCCTAAGCGTCGACTGGCTTGACAGAGTACAAAAGAGAGAAATTTTAAAGCTGGGCGTCCGGGGGAGACATCACACGTTGGTAGGATCCGTGATGCCCCACAAGCCACAAAAACCAGCAAGTTTTTATTAGGGAGTTTCAAAAGGGGAGGGAGTATACGAATAGGTGTGGGTGACAGACATCAAGTACTTAACAGGGTAATAGAATATCACAAGGCAAGTGGAGGCAGGGTGAGATCACAAGACCACAGGACCAGAGCGAAATTAAAATTGCTAATGAAGTTTTGGGCACCATTGTCATTGATAACATCTTATCAGGAGACAGGGTTTTCAGATCAACCGGTCTGACCAAAATTTATTAGGTGGGAATTTCCTTTTCCTAATAAGCCTGGGATCGCTATGGGAGACTGGAGTTTATTTCACCCCTGCAGTCTCAACCATAAGAGACAGGTACGCCCCAGGGGGGCCAGTTCAGAGACCTACCCCTAGGTGCGCATTCTCTTTCTCAGGGATATCCCATGCTGAGAAAAAGAATTCAGCGATATTTCTCCCATTTGCTTTTGAAGGAAGAGAAATATGGCTCTGTTCTGCCCGGCTCACCGGCGGTCAGAGTTTAAGGTTCTCTCTTGTTCCCTGAACAATTGCTGTTATCCTGTTCTTTTTTCAGGGTGCCCACATTTCATATTGCTCAAACACACATGCTGTACAATTTTTGTAGTTAACACAATTATTACAGGGTCCTGGAACGATATACATCCTCAACTGACAGGATTAAGAGATTAAAGACAAGACAGGCATAGGAAATCAGAAGAGTATTGACTGGGGAAGTGATAAGTGTCCATGAAATCTCTACAATTTATGTTTAGAGATTGCAGTAAAGACAGGCATAAGAAATTACAAAAGTATTAATTTGGGGAACTAATAAATGTCCATAAAATCTTCACAATCCACGTTCTTCTGCCATGGTTTCAGCCGGTCTCTCTGTTTGGGGTCCCTGATTTCCCGCAACATCAGTGGAAAATGGAAGTCACAAATAACTTTGTGTGTGTGTGTGAGTGAGACGGAGTCTCGCACTGTCGCCTGGGCTGGAGTGTAGTGGCGTGGTCTCGGCTCACTGCAACCTCCGCCTCCCGGGTTCAAGCGATTCTCCTGCCTCAGCCTCCCGAGCAGCTGGGATTATAGGGGCCTTCCACCACGCCCAGCTAATTTTTTGTATTTTTAGTAGAGGCGGGGTTTCACTACGTTGGCCAGGCTGGTCTCGAACTCCTGACCTCGCGATTCGCCCGCCTTGGCCTCCTAAAATTCTGGGATTACAGGCGTGAGCCACCGCGCCCGGCGAAATTTTTTTTAATTCTTAAAAATCTATTGCTTAATCCCCAGCGCCTAGAACAGATCATGCGCATAGGAGGTGCTCAATGAATCTTTCTTGAATGAGTAACCGAACTCTGCACCCGAGGAGCCCTGAACGCTCTATACGTTCGAATCCTGGAAGCTGCCGAAGGGGAAGGGCGCAGCCCCGCAGCCAGCTGAGCGTCCCTCGGCAGGTTAACACTGTCTGCGTAATGTTTCCCCAGTCCCCCCACCAAACTATTGAAGTCTGCCGCGCTGGGAGCGGACTGCACGAGACACGGCTTGTGGCAGCGCCTACATCAGCGGCGCCTGGGACACAGCCGGGCCCCCCTGACCCCGCGCGCCAAGGAGGGCTGAGGAAGGGATCGCGGGGCGAGGAGCGGCAGCTACACAAGGGACACTCTGCCAGCGGGGCAAGCCGAGGGCCCAGCGTCCTTGACGGGGGCGTGACAAGGGTCGGCGTGAGGTTTGGAGAGGGCAGAGCAGAGGAGCCCTCCAGGGATCGGATCCAATGCCCCAAGCCCCACTCACCTTCACCGACCCTGGCTGCCCACGGTCCTCCGCAGCAAGTAACGGAAGTGGGTCACGGGAAGATCTTTCCTCAGCCAACCCCAAAGCCAAGGGGGTGGGCCTTGCTTCGCAGATCAGCCAATAGAGATGAGGGCTGGTTCCGGAAGTATCTTCCCGGGGGCGGGCACAGCGCCTCCCCCGCGCGGGTCCCCGGGCGCTGGTTGGGGGCGCTCCCGTCCCTCTCCCCTCTGCCCCACCCCCGCCGATGGGCCGGCCCGGCTCTCCCTGCCGAGAAATGGGCCGGCCCGGCTGCGCGCGGGCAGCAGCGGTGGCGGCGGCGGTCCAAGATGGCGGAACTGCAGCTGGACCCGGCGATGGCGGGGCTGGGAGGGGGCGGCGGGAGTGGGGTGGGCGACGGGGGTGGCCCAGTCCGCGGGCCCCCCAGCCCACGCCCGGCTGGCCCCACGCCCCGCGGGCACGGCCGCCCGGCTGCCGCCGTCGCGCAGCCGCTGGAGCCGGGTCCCGGACCACCCGAGCGGGCAGGGGGCGGCGGCGCGGCCCGCTGGGTCAGGCTGAACGTGGGAGGCACCTACTTCGTGACCACCAGACAGACCTTAGGCCGGGAGCCCAAGTCATTTCTCTGCCGCCTCTGCTGCCAGGAGGACCCGGAGCTGGACTCAGACAAGGTGTGCCCCGCCCTCGGGCGCGCCCCCGGGCCTTCGAACCCCCTGGTTTCTCGTAGATCGGTCCCCAGAGTCCTGAGACACGCTCCTCACAGGCAGCCCCCTCAGGCCGGGACCCCATCCTCCCCCTCCCTCCCACACTACTCGCAGGGGCCTCAGAGGGACCTCCCACTCCCCTTCTTCCATGCTGAGGCATACTCTGGCTTTCTCCCCGACCCCGCCCTTCGTTCTCTGAGACTCCTTCCCACACTGCGCCCACCTGCACCCACGAGAACGCACTCCACACCCCTTCTCCATATTCTCTGCCCCTGACATCCCACTGAGATCTGCATGAGTTTTCCCTGGCTCCTCTTCAGTCCCCCCACTGCCGGTGCCAGATGCATCCAGAACTGGGTCAGGGTTAGCTCAGGCATCCTTGTAGCTTTCTCAGACTCCCTCTCGGACCCCTCTGCCAAGTTGGGCTTCCACAGCTGCAGGAAGCGCTCCTTGTGATATCACACTGCTTTTCTATAGTCCTGGTCGCAGAACTTTTATCTGTTAACAGTCACTGGTTTAGGTCCATATTTAGATCAAATGCGTTTTTTGGAAAGAGGTTACTGTTTGCCGCTGCAAATCTAGGCTAAGACAGAAGGAAAATGAAAATTTTCCCGGGAAAATTTTGGGCAGGATGCATGGCTGCTAACCAAAGGGTTGAGAGGTGACAAGACACTTAAACCATTTCCAGTTTGAACTGTGTCAATTTCTTTTTAACTTTACGTATTCACCTTTAAGTTCTCAACTTAAAGGCACTGACCATAACTCACACCATCTTATATCCCATATAGCACTCAGCTGGTGACCTCAAAACAGAGCTGGAGTTGCGTAAACATTTGTTGTTTTCGTTTATTCCTCTTCTCTAAGAAATCTCAGATTGATGGAAACCTATCCTGCCCTAACTTTAAAGAGATTTCAAAACCCTTGCTTATAAAGGAATTATTTTTATCTACTCTATATCCTCCTTGTGGTAATAGAAGCCAGTTTCTTCTTGTTCCTTTTACTGTAAAGATGAGTAGGATTAAAGCTGCTCAGAGCCAAGTCCTGGCAGTACCGAGCTTCCTCTGGGCACAGAGCTGGGGTGTGTGAGATTACAGCTGGCAGTGCAAACTCCCACTGATGTTGGCCTTGAGCTCAGGAGCATTGCCAACTACACAGAGGTTTTCTTGGAATTAGGAATGCAGTTCAGAGGCAGTGGAAAAGTCAGAATGTCCATCTCAAGCAAAGATTTCAGTTACACAGCTACGGCATTTTCTCCCTTTCTTAATAACAAACACGCTACAGAAGAATGTTTGTCACTGTAATTATTGTCCAGGCAAAGATTGCAAATTCCAGCCAGTAAGTAAACGCCTAAATGAGTATGACTGTCTGTAACACCCTACCTAAGATGATCTTAATGTACAAGATACATAAAGCTATAGCTTTCTTACCAATAGTTTGTGACAAATGTGTAACAAAATTTGCCATCACTAAAGTCTTTTTTAGCTGATGGAATGAATTGTTGTCTTGGGGCGCTGACAAAGATGGTGAAATCCTGCCCTGCCTTTGTTTAAAATACTCCTCAAAGGTCCACAATGATACCCTTGTGTTTGGTTGGCAGGATGAGACAGGAGCCTATCTGATTGACAGGGACCCCACCTACTTTGGTCCTATCCTCAACTACCTCCGCCACGGGAAACTCATCATCACTAAGGAGTTGGCAGAAGAAGGTAAGCGCACTGTTTGCATTGGGGATTTTCAAAATGCAAGTAGAATCTTTAAAGTTGTTTTACAGATTTCAATTTTGTTTGACATTTTCATCAGGCGCATGTGCAGGTATAGTTTCAGGTTTATGAAACAGAGCAGAAACTACCAGTCTTGTCTGAGGGAGTCATGATTAAGGAAGCCTCCTTAGGCTTTGTTCAGCTTCCTGGGTGAGAAGGAAGATAGGTAGCTCCGCTTTGCAGATAACTTCAGGAGTTCTTTCCGAATCTCCAGAATTGTCACGATCCTTTTTTTACATTTGTTTGTGTGCTAGCAGTGAGTGTCTGTAGTCTGAAGAAGCAAGACATCTCTGACATTCAATTATTTATAGTTTTAATTTTGGTTTGAACTCACAGTTGTACAAAAATAATAAAGGCTTGGCCTCATTTCTTTTAAGACTCTGGCCTCATGCTTCCCTGTAAATGTTTGCAGCTGACCTAATTCATTCTCTAGTTCATTGTCAGGTGTATCATTACTTGCCTCATCTTTGTGGTTTGTAGGGCATTGGGACTATAAGTGGGTCTAGTCCACTTTCTACAAGGCTTGGCATGGTCCCACTGAAGGCATTCAGTTGTAAAGGGGACTGTCCCTAAATCCAGGGCACCCTGATCTGGGAGCTTTGGCTCTGAGTAAGAAAGCTTGTAATGGCTGTACTAGTTAATGAAGTGACTGTGAAACAACTCTGTTTCAGCTAGTAGAAAGAGGAATTGCTCTCTCTCTCTTTTTTTAAATGTCCCTTTTTAAACAATATTTCAAACGCATACAGAAGTAATGGGAATAGTACATACAGTGAATTCCTTGCATCCACTATCCAGCTTCAACAATTACCAACTCATGGGTGATCTTAATCTTATTTATTTTTCTTTTTTAATTTTTGTAAGTACCTAGTAGGTGTATATATTTATGGGGTACATGAGATTTTTCTTTTTTTTTTCTTCGCTCAGGCTGGAGTGCACTGGCACAATCTTGACTCACTGCAACCTCAGCCTCCTGGGTTCAAGCGATTCTCCTGCCTCAGCCTCCCAAGTAGCTGGGATTACAGGCGTGCACCACCATGCTTGACTAATTTTTTGTATTTTTAGTAGAGACAGGGTTTCACCATGTTGACCAGGCTGGTCTTGAACTCCTAACCTCAAGTGATCCACCTGCCTCAGCCTCCCAGAGTGCTGGGATTACAGGCCTGAGCCTCCGCGCCCGACCTGAGATGTTTGGATATAGGCATGCAGTGTGAAATAAGCACATCATGGAGAATGGGGTATCCATCCCCTCAAGCATTTATCCTTTGTGATACAAAAATTCAATTACCCTCTTTTAGTTAAGTATCTTTTCTAATGCCTTTAATTAAAAAAACTTTATTTTGAAGTAATTTAAAACTTCAAAATAAGCAAGAAAAGAGCAAGAATAACACAGAGAACTCCCTATATCCCAGATTAACCAATTTTCAATGTTATTTTTGTCATATTTGGGGTATGGGGAGATCTTTTTGTTGTTTTTTTAAGAGTCAGAGTCTATCTTATCTTGCCCAGGCTGGTCTCAAATGTCTGGCCTCACATGCTCCTCCTGCCTCAGCCTCCTGAGTAGCTGCGATTATAGGCATGAGCCATCATGCCCAGCTTTTTTTTTTTTTTTGAGACGGAGTCTTGCTCTGTTGCCCAGGCTGGAGTGCAGTGGCGCAATCTCGGCTCACTGCAAGCTCCACCTCCCAGGTTCACGTCATTCTCCTGCCTCAGCCTCCCGAGTAGCTGGGACTATAGGCGCCCACCACCACACCCAGTTAATTTTTTGTATTTTTAGTAGAGACAGGGTTTCACCATATTAGCCAGGATGGTCTCATCTCGATCTCCTGACCTTGTGATCTGCCTGCCTCAGCCTCCCAAAGTACTGGGATTACAGACATGAGCCACCGCGCCCGACCTTTTTTTTTTTTTTTTTTTTTTTTGGCGACAGAGTCTCCCTCTGTTGCCCAGGCTGGAGTGCAATGGCACTATCACAGCTCACTGCGACATCCACCTCCCGGGTTCAAGCGATTTTCCTGCCTCAGCCTCCTGAGTACCTGGGATTACAGGTGCATGCCACCACGCCTGGCTAATTTTTTTATTTTTGGTAGAGACGGGGGTTTCACCATGTTGGTCAGGCTGGTCTTGAACTCCTGACCTCGTGATCCACCCGCCTTGGCCTCCCGAAATGCTGCGATTACAGGCGTGAGCCACCATGCCCGACCTTTTTTTTTTTTAAATCATATTTGCATTGTCCTTCATTCTCTATTTCCCCCTCCCTACCCCCATCCTCTTGCCTCTCCCACCACAGTTATTTCTGAACTATTTGAGAATAGATTGCAGATTTCACCCCTTAATATTTGTATATATTTCCCAAGAACAAGGATACTGTTTTATGTAACCACAGACAGTACAGTTATCAAACTCAGGAAATTTAATACTGATGCTTTTATCTACAGCTTATATTGCAGTTTTGTCAGTTGTCCTAATAATGGCCTTTATAGCAAATTTATTCCTATAGGATCACACGTCTCATAGTTGCCCTAAGGCCTTTGAGTTCATTTAGCATGCAAGTCTTTAAATGGTTGCCTTTTATATTGTTCAAATGATTAGCATCCTATTAAGTTTGGCCCACATAAATTTGTACACACACCTCCACCCCCACCCCCAGTCCTTTTGAGGGCAGATTGGACAAAAATATCAAGTTCAGGAGGTGTCCAACATGACTAGTTCCAGGAACTAAGTGACATATGGGAAAAGTGTCCTGCAGCTAATGGGCAGGTGCCAGGTAGGGAAAGGAGGGTTGAAATGGAGTGAGCAGAACATACCCTGGCGTTTGACTAATTTATGTTGGAGAAAAGGTCATGGGTTTACCGAAAATAGCAAAGAGATATTTCCTAGCAGAAGGAGAGAGATTGGATTTGCATTTAAATAATGCAGTTTTTAGGCCAGGAGCTGTGGCTCATGCCTGTAATCCCAACACTTGGAAGGCCAAGGTGGGCGGATCACTTGAGGTTAGGAGTTTGAGACCAGCCTGGCCAACATGGCAAAACCCCGTCTCTGCGAAAAATACAAAAATTGGCTGGGTGCGGTGGCTTTACGCCTGTAATCCCAGAACTTTGGGAGGCCAAGGCAGATGGATCACCTGAGGTCAGGAGTTCAAGACCAGCCTGACCAACATGATGAAACCCTGTCTCTACTAAAAATACAAAAAATTAGCCAGGCGTGGTGGCAAGCGCCTGTAATCCCAGCTACTTGGAAGGCTGAGGCAGCAGAATCTCTTGAACCCAGCAGGCGGAGTTTGCAGTGAGCCAAGATCATGCCATTGCACTCCAACCTGGGCAACAAGAATGAAACTCTGTTTCGGGCGGGGGGAAAAAATAGAAACAGCCGGGTGTGGTGGTATGTGCCTGTAGTCCCAGCTACTTGGGAGACTGAGGCAAGAGAATCATTTGAACGCAGGAGGCGGAGGTTGCCGTGAGCCAAGATCGCACCACTGAACTCCAGCCTGGGCGACAGAGTAAGACTCCGTCTCAAAAAATAAGTAAATAAATAAATAAGCAGTTTTTAGCAAGCATGTAACCTTCATCCTCTCCTTGGTGTTTTTCTGGCAAACCCTCGCACCTATCTGACTGCAGTTTTGTCCTTGTTCCAGGTGTGCTGGAGGAAGCGGAGTTTTACAACATCGCGTCCCTTGTGCGGCTGGTTAAGGAAAGGATACGGGACAATGAGAACAGAACTTCACAAGTAATGTATTTGGAACTGTTAAGGAGGGTTGTTTCAAGTGGGCTTCTGTCGGTCGGTCTGTGATTTGAAAAGGATGCCTTTACCCTTAGAGCTGGAGGTGTGTGTGGAACACCGTTTGCAGTGCAGGGAATGCACACTCAGCCAAACTGCACAGGAGAAAAGAAGAAACCACAAAGAAAACAGAATAGGCCTATGTCCCAATAGAATGAGAAGATTGTCGCTGCTTACCAGATGGCGGGAGGAGGCGCCCAGGGCACTTTAGGTCTAAAACCTGTTCTCTGCCCGAGTATGTCTCCCTCCTAAAGACCATAGAGGTCTTGGTTGCACCCGTTGGCCGCTCTTTTTTTTTTTATGAGATGGAGTCTCGCCCTGTCGCCCAGGCCGGAGTGCAGTGGTGCAATCTCGGCTCACTGCAACCTCTGCCTCCCAGGTTCAAGTAATTCTCCTGCCTCAGCCTCCCGTGTAGCTGGGACTACAGGTGTGTGCCACCACGCCTGACTAATTTTTGTATTTTTTTAGTAGAGATGGGGTTTCACCATGTTGGTCAGGCTGGTCTCGAACTCCCGACCTCAGGTGATCTGCCCGCCTCAGCCTCCCAAAGTGCTGGGATTACAGGCGTGAGGCACTGCGCCCAGCTTGGCCACTCTTTATGGAGATGAGCCTTTAGCATGTGATCGAGTCACATGCAGCTCCTGTGAGCCACTTGAAACCAGTCTCATGGGGTACGCTTCAGCAGCTGCTTGTGAACCATGCTTTTTTTTTTTTTTTTTTTTTTTTTTGAGACAGAGTCTCACTCTCTCCCCCAGGCTGGCCTCCCAAAGTGCTAGGATTACAGGAGTGAGCCACCACACCCAGCCTGAACCATGCTTCTAAGAACATAATATCAAGCTGCTCTTTATGATGGTGTCTTGATTTTGGCGGGGAGAGGGAGGACAAGGTCTCACTCCCGTTGCCCAGGTTGGAGTGCAGTGGCGTGATCACAGCTCACTGCAGCCTTGGCTTCCCAGGCTCAGGTGATTTTCCTACCTCAGCCTACCGAGTAGCTGGGACTACAGCTGCAAGCTACCACACCTGGCTAATTTTTTGTATTTTGGGTAGAAACGAGCCTTGTTGGCCAGGCTGGTCTCAAACTCCTGAACTCAAGCAACCCGCCCACCTCATCCTCCCAAAGTTCTGGAATTACAGGTGTGAGCTACCGCACCTGGCCTTGATTTTGATATTAACTCAGATACAGTAACAAGAGCGAAAGGGAATTTGCCCACCTAGTTAGAGGAAAGAAAGATGTTACGGCACATCTATTTCACATCCTGCCATTCGTCATATGTTTGTCGTGTGTTTGAATGGCCATAATAGCTTCTATTTGGCCCTTGGGATTCTGTAAGTAATTGAAAGTCCTTGCCCTCAAGAAGCTTGAAGTCGGCCGGGCGCGGTGGCTCACGCCTGTAATCCCAGCACTTTGGGAGGCCGAGACGGGCAGATCATGAGGTCAGGAGATCGAGACCATCCTGGCTAACACGGTGAAACCCCGTCTCTACTAAAAATACAAAAAAAATTAGCCAGGCATGGTGATGGGTGCCTGTAGTCCCAGCTGCTCGGGAGGCTGAAGCAGGAGAATGGTGTGAACCCAGGAGGCGGAGCTTGTAGTGAGCCAAGATCGCACCACTGCACCACTCCAGCCTGGGCGACAGAGGGAGACTCCATCTCAAAAAAAAAAAAAAGAAGCTTGAAGTATAGCCAGGAAAATAGACCCTCTCTTTCATGCGATTAGACTGTTTTAAGAAACTGCAACTACAGAGTTAACAGTAAGAAGGCAGAGTCGTGCTCCACCATGACTACCTGTGTTGTAGCATAATTGCCTCTTTTCCCATCAGATACTGGTAGTAGATGCTTTAGGTATAATCTATTGCAGCACAGAATTTTCCTGCCATTAAGAAGGCAGGAAAATTATTCTTTTTTCTTCTTTTTTTGAGGCAGAGTTTTCCTCTGTCACCCAGGCAGGAGTGCAGTGGCATGATCTCGGCTTACTGCAACCTCTGCCTCCCAGGTTCAAGCGATTCTCATGTCTCAGCCACCTGAGTAGCTGTGATTACAGGTGTGTGCCACAATGCCTGGCTAATTTTTGTATTTTTAGTAGAGATGGTGTTTCGCCATATTGACCAGGCTGGTCTTGAACTTCAGGCCTCAAGTGATCCACTTGCCTCAGCCTCCCAAAGTGCTGGGATTACAGGCATGAGGCACCATGCCTGGCATAAGTTTACTTTTAAAAGTAAAAAATAATGCCTTGGTCTTTCTATGTTAGATTTCATATATCAAAGTTTTCTGGCTCTAGGCCAGGTATGGTGGCTCACGCCTGTAATCCCAGCACTCTGGGAGGCTGAGGAGGGCAGATCACTTGAGGTCAGGAGTTCAAGACCAGCCTGGCCAACATGGTGAAACCCTGTCTACTGGCCGGGCGTGGTGGCTCATGCCTGTAATCCCAGCACTTTGGGAGGCCGAGGCAGGTGGATCACCTGAGGTCAGGAGTTCAAGACGAGCCTGACTAACATGGAGAAACCCTGTCTCTACTAAAAATACAAAAGTAGCTGGGGTGGTGGCACATGCCTGTAATCCCAGCTACTTGGGAGGCTGAGGCAGGAGAATGGCTTGAACCCGGGAGGAGGAGGTTGTGGTGAGCCGAGATCACGCCATTGCACTCCAGCCTGGGCAACAGGAGCGAAACTCCCATCTAAAAAAAAAAAAAGAAAGAAAGAAACCCTGTCTACTAAAAATACGAAAATTGTCTGAGTGTGGTAGCGGGCGCCTATAATCCCAGCTACTTGGGAGGCTGAGGCAGGAGAATCGCTTGAACTAAGATAGCAGAGGTTGCAGTGAGCTGAGATGGCACCACTGCACCCCAGCCTGGGCAACAGAGTGAGACTCCATCTCAAAAAAAAAAAGTTTTCTGGCTCTAACTGGAATATTTGGATGAATAACTGACACTAATGATGAAAAATTAACTCTTTTATCCACTTTATCTCCAGCAGTTTGCAAAAGTGAAGAGAAGGGCTTATTCATTTAGTTTTCTTCCATCTAGCTGACAGCTCAAAGGCTCCTTTTTGATGTTCAAAGGTGGCTTTGTAGTTGGTTTGCAGATTACCACTTGGAATGTGATCCAGTGTCACCAGTCTCTTTGCTATCTTACCTTTACGTGGTATCTTTCACTATTGTAGATATTTAATAGTTTAGACATTTTGGTAATCTAGCCTTATCCTCAGTTTCCCACATTCTAAAAAAATGATTGCTTACTATAGATTTTAAAGTACCATGAATTATGTAATTTGAAATGATTCAAGTCATGGTACCTGAACATTCTCCCTTCTTCGTCATTAGCTAATTCCTGGAGAGCATTATAAGATTTCTGTTTGATGACCGCAATTAAATTAATTAGTCTTCTAGATTCTGAAGGCTTGTGGATTTATACCCCTTTGGAAGCTTTTTTGTTCTAGGAATGTCAAGACCTTTTTGATGTTAACTATCTTTCCATCTGTCCTTTTTATGTAGTGAAACTGAAAAATGGATTTGATGTTATTCAAAGACACCCTCTTTTATACTTGTTGTATGTGGCTCTAAGATGAAGTTGGCTGTGTGTGGATTTTCGTTTTGTTTCATTTTGTATTTTTCTTTATTTTTTTGTGTGTGGATTTTCAAACATGTTACCTCCTTGAACTTACCTGTAGCCCCTCACACATGCAGGATTCAAGCCAAGCCCAAGATGTGGGCCTCAACCCTACCTTCGGTTTCATGACCTCTTAGCTCTTAGTGGCTGCCACCTAACTACTTTCCTCTGTTTCTTTTTTTTTCTTTTTTCTTTTTTTTTTTTTTTTTTTGGAGACAGAGTCTCGCTGTGTTGACCAGGCTGGAGTGCAGTGATGCGATCTCAGCTCACTGCAACCTCTGCCTCCTGGGTTCCAGCGATTCACCTGCCTCAGCTTCCCGAGTAGCTAGATTACAGGTGTGCACCACCACGCCCGGCTAATTTTTGTATTTTTAGTAGAGACAGGGTATCCCCATGTTGGCCACACTGGCCTCAAACTCTTGATCTTAGGCGAGCCACCAACCTCAGCCTCCCAAAGTGCTGGGATTACAGGCGTGAGCAACCATACCCAGACTCCTATTTCTTAGAATAGTATTTTTTGTAGGTGATTGATCCTGGTGCATTTGAGAGCACAAGTGGTTTACTTTGGAAGGGAGAAAAAAGAGGCAGTATAATGGCATCTTAAATACCTGGGACTTTGACAGCTGTGGCCAACATCACAGATCTTTTGTGATACTCTGAATTTTGTACTTATACAATTGGTTTCCAAAATAAGTGGTTACAACCAATTAAAATCTTCAGAGGATTTGTACTATATGTAATATGGAAGGAAATCTTTGAAATCCTTAGTACTTTGGTTAATGATAGCTATACCTCTTTTTTTTTTTTTTTTTTCCTCGAGGCAGAGTCTTACTCTGTCGCCCAGGCTGGAGTGCAATGGCGCGATCTCAGCTCGCTGCAACTTCTGCCTCCGGGGTTCAAGCAGTTCTCCCGCCTCAGCCTCCCGAGTAGCTGGGATTACAGGCACGTGCCACCTCACCTGGCTAATTTTTTGTGTTTTTAGTAGAGATGGGGTTTCACCATGTTGGCCAGGCTGGTCTTGAACTCCCAACCTCAGATGATCCGCCCACCTCGGTCTCCCAAAGTGCTGGGATTATAGGCGTGAGTCACTGCACCCGGCGATCGTTATACCTCTTTTGGAAGAAAACATAGAAGAAAAAATACAGCATTGTCGGCCGGACACAGTGGCTCATGCCTGTAATCCCAGCACTTTGGGAGGCCTAGGTGGGTGGATCGCCTCAGGTCAAGACCAGCCTGGCCAACATGGCGAAATCCCGTCTCCACTAAAAATCCAAAAAAATTGGCTGGGCACAGTGGCTCATGCCTGTAATCCCAGCACTTTGGGGGCCCAAGGCGGGCGGATCACCTGAGGTCAGGAGTTTGAGACCAGCCTGGCCAACATGGTGAGACTTCGTCTCTACTAAAAATACAAAACTTAGCCAAGCGTGGTGGTGGGCGGCTGTAATCCCAGCTATTCAAGAGGCTGCTGAAGCAGGAGAATCGCTTGAACTCGGGAGGCGGAGATTGCAGTGAGCTGAGATGGTGCCATTGCACTCCAGCCTGGGCGACAGAGCGAGACTCTCTCAAAAAAAAAAAAGGAAAAAAAAATAAAAAATTAGCTGGGCGTAGTGGCACATGCCTGTAATCCCAGCTACTCGGGAGGCTGAGGCAGGAGAATCGCTTGAACCAGGGAGGTGGAGGTTGCAGTGAGCCAAGATCACCCCACTGCACTCCAGACTGGGCAACAGAGCGAGACTCCATCTCAAAAATAATAATAAGGCTGGGTGCGGTGGCTCATGCCTGTAATCCCAGCACTTTGGGAGACCAGGGCAGGTGGATCATGAGGTCAGGAGTTCAAGACCAAGCCTGGCCAACATGGTGAATCCCCTTCTCTACTAAAAATACAAAAATTAGCCAGGCTTAGCGGCAGGCGCCTGTAATCCCAGCTATTCGGGAGGCTGAGGCGGGAGAATCGCTTGAACCGGGGAGGCGGAGTTGCAGTGAGCTGAGATCGCGCCACTGTACTCCAGCCTGGGCGACAGAGTGAGACTGTGTCTTAAAAAATAATAATAAATAGGCCGGGCGCGGTGGCTCATGCCTGTAATCCCAGCACTTTGGGAGGCCGAGGCGGGTGGATCACGAGGTCAGGAGATCGAGACCATCCTGGCTAACACAGTGAAACCCCGTCTCTACTAAAAAATACAAAAAATTAGCCGGGCGTGGTGGCGGGTGCCTGTAGTCCCAGCTACTTGGGAGGCTGAGGCAGGAGAATGGCGTGAACCTGGGAGGCAGAGCCTGCAGTGAGCCAAGATTGCACCATTGCACTCCAGCCTGGGCGACAGAGCGAGACTCCGTCTCAAAAATAAATAAATAAAATTATAATAATAATAAATAATAATAATTTTACCTTATTTTTGACTTGGGGAAATGGATTAAATCTAAGTTTGTTGGCATAGTTGCTCAAGCATTCATCCCTCTGAAGTTCAGAATTATTTTACCTTTTTTATTCTTTCACTCTTTGGATATGTTTTTATTGAAAAGCCACAGTATGCTGGCTTGTGGTCACTTAAAAAGAAAAACATTTTTTAAAGAGAAGGGAAAAAAAGAAACGCCACAGTACTATTTGTAAAAGGGGATAGTGGGTGGCTGCCAAGAAAAGATTTCCAAGCAAACTCCTTTTCAGTGTTTATTCATTTGAAGAGCCTCCTTGGGGCAGCTGCAAACTGTGGTGTCCTTGGTGCTGTTCTCAGTCTGCGCCTGGTCATTGCAGGGCCCCGTGAAGCACGTGTACAGAGTCCTGCAGTGTCAGGAAGAAGAGCTCACGCAGATGGTGTCCACGATGTCCGACGGCTGGAAATTCGAACAGGTACATCTCTTAACAGAGCAGCAATCCCAGGCCCCGTTCAAGGGGTCTGCAGCTCTTCAAACAATCAGTGTGGATGGCCAATTAATAACCACGGGAGACGGCTACGGCCAGGTGGGATCCTATTCCAAAACATGGGCAAAGAGCCATTTGGTGGGCACTGCTGGCCTAGTGGTGCGTGAGGAGTTGGGGAAACAGAGGAGCATCATGTCTTAGCTTCACACGCAGACTTTCCAGGGGAGCCAACGAGCAGTTTAGGCTTGAAGTGCCTCAAAGCCTTTGGTTTTTGTTCCCTCACAGGGATCGTAGAATGAGTCCCTAAAGGAGACTGGGATTCGACAACAATCCTTCCATTTCTTTTCCCAGGGTCAGAACTTTTTGGTTCTGAATGTCTTATGTAATCCACCGTGAAGAGCTTGGTGAACAGCTGTGCTAGGAAGGATCAGGCGCCATGGGAAGTGTGGTGCGGCCGTTTCCCCTACTTCTCTCCGCCTCGTGCTTACGACTGAGCTATCAAAACAAAGCTATGACAGTTGGAGCTTCACTGTTCTCCTCCATTAGATGGCAGACTTGTTAAATTCTGTTGCCTTCAAAACATAGGAAGGCCAGAGCGAATAGAGTAAATACAATTTTTTTTTTTTTTGGAAAGTCAAATCCCTTTCTTCATTCCATCCCTTTTAGACATGGCATTTAAAACAGACATTGCTACATCACTAACTTCCCACAAGCTGTGGTGTCCACTGGAAAAATGTAGTCCTTGATATTTCTATTTCACATTCAAGTGATCCTCTGCCACTTATTAACTGGTTCACTTCAATTTCAAAAAGCCAAAAAAGTCCTCTAACATAAGCCTTCCAAGGTGATACTTTCAGAAACCAGGGTTGGAACTAACCAGACAACAGCGCGACAGCCAAGACCAGCTGCTCTTGATGCCCTTTTCACTTCTGTGTTGTCCTGGTTGAAGTTGGCAAAGAGCAGCTGGCCGGCGCCGGCCTCCCCGCTCTGGCTCGCCAGGTTCATGGCTGGGCGCGTGGCGAGTGGGCCCGGCCAGGGAGGGCGCGCGTGCGAGGGCGGGTCAGGCTGCACTCAGGGTCTCGGTCGCCGCCACT
Organism: Homo sapiens; assembly: GCF_000001405.40. NCBI lineage: Eukaryota > Metazoa > Chordata > Mammalia > Primates > Hominidae > Homo > Homo sapiens. The sequence goes on from NC_000017.11 coordinate 75,060,712, forward strand.
CGCCACCCTGGGATCAACCGCCTGAGTAAATATGATTTTATACGGATTATGCCTACTTATGTGTAGAGTTTTAACAGGTCAACAGCTGTCTCACCAGATGCTTACCTTCTAAAAGAAAACTCACACTTTGCATTAATGCTGTTATCTCACAGATCAAGTGCAAAGCTGTCTCTGCCTTCAGAGCCAGCGGTGATTATTTCTCACACTTAGCTTCCACCACGGAATCCACTCTGCCTGTGTCTGTCATCCTGGTTCTTACTGGGCATGGGTTGTAAAACGTCGCCAAGAGTTTAATGCCCTCCACTCCAGAAGTATTTTTCCTAATATGAGCTCTTAAGCAAAGGATTTTTTTAATGTATTCTTTGTGAAACTAAAATGAATAATTTCTTGTTAATTTCTCATCTTATTACTGTCCCGTGGGAAGACGGAGGGTGTTCCTATTGCCTCCCTTCTGGATGAGGAAGTTTGTTTCAGACAGGCGGAGGCGCCCCCAGCCCCATCCTACCACAGTCAGCCATGCCGCCCATGTGAGGCCTCGCCTGCTCACTGGGATGCCCTCACCCTCTGCCTGAGCTGCTCCCCTGCGTGTGTATTTCCTCTTTAGAATTAAATTCTGAATTCTATTATCCAAAAAGGTTAAAAGTACCAGCATGCTGGGCACGGTGGTTCACACCTGTAATCTCGGCACTTTGGGAGGCCACGGTGGGAGGATTGCTTGAGTCCTGGAGTTCGGAGACCAGCCTGGGCAACATAGCGAGACCCCCCTTCTCTATCAAAAATAAAAGAATTAGCCAGGCATGGTGGCTGTAGTCCCTGTAGTCCCAGCTACTCAGGAGGCTGACGTGGGAGGATCACTTGAGACCAGGAGGTGGAGGCTACAGTGAGCTGTGATTGCACCACTGCACTCCAGCTTGGGTGACAGAGCTAGACCCTGTCTGGAAATAAAAAGTACCAGCAGCATATGACTTCCAGTAGCTGATCAGTGATTGGCTCGGTGCTTTCCAGAGCCTCCTGTCCCCAGTCTAGGGCTTCTGCTGATAGAGGAGCCAGCTGTGTGTGTGACTGAGGCAAATGTCCATTTTGTTGGCAGATGCGTTCTGTCTTCCCTTGCTGTGCTCGACGGGGCGTGGGCATGTTAATCCTGCCGCTGACGGGGGGGGACTTCAGAGCTTGGGTGAGGGGACAGTGGAGCTCATACTCTTCCTCCTGGGGAGGCCTCACCAATGATGCCCTGATGAAGAACAGGCCCATTTCTCCCCGGGGGCTTTGGTAGTCACAGAGAACTCATATAAAGAGTTAAACCTTTGATAACTTAAAAGTTCAGTCGGAAGAGGGGTGATTTGTGTAGCACTTTCGAAAGTATGTTAAGATTGCCACATGAATGTTCACTGTATTCTTGGTTCATCAGCTCATCAGCATCGGATCTTCCTATAACTACGGCAATGAGGATCAGGCAGAATTCCTCTGTGTTGTCTCCAGAGAACTAAATAATTCTACCAATGGCATCGTCATAGAGCCGAGCGAAAAGGCGAAGGTAAGGAGCCCCTTCCCTGGGCAGTTGCCTCTGGCTTGCTTGTTCGCACCCCCTCCGTGGGCTTTTCCTGAACTCTTGCTCCTCACTTCTTCCCTGGCCTTCTAGAGCCAGCGTTGCATTTTCCCCTCGTTTTGTTATTTTTGACTGTTGTAATTTAATTGGGATTTACGGAGCACTGACAGGTGTTTTTAGTTAGAAAATATGAACCTAAAAAGGGTAGACTTTCTCCATCCTCTGCCAAATCAATGAAAAAGAAAAGCTGGTTGCCACTAATTACTACAGGGTAGGATTTCTGAACTCAGACTTGGAAGGTATTTTGATTTATTCTTTAAAACTGTGCTTTTTTCACTGCCTCAGGAGAAAAGGGTGTTTTCTTACCTTGGTGACCTTTACCTCCCTTAAGTTCCTGGAAAACTGTTTCTTTTCCCTCCACTGTGCACCCCCCTCACCCCCAACACACACACACACACACACACACACACACACACACACACACACAGCTTCTAAATCGTGGATACCAGGTAAGCTGGAACCACTTCCTTTCAGTTGGCAAAGCTTTGGTCCAACAGCATATAAGCTTTAGACCCAGCTGTGCCCAGCAAGAGAGTGTTTCGCACCAGAAGCACTGCGGGTGAGGCTGCGGCTGCACCCCTGCTTGCTTCCTGGGATGACAGGACCATCATGCCACTCATCGGGTCCAGTGGAAAGCATCCCCCGACATCTCTGTCTTTCCCTCAGCAGCCTCAGCCTCTCCCCCATCTCCAACTTTCAGATTCTTCAGGAGAGAGGATCGCGGATGTAAACTAAGACCCCGAAAACTCCAGACCTTCAGGAGAGCAGTCAGCAGAGCCCCTCTGTGAAGTGAAACCTCACTCCTGTCCAGTGACCGAGCCACTGCAAAGCACAGCTGATCCTGGCCCCCTGTGAAGAAGTGTTCTGGTCAAAACTAAAGGAACTCCCTCCCCACCTGCAGGACTCCGAAGACAGTGCGACTTCTGGCTGCAGAATACCTTTTCAGAAACCTGCTTTCATTTGCTTAGCCAGTATTAGAACAGATCTTTACAACAGCAGCTGGGCTGGGTTCCCAGTCGGAGCCTTTCGGGGATCTGGGGGATGAGGGCGGAAGGCCTAGCTCCTTGGAAATGGCCTGTACTTTAAGGACGCTGGAGCCAAGAGGATTGTTCCCGTGCCGTGCCATGGTTTCACCCTATGTGTGCCACAATGGACGTTAGCAGCTGCTTCGGAACACCGTCCCTCCTATGCACCCTCCAAGACGTGCAGCAGATGCAAAGGGTTCTAGCTGCAGTTTGTCGAATTGAGGTTTTAGGTAAAGCATAGAGTTGCCAGAGTACCCCGCATTCCCATGAATAGAGCCTCCAAGGAAAGGGAGGATGGGGTGTCCTTTGTTGTGGTTGGAGGTTGGTGATCATTGCTCTGGATTTGGGGCTCCCGGCTGCCACCACATGCAGCTTTGCCTCACCTTTCTCCAGCAGCCGGGACCCTCTGGAGAGCTTGTTTTCCCTCCAAGAAGAGGTTTGAGACAGGCGGCATCCTGCACTGAGTCAGACAAGTGGGAGCTGTAGGAACTGCACCTGCAGCCTCTTCTTACTCCCCATTGACCCTGTCTTCCTTCCCTGGCTTTTTCAACTGGACCAAAGATGAAGGCACTTATGGACCCTTTGATGGCTTGGAGTGGGGAAGGCTGTTTCTTTGAAAGTTGCCAAATGTGTTATGTTGTGTCTCAGAGAGAGTTATTTCTGTGACTCTCTTGGAAATGCCTTGACTGAATGTGCAATATTTGTGTCTCTTGGTTTCTAACCTTGGCGGACCTGCTCCCCTCTGTACTGTCCCCAGTGGTATGTATGTATGTGCTAGGCAGTCTGGGGACCCCCTGTGTCTCTGACCACCCCCCTGACCCCCGCCATTACTTTCTTTTCTGGAGTGCCATGCTGGCGAGGATCCGGATGCGGCAGCACCCTCTTTCGGGCTGCATCCACAGAGTTTGTGTCCACACTTTCTCTCCGAGCATGTGGGTCTCGCTGAGCAGTCATGGAATGCGGTAGAGCCAGGGGACCCTGTCTGCCCCGAATAACTTTCAGTAGTATGGCAGATGGCACAGAGAAAGGGAAGGGGCTCTGGGGACTTCTCCTTCTATGAAAGCCTCCTCGAGCCAGGTGCTCCTGGGCACCTTCAGAAGTGATGTCCTGTGTGCTCCACAGCTCACCTGCTTGCCAAGGTACGTCTGGGTAGTAGTTTCTGGAAATGACTGCAGACTGTGCCAAATGTCTTTTGAGCTTCTGACCTGACCATGCCCAGATGGCATAACTTTTCCCTAGGACCCTCAGTCTCCTTGTTTCTCTGTATCTGTAGCATAGCATAGAACCCGGTATACAGGGGTTTCTGCTGACACATCAACGTCTACACACCTATGCGCCACATTTTACAGCTGTAAAGTGTTAGATGAACTGCCGTCCTCAGTAAAAGCAGCCACCCCTTCAAGAGTCACAGGCATCCATCCAGTCGTATCTTTCAGAGAAAAAAAAAGTTAGATGTAGCCAAGGAAAGTAGTGATCACGGGAAGGACTGCTCTGAGCCGGGTAGGATGGAGGACTTTGGAAGAGGCGCTCCTTGGCCAGGTCCAATGAGTAACATCAGACTGACAGAGGAAAAGCAGCTTGGTTTGCGGCCTTGTGCCCAGTCTCGTTGAGGCGCTTGTCCCTGTCTGCTTTCCTGGGGCATGCCTGATCAGCGTGGGCTGGAGCTCCTAGACCAACCCCAGCTTTCTCACCAGGTTCAGCAAGGAGGCCTGGGGGTCAGACACCAATGTTGAGCACCTCCTGAGGGCGCCGTTTCCTTCATTCCTCTTAGATTCCATAGTTGCCGCCATGAAAAGACTGCTCTTGAGCCCCAAGGCACAGGCACGTGCTCTGGGAAATAGACAGGAGTGGTATTTCCGCCCTCTCGGAGGGCTGGTGTTCACCAAGTTTCCCTCCTCGCTGCAACCCAATGACACCTGTATTGTTCCAGCGCTCCAGGACTCTGGGTTCTTAAGATTTCTGGGAGCGTTGTTCACCCACCCCCTTTAGGAACCAGGCTGGTGTTCTTGCTTGAAAGCGTTGTGCCCTCTGAGTGTCTGGCTGATCACATCAGAGAGGTCTGCGTGGCAGTTTGGGGCTGTCACGTGACCAGTGACCCACACTCTCTGCTGCCCAGTACTGCCAAGTGGGGAGGGTCCTGCCTTTTTCTCTGCCCCAGGTCTGGGACGCAGGTGATGCCAGCCAGGCCCAGGAGTGCCCAGCATCCCCCAACTGATGACACAGTAGCACTGATTCTGTCTTTTCCTCAGAATCTGGCCTTTTTCCATGGCAATGAGGTGGGGCCCAGCCTCCTCTAAAGTGACTTTGTTTCTGCACAGTTGTAACTGCTCTTGGGGATGTCAGTGAGGCTGGGAGCAGGGAGCCACGGGATGCTGAGAGAGGAGGCCCGAGAGGACACCCCACCCTCCAGCGTGGCCTTTGATCCAGACTTAGGGACGAGGCTGTCACTGGTGGGCACCCTCTGTTCCTGTTTGTGTGTTTGAATAGTCTGAAATGCTGTGACTTTTTTTGTGTGAATAAAGATATGAAACTTCTGAATCTCAAGAACTGTGGTGTGTTTTCCATTACTGCAGTCTCCTGGTTCCCACTGTCACTTCCTGTCGATGGTTCTCACATGGGTTTCAGGAGATGACTTAACTACCTTTCCTACCAGGACAGCTGACTAAGTCCTTTTCTCCTGCTACTGAAACCACCAAAGGGGGTGTTGGGCCTTCTCCCTCCTCCCTTTCATTTTACTGAATCTGAAAAGACCCAGAGAATGCAGAGAAACAGAAGGTGGGACGGATGGGCTGCCCACCAGAGAGCTGGAAAGAGACAAGGGGAGGAGTGTGAGATTTTTTTTTTTTTTTTTTTTCCCCGAGATGGAGTCTCGCTCTGTCACCCAGGCTAGAGTGTAGTGGTGCAATCTCGGCTCACTGCAACCTCTGCCTCCCATGTTCAAGCAATTCTCCCTCGGCTTCCTGAGTAGCTGGGATTACAGGCGCCTGCCTGCGCGCCTGGCTAATTTTTGTATTTTTAGTAGAGACAGTATTTTGCTGTGTTGGCCAGGCTGGTCTCGAACTCCGACCTCAGGTGATCCTCCCGCCTCAGCCCCCCAAAGTGCTGGGGTTACAGGCATGAGCCACCATCCCCGGCCGTGAGATGGTTTTTAAGGGACAAGTCTTTCTGGAAGAGAGTGAGTGACTAGGTACAAGGAAGAGGATGAGTGAGGAACGTTTGGTGACAACCAACAAACAAGTATTGATCACTTCAGCATCAGGCGGGGCATGGGAAACTCAGAAGGTGTTAGTCCCTTCCAGACAGCACTTTCAGGTAGGGAGACAAAATGGACTCATACAGCTTAGTGAACAGGATGCGTGGGTGCATCCGTCAGGGTCCAATTGAGACCACAGCAGTTGTTAACTGGTAGTGGAGAAAGGAAAGGGCAGGAGTGGACACTGAGGCATCACAATGTAGGGATTGCAGGGTGCAGTCCTCACTCCTGGGACCTGAGAACAGTGGGAAGACATTGGGATTATTAAAGTGGAGATTTGGCCGGGCGCGGTGGCTCACACCTGTAATCTCAGCTCTTTGGGAGGCCAAGGCAGGCGGATCACCTGAGGTCAGGAGTTCGAAACCAGCCTGACTAACGTGGAGAAACCCCATCTCTACTAAAAAATACAAAATTAGCCGGACCAGCTACTCGGGAGGCTGAGGCAGGAGAATCACTTGAACCTGAGAGGTGGAGGTTGTGGTGAGCCGAGAGCACGCCATTGCACTCCAGCCTGGGCAACAAGAGCAAAACTCCGCCTCAAAAAAATAAAAGGGCTGGGCGCAGTGGCTCACGCCTGTAATCCCAGCACTTTGGGACGCCGAGGCGAGCGGATCACGAGGTCAGGAGATCTAGACTATCCTGGCCAACATGGTGAAACCCCGTCTCTACTAAAAATATAAAAATTAGCTGGGCATGGTGGCAGGTGCCTGTAATCCCAGCTACTCTACTCGGGAGGCTGAGGCAGGAGAATGGCTTGAACCCGGGAGGCAGAGGTTGCAATGAGCAGAGATCACGCCACTGCACTCCAACCTGGTGACAGAGCGAGACTCAGTCTCAAAAAAAAAAAAAAAAAAAAAAGATTCACCTGCACTTTGGGAGGCCCAAGCTGGGAGGATTGCTTGAGCCCAGGAGTGTGAGATCAGCCTGGGCATCGTGGTGAGACTCTGTCTCTATGTAAAATTAAATCTAAAAATAAAATAAGGCCAAGTGTGGTGGCTCACACCTGTAATCCCAGCACTTTGGGAGGCCGAGGCAGGCAGATCACTTGAAGTCAGATGTTTGAGACCAGCCTGGCCAACATGGTGAAACCCTGTTTCTACTAAAAATACAAAAATTAGCCGGGCATGGTGGCACATGCTTGTAATCCCAGCTACTTGGGTGGCTGAGGCACGAGAATTGCTTGAACCCGGGAGGTGGAGGTTGCAGTGGGCTGAGATCACACCACTGCACTCCAACCTGGGTGACAGAGATTGTGTCTCAAAATAAAATGGAGATTCAAGAGGAGGGGACCAATGGAGAAGGACGTGCTGGCCAGTGGCAGCTGCTGCCTCTCAGAGGGTAGAGAAACCACCAAGAAACCAGCACCACTCCTGGAATCAGCTATGCCAGCACACAGCAGTGTTCTGTGGTTTGGCTCACAACAGGAAATACATCGTCCCTCCTTTTTTTCTCTCGTCTTGCAGTCTCCCTCAGCCTGTCCTACCAGGTTGAGCTAGGAGGGGGAAAATGTGGCTCGGAGCAGAGTTCAGAGGGTGGGTTTGGGGCTGAGAGACAACAATGTGGTGACTGGCTCAGTCCACCTGTTTGGTTCCCCTCACATGTACATGCTTCTGCACATACTTGAACTTGCATAGGATGGTGAAAAATGCTGGGTGTGGTGGCTCATGCCTATAATCCCAGCACTTTGGGAGGCCAAGGCAGGTGGATCACTTGAGGTCAGGAGTTTGAGACCAGCCTGGCCAACATGATGAAACCCCGTCTCTACTAAAAATACAAAGAATTAGGCTGGGCGCGGTGGCTCACGCCTGTAATCCCAGCACTTTGGGAGGCCAAGGCGGGTGGATCACGAGGTCAGGAGATGGAGACCATCCTGGCTAACACGGTGAAACCCTGTCTCTACTAAAAATACAAAAAATTAGCTGGGCGTAGTGGTGGGCACCTGTAGTCCCAGCTACTCGGGAGGCTGAGGCAGGGGAATGGCGTGAACTCGGGAGGTGGAGCTTGCAGTGAGCCAAGATCGCGCCACTGCACTCCAGCCTGGGCGACAGAGCGAGACTCCGTCTCAAAAAAAAAAAAAAAAAAAAATTAGCTATGCGTGGTGGCGGGTGCCTGTAATCCCAGGTACTCTGGAGGCTGAGGCAGGAAAATCGCTTGAACTCAGGAGACAGAGGTTGCAGTAAGCCGAGATCATGCCATTGCGCTCCATCCTGGGCAACAAGAGCGAAACTCCGACTCGGAAAAAAAGAAAAAAAAACGTGGTGAAAAAACAACTTCATGCCTCCATGGAACAAGATACAACTACCCTTCTACAAGCAAAAATAATCTCTCCTTCCCTCCAAAATAAACACGAAGTGCCAAGTCATTGTATCCCTGTCTCAGAGACAGTCACTATTTCTGAGCTATGTTAATTGCTCCTAATTGCCAGGCTCACACCTGGAATCCCAGTACTTTGGGAAGCTGAAGTGGGAGGACTGCTTGAGGCCAGGAGTTCAAGACCAGGATGGGCAACATAGGCCCCATCTATAAAATTTTTTTTTTAATTAGCCAGGCGTGGTGACACATGCCTGTAGTTCCAGCTACTCAGGAGGCTGAGGTGGGAGGATCACTTGAGCCAAGGATTTCAAAGCTGCAGTGAGCTGTGCCCTCTAGCCTGAGAGACAGAGTGAGACACTGTCTCTCTTTTTTTTTTTTTGAGACGGAGTTTCACTCTTGTTGCCCAGGCTGGAGTGCAATGGTATCATCTAGGCTCACTGCAACCTCCGCCTCCCAGGTTCAAGCGATTCTCCTGCCTCAGCCTCCCGAGTAGCTGGGATTACAGGCGTGTGCCACCACATCCAGCTAATTTTTGTATTTTTAGTAGAGACAATGTTTTACCATGTTGGCCAGGATGGTTTGATCTCCTGACCTCGTGATCCACCCGGCTCGGCCTCCCAAAGTGCTGGGATTACAGGCGTGAGCCACTATGCCCAGCCAGAACCTGTCTCTTAAAAAAAAAAAAAAAAATTGGCCAGTTACCATGGCCCACACCTGTAATCCCAGCACTTTGGGAGGCTGAGGTGAGAGGATTGCTTGAGGCCAGGAGTTCAAGACCATCTTGGGCAACATAGCAAGACCTGTCTCTACAAAAGAAAAAAATTTTTGTTAATTACTCCTAATTCGGTTGGTGTAATACACAACACCTAGTTGGTGACGGGCAGCTCAGGCCACAGGGTCACTTGATGTCCCATGAACTAGGTGTTCCATCTCGGTCAGGGCCCAGTGAAATAGTTACTTGCAAAAGAGGACATGGACCTGCCCAGAACCCTGGAGTTCTGCATGGCCACAGTCCAGTTGGGACTTGCAGGAGGCTCTGATACAGCATCTGTACTGGCAGGAGATAATTTCAGTATCACTGGATCTCCCCAGCCATAAAGCCCAGGTGGCAGCACAGAGCTAAATTTTTAATAAGAGTCATACCACACAGAAAGATTTTCATCAGTAAAGCTTTCCCCTGGAGTAAACTGTTACTCCATGAAGCCAGATTAATTCCTTGATCAATTTTCTATACAGGGCAATTAAATTGCTTCTAAGTTTTATATTTTCATTTTAATTTTTACTTAAATACTTTCATTAAGATCATGGTTTTCCTAGAATCTTTCTGAACTTACTCTGATTCAGAGGACTGCCCAATTAAAAAAAAAAAAAGACTGGGGCCGGGCGTGGTGGCTCACGCCTGTAATCCCAGCACTTTGGGAAGGCAAGGTGGGCAGATCACCTGAGGTCAGGAGTTCGAGACAAGCCCAGCCAATATGGTGAAACCCCGTCTCTACTAAAATACAAAAATGAGCCAGGCATGGCGGCAGGTGCCTGTAATTCCAGCTACTCAGGAGGCAGAGGCAGGAGAATCACTTGAACCCGGGAGGTGGAGGTTGTAGTGAGCCAAGATCACGCCACTGCACTCCAACCTGGGCAACAGAGTGAGACTCTGTCTCAAAAACAAATAAATAAATAAAAATAAAATATCGGCCAGATGTGGTAGCTCATTTGTGTAATCCCAGCCCTTTGGGAGGCCGGGGCAGGTGGATCGTATTCGAGGCTGCAGGGAGCTATGATTGTGCCACTGTACTCCAGCCTGGGCAACAGAGTGAGAAACCCTGTCTCAAAAAAAGAAAAAAATATATGCTTGGCCAGGAGAGGTGGCTCATACCTATAAACCCAGGTACTTGGGAGGCTGAGGTGAAAGGATTGCTTGAGCCTGGAAGGTCAAGGCTTGCTTGCTTGCTTGCTTGCTTGCCTGCCTGCCTGCCTGCCTGCCTTCCTTCTTTCTTTCTTTCGAGGCTGAGGTAAAAGGATTGCTTGAGCCTGGGTGGTTGAGGCCTTTCTTTCTTTCTTTCTTTCTTTCTTTCTTTCTTTCTTTCTTCTTTCTTCCTTCCTTTCTTTCTTTCTGTTTCTTTCTTTCTTTCTTTCTCTTTCTTTCTTTCTCTCTTTCTTTCTTTCCTTCTCTCTCTTTCTCTCTTTTTTTTTTGATGGAGTCTTGCTCTGTTGCCCAGGCTGGAGTGCAGTGGCACCATCTTGGCCCATTGCAACCTCCACCTCCAAGGTTCAAGCGATTCCCCTGCCTCAGCCTCCCGAGGTAGCTGGGATTACAAGCGCCCGCCACCACACCCGGCTAATTTTTGTATTTTTAGTAGAGACGGGTTTTTGCCATGTGGGCCAGGCTGGTCTCAAACTCCTGACCTTAGGTGATCCACCTGCCTCGGCTTCCCAAAGTGCTGGGATTACAGGCCTGAGCCACTGTGCCCAGCCGTGTGAGGGTATTTTCAACCGTCCGTCTGTCAGCTCTTAGGACACATTCCCAGAAGAATAGAAAGATAGTTTATGTAGAAATACATGTGAAGTGTCATTAGTGGAAAAAAAATTTTTTTAAACAAAGTATGTAACCATATTTAGCTGTATAAGAGAAATTTATTTGTGCACACAGTATAAAGTTAATTTTTCTTTTTTTTTGAGACAGAGTTTCACACTTGTTGCCCAGGCTGGAGTGCAATGGCACTATCTCGGCTCACTGCAACCTCCACATCCTGGGTTCAAGTGATTCTCCTGCCTCAGCCTCCTGAGTACCTTGGATACAGACATGTGCCACCATGCCTGCCTAATTTTGTATTTTTAGTAGAGACAGGGTTTCACCATGTTGGTCAGGCTGGTCTCGAACACCTAACCTCATGTGATCGCCCACCTTGGCCTCCCAACGTGCTGGGATTACAGGCCTGAGCCATCGCATCCAGCCTAAAGTTAATTTTTTCAAGGATTTAAATACATCTTTTGTAAGGTTTTTAAAATAAAGGCAGATTGAGTCAAGTTTATTGAAACTTTACATGGAGGGAAAGAATATGCTAATTTGACATTTTAGAGAAGTTTAAATGCAAGCGTTTGTTGTCCCAGCTTAGAGATTGGTGGGTGAGGTCTGTGTGTGTCATTTTCATGTTCCAAAACGGTGAGCTTTATCTTATGTTATTTTTGGTGGATGTTGACTTAGTTCATGAATGTTGTCACTTCTAAATGTGGACAGTTGGGCTGGAAGATAACACAGCCTCTTCCGGAGCCTAGTAATCCCTGCCAAGCCCCCATCAGTCATATTTCTAAATGAAGACATTATTTTGTTCACATTTCCTTGGAAGAAAATTAAGCAGCTATTAAAGTCATGGTCACCAGGGTCATGTTGTGGCATAAAAAGTACTAGTGAGTTAAATAAGGATTCAGAATTGTATGTATGAAACCTCTATCAACATATCAAAATCCAAGCGCATCACTTTAGGTTGTGTGACTCTCCCCCTTTCCTCCATTTTCCTTTCTTTTTTTTTTGAGATGGAGTTTCTCTCTTGTCGCCCAATCTGGAGTGTAATGGCACGACCTCAACTCATTGCAACCTCTGCCTCCTGGGTTCAAGCAATTCTCCTGCCTCAACTTCCCAAGTAGCTGGGATTACAGGCACCTGCCACTTCGCCCAGCTAATTTTTGTATTTTTTGTAGAGACGGGGTTTCACCATGTTGGCCAGGCTAATTTTGAACTCCTGACCTCAGGTGATCTGCCTGCCTCAGCCTCCCAAAGTGCTGGGATTACAGGCGTGAGCACTGGTGCCAGGTCGCCTCCATTTTCAAATTGTGTTTAAGGCTGGGAGCCGTGATTCACACCCGTAATCCCAGCATTTTGGAAGGCCGAGGCAGGCAGATCATTCGAGGCCAGGAGTTCAAGACGAGTCTGGCCAACATGGTGAAACCCCGTCTCTACTAAAATATACCAAAAAAAATAAAATTAGCCAGACGTGGTGCCGCACGCTTGTAATCACAGCTACTCAAGTAGCTGAGGCATGAGAATCAAGAATCGCTTGATCCGGGAGGCAGAGGTTGAAGTGAGCCAAGACTGCACCACTGCACTCCAGCCTGGGCAACAGAGTGAGACTCTGTCTCAAAAAAAAAAAAACCAAATTGTGTTTAATATACTGTATATATATATATATACATATTTATTTATTTATTTATTTATTTATTTATTTATTTATTTATTTTGAGTCTCTGGATGGCAGTAACTCAGTCTCAGCTCACTGTAACCTCCACCTGTCAGGTTCAAGCAATCCTCCTGCCTCAGCCTCCCAATTAGCTGGGATTACAAGCATGCACCACCACGCCCGGCCTATATATATATATACTTTTTTTTTTTTGAGATGGAGTCTTGCTCTGTCGCCCAGGCTGGTGTGCAATGGGGTGATCTTGGCTCACTGCAACCTCTGCCTCCCAGGTTCAAGCTATTCTCCTGCCTCAGCCTCCTGAGTACCTGGGATTACAGGCGCGCGCCACCACACCCAGCTAATTTTTGTATTTTTAGTAGAGACGGGGTTTCACCGTGTTGGCCAGGATGGTCTCGATCTCCTGACCTCAAGTGATCTGCCCCCCTGGGCCTCTCAAAGTGCTGGGATTTACAGGCGTGAGCCACCTCACCCGGCTGACACTTTTTTCATTGCAAGATTTTGTAGCCTCAGCTACTCAGGAGGCTGAGGTGGGAAGATGGCTTAAGCTGGGAATATGGCTTCAGCCAGGGAGGCAGACAGAGGTTGCAGTGAGCTGAGATTGCACCACTGTGCTCCAGCCTGGGGGACAAAGCGAGACACTGCCTTAAAAAAAAAAAAAAGACTTTGTCAGTGAAGGAAGGACTACATTGATTTACAACCTGGCATGAGCTTCTTATGTTGCTAAGAGCCAGCAGTGGTTCATGGACAGCACTTGGAATTGCACTGTTGTGTAATATAACAATGAAAATCCCCGTTGCTGGGATAGGTGGAGACTAAAGGCTTATGTGGGACTTGGGCCTGGCAGCACTGCCGCAGGGCGCCCACACGGCTGTATACCTGCTATGCCCCTTCTGGCCCTGCTGCCTCCTGAGCTCTCCAAGGCCCTTTCCTGTGGCCTGAAACCCTATGATCATCACTGTTAGGAGCAAATAACCTGATTCCTTCGAATTAGAGACAGGCTCTCAGGGAGTGGGAGCAGCCCTCCAAGCAGAGGGCTAGGCCGTGGGCCATCCAGCACTGCACCCTCATTCTCATTAAGCTGAGCAGAAGAATGAATGAGGGATGTCTCTTCTGGGCTCGGACATGGGCCTGTTTGCAGTAGGGCTTCTCTGAGGCCACCTCTCTGAATCAGGGGCCCCTCCTCCTCTCCCCCAACACCTTACCCCAGGTCGAGGTTCAAAAGGTCCAGGACACTGTGGGGAAGCAGATGCTGATCATCGCTGCTGACGGCCAAAAGCACCAGGGTCGGGTGGCCTTTCTCTCAGTAAGGTTGGCCCACCCCACCCCAGGCCCAGGCTTCCCCAGTGCCCTGCATCAGGCTGCAGGGACCTCCCAGGACTCTGAGTGGATGGCATGGGACCAGGCAGTCAGGGACAGGATGCCTAGGTGGGCTCCGGGCTGTGACAGTGGTGGTGCTGGAGTGGAGCTCACGGACGCCTCTCTACACACCCCACAACCTCCAGGAACTGATCCAGACAATGCGAGGTGAGGCGAACACCCACTTCTCGGAGATCATCAGGAGGTCAAACAGCTGCAGATGCAGATCTTGGATTTCGTGGAGAAAGAGGAAGCAGCCGCCCTGGGGATGCTGAGCAGCTCCATCCAGCAGAGCCACAACCGGCTCCTGAAGCTGGAAGGAGACAGCGTCTGGCTCCACACCCTGCTCATCAACCAGAGTGACCAGCAACGTCTGCAGGCAAGGTCCCAGCCCTCTGCCTCTGGCTCAGGCCCCATCGCAGCTTCCACTCTCCCTCCACCCACAAACACATCAGATCTCGGTCGGGAGTGGTGGCTCATGCCTGTAATCCCAGCATTGTGAGAGGCCGAGGCAGGCGGATCACCTGAGGTCAGGAGTTGGAGACCAGCCTGACCAACATGGTGAAATCCCACCTCTACTAAAAATACAAAAATTAGCCAGGCTTGGTGGCAGGCGCCTGTAATCCCATCTACTCGGGAGGCTGAGGCAGGAGAATCACTTGAACCTGGGAGACGGAGGTTGCAGTGAGCTGAGATCATGCATTGCACTCCAGCCTGGGCAACAAGAGCACAACTCCATCTCAAAAAAAAAAAACCACAAAACACACACACACACACACACACAGCCGGGTGCGGTGGCTCACGCCTGTAATCCCAGCACTTTGGGAGGCCGAGGCGGACAGATCACCCGAGGTTGGCAGTTCGAGACCACCCTGACCAAACATGGAGAAACCCCGTCTCTACTAAAAATACAAAAATTAGCTGGGTGTGGTGGCACATGCCTGTAATCCTGACTGCTCAGGAGGCTGAGGCAGGAGAATTGCTTGAACCCAGGAGGCGGAGGTTGCGGTGAGCCGGAGATTGCGCCACTGCACTCCAGCCTAGGCAACAAGAGCGAAACTCCGTCTCAAAAACACACACACACACACACACACACACACACACACACACAGATCAGCCTTTAGGGTGCATCACTGTGTCCATTCCCCTGCCTCAGGGAGCCTCCCCATTCCAGGTCTTCTGTCTTGAGCTTGCACGAACACCCTTGGCTTTCTCCACTTCAGAGCTCAGCCTTACCCTAACTTTCCTGCCTTGGTTTTCCTGGAACACATGGGATTCCAGGCATCTAGCACAGCCTAAGTTTCTCCAGACTTCCCTGGATCATGGCTGAGAGTGAGACCAGAACAATCTGTATAGCCTGGATTGAAATCCCTTTTCCAGCCCAGGAGGTGGAGGTTGCAGTGACCCAAGACTGCACCATTGCACTCCAGCCTGGGCAACAAACTAAGACTCTGTCTCAAAAAAAGAAAAAAAAAAAGAATCGTGAAATCCCTTTTCCTTCCCCAATCCTGGCCTGGCCCTGAAGCCTGGACTGATGCTGCTGTAAGTAGCGGGTGGGGCCAAGCAGCAGCCTTTTCTGGACGGTGCCTGGAGTTGCCCAAACCCTGTGCTTGGGAACTCCAGCTTCCTTTAAGCTGCCATCACACCCTGGGCAGACATCTAGGGCAACTGCTCACTTTGTCCCCTGTGCACAATGGGAAGCATTTGGCAATGGCTTTTACTAAGCAGTTCAAGGCACAACAAAAATCCTCCCATCATTTTCTGAAAATCCCCTTTGCCTAATGCACACTAGGCCACAGTGGCCAAGCCCTTGGCAAAGCCCTGACCTCTGATGTCCAAATAGCTAGGAGGAGGGAAAGGAGATGCCCAGGTTTGGAAAGGGGAAGCTTCTGCTCCACCGGCCCATGGTTCTGGAGGCCTCTGGGCCTGTGGCATCGGCCTAGGTCCTGGCTAACAGGTGGTACCTCTGGCCCCTCCCTGCATCCAGGGGTTCCTCCGACTGAAGCAGTTCTCAGCCTGCATGGAACCCCTGATGGGCATCAACTGTGAGGAAACGCAGAGCTTCCCCCAGCTGCCAGAGACCCTGGCTGAGCTCTGGATGCGGCTGCTGGACATGGGCCTCAGCTTCTTTAACCAGCTCTCAAAGTTCTGGGATTACAGGATTACAGGCGTGAGCCACCGCGCCTGGCCTTTTTTTTTTTTTTTTTTTTTTGAGACAGACTCTCGCTCTGTCTCCCAGGCTGGAGTGGAATGGCGCCATCTCGGCTCACTGCAACCTCCCCCTCCTGGGTACAAGTGATTCTCCTGCCTCAGCCTCCCGAGTAGCTGGGACTACAGGTGCCTGCCACCATGTCTTGCCAATTTTTTTGTATTTTTATTAGAGATGGAGTTTCACCATGTTGGTCAGGCTGGTCTTGAATTCATGACCTCAAGTGATCCGTCCGCCTTGGCCTCCCAAAGTGCTGGGATTACAGGCGTGAGCCACCTCGCTGGGCCCCCACTCAGTCTTGTGTGCCTGAACAAATACAAAGGGAGACGATGTTAGGGTCTGATGGCGGGGGAGGAGGGCGACCTGGGGCAGCACCCACTCACCCTCCAGGCTGTGTCTGAGCAGCGGGCTGAGTTTGGGGACAGGAGCGTGGGTGGAAGCATCCCCTGACTTGTATGCAAATGCCTTGCAAGCCAGCGTCCTGCCCTGGAGGCTGCTGACCCTGCTTCCCCACCTCCACCCGCCAGGTTACTGCAACCTGAACTTTGACCCCGCCACCGCCGGCGACGAGCTGTTCCAGCTCTAGGAGACCCGCTGGGTGCTGAACCTGGGGATCCTCCTGGAGCCCCTGACAGGGGGCGGCCCCTTCCCGGGCTTCAAGCAGTGACCGCAGATGCTGTGCTCGCGCGGCCTGTCCGAGGGCCGCCACTAGGACGGGAGGTGGAGGTGTCCAACTCGTGGGTGTGCCTGGGCGTCACCTACCCCCGCAGCTCCCCGCTCGGCGGCCGCCCGAGCCGCAGCGTGGTCTACCTGCTGGGCCGCAACCCCTTCTCGTGGTGCCTGGAGTGGGACGACAACGCGCAGACCGTGCTGCACGGCGCCTACCACCGCACGCTGGGCGTGGCGCTCGACTGCGACGCCGGCGGCTTGTCCTTCTACGGCCTGGCGGGTGGCGCCAGCCTCTTCTACCGCTTCCTGGCAGCCTTCCTCGAGCCGCTCTACCCCGCGGTCATGGTCAGCAGCGGCGCCTCGGCCACGCTCAAGCGGCGCCCGGAGCCCGCGCCGCCCGTGACAGCACCCCATAAATAAACCTGGACTTATCTAAGCGCTGGCTGGCGCGCCAGGACGGTTCCCGGCCCTGCGCCATCCCACCTCCCAAAACGCAGGCGACCCTTTCTCGCCACAGCCACAGGAGGGCTCTAATCCGGCTAGAGTTCCCCCAGGCACTGGGGACAGTCCCGTGGCCTTGTGGGTGGGGGATTCCTGACTGCGGTGCACAGCCCACTCCCAAACCCCATCCCAGCAGCGTCCTCTGGCCTTGGTTCTCCAGGCTGGTCTTGGCCGCTTGGCACTGGGGCCTGTGCCAAAGGCCTTGTCGTCTGAGAGGGGGCAAGGTTTGGGCCAGGTGGTCAGACTGAGAGGTGGCGCCAGCTGGATTGGGGTACGGGTGGGCTGTCTGAGTGGCTTCATTGTCGCCTGAGAGGTTAAACTGGAGGAGCCCAGGCCTACCTCAGATCCAAAAATGTTGGGCTGGGGACCCAAGCCCAGGCAGGGGTGGGGCTGCTGCCCAGAGCAGAGCTGCTCACTCAGCTGGTGTTTTACAGCCCAGAGGGGGTGTGACACTATCGCGGGTGAGTAAACCTTAAACCCCCTCCACCCTGCTGAGTGCTGCTGAAAGCTGCTCCCCCATCCCCAGCCATCACCAACCCACTCAGCTCCCAGAAGGTAGCACTGCTCACAGCAGAGGGGCTACGTCCATATCCAGGCCTCTGCCATGCGACCAGAGGCTGAATCCAGGCCGAGACCCTGCCAGGGGACCCTGGCCAGGCCATGACTGAGAACTCAGCTCCTCTGTCTGGGGAAGCGGAAGATTTGGGTGCACCATGGAGCCACCTCCACATTTCCAGCCTCAACCAGCCACTTGTTCCTGTGGCTTCTCAAGCAAGGGTTCTCAGCGAGGTTAATGATTGGCTCTGAAGAGGAACTGATACAAATCACTGAAGAAAAAAATCCCAAGGGCAACGAATTCCAGAACCAGCCCACGCGGTGCCCCAGGGGTGTTCCTGAATTCCGTCTCCACCTGGCCTGTTCCGGGAAAAATTAGTGACCCGGTTTTTCCTTCAAGGTGGTCATTTTGGAGCCAGGAGGGCACAGGGGGAGCAGAGTGTTCTCTGAAGGTTGGTGGGGGCGGGGGGGCTCCTCTGAGGAAGCCCTGGCTACAGCCTCGTGGTAGCCTTTCTCCCTGGAGCCTTCGCTCAGCTCTGAGCCCAGTGACTCATTCCCCACAGGCTGCTGCCCCTGTGAAGTAAGGAATGAGCTCGAATTCTTTGCCCCTTATTAAAAGACCTTTTACCCAAAATCCACATCTTGCCTCCCCACCCCACAGTCTTCCTCCTGGCACCAGTGGCCACAGGCTTCTGCAGAGGAGCGCTCAGGTCAGGAAATGCTGAAAAGGTGAGTGCATGACCCAAGTGGGTAGCAGCAGCCGCATACATCTCAGAGTCTTCCCACATCACGGGGCTGGCAAGGACAGGGGCTTCCTCGCCAAGTCCTCCCCGCTCTGAAAGACACTTGGTGGCAGGATGGTGCGTGACACCCTCAGGCACACATCCAAATGTCCCGGGGATGATACTTGCTCTCAAACAGCTGTTCCTTATTTGGGGGAGTCCTGGGCCCCCATAGGTCCGCAATGGTGGTCCTGAGGGTCCTGAAACTCTTTTCAGTATTTCCACGAGCCAGATGGCAAGCAGGCCTGTGCTTTCAAGGAGGCAGGTTAGCAAACCGAATGTCAGGGTGTCTGGTCTCTGCCTGGCCTGTTCCTGGAGAAATTAGTGACCCAGGTTTCAGCCTGTGCTTCATGGGGGAAAACATCACAGGGCGGGCAGGCGTGGTGGCGCATGCCTCTAATCTCAGCATTTTGGGAAGCTGAAGCAAGAGGATCACTTGAGCCTAGGAGTTCCAGACCAGCCTGGGCAATTAGCTGGGTGTGGTCACACATCTGTGACCAGGCCAGGCTGGTCTTGAACTCCTGACCTCGTGATCCACCCGCCTCGGCCTCCCAAAGTGCTGGGATTACAGGTGTAAGCCACCGCACCCGGCCGGAAATGTTTTTCAAATAATCCTTGGAGGCAGATTTGTTTACAGCCTGTTTGGATTTAGCCTGAGTGCTAAAGCAGGACCGGAAGAGTGAGTGGGTGGCATTCAGGGACAGTCCCTGCCCTGGGCCCCACAGTGGGGGAAAAGGGAGGGGCAGGGTCCACTGATGTGGGTTATTCATGAGCACTGGCTGAACTTGCTGCCCCCAAAGAGCCCTTCTGTGATTTTTTTTTTTTTTTTTAAGCAGGTTCTCCCTCTGTCACCCAGGCTGGAGTGCAGTGGCATGATTACAGCTCACTGCAGTCTCAACCTCCTGGGCTCAAGCGATCCTCCCGCCTCAGCCTCCTGAGTAGCTGGGACCACAGGTGCAGGTCACCATGCCAGGCTAATTTTTCATTTGTTGTAGAGATGGGGTATCACTATGTTACCCAGGCTGGTCTACACTTTCTGACTATAAAAGTAATTCTGCATTTATGTAATGTACTTCCATAGTGCCTACAATGTGCCAGCCACCGTTCATAGCAAATAGAATGTTAATAAGTATGAACTTGCCAGGCAAGGTGGTTCACGCCTATAATCCCAGCACTTTGGGAGGCCAAGGCGGGCAGATCACCTGAGGTCAGGAGTTCAAGACCACCCTGGCCAACATGGTGAAACCATATCCCTACTAAAAATACAAAAATTACCCGGGCATGGTGGTGTGCGCCTGTAATTCCAGCTACTTGGGAGGCTGAGGTAGGAGAATCACTTGAACCCAGGAGGTGGAGGTTGCAGTGAGCCAAGATCACACCACTGTACTCCAGCCTGGGGACAGAGGGAGACTCCAGCTCAAAAAAAAAAAAAAAAAAAAAGTACGAACTCATTCAATTCTCATAACCCTACAAATATGTATCATTAATTATCCCCATTTGTATGGTTGAGGAAACTGAGGGATGAGAGGATAAAGGACTTGCCCGAGGTCATGAAGGTATGCAAGTTAGGAAGCCAGGATTCAAACCCAGGCAGTCTGCTTTTTTAATCACTGTACTACACCACTTCTCTTATAATGCATACATTGTAGAAAATCTACACAACATAGAAACACATAAAATAAAACCTGCTGGGCATGGTGGCTCATGCCTGTGACCCCAGCACTTTGGGAGGCCGAGGCAAGTGGATCACTTGACGCCAGGAGTTCAAGACCATCCTGGCCAACATGGCAAAACCCCATCTCTACTAAAAATACAAAAAATTAGCTGGGTGTGGTGGCGTGCACCTGTAGTCCCAGCTACTCAGGAGGCTGAGGCAGGAGAATGGCGTCAACCCAGAAGGCAGAGGTTGCAGTGAGCAGAGATTACATCACTGCACTCCAGCTTGCGCAACAGAGTGAGACTCCCATCTCAAAAAAGAAAAAAAAAACACTCATAATCCTACCCCCAAAAGATAGCCTCTCCTGCAGTATTTCCTTCCAGTCTATAATAGACAGAGCAATGTAACAGCTGCAAATGTAGGAAGCTAGAAGACAGAGTAACAGGTCATATGGTACTTTTTTTTTTTTAAAGAGATGAAGTCTCACTATGTTGCCTAGGCTGGTCTCGAACTCCTGAGCTCAAGTGATCCACCTCAGCCTCCCTAAGTACTAGGATTACAGGCATGAGCCACCATACCCAGCCTGAGCCACCACACCATATGGTACATTTTCACCAGTATCCATACTGTGCATATTTTCCCAAATTACTGTCAAAATAGAAAAAGGGCTTGTTTATTTTAATCATGAGACAAAAACGGGCTTGTTCACTGGCAGCATATTATTAATACATCCTACAAATCTGTCCAATAGCTTTGTTTTGTCCTTAATCTCTTCCCTGGTTCCCACTACAAGTGGGTGACAAGAGGCAACCCAGTCAAAGCCATATATGTTGCTTCCTGGATGTTACTCCAAGTTTGACCCAGACTCCTCGGGAGGGTCCAAGTAGAGCCAAAGAACCTGGAGGCATCCCATCATCCCATTTTCACAGGCGGGAGGAAGCAGGGAGCAAGACCAGATGGCAGGAGACTGGGGAAGGAGCCTTTAACCCTTTCCTCCCAAGGGCAGTGTGCTCAGGGCTGGGCTGGAAGGGAGAGGGTGTCTGTGGGAACCTCAACAGAGGCCCTGCCTGGCATACCATGGGTACCCGATGACTGTCAGGAGCATCTTTCCCAAGAGAACATAAGCTCACCTCTGCACTTTTCCTGGGATGGAAGGCAGCTGATGGCAACCCGGACCAGGCTCCACCAGCTAAGGAGAGGTGGGCCGTCTTCAGCCCGCCCTGCCAGCCCAGTCCTTCCCCCATTTCTTTCCAGCTCCCTACCATGAACACCTGTCTCCATAACTCCCATTGTCTTCATCACCAGCCCCCTTCATCCCCACTCTTACCCCACTCCATTCCACCCCCAAAGCATCCCACCTCCTGGCCTTTTTGCTCATGCCGTCCTCTCTGCCTGAAGCACCCTTCACACCCACCCCCTGCTTGTGTTATTCCCACTCATTCCCTAAGACTCAGCTAAGTGTTCCAGGAAGTCTCAGTCTCCACTCTCCAAGCCAGGCGGGTTTGCCTCGCATCTGCTCCATAATACCCTTTGCACATGTGCCCCCTGCCACCCACGTTGTCCTGTTTCATGTGTGAATTCACCATCAGACTCAGGGGTCAGCTGGGTATGTCATGCCTATGACTCCAATGCTTCACGCGTGCCTGACACACAGCAGATGCTTAATAGTAGTGGACCCGAGAACTAAGGAACCCTTCCAGAGGTTGGAGGTTGGGGACCACTGCAGATCCCTTCCTGGGCCAGGCTGGGTGTGGATGGCCCAGGCATGCTTGCTTCCCTCCTTCCTTCCCCTCTCGTGCCATCCCCTTCGTCCCTTCTGAAGCTGAGTCCATGTACCCACTGCATCTAGGCAGGACAAAGAAACTGCCTGTCTCCTTCTGTGTCCATTTTGACCTCCCTGTAGCCTGAAGATTCTTGAGCCTGAGGACCCTCCTGAGCAGGTGGGTCAGGGGAGAGACACGTGCCTCTCCCAGCCTGTTGCCTGATGTGTAAAACGGCATGCATAGGGATGCCATTCATATTGACTGAGGCTTATATGACTCCAGGGCTTCTCAGATGACTAGGGGGTTGGGAAACACAGGCGTTGTGAGCGGGGCAGTGACCAGAGTGAGGAAAGTGAGACAGTCACCTGGAGTGCAACATTTAAGGGAAGGCATCAAAAACTTAGCAATCAAGATAAATTAAATAATATTGGCCAGGCGTGGTGGCTCATGCCTGTAATCCTAGCACTTTGGGAGGCCGAGGCAGGCAGATCTCCTGAGGTCAGGAGTTTGAGACCAGCCTGGCCAACATGGTGAAACCCTGTCTTTACTAAAAATACAAAAATTAGGGAGGCTGAGACAGGAGACTCACTTGAACCTGGAAGGCAGAGGTTGCAGTGAGCCAAGATCACGTCATTGCACTCCAGCCTGGGCAACAGGAGTGAAACTCCCTCTAAAAAAAAAAAAGAAAAAATTAGCCAGATGTGGTGGCGCATGCCTGTAATTCCAGCTACTGGGGAGTTTGAGACAGGAGAATTGCTTGAATCCAGGAGGTGGAGGTTGCAGTGAGCCAAGATCGTGCCACTTCACTCCAGCCAGGGCAACGGAGCAAAACTCGGTCTCAAAAACATAAATAAAAAAAAAAATAAAATAAAATAAAATAAGAACAGATCGCTGGGCGCAGTGGCTCACGCCTGTAATCCCAGCACTTTGGGAGGCTGAGGCGGGTGGATCACAAGGTCAGGAGATCGAGACCATCCTGGCTAACACACTGAAACCCCGTCTCTACTAAAAAATACAAAAAATTAGCCGGGCGTGGTGGCAGGCGCTTGTAGTCCCAGCTACTCGGGAGGCTGAGGCAGGAGAATGGCGTGAACCTGGGAGGCGGAGCTTGCAGTGAACGGAGATCGCACCACTGCACTCCAGCCTGGGCAACAGAGCGAGAATCTGTCTCAAAAAAAAAAAAAGAACAGATCTGACCTGACCTGGCACTCCCTGCCAAACTCCTCTCAAAGGAATTCACTCGCTGGTTCCAATGAAATTTTATTCACAAAGCCAGGTAACTGCCCCAAGGCCCATGGATTGCTGATGGGATTTTCTAACAATATTGCATTAACTTTTTGTCTTAATTACTGAGCTTTTTTGGTGTCCCCTAATATTCTGAGCCGGAGGTGAGTGGCTCAGTCACCTCATCCTAGCAGGGGATGTCACAGACAAGGAGGGGGTGTCAGGGATGCCAAATGTTCTGCAATGCTCAAGTCCTGCCCCCAACACAGATAGCGCCCCTGTTGTTGGTAATGTGTTGGTATAGCAACACTGCGTGAAAAGTGATGAAAAGTGAAATAACATTCCTGGAGCCAGTTGCTCACTCTTGCCAAAGTAAATTAGAATCAAAGTGTCAGAAGTCAGTGTCAGGGGCACTGGTTAGAAGGCTTTTGGGTCCTTGCCAAGTGTTTCTGGAAGCTGCATCTTTCTCGTTGACATTTCCTGTCTGGAGGTCAAAGGCCTTGTTGCCTTTGAGTTTCACACAGCGAACCACACAGCTGGAGATGGTTCAATTTCTGCCCGGTTTGCTTCAGTGCTCTGTAAGTGTCCCGTGAGTGGCTCCTGTGGGCCAGGCACAAGGCTCCGCAGGGTGGGTGCGGTGGGGAGCAACGTAGATCCATTCCCTGCCCCCACCGCAGCTCAGGGGTTTGGGGGAACAGACCCTAAGGTTGGTCACAGTGGTGCCCACACTAAGCTACACACTGAGATAAAGGCTTTTCAGGGCTGGGCGTGGTGGCTCACACCTGCAATCTCAGCACTTTGGGAGGCCGAGGCAGGCGGATCACTTGAGGCCAGGAGTTCGAGACCAGACTGACCAACATGGTGAAACCCTGTCTCTACTAAAAATACAAAAATTAGCCAGGTGTGGAGGCGGGCGCCTGTAATTCCAGCTACTTGGGAGGCTGAGGCAGGAGAATTGCTTGAACCTGGGAGGTAGAGGTTGCAGTGAGCTGAGATCGTGTGGTTCCACTCCAGCCTGGGCGACTGACCGAGACTCCATCTCAAAAAATATATATATATATATATTTCCATCCTTAAAGTAAACAAAGATAGGACACAAAAAGAATGAACTGTAGGAAAAAAATATATAAACTGGACTTCATCAAAACTAAAAACTTTTGCTCTTCAAAAGATACTGTTAAGATAATTGTGCTGGTGCCGTGGCTCACACCTGTAATCCCAGCACTCTGGGAGGCCAAGGCAGGCGGATCATGAGGTCAAGAGATCGAGACCATCCTGGCCAACATGGTGAAACCCTGTCTCTACTAAAAATACAAACATTAGCTGGGCATGGTGGCACGCACCTGTAGTCCCAGCTACTCAGGAGGCTGAGGCAGGAGAATCGCTTGAACCTTGGAGGCAGAGGTTGCAGTGAGCTGAGATTGTGCCACTGCACTCCAGCCTGGTGACGGAGCAGGACTCCATCTCAAAAAAAAAAAAAAAAAAAAAATTGGTTGGGCGCAGTGGCTCACACCTGTAATCCCAGCACTTTGGGAGGCTGAGGTCGGTGGATCACTTGAGGTCAGCAGTTCAAGATCAGCCTGGCCAACACGGTGAAACCCTGTCTCTACTAAAAATACAAAAATTAGCCGGGCATGGTGGCATGAGCCTGTAATCCCAGCTACTCAGGAGGCTGAGGCAGGAGAATCGCTTGAACCTGGGACACGAAGGTTGCAGTGAGCTGAGATTGTGCCACGGCACTCCAGCCTGAGTGACAGAGTGAGACTCTGTCTCAAAAAAAAAAAAAAAAGAAAGAAAGAAATTGCGGTTTAGGGGTCATGCAGCCCCTGGCTGCAGGAGTCTGAATCTTCCCAGATTGCTCCTGGGGATAACATCATTATTGCAAAATCTAAGATCAGTGCTTGAGATATTTTGTAGACTCTGAACTCCATGGATCAGCTGACACCACCCAGACTGGTAATCTGACTCAGCCACTTCTGCCATCCAACCCAGGAACAGAGGACAGCAAGAAAACCTCACTTCAACCCCTTATGAGTCCATCTCCAACCTGACCAATCAGCACTCCCCACTTCCCCAGCACCTACCCACCAAATTATCTTTAAAAACTCTGATCCCCAAATACTCAGGGAGACTGATTTGAGTAGTAATAAAACTCCCGTCTTCCACGCAGCCAGCTCTGCATGAATTAGTCTTTCTCTATTGCAATCCCCCGTTTTGATAAATCGGGTTTGTCTAGGCAGCGGGCAAGGTGAACCCACTGGGTGGTTACAGTGGCTGAGGTCAGTGAGTGAGGAAGAATGATTTGAGGCCAGAAAGGTGGGTAAGCGCCAGGCTTGGAAGGGCCCTGTAGCCACCCCAGGGGCTCACCTTCATCTCCAAGGCCTGCAGGGTTTCAGTTTTTTGTTTTTTTGTTGTTTTTTTTTTGAGACCAAGTTTCACTCTCATCACCCAGGCTGGAGTGCAATGGCACGATCTCAGCTCACTGCAACCTCCACCTCCTGGGTTCAAGTGATTCTCTTGCCTCAGTCTCCCAAGTAGCTGGGATTACAGGCATGCGCCACCACACCCGGCTAATTTTTGTATTTTTGGTAGAGACCGAGTTTCACCATGTTAGCCAGGCTGGTCTCGAACTTCTGACCTCAGACGCCCCTCCCGCCTCAGCCTCCCAAAGTGCTGAGATTACAGGCATGAGCCACCGCGCCTGGCCAAGGCCTGCAGGGTTTTAAGCAGGGTTGGCAGTAGGGCAAGATCAGGCTTAATGGATCCGAAAGATCAGTCACCTACAGTGTTGAAAAGGAATCTGAGGTCTGAGCTGGACAACGGGTGGCGGTGGATGGTGTGGGGATGGAGATGAGGGTAAATGGTCAGGTTTGAGAAACAGTAAGGGGGTAAAGTGAGTGGGACGTCGTTGTGGATTGGTTGTGAAAGAGGCAAAGGTCAAAGAGACTCATGGGATTTGGCCCAGGCACCTAAGTAGATGTGGTGCTGTAATTTGCTCAAGCATGGAGCACATAAGGTATCCCAGGTTTAGCAGGGGGCGGCAGAGGACAGTGTCAATGGCAAGTTCCGGTCAGTGTTGAGTTTTAAAGGCCTTTGAGGCACACAAGGATAGGTTCCAGGTTGAATATCTGGACTGGACATAAAAGGCACCGGATCCTGAGTATACAGGGTGTGGTTGGAGTCACCATGTGGAGTGAGAAGAGGGAGGGTGAAGGTCTGAGGCTGTGAAACTCCATCGTCCACAGATCAAAAATAAACAAGGCCGGGTGCGGTGCTCATGCCTGTAATCCCAGCACTTTGAGAAGCCGAGGCGGGTGGATCACCTGAGGTCAGGAGTTCAAGACCAGCCTGGCCAACATGGTGAAACCCCATCTCTACTAAAAATACAAAAATTACCCGGGTGCCGTGGCGTGCACTTGCAATCCTAGCTACTCAGGAGGCTGAGGCAGGAGAATTGCTTGAACCCAGAAGGCGGAGGCTGCAGTGAGCTGAGGTCGCGCCGCTGCACTCCAGCGTGGGCAACAGAGCGAGACTCCCGGCCAACTGAGTACATTTCAACTAATGCACATCAAGGACTACCCAGGTAGGGGAAGAGGGAAAAACCTGAAAAGGGCCTGTAGTTCTGAGGGCCACATGCAGAAGTGGTGGGTGTCCTCTCACCTGCTCCCAGGGCTGAGGGGTCTGCCTGCTCCCCTACAAGGGACTGCCTGGACTCCCACCGGCAGGCGCAGCCCTCAAAGCTCGAGGCTTTCATTGGAAGGGCTCCTGGGCAGGGAAAACGCAGAAAGAAGGGATCCTCAACCTCGGGCTCTGCGCCTTCCCCACCCCACTTCCTGGGAGGTGTGGTCTCTTTATGGCATGTTATCTCCGCCCCAAGCCCGGGGCCCTAGACCCTGAGCCGGGAAAACCAGAAGCTAGAAAGAGGGCATCCGGGTTGTGCAAATTTCAGACACACGGATATCCCGTGGCGCCTGCGTCCGGAGCCCGGCCCTGCTGCTGGACTGTCCCCGGCCACGCCCGCCGCCCCTCCCGCATCCTGGCCCCTTCCCCACCCGACGGAATCCCGGGGAGGCTGGAAGGTGGGTCCCCGCCCACACCGCCCTGGGCCCGCCCTGCCTGGCCGCGGCGCTTGGCCCAGTCCCGCGGTCCTCGTCGCGACCGGCCCGGGCCGCAGGACGCCGCGCTCGGGGGAGCTGAGCCACCTCTCCGCCAGGCCCGTGCGAGCGGGTGAGCGGGCCCCCCGGGCCCCACTGCCTCGGACGCGTCCCCTCCTCGCCCAGTCCCCTCTAGCGCTGTCGCAGACCTCCTGCCAGGGCCCCAGGTCTCCTCCCGCCTGGGCGGGCTCAGTGGCGGTGAGGATCTAGAAAAGTCTTCCTGTCCTGGTTCTGGGCTGCCCCGGGGCCTGGGGTGATGACCCGCAAGCCCAAGGGCGCTCGGACTCCTGGCCCGAAATTCCAGGGCGGACACAGCCCGGGATCCCAGCAGCCCCAACTCGGAGGAGCTCTGCCCCGGGGAGGGAGGGACAGCGGAGTGGAAACCAGATTCCGGGGCAGCACTGCGGGGATGGGCAGGGCGAGAGTACGGCATGAGGTCCCAGTTGCCTGTCCCAAACCCTTGCTGGTTTTGCAGTGAATATGGGGGGATAAGGGGAAGGGAGAGAGTGATTTGCCCCAGCCACCCCACCTCTGGGGCTGCCTCCCTCCTCCCTAGGCCAACCACAGGGTTGAGGGTTCCTCAGCCCCAAGCTCAAGCCTGCCCTTGCTGCTCTCTGCTGGACGGGAGCCCTTCTGCTGCCTGCCTGGGTCCAGGGCTCCAGCCCAGGAGCCTACTTGATATGGGAAGGAGGGAGGGGTCCCCAGGGCCTGCCTCATTTCCAGCCCGGGGCTCTCCCACCATGGGAGAAGAGCTGGGAAGAAGAAGAGGAGGCCCCCTCGACTCTGGACACCAGGCCCCTAACACGAGACCCCTGGATGAGAGCATCCGCTCTCCCGTGACCAGGCGTTCGAGCTCCAGGGGCAGGGAAAGGATTCCCAGGGCCTAGTGAGGCCCCTGTTATCAGATGAGGCGCCCTGAAAACATAGGCTGGGCTTGTGTGAGATGGGAGAAAGACCAGAAGTATCGTCTAAACTTCTCCCTGCCCACACATCCAGCTTCATGGCACTGTGCTACAAAGCTGGTCTCATTGGGCCTAGGGGTCTTTGAGAGCTGAGCTTGGCAGCCCCTGGGGCCCAACCTCACCCCTAGTCCCAGCAAGTGAGAGCGAAGCATCTTGCCCTGTCTACCTCCTTGCCCAAAGCACACACCAGGCAGTGACCATGACTCATGGTTCCCAGTACAAAGAAAAGAGCACTTCCCTGCTGGGGCAGAGGCCAAGCCAGAGCCCTGGCCCCATCACCTCTCTGCCCTGCTTGAGTCTGGAATGGACCTCCCTGCCTGGAAGCTGCATTGCCCTTGGTCCTGGGCCTGCCTGCCCCCTGGGGAACACAGGTGGGTCACATTCATCTCCTCTTTTGTGCTCAGCCAGAGGCTGGGTGAGGGTTCATGAACAGGTTCTTGCTTATAGTGTGGAAGGGGTAGCAGGGTGGGGGGTGACAATAAAGAAGGGGGTGATCCACTCCAGTGTGGTGTGAGGACCACTATTAAGGTGAGAAAACAGGCCAGGTGCGGTGTCTCACACCTGTAATCCCAGCACTTTGGGAGGCTGAGGCAGGCGGATCACTTGAGGTCAAGAGTTCAAGACCACCTGGCCGATATGGTGAAACCCCGTCTCTACTAAAAATACAAAAATTAGCCAGGCATAGTGGCGTGTGCCTGTAATCCCAGCTACTTCGGAGGCTGAGGCAGGAGAATTGCTTGAACCCGGGAGGCAGAGATTGCAGTGAGCTGAGATTGTACCACTGCACTCTAGCCTGGGAGACAGAGCGAAACTTCATCTCAGAAAAAAAAAAAAAAAAAAAAAGGCGAGAAAACAGGAAGGAGGTGCAGCCCAGCCTGGGGTGGGAGTCAGGTTAGCTCCCAGGATGCTGCTAGGGCTGAATCTTCTTTTAAGACTACTCAGGAGCGGTAGTAAGAAGGAGGGAAAGAGTAGAACAAGGAGATCGATCTGTACCTGCCTGTGAACAATTAACTGAAATTACTCACTACCTTTGCACCCGCCTAAGGGGTGAATTTTTTCTTTTTTTCTTTTTCTTTTTTGAGACAGAGTCTCACCGTCACCCAGGCTGGAGTGCAGTGACGTGATCTCGGCTCAGTGCAAACTCCGCCTCCTGGGTTCAAGGGATTCTCCTGCCTCAGCCTAGTTTTTTATTTGTAGTAGAGACAGGGTGTCACCATGTTGGCCAGGCTAGTCTTGAACTCCTGACCCCAGGTGAGCCGCCTGCCTCGGCCTCCCAAAATGCTGGGATTACAGGTGTGAGCCACCGTGTCTGGCAGGGCTGAATTTTGAAAGACCAGTTGACTGGAGAAACCGCTCGATGGGAGGGGAGGCTGGAGAGCCGACTGGGCATCCATACCGTGTATGTGACCTGGGACTTACTGGGAGTGGGAGAGGAGACAGGGAAGGCCATGTCTGCAGTGGGGGTCCCAGAGAGGCGGGGGAAGGGGGTCCTCAGACCTTGGTGGCAGAGTTTCTTTTCTTTTCTTTTCTTTTTTTTTTTTTTTGAGACGGAAGTCTCACTCTGTTGCCCAGGCTGGAGTGTAGTGATGCGATCTTGGCTCACCATAACCTCCGCCTCCCGGGTTCAAGCGATTCTCCTGCCTCAACCTCCCGAGTAGCTGCGACTACAGGCGAGCCCCACCACGCCCGGCTAATTATTGTATTTTTAGTAGAGACGGGGTTTCACTATGTTGGCCAGGCTGGTCTCGAACTCCTGACCTCGTGATCCGCCTGCCTCAGTCTCCCAAAGTGCTGGGATTACAGGTGTGAGCCACCGCACCCGGCCTGGCAGCAGAGCTTCTAGTGTGCAAAGGTGCATAAGGGTTCCTGGGCTCGGATTGGCCTGGGGCCTGGAGAGAGGAGATGGTCAGGAACAGCCAGCTCCACTGAAAGGTTCCGGAGGGAAGGTGGGATTCAGAGTGAAGGTCACAGGAGCCTGGGCAAAGTCCCCAAAAACACTGCCCCAAAAAGTGGATGCTGAGAAGAGCTCTTCTCATAGAAAGAGACTTCTCCATAGACTTCTTCCTGGCAGAGCAAGAAGGGACCAGAGCCAGGCAGTGGGGAGAGGGAGCAGGGCTGGGGTCCAGCCTCCAGGCCTCCCAAATGCTACCAGGGCCTCGGGGCCTGGGAGTGCCAGGGCTAGGTGGCAGGGAACAGGCAAAGGCAGGAGGAAGCCAGGAAGGCTGTGGCCTTTCCGGGAGGAAGAGGTGAGAGTATCAAGTGGGAGAGCGGAAGAGCTGGGGAGGAGAGGCGAGCTATGGAGCAGGGCTGGAACCTTGACATCGGGGCAACACAGAGGATCAGGTGGCGCCTGTGGCCTTTCCGTTTGCTGAGGGAACAGAAATCTTGGGAGAGGCCAGGGCTAGTTTGCTGGAGAAGCCCCATCTGCGATATTGCCTGGCCTGGAGCTGGGCCAGGAGGAGGGCCAGGCTGGGAGGATCTCTAGCCAGAGGTCGCATGCAGAGGGCAGGAGGGCAAGCAGTGCTCCGCCTTGCACATGGGTCACACACCCTCACACCCTGAGGCTGCGATGAATGGGACGGTCACCTTGGTGGGGCTCCCAGGGTCCTCTGGGAGGGCGGAGGATTGGAGACAGCAAAGGAGGCAGTTCAGAGTGGAGCCGGCTTAGGTGCTGCTTTAAAACTCCTAGGCCTGGAGGGAAGCAGTGGGGTGCTGGGCTTGGCAGGAAGAGGGGGTTTCATATTTCTGGTAGATGTCCGAGTTTCCCCAGAGCTTCCCAGGACCTGGGGTGAAAGGGAGGGAGGCTGTGGGAACAGCAGCTCCGGGATGCGTGGGCTTCACTGAGGTGGAGGCTGCTCCCTCGCAGTGCCTGCTGCAGCCTAGAGCCCCCAGGCGGTGAGGTCTGAGGGGGTTGGGGGGCCAGGGCGCAGGAGGCAGGATAGGAGGGGGTTGAAAAAGGGGTCCAAACTTGGTGAGGGGACCTTGGGACTTTGGAGGCCTGGTTATGGCAGCTTCTGTGATGAGGGGAGTGGCCTGGGTGGTGTTGAACTAAGATAGGACTGGCTGCACCTTGCTAAGCCAAAGATGTGAGGGGGGTGTGTGTGTGTGTGTGTGTGTGCACGCATGCGCAGATGTGCATGTCTGCACTGTGTGTGTCCGTATGTCTGTGTAGCATGTGTGACTCTGAGCATGTATGCATGTGTGTACATATGCGTGTGTCTCTCTGTGTTTGTGTGTAACTGTGTGTGTGTCTGCTAGTGTGTCTTGTGTACCTGCTTGTATGCCTCTGTGTGTGAGTTCGTATGTTTGCATTGTGTGTGACGGTACATATCTCTGTGTTCGTGTGAGTGTCTACGCATCTGTGTAGTATGTGTCTGTCAGTGTCTCTTCGTGTCTCTGGACTTTTTTGAGTGTCTAAGTGTGTGTCTTTTTTTTTTTTTTTGAGACAGAGTCTTGCTATGTCACTAGGCTGGAGTGCAGTGGCACGATCTCAGCTCACTGCAACCTCCGCCTCCTGGGTTCAAGCGATTCTCCTGCCTCAGCCTCCCGAGTAGCTGGGATTTTTGTATGTTTAGTAGAGACGGGGTTTCACCACGTTGGCCAGGATGGTCTCGATCTTCTGACCTCATGATCTGCCTGCCTCGGCCTCCCAAAGTGCTGGGATTACAGGCTTGAGCCATCGTGCCCGGCCAAGTGTGTGTCTTTATATGAGTTTGTGTGCCCGTGTGGTCTTTGTGTGGGTCAGTGGATCTCTGTGTGTGTGACTATCCAAGTGTGTGTCTCTGTGTGTGTGCGTGTGTCTGTATGTTTCTGTGCTTGTCTGTGTGAGTGTGCGCTGTGACTGTGTTTGTGTGTGACTGG
Organism: Homo sapiens; assembly: GCF_000001405.40. Lineage (NCBI taxonomy): Eukaryota > Metazoa > Chordata > Mammalia > Primates > Hominidae > Homo > Homo sapiens. The sequence goes on from NC_000017.11 coordinate 75,092,795, forward strand.
GTATGTGTCTGTGTCTGTGTGCCACTGCGTGTGTGTGTGTGTGTGTGTGTGTGTGTGTGTGTGTGTTTATTATTCAGTGTGATTGCGGAACTTGAGTCTTGGCCTTGAGCTCTGTTTGAAAGGAGTGTTGCAGGGTAACTGCAAAGGGGCCGATGGGAAAGGCCTGGGGGTGTGGGGGTGGATGAGGCCCATGCTTTCTCCAAAGCTGCTGGTTGGGTGCTTGTTAAACTCCTTTGTGTATGCTCTGTGGCTGCTCCTAGCACCGGCCTGCTCACTCAGGCCTTCACAACAGCACCAATAGTAACTTTGCTGCTTCTGAGGCATTGCGAAAGTCTGTGTTTGTATGCAGGAACCCTGGGCAGGAGGGTGTATCCTTGGGTGCATTTGGGGGGCGTTGGGACTACACTGACCCCAGAGGTCTGCTGCATTCTACAAGTAGTGACTGAGTGGGCTAGGAGGTCCCCCTGTTGACTTCTAAGTGATGTAACAATTAGAGACAATTGTACCCCATTGCCTGGTGCCACCTGCCCTGCCCCGTCCTGTCCCTCCTATCCCTCCTGTCCCTCCTGTCCTTCCTGCCACCTCCTGCCAGGCTGGCTCTGGGAAGTGGGTGAAAGGAGATGCCAAGGCCAACGCGTGGGCCTCTGGCCACCTCCCAGGGGTGGTGCCCCTCTGTGACACCTGGTACTTGGGTATGAGGAAGGGATGGCTTAGCTGCCCAGAGAAGGTGGCAGGTGGGCCAGGAGAGACGGACAGCCTGCTGACCACCAGGCTCCATTCTGTCCCCTCCCCAGGCAGCAGCCACATTGGCAGTGAGGCCGTGGCAGCGTCGGCAGCAGAGGATGCCCCAGGCCCTGGAGCGTGCAGATGGCAGCTGGGCCTGGGTGGTGCTGCTGGCCACCATGGTGACCCAGGGCCTCACCCTGGGCTTCCCCACGTGTATCGGCATCTTCTTCACTGAATTGCAATGGGAGTTCCAGGCCAGCAACAGCGAGACCTCTTGGTTCCCCTCCATCCTCACGGCTGTGCTCCACATGGCAGGTGAGCGGCCTAGGGAGGGGCCGATGAGAAAGTCCTAGGGGTTGCGGGGAAGCCACAACCTCCCTGGCCTTCTGATTCCCTCTCTCTGAGGCCACAGGCTTTGCCTCCTGGGTGAATTCCTAAGGTTTCACCAGATTTCACCAGGGGCCCCTGGCTGGAATCCAGCTGGACTGGGCTGGAGCCGGGGAGAGAGTGGGGAGGTGCCTGGGTTGCAAAGCCAGGCGGAGCCTTGCGTCCTTTCTGTGGGATCCATTCCGACACAGGCGTAGGTGTGCTGGGGCGCTCAGTGCCAGGCTGGGAAGAGCGCTGGGGCCAGCCCACCAAGACTCTCCTGCTTTCCAGCTGGCTGGTCTCTCTGAACCTCGGTTGCTTCCTCTGCAATCTGAGGGTGATGCCCGGCATCCTGCCCAGCTCCCACATGGAATAGCAGGGAAGACCACTGTCTTCCCTGGAGGTGCTGGGAGCTGGGAAATGTATGCGGCTGTGAATTATTAATATTTTGGAGACCCTCACTAGGGCAGGGAGTGGCTTCAGGATAGGAAAGGGGACGCAAGGAAGACACCAGGAATGGCCGGGCGCGATGGCTTACGCCTGTAATCCCAGCACTTTGGGAGGCCGAGGCGGTCAGATCACCTGAGGTCGGGAGTTTGAGACCAGCCTGACCAACATGGAGAAACCCTGTCTCTACTGAAAATACAAAATTAGCTGGGCGTGGTGGCGGGTGCCTGTAATCCCAGCTACTCAGGAGGCTGAGGCAGGAGAATCTCTTGAACCCAGGAGGCAGAGGTTGCGGTGAGCTGAGATGGTGCCATTGCACTCCAGCCTGGGCAACAAGAGTGAAACTGTCTCAAAAAAAAAAAAAGACACCAGGAACAAGAGGGGGACAAGGCAGGAGCCCCAGCTCTCCCGGGACTCCCTGCAGAGAGGAGGTTGCTAAGTGGGGGTGAGGGAGGAAGGCAGCCCCTGTCTGCCCCTTCTCCTGGCTCTGTCACCATAGGCCTCAGAGGCCCATGTTCCTGGCTGGCTTTTCCAGGAGTGTGACTGCCTCACCCTGACCCCAGCGTTGGGAGCAGGGCAGAGGGAGGGTTCTCTGCAGTCGCCGTGGACACAGGGACCTGCCCTCAGCTCCTGGGAGCTCTCCAGGGAGACTGCAGAGACCCCGGCCTCGGAGGGGCCCGGTGGACAGCAGCCCGAGCTGATGGCCCACAGGCCTCTGCAGGCGTGTGTCTGCTGGCCGCAGCTGCCCATCTCCCCGGCTACCTCCTGGCTACTCCCTCCACTTGCCACCAGCAGCCTGCCTATTATTCCAGGTCCTGCCCTCAAACTGGGAGGGAGGTGAGGCTCGGAGAAAGCGCCACCCTCCTGGGTGAGCTCTGAATCTGCCACATGGCCTCTGGCCTGCAGGGTTGGGGCAGGGAGTGGGAATCCCAGAGGGCTGCTTCTCACACAGGCAGAGCAGGGTTCCTGGGCCAGGGGCTAGGAACCGGGCACCCGGCGGGGAACCTACTCCCCAGCTGACTTGCGGCTCACCACCCCCAGCAGGCATCTCAGCATCTCCATCAGCATGGGATTCCTGGCTGGCCATCTCTCTCATGTACACATACACGTGTATGAGCCCGTGCTCATTCAGAGTACTGTAGACATTTTATTTTATGTTTATTTATTTATTTGCTTATTTTTGAGACAGAGTCTCACTCTGTCACCTGGGCTGGAGTGCAGTGGCATGATCACAGCCTATTGCAGCCTTAACCTCTCAAGCTCAAGCGATCCTGCCACCTCAGCCTCCCGAGTAGCTGGGACCACAGGTGTGCACCACCACACCCAGCTAATTTTTTTTTTTTTTAGATGGAGTCTCGCTCTGTTGCCCAGGCTGGAGTGCAGTGGTGCAATCTCAGCTCGCTGTAACCTCCGCCTTCCAGGTTCAAGCGATTCTCCTGCCTCAGCCTCCTGAGTAGCTGGGACTACAGGTGCGCACCACCATGCCTGGCTAATTTTTTGTATTTTTAGTAGAGACGGGGTTTCACCGTGTTAGCCAGGATGGTCTCGATCTCCTGACCTCATGATCTGCTGGCCTTGGCCTCCCAAAGTGCTGGGATTACAGGTGTGAGCCACCACGCCCAGACCATACCCAGCTAATTTTTTTACTTTTTGTAGAGACGGGGTCTCACTATGTTGCTCAGGCTGGTCTCAAACTCCTGGGCTCAAGTGATCTACCTGCCTGGGCCTCTCAAAATGCTGGGATTACAGACATGAGCCACGGCACCTGACCACAGTATTGTAGAAATTTTTAAACACGATGAATCATGGATACTTTCACTGATCCTTTCAAGTGCCCCTGCCCCTACCTACGCCTTTTAGAGGTAAGGAAAGCAAGCAGGCACAGAACACAAGACCTGCCCAAGGCTGAAGAGTGAGTTCACGGCAGAGGAAACACCCTGTGTCCCGCCCGGCCACACCACCCTCAGCTATGCAGCTCTGGCCTGCAGCCCAGTCCCCACCCCCACCCCTGTGACTAAGGGCTTTCCCCAATGTCAACTTCCCTAAGTCAGGCCAGAGTCTCTGGCGTGAGGAAGCTCTGTGGGTCAGTCCTCTCCAGAGCCACCTCCCCCTCTACAGGGGCAGAGACGCCGGGCCACCAGCCTCTGCTTGATTATGTCTGCGACGGGCTGCTCACTTAGTCTGTCACTTGCTTTTTTCTTTTTTTTTTTTTTCGGAGATGGAGCCTCCCTCTCTCACCCAGGCTGGAGTGTAGTGGCACAGTCTCGGCTCACTGCAACCTCCACCTCCCGGGTTCAAGCGATTCTCCTGCCTCAGCCTCCCTAGTAGCTTGGAATTACAGGCATGCGCCACCACACCTGGCTAATTTTTGTATTTTTAGTAGAGATGGGGTTTTACCATGTTAGCCAGGCTGGTCTCGAACTCCTGACTTCAGGCGATCCACCTGCCTCGGCCTCCCAAAGTGCTGGGATTACAGGCGTGAGCCACCACGCATGGCCACTCCATCACTTTTTTTTTTTTTTTTTTTTTTTGAGATGTAGTTTCACTCTGTCGCCCAGGATGGAGCGCATCGGGTTCTGCCTCCCAGGTTCAAGCGATTCTCCTGCCTCAGCCTCCCAAGTAGCTGGGATTACAGGCACGCACCACCATGCCTGGCTAATTTTTGTATTTTTAGTAGAGATGGGGTTTCACCATGTTGGTCAGGCTGGTCTCGAACTCCTGACCTTAAGTGATCCACCCACCTCGGCCTCCCAAAGTACTGGGATTACAGGCGTGAGCCACCACACCCAGCCTACTCTGTCACTTTTATACTCACACTGGCTCACACCACACATCCCCCCTCCACCGCAGACACACACAAGCATCTCATGCGCACACACTTCCCTGTCCCTTTAGTTGCACTCTCGGAGAGTAAGTTAGAGAAGCTCCACATGTGCTTGGGTGAATGGGGCCCCTGTGAGGTGCCAAGGAGCAGTCTGCAGCTCTTTTCTATTTTTTTGGGGTGTGGATTGGTGAGAAAGCAGCTGGGAGCCAGGCAAGGAACAGGCCCCCCTCCACATTGAGCCAAACCTCTAGGTGCAGACTTTGGTGGTGCTGGAGGTGGTGTGGGAGGGGAGAACCTACCCTGCCTGATTGTCTGCAGAGGCCAGTGCAAGGAGGCGCAGAGGGGCCCAGGGTTCCCCTCAGCTGTAGGGCTGGGAAGGTGGTGGGAGGGTGGGAGGGATCTAGCCAGTCTTCCTGAGGATGTTGGGTGTGGGGATGGGGCAGGTAAAACAGGATCTGAAGGTGCACACTGTAGTCTAGATGTCCTGGAACACTGCCCCGACTCCTCCCACCAACAGACCCCCAGCGAAGTGGGGGAGGTAAACTCATGAACCAATCCTGTTTCACCCGGATAGAATGAGCAGCCTCAGGTCTGTGTAGTTCAGGGTCTTGCTCCACCTTTCAGGGAATCCTCATCAGGGTCAAACATCGCCCATTCTGAATCCTCACTTTGTAGGGGAAAAAATTGAGGCACGGAGAGGGATCAGGCTTTGCTCAGGCCACATGGCCAGTCCATGGCAGGTGGGTATCAGAATCCAGGCCTGCTCGTGCCCTTGAAACCACCTGGCTAGTTCCAGCTGGAACTGCCCTCTCCAGCCACTCTCCTCCTCTCCCGCCACCTCCTCATTCAGCTGCTACCTGCTGGCTGTCTTCTCCCACAGGGCCCCTGTGCAGCATCCTGGTGGGACGCTTCGGCTGCCGAGTGACCGTGATGCTGGGGGGCGTGCTGGCCAGCCTGGGCATGGTGGCCAGCTCCTTCTCTCACAACCTCAGCCAGCTCTACTTCACAGCAGGATTCATCACAGGTGACTATCACTTCATCTCCAGAATTTATAGGCACCTGCTAGAAAGTGCCAGGCACAAGTGGACAGGGCAGGCAGGCCTCTTAATCTTCTGGAACTGCTGGCTGGGTGCGGTGGCTCACACCTGTTATCCCAGCACTTTGGGAGGCTGAGGCGGGCAGATCACCTGAGGTCAGGGGTTCGAGACTAGCCCGGCCAACATGGTGAAACCCTGTCTATACTAAAAAAAATACAAAAATTAGCCAGGCTTGGTGGCGGGCCCCTGTAGTCCCAGCTACTCGAGGCTGAGGCAGGAGAATCGCCCGGGAAGTGGAGGTTGCAGTGAGCCAAGATCGCACCACTGTACTCCAGCCTGGGCAACAGAGCAAGACCCCATCTCAAAAACACAAAAAACAAAGTGCTGGGATTACAGGTGTGAGCCCATCATGCCCAGCCCTTTCACGGCATTTTGTTTTAAGGGGACTGGAGGAACAGACTATACCCAGAAGTGGTTATGAGGTCAAGACAGGCTTTTTTTGTTTGTTTGTTTGTTTGTTTTTAATGGGAGAAATAACGAAGGAGAAGGATCTAGGAAAGAAGAGAAAAAGGATGATGCAGGAGAGAGGGGACTTGCTAGAGGGGTGCCTCTGAGTGGAGAGGATGCAGGGCAGAAGGGAGGGACAGCCACTGGGGGAATGGGCAAGCCATTGTCACTGGCTAGCAGGCATGTGGGCAGCTGAGCATAAGGATAGGGAGGAGGTGTTGGGGGGCACAGAGGAAGACACCGGTAGTCACCTAGCAGGGCAGGCAAGGCATGATTGAGGGAGCTGTAGTGGCGTCACAGGCAGCCTGAGGGCCCGCCTGAGGCCACGGTCACACATGATTGAGAACTTTTTCTCCAGCATGCTCAGGTGTGCAGGTGCAGACACTGAGTGGGTGGGGAGCGGGGAAGGCCCCTCTGGAGAGGTGGCGTCTGAACTGAGAGGAGAGTGGAAAGTCTGGAGGAAGCAGATTCCAAGAAGGAACAGCAGCTACAAATAACCCGAGGTAGGGGCAGCTTCATGTCCAGAGGCAGAGAAAGAAGTTCCTGTGTCTTGATCCTAATGAGTGACAGGGAGCAGCCTGAGATGGCATCTGAGAGGCGGGCTGGAGCCGGACCACAGAGAGCCTTCCAGGGCATTGTGGAGACTGTGGATTTTTTGTCAAGTGTGATGGGAAGTCTTTGGAAGGTGTTAAGCCAAGAGAGACTTAATCCAATTTGGGGTTTGTTTGTTTTTGAGACAGAGTCTCACTCTGTTGCCCAGGCTGGAGTGCAGTGGCACAATCTCAGCTCACTGCAACCTCCACAACCTCAGCTCACTGCAACCTCCACTTCCCGGGTTCAAGTGATTCTCCTGACTCAGCCTCCTAGGTAGCTATTACAGACTACAGGCGCCTGCCACTAAGCCTGGCTAATTTTTTTGTATTTTTAGTAGAGATGGGGTTTCACCATGTTGGTCTCGAACTCCTGACCTCAAGTGATCCGCCAACCTTGGCCTCCCAAAGTGCTGGGATTACAGGCGTGAGCCACCGCGCTCGGCCCAATTTGGGTTTTTAAAAGATAACTCTCGTGCTACACCTAGGGGAACAGGGATGCCCTGGCAGCCTTGGGAGGGCAGATCTGGGGTGGGGTGCCTACAGGGAGGTGGCGAGGCCAGCTGATTCCATGGTCAGTCCCCAGGGACTTGGAGCTGGGTATGGACTAGAACCAGAGGAGGGCAGGTGTGTGAAATGACCACTGACCCCACCCCTGGGTGCAGGTGGAAGGCCCCAGTGCGCCTCCAGGCTGGTTTCCCCTCTTGCCCCGCAGGCCTGGGCATGTGCTTCAGCTTCCAGTCAAGCATCACGGTGCTGGGCTTCTACTTTGTCCGCCGGCGGGTGCTGGCCAACGCGCTGGCCTCGATGGGCGTCTCCCTGGGCATCACCCTCTGGCCGCTGCTCTCCCGCTACCTTCTGGAGAACCTGGGCTGGAGGGGTACCTTCCTTGTCTTCGGCGGGATCTTTCTCCACTGCTGCATCTGCGGGGCCATCATAAGGCCTGTGGCCACCAGTGTGGCCCCTGAGACCAAAGAATGTCCCCCGCCACCTCCCGAGACACCTGCACTTGGCTGCCTGGCTGCATGCGGCCGGACCATCCAGCGCCACCTGGCCTTCGACATCCTGCGGCACAACACAGGCTACTGCGTGTACATACTGGGTGTGATGTGGTCCGTCCTGGGCTTCCCACTGCCACAAGTCTTCCTGGTGCCATATGCCATGTGGCACAGCGTGGACGAGCAGCAGGCAGCCCTCCTCATCTCCATCATCGGCTTCAGCAACATCTTCCTGAGGCCCCTAGCCGGGCTGATGGCAGGACGGCCGGCCTTTGCTAGCCACCGCAAGTACCTGTTCAGCCTGGCACTCCTGCTCAATGGGCTCACTAACCTGGTGTGTGCGGCATCAGGTGACTTCTGGGTGCTCGTGGGCTACTGCCTGGCGTACAGCGTGTCCATGAGTGGCATCGGCGCCCTCATCTTCCAGGTTCTCATGGACATCGTCCCCATGGATCAGTTCCCCAGAGCCCTGGGACTCTTCACTGTCCTGGACGGCCTTGCTTTCCTCATCTCCCCACCACTGGCCGGTGAGGAGCTGGGAGGGAGGGCAGCCAGATAGTGTGGTAAAAGGGGAACAGTTTAGACAGATCTGGGCCCAGTCCAGCATCTCCAGAGGTTGTGCTACAGCTGGTTTCCAACCTGGCACTCAGAGTATGAACAGTTAAAAACATGGGTTTGGCCCGGCGCGGTGGCTCATGCCTGTAATCCCAGCACTTTGGGAGGCCGGGGCGGGCAGATCATGAGGTCAGGAGATCGAGACCATCCTGGCCAACATGGTGAAACCCCGTCTCTACTAAAAATACAAAAAAATTAGTTGGGCGTTGTGATGGGCGCCTGTAGTCCCAGCTACTCGGGAGGCTGAGGCAGGAGAATGGCATGAACACAGGAGGCAGAGCTTGCAGTGAGCTGAGATTGCGCCACTGCACTCCAGGCTGGGCAACAAAGCGAGACTCCGCCTCAAAAAGAAAAAAAAAAAAGCATGGGTTTGTGACCAGGTGCGGTGGCTCACGCCTGTAATCCCAGCACTTTGGGAGGCTGAGGCGGGTGGATCACGAGGTCAGGAGATCGAGACCAACATGGCTAACGTGGTGAAACCCCATCTCTACTAAAAATACAAAAAAATTAGCTGGGTGTGGTGGCGGGCACCTGTAAATCCCAGCTACTTGGGAGGCTGACACCAGAGAATCGTTTGAACCCAGGAGGCAGAGGTTGCAGTGAGCTGAGATCACGCCACTGCACTCCAGCCTGGGTGACAGAGTGAGACTCCATCTGAAAAAAAAAAAAAAAAAAAAAAAAGCATGGGTTTGTGTACCAAACCTCAGTCCTCCATCATCCTCCCTGTACCTCCTTTTTCCTTTTTGTTGAGACAAGGTCTTGCTCTGTCACCCAGGCTGGAGTGCAGTGGTGCAATCACAGCTCACTGCAGCCTCAACCTGCCAGACTCAAGTGATCTTCCCACCTCAGCCCCCCAAGTAGCTGGGACTGCAGGCACATGCCACCACACCCAGCTAATTTTTATATTTTTTATAGAAATGGGGTTTCACCATGTTGCTCAGGCTGCTCTCAAACCCCTAGGCTCAAGTGATCTGCCTCCCTCAGCCTCCCAAAGTGCTGGGATTACAGGTGTGAGCCATTGCGCCTGGCCACTTCCTTTTTCCTATCAGTAAAGTGGGGATAAATAGAATCTACCTCCAAGGAAAGAGCTTAGGAGAGAGTCTGGTGTGCAGTCAGCATCCTGCAGAGTTTCCTGTAATGATCATCCCAGTTCTCCTGCTTCCTGCCTGTGGGACCCAGGCAAGTCTTTTTCCCTTTTTGAGCCACAGTGCCATCTGCAAAATGCAGACGAGAGCACCTGCCCTAATCATTTATTCACCTCTGCCAGCCTCTGGGTGTGCATGGGGATCAAAAGGTCTCCATTCCCAGCCTGACCAACATGGTGAAACCCCATCTCTACTAAAAATACAAAAAATTAGCCGGGTGTGGTGGTGTGCGTCTATAATCCCAGTTACTTGGGAGGCTGAGGCAGGAGAATTGCTTAAACCCGGGAGGTGGAGGTTACAGTGAACCAAGATCACACCACTGCACTCCAGCCTGGGCGACAGAGTGAAACTCCAACTCGAAAAAAATAAAAGGTCCCCATCCCCTGGGGGATTACCTTCTAGGGCAGGAGTCAGGAGTGAAAACAAAGAGACACATCAGCAACCATCCTGGTGATTTATGATGCGAGGGAAACCAAATAGGGAAGTAGAGGTGCACGTGAGAGGCAGCTGAGAGTGTGAGATTCTGAGCAAATGAGGGCAGGTTTGTAAAGCCCTCGGTACCGGGGAGCAGTCAGACAACACAAGGCGGCGGTTATTAGAGTAGATCCGGGAGGTTGAGTTCAGCCCAATGGGGACTCCGTCCAAGTGTGGCGTTGGAAGGCCCAGTTTCCAAGGGAATTCTTTTTTCTTTTTTTTTTTTTGAGGCAGAGTCTCGCTCTGTCATCCAGGCTGGAGTGCAATGGTGTGATCTCAGCTCACTACAACCTCTGCCTCCCAGGTTCAAGCAATTTTCCTGCCTCCTCTTCCCTAGTAGCTGGGATTACAGGCACGCGCCACACGCCCGGCTAATTTTTTTTTTTGAGACAGAGTCTCGCTCTATTGCCAGGCTGGAGTGCAGTGGCGTGATCTCAGCTCACTGCAACCTCTGCCTCCTGGGTTCAAGCAATCCTCCTGCCTCAGCCTCCAGAGTAGCTGGGACTACAGGTGCGTGCCACCACACTCGGCTAATTTTTGTATTTTTAGTAGAGATGGGGTTTCACTGTATTGGCCAGGCTGTTCTCGAACTCCTGACCTCGTGATCTGCCGGCCTCGGCCTCCCAGAGTGCTGGGATTACAGGTGTGAGCCACCGCTCCCTGCCTTAGTTTTTGTATTTTTAGTGGAGACAGGGTTTCACCATGTTGGCCAGGCTGGTCTCGAACTCCTGACCTCGTGATCCACCTGCCTCAGCCTCCTAAAGTGCTGGGATTACAGGCGTGAGCCACTGTGCCCATCCAAGGGAATTCTTTTTTTTTTTTTTTTAATGGAGTCTCACTCTGTTGCCCAGACTGGAGTGCAGTGGTACGATCTTGGTTCACTGCAACCTCTGCCATCCAGGTTCAAGTGATTCTCCTACCTCAGCCTCTCAAGTAGCTGGGATTACAGGTACCTGCCCCCACACCTGTCTAATTTTTGTAGTTTTGGTAGGAACAGGGTTTCACCATCTTGGCCAGGCTGGTCTTGAACTCCTGACCTTGTGATCTACCCACCTCAGCCTCCCAAAGTGCTGGGATTACAGGCGTGAGCCACCGTGTCAGGCCCCAAGGGAATTCTTTAAGCAAACAAGTGGGGAGAGCTCTTCAGAAGGAGGCATAGGTGAGACCTGGAGGGTGGGTGAGCAAATATCCCAGACTCCACTAGTTCCCTACCACCACATGCCCTTAAGTTCTCTTGCAGCCTGAGGACTCTTCCTGCCCAGGCCAGAGGAGGTTGTGTTTCTTCCCCTCCTTTCATTCTTCAAGTATCTGTTGAGTGTCTACTGGGTGTCAGCCACAATTCCTAGTACAGCAGAGACAAAAATAAAATACCTGCTGTCAGGGAACACACAGCTGAGTTGGGGGGAGGCCTGGTAGCACTGGCCTAACTTGATCTCTGTTCCCCAGGGTTGCTCCTGGACGCCACCAACAACTTTAGCTATGTTTTCTACATGTCCAGCTTCTTCCTCATCTCAGCTGCCCTCTTCATGGGTGGCAGCTTCTACGCCCTGCAGAAGAAGGAGCAAGGCAAGCAGGCTGTCGCGGCGGATGCCCTGGAGCGGGATCTTTTCTTGGAAGCCAAAGACGGTCCTGGGAAGCAACGGTCCCCTGAGATCATGTATGTAACCAGCGTCTAAGACCCAGGGTTCATCTGTGTGACCAGTGTCTGAGTCCTGGGATCACTGAGTGAACACTGTCTCAGCCCAGCCCAGGAGGGGGACCTCTAGCTCCTTCACCAGGGGCTTGGGTGAAGAGTAGCCCAGGAAGCCCGGGCTGTCCAGGCTCTGCAAGCTGGGACTCTGCCAGGAGCTGGGACTTTGGAGGCTGGCCTCTGAAGATGCCCTGAGAAACTCTTTTTTTTTTTTTTTTTTTTTGAGGCGGAGTTTCACTCTTGTTGCCCAGGCTGGAGTGCAGTGGCACCATCTCGGCTCACTGCAACCTCTGCCTCCCAAGTTCAAGGGATTCTCCTGCCTCTGCCCCCCAAGTTCAAGCGATTCTCCTGCCTCTGCCCCCCAAGTAGCTGAGATTACAGGCATGCGCCACCACTCCCGGCTAATTTTGTCTTTTAGTAGAGATGGGGTTTCTCTATGTTGGTCAGGCTGGTCTCCAACTTCCGACCTCAGGTGATCTGCCCACCTCAGCCTCCCAAAGTGCTGGGATTACAGGCGTGAGCCACCGTGCCCAGCCAGAGGAACCCTTTTCTAACAACTAGCGGAATCCAGGAGCAGGCCCTCCGGACTTTTTTCCTTGGGTACCAGGGTACTCGGGGCCCAGGAACCTGGGTCTGAGCCCTGCTCAGGTTTGTCCCAGCCGGCTCAGCGCAGCTGGCTGTGTGTTGCTGCTCCTACAGCTCAATGCACTGGACCTTCTCGTCCAGCCTGGATGCCTCTATCATTTCTCTTTGTCTTTCTCTGGCCTCCATACCGTTCTGAAGAGCTCACCTTCCTCTAGGTTCCTCCTGCCCTGCTCTTCCCAAGTGACCCAGCCCTCACCTGTAGGGCAGCCAAGGCTGGTGGTGCAGCTGCCCCCAGTGAAGGTCATTGGGCCTCGCACTGGGCAGTGCAGAGGTCCAGGCTGAGGAGTTGAGTGGCGCGCCCATCCTGGCGCCTGTGCAGAGAACGGGAGGGGGGCCCCTGGCTTGGATCCTAGAATCGGTGAAGTCTGAGGGCCCCCCTGCAGTCTCAGCAGGACCTGCTCTATCAAGGGGCTTCCTCCTTCCTTTCCCCACCCTGTCTCCTTGGCGGGGAGGATTAGTGCCAGGTGGGGGAAGCCAGACATTTGACTGACGGGAGAGGAAGGCTTGCCAGGCAGCCCGAAGACTGTTGTGAAAATGGGGCTGCTTTTGCAAGGGAAGCTCTTTTACTCCCCATTCCTGTCCTCCAGAGGCCCCCCTTTTCCCTGCCGTGTTATTGGTGTCAACCCTGGGGTAAGTGGCTGGCTGGACTCACCCCTGCTCCCCGTACACCTGTGCCTGTGACTGGCGGTCCAAGCTCCCCACACACACATCTTGCTGGTGCCTTTCCCTGAAGTCACCACCCAGGGGCTGGCTGTCATCAGCCCATTCTTGTCCCAGCAGGGTACCGAGGGAATGATAAAACAGAATGTGTTTGAATTACACACAAAAATGTTCCCTGCAGCAGGTCATAAACTCTGTGAACTAATGAAGCTGACAAACAGAGCTGGAGTACGTTTCCCCTCACCCTTCCTTTCCTCCTAGCTCAGCAAGGGGTGCTCAGGTTCAGGATGTTGTTTGTTGATTCAGGCTCAACCAGGCTCCGCAAGAAAACCTTATCAGGAGATTTTATTTTCATGAACAGGTGCCAGTCTTCCCGCCAGCCACGTCCAGCTGGCGTCAATAAGCATCTTTGGGGATGTCCTGCCTCCTCCAGGACCAGCCATGAGTGGCTCTTATGGCCAAAGGCGGTACTGCAGGCCAAGCAAACGGCTCTGGGCTGGAATAGCCCTACCTGAGTGCCCTGTTTGACTCCGCCACTATCTGCCATGTGAGTTGGGCAAATTGTTGACCACCTCTGAGCCTTGAAAAAGTAGGAGGTTACTTTGTTAGAGCAAAATAATAAAATTTAATTTTAAAAAAGAAAACGTAGGAGGTTGGTTTGGATGAGCTAGTCTCTTCCGGTTGAAAAGTCTGACTCGGTGAGCATCCTGACGACTCCATTTCCTTCTGGCTCCCCACCCAGTCTTACACTTGGCTGCCATCAATACCACATGCTCTGAAGGGAGAGTGCTTGCATGGACTTTGCCAAATCCTGTCTGCTCCATCTCAGTTGAATGGAAAAGGAGGGAGGTGGGGCTGGTAGATAGGTGCTTTTGGTGCTAGTATCCACCAGGTTTTGTGTGCATCCCGTAATGAGCCCACTTCCTGAAAACATTTAAAGAAAAAAGATATCAGCTGGAGATGGCAGTGCGCACATGTAATCCCAGCTACTCGGGAGGTTGAGGTGGGAGGATCACTCAAACCTGGGAGTTTGAGGCCAGCCTGGGCAACACAGCAAGACCCTGTCTTTTTTTTAAAAAAAAAAAAAAAAAAAAGGCTGGGTGTGGTGGCTCACGCCTGTAATCCCAGCACTTTGAGAGGCCAAGATGGGTGGGTCACTAGAGGTCAGGAGTTCAAGACCAGCCTGGCCAACATGGCAAAACCCCAGCTCTACTAAAAATACAAAAATTAGCCAGGCGTGGTAGCAGTCGCCTGTAATCCCAGCTACTTGGGAGGCTGAGGCAGGAAATTTGCTTGAACTGGAGAGGAAGAGGTTGTGGTGAGCTGGGATCACGCCACTGCACTACAGCCTGGGTGATGGAATGAGACTCGTCTCAAAAAACAAACAAACAAAAAAAACACTTTGGGAGGTCAGAGCAGGAGGATCGCTTGAGACCAGGACTTCAAGACCAGCCTGGGCAACATAGAGACCCTGTCTCTACAGAAAAATTAAGGAAAGGGAAAAAAAAAAAGCCAAGTGTGGTGGATCATGCCTGTAATCCCAACACTTTGGAAGGCCAAGATGGGAGAATCACTTGAGAGGCCACCCTGGGCCACATAAGGAGACCTCCATCTCTACAAAAAATTTAAAACTTAGCTGGACATGGTGGCACAGGCCTGTAGTCCAAGCCACTCAGGAGGCAGAGGTGGGAGGATCCCTTGAGCCAAGAAGCTCAAGGTTGCAGTAAGCTGTGATCACACCACTGCACTCCAGCCTGGGTGACAGAGACCTTGTCCCCCCTTCCCAAAAAAAAAAAAGGTATCAATGAATGTTCTGCATAGGAAACTTTCATCTCACCTGCTCCTAGGCAAGAATAGCAATCATCTCTGGGCAGAATTCCTTCAATAAATATTTACTGAGTATCTACTGTGTGCCAGAGACTGGGCAGAGGTAAGACCTACCAAGGGCTGAGAATTCCACCCCAAGGAGGGCCCCTCCCTGAGGCCTTAAGAAGGGAGAAGACTGGCTGGGTGCGGTGGCTCATGCCTGTAATCCCAGCACTTTGGGAGGCTGAGACAGGTGGATCACGAGGTCAAGATATCGAGACCATCCTGGCCAACAAGGTGAAACCCCATCTCTGCTAAAAATACAAAAATTAGGCCGGGCGCAGTGGCTCACGCCTGTAATCCCAGCACTTTGGGAGGCCAAGGCGGGTGGATCACGAGGTCAGGAGATCGAGACCATCCTGGCTAACACGGTGAAACCTCGTCTCTATTAAAAATACAAACATTAGCCGGGCGTCGTGGCGGGTGCCTGTAGTCCCAGCTATTCAGGAGGCTGAGGCAGGAGAATGGCGTGAACCTGGGAGGCGGAGCTTCCAGTGAGCTGAGATCGCACCACTGCACTCCAACCCGGGTGACAGAGCGAGACACTGTCTCAGAAAAAAAATACAAAAATTAGCTGGGTGCAGTGGTGCGTGCCTGTAATCCCAGCTACTCGGGAGGCTGAGGCAGGAGAATCACTTGAATCTGAGGCGGAGGTTGTAGTGAGCCGAGATCGCACCACTGTACTCCAGCCTGGCGACAGAGCGAGACTCCATCTCAAAAAGAAAAAAAGGGAGAAGACCAATGAGGGAAGATGGGGTGGCCCATCTGATTCAGCAATCCCCATCTAGCTGATTGCCTGCGAACCTCTAGAGAAGGTCTGGGGCAGTTCCTGGGCAGGGAGGGATGGAGCTTACTTCCATCCTCCCTGTTTCTGGGCTCCTATTTGCTGCTCTGTCCAGCAAGAGGCAGAGAAACCCCTTGGGCACCTAGGGGTAAGATGCACTTCCCAGGCTGCAGAGGCTCCCAAGAGAAGCCAAAGGGCTTTGGTGAGGGTCCTGGGGCCTAGGTACCCAGACTAAGTTAGAAACTCCTGCCTCAGAGGGTGTACATAGGGCAGGGGCTGACCACAAGGACCTGAAACCTCAGAGGTGAGGCCTGCTTCCAATGGGGCTGCAGCTGGCTGGAGTGTGACGGCCACTCTGCCTTCATCCGGGCCCAGGGCTTAAGATAATGGTCCTTGCCTTTGTCAGCCTAAATAACAGAGAGGCTCTCTCAAAGAAAATGATATCTATTTGGGCATAGGGCATTGCAATGGTAGTATCCATGCCATAGTAAACTATATGGGTATTCAGGGAGGTAAAGGAAGACAGGCTTTAAGGGAAAAAATAGGATTACATAATTGTTTTGAAATATTTATCCTTAGGTAGAAGGATTAATAACAAGGGTGACCGCTCAAGGTTGGACAAGCGGTTGCTGGGCAGATGGCCATTCAAAAGTATGTTTTGTGCAAGGTTGTGACGCCCTTTGTGCAAGGTTGTGGTTTTTGCAGAGTCTTTGTGATAGTTTTCATTATCAGGTATTTATGCACGAGAACCCTCTTGTCATGGGTTTCTTGGGCTGTGTCCGGGTTTTTTTGTTCTGTTTTTTAACACAAGTGACTCCATTTAGATTAACAACTTTTGCACTCTCAGGACACTCACAGCCTAAGCCACCTCTACCCCTACGTTGTCAAATGCGATGGGAGTGTGGCTAGACCACCTCCTTCCCTGGTGCTTTGTTTCCTGTAACCACGAGCAATCTATCACACACCCGCTTCCTGATAATCTCCGAGAAGGAATCGGCCGAAGGGCTTCAGCATCCAGAAAGCCCCGAAAGCGCCACAATCAAGGCTCCTCCTCGGGCTCCCCCGTGCTGCCCCGGGCGCGCGCCATCCACCCGGCTGACAAAAAGCACCAGGACATGACCCAGTACCCTTTGATTTCTGTCCAGAGGTGGCGGACCCACCTCGGGGCTGGGATGGAGGGCGGGTCGGGGTCGCTAGGCTTTTTGCAAAAGGGGCAAAGGACTGATGGGGGGCGTAAGGAGCTGACGCCCGCGCTCCAAAGGGGCGTCCTGGTCAAGGAGGATGGGCCGCGCCCCCGCCAGCCGTGGGGACCCTGGAGGTGCTTCTGCCTCGACGTCCTCCAACATGGGTGCTGCCAGACTCTGCTGCGCTCCTGAGTTGCTCCTGGCGGAATTCCAGCCACCCGACATGGGTGTCTCATTTTCGGCTTCTGGGCCATGTCGGGACGGCGGAGGACCCCGGGGGACCGGCGGGAGAGTGGGAAAGGTGGGGCGGGAAAGCCGAGCGAGGCCCTCACTCGCCCATCTGTTGGCGGGGGCGGCAAGTGGGTTTCTTTCTTGCGTTCAGATTTTGCAGTAATTTGCATCTGGACATGGGATACGGGAGGCCAGGCTGCTCCTCGCAGTACACCCACCCACGCCTGCACCTGCCTCAGCGAAGCCGCTCGCCGCTGGTTCCAGCACAGGCTAAAGAGCTTCGGCATCCAGAAAACCAGAAGCGCGCCGCGCACGCGCGCCAAGGAGTTCGGCGACGGCCCCGCCCCTTCGGGGGTAGGGACAGCGCGGCTTCCGCCGGGAGCCCGGAACCGAGCCCAGGAGCCGGGGACGGTGCGCCAGTGCCCCCTCCGCGAGCCCCAACCAGTAGACGGTTCCCTGTCTCCCGCGCCCCAATTTCGATTTTCAAACGCAACTCCTACAGGATTCTGAGACCCCGTCCCATCTCCCATATCCCATTTCCAGCTGCAAATTACTGCAGAATCTGAACCCAGGAAAGAAACCCATTTGCCGACCCCCTCTTCCCTCTCCAGACAGGTGGAGAGCGGGTGAGGGTCTCGCTCGGCTTTCCCCCTGCACCTTTCCCACCCTCCCGCCCGTCCCTGGGGGTCCTCCGTCACCGCGGCCATGGCCCAGAAGCCGAAGGTGGACCCCCACGTCGGGCGGCTGGGATACCTGCAGGCGCTGGTCACGGAATTCCAGGAGACCCAAAGCCAAGGTGAGAGCCACGGTGGGATCAGGTGGCAGGGTCCGCTGTGACCGCCGCCCGGACCTGGCTTCAGTGCCGCTTTCCCGTTGCAGACGCCAAGGAGCAAGTCCTCGCCAACCTCGCCAACTTCGCTTATGACCCCAGCAACTACGAGTATCTGCGGCAGCTGCAGGTCCTGGATTTATTTCTCGATTCGCTGTCGGAGGAGAATGAGACCCTGGTGGAGTTTGCTATTGGTAAGGGCGGGGCCCGTTCCCTAGATGCCTAAATGGGCCAGGGTGAGATAAGTGAATTAGAAGTGAGTCCTTGGGGCCGGGCGTGGTGGCTCACACCTGTAATCCCAGCAGTTTGGGAAGCTAAGGCGGGCGGATCACCTGAGGTCATGAGTTCGAGACCAGCCTGGCCCACATGGCGAAACCCCGTCTCGTACAAAAATTAGCTAGACGTGGTGGAGAGTGCCTGTAATCCCAGCTACTAGTGAGCCTGAGGCAGGAGAAGCTTGAACCCAGGAGGCAAATGTTGCAGTGAGCTGAGATCGTGCCACTGCACCACAGCCTCGGGGACAAGAGTGAGACCCCGTCTCAAAAAAAAAAAAAAAAAAAAAAAAGCCGCACACAGTGGTGTGCACCTGTAGGCCCAGCTACTCTGGAGACTGAAGCAGGAGGTATTGCTTGAGTCTGGGAGGCAGAGGCCGAAGTGAGCTGAGATTGTGCTACTGCACTCCAGCCTGGGCGACAGAGTGAGACCATGTCTCAAAAAAATATGTTTTAAAAAGAGCAGTTTTGTAGCCGGGCGCGGTGGCACACACCTGTAATACCAGCACCAGCACTTTGGGAGGCTGAGGTGGGCGGATCACCTGAGGTCAGGAGTTCAAGATCAGCCTGGCCAACATGGTGAAACCCCATCTCTAACTAAAAATACAAAAATTAGCCGGGCATGGTGGTGGGCGCCTGTAATCCCAGCTACTTGGGAGGCTGAGGCAGGAGAATCGCTTGAACCCGGTAGGCAGAGGTTGTAGTGAGCCAAGATGGCACCACCGCACCCCAGCCTGGGCAACAGTGAGACTCTGTCTCAAAAAAAAAAGCAATTTCAGGCGGGTGAGGTGGCTCACACCTTTAATCTCAGCACTTTGTGAGGCCGAAGCAGGGAGATCACTTGAGTTCCGGAGTTCAAGACCAGCCTGGGCAACATGACAAAACCCCATCTCTGCTTTAAAAAAAAAAAAAAAAAAATTAGTCTGGCGTGGTGTCCCAGCTACTCAGGAGGCTGAGGTGGGAGGATTGCTTAAGCCTGGGAGGTCAAGGCTGCAGTGAGCTGGGATTGGGCCACTGTACTCCAGCCTGGGTGACAAAACGAGAATCTGTCTCAAAAACAAAAATAACTCATATTTAGTGTTTTCATATCAAGAGAAGCAGAGATGGCTTGCAGTCTGTAACTTATGGCTTCTGTAGTTGTTATGATCTTAAGACCTATTGAGTTATTCACTGGGTAGATATTTATTGCGCGTGTACCGTATATGCAAGCTACTGCTCTAAATGCTGGAGTATGGTGAACAGCTTAGGGAAAGGTCTTTGCCCCTCAGGAGCTTACATTCTAGTAGGGGGGACAGGTGGTTAGCAAACAAAAAAGATGATGCTCAGAAGGAAGTAAATGGGGTGATGAGAGACAGCAGTGGAAGGTGGGGGTTACTTCAGTTTTGGCCATCATGAGAAAGGCATTTTAGCCGGGACACAGCATGGGCAAAGGCCTTAAAACAGGAAGGAGCCAGACGGAAGGCTGATGTGGGAGGATCGTTGCAGTGAAGTGGAGAATGGCACAAAAAGAGTTTAGAGAGTTCAGTGGCACCAGAGCTTGCAGGAGTTTAGATCTAGGCCGTGGGAAATAGTTTGAAGCAAACAAAATTTTGAGAACAAACAAAAATTCCTTTTTCAAGCAATGCAGTGCCCACCTGTAGTCCCAGATACTCAAGAGGATCGCTTGAGCCCAGGAATTTGAGGCTGTCGTGTGCTGTGATTGCACGATTGCACCTGTGAATAGCCACTGCACTGCAGCCTGGCCAACACGCGCGTAGTCACCTGGCTGAAGTCTTGTCAGGCTTCTCCACTGTAAAATTACTCTTTCTTTCCCCTCTTTACGTATGATACCCATTGGAAGGAAGTCACTACATAAATTATCTTAAATCTCTCTTTTTATTCTCTTTTTCTTTTTTTTTTTTTTTTTTTTGAGATAGGGTCTCACTCTGTCACTTAGGCTGGAGTGCAGTGGTGTGATCATAGCTCACCATAAACTTGAACTCCTGGGCTCAAGCAGTCTTCCTGCCTTAGCCTCCCGAGTAGCTGTGACTACAGGTGTGCACCACCATGCCCAGCTAATTTTTTTTTTTTTTAATTTTTTGTTGTGACAGGATCTCACTGTGTTGCCCAGACTGGTCTCGAACTCCTGGCCCCAAGAAATAAATCCCTTGTAACCCTAAACAGACCCTCATTTCATAACACTGATTCTCGAAGGCCCCAACCAGGAATGCAAATGTTCCCCCTTCCGGTTTGTCTCATTGCCTCTTTGTGGTTTCTTTATCCCCTTTATTTCCTATAATCCAGAAATTGGGTTGAATGTCTTGATAGGATCAAATAACACATTTTTTATTTTATTTTATTTTATTTTATTTTATTTTTTGAGATGGAGTCTTGCTCTGTCGCCCAGGCTGGAATGCGGTGGTGCAATCTCAGCTCACTGCAACCTCTGCCTCCTGGGTTCAGACAGTTCTCCTGCTTCAGCCTCCCGGGTATGGGATTATAGGCGCCCGCCACCACGCCCGGCTAATTTTTGTGTTTTTAGTAGAGACGGGGTTTCACCGTGTTGGCCAGGCTGGTCTCAAACTCCTGACCTCAGGTGATCCGCCCGCCTCAGCCTCCCAAAGTGCTGGGGTTACAGTCGTGAGCCACCACACCTGGCCCAACTAACACATTTTTAAAAATACTTTTTATTTATTTATTTTTTTTTTTGAGATGGAGTCTTGCTCTGTCGCCCAGGCTGGAGTGCAGTGGCGCGATCTCGGCTCACTGCAAGCTCCGCCTCCCGGGTTCACGCCATTCTCCTGCCTCAGCCTCCCAAGTAGCTGGGATTACAGGCGCCCCCCCACCAGGCCCGGCTAATTTTTTGTACTTTTAGTAGAGACGGGGTTTCACCGTGTTAGCCAGGATGGGCTCAATCTCCTGACCTCGTGATCTGCCCGCCTCGGCCTCCCAAAGTGCTGGGATTACAGGCGTGAGCCACCGCGCCCGGCAAAAATACATTATGATAAGTGTGATTCAAATTTTTCAAAGACCATCCAGGTCTCCTCTAAAGAGGAGAGGAGATTCCTGGGGCCAGACTACAAATGAGGGTCTTCTCTCCATGAGGGGGCTCCAGCACATGTGTGTGCGGATTCACACCCCCACAGACAGCTGCCCCTTGGCCACTCCCTGGGTTTGGAAGTGCACACACCAACAGTGGCATTCACTCCTGGGAGTCAGGATCCAAGAGAGAGGCCCATGCAGCCGTGGGAGCAGGTTTAGGGCCTGGAGCTCCAGGTGCAGGGGAAGGACGGCTGTGGGCTTTGGGTGAGCTCCCTGGACTTACTGCCCCACAGAGGACCAGAGTGGGGCCTGCTAAAGCCAAGCCAGGGCAGGAGCCCCAGTTGCCCAGGTCCCCGAGTGATGCCAGCTCCTCTAGAAGATTATTATGCCAAACAAATATTCTAAAAAGTTGGTCTCTAAAACGTCCTCCGTCCCGTCCCTTTTCGTGCCTCTGCCCCCACAGCTGCTGCAGTCTGAACGGTGACGGTGGCCCCTGCAGAAGCATGTGGCTAAATCTCCACCAGGGGGCGATAGAGCTCCTCCAAATCAAGCTGCTGCCCCTGGAGAAAAATTGGCGGAAGTCACAGAGCAGTCCCCACCAAAAGTGTTTACCAAGTGGAGTCTTTCCTGCTGGCGTTTCCTCAGGGTCAGGAAGCAACTTTCCCAGGACAGGGGCACCCTGAGGTCCGGGTCCACTGAGCTATGGGGGCGGCGTGGGCCTGGGCTGGGTTCTTGCCATCCTGGGCAGCTTCCCGGCGTGGGTGACTGAGCCCGGGTCCTGGAGTCCGCGGTCCCAGCGTCTCCACTTCTCAGCTGATTCCTAGAAGCTGAGTCCCGTCCCTTCTCCGAGCGTGGTTTCCTCTCCCGCCTTGCCTGCGTCGCAAGCAGTTGTGGGAGCAGAAGTGTGTCTGTGCATCTGTGTCTCTGTGCAGGTATTTTAGAATTGTTAGGATCATTATCACCAGCTTTACTTTTCCCAACCATTTTTTTCCTCCTTTTTTTCTCTTCCTTCTTCTGCCACAGCAAGACCCCCCCGCCCCAAGCACAGTAGCTTTCTCAGCGTCGAATCCCTCCGTGGGACCATGTTGCAATGAAATTTCAACATGCAAATGAAATTTCTCGAAATTTCTCTTGTGTTTATTATGCATGACTGAGAAGGAGAGCCCCCGCGTATTTTCTTACTGCCGTCGTTTCCCTTTCTCTTAGTGTCTCTGCTTGGGGATCCCCGACAGGCACTTATTCTGCTGTTTCTGGAGAAGGCTCTGTGCTGCGCTTTGGAGCTTTGAGTCTTTTATCCGATGTGGCAGCCCTGAGATTGTGATCTCCCTGAGCCAGAGCCAGCCTTACTTCTGTCTGCATGGTTTGAGTGCTTAGGCCTTTTGGCCTAGGGAGGAGGAAAGAAGGGGAAGAAAAGGCAGGAGATCTTCACTTAATAGGTGTGGAGTCCTGGCCATGACTTGGTGCAACACCCCTGAGCAGGGTTGGTTCTGGAAGGACTGGCACAGTGGAGAGCTGAGTCAGATTGCCCATGGCTGTGGCTCGCAGAACCAAAACCAAGCTGGGTATGGTGGCTCACACCTGTAATCCCATTTGGGAGGCCGAGGGGGGTGGATCACTTGAGGTCAGGAGTTCGAGACCAGCCTGGCCAACATGGCAAAACCCCGTCTCTACTAAAAATACAAAAATTAGTTGGGTGTGGTGGCGCACACCTGTAGTCCCAGCTACTCGGAGGCTGAGGCAGAAGAGTTGCTTGAACCAGGAGACAGAGGTTGCAGTGAGCCAAGATCACGCCACTGCACTCCAGCCTGGGTGACAGAGCAAGACTCTGTCTCCATAAAAAAAAAAAGGAACCAAAACCATTGTCTGCTTGGTTGAGCAGGGTGGTTCATACCTGTAATCCCAGCATTCTGGGAGGCTGAAGCAAGAGGATTGCTTGAGCCCCCAGGAGGTCAAGAGCAGCCTGGGCAACATAGCAAAACCCTGTCCCTACAAAAACAAACAAAACAAGTATCTGCTTGTTGGCAGGCAGCACAGTGAGTTGGATGAGAGCTGGGCCCTGGGGTCAGGCAGGCATCTGGGTGTGGGCTCTCTCTCCTCCAATCATCTGTCAGATGGGGACAGTGCCAGTAGCTGCTTCACATCAGTTGAGAGAATTAAATGAAACACCACAGTGCTCTTTTAGGGTTAGTGTCTGCAGCCATAGATAGGATTCCCTTGGTTGCCATCCAAAGACAAATACCCAAAACCCTTTGAGGGTGAGCTGTCGCCCCTTGTCCCAGAGAGGTGAGGTGCGGGATGGGATAACGTCCTATCAAGGGAATCACTCATCTGCTCCAGGAATTCTTACCTTCTGGAAAAACATCACGGAATGACAGGAACACCGATCCTCAGCCTCCCAGAGGGTGCCCAGGCAATGTCAGGTGGGGAGAGCCTGGCTGCAGGCCCGGTGCTGTTGTGCCCCCATCACGGATGGCATTAGCTCACACTTGGGGAGCACCCACTGCATGCCAGGCGCTTGCATCTTGTGCATTGGACATAGTACTAAAGTAGATGTGCTTACACCGCCTTCTTTCCAATCAGGACTCTGAGGCTTAGAGAGGTTCTGTGGGCTGGCCAAAGGTTTAAAGAGTACCAGACCTAGGCCGGGCATGGTGGCTGACGCTTGTAATCCCAGCACTTTGGGAGGCCGAAGTGGGCAGATCACCGGAGGTCGGGAGTTCGAGACCAGCCTGACCAACATGGAGAAACCCCATCTCTACTAAAAATACAATTAGCTGGGTGCGGTGGCACGCGCCTGTAATCCCAGCTACTCAGGAGGCTGAGGCAGGAGAATCGCTTGAACCGAGGAGGTGGAGGTTGAGGTGAGCCAAGATCACGCCATTGCACTCCAGCCTGGGCAACAAGAGTGAAACTCCGTCTCAAAATAAATAAAGAGTACCAGACCTGAGACTTAAACCCAGAGCAGTCAGAGTCTACAAGCTAGTCCCTTGGCCCTTTTCCTGCCCTTAGAGGAGTTCCAATTCCTAGGATTGTGGAGCGAAAGCGAGAAAGGAGTTTACTCCAAATTGCTCATTTTATCAATAAGGAAGCTGCGGTGCAGACAGCTGCCCCTCGTCTGGCTGTCGCAGGCCAGGATGAGAATGCAGGCTTCCTTCCGTCTGTCCCTGCAGCCACCACACTCACAGGTACCCTTCCATGCTGGCTTTGCTGTGGCAGCTCTGAGTGAGGTCTGCTCTTTGGCCCAGCACTTCTGCCTCCTCTCTGAGGGCTGGAAGCTGGATGCTATCCAAACAAATGGATTCGCTCACCCTGCACACTAAGGCCAATTACTGACAAAAATCGCAGTGAGAAAGTGAGGCTTTGTTTTTGTTTTTGGTTTTGGTTTTTTTGAGACAGATTCTCACTCCGTTGCCCAGGTTGGAGTGCAATGGTGCAATCTCGTCTCACTGCAACCTCCGCCTACCTGGTTCAAGCAATTCTCCTGCCTCAGCCTCCTGAGTAGCTGGGATTACAAGCACCCGCCACCACACCCAGCTAATTTTTGTATGTTTAGTAGAGACGGGGTTTCGACATGTTGGCCAGGCTGATCTCGAACTCCTCACCTCAGGTGATCCGCCCGCCTCGGCCTCCCAAAGTGCTGGGATTACAGGCGTGAGCCACTGTGCCCAGCCAAAAGTGAGGCCTTTATTGTGGGGCGACAAGCAAGAAGAATCCGGCAGCTCATGCTTAAGACCCAAATTCCCAGATGGCTTATGGTTAAGGGTGTTCAAAGGCAGGAGGCAGAGGTTACAGACAAAGTTTTAAATCAACACCAGGAGGCTATATATTGGTTTGGCCTAAGAAGGCAGGATGTCTCCAAGGGATGGGGCACAGATCATAGGTGGCTTCAAAGATTTTCTGATTTGTGAGTGGTTAAGGAGGTGAAGCTTTGTCTACAAATTTGGCATCAGCAAAAAAGAATGTTAGCTATAACCTGTGGGCATGTCCTCCAGGCCCCTCAGGGAGTCTAAAGAGTGGTCAGAGTGTAGTTTTCAGTTCCCCTTATCTGAGGTCTCAGTGCCAGGGGAATTGTTTGTTGAGGGTCCAGATTTCTGAAAAGCAACTCAAGGACAGATATTAAGATGTTATCTTTAGGCCGGGTGTGGTGGCTCACACCTGTAATCCCAGCACTTTGGGAGGCTGAGGCGGGTGGATCACTTGAGCTCAGGAGTTCAAGACCAGCCTGGCCAACATGGTGAAACCCCGTCTCTACTAAAAATACAAAATCTAGCTGGGTGTGGTGGCAGGAGCCTGTAATCCCAGCTACTCTGGAAGCTGAGGCAGGAGAATCGCTTGAACCCAGGAGGCAGGCAGAGGTTACAGTGAGCCAAGATCGTGCCACTGCACTCCAGCATGGGCGACAAAGCAAGACTGTCTCAAAAAAAAAAAAAAAACAAAGTTATCTTTAGTTTCTATGGGGAAACCAGACATCCCCTGATTCTGACTTCCTTGGCTATTGTTTTAAGCTAACTATTACCTTCTTGCTTATCGAGTTGCTCACTTGCTTCTCAGGGCTAGCTAGGTGCCTGGAATTTCATGAAGGGACTCAAGATTTTCCTTTATTTCCATGCTTGGGGGCCTGCAGGCCCCTAGAGAAGCCCCTGCTCTCTCTCCATGTCAGCCAGGGCTTCAGTCTGGCCTCAAGTGTTCCCATCAGCGGTGGCAGTGGAACTACAGTGGCAGCAACCACTTGCCAACAGGGGCCTGGCCTCACTCACCGTCGTCTCTGTGTGGCGGTCTCTTTCTCCTGTGGCTTCCTCTCAGTTGCCCGCCGTCGGCACCGCCACAGCCATGAGGAAGGATCCGGCTACAGCGACCGCGGAGAACACGCACGGGTTTTCAAGTCTCTGGCCTCTTTTGTGGCCTCTTGTGGATCTGCCCATTTAGAGCAATTGTAGAACTAGTTTATTGACCCTTTCTGTGCTTCTGGCTGCCTTTTCTGCCCAGGGTCCAGGGCTCCTGTTTGGGTGCTGTTGGGATAAAAGCTGCCTCTCCTGGATGCCCGCCCAGTGCACACCATGTGCTCGCCACACGCCCACCTGAACCAGCCTGTCCACAAGGCCTCTGAATCGGTCATGAACGGCAAGGCCGATGGTTCTAACCCCTTTGTACATATCGGGAACCCCCACCACCAAGTGAGGGCAAGTCCACTGCCTGGGGCTCCCGCTGTTAGTGATAACTGGAGCCAGGACTTCGCCCCTGTCATCCAGGATCCAAATTCTGTGCCCTGGGAACCCAGCTGGCACCAGGCTCAGACTCTAGTCCCTTGTTCTGGCCTCAAACTCCTGGGCTCAAGTGATCCTCCGACCCCAGCCTCCCAAAGTGCTAGGATTACAGGCATGAGCCACTGCACCCAGCCCCAGTGGCAGTTCCTCTATGACACTGGTACACTGGACTGTACACTGGTACACTGGTACACTGGACTGGTACACTGGACTATTCACAGGGGATTATTTGTTCTTGGGTTTTCCTTCAGTGTCTTGAAAATGGCTCCTTCAATTTCAAGTCTGAAGGACAGACAGTACATAGAGTAAGCTACCCTTTGTGTGAGAAGGCAGGGTGGAGATGAACACACCTCTGTGTATGCACTCACGCTGGCAAGACACAAAAGTGTAATAAGGAAATGGGTTAGTACGAGGCAGGGAACAAGGTAGAAGGGACCAGAATGGTGGTGAGACTTCTGAAAATACCCTGTGATACAGTTTTTTCTTTTTTTTTTTTTGAGACGGAGTTTCGCTCTGTCGCCCAGGCTGGAGTGCAGTGGCGCGATCTCGACTCACTGCAAGCTCCGCCTCCCGGGTTCACGCCATTCTCCTGCCTCAGCCTTCCCAGCAGCTGGGACTACAGGCACCCGCTACCACGCCCAGCTAATTTTTTTTGTATTTTTTTTTTTTTTTAGTAGAGACAGGGTTTCACCGTGTTAGCCAGGATGGTCTCGATTTCCTGACCTTGTGATCCGCCTGCCTCGGCCCTCTCAAAGTGCTAGGATTACAGGCGTGAGCCACCACGCCCAGCCTGCTGTGAAGACTTTGACCCTGGGCTGCTTCAGCTCAGCATGGGCGAGTCCCCAGATGTAGCTGTATTTTGAGCTGCCCTTGCCGAGGGCCTGCCCAGCCACCAGGTGCCAGGTGCCAGCTAAGCACTTGTCAGAAGCATCACCTCGTTTTGTTTTGTTTTTGAGATGGAGTCTCGCCCTGTTGACCAGGCTGGAGTGCAGTGGCATGATCTGGGCTCATTGCAACCTCCGCCTCCCAAGTTCAAGCCATTCTCCTGCCTCAGCCTCCCAAGTAGCTGGGACTACAGGTGAGTGCCACCATGCCCAGCTAATTTTTGTATTTTTAGTAGAGATGGAGTTTTGCCATGTTGGCCAGGGTGGTCTTGAACTCCTGACCTCAGGTGATCCACCCTCGGCCTCCCAAAGTGCTGGGATTACAGGCATGAGCCCCCACGCCCGGCCAGCATCACCTCATTTAATCCCTGGGACCATCCTTCAACCTTCCCTTCATGGTCCAGGTTGTCCCTCCCTGCACCAGTGCCCAACATGGCGTGTGAGCTGAGGTCACCCACCTGACCTCCCTGAGTCTCCGGCTTTCTCATCTTGCTTTCATGTGGGGTTTCCTCTTTTGCCTCTCCAGGGTTCTCGTGTAGAGTTCCTGTGTGTCCTGATGTCTGGAAGGCCCTGCCCTTGCTTCTTGTTTTCTCTCTGTCTTGTGCAGAGCATGTTCATCAGGAAGTCGGAACTTGTTCTCCTTTCTGTTTTATAACGATTTTTAAGACTGCAGTATGGTGGCTGGGCACGGTGGCTCAGGCCTGTAATCCCAGCACTTTGGGAGGCCGAGGCGGGCGGATCACGAGGTCAGGAGATCAAGACCATCCTGGCTAATACGGTGAAACCCCATCTCTACTAAAAATACAAAAAATTAGCTGGGCATGGTGGCGGGCACCTGTAGTCCCAGCTACTCAGGAGGCTGAGGCAGGAGAATCACTTGAACCTGGGAGGCGGAGATTGCAGTGAGCTGAGATCGCACCACTGCACTCCAGCCTGGGCGACAGAGCAAGACTCGGTCTCAAAAAAAAAAAAAAAAAAAAAGATTGCAGTATGATCAACAGAATAAAATGCACATATCTTAAGTGTCAGTTTGGTGAATTTTGAAATTCATTGAGCTATGTGTACATCCATGTAAGCAGCTCCTAAACCAAGACGTAGAAACTCCCTTCACACCCACGCTGGGTCAGTATCTCCCACTCCAAGGCAACCACTATTCTAACCTCTATCCTGTGGATTTGCTTTGCCTGTTCTTGAACTTCATACAAACAGAACCATGCAGGATCTACTCTCGTATCTGATTTCTTTCACTCAACATTATGTTTTTCAGATTCATCCAAATTATTGCAGTATCATCCATTCCTTTGGATGTGCCACAATTTGTTCATGCATCTGCCTGTAGACGGAGATTTGAATTGTTTCTAGTTTAGAAGCTTTATGAATGAAGCTGTTAGGATCATGTTCATACAAATATGTACTCATTTCTCTCACCTAGGAGTGGAGTTGCTCAGTCCTAGGGTAGATGTGCGTTTAACGTCATGAGAAGCTGCCAAATCACTTTCCACGTAGTTACACCAGGTTATGCTATATGCTCCACTTCCTTGCCAACACTTAGTATTGGCCTTTTTTTGTTTGTTTTTGAGATGGAGTCTCGCTCTGTCGCCTACGCTGGAGCACAGTTGGCACAATCTCGTCTTGCTGCAACCTCCGCCTCCTGGGTTCAAGCAATTCTCCCACCTCAGCCTCCGGAGTAGCTGAGGTTGCATGTGTAGGCCACCATGCCTAGCTAATTTTTGTATTTTTAGTAGAGACAGGTTTTCGCCATGTTGGCCAGGCTGGTCTGGAACTCCTGACCTCAAGTGATCCACCCTCCTCGGCCTCCCAAAGTGCTGGGATTACAGGTGTGAGCCACTGCACGCAGCAGCAGTGTTTTTTATTTTTGCTATTATGTTGAGTGTGTAGTGGCATGTTCTTGTGGTTATACTTTTTATTTCTCTGATACGTAATGAGCACAGTTCCATATGTTTTGGCCCTTTTGCAAAGAAGACTTTGTTTAAGTCTTTTTGCTCATTTTCAAAATTGGGTTGTTCATCTTTTATTGATATGCAGGAGTTCTTGATGTGTTCTGGATACCAGCGTTCTGTCAGATGGATAGTCAGTGAATGTTTTCTCCTTTTGCCTTTTTACTGTGTTAATGGTGTCGTTTGATGAGTTATTCTCCTATCTCAGTGAAATTCAGCTTTTAAAAAAGAATAACATCTGGCCAGGTGTGGTGGCTCACGCCTATAATCCCAGCACTTTGGGAGGGCGAGGCAGGTGGATCACAGGGTCAGGAGTTCAAGATAAGCCAGGCCAAGATGGTGAAACCCCATCTCTACTAAAAATACAAAAGGAAATTAGTCGGGCATGTTGACGGGCGCCTGTAATCCCAGCTACTCGGGAGGCTGAGGCAGAGAACCCCGGAGGTGGAGGATGCAGTGAGCCGAGATTGCGCCACTGCACTCCAGCCTGGGCGACAGAGCAAAACTCCGTCTCAAAACAAAAACAAAAAAGAATAATATCTTTTAAAATTATTATTATTATTATTTTTGACGGGGTTTCACTCTTGTTGCCCAGGCTGGAGTGCAGTGGAGTGATCTCGGCTCACCGCAACCTCCGCCTCCTGGGTTCAAGCGATTCTCCTGCCTCAGCTTCTCGAGTAGCTGGGACTACGGGCGTGTGCCACCACGCCCAGCTAATTTTTTGTATTTTTAGTAGAGATGGGGTTTCACCATGTTGGCAAGGCTAGTCTTGAACTCCTGACCTCAGGTGATCCTCCTGCCTCACCACCCAAAGTGCTGGGATTACAGGAGTGAGCCACTGTGCCTGGCCCTGGCTTTTTTAATTTTTAAAAGAATATCTGTAGAGATAACGTTTTCCTATTTATTAAACACCTGCTAATGCGAGGCTGCTGATAGAGAATGAGACAAGGCAGAGTCCCCATTCTCACGGAGTTTATAGTTTAGTGGAGCAACAGCCAATATTTTGACAAATAACTACTGTAATGTCAGTAAGTGTGAAGGAAAGAAGCAAAGCCTGGTGAGGGGGGCGTGGTGGGGGGGCAGGTTAGGTGCTCACAGAAAGCTCTTAGAGGAGGTGGCGTCTTAGCGGGCCTATCTTATTGTATGTACAATCTGGTGTCCTTCTTCCCTCCTTCATCTTAAATTACAGGCATTTTCTAACATGAATTATTCTTTGGACACTTTTTTTTTTTTTTTTTAATTTTTGAGGTGAAGTCTCACTCTGTCGCCCAAGCTGGATTGCAGTGGCACGATCTCAGCTCACTGCAACCTCCACCTCCTGAGTTCAAGCAATTCTCTTGCCTCAGCCTCCCAAGTAGCTGGGACTACAGGGACACACCATCAGGCCCAGCTAATTTTTTTTTTTTTTTTTTTTACTTAGTAGAGACGGGGTTTCACTATGTTGGCTAGGCTGATCTTGAACTCCTGACCTTGTGATCCACCCGCCTCGGCCTCCCAAAGTGCTGGGATGACAGGCATGAGCCACCACACCTGGCCTTTGAAGACTTTTTTTTTTTTTTTGAGACCGAGTTTCGCTCTGTCGCCCAGGCTAGAGTGCAGCAGTGCGATCTCTGCTCACTGCAAGCTCCACCTCCCGGGTTCAGGCCATTCTCCTGCCTCAGCCTCCTGAGTAGCTGGGACTACAGGTGCCCACCACCGTGCCCGGCTAATTTTTTGTATTTTTAGTAGAGAGGGAGTTTCACCGTGTTAGCCAGGACGGTCTTGATCTCCTAATTTTGTGATCCACCGCGCCCAGCCTGAAGACATTATTTTTAAGAACTGTAAATATTGCCAGACACAATGGCTCACGCCTTTCATCCCAGTACTTTGGGAGGCCAAGGCATGAGGTTAGGAGTTCGAGATTAGCCTGGCCAACATGGTGAAACCCCCATCTCTACTAAAAATACAAAATTAGCTGGGCGTGGTGGTGCATGCCTGTAATCCCAGCTACTTGGGAGGCTGAGGCAGGAGAATTGCTTGAACCCGGGAGGCGGAGGTTGCAGTGAGCCGAGATCGTGCTACTGCACTCCAGCGTGGGCGACAAGAGCGAGGCTCATACTCAAAAAAAAAAGTACTGTATACTGTTTCATCATATGCATGTACCATAATTTAGCCATCTGGCTATTACCAAGCATTCTAGGAAGCTCCCAGTTTCCACGTTGCTCTTTTTCCATGGCCCTTCTCAGTTCTTCAGGGCAGGTTCACACAGGTAGACCCAGGGAGAAGCTCAAAGCAGCTGTTGCTGTGGCCTCTTGTGGGTCCTCTGGCGCCATCTTGGCTCATCTTTCTGCTCCAGCTCAGACTTCCTGCCCTGAAACTCTGTGCCCTTTTCTTTTCTGGCCCTCACCGCCTTCTTCATCTCTAAGGGACACTACCCGCTAGGCAGAGGAGCTTCAGGAGTTCCCTGCCACTGCGGAGAGGGTCCAAGCAGCTGGTGAGCTCTGGCAGGCACCCGGTCCATCCTTGGAGACTCCTAGGCCTCTGTGTGGGGAGGGAGGGAGAGGGTGGCTCTCCTGAGGCCTCCTCCTGCCCCCACCCTCTGGTTTTCCGCAGTCTGGGTGGCAGTGCCCTGCCCAGGCGCACCTGGGTGTGGTGATGACTCAGCTGCCAGGCAGTGACTCAGGCTTCATCTTATCACACTTTACACAGAGAGAAATCCCATCACCCCACCCGCAGTCCAGTGTGCACAGGAAGGCCGCTCCCGTCAGCTCGGGAGACATGCCGCGGGTGTGTCTGAGCAGAAGAGTCCGACCACAGCACTTCCACTGCCCCTGCTCCAGACTGAGCCTGGCATCTGCCCAAGGCTGGATTCGTTGTCCTTACTGCTTCCAGAGGGCCCCGCCATTTCCCATGGGAGGGCCGCCATTTCCCATGGGAGGGCCGAGGGGCAGAAGGCTCCCATCTCTTTAGCGTTTTGGGCAGCTCACTCAGTCTCTCATAGCCTTGACTTCTCCCATGGAAATGGGGGTGATGTTAGCACTTGTTTCTAGGGTTCAGTCATGTGTCCAGTGCGTGCTCAGTGAAGTGTCCACGGTTCTAGGAACTTGAGCCCTGCCTTATAGCTCCTGGTGGAAGGGACAGAGCAAGGACAAAAGGCAGCCTACAGAATGCCACAGCCACGCTAGGGGCCACCCTGTGCTTTAGCAAGTGCTGAAGTGGGACTGGCAAGGGAGGCTCCAAGGGCCCCATGGGGAGAGGCGCTCAGTCAGGGCCTGCTTGCCCTCTGCTGCTGCTACTCTTTCTCAGGACTCCAGAGAGGCCAAAGAGCTCCTTCCCTCCCTCAGATGTGTCCTGCCTGTGAGCTGCAGCCCAGATCTAAGAACTACAGAAGTCCAGGGTGGGCAGGATGTCAGGGAGCCACACTGTCCAGCCCCCTGACCATCTGCGGTTCTTTGAACCCTTTCCCCCCCGGGTCAGTGCTTAAAGGATCAGGTGATGAAGGGCTGCCCTGACATGGTAGAGCACCTAGTCGGGTATCCCAGGAAGACGCCACTTGCAAGGAGAGCAGTGGAGGGCTTGTTACCAGCAAGAGGGTGTCAGTGTGTGACAACTGGGGGCTGAAAGGTCTCAGGGATGGACTGAGGTTGGAGACTGCAATGAGTGCCAGGGAGAGGGAAGAACAGACAGGACGGCTCAGGGGTAAGGAGCACACGGACATCTGGAATTTACTCCACATGCAGTGGGATCCTTTAATAATGTTCCCCCAGCTGGGCACGGTGGCTCACACCCGTAATCCTAGCACTTTGGGAGGCCAAGATGGGTGGATCACCTGAGGTCAAGAGTTTAAGACCAGCCTGGCTAACATGGCGAAACCCTGTCTCTACTAAAAATACAAAAAAAAAATTAGCCAGGTGTGGTGGCATGTACCTGTAATCCCAGCTACTTGGGAGGCTGAGGCAAGAGAATCACTTGAACCTGGTGGGGCGGAGGTTGCAGTGAGCCGAGATCGCGCCACTTCACTCCAGCCTGGGTGAAAGAGTGAAACTCCATCTCAAAAATAAAAAAGGTTCCCTCAAAGCAGGACCAGCCTGACCCAGGTGCTGCTTGGGAGCAGGCAGCAGAGTGAAACCTTGGCAGACTCCTGCCCCAGTCAGTGGAGGAGGGTCCTTGGCGGGGGCACCATGGGCACCTGTCCCTCTGGCTGGGGAAGATGTCTTAGTTGGGTTTCAGGTTCAGGTAAGTCTTCTCTTTGTTAGTTTCCAGAAAAACAGGGGAAGTGGGTAGAGCTGTGGCCTTCACTGATTGGTCACTCAGGACACTGGGCATGTTTTGCAAATGAGCTGAGAGGTGGCTTCCTCCACTGAGCAGGAACCAAAGGGAGGGGTACCGTGATGACAGGAAGCTCAGGATGCACAGGAAGTCATCTTCCCGCAGGGAGCAGCCAGTGCTGAGCAGAGTGACCTCCAAAACAAGGTAGCATCTGTCCCCAAGGCTAAGAGGTCATTACATTGAGGGGGCCTGACTTGAGGGAATGGGAGTGGGATTCCAGCCACATTACCTGAGCACGTGAGTTCTTTGATCCAGAACCACTGATCTGTCACTGTTGCCTTTTCTGTTTTCCCCCAGAATCCTAGTAACGGTGACATGGAAATAACATTAAAATGCTCTATTCTCTTAATTACACTATATCTGTCAAATGGTACACTCCTTACCATTAATCTACAATCACTGCATAGCCATGAATGTGAATTTATTGGCATGGAAAGATGTTCACAATACATTGTTTTTTTGTTTTTGTTTTTTTTTTTTGAGATGGAGTTTCACTCGTTTGCTCAGGCTGGAGTGCAATGGCGCAATCTCAGCTCATTGCAACCTCAGCCTCCTGGGTTCAAGCAACTCTCCTGCCTAAGCCTCCCTAGTAGCTGGGACTATAGGTGTGCTCAACCATGCCCCGCTAATCACAATATATTGGTAAATGAAAAAAGCTGGGCGGGGCACAGTGGCTCATGCCTGTAATCCCAGCACTTTGGGAGGCCGAGGCGGGTGGAACACCTGAGGTCAGGAGTTCGAGACCAGCCTGGCCAACATGGTGAAACCCCGTCTCTACTAAAAATACAAAAATTTAGCCGGGCATGGTGGCACATGCCGGTTATCCCAGCTACTTGGGAGGCTGAGGCAGGAGAATCACTTGAACCCGGGAGGCGGAGGTTGCAATGAGCCGCGATCATGCCACTGCACTCTAGCCTGGGCAACAGGGCAAAACTGTCTCAAAAAAAAAAAAAAAAAAAGCTGGCGTAAGCCATGCACAGTGGTGCATGCCTGGAGTCAGTCTTAACTCCCAGGGAGGCTGAGGCAGAAGGATGGCTTAAAGCCGGAAGTTCAAGACCAGACTGGACAACATAGGGAGATCCCACCCCATCTCAGAAAACTGACCAAGCAGCAAGCAGAGTATCCCATTTTTACTAAATACTTACATATATTCACATATTTCAAATTGTAGAATGAAAAACAAATGTTAGGTCAGCCGCCTAACATTGAGACGTAGTATTTGCTCTGTTGCCCAGGCTGGAATGCAGTGGTGCCATCTCGGCAACCTCCACCTACCGGGTTCAAGCTATTCTGCCTCAGCCTCCCAAGTAGCTGGGATTACAAGCATGTGCCACAGGCCCAGCTAATTTTTGTGTTTTTAGTAGAGACGGGGTTTCACCATGTTGGCCAGGCTGGTCTGGAACTCCTGACCTCAGGGTGATCCACCCACCTCGGCCTCCCAAAGTGCTGGGATTATAGGCGTGAGCCACCGCTCCCAGCCATTTGTTTGTTTTTGAGACAGGGTCTCACTCTGTCGCCCAGGCTGGAGTGCAGTGGTGCGTTCATGGCTTACTGCAGCTCCACTTCGTGGGCCCAAGCAGTCCTCCCACCTCAGCCTCTCAAGTAGCTGAGACTACAGGCGTGTACCATCATGCCTGGCTAATTGTGTGTGTTTTGGTAGCGACAGAGTTTTGCCATGTCGCCAAGGCTGGTCTCGAATTCCTGGGCTCAAGGGATCCTCCTGCCTTGGCCTGCCAAAGCACTGGAATTACAGGTGTGAGCCACTGTGCCCAGCCCATTCTAGTATTTTAACAGTTTTATTGCTATATGATGGACATAATAAACTGTACATATTTAAAGGGTACAATTTGATAAATTTTGGCATAAGTATATACCCATGAAACCATCATCTTATATTTTTATAACTTTTATAAACTGTTCTAAGGTGATGATACATTACAGGGTTTTAGTTTTTTATTTATTTATTTATTTCTGAGACAGAGTCTAGCTCTGTTGCCCAGGCTGGAGTGCAGTGATGCAATCTCGGCTCACTGCAACCTCCGAGTCCCAGGTTCAAGCAATTCTCCTGCCTCAGCCTCACAAGTAGCTGGGATTACAGGCACCTGCCACCACACCCGGCTAATTTTTGTATTTTTAGTAGAGACAGTTTCACCATGTTGGCCAGGCTGGTCTCGGACTCGTGACCTCAGGTGATCCACTCACTTCAGCCTTCCAAAGTGCTGGGATTACAGGCGTGAACCACCGTGCCCGGGCCGGCCTTGTTTTAGGTTTTTACATTTAAGAAAGGGGAAAAAAAAAGCGTATCAGCCATTGAACTTGCTGAACTGAGAGGGAAAGGGATTTGTGCCCACTTCTGGAAGGGTGGGCTGTGGCAGGCTGGAGCAGGCAGGCAGGCCTTTCTGGAAACTTGAGAAGGCAGGAGCCGGAATGGGCTTTGGATGCCTTGTGCTGGGGCCAGCTTCTCAACAGCCTGGGCCCCTACCTGGGGCTCACGGGCAGGGGAGGTGGGAGGAGGCCCGGGGCTACAGCATCCAGACTCTTCCTTGCTCTCCCACAGGAGGCCTGTGCAACCTGTGCCCAGACAGGGCCAACAAGGAGCACATCCTGCACGCAGGAGGTGTCCCACTCATCATCAACTGCCTATCCAGCCCCAATGAGGAGACGGTGCTGTCTGCCATCACCACGCTCATGCACCTGAGCCCGCCGGGCCGCAGCTTTCTCCCAGAGCTGACCGCCACGCCCGTGGTGCAGTGCATGCTTCGCTTCTCCCTCTCGGCCAGCGCCAGGCTCCGGAACCTGGCACAGATCTTCCTGGAGGACTTCTGCTCCCCCCGCCAGGTGGCCGAGGCCCGCAGCCGGCAGGCGCACTCTGCCCTGGGTATCCCACTGCCGAGGAGCGTGGCCCCACGGCAGCGCTGATCCATGGAGACTGCGAGACCGTG
Source organism: Homo sapiens (assembly GCF_000001405.40). Lineage (NCBI taxonomy): Eukaryota > Metazoa > Chordata > Mammalia > Primates > Hominidae > Homo > Homo sapiens. The sequence goes on from NC_000017.11 coordinate 75,129,062, forward strand.
GCACCCCTACTGCTGGAGACCACAGTCCTGATGTGGACGCAGGGAACGGGGAGCACATACTGCCCCATTGGTGCCTTTTCAGCCATCTGAAAGGCGGGTTCTTTCAGCAGGACAGGCATTTACACTGATGAAACGCCACTGGGAGTGAGGAAGCCAGACTCCAGAGACACGGAGAAGATCAAACTGGAGCTGCGTTCATAGGCTGGCACTCTCAATCCTACATCAGGTGCCACCACCACCAGACTCAGGCCCTGGTGTAAGAAGCGGCCAAGTGCCTGGACCCAGAGGCTTTGCAGGACAGTGTTCTCAGGAGCTGGGCCTGAGGCTTAGGAGAGCTGCCTTCGCTGCAGGAAATCAGGGATTATCCCTTAACAGAAGTGTCTGGAGTAGTTTTCAGGTATAGGAATGAGATGCCTCGTGGTGAAAGGATCTCACCCTGGGAAGATGTGGTGCCCCCTCCAGGGCTCTGGAGGATGGATGCCTCCCCCAGGGGCTCTCCAAGCTGGGCATTTGGGCCTGGTGGATGCCAACCTGGATAACCTGTGGCCCAGCATTGACTGTCCACCCAGCCTTGCTGTTAGGCACCATGACTCCAAGATGAAGATGTGGTCCCTGCCCTTGAGTGACAGCCCAGGGACTTAATGTGGCCATCGGGCATCAAGCACAAGGCCATGCAGGTGATGATACGTCGGAATAGAGGCACCAGCCCTGGTAACTGCATCTTCTCCCCTTGCCACCCCATGGCCCCGGCTGAAAGCTTCGGCCCTCCTCTGCTGTCACTCAATGATGGGGAGCCCTACCCCAGAAGTGTATCCCACGAGGGCATCAGGGACGCAGTGAGTGTTGCTCAAGGGAGTCAGGAAGAGACGGCAACGTAAAGGATGTGGCTCCATGTCCATGGTGCCCCCTGGTCAACATAAGGAGCGTGGGATCCGATGGAAAGGTGGAGCTCAGGGAAAATGGGGGTCCTTGCCTCTCGTGTACCCCCTCAAGGCTGACCCCTTAGATGGCCCAGGAATGGCAGGTGCTACAAAAATGGTACCCACGTGGGCATGGAAATGGGGCAGATTAGGGGACCACTGGACTCAGAGGGGAGGGAAGGGCTCATCAGCACCCGCTCAGGGAGCCTGTCCCTTTATGTTCCCAAATAAAGGGTCCTAGAAGACTAGAAAGCCAAGGTCTTTTATTAAAGGTCCCGACTGGTTTTCCCACTGTATTTCCATGCCAGCCAGGGTCCAGGGACAGCCTCTCGGGAGGTACCGGGTGGCTGGGCCTGGGGCCCGGTAGCACAGCGCTTAACGGTATCTGCCTGCTCCACTCCACGGGGCCAGAGGCACCAGCACGATGCCGCCCCGACTCGGCTCTGCGGTGGCCCCTGTGGGCCTGCCCTTCCTTTAGCTCCAGCTGCTGCCCGCGGCATCCCCGCTCATTCCCGCTGCGCAGCTCCGCGCTTGCTATCTAAGATCTCCCTCCAGTTGTCACTCCAGGAGAGCAGCCGTCTCCTTGTCGGGGGCAGGACCAGGTGCCGATTGTGGCAGCAGGTGAACAAGATGTGCTCCCAGCTTGGGGTCTCCTCCTGGCCTAGGACAGTGAAAGACAGCGCGCTGCCATCTGTCATGGGTATTATTACTCCCTCTCCCTAATCCGGGCAGGCCAGAGGCCTGGAGGCTGCCAAGGATAACGGGTCCAACCTCGAACTGTGTCCTTGTCATCAATGAGCAGGTCCCCCAAGACCACCGTCTTGTCCCTTGTCAGGATAATTCGTTCTACGAACTGGGGCCCCAGGTGCTGCTCCACCCAGCGGTACTGTGTAGAAAACACAGTCTGTGAGTAGGGCCTGATGGAAGCCGGAATTCAGGGATAGGGACTTGGCTCTAAGCCCTTGAGAGCCCCCCACCCCCACCTTCTGGGTTTCTGGTGGTTTCTTTTTAAAATCAGGATTTAGGCAGCTCCACGTGCGGAGTAGGGGCGGGGCAGCCACACCTTCTCACCCACACAGTGGTGGTACTTCAGCAGGGGGCTGGTGCAGATGAAGACCTGCGTGCTGCGGAGAAGGACGCGGTTACCGCCGGGAGCCAGGAGCCCGCCCAGGACTCCGCCCGCCCCCCTCTCTCCTTACTCCGGTAGGTCGTTCATCTCCCGCACAGCGTCCAAGGCTCCCGGGATGGGCTCCAGGTCCAGGAAAAAGCCCGGGGCTTCGTACACACTGGCCACTTTATCCTGAAAGACAAGAGTTCTGGGTCCCGGCTTCCCGTTCCCGCGAGGACCCGCAGGGAGGCTCCTGGGGGCTCCGGGCCCGAGCTCAGAGGGGCGGAGGGGGCGTCGGTCAGGGGCACGCGCCCAAAGGCTCCTCCCCAGGGTGCGCTGCCCGCGGGTTCCAGGGTGAGAGCTCTGCGCCCTTCACAGAGAAGGGGGAGACCCCCGGAACGGAGCGAGCGGGCCCTGCCCGGGTGGGGACCCTGCGCCCCCTACCGCCAGGTCGGGCCGCAGGGCGCGGTACTGCTCGCGGGCCAGGAAGCCGCGGCGTTGCTCCAGCGGCACGTGCGGCTCCTCAGGGAAGCGGCGGCGGAAGCCCCGCAGGAGGCCGGCCTCGAAGTCGGCCAGGACGCCGTCCATGTCCACCAGCACGCGCACGCTCCGCGCCATCGCCGCCGGGCCGGAGCTGCGAGCTCTCGGGGTCTGGGGGGCGCGGGCTCGGCCGGAAGCGGAGGGAGCGCTGCTTCCGGAGTCCGCCGGGCTGATTTGCATAGAGTGTCCGGGCCGCCCCGCCCAGGTCGTAAACCAGTGCCGACGGCCCTGCGGTTGCGCGAGGCCATCCTAGGGTTCGGGTGCAGGGACGGCTTTGGGGGGCACTTTTCTGACCCTGCGCTTCTTCGGGACCCAGCCTTTGTCCCCATCAGCCGCCTCCCACTTTACGGCAGACGTACCCCCGTTCACCCCACGTTACTAGTAGGGGACCGACCTTCCGGGGGCCCAACAAAGGGATGCTCTGAAATACTGGGAAGCATCTAACGAGGAGTCAAGGGTCCTAAACCCGTGGGGCTAGCTCCACATTTTTTTTCTTTTTTTCTTTTTTTTTTTTTTTATTTTGAGACGGAGTCTGGCTCTGTCGCCCAGGCTGCGGCGCAGTGGCGGCGCGATCTCGGCTCACTGCAGCCTCCGCTTCCCGGGTTCAACCGATTCTCTTGCTTCAGCCTCCCGAGTAGCTGGGATTACAGGCACCCGCCACCACGCCTGGCTAATTTTTGTAGTTTTAGTAGAGACGGGGTTTCGCCATGTTGGTCAGGCTGGTTTCAAACTCCTGACCTCAAGTGATCTGCCTGCCTTGGCCTCCCAAAGTGTTGGGATTATAGGCTTGAGCCACCGCACCTGGCCAAAGTCTTATTACCGCAGTACCGTGGTCTCAGTGGATTGCTTTCGTCTGTGCAGTGGAGCAGGAACAATCCCTCGAGGACTACAAAGTGAAATGAATCTGTTAACTGGTTTGTGTAAGTCTAGCTCGTTAAGAGACTAATTCACACTAGAGTTGGCTTGAAACATGGGAGCTTCAAGTGTGGTTTCCCCCGGAAAGATGATTTTGATCAAGCACAGGTAATCAGGACTGTCCTCAGGACTTTATGTGGAACTGACATCGCTTACCTACTCCCGTCTAGAAAATGCTGAACAGGGCCAGGTGCGGTGGCTCACGCCTATAATCCCAGCACTTTGGGAGGCCGTGGCGGGCGGATCATCTGAGGTCGGGAGTTCAAGACCAGCCTGACCAACATGGAGAAATCCTGTCGCTACTAAAAATACAAAATTAGCGTGGTGGCACATGCTTGTAATCCCAGCTACCCGGGAGGCTGAGGCAGGAGAATCTCTTGAATCCAGGAGGCAGAGGTTGCGGTGAGCCGAGATCATGCCATTGCCCTCCAGCCTGGGCAGCAAGAACAAAACTCCTTCTCAAAAAAAAAAAAAAAAAAAAAGAACATGCTGAACTGTGATACATTTTGTTGACTCTTCTTTTTGTGGATGTCATGAAACTTCCTGACTCCACTCAAATCTATTTGCCTACAAACTATAAAGCCAGGCGCCGTGGCTCAGGCTGGTAATCCCAGCACTTTGGGAGGCCCAGGTGGGAGACAGCTTGAGCCCAGGAGTTCAAGACCAGCCTGAGCAACACAGGGAGACCCTGTCTCTACAATAAACAAATCAATAAGCTGGGTATGGTGGCGCATGCCTGTGGTCCTAGCTACTCATGAGCCTTAGGTGGGAGGAACCCTTGAGCCCAGGAAATTGAGGCTACACAGCCTTCATCCTGCCACTGCACTCCAGCCTGGGTGACAGAGGGAGTCCCTGTTGGGGGAGGGGAGAGCCAAAATTATAAACACAGATTTAAGTGGCCCATCTCGCCATTGTTCCCCATCTGATGAACCCACTGCTTCCAAATATATGTAACAGAGGCTGGGCACGGTAGCTCACGCCTGTAATCCCAGCACTTTGGGAGGCTGAGGCGGGCGGATCATGAGGTCAGGAGATCAGGACCATCCTGGCTAACACGGTGAAACCCTGTCTCTACTAAAAATACAAAAAAAAAAAAAAAATTAGCTGGGCATGGTGGCGGGTGACTGTAGTCCCAGCTACTCAGGAGGCTGAGGTAGGAGAATGGCATGAACCCGGGAGGCAGAGATTACAGTGAGCCAAGACCACGCCACTGCACTCCAGCCTGGGCCACAGCGAGACTCCGTCTCAAACAAACAAACAAACAAAACATGTAATAGAAGCATCACACACACAAAAAAACCTGACAGGGCCGGGTGCAGTGGCTCACGCCTGTAATCCCAGCATTTTGGGAGGCCGAGGCAGGTGGATCACAAAGTCAGGAGTTCGAGACCAGCCTGACCAACATGGTGAAACCCCATCTCTACTAAAAATACAAAAACTAGCCGGGCATGGTGGGACATGCCTACAAATCCCAGCTACTCAGGAGGCCAAGGCAGGAGAATTGCTTGAACCCGGGAGACAGACGTTGCAGTGAGCCAAGATCATGCCACTGCAGTCCAGCCTGGGTGACAGAGCCAGACTCCATCTCAGAAAAAAAAAAAGCCTGACAAACCAGTCTAAGAGGGGCTCAAGTCAACATGCATATGACTCATAGATACGCAGACATTTTGGAGGCCCAGACTTGCGAGTTATCTCAAGGGGAAGCAGTCTTGGGGGCTGAGCCCTCAACTTGTGGAATCAAAGCTATCTCCAGGTAACTGATTGTCAGAATTGAATTGGAGGGCCAGGTGAGGTGGCTCATGCCTATAATCCCAGCACTTTGGGAAGTCGAGGTGGGCAGATTACTTGAGGTCAGGAGTTCGACACCAGCCTGGGCAACATGGCATAAACCCTGTCTCTACTAAAAATACAAAAATTAGCTGGGTGTGGTGGCACATGCCTGTAGTCCCAGCTACTCGGGAGGGTGAGGCAGGAGAATCGCTGGAACCCAGAAGGCAGAGGTTGCAGTGAGCAGATTGTGCCACTGCACTTCAGCCTGGGCGACAGACTGAGACACTGTCTTAAAAAAAAAAAAAAATTGGAGGACACCTAGCTGGTATCCACTGCAGAATTGCTTGCTTGCTTGCTTGCTGGTGGGGAGAAATCCCCGCATATTTAAAGTTGGAGAACTTTTTTTGAGACAGGGTCTTGCTGTCACCCAGGCTGGAGTACAGTGGTGCGATCATGGCTCACTGCAGCCTTGATCTCACAGGGTGAAGCAATCCTCCTGCCTCAGCCTCCCGACTACAGGCGTGTGCCATCACACCTGGCTATTTTTGGTAGAGACGAGGTTTCACCATGTTGCCCAGTCTTGGAGAACACTTTAAAATGTTACTGCCCAGAACAAAGGGGAGGTAGAAGAGTCTAACCTGCTCATCTTTAGAGCCTTCTTCAGAAAGAAACCCACTCCTCTCTGGGTCTTCATCTGTTTTAAGATTTTGTTTTTTAAGGAGGTCTCGCTATGTTGCCCAGGATAGTCTCAAACTCCTGGGCTCAAGCATCCTCTTGCCTTGGCTTCCCAAGTAGCTAATTACAGGCACATCTGGCTATTTAACTTCAAATGACTCCTCCAATCAGTAGGCAGGATTTATAGTGACAAAGAGAAAAGCATCTAACCAGGGAGAACACTGAAACCATCTCAAAAAGAAGACACAGTACACAGTGTTTCAAAATGTGGATATTGTTTACTTGAAGCAACAGTCCAGGATTGTGAAGTACAACACATTTTAAGGATGAGACTTTCCTTTCATGGTCAAGCACCAGCATCATGCACACAGCATCAGGTTATTTAAAACAACACGCCTGTGGGACCCCGTTCCTGGAGGAAGACCCGCTTCAGTGTGATTGCCTCCCTTGCTTCACTGCTTTTAGTTCCAGGCAGTTTCATTGTACATCCAAGCCTTCCTCTGCGTGAGAGCAAAGGCTTTGCTCATCAGCCAGCCAGTCTTGTTACTATCTGGCTACTTTTTAAGGTTAAAAAATAAAAGGCAGTTTCTTTGCTTTGCAGGCGGCAAGGCAGGAGGCGCAGGCCTCTTCATTGTTCACATGTCACAGGAGGAGGCTCTGAGCAAAGGCCACTGGCAAGTTAGGGCAACACCAAGAAGGCTCTGCGGAGAGACTCCCTGTGGGTTGGGGCCTGGCAGGAACGGTGCCTGTGGACTGTTTATGGTCTGTCCAGTTGAGGCTTGGTAAACCCAAGTAAAGTGTTAAAAACCTCAGTACAAAAGATCCTCTAACACATCTGGAACCAAATTATTTCTTCTTAAAAACACAGTACTAAGTGTCACAAAGCTTTCCCTCCAATCTACTACTAGAAAACACTCATGCCATGGCCCACAGACCCAAGAGTCAAGGACAGAGAGAAACCTGTTCTTCAAAAGAAAAAAAAAAAAGACAGCAGTACATAAAGTGCTTCTTTTTAATGAAACAAATCCAAGAGATGTACAGTCAGGCTCAAGTTGTGCAGTTCACAAGCATGGAGGAAACAGACAGAACGACAGCGTTCAGGACAGTCAGAGCTAACCCAAGACGAGGCTGGACTTGCCGCCAGGGGGATTTCTTCTGGATGGCACTGGGGCCGGGGCCACCGGGCTGGGCACAGGCGCAGCAGGCACGGGCTTCTCTTCACTCTGCCCCAGGCTGCCTGGCAAGTCTGTGTCCACATTTTCTATGAAAACAGGGAATAGAAATAATACTCATAATGACAGCCATTTCCTGTTAAGATCAAGGATCTGTTTCTCTTTTTCTTTTTTTTTTGGTTTGATGGTTGGAAACATACCTAAAAGCATAAACAAAATAATCACCCACCATGCTCCCACTCCACAGAATTAACCATTGTTCATCTTTTCCCATATTTGTTGTTTATGTTCTTTTCTAAATTACACAAATATATAAGGACATGAAGTTTTTTTTTGTTTTGTTTTGTTTTTTGACGGAGTCTCGCTGTTGCCCAGGCTGGAGTGCAATGGTGCAGTCTTGGCTCACTGCAACCTCCACTTCCCAGGTTCAAGCAATTCTCCTGCCTCAGCCTCTCTAGTAGCTGGGATTACAGGCGCCTGCCGCCATGCCCGGCTAATTCTTGTATTTTTAGTACAGATGGGGTTTCACCATCCTGGCCAAGCTGGTCTTGAATTCATGACCTTGTGATCCACCTGCCTCGGCCTCCCAAAGTGCTGGGATTACAGGCGTGAGCCACCGCGCCTGGCCCAAGGACATGAAGATTTTTAAATAAGAACAGGGAACTCTAGCTCTACGGCCCCTTCCAGCTCCGGGTGGATCCTGCTCCCCCTATTCCCAGAGGTCCCACTGCAAGTCCTGTGCAGCCTTCTAGTCCACTTGTTTTATGTATATTTACATGTAGCCAGATAACATGTAACATGTTTTGGTTATATTTAACATAAATGGTATCAACTTCTTTTTTTCACTCTTGGAAATGTATCCATATTTACAAACAGGGTAGTAATTCGCCTTGCTTATTAACTGTATGTTTTCAAATCCCTCACCTCACTGTCAAGCTTCATTGCTTTATAGTAATTATCACATGATATAGGCTATTTATCCAATTCTCTGACAGCAAAAAAACTGGAACCCATCCAATTTTCCAAATGAATTGTCTCTCATTAGGGTTGTTTCTAAACCGGGAAAAAACTGATTCAAAGTGCAAAGTGAATGCAAAAATTCTATATTTTCTATGAAAGGAAACTTTTACTAAGAGCTTAATAGTATACATATTTTTAGTTTTTTTGTTTGTTTGTTTTTTGTGGAGGGGTGGGGTGGCAGGTGGAGGATATTGAGACAGGGTCTCACTCTGTGGCCCAGGCTGGAGTGCAGTACCTCAATCACAGCCCACTGTAGCCTCAAACTCCTGGGCTCAAGCAATCCTCCTATATCAGTCTCCCAAATAGCTGGGACTACAGGCGCGCACCACCACAACTGGCTATTTTTGTTTTTTTTTTTTTTTTATTTTTAAAAGATGGGGTCTCCTTATGTTACCCAGGCTGGTCTCAAATTCCTGGACTCAAGTGATCCTCCCATCTCACCCTCCCTAAGTGCTGGGATCACAGGCATGAGCCACCTTCACCCTTCACACAGCCTAGTTTTCCTTTTTTTTTTTTTTTTTTTTTTTTTTTGAGACAGGGTCTTTAACCTCTGCCTCCTGGGTTCAAGCAATTCTCCTGCCTCAGCCTCCCGAGTAGCTGGAATTACAGGCATGCACCACCATGCCTGATTAATTTTTGTATTTTTAGTAGAGACGGGGTTTCGCCATGTTGGCCAGGCTGGTCTCAAACTCCTGGCCTCAAGTGAGCCACCTACCTTGGCCTCCCAAAGTGCTGGGATTACAGGCATTAAGCCACTGCACCCGGCCTAGTTTTCCTTTTTTTTCTTTAGTTGAGATGGAGTTTCACACATGTTGTCCAGGCTAGAGTGCAACAGTGCAATTTCGGCTCACTGCAACCTGTGCCTCCCGGGTTCAAGCAATTCTCCTGCCTCAGCATCCCAAGTAAGTAGCTGGGATTATAGGTGCCCGCTACAACGCCCGACTAATTTTTTGTATTTTTAGTAGAGACAGGGTTTCACCATGTTGGCCTGGCTGGTCTTAAACTCCTGACCTCAGGTGATCCAACCTGCCTTGGCCTCCCAAGGTGCTGGGATTACAGGCGTGAGCCTCCATACTGGGCCTTAGTTTTCTTTTTAATAGCAAGTTTATTTCAGTGTTAACCAATCAAATTCAGTTGCATATTCTAAGATATTCGTAAAAATATTTCATAGAATCCCTTTTGCCTGAAAAGGCAGTAAGGGCAGTTAATAATGCTCCTATATTAATGGATTTTTTTTTTTTTTTTGAGACTGTGTCTCATTCCATCGCCCAGACTGGAGTAAAGTAGCGTGATCCTGGCCCACCACAACCTCCGCCTCCCAGGCTCAAGCGATTCTCCTGCCTCAGCCTCCCAATAGCTGGGGTTATAGGCGCCCGCCACCATGCCCAGCTAATTTTTTGTATTTTTGTAGAGACCAGGTTTCACCATGTTGGCCAGGCTTGTCTCAACCTCCTGACCGCAAGTGATCCACCCACCTCAGCTGCCCAAAGTACTCAGATTACAGGCGTGAGCCACCATGCCCGGCCAAGAAGAGGTCTTTAACACTTACTCTCAATTCATGTACTTATCTCATGATAGGCTAGAAGCAAACAAACCTCCCTCTTCTGTGGCTGCAGTATTTCTCATTGGACAGACATTTATTTTATTTATTTATTTTTCATGCTTTGTTAATGTTAACATACTACTGCTGCTTTTAACATTTCATGAATTTCTGGAACATTCTATGGGAGTAACATAAAATGTTCTATACTATTTAACTACAAGCAAAAATAGAGTATGAAGCTTTTCAGAATGACAACTGTCACAATTATGAACTAAAACTCAGAGAGGGTCACCCATTAGTTTCCTTGGTTACATCCATTGTAAAAGAAGCAAGATCAAATGCACTGGATCAGACACACAAGTCCTACAATAAGTGTCCCTGAAATAACCTAAATATAATTGTAAATATAAAAGAAAAACAAAACTCCACATTTAAAATATTCAAGATAAAGAGAATTCGGACTGAGACAACTTGTTAGTTCAAGCAGTTTCATTTCTGCTGGTGGGACATGGCCTCCTGCTATACATACAGGATCTACTGAAGTCTTCATTCTCTCTCTGAATCCAGCAGTTAATGAACATTCTGAAGAACAAAAAATTATCTTGCAGTCCTGCCATAGTGGTTTATTTTCATAAAATCCTCTTCAGATGAATCAAGCTCAATACTACTAATCTTATATTTGTCTTACATTATTACTAGAACTGTTTTGTTTTTCACAAATACATAACATACTAATAAAGAAGAAGAAAAAAATAAAAAAGCACCTATGGAGACTAAACAAGCAGCAGTAGGCCTTACTTTAAATGTCTGTCCAGGCCAGGTGCAGTGGCTCACACCTGTAATCCCAGCACTTTGGGAGGCCAAGGCAGCTGAATAACCTGAGGTCAGGAGTTTGAGACCAGCTTGGCCAACATGGTGAAACCCCGTGTCTACAAAAGTACAAAAATTAGCTGGGCGTGTGTGCGCGCCTGTATTCACAGATACTCGGGAGGCTGAGGCAAGAGAATCACTTGAACCCGGGAGGCGGAGTTTGAAGTGAGCCAAGATCGTGCCACAGCACTCCAGCCTGGGCGACAGAGTAAGACTCCGTCTCAAAAATAAATAAATGTCTGTCCAGTCAGAAGTACTCCACCCACAGAGGAGGGAGGTTTGTTTGTTTCCAGCCCATAATGAGATAAGTACAGGAATTGAGAGTAAGTGTTCAGAAACTTTGATTTATTTTTTCAGATGGAGTCTCTCTCTCTTGCCAGGCTGGAGTGCAGTGGCGCAATCTATCTCCACCTCCCAGGTTCAAGCGATTCTCCTGCCTCAGCCTCCCAAGTAGCTGGGATTACAGGCGCGTGCCACCACGCCTGGCTAATTTTTGTATTTTTAGTAGAGACGGGCTTTCACCATGTTGGCCAGGATGGTCTTGATCTCTTGACCTCATGATCCGCACACCTCAGCCTCCCGAAGGGCTGGGATTACAGGCATGAGCCACCGCGCCCAGCCAAATGTTTAGAAACTTTTATGCCAATTTGACACAGAAAGCTTTTGTCTGCTGAAGATAATTTAAAAAAAAAAAGGGCTTTAAATGAAATTATTTCTACCAAAATATACATTTTAGACACTCCTGGTCTCTTTTCTTTGGCACATCAATAAGATAACTGAACAAAGACATCTCTATCTGAATAGAAAATGATTCATTGTAAGCATCAAAGAATCAGAACTGGAAGAAATGTAGCCGACCATCTAACTTGCCCGCAGTCAGGGAGACTTCTCTGCCTGAACTTCCTGGACCTTCTCCCTCTTAGATTTCTCAAGATGGAAACTCCAAAGTCATTCCTGTAGCCATTCCTGCGTTTAATTGCCCAAGAGGTAAAATAAATTTCCCGTATATCCAAAGGGAATCTATCTTATTTAAACTGAATTGGGGTTGACCTTTAATCCTCCAGATGTATCTTATTACTGTACCTCAGCCAGGCACAGCGGCTCACACCTGTAATCCCAGAATTTTGGGAGGCCAAGGCAGGAAGATCAACATGAACCCAGGACCAGCCGGGGGAAACATAGCAAAACCCTGTCTCTACAGAAACTACAAAAATTGGCCAAGCACGGTGGCTCACGCCTGTAATCCCGACACTTTGGGAGGCCAAGGCAGGTGGATCACGAGGTAAGGAGTTCGAGACCGGCCTGGGCAAGATGGTGAAATCCTGTCTCTACTGAAAACACAAAAATTAGCTGGACACAGTGGCGGGCACCTGTAATCCCAGCTACTCGGGAGGCTGAGGCAGGAGAATTGCTTGAATCAAAGAGGTGGAGGCTGCAGTGAGCCAAGATCATGCCACTGCATTTCTAGCCTGGGCAACAGAGCAAGACTCCATCTCAAAAACAAAACAAAAACAAAACCACAAAAATTAGCCAGGCATGGTGGCATGCAACTGTAGTCCCAACTACTCAGGAAGCTGAGGTGAGAGGATGGCTTGAACCCGGAAGTCAAGGCTGCAGTGAGTGGTGATTGTGCCACTGCACTCGTGGTTCAGGCAACAGTGAGAACCTGTCTCAGTAAAGAAAAAAATATTATTGTGCCCCTTTTCATTTTAAGACAGATGAACTAAAGTTGCAGCAGTCAGCCACACAGAATATATCAGATCAGAAACTTAAAAAGGCCGGGCACAATAGCTTACACCTGTAATCCCAGCACTTTGGGAGGCCAAGGCAGGGGGATCACCTGAGGTCAGGAGTTTGAGACCAGCCTGGCCAACATGGTGAAATACTGTCTCTACTAAAAATACAAAAATTAGCTAGGCATGGTGGTGCATGCCTGTAGTCCCAGCTACTCGGGAGGCTGAGGCAGGAGAATCACTTGAACCCGGGAGGCGGAGGTTGCAGTGAGCCGAGATTATGCCACTGCACTCCAGCCTGGCGACAGAGTGAGACTCTCAAAAAAAACAAAAAGGAAAAAACAACAACAGGTAACCAGATAACCACTGGGGGGAAAAAGAAAGGACTTAGGAGTTTGCGACCAGCCTGGCCAACATGGCGAAAACTCCGTGTCTGCTAAAAATAAAAAAAATTAGTTGAGCGAGGCTGGGCGCAGTGGCTCATGCCTCCCAGCGCTTTGGGAGGCCAAGGTGGGTAGATCGCTTGAGGTCAGGAGTTCGAGACCAGCCTGGTGAATATGGTGAAACTCCGTCTCTACTAAAAGTAAAAAAAATAGCCAGCTGTAGTGGCGCACACCTGTAGTCCCAGATACTCAGGAGGCTAAGGCGGGAGAATCGCTTGAACCTGGGAGGCGGAGGTTGCCTTGAGCTGAGATCATACCACTGCACTCCAGCCTGGGTGACAGAGCAAGGCTCTGTCTCGAAAAAACAAAAACTGTGAAGGGGACTGAAAAGGGAACAGAATTATTAATTATGTGGTAGGACTATTGACACATTGTTGACATACTTCTCCAAGTTCCCCTAACTTCTAGTTGTATTAACTGACCAAAATAATTGAATAAAGATTAGCTGATTCTTGTTAAATAAGGTCTGACAGTGAAAGTATTCAGAATATAGAAAGCAGTAGAACCGGCCGGGCCTGGTGGCTCACGCCTGTAATCCTAGCATTTTGGGAGGCCAAGGCAGGTGGATCACCTGAGGTCAGGAGTTCAAGACCAGTCTGGCCAACATGTTGAAACTCTGTCTCTACTAATAAAAAAAAAATTAGCCGGGCGTGGTGGCAGCCCTTGTAATCCCAGCTACGCAGGGAGGCTGAGGCAGGAGAATCACTTGAAACCGGTAGGTGGAGTTGCAGTGAGCCGTGATCGTGCCACTACACTCCAGCCTGGACAACAAGAGCTAAACTCCGTCAAGGGGGGAGGGGAGGGGAGAGGGAGGGAGAGGGAGGGAGGGAGGGGAAGGGGGAGAGAGGAGGGGAGGGAGGGGAGGGAGGGGAGGGGGGGATGGAGGGAAGGGGGAGGAAGGGAACGGGAAGGGATGAGAAGGGAGGGGAGGGGAAGGGAGAGGAGGGAAGAAGGAAGGAAGCAAGAAGTGGAATCAAAAAACCTAGATTTTACCTCCAGAAGTCTTTCCAGAACAGTACAAATAGAACACAAACAGTAATTAATACATACATCTTCGGTCCAATGCAAAAGTAACTGGTCCTGTGATATTATGATATACATACGTATATGAAAATACACACACACACACACAAAATCTGTTTTTGTCCACAGCTACTGGCTGGTAACTCCCATAGCCCTTAAAAGTCTTTTGAATGGGGTGCATTAAGCCTCAGGAGCAGCCCTCAGGAAACAGAATCTCTTTGTGACCTCCTGTCCTCCTTTTACCTGCCCAGGGCAGGACTGTAATCTGATGGCAGGTCAAAAGACCCTTAATCCAGAGGGTCCTGCTCCATACCCTGGAGGAGGGAATGCTACATGGAGAGGCCAAGAAGAATCTAACAGACGGGCCTTCTGAGTTCCCTTGTTCAGTCCATTGGTATGAAATCAAACCTTTTTTGTCTAATCGTATTTCTGTACAGTTGTCAATCATGCTTATGTAATGAAGCCTCCATAAAAAACCAAAAGGGGCCAGGTGTAGCGGCTCATGCCTGTAATCCCAGCACTTTGGAAAGCCAAAGCAGGTGGATTACTGGAGGTCAGGAGTTCAGTATCAGCCCGGCCAACATGGTGAAACCTCGTCTCTACTAAAAATACAAAATTAGCCAGGTATAGTAGCGTGCACCTGTAATCTCAGCTACTCAGGAGGCTGAGGCAGGAGAATTGCTTGAACCCAGGAGGCAGAGGTTGCAGTGAGCCAAGATCATGCCATTGCACTCCAGCCTGGGCAAAAAGTGTGAAACTTGGCCAGGCATGGTGGCTTACACCCATAATCTTAGCACTTTGGGAGGCTGAGGAGGGTGGATCACCTGAGGTCAGGAGATCAAGACCAGCCTGGCCAACATGGCGAAACCCTGTCTCCACTAAAAATTAAAAAATTACCTGGGCATGGTGGTGCATGCCTGTAATCTCAGCTACTCAGGAGGCTGAGGAAGGAGAATCGCTTGAACCTGGGAGGCAGAGGATGCAGTGAGCTGAGATGGCACCACTGCACTCCAGCCTGGGTGACAGAGAGTGAGACTCCATCTCAGAAAAAAAAAAGAGCGAATCTCCATCTCGAGAAAAAAAAGAAAAACCCAAAAGGGGCTGGGCACAGTGGCTCACTTTGGGAGGCAAAGGTAGGAAGACTGCTTGAGTCCAGGAGGTTGAGGCTATAGTGAGCAATGAGATTGTGCCACTGCACTCTAGCCTGGTTAAGACCAAAACCCAGTCTTAAAAAAACACCCAGAAGGATGGATTCTGAGGACTTCTGGATAACTGAACATGTGGAAGCTGACAGGAAGGTGCAACAACTCATCCATGTGCCAGGAGGGTGGCACACCCCAACTCCAAGGTACAGGAGCTCCTGTACTTGGGACCTTTCCATACCAGGCCCCAAGTATCTCCTCACTGGGCTGTTTATTTGTATCCTTTCAAATATCCTTCGTAACAACCCAGGTACAGTGGCTCATGCCTGTAATCTCAATACTTTTGGAGGCTGAGGTGGGAGGATCACATGACTGGCCTGTGTAACATAACATAGTGAGACCACATCTCTACAAAAAAAGAAAAAAAATTAGCCAGGCATGGTGGCATACACCTGTATCCCAGCTACTCAGGAGGCTGAGGCAGGAGGATTGCTTCAGCTCAGGAGTTTGAAGTTGCAGTGAGCTGTGAGGGTGACACTGCACTCCAGTCTGGACAACAGAGCAAGATTCAGTTTAGAAAAAAATAAAAAAAAATGTATCATATATTCATAATGAACCTGTAAACATAAGTGTTTCCCTGAGTTCTTTCTGTGAACCTCTCTAGCAAATTAATCAAAACCATAGAAGGGGTCACAGGAACCCCAATTTGAAGCCAGTCGGTCAGAAGTTCCAGAGGCCCAGACTTACAACTGGTGGGAAGGAAGGGGCAGTCTTGTGGGACTGACCCTCAACCTGCTGAATCTGAGGTTATCTTCAGGCAGAGGGTGTGGAAACTGGATTGGAGGACTCCCAACTGGTGTCCACTGATTGGCGTGTGGGGAGAAACCCCCCATATTTGGTCACAGGTGTCGTCTTCTGTGTTGATGATTGTTGTGGTGTGAAAAAAAGAGGAAAAACACGTTTGAGTGTTTTCCCCCTAAACAGGTCCTATAAGGAAGAACCCAGGCAATGCTCCCAAAGGCTCAGGAGCTTCTCCTCTAAGCCCACCAAGAAACACTGTGAGGCCGGGCGCAGTGGCTCATGCCGGGCATGGTGCCGCGTGCCTGTAATCCCAGCTATTCAGGAGGCTGAGCCAGGAGAAGTGCTTGAACCCGGGAGGCAGAGGTTGAAGTGAGCTGAGATCCTGCCACTGCACTCCAGCCTGGATGACAGAGCCAGACTCCATCTCAAAAAAAAAAAAAAAAAAAAAACACAACCAAAAAAACAGAACACTGTGTGAGAAGGCAGGAGAGGAATCTGCTTCTTCAACCTTTCCGTGTGTCCTTGTAAGCACACCACAAAACATAAGGGTAGGAAAAGGCCTTAAGAGGAAGCTGCTGCTTCTGTCTAGACCAGAGGGCCTTGTGACTGCTGCACTTCACTGACTGCTACTGCCTGACACTTACAAACCTTGCACTCATCGGCAAGTCTTTAGCACTTGTTACAGAAATGCCAATAAATACCTCCAAGATTTAAGATAATTAAGTCAATGATTACAGCTCATTTCCACCTATAATTCGTAATATGGTTGGTTAGCTGAAAATTTACATCTGCCCCCTAAATCATCATTTACAAAATCACCAAGCAGGTAACCAATGTCTTGCTGAATAAGCATCTCCCTATAAAAACAAATGAACTTTGTAAAGTGGATGCTGTGAGCTGAGCTTGAAATGGTTATATTAAAAAGCTCTCTCTGGCTGGTAGTGAGTTATCTTGTTCATAGTTACAGATCAACCTCCTTGTTTTACTCTTTCCCCTCTTCTCAATACTGCACTTGGCTAGTCTGTGATAAATAGCTACATAAATACAAAAAGCTCTCAGCTGGGTGCTGGGGCTCTTGCCAGTAATAGCAGCACTTGGGGAGGCTGAGGTGGGAGGATCACTTAAGCTCAGGGGTTCGAGACCAGCCTGGGCAACATAGTGAGACCTCATCTCTACTAAAAATAAAAACAAATTAGCGAGGTGTGGTGTTGTACCCCTGTAGTCCCAGTTACTAGGGAGGCTGAGGTGGGAGGATCACCTAAGCCCAAGGAGGTTGAGGCCACAGTAAGCTGTGATTGCCTACTGCACTCCAGCCTTGGCAACAGAGAGACACCTGGTCTCAAAAAAAAAAGCTCTCATTAAGTGTAACAAATACTGACCTGATTAATATGTATGTGTGTGTGTTTAGATATATTTTGGTTTAGTTTATTTTTTTCAGGCAAGGTCTCACTCTGTCACCCAGACTGGAGTATAACGGTGTGATCTCTGCTCACTGCAACCTCCACGTCCTGAGCTCAAGCAATCCTCCCACCTGAGCCTCCCGAGTAGCTGGACTACAGGCATGTGCCGCCATGCTAGGCTAATTTTTGTACTTTTTTATAGAGACAGGGTTTCACCATGTTTCCAGGCTGGTCTTGAACTCCTGGGCTCAAGCAATCTGCCTGCCTCAGCCTCCCAAAGTGTTGAGATTACAGGCGTGAGCCACCATGCCCAGCCAATATATGTAATTTTAAAGGATTCTCTGTTTTTTCCCTTCTATTATGTTTCTAGCATTGATCGCGTTACTGGCAGATTAGAGTATGGCGGCACTTGGGGCATGGCCAGGTTTCACTCCCCAGTCTCTTTCCCCAAGACATGATTTAAATCAAGATTCAGATCTGTCCTAAAACCATGGACAGAGCCAGAAATTTGGTCTTCAGAAGTACTTACCATGAATATCACCTTCTCCCTAGAAAAGAAAAAAATTCAAAAATTTACTTCCTATTTTAATTTTGGAACACGCAAAACAGTCATAGTTCATAGCAGCTAACATCTACTTGAAACCGAATGTGACATTTCATTGTGTTGCAATCAAGCACAGGGTCAGTCTGCTACCTCTATCCAACTCAGGACAATGCTATGCAAAAATTCTGCATGATAAATTGCTCTAGTGCTAGTACCACGTCTACAACAAACCCCAACATTTCCTCTGAGGACCTAACACCAATTAGCACTTCAGAGATCTTTTATTAGAATGGAAAACTGGTAAATCTCTCCTTTCATTTCTCTCTCCTTTCCCCGATAAGGGGAAACTAGATAATAGTTATGGAAGGACCCCTATCAGTTCCAAAGCCCTTCTCCAGTTCTCTCCCCACTCAGACAGGTGATGCCTCACTGTGCTCTGAGGGCTTTAGTGCTTAGTCGGGCGGGGTCTTTCCACTTCGCAGCACACCCCCTGGGGGGCTTGGTGGCAGTATTCAACTGCAGACACAACCAATGGTAATGCCAGCACTAGTCTCCTGGAGTTCAACGCAAAGCAGTTCTGAACTCAGAAATGCTTCTATATATGAGACACACAGGAAGTGAGAAAGATCCACAAGTTCCAAAAATCAATAGGGGAGATAAAACAAATCCTAATGGTAAAAGAGATACAGAAACAGACTGAGACCATGTTAACACACTTCTATGATTTTACTATCAATCTTCCATTATCAATATGGCCCAGTCCCTTTCCTAACTACCTCAATGTAAAATTCCAGTGGGTGAACTGAAACTCTTAGTACAAATTTCAGAATCATATTGACCTGAAAGCCTTTCTGGCCTCATGCTGTCACACTGACCTTCAGATCTAAGAAGTCTCCGGAGCTTGCTTCAGAGGAGTTCCTTCTCTGCAGTCCAGATGACTCCAAGTCTTCCCTGCCACCACTAGACTTGGCACCTAAAAATCAAAATATACTTTCTTCAGAAATACAATAGAAAAAACCTAAAGCAAAACACTTCAGGCTGGGCACGGTGGCTCATGCCTGTAATCTCAGTGCTTTAGGAGGCCGAGGCGGGCAGATCACCTGAGGTCAGGAGTTCAAGACCAGCCTGGCCAACATGGTAAAACCCTGTCTCTACTAAAAATATAAAAATTGGCTGGACGTCATGGTGCATGCTTGTAATCCTAGCTACTCGGGAGGCTGAGGCAGAAGAATCACTTGAACTCGGGAGGTGGAGGTTGTGGTGTGCCAAGATGGCACCACTGCACTCTGTACTCCAGCCTGGGCAACAGAATGAGACTCTTATCTCAAAAACAAAAACAAAAAACTTCAGCAATTGACGTTATGTGTTAGTCTCACATTATGAAATGAGGAAACAGTCTTAAGGAAGTTAAGCTGATCACTTAAACATTAACCCAGTCTGACTTCAGTCCTTACTCTGATCCATCACACAGCCTCTCAGTATTTCCCATTTCTTTCCTCTCAGGCTAAGTCTAAACTGTTGTAAGCTAGATTTTGTTATTAGTTCAAAACCAGCTGTAGTTGGTTTTTCTTTTGTTTGTTTTTGACACAGGGTTTCACTCTGTCACCTAGGCTGGAGGGCAGTGGCTCAATCACAGCTCACTGCAGCCTCCACCTCCCAGGCTCAGCAATCCTCCCACCTCGGCCTCCGGAGTATCAGGGACTAAATGCACACTGCCACTACCACCAGCTAATTTTTGTTTTGTTTTGTTTTTTAGACACGGGGGCACATGCTGGTGCCCAAGCTGCATCTGTGGCTGTTGATGCTGGGCCCATCCCTTTGAACAGTGAGCACAGATAACAAGAGTACCTGCTGACTTGGCCCAAGAAGCTTGATTTTCTTCAGGTGTCCCAAAGATATTAGAGGCCATTTTGTTCTTCCTCACAGGTTGTTCTGTTGGTTCATCAAAACCTAATGAAAAATTGGATCCACCACCTGGAGGCCGCAAAACTCTGCAAATAATGGCAAAACATCAACTTCAGATCATACTGAAACATTTCTTGGCATAAATCTTTTCAGACAACTTTCATTTCACTTTCCTCACCCATTCATCTCCCTCACCCCTACAACAGATAGCTGCTAACAGGAAAAAAGAATCAACTCCATCAGTGTCTACATTCAGTGCTGGATGTTAAGATACTAAATACTGCTTTATAATACTTGTAATAAGGTCATCGATCACACAAGGCAGCTGAAACAGCATGGAACTCATCATAAATAACAGCCTGGTTGGTGTCCCCTTTTCAGAAATGGCAAAAGATCTAATGGACCTTACTCTACTGGGCTTGGCTGAATATACTTTCAAAGAAGTTTAGAAGTATTTCTTGTTATTATTCATTTAAAAATCATTTCCAGGCACAGTGGCACACACCTGTAATCCCAGCACCCTAGGAGGCCAAGGCAGGATCATCACTTGAGCCTAGGAGTTCAAGACCAGCCTGGGCAACATGGCAAGACCCCGTGTCTCTATAAAAAAAAAATTAAAAATTAGCCAAGCGTAGTGGCGCATGCCTGTGGTCCCAGCTACACTGGACTCTGAGACAGAAGGATCGTTTCGGCCGGGAGGTCAAGGCTGCAGTGAGCTGTGTTCACACCGCTGAACTCCAGCCTGTGTGACAGAGCAAGACTCTGTCTCAAAATGTAAAAAGTAAATAAATTTTTTTTTTGAGACGGAGTCTCCCTCTGTCGCCCAGGCTGGAGTGCAGTGGCGCGATCTCAGCTCACTGCAAGCTCCACCTCCCGGGTTCACGCCATTCACCTGCCTCAGCCTCCCGGATAGCTGGGACTACAGGCGCCCGCCACCACGCCCAGCTAATTTTTTGTATTTTTAGTAGAGACGGGGTTTCACCGTGTTAGCCAGGATGCTCTTGATCTCCTGACCTCATGATCCACTCACCTCGGCCTCCCAAAGTGCTAGGATTACAGGCATGAGCCACCACGCCCAGCCAAAAAAAGTAAATAAATTTTAAAAAATCACTTCCTTCTTATTTTCAACTAGATAAATAACTTGGGCACGATCAGTAGCAGGCCCCTATAGTCCCAGCCATTCTGGAAGCTGAGGCAGGAGGATTGCTTGAGCCCAGGAGTTCAAGGCCAGCCTAGGCAACATAGTGAGATCCCCATCTCTAATCACTTACACACTTACACACACACACACACACACACTTAAGTCAGCTTGACCAATTTAGAAGCCCAAGAAGAGCTGATAATAGTCTCTTCTATCTCAACCTCACTAAAAAGCCATTTACATACTTGTACCTCACTATTCTCACAATAAACATAAGTAACTACCCATGAGGGCAAAGTCAGTATGAGCAATTAAGTATAAGATTCCATGACATGGTCTATATCAGTGTTCCTTTGAATATCATCTGTAGCTTTCTGTTCAACATGGTAATATATTTTTTAACATTTCCAAATCTTTCTGCCATAGGTTGACCAATTTGTCTCCTCCTTGGAAAAACTCAATTTAACTCCTCTTGCCACCTCTCAAAACAGAAAATGCAGGTGGTTTTATAGAAATACTTTTTTTTCTTTTCTTTTTTTTTTTTGAGGCACAATCTCGCTCTTGTCGCCCAGGCTAGAGTGCAGTGGTGCAATCTCGGCTCACTGCAACCTCCGCCTCCCGGGTTCAAGCGATTCTCCTGCCTCAGCCCCTGAGTAGCTGGGATTACAGGTGCCCACCACCACAAACAGCTAATTTTTGTATTTTCAGTAGAGACGGGGTTTCGCCATGTTGGCCAGGCTGGTCTCGAACTCCTGACCTCAGGTGATCCACCCGCCTGGCCTCCCAAAGTGCTGGGATTACAGGCGTGAGCCACTGCACCTGGCCTAATTGTTGTATTTTTAGTAAAGACAGGGTTTCACCATGTTGGTCAGGCTGGTCTTGAACTCCTGACCTCAGGTGATCCGCCTGCCTCAGCCTCCCAAAGTGCTGGGATTACAGGCATGAGCTACCCAGCCCAGCCAACTTTTTTTTTAACTTCTTTTTTTTGTTTTCTTACTGCCTGTGTAATTGCAGAATATGGAAAGACTTTCTAACTACTGATTCAATTCCTTTACTGGTGATATGAGTGGTCTGGTTTTGTTTCTTCATAAGGCAGTTTGAATAAGCAACATTTTTCTTTCTTTTTTTTTTTTTTTTTTTTTTTTGAGACAGAATCCTGCTCTGTTGCCCAGGCTGGACTGCAATGGTGCGATCTCGGCTCACTGCAAGCTCCGCCTCCCAGGTTTACACCTTTCTCCTGCCTTAGCCTCTCGAGAAGCTGGGACTACAGGCGCCCGCCGGAACGCCCGGCTAACTCTTTTATTTTTAGTAGAGACGGGGTTTCACCGTGTTAGCCAGGATGGTCTCCATCTCCTGACCTCATGATCTGCCCGCCTCGGCCTCCCAAAGTGCTGGGATTACAGGCGTGAGCCACCGCGCCCGGCCAAGAAACATTTTTCTAAGAATATTTAGCACTTCTATCTGGGCGTGGTGATGTGAACCTGTAATCCCAGCTACTCCGGAGGCTGAGGTAGGAGAATCGCTTGAACCCTGTAGGAGGCGGAGCCTACAGTAAGCTAAGATCACACCACTGCACTCTAGCCTGGGCAAAAGAGTGAGACTCCGTCTCAAAATAATAATGATAATAATAATAATAATAATAAAATTAAGGTCAGGAGCGGTGGCTCATGCCTGTAATCCTAGCACTTTGAGAAGCCAAGGCAGGCAGATCACAAGGTCAAGAGATCAAGACCATCCTGGCCAACATGGTGAAACTGTCTGTACTACAAATGTACAAAAATTAGCTGGGCGTGGTGGCACATGCCTGTAGTCCCGACTATTCAGGAGGCTGAGGCAGAGGCAGAAGAATCGCTTGAACCCGGGAGGCAGAGGTTGCAGTGAGCCAGAGATCATGCCACTGCACTCCAGCCTGGCAACACAGTGAGACTGTCTCAAAAAAATAAATTAATTAAAAAAAATAAGGCAGGGCGCAGTGGCTCACGCCTGTAATCCCAGCACTTTGGGAGGCCGAGGCGGGCGGATCACCTGAGGTCAGGAGTTCGAGACCAGCTGGACCAACATAGAGAAAACCCGTCTCTACTAAAAATATAAAATTAGCCAGGCGTTTTGGCACATGCCTGTAATCTCGGCTAGTCGGGAGGCTGAGGCAGGAGAATCGCTTGAACCTGGAAAGCAGAGGTTGCGGTGAGCAGAGATTGTGCCACTGCACTCCAGCTCGGGCAAAAAGAGCAAAACTGCGTCTCAAAAAAAAAAAAAAAATCAAGAAAAAGACACTAGTACCCGAACACCAGCTTAAGAGCAAGTCAAAACTCTAACCAGTCCCACTTTTTAAAGGTCTCTGTTCCTCCTGCAATAGCAGGTAGTAACCAACTCGGATGACGTCAGTGTTGTAGAGACCATTTGTAATAGTGAGATATCCCCAAACAAAGGATGTAGATCATAAGGCAGAAAGTATCTCAATGTTTTAGGATCCTACTATTCTTTCAGAATCATACACGACAACTAAATCAGGATTATATATTTAAGACTGAACAAAAATGTGTCCATGTACTGTAAATAGCAATTTTTAAAAAATTGCTCCTTTTCTTTCTTCTCTCTTAAAATCCTGAAGTTTCTGTATATCTTTGCAGATCATTCCCTACCAGACTAAATTTATAACGAGTTTATGGGGCCAGGAGAACATTACTGGACAAAATTAAGTTTATGAGAATTAGGTGAGAATATAGAAAAAGGGAAGGTAGAGAGACAATAAAATGACAATGCTACTACAGTCCCTAGAGCATAATATTGGAGGGAAATTGATGACGAAAGGTGAATTAAACATTCATTTCACAGGATCAGAACTCATTTGTCTCACATTTCAAATGTACACATGAAAAACTAAGTGTGAGGATTCATTTGACCTAATTACTGAAATTCTTTACAAAACACTAATATCAACTCAACCCCAAAGAATAAAACCCCAGATTACACATTATCATTCCGACGACTGAAGTCTAACCGGCAGAAAGTTGGCCTCGTAACACAAAATGAAAAACCAAGGCTCAATCTCTTCCTGTTCTCTGAAGAAATCATCTCATTGGAAAGAAAACAGAAAGGGAGCGACCAGTTTCCTAGGTCTGTGCTACTTAAGTACCCCATCCTCCCAGTAATCACCAATTTATTTTTTTAATCTTACCTAGTCTTTTTGACCTTGTAAACCTGAAAGTATTGAGTTGTAAAGGAATGTCATTTCCCATGCTTTCCTCCTAAGGCTCAATTGCTGAGTGAGGCGTGCTTTTTGTTCCCAAGTTCTCTAACCCCTGTGAGATATGGCTATTTCACGTGTCTTCTTAGCCCCACAAAATGGCTCCCTTTGTGCCACTTGGCCAGGACCCCGAGGGTAGCCACACATGAATGCAGGTCATAATCGATGTAAAATACATGCTCAAAAAAGTGATTTAAGCTTCTTCCAAGCCTTGAAGAGGATCCCAGACATAACTGTAACCCACCTTAAAGAACAGTGTGCAATTAGCTGAGACAATGTGGACACCTTCCACAGAATCCAAACCCTTCCACCAAGTAAGTTAAGCAAGGACTTGGAAAAGGGTTCCTGTCCAAACACTGTACCCAGTGCCCCAAGCCCAAAAAGCAGTGGGAAGAAGGGCAAGAAAAATCCCCCGCTTCCCAGGTAGCGCTACCACGTTAGAGACAATGGATGTCTCCGGCCCCGCCCAAGAACAAGAAACCTCCTCCTGCAAGGGAACCAGGGCCAGGGATGAACTCACTGGGCAAACGTCAAAGGAGGAAGCGAAGGTAGGATGCAAAGGCCACGGTCCGAAGGTTTAAGCGCAGAAAACCCACTCGGGTTGGCTCGTTCCCCGCGCCCGCCCCCGCCCCCCGCCTTAGAAATGAGCGCAGGGATGGGGAGAAGGGGTCTTTCCTTTGTTAGGAAGGGGAGACACTTGGAAGAGGGGAGGCACTTCGAAGAGGGGAAGAACGATTGGGTCCTCAATGGGGGGTGAAGGGTCGCGATGACCAGCCCCGCTCGACCACACATGCACCTGTCAGGTAGGTCCGAATAAGGAGTGGGGGCACGGCGAGGGTAAGGAGCCCGCCGGACCTGATCGATCCGGTCTCCGGATCCAATGGCTGCGCGCGAGAGCGAGACCAACCGCATGCCACGGGGGAGAGACAGGAGCGCGTGGCCCATCAATGGGACAATAGGACCTGACCATGCATGGGGCCCTAAAGGATCCCCGGGCACCTGGGGGGCCAAGCCCACCACCCTGGGGATGCACCAGCCGGGATGCACACAGGAGAAAGCGAAGCCCTCCCCGAAGGTTCCGATTAACGAAAACCGGCCGTGCTCCGAGGGGCGACCAGCCCCGGCCTCCTCAGCCCCTGACTCCGTGGAAGGAATGAATGGAGAGCAGCAGGGACCCGGGTGGGGCCGGCGCGCAGGGCTCGCCAGGCGGCACAAAGGCGGCGCCGACGGCAGAACCCCGCCACCCGCCCCGGCGCGAGCACAGCGCACGGGGCTCGTTACCCGCAACGACCGGCGCGAGGCCCCGCCGGCAGCGGCCCTCCCAGCCCCTCAGCCCCGCGCGGCTCGGGCGCGACCCGGTCGCCTCACCGGGAGCTATTCCTGCTGTTGGGGTCGACTCCCTTGAAGGTGGTGGTTGTGGTCATGGCGCCGAGGAGCGAGGTAGGCTGGCGCCGGAGCAGAACGCTCAAAGGGTCGGACCCGAGGGGCGCTGGGAAACTCCACACCCAACAGCCGACCACCGCTGCAGGAGCCGCCGCTGCCGCCTGTCCGGCCGATCGACGCCTTTATAGGGTTTTCAACCCCCGCCCCCTAACCCGCCGGCATTGGCCGATTCAAATGAATTCTTTCATTCCTATTGGCTCTCTGGAGTGCCAAGCACCATGCGGCATTACGATGGGCTGTGGCGGCCACGGCTCAGCCTAAGCCCGCCCCCTTCCTGGACTGGGAAGGCCTTGGGACTCTCTCCCCTCCCCCACCCCAAAATCTCGGCGATGATTGGACGGAAGGCGAATCTACCTCGCGCTGGGTGGAAGTCGTGCTGGCTGTCACTGTAAAACGTTACCTGACAGAGGGGGAAGCTCTTTCTTGGGGAGTTACAACCTCGGCAAGCAGAAGGGAGATTTGTCACTGTTACTGTTCTCTCATTTGCTTTACTGATGGTGGGATAGTAAGGGCATCCTCCTTAAAGGATGAAAAGTACTGCAACAAGTTGACATTTATCTGTTGAATACCTACTGTGTGTCCCATTTAGAAACCTAATAGTCTCAAAGCAGCCGCACAATGAGTCAGCAACAGAGAGCGCACCAAGATGATCCCTTTTAAAAGGACTGGAAATTCCTTACATTTTAATGTTACTGTTTAGTTGTAATGGGTGGTGCATGTACTGGACCAAAATTACAGTCGCTCCTATTTGGGGGCCTATTCTAAGGCTGGTTAATGCCTGGCACCAGGAATGGACTCATTCCCTGCTACCAAGACTATGGAAGCAGCTCAGGCCTCTGCAGCTGTTTATAACCCTTAAGTCATGACTCTTCCACCTGTCTGGGTAAATCTATCCATGCGACAAATGCAGACACACTTGGAGGATTCAGGAATGATGGTTTACAAGATCATAATAGGAAAGCCTTGGGCAAAAGAGGGCAGGCCCTTCTCATGTCTTGCATATTTCCTCAAGGCAGATGTCTTTGCTTGTCTCAATATTTCCATAATAATTGAACCACATTCCTCTTTGCAAAGCCACCTTTCAGGTAGTTGGAAGTTTGTATTCTGGGCAGTCTAGGTTAACCACCCTCCCCCCCCGGGCTTTCATGAAAAGCCAGTGAGAAGTTCTGTTCTAGAAAGCACGGATGATGCATTTATGTGCTTACCACAACAGCACGAAGCGCACCACTTGTTTGTGTTAGAATCTTCCCTTCTTTTTTTCCTTTCTTTTTTTTTTTTGTTTTTGAAGTGGAGTTTCGCTCTTGTCACCCAGGCTAGAGTGCAATGGCGCTCAATGCAACCTCCACCTCCCAGGTTCAAGCGATTCTCCTGCCTCAGCCTCCGTAATAGCTGGAACTACAGGCGTGCGCCACCACCCCTGACTAATTTTTGTATTTTTAGTAGAGACGGCGTTTCACCATATTGGCCAGGCTGGTCTCAAACTCCTGACCTCAGGTGATCCATGCTCCTTGGCCTCCCAAAGTGCTGGGATTACAGGTGTAAGCCACCGCATCTAGCCAAAATCTTAGCTTTTTTTTTTTTTTTTTGAGACAGAGTCTTGCTCTGTCGCCCAGGCTGGAGTGCAGTGGTGGCGCGATCTCTGCTCACTTGCAGCCTCCACCTCCCGGGTTCAAGCGATTCTCCTGCCTCAGCCTCCCGAGTAGCTAGGACTACAGGTGCGTGCCATCATGCCCGGCTAATTTTTTGTAGTTTATTAGTAGAGATGGAGTTTCACCATGTTAGCCAGCATGGTCTCAATCTCCTGACCTCGTGATCCACCCACCTTGGCTTCCCAAAGTGCTGGGATTACAGGTGTGAACCACCGCACGCCCAGCCAATCTTCCCATTCTTTCTTTTTTTGTTGTTGTTGTTTTCGTTTTTTTGAGACAGAGTCTCGCTCTGTCGCCCAGGCTGGAGTGCGGTGGCATAATCTCGGTTCACTGCAAGCTCCGCCTCCCGGGTTCACGCCATTCTCCTGCCTCAGCCTCCCAAGTAGCTGGGACTACAGGCGCCCACCACCATGCCTGGCTAATTTTTGTATTTTTAGTAGAGATGGGGTTTCACCGTGTTAGCCAGGATGGTCTAGATCTCCTGACCTCGTGATCCGCCCACCTCGGCCTACCAAAGTGCTGGGATTACAGCATGAGCCACCGCACCTGGCCAATCTTCCCATTCTTTTTTTTTTTTTTTTTTTTTTTTTTTGAGATAGAGTCTCGCTCTGTCGCCCAGGCTGGAGTGCAGTGGCACAATCTCGGCTCACTGCAAGCTCCACCTCCCACGTTCATGCCATTCCCATGCCTCAGCCTCCTGAGTAGCTGGGACTACAGGCGCCTGCCACCACGCCCGGCTAATTTTTTTGTATTTTTTTTAGTAGAGACGGGGTTTCACCATGTTAGCCAGGATGGTCTCGATCTCCTGACCTCGTGATCCGCCCACCTCGGCCTCCCAAAGTGCTAGGATTACAGGCGTGAGCCACTGCGCCCGGCCCAATCTTCCCACTCTTAAAGGCTGAGCCTATATTTCCAAAATCTTAAAAGAAAAAAAAATCAGACCAATCTAGCCAGTGAGCACGCCCTCCTCAGAAACCATATAATTATCAACTAGGAGGTAGTGGAGTATAGTGGTTGCTAGCTCAGACTCTCATGGGATAAATTTGGATTGGAATCTCGACCCTTACCTTTTCTAAGCACTAGTTTTCACCTTTCTGAAATAAACACACAATAGTACCTGGGGGTCTGTGGAGTTTTGGGGACTAAGTGACCTCATGGATGTAAACGGCTTGGCTCAATATACAAGTCATCAAAGTGATAGTCCATTTTATTATCAGACTTATTTAGAAAGCAATCACATACTTGTATGTTAAATGAGGGGTTTGGACTTGACTCGCATGGTCTTTTGGCTTACATTTTCAGGTTGTACTTATTTCCTTGCAGTCTAATAGAAGATAGCTTGGTGAGGCAATGCTACAATAGACTAGAAGTCAAAAGACCTAAGTTCTGGTTTTGCCTTTTCCCAATATAAGACACTGGTACATCATTTATGCCCTTGAGCCTCAATTTTCTTATCTATAAAATGGGATTGCAGGCTGGCACGGTGGCTCACGCCTGTAATCCCAGCACTTTGGGAGGCAGAGGTGGGCGGATCAGAAGGTCAGGAGTTTGACACCAGCCTCACTAACATGGGGAAACCCCATCTCTACCAAAAATATAAAAATTAGCTGGGCGTGGTGATACGCCTGTAACCCAGCTACTCACAAGGCTGAGGCAGGAGAATCGCTTGAACCCAGAAGGCAGAGGTTGCAGTAAACCAAGATCGCGCCATTGCACTCCAGCCTGGACAAAACGAGTGAAACTGCTTCTCAAAAAAACAAAAAAGGGATTAATAGCACTTGTGTTACTGGAAAGGTGTCCCAGTCCAGACCCCAAGAGAGGTTTCTTGGATATTATGAAGAAGAGTTCAGAGCAAGTCCATAAAGTGAAAGCAAGTTTATTAAGAAAGTAAAAAACACGCTGGGCGCGGTGGCTCCGGCCTGTAATCCCAGCGCTTTGGGAGGCCGAGGTGGGTGGATCACGAGGTCAGGAGATCGAGACCATCCTGGCTAACATGGTGAAACTCCATCTCTACTAAAAATACAAAAAATCAGTCGGGCGTGGTGGTGGGCGCCTGTAGTCCCAGCTACTCGGGAGGCTGAGGCAGGAGAATGGCATGACCCCGGGAGGCGGAGCTGGCAGTGAGCCAAGATTTCGCCACTGCACTCTAGCCTGGGTGACAGAGCAGAAAGTAAAGAAACAAAAGAATAGTTACTCCACAGGTAGAGCAGCCAGGAAGGCTGCTGGTTGTCCATTTTTATGGTTTTTTTTTTTTTTTTTTTTTTTGAAAGAGAGTCTTGCTCTGTTGCCCAGGATGGAGTGCAGTGGCACAATCTCAGCTCACTGCAAGCTGTGCCTCCCAGGTTCACGCCATTCTCCTGCCTCAGCCTCCCGAGTAGCTGGGACTACAGGCACCCGCAACCACGCCCGGCTAATTTTTAGGATGACTCTCATTGCCATCTTGGTATTGGTGAGTTTTGGCCAACTTCTTTACTGAAAACTCTTTTATCAGCAAGGTCTTTATGACCTGTATCTTGTGCTGACTTCCTATCTCATCCTGTGACTTAGAATGCGTAATCGTCTGGGAATGCAGCCCATTAGGTCTCGGCCTTATTTTACCCAGAACTTATTCAAGATGGAGTTGCTCTGGTTCAAACGTCTCTGACACCTGTTCTGAGTTGTGAGGGCTGGAATGAGATAAATATAAGAATGTACATGCTGGCCAGGCAAGGTGGCTCACGCCTGTAATCCAAGCACTTTGGGAGGCCGAGGCGGGTGGATCACTAAGTCAGGAGTTCGAGACCAGCCTGGCCAATATGGTGAAACCCCATCTCTACTAAAAATACAAAAATTAGCTGGGCGTGGTGGCATGCCCCTGTAGTCGCAGCTGCTCAGGAGGCTGAGGCACAAGAATCACTTGAACCTGGGTGGCGCAGGTTGCAGTGAGACCAGATCATGCCACTGCATTCTAGCCTGGTCGACAGGGCAAGACTCCATCTCAAAAAATCCAGAAAACTTTCTATTAGAAGTGCCCCATCCTGGCTGCACATCAGAATCACCTATGAGATTTTTGAAGAATATAAATGAATGCCAGGTCTCCACCCAAGATCTACTAAATTGCAGTTTCTGGGGTGAGGGTTTAGTCATGGATATCTTTAAAATGTTAAACAGGTAATTCTCATTTACAGCTTGAGCTGAGAACCTTTGCTACAAAGGTAAGGAATCAGTCCCAGGAGAACCCTTTTAATCTGATCTGATTTATGAATCAGAGCAAATGTATGTAAAACAAACAAGTGAGTAAGGCTGTTGGCCTGTTTAGCATATTTGTT
Organism: Homo sapiens; assembly: GCF_000001405.40. NCBI lineage: Eukaryota > Metazoa > Chordata > Mammalia > Primates > Hominidae > Homo > Homo sapiens. Next base: position 75,159,374 of record NC_000017.11, read on the forward strand.
TAAGTTCTCAAGGTAACCAAAAAATCAAAGGAAACAGAAGAAAGATTAATCCTGATGACAAGGAATGGTCTAACAGCTTCTTCATGACCTATAGCAGTGTTTCTTAAACTTCATTTTTTTTTTTTAACAGCGTCTTGCTCTAAATAACCCAGGTTAGAGTGCAGTGGCACAATCTCAGCTCTCTGCAGCCTCCACTTCCTGGACTCAAGGAATCCTCCCACATCAGCCTCCTGAGTAGCTGGGCCTACAGGCACATGCCACCACACCTGGCTTTTTTTGTTGTTGAGACAGAGGCTTGCTATGTTACTCAGGCTGCTCTCAAACTGGCTCGAAAGGATTTTCCCACCTCTGCCTCCCAATGTGCTGAGATTACAGACATGAGTCACTGTGCCCAGCCTCTTGAACTTCTATGAAAGCAAAACCCATATATATAAAATAGATTAACAGCAAAGCAGCTGTGATTACAACTGGGCAGAGGGTCCCAGATCCTGGCCCTCTCTCCCTATGTCCTTTGTCACCTTTTTCTTGACTGTCCTCCTAAAACAATACCAGGTTTCCTTAAGATTTCATTTTAAAACCACTGCTGGCCAGGCGCGTGTGGGCTCACACCTGTAATCCCAACACTTTGGGAGGCTGAGGCAGATGGATCACCTGAGGTCAGGAGTTTGAGACCAGCCTGACCAACATGGAGAAACACTGTCTCTACTAAAAATACAAAATTACCTGTGCGTGGTGGCACATGCCTATAATCCCAGCTACTTGGGAGGCTGAGACAGGAGAACTGCTTGAACCCAGGAGGTGGAGGTTGCAGTGAGCCAAGATCATGCCATTGCACTCTAGCCTGGAAAACAAGAGCAAAATCTCTGTCTCAAAAAAAAAGAAAGAAAAAAAAATTGCTAGTCATGTGCTTTTGAACTTGGTTAAGTGATTGAACTAACAAAATCGTCCAGGGACAAGTATTTCCCCCAAACTTTACTTCTCAATCCCAACATCTCAGGGCGTCCCTTAAGCGTATCACTTGTGACTTGACCACATCTTCACAGACACATTCTGCATCCATTACTCCGAAGGCCAAATTTAGTATGCATCTGTCCATTCTTTTCTTAGCTGTATCCTCACAAAAAAAGACAGATCAATATACTGGAAAAGACAGCTCAAGGAGTTTATTTCCTTTTAAAACTCATTTGCCATTAAACAAATAAGCCGAGAGTTCTCAAATGTGGAAAATGGCTTTGTCAAGTTTATGTGCTCCCTTTATTTCAAGTTAAGGTTAACAGAATGGCACACACACTCTACTAAGGTCTGACATGCCCCTCTTGGGTCCTTTTTAACTGCTCTAAAGTGTAGATATGAAGAGCATGATTCCTAAATTGTCCTCCTCAAGAGGAAATTCATATTTCCTCCTCCTCAGAGTAAGGACTGAATAAAATTATGTGGTTTAAGTTTGTCCTGTTTACCCCAATACTATACTGCTATTTCTCTTTTAAAAACAAGCAGAATCCCAGCACTTTGGGAAGCGAAAGCAAAAGAACTGCTTGAGCCCAGGAGTTCAAGACCAGCCTGGGCAATGTGGCAAGATCCCATCTCTACAAAAAAAAAATACAAAAACTTTTTTTTTTTTTAGACAGAGTCTAGCTCTGTCTCCCAGGCTGGAGTGCAGTGGCATGATCTCGGCTCGCTGCAACCTCTGCCTCCTAGGTTCAAGCGATCCTTCTGCCTCAGCCTCCCGAGCAGCGGGACTACAGGTGCATACCAACATGCCTGGCTAATTTTTGTATTTTTAGTAGAGATGGGGTTTCACCACACTGGCCAGGCTGGTCTTGAACTCCTGACCTCGTGATCCACCCACCTCGGCCTCCCCAAGTGCTGGGATTACTGGCGTGAGCCACCACCCCCAGACAAACTTTCTCTTTTTTTTGAGATGGAATCTCCCTCTGTTGCCCAGGCTGGAGTTCAATGGCCGAATCTCGGCTCACTGCAGCCTCTGCCTCCCGGTTTCATGAGATTCTCTTGCCTCAGCCTCCCAAGTAGCTGAGATTACATGCGCCCACCACCAGTGCCTGGCTAATTTTTGTAGTTTTAGTAGAGATGGGGTTTCGCCATGTTGGCCAGGCTTGTCTCAAACTTCCAACCTCAGGTGATCTGCCTGCCTCAGCCTCCCAAAGTACTGGGGTTACAGGTGTGAGCTACCGTGCCCGGCCAATTTTTTGTTTGTTTGTTTGTTTGTTTATTTAGAGACACGGTCTTGCTCTGTTGCCCAGATTGGAGTGCAGTGGCGTGATCTCCATTCACTGAAACCTCCACCTCCCAGGTTCAAGCAATTGTCTTGCCTCAACCTCCCAAGTAGCTGGGATTACAGGCACCCACCAACACGCCCGGATAATTTTTGTATTTTTAGTAGAGACGGGGTTTCACCGTGTTAGCCAGGCTGGCCTTGAACTCCTGACCTCAAGTGATCCACCTGCCTCAGCCTCCCAAAGTGTTGGGATTACAGGCGTAAGCCACCGTGCCCGGCCTACAATTTTTTGTATTTTTGTATGTATGGTGGTGTGTGCCTGTGGTCCAAACTACTCAAGAGGCTGAGGCAGGAGGATTGCTTGAGCCCAAAGGTTTAGGCTGCAGTGAACCATGATCATGCCACTGCACTCCAGCCTGGGTGACAGAGCAAGACCCTGTTTCAAAAAAATAAAAAACCAAAAAAAAACCCATTACCCATCTGTCCTGTTCTCCTAGAGAAGAATTTAGCCTCCTTCGCAAAGATATTTGTTAAAATTATAAATACATAACTTCAAAGGGTATCCCCAGAAAAAATGTGGAAAAATTCTTCCCTTAACATTCTAAATTCTGTAACTTGTGGCAAATTTAGCCACATAATATGCCTTTAAAATATGAACGGTAAAAATACATATATATATATATATATATATATATATATATATATATATATAATGTATATAGTTTTTGAGACGGAGTCTCCCTCTGTCACCCAAGCTGGAGTGCAGCAGCGAAATCTCGGCTCACTGCAAGCTCCACCTCCCTGGTTCACGTCATTCTCCTGCCTCAGCCTCCCAAGTAGCTGGGACTACAGGCGCCCGCCACTACACCCAGCTAATTTTTTTTATTTTTAGTAGAGACGGGGTTTCACCGTGTTAGCCAGGATGGTCTTGATCTCCTGACCTTGTGATCCACCCACCTCGGCCTCCCAAAGTGCTGGGATTACAGGCGTGAGCCACTGCGCCCGGCCAAGAAAACAAATATTAGGTGATAATTCTTGGACTTTAAAGTGTTTCACAAAGCCCTCAGGGTACAAGAAATCCTAAAAGTGAGGCCGGGTGTGGTGGCTCACTCCTGTAATCTCAGCACTTTGGGAGGCGGATCTTGAGGTCAAGAGATCAAGATCATCCTGGCTAACACGGTGAAACCCCATCTCTACTAAAAATGCAAAAAATTAGCTGGGCGTGGTGGCGGACGCCTGTAGTCCCAGCTACTTGGGAGGCTGAGGCAGGAGAATGGTGTGAACCCGGGAGGTGGAGCTTGCAGTGAGCCAAGATCACGCCACTGCATTCCAGCCTGGGCAACAGAGTGGGACTCCATCTCAAAAAAAAAAAAAAAAAAAAAAGAAAAAGAAAAGAAAAGAAATCCTAAAACTGCCTCATATAGTCACAGCACTGCTTACAGAGAAATAACAATCTACAATCCAAACAACAGATTAATTTCAAACTAGTTTATATACTCTGTTCTAATTATGTTTTACCTCAAGGAACTTTTTAAATTAGCTAACCACTATAAAAACCAAAGTCTCATTATAAAACATGCATACAGGCATGCCTCATTTTATTGCACTTTGCAGATACTGTGTTTTTTGGTTTTTTTGAGATGGAGTCTCACTCTGTTGCCCAGGCTGGAGTGCAGTAGCGCAATCTCAGTTCGCTGCAACCTCGGCCTCCTGAGTTCAAGCAATTCTCTGCCTGAGCCTCCCAACTAGCTGGGATTACAGGCATCCGGGATGTCTATGCTGCACTGAACTGTGATTACACCCCTGCACTCCAGGCTCGGTGGACAAAGCAAGATCCTGTCTCCAAAACAAACAAAAAAGTACTTTAAAGTATGGCACAGTGGCTCATTATTCCCAACACCTTGGGAGGCTGAGGCGGGAGTATTGCTCGAGTCCAGGAGTTCGAGGCTGCAGTAAGCTATAACTGCACCACTGCACTCTAGCCTGGGCAACACAGAAAATAAGATCCTGTCACCCCACTCCCAGAAAATAAAAATTAAAGTATGTATTTTTTTTTAAGACATAATGCTACCGAATACCTGACTACAATATAAACTTTTTTTTTTCCAAGACAGGGTCTTACCCCGTCAACATAGCTGGACTGCTGTGGCGCGATCACAGCTCATTGCAGCCTCGGCCTCCCCCCGAGCTCAGGCAATCTTCTCACCTCAGCCTTCAGAGTAGCTGGAACTACAGGCATGCACCACTGCACCTGGCTTTTATTTTTTGTAGAAACAGGGTCTCACTATATTGCCAGGGCTGAACATAACTTTTATATGCACTGAAAAACCAAAAAATTTGTGTGACTCGTTTTATTGAGATGACTTCTTTATTGTAGTGCTGCAGTCTGGGACCAAGCCCGTAGTCCCTGTGAGGTATGCCTCTATTTCCTACCACAACCAGCAGTAACTTTCAAGTCACCATTTAGATAATCAGAACTCTAACTCATCCTGTAGATGGATGCTTTGCTTCTTAGGGTACCAAAGAGACAGTGAGACTCTGTCTCAGAAAAAGAAAAAAAAAAAGATAAAAACAAAAGACAACTTACATGTGGGAGACACCATGCTAGGCATCTCAAACACACATTGCCTGGGCACGGTGGCTCATTCCTGTAATCCCAGCACTTTGAGTGGCTGAGGCGGGTGGGTCACTTGAGGTCAGGAGTTCGAGTCCAGCCTGGCCAACATGGTAAAACCCCATCTCTACCAAAAATATAAAAAATTAGCCAGGTGTGATGGCACACGCCTGTAATCCCATCTACTCGGGAGGCTGAGGCAGGAGAATCACTTGAACCCAGGAGGCGGAAGTTGCAGTGAGCTGAGATCCTGCCACTGCACTCCAGCCTGGGGGACAGAACAAGACTCCATTAAAAAAAAAAAAAAAAAAAAAAAAAGTAGGCCGGGCACAGTGGCTCACGCCTGTAATCCCAGCACTTTGGGAGGCCGAGGCAGGCGGATCACGAGGTCAGGAGATCAAGACCATACTGGCTAACACAGTGAAACCCCGTCTCTACTAAAAAATACAAAAAACTAGCCGGGCATGGTGGCGCGTGCCTGTAGTCCCAGCTACTCGGGAGGCTGATGCAGAAGAATGGCGTGAACCCGGGAGGCATAGCTTGCAGTGAGTCAAGATTGCGCCACTGAACTCCAGCCTGGGCAACAGAGTGAGACTCCATCTCAAAAAAAAAAGTAAAATAAACAGGGCGCGGTGGCTCCCGCCTGTAATCCTAGCACTTTGGGAGGCCAAGGTAGGCGCATCACCTGAGGTCAGGAGTTTGAGACCAGCCTGGCCAACACAGTGAAACCCCGTCTCTACTACAAATACAAAAAAATCAGCCAGGCATAGTGGTGGGCGCCTGTAATTCCAGCTACTTGGGAGGCTCTGTCTCCAAAACCAAACAAACAAAAAAACCCCACAAATTTTAAAAAAACAAGCTGGTGGCACTGTACATATAGGAAAATTAGTCTAGCTGATTCAAGAGTAAAATTCATACATATACAAACATAAAGAAAAATCTACTGCATTCCTGTTGTCACTGGCAATGCTCATTTGCTATAGAAACAGGGAATGTAAAGAGTGTATCAAAACAAAGGTACAGCAGCCGGGCGCGGTGACTCACGCCTGTAATCCCACCACTTTGGGAGGCTGAGGCGGGCAGCTCATGAGGTCAGGAGATCGAGACCATCCTGGCTAACACGGTGAAACCCCGTCTCTACTAAAAATACAAAAAATTAGCCGGGCATGGTGGTGGGTGCCTGTACTCCCAGCTACTCAGGAGGCTGAGGCAGGAGAATGGCGTGAACTCGGGAGGCAGCTTGCAGTGAGCCGAGATCGCGCTACTGCACTCCAGCCTGGGCAACAGAGCAAGACTCCGTCTCAAAAAAACAAAAAACAAAGGTACAGCAGATTAAGAGAAATAACACATAATACTACATGGTGACTTGATGGTAGATTATATTGGTAGGTTGACAATCAGTATGGACAAAAACAATCAACAAGCATTAGGATACTATCTCTAGTCCCAGTTTTATAGTCACCGTCTATTTCACAACTTTTCTGGAACTTGGCTTTCTCATCTATAAAATGGCAGTGAGGCCGGGCGCAGTGGATCATGCCTGTAATCCCAGCACTTTGGAAGGCCAAGGCGGGTGGATGAACTGAGGTCAGGAGTTTGAGACCAGCCTGGCTAACATGGTGAAGCCCTGTCTCTACTAAAAATACAAAAAAATTAGCCGGGCATGGTGGCGGGCACCTTTAGTCCCAGCTACTGGGGAGGCTGAGGCAGGAGAATGGCGTGAACCCGGGAGGTGGAGCTTGCCGTGAGCCAAGATTGCGCCACTGCACTCCAGCCTGGGCGACAGAGCAAGACTCCGTCTGAAAAAAAAACAAAAACAAAAACAAAAACTGTAGTGGTTGGGCATGGGGTCTAACACCTGAAACCCCAACACTTTGGGAGGCCAAGACAAGGGACTGAGGCCAGAAGTTCGAGACCAAACTGGTCAACATGGTGAGACCCCACCTCTAATTTAAAAATAATAAAAATTTGGCCGGGCACAGTGGCTCAAGCCTGTAATCTCAGCACTTTGGGAGGCCAAGGCAGGCAGATCACCTGAGGTCGGGAGGTGGAGACCAGCCTGACCAACATAGAGAAACCCCTTCTCTACTAAAAATACAGAATTAGCCAGGTATGATGGTAGATGCTTGTAATCCCAGCTTTTCCGGAGGCTGAGGGAGGAGAATCAGTTGAACCCGGGAGGCGGAGGTTGCAGTGAGCTGAGATCATGTCATTGGTCTCCAGTTGGGGCAACAAGAGCGAAACTCCATCTCAAAAATAAACATTTTTAAAAAATTAAAAAGGGGCTGGGCATAGTGGCTCACGCCTGTAAACCCAGCACATTGGGAGGCTAAGGCAGATAGATCACTTAAGATCAGGGGTTTGAGCCCGGCCTGGACAATATGGCGAAACACTCTCTATAAAAAATACAAGAATTAGCTGTGGTGGCATGCACCTGCGGTTCTAGCTACTCACGAGGCTGAGCAGGGAGGATCTCTTAAGACCTGGAGGTGGAGGTTGCAGTGAGCCAAGATCACACCATTGCACCACTCCAGACTAGGCAACAGAGGCATAACCTCTTTCAAAAAGACCTAAGACGGGAGGCTGAGGCAGGAGAATGGCGTGAACCCGGGAGGCGGAGCTTGCAGTGAGCCAAGATTGTGCCACTGCACTACAGCCTGGGAGACGGAATGATGCTCCATCTCAAAAAACCACCACCAAAAGAAACCCTAAGAAACAAAAATTAAAATAATAAAGACTGTAGTGACCTGTATATTTAAGGTTCTGAGGATGGATATATATAGATATTTTCTGTCCCTCAATATTCTTGAATAGGCCAGGCGTGGTGGCTCATGCCGTAATCCCTGCACTTTGGGAGGCTGAGGCGGGTGGATCACCTAAGGTCAGGAGTTCGAGACCAGCCTGGCATACGTGATAAAACCCTGTCTCGACTAAAAATAGAAAAAAAATTAGCTGGGCGTGGTGGCATGCACCTATGACCCCCCAGCTACTCAGGAGGCTGAGGTTGCAGTGAGCTGAAATTGCACCACTACACTCCAGCCTGGGCAACAAGAGGAAAACTCCGTCTCAAAAAAAAAATCCTTGAATAAGGAACGAAAACTTTATTTTAGGTTAGGGAGTATTTACTTATGATAAGTGCAGGCTAGAATGGTTCAGTGTTTTATCAGCAACAAAGGCAAAATCAGAACTTTTTCCTTGCCACATGTGCTACCCTATACCCTATGCTCCGTGCCTCACTTAATATACAGAAAATACCTGGAAATCCACGATACTATGGCCCAATTTTTCTGCTAGTATACTTGCATATTAACATGGGACCTAGAGAAACTTTTGGAACAAGGTGATATTTATAAAACTGTTATTCTTTGTTTGGCATCAGTATCAGTCTGTCAGAAACACCAAGTAGCTTTATTTCCTTCTTGAAATGTTACTTCTAAGCAGGCCTATTTATGTTTTTTCTAAGCCTCAATTTTCTATTTAATATTTCTCAGAATAAAGAAAACAGCTCATTTTAAACAAGAAGTTTATTTAAACAACAAGACGCTTGACTTGAAGGGAAAACTATCTAGGATTCTTTTTTGTTTTAGAGTAATTTATCCCTACTTAAAGACAGATTGCCCTACATGTAACAGCTACGTACAAAAAAGTTATAAAATTGTCCTTGGTTTTACAATGATAAATGAAAAACATTAAAATTCTCCAATTGAACAAGGTATGCAAGGATTTTTATGTTGTTGTTTTTTTTTTTTGTTAAAACAGTGAGAGCAAAATAACTTACTGGAATATAAAGATAAGAGCTGAATGAGCATGCCACTAATGGAGAAAGGGGGTATTTTCACAGAATCAGTATTTTTCCCCATCCCGTCTCCACTTGATGTCAATCAAAACATACCATTGGCTGTTTAGTTAAAAAAAAAAAAAATGCAATATGCTTGTGCACATATACCAGTTACTTTATGTACAATAAAGGAATGGGGAAGGGGGAAATGAAAGAATAGAGAAAACTATACGGTAGTAGTCAGGATGTGGTGGAACCAAATTGCAGTTTTCTAATTGAGAATGTAATCTTGGTCTTTAAAGAACAGAGTTCTGGAGTAAAGAAGCAGGTTCCCTTTTCAGTAGACACCTCCCGTCTGCTGTTGGAACACATCAATTGTATCTTCATCCTCCATTTCCAACTAGCATAAAAGAAAAAACAAATGTAAAAGCACTGATTAAGTTCTGAAAATTAATGATTTTTGGGTTTAAGTATGCTGAAAACATGTACATGTTCCACTAAGTTCCAAGTTTCATTATTTTAGATGTCTCATAGCTTAATGTATCAACACACTTGGTTTAAGTAATTTTTCACTTGGCTTCCTTTTTTATGACTATTAGATAAAACTTTTTTGTTTTTTTTTTGAGACAGGATTTCTGTCACCCAGGCTGGACTGCAGTGGCGTGATCTCAGCTCACTGCAACGTCCACCCCTCAGGTTCAAGCAATTCTCCTGCCTCAGTCTCCCAAGTAGCTGAGATTACAGGCATCCGCCACCATGCCCAGCTAATTTTTTTGTATTTTTAGTAGAGATGGGGTTTCGTCATGTTGGCCAGGCTGGTCTCAAACTCCTGAGCTCAAGTGATCTGCCTGCCTCGGCCTCCCAAAGTGCTGGGATTACAGGTGTGAGCCACTGCGCCCAGCCAAAACTTAGTTTTTGAGTAAAAAGCAGAATATTAGCCAGGTGCGGTGGCTCATGCCTGTAATCCCAGTACTACTGGAGGCCAACATTGGAGGATTGCTTGAGCCCAAGAGACCGAGACCACCTGGGCAACATAGGGAGACAACATCTCTACAAAAAAAAAAAGGAAAAAAAAAAAAAATTAGCCAGCCATGGTGACACATGTCCATACTCCCAGCTACTCAGGAAGCCGAGGTGGGAGGATCAATTGAGCCCATAAGATCAAGGCTGCAGTGAACTGAGACCACACCAGCTCACTCCAGCCTGAGTGACAAAGCAAAAGATCCTGTATCAAAAAAAGAGAAAAAAAGGCTAGGGCCACGCACAATGGCTCACTCCTGTAATCTCAACACTTTGGGAGGCTGAAGTGGGCGGGTCACCTGAGGTCAGGAGTTCAAGACCAGCCTGGCCAACCTGGTGACACCCCATCCCTATTAAAAAAAAATTTTTTTTTTTTTTTTGAGACGGAGTCTCCCTGTGTCGCCCAGGCTGGAGTCCAGTGGCAGGATCTCAGCTCACTGCAAGCTCCGCCTCCTGGGTTCACGCCATTCTCCTGCCTCAGCCTCCCGAGTAGCTGGGACTACAGGTGCCCGCCACAACGCCTGGCTAATTTTTTGTATTTTTAGTAGAGACGGGGTTTCACCGTGTTAGCCAGGACAGTCTAGATCTCCTGACCTCATGATCCACCCTCCTCGGCCTCCCAAAATGCTGGGATTATAGGCGTGAACCACTGCACCCGGCCTAAAAATATTTTTTAAATTAGCCGGGCATGGTGGCATGTGCCCGTAATCCCAGCTATTCGGGAGGCTGAGGCAGGAGAATCGCTTGAACCCAGGAAGCAGAGGTTGTGGTGAGCCAAGATTGTGCCACTGGACTCCAACACCGGTGACAGAGTGAGACTTGGTCTCAAAAAAAAAAAAAAAGGTGGGGGGGGGCGGGTGTGGCAGCTCACACCTGTAATCTCAACACTTTGGGAGGCCGAGGCAGGCAGATCACCTGAGGTCGGGAGTTCAAGACCAGCCTGGCCAAAATGGTGAAACCCAGTCTCTACTAAAAATACAAAAAACAAAACAAAAAAATTAGCTGGGCGTGGTGGCGCACGCCTGCACGCCTGTAATCCCAGCTACTTGGGAGGCTGAGGCAGGAGAATCACTTGAACCCAGGAGGTGGAGGTTGCAGTGAGCCAAGATCATGCCATTGCATGTGACAAGAAACTGTCTCAAAAAAATTAAATAAATGAAAGCTGAATATGTCTGTGTCGAGGGCCCACAGAAGGGTGATATGTTTAAAGAATCTCGCTGCACTGCTTAGCAAAGACTGAAAACAAATCTCAATAAAAACCCAAATTAGGCTGGGCGCCGGGGCTCACGCCTATAATCCCAACACTTTGGGAGGCCAAGGTGGGCGGATCACCAGGTCAACAGGTCAAACCCATCCTGGCCAACATGGTGAAACCCTGTTTCTACCAAAAATACAAAAATTAGCTGGGTGTGGTTGCGCACGCCTGTAGTCCCAGCTACTCGGGAGGCTGAGGCAGGAGAATCACTTGAACCCGTGAAGTGGAGGTTACAGTGAGCTGTGATTGCCCCACTGCACTCCAGCCTGGCAACAGAGCAAGACTCTGTCTCAAAAAACAAAAACAAAAACAAAAAACACCAAAACAAAAAACCCACGGCAGGCGTGGTGGCTCACAAGGTCAGTCATTCGAGACCAGCCTGGCCAACATAGTGAAACCCCGTCTCTACTAAAAATACAAAAAATTAGCTGGGCATGGTGGCAGGTGCCTGTAATCCCAGCCACTCAGGAGGCTGAGGCAGGAGAATCACTTGAACCTGGGAGGTGGAGGTTATAGTGAGCTGAGATCACGCCACTGCACTCCAGCCTGGGTGACAGTGCGAGACTCCAGGTCTCAAAAAAAAAAAAAAAAAACCCAAATTAATAAAACATAGTATGCTCAGATATTAAATACCATATAGCCGTTAAAAAATAAGATTTTCATGTACAGAAATGAAAATATCTTTAAGATACAGTAGATACAGTGTTAGGCTAAAAACACAATTTTAAAACTAAGCAGCAGCCAACTCGGTGCACTGACTATATAAGTTAGCCATGCTCTGTAAGGGGCAGTTAAAAAAAAAAAAAAGTACACCCCAAGGAGCAAAGCAGCTTATTGTATGACTACATTTGTGTTTTTCTATTTTTTCTTGCGATGGAGTTTCGCTGTTGTTGCCCAGGGTGGAGTGCAATGGCGCAATCTTGGCTCACTGCAACCTCTGCCTCCCGGGTCAAGCAATTCTCCTGCCTCAGCCTCCCAAGTAGCTGGGATTACAGGCATGCGCCATCATGCCCAGCTAATTTTGTACTGACTCCGTCAATACAGAAAATAAAATAAAAACAACATAAACAAATAAAATAAAAACAAAATTAGCCAGGCATCATGGTGGGCGCCTGTAATCCCAGCTACTCGGGAAGCTGAGGCAGGAGAATCGCTTGAACCCAGGAAGCAGAGGTTGCAGTGAGCTGAGATCACGCCACTGCACTCCAGTCTGGGAGACAGGGCAAAACTCCGTCTCGAAAAATAAAAAAATAAAAAAAAGCTGGGGAGGCAGGAGGCCTGCTAAGATGTTTTAATTTATCACAATCCTGCTATCTAACAAATATTGGGAGAATAATTCTAAAACGAATCAATTCCAAATTCTTCAAAATGAAGTAAAATGAATTGCAAATTCAACCTGAAGATTTTAAAATGCCTCAAGGTCACGGATCCAAACAAATAACTCCTTGTTTAATATTTGTAACTACTATAGCAGATAATCCCGTTTTAGTGGTGGGTAAGGAGGGCTTAAAGACAGGAAATACATTCTAATAACTGAGAGTACAGCACAATAGATACTTTTTACTATTTCTTTTAAAACCAAACAAGCCTGTCATCTATCTACTAAAACAAAATTATCCAAATGTGAAGTTTTACAGTGAAACTGTAAATGCCTTTAAAAAATGAGGTTCCTGTACCAGCCTCATTTATCAATAGAATTTAGCTCCTCCTTGTGGCTACATACCATAATTGCGCCTTTTTTTTTTTTTTTGACAGGGTTTCACTCTTTCACCCAAGCTAGAGTGAAGTGGCATGACCTCCGCGCTCACTGCAACCTCGACTGTCTGACACCTTTCCCCCGCCCAGATTCTCCTGGCTCAATCTCCCGAGTAGCTGGGATGGGATTACAGGTGAGCACCACCATGCCCGGCTAATTTTTGTATTTTTAGTAGAGACGGGGTAGTTTCGCCATGTTGGCCAGGCTGGTCTTGAACTGCTGACCTCAGGTGATCAACTTGCCTTGGCCTCCCAAAGTGCTAGGATTACAGTCGTGAGCTACTGTACCCAGACTTTTTTTTTTTTTTTTTTGAGACAGGGGCTGTTACCCAGGCTGGAGTGCAGTGGCACTATCTCTGCTGACTTTAATCTCCGCCTCTCGGGTTCAGGTGATTCTCCTGCCTCAGCCTCCTGAGTAGCTGGGACTACAGGCGTGCACCATCATGCCTGGCTAAATTTTTTTTTTTTTTTTTTGAGTTTCGCTCGTTACCCATGCTCGAGTGCAATGGCGTGATCTCCGGCTCACTGCAACCTCTGCCTCCTGGGTTCAAGCGATTCTCCTGCCTCAGCCTCCCGAGCAGCTGGGATTACAGGCCACCACACCCAGCTAATTTTGTATTTTTAGTAGAGACGGGGTTTCTCCATGTTGGTCGGAGTGGTCTCAAACTCCCAACCTCAGGTGATCCGCCCACCTCGGCCTCCCAAAGTGCTGGGATCACAGGCATGAGCCACTGCGCCCGGCGATGCCTGGCTAATTTTTGTATTTTTTGGCAGACACGGGGTTTCACCATATTGTCCAGGCTGGTCTCAAACTCCTGACCTCAAGCAATCTGCCTGCCTCAGCCTCCTGAAGTGCTAGGATGACAGGTGTGAACAAGTGCACCTGGCCCGTAATTCCTTTTGAGAGACTGTCACCAGTTGAAATGTCTTCAAAATATTCTTCTTTTCAGTACAACTCAGGGGCTTTTCCAATTTTCAAAGATTATCAACAAAACTACAATCTGGATGTGCTGCTTCATGCCACATTTATCACTTTCTAGTTTTTACTGGGTGATAAAGTTGAAATTCAAAAGTACATGGGATCCAATTTAAATTTCTACTATCACAACATTGTAAAATATGTTTCAGAAACTGTAAGTCTTCTATTTTTGAGACAGAGTTTTGCTCTATCGCCCAGGCTGGAGTGCAGTAGTATGATCATAACTCACTGCGGCCTGAAACTCCTGGACTCAAGCACCCCTCCCACTAAACTTCCCAAGAAGCTGGGACTACAGACACATGCTACCATGCCCAGCTCTTTTTCTTTCCTGTAGAGACCAGGTCTTGCTATATTGCCCAGACTGGTCTTAAACTCCTGGCCTCAAGCAACCCTCCTGCCAGTGTCAGTTTCCTAAAGTGATAGGACTACAGGTGTGAGCCACCAAGTCAGGACAAGACTGGAAGTCATTTTTTTTTTTTTTTGAGAGAGGGCCTCACTTTGTCACCCAGGCTGGTGTGCAGTGGTACCATCTTGGGTGACGGCAGCCTCCACTTCCTGGGCTCAAGCAATCCTTCCACCTCACCCTAAGAAGTAGCTGGTACTACAGGCACGTACCACTGCTCCCTGGCTAATTTTTGTATTTTTTTGTAAAGAGAGGGTTTTGCCATGTTGCCCAGGCTGGTCTTGAAATCCTGGACTCAAGTGCTCCGCCCACCTTGGCGTCACAGTGCTGGCATTACAAGCACTTTGTAATCTTGAAAATGGCTCTCATGAGCCACCCTGCTAGGACAAAACTGGAAGTATTTAATGGAACTTTGAAAGGGTAAAAAGAAACAAAGAGCTTCTGCCACAGAAGACAATCCAGCTGATCCTACAGAAAGTGACAGAACAAAATGAAGTGGTACATAAAGAGTTAAAGGATCAGAGAGCATCACGTTTTGTAGTAAGGATCTGGAAAATCTCCTATTATCAGGGGCTCTCCCTGTCAAACAAAGCTATGGGACGTGGCAATTAGGGCTATTAGTTCCTTTTTGTTCATGAAGACACGTAAAAGAGAATTTCAATTCAGCATGTAGAACTAAAATGGTGAGGATTTGGCTGGGTGCGGTGGCTCACACCTGTCAATCCCAACACTTTGGGAGGCCAAGGCGGGCGGATTACTTGTGGTCAGCAGTTCAAGACCAGCCTGGCCAACATGGTGAAACCCCATCCCTACCAAAAATACAAAAATTAGCCAGGCATGGTGGTGCATGCCTGTAATCCCAGCTACTCTGGGAGGCTGAGGCAGGAGAATTGCTTAAGCATGGCAGGCGAGGGCTGCCATGACCCAAGATCGTGACACTGTACTCAAGCCTGGGCGATGGAGTGAGATTCCGTCACAAAAAACAAACACAAACCACTGGTGGGGTTGGGCACATTGATTCGTGCCTATAATCCCATCACTTTGGGAGGCCAAGGCTGCAGTGAGCTATAATGAGGCCACTACACTTCAACCCGGGCAACAGAGAGGCCCTGTCCCTAAAAAAATAATTAAAATGAAAATTAAAAATAAATGAATAAAAACCATTGGCATTTCCTGAGCCTATTCCTATTTTCCTTTCTGTTCCCCTCTGGTCATACTTCCCAAAGCTCTGAACTCTACAAGAACTTATACTCCAGTGTCTAAACGTTCAAATTCATAAACACAGCTGTTCAAAGAATTACAAATGGTAATTTTTCTAATTAGGAGAGATTTTTTTACCTGTGCAGGTGTGTCTGTTTCATTGATTGGTTGCCCGTCAAATCGGAATCTGATCTGCCTCATTGACAATCCCTGAACGAGAATTTAAAAGCAATAAACAGCATTAAGAGAAACAGAATTCTATTTACATAAAAGTACATGCATATTTAACCATGAATATATTAAAGAAATACCTAAATAAACAATTGCCAACATGTTAACATACCCTATAGGTAAAAAGATTTGGGGTGATTTTCATTTTCTTTTTTTTGAGACAGTTTTGATCTGTTGTCAAGGCTGAAGTGCAGTGGCGTGATCTCAGCTCAAGGCAACCTACACCTCCTGGTTCAAGCGATTCTTCTGCCTTAGCCTCCCAAGAGTAGCTGGGACTACGGTCCCCCGCCACAACAACCGGCTAATTTTTGTAGTTTTAGTAGAGACTGGGTTTCATCAGGTTGGCCAGGCTGGTCTCGAACTCCTAACCTCAGGTGCTCCGTCCGCCTCAGCCTCCCAAAGTGCTGGGATTACAGGAGTGAGCCATGGTGCCCAGCCTCTCATTTTCAGTGAACAGTAAGATGTAGTATTTTTTTTCCTTTTCTTTTTTTTTTGAGACAGAGTCTTGCTCTGTCACTCAGGCTGGAGGGCAGTGTCGCGATCTCGGCTCACTGCAACCTCCACCTTTTGGGTTCAAGCAATTTTCCTGCCTCAGCCTCCTGATTAGCTGGGACTAGGCAGGCGCCACCATGCCTGGCTAATTTTTGTATTTTTTAGTAGAAACAGGGTTTCGCCATGTTGGCCAGGCTGGTCTCGAACTCCTGACCTCAGATGATCTGACCACCTCAGCCTCCCAAAGTGCTGGGATTACAGGCATAAGACACTGTGCCCGGCCTGTTTGTTGTTGTTGTTTTTGTTTGTTTGTTAAGACAGAGTTTTGCTATGTCGCCCAGGCTGGAGTGCAGTGGTGCGATCTTGGCTCACTGCAACCTCCGCCTCCTGGGTTCGAGTGGTTCTCCTGCCTCAGCCTCCCGAGTAGCTGGGATTACAGGCGCTTGCCATCATGCCCAGCTAATTTTTGTGTTTTTAGTAGAGACAGGGTTTCACCATGTTGGCCAGACTGATCTCGAACTCCTGACCTCAAGTGATCCACTCACCTCAGCCTCACAAAACGCTGGGATTACAGGTGTGAGCCACTGCGCCCAGCCAGTAAGTCATTCTTTTAGAAAGCTTTACTGCTTTTCAGACACAGCTACTATAATGTTAAATAGAACATACCTTGAGACAAATATGCATTTAAATGAGTTAGACAAGGAAATGAAATTTTTTTTTTTTAAATGGAGTCTCGCTCTGTCGCCCAGGCTGGAGTGAGTGGAACAATCTCAGTTCAACGCAACCTCCACCACCGGAGTTCAAGTGACTTTCCTGCCTCAGCCTCCTCAGTAGCTGGGACTACAGGCTCATGCCACCATGCTGGGCTAATTTTTTGTATTTTAGTAGAGATGGGGTTTCACCGTGTTAGCCAGGATGGTCTCAATTTCCTGACCTCGTGATCCGCCTGGCTGGCCACTAACAGGAAATTTAAAGGAAAAAAATGCCCATTTAAAGACTCCAGTCTGAGCTCGGGGGCTCACACTGTAATTCCAACACTTTAGGAGACCAAGGCAGATCATCTGAGGTCTGGAGTTCAAGATCAGCCTGGCCAATATGGTGAAACCCCGCCTCTACTGAAAATACAAAAATTAGCCGAGTGTGGTGGCATCCGCCTGTAATCCCAGCTATTCGGGAGGCTGAGGCAGGAGGATCGCTTGAACCTGGGAGGCGGAGTTTGCAGTGAGCCAAGATCGTGCCCTAGCACTCCAGCCTGGGTGACAGACCAGATTCAATATCAAAAACAACAACAACAACAACAAAACCGACCTAAAATGCCCCAACCTACACCCTTGAACTTCCTGGAATAGCTTTAAAAAAGCACCGCTTTTTAATTTCCTTTAATACTTACCCAAATCTGTAATTACTTACTGTCTTACTAAAAAACACACTTCAGGAGATATAGGAACCTAGACTGTTTTAGTTACACAGTCTATCCCTTGCACATAGTAGGTGCTGCTCAGTAAGTATCAGTGGCATAAAAGGGATGAAAAACAGTATATAACCATCATCTACTTAAAAACAAAGGCCAAGTATTGTGGCTCACGCCTGTAATCCTAGCACCTTGGGAGACTGAGGTGGAAGATCACCTGAGGTCAGGAGTTCGAGACCAGCCTGTCCAACATGGTGAAACCCCGTCTCTACTAAAAACACAAAAATTGGCTGAGCACAATGGCACACACCTGTAGTCCCAGCTACTCCAGCCGGAGGTTGAGGGGGGAAAATTGCATGAACCCGGGAGGTGGAGGTTGCAATGAGCCGAGATCGTGCCATTGCAAGAGCGAGACTCTTGTCTCAAAAAAAAAAAAAAATTAATTAATTAAATAAATAAAAATACAAAAAATTAGCCAGGCTAGGTGGCAGGCGCTGTAATCCCAGTTATTCAAGAGGCTGAGGCAGGAGAATTGCTTGAACCCAGGAGCAGAGGTTGCAGTGAGCTGAGATCATGCCACTGCACTCCAGCCTGGGCAACAGAGCAAGACTCCATCTCAAAAAAAAAGAAATTAAAAAATTTGCATGGTGGCCAGGTGCAGTGGCTCACGCCTATAATCCCAACATTTTGGAAGGCCAAGGCAGGTGGATTACCTGAGGTCAGGAGTTTCAGAGCAGCCAACCTGATCAACATGGTGAAGCCCCGTCTCTACTAAAAATACAAAATTAGCCAGGCGTGGTGGTGCATGCCTGTAATCCCAGCTACTTGTGAGGCTGAGGCAGGAGAATCACTGGAACCTGGGAGGCGGAGGTTCCAGTAAGCCTAGATTGCGCCATTGCATTCAGCCTCAGTAACAAGAGGAAAACTCCATCTTAAAAAAAAAAAAGAAAAGAAAAGCCAGGCGTAGTGCTTCATGCCTGTAATCCCAGCACTTTGGGAGGCCGAGGTGGCGAGACGGGTGGGTCACCTGAGCTCAGGAGTTCAAGACCAGCCTGGCCAACGTGGTAAAACCCCGTTTCTACGAAAAATAAATTAGCCGAGCACGGTGGTAGGTGCCTATAATCCCACCTACTCAGGAGGCTGAGGCAGGAGAATTGCTTGAACCCGGGAGGTGGAGGTTGCAGTGAGCCGAGATTATGTCACTACACTCCAGTCTGACCGACAAAGCGAGACTCCGTCTCAAAAAAAAAAAAAAAAAAAAAAAGAATCGCCCAGTGGCACAAGCCTATAGTCCCAACTACCTGGGAGCCTGAGGTGGGAGGACTGCTTGAGCCTGGGAGGCAGAGGATGCAGTGAGCCATGATCATAATCCTCCCACTGCACTTCAGCATGGGCAACAGGGCAAAAGCCTGTCTCAAAAAAAAAAAGGCAAAATTTTGCAATTGCAGAAAAGTTAAATAAGATATGCATAAGAATAGTGTTCAAGGCCAGGCACCAGTGGCTCACACCTGTAATCCCAGCACTTTGGGAGGCCGAAGCAGGCGGATCACGAGGTCAAGAGATCGAGATCATCCTGGCCAATATTGTGAAACCCCGTCTCTACAAAAAATACAAAAATTGGCTGGGCACGGTGGCACGCACCTGTAGTCCCAGCTACTTGGGAGGCTGAGGCAGGAGAATCGCTTGAACCCAGGAGGCAGAGGTTGCAGTGAGCCGAGATGGTGCCACTGCACTCCAGCCTGGGCAACAGTGCGAGACTCTCAAAAAAAAAAAAAAAAAAGAAAAGAATACTGTTCAAAACCACCAAACTGAAGCATGATTCTGTTTGTTTGTGGTTTTGAGACAGGGTCTCATTCTGTCACCCACACTGGAGTGCAGCGATGAGATCATGGCTCACTGCAGCCTAGACCTGCCAAGCTCAAGCAATCCTCCCACCTCTGTCACTGAAATAGCCTGGACTACAGGTATGTGCCACCACAACCACCTAATTTTTTTTTAAGAGATGAGGTCTGGGCCAGGCGCAGTGGCTCATGCCTGTAAACCCAGCACTTTGGGAGGCTGAGGCGGGTGGTTCACGAGGTCCTGTAATCCCAGTGACTTGGGAGGCTGAGGCAGAAGAATCGCTTAAAACTGGAAGGCGGAGGATGCAGTGAGCCGAGATTGCGCCACTGCACTCTAGCCTGGGCAATAAGAGCAAAACTCCACCTCAAAACAAAACAAAAAAACCAGATGAGGTCTTACTATGTTGTCCAGACTGGTCTTCCAGCCTTGGCCTCCCAAAGTGCTGGATTACCACGCCCAGCCTATGATTTTCTATTTTGTATGCAGTTTTGCTAAAGAAGTTCTCCAAAAGGATTACCTTTTAAAATTCCCCTGTATCCTGAAGGGGCACTAGTGTTCAAATATAGAAGATGCCAGTTTATAAATTATTTAACACAATTCATAAGTTCATGTAGGGTGATTTCAGCAAAATTCTTCAAATAAGAGTATATGGTATCTTGCTGGGCACAGTGGCTCACGCCTGTAATCCCAGCACTTTGGGAGGATGAGGCAGGTGGATCACCTGAGGTCAGGAGCTCAAGACCAGTCTGACCAATATGGTGAAACCCCATCTTGCTGACAATACAAAAATTAGCTGGGCGTGGTGGCGTGCGCCCGTAGTCCCACCTACTCGGGAGACTGAGACAGGAGAATCGCTTGGTCTCGGGAGGCAGAAGTTGCAGTGAGTCGAGATTGCACTACTGCACTCCATCCTGGACAACAGAGCGAGACTCTGTCTCAAAAAAAAAAAAAAAAAAGGTATCTTTATAAGGAACTACATACAAGAAGGTTTACATATCAATTATGAGCACAGTATTTTCTTATTACATTGTAAATACACTAGGCATAAAAATACTTCAAACATTCTAAAGTTTTTTTTTTTTTTTCCTTTGAAATGCTCTCGCTCTGTCACCCAGGCTAGAGTGCAGTGGTGTGATCTTGGCTCACTGCAGCCTCCACCTCCCAGGTTCAAGGGATTCTCAGCCTCAGCCTCCGGAGTAGGTGGGATTATGCGCGTGTAACACCACGCCCAGCTAATTTTTTTGGATTTTTAGTAGAAATGGGATTTTGCCATGGTGGCCAGGCTGATGTCAACTGCCACCTGCCTCAGTCTCCCAAAGTGCTGGGATTACAGATATGAGCCACTGCATCAGGCCTAAAGGAAGTTTTTATCTTCACTGATCTTTCAAGTATAAACTCAAACTCAATTTCCCAACTTACATAGGTTTAAGCCTTATTCTATTTTGAGCCTATTTAGAACAATCTGAAGGGGCCAGGCACAGTGGCCCATGCTTGTAATCCCAGCACTCTGAGAGGCCAAGGTGGGCGGATCACTTGAGGTCAGGAGTTGAGGTCAGGTCTACTAAAAATACAAAATTAGCCGGGCGTGGTGGCGCACGCCTGAAATCCCAGGTACTCAGGAGGCTGAGGCATAAGAATAGCCTCAACTCAGGAGGCAGAGGTTGCAGTGAGCCAAGATTGCACCACTGCACTCCAGCCTGGGCAACAGAGCAAGACTCCATCAAAAACAAAAACAAAAATAAAACACAATTTACAAGGTAGATAAGTTCTAGCTTAAAAGAAATAGAGTGAGACTCCCAGCTTAAAAAAAAAAAAAAAAAAAAAAAAAAAAACGACTTCTTGGTTTGGCGCGGTGGCTCATGCTTGTAATCCCAGCACTTTGGAAGGCCGAGGCGGGCGGATCACCTGAGGTCAGGAGTTTGGAACCAGCCTAGCCAATACGGTGAAACCCCATCTCTACTAAAAATACAAAAAAAAAATTGGCCAGGCCTGGTAGTGGGCACCTGTAATCCCAGATACTCAGGAGACTGAGGCAGGAAAATCGCTTGAAGTGGAGGTTGCAGTGAGCTGAGCTCAGGCCACTGTACTTCAGCTTGGGCAACAAGAATGAAACTCCATCTCAAAAAAATAAAATAAAATAATAAAAGACTTATAAGTAATTTTACCAAGTTCACTCTTATTTTCTTATAAACATAAAATTACATTTCCTTGGTAAAAAAAAATTATTGTAAATATAATTTGATGGATTTCTGGCACAGGACTGGAACCACATATAATACTAACCAAATCATCCTAAGGGTTTTCACGAGCTATCAATATACCAAGTGCACGACAAAACTGACGTGCCAAGTGCATATTCATCCCATCAAAAAGTCACTGTAATGTGCTAGTCTAGTTTTTGTTCCCATGAAAATAAGATTTTTAAAAATAGTTTTATTCAGTGGAAGTACACATATGAATTCCTCACCTGTCGTTCACAATAGGCTTTCATTAGTTTACTAAGTGGTGTATGCCTCTTAATCTTAAACTGCACCACAGAACCATCCTGCCCCGCCACCTTCAAATTAATATGATCGTTGTTCTCAGTCTTGACTCCTTCCTGTTAAAAGAAAAATAAAAGTATAATTTGGGAAATGTGATCAACGAACACGTTTTATAAAGCAGCAGCAGCCCTAGTTGCTTCAAAAATCAACAGGTTTCTCATACTGTATGCTAAAACGGCATACTGCTGTTTTCAGCTGCTGAAATCAATGTGAAAGCGGAAAAATCCTGCAGTAACAGTATTAGATAGCTGTCAGATACGGAAAAGCCTACATGCAATACTATCAGTAGCAACAATATGTTTAAAGTTGGGTCCTATTCAGTGTATTGCAACGTTCTCTTGAAGTTAAACTTCCTAAAATGACATATATCACTCCCAAAATACTTTACCCCCCAAAAAAGTTAAAAATAGAGTCCCTTCTCTTTTCTAAGCACTTTAAGTACAACTGCAAGAAACAAAACAATAAATCTACAGCCTGCCATTCAAAACTCATTACCGTTGTCATTAAAAAGTTACCAAACTCAGTTTAATAACCTAAATCCAATCTCCATTAAAGGAAACACACAAACAAAAAAAACAATCGAAGAATATCCCGATTCCCCCCGGAACAGCGGTAATACTCAGTCAGGACCACAGTTAACGTTCTCCTCTATTAGCAGCTTCATTTTTATTTTCGGTTAAGAGCACTTATTCTCCCCTCCCCCCCTTTGTTGTCATGGGTCAAATACACAGTTTTATCCTGATTTGTTTCTTGTAGATTTCGACCCAACCTAAAGTTGTCCAAAATCGAGTGCAGAAGCAATTCTGTAGCCCTAAAACGCTCCAGAAAGTAAAGGCGCGGGAGGCGGGGGGTGCCACCAAACTAAAAGCAGCAAGTCCCGTGTGCCCCGATGATGGGTGTCCCCAAGTCCTCCCGGGAAGTCTCCGGGTGCCTCAAAAGCCGCGTTCAAAAGTTAAGCCGCACAAAGTCTCTCTGCTCGTACCTGTGCCTCCAACTTCATGAAACCACATGGTGTTCGCGGATTAGGGGTTCGTTGGCACCCAGGGAAAAGCCGCTGCCCCTCCCCCTTCGGGCCCCTGAGGCTATTAAAGTGGGAAATACTCCACGGGAATCCCCCTACCCCCAGGCCCAGGACGGCGGCCCGCGGGCATCCAGGTTCCTGCCCGTCCGCAGCCCATTGATTCGCCCCGAACCCTCGCCCCGCCGCCGCGGCCCCAGGCAGGGGTCCCCAGATGCCCGCGGTTCCTACCCGAGAGGTGAAGCCCGAGCCCAGAGGACTCCTCGCCGCCTCGGAGACTGCAACACCCGACGCGGGGTCGACAGAAGGTGGAGACCCCGCGCGCCCTAACGCCCCTCCTCACGCGCGCCGGCCGGCTGGGCCAAGAATCCCCGTTCGGGGCTGGTGGGTCCGCGGGCGTCCGCTTTCTGCCCGCCCAACTCGCGCCCGGCGCGCACTCGGAGGCCGCCGGGGGCGGGAGAGAGCGGCGGGGCCTCCTTCGGCGCGGGAGGGAGGAAGAGAGGGAGGGAGGAAAATGGCGCGGAGCGCCCGGGCCTGAGCCGCGGCCGGCCCCGTGGGGGGCCCGGGAAAGCGCTGGGAGCCAGCGGCGGGCTCTGGCCGGACCCCGGCCCGCGCCATGACCCCCACCGCGCGGCGAGGCGAAGGGGCCGGCGGCGAGCTCACCTTGGGCTTTTCGTCGGCCATGGCGAGCGCCGGAGTCTCCTCAGCTGCCGCTTCACAAAAGAGGTACCAGGTCCGCACCAAACGAGCACACAAGCAGCACCAGGAGCGGCAGAAGAAGGAGGCGGCAGCGGTGGACGAGGGGAGAGGGTGCGCGCACGTCGTGCGCTCCCTCCCCCCACCCTGCGTGCGCGAGCACGAGTAGCCGAAGCCTCCCATTGGCTGGCGCCTCGCGGGAGCGCGCAACGCTTACATAACCACCCCCACCCCCCGTCCCACGCCACCGCGTCCTGGGCCAGGCGCCCGCCCGGCCGGCGGGAAGAGGCGCGGACACGCGCACCCGGCCCGCCGCGGGGGCGCGCCTGGCTCTGGGCGGGGCTGTATTGTCCTCCTTCGTGGTGGAGCATAATCAAAATGGCTTCCAGCTGGTCCTCGGTGGGAACGATGAGGCTCGAGGCTTTAGACGTAAGCCATAGGCCAGGGAAGGCAGACTTACTAGAGGAGGAAGGGGATTCCTAAATCAAAGCCCCAGCATGAGGTTCTGGAAAAATCTCTCTCATTCAGTGGACCAGCAGCCCTCCCATGGTTACTTCCTCTCAGTCAATCTCAACCTGCTTCCCACCGGACTCTTGCCTAAAATGCAGTGTCTTCTTCTTCTTCTTCTTCTTCTTTTTTTTGAGACGGAGTCTCGCTCAGTCGCCCAGGCTGGAGTGCAGTGGCACGATCTCGGCTCACAGCAACCTCTGCCTCCCGGGTTCAAGTGATTCTCCTGCCTCAGCCTCCCGAGTAGCTGAGACTACAGGTACCCGCCACAACGCCCGGCTAATTTTTCGTAGAGACGGGGTTTCACCGTGTTAGCCAGGATGGTCTCGATCTCCTGACCTCGTGATCCGCCCGCCTCGGCCTCCCAAAGTGCTGGGATTACAGGCGTGAGCCACCGCGCCCGGCCTACAGTGTCTTCTTCTGTCCTGCTGGTAACCCTAGACTTTGACTAGCTACGGGAAAATATTCATGTATTCATTCAACGAGATCCTTACTCATCGCCTGTCTTCCAAGAGGAAACAGTATCCATAAGCGAGAACTACCCAACAATCAAGCTTCCAGCCAATTTAATCCTTTCCTCGTTGCATCCAGTTAAAACATACACATGCGTCCCTCCTGTCTGAAGAACAATCCGATGTGTGTGCACTGGATTCCATCTCGCTTCTTCCCCCGGGGCTTTATTATTTCCTTTTGTCCCTGAATTTTCTTCCTCTCCTCCGTTAGTATAGAAAAAAAAAAAAAAGCTCCCAATTCTATGAAGTTACCATCCTATCTCTCTCCATTCTTGGCCAAACAGCTCGAAAAAATGTCCCCGCCAGCTGTCTCCAACCCCTCCCCTCCCACTCACTCCTCAACCCACTGCAATCTGGTGCTGTCCCCAAAGTTCCACTAAAACTGCTCTCCACAAGGTCACCGCAGACTTCTTTGCTGAATCCAGTATGCTTCTCAGTTTGTCACTCCTCTTGAACTTTGCAGGAGGTAGGTTTTCCTCTCATCTCTAGCCTGTCCTTTGTTCTCTCTGCAATTTTTTTTCTTACTCACTCCTTCCCTTAACTGTTCCTTAGGGTTTTCTTCAAGATCCTTTTATCACTCCATTCCCTCTCCGAGGATGATTTCACCGATTTTCATTACCATCTCTTTGCTAATGATCCTCAAATCCATTATTTCTAGTCCACGTCTTTCTTCTGAGTTTCCAGTTGATTTCTGAACATCTCCACTTGGATATCCCAGAGGCACCTCAGACCCAGCAACTCTCAACTAAAACTCCTCACTTTACCTTCCACATGGGTCCTTCTTCCTGACCTGTCACTCTTAAACTGAGTGACACACCACTACAACAGCTGCCCCAAGCTGGAAAGGCCAGCAACATTCCTGACTTCTTCTCCTTCACACACTCCTCATCCAATCAATCTTGGCCAAATCTTGTCTATTCCACCTTCTTACCAAATCTAATTTCTTTGGCCTCTGGATGGAGCTGCATTTGCTGGCCTTCTGTAGGTTCTCTTTGGGGAGGAAGAGGCTTAAGACCTTAGATGTGTGATAGGCCAAAGCAGGAAGACCATCTAGTTCAGATCAACACTCTCAAAAGAGGCCGGGCATGGTGGCTCATGCCTGTAATCCCAGCACTTTGGGAGGCCGAGGTGGGAGGATCACCTGAGGTCAGGAGTTCGAGATCAGCCTGACCAACATGGAGAAACCCTGTCTCTACTGAAAATACAAAATTAGCTGGGTGTGGTGGCGCATGCCTGTAATCCCAGCTACTCGGGAGGCTGAGGCGGAAGAATCGCTTGAACCCGGGAGGAGGAGGTTGTGGTGAGCTGAGATCTCACCATTGCACTCCAGCCTGGGCAACAAGAGCGAAACTCCATTAAAAAAAAAAAAAAAAAAAAACACTCTCAAGAGATACTGCAATATCAGCCGGGCACGGTGGCTCATGCCTGTAATCCCAACACTTTGGGAGGCCGAGGCGGGCAAATCACCTGAGGTCAGGAGTTTGAGACCAGACTAGCCAACATGGTGAAACCCTCTGGTGGCTCACGCCTGTAATCCCAGCACTTTGGGAGGCCGAGGCGGATGGATTGCCTGAGGTCAGGAGTTTGAGACCAGCCTGGCTAACATGGTGAAACCCTCTGGTGGCTCACGCCTGTAATCCCAGCACTTTGGGAGGCCAAGGCAGATGGATTGCCTGAGGTCAGGAGTTTGAGACTAGCCTGGCTAACATGGTGAAACCCAGTGTCTCTACTAAAAATACAAAAATTAGCCAGGCATGGTGGCAGGCGCCTGTATTCCCAGCTACTCAGGGGGCTGAGGCAGGAGAATCGCTTGAACCCAGTAAGTAGAAGTTGCAGTGAGCCAAGATCACACCACTCACTGCACTCTAGCCTGGGCAACAGAGCAAGACTTCGTCTCAAAAAAAAAAACAAAAAAACAAAAAAACACAAAGATACTGCAATATGGAAATACCCTCCTAACTCATCTGTTTTTTTTTGTTGTTGTTGTTGTTTGTTTTGTTTTAGACGGAGTCTCGCTCTGTCGCCCAGGCTGGAGTGGCACGATCTCGGCTCACTGCAACTTCTGCCCCCCGGGTTCAAGCGATTCTTCTGCCTCAGCCTCCTGAGTAGCTGGAACTACAGGCACATGCCACCACGCCCGGCTAATTTTTTGTATTTCTAGTAGAGATGGGGTTTCACCGTGTTAGCCAGGATGGTCTTGATCTCCTGACCTCGTGATGTGCCCGTCTCGGCCCCCCAAAGTGCTGGGATTACAGGCGTGAGCCACCACGCCCGGCTGTTTATTTGTTTGTTTGTTTTTTTCAGACAGAATTTTGCTCTTGTGGCCCAGGCTGGAGTGCAATGGCAAGATCTCAGCTCACTGCAAACTCCGCCTGCCAGGTTCAAGCGATTCTCCTGCCTCAGCCTCCTGAGTAGCTGAGATTACAGGCATGCCATGCACCACCGTGCCTGGCTAATTTTGTATTTTTAATAGAGACGGGGTTTCTCCATGTTGGTCACACTGGTCTCGAACTCCCGACTTCAGGTGATCTGCCCACTTTGGCCTCCCAAAGTGCTGGGATTACAGACGTGAGCCACCGCGCCCAGCCTAACCCATCTGTTTTAAAGTACCTCCAGGCCGGGTGCGGTGGCTCACGCCTGTAATCCCAGCACTTTGGGAGGCCGAGGCGGGCAGATCACGAGGTCAGGAGATCGAGACCACCCTGGCTAACACAGTGAAACCCCATCTCTACTAAAAATACAAAAAATTAGCCGGACGTGGTGGCGGGTGCCTGTAGTCCCAGCTACTCAGGAGGTTGAGGCAGGAGAATGGCATGAACCTGGGAGGCGGAGCTTGCAGTGAGCCAAGATCACGCCACTGCACTCCAGTCTGGGCGACAGAGCGAGACTCCGTCTCAAAAAAAAATAAATAGTACCTCCATTATTCATGGATTTTTAAATGAGTCAGAATCATCTAAAGGGCTGGTTTAAATACAAATTTTTGGGCCCCTTGGAAGGTTGGCTCTGGAATTCACCTAATTTTTTTTTTTCTTTTTTAAGAAAGGTCTGCTTTCCACCCAGGATAGAGTGCAGTACCGCAAATCATAGCTCACTGCAGCCTCGAACTCCTGGGCTTAAACCATCCTCTCGCCTCAGCCTCTTGAGTAGCTAGGACTACAGACAGGCACCACCACGCCCACCTAATTTATTTTTATTTTTTATAGAAATAGCATCTCCTGGCCGGGCGTGGTGGCTTTTTATTTTTTATAGAAATAGCATCTCCTGGCCGGGCGTGGTGGCTCATGCCTGTAATCCCAGCAAGAATCACTTGAACCCGGGAGACAGAGGTTGCAGTGAGCCAAGATCGCGCCACTGCACTCCAGCCTGGGCAACAAGAATGAAACTCCATCTCAAAAAAAAAAAAAAAGAAAGAAAGAAAGAAATGGCATCCTGGGCTCAAGTGATCCTCCAGCCTTAGCCTCAGCCTCTCAAAACGCTGGGATTACAGGCATGAGCCACTGTACCCTGCCAAATCTGCCTGTTTTGTTCTCTTTTTGGGGAAGGTCTCACTCTGTTGCCCAGGCTAGAGTGCATTGGTGTGATCTCAACTCACTGCAACCTCTGCCTCTTGGGCTCAAGGGATCCTCCTGCCTCAGACTCCCAAGTAGCTTCAACTACAGGTGCATGCCACCACACAAGGCTAATTTTTTTAAAATTTTTTGTACAGATGGGGCTCTCACTATGTTCCTCAGACTGGTCTCAAACCCCTGAGCTCAAGAGATCCCCTCACCTCAGCTTCCCAAAGTGATAGGATTATAGGTGGGAGCCACTATGCCCAGCCCTGGTAATTCTTAAACACACTAAAGTTTGAGGCCGGGCACGGTAGCTCATGCCTGTAGTCCCAGCACTTTGGGAGGCCGAGGTGAGGGGATCACCTGAGCTCAGGAATTCAAGACCAGCCTGGGCAACATGGTGAAATCCCGTCTCTACTAAAAATACAAAAATTAGCCGGGCATGGTGGCGTACCCAGCTACTCCAGAGGCTGAGACAGGAGAATTGCTAGAAACCAGGAGGCAGAGGTTGCCATGAGCTGAGACTGCAGCATTGCATTCCAGCCTGGGTGACAGAGTGTGACCCTGCCTCAAAAAAAAAAAAAAAGTAATAAATAATAAAGTTTGAGAAACACAAGCCATTATAAAATAAATATAAATCAAAAGGGTCAGGCACTGTGGCTCACGCCTGGAATCCCAGCCTTTTGGGAGACCAAGGCAGGCAGATCACCTGAGGTCAGGAGTTCAAGACCAGCCTGGCCAACCTGGTGAAATCCCGTCTCTATTAAAAAGATAAAAATTAGCTGGGCATGGTAGCAGGCGCCTGTAATCCCAGCTACTCGGGAGGCTGAGGCAGGGGAATCACTTGAACCCGGGAGGCAGAGGTTGCAGTGAGCCGAAATGGTGCCACTGAACTCCAGCCTGGGTGACAACACAGCGAGACTCTGTCTCAGAATAAGTAAGTAAGTAAATAAATAAATAAAAATACAAAAATTAGCTGGGCATCATGGCGGCTACCTGTAGTCCCAGCTACTCAGGAGGCTGAGGCAGGAAAATCGCTTGAACCCGGGAGGCAGAGGTTGCAGTGAGCCAAGATTGTGCCATTGCACTCCAGCCTGGGCGACAGTGCAAGACTCTGTCTCAAAAAATATAAAATAAAATAAAAAATAAACCAAAAGAAGTTTCTGATACTCCCTGGTTCCTCACTAATCATCTGCTTCACAGGATATGACCTATGCGCCCTTTGAGAACTAATCCAAATTAACCACTCTATAGCCTTGTTTCTCATCCTGAAGCCTCTGCTTTGGTCATATTCAATCACTTGGGGTTCCTAAATGTTCTCTCTCAACTCCAAGCTTTTGTACGTTGTAGGCGTTCGAGGATTCACTGAATGAATGAATGAATGAATGAATTGAAACTATCAGCTGGTTGCAGTGGCTCATGTCTGTAATTCCAGCACTTTGGGAGGACAAGGTGAGAGGATTACTTGAGCCCAGGAGATTATGGCTGCAATAAGCTATGATTGTGCCCCTGCACTCCAGCCTGGGTGACAGAGTGAGACCCTACCTCAAAAAACAACAAAAATAACCTATTACTGGGCCAGGTGCGATGGCTCACGCCTGTAATCCCAGCACTTTGGGATGGCGAGGAGGGTGGATCACCTGAGGCCAGGAGTTCCAAGATCAGCCTGGCCAACAGGCAAAACCCTGTCTCTACTAAAAATACAAAAATTAGCTGGGCATGGCGGTGCATGCCTGTAATTCCAGCTACTTGGGAGGCTGAGACAGGAGAATCGCTTGAACTCGGGAGGTGGAGGTTGCAGTGAGCCGAGATTGTGCCACTGCACTCCAGCCTAGGTGACAGAGCAAGACCCTGTCTCAAAAACAAAACAAAACAAAACAAAAAAACCCCATTACTATGTGTAAGATACTATGACACTGGAGATACCAAGAAGGGGAGACAAAATCTCTGACTCATATAACTTATGATTGGGGGAGGAGGAAATACACAAGAAGTGAAAGAGAAAGAGAACCAACAATTGTTGAGTACCTGCCACCTATCAAGCACTAAGTGGGACATTACTAATGTTAGCTCATTTTCCTCTTACACAAATGATTGCAAGCAGGTGTAGTAGTTATTTGCTACTCTCAAAGGGGTTAAGTAAACATGCTATCACATAGCTAGAAAGTAGTGTTAACTGAGCTCCTGCTGTGTGCTAGGGAAAAGACAAAGAGATACTGGCCGGGCACAGTGGCTCATACCTGTAATCCCAGCACTTTGGGAGGCTGAGACAGGCAGATCACCTGAGGTCAGGAGTTCAAGACCAGCCTGGCCAACATGGTGAAACCCGGTCTCTACTAAAAATACAAAAAACAGCTGGGCGTGGCAGCAGGCGCCTGTAATCCCAGCTACTCGGGAGGCTGAGGCAGGACAATCACTTGAACCTGGGAGGCAGAGGTTGCTGTGAGCCGAGATTGCACCACTGCACTCCAGCCTGGGCGAGAGGAGCAAGACTCTGTCTCAAAAGAAAAAAAAACCCAAAAAAAACTACCTGACAACCTATTACACTAAATTACAAAATCACCTTCAGGCAAAGGAGGAATTTGTATAAGATGCTTGTTCGGCCGGGGGCGGTGGCTCACGCCTGTAATCCCAGCACTTTGGGAGGCCAAGGTGGGAGAATCACGAGGTCAGGAGTTCGAGACCAGTCTGGCCAACATGGTGAAACCCCATCTCTACCAAAAATACAAAAAATTAGGTGGGCGCGGTGGCAGGCGCCTGTAATCCCAGCTACTTGGGAGGCTGAGGCAGGAAAATCACTTGAACCCAGGAGGCGGAGGTTGTGGTGAGCTGTGATCCTGCACTGCACTCCAGCCTGGGCGACAGAGTGAGACTCCATCTCAAAATAATAATAATAATAATAATAATAATAATAATAATAATGCTGCATGTTCAAGGCCGGGCTCAGTGACTCACTTCTGTAATCCCAGCACTTTGGGAGGCTGAGGCAGGTGGATCACCTGAGGTCAGGAGTTCGAGACCAGCCTGGACAATATAGTGAAACCCCATCTCTACTAAAAATACAAAAATTATCCGGGCGTGGTGGCGCACGCCTATAATCCCAGCTGCTCAGGAGGCTGAGGCAGGAGAATTGCTTGAACCTGGGAGATGAAGGATGCAGTGAGCTGCGATCACACCATTGCACTCCTGCCTGGGCAACAAGAGCGAAACTTCATCTAAAAAAATAAGAAAAACAATAGCTGGGCACAGTGGCTCACGCCTGTAATCCCAGAACTTTGGGAGGCCGAGGCAGGTGGATCACCTGAGGTAAGGACTTCAAGACCAACCTTGTCAACATGGTGAAACCTCGTCTCTATTAAATATACAAAAACTAGCTGGGTGTGGTGGTGGGCGCCTGTGATCCCAGCTACTTGGGAGGCTGAGGCAGCAGAATCATTTGAACTTGGGAGGCAGAGGTTGCAGTGAGCTGAGATCACTCCACTGCCCTCCAGCCTGGGCAACAAGAGAAAAACTTCGTCTCAAAAAAAAAAAAAAATACATGTTCAAATGTCTGAGCAATATGTATTCCAAGGGCACATTGAAATTCTGGGAGCTGGGTCTAGGCAATGTACTGAAATTATATTCTGAAAATCCTTTTGCAATTTCCAGGAAAAAATTGTGAAGAGATAGAAATTTCCTATTAATATTCTCCCTCCATCTTTTTTTTTTTTTTTTTTTTTGAGATGGAGTCTTGCTCTGTAGCCAGGCTGGAGTGCAGTGGCGTGATTTCGCCTCACTGCAACCTCCACCTCCCAGGTTCAAGCGATTCTCCTGCCTCAGCCTCCCGAGTAGCTGGGACCACAGGAGCGAGCCACCACGCTCAGCTAATTTTTTATTTTTAGTAGAGATGGGGTTTCACCATGTTGGCCAGTATGGTCTCGATCTCTTGACCCTGTGATCCGCCCACCTCAGCCACCCAAAGTGCTGGGATTACAGGCGTGAGCCACTGCACCTCTCCTTCCATCATTTTTATAGGGGTGGGAGGAAACGGATAGCTGTGCACTGAAAAAGGATGCTTTGGAAAAAGAAAGTGGGTCTGGGCACACTGGCTCACCCTTGAATTCCCAGCACTTTGGCAGGCCTGGCAGGCTGAGTTGGGTGGTTCGAGACCAGCCTAGGCAACAGGGTGAAAACTCGTCTCTATCAAAAATACCAAAAATCAGCCAGGCATAGTGGTGCTTGCCTGTGGTCGGAGCTACTCAAGAAGCTGAGATGGGAGGATCACTTGAGCCCAGGAAGCAAAGGCTGCAGTGAGCTGTGAGCTGTGATCACACTACTGCTCTCCAGCCTGGATGACGTAATGAGGCCCCATCTCAAAAAAAAAAAAAAAGGAAAAGAAAAAGAAAGTGGACTAGGAGACGGTGGCTCATATGCTCATATCAGTAATCCCAGCACCTTGGGAGGCCAAGGCACAAGGATCACTTGAGGCCAAGAGTTCAAGACCAGCCTGGGCAACATAGCAAGACCTTTGTCTCTAATAAATAAAAAATAAAATCAATAAAAATAAGAATAAAAAATTTTTTTTTGACACGGAGTCTCGCTCTGTCACCCAGGCTGGAGTGTAATGGTGGGCTCTTGGCTCACTGCAACCTCCACTTCCTGGGTTCAGGTGATTCTCTCACCTCAGCCTCCTGAGTAGCTGGGATTACAGGCTATGCCACCATGACTGGTTAATTTTTGTATTATTATTATTTTTAGAGACAGCGTCTTTCACTGTTGCCCAGGCTGGACAATCTCAGCTCACTGCAATCTCTCAGGTTCAAGCAATTCTCCTGCCTCAGCCTCCTGAGTAGCTGGGATTACAGGCGTGTGTCACCACACCGGAATAATTTTATTTATTTAATTATTTTTGAGACGGAGTCTCGCTCTGTCGCCCAGGCTGGAGTGCAGTGGTACAGTCTTGGCTCACTGCAAGCTCCACCTCCCGGGTTCACGGCATTCTCCTGCCTCAGCCTCCCCGAGTAGCTGGGACTACAGGCACGCACCACCATGCCCAGCTAATTTTTTTTCTTTTTTTGTATTTTTAGTAGAGATGGGGTTTCACCGTGTTAGCCAGGATGGTCTCCATCTCCTGACCTTGTGATCCACCCACCTCGGCCTCCCAAAGTGCTGGGGTTACAGATGTGAGCCACTGCGCCAGGCCCATGCCCGGATAATTTTTGTATTTTTAGTACAGATGGGGTTTTACCATGTTGGCCAGGCTGGTCTCGAACTCCTGACCTCGCAATCTCCCTGCCTCGGCCTCCCAAAGTGTTGGGATTACAGGCGTGAGTCACCTTGCCTGGCCTTTTTTTTTTTCTTTTTAGATGGAGTCTCGCTCTGTCGCCCAGGCTGGAGTGCAGTGGCGTGATCTCGGCTCAGTGCAAGCTCCGCCTCCCAGGTTCACGCCATTCTCCTGCCTCAGCCTCCCGAGTAGCTGGGGCTGCAGGTGCCCACCACCACGCCTGGCTAATTTTGTTTTTGTATTTTTAGTAGAGACGGGGTTTCACCACGTTAGCCAGGATGGTCTTAATCTCCTGACCTCATGATCCGCCCGCCTCGGCCTCCCAAAGTGCTAGGATTACAGGCGTGAGCCACCACGCCTGACCTTCTTTTTTTTTACAGAGTTTCACTCTTGTTGCCCAGGCTGGAGTGCAATGGTGCGATCTCAACTCACTGCAACGTCCACTTCCTGAGTTCAAGCAATTCCCCAGCCTCAGCCTCCGAGTAGCTGGGATTACAGGTGCACGCCACCACACCTGGCTAATTTTTTGTATTTTTAGTAGAGATGGGGTTTCACCATGTTGGCTGGGCTGGTCTCAAACTCCCAACCTCAGGTGATCCACCCACCTTGGCCTCCAAAAGTGCTGAGATTACAGATGTGTGCCACCGTGCCCGGCTAATTTTCGTATTTTTAGTAGAGACGGGGCTTCACCATGTCAGCCAGGCTGGTCTTGAACTCCTCACCTTAAATGATCCGCCCACCTTGGCCTCCCAAAGTGCTGGGATTACAGGCGTGAGCAACTGTGCATGGCCAAAAAAAAAAAAATTTTTTTTTTTAAGGAAAATAAAGTACAAGAAAGATAGCTTACACCTGTAATCCCAAAACTTTGAGAGGCTGAGGCAGGAGGATTACTTGAGGCCAGGAGTTCAAGACCAGGTTGGGCAAGGAGAGGTATACATGGAAAAAAATAACAATGGCAGATATTAATTGAGTAATTTTATTTTTATTTTTTGAGACGGAGTTTCGCTCTTGTTGCCCAGGCTGGAGTGCAACAGTGTGATCTCGGCTCACCACAACCTCTGCCTCACCACAACTGTGCATGGCCAAAACTTTTTTTGTAAGGAAAAGAACAAGGAAGATAGCTTACACCTGTAATCCCAAAAGTTTGAGAGGCTGAGGCAGGAGGATTACTTGAGGCCAGGAGTTCAAGACCAGGTTGGAAAAGGAGAGGCATACATGGAAAAAAAAAAAAAGCAGATATTAATTGAGTAATTTTATCTTATTTTTTTTTTTTTTCTTTTTTTTGAGACAGAGTTTCGCTCTTGTTGCCCAGGCTGGAGTGCAATAGCGCGATGTCGGCTCACCACAACCTCTGCCTCCCTGGTTCGAGCGATTCTCCTGCCTCAGCCTCCTGAGTAGCTAGGACTACAGACATGTGCCACCACGCCTGGCTAATTTTGTGTTTTTAGTAGAGATGGGGTTTCTCCATGTTGGTCAGGCTGGGGTCTCGAACTCTCAACCTCAGATGATCCACCTGCCTTAGCCTCCCAAAGTGCTGGGATTACAGGCGTGAGCCACTGTGCGCAGCCCGAGTAATTTTATCTATTTTTTTGAGACAGAGTCTCCCTCTGTTGCCCAGGCTGGAGTGCAGTGGCGTGATCTCTGCTCACTGCAACCTTGCCTCCTGGGTTCAAGCGATTCTCCTGCCTCAGCTTCCTGAGTTGCTGGGATTACAGGCGAGCGCCACCATGTCTGGCTAAATTTTTTTTGTATTTTTAGTAGAGACGGGGTTTCACCGTGTTGGTCAGGCTGGAAATCCTGACCTTGTGCTTTGCCTGCCTCAGCCTCCCAAAGTGCTGGGATTACAGGCGTGAGCCATCGCGCCCGGCCCAAAGCCTCTGTTATAATTATCCCCATTTTACAGATGAAAAAAGTGAGATAAGGCCGGGCGCGGTGGCTCACGCCTGTAATCCCAGCACTTTGGGAGGCCGAGGCGGGTGGATCATGAGGTCAGGAGATCGAGACCATCCTGGCTAACAAGGTGAAACCCCGTCTCTACTAAAAATACAAAAAATTAGCCGGGCGCGGTGGCGGGCGCCTGTAGTCCCAGCTACTCGGGAGGCTGAGGCAGGAGAATGGCGTGAACCCGGGAAGCGGAGCTTGCAGTGAGCCGAGATTGCGCCACTGCAGTCCGCAGTCCGGCCTGGGCGACAGAGCGAGACTCCGTCTCAAAAAAAAAAAAAAAAAAAAAAAAAGTGAGATAGAGAGAGGATGGTTAAATTGGTCACCTCGCTTGAAGTGGCAGAGCCAGTATGGAATTTAGATCTTCTGACTCAGAGCCCAGTGCTTAATTATTGTAGAACCGCTGCTGTGGAAAGCCACGGAGAGAAAACATACCGAAGGAAGGAAAAAAAATTCCTAGAATAGTACCAGGAGCACCAGTCAAGTTGTTGTGACCTAAATTTGTGTGTGTGTGTGTGTGTGTGTGTGTGTGTGTATTTTGTCTCCTCCACTGGAACAGAAGTTGCACAGAAGCAGAGGTCTGTCTGTGTTACCACACTTTTATTTCCAGCAGCAAGCAGTTTCTGGGTCCTACTAGGTAAATAAAAGAATTAATGGGGAGAGAGTTGTGCAGTGAGCAGTTTGTACCATTAACGGTTAACTAGAAACTCTGGTAAGAGGCCCAGTGCGGTGGCTCACGCGTGTAATCCCAGCACTTTGGGAGGCCAAGGTGGTCAGATCATCTGAGGTTGGGGGTTCGAGACCAGCCTGACCAACATGGAGAAACCCCCATCTCTACTAAATATACAAAATTAGCCAGGCATGGTGGCGCATGCCTGTAATCCCAGCTACTCGGGAGGCTGAGGCAGGAGAATCGCTTGAACCCAGGAGGTGGAGGTTGTGGTGAGCCGAGATCGCGCCATTGTACTCCAGCCTGGGCAACAAGAGCAAAACTCCGTCTCAGAAAAAAAAAAAAAAAAAGAGTAAGGGCCAGGCATGGAGGCTCACGCTTGTAATCCCAGCACTTTGCAAGGCTGAGGCAGGCAGATCACTTGAGGTCAGGAGTTCAAGACCAGCCTGGGCAACATGATGAAACCCTGTCTCTACTAAAAATATAAAAATTAGCCTGGCATGTTGGCATATGCCTGTAATCCCAGTTACTTGGGAGGCTGAGGCAGGAAAATCACTTGAACCTGGGAGGCAGAGGATACAGTGAGCGGAGATGGCACCACTGCACTCCAGCC
This sequence comes from Homo sapiens, assembly GCF_000001405.40. NCBI lineage: Eukaryota > Metazoa > Chordata > Mammalia > Primates > Hominidae > Homo > Homo sapiens. The sequence goes on from NC_000017.11 coordinate 75,195,904, forward strand.
TGGGCAACAGAGTGACACTTTGTCTCAGAAAAAAAAAAAAGGAAAAAGAAATACAGAGTAAGAATAGAATGAACTGTCAGGGTGCAGTGGCTCATGCCTGTAATCCCAGGATTTTGAGAGACCAAGGCAGGAGAATCTCTTGAGCTAAGGAGTTCAAAACGAGCCTGGGCAACATAGCAAAACCCCATTTATGTTACAAAAAAAAAAAAAAATGAGCAGTGAGCCAAGATTGCACCACTTCACTCCAGCCTGGGTGACAGAGTGAAACCCCATCAAACACACACACACACACACACACACACACACACACACACACAAAGGGGGGGGTGAACGAGCCAGAATTCCGCAGGATCAGCTGCCAAAGAAAAATACATCATTCTTGGGGGGAGGGGGGAGGGATAGCATTAGGAGATATACCTAATGCTAAATGACGAGTTCATGGGTGCAGCACACCAACATGGCACATGTATACATATGTAACAAACCTGCACGTTGTGCACATGTACCCTAAAACTTAAAGTATAATAATAATAAAATTAAAAAAAAAATACATCATTCCTAAAAGGGGTAAGAGGGCCGGGCATGGTGACACATGCCTGTAATCCCAGCACTTTGGGAGGCCAAAGCAGGAGAACCACAAGGTCAGGAGTTTGAGATCAGTCTCACCAACACGGTGAAATCCCGTCTCTGTTAAAAATACAAAAACTAGCCGGGTGTGGTGGCCCATGCCTATAATCCCAGCCACTCAGGAGGCTGAGGCAGGAGACTCGCTTGAACCCAGGAGGCGGAGGTTGCAGTGAGCCGAGATCGTGCCATTGCACTCTGGCCTGGGCGACAGAGCGAGACTCCATCTAAAAAAAAAAAAAAAAAAAAAAAACATTAGCCAGGCATGGTGGCACACACCTGTAGTCCCAGCTACTGGAAAGGCTGAGCCAAGAGAACTGCTGGAAGCCAGGAGGTGGAGGTTGCATTGAGCCGAGATCATGCCACTGTACTCCAGCCCGGGTGAGAGAGTGAGACTCTGTCTCAAAGAAAATAAAATAAAAATAAACAAAATAAAATCTAAAAGGGGTAGGAGAACAAGAATCACAGAGTTCGTTTAGAGCTTTAAGTCCCTGCCAGAACCCCTAAACACATACCAAATTTATAATACAGGTGACTAAACTTGTGTACTTTATACCGTCAAATTTCCTTCATTCTATAACATAGTTTAGTTGAGTACTTCAGCTGTTTGTGAATACTGTATGAATGTAAATACTGAATTCTGGCCGGGTGCGGTGGCTCACACCTGTAATCCCAGCACTTTGGGAGGCTGAGACAGGCAGATCACTTGAGGTCAAGAGTTCGAAACCATCCTAGCCAACATGACCAAATGCCATCTCTACTAAAAATATGAAAATTAGCTAGGTGATAGTGACGTGTGCCTGTAATCTCAGTTACTCAGGAGGCTGAGGCAGGAGAATCATTTGAGCCTGGGAGGCAGCGGTTGTGGTGAGCTGAGATCCTGCCACTGCACTCCAGTCTGGGTGACAGAGAGAGACCCTGTCTCAAAAACAAAAAAAATCATGAATTTCTCAATACTGCAGGAAGCCTGGAGGCAGAATGGTGATGATATTGTAGAAACCCTATCGGCTGGGCTTCAGGGCTCACGCCTGTAATCCTCGGGAGGCCGAGGTGGGCAGATCACTTGAAGTCAGGAGTTCGAGATTGGCCTGGCCAACATGGTGAAATCTCGTCTCTACTAAAAACACAAACATTAGCTGGACATGGTGATGTGTGCCTGTAGTCCCAGCTACTCAGGAGGCTGAGGCAGGAGAATTGCTTGAAAATGGGAAGAAGAGGCTGCAGTGAGCTGAGATCCTGCCACTGCACTCCAGCCTGGGCAACAATGCAAGATTCCATCTCAAAAAATAAATAAAGTAATTAAAAAAAAAAAAAAGGAAAGAAACCCTTTCTACCCGTGTCATGGCAAAAATGATGGGACCCAAGATTGTACTCATAGTGAATGCCAAGAACTTAGTACAGGCTGAGTATCTCTAATATGAAAATCTGAAATGGGAAATATTCCAAATTCCAAAACTTCTTGAGTACCAACATGATGCCACAAGTGGAAAATTCCACACTTGATACCTTGGCTTTCTTTCTTTCTTTCTTTTTTGAGACAGAGTTTTGCTCTTGTCGCCTAGGCTAGAGTACAATGCCGCAATCTCACCTCACTGCAACCTCTGCCTCCTGGGTTCAAGAGATTCTCCTGCCTCAGCCTCCTGAGTAGCTGGGATTATAGGCGCCTGCCACCACTCCCGGCTAATTTTTTGTATTTTTAGTAGAGACAGGGTTTCACCATGTTGGTCAGGCTGGTCTTGAACTCCTGACCTCAGATGATCCACCTGCCTCGGCCTCCCAAAGTGCTGGGATTACAGGTGTGAGCCACCACGCCTGGCCTCTTTCTTTCTTTCTTTGAGATGGAGTCTCGCTCTGTCGCCTAGGCTGGGATGCAGTGGCATGATCTCGGCTCACTGCAACCTCCGCCTCCTGGATTCAAATGATCCTCCTGCCTCAGCCTCCCGAGTAGCTGGGACTACAGGCACGTGCCACCATGCCCAGCTAATTTTCGTATTTTTAGTAGAGACGGGGTTTCACCATATTGGCCAGGTTGGACTTGAACTCTTGGCCTCCCAAGGTACTAGGATTATAGGTGTGAGCCACCGTGTCTGGCCTTTTTTTTTTTATAATTAAATTTTATTTTATTTTGTATTGAGACAGTGTCTCGCTCTTTGGCCCAGGCTGGAATGTAGTGACACCAGCATGGCTCACTGCAGCCTCAACCTCCTGGGCTCAAGCGATTCTCCCACCTCAGCCTCCCAAGTAGCTGGGACCACAAGCATGTGCCACCATGCTCGGCTAATTTTTTAATTTTTAAAATTTTTTTTTACTTTTTAAAATTTTTTTTTTGAGACAGTCTCGCTCTGTTGCCCAGGCTGGAGTGCAGTGGTGAGATCTCGGCTCACTGCACGCTCCGCCTCCCAGGTGCATGCCATTCTCCTGCCTCAGCCTCCTGAGTAGCTGGGACTACAGGTGCCTGCCACCACGCCCAGCTAATTTTTTTTTTTTTTTGTATTTTTAGTAGAGACAGAGTTTCACTGTGTTAGCCAGGATGGTCTTGATCTCCTGACCTCGTGATCCACCCGCCTCGGCCTCCCAAAGTGCTGGGATTACAGGCATGAGCCACCGCTCCTGGCCATTTTTTTTTTTTTTTTGAGACGGAGTCTCGCTCTGTCGCCCAGGCTGGAGTGCAGTGGCGCAATCTCGGCTCACTGCAAGCTCCGCCTCCCGAGTTCATGCCATTCTCCTGCCTCAGCCTCCGGAGTAGCTGGGACTACAGGCGCCCACCACCACGCCCGGCTAATTTTTTTTTGTATTTTTAGTAGAGACGGGGTTTCACCATTTTAGCCAGGATGGTCTCGATCTCCTGACCTCGTGATCCGCCCGCCTCGGCCTCCCAAAGTGCTGGGATTACAGGCGTGAGCCACCGTGCCCAGCTCTTTTTTTTTTTTTTTTTCTTAATTTTGTTATTTTTGGTAGAGACAGTCTCACTACGTTGCCTAGACTGGTCTCACGCTCCTGGGCTCAAGCGATCCTCCCACCTCAGTCTCCCAAAGTGCTGGGATTACAGGCATGAGCCACAGCACCCAGTCCACCTTTGCTTTCTTTCTCTTTCCTTCCCTCCCTCCCTCCTTCCTTTCTTGCTTTCTTTTCTGTCTCTCTCTCTCTCTCTTCTTTTTTTGTTCTTTGAAACAGGGTCTCACTTTGTCATCGGAGTGCCAGGATCTCGGCTGACTGCAACCTCTGCCTCTTGAGCTCAAGCGATCACCCCAACCTCAGCCTCCTGGGTAGCTGGAACTATAGCATGTGCTACCACACCTGGATAATTTTGCTGTTTTCTATAGTGATGAGGTCTCATTATATATATACAGTCCTTCTAATACGTCAGTTGGGATATTGAATGCAGGGAAATAGTGTCACATTTCACAATATTATACATTCACTGAATACTGACATACACAATACTTTATATTCACTGCCTATTGATATACATATTGTACAAACATAACTTAAGAGAACAGTCCTGTAAGCTTTTTGTGTGCAGGTATCATTGCCTTTCATCTTTGTAGTCTCAGCAAATAGCAAAGTCCTGAGAGCCAGTAATCAATAAGTGTTCATTGACTTATTGATGCAGCAATAACTTTGTGTAGTACTTTTCTTTTTTTTGAGACAAGAGTCTAGTGACTCTGTCACCCAGGCTAGAGTGCAGTGGCACCATCTTGTCTCACTGCAACCTCCGCCTCCCAGGTTCAAGTGATTCTCCTGCCTCAGCCTCTCTAGTAGCTGAGATTACAGGCACCTGCCACCACATCAAGCTAATTTTTTGTATTTTTAGTAGAGACAGGGTTTTACCATGTAGGCCAGCTGGTCTCAAACTCCTGACCTCGAGTGATCTGCCCGCCTTGGCCTCCCAAAGTTCTGGCATTACAGGTGTGAGCCACCGCACCCAGCCAGTACTTTTTATGAGAAGGCCAAAAATGCTTAAACAGGGTCTCCCAAATGCCTGTCAGTTACACAGCTTCAACACTGATATGACAATTTCAAGTTCTAGGCCGATTAATGCTCAAATCCTACCTCTCTGTACATTAGTGGATTCACATAGGGCACTGAAATGAGGCCCAATGACTTGAAGCTGTTTGTTTCATAAAATGAACAGAAACAATATGAATAAAGCTATATTTTGCAGATTTGTGTGAATATAGATATTATCTGTACTCTTCTATCTTCTCTCAATAATTGATTACATACACTCTATCCAGGAGTATGAGGCTGCAGTGAACTATGATTGAGCCACTGAACTCCATCCTGGGCAGCAGAGCAAGTCTCTGTCTCTAAATAGGCCAGGCAAGGTGGTTCTTGACTGTAACCCTAGCACTTTGGGAGGCCAAGGTTGGAGAATCGATTGAGGGCAGGAGTTAGAGATCACCCTGGGCAACATAATGAGATCTTGTCTCTACAGCATTTTTTGTTGTTGTTGTTGTTTGTTTGTTTGTTTTTTGAGACAGAGTCTCCCTCTGTCGCCTAAGCTGGAGTGCAGTGGCATGACCTCGGCTTATTGCAACCTCCACCTCTCAGGTTCAAGTGATTCTCTTGCCTCAGCCTCCTGAGTAGCTGGGACTATAGGTGTGCGCCACCACGCCTGGCTAATTTTTGTAGTTTTCATAGAGACTGGGTTTCTCCACGTTGGTCAGGCTGGTCTTGAACTCCCGATCTCAGGTGATCTGTCCGCCTCAGCCTCCCAAAGTGCTGGGATTACAGGTGTGAGCCACCGTGCCTGGCATTTTTTTTTTTTTTTGAAATGGAGTCGTGCTCTGCCGCCCAGGCTGGAGTGCAGTGGCATGATCTCAGCTCACTGCAACCTTTGCCTCCCGGGTTCAAGCGATTCTCCTGCCTCAGCCTCCTGAGTAGCTGGGACTACAGGCATGGGTCACCATGCCTGGCTATTTTTTGTATTTTTAGTAGAGACAGGGTTTCACCATATTGGTCACGCTGGTCTTGAACTCCTTACCTCAGGTGATCTGCCAGCCTTGGCTTCCCAAAGTGCTGGGATTACAAGCATGAGCCACCGTGCCCAGCCCCAAATAACCTTTTAATAAGAATTCTGCATAAAAATTATTTGTGAGGCACTTCTTTTATTCATTTAAATCTCCTTTTTGGTGCTTATATAAAACACATCTCTCTTGATTATTTCTTGGAAGTGTAATTATGAGGACAAAAAGATGAACATTTTCAAACTTTTTGAAATAATTTTTCATGTCCTGTCAGTCTTCATAGTTATTTTAAACAGGTGAGTAAAGTAACATCTCACTGATATAATTTATTTAGCTAACTTCTACGGTTGAACATATATACCAGCAGCTCTTAACAGAGGTGATTTTGCCCCCTAGAGGACACTGGGAATATATGCAGATATTTTCAGTTTTCACAATTGTGGGATGTTATTGGCATCTAGTGGGTAAAGGTCAGAAGTTGGAGTTCTTGTTCTTGGTGGGGTGTTGTTTTGTTTTGTTTTGTTTTGTTTTTTTGAGTTGGAGTTTTGCTCTTGTTGCCCAGGCTGGAGTGCAATGACGTGATCTCATCTCACCACAACCTCTGCCTCCTGGGTTCAAGCGATTCTCTTGCCTCAGTCTCCCTAGTAGCTGGGATTACAGGCGGATGCCATGAAGCCCAGCTGATTTTTGTATTTTTAGTAGAGACTGTGTTTCACCATGTTGGTCCAGGCTGGTTTCGAACTCCTGACCTCAGGTGATCTGCCCACCTCAGCCTCCCAAACTACTGGGATTACAGGTGTGAGCCACCGCACCCAGCCTGTTTTTTTGTTTTTGTTTTTTTTTTTTCTTTCTGAGACGGAGTCTCCCTCTGTCACCCAGGCTGGAATGCAATGGCATGGTTTTGGCTCACTGCAACCTCCGCCTCCCGGGTTCAAGTGATTCTCCTGCCTCAGCCTCCGGAGTAGCTGGGATTACGGGTGCCTGCCACCATGCCTAATTTTTGTAGTTTTAGTAGAGACGGGGTTTCACCATATTGGCCAGGCTGGTCTCGAACTGCTGACCTCGTGATCCGCCCACCTCGGCCTCCCAAAGTGCTGGGATAACAGGCGTGAGCCACTGCGCCTGGCCATATTGTTGCTTTTGAAACAGGGTCTTGCTGGAGTATAGTGCTATAACAATCGTAGTTCACTGCAGCCTTGACTTGAACTCCTGGGCTCAAGAAATCCTCTGGCCTCAGTCTCCTTCCTCTTGCTGTAGCTAGGGCTACAGGTATGTGCCACTAGTTCCAGCTAGAGTTTTTTTTTTTTTTTTTTTTTTTTTTTTTTTTTTTTTTTTTGAGAGGGAGTCTTACACTGTCGTCCGGGCTGGAGTGCAGTGGTATGATCTTGGCTCACTGCAACCTCCGCCTCCAGGGTTCAAACGATTCTCCTGCCTCAGCCTCAGTAGCTGGGACTACAGGCGCACAACCGCCATGACCAAATAATTTTTTGTATTTTAGTGGAGACGGGGTTTCATCTTGTTGCCCAGGCTGGTCTTGAACTCCTGAGCTCAGGTAATCCGCCCGCCTCGGCCTCCCGAAGTGTTGGGATTATAGGCGTGAGCCACCGCGCCCGGCCTTTTTTTATTTTTTATTTTTTGAGACAGCATCTTGCTCTTGCCCTGTTGCCCAGGCTGAGGCCAGAGATTTTGTTAAATAATGTACACTGTGCCCGGTTCAGGAGCATTAGTTTTATTAGGCTGCATGAAATGTATCCACTTAAGACTTTACCAGGCTGGGTGCGGTGGCTCATGCCTGTAACCCTAGCACTTTGGGAGTCTGAGGCGGGTGGATCACCTGAGGTCAGGCGTTCGAGTCCAGCCTGACCAATATGGCGAAACCCCGTCTCTACTAAAAAATAAAAAATTAGCCCGGCGTAGTGGCGTGTGCCTGTAGTCCCAGCTGCTCGGGAGGCTTAGGCAGCAGAATCGCTTGAACCCGGGAGACGGAGGTTGCAGTAAGCCGAGATCGTGCCACTCCACTCCAGCCTGGCGACAGAGCAAGACTCTGTCTCAAAAAGACAAAAAAAAAAAAAAAAAAAAAAAGACAAAGAAAAAAAAAAGAGAGAGAGAGCTTGTTAGATCTTAGTGCTATATTTCCTTGATTATTTTTATTTTAAGGCTGACAAAATGCCATTTAAGATAATAAAAGTAGTTAAATTGCCTGACCAAGAGCTAGATAACATTGAGGAAAAAGTATTGGCAATATTCTTTGGTCTAATACTGCTATATACCAACCATTTTACCCAATCATTCAAATAGGCTTAGTAATACAAGGGCGAAAAAGGAAAACTACAGCTAATAGTGCTATCCTTGTTCTTTTTTTTTTTTGAGACGGAGTCTCGCTCTGTCGCCCAGGCTGGAGTGCAGCGGTGCAATCTCGGTTCACTGCAAGCTCCGCCTCCCCGGTTCACGCCATTCTCCTGTCTCAGCCTCCCGAGGAGCTGGGACTACAGGCACCCGCCACCACGCCCGGCTGATTTTTTTTTTTTTTTTTTTTTTTTTTTGTATTTTTAGTAGAGATGGGGTTTCACCGTGTTAGCCAGGATGGTCTCTCTCTCCTGACCTGGTGATCCACCCGCCTCGGCCTCCCAAAGCGCTGAGATTACAGGCGTGAGCCACCGCGCCCGGCCTATCCTTGTTCTATATACTGATTACGCATACTATATATGGACCTTTTCCTTCCTCAACCTTTCTATAGATTTCTAAGAATAAGGTTTTGATGAAGTAGTTTATGTATCCTTCTTTTTCAGTTAATCCTAATGGAAAACGGTTGGAAAAATGAAACAATTATCTTACAACTTATTTTTCTCTTTCCTCTCCTCCCCTCTCTCTAAAAGAGTGTGGCTCCTTCCCCTCTCTTTTCCCCTTCCTCTCTCTAGAGTGGTTAACTCTCAAACTGTATTTAACTCTGGAAAAGTTTTCAATTACACAGGCGATAACTCCAACTTGAGGTATAACGGAAACTTATTAAGAGAAAAAGAGCAAAATAATTTTTTTTTGAGACTCAGCAAAATAATTTTTTTTTTTTTGAGACGGAGTCTCCGTCTGTCGCCCAGGATGGAGTGCAGTGGCGCGATCTTGGCTCACTGCAACCTCCGCCTCCCGGGTTGGAACAATTCTCCTGCCTCAGCCTTACGAGTAGCTGGGATTACAGGTGTCCGCCACCACTCCCGGCTAATTTTTGTATTTTCAGTAGAGACGGGGTTTCGCCATGTTGTCCAGGCTGGTCTTGAACTCCTGACCTCAGGTGATCCAACCACCTCGGCGTCCCGGAGTGCTGGGATTACAGGCGCGCGCTACCAAGCACAGCTAATTTTTTTTTTTTTTTTTGAGACGGAGTCTCGCTCTGTCTCCCAGGCTGGAGTGCAGTGGTGCGATCTTGGCTCAATGCAACCTCCACCTCCCGGGTTGGAACAATTCTCTTGCCTCAGCCTTCCGAGTAGCTGGAATTACAGGTGTCCGCCACCACGCCCGTCTAATTTTTTATATTTTTAGTAGAGACGAGGTTTCATCATATTGGCCAGACTGGTCTTGAACTCCTGAACTCCAGTGATCCACCCACCTTGGGCTGCCAAAGTGTTGGGATTAGAGGCTTGAGCCACAGCGCCGGGCCTTCAGGGGTATCGATTTTGTTCCCGTGCCTCTTGTGTGTGTTCTAGTGTGGAAGTGGAGGCGATTGCTTTCCAGCACAAGCCCGTTTGACTGTCGGGGTTTGGACAAGTGGCTGCGACGACACTAAGGTGGAGACCGGGATGTAGCGAGGACTCCCAGAGTTGGGAGACGTTGTACGCTTACTGGGACCTAAATCCCGCACGAGTTCCCACCCAAGTGCCGCCGCCCCAGCCTACGCACGCGCATTCGCACCGTCTCCAGCCCCGGGGTCCTCCTGCCCCTCCCGCCGTCTCCGGGGGCCTTTTCTCCGCTCGGCACCAGGGTGTCCCCGGCGCCGCCTGATCCTGTTAGCGCGGTACTCTGAGTGCAGTCAGTCCTCGGCGCTGTTTTCCCTGATTTGCTGTCGACGCCAGGAAGGAAGGACGCGTGCAGAGGACCGCAGAGGGGTGGCCGTGGCTGAGAGGAGACAGCGCCGCAGCACTGAGGGTTTGGGCTTGCAGGCGCTGCAGGAGACGCCCAGGCGGAGTCTTGTCTCGCAGCCAGCTCTGAGCGGGAGGCCTGAGCGGGAAGCATTGGCGTCCGAGCGACTTCTAGGAGCCTGGGGTTCGGCGCTATGGAGGAGCTCGATGGCGAGCCAACAGTCACTGTAAGGGTACCCCGAACAGGCTTGCTCGTCCTTGCGGGTTGAGAACTGCGTCTGCTTAGTTACTTCAGGCTTGTCTGCTTCCCTAGTGGTCGCGAGGCGCTCGTCCCCTTCCCTCGACTCAGTTGCCACTTTTCCGGAGGTCGCAGTGTTAACGAGGTGCCCGCCCTAGGGTCGCAGTGGTCGCGGGGTTTCTGCCACCAGTCACAAACCCCGGCCTCGAAGGTCCCACTCCGTCCCTTTCCTTCCTTTGTGTTCCTGGCCTTTTTACTTCCCTTGCTTTTCCTCTTGGGCATTAGAGTGGGTTCAGCCCAAGCAGAGGAATTTATATTTTTATTCCAGCCGTATTAAGCTCTGCATCGCGGCACATTGAGCTTCTGCCTGTGTGGCCTAAGGTTTATTCAACGTATTATCTCAGGAGACTATTCCTGTTTTATCGCTGTGCATTCAATTCCATTTGAACTTTGAAGACAGTATGTCAACTGTGGATGATCTGTGATGTGTATAAAAAAAATTCACGCGCTTTATGTACGAGATACCTACCGTTTCTGCTAGTTGGATTGCTCTTGTTTTCCCTCTTGTTAACCAGAAGTGACTGAGGCAGGTCTCAACCGATAAAGGTTTAATTAGCTAAGGTTGAGGATCCAACCGGGAAAAAGCACAGGTCACAGGAGGATCTGAGACCTGTGCTTTTTCCAAAGATGGTTTTGGGAACATCACTAGTTAAAGAGGAAGGAGCTAGCAGGAGGGGCAAAAAAGGGAGGTTAGGCAGTGAGGAGGCAAATGATTACATTCTTGTGAGTCGGTGATTAGCCTCAGTAAATCTGCATTTTACCTGTGAAAAGAGGGAGCAGAGGAAAATTTTATGTATGCATTCATCTCAGGGTAGGTAGAGGGATTATGGTTATTATTACTGTTATTTTTTAGACGGAGTCTCGCTCTGTCTCCCAGGCTGGAGTGCAGTGGCGCGGTCTCGGCTCACTGTAACCTCCGCCTCCCGGGTTCACACCATTCTCCTGCCTCAGCCTCCTGAGTAGCTGGGACTACAGGTGCCCGCCACCACGCCCGGCTAATTTTTTGTACTTTTTTGTATTTTTAGTAGAGACGGGGTTTCACCGTGTTGGCCAGGATGGTCTCAATCTCCTGACCTCGTGATCCGCCCACCTCGGCCTCCCAAAGTGCTGGGATTACAGGCGTGAGCCACCGCACCCGGCCGATTTCTGGTCTTTTACTTGTGAAGATAAGCTGGTAGTTGACATTGTCAGAATCAACAGATCTTGATTTTAGGACTAGTTTATAGGGGCGATGTGTATCCTGAAAATTTTAGAGGCTCACAAGGAATTTCCTTGTGAGCAATTTGTGAGGGAAGCTCTCTGGGGAGATATGTGGCCTTCTTTTTTTTTTCTCTTGAGGCGGAGTTTCCCTCTTGTCGCCCAGGCTAGAGTGCAGTGGTGCGGTCTCGGCTCTCTGCAACCTCCGCCTCCCAGGTTCAAGCAATTCTCCTGCCTCAGCCTCCTGAGTAGCTGGGATTGCAGGCATGTGCCACCATGCCCGGCTAATTTTGTATTTTTTTAGTAGAGACGAGGTTTCTCCATGTTGGTCAGGCTGGTCTGGAACTCCTGACCTCAGGTGATCTGCCGGCCTCAGTCTCCCAAAGTGCTGGGATTACAAGTGTGAGCCACTGCGCCTGGCCTCATTCTTTTTTTGAGACGGATTCTCACTCTGTCACCCAGAGTGGAGTGCAGTGGCGTGATCTCAGCTCACTGCAACCTCTGGCTCCTGGGTTCAAGCGATTCTTCTGCCTCAGTCTCCTGAGTAGCTGAGATTACAGGTGCGTGCCACCACACCCAGCTAATTTTTGTATTTTTGGTAGAGATGGGGTTTCACCATCTTGGTCAGGCTGGTCTCCAAAGCCTGACCTCGTGATCAGCCTGCCTCGGCCTCCCAAAGTGCTGGGATTACAGGCATGAGCCACCGCGCTTGGCTAGGAGTTCGAGATCAACCTGGCCAACATGGTGAAACCCCATCTCTACTAAAAAAATACAAAAATTAGCCTGGTTTGGTGGCGCGTGCCTGTAATCCCACCTACTCAAGAAGCTGAGGCAGGAGAATCACTTGAACCCAGCAGGCAGAGGTTGCAGTGAGTCGAGATTGCGTCACTGCAGTCCAGCCTGGGCAACAAGAGTTCGAACTCCTGACCTCAGATGATCTGCCCGCCTTAGCCTCCCAAAGTGCTGGCAGGAGCCACCCCGCTGCCGGCCCAAAATGAATTTTTCTTACCAGTGTTATAAGGAAATGTTATTGAAGGATACAGTGTTATTAGAGGACCAGCTGTGCTCTTCACTTAAAGTGTTTTTCAGCAGGGCGGGCACGGTGGCTCGCGCCTGTAGTCCTAGCACTTTGGGAGGCTGAGGCGGACGGATCACCTGAACTCAGGAGTTTGTGACCAGCCTGGGCAATATGGTGAAACTCTATCTCTACTAAAAATGAAAAAAAAAAAAAAAATAGCCGGGTGTGGTTGCACACACCTGTAGTCCCAGCTACTCAGGAGGTTGAGGCAGGAGAAGCCTTTGAACCCAGGAGGCGGCGATTGGAGCAAGCTGAGATTACACCACTGTACACCAGCCTGTTAGAGTGAGTCTTTGTCTCAAAAAAAAAAAAAAAAAAAAAAGAATGGAACAACTTCAGTAAGAAGAACATTTTTCATTTTAGATTTCTATGCCTTATTTTACTAGTTGATTCCAGGCGTGAATTCCAAGAAGAACCAAATGTATTTTGACTGGGGTCCAGGGGAGATGCTGGTATGTGAAACCTCCTTCAACAAAAAAGGTAGGGTTTTTTTTCTTCCAAATTATCCATCTTGGCACATTTGGTTGTTTTTCTGTTTATTACCTCAGATTTTACTAGTTGTGGACTGAAACAGTTGAATTTATTTTGTACTATTTTAATTTTCTCTATTTTGTTTTCAAGATACAACAGGGTTTTGTTGTGTCACCTGGGCTGGAGTACAGTGTGATCATGGCTCACTGCAGCCTCTACCTCTTGGGCTCAAGTGATCCTCTGCCTCAGTCTTCCTAGTAGCTGAGACTACAGGTCACCATGCCACCACGCCCAGCTAATTTTTTTTTCTTTGTAGAGATGGGAGTCTCATTTTGTTGCCTAGGCTGGTCTCGCACTCCTGGCCTCAAGCGATCCTGTTGCATTTTGGCATTTTTATTTTTGAAATGTTAGCTATTTTAGATTTTCATTGATTTTTGAGATCTTGAAGATGTTGAATCCCGGAAAAAAATTAATAGTTTTCATGAAAAATTTTCTTCATATTTAAAATGTCAAGCTTTTTATCCCTTTTTCTTTGTCCAAAGTGACCAAATTCCTATCAGTAGCTCCCTTATTGTGAACCTTGCAGATGCTTGGCCGTCACTTTTGTGTCCACAGCATGGATTCAGCTGAATAATAGTTCTGTAGGCTGAGCTGAGCCGTAGCATCCAAGGCACAGATGGAGCTGGAGAGTGACATAGCTTGTCCTTGGCTTGATTTTCCTGAGTTCCATCAGCTATTGGATAGGATGTGAATCTTTTTCTTTTCCTGATACAGTGATACAGTCTCCTTCCAGTAGAAGGATAAAACTGGAATCTTGACATTTGATTTGCTTTCTTTTTTTTTTTTTTTTTTTGAGACGGAGTCTCGCTCTGTCCAGGCTGGAATGCAGTGGTGTGATCTCGGCTCACTGCCACCTCCGCCTCCCGGTTTGAAGCAATTCTCCTGCCTCAGTCTCCTGAGTAGCTGGGAATGAAGGCATGTGCCACCACGCCCAGCTAATTTTTGTATTTTTAGTAGAGACAGGGTTTTGCTATGTTGGCCAGCCTGGTCTCGAATTCCTGACCTCGTGATCTGCCTGCCTTGGCCTCCCAAAGTGCTGGGATTATAGGCAAGAGCCACCATGCCCGGCCACAGAAAATTTTTTTAGAGTAGATTCACTTTTGGAGATGATCATAATAGATGTTAAATTTTTTTTTTCTGTTTGGTTTCAGAAAAATCAGAGATGGTGCCAAGTTGCCCCTTTATCTATATCATCCGTAAGGATGTAGATGTTTACTCTCAAATCTTGAGAAAACTCTTCAATGAATCCCATGGAATCTTTCTGGGCCTCCAGAGAATTGACGAAGAGTTGACTGGAAAATCCAGAAAATCTCAGTAAGTTGGTTGCTGTTTGGTGTTGAAGCCCACACTACACTGTGGAAAGCCAAATGAAGTACATTGTTGTCTTTTTGTGTGTTTTATGGGTTGCGTAAAGAAATAAGAGACTCCTGGTTCTAGTTGAGGCATGAGTACTGGACAGTGTACATTAGCAGTGATGGGAAGACTTAGCGGGAATATGCAAATGCTATTGATGGGCTGGCTTGACAAGCTTTATTTATATTCATATTTTACTTAGCCTCTAAAGAAGAAAATTTAGGCCACACAAGCATGTGAGAGTCGTTGAATGAGGTCACATTGTTGGGAGATTTGAAAATTAATATAAACCTAACAGTTTTGTCTCTAAAAAATTATGGTTCAGACGTTATTTGACAACAGACCAGAAAACTCTCGTACTATTTATAGATTAGGATTTTCTTGAATTGTAGTTCATAACTTCATCATTATCAGAGTGGTACTTGTTAATTGTAGACTTTTGGGACCCACCTCAGATCATCAAAATCAAAATCTCCGTGGTTGGATCTTAAAATCTCCAGCACACTGAAGTTTAAGAACTCCTGTGTTAGATTTTTGTCAGCGTCCCTTCACATGGATGGCTAGGGAATGGGCAGTGTTGGTATGTTACTTCTTTGATAAGCTTTTCACAAATGAATCATTCTGGACAAGACTCAGGTCAGCTTCTGTGTGAGTGTGTGCAAGAGTGATTATTGGTTGTTTTTCTGTTTTTTTTCGAGGCAGAGTTTCGCTCTGTCACCCAGGCTGGAGTGCAGTGACGCGTTCTCCGCTCACTGTAAGCTCTGCCTCCTGGATTCACGCCATTCTCCTGCCTCAGCCTCCCGAGTAGCTGGGACTACAGGCGCCTGCCACCACATCCGGCTAATTTTTTGTATTTTTAGTAGAGACGGGGTTTCACCGTGTTAGCCAGGATGGTCTCGATCTCGTGACCTCGTGATCCACCTGCTTCGGCCTCCCAAAGTGCTGGGATTACAGACGTGAGCCACTGTGCCTGGCCCTGTTTTTTTTTTTTTTTTTGAGACAGAGTTTCACTCTGTCACCCAGGCTGGAGTGCAGTGGCGCAATCTTGGCCCACTGCAGCCTCTGCCTCCTGGGTTGAAGCCATTCTCCTGCCTCAGCCTCCTGAGTAGCTGGGATTACAGGTGCGTGCCACCACGCCTGGCTAATTTTTGCATTTTTAGTAGAGATGGGGTTTCATCATTTTGGCTGGGCTGGTCTTGAACTCCTGACCTCAAGTGATCTGCCCACCTCAGCGTCCCAAAGTGCTGGGATTATAGGAGTGAGCCACTGCACCTGGCCTGATTATTGGATTTAAGGGACTCTAGTGGAGAATATTGGTGAGTTTGAGAAATCTATTGTCACTTCTAGGAAAAAAACATGTCAAAAGTCCTGTAATTCCTTGCTGGCAGGGGACCCTGTCTTATTCTTTTTTTTTTTTTTTCAGATGGAGTCTCACTCTGTCGCCCAGGCTGGAGTGCAATGGCATGATCTTGGCTCACTGCAACCTCCGCCTGCCGGGTTCAAGAGATTCTCCTGCCTCAGCCTCCTGAGTAGCTGGGATTTTTGTATTTTTAGTAGAGACAGGGTTTCACCAGGTTGGCCAGGCTGGTCTCAAACACCTGACCTCAGGTGATCTGCCCACTTTCACCTCCCAAAGTGCTGGGATTACACGCCTGAGCCACCGGGCCTGGCCAGTAAATACATTTATGTATCTTTTTTATTTTTTTGAGACAAGGTCTGACCAGTAGATTTCATCTGCAACAATTAATGGCAGTATGGGTTTGTGGATATTAACTTTAGCCCATGGGTTGTTTTGTGGCGTTTTATTTTGTTGTCCAAGTTGTTCCAGCTTCAGAAGGTTAGGAGCTCCTTCACAACGGCTCTCCTCTTTCTTTCAGCAAATTTCTGCATTTATTTGAGTGTTTCCTTCCTTTGTGGCACTACAAGATGTTCCAGGCTCATCTTGTGTGTTATTTCATTTTTTGTAGATTGGTTCGAGTGAGTAAAAACTACCGATCAGTCATCAGAGCATGTATGGAGGAAATGCACCAGGTTGCAAGTAAGGACTGTGTGCGCGTGCGCGCGTGTGTGTGTGTGTGTGTGTGTGGGTATTTTGAGTATTTATCTATGCATAAATACTGTGAGGTAAAGTTTGATTGATATTCCAGTCCAAAACTTATTTTTCCATCTTTCATAATCCTTACTTTTTTGGTAATCATTTAGAGGTTTTTTTTTTTGTTGTTGTTTTTTTTTTTTTTTTTTTTTTTTTTTTTTTTTTTTTTTGAGACCGAGTGTTGCTCTGTCGCCCAGGCTGAGGTGCTGTGGCATGAACTCAGGTCACTGCAACCTCCACCTCCCAGGTTCAAACGATTCTCTAGCCTCAGCCTCCTGAGTAGCTGGGACTACAGTTGTACACCACCAAGCCCAGAGTTCTGGGATTACAGGAGTCAGCCACTGTGCCTGGAGTTTTTTTTTTTTTTTTTTTTTTTTTTTGAGACAAGGTTGCCCAGGCTGGAGTGCAAAGAAACATTATGGCTCACTGCAGTCATGAGCTCACCGCCTGGGCTCAAGTGATCTTCCTACCTCATCCTTCCAAGTAGTTGGGACTGCAGGTGTGTACTACCATGCCCAGCTAATTTAAACAGTTTTTGTCCAGTTTTCCTCAGAGAACTTTGTTCTGATAATTTTTAAATTATTTGTAGAAACGGGGTCTCCCTAATTTTTCCAGGCTGTTCTTGAACTCCTGGGCTCAAGCAGTCCTTTGACATCAGCCTCCCAAAGTGTCGGGATTACAGGTGTGAGCCACTGTGCTTGGCATGTCAGAGACCTTTATGGTAGCTGTGTTGCAGTTGAAAGTGCCATTTTGTAACTTGAGGGCTTTTGGTTTGAGAATTGAAGGGATATGAAGCATTAACAGCAACAAAAAAATCCATAATTAAAAGAGATTATAATGTCTTTTAATTTTTCTCATTAAAATAAACAGAGGCTCAAGCCATAGACCCTGGAATATTCAGCTATGACAATAAGCCTAAGAGTTCCATTGCTCACTTAAAATGTTTTGTGTTTTGTTAGTTGCTGCTAAAGATCCAGCCAATGGCCGCCAGTTCAGCAGCCAGGTAAGGGGAGTCACCTTTATTGTTTTAGCACCACTGTGTCCTGTGTCCTGGGCACCCACCTGGGGTGGCTTTGCAGTTCCTGTTATGGCAGAAGTCTCTTCTTTTCAGGTAGATAGGCAGCTCCTTTGGGTGACAGTGATTGTCTTGCCCCCTTCAAGGTGTAGCTCACAAGGAAGTGCTTGTTAAATACTTGAGTGAATGTTCGGTTCCTTTTTTTTTTTTTTGAGATGGAGTCTTGCTCTGTCACCCAGGCTGGAGTGCCCTGGGTTCAAGCATTTCTCCTGTCTCAGCCTCCCGAGTAGCTGGGATTATAGGTGCATGCCACACCAAGCCCAGCTACTTTTTGCATTTTTAGTAGAGATGGGGTTTCACCATGTTGGCCAGGCTGGTCTTGAACTTTTGACCTCAAGTGATCCACCCGCCTCGACCTCCCAAAGTGGTGGGATTACAGGTGTAAGCCACCGTGCTGGCCCTGAATGTTCCGTTCTTATGGAACATATATGTCCTGACCAAATTGTGTTGAGGGGTTGTCACCTGAAATGGAGAAGTAATCTTGTGAGATCACTGCTCGGTCTCATAAACACTCCTCACTTCTTGAACTCAACATTTTTTTTTTGAAAGACAGGGTCTCTCTGTGTTGTCAAAGCTGGTCTCGAACTCTTGGGCTCAAGTGATCCTCCTGCCTTGGCCTCCCAAAGTGCTGGGATTATAGGTGTGAGCTGCCACACCTGGCAAAACTCAAGTTTTTTTTTTTTTTTTTTTTTTTTTTTGAGACGGAGTCTCTCTCTGTCGCCCAGGCTGGAATGCAGTGGCGCGATCTCGGCTCACTGCAAGCTCCGCCTCCCAGGTTCATGCCATTCTCCTGCCTCAGCCTCCCGAGTAGCTGGGCTAATTTTTTGTATTTTTAGTAGAGAGGGGGTTTCACCGTGTTAGCCAGGATGCTCTCGATCTCCTGACCTCGTGATCTGCCTGCCTCAGCCTCCCAAAGTGCTGGGATTACAAGTGTGAGCCACTGCGCCCGGCTAAACTCAACATTTTTACTGAGTTGCAAGTGGCTCTACTTTACTTGGAGCTGGAAGATGACTTACAGTATCTTTTTCCTCAGTAGATGCTTCATATTAGATACTTTTCAAAGTCAGTAGTGACTAGGTAGTAATTCACTGTCTCTGAAGTACCCTTATGAACAAGTCATCATGGTGTCTGTGGACTGAAGGATGGTGAGGAAGGGAAGCCTGCGTATTCCTAAGGGCAAGGTCCAGGTCTGATTTATTTCGGGGTCTTATATTGGGCTTTCCCGTTAATAGACTGTTCCCCTAAACTTCAGTCCTTTGAATACCAGCTTCACAATTCTTGCTCTGTCTACGTGTTTCATGTCATCTACTGAATATTCTTCTAAATATTGTCTCTTCTTTTTACTCAAATGAAGCACCTTGCTAAAGCATCAGTTCATCAAGATAGGCTGGGCGCAGTGGCTCACGCCTGTAATCCCAGCACTTTGAGAGGCCGAGGTGGGTGGATCTCTTGAGGTTAGGAGTTCGAAACTAGCCTGGCCAACACGGAAACTCCATCTCTACTAAAAATACAATATTTAGCTAGGCGTGGTGGTGTGCGCCTGTAATCCCAGCCACTTGGGAGGCTGAGGCAGGAGAATTGCTTGAACCCTGGAGGCAGAGGTTGCAGTGAGCCGAGATCATGCCACTGCACTCCAGCCTGACTGACAGAGTGAGACTCTGTCTCAAAAAAAAAAACAAAAAACAAAAACTGAGTGTTGGCAGGGCACGGTGGCTCAAGCCTGTAATCCCAGCACTTTGGGAGGCCGAGGCAGGTGTATCACGAGGTCAGGAGATCGAGACCTTCCTGGCTAACAAGGTGAAACCTCGTCTCTACTAAAAATACAAAAAATTAGCTGGGCATGGTGGCAGGCGCCTGTAATCCCAGCTACTGGGGAGGCTGAGGCAGGAGAATCACTTGAACCCGGGAGGCGGAAGTTGCAGTGAGCCAAGATTATGCCACTGCACTCTAGCTTGGGCAGCAAGAGCCAAACTCCATCTCAAAAGATAAATAAATAATAACTGGTGACATGCAAGTTATATTTTTTCTTTTTTTAAATTTTGAGACAAGGTCTCGCTCTTGCCCAGGCTGGAATAGTGGCACGATTATGGCTCACTCAGACTCAACTTCCTGGGCTCAAGTGATGCTCCCACCTCAGCCTCCTGAGTAGCTGAGACTGCGGGGATATGTCACTACACTTGGCCAATTTTTATATTTTTTGTTGAGACAGGATCTTGCCATGTTGCTCAAGCTGGTCTCAAACTCCTAGACTCAAGCATTCCACCTGCCTTGGCCTCCCAAAGTGCTGGGATTACAGGAATGAGCCACTGCACCTGGCCAAGTTATTTTTGTAATGCACAGTAAAATAAAATCACAACCACTAAAACAAAATAGTGTTGGTCTCCATCCCACCACCTAACATCCTCACGCTGGCTCCCCTGTGGGAAATCCTCCAGTAGGATTGCAGTAACCTTTGGGTTAAGGAATGACTGTCATATGAGTCAAAGTCTGCTTTATCCCTTGGCTCTGAGAGCAAAGCTCAGGAATCATTTCAGGTGAAACCTGTCCCCATTTCTTCCTTAGGTCTCCATTTTGTCAGCAATGGAGCTCATCTGGAACCTGTGTGAGATTCTTTTTATTGAAGTGGCCCCAGGTAGGCATGGAATATCTCACCATAATCTCATAGGTGTCCCCTTCCATCTTCTGCTCTTTCCTCATCTTTCCTGTGCATGGTGATGAGTGTTTTATTCCTGAGAATGTTCTTTCCATCATTATAACCACGGGAAGTCGTTAGAAAACACCCAAAGAAACCTGACCGTTTTGTCAGGTGCTGCAAAAAGAATCATGCAGAGTGCCTCCAAGAAACCTAAACCCTGACAAGTACTGAGAAATATTAAACTAGTGTGTGAAAGGGGGTGTCAGTGTTAACATCATGGACTGGCCAAGCTTAAGAAAGTTTTATGAATGTGGGGTAGGATTAGGTGGTGAGAGGCAAAGTCACATTGGGAATTCTGTCATGAATCATTGGGACAGGGCAACTCTGTGTGTTAACTCTGCCAATGGGTATGAACTCTGCCAATGGGAATTTTTCTGTTGATCTTTTTTTTTTTTTGAGACAGAGTTTCACTCTTGTTGCCCAGGCTGGAGTGCAATGGCGTGATCTCAGCTCACCGCAACCTCCACCTCCTGGGTTCAAGCGATTCTCCTGCCTCAACCTCCTGAGTAGCTGGGATTACAGACATGCGCTGCCACGCCTGGCTAATTTTGTATTTTTAGTGGAGATGAGGTTTCTCCATGTTGGTCAGGCTGGTCTCGAACTCCCAACCTCAGGTAATCTGCCTGCCTCGGTCTCCCAAAGTGCAGGGATTCCAGGTGTGAGCCACCGTGCCCAGCCTTCTGTTGATCTTGAATTAAACTGTGGTCAGTATAGTGTCATGGCCTGTATGAGCTCTCTGTGGATCTGCTGCAGCTTTTTTGCATTTCTTTTAAGGATTTATGTTTGCTATTTTCCATAAATGAGTAGTAACCTCTGTGTAGCCCTAGCATTTTATTCATACTCTCACTAAAGAAGTGAGGAACTTGAAATTAGAGTTGGTTGTTCAGAGGCCTCCCTTCTCCAGTGGATTTTTGAGGAGGTTACAGTTGGCTCTTTGTATCTGCAGGTTCTACATCATGGATACGGAGTGCTGGCTGTACTCTGCCATTTTATTTCATTTTATTTTTATTGATTGATTGAGACAAGTTCTCACTCTGTCACTTAGGCTGGAGTGTGGTGGTACAATCACAGCTATTGCAGTCTGGACCTCCCAGGCTCAAGCGATCCTCCTGTCTCAGCCTCCTGAGTAGCTGGGACTACAGGCACGTGCCACCATGCTAGGCTAATTTTTTGTGTGTATATGCTGGGGGAGGGGAGACAGGGTCTTGCTCTGTCACCCATGCTGGAGTACAGTGGCGTGATCACAGCTCAGAAGCCTCGACTTCCTGGGCTCAAGCAATCCTCCTGCCCAGCCTCCCAAGTAGCTGGGACCACAGGCCTGCACCACCACGCCCGGCTAATTTTTGTATTTTTTGTGGAGAGGAAATTTCGCTATGTTGCCCGGGCTGTTCTTGAACTCTTGGGCTCAAGCAGTCTGCCCATCTTGGCCTCGCAAAATGCTGGGATTATAGGCGTGAGCCACCATTCCTGGCTCGGCTAATTTTTTATTTTTTTTTGTAGAGATGGGGTCTCCCTATGTTGCCCAGCCTAGTGTCAAACTCCTGGGCTCAAGCGATCTGCCTGCCTCAGCCTCCCAAAGTGCTGGGATTACAGACATGAACTACCATGCCCGGCCATATGTTTTGTTTTGTTTTGTTTTTTGAGACAGAGTCTCACTCCGTCACCCAGGCTGGAGTGCAGTTGTGCGATCTTGGCTCACTGCAACCTCTGCCTCCTGGGTTCAAGCAATTCTGCCTTAGCCACCTGAGTAGCTGGAATTACAGGCATGCGCCACCACGCCCGGCTAATTTTTGTATTTTTAGTAGAGACAGGGTTTCACCATGTTGTCCAGGCTGGTCTTGAACTCCTGAGCTTAGATGATCCACCTGCCTTAGCCTCCGAAAGTGCTGGGATTCCAGGTGTGCACCACCAGCCCCCTGGCCCTATGTTTTTATCATCATTGCATACCTGGCTGCTTGCTATCTAGTCATTGTTGGTTCCTAAACGGCCATTACTTATGTAGCTATTAAGTATTTGTGAAGAATCTGGAGTGTGGGGTAGTGAGGTCTGCATTCCATGTTCACCCCTTTCTGGGGTCAGTTAAAGATGGAGCTGCCTGGCACAGAAGTAATATTTGGTGAAAGTGCATTTGCTTTTTCCTAGCACAGTCTGTCATTCAGGACCATGTGTGTGACTGCTTAAAAGGGATAAACCTATGTAGTCAGCTTGTCTGCCTTAAAGTTCTCTGTTCCTTGGATAAAGGAACTTGCTGCAGATGAAGCTGAGGCTTTTGTGTGTGATGAGAGTCTCTCCTCCCAGCTGGCCCTCTCCTCCTCCATCTCCTTGACTGGGTCCGGCTCCATGTGTGCGAGGTGGACAGTTTGTCGGCAGATGTTCTGGGCAGTGAGAATCCAAGCAAACATGACAGCTTCTGGAACTTGGTAAGACAGGCCGGGCCCCCACCTCCCACCATGTGTCCTACTGTCCCTGGTGCTGCCGGGTGGGTCTGAGGACACCCACTGAGCCTCCAGCAGTAGGCTGGCTTTTGGAGTCTGTTACTATGGAGACTCTTTTGGATCTTTTCTTCCCTGCTCTATGGGAGAGTCTAAAACCGAGGTACCATGTAAGAAAAATAATGCTTTGAAGACTTTTCCAGGGTAAAAGGAAATTTGATTTCTTTGTGGATCTAAGGAAGAGAAGACACAAAAAGGAATACAAAACCGTTTTTTTTTTTTTTTTTTTGAGACAGGGTCTCGGCTGGGTGCGGTGGCTCATGCCTGTAATTCCAGCCAGCACTTTGGGAGGCCAAGTCAGGAATCTCTTGAGCCCAGGAGTTTGAGATTAGCCTGGGCAACAAAGTGAGACCCTCCATCTCAAAACAAATTAATAAATAAAAATATAAAAGAGAAAAGATAGTCCGACTCTGTTCCCCAGGCTGTTGTGCAGTGGCCTGATCTTGCTCACTGCAACCTCCGCCTCCTGTGCGGTCCTACCACCTCAGCCTCTCAAGTAGCTGGGACCACAAGTGCCAACCACCATGCCTGGGTAATGATATAAAACCAATTGACAGGGGCTGGGGTGCATACAGGGTTGGATGTAAATGAGCTTGCACATTACTTTGGATCATCAGTTTCGAAGTCAGCATGTCGTATATGTGTATATGGATGTATTTTCTATGTGTTAGGTATTTCCATTCACCTCTGCTGACTGACCCAATTGGGAGGTGGCAGGGAGGAGATCGCTAGTTGACTGGGCTAATGGAAAGTCAACTAAACTTATAAAGCCTGAAATTGGGAACAGATTGTGAGGACAAAAAAAAAGAAAAGAAAAGAAAACCTGGAATTCGGCCCGGCACGGTGGCTCACAGGAAGTAGTGGGCCAAATGTTTGAGTCTCTGATTGATTCGCTAAGGTTTGTTGTTGTCGTTTAGAGACAGGGTTTCGCTTTGCGGCCTGGGCGGGAGTGCAGTGATGCGATCATGGCACAATGCACCTTTGATTTCCTGGGCTCAAGCAATCCTCCCACCTCAGCCTCCTGAGTGGCTGGGACTACAGGCGCACACCACTACGCCTGGCTAGTTTTATTTTTTGTAGAGGTGAGGTTTCACTGTATTACCCAGGCTGGTCTTGAACTCCTGGGCTCAAGCAATCCTTCCACCTTGGCCTCCCAAAGTGTTGGAACTGCAAGTGTGAGCCACCATTCCTGGTCATTCACTGAGTATTTATTGAGTCCCTACTATTTGCAAGGCACCAAGGAGACACCATGACTAAAACAGGCAAAGATTCCTGCCTTTATGGAGTTTATATCCTGTGTGTGGAGAAAGAACAGCAACACATAGGCTAGTACCATGTATCCTGGCACATAGTGAAATGCTCTGCCAAGGTGCCAAGAAGGGAGGGAGGCTGCAAGTGCTGGAGGGGCATCGAAGAAGGCCTCCCTCATGAGAGATTGGAGGTGAGACCTGAAGGAGGTGAGGAGAGCTAGGCTGAAGAAAGCATTCCAGATAGCAGGGCCTGTAGATGCTGTGTTCTAGAGCCAGGGTGGGGCAGGAGGGGCTGTGCTATGTAGGGGTAGGTGGGAGGGATGAGCTGGGGAGATAAAGACAGAGCGATACCAGGCCAGGTCTGAGACAGCCCCCTGGGCTGTCACTGAGACTTTAGCTTTTTGCAGCCTACATAGCAGGGTGACTAACAACATGGTCTGTGGTGCCACACTGCCTGGGTTAGCATTCCAGCTCTGCCTTTTACTAGCTGTGAGGTGGGTTTTTTTCCTTTTTTGAGACAGAGTCTCTCTCTGTCACCTAGGCTGGAGTGCAGTGGCGCCATCTCAGCTCACTGCGACCTCTGCCTCCGGGGTTCAAGTGATTCTTCTGCCTCAGCCTCCTGAGTAGCTGGGACTACAGGCGCGCGTCACCATGCCCAGCTAATTTTTGTATTTTTAGTAGGGATGGGGTTTTACCATATTGGCCAGGCTGGTCTCAAACTCCTGACCTTGTGATTCACCCACCTTGGCCTCCCAAAGTGCTGGGATTACCAGCATGAGCCACCATGCCTGGCCTTTTTTTTTTTTTTTAAATACAGTTTCACTGTGTTCCCCAGGCTGCAGTGCACAATCACCAGTCACTGTAGCCTTGGCCTCCAGGTCTCCAGTGGTCCTCCTACTTTAGCCTCCCAAGTAGCTGGGACCACAGACATGTGTTACCACCACCAGCTAAAGTTTTTATTTATTTATTTATTTTTTGAGATGGCGTCTTTCTCTGTTGCCCAGGCTGGAGTGCAGTGGCGCTATCTCAGTTCACTGCAACCTCTGCCTCCCTGGTTCAAGCAGTTCTGTCTCAGTCTACCAAGTAGCTGGGATTATAGGTATACGCCATGATGCCCAGCTGGTTTTTGTTTTGTTTTGTTTTGTTTTTTGTATTTTTAGTAGAGATGGGGTTTCATCATGTTGGTCAGGCTGGTCTTGAACTCCTGACCTCAAGTGATTTGCCTGCCTCCCTCCATCCCACCATCCCAATTTTTTTTTTTTTTTTTTTTTTAGCTGGAGTCTCGCTCTATTGCCCAGGCTGGAGTGCAGTGGCACGATCTCGGCTCGCTGCAAGCTCCGCCTCCCGGGTTCATGCCATTCTCCTGCCTCAGCCTCCCGAGTAGCTGGGACCACGGGCGCCTGCCACCACGCCTGGCTAATTTTTTAATTTTGTTTAGTAGAGACGGGATTTCACCATGTTAGCCAGGATGGTCTCGATCTGACCTTGTGATCTGCCTGCCTTGGCCTCCCAAAGTGGTGGGTTTACAGGCGTGAGCCGCCACGCCCGGCTAACCCAATTATTTTTTATTTTTATTTATTTATTTTTTGAGGCAGAGTCTCACTCTGTTGCCCAGGCCAGAGTGCAGTGGGGCGATCTCAGCTGGGATTATAGGCTCTCGCCATCCTGCCTGGCTCATTTTTTTATTTTTAGTAGAGATGGGGTTTTGCTGTTTTGGCCAGGCTGGTCTCGAACTCCTGACCTCAAGTGATCCGCCTGCCTCAGCCTCCCAAAGTGCTGGGATTACAGGCTTGAGCCACCATGCCCAGCCAAATTTTTTTATTTTTTGAACTCCTGGCCTCAAGCAGTCCTGTTGCCTTGGCCTCCCAAAGTATTGGGATTACAGGTGTGAGCCACTGTGCCCGGTCACTAGGTGTGAGATCTTGAGTGAGCTACTTAACGGCCTTAAGGGTCCTCATCTGTCCAGTGGAGATAATAATACCTGTCCCATGGGGCTGTTGTGATCATTAAATTAGTTAAAGGACATAAATGTGGGTGAAGTAGTTGACACGGTTGATGCACAGTAAAAGCTAGTCTTTTACTTCTAAGCCATATGGGGTGAGGGGGCATTGGAGAGCTGAGCAGAGGAAGCCTGAGATCTTACTTAGGTTCCCAAAGGCTGTCCTGGCTGCCATGTTGAGACTACAGCAAGGATGGAAACAGGCCAGTCTGGATTCTGCTGTACTAAGCCAGGTAAAAGATGGTGGTGGTGTAGGCTAGATATGTTTGAAGAGAGTTGATGGGGTTTGCTGATGGATTGATTTGATGTGGGCATGCAAGAAATAGAAGAATGTGGGAGGATAAGGTTGGTGAATTGGAGGCAAACTGGTATTTAATTTTAGACATGTTTCTCTCGTGTGTGTGTGTGTTTTGTTTTGTTTGTTTGTTTGTTTGTTTTGAGACAAAGTCTCTGTTGCCCATGTTGGAGTGCAGTGGTCAGATTACAGCTCACTGCAGCCTTGACCGCCTAAGCTCAGGTGATCCTCCCCTCCTAAGCCTCCCAAGTAGCCAGGACTACAAAGGCGTGCCACCATGTCCAACTAATTTTTGTATTTGTAGTGGAGACGGGGTTTTGCCATGTTGTCCAGGCTGGTCTCAAACTCCTGGGCCCAAGCAATCCACCCTCCTTGGCTTCCCAAAGTGTTGGGATTACAGGCGTGAGGCACCATGCCTGTCCGACATGTTACGTTTTAAGATGCCTATTCAAGATCTAAGTGGAGATGTTGACTAGGCACTTGGATATACAAAGCTGGAATTCAGACAAGGAAGTTTGGGCTAGAGAGGAAAAGTTGGGAGTTATCAGTATGTATATGTTTATATATTTGTGATTTTTTTTTTTTTTTTTTTTTTTTTTTTTGAGATAGAGTTTTGCTCTTGTTGCCCAGGCTGGAGTGCAGTGCCTTGAATACTGAATTAGTGAATATTGAACCATTGCTCCTAGGGGAAATACAGGGTTAGGTTCCTGCAAGCCTCTGGTCATATTTTGTTCAACCAATCAATATATAACCGATCACTTGTTTTATGTGTGTATCTGTTTGGAGACAACTTACTTGACATAATATTGTTGAATCATTAACAGTGAAGTCAGCCAGGCGCAGTGGCTCACGCCTGTAATCCCAGCACTTTGGGAGGCCGAGGCGGGCGGATCATGAAGTCAGGAGATCAAGACCATCCTGGCTAACACAGTGAAACCCCGTCTCTACTAAAAATACAAAAAATTAGCCAGGCATGGTGGCAGGCGCCTGTAGTCCCAGCTACTCGGGAGGCTGAGGCAGGAGAATGGCGTGAACCTGGGAAGTGGAGCTTGCAGTGAGCCGAGATCGCGCCACTGCACTCCAGCCTGGGCGACAGCAAGACTCTGTCTCAAAAAAAAAAAAAAAAAAAAAACTCAGGGCCAACAGCACTATAATTCGTGTCTGAATGAAGCTTATCTAACACCTCCCATAGTTCTTGCACTTAGCAACACTAGAAAGCACTTCAGTACTACACGTGGGGACCCAAGAAAATGTACAAAAATGAAAAAAATGTGGCACTAACTGCATCACGAGAAAGCCTTGTTTAGTGTGTGTCAAGCAACTCAATATTCTTGCCACTCTTAATTTTGATTTGAAAGTACCACAAATACTGATTTGGGGGTTACAGATAAATTTTAGTGAGTAGGCAGATTCACAGATAAAGACTGAACAGTGAAGACTATTTGCATTGAGTGTATATTTTATGTTATGTTATGTTATTTTTGAGATGGAGTCTCACTCTGTCACCCAGGCTGGGGTGCAGTGGCGTGATCTTGGCTCACTGCAACCTCTGCCTCCCGGGTTCAAATGATTCTTGTTCCTCAGCCTCCCGAGTAGCTGGGACTACAGGCATGCACCATCACGCCCGGCTAATTTTTGTATTTTTAGTAGAAACAGGGTTTCACCATGTTGACCAGGCTGGTCTTGAACTCCTGACCTCAGGTGATCCACCCGTCTCGGCCTCCCAAAGTGCTGGAATTACAGACGTGAGCCACCACGCCTGGCCTGAGTGTATTTATTTTACATATTTATATTTGAACTGAAACTTTTATGAACCATTTTATTTAATGCATTCTGATATTTTATATTATTTCATTTTAATTTTTTTCCAAACAAAACTTCTCACATATTTATTATTGAACCAACCTACTATTGTAGAGCTTATAATCAGAGAAAAACCATTTTCTCAACAAAGTATGTCCACCTTTCCAGATAGTGGTGACAGTTTCAGCTTGATGTGATAAGATGATAGTCTTACGTGTAGACTCATCTCATGTGTAATTCCTGGCAGACCCAGCTTGGTTCTTCTCCAGTCCCTCCTCTTGGGGTTGTAGCTAACTGTATTAGCAATTTTGTTTTATTTTGTTTTGTTTTGTTTTTTTGAGATGGAGTCTCACTCTGTCATCCAGGCTGGAGTGCAGTGGCACAATCTCAGCTCACTGCAACCTCCGCCGCCCAGATTCAAGCGATTCTCCTGCCTTAGCCTCCCAAGTAGCTGGGACTACAGGCGCCTGCCACCACGCCTGGCTAATTTTTTGTATTTTTAGTAGAGATGGGGTTTCACCATGTTAACCAGGATGGTCTCGATCTTCTGACTTTGTGATCTGCCCGTCTTGGCCTCCCAAAGTGCTGGGATTACAGCTGTGAGCCACCACGCCCAGCCCTGTATTACCAGTTTTAATCTGAATCCACTGGTGAATGGGACGATTTTGCTTTTGTTTCTTGGCCAGGAATTGCATGATCCTGGACATTTTGTGAGAAGATGGTGGGAGAAATAATCAACAGCACACACCATGATGGTGGAGAAGGGGTGGGGGGAAGCAGGTAGAGGAACATGTTTTTCTGTTTCTTTCATTTTTGAAAAGCTGGGGCTGAGCGTGGTGGCTCACGCCTGTAATCCCAACACTTTGGGAGGCCGAGGCGGGGAATCACTTGAGGTCAGGAGTTCGAGACCAGCCTGGCCAATATGGTGAAACCCCATCTTTACTAAAAACACAAAAATTAGCTGGGCGTGATGGCATGCGCCTGTAATCTCAGCTACTCGGGAGGTTGAGACAGGAGAATCGCTTGAACCCGGGAAGTGGAGGTTGCAGTGAGCCGAGATTATGCCATTGCACTCCAGCCTGGGCAACAAGAGGGGAACTCTGGAAAAAAAAAAAAAAAAGGTGGTCACAGGCTATAATGGACTACAGCTGGCTGTTTGAAAAACATAGTGGAGGTGACAAAGCCATGAGATTGGATGTGATAGATTACTTCTGGAGGGAAAGAGCCATCATTCTTCCCAGGGCAGACTCAGGTGCAGAAAGAAGCCTGTGTGTGAAGAGTTAAAAAGCCAAAGTGTGGGGTGAGGGGACTGGCCTCCTCACGCCTCGGCAGGGCCAGGCCTCCTGCCAATGCTTATGGGCCCGGATCTCCTCCCAGGTGACCATCTTGGTGCTGCAGGGCCGGCTGGATGAGGCCCGACAGATGCTCTCCAAGGAAGCCGATGCCAGCCCCGCCTCTGCAGGCATATGCCGAATCATGGGGGACCTGATGAGGACAATGCCCATTCTTAGTGTACGTGGGGGTAGCTTTGCTCTGCTGGGTCACAGGAGATGCGTGATTCACTAAATATAAAGGGTGTGGATGGGATGACGTCTCATGGCTGGTCTCTCCCTTAGCCCGGGAACACCCAGACACTGACAGAGCTGGAGCTGAAGTGGCAGCACTGGCACGAGGAATGTGAGCGGTACCTCCAGGACAGCACATTCGCCACCAGCCCTCACCTGGAGTCTCTCTTGAAGGTCTGGGAAGCAGTTCAGATTGCATCCATGTTGGCTTCCTATGGGGGCTGTGGCATCCAGTGCAGCAGTGGCAGGAGCTTGGTCCTCCTTGGATAGGGCTGTCTGTCGCTCTGCCGTGATGGCGAGAGCTTTCAGACTAGTTGAAATCCGGTGCCCTTAGCTGAGAGCAGGAGCATTATGGAGAAGGTACCCCTGAGAGGAGGACAGAGTTCAGCACAAATGTCTCTCCTCAGATTATGCTGGGAGACGAAGCTGCCTTGTTAGAGCAGAAGGAACTTCTGAGTAATTGGTATCATTTCCTAGTGACTCGGCTCTTGTACTCCAATCCCACAGTAAAACCCATTGATCTGCACTACTATGCCCAGGTGAGTGAGCTCGGGGTGGGCAAGGGTGGGGGTAGGAGTCCTGGGGGCGCCCTGATGGGTCATTCTCTTTGAATTCCTCCCTGAGGAACAGGAAGACCCTTTCCTTTGGCCCTTAGTGAAAGAACAAGGCACCTTCTCTGGGGTTCGTTATACAGCAGCCCTGCCTGCCCCGAGTCTCTGCTTCCGTCCTCAGGATTGAGTGTCTCATCACCTTTCCACAGTCCAGCCTGGACCTGTTTCTGGGAGGTGAGAGCAGCCCAGAACCCCTGGACAACATCTTGTTGGCAGCCTTTGAGTTTGACATCCATCAAGTAATCAAAGAGTGCAGGTAGGATCTCTCCCACCCCCCACTGTAACCATTTTTAGGTGTACAAATATCACCACCTTGCGTTTCTAGAGTGGCCTGTTCCTTCCTTACCCTTCTTCCCTCAGACCTGCTATCTTAGTCCATCTCACGCTGATATTACAGAATACCTGAGACCAGATAATTTATAAAGAAAAAGATTATTTTCTCACCGTTCTGGAGGCTAGGAAGTCCAGGATCAGGGCACTGGCAATGTTGCTGGTGAGGGCTGCTCTCTGCTTCCAACATGGCACCTTGAACACTGTGTTCTCATGTGGTGGAAGGGCAAGAAGGACAAACTCCCTTCATCAAGTCGCTTTATAAGGGCACCCAATCACATTCATGAGGGAGGATGTGGCCTAATCACCTCCTGGCCTAATCACCTCTTAGAGGCCCTACCTCTTAATACTATCACATTGGCAAAACTGGGGTTTTAGAGGGGATCCCTTCAAACCATAGCATCTGCTCCCCTGCTTGACTTGCCACAGGTAGATAATGGCTTTTCTCTGGGTGAGCTTAGGGACTTCCTGGAGGCTTGAGGGCTACCATATACATAACTGTTTCCATTTCAGGGATGTTCATTTAAAATAACATCGCGGGAAACTACTTTGACATTTAAAATCTAGAAAAAGCCAGCAAGCCTGTTTCTTGGCACCTAATGGACACCTTATGGGATGGCGTGTTCCAAGAGTCTCACTCCAGTGACGTGAGCTACCGAACCACTGGGCTTCAGGCTGGGTATTATTCAGAATTTCCAGCCCTCTATCCAAAAGAGGGTGTTCTATGATTGCACTGAATCTTTAGCAAGGCAGGAAAGGGAGTGCCAAACATAATCAATCAAAGGTAAACCTTTCCAGAACTCTCCATATATGGTAAGTCAGAAAGAAGGTCCCCTTCCTTGTTGTGCACCCTGGATGGTGGGCATTGCACTGAAGACGTGCTGGGAAGGGAGGAAGTGGGTAATGGCAGAAGATGGCCTTGATCAGGTGTCAGATTCACTGACCTCAACTGGCTGTTTGTAGATCTGGGCATGGGAAGAGTTTCCTTCGCCCTACCTGCTTTTCTTGTTTTGGCCAAAAGAATGCCAGGGCTTCAAGAAAATGATACTAGATTTGGGGAATGAAAAACAAGTTTTTTGTGTGTTTGTTTCTGGGTTTTTTTTTTTTTTTTTTTTTTTTTTGAGACAGAGTTTTGCTCTTGTCACCCAGACTGGAGTGCAGTGGCGTGATCTTGGCTCACTGCAACCTCCACCTACTGGGTTCCAGCAATTCTACTGCCTCAGTCTCCCAAGTAGCTGGGATTACAGGTGTCCGTCACCACGCCCAGCAAATTTTTGTGTTTTTCAATAGAGACAGGGTTTCACCATGTTGCCTAGGCAGGCTGGTCTGGAACTCCTGACCTCAGGTCATCTGCCCATCTCGGCCTCCCAAAGTGCTGGGATTACAGGCGTGAGCCACCGCGCCCTGCCAAGTTTTTTTTTTTTGAAACAGGGTCTCACTTTGTCACCCGGGCTGGAGTGCAGTGGAGTGATCTCAGCTCACTGCAGCCTTGACCTCCTGGGTTCAAGTGATCCTCTTGCCTCAGCCTTCCAGGTAGCTAGGACTACAAGTGTGCGCCACCATGCCTGGCTAATTATTATTTTTTTTTTTGGAGAGATGAGGTTTCACTATGTTGCCCAAGCTGTTCTTGAACTTGTGAGCTCAAGCGATCTGCCTGTCTTGGCCTCCCACAGTGCTAGGATTACAGGCGTAAGCCACCATGCCCGGCCTGAAAGTCAAGTTTTGTGTCAATATTTTCACAGGCCTGTAAACATTGTGAGAAGTCCCTGCATGGAAGAATTAGTGAGAATAACTTAAAAACACACAAACACACCATCGTTTGGCTTTGTTGGTGTCTCTGCCCATAGTTGAGTATTCTAAATTTCCTGTGTTATAACAGTGAGTGAGTTTCACCAGGGCTTCCTAATTTATAAGCCCTGTATCTGGATTTTTAGGAATAAAACAGATTTGAGCAGAAGAAGTCTGTTGGATGCAGGGAGTATAAAAGGGGAAAGCATCCTGCTGTTTCCAGTGGCAGAAGAGAAAGAGAAGTACCATGAAGAGGGGTGAACAACATCACTCTCGTGCCGGACACAGACAAGGAATGATTAGGCTTGCAGTCCCCCAGTCTCAGCCTCTCTCCACTCTCACAAGCAGGAAGGGATCTGAGCTCTGTTAGTGGGAAATCTTGGAGTTTGCATTTCTCTGATCACGAGGCTACCTCCTATCCTGTTTTGAAAGAGGAACAGAAAAGCAGAGCTTGTCCCAGGAATTGTGAAATGGGCTGCAATGTCTTCAGAGGCAGTAGCAGTTTTAGGAAGTGTGCCCTCCTGGCTCTGGGGAAAGGTTGAATTGGGGTCTTGTGGGCACTTGTTTTCTCATGGGATGTATCAGTCAGACCCATGCACAGTTCTGGGCGGCAGGGAAGTGTGTCTCTTTCTGGACTTGAGCCAGTGAGCTGTTGGCATGCCTTTTTAAAGGCATTAGAAAAAAGGTTTCTTTCTTTTTTTTCCTTTCCTGTTCACACCACCTTCATATGAACATGGAGAAGGGAGGTTTCTAAGTGGGCCCCTGATTTACTCCTATGTCAATAATCGTGCCAGACCCTAAGGGGCAGAAAAGGCAGCCAGGGGATCCTGACTCAGAGGCTGTAGTTCGTCAGCCCTGCTAAAGGGCCAGGGGTTTGTCTCTCAGTGCCTGGGTGGGCATGCTTGACTGCTAACCCCTTAGCTGAAAGGAGATGGCAGGAGTCCTCCACAGGGTCCCTTCTTCCCTCCTGGCTTACAGCTTCCTCTGAAGACGGGCCAGTTCCTTGCTGTCTGGCAAGAGGAAACAGCTGGGGTGCACTTCACTGGGAGTTGGGCAAGATGTCGGCAGTTTCCTGGTGCCCTTCAAGTCCTCCAAAAGTATCGAGCTAAAAGGTGACAAGTCTTCCTTCAATAACCAAGAAGAGTTCCAGCTTAATGTCTGCTGAATCTAGAATCTTCTGACTTGTATTTTGGCCCAGCCCACAATCTTGGATGCAGGGTGCAGCAGTGTTTACAAACCTCACACCCCATTTCCAGAATAGCAGGTAGAGGCACTGGAGCTTTGATTACTCCAGAGCCCCCAACAAGCAAGATGGGGCCTGGGTAAGGAGTTGACAGTGACCTTAGTACAGGACAAACAGCTCATTTGGGGCTACAGTTGCTTAGAGGGGTCACCTTCACCGTAGCTGGTCTTCCCAACTCCGCAGCGTTCTCTCGTTTTCAGCAGAGGGCTACTTTGGAGCTGATAATTAGGCCTTTCTTGCCTTGAATGTTAAGGATGCCCACCTGCTCTGTGTCTCGGCTGCTCACTCAGAATCCTTCAGAGTGAGAGAGAGACAGAGTGAGAGTGGGAGTGTGTGCGTGTGTGATCTAAGACCTAACTGTGTGGTTCAGGCCTGCTGGGCCCTGTAGAGAGACCGTGGTGGCTTTGTGCAGCACTATGTCTGGTCTCCGTCACTTGAGTTGTGTTGTTAGTTCTCTGCTCTCAGTGCTTGCTGCCTTCCAGCCTTGGAGGCTGCTGGATCCTTTGGGAAGACACCGGGCACTGTCTCAGCCCTTCCTTCCAGTTGTTGGTGGCTTTCGTGCAGGCTAAGGCTTTGGCTCCCTTAGCCTGGGTCCCCTATAGCCTTTTCACTGGCTTCTCCAATGGTTTCGACATAACCATCAGCTAGAAATCTGGGTAGCAACAGCTGTTTTGGGAAGCTGAGGTGTCCTTTCCCCTGGCCCAGCCCACTCCCTCCCATTTTTTTCCCCAGCTTTATTGAGGTGTGATTAACAAAGTAGTATGTATTTAAGGTGTACAAAATTTTTTTTTTTTTTTTGGAGACAGAGTCTTGCCCTGTCACTCAGGCTGGAGTGCAGTGGCACGATCTCAGCTCACTGCAGCCTCTGCCTCCTGGGCTCAAGCGATCTTCTGCCTCAGCCTTCCGAGTAGCTGGGACCACAGGCACACGCCACCACGCCCAGCTAACTTTTGTATTTTTGGTGGAGATGGGGTTTTGCCATTTTGGCCAGGCTGGTCTTGAACTCCTGAGCTCAAGTGATCCACCCGCCTCGGCCTTTCAGTGTTGGGATTACAGGAATGAGCCACTGCACCCGGCCAAGGTGTACAACATGTTTTTTGTTTTTTTTTTTTTTTGAGATGG
Organism: Homo sapiens; assembly: GCF_000001405.40. Classification (NCBI taxonomy): domain Eukaryota; kingdom Metazoa; phylum Chordata; class Mammalia; order Primates; family Hominidae; genus Homo; species Homo sapiens. The sequence goes on from NC_000017.11 coordinate 75,230,385, forward strand.
AGTCTCACTTTGTCGCCCAGGCCGGAGTACAATGGCGCGATCTCGTCTCACTGCAAGCCCCGCCTCCTAGGTTCACGCCATTCTCCTGCCTCAGCCTCCAGAGTAGCTGGGACTACAGGTGTCCGCCACAACATCCGGCTAATTTTTTGTACTTTTTGTAGAGATGGGGTTTCACCGTGTTAGCGAAGATGGTCTTGATTTCCTGACCTCATGATCCTCCCACCTCGGCCTCCCAAAGTGCTGGGATTACAGGTGTGAGCTACCGCGCCCGGCCAACAACATGTTTTGATAGATGTATACATTGTGAAATTAAGCTAGTGACATCTGTCACCTCACATAGTGACCCTTTTGGTGTGCGTGTGGTGAGAACATTCAAAAGCTACTTTCTAGCTGGGTGTGGTAGCGCATGCCTGTAATCTCAGCTACTGAAGAGGCTGAGGCATGAGAATTGCTTGAACCTGGGAGGCAGAGGTTGCAGTGAGTCGAGATCTCACCAGTGCACTCCCGTCTGGGTGACAGAGCAAGACTCCACCTCAACTACTTTCTGAGCGATTTTTTTTTTTTTGAGATATGGTTGTGCTCTCTCACCCAAGTTGGAGTGCGGTGGCGTGATCTCGGCCGATTGCAGCCTCTGCTTCCCAGGCTCAAGCAATACTCCCACCCCAGCTTCTCGAGTAGCTGGGATTACAGGTGTGTGCCACCATGCCTGGCTAATTTTTGTATTTGTAGAGATGGGGTTTTGCCATGTTGCCCAGGCTGGTCTTAAATTCCTGGACTCAGGTGATCTGCCTGCCTTGGCCTCCCAAAGTACTGGGATCACGGGCATGAGCTATCATCACGCCCGGCCCCATCTCTTTGAGGGACAGGACATGTGGGGTTTCTTGCTCACCCCCACTCTTGTGGGACGCGGCCTGTGCCCTGATTTTCCTTCTTGCCTTGGTGTCTGAATCTGCAGCATCGCCCTGAGCAACTGGTGGTTTGTGGCCCACCTGACAGACCTGCTGGACCACTGCAAGCTCCTCCAGTCACACAACCTCTAGTAAGTGGCCGGGAGGCACCGATCCTCCTCTTCTTACCACCAGGCCCCCGAGGGTGGTGTGAACTGAATGCCTGAAAGGGAGGTTGGGCTAAGGGGGCCCTGAACAGGGCAGGCCAGGAGTCTTGGTCTTTTGTTATGTTTTATTCCAGTTTCGGTTCCAACATGAGAGAGTTCCTCCTGCTGGAGTACGCCTCGGGACTGTTTGCTCATCCCAGGTAGGAAGGACCCCATGGGTGTGGGCTATGCGGGTGCTCTTCAGCATGCGGGTGCCATTGGAGCTTGGACTGTTCTCTCCCAGTTGGCTCCTTGAAGGCTTCGGAAGGGTCAGTGAAAGGGAGCTGTAGGTGCCAGTCCTCGGAGCCATGAGGCAGCACCTCATGTCTGTCCTCCTCGAACCTTTGCAGCCTGTGGCAGCTGGGGGTCGATTACTTTGATTACTGCCCCGAGCTGGGCCGAGTCTCCCTGGAGCTGCACATTGAGCGGATACCTCTGAACACCGAGCAGAAAGCCCTGAAGGTGCTGCGGATCTGTGAGCAGCGGCAGATGACTGAACAAGGTGAGCTGGCCCTGCTCCCAGCCTACTGTCTGTGGGACGCAGGAGTCAGGGGATCCTGAGGTCACACTTTATGCCTACCCCAGCCATCCTCCTCCTCACGAGCCACACTGGAGACGTGGGGCTGTGGACGCCAAGAGGTAAACTAAGAGATGGGATAATTACTTGGGAGGGACAGGAAAGCTAGGGATCCACTGGAACCCAGACAAAATCTACACGCCATCTGGAAAGGCCTGAGCCGCCCCTTTTCTCACACACTTGATTCCACGAGGTCAGGGCTGGGGTTGGCGCTGTTTCCCTGTCCAGGTGGGTTGCTATTGCTAGCTCAGCCTGGCTCAATGGGGAAGCAGTGCTGGAGGTGGCTCCAGAAAAGCAGAGAGAGTGGAATGAGGATGACCAAGTCTGCCCCTTCATTTCTCCCCTCACTGTTGAGTAATGTAAACATGAGTTATTACCCTGCAGAGAGGCAGTTGCATGTTCACGACCATTTCTGAAAGCATATGGTATTCACGATCCACAGGAAGATGTGATTTGAGGCATCTGGAGAGGTAATAGAAGAGCTGACACGTAGGGAGAAACACGTAGGGAGAAAAAAAATAGAAGAGCTGACATGTAGGGAGCAACGTTTTGCTCCCCTTGAAGCCACACACACTCATAGAGCCAGTCTTGCCGTGATGGGCACTTACACTCTTAGCAGATCCCAGACACTGTTAATCAGCCGAGTTTCCAGCTCTGCCGATCCAGCTGCATTTAGAGCCCAAAGAGTGGCTCTGCGGTGGAGTGAGGCTGTGAGGCCACTCCGGTCCCCACAGGGCTCAGGAATGGAGTGATTTGTGGAGTGAAAGCCGTTTACCTTTTCTTTTCCCCTGCAAAGTTCGCAGCATTTGTAAGATCTTAGCCATGAAAGCCGTCCGCAACAATCGCCTGGGTTCTGCCCTCTCTTGGAGCATCCGTGCTAAGGATGCCGCCTTTGCCACGCTCGTGTCAGACAGGTGGGTGCCGCTAGTGTTGGCTTCCCAGGGACTGGGTGGTTGAGGTGGGCCTGAGACTGCTGCTCTGATCTCTGGGCCGGGCCCTGCAGGTTCCTCAGGGATTACTGTGAGCGAGGCTGCTTTTCTGATTTGGATCTCATTGACAACCTGGGGCCAGCCATGATGCTCAGTGACCGACTGACATTCCTGGGTGAGTCTCTGGGTTTTGTGCCCTGTGCTTTGGGCACAAGTGGGTAGTTGGGGAGGTTGGAGGGATCACGTCAGACTTCTCCCAGCGCTTCCTTCATGTATTCCCATTGCATCAGTGGTCCCAGAAACATCCTCCGTCATGTCCAGGATCATGAGTTTGGCTGTCACATCTCCTTAGTGCCTCCATGTTTGTTTGTTTGTTTGTTTGTTTTTCTTTCTTTCTCTCTTTCTTTCTCTTTCTCTTTCTCTTTCTTTCTTTCTTCTTTTCTTTTATTTTTTCTTTTTTTTTTTTTTTGAGACAGAATCTTACTCGCTCTGTGGCCCAGGCTGCCAGGCTCACTGCAACCTCCACCTCCTGACTTCAAGCAATTCTCGTGCCTCAGCCTCCCAAGTAGCTGGGATTACAGGCACGCGGAACCACACCTGGCTAATTTTTGTATTTTATTTATTTATTTTTTGGGGACAGAGTCTCACTCTGTCACCCGGGCTGGAGTGCAGTGGCGTGATCTCGGCTCACTGCAACCCCCGCCTCCCGGGTCCAAGCAATTCTCCTGCCTCAGCCTCCCAAGTAGCTGGGACTACAGGCGCACGCCACCACACCCAGCTAATTTTTTGTATTTTTAGTAGAGATGGGGTTTCACCGTGTTAGCCAGGATGGTCTTGATCTCCTGACCTTGTGATCCGCCTGCCTCGGCCTCCCAAAGTGCTGGGATTACAGGCGTGAGCCACTGCGCCCCGCCTAATTTTTGTATTTTTAGTAGAGATGGGGTTTCACCATGTTGGTCAGGCTGGTCTGGAACTCCTGACCTCAAGTGATCCGCCCGCCTCGGCCTCCCAAAGTGCTGGGATTACAGGTGTGAGCTACTGTGCCTGGCCAGTGCCTCCATGTTTCTTCTTTTTTTTTTTTTTTTTGAGACGGAGTCTCACTCTGTCGCCCACGCTGGAGTGCAGTGGTACAATCTTGGCTCACTGCAACCTCCACCTCCCGGGTTCAAGCCATTCTTCCTCCTCAGCCTCCTGAGTAGCTGGGACTACAGGTGCATGCCACCATACCCGGCTAATTTTTGTATTTTTAGTAGAAATGGGGTTTCACCATGTTGGCCAGGTTGGTCTCAAACTCCTGACCTCAGGTGATCCACCTGACTCGGCCTCCCAAAGTGCTGGGGTTACAGGCATAGGCATGAGCCACCACGCCTGGCCTAGTCAATCTCTTTTAATCCATGACTCTTGTTATGTATTTTGACTCTGATGTTTCCCCAGATTTGGCTCTTCGGAGTTCTTCCAAGTCTGTTTTGAATGCTCTTGGTCTGCATCTCATTGGGACCTATGAGTTTGGAGACAGAAAAAAATCTCCTGCTTTGTGGAGTGGCTGGTCTGAGGTTTTTCTTCTCCTGTTTAGGGCCAGGGTGACTTTTGTAGGTGTCACTTGGGCAATTTGGGGGAATATGCAGGTTACTCAGTGCTCTTGTTTCGCCATAGGAAAGTATCGCGAGTTCCACCGTATGTACGGGGAGAAGCGTTTTGCCGACGCAGCTTCTCTCCTTCTGTCCTTGATGACGTCTCGGATTGCCCCTCGGTCTTTCTGGATGACTCTGCTGACAGACGCCTTGCCCCTTTTGGAACAGAAACAGGTGAAGGTTGCAGCAGCAGTGGTTTTCTTTGCTTGTCAGTCCCTGCTAGAGCTTAGTTGTATAGCTGTTGCCGATGTGCGTGTTTCCTCCTTTGTCGTTCTGCCTGTGCGCGTGTATTCCCCTTAGCGCCCTCTCTGGGATTCCAGACTCACACAGGAAACAAACACTGCTTGATTTGAAATGAGGTATTCGTATACAAAGCACACTATTGCGAAGGGTATGAAAGGAAGAACGTCCGAACATGGGCCCCTGCCCCAACCAATGCAGGCCAGGGCTGGGGGCAGCCAAGCAAGGCAGGCTCTCTTCCCTAGGTGATTTTCTCAGCAGAACAGACTTATGAGTTGATGCGGTGTCTGGAGGACTTGACGTCAAGAAGACCTGTGCATGGAGAATCTGATACCGAGCAGCTCCAGGTCATTTTCACTTTTGGGTTGATGGTTCCACATGGAGGTGGGAAAAGGCTCCCTCTATCTCAGGCTTCCCCTTCCCTCCAGAAACACTGGCTCCTATGGACACATGTGCCTCTGTTCCCCTTAACCTGTGTAATTCACACACCACCTTCTTTTAGGAGAAAATCAGGGATTCTAGTGTTCTCATCTCTACATTTTGTTCTTTGCTGTTCATCATTTCCAGTATGGCCCTTTGGTATTGCTTTCTTTTACATCGATAATTTGCTGGAAGCTACTATGAATGTTAAGTGCCCTCTACCTTTGGATTAGCTAGACCCTTCGGGAGTGTGAAAGGGCTCCTTCCTGCTCTTAGCTCATGCTGGCGCTCTCTGCTTTGCAGGATGATGACATAGAGACCACCAAGGTGGAAATGCTGAGACTTTCTCTGGCACGAAATCTTGCTCGGGCAATTATAAGAGAAGGCTCACTGGAAGGTTCCTGAGAACTGCTTCAATGTGGTATCTTTGTATGGCAATGTATATAGATTTTTTTAAAAGAATAAATGTTGTTTTGCAAATGTAGGTTCTTAGAGTCCACCCAGGGAATTTTTTATCTGTCTAGTCTGAACCTGAGGTGGTAAGAGATTAAAAAATGCTTGTTTTATGTTCTTTTTTTTTTGAGACGGAGTCTTGCACTGTTGCCTGGCCTGGAGTGCAATGGCACGATCTCAGCTCACTGCAACCTCCGCCTCCAGGGTTCACGTGATTCTCCTGCCTCAGCCTCCCAAGTAGCTGGGATTATAAGTGCACACCATACCCAGCTAATTTTTTTGTATTTTTAGTAGAGATGGGGTTTCACTGTGTTGGCCAGACTGATCTCAAACTCCTGACCTTGTGATCTGCCCGCCTTGGCCTCTCACAGTGCTGGGATTACAGGCGTGAACCACCACACCCGGCCTTGTTTTATGTTCTGATACGCAACTGTCTTCCTGTGCCTCCTTAGATAAGAAATCACCCCCCAGGTCGGGTGCAGTGGCTCACGTCCTGTAATCCCAGCACTTTGGGAGGATCCCTCAACCCCAGGAGTTTGAGACCAACCTGGGCAACATAGGGAGACTCCATCTCTGTTTAAAAAAAAAAAAAAAAAAAACCCCAAAGTTGTGGTGACTGCAGTGTCTTGGAAGTCTGAACAAGAACGCTTGGTGGTATACTTGTGCTTCTGAAATCTTGCCTCACCTCTTCTGGAACACTTAACATTTTGGTTATTTAGTTCCCTTAAAATATAAGCGTACAGGAACCCGCACTTTTAACAAAAACCTTGGGCAGTTCTATCATAGGCTGTCCTCATGTATATCTAGAATTCATAGGTGGTACCTTTTCCTCCATCAGGGTGAATGGCGTCTATACTAGGAAGATTCCAAGTACAGTGAAAATGGTTTTATTTAACATGCAGCAAAACAAGGGCAGCAGAGCTGGGATATCCAGTACAGCCATTTGCCACGAAGCACTGACCTCAACAGTAACGAGTAACACTCAAATAACTGTAATGTCTAGAGCATAACACAAAGTTCCATTTCCACATAGTAATTCCACAGACATTCCCAGGGCTGCAGCAGCCAGTCTCTGGAAAGCTCTTGGATTTATTCCTTAAGTAGTGAAAAATGATTCACTTTTGACTTGTCCTCTTCTAATGAAGCAGTGAAACCTGCTTGCTAAAGACAGCGAGGGGCAGGGAAGGGATATGACCTCTTCCCATAGTAAGGAATAAGGAAGCCTGGCAAGGGGCAGGGAGGAACCAGGGAACATGGTCTGTGCCACCTTCCTTTCCCCAGAGATGTCCGATTGCTGAGCTTGTTCACCTGGGCTCCGCAAGCTTCCCCCGTGTCTATGGCAGCTGGTGATTTTTTTTTTGTGACGGAGGCTTGGAGTACATGTCCCAGGATCACATCCAGCAGCTAGAGTGGCTGGGACAAGCTGGCGGGGGCCAAGCACTGTTGAAGCAATAGGGTCTGGTGACTCAGCTCAAGTGTGGCCCGATCTCATCACCTCCAGACCCAACATCTCGCTGACAGTGCCCCTCAGTAGCTGGGGAACAGTTGAGGTTTCTGGGCAGCACATTAGGACATATGTCTAGTGTAACATTTGTGATCCTGAGGCCTCCTGTGTCCAGCCACAGGTGCCACACCACATGCCATCTGGTGAGAGGAGAGGGAGGCCAAAGCAGTAGGATGTAGAGTGGCGGTAGATTCCAAGGGGAGGATAGCAGTTTATTTCATGCCAAGCAAGAGGTAGTCAGTAGGATGGCCTGTCCCCACGGCTGGAGGCACGCTTTTCCCAGAAAGCTGAGTACCTGCTTCTGGAGAAGGGGAAATACTGGCTCTCTTCATTTTCCTTCCTATCCCTAGTTGGGCCTGTCATGAGGCCAAATTCCATGTCCTGCCAAGATGTCCATAGGACACAGCCTGCCACTGCCAGGGACAAGCACACAACTCATCACTCCGTGGCCATTCCAGGACGATGCTGTCCACCAGAGGCAGGGCTGGGGACTTTGCAGTATGCCAGTTCCTTATTCTGGGCCAGGCACCTTCCTGGGCCACCTCCCTGGGGATGGCAGCAGGAGCTGGTTGGCGGGGGAAGCATGGAATTGCAACAGGGCTGCAGCCCCTTGGGCCGTGCATCTGTCAGGTGTGAGGATGTGGCTCTTGTGGGGAATGACCCATGACAGTCTCTCTTTAGAGACTCCCACCCCCCACCCCCCACCCCAGTGGCTTCAGTGAATGCCAGTAGAAGGAAGCAAACACCTACGCCAAGCCTGGGGGTCCATGTTCCCGGGACAGCAGTGAAGTCAGGGGCCACTCCGCACCCCTGACAGCATATGGCCACTTCAAGTCACACAGGTAGATAAAAACAGGTCCTTTTAGGGGCCAAAGGAGAGGTTATCACAGCAGCAGTTTGGTTCTCAGCAGAAATGCCCAGGGCCCCTGTTCCACATCAAAGCTACAAGCACTGTTGTCAGGGCATGGAGAGTGACGGGACCAGAGCCCTCCTCGTCTCAGGGCAGCCTGCCTGGCTTCAAGGTGGAGATCACAGCGTCCTCTGGGGTCATAGGTTCCCCCACTGTTCCACAGGAGGGAACTGGTCCACCTCGCCCACCTCTGTGCTCAGCTGCTCCCCCAGGGCGAAGGTCAGCTTATACCGAAGCCGCACCTTCTCCTGTGACAGAGGGCAGCAAGTGAGATCCAGCCCAGGCGGCCCCTTGGCAGGACGCCCTCTATTCTGCTACCCTCTCTGTGCTAGAGGAATGGTCCCTTTTCCCCGCAACCCCCAACCATGCTCAGACACTTAACCTAAGGCAGCAAAGGGATGTGTCAATCCTACAGTCAAAACACTTCCAGCTGGGAGGTGGTGGGCCTGACGTCCTAATCTGGGGCAGCTGGGGCCTCAGGCTGGGACCCCTGGGTTCTTTGCTGCTCACCTTCAGTGGATTGGCCAGCAACATGACCTGGGTGATGGCTGCAGGTGGCTGGATGGGGCTAAATGGAGAGAGTTCTGTCCCAGAAGGTGGCTGCAACTTCACTTTCATTGACTAAAGAGAGAGAAACTCCTTTGAAGAGAACTGGTAGGTGCCCCCAGATGGAACCTGCAGTGCACACACACACTGCCACCTGCTGGCTGCAAAGGCCTCTACACAACAGGGTCAAGATAAGGCCGTTTTGGCCCCAGGGAGACACTGGTACCTTGGGCACTGCAGCCTGCAGCACGATGCTCTTGACAGGTAAGGGAGCCGTGTTCAGCATGGACACCACCACCACCAGCACGTCAGGTCGTCCTGGGGGACACTCCTTGGCAAAGTGGAAGAGGATGCGGAAGCCGTTTTTATCGTAGGCTGTCACAGGAAGGGCACTGCCTGTAAGAACGTGACGTGAGTGTGGGAGGAGCAGCACCAGAGACACCCAACAGAGCCCCGGCGGTGAGGAGAAAAGGGCTACTCCGTGGTCATGATGAGTCCAGTGCTTCCTAACGGAATCTGGGAGAGGCGCTCAGTGAGGAGCTTAAGACTGAGAATGCAGGCAGGGAGGCCTGCCTGGCTTTAAGGGACCCCCTGCAAAGAGTGCCTGGATCCATCCCTGTCGCATGTCCTACAGCTCCGTGGCTATAGGCCCCACCGCCCCACCCACCTCAATCCTCCAACACCTACTAGGCTTGATCGATTCCAGGGGCACGTGGATGCTGGCCAGGGAGAGCTCAGGCCCCTTCGGGGGGCTGCCCTGGGACTGGAAACTCAGTGGCTGGAAGAGCGGGCTGCCGGGCCCCGTGGAGAAGGGCAGGAGGGGCCTGGCTGGGGTGGTGGTGGGGATGAGAGGGGAGGTAGTGGGTTTCACCAAGCCCGAGGTCCTGGGAGGTGGGAAGGATGGAAAGCACGTCAGAGAGCCAGCCAGAGCTGCAGGACTCTCACCCAAGGCCCCTGACCATGCTCTTACCCAGGCCCACCCCTTGCCTTCCAGCCTGACTGATGGGACTACAAGGCACCCCCACCCCTTCAAAGTTAGCTCTGGTTCTGACACATTCAGGCCCAACCCTCAGCAACCCCACATCTCCTCCCACTCATTACACTTTGGCCTCTTCTAGAAGCTGATCGAGGGCATCCAGGTGGTGCAGCGCGCTGTTGCCCAACGCCAAGCCATGGTGCCCAGGGACTGCGGGCTCAACTTTTGGGGCCAAGGCTGGGGCCACTCCAGTAGAAAACAAGGAGGAGCCCGCACTGGGGGCAGGAACACTGGCTGGGACCACAGGAGCTGGGAAGGGAGGCGGCAGTGGAGCTTGGGAGCTGCTTGAGGAGGGGGCTGAGGGCTGGAGCAGAGGAGCATCGGAGGCGCCACAGGCAGCGGTCCCCGGCCTGGGGCTGAAGAAGTCCAGGTCGGACTGTTCCCTCTATGAACAACAGAAAGGGTGGTGAGCCGAGGGCGGGTGGGGAGGGCCTGCCGCTGGAACGGGGCGCAGCCCTCCAAGGACTGCACGGAAGACAGCCCCGGAGGCACTCATTGTTCCCCGCTGCAGCTGGCACGCTCTGGAGGGAAGGACAGCTAACTGCAGCCCAGGAGACATGACGCTGGAAAGTGGAGGTCCTTGGCACAGTAGTGCTGTCACCGATCCTGTGCCCCTACCTGGAGCAGGTGCCACTGGCTGTTCCCAGCTGACTCTTTGGGAGGAACATTAGGGGCTGGGTCGGCGAGGCCTGACAATAGAGAAGAAAACAGGATGAGAAGAGGCTCTGAGCTAGGCAGCCCTAGCCCCGCCTTGCCTGAGGAGGGGTCAGGTGACAAGTGACATCAATGGGTGAAGGCGCCGGGAGAAGCTGTTCTGCAGGCAGCCTCCAGAGGGGAATGGAGCGCTCCAGTCCATGATGCAGAAGCGGGGGGCCTGTGGGGCGGGGTGCAGGGCAGGAGGCAGAGTCCACCGGGAGGATGGCCCTGGGGCCCTCAGGGTCGCTGAACTTCACTGAGTACCTCCAACTCAGGGTTCTTTGCCCACCCCAACAGTCACACTGGGGCCCCGCTCAGGGCTCCTAATTCCACACACCCTTCCTCCCAGAGCCCTGTCAGGGGATGCCCCTGACGCCCCCTGTGGGCCGCACCCAAGCAGAGTAGCTCCTCGTCCAGCCAGGAGAGGGCGTTGCTTGTGCTGCTGGGCCCCAGGGTGGCCTCGGCCTGGCTAGAGGAGCGGCTCCGTGGAGGTCCTGAGGCCTGGGGTGGTGGAGGGAGGATTGGGATGCCTGAGGAGGGTGGAGTAGGTGCTGGGGCCAACACGGAGGACAAACTGTTGGTCGTGTCCAGCTCCGCAAGGTCGATGAGCGTGCCTTGGTTACTGCACTGACTGTTTCCTGGATGGGTCAACAGAGCAGAACAGGAATAATTAGGGGTCTTCTAGTGGCTGTGTGGCAGGAGGCAGCACCCTAGGCACAGAGGTCACTGCTACAGCCTCTGGCCTAATCCAACGGCATCTCTGCCAGGGGATGCTGCAAAGCAAGCCCGAGAAAGCAGGTGGGGAAATTCCTACCCACATCTCCAGGCCTCCGGGAAGCCGGAGGATTGCTTGGAATGGCAAAGAACTCCCTTGGGCCTTGTGCAACACCACCACGCTGGCCAGCCTACACCCGCAGCTTCATGATAGGGGCCTGAGGCTGGTCTGGAGGAGCCTAGAGTTGGGGACCAGAGCATCTCACCTTCCGAGTCAGGCAGGGTTAAGGTAGCCACCTCGCCATTGATGACCTGCCCTTCAATAATTGTTTTGTAAGAGTTGATGACCCGGGAGAGGTTGTCACTGGCTTGCAGGATGTCCCCTGGAGCAGGAAAGAGAGACTTCTCACTCCTGTTGTGACAGTTCCCACCCACATATCCAAATGCCTGGCTTATCCCTGACCGTCGCTCTTTCACTCACCCAAACTGTTATCATTGTCCTCAGTCTCACTGGCGAGTTTAAATAAAGTCCGCCTCTTGTTCTCACACTGATCAAACAGCTCCTGAAAGAGACTCGGACATAAAAATCAAACCACAAAGGCCCTTAGAGATCATCTGATTCATTCAGGGTTCATGCCCAGAAAATGACCGGGATATGCCAATTGCCACGGTCAATTACCAGCAAAGCTGGGATCACAGCGCACGTCTTCTTGCCACCAGCCACCACCACCACACCACATCACCCAGGATGTTTGTCTAGGTAGCAGTCACCAGGATGGGTCAGGGGAAGTCAGTCCCCTCCTGCCTTCCAGGCTGGCATGTTCCTCAGAACTCAAAATATCCACCCAACCATGGCCTGCACCACATGGGCATCAGGGTTACAAGGAAGCCTCTCTGTCTTGATGTCCCCAAGGTAGTAAGGAAAGGGAGAGAGCAGGGGTGAGCACCGAGAGTGTGGTCTCTGGAGTCAGACTCAGGTTTCCATCTGGCCCTTACACCCTGGACAAGTCAGCTGATCCCAGGAGGCAAATGGGGACGCCACCCTCTACTGACGTGGCTGCTGTGCAGATGAGTAAGGTCATGAATACACTGCCAAGTGCACAGCCCGTGTCTCTGACAAGGCACGTGCTCAGCAAATGCTGGCTGAGCTCCTGAAGGGCAGCGCAGCCCCGGGAGGCAGCCTTTGCCGTCGGCGGTCCCACCTTCATCAGCTCTCTGTCCCCGTCCGAAGAGTCCTCCTGGCTGTAATGAAGCAGCATCTCACTGAGCAGTCTCACGTTGTTGTTAACTTCCTCTAACGTGTGCAGACGCTTGGTCACCTTCTGGATCCGTGCCTCGTCCTGCCCCAGTGAAGAAGTTCAAGAGAAAGAGAGCGTCACTTGACTGTCTTTCCACTTCCACCAGGTCACACCTTACCCCACAACACAAGTACAGACGCTCGGAAGCTCCTTTCAGTGTGGGGTGCCTGGGGCCCAGTCTATACTTCTGCTTTCACAACACTGCTCCCAACCCACTCCTCTCTTCCGTGCTCCCGCGGAAGCTATTGTGCTCCTCCTCCCACTCTCAGCCACCGGGGCACAGGTAGGGCAGCTGGCAGCAGGGGAGAACAAAACAGGCCCGTGTCCGGGGCAAAGCGGCTTCTGCTGTGTGGCCATGGGCTCCTCCACCCCGTGCCTGAAGGACCGGGGCCCACTCACTTCCTTCACCATGGACTTGATGAGCTTGTTGGCCTCCTGCAGGTCATCTGGGTTTTTGCTTTTCAGCAGCTTGGCTAAAAGCTGAGAGAGGAGGAAATCAGAGGTGAAGGGAAGAGGCAGCACCCGTACCCCAGGGAAACCCCAGAGGCTCCCCGCAGCACAGTGCAAACCACATTCCCCTGCTGCCACCCACTCTCGTATGAGAAAATCCCAGGCCCAGGGTGTCCTTTACCTTGGACTTCTCCTCATCATCAAAAACAGGGTTTTTGGGACGAGGTGGTGGAGAGGGGATCAGCGTCCTATCCACAGGAATTGGTGGGTCAGACTGCACTATGCCTGAAAGGGGACATGGCAGCACGTGCACTCAGGCTGTGGTTGCCTTGTCACCCCTCCTCATACACCAAGGGCCACGTCCCTGTGATCAAGACCTGCAAAGGGTAGCAGGGTGGAGGGCAGGCTGCTACACCTTATCCCATCCAACTCCGACTCAGCCTTGCCTGGGGACAAATGCTGTTCTCTTCAGGAGGGACTCTGGGGATCCCAAACCTTCCCTTCTCTCCTTGCCTGGGCCAGCCTTCGAGGGCTGCCTGGAGGCTGCGGGCAGGCAGACACGTACCCTGTCTCTTCAGCATGTGGTAGGCGTCTTTGATCTTTGCTTCTTCTGGCAGGGCCATGGTCCAGCTGTACAGCAGCTCAATAACCTTGGTCTTCACTTTCTCAGACACCCTGTCCCCCAGGTACTACATGGCAAAAGAAAATGAGGACCTAGTAAGTGCAGTTCGGAGGCAGAGAAAGTGTAAGGCTCCCTCCACAGCAATGGCGTGGCTGCTCAGCAGCTATGGTCCTACTCAAAATCTGCAGGTGTCCAAGTGTGTGTGAGACAGCGTGGGGAGGGGAACGACTCCCTGTGGTGTGGCTGTGTCCATCTGGATACAGTCTGTGGATAGGCAGGGGGCCAGGAGGTCATCACCTCCTGTCCAGGAAGTGTCCTGTAAGTGTATTCATGACCTTACTCATCTGCACAGCAGCCACGTCAGTAGGGGTGGCGTCCCCATTTGCCGCCTGGGATCATCTAACTTGCCCAGGGTGTAAGGGCCGGATGGAAACCTGAGTCTGACACCAGAGACCATGCCCTCGGTGCTCACCCCTGCTCTCTGCCTTTCCTTACTACCTTGGGGACATCAAGACAGAGAGGCTTCCTTGTGACCCTGATGCCCATGTGGTGCAGGCCATGGTTGGGTGGATATTTTGAGTTCTGAGGAAAGTGCATTTTCACGCACAAGTTGCCAGAAACACAACTGCATTTTATCTTGGGGGTGTCCATGAGAATGTCTTTAGCATGGTAAAGTATTCCCTCTGCTTTAAGTGGGGGCCCAGAGCTGCGCCACACCAGCGTGCAACAGAACACGGCCAGCTGAGCATCGGAGCAATGACGGAGGCCAGCTCCCCGTATCCACGTGACACAGGCCAAGAAAACCCACAAAACCCACAACTGCCATGTGCCAGGTGCCTAGAGTCCCACACTACATGGGCCCTCACCCTGGACAAACACACAGCCACTACCACATCACCTGTCAGATTTGGGCTGAGGGCGCTTCAGAAAAAGCTGCCGGTCCCTGTGGCCTGTTTGGTCATCCCGTTACCTCCAGGGCCTAGCTCTCTAAGGACAAGACACAAATAATCTCAGCTCCCTGGAGATGTTGGATGGGCAGTGAAAGCCAGTATGATGGGAGATGGGAATGAACACAAAAGAAGTCCCTAAAAGCGAGGAATCTGCCGCTGACTGACCTTTGGAGAGACGACTTTGATTAACTCATTCAAAAAGCGGAACTTCCCCACTTCGTTATGAAATCTCCTCCCACAGTTCTTCATGCATGCCTCCAGCACCTGTAGCCGCACAGAGGAGAGGCGCTCAGTGAGGGCGTGCTCGGGGCTGGAACCTGGCACTGGCAAGATCCCTGGCACCCAGAGAGTACTGAATAAACACGCCCACAGGAAGGAGCTCATCACGAAAAGCAGTGTGCACTGCCCGGGGACAGTGTAATTAAGCAACGAGATCACTCACAGACCATGTCCCTCCAACTGCAAACCTCTGCTGGGGAAGCTGGGCAGGGACTAAAGCAAGAAACCCCGAGACCCCGACCCCAAGAAGGCCTGGATGCCAGTCCTGGAAGGTGCCTTCCTTAAAGATTCTGGCCTCGTGTTTTACAATGAGGGAGGTGAGGTCCAGGGACAAAGTTTCTCTGACTTGGTGTCCTGGGTTTTTTCCACAAGCTCACCAACAATTGTGCAGGGAATGGGAGGGATGTTTAAATCCTATTATCTGTGAGAAAGATGACAGGATATTTCTCCTCCCTCCGCTTATCTCCCTAACTCACGCTTTGGCTTTCCTGTGCTGCCTGTGGTCCCTGGCACTGCGGTTTCTAAGGGGGAGTGCACTGTCCAGGCTCTCTTTCTTGGCTTCTGCATTTTAAAGCAAGGTTTCTCAGGTGAGGCCTGGCTGACATTTTGGGCTGGTCATTCTTCGTTGTGGGGGGCCACTCTGCACTTTATAGGGTGTCGAACAGCATCCCTGGCCTCTGCCTACTTGATGCCAGGAGGACCCCCACCCCGATGTGTGACAACTAAAAATGTTTCCAGACACTGCCAAATGTTCCCTGGAGGGCCCTGTTGAGAATCACTGGGTTTTGTTACGTTTTTTTTTTGTTTTTTGACACAGAATCTCGCTATGTTGGTCAGGCTAGAGTGCAACGGTGTGATCACCACTCACTTTCGCCTCAACTTCCCAGGCTCAAGCCATCCTTCAACCTCAGCCTCCCGAGGAGCTGGGACCACAGGTGTGTGCCACCGTGCCTGGCTGATTTTTTTATTTTTTGTAGAGACAATGTCTCACTACGTTGCCTAGGCTGGTCTTGAATTCCCTTAAGCGATCCTCCCGGCCTAGGCCCCACAGGGTGCTGGGACTATAGGTACAAGCCACCGTGCCCTGCTGAGAATCACTGTTTTAAGGAATTCGTTCTACAGCAAATATGACTGAGGGGTGCATGTGAACCAGATGATATTTCCTCTTTTCGCTTTCCAGGACCTGAATGCAGTCAGGCTAGAGCCCCGGATTCCTCAGATCTCGGCTGCTCTTTGTTTTCGGAGCATGTGGAGGCACTGAGGGCCAGGCACCATTCCACACCTTAAATTCCCTCAGTCTGAACAGACACCAGGATCTGCCCTAGGGGCCTCAGCCATCAGTGCGACACCTTCGCTAGTGACTGGCATTGTTTAACTACAGAATGAACTGGACCGACCCCTCTTTTCTTCAGCTGGCCAGCTCTGAACTATCAACACAGCCCTGTCAGCATCTCTTCACCAAGCCTTCTCTTGCGCCACATGGGGCTCAGGGCCCTGACTCTGGGCTGCTTTCCTTAGCCCCTCTGCCTCACACACTAACCATGTGGCCATGCTGGCAGGGACGGCACTGCAGTCACCTCTGAGGCCTCAGGGCCTGGCACAATGCACACAGATTTGTGGAACAGCTGGCTGAACAGATTCGAGATCTATCTAGTCTGTATCAAGGACTTTCTGTTGGCTTTTGGCAGGAGCCCTAAGAACCGCTATGGGGACACGAGGAATGGCGTGGGCAGGTGAAGGGCTGCGGTTTCCACCTCCGGAGAGTGAAGGACCTACCGTCAGGGCCTGGAGCGCCTCCCATTCCTGTGGGGACTGGATCTTGTGGGCCAGCAGTCGGACGGCGATCTGTGGCCTGGGGGACAAGCAGAACACACTCCAGTGCACTAAGCCTGGGGCTACCTGGCTGGCCCTCCTTGGCCATGGTTGTTCCCCTTCCCAGTCCGCTCCCTCTCAGCTGCCCCCACAGTGCTGAGACTCACCCTTCCAGCTCCTTGTTGATCTGATCACAGAAGCCAATTATGTATTCCCAGTCCTCCTGGCGGTTGGAAGGATTGGTGGCTTTATCTTGCAACACAACAAAGAAGAGGACAAGTGTTAGGAAGAGCAATGAGGATGCAATGGAAGGTTTTCTTCGCAAGTTTTAAGCACTAAGAGTTTGCTTTCAACTTTACTCTCTAATAGAGAAGCCTCAGTAGAACAGTCAGTAGCAAGGAGACAGAAAAAAAAAAAATTCAGTCGGAGAGCAAATACAAATACTGCTTTCTGTCCAGTATTTTGAAAGTCACAAATAAAAGAGAAAACAAATTCTGTCTCATGAAGCTTAGAGTGGAATCAAGGTCAAAAGGACAAACACAAATAATTAAAATATTCCCAAAAAAATGCCTACATGAAACATGTAAAGATAATAAAGGGAACTCCAGCTATATAAAAATGAGCTCAGTGTTAAGCAAGTGGAGATGGTCAAGAAGGGTTTTTGGGGAAACTGAAATCAGACTGAACTAGATAAAAAAATACATATTTGTAACCACAAATTTTTTTTTTTTTTTTGACATGGAGTCTCGCTCTTGTTGCCCAGGCTGTAGTACAGTGGCACGATCTCGGCTCATTGCAGCCTCTGCCTCCCGGGTTCAAGTGATTCTCCTGCCTCAGCCTCCCAAGTAGCTGGGACTACAGGTGCATACCACCATGCCCAACTAATTTTGTATTTTTGGTAGAGACGGGGTTTCTCCATGTTGGTCAGGCTGGTCTCAAACTCCCGACCTCAGGTGATCGGCCCGCCTTGGCCTCCCAAAGTGCTGGGATTACAGGCGTGAGTCACCGCGCCCAGCGAATATTTTCCACATACCTGTCAAAAGGTTTTTCCAGACCTAGCCTTCCATAATGCTTTAAGTGTTTTTGAAATTGCACATAATGCTCATCATTGTCAAGCCAACAACATTTACTTAGCCCCTACTAAGCCCTGGTCACCGTGCAACTTGCCTGGGATTGCAGCTTGAGTATCTAGCACCCCCAGGCTCTAATGGCCTTCCATGGTCAAGCACAAACACAAGTACTAGAGTTCTCAGAGGGCCCCTGGGATTTAAAATCCAGGCACCAAATGCAAAGTTCTGATATTTGGCATGGGCTCTCCTCAGTTACCTTCCCAAACCTGTGATTACACTGAAGAGCCCAGCTGAGGGTGGTTACATGGGTTCCCATCTCTGATTCAGGTCCAGAGCCTCCCTCTTCAGAAAGCACTCTCCAGCTGTTTGCTAAATTTAGGGCTTTGGGTTCTGAAGACAAATGGAAGGCTGAAGACGCACACCCCTTAAAACACTCCTGCTCCCTCCCCAGATCTCTATGAGGGCCCAAAGCAGGGTGTCAGAGCCCCTCCCGACAAGGCCCTCTCTGTCATTACTTTCTGAATTCTGATTTCTCATAATTGTATTTTGTTAACTTTAAAAATCACCAGCTACGGGGCCGGGCGTGGTGGCTCACGCCTGTAATCCCAGCACTTTGGGAGGCCGAGGCGGGCGGATCACGAGGTCAGGAGATCGAGACCATCCTGGTTAACACGGTGAAACCCCCTCTCTACTAAAAATACAAAAAGTTAGCTGGGCAAGGTGGCGGGCGCCTGTAGTCCCAGCTACTCGGTAGGCTGAGGCAGGAGAATGGCGCGAACCCGGGGGGTGGAGTCTGCAGTGAGCTGAGATCGCACCACTGCATTCCAGCCTGGGCGACAGCGAGACTCCGTCTCAAAAAAAAAAAAAAAAAAAAAAAAAATCACCAGCTGGGCCGGGTGCAGTGGCTCACGCCTGTAATCCCAACACTTTGGGAGGCCGAGGCAGGCGGATCACCTGAGGTCAGGAGTTCAAGACCAGCCTGACCAACATGGAGAAACCCCATCACTACTAAAAATACAGAATTAGCTGGGCATGGTGGCACATGCCTGTAGTCCCAGCTACTCAGGAGGCTGAGGCAGGAAAATCGCTTGAACCTGGGAGGCAGAGGTTGCCTTGAGCCGAGATCGTGCCATTGCACTCCAGCCTGGGCAACAAGTGAAAACTCTGTCTAAAAAAAAAACAAAAACAAAAACAAAAAAAACAAAACAAAAAAAAAAAAACTCACCAGCTGGATGAACACATCATAACAGAGACTCCAGCTCCTTCACTGGCAACAGGGCTGCAGGGATCTGAGTAGCGACAGCTGCCAGGCAGAGGGAAGGCCCGTGGCACCCAGTGTATCACCCTGCTTCCCAGGTCGGGGCTCGGCCTCCCCGGCAGTGTTTCTGTTGTGGCTGCAAGGGGAAGATTCTGATGGTTTAGGTTCATATTTATTTATTTATTTATTTTGAGATTGAGTCTCGCTGTGTCACCCAGGCTGGAGTGCAGTGGCGCGATCTAGGCTCACTGCAACCTCCACCTCCCAGGTTCGAGCTATTCTCCTGCCTCAGCCTCCCGAGTAGCTGGGATTATAGGCATGCGCCACTATGCCTGGCTACTTTTTGTATTTTTAGTAGAGATGGGGTTTCGCCATGGTGGCCAGGCCTCCTGACCTCAGGTAAGGAGGTCAAGACCAGCCCTGGCCTCCCAAAGTGCTGGGATTACAGGCGGGAGCCACCGCACCCCGCCTAGGTTCCTCTTTAGAAGAAAAAGAAGGTGTCTGTCTTCAATCTTGAAAGAGAATTAACAGGTCCTTCAAAATCTGGAGCTTGAAAGGAGGGGAGTTAAATGTAATCAAGGGTAGCCATTTGGAAAGAAATGTCTGGCAATCCTGCATTACTGTATGGTAGCCTACCAGCTATCACATTCCAAATGCCAAGTCTCTCCCACCAATTGTCTGAAATTTCCTCAGGCATTAGCGTAGCTCTGTTACTAATTCCTATCAGGTGCTTAAAGTTCTCACATAACACCAAAAGTCTACAGGGTACAAAAATTGAATGGTCTGAGAAGCAATCCCCATCCCCCAGGGCTATTATTTTGGGAACAGTCATACACCTTGTGACAGAAGAAAAACTGGCCCACTCACTTTCACTTTTTGCACGGGGAAAAGCATCTTCTGAGTACAGAGTAAAATGTGGATCCCCCCAACCCCCGAAGCAACTGGTATTCACCATACGTTATCTTCTTCCCAAGTCTATTAGACTTCCAACAGCATTTCTACTTCCAAGAACACTCCTGCCCACTTTTCACTTGTATTAATTTCTCTAGAATCTCACTTTCTTCCACCTTGATAGACCTTTTTATGGCAAATCCACAGGGAGCTCTTTGCCTACTCACGGGCACAAAAAGCCCTAGTTTCTGCAATGGTCAGTTCCATGTCTATCTCCTCCAGCTCTCTGGGCAGCTCAGAAAGCAGAGCTCACCCGCCCACAGGAACGGGAAGGAACCTCTGGGGATAATTCTGGGTGACTTGATCTTTCCATCTGCCTACTGCCTCCCCAGCAGATGCACACAGCCTCCCACCCACTCAACATTTCCTTCACCTGGCATAGAGGTGACACCCGAGCTTCCCCTATAGACCTTGCCTTCCCGAACCGCCCCTCCGGGCTCTGCTCTGACTCATGGTTTCTGTCTATTTTCGAGTCTCTGTTGAAAGCCTCATCTGTTTCTGTGTCTCTGGATTTCCTGCTTTCATTTTTCAGCTTCACTCCATCGCTAGCCTACTCTCGTGGGACTTAAAACGTCATGTGGGGATGGAAACAGCAGCATTGGGTACCCCATTCCAGCACGGCTCAAACATTCCAGAGAAAACAAGATCTACATAGCAGGCTGGATGCGGTGGCTCACGCCCGTAATCTCAGCACTTTGGGAGGCCAAGGCAGGTGGATCATTTGAGGTCAGGAGTTCAAGACCAGCCTGTTCAACATGGTGAAATCCTGTCTCTACTAAAAATACTAAAATTAGCTAGGCACGGTAGCACACACCTGTAATCTCAGCTACTTGAAGGCTGAGGCTGGAGAACTGCTTGAACCCAGGAGGCAGAGGTTGCAGTGAGCCATGATTGTACCACTGCACTCCAGCCTGGGCAACAGAGTGAGACTCCATCTCCAAAAAAAAAAAAAAAAAAAATTATATACATATGGTCTGGGCACGGTGGCTCACGCCTGTAATCCCAGCACTTTGGGAGGCCGAGGCAGGCGGATCACCTGCGTGAGGTTAGGAGTTCGAGACCAGCCTGACCAACATGGTGAAACCCCATCTCTACTAAAAACACAAAATTAGCTGGGCATGGTTCCGCGCACCTGTGATCCCAGCTACTCAGGAGGCTAAGGCAGGAGAACCACTTGAACCCAGGAGGCAGAGGCTGCAGTGAGCTGAGATCAGGCCATTGCACTCCAGCCTGGGCCACAGAGTGAGGCTCCATCTCCAAAAAGAAAAATCTACGTAACAAATGACTTACAAACAAGCAGAAGCAAGAACATGGGCTGGAAAGGGAATAAAGGTCAACCTTCACTAGGGTCCTGAATGGAAACACAAACTTAGTCAATCACCAAGTCTTTGTTAAGCACCCGCAGACAATGAAGTAAACAGCATGTCAGCATGCCAGACCCTGGAGGGACTACAGAAAAAGTTCCAGACACAGATTTTACCCTCAAGGAGGCTGTGCTCTCCTGGTTCAATACATGAAAAAAAAAAAAAATCAGTTCAAAAAACAAGACAGTAGATAATTGGGCTAATTTGGTACAGAAATGAGTGTAAAAACAAATGTATGGCCCAGGCACGGTGGCTCACACCCGCAATCCCAGCATTTTGAGAGGCTGAGGTGGGTGGATCGCGAGGTCAGGAGTTCAAGACCAGCCTGGCTAAGATAGTGAAACCCTGTCTCTACTAAAACTACAAAAATTAGCCAGGCGAAGTGGCAGGCGCCTGTAATCCCAGCTACTTGGGAGGCTGAGGCAGGAGAATCGCTTTAACCCAGGCGGCAGAGGTTGCAATGAGCTGAGATTGTGCCACTGCACTCTAGCCTGGGCGACTAGAGTGAGACTCCTTCTCAAAAAAAAAAAAAAAAAAAAAAGCATCACTTCTTTTTCCTGACTTCCCCATTTCTTTTTCTTCTTCCTTTTTTTTTCTTTTTTGAGACAGGGTCTCACTCTGTCACTCAGGCAAGAGTGCAGTGGTGCGATCATGGCTTCACTGTAGCCTCAACTTCCCAGGCTCAGATGATTCTTCTACCTCAGCCTAGCTGGGACCACAGACACTCACATCACACCTAGCTAATTTTTTGTACTTTTGGTAGAGACAGAATTTTGCCATGTTGCTCAGGCTGGTCTTGAACTCCTAGGCTCAAGCAATCTGCCTGCCTTTAACTCCCAAGGTGCTAGGATTACAGGTGTGAGTCCCAGTGCCTGGCGTCTTTCGTTTTTTTTTTTCTTTTTTGTTGTTTGAGACGGGGTCTCACTCTGTCACCCAGGTTGGAGTGCAGTGGCTCTTACAGCTCACTGCAGTCTCTGCCTCCCAGGCTCAAGTGATCCTCCCACCTCAACCTCCTGAGTAGCTGGGACCACCCACAGGCGTGTGCTTGTTCTTTTTTTAGAGATGGGGGTCTCACTCTATTGCCCCGGGCTGCAGTAGGCGATCATGGCTCACTGTAGCCTCCAACTCCTGGGCTCAGGCGATGCTCCCACCTCAGCCTCCTGAGTAGCTGGGACCACAGGAATGAGCCACTGCATGTGGTCTATTAAGTCACTATTCCTATAAATGCTGCACCTTCCAAAAGTCCCCTATTCCCCCACCTCTTTTTTGACTCCTTCTTCCCTCTCTCCTCATCCATTCCTCTCAGTCTTGTGGTCCTTTCCTTCTCAATGTCTTCTTAAATCCCTTCCTTCCTTATCCCTACCCTCCACTCCTTCTCACCTGCTTCTAGAACTTCTGTTCTAATCCATCCTAATCCTATGTAAAGTCCCTATTGTCAGGCCTCTGAGCCCAAGCCAAGCCATGGCATCCCCTATGACTTGCACGTATACATCCAGATGGCCTGAAGTAACTGAAGATCCACAAAAGATGTAAAAATAGCCTTACCTGATGACATTCCAGCATTGTGATTTGTTTCTGCCCCACCCTAACTGATCAATGTACTTTGTAATCTCCCCCACCCTTAAGAAGGTTCTTCGTAATTCTCCCCACCCTTGAGAATGTACTTTGTGAGATCCATCCCTGCCCGCAAAACATTGCTCTTAACTTCACCGCCTATCCCAAAACCTATAAGAACTAATGATAATCCACCACACCATTTGCTGACTCTCTTTTCGGACTCAGCCCGCCTGCATCCAGGTGAAATAAACAGCCATGTTGCTCACACAAAGCCTGTTTGGTGGTCTCTTCACATGGACGCGCATGAAATTTGGTGCCATGACTCGGATCGCGGGACCTCCCTTGGGAGATCAATCCCCTGTCCTCCTGTTCTTTGCTCCGTGAAAAAGATCCACCTACGACCTCAGGTCCTCAGACCCACCAGCCCAAGGAACATCTCACCAATTTTAAATCAGGTAGGCGGCCTCTTCTTACTCTCTTCTCCAACCTCTCTCACTATCCCTCAACCACTTTCTCCTTTCCACTCTTCAATCTCTCCCTTCTCTTAATTTCAATTCCTTTCATTTTCTGGTAGAGACAAACGAGACACGTTTTATCCGTGGACCCAAAACTCTGGCGCTGGTCACAGACTGGGAAGGCAGCCTTTCCTTGGTGTTTAATCATTGCAGGGACACCTCTCTGATTATTCACTCACGTTTCAAAGGTGTCAGACCACTCAGGGACGCCTGCCTTGGTCCTTCACCCTTAGCGGCAAGTCCTGCTTTTCTGGGGGAGGGGCAAGTACCACAACCCCTTCTCTCCGTGTCTCTACCCCTTCTCTGCATTTCTGGGGGAGGGGCAAGTACCCCTCAACCCCTTCTCCTTCACCCTTAGCGGTAAGTCCCGCTTTTCTAGGGGGCAAGAACCCCCAATCCCTTATTTCCGCACCCCGACCTCTTATCTGTGTGCCCCAATCCCTTATTTCCACACCCTGACCCCTTTCCTGCTTTTCTGGAGGGTAAGAACCCTCGAACCCCTTCCCTCCGTGTCTCTACTCTCTCTTTTCTCTGGGCTTGCCTCCTTTACTATGGGCAACCTTCCAGCCTCCATTCCTCCTTCTCCCTTAGCCTGTGTTCTCAAGAACTTAAAACCTCGTCAACTCGCACCTGACCTAAAACCTAAATGCCTTATTTTCTTCTGCAACACCGCTTGGCCCCAGTACAAACTTGACAATGGCTCTAAATGGCCAGAAAACGGCACTTTCGATTTCTCCATCCTATAAGACCTAAATAATTTTTGTCAAAAAATGGGCAAATGGTCTGAGGTGCCTCACATCCAGGCATTTTTCACACTTCGTTCCCTCTCAAGTCTCTGTTCCCAATGCGATTCCTCCCAAATCCTCCTTCTTTCCCTCCCGCCTGTCCCCTCAGTCCCAACCCCAAGTGTCGCTGGGTCTTTCCAGTCTTTTCTACAGACCCATCTGACCTTTCCCCTTCTCCTCAGGCTGCTCGTCGCCAGGCCATCTAGGTCCCAATTCTTCCTCAGCCTCTGCTCCTCCACCCTAGAATCCTTTTATCACCTCCCCTCCTCACACCTGGTCCAGCTTACAGTTTCGTTCAGTGACTGGCCCTCCCCCACCTGCCCAGCAATTTACTCTTAAAAAGGTGGCTGGAGCTAAAGGCATAGTCAAGGTTAATGCTCCTTTTTCTTTATCCCAAATCAGAAGCGTTTAGGCTCTTTTTCATCAAATATAAAAATCCAGCCCAGTTCATGGCTCGTTCGGCAGCAACCCTGAGACGCTTTACAGCCCTAGACCCTAAGAGGTCAAAGGGCCGTCTTATTCTCAATATACGTTTTATTACCCAATCTGCTCCCGACATTAAATAAAACTCCAAAAATTAAATTCCGGCCCTCAAACCCCACAACAGGACTTAATTAACCTCGCCTTCAAGGTGTACAATAATAGAGTAGAGGCAGCCAAGTAACAACATATTTCTGAGTTGCAATTCCTTACCTCCACTGTGAGACAAACCCCAGCTACATCTCCAGCACACAAGAACTTCCAAACGCCTAAACCGCAGTGGCCAGGCATTCCTCCATAACTGCCTCCCCCAGGAGCTTGCTACAAGTGCCAGAAATCTGGCCACCGAGCCAAGGAATGCCCGCAGCCCGGGATTCCTCCTAAGCGAGTCCCATCTGTGTGGGACCCCACTGAAAATTGGACTGTTCAACTCACCTGACAGCCACTCCCAGAGCCCCTGGAACTCTGGCCCAAGGCTCTCTGACTCCTTCCCAGATCTTCTCGGCTTAACGGCTGAAGACTGACGCTGCCCGATCGCCTCGGAAGCCCCATAGACCATCACAGATGCCGAGCTTTAGGTAACTCTCACAGTGGAGAGTAAGTCCGTCCTCTTCTTAATCAATACGGAGGCTACCCACTCCACATTACCTTCTTTTCAAGGGCCTGTTTCCCTTGCCTCCATAACTGTTGTGGGTATTGACAGCCAGGCTTCTAAACCTCTTAAAACTCCCCAACTCTGGTGCCAACTTAGACAATACTCTTTTAAGCACTCGTTTTTAGTTATCCCCACCTGCCCAGTTCCCTTATTAGGCCGAGACACTTTAACTAAATTATCTGCTTCCCTGACTATTCCTGGGTTACAGCTACATCTCATTGCTGCCCTTTCCAATCCAAAGCCTCCTTTGCGTCCTCCTCTTGTATTCCCCCCCACCTTAACCCACAAGTATAAGATACCTCTACTCCCTCCTTGGCGACCGATCATGCACCCCTTACCATCTCATTAAAACCTAATCACCCTTACCCCGCTCAATGCCAATATCCCATCCCACAGTATGCTTTGAAAGGAGTAAAGCCTGTTATCACATGCCTGCTACAGCATGGCCTTTTAAAGCCTATAAACTCTCCTTACAATTCCCCCATTTTACCTGTCCTAAAACCAGACAAGCCTTACAAGTTAGTTCAGGATCTATGCCTTATCAACCAAATTGTTTTGCCTATCCACCCCATGGTACCAAACCATATACTCTCCTATCCTCAATACCTCCCTCCACAATCCATTATTCTGTTCTGGATCTCAAACATGCTTTCTTTACAATTCCTTTGCACCCGTCATCCCAGCCTCTCTTTGCTTTCACTTGGACTGACCCTGACATCCATTAGGCTCAGCAAATTACCTGGGCTGTACTGCTGCAAGGCTTCACAGACAGCCCCCATTACTTCAGTCAAGCCCAAATTTCATCCTCATCTGTTACCTATCTCGGCATAATTCTCATGAAAACACACGTGCTCTCCCTGCTGATCGTGTCCGATTAATCTCCCAAACCTCAATCCCTTACAAAACAACAACTCCTTTCCTTCCTAGGCATGGTTAGTGTGTCAGAATTCTTACACAAGAGCCAGGACCGCACCCTGTAGTCTTTCTGCCCAAACAACTTGACCTTACTGTTTTAGCCTAGCCCTCATGTCTGCTTGCAGTGGCTGCCGCTGCTTTAATACTTTTAGAGGCCCTAAAAATAACAAACTATGCTCAACTCACTCTCTACATTTCTCATAACTTCCAATATTATTTTCTTCCTCATACCTGATGCATATACTTTCTGCTCCCCGGCTCCTTCAGCTGTACTCACTCTTTGTTAAGTCCCACAATTACCACTGTTCCTGGCCCGGACCTCAATCTGGCCTCCCACATTATTCCTGATACCACACCTGACCCCCATGACTGTATCTCTCTGATCCACCTGACATTCACCCCATTTCCCCATATTTCCTTCTTTCCTGTTCCTCACCCTGATCACGCTTGATTTATTGATGGCAGTTCCAGCAGGCCTAATCGCCACACAGCAGCAAAGGCAGGCTATGCTATAGTACAAGCCACTAGCCCGCCTCTTAGAACCTCATTTCCTTTCCATTGTGGAAATCTATCCTCAAGGAAATAACTTCTCAGTGTTCCATCTGCTATTCTACTACTCCTCAGGGATTATTCAGGCCCCCTCCCTTCCCTACACATCAAGCTTGAAGATTTGCCCCCACCCAGGACTGGCAAATTAGCTTTACTCAACATGCCCCGAGTCAGATAACTAAAATACCTCTTAGTCTAAGTAGACACTTTCACTAGGTAAGTAGAGGCCTTTCCTACAGGGTCTGAGAAGGCCACCGCAGTCATTTCTTCCCTTCGGTCAGACACAATTCCTCAGTTTAGCCTTCCCACCTCTATACAGTCTAACAGACCAGCCCTTATTAGTCAAATCAGCCAAGCAGTTTCTCAGGCTCTTAGTATTCAGTGAAACCTTTATATCCCTTACGGTCCTCCGTCTTCAAGAAAAGCAGAACGGACTAAAGGTCTTTTAAAAACACTTCACCAAGCTCAGCCACCAACTTAAAAAGGACTGGACAATACTTTTACCACTTTCCCTTCTCAGAAGTCAGACCTGTCCTCAGAATGCTACAAGGTACAGCCCATTTAAGCTCCTGTATAGATGCTCCTTTTTATTAGGCCCCAGTCTCATTCCAGACACCAGACCAACTTAGACTGTGCCCCCCCCCCCAAAAAAAACCTGTCATCATCCCTACTATCTTCTGTCTAGTCATACTCCTATTCAACGTTCTCAACTACTCATACATGCCCTGCTCTTGTTTACACTGCTGGTTTACACTGTTTCTCCAAGCCATCACAGGTGATATCTCCTCGTGCTATCCCCAAACTGCCACTCTTAACTCTTGAAGTAAATAAATAATCTTTGCTGGCAGGACTATGCTGAATCTCCTTAGGCACTCTCTAATCAGATGTCCTAGGTCCTCCCAATTCTTAGACCTTTTATACCTGTTTTTCTCCTTCTCTTATTCCACTTAGTTTTTCAATTCATACAAAACCATATCCAGGCCATCACCAATCATTCTATACGACAAATGTTTCTTCTAACATCCCCACAAGATCTCCCTTCGGCTTAATCTCTCCCACTCTAGGTTCCCACGCCGCCCCTAATCCCACTTGAAGCAGCCCTGAGAAACATCGCCCATTCTCTCTCCATACCACCCCACAAAAATTTTCGCTGCCCCAACACTTCAACACTATTTTGTTTTATTTTTCTTATTAATATAAGAAGGCAGGAATGTCAGGCCTGAGCCCAAGCCAAGCCATCGCATCCCCTATGACTTGCACGTACACATCCAGATGGCCTGACGTAACTGAAGATCCACAAAAGAAGTAAAAATAGCCTTAACTGATGACATTCCACCATTGTGATTTGTTTCTGCCCCACCCTAACTGATCAATGTACTTTGTAATCTCCCCCACCCTTAAGAAGGTTCTTCGTAATTCTCCCCACCCTTGAGAATGTACTTTGTGAGATCCATCCCTGCCCGCAAAACATTGCTCTTAACTTCACCGCCTATCCCAAAACCTGTAAGAACTAATGATAATCCACCACCCTTTGCTGACTCTCTTTTCGGACTCAGCCTGCCTGCATCCAGGTGAAATAAACAGCCATGTTGCTCACACAAAGCCTGTTTGGTAGTCTCTTCACACGGACGCGCATGAAACCTATATCAAATCAAGCCTCTTAAGACACCAAAACACCGATTTCACCTAGTACAGAAGGAATGAGGGCCTGATAACTGCAGAAATTTAAACTTCTTCGGCTGGGCTGGGCGTGGTAGCTCAAGCCTGTAATCCCAACACTTTGGAGGGAGCTGAGGCAGGTGGCTCACTTGAGGTCAAGAGTTTGACAACAGCCTGGCCAACATGGTGAAACCCCATCTCTACTAAAAATACAAAAATGAGCCAGGTGTAGTGGCACATACCAGTAGTCCCAGCTACTTGGGAGGCTGAGGATGGAGAATTGCTTGCACCTAAGCAACGGAAGTTGCAGTGAGCCGAGATTGTGCCACTGCATTCCAGCCTGGGTGACAGTGCAAGACTCTGTCTCAAATAAATAAATAAATAAAATAAACTTCTTGGGCTGGAAATTGGAGACTTGGTAGAATCTGGTCTTAACTTCCCAGCCTTATCTTCCCTCATTCCCAAACACCTCTGTTACTGTGTGCCCCAAACAGGTTTGCTCTCTCCACATCACCATCTAGTGTTTTTTTTTTTCCAACTTTTCCCATTATTTAATGGCTAGCTCAAATGGAGTATCCTCAATGAATCATCTCTTCCCCCATCCCCAGTTCCCTAAAGAGAATGCCGGCGTTTTAGCACTGCCTTGTATCTTTTTTTTTTTTTTTTTTGGAGACGGAGTCTCGCTCTGTCACCGAGGCTGGAGTGCAGTGGCACAATCCCAGCTCACTGCAAGCTCCACCTC
This sequence comes from Homo sapiens, assembly GCF_000001405.40. Lineage (NCBI taxonomy): Eukaryota > Metazoa > Chordata > Mammalia > Primates > Hominidae > Homo > Homo sapiens. Next base: position 75,259,045 of record NC_000017.11, read on the forward strand.
TCGGGTTCACACCATTCTCCTGCCTCAGCCTCCCGTGTAGCTGGGACTACAGGCGCCCGCCACTACGCCTGGCTATTTTTTTGTATTTTTTAGTAGAGACGGGGTTTCACTGTGTTAGCCAGGATGGTCTCGATCTCCTGACCTCGTGATCCACCCGCCTCGGCCTCCCAACGTGCTGGGATTACAGGAGAGTTCTTCATCCACTCCAGCATCACCTCCATCCAACTAAAGGCAAAATCTTCTTAAACTTCCTAACTCCTATAACACCCCACGTAGCAGGTACTCATTAAACATTGATTGATTGATCATGGTGGGACTTGAAAGAAGACTGAAGTCATCAAGAGATGGTTTGTGAGAAAAGAGAATCTGAGATGGGTTTTCAAGCATTTAGTTGAGGAAACGGGAGCAGGGCTTCCAGGTAAGGAGAGCAACGTGTATTGGTAAACCAAGAACATCAGACTGAGTAGAGCAGGAAAACGTAGAAGCCACAGAGAAAAAGGCCTGGAACAACCAAGGCCAGATTACAGGCAACAGTGGAATGATTTGATTCAACACAAGTGCGCTTCTGGGAGCAGAATGGACTGAGGAGAGGTGAGGACGGGAGAGACCTGGGTCTCTGGGCCAAGCAGAGGCTTCTGCAACAATTCAGGCAAACGTGGGGTGACAAGGACGCTGACTGAGACGATGCTGAACCCCAACTGCTGGTTTGTTCAACTGGTACAGTTCACATTAAGTCGTAACAACTGTGAAGCTTATGTCTCTACAGATACCATGTGACTCCCCCCCACCAAGTGTGTCCCTCTCATTTCATAATGTGACTCTAGGCTGGGTGCGGTAGCTCACGTGTGTAATCCCAGCGCTTTGTAAGGGAAAGGTGGGAGGATCACTTGAACTCGAGTTTGAGACCATCCTGGGCAACACAGCAAGACCTCATCTCTACTAAAAATCAAAAGAATTAGCCAAGCATGGTGGCGTGTGCCTATAGTCCCAGCTACTCAGGAGGCTGAGGTAGAAGACTTATTTGAGCACAGGGGTTCAAGGCTGCAGTGAGCTATGATCGCACCCCTGCACTCCAGCCTAGACAACAGCGCGCGAGACTCTGTCTCAAAAACAAGTAACAAAAACAAAATGTAACTCTAAATGTAGCCTATTAAACTCAGCTTAGGTCATTTAAATTATTCAATACCCATATTAATACCTTCAAAGCAAACTAATTCCACTCTGGTTATAGCAAGTTGGGCATTTCTGGGCAAGTGGTTTGACTGGAGTCAGGATGTCCTCTTTTTGTGAAATTATGGCAGTAGTGCCTGCTTTGCTAGAATACTTGGTAAACTAATTTAATGAATATCTGTAAAGTACTTTGAGCTCCTTGGAGAACACTTCCATATATAAAGAAGCCTTATGACCTGCCTGCAACTGCAGATTTTGCAAACGTGATCTTACTTTTTCTCTCTTTTGGGATATGCTCCCCTTTAAACTGAAGCTCAACCTCCTGAAGGGGGTTTCTTACTAGGAAAAATCAGACAATTTGAGGAAATAGCTATCACCTCCAAGATCCCGGAAGCAGTACTAAATAAGAGACCTCAGAACAAGGCAATACTAGGTATCTCACCTATCCCATTACCAGTCCAATTTCTCTCTCCACTTAAAGGAGGCTTCCAGGTCTAGCCTACAGGAAAGTTCACTTATTAACCCTCAGGCAGAGTACTACCTGCTAACCAGGTTAACACACATTTCCTTCGTAGCACTGTAATTCACAGTGCAATGACAGCAATACGCTTCTATAACTACAGCTTCAGACTGTGCTCCTCAGCCTTACTCAGAATAGGCTATCAACACTGACTCGTTAGGATATTCAAGGGGGTATATGTATGTGTGTGGGGGGGGAATTCCCGACACCGATTTCACCATGCTTCTGTGGTCACTGCAGGAAAAAGGTAGAGCTCTCTGTTCTCTATCATCGCTCTCTTTGGAATATTATTCTCACTTCAAGCATTCTGCCTGAGCGAAGCCGTCACTTCTCCAACACATGGTCACAATTCTGAAGCTGCCAGGCGACTGAACGCAGTCGGCAGCACCCACCACTACCGGAGACTCAGCCCCAATCCGAAGCTTCTCCCTTAGTCAGGGATTGGGGCGCTGGGTTCCTGGTGTCACCGCCGGGCGGCGACCCCACCACAATCTCCCCAAAGCGCCGAAGCATGTCAGCCCGAAGATCTTGGCTGTCGCCTTTCCCCGAGCCTGCGGTGCCCGACAGGAGCCCGAGTTCACGCCGCCGCGCGCCAGAGCAAGAGGACGCGCCGCAGCGAGGGAAGCGGGGGCCGGACTGGGGCCCGGCGCCCTGATAGGGAAGGGGCGTGATCGCAGGCTGCTCGCGGCGAGGGCGAGACCGGGCGTGGGCTGCCAAGAGGCGACGCCGTGGAGCCCGGGGAGGGGACGTGGGGGTGAAGACAGGGGCAGCCCAGCGGCTCGAGGGCAGGCAGAAACGGCCGCGGCTACTCACTGAGCCAGGACTCCAGGCTTTCCCCTTCCGCCTCCGCCATATTGCAGCCGCCCGGCCCCGCGGCTTCAAAACTCGCGAGAGTCTGCACGAGCTGAGACGGGGCGGGGCCTGCATGGGGTCCTGAGAGGAGTGAGTGCCGTCACCGAGGGCCGCGCCAGACTGCGACGGATACAGGGAGGGCAAGGGTTTCCTTTTGGCGCTCCCCTTTGGACCCCGGAGTGAAAAACTCTAACGTCCAGATCAGTGGAGAGAAACGCAGATTTAGGACCCTGAGGAGTCTTTTTCACCCGTTTCCCGTCACTCGCTCAGGCGCGCCGAGGGCAGTCCTTGTGGGGTCCTCGTGGCCAGCCAAGATGGCTGCCCCCGCAGTGAAGGTTGCCCGAGGATGGTCGGGCCTGGCGTTGGGCGTGCGGCGGGCTGTCTTGCAGCTTCCAGGGTGAGAGGGTGGCGAGCAGCGGCGGGGGGGCGCTGCGAGGAAGGAAGGGGGCCACAGGCAGGCCGCGTGGGCCCCTAGAGAGAGCATTGCCCTGGGGGCCGGAGTATCTGGATTCAAGCTTCTAAGTTAGCTGCGTGACCCTGCGCCAATCCGAAGGTTTAGTGACTACCTCTCGCCTAAGGAGTCTGGCTGATCTAGGGTTCTAACGCGGAGCTGAAAGTGCGGTTCAGCTAAAGAGCTCAGATCTGGGATCGCCTGTGAATTGGGATGGGTGTGTAGGCGCCAAGCCCATCCTTACCGTTAGCACTTGACCAGGAGGAGACTTTACCCGCCTGCTTGGGGAATGTCCTCCTACTTGGGACAAGGGCCTGAATTGTTGTGGCTCAGGTTTAGCTCGCGGTCTCCGCGCCGCTCCCCCTCGTCGGCGCGTTGGCAGTCATGCCTATTGTTAAGTCAAACCTACTCGCTTGTGGAGTCAGCTTTTGCCTGCCTCCTCCTTTCCCCCCCTCCCAGGCTAACTCAGGTGAGATGGAGCCGCTATAGTCCTGAATTCAAGGATCCCTTGATTGACAAGGAATATTATCGCAAGCCAGTGGAGGAGCTAACTGAGGAGGAGAAATATGTTCGGGAGCTCAAGAAGACTCAGCTCATCAAAGCTGCTCCAGCAGGGAAAACAAGTTCTGTGTTTGAAGACCCAGTCATCAGGTTAGATGGAAACAAACACTTGTTACATGGACTGGGACTATCCCAGGGAGGGTTTCTGGTGAGGATTCTGTGATACAGCCTTGGAGAGCTAAACGTGTTGCTTTTCTCTTTGAAGTAAATTCACCAACATGATGATGATAGGAGGAAACAAAGTACTGGCCAGATCCCTCATGATTCAGGTAAACAGCACTTCCCTCCTCAGTCATCTTTCTTGCCCCCCTACCCCGTAGCCTTGTACTTGGTACTTTCAGTGTAGCTTAAGAGCAAATGGATTCATGTATCTATTATTCAGATTAACTTCCCTGCATGTGTACGGGCTTTAATGAAGCCCTGTAAGAGTCAGCAACTGCCATTCCTTGGTGTTTCGGAAGTAAACACACAATTAAAAAAAAAGGAACAAATAAAAAATAAAACAACTGCCATTCCCCACCTCACCCCCCACCCCCTCCATGCCACAAATCTCAATCCACTCTTTCTGTCCTAGTCTAGCAAAGGGGGAGGCACTTAAAAACTTTGTTTTGGATGTGCTGTGAGAGGAGCTGCATTGCCAGCGCAGAACCAGAGGATGGGAGTAAAGGGCAAGGTACTAGCTTGGCTGGGTAAACCCTTTAGGGAGCCTGGGGCAGCCTCTTCCACCATATTCTTTTGCAGACTCTGGAAGCTGTGAAAAGGAAGCAGTTTGAGAAGTACCATGCCGCTTCTGCAGAGGAACAGGCAACCATCGAACGCAACCCCTACACCATCTTCCATCAAGCACTGAAAAACTGTGAGCCTATGATTGGGCTGGTACCCATCCTCAAGGGAGGCCGTTTCTACCAGGTGAATGAATGGCCAGGGCAAGAAAGCAGGGCCCTCCACATGTGAAACAAGATAGGTGGTGCTTGGGAGTTGGGTCAAGATTGATAGCTTTCTAGCTGGTGCAGTGGGATTGCACCTGTAATCTCAGCACTTTGGGAGCCTAATGCAGGATAGCTTGAGCTCAGGAGTTAAGAGACAGCAGGGCAACATAGGGAGATCCCGTCTCTACAAAAAAAACAAAAAAATTAGCCAGGTGTGGTGGTGTGCATCTGTGCTCCCAACTACTCAGGAGGCTGAGGTAGGAGGATCACTTGAGTCCAGGAGGTCAAGGCTGCAGTGAGTTATGATTACGCCCCTGCATTCCAGCCTGGGCAAGAGAGAGAAACCTTGTCTCAGAAAAAAAAAAAAAAAAAACGGCTGGGCACGGTGGCTCACACCTGTAATCCCAGCACTTTGGGAGGCCGAGGTGGATGGATTACCTGAGGTGGGGAGTTCGAGATCAACAAGGAGAAACCCTGTTTCTACTAACAATACAAAATTAGCCAGGTGTGGTGGCACATACCAGTAGTCCCAGCTACTTGGGAGGCTGAAGCAGGAGAATCGCTTGAACCCAGGATGCAGAGGTTGCAGTGAGCCGAGAGCACACCACCGCACTCCAGCCTGGCAACAGAGCAAGACGCCATCTCAAAAAAAAAAAAAAAAAAAGAATTGAGACTGTTACGGTCCACTCATCTGAGTCCTGTAGCGTAAAAATTATAGGCAGAAGGTGGAAGAGAGTGAAGAAGTATCTAAGTGACATCTGGGAGCCCACCTCCCTTCGCCTTCTTCTGTCAAGCATCCTGTGTGTCCTAACCTGTAAAATTCTCATGGCGAGGGACTATTCATATCCTGTCTTTGTATGCCAGTGTTTGGCATAGTGCTTGACCGATAACTGATGCTTCATCAGTGTTTGCTGAACAGTACTAGGTATCTCTTTCATAGCATTTAATTATATTTTATTGTCCTGAGTTTTCTTGTGTTCTCCTTTTTCAATATCAACTCCATGGGGTAGGGACTTCATTATTGTCTGCACTCTCGTGTCTGGCATGGTACTGACGCATAGTGAGGGCCTGACAAATGATTTTTGGACACGGGGTCTTGTTTTTGGTTTTCTTTAACTGTTTGTATAGGGTCTTTTTGTTTTTAACTTTTTTTTTTTTTTTTGAGATGGAGTTTCGCTTTTGTTGCCCAGACTGGAGTGCAGTGCTGTAATCTCAGCTCTCGGCTCACTGCAGCCTCCGCCTCCCGGGTTCAAGAGATTCTCCTGTCTCAGTCCCTGCCCACCCCAAGTAGCTGGGATTACAGGTGGCCGCCACCATGCCCAGCTAATTTTTTTGTATTTTTAGTAGAGACAGGGTTTTGCTGTGTCTGAAGACTGAAGGGGTCTTGTTTTTAGGTACCTATGGTCTGAGGTGGATTAGTCACCCCAGCTAATGGGGCTTTTCCTATTTGGTTCTTATAACAACTTGGTAGGACTACCATTTAGGAGGGAAAATGGCCAGTGCTTTTCTTCTTTTTCTTTTTCTTTTTTTTTGAGACGAAGTCTCGCTCTGTTGCCCAGGCTGGAGTGCAGTGGTGCATTCTTGGCTCACTGCAACCTCCGTCTCCTGGGTTCAAGCATTTCTACCTCAGCCTCCCAAGTAGCTGGGATTACAGGCGCCTGCCACCACGCCCAGCTAATTTTTGCATTTTAGTAGAGACGAGGTTTCACCACATTGGCCAGGCTGGTGTCGAAATCCTGACCTCAGGTAATCCACCTGCCTCAGCCTCCCAAAGTGCTGGAATTACAGGCGTGAACCATCGTGCCTGGCCTTCTTTTTTTTTTAATATATGGAGACAGGGTCTTGTTATATTGACGAGGCTGGTCTTGAACTCCTGGGCTCAAGCGATCCTCCTGCCTCAGCCTCCCAAAGTGCTGGGATTACAGGTGTGAACCACAGTGCCGGGAGAGGCCAGTGCTTAATTAGTATTTGCTGAATGAACGCCTCTTATGTCTGCTACACTGGGGTCACCTGAAGGTGAGGGAAGCTCGAAGAAAAGACAGGCCCTTCTCCCCAGGCCTGACCAGGGCTGGTCCAGAGGGAACATGTGGCTACTCCTTAGAATTCAGGGAGGCAGGAGGCCCCAAACCCTGGCAGACTCTTGGACCAACTTGCCTATGTCCTGTCTCACCCAGGTCCCTGTACCCCTACCCGACCGGCGTCGCCGCTTCCTAGCCATGAAGTGGATGATCACTGAGTGCCGGGATAAAAAGCACCAGCGGACACTGATGCCGGAGAAGCTGTCACACAAGCTGCTGGAGGCTTTCCATAACCAGGGCCCCGTGATCAAGAGGAAGCATGACTTGCACAAGATGGCAGAGGCCAACCGTGCCCTGGCCCACTACCGCTGGTGGTAGAGTCTCCAGGAGGAGCCCAGGGCCCTCTGCCGCAAGAAACAGTGTGAGCTACTGCCACGCTGAAAACTACCTGTGGGTTAAGGATGTAGTTCCTTTGTAAGGGTGGGCAGGCCTCGTAAGAAAGATGTAGCAGCATATTCACTATCCGTTAATCCTTCTTTCTTTGAGGCTGGAACTTGCTCTCTCTGCCCCTATTTCCTTGTAAAGAGGGAGCACATTGACTTGGGAATTTCCTCCAGGAAACTCAGGGCTGTTTTCTCTTCCCTTAGGTTGGGGCGGACCTTTGGATATATAAAGGAAGCAGTTTTAGTATCAGAAAAGATTTATTAGAAAATTCTCACGCTGAACTGGTGTAGCATGTGGTGCAGCATTCAGTGAAACTGGCTGGAGGAAATAGGCTTGTTTCCAGAGTTGTCCTTATACAAAATGTATAAAAAGCAGTTTCTGGTGTGACTTGTGCTCTGCCTCCACCCCTTGACATCCCAAAATATCCCACCAGTGGCTATGCTTACCCATTTTACAGATGGGTAAACTGAGGCACCAAGGTAGTAGTTGCACTAATGGTTACACAGTGCAGTGGCTCTTGGGAGTTGCCCTTCTCTGCCTGGCCGTGGTGGGTTGTGGTGGGGAAAGGGGCTCAGGGCAGGACCACGGCATAAGTGGGAAACATCTCACCAGGAGATGGGAAAGTCTAGAAGGGAAGACACTCAAAGTCTGGAAGGGAAAAGTCTTTGGGTGAGGCAGAGACTCCACTGCCAGCTTTAGAGGTGGGTAGAAGAAAGGCCAGTGCTGGTGAGGAAGCCCTGATCTGGAGGCCTAGTCGGAGACTTCGCTGTAGTAATACTTGTGGGCAGCTGGCGTTGTCTTCCAGCCGGCCGCCCGGAACTCAATGATCTCCAGCAGCAGCAGCTGGGCCAGGGAGCTGAGGCCAGTTGGGAGCAGGAAGCCATCCCGGATCAGCACAAAGAGCTCATCCATGCGCTGCCCATTCATTTTCTCCAGCTGCTCCCCAACCCGGTGCAGCTGCAGCACCAAACAGTCCACCTGCAGGCGACAGTGTGGGTAACACAAGTGAACTGGGGCAGTGCCAGCCTCTCACACAGCATTTGCCAAGTGCCAGGTGCTGTGCTTTGCCTTTACACTCATTCCCTTGCTCCCTCCTTACCATCCAGTGGGTACTTCCACATCTTACACAGAAAGAAATGAGTTCCGGGACTTGCCTGAGGTCCCTCATCTGGCCAGGCTCCACTCAAGCCTGTCTCCAAACCACTTCTTCATCCCACTCTCCTGCCTCCCACACACTGCCTGACCCTGGTTTGGCTTTGGGGCCGTCTGTACCCACAGCTAGCCATGGCTTGCACAGCTGCCATCATACGTTGGCTTTCTGACTGAGAAGGAAGCTACTGAGCCAGTAGGTTTTGGCTGCTCTCTATTGGATAAACTCCAGACCTGGCAGCTTGTCCTATAACTGACAGGCCTTAAACACCCCCACAGTCCTGCCCCAGAAGTGACACAGTCCTCAGAGACCTCCGTGAGCAGTGGGCTGACACACGGCTGAGCTGGACTGTCCATCCTGCAGCCTTCTGTGCTTGTGCCAGGGCTGGGGCCACCCACCTCCTCCTCCTTGCTCAAACTGTCTGGCTGGGCCAGCCGGAAGAGGCAGTCATAGACAGGGTTCACCAGGGCCATCATGGGCATGTTGTTCACCTGTGAGGAAGAGGAGGGGTCAGAGCACCAGGCTTAGTGGCCAAGGGGAGCAGTCCAACCTGGGCCTCAGGAAACAGGCCATGTCTGCCTCCCAGGGTGGCTGCCGGGGCCTCACCCTCAGGTAGTCAAAGATGTTGCAGATAAAGGTGACATAGCAGACCCAGCCCTGCAGGGAGCGTGCTCGCAGCTGCTCCCGAGCCTGGTACTCCTGCTGCAGCCGGTTGAGGAGTCCACGTCGGAAGACACTCTGGCCTGCTTGTTTACTCTCTGCCTGTGAGCCAGGGAGAGGAAGGTGAAGGGTGGGGGGCGGTGCCCCTGTAACCCCACCCATCCTATGCCTCTCTCTCTCTTTGAGCTAGACCCTGTGCATCTCTGTCCTGCAGGCCAGGCCTTCTGCCCACTCCTGAAGCACCTTCCTCAAAGCAGCTTCCTTTCCTCTCCCAACCCCCAACCTGAATGATGGCGTAGCACATGCGTCCTGCTTCCTTGCTGAACACACAGTCCTGCAGAGAATGGTCCACAATCACATTGGCCACTTTCTCCAAGTCCACAGCACCCGGATCTAGGGGTAGAGATAGGAGGGGAGTCTAGAGCTGCTGCTTTATCACATTTGTGTCCACCCGCTTCTAAGAATTTGAGATATTTACAGTAGAGCACTCATATGCTTGAAGTGAAAGAGATCAGAAATCATACAGAGGACAGTGGCTCCAGTGGTGCAATTGGTTAGCGCATGGTACTTATAAGAAATCATGGCCGGGCGCAGTGGCTCATGCCTGTAATCCCAACGCTTTGGGAGACCGAGGTGGTTGGATCACCTGGGGTCAGGAGTTTGAGACCAGCCTGGCTAACATGGTGAAACCCCATCTCTACCAAAAATACAAAAATTAGCCAGGTGTGGTGGCTCGTGCGTCATCTCATGTCATCCAAGCTACTTGGGAGGCTAGGGCAGGAGAATCGCTTGGACCTGGGAGGCGGAGGTTGCAGTGAGCCGAGATCATGCTATTGCACTCCAGCCTGGGCGACAAAGCAAGACTCCGTCTCAAAAAAAAAAAAAAAAAGAAAAAAATAAAAGAAATCATACAGAGGGCCTGGTGTGGTGGCTCATGCCTGTAATCCCAGCACTTTGAGAGGCTGAGGCGGGTGGATCACCTGAGGTCAGGATCAGGAGGTCAAGACCAGCCTGGCCAACATGATGAAACCCCGTCTCTACAAAAATACAAAAAATAAGCTGGGCACGGTGGCGGGCCCCTGTAACCCCAGCTACTTGGGAGGCTGAGGCAGGAAAATTGCTTGAACCTGGGAGGCGGAGGTTGCAGTGAGCCAAGATCGTGCCATTGCACTCCAGCTTGGGCAAGAAGAGCGAAACTGTCTCAAAAAAAAAAAAGGGAAAAGAAACCGTACAGAGGACAGTAACCATACAAACAGCTTTAGCTGTCTTGTCTTCTGGTTGCCCAGTCAGAGAAAATGGGGAGGGTTATGTGGCTAGTAGGGACCAATCAAAGTAAGAATGTAGTTTCTCAGGAAACACATCTTTTCCTGGCACTAGGTTGAGGAAGGAATACTGACCAGGACATGCCTCCAACAGCAATTTCACAAGAAAAAGTGTTCTTATACTACACACATGCAAACCCCCAACAAGAGAGGGCCACATAGGGCCTCCCAACAGGCTCGGCTTGACACATGATGGGTGTTGCTAATTATTAGTTGAAGACAAACCTCTGTACTGCGTGTTACAGCGGGAAGGCATCAGGCGAGAGCAATTACTATAGCTCCTCTGGCAAACGGAATATTCTCCATCTTCTGTCTCAAAGCAGGCAACTGTGCATTCAAGAGACGGGGCTATGGCAGCACAGAAACCAGCAATTCAAATGTAAGCGCTTCAAGGGCAGGAGCCGTGTTCTTTTTTTTATGGTTAAACTTTTTTTTTTTTTTTTTTTTTTTTTTTTTTGAGACAGGGTCTCGCTCTGTAGCCAGGCTGGAGTGCAGTGGCAGGATCATGGCTCATGGCACCCTCACCCTCCCAGGCTCAATCAATCCTCCCACCTCAGCATCTTAAGTAGCTGGGACCACAGGTGCCTGCCACTATGCCCGGCTAATTTTTCTTTTCTTTCTTTTTTTTTTTTTTTTTGTAGAGATGGGGTTTACACCATGTTTCCGGGACTGGTCTTGAACTCCTGGACTCAAGCAATCTGCCCACCTTGGCTTTCCAAAGTGCTGGAACTACAGACATGAGCCACTGCGCCTAGCCCTATGGTTAAACTTTTAAAACAGTCTTTACAGTCTGAGAGGTGACTGTGATTCATACTCCAAAATAATGGCCTCAATGTAGCTTGTCTTCCAGTTCAAGAATTACGTTGCCGACTCCTATCGTCAGAGAATGAGGGGAGGGGTGGAGGCATTCACCAGGCTCAGCCTCTGGTGCTGCCCACAGGGGCCCTTCTCTGTAGCTCCTGACCCCAGCTCAGGAGGGGTCCCGTGCTCACCTTTGAGTGCTGTCTTCAGCAGCTGCTGGGTCTCTGCATCAAAGGACTGGATTTTATACTCCTCTCTACTGGGCTCCCCCATGACTAGCCAGCCCCGGTAGCTCTTGACTGGGCTGGGAATAAGGACAGCACCTGAGGAGAAGAGGCGAAGGGAGCGGCCTCAGGTGTGGAGCGCAGGGCGGGTTCCGTCCTGCAGGCCCTGGACGGGGCTGACGGCGCGCTCGGGACAGGGACTCCTGGGCGGTCCGTGGCGTGCGGTGGTTGGCTGAAGGCCCACCAGGCTTGGCTTCTGGTGGGGACTGGGCATCAGCCAGGCACCTGCTGCTCAGTTTAGAAATCCCTCGCTTGTGGGATTACACAAGAGCGAGAAGCTGAAGCAGGAAAGCGCCCACCCTCCAGTCCCAGCAGGAGGCAGGAGTAGACTGGGGCAGGGTGTGTGCGGGCGGACGTTACAGTTGCTTAAATAAACCGGCCTGACGTTGCTGGCCCAGGAAGATGCCGGGTGAGGGCCAGGCTGGGAACTCCAAGCGGTGCGACTCTGTCCCCAGCAGGTCTCCGAGCCCCTCTCCCCAACCCTCTCTTTCTGGCTTTCGCCGAGTCCTTCGGTCTCAACACCCGCCGCTGCATCCCCCGGATGGGGCCGGCCTGCGTGGGTGGGGACGCAGGCGCCCTGTCCGCCGCCCCTGCCGGGAGCAGCCTGAACTCCCCAGACCCGTGCCAGCTTCTCCCTGGGACAGGCTGGTCGGATCGGCTCCCGAGTGGCAGTAACCCGGCCCTACGCACTCGAGACTCCTAATTCCTGAGCTCCATTCTGGAGCCTTCCTCTTACTGGGGGGCAGGATGATGCGCCCCGGAGAGGTGGCTCCCGCCGGAGGCTCCCCTCTGGCCGTAGGAGGCGCCTTTAGGGTCTCCAGCCCTCGGCCGTTCCCCCCGCGCCCGGAACGCCCCTCCCGGAGGCACAGGGCGGGCTGCGGAGCCCACGGCCCAGGGTCCCGCGGGCGGGAGAGGCGGCGTGGGAGCCGGGACCCACCTGCCGGGCCGGTGGCGCGCGCGCGTGCCCGGGGCCGCTCGGCGCCTGGGAGCGCGCAACCAGCGTCCGGCGCTGCGGGGCCCGCCGTGAGCTCATCTCCTCGCGCGGCGCCGGGGAAGGGTCGGCTCGCCCGCGCCACCTGCCGGGCCCCCGGGGCACTGCCCTGGCCTCCAGGCCGCCCCGGAAGCCGCGCCGCCTGCGTGGGACCCTGCGACGCTGCCACCCAGCCGCAAGCGGAACTCGCTTGGCTCGTCACCCCTTCACCCGGTGCGCCTGGGCCGTGTCCGGGCCCACGCCGGACCCGCCGGCACCTCGATCTTGCGCGTGGCCCCGCACCCAGCCCTCCCCGGAGCTCAGGTGCACTGGGCCGGGAGACACCGCTGGGCTGCGCGGCGTGGGAAGAGCCTGCAGAGCGCGTGGTGGGGACCTGGTGGCAGGAGGAACAGCATCAGCCCTGGTCGCACCACTTTCCCCGCTCCCCCAACCCAGGTAGAGAAGGCAGGGGCTGCAGGGCCGGGGCCAGCCACAACCCTCTCCCGCTCCAAGGAGGACATGGGCGAAGCGAGTTTCAGGTCATAGGGGCAGCCCCGAGAAAGGGGCCCCATTGGCAACTCGCGGCCGTCGGTTGTTGCGAATGCCCCTGAAGTGGCGCGGACCCCACCGCCCGGCGTCTGCCCTGGGTGACAGGAGGGCACCTAGAAGTGGGGGAAGAACTGCCGCCGCTCCTGCCGCGCGACCGGGAGGAGCGCTGCCGGCGCTGCCCGCGTTCTCGCCTCCTTTTAAAAGAACCGCCAAAGTGGTCACCGAAAACGGAGGAGGAAGAGAACGCTCAGCTGCAGCAAAAGAAACCAATGGGCAGGAAAGATGAAGAGAAGAAACTTTAACGGAATTTCATAAAAAATGCATTCAGGCAGCTGCATCCTCGTGGCCCCCGCCGCAGCCTGGACCTTGGGAACCAGCAGCCCAGAGCCAGGAAGCCCCAGCATTCAGGGCCCAGACAGACCCCAAAATCCCAGACCAGAGGCAGGGAAGGATGGTGCGAGGAGGAGCCCAGGACCCACACGCCAGGGCCAGGGCCAGCGCCGGCTCCCAGTGGGTGCCTCTTTCCAAGGCTGGAGAGGGAGGCAGAATGGAGGGCTTCCCAGGTCGGAGCAACCCTACAGGCCGGGCAGATGGAGGGAAGGGTGGAGGTCATGTTCTGGAGACCTCCCCTCAGCCTGGAACTGGTTTCTCCTCTGCCTCTCCGCCTGTGGGTGTCCCTCTGCTCTGGTAACACCCCAGGCACCAGCTGTGCCCTCACCAGGCTACGTGCCCGCCCCTTCCTTCTGCCATCCCCATCAGTGGGCTGCTTCAGAGCCACGGCCCTTCTGGGGCTACAGGGGAGGATGCACCCGCAGCATGCTCTGCACTGAGGAGCAGGCAGTGGGCGCTGATGCCACCTGTCCTGCTGATAGCTCCTCACCCAGCAAGGCTGACCCAGCTCTGGGTGAAAGAGGAGTCAGTGAGGTAGACTGGGGAGAGGCTGCACCTTCACCCACGCCTGCCCACAGCATGGCCCATCCACTTCCTGCACGGGCGCTGGGATCTGCTTTCCATGGAGCCCCACGGCCATGACCAGCCCGGTCCTGGGAGAGGACAGCCTGGGTGGTGGTGTGTCTGCAGACACGAAGGTCTGGGCACGGGGCCCAGAAAGTGACTGGCTCAGCCTGGAGTCTCCCCCAGCACTAGAAGCAGAGCTGCCAAGGGCTGCCGCTATGGAGAACATGGGATTTGAGGAAGGCAGGAGTCCTTTCCCTCATACTTTGTGAGTAGGCAGATGTGCCAGGGGAGATGGAGTAAGATAAGGAATGTGTGTTTAGCTTTAATGTCTATTAAATAGGTTGGAAAAACAGGCCAAGTGTAGGGACCTGACTCCTGCAAAGGGCCTACCGCAGCCCTCTGCACTCAAGCAGCAGCCCCATCCAGACCAGGAGTGTGTTCTGTTCTCCTGGCAGGCAGGGCTGATAGGTGTAGGATGGCGTCTGTTTCCTTTGGAGTGTGGGCTGGTCAGAGGAGAAACAGCAACTTCCTGCTCCTTCTCACTGTGTCGTTGGCTCACCATAGACCACGTCCTGCATTCCCTCTGATTCTCTCATGGGGAGAGCCCTGGACCTTCTGGTGGTGTCCCAGCTGGGTGGGTTCAAGGCTGCTACCCCGCTTGGGGCAGCTGGCCTGCAGGGAAGGGCCAGACGGCACCTCTCAGTGGAGACTGAATCTTCCTTCCTTCAGGAGGCTGCCTCCAGGGAAGACCTGGGGTCCTTCCTGCACTCAGCGCTGGCTGGCTGTCCTGTTCATGCAGTGGAAGACATTACAGAAGAATTCATACGAGAAGAACATGAAGCCTGTGGAGAGGGCAGCCTTCAGCAAGCTGGGGGACAGGCCCTTGAAGAAGCCCAGGGCGCCTTCCTTTTGCAGCACCTGCTTGGCACAGTCCATGAGGCCCTTGTATCTCCGTACCTGGGGAGAGGAAAGGGATGAAAATATGGATGCCCGCTCTGCTCCCATCAACACAGCCCCTGGCACATCACAGATCTTAAGAAGTACTTGCTGGACAAAGAAATGAATGCAAAATAGCAAATTATTTTATTTTTTCGTTGAGGCAGAGTCTCACTCTGTTGCCCAGGCTGGAATGCAGTGGCACAATCTTGGCTCACTGCAGCCTCTGCCTCCCAGGTTCAAGTGATTCTCCTGCCTCAGCCTCCTGAGTAGCTGGGATTACAGGCACACAACACCACGCCTGGCTAATTTTTTGTATTTTTAGTAGAGATGCAGTTTCGCCATGTTGGCCAGGCTGGTCTTGAACTCCTGACCTCAGGTGATCCACCTGCTTCAGCCTCCCAATGTGCTGGGATTACAGGCATGGACAACCATGCCCAGCTCAAAATAGCAAATAAATTAATTTCATTCTTTCTACTGTAATTGGGTTAAGACTGAACAGATGACAGGCCTAGAAATCAGAAGCTGGACAGCGCTCCTTCCTGCCCAGGAAGAACGGCTGCCTGTGGCTCCAAAGGATCCAGCAATGGCTCCAGAACCTCTTCCCAGAGGCATCTCTGACCCTTCATCCCATCCCACCTGATCCCCCTTGGGCAGCAGATCTGAACCTGGCCCTCAGTAGCTCTCAGCCGGGCCTCCCTGCCTCCAGCCTCACCCTCTCCAGCTGACCTCACACACTGCTGCCAGACATTCATCCCCAGGCACAACCCTCCTCAAGCCTGGCTTCCCTCCAAAAGCTGCAGTAACTCCTAGTGACGACATCATGAGAAATCAAGTCCAAACCCCAAGATCTGCCGTTTAAGGCACTGCACCATTTGGCCTTGATTTCCCTCCCTGATCTGACCTCCACTGGTCCTCCCACGTGCCCTTCCCACCTCTGGCCAAACTGGATTACACTAGTCTTTGTTAGCAGTAAGGCCTCCCTCTGCCATCCTGGGCTCTCACCATCGGCTCCCTGTCCAAATTCAAACTGTCCCTTCATGCTGGGTGCAGTGGTGCATGCCTGCAGTCCCAGCTACTTGGGAGGCTGAGAGGGGAGGATCGCTTGAGCCCAGGAGTTCGAGACCAGCCCAGGCAACAGAGCGATATCCCATTTAAAAAAAGAAAGAAAGAAAAGAAAACAAACTCTCCCTTCAGGACAAGTTGGTAAGTGGAAAAGGGAGGTTACAAACCTTGTATACAGTGTATCCGTATTTTTGTTAAAATGTACATGTGTATTTATGAAAAGAAATAAAACTACACTGAAAGGTTCCATGTGGTTATCTGTGGTAGTGAAATTACAAGGGATTTTGGTCTTTTTTTTTTTTTTTTTTTTTTTTTTTTTTTTTGAGACAGAGTCTCACTCTGTCGCCCAAGATGGTGTGCAGTAGTGTGATCATAGCTCACTGCAGCCTCGAACTCCTGGGCTTAAGCAATTCTCCTGCCTCAGCCTCTCTAGTAGCTGGAACTACAGGCACACACCACCATGCCCAGCTAATTTTTTAATTTTTATTTTGTAGAGACGGGGTCTTGCTATGTTGACCAGGCTGGTTTCAAGCTCCTGGCCTCAACTGATTTTCCCATTTTGGCCTCCCAAAGTGCTGGGATCACAGGCGTGATCCACTGCAGCTGGCTTGGTCTTTCTTTCATCTATCTTAAATTTTCTAAAGTTTCCTACAAAGAAAATGCATTATAACTATAAACCCAGCTCTTTCTCTTCCCCCAAGGAAGGAATGCTCTCTCCCTACCTTGCCTCCCATTCCATGCCATCCCTCTCCTCTGACATTGTCAGGCATATTTTTTCACACCTCCGCATCTCAGGTTCCCAGGATACAGAGGGGAAAGGCCTGGAATTGCCCATCCTTAGCCTACCCCTAACCCTACCCACTGACCAAAAGAAAGGGAGTATGTAAAAATCTGAGCAACTGAGGAGTGACTACTGAGACTACAACATGACTTAGCACGGGGCTTCTCTTAATGGCCAACTCTCCTAGTGCACATAAAATACAACTTAGGCCCAGGTGTGGCGGCTCATGCCTGTAATCCCAGCACTTTGAGAGGCTGAGGCGGACGGATCAACTGAGGTCAGGAGTTCAAGACCACCTTGGCCAATGTGGTGAAACCCTGTCTCATATGGTGAAACCCCGTCTCTTCTAAAAATACAAAAATTAGGACATGGTGGCGGGCGCCTGTAATCCCAGCTGCTTGGAGGCCAAGGCAGGAGAATCGCTTGAACCAGGGAGGCGCAGGCTGCAGTGAGCCAAGATCACGCCACTGCACTCCAGCCTGGGCAAAAGAGCGAGACTCCGTCTCAAAAAATATATATATATATATGGCTGGGCACAGTGGCTCATGCCTGTAATCCCAGCACTTTGGGAGGCCGAGGCAGGTGGATCACCTGAGGTCAGGAGTTCGAGACCAGCCTGGCCAACATGGTGAAACCCCGTCTCTACTAAAAATACAAAAAATTAGCTGGGCGTGGTGGCACGCGCTTGTAATCCCAGCTACTTGGGAGGCTGAGGCAGGAGAATTGCTTGAACCCGGGAGGCAGAGGTTGCAGTGAGCCGAGATCGTGCCATTGCACTCCAGGCTGGGCAACAAGAGCAAAACTCCGTTTCAAAACAAAAACAAAAACAAAAAAATACATATATATATAACCTAGTTGCTCAAATTCACCCAATTCCAGAACAGCTACAGCAAAACCCCTTTTCTGTGTGCTTTAATATTTGGGGACCTTCCTTGCTCTGTTGCCCAGGCTGCAATGCAGTGGTGCAATCGTGGCTCCCTGTAACATCCACCTCTCACGTTCAAGCGATTCTCCTGTTTCAGCCTCCCGAGTAGCTGGGACTACAGGCGCCCACCACCATACCCAGCTAATTTTTATATTTTTAGTAGAAACGGGGTTTCACCATGTTGATCAGGCTGGTCTAGAACTCCTGACCTCAGGTGATCCACTCGTCTCGGCCTCCCAAAATGTTGGGATTACAGGAGTGAGCCACCACGTCCACGCCCAGCCTCTGGACATATTTTTTTTTGAGATGGAGTCTTGCTCTGTTGCCCAGGCTGGAGTGCAGTGGCGCAATCTCAGCTCACTGCAAACTCCACCTCCCGGGTTCACACCATTCTCCTGCCTCAGCCTCCCGAGTAGCTGGGACTACACGTGCCCACCACCACGCCCGGCTAATTTTTTTGTTTTTTTTTTTTTTTAGTAGAGATGGGCTTTCACCGTGTTATCCAGGATGGTCTCGATCTCCTGACCTCGTGATCCACCCACCTTGGCCTCCCAAAGTGCTGGGATTACAGGTGTGAGCCACCACGCCCGGCCAGGATATGTTTTAAGAGCAGAAATTGTGCTAGGTGCAGTGGCTCACACCTGTAATCCCAGCACTTTGGGAGGTGGAGTCAGGAGGGTTCAAGACCAGCCTGGGAAACAGAGTGAGACCCTGCCTCTATTTTAAAGAAAAAAAAAAAGAGCAGACACTGTATGTCCTTGGCCCAGATCCTTCCACAGTGCTCAGGACCCAGGGCTTGCATGCAGCTTTCCCACATGCTTAGGGATCTCAAGGAATGGACGCAGGTGAAGGGGCCATGGCCAGGGGTGATGTTGCCCAATGGGTAGGAGGTGACTACTGGTTCCCTCATGTGCCCAGTGATGGCAAGGGTCAGAGCTGTCTGCCTGGGAGTGAACGGCTCACCTGGCCAAAGGCAGCTCTGGCATGCTCAAACCCTCCAACCTGTAGCCGCTTCTTGAAGAGGTCCAGCGGATATGTCAGGGTCTTGCTGATGACACCAGCTCCACTGCCACAAAGCAGGTTTTGGAGGTTCTCTGAACCAGAGAAGTGGGATTGGGAGAATGGATGAGAGAAATGCAGTCTATGGGTGACAACTTAAAAGGCGTCAGGGCTAATCCTCCACCACAAACCAAACCCCACAAGCGCACTTCTATCTGACCTCCACTGGTCCTCCCATTCCAAAAAGGAATGTAATCTAGGGGGAGAAGAGCCAGACACGGCCACTTCTGGTGGAGTGATCCGGGCTGGAAGGGTTGGAGGCCGCAGTCCCCCAGCTGGAGGCAACATGGGCCTCAGGCTCTGCAGCATGACTCAGTTCAGGGCTGGAGAGGACCAGGATGCCCCACCCCTCCCCAGCCTCCCCCTGCCCCCATCTCCCACTCCCCCTGCCTGGAAAAAGCAACTGAAGAACCTCAACCAAAAAACAAGCAATTTGCAATTTGGACTTCTGACAAAAATGAAAACCATGACCAATCACTGGAAGTAAATTTCAGTAATGCCAGTGATGGGTGTGGCAGGAGCTGGAAGAAATCAAGTCCTCTCCAAGCAGCTGCAGTTGTTTTGTTTGCCACATTACAGAGCCAGGTACAGAGACCCGCGGTCTTTGATTCGGACAGGAGAACTTTAGCTCCTTTGTGATTTGGAAGGGGGTGTTCTGGTGGCTGGGGTGGGAGGGCTCCCTCTCGTGTGAGGGCTGCCTCACCATTTTTCTTTCCTTCGGCTGGTATGGCCCACTTGTACAGGTGCTTCAAGGAGCTGTAGCAAGAGAACTGCAGCCCGGCGTAGGGGAAGATGGCGATCAAGGTGGGAGCCAAGCCTTTGTAGAAAACCTGGGGGCCTTCGCTCCTATACATGGTCCCCACGGCGTGGCGCAGCGTATTATAGACCTGGACACACACACGCACTTTGAATGAGCTCAGTGAAGTGGTTTTAGCCCTGGAACAGCCCATCATAGCTCTGTCCCCTCGCCTAAAATACCAGCTACCAGGAGCGAAACTCCTCCTGCCAGGAAGACAGTCAAGGGAAACGCTGGACAGAGATTCGAAGGATGGCATTTTCCAGAAACTCCCCCTTCTACACATGTATACCACTGTTATATCCACAGGTGTGCACAAAAGTATGTGTCCAGGAGTCACTGCAGCGTCCTGGGGAAGAGCTAAAGACGCGATGTCCATCTGTGGGTGCTGGTTACGTGAATTATGGGACACCAGCTCACGAGAGAATAGTGCAGCTGTTAAAACAGGAAGGTGAGGCCAGGCGCGGTGGCTCACGCCTGTAATCCCAGCACTTTGGGGAGGCTGAGGCAGGCAGATCACTTGAGGCCAGGAGTTTGAGACCAGCCTGGCCAACATGGCGAAAGCCCATCTCTACTAAAAATACAAAAATTAGCTGGGGGTGGTGGCTCATGCCTGTAATCCCAGCTTCTTGGGAGGCTGAGGCACAAGAATTGCTTGAACCTGGGAGGCGGAGGTTGCAGTGAGCTGAGATTGTACCACGGCACTCCAACCTGGGTGACAGGCGGAGACTCTGTCTCAAAAACATAAATAAATAAATAAATAAATAAATAAATAAATAAATAATAAAAATAAAGTAGAGAGGAGGTCTTGCTATGTTGCCCAAACTGGTCTCGAACTCCTGACCTCAAGTGATCCTTCCTCCTTGGCCTCCCAAAGTGCTGGGATTACAGGCATGAGCCACTGCACCCGGCCAAGCATGTTACTTAGAATTATGGAAGGAAATAATCAAAGAAACAACTATAAGTAGTAAAAGTAGTCGCCTCTGGGGATCGGAATCAGGGAGCGGCTGGGTATTTTTTAAAATTATAATTCATGAAGAACTGTCTTTGTAACCTTGATACATCTTATATGTTGTAAAATTTTTTATCGTTCAAGATCATGTTTATAATATGGTTGTGACTAGTCTTAAGGCAGGTGGAGAGTCTTGTAGGTTTTAACCACATCTCTTCCCCTCACTTTCATGACCAGATATTCTCTGATCATTCTAGAATCTAAAATCCAACATGTCAATAGTTGAAGCTAGAGGTAATATGCTATTATCTTTTTTTTTTTTTTTTTTTGAGACGAAGTC
The DNA here is from genome assembly GCF_000001405.40 of Homo sapiens. Classification (NCBI taxonomy): domain Eukaryota; kingdom Metazoa; phylum Chordata; class Mammalia; order Primates; family Hominidae; genus Homo; species Homo sapiens. The sequence continues at coordinate 75,279,537 of NC_000017.11, forward strand.
TTGCTATGTTGCCTAGGCTGGAGTTGCCTAGGCACAATCTTGGCTCACTGCAGCCCCCACCTCCCAGGTTCAAGCGATTGTCCTGCCTCAGACCCCCGAGTAGCTGTGATTATAGGCACCTGACACCACGCCCAACTAATTTTTGTATTTTTAGTAGAGACGGGGTTTCATCATGTTGGCCAGGATGATCTCGATCTCCTGACCTTGTGATCCGCCCGCCTTGGCCTCCCAAAGTGCTGGGATTACAGGCGAGAGCCATCGCGCCCAGCCCAATTCTTTGTTTTTTTTGAGACAGGATATCTCACTTTGTTGTTTGGGCTGGAGTGCAATGGTGCAATCATGGCTCACTCTCCAGGCTCAAGCAATCCTCTCAACTCAATCTTCCAAGTAGCTGGGACTACAGGTGCACACCACCATGCCTGGCTAATTTTTTTGTATTTTGTAGAGAGCCATGTTGCCCACATCAAACTCTTAAACAAATTATCCTTCCTTTCCCACTAACAGTATCCTAAAGCAGAGTTGAGACAGTGGAAAAATTATTGTTTATAAGCCAGGTCTGGTGGCTCAGCCTTGTAATCACAGCACTTTGGGAAGCCAAGGCAGGAGGATCACTTGAGCCTAGGAGTTCGAGAACAGCCTGGGCAACATGGTGAATGAAACTCCATCTCTACAAAAAATACAAAAATTAGCCAGGTGTGGTACCAAGTGCCTATGGTCCCAGCTACTTGGGAGGCTGAGGTGGGAGGATTGCTTGACCCCAGGAGGTGGAGGCTGCAGTGAGCTGTAATCATACCCCTATACTTCAGCCTGGATGACAGAGTGAGACTCTGCCTTAAAAATAAAGAAAAAAAGCCCAGGCATGGTGACTCATGCCTGTAATCCCAGCACTTTGGGAGGCTCAGGTGGGCGGATCACTTGAGGCCAGCAGTTCCAGACCAGCCTGGCCAACATGTCAAAATCCCATCTCTACTAAAAATATAAAAATTAGCCAGGCATGGCCAGGCGCGGTGGCTCACGCCTGTAATCTTAGCACTTTGGGAGGCAGAGATGGGTGGATCACAAGGTCAGGAGTTCAAGACCAGCCTGGCCAACATGGCAAAACCCCGTCTCTACTAAAAATACAAAAATTAGCCAGGCGCGGTGGTGGGCGCCTGTAATCCCAACTACTTGGGAGGCTGAGGCGGGAGAATCACTTAAAACTGGGGGTGGAGCTTGCAGCCTCAGCGACAGAGTGAGACTTCATCTGAAAAAAAAATTAGCTGGGCATGGTAGCGGACCTGTAGTCCCAGCTGCTTGGGAGGCTGAGGCATGAGAATCACTTGAATCTGGGAGGCGGTCACAGTGAGCTGAGATTGTGCCTCCAGACTGGGCGACAGAGCCATACTCCGTCTCAAAAACAAACAAACAACAACCAAAAAAAAAAAAAAAAACCAGGAGTTCAAGACCAGCCTGAGCCTGAGCAACATAATGAGACCCTGCCCCTACAAAAAATAAAAAAATAAAAAATTAGTCAGGTGTGATGGCACACACCTGTGGTCTTAGCTACTTGAGAGGTTGAGGCAGGAAGATTGCTTGAGCCCAGGAGTTCGAAGCTGCAGCAAGCTATTGCAGCCATTGTACTCCAGCCTGGGTGACAGATCAAGACCCTGTCTCAAAAAATATATATAAATAATAACAATAAAATTATTCTTTCTTGGTTGAGAACACACAGACACACATACATATGATGCTATTCTTAAATATGTCCAGGAAACAGAGATCATGGTGGGGAGGTCTATTTCAGGATTTAATCCCTTGTTTTCACTCAGTAAATTCTTCCTCGAGTCTATCCCATTTCCACCAGCCCATTCTTTGTGGAAACCAAAGACACTCGCAATTGGCCGGGCGTGGTGGCTCATGCCTGGAATCCCAGCACTTTGGGAGACAGAGGCCAGGGGATCACCTGAAGTCAAGAGTTTGAGACCAGCCTGGCCGACATGGTGAAACCCTGTCTCTACGAAAAATATAAAAATTAGCCGGACATGGCATCACGTGCCTGTAATCCCAGCTACTCAGGAGGCTGAGACAGGAGAATCGCTTGAACCCAGGAGGCAGAGGTTACAGTGAGCTGAGATTGCGCCACTGCACTCTAGCCTGAGCAACAAAGTGAGACTGTCTCAAAAAACCAACCAACCAAACAAACAAAAAAACAAAGACGCTCTCATAATAATCCAGCAATAAATTCTCAAGTGGGCAGTCCTTGATCCAGCCCACTGCTGGGTAATTATTTGTTCTGTTTCATAGCAGTAGGTTCTGTCTTCCAGGGAGGCTGTGAGCTCCTTTGAGGCAGGGACATAGAGCACCCCGCACAGTGCTGCCCACAGTCATGGGTTTTACAAACTGACTGCCAGACAAACTGAAAACCCGAACCTCTCCCAGCTTTGCTTTCTGCAAGGACAAGAACTCAACCTCTGCCGAGTGCGGTGGCTCATGCCTGTAATCCCAGCATTTTGGGAGGCCGAGGCGGGCAGACGGCTTGAGCTCAAGAGTTCAAGACCAGACTGGGCAACATGACGAAACCCCGTCTCTAAAAAAATACAAAACTCAGCCAGGTGTAGTCTCAGCTACCGGGGAGGCTGAGGCAGAAGGATCACTTGATCCCAGGAGGTCGAGGCTTCAGTGAGCAGTGATCATGCCACTGCACTGCAGCCTAGGCAACAAAACAAGACACTGTCTCAAAAAATATATATATAGGCCAGGTGCGGTGGCTCACGCCTGTAATCCTAGCACTTTGGGAGGCCGAGGCGGGTGGATCACCTGAGATCAGGAGTTCAAGACCAGCCTGCTAACATGGCGAAACTCTGTCTCTACTAAAAGTACAAAAAATAGCTGGGCATGATGGCAGGCGCCTGTAATCCCAGCTACTGGGAGGCGGAGGCAGGAGAACTGCTTGAAATCAGGAGGCAGAGGTTGCAGTGAGCCGAGATCTGGCCATTGCATTCCAGCCTGGGCAATAAGAGCGAGACTCCGTCTCTTGAAAAAAATAAAAATAAAAATAGGTCGGGCACGGTGGCTCACGCCTGTAATCCCAGTACTTTGGGAGGCCGAGGCAGGCGGATCACGAGGTCAGGAGATCGAGACCATCCTGTGACTGGTGAAACCCTGTCTCTACTAAAAATACAAAAAATTAGCTGGGCGTGGTGGCGGGCACCTGTAGTCCCAGCTACTCGGGAGGCTGAGGAGGGAGAATGGCGTGAACCCAGGAGGCGGAGCTTGCAGTAGCCGAGACTGTGCCACTGCACTCCAGCCCGGGCGACAGAGTGAGACTCTGTCTCAAAAAAAATAAATAAATAACTAAAAATAAAAATAAAAATAAAAATCATATATTTAAAAAAAACATGCTTATCAAATAAAAGAAAAAAATAGATCGCACCACTGCACTCCAGCCTGGCAACAGAGCGAGACTCTGTCTCAAAATAAATAAATAAATAAATAAAAAATAGGCCGGGCGCAGTGGCTCATGCCTGTAATCCTAGCACTTTGGGAGGCCGAGGCGGGCGGATCGTGAGGTCAGGAGATCGAGACCATCCTGGCTAACATGGTGAAACCCCGTCTCTACTAAAAATACAAAAAAAATTAGCCAGGCGTGGTGGCGGGTGCCTGTAATCCCAGCTACTCGGGAGGCTGAGGCAGGAGAATCGCTTGAACTCGGGAGGTGGAGCTTGCAGTAAGCCAAGATCGCACCACTGCACTCCAGCCTGCATGACAGAGCGAGATTCTGTCTCAAACAAAACAAAACAGAACAAAACAAAAATAAATAAATAAATAAATAAAAAATAAAGAATGCTACCCCTGTGACAACACCTTCCTTATTTGGGCTTCCCCGGTCTGGCTCCTGGCCACTCACCTTGGGCTCACCCTGAGCTGCAAAGCGGGTGCGCAGAACATCCACGGGGTGCACAGTGAGGGTGGCCATACAGGCAGCCAGGCCACCACATACAAAGTGCACTGAGAATTCCCGGGCGTCATACACGCTGCCTCTGTGGACCAGCTCCGTCAGCATTTCAAATGACAAGAACTGCAAGAGTAAGTGAAGAAGTCACCGACAGCCCAAAGGATGAGGGTGAGGACCAAATACTCCCCAAATACATCACCCGTGACCCGGCTGGGGCCCAGGTGGAGGGGCGAGGAAAAGGTCAGGAAATGTTCTTCTTGAGCAGTGACAGCATATGATAAATACAACATTCTACGCAAAACTCGGATGCCATTTGATACTTGAGTAGAGTCAGACACTCAAAGGGTTAAGAAGATATATGGGGGCCAGGTGCAGTGGCTCACACTTGTAATCCCAGCACTCTGGGGGGCCGAGGCGGGCAGATCACGAGGTCACAAGTTCGAGACCAGCCGGGTCAACATAGTGAAACCCTGTCTTTACTAAAAATACAAAAATTAGTCAGGCATGGTGGCGGGCACCTGTAGTCCCAGGTACTTGGGGGGCTGAGGCAGGAGAATCACTTGAACCCGGGAGGCAGAGCTGCACTGAGCCAAGATCATGCCACTGCGCTCTCCAGCCCGGGCGACAGAGCAAGACTCGGTCTCAAAAAAAAGACTGGGTGCAGTGGCCCACGCCTGTAATCCCAGCACTTTGGAAGGCCGAGGTGGGCAGATCATGAGGTCAGGAGTTGGAGACCAGCCTGGCCAATATGGTGGAACCCTGTCTCTACTAAAAATACAAAAATTAGCCAGGCATGGTGGCGTGGGCCTGTAACCCCAGCTACTTGGGAGGCTGAGGCAGAAGAATCGCCTGAACCCAGGAGGCGGAGGTTGCAGTGAGCTGAGATTGCGCCACTGCACTCCAGCCTGGGCAACAGAGTGAGACTCTGTCTCAAGAAAAAATAAAAAAGATACATGAGAACAATGTATATCAGAAAATGTCACTGGCTAACTTAGTTTTCTGAGAACTGGGGAAGACGGCCATGCTCTGATTCCTGCAGGGACCCCTTCAGTGCAGCTGGCGGCGGCACCTGGTGGCGGCACTGTTCGAGAATCATTCTTTTCTGGGGCAGATTCTTTTGGGAGCATGTTCCACAGGGTGACCCCCTTACATTCAGATCTTTCTTTTTTTTTTTTTTTTTTTTTTTTTAGGGACAAGAGTGTCTCTCTGTCACCCAGGCTGGAGTACAGTGGCACAAACACGGCTCACTGCAGCCTCAACCTCCTGGGCTCCAGTGATCCTCTCACCTCAGCTCCTCAAGTAGCTGGGATTACAGGCGCATGCCACCATGTCCAGCTAATTTTGGTATTTTTTGTAGAACCAGGGTTTCACTATGTTGCCAAGGCTGGTCTCAAACTCCTGAGCTCAAGCAATCTGCCCGCCTTGGGCTCCCAAAGGGCTGAGATTACACACATGAGCCACCGAGCTTGGCCCTGTTTTGCTTTTTGAGGCAAGGTCGTGCTCAGTTGCCCAGGCTGGAGTGCAGTGGCTCGATCACAGTTCACAGCAGCCTTGACTTCTCTAGCTCAAATTATTCTCCTGCCTCTGGAATAGCTGGGACGACAGGTGTGTACCACCATATCTGGCTAATTTATTTTTTATTTTTAGTAGAGAGGAGGTCTCCCTAATGTTGCCCAGGCTGGTCTCAAACTCCTGAGCTCAAGCCATCCTCCCACCTCAGCCTCCCAAAGTGATGGGATTACAGGTGTGAGCCACTATACCAGGGCTATGCTCAGATCTTCCTTCAGCCAACTGAAGATGGCCTGGCTTCTTTTCTTTTTTTGAGACAGGGTCTGGCTGTGTTGCCCAGGCTGAAGTGCAGTGGCATGATCGTGGCTCACTGCAGCCTCCGCCTCCCGGGCTCAGATGCTGGGATTACAGGTGTGAGCCACTGAGTCCAGCCCACGCCTGGCTTCTTGAGACTATCCTGTTGCTGTATTTATTCGTCATGCTGCAATATCTGTTTGCAGACAAGTGCAGAGACAGGATCGCAGGGCATGCCCAGCCAGTAAGCACCTGACTTGGGCGGTCACTGTGATGTCACAGGAAGAGTAGGAAGGGACATCTCTGGCACTAGCTGCCTAGGTGGGGGTCGTGGCTCTGCCATTTTCTAGCCAGTGGCTTTGGTTGGGTTAATTATGTAAGCTCTGTCCACCTCAGTCTTCTCATGCATGACATGGGAGGGACAACAGCCCCTACCTTAAGGACTGCTGTGACAGAGTGTATGTGAAGTGCTTCCAACAGGGGCCTGGCCCATGGTTTGCACTGTACAGGGCTGGTTCTTAAACACATCTACTGCATAAAATCACATGCTGTGCACTATGACTATACTAGTGCTCCACTGAACGAAGCATGAGTTCTAACCCTAGCCCCGCCATGTGCAGGCTGTGTGGCCTCGGACAGCTGACTTCTCCTCCCTGAGATCCACATGACAGCTACCCTGCCCTCCTCATGACGGTGTGGTGAAGTTCAGATGAACCACATATGTGAAGGTGGTATTTCAAAAACTGAAATGCATTAGTGCTGTCCTTCGCCAAGCCTCACAGAAGGCATGACATCAAATCGGTCTCCAAGATGCAACACCTAAGTCACACAGGATAGACGCAGGGACATGGCGGAGGGCAATGCCTACGGTACTGCTGGTCAGGAAGGCTCCCGGGTGAGGCAGGTGGGAAGCGTGGGGCCTGCCTCTTCCGTCCTGCCCTGCGCGGCATTCCTGCTTGCCTCACCCTCCCTCTGCTCCTCCACTGAGCAACGTGACCCCAGAGGTCTGGCCAGGTCCCTTGCCACCTACTTGGACAGCTCCATAGCCTATGGAGAGAATCTGAGCTGGGACGTGTCCTTTCCAGAAAGCTGTCGGACCCTCCTCCTGCAGAATCTGCCTAGAGGCCTGGAGGATGCCATGGTACTTTGCGCTGGGGTCACTGCGAGACAGGCGCTCATGCTGAAGCTAGGAATCAAAATAAAAAAGGTCAGGACAGTGGGGTGGGCTGGAATGTGAAGGGGAACTTTCAGAAAAGGCAAGCCCTTCATCTGGATAGAATTCCAAGTTTTAGGAACTGCTTTTGCAAGAAAGACTGAACTTGTCCTCCAGTCCATTGCATGGAAAAAGGGGAAGAGTACCTGGAAACGGATCTTGATGACGTCGAAGGGACTGATCAGCGCCCGAGTAACAAGTCCAGACACAGACCCAGCCACTGCCACCTGGAACTTGGTGTTATTCCTGCCATCTGGTTTGGGGTCATAGCCAACCATCCCTGCCTCTGGCCCACACAATGTCCATCAGTATCAAGCTAAATGCAAGAGATACGGAATAAACACCAGGCAAGTTTCTTATGGTCTCTGCTCAAATATCACCTCCTCAGAGCAGCCCTCCCTGACTAGACTGTCTAAAATAGCACTCACTTTTGGACTGGGCGCAGCGGTTCATGCCTGTATCCCAGCACTTTCGGAGGCCGAGGTGGGTGGATTGCTTGAGCTCAGGAGTTCAAGACCAGCCTGGGCAACACTGCAAAACCCCAACTCTACAAAAAATACAAAAATTTAAAAATAAAATAAAATAGCACTTGTTTTATTCCTCTTTACAGTACTTATTACTATGGCATATTTGTTTACTTTTTTAGAGACAGGGTCTCACTCTGTTGCCCAGGCTGGAATGCAGTGGTGCCATCATAACTCACCATAGCCTTGAACTCCTGGGCTCAAGTGATTCTCTTGCCTCAGCCTCCCAATTAGCTGTCACTTAACAGGTGCAGGCCTGGCTAAGTTTTTTATTTTTGTAGAGATAAGGTCTCAATGTTGCCCTGGCTGGTCTCGAACTCCTGGCCTCAAGTGATTCTCCTGCCTCAGCCTCCTGAATTGCTGAGATTACATGCATGAGCCACAGCGCCCGGCACGCCATGGGTTATTTATACAGTACATTTGTTTCTTGTCTCTCTCCCTGACTAGAATGTAAGCCCGTGGAAACACGACCTTGGTCTCATTTGTTCACTCGTAAATTTCCGGTTCCTGGAATAGAGCCCATCATGGTAAGTGCTTAATAATATTTGAGAATCGAATGAACAGGCTTGATAGGCAATTGTTGGTCCCAGAGATCAACTGGTTTTCCAAGACATCTGGCAACTTTATAGCAAACTCCTGCTCACTGAGTGAGCCCACTCAAGTGTAACGCTGAGGGACTGAAGGACGTGCAGGGCTGGAGAACAGGGATTGGGATTCTTTAACAATCCCCCACTGTCCAAAGGAAGAGCCCTGAGGCCCTGAGCCCCTTCACCTTTCCCTTTCCCCTCCTGCACACACCTCAGACCACCCCGGCACAGTGGGGCCATGCTACGCTAGCAAATGATGCTCCTGGCCAGGCACCGTGGCTCACGCCTGTAATCCCAGCACTTTGGGAGGCCGAGGCGGGTGGATCGCCTGAGGTCAGGAGTTCAAGACCAGTCTGGCCAACATGGTGAAACCCTGTCTCTAATAAAAATACAAAAATTATCTGGGTGTCGTGGTGGGCGCCTGTAATCCCAGTTACTTGGGAGGCTGAGGAGGGAGAATCACGTGAGCCTGGGAGGCAGAGGTTGCAGTGAGCTGAAATCACGCCATTGCACTCCAGCCTGGGCTACAGAGTGAGACTCCGTCTCAAAAACAAAAAAACAAAACAAAACAAAAAAGAAAATGACGCTCCTGGGCTCCCCTGACTCAGACCTACTGACCTCTTCAGCCTCACTCTGGACCACTCTTCCCCTTCCCTCATTTAACCAGAGTGGTCTGACTGCTTCTGCCCAGTTCCTGGAAAACTCGGGGAGCACTCCTATCAATTGCCTTGCCTCTACTCCTCCAGTTCCCTACGTCTGAAATACAGCCCCACTCTCAGCCCCTACTCACTTTTTCAAGGCTAGCTCCTCTCATCCACCAGAGCTCAGCTAAAAAGCATCCCTTCCAGGAGATGTACTTTTTTCCTTTTTTGTAAAAACAAAAAACAAAAACAGTAATACCTACATACGGTCTGTAGAGTTGTACAAAGCATAGAAAGAAGTCTGTAACCACACACATCAACAGGTAGTTGGTAACTGATCACAGGGAGAAGGGCTGAGAAGGGAAAAAGGAAGGTAGACCTGTCGATAATTCTATACTGTTTGAATTTGTTATGGCAAAAAAAAAAAAAAAAAATCCCTAAAACTAGCCTTCAGAATTACCCTAGTTCTTGAATACTTGTAGTAGTGGGGGTGGGGGTGGGGGAGGAGGGGAGATACTACCTACAGGATGGCAGCCTCCACCCCAGACATCAATTCCTTTTCTCCTCTCACCCACCCTGGAACTCCTCCCCAGGCGCCCATGAGGAAGTTTAAACACGCGGCAAGCGACTGAGAGGCAAAACCTCTCCAGGGGTTACCCAGGGACCGCTCAGGTCACACTGAGCAGCGTGTTTCCCGCCCATCTGGGCAGAAAGGAGGAGCAAGCCCGAGTGGCAGGTGTCCTGGATCGCTGTCAGGAGACCGGAGCATACCAGGCTCTTCCTGGTGTTCGGGTGCCCATGTGCCCAAGGGCTCAGCTGAGCAAATCTGCAGAGGTCCCCGTGTGGGTACCTAGGTGTCCACGTGTGCCTCGGGGTGTGTTTTTTCTCCTTGAGTCCGAGGGGACGCCCTGGAGCTCAGGTGCTCAAGGGCGTGCGCGGGGCTCGGCCGCCGGTGTCCCTGGAGATGCTTCTCTGGTCTGGTGTGACACGTGTGTACACAGTCCCCGCCCTCTCGTGAGCGCCCGGGTGCGTGTGCTCCCTCCCGACCACCCTGAGGAGCGAGGGTGCTGGTCCCCGAGAGGGCGGCGAGAAGGACGGAGGTAGAGGTTACTCACACGGCTCGGCGGGTGCGGCCCGGCTCAGCGCTCTCCGCTCTCTCTAGCTCCTCGCGCAGTCTTAACAGCAAAACTCTACTGAGCTCGGACGAAACTGGCGGGCTCCTGGGCCAATCACCGTGCAGCTCCCCGCCAGACGCTGGACCAATGGTTGTGCGCTTGAGGTCTGGCAACCGCCTCCCGCAAGATATCACCGGGTAATGTAGTCCTTCGCGACCAAGGGCAGGACAGCTGGACGGCGCACAGCTTCCTGGGAGATGTAGTCCGGCTGCTCGCGGGCGCGCGAGTTCGACCGACGCGTTAGAAGGAGGTGCCTTGCGAAGCCGGGCTGCGACCTTAGGGGTCGCCGTGCTCTGGCGTGTGACTCGAAAGTCAGCCTGCAGGCGGGGTCCAAGGTTAGGGCGCGGTAGACTTGACCCGCTTTCCTCAAACTCTGTTAATGCCAGAACCCGGATAATCTCAACTTGGTAAAGATGGCAGGAAGCCTAGCAAAAAGCTGGAGGACGTCGGGAAGAGAATAGATGAGAACAGTCCCCTCGGGGACGGGGAAGGCAAAAACACGAGTGTCCCCCCCTCTCACCCCGAGTTTTAGTATTTCTCATTATAAAAGTAATATTAAAAGTATATAGACAGAAAATATAGAAAGGAAGGAGGAAATGACTCATCCTACCGCCCGCACACAACTAGCGTCACGGTTTTGCGCGACAGTATTGCCTCCTGACTTTTTAATTGCATTTTTATATTCGTGTTATCATTTTGACGCACAATTTTAAGACATTTTTATTGTAGAAAATTTCAAGATACACAGAAGTGGAATAACCCGATGAAGCCGCGTAGAGTCGCTCTCCGACCTCAGCAGTTACGCGACTCATGGGGCAATCTTGTTTCCTCTATTTCTGCACCTACCTCGCACGCGCTGCCCAGCGTTATTCTGAAGTAAATACCATCACGTGTTTTCACCAGTAAATATTTCAGTATGTGTCTTTAAAGGACAAGCATTCCCTTTTTAATACGTATACATTATGCTTCACACACACACAAAACTGTCACTCCGACCCCCCAAAAAAACTTTTAATATCAAATATGAATTAGTGTTTACACTTTTCTGAAAGAAAGAAATGTTCTTCTTTTTTTTTTTTTTTTTTTTTTTTTTTTTTTTTTTTTTTTTTTGAGACAGTTTTGCTCTTGTCGCCCAGGCTGGAGTGCAATGGTGCTATTTCAGCTCACTGCAACCTTTGCCTCTGGGGTTCACACGATTCTCCTGCCTCAGCCTCCCGAGTAGCTGGGATTACACGCGTGCACCACTATGCCCAGCTAATTTTTTGTATCTTTAGTAGAGATGGGGTTTTGCCATGTTGGTCAGTCTGGTCTCAAACTTTTTTTTTTTTTTTGAGACAAGAGTCTCACTCTGTCACCCAGGCTGGAATGCAGTGGCACGATCTCGGCTCGGTGCAACCTCCACCTCCCGGGTTCAGGTGATTCTCCTGCTTCAGCCTCCTGAGTAGCTGGGACTACAGGCCTGCACCACCATACCCAGCTAATTTTTGTAGTTTTAGTAGAAACGGGGTTTCACCATGTTGGCCAGGCTAGTTTTGAACTCCTGACCTCAAGTGATCCACCCAGCTCGGCCTCCCAAGGTTCTGGGATTACAGGTGTGAGCCACCGTGCCTGGCTGAAATGTCCTTCTTAAAACAAGTTGTTTGCTTTTCTTTCTTTTTTTTTTGAGACGGAGTCTAGCTCTGTCCCCCAGGCTGGAGTGCAGTGGCGCGATCTTGGCTCACTGCAAGCTCCGCCTCCCGGGTTCACGCCATTCTCCTGCCTCAGCCTCTCCAAGTAGCTGGGACTACAGGCGCCCGCCACCACGCCCGGCTAATTTTTTGTATTTTTAGTAGAGATGGGGTTTCACCGTGGTCTCGATCTCCTGACCTCGTGATCTGCCCGCCTCGGCCTCCCAAAGTGCTGGGATTACAAGCGTCAGCCACCATACCCAGCCACAAGTTTGCTTTTCTAAGTGACAGAGCTCAGAAAACAAACAAAAATGTTTGTCTGAATTGAGATCTTGGTTGGGTGCAGTGGCTCACACCTGTAATCCCAGCACTGGGAGGCTGAGGTGGGTGGATTGCTTGAGGTCAGGAGTTCAAGACCAGCCTGACCAACATGTGAAACCGCGTCTCTACTAAAAATACAAAAATTAGCCAGGCATGGTGGTAGGCGCTTGTAATTCCAGCTACTTGGGAGGCTGAGGCAGGAGGATCACTTGAACCTGGGAGGGAGAGGTTACAGTGAGCCGAGATCGTGCCACTGCACTCCAGCCTGGGCAACAGAGTGAGACTCCGTCTCAAAGAAAAGAAAAAGAGTTGAGATCTGAACTGAACATTGCAACTGGAAGTCCTTTTAAAAATCTATTGTTTTTCTCCACTTTACTTTTTTTTTACTTGAAATTTGTTTTCTTTCATTTCCTTTCATTTTCCTTTCTTTCTCTATTTTATTATATTTGTTTTTTTTTAAGAAACTAGATAGAGCCAGGCTGGGGGTGCACACCTGTATTCCCAATATTAGGGAGACTGAGGGAGGAGGATCCCTTGAGCCCAGAAGTTCAAAGCTGTAGTGTGCAAAAATAGTGCCTGTGAATAGCCACTGTGCTCCAGCCTGGGAAACATAGCGACACTCCATCTCTACAAAAACTAAATAATACATTTTTTAAAAGAAAGAAATTAAGTGGTTTATGCTGTGGCATTTTCCCTAGTCTGGATTTTGCTGATCGCATCCCCATGGAGTTGTTTCCACATCTTCCTGTGTCCCTTGTGTTTTTTGTTTGTTTGTTTGTTGTTGTTGTTGCTGTTTTTGAGACAAAGTCTCACTCAGTTGTCCAGGCTGTGGTGCAATGGTGCAATCTCGGCTCACTGCAACCTGTGCCTCCTGGGTTCAAGGGATTCTCCAGCCTCAGCCTCCCAAGTAGCTGGGATTACAGGCACCCGCCATCATGTCCAGCTAATTTTTGTATTTTTAGTAGAGATGAGGTTTCACCATGTTGGCCAGGCTGGTCTCGAACTCCTGACCTCAGCTGATCTGCCTGCTTTGGCCTCCCGAAGTGCTGGGATTACAGGCGTGAGCCACCACACCTGGCCCCTATGTCCCTTGTGTTCTCTGCTAATTGGTAATTAGATCTAAAAGGTTTGATTAGACTGGGTTTGACTTTTTTTTTTTTTAGATAAGGTCTCACTTTGTCTCCCAGGCTAGAGTGCAGTGACACGATCTCAGCTCACTGCAGCCTCTACCTCTTGGGGTCAAGCTATCCTTCTGCCTCAGCCCCTAGTAGCTGGGACTACAGGCACGCGCCACCACACCCAGCTAATTTTTTGTATTTTTTGTAGAGACGGGGTTTTGCCATGTTGCCCATGGCAGTCTTGAACTCCTGAGCTCAGGCAATCTGTCTGCTTCAGCCTCCCAAAGTGCTAGGATTACAGGTGTCAGCCACTGAACCTGGCCTGATTTTTAAAATTTATTTCTTTATTTTTTGAGACAGAGTCTCACTCTGTCCTCCAGGCTGGAGTGCAGTGGCGCAATCGCAGCTCGCTGCAAACTCCGCCTCCTGAGTTCAAGCGATTCTCCTGCTTCAGCCTCCTGAGTAGTCGTGATTACAGGCATGTGCCACCTCGCCCAGCTAATTTTCGTATTTTTAGTAGAGACGGGGTTGTTTCACCATGTTGGTTGGGCTGGTCTCAAATTCCTGACCTCATGATCTGCCCGCCTTGGCCTCCCGAAGTGCTGGGATTACAGACGTGAGCCACTGCGCCCAGCCTTTTTTTTTTTTTTTTTTTAGACAGAATCTTGCTGTGTTGTCCAGGCTGGAGTACAGTCATACAGTAGTGTGATCTTGGCTCACTGCAACCTCCGCCTCCAGGGTTCAAGCGACTCTCCTGCCTCAGCCTCCTGAGTAGCTGGTACTACAGGCACATGCCACCAAACCTGGCTAATTTTTGTACTTTTAGTGGAGATGACGTTTCACCACATTGGCCAGGCTTGTCTCAAACTCCTGACCTCAAGTGATCTGCCCACTTTGCCCTTCCAAAGTGCTGGGATTACAGGCATGAGCCACTGTGCCTGGCCTGATTTTTTTTTTTGTAAAGACAGTCTCGCTCTGTTGCCCAGGCTGGAGTGCAGTGGCACAATCTTGGTTCACTGCAACCTCTGCCTCCTGGGTTCAAGCAATTCTCTTGCCTCAGCCTCCTGAGTAGCTGGGATTACAGATGCCCTCCACCATGCCCGGCTAATTTTTGTATTTTTAGTAGAGATGGGATTTCACCATGTTGGTCAGGCTGGTCTCGAACTCCTGACCTCAGGTGATCCACCTGCCTCAGCCTCCCAAAGTGCTAGGATTACAGGCATGAGCCACGGCGCCCGGCCAACGTTTTTTTTTTTTTTTTTTTTTTTTTTAAATGAGACTACTTACATGGTGTTGTGTATTTCCATGAGGAACACCATAATGCCTGCTTGTCTGTCATTTTGTGATGTTTGCAGCCATCGTGTCTCAAAAAAGAATTGGTTCCTGGCCAGATGCGGTGGCCCACACCTGTACCAGCACTTTGGGAGGCCAAGCTGGGTTGGTCATCTTGAGGTCAGGAGTTTGAGACCAGCCTGGCCAACATTGTGAAACCCCTGACCTCAAGTGATTTGCCTGCTTCAGCCTCCCAAAGTGCTAGGATTACAGGCATGAGCCACCGTGCCTGGCCTTAATTTTTGGTAGAGACAGCATAGGATCTCCCTATGCTGCTCAGGCTGGTCTTAAACTCCTGGGCCTCCCAAAGTCCTGGGATTACAGGTGTAAGCCACCATGCCTGGCCTTTACCAAAGAAATCTTTGCCTAGTCAAAGGTTATAAAGATTTTCTCCTATGTTTTCTAATAGAAATTTTATAGTTTTAGGTTTTACATCTAGGTCTCTGATCCATTTTTAGTTATTTTTTGTTTGGTATGAGATATTGAAGGTTTTTTTCTTGTACTTGGATATTTAATTGTTCTAGTACATGGAACTCTGTTTTTGTTGAAAAGTCTATTCTTTCTCCACTAAACTGCTCTGTTCATGTTTGTTGAAAATCAGTTCATGTGTACACAAAATGATGACCTTTTTTCTTTTTTCACTCAATGCAAGTAATGATAAGCATTGTCCACACAGGAAAAAGATAGTTAAAGGTGTTGCCGGGCACGATGGCTCACGCCTGTAATACCAGCACTTTGGGAGGCCGAGGTGAATGGGTCACCTAAGGTCAGAAGTTCAAGACCAACCTGGCCAACATGGTGAAACCCCGTCTCTACTAAAAGTACAAAAATTAGCTGGGCATGGTGGCAGGTGTCTGTTATCCCAGCTACTCAGGAGGCTGAAGCAGGAGAATCACTTGAACCCAGGAGGCGGAGGTTGCAGTGAGCTGAGATCACACTACTGCACTCCAGCCTGGGTGGCAAGAGTGAGACTCCATCTCAAAAAAAAAAAAGATGTTAAGGTGGGCTTGGTGCAGTGACTCATGCCTGTAATCCCAGCACTTTGCGAGGCCGAGACAGGTGGATCACTTGAAGTGAGGAGTTCGAGACCAGCCTGGCCAACATGGTGAAACCCCGTCTCTACTAAAAATACAAAAATTATCTGGGCGTGGTGGTGGGCACCTGTAATCCCAGCTACTCAGGAGGCTGAGGCAGGAGAATCACTTGAACCTGGGAGGAGGAGGTTGCAGTGAGCCGAGATCACTCCACTCCAGCCTGGACAACACAGCAAGACTCCATCTCAAAAATAAACAAAAATAAATAAATAAATAAAAATAAAGATGTTAAGTTGGCCCATAATGGGCAGAACCTAAAAAAGAAATTTGACTTCCTGTTCTAGTCGAAAGCGTCCCTCACTGTGGTCTTCCGGGCTGCACTGTCCTCCCTCACTCCCTCTGTCTCCTTGCTTAGGGATTGCCTTATTTCCCCATGCAAGTGCAGCCCTCATGTTTTATCTCTGTTGTCCAGGTCAGTTTGTGAACTGATTGCTAACCTCTTTCCAGATCATCTCTTTGGCTAAGGAGATCTTTGGCCCTACTTTGTTTTCCTGAACTAGAGCAAACCCACATTTTAGAATGGGCCTCTTCAAAGGCCAATCAGCAGATAAGCCAGGAAGGACCTTTGACTACAGGCTAATTGTAGGGTGACTTAGACCCAGGGCACCACAGATGGTCAGAACTGGAAAGATTCATGGAGGTCATTTCATCTGGCCGGGGCCCAGAAGGACTAGGAGATGTGCCTGCAGTCCCTCAAGGTCAGGTGGCAAATTGGTGGCTGGGATGAGATGAGACTGGAGGTAGATGCTAGTTTTCCTGGGCTGACCCGGATTGTAGTTTTTATATATTTCAAATTTGGCCATTTCATTTTAAGTTAAATATGTTTAGTAAATCTGAAAAGAGAAACCAGAAAGTAACGGTTCCCGTCAGCTTGGGGAAGTGAATCCTTCTGTGACTTCACCAACACTTACCCTAAAGAGGCCTATAAAAAGCTCCTTTGGACTTCCCCCGCCTCCTAAGAAGGAGTAAATATCTCCTTGGCCTTGACCAAATAGAGTTGGTATTTAGCAGCTGCTTGAGCTGATGCTTCTGAGGCAAATGAGTCTCTTAACATCTAACTGAGTTGGTCAGCTCTCTGTAAGAGGCCTGAAAGTCAGAAGGCAACTTGCTGTGTGTCTCTGGCAAGTAACTTTCCTTCTCTGGGCTGCAGTTCCTTCATCTGTTCAGATGGAGTTGGACTACAGGGTAGGTCAAGCCTTGCTGCCTCTGCACCTCCACAGTTCTAAAATATAATCTGCATTTTTTTTTTTTTTTGAGACGGAGCCTCGCTCTGTTGCCCAGGCTGGAGTGCAGTGGCGCAATCTCGGCTCACTGCAAGCTCTGCCTCCCGGGCTCAAGCCATTCTGCCTCAGCCTCCCGAGTAGCTGCGACTACGGGCACCTGCCACCACGCCCAGCTAATTTTTTGTATTTTTAGTAGAGACGGGGTTTCACCGTGTTAGCCATGATGGTCTCGATCTCTTGACCTCGTGATCCACCTGCCTCAGCCTCCCAAAGTGCTGGGATTACAGGCGTGAGCCACTGTGCCCGGCCTTTTTTTTTTTTTTTTTTTTTTTTAATGGAGATGGAGTCTCACTATGTTGTCCAGGCTGGTCTCGAGCTCCTGGCCTTAAGCAATCACCTCGCTTCAGCCTCCCAAAGTGCTGGGATCAAGGGTTTGAGCCACCATATGCCTGGACTTAAAAAAAACAACAACTCATCAAATATTGAGGGCCTGTTTTGGCCAGACACTGTTTTAGATGTTGGAGATTCAGCAGTGAATCAATCAGAATTCTTGCCCTCTTGGATCAGGCTTTCTTTCACTCAGCAATATGCAGCTAAGGTTTTTCCACAATTTCTCCTGGCCTGATAGTGTGTTTCTTTTTGGTGTGGAATAACATTTCATTGTGCGGTTCCAGCACACAGTTTGCTTATCCATTCACCTATTAAAGGATGTCTTAGCTGGGCACAGTGGCTCATGCCTGTAATCCCAGCACTTTGGGAGGCCGAGGTGGGCAGATCACGAGGTTAGGAGTTCGAGACCAGCCTGGCCAACATAGTGAAACCCCCGTCTCTACTAAAAATACAAAAAATTAGCTGGACGTGGTGGTAGGCGCCTGTAATCCCAGCTACTTAGGAGGCTAAGGCAGGAGAATTGATTGAACCTGGGAGGCGGAGGTTGCAGTGAGCTGAGATCATGCCATTGTACTCCAGCACAGGTGACAGTGCGAGACTCCGTCTCAAAAAACCCAAAAAAACAGGACATCTTAGTTGCTTCCAAGCTTTAGCATTTATGAATAAAGTTGCCATAAGCCTTCATGTGCAGGTTTTTGCATGGATATAAATCTCCATCATTTTATTTTATTTTATTTTATTTTTAAATGAGACGGGGTGTGCCCAGGCTGGTCTTGAACTCCTGACCTCAAGCAATCCACCCACCTTGGCCTTCCAAAGTGCTGAGATTACAGGCATGAGCCACTATGGCCGGCCTTCATTTTATTTTTTAAAACTTAATAGAGCTAAAGGGCTGAGGAAATAATGAGAAGCCAACCACTGATGGAGGATTCTGGAGGAAGTTCTGATAGGCTGCAAGCCCCAAAGATAGGGGCACCTTGGCAACAGTTCCTTTTTTTCTTTGTTCTTTCAGATTTACTCAGCAAATGACTCAAACACCAGTAAACTAAAATAAAAAAAAAAAAGAAAGAAAGAAAGAGAGGATTCACTGTCCAGTAACTTTCAATAGCTGATTTCTTACCCATTTTGACTTTCTTCTGTTGCTCTTCTCAGGGGAGTCAAACATCAAGAGGCTACAGGGCGCCGGGTGCGGTGGCTCACGTCTGTAATGCCGGCACTTCAGGAGGTCGAGGCGGGCGGATCATCTGACGTCAGGAGTTTGAGACCAGCCTGGCCAACGTGGTGAAACCCTGTCTCTACTAATAATAAAAAACTAGCTGGGTGAGGTGGCTCATGCCTGTAATCCCAGCACTTTGGGAGGCCGAGGCAGGCAGATCACTTGAGGTTAGGAGTTTGAAACCAGCCTTGCCAACATGGTGAAACCCCGTCTCTACTAAAACTATAAAAATTATCTGGGCGTGGTGGCACCTGCCTGTAATCCCAGCTACTCTGGAGGCTGAGGCAGGAGAATGGCTTGAATCCGGGAGGCGGAGGTTGCTGTGAGCTGAGATCGCGCCATTGCACTCCAGCCTAGGCAACAGGAGCGAAACTCCGTTGTTTCGCTACAGGAAATTCCAAAAAGAGGCTACAGGAAATGTCAATACCAGGCCAGAGAAGAAGGGTTCCCAAGTTTGCTGGAGGGTCTCAAGGCTTCCAGCTTTGTGGTTTTCGGCATTTGGTTCTCTTTGACCAGATCATCAACTGTTGTGGGTGACCACGCCTCCTCACTCATCACCTGTTTCTGAGCTTCTGTGAGAAAGAATTTTCTGGCTGGGCGCGGTGGCTCACTCCTGTAATCCCAGCACTTTGGGAGGCCGAGGTGGGTGGATCAACTGAGGTCAGGAGTTCAAGACCAGCCTGGCCAACATGGTGAAACCCCTTCTCTACTAAATATACAACAAAAATTAGCCAGGCGTGGTGGAAGGTGCCTATAATCCCAGCTACTCGGGAGGCTGAGGCAGGAGAATCGCTTGAACCTGGGAGGCAGAGGTTGCAGTGAGCCAAGATCACGCCACTGCACTCGAGCCTGGGCAACAAGAGCGAAAATCTGTCTCAAAAAATAAAATAAAAGGAATTTTTGCTGTGTCTGTGGGAAGCCCATCTTCACCCTGCCTGCCATCAAATGCACACAGAGAACAGAGTGCAGCCCTGTCGTGAAGGTAGAGGTGTCTGTGTGTGGAAGGGTTGACATGTCCCACATCCACCGCAAACCATGTCTTCTTTTATTTTTTATTTTTTGAGACAGAGTCTCGCTCTGTAGCCCAGGCTGGAATGTAGTGGCAGCGGTTTTGGCTCACTGCAACCTCTGTCTCCAAAGTTTCAGCAGTTCTCCTGCCTCAGCCTCCTGAGTAGCTGGGATTACAGGCACGCGCCACCACACCCAGCTAATTTTTTATTATTAGTAGAGACAGAGTTTCACCATGTTGGCAAGGCTGGTCTCGAACTCCTAACCTCAGGTGATCTGCCTTCCTCGGCCTCCCAAAGTGCTGGGATTCCAGGCGTGAACCACCGCGCCTAGCCACAGACCACGTCTTCTTCCGTGACAATTTACGGTTCCTGACTCAAGGATGACTACCTCTCCCAGCACTTTGGAAGGCTGAGGCAGGAGGATTACTTGAGCCCAGGAGTTCAAGACCAGCCTGGGCAACAATAGTGAGACTTTGTTTCTACCAAAAAAAAAAAAAAAAAAAAACCGCTGGATGTGTGGCACGCGCCTGTAGTCCTAGCTCCTTGGGAGGCTGAGGTGGAAGGTTCTCTTGAGCCTGGGAGGTCAAGGCTACAGTGAGCCAAAATCATGCCACTGCACTCCAGCCTGGGAGTGCAGGACCCCGTCTCAAAAACAAAAAATGGGCCGGGCGAGGTGGCTCACGCCTGTAATCCCGGCACTTTGGGAGGCCGAGGCAGGAGGATCATGAGGTCAGGAGATCAAGACCATCCTGGCTAACATGGTGAAACCCCGTCTCTACTAAAAATACAAAAAATTAGCTGGGCGTGGTGGAGGGCACCTGTAGTCCCAGCTACTTGGGAGGCTGAGGCAGGAGAATGGTGTGAACCCGGGAGGTGGAGCTTGCAGTGAGCTGAGATCGCACCGCTGCACTCCAGCCTGGATGACAGAGTGAGACTCCATCTGAAAAAAAAAAAAAAAAAAAAAGTTGACTACTTTTGGGAGCTCCAAATCTAAGAAGCAGGCTATGAGAAAATGGGCCTAAAGCCTCCTCAAATCCATAGCAAATCAGGCAGGGTGGTCATGTCATTACTCCCAAGACAGAAACAGATTTTCTCCTGTCCCAGTATTGATACATTTCTTTCCACTGGGCTTTTCCTGTATTTAAGTGATGTGTTTTTGTTTTTAACACAATTATAATCCTACTGTACATGTAAGATTATGCGCTTTCATTTAACATTGTACTATGATGATGTTTTCCATGTTTTTTAAGTTTTTCATAAAGTATAACTTTTGTTGGTTGTATCACAATCTTTTTTTTCTTTTTTGAGATGAGATCCTCCTCTGTTGCCCAGTGGCAGTGCAGTGGCATGATCACGATTTATTGCAGCCTTGACGGCCCAGACTCATGCAATTCTCCCACCTCAGCTTCCTGAATAACTGGGACCACAGGTGTGTACCACCATGCCTGGCTAATTTTTATTTTATTATTTGTAGAGATGAGGTTTTCCTATGTTGTCCAGGTTGGTCTCCAACTCCTGGGATCAAGCAATCCTCCCGTCTCAGCCTTCCAAACTGCTTGGATTACAGGCATGAGCCACTGCACCTGGCTCATAATGATTTTTAAAGCTTATTTGTATTAAGATATAATTCACATAACATTAAAAAACATCAAAAAACTGTATGTTTAAAAATATACAGCTTCGTGGGGTTTGTTTAGTATATTGTGCAATCATCACCGCTATCCAATTCCAGAGCTTTTTTTTTTTTTTTTTTTGAGACAGAGTTTTGCTCTTGTTGCCCAGGCTGGAGTGCAGTGGTACCATCTTGGCTCGCTGCAACCTCCGCCTCCCAGCTTCAAGCAATTCTCCTGCCCCTGCCTCCCGAGGGTGGGGAGGGATTACAGGCACCCGCCACCACATGAAGCTAATTTTCAGATTTTTGGTAGAGACAGGGTTTCACCCTGTTGGCCAGGCCAGTCTCGAACTCCTGACCTCAAGTGATCCACCCGCCTCGGCCTCCCCAAGTGCTGGGATTACAGGTGTGAACCACTGCACCTGGCCAGCACCATCTTATTAATACATTCCCACCAGCGAGGTCTGCGGTTCCAGTTTCTCGCCATCCCCGCTGACACTCGATGTTTTTTCTTTGGTGGATGCTCACATGCTTCTGCATGAGCCTTTTTCCCTCCTTTCCCCACGCCTCAGTTCTGGAGTCACCGTCTCTCTGAAGTCTCTCCTGACCCCATCCAAGTCGGCCTCCCCTCTGCTCTCCTTGCCCCGCTGCCTTCTGGGATGGATTACTGCTCAGTATCTGCCACGGTATCTCCGGCTTCCTGAGGGCTGGTGTTTGGTAACTTTCTTATGCATCTCTGTCTCCAGCACCTGGGCCTGTGTTCGACGGCTCAGTAGACACTAGAGTGCAGGGATGGAGATGACACACCACCCAGCATGGCTCAGAGTGAAGTGATTTCCCCCTTCCACATCCTCATCTGCCTCCACCCCATGAAAGTATTTATAGACAGGGAATCGTGGGAGTGGAGAACTACGTACGTAGCAGGGTTGAGTAGAGAAAGATGGGAAATGTCCACAGACGTCTTTTCTTTGCTCCCCTTTGCGGTGGGGATTCTGGAGATGTCAGGGACTGTGGGGATTGGCTGCTTGGTAGGCAGACATGAATGATGGGGTATCAGGACTAGATTCAGCTGCCCTGAAAGTGACAGAGCCCCACAATAGTGGCTTGAATTCATCAAAGTCCACAGTAAGCTCACCAGGGCTGGTTCAGCCACTGTCTCCATCAACTTCCCAGGAGCAGAGCACTGGCCCCTTCCAGCCCACCATGCCACAACCCTTAGGGCAGAAGGACCCAACCCAGTACGGGTCTGTGGCCTGTAAGGAGCTGGGCCCCACAGCAGGAGATGATGGCGGGCGAGCAAGCATTACCGCCTCCTGTCAGATCAGCGGCGGCACTAGATTCTCACAGGAGCACGAACCCTACGTGAACTGCGTACGCGAGGGATCTAGGTTCCACGCTCCTTATGAGAATCTAATACCTGATGATCTGAGGTGGAACAGTTTCATCCCAAAACCGTTCCCCCTCCACCGTGGGAAATTGTTTTCCATGCAACCGGTGACAAAAAGGTTGGGGACCGCTGCCCTAGGGTGTGGCCATCAGTGTCAGCAGCCAGAGCTCCAGACATCACATGGGTAGTGAAGCAACAGGATGGAGACATGATTGCAAGAGAAAGGGGTTCCAGGAAGGTTATCTGGGGCCGTCATATGAAAATTTTACTTGAATCCTATTGGCCAGAGCTGAGTCACATGGCTGCACCTAAATGTCAGTAGCTGGGACAGGTGGTCTTTACTCTGGGTAGTCATATGCAAGCTAAAAATTGGGTATTCTCTGGCTGGGCATGGTGGCTCACACCTGTAATCCCAGCACTTTGGGAGGCCGAGGTGGGTGGATCACTTAAGGTCAGGAGTTCAAGACTACCTTGGCCAATACGGTGAAACCCCGTCTCTACTAAAAATACAAAAATTGGCTGGGCGTGGCGGTGGGTGCCTGTAATCCCAGCTACCTGGGAGGCTGAGGCAAGAGAATTGCTTGAACCCGGGAGGCGGAGGTTGCAGTGAGCCAAGATTGTGCCACTGCACTCCAGCCTGGATGAAAGAGTGAGACCTTGTCAATAATAATAATAATTGGGCATTTTCCTACTATGGAAGAAGAGGGGGGAAGGTGGCAGAAAACATGTCTGCCCAGATGGATAGATGAAGAGAAACATCTATTGAGGAAGTATATGATTCCTCTGGCATTAGGCTGGATATTTTATTTTATTTTATTTTTCCAGATGGAGTTTCGCTCTTGTCGCCCAGGCTGGAGTGCAATGATGCGATTCGGGTCACTGCAACCTCCGCCTCCTGGATTCAAGCGATTCTGCTGCCTCAGCCTCCTGAGTAGCTGGGATTACAAGCATGGGCCACCAGGCCTGGCTAATTTTTTGTACTTTTAGTAGAGATGGGGTTTCACCATGTTGGTCAGGCTGGTCTCAAACTCCTGACCTCAAGTGATCAACCTGCCTCAGCCTCCTAAAGTCCTGGGATTACAGGTGTGAGCCACCGTGCCTGTCCAGGCTGGATATTATATACATTAGCCATGTCTCCCAAAAACCCTAGGAGGCCAACATCACATTCCATCATACTGCTGAGGAAACAAGCTCAGAGGCATCAGCCACCTCGCCCAAGGTCACATAACCAGCAGGATCTGGAGCTAGGACCAAGAACCCAGTTCTGTGGGATTTTTTGTGCACCTCCCCCACTGCCAAATTCATACTTTGAGGCCCTAACCCCACAATGCAATGGTGTTATCAGTTTGTTCTCCCTGCTATAAAATACCTGAGACTTGGTAGTTTATAAAGGAAAGAGGTTTAATTGGCTCATGGTTCTGCAGGATGTACAGGAAACATGGCTGGGGAGGCCTCAGGAAACTTACAATCATGGTGGAAGGTGATGGGGAAGGGACATCTTACACTGCCAGAGCAGGAGAAAGAGAGCGAAGGGAGAGGTGCTATATGCTTTTTTTTTTTTTTTTTTTTTTTTTTTGACACGGTCTCTGTCGCCCAGGCTGGAGTGCAGTGGCATGATGTTGGCTCACTGCAACCTCTGCCTCCCAGGCTCAAGCGATACTCCCACCTCAGCCTCCCAAGTAGCTGGGATTACAGGCGCCTGCCACCACGCCTGGCTAATTTTTGTATTTTTAGTAGAGATGGGGTTTCACCATGTTGGCCAGGCTAGTCTCAAACTCATGACCTCAAGTCATCTCCCCGCCTCGGCCTCCCACGGTGCTGGCCTGGCTGCCCTGTGTTTTGAGATCATGCTCCTCACCCATCTGCACTTTGAGTTCTACAGCTGAGGGGGAGAGGTCTTCTTCCCATGGATTACTTTTCTCAGGCTGCAAAAGTGTTTGGAAGAGCAGCCTTATGGTCAGAAGGCATTTGAAAAACAACTTATATTCCTTACTCACAACAAAATAGTTTTTATTTGTTTTTTTGAGACGGAGTCTCACGGTGTCACCCAGGCTGGAGTGCAGTGGTGCGATCTCGGCTCACTGCAACCTCCGCCTCCTGGGTTCAAGCAATTCTCCAGTCTCAGCCTCCTGAGTAGCTGGGACTACAGGTGCCTGCCACCACACCCAGCTAATTTTTTGTATTTCTAGTGGGGATGAAGTTTCTACATGTTGGCCAGGCTGGTCTTGAACTCCAGATCTTAAGTGATACACCTGCCTCAGCCTCCCAAAGTGCTGGGATTACTGGTGTGAGCCACTGCGCCTGGCCTATTTGCTCCTTTAATGAACTTTCGTCTTCACTAGTGGTCTCAGGACAAGCAGAGCAGGCAGTGGAAGAGCCTTGGAGCTCACCTGGCCATCGGTTTAAATGTGCCATTTAGACATGATTTCTTGAGGCCAGGTGTGGGGGCTTTCACCTGTAGTCCTAGCACTTTGGGAGGCTGAGGCAGGAGAATTGCTTGAGGCCAAGAGTTCAAGATGAACCTGGCCAACATAGCAAGACCCTGTCTCTAAAAAAAGAAAAAAAAAAGACACAATTTTGTCTGTATGAGATCAAATGCCAAACCACTGCACACAGACAAGTAATTCAGTAGGGAAGTGAGATCAACATTTGTACAGAGAAATCAATACCTTCCCATAGACAAATGACAGCTAGCTAGAAAATGGGAGGCCGGGCATAGTGGCTCCTGCCTGTAATCCCAGCACTTTGGGAGGCTGAGGTGGGCAGATCACTTGAGCTCAGGAATTCAAGACCAGCCTGGGCAACATGGCGAAACCCCATCTCTACAAAAAGTACAAAAATTAGGTGGGCATGGTGGTACTTGCCTATAGTCCCAGCTACTCAGGAGGCTGAGGTAGGAGGATTGCTTGAACCCAGAGGGTCGAGGCTGGGATGAGCTGTGTTCACACCACTGTACTCTAGCCTGGGTAACAAAATGAGACCATGACTCAATAAATAAATAAATAGATAGATATAAATTTAAAAACAAAAATAAATAAATTAGCTGGGTGCAGTGGCACATGTCTGTAGTCCTAGCTACATGGAAGGCTGAGGTGGAAGGATCACTTGAGCCCAGGAGGTGGAGGTTTCAGTGAGCCATGATCACACCACTGCACTCCAGCCTGGGTGACAGAGCAAGACCTTATCTCAAAAAAAAAAAAAAAGATGGAAGAAGATAAGGTCTGCTTTAAAATATCAACAAAGATGATAAAATATCTGGGAACAAATGTCACAAGAAACATGCAAAATCTCCATAAGGAAAATGTTCCCAAAGGACATGAAACTGGAAAGACATGGCAAGTCCTCGGATAGGGAGACTCAACATCACAAAACGCCAGTTCTTCTTAGTTTACAAATTTAACATGATCCAAATAAAAACACCAAGAGCCTTTTTTCTGGAAGGAAACAAGCTGATGCTAAAGTTTACATTGAAAATATAAACAAGGCCGGGCGTGGTGGCTCATGCCTGTAATCCCAGTACTTTGGGAGGCTGAGGCAGGCGGATCATGACGTCGTCAGGAGTTCAAGACCAGCTTGGCCAACATGGTGAAACTTCATCTCCTCTCTCTCTTTTTTTTTTTTTTTGAGACGGCGTCTCGCTCTGTTGCTCAGGCTGGAGTGCAGTGGTGCGATCTCGGCTCACTTCAGCCTCTGCCTCCTGGGTTCACGCCATTCTCCTGCCTCAGCCTCCCAAGTAGCTAGGACAATAGGCGCCCACTACCACGCCCAGCTAATTTTTTGTATTTTTAGTAGAGATGGGGTTTCACTGTGTTAGCCAGGATGGTCTCGATCTCCTGACTTGGTGATCCGCCCGCCTCAGCCTCCCAAAGTGCTGGGATTACAGGCATAAGCCACCGCGCCTGGCCGTTTTTTTTTTTTTTTTTGAGACAGAGGCGTGCTTTGTTGCCCAGGCTGGAGTGCCATGGCGTAATCTCAGCTCACTGCAATCTCTGCTTCCTGGGTTCAAGCGATTCTCCTGCCTCAGCCTCCTGAGTAGCTGGGACTATAGGCGTGTGCCATCACACCTGGCTAATTTTTGGATTTTTAGTAGAGACAGAGTTTCACCATGTTGGCCAGGCTCGAACTCCTGACCTCAAGTGATCTGCCCGCCTTGGCCTCCCAAAATGTTGAGATTACAGGTGTGAGCCACCATGCCGGCTGGTGAACCCCGTCTCTACAAAAATACAAAAATTAGCCAGGTGTGGTAGCGGGTGCCTGTAATCCCAGCTACTCGGGAGGCTGAGGCAGGAGAATTTCTTGAACTAGGAAGTCAGAGGTTGCAGTGAGCCGAGATCACGCCATTGCACCCTAGCCTGGGCAACAAAGCGAGATTCCGTCTCCAAAAAAAAAAGAAAGAAAATAAAAGATAAACAAGAAGAGCCAGGACATACTGAGAAGAGCAATGGGAAAAGAATGGCCGATCTGACATCAGAAACTTAGTGTGCCGCACTAGCCCACGGGCAGACTGCAGAGTAACAGAGGCCCAGAAACAGGACCCCAGTATACAGAGGACATGGACACTCATTATACAGAACGCACCTGCTCGCAGGGGGCTGCCGATGGACCTGTGAGTAAATACTATCTGGACAAGCGTGTAGTCATCTGGAAAAAAGGAGAGCTGAATCCATCTCTCACACTGATATCAGGATACCTTTAAACGGATCAAAGATTTAAACAGGCCAGGCGCAGTGGCTCACACCTATAATCCTAGCACTTGGGAGGCCTAGGTGGGTGGATCACTGGAGGTCAGGAGTTCAAGACCAGCCTGGGCAACATGATGAAACCCTGTCTCTACTAAAAAATACAAAAATCAGCCAGGCGTGGTGGTGCATGTCTGTAGTCCCAGCTACTCGGGAGGCTGAGGCAGGAGAATCACTTGAACCCAGGAGGTGGAGGTTGCAGTGAGCTGAGATCGTGCCATTGCCCCTCCAGCCTGAGCAACAGAGCGAGATCCGTCTTAAAAAAAAAAAGAAAGAAAAGAAAATACAGATGGGTGTGGTTGTAATCCCAACACTTTGGGAGGCTGAGGTGAGAGATCACTTGGAGCCTAGGAGTTTGAGACCAGCCTGGGTAACATAGTGAGACCTCATCTCTACAAAAAATATAAAAATTAGCTGGGTGTGGTGGTGTGTTCCTGGAGTCAGCTACTTGGGAGGCTGAGGTGGGAGGATGGCTTGAGCCTGGGAAGTTGAGGTTACAAGAGCTGTAGTTGTGTCACTGCACTGCAGCCTGGATGACAGAGTGACAGCCTGTCTCAAAAAAAAAAAAAACTGTAAAACCAAAAAACAAAAATCTATGAATTATTTTGCACTCGGTAAGAACAGAATAAGAATCATGGATAGGCACAGGGCTGACCAGAAGCTGGCTGAACTCAAAATGATTTACCAGATGTGGGCACTAGCATAGATTAACCCATCTTGTGCTAGTTACTTAATACACCTTATCCTGTGTAATCTTATAACCCACACTCAGCCTAAATTTTTTTTTTTTTTTTTTTTTGAGATGGAGTCTTGCTCTGTCGCCCAGGCTGGAGTGCAGTGGCGCAAACTCAGCTCACCGCAACCTCTGCCTTCTGGGTTCAAGTGATTCTTGCCTCAGCCTCCCAAATAGCTGGGATTATTACTGCATGTTCCACCACACCCGGCTAATTTTTGTGGCTTTTTTTGACAGGCAGTCTCTCTCTGTCACCCAGACTGGAGTGCAATGGTGCAATCTTGGCTCACTGCAACCTCCGCCTCCCAGCTTCAAGCAATTCTCCTGCCTCAGCCTCCCAAGTAGCTGGGATTACAGGCACCTGCCACCATGCCTGGCTAATTTTTGTATTTTTAGTAGAGACGTGGTTTCACCATGTTGGCCAGGCTGGTCTCGAACTCCTGACCTCAAGTGATCCGCCTGCCTCGGCCTCCCAAAGTGCTGGGATTACAGGTGTGAACCACTGCGCCCGGCCAATTTTTGTGTTTTTAGTAGAGACGGGGTTTTACCATGTTGAATAGGCTGGTCTTAAACTGACCTCAAGTGATCCACCCACCTAGGCCTCCCAAAGTGCTGGGATTACAGAATTGAGCCACTGTGCCCGCAGGAGGATGGAGGAAGGGAGGATGGAGGAAGGGAGGATGGAGGAAGGGGGCAGGCAGTTGGGATTTCGAGACTGCAGGGGAGCAAGAGCCCCCTGGGAGCTGATCAGGAAGGGGTTCTCAGGAGATGTGGGGTCTGTAGATCTAGTTCTTATGACAGGCTGGGGATAAGCAGAGAGCAGAGAGGAGGAGCTGAAGGTTAGTTAGAGAGGAGAGGACAGCGGCTGGGGCAGAGGTGGCCTGTGAGTAAATACTATCTGGACAAGCGTATAGCCATCTGGAAAAAAGGAGAGCTGAATCCATCTCTCACACCGATATCAGGATACCTTTAAATGGATCAAAGATTTAAACAGGCCAGGCACAGCGGCTCACGCCTGTAATCCCAGCACTTTGGAGGGCCAGTGCAGGGGGATCGATTGAGCTCAGGAGTTGGAGACCAGCCTGGGCAACATGGTGAAACCCTATCACTACTAAAAATACAAAAATTTAGCCGGACATGGTGGTGTGTGTCTGTGGTCCCAGCTACTTGGGAGGCTGACGTGGTAGGATTGGTTGAGCCCAGGAGGTGGAGGTTGCAGTGAGCTGAGGTTTTGCCTGTGATCTGGGAGAAAGGTAGATGCTGACCAAAGGCAAAGACTCAGAAGGGATTTGGTTGGCCAAAGGCTTGGAGAATTGGACCAGGTGCAGACTGTATGAGATCTTGAATGCCAAGATCCTAATCAGCACCTGTCACGATGTACTTAATCGTTGCAGTTGCAAAACACCCGTGTACATAATCACGTTGGATCCTCAGAGCAACCTAGGGACATTTTCCTTGGTTTGATTTTTAAACAGATGAAGGAATGGGGGTGAGAGGTTAAGGGCCCTGGTCGTGGCCAGGCGCCATGGCTCACGCCAGTAATCCCAGCAATTTGGGAGGCTGAGGTGGGTGGATCACTTGAGGCCAAGAGTTCAAGATCAGCCTGGGCAACACAGCGAAACCCCGTTTCTATTAAAAATACAAACAACCAGCCAGACATGGTGGAACGTGCCTGTAATCCTAACTCGGGAAGCTGAGGTGGGAGAATCGCTTGAACCCGGGAGGCGGAGGTTGCAGTGAGCTGGGATTGCATCACTGCACTCCAGCTTGGGCGATAGAGTCTTGCTCTGTTTCAAAAAAAAAAAAAAAAAAAAAAAGGAAGAAAAAAGGAGAAAAAGGGGGCCCTGGTCACACAGCGAGGAATAAAGGCCCTGGCCTCAGGCCTGCGATCTCATGCTCTTTGTCCTACATCACACTGCTCCTGAGGGGCAGGAGCCTGGACTTTGCCCTCTTTGGACAGGCTGGGGAAAGAGGCAGGGTGGAGAGACAGGAGGAGGTTTTGTGGCAGTGGGGAGAGGGGGACGAAGGGCCGGGACCAGGATGGTACCAGGGAGCATTTCCCTGCAGCCCTGTCCCTGGAGCCCTGTGGCGTCCCTGGTGCTGTGGACTCTTGGCTCACCTCCTGCCGCTCTGGCCTCTCTCCTGTGTGCTTCCTGCCTTCCCCTCGCCCAGCCCTCAGGGCTGTGCTTCCTTATGGGGACTGGAGTATGTGAGGCCTCACCCGTGGCCATGGTTTCAGGGCCACCTCCACACTGACAACACCTGGATCTCGATCTCCTGTCAGATCTGTCTCCTGAGCTCCAGGTGAACACACCCTGCTGCTTTCTAGATGATTGTCCTCAGGCACCTCAAATCCAACCCTCCAGCCTTTCTCTCTGCTTCACCCCACCCTGCCCCTCTTCCCCTAGTTCCCCATCTCAACAAACAAAAGCCACAGATCCCCCCACTGCCCTGCAGCCATCTGGACCTGCCTTTCCCTCCACCCCAGGTCTTCCCAGCTCCTCCTAAATACAGCTCAACGCCCTTGGCCCTCTGCCACTCCCTTCACTGGGACAACATCAGCAGTTTCTTTATTTTTTTTAGACGGAGTCTCACTCTGTTGCCCAGGCTGGAGTGCAATGGTGTGATCTTGGCTCACTGCAACCTCCGCCTCCCGGGTTCAAGTGATTCTCCTGCCTCAGCCTCCTGAGTAGCTGGGACTACAGGCACACGCAACCACGCCTGGCTAATTTTTGTATTTTTAGTAGAGACAAGGTTTCACCATATTGGCCCGGCTAGTCTCAAACTCCTGACCTCTGGTGATCCACCCACCTCGGCCTCCCAAAGTGCTGGGATTACACAGCTGGCTAATTTTTGTTATTTCTTGTAGGGGCAAGGTTTTGCCATGTTGCCCAGGCTGGGGTATATGGTTTCTTTTGGGGTATGACAGTGTTCTAAAATGGATTGTGGTGGCTGGCACAGTGGATCATGTCTGTAATCCCAGCACTTTGGGAGGCCAAGGTGGGAGGGTCGCTTGAGGACAGGAGTTTGAGACCAGCCTGAGCAACATAGTGAGACCCTGTCTCTACTAAAAAACATAAAATAAAATGGATTGTGGTGATGATTGCATAACTGTGAATACTAAAAAACATTGAATAATATACTTTAGATGGGTCACTTAAAAATGTTACATTGATCATATCTCCATAAAACTTTTTTTTTTTTTTTTTTTTGAGACAGAGTCTCGCTCTGTCGCCCAGGCTGGAGTGCAGTGACGCCATCTCGGCTTGCTGCAACCTCTGCCTCCCAGGTTCAAGTGATTCTCCTGCTTTAGCCTCCTGTGCAGCTGGAATTACAGGCGTGGGCCACCATGCCCGGCTAATTTTTGTATTTTTAGTAGAGACTGGGTTTCACCAGGTTGGCCAGGCTGGTTGTGAACTCCTGACCTCAGGTGATCTGGCCCCCTCGGCCTCCAAAAGTGCTGGGATTACAGGCATGAGTCACCATGCTCGGCCTAAAATCTTCAAAAAATTTTAAAATTCGCTAGGTGTGGTGGTACCACCTGTAGTCCCAGTTCCTTGGGAGATTGAGGTGGGAGGATGGCTTGAGCCCAGGAGTTTGAGGCTGCAGTGAGCTATGATCACACCACTGCACTCCAGGCTGGGCCATGGAGCAAGACTCTTGTCTCTTAAAAAAAAAAAAAAAAATTGGCTGGGTGCGGTGGCTCATGCCTGTAATCCCAGCACTTTAGGAGGCCGAGGAGAGTGGATCACCTGAGGCTGGGAGTTCGAGACCAGCCTGATCAACATGGAGAAACCCCCGTCTCTACTAAAAATACAAAATTAGCCAAGTGTGATGGCTCATGCCTATAATCCCAGTTACTCGGGAGGCTGAGGCAGAAGAATCGCTTGAACCCAGGAGCTGGAGGTTGTGGTGAGCCGAGATTGCACCATTGCACTCCAGCCTGGGCAACAAGAGCAAAACTCCGTCTCAAAAAAAAAAAAAAAAAAAAAAAAAAGGCTGAGCACAGTAGCTCATGCCTGTAATCCCAGCATTTTGGGAGGCCGAGGCAGGCAGATCACTTGAGGTCAGGAGTTCGAGACCAGCCTGGCCAAATTGGTGAAACCCCGTCTCTACTAAAAATACAAAAATTAGGCCACGGGCCAGGCACGGTGGCTCACTCTTGTAATCCCAGCCCTTTGAGAGGCCAAGGCAGGTGGATCACGAGGTCAAGAGTTCAAGACCAGCCTGGCCAGCATGGTGAAACCCCATCTGTACTAAAACTACAAAAAAATTAGCTGGGCATGGTGGCATGCCTGTTGTCCCAGCTACTCGGGAGGCTGAGGCTGAAGAATTCCTTGAACCCGGCAGGCAGAGGTTACAGTGAGCCGAGATTGTGCCACTGCACTCCAGCTTGGGCGACAGAGTGAGACTCCATCTCAAAAAAAAAAAAAAAAAAATTAGGCAAGGTGGCGGGTGCCTATAGTCCCATCTACTCAAGAGGCTGAGGCAGGAGAATCACTTGAACCCAGGAGGCGGAGGTTGGAGTGAGCAGAGATCGTGCCACTGCACTCCAGAGTAAGACTCTGTCTCAGAAAAAAAAAAAAAAAAAAAAAAAAGGCCAAGTGTGGTGGCTTATGCCTTTAATCCCAACACTTTGGGAGGCTGAGGCGGGAGGATCCCTTGAGTGCAGGAGTTCAAGACTAGTCTGGGCAATATAGTGAGACCCCATCTCTGTGAAATTTTTTTTAATTAGCTGGGCATGGTGGTGCGCACGTCCAGCTACTCGGGAGGTTGAGGCGGGAGGATCACTTGAGCACAGGACTTCAAGCAAGCAGTGAGCTATGATCATGCCACTGCACTCCAGCCTGAGACAAAGCAAGACTTCGTCTCAAAAAAAAAAAAAAAAAAAAAAAAAAAAAGACATTCAGAGAGAAATTGGCTTGTCCTATGCAGCTAGGTCTGGAGAGTGGGGTTCGTGCCGAAGAGCCAGCCCCATCTGTAAGGAGATGGCGCAGATGCTGGTCTTACGAAAGCTGTCACTGCTGCTTCCTTCTATTTTAGATGACAAGCAATTCTACTTCCTTTTCCAAAACCTCATATTTTTTTCTTTTCTTTTTTTTTTTTTTGAGACAGAGCTTCACTCTTGTTGCCCAGGCTGGAGTGCAATGGCATGATCTTGGCTCACCGCAACCTCCACCTCCTGAGTTCAAGTGATTCTCCTGCCTCAGCCTCCTGAGTAGCTGGGATTACAGGCATGCACCACCATGCCCAGCTAATTTTGTATTTTTAGTAGAGATGGGGTTTCTCCATGTTGGTCAGGCTAGTTTCAAACTCCCAACCTCAGGTGATCTGTCCGCCTCGGCCTCCCAAAGTGCTGGGATTACAGGCGTGAGCCACCGTGCCCGGCCAAAACCTCCTATTTTTTGCTGGGCCTCTCAAGTTTCTCCCCAGGTCCTATCCCCAGCATTGTCCCTGGATAGGCAGTGTGGCTGCTGTAACAGACAACCCTCCTCCCCCCGTCAGTGATGCAACACAGCTGATATTTGTTTCATTTTTTTGAGACGAGGTCTCGGTCTCTGCTGCCCAGGCTGGAGTGCAGTGGCAGAATCATGGCTCACTGTAGCCTCGACCTTCCAGACTCAGGCAATCCTCCTGCCTCAGCCTCTTTGAGTAGCTGGGACTACAGGAGCACACCACTGAGTCTGTCTAATTTTTTGTAGAGACAGGGTCTCACTATATTGCCAGACTGTTCTCAATCTCTTGGGCTAAAGTGATCCTCCCAAAGTGCTGGGATTACAGGCATGAGCCACTGTGCCCCGCCCCAGACATGTTCCAAATCTAGCAGGTGCTCTGGGTCTTCTGCTGGCTCTCCTGCATCCACCCACAGGCAAGAGAAGCAACAAAGTGGGGAGGCCACAAGGCCCCAAACACACCACACACGTCAGGACTGGAGCACATGGCTGCTTGGAACTGCAGGGAGGTTGGGCACATGGTCCAGACAACTGGTCGGGAGAGAGCCAGGTGAGCACTGCGCACACTCTGCTGCAGAGCCTGACTTCACTCAGCTAACACGACCCTAGCCTCTTCCAGGCTATCCGGATTCTGGTCTCCGCACCACTGCAAGTCAGATGTTCCTAAAACTTATCTTTCATCGTACCGCTGATCTATAAGAGCTACAGAAGCAGCCAGGCATGGTGGCTCACACCTGTAATCCCAGCACTTTGGGAGGCTGGGGCGGGTGGATCACCTGAGGTCGGGAGTTTGAGATCAGCCTGGCCAACATGGCAAAACCCCATCTCTACTAAAAATACAAAAATTAGCTGGGCATGGTGGTGCACACCTGTAATCCCAGCTACTGGAGAGGCTGAGGAAGGAGAATTGCTTGAGCCCAAGAGGCAGAGGTTGCAGTGAGCTGAGATCGTGCCACGGCACTCCAGCCTGGGTGAGTGAGACTCTGTTTAAAAAAAAAAAAAAAAAAAAAAGCTACAGAAGCCTCCTGTGTCAACAGGCAGAATGGGCATCGCTCAGCCTGCATTCGAGTCCCCCACAAACCCCACCTGGGCTCTTTCTTCCTCGTTGCAGGAGGCTACTCAGGCTCCCTCAAGCCATGTCCAGGCAGGTGCTCGCTAACACCGCCACGCCTCTACTAGACCACCTGCTCTGGGTGTCTACTGTCCTATTAGTAACTGTCCAAACTCATTTCACCCAATCCCCAGGGCAAGTCCCATCTGCCTCCAAGCCTCCCTTTGAGCCTGTGCTGTCTACATTTCCTCTTTGAGTCTCTCTCATGCAAGGGCTTGCATAATACAAGGATCAGGACTGAAGAGTGCGTCTGTGTCAAGGACAGAAGGCTCCAGTGGGGCAGTTTCCAGTTTCAGGGTGACTCAGGGCAGCAATGCCACCGTGCAGGAATGGAAAGCGGTGGTTGATGGTGTGAGAAGACACGGGGGCCCTCCTCAGCCTCCAGTTAGAGGGGAGATAATTGCCTCCAATTCCACACGCCCCAGGAATGACGTTCACCATCAATCCCTACAGGTGTGGGCAACACATGTGTAACAGAGTAAATGAAAAAGGGTACACCCTCGCCCCTTGCTTCCCTAGCACAGCGCAGGATGAGGGGTGGGGTTACAGCAGGAGGCAAACATCCACCCTTTCACCCCAGGCTCGGGCCCTTGCACAGGCCTGCAGCACGAGGCGAGCCCTCAGGACCTGGCAGCTGCTATTTTGGAGGCCAACACTGCTGACGCCACGACTCACACTCAGAGAATGGCTGCAATAGCTGTGCTTTCTCAACCCGAATCCAGGAATGTTAAAAAAAAAAAAGGCTGGGGCAGGGCCTGGTGGCTCACGCCTGTAATCCCAGCACTTTAGAGGCCAAGGTGGGCAGATCACGAGGTCAGGAGATCAAGACCATCGTGGCCAACATGGTGAAACCCCATCTCTACTAAAAATACAAAAATTAGCTGGGTGTGGTGGCGGGCGCCTGTAGTCCGAGCTATTCGGGAAGCTGAGGCAGCAGAATCGCTTGCACCCAGGAAGCGGAGGTTGCAATGAGCTGAGATGGCGCCACTGTACTCCAGCAACAGAGCCAGACTCCAACTGAAAAAAAAAAAAGAAAAAAGAAAAAAAGAAGGCTGTCCTTGGAGACCTAAGACCAGTGTTGCTCTTGGGTGGGCCAGAGTTGAGACTTAAAATACGTCTTAGTGATTTCTTTTTTGGACGGGGTATAGTATGGCTTTTAGTGTTAGTTTTAAAAGTAGTGTTTGGAATGCACTAAGCAGTAAGTGGCTTAATCAATATCACTAACATGTAATATTGATCTATCAGTGCTGTTGGCACACAGAATTGTACTCTTTTTTTTTTGAGACGGAGTCTCACTCTGTCGCCCAGGCTGGAGTGTGATGGCGCGATCTCGGCTCACTGCAACCTCTGCCTCCCGGGTTCAAGCGATTCTCCTGACTCAGCCTGCCGAGTAGCTGTGATTACAGGTGCCCGCCACCACGCCCACCTAATTTTTGTATTTTTAGTAGAGACAGGGTTTCACCACGTTGGCCAGGCTGGTCTTGAACTCCTGACCCCAGGTACAAAAATTAGCTGGGCGTGGTGGCAGGAGCTGGTTATCCCAGCTACTTAGGAGGGTGAGGCAGGAGAATCACTTGAACCCGGGAGGTGGAGGTTGCAGTGAGCCAAGATCGTGCCACTGCATTCCAGCCTAGGGGACAGACGGAGACTCTGTCTCAAAAAAAAAAAAAAGAAAAAAAAAGTATTTCCAAGACGCATAAAACAGGTCCACTGTCATTTTTTCCAGTTATCCAGGAACTTCCATAAAGCGAACGTTTTGGGCTGAAGGTCACCCACCCCATGAACAGTCAGGTGGAACTAGTGCCCAGGGAAGGCAGGCAGCCTGCGCCATCATGGCCTTTGGCTCAGAGGCCACCTAAGCAGCCCCGCGCTGTGGGTCACCATCTCCTCCACACTCAAGTCTGAAGGTGAGCCTGTCAGGGGCTCCCAGCTCACTGGGTGGAGGGAAGCGTGTCAGGGAGGGGTGGGGGGGGCGTGCCCTGAAGAGCGAGGCCATGCGCCTACCTCCAGCTTTTCCCCTGACACACTGAGCGACTCCCGGCTGCACGCCGGCCACAGGGCTCCTGTAAGATGCTGGGAGGCTTCCCAAGGCACCCCGCCCAGATGTCTTCCCAGGAATCCCGGATCCCTGAGGAGGGAGATACCATCACTAAGAAATCTGTGACCAAACTGCTGATCACAGAAAAGGAGTGATTTTCCCATTAATTCTGAAACAGTCAGTCAAACGCGAGGGAGGGGACAAATTGAGCAAAAAGCCTCAAATGAGGCTAAATGAGTCACCACGCCCGGCCTTTTCAATTACATAGCTCCATTTTGTAAACTTCTGCTCAGCTTCAAGGAGGCCAGCCCAAGTGGACCACAGGACTAGCAGTCTTGACTCTTGCTGGGTCAAGATCCTTCCCACACATGACTGCTGCAGGGGAAGGTCAAAAACGTCCCAGGCCAGGCACAGCTCACGCCTGGATTTCCAGCACTTTGAAAGGCCAAGGGTGGGGGGATCTCTTGAGCCCAGGAGTCTGAGACCAGCCTGGGAAACACAGACCCCACTGTACAAAAAAAAATGAAATTAGCCAGGTGCAGTAGCGTATGCCTGTAGTCCCAGCTACTTGGGTGCAGTAGCGTATGCCTGTAGTCCCAGCTACTTGGGTGCAGTAGTGTATGCCTACAGTCCCAGCTACTTGGGAGGCTGAGGTGATCACTTGAGCCCAGGGGATTGAGTCTGCAGTGAGCTATGATTGCACCGTAGCACTCCAGCCTGGGTGGCAGATAAAGACCCTGTCACAAAACAAAACAACCCACAAGCCTCCCCTGCTCAGTGTGGCTACACCAAGAAGAATTCAAGTCGAGATTTCTTGGGTATTTTTTTTTTTTTTTTGAGAGAGGTCTGTCTCTCAGGCTGGAGTATAGTGGCATGACAGCTCACTGCAACCTCCACTTCAGCCTCCTGAGTAGCTGGGACCACAGGTGTGCATCACCACACTCAGCTAATTTTTGGTAGAGATGGGTTTCACTATGTTGCCCAGGCTGGTGTGGCATTCTTGAGCTCAAGCAATCCACCCGCCTCAGCCTCTCAAAGTGTTAGGATTACAGGCGTAAGCCACTGAGCCTGGCCCTTATTACCTTTATTTTTTATTTTATTTTATTTTTTTGAGAGGGAACCTAGCTCTGTCACCCAGGCTGGAGTGCAGTGGTGCAATCTCGGCTCACTGTAACCTCCACCTCCCGGGTTCAAGCGATTCTCCTGCCTCAGCCTCCCGAGTAGCTGGGACTACAGACACCTGCCACCACAGCTGGCTAATTTTTGTATTTTTAGTAGAGATGGGGTTTCACCATGTTGGCCAGGCTGGTCTTGAACTCCTGACCTTGTGATTCACCCGCTTCAGTCTCCCAAAGTGCTGGGATTACAGGTGTGAGCCACCCTGCCTGTCCCCTTTTTATTACTTTTTCGAGACAAGGTCTCACCCTGTTGCCCAGGCTGGAGTGCAGTGGTGCAACCACAGCTCACTGTAGTCTTGACCTCCTGGGCTCAAGTGATCCACCTCAGCCTCCCAAGTAATCCTCACTACAGGCGTGCGCCACTGCATCTGGCTAATTTGCTTTTTGTAGAGAGGCAGGGAGTCTCCCTATGCTGCCCAGACTGGCCTCAAAACTCCTGGGCTCAAGTGATCCCCCACCTTGGCCTCTCAAAGTGCTGGGATTACAGGCATGAGCTACCATGGCCAGACCTCATTTCTTTTTTGTTCAGTCTTCTTTGCCTCTGTAGCCAACGTGTGTGTAAATATGCCTAGTCTCACCCTAAAAGCAGCCTATTGAGCAAACAAGTATATTTCAGTTACTCAGCATATTAAAACCGTTTCTTCACAGGTGTTTCTGTCCTTCTTCTTGTTTAACACAGAAAACAGGAGAACCAAATAAGCCAAGCTCTTTATCTTCCCAAAGCCCTTGGTCTAGACCAGAGTTCCCAAAGCGTGGTCAGTGGTTTCTCTACATCAGAAACAGCGGGCGTGTCTGTGTCCTCAAAGGCAATGTCCGAGGATGTGGGGCGGGGTTTGCGATTCTGTATTGTTAACAGGCTCCCCAGGAGTTCCTGACAGCCAACTGCAGGCATCGCTCCCAGGAAGGCCTGTGAGCCCCACATGCTCCCCTAGGGGGATGTAAGCTGGGTGATCACGTCTGAAATAAGGACCCAAGATTCCTGACTCCCCGATGCGGTTTTTAAATTTTTAAGGCAGGCAAGGGGAAAAAAAGATACCAAGTGAAGAATTCATTGTGTATTTATTATTCACAGTTAATCACTACCTACCAAATGCTATCCGCAGAGTTAAAGGATTAAGTACATAGGTCTTTATTTAAACACTGATTTTTTTTTTAAATATATACACACAAAACTTAGTTCAGCAAGGCTTCATGATATACACCAATTCCAAAATAAAACAATCAAATGGTCCAGGTGTAGAATGCCAGATTCCTTTTATCATCTGCGAGGAAAAGAGAAGCAGGATGAGGAAGAGTGAGGGAAGGCGGGGACAGGCTCTGCCCAGAAGAGCTGCCGCCTCCTGGCACAGCAAACGCTCCAGGCCTGGGCCCTGTTCATATCTGGAGTCGGAGGGAGACTCCCATCGGCCGCTTTGGGACTGAAAGGCCCAAGGCTGTCACCAGCTCCCGGAAGAGAGGGAGGCAGTCTTGTTTTTGTCGTGGGAAGGGGTTTGGGTGGAGAAAAAGATTACAGGCACATCACCACAGGGGACCAGAAGTGGAGAGAAGACAGAGAGTTCTGCCGAGGCCTTGGTCTTCCTGTCTTTCCAATCTTGCCTTCCCCAACTCTCCCTGCTTCCTGGGACCATCGGTAGGGGTGGGGAGCAGCAGTCAACACAGCCCACTGGGAAGGGAGGCACAAGCAGCACTCCAGCTTCCCAGTGCTGCCCTCACACTCACCTGGACAGGTCAGGGGACACAGGATGAAAGCCATGGCCCAATCTAAGAGCAAGACAAGTGAAAAGTGAGTACTCTCACTGTGTACCCCAGCATAGGAATAGTGAAACCTGCTACAACTGGAGGCTGCGTTCCCATGACTTCCTCCTCCGCTCTCCTTGTCTGGGACTTGCTGGTTCCAGGGGTGCATATAGGGAGGGGGCGGGGGCCACAACCCCCGAGACGGTGAGGACAGGCTTCCGACCCCCCTGTAAGCCAGATCCAGTGGGATGTGGGAGAGCTGGGCGGTCACCTTCCCTCTTGCCCCGGTGGCCCATCACACTCACACTGCACCCTGGGCAAGCAGTTCCCTGAACCCCCAAGGGGCTCACAACCCTTAAAGCTGGAGCTTAAAGCCTCCTGGCTTAGTACAAGCAGGAGAACGCCTCACCTTCCACTCCTGCTTTGTCTCCTTTGCTCTACCCTGGCTCCCCTGCCCGGAGGGAAAAATATTTACACAGAGTAGGAGACAAATTGGCTGAAAAGCTCTGGACTGCCTTTAACTTATTTTAAAACAAAACAAATTAAAAAAAAAAAAAAAACACCACTCAGAAGCAACCCTTGAAATAAGGAAAAAGGCACTATGAAAAAACAACATGCTCGATAATCCCACTGGAAGGGCCAACAAAGTGGAAAGAGACAGGCTTTCAGGTGGGCTTTTTTTTTTTTTTTTTGAGACGGAATCTCGCTCTGTCACCCAGGCTGGAGTACAATGGCACGGTCCCGGCTCACTCAACCTCCACTTCCCAGGTTCAAGCGATTCTCCTGCCTCAGGCTCCCAAGTAGCTGGGACTACAGGTGCGTGCCACACCCGGCTAATTTCTTATTTTTAGTAGAGACGGGGTTTCACCATGTTGGCTAGGTTGGTCTCGAACTCCTGACCTTGTGATCCGCCCACCTTGGCCTCCCAAAGTGCTGGGATTACAGGCGTGAGCCACCGCGCCCAGCCCAGGTGGGCTTTCTCAGGAAGCCATGGAAGCAGAGACATGCTTTCCTTCTACCCTACTCTACTGTGAACTTGGACAAAATACACTGGGGGTCTGGGCTGGAAGGCAGATTCCTACAAGTCCCCTCCTCTGGAGGAAGCTAAACAGCAAAGGCATCGAGCGGCCCTGCCCGCTCCTTTTTGTGTGTATATACGAAGAACACAGGAACAGCTGTTCTTCTTTCAGTCATTCCAACTAAAACAGACATTTTGCATAGAGAGAATACCAGCCCACTTGGTTTCTTGTTTTTTATTATTGGCGTCAGCTAGGACTATACGTGGCCTTAAACGTCATGCACTGATGGACAGAAGAGAAAAAAGGATGAAAAAAAAGACAAAGGAGGGGAAAGAGGAGCAGCAGTGAAAATTTGTAATAAAAACTCTTCTTAATTTATAGGTAAGTTTTGGCATTTTTAAATCCAACGCCCCCTCCCACCCCCTAAAGTTCCAACCAAAGTGAGAGGGTCACAGGGTGACCCGGCCAGGTGTTCTGCACTCCCTCACAGGCTGCTGTCAGAGGCAGCTTGTGGGTTTAATTCTTTTGTATGTGTTTTACATTTTTCACTTTCTTTAAATAATTGCTTCTTGACTCTTAGACGTTCCGGTTCACGGGGGTGACATAATTGCGGGGAAACATGCCGGTCTGCCCGTGGCAAGCTCCTTTCCACCAGTTGGGGTCTGAGTTATCCATGACATGGATAAAATCTCCCCGGCGGAAGCCCAGCTCTCCATCCTCCTGGGGATCAAAGTCAAAGAGGGCCTGGACGTATGTCGGCTGCTGCAAAACAGGAGCAGGAAAAACCCACATTGCATTCCTGGTCTGTGACTGGCCACCTCCGAGGCCAGATGGGTTCCAGGGGGAAACGAATGCGTGCCAAATTCTCCATGTTTCTTAAACTCACCTCCCATCTCCCAACCCCCCGTTTATTCTTACCTATTCTAAGTTTACAGGCCAAGCGGGTTTAGTGTGATATTTCCCAGTGCTCAGAAAATATTAGAGTATGTCTCCCAGAGGAGGGTGGCCAACTGTGCCGTATTATCAAGTAGAGGGCAGGCAGTGCTTGGAGGAGAAAGTTCTTCAGAAACAGCCATCTGTGTTTAGGCCGTGGGCCCAGAATCGCAAATCCCTTCTACGACACCCTTAAGGTATTAAAGCCTAAAGTTCTGGAGCTCGAATAACATAAGGGGCTCTAACCGTAACTTACGACCAGGGCTCGAGGGACAGGAACGGGTGCCGACCCCATTCCCTCACAAGCATAGTTTTCCTCATAATTTGCTTCCAGGGACAGGATCTTTGGGTGGGTGTGTTAAAGACCATCTCCCTAGAGAGGCTGGCAAGCTGGCTACACACTGCCTCTGGAAAAGCAAAAACCTTGTATTTGAAACAACAAATCTTTTTTTTTTTTTTTTTTTTTTTTTGAAATGAAGTCTCCCTCTGTCGCCCAGGTTGGAGTGCAGTGGTGCAATCTCAGCTCACTACAATCTCCACCTCCTGGGTTCAAGCAATTTTTCCATCTCAGCTTCCCGAGTAGCTGGGACTGCAGGTGTGCGCCACCACATCCAGCTAATTTTTGTATTTTTAGTAGCGACAGGGTTTCACCATGTTGGCCAGGCTAGTCTCAAACACCTGACCTCAAGAGATCTGCCTGCCTCGGCCTCCCAAAGTGCTGGGATTATAGGTGTGAGCTACTATGCTGGGCCAGAAAAAAGAACTCTTTAGTGTGAATGGAGGGTAACATTTTCAGTAAGGAGCACAGAAGCCCCAGCGGCAATCCCTGAAGGGCGCCCGCATGTTGAGGGGCGCCTCCCCTTTCCTACAGGAATGCACACTGAGGAGCTATTCTTAACTAAAAATGATCCCATCTCACCCTGATGAGGCTTACCTGTGGCACCTGTTCTATGTCCCGCAGGAATATCTGCTGGTTTCTGGAGACAGATGTAGATCTGTGATAATCCACCAGCTCATTCAAAGAATTGAACTTCACCACCCAGAGGAAGTACTTCCCGGCTCCATCTCGGAGCACCTTGAAGTGCTGCACATCGTTTCCAAACCTGGGAGGGACAGAAAGCACATGTGACCGGCTAAAGGCTCTAACTTGGCAAATCGAGGGTATTTCCATATAGGAGCTATCTCGAGAGAACCACTGTCCCAGCAGCACTCCTCAGGGACTGCAGAGCAACAAGTTTCCTCACTGGGTGTCCCTGGGACGGACCTCTCCCTATGAATGATGGGCACCAGGACAACATCCAGAAACCAGAGAGGGACAGGCCATCAGTCATTCTCATTCTGAAGATGTTTGTAAGATAAAGAGTCCAGGCCGGGTGCGGTGGCTCACACCTGTAATCCCAACACTTTGGAGGCCGTGGTGGGCAGATCACCTGAGGTCGGGAGTTCGAGACCAGCCTGGCCAACATGGAGAAATCCCATCTCTACTAAAAATACAAAAGTAGCTGGGCATGATGGTGCATGCCTGTAATCCCAGCTACTCGGGAGGCTGAGGCAGGAGAATCACTTGAACCTGGGAGGCCGAGGTTGTGGTGAGCTGAGATCGCGCCATTGCACTCCAACCTGGGTAACAAGAGTGAAACTCTGTCTCAAAAAAAAAAAAAAAAAGAGTCCATGTGCCCTGAACCCTACCAAATAAAAACAGCCGTACTTAAGACAAAGGAGTGTGACTTAACATCCTTTGAATAAAAAAATAATTAAAATCTTATATGCAGGAAGAAGGTGAGGAGGGCTGGAAATACTTTCAACAATTCTCTCGTAACTGGGAATAGTTCAAAGTAATGTTTTCCATTCAGGAATTTTAGCTCCACTCATGGGGAAAAGGTCTCTGAACAAAAGGACGTACTGGGACAATAAAAGAGGCCCAGACTTCAAAACCCAAAAGCTTCTCCATCACTAGATCACACCCTTTTATACTGGCAAGCAAAACCGGCAACAGCGTGGCTGGCTGGTACTAGCTCACAGGGTCTGTCACAGGATATTTGGCTAAAACACCAGCCTAGCGAGGGCGCTTCTGCCTGTCCTGTTCACCTGGCCGGGCACTCTCGGCATTCTCGGCCGGATGCGGTGGCTCATGCCTGTAATCCCAGCACTTTGGGAGGCCGAGGTGGGCGGATCATAAGGTCAGGATATCGAGACCACCATGGCTAACACAGTGAAACCCCGTCTCTACTAAAAATACAAAAAATTAGCCAGGTGTGGTGGCAGATGCCTGTAGTCACAGCTACTCGGGAGGCTGAGGCAGGAGAATGGTGTGAACCCGGGAGGAGGAGCTTGCAGTGAGCCGAGATTGGGCCACTGTACTCCAGCCTGTGCGACAGAGTGACACTCCATCTCATTAAAAAAAAAAAAAAAAAAAAAGGCATTCTCTGAGAGTGCTTGTTCAATGAATGAATGAGTCCCTCCTCTCCTTCAGTCTTTCAGCTGATGGAAACCAAAGGCTTCAGAAAATCAATCCGGCAGGTGGCAGCACTGAGCCTCAAGGAAGCCACTCAGCACAAGATGCCTCGCATTTGGAAAAAATACTGCTTTACATGTTAAGACAAAATGTGGAAGGTGAGAAAGCTTCATTAGCAAGGGTATATTCCACGGCACTTCTGGCCCCACAGAGGCCCACTTCCACCCATGCAATGCAGGTGGTTTCTAAGAGCCCAGGGCCCCAATAATGAGCAGTGTTTCAAATCACAGGCTCAAAACATCCTAAAACTAAGAAACATCTGACAACTGTTGATTCTTGAACCTTTTTTGCAGAGGTGTGTGTGTTGTTAAAGAGAGTCATGACACCTGCTTTGCTTCTAAAACAATAAATGCATTAAATCCTTAAAAGATTCTACTTGAGAAAATGGAAGTTTGAGAGTTTCTGCTGAGCAAACAGGCAGCGTCCAGCCGAGCACGTGGCTGCCCCCGTGGTTTTGGCCACCACCCAGTGATTTACTGCTTGTTCCCCTCATCTTATAAGGTTTCAGTTACACTTGGGTCAGTATAAAACTAAAGAAAGACAGGTGTCACACATGTTTTTCTTTTCTTTTTTTTTTTTTTTTAAAGATGGATGGAGTCTTGCTCTTTCACCCAGGCTGGAATGCAATGGCTCAGTCTCGGCTCACTGCAACCTCTGCCTCCTAGGTTCAAGTGATTCTCCTGCTTCAGCCTCCGGAGTAGCTGGGAATACAGGCATGTGCCACCACGCCTGGCTAATTTTTGTATTTTTTTAGTAGGGACAGTGTTTCACCATATTGGTCAGGCTGGTCTCAAACTCCTGACCTCATGATCGGCCCGCCTCAGCCTCCTAAAGGGCTGGGATTACAGGCATGAGCCACCATGCCGGGCCACAACTATAAATTTAAAATCTACGTTTCAAAAAAAAAATCTACATTTTAATCACACATTAAGTGGTTCTAAAACCAAATAAGATATTCAGTTTGTTTGTTTGTTTTGGGAGACACAGTCTTACTCTGTCACTCAGGCTGGAGTGTAGTGGCACGATCTTGGCTCATCTGCCTCTCGGGTTCAAGTGATTCTTCTCTCTCAGCCTCCTGAGTAGCTGGGATTACAGGCACACGCCACCACGCCGAGGCCATTTTTGTATTTTTTTTTTTTTTTTTTTTTTTAGTAGAGACAGGGTTTTACCA
Organism: Homo sapiens; assembly: GCF_000001405.40. NCBI lineage: Eukaryota > Metazoa > Chordata > Mammalia > Primates > Hominidae > Homo > Homo sapiens. The sequence continues at coordinate 75,324,411 of NC_000017.11, forward strand.
TGTTCGCCAGGCTGGTCTCGAACTTCTGACCTCAGGTGATCTGCCTGCCTCGGCCTCCCAAAGTGCTGGGATTACAGGTGTGAGCCACCGCACCCAGTTTTTTTTTTTTTTTTTTTTTTTTTTTTGGAGACAGAGTTTTGCTCTTCGCCCAGGCTAAAGTGCAATGGCGCCATCTCGCCTCACTACAACCTCCGCCTCCTGGATTCAAATGATTCTCTGGCCTCAGCCTCCCAAGTAGCTGGGACTACAGGTGTGTGCCACTATGCCTGGGTTATTTTCTATTTTTAGCAGAAACAGGGTTTCACCATGTTGGCCAGGCTGGTCAGTTCATTTTTGAAATGGAAAAGTCTCACGCTTTACATCAGTTATAAATGGGAAATGGTGGCTGGAAGCAGTGGCTCCAGCCTGTAATCCCAGCACTTTGGGAGGTCGAGGTGGGTGGATCACCTGAGGTCAGGAGTTCAAGACCAGCCTGGCCAATATGGCAAAACCCCATCTCTACTAAAAATACAAAAATAAGCCGGGCGTGGTGTCAGGCACCTGTAATCCCAGGTACTCGGAGGGTGGGGCAGGGAGAACTGCTTGAACCTGGGAGGTGGAGGTTGCAGTGAGCTGAGGCATGCCATTGGACTCCAGCCTGGGGGACAGAGCGAGACTCTGTCTCAAAAATAAGTAAATAAAATAAAAGGAAAATGGTTTTCTATCCCCCATTCAAAAACAAAACAATCTTAATGTAATCTAAACTAAGTAGTGATCTGAGTGTTGAATCTAATTACTTCTTTATATATAACTGATGAAGTGATCTGCCGGACTCCTGGGGAGGGTCCTATGATAATACATTAACTAGAAAATAACTGAAAGTAAAAAACATGGAAATAACAATTTAATTCAAAATCCCGACTTCACAGCTGAGGTGTGAATTGTTTAGAATCTTCAAGTGCTGGTTTCTATTCTCCACACTCTCCATGGCGGCAGAACTTCCTGTCTTCTCCATTCCCTGCTTACCCGCTCCCTTTCACACCTGAACTTTCCACCGGGGAAATGCAAGCCCCACATCCCCTGCAGCAGCCTTCTTAAGTGACTGTGAGGGCCTAGGATGGGGCTGGTTGATTTAAGTCAGTGGACCTGAGCAAGGCAAGCCAAGGCAGCCGACAGGCGCTCCACTATCCCATTAGAGAGAGCTGCGGGAATCCCTTGGAGGGCAGAAGCTCAGGAGTGCTGGGCACTAGGGAAAACTGGCAGGCTCCAGCTGGCTGCAGGGAGCTGCTGCTCACCTCCTGAAGGCTGTGTCCACATGGGAATCTACATCCAGTGCTTCTAGAACTCATTTTGAGAGGAGCCAGAAATTAGGATTTTAATGTGAAATGAAGAAACTGTTTAGGCTAAGCCTCCACCATTTTGTGTGTAGCCAGGCACCTGACCAACGGCTTCACAATTTGGATCAGTCAGAGACAGGATTCCAGGCAACTGCAGCAGGAAATACTTACTTGACAGAGAGGGAGAAGTCCCCAGGAGCGCTCTCACTCTCTCGGATAAGAAAGGCCCCATCGTGCCGCTGTTTGCTAAGCATTTCTTCTGCCTTGGCTCTGGGGATTTTGCCAAAAAACCACCTAAGGAAGGAAGGCAAGCTGGTCAACATCTGCTTCCCCACAAAGAAACGGGATATCCAGCCTTCAAAATGTGAGTAACACAACACTCCTTGCCAGAGGAAGGGGCCTCCCTCCTCATCCTCCAGCCTCACAGTGCCCAAGATCGACACTGGGTTGGGTCCCCAGAGATGGACCTTCAAAGGTCTTTAGCCTACTCCATTTCCCAGAAAGCGACTCACCAAGGCACTAACCGTGGGTCACTCTTTCTATAGAGGGAGACATTTGAAAATGGGCCCCCCAGGCCAAAGCCCACTGGACTCCCTACTGACTCATGACAAAGGCGCCTGGGGAAAAGCTCAGGCCTTTGGGCTTGGTGTACGGGATGAACTGCCAAGGAGAGACTGGCCCCTTCCTGCAGCCATGTGATAAGATCACAGCTTCACCACAGTGGGACTAAGGGAAAGTGGGGAGGAAACCTGGACGGCCAGGAGCTGGAGGCAGGGTTACTTTTGCTAACAGCCCAAAGGCAAAAGGTTCAGATAGTATGAGGGTGCCTCTACCAGTAACTAAGGTCAGCATTCCTCTCAAGGCCTGCCTCTGGGGCCACTGCTCAGAGTTCAGCTTTCAGAAGCCACCAGGAATATTGTAATTTACCATATGCTCAGCAGCTAGCTGCAAAATTCAGATTTTTGAGGCAAGTTGCAGACTCTTCTGCTCCCAATTGCTGATTCACCTTGGCCAGAAGAAAAAGTGGCTAAATTCATGAAAAACTGTGAAGCAACTGGCTGTGGCTTATCAAGAGGAAGAGGAGAGGAACACTTCTACAAGAGCTTCAAGTCAAGCTGCCTCACTATTTCAAATGAAAACTATAATTAGGAAGAAGAAACTGTGAAAACCATGTTCTCTTCTCAAAATTGTCTTTAGTTATCATTTTTAAAAGCAAAAGTTATAGCAAATAAAGACCTATAAACATGGAAACTGGCATTCATTTAATATGCTAATTATAATATCAAAAGTCCTTTTAATGGACCAAATAGTCCATTAAAGTTGTAAATCTAACTTACATATCTTTTCTTTTTTTTTTTTTTTGAGGAGTCTAGCTCTGTCACCCAGGCTGGAGTGCAGTGGCACGATCTCGCTCACTGCAAGCTCTGCCTCCCGGGTTCACGCCATTCTCCTGCCTCAGCCTCCCAAGTAGCTGAGCAGCTGGGACTATACATAGGCGCCCGCCACCATGCCCGGCTAATATTTTGTATTTTTAGTAAAGATGGGGTTTCACCGTGTTAGCCAGGATGGTCTCGATCTCCTGACCTTGTTGATCCGCCTGCCTTGGCCTCCCAAAGTGCTGGGATTACAGGCATGAGCCACTACGCCCGGCCCTTTTTTTTTTAGATAGAGTCTCACTCTGTCATCAAGGCTGGAGTGCAGTGGCACGATCTCGGCTCACTGCAACCTTCGCCTCCTGGGTTCAAGCAATTCTCCTGCCTCAGCTTCCCTAGTAGCTGGGATTACAGGCGGCCACCACCACGCCCAGCTAATTTTTGTATTTTTAATAGAGACGGGGTTTCACCATATTGGCCAGGCTGGTCTTGAACTCCCGACCTCGAGATCTGCCCGCCTCAGCCTCCCAAAGTGCTGGGATTAAAGTCGCGAGCCACCACGCCCGGCTAATTTACATATCTTACTTATAAGCAACCATATTGGAAGATGTACCTAAAATAATATACTATACTCAAATTCAAACAGAAAGATGTGATCTGCTAGGAAGGATACACTTAGAAGCTGCCCTTAGTAACTTTGTCCTTGTGTGTGTGTGTCAGCCTCTAGGGACTCTTAGTAACTCTGAATAGTCTGACATCTACCTGCTTGGAGTCTTTCTCATTTTGCATACTCTACTGCCAGGATGCTGAGGAGCTGGGACAATAGATCCTCCTGCTTCTACAAATAACTCAAGGCTAGGGCCTGCAGTGCCTGGAAATCAGGCCACACAAGAGAAATCACATATCACTAGAATAGAATGCTCTCTAAATATAAAAGGACAGGCTGGGCCCGGTACCTCATGCCTGTAATTGCAGCACTTTGGGAGGCTGAGGTGGGGTGAATCACTTGAGGTCAGGAGTTTGAGACCAGCCTGGCCAACGTGGTGAAACCCACTCTCTACCAAAAATACAAAAATTAGATGGGCACAGTGGTGGGCACCTGTAATCCCAGCTACTCGGGAGGCTGAGGCAGGAGAATCACTTGAACCTGGGAGGCAGAGGTTGTAGTGAGCCGAGACTGTGCCACCGCACTCCAGCCTGGGCGAAAGAGTGAGACTCTGTCTCAAAAAAATATATAAATAAATAAAATAAAAAAGGAGGCTGGGTGCGGTGGCTCAATGCCTGTAATCGCAGCACTTTGGGAGGCCGAGGTGGGCGGATCATCTGAGGTCAGGAGTTCGAGACCAGCCTGGCCAACATGGAGAAACTCCATCTCTACTAAAAATACAAAATTAGCAAGGCGCGGTGGCGCATGCCTGTAATCCCAGCTACTCGGGAGGCTGAGGCAGGAGAATCGCTTGAATCTCCGGGAGGCAGAGGTTGCGGTGAGCCGAGATCGTGCCATTGCACTCCAGCCTGGGCAACAAGAGTGAAACTCCATCTCAAAAAAATTAAATAGGCCGGGTGTGGTGGCTCACGCCTGTAATCCCAGCACTTTGGGAGGCCGAGGCGGGCGGGTCACAAAGTCAGGAGATCGAGACCAACCTGGCTAACACGGTGAAACCCTGTCTTTACTAAAAATACAAAAAATTAGCCAGGCGTGGTGGCAGGTGCCTGTAGTCCCAGTTACTCAGGAGGCTGAGGCAGGAGAATGGAGTGAACCTGGGAGGCGGAGCTTGCAGTGAGCCGAGATCGCGCCACTGCACTCTAGCCTGGGCGACAAAGCGAGACTCGCTTTCAAAAAATAAATAAATAAATAAATAAATAAATAAATAAGGACACTTAACGGTATTGAGACCTTCTCAATCGGGGGGCCCCAATCAACGGTATTTAAACCTTCTCATATCGGGGGGCCCTGGGTTTCTAATATAAGTGTATGCAGCATGCATCTGACTGGGTACAGCAGTGAAAATCCACACATGGCCTCGGCTGGCTCTCCCCACACTGCCCCACACTCCCCACCACTGCCACTTCCAATAGCAATGGTGAGGGTGAAGATTCTCAATCAGCAAGGCTCTCTTTCCTCCTAGGCCCCCAAGATCTCTCCACTAGGGAGGTTTTTTCCCATTTGTAGGTATAAAATAATGAATATAAACTGAAATAGCCTAGATGTACATGAAGCAAACATAAAAAGTAAGATGCTTCCCTCAAACTCCCCAGAGGCAGCACGTGTTGGCGGTTCTAACACTTAGGTTTCCAGACCTTTCTGTCTGGTGTCACATAGACATGGCTGCTGTGTTTTCTTGCCCCCAGCTTAAAATTAACGCAATTTTATTTTCAATTAAAAAAAATAAATTGTAGTGAAGTACAAATTATAATGTTTAAAAAGTACTCTAACTGGAATTAAAACCAAAAACCAAAAAAACCACAACTCTGTTATAAGCACCCAGATCAAGAAATAAAAAATCTGGCACCAGGTGCAGTTGCTCACGCCTGTTAATTCCAGCACTTTGGGAGGCTAAGGTGGGAGGATTGCTTAAGCCCAGTAGATCAAGACCAGCCCGGGCAACACAGTGAGACCCTGTCTCTACGAAAAATAAAAAATTAGCCAGGCATAGTGGTGCACAGCTGTAGACGCAGCAACTTAGGAGACTAAGGTGGGAGGATAACTTGAGCCCAACCTGGATGACAGAGCAAGACCCTGTGAATAGCTGTCACTACTAAAACACTGAAATACCACCATTCTACATTTCTATAGCATTTTATATCATTTATAAATTTGACTTTTTAAAATGATGATATGTACATGTGACTACATGCTTACGGGTGAATTTTTTTTATTTTTTATTTTTTGAGACAGAGTCTTGCTTTGTTGAATAGGCTGGAGTGCAGTGGCGTGATCTTGGCTTGCTGCAAGCTCTAACAGGCAAATGTTTTGAAAGTCTTTAAAAAGATGGGCTTTGGGCCGGGTGTGGTGGCTCACACCTGTAATCCCAGCACTTTGGGAGGCCGAGGCGGGCGGATCAGGAGGTCAGGAGATTGAGACCATCCTGACCAACACAGTGAAACCCCATCTCTACTAAAAATACAAAAATTAGCCAGGCATGGTGGCACATGCCTGTAATCCCAGCTACTCAGGAGGTGGAGGCAGGAGAATCCCTTGAACCAGGGAGTTGGGGGTTGCAGTGAGCCGAGATCGCGCCACAGCACTCTAGCCTGGCGACAGAGCGAGACTCCATCTCAAACAAACAAACAAACAAACAAACAAAAGATGGGCTTTGGCAGGGTGCGGTGGCTTACACCTGTAATCCCAGCACTTTAGGCCAAGAGCTCGAGATCAGCTTGGCCAACACAGTGAAACCCCATCTCTACTAAAAATACAACAATTCGACGGGAGTGGAGGCACGCGCCTGTAGTCCCAGCTACTCGGCAGGCTGAGGCACAAGAATCGCTTGAACCCAGCAGGCGGAGGTTGCAGTGAGCTGAGATAGCACCACTGCACTCCAGCCTGGGCAACAGAGCAGGATTCCGTCTCATAAAAACAACAAGAACAACAACAAACAAAAAACAAAAAAAAAAAAGGTGGGCTTATACAACAGAAATAGCAAGGGCGAGAGCTAAGGGGGTGAGGGGAGAAGGCTAATTTTCCAATATAATTCTTTACTACATCCCGTAGGCTCCCATCCATATGCATTTAGTGTGAAAAGCACATATTTGGATCCACCCCTCAAGCATATACAACTCATGCTGCAGCACTAATGCCAACAATCATTTTGTAGTCTAATTTGTTAACTTGAATGCTGCATTAGCTGACATGGTGCTACATTTTATGCTTCCCTCTTCCTCCATAACCCCTGCTCCCCACCCCCACAAACAAACAAACAAACAAACAAAAAAACAGGAGGTGGTAGGATGTGGAGGAGAAGGCCTGGTACTGACCCTGACCCTATACTCATGAACATCCAGCCACAGAGCAGCCCTATACAACAGCAACTACGTCTGCAAGGCCAAACACCTACATAGGCACAAGCATGGTCTTTGTTAGCAATATGGTAGACCTGAATAAATAAGGGTTTTTAAGTTGCTAGTTGCCTTTTCAGAGCTCAGAGTGGCTGAGCACTGCCCACCCTTTGGGCAGAGTCTGCAAATAACAACACAGCTGAGCCTGTGCTGGGTGCTTCTCCATCAATTCTTCTAAAGTTCTTCATAGTGGGGACAAAAGGTCAAGGCAAGGGAGTGACTGTCCCAGTCAGCCTGGCAGTAACTACAACTTTCCAAGGAAGGTAGCCTTTCCTATCTTTCCTCAACAGTCAGATTTAAATGCCTGTGTCACCCGAAACACTGAAGAAAAATAAGAATTTCGAGCCACAGGCATGTCATATAAGAAGTGTAGTATGATGTTCTGTTGAATTCCCTTTCAATCTGAAAATATGAAAACAAAAGGGAACTGAAGTCGATGTTGTGTTTGGATCTAATGAAGGAGCCAGCAAACAATAATGGCCTTCTGCCCAAATCTGCCCACAACCTAAGACTGTTTTTTAAATTTCTACTCGATTGTTAAAAGAAAATTTTTACAAGGAATATTTGACAGGATTGTATGCAGCCCACAAAGTCGAAATTACTTGCTATCTGGCTCTTCACAGAAAAAGTTTAGCCAACCCTTGACCTACAGTTTCTTTTGAGGACGACTGAAGGAAACAGAAGTACACAAATTATGTGGCTTATATGGGACCTGGGGAGGATGTGCTGTGATCCAACAGGCCCCTCCCACTCAAGATGCGACAAGCCACCTGAAAGTCTCCGCCACCAGCTGCTGTGAAAGCAAGTGGACAATGTCCAAGGGCATTCTAGTCTGAGCGTGGAAAGCCTCAGCTCCCCTGACACACTTGTAAGGCAAGCCAGCAACTGCTTCTGTGCTAGGAGCAGGGCCTGTGAATGAGGGGTGGGTGAGAACGGGAGGACAGTGGTCTGCAGGGGCTCTCAGGGGTCCACTATGTTGCGTTATTAATAAAATCGTGACAAGGGTAGCTTCTGAAAAAAAATTAAAAATATTCACTGCTCCCAGCAGCCTGGAGGACAGCATATTTTGTTCTCTTGTAAGTAGGAACACTAAGATGGAGGGATAAACATTTATTGAGAACTATTAGATGCCAAGCACCGTACTCTGGGGATACAAAGATATTAAGATACCGTCCCACAGCATTAGCACATATAAACACAAAATCATCTAAGTACCTTTTCTAAAACTCAAAAAAAATGCAGAATTATAAAACACATCTGGCTCTAAGACATATTTAACAGAAAAAGAATTACGGACCTGCACCAACTATCGTTTTATTTTTGAAGATCACTGACAGTTATTATCAATCTAAAACATATAATATTATTGACTATGATATATTATTATATACTATTAACATGCACAATCAATATCCTTTGTTAATTCCCTAGAAACGTGAATAAAAAGTATGACATCCATCCCAGTGATCTCAATTTTAAAAAGAGTGTTTGAAACAAGGAGGTGGGTCCAACCCTTCCAAGACTAATGGAGCTTAACTTACGGATGTGGTTTCATTTCTATGTAGTTCTTGGGAATGAAGCCGTCTTTTCCATTAAGCTCTGCCTTGTACCAGTTCTGATCACATTCTTCGTTCAAAACCTGAAAAGAAATAAGACAACAAAAAAACCCAATCATTTCCTTTTCCCTTTAAAAAGATAGTTACAAGACAATTATGCTATCTTTTAGGTCTGTGAACGGTTTCACTCGAAGTATTATCAGTTATACGGATATAAGACTCCTTTTAACTTCAAACAACCAGCATTATGTTAAACTCTGTTAAAATGAAACAGAAATTATCTCTGAAAATGAAAATTCAGGCTCCCAAACATCTGGAATGAAACCCTCAGTAAGGAAGGAGAAAGAAGAATGGCAAGTATTAGTTGTTTTTTTTTTTTAAGACGGAGTCTTGCTCTGTCGCCCAGGCTGAAGTGCAGTGGCGCGATCTTGGCTCACTGCAACCTCCACCTCCTGGGTTCAGGCGATTCTCCTGCCACAGCCTCCCGAGTAGCTGGGATTACAGGCGCATGCCACGTTGCCCAGCTAATTTTTGTATTTTTAGTAGAGATGGGGTTTCACCATGTTGGCCAGGCTGGTCTTGAACTCCTGGCCTCAGGTGATCTGCCCACCTTGGCCTCTCAAATTGCTGGGATTATAGGTGTGAGCCACTGTGCCCGGCCAGTTTTTTTGTTTGGTTTGGTTTTTCTAAGAGAGAAACCTGGAGAAGAGGTTCTGGAAAATGGCAAACACATAGGAGAATAAGGGAGCCTGACGAAGACAAAGTCTACTTTCTGGGAGAGAGAGGTGTCACAGCAGAACTAAGCAGCAACAGAACCTTTTATTAGACTCCTCTAGAGATCTTCCAACCGACCTCCAGAATCTACAGTGATACAGTCCTGGATCCCCTCATGGCTTCTCTGGGTTACCGCAAGTACGGGTCACCCACCAAACAGCTCCAGAACACTGCTGCTTGTGAGGACAACCATATGCCCTCGTATGGGAAAACTATTTTCAGGAAAAAGCATGGCAAATCCTACTCAGTTCAATAACCCAAATGCCACATTGTATTAAAGTTAGATAGTGCTGAAAGCATATCAACCAGCAGAATTCAGGCAGATGCCTTGGAAATCCTGGAACTGAACCACTGCATTCTACAGATGTAAAAAAACAAGATCAATGGTCAACCCAGGTTACGAGGTAGTGACCCCACAGAGCTAACATCATGCCCAGACTTTCATATTTCCAATGACCGTTCTCTCCAATGCTGCCTCTTGAATTGCATGTACCAGGCCATGCATAGGCTAGGCCATGACGCTGTAATGTGTAGAGTAATACAGTAGTCCTCCTTATCATGATGGATACGTTTCAAGACCTCCAGTGGGTGCCTGAAACCGTGGATAGTACAGGACTCTAGATATGCTATGCTTTTTCCTACACTATACACATACCTATACGTTTTATTTTTTTTTAGATTTATTTATTTATTTTTTTTTGAGACAGAGTCTCGCTCTGTCGCCCAGGCTGGAGTGCAGTGGCGCGATCTCGGCTCACTGCAAGCTCTGCCTCCCGGGTTCACGCCATTCTCTTGCCTCAGCCTCCCGAGTGGCTGGGACTACAGGCGCCTGCCACCACGCCCGGCTAATTTTTTGTATTTTTTAGTAGAGACGGGGTTTCACCATGTTAGCCAGGATGGTCTCGATCTCCTGACCTTGTGATCCACCCGACTCGGCCTCCCAAAGTGCTGGGATTACAGGCACGAGCCACCGTGCCCAGCCGATTTATTTATTTTGCCCAGGCTAGTCTTGAACTCCTGGACTCAAGGGATTCTCCTGCCTCAGCCTCCCAAAGTGCTGAGATTACAGGTGTGAGCCACCATGCCAGTCCTACCTATAAGTTTAATTTGTAAATTAGGCACAGTAAGAGATTAATGATGACTAGTAGTAAAATAGAAAAGTTTTAACAGGCCAGGTGTGCTGGCTCAAACCTGTAATCCTGGCAGTTTGGAAGGCTAAGGTGGGAAGACTGCTTTAGCCCAGGAGTTTAGGACCAGCCTGGGCAACATAGTGAGACCCTGTCTTTATATTTAAAAAGTGTAAAAGAAAAGTTATAACAATATACTGTAATAAAAATTTATGTGAATGTGTTATCTCTCAAAATATCTTTTTTTTTTTTTTTTGAGTCAGGGTCTTGCTCTGCTGCCCAGTCTGGAGTACAGTGACACCATCACGGCTCATGGCATCTCAACTTCCTGGGTTCAAGCTATCCTCCCATTTCAGCCTCCTGAGTACCTGGGACTATAGGCACTTGCCATGTTGCCCAGGCTGGTCTTGAACTCCTGCGCTCAAGTATCCTCCTGCCTCAGCTTACCTAAGTGTTGAGATTACAGGTGTGAGCCACTGCGATTGGCCAAAATATGTTATTTATATGTTGGATTGCAACTGGCCGCAGGTAAGGGGGGACTAGTATATACGGAGCAGAACAGAATCAGGTACAGCGTGAAAGCCACCCTATGAATTCTAGACTTACAACAAAAGGCAAAGGGCAGAAGGCATAAAGTTGGTAAAAGATAAAACAAAAATGTGAATACAACCCCAAAATGGTGGGCCCAGGAAAATGTTGGCTAGTACAGTGGTAATCTACACTGCATAACAAAGTTCTGAGAGGAAACTGGTAACATTCTTTACAAAATGATTTATTCAAGATGTTGAACAATGCTGTACTCGTAGCCAATCAGAAGCTGGATTGCTCTAAAGTGAGTGCTGTCTGTGTACTGCCATTCAAAGTGAGATGCAATAGAAAGGGTAGATAAGAATGACAGATGATCGACAACTAGCCAGGCTGCATTAATGACTACGCTTTCTTAACAGAGGGTATGCCCTGCAGAGCTTTGCAATGCTGGTGCTTATCTGCTATGCTTACCACACTCTGACTGCAGGTGCCAGACACTGGGTTTCAATGCTTAGGATAAGGTGATAAATCCTGAAAGAGCTAATAAATATGTGTAGCAAACTCTCAAAAAAAATTAGCTAGTGGTAAATCCCAGTGTATTCAAAGTTTCCAAGAGTCACATAAATATTGATAGAGTATTGATGAAAACTTTCTTCTAGTCATCATTTTGTTTCTCGTAAAAAAATCACATCAAAGACTGGAATGAGATAAAACAATATATGCAAGGTACACTCATAATTTTTAAGTCTTCATTTTAAAAACACTGCATTGTGCTGCAGCCAGCAATGGTGCTGTATTGATAGACAATTATAAAGCACACACCAAGGACAAGTTTGAGGAGGGAAAGTGCGCTTGAACCCTGCCGGGCCACCACCACCTGCCCCTGTACTGGCAGCACAGAAAACTCTGAATAGCCTTTGAGAAAAGGAGCTACTTTAAAAGTTATTTAAGGCCAGGATTCTGTTATCTACCAAAAATAAGGTCTAGAAGGAAAATGTGGTCTAATAATGACCTTATAAAGCATCATCCTATAGTAATAATAAAAACCCCACAGGCTTATAAACAATATTTATTATTTTATTTCAGAGACAGAGTCTACGTTGCTCAGGCTGGAGTAGCTGGGACTACAGGTGCGTGCACCCATACCAGCTATGAAGAGTTTTTGAAAATGTCTTAACTCCTGAAATGGTGAGGTGTGTCTACTTTTACTGTATACACTTGTTCTTGGAAGACAGAGAGTCAGACTGACAAAGAGCTGCTTGTAACCTATTTGTGCATCAAAACAGAACAAAGTAATCATTAGAAAGGGACACTTTTGATTTGTGACCAATAACTTTGCAGAAAAAGATAACTCTATTTACCTGCCAGGAGTTCATAGAGCTACACTCTCTTCTTGTCACCTTTACCAAGACAGAGGCAAATCCCTCTAAAAAGTGTCCCCTCCCCCAACAAACACAACTCCAGGGCAACTCCTAGATTTGACATCAACTTAGAACTATGGCTGTCTACAGAACAAAAATTATTACTTGGTGTTTAGTATGTTTTTCTCCCCCAGAAAGAAGGAAAATATGGAATTAATGCTTTTAAAAATGTAATTTTTTTTTTTGAGAGAGTCTTGCTCTGTTGCTCTGTCACCCAGGCTGCAGTGGAGTGGCATGATCTCGGCTCACTGCAACCTCCACTTCCCGGGTTCAAGTGATTCAAGTGCCTCGGCCTCCCAAGTAGCTGGGATTACAGGCATGCGCCACTATACCCAGCTGATTTTTGTACTTTTAGCAGACACGGGATTTCACCATGTTGGCTAGGCTGGTCTCATATTCCTGGCCTCAAGCAATCCACCTACCTTGGCCTCTCAAAGTGCTGGGATTATAGGCGTGAGCCATCATGCTGGCCAAAAATGTAACATTTGAGTACATGAATGGTTACGATTTTGGTTATCTGGAAAATTCTAGTATCCAGAATATCACGTTATCAGATAGCCCAGGTATTGCTGCACATACCTCTAAACCTCTTCACTCTAGAATTTCAGAAAAAGCTTGGTTCTGCCGGAGGCAAAACACAGGATGAACAATGCAGCTGCAACCCTGAGCCAGAGACCAGGCCTTTCAACCCAACTGCTCCACCTGCACTGGGAGCTTGCACACACAAGCCCTGAAACTGGAGTGATGTAATTAGATGCTTAAAAATTAAGTTTTATTCAAATGTTTAAGTATACAAAACAGCTACTGAAGTGTCGGGTTAAAAAAAAAAAAGAAAGAAAAAGAAAACAAAACAGCAAAGAACACAAATGAATGTTGAAGAGCTCGAGGTGGCAGAGACCAGAAGCATCTGAGGATGAGGCTGCACCTACAAAGATTGTTTCATTTGCTGTGGCTTTAGGTGAAAGCTCACATCCTTCACAAATAATTTTTATTTTATTACTGTTACTATTTTTTTTTTTTTTTTGAGATGGAGTCTCGCTCTGTCGCCCAGGCTGGAGTGCAGTGGCACAATCTCGGCTCACTGCAAGGTCCGCCTCCTAGGTTCAGGCCATTCTCCTGCCTCAGCCTCCCGAGTAGCTGGGACTACAGGCGTCTGCAACCACGCCCAGCTAATTTTTTATATTTTTAGTAGAGACGGGTTTCACTGTGTTAGCCAGGACGGTCTTGATCTGACCTCGTGATCCGCCTGCCTCGGCCTCCAAAAGTGCTGGGATTATAGGCGTGAGCCACTGCGCCCGGCCTACTATTACTACTACTACTACTACTACTACTACTACTATTATTATTATTATTATTATTATTATTATTATTATTATTATTTATTGAGACAGAGTCTCACTCTGTTGCCCAGGCTGGAGTGCAGTGGCACAATCTCGGCTCACTGCAACCTCCGCCTCCCAGGTTCAAGTGATTCTCTGCCTCAGCCTCTCGAGTAGCTGGGATTACAGGCACCCGCCACCACGCCTGGCTAATTTTTGTATTTTTAGCAGAGATGGGGTTTCACCATATTGGTCAGGCTGGTCTTGAACCTCTGACCTCAGGTGATTTGCCTGCCTTGGCCTCCTGAGTAGCTAGGATTACAGGCGCCTGTCACCATGCTCAGCTAATTTTTGTATTTTTCATAGAGACGGGGTTTCACCATGTTGGCCAGGCTGGTCTCGAACTCCTGGCCTCAGGTGATCTGCCCACCTTGGCCTCCCAAAGTGCTGGGATTACAGGCATGAGCCACCGTGCCCGGCCACAAATAATTTTTAAAGGCCTAGTCAGACTCCTGAGCATGAGCAAGCTGCTCCCATCACTGTGTCTTCACTTGCTTATTCACTCCCTCTGCACAAATCCACGGGTGAGCTCACAAAAAGTTTCCTTCAGCTTTAAAATCTCCAAGGAATGTTTTTAGCTATTACCCCACAGCTGCATTTTCTATTCCAACCCCCATATTCCCTCGAGTTATGACTTTGTAGCCACACGACACTTTGGTTTAACGGAAGCAGATTGATCAAGAGATGAGATTATAAGAGGAGGAAGAGACAAGTTTCAGTGAAGACAGTTCTTTTTGTTTTTTGGTTTTTTTTTGCAAAGAGACTGAAAATAATGTTAAGAGCCCAAATCAGGAAGAAATTTAAGAGATGAGGAATGAGGTGAGCTTTACACAGAAGAATTAAAAATATACAAGTCCTTTCTGTGCTGATAGCACTCACGCAAATGGTCAACTTTCCTAAAATTCACTGGACTTTCTCTAAGAAGTGTGGCAAGCATCAACCCCACAAAGTGACACAGTACAAGAAGGGAAAGGATTCTCTGTATGCCCAGGGAAAGCGGCGTTATGACAGGAAGCAGAGTGGCTATGGTGGGCAGACTAAGTCGATTTTCCGGAAAAAGGCTGAAACCACAAAGAAGACTGTGCTAAGGCTTGAGTGCGTTGAGCCCAACTGCAGATCTAAGAGAATGCTGGCTATTAAAAGATGCAAGCATTTTGAACTGGGAGGAGATAAGAAGAGAAAGGGCCAAGTGATCCAGTTCTAAGTGTCATCTTTTGTTTTATTATGAAGACAATAAAATCCTGAGTTTATGTTTTTTTTTTTTTTTTGAGACAGAGTCTTGCTCTGTTGCCCAGGCTGGAGTGCAGTGGCACGATCTCGGCTCACTGCAAGCTCCGCCTCCTGGGTTCACGCCATTCTCCTGCCTCAGCCTCCTGAGTAGCTGGGACTACAGGCGCCCGCCACCACGCCCGGCTATTTTTTTGTATTTTTAGTAGAGAGGGGGTTTCACTATGTTGGCCAGGATGGTCTCGATCACTTGACCCCCTGATCCACCCACCTCGGCCTCCCAAGAGTTTATGTTTACTTCAAAATATATATATATATGTACAAGTCAATGGAAGGGGACATGAAGGAACTCTAGAGG
Organism: Homo sapiens; assembly: GCF_000001405.40. Classification (NCBI taxonomy): domain Eukaryota; kingdom Metazoa; phylum Chordata; class Mammalia; order Primates; family Hominidae; genus Homo; species Homo sapiens. The sequence continues at coordinate 75,339,529 of NC_000017.11, forward strand.
TGCTGTTTATCTCACATTTCCTGACCTGGGTGTGTTCTGTTTGTGAAAGTTCACTGACCTATAATGATATATACATTTTCCTTTTTCTTTCTTTCTTTTTTTTTTTTTTTGAGACAGCTTCAGTTTTCACTCTTGTTACCCAGGCTGGAGTGCAATGGCGCCATCTCAGCTCACTGCCACCTCTGCCTCCTGGGTTCAAGTGATTCTCATGCCTCAGCCTCCCAAGTAGCTGGGATTACAGGCGTCTGCCACCACACCTGGCTAATTGTTTTGTATTTTTAGTAGAGATGGAGTTTCGCCATGTTGGCCAGGGTGGTCTTGAACTACTGACCTCAGGCGATCCACCCGCCTTGGCCTCCCAAAGTGCTGGGATTACAGGCGTTAGCCACGGCACCTGGCCCTTGCACTTAATTTTCTATACAAATTATAGAAAAAGGTGTCATTTAGAAAAATGGCAAGTATTTTGTTTATAGATTGCTGCATTTTGAAATAAGGGGATATTTTCTGGCCTGAACATATTCAGTCATCTGTAAATGAATAAAAAATAGAAATCATAATTTTTTTTAAAAGAAATAGGCTGTACAGTTATGGTCCCATCAAGCCTTTCAACACGCGCTCCAATTCCAACAGCTTGCAGAAAAGTTCAACATTTCTTCAGGGAAAAATTATTCAAAGTTTTATCAATCTGTGAAGCAATTTGTGTGAGAACATTTGTGCATGAATGATAGGAAGAATTACATTTTAAAGCTCTTAACACGTAAAAAACCAAAAACACCATTTATAGTTGGTCCCTGCAGTGCAGAAATTCAACATAAGCCAGTGAGGTGTCCCCAGTTCTTCAAAGAACCCAGATAAAACTAGTCTAACTCTTGAGTATCACTCAGGCAATCCCAAAGGAGCGATACTGAAATACTGCCATGACTTGAAGACAAATTTCAAGAATTCTAGTGACATCTACTACATAATTTCAAGTTCCTAGAAAAGAGAAAACACACATGCATGCATGCTTTTAAAAGACTTTAGCCCCTAAGAATAAATTCTAAGGGCCCTGGCTAGGGTAACAGTAATGGGAGAGCCACTCAAAGTCAGTTCTCTTCAGGTGCCTGATTACGTATTTTATTAGAAGCTATTAGAATGTTCTTCAACTTCCCTTAGTATGGATAACTGACTCAGTTTCAAGCTATAGTGATTCATTACTAACACTTTAAATAAGTGCTTCACAATCACCACCTCCATCTGTTACAGTTTTTCTGCAACATGAAAAACATCTTGGCAATGCTGCCTGCTATGCTGTGTGCCAAATCATGAAAAACACCCACAGTGTAGATAAACGATTAACAATTTTAGTGATGAGATAACCAGCAAAGGTAGTTCAATAATTAAGGTTTCTGGTCCCACAGAAAGCTTGAATTGCTCACCCAGGAACACAGAGAGAACAGTTCTCACATATGCCGAGCAGATCAGTCTCCATTTGGAATGACCGCAACTACAGCAAGGCCACGGCTCAATAAAAATCTGAAAAGCATCTTCGCCAACCAGGCCAGGTGATACGTACTTGGCTTTTAACAACCAGAAAGTTGAGAAGAAATGAAATGCATTTATGAAGTTTTAAAACTCTCCTGGCTGGGCGCAGTGCCTCACGCCTGTAATCCCAGCACTTTGGCATGCTGAGGTGAGTGGATCACCTGAGGTCAGGAGTTCGAGACCAGCCTGGTCAACATGGTGAAACCCTGTCTCTACTAAAAATATAAAAAATTAGCTGGGCTTGGTGGTGCGTGCCTGTAATCCCAGCTACTCAGGAGGCTGAGGCAGGAGAATCGCTTGGAGGCAGGAGAATCGCTTGAAACCAGGAGGCAGAGGTTGCAGTGAGCCGAGATCACGCCATTGCACTCTAGCCTGGGTGACAGAGTGACTCCATTAAAAAAAAAAAAAAAAAAAAAACACAAAAGAAAAACAAAGGGTATTTGTTAGTCAGGTATACCTCCTGACCCCTGGTGATGGAATGGTGAGAGGTTCTGACTTAGCACCTTTTAAACATTTTTAAAGGAAAAGAAGAAAAAAAAGGGAAGGAGGAAGGAAAGACAGGGAGGAGGACAAAGTCCCCAAACTCCAACTTTCCACGGTAAAAATCATTCATTACTTTATACTTCCCTCTGCCTATGAAGGAAGGAGTTGTGCCCCATGAATACTGCTTTCTTTCCAACTGCAACCTTTCTGAAAAGTAGCTGCTCAAAGTGGGGATCAGTGTGACAGGGAAACATTGGTGAGTCAGGAGATGGGGACCCACCAAATGTCCAGGCAACAACGCTTAAGTGCTCCAAAGTTAACCACCATAATTTTTCTGTTAAAAAGCCGTAAGTATCCTTCTACAAGTGCAAATATAGTCTGGCATTCCAGTTTTCATAATTTGGCCATCATCGACTCTCTGCTCTGATCTCCCATTGCTTCTCCAAATGAGCCCTGCCGTGCAGTCAGCTAGTCAACTCACCGACCTCTAAACACACTGTACTCCTCCCCACCGCTTGTCTGTACTTTTCCTTGTCTACTGAAATCTTTCAAAATTCAGTTCAGAGCTTACAACCACCCTGGTCACCTTTCCCTCTGCTTCAATCTTATAGTATTTAATGGAGGATTACTGTCAATAATATAATCCCTTATGGTATCTGGTCTATCACTACTTGGACCATGTGCTGCTATGTCTTGGCCCCCTCCCAAACTAACCCGCAAGCAATGAAGCTGGCTCCATACCCAGTTCTCATTTGTCTTCCTCACAGCTCTTAGTATGGTATCTAGCATATTTTGGGGAACTGACTTATATGTGGGGGCTTTGTTCTAAGTGTTCTAAGTAATACATTTAGTGCCCTAGAGCAAGCTGGGTCTACAACAATTTATACATTCTCTCTCTTCTTTTTTAATAAAAAATTGAGACGAGGGTCTTCATATGATGCCCCGGCTGTTCTCCAATTCCTAGGCTCAAGCGATCCTCCCACCTCAGCCTCCCAAAGTGCTGGGAATACAGGCATGAGCCACCGCACCGTCAATTTATACATTCTTGGTGATAAACAAGAACCTCTTAAATAGATCCTAGAAAGACTGCCATGAGTTTGTTGATCCAAGCAAGGAGAGGTAAAGGAGGTAAGAGAATTAAACAATCAGTCTTCCTGTAACGTAAGCACCCTGCCTAAAGGCCATGTGGAGTACCTTTCCACAAGGCCACCTACTTCTTTGTCTAAGTAGGCTGGGTGCAGTGGCTCACGCCTGTAAAATTTCAGCACTCCAGGAAGCCAAGGCGGGAGGATGCCTTGAGCCTTGGAGTTTGAGTCCAGCCTAGAGGGTACAGGGAGACCCTGTCTCTACAAAATATTCAACAATTAGCCTGGCATGGTGGTGTGCACATACAGTCCCAACTACTCAGGAGGCTGAGGTGGGAGGATTGCTTGAGCCTGGGAGGTCGAGGCCTGCAGTGACCTGTGATTGCACCATTGCACTCCGGCCTGGGTGACAGAGAGAAACCTTGTCTCAAAAAAAAAAAAAAGGTATAAGATTGGGAAGGAGTGGGGGTGGGTGGGTAGAGCAGGGAACTTTCAGTATGACAGGGATAAAGGGGGCTGGACCAGGGAGAGAGGAGGTGTAAGTCTGTTTCTACACATGTCCTATTAATCCCTCTCAGGATGGAGCGCTTCCTGGCAATGTGATGTCTAATTCTGATTCGGTCTGCCTGTCTGACTTGTGACAGACTTTTGCAGGGTGCTAATTTTAATAGCTACAACTCTGCCAGCAAAATTTTTATGGAACAGTCTGCAAGACCTTGGATTTTTTGATTCACCCACTGACCAGCAACTAGGCTGATGGAGAAAAATGATCACATTAAGAGACCAGGACTATTCATGTATTAAAAAAGTTTCTTTATAATGTTCATACATGTTAGAAGATGAACAATTAAGACGACTAACCAAATTACAGGATATTTCTTTCTCTGAGAAATATTTTAGTTCAAAAGATAACTAGGATATGCTCATCAACCTCTTCAGTTGACCTCTTATCATCAAGAGAAATTGCTCTTGATATTTTTAACAAAACAGGAAGGTAGTTCACACTTATGTGATATTACTCCACCCAGATAAATCTGGAGGCAGTGAAACCTAAATGCATAGACAAACCCCAAAATAAACTTCTACCAAAGGGGTACAAAAAGTTTCCATTCAAAATAACTGTCTTGCGTTTTGTGACATGTGGAAGTCCTATTTGGTGGAGCTGAAATGCTCTTGGAATGTCAGAATTTCAACTGCACGAGCAGGGAGAAGAAAGGAGAGGAAGGGAGGGGGCAGGAAGAGACCAACACAGAGATCAAGAGGTTTCAAGAAAAATCTGTGTATTTGAAAAATTCAACAATCATATGATGACCTGTACTAGACAAACACCAAGCCCTGGGCTAGGTGAACTGAGGATAAAATGGATACCCTTCCCAAGGAGCTTAGGGGACTAGAAAGCTGCCAGGTGCATCACAGTGTGACGAATGTCAGGAGTGGGGAGTTATGGGTACTATGTAGGCATCAATTCAATAGAAAACATCTGACTTCCAAACACCAAAGACGATGACTTAACTCCAGGTTAGGGGGTATCAGGAAAACATCCTAGATGAAGTGTGAACTTGGTTATTCCCTGTCTGCATCTTTAGCTCTGCTTAGTCTGTGTGGACTGTGAGTAGAAGGAACATGGCAGACTCTGCAAGTAGACAGATTGTTGTTTGGCTGCTATTAACTAAAACACTGGTTAAGCTTCTTTTAGCTTAAAGGTAAAATATTTATTAATGGTATCAGAACTTCTAACTGGAAATAACCTAAATAACCTCAACTGTAGCTAATTTTTTTTTTTTTTTTTCAGACAGAGTCTTGCTTTTGTTGCCCAGGCTGGAGTGCAATGGCGTGATCTCAGCTCACTGCAACCTCCACCTCCCGGGTTCAAGCGATTCTCCTGCCTCAACCTCCTGAGTAGCTGGGATTACAGGTGCCTGCCACCAAGCTGGCTAATTTCTATATTTTCAGTACAGACAGGGTTTCATCAAGTTGGCCAGGCTGGTGTTGAACTCCTGAGTTCAAGTGATCTGCCCGCCTCGGCCTCCCAAAGTGCCAGGATTTACAGGTGTTGAGCCACCGCGCTCGGCCTCAACTGTAGCTAATTCTTTACTTTAATGACACATATTTAGCAACTGTCCTTTTCATCCTTTCACTAACAGAAGGAGGCTTTTAATCTTACATGAAATCCTACACTCCTCTCTTCAAAAAATAAAACACAAAGCCTCCCCAACCCCCCACACCCCCTCCCAACCCCCCCGCCTGGGGGAGCAGCTGTTACTCATGTTTTGTGATGCTAACAGGCAAACCCGCTCCTGTGTGTCAGTTCCACCCTCTAAGGTCTCCACTCACTTCCCACTGCCTCAGCATAAAGCAGAAAACAGGAGCTCAAACCTCTACCCTGAAAATTAATGACAACAGAGGTTTTTTTTTAAATTTTATTTATTATTATTATTTTTGAGATGGAGTCTTGCTCTGTCCCCCAGGCTGGAGTGCAGTGGCGCAATCTCGGCTCACTGCAACCTCCGCTCCTGGGTTCATCCCATTCTCCTGCCTCAGCCTCCTGAGTAGCTGGGACTACAGGCGCCCGCCACCACGCCTGGCTAATTTTTTTTGTATTTTTAGTAGAGACGGGGTTTCACCGTGTTAGCCAGGATGGTCTCGATCTCCTGACCTCGTGATCCGCCAACCTCAGCCTCCCAAAGTTGTGGGATTACAGGCGTGAACCACCGCACCCCGCCCGACAACAGAGTTTATTTAATTCCACGTAAGACTATGATTCAAGGGGTCAATGAAAGGACTGATCGATTTTCAGTCGTTCTGTGACCCAAGAGCCACCTCAGAGGATGTTATTGAAAGAAGAAAAAGCAATGTTGGTCACAGAACTATTCACCAACGTGTGCATAAGGATACAGGACTGAAAAACTCAAGGCTGGGGTCCTCCCACCAGGACACCGTTAATTTCCAACTCAAAAAGCTAGTTCCAAATGCATTTTCTACTTCTGAAGCAGTTAATCTAGTTCCAAATCGGGAAAGGCTTGTTATAATCACATGACAGAGGAAGAGGAACTGGGGTAGAGTGGCAAGTCCCTACCCCCACCCCCACCCCCACCCCCAGGGTGGAGGCGAATGCAGAGAGTTCAACAGGTAATGACAATACAAACTGCAAATGTGGATTCAAGCTAGTGGACAGGGTCAGGGAGCAGAAAACACAGGGACCTAAACTAGTCTCGGGGTGGGGGCTGCCTGAGAAAGCCTCCCCAAGCCAGTGACATTTGAAGGGAGATCAAAGGCTCTCCTGTGGGTGGTCTGGCAGAAGACCACAGTATGCAAATTAAGAAGCTCAAGCTTATATGTTACAATCATCAGAAGTCGCTGAGAGTGACATTCAGGTTTGCATTTTTCAAAAGCTCCTCTGGCTGACTGTGAGATGAACTGCAAGGAGGTGCAGGTGGGTGGGGCAGTGCGGTAGAGAGGAGAGAGTCGAGGTATTTCTGGAGGTAGAATCAAAAGGACTTGGTGATGAGATGCTGCTCAGTGGTCTTCCTCTCGGCCACTGATTTTTTTTTTTTTTTTTTCTGAAAACTGCTTTAGAAAAACTGCTATATTGGCTGGGCACAGTGGCTGATGCCTGTAATCCCAGCACTTTGGGATGCCAAGGCAGGCGGATCACTTGAGGTCAGGAGTTCAAGACCCGCCTGGCCAACATGGTAAAACCCTGTCTCTACTACAAAATACAAAAAATTATCTGGGCACGGTGGCGGGCGCCTGTAGTCCCAGCTACTCGGGGGGCTGAGGCAGGAGAATCGCTTGAACCTGGGAGGCAGAAGTTGCAGGGAGCCGAGACTGCGCCACTGCATTCCAGCCTGGGCAATAGAGTGAGACTCCGTCTCCAAAAAACAAAGACAGGTATCAATCTTATGCTGGTATCCTCCATCTGTCTCTCCAGATCCAGTTACACCTTGCTTTTCTTGCCTTTTTTTTTTTTTTTTTTTTTTTGAGACAGAGTCACACTCTTTGCACAGGCAGGAGTGCAGTGGTGCAATCCTGGCTCACTGCAACCTCCACCGCCCGGGTTCAAATGATTCCCCTGCCTCAGCCTCCCAAGCAGCTGGGATTACCACACCTGGCTAATTTTTGTATTTTTTAGTAGAGACGGGGTTTCATCATGTTGGCCAGGCTAGTCTCAAACTCCTAACCTCAAGTCACCTTGGCCTCTCAAAGTGCTGGGATTACAGGCATGAGCCACTGTGCCCAGCCTGCTCTGACTTTTTGGCTCTGTAAGAACCACATCAACAGGCTCCCTCACTCTCTGGCTCCCAGTGCTATTAATCAATGGGGAGGCCTGCAGAAGGTCAGACGAAGGGAGGGTCAGGTCAGGGCATTCATTCTCCCAGCTCCCACCCTGAGAGTGTCTGTGGACAGTCTTGGACTCTCAATTGAAAGTAAGTCCTTTCCTTCTCCAGGTTTGGGCAACTCCTCCCCCTTCCTTCTCCCTGTCGTAGGCCTCATGGTGGTAACCTGATTACCAGCTGTGGACACTGCATTATCCCTGTGGTTTCTAGAGAAACTTCGCCCACACTGATAGCGGCAGGAGGCAGACAAATGCCTCACAGGGGCGGGTCTCCAGTGAAACCCCACCTCTAAGCCAAAGACAACTGAAAGCCTGAAAGCCACACTACAGGTCAAATCCATGGACCGGACTGAGAACCCATCTTCCCATTTGGTAGGCTTTCCTCTGATTGATCCCCACTCTTCACCTATTTTACATCTACCTACCCTTTCCGAATTGATTTTCTACACTGCCATGCCCATCTTTGAGTGGTGCCTTTGCTTTAGCCTTTCTTTGCATGCCCACAAACCATTCAGCATGCATGCCCCTGTTCTGAGCCCATAAAAGCCCCCACCCAGCCACACTGGGAGAGAAACCACCAGACTTCAGGGGTGGGGAACCACTACCTCCTCCGCTCCTGAAAGCTGTTCACCGCTCAATAAAATTCTTCTCCACCCTCCTCACCCTTAAATTGCCAGTGTAACCTCATTCTTCTCAGACACAGGACAAGACCTTGGGAACTGCTGAACCTGGGAACAAGCCATAACACAGGTGAGCTGGGGCATACCCAGCCCAGCCATGAGCTGAGCTGGTGCGCAACCAAGACTTAGCCTGAGTGGGCTGAGTGTGGAGGTCCCCAGCTGGAGTCAACACCTTGCAAATAGTCTCATTATTAAAATCCTCTCAATTTAAGTGTGTCAGGTGTTCTCTACCAGGACTCAGACTGAAATTAGCCTAAAATCAGTTGTATATGTCTTTTGGAATGCATTAAGGACATGCTCCTTTATATAAAGTGACATTTGTTATGGGGCAGAAAGTATCCAAATTCTACCAACTACTTGGAAGAAGAAAACTATAAAAGAGCCAAACAATTCTGTTCTGTTAACCGCTTTTTCAAAATTTGAGACAGGGGTCTTGCTCTGTGGCCCAGGCTGGAGTGCAGAGGCACAATCACAGCTCAATGCAGCCTCAGCCTCCCGGGCTCAAGTGATCCTCCCGTCTCAGATCTTCCCACAAATAGCTCGGACTACAGATGCCAGCCACTACAGCTGGCTACTTTTAAAATTTTTTTGTGGAGGCAGGGTCTCACCATGTTGCCAAGGCTGGTCTGGAACTCCTGGTCTCAAGGTATCCTCCCATCTCAGCCTCCCAAAGTGCTGGGCTATAGGCATGAGCCATAATGCCCAGCCCTATTCTGTTTACTATTAAAAGTTGAGAAAGGGGGTGAAGGTATAAAAACCTCAGATTTGTAATCTGACCATTACTAGACTGGCATAATGACTTGCAGTAGCTGCCCCTTTGAATTGCACTTTAGATATTGTTCAAGTGTCTACTACACTGAAAGCATTGTGTTAGGAAGCTGAAAAGGGAATAAGAATAAAAGGCATGGTCCCTGCCCTCAGAAGTGTTTATGAGCTAAGGGAGCTATGTGTGTAAATAAAGAGGAAATAAGTAAAAAAGTGAGATAAGGGAAATTGCTGATTTTGAGCTGGACACAGAATTCACCGCTACATGTTTCTATTTACTTTTCAGTTTTAGAGACAGGGTCTTACTCTGTTACCCAGGCTAGACAATGCAGTGGCACAATCTCTGCTCACTGCAGCCTCTGCCTCCTAGGCCAAGTGAACTTCCCACCTCAGTCTCCTGAGTAGCTGGGACTACAGGTGCACGCCGCCACGCCTGGATAATTTTTGTATTTTTTGTAGAGATGCGGTTTTCCCATGTTGTCCAGGCTGGTTTCGAACTCCTGAGTTCAAGCAATCCGCCCACCTCAGCCTCCCAAAATGCTGGGATTTCAGGCATGAGCCACTGCGCCCAACCCAGCAACATGTTTCTAAATTAGCTGCATGGCTGACATGGAAAATTCAACTCATGTGTGGACGTTCTAGAAAAAAGGACAACTTCAAATAGTCTAGGAATAGGGCAAGAACCTAAAGGTAGAACAGCTTATAACAGGTGAGAGGGTATAGTAAGCAAAGTAATTTTCCCTCTTGTATTTTCATTGAGTTTAAATAAAAGAAGCCATTCTTGTTTAATCCTACTGTCCTCTGCCAGACTACACATTGCTCTCTTTTGATGGAGCTGTCATATGTTTCAATGATAAATGGTAATTACATACATTTGGACAGCTGGATGTGGCTCAATCAAGCAGGGTCCTCTCTTACAGGTAACCATGCTGGCCATGTTACTAAAACTACTGCCTAACAGATAAGACAAGCTGTCCTCCCTGTTGCCTTTAGCCTGCTAAGGCTGTAAAACCTGAGAGCCCAGAAACCTTCGAGGACACATGTAGGCTTGCCCAGAATAACTAGATCAAGGGGCTGGTTCGAGCCTTCTGTTTTCATAACTCAGACTTTTTTTTTTTTTTTTTTTTGAGACAGAGTCTTACTCTGTTGCCCAGGCTGGACTGCAGTGATGCGATCTTGGCCCACTGCAACCCCCGCACCCTCTGCCTCCTGGGTTCAAGTGATTCTCCTGCATCAGCCTCCCAAGTAGCTAGGATTGCAGGCGCCCACCACCACGCCTGGCTAATTTTTGTATTTTAAGTTGAGACGAGGTTTGACCATTTTGGCCAAGCTGGTCTTGAACTCCTGACCTCAGGTGATCCACCCGCCTCAGCCTCCCAAAATTTGTAATCCTGGGATTACAGGCGTGAGCCACCACACCCTGCTGACTCAGACATCTGATGGCCACCCACTGCCTCACTTTGGATGATCATATTGGCAAAGATGAAAATAAGTTAATACTTAGTGATAGGGATAGTATCGGTGGGAATATAAAAAGGTATATGGCTTTATGAAAAGTAATTCGACTGTATGTATTAAAGATCTAATGTTCATACCTATTAACCCAGTAATGCCATTCTTAGGACTCTATCCTAATAAAACAACCAAAAAAAAAAAAATACATAGTCAAGACTAAGGGAGCAGCTGGGCACAGTGGCATATGCCTGCAGTCCCAGCTACCTGGGAAAGATCCCTTAAGCCCAGCAGTTTAAGGCTATAGTGTGCTATGATTGCACCTGTGAATAGCCACTGCACTCTGGCCCAGGCAATATAGCAAGATCTCATCTCTGAGGGGAAAAAAAAAAAAAAAAAGACTGAGTAAACAAGTATGAGTGAGTGCCTATTTTGAGTTAGGAGCTATGCTAGGTCCTGGGGATACAATTTTAAAAATGAGCCTTACTTTCAAAGAGCTGACAGCAGGGGAAGCCAAGTTCACTACAACTTCAGGTGTAAGTTCTATGAGTCCAGAGTGCTCTGTATGAAAGCACATCTTGGGGAGACCGAATCTAATCAATGCAAGGAAAGCTCACTTGGGCGGTAACATTTATTTATTTATTTTTATTTTTTTTGAGACGGAGTCTCGCTCTGTTGCACAGGCTGGAGTGCAGTGGCGCGATCTCGGCTCACTGCAAGCTCCGCCTCCTGGGTTCACACCATTCTCCTGCCTCAACCTCCCAAATAGCTGGAACTACAGGCACCCGTCACCACGCGCAGCTAATTTTTTTGTATTTTCAGTAGAGACAGGGTTTCACCGTGTTAGCCAGGATGGTCTCGATCTCCTGACCTCGTGATCCGCCCACCTTGGCCTCCCAAAGTGCTGGGATTACAGGCGTGAAGCACCGTGCCTGGCCACTTGGGTGGTAATATTTGAATGGAAACCCTCAGTGTAAGTAGGCTGTAGTGAGGCTTGGGGACGGGCATTGAGGACACAAATGAGAGCAAGAAACATTCCAGGCAGAGGAATGCGCAGGTGCAAAAGTTCTCAGGCAGGAAGGGATGTGGCATAGTCTAGGGGAGACCAGGGACAGAGAACTGAGCCCGACTGTGCAGGGCAGAATAAGGACTTGGGGAATTTGCTCATTAGGATGATGGTTCTGGCTTGTGTGTGGCACACGGCTCTGAGGGGACAAAGAGCAGCAGCAGGAAGATCAGGTGGAGAAGGGGTTACTGCAGGGAGCCAGGAGGGAGCAGACAGGAATTGAGATTAGGGTAGGGGGCTTCTGACTGTTTTGAAGAGAATCTAAAATGAACACTGAAAAACCCACATGCATTATTTTTAAGAATCTAAGTTTATCCCTCCCTCTCAAAAGATTCCCTCTGTACTTCTGTAGGAACAGGGTGCACAGGACCACACAGGATGAGACATCAAATTCCATGTCATATCATAGGCTTCTCAAAGTGAAAAAATTAAAAATTAGAGGAAGACGGCCAAGTGCTGGTGGCTGACACCTGTAATCTAGCACTTTGAGAGGCTGAGGCGGAAGAATCACTTGAACCCAGGAGATCAAGACTAGGCTGAGGGATATAGCCAAGACCTGTCTCTACAAAAAATAGAACAAAAAAGTTAGCTGGGTATAGTGGTGTGCGGCTGTAGTCCCAGCTACTCTGAGACTACAGTGGGAGGATCAGTTGAGCCTGGAAGGCTGAGGCTGCAGTAAGTTATGATCATGCCACTGCACCCCAATCTGGGTGACAGAGCAAGACCTACCTCCAAAAAAAAAAAAGTTTAATTATTCTCCACCATAAACAAAGACAAAGAGAAAGAAAATATATTAAAGGGATAATCCCTCACCTAGAAGGAATGATCCCATTCTTCGAGAATATAGGTGATATCTTAATTGTTGTACAATTAAAAACAGCTACACCAAACTGCTCATAACCAATTACCAATTCAAATAAATATATAGAAAATCTTTACAATCTATGAAAATTCTAAGTAGTACACTCTGACACATTTTATTCACTTATCACGTATAGTTACTTCACTTCAAAGAGTGACATTAGGGGGCTTACAAGACCCCAAGTACAGGCCTTTGCATTAAGAAAATGGACATCAGGGTTCAGGATATAAAAACCTTTTCCTAAGCATCTCTAATGGAATCGGAGACAAATATAACTATTGTTAACAGGCAGGCTAAATTAACTACCTCCTTTTGCTGCTAGACCAGAGGCTTCTCTAGTAATTAATTACCCAGGTCCTGGCCTCCTTCAGGCAGCTACACAGCTCAGGAGGAGCAGGTTCAGGTTCACTGGGAGGGCTGGGGGGCAGGGCAGCCGCAGCACAGCCCCTGCTCTTGGCAGGCACCATCATGAAGAGACAAGCTCAGCCTTGCTCCGCCTCTAGTTCTTTCTCTAAGCACCTACACGCTGCTCCATGTGAAAAATCAGCACTTTTGTCCCACAGAACTGTCACAACCTGCAGAGAAGAGAGGGACTAAGACGGCTAAATGATAGGATGTATTAACGCAAACAACAGGCTTGTCAGACCCGCAACTCCAAGTTACAAGAACAACTTCCTGATTTCATGTTGTGCTTAAAGGAGAAATGTGTGTACAATCCCATGATTCTGGGTCAGGCCCCAGTACCAACAGAACATCCACGCTCCCTGGAAATGGAAGGGTGACCAGGCATAAACGGTTCATTCTCCTGCTCACAATGACAAGTAGTTTCCCAAAGGAGAAAAGCGATCAGACATATTATGTGACAACTAAGATATCCCTACTGTTTGCAGCTACAGCCTGGTATCACTCAGCCTTTATGATCCCCTCTATGCAGTAAAAGTGTTTTAATGTCACGGATGTCTATGTATAATAAATCAATAATGATTAAGGCTATCAACTCTGAACTGACTAGCACCAAAATTTCCAGTTTTCTCTAGTTGAATTTTCATCATCAAGCTCACAAGACCGTTCTCTGGGAGAAAAAGTTAACTTGTTTTTTTTTTTTTTTTAAAAGACATAGTTGGCCAGGCACAGTGGCTCACGCCTGTAATCCCAGCACTTTGGGAGGCCGAGGTGGGTGGATCAGAAGGTCAGGAGATCGAGACCATCCTGGCTAACATAGTGAAACCCTGTCTCTACTAAAAATACAAAAAATTAGCTGGGCGTGCTGGCGGGCACCTGTAGTCCCAGCTACTCGGGAGGCTGAGGCAGGAGAATGGCGTGAACCCGGGAGGCGGAGCTTGCAGTGAGCCGAGATCGCGCCACTGCACTTCAGCCTGGGCGACAGAGCAAGACTCCGTCTCAAAAAAAAAAAAAAAAGACACAGTTGTACCTTGTATTCATGGGGGACTGGTTCCAGGACCCCTGCATATACCCAAATCTGTGCATACTCAAGTCCCACAGTTGGCCCTCTGCGTAAGTGGGCTGTGCATCCTGTGAATACTGTCTTTTTGACACACATGTAGACTGAAAAAAATCCGTGTATAAGCGGAACCATGCAGCTCAAACCTCTGTTGCTCAAGGGTCAACTGTACTTCCTTTACTGGTTGGGCTTCTGTATTTCCTCGAGTTTCTATGCCCTTAAAAAAAAAACCATTTTTACCGGGCGCGGTGGCTCACACCTGTAATTCCAGCACTTTGGGAGGCCAAGGCAGGCAGATCATGAGGTCAGGGGTTCAAGACCAGCCTGACAACACGGTGAAACCCCGCCTCTACTAAAAACACAAAAATTCGCCAGGTGTGGTGGCACATGCCTGTAATCCCAGCTACTCAGGAGGCTGAGGCAGGAGAATCGCTTGAACCTGGGAGGCAGAGGTTGCAGTGAGCCGAGACTGCGCCACTGCACTCCAGCCTGGGCAACAACAAAAAAAATTCTGGCCAGGTACAGTGGCTCATGCCTGTAATCCCAGCACTTTGGGAGGCCGAGGCAGGCGGATCATCTGAGGTCAGGAGTTCAAGACCAGCCTGGCCAACATGGAGAAACTCCGTCTCTACTAAAAATACAAAAAATTAGCCAAGCATGGTGGTGCATGCCTGTAATCCCAGCTACTTGGGAGGCTGAGGCAGGAGAATTGCTTGGACCCGGGAGGCGGAGGTTGCAGTGAGCCGAGATCACACCACTGTACTCCAGCCTGGGTGACAGAGCGAGACTCTGTCTCAAAAAAAAAACAAAAACGAAAGGGTGCGTGAGGGGCAAATGTTTTGAGTCCTTGCATGTCTGGAAATGTCTTGATTCTATGTTTATACTTGAAGGCTATTTCGGCTGGGTATAGATTTCAACAGAATCCTGGGCTGAACAGCATTTTCCCTCAGAACTTGGAAGAGACATTGTTTTCTGGTATTCAGAGTTGTACAAGCAAAGTTTATTCATGGTCTTTTTTTTTGGGGGGGGGGGGGAGATGGAGTTTCACTCTTGTCTCCCAGGCTGCAGTGCAATGGTGCGATCTCTGCTCACTGCAACAACCTCCACTTCCCATGTTCAAGCGATTCTCCTGCCTCAGCCTCCTGAGTAGCTGGGATTACAGGTGCCTGCCACCACAACCGGCTAATTTTTCTATTTTTAGTAGAGATGGGGTTTCACCACATTGCCAGTGCTTCTCGTAGGAACACAAACCCTACTGTAAACTGCTCACGCGAGGGATCTAGGTTGCCCGCTCCTTGTAAGAATCTAATGCCTGATGATCTGAGGTTGAACAGTCATCCTGAACCATCTCGACCCCCCACTTCCATGGAAAAATTGTCTTCCATGAAACCAGTCCCTGGTAGCAAAAAGGTTGGGGACTGCTGGATTCAAGAATTGCTGGAAGAGCCCACTGCAGTCTTCCAAAAGATGTGACAGCTATTATTCAAACTTCCAGAAAGAGAACAGTGAAAATAGAAGAAAAGACACTACGAAATGTTTTTTAAAAAGGAAAAACTTAACTTCTCATAGCTGATGAATATGAATTTTCAGATAGGAAGGGCGCACTGAGAACCCAGCCATAGTGAATAAAAACAGATCTATGGCCGGGCACAGTTCATGCTTGTAATCTCAGCACTTCGGGAGTCTCCCAAGTAGTTGGGATTACAGGCACATGCCAACATGCCTGGCTAATTTTTGTATTTTTAGTAGAGACGGGGTTTCACCATGTAGGCCAGGTTGGTCTCGAACTCCTGACCTCAGGTGATCCACCTGCCTTGGCCTCCCAAAGTGCTGGGATTACAGGCGTGAGCCACCGCGCCTGGCCAGGACCTGTACTCGTACTTTTGTCCCTGTTCCTAGCAAAACAAAATTCTACGAAGGTGCTGAATCCCATCTCTTCTTGCCTGCTCAAGGACATTAACTCAGTTATTTTCCTTTCTTCTGCATCATCAATTTTAATTAAAATCTCTACTGGATTTTTCTAATCAACAAATAAAAATGCTGTCATTTCTCTCATCTCTGGGAGTGGGGTGAAAGCAGACTTCTTTTGACTCTACTGCCTCATCTCTCTGTTCCCCTTTAAATCAAAACTTTCTGGAACAGTTGTCTATACTCTCTGTCCCAGTTCTCTCCTCCTCCCCAAACATCTTGTTATAAAAGCTTTCAAGCATAAAGCAAAGTGAAAAGAATTTTACAGTGAATACATTTATCCATCACATAAATCGGGGATGTCCAATCTTTTGGCTTCCCTGGGCCATACTGGAAAAAAAAAAAGGTCTTAAGCCACACATAAAATACACTAACACTAATGATAGCTGATGAGCTTAAAAAAAAAAAAAAAAGCAAAAAAATCTCATAATGTTTTAAGAAAGCACAAATTTGTGTTGGGCCGCCTTCAAAGCCATCCTGGGCCACATGTGGCCTGCGGGCTGTGGGGCTGGACAAGTTTGACCTAAGTTATTTGCTCTGTCACATATCTATCCATCTATATACATCCCTCTCTCCTATTGATGTATCTTAATTTTCCTTTCTTCTTTTTTTTTTTTTTTTTTTTTTAAAGAGACAGAGTCTTGCTCTGTCGCCTAGGTTGGAGTGTGGAGTACAGTGGCGTGATCTCGGCTTACTGCAACCTTCGCCTCCCGAGTTCAAGCAATTCTCCTGTCTCAGCCTCTCGAGTAGCTGGGACTACAGACGCACGCTGCCATGCCCGGCTAATTTTTTTTTGTACTTTAGTAGAATCAGGGTGTCACCATGTTGCCCAGGCTGGTGTCGAACTCCTGAGCTCAGGTAATCCACCCGCCTTGGCCTCCCAAAGTGCTAAGATTACAGGCATGAGCCACCGCACCTGGCCCTATCTATCTTAATTTTTAATGCATTTCAAAGTTACAGATATGAGTACATTTCCCCCTAAATACTTCAATATACATATTATTACCTATATTTAAATATTTGGGCCAGGTACAGTGGTTCATGCCTGTAATTCCAACACTTTGGGAAGCTGAGGCAAGAGGTTCGCTGGAGCCCAGGAGCCAAGACCAGCCTAGGCAACATGTTGTGAAACCCTGTTCTCTAAAAATTAGTTAGGTGTGGTGGTGTGTACCTGTGGTCCCAGCTACTTGGGAGGCTGAGGCAGGAGGATCGCTTGAGCCCAGGAGGTCGAGGCTGCAATGAGCCATGATCACACCACTGTACCGCAGCCTAAGTGACAGGGCAAGACCCTATCATTCGTTCTTTCATAAATATTAGTTTGCATGTATAATTTACATATCTGCTACCTTTGAGATAAAGAACACATCTATCACCACAGCAAGTTTCCTTGTGCAGCTTTCCCTGTGCATACCCATCCTCTCTGAACCAGCTTCCAAGCACGATTCCGCTCGTACCACTCTACTGAAACTACTCAAGGTCACCAATCAGCTCCTGTTGCTGAATCCAAAGGTCAATTCCCTGCCCTCATCTGACTTGGCCTATAAGCAGGGCAAAACAGAAGTGATCATTTCCTTCACCTTGAAGCACTTTCTTGGCTTCCAAGACACATCATTTCCCAGCTTTTCTTCCTACGTAACTGGCCACTTCCTGTTGGGTCTCCTTTGCTAGTTTCTTATCTCACTAACTTTTAAACATTCAGGTGCCCCAAGGGCTCCATCCCTGGAACTCTTTTCTTCTCCATCTACACTCATTCCTTTAGTTTCCCCATCCAGGCTAATGGCTTTTATAACATCCCCAAATGGAACACTTTTCACTTTTACCACCATCATTCTGATCCAGCCCTATCATTATCTCTGCCTTGGATTACTGCAGTGGCTTCCTAATCCGTCTCACTGCTTTCACTTTGCCACCATCAGAATCTTCTGAATCCTGCAACCAGAATTAGCATCATTAAAATGTAAGGCAGAAATGTTTGAGGGTTTTTCTTTTTAATTTTTATTTCTCACTCTACACTGATGTAGTTAAGTCAGAAATGTCACAGCCAAGAGGAGTCTAGAGAGATATGATGACTAGGTATAATGTGGTGTCCTGGATGGGACCGTAGAACAGAGAAGGACACTGGGAAAAACTAAGGAAATACTGAATCAAGTATGAACTTTAGTTAATAATAACGTATCAATATTGGCTCATTAATAGTAAATACGCCATAATAATGTTAGTAATAGGTGAAAGTGAATGTGGGGCATATGATAACTCTTTGTACAACTTCTCTATCAATCTAAAATTGTTCTTTGAAAAAATAAAGTTGTCTTCTTTTAAAGTTGGACTGTCAGGTCATTTGGCTTAAAATCCTTCAATGGCCCAAATATTCCATTCCTCAAACATCTGGTGCTCCCTGACGGTCTATTCATGCTTAAAACTGAGGCAGGCCAGGAGCAGTGGTGCACGTCTGTAATCCTAGCACTTTGGGAGGCCGAGGAGAGTAAATCACCTGACGTCACAAGTTCGAGACCAGCGTGGCCAACATGGTGAAACTTTGTCTCTACTAAAAATACAAAAATTAGCTGGGCGTGGTGGCAGGCGCCTGTAATCCCAGCTACTGGGGAGGCTGAGGCAGGAGAACCGCTTGAATCTGGGCAGCAGAGGTTGTAGAGAGCCAAGATCGCGCCACTGCACTCCTGCCTAGGCGACACAGTGAGACTTTGTCTCAAAAAAAACAAAAAACAAAAAACAAAAATTAGCTGGGCGTGGTGGCGCGTGCCTGTAGTCCCAGCTACTCAGGAGGCTGAGGCAAGACAATCGCTTGAACCCGGGAGGTGGAGGTTGCAGACGACATGCATGAGCCACCAACCACCATGTCTAGCCTGAAATTACCATTGATGTAATCTAAATGATGGTCTTTGCTATGTTAGTCAAAGGTGAGCTCTCTGGAATTGATTTTTTTAATCCTTTAACCTAATTATTAGGTTCACTGCCCACACAAGTATAGAGGAAGAAAATAGCTAAGTAAATAAATATTTAAACCAAAAATGTGGCCACAAGCCCTGTTAAAATTATTCCAAATTGCATTTTACCTAAATTGTTAGAAAAGAATTCAAATATTTAACATTTTGACTAGAGTTTTAAAACTCCAATTCATGTTACTAAATATCTCCTACACTATGGGTGGAGTGTGTTTTTGTCTGTTTTAAATTCCAATTTAAGTTGCATTCTAGCCTCTTTCCATTATTTATCTGTGGCATGCTCATTCCCCATTACCTTTGAGTGTTTGCTGAGTGGTTAGCTCTGTATATTCATGGCATTATCCTAAAACGGAGAAACATGTTAACACTGACAGAGCTGTCATTAAGATCATTAAGAGTAACAGACAGGGCCAGCCGCGGTTGGGCATGCCTGTAATCCCAGCACTTTGGGAGGCTGAGGCAGGCGGATCACGAGGTCAGGAGATCAAGACCATCCTGGCCAACATGGCGAAATCCCATCTCTACTAAAAAAAAAAAAAAAAAAAAAAAAAACAAAAAATTAGCTGGGTATGGTGGCACATACCTGTAAATCCCAGCTACTCAGGAGGCTGAGGCATGAGAATCACCTGAACCCAGGAGGCAGAGGTTGCAGTGAGCTGAGATTGTGCCACTGCACTCCAGCATGGCGACAGGGCAAGACTCTGTCTCAAAAAAAAAAAAAAAATTATATATATATATATAAATATATATATATATAAAATAGGCCAGTGGCCCACACCTGTAATCCCAGCACTTTGGGAGGCTGAGGTGGGTGTATTACCTGAGGTCAGGAATTCAAGACCAGCTTCACCAACATAGTGAAATTCTGTCTCTATTTAAAAAACGCAAAAATTAGCTCGGTGTGGTGGCACACGCCTGTAATCCCAGCTACTTGGGAGGCTGAGGCAGGAGAATCCCTTAAACCCAGGAGGGTTTGAGACTACATCTCAAAAAAAAAAAAAAAAAAAAAAAAGAGGAATAATAGACAATACAACTTTGGTTAAATTGTCTCCAAATAGCTGATGGCTCATACATGTGATCTAGCACATTGGGAGGCCAAGGCAGGAGGACTGCTTGAAGCCAAGGGCTCAAGACCAGCCTAGGCAACAAAAGTGAGACCCATGTCTACAAAAAATACAAAAATCAGCCAGGCACGGTGACACATGCCCATAATCCTAGCTACTTGGGAGGCTGAGGCAGGAGGATCACCTGAGTCCAGGAGTTCGAGGTTGCAGCGAGCTATGATCATGCCACTGCACTCCAGCCTGGGTGACAGAGTGAGGCATTGTCTCAAAATAATAATAATAATAAATAATAATAATAATTTCAGATTGGTGTGAGTAAGCACAGCACTGAACACAAAGCTCTCCATGGCCCAGACCTTGCCTAACTCCCCAATCTCCACCTGCCAGTCCCTGTCATCTCCTGCCTTCCTGCCTTGAACTCCAAGTTTCAACAACACTAAAGCTACCTGCGGTTTCCCAACTGCCAGAATGTTTTATGATTTTCACACTTGTATATGTTGTTCTCTCTGCCTAAAATGGCAAACTCAAGACCTAATTTAAGAATCACTTTCTTCCCACCACTGAACCATGTATACCTGTCTCAATATACTCTTTTCTCTACTAAATTGAACTACTTGTGGGTAGTAGCCTCGGCTATTAATCTTGGTATATACTCAAGGGCATTCAATAAGTGTTTGACTTGTCTTGGAAAGATAAATGTTGTTGGAAAAAGTGGTGTGTTACAAAGTTCTTTCTGTCTTAAAAAAAAAAAAAAAAAGACAGACTGGGCATGGTGGCTCATGCCTGTAATCTCAGAAATTTAGAAGGCTGAGGTGGGAGGATTGCTTGAGGCCAGGGGTTAGAGACCAGCCTGGGCAACATGGCGAGACCTTGTCTCTAATATACTTAAACAGTCAAATTAAAAAGAAATCATAAACGATCTCCCAAATGTAAACAAGGAAATGTGATTATGATTTTTTACTCTGTTTTATTTTTATTCACAATAAACAAATGCATCAATAACTTAAATCTCAAAAATATGTTTTCAACAGATTACAAGTTTAGTCCTCCCATTACTATCTTAGAAACATAATTCTGGACAACAGGAACTAGTTTTCTGTGTCTGGAACAATTCCTGGTAATTTTAAGCCCTTCACACACAAAAATCAAAGGACCAGATGGGATTTTAGAGTATTTTCCAATCCATATTCCTATCATAAAGCCTAGTAACTGAAGTCACAAATACAAGCAAGGTAATTATCTGATTTTAGAAGGCTTCCACAGAATTCACAGAAATGTAATCCCCTACTGATTCAACTGAGGTCAAACTCAACACTAGTTCACACAGGACAGCAAAACACCATCATTACCACTTGTGTCTGTACAGTAAGGAGTGACCTAATACAAAAGCAAGGTTTGTGGGGCAAAAAGGACACACAGGGACCTTGTGGCATGGGCCCAGCTGCTCCTGCTCACCTTGCTCTCTGCCCACTTGGCTTCTCTGGGCCTCAGATAAATCCCCTTATAAAATAAGAGTCCTATGATGCTATGTTCTTTTTCACTTTAAACTTTTTTCAATTTTTTCTGAGACAGGGTTCTTGCTCTTTCACCCAGGCTGGAGTGCAGTGGCGTGAACACAGCTCACTACAGCCTTGAACTCCCACCTCAGCTTCTGGAGCAGTCAGGACTACAGGCATGTGCTGCCACGCCCAGCTAATTTTAATTTTTTTTTTGGTAGAGATGGGGTCTTGCTCTATTGAACAGGGCTGGTCTCAAACTCCTGGCCTCAAGCGATCCTCCCACCTTAGCCTCCCAAGTGCTGGGATTTCAGGCATCAGCCACTATGCCTGACCTAAAGTCAAACTTTTAAAAGGTACAATATATTGTGTACCTGTTACACTTCCTTCCTGTATTAAAGGCAACCCTTCCCAGAGATAGTACTTTTATTTTACAGATGAACAAACCAGAGCTCAAAGAGGTCAGATGTCTTGACCACAAACAGCTAATAAAAAGAAAAAGTGCAATTCAATTCAAATTCCAGTCTGTGTTGTTCTCAAAAACATTTTGCGAACCTGTCTTAAACGAGGACAAGGGAACAAACTAAACTACAGAGTGGCAAAGATCCAAATGCACATCTTTCCTTCAGGCAGTATAAGGACAGAAAAATAGGACAAGATGGTCTCCTATGCTGTGGGAAAGACAGGGAAATCCTCAGAAAAATGGGTCTAAACACTTGACTCCTAAAAATGTCATCATAAATCCTATCGTCTCCTTACCAACTAACTGCGTAATTTATCAGGAAACACTACTTCCTTCATCTATCTAGACTTATCATATTACAAAGGTACCAAGTTATCTACTTGCAAAAATACCAAATATGGTATGAGGGAAATACTCATACACAGAGTCTGAGGAGCCATCCTTAAAAATTATGGAGTGGGGAGACGGTGATGCATGCAGGGCATTAAACTCCCCACCAAACTAGGGGGAAAAAGCTTCCCAATTTACTAAGTTTTAATATCCCTGAAAACATTAGGATTTCATGAGCAAAATATATTACGCTCATTACATGTCCATTACTAACTGAGCAACTCTATTAAAATGAGAGATGAGAGGATTGCTTGAGGCCAGGAGTTCGAGACCAGTCTGTGTCTTTATTAAAAAAAAAAAAGGGATTATTAAAATAATATTCATTTCTTGTCATACTTGGTATTTTTTCAGATTTTTTCCCTCATGTTTAATGCAACCACTAGGCTCTCCAATACAAGGAAAGTATGTAAAGCACTGCTTGTATTCCTGGTTAAGTGTCAGAACCACATACATTGTGCCATAATAATCCTAAGAGTACCCACTGGCATTCCTGAAGCACTTCAGCTAGTGACACCATTCATCACCCTCAGGCCCAGTTTTAGAGATGAGAAAAATAAAGAAGGGCCACTAGCCTCTCCAGGACACAGATACGTAGGTCCTACAGGTCCTCAAAGGGGAGAGCCCCATATCTCAGTCTTTTTATTAATCATCATCACCTCCGCCATGTCTTTGTAGACATTTTTTCCTTAATTACCACTTCTCATGAAATTCTGATACCACAGATGAAAATACACATATATTTATGTACTGTACTGTTTATCTGTGCTTTATGCATGAAGAGTTGAGTTTTGTTTTTTCACCCTCCAAGAACCAAATTTCAATCCTTTGAGGGAAAAATCAAGACCTAGCTCATTCACTCCACCAAATCACTCAGAACACACGTAAGTCAGAAACTATTAACAAGTTGGGAGCCAAAAGATATTTTTTGATGTGTTGGTTTTACCAGTCAGCAATAGATACAAGGGCTTAATAATTTTCACTTTATCCCTGTTCTTAGCATTTTTATTGCTGGGTGTTAAACAGAAACAGAAGTTCTATCTGTTGTAAAGTTTATTCCACTGGCCTCATTAGGTACATGGTTTTTGCCTTACTTTAAAAATTCTAAAACTATACATGCTCCCACCCACAATATCATGCTTTTGTATTCAAAATCTAGCCAACTTGCTCTGCTCCTGTGTGGGTACCTAAGTACAATGGTGTGTGGGCCAATCTTAAAAAGGGCAGAACAGCCCCCCACCTCCAGCCAAGCTCACCCAATTACTAATATGACAAATACTGACAGCCAAATAAAGTACTACAGTTAAATACTAAAGGCTTTCCCATTTTGGGGGTAGAGGAAGGAAGAGGGCTAAGCCTAGGGAATGGAAAGGAAAAAAATTATGACTGCTTGAGGTGGGTAATAAAAGGAGACAGAAGGGAGAGTAAGTGCTCTAGGTGCCCAGCAGAAAGTATAAAACCCTTTTAAAAGCCCAGCAGACAGTTTGTTCTGGACACCATATTTCATAATCTATTCCTGTCACAAAGTATGTGTATCTGTTTGATTTGGGGGAAAGGGAAGGCTATTTTCCATCCCATAGATCTCCTGGTTTCTAATTTTAAGAGCCAAGAGTCCCATTCTCAAAGATAGGGTAGCACCTCACCTAAACTATCTTCTTTGGTCAATGTGTGCCCTGTACCCACTCATAAATAAGGAACTGCCAGGTCACAGGTCACCTCTAAAATCAGTTACAGAGGATAGGCTACTTTTACTTCCACACAGTCTCATTTCATTTTCTGCTTCTAAACTTTCTCCATGGAGTATCTTTTCTACTCTGGAAAGCTATGTGGATTGTGGTGAGGAGAGTGATAGATACACTGTCTATTATTTCAGGAAACCAAAAGTACAACAAATGCAAGGAATGTTATACTCTATTTACAAAATGCTTTACTAAGTCTCACGCTTATTAAATCACAACTCTGAATTTTTGCTGAGCTTAAGAGCAAACTAGCGGGCCGGGCATGGTGGCTCACGCCTGTAATCCCAGCACTTTGGGAGGCCGAGGAGGGTGGATCACCAAGTCAAGAGATCGAGACCATCCTGGCCAACATGGCGAAACCCCATCTCTACTAAAAATACAAAAAAATTAGCCGGGCATGGTAGCAGGTGCCTGTAGTCCCAGCTACTCGGGAGGCTGAGGCAGGAGAATGGCGTGAACCCGGGAGGTGGAGATTGCAGCAAGCGGAGATCGCCCCACTGCACTCCAGCCTGGGCGACAGAGCAAGACTCCGTCTCAAAAAAAAAAAAAAAAAAAAAAAAAAAAAAAAAAAAAAAGTTTGGCATTCCTCAAGGTTTGCTTTTTGATATTGTTCTAACTCTACAGTTTCACTTTAGAAAGAGCCAACCTCTGCACAAACTTCATTGCTGCCTGTATTCTATTTGGATATGCCCAAATCTCTGCAGCCTAAACCAGCATATCTAACAGCCCAATACATCTCTTTCCCTCTATGTCTCACAAGAACCACAAACTTAACCATAACCAAATGGAACTCAGTATGTTCCAAAAAATATTCTATCTCCCATATTACCTTGCCCAATTAATAGTACGCATAGCCACCAAGCTGCCTTGTACATTGCCTCTACTAGTGAACTCAAACCAACTGGGCTTAAATCGCCAGCCCATATCCTTCACAGTAGTGGCTGTGGTTTTATTACATACCTATGTAGACACTCAACATGTTTGAGAAATGAGTTAGTCTCTCCTTTAGCAAACAGCAGCTTACATTTAGTAAAGATTTATTATGTACCAGAATTCATGACAAATTAGGCCATTTCATCTTCACAACTCTGTAAGGTGTATAGGTACTATAACCATTTTACAGATGAAGAATCTAAGGTCCACCCAGAAAAACCAGATACCTTGCCCAAGGAGACAGAGCTTACAAGTGGAAGAGGCAGGATCGGAACCCAGGTCTGACCAATTCCAGAGTCCATGTCTGTAACCACTATGTAAACTTCCCTCCCTGTGTTGTTTTATACCATCTTTAATGGACCCCCAAAGATCATCGTCCATACTATTTCTGACCAGTACGTCCTGTAATCAGTCATCTGACAGGTTTCTATTAGGGTTGTCTATTTTCTGCAGCTGTAGGGGATGGAGGTATTTCAGATTTAAGACTATTATGGACAATGAACTCAGAATAACAGGATTACTCTAAACTGCTTCACAGACAAGTATCTAGTACCCAATCTAATCTCTCCATTCTATCCAAACATAAAAACCCAGCCAAGCAGAAAAAGGCAGTGTTTTGAGGTCCATTTAGGAAAAAAATCTACTAACTACTTATTTACTTAGGTCAATTCTCACAGGGAAAAAGCATCTCTCATTTTTCAGAAGACAGAGCAGTCTGAAAACATCGAAATTGTTTTTATTTGGTAGTTTTGAGCCTAACACCCAAACTTCTAATGGCAGACCATGAAGAGTAAAATCAAACGAATCTTGTACTGGCCACCTTTATTTTTAGGACATTCTCTGGCAGTTCTAGTATCAAATGATTGCTATAATGAGAATATGTGAGCTCCACAAGCTGGCAGGTGTCCGACACCAACCCCACTGCAGCTCCATCTGCTGCCCACCCAGAGGCTTATGTTTACAGTGGGAAAAGTCCATCAAGGGGGCAGAAACGAATGGCTCATCTTACGCTAGATCTCCTACGGTTAACTTTCTCAAAACAAAACAAACAAAAAACAAAACCCCGAAACCTCTAAATTAGAACCATTTAAATCTTCCTGGACAGAACTTTATATCCAAGAAATTCTAAATCCTACTTTAATGAATTCTACTTTGCTATAAATAATGGTACAGAAAAGTCAGCTATTCTTTTACTCAGAATAAATCAGTTTTGCATTTTTAATAAAAGTGAAACACAGAAGACTAGATGGGGACAGGTTATTCTGGTGAGAAGATGACTTAAAAGGTTCACCTTATACAACTGTGGTAGTAATGGATTGCTTGGTTTAACTTGAAAAGGAACATCTGGTACAATCTATACCAAAGCGAAAAAGTTCAAATTAAAGTACAACAAAGAAAAAAGAAAGTACAATGGAACTATGGGGGATAGAAAGAAAATGAGTGAAAGAAAAAAAACCGCCAGTACAATGAGTCATTAAAAGATAAAATAGAAGTGGTTAGAAACAATTAATAACCAGTGGGTGCCCAGGGGTTGCTCAGGAGCACCAAAAAGATGAACAGAATGGCTAGAGGAATGGACTCACACTCAGCATGCCCAACCCAACCCATCAGCTGCCCATGTCTCCCTTCTATTGAAATTGCCCATTTCTACCTGTAGAAATACCATTTTTCACACTATTTCTCCTCTTTCCTCTCTTTCATAGTCGTACCTAATCACATATCAAGTCTTACTCTTCCTTTAAAACACATGTAAACATAACAAGGATGTTTACCTAAGCATTATTTTAATAGCGGGAGGCAGAAAGGAAACACCCTACAATGTCCAGTAGTAGAACAGTTAAATATTTATTTATAGTGCATTCATATAATGAAATACCTTGCAGCCGTTACAAATTTCAGAGCAGAACTTGGAAAAAAAAAATCATGGAGATGCTGAGCTTCAGCCCTGATCAAATCTTATCTGATCTCTATACTACCTTTCAACGTTTCGATTATGTGAGCCAATACACACATAACTCGACTGTGTAGGCTAGTATAACACATTCTGTTAACTGCAAATAACAGTGGCTTAACACAATGGGAAAATGTTTATTTTTCTAAAAGGCAAGTTATATACAGTATGGTCTCTACTTTTAAAATGCCCAGGACAGGAATAGTGGTTCACACCTGTAATCCCAGCACTTTGGGAGGCTGGCACAGGCAATCATTTGAACCCTTGAACACAGGAGTTTGAGATCAGCTTCCAAAAAAAAAAAAAAAACGGCCAGCTGCCGTGGCTCACACTGTAATCTCAGCACTTTGGGAGGCTGAGGCGGGCGGATCACTTGAGCCCAGGAATTCAAAGCCAGCCTGGGCACCTGGGCAACATGGCAAAACCCCATCTCCACAAAAAAACAAACAAAAATTAGCCGGGTGTGGTAGTGCATGCCTGTAGTTTCAGCTACTTGGGAGGCTGACGTGGGAGGATCACCTCTGAGCCCAGGAGGTGGAGGTTGCAGTGAGCCATGATCCCATCACTGCACTCCAGCCTGGGTGTCAGAGTGAGACCCTGGCTCAAAAAACAAGAAAGTAATCCAACAAATTTTTTTTCCCTGAAATAAGCCAATGAAAACGAAAAATACTTCTTAAATCTCTAATAACTAGATCACCAATAAGCTTAAGGTTCCCAGGTAAAATTTCCTGTGATATATACTAACAAAAACTCAAAAAAGAAAAAAAAGGAAAAATACGTGAGGCTTCAGTACATGAGGGTCTTACAATTTAGATGTGGGAATTCTCACTCAAATCTATCATTTATAGGGCCACACTATTCTTACGAGGCACAAATAAAATTAAGGCTTACTATAACCAATTCAGAAAGTCTATGGTAATGGGATCTAGTGTTGTCACAAAGGTTATAATCAGACCCACTGCTCTTTTTTTCCCCCTATTCAGGACAGGGTCTTACTCTGTCACCCAGGCTAAAGTGCTGTAGCGTGATTATGGCTCACTGCAGCCGCGACCTCCCAGACTGAAGCGATCCTCCCACCTCAGCCTCTGGAGTAGTTGAGACTACAGGTGTGCACCACCACACCCAGCTAATTTTTTAAAAAAACTTTTTGTAGAGGTAAGAGTTTTGCTGTGTTGCTCAGGCTGGTCTTGAACTCCTGGGCTCAAGTGATCCTCCCATCTCAGCCTCCCAAAGTGGTGGGATTAGAGGCATGAGCCACTGAGCTGGGCCGTTACCCTCTTTTTAAGGGAGATCATGAGGTAGAAACTGCCTAGAGCAGTAAAGCCTCAGAAGTGACTCATGTTTCTCAAGGTTAAGGCTGCTTCTTGCTGGGAAATATGCATAAAGAAGTTACCTTGTGAGAAATGAGTTCAGCCCTTTATTCTTTACTTGATACAGCAGTGGGCAAAGATTCTAAACTATCCACAGTACTTTTAGTCAAACTTTTTCCTATGGTTTTAGCATTCAGTATCTTCCTTTCTCCAATTAGATAATTCCTAATTTACTCATTTCTGTTAATGACACCAATATTTCCTCGGCCTCAAAGCCCTGGAATCCTCTGGCTAAACAGAATGTCTCATCTAATCATTAAATCCTGTTATTTCTTCTCTTAAAATACTCTTTAGATTTTTTTCGTTGTTTTGGTTTTTTTTTTGAGATGGAGTCTCACTCTGTAACTGAGGCTGGAGTGCAGTGGCACGATGTCGGCTCACTGCAACCCCTGCCTCCCAAGTTCAAGCGATTCTCATGCCTCAGCCTCCCAGGTTCAAACGATTCTCATGCCTCAGCCTCTGGAGCAGCTGGGATTACAGGCACTCGCCACCACGCCTGGCTAATTTTTGTACTTTTTGTAGAGACGGAGTTTTGCCATGTTGGCCAGGCTGGTCTCGAACCCCTGACCTCAAGTGATCCACTCGCCTTGGCCTCCCAAAGTGCTGGGATTAAAGATAAGAGGCACTGTGCTCAGCTGTTTTTTTTTTTTTTTTGAGACAGAGTCTCTCACTCTGTCACCCAGGCTAGAGTGCAGTGATGCGATCTTGGCTCACTGCAAACTCCGCCTCCCATGGTCAAGCGATTATCCTGCCTCAGCCTCCTGAGTAGGTGGGATTACAGGCGCCCCCCACCGTGCTCAGCTAATTTTTGTTTGTGTGAGTGTTCTAAGCAGAGATGGGGTTTCACCAGCTTGGCCAGGCTGATCTCAAACTCTTGACCTCGTGATCCATCCGCCTCAGCCTCCAAAGTGCTGGGATTATAGGCGTGACCCACTGCGTCAGGCGTTTGTTTTTTTTTTTGTTGTTTTTTTTTTTAAAGATAGGATCTTGCTCTGTTACTCAGGCTGGAGTGCAGTGGTGAGATCATAGCTCACTGCAGTCTCAACCTCCCGGCTCAAATGATCCTCCCAGATCCTCCCACCTAAGCCTCCTGAGTAGCAGGGACTACGGGCACATGCAACCATGCCCGGCTCATTTTTTTATTTTTATTTTGTAGAAACGGAGTCTCACTGTGTTGCCCAGGCTGGTCTTGAACTCGGCTCAAATGATTCTCCTGCCTCGGTCTCCCAAAGTGCTGGGATTATAGGTGTGAGCCACTGCACCCAGATAAATATGACTCTTTTCCATTTCCACTAACATACTCCATCAGCTTGCCTGAAACAAAACTGCTTCTCATATACTTGCTGTTTTAAGTGCTTCCATATTTCAGTTAGTTTAATCCTCACAATATCTAATGAGTCAAGGACCATTATTATCCCCATTTTTCCAGTGAGGAAATTGTGACACAAAGAAGTTTAAAAAAAGAACAAAACTTGCCCAACATCATGATCATGGCAAATGGCACAGCCAAAGTTTGAACCCAGATAAGCTGGCTCCAGCCTAGGTCCTCTGTATCTGGCCTCTCCCCTACTTCAATCCACACTACTCAAAGTCATCCTTCTAAAACACAGCTTTGGTATATAAAAAGAACATCTTAGAAATTTAATAATTAATGATTATCCTCATTTTGCATCAACTTACCCCTAGACATTCCTAACCTAGGAGTTCACAATGCGACATATCAAAAGTAACGTATTTAAATGATTTTAAGCTGGAACAGGAGTAGCAGCACAATGTTATAGGAAAATTGAAGGTTTCTTTACACCACAGTCCATGAGCCAAAGATATGAAAATTTAAGAAGGCAAAATATAAGAAGGCATAGTCAACCTTATATTGAGAAAAACTCCCATTTATTCCTTTGCTGCTCTGAGCTCAGCTGTTAGATCAGAATGTGAGACTGAGACAAGGACTCTGGATGGATGGGTATGAGTTGCACTGGTTAAAAACTGTTTCTGGGCCAGGCGCAGTAGCTTACACCTGTAATCCCAGCACTTTGGGAGGCCGAGGCGGGCTGATCACTTGAGGTCAGGGGTTCAAGACCAGTCTGGGCAACATGGTGAAACCGTCTCCACCAAAAAAAAAAAAAAAAAAATTAGCCGGGTGTGGGGGTGCATGCCTGTAGTCCCCAGCTACTCAGGAGGCCGAGACAGGATAATTGCTTGAACCAGAGAGGCAGAGGCTGCAGTGAGCCAAGATCGTGCCACTGCACTCCAGCCTGGGCAACAGAGACTCCGTCTCAAAAAAAAAAAACTGTTTTTGACTATGGCTGATGGTATTTAAGAACTTACTGACTCTGATGCAAATGTACCTACCACTACCAGAAAAACAACTCAAAGCATATATATGTTCCTTTGCTTGAAGGATGGCATTACTTACTCAAAACATGGACCATCACAGTACTAAGAGACAGGGACACTCAATGAATGAATGCTTAAAAGTGATGCTCAGACTGACTCTCGAGGTAATGGCTAAAGCCAGGGCCCATGAGAAATGTAAATTCATTATTTTGTGGATATCATATGGTTAGCTGTTAACAGAGGTCATTGATGCAACGTTCAAGCTCCAAGGCTGCCACTAATATTCATACACCCCAAAAGCTGGCTACTATGGGCAAATTTAAAAAGATATTGGTGCCTTGTTGACTGAAACCCACTATTCCAGGCCTGGAAGAACTGAAATGTCAGTTGATGAAAAAAATTTTCAGAAGTGTGTCAAATCTGTCCGCATGAATTTCAATACGAAGGCTTTCCAAACTCTGACTAAGAGAGAATTTGTACCACTTGTTCCTTCTGACTTCAATATCTTGTTCGGTTTGGATACCTTCCAGGCTGGTACAGCTATGTTTGGCACCACAAAGCATGCCAGCCAGCCCTAGCTGTGTTGCTAATAAGAGGTCAGAACGCGTCCCTGGAAATACAGAGACACAATTAAGACTTCAAACAGCTGTTTGTTAAGCCAAGTGTTCTGGCAAAGCTTGAAAAATAGAAAACCTTCCCCTCAATCCAGCTCACTTTTTTAGCAGCAAAGTAAACTCAAGAGAGCCATCTGATGCGAAGGGACTCTTCTTCCCAGGAGGACTTCAGTCCTCTGCAAAGCTGTTCTTTGGCACTTTCCCTAGGGCTATGGGTTGTGTAAACTATGTAAATTAGAACGAATCTTCACAGTTCCTTCAAACTCTCCCTGTGAGTTTTATTCTTGTTTTTTATACATCCAAAGAATAAAGAACAAATTCAGGTGGGAAAGCCAATGTGTTCGACACCTCCTTTCATAGTTGATCTTTCTTACCCATGTTTGGACAATCTACTAAAATATAATGCCACCACGATGTTGGATGGAACAAATGTCCAAAAACAAAAACTAGTGGAAACTTGGAATGTTTATTGGGCAGTGACTTTAAGAAATAAAAGTGAGGCCAAGTGTGGTGGCCCATGCCTGTAATCCCAGCACTTTGGGAGGCCAAGGTGGGAGGACTGCTTGAGTCCAGGAGTCCGAGACCAGTCTGGGCAACATGGCAAGACCTAATCAATACAAAAATAAAACATAAAAATAAAAAATAACACTGATTAAGTATTCTTTAGATCGTAAGCACAGTAAAGTGTAATTATACTTTACAAAGACTCAAGAAAAAAGTAGTTAAGAAATCTAACCAAGGTGCTGGCAAGGAAAATAAAGGAATAAAAAAAAAAAAATTCAAGGGTTTCTATTTCTGGTCTGTTGCCTAAATAAAGGCAAAAGAGCTGCCGCAACGTAAGAACCAAGCCTGAACTCAGGCAGGACAACATTGAGTGACACAAAGAGGATATCAACTATAGACTCAGTTCACACTGAGTAGGATGAACATGGTGTGAATTTCCTCCCTTCTTGCCTCCAACACATTAAACTATGTTGCTAGGCAACTGTGCAAGATGCTGATAGAGGAACCTACTGTGAAATGGAGTAACAAAAGCACACTGTGGCAAGAGGTACACAATGGTGCTCGGGGCAGCAAAGGGGAACCCGAGGGAAAAGAAGAACACCCAGAAAACCTTCTGGAGATTGGGTCTGTTCTAAGCAACGAGAGGTGGCCAAGGCACGTAAATGCTAAAGGTTACACCACACAAAAGGAACAACATGACTGAAGACCAGAAATACGAGATAGCCCAGTGGTCAGGGAAAACAAGCAACTAACTGAAAATTGACAAAATTTTGTTTAAATATAGAAAGTAAGATCACCCAACCCATTATTTCTGACATTACTGGCAAAAGCGTTGACCAATGGAACACTGTAGAGCTTTCTGGAGGAGGATAGTAAATTATGCAAAACTGTGGTGCAAGTTAACACACAGAATTAAAATGAGTATCTACAATAAGAGTAAGACTTTGCCGAAGATTATTTGCGTAAAACACAGTTCTGAAAAGAAAACACAATAATTATGGTTTTGCTGAATTCAAAGAAATGCTGCCTCTGCTCTCTGGATATGTCTCAGATGCTGCTGTCTGCACATTTAGCTCGAGACCACATTACACATCCAATGACACAAGGCACCCAAATTAAAAGAGAAAGCACTAGACTCAAGAACATCTTACAGGCCACCCCCGAGCAGTGAGCCTAAGAGAACTCTTATTTCCACTAGTGAAGATGCAGAACAAAGTACAACAGGTCCCCAGTATCTATCTGCCTCTGCACAGGCTGGAGGTGGAAAAGGTGAAGAAGGGGTTTGGGAAATAAAGGTTCACAAGGAAAGGGAACAGTGCAGACAGGGAAGGGACTCATGAGAACGGGAACACCTCATCCCAATTCTACTTCTAGTCCACAGCAAAGCAGTTTACTTTCCACTCCCATCCCAATTCTGCCCAAGGGCTTCACCTCCAAAGACCACAATAATCACCAAGAGTTTACAATGTGAAGGGAAGACACGATTTCCTAGCATTTCAAAGTGGAGCACAAAATACTTCAAGCACGAAAACAGTGATTCCAGAAACACTGGTGACATTCTACAGCAGGGTTGTCCAATGATAATTTCTGCATATGTCCTATATCTGTACTGTCCAATACAACAGAGCCATTGGCCACTCACAGCCACTGAAAACTTGAAATATGGCTGCACTGGTGAATTTTTAGCCTAATATAAATTTAAATAGCCATATAAGCTAGATGCTACAGTACTCAACAGTGCAGCTTAGAGTACTATGTAAATATCAGGCACATGGAAGACAAATACTTTGTGGTCTAAACTTAAAACACTATCAATACGCATTCGATGAGAAATAACATCTTCCACAGAAACACCAATTTATAAGCTTTTAAAAAATAATTTGTCACTACAAAGGAACTATCAAAGAGCTAAAAGAACAGATATTTGGCTGGGCGCAGTAACTCATGCCCGTAATCCCAGCACTTTGGGAGGCCGAGGTGGGCGGATCACTTGCGGTCAGGAGTTTGAGACCAGCCTGGCCAACATGGCACAACCAAATCCCCGTCTCTACTAAAAGAACAAAAATTAGCCAGGCGTGGTGGTGGGCACCTGTAATCCCAGCTACTCGGGAGGCTGAAGAAGGAGAATCGGTTGAACCCAGGAGGTGGAGGCTGCAGTGAACCAAGATCATGCCACTGCACTCCAGCCTGGGAGACAGAGAGACTGTCTCAAAAAAGAAAGAAAATCTACTTTCAGAGTATTTCCTTAAGCAAGAGTGAGGCTGGAGGCATGATGTTTGGAGGTACTTATCTATAGCCTTTCACAGAACGTCAAAGAAGTGTCATAAGTATTCTGAAGCTCTTCATATGCCGTGCCGCTATCAATATGGCTCATGTCTACTTTTATAACTCTGCCAAACACATTGAAAGACAATTTAACTTCCAAGTTTAAGTGTTCTAGGACAACTCCAACATCTCTTCAGAGTTGACAGTAAGCTTGGCTAATGTTAGAAACAAAAGTCCCCAGTAAGTCAGCCGTATCTGCATGGACAAAGCAGTCCTGAGTGCTGCTAAATTAACTGAGAAAACTTTTCAACACTCATGTCTTACTAAGTCTGTTTCATTCAGAACATTCCATACACATCTTTAGCAAAGCTCTTAAAACAGGGTATTTATTAAATTTCACATCTTTAATTCTGCTTAGTATCAACCTTAGCACTAAACACAGTACCCTTTGCTTAGGAGATACTCAATAATTTGTTGCTATAATTCATCAAGGTACTGGTATTTTTTTTTTTTTTTTTTTTTTTTTTTGAGACAGAGTCTCGCTCTATCGCCCAGGCACAATCTCGGCTCACTGCAAGCTCCGCTTCCCAGGCTCATGCCATTCTCCTGCCTCAGCCTCCCGAGTAGCTGGGACTACAGGCGCCCGCCACCATGCCCGGCTAATTTTTTTTGCATTTTTAGTAGAGACAGGGTTTCACCGTGTTAGCCAGGATGGTCTCAATCTCCTGACCTCACGATCCGCCCACCTCAGCCTCCCAAAGTGCTGGGATTACAGGAGTGAGCCACCGTGCCCTGCCAGGTACTGATATTCTTAAGAATTTATCAAGGCCAGGCGCAGAGGCTCATGCTTGTAATCCTAGCACTTTGGGAGGCCGAGGCAGGCGGATCATCTGAGGTCAGGAGTTTGAGACCAGCCTGGCCATTATGGTTAAACCGTCTCTACTAAAAATACAAAAATTAGCCAGACGTAGTGGCGGGCGCCTATAATTCCAGCTAGTCAGGAGGCTGAGGCAAGAGAATCGCTGGAACCCGGGAGGCGGAGGTTGCAGTGAGCTGAGATCGCACCACTGCACCCCAGCCTGGGAGACAGAGTAAGACTCCATATCAAAAAAAAAAAAAAAAAAAAAGAATTCCTCAAAATGCTACATTTGGCTGGGCACAGTAGCTGACACCTGTAATCCCAGCATTTTGGGAGGCCAAGGTGGGTGGATCACTTTAGCTCAGGAGTTTGAGATTAGCCTGGCAACATGGAAAAATCCTATTGACACACACACACACTAGCCGAGTGTGGTGGCACATGCCTGTAGTCACACACACACACACACACAAACACACACACTCTAGCCGAGTGTGGTGGCACATGCCTGTAGTCCCAGCTACTCGGGAAGCTGATGTGGGAAGATCGCTGGAGCCCAGGAGATTGAGGCTGCAATGAGCCATGATCAATCACGCCACTGCACTCCCAACCTGGCCAACAGAACAAGACTCTGTCTCAAGAAAAGAAGAAAAAAAAAGCTACTACTATCATGACATTCTCATATAACTCTATATGGCATATACTCTCTGCACGGCATTCAGATTCATGCATTTAAATAATTCTGTTTCTTTTTCTTGAGATAAGGGGTCTCATTCAGTCGCTCAGGTTTATAGTACAGTAGCGAGATCATGGCTCACTGCATCCTCAAACTCCTGAACTCAAGTCATCCTCCTGCCTGAGCCTCCTGAGTAGCTGGGACTGCAGATGTGTGCCACCACGATTGGCTAATTTAAACATTTTTGGTTTTTTTTTTGTAGACGGGGGGGTCTCACTGTGTTGCCCAGGCTGGTCTCAAACTGCTGGCTTTAAGGGCTATTCCTGCCTCAGCCTCCCAAAGTGCTGGGAATACAGATGTGAGCCAGCTAGCCTGATCTACATAATTCTATCACTATACTTCTTATGCCAATCATCACATCACATTCTATGGCTGATCTTTCATGTTCTCAACTGGATACAAATCCACAAAAGCTCACATTATTCTTTCCTGTAATTGCTGATTATGAATTATGATGAATTTCATGGTAGTTAAATCCATTTGAACACAATCTTCAGGAAAAAAAAAAGAGAGAAAGTAATTAACCAATAGATCTAACAACATCTATAGAAGACTCTACCCAACAACAGCAGAATAAAAATCTATCTCAAGCGCACAGGAGAACATTCTCAGGACAAACCAGATGGTAGGCCATAAAACAAGCCCCAATAAATCTGAAAGTATTAAAATCATACAAAGTATGTTCTACAACTACAATGAAAATAGAAATCAGCCGGGCACAGTGGCTCACACCTGTAATCCCAACACTTTGGGAGGCCGAGGCAGGCAGATTAACTGAGGCTAGGAGTTTGAGACCATCTTGGCAAATATGGTGAAACCTCGTCTCTACAAATATACAAAAAGTACTGGGGACTGGCCGGGCGCAGTGGCTCAAGCCTGTAATCCCAACACTTTGGGAGGCAGAGGCAGGTGGATCACGAGGTCAGGAGATCGAGACCATCCTGGCTAACACGGTGAAACCCTGTATCTACTAAAAATACAAAAATTTAGCCGGGCGTGGTGGTGGGCGCCTGTAGTCCCAGCTACTCGGGAGGCTGAGGCAGGAGAATGGCGTGAACCCAGGAGGCAGAGGTTGCAGTGAGCCAAGATTGCGCCACTGCACTCCAGCCTGGGCGACAGAGCAAGACTCCGTCTCAGAAAAAAAAAAAAAAAAAAAAAATTACCGGGGCCTGCATGAGCGCAGTGGCTCACGCCTGTAATCCCAGCACTTTGGGAGGCCAAGGCAGGCGGATTGGCTGAGCTCAGGAGTTTGAGACCAGCCTAGGCAACACGGTTAAACCCCATCTCTATTGAAATACAAGAAATCAGCCAGGCGTGTCGGCATGCGCCTATATAGTCCCAGCTACTTGGGAGGCTGAGGCAGGAGAATTGCTTGAACCTGGGAGGCAGACGTTGCAGTGAGCCGAGATTGTGCCACTGCACTCCAGCCTGGGTGACAGACAGAGACTCTGTCTCAAAAAAAAAAAAAAAAAAAAAAATTTTTTAACCCGACCTGGTGGCATGCTCCTGTAATCCCAGCTACTCAGGAGGCTGAGGCAAGAAAATCTCTTGAATGCGGGAGGTGGAGGCTGCAGTGAGCTGAGACTGCACTGCTGCATTTCAGCCTGGGCAACAGAGGGAGACTCTGTTTCAAAAAAAAAAAAAAAAGATTAGTGAAGCATGAACTTCTACTGATTGTCTTGCACATAGACATTTTTAGCCTGTATAACATAATTTGTAACCAACGATTATAACTTACATATTGTACCATCCAATGAAAAGACAACTCTGGTATGAGGAGGAGTACCCTTCCTTCTTTTAAACTTTCCTAAAAACCTTTCACAGGCCAGGCAAGGTGGCTTACACCTGTAATCTGTAATCCCAGCACTTTGGGAGGCCAAGGTGAGAGGATCCCTTAATCCCAGAAGTTTGAGACAAGCCTGGGCAACATAATGAGACTCCATCCCTACAAAACAAAACAAA
This sequence comes from Homo sapiens, assembly GCF_000001405.40. Classification (NCBI taxonomy): domain Eukaryota; kingdom Metazoa; phylum Chordata; class Mammalia; order Primates; family Hominidae; genus Homo; species Homo sapiens. Next base: position 75,376,852 of record NC_000017.11, read on the forward strand.
ACAAACAAACAAACAAAAACTAGTTGGGCATGGTGGTGGATACCTGTAGTTCCAGAGACTAGGGTGGGAGGATCAACTGAGCCTGGAATGTTGGGGCTGTACTGAGCCATGATTGTACCTCTGCACTCCAGCCTGGGTAAGAGAGCCAGACCCTGTCTCAAAAACATAAAGACAGACCTTCATAGCTGGGCCCAGTGACTCACATCTATAATCCGAGCTACTTGGGAGGCTGAGATGGGAGGATCACTCGAGACCAGCCTGGGCAACATAGTGACCCCCCGCTACAAAAAAAAAATATTAAAAGTTACATTTTTAAATATAATACAGGGTGTGGTGGTGCGCATCTGTAGTCCCAGCTACTGAGGAGACTGAGGTGAGATGATCACTTGAGCCCAGGAGTTCGAGGCTGCAATGAACTATGGTGGGGCCACCGTACTCCAGCCTGGGGTGACAGAATGAGACCCCATGTTTATTGCAAACAAAAAGTGGCCAGGCAGAGTGGTTCATGCCTGTAATCCCAACACTTTGGGAGGTCAAGGCAGGAGGACTGCTTGAGGCCATGAGTTCGAGATCAGCCTGGGCAACATGGCGGGATCTTGTTTCTACAAAATACAAAAAGTTAGCTGGGCATGGTGGTGCTCACCTGCTGTCCCAGCTACTCGGGAGGCTGAAGTGGATGAAGTGCTTGAGCCTAGGAAGTTGAGGCTGCACTCCAGCCCAGGCAACAGAGCGAGACCCTGTCTCAGAAAAAAAAAAAAAAAAAAAAAAAAAAAGGCTGGGTGTGGTAGTTCACGCCTGTAATCCCAGTACTTTGGGAGGCTGAGGCAGGTGGATCACTTCAGGTCAAGAGTTAGAGACCAGCCTGGCCAACATGGCAAAACCCTGTCTCTACTAAAAGTACAAAAATTAGCCGGGTATGGTGGCACACGCCTGTAGTCCCAGCTACTAGGGAGGCTGAGGTGGTAGAACTGCTTGAACCCGGGAGGCAGAGGTTGCAGTGAGCCAAGATCATGACACTACACTCTAGCCTGGGCAAGAGAGTAAGACTCTAAAAAAGAAAACAACCCACGAAGAAACAAACAGCAAAACAAAAACATCTTTCACCTTGTGACAGACTTCAGAACAACCCCCAAGTCTGCTGGTGTGTCTTCCCAGGTCGATTCTCATTTGCCAGGCCTTCCAATAAACCTTTATGAAATCATTTCTGCCTCAATAGTCTTAGTTTCAGTTGACAATATAAATCCCAAACCCAGGCCAGGTGCAGTGGCTCACGCCTGTAATTCCAGCACTTTGGGAGGCCGAGGTGGGGGGGAGGATCACCTGCAGTCAGGAGTTCGAGACCAGCCTGACCAACATGGTGAAACACCGTCTCTACTAAAAATACAAAAATGAGCTGAGCGTGGTGGTGGGCAGCTGTAATCCTAGCTACTTGGGAGGCTGAGGCAGGAGAATCACAGGAGGGCGGAGGTTGTAGTGAGCTGAGATCTCGCCACCGCATTTCAGCCTGGGCAACAGAGTGAGACTGTCTCAAAAAACAAACAAACAAACAAACACCCAAACCCAAAAGCAAGTTACACAAGAATAATTTTTCATGTGGTCACCTGAGGATATGCGGGTGAGAGGCATGTCCTTTTTGCCAGGCCTTTAATATCTAACAGGGAAGGGATGAAGTGAGAGAAAAACATATAGAAATTTCACACATGAACGTACAACACTAACAAACTCATAGCTAAATATGAAAATTACTACTAAGAACTTTAAAGGTAACAACTGTTCAGGTGGGTGTAGTTCTAGTACAAGCTTAAACATGGCAGATTGGACAGGCCTCTGAGCAGATACAGTGTGACTTTCTCCAAGTTTACGAACAACTACAGTATTAGTTCTTCTGTACTGGTAACCTAAGTATAGAAGGAGACGAACCAATTAATTAAGGGAAGGCTTGTACGGTCTACCAGTTCTCACTTCTAGCATTAAATGAGGCCATTAGTTACAAATTCACTGGGATATATGACGTGGACTACTTCAGCACAATGTTTTGGAAAATTCACACAAATTTCGGTTCACAATCTATTCTGATTAGCTTTAATATGATTTTGAGAAAAGTCTTAATCATTGTATCTTTTCTAAGAGCCTGGCACAGAAATCCTCTGAGCTACTGCCACTTTCTAAAGAGGTACACTTTAACAGAAATGCCATTCTTCTCTCCAAAGATGAAGTACCTGCTTACTTTCATTATAAAATTTTGAATATGGTTTCATTGTTATGTTTTATGGTACCCAGGAACTGCAATAAAAGTAACTATGGCTATATGCATTAAACGTTTTTTCTGAAAGGTTATAGAAAACCTGAATAGTGATTTTCTTTGGGAAGGTTTGTCATATAAATTTTCTAATGATGAGTGAGACATTTATTTATTTGCTTATTTAATTTCAAAATTGTTATCTGGGCATCAGGAGGGAATTATGACCTAATTTATTTTATGCTTTTTCTATTAAATGATTCTAATAAAAATTTTAAAAGAATTAAATAAAGAAGACACTTGATTTCTTAAAAAAAAAAAAAAGAAAGACAGGGTCACACACTGTCACCCAGGCTGGAGTACAGTGGGGCAAACATAGCTCATTGTAGTCTCCACCTCCTGGGCTCAAGCAGTCTTCCCACCTTAGCGTCCCAAGTAGCTGGAACTACAGGCATGCACCACCACACCTGGTTAATTTTTTTTATTTTTAGTAGAGACAGGGTCTTGCTATGTTGCCCAGGCTGGTCTTGAACTCCTGAGCTCAAGTGGTCCTCCCACTTCAGCCTCCCAAAGTGCTAGGATTACAGGCCACCACACCTGGTCACTTGATTTCTTAATGCATGATAGATAGCTAAAAACCCACTATTAATTTCAGATCTTTGTCTTTTAATTATACTTTTCAAAGCCAAGCATTTTATAAAAGTTGATACATAATAAATAGAATTTTGACTGGAGCTAAAAATGCAGGAAAGCCAAGGAAGGAGAAATGGAAACATGAACCTCTGGAAAACTGCAATTTGTCTCATTAGTAATTTTAATGCAGTGTGGAGACTGACCTAAGTCAAAAGTACGTACATAAGAAAGCATATAACATTACTTTCACATCCCATGTGGGGAAAAGATAACTGAGATATAACTAGAAATCTAGATAGCAAGACCAGTTTTAGCGCCAATTTGTTTATTCGTAGAGAAAACAGCTGAACATGTCATGTTTCTAGTTTATCTTATTAGATTCTACAAAATTTCTATGTAATAGCCTTATACAGGTGGAAGATGATGTACTGCCTACACCAAGAAGAGTTTTAATAGGAAACAAATTTGCTCCATGAAGCTGTGCACAGTGATTTTTTCTTTCCTTATTAGACAGCAAGACGGCCCTAAAATATTTGTTGACCTGCAAACTGACATCTGGAAAACTACTGTAGTGTTTTTGTTTTTTACTGCTTTTTCTGATTACAAAACTAATAGCTTGTAGTAAAAAAAAAAAAAAACTATTATAGAAATGCACCATATAGAAAGTTAAAGTTCTCCATAATCCCTACATCCAGAGAAAACCAACTGTTACCCAACATCACACTCTTCTTTTTTCTTTATATTGCAGTATATGTGAGTAAGGATGTTTCATTAAGTTACAATACTTGTTTCTCAAAAGCTCTCAGCAGAGCCTCCTGGCTTAAAGCTAAACATTTGCAGCATAAACTAAACAAAGACTGGTTTGTCTGTCTTCCCATCTTGTTCCAAGCATGAGTTAAGATGGATGGTCTTCCTCTAGAAAATATTCATTTAGCTCAAAGACAAATTAAATTATGAATACATGCCATATTTCTCTATCATAATCACTTATTAATTTAACCTGACAAAGCTATAAAAAAAGGAAATTAACCACTTAAAAAATAGCACAAAATAAAATGTGCGGCGGAAAAACTGTGTCAAGCATCTTACATGCTGAGGGAAGGATGTTTAATCATCTCAGAAATCTGGTTAACATAGTCCTATAAAACACTGTCAAACTTTGAAATAATGTTCTATTGTTAAAGGAGACTAGAGAATGAAGCAAACATTAGCTGTGCTATTATTATGTATTCTGGTTAGGGATTATGGGCCATTCTCACTTAAGGTCATCTTAAGTAGGTAACCATTTGTTCAGCCATTCAGACAATAGGACAATACATATATCAAAACCTCCCTTGAGATTACGAACTAAATTATTAACAGAAACAAGTGAAATATACAGCAATAGGGAAATAATTAAGTCAATTACAGAACATTAACTTGATATGTTATACAACCACTGAAAATAATTAGTAAAACTAATATGGAAAATGGTAACATTTTAAATTCACTACAATTACAGGATTATAAAAATGTATACATAATGACAATGCTTAAGAGAGATCTGAAATAGTAAAAATACTGGAATAGAGGGACTTATTGACTTTCCTATCTATTAATGTAAGCTAAAGTAATTTAAATGTTACAGTGAAGTGGAAATACTGCTAATAAAATAATCTATTCTTTTTCCCCAGCATTCCTTTTCAAACTCCTTTTCATAGTTATGTATGAAAATAAAGATACGGCTGGGTACAGTGGCTCATCCCAGCACTTTGAGAGGCTGAGGCGGGCAGATCATGAGGTCAGGAGTTCGAGACCAGCCTGGCCAACATAGTGAAACCCTCGTCTCTACTAAAAATAAAAAAAAAATTAGCCAGGCATGGTGGCGGGCACCTGTAATCCCAGCTACTCAGGAGGCTGAGGCAGGAGAATTGCTTGAACCCGGGAGGCAGAGGTTGCAATGAGCTGAGATCACGCCACTGCACTCCAGCCTGGGTGATGGTGCAAGACTCCGTCTCAAAAAAAAAAAAAAGAAAAAAAAAAAGAAAATAAAGATATATGAAATAATGACATGAAATGATCAACACTTCCCAAAAACACATACCCCTTTCTTGTTCTCAGTGAATCCTACAGTTTCAGGGTCCAAAATACATTTTTTCTCACTTTATAACTAAACTAAAAGCTCTTGCATTTTTCAAAAGAAAAATGTTACCAAGGGCTTTTGCCATTTTGTTAAACCTAGATTTTAAAAGTCCTGGGTTCCTGTAATCCCAGCACTTTGGGAGGCTGAGGCGGGTGGATCACAGGGTCAAGAGATCGAGATCACCCTGGCCAACATGGTGAAACCTCGTCTCTACTAAAAATATAAAAATAAGCTGGGCGTGGAGGCACGTGCCTGTAGTCCCAGCTATTTGGAAGGCTGAGGCAGAAAAATCACTTGAACTCGGGAGGCAGAGGTTGTGGTGAGCCGAGATCGCGCCACTGTACTCCAGCCTGATGACAGAGCAAGACTCCGTCTCCAAAAAAAAAAAGTCCTGGGTAATGTATCGAGACCTTGTCTCAAAAAAAAAGGAATAAAAAGTCCACTATTAAACTAAAGAATAAATTAGTTGAAAATAAAAGCCACTGTTAAAACGAAGAAAAAAACTTTCACTATGTTACTGCTAATAATTAATACAGGTTGTATATCCCTTAACTGAATAAGCGACCAGAGGCATTTCAAGGTTTCTGGATTTTGGAATATTTGCATTTATATAGGTTCAGCATCCCTAAATCTCAAAATCCAAAATGCTCCAACAGGCACTTCCTTTGAGTGCCATGCTGGCGCTCAAAAAAGTTTCAGATTTCAGATCTTTGGATTAGGGATACTCAATATGTAGTTCTTTTGATAAAAATGTTAGGACAGAAAGTAAAAGAACTACTGCTAGAAACCAGACCAAGGTGGGCTAAACTTTCTAGTAAAGAAGGAAATACTAAGCATTATCTATGGCATCCTAAGATTTTTATTTATTTATTTATTTATTTTAGACGGAGTCTTGTGCTGTTGCCCAGGCTAGAGTGCGGTGGCACTATCTGGGATCACTGCAAGCTCAGCCTTCCGGGTTCACGCCATTCTCCTGCCTCAGCCTCCTGAGTAGCTGGGACTACAGGCGCCTGCCACCACGCCCAGCTAATTTTTTGTATTTTTAGTAGAGACGGGGTTATCACCATGTTAGCCAGGATGGTCTCGATCTCCTGACCTCGTGATCCGCCTGCCTCGGCCTCCCAAAGTGCTGGGATTACAGGCGTGAGCCACTGCGCCCAGCCGGCATCCTTAAGATTTTTAAAAGTTGTTTGGGAAAAACACGCCTATTCTCATTATTGAGACTAGAGAGAATGTTTACCCATGGCTTCTCACTGAGGGCAGTTAGAGATACTGAAATCGACCTTAATATCCTTAAAGTAAATACTATGAGTTTTTCCCAAGGCTGTTTTTTCAAACATTCCTTACTGTTAGCCAATTGCACAATCCCAAAGCTTCGGTAAACTACAGAAACTTACAAAAGAGGCCCCCAGTAGGACACAGCATAGGTATCCATCTATTTGCTATAGATGTGTAAGAATGGAGAAAAACTCTCCATCAATACTGTGCTTTCAGCTGAGCTCTGGGACAGGGCTGGAACAGTTCTGAGTCTGAGGTAACAGCAGATAACCTTTGGCCACTTTTATGCGTAGAGTCATGTGACTCAATAGTTTCCTGAACCCGGGATCTGGACTAATCACCTCTTATCAATGCTGTGTACTGAATAGCATTAATAAAACTAAAAGCTAGCAATTACTGTCTACTTTATGCTAGTTACTGCTTTAAAAACACCAACATAGGCTGGGCGGGTGGCTCACGCCTGTAATCCCAGCATTTTGGGAGGCTGAGGCAGGCGGATCACAAGGTCAGGAGTTCGAGACCAGCCCGGCCAATATGGTGAAAGCCCGTCTCTACTAAAAATACAAAAATTAGCTGGGTGTGGTGGCACGCTCCTGTAGTCCCAGCTACTCAAGAGGCTGAGGCAGAAGATTCGCTTGAACCCAGGAGGCAGAGGTTGCAGTCAGCCAAGACAGCACCACTACACTACACTGCACTACAGCCTGGGTGACAGAGCGAGACTCCTTCCCAAAAAGAAAACAACAACAACAAAAAACACCAACATATTGGCTCTTTTAGTCTTCACTATGACCCCAGGAAGGTAGGAAACTATTGTTCCCATTTTACAGATGTCAGAACCAAAACACAAAGCCATCCCGTAAATTGCCCAAGATCGCAATGCCCGATCTGTCTGTGACAGAGCTAGGATTCCAAGCAGGCAGGTCTCGCCTAGAGCCAGTATTCTTTACAATACTTCAGATGTCTCTCATTCCACATCCAGAAGGAGGTAAAATTAAGGGAGTAGCTGCCAAAAGGACGAAGGTTTTCCTCAAAAAGTCATTTTGGGTCAGTTTTTCAAATGTCTCAAAGTTTTATGATCCTGAGCACAGTCACAGTGAACTTCAGCCTAAGATTTAAAATCAGGTTAAATCTCAACGCTTAAGAAACAAAACCACTCCTCAGCAGAGCACTTCACCTTCCTAGAATATCCTTCAAGGTAAACTAGATGCAGAATGTAAACTGCTTACTATCTGAATGTAACTTTTTTCTTTTAATAAAACTGATAGCTGGGCATGGTGGCTCACCCCTGTAATCCCAGCACTTTGGGAGGCCAAGGCGGGTGGATCGCCTGAGGTCGGGAGTTTGAGACCAGCCTGGCCGACATGGTGAAACCCTGTCTCTACTAAAAATACAAAAAATAAGCCGGGCGTGGTGGCACATGCCTATAATCCCAGCTACTCAAGAGGCTAAGGCAGGAGAATCGCTTGAACCCGGGAGGTGGAGGTTGCAGTGAGGTGAGATCACACCACTGTACTCCAGCCTGGGCAACAGAGACTCTTGTCTCAAAATAACATAACATAACATAAAATAAAATAAATAATAAAACTGATACATATGGTAACTAATTCAAGAGTATGAAGAGTAAAAGTCACCTGAAATTCAGTTACTTGGAGACAACAATTACTCCTTGGGAGACCATTCAGAAAGAGATCTATGTATATGATAAAAAAAGAGGAAAAGACAGCAATTTTTCCTAAATGGCCTCTCTCTCTAGTTTGACCTCATTTGTGTATAGAAAGGCTTTATTTACAGAGGCCGGGCGCGGTAGCTCATGTCGGTAATCCCAGCACTTTGGGAGGCAGGCGGATCGCTTGAGCCCAGGAGTTCGAGACCAGCGTGGGCAACAGTGAGACCTCCTGGCTCTACCAAAAAAAAAAAAAAAAAAAAAAAAAAAAAGCAAACAAACAAACAAACAAAAAAACCCTTAAATTATCCAGGTGTGGTAGTGCACAGCTGTAGTCCCACCTATTCAGGAGGCTGAAGTAGGAGGATTCCTTGAGACTGAGAGGTCAAGGTTGCAATGAGTCAAGATCATGCCACCGCATCCCAGCCTGGGTGACAGAGCAAGACCCTGTTTCAAAAATGAAAATAAGGCTGACCGTGGTGGCTCACTTCTATAATCCCAACACTTTGGGAGGCTGAGGCAGGCATATTACCTGCGTTCAGGATTTTGAGACCAGCCCGGCCAACATGGTGAAACACTGTCTCTACTAAAAATACAAAAATTAGCTGGGCATGGTGGTAGATGCTTGTAATCCCAGCTACTCAGGAGGCTGAGGCAGGAGAATCACTTGAACCACGGAAGTGGAGGTTGCAGTGAGCTGAGATTGTGCCATTGCACTCCAGCCTGAGCAACAAGAGTGAAACTCCATCTCGAAAATAAAAAATAAAAATAAAAAAAGGGAAAAGAACAAAAGAACATAAAATCAGGACTAAACCAGATTGGATCTGAATCCTAACTTGTGAATTTGGGCAAATTAAGCCTCAGATTTTTTGTCAGTAAAATGGGGATAACAGCATCTGCCTTTACAAGATTTGCGTGAGATTAAAAGAGAAGGGAAGTTGAATACTTAGCTTAGAGCAAAGGCATGCTAAGTATTTAATATGTTAGTTATATTATTACTTATTAAAACAGGATCCATTTAAACGTTTCTCTGTGCAAGTGTAGGCATTATTCTGTGTTGATACAGATCAACGTTAACACCTTCATTGCCACTTAATAGGTGCCATAATCTACCTCTGTAAACCCCACTAATTGGTTTTGCTTTTTGGCTTGTATGGCAATTTCATGAACTGGAAGGTGCATGCCACTTTTATGTGTTTTAACATCTCTAAAATGCATCTTACAATTGACAGTATTGGCAGAAAAAAATTTTTCTAGGTGGTATATACATAATTGAAATAAACATCCTTATGTCTACATCTTTAAAAAACTTGTTTATGAGTTTCTTAGAATAAATTCTTTTTTTTTTTGGAGACGGAGTCTCACTCTGTCGCCCAGGCTGGAGTGCAGTGGCATGATCTCGGCTCACTGCAACCTCTGCCTCCCGAGTTCAAGCGATTCTCATGCCTCAGCCTCCTGAGTAGCTGGGACTAGAGGCACACACCACCACGCCCAGCTAATTTGTGTATTTTTAGTAGAAACGGGATTTCACCATGTTGGCCGGGCTGGTCGCAAACTCTGACCTCAAGTGATCTACCCGCTTTGGCCTCCCAAAGTGCTGGGATTATAGGCATGAGCCACTGCGCTTGGCCTTAGAACAAATTCTTAAAATGTTACTTGCTGGATCATTTTATGTTCTGATACCTATTACCAAGCCACCAGTGAGAAAGACAATATTGGTAAAAATCTCCAGAGACATGGGAAAGTGGTAACCATTTCTTCACACTGTAGCCAGCAAAGGATGGGGTCAATCTTTGTTATCTTTGGTAATCTGACATACAAAATGACAAACTTACTCTAGACAGGAAGTCCAATAAATCACTCATGGAAGCAATGCCAGGCAGCTGAACAAAGCAAGACTACTGATACCCTAACATTTCTGGTCTACTCATACCTGGACAGTTAAGAGGGGTATCCATGTATTGTGATGGGTACACCCAGTACACCACAGCAAGACCTAAGATCAAACTTCACCTCTGTCACTTGCTAGATGTGTGAATCTGAGCAAGTTTCTTAAGCTTTGAGCCTGTTTCTGCACCCATAAAATGGGGTTAAGAATGCCGATCTTGGCCAGGCGCGGTGGCTCACGCCTGTAACCCCAGCACTTTGGGAGGCTGAGAGGGGCAGATCACGAGGTCAGAGGATAGAGACCATCCTGGCTAACTAAAAACACACACACACAAAAATTAGCTGGGTGTGGTGGCGGGTGCCTGTAGTCCCAACTAATCGGGAGGCTGAGGTAGGAGAATGGCATGAACCCAGGAGGCGGAGCTTGCAGTGAGCTGAGATCCCACCACTGCACTCCATCCAGCCTGAGGGACAGAGCGAGACTCCATCTCAAAAAAAAAAAGAGTGCCAATCTTGCCCAGGACGGTGGCTCAAGCCTGTAATCCTAGCCAAGGTGGGTAGATATTTTGAGGCCAGGAGTTCGAGACTAACCTGGCCAACATGGTGAAACTCACCTCTACTAAAAGTACAAAAATTAGCAGGGTGTGGTAGCACGTGCCTGTAGTCCCAGCTATAGGCTGAGGTGGGAGGATCGTTTGAGCCTGGGAGGCAGAGGTTGCAGTGAGCTATGATGGCACCTCTGCATTCCAGCCTTGGTGACAGGGGGAGACTCTGTCTTAAAAAAAAAAAAAAAAAGTCAATATTTCAGCATTCAAGATTAGAAATGATCTATAATTTAGTAGGCTGGGCATGGTGGCTCACACCTGTAATCCCAGCACTTTGGGAGGCCGAGGCAGGTGGATCATTTGAGGTCAGGAGTTTAAGACCAGCCTGGCCAACATGATAAAACCACATCTCTATTAAAAATACAAAAAATTAGCCAGGTGTGGTGGCGGGCGCCTATAATCCCATCTACTCGGGAGGCTGAGACAGGACGATCACTTGAACTCAGGAGGTGGAGGTTGCAGCAAGCCAAGATCGTGCGATTGCACTCCAGCCTGGGCGACAGAGTGAGACTTCGCCTAAAAAAAAAAACAAAACAAAAAAACAAACCCAACAACTTAGAAGCAATTCTACCATATGGTTTAGAGGTGAAACTGAAAGATTCTGAAGGAATACTACATTTCCTTACTCATTTCTTTCTCCAAACAGGAGGAAGAATCATCTTCAGCCAGTCTCCCAAAAAGAATCTTTTATAGGAAATGAAAGTTCATTCTCAGCACCTATTTGGAAATAGTCCATTCAGCTGACAAAATGAATATAATAAAAAGCAAGCAGATTATTTGCTTTAAGAGCACTCAAACAACAAACTGCTCCCTTCCTTTTTTGTTTTTGTTTTTTTGAGATGGAGTCTCTCTCGGTTGCCCAGGCTGGAGTGGAATGGCACAATCTTGGCTCACTGGAACCTCCACATCCCGGGTTCAAGCGATTCTCCTCCCTCAGCCTCCCGAGTAGCTGGGATTACAGGTACGCACGCGCACCACCGGGCCCGGCTGTTTTTTGTATTTTTAGTAGAGATGGGGTTTCACCATGTTGGCCAGGCTGGTCTCGAACTCCTGACCTCAAATGATCCATGCGCCTCGGCCTCCCCAAAGTGTTGGGATTCAGGCGTGAGCCACCACGCCTGACCACAAACTAACCTCCTTCTTAAAGATTAAATGCAATATTCTGGTTTAGTCAACAAGATTGATAAGAATTCTTACCAAAAGGCAAAGGCTGGGTGCAATGGCTCACACCTGTAATCCCAGCACTTTGGGAGGAAAAAATAAATGGTTCTACAGAGTATACTGATACTAGGACTTTAAAATAGTGGGGGGGGGGAAGAAAAACACTTTTTTTTTTTTTTAATTTGGAGATGGGGTCTCGCTTTGTTGCCCAGGTTGGGCTCCAACTCCTGGGCTCAAGCAATCTTCCTCTCTCAGCTTCATGAGCAGGTGGGGCCTTCAGGCTTGCACGAGCATGCCTGGCTTTTTATTTAGATTAGGTAATTTGAACCCCTGAAATGGGACTTGTGCACTGAAACTCAGGACTTATAACTTGTGAAAACTCTAACCAACCAAACTAGGGATTGGCTCTCCACTGATCTTCTCCATTGAGGATCATAATCAAAGGGCATTCCTTTCTTAGGAGACTTATTAAAATGCCCCTATCTGACAGGCAGAAATCCCATGATTCTTGCTTTCAGTATCTTTCAAACCACTCCCCTCCTTCATTTCTAGTATCCCAGGTTGATACAGACACTTGACACACAACCCGATTACTTGCCACCATCCAGGCTTGGGGCCCCAGCCTTGCCCCCTTGCAATTCTTTATACACACACACACAATGCTCTTCATCGCTAAAAACCTTCCGAGGCTTCTTAAGGACCAGATCAAACTCTTACTGGGCTTTTCTCACCTCGCTCCAACTCTACCTTATTTTCCACTATGTCAGTCTAGATTCTTATTCCAGCCTTCCTATCTCAAACACAACAAGCACAAGTTTCGTCTCCCTTGAAATGTCCTCCTTCTCTTAACCTACACGTCCTGTTCTCCTACAAGGTTCAAGTCACAACTCTGCACACACCTGACTGATGTCAGCGCTTGCCAGTTTCATCCTTCCTGAACGACTCTAGCAGTTACAGTGTGCAACCCGACTCAAGTATACCATCAAATACTACTAAGAATCACTACTACAAATCACTACCAAGAATGATAGTTGTGTGATCTTGGATAGATCATTTAACCTATATGGGCCACCATTTCCTCATCTGTAAAAGAGTAAGTCTAACTTAAGAAATTTTAAAAGATCTTGCCGGGCGCGGTGGCTCACGCCTGTAATCCCAGCACTTTGGGAGGCCGAGACGGGCGGATCACCAGGTCAGGAGATCGAGACCATCCTGGCTAACATGGTGAAACCCCGTCTCTACTAAAAATACAAAAAATTAGCCGGGCGTGCTGGTGGGTGCCTGTAGTCCCAGCTACTGGGAGGCTGAGGCAGGAGAATGGCGTGAACCCGGGAGGCAGAGCTTGCAGTGAGCCGAGATCGCGCCACTGCACTCCAGCCTGGGTGACAGAGCGAGACTCCATCTCAAAAAAATAAAAAAATAAATAAAAATAAATTTTAAAAGATCTTTTCCTGTTCTAAAAAAATTTTTATATACCATCTTGTACTGTTTCACATATTAATCTCAATTCTCTTACTTGAGATTTTGGAGCTTCTGAAGGGAGAAAGTACATCTTATATTTCTCTCCCAACTCTCAAAGCAACTTATCCCAGTATCTGGCTCAAGAGATGCTCAGTCAGTGTGACACTGAAATAGGCCAGGCAGTGCTGAGACAGAATGCTTTGAAGATCTCAATGTGAACTCAAGACCTGTTTTTAAAGTAGTTTAAGAAACTGGTAAAGGTAGTTAGTGCCAGAGAGGGTAGAATACACCTAGATGATCCAGGCTGGCTCTCCACTAGAGCTGAAGAAAGCAAGAGGCTGGCTCTAGAATGGAATGAGCACAGATCTGAGAGCTCAAAATGGGTCTCTTAATTCCTATAAGCACAGTTTGAAGTATGTATACATAAGCCCCTAAATGGCAGTTGCAACTCCTAGGTAAGTTTTATGTGCTCTAGTGTAGACTATTTAGGGGTCTTGTCAGTGGAGAACCTCTGGGACTGTCTCAAGCCTGCCCTACAATGGTGGGAGGAATTCTGATGTATTCCAACCACACCAGGCCTGAAACCTGCAGTGGAAGGGCAATTCCTTCTATTTTACATCCCAGTGTCCTCTCCCTCCCCGAGCCAAGAAAAACACAAGCTTTTATAAGAGAGAGAAACAAAGGCAGACATATTGAACCATTCAACTCTATTTTAGGCTTCCAGTAAAATGCTTTTATTTTTTCCTCTTTTTCTCTGGACAGTAACAGGTCAATGTGTAGACAGAAAGTAGGGAAGGGGTCTGCTGGAGGAGAGGAGTCACCATTTTTAACTAAAAGTTAACCAGGAACTCCAAGACAGGAGAAGATGTGATCCTTCTGAACTATAGACAGAGGATGAAGGCTAAGTGCCTATTTCATTATCTTGAAATGAAACTTATTCAATATCCATATGCACGTCTCCTTTATCAAGAGAAGGCATATATATGCCTATTTCAATGAAAGTTAAATTGTTCAATGCTATTCCAGCAACTTTTAAAACATGTTTTGGCTTACAACTAATACCCTCAAGACGTCCCAAATCAAAGCAATTCAAATGAAGCCAGTTTACTTCTTGAAGAATCAAATGAGGAAAACTCCGTTTTTTTAACTAACAGCTTTTAAGAAAGCATGTTCCTCCTCTTCACCCAGCCATTTCACACAGTTATGAGACAAAGGGCAACTACTGTATCGTCACTCTTTTTTTTTTCTTTTGGAGTAAAGCCACAACATTACCAACAAACAGCTAATGGCCACCGTTCAAAAGCAATAATGGCATTATGACTTCATATCTCAGTTATCTACCAAATTGAAAAGAACCACATATATGTATTTTTCTCTCTCCTCAAAGAAAATCTAAAAGTGAATGTGAGTATTCTGATTTACTTTCTCCTCCATAATAAAAATTTCTGAGGGACTGTTAAACAGGATCTTCTTCCCTAATAATAGGATGGGAAAGAAGGTTTTTACACTTGCTCCAGAATTTACTAATTTAAGTTAAAGAATTTATAAAATGTTCATGGTCTAGGTCTAGGACAAACTTCAAAGACAGAAATCAGGGAAAGTTCTTGTTTAAAAATTTTAAAAAAAGGCTGGGTGCAGTAGCTCACGCCTGTAATCCCAGCACTTTGGGAGGCCGAGGTGGGCAGATCACGAGGTCAGGAGATTGAGATCATCCTGGCTAACATGGTGAAATCCCATCTCCACTAAAAATTCAAAAAATTAGCCGGGCGTGGTGGCGGGCGCCTGTAGTCCCGGCTACTCGGGAGGCTGAGGCAGGAGAATGGCATGAACCTGGGAGGTGGAGCTTGCGGTGAGCCCAGATTGTACCACCGCACTCCAGCCTGGGTGACAGAGCGAGACTCCATCTCAAAAAAAAAAAAAAAAAAAAAATTCTTAAAAAGAGACCGCATGCCCCTAGTTTTGTTTTAATTTGTTGCTTCAGTGCTTAATGTGCAATGGGACAGATTTAGAGAAAAATATGAACCACCAGCCTTCTAGGTTCAAGTTTCTAAGATAAACTTATGAAAAAATCTAAGTTTGTATCAAAAACAAAAAATACTAGCCCAAAAGGGCTTTTGTACAGGCTATAGATGTGGGCATTTGAGTAGCCCATCTTATACCATCACAAGTGGGTTATCTACAGAAAACAGTAATCACCTACAGAAACATCAAATTACCTCTCCCATACACCAATGAAAACTGAGGAATTTTGTAGTCTAAGTTAACTTTGCCCTGATCTCTAGCTGGGCATATTTTCTCTAGTTCAAGAAAATAGAAACCTAGTTTCTAGAAAATGGTTCCGTCTGCTTTCTGACAATTTAGTGTTGACTTTGAGAATACCCTCGAAAAGTGTGGTGTCACAAACACAGCTTTGAAATGAACACACAGACACAAAGTTTTCTTCTCTTTAAAGGGCTCTGCAGCATCATCTTCTATGAGGCTCAACCTACATTTCTAACATTAAGAAATTACTGGGCAGTTAACTTCAGAGTAGAACTCTACGCCTTGGGCAATGAGGGCAAAATAAAGACTATCAATAAGTCCACATAACTTAAAAGTAAAAAGACTGCACGTCCTTTTATAAAGAACCATATTTCTACATCTCCACTTGCTTTCTCTTCATAAAATTCTAAGAATTTCATTCAGGGGTAGTAAACAAATGAGGTAGCAAATTCCAACAATCAGTCTAAGGCTCAGAAGGAAAAATGTCAAAACTTGAGACACAGGGAACACTCAAACATGAAGCTTCAGCCTTTCCTCCTTTAAAGTTAACATACTCTTTGATAACACTCATCCTCGTTAAAATAAATTACACATCCAAAAGAGCAAACTGCTACAGTCAATTGGGTAAACAACATAATTAACATGTGCTGGGGGAGAGCGAATCCTCACATAAATAGTGGGGCTCAAAATAAGCTGCACATGGTATAGAAGCTGATTTTTAAACTGTCAGCAGGTTTCTTTTCGTGCAATTAGAGTTTAATATGGGGTAATTGCTCCTCAAGTTTCTTTTAAGAAAGTCGAAATCTGACTTGTACAATAGCAGGTTGCACCTTATTATTTAGAACTCCATTTGTTTTTTCACAAAGAATAAAAATACACTGAAGTTCTTTAATGAGTTTTGGTATGTACTTCTAACAACCTCTCTAAACTGGGAAAATTAATTTCTAACCTACCAAAATCATATTCCAGAACGCAAAATCCTTTGGCTATACAAAGTAAGACTAACTGAATGCTTTTACATAAATACTTCAGGTCTGGGTCTTTTTAAAAAATGCTATTTTTAAAATAAAACTCTACAGGGCAAATCAATCTACTCATATACTTCCTTTCTACAATCACATTACTTTGACTTTACTTGAAATATTACCAGTATCAACAGACAAATGAGGCATTCACACAAAGGCAGTTAAACACCACACATCACACCAACTCACTTAAGTCATATTTAATATTCTACTCAGCATCTAAAGCTCTCCAGAACAAATATGATGGTAAATGTTAAAAGTGTACAATGAAAAACACAGCTTCTTTGTGTGTAATCAGGGCGAAAGAAGGTGGGTGAGCACAGGGAGAGCGATCTCAGCATTGTGCTCGGCATCAGCACTTACCTTGAGGATGTCCCCCCTTTTGAAGCTCAGCTCGTCGTCTGCAGTAGCTTTGAAGTCATATTTGGCGATGGCTTCCATTCTGAGCGCTGCTCAGTGCTCAGCAGCCTGAAGCAGGGGGAAGGGAGTCTTCCCTGCTGAAGCAACCCAGCGCTCTGGGCTTAGCCTCGCCTCTCTTCTGGGACTCGCTCCGGCACTCTGGGACACACAATGCCACCCTGAAGCAGGAGAGGGACGATTAAGAGCAGTGGCCAGGATTGAAGGCAACCCCGCCCTGCCAATCGGCCTGCTGTCCCAGCCCCCACGCCCCCTGGCTCGGCCTGGCTCAGCCCTCCTCCCTCCCTTCCAGGCAACAGCCCCCCCCCGCCGACTTCTTCCTCTTTTCAGCCTCGGCCCCCAGGCGACTGACAGGCCTGCCGGCCAATGGCACAGCTGCCTGAGCTATTCCTGAACACACTTCCTCTTCCTTCCCGCTGGGTGTGCACTGCGTGCAGGAACCGGCTGGAGTCCCACTCAGTCTCCGCCTTTCCTCCTTTACTCCTCACAGGCTCTTCTCCAGCACCAAATACGGTCCACTGAAAGGAAGGCCTCACCCTGGGGATGGCACCTGTCTCTTCTCGGTTAAACAGGCCTGTCTCCCTCCCTTCCCCACCGCCATCCTTTCTGGTCTTCTGAGAATGCTGGCTTCCCTACTGCACAGTCAAGAGCAAGCAAAGCAAAACTCTTTGGTCTCGAGCTGCTGCACTCTTCTCGAAACTAAACCATGATCTGCTCCCAGGAGAGCAGGAGAAAGTAAATGTAGGAACTGCTTTTTCAATCCATTTACTGCTACAAGCACCGGCGGCTTTCCCCCTGCACTTCCATGTTGTGATCGGCAAGCTCAGGTAACCAGAGAAAGATCACAGCTCCAAGCTGTGTACCAGTGGAAATGGTGGGGATGACGCTCTTGCATAAGGCTCCCTTTCCCCGGCAGATCCCCAAGACTCTGGGGTCCCCACCAGGAATGAAATAAATGACCAAGGCTCAGCACTCCAGAAATAGCTCCACATTATTTCTAACTAACCTAAGGAGCAGAGCTGAAGTCCTAATCTACACTTGAAAGGAATCCCTTTTTCAGAATCTGAGCTGCCAAGTATCTTGTTTGGGAAAGAAAGTGCAGGGAGATGGTGCCCGCAGAAGGTCAAAGAGAAGTCTCTCTCACAGTCACCCTGTGCACAGCTTCTTAGAGCAAGCAGAGTATAAAACTGATGCAAACTGCATTTTGCAGGTAAAAGATTCTGTGAGAACCCTGAGATACTGTATCAGACGATGAGGAACTGGCAGTAGTACAATGAACGGTGTAGTGAAGCGTCTCCAGCCATGAATATAGGACACAACCTAGATCTGTGGATAACTAAATAAAAATAAAGCCCCGTTCTGGTTAGCTCGGTCACTGTTTTCATACTTGCTAAACAAAAGCAGAAAACAACAGAACTGGGACAGATTATTTATAGTGACACCTTTCTTGGATAATTACAACCCAGCAGCTCATTTGAGGGGCACAAGTGATTATTATTCCTTTGTTCTAAAGTTGACAATTGGGGCACTAATCAAGCATAGCTGCAAATGGACCAAGTAGTAAAGCAGTGGGGAATATTAAGATTAGACCAAGATAAGTATTATCAAAAAGAAAATAAATCGTCTGACAATGAGTCCTTCAGTCAAATTCTGAAAGCCAAACATTCTGCTGCAGGTAACTAATAAACCAAACCAATGTTTATTCCTTCAGGCCATACCTAAGATATTCCATGTGGCGCTGGCTGTAACAGGGAAAGTAAAGAAAGAGTCCCAGCAAATATTAAAAAATACAGAGGTTGATCTGCGAATATTTATACTTGTGTATCCTTAAATGCCCTTCACTTACACTCTCTGTAGTTACTTTGATCAAACTAATCCGTGTACATAATTTTAAAAGTCAGAGTATTAAAAGGCTTATGAAAAAGAGCAGCTCCCTACCAACACCCACAGGCGATCACTCTCGATTTTGTTTTTTGCTTTCTCTTTGTATTTACTTATTTTTCTTTTTTTAAATCTTGTGGTCAATGCACAAAATGGATAGAGTATTTCTAAAGAATGTGCTTTTACTGCTTTCTCAGTTTATTCCAGCCATTATCTATTGCCTGAAAGGTGAAGATTTAGTTTCCCCCGACCTATACCAGTAATATCACATATTCTGGTTTAATCAGTAGTATGTTATGAAATACTACTCACTGATAATTTAAATAATGCACTAAAACCAATCATACTTTTTGTGTTTTTTTTTTTTTCTTTTTTGAGATAGAGTTCTCTAAGATTGCCCAGGCTAGAGTGCAGTGGCATGATCTCGGCTCATTGCAACCTCCACCTCCCAGGTTCAAGCGATCCTCCTACCTCGGCCTGTAGCTGGGACTACAGGCATGTGCCAACAAGCCTGGCTACTTTTTATATTTTTAGTAGAGACGGGATTTCACCATGTTGGCCAGGCTGGTCTTGAACTCCTGGCCTCAAGTGATCCGCCCACTTTGGCCTCCCCAAGTGCTGGGATTACAGGCATCGGCCGCTGTGCCTGACCCAATCATACTTTTTTGTACAATCCTTAGATTTTTCCCAGCATTAGCAACTGCTTAATGTTCTATTTTTTACTTGCCTAGTTCCCTGTGTATCTACTTTTACTTTTTCTTTTCTCTTTTTTTTTGAGACAGGGTCTTGCACTGTTGTCCAGGCACGAGTGCAGTGGCATGGTCATGGCTTACTGCATCCTTGATCTCCTTGGCTCAAGTAATCCTCATGCCTCAGCTTCCCAAGTAGCTGGAACTACAGGTGTGGGCCACTATGCCCGGCTACTTTTTCTATTTTTTGTAGAGACAGGGTCTCACTATGTGAGACCAGTCCAGTATAGCTTAGTGTTGAATTTGCATGGTCTCTAGAGGCAGGCCCCTCACGCTAACTGCTACAATTTTGGGCAAACTTTTCAAACAAGCTCCAGTTTCGTCATCTGTAAAATGAGAATAATATCTACCTTTTAAGACCCAGGCTGGTCTCAAACTCCTGGCCTCAAGCAATCTGCCTGCCTCGGCCTCCCAAAGTGCTAGGAATACAGGGGAGAGTGAGCCACCACGCCCAGCCCTATTTTTACTTTTAATGAATGCTCCAAAATCTCTCCTACTATCAAGATTTTCCTCAGCCTATTTATTTTAACTGGTCTCTAATGCCGAGACTATGTATTAGTGATAGGAAGCTGAAGAATATTTACAATGATAGGAAAAGAATAAGGAGTTTTATTTTTGAAAAACAGAAATCAGATAGAAATGAAAAGCCCTGTCACTTTCAAGGTGCTATGTAGTACGACCAGCCATAAGCTTCTGTGTCATTCAGGATTTAAGACAGCTGCAATGTTACTACTCAACAGCAGTACAAAAACCAAGACAGTTCTCAATACCTGCTTTCCTGCTGCTACTCAGCTCATCTGCTGAAAGCTTAAAAAGAATAACCTTCTTGAAAGTCGTGTTTTGAGTAACTATTGCTTTGTGAGATGCAGAGTTTGACAGAAAATTAAATCCCTACTTCCATGGCTGTGCTGAGTAAAAAAACAGAAAACTCAAAGAGGAAAGCTTATTAGGTTATCCACCCAAAAGAGCATATTCGCTAAAGGAATTCCAAAGGGTGTGTTTCAGTAAAGACAAAAAAAAATCTAACACATACACAACACTAATTACTAAAAGGAAGAAATCTGAAAGCAGACACAATGTATAATGATTTTAACAGAGTAGATGTTGCTGTTCACTTCCCAAGAAAATGGGGTATAGTGTACTTAACACTGAAGCCTAATGAGAGTAACCTCGAAACTGTTACCAGCCCATCCCAAGCAGTGAATTTTAAGAAAGGTAAGTACAGCTTTAATCATTCATTTCAAACAATGTCTACTGTATCCAAAAAAACTACTATCCTAAAGGTATTTGCAAGATTTTTTTTCTTTCTTCCATTTAACTCTCTTCTTCCCAAAATTCACAGAAAATAAAATACATGACAACAGTCCAGTATAGCTTAGTGTTGAATCTTCATGGTCTCTAGAGGCAGGCCCCTCACACTTACAGCTACAGTTGTGGGCAAAGTTGTGAAACAAGCTCCAGTTTTCTCATCTGTAAAATGAGAATATCTACCTTATAAGATCCACTGAGGATTAAATTAGACAACATATATAACATACATTAAGTGCTCTGGATAGAGCCCGACATGTAATAATCACTCAAAATTTATTTATTTATTTATTTATTTATTTATTTATTTATTTTTTGAGACAGCATCTAGCTCTGTCGCCCAGGCTGGACTGCAGTGTCACGATCTCAGGTCACTGCAACCTCCGCCTCCTAGGATCAAGCAATTCTCCTGCCTCGACCTCCCAAGTAGCTGGGACTACAGGTGCGCGCCACCAAGCCTGGCTAACTTTTGCATTTTTAGTAGAGATGGGGTTTCGCCATGTTGGCCAGGCTGGTCTCAAACTCCCACCTCAGCCTCCCAAAGTGCTGGGATTACAGGCATGAGCCACTGCACCCAGCCTTCAAAAGAAATTTTAAATGTTACTCTATTTAAAACATATGAAAAGAAATGCAAATTAAAACAATCAGAGTTTTCATATACTAATTGGCAAATTTTAAAAATATTTATAAAATCCAATCTGCAATACTTTGAGTAAACACACTTTTATTTATTTATTTATTTTTCAGAAAGGGTCTCACTCTGTAGCAAAGGCTGGAGGGCAGTGGCGTGATCTTGGTTTACTGCAACCTCCGCCTCCTGGGCTCAAGGGATCCTCTCACCTCAGCCTCCTTAGTGGGGACTACAGGCACCAGCCACCATAGCCTACTCATTTTTTTTTGTAGAGATGGGGTCTCCCTATGCTGCCCAGGCTGGTCTCAAACTCCTAAGCTCAACAGATCTGCCTGCCTTGGCCTCCCAAAGTGCTGGGATTACAGGTATGAGCCACCGCACCAGGCACAAAGACTTTTTACCCTACCCGGTGTCCACTGACTCAACATTTTGAGAAGTTACTAACTGACAATGTGGCTTGGTGTTACATTATAATAATAAAATCACCACAGAACCCACACTACAGCAAGGAATTAATGAGCTCAGCTCAATCTTTTTGGTGAGTTCTTTGGTAATCTATTGACAACTTTTATTTATTTTTATTTATTTTTTGGAGACAGAGTCTTGCTCTATCCCTCAGGCTGGAGTGCAGTGGCGTGATCTCCGCTCACTGCAACCTCCACCTCCTGGGTTCAAGCGATTCTCCTGCCTCAGCCTCCCAAGTAGCTGGGATTACAGGTGCCTGTAACCATGACCAGCTGATTTTTCTATTTTTAATAGAGACAGGATTTCGCCATGTTGCCCAGGATGGTCTTGAACTCCCGACCTCAGGTGATCCGCCCACTTTGCCCTCCCAAAGTGCTGGGATTACAGGCGTGAGCCACTGCGCCCAGCCTATTTACTTTTATTATTTGAGACAGAGTCTCGCTCTATTGCCCAGGCTGAAGTGCAGTGGAGCAATCATGGTTCACTTCAGCCTCAAACTCCTTGGCTCAAGCCATCCTCCTGCCTTAGCCTCCCAAGTAGCTGGGACTACAGGTGCACACCACCATGCCTGGCTAATTTTTGTGTGTGTGTGTGTGTGGTGACCAGGACTCACCATGTTGCCCAAGCTGATCTCAAACTCCTGGACTCACGTGATCCTCCCCATCTCAGCCTTTCCAAGTGCTGGGATTACAGGGGTGAGCCACCACACCTGGCCTTGACAATCTTTTCTTTTTTTTTTTTTTTTTTGAGATGGAGTCTCGCTTTGTCACCCAGGCTGGAATGCAGTGGCACGATCTTGGCTCACCACAACCTCTGTCTCCTGGATTCAAGCCATTCTCCTGCCTCAGCCTCCCAAGTAGCTGGGATTACATGCCCCCACCACCACGACTGACTAACTTTTGTATTTTTAGTAGAGGCAGGGTTTCACCATGTTGGTCAGGCTGGTCTTGAACTCCTGACCTCGTGATCCACCCGCCTTGGCCTCCCAAAGTGCTGGGATTACAGGCCGTGAGCCACCGCGCCCGACCAACAATTATTTATTTATTTTTTTGAGACAGAGTCTCGCTCTGTCGCCCAGGCTGGTGTAGTGACGCAATCTTGGCTCGCTGCAAGCTCCGTCTCCCAGGTTCATGCCATTCTCCTGCCTCAGCCTCCCGAGTGGCTGGGACTATAGGTGCCCACCACCACACCCGGCTTATTTTTTTGTATTTTTAGTAGAGACATGGTTTCACCATGTTAGCCAGGATGGTCTCGATCTCCTGACCTCGTGATCCGCCTGCCTCAGCCTCCCAAAGTGCTGGGATTACAGGCATGAGCCACCGTGCCCGGCCCTGACCGACAATTTTGAAATATTAATACATACTCTTTTTTTTTTTGAGACAGGGTCTTGCTCTGTCACCCAGTCTGGAGTGCAGTGGGTGCCATCTTGGCTCACTGCAGCCTTGACCTCCCAGGCTCAGGCCATCCTCCCGCCTCAGCTTCCCAAGTAGCTGGGACTACAGGTGTGTGCCACCACACCTGGCTAATTTTTGTAAATACATACTCCTTTTTTTGAGATGGAGTCTTGCTCTGTCACCCAGGCTGAAGTGCAATGGCACGATCTCAGCTCACTGCAATCTCCGCCTCCTGAGTTCCAGCAATTCCCCTGCCTCAGCCTCCCAAGTAACTGGGACTATAGGCGTGCACCACCATGCCTGGCTAATTTTTGTACTGTTAGTAGAGATGGGCTTTCACTAGGTTGGCCAGGCTGGTCTCAAACTCCTGACTTCAGGCAATCCACCAGCCTTGGCCTCCCAAAGTGCTGGGATTACATGCATACCACCATACCCAGCCTCATGCTCCTTTTTTCTTTCTGAGACAGAGTCTCGCTCTGTTGCCCAGGCTGGAATGCAGTGGTGTGATCTCATCTCACTGTAACCTCCACCTCCTGCGTTCAAGCGATTCTCCTTGCCTCAGCCTCCCAAGTAGCTGGGATTCCAGGCGTGTCACCACCACCTAATTTTTGAATTTTCTTTTTTTGTGTGTTTGTGTGTGTTTTTAATGTTTGTATTTTCAAATAAAGACGAGGTTTCACCATGTTGGCCAGGCTGGTCTCCAACCTCAAGTGATCCGCCCACCTCGGCCTCCCAAAGTTCCAGGGTGACAGGCGTGAGCTACTGTGCCTGACCAATACATACTCTTGACCAAGCAATTCCACTTCCCAGATTTATCTCACTGAAACAATGAGACAAAATACAATGTGCAACATACACATATACACCCACACCCTTGATCAATATCCATGAGCTTGTGTATGGAGTATCTACATAAATACCAGGATATATCAATTTTTTTTTTTTTTTGAGACGGAGTCTTGCTCTGTCGCCCAGGCTAGAGTGCAGTGGTATGATCTCTGCTCAAAGCAACCTCCACCTCCCGGGTTCAAGCCATTCTCCTCAAATTTTTAAAGCTGCAGAAAAATTATAGTTTATCCTATTTCTGTAAGGCAAAATAATACATCAGTATGTGCTTAAAAAAAAAGGCTAGGCCGGGCGCAGTGGCTCACGCCTGTAATCCCAGCACTTTGGGAGGCCGAGGCGGGTGGATCACGAGGTCAGGAGATCGAGACCATCCTGGCTAACAAGGTGAAACCCCGTCTCTACTAAAAATACAAAAAATTAGCCGGGCGCGGTGGCGGGCGCCTGTAGTCCCAGCTACTCGGGAGGCTGAGGCAGGAGAATGGCGTGAACCCGGGAAGCGGAGCTTGCAGTGAGCCGAGATTGCGCCACTGCAGTCCGCAGTCCGGCCTGGGCGACAGAGCGAGACTCCGTCTCAAAAAAAAAAAAAAAAAAAAAAGGCTAACAATGGTTATCTCTGCTAGCGAGATCACAGAACACTTTTACTTTCTGCATGATACACCTCAATTGTATTTTCATTATTTTTACAATAGGCATGTGTTACTTTTGTAGTTACAACACAAACCAAAAAGCTTACTGACGCTCTGGAGTTAGACTTGGATTCAAATGTCACTTTCCACTTACTAATGAGGGGACACTGGAGAAGTAACTTATACTCTGTAATCCCTAGTATCCCTTAACTGGAAAATGGGAATAATAACAGCCAACTACCTTATAAAGTCATTTTGATAATTAAAAGAGATAATGGTTGTAAAATGCTTGGCAGAAGTCTCTGGCTCTCTCCAAAAGACTGAGCTAACTAATTATCCACTATAGTGTGGGCTGTGATGATTTTATTATTATAATGTAGTATAAGCCAGAGACCTTAACTAGTATTTTCAGTCTCTTTTCAAATACTAGCCTACATGTTCTAAGAGTAAATGTGGAGCTTCCATCTGCATAGGCAGATATCCTGATGAAACCATCATCAGTTGAAAATATTGTTACATGGAAATGCATTTTAATACACCTAACCTACCAAACACCACAGCTTAGCCTAGCCTACCTTACCTTAAATGTGCTCCAAACACATTAGCCTACAGTTAAGCAAAATCATCTAACACAAAGCCCATTTTATAACAAAGTGATGAATATCTCCTGTAATTTACTGACTATGGTACTGAGAGTGAAAAACAAAACAGTTATATGGGTACTGGAAGTATAGTTTTTACTGAGCGCTATTGCTTTCACACCACTGTAAAGCTGAAAAATCTTTCGTCTGAGTCTACAGACTCAGAAGAATTCTCTGGTAGGCAAATTAATGACCCTATTAAGTATAAATTTCAAGTTAAATCACTCCACATCACAGTATTAAGAATGCTAAAAAATTTACACATGTAAAAATGAATCATGCTTATAGTCACTCATTCCATTAGGCTATTCTAAATACTGACTTTGTGTATACACAGAAAAATGTAATTTTAAGTTGAATTACTTAAAGCCACACAGCAGTCTTATTATTTATGGCTGCATTTGGTAACAACAGTTTTGATCCTTAGACCATCTGTATCAAAATCCACCCATTCAGAGACTGATTCACTGTGGGGTACATCCTGGAGTTCTACCAGAACCTAATTTTAAAAAGATCTCCCAGTGATTTTTATGGATACTAAATTTTAAATAACTGCTATACCATAAGGATGCCTTAACCAGATTTTAAAATTTGCATTCCAGATAATGCACTACAATGTCCTTGCATGAAATGAAAATAATGCATATTGGCCGGGCGCGGTGGCTCACGCCTGTAATCCCAGCACTTTGGGAGGCTGAGGTGAGTGGATCACCTGAAGTCGGGAGTTCCAGACCAGCCTGACCAACATGGAGAAACCCTGTCTCTACTAAAAATACACAATTAGCCAGGCGTGGTGGTGCATGCCTGTGATCCCAGCTACTAGCGAGGCTGAGGCAGAAGAATTGCCCGAACCCAGGAGGTGGAAGTTGTGGTGACCTGAGATCGTGCCACTGCACTCTAGCCTGGGCAACAAGAGCGAGAATCTGTCTCAAAAAAAAAAAAAAAGGAAAAAGAAAATAATGCGTATTCACTTGGCACAACTAGGAAAAAGGCAACTTTGACCAAAAAAAATATATATATATATAAATATATATATATATACAGACTCTCAAAAGCCATTCAGTAATGGTGGAGAGTTCCTCTGAATTAAGCAAGTATTAATTTCTCTCCGGAGGGCATGGTGACTCTCTATTCTGTATTACTTCATTTCTCCAAAATCCATTCCTCTTCTGTTGTATGTGTAACAATTAGAACTCTGATGGACAACATGCAACATGATAACAGCAATTACTGAGAAGAATCTCTAAGTACCATCAACCAGTAGTATTTAAAACCCAGCAAGCCTCTCAAATCTGAATAACTTGCTGACGAAGTAAAGTGCCTCAAACATTTAAACGTTTGAGTTCAGGCCGGGCGCAGTGGCTCATGTCTGTAATCCCAAGGCTGAGATGGGCAGATCACTTGAGGTCAGGAATTCGAGACCAGCCTGGCCAACATGGTGAAACTCTGTCTTTACAAAAATACAAAAATTAGCCAGGTGTGGTGGTGAGCACCTGTAATCCCAGCTACTCGGGAGTGCGAGGCAGGAGAATCGCTTAAACCCAGGAGGTGGAAGCTGCAGTGAGCCGAGATCGCACCACTGCACTCCAGCCTGGGCGACAGAGCGAGACTCCGTCTCAAAAAAATAAAATAAATAAATAAATGCTTGTGTTTAGTAGAAGAAAGCTGATTATAAGAATTAACTCTGGCCGGGCGCGGTGGCTCACGCCTGTAATCCCAACACTTTGGGAGGCCAAGGCGGGTGGATTACCTGAGGTCAAGAGTTCAAGACCAACCTGGGCAACACAGTGAAACCCCATCTCTACTAAAAATACAAAATTCGCTGGACATGGTGGTGGGCGCCTGTGATCCCAGCTACTCGGGAGGCTGAGGCAGGAGAATCGCTTGAACCCAGGAGGCAGAGTTGCAGTGAGCCCATATAGCACCATTGCACTCCAGCCTGGGCAAAAAGAGCAAAACTCTGCCTAAAAAAAAAAAGTCACTGAGCTGACCCAATCTTCCTATTATAAAGACATACTAGAAGAAAACATAAGCAGGCACAGAAGCATAATCTTAAAAGAAAAAGAGTAAAAGACAAAAATAATACAAGCAAACCACACTTGCGACCTAGTGGCAGGACTGATTTCTTAGGGATGAATTCAATCTTTTGAGCCTCCCCGTTCTCAGAGAGGGGACTTCAGCCTCCCACGGCTCTCTAGCAACCCTTCTGGCTGACTGCAGGGAACGCAGGGGACGCGCAAAAGTAAAGGAACGAAAGCAAGGAAAGAGAGTCTCTTCCCGAGGAAAAAGACGGAATCTTGAAATGAGAGAAAACGAACAGCACGAAAGGGAAGAAACCTCGAAAAATTACGCCAGAGTGGGGACTACAAGGAGGAAGGGGAAGTACATTAGAAAAAAAGGGGGGGGTGGGGGGAGGAAGGGGCAAATGACTTGCATTACACAAGCATTTCGTGTCCCTAGTGGAAAGGACAGAAGCAGATAGAGAAGGAAGGAAATAACTGGAGAAAGAGGAGTAAGAAAGCCAAAATAGACTAATGCTAATTTCTCTCATGTGTCTGACATTTCGGAAAGTCAACAGCATCAAAAAGAGACAGACCTCAAGTGCACTTCAGTCCCCTGCAAACTGCACTTTCACAGCGTTTGAAGCCAGCCTTGAAAAACTTTCTAAACAAGCCATAACTCATGTGTGGCTTACAATCATAGAGAGGGCGCGCTGCAAATGAAAATTACCAGCGCCCGCTCTCGCCGCAATCCTTCCTCGGTGCAGTCCAACCTGCTACTGCTGAATTTTTCTTGACAAATATTTTTCAAATAGTTTTTTTTTTTAAGTGTCAGAATAAAGGTATCTCCCCCGGCTCCAGCAGCAAACGTTCCACCCCAAAGTGGATTCCCGCACAAAATTAAGCCCAAAGACGCCAGGAGATGGTGACGTGGTTGCCGTGCAGGTCGAAGGCACATCAATCACCACAGCTGCAGCCCACACCAGTCCCCCGCCGCCAGGCTCGGGTAGACTGACTCGGTCGGCGTTCGGCCCGCCTGGGCTTCCCGGGCCCCTTCCGTGCAAACCCTCCCGATGAAGGCAGGGGACCTCGCCAGAGAACCCCGACCTCTTCCCCCGGACTGCCCAGAGCCAAGAGCCGGAGGAGGACGGTCCCCAGGAAGGAAGCGCCCCAAAAGGGGAAACGTAGAGTCCGGAGCCCCGGGGATTGCGCTCCACGTCCCAAGCCTCGCCGCCCCGACGCGAACCCCGGGGCCGGTCCCGGTTCCCCCGGGGCCCACTCCCGCTGTAGAGCCAAGAGGAAAAGGCACGAGAGAGGCGCCGAGCGCAGCCTCCCGTACTCACCGTGGCGCAGCTGCTCCGCTCAGCGTCCGGCCCGCCCCTCCACAACGCTGCGAGCGGCCGGCGACCCCAAGGCTGCTCTGCGAGGGCAGCGCTTGCTCCCGCCGCCGTCACCGCCACAGGCACAGACTCTGCCACAGCCGCCGCCGCCGCTGCCGCCGCCCGGTCGCCGAAGCAGCAATACCTCCTGGCTTCCGCTCCCCGTCGGTGTCCCGCGAGAACTTCTCCACGAGGCCCCGCCCCGCCCCCGCGAGACTTCCCCCGGCGGAAAAGGCCCAGAGCGCAAGCGCTCCTCCTCAGCCGGGCCCCTGCGGGTAGGGAACCAGCTAGGTGTCAGGGCGCATGCGCCAGACCTCCCCGCAGCAGGTGGCCTCCGCACGGCTCCGCCCCCGGGTCGCCGTAACCCTCTCGGTGCCAGAGCGGGTAAATGACAGCTTAGCCCTGAAGGACTCTTCCCCCGTCTAATCACTTTATTTTCCTCTTCTACCAAACCTAGGCAGTTGGATGGGTAGGGGCTTGGGGGAGGAAGAGATCTTCCAGAATGAAGCACTCCAAATAGAGGACCAGGTCTTAAAATATTTGAGAATCCGGTCCGTACAAACTCTGCTGTGTTGAATGATTGGTGAGTTTGTTTGCTCATTGATTGAATCACTGCAGAGTTTGTACGGACCGGATTCTCCAATATAGGCCGAACACTGTGCTGGGGATAGAACAGAAATCTTGGCCCTTAAGGAATTCACGGTCTAGGAAGTAGAAGAAAAATAAACAAATAATGCCATAAGTACTGTTATAATTATTTGGAGTTTGCTGAGGAAGCTAAAAAAATGGAGGGGGTACTGCTACACTGCCCATTGCAGAAGAGCCTTCACAGATGTGATGCGGCGATGTCTGATCTGAGTCTTGGAGGATGAGTAGGAATTTGCCAGGCAGAGAAGCCAGAGTAAGGGCATTTCAGGGAAAGGGAATGGCACGTAAGTACAGAGGCTAAGTACAGAGGAACGGAGGCGTGAGAGAGAAAGTCGTGTTCTGTGCAGTGCTAAGTAGTTCAATTCCTGTATGAGGCCGGTGAGTACGGGGGAGTGGCAGAAGATGAGGCTTGGAGAAATAATTCTTATTTTTCAGTTCCCAAAGCTCTTCCAATTAAAGGATAGAACACAACACACCTAGCGTTACTGTGCCTTCTGGAAGCCAACAAAATAGCGCTGAGGTGAGAATAACCAAGCATCTGATTCTATAGAGAAAAGAAGCCCATTGAAACACAGAAAATGAATTGTGCTTTCACCAAGTATTTATTGAGCATCACCTGTGTGCAAGGGGCTCTGCAGGGTCAAAGACCAACCAGATGAAGCCCCTGCTTTCAGTGCTTTGTAATCTAGAGTTGCCTAATCTGTAAGACAAGCAGTTGGCCCCAAGTGCCACTGAACTACACATAGGGATGGCTGAGGAGGGAGCCAGTACTTGGTGCTGAGCTAATCAAGAAGGATTTGGTTTGAACGGCAAAGTGAAAGCAGGGAGGAAAGAGGAAAGAGTAATGGAATCAGCCTTTTGTTTTTTTTTTTTTTTTTTTTTTTTGAGACGGAGTTTTGCTCTTGTTGCCCAGGCTGGAGTGCAATGGTGCGCGATCTTGGCTCACCGCAAGCTCCGCCTCCCGGGTTCAAGGGATTCTCCTGCCTCAGCCTCCCGAGTAGCTGGGATTACAGGCATGTGCCACCACACCCAGCTAATTTTGTATTTCTAGTAGAGATGGGGTTTCTCCATGTTGGTCAGGCTGGTCTCAAACTCCTGACCTCAGGTGATCCGCCCACCTTGGCCTCCCAAAGTGCTGGGATTACAGGCGTGAGCCACCATGCCTGTTTTTTTGGTTTTTTTTTTTTTTTTGAGACTTGCACTGTTGCCCAGGCTGGAGTGGAGTGCAGTGGCATGATTTTGGCTCACTGCAACTTCCGCCTCCTGGGTTCAAGCATTCTCTCACCTCAGCCTCTCAAGTAGCTGAGATTACAGCAGCCTGCCACCACACCCAGCTAATTTTTGTATTTTTAATAGAGACAGGGTTTCGCCATGTTGGCCAGGCTGGTCTCGAACTCCTGACCTCAGGTGATCCACCTGCCTCAGCCTCTCAAAGTGCTGGGATTACAGATGTGAGCCAACACTCCTGGCCATCAACCAATGTTTTTGATTAGTCCAAGCCCCAGTAATTGGGGGGAAGAGTGATGAGAGAGAGGGGCCAAAATGCAAAATGCATGGCTTAGGTGTCATAGTCAAGTGATGGGCAACCTCTGAAGGTTTCTGAGCAGGAGGTGTCTGATATGAGGTGAAAATAAGAAAAGGACCCTCTATTTACCACTTGATGCATACTTAAGTCATAGCGCCTCCACAGGGTGGGTAATATCCCCATTTTACAGACTTGGAAACTAAGCCTTAGAGAGGTTAGTAATTTACCCAAGGAAGCCAAAATATAGTAGACCTAAGATTTGGACTAAGGCCTGTCTTGTTCTAAAATCCTCATTTTTTTCCCGCACTATGCCACTTTGTTCTAAAATAGCAGTCAGAAAAAAATAGAAATGGAAGGGAGGGACTTAGCTGCTAAGCAGAGAGGAAGACATGAGGGAAGAATTGCAGTTTTTTGTTTTGAGTGGGCCTGGATAACAGGGAGAACACAGAAATTTGCCAGTCAAGAGGCATAGCTGACTGGAGGGGGCAGGCACAGAGAACAGGGAAGGGCAGGTGAGGAGATGATTGTAAGGGTGAAGGGAATTTTTCCCTTCCACTCTGACAGTTTGAGTCTGCTGAAATAAACTGGCAATAGATTAACAGGAGAAAGCACATACAAATTTACTGACATGCAGTGTGCATGGTTACCATACAGAATATGAGACTCAGAGAAGAGCCAGGTGGCTGAAGCTTAAAGAGCACCATCTTTGCAGAGGAGAGGGAGATGAGCGGAGGTCAGCAATACTGAAAGGTAGTCAACTATTTTTAGGGAAAAGGAATGAGCCCAAACAATGCCTGGGACAAAGTTCCTCTGAGCTCTGGGAGCTGGAGGTTGTGACAAATTTCAGGAAGGTGAGGTGCAGGACTTCACTGTAAATAAAGGTTGTCTTATTATGCAGATAAAGTCTCCTAAATAATCTCAGCTGTCCTCAGGAGAATAGATGAAAAGTCTGTTTGGATGTGGTGACAACTTTTAGTCTTTTCTCTTCTCTGGTAGTTAATATTTCCTGGTTATTTGACGAGAGTCCTAGGGAGGAAATTTTAAGACAGTCGCATCTATTTTTTTTCTTTTCTTTTCTTTTTTTTTTTTTTGAGATGTAGTTTCACTCTTGTTGTCCAGGCTGGAGTGCAATGGCGTGATCTCAGCTCACCGAAACCTCCACCTCCCAGGTTCAAGTGATGCTCCTGCCTCAGCCTCCAGAGTAGCTGGCATTACAGGCATGCACCACCACGCCCGGCTAATTTTGTATGTTTAGCAGAGATGGGGCTTTTCCCTGTTGGTCAGGCTGGTCTCGAACTCCCGACCTCAGGTGATCCGCCCGCCTTGGCCTCCCAAAGTGCTGGGATCACAGGCGTGAGCCACCACACCTGCTCTTTTTCTTTCTTTCTTTTTTAATGGATCCCTTCACAGATTTGCATGTCTTCTTGCTCAGGGGCTATGCTAATCTCTGTATCATTCCAATTTTAGTATATGTGCTGCCAAAGCAAGTACACAATTGAATTTCTTTTGGTTTCTCAGTCAGCTAAGGGAACTTTCAGACAGCCCCTGCATGCATGTGGGGTGGTGAAACAAGACTTTAAAAAGTCCTTGGTTCTGAGGCAGCTTGTAAGTCCTTCCAATTTCCTTTCATTCAAAAGTGCTCAGAATGCCAGAGGAGCATACTTTGGGGTATCATTCTCTGAGCCCCAACATGATGATGACTCATTTTTGGAAATGCAGAATTCAGCATTCCAGGAGACATGCAGGTGGAAATATTCAGTATGCTGTTGAAAAGCTTGACAAGCTGGACGCAGCGTTCTCTCCCATAATCCCAGCACTTTGGGAGGCTGAGGCAGGTGGATCACTTGAAGTCAGGAGTTTGAGACCAGCCTAGCCAACATGGTGAAACCTCATCTCTACTAAAAATGCAAAAATTAGCCGGGCGTGGTGGCACATGCTTGTAACCCCAGCTACTCGGGAGGCTGAGGCAGGAGAATTGCTTGAACCCAGGAGGCGGAGGTTGCAGTAAGCAAAGATCATGCCACTGCACTCCAACCTGGGTGACAGAACCAGACTCCATCTCAAAAAAAAAAATAAATAAATAAATAAAAGAAAAGCTTAATGTACTCATTCATTCTCTTTGCCAACATTAACTAAGCATCTATTCTCTTTGTTTGTTTTTTTTTGTTTTTGAGACAGGGTCTCACTCTTGTCACCCAGGCTGGAGTGCAGTGGCGCAACCTCAGCTCACTGCAGCCTTGACTTCCCAGGCTCAGGTAATTCTCCCATCTGAGTCTCCCAAGTAGCCAGAACTACAGGCACATGCCGCCATGCCCAGCTAATTTTTTGTGTTATGTAAGTATGTATGTATGTACGTATGTATGTATGTATGTATGTATTGAGACAGGGTCTCACTCTGTTGCCCAGGCTGGAGTGCAGTGGCACGATCAGGGCTCACTGCAGCCTCAACCTCCTGGGCAAGAGATCCTCCTGCCTCAGCCCCCCAGTACCTGGGACAACAGTCATGCACCACCACGCTTGGCTAAATTTTTGTGTTTTTAGTAGAGATGGGTATCATCATGTTGGTTAGGTTGGTCTCAAACTCCTGGGCTCAGGCAATCTGCCCGCCTTGGCCTCCCAAAGTGCTAAGATTACAAGCGTGAGCCACCACGCCCAGCCTAGAGCATCTACTCTCTAGAGAGGAGGACAACCCTCCACAGAGTCTGCAGCCTGAAGGGGAAGACATGTCTCTGAGAATTTGACCAGGATAGTGCTGGTGGCTTTGGAAGCATACAGCAGGGGACCTGACCTCATCCACTATGAGGGAAGGCAGAGGAAGTGGGCTTTAAGCTGAGACCCTGGTTAGCCTGAGAGGAAGAAATGATACAGCAAGTGTGAAGGCCAGACAGTAAGCAAGGATGTAAGGAAGCCAATAGCTGGGACAAGGAAGGATGTGTGGCATGTGGGTAAAGCAGCTGAAGAGGCTCGTGAAGGGCCTTTGCTTTTCTCTCTCTCTCTCTCTCTCTTTTTTTGAGATAGGGTCTTGCTGTATTGCCCAGGCTGAAGTACAGTGGTGTGATCACAACTCACTGCAGCCTCAACCTCCTGAACTCAAACAATCCTCCTGCCACATAGCTGGGATCATAGGCATGCGCCATCACCATGCCTGACTAATTTTTTTTTTTTTTTTTTTGAGACAGAGTCTTGCTCTGTCACCCAGGCTGGAGTGAAGTGGCACCATCTTGGCTCACTGCAACCTCTGCCTCCCAGGTTGAAGCAATTCTCCTGCCTCAGCCTCCCCAATAGCTGGGACTACAGGCACGCACCACCACGCCTGGGTAATTTTCGTATTTTTAGTAGAGATGGGGGTATCACCATGTTGGCCAGGCTGCTCTCGAACTCCTGACCTCAGATGATCCACACACCTCGGCCTCCCAAAGTGCTGGGATTACAGGCATAGGCCACTGCACCCAGACTAATTTTTTTATTTTTTGTAGAGAAGAGGAGTCTGACTTTGTTGCTAGCCTGGTCTTGAACTCTTGATCCTCCCACCTCAGCATCCTAAAGTGCTGGGGTTACAGGCATGAGCCACTGCACCCACTTTTTCATTATTGCTAAAGACTTGAGACTTGACTCTGTGGAATACTGAAGTAGGAGTGGGCCATGGTCAAATTTTTATCTTCCAAATATTTTGTCACTCTGGCTGCAGAGTAGAAAACCAATTGGAACTAAGACATTCATCATCTACTGTCTCAAGTCCCTTACAAGGCTCTTAAAGATCTGGCCCTTCCAGCCAGTGCCACCTTCTCAGTCTCCAGTAACACATACTCCACCAATACTAACCCACTTGTGGTTTCCGGAAGGTGTCATGATCCTTTGAGTGTCCATATCTTTACACATGCAATTTCCTCTGTTCAGTTGGCTTTCTACCCTTCCACTAGGTCCCCAAGTCAGTTTTCTTCTTCAAAATTTCCATGGTAGGTCAGGCACAGTGGCTCACATCTCACTTTAGGAGGTGGAGGTGGGTGGATCAGTTGAGTCCAGGAGTTCAAGACCAACCTGGGCAACATGGTAAAACCCCACCTCTACTAAAAATGCAAAAATTAGCTGGGCAGGGTGGCAAACACCTCTAGTTGGGAGCTACTCAGGAGGCTGAGGTAGTAGGATCATCTGAGCCCGGGAGATGGAGGCTACAGTGAGGCATGATCGTGTCACTGCATTCAGCCTGGGCAACAGAGCAAGACCCTGTCTCAAAAAAAAAAAAAAAAAAATTCCCACCATACCTCCAATCTCATTGCATCATGAATCATTCACTCATTGTCCCCCAGCCCTCCCCGCTCGGTGGTCTACAAGCTCCCAAACAGACAGGGTCACCTTTTCACATTTGTATTCCCAGTACCCAGCACAGTGCATGCAGTGAATAAATGGATGGATGGATGGACGGATGAATAATAAAGGCTGACCAGAGACTGAAATGTAGCTGCTTTTCTGTGCTGTGGTGGTATTTAAAGCTAAGGAAGTGGGTGAGATCTCAGAAAAGAGTAGATGCCTAAGAGAACAGGAAAAAAAAAGTTAAGTATTTCCTTTTAAAATACACCATTGATAAAAACAGACATTGAGTATGTTCATGTAAAAGTATATGCATGGGAACCAGATTTGGAAGGGAACATTTAAAAGTAAAAATAATATGTGTTAAAATGGTAGGCTCGTGGGTGACTTTTTTTTAAGTCAACATTTGTTATATTGCCTTTTTGATAAATTTTTTTTTCTCACAGACACAGACTCAGAAACTTGAGACAACGTTGCCCAAGATCATTCCACACTGAGAAAAAAACACATTAGAGGCAGCAGTGTTTTGAATAGGTGCATGGCTAGTGTTAAATAATGGAAAGAAATTGGAACAAGAGGCAAGTTGTGAAGTAAAAGTCACACCCTGGTATGAAAACCTGTTGTCACTGTAGCGAAACTTGCTAATTACAGACCGGCTCCATCAGTAGCTTCACAATGCACAAAATCACCAAAAAAGTCTCTGTTTTCCTTGGGGGTTTTTAGTCGTCGGAAAGGGCTTCAGGCTTTGTTTTCTGTGAGTTACGGGGCTGCCACCTGCAGGTAAAATCTGGACATTGCCCTGAAATTGACCGAACCTTGGATACAAACCCGGCCTGACAGTGAGCCTCTTTCCCTTAGCACCTGGCTCAAGACCCTCTCAGGGTCATCCTGAGCCCATATTTCCAAGCTTCTCTTTAGGGGGAAAGCACTAGATACCCAGTAACAGCCAGTGACAGCCTAAAATTGGGCA
Source organism: Homo sapiens (assembly GCF_000001405.40). NCBI lineage: Eukaryota > Metazoa > Chordata > Mammalia > Primates > Hominidae > Homo > Homo sapiens. Next base: position 75,412,976 of record NC_000017.11, read on the forward strand.
TTTGAAATTCTATGCTCCCTTGCCCAATTGATCTTGGAAGTTCTCATCTAGAATTTCCTTCACTTAAGTTGTGATCCAAGGCTGTGTACTCCTCTCAGGCTTCCAGTGTTCCCTCTGATGCTGAGTTTAGCAATGAGACCAAGTGCTGTGACCCCTCTCCAACATCCTGGCCACCTTTTCCTTCCTTCCTTCCTTCTTTCCTTCCTTCCTGCCTTCCCTCCCTCCCTCTTTCTTTCCTTCCTTCCTTCTTTCTTTTTTCTTTCTTTCCTTTCTTTTTCCTTTCATTTTCTTTTTTTCTCTTTCTTTCTTCATTTTCTTTCTTTCTCTCTCTTTCTCTCTTCCTTTCTTTACCTTCTTTCTTTCCTCTCTTTCTCTTTATCTCTCCCTCTTTCTCTCTTTCTCTCTCCCTCTTTCTCTCTTTCTCTCTCTCTCTTTTAGACAGAGTCCTGCTCTGTTGCCCAGGCTGGAGTACAGTGGCACAATCTTGACTCACTATAACCTCTGCCTCCTCGGTTCAAGTGATTCTCCTGCCTCAGCCTCCCAAGTAGCTGGGATTACAGGCGCCCGCCATCACACCCAGCTAATCTGTGTATTTTTAGTGGAGGTGGGGCTTCACCATGTTGGCCAGGCTGGTCTCGAACTCCTGACCTCAGGTGATCCACCTGCCTCGGCCTCCCAAAGTGCTGGGATTACAGGCGTGAGCCACCGCACCTGGCCTTCTTTCTTCCTCTTTTTTCTTTTCTTTTTTCTTCTTTCTCTTTCTTTCTTTCTCTCTTTCTTTTCCTTCCTTCCTTCCTTCCTCCCTTCCCTCCCTCCCTCCTTCCCTCCCTTCTTTCTTTTCCTTCCTTCCTTCCCTTCCCCCTTCTTCCTTCCTTCTTTTTTCTTTCTCCTTCCTTCCTTCCTCCCTCCCTCCGTCCCTCCCTCTCTCTCTCTCTTTCTTTCTTTCTTTCCTTCTCTTCTTTCTTTTCTCATGGTCTCACTCTGTTTCCCAGGCAGGATTGCAGTGGCACAATCTTGCCTCACTGCAGTCTCAACCTTCCCTGGGCTCAGGTGATCCTCCCACCTAAGCCCCCGAGAATAGCTGGGACTACAGGTGTGTACCACCACACCTGGCTAATTTTTGTATTTTTTGTAGAGATGGGGTTTCCCAGGTTGGTCTTGAATTCCTGGGCTCAAGCAGTCTTCCCACCTCAGGCTCCCAAAGTGCTGGGATTACAGGAGCCACTGTGCCTGGCCTCCTGGCCCCATTTCTGTCACCTGACCTGACCCATGCCACCATCCTTCCTGGGTGGCTGCTTTAACCTGCTAACTAATCATACTGGTCCCCTCCAAGACATTATCTATATTGGAACCAGAGTGGACTTCCTAAAACACAAATAGAATGGGGGTACGGATCACAGATAAGGTCCCAAATTCCTCAGCATGCCCCATATGTCCCTCCATGGCTGGCCCCTGATGAAAACTCCAGCCTTAACTCCTTTTTTAAAAAGTTGTAAATATCTTCTACAAATGGCCTCAACTCTTAGCCTAACCTCCTTTTGAATTTTTTGTCCCCACTCTTTTGAACTATTTACAGTTTCTCGAATAGCTCCATAACTCTTTTACCTTGTGCAGGCTACTCCTTTGGGCTCAAATGCCTCCTTTCCTTGCCTTCCCAATCTTTAGCTGGCTCCTGTCTGTCCTTCACCACTTAACTCAGGAGCCACCTCCTACAGGAAGCCTTCCCAGAAGATCTGGTTCCTCCAGTGTATTCTGGTAACACTCCATCTTTGCTCTTTTCATAGCAGTATATGTTGGTATTATGGCTGAATTGTATCCTTTTCCCCAAAATCCATATGTTGAAGCCCCACCCCCAGTACCTAAGAATGTGACTGTATTTGAGGTTAGGACCTTTAAAGAGGTGACTGAATTAAAAGAAGGCTATTGAGGCCGGGCACGGTGGCTCACGCCTGTAATCCCAGCACTTTGGGAGGCTGAGGTGGGCAGATCACAAGGTCAGGAGATCGAGGCCATCCTGGCTAACCCGGTGAAACCCCGTCTCCACTAAAAATACAAAAAAATCAGCCAGGTATGGTGGCAGGCGCCTGTAGTCTCAGCTACTTGAGAGGCTGAGGCAGGAGAATCGTTTGACCCCAGAGGTGGAGGTTGCAGTAAGCTGAGATCATGCCACTGCACTCCAGTCTGGGCAACAAGACAGACTCCATCTCAAAAAAAAAAAAAAAAAAAAAGAAAAAAAAAGAAAAGGAAAAGAAAGAAAGAAAAGAAAAAGAAAGGCTGTTAGGCTGAATCCTAACCCAATCTGACTGGTGTCCACTTAAGAAGAAGAGATTGGGGCCGGGGGCGGTGGCTCAAGCCTGTAATCCCAGCACTTTGGGAGGCCGAGGTGGGCGAATCATGAGGTCAGGAGATCAAGACCATCCTGGCTAACATGGTGAAATCCCATCTCTACTAAAAAAAAATACAAAAAATTATCTGGGCACGGTGGCGGGCGCCTGTAGTTCCAGCTACTCAGGAGGCTGAGGCAGGAGAATCACTTGAACCCGGGAGGCAGAGGTTGCAGTGAGTCAAGATCGTGCCACTGCACTCCAGCTTGGGCAACAGAGCAAGACTGTCTTGAAAAAAAAAAAAAAGAGGAAGAAGGAGAAGAAGGAGAAGAAGAAGAAACCAAACCTGCGAACATCTTCATCTTGGACTTGATTTTAAAGATTTTAAAACGCTCAAAATTGTGAATTTTGTTATGGCAGCCCTAGGAAACTACCATCTACTCACTTGCCCCTCTCCCCTTTAGACTATGAGCTCCTCAAGCACAGGGACCATGTCTTGTTTTTCTTGGCTCGCCACATCTAGCCTAACGCCTGGCAAGAGCACACTCCAATAAAAACCAAATGACTGGATGGCTTAGGCATGGCAGGAGGACAGAAGGAACCATGAAGAAAAGTAAACGGGCCAGGTGTGGCGATTACGCCTTTAAGCCCAGCACTTTGGGAGGCTGGGGTGAGTGGATCACTTGAGCCTTGGAGTTTTGAGACCAGCCTGGGCAATACAGCAAGACCTCGTCTCTACAAAAAATACAAAAATGAGCCAGGTGTGGTGTTGCGTGTCTGTAGTACCAGCTACTCGGGGGGTTGAGGTGGGAGAATTGCCTGAGTCTGGGAGGTTGGGGATAAGTGAGCCATGATCGCACCACTACACTATAGCCTGGGTAACAAAGTGAGACTCTGGCTGAAAGAAAGAAGGGGCCGGGCACGGTGGCTCACGCCTATAATCCCAGCACTTTAGGAGACCGAGGCAGGTGGATCACCTGAGATCAGGAGTTGGAGACCAGCCTGACCGACATGATGAAACCCCATCCCTACTAAAAATACAAAAATTATCCAGGGGTGGTGGCACATGGCTGTAATCCCAGCTACTGGGGAGGCTGAGGCAGGAGAATTTCTTGAACCCCGGAGGCAGAGGTTTCAGTGAGCCGAGATCGCACCACTGCACTCCAGCATGGGCAAAAAGAGCGAGACTCCATCTCAAAAAAAAAAAAAAAAAAAGGAAGGAAGGAAGAAAGCAGGAAGGGAAGGAAGGAAAGAAAGAAAGAAAGGTGAGAGAGAGACAGAGGAGATGAAAATGGTTCAAAGGGGGCCAGGCATGGTGGCTCACGCCTGTAATCCCAGCACTTTGGGAGGCCAAGGTGGGAGGATGACCTGAAGTCAGAAGTTTGTGACCAGCCGGCCAACATGATAAAACCCTGTCTCTACTAAAATTACAAAAAAAATTAGCCAGGCATAGTGGTACATGCCTATAATCCCAGCTACTCAGGAGGCTGAGGCAGGAGAATCACTTGAACCCAGCAGGCGGAGGTTGCAGCAGTGAGCCAAGATCGCGCCACTGCACTCCAGCCTGGGCGGTAGAGGGAGACTCTACCTCAAAATAAATAAATTAATTAAATAAAATAAAGAAAAAAAGAGGCCAGGCATGGTGGCTCTCACCTGTAATTCCAGCAGTTTGGGAGGCCCAGGTGGGCGGATTGCCTGAGGTTGGGAGTTCAAGATCAGCCTGGCCAGCGTGGTGAAACCCTGTCTCTACTACAAATAAAATAATTAGCCCAGCGTGGTGGCAGGTGCCTGTAATCCCAGCTACTCAGGAAGCTGAGGCAGGAGAATTGCTTGAACCCGGGAGTCAGAGGTTGCAGTGAGCTGAGATCGTGCCATTACACTCCATCCTGGGCAACAGAAGGAGACTCTGTCTCAAAATAGAAAAAAAAAAAACTTCAGATAAGCAAATGGACTCTGGTCCTGACAGCTCCCTGTAGCGATGCCAGGGTCAGTTCAGAGGAGCCTGGCCTTTCTCCTTTCCTTGTGTTTCAGTTTCCACATCTCTTTTTCCTTAGCACACACTCTGCCCGTTAAGGAGATGAAGTCAGTTCCATTTTGGCCATGAGCTAAAATGCAAGTGATGCATCCAAAGGGTGGAAATTTCCTCTGTGTTCCTACGCCTACAAGAAAGAAGCATTAGCAACTTTAGCAACTTAATACTAGGAAGTCTCTCCAACGTTGGTTTTTATAAAATTAAAAATATTTCAGGCCAGAAGCGGTGGCTCACGCCTGTAATCCCAGCAATTTGGGAGGCTGAAGTGGGAGGATTGCTTGAGGCCAAGAGTTCCAGACCAACCTAGGCAACCTAGCAAGGCCCTTGTCTCTACAAAAATTCAAAAAAATTAGCCGGGTATGGTGGCATGCACCTGTGGTCCCAGCTACTCAGGAGACTGAGGTGGGAGTATTGCTTAAGCCTGGGAGGTTAAGGCTGCAGTGAACTGTGATCATGGCACTGCCTGGGTGACAGATCAAGACCCTGTCTCAAAAATAAATAAATAAATAAATAAATAAAAATTTCAGTAGCCATGCATGGTGGCACATGCCTGTAGTCCCAGCTACTCAGGAGGCTGAAGTGGGAGGATCACTTGAGTCCAGGAGTTCAAGGCTGCAGTGTGCTATGATCATGCCTGTGAACAACCATTGCACTCCAGCCTGGGTAACATAACAAGACTCCATCTCTACACCAAGTTTAAAAACTAATGCAAAATAAAAATATTTCACTGACAAAGTTTGTATATATTCAAGGTGTACATTGTGATGATCTATGTATAAGTCGTGTAATGATTATCACAAATTAACACATTCACCACCACCTACGCTGTACATTAGATCCCCAGAACTTGTTTATTTTAAAATAGCAAAATATTATCCCTATGAGATTCTCCCTTTTCTTCTCCTTAACATCTCCCGCTAAAAAAAAAAATTCAGGCCAGGCGTGGTGGCTCACACCTGTAATCCCAGCACTTTGGGAGGTGGAGGCAGGCAGACCACCTGAGGTCAGGAGTTTGAGACCAGGCTGACCAACATAGAGAAACTCTGTCTCTACTAAAAATACAAAATTAGCCGGGCATGGTGGCGCATGCCTGTAATCCCAGCTACTTGGGAGGCTGAGGCAGGAGAATCAGTTGAACCTGGGAGGCGGAGGTTGCAGTGAGCTGAGATCATGCCATTGCACTCCAGCCTGGGTGACAGAGCAAGACTCCATCTCCGAAAAAAAAACGAAAGCATGGGAGAAAGAGGAACAATGAGCAGCGAGGATAAGCTATTCTTTTTCAGAGTTTTGCTATAAAACAGAGCAGAGCAAAGAGTGGGAGTTGGAGGGCTAAGGAAGGGATTTTAAATATGGGGCCAACTACAGCATGTTTTGTGTGCCGAAGGGAATATCTAGAAGAGGAGAAACTCAGCTATGAGAGAGAGGAGAGAATTGAGGAACAAAATGTTTGCACTTCCTACATTTCCATGGACAAGAAGTAGCATCTCAGGCCAGGCACTGGGGCTCATGCCTGTAATCTCAGCACTTTGGGAGTCTGAGGCGGAAGGATGGCTTGAGCCCAGGAGTTCAAGACCAGCCTGGGCAACATTGTGAGACCCCATCTCTATAAAATGTAAAAAAAAAATTAGCCAGCCATGGTGGCATGCACCTGTGGTCCCAGTTACTTGGGAGGCTGAGGTGGGAGGATTGCTTGAGCCCAGGAGTTTGAGGCTGCAGTGAGCTGACATCATGCCACTATACTCCAGCTTGGGCAACAGAATGAGACCCTGTCTCAAAAAAGAAAAAAAAAAAGGAAGCATTTCTGAGAACAGAGCTAGGTTGGTGGGTAGCAGTGGTGGCAGGAAGATGTAATCTTTCTAGATATTTCTGTTCTGACGGCTTCCATTCTCTCAGCTGAATTAATGAGAACACCTGTGGTGGGGATGGCAAAGCCTGGAGGAGGTGTGAAAAGACCAGGAGGCTTGAAACTATCCTTTTGGACAGTGGGGGAGCAATAGATTCAGGAGACATTGCAGGCAGTGCTAAGGTCCAACTCAGACTTATGGTTGTAAATTTCTTTTTTTTTTTCCGAGACGGAGGCTTGCTCTGTTGCCCAGGCTGGAGTGCAGTGGCACAATCTTGGCTCACTGCAAGCTCCGCCTCCTGGGTTCATGCCATTCTCCTGCCTCAGCCTCCCGAGTAGCTGGGACTACAGGCGCCCGCCACCACGCCCGGCTAATTTTTGTATTTTTAGTAGAGACGGGGTTTCACCTTGTTAGCCAGGATGGTCTTGATCTCCTGACCTCGTGATCCACCCGCCTCGGCCTCCCAAAGTTCTGGGATTACAGGCGTGAGCCACTGCGCCTGGCCTCGGTGGTTGTAAATTTCAAAAGGCTGCTCAGCCTAGTTGAGTGTGGTTTTTTTATTTTTTTAAGACGGAGTCTTGCTCTGTCGCCCAGACTGGAGTGCAGTGGTGCAATCTCGGTTCATTGCAAGCTCTGCCTCCCATGTTTACGCCATTCTCCTGCCTCAGCCTCCCAACATGCTGGGATTACACGCATGAGCCACTGCGCCCGGCCAGTTGAGTGTGTTTTTAACCTAGTTGGTTTTTTTTTTTTTTTTCTGTTTTATTTTACCTGATGTCTACAACAACAACTAGTTGTGTATGTGTTTTTTTTTTGTAGTTTTTTTGTTTTGTTTTGTTTTGATTTTTTGAGACGAGGTCTTGCTCTGTTGCCCAGGCTGGAGTGCAGGGGCATGATCTCAGCTCACTGCAACCTCTGCCTCCTGGGTTCAAGCAATTCTCCTGCCTCAGCCTCCTGAGTAGATGCGATTACAGACGCCTGCCACCACGCCAGGCTAATTTTTGTATTTCTAGTAGAGACAGGGTTTCGCCATGTTGGCCAGGCTGGTCTCGAATTCCTGACCTCAGGTCACCCTCCCACCTCGGGCTCCCAAAGTGTTGGGATTACAGGCATGAGCCACTGTGCCTGACCTAGTTGTATTCTCCTTTTTTATTTTATTTTATTTATTTTTATTTTTTTGGTAGGAGGGAGATGCAGTCTCACCCTGTTGCCAGGCTGGAGTGCAGTAGCACTATCTCAGTTCACTGCAACCTCTGCCTCCCGGGTTCAAGCAATTCTCCTGCCTTAGCCTCCCGAGTAGCTGGGACTACAGGCACATGCCACCACGCCCGGCTAAATTTTTTTTTGTATTTTAGTAGGGACAGGGTTTTACCACGTTGCCCAGGCTGGTCTCGAACTCCTGAGCTCAGGCAATCCCCCCCGCCTTGGCCTCCCAAAGTGCTGAGATTACAAGCATGAGCCACCACGCCCGGCCTTTGTTCTTAACCAGTCAAATTCAGTGGCCTGGTTGCAGACACGGAGCAGGCATAGATTCTGGTTTAACCAGGTTAGGGTTTTGCCAACTTGATATCACCCGAGGAGAGAGGGCTCAGAGTGTTGAGGATGTGTGTGCAAGGCAGCAGGTACAGCGCTGGAGCATGAAACCCAAGCCCAATGAAAAACAGAAAGGGAGGATTTGGGCACGTTTAATGGCTATGGAGTTTCAATGTGAGATGATGAAAAAGTTCTGGAGATGGACAATGGTGATGGTTGCATAATGATGTGAAGTTAACTGACATTAAATTAATGTCAGTTAATTGTATACTTAAAAAGGTTAAAATGGCAAATTTTATGTACATTATACCATAATAAGTTTTTCAAATATTAAAATTGGTTAGGCACAGTGATTCGTGCCTGTAATCTCAGCACTTTGGGAGGCCAAGGTGGGCAGATCACTTCAGCCCAGGAGTTTGAGACCAGCCTGGCCAATGTAGTGAAACCCCATCTCTACTAAAAATACAAAAAATATCCAGGCATGGTGGCGCATGCCTGTAATCCCAGCTACTCAGGAGGCTGAGGCAGGAGAATCTCCTGAACCCAGGAGGCAGCGTTTGCAGTGAGTGGAGATCGTGTCACTGCACTCGGCCTGGGTGACACAGCAAGGCTCTGTCTCAAAAAAATCCCAAAAATAGGCCGGGTGTGGTGGCTCAAGACTGTAATCCCAGCACTTTGGGAGGCCGAGGCGGGTGGATCACAAGGTCAGGAGATCGAGACCATCCTGGCTAACACGGTGAAACCTCATCTCTACTAAAAATACAAAAAATTAGCCGGGCATGGTGGCGGGCACCTGTAGTCCCAACTGCTAGGGGTGCTAAGGCAGGAGAATGGCGTGAACCTGGGAGGCGGAGCTTGCAGTGAGATGAGATTGCGCCACTGCACTCCAGCCTGGGTGACAGAGCAAGACTCTGTCTCAAAAAAAAAAAAAATCCCAAAAATATTAAAATTAAAAAAAATTTGTTTTTGATGGCCAGGTGCAGTGGCTAACGCCTGTAATCTCAGCACTTTGGGAGGCCAAAGCAGGTGGATCACCTGAGGTTAAGAGTTCAAGACCAGCTTGGCCAACATGATGAAACCCTGTCTCTACTAAAAATACAAAAAATTAGCTGGGCATGGTGGCGGGTGACATAATCCCAGCTACTTGGGAGGCTGAGGCAGGAGAATCGCTTGAATGAAGGAGGTGGAGGTTGCAGTGAGCCGAGATTGCATCACTGCACTCCAGCCTGGGCAACAAGAGCAAAACTCTGTCTCAAAAACAAAACCAAAAAAAACCCCAAGAATTGTTTTTGAGACAGGGCCTCATTCTATTGCATGTGCTGGAGTTTAGTGCTACAATCATGGCTCACTGCAGCCTGGAACTCCTGGGCTCAGGCGATCCTCCCATTTTAGGCTTCTAAGTAGCTGGGACTACAGGGTCACGCCATCGTGGTTTGCTCATCATTTTGTATTTTTTGTAGAAATGAGGTTTTGCCATATTGCCCAGGCTGGTCTTGAACTCCTGAGCTCAAGCCATACACCCGCCTTGGCCTCCCAAAGTGCTGGGATTCCAGGTGTGAGGCACCACGACCAGCCAATATTAAAATTTAAAAAAATATTGATATCTGGCCCCATCTCAGATAAATCAGAATCTCTGGGGTTGGAGCCTAAACATCAGTATTTTATTTTTTATTTTTGGAGACAATGTCTCACTCTGTAGCCCAAGCTGGAGTGCAGTGGTGTAATCATAGCTCACTGAAGCCTCGAACTCCTGGGCTCAAATGATCCTCCCACCTTAACCTCCCGAGTAGCTAGGACTACAAGAATGCACCATCACACCCAACTAATTCATTTTTTTTTTATTTTTAGAAACAGGGTCTTACTATGTCGCTCAGGCTGGTCTTGCAATCCTCCCATCTCAGCTTCCTGTGTAGCTGGAATTACAGGCATGAGCTACCACACCCTCAACATCAGTATTTTAATAGACTATGGAATTGCTGAATTAGTACATTTTCTTTCACTCATTCATTCAACAAACACATACTGAATGTGCATTATGAGCCAGGCACACCACCAGGCACTAGGGATGCATGAGTGAATTAAAAAGGACAGGGTTGGGCCAGGGCGCAGTGACTCACGCCTGTAATCTCAGCACTTTGGGAGGCCGAGGCGGGTGGATCCCTTGAGCTCAAGAGTTTGGGACCAGCCTGGGCAACATGGTGAAACCCCATCTCTACTAAAATTACAAAAATTAGCCAAGTATGGTGGTGCGTACCTGTAGTTGCAGCTACTCAGGAGGCCAAGGTAGGAGGACTGCCTGAGCCCTGGAAGTCAAGGCTGCAGTGAGCCAAAATTGTACCACTGCACTCCAGCCTGGGCAACAGAGTAAGACCCTGTCTAATAAATAAATAAATAAAAGGACAGGGTTCCTGCCCTCTTGGAGCTTACAATCACATGAGGAAAGGTGAGCAACAAGCAACAAGCCAGTAAACAAATATGATTTAATTACGATTTTTTTTTGAGATGGAGTCTTGCTGTGTGGCCCAGGCTGCAGTGCAATGGCACAATCTCAGCTCACTGCAACCTCCGCCTCCTGGGTTCAAGTGATTCTCCTGCCTCAGCCTCCTGAGTAGCTGGGACTACAGGCACCCGTCACCATACCCAGCTAATTTTTGTATTTTTAGTACAGACGGGGGTCTCACCAGCTTGGCCAGGCTGGTCTCGAACTCCTGACTTCAGGTGATCCACCCACCACGGCCTCCCAAAGTGCTGGGATTACAAGGGTGAGCCACCGCGCTTGGCCTAATTACAAATTTAGAAGCCTGTTTCAACTATCTAAGTGGACTTGAACCAAGAAGGGGGATTAGAGATCCACCTTGATCTCCGTTGGAGGCATTGGAGATGCCGTGGGATGGGTGGACTTGAGATATTACTGTAGGGAGAAAACACAGGTGGCAGGGTTGGAAATGAGAGGTGAGTGAGAGTGAGAAGCAGGACGACATCCAGGTTTACAGCTTGAGCACTAGAGGACCAACCCGAGAGACACAGTGAAATAAGAACAGGATTTAATGTAGGAGAGACGGTTCCAGTGCCAACCAGCCGGTTCCCAGTGCTGAGTGAGGAATCTGTGACATGTCTTGTCACTTGTTTGTGACTTAATTTCTTCATCTGGAAAAGTGTTGATAATAATATATCTCAAAACAGGCCGGGCACGGTGTCTCATGCTTGTAATCCCAGCACTTTGGGAGGCTGAGGAGGGTGGATCACTTGAGGTCAGGAGTTTGACACCAGCCTGGCCAACATGGTGCCAACATGGTGCAACCCCGTCTCTACTACAAATACAAAAAAATTAGCCAGGCGTGGTGGTCGGCGCCTGTAATTTCAGCTACTTGGGAGGTTGAGGCAGGAGAATCCCTTGAACCTAGGAGGCGGAGGTTGCAGTGGGCTGAGATCATGCCAATGCACTCCAGCCTAGGCAACAGAGTGAGACTTCATCTCAAAATAGTAATAATAATAATATATCTCAAAACAGAGTTGACATGAAAATGAAACAAAATAAGACAATGCGTATTGGCTGGGTGTGGTGGCTCACACCTGTAATCCCAGCACTTTGGGAGGTCAAAGCAGGAGGATCTCTTGAGCCCAGAAATTTGACACCAGTCTGGGCAACACAATGAGATCCCGTTTCTCTTAAAAAAAAAAAAAAAAGATTATTTCTTTTTCTTTTCCTTTTTTTTTTTTTTTTGGAGACGGAGTCTCGCCCTGTCTCCCAGGCTGGAGTGCAATGGTGCAATCTTGGCTCACTGCGAGCTCCGCCTCCCAGGTTCACGCCATTCTCCTGCCTCAGCCTCCTGAGTAGCTGGGACTACAGGCGCCCGCCAAAACGCCTGGCTAATTTTTTTGTATTTTTAGTAGAGACGGGGTTTCACCATGTTAGCCAGGATGGTCTCGATCTCCTGACCTCGTGATCCGCCCGCCTCGGCCTCCCAAAGTGCTGGGAATATAGGCGTGAGCCACAGCACCCGGCCAAGTGTTGTAAAATGTTTCTTAATTGACTGGGCGTGGTGGCTCACACCTGTAATCCCAGCACTTTGGGAGGCTGAAACCTGCAGATCATCTGAGTTTGGGAGTTCAAGACCAGCTTGACCAATATGGAGAAACCCCGTCTCAACTAAAAATACAAAATTAGCCAGGCATGGTGGCACACGCCTGTAATCCCAGCTACTTGGGAGGCTGAGGCAGGAGAGTCAGTTGAAGCCGGGAGGTGGAGGTTGCGGTGAGCTGAGATTGCACCATTGCACCCCAGCCTGGGCAACAAGAGCGAAACTCCATCTCAAAAAAAAAATTTTTTTTTCTTAATTTTTACCTTTTAGACATTCTCCTCTCAATTTTCCCTTTCTTCGTCTTAACAATTCCACTTGGATCCACCGTTGTCATAGTTATTAAAAGCTTCTCAGACTGTATCTTTTAGCTGTTCTCTCCTGAGCATACCTGTATTGCCAGTCACCCAATGATCTCAAAACGCTTTGTAGATTACGACCATTATTTATTTTATTCTTCTTATTTTTTTTTTGAGACAGGGTCTCCCTCTGTCACCTGCCTTACCCTCCTTAGTAGCTGGGACTACAGGTGGGCACCACCACACCACACCCTGCTAATTTTTGTATTTTTAGTAGAGACTGGGTTTCTCCATGTTGCCCAGACTGGTCTTGAACTCCTGGGCTCAAGGGATCTGCCCACCTTGGCTTCCCAAAGTGTTGAGATTACAGGTGTGAGCCACTGTGCCCAGTGCCTTAAAGCTTTATAGAAAAAATAATGGCAGGCCGGGCACAGTGGCTCACACCTGTAATCCCAGCACTTTGGGAGGCCAAGGCAGGCAGGTCACCTGAGGTCAGGAGTTCGAGACCAGCCTCGCCAATGTGGAGAAACCCCGTCTCTACTAAAAATACAAAATTAGCCGGGTGTGGTGGCACATGCCTGTAATCCCAGCTACTCGGGAGGCTGAAGCAGGAGAATCACTTGAACCCGGGATGCGGAGGTTGCGGTAAGCCGAGATGGCGCCACTGCACTCCAGCCTGGGCAACAAGAATGAAACTCTGTCTCACAAAAAAAGAAAAGAAAAGAAAAGAAAAAATAATGGTCCGGAGCGGTGGCTCACACCTGTAATCCTAGCACTTTGGGAGGCCGAAGTGGGCAGATCACAAGATCAGGAGTTCGAGATCAGCCTGATCAACATGGTAAAACCCCGTCTCTACTAAAAATACAAAAATTAGCTGGATATGGTGGCAGGCCCCTGTAATCCCTGCTACTCGGGAGGCTGAGGCAGGAGAATCACTTGAACCTGGGAGGAGGAGCTGCAGTGAGCCGAGATCGCACCACTGCACTCCAGCCTGGGCAACGCAGTGAGACTCCGTCTTAAAAAAAAAGAAAGAAAGAAAGAAAAAAAATGTCTTAGGGCCCCTTTACAGAGAAAACATGCCACTCCAGCCTGTAGCTAAGCAGGTGTACCCCTGGTGGACAAGTGACTTACCCAGGACGATCACTGCCGAGGCCAGGATTTGGGAACATTCAAATGTAACTCGGTGGTTTCACATTTTACATGAAAGCATACTTCACGGTTTTAATTAGCAAGTGGAATAACTTCTACTTGCTCATGTTGTCAGCCCTACGTGTTGCCATCAACCACAGGGTAATTAGTGAGGGAAAGGATCAAGCGGCTTCTGTTGTGACAAAGAGTGCAGCATTTGTAGGTGATCCTTACCTAGGCTGGAAAATCGGGTACTTCCCTTGGTTGCCATTAGATGTCACTCGAGACAGGCAGGCATTTCCTCAGAGGTGGTTGTAGAACTAACTAACTGTAAAGGAATGCAGTCCTTTGGCTCCAAAAATGGATTCGACCTTGCTGCCCGGACTCGCCGCACTAGAAGTGCCAGGAAACGTTGTTTGATGGAGCGTGGAGGAAATATCCTGTTGCACCATATGTAATGGAAACCCTATTTCCCTGGAACCAAAACAGAATTCACGACCCAACAAGACTGCTCTCTCCCTCCCCCGCCAACCCCTAAATCTTTGTTAACCACAAGTTTCTTTTCTTTCTTTTTTTTTTGAGACCGAGTCTCGCTCTGTCACCCAGGCTGGAGTGCAGTGGCGCGATCTTGGCTCACCGTAAGCTCCGCCTCCTGGGTTCAAGCCATTCTCCTGCCTCAGCCTCCCGAGTAGCTGGGATTACAGGCGCCCACCACCACGCCCGGCTAATTTTTTTGTATTTTTAGTAGAGACGGGGTTTCACCGTTGTAGCCAGGATGGTCTTGATCTCCTGACCTCGTGATCCGCCGGCCTTGGCCTCCCAAAGTGCTGGGATTACATGCGTGAGCCACTGCGCCCGGCCAACCACAAGTTTCAATTCTTTGTGGTTACAAAAGAACAGAAATAATGTTTTCCCATTTACTTAATAAACTCAGAAGCTGCATTTTCTCTGCCTTCTATGAAACATATCTTCCCTTTCTACTAGACTCTTTTTTGGTTTTATGGCTCAAGGGCAGAAAGTTGTGGAATTTATTCTCTTTTCACTTCTAAAACATTTTCAGACTTAGATTGCTCAGTGGCAAAGTCTGATGTCTTCCTCTCTGGTTAGGATCCTGAATGTATGGACATTTTGTCTTAGGAGCAAAAATGAAATAATGCACACAGTGTGTTTAGCTCAGAGTCTAACCCTCAGCAAGCTCTTAAATGTAAGCTACAGCTGGGCACAGTGGCTCATGCCTGTAATCCCAGCACTTTGGGAGGAGGCCGAGGTGGGCGGATCACTTGAGGGCAGGAGTTCGAGACCAGCCTGGCCAACATGATGAAACCCTGTCTCTACTAAAAATACAAAAATTAGCCATGCGTGGTGGCAGGCACCTGTAATCCCAGCTACTTGGGAGGCTGAGGCAGGAGAATTGCTTGAACCCGGAAGGTGGAGATTGCAGTGAGCCGAGATTGCACCGTTGCACTACAGCCTGGGCAACAGAGCGAGACTCAGTCTCAAATGAAAAAAAAGTAAGCTACTACTACTACTGCTATTATTATTGTATGTCTGGATCATGACAGTAAGATAATTGCCAGTTAGAACCTAGAGGAACAAGATTGGTTGCAAGGATGCAAGCCTGCCCCAAGCCCCCACCCCCAAGGCATCTGGGCACCCTGAACCAGGCTGTCACCGGGAACAACCCCCTCTCCGAGCAATCTGACCACAGGAGAAGGTGAAGTAACGTGGCATAATGAAAACCAATAGTTTTGGTGGTAACAGACACTGTTTACTGGCTGTGTTTTATATGACAATACAGCTAAGGGTTTTTTTTTTTTTTTTTTTTTTTGAGATGGAGTCTCGCTGTGTCGCCCAGGCTGGAGTGCAATGGCGCAATCTCAGCTCACTGCAAGCTCCGCCTCCCAGGTTCACGCCATTCTCCTGCCTCAGCCTCCCGAATAGCTGGGACTACAGGCACCTGCCACCACGCCCGGCTAATTTTTTGTATTTTTAGTAGAGACGGGGTTTCACCGTGTTAGCCAGGATGGTCTTCATCTCCTGAGCTCGTCATCCACCCGCCTCGGCCTCCCAAAGTGCTGGGATTTACAGGCGTGAGCCACCGTGCCCGGCCTGGGTTTTAATTGGCAACTAGAATGTCCACTCTATTAAGCCTGTCTTTAACCCTTCTTATTACAAGCAATTAAATTAGGAGGAGAACTAACTCGTACAGAATACTGACTATGTTTTCGGGCCCTGTGCTGGACACTTGGCATAATTTCTCAACTAACTTCTGCAAACCTCAGAGTCCTCATCTATAATAATGTAAGGTGTGTGAGAAATAATTGATAATGTCCATTTTCCTGCTTTCTAGAGGCTTGTTTCATTTGCAAACAGGATAGGAGTGCTTGCATATCAATTCTAATGCTTCTGCTTTTCCAATCCTTTCTCTTTTTTGGCCTAGCTGAGTGTTTTATGAGACTTCACTCAGTCACAAAGCCCCCGGAAGTTTACCAATACTGCCTCTGTTCTGAGCTCCAAAGAAATCAAGCAACTTGCTTCCAAGTTCTGCTGGCAGCTTCTCTGGGGCTAACAATCAACCCGTTCCTGAATCTTTGGCCCTGCTCAAGAAATCAAATCTCCATCCTCTCCCAAATTAACATGAGCATTTGGTCTTTAGGAAAATTAAATCTCTATAAGTATCCTGAGCTAAGATCAATATAAATACCAGAACTGCCTAGCAACCAGAACGGATTACTCATTCTCTCTGATATTTAGCTGTGTCAGATGGGGAAAACCTTTTGCTTTATATAGCTGCGCTTACGTACACCCAGGCTGAAGATGAATCAGGGAAGCCGCTCCAAATGCAAGGGAAGTGAAAATAGAGTGAAAGACAGGAGGGATCCTTCCTGATATTCTGTGCAGAGAAAATTCTTCACCAGATTCCGTCCTGGTTTGGAGGCCATGAAAGGAGGGGCCTGAACCACAGGCCTCCGTGTAACTGAGGAGTTAGAAATTGAACACAAATAGAGGCCGGGCACAGTGGCTCACGCCTGTAATCCCAGCACTTTTGGAGGCTGAGGTGGGCGGATCACTTGAGGCCAGGAGTTTGAGATCAGCCTGGCCAACATGGCGAAACCCTGTATCTACTAAAAATACGAAAATTAGCCAGGTGTGGTGGTGCGCGTGTGTAATCCCAGCTACTTGGGAGGCTGAGGCATGAGAATTGCTTGGACCCGGGAGGCGGAGTTTGCAGTGAGCTGAGACCATGCCACTGCACTCCAGCCTGGGTGACACAGTGAGACTCCGTCTCAAAAAAAAAAAAAAAAAAAAAAAGAAAGAAAGAAAGAAATTAAACACAAATAGAAGATGAAAGAATTTGAACGTGCTTTCATTTAGTTTTAAAGGGACAAAGGCTTAGTGAACATCTTAAAGTACAAACTGTGATGAAAGACAACCACTGTTGCTTTCCCTATTTATTGGAAACCAGACAAATTCTAGCTTAGCAAATTCAGGTTAGATCAAGTGGGACCTTTTTGACGTGAGTTAAATACTGGAATGTGTTACTGAGGCTGCAGAATATCTTTCAGTTGCGGTGATTAGGTACCTGTTTTTTTGGCATAAGGTCGGAGGCAAGGCAGTGAACTCTCTAAGCTCTCTAAATATATTTAATATATTATATCTAAGCTCTGTAAATCTATAATAATACATAGTGGCCAGATGTGGTGGCTCATGCCTGTAATCCCAGCACTTTGGGAGGCTGAGGTAGGAGGATCGCTTGAGCCCAGGAGTTTGAGACCAGCCTGGGCAACATGGCGAAACCCTGTCTCTACAAAAAGTAGAAAAATTAGCCAGGCATGGTGGTGCCTGTGGTCCTAGCTACTTGGGAGGCTAAAGTAGGAGGATCATTTGAGCCCGGGAGGCGGAGGTTTCAGCGAGCCGAGATCATGTCACTGGACTCCAGCCTGGGTGACAAAGTGAGACCCTGTCTCGAAAAATAAATAAATAAATAAACATAGTTACCCTATTAACAGTGTGGCACAAATAGCCCTGTTTATCCAATAAACAGGTGTGCCTAGGACTTCAACAAGTTTAAATTTGTCAAGTCGATCATAGATAAATATAAGATCTGTACATTTTACAGAACAGAAGCTGGACTCCAGCAGCCAGGGGGAGAATGCAGGAAGGAATCCTTGCTCTTTTCACATAGCCTCTGATCATTGTCTCTTCCACACTGTCCTTGGGACTCTCTAGCAGCTGAAGGCAAAGCTATGTGACCCCAAGTATGTCTGTCCAGGAGGGAAGAAAAGCATCTAAACCCTAGGGGAATGTCGGCAATGTGGGCTTGGCAAATGGGGAATGCCGGGAATGAGACCACAGTCCACGGTTCAGATAGCCCAGTGTGGCTCGCCCCGCCCTGATATCCTTCATGAAAATGAAGCGAGGCGGCTCCTGGAGAGGGGCTCTCTGCTTTGGAAGCTGTAAATTCTGCTTCTGAATCATATTGCTTTTCTGAGCCCATGTGTCTTAATATAGCTAGAAAGATTTCATCCAGTCTGGCTCAGGCTGCAGAGAACTAAATATGTTGTCAAAATACTCCCTAAACTCAGGGTCCAACAAGACCACACAGGCAGCTGTCTTTATTATCACACTGTTCTGCCTAATACTTAGCAAAATATTTGTGAGAATGCTCCCATCGCGGTGCTCTTCAACATGAATTTCCCTTGGAGGTAGTTTTTTAAGTTAAAGAGAATTTCTGGGAGGATACTCATATATTAGTTGCCTCAGAGTAGGAAACCTAAGAGGTAGGGGACAGGGGTGGGAGAGTGACATATTTTTCACTGTATACCTCTTTATGTCTTTTTTTTTTTTTTTTTTGAGATGGAGTCTTGCTTTGTCATCCAGGCTGGAGTGCAGTGGCGCTATCTCAGCTCACTGCAACCTCTGCCTCCCGCATTCTCCTGCCTCAGCCTCCCTAGTAGCTGGGATTACAGGCGGCCACCACCATGCCTCGCTAATTTTTGTATTTTTGTAGAGACGGGGTTTCACCATGTTGGCCAGGCTGGTCTCAAAATTCCTGACCTCGTGATCCACCCACTTTAGCCTCCCAAAGTGCTGGGATTACAGGCGTGAGCCACCGCGCCCGGCCATTTCCCTGTCTTTTTTAGCTCTGGATTTAACTAATCATCACAACAACCTCATCTACCTTTTGCTGACCACTTCCTCCACATCTTCTGTTCATTATCTCATTTAACAAGCCAACGAGAAAGTTCCATTATTATTCAAATTCTACAGACAAGGAAACTGAGGCTTAGAAAGAAGTCCCTTTGTCAGTTAAGTATCAGATCTAGAATTCAAACTTGGGTCTGTCTGACTAGCCACAGCTTGTAACCCCCACACCTACTGCCTCAGTAGCTGTAAGAACACTGAAGTATTAAACTGCATCAAACACATTAGAAACTTTCTCGGCCGGGCGCGGTGGCTCACGCCTGTAATCCCAGCACTTTGGGAGGCCGAGGTGGGCGGATCACAAAGTCAGGAGATCGAGACTGTCCTGGCAAACATGGTGAAACCCCGTCTCTACTAAAAATACAAAAAATTAGCCGGGCATAGTGGTGGGTGCCTGTAATCCCAGCTACTCTGGAGGCTGAGGCAGGAGAATGGCGGGAACCCGGGAGGCGGAGCTTGTAGTGAGCCGCGATGGCGCCACTGCACTCCAGCCTGGGCGACAGAGCGAGACTCCGTCTAAAAAAAAAAAAAAAAAAAAACAACTTTCTAACACGTTTCAACCAATTTCCTGGCTGGTCCCAGTGCAGTGGTGTTTACAGCTAGTTGATCACAATCAGAGATTTTTATGTTCCTTCTCCAATCCCACTGCTTCACTTGACTAGCCTTTAAAAATAAATAAATAGGCTGGGCGTGGTGGCTCACGCCGGTAATCCCAGCACTTTGGGAGGCCGAGGCGGACAGATCACCTAAGGTCAGGAGTTTGAGACCAGCGTGGCCAACATGGCAAAACCCCACCTCTACTAAAAGTACAAAAATTAGCCGGGCATTGTGGCATGTGCCTGTAATCCCAGCTACTCAGGAGGCTGTGGCAGGAAAAGCTTGAACCCAGGAGGCCAAGGTTGCAGTGAGCCGAGATCGCACCACTGCACTCCAGCCTGGGCAACAAGAGCAAGACTCCGTCTCAACAATACGATACCATACGATATGATACAATACAACTCTAAAACACACTAAAGTGGCCGGGCGCAGTGGCTCACGCCTATAATCCCAGCACTTTGGGAGGCCGAGGCAGGCGGATCAAGAGGTCAGGAGATCGAGACCATCCTAGCTAACATGGTGAAATCTCATCTCTACTAAAAATACAAAAAATTAGCCAGGCGTGGTGGCGGGCACCTGTAGTCTTAGCTACTTGGGAGGCTGAGGCAGGAGAATAGTGTGAACCCGGGAGGAGGAGCTTGCGGTGAGCTGAGATAGCGCCACCGCACTCCAGCCTGGGCAACAGAGCGAGACTCCATCTCAAATAAATAAATAAATATAAATAAATAAAAAATAAAAGACACTAAAGAAGCACATTTAATGCATGCTCTTTGACAGCAAAGCTGGGTTTTCAGTACATGTCTTTTCATGTTGGAGACAAACTATTTCTGCAGGATTACTGGCCAGCCAGTTTACCAAAGTATGAGGTCTCTGGTCCCCTACAACCAAATCCTGAGCAAGGTCCCTCTTAGTGGGACACATCGTAAACAGCATTCAAACGGAAAGGGAAACCTTGGCTAGGGGCAGTGGCTTATTATGCCACTTTGGGAGGCCAAGGCAGGCGGATCACCTGAGGTCAGGAGTTCAAGACCAGCCTGACCAACATGGTGAAACCCCATTTCTACTAAAAATACAAAACTAGCCAGGCATGGTGGAGGGTGCCTGTAATCCCAGCTACTTGGGAGGCTGAGGCAGGAGAATTGCCTGAACCTGGGAGGCGGAGGTTGCAATAAGCTGAGATTGCACCACTGCACTCCAGCCTGGACAACAAGAGCGAAACTCCATCTAAAAAAAAAAAAAAAAGAGCTGTGAGAATCTTAGAAGCCCCATGAAAGGACAAACCCCTGCATTACTAGTAGTTTCTATGGACACAAGAAGAAAGGACAGGATTGCAATGAAAACTAACCAAGCAGCCCGCAATTCAAGAGGAGGCTGCAGAAGGCCAGGTGGAATAACAGCTGATAATATATCACACACTTGCACAAAGCTTCTGTCATCCAAAGATAGAACAGGGGTTTTACAAACAGCCATCAATTACTCCAACTTTTTGTGGTGAAAATCAAGGCAGGGATCTGGAAATCATGTTTAAATAAAGCTGCCTTCCTTACGGAGCTCATTCCTGCTGTTAGAGGAGGCTTTATAAGCGTATTCTTGATAGTCTTTGCAGTTCAAAAGTATCTCCACGTGCATGATTTCATCTGAGTGAGCAAGCGTCCTGTCTTCCTCTAGTGCTGGTATCCAATACCCTCTCTCTCTACATGCCCCAACAAATAACCAAGTGAGGTGGGCTGCCTTGGAATAGCAGCCCCTGGAAGGCAGCAGCAAGCAGGGTTCCAAGTCTGCAGGCTCTGACCAGGGTAGAACATCTGGGGAGATAGACTTGATTTCAAACAATGAGGGTCATGGTGATTCAGTGTTGGCACTAGAACAAAATGTAGGAGAGATTTCTCCCACCTTCAAAGTTTGCATCCATGATGCCCTTTTTTTTTTTTTTTTGATATGGAGTTTCACTCTGCTGTCTGGGCTACAGTGTAGTGGCGCAATCTTAGCTCACTGCAACCTCCGCCTCCGGGGTTCAAGCGATTCTCGTGCCTCAGCCTCCAGAATAGCTGGGATTACAGGCATGTGTCGCCACGCACAGCTAATTTTTGTATTTTTAGTAGAGACAGGGTTTCACCATGTTGGCCAGGATGGTCTCAATCTGTTGACCTCGTGATCCACCCACCTCAGCTTCCCAAAGTTCTGGGATTACAGGCATAAGCCACCGCACCTGGCCTTATTTTTAAAATAAATAGAGACGTCCAACTCCTGGGCTCCAGCGATCCTCCTGCCTCAGCCTCTCAAAATGCTGGAATTATAGGCATGAGCCACTGCACCCGGCCAAATGTTTATTTTTTAGGAATATAATTTTTTTCCTAGGTTCAGCTGGTATTACAATGCTAAGAAGGAAGAAAAGCCTGTTGTGTATGTTTTTATATTTTAAAAATTTGGGTTTTTTTTCGAACTAGATAAATTTGGTCTTTATCATCTGTTGGATGCTCATGCTTGTGCCTGGCTCATTTCAAGAGCATGATGAATGAAAATTTTAAAGAGCAGGGCGGGAGAAATCTCTCTGACATTTTGTTTCAGCGCCGACACTGAGTCACCATTACCCTCATTTGTGGACCACAGATTTTAAAACATCTTTGACCAAGTTGTTCCTCTGCAACCTTGAATAGCCTGGTTGTATTTATTTATTTGAGATGGAGTCTTGCTCTGTCACCCAGGCTGGAGTGCAGTGGCGCAATCTCAGCTCACTGCAACCTCCGCCTCCCAGGTTCAAGCAATTCTCTGCCTCAGCCTCCAGAGTAGCTGGGATTACAGGTGCCCACCACCATGCCCGGCTAATTTATGTATTTTTAGTAGAGATGGGATTTCACCGTCTTCCAGGCTGGTCTTGAACTCCTGACCTCATGATCCACCCGCCTCAGCCTCCCAAAGTGCTGGGATTATAGGCGTGAGCTACCACGCCTGGCTAACTAGGTTGCTTATTAAGGACAAAGAAAACAAGGTTGCATACTGTACCTTCAAGTTAAGCTCGAATTTTCCCTTTTGGTCTGGAAGCTGGAATGGCATGTTCACATTGGCTGGGGTCACCAGGGGTGTGTGAAGCAAGCATCTGCTCCCTAAATAATGTGCCCTATCCTCTTGCAAACTCAGACAGCAATGGAAATCAGCCTAATGTCTCCCACTGTGGAAAGGGTGTGATGAATGACAAGCTTAGGGTTTATTTTCAGTGTCCACTCACAGTCCATTTATTGTGTGATACTGAATAAAACTACTTATCCTGGTTGTCCCACATTTCTGCCTTCCAGAACATGGATACGGTGTTGATACATCTGCAGGGATGTCTTAATAGGAAGAGAGGTCAGTGGTAGAAAGCCCTGTGAGTACTCAAAAAAAATGTGTGGGAATTCAAGGGTTTAGTACTAGAAAGGCAAATAGATCTGAACTTCAGTCTAATAAAGACATCCAAGGAGTTCTATTTTTTCTTTTTTTTGTTTTTGTTTTTGTTTTTTCTTTGAAACGGACTCTCATTCTGTTGCCCAGGCTGGAGTGTAGTGGCGTGATCTCGGCTCACTGCAACCTCCACCTCCCAGGTTCAAGCAGTTCTCCTGCCTCAGCCTCCCAAGTAGCTGGGATCACAGGTGCCTGCCACCAAGCCTGGCTAATTTTTGTATTTTTAGTAGAGATGGGGGGGAGTTTCACCATGTTGGTCAGTCTGGTCTTGAACTCCTGACCTTGTGATCTGCCCACCTAAGCCTCCCAAAGTGCTGGGGTTACAGGCGTGAGCCACTGAGCCCAGCTTTATTTACTTTTTTTTTTTTGAGACTGAGTCTCACACTGTCGCCCAGGCTGGAGTACAGTGGTGCGATCTCAGCTCCCTGCAACCTCCACTTCCCAGGTTCAAGCGATTCTCCTGCCTCAGCCTTCTGAGTAGCCAGGATTACAGGCGTGTGCCACCACGCCCGGATAATGTTTGTATTTTTTTTAGTAGAGATGGGTTTTCACCATGTTGGCCAGGCTGGTCTCGAACTCCTGACCTCAGATGATCCGCCCACCTTGGCCACCCAAAGTCTTGGGATTACAGGCATGAGCCGCTGTGCCCAGCCTGTAAGCCACCACGCCTGGCCCCAAGGAGTTATAAAGTTCATTCGTTTCTAAACCACACGCTAACCACACCCCATGATAAAATCAAAACAAAACCAAGGCAACAACTTGTGTCCCTCAGCCTTCTCTTCCTAGACAAACTGCTCAGCCACAGGGTATCTCTTCCTGAGCACAAGAGGACTGCTTTCCCAGAGAGAGAGCATCTCCATTTATTAGCTGACATCGCTTACAGTCATTGCTGTGCCAACTCACCCCTGACCCCATCCCCTCACCTGGAGAAAGTGGCAAAAAGGAATAGTGACAACTTGGACATCTGACACCACCAACCTGGCAAGGGACTGTCAAACGCTAAGCAGAGGCCAGGTGTGGTGGCTCACATCTGTAATCCCAACACTTTGTGAGGCTAAGGTGGGCGGATCACCTGAGATCAGGAATTGGAGACCAACCTGGCCAAAATGGCGAAATCCCATCTCTACTGAAAATACAAAAATTAGCCAGGCACGGTGATGGGCACCTGTAGTCCCAGCTACTGGGGAGGCTGAGGAAAGGATCCTGGGCAAAAAGTTGCACGTGAGCTGATACAAACACATCACTCCCCTTACACAAGGAGGAATAACCATATGGGGAAATGACCTTCCATAAGGAAGTGCAACAGGCAACAGTTATTCCTCTGGGGGCATCTTCCTTCTCGGGGCAACTCATCACCTCTCAGATTTGAGTATACTCAGAAGTGATCAGGCCATTGGGTCAGGCAGGTGCTAACTGTGCTAACCAGGAATCTTAAGACTGATGCATGAGGCTGGGCACGAGGGCTCATGCCTGTAATCCCAGCACTTCGGGAGGCTGAGGGCATATGGCTTGAGGCCAGGAGTTTGAGACCAGCCTGGGCAATGTGGCGAAACCCCACCTCTTACAAAAACTAAAAAAAGAGTTAGTCAAGTGTGGTGGCTTGCACCTGTAATCCCAGCTACTTGGGAGGCTGAGGTAGGAGGATCACTTGAGCCTGGAAAGTTGAGTCTGCAGTGAGCCATAATTGTGCCACTGCACTCCAGCCTGGGCAACAGAGCAAGACCTTGTCTCAAAATAAATAAATAATAAAAGAATAAAAAAAATTAGCTAGGTGTAGTGGCACCTGCCTGTAGTCCCAGTTACTGGGGAGGCTGAGGTGGGAGGATTGCTTGAGCCCAGGAGCTGGAGGCTGCCGTGGAGCTGCAATTGTGTCACTACACTCCAGCCTGAGTGACAGAGCCAAAACCCTGTCTCAAAAACGAAACAAAATACAACAAAAATATGTCAGGCATGGTAGTTCATGCCTCTAATCCCAGCACTTTGGGAGGCCGAGGAGGGCAGATCACTTGAGGTCAGGAGTTCAAGCCAGCCTGGTCAACATGGTGAAACCCCCATCTCTACTAAAAATACAAAAATTAGCTGGACGTGGTGGTGCACACTTGTAATCCCAGCTACTTGGGAAGCTGAGGCGGGAGGATCATTTGAACCAGGAGGTGGAGATTGCAGTGAGCCGAGATTGTGCTCCTGCATTCCAGTCTGGGTGACACAGCGAGAGTCCGTCTCTAAATAAATAAATAAAGACCAATGTATGAACACATTGGAGCCACAATTGTGCCACTGCATTCTGGCCTGAGCCACAGAGCAAAACTCTGTCTCTAAAAAAATTAAAAAGGCCGGGTGCGGAGGCTCACTCCTGTAATCCCACCACTTTGGGAGGCCAAGGCAGGCAAATCACCTGAGGTCAGGAATTCAAGACCAGCCTGGCCAACATGGTGAAACCCTGTCTCCACTAAAAATACAAAAATTAGCTGGGAGTGGTGGCGGGCGCCTGTAATCCCAGCTACTAGGGAGGCTGAGGTGGGCAAATCGCCTGGGGTCAGGAGTTCGAGACCAGCCTGGCCAACATGGCGAAACCCCGTCTCTACTAAAAATACAAAAATTAGCCGGGCGTTGTGGCATTTGCCTGTAATCCCAGCTGCTCGGGAGGCTGAGACAGGAGAATTGCTTGAACCTGGGAGGCGGAGGTTGCAGTGGGCAGAGATTGTGCCATTGCACTCCAGCCTGGGCAACAGAACGAGACTGCCTCTCAATAAATAAAATAAATAAATAAATACTGATGTATGAACCGAATAGATGACGAATTCCCTCACTACAGGAGGAGGTATAGCGAAGCAGTTAAGAACCTACCTCTTTACCCACATGACCCAGCAGTGCCACTCCTAGGCATCTACCCAGGAAAATGGAAAATACACGTCCACACAAAAACTCTTACATGAATGTTCATAGCAACATTACTCATAATAGCCAAAAAAAAAAAAAAAAAAAAAGGAAACAATCTAAATGTTCATCAACTAACTGATGAACAGGAAAACAAGTGTGATATATCCATATACTAGAATAGTATTCAGCCCTAAAGAGGAATGGAATGCTGATACATGTTATGACATGGATGAACCTTGAAAGCATCATGCTAAGTGACAGAAGCCAGGTGCAAAAGTCCACATAGTATATGATTCCATTTATATGAAATGTCCTAAATAGAAAAATCCATGGCCGGGCACGGTATCTCACGCCTGTAATCCCAGCACTTTGGGAGGCCGAGGTAGGCGAATCACCTGAGGTCAGGAGTTCGAGACCAGCCTCACCAACATGGCAAAACCCTGTCTCTACTAAATACAAAAAATTAGCCAGGCATGGTGGCGGATGCCTGTAATCTCAGCTACTTGGGAGGCTGAGGCAGGAGGATTGCTTGAACCTGGGAGGCAGAGGTTGCAGTGAGCCGAGATTGCGCCATTGCACTCCAGCATGGGCAAGAAGAACGAAACTCCGTCTCAAAAAAAAAAATAAATAAATAAATAGAAACATCCACAAAGACAGAAAGTAGACTAGTGATGGCCTGGGCTGGGGGAGGCAGTGACGGGGAAATAGAAATGACTGCTCAGGGGTGCAGGGTTTCTTTTTTGAGGTGACACAAACATTCTAAAATTGGTTGTGGTGATGGTTACCCAATTTTGTGAATATTCTAAGTGTCATTGACTGGTATACTTTATTTTATTTTATTTGAGACGGGGTGCAGTGGCACAACCTTGGCTCACTGCCACCTGTGCCTCCCAGGCTCAAGCGATCCTCCCACCTCAGCCTCCCAATAGCCGGGACTTCAGGCGTGTACCACAATGCCTGGCTAGTTTTTTGGTATTTTTGGTAGAGATGGGGTTTTGCCATGTTGCTCAGGCTGGTCTTGAACCCCTGAGTTCATGCGATCCACCCACCTTGGCCTACTAAAGTGCTAGGATTACAGATGTGAGCCACTGCACCTGGCCAGACTGGCACACTTTAAATGGGTGAGTTGTATGGTATGTGGATTGTATTTCAACAAAGCTGTTTAACCCTTTTCCTGTTTGCCCAGAGAATACTTGTTGATGCTTGCGGCTGTAGTGTTTACCCTGAGATAATGTTGCAATGAAATATCTCATTTTTATTATTATTTTCATATCACTCTAGTATATTGACATTAGAAACAAAAGACATCATTCTATTTACAGCATTCTAGTTTTAGTAGTGGTATTTCCATCTACAAAATATAGTAATCCTTGGCCGGGCGCGGTGGCTCATGCCTGTAATCCCAGCACTTTGGGAGGCTGAGGTGGGCGGATCACCTGAGGTCGGGAGTTCGAGACCAGCCTGACCAACATGGAAAAAACCCATCTCTACTAAAAATACAAAATTAGCCTGGCGTGGTGGCACATGCCTGTAATCCCAGCTACTTGGGAGGCTGAGGCAGGAGAATCGCTTGAACCTGGGAGGCGGAGGTTGCGGTAAGCTGAGATTGCACCATTGCACTCCAGCCCGGGCAACAAGAGCGAAACTCCATCTCAAAAAAAAAAAAAGTAATCCTCGATCGCTGAAAATGTCAAATCCTAGAAAACATAGCATTCCTACAAGTGATGTTAACATGTTCTCAAACAGTTGTTGGCCAAAGATTCATTTGATGAATTTGATTTTTCTGAAATAGATGATTTGGATGATTCAGACAGTTCTGATATTAGTTCTGTTTAGAAATAAATCCAAGAACAGTTTTTATATTTTATTTTCACATTGAAAATCAATCAGATGGCTGGGCACGGTGGCTCACGCTTGTAATCCCAGCACTTTGGGAGGCCGAGGCAGGCAGATCACAAGTTCAGGAGTTCAAGAACAGCCTGGCCAACGTAGTGAAACTCCCTCTCTACTAAAAATACAAAAATCAGCTGGGCATGGTGGCGGGTGCCTGTAATCCCAGCTACTCGGGAGGCTGAGGCAGGAAAATCGCTTGAACCTGGCAGGCGGAGGTTGCAGTGAGCCGAGATTGCGCCACTGCACTCCAGCCTGGGTGACAGAGCTAGACTCCATCTCAAAAAAAAAAAAAAAAAAATCAATCAGATTTCCTTCAGCCTCAAAGAGCATGTTTATGTAGAATTAAATCAGGGCTGGCAGCGAGCTGCACTTTTTTCTACTAAACAGGAAAAGGGTTAAAAAAAAAGACTCTGGCCTCAGTTTTTTCATCTCTGAAATGGAGATGATAGTTATTATATAAAGCACTTAGAACAGTGTGTAGTACATAGTAAGCCCTACATAATGGTTAACTATTACTGATATTATTATCATTACTGATATGTGTCTCCTAGGACACCCCTTAGCTGGTTTTAAGGCCCTCAAAAAGCTGAGTCAAAAGAATGCTTAGAAAGCACAAAGTCAGAAGTACGTGGACGTCCTTGTGGGATACTGCATCAGACCTTGGAAAGCCCTTCATTCTCTCATCTGTCAGTTATATGAATATGTGCCAGGCACTGCTCTTAGTGCTGGGAAAACAACAATGACCAAAATAGACACAATTTCCTGCTCGTATGAAGCTTTTATCTTAGTAGAGGAAGACTGAAAATGAACAAATAAACAAACAAAAAAATGGAGCAGGCGGAGATCAATATTCCGAAAAAACAAAAAGCAGGATGGAAACCGGGGAGCACGTTAGGTTGAGAGTCGAGGGAGTCCCCTCAGAGAAGGGGACATTCTGATCCTGAAAATGTCCTGGAGAAGGGCATTCTGGCTGTGGGAATAGCTGCTGCAAAGGTCCTGAAGAAGGAATGCACCAGGTATGTGGCAGGAAAAGAGAGAAGGCCAGTGTGGCTGGAATGTGTTGAGCTTGGAGGCAAGGAGTGGTGGGAAGCAAGGATGAAAACATAGGAAAAGCCTGCAGGTCATATGTGACAGCTGACTCCACGAGGGCCTCCGGTGAGCCCTGCCTTATTTTATTAATTTATTTGTTTTTTGAAGACAGAATCTCACTCTGTCACCCAGGCTAGCGTGCAGTGGAGCAATCTCGGCTCACTGCAACCTCTGCCTCCCAGCTTCAAGCGATTCTCCTGCCTCAGCTTCCCAAGTAGCTGGGAATACAGGTGCGCGACACTACCACCCAGCTAATTTTTGTATTTTTATTAGAGACGGGGTTTCACTATGTTGGCCAGGCTGGTCTCGAACTCCTGATCTCAAGTGATCCGCCCGCCTCGGCCTCCCAAAGTGCTGGGATTACAGGCATGAGCCACCATGTCCAGCCAATCCCTGCCTCTTGGTGTTAACTCCCTGTGTGGTCCCCCTCCACATTGAACAGGGCTATCCTGTGTCCGATAGGATATTAGAGAAATGATGGGGTGTGGCCGGGCATGGTGGCTCACGCCTGTAATCCCAGCACTTTGGGAGGCCCAGGTGGGCAGATCACGAGGTCAGGAGATTGAGACCATCCTGGCTAACAGTGAAACCCCGTCTCTACTAAAAATACAAAAAAATTGTCCAGGTGTGGTGGCGGGTGCCTGTAGTCCCAGCTACTCGGGAGGCTGAGGCAGGAGAATGGCATGAACCCAGGAGGCGGAGCTTGCAGTGAGCCGGGAACTCCAGCCTGGGCGACAGAGCGAGACCCCGTCTCAGAAAAAAAAAAAGAGAGAAATGATGGGTTGTGACTTCCAGGGATAGATCCTAAGAGACATTGAGGCCTCCTCCTTGTTCTTGCTTGGATCATTTGCTCTGGGGGAAGCCAGAAGCCATGTCCTGAGGACACTCAAACAGCCCAGTGGAGAGTCCACATCATGGGAACTGAGGCCTCCTGTCAACACCCAGCATTAACTTTTCATGTGAGTGAGGCACCTTGGGTGTCCTAGCCCCAGCCAAGCCTTCCAATGACTGCAGCCCTGGCTGAGATCTTGACTTTAACCTCATGACCCCAGAGCCAGGATTAGCCATCAGAGCTGCTCCCAGATTCCTGACCCACAGAAACTGTCTGAGATAATAGATGTGTATTGTTTTTTTTAAACTCTCTCTCTTTAAATTTTTTTTCCTTTGCTTTTCCTGTAAGTCAGGAAACAAAGATACATGTATTTATTTACTTATTTTTTTTGAGACAGGGTCTCGCTCTGTCACCCAGGCTGGAATGCAGTGGCGCAATCTAGGTTCACTGTAACTTCCACCTCCTGGGCCCAAATGATCCTCCAACTTCAACCTCCCAAGTAGCTGGGACTACAGGCATGTGCCACCATGCCCAGCTAATTGTTGTAGTTTTTGTAGAGACAGGGTTTCATCATGTTTGCCAAGGTGGTCTGGAACTCCTGACCTCAGATAATCCATCTGCCTCAGCCTCCCAAAGTGCTGGGTTTACAGGCATGAGCCATCACGCCTGGCCCAGATTTGTATTGTTTACGGCACCAAATTCCAGGCCAATTTATTATGCAGTAATAGACTACCAATATACCATAAGGACTTGGGATTTTAGTCTAAGTATGATGGAATGCCATTTAAGGAGTTCATGCAGAGGAGGGTCATGACCTGACTTCTGGTGTGGAAAGACCTTCTGGCTACTGGGTGGAATCTGAATAATAGGGAGCTAGAGAAGAAGCAGGGGTCTAGTTAGGAGCTTTTTTTTTGAGACAGAGTTTCACTCTGTCACCCAGGCTGGAGTGCAGTGGCGCGATCTTGACTCACTGCAAACTCTGCCTCTCGGGTTCACACCATTCTCCTGCCTCAGCCTCCAGAGTAGCTGGGACTACAGGCGCCTGCGAGCACGCCCAGCTAATTTTTTGTATTTTTAGTAGAGACGGGGTTTCACCATGTTAGCCAGGATGGTCTCCATCTCCTGACCTCGTGATCCACCCGCCTCGGCCTCGCAAAGTGCTGGGATTACAGGTGTGAGCAACCACGCCCAGCCGGAGCTTTTTTTTTTTTTTTTTTTTTGAGATGGAGTCTTGCTCTGTCGCCCAGGCTGGAGTGCAGTGGCACAATCTCGGCTCACTGCAACCTCCAGCTCCCGGGTTCAAGTGATTCTCCTGCCTCAGCCTCCTGAGTAGCTGGGATTACAGGCGCCCACCACCACGCCTGGCTAATTTTTGTATTTTTAGTAGAGATGGGGTTTCACCATCTCAGCCAGGCTGGTCTTGAACTCCTAACTTCATGATCCACCCGCCTTGGCCTACCAAAGTGCTGGGATTACAGACATGAGCCACTGAGCCCAGCCTTTGTTTTTTTTTTTTTTGTTTTTGATTTTGAGACAGAGTCTCCCTCTATCGCCCAGGCTGGAGTGCAGTGGCATGATCTTGGCTCACTGCAACCTCTGCCTCCCGGGTTCAAGTGATTCTCCTGCCTCAGCTTCCTGAGTAGCTGGCACTACAGGCACATGCCACCACGCCCAGCTAATTTTTGGATTTTTAGTAGAGACGGGGTTTCACCATGTTGGCCAGGATGGTCTCGATCTCTTGGCCTCGTGATCCGCCCACTTTGGCTTCCCAAAGTGCTGGGATTACAGGTGTGAGCCACCACACCTGGTGTTAGGAGCTATTAAACTAGTACAACAGGTGTTGATGATGGCCGGGACCCAGGTTGTAGAGTTGGAAATGACAGAAGCGGACATATTAGGGTTATAATTGGAGTTAGAACCCACAGAACTTGCTGACAGATGAATATGGTAAGGGAGGCAAGGGAAGAAATCAAACATGCCAGGTTTTGGCTGAAGCAACTGGATATTCGGCGGTGCCGTTTCCTGCCAAGGGGAGGCGGCTGGGATTACCGGCACCATGCCCGGCTGTTTGTTATTTTTAAAGACAGTGTCTTACTCTGTTGTCTTGGCTAGAGTGTATTGAAGCTGTCATAGCTCACTGAGGCCTCCAACTCCTGCCCTCGAGCAATCTTCCTGCCTCAGCCTCTCAGAAAAAAGTATTTCTAAGATGGAGAAGGGTGGGCCAAAAATAGCTCTAACTGTTTCAGGAAGCATGTCTTGTTACCCTACAAGGCCCTGACCATTCACTGACAAAGAGTGCTTCTCTGCGCGATGTTTGACTGCCTCTCCAATACTCTCCATCCTGTTTCAAACAATGTGTCTCCCTCTGTAGATGAGCCAGTGTTCTACTGGACTGGGAGGAACCCAGCTACCTCCTCCCATTAGCGTACCTCCCATATTGAAGCAACTCAGTTTTTTATTATTTTTTGAGACGGAGTCTTGCTCTGTAGCCCAGGCTGGAGTGCAGTGGTGTGATCTTGGCTCACTGCAAGCTCCGCCTCCCGGGTTCATGCCATTCTCCTGCCTCAGCTTCCCAAGTAGCTGGGACTGCAGGCACCCGCCACAACACCCGGCCAATTTTTTTTGTATTTTTAGTAGAGACGGGGTTTCACTGTGTTAGCCAGGATGGTCTCAATCTCCTGACCTCGTGATCCTCCGGCCTCGGCCTCCCAAAGTGCTGGGATTACAGGCGTGAGCCACCTCGCCTGGCCCCAACTCAGTTTTAGAGAACCCCAGAGGCAGCTATATAAATATTGTTTAGGTACAGCAGGGGGCTTCTTTGGCCCTTATAGATCTAGACACTGTTACTTAAACCCTGTTCGAAAGACTTCTTTGAGGCCGGACGCAGTGGCTCACGCCTGTAATTCCAGAACTTTTGTAGGACAAGGTGGGTGGATCACTGAGGTCAGGAATTCGAGATCAGCCTGACCAACGTGGTGAAACCCCATCTTTACTAAAAATACAAAAATTAGCCAGGTGTGGTGGCAGGCGCCTGTAATGCCCCCTATTCAGGAAACTGAGGCAGGAGAATTGCTTGAACCTGGGAGGCGGAGGTTGCAGTGAGCCGAGATCACACCATTGCACTCCAACCTGGGCAACAGAGCGAGACTCTGTCTCAGAAAAAAAAAAAAAAAAAAAAGAAGACTTCTTTGCAGGATCATAGGATCATATGTTCTCATGGTTGCTTCTGGTTCCCATGAACTGGTTTACTTGAGGGACTCTCCCCCCATCCCATGGGTGTAGTTCCTTATCCAAGAGCACAGACTGAGATGTGAAACATACCCTTGCCACTTGTCACTAAACCAACTGCTCACACAAGGTTTCTATACATGTAGAGATCTCTGTAGGACAGTTGGGAAGATGCAGGGATTTACATCGTAGAAACGTGAGCAGCTTTCAATTCAGTGTCAGTGTTTTTTCTCCAAAAGTCCTCTGCCATTTCCACCGTTCAGGCTCCAGCTTCCTTACACATGGCTCAGCCTTCCTCTCTGCTCTCTCCTCTCTTTCTCTTCCAATTCTAAATTTTTGGTTCATTTTTAAAATGCATGCTGGGTGTGGTGGCTCACGCCTGTAATCCCAGCACTTTGGGAGGTCGAGGCGGGAGGATCTCTCGAGGTCAGGAGTTTTAGACCAGCCTGGCCAACACAGCAAATTGGAGTTAGAACCCACAGAACTTGCTCTACTAAAAATACAAAATTAGCCAGGTGTGGTGGCGCACGCCTGTGATCCCAGCTACTTGGGAGACTGAGGTGGGAGGATTTCTTGAACCAGGAAGGCAGAGGTTGCAGTGAGCCTAGATCACACCACTGCACTCCAGCCTGAGCAACAGAGCAAGACTCCATTTAAAAAAAAAAAAAAAAAAAAGCAGCTGGGCATGGTGACTCACGCCCTGTAATCCCAGCACTTTGGGAGGCTGAGGTGGGTGGATCACCTGAGGTCAGGAGTTCGAGACCAGCCTGGGCAACATAGTGAAACCCTGTCTCTCCTAAAAATACAAAAAATTAGCTGGGAGTGCTGGTGGGCACCTGTAATCCCAGCTACTAGGGAGGCTGAGGCAGGAGAATCGCTTGAACCCAGGAGGCAAAGGTTGCAGTGAGCCGAGATTGTGCCATTGCACTCCAGTCTGGGCAACAAGAGCGAAACTCCATCTCAAAAAAAAAAAAAAGCAGTCACTCCTCATTCTTCTCCCCACACCCCAGCCCCTGGCAACCATTTATGGCTGGGCATGGTGGCTGTCACCTGTAATGCCAGCACTTTGGGAGGCCGAGATGGGCAGATCACCTGAGGTCAGGAGTTCGAGACCAGCCTATCCAACATGGTGAAACCCCGTCTCTACTAAAAATACAAAAATTAGCCACGTGTGGTAGCGCGTGCCTGAATCCCAGATACCCGGGAGGCCGAGGCAGGAGAATCGCTGGAACCTGGGACATGGAGGCTGCAGCGAGCCAAGATCATGCCACTGTACTCTAGCCTGGGCAACAGAGTGAGACTCCGTCTCAAAAAATAAACAAATAAAAATAGGCCAGGCGCGGTGGCTCACGCCTGTAATCCCAACACTTTGGGAGGGTGAGGCGGGCGGATCACGAGGTCAGAAATCGAGACCATCGTGGCTAACATGGTGAAACCCTGTCTCTACTAAAAATACAAAAAATCAGCCGGGCGTGGTGGCGGGTGCCTGTAGTCCCAGCTACTTGGGAGGCTGAGAATGGCGTGAACCCGGGAGGCAGAGCTTGCAGTGAGCCGAGATTGCGCCACTGCACTCCAGCCTGGAAAACAGAGTGAGACTCCATCCCAAAATAAATAAATAAATAGATAAATGAATAATAAATAATAAAATAAAATAAAATAAAAACAGGCCAGGCATGGTAGCTCATGCCTGTAATCCCAGCACTTTGGGAGGCAAAGGGGGGTGGATCATTTGAGGTCAGGAGTTTGAGACCAGCCTGGCCAATATAATGAAACCCTGTCTCTACTAAAAATACAAAAATTAGCTGGGCATGGTGGCAGGTACCTGTAGTTCCAGCTACTCGGGAGGCTGAGGCAGGAGAATCACTCGAACCTTGGAGGCGGAGGTTGCAGTGAGCCGAGATCGCGCCACTGCACTCCAACCTAGATGACAAAGCGAGACTCCACCTCAATAAAATAAAATAAAATAAAATAAAAAATAAATAAATAAAATGCAGAGCATTTGGGCTCATTCTCTTACTGCTTTGATGCAGGCTGACCTGGGCTCTGGGTCTCATCTTTTCTTAAAACATTTACCAGTGATTTTCCTATGCAAAGACAGTTTCCTCCCCAGGAGGAATTTTGGTGTCACTGTTAGGACACAAATGTACATGTCAACAATCCCTCTGATAATCTGAGAGAAATTAAAAAGTAGTAAGGCACTATCCCTGCTCTCAAAGAGCTTAAAATTTAGTGAATGAAGTGATATTTACACCTCAAATGCTAAGAAGCCGTTCAAAAATAGTCAAGAATGCTAGGCAGAGATGACTGGGATTGGTATTTGGGAAATAAAGTGCCAGATAAGGTTTCTGGGATGGGAGTAGGGCTGGGTATCTCGTCAGCTAGTGCCTGGACCACCACGGCTGGCTACCTGTCCCCACTGGCTCCTGTCTCTCTCTCTCTCTTCTTTTTTTTTTTTTTTTTTCTGAGACAGAGTCTTGCTCTCTTGACCAGGCTGGAGTGCAGTGGTGTGATCTCGCCTCACTGCAACGTCTGCCTGCCAGGTAAAAGCGATTCTCCTGCTTCAGCCTCCCGAGTAGCTGGTCTTACAGATGTGCACCACCACTCCTGGCTAATTTGTATGTTTAGTAGAGACGTGGTTTCACCATGTTGGCCAGGCTGGTCTTGAACTCCTGACCTCAGGTGATCTGCCCGCCTCGGCCTCCCAAAATGCTAGGATTACAGGCATCAGCCACCGTGCCCGGCCCTTATTTTTCTTTTCTTTTCTTTCTTTTGAGACAATCTTCCTGTGTCACCCAGGCTGGAGTACAGTGGCATGAACACAGCTGACCCTAGCCTTGACCTCCTGGGCTCAACGGATCCTCCCATGTACTATAGCTGGGACCACAGGCATGCATCGCCACGCCTGGCCAATTTTTTAAAATCTTTAAAAAAATTTTTGTAAATACAAGGTCTCACTTTGTGGCCCAGTCTGGTCTCCAACTCCTGGCCTCACGCAAGCCTCCTGCCTTGGCCTCCCAAAGTGCTGGGATTAAACAGACATGAGCTAATACACCTGACCCAAGACTGCTATTTCTAGCTTATCTTCTACAAACTCATCTTCCTCTTAAGCTTGACTGTCTCATTTCTCTACTTAAAAATGTTGGAGGAGGAAATGTTCACCTCCAGCATTTATCTTCTGGTGATTCATAACGTCCCTGGCTCCTTAGAAAATAGTCGCAATCTCGTCTAGCTTTATCTTCTGTTGCACTCCCTCTGACCAAACGCCAAACTATCCAAGCACAACAGGCAACGAAGATTAGTCTCAGTTTCTACGAATGTGCAGTGAAATACAGCTTCTGCTCTGGAAGTTAAGATGGCTGCTTTGCAGCACACGGAAGACCTTGGTGTCTGTGAGCATAGACTAAGGCTACTGATTTCATTATTCCTGGAAATCAAACAAAAAGAGGCTTCCAGTACAGGGAATATCAAAGATCGGTAAGATGATACACGCATGATGCTAAACTTATGGCTAGGCAACCTCTGCTCCATTGCTTTTTTTTTTTTTTTTTGAGACAGTCTCACTTACTCTGTCACCCAGGCTGGAGTGCAATGGCATGATCTCGGCTCACTGCAACCTCCACCTCCGGGTTCAAGTGATTCTCTTGCCTCAGCCTCCCAAGTAGCTAGGATTTCAGGTGCACACCACCATGCCTGGCTAATTTTTGTATTTTTTGTAGAGAGGAGGTTTCACCATGCTGGCCAGGCTGGTCTTGAACTCCTGACCTCAAGTGAACTGCCCACCTCGGCCTCCCAAAGTGTTGGGATTACAGGCATGAGCCACTGCTCCATTGACATTTTGAACCAGATGATTCTTTGTTGTGGGTTGTACTGTAAGTTGTAGGATATTTAGCAACATTCCTGGCCTCTACACATTAGATGCCAGTAGCAGCCCTCTCCCAACCCCTGTAGTGACAACCAAAAATGTCTCCAGACATTGCCAAATGTCCCTAGGAGGCAAAATCATCCCCCAACTGAAAGTGTACATAGGCTCACACCCAGAATCCTAGCACTTTTTTTTTTTTTTTTTGAGACAGAGTCTTGCTCTGTCGCCAGGCTGGAGTGCAGTGGCGCGATCTCGGCTTGCTGCAATCTCTGCCTCCCGGGTTCAAGCGATTCCCCTGCCTCAGCCTCCCGAGTAGCTGGGAGTACAGGCGCCCAACACCATGCCCGGCTAGTTTTTTGTATTTTAGTAGAGATGGGGTTTCACCATGTTGGCCAGGCTGGTCTCGATCTCCTGACCTCGTGATCCACCCGCCTCGGCCTCCCAAAGTGCTGGGATTACAAGCGTAAGCCACCACAACTGGCTGAATCCTAGCACTTTGGGAGGCCAAGGCAAGAGGGCTGCTTGAGAACAGGAGTTTGAGACCATCCTGGGCAACATAGTGAGACCCTATCTCTACAAAAAAAAAATTAAAAAGAGAGTCTGTGTGTGTGTGTGTGTGTGTGTGTGTGTGTACTTTTTTTTTTTTGAGATGGCGTCTCGCTCTATTGCCCAGGCTGAAGTGCAGTGGTGCAATCCAGGCTCACTGAAACCTCTGCCTCCTGGGTTCAAGCGATTCTCCTCCCTCAACCTCCCAAGTAGCTGGGATTACAGGCACCCACCTGCATGCCTGGCTAATTTGGTATTTTAGTAGAGATGAGGTTTTGCCAGGCTGGTCTTGACCTCCTGACCTCAGGTGATCCGCCTGCCTTGGCCTCCCAAAGTGCTGGGATTATAGGCATGGGCCACCTCACCCGGCCACATACATTTAAAAAATTGAGATATAGTTTAAATACACTAAAACCTACAGATTTTAAGTACATAGTTGAACGAGTTTTGATAAATGTATAAACCTACATAACTCTCACCCTAATCAAGATATGGGGCATTTCCTTCACCTCTCAAAAGTTCCCTTCTGCCCTTCTGCAGTCCATCCTTGCCTGTCCTCCAGATTCCCATCTTAGGAGTTGATATGAATGGAATTGCAGGGTACATAACCTGTTATGTCTGGCTTCTTCCCTTCCTCATGCCATTTGTGTGATTCTTTCAGATTGGGATGTGTATCAGTGGCCTCATTCACTTACTTACTTACGTATTTATTTATTTATTTGAGAGACAGATTCTTGCTCTGTCACCCAGGCTGGAGTGCAGTGGTACGATCTTGGCTCTCTGCCTCCCGGTTTCAAGCAATTCTCCTGCCTGAGCCTCCTGGGTAGCTGGGATTACAGGCACACGCCACCATGCCCAGCTAGCTTTGTATTTTTTGTAGAGACAGAGTTTCACCATGTTGACCAGGCTGGTCTTGAACTCCTGACCTCAGGTGATCTGCCCGCCTCAGCCTCCCAAAGTGCTGGGATTACAGGAGTGAGCCACCACGTCCAGCCTCATTCACTTATGTGTATGGCTGAGTAGTAATCCCTTGTTCAGATCCACCACCATTTGGGTACCTGTTCCCCAGCTGGTGGATATTCAGTTTGTTTCCCATTTGGGGTGCTTATGAACAATGTCTTTGGGTGGCCATTTATTGTTACCTAGGGATCTAACTTTTGCAGACTGTGAATGCAGTATGGGAATGGGGACCGTAGTGTGGCCAGTGCTCATGTTGTGTTGTAAAGTTGTGCCATCTATTTCTGGACCACACTTTTTTTGTTGTTTTGTTTTGTTTTGTTTTTTTGAGACTGAGTCTCGCTCTGTCACCCAGGCTGGAGTGCAGCGGCACGATCTCGGCTCACTGCAAACTCCACCTCCCAGGTTCAAGCCATTCTCCTGACTCAGCCTCCCGAGTAGCTGGGACCACAGGTGCCCGCCACCATGCCGGGCTAATTTTTTGTATTTTTAGTAGAGATGGGGTTTCACCGTATTAGCCAGGATGGTCTCGATCTCCTGACCTCATGATCCGCCTGTCTTGGCCTCCCAAAGTGCTGGGATTACAGGCGTGAACCACCACGCCCAGCCCTTTTTTGTTTTTCTGAGGCAGGTCTCACTCTGTCGCCCAGGCTGGAGTGCAGTGTCACAGTCACAGCTCACTGCAGGCTCAACATCCTGGGCTCAAATGATCCTTGCACGTCAGTCTCCTGAGTAGCTGGCACCACAGTTGTGCACCATGCCTGGCTAATTATTTTTATTTTTAAATTTTTTGTAGAAATGGAGGCTCCCTGTGTTTCCCTGGCTGGTCTCAAACTCCTGGGCTCAAGTGACTCTCCCACCTTGGCCTCCTAAAGTGTTGGGATTACAGGCTTGGCCCAGACCACTCTTTAGGGGTACAAAGACGTGTCAGAATTGTCTCGCTGGCAGTATTTACAACAATGTTCTTCAGTGGGACCTCTTGGTTGAATCAAAGGGCCCAAGAGGAGCCTATTGTCAGTGAGATATCACTACTACACGATGCAGGGATTAAAGGAGCAGCTTCTCCTAAAAATATCACTCACAACTTAGAGGCAAAAGGCTCTTTTTTTTTTTTTTTTCTGAGACGGAGTCTTGCTCTGTCACCCAGGCTGGAGTGCAGTGGCGTGACCTCAGCTCACTGCAAGCTCCGCCTCCTGGGTTGACACCATTCTCCTGTCTCAGCCTCCCAAGTAGCTGGGACTACAGGCACTCGCCACCACGCCCGGCTAATTTTTTTTTTGTATTTTTAGTAGAGACGAGGTTTCACCGTGTTAGCCAGGATGGTCTCGATCTCCTGACCTCGTGATCCGCTCGCCTCGGCCTCCCAAAGTGCTGGGATTATAGGCGGGAGCCACCGCGCCCGGCCTAGGCAGAAGGCTCTTGCCGATGGAGCAAGCTGAACATGGGAACTACCTGTTCAAGAATCAACGGCTCAGATAATTTCACCAGGCCTCACATTGCAAGTATCCTCAGTCCCGACCCCGAATGCCAGCCTCTGTCTTCATCCATTGCTATCTCCCTCCAAACCTTTCCCCTGTGTGATTCGAAGCCCATTATTTCTTTTTTATTATATACTTTTTTCTCTTTTGAAAAATTTTTTAATAGAGAAGGCATCTCGCTATGTTCCCCAGGTGGGTCTTGAACTCCTAGGCTCAAGCAATCTGCCCACCTCTGCCTCCCAAAGTGCTGGAATTACAGGCATGCAGGCATGAGCCACCGGACCCAGCTCCCTTTTTTTCTTTTCTTTTTTTTTGAGATGGAGTCTTGCTTTGTCACCCAGGCTGCAGTGCAGTGGAGCTATCTCGGCTCACTGCAACCTCCACATCCCAGCTTCAAGTGAGTTTCCCACCTCAGCCTCCGGAGTAGCTGGGATTACAGGTGCCCACCACCACGCCCAGCTAATTTTTGTATTTTTGTACAGACAGGGTTTCACCATGTTGGCCAGGCTAGTCTTGAATCCCTGAACTCAGGTGATACACCCACCTCAGCCTCCCAAAGGACTGGGCTTACAGAAGTGAGCCACTGCACCCAGCCTACTCCTGTTACTTTTAAACAAATGACTAGGTTGAAAAGATGGCTGCCAGGTGCGGTGGCTCACGCCTGTAATCCCATCACTTCGGAAGGCCAAGGTGGGTGGATCACGAGGTCAGGAGTTCAAGACCAGCCTGACCAACATGGTGAAACCCCATCTTTACTAAAAATACAAAAATTAGCCGGGCATGGTGGCACATGCCTGTAATCCCAGCTACTGGGGAGGCTGAGGCTGGAGAATCACTTGAACCCTGGAGGCGGAGGTTGCAGTGAGCCAAGATCGCGCCACTGCACTCCAGCCTGGGTGATAGAGCGAGACTCAGTCTCAAAAAAAAAAAAAAAAAAAAGAAAGGTGCAATGAGGAAGGATGCTCAGGTCAGGGTGTGGGAGGACCTTGCCCTGCTTGTGTGTGATTCTGCACGTCATTCCTGGCTCAACAGCCTGAATGAGTCCTGCTGGATCACTCTCGTTTCTGACTCACTTCTCATATCTCTGTTTAGATGAAGGGAAATCTTATAGATAAACAAGAGTGTTTTCTCGCTGATGCTTTGTCCAGTACTATGCTCTAAATTGGCCTTGACCAGGTAATCTGGAGCTGGCAGAGGTAGCTTCTGTCATTGTAACTCAGATGATATGAGATCTGAGGTGCAGAAATCGAGTTATCCCTTCCTCCTTCACCCTAAACCTTAAGTCCAGCCACTAGACTGTGCCTGTTCTACCTGCTAACTATCTCTTGAACACATTTCTTCTTCTTTTTTTTTTTTTTTTTTTTTTTGTGAGACGGAGTCTTGCTCTGTCACCCAGGCTGCAGTGCAGTGGCGCGATCTTGGCTCACTGCAACCTCCGCCTCCTGGATTCAAGTGATTCTCCTGTCTCAGCCTCCCGAGTAGCTGGGACTACAGGCATGCACCACCATGCCCTGCTAATTTTTGTATTTTTTGGTAGAAACAGGGTTTCACCATATTGGCCGGGCTGGTCTCGAACTCCTGACCTCAGATGATCTGCCCGCCTCAGCCCCCTAAAGTGCTGTGATTACAGGCGTGAGCCACCGTGCCCAGCAGTGTTAGTGTAGTTTATGTGTGGCCCAAGACAATTCTTCTTCCAACATGGCCCAGGGAAGCCTAAAGATTGAACACTCCTGAGCTAAGGGAAATGGCATGTAAGGCTGGAGGGGGAGGGACTGAGAACACAGATGGGGAAAAGGAGGAAAAGGCTGTCTTCCTGCAGGAACATAGAAAGGGAAAGAGAAGTGGATGAAGTAGATGAGAAATCTCCAAGGGAAGGCCTTGGTCTTCTTCTCAATAGACTCATCTTGGTACTCATCTGAAGACACGGGAAGCTTCAGAAAAATGAAGAAGGATTGGTATAGCTGCTTGGGGTTGCTAGACAACCAACAAGACTTGGTTAAGGGACCTCAGATCTGCAAAGCTAATTCAGGGTGAATTTAGAGTGGGCACATTGGCATGTTCTGGCTTGAGTGATTTGATTTACTCATGTAGCAAAATTTTATGGCTGAGGGGACTGACAGAGGAAGTGGTCAGGCAGATGGAGAGTTGCAGAGCCCTTGAAACTAGCAGGCATTCAGTGCAATTTCATTGAGTGATATTCATAAAACCCAGTGGAGCTGAAAAACCAGTGTGGCCAGAGGGGGCTGAGAGGTTCAAAGTGAAGTGACTGTGCTACATTTGTTAATCTTCCAAAGGCAGCCAACTAGATCTTAAGGGGTCAAGTGGAAAGATGTAATATATAGGTAGCCTGCTAGCTCAATTCAACAAATGTTAATGGATACAAGGCAGCAAGTAAGGTGCTGTGGAAACTGCTAAGATAAGCCAGCTGCCCGCAGGGAGTTTGAGGTCTTACAAAAAGAGCAATGCTGTATAAAGCAGACTTTTGCAAAGGTGGCAATGCAGACACAGAGAAGGAGGCCCAGCATTATATATAGAGAGAGTCAATGACTAAAACCCAGGGAGAGGCTGGGAGTGGTGGCTCACACTTGCGATCCCAGCATTTTGGGAGGCTGAGGCAGGAGGATTGCTTGAGGCCAGGAGTTTGAGACTAACCTGGGCAACATAGCAAGACCCCATCTCTATAAAAAATAAAAAAATTAGCTGGGTGTGGTGGTTCGCACCTGTAGTCCTAGCTACTCAGGAGGCTGAGGTGGGAGGATTGCTTGAGCCCAGGTGTTCGAGGCTGCAGTGAGCTATGATGGCACCACTGCACTTGCCAGACTGGGTGACAGAGTGATACCCTGCTCTAAAAATAAATAAATATGTACATACATACAAGAAAAAATAAAAGTCAAGAAAGGTAGCATTTGAGGTGGGCCTTTAGGTTGATTAAGTATTTATTTGCATGCTGGCTTTACTGATAAGAAAGAACCGTCAGGCTGGGTGCGGTGGCTCACGCCTGTAATCACAGCACTTTGGCAGGCCGAGGCAGGTGGATCACCTGAGCTCAGGAGTTTGAGACCAGCCTGGCCAACATGTTCAAACCCTGTCTCTACTAAAAATACAAAAATTAGCTGGGTATGGTGGCAGGCACCTGTAATCCCAGCTACTCCGGAGGCCGTGGCAAGAGAATCACTTGAACCCGGGAGGTGAAGGTTGCAGTGAGCCGAGATCAAGCCATTGCCCTCCAGCCTAGGCGACAAGAGCGAAACTCCGTCTCAAAAAAAAAAAGAAAAAAAGAACCTTTAAAGCAAAGCGTAGGGAACCAACCATGTGACGAAGGAGCAGAGGTGGAAAGGTCTCTGTCACGTTTAAAGAATGGTGGTTAATCTATGTGGCTGCAGGAATAGTTTAGCCTGTGGGGACTTAGACCTGGAAACGTATGTCTGAGTCAATTTATGAAGGACTTTGAACATCAGGCAGAAAGATTTGGACCTATTTGCAAAGGTGAACTATCAGTTTTTGTGTGCAGGTTAGTGACATGATTCTTATGGCGTTTTAGGCAACAGCTAAACTGGGTCATACAAGATTAGGTACTAAAATGCCATCTTCTTGTCCAGCTGAGAAAGGGATTTTAATTACGTAATTAAACTCATGAATGTGGGAAGGGGCTCTTACTTCACAAGGCCAACCTCAGCTCTTTCCCAATTATATAAACAAGTTTTTGTTTGTTTTTTTGTTTTTGTTTTTTTTAAACAAGCCTTCCAGACTTAGATCTCTGGGAAAAGAGAAGTAAATACTGACACAGGCTTGCTTTGTTTTCCCAAGAGAGGTCTCCCAGGCGATTTATCTAATTACCTAGAAAAAAAATTTAACTTGTTTTTCCCTTTAGATTTCAGCCGAGCTGGAAGCGGGAGGGGGGAATTGCAGTATTGCCTTAGATTTTCTAGATTTGGTTTGGACGCAATATTCGTCCTGAGGGAGTCCCTCCAAGGCCTCTCGGAGCGGGCAGCCTCTAGGCATTTGTTCAAGGCAACAAGGAGGGAGCTTAGAAGAACTTAAGAGAGGCGGGGAGCTCTGCAAAGGGCTTATTTTAAAAAGAAAGGGAAAAAAGGTGGGGCGCGCCGTCTATCTTTTTAGAATAATTCTGTAGGAAAACGAATCGGAGGTAAAGCCATGCCCTCTGGTCAGGGTTTCTGGACTAGAAACTGCCTGAGCTTTACGCACAGGAAAGGACAGTGGCTCTTCACTCTCCCGGCCGCATCACTCGGCACCTAATTCCGCCAGGCTCCCAGAGGGGCGGTTGCAGCTACAGCCTAGCACGCCGCGTAGCCAATAAGAAGCCAGAATTCCCCCTATTCTCAAATCCTGACCAATCGGTGGCCTGAACTTTAGCTCTCTGGCCGGCGCCTCTGT
Organism: Homo sapiens; assembly: GCF_000001405.40. Lineage (NCBI taxonomy): Eukaryota > Metazoa > Chordata > Mammalia > Primates > Hominidae > Homo > Homo sapiens. The sequence goes on from NC_000017.11 coordinate 75,456,615, forward strand.
TGCCCGGAAGGGAGGCAAGCCCCCTTAGAGTTGCCAGTAACGGACATGGCTGCGGCCCCCGGAGGAGGGGACGTGAAGTGAGGAGGGGGTTGGGAGGGGAGAGGACGCGGGCGAGGAAGACCAGCCCCGGGGCCCCGGTAAGTACGAGAAGGCCCGTGGCCCGAAAGTGGGGAGCAAGGGGGCGTGGGGCTCGGCCTTGCGCGTCCTTTGGATTCTTGGCCAAGGAAAGGGGAGTCTGGGGTCTGCACCCAGAGAACGGCTTAAGGGGATGCCTCCTGAGGGGGAGTCCAGGGACTGGCTCTAGTCTCCAGCTCTTGACCATTGCCTTCCCCCGAGTCTTCAGACTCTTGCTCTCAGCCCTGGATTGGTCCATTGTGGGGTCTCTCGCCAGAAATAAAGCCTCTCGCCAACAAAGAATCCCTGCCCCAGGTCTGTCGTGCCTAGGCCCTGGCCCAGAGGGCTCCCAACGCCGACGCCCTGAGTATTTATTTCGAGGCCCCTGGGAGTCCTCATCCCCGACCTAAATAAAGACCGTTGTCCCGCCTGCGCGCGCTCTCCGCAGCCGCCCGGGGTCCTCGCGCGGCCGTCCCCAGCTGGATGGAGCCGGCCGAGGGGCTCCTGGCAGCCATCCCTGATCTTGCAGTTTGGAGCGGGCTTTTTTTTCTTTCCGCCTTTCCAGAAGCGTTTTCAGGCTCCTCGGAAGCTCACCATCCATGCCATCGGATAAAGTGACTCCTGTGGAATGCCCTCGTTCCTGTACCGCACACCCCTGGAGCCCAGGTCTCCTGGTTCCTAGCATGCCACGATGCGGCCCCTGCCCGCTGCCCAGCGCCAGATGCAAGCAAAGCCCCGCTCTTTCATTGGTGTGTCACCGCGGGCTAAACTTTGGCGTTGCCTTGGTCACGTGCTGCTACATCCCACCCTCTCTCCTGAGTTTTTCGGTGGCTCTTGAGGGAAAAAAGGAGGGAGCTCGTTATGGAATCTGTTTTCCTTCTGCTATGTGGGTGTATGCATTGGAGAGAAGGATCTTTTTCTCATGATTTATCCAAGACGCTCAGCTTTAGTGACATAGTTGTTATTCCGCAGGTAATCTTGGAAGATGGAAGCAGGGAGGGGGCAGTTTTAACATTTTCATTTTGCAGATGTGGAGATTGTTCGGAGAGGCAAGGCCAGGGTCACCTAGAGCCAAACTAGAATCCGAAAGTCCAGGGGCTTGAGTTCTTTATCCGCTAGACCTAGTTGTTTCCTAGGTGTGACCTGAGGAGATCAAGTTCCCTGACTCCCCTGAGCTCTTGCAGGGTGGCTCTGGGCATTAAAAGCGATGGGCATTAAAAGTAGGATCCTCCTATGCTTCCTGGCAATGACTAGGGTCTTCATACCTGGTTTGCATTCAGTAATTTTAAGAAGCCAGCAGGTAGTTCTCTGGCAGACTTCTTGTATTAATATTCATTGTAGTCTCTGTCTGTATTGGGGGCGTAAATTATTTTAGTGATTCTCAGGGCAGCGAGAGGCAGAGTAAGAGGAAGGTATGCCTCTTCCTTGGTTTTTGGGAACCATTACAGTGTCATTAGAGATGTTATTAACAGGAACGCGTTGCATACAGGAACAGCGTGGAGGCAGAAAAAGATTGAGAGCCATTGAAGAGAGAAGAAATGGCACTGTGGTATCTCTTTATAGTACTTTTGGCAAAAGAAGAGCTGATCTTGGTATTCTGAAGAGGTAGTTTAAAAAAAAAGTTAGATCCTGAGGCATAACTAAAAGAATACAAATAAATAAAAAAATTTAAAGCAATGGCACTAGTAAGGTTCAAAAGAGTCAAAGTAATGCCTGTAATCCCAGCACTTTGGGAGGCTGCTGTGGGAGGACTGCTTGAGCCCAGGAGTTTGAGATCAACCTGGGCAACACACTGACAAGAAAACCAAAAAAATTAGCTGGGCATGGTGGCATGTGCCTGTGTTCCCAGCTACTTGGGAGGTGGATGCCAGAGGATCGCTTGAGCCCAGAAGGTCGACGCTGCAGTGAGCTGTGATCATGCCACTGCACTCACTCTAGCCTGGGCAACAGAGCAAGACTCTGTCTCCAAAAAAAAAAAAAAGAGTCATGGAATCAAAAAGTTTGAAAATCACTGTAAAGATCAGAGCACATTAAAATGTAGACTATTGGCCGGGCGCAGTGGCTCACGCCTGTAATCCCAGCACTTTGGGAGGCAGAGGCAGGCGGATCACGAGGTCAGGAGATCAAGACCATCCTGGCTAACACGGTGAAACCCCATCTCTACTAAAAATGCAAAAAATTAGCTGGGTATTGTGGCGGGTGCCTGTAGTCCCAGCTACTTGGGAGGCTGAGGCAGGAGAATGGCGTGAACCCGGGAGGCAGAGCTTGCAGTGAGCCGAGATCGCGCCACTGCACTCCAGCCTGGGCGACACAGCGAGACTCCGTCTCAAAAAAAAAAAAACAAAAAAAACAAAAACAAATAAAATGTAGACTATGGTGGTTAACCCTAGAACAGGAGACAGCATGTTCAGATAAAATCCTCAAACATTGCAAGTCTTAGCTGCTATGTTAGCTCTAACTTCCTTGCTCACTGGTTCTCTTTGTCAAAACTGCAAACAGGGAAACTGGTGGATACTGTGGAGTAGTGCAATGACCAGGGAGGTGAAGTACAAACCATCTTCTTCATCATCAGCCCCCAAATAATTGAGAGTTAACTGCCCTTGAACCACCAGACCACCATGCCCCTTGTTTGTGGTGACTTGACATCAGATGAGACTGGGAGAGCCAGGCCTTGACAGTGAAATGGAAGAGAAACCCCATGGCATTTCTATTTTGAGAAGTTGCTAGGTGTGCCAGCTCCTAGTGCTGAGAACCAGCCTTTTGGAAACCTTAACTCCTGTAGAAACTAATGAGAAATGAAGGTTGTGATCGTCCTGTTCCTGCCTGCTGCTCTCTCCCTAAGTTGGGCTTGAGAAACAGTTTCTATAGGAGAGGGAGGAGTCCTAATGTAAATACCACCTACACCCAAGGCTGTATGTATTTAGCTTAATCTGATGAATCAGGTTGAACTCGTACCTTAGCAGTCTAAGCCTGAACGCCATAAAGCCTTTAAGTCCATTCCTGGTGTTCAAGTGAGAAGGTTCTGGGTCAGGCGTGGCACTGGTTGGTAAATATGTGTCAATATTTCTTATCTTACTATTGTGTTAGTGTTGTTTTTACGATGGTGTCTTTCTTTACCCAAATGATAGGATTTAAAAATATTGTTTAAAGCCCGTTTCCAAGCAGGCCTGGGTTTGTTTATAGCAGCACAGGTGAACTAGAGGGTAGGCCATGGCTGAAACAGGAATGCTTTTCTTCCGAGCAGACCCGCCAGCCAGAATGTGTGGTTTGGTGATCAGGGGTTTGTGTAATAATAAGCTTTGCCTGTGGCCACTGAGACGGTAGTAAACAGTATGGGTCACATGGCATGACAAGTAGGTTAAGGGCCAGATTTAGACACTGATGGCCTGCGTAAGGAGGAGCAAACCACACACTGCTTGCTTTGGGTTTCTCTAGCTCCCAAGGCCAGAAGTGATGGGAGAGGGGTGAGGGGTGTCAGAGAGAAGAACCTTGAAAGGCTTAGAGTGGTATTTGAGGAACCATAAATTTTAGTGTACTATAATTAAATGAACCCAATTTTCATAACTTCAAGGGCTTCTTGAAAAAGGGGTTCATGGTACCAGTCTTGCTTGGTAGGGAGGTGAATAGAAAAATACTGGGAAACACTTAAAAAAGATGTATGCTGGACAAAGACTCAGGTGTACTGAAAGAGCGTAAACCTTCATTATGTTGACGTGAAAGCCAAGTAGGGAATGTTGCTTAGCTATAAGGCAGAGCCTATTGCAAAATCAGAATCAGGAGCTGCTGATTTTTTTTTTTTTTTTTGAGACAGAACTTGCTCTGTAGCCCATGTTGGAGTGCAGTGGTGTGATTACGGCTTACGGCAGCCTTGATCTTCTGGGCTCAGGTGATCCTTCCACCTTACCCCCTGAGTAGCTGGGACCACAGGCACATGCCACCACACCTGGCTAATTTTTGTATTTTTTACAGAGACGGTTCTTGCCCTGTTGCCCAGGCTGGTCTCAAACTCCTGTGCTCAAGGGATCTGCCTGCCTCGGCCTCCCAAAGTGCTGGAATTACAGGTGGCCAGAAGTTGCCGATTTTTAAAATTAAGGAAAAAAATACATAGTATAACATTTTCCATTGTAACCAGTTCTGTGGCATTAAGTACATTTGCATTGTTGTGCAACCCTCATCACTATCCATCTCCAGAACTTTCTTAGTTTCCCAAACTGAAACTCTGTCACCATTAAACATTTAACTCCCCATTTCCCCCCTGCTCCCACCCCCGGCAACCATCTTTCTACTTTCTGTCTCTGTGATTTTGACTATTCTAGAAACCTCATATAAGAGGAATCATACAACATTTGTCCTTTTGCGATTGGCTTTTTTTTTTTTTTTTTTTTTTTGAGACAGAGTTTTGCTCTATTGCCCAAGGCTGGAGTGCAGTGGTGTGGTCTCAACTTACTGCAATCTCCGCCTCCCGAGTTCAAGCAATTCTCCTGCCTCAGCCTCCGGAGTAGCTGGGAATATAGGTGCACACTACCGTGCCCGGCTAATTTTTGTATTTTTAGTAGAGCCGGGGTTTCGCCATGTTGGCCATGCTGATGTCGAACTCCTGACCCCAGATGATCCGCCTGCTTCGGCCTCCCAAAGTGCTGGGATTACAGGCATGAGCCACCGTGTCCAGCCTGAAGTTGCTGATCTTTTAAAGACATATTGGATACATTCACATGGTTTGAAAATCAAAAGGCACAAAAGTATATGTATTCAAGGGCAGAAAAAAGTATAAAAAAGAATTTTTTTAAAAAGTATATATAGTAAAAATTCTTCCTGCTCCCAACCATTCCCTAGCCACTCAGTTCCAATTTATTAATTTTTCCTTTTGTGGATTATGCTTTTGGTACTGAATCTAAGAAATGTAATCCACAGTAGGCCGGGCGCAGTGGCTCACGCCTGTAATCCCAGCATTTTGGGAGGCCGAGGTGGGCGGATCACGAAGTCAGGAGATCGAGACCATCCTGGCTAACATGGTGAAACCCCGTCTCTACTAAAAATTAGCTGGGCGTGGTGGCGGGCGCCTGCAGTCCCAGCTACTCGGGAGGCTGAGGCAGGAGAATGGCGCGAACCCGGGAGGCGGAGCTTACAGTGAGTCGAGATCGTGCCACTGCACTCCAGCATGGACGACAGAGCAAGACTCCGTCTCAAAAAAAAAAAAAGAAAAGAAATGTAACCCAAAGTCACAAAGATTTTTTCCTATCTCCTATATAAATTTTACAGTTTTTTTTGTTTTGTTTTGTTTTGTTTTTTTTTTTTTTGAGGCAGAGTCTTCTTGCTCTGTTGCCCAGGCTGGAGTGCAGTGGCACGATCTCGGCTCACTGCAACCTCTGCCTCCTGGGTTCAAGTGATTCTCCTGCCTCAGTCTCCCAAGTAGCTGGGACTACAGGCGCCCACCAGCACTCTCAGCTAATTTTTTTGTATTTTTAGTAGAGACAGGGTTTCATCATGTTGGCCAGGATGGTCTCGATCTCTTGACCTCGTGATCTGCCGGTCTCGATCTCTTTACCTCGTGATCTGTCAGCCTCGACCTCCCAAAGTGCTGGGATTACAGGCGTGAGCCACTGCGCCTGGCCTGAATGTCTTTTATAAGCAGAGTTGAGCATCTTTGCATATGGAGAAGCTATTGGATTTTTGGTTTCACATTCTCTCAGGGTTAGAATTGTCTTCCTACCCTCCACCTCATGTATTAATTATCTCCATAATTTCTCAGCTTCTGCTTGGTTCCCTCTAGTGATGGGAGCTCATTGCTTCACAGGGCAGCCTATTCCATTTTTAAAAATATACAGTTCTAAGGCTGGGCATGGTGGCTGACACCTGTAATCCCAGCACTTTGGGAGGCCAAGATGGGAAAATCGCTTGAGGCCAGGAGTTCGAGACCAGCCTGGTCAACATAAGTGAGACCCCATCTCTATTAAAAAAAATTAAAAATATACAGTTCTAGGCTTGACTCAGTGGCTCATATCTGTAATTCCGGCACTTTGGGAGGCTGAGGTGGGAGGATTTGCTTGAGCCCCAGAGTTCTAGACCAGTCTGGGCAACATAGCAAGACCTTGTGTCTACAAAAAAAAAAAAAGCTGGTCATGGTGGCATGTGTCTGTGGTCCCAGCTACTCGGGTGGCTGAAGTGGAAAGATTGTTTGAGCCCAGGAGTTTGAGACTGCAGTTGCAGTTAGCCATGATCATGCCACTGCACTCCAGCCTGGGCAACAGAATGAGGACATGTCTCCAAAAATAAAAAAAGTAAAAAAAAAAAAAAAAAAAAAAAAAAAAAATATATATATATATATATATATATATATATATATATATATATACACACACACACACATATATATGTGTGTATATATATGTATATATATACGTGTATATATGTATATATATACACGTATATATATGTGTGTGTGTGTGTGTGTATATATATATATATATATACAGTTTAAATTATGTAGAAAGATACTGTACATTTTAAGTCTCAGTCTACTTCTTATAGCATCCTAGTTCCTGTTTTGGGGCCTCCCAGAGTAAGCCTGGCCCTTCTCACTGCTTGTAGCCATTATACCTTTCTAGCCCTGCTTGCACCCAAAGTGTGTTTTTAGGGTACTGGCTAAGCATCTTCAGTTCATTCTGCCATTTCTCACGTCTTAGTTTCTCCAACCTGGTTGCTGCTCTCTGAAATCCTTCCAGTTTTGTTAGTGTCCTTCTTAAAGTGTGTGATGCGCAACTGAACAAGATATTCCAGGTATGCTCTGACATGTACAGAAATCAGACTTCCTCGTCTGTTGTTAGGGACACAGGTATCTGTTAATGCAGCCTAAATGTGAATGAACTTTGAGTGAGCATACACTCATATTGAAATTGCATCTAACTAAGCCATTTGTGGTAGTTTTATACAGTAGTTTTTGAACCTAAGTGCAGGACTTAATATTTTTTCCAGTTAAACTGAACCCCTTTGATTTGGCCCATCACTTCAGCCTGTTGAGAGCTTCTTGGATTTTGACTTTGATCTCCTTTCCAGGTTTATGCTATCCAAGAATTTGATTAGCATACCATCTGTTTCCTCACCCAAGTCATTGATAAAAATATTGACTGTAATGCCACCAAGGATAGAATCCTACAGCTTGCTATTAAAAACTTCCCTCCAGCTTAACACAGATCTATCAATTAGTACCCTGTGGGCACAACTATTAAACCGAATACAGATCCACCTAACCGCATTTTTGGTGTGTTGGGCATGGCTGGCTTACAAGCACAGCTAATGAAGATTGTGCTAGAAGGGATTAGAAGGACAGCCAACTCCTCATCTTGCCCTCAACCTGAGCCTTGGGCTCCCACTTAGTTCTTTTTGACCTTGTTTCTGAGCTTGGCAGCAGGAGGCATCCACCCCTTTGTCTTCATGGCTACTGTTGCCAGCTTTGTCTAGATACTTGGCATGGCAAACCAAGATTATCATCATTTTCTTCTAACTCTTCTGCCTATAATTTCTTTCCTTTTCCCTCTGATCCATTTTCTACCCTCTTAAAATACTGAGAACAGCCTGGGCAACATAGACCCTGTCTCCAAAAAAAAAATTGTCAGGCATAGTGGCACATACCTGTGATCCTAGCTACTCGGGAGGCTGAGGTGGGAGGATCACTTGAGCCTGGGAAGTTGAGGTACAGTGAGCTGTGATCGCACCACTGTACTCCAGGCTGGGCAATAGGGTGAGGCCTTGTCTCAAACAAACAAACAAACAAACCTGGGGCCTACTCAGAAACCCAGACTCTTCAGTGACTCCTCAGAGCCTCTCCATTTTGGCCCCTTATCCCTGTGTATTTTTTCATTTTCTTTCTTTCTTTCTTTCCTTCCTTTCTTTCTTTCCTTCCTTCCTTCCTTCCTTCCTTCCTTCCTTCCTTCCTTCCTTCCTTCCTTCCTTCTTTCTTTCTTTCTTTCTTTCTTTCTTTCCTCTTTTCTTTCTTTCTTGAGACGGAGTTTCACTCTTGTTGCCCAGGATGGAGTGCGATGGCATGATCTCAGCTCACTGCAACCTCCGCCTCCTGAGTTCATGCGATTCTCCTGCCTCAGCCTCCCAAGTAGCTGGGACTACAGGTGCAGTCGGCTGATTTTTGTATTTTTAGTGGAGATGGGGTTTCTCCATGTTGGTCAGGCTGGTCTTGAACTCCCGACCTCAGGTGATCCACCCACCTCAGCTTCCCAAAGTGCTGGGATTACAGGCATGAGCCACTGCACCCGGCTCTTTTTGTTGTTGTTGTTAGAGACAGGGTCTCACTCCGTTTCCCAGGCTGGAGTGTAGTGGCGTGATCATAGCTCCCTGCAGCCTTGAACTCCTGGTCTCAAGATCCTCCTGCGTCAGCCATATTCTCAGTCTTTTTCATTTTAGTCGTTCTAATGGGTGTGTATTGGTCTCTCGTTGTGGTTTTAAATTTTTTTGTAAGACAGGGTCTTGCTATGTTGCCCAGGCTAGTCTCCAACTCTTGGCCTCAAGTCATCCTCCCCCGTCAGCCTCCCAAAGTGCTGAAATTACAGGCGTGAGCCACCATGCCTGGCCTTCTCATTGTGGTTTTAATTTTTGTTTCCCAATAATTAATGTTGTTGACCATCTTTTCATATTCATATTGACTGTTTATATATCTTGTGAAATGTCTGTTCAAATCTCTGCCTGTTTATTATTTATTTATTTATTTTAAGACAAGTTCTCACTTTGTTGCCCAGGCTGGAGTGCAGTGGCGAGATCATGGCTCACTGCAACCTCCAACTCTTGAGCTCAAGTGATCCTCCTGCCTCAGCCTCCCAAGTAGCTAAGACTGCAGGTGTGTGCCAACATGCCTGGCTGAAATCTTTGCTCATTTTAAAATTGGGTTGTTGGTCTTGTTACTGAGCTATAAGAATTTTTATATATATATATATATATATATATTTTTTTTTAATCCCAAAGACTTCAAAACTACTTTTGCTTTTTGAGACGTGATTTTGGTATGTTGCTCAGGCTAGACTCAAACTCTTGGCCTCTAGTGATCTGTCTGCCTCAGCCTCCCAAAGTGCTAGGATTATAGGCATGAACCACTGTGCCCAACGTCAATTTTTTTATGGCATATTTTGAAGAGTGGAAATTTTTTTTATTTTTATGGAACAATTTATCAGTTGTTTTCTTTTATTTGTTTGTTTGTTTTTTAGAGGCAGGATCTTACTCTGTTGCCTAGACTGGAGTGAAGTGGCACAATCATAGTTCACTGTAACCTTCAACTCCTAGGCTCATGTGATTCCCCTACCTCAGCCTCACAAGTAGTTAGGACTACAGGCGTGCTCCACCAGACCTGGCTAAAGTTGCTGTCTTTTATAGTTTATGTTTTTTATGTTTTAAGAAATCTTTGCTTATCCCAAGTTATAAAGATTCCTGCCTCCACCCCTCCTGCATATTTTCTTCTGGAAGTATTATAGTTTTAACCTTTATGTTTAGATGTGTGATGCATTTTAAGTTAATTTTTGTATATGGTATGAAGTAAGGGTCAATATGTGTGAATCTAGTGCTAGACTCTCTGTTCTGTCCCATTGATTTGTATGCCTCTCCTTGTATCAGTACCACATGTTTTGATTACTGTAGCTGTATGTTAAATCTTCAAATCAGGTAGTGTAAGTCCTCAGAATTTGTTTCTCTTTTCAAAATTGTTTTGCCTATTCTTGGTCCTTTATCTTTCCATACAAATTTTAGAATCAGCTTGCCAATTTCTATGGAAGTCCCAGCTGGGACTTTCATTAACATTGTATTGAGAGGCTGGGCATGGTGGCTCATGCCTGTAATCCCAGCACTTTGGGAGGCCGAGGCAGGTGGGATCACCTGGGGTCAGGAGTTCAAGACCAGCCTGGCCAACATGGTGAAACCCCGTCTCTACTAAAAATGCAAAAAATTAGCCGGCCATGGTGGTGGACACCTGTAATCCCAGCTGTTCGGGAGGCTGAGGCAGGAGAATCACTTGAACCCAGGAGGCAGAGGTTGCAGTGAGCTGAGATTGTGCCATTGCACTCCAGCCTGGGCAACAGGAGTGGGAAAAAAAAAATTGTATTAAATCTATAAATTAGGGGATAATTGCCATCTTAATACTGAGCCTTCCAATCCATGAACATTGTATATTTCCCCATTTATTTAAGTCTTCTTTAATTTTTCTCAGCAGTGTACAGGTCTTACATATATTTTTATTAGAATAATTTCTAAAGGTTTTTTTTTTTTTTTGAGACTGAGTTTTGTTCTTGTCACCCAGGCTGGAGTGCAATGATGTGATCTCGGCTCACTGCAACCTCTGCCTCCCGGGTTCAAGTGATTCTCCTGCCTCAGCCTCCCAAGCAGCTGGGATTACAGGCACCCAAAACCACGCCTGGCTAATTTTTGTATTTTTAGTAGAGATGGGGTTTCACCATGTTGTCCAGGTTGGTCTGGAACTCCTGTCCTCAGGTGATCCACCCACCTCAGCCTCCCAAAGTGCTGGGGTTACAGGTGTGAGCCACCGTACCCAGCCATGCTGTTTTTATACTATTATAAATGATATTAAAATTTTTATTTTCTGATATTTGATTATAGTATATAGAAATATATTTATATTTTGTATTTTGACCCTATATCCTGCAGCTTTGCACCTTTATTTGTTTTAGTATCTTATTTGTAGAGTCCCTAATATTTTCTCCATATACAATTGATCTTGTCTTCTGCAAATAAGACAGTTTCACTTATTTTTTCCCATCATTATGCCATCCATTTCTTTTTCTTTTTTTTTTTTTTTTTTTTTTTGAGACGGAGTCTCGCTCTGTCGCCCAGGCCGGACTGCGGACTGCAGTGGCGCAATCTCGGCTCACTGCAAGCTCCGCTTCCCGGGTTCACGCCATTCTCCTGCCTCAGCCTCCCGAGTAGCTGGGACTACAGGCGCCCGCCACCGCGCCCGGCTAATTTTTTGTATTTTTAGTAGAGACGGGGTTTCACCTTGTTAGCCAGGATGGTCTCGATCTCCTGACCTCGTGATCCACCCGCCTCGGCCTCCCAAAGTGCTGGGATTACAGGCGTGAGCCACCGCGCCCGGCCCCATTTCTTTTTCTTCCACCTTGCTTTTGAGTCCTTATTCTTCACCTAAGTGGCACTTGGTTCATATTTTTTGCTTGCTGCTGATAGTAATGGCAGTTGTTTATTGAGTACCTACTATATGTCAAATATTATACTAGACCCCCTGCATATACTATTTTTCATAATTCTATAGCTCCTCTGTGAAATAGATATTGTCATTTCCATTCTATGAACAAAGACACTGAGGCTCAGAGGGACAAATAATTTGCCAAGGTCATTGGCGTTTGAGACATACTGGAGCTAGGATTTGAACCCGGGGATATTTGGCTTTGAATCCTGTGCTTTTTTTCACAATGGGCTAGGAGCAGAACTGGCCCTTTAAAGACCCTGCTACGGGTTTCAGATCAGACAGTTAAGAATGGCTGTCTCCCAGAATCCCATGTATGGAATGATGGGAAAACAGAGACTCTTAGAAAAATGTCCTGTTCCTGGCTGCCCTCTCTGTACTGCTGTGGTTCCAGCTGGCCACAGAGTGATTTTGCCTTTGCAGCGTTGGCAGAAGGAGTTAACAGGCACAGTCCCCATCTGGCTCCTGGTGTTTTTCCCTGTGTGGCAACGATCTCATCCAGCCCCTGCTGGGATGGGGTGTCATGGGGACCTTGAGCTGCAGTCGTAAGCAGGACTGGGGCAGCCTGAGTCAGACAGTGGCCTTGGGGAGGAGTGGATTTGGTCCCTCAGGATCCCATTTCAGTTGGCGACCAAAGACTGAATGTCACTGCATTGCAAGGCCACTTCCAGCGTCACTGTCTGTATCTGAGCCTTCGAGGCTGGCTCAGCTTTGAAAGGCAGGGGTGGAAGAGACGTGGTTGCTCAGCCTAGGGCACCAGCATGGGTGCCACCTTGAGAGGAATTGGGCGGGGTTTTGGAGTGGAGTTGGTGGCAGAACCTGGGCCTTCTGGTTGGGTCCTCCGGACACAGCTTTTATTATTTCTTGACAGCTTTTTTCTGGGTCAGTTCTGGGTTTCTGCCTGGCACCCCTTGACAAGGCTTGCTCCTGGCCCCCAAAAGAGCTGTCTTAGTCAGTAGGTTAGTGCTTTCTCCAAGAGGAGTCGCTTGGCATCAAACCAGATTGCTCAGTGTCACTCTTTACTCAAACACACCCTGGTCTGAGATCATTAGAGTGACGGCTGCCAGGACGGGAGGGTGAGGGCTGGTGAGGGTAGGTGGGGAGGTAGGGCAAACCTCATTTTCCAGGTAACCAGCCCGCTTTTGTCGGACCTGTTGTCAGATTGGGCTGCCCATCGTGTGTTCATCTGCTCAGGTGCCTGTTGAGCACTGCACTCAACCACGTGAGGGGCTGCGGGCTTGCACATGCTGGTGAGTGTGGCGTCTGACTGCCAGCACGTGGAAAGAAGTCAGTGCCTCGTTCTGGGGATGCAGTGGACATCCACCCTGCTGCTGTCCCAGCTGCCCCCTTATTATCCAACTTACATATCTAGATTTCACTTGATGTTAAGGCTAACCTTAACCCTAAATTTTTTTTTTTTTTTTTTGAGACCGAGTCTCACTTTGTCGCCCGACTGGAGTGCAGTGGCGCAATCTCAGCTCACTGGAACCTCTGCCTCCCAGGCTCAAGTGATTCTCCTGCCTCAGCCTCCTGAGTAGCTGGGATTACAGGCGCCCACCACCACGCCTGGCTAATTTTTGTATTTTTAGTAGAGATGGGGTTTCATCATATTGGCCAGGCTGGTCTGGAACTCCTGACCTCAAGTGATCTGCCTGCCTCGGCCTCCCAAAGTGCTGGGATTGCAGGCGTGAGCCACTGTGCTCGGCCTTAACCCTAAATTTTTAAAATGCTGACTGGGTGTAGTGGCTCATGCCTGAAATCTCAGCACTTTGAGAAGCCGAGGCGGGCAGATCACTTGAGGTCAGGAGCTCATGACCAGCCTGAGCAACATAGCAAGACCCCATCTCTACCAAAGAAGTAGTGATAATAAATAAAAATGCCAATAAATCCTTTGGGAGGCCGAGGTGGGTGGATCACCTGAGGTCGGGAGTTTGAGACGAGCCTGACCAACATGGTGAAACCCCGTCTCTAGTAAAAATACAAAAATTAGCTGGGCGTGGTGGCACATGCCTGTAATCCCAGCTACTCAGGAGTCTGAGGCAGGAGAATCGCTTGAACCCAGGAGGCAGAGGTTGCAGTGAGCCGAGATCATGCCATTGTGCTCCATCCTGGGCAATAAGAGTGAAACTCCGTCTCAAACAAAAAAAGCCAATAAACCAAGGCTTTTCCTGCATGCTGTAATTCAGTGATAAACAGAGTACATATGGAACAAAACACAGTGTGCCTTTGAAAATGAAGGTTGAGGCTGGGCACAGTGATTCACGCCTGTAGCCTGTAGTCCCAGAACTTTTAAGAGGCTGAGGTGGGGAGGATTGCTTGAGGCCAGGAGGTCAAGACCAACCTGGGCAACATAGCAAGACCCCTTCTCCACACAAAATTAAAAAAAATAATAATAGGCTGGGCGTGGTGGCTCATGCTTGTAATCCCAGTACTTTGAGAGGCCGAGGCAGGTGGATCACTTGAGGTCAGGAGTTCAAGACCAGCCTGGCTGAGCATGGTGGCTCACGCCTGTAATCCCAGCACTTTGGGAGGCCAAGACAGGCGGATCATGAGGTCAGGAGATCGAGACCATCCTGGCTAACACGGTGAAACCCCATCTCTACTAAAAATACAAAAAATTAGCCGGGCGTGGTGGCGGGCGCCTGTAGTCCCAGCTACACAGGAGGCTGAGGCAGGAGAATGGCGTGAACCCGGGAGGTGGAGCTTGCAGTGAGCCGAGATCGCGCCACTGCACTCCAGCCTGGGCGACAGAGCGAGACTCTGTCTCAAAAAAAAAAAAAAGTCCAGCCTGACCAACATGGTGAAACCCTGTCTCAACTAAAAGTACAAAAATTAGCCGGGGATGCTGGTGCATGCCTGTAATCCCAGCTACTTGAGGGGCTGAGACAGGAGAATCACTTGAGCCCAGGAAGTGGAGGTTGCAGTAAGCAAAGGTTGCGCCACTGCACTCCAGCCTGGGCAACAGAGCGAGACTCTGTCTCAAAATAATAATAATAATAATAATAATAAAGAAAATGAAGGTCAGGCGCGGTGGCTCACGCCTGTAATCCCAACACTTTGGGAGGCTGAGGCGGGTGGATCACAAGGTCAGGAGTTCAAGACCAGCCTGGCCAATATGGTGAAACCCCGTCTTTACTAAAAATACAAAAATTAGCCGGGCGTGGTGGCAAGTGCCTGTGATCCCAGCTACTTGGGAGGCTGCAGCAGGGAATTGCTGGAACCCAGGAGGTGGAGGTTGCAACAATGAGCCAAGATCGGGTCATAGCACTCCAGCCTGGGCAACAGAGTGAGAATCCGTCTCAAAAAAAAAAAAAAAAGAAAGAAAGAAAGAAAGAAAATGAAGGGTGAAAGAGAGAAAGTTTGTACCCCTCCAGAATCCTCTCTGTAGCCCTCTCCCTCCTGGATTCAGAGAGTGGAATTCATCTAGAGCTGACTGCCTGGGGGAAGCTCTGCTGCTCGATGAGGCTGACTCTGTCTGATGGTCAGTGAGTTCAGTACTTTTCCGCGTACCATACTGTGGTTTAGATGATACTATTATGTTGGGTGGCTGAGGCGGGCAGATCACTTGAGGTCAGGAGTTTGAGACCAGCCTGGCTAACATGGCAAAACCCTGTCTCTACTGAAAAATACAAAATTAGCTGGGCATGGTGATGCACGCCTGTCATCCCAGCTACTCGGAAGCAAGAGAATCGCTTGAACCCAGGAGACAGAGTTTGCAGTGAGCCGAGATCGCGCCACTGCACTCCAGCCTGGGCGACAGAGTGAGACTCCGTCTCAAAAAAAAAAAAAAATGATGCTGTTGTGTTTCACAGTAGCTGCCTGTTCCAGCAACCTGAGTGATTTCTTTCTTCTTTTTCCCCAGATGTTGTGACTGTGACAGACTCACTGGGGTTTGTACATGCTGGGGAGGAGCCTTCCTTTCAGGGGTGACCACATTCATCTGGGCATGCCTGCAGTACTCTTGGCCCATGGACCTGAAGGAGAAGCACCTGGTAGGCCATATCCTATTACCTTATAGGTATTGTCTGTGTGTCTCTGTTGAACTCTTTCCTACTTGTTTTTGCCTGGGAGATCCTTAACTGGGGGCTTTAAACAAAAGTTGAGAGAGGAGGCAAGGCTCTGAGTCTTGGGGGATGCGACTGTGACCTCTTGGCTGGAAAGCACAGACTCACAGAGCTATGAATAAAGGATGAAGGTGGACCTATTAACACAACCGCATGGGAGCAGGGTTTCTGATTTAGGCTGGCTCCAAGCCAGTCTTCCACTTCTTGCCCAGGGGTGTGCAATTTAGTTTGTTTGCCCTTTGCTAGGGCGATGTCCTAACCTGCTGAGCCATGCTGAGGGCTATTGGGCACCTCCCTGTGGTTAGAGAAGAGCGCCCCAATCAGACTTCAAACACAGCTGCCTAATCAGCCGGTGGTGAGCAGCCAGGTGGCCTGGGCCAGCCATAAGATTGGTCTTCTCCTCCCAGCCTGGTTTGGCCCAGCCTCCATGTATACTATCTTTGGATGGAGGTAGAGTTGTCAATCAGAAAACTCCTCTCCCTTGACAAAGACTGCCCCAGAGGAAGTCCTTTTGTCTCTTGCCTAGCTTCTGCCACACCTTCCTAATAGATCTTTCTGTTTTCTGTAATCCCAGCTACTTGGGAGACTGAGGCAGGAGAATCGCTTGAACCCAGGAGGCAGAGGTTGCAGTGAGCAGAGATTGCACTACTGCACTCTCTGCTCATCAGCCTCCACATGGCTGCCACAAAACTGGTCAGTGGTTCCATACCACCTACTTAACCTTTAGTGTGTACAAAGCCCTCCAGAATCCTGCTCCTGCCCATGGATTTGGTGTTCCTAGCCTTCCTGCTTTGACTTTAGCACTAGTTATTACCTCTAAAATGCTTCCCACCCCTTTTTCTGGAAACTTCTTCTGTTCTTCCTTCAAGACCTAGTTTTGACATCATTTTCTCCAGTTAAGTCCTCCTTCCTTCCAGAGGTCCTTCCTTTCAGCATTTGTAGTACCTCCACCATTGTACTCGCTATTCTATTGAAATTAACTCATCTCTTCCACTTCATCTCAATATCCCTAGCTCACAGCACCGAGCCTGGCATGTAGCAAGGGCTTAGTACATATTTATTGACCTGAACTTCTGAATAGTGATCTTCCTTCCAGGGAGATCTTGGGAAGGTCTAGAGAGGGGGCTGTGGGTTCACTCCCTGGGCCTCTGCTGGCACCAGGCTGGCTGACTGCTTTCTGTTCAGCTCCAGGCTTCCTATGTCTCTGGACCAGCTGTGCAATAGGTTTCTGGAATTGAACTTGAAGCAGGTGTGCTTGGCCTCCTGTTCATAGCCACCTCTGGGTGCTCAGCAGATATCCACCCTAGCAGTGATTGGCACAGAGGGAAAGCTACACTTGCCTCTCTCTTAGCTGGGAGTTAAGGCTGCTGCAAACAGCTGCAAGGGCTCTGCACTGCTCAGTTCCAAGGAGTATGTCCCCAGAGGCTCTGCTGTTATGCAATGCGGTGGCCTGCCTGGGTGAGGCTGAATCCCCCAAAACAGAGGATGGTATTGTCTTCTGGTTCCAGCCAGAACCACTGAACACTAGTGCCTAGTGTATGGGGGAAACAAAGTTCTGTATCGAAGGGCTGGGTGCTCTCTCCAGCCTGAGGAAGAAGACTTGAGAACCCAGCTGGATAGCTCTCAGGGGCCATTTTTCCTGGAGGGTTTCTCTTTGTCCTCCTCCTCTTTCTGGATAGGTGAGCCCTGACCTGGAAAGCATCGTCAGTCATCCTTGGCAGTCACCATATTGTGGAATGGCAGCTTTGGGTTGGCAGAGCTTTAGGCACCAGGGAGGTGGCCCCGGCTTAGAGAGGCTTATTGTCTAGTAGAGGAATTGATAGTACAAGCAGGCTGGGCACAGTGGCTCACGTCTGTAATCTCAGCACTTTGGGAGGCCGAGGTAGGCAGATCACTTGAGGCTAGGAGTTCGAGACCAGCCTGGCCGACATGGTGAAATCCCGTCTCTACTAAAAATACAAAAATTAGCTGGGCATGGTGGCGCGTGCCTGTAATCCCAGCTACTTGGGAGGCTGAGGCAGGAGAATCGCTTGAACCCGGGAGGCAGAGGTTGCAGTGAGCAGATTGCACTACTGCACTTCAGCCTGGGCGACAGAGCAAGACTGTCTCAAAACAACAACAAACAAAATGGATAGTACAAGCAGTTAAGTAATTGGACCTGGTAGGGCCTCTAGCTGAGGTAACTCATGAGTTGTATAAATGGACTTATAAAGATGATCTCAGCCAGGTGCAGTGGCTCACACCTGTAAATCCCAGCACTTTGGGAGGCCGAGGCAGGTGGATCACCTGAGGTCAGGAGTTTGAGACCAGCCTGACCAAAATGGTGAAACCCTGTCTCTACTAAAAATATAAAAATTAGCTGGGTGTGGTGGCACACACCTGTAATCCCAGCACTTTGGGAGGCCAAGGTGGGCAGATCACCTAAGGTCAGGAGTTCAAGAACAGCCTGGCCAACATGGTGAAACCCTGTCTCTACTAAAAATACAAAAATTAGCCAGGCATGATAGTGCATGCCTGTAATCCCAGCTATTTGGGAGGCTGGGGCAGGAGAATCTCTTGAACTCGGGAGGCAGAGGTTGCAGTTAGCCGAGATTGAGGTCACACCACTGCACTCCAGCCTGGGGGACAGAGCAGAATCTCTAAAAAACAAAACAAAACAAAACAAAAAACCAAAAACAGTCAGAAGGTGTCTTGGAGGAGTAGGCTTTGGAGGAGCTGGCATAGTGGTCATTGATGGTAGGAGGGTTGTCGTCCCCTGGCTTAGCTCAGGAGCGGTTTAGCTCTTGATGGTTCTCTGCTTCTGATCCATCAGTTCGGTCTCTCCTTCAAAGCCCTCACCCCTGTCCCCGGTCCTCCAGCCCACAGTGGCCCTGCTGTGGCAGTGACAGCCTGGGTTCCTGCTGCTTGGGTGCAGGGCTCCCTTCTCCATTTGCTGAGGTGGGTAGTGTAGGAAGGGAGGCAGGGCCCAGAGAGGGCTGTGCTGGGGCCTGCACAGCACGTGGGCTAGTCCCTGTGTGCTGTTCTTTTTGGGGCCTGTCACATAGAAGGGACAGTGTTTGTGGACTTGTAGCTCCCACCCGAGCAGTGCCTCAGGGACAGGAGAGAGGGGACAGGAGTCTTTCTCTTTGGCTACAGCCAGATTGCAGAGCAGCAGCATCCTCACAGTGGCTGGCGTGGAAGCTGACCCCCACTGCCAACCTTTCCTTCTCTCCATGGAGTCTTCCTGTTCTTAACCTCTGGACTGCCCGGGCCCTCCCTTCTGTTCTCACTCAGCACTCTGTTTGGGGGCCGCACAGGGAGTTGCACTCATGAAAGGGAATGGGGAGGCTGGCTTGGGCTGCTGAGGCTCCTTCTTCCCTGCAGCTTGAGATGGTGTCGTCTAGGAAACGGAGGGCCCTGGAGAAACATGCTCAGGCTCCAGCTCACACTCTCCAGCTCTGGGACCTGTTAGGCTGTTTCCTCTCCCCTGGGGTGTGTAACCCCATTATAAGGATGGTTTTAGGCAGAGAAGTGTCCCATCCACTCCCCATGCCTCGGCCCCTGCTTCACCCAGGGTGCCTGTGCTGAGAGCATCCTGTATGTCAAACTCGCGGTCCCTGAATGATGCCTCTGGAGCCATGACTCACTCAGGCTCTGCCTGATGCTCTGGCATGTGCTGAGGCAGGAGCCCCAGGTATCTGGCCTCCTTTCTGCCTGGGGGATGCAGGGCCTGGGCATTCCCGGGCAGCCTCATGGGCCCAGCAGCACTTGGGCCGGTGTGTCTGAATGTATTGGGGCATCACCGGCTGCTGGCCCGGCTCTTCCCTGCATGGCTGTGAGGGTCTCCGTGCTACCTGGCAGGAAGGTGTTGGAGTCTTCAGAGGCCCTTTGGGCTGGCTCTTCCCTCCCTACTGGATCCTTCCTTCTGTCAGCTGCCTGGCCTTGGGCTTTGCCTTCCTAGAAGTCACTGCTCAAATCTTCTCAGCGGCCAGTCCATCCCGTCCCCCTCCACACAGGATGTGCTACTATTAATAACCCACAAGTCCCCTCTCCCCTCCTTCCTGCAGCTGTAACTATGGAAAGGGCTGTTGGCTTGGCTCCATGCTGGGGAGTTGCCGTGTGATTTGGGGACTTCTCATGGATGATGGGCTCACCCAGTGACTTGGGGACAAAGGACAGGTAGTTTGGGAAGAGAGCTGGGATTTGTGTGTCCCAGGGTTCCCCTTGATACTGGCAGTTGTCTTCAGGTTTCTGGGACAGGGGCAGTTTCTCCTCCATCTATCCCTCTGTCTGTCCATATCCTGGCTGCATGGTGCCCCTCAGCTAACCCCACTGTGGCCTCCTCTGAAGAACAGGCCAAGCTCCTGGATATCTGGCAGCGCGTTGGACAAACTTTCTCTTCTCAATGCTCCTGTTTCCTCCCTCCTTCTCTTTCCTCTTCTCCCCTCCCTCCCGCCCTTCCAGGGCTGCTGCCTCCTCCTCCCTCCCTGAATCTGCAGCGTGACTAGAAATAGGCTGAATTAATCAGCAGATTGAAGCTCTGCTCTGCTGCGCCTGATTCTGTGCAGCACCCGGCTTCTTGCTCACACACTCTCAGCTGTCTCCGTCTCTTCTCTCCTCTTCTCTCTCTCTCTCTTTTCACCCTCCCCGCTTTGAGGGAGGTGTTGGAAGTTCTTGCAGCTGACTGCTTGTGGCTCAGACTCTGGCCCATGCTCTTTAAGCAGGCAGAGCTATGGATGCCCCATCAGGGCAAAGGCAACAAAGTGAGTATGCTGGCAGGGCTTTTACGCTTCTCTTTAAAATGCTGTGTTCCCTGCTTTGTGTGGGAGTCTTCGGGTTAGCGGTTGCTGTGAGAGTCCTGAAGACAATGCAAAATGGGAGGCTGCTTGAATGAGCATGGGTAGCTGGGACCTGGGAAGGGGATTGGGAATGAGAGCCAGAAGGCCAGTGTGCCTGGGTAGCTGCCAGCCAGGTGCCCGAGTCACCCAGAGCAGGACTGGACCCAAGCCTCCCAGGGGATACCCTGCCAAGGCATGTGAGGACCTGGGTTTCCATGCACAGGTGACAGAAGCTCAGGGCCAGGAT
Organism: Homo sapiens; assembly: GCF_000001405.40. NCBI lineage: Eukaryota > Metazoa > Chordata > Mammalia > Primates > Hominidae > Homo > Homo sapiens. Next base: position 75,477,066 of record NC_000017.11, read on the forward strand.
GCCATCCCTCCTCAGGGCCAATGAAGGCACTTTGAAGGCACAAGGAAGGACCATGTGGGGAACTAAGACAAGAGCCACCAGGGTGGGGAGGATTTTTTCCTAGGTCCTGGTGGCTACAGGAGGTGGGGAAGAATGTGGGTGAAAGTACTAAGGTCAGCATGAGCCAGGAAAAGGAGGAAGCAGCTCTGCTCAAGGCTCTGATTTGCCTGGCTGCAGACAGTCCATCTGTGTCTGGCCCAACTCAGAAGAGTGTATAGTGGCTGAATCTCTGCTTCCGTGATTCGGGCATTGTGTGGAGTCCAGCTTTGTGTCGCTTCCATACCTGCACTGACGACGACAGTGGGGACCCAGAGAGGGGGCCAGGCCTGAAATGGAGTCTCACTATGTTGCCCAGGCTGGTCTCGAACTCCTGGGCTCAAGCGATCCACCCGCCTCGGCCTCCCAAAGTGCTGGGGTTACAGGCATGAGCCACCATGCCCAGCCAGCCGTTCTAATTAGTAGTTATCTGCTGTTGTCAAGGCTGAAGGTCAAGGTCTAAATTCATAACCTGTCTACCTGAGCTTAGGGGACCTTGATTCTATTGTTCCTAAAACAGCTGGAGTAGGAAGGAGAGCAGCTGCTGTGCCCAGAACGTCGTGCAGGAGCTGTGAAAGGGGACAGGGCGGCCGGGCGCAGTGGTTCACGCCTGAATTCCCAGCACTTTGGGAGGCTGAGGCGAGCAGATCACGAGGTCAGGAGTTTGAGACCAGCCTGGCCAACATAGTGAAACCCTCTCTGTACTAAAAATACAAAAATTAGCCAGGCATGGTGGCGCATGCCTGTAGTCCCAGCTACTCTGGAGGCTGAGGCGGGAGAATCGCTTGAACCCGAGAGACGGAGGTTGTGGTGAGCCATAGCACCACTGCACTCCAGCCTGGGCAACAAAGCGAGACTCCATCTTTTTTTTTTTTTTTTTTTTTTTTTTTTTTGAGACGGAGTCTCGCTCTGTCGCCCAGGCTGGAGTGCAGTGGCGGGATCTCGGCTCACTGCAAGCTCCGCCTCCCGGGTTCACGCCATTCTCCTGCCTCAGCCTCCCAAGTAGCTGGGACGACAGGCGCCCGCCACTACGCCCGGCTAATTTTTTTTGTATTTTTAGTAGAGACGGGGTTTCACCGTTTTAGCCGGGATGGTCTCGATCTCCTGACCTCGTGATCCGCCCGCCTCGGCCTCCCAAAGTGCTGGGATTACAGGCGTGAGCCACCGCGCCCGGCCGAGACTCCATCTTAAAAAAAAAAAAAAAAAAAAGAAAGAAAGAAAAGAAAAAGAAAAAAAGGAAAGGGGACAGGGCCTGGGGCTTGAGGGTTTCTGACTCTGGGTCACCTGAGAAACCTGACGGAAGCGGCACAGGAGAGCTCAGGTGTGTCGGCTCTCGAAGGCGCCTTAGCCTATCCGGGTGCTCAGCTTCAGACCTCCAGAGCTGGGCCTGCTCAGGGGCAGACTCCTTGTGGTTCTGATTTGATGGATAGAGTTCTTTCACCACCCTGCTCTTCCTCCAAATCCCCACGCCCTGCCAGCGTCCCTCTTTGATGATAGAACAGAGAGAGCAAGCCCTGTGTTGGGCGTTTGTTGCCTGCCTCTCCCGAGTCAGGACTTCCTTAGAGCCGTGTTATTTTCTCCTCTTGCTCCAGTTAAGCCTGAGCAGTGAAAACAGCGGAATGGGGTTTGTTCTGCCTGAAAAGCATCCGTGTAATTTGAGAAGTAGGGCCTCCCTTCCCCTTGGTGTGGTGGGAGTTTCTAGCATGTGGGAAGCTCTGAGAATCTCATGTCACCCTTGGGTACTTAAGGCCAGGTTAGATTTTTTCTCAGTCATCTTGGCCCCAGGAGGCAAGAAAAGGCGACCTCAGCTTGTGTGTGTCAACCCGGATTTCTGTTTCTCAGATAATAAGAACTGCGCCTGTTCCCTCGCTATGCCCTGCCATTGGTGCCCAGGTACATTGGGTAGCCAGCCTAACTCCATGCTTTGGGAAAGGCTGGCAGAGCCCACTCACCCACCAACCCATTCTGAACTTCCTTCAGAAAGTATGAAGGTCTTCTGCTCTTATGTCACATGTCAAAGCTGAGGCACAATGAGCAAGAAAGCAGGCCAGGCACGGTGGTTCACGCCTATAATCCCAGCCCTATGGGAGGCGGGAGGATTGCTTGAACCCAGGAGTTCGAGACCAGCCTGGGCAACATAGCAAGACCTCATGTCTACAAAAAAAAATTTATTTTTCATTTATTATTATTATTTTTTGAGATGGAGTCTTGCTCTGTTGCCGAAGCTGGAGTACAGTGGCGCAATCTCGGCTCACTGCAACCGCCGCCTCCTGGGTTCAAGCGATTCCCCTGCCTCAGCCTCCCGAGTAGGTGAGACTACAGGTGCCCGCCACCATGCCCAGCTAATTTTTGTATTTTTAATAGAGACAGGGTTTCACTATGTTGGCCAGGCTGGTCTCGAACTCCTCATCTCGTGATCCCCCTGCCTCGGCCTCCCAAAGTGCTGGGATTACAGGCATGAGCCACTGAGCCCGGCCTACAAAAAAATTTTAAAAGGCCAGGTACAGTGGCTCACACCTGTAATCCCAACACTTTGGGAGGCTGAGGTGGGCAGATCACATGAGCCCAGGAGCTCAAGACCAGCCTGGGCAACATGGCGAAACCCTGTCTCTACTAAAAATACAAAAAATTAGCTGGGTGTCGTGGCATCACCTATAGTCCTAGCTAGTTGGAAGGCTGAGGTGAGAGAATTACCTGAGCCTGGGAAGTCAAGGCTGCAGTGAGCCCTGATGGCACCATTACATTCCAACTTGGGCAACAGGAGTGAGACCATCTCAAAAAAACACTAAAAACAACCCTATCTGGGCTTGGTGGTACACATCTGTGGTCTCAGCTGCTTGGAGGCTGAGGTGGGAGAATTGCTTGAGCCCCAGAGGTGGGGGCTGCAGGGAGCCGAGATTGTGCCATTGTACTCCATCTAGCCTGGGCAACAGAGCAAGACCCGGTCTCAAAGGAAAAAAAAAAAAAGAGAAAAAGAGCGAGAGAGAGCAGTGACTTGACCCTTAATTTCGACCCCCTGCTGGAGAGGGAAGAGGTGAATGCCTGGGCAGTTGGATAAGCTCAGCTGAAGGCTGCAAAGAGCAGACTGGCCCAGAACGCTGGGTCCTCACTGCAGGGCTGGCCTGTGCGGGCAAGAGCTTCCTTTGGGCAGCACGTAATTACAGAATGGCTTATTTTTCCTCTACTGTGCTGTCTTTAATCACCAGTCTGGAGCTGGTGTCCCTGACCAGACATAACAAGCGGGGGCAGATGCACACAGACAGCTCTGCAGGCGCCCTGCCTGGGAGTATCTGCCACCCTCTGGCCCATACCTCCCACACCTGGAGGGGAGCAGAGCGCAGCTTCAAGGTTCCTGGGGTAGAGACAGCAAGAGAGCAGATGATGGCCAGGCGGGGTGAGGAGGTCTTGGCTGCTTGGAATGAGGCAGCAGGTGTCAGGACAGCTGCCATGTGGCCCACGAGAATCAATGAATGTCCAAGATCTTCAGGCCTGACCAAAGGAGGGACACCTCCCTGGCTCTCTGACTACTCCTCTTAGCCTTTTCTCTGCCTTGCTGGAAACTGTCACCTTCCTGAGTGTGGTCCTCATTCTAGGCCGAGCATCTTCCCAGCTGTGTACAGTTGCCTGGTCCTTCCTCTCTTTCTCCCTCCCAGTCTCCATCTCTTGGGTGGACAGCCTTCCCCCTATGCAGGCCAGCTTTTCCTGCCTTCAGTGTGTTTCTCACTTGATCATGTCTGGAGGCCTGGCCCAGGTATGGGCCATTCTGTCCTGGGAACACTCACATTCCTCTCTGTGGCGAGGAAGCTCAGAAGGCTGAGCCTGAGGGGAAGACACTGGAGGCCTGGGGTCTCTGTGTGCAGCCGCCTGTCTCCTAGATCCTCTTCTTCCCTGGGGTGGGAGGAACAGACGTCCATGCCCACAGACAGGAGAAGGCCTATGGTCTCCTCTTCCTGTTTCTCTTCCTCCCTTACAACCCTCCCTGAAGCTTTCCTTCCCTCCATGTCAGGAGCTCCGGGAGGCAGTAGGACAGGTACAGGCATTCATTTGCCCTGGACCATGGCCTCTTTGGGAGGCCTCAGGATCCTTGCCAAAGGGAGGTGGGTGCGTTGGAGCACAGTATTTACCCATGTGGGGGTGTGAGGTCCCCGCCGGGAGGGCCATTTCTTTCTGAGCTGAAATAACCAGTTTATCCCCTCTGGGAAGAGGCGGCTCTTATCTTTATAATCCCCCAAAGCCACTGTGGAGAGCGGGATTAGGTGAGATTTAGGGAAGGGAGCTGGGGAATCCTGGGGCCAGGCCCCGTCCCTCAGGCCAGCACTGGGGGCTCCACTTGAGTGCCTCCTGTGATGCCAGGCTGTGGCAGGGGGCAGCATCCCTGGGCCCAGGAGCCACTCTTACTTATGGGATGTGTGCCCTGCCAGGGCTGAGGCTCAGTTGCCGAGGAGGGGGTATGTGTGGAGACAGGCAGGAAGGAGTAAGCCCAGAAGGCCAGAGGGCACAGCCAGGGCAGGACTCTGGGAGACAGAACTGTGGGCCGCATAGAGGGTGGGGAGAGCAGTGAGACGAGGCAGCCAGGGGTCACCAGCCCCACAGCCTGTGGCTGAGCCTCCTCCATGGCTGCCCCAAATCCCTTTCCTGGTGCCTGAGGTCTAGGGATTCACTCCTCTTGCTCAGGAGGTTTTCCAGAGGGAAGCTCACATGGATGCTTCGCAGGTGGTCCTGGAAAGACTCACTTCTCCTTCAGGCGCTGCCTTTCATGGGGCTCTTCTTTGTCCCAGGGCCTCAGAGCTGGGGTGTGGTGGCTCACGCCTATAATCACAGCACTTTAGCAGGCTGAGGAGGGAGGATTGCTTGAGGTCAGGAGTTTAAGACCAGCCTGGGCAACATATCGAGGCCCCATCTCTACAAAAAAATGCAAAGGGCCAGGCACAGTGGCTCAGGCCTATAATCCTAACACTTTGGGAGGCCAAGGCGGGCAGATTGCCTGAGCTCAGGAGCTCGAGACCAGCCTGGGCAACATGGTGAAACTCGGTCTCTACTAAAATATAAAAAAAAATTAGCCGGGCGTGGCAGCATGTGCCTGTAGTCCCAGCTGCTCGGGAGGCTGAGGCAGGAGAATTTCTTGAACCCAGGAGGCAGAAGTTGCAGTGAGCTGAGATTGCGCCACTGCACTCCAGCCTGGGCAACAGAACGAGACTCTGTCTCAAAAAAGAAAAAAAAAAAAGCAAAGAAAATTAGCTGAGTGTAGTCCCAGCCACTCCATAGGCTGAGGCAGGAAGATCGCTGGAGCCTGAGAGGTGTAAGCTGCAGCGAACCATGCCCACGCCACTGCATCCAGCCTGGGCAGCAGAGCAAGACCCTGTCTCAATTTAAAAATATATATATATGTATGTATGTATGTATGTATGTATGTATGTATGTATGTATGTATAACCTGGAATTCCCTTCATCCCCAGAAATTTTGGTTCAGTAGGTCCGGAGTGGAGCCTAGACATCCACCACATTTTTAAAAGCTGTGGTGTCTAAGATTTTGGGCTGACAGTCCCGATTAAGGTGAAGCCTTGACTAAGCTGCGGAATGCCTCGGGTTGTTCCTGTTGCTGTTTCATTGGGATCATTGCATTCATTCATTCATTCATTTATTCATTCATTCATTCAGCAAGTATTCACTGAGCTTGTGTGTGCCATGCACTGTCTCAGCAGTTGGATGGTGAGGGTGTGTGGAAATGGAAGAATTCAGAGCCTGTTTTTAAGGAATTTGCAGTCTGGCGGGAGAGCCAGCTGTGTCAATCTGTGATTACAGTTCTGTAAGGTGCAGGCTGCAGGCCAGGTTGCCCAGGACACCATTGACATGTAAACCTCCCCTGAAGTGCAGCCCTGGGTTTTGGGAAAATGTCCCAGAGGAGGTGATGTTTGAGCTGAGTCTTGAAGGAGAAGCAAGAGTTGACTGGGGTGGGGCACGTGATTCTCGCTGGGAAACACATCAAGTATGTGAACATGAGCTGAAGGGGCTCGGCTCGTGTCAGGAGGAGCAGGAAAGGAGGCCAGGGAGGCTGGCACATCTGAAGGGTCTCCAGGAGCACACACAAGAATCGGACTTGATTTTAAGGGTAAATAGGTCATTTGACCAACCAGGCAGGCCCTGCTCTGGCCAAGGTGTTCCAGTGGGTTTGGAAAAGTTAGAGACAGTGTGGGGTGGAGTTTGGGCAAGCATAAGGCCAGGGTCAAGAATGTTCTAGAGGTGATTGGGTGAGACAGTCACTGTGAGAGGAAAGGTGACTCTGGCAGTAGAGCCAGGTGGCAAGTTCAAGTTTTTTTCTTTTCTTTTTTTTTTTTTTTGAGACAGAGTCTAGCTCTGTCACCCAGGCTGGAGTGCAGTGGCGTGATCTTGGCTCACTGCAACCTCTGCCTCCCGGTTCAAGTGATTCTCATGCCTCAGCCACCCAAGCAGCTGGGATTACATGCATGCACCACCATGCCCAGCTAATTTTTGTATTTTTAGTAGGGATGGGGTTTCACCATGTTGGCCTGGCCAGGCTGGTCTCAAATGCCTGACCTCAAGTAGTGCACCCATCTCAGCTTCCCAAAGTGCTGGGATTACAGGCGTGAGTTCGGCCCGAGTTCAGGTTTTTGGACACATTGACTCCTAGGTCCCTGTGAAGCAGCTGTAGGCCCGTTCAGCAGACGGGTCCACATTCAGGGTAGCGGTCAGACTTGAAGTAAAATAGGAGTTGTAGGCTTGTTGGTGGCAGGTGACTCTGTGACTGTGGATGAGGTTGCTCTGGAAACCTACAGAGGTTGGTAACGTGTCCTAGGTGGCCTATGGGGTAGACGGATGGGGAAGAACAGTCAGAGTCAACGGAGAAAACAGGAGAGAAGCCAGGAATGGGGGAGTCCTGACAGGGAAAGGCTGGGCCACAAGGTCGCCTAAGATGATGTGGTTGGTCCCTGCGTCGTCGGGGCCTACACTGTCCACACCTTGTCCCATTCATCCTTGGTGAGATGGGAGTGTGCCTCTGCACAGTCCTGCCCTGGGAATAGCTGCCTTTTTTTCTGTTATGTCCTTCCTAATGTTTCAGTGTTACAATATCCTCTCTTTCATGAAATGGTAGTTATAGAAGATGGTGGGTTTTTTCCCTCCCTGCCCCTTTCTTCCGTCCCTCCCTCCCTCCCTCCCAACCTCCCTCCCTCCCTGACAGAGCTGGAAGGTTTTTTTCCTTCATGTCTTTCCTAGGAACAGTGAAATGCTAGCATCTCTTTTTTGTTGTTGTTTTTTTGAGACAGGGTCTCATTTTGTCATTTAGGCTGGAGTGCAGTGGCACAATCACAGCTCACTACGACCTTGACCTCCTGAGCCCAAGCAATCCTCCTGCCTCAGCCTCCTGAGTAGCTGGGTGCATGCCACTATGCCCAGCTAATTTTTTCTTTCTGATTTTTTGTACAGATGGGGTTCCTCTATGTTGCCCAGACTAGTCTTTAACTCTTAGGTTCGAGTGATCCACCTGCCTCCACCTCCCAAAGTGCTGGGATTACAGGTGTGAGCCACCACGCCTGGCCAAAAGATAGCATCTCTATGTTAGTTTCCCTCTCTCCATTTAAAAAAAGATATATTTTAGGCCAGGCACAGTGGCTCACGCCAGTCATCCCAGCACTTTGGGAGGCCAAGGCGGGCAGATCACTTGAGGTCAGGAGTTCAAGACCAGCCTGGCCAACATGATGAAACCTCGTCTCCACTAAAAGTACAAAAAATTAGCCCGACATGGTGGTGTGTGCCTGTAATCCCAGCTACTCGGGAGGCTGAGGCGGGAGAATCACCAGAACCCGGGAGGCAGAGGTTGCAGTGAGCCGAGATCGTGCCACTGCACTCCAGCCTAGGAGACTAAGCAAGACTCTATCTAAAAAAAAAAAAAAAAATTGTCCATGCAATCAAAGACTGGCCCCCTTGCAATAAATTGGGAGATCAGTGGTGAGCACAGCCTGGGTGGGCAGGGAGCTCGCCAGGGGCAGTGGGGAAAGTGAGTTGGGGAACATGGAATAAAAGAAAAAGTTGTTTTGTTTTTTAATTTGGCTGTAAAGAGTAGGGTAGGAGGCTGTGCACTTGAACAGTTTGTAATTTGGTGGAGATGGACATGGTCACACCTTGAGAGGCCAGAGCTGGTAGGGGAAGAGATGTGAGGATCCCAGAGGAGGGGAAGGATGAAGGGCCAGGGAAGGGGAGGGTTGGGGCCCGCGTGCCTTGCATAGCCTTGGCCTGGCAGTGACGCCCAGCGCCTCCTGCTTGCCTGCAGGGCGAGCCTCCCTCAGCCCTGGGCCTGTCCACGCGGAAGGCCCTCAGCGTCCTGAAGGAGCAGCTGGAGGCAGTGCTGGAAGGACATCTCAGGGAGCGGAAGAAGTGTCTGACGTGGAAGGTGAAGCTTCTTCTCGGGGCTACCAGGGCCTGGCTGGGATGGCAGGGAAGTGTGGGAGGCCCCTTCTCAGGACTCTGATGTACCCTGTCACCCTGGACAGTGTGACCCAACTGAGGCCTCATGAAATATCAGAAAGAAGCCAAGGTTCCCCTCAGAGTGGCTCCTGAGCCTGCTTGCTGCAGGAGCCCAACAGGCTGGAGCCCAGCCGAGGTCAAAGAGAGGGGACCAAGGCGGCCATGGGGGCTGGGAAGGGTGCCGGGGGAGGCAGCCAGATTGGAGTGGGACAGGCCTCTCATTGTCCCCTCCCTGTCCGAACTTCCCAGGAGGTGTGGAGAAGCAGCTTCCTCCACCACAGTAACCGCTGCTCCTGCTTCCACTGGCCGGGGGCCTCACTCATGCTACTGGCCGTGCTGCTGCTGCTGGGCTGCTGCGGGGGACAGCCAGCCGGGAGGTGTGCGCCCAGGGGCTGCTCCCCAACCTCTCCAGCTGTGCTGTCCATCCTGCCGCGGCACCTGGGACAGACCAGGGCTCTTGGGGGCTGTCACCCCCAAGCTGCTCCTGGGATGTAAGGGAACCTCCTCAGTCCCTTGAATGGGGTCAGAGGCCTAGCTGGTGTCAGGGCACCAGAACGGGACAGTCTTTCCACAAGGGACTGGGGTGGGAAGGGGAGCTGTGGCCTGGGGGCTGCTGGGTGGGCGAGCCCTCACTCCCTGTGGGTGCGGCCTCTCTTTCCTCCCACCAGCCGTGGGGTGGGGCTGGTGAATGCCTCGGCCTTGTTCCTGTTACTGCTTCTCAACCTTGTGCTCATCGGGCGGCAAGACCGGCTGAAGCGTCGGGAGGTAGAGCGGAGGCTGCGAGGGATCATTGACCAAATCCAAGGTGAGGTCAAGGGCAGGCATATTGGTGGGAAAAGATGACCGGACATATCAGAGCCCTGAGGGCTCCCCTCCTGCACCCCAGCACAGACGGGTTGCCTGTGGCCAGCATTGCAGGGGCTCTTGTCATCTGGGGAGTTAGAAGGATGCCCACTCTCTTTTGAGCAGGGCAGTGAGAGCTGTGGGATGGTGGTGGGTGCCCAGGCAGAGGGCTGGGCAGGCAGGAAGGCCAACAGTGGCAGGTGGGCTTGCAGGCTGGCTCACGTTGGGAAACCAACAGGGAAGTCCTCTCACATGGCAGGAGGATGATTGAAGTTTTCTCGTTCAAGTCCATCTTGTCTGGTGTACTGTGCTGGGAGACATGGGAAGGTGGGCAGACATACCTGCAGGAATTGGGGTGGGGTAGGGGCCGGGAGCCTGAGATGGAGCAGCCCAGCTCCAAAAGGGAGGGGAGTGGCTTGGATTTCTGCTTGGCCTTTCATTCAGGCGGTGTTTATGAAGCTTGGCTGCGGATTGAGGGTTGTTGAGGCTCTTTTGAGGGACGGTGGCTCCTGCTGTCCAGGGGCATGTGGTGCTGTGGGAGAAGCAGCACCCACTCATGAGACCTTTCTCCAACAGACCTGGGCAGTGGACGTTTAGATGCTAAGTGAGTTTGTCCTTTCGTTCTGAGATGGTTAATTGCCACCATGTGCCAGGCACTGGGAGTGCAATGGTGATGGCAAAAGATGGGCCCTGCTTTCCGGAGCTTAGTCTCCTGCCCAGGAGCATCAGTGGCTCCCTTTTGCTTATGGAAGCCATCCCAGAGGCACGAGTGGCCTCCCAGAGCCTCCAACACAGGCTCACCTTCCTCTCCAGCCTCTTCTCTTCCTCCTCATTCTGATGCTGAAACTACTCACCAGTCCTAGGCCCACTGTGTATCAGCCTCTGCCTCTGTGCCTCTCTCCACTGTTCTCTGCTGGTGAGCTTCTCCCTCACTCATCTCCAGCTGACAAAACCATTCTTCCAGGCCCATCCCCAGTGCTTCCTCTTTCAGGAAGCCACCTCTGATCGCCCCAGCAAATCGGTTTGCTCCCTCTTCTGGACTCCTGCAGCACAGGGATCTTTGTTAATGCTTAGCCGTGTTTGCCTTGTTTGGCGTTATCTGTCCACATGTCTCATCTGCCCCACTGGGTTGTGGCTCCTTGAGGAGCTATGTTGTTGTCTCCACCTTGCACCCCTCACAGGCCCTCTGCAATGTTTGTGAAGTGTATCTGAATGGGATGGGGGTACAAAGAACGAGAGCTCCAGGTGTTGAGAGGAGGTAGAGGCTCTGGGGCTGGAGTGGCCGGGTAGGGCTTTATAAGGGAGGCATCCTTGAAAGCAGGGAAGTGTTGGAACGAGTGGAGGGGTTTGACGCAGACCTCCTGGGAGAGGAAGTGGGCAGACAGTGCTTCCGGAAGTGCTGCTGTATCTGACTGGGGGGCAGGGCCGTGGCTGAGAGGGTTGTTTCCCTCTTTCCATTCCCCTCAGATGCCCTCAGGGATGGCAGGGAGATCCAGTGGCCCAGTGCCATGTATCCAGACCTCCACATGCCTTTTGCGCCATCCTGGTCCTTGCACTGGGCCTACAGAGACGGACACCTGGTCAACCTGCCAGTCAGCCTGCTGGTTGAAGGAGACATCATAGCTTTGAGGCCTGGCCAGGAATCGTTTGCTTCTCTGAGGGGGATCAAGGTAGCTTGAGGCTTTCCTTCTCCCTTGGAAATGCGGTGGGAACATCCACAGGCAACGATGGGAGGGTCCCCAGACTTCATCCGGAAGCTTCCCGGCCAGCTTACTGGCTTTTTGGCAGAGGCTCTGGAACATCTTCCTCCACCCTGCTGTTCTTTTTTTTGAAACAGGGTCTCACCCTGTCGCCCAGGCTGGAGTGCAGTGGCACGATCTCAACTCACTGAAGCCTCTGCCTCCTGGGTTCAAGCGATTCTCCCACCTCAGCCTCCCCAGTAGCTGGGATTACAGGCACATGCCACCACACCTCAACTGGCTTATTTTTTATTTTTTGGTAGAGATGGGGTTTCGGCATGTTGGCCAGGCTGGTTTCGAACTCCTGACCTCAGGTGATCCACCTGCCTTGGCCTCCCAAAGTGCTGGAATTACAGGTGTGAGCCACCACGCCTGGCCCCCTGTGCTGTTCTTTATTCTCGCTAAAAGTCTAGTCCCACAGGCCCTGTCCCAGTGGACTCTGGGCTAACTGATGGCTCCTAACCCCAGCGAATGTCTGTACTTAGATGAATTGTCCAGGAAGAGTGGCCTCTGATAGGACCCTCTCGTTCCCACTCTCCCACTTGCTGCCGGCAGGATGACGAGCACATCGTCCTGGAGCCGGGAGACCTCTTCCCCCCCTTCTCCCCTCCACCCTCACCCCGGGGAGAAGTGGAGAGAGGGCCACAGAGCCCCCAGCAGCACCGGCTTTTCCGTGTCCTTGAGACCCCTGTGATTGACAACATCAGGTAGGGGTGCTGCCCCGCCTCCTCCTGTCCCTGGTGTCTTCTGTGAAGAGGGGAATGGGACTGACAAGGAAGGGGCCCCGTTCATCTCGAGGTTCTCTTGAGGGCAGGCATCTCCTTAGGCTCCTGTCCTTAACATCTTGTGAGAATTCTTAGACTGAGTGGTGCCCTCTCCCAGTCTCTACTCTGAGGGGACAGCTCTGGAGGTGAACACGGGCTAGGGCCAGGGCAGAGCGTGGAACTGCAGGACTCACGGTGCTTGAAGAAGCGGTATCTGGCAGAGAGGCCCAGAATCCTCCCAAGGTGTAGGTTTCTAGCCTCTCTGCCAAGTGAGACTGACAGTCACTTCTTTCTGCAGATGGTGCCTGGACATGGCCCTGTCCCGACCAGTCACTGCCCTGGACAATGAGCGGTTCACAGTGCAGTCGGTGATGCTACACTATGCTGTGCCCGTGGTCCTGGTGCGTGTGGCGGGGCTGTGCGGGGCTGCATGGGGCAGAGGAGAGGGCTGGACACGGGGGGGTCTCAGGGCCACTCACATGAGCGGGAGTGAATGCAGAGGGTCCCAGAGTGAGCCAGCCTGTGGAGTAGCAAAGGAAGGGGAACGGCAGTGCCTGGGTCCCTCTAGAGGGGCGGGGTCAAGGCTGTGCCTCTGCTGTTCCCAACAGGCCGGCTTCCTCATCACCAATGCCCTGCGCTTCATCTTCAGTGCCCCGGGGGTCACTTCCTGGCAGTACACCCTCCTCCAGCTCCAGGCAAGGACCACCCTGTCCTCTCTGTCATGCTTCCCTCCGACCCGCAGGGCTGGCTCTTCTCCTAGTACCCTGGCTGTCCCTCCCTCTCTGCAGCCCAGAGGTCCCCTCACGCTTCAGCTTAAGAACACCTCTTTCCAGCTGGGCGTGGGGACTCAGGCCTGTAATCCAAGCACTTTGGGAGGCCACGGCAGGCAGATCATGAGGTCAAGAGATCGAGACCATCCTGGCCAATATGGTGAAACCCCGTCTCTACTAAGAATATAAAAATTAGCTGGGCGTGGTGGCACGTGCCTGTGGTCCCAGCCATTCAGGTGGCTGAGGTGGGAGAATCCCTTGAACCTGGGAGGTGGAGGTTGCAGTGAGCCGAGATCACGCCACTGCCCTCCAGCCTGGCGACGGAGCAAGACTCCGTCTCAAAAAAAAAAAAAAAGAACACCTCTTTCCCTTCCTGCCCCTGAGAGAGCTGGCCCTTCCTGCCCAGGGAATGGCCGTGGGGCCAGGGCAGCCCTTCCCTTCCCTCCTCCCCAGGCCCGGAGCTCAGGAGCCATCTGTGTGGTCCGCTCCTTCCCAGGTGAATGGCGTCCTGCCCATCCTCCCCCTGCTCTTTCCAGTCCTCTGGGTTCTGGCAACTGCCTGTGGAGAGGCCCGTGTCCTGGCCCAGATGAGCAAGGCCTCACCCAGCTCCCTGGTAGGTTTTTCCAAGGTGTCTGGGGGAAGTCACAGGAACAAAAAGAGGGAGCTGGCTGTGCCAGAGGACGGGGGCAGAAGTCCAGCCCCACCTTGGGCTCGGCATGTTGGTCAGCCTGGGCAGCTCTCCAGGCCTCGGGCCCTCTCCATTCCAGAAGGGCCTCCAGGCCAGGCCCTGGGTGTGAGTGAGCGTCTGCCCTGGCTTCCACCAGGTGGGGAGTCAGAACGGCCTGGGCCCTTTACCAAAGGGGTTGGGAGCCCCGCTGGTGTGGGCCCCCCCTCTGCCAGCTTGGAGAGGCCTGTGTGAAGGCGGCGTTTTCCTCACTGAGGACCTCACCCTCTCTCCGTGCAGCTGGCTAAGTTCTCAGAGGATACTCTCAGCAGCTATACGGAGGCTGTCTCCTCTCAGGTACAACACTGACCCGGGATGGCTTCTCTCGCAGGTCCCTAGAGCCATAACCCTGGGACTCCCCTATTTATGGCCTTAAAGCCTCCAACCAGGCTCTTAGAGCCCCATGTCCACCCGTTACATGTGGACATAACCTGGACCTGTTCCCATAACGTGTCCACACCCTGTCCCAGAGAAGTGCCTCTCCACCCCAACTTCGTGGTGCTCCCCTGGATTTTCCCCTAGAGGCCGTCTCCAGGGAAATGAGGCTGAGCCCTAAATGGCCTTGCAGACTTCCTCTCTCCCACCAGGAAATGCTGCGCTGCATTTGGGGCCACTTCCTGAGGGTGCTCGGGGGGACATCGCCAACGCTGAGCCACAGTTCCAGCCTGCTGCACAGCCTGGGCTCTGTCACGGTGAGGGTGGGCCTTGCGGGGAGGAGGCAACTGTCATGCCCGCCCTGCTCTCTGGCTGGGCCTGGGCTGCCCACCTGCCGCTTGAGTGGCCCCTGGGCAGGATAGGCTAATGCCAGGCCCCTTTCCTATCTCAAATGCTTTCCATGCAGGTCCTGTGCTGTGTGGACAAACAGGGGATCCTGTCATGGCCAAATCCCAGCCCAGAGACTGTACTGTTCTTCAGCGGGAAGGTGGAGCCCCCTCACAGCAGCCATGAGGACCTCACCGATGGCCTATCCACCCGCTCCTTCTGCCATCCCGAGGTAGAGGAGGAGGTACGGCCGGCTCCCATGGGCCCGACTCTGGGCCAGGCTGTTTAGCCTTGGAGCCTGGCCAGGGAGGGTGAGGTTTCGGAGGGCGAAGGAGGGTTTGGGCACCATTAGGATCTGCTTCTGGGCAGGTGAGGTGAAGACAAGGCAGCCAGGGGACCTAGAAGCATCCTGCCTCCCCAGGCCATGGGAGCCACTGGTCCTAGCCTGTGCTCCTCATTCTCTTCAGCCCCATGAACGAGACGCCCTCCTGGCTGGCTCCCTGAACAACACCCTGCACCTTTCCAATGAGCAGGAGCGTGGCGACTGGCCTGGCGAGGCTCCCAAGCCCCCCGAGCCCTATTCACACCACAAAGCGCATGGCCGCAGCAAACACCCATCTGGCTCCAACGTGAGCTTCAGCAGGGACACCGAGGGTGGTGAAGAAGAGCCCAGCAAGGTGACGGGAGGGGGTGGCACGGGGCAGCCACACCCTCGGCCACAGGCTGTCCTGGCCTCCCTGGCCAGCCTGGCCTCACAAGGTCTGAAAGAGCAGGCGTCTCTGCCCTCTGTCCCAGCACCTCCAGGCTAGGCCAGTGGTCCCTGAGGCCCTCCCCAAGTCTGCTGCGAAGTAGGTGGAGCCTCCCCCTACCCTTCCATTCTTGTAATCGCAATCACTGGTGTCCCTACTGGAACCTTCCAAATATACACAGCCCGGAGCTCCCTCTTAGAGATGTTCCCTGGCCACAGAAGATCCCTCAACTGTGTCCTCTTTGGTCTGGCCACCCCTCTTTTTAGCTCCTGCCAGTGTCATGAGATATATTAATAGTCCATAGAAGCAGACAGGAGCCCAAGAAGGACAGGAAGCGGATTTCAGGAGGGAGCGGGTGGAAGAGGGTGAGCAGCAGCTCTCTCCTGGGAAGGGTGCCTTTCAGGGGCAGGAGCCCTCCCCAGCCTTGGGAGGTGGGCAGAGCCAGTGCTGGCTTCCCCACACCCTATCCCGGGCTGAGGCTCTCCTCCACATTTCCCCCAGACCCAGCCTGGGATGGAGAGCGACCCCTACGAAGCAGAGGACTTTGTGTGTGACTACCACCTGGAGATGCTGAGCCTGTCCCAGGACCAGCAGAACCCCTCCTGCATCCAGTTTGATGACTCCAACTGGCAGCTGCACCTCACCTCCCTCAAACCCCTGGGCCTCAATGTGCTGCTGAACCTGTGTGATGCCAGCGTCACCGAGCGCCTGTGCCGATTCTCCGACCACCTGTGCAACATCGCCCTGCAAGAGAGCCACAGCGCCGTGCTGCCCGTCCATGTGCCCTGGGGCCTCTGCGAGCTTGCCCGCCTCATTGGTACAGGTCCCCATGGCAGGGGATGGCTGGCTGGACCCGCCTCCTAGAAGAGGCCCAGTACCAACTCCTCACGGGACTTAATGGACCTGGCAGGGTATTGCCAGGGCATGGCCCTAAGTTCCTGTTCCCCGCCCTGCAGGCTTCACTCCTGGGGCCAAGGAGCTTTTCAAGCAGGAGAACCATCTGGCGCTGTACCGCCTCCCCAGTGCCGAGACAATGAAGGAGACATCGCTGGGGCGGCTCTCCTGTGTCACCAAGCGGCGGCCTCCCCTCAGCCACATGATCAGCCTCTTCATTAAAGACACCACCACCAGTGAGCCCTGGCTACGTTGGCCAGCACCAGGCGAGACCTTCCAGAGCTTGGCAGGGGGGCTCTGCCCAGCCCCACCCATTGCTAGGGAGGCCTGGGCAGATGAAAAGTAGACTGCTTCCAAGTGTTCCACTCTGGCAGGGCTGGAATTGGGGACCAGGGCTGGGATGGTGTTGGCTGCAGAGGCCGGGATTGTCCAAAGGATGGGAATATGGTGTCTGCATTCCAAGCCCAGTGGCATTGCAGAGCCTTGCTGTCCGTGAGTCCCAGGGAGTCTCCTCCTCTGGCAGGGGCTCCTCAGCGCCCTTCTCCAGGAGGACAGTGCGTTGCCTGTCAGGTCAGCGTGAGGGGGCTGGTTAGCGACACTCAGGGTTTGAACTCTCTCCCCCAGGCACAGAGCAGATGCTGTCCCATGGCACCGCTGATGTGGTCTTAGAGGCCTGCACAGACTTCTGGGACGGAGCTGACATCTACCCTCTCTCGGGATCTGACAGGTGGGTGAGGAAGCACATGCCAGCAGCAAGAGCAGTCGCGCTGCCGGGGCACCTGCCCTTCACAGGCAGGAACACTCACCTCACCTCCGCCTGCTTCCCTGGCAGAAAGAAAGTGCTGGACTTCTACCAGCGAGCCTGCCTGTCTGGGTATTGCTCTGCCTTCGCCTACAAGCCCATGAACTGCGCCCTGTCCTCTCAGCTCAATGGCAAGTGCATCGAGCTGGTACAGGTGCCCGGCCAAAGCAGCATCTTCACCATGTGCGAGCTGCCCAGCACCATCCCCATCAAGCAGAACGCCCGCCGCAGCAGCTGGAGCTCTGACGGTACCTCATGGGTCTGTCCAGCGGGGCTGGTGCTGGGGCTCCCCTGGGCTGCCGAAGCCCAGGAGCAGGGAGGGCGTCTGGAGGGCCCCGGCACCCCCCACAGCAAAGGGGGCAGTGGCCACAGCCCCAGGCTGGGACGCCAGTGTGGCACTCTATCCGGGGACATGGGGAGTCCCTTAGTTTCCTCCCTTATCAGTGGGTGCTCACTTGGCCTGCCTCACTGGTTGGTTGTGATGCTCAAGTGGGTTACGTGTATCAGAATGCTTTCCTGGGAAGTTACCAAGCAGCGTTCCTAGAGCATTAGGCTTAGTAGGATCAGACAGGAGATCAGGTCTGTCACCCTGCTGGTGCAGAGGGGCCCAGAAGCTCCACCACGCCACCCCATTCCCACCAGACACGCACACTTCCCAGGTTTTTTGAACCCAAGAGACTGTGAATTGAAACAGTTGCTGAGGGTAGGGCCAGTACCCCCTGGGCAGGAGCTGAAGCCACGCCTTGTTGTAGCTTCCAGCTCAGATTCGGCTACCTGACTGATGCATACCTTTCACTGTCTTTTCTCCTGTGTCTGTCGGCTCCTTCGTGTGTCTTGGCTGTGTGTGGTCCCCTGGGGCCCATATGCTCATTGATTTGGGTGTGGCATCTGTGTGTGTGGCCCTGGGCTGGTTCCTGGGTGTCCTGATCGGGCTGTGTCCTGTGTGTCCTGCCTGAAGAAGGGATCGGGGAGGTGCTGGAGAAGGAAGACTGCATGCAGGCCCTGAGCGGCCAGATCTTCATGGGCATGGTGTCCTCCCAGTACCAGGCCCGGCTGGACATCGTGCGCCTCATTGATGGGCTTGTCAACGCCTGCATCCGCTTTGTCTACTTCTCTTTGGAGGATGAGCTCAAAAGCAAGGTGGGGAGAGCCATCCCTTCTGCCACCACTAACTCTGTTTCCACGGGCTTTTGGGCCCGTATGTTCATGGCCGTCTGCCTTTCACAGGTGTTTGCAGAAAAAATGGGCCTGGAGACAGGCTGGAACTGCCACATCTCCCTCACACCCAATGGTGACATGCCTGGCTCCGAGATCCCCCCCTCCAGCCCCAGCCACGCAGGCTCCCTGCATGATGACCTGAATCAGGGTAAGGGCAAAGGCGTGGGGTGGGGACGGGGTGGCGGTGGGAGGATTCCCCTCCTCAGAGCCACAGCCAGGAAGAGCCTCCGGAGAGCCCTCCAGTTAAGTACATTCCCTTGGGAAATGGCTCTGATGTCCCTGCGGGAAACAGTAGTCAGCAGGAAGGAGTGGACACAGGCAAAAAATTCTCTGCAGGGCAAGGACAGGTTCCCAGAAGGCTGGTCCCAAGGTGAGGGAGAGGCTTTTGTCCCCACAGTGTCCCGAGATGATGCAGAAGGGCTCCTCCTCATGGAGGAGGAGGGCCACTCGGACCTCATCAGCTTCCAGCCTACGGACAGCGACATCCCCAGCTTCCTGGAGGACTCCAACCGGGTACGATGGCAGGATCTGTCTCACGTGTTCCTGTAGTGGTCCCATAGCTGGTCCAGGGGAGAGGTAGAGAGGTGGTGGGCAGGCGGTGGAGGGGAGGGATGCTGATCCCCATCCCGAAGCCGCTGGCATCTCTGCTTTCTCCAGGCCAAGCTGCCCCGGGGTATCCACCAAGTGCGGCCCCACCTGCAGAACATTGACAACGTGCCCCTGCTAGTGCCCCTTTTCACCGACTGCACCCCAGAGAGTGAGTGCTGTGGCCATGGGTACTTGGGCAACCTGGTCCCGTCGGCTGAGCTCTGCCTGGGCCTGCGTACCCCGTGGGCTCTGGAGGGATGTAGGTTTCCCATGCAGGGAGTAAAGGAACCTGGGCTGGGATCAGCTGGGGAATCTTGTGGGTTGGAGTCAGAAGTGCCGATGTTCACATGATCCCGCTGCCGGGGGTGGGATTGTTTCAAAGAGGGGCCCACCTCCCATCGCCTCCTGCTCTCCTGTCCCATGGGTCTCTGCCCAGTGCCCACTTGGTGCTCTGCCTGCCTGACTCTGGTGCCCTTATACGCTGTCCTCAGCCATGTGTGAGATGATAAAGATCATGCAAGAGTACGGGGAGGTGACCTGCTGCCTGGGCAGCTCTGCCAACCTGCGGAACAGCTGCCTCTTCCTCCAGAGCGACATCAGGTCAGGGCGGGACCCTGGAGCCTGCGGGCCAGCCTCTACCTCCCAGACCGGAGGATCAGATGGGCCTGCGTGGGGCTGGGGGTGTGTACTATAGCCGACCTCGCCCTGGCTGGGACCAATGCACCTGGGCATGGTGGGAGAAGAGGGTGGGGTGCCCAGTCCTGTGGGAGATACAGCTGAAGTGTGTGTGTCCCCCACCCTGAGCAGCATTGCCCTGGATCCCCTGTACCCATCCCGTTGCTCCTGGGAGACCTTTGGCTACGCCACCAGCATCAGCATGGCCCAGGCCTCGGATGGCCTTTCTCCCCTGCAGCTGTCAGGGCAGCTCAACAGCCTGCCCTGTTCCCTGACCTTTCGCCAGGAGGAGACCATCAGCATCATCCGGCTTATCGAACAGGTGGGTGCTTCGGCAGGCAAAGGAGGAGAGACGCAGGACAGGACCCGCCTGGGGTGGGAGTAGCAGCAAAGGACCTGTTTGAACCCGGGGACCTCATTCCCCAGCCCTCCGAGCGGGCTCTCCCAGGCAGTTACATTCGCCTCTGCTCCCCTCGTAGAAGCATCCTGGGCGTCTGGCTCTTGGCTAAAGTGTGTCAGCTGTTGGGCCTGGGAGAGGCCAGGTAGACCCAGGCCATAATCTGTCCCTCTTGGTCCCTAGGCTCGGCATGCCACCTATGGCATCCGTAAGTGCTTCCTCTTCCTGCTGCAGTGCCAGCTGACTCTTGTGGTCATCCAGGTGAGGTGGGGCCCGCACAGGCATTGCCCCCGTGCCACTCACCCCTTCACTCAGGGGCCAGCTGAAAATCTGAGGAAGGAGGCTGGGGTTAGCAGTACAGTCAAGGGGTCCCCCCAGAGCCTCTGTGAAGCCCCTGGGCTTTTTGAGCTGACCCTCATTGGCAGAAGAGTATTCCCTCCGGCCCCTGTTCCCTCTGGCAGGATGTGAGCATCTATCTGGGCCCAGGGCAAGGGAGCTCGGGGGCTCCTATGCCCTTATTATTTGCCTGAATTGAACTGTGGCTCTTGGCTTCTTTCCTGGTCTAGTTCCTTTCTTGCCTGGTCCAGCTGCCGCCACTCCTGAGTACCACCGACATCCTGTGGCTGTCCTGCTTTTGCTACCCTCTGCTCAGGTGAGATGCCATGTATCTTCCCCACACCCCATGCCTAAGCAGGAGGTGTCTGGATGTCACTGTGCAGCCCCAGGAGCCCAAGGTTCTGGAACTGCTCAGGTCTCACCTCCTCTGGTACAGGAGGCATGGAGGGAACCCCCTTTGTCTTTTTTTTTTTTTTTTTTTTTTTTTTTGAGATGGAGTCTCGCTCTGTCACCCAGGCTGGAGTGCAATGGTGCAATCTCTGCTCATTGCAACCTCCGCCTCCCGGGCTCAAGTGATTCTCCTGCCTCAGCCCCCTGAGTAGCTGGGATTACAGGCACCCACTATCATGCCTGGCTAATTTTTGTATTTTTAGTAGAGATGGGTTTTTGCCATGTTGGCGAGGCTGGTTTTGAACTCCTGACCTCAAATGATCTGCCCATCTCAGCCTCCCAAAGTGCTGGGATTACAGGTGTGAGCCACTGCCGTCCAGCCTTTGTTTTATTCCATCCCCTCACCAGACTCGACCTCACGCGCAAGACTCCCTAGAGGTTCCCTCTATGAGAATTGAGGGACAGAGGGTCATTGTCACCATCCCTCTACCTGATCTCTGCTTTTCAGCATCTCTCTGCTGGGGAAGCCCCCCCATAGCTCCATCATGTCTATGGCAACGGGGAAAAACCTCCAGTCCATTCCCAAGAAGGTAAGCAAAACAGACCCTGTGAGCCTTGCAAGTGAGCATGGAAGGGACTGAGGATTGGGGGAGGAGAGAGGGGCTAATCTGGAAGGCTCTGGATGGGGGATTCCAGCAGAACTCCGGCACTTGGTTCCTAGTCTTCCCCCAGATCAAAGAGGAGGTAGTGGCACAGAGCTGGGAAAGACCCTTGCTGGGGCTTGAGCTCCCTATCCCCCCAGGCCTGACCATTTACTAAGAGCCCGTTGAATACGTGGAAGAGCTAGGAGCAGCCGGCAGAGGGGCTGTGCGCCCCAGGAGTGACTGGCCTTGTTCCCGCAGACCCAGCACTACTTCCTGCTCTGCTTCCTGCTCAAGTTCAGCCTCACCATCAGCTCCTGCCTCATCTGCTTTGGCTTCACACTGCAGAGCTTCTGTGACAGCTCCCGGGACCGCAACCTCACCAACTGCTCCTCCGTCATGCTGCCCAGGTGGGTCCCAGCCCCAGAGATCCACCCATCGCCTGCCTCGCCTCGAGGCTTCCTCCCTCCCCACCCCAGCCTACCTCCCTGCGGCCCTAGAGGGGCTGAGCCCATGCCTCACTTTGGCAGCAACGACGACAGGGCTCCAGCCTGGTTTGAGGACTTTGCCAATGGACTGCTGTCGGCTCAGAAGCTCACGGCCGCCCTGATTGTCCTGCACACTGGTGAGAGGGCTCCCTGGGAGGGCGTGGATGATGGTGGGAGAGGAGCCCCACTGTGGAAGTCTGACCCCCACATCGCCCCACCTTCCCCAGTCTTCATTTCCATCACCCATGTGCATCGCACCAAGCCCCTGTGGAGAAAGAGCCCCTTGACCAACCTCTGGTGGGCCGTGACAGTGCCTGTGGTGTGAGTATTGCTAGGATGGAGGGCGGAGTGTGGGCTGGGGAGGAGAGGGCCTTCTGCAGGGCTAGGATCGGAGGGCGGGACCGGGGCCAGTGGTTTAACTGTACCCTGCCTGAGCTAACTGTTGTACTGGGAAGAGCAGGGAAGGAAGCAAGCAGTGTCGGGTTCACACGGGGCCGCCACCTCCTGCAGGCTGCTGGGTCAGGTGGTCCAGACGGCTGTGGACCTGCAGCTGTGGACACACAGGGACAGCCACGTCCACTTTGGCCTGGAGGACGTGCCCCTGCTGACATGGCTCCTGGGCTGCCTGTCCCTGGTCCTTGTGGTGGTGACCAATGAGATCGTGAAGCTACATGAGATTCGGTGAGCTGTCAGCAGGGCGCCTCCCTCTGGGCTCAGGCATGTTCCCTAAACCTGTTACTCCCTTGGCGACACTCCCCCACCTTTCCGCTGCCCATCCCTCCCTCCTCCTCTGGTGTCCTGCCCCGGCCCCTGGTCTAAGGATCTTTGCCAACCTGTACTTTAATCTCCTGCCCCACCAGGGTCCGAGTCCGCTACCAGAAGCGACAGAAGCTGCAGTTTGAAACTAAGCTGGGCATGAACTCTCCCTTCTGAGCCACTGGCTGTGGTGGCTGTAGTTGCCCCCGTCCCTGGGGCTAAAGCCAGACCCATTTCTGAACAGGGGAGTTTGTATCATGAATGTTTCCAGGTTTGCTCCTGCACCCGTGGCACTGGAAACCCAGCTCCCCGTGTCAGACCCCGCTGTCTTCCTGAGCCCTGGGGCTCACTGTGGAGGAGCTGACGGCCTGGGCCCTTGGCCAGTCCTGGCTCTTCCCTGGGCCTCACCAGGGACACTCTTGAATGTATGGCCTCAGGCGCTCCCTAGAGGGGCCCTAAACCCCCTCACCTGTGAGCTACCCCCTTTAGGGATCCCTTGCCCCCTTGGAGATCCCTTGCCCCCCAGTGCCTCTGCTCGTGGGTCCCTGGACACGGCCTTGAAGCCAACCTTCTTTGGAGGAGCAACAGCAGCAGCCTTGGCCGACGCGTCCAACTCCCAAGGCTGCCGTGGAGGGCAGGGGGGTGGTGCTTGCCTGGATGTGGCCCCGAGTGCCTCCCCTCCCTCCCTCTGTGGGGGAGTCTCCCGCCTGAACCTGAAGATGGAGCAGGGCCCCCGCTTCGCCCTGGAGCCTCTTCCTGTGCCTGGCTCAAGCTGGCTGCCTGTCAGTCTTGGGGAATCTGGCCCAGGTCTCCTCAGCCTCTGCCCCAGTTCTGGGAGAAGTTTCTACTGGTGTATATTTTTTACTGGAAATGAGCCTTTTAGGAATGAATGTAGACTGGTTTGTATTAAAATGTGTCAATTGCTAAGAAATACCTGTGGCTGGTCTGTAAGGCCACTCCAGGGTCTGCCCACCCCCGGCGGTGGCTGGCAAAGGGAGGCCTAAACCTTCCTCCATCTACGCGGGTGGGTCCCTCAGGTCTGGCTCAGGCGAGACCCCTAGGGTCAGGGGTCCCCATGTCACAGAGGCAAACACACAGCCCAGTCACGTGGAATGGTGTTTTCATTGGTGTTAGTTGGGGGAAGAGGTTAATGGTTACAGAGCCAGGGCCTGGGCCAATGGGGTCAGGCTCTCCCTGCCCTCAGGTGGGCAGTCGGGGCTCCTGCTGTGGTCCGAAGCCCCTCCCCCATTGTGTCCTCTCAGGCAGTTGATAGAATAAATTCCATTTAAAATATATGCATTTCTCTCTGCTTAGAAAATAACATTTACAATTGAAAAGTTAGGACTTGTGGGATCTGTTAACCCCACTGCCTCCCACCCCTGCTAGCCCTGCCTCAGTGAGGGAAGGCGGGGGCAGGAGCTGCCTGGGCACCACCGCTGTGTATTTACATGTCCTCTGTACACCTACGGAGAGGGGGCCCGGCCAGACACACGCCTCCTCCAGCCTCTCAGGGCCTGGGCAGGATGGTGGGTGGCAAGAGGCATTCCCTTGGCACAACTTGGGACATGGGCTGGGGGGTACAGAGAAAGCACCCCCAAAGCCCCACCCCTACTTCCTCCCTGAGGAGAGAGCTCTTACCAGGGTCCCTGTCCAGGAGCAGGGCTGTCCTGCTCAATCGATCAAACCCTGGGAGGGGCTTTGCTGAGATGCAGCGGAGGTCCCTCGCTAGTCAGGTTCTAAGGTGGGCTGCCCCACAAGAGCTGTGGTGCCCACAGCCGCGGGCTGAGTGGGAAGGGGCCCTGCTAGGAGGGGCACTTCAGCCTGACCAGCCCTTGGCCCGTCCCTAGGGTGGCAGGGGCCTCTTCTGTGCTGGGGCAAAGGCAGTGGACTTCGGCAGGTCACAGTGGGCACTGCTGGAGGGCTCAGTCCAGCATGGCGTCCAGCTGGTCAGCCAGGGCGTCGAACATGGTGCTGATGTCATCCAGAATGTGCTTGGTGGAGGCGCTGGGGGTGCTGCAGCAAGGGGAAGGATGCGGTCAGATCAGCCAGTGGCCTGCACCCCACTGGCCCTGGGGCAGGGAGCTGTCATAGCTCCCAGAGGCTCAGGGAGGCAAGGGACCGGCCAGGCTCCTGTGCCTCTTAAATGGTAGCCACCAGGATTCCCTGATCTAGGTGATTTCAACACCTGGCCTCTTATCCCGTTAGTGCCTGCAATGTCCCCCTCCAACATCCCCATGATCCCTGGGCAGAGGATGCAGGGAGCACTGTTTCTCTGCAGCCTTCTCTCCCTCCCCATCCGGCCCCCCTCACCCCTCTTGCTCCTTGGTGCCAATGCTCTTCTCTGCGGCTCTCAGTGCAGCTGCCAGGGACGAGCTGGTCTGCTCCAGTCTCTGCTGGGCCTGGCCTGGGCCCACAGTCCCAGTGCTCTCAGGCCGTGGAGGAGGCACTGGGCGGGGGCCGAGCCGGGGCGCTAGCTTAGGGCCAGAAAATGCCAGCTGGGTGCAGGCCACCGACACAGGCTTGGGGGCTGTTCCTGCAGAGACAAAAAGGTTGGCTTGGGACTTGGCTGGGTCAGACACAACCCTGCCAGCAGTGACTCTCCCACAGGCCTCCCCTCTTACCTGCTCCGGGCACCTTGAGGAGGGCAGCAGGGGCGGCCGGGGGTTCTGTCTCCCCATTCCACCGACTAGCTGCTGAGCTTTCCAGACCTGGCCCTGGGCAGGGCGGCACTGGAGGCTGCATGGCGGGGCTGGGAGCAAGGGGGGTTGGAACTCCTTGGGCTGGAAGGCTGCTGGGCTCGGGCTGGGGAAGGCTAGAAGCTGGAGGAGACTCGCCAGGAGTTGGGGAAGGCAGTGGGGCAGCGGGGCCAGGCGTGGCACTGGCCACTCCGAAGGCCAGCAGTGCGGTCTGCAGTGGCTCTCTCTCCCGGCACTTGGGCCTCCGCTTAACAGTGTCTGATTCCGTGAGGTTGAAATCGAGGCCGGGGGGCACGGGTGTCTCTCGGGGCGGGGGGCCAGCGGGCTTCGGGCGCTGTTTGATGGTCAGGTTCCCTTCCTCTGCAAACGGCAGCCCTTCCCCAGAGCTGCCCCGAGATGGGGGCGTCCCCTCAGGGCCTGGCTCCTCCTCCTCCGTGTCTGACGCGGGCCCAGCCGGGGCAGGTGGGCCAGGGGGCTCTGAGGGGCCAGCAGGTTCACTCAGTGTTCGCCTTCGGGGCCCTGTGGCCCCTTCCTTGGGCCCTGGGCTCTCATCTAGTGGAGGTGGCTCCGGGCTGGGGCCAGAGACGGAGCTGAGGCGCTTGGGGGGCGGGGGCGGGGGGCCTTTGCGCCGGGCCCGCAGGGCAAAGGACTGGCTGCGAGGAGTCCCCCGAGCTGGGGTTGGGGTCACACTAGGACTGGTCCGGACAAGGGCACTGCGTCCTGGCCGCCGGGTAAGGGTAGCATAACTGCCTAGGGTGCTGCCCACTGGCCCTTCGGCCTCCCCCTCAGCATCCCCCTCTGTGGGGCCAGGGCGGCTTAGGCTGTGGGACCGGCGCTTAGGTCGAGGCGGGTCTGGGGGAGTGGCAGGGGGCCCGGCCAAGTAGGAGAAGGCCCAGGGTGCGCCAGGAGGTGGCCCTGGGGCCGGGCTAGAGGGTGAGCCCTGGGGGTACA
Source organism: Homo sapiens (assembly GCF_000001405.40). Taxonomy (NCBI): domain Eukaryota; kingdom Metazoa; phylum Chordata; class Mammalia; order Primates; family Hominidae; genus Homo; species Homo sapiens. Next base: position 75,502,805 of record NC_000017.11, read on the forward strand.
TAAAAACATAGGGTGGGGGTCCTTGGCCAGGAAGTGAAGAACAAAGCTTAGGGGGCCGCTCTGTGCCCTCTGGGAGGTTCCTCTCCTGGGGGGGGCTGGGATCTCCACCGCTGGGCTGTGGGGCAGGCTGTTCCTGTGAGTGGCCAGACCCCCGTGAGCGTGCCCCGATGCTCTCCTGGCTGGGAGAGCGGGCAGGTGGGAGGGGGAGTGGTTCAGGGCCACCCCCTGCCATGGCCGCCTGTAGCTCTGGGCTTAGTTCGCTGCCCTGGAAGGTGAGGAGCCGTGGGCCAGCTGTAGCTGGGCCTTCTCCGTTCTCCAGTCCCTCGATGGCCATCAGCTCCGGACCCTTGGCCAGCCGGCGCCCGCCTTCGCTGAGGGCCTCCCCCTGCAGCAGGCCCCGCCGAAGCTCCGCCAGCCGCTTCACCCCCAGCATGAGCTTCTTCTGATGCCCTGAGATGGGGGACGGAAGTGGCAAGGTTAGCTGGGGCTGGGGTTGTCCTGGTCACCGCTGGGCCCCATACTGTCTTCTCTTGGAGACCCCGGAGGCAGGTGGGGGCCCAGCCAGGCCTCAGGACAGTCCTTACCGAGCTTGTTGACCCCAATCTCCTGCAGCTCCTCCCAGGTGAGGTCGGCCACCAGCCCCATGGAGTCGTAGCCGCTGCTCACCAGCTGCTTGTGGTACTGTGGCAGCCCCAGTGCACACAGCCACTCCAGCAGGTCCGTCTGGAAGAGCACCGTCCTCAGAACAACTCCCAGCCAGCCTCCGCCCCCAGCCAGAGGAGAAAAGGCACCGCAAAGCCACAGCTGAGGGTGACAGCACGTGCCCCACTCCCCAGCCACCCTTGATGGCTCACTGGGATGTAGCTGGGCAGCCACTCGGCGATGCTGAGCTGAGCGATCTCTGAGGCGATCTTCTTCCTGTGCCCAGGCTTGGTCACCCCGATGGCCGTCAGGTCCTGCCACACAAAGTCTGGCCATCAGGCCCCTCCCCCGCCTGCTGGGCCCTCCCCCGCCCGCTGGGTGCTGCTTCCCGGCTGCAGCACCCACCTCAGGTGTCATGCGGCTGATGGTAGGCACATCATAGCCGGCCTGCAGAAAGTGGGCAGTGTAGCCCTCCAGCTGGAACTCGCTTAGCCAGTTATGAATGGCCTGCGCGTCCTGCGGGGTGGGGGAAGGGGGCAGAATTAGCAGGAGCTGGACCAAGGCCCTAGCCCCCACCAGGGGCTCAGGACCTGCCTGAGCGGGGCTTCAGTCCATACAGAGGCTCTTGCCTCTACCCTGCCCTACCCACCCCGAGGCCCACAGTGCACCCCGTGGAGGTCACACCTTCCCCCCCGAGGCCCACGGTGCACCCCGTGGAGGTCACACCTTCCCCCCCGAGGCCCACGGTGCACCCCGTGGAGGTCACACCTTCCCCTCCAGCAGCTGTTCTGGCCGCACGTCCTGGGTGAAGATCTGCTCCCCAGAGCGGCAGTTGGCCAGAGGGCGGTGGCTCAGGTTGTCTTCAAGGAGAGAGAAAAATGGAATGGAAAGGTGGCAGGAGGAAGGGGTGCCCACCCTCGGCCTCCTTACTTGCACCTCTCCTAGCCAACCCAGGTCCCCTGACCCTTCCTACCTGCCAGGGACGGCGGGTGGAGTCCTGGCAGCACCTGGTCCTCTCCAGCAGAGGGCAGTGGCTGGAGGAGACAGGGCAGGAGCCAACTCAGCATTTGGGGAACTGGCAGTGGGGAGTGAGCCCTGACCTGGTCCGTGACCCCATCATCCTACCTGGGCGTTCTCAATCAGGAGGCCAGGGCCATGGCCATTAGTGCCCTCAGAGCTCTGCCCGCTGCCGGCACTGCGGATGCTGCCCACGCTGCCCTCACTGCCCACACTATTCCTGTCACCTGCTGTGGGGGGCAGAAGCCAAGGGGTCAGAGTCCCAAGTGTCGCTCTGACAGCTGTCTGGCAGCTTGCCCAGGCCACACGCCCACACAGTGCCCAGCACTGCCCCCTGGGAGGATGTACCTGGGCTGTCTGGGCTGAGGCCCACCCGAGGAAGCTGGCTGTAGGTAAGAGGGTGCGGGGGTTCTTCGGCAGGAGGCTGCGGTGTCCGGGAGAAGCCTGGGCGCAGGGGGGTGGGTGCGGAGGGGAGGCGGGCTGCAGGGATGCCCACCCGCTTGCTGACCACCTCGACAATGCCCGGGGGGAAGTAGCCTATGCGGTCTGTGCCCCTCTGGCTCTCGTGGATGTGGCCCTTCCAGCGGCCGTCGGGATGCTGTTCTAGCACCTGCGGCCAGGGGTGGGGGGCGGGGACGGTCACTCCCAGCACCAGGCAAGTGGCAAACGGTTGTCCCTGCAGCTGCGGTCCGGCAACCCTGGTCCAGCTCTTTCCCTACCCCTAAGGAGCTGGCCTCTGATGCCCACACTGGCCCAAGTTCCGCCCCTGCTGCCAGCAGCCAGCTCAATCTCCCCTGTGCCTCCAGGGCGAGCCCCAGTGGCAGCCCGTGGTCAAATCACAGCTCCACTACTTGCTAGCTGTGTGACCTTGGGCAAGTCACTTGAATTTCTCTTGATTTTATTTTGTTTAATTCTCAATTTTGTCATCTGTAAAGAAGAAATGCTAACAGCACTGCCTTCCCTGGCTTTAAGAAGAATTAAATGAGGGTGCATATAGAGACCTCAGAGCAGAACGTGGTAACATAGCAGGTGCCCAAATAAGTAACAGCAATCATTTGTATTTGCAAAGGAATGCCTGCTTGGGGTCCCTCACCGTGATGACATCCCCTGCCCGGACATTGAGAGCAGTGGGATCGTGGAGGTTCCAGAAATCCTTGAGCGCTCGGACCTTCAGGATCCCTGAGGCCTCTAAGAAAACGGGGTGGGGGACAGGTGTCATCTAAGGGTCCTTAGGGCATCTTCCCACCCCTCATGCCCTTGACAACCCTCCCCCAGGGACGTCCACTCCCCCTCCACATCCTGGTACCACTTGAGCGGCCCCAGGCCCCCTGGGCAGGGTATCCTCCCCCGCACTCACCCCGCAGTAGCTGCTTGATTTCCCGGCTGGCCTGGGAGGTGGTGAACTGATTCACTATGTCCAGCGCCGTCTGGTTATACGTATTCCGGATGTTCACGTCCACACCTCCCTGGGTGCACAGTGTCACATGAGCACACGCTAAGCACTTTGACACCCCTCACCCGATTCTCTCAGCTACCCGGGACATAGGTACTATTACCATTTTCCGATTTTACAGATGAGGACATAGAGGCTCAGGGACTCAGTCAAGGACAAGCTCAAGTTCACTCAGCTAGTAAGAGGCAGATCTGGGGTGCCAATCAGGTTGGTCTGCCCCCGATCCATCTGCACCGCCTCGGCACCATTCAGAAGGAAGTCAGGCCTCTTTCCTGACGCCCATGCAAAAACCACGCTGGAGTCCTCCGTCCCGTACCTCCCCAGCCAGTCAGGGGCACAGGGCAGAGGCTCCATGGACACCTGCGAGGGAGCAGGGGCCCATACCCACCTCCAGAAGCAGCCGCACCACCTCGGTCTTGCCATACAGTGCGGCCTCGTGGAGCGCCGTACCCGTCTTGGTCTGGCGGTTGATCTCGATCCCAGCTCTCAGGAGCTGCCTGCAGTGGACGGGGGGAGTCACGGGGGAGGTGGCGTAGGAGGGGGTGCTGACTGCTGGGGGCCTGGGAGATGGAGAGCCCGGGTGAAAAGGGCAGTGGGGGAGAGCACTGAGGGGCACCGATGGTCCCGCAGGCAGGTGATGAGGAAGCGAGGGGACCCCAAGGGTACCTGATGACTTCTCTGTGGCCATTCTTGGCAGCCAAGTGCAGGGGCGTGGTGTAGTTGGGGTCACACGGGTCTTTGGCCTCACCCTCCAGCAGTGCCACACATAAGTGGCTGTTCAGAAGCAGCTGGGCCACCTGCAGCACCCAGTGCCCAGTTAGAGCCTCCTCCTGAGACCCTGTAGATGTCCAGGACCCAGCACCCCAAGGCTGCAGGCCTCACCTTGAGTCGGCCAAATTCACAGGCCAGGTCCAGGGGCGTCTTCTTGGCCTTGTTGACCAGGCATGGGTTGGACTGATGCTGGAGGAGCATTTCTGACTGGGGTTGGGGGAGCCGAGTGAGGGGGCCTGGCCTGTCCGGCACCCCACCCTGCCCTGCGCCACGCCCCTGTGGGCAGCCTCACGTACCACCTCATAATGTCCATACTGTGCAGCCAGGTGCAGGGGGATCTGTCCGTCCAGCGAGGCGGCATTGACAGCCGCAGAGGCGCGCAGCAGCAGCCTCACAGGCTCCAGCCGGCCCTGCCAGGCTGCGTAGTGCAGCGGGCGCATGCCTGGCAGGAGGAAAGGGTTTCTGAGGGAGGTCCTGGGACGGCGTTGGGGGTGGAGAGGAACTGAGCAGAGTACGGAGCCAGCCCAGCTGGGAGGGCAGAGAGCCCACGGGGATGCAATGCTGGCTCTATCCAGGTGTGCTTAGGAAGAGGTTCGGCTCGACAGGGCTGAAGCCAGAGTCCTGCTGTGCCCACTGTGGATCATGATGACCCCAGGACAGCAACAACACCTCGCTGAGCCTCAACCTACTCATCTGAATAATGGGATGTTAGTACCACTCGCCTATGCAAGAAGGCTGTGAAGAGTAAACGGGGAAAAGCCACTTGCAAGCCCAGAGACGCTGTGCTAGCATCTATTAGCATTGCTACGTTGTCATAGGAGCAAGCTCTGGTCCCAGGGTCTGGGTAGGGCCCCTACCTGCCCAGGGTGGGGGTCGGGGGCACATGGGGGTCTCACCATTGCTGTCCTTGATGTCAACAGTGGCCTGAGCCTCTAGCAGCAAGGCTATGAGCTCCAGGCTGCCCCCCAAAGCAGCGTGGTGGAGGGCAGAGAATCTGATGTGGGAGGACACAAAGTTAGGGGTGTTGGTGGGCAGCCCCCACCCCCAAATCCTGGTCTTCCATACCCGAACCTATCCTGGGGGCTGGCAGGGATGGGTTACTGGCCCCCCCAACCCCAGCAGCCCTGCCGTGGGAGCGCAGTGGCTGAGCCACAGCATGAAAGGGCTCAGTGTCTGCACTGAGAGGCCCGTTTGTCTCGCCCCCCCGCCTCCCAGCTGGCCCAGGGGAGGGGGCCGTGGGAGCAGGAGCCTGAGGGCTCCTACCCTCCAGGGAGAAAAGGGGGCCCCAAAGGAATCTGACCCCAGGAGGCCCTGCGGAGAGGCACCAGGGCCCCTCCCCTCACTCAGGGCTAACTCCACGGGCGGGCGGGTGCCCCCTCCCTCCAGCCCAGGGACAGGGCCCACAGCTCGCAGCAAATACACTTCCAGGGCCAAGTCTGAGAGGGAAAGGGACCCTGGGCCTCAGGATCTTTCCCTCCAGCCCCACCCCTGGGGCTCTACTGCCCCCACCCAGCAGCTCTGCAGAGGGACAGGGGCTCCCACTCACCCATCAGCATCCTGGTAGTTCACGTTGAGCCTCTTTGTGGAGCCCAGGAGCTCTAGGGGTCAGGATAGGAGGTGTCAGGGCCATCAGATGACTGCCCTCACTCAGCATCCCTCCCCCCACCTGTCACAGCCCGGCTGACCTCTTGGCGTGCAGGAAAGCACCTGCCCCATGGCCTTCCGCCTGTCCCGTCCCTGTGGCTCCCCACCCTGGCCCACCGGCCCAGCAGCATGAGGGCAGTGAGGGCAGGATGCTGCTGCGGCAGTGGGCTGGCTTCCCCTCGCCCCAGTCCCGCTTGTTTATAGAGCCAAAGAGGGCGGGGGGTGGGACTGGCACGATGTGCCCTCAGTGGACAGGCCCACGGTGTGCATGGTTAGCATTCCTGCCTGAATGGGCCAGGCAGCGAGTCATGTTGTCCTACTGGGCCGAGGGGTGGGGAGAGAGAAGGAAAGAGGCACTAGGTATTCAAGGGCAGGCCACGATGCCCAGTCCTGGGGCATCCCAGAGGAAGGTGACATTAGACAGACCTCTACCCAACACTGGCTCTGCCAGGCACCAGCTGTGTGACTGTGACAAGTCATTTAACCTCCCATGCTCAGTGTCCTCAACTGTAAAATGAGCTGATCAGAACCTGCTCACGGGGGCTGTGAGTACAGTGCCTGACCTTGTCATATGCAAAGACAGGAGCTCTCAACATCTAGCCCTCCTGACATGTGGGCAAATACCATCCCGATGTTAGGGCGATGGTCCTCCAACAAGAGCTGGCACAGGGCCCATACTGTCCCCACTGGGATCTCCATGGGTGCTCAGACTGCCCGGGGAGTCACTGCTACTGCTGACTCCACACCTCCAGGGTCTTGGCTGAGATGTCCATGCCCTGGACAAGGACTCTGCAGGTTGGTGGCAAGAGGAGCTGGGGCCACCCCCTCTCGGGGCAGGGTTCAGGCAGGTGTGCTCCCTGCGAGAGCCAGGGAACTGGTGGGAGTGGCTCTTGAAGTGCTGGGGAGGGAAGGAAGGCCTGTCATGGGTGGCCCCTGCCTCCTGCTAGAACCCACCCTGCAGGGAAGGAGTGGGCCTGGCTTGGCCAGGCTGGGCAGAGTGCCAAGTGTGCTGGCCCAGGCCTGCCCCCCAGGCTCTGGTGGACCCCTGAATACCCCAGTAGCCTGGGGAAGACAGGGCTTCATTCCAACAGGGAGGGGAGGGACCAACCTGGCAGTAGGGAACATGGCACAGGGAGGGAGGGGACAGCTACATTGAGGGCCAAACTGAAGGACACTGTGCCACAAAGGTAAAGACAGAGCCAGGGAGGGACAAAGCGCTAAAGGGGTTGTGGCCACTGGGAAGAAACACAGACCTCCATTTTCCTCCAGTCCCCTTGGAAAGTCCTTGTCATACAGAACCATTTGAGGCAGTAGAAAGAAGAGGGGCTCTAGAAGCGGAAGTGCACAGTTCAAATGCTCACTCTGGCTGTGTGACCCTGGCCTGCCACGGTACCTCTCTGAGCCCCAGTGGAGACAATGCGGTCAGCAGGGAAGAGACACAGAGCACCCTTCAAGCTGCCCACTCTTCCATTAGCCCTCCTCTTCCAACAGCCTGGACAGTTTGGGATGAGGCAGCTGGGTGGCGGGATGCAGTCCCTCCCGAGAGGAGCAGGACAATGTGACAGGCAGGACAGGAACAGGGCAAGGGCCAGGCTGGGTGGCTCCGTTCTTTTCAGAACAATAGCCGGAAAGGCGGTGGGGAAGAGGCTCAGAGTGACCGGGCTGGGGACCCTGGCAGGAGGGCAGAGGGTCCAGGTTCCTGGCAGTGACTCCAGGCACTTCCCCTGCGGTACAACCTTCTTCCCGGGCCTGGCGCTGGGGGTGGAAGGGTGGCTCCTGATTTAGGCTCCCGGGCAGAGGATGTGAGCTCAGCCGGCCGCCCCAGCACACCCCATTTCCTCTGGCCAAAGAAGGAGATTGTTCAGAAAAGGGAGTGGTGCGGCGAGGGGCGGGGAGCAGGGCCAGGGCAACTGTACCCCTCTTCTCTCAGCCACCTGCTCCCTGAAGAGGACCCGGGTGGGGGCAGGGAATTGGCCTGATATCAAATGCAGGAGGCTGAGGGAGCATCTCCCACCTCCCTGTTCTCTCTCTGGATAGCTATAAAGCGCCAGCTAAACCCCAGAAGAAAAAAGGGGAGTCCTGACGCCTCCCTTTTAGCAGTTTCCCTTGCCTTCTTACGATATGGAGCAAGAGTCCCCAGCCTCACTTCTGAGAACTGCAGTAAAATCATGGGGAGAACTTTCTGATACACAGAGTCCCAGGCCCTCTGTGATGAGTCTGATTTTGAGGGGAGTCCAAGGAGTCTACACTTTTATTTTTACTTATTTATTACTTTTTGAGACAGGGTCTTGCTCTGCTGCCCAGGTTGGAGTGTAGTGGCACGATCTCGGCTCACTGCAGCCTTGACCTCCCCGACTCAAGCGATCCTCCCACCTCAGCCTCCTGAATAGGCGGGACTACAGGCATGTGCCACCATGCCCAGATCATTTCTTAATTTTTTTGTAGAGATGGCATCTTACTATGTTGCCCAGGCCAGTCTCAAACTCCTAGGCTAACTAGGAGTCCTGGGGGACTCCTTCCTGTGCACAGGGCCAACAGGACTATAGGTGTGTGCCATCATGGCTGGCCCAGTCTGCACTTTTGAAACAATCCCTAGGCCAGCATGGTGGCATTGCCTGTAGTACCAGCCACTCAGGAGGCTGAGGTGGGAAGATGAGGCAGGAGGATCACTAGAGCCCAGGAGTTCAAGGCTGGGCAACATAGCGAGACCCCATCTCTTTCCCTGTCCTTTTTTTTTTTTTTTTTTTGAGACAGACTCTTGCTCTGTTGCCCAGGCTGGAGTGCAGTGGTACAATCTCAGCTCACTGCAACCTCTGCCTCCCAGGTTCAAGCGATCCTCCTGCCTCATCCTCCTGAGTAGCTGGGACTACAGGCACTTGCCACCACACTGAGCTAATTTTTGTATTTTTAGTAGAGACGGGGCTTCACCACGTTGCCCAGGCTGGTCTCGAACTCCTGACGTCAAGTGATCTGCCCACCTCGGCCTCCCAAAGTGAGACCCTATCTCTTTAAAAAGAAAAGAACAGAACAATCCCTAGGTAATACTGATGGGCAGCTGAGTGCAGAGCACAGGGGACAGGGTGCAGCTTTGCCTCTGCTCTGCCATGCTATGGCTGTGTGACTTTAGGCAAGTCACTAACCCTCTCTGAGCATCACTTTCCTTATCTACAGAACGGATATTGAAATACCTATCTCACAGGCAAGTGAGGAAATTATAATATTTCATACACTATAAGGTTTGCAAATGTCACCTTGTGATCTCACTTTTGTCACCAGCCTCTCCAGCTTCTCAGAGGACTGGGAGGGGAGGCACAGTGCCAGGGCCTCATAAGGAATCCCAGGCCCCAGTCATGCTGTGCCTGAGCCTACAGCCTGCGCAGGGTGAATTCTCCACTTTGGGACTGAGGGAAGGGACCTCCTTCCCCACAGACGCTTCCCACTGGGCACAAGGGAACTTCTCGGAGCCTAAGAGCCCAGCTCTGCAGTTCCCGCCACTGGCCTCCAAACCCCTCCCGCCTGCCCTCCTGAGGGCCTCACTTTGAGGACCCAGAGCGGTGAGGCCAGCAGCAGCTTGACCAAGGCCCCACTGGGCAGGTTGCCAAAAACAACACAGAGGTGACAGAAGAGGGGAGTGGCTGCACTGCTGGACCTTAGGGCCCTCCCCTGGGACCTCCTTAGCACCTCCCCAGTGGCACCCACCCTGTGTCCACTTCCCTAGGCACAGAGACCACCCCACAGCTCCACCTCTCCAGGCCCTGCGTCTCCTGCCCCAGTGTGCTAGTGGATGCATGAGGTTAAGGCCCTTCCTCTGGCACCCATACCCCAGGTGTTCAGGTAGCCTGGGGGACTCCTTCCTGTGCACAGGACCGAGGTGTATCTTGGGGCTAGAGCCCCTGAACTCCAGAGGAGACCTTCCCATCCAGGGAACTCCTCCTGCCTCAGTCTGGTGGCAGGAACCACCTCCTGCCTATGCTGATCTGGGATCTCAAGGTGACAAGTCCAGCGGCCTCCTGGGACAGCCCAGAGAGCCCTCCCTGAAGCCCAGAGGTCTATTCTCCCTGTGGGGGGTCGCACCACAGAGGTACCCAAGACATGGGGCTCAGGTGTGGCCGCTTGTGCATGGATCCCCCACAGCCCGGTCAGGTCTCGAGGCTAGGTGAAAATCTCCAGTAAATGAGCTCTGGCCACACCCCACCAGGACACACATGTCAGGGGAAGAGAAACTTTAGCAACTTGTTAGAGAGTGTTGAACTTTTTTTAAGCAGTAGAATTCCCTTTTTAAAAGCTATCTCGTGGCCTGGTGCGGTGGCTCATGCCTGCAATCCTAGCACTTTGGGAGGCTGAAGCGGGTGGATCACCTGAGGTCAGGAGTTCGAGACCAGCCTGACCTAGATGGTGAAACCCCGTCTCTAGTAAAAATTAGCCAGGCGTTGTGTCAGGCACCTGTAATCCCAGCTACTCGGGAGGCTGAGGCAGAAGAATAGCTTGAACCCGGGAGGCAGAGGCTGCAGTGCGCTGAGATCATGCCACTGCACTCCAGGCCGGGTGAGAAAGCAAGACTCCGTCTCAAAAAAAAAAAACAGCTATCTTATAGATATCCTCTTAAGACACGAACATAGAGGTGCTCTGGTTGAAATGTGTGCGTTTGAGGTTGGGGGTAGGGATGAAGTTCTATCTATTCAGTCTTCTCTAACCCACTGTCAGAAATCTCATGGCTCCAAAGAACACATCAGAAAGACCATCTGCTAGAAGGCAACTCCACGAAGACAGGAATTTGGGTCTGTTTTGTTCACTACTATGATCCAGTGCTTAGAACAGAGCCTGAGCCAGGCACAGTGACTCACGCCTGTAATCCTAGTACTAGGAGGCCTACCTAGGTGGGTGGATCACTTGAGGTCTGGAGTTCGAGACCAGTCTGGTCAACATGGTGAAACCCCCATCTCTACCAAAAATATAAAAAAAAATTAGCCGGGCATGGTGGCACACACCTGTAATCCCAGCTACTAGGGAGGCTGAGGCAGGAGAATGGCTTGAACCCAGAAGGCGGAGGTTCCCGTGAGCCGAGATCCTGCCACTGTACTCCAGCCTGGGTGACAAGCTATAGGCACTCAATAACAATGTGAATGAACGTACTTCAACCCTCTAATTTTGCAGGCCAGGAAACTGCAGCCCAGAGAGGTTAAGTGACTTGCCTAAGGACACACAGCAAGGGGGACCCAACTTTCTCTCTGGCTCTCTCACACAGAGGCACTTCTTACTGAGAACAAGACAGTCCACCCTCCTCAAATATGCAGATCACAGTGACCCACCCCCACCCACCAAGCCTCTGTGAACTGAGCGCTCGGCCTCAGCGGGATGCTCGTCCCACCCGGTACTCACTTGTCTTTGTGGCCTTGACCTTCGCCACCAGTTTCTGCACACCGGTCACATCTCCATTCTTGACGGCGAGGATCAGGTCCTGTTCACGACCCATACTGGCTCCTGGGCTGAGCTCTACACTCAGGAGTCCAGGGCAAAGGCAGGCAACGGGTCCAAGCTGGGGCGTCAGGGCGCCATGCCACAGCCCCTTGGAGGGCTCCCGGTTCCGGGGGAGCAAGTCAGGTGTCCCAGGCAGTGGGCTCCTCGTCAGGTACTGAGGGATACTCCCAAAGGTGCTCCGTGAACTGCCACCACACGAAGGAAAGCTAATCTTTGAGGGGGTGAAGGCTACATGGAAATCTGGATGGATATCAGCTTGTGGCTTCCGACAGCTCCAGGATGGGCTGGGACTGGGCACACCAATCTTCCCGGCTTGGCTGTGGAACACCAGTGCCCACCCAGAGAGCAGCCAGCATTCCCTTGGGCCTCAGGCAGCAGCGGTGCACTGGTCTCAGGGCTCTGGAAAAAGCACGGGGCCTCTGTCGAATGCTGGGCCACAGCCTGCAAGGGTCCCAGAAGTGGAGTGCAGAGGATGAGCAGGACAAGACCTCCAGGGAGCCCCCAAGCCACCCTGGCTCCCCTCGGAGTCGATGGTGATGCTGAGCCACTGAAAGTGGGGAGGAAGCTGCTATGCATGAGAGGAGTATTGGTGGGGGGGAGGTGGCATTCTGGGAGGGGGAGGCTGAGTCACTGGGGCCCCAGGGCACCTGGCAGTACCTCAACCTTGGGCAGGAGGGGCCCTGGCAGCATGACATACTGGGGCAGGCCGGGCCAGCAGCCTGTTCTCCACAGCCCGAGGCTCCGACACCCACAGACAACTGGCGGGCCAGGAGGTGGGGCCGGGAGGGTCAGGCACAGGCAGGCGGGCAGGGGTCACTCCCTGTCAAAGGCACCAGCCCCCAGATTCCTCCCTACGGAGGCTTCAAGGCTTCGCTTTAATGGCTGGATGCCCTAGTCCTAGGACTCTTTGTGAACGGAGAGCATGAAGTGCTTCTGGCCCCCCATTTCTGGGGGCTCTGCCTGCTAGAGAGGGAAGCTGCACAGCACCTGTTGCTGACCCGCCCTCGCCCCTTGTGTCGGGTGGAGGAGCAGCTGGGCAGAGAACAGAGAGAGCTGGGGCACTGCTGACAAACGGGGCTCCCAAGCCCCCCAAGCCTGAACCTGAAGCCCAGACCCTGGACTCCACCGCAGAGAAGCTTACGTCAGTTTCTCGGTGGCAGCGAATTTACTGCCAGAGTCTTGTGGCATGAGATCCGCGCAGGCCTGGGGCCCTGGCCGGGAACCCCTCACTCCCCAAACGTCCCAAGCCCAACCCAGGGGCACTCCCACGCGGAGCCCGCGGCCGACACGGGCGGAGGGCGCCCTTGGCAGTGCCTGGGGTCGGGCTGGCTCCCCCGCCCCCCGGAATGTCCCTCCAGCGCCTCGCAACCCCCCAGCCCAGCCCAGCCCAGCCCAGGCCCACCGGGGAACAAAGCGGCGGGAGAAGCCGGGCGGGCCAAGCGCCCGAGGTATAAACGCGGAGGATGGAAAAAGGGGCGCGAGGAGGACGGAAGGAGCGGGGAGATGGAGGTGCCCGCCGACCCCGCAAGAAAAGTTAGTTTGCGCCCGCCCCCAGGGGCGCTGACCCCCAGCGCGGGCCCCGCAGCCTCACCTCTCCCGGCCGCCCGCCGGGGTCCGGCTGGCCCTGCTCGGTCCCTGGCACTCAGGACGGTGGCTCCCACTCCCCCCTGCCCCCCTTTCTCCTTCTCCTTTTCCAAGGCCGGCTCGGCGCCTCCCGCAGGAAATCCCGCCCCTCCCCCCTCCCTCCCGCCGGATCGGGAACGGAGGGACCGTCCCGGCCGCGCAGTCAGGCTGTCAGTCAGCACCGGCGGCTCCGCCCCCATCCGCGCCAGATCCCGCCCCAACTCGTGCCCGCCCGGACCGGGGGCGCTGACCGGATCAGCGCATGCGCCCAGGTGAAACGGAGGGGCGGGGGGCGCGGGGGCAGAGGTGACCTGGGGCTCTGGACTTAGACCCAAGGGCTAGACACCCCGGGTCTGACTGGTGGGAGAGAAGACGTAATGTGAAGGGGGTTGGCAACCAAGACGCGGGACCCCACTTGCAGTACCCCCCGTCTGCGGCCGGCGTCGCCCACCCGCAGCCGCCGGCCGGGCAATGGCACCACCTAGCGGACGGCACCAGTGCGGGGACCCCAGCCTCGAGGAGGCGCTCGTGCCGGGCGGAGGTGGCGCTTCAGCACCGTCGTGGGCCGGACAGCGCCTCCCGCCCCCGGCCCTCGAAACCTGGCTTCGGAGCCCAGCCGTAGGGACCGGACGGAAGACACCGAAGGAATGGCGAACCTCCCCGGACCGCTCCTGACAGTTCCCGGGTGGCCTTCGGCCTGCAAAGTCGGAATTTGCACACCCTCCGCTCGTCCTTCCCTGAGCCCTTCTGCCCTCCTTGCCCAGCCCGGGCGGTGGGGACTAAGCAGCGCGAGGCTGCAGAGGGGCGGTCACAAGTGTGACCATTCGCACTGCACTCCAGACGCCGGCTCCTCAGGCTTTACTGGAGAGAAGCCCCGAGGAGGGCTAGGGGCAAAAGAGGGGCCTTCTGCATCTCCAGCAACCTGCGGGCTGAGCTCCCAGACCCGGCGTCGGGGTGCGCTTCCGGGCGGGCGCTAGGACCGGGGACAATCAGGAGGGCGCAGAGCGGGCTGGGGCGGTGCAGGGGGCGGGGCTGCCGCGGCATTGCGGATCGGCGGGCACTAGGGCAGCGCGGAGCTCCGGCGGTGGGCGGGGCGTGGCGGCGCGCGCAGCGGCAGGCGGCGGCGGGATGGAGCCCGAGCCCGAGCCCGCGGCCGTGGAGGTTCCCGCGGGGCGCGTGCTCAGGTGCGGCGCGGCCCGGCCGGAGTGGGTGTCGGGGGCGCGGGGCCAGCGCGGGTAGGGAAACCGGCGCCCGGGACCCGGCCAGGCGGCCCCCGATGCGCGGCGCTGACCCCGCGTCCCCTTCTCCCCCAGCGCCCGGGAGCTCTTCGCCGCCCGCTCGCGGTCGCAGAAGCTGCCCCAGCGCTCGCATGGCCCCAAGGACTTTCTGCCCGACGGCTCGGCAGCTCAGGCCGAGCGGCTGCGCCGGTGCCGGGAAGAGCTCTGGCAGCTGCTGGCAGAGCAGCGCGTGGAGCGCCTGTGAGAGGGGCGGGCCCAGGGGTAAGGGAAGCGGGGGCGAGGCGGGCCGCGGGGTCTCCGGAATGGACTGACGCAGACCCCTCCCCACTCCTCGCCAGGGGCAGCTTGGTGGCTGCCGAGTGGAGGCCAGAAGAGGGCTTCGTGGAGTTGAAGTCTCCCGCGGTGAGCGGCGGGCTCGGGGACCGGGGACCGCCCTCCCTGCCCTCCCTGCCCTCCCTCCCTTGTGACACTTGCTCTGGGCCCCACACAGGGCAAATTCTGGCAGACCATGGGCTTCTCAGAGCAGGGCCGGCAGCGCCTTCACCCGGAAGAGGCCTTGTATCTTCTGGAGTGTGTAAGTGGGGCCCGGGAGGTGGGGAAGGAGTTGGGACCAAAGAACGGGAAGGACACGTTTTATCGGAGAAAAAGCACACACAACCCGGTCTTTAGAGAACTGATAACCAAACTTCTAAAGCAGGAGGTGGTACGTTGCAGGGAGCAGGGATTCCAGTCCACATTAGTGATGCTGCCCCACTTTCCTGGTTGGCCACATTCTTGATGCGCTGCTGAGAGGGGGAGGGGGAGGTATCAGAGCTGGGAAGTTGCCCCATTCCTCTGTGGCACTGTAGTGAGGGCTCATAAGCTGAGCTGTTGGCCCCACTTCCAGGGCTCCATCCACCTCTTCCACCAAGACCTGCCACTGTCTATCCAGGAAGCTTACCAGCTGCTGCTGACCGACCACACTGTGACCTTCCTGCAGTACCAGGTATCTGCCACCACCCCGCCTCCGGGAGCCACCCATCCACTGAATCAATGAGTATTGACAAGTACCCATAAGGTGCCAGGCACAGTGTCACATGCTGGGGCTGCAGGGCAGACGAGGGCTATGCTGTCACGAGGCTTACATTGTGGTGGTGGCCTGTTGGCTTCACATAGACCCCAGTGCTGTCAGAAGATAAGGTGGGGGAAGAGAATCCAAAGAGACTGGGCTGTTCATTCAGGTGAGAGAAGCTAGGGGCTTGTCGCAGGTTGGGGGTGGGTAGAGTTGCAGTGAGTGAAAAATAGATGAATCTCAGAAATATTTTGGAGAAAGAATGGATAGGACTGCCAATGGATTGGATGTCAGGATTAAGGAGAGAGAAGAACCCAGGATTACCGCCCATGATTTGGGCATGCACCAGTGGATGAAGGTGCTGTCATTTTCTGAGTGGGAAGAATGAAGAGGAGCAGATTTGGGAGGACAAGACCAGTCGAAAGAACTGTGTCAGATAAGTTAATTTTGAGGAGCTTCTTGGACATCCAAGTGAGTGTAAAGCAGACAGACAATTGGAATCCAAGTCTGGAGTGTGAGGAGAGGTCAAGGCTAGATGTAAATATGGGTGCCATGAGCACATGGATGGTATTTAAACTACTGGGCTGTATGGGAGTGCCATCAGAGTAGAGGGCTGGGTCTGAGCCCTGGGGCTCTCTGTGTAGGTTAGGGGGCAGATAAGAAGCAGAAACAGACCGAGGAGTGTCTGGTGATGCAGGAGAAAAACCAAAGTCGCATCACAGAAGCCAAAAGAAGGTCTTTCAAGGAGGAAGTGGTTAGCTGTGCTAAAGCCTGCTGAGATCAAGCAGGATGGGGGACATTCTTATCTATGTTCCTCTGATATGAATGCAGGGACACAAGGTTGAATATGTGGCTCCCTACCAGAAACTTCCCACCGGCATCTGTGGAGGTGTGGGGCTGGAGAGATGCCCACCACCTGCCATCATTTTGTTCACATGGTGATCGGCAGCTTCACTCCTATGAGCTTTGTATCAAAATACTCAAGTATTTCAGGGCGTGGTGGTTTTCTGGTTTCATGGCTATCAGTTTTTTTGGATTTGGCTAAATGTCATTTGTGCCGAGTAAGGTAAGTGGGAGGACAGGAATTCAGAGCCTGAGATCTTTAGGGATGGTGTTCGTAATGAAGCATGGTCCAACCTTAATCACAGGGTTTAGAATCTGGGGGTGTACAGGAGGGGCAGAGAGGGCTGTGGGGATGGCCTGTGTCTGGAGAAACCATTTGGTGTTTTCCAGAGTGGCCATCTGAGCTTTCATTTTTTTTTTTTCTTTTGAGGTCTTCAGCCACCTGAAGAGGTTGGGTTATGTGGTTCGACGATTCCAACCAAGGTAAATCCCCTTCCTGTTCCCCTTCCATATATTCTAGTCCTGGGACCTGGCTGACTAGTCTAAGGTAGAAAATGGCCTCTCCTTACCTGGAACCCTTGGCTGGAGTGCAGTTCCTTGGGCACAGACTGGGGGCGCCTGCTGGAAGCGTTCTGAGAGAGGCAGGTTGGGAGGAATCCAGGTCATTTTGTTTTATTCTGGTTTATGAACTCGAGCCGCATCTTCAGATGACCTGCGCCTGCAGCTGAGTGTGTGTGAGCACTGAGAGGCAGGATTGGAACAGTGCCTGGCACTTAGTAGGTGCGCAGGCAGGTATGTAGAGTGTATGCTTAAATGAAGGACTGGGTGAAGAATTTACCATTAGTAGGGTTTCACATTTTTCATGCCAGGTTAAATGTTTTTTCCTTCATCACCTTAGTAATCCAGCATTGGTAAAAGGCAGAGACCTTCAGACTTGGAGTGGAAACGGGTACAGCTTTTGCAGTTACAGTATGTCACAAAAGCTCTAAAGCAGGCACATCTTTTCTTTTCTTTTTGAGACGGAGTCTCACTCTGTCGCCCAGGCTGTAGTGCAGTGGCATGATCTCAGCTTACTGTAGCCTCTGCCTCCTGGGTTCAAGCAGTTCTCCTGCCTCAGCCTCCCAAGTAGCTGGGATTACAGGCGTGTGCCACCATGCCTGGCTAATTTTTTTATTTTATTTTATTTTTAGTACAGATGGGGTTTCACTGTGTTGCCCAGGCTGGTCTCGAACTCCTGACCTCAAATGATCCTCCCGCCTCAGCCTCCCAAAGTGCTGGGATTACAGGCATGAGTCACCACGCCCAGCTCTACATCTTTTCTTTTCTGAAAGTGGAACCTATCCTAAGGAAATAATCGTGGACGTGTACAGTGGTTCACCTGTGAGAATGATCAACGATATTTATTATTTGCTGGGGGTCAGGCCCTGTACACATCGCTGAGAACAGAAGAGCAAAATCACTGCCCTCACAGAGCTTGCATTTAGTGAGGAGTCACACAGAACACACTCACTGTGCAAAATCAGTGTACTTGCAAACAAGAGTTGAACAAGAGGCAGGCTCACACAAATGAGAGGTTATCCCTTAGAGCAGCTCTGTCCAATAGAACTTTCTGTAATGATGAAAATGTTCTGTGTCTGTGATGTCTAATACATGGGGCTAGAGCAACTGTGGGACTGAATGTTTAATTTCATTTAATTTAAATGTATTTAAATCTAACTTAAATAGGCTGGTGTGGTGGCTCACGCCTATAATCCCAGCATTTTGGGAGGCCGACGCGGGCGGATCGCGTGAGCTCAGGAGTACGAGACCAGCCTGGACAGCGTGGTGAAACCCTGTCTCTACTAAAATACCAAAAAAAAAAAAAAAAAAAAATCAGCCAGGTGTGGTGGCAGGCGCCTATAGTCCCAGCTATTCAGGAGGCTGAGGCACGAGAATTGCTTGAACCTGGGCAGCTGAGGTTGCAGTGAGCCGAGATCTTGCCAGTGCACTCCAGCCTGGGCGAAAAAGCGAAACTCTATCTCAAAAAAAAAAGCAAACTTAAATAGCCACCTGTCGCTAGTGGCTCTTTTTTGAACAGCATTGCCTTAAAGCCTTAATTCACAGCCAGGAGGCCAGGCACAGTGGCTCACACCTGTAATCCCAGCACTTTAGGAGGCCGAGGCAGGTGGATCATGAGGTCAGGAGATGGAGACCATCCCGGCCAGCATGGTGAAACCTTGTCTCTACTAAGAATACAAAAATTAGCTGGGCATGGTGGCACGCGCCTGTAGTCCCGGTACTACTCGGGATGCTGAGGCAGGAGAATCGCTTGAACCCAGGAGATGGAGGTTGCAGTGAGCCAAGATTGTGCCACTGCACTCCAGCCCGGTGAGAGAACGAGACTGTGTCTCAAAAAAAAAAAAAAAAGAAAAAGGAAAAAATTCACAGCAGGGAAGAATGCTGCAGTGACGGGGCTGTGTCCACAATATATTATTGAGTGAAAAAAAAGATCACAAAGCAGTATGCTAGTACAATGACATTTTTGTTAGAAAAAAATATATGGAGAGAGATTAGTGTGTACATAAACGAAAGAAAGATGTTAACAATAGTTATCCAAGGTTTTTATTTTTCTATATTTACCAAGTTTGCTAGCTCCTCTGGGCCATTGCCTAGGCAGAGGCACATGGCTGGGCCCCCTGGCTGGGCCTGTACCCCTCATGGGGGTCTGCTTAGGGCCTTAGCACTTGGGTGTGGCTCCGATCCTGGCCCACTGACTGTCCTCTTGGCCCGTTTCCTTACACATCCCACCAGATCCCCAGGCTGAGGAGGTGGGTCAGTGGCCCACCCGCTGTTCTCACCCCACAGCTCTGTCCTGTCCCCGTATGAGAGGCAGCTTAACCTGGATGCCAGCGTGCAGCACTTGGAGGATGGAGATGGCAAGAGAAAGAGGAGCAGCTCCAGCCCTCGGTAACTCCCACATCACGGTGGCCCCCCAGGGAGTGCTGGTGTCTGGGACCTTGGAAAATGCACAGGCTTTCTAAGAACCAGCAGCTCCCATGCAGGCTCAGGGAGACACTAGGGGACCTGCCTTCAGCTCCCATGGGACGTGTGCACCTTAGCAACCAGGGGCAGATGTGCTGCTTTTCCCCCACGTCCCTCAGGTCCATTAATAAGAAGGCCAAGGCCCTGGACAACTCCCTGCAACCCAAGAGTCTGGCAGCCTCCAGCCCACCTCCCTGCAGCCAGCCCAGCCAATGCCCAGAGGAGAAACCCCAGGAGTCAAGCCCCATGAAGGGCCCAGGGGGCCCCTTTCAGCTTCTGGGGTCCCTGGGCCCCAGCCCTGGCCCGGCCAGGGAGGGGGTGGGGTGCAGCTGGGAGAGTGGCAGAGCCGAGAACGGAGTCACGGGAGCCGGTAAGCGGCGCTGGAACTTCGAGCAGATCTCCTTCCCCAACATGGCTTCAGACAGCCGCCACACCCTTCTGCGCGCCCCAGCCCCAGAGCTGCTCCCGGCCAACGTGGCTGGGCGGGAGACAGACGCTGAGTCCTGGTGCCAGAAGCTGAACCAGCGCAAGGAGAAGCTCTCCAGGCGGGAACGGGAGCACCACGCGGAGGCCGCGCAGTTCCAGGAAGATGTCAACGCCGATCCCGAGGTGCAGCGGTGCTCCAGCTGGCGGGAGTACAAGGAGCTGCTGCAGCGGCGGCAGGTGCAGAGGAGCCAGCGCCGGGCCCCTCACCTGTGGGGCCAGCCCGTCACCCCGCTGCTGAGTCCTGGCCAGGCCAGCTCCCCAGGTACCCCCTCAGCCTGCCACATCTTCGAGGGCCACTGGCAGCTGAGGAATCACAGGACTTTGGAAAGGGCATGGATGAACTGGGATGGATTGAGGCTTAAGGAAGATGTGGGAGGAGGGAGTGGACCCACAAGCACGGTCAGTTCTCCGGCGGCTGCAGCAGGGCCTGTGTGGGAAGGCTTAGAGATGGTGAGTCAGGAGAGGTAAGGAGGGGTGGAAACTATGACCATATCCTTAAAAAGATAAACAACATGCATGTGGATGGCTTTGCCACCAACTAGCTGTGATCCCAACCTGTTAGATGGGAAAAGGAGGTGCCTTCTTGGCCAAGTGAAAGAAAGGCTTGCTGTCTGCTCTAAGCCCAGGGAACCAATGGGGAAAGAATAAGCTAAATGTGTTAACGGATTCCAAATTACTTAAAGCCTTTATGGGAACACGGTAGATTGTAGGTAACTAGATAGGGTTGCCAGATCAGTTTGATTTGACTTTCAGTATAATTTTTCAGTATATGTTCCAAAAATTGCATGGGATATGCTTATACTAAAAAAAAAAAAAAAATGTTGCTAGGCTGGACACGGTGGCTCATACCCGTAATCCCAGCACTTTGGGAGGCCGAGGCGGGCAGATCACCTGAGGTCAGGAGTTCGAGACCAACCTGGGCAACATGGTGAAACCATCTCTACTAAAAATACAAAAATTAGCCGGGTGTGGTGGTGCACACTTATAATCCCAGCTACTCAGGAGGCTGAGACAGGAGAATTGCTTGAACCTGGGAGGCAGAGGTCACAGTGAGCCAAGATCACGCCACTATACTCCAGCCTGGGTGACAGAGTGAGACTCCGTTTAAAAAAAAAAGTTGCTAAATCTGGCCGTCCTAAACTAGATGGCAGACTGAGAAATGTGACTCCCCTCCCCAGTACCTTGTTTTCTGTGTCCTTGTAGCCGTGGTCCTTCAGCATATCTCTGTGCTGCAGACAACACACCTTCCTGATGGAGGTGCCCGGTAAGTTTCCAAGCAGTGCCGTCTCTGCAGTACCTTGACCGCCAGGAGTTGGTGGTTAGGAACTGGCTCCTGAAGTAGGGTGTAAACTAGAGGACTGTTCCAGGGACTCCTACCCCTACGCCTAGCTCTGAGCAATAACTAGTGTTCGTGTGTGTCTAGGGAAGAGGGAGAATAACCAGTGGGTTAGCCCAAGGGTTCAGAGCCCCCAACCCTCAAGTGGCACCTCTGTGAGGCTGCTTCCTGGAACTGGTGGAGGGAAAGGGTGGGATGGAAAAGAAAGGTTGGGGAGAAGAGTTCATGTCATAACGTTTCTCATTGTATTGTCAGGCTGTTGGAGAAGTCTGGGGGCTTGGAAATCATCTTTGATGTTTACCAGGCCGACGCTGTGGCCACATTCCGAAAGAATAACCCTGGCAAACCCTATGCCCGGATGTGCATTAGTGGGTACGCAGTGAGCCAGCACTGCCCCTCCCCCAGCTGCTGCCAGTTCTCCTGTGAACCAAGTGGGACTCCTCTGTACTCCCCTGGCCAGCGTGCCAATCTCTGAGAGGAACAGGAGGTCCAGAGAGGCTAAGTGACCTACACAAGGCCACACAGCCAGTTTGTGCTGCCCTACTCTGAGCTCCTCGTTGCTGGCATTTTAGGGTAGTCTTTCTCCAATGCCATTTTAGTCTAGGACTCACCCAGCAGAAGGGATGTGGATTGTGGGGATTTACAGGCTAAGAGTGGTGAGCACCTTGCTCTTCCTAGCACCTCCCCAACCAGTGCTCTGGGGCGCTCTTCATCAGAGCCCTGTGTTTTGGAGACAGAACTCATGGGTCAGAATTCTTGCACCCCAACTCCTTCCGTAGAATCTCTTCTCTGGGAGCCCTAGAGCTTAGGAGTGGGCTATGGCTGGGTCTCACTCTAACCCTTTGTCCCTGCAGATTTGATGAGCCTGTCCCAGACCTCTGCAGCCTCAAGCGGTTGTCTTACCAGAGTGGGGATGTCCCTCTGATCTTTGCCCTGGTGGATCATGGTGACATCTCCTTCTACAGCTTCAGGGACTTCACGTTGCCCCAGGATGTGGGGCACTGACCTCACAGCTCTGCAGAGGATGGAGCTTGCTCCGGGGGACCGGGACTGTCTGTTCTCAGGGACCATCTCGGCTGCCTCCTGTACCCAGACTCTAACCTGTAGCTTCAGAGGCCAGTCTGGGCCTTGGCCCTGGGTGTCTGATACTCACAGAGTGAAACTGTGACCCTCTCCCTTCCCTGCTGCCTTGCAGTGACCCCTCTGGAACTCAGGACTCGATTTTAAGGACCCAGGAGGTGGGGCAGAAGAGAGGACTGTGTGCCTTTAACGAGAGGGTGCCTGCTTCGTGCTATAAAGCCAAAGCCATTAAAAATAGATTTCTTTTCTGCTGTTTCTGTATGTACTGGGTAAACCCCTCTCGCCCCCGTCCCGTTGTCAGTGGAACTGCCCCCAGCCCCTCACCCCTGCTTTGCCCACTCAAGGAGATCCGCTTCCTCTGGTGCGGGATCTAAGAGTGAGAGAAGCCCGCGGGATAGCAGGAACGCGACCTCGAACCTTTTGAGCCTTTCCCGGGCCTGCGTCGGAGGGGATGGGACGTCGCAGGCTTCCCGAAGGGAGGAGGGAGGACGGCGCGCCATCGGCCCTTCCCTGGGCGCAGCGGGGTGCGGGTGGCGAGAGGCGCCACCTGCAGCTGGGCGGTGGAGCGCGCTGCAGCCCCGGCCTCCGCGCCCTTTCCGCTCCCGCCTCTCGTCGCTCCAACCTCCTCCCTCGCTTGTGCTAAAAATTCCACCCGCTGTTGCAGACCCTCCGGCCGACACGGAGGAGGTGGGCGCCCCCCCGCACCCCCCCCCGAGGAAAGGCGTCTCGCCGCGACGCCCCGGTCCCTACACCATCCCTCTCGTGGGGCTGGAAACCCGGCCCTGCGTCCCCCGGTCACCCTCTCTGGGCTGGGCTCTGGCAGAGGAGCTGGCCCGGATCCGCCCCTCCCTCGGCAGCTCCCGGGAGTTGGAGGGACGGCTCCCCTGGAGTCTGGGAGGCGGCCCGGGACCGCAGGCGTTCCGGGAACTATTTCCGCTTGCGGGAGGCGGCGGGACACTGGGCGCGGCGCGCCGTTCTGCGTCCAGGTGCGCGCAGGTGAGGCCGGGGCGGGCCTGCGGAACCCCGAGGCCGTTCGCGAGGCCCCGCCCCGCGCTTCCCGGGGCCGCGGATTGGCAGGAGCGCAGCCCCCACCCCCGAGGGTGCCCCCGCCCCTGCGGCGCCGAGCTGGGGGGCGGGCCGGGGGCGGGGCGCTGGGCCCCGGCAGGCTCGCCCTTTATGTAAATAGCGCGGCTCCGCCCCAGGCTCGCCGCGCCGGAGGTGAGCAGGAAGGAGACGGCCGCCCAGCAGCCCGTGGGCAGGCGCGGCGGAGCGAGCGGGGCCGGCGGCGGGCGCCGAGGGACGCCGAGGCCTCGGGCGGGGGCTGGCCCGGGGTTCCAGGTGAGATGCGTGCCGGACTCGCCCAGCCGGGCCCGCCCCCTCGGGGCTTCCACCTGGGGCGGGGAGGCCAGGGAGGCCCAGGACCCCTGGGCTGTCGGGCCAGGGCGGGAGGGCTGCGCCCAGGTCCGCGCGCCTCGCCCCTGTCCGCGTCGCTGTGCTGGCCTGGAAGAGAGACACCTGTAGAAAGTTCTGCGGGAAACTTCTCTGCCTGATCTGCGCGATGACTGAAACTTGGGCTTGGGTTTGCACAATAATGTTGGCTTAGGAGAGCAGGAGAACAGGTGCCCCGGCCGGCTGGGTGCGGGGGGCACCGCGGGCAGAGACGGAGTCCCCGGGCCCACGTGCAGGCGCCAGGCCAGCGGGGTTGGCGACGCGCGTCTGCGGTGACCCCCTCCCCACGGGCGGCGGCCGGAGCGCGGTGCCCCGGCGGCTTAGCCCCTGCCCCTGCCATCTGGGCTGTGTCCCTGCCGGCCCTTTGTGCCTCCTAATCCCCGGACGCAGGAAGCCCGCGGGAGGGACTTCGGTCTCCGGCCTTTCTCCAGCTGGGGCGGCTTTGGACACCTTCACATGACAGTGCGGAGACCCAGTCTGCCCTCCATGCTGACGGGCGGGGTTTGCGCTGTGGGATTTGGCGAGAAGTGGAAAATTCTATCTTGCCAAAGAAAGTGTGTCTTAGTTTGTTCCGGCTGGACGATTGGTGGACACGCTGGGCCTTGGCTGTGGGGAGAACTGACCTAACCAGGGGAGCTGTAGAGTGGCGCTTTGAGGCTCTCACCTGAACAGGTGAGCTTTGAGTGAGGAGGGCGCCCCTTCCCCTGGGGATCCGTATGCGACTGCCGGCAGCCTTAACCTGGGCTCCAGGGACCCCCTGCTGGAGTTTGTAGTTCAAGAGAACCTTGAGTTCTCTTGAAGGGGCTACAGAGAGGATTCTGAGCAGGGAGCGGGCAGGGAGGGAATGGGTGTGTCAAGGTGACAAGGAAACGCTGGTAGGAAGAGCAGAGCTGCCACAGAAGAGCTGTGGCCCAGCCCGGGGGAAGCCAAGGTCAGAAGTGGCAGTTGAGGCTGGGTGCATTGGCTCACAGCTGTAATCCCAGCACTTTGGGAAGCCAAGGCAGGAGGATCGCCTGAGCCCAGGAGTTTGAGACCAGCCTGGGCAACATAGTGAGACCTCGTCTCTGCAAATAATAAAAAAAGTTAGCCAGGCATGGTGGCGTGCACCTGTAGTCCCAGCTACTCAGGAGCCTGAGGTGGGAGGATTGCCTGAGCCCAGGAGGTGGAGGTTGCAGTGAGTCATGATGGCGCCACCACACTCCAGCCTGGGGACAGAGTGAGACCCTGTCTCAAAAAAAAAAAAAAAAAGTGGCATTTGAGGAAAACTGTCTGGGTCTGTGTGAGCAGAGGCACAAGGAGAACTGTGCGAGAGATGTCTCAGCTTTATTTTATGAACTGGGATTTGGGGTTTAGTTTTCTTAGGCGATCTTCCCACAGTGCTAGCTGTGGCAGACAGAACTCAAACTCAGCTCTTAAGCTTCTAATCAGAGTTCACTCCTTTCCTCTGAAGTTAGACTGGGCCCATCTTTGTGGGGGCTCCTGGACAGGGTTTCCGGGGTCCAGGGTCATTTGGCATCCCCATTCTTCCTTGAGGCAAGGGAGTTTCCCCTTTGGTGTCAGATTAATATGCTTTTAATTATATTAAAATGACACTACATTCATAAATAAGAAATAAAATAGAAAAAAGTAACTTTTTTCTCTTTTTTTTTCTTTTTTTTAAACTAAGTTGACCAAATTCTTTTTTTCTTTAATAATATGTTTTTTAATTTGTAGAGATGGGATCTCACCATATGTTGCCCAGGCTGGTCTCAAACTCCTGGACTCAAGTGACCCTCACACTTCAGCCTCCCAAAGCGTTGGGATTACAGGTGTAAGCCACTGTGCCCAGCTGTTAGTAACTTTTTTTTTTTCTTTTTTTGAGGCAGAGTCTTGCTCTGTCACCCAGGCTGGAGTGCAGTGGTGCAATCACTGGGAGATGGAGGCTCACTGCAGACTCGACCTCCCAGGCTCAAGTGATCCTCCCACCTCAGCCTTCTGAGTAGCTGGGACTACAAGCGCGCAGCACCATGCACAGCTAATTTTCTATTTTTTTTTTAGAAAGGGGGTTTTGCCATGTTGCCCAGGCTAGTCTTGAACTCCTGGGCTCAAGTGATCCTCCTGCCTCCCAAAGTGTTAGGATTACAGGCATGAACTGCCACGCCAGACCCGTTAGTATAAATAACTTTTTATTATTTTTATTTATTTATTTATTTATTTTGAGACAGAGTCTCGCTCTGTCACCCAGGCTGGAGTGCAGTGGCGAGATCTCGGCTCACTGCAAGCTCCTCCTCCTGGGTTCACGCCATTCTCCTGCCTCGGCCTCCCGAGTAGCTGGGACCACAGGCGCCTGCCATCACGCCCGGCTAATTTTTTGTATTTTTAGTAGAGATGGGGTTTCACTGTGTTAGCCAAGATGGTCTCGATCTCCTGACCTCGTGATCTGCCCCTCTCAGCCTCCCAAAGTGCTGGGATTACAGGCGTAAGCCACCGCGCCCGGCCTTAAATAACTTTTTAATATACCGCAACATTAAAAGAAAAAAAGGCCAGGCGTGGTGGCTTACACCTGTAATCTCAGCACTTTGGGAGGCCAAGTTGGGCCGATCGCCTGAGGTCAGGAGTTTGAGAGCAGCCTCACCAACATGGAGATACCCTGTCTCTATTAAACATATAAAATCAGCTGGCCATGGTGGCACATGCCTGTAATCCCAGCTACTCAGGAGGCTGAAGCAGGAGAATCGCTTGAACCTGGGAGGTGGAGGTTGCGGTGAGCCAAGATCACGCCATTGCACTCCAGCCTGAGCAACAAGAGCAAAACTCCATCTCAAAACAAACAAACAAACAAAAAATGGCCCATAATCCCAGGTGATCGCTGTTCATTTAAAAAATAGAAAAGGCAATAGGAGCCCATAGTGGGAAAAAGGAAACATTGTAGAAAGTGTAAAATTAGAGAGCAAAAAATTAGGCCGGGCAAGGTGGCTTATGCCTGTAATCCCAACACTTTGGGAGGCGGAAGCAGGCGGATCACAAGGTCAGGAGTTCGAGACTAGCCTTGCCCACACAGTGAAACCGGTCTCTACTTAAAAATGCAAAATTAGCCAGGCGTGGTGGTGAGCGCCTGTAATCCCAGCTACTCAGGAGGCTGAGGCAGGAGAATCGCTTGAACCCAGGAGGCAGAGGTTGCAGTGAGCCGAGATCGTGCGATTGCACTCCAGCCTGGGCAATAGAGTGAGACTGTCTCAAAAAAAAAGAGAGCAAAAAATTATCCCTCCTGCCTGACAGTCCTTTTCTTTTTTTTTCTTTGAGACGAAGTCTCCTCTGTCGCCCAGGATGGAGCACAGTGGCGTGATCTCAGCTCACTGCAACCTCTGCCTCCCAGGTTCAAGCAGTTCTCCTGCCTCAGCATCCTGAGTAGCTGGGATTGCAGGCAGGCACCACCAGGCCCAGCTAATTTTTGTATTTTTGTATTTTTTGTAGAGACAGGGTTTCATCATGTTGGCCAGGCTGGTCTTGAACTCCTGACTTCAAGTGATCTGCCTGCCTCAGCCTCTCAAAGTGCTGGGATTACAGGCATGAGCCACTGCACCCGGCCCCTGCCAGTCCTTTTATCTTCATCCTTCATCCTTCTATCCTTCATCTCTTTAAAAACAAAAAATAAAAAAAAATTAGGCCGGGCTCTGTGTCTCACGCCTGTAATCCCAGCACTTTGGGAGACCGAGGCAGACGGATCATGAGGTCAGGAGATCGAGACCATCCTGGCCAAGATGGTGAAACCCCATCTCTACTAAAAATACAAAAATTAGCTGGGCGTGGTGGTGCGTGCCTGTAATCCCAGCTACTCAGGAGGCTGAGGCAGGAGAATCGCTGGAACCCAGGAGGCGGAGGTTGCAGTGAGCCGAGATCGCGCCACTGCACTCCAGCCTGGTGACAGAGCAAGACTCCGTCTCAAACTAATAATAATAATAATTTTTAAAAAAAGATTTTTAGTGTCTTTCTAGGCTTCAGGTGTAGTTTTGACTCGTTCTTTGCCGAGTCCTTGCTGTGTGACCCTAGTGTGGTCACTGACCCGTGCTGAGCTTTGTTTTCACAGATGAGAAGATGAGAAAGGTCACTAGCACGTGTGGCCTGCCACACAGCAGGCACCCAGTGAGGGTGGACTCAACTTCCATGAAGCATAAGAGGCATCCGTCTGTCCCAGGCCTTTGGGTGGGCACTTGGGCCTTTTGGAAGTGCCTGATGGGTTTAGGGAATTTGTCTTCTCTGGAAATCAGCTGACGGCTCATGAATTTGTGATATTTTAAAGTCTCTGGCTGGGCATTTTGGCTCATGCCTGTAATCCCAGTGCTTTGGGAGGTGGAGGAGGGAGGATTGCTTGAACCCAGGAGTTCAAGACCAGCCTGGGCAACAGTGAGATCGCGTCTCTACAAAAATTTTTTTAAAAAATTAGCTGGGCATCAGCCAGGCGCGGTGTCTCACGCCTGTAATTCCAGCACTTTGGGAGGCCGAGGCAGGCGGATCACGAGGTCAGGAGATCGAGACCATCCTGGCTAGCACAGTGAAAACATGTCTCTACTAAAAATACAAAAAATTAGCTGGGCATGGTGGTGGGCACCTGTAGTCCCAGCTGCTCGGGAGGCTGAGGCAGGAGAATGGTGTGAACCCGG
Organism: Homo sapiens; assembly: GCF_000001405.40. Classification (NCBI taxonomy): domain Eukaryota; kingdom Metazoa; phylum Chordata; class Mammalia; order Primates; family Hominidae; genus Homo; species Homo sapiens. The sequence continues at coordinate 75,530,577 of NC_000017.11, forward strand.
GAGGCAGAGCTGGCAGTGAGCCGAGATCGCGCCACTGCACTCCAGCCTGGGCGACAGAGCGAGACTCCATTTCAAAAAAAAAAAAAAAAATTAGCTGGGCATCGTGGTGTGCACCTGTTGTCCCAATTACATGGGATCGTAGGAGGATCGCTTGAGCCCAAGAGTTTGAGGCTGCAGTGAACTATGATGGCGCCACTGCACTCCAGCCTGGGTGACAGAGTGAGACTCTAACTCAAAAAGAGAAAAAAAGTCTCTAGGGGTCAGAAGTTTTTCAGCGAGGACCTTTTTCAGGAATTGAGGGCAGCAGTGGAGGGCGCGGCTTCTCCTAAATGGACCTTGCATTCCAGTGGCCCTTGATGCTTCCCTTGCTCCTTGGGAGGGCCAAGAGTGAGAGCCGGTTGCCTGGGAGTCTTTCCTGTGGTGGGGATGTCGGAGAGTGCAGGATTAAACCTGCTGTGAGTTCTGCCCCAGCTGAGGAGTGCTTGCTGGGTACACCCTCCTCACCCTGCTGGGTGGCAGGGCAGAGAGCACAGGCCTGTGCTGCTCTGTTGGCATTAGGAGACTTTCTAGGAATGCCATTGTGCCCCCTTTCAACCTTGCTTGGGGAGAGGATGTCCTCTCCTGCCAGGACTTCCTGGCCCCGGGACCCTCCCTTTGGAAGACGAAGTGCTGCCTGGGACCAGGTGGCCCATGAGCCCCTGCCCGCACTGTGGGAGATCTGCGCATCTCTGGCAAGAGCCTCCAGGAGCCATCTAAGGAGTTTAGTTTCCCCGGGGAGCTATTCGGCCTTCCTGGTCTTTCCAGATGAGTCAAAAGCAGCTGTTGAGACCTCTGAGTTGGGGGCCAGAATGGAGGCCCAAGAGACCAATGTTCTTTCTCCTGGGCCGGCTGCTTTGAGCAGCACTGGCAGCCTGGACTCATTTGTCCTCAATCCTCAACTCTGAGAGGCCCTCTTATCTGTCTTAGGTGATATCGTTCTCAGGGTTCCTCCTGGGGCGAGGCACGCCAGGTCTGCTTGGCAACGCTGTTTTCCTCTGTCAGGAGCAGTTTGCAGAGAGAAAACTGGGGACAGGGCAGGAGACGGGCGTCCCCCAGCGGGGCCACCAGCACTGTTTGCCCTCCCCAGCCCTGGCTCCCTAGGAATTCCAAGGAGACCCTCGCTCACTGTGCCCGTGGCCATGGCTTTGCTCAGGTCCCTTTGGGGTGGCCTTCCCCACAGCCCTGCCTCTCAGAGGAAACTGGCTTTGAATACTCACCCCTCTCTTCTTCCCAGGAACCACAGCGAATTCTTGAGCTAGGAGAGGCTGCTCTGGGCGTGGGGACGAGGAGGCTGCAAGGCACCTGACTCTACCCTTCAGGAATTCGGCAGAGACTGGAGCCTTCTCTCGAGACACCTGACTTAGTGTTCCCAGAGTTTGATGAGAGGGACATCTGGGCACAGGACCATATGACTGTAATAAATTATATATATGTATATATACACACACACACACACACACACTTTTTTTTTTTTTTTTTTTTTGAGACGGAGTCTTACTCTGTGGCCCAGGTTGGAGTGCAATGGCATGATTTCGGCTCACTGCAGTCTCCCCAGGTTCAAGTGATTCTCCCACCTCAGCCTCCCCAGTAGCTGGGATTACAGGTAGCTCCCCAGTAGCTGCTACCATGCCCAGCTAATTTTTTGTTTGTTTTGAGACGGAGACTTGCTCTGTTGCCCAGGCTGGAGTACAGTGGCGCGATCTCAGCCCACTGCAAGCTCCGCCTCCTGGGTTCACACCATTCTCCTGACTCAGGCTCCCGAGTAGCTGGGATTACAGGCGCCCGCCACCACGCCCAGCTAATTTTTTTCTTTGTTTTTTTGTTTTGAGTCTGAGTCTCGCTCTGTCGCCCAGGCAGCAGTGCAGTGGCATGATCTTGGCTCACTGCAACCTCTGCCTCCCGGGTTCAAGCAATTCTCCTGCCTCGGCCTCCTGAGTAGCTGGGATTACAGGTATGCGCCACCACACCTGGCTAATTTTTGTATTTTTAGTAGCGGGGGGGTTTCCACCATGTTGGTCAGGCTGGTCTCTAACTCCTGACCTCATGTGATCCACCTGCCTCGGCCTCCCAAAGTGCTGGGATTACAGGCATGAGCCGCTGCGCCCAGCCCTCTAGTAAATAATATTAACATTTAATATAATTCTGGAATTCTCTGGGGGTCCTGGAGCTTTGGTTAAAGGCAGGGTCCACAAGGGTATTCCGAACAGGATGCCAGGCATGACGTCCACAGGGCCCTGGCCTTGGCCGGAGACTTGAGGACAGGGTAAGGAAGTTCCCTGAGAACCCTGTGGGGTCCTACCTCAGTGTTTCGTGGGGTCAGTGATTGGCAGATACCTTTTCTAGTTAATCCCTAGTCAGTCTTAACTGTTCGTTCATTCATTCAAGTACTTTTTTTTTCTTTTTTTGAGGAGTCTTGCTCTGTCGCCCAGGCTGGAGTGCAGTGGCGCGATCTCGGCTCACTGCAAGCTCTGCCTCCCGGGTTCACGCCATTCTCCTGCCTCAGCCTCCCGAGTAGCTGGGACTACAGGCTCCCGCCACCACGCCCGGCTAATTGTTTGTATTTTTAGTAGAGACAAGGTTTCACCGTGTTAGCCAGGATGGTCTTGATCTCCTGACCTCGTGATCTGCCCGCCTCAGCCTCCCAAAATGCTGGGATTACAGGCGTGAGCCACCGCACCTGGCCCTTTTTTTTTTTTTTTTTTTTTTTGAGATGGAGTCTCACTCTGTCACCCTGGCTGGAGTGCAGTGGCACGATCTCGGCTCACTGCAAGCTCCGCCTCCCAGGTTCACACCATTCTCCTGCCTCAGCCTCCTGAGTAGCTGGGACTACAGGCGCCCGCCATGATGCCCAGCTAATTTTTTGTATTTTTAGTAGAGACAGGGTTTCATCATGTTGGCCAGGATGGTCTCGATCTCCTGACCTCATGATCTGCCCGCCTCGGCCTCCCAAAGTGCTGGGATTGCAGGCATGAGCCACCGCGCCCAGCCCGTTCAAGTATTTTCTGATGCCTCTTGTGTGGTTCTAGATGTTGGATGTGATCCTTAAACAAAGCAAAGATGTCTGCCGTCGTTGAAAGTTGTTTCTAAAAGGTGAGAAGCCTGACTGACAGAAAGTAAAAGTAACTAATAAATTGTGTTAAAAGGTGATACGGGCTATAGGGTAAAAAGAACTAGAGCAACAATTGGGAACCCGCATGGTAGGGGGCAGGTTACAACTTTTAACAGGTGGTTAGAGTGGGCCTCTGCCAGAAGGTGACATTTGAGCAAAGCTTTGAAGGAAGTGAGGGAGCTGTTTAAATAAAATTCCAGTCCCTCCCATGAGGCACCTGGATGAGGCCAGCACAATCCCCACCTCCTGGAGCTGACATCTGGAAGCTTCTTGGGACAGCTGTTCCAGTTTTAGGGCAGGTAGGAGGCCCTAGAAAGGGGCCTGATTGGATGGGCTGGATGGCCTGCCCACGCCAGCCCCAGGCAGGTGGTCCATCTTCTCCCCAGAATGGTTTTGCTTTTCCTTGGACTTGGCTTTCTGCCAGTCACTTCCCTGGAGAGAGAGTCTGGTGTTGGATTATGAAAGGGGGCTAAGGCCCCCAGAATGGGGGTGCGTTCCCACCTTCCACCCCATCCTCACAGGCCCAGGAGGGGCAACAGAAAGGAAACTTCAGGAGGAGTCTAGGCATGGCGGGAGGATCCTCTTGGGGTTGTGGGATGGTTGTGATTCCATAGGATAGATGGTGGGGGGAATGGAGGCTGACCCCAAATGGGGCCCATCCAGCCTGCGAGCAGGCAGCCCCTTTGTCCTGGGAGAGAGGCCTGACCTGAGCGGAGGATTCTGCAGTCAGATTGGAATGCAAATTGGGGCTTGGATTTTTTTTTTTCTTTTTTTGAGAAAAGGTCTCGCTCTGTCACCCAGGCTGGAGCACAGTGGTGCCATCATAGCTCACTGCAGCCTCAACCTCCTGGGCTCAAGTGATCTTCCCACCTCAGCCTCCTGAGTAGCTGGGACTACAAGTGTATGCCACCATGGCTGGCTAATTTTTAAGTTTTTTGCTGAGACAAGGTCTCCCTAAGTTGCCCAGGCTGGTCTCGAACTCCTAGGTTCAGTGGATTCTCCTGCCTCGACCTCCCAAAGTGCTGGGATTACAGGCATAAGCCACTGAGCTTGGCAAAGGACTTGGACTCTTGACTGTTTGAGCTTGGGGCCACTCTGAATCGATCACTTCATAAGTAATTGTAAGAATTAAATAAGGTGAATGTAAAGTGCTAAAGTCACATCCAGCCATAGCTAGCTCTCAATCCCTTTTACTACTTAATTAACAACAGCGGGGACGACAGTCCTCCAGTCATGCCCCCATTCCCTCTGGTTTGTGTTCCCCTAGATCCCACTCCATGGAACTGCCTTTCAGCCAAGGTTTGGTTGCTAAGCTGCTGGCCAGGGACCTGCCTGGTGCTTCTGGGAGACTGGGCTTCCCAGGGCGACATGGGCACTTGCAAAGCGGCTACAGGCGTCTGAGTTGGCACAGATGCCGCAGGGGTCAGCAGCTGCCTCTGTGGTTTAGATCCCTGCCCACCAGTGCCATCAGAGTAGGAGGTGCAGGGGCGGATTCACATCCGTCAAACAGGAGGCCACAGCCACACTCAGGCCTCACACAGGATGTCGCAGAGGGGAAGGCAGCTTCTTAATCAGCAGCGGGCTGTGGGGAGCACGAGCGAAGAGGAGAGGAGAGCATGGGACATCAGGTGGCACGCCCTGAGAGCAGGCAGCTGGCGCTGGGTGCGGCCCGGGGGCCCTCTCTGGTTTCGGCTGGGTCTGGAGTCCTGCCGCTGGGTGTGGACTCTCCCAGCAGATCAATGAGATCAATGGAACTTCCCGAGCTATGGAGGGAGTTTCTTGAGGGCTGGCCCCTCCCACATCTCCAGGCCAGAGGGCTGGCTGGGCTTGGCCAAGCCTTGGTCTCACAGGGACAAATTAGCCCAGGTGCCCCAAACAGTGGCAGGGTGGGAGAAGCAGTCTGGCCTGGGGATCCCCTCTCCTCCGAGGCACAATCGCATCTGCCACTTAGAGCGAGGGGGGCCCAAGGCAAGTCCACCCCGTGTGGTTATTCTCTCTCTCTGCCCCCACTGGTCTCTTTCTTGAGCTCTTGAGATGGAAGGCGGGCCAGGGTGTGGATTTTGTGGCCTGTCACCAAGTGGAGAGCTCTCCTGTTCTTTCCAAGTGGGTGTCCAGGTGTGTGGACACCTGTCCTAGACCCAGAAATATTTTGCCGGCCAGGTGCAGACGTGGGTGAGTGGAACAGTGAGGAGGGAAGGAAACAGGTCGATCAGCTGCCCACAGGGAGCTCTCAGGCTGGTTCCACATGCAAGGCACAGACTTGGGTAGAAAGTGGATGGGAACCAGCCACAAGGCAGCAAGCCTTTTGCGGCCCGGCTCTAAACCCTGGCGCCCGCCAAAAGGGAACAGAGCAGGGCAGAACAGGGAGGGTGGCTCAGAGGCTGGTCTGGTGACAGGCAGGAGTGGAGACTGAGGTTGGATGGCCTTTAGAAGTTAGTGGGGTGGAGAAGGTTTTCCTGAGAAGCCTCATCTCAGAGGTGGCGCTCTGGCTAGGTGGCAACCCCAGTGACCATTTCTGGTGTTAGACTTGAGGACTTGGGGGGCTCCTCAGCCTGTGGGCTCCTGAACTTGTCTCTTCTCCACATTCCTCCCAGGTGTGTCACTTAAGTGCACAGCACCTGAGAGTTTGCCAAGCCCGCTCCCTGGCCCTGCTTTAAAGCCTCGGGACGATGGAATAGAAAAGTCCTTTCTACTCAGGACCCTGAAACCCAAGGTTGCACAGCTAGTCCCACCTGCCTGTCTCCCCGCCTTTCCGGGCCTAACTATTCCGTGTCTCTAGGGGGTACCTCTCCCCACTCAGGTTGCGGTGGCTGGAGAGGAGCCCACGCCTGGTGAGCACCGGAACATTCCACCAGCAGGACAGGGCTGGACCCACCCTCCCGCCTGACCATGCCTGGGGCCTCTTTCCTTCTCTCTTTGATCCTCTTATCCACCCTGCCTAGGAGGCAGATAAACAAAAAGGAGAAAAAAGAATCACCACTAATCCCATAACCCTTCCGAGTACATTGTCAAATATAGGGATTTTTAATAGATTCTACCTGACTCTTGGATTCTTTGTACATATAGTCCCATGCCATGAAATGGTCTTTTCTCCATTTATTTATTTATTTATTTACTTTTTGAGATGGAGTCTTTCTCTGTCACCCAGGCTGGAGTGCAGTGGCGCTATCTGGGCTCACTGCAACTTCCACCTCCCGAGTTCAAGCAGTTCTCCTGCCTCAGCCTCCCAAGTAGCTGGGGTTACAGGCACCCACCACCATGCCCGGCTAATTTTTTTTAGTAGAGACGGGGTTTTGGCATGTTGGCCAGGCTGCTCGCAAACTCCTGACCTCAAGTGATCCACCCGCCTCGGCCTCCCAAAGTGTTGGGATTACAGACGTGAGCCACAGCGCCCGGCCCTTTTATTCCTTTTAATGACTGGAAGCCTTTTGTCATAGGCCTGAGCACACTTCACCCATCCCCTGTTGTGGGCCATTTAGGTTGCTTCTGATTTTTTCTGACAGCTTAATAAACAGCACATCAAGGCCAGGAGACATGCATGAGCCTGGGAGGCTGTCCCTGTCCACCATGGTTTCAATGGATCATTTTATCCTAAGGTGTGTTTCTTCCCCATCTGAACCCATCTTGACCATTCTCAGGACTCTGAGATAAAATGGTCCCTTTACCCCTTAGGATAAAATGATCCCAGGCTGGGTGCGGTGGCTCACGCCTATAATCCTAGCACTTTGTGGGGCCGAGGTGGGCAGATCACTTGAGATCAGGAGTTCGAGACCAGCCTGGCCAATATGGTGAAAACCACAGCTCTACTAAAAATAACAAAAAAATTAGCCAGGCATGGTGGTGGACACCTGTAATTCCAGCTACTTGGGAGGCTGAGGCAGGAGAATTGCTTGAACCTGGGAAACACAGTTGCAGTGAGCTAAGATTACACCACTGCACTTCAGCCTGGGCGACAGAGCGAGACTCCATCTCCAAAAAAAAAAAATCCCTTAAAACCATGGTGGACAGGGACAGCCTCCCAGCCTCCTAGGACTCGGAGAATGGTCAGGATGGGTTCAGATGGGAAGGCTTTTTGGAAGGTGACCTTTTTTTTTTTTTTTTTTTGAGACAGTCTCTCTCTGTTGCCCCGGCTGTATTACAGTGGCACAATCTCGATTCACTGCAGCCTCCGCCTCCTGGGTTCAAGCAATTCTCCTGCCTCAGCCTCCTGAGTAGTTGGGACCACATGGTGCCCGTCACCATACCTGGCTAATTTTTTGTCTTTTTAGTAGAGATGAGGTTTTGCTGTGTTGGCCAAGCTAGTCTCAAACTCCTGGCCTCAAGTGATCAGCCCGCCTTGGCCTCCCAAACTGCTGGGATTACAGGCGTGAGCCACCTCGCCCAGCCTGGAAGGGGGGCCGGGCTGATTGAGGGGGCAAGAAGGTATTTCAGACAGAGAATGGCAGGGACCATAGTGAATGGGGCCAGGGTGGGGCTGAGTAGATGGAGCAGCCAACAGGGCCAAGGAGAGAGGGCCAGTGACATGGAGGAGGGAACGGGGGGTGGGCAGGCCCCATCAGGTCCCTGCCTAGGACAGCTCAGGAGGCCCACTTTGTCATCTCTCTCATGTCATCTGCACAGATCTCTGCATTGGGCCCCCCACTTGTCTTCATCCTGAAACATAGAAGCCTCTCTCATCTTGAGGCTTTGCAGCTGTTGTTCCTTCTGCCTAACACACTGTGCCCCAAGTTGTCTGTGGCTGGCCCCTTCCCACCAGTCAGTCTCAGTGGAGACCTCGCCTCCTCTGTTCATTCATTCATTCAACAGATAACGAGTGAGGACTCGCTGTGTGCACTCGGATACAGCAGTGAATAAAAGGACAAAAGGTCTTGAATGGGAAAAAGAAAGCTGCTGCTTGTGGGGGATTCCACAGGTAATCAACAAGATTAATAAGTAAGCTATTCAGTGTGTCCAAACGTGGCCAGGTCCAAGGAGAAAAGCGGTGCAGGGAGGGAGAGAGAACATCCCAGGAGATTGCAGCTTCAGGTCGGGGAGGGCGTGAAGGTATCTGGAGGAAAGTGACCCAGGCAGTAGGAACAGGGAACGCACAGGCTCTGACAAGGGAATGGTCACTGAGACCTGTTGGCCACCAAAGCCTAGTTGCTGGATCTTCGCATCCTCTTTTTCTTTCTTTTTCTTTTTTTTAGAAACAAGAGTCTCGCTCTGTGGCCCAGGCTGGAGTGCAGTGGTACAGTCATAGCTCACAGCAGCCTCAAACTCCTGGGCTCCACTGATCTTCCCGCCTCAGCCTCCCAAGTAGCTGGGACCACAGGTGCTTGACACCATGCCTGGCTAATCCTTTTTGTTTGTTTTGAGACAGAGTTTCGCTCTGTCACCTAGGCTAGAGTACAGTGGTGGGTTCATAGCTCACTGCAGCCTCAACTTCCCAGGCTCAGCAATCCTTCCACCTTAGCCTTTTGAGTGGCTGGGACCACAGGTGCATGCCACCATGCCCAGCTAATTTTGTTTTTATTATTTTTAGAGATAGGGTCTCCCTATGTTGCCCTGGCTGGTCTTGAACTCCTGAGCTCAAGTGATCCTCCCACCGTAGCCTCCCAAAGTGGATTACAAGCATGAGCCACTGTGCCCAGCCCTCCTTTCTTTTCAAAATTTTTATTGTTCCATGTAAATTTGAAAAAATGTCCTTTCCTTTTTTTTTTAGAGACAGGGTCTCACTATGTTGCCCAGGCTGGTCGTCTCCAGCTCCTAGGCTCAAGTGATCCTCCCACCTTGGCCTCCCAAAGTGCTGGGATTATAGGAGTGAGCCACCGTGCCCAGCCCATCTCTTTTTTTTGATCAGAGATAGTCCTGACCTCTGTCAGAAATCATCCCATTTTCTGGTTACTTTTTTTTTTTTTTTTTTATACAGAATTTCACTCCGTCACCCAGACTGGAGTGCAGTGGTGCGATCTCAGCTCACTGTAACCTCCACCTCCCAGGTTCAAGTGATTCTCCTGCCTCAGCCTCCTGAGTAGCTGAAACTACAGGAGCACACTACCAGACTCAGTTAATTTTTGTATTTTTAGTAGAGACGGGGTTTCACCATGTTGACCCAGGCTGGTCTCGAACTCCTGACCTCAAGTGATCCACCCGCCTCGGCCTCCCAGAGTGCTGGGATTACAGGTGTGAGTTACTGCGGCTGGTTGGAAATCATCCCATTTTCTGATTTGTGTCCTGTGAAGTGTCTGTTGCTCCCCTGTCACTGCTGTATCCCTTTCCTAGGACAGTGTCTGCTCCATGCCAAGCTCTTGCTCCTTCTACAGGATCTGTGTGGGAGGGAGTGCCATCCCCCTTTACAGAGGAGCTGTCTCTGGAGGCCATGTGGCTTGGGGGAGCTATGCGGTGCTGTGATGGTGAGCCCTGGCCTGTTGGCCCCTAGCCCAGGGCTCTTTCCCTTACAACCCCTGGCTCCCTCCAGGAATGGGCTGAGTAGGCAGGATCTGTTCATACCAGGCGTCTCTAGGCCTGGCTTCCTGAAGTTTCTCTGCAGAGAACCTGCTTGTCTGGGGTGGGGAGCTGAGGAGCCACCTGGAGGTGAGGCCCGCCAGGTCTAGACCAGCCCCCTCTTCAAGGAAGCGTGGTGCTTTTCCATGCCTTGACCTGGGCAGTGGGTTGATTGGAGTGAGGGGATACCATGCCCACCCTGCCTTGGTCCTCCTGGCTCCATCACCCCATGCCCATGAGGTCCCAGCCCCGTGTGGGAAGAGCAGCAGGTCCACACAAGGCCACCAGCCCTGCCCAGCCAGACCTCGCCAGCACCCTGTCAGCAGCGGCCAGTCCCCAGGCCCCAGACTGCCGGGTCGGCTCTGAGCTGCCAGCATCTGGGAGCGTGTCTGTGCGTGTCCCTGCCTCTTAATTGCAAGGGTGTCATTGGGCATCCTTTGTTCTGTATTATCCATCCATCACTGCTACCCACAGCCCTTCTGACTTGGGGTCCAGTCCGAGTTCTGCCGCTTCCTACTTGGTGACCTTGACAGGGTGTTTTGCTGCTGTGGTCTGTTTCCTTGCCTGTCTAGTGGGGACGTTCTGCTTACCTTTCAGATGGCTTCCCAGATCAGGGTGGTGTGAGGGGCTCCACGCTCACAAACTCACACAGTGCCAAGGAAAGGAGATGGCCAGGACATTCAGCGACCCATGACTGTGACTCTCTGGATGCTGGGGTTTAGGGAGGATTTTCTTGTCTGTATTTGGTTTTTCTACAATGGGCACAGATTACTTGAGCAAAATGTTTTAAATGGAATAGGATGCAGAGGGTCTGGTACACTCACTCCCTACTGCACAGCAGGTGCCCCAGGGAGCATTTGGGTGGGTGGGTGGTGCTCAGTGTCCACGCCCTCCTGATGCCATTGCTACACCCTGTCTTCCTCCTTCCTACTGGCACCTCCTCCCAGCCCCCAGTTCTGCCTTGTCACTTTTAAGCCTGTGTGGAGTCTTTGGCACGGATGGCCCTGTGCCCTCTTGTCCCCTCCCTGGAGTCTGCAGGCAGTGGTCACTCTCCAGGGAGCCCCCACCAAGCTTCCTCTGACTTCTGACCCAGTGACCTTGGCCTGGGCCCCGGGTGGGGGTGTGAGCCCTCCAGGAGTCCAACTGGTTTATGAGTGTGAGCTGCCCTCCCCCAGGCTGCAATGCTGGGCCAGCAGATCTGGGTGTCCCCTCACTTCCATTCCAGAAGCCCTTGGGGCTTTCCCAGCCGGTGCCTGTTCTCTGAACCCCCTTGGGACCTTGGATCAAGTGGGCCCTAGGAGTTTCCCGGCCACCTGCTCTTCCCCAGCAAAGTGGGATCCCCACCTCTGGTCTGACTCCTCCAAAATGTGAAGGCAGGAACATCCCGGAATGACCCCCTTTTTCAGTTTCCCCAGAAGGTGACAGCGCTCTGGGGGCTGGTTCCTGGTATTCGGTTTTGAGATAACTGACCGTGCAGATCCTTTCACTCAAGGGGGATGTGGCTCTGCTTTTTTTTTTTTTTTTTTTTTTTTTTTTTTTGAGATACTGTTTTTGCTCTGTTGCCCAGGCCGGAGTGCAATGGCCTGATCTTGGCTCACTGCAACCTCCGCCTCTTGGGTTCTAGCAATTCTCCTGCCTTAGCCTTCCAAGTAGCTGGGATTACAGGCGTCTGCCACCACACTCGGCTAACTTTTTGTATTTTTAGTAGAGACGAGGTTTCACCATGTTGGCCAGGCTGGTCTCAAACTCTTGACCTGAGGTGATCCACCTGCCTCCGCCTCCCAAAGTGCTGGGATTACAAGACTGCCATTTTTTACAGTGCGATTTTGTAAAATCGGGTCACCCTCCCAGCACAGCAAGCCCTCGGTTCCTCTGCCCGAAGACACCCCCAACTCTGCCACGCACGTTACCTACCTTCTCCCACGCTGCCCAGATTACATGGGATCCTATCATATGCAAAGTCCTGACCTGATGGTTAATTTTTGCCACCTCCCAAGAACGCGAAATCCTTCAAACCTCAGCTTAGATACCTTCTTCTCGAAGGTATCTAAGCTGCCTCCCACTTCGGGCCAGGTGTTCCCTCTCCCTCCTGCAGTCAAAGCACTCAACACTGGGCTGCCCTGTCTCTACCTGTCCCTGCCTGGAGCACGCGCCTCCAGGGTGCGGCCTGGATCTGCTTCCTTCCCCCATCCTGCTGGGAGTGGACGGAGCTGTGCCCAGGGTCTGTGTTTCCCAAGGACGGGCCTTGCTGTCCTGTGGTCAGCAGGAGGCTGAGCTACTGGAAGCCAGAAGCTGGAGCACAGAGGCTCCTTCCCCTTCCCCCAAGGATAATCCAGAAATGGTTTCCCCTTGGGCTGGGAATGGATTCTATGGTGGGCGGAGAGTTTAGGGGCCTTGAGCTGGTTTCTTTATTGGGAGCAGATTCCTCCTGATTATTCTCCACTAGGGCCCGTGGGAAAGAGAACCTTTCTGAGCACAGCCCATGAGCGCACAGGGAAGCTGGACTGGGGCTAGCCAGAGAGAGGGGAGGGGACCGGCAGAGACCCCAGGCACGGTGGCATGGGCCAGCACCCCCTGACCGAGTGCTCTGTGCCACCCGTGCCCACTTGAGTTTCTCATGGCTGTGGCTGGTTGGAGAGGCTGAGGCCGAGAGTCCCTGGACAGCCTTCCCCGAGGTCAGAAGGAGGAAGCATCTGCCCGGTGCCCTGGCCTGGAGTCACTGCAGGCCTCTCCCCTGCCCCGACTTGGGCTCTGATCTGGGAAGGATGGCCTTGGTGTTTCTACCTTCCACAAGACTTTGGAGGAAGAGGCTTGCGAAGTTTCCCTTTCTGCTTAGCTGGAGTTTCATGGTTTCTCAGAAAACAGGTTAACAATTAAGCTAATTAACCTCAGGGCCCGCCGGCCCTCCTTGTGCTTATAAAGCCAGGCTAAATGGCTTCCTCCCCCAGCTTTTCCTACCCCCATTATAAGGCCACAGGTGGTGACAGCCTTCAGCCCTGAGGTGGGCCGGCCTCTAGATCTGAGCGTGGGGAAGCCAGGGTGCATGGGCGGTCACTGTGAAGCTGGCCTGGCCCCGGGGTGGCAGCCTACTGGACTTGGAGAGAGAGGCCCTGCTCCACCTGTTTGGGCCGGGCCTAATCGATACCTGAGTGCCAGGACAGACCCCTGCAGCTCCTTCTGTTTCTCCAGGTCTCCAGTGGGGGCTGCAGACTAAGCAAAATGAGGCGGTTCCTGAGGCCAGGGCATGACCCTGTGCGGGAGAGGCTCAAGCGGGACCTGTTCCAGTTTAACAAGGTAAGTTAGGGAGAGCAGGGAAGATGACCCCCAGGTTTTCGGCCAAGCAGCTCAGGCTGGGGCTGAGGCACCTCTTACCTGGATTAAGGTATAGCTCTTATGTGACTGCCTGCAGTGCCTCTTGGGACTCAGACTTTGGAAATGGGGCCTGGTTAAAGGGCTTTTATAGAAAAGGGGAATAGGTTGCCCTCATGAGTTGGGACTTCTCATCTGAAGGCTTTCACTGGCTGTGTGACCTCTGCAAGTCACTCCACCTCATGGAGCCTCAGTTTCCCTACCTGTATCATGGGAATAAAACGATCTGCCATGTCTACCTCGGCACAGGGTTGTCAAGGAGGTTTAGGGACGTGGGAGATGAAAGGATGAACTCTTCAGGGGGTGATAATGTTCCAGGTCCCTTGGGGCCCTGGAGTCACAGGCCATGGCTGTTTCTCCCTTCTCAAATTGCCCCTGAAGGAAAATGCAGCTCCCCTGCAGGCTGAACACGTGATTCCTTCTGGCTCCGGCCGGGGTGAGTGGGGAGAGGTGCCCAGGAGAATGAGCCGGAGTTGGCCTCGGACTACCCCAATCCCAAACCTGTATCCGGGGTACCAGAAGGCCCACGGGGCTTCCCTTCAGGAGTCTGGGGCCTGAGAAGGTCAGGACGGGCCTGTACGCAGGAGGCGTGCAGTGTGGCTCTTCAGCTCCCGGGCCACCAAGCAGTGTGGGGCCTTGTGAGGTAATGATCTTCTCACCTCTGCTTTGCGCCTCTGCTGGGAAGGTGGGCTGCAGGAACTGGGACACTGTGATCCTCTTCCCCCGGGGAGCCAGGACCCTCCCAATATGCTGAGGGCAGGACATGTGGCTTTCGTTGGGGGCTTCCGTTTGGGCTCCCCTGCCCCCGAAAGGAAGCAGTGGATGTGAGACCAGACAGTCTGGAAAAGGGATGTCTCCCTGTGGAGAATGAGGAAGTCTCTTTGGTTGTATTTTTGTTATTGATTTGAGAACTGTAGAAGTCAGCTTGCCCAGGTGCAAACCCAACTTTGCCACATAGAAGCTGGATGGCCGTGTGCCTGTCGCCCACACCATAGGCTTGTTAAGGGCGTACGTGGGGTGAGGTAACTTAAGTGCTAGGCACAGTGGCCCAGGAATGCTGGCTGCTGCTGTGGGCTGGAGGGGATCTCCGTGACCTCCCTGTTGGGAGAGGTGGGTCGTGGGGTGGAGGGACCTCCCTGACCTCCCCGTTGGGAGAGGTGGGTCAGCGCTCCCAATGTGCCCTGCCATTTCTCTCTGTGTTTCTTAGCCTGTGGGAGGAGTTGGTGTCCCTGATGGAGCTTTGCCACGAGGACATTTGCCTCTGGAATTAGGGCTTTCCTATCCCAACGTGCCTCCTGCCAGCTCGCTTTTGGGCCTTGGGATATGGGGGTGCAGGTGTTGGGAATGGGAGATCTCAGGACACCTACAGCCTGCTACCCTTGCTCTGGAGGGAGTAGCCTATGGGTGCTGGGTCTCAAAGCTTCGGTGTCCACGGGAGATGGAAGGGAACTGAGTGACCCCCATCTGCCTCCAGTCTTTCGCTTTGAAAAGGTGGCAGAAACCTGACAGGCTCAGCAAATAGGGCTGAACACCCCCCTACCCCTGCCCCCTTGCACCAAGTTCTGTCTGTGCAGCTGAGTGAGGCTAGGGTGGAGCTGGGGCAAGGAGTTGTCCCTTCTTCTTTCCCCTATCCCCCAGGGGTGATCCCCAAACTTGATTGTCCCACTCCCAGGCCTGGGGGTGGCAGAGGGAGGCTCCTGGGTCTCCTGCTCTGCCTTCTTCTTTCCATTCATATGCAAGAAGCATGCATTGAGCACTTACTGGATCCACAGCCCAAGGCTCAGGGCTATGGGAATCTGATTAGGCCTCTGCCCTCCACTTTTACAGTCTGCAGGAGGGAGGAGGCTGATGGCCTGAAATTTCAGGCCTTGGAAGTGGAGAGGAGGAAGGGGAGAGCCCAGGGGATTCAGGAGCGGGGTAGACTCATCCGGCTCGGGGAGTGTGGTGGGGCCAGCAGGGTGGGATTGGAGGATGAGGCCAGATCCCAGAGGATTTGGGATCCCGTCTGCCCTGCCCCTCCCCAGCCCAGGCTGTGAAGCAGGGAGGCTGCTGGTATCTGGGCCTGATCTGACCCTGCGGCTCCAGGGGTTGTGAGCAAGGGAGTGAATAGTGGTCCCATTTACAATGTAGGAAAGATAAACCTGGAGATGTTTTTACCCTTTGGGCAAGGCAGGTAAGCTCAGAGCAGTTAGGAGACATTGCCCCGACTAAGATAGGTGACAGCCCAGAAGGAAGGGACTGGAAGCCCAGCCAGTGGGGATGGGAACGAGGCATGAATTGAGCAGGGTTTCTCAACTTCAGCACTCACAGATGATATTTGAGGCTGGCTGTGCTGCGGAGGCTGTCCTGTGCGTTGTAGATTATTTAGCAGTGTCCCTAGTCCTACCCACTAGATGCCAGTAGCACATACATACACACACAGCCTGTCAAGATGTGACAACCAAGAATGTTTCCTGAGGGGTAAAATCGCTCCTGGTTTGAGACCCATGGAATAGAGAACTATTCAGGGCTGAGATCTGCTGATGGGGCAGTAAAGAGGGAGGGGATGGGGAGGGGAGGCGGGTGTGCAGGATGACCGTGAAGTCTCTGACCTGGGTAGGTGGTGGTGCCAGGCCTTGGGAGGGGGAGCCCAGGCCAGGAGTGGCGAAGAACAGATTTGAGGAAAAGTAATGTATTTTGATCGTTTTGATTTGGACACAATCGCAACAACAGTGCTCTCCATTTTTGGAGAGGCAGCTTGCCCAGAGGTGAGTGGTGCCGACTGCCCGGCTCGCCAGCTGTGTGACCTTGAGCAGGTCACATGCCTCTGAGATAATGATAATCAGAGCCACTCCATCCATAGAGTTGGTGTGAGGACTACATGAGTTCCTGCACGAATCGAAGGCCACGTCTGGCTGGCGGCTGCAGTGTCCGGCAGCATCGTTCTGTGGTGGGTGTCATGTGGCTTGAGGTTGAGTTGGGGGAGCCTTGGGACAGGCCCAGCAGACAGGCGGAGGGCAGGTCCAGCAGACAGGCGGAGGGCAGGTCCAGCAGACAGGCGGAGGGCAGGTCCAGCAGACAGGCGGAGGGCAGGTCCAGCAGACAGGCGGAGGGCAGGTCCAGCAGACAGGCGGAGGGCAGGTCCAGCAGACAGACGGAGGGCAGGTCCAGCAGACAGGCGGAGGGCAGGTCCAGCAGACAGGCGGAGGGCAGGTCCAGCAGACAGACGGAGGGCAGGTCCAGCAGACAGGCGGAGGGCAGGTCCAGCAGACAGGCGGAGGGCAGGTCCAGCAGACAGGCGGAGGGCAGGTCCAGCGGACGGTGGGATACCCAGGGCTGGAGCCTGGAGCGGCACGTGGGCTGTTGGTGTAGGCGAGGGTCAGGCCCCAGACAGTGTTCATGCTGGCAACTCAGGTCATCTCTTCCAGTGGTCCTGGAAGGCCAGTCTGCTGGGTACTGTGACAGCTGGGACAGTGGCGCCATCACAGCTCGACCCCAGGTGGCTTGTAGACACTGGCTTCTGAACCAGTTCTGGCCTTTTTGTCCAACACCTTTTGGCTCAACTCCTTTATACCCACACCAAGCCCGATGCCTCAAAGAGAGCAAGGACATCGCCCCGGGGGTCCTGAGAGGGAGACGTCTTGTTTCTTTGGCTTCAGTACTTCCAGAGGATCTGTGATTGCGAACAGTCTCTGAACTCTGCCAGGAACTGGCTGTCAGAGCGGTAACTCCAGTTCACCGAGGGCTATGTGCCAGGCATCAGAGGGGCCAGGTAGTGGTTAGGGGCAGGGACTTTGCAGCCACATGACCTGGGTCTAGATGCGGGCTCTGATGCTTCCTCACTGTGTAAGACACAGTGGACGCATTACTTAGCCTCTCTGTTCTTTAGTTTCCTCATCTGTAAAATGGGCATTGTAGGGGAGCAAAAACTGGCTTCCCTCCAGCCTTCTAGGTTCTTTGGCTGGGCTATGAATTAAATTGACGAGAGGCGGGGCGCAGTGGCTCATGCCTGTAATCCCAGCACTTTGGGAGGCTGAGGTGGGTGGATCACTTGAGGTCTGAAGTTAGAGACCAGCCTGGCCAACATGGCGAAACCCCATCTCTACTAAAAATACAAAAATCAGTTGGGTGTGGTGGCACACGCCTGTAGTCTCAGCTACTAGGGAGGCTGGGGCAAGAGAATCAGTTGAACCCTGGAGGCGGAGATTGCAGTGAGCCGAGATCATGCCACTGCACTCTAGCCTGGGTGACAGAGTGAGACCCTGTCTCAAAAAAAAAAAAAATGAGGACTGGGGTGGAATGTGACCAGGTTACAGGAAGGTGAGGGGAGGAAGTGTAGGTGAATGAAGGTTGTCTTGTTATGCAGAGAAGGTCCTGGGTAATAAAAGTTGCCTTGGAGCAGCCTTCTTCCTGATACAGATATGGATTGAGCATACATGATCAGAAAATCTGATATCCGAAATGCTCCAAAATCTGAGTTTTTGAAGTGCCAACATGACACTGAAAGGGAATGCTCACTGGAGCGTTTCAGATTTTGAAAGTTTGGATTTGGGATGCTCGACCGGTAAGTATAATGCAAATATTCCGAAACCCAAAAGATTCTGAAATCTAAAACCCTCTATTCGCAATCATTTTAGATGAGGGATATTCCGCCTGTACTTGACTAATGTAGCTTTCCTTTGTGGATGTAAATTTATTTTACAGAAGGACAATTTTTTTTTTCCTTTTTTTTTTTTTTTTGGACGGAGTTTAGCTCTTGTTGCCCGGGCTGGAGTGCAATGGTACCATCTCAGCTCACTGCAACCTCTGCCTCCCGGGTTCAAGGGATTCTCCAGCCTCAGCCTCCCACATAGCTGGGATTACAGGCATGTGCCACCACGCCCGGCTAAAGGACAGCTTTTCAGAGCTACTCCCATGTCTGCACTTTCTGAGAATAACCAGCTCAAAGTATGCCAAAGAAGTGGCCGGGCGCCGTGTCTCCTGCCTGCAATGCCAGCAGTTTGGGAGGCTGAGGCAGGTAGATCACCTGAGGTCAGGAGTTCGAGATCAGCCTAGCCGGGCATGGTGGCGCACACCTGTAATCCCAGCTACTTGAGAGGCTGAGGCAGGAGAATCACTTGAACCTGGGAGGCGGAGGTTGCAGTGAGCCAAGATCGCGCCATTGCACTCCAGCCTGGGTGACAGAGTGAGATTCTGTCTCAAAAAAAAAAAAAAAGCCAAAGAAGTATACTTTGGGGTAGCCCATTCTGGTCTCCTACAGTGGTATTTTGGGGTGGTATGTCCTGAGTTCCAACAGCATCATAATGATCCCTAAGGGAGTGTAATTGCTTCAAACGGTGCCTGACACAGGTCGACGCCTTACCAGGACTTGCCTTGTTGTGGTGTCACCCTCACAACAACTCAGGATGGGTGTTGCTTCCATTCTGCAGGGGAGGAGACTAAGGCCCCCAGGGCTTGCACAGCTGGAGCTTATCCGGGGCAGGGGCACTGGCTGGGGTGAGGATGTCCTGGTTTCACCTGTGGTCTGGCTGTGTGGCCTTAGAGTGGTGGCTTCACCTCCCTTCACACCTCAGTTACTTCACCAGTGAAGTAACTGTTTGCTATATATGGTGGGCCGTCAAGCCTATTGGAGGGATGGACAGACAGACAAGTCAGCTGCAGCACCAGGACAGGGCCACTGAGGACCAAGGGAAGGAACCATGGGACCTCGGGAGGGAGGAAGTGCTGCTGGAGAAGTCAAGGTAAAACCCGTTCCTAGACAACTGCTCACAGCCAGCTCGCTCCCCTCGGCCAAACCCAGGCACACCCCAAGCAGCCACACCCATCAGGGCAAACAGGCTGCTGTGCTTGCCCGGCTGCCGCAGAAGCACCTGCCTGGGCCTTCCCTGCCCGTGCCCACCCTCCTCTGTCCCCTTAGGCCCTGAACAAACAGTGTGTTCCTGACCCAGCAGCCCCTGCGGAGGGCCAGGTTGTTCTGTATTGGCTTTCGAATGGCTGGGCCCCTGGTGTCAGGTGACAGCAGCCACACAGGGAGGGCCAGGCTGCCGCCACTGCCAGGAATCTGAGCTGGCCACACCCAGCCAGTATCGGGCAGAGTGGCCCGGCCAGGCAGGAGTGCTCCCCCAAGGTGCTGGGCAGCCTCTGAGGGCCTGGTGCCCACCACTGCCTCCTTCCCACCCCCTGAGGAGTGCCAGGGACTCCTCCTCAGGTCCTAGCCCTTGGGCAGGGTCCTCCCTGGCTGCAGGCAGGATGAAGGCCCCACTGTCTCTGACAGCCAGCCTTTGCCCACTCGCTCCCCTTCCGGGACCTGGAAAGGAGTCCCAGAGCCCAGGAGAGACGGGCCTTCTCCCCTACTCCAGGCTAACGTTGCAGTCTGGCGGCTTCTGCAAATCTTTGCTCTCCTTTCCCAACCCCCCTGTCAAAAGAGTTCATTGTTCTCTCCTCCCTTGGCAGAGGTCACCTGAGCCAGGTATCAGATGTGGGCGGGGCCGGGTAGGCTGGATGCCGCGCTTCGGAGGCCCCAGTGGCTGCCAGGCAGCTTTGGTCAGCCTCCTGGTTTGAATCTGAGGAGAGATAGCTAGGGTCCTAGAATAGCTGGGGAGGGCTGGTCTTGGAATTCCTTGACCACCCAGGGGCTATGCCCCGTCCCGCCCTCTGTCCTGAGTGCAGCCGCGATTCAGGGTTGCTGTGTGTACCTTTGCAGGAAGGCAGCCCTGGGGCTGAGCCCAACCTCCTGTGCTCAGGTGGGTACTTCCTTTTAGGGAGGCCATATGCACTCCCTCTAACAGGGACCTGGAACTGTTCCTGAACCCTAAACAAGGGGGGAGTCACCACCTAAGTGATACAGACCTTGTTCAGCAGCAGGGAAGCTAAGCCTTACAAGGCTGGTAGGAGTTGGGGGTGGGATCCAAGGGGGTGGGAAGGGCACCAAAGTAAGGGGCGGGGCAGGCCGGGCGCGGTGGCTTACACCTGTAATCCCAGCACTTTGGGAGGCTGAGGCAGGTGGATCACTTGAGTCCAGGAGTTCGAGACCAGCCTGGGCAACATAGTGACACCTCATCTCTACAAAAAATACAAAAATTAGCCAGCTGTGGTGGCGCATGCCTGTAGTTCTAGCTACTCGGGAGACTCAGGTGGATCACTTGAGCCCGGGAGGAGGAGGTTACAGTGAGCTGAGATCGTACCACTGCACTCCAGCCTGGGCAACAGAGTGAGACCCTGTCTCAAAAAAAAAAAAAAAAAAAAAAAACACACACACACAAACTAGGGGGCAACTGGGGCACAGCCAGAGGTGCCCATGGAGCCTTCGTTCTTTCCCTGACTGGTTTCCTCAGGACACTAGGCCCTGGGTTTCTAGCTTCTCCCTGTCCCTTCTGTTAGCTGCTCTTAGTCCTGTTCCCAAATCCCAATCCCTTCCCTGTTCCCAACAAGATCCCTTGGGCTTCTCATAACTAACCTAGGGCTCCCCTGCCTCTCTGCCCAGCCCGAGCCCCTGTCCTCATAGGACTGCCTGAGGAATCCCCTGGGAGACAGGTCATTTACACATGAAACCATTCTCTTGGCCCTGTCCAGGTAGAGTCGCTGTGAAGGTCACTGCCCTTATTTTGGTTTTAGGGGAGCCCTGGTCCCTCCAGAGTTGCCAACTTGGAGAAGTGCCCAAGGTGATACTATGGAACAATGCGAGCCTCGGAAGGAAGCAGAGGCCTGTGTGTGCTGCAGGGTGGCCTCAGATCCATCATCTCCAATCCAAGGACAGCTCTGCCCAGTGCAGTCACCAGTACCATCCCGTTTATTAGATGAGAAATGAAGCTCAGGGAGGCCCAGCAGCTCATCCACGACCAGATGCCTTGTACGTGGCAGGAAGGGATACAAAGCTTAGTGGGTCTGACTCAGTCCCTGTTCTAAATCAGCCTTTGGAAAAGAAGGTGGGGATGGGGGGGAGGGGTGGCCACGATAACTCCAAGGCTTGAAGGGAATGAGGAATGAATGCGGGTGGTTGAAGGATGGGCCCAACCCTTTGTCTTCCTCTGAGTTAGAGGAAAGATGCTGAGCCGAACAGGAGTAGTGACTCTGGTGAAATGTTAGAAGAACTGCCCGCCCTTGACTTGTGGCCTGAGAGCCTAGCAAAAAGTTACAGGCTGTTTTCTCTGTGGCCTGACGTTCCTGCTGGTGTGCGGAATTGTCGAGGCCAATGGGAATATAATATGAGCCATGTATGTGATTTAAAATTTCCTAGAAGCTGCATTGTATAATTATTTAAACACGTGAAATTAATTTTAATTATATATTCTGGCTGGGTGCGGTGGCTCACGCCTGTAATCCCAGAACTTTGGGAGGTCAAGGCGAGGAGATCACTTGAAGTCAGGAGTTCGAGACCAGCCTGGCCAACATGGTGAAACCCCATCTCTACTAAAAATGCAAAAATTAGCTGGGCGTGGTGGTGCATGCCTGTAGTCCCAGCTACTTGGGAGGCTGAGGCAGGAGAATCATTTGAACCCGGGAGGTGGAGGTTGCAGCGAGCTAAGATCTCACCACTGCACTCCAATTAGGTGACAGAGGGAGACTCTGTCTTTAAAAAAAAAGTCTAGAAGCTGCATTATGAAATTATTTAAACAAGTGAAATTAATTTTAATCCTGTATTCCAGCTGGTCAAGGTGGCTCATACCTGTAATCCCAGCACTCTGGCACTCTGGAAGGCTGAGGCCTGTGGATCACTTGAGGCCAGGAGTTTGAGACCAGCCTAGCCAACTTGGTGAAACCCCGTCTCTACTAAAAATACAAAAACTAGCTGGGCGTGGTGGTGTGTGCCTGTAGTCCCAGCTCCTCAGGAGGCTGAGGCGGGAGGATCACTTGAACCAGGGAGGCGGAGGTTGCAGTGAGCTGTGATCGTGCCACTGCACTCCAGGCGTGACAGGCGTGACCCTATCTCAAAAAAAAATTATATATTCCTTTTAATCCAACATATGCAAAATATTTTGACGTGTGATTAACTACTAATGAGATTTTTTCAGTTTGTGTTTTTGAATGCTCAATTTGTGAAATCTAGGTGTATTTTACACTTACGGCACATCTCAGTTCAGACATTAAATCTTTTTTGGAAGTACTAGATCTGTATTTAGAATTTGGATGATTTACAGTGGAAAAAGGGAATTCGAAGCGTGGCCTGCCTGAGTCCAGCCCCTGTTCTTCTAGAACCCGAGTTGTTCCAGACATACTTGAAGGGTTTCCAAGAACTGACTTAATCCTCATTGGTGACATGAGCCATACTGCAAGTGCTTGGTGGCCCCATGGGGCTCATGGCTACCGTTCTGGGCAGCTCGGAGCATGGGGCCTGCTCCTGGCCAGGCCATTGGGCTCCTGTAGGGCATTTCCACCAGAGTCCTCCAAATTCCAGAGGCTGTTCCCTGAGCTGCCTCTGCTGCTGGGAAAGTGCTGCTGTCCTGGGAGACGGCTCCGGCTGCTGACTTCCTGAGGCCCCAGCAACCTGGGGCTGGCTGAGGTCTGGTGGGGCCCCTGGGGGAGCTTGTCCTGCACATCCTATCCCACTGTCTACTCCCCTTTTCCTGGGAAATGTTTACATTCCAGACACTCAGCTATCTCTATCCAGGGCTTCTCCAGGCTCTGCATTTTTCGCATAGCTGAACAGGGACCTGGGCTGGCCTGGGGGCCGCTGCTGGGCCCTATCTGTCCCCCTGGCTATCCCATTTAGGTATGACCATTTGCAGGGCAGGCCCTGTTCCTAGCAAAGGCCAGGCCTGAGGCACCCCCCGTCTCCCCCGACCTTTTTGTCTCCAGGCATCCCCCAAAATAGGCACTTGTTGGAGCTCTCCTCCCTGCCTGACCCCAGCATGGGATTCCTTGTGAGAGCCATTGGACTAGACTGACTGATGGGGGAGGCAGGTAGCAATTGGGTTTGCTAAGCTATCATTGCTAGATCTCATCAGGGACTTCTCCTTTTCTGCTGCTTTGAGGCCTGGCAGGGCTGCAAAGTAGGAAAGCCCAGGGCCTAAGGAGGCTGCCTCATTGTTGGGACCTTTTTCTGCAAGTCAGAGTCTCTGTGGTTGTTTTTTAAGTCTTTAAAGCAATCAGTTGACATAGCATCGCTTTGTGCTGTTCTCACCTAGCTCTGCAGGGTCACTATCCCCCGGGGTGGGAGGCGGGGGTCAGATTGGGGTAACTGATTAAGAAACTGAACTAAAAACCTTCCTGAAGATGGTTTATCACTCTAAATTTGTAGTGGGTTTATGTTCATACCTTTCTTAACCCACAATTCTATCCCTGGGACATCTGCCCCAGGAAATACTCAAGTGGTGCAGACAAAGATAGGAGTCCAAGAATGCCATCGACATGGTTGTTGGATTGCAAACCCTCTAGCAACAAAGTAAATACTCAACAATAAACCTCTGGTGAATTAGGATATCTACAGGTAAAGAATATTCTTTAGATGTTTTAAAAGTCATTTTAGGCCGGGTATGATGGCTCACACCTGTAATCCCAACACTTTGAGAGGCCAAGGCGGGCAGATCACTTGAGGTCAAGAGTTCAAGACCAGCCTGGCCAACATGGTGAAAGCCCATCTCTACTGAAAATACAAAAATTAGCTGGGCATGGTGGTGGGTGCCTGTAATCCTAGCTCCTGGGGAGACTGAGGCAGGAGAATCACTTGAACCTGGGAGGCAGAGTTTGCAGCGAGCCAAGATCGCACCATTGCACTCCAGGCTGGGTGACAAGAGCAAAACTCCGTCTCAAAAAAAAAAAAAAAAAAGCCATTTTAGGCAGCTTGCAGTGACTCACGCCTGTAATCCCAGCGCTTTGGGAGGCCGAGGCAGGAGGATCGCTTGAGTCTAGAAGGTTAAGACCAGGCTGGACAACATGACGAGTACCTGTCTCTACCAAAAATTAAAAAGTAGCCGGGTGTGGCAGGTGTGGTGGTGCATGCCTGTAGTCCCAGCTACTTGGGAGGCTGAGGTGGAAGGATCACTTGAGCCTGGGAGGCCAAGGCTACAGTGAACCGAAATCATGCCGTAGCACCCAGCCTGGGCAACAGAGTGAGACCCTCAAAAAAGAAAAATTAAAAATTTTTGTCATGCCTGTAATCCCAGCACTTTGGGAGGCCAAGATGGGCGGATCGAGACCATCCTGGCTAACACAGTGAAACCCCGTCTCTACTAAAAATACAAAAAATTAGCCGGGCGTGGTGGCGGGCGCCTGTAGTCCCAGCTACTTGGGAGGCTTAGGCAGGAGAATGGCGTGAACCTGGGAGGCGGAGCTTATAGTGAGCTGAGATCACACCACTGCACTCCAGCCTGGGCGACAGCGCAAGACTCCGTCTCAAAAAAAAAAAAAAATTTTTGGCTGGGTGCGGGTGGCTCACGCTTGTAATCCTAGCACTTTGGGAGGCTGAGGTGGACAGATCATGAGGTCAGGAGATAGAGACACGGTGAAACCTGTCTCTACTAAAAATACAAAAAATTAGCCAGGCATGGTGGTGGGCACCTGTAGTACCAGCTACTCGGAAGGCTGAGGCAGGAGAATGGCATGAACCCGGGAGGCGGAGCTTGCAGTGAGCCGAGATCGCACCACTGCACTCCAGCCTGGGCAACAGAGCGAGATTCCATCTCAAAAAAAAAAAAAATAGACCTGCAAACATTCACAAGTGCAGAAGACTCGAAGGATGTACACTTAGGTTCTAGCAAGGTTACTTCTGGTTGTGGGAGTTTGGGTAATTTTTGTTCTTTTTTTTTTTTTTTTTGAGACGGAGTCTCGCTCTGTCGCCCAGGCTGCTCTGCCTGCCGGGTTCGCACCATTCTCCTGCCTCAGCCTCAGTTTTTGTTCTTAAACATCTTTATACCTCCCAGGTTTTTCACAGTGTGTGTGTGTATTCTGTAATAAATGAAAAAAACACGTATGTGCAACGACACTCCAGGAATTCCCTTTCTGGGAAGATGGTTGGAATTTGGTGACAGTAAGAGTCTGTGAGACCCAGCTGACTGGGGCCTGGAGGGACCTGGAAGAGCCCAGAGCAGGGCAGGGCCTCCGCGGTACTCTAGGCCCCTGGGTGAGCCCGGAGCTGCGGTGCAACCAAGATTTTCTCCCGAGAGACCGGTGTCTCCATTGTTCCAAACTCCCCCTACTTTCCCCACCCCACACCCATAAGGCCCCCATGCCACTGAGGAGGGCTGGGTCCGTCACCCAGGGTGCACGTGGTGGAGGCACCGAGTCAGTTCCTGGAAAGCATTGAGAGGCTGGTATGGTGTCGGGGAAGATCAGCTCGCAGGGGTGGCCATGAGGCCAAGGGCAGAGTCACAAAGGGACAGGGGGTGGGGCCTGGTAAATATGGGTTAGGCTCCAACACTCAGGTGTCTGGGAGGAACCGGAAAGGTACCGAAGCCCTGCTTCCTGCTGGGTCGTCTGGTGCTGCAGCTGCAGCAGCCATGGTGGCGCGAAGGGGACAGGTCTGCAGGCCCACCCCACGTGCTTCTCGTTGCAGACGGTGGAGCATGGCTTCCCGCACCAGCCCAGCGCCCTCGGCTACAGCCCGTCCCTGCGCATCCTGGCCATCGGCACCCGTTCTGGAGCCATCAAGCTGTATCCTCCGTCCCCTCGCTCCCACTCGGGCAGGGCCTTGGGGTGGGTGAGATTTGGGGAGGGACATCTTTTCCTTCCTTGCCCGTGGGCTGTTGGGATAAAATGAGGGACTTTCCTGATTTCCAGTTTTGGACATGATTTTATTCCAAAATGGGGCAGGTATGGTTGATGGTGGAGCAGGCACCTGGGCATGAGTGCATCCCTGGTGGGATGCGACCCTGTCCTTTGCAGGAGGACAGTGAGGTTTGAAATGGACTGAGGAGATACAGGCTTATTTTGTCTCCTGTGTCCTTTCAGGACCCTTCATGTGGTCTGCTCCCTTTACTCAGTTTCCCCTCTCACCTATTCCTGGAGGTTTCAGGAATCCCCCAGTCCCGGGCAGGGGGTGAGGCTGCTGGGGGGCTCAGAGACCTGTTTTGCAGGGGTTGTATTGGTGGATCCAGAGGGAAGGACCTGACGCCCATGTCTCAGCCAGTGATCATTCAGTGAGTGGCTGGCTGGTGCGCCAGTAGCAAGGCCTAGGCCCTTCTGTGCCCCTGCCTCCCTCAGCTCCCCACCTCACCACCAGAAAAGCAAGTTACAGGGACCCCTCTTGTCGCTAGGGATGTTTTTAATTTAAAAAAATTTTTTTCGGCACTTTGGGAGGCTGAGGCGGGCAGATCACTTGAGGTCAGGAGTTCAAGGCCAGCCTGGTCAATGTGGTAAAACCCTGTCTCTACTAAAAATATTTTAAAAGTTATCAGGGCGTGGTGGCACATGCCTGTAATCCCAGCTACTTGGGAGGCTGAGATGGGAGAATCGTTTGAACCTGGGAGGCAGAGGTTGCAGTGAGCCAAGATTGTGCCACTGCACTCCAGCCTGGGCAACAGAGTGAGACTCTGTCTCAAAAACTTTTTTTTTTTTTTTTTTTTTTTTTGTGGAGACAGGGTCTTGTGATCTTGCCCAGCCTGGTCTTGAACTCCTGGGCTCAAGCAACTCTCTCGCCTTGGCCTCTCAAAATGCTAGGGTTACAGGCATGAGTCACTGCACTCCCAGCCTGCAGTTTTGTTTTTTAACCTATCTCGATAAGAATCAGAGGTGGACTGGCCCCAGGGCCCTATCCACAAGCAGAGATGGGGTGGCCTTGGGCCAGGAGAGCAGGGCTCGGCAGCTGTCTTCCAAATTCCACCCCCACTCCCACAGGCGGCAGAGAGTGGAGAGGGCTCTGCCTGGCAGGGACAGTCCTTCCCCGGCCTGAGGCTGGATGTTGTCCAGTTGGGTCATCTTTTATCCAGAGCACTGGTTCTGGCCGACTGGGGGCTCCCAGTGTTTTCAGAGATGAAAAACCGGATCAGGTTGGGCACCCCGCCAGTCTGATCTGTGCTCCCCTCAGGGCAGGGCCCAAGGGAGTTGAGAGATGAGGGACCACCTCCAATAGCTTGGCTGCCACCTCCAGCGGAGCCTGACCTCCCTCTTCCCCTCTGCCCGGTGTGGGGGAGGGGTATGGAGCACTCGAGTTCCAGGCTGGGCTGGTGTACACAGGGGGCCAGGGCCTTGCTGCGGGCTCAGCCTTCCCTCGGCTGGTTAATCATTGCCAGGCCACAGCCAGACTCTAGTTACCAATCCCTGGTGCCAAGACTAATGGGCCAAGGCTGTTGGTGATAGGCCCCCTGGGGTGCCGTGTGTTTTTTCACAGGTGCTACCAAGCGACAGCCAACATGTCTTTTGCAGCTCAGGATCAGGGTGGCAGCCTGACAGTTGCCAGGGTAGGGCTTCGCCTTTCTATGGAGTTGCTCCCACCGGCCTGACTGGGAAAAATCTCCCAGGGATCAGGTCACTGGCCTGGTGCCCCAGGGCCAGGGCTGCTGTGTCTCCTCCCCACCCTAGGCTCCATGCATGGGTCCTGCTGCCTCGGGGGAGGGCAGCCCCTCTCTGTGTTTGCATCATTGCACATGGGCCCCGAGGGCCTGGCACTCAAGGCAGGCAGGGGATGGTGTCCGACCTTCCAGAGCTTTCCTGAGCCTACTCCTAGCTACGGAGCCCCAGGCGTGGAGTTCATGGGGCTGCACCAGGAGAACAACGCTGTGACGCAGATCCACCTCCTGCCCGGCCAGGTGAGGGACCTGGGGTGGGACAGGAAGCCACTTCCATGCCCTCCTTGCCTTCACTGCTTCCAGCAGGGCTGGTGTGGAGAGGCTGGCATTCGGTGGCCCTGGGTTTGCTGCTGATGGAAAGACCTGGGACCCCCTCCCTTTCCACAGCTGGGGCTCATGGGCCACCCTGGGAGTGGCCAGGGGGTCTTTTAAACAACTGGGGCTGCGTGGCCCCAGTGTGTAAAGGCCTTGCCTGGGTAGCAAGACCACATGATCCCGTCGTGTGCCCTCGCCAGTGCCAGCTGGTCACCCTGCTGGATGACAACAGCCTGCACCTTTGGAGCCTGAAGGTCAAGGGCGGGGCATCGGAGCTGCAGGAGGATGAGAGCTTCACACTGCGTGGACCCCCAGGGTAAGGGCTCAATCCCCAGCCCCTTCCACTCCCAGCCCAGCCTGACCCTTGCCCTTAGCTCTGGAGTGGACTCACCCTTTGTGAGGCCTGTTGCGCCCCTGGCAGTGACTGGCATGCGTTTGGCCCGATGCATCGCCACACTCAGGTGCTCCGAGTGGAGTGGGCGGGGCTGCAGCCTGCCTCCTCCATCCACACCACGCCTCCTCCATCCGCACCCCACCTCCTCCATCCGCACCCCGCCTCCTCCATCCGCACCCCACCTCCTCCATCCACACCACGCCTCCTCCATCCGCACCCCACCTCCTCCATCCGCACCCCGCCTCCTCCATCCGCACCCCGCCTCCTCCATCCGCACCCCGCCTCCTCCATCTGCACCCCGCCTCCTCCATCCGCACCCCGTGTTATGCTGGAGGGTCCCTGGCGTCTTTCCTGCCTCCTAGCCCAGGCTCTCTGCCATCTGTCTCCTGTCTTGGCAGAAAGTGACCAATGTTTGTCCTGGCTTGAAATGTTATGACCTCATTAAAGGGCCTTATGGGCTTGTTTTCCGAGGAGTCAGGGGACCCCGTCCATGGCATCTCCCCTGCTGGGCAGTGGTCGGCTCACGGGCAGCTGTTCTTGTCACAGGGCTGCCCCCAGTGCCACACAGATCACCGTGGTCCTGCCACATTCCTCCTGCGAGCTGCTCTACCTGGGCACCGAGAGTGGCAACGTGTTTGTGGTGCAGCTGCCAGCTTTTCGTGCGCTGGAGGACCGGACCATCAGCTCGGACGCGGTGCTGCAGCGGTGAGCCCAGAGCCCAGCTGCTGTTAACTCCATCCCCTCAAGTTAGGCATGGCTTCTCCCCTTGGTCCCAGGACTCTGTCAGGAGCTGTCATTTCTCTGCTGGGAATTCCATGGGGCTATAGCAGGGGAGGCTCTTGGCTTCCTACCTGTCACCTACTGAGAACCTATTGGCCTGTCATAGGTTAGCATCATAGCACTAAAAAGGGGGCTTTGAGGGTCCCTCGTCTAAAGGCCCCAAATGACTGTGTAATGTCACCGACTGTCAGTCCAGTGTCCTTTGCACTTGCCATGGGTTTCAGAACCCCAGGGGCTCCGCAGCGGGGAAGTCGGGCCCAGACCTCCCTGTGTCACTGGGGCAGCTCCTGGTGCCACCCTTTGCGGTGGGTACTTTGCTGAGGTTCCATTTGCTCGCAAGCTCCGTGGCTAAAAAGCCTTGACCGCCACAGGCATGTGGGTCTGTTGAGATCGTTTCAGAAGCTTTGCTCCTTGTTGATGATACTACATTAGAGAGGGAGTTGGATCAGGTCCGGGTGGGAGAAGGGGACGGGGCCCAAAAAAAGAGAGGAGATAGCATCTGACAAGATCATGTTGGGGCCGGGTCGGTCATGGTGGAATGATCTGTGGTTCCAAGGGGCAGGAGGAGGCCAGGGTGCTGGGCCCCTGGCCCTGCAAGGCTTTGGACTGGGCCTGGGACACACTCCTGCAGCTGGCCAGCCCAGCTCTCCAGCCCTGGGTGGTGATGAAGCAGGGCCCGTCTGCCCAGGGCAGGGCATGACTGGGCTGGGAGGATTCCCACTTGGAGCTGTGTCCCTCTGAGTGCAGACCTCTGCCTTTCCCGTTCAGCAGGGTAGGGCTGGGGCAGTGTGTCCAAGGTCAGAGCAGAACACTTTGCAGGATGACAGGTACCACAGTGGGACACAGCCTGTGGGCAGGACGGCATGGGACCTGCGCCCCAGCAGGTGGCCACACCAGTGCCCAGCCTCACCCTGTAGTTAGCTGGCGGGAATCTAGTCGGCGGGGGGGCCCAAGTGCCCTGAGAGCCCCTCCTGCCAGTTTATTTATATTATATTATATTATATTTTATTTCATTTTTGAGATGGAGTTTCACTCTTGTTCCCCAGGCTAGAGTGCAATGGCACGATCTTGGCTCACTGCAACCTCTGCTTCCTGGGTTCAAGCTATTCTCCTGCCTCAGCCTCCCGAGTAGCTGGGATTACAGGCATGCGCTACCACACCCAGCTAATTTTGTATTTTTAGTAGAGACAGGGTTTCTCCATGGTGGTCAAACTAGTCTCGAACTCCCGACCTCAGGTGATTGACCCGCCTCAGCCTCCCAGAGTGCTGGGATTACAGGCATGAGCCACAGCGCCTGGCCCAGTTTGTTTATTTATTAAAAAAAAAAAAAAAAAAAAAAAAAAAAAACAAAGAAAAAACATTTTTTTTGAGAGAGTCTTACTCTGTCCCAGGCCGAAGTGCAGTGGCAAGATCTCAGCTCACTGCAACCTCTGCTTCCTGGGTTCAAGTGATTCTCCTGCCTCAGCCTTCCGAGTAGCTGGGATTACAGGTGCACGCCATCACACCCGGCTTATTTTTGTATTTTTAGTAGAGACGGGGTTTCACCATGTTGGCCAGGCTGGTCTTGAACTCCTGACCTCAGGTGATCCACCCACCTCGGTCTCCCAAAGTGCTGGGATTACAGGTGTGAGCCACCAGGCCCAGCCCCTTTTGGCAGTTTAAATTCTCGTCCTCTTGATGACACTTATCTAAGTTTTTAAAACGTGCAACCCTTTAGTCTCATAACTGTCTCTGAGAAGTCTCTGTCCTAAAGATATAGGATAAGAATGATCATTGTAGGGCTGTTTTTAATGGCAAAAAGTTGGAAGCCCTCTAATTGTCTAACAATTTTCATCTGTGTAAGGACATTATTTGCATTTATTAAGAATATCTAGATGGACACAGTTGCTCACACTTTGGGAGGCTGAGGTAGGAGGATTGCTTGAGGCCAGGAATTTGAGACTAGCCTGGGCAACATAGCAAGACCCTGTCTCTCCTCACAAAAAATAAAAATTAGTTGGGCAAGGCGGCACACGTCTGCAGTCTCAGCTACTTGGGAGGTGGGAGGATCACTTGAGCCCAGGAGTTGGAGGCTGCAGTGAGCCATGATCAGGTCACTACCCTCCAGCCTGGGTGACAGAATGAGATCCTGTCTCTAAAAAGATTAAAAATTAGGCCGGGCGCGGTGGCTCACGCCTGTGATCCCAGCACTTTGGGAGGCGGAGGCGGGTGGATCACCTGAGATCAGGAGTTCGAGACCAGCTTGGGCAACATGGCGAAACCCCGTCTCTACTAAAAGTATAAAAAATTAGCCTGGCATGGTTGTGGGTGCCTGTAATCCCTGATACTCGGGAGGCTGAGCAGGGAGAATTGCTTGAACCCCGGAGGTGGAGGTTGTGGTGAGCCGAGGTCACACCACTGCACTCCAGCCTGGGCAACAGAGCGAGACTCCCATCTCAAAAAAAAAAAATTAAATATTGAATATTAAAGTCCCCTTCAACTCTCACTCTTGATTCAAATTCTAATGTCAGTGAGGTCAGTGCTAGCAGTAGATGTGCCAGATATAGATAATGTGGAGAGCTTGGGTTTAGTGTGGCTTGGGTCCAGGCTGGGTCCACTTCCCACATCCTTGCTGTTGGCTGTTGGTCCTGTGCCTGCTGCCTTGTGGTTTTTTTGTTGGCTGCAACACCTCCAGCCCTCACGGCAGCATTCCAGGCCTGGAGACGGGGCAGGGGTCAAGGCTCCAGGGCCAGGCCAACTCACACAGAGTTTTGTTTTATGGGGCTAAAAAACTTCTTTATTATTAAACACTCCCTTTTGCAAAAATGCACTGAATATGAATGTACAGTTTAACAGATTCTTGTAGAGCATCCTTGCAGCCTTCCTGCCGGGCATAGAAATAGAACTTTGATGCCCTCCGGAGGTCTTATGCACCCTTCCTAGTCAAGGCTCCCTCTTGCCCCCACATTGACTTTTCCAGAAGTCACTGCCTTGCCTTGCCTTATAATTGTACCGCCTGTGTTTACATCACTGGAGGTTGTGTCCATGTCTCTGTCTTGTTCTACATGCTGCCCTTCTCCCCTTGGTGACATGTCCTAGCCATCTTTCTTTCTTTTTTTTTGGAAATGGAGTCTCACTCTGTCACCCAGGCTGGAGTGCAGTGGCACGATCTCGGCTCACTGCAACCTCCGCCTCCTGGGTTCAAGCAATTCTCCCGCCTCCGCCTCCCAAGTAGCTGGGGTTATAGCCATGTGCCACCACGCCCAGCTAATGTTTTATATTTTTAGTAGAGACAGGGTTTTGCCATGTTGGCCAGGCTGCTCTCAAACTCCTGACCTCAAGTGGCCTGCCCACCTTGGGCTCCCAAAGTGCTGGGATTACAGGCATGAGCCACCACGCTCGGCCATCCACTGCGCCCAGCCCCTAGCCATATTTCTATGCTGGCACATGGAGCAGCCACCTCTGCATAGGGAGCCCCATGGCTGTGCCATGCTGGGGGCCATTCCCCCTGGTGGACGGCATCGGAGGCTCACGGCACTCCCCTCGCCCAGGTTGCCAGAGGAGGCCCGCCACCGGCGTGTGTTCGAGATGGTGGAGGCACTGCAGGAGCACCCTCGAGACCCCAACCAGATCCTGATCGGCTACAGCCGAGGCCTCGTTGTCATCTGGGACCTACAGGGCAGCCGCGTGCTCTACCACTTCCTCAGCAGCCAGGTAGGCAGTGCCCAGGACATGGCAGGCGCCATGTTGCTCTCCCAGGGCCCCAAGTGGCACATACACACTGTGCAGAGGCATGGGGTGCAGGCGATGGGAACGCCGCCTCGGTCCAGCGTGCTGCCCTCTGTCCCTCTCCTCTTCCTCCATAGCAACTGGAGAACATCTGGTGGCAGCGGGACGGCCGCCTGCTCGTCAGCTGTCACTCTGACGGCAGCTACTGCCAGTGGCCCGTGTCCAGCGAAGCCCAGCAACCAGAGCCCCTCCGCAGCCTCGTGCCTTACGGTCAGTGTTTCACCCGCCGGGCAGGGCCCACCCCCAGTGCCTCCTGGATTCAGGTGCAGGTTGCTCAATTCTGAAGCAAACTCCAGGGCCAGAGAGGGTAAAGGCTTTGTCCAAAGCCACACAGCAGGGTTCGCCTCACCCAGTTTCTTGGGGAACTTCTCGGAGCAAGATTCCCAAGCACAGGTCTACCATGTGGATGTGGCATGAGCTAGAGGGATCTGTGCCTGTGGGGACTGACACTTGTCTGAGAGTTTGAGGATCCGTTCAAGCCGATTCCTTTCCTTTCAGGTCCCTTTCCTTGCAAAGCGATTACCAGAATCCTCTGGCTGACCACTAGGCAGGGGTAGGTATCCATGCTGGTCCTCTTTCCTCTCCAGAGCCTTCCTGGAGGGCTAGAAAGGTCACTTAGGCCTCTGCCTGGGAAGTTGGTGCCAGTGAACACTCTCAGGTCCCGTGTTGGGGTCTTGGACACCAGGGAGGGGAGACAGGGTAGACGCTATTCACGTCTCTCAGCGGCCCAATTCCTGCCAAGTTCATTCTTGCTCCTTTCTTCCACCTTCCCAGAGAGACGGTACTGAGCAGCAGGTCTTAAACTCCTTTAGTTGGCAGCCCTGTTTCTTCAGACAAAATCACTCTGGGTGATGTTCAAACAGAATTGGTGGGGGCACCCAGCATGAGGCAGGAGTGGCTGCTGAGACTCAGAGCCCCCAGCCTGGATGCCCTCACCTTACCTCCAAGTCCTCCTGGGCTGTAGCAGTTGGAAGGAGATGGGGTCCAGTCTCCCCTGCTCCTGGGGACCTTGACTGAGTGGTGACTTTGATTGCCGGCCTGTGGCTGTTGAGGCTGTGCCAGGAGCCCCAGCCCACTGCCGCTCCTCTGTGCCTGCCAGGTTGCCCTTCACCATCTTCCAGGGTGGCATGCCACGGGCCAGCTACGGGGACCGCCACTGCATCTCAGTGATCCACGATGGCCAGCAGACGGCCTTCGACTTCACCTCCCGTGTCATCGGCTTCACTGTCCTCACAGAGGCAGACCCTGCAGCCAGTAGGAGAGCTTCGGGAGTGGGTGCCCAGGGTTAGGTGTGGGAGGCATGGGGCAGGACCATCAGTAAAGACAGGGCCAGGTGCAGTGGCTCCTGCCTGTAACCCCAGTGCTGTGGGAGGCCAAGGTGGTAGGATCGCTTGAACCCAGGAGTTCAAGTCCAGCCTGGACAACGTAGGGAGACCCTTGTCTCTACAAAAAATAAAAAAATTAGCCAGGTGTTGTGGCACGTACCTGTAGTCCTAGCTACTCAGGAGGCTGAGGTGGGAGGATCACTTGAGCCTGGGAGGTGGAGGTTGCAGCGAACCAGGATCATGCTACTGTACTCAGCCTGGGTGACATAGCCAGACTGTGTCTCAAAAAAAAAAAAAAAAAGGGCTCTGCACAGATGTTCCTAAGCCTACCACTGTCCTGAGTCCCTTAGCCTCACTGCACCCCAAGGTGCAGTGTCATCAAGCCCTACAGCTCCTTTCTCTGCCTCCCTGCCACCCTCCCCAGCTAGAGACCCAGCCCAGCCACACCTCCTGTCTGCCCCGGGCTCTCTGCCCTTTCCAGACTGTAATGGGACTTAGCCCACAGGGGGCTGATCTGTACTGTTGGATTTAACACCCACCCCGCTGAGGCAAGAGGGTCCTGGCTTAGAGATGGCAAAGCCCGCCTTCTGGGCAGGGCAGAAGGTGGCTGTGCAGCCTCCTGGAGCTCCAGCAGGACCGGCAGAGCCCTGAGTCAGCCTCGTAAATTGTGTGACAGGCAAGACCAGAAAGGGCTGATGTTGAAACCTGGAGAGGAGCCCTGCAGGAGCTCTCCAGGAGGGAGGGCCCTCTCCTAATGATGCTGGCCTGAAAGGGCCTGAGGCCGAAAGGTGAGGGGGCGGGGCTGTTCAGGACACCTGGTCTGTGTACTCACGGCCTCTATCTACCCTGTTCAGGGGAACCCCAAACCTGCTTTTCTTTCTTTCTCAGCCTCTCCTCCCTCCTCACACCCTGGATGCTGAGAGCAGGGCCCAGCTCTGCTCTTTCCACAACATTTGGGCCATGTTGGCACAGAGCGGGGGCCTCTTGGGCTATGGTGGCCACACTCCCCGGGCTAACTGAGTTACCTGATTCCCAGCGGAAAGGTCAGGAAGGGAGGGAAGAAACTTGCTGAGCTACAAATTCGAGACTGCTGGGGCTTTCTAGGACAGGCCACCTTCCTGCAATTGTCCCTCTGTGTCCCCAACTCCCCGCAGTCCCGCAGGCCAGGAGGTGGGTGCCTGATGAGCGGTGCTTCCCTCAGATGATATGTGGGCACCCTGAAGCTCTCACGTAATGGTTCTGCTGTGCCGGGTTGTGACCCAGCTGTCCTTGGTAGGCTCTCCTGTTTAATGAGCAACTGCTATATGCCAGGCCCTGTTCTAGAAACAGATGAGGCCCCTGTTCCCATGGAACTTAGATCTGAGTATGTGGACAGAGTGAGTAGGTTGCCAGATAATGTCAGAGGTAAGAAAAAAGCCAGGCAGAGGACAGCAGTGCTGGTTTAGACAAGGGTTGGCAAGGCCTCCCTGATAAGGGGACGTATTTGCGCAGACACGGAAGCAGTCTGATGGAAGGCTTGCCCTGTAGGGACCTGGGGTGCAGACTGAGCTGGGAGGGCTCTTGGCTTGCTCCAATGAGGTAGGGGCGAAGAGAGGGCAGAATGGCCCCCGTGCTGGTCCAGATGTGGCCAGCGCCAGATCGTATAGAGCCGTGGAGGCACGGTAAGGACTTGGGGTTTGAGGGAGATGAGGGCCCTGAGCAGGGGTGCCATGATCTAGCCTCTGCTCCAGAAGGATCTGTCTGGCTGCCATGTGGGGGACACGGAGTGGAGCAAAGACGGGAGCCCAGTGAGAGTCGAGGGAGAGGTGACCTCAGCTTGGGCTGCGGTGCAGGCCATGGGACTGGCAGGAGGTGGCTGGGGTTACGCTGTCTTTTCTAACATTCAGCATTGGCTCAGGGGCCAGGTCAGGGCTCACAGACTGTTGCTATAAAGGGCTGGGTGGCTTTCTTCCCCACAGCTACTCAGCCTAATGCCATTGCAGAGCACATGTAGCCATGGACAACACAAGGGGCGTATCCGTGTTCCAGGACAGCCATATTGACAGGAATAGGCAGGAGGCCAGATTTGGTCCTCAGGCTGTAATTTCTTGGCCCCTTGTCTAGGGAGAGGTAAACGAGGGGAGGAGAGATCAGTCAAGGATGACGTGAGGGTTTGCTGGGAGCACCAGGAATCCTGGAGAAGGTAGTGGCAAGAGGGTGCAGCAAGCTCAGCTGGGCGGGGATCAAGTCTGAGGACTTAATGTCTCCTCTGATCTCCAGACCCATAAGGGAGATGCTGAGTAGACAACTGGGGCTTATGGGTCTGGAGTTCAGAGGAGAGATCGGGAAGGTGTCCATTTGGAGTCATCCACGCAGAGATGTGTGAAGGCTGCTCAATGATTTTGAGGTTTAAAGAAAAAAAGAGATGTGAAACCAGGGGCCCTGATGAGGCTGCCCAGGTGGTAAGGAAGACAGAAGAGAAGCCATGGGACAGCTGAGCCCGGGCACCCTCAAGCCTTGGAGGCATGAAGTTTGGTGGGGATCTGGCAAAGAACACCTGGGAGCAGCCAGCGGGCAGCAGACCCCAGAGTAGCAGGGAAGACAAGCACTTCAAAGAGGCAGCGTCAGCCAGGGGCAGTGGCTCAGCTGTAATCCTAGCACTTTGGGAGGCCAAGGATGGCAGATCACCTGAGGTTAGGGGTTCGAGACTAGCCTGGCCAACATGGTGAAACCCTGTCTCTACTAAAAATAAAAAATTAGCCAGGCATTGGTGGTATGTGCCTGTAATCCCAGCTACTCGAGAGGCTGAGGCAGGAGAATCTCTTGAACCCGGGAGGCAGAGGTTGCAGTGAGCCGAGATCATGCCATTGCACTCCAGCCTGGGCAACAAGAGCGAAACTCCGTCTCAAAAAATAAAAAAGAAAAACAAAAATTAGCCAGGCGTGGTGGTGAGTGCCTGTAATCCCAGCTACTTGGGAAGCTGAGGCAGGAGAATCGCTTGAACCCGGGAGGCGGAGGTTGCAGTGAGCTGAGATCGCACCACTACACTCCAGCCTGGGTGACAGAGCAAGACTCCATCTCAAAAAAAAAAGAGAAAAAAAAGACTGGGCACAGTGGCTCATGCCTGTAATCCCAGCATTTTGGGAGGCCAAGGTGGGAAGATCACTTGAGCCCAGGAGTTCAACACCAGCCTGAGCAACATGGCGAAACCCTGTCTCTACCAAAAATACAAAAGTTAGCTGGGTATCGTGGCTCACACCTGTAATCCCAGCTACTTGGGAGCCTGAGGCAGGAGGATCGCTTGAACCTGGAGGTGGAGGTTGCAATGAGCCGAGATCACACCACTGTACTCCAGCCTGGGCGACAGAGTGTGAAACCCTGTCTCGAGAAAAGAAAAAAAAAAAAAAAGACAAATGGTTTAATCATCCAGCGCACATTTATTGAGCACTAGCTGGGTCCAGGCCTGAGTGAGGTGATGTGATTGTGTGCAGTAAAGAAAATGCCACCCCTAGCAACTGGTGTGCTGAAGACCACGCGTGCTGCTGCCTGTGGGGAGAGGCTTGACAGGTGCATCTGAGCAGGGAGAGCAGGCCCCATGGAGGAGAAACCAGGGAAGAGGGTTGGCAGGCACAGCTGCATGCCTCTGGGGTGCCTATCCTGGTTGGGACCCTGCCTTCCAGCCAGGTGTATCCCCCCAGGAGCCCTGTGCCAGGGAGCTCTCAGCAGCCTTGCATGCAGAGCCAGGGCTACTGCCCACACCTGCTGCCCTCCTGGAGATGGAAAGGCTTTGCTCAAGCAGCCAAGAACAGGGCTTTCTGGATCTGCAGATGCCCTGGCTCCAACCCTGGAGCTTCTGATTCCACAGAGCTGGGCTGCTTCCTCCTGGCCCCGGCCCCTGACCCTTGCCCTGTACCCCAGCCTTTGACGACCCCTATGCCCTGGTGGTGCTGGCTGAGGAGGAGCTGGTGGTGATTGACCTGCAGACAGCAGGCTGGCCACCGGTCCAGCTGCCCTACCTGGCTTCTCTGCACTGTTCCGCCATCACCTGCTCTCACCACGTCTCCAACATCCCGCTGAAGCTGTGGGAGCGGATCATTGCCGCCGGCAGCCGGCAGAACGCACACTTCTCCACCATGGTAGGTCTGGCCCTGGCCCCAGCCCCAGCCCCACCGCAAGCCAAACTCTCCCATGGACTTCTTGGTCTCTTTTTCTAGGAGTGGCCAATTGATGGTGGCACCAGCCTGACCCCAGCCCCACCCCAGAGGGACCTGCTGCTCACAGGGTAGGGTACTTTGATGCTACCCCACCTCTTCCCAGTAGGATATGTGGGGTGGGAGCAGAGCCCTGAGGTGGACGAGCCAGCCCCTGGGCATCCCGGCTGGCATCCCTCTCACGCCTGGCAGGTGGGTTCTGCCCACAGGCACGAGGACGGCACGGTGCGGTTCTGGGATGCCTCGGGTGTCTGCCTGCGGCTGCTCTACAAACTCAGCACTGTGCGCGTGTTCCTCACCGACACGGACCCCAACGAGAACTTCAGTGCCCAGGGCGAGGACGAGTGGCCCCCACTCCGCAAGGTGAGGCCAGGAGCCTGGGACCCAGGAAGGGCAGAGGCCAGCTGGGTCCTGTCCCCGTGGCTGCTCACAGGGCCCCTCCCCTTCTCCAGGTGGGCTCCTTTGACCCCTACAGTGATGACCCCCGGCTGGGCATCCAGAAGATCTTCCTCTGCAAGTACAGCGGCTACCTGGCTGTGGCAGGCACGGCAGGGCAGGTAGCAGGCTGGGCTGGGGAGGGGGAGCTGGGGAGGAGTGGTCGATGACTGGGGACAGCAGGGACAGGAGCCAACCACCTGCCTAACGCACATTCTGTGTCCTTTGCTTTTCCGGTGGATGGAGGTGGCTTGATCCCCTTGGCGGGAGGTCCCTGGGATGGTTGTTTCTTCTCCAGAAATCGGAATTAAGGGCTGGGCCGGGCACGGTGGCTCATGCCTGTAATCCCAGCACTTTGGGAGACCAAGGCAGGCGGATCACCTGAGGTCAGGAGTTCGAGACCAGCCTGGCCAACATGGTGAAACCCCATCTCTACTAAAAATATAAAAATTAGCCAGGCATTTGTGGCTCGTGCCTGTAATCCCAGCTACTGGAAGGCCGAGACAAGAGAATCACTTGAACCTGGGAGGCAGAGGTTGCAGTGAGCCGAGATTGTGCCACTGCGCTCCAGCCTGGGCAACAGAGCAAGACTTGTCTCAAAAAAAAAAAAAAAAAATGCAGGAGAGCTGGGGTTGGACAGAGGCCTTTGTCCTTCCTTGAGCCTTGGGCCCAGCTCCTTTGCTGTCCCCACTAGTAGCATCCTGCGGCCCTGCCGTCCCTTTGCTGAGGGCTTGCTGAGCCACCTGCCACCCTGCGCAGGTGCTGGTACTGGAACTGAATGACGAGGCAGCGGAGCAGGCTGTGGAGCAGGTGGAGGCCGACCTGCTGCAGGACCAAGAGGGCTACCGCTGGAAGGGGCACGAGCGCCTGGCAGCCCGCTCAGGGCCCGTGCGCTTTGAGCCTGGCTTTCAGCCCTTCGTGTTGGTGCAGTGTCAGCCCCCGGCTGTGGTCACCTCCTTGGCCCTGCACTCTGAGTGGCGGCTCGTGGCCTTCGGCACCAGCCATGGCTTTGGCCTCTTTGACCACCAGCAGCGGCGGCAGGTCTTTGTTAAGTGAGCAGGGGCGGCTGGGTCCCGGGGCTGGGAGTGGGGCCCGCGAGGACTCCCAGGACCTAGCAGCACTGACAGCCTGCCATCCCCCCAAGGTGCACACTGCACCCCAGTGACCAGCTGGCCTTGGAGGGCCCACTCTCCCGCGTCAAGTCCCTCAAGAAGTCCTTGCGTCAGTCATTCCGCCGGATGCGTCGGAGCCGGGTGTCCAGCCGGAAGCGGCACCCGGCTGGCCCCCCAGGAGAGGTGAGGCCTGAGGTGAGGCTGCGGCCGGCCACGCACCCAGGTTCGGCTCAGAGCAGCCAGCAGGGGGGCCACACGGCCCCTGCTCCCCAGGCTTGCTAGGCTACAAACAAGATTCAGGGTCCAGGTCGCATTGTGTGACCTCAGACAGGTCACGCTGCTTCTCTCTGCCTCAGCTTCCTGAGCAGAAAGGCAGTAACTGTAATGCTTATCCTAGAAGTAATCCCCAGTAAACGTTAGTGATTTCCTTTTTCTCTCTACAACATGCTGGGGGCCCAGGCAGGCTCCCCCAAGGGCACCTCCCTCTTGGACAAGGGTCCCTCTAGACGCAGGCCTGGCAGGTGGCTGGCATGGCTGTGGCCTGCCTTCCGATGCAAGGATCAGCACTGAGCGAAGCACTGTTCCTGGGGAGGGGAGTCCAGAGCTGACCCTTAGGCTGGCCCACCCCTTGCAGGCACAGGAGGGGAGTGCCAAGGCTGAGCGGCCAGGCCTCCAGAACATGGAGCTGGCGCCTGTGCAGCGCAAGATCGAGGCTCGCTCGGCAGAGGACTCCTTCACAGGCTTCGTCCGGACCCTGTACTTTGCTGACACCTACCTGAAGGACAGTGAGTGGCCAGCCTGGGGTTGGGGGGCAGGGGGTAGTGGGCAGCAGACACCCCCTGACCTGGGGGCATGCCGGGGGCTGCTGCCTGCCTGGCTGGTAGGAGCTAAGAGGTTTCCCCTTGTGAGCAGGGGCAGACTGCAGCCCCTGCCTGCTTACTCCCCTCCCCTGCCTCAGCCTCTGAGTCAGCTTCCCTTGGCTTTATATCCAGGCCGTAGCACCCTTTAGAAGCATGGCCTCAGACCCATCACTTAGCCTTTCAGGGCCTCAGCTTGCTTCTCTGTAAATGAGGAAGTGACAGCTTCCTCCTAGAGCAGCTGTGACGATCGGGGACAGCAGAGCCTGCTGGTCTCCAGATGACGTGTCTCTCCCTGGCTGGTTCTCCCCTGCTGTATCACAGCAAGGGCTGAGCTGACCTGGGATTGGGGTCTTCTATGTTGGGGCCTGTGTGGTTGTCAGAGAGCCTTCCAGCCTCTCCCAGGAGGGAAAACCTGGGAGTAAACCCTGGTTGCCCAGCTCCACCCGACTCCCACGCTAAGGGTCAGACACCCAAACATGGCTTCTCGGCAGGCTCCCGGCACTGCCCCTCGCTGTGGGCTGGCACCAATGGGGGCACCATCTATGCCTTCTCCCTGCGTGTGCCTCCCGCCGAGCGGAGAATGGATGAGCCTGTGCGGGCAGAGCAGGGTGAGTGCTGGGCAGGGAGAGCAGAGGGTGCTCGGGCTGCCTGGGCTGGGTCCAGGGAGTGGCTCCAGCCCTGCCACCCCCTCACCAGCCCCAACACCCACCTCCTCCCCCTAGCCAAGGAGATCCAGCTGATGCACCGGGCGCCGGTGGTGGGCATCCTGGTGCTCGACGGACACAGCGTACCCCTTCCCGAGCCCCTCGAAGTGGCCCATGATCTGTCGAAGAGCCCTGACATGCAGGGAAGCCACCAGCTGCTCGTCGTATCAGAGGAGCAGTTCAAGGTGCCACACGGGCAGCGGCGGGTCTCCCTGGGACTCCCCGGGACATCCAGGAGGCTCGGACCTTGGGCAAAAATGATGGCTGGGACTCAGTCTTGTTTGCAGTTGGTGTCTGAGGGGCTGCAGAAGTACAGGAAATAAGTGAGGGGGGAGTCTCGTGTGAGGACACTGAGGCAGGACAGGGGGCCAGGCGCGGTGACTCATGCCTGTAATGCCAGCACTTTGGGAGGCCAGATCACAAGGGCAGGAGTTCGAGATCAGCCTGGCCAATATGGTGAAACCCTGACTACTAAAAATACAAAAAAAAATAGCCCGGCATGGGCCAGGCGCGGTGGCTCATGCCTGTAATCCCAGCACTTTGGGAGGCCGAGGCGGGCAGATCACAAGGTCAGGAGATCGAGACCATCCTGGCTAACACGGTGAAACCCCGTCTCTACAAACAAATGCAAAAAAATTAGTTAGGCGTGGTGGCGGGCACCTGTAGTCCCAGCTACTCAGGAGGCTGAGGCAGGAGAATGGCGTGAACCCAGGAGGCGGAGCTTGCAGTGAGCCGAGATTGTGCCACTGCCCTCCAGCCTGGGCGACAGAGCGAGATTCCGTCTCAAAAAAAAAAAAAAAAACCAGCATGGTGGTGGACGCCTGTAATCCCAGCTCTACTCGGGAGGCTGAGGCAGAAGAATTGCCTGAGGCGGAGGTTGCAGTGAGCCGAGATCACACCACTGTACTCCAGCCTGGGCGACAGAGCAAGACTCCATCTCGGAGGAAAAAAAAAAAAATCCAGATAGGGAAGTCGGTGACCTCGGCATCCTCCCAGGCCATGTCTGTGCATCTGAGAGCCAAGGGTTTGTCAGGACACCGGGAGGCATGTGGGGAGGGGAGGGCCCAGCAGCAGCAGCACAGGGCAGGAGAACTGGTTTGGCCATGGGCATGAACAACCACCCCACGCCCCCAGGTGTTCACGCTGCCCAAGGTGAGTGCCAAGCTGAAGTTGAAGCTGACGGCCCTGGAGGGCTCAAGAGTGCGGCGGGTCAGCGTGGCCCACTTCGGCAGTCGTCGAGCCGAGGACTACGGGGAGCACCACCTGGCAGTCCTTACCAACCTGGGCGACATCCAGGTGGTCTCGCTGCCCCTGCTCAAGCCCCAGGTGCGCTACAGCTGCATCCGCCGGGAGGACGTCAGTGGCATCGCCTCCTGCGTCTTCACCAAATATGGCCAAGGTGTTTGAGCCGGGCTGGGTGGGTGTCGGGGCCCCGGGCACTGCACGGACGGGAAGGGTGGCCAGGGGTGTTGTGGCCACGGCCAGACTGGATGGGCCTTAAGCGGAGAACTGCGAGGGAGCACTAGCCCCTACTCCCCCAGGTGGGGAGGCAGCCTTGGCAGCCGCCAGGCCAGGCCGCTAGCATTGCCCCCACTCCCCAGGCTTCTACCTGATCTCACCCTCGGAGTTTGAGCGCTTCTCTCTCTCCACCAAGTGGCTGGTGGAGCCCCGGTGTCTGGTGGATTCAGCAGAAACCAAGAACCACCGCCCTGGTAACGGTGCGGGCCCCAAGAAGGCCCCGAGCCGAGCCAGGTGAGTGAAAGGGCCAGAGGCCTCTCCCGCCCCTCCCGCCCCTCCCTGCCCTCTCTGAGATACCGAGGCTCCCACTGCTGCCTGGCTGGAGGCACCTCCCCACGAGCTCAGCCCACCCTCCCAGGCTCCGGCTCTCCTTGCCTCTTTGCGTGCCCCTTGCCCCTGTGCAAGCTGGCAGTCCAGGGCAGGACTCAGTTTACCTCCCAGGCTCTCCGGCTCAGGACAGGCTGCGCCATTGACTTGTTCTTCATGGGACCAGGGCTCTCAGAGCCGGGCAGGGAGCCCGGGGGCCCTGGTCCTCACTGTCTCTTCCCCCACAGGAACTCAGGGACTCAGAGTGATGGCGAGGGTAAGACAGGCCTCCTGGGCTCATGCACACCTGGGCCACACCCGGCCCAGACCTGGGGCTGGACGGGAGGGAAGGGTCCCGAGTGAGCAGGTAGTGTTTGGGCTGGGAATAGAGACGGCATTCCTTCCAGCCCTGGGCCCTGGGCTTCCACATCCTGACCTCAGTAAGGAGAGAGAGAGCCAGGCCGAGGAGGGCCCAGGCGGGGCGCCCTGACCCGGCCTCTACCTTCCAGAGAAGCAGCCCGGCCTGGTGATGGAGCGCGCTCTGCTCAGTGATGAGAGTGAGTTGGGTGGGAGAGGGTGGGGCTGGCAGGAGGGGTGGGGAAGGGGGGTCAGGGTCAAGGGAGGCTGGGCAGGCCACTGCCCTGAGGCGGGGTACAGATCCATGGGCACCCACGGAGAAAGGGGGTGGAAGGGCTGTGGCTAGCCGCCCCAAGGGCCTCAGTGGGCCTCTGTTCCCACCCGGCCTGCAGGAGTCCTGAAGGAAATCCAGAGCACACTGGAGGGAGACCGCGGGTGAGGCACCGCCCAGGCCAGCTGGGGTGGGCCCGAGGCTCTGCCAGAGGGCTCAGGGGAGCGCTGAGAGTGGAGGTCCCTGAGGCCATGACTCCCCTGTCTTTGCCTGTGCAGGAGCGGCAACTGGCGTTCACATCGAGCCGCCGTGGGGTGCAGCCTCAGCAATGGCGGAGGTGGGGGCTCTGGGCTTGAGTGCAGCTGCCAACCGTGCTGGGAAGGGCTGGGAGGAAGAGCCCCGGCCCCACTCCCCTGGGTCCCACGGGGCTGACACGTGCCCTGATGACCAGGAAAGCACCATGTCTGGGCTCAGCGTGGGCGGCTGGGGCACCCCGTCCTGCCCAGGGTGATCTTGAGCTGTCCCTCTGTGTCCTTCAGCAGAGTGAGTGGCTGAGCGTCCAGGCTGCGCGATGAGCACACACTACTACTGATGGCCTTTCGGGGGTCCCTGCCCCAACCGGAGAGGCCGGTGCACAGGGCCCCGCCAGGGGCTGGGGGCATCCCGGCTTCCACAATGCAGCTGCTCTGGGCCTCGGGAGAGGAGAGACCCCAGTCCC
Organism: Homo sapiens; assembly: GCF_000001405.40. NCBI lineage: Eukaryota > Metazoa > Chordata > Mammalia > Primates > Hominidae > Homo > Homo sapiens. Next base: position 75,575,050 of record NC_000017.11, read on the forward strand.
CTGGGCTGCCCTTCCCGGGCCTCGTCTGTCTGGGTCCTTTGGTCAATGTTGCACAGTTTTTATTGCTCCCATCCCTTTTTGTAGTGGGCTGGGTTTTAAGTTATAAATGTTAACTGCCTCTGGGTGAAAAAGTTTTTAATAAACACCTATTACCTCTTGACTGGTCCACTACTTTAATATTTTAATTGTGTAGAAATTTTCCATGTGAATGGAAAGTGGGAGCCGGTACCCTGCCTGTCCCCCGAGGCTCCAGCCCTGGCCTGGGCCGGTGTCAGGAGAATCCACTTGGGGAGCCGTGTGAATCAAACTGCTTCGTTTTGTCTGAGCCCGGCGGTGCCTTCCCTCTGTGGGAACACATGGCAAGCACGAACCATCTTGAGTCTGCCTGACTTTTTCCCTGGGTCCTGGCCGCCCCTGGCTGGCCTTTCCCTACTGTCAGAAGAAGGACACCCACAATATCTCAGACCTGATGGCTTCCTCCAGACACCAGGGAGGACTGTGGGGTGCTGCTGAAGCGGGGCTGGTACCCAAGGAGAAAGGCCTTCCCCAGGGGAGGGGCTGGGTTATTTAGATTGGACATGGGCTGGATCTTTATTGACTCGTCTTCGTTGAGCACCTACTGTATGGCCAGTGCGTGGGGTTCTCCGGTGTCTGAGACAACTGTGGTTCCTGCCACAGTTGACACTGGTGAGAAATGCACCTGGGGGGTGACCTGAGAGAGAACCAGGAATTGCCAGAGAGTGTGGTAAGCAAGCAGATTGTTCCAGACAGAGGACAAGAGGGCTCACCGCCACTCCAGGAACTCGCTTGCCGTGGGAGGCAGTGGAGAGCGGAAGGTGGCTGGCAGGCAGGGCCGAAAGTGAGGCCAGACTAGGGAGGCCCAGTGAGGGCCAGGTGTGACAGGCGCCTGCTCTGCGTGAGCGAGGAAAGGCCCATCCAGAGGAGCTGGGTACAGGTGTTCCATCTGGCCATGTCCACCTCGAGATGGCCACTTGACCGTCCCTTGTTTCCCCAGGGGAGGGTGCAGAAAGACTTCTGAGATGAGCACCTCGAGAACTATGAGGAATGTAGGGGAGCAGTTCCCCAAAGGGAGAGGAACACCATGCTAGAAGAAGCAGGGAAGGGATGATGCCTGGCAGAGACCAGCCACAGGGGTGGGGGATACCTGGTGAGACACCTGTATCAGTCCCTTCCCATACTGCCATAAAGAACATATGCCATAAAGGTGGCTGGGCGCAGTGGCTCACGCCTGTAATCCCAACACTTTGGGAGGCTGAGGTGGGGCAGATTACTTGAAGTCAGGAGTTCAAAACGAGCCTGGTCAACATGGTGAAACCCTGTCTCTACTAAAAATGCAAAAATTAGCTGGGCGTGGTGGCGCGCGCCTGTAGTCCCAGCACTTTGGGAGGCCAAGGCAGACAGATCACTGGAGGTCAGGAGTTCGAGACCAGCCTGGCCAACATGGTCAAACCCTGTTTCTTCTAAAAATACAAAAATTAGCCGGGCGTGGTGGCGGGCATCTGTAACCCCAGCTACTCAGGAGGCTGAGGTGGGAGAATCACAAACCTGGGAGGCAGAGGTTGCAGTGAGCCAAGATCGCACCACTGCACTCCAGACCGGGCAACAGAACGGGACTCCATCTCAAAAAAAAAAAAGATAATGGTGATGATGCAAGTACCAGTGAATCAGAAAAAAACGGCAGAACCTGCACTTCTGTGGCACAGAGGAGCCTGGTGGCCACAGCACAGGTCTTGCTGATGAAATTGAACAAGAAGTCGAAAACACACAGCCCTGAAAATATCAGGAAGACTCCGAACATGAACTTATTTCCTTGCTGATTAGTGCTGAACTTTGAGCTTTGCTGTAAGTATGCTGTGCTTTGAAGTATTAGCTAATGTCGGTGTGCATATTTCAGTTTAAGGAAACATTCTCGGCCGGGCACGGTGGCTCACGCCTGTAATCGCAGCACTTTGGGAGGCCAAGGCGGGCGGATCACGAAGTCAGGAGATCGAGACCATCCTGGCTAACATGGTGAAACCCCATCTCTACTAAAAATACAAAAAATTAGCCAGGCATAGTGGCGGGCGCCTGTAGTCCCAGCTACTCAGGAGGCTGAGGCAGGACAGTGGGGTGAACCCAGGAGGCAGAGCTTGCAGTGAGCCGAGATCATGCCACCCCACTCCAGCCTGGGCGACAGAGTGAGACTCTGTCTCAAAAAAAAAAAAAAAAAAAGAAAAATATTCCCACTGGGAGTGTGAGATGAACAACAATTTGTATTGATGGGTGTGCAAGATGGAAGGACGTGGCATCTTCCTCTCTAGAAAGTGAACTGGAGGGGCCGGGAGCGGTGGCTCATGCCTGTAATCCCAGCACTTTGGGAGGCCGAGACAGGCGGATCACAAGGTCAGGAGATCAAGACTAGCCTGGACAACATGGTGAAACCCCGTCTCTACTAAAAATACAAAAATTAGCTAGGTGTGGTGGCGTGTGCCTGTAATTCCAGCCACTCGGGAGGCTGAGGCAGGAGAATCTCTTGAATCCGGGAGGCGGAGGCTGCAGTGAGCCGAGATCATGCCACTCCATTCCAGCCTGGGGACAGAGCAAGACTCCGTCTCAAAAAAAAAAAAAAAATGAACTGGAGGAAGCTGGGATCCCCACAGCCATCCAGGGCAAGGCGACGGTGGTAGGGAAATAGAGGCATTGAGGGGTTGGGTTGACAAGGATGGCTGCCAGATGGGAGGAGATGAGTGAGCGTGAGGGCTACCTGTTGCCTCCAAGGGCCAGGGAGGTATACAGCAGGCAACTGGATTTGTGGTCAGGAGATTTATTTTATTTGTTTTTTAGAGACAGGGTGTCACTCTGTCACCTAGACTGGAGTACAGTGGCATGAGATCATGGCTCACTGCAACCTTGACCTCCGAGGCTCAAGCAATCCTCCAGCCTCAGTCATCCAAAGTGCTAGGATTACAGTCATAAGCCACTGAGCCTGGCCACGGAAATTGATTTATTTTAGAGACAGAGTCTTGCTCTGTTGCCCAGGCTGGAGTGCAGTGGTGTGATCATAGCTCACTGTAGCCTGAACTCTTGGGTTGGAGCAAACTTGTAGCTGGGACCACAGGTGGGCGCCACCATGCTCAGCTAATTATTATTTTTTTTCAAGACAGCCTCATTCTGTCGCCCAGGCCAGAGTGCAGTGGCATGATCTCGGCACACTGCAATCACCGCCTCCTAGGTTCAAGCAATTCTCCTGCCTCAGCCTCCCGAGTAGCTAGGATTACAGGCGTTAGCCACCACGCCCAGCTCATTTTTGTATTTTTAGTAGAGACAGGGTTTCACCATGTTGGCCAAGCTGGACTCAAACTCCTGACCTTGTGATCCGCCTGCCTCGGCCTCCCAAAGTGCTGGGATTACAGGCGTGAGCCACCGCGCCTGTCCTACTTTTTTATTTTTAAATTTTTTGTAGAGACAGGGACTCCCTATATTGCCCCAGGCTGGTCTCAAACTCCTGGTCTCAAAGGATACTCCTGCCTCAGCCTCCCAAAGTGCTGGGATCATAGGCATGAGCTGCCACACCCTGCCAGTCTGCAGATTGAGATGTGAGGGTCTTGGGCATTCAAAGTGGTGGAGACCTGGTGTTCATTTAGCATTTGAGGCCAGGCAGATCCAACCCTGTACACTGGCTTTCACGTGACTGGCTGTGTGACCTTGGGTACATGACCTCACTCCCATACCTTGGTTTACTTATCTGTAAAGTGAAGGATAATAATAGGACTTACCTCAGAGGGTTGTAAAGGATTAAATGAGAGCCTGTAAAATCACACAGCACCTGATTCCTAGTAAACACCCAACCCTAGGAGGTGAAAGTTACTGTGGATGGTGGGTGAGGCCAGGAGAGAAGGAGATGGCTCCAGAGGGAGGGAGTGTGGAAGGAAGTCCAGAGAGGGCGCGGCACACAGCCCCAGGGAGGAGCTCACTATACACTGGTGAGCGAAGCAGGCAAAGGAAGTCAGTGGGAAAGTGGGAAGCAGAGGGGAGAGCCAGGCTCGGGGGTGTGGCCTGTCTCCCTGCATGTCAAGATTAGCCAAGCTGTTCCCTGAAGGTTGTTCAAGGTCATAGAGCCAGGAGGGTGGAGCACTGCAGCTGGGATGGGGGACCAAGGCTGTCTGGTTCCAAAGCTGATTCCAGCAGAAGCGCTGCGGAGCTCCACAGTGTGGGTTCAGCAGAAAAGTGGGTATTAAAGGCCAGAGGGCCTGGGCTTGGTCCTCAAGTCCATATTTAGTGGTTATGTGTCCTTAAGCTACTGGGTTTTTTTTTTTAGACAGTCTCGCTCTGTCGCCCAGGCTGGAGTGCAGTGGCAGTGATTTTGGCTCCCTGCCACCTACGTCTCCCGGGTTCAAGCGATTCTCCTGCCTCAGCCTTCTGAGTAGCTGGGACTACAGGTGCATGCCACCATGCCTAGCTAATTTTTGTATTTTTAGTAGAGATGGGGTTTTACCATGTTGGCCAGGCTGGTCTCGAACTCCTGACCTTGTGATCCGCCCGCCTCAGCCTCCCAAAGTGCTAGGATTACAGTCGTGAGCCACCGCGCCTGGCGCTTAAACTACTTTTTTTTTTTTTTTTTTGAGACAGAGTCTCACTCTGTCACCCAGACTGGAGTGCAGTGGCGCAATCTCAGCTCACTGCAAGCTCCATCTCCCAGATTCACGCCATTCTCCTGCCTCAGCCTCCCAAGTAGCTGGGACTACAGGTGCCCGCCACCAAGCCCAGCTAATTTTTTTTTTGTATTTTTTAGTAGAGATGGGGTTTTACGGTGTTAGCCAGGATGGTCTCAATCTCCTGACCCCATGATCCACCCACCTCAGCCTCCCAAAGTGGTGGGACTACAGGCGTGAGCCACCGCGTCTGGCCTTAAACTACTTCTTAATTTTGTTTTTATTTTTATTTTAAGAAACAGGGTCTCGCTGTGTTACCCAGGCTGGAGTACAGTGGCACAATCATGGGTCACTGCAGCCTTAAACTTCTGGCCTCTCACGATCCTCCCGCCTTGGCCTCCTAAAGCGCTAGGATTACAGGCACACACCTGGCTCCTTAAACTACTTAACCTCTCTGAGCCATTTTATCATCTGTAAAATGGGATCCTATTTCATTCCTAGGGTTAGAGAAGGTTTAAATAAAATGGTACTTGGTTAGGAAACTGAAGCTCAGAGGGTAAGCCTGCCACACCCACTGAGCTGAGCAAGATACAAGCCCCAGCCTGGGTCAGCAGAAAGAAGAGGCACCCAGGCCGGGCACAGTGGCTCACACCTGTCCTGTAATCCCAGCACTTTGGGAGGCCGAAGCAGGTGGATCACTTGAGGTCAGGAGTTCAAGACCAGCCTGGTCATCATGGCAAAACCTTGACTCTACTACAAATACAAAAATTAGCCAGACGTGGTGGCGCCCACCTATAATCCCAGCTACTTGGGAGGCTGAGGCAGGAGAATTGCTTGAACCGGGAGGTGGAAGTTGCAGTGACCCAAGATCACGCCATTGCACTCCAGCCTAGGTTGACAGAGTGAGACTCCATCTCAAAAACAAAACAAAAAAATAATTAGCCAGGCACGGTGGTGCGCACCTGTAGTCCCAGCTACTTGGGAGGCTGAGGCAGGAGAAGATTGTGTCACTGCACTCCAGCTTGGGCAACAACAGAGCAAGACTCAAAAAAAAAAAAAGAAGAAGAAGAAGAAGAAGAGGAGGGCACCCAAAGGGACAGGAGATTGGACAGGGGCTGCGCAGGAGCCTCCCCGACGAGCGCCACCCCGCGCTCCACAGCCACCCAAGGGCTGAGGAGTGCGGGTGCACGGCGCGGGACTGGCAGGCAGCTCCAGCTGCGGCCCTGGTACTGGATCCACTGGGTGAAGCCAACTGGTCTCCTGAGTCTGGTGGGGACTTGGAGAACCTTTATGTCTAGCTAAGGGATTGTAAGTACACCAATTGGCACTCTGTATCTAGCTCAAGGTTTGTAAATACACCAGTCAGCACCCTGTGTCTAGCTCAGGGTTTGTGAATGCACCAATCGACACTCTGTATCTAGCTACTCTGGTGGGGACTTGGAGAACGTTTGTGTGGACACTCACTCTGTATCTAGCTAATCTAGTGGGGAGGTAGAGAACTTTCAGTGTCTAGCTCAGGGATTGTAAACGCACCAATCAGCACCCTGTCAAAACGGACCAATCAGCTCTCTGTAAAATGGACCAATCAGCAGGATGTGGGCGGGGCCAGATAAGAATAAAAGCAGGCTGCCGGAGCCAACGGTGGCAATCTCCTAGGCTTTGTGGAAGCTGCGTTGTTTTTGCTCTTTGCAATAAAGCTTGCTGCTGTTCAGTTTTTGGGTCTGCACTGCCTTTGTGAGCCGTAACACCCATTGCGACGGCCTGCAGCTTCACTGCTGAAGCCAATGAGACCACGAACCCGCCAGGAAGAACGAACAACTCAAGACGTGCCGCTTTAAGAGCTGTAACACCGTGAAGGTCTGCAGCTTCACTCCTGAGCCAGCGAGACCACGAACCCACCAGAAGGAAGAAACTCCGGACATGCTGTCTTTAAGAACTGTAACACTCACCGTGAGGGTCTGCGGCTTCATTCAAGTCAGTGGGACCAAGAACCCACGAATTCCGGACACAGAAGTTCCCTCTGTGTTAACATTTACAAGGAAAACCACCCATCTGGGCTGAGCTCAGTGGTTCCCACTTGTAATCCCAGCACTTTGGGAGGCGGAGGAGGGCAGATTATGAGGTCAGGAGACCGAGACCAGCCTGGTCAACATGGTGAAACCCTGTCTCTACAAAAATACAAAAATTAGCTGGCTGTGGTGGTGTGTGCCTGTAATCCCAGCTACTCGGGGGGCTGAGGCAAGAGAATGGCTTGAACCTGGGAGGCGGAGATTGCAGTGAGCCAAGATCTTGCCACTGCACTGCAGTTTGGCGACACAGCGTGACTCTGTCTCAACAAAACAAAAAAAACACCCATGTGCTTTCTGTTCTGTGTCTGTTTCCCTCACTCCTTTTCTGTCTATAAAGGTAGGCTCCTCTGCTCAGCTGGTAAGAACATTCAATTTTATATAATTCTATTTTATAGAATGAGGTGTTGCCTGATTCTAGAATCACAAGTAAAAGCCAGTTAAGTTTTTTTTTTTTTTTTTTTAGATGGAGTCTCGCTCTGTCGCCCAGGCTGCAGTGTACTGGTGTGATATCAGTTCACTGCAACCTCCTCCCGGGTTCAAGTGATTCTTCAGCCTCAGTCTCCTGAGTAGCGGGGAGTACAGGCGCACACCACCACAACCGGCTCATTTTTGTATTTTTAGTAGAGACGGGGTTTCACCATGTTATCAGGCTGGTCTTGAACTCCCGACCTCAGGTGATCCCCCTGCCTCAGCCTCCCAAAGTGTTGAGATTACAGGTGTGAGCCACCGCGCCTAGCCTGCCATTGAAGATCTTTTAACTAAACGTGTTGTAATTTTTTTTGATACTTCTCCCACACCCATTCTCCATCTGGGCCTTTGGAGCCAGACTGCTTGAGCTGGCATCCCCGCTCTGACAGTCCCTAGGTGTGTGCCTCCGTGGTATCATCCCTAGAATGAACATCCTCATAGCACCTTCTTCTTACAGTGCTCTCAGGATTAAATAAATTCACAGAAAAGTGCTTAGATCCTGGCTAACACGGTGAAACCCCATCTCTACTAAAAATACAAAAAATTAGCCGGGTGTATTGGTGGGCGCCTGTAGTCCCAGCTACTCAGGAGGCTGAGGCAGGAGAATGGCGTGAACCCAAAAGGCGGAGCTTGCAGTGAGCTGAGATCGCACCACTGGACTCCGGCCTGTGCGACAGAGCGAGATTCCGTCTCAGAAAAAAAAAAAAAGGGCTTATGGCATGCCTTGAGCATAAGAAGCCCTGAGGTGCTAGCTATCTGCTACTATTATCGTTATTGTTTGTCCAGGGCAAAACTGAGCTCTCTGGCCGGGTATTGGGGCTCATACCTGTAATCCCAGCACTTTGGGAGGCCGAGACGGGCGGATCATGAGGTCAGGAGGGCAAGACCATCCTGGCTAACGTGGTGAAACCCCATCTCTACTAAAGATACAAAAAATTAGCTGGGCACGGTGGCATGCGCTTGTAGTCCCAGCTACTCGGGAGTAGCTGAGTGACAGAATAAGACTCCGTCTAAAAAAAAAAAAAAAAACTGAGCTCTTTCTCTATGCTGTTTTAATTTTTTTTGTGGTTTTGGTTTTGGTTTTTGAGACAGGGTCTTGCTCTGTTGCCCAGGCTGGAGTGCAGTAGCACAATCACTGCTCTCTGCAGCCTCCATCTCCCAGACTTAAGCAATACTCCCACCTCAGCCTCCCAAGTAGTTGGGACTACAGGCGTGTGCCACCATGCTCAGCTAATATTTTTTTTTTTTTTTTGAGACGGAGTCTCATTCTGTCACTCAGGCTGGAGTGCAGTGGCGCAATCTCTGCTCACTGCAACCTCTGCCTCCCAGGTTTAAGCGATTCTCCTGCCTCAGCCTCCTGACTAGCTGAGATTACAGGCATGTGCCACCACACCCAGCTAATTTTTGTATTTTTAGTAGAGACGGTTTCACCATGTTGGCCAGGCTGGTCTCGAACTCCTGACCTCAAGTGATCTGCCCACCTCAGTCTCCCAAGAGCTGGGATTACAGACATGAGCCACTGCACCTGGCCTCCAGCTAATTTTTGAAAATTTTTTGTAGAGATGGGGTCTTGCTGTGTTGCTCTGGATGGTCTGGAACTCCGGGATCAAGCAATCCTCAGCCTCTCAAAGTGCTGAGATTACATTTGTGAGCCACCATGCCCAGCCCACTGTGCTATAAGATACAAACCAGGCTGGGTGCGGTAGCTCATGCCTGTAGTCCCAGCACTTTGGGAGGCCGAGGTGGGTGGATCACGAGGTCAGGAGTTTGAGACCAGCCTGGCCTATATGGTGAAACTCCGTCTCTACTAAAAATGCAAAAATTAGCCGGGAGTGGTGGTGTGCACCTGTAGTCCCAGCTGCTCAGGAGGCTGAGGTAGGAGAATCACTTGAACCCAGGAGGTGGAGGTTGCAGTGAGCCGAGATCGCACCACTGCACTCCAGCCTAGGCAACAGAGCAAGACTCCGTCTCAAAAAAAAAAAAAAAGATACAAACCAACAGTGCACAAGTCATAGGAGAACGACTCAGCAAATCCCCACAAACTGAACAAACGCATCACCCATATCTCAGAGCTTCCCTTGTGTCTCCTTTGAGTCACTACTGACCCTGGAGGGACCACTCTGTAGATCACTTTGCCTGTTTTTGTACTTTATATAAATAGAACGCAGTGGATGCTCTTTCATGCCTGGCTTCCTTCACTCACCATTATGCTTGCAAGATTATCCACATTGTTGCTGACAGCTGTAGACAGTTCTCAATGCTGTGTACTAATCCACCGGGTGAATACCTCACCCACGTTCTGCTTCTTGCAGGAGAAACGAGTGCTCAGACTATAATCATCCTTTGCCCCAGCACAACTGGCGATAGGGGAGTACAGCTTGCAGACATCTACAGGCTGCGGTTACCTGTGAGCTCGTAGTCCTTCTAACAGCTGCCTCCCTCTCCAGAAGGCTGCCTCCTTGAGAATGCAGGCTGCAAAGGCCAAATCACTGTCAACTTGTTGCTCAAACCAGGCCTCTGGGCTGTGAACAGCCCTCTCGGGCAATGTGGGTGCTGGCAACAGCTGCAACCATGTCTAAGGCTGGTTCTAGGAGGTGTGCAGAGAGATGGGCACAAGGCAGGCGTGGGCTGACAAGGGCATTCCGAAGGAAAGTGCTGCAGTCTGGAATGTCACCTCCCCTGCTCTGTGCTGGGTGCTGCTCCTGGTGAGGAAAGGCCACAGCAAACCGGTCAGTGGGGGCATGGGAGTCCCTGTGGGGCACGTCACAGGCCCCACCTGGACGACCCATCTGACTCCATCGTGGGTCCTCTGAGCCTGCCCCAGCACAGCTGCCTTGCCCCAGGGCCCTCAAGTAGCCTCACAAATCCTGCCTGGGTTTAACAGTCTAATAATCAAGAAACTCCTGACCGGGTGAGGTGGCTCACACCTGTAATCCCACCACTTTGGGAGGCCAAGGGCGGCCGATCACTTGAGGCCAGGCGTTCAAGACCAGCCTGGGCAACATGGTGAAACCCCATCTCTACTAAACATACAAAACTAGTAGGGCATGGTGGTGCACGCCTGTAATCCCAGCTACAGGCTGAGGTGGGAGGATCCCTTGAATCCAGAAGGCAGAGGTTGCAGTGAGCCGAGATCGCGCCACTGCACTCCAGCCTGGGCAACAGAGCGAGACTCCGTCTCAAAAAAGAAACAGACCTTCTCACACCCAATAAATAGAGAGATGGGGAAGGATGAGAAGAGAGTGGTCTCAGAAAAGGAAGTAAAGTGGCTCTAAGAGCAGGAGAGCTGCTTATTTTCACAGATAAATGAACTTAAAGAGGCACCGAGTTTTTTTTTTTATTTTATTTAAAAAAAATTTTTTTGATACATATTAGATGTACTTATTTTGGGGGTACATGTGATAATTTGATATAATCAAATCAGGGTAATTGGGGTATCTGTCACCTTTTCTTTTTCTAATACTAGGAGCATTTGAATCATTCTCTGTTGTGGTAATCAGATCCAACACCAGGTAGTGGGGGTGATGAAGTCCGGCAGAGTCAAAGGAATGAGAAAAAGACAGTTTGAGAGAGAAAGTGGGACCAGGGGACCATCGCGAGTGTGGAGGCTGTGAAGGCCCCTGGGCACTGGGAGCCCAGGCTATTTATTGGTGCTCAAAGAGGTGGTGAGGATGTGGAGGTTGAAAGGAAATAGTGTATCAAGTGAACGAGAAACATACAGCTGCTTGAGATAATGGGAGTGCTAGAAGCAAGGAGCCAGCAAGTCTAGCAGACATGCAAGTCCTGCCTGAGCTTCTCTCCCAACACTCAGCTTTTCTCCCAACAATTCTCTTCTAGCTATTTGGAAATGTACAATCAATTAATGTTATCTATAGTCATCCCACTGATCTATTGAACACTAGATCTTATTTCCTCAAAGTGGCACTGAAATTTTGTCATGTTTCAGAGTGTTGGAAAAGAATGGTGGTCTCCCATTATTGGTGGCAATATAAATCGGCACAACCTTTGTGGAGAAAAATTTGGAAATCTCAAAATTACAAATGCAAGTGCCCTATGGTGCAGCGATTCTACTTATAGTTGATTCTATGCAGATGCTGGTGAAATTGTATTCCAGTATTGGCTGTAACTTAAGCAAAAGATGAGAGGAAGGAAGGATCCACCTTTTTTTTTTTTTTTTTTTTTTTAAGAGAGTGAGTCTTGCTCTGTCACCTAGGCTGGAGTAGGGTGGAACAATCTCAGCTCACTGCAATCTCCGCCTCCTGGGTTCAAGCGATTCTCTTGCCTCAGCCTCCCGAGTAGCTGGGGTTACAGGCATGTGCCACCACACCTAGGTAATTTTTGTATTTTTAGTAGAGATGGGGTTTCACCATGTTGGCCAGGCAGATCTCGAACTCCTGACATCAGGTGATCCACCCACTTCGGCCTCCCAAAATGCTGGGATTACAGGCATGAGCCACCTCACTTGGCCAGGATCCACTTTGGATGTAGAAACCCATCAATAAGGAATTGGTTCAACCATGGTGCATTTATTTGCAAGGAAGAGAGGGAGGAGAGAAGGGAGGAAGGCAGGCTGGCTTTTTATGGTATTATTATGAAATCACCAGATTACATTGTTAAGTGAAAAAGGCAAAGTGGAGACCCCGGAGCTACATAAGCTACCACTTGTGCTAAAGGGGAAAAATATAATATTTGCTTTTCTCTGCATGGAAAGTTTTTGTTGTTGTTTCTTTGTTTTTGAGACAAACAAAATGCTGTCACCCAGGCTGGAGTGCAGTGGTGTGATCTCAGCTCACTGCAAGCTCTGCCTCCTGGGTTCATGCCATTCTCTCCTGCCTCCTGGGTTCATGCCATTCTCTTGCCTCAGCCTCCCGAGTAGCTGGGACTACAGGCGCCCCCCACCACGACCGGCTAATTTATCGTATTTTTTAGTAGAGACGGGGGTTTCACCATGTTAGCCAGGATGGTCTCCATCTCCTGACCTCGTGATCCGCCCTCCTTGGCCTCCCAGAGTGCTGGGATTACAGGCGTGAGCCACCGCGCCCGGCCAACCTGGAAAATTTTGCAAGGAAATACAGAAATGGGTAACCTCAGGGGAACACTGAGTACATAGGCTGAGGGTCAGGAATGGGAGACTTTTATCTTGTAATGTTTGGATGTTTGAATTATGTGAATGTATTACCTGTTTTAAAAATAGATATTTTAAAAACACACACATTGGGGCAATCAGGAATGTATGGGGTGTGGTTCTGTTCCACAACTCCAAGGAGGTAGACAGGCATGTTTTACACCAGTTCAAGATGTACATTTATGTTTTATGTACTTTTCGGTAAATTGTATTTATTCCACAATTGAAAAGAACAAAAACCCTAGCGACTCATGGAGTGCTGCCGTGTGCCAGGGTGGGCCTGGCCCCAGTCCCTTGGAACCCTCAGAAGGAAGAAGTCCAGACAGGTTCTCTGGGCCCTTCCTTGCTGGGCAAGCACTGAGGTGGGAGTGGAGCATGGACCCCCTCAGTCTGGCGCGGTGCGAGGCTGGCCTGGCTGGCAGCGCCTCCCGGCGGCACTGTTGCCCTGTCCGCAGCTGTAGCGTCTCCTGTTTCCTGGGCGCCTCTATTCCATTGTTGGCCGAGGGGGTCAGGACCCGCCGCCTTCTGCATTATTGATGGTCCTGTAAGGCGGGCACCTCGGGGAGTAGAGCCTGTAGCCCCTGCGAGAGCAGAGCCGGGTGGTGCACTGCACAGAAGGTCACCGCGGGAGGCCAAATCCCCGGGGAGGGGAAAGGACCTGGGCGTCGGGAAGCCCGTCTCCTTTGGGCCAGCCATGGGCAGGAACCAGCGCAAAGCGCCCCAGCGCCTGGAGAGGCCCGGGAGGCCGGCCTCAGGGGAGCAGGAGTCGGGGTCGGCCAGCGCGGATGGCGCGCCCAGCCGGGAACGCCGTTCCGACCGCGGGCAGGCGGACAGGGCGAAACCGGCGGCCGAGCCTGCCACCGCCGGGGGCCAGGGAACCCCTGGTGGCCGCAGGAAGCCCACTGCAGAGGGGAACGGCGGCTGCAGACGCCCAGGGGCTGGGCTGTCCCCGAAAGCCCAGGAGAGGCAAAGCAACGCGCAGCGTCAGGGACGCGGGCCCAGGGGCGGCCGCGGGGGGCGCCTGGAGGAGGGAAGCCTCTCCGGAGGAGAAGAGCTGGGCGGCCGCCGTAGGAGGAAGCGGAAAGATAAGGGGCCCTCGGCTCGGCGGGGCCGCCGGACGCCCAGGAGCCTCAATGGGGACACGTCGGGTGGGGACGGAGGCAGCTCCTGTCCGGACAGCGAAACCCGCGAGGCCCAGGAGAGCGGCAGCCAGCGCGGCACAGCCCGGGAGCTGCGGCCCACGCCGGAGCCTACGGACATGGGCTCGGAAGGGACAAAAACCGGGCCGGAGTCAGCGCTGGAGCCAAGCAGCGACGGCCTGGACAGCGACTGGCCCCACGCAGATACCCGGGGCCGGGAAGGGTCGTCGGGGACGGGGCCCCTGGGAGCCAGCGAGCATTCCGGCGGGGACTCCGACTCGAGTCCGCTGGGGACCGGACCTGGACGGGGCTCTCGGGCAGCTATGGCCTCCAGGACCTTCGAGGACAGCTCGCGGGCTCCTCGGGACACTGGGCCGGCCAAGGACGCGAGCGACAACCGGGCGCAGCGGGGCGCCGAGCCAGAAACAATGCAGGCCTCGACGGCCCGGGCTCCGCGCCACCAGGTCGGAAAGGCGGTGGGGCAGGTGCCAGCGGCGGCAGGCGAGGGCGAAGCGGGAGCCGCAGCAGGAGCGGGGCCGGAGGACCCAGCCCCGCTGGCGGCCCTCCTGGTGGTCCGCAGGCTCCTCGCGAGGCCCCCGCCAGGCGCCGCTTCCCAGGCCGTGGGCCCCCGCCGCGCTGGCCTCAAGGAGCGGCTCCTGAGTGTAGCGCGAGCCCTGGGCCTCCTGCGCTGGCTGCGGCGGCGGCTGCGGCTGCGGCGGCGGCCGCCAGAGGGCGAGGGGCAGGGTACCGGGCCACGGGCGAGCGAGGGGTGGGGCCGCCGGAAACCGGACGAGGGGCGGGGTCATGGGAGAGGAAGCAAGGGGCGGGGCCGCGGGAAAGCGGATGAAGGGCGGGGCCACGAGCGAGGGGACGAGGGTCGGGGCCGCGGGAAAGCGGACGAAGGGCGGGGCCACGAGCGAGGGTACGAGGGGCGGGGCTGCGGGAAAGCGGACGAGGGGCGGGGTCACGAGAGAGGTGACGAGGGCCGGGACCACCAGAGAGGGTACGAGGGGTGGGGCCGTGAGCCCGGGCTGCGGCACCGTCTAGCGTTGCGCCTGGCTGGCTTAGCAGGGCTGGGGGGTATGCCGAGGGCTTCCCCTGGTGGCCGCTCCCCGCAGGTCCCGACAAGCCCAGTCCCCGGCGACCCTTTTGATCAGGAGGACGAGACTCCAGATCCCAAGTTCGCGGTCGTGTTCCCCAGGATCCACAGGGCAGGGCGGGCGTCGAGCAGCCGCAGCTCTGAAGAAGCGTCCGCAGATGCCCCCACGGGGGAAGGCCGAGGTTGGCCTCGTGCAGGGGTGGGGGGGCACAGTGAGGGGTGCAGGACGAGTGGGGAAGGGGTGTCCGGGCTTCGTCGCGGCTCCCTCCTTGCCCCGACTGCACCCGACGGGCCTTCCCTCGACGAGAGCGGCTCCAGCAGTGAGGCGGAGTTGGAGACCCTCAATGACGAGCCCCCGGTGCGCTGGGCGCAGGGCTCAGGCCCCCACGAGGGTCCTAGGCTTGGCGCCGCCGTGCTGCTACCCCGACTCTCCTTGGAGACCCGCCTGCAGCAGGAGGGAGACCCGGGCCTCCGTGGGTCCCTGAGGGAGCTGTGGGAACCCGAGGATGAGGACGAGGCGGTGCTGGAGAGGGACCTGGAGCTGAGCCTCCGGCCGGGCCTGGAGGCGCCACCCTTCCCCGGTGCCAAGGGCAGGAGCCTCGGAGACGGCCTGGAAGACATGGAGGACCTGGCGCGGTTGCGGTTAGCGGGCGCGGTGCCAAAGCTGCCATCCCCGGCTCACAGCTCCTCATATCCACCCTGCCCTCATCTTTATGAATTGCGTGTAGACCCTTATTGAATCCTTAGAAGGATGGGCTTGAACCCTCCTGGCAGGAAGGGGCAGGTAAGGGGCAACAGGTGCTACGTCCCCAGGACCGCCTTTCTAATTAGTACAAAGCTTCCTTCTGGGTCAGAGCCAGCCCTCCTTGTAGCCTGCGCATTACTTGACAGCTCAGCCCCCATTTTATGGATCAGGCTCTGGGAAGTTGAATGACTTGCCAGGGTCCCTGCAGTGGGTGGCAGAACTAACCCACAACCTCCTGCAGCCACAACTTGTCATGCCTCCACCCTGTTGTCCCTACAGGCTGGTGTGTGACAGCTCTGTGCTGCTGTGCCTCAAGAAGAGATTTCACCTGGGCCGTATCTATGTATGGGGAGCCACGGGGACGGACAGTGGGCGGGGATCCCCTTTTCTCTGGGGACAGAGGGCTCCCTGGCACCCCTGGAGATTCTCCTTCCTCTTCCTCCCCGGGCTAGGCGGTGAACCCTCTCTGGAGCCCTGCAGAGTGGGACTGAGGGGCTGGGCTCTGTTTGCATTCCCCCTGCTCCCTCCACACTCTGATGAGAGCTTGTTTTCCTCCCCAGACCTTTGGGGGGCCTGTCTTGCTTGTTCTGAACCCCCACCGGTCCTTGCCTCTTTTTTCACCTGAGGTCCAGGCAAGCTACCACCCCAGGAAGGCCCTCAGCACCACTCCGTATGTGACTCTGCCCCACTGACCCTCTGCTCACCTCCCAGGCAGCCCAGTCCCTGCATGTCCCCTTGACTGAGGTCCCGGGGCCTGTGAGCACCTCTGCTACACCTCGGAGGGTCCCAGGTCCCCATGTCTGGCAACCTTCTCATCTCCCTCAGACACATCTTTGCCATCGTGGCATCAGCCTATGACCTGGCTCAGAATACTGGGCAGGACCCATGCATCCTCCTGTGGTGAGTGGTGGCCTTCCTGGGTGGCTGAACCCATGGGCCACACTGAGGGTTGATGGGGCGGGGCCTGAGGTCTTCACTGGAAGCCACTGGTATGCTCCACTGCTGGGCTACAGTTCTGGACTCCTCAGGGCCGAGCTCCTGGCTGAAATCATCACATGAGCCCCTGGAATGTGGCATCTTGGGGACTTTTTCTTTTCTGTCGGGTCTCTCCATGCCCTGGGACTATCTTTCCACATTTATGGGGGTCTCTCCAGGCTAGCTGTCACTTCTGGGTGGCACATCCCACTTCCTGGGTTCACTGGGGTGGTCCTATGTGCCCCTCCCTGGAGACCCTACCAACCAACACATCCTTAGCTCCTCCCACTGCAGTGGGCACAGTGGCTCAGGGAAGACGGAAGCCGCCAAAAAGATCATGCAGTTCCTAAGCAGCCTGGAGCAGGATCAGACGGGGAACCGAGAGTGTCAGGTGAGGGCCAGGCTGGAGGTACCTCATGGGTTGAGCTGGCCGTCTGTCTTCCTCCAGGGGACAGCTGACCATGTCCAAGGGACTATCTTTCTCCTTTCAGCCAGGAGAGGGGTGGTCTCCAGGCCTCTGGCGTCTCCTGGGGTCAGCTGCAGGCACTGCCCTTTCTGATGGGACTGACGCCTCCCTGGACCTGCCCCTAGCTGGGATGCCTGCTGGTGGGGGCTACTGCTGCCCAGGGATGCTTGAACACCCCTCCCTGTACAGGTGGAGGATATGCTGCCTATACTCAGCAGCTTTGGCCATGCCAAGACCATCCTCAATGCCAATGCCAGCCGCTTCGGCCAGGTCTTCTGCCTCTACCTACAGCAGTGAGTGGCAGGGTTGCAGGGGGCACCTACAATCACTTACCCTTCCTGGGTCCTTGGGCTGCTTCCCTGGGGTCCAGACCCTGGTAGGGCTTCTTCTGCACGGGGCCCCTGGGTGTTCTGCATCCTGGGCACTCACACCCATCTTCTGTGCCCACAGAGGGGTCATCGTGGGAGCCTCTGTGTCTCATTATCTACTTGAGACCTCCAGGGTGGTGTTTCAGGTAAAGGCAGCCCTTCTATCCACCCCTGCCCAGTTCCCAGAGTAGGAAGGGCAGAGGGTGTCACTGTCGGGGTGTGGCCTCTAAGCCCCTAGGGCACTGAGCCCCTAAGCCAGTCCTGTCCCCAAGGCCCAGGCTGAGCGGAGCTTCCATGTTTTTTACAAGCTGCTGGCAGGGCTGGACTCCATAGAGCGGGAGCGGCTCTCCCTGCAGGGACCGGAGACTTACTACTACCTCAACCAGGTCGGGGGAGCCCTTGTGGTGCGGCGGGGAGGCCTGCCCAGAGGAGGATCTCGGCCCGGAGGTCTGAGGAGTAGCCGGAGTAGAGGGAGGCTATGGGGTGGCAGGCCCCGCTCCCTCACCCCTGCTGTGCTCTGCAGGGCCAGGCCTGCAGGCTGCAAGGCAAGGAGGATGCCCAGGACTTTGAGGGGCTGCTGAAGGCACTGCAGGGGCTCGGCTTGTGCCCAGAGGAGTTGAATGCCGTCTGGGCTGTGCTGGCCGCCATCCTGCAGCTGGGCAACATCTGCTTCTCCTCCTCAGAGGTGGGCTTCCCCGTGGGCAGGGGCCATCTGGGGTGCTGGGTCTGTAGAATCAGGGCAGTGGTAATGACGCCAAATGCTGGTGTGTAGGAGACTACAGAGTGCTGGGCTGCCCTGAAAAGTGGGTAGATCCCCACTGTGTAGATGAGAAAGCTGAGACATAGAGCTTCTCCACTCTCCCAATGTCTGTGCCTCTAAGCTGCCACCCCTAAGAACATCTGGCATTAGATGAGCAGCTATGGTCAGGCATGGTGGGTCACACCTGTGATCCCAGCACTTTGGGAGGCCGAGGCAGGAGGATCGTGTGAAGCCAGGAGTTTGAGACCAGCCTAGGCAACATAGAGAAACCCCGTCTCTATTAAAAAAAAAAAAAAAAAAAAAAAGGGTTGGCGGTGGTGGCTCACACCTGTAATCCTAGCACTTTGGGAGGCCGAGGTGGGTGGATCACTTGAGCCCAGGAATTCTAGAGCAGCCTGGGCAACATGGCAAAATCTTGTCTCTACAAAAAATATGAACAGATTAGGCCAAGGCGAGCAGATCACTTGAAGTCAGGAGTTTGAGACCAGCCTGGCCAACATGCTGAAACCCTGTCTCTACTAAAAATACAAAAATTAGCTGGGTGTGGTGACACGTGCCTGGATGTGGTGGCACATCCCAGCTACTTAGAGAAGCTGAGGCAGGAGAATTGCTTGAACCCGGGAGGTGGAGGTGGCAGTGACCTGAGGTTGCGCCACTGTACTCCATCCAGCCTAGGTGACAGAGCGAGACTCCGTCTCAGAAAAAAAAAAAAAAACAAAACAGACTGGGCGTGGTGGCTCATGCCTGTAATCCCAGCACACTGGGAGGCCTAGATGGGCGGATCACCTGAGGTCAGGAGTTCGAGACCAGCCTGACCAATATGGTGAAACCCCGTCTCTACTAAAAATACAAAATTAGCCAGGTGTGGTGGCACATGCCTATAATCCCAGCTACTTAGGAGGCTGAGACAGGAGAATTGCTTGAACCTGGGAGGTGGAGGTTGCAGTGAGCCAAGACTATGCCATTGCACTCCAGCCTGAGCAACAAGAGCGAGACTCAGTCTCAGAAGAAAAAAAAAAAAAAGATTAGCTGGGCATGGTGGCATGTGCCTGTAATCCCAGCTACTGGGGAGGCTGAGGTGGAAGAATTACCTGATCCTGGGAGGTGGAGGCTGCAGTGAGCCTTGATCGTGCCACTGCATTCAGGCCTGGGTAACAGAGTGAGACCCTGTCTCAAAAAAAAAAAAAAAGAAAAAAAAAAATCAAACGAGCAGCTGTTATGTACCTGGGTACTGTGTAAATCACTTTGCATTTGTTTTCTAATTTAGTTTGCAAGACAACCCCCTAGGAAGGGTTACTGCTTCCCCTTTAGCAGTGAGGCCGTGGGGCGCAGGAAGGAAGGAGCCTGGCCAGAACTGTCCGCCAGCAAAGAGGGAAAGTAGGACTCGAACTCAGGGCCCTGAAAACCATAGCCTCGCTCCTAATGGCCCAGATCTCCTCATGTGACATATCTCCCCTTTGGTGACAGGGCCACTTACCAGGCAAAGCCCGGCCTGCCCTGCCTGGGGAGTGTGTCCATTCCTGAAGCAGAGATCTCCCTGTCCCTCCCTCTCTGTGTAGCGAGAGTCCCAGGAGGTGGCTGCTGTGTCTAGCTGGGCTGAGATCCACACAGCAGCCCGACTGCTGCGGGTACCACCAGAGTGCCTGGAGGGGGCTGTCACCAGGAGGGTCACGGTGAGCCCGAGGGTCCTGGGGAGAGGGGCCTGGCCTGGCTGACCCACAGGCTGAGTAAGCACCATGAGGGCTGCAGGCCTGACACACCAGCTGTGCCTCCTCTGCCCTCCAGGAGACGCCCTATGGCCAGGTCTCGCGATCCCTGCCCGTGGAAAGTGCCTTTGATGCCAGGTGGCCCTAGAGACGGGTGAGAGTCAGAGCAGGGCCCGAGGCACGGCTCTATGTGGCTCACCCACCCGCCATGCCTACAGGGACGCCCTGGCCAAGGCACTGTATTCCCGCCTCTTCCACCGGCTTCTGAGGAGAACCAATGCACGGCTGGCACCACCAGGGGAGGGAGGCAGCATTGGCACCGTCACTGTCGTGGATGCCTACGGCTTTGAGGTCACCCCTTGGGGTGGGGCCCAGGAAAGGGGGCACCCATATAATTCCGATGGATTTCTGGGACCCCCACAGCTCCAGCTCTCCCTGGGGGCACTCGCGAGGTGCTTGTCTGTCTGGCAGGGCGCTTTCAGGGCTCCTTCTGCATCTGCTGGGCTGAGCCTGCTGGGGTGGGGTGCAGGGATGGAGAGGTAAAGGAGTGGGGCTGCCTCTGAGGATTTAGAATCTCTCAAGGACTAGGGCTGTCTGCGCGCCTTGGAGTTCTCGCTTCCACTCACCTCCAGAGGACGATGCCCCTCACCCCACACCCACGTTCATCCAAGCATGGTCTCTGCTCCCTTTTCTGGTCCTGGGCTGGGCAGCCTGGGCCGGGAGTGCTCCTGGCTTCTCTGGGATGGCTGGAGCCCACCACAAGCCCCAGCCCTGGCCCGTGCTGTCCTCCTGCTGGGAGGAGTTGCTTAGTGCAGCAGACAGAGCAGAGGCTCTGAGTGGTCCTGCCACTCACTAGCTGTGTGGCCTTGGGCAAGTGGATGAACCTTTCTGAGGTCCAGCGTTCCCGTCTGTAAAACAGAATTCCCAGCAGGACCTACCTTGTGAGTTTCAGAGGCTTAACGGAGATAGTCCATGAGAGAGCTGTGTGCTCCAGGGCAGCCGTTCTGTCCCACTCTGGCCGGTCCTGCCTTTGGCATGGCCTGTCCTCCGTGGCCTTGTAGAGACGCAGGAGTCTCAAAGGCAGTGGAAGACAGAGGCCCCAGGGTGGGCCCGCCTGTAGCCCCACTTCCCCCACGTCAGGAGGAAAGGGAAGAGGGAGAGTCCCCCAGTCTCTCTCAGTTGGCAGAGGCTCTGCACCCCTTTACAGAGGATCCTGCCGCCTCAGGACAGCCAGGAGGGGGCTGGAGGGAGAGGAGGTGGCCCCTGCCCTCAGTCCCTGGACGGGCACTATTCATGGCCCCCTGTTCTGTCCCACAATCCAGTGTGTCCTTGTGACCGTGCCCTCCCTGAGGCTGGTGGTGATGGTGGCCTGTGTGTGCATCCAAGCTCCTGTGTGTGTGTTTCAAGGGGCACAAAGCTGCATGAAGCTTCCTAAGAGAGTGCTGAGGGAGCACTTCCTATAGGAGGAAGGCTGGAAGGCTTCCTGGAGGCAGCAGCCTGGAGCCCTGTGCATGAGGATGCGGGACTCTGATAGCCAACCTGCTATTTAGTAGGGAAAGTCGCCTTCCAAGCCACAGGATGGCCGTGACAAGAGGCCCAAAGGCTCGCAGGAGTGCTGCAGCAGAGGGCAGGGGTGTGGGCAGCTAGAGGGACCTGTGGCTGGGCAGGGCTGAGGTAGCCCGTGTGCTGTGCCGGATCCTTTAGACTTGACCCTGTTGGCTACACAGCATCAGCCCTGGGTATTACTCATCCCTGCGCCCTGGCCAGAATGAAGGAAGCCTCTGGGGTGGGGGGAGGGCACAGCCCCATGTGCCCACCTCACTGCCACATGCCCCCAGGCCCTGCGGGTGAATGGCCTGGAGCAACTGTGCAACAACCTCGCCAGCGAGCGCCTACAGCTCTTCTCCAGCCAGATGCTGCTGGCCCAGGAGGAGGTAAGAGGATTGGGCGTGGACGTGGCAGGGGCCGCTCAGGCATTGCCCAGGCAGAGGCCATCCTTGGTGAAGGAAAGTTGGGAACTGAGAGCTCTGCCTGGAAGGCCCCTTTCCATGAGGTGTCTCAGTCTTCTGAGCCTCAATGTACTATTCTATAAGATGGGAGGGTTATCCCTGCTCCTGCAAAATGGCCAAATGCCGGCTGTTCCCAGGAGGAGTGTCGGCGGGAGTTGCTGTCCTGGGTGCCTGTCCCTCAGCCTCCGAGGGAGTCCTGCCTAGACCTCCTGGTAGATCAGCCCCACAGCCTCCTGAGTATCCTGGACGCCCAGACATGGCTGTCCCAGGTAAGGGCCAGGATGGTGACCCCCCACCCAGTGTCGGGAAGGAGTGGAGGCCCTGGGTGTCCAGGCTGTAGCTGGCAGAGCCTCCCAGAGGGGACAAGGTTATGGGATCCAGCGACCCTGATCACAGTTCCTCAGCACAGCCTGGGACAGCAGCAGCGAAGGGGAAGAACCCTGGGCTCCCGCAGAGCTGGGTTCACATCTTGTCTCGGGGTGATCTTGAGCATGACATCTGGCCTCTGAGGTTCCTCACGTACCTGCCACAGAAGGGGGACAGTAGTGCCCGATGGGCAAGGTGGCGGGGACTGCACGAGGCTCATGAAGGGCTTCTGCAGGTCCCTCACAATTGTGGCTAGGTGGCCACTGAGGCCTCTGACTGGTCGGGGACAAACCCCAGGGTACCATGTCCCCCATTCCACAAATGCTTTCTGACTGCCTCCTGCCTGCTCAGACTTAAATAGCAGCCTCGTCCCTGTTTCCCGTTTCAGCGCGCGTCCACATGCAGTCACAGCGTCTATTCATTCACTGACTCCTTACCGCGCCAGACTGGGCTCCACAAGGGCGGGTGCCCGTGTGAAGGGTTTGAGCTCTATCTGCAGCACGTGTTAAGGAAATAATGAATGAATGAATAACTGTGCCAGGAACTGTGCTAAGGATAAAAGGTGAACAAAATTAGACCCAGTCTCTCCCCTCTTACAGCCCGCAGTGCAGCAGGAGAGAAATGTTCATTTAAAAAAACAGGCCTTGGCCAAGCTCAGTGGCTCACGCCTGTAATCCCAGAACTTTGGGAGGCCAAGGTGGGTGGATCCCTTGAGCCCAGGAGCTCGAGACCAACATGAAAAAACCCTGTCTCTACAGAAAATACAACAATTAGCCTGGTGTGGTGGTGTGAGCCTATAGTTAGAGCTACTTGGGAGGCTGAGGTGGATGGATTGCTTGAGCCCAGGACGTCAAGGATGCAGTGAGCCATGATCATGCCACTGCACTCCAGCCTGGGTGACAGAGTGAGAAGTTGTTTCAAACTAATTAATTATAAAAAAACAAACCAAAAACGCAGAGCCAAATACAAAATCACCCCTGTGCGGCTCCGTGGGTGGGCGTGTGGGGCAGGGAGAGTTGGGGGGCGTCATGAGCCTCTAGGAGCTGAGGCTGGAATGTGGAGCAGGAGTTTCTGTGGAAGCTCAATATAACGTGATCCTGAATATGGGGCAACCCTCCCCCATTTTCCCAATTAGTGGTTGAGAATGAAAGGTGAGCCAGGCATGGGAGGCTGAGGCAGGAGAATCGCTTGAACCCAGGAGGCGGAGGTTGCAGTGAGCCGAGATCGTGCCACTACACTCCAGCCTGGGGACAGAGCAAGACTCCGTCTCAAAAAAAAGAAAAGAAAAGAAAAGAAAATGGGCCAGGCGCGGTGGCTCACGCCTGTAATCCCAGCACTTTGGGAGGCCAAGGTGGACAGATCTCGAGGTCAGCAGATCGAGACCATCCTGGCTAACATGGTGAAACCCGGTCTCTACTAAAAATACAAAAAATTAGCCGGGCGTGATAGTGGGCGCCTGTAGTCCCAGCTACTGGGGAGGCTGAGGCAGGAGAATGGCGTGAGCCTGGGCGACAGAGCGAGACTCCATCTCAAAAAAAAAAAAAAAAAAAGAAAATGAAAGGTGAAAAACAATGGTAAAATCATCAAATGTTATTGTAATAGTTCGTTGATCACTGTCATATTAATGCAATACATGTCTTCATGTACTATATATTGATATATAACAAGTCACATTAATATATGATATATAATGTTCATTTATTAATACTTATACGTATGTAAAGTCTTGTACTAGATAATTAAGAGAGTGTTAATTTCTAAACGATTGTTTCTCCCAGTTCACATTTCATAATGTTTTGTTAAAACTTGTCACGAGTGTCTTTGAGGTCCCAAGATCACTTTTGGAATCCCCCAGCATGGATTTCCAGGGCTCAGCAATATCACTTAGGTCTATGTTATGTGACATGTACCATTTTCTGAGTCCGAGGTGGGTGCTGAGCCTGGAATTGTTACCCCAAACCCAAGTTCTCATTTACATAATATAGGCAAGTTCCCCCATGCACTTGCTATTTTATGTTCATTAGCTCAGTAAAATAACGTCCAACTAAATTACTTTTTAGTTTTATTTTTATATTTTAAAAAATAGAGATGGGGTCTCCCTATGTTGCCCAGGCTGGTCTCAACCTCCTGGGCTCAAGCAATCCTCCCACCGTTGCCTCTCAAAGTGCTGGGATTACAGGTGTGAGCTACTGCACCTGTCCTTGAGTTACTGTGTGTGTTTGTGTATGTGTGTTTTAACTGACTCCTACTATCATTCCCAACTGAGTTACTTTTTGAAAGTGATTTTTTTTTTTTTTTGAGACAGAGTCTCGCTGTTGCCCAGGTTGGAGTGCAGTGGCGTGATCTTGGCCCACTGCAAGCTCCGCCTCGCGGGTTGACGCCATTCTACTGCCTCAGCCTTCCAAGTAGCTGGGACTACAGGCACCCGCCACCATGCTTGGCTAATTTTTTTTTCTTTTTTTTTGTATTTTTAGTAGAGACGGGGTTTCACCATGTTAGCCAGGATGGTTGATCTCCTGATCTTGTGAGCCACCCACCTCAGCCTCCCAAAGTGCTGGGATTACAGGCACAAGCCACCGCACCTGGCCTGAAAGTGATCTTTGAAAGACTTGGTTAAAAGCACATGTAGGCCGGGCGCGGTGGCTCATCTCTGTAATCCCAGAACTTTGGGAGGCTGAGGCGGGCAGATCACGAGGTCAGGAGATCGAGACCACAGTGTAAACCCTGTCTCTACTAAAAATACAAAAAATGAGTCGAGCGTGGTGGCGGGTGCCTGTAGTCCCAGCTACTCGGGAGGCTGAGGCAGGAGAATGGCATGAACCCGGGAGGTGGAGGTTGCAGTGAGCCGAGATCGTGCCACTGCACTCCAGCCTGGGTGACAGAGCAAGACTCGTCTCAAAATAATAATAATAATAATAATAATAATGAAATAAATAAATACAAGCGCATGTGATTCTGGGACTATTCTCCCAGGAATGGTTGCTAAATCTGTACTAAAGCTCCTCATCTCTATTTCTTTTTTTTTCTTTTTTCTTTTTTTTTTTTGAGACAGAGCCTTGCTCTGTCGCCCAGGCTGGAGTGCAGTGGCGTGATCTCAGCTCACTGCTGCAAACTCCGCCTCTCGGGTTCACGCCATTCTCCTGCCTCAGCCTCCCGAGTAGCTGGGACCGCAGGTGCCCGCCACCATGCCCGGCTAATTTTTTGTATTTTTTAGTAAAGACGGGGTTTCACCATGTTAGCCAGGATGGTCTCGATCTCCTGACCTCGTGATCCACCTGCTTCGGCCTCCCAAAGTGCTGGGATTACAGGCGTGAGCCACCGCGTCCGGCCTAAGAGTGATCTTTGAAAGACCTGTTTAAAAGCACATGTGATTGTGGGACCATTCTCCCAGGAATGATTGCTAAATCTGTACTAAAGTGCCCCATCCCCATTTCTTTTTTTTTTTTTGTTTAAGTACTTACTTATTTTAGAAATGGGGTCTCACTCTCTCACGCAGGCTGGAGTGCAGTGACACCATCATAGCTTACTGCAGCCTCAAGCTCCCAGTCTCAATCAGTCCTTCCACCCAGCTAATGTTACTTTTTTCTTTTCTTTTTTTTTTTTTTTGAGACGGAGTTTGGTTCTTGTTGCCCAGGCTGGAGTGCAATGGTGCGGTCTCGGCTCACTGCAACCTCCACCTCCCAGGTTCAAATGATTCTCCTGCTTCAGCTTCCTGAGTAGCTGGGATTACAGGCATGAGTCACCATGCCCAGCTAATTTTTTTGTATTTTTAGTAGAGACAGGGTTTCACTATGTTGGCCAGGCTGGTCTTGAACTCCTGACCTCAGGTGATCCACCTGCCTTGGCCTCAAAGCGCTGCGGTTACAGGCATGAGCCACTGCGCCTAGCCCCACCCAGCTAATTTTTAATTTTTTTTTTTTTTTTTGAGATGGAGTCTCGCACTGTCACCCAGGCTGTAGTGCAATGGTGCCATCGTGGCTCACTGCAACCTCCGCCTCCTGGGTTCAAGTGATTCTCCTGCCTCAGCCTCCTGAGTAGCTGAGATTACAGGCACCTGCCACCACGCCCAGCTAATTTTTTGTATTTTTAGTAGAGTTGGGATTTCACTATGTTGGCCAGGCTGGTCTCGAACTCCTGACCTTGTGATCTGCCTGTCTCGGCCTCCCAAAGTGCTGAGATTACATGCGTGAGCCACCGCGCCCAGCCCAATTTTTAAATTTTTTGTAGAGATGGGATCTCACTAGGTTGCCCAGGCTGATCTCGAACTCCTATCCTCAAACGATCCGACCACCTCGGCCTCCCAAAGCGCTTGTTTTGGGGAACAAAGCCAAACCTACCCTTATAGTCAGTGTAGGCAGTACTCGTGCTCACCGGGAGAGGGCGCCATCCAGAAGGACAGCCTGTGCAGAGGCGTGAAGGGAGCTCATGGCTCCTCTCCTAGGCCACGGACCACACCTTCCTCCAGAAGAGCCACTATCACCATGGTGACCACCCCAGCTATGCCAAGCCCCGGCTGCCCCTGCCCGTGTTCACCGTGCGACATTATGCAGGGACTGTCACCTACCAGGTACCTGGCCTCAGGGACAGACCAGGGTGAATCAGCGAGGGCAGTGTCCCCTCCCAAGCTGAGTCACCCGACAGCGGAGAGGAGTGGGTGTGGGGAGGCCCCTTGCAAGGCTTGGACACCTGTCCCTACCTGAGCCATGGGCCCTGCCCAGTTCTGAGCACGGTTTACTGAGTTCTAGGTGACAATTATGGGGTCAGGGAGTGGAAGCCTTGGGACCCTCCAGACAAGTGGGCAGAGCACAAGCATGGGACCTGATGACCTTGGCAGTTTACTTCGCCTTCTGAGCCTCCGTTTCCTCACCTGTAAAATGGGTATGGAGACCTAAGCTCTGGCGTTGCTGTGAGGGTGAGATGTAGTAACGTGGAGATGGCCTGGCAGGTGCCTGGCACATAGTAGGTGCTCACTGAATGGACTTCCCTTCCCCCTTCCGAGTTCTATGCCTACCAAGAAGCTGCACGCGTGCCTACCCCAGGAGGAGAGGAACTGGGGGTGGGGGAGCGGGGGCTGGAATAAAGGGAAGGGCAGTAGGGAGAATCAGTTCTCCCTGGAGGAGATGGCACACTTTGCTTGGAGAAGAAAAACTACAAACTACCCAGGAGTTGCCCCCAAAAAAGAAATACAAGGAGTTCAAGAAAGCTAGGAAAATGTAAATCAAAATAGATTTAATATGGAGAGACAGACAACATTCTTGTCTAGTCAACCTATTGACTAGCATAGGTTAAAGCCCCAGTGGGGAGAGTGTGGTCTTGCTGGGGACTGGACCTGTCCATGGGGTGGAATGGAAAGTCCAGTGGCAGACCCAAGGCTAGGTAAAGGGCTGGAAACACCAAGGCAGCCTTTCAGGTCACCTGGGGAGAGGGTAGATTCTTCTCCTCCATATCCAGCCTCCCCTCCTTGGTTCCTGTTCTCCTCCCTTTCTCCACTTCCCTCCCCACCTGCATGGTCTCTTGCAGGTTCACAAGTTTTTAAACAGAAACCGGGATCAGCTGGACCCTGCTGTGGTGGAGATGCTTGGCCAGAGCCAGCTCCAGGTGCCCATCTGCCCTTCCAGGCCCCCACCCGCTCCATACTCTGTCCCCCAATTCTGTCCTTTTCCCCCTGGGCGCTCTTGCCCAAGGGTTGGCCCTCAAGTCCCTGGCACCTTGGGCCATGGGCTGAGCTTGCCAGGGTCTGGATGCCGAGGGCTGGTCCATTCTGGCTCTCCCGGGCTGCAGGGTGGATGGGCACGCCCCAGCGGCCAGCTGACTCAGCCCTTCACCCCCACAGCTGGTGGGCAGCCTGTTCCAGGAGGCAGAGCCCCAGTCCAGGGGAGGGCGAGGCAGACCCACGCTGGCCTCTCGCTTCCAGCAGGCCCTGGAGGACCTCATAGCCCGGCTGGGCAGGTAAGAACAGCGCCCGCCACACCAGACCCCAGGGAGTTGTATGGGGCTCCAGTCTGTGCCCGAGTGACCCCTCTTTCCCTCATCAGGAGCCATG
Organism: Homo sapiens; assembly: GCF_000001405.40. NCBI lineage: Eukaryota > Metazoa > Chordata > Mammalia > Primates > Hominidae > Homo > Homo sapiens. Next base: position 75,603,040 of record NC_000017.11, read on the forward strand.
TCTATTTCATCCAGTGCCTCACCCCTAACCCTGGAAAGGTGAGCTCCCCAGCAACTGGCCTCAGGGCCCTCCCCCTCCCTGCACCTCCCTCCCCACAGCTCTAGGCCCCTTGACTCCAGCTGTCTTTGGCTCTGTCTTGTGGCCACAGCTTCCAGGCCTCTTTGACGTGGGACATGTGACAGAGCAACTGCACCAGGCAGCCATACTGGAGGCCGTGGGCACCCGCAGTGCCAACTTCCCCGTGCGTGTGCCCTTTGAGGCCTTCCTGGCCAGGTGGGGCCCAGCACCTCGGGGCAGGACTGACAAGGAGGCCACCGGGAGTGACTGGCAGCCCCGGGGGTCCTTCTGATTGGAGATGGACTCACTCTGCCCAGGACTGGGCCTAGCACCCAACCCTCCCTCTCTCTCCTCGTCCTCTCATCCTCTCTCTCTCTCTCTTTCTCTCTCCATCTCACTCTCTTCTACCATTCACCATCCCTCCACGCATTCGTCATTTCTTCTCCTCTCTGCAAACCTCTCCTGTGCTGATGCCTGGGCACCAGAGATGAGGTGGGAGCAGTACCTGCCCTAGGCGGGGCTCACGGTCTAGTGCCCACAGCAGCTGTCCAGGGAGTGCAGGCTGAAGCAGTGAGATGGCAGGGGGGACGGAGTGAGAAAAGAGCCTCTCAGAAGGGCAGGAGGGGCGGGGAGGGGCGGGGTGGCACATGGAGCTGCCAGGAACCCCAGAGGCAGCTCTGTTCCCAGAGTTCAGAAACCTCCAAGAAAAGCTGGTGGCATTGTCCGTTTTGTTGTTTGCCTATCTGGCCTTTGGCTATTGACTGGATGGCATCTTGGGAATCCTCTGAAGGGCTGGAGTTTACCCCAAGCACAGGGACAGAGGGAGCAGGTGGAGTCACTTCTCGTTGATGTCCAGCTGAGCTGGGCTGGTGGCTGCCTCAGAAGGGAGGGGGCAGCTACTAGGAGCAGCAGCCTCACCCCAGGGCTCTGTGGACCTCCTTAGCCTGTGATGGCCTTGGCAATGGGGATGGCCTGGTTGGGGGACTGAGCAAAAGGCAGGCAGTAGGGATGGGTGTTCCCAGCCTTGAGTCAGATCCTGAGAAGCTCCAGGGCGGGGCACGTTCTGTCTCTGCCATCTGGAAACCTACCAGCTACAGCAATTGTCACCTCCAACAAGAACCCCTGAGCCCGGAAGCTGGGTGAGAGGAACCTCCAGGTACAACTCTCCACCCAGCACAGACCAGGTCTGCTGATCTGTGCCATTCCCTGATGCACTGTGGCATCCCGTGACCACAGACTGTCACCCACATCCCCAGAACCTGCACGGTGCTTGCTTGGTACAGACTAACTACTGAGTGTCCATTAAGCCAAACTGGTACCACCATCTGGACCTGTGAAATGTCCTTCAACACTCCCCCACCCACCCCTTCCTGCCACGCCCCTCCCTCCCTTCCACGTCCCTCCCTCCCACGCCCCTCCCTCCCTTCCATGCCCCTCCCTTCCACACCCCTCCCTCCCTCCCTCCCACAAACTTGTCTTGAGACCTACTGTGTTGGGTGGCGAGGAGACGAAGGCCTTGGGAACCACATTCCTGTTGCTCCCGTGGCCCAGAACCAGCCCTCATGCCTCCTGCGCACACCATGTTCACCTGTTCTCCCCCTGAGCTCCAGCGCAGAGACCCTCCCTGCCCAAGTTCACTGCAGTGTCTCAGCCCCCAGCTGAGCGCCTGGCATAGAGCAGGCACTTTCCAAATTTTTTAATGATCTAGAAATGAAATAAATACTGAGGGGCTCAGGGTGTCGTACAGCAAGTGTGAAAGGGCTTGGGTGCAGTGGCTCACGCCTGTAATCCCAGCACTTTGGGAGGCCAAGGCAGGCAGATCACCTGAGGTCAGGAGATTGAGACCAGCTGACCAATATAGAGAAACCCCGTCTCTACTAAAAATACAAAATCAGCTGGGCGTGGTGTTGCATGCCAGTAATCCCAGCTACTCGGGAGGCTGAGGCAAGAGGATCACTTGAACCTGGGAGGTGGAGATTGTGGTGAGCTGAGATTGCACCATTGCACTCCAGCCTGGACAATGAGAATGAAACTCTGTCTCAAAAAAAAAAACCAAAAAGGCCGGGCGCAGTGGCTCACGCCTGTAATCCCAGCACTTTGGGAGGCCGAGGCGGGCAGATCACGAGGTCAGGAGATCGAGACCATCCTGGCTAACACGGTGAAACCCTGTCTCTACTAAAAATACAAAAAATTAGCCGGGTGCGGTGGCGGGCACCTGTAGTCCCAGCTACTAGGGAGGCTGAGGCAGGGGAATGGCCTGAACCCGGGAGGCGGAGCTTGCAGTGAGCCGAGATCGCGCCACTGTACTCCCGCCTGGGCAAAAGAGCGAGACTCCGTCTTAAAAAAAAAAAAAAAAGTGTAAAAGGAGGTTCTGGCTATTCTGATCTCAGCTCCATCCTTGGAGCAGCTTCCAGGCCCTGGGGTCAGAAGGGCAGGAAGACCTCTCTGACCGGGAGAAGTGTGGTGCCGTCCTGAGCCAGGTGCTGGGGGCCGAATCACCTCTCTATCACCTTGGAGCCACCAAGGTGGGTGTGTGTATCCCTGTGTGCAGAGGGCAGCATGAATGGGAAAGGAGAGGTGCATTCTGGGCCCAAAGGGACAAACCCAGGATTTGGGGATCCATCCAAGTGGTGGGAGACAGAAGGGCTGGACGGCAGGGCCAGAAGAACAAATGGTTTGGCTGGAAGGGAGGAGGCTGAGACCAGAGGAGGAGAGCAGGAGGGGCTGGCTCCTGGCTCCTGCCTACAGCCCACCCCTCTACCCACAGGTCCTGCTGCAGGAGCAGGGCTGGCAGCGGCTGGAGGAGCTCCGGGACCAGCAGCGCTCCCAGGCCCTGGTCGACCTGCACCGCAGCTTCCACACCTGCATCTCCCGCCAGCGCGTCCTGCCCCGGATGCAGGCTCGCATGCGTGGGTTCCAGGCCAGGTCTGCAGGCGTTGGAGCCAGGGCTGAAGTGGGTGGGGTGAGGCCGTGGGTTCGTCCTCCAGGTGGTGGGGCAGGGTTGGGGAAACATAGGGCCTCAAGGCAAGTCATCCTGCCCCAGTGCCATCTCATCGGCATGTGACTCTCCTTGACGGCATTACCCCCCATACCCGTGCAGCCTCTGCTTGAATACCCCGGCCACAAGAAACTCATTACCTACTGAGGCCACCTGAACCTGTGGTCCTGACTCCTTTATCATTCTCTTTTCTGGTCTGTTTTCCACACTGTGGGAACAATCTTTGTTTTTTTTTTTGAGTTGGAGTTTTGCTCTTGTTACCCAGGCTGGAGTGCAGTGGCGCGATCTCAGCTCACTGCAACCTCTGCCCCCTGGGTTCAAGTGATTCGCCTGCCTCAGCCTCCCGAGTAGCTGGGATTACAGGCTTGTGCCACCACACTCAGCTAATTTTTTTTTGAGATGGAGTTTCACTCTTGTTGCCCAGGCTGGAGTGTAATGGTGCGATCTCGGGTCACTGCAACCTCCACCTAACAGGTTCAAGTGATTCTCCTGCCTCAGCCTCCTGAGTAGCTGGGATTACAGGCATATGCCACCACGCCTGGCTAATTTTGTATTTTTAGTAGAGACGGGGTTTCTCCATGTTGGTCAGGCTGGTCTCGAACTCCCGACCTCAGGTGATCCGCCCGCCTCAGCCTCCCAAAATGCTGGGATTACAGGTGTGAGCCACCGTGCCCAGCTACAGTCATCTTTTCAAAGCATGAATCATGTTGTTAAGGACCTGACTACCTCCCCAGCCCAATTTAGGCCAGACTTTTACCCTGCAGTGACTTTAGACTTCTCTTTCCTATAACACCACCCTCCCACTTCTCACCTAATCATCTCTTTTTCGCCCTCACAGCCTGTCTTCACACATTCCTCCAACAGCTGTTGGCTGACCGTCTGCCTCATCTACCCTTGGGCCAGATGCTGGTGACAGAGCTGGGGATGCCAGAGACGGGGCCTCCCAGGCTGGTTGGGAAGTCAGATTCAGATGGTAGAGCAGCCAGTGATCTTCCCAGAGAGTAACTCGAGGGCTGAGAATGAAGTGAAGACAGTGCAGAACATCGGGGGAGCCAGGCATCTCCACTATCTATTTCCAACACGTTTTCATCCCGCAAACAGAAACTCTGGACCCATTAAGCAGTAACTATTGCCCCCAAGACCCCCAGCCCCTGGTAACTTTCAGTCTACTTGAGTCTCTATGAAGTTGCCCATTCTAGATACTTCCTGTAAGTTGACTCATACAATATTTCCTTTTACGACTGGCTTCTTTCACTTAACATAATGTTTCAAAGTTCATCCATGTTGTAGCATGTGTCAGAAATTCATTCAGTTCCAGGCTTGAGGGTTAATAATTAATTATTATTATTATTATTATTATTATTATTATTATTTGAGATGGAGTCTTGCTCTGTTGCCCAGGCTGGAATGCAGTGGCTCGATCTCGGCTCACTGCAACCTCTGCCTGCCAGGTTCAAGCAATTCTCCTGCCTCAGTCTCCTGAGTAACTGGGATTACAGGCACCCACCACCCGCCACCACGCCCGGCTAATTTTTCATATTTTCAGTAGAGACGGGGTTTCACCATGTTGGCCAGGCTGGTCTTGAACTCCTGTCTTCTGAGTCGATCCACCCGCCTCAGCCTCTCAAAGTGCTGGGATTACAGGCGTGAGCCACTGCACCCGGCCTGTTCTAGTCTGTTTACAAATCTTTGGGGTATAGGCCAAGGAGTGAAAGTGCTGGTAATTCTATCATATGGTAATTCTATGTTTAACTTTCTGAGGAGCTGCCAAATTGCTTTCCATAGTGGCTGCATCATTTTATGTTTCTACCAGCAATGTACAAGGGTTCCAGTTTCTCTACATCCTTGCCAGTACTTATTCTTTTCCATTTTTAAAATCATAGCCCTGCTAGTGGGTGTGAAGTGGCATCTCATTATGGCTTTGATGTGCATTTCTCTAGGACTAATGACGTTGAGCATCTCAGACATTAGTGCCACTCCTTTGGAGAAATGTCTGTTTCTCCTCTGCCCGTTTTTAGTTTTTAATTAATTAATTAATTTTTGAGACAGAATCTCGCTCTGTCACCCAGGCTGGAGTGCAGTGGCGCCATCTCAGCTCACTGCAACCTCTGCCCCCTGGATTCAAGCCATTCTCCTGCCTCAGCCTCCCGAGTAGCTGGGATTACAGGCACCTGCCACCATGCCCAGTTAATTTTTGTGTTTTTAGTGGAGATGGGGTTTTACTATGTTGGCCAGGCTGGTCTCGAACTCCTGACCTCAGGTGATCCACCTCAGGTGATCAGCCTCCCAAAGTACTGGGATTACAGGCATGAGCCACTGCACCCGGCCTTTATTTTTTATAATTATTATTTTTTATTAAAAAAATTTTTTTGAGACAGAGTCTTGCTATATCATCCAAGTTGGAGTGCAGCTGGGTCACACCTGTAATCCCAGCTCCTCAGGAGGCTGAGGCACGAGAATCACTTGAACCTGGGAGGCGGAGATTCAAGTGAGCCGAGATCGCGCCATTGCACTCCAGCAGCAGCATGATCTCAGCTCACTGCAACCTCCAGCTACTGGTTTCAAGTGATTTCGTGCCTCAGCCTCTGGAGTAGCTGGGATTACGGGCATAGGCCACCAAGCCCGGCTAATTTTGTTGTTGTTGTTGTTTTTCTTTTGAGATGGAGTCTCGCTCTGTTGCCCAGGCTGGAGTGCAATGGCTTGGTCTCAGCTCAATACAACCTCCGCCTCCTGGGTTCAAGCGATTCTCCTGCCTCAGCCTATGAAGTAGCTGGGACTACAGGCACCTGCCACCATGCTCAGCTAATTTTTGTATTTTTAGTAGAGACAGAGTTTCACTATGTTGGCCAGGCTGGTCTTGAACTCCTGACCTCGTGATCTGCCCGCCTCGGTCTCCCAAAGTGCTGGGATTATAGGCGTGAGCCACCACGCCTGGCCTTTTTTGTATTTTTAGTAGAGACGGGGATTCACCGTGTTGGCCAGGCTGGTCTCAAGCTCCTGGTCTCTAGTGATCCTCCCACTTGAGCCTCCCAAGGTACAGGGATTACAGGTGTCATACGGGTATGAGCCATTGCACCCGACCAGTGGTGTTACTTTTTAATAAGTTCTGCTGCTCTTTTTTTTTTTTTTGCAAGATAGGGTCTGACTTTGTCACCCAGGCTAAAGAGCAGTGACCCAGTCATAGCTCCTACCTCAGCCTCCCAAGTAGCTAGGACTACAAGGACACGCCGTCATGCCTGGCTAATTTAAAAAATCTTTTTTGTAGAGATGAGGTCTTGCTATGTTGCCCAGGCTGGTCTTGAACTCCTGGTCTCAAGCAATTCTCCTTCCTCAGCCTCTTAGAGTGCTGGGATTACAGGCATGAGCTACCGTACCAAGCTAAGGGAAATGATTTTTTTTTTTTTTTTTTTTTTTTTGGTCAGTGTGCATATGGGGAACTGATCTGAACCCAGGTATTCTAGGCCCAGGGTCAGAGAGTCAGATCTTAATCCCTCAGGCTAAACAGTCTCTCAATTTACTCGTTCTCCTTCCTCCCTTCCTCCCTCTCTCCCTCCTCCCTCCTCCTCTCTCTCTTTCTTTCCTTCCTTCCCTTCCTTCCTTCCTCCCTCCCTCCCTCCCTCCCTCCCTTCCTGATGGAGTCTTGGTCTGTCACCCAGGCTGGAGTGCAATGGCGCGATCTCGGCTCACTTGAATCTCCACCTCCCAGGTTCAAGTGATTCTGGTGCCTCAGCCTCCTGAGGAGCTGGGATTACAGGTGTGCTGTAATTTTTGTATTTTTAGTAGACGGGGTTTCACCATGTTGGCCAGGCTGGTCTTGAACTCCTGACCTCAAGTGATCCACCCGCCTTGGCCTCCCAAAGTGCTGGGATTACAGGCATCAGCCACCGCACCCGACCCTTGCTTTTCTTTTGAAGTATCCTATTCTTTTCCTGTCGTTTCTGTGAAGCATCCAGGGCTTCTCTGGTCCAAAGTCAGTTTTTACATGAATGTCAGGCTTAAGGGATTCCAGTGCCAGGCAGGAAGCATAAGTTTGGACTCTTCATTTCGCCCCCGCTCTTTCCCGGCCTCCAGGAAGCGGTACCTCCGGCGGCGGGCAGCTTTGGGACAGCTGAACACCATCCTGCTGGTGGCCCAGCCCCTGCTCCAGAGGCGGCAGAGACTGCAGGTGCAGGGGCTTGGGTGGGGCGGTTCAGGGTAGAAGCCAGGCTGCCTGAGCTGGCCGAGCTGGCCAAATCCCAGCAGCGTTGACCCTCTCAGCCCGGCCTCGCACGGGCTGTGGCTTCAGACACAGTGCTCCTTGAACTCATCCCTTTTCCCTCCGGCCGGGGTAGGCCGGGGCCCTTGGGAGGTGCTGTCTTCCTCCATCCCTGCCTACTCTCCCCAGGGCCTGGCTCTTCCCTCTTGCCTGGGGTTCCCATCCCCTCCAGGCCTCCCCTGGGCCCCGTCCGCTCCCCTCTTTTGCATGATGACTCAAATCTAAGGTCTATAAAGCGACTCAAAGGTCAATGCCCACGTGCTACCCCCTCTCTGGCCCCTCCCTGGCTGGACTTTGTCCCCTGGGACCATTTCTTCCCTTCTTCCTGCCCTCTTCCCGGTGCCCTGGCAGATGGGCACAGACGCCCACAGTGCTAAGGCTGGTGAGGGCCCTGGAGGGCCAGGGGTGGCTGGCCCCTCCTGATCTGTTCTCACTCCTTTGCTGAGAACCTCCCAGGGGCAGGAGGGGACAGCTGAACTTCAGAGCTGGGGAGGTGCCCCCAGGTGACTCACATGGGAGGCATCAGCTCTTCCCACATCTCTTCCAACAGCTTGGGCGTTGGCAGGGCTGGCATAGCAGCGAAAGGGCCTTGGAGAGAGTGCCAAGCATGGTAGGTGGCCTGGAAAGTGGGGGGTTTTACATGGGGCTATGAACCTGCTGAGACTGGGACAGCTTAGAGGGCTGCCAGGGTGCTACCGTGGGTCTTGTCCCTCAGGGCCATGCATTGCACCTCCTGAGAAGAGGACCGGGGTGCTCTTGGCTCTTGGTTTCCCTCAGAGGGTCTTTGGGGCTCTGTTTGTTCGAGTGTCCAGGGTCAGAATCCTTGGTCTTTGGCTGGGTGTGGTGGCACACACCTGTAATCCCAGCACTTTGAGGTCGAGGTGTGAGGATTGCTTGAGCCCAGGAATTTGAGACCAGCCTGGGCAACATGACAAGACCCCATCTCTACAAAAACAATAAAAATTAGCTGGACACAGTAGCACATGCCTATAGTCTCAGCTACTCAGGAGGTTTGAGGTGGGAGGATCGCTTGAGCTAGAGCCTCAGAAGTCAAGGCTGCAGTGAGCCATGATGGTACCACTGCACTCTAGCCTGGGTGACAGAGTGAGACCCTGCCTCAAAAAAAAAAAAAAAAAAAAATCCGTGGTCTTTGGAAGGGATGTTTATAATCTTGGGGTTGAGGGTGTGGGGAGGGACACTGGTCCCTAGGCCCCTCCTGTGGATCCTGGGTAAATGAGTCCCCTCTGCCAGGAGCTGGGGCGCTTGGAGATCCCGGCTGAGCTGGCCGTCATGCTGAAGACGGCGGAAAGTGAGTCTTGTTGGTGTCCTCTTGTTAGGACTCCTTCTCCAGTCCCTTTACTGTGGGGTGTGTCTGTCCCTTGTGGTTCCTCCCTCTGATGCTCCAGACTCCCCTGAGCTCATCACTTGGGTCCCTGTGGACAGGGGCTGATGGCTCGTGGTGAGGGATGGAGGTGGTCCCAGGGCCAGGTACCACACCTGGATGCTCCTGGGCTGCCTCCCGGTGCTTGTTCCCAGGCCATCGGGACGCCCTGGCTGGGAGCATCACCGAGTGCCTGCCGCCTGAGGTTCCTGCCCGGCCCAGCCTGACTCTCCCAGCAGACATTGACCTGTTCCCTTTCTCCAGCTTCGTCGCCATCGGCTTTCAGGTGGGCGCCCAGGCCTAAGCTCTTCCCGCTGGCCTCACCGCTCTGAGTTAGCACCTGCCTGACAGATGCTGCGTTTTTTTCCCCGCTGTCAGCTCTTGCCCTCCTTCCTCCCCAGCCTTTGGGGCTGTGAGTAGCGCTGAATTGCTCTGAAAATAACCGTTGAATGTAATTGTCTCACCATAGAGCGTTACTGGAGATAACAGTTGGTGTTATTGAATGGGAGACGTTATTTAGATCCACGATGCCACACCTTTGTTGTACCTGCGGTAGTGCCCTGCTTTTGAAGTCATGACCTTAAAGAATGTTTATTGACAAGGGAAATTGTCCAGACTTCAGCAGTAAATACAAATGCAGGTTCAAAACTGCACATACAGGTTGGACATGGTGGCTCATGCTTGTAATCCCAGCACTTTTGGGAGGCCGAGGTGGGTGGATCACCTGAGGTCAGGAGTTTGAGACCGGCCTGGCCAACATGGTGAAACCCCGTCTCTACTAAAAATACAAAAATTAGCCAGACATGCGCCTGTAGTCCCAGCTACTCAGGAGGCTGAGACAGGAGAATCACTTGAACCTGGGAGGTGGAGGCTGCAGTGAGCTGAGATTGTGCCACTGCACTCCAGCCTGGGCGACAGACAAGACTCTGCCTCAAAAAAAAAAAAAAGGCATTAAGATGCATTTCTGTCCAGCCCCTCTGCCTCTCCCGAGGTGCCTGCTCCGGTGGGGCTCCCCTGGGCTGTCTGATAGCTGGTGAGCATGGACTGAGCCCTCTCCTTCCTTGCAGGAACCGTCCCTGCCCAGGCCAGGGCAGCCACTGGCGAAGCCCCTAACCCAGCTGGATGGAGACAACCCTCAGCGTGCCCTGGACATCAACAAAGTGGTGAGTGACACATTGGAGAAGGGACAGGATAGGCGCCTGGGAGCCCCGCACGTCCTGTCCTTACCCGGCTGTGTCGGCAGATGCTGCGGCTCCTGGGGGACGGATCCCTGGAGTCCTGGCAGAGGCAGATCATGGGCGCATACCTGGTGCGGCAGGGGCAGTGCCGGCCAGGGCTGCGGAATGAGCTCTTTAGCCAGCTGGTGGCCCAGCTATGGCAGAACCCAGATGAACAGCAGAGCCAGCGTGGCTGGGCCCTCATGGCTGTTTTGCTCAGCGCCTTTCCCCCACTGCCTGTCCTACAGAAGCCACTGCTCAAGTAAGGGGCCTGGGAGGTGGGGACCTGGCAGGTGGGGTCGCTGGATCACCCTGCCTCCACTGCAGCCTGTGCCCGCCCTGCAGGTTCGTGTCTGACCAGGCCCCCAGGGGCATGGCAGCGCTGTGCCAGCACAAGCTGCTGGGGGCCTTGGAGCAGTCGCAGCTGGCCTCGGGGGCCACTCGGGCCCACCCCCCGACCCAGCTGGAGTGGCTGGCCGGATGGCGGCGGGGCCGCATGGCGCTGGATGTGTTCACCTTCAGCGGTGAGGGCTGCCTCTGGCTGAGGCCTCCCAGGCCTGAAGTGGGGCCAGCCCTACCCCTTTGCCCTCCCTGGAACCCCTTCCTGCCCCAGTCTTCCTGCTGCCCTGTCCTCAGTGACCCTGATCCCCCTCCCCTCTGTCCTGCTTTTGAAACTCTCATGGGGACAGCAGCCCCTTCCTGTCAGGGTGGACTCTGCTGTCCCTCACTCTTGCCCCCGCCCCCCATGCCCCTGCAGAGGAGTGCTACTCGGCCGAGGTGGAGTCTTGGACCACCGGGGAGCAGCTGGCTGGGTGGATCCTGCAGAGCAGGTATGGGGACCGGGGATGGGGGACAGTGTGGCCAAAGTGACCCTTGTCCTATACCCTCCTCCTTCTCCAAGCCCAGTCTCAGGGGCCGGGAGGAGAGGTGCCCCGGGGTGGGCAGGGGCCAGACTGCAGATGGCGATGGGGAGCCGGGGGCAGATTAGGAATGAGGGGCTTGGGAGCTCCCACGGCAGATTCTAACTCAGCAGGTCAGAAAAGAAATGCCCATGCTGGAGCCCTTGTGGAAGTGGAGGGCCGTGAGGTGAGGAGGGGAGCAGCCCCCACTGCTGAGCAAACCTGGGTCCCGGACCAGGCGGATCCAGGGCCACCCTCCCTTCCTCAGCCCCCTGCCCCCTTGGCCCACCCTGTGGTCCTTGCCCCCTTCTGGATGGCCGCCTGCCTCACTGACTGGTCCCCTCCCACCCAGAGGCCTGGAGGCGCCTCCCCGGGGCTGGTCTGTGTCACTGCACTCCAGGGACGCATGGCAGGACTTGGCTGGCTGCGACTTTGTGCTGGACCTGATCAGCCAGACTGAGGACCTGGGGGACCCAGCTCGCCCCCGCAGCTACCCCATCACTCCTCTTGGCTCGTAGGTGCCACCCAGCACCCCTCTCCCTGGCCTGCTCCTGCCGGGGAACCCCACAGCCACCCTGCCACACTCAGGGGTTTATAGGAGCTGCCACAGGCCCAGCCCTCCCACCCAGCCTCCTCCCAACCATGGGGTGACCCCCGCAGCAGCTTCTACCTCTTGCCCCAGCCTGGGTGACCCTCAGCCTTGGCCACCCCCTTAGCTGGATCCCGTTTCCTGCAGAGCCGAGGCCATTCCCCTTGCCCCTGGCATTCAGGCCCCCTCACTGCCCCCAGGACCCCCTCCAGGTCCAGCCCCAACGCTGCCCAGCAGGGACCACACAGGTAAGGCTGGAGTGGGCACATGGAGGTTGGCAGAGCATGGGAAGCCCCACGCCCCGGGCCATGGCTCCAACCCTCTCCCTGCCCCACAGGGGAGGTCCAGAGGTCAGGGAGCCTGGACGGCTTCCTGGACCAGATCTTCCAGCCAGTGATATCCTCCGGCCTCAGCGTGAGTCGGGCACAGCCCCCAAATGCCCCTGCCCCAACCCCCCGGGGCCTCTGCTGCCCCTTCCATTTTTCTCAGGGCTCTCACTCTGACCTGTGACCATTGTCCCTTTAGGATCTGGAACAAAGCTGGGCTCTGAGCAGCCGCATGAAGGGAGGGGGCGCCATTGGGCCCACACAGCAGGGCTACCCCATGGGTGAGTGAGGGGCTGATTCCTCACCCAGGGCCTCCGGGCCCGGCAGCATGGCAGGCATGGCCTGGGACCCCTCTGGCAGTGGCGATCGATGCCCTGGCCAGCACCCCGGTGCCCGATGCTCTTCTCTGTGCCTGGGGCTGGAGGGAGGTGGCATGTGGGCCCAGGCAGGGACTGACAGGGAGGGCGTGTTCCCTCAGTGTACCCAGGAATGATTCAGATGCCTGCATACCAGCCAGGCATGGTCCCTGCACCCATGCCCATGATGCCAGCAATGGGCACAGTCCCTGCCATGCCAGGTAAGTCTGGGCTGGGGGCACCAGAGTCCCTTCTCAGGAGAGCAGCCACCAGCTCTGGGACTGGAGGAGGGAGGGTCCTGCTAGGAGTCCCGAGTGCACAGTGGGCAGCGAGCTTCAAGGCTGGCCATGGTGCCCACCACTCTGGCCGCCTGCCGCCCTCACAGCCATGGTGGTGCCGCCGCAGCCACCGCTTCCCAGCCTGGATGCAGGGCAGCTGGCCGTCCAGCAGCAGAACTTTATCCAGCAGCAGGCGCTAATCCTGGTGAGCGCTGGCAGGGCCCTGGGGCCACCTGGTGGAGGAGAGGTCTGTGGCTCGGGGATGAGGGTCTGAACTGGCTGCTCCTCCTGCTTCAGGCCCAGCAGATGACAGCCCAGGCCATGTCCCTGTCCCTGGAGCAGCAGATGCAGCAGCGGCAGCAGCAGGCTCGGGCCTCCGAGGCTGCGTCCCAGGCCTCACCCTCAGCCGTCACCTCCAAGCCCAGGAAGCCCCCCACACCCCCGGAGAAGCCACAGCGTGACCTGGGATCAGAGGGTGGCTGCCTGAGGGTGAGGAGGTGACCATATTCTCAGGAAGGGATGTGAGGGTGGGGACTGCAGGGGCAGGGGACATGGGCAGGGTGAGTAGGCAGACACAGGGAAGAGGCTGCTGGCCCAGGACTGGGGACCCGAGGGGTGTGGCGAGTGTGGCACCCAGGCTGGCTGAGCTGCCACTCATTTCTGCTTCTGCCAGGAGACCTCCGAGGAGGCTGAAGACAGGCCCTATCAGCCCAAGAGCTTCCAGCAGAAACGGAACTATTTCCAGAGGATGGGTGAGGGCACTTGGGGTGGCAGGACCGTGCAGAAACATGGCCAGTGCCCCTGGCCCGGGCCAGGGAGGGTGGGGTGTGCTCTGCTCCCCGGAGTTGGTGCGGCCCATCCAGGAGCCCAGCTGGGCCAGTATGGGTAACTTTGAAGGCCATCTGGACACTTGCAGGGCAGCCACAGATCACAGTGAGGACGATGAAGCCCCCGGCCAAGGTCCACATCCCCCAGGGGGAAGCGCAGGAGGAGGAGGAGGAGGAGGAGGAGGAGGAGGAGCAGGAGGAGCAAGAAGTGGAAACAAGAGCAGGTTGTGGGGAGCTGGGCAGGGCCTGGGGCTCCGGTGGCTCTGCACGCGGTTAACAGTCTTTCCTGTTTCCTGGTCAGTGCCGTCCCCTCCTCCTCCCCCCATCGTGAAGAAGCCATTGAAGCAAGGTGGGGCCAAAGCTCCAAAAGAGGCTGAGGCTGAGCCAGCCAAGGAGACAGCGGCCAAGGGCCATGGCCAAGGGCCAGCCCAAGGCAGGGGGACTGTGGTGCGCAGCTCAGACTCCAAGCCCAAGCGGCCACAACCCAGCAGGGAAATTGGCAACATCATCCGCATGTACCAGAGCCGCCCGGGCCCCGTGCCTGTGCCCGTGCAGCCATCCAGGTGGGCCCCCACGGGGAGGTGGCCAGGGCTGTCCCGCTCCTCGGGGAATCACCCTATGAACTTAGTGACCTCTTGCTTCTCCCACGAGGCCTCCCAAAGCTTTCCTGAGGAAAATCGACCCCAAGGACGAGGCTCTGGCCAAGCTGGGTATCAACGGTGCCCACTCGTCCCCGCCGGTGAGCACCCCAGCCTGTCTCCCCCAGAGTGTGTGCTGCTGCACTGGGGAGCTCAAGGCTCTCTGGGGCGAACTTGGCCTTGTGCTGTGACTCAGCCCGTGTACTTTCTCCGTATCCCCCCAGATGCTGTCCCCCAGCCCAGGAAAGGGCCCCCCGCCAGCTGTGGCTCCTCGACCCAAGGCCCCGCTACAGCTTGGGCCCTCTAGCTCCATCAAGGAAAAGCAGGGGCCCCTTCTGGACCTGTTTGGCCAGAAGCTGCCTATTGCCCACACACCCCCACCTCCACCAGCGCCACCACTGCCTCTGCCCGAGGACCCAGGGACCCTTTCAGCAGAGCGTCGTTGTAAGGAACCACATTTCTCCTGCGCCGTGGGCTTCACTGGGGCAGAGGCAGGGTTCGCACAGACTCTCGGTGCCCAGGGCTGAAGGCATTTCTGCGTGGCTGAGGCCAGCTGTTCGGGCTTCTGGACTTTGGAGCCATACGTAGCTGGGGAGTCCCAGCTTCCGCGTTCCCACCCAGGGCAGGGCCTGGGCATCTTTGGGGCTGTCATCGAGAGGCTGTCACACACAGGGTGTTGTCCCTGACACATACCCGACAGCTCTGTGAGGAAGTTAGTGGCCCTGGCTGACATGGTCATAGAAGACCCACGAGCCTCACGGACGCCAGGGAAAGTTTAGGGCCCAAAATGGAGGCAGGAGATGGTGCCATGGAAGGAGTAAGGCAGCTGGAGGTTGGGAGAGCCGGGCCCTTGGAAGGCTCGTGGGGATGAAGGTCTTCCCTCCCGTGCCCCCATCACTCTGGCTCTGCAGCCCCTCACTGAGGCTCCTCACCCCCTCCTCTCTGCCAGGCTTGACACAGCCCGTGGAGGACCAGGGGGTCTCCACCCAGCTACTCGCGCCCTCTGGCAGCGTGTGCTTCTCCTACACCGGCACGCCCTGGAAGTTGTTCCTACGCAAGGAGGTGGGCATGAGGGTGGGGCCTTGGCCTGGCCTCTTTGGGCTGGCAGGGAGGCGGCAGGCTTTGTGCATCCCAGCCTGGGACCCCAGCATCCCCTCCCCACAGCCCACCATCTCAAGGCTGATTTTCCAGGCCTGGGAGGGCAGAGGCTTGCTGGGAAGAGGCACCAGACCCACCGATCTTTGCCCTTCTGTGCCCTCCTCCAGGTGTTCTACCCACGGGAGAACTTCAGCCATCCCTACTACCTGAGGCTCCTCTGTGAGCAGGTGAGAGCTGGCCCACCTGCCAGCCTGAGACATCTGCAGAGACAGCATCCTTCGTGCCCTTTGTCTAATGGCTGGGCCAGGTTAACACCACGTAGGGCATGTTGGCAGCCAGCACTGGGGGGCACTTCTGTGTGCCCAGACCTGCCTTCATTGAACCTTCACAACATTCCTGAGAAGTAGGGACCATGGCCAGGTGCGGTGGCTCATGCCTGTAATCCCAGCACTTTGGGAGGCCAAGGCAGGTGGATCATGAGGTCAGGAGTTCGAGACCAGTCTGGCCAACATGGTGAAACTCCA
Source organism: Homo sapiens (assembly GCF_000001405.40). NCBI lineage: Eukaryota > Metazoa > Chordata > Mammalia > Primates > Hominidae > Homo > Homo sapiens. The sequence goes on from NC_000017.11 coordinate 75,618,483, forward strand.
TGTCTATTAAAAATACAAAAATCAGGCGTGGTGGCACGCACCTGTAACCCCAGCTACTTGGGAGGCTGAGGCAGGAGAATTGCTTGAACCCGGGAGGCAGAGGTTGTAGTGAGCCGAGATTGTGCCACTGCACTCCCGCCTGGGTGACAGAGCGAGACTGTGTCTCAACAACAACAAGAAGTAGGGACCATTATTCATCTAGTTTTATAGATAAAGTTTAAAAGCAAAGTGCGTACAGTGCACAACACAGGCTCTAGCACACAGTAGGTACTTAATAAATGGTTGTCACTTTGCCACCTCTGAACGCTCCCAGGAGTGAGCCTCTGTTCCCCCTAATTCTGCAGTAGCACCTGCCCCCTGCCCCGAACAATCTTGTATCTGGGCTGATCCAAGGGCAGTTACCACGGGGTCTCTGGGCAGTGAGTGAAAAGGGAGGGCTGGCAGTTGCAGGGGAGGGGACAGGTGAGACGTGTGAATGGAGGTGGCCCAAGCCCTCCATCCCTCCCTGCCCCACCTAGGCCCTCTGCTGAGCACACAGGCCATGGGGGCCAGGGCGCCCTCCATCGGCCTCCTCAGGTTTTCCTTCATGCATGTGGATGGCTGCTCTGGGGGTGGGCTCTGTCTCAGGACCTGGTGGTGACCACCTCGCTCTGCCCCCAGATCCTACGGGACACCTTCTCCGAGTCCTGTATCCGGATTTCCCAGAATGAGCGGCGGAAAATGAAAGACCTGCTGGGTATGGGTCCAGGGACCATGGAGTTGGGAGCTTGAGTGCTGGGGGCCGCGCCTGCCCTGAAGGAGGGAGCAGCATGGGAGCAAACTCTAGAGCCCCCTCTGTGTGAGCAGAGGGCAGCCTGGGTCCTTCCTGCCCACAGGAGGCTTGGAGGTGGACCTGGATTCTCTCACCACCACCGAAGACAGCGTCAAGAAGCGCATCGTGGTGGCCGCTCGGGACAACTGGGCCAATTACTTCTCCCGCTTCTTTCCTGTCTCGGTCAGTGGCGCTGGGGTAGGGAGTAGGGATGCCAGGCCCCCAGCCTGGATCCTGGGGTGCATGGGCACAGACCACAAGCAGGAGAGCCGGGGAGCAGACGCCAGGGGAAGGACAAAGCCCAGCCACTGGCCCTGGGCAGCTCCAGGGCATCTTGGGCAGTAGCAGGACCCAGGAGACTGCCCGAGACCCACCACCTTCCTGTAGGGCGAGAGTGGCAGCGACGTGCAGCTGTTAGCCGTGTCCCACCGTGGGCTGCGACTGCTCAAGGTGACCCAAGGCCCCGGCCTCCGCCCCGACCAGCTGAAGATTCTCTGCTCATACAGGTGCGCTAGCCCACGACCCTGGGCTAGAGGTGGGGGCAGGTGGCAAGGTGACCTCAGTTCATGCCCGATCCCTGCGCAGCTTTGCGGAGGTGCTGGGTGTGGAGTGCCGGGGCGGCTCCACCCTGGAGCTGTCACTGAAGAGCGAGCAGCTGGTGCTGCACACAGCCCGGGCAAGGGCCATCGAGGCGCTGGTTGAGCTATTCCTGAATGAGCTTAAGAAGGTAAGTGTGGGGCACGGGTTGAGAGGCCGGGCAGACAGCCCTCACCGATGCTGCATCTCCCTGTCCGTCTTCCCTGTGGGGGCAGGGGCTGGGAGTTTGGGCCAAATCCCTGGAAGTCTGGGGTGCTAGGTGGAGGGGCAGGCCAGCAGGGGGAGCAGGTGGGCAGGCAGGACAGGGAGGCACAGGCAGACTTGCTGCTCCAGGCCCTCGCCTGCTTGCCCACAGGACTCCGGCTATGTCATCGCCCTGCGCAGCTACATCACTGACAACTGCAGCCTCCTCAGCTTCCACCGTGGGGACCTCATCAAGCTGCTGCCGGTGGCCACCCTGGAGCCAGGTATCGCCAGAGGCCGGCAGGGGCTCACACAGGGAGGGCATCCACTTGGCAGAGGCTGCCCGGGGGCAGAGGGTCCAGTGGGTGAGCCACATCCCTGGGTGCCTTCCAGGCTGGCAGTTTGGCTCTGCCGGGGGCCGTTCCGGACTCTTTCCTGCCGACATAGTGCAGCCGGCTGCCGCTCCCGACTTTTCCTTCTCCAAGGAGCAGAGGAGTGGCTGGCACAAGGGTCAGCTGTCCAACGGGGAACCAGGGCTGGCTCGGTGGGACAGGGCCTCAGAGGTGAGGAAGATGGGAGAGGGACAAGCAGAGGCAAGGCCTGCCTGAGACTGAGGAAGGAAAGGGGTTTGACCACTCCCGAGGCTGCCATGCGGTGGGACCACCCTGCTGTCCGTCTCCTGTGGCTGCCCCTCTGCCCGCTCCTGATGGCTCGCCTTGTCTCTCCAGCAAGACTGTGCACTCCTTGCAGGCAGGGGCTGGGCTGGATGCTGCTCTTGTGTCCCACGTGGTACTTAGTTCAAGGCTGCCCCAGCAGATGCTTAATAAACAGCTCTTCACTTTCCTGGCTTCTGGTCTTGCTCCTTTGGTGTCTGGCTGGGGAGGGATGGGGCTGGGGCAGGACCCCTGGGACAGGGCACTGGACACTCAGGTGGCACCAGGTTTCTTGTGATCCCAGCGCCCTGCCCACCCTTGGAGCCAGGCACACAGTGACGACTCGGAGGCCACCAGCCTGTCCTCTGTGGCCTATGCCTTTCTGCCCGACTCCCACAGCTACACCATGCAGGAATTCGCCCGGCGTTACTTCCGGAGGTCCCAGGCCTTGTGAGTGCACTGGGCCAACCCCTGTGCCTGTCTGTCCTCAGTCTTCCTGAGAGAGAGCACCCTGCTCAGAGCCACTGGGCTGTGCTCTTAGCACTCTCCCTGCCTGGCTGGCTGGGATGAAGGCAGGAGGGCCAAACAAGCTGGGCTGTCTCCCTCTGCCCCCCACAGGCTGGGCCAGACTGATGGAGGTGCCGCAGGAAAGGACACGGACAGCCTGGTGCAGTACACCAAGGTGGGAGAGAGGCAGGGAGGGGTCTGGCCCGTAGATCTGCCCTCTGACCCCCACGGCCCCCCAGACCCATGGCCTCCTCTCTTTGGCCACAGGCTCCCATCCAGGAGTCGCTCCTCAGCCTCAGTGATGATGTGAGCAAGCTGGCTGTAGCCAGCTTCCTGGGTGAGTGGCCACAGGCATCCTGGGTCCCCATGTCTGCAGTGCCATGAACCTGGGTGTCTGGTCCCCTTATCTCCTTGAGCTCTGCCTGGCTCTGTCCCAGTCTGCCAACTCCGGGAAGCTCACTGGTGGTTCCTGGACCCCAGGGCCCTCACCCGCTTCTACTCCCACTCAAGGGTTGTGGGTTGTGTGGAGTCTGGGGTTGGAAGGCAGTCCATGGGTCCAGAGGATGCTATGTGCTGTGTGGGGCCTTGGATACCCAGGAGCCTCAGTTTCCCCATGAGTCGAGCTGCAACCAGCTGCCCTGGCTGGCATCTATGCATTTTGAGAGTGAGGCATCAGATGGCAGGTGAAGGCCCTGCACAGCAACAGCATGAGCCGGGGCCAGCCCCAGCACAGCCCCAGCTATGTGCCCTGTTTCTTATCGTGCCTGCAGCCCTGATGCGGTTTATGGGTGACCAGTCCAAGCCCCGGGGCAAGGATGAGATGGATCTGCTCTATGAACTGCTGAAGGTAAGCCTGGGCTGTGCGACCCCCAGCGCCTGTGCCTGTCCTCCTGTCTGGGCCTGAAGGAGATCCCCTTCTCTTGGTCACTGTCCTTCAAATCATTCCAAAGTATTTACTGAGCACCCATTGCGTGCAGGGGGGTGTGGCTGTGAAGCCAACAGGCTAAGTCTCTGCAGTGCTTACAATGAGATAACTTATGTGTCTGGGAGTGAGAGGTCACTGGAGAGTAAGAATGCAGGGAAGGGGCTGCTGCAGTGGAGAAGGCTTTGTGGCAGAAGCCTTCCTACAGGGAGGGAAGGAGTGAGCACGGGGTGACAGAGAAGGGCAGGCAACAGTTCAGATGTGGGGGGAAGCCTCGGCACCATCACGCACCGGGACCAGCGTGGCTGAGCCTAGTGAGCTGCAGGGAGAACGGAGGATGAGGATGGGGAGCGGATGGTGGGTCCAGGCCACCACAGGCCTTGTAGCCATCATTGGCCTCTGATTTTTGGAGAGATGGGAAACCACCAGAGGATTCTGGAGAGAGACTCGGCTTACATTTCACAGGGTCACTCGGCTGTTGTTTGAGATTCTGGGTGTCTAAGTTTAAAAGCAAAAGGAAGTTATTGCAGTGGTCCCAGGTGAGGGATGGTGCTGGCAGCAAGGGAGAAGCAGAAGATTGAGCCAGCAGAGTGTGCTGACCAATTGCATGTGGGCTACGGGAAGGAGGACAACTACTGTCTTCAAGGAGCAGGTCTTGGCTGGTGGAGGAAATCTGTTTTGGACACGTGAGGTCTGAAATCCCAGACTTCCCAGTGGAGGAGTCTGGGGTTCAAGGGAGAAGGCTGGAGGCAGGCACCAGGAGTCATCAAATGGGACCAGCTGAGGACACGGGGAGAAGGGCAGACAGAGAGAGGTTCAAGGGCACAGCACCGCTCAGAGGTCAGGGAGTTAAGGTGGAGCCAGCAGAGATGAGTAAGAGATCAGAGAAGCAGGGGCCGGGCGCGGCGGCTCCCGCCTGTAACCCCAGCACTTTGGGAGGCCGAGGCAGGTGGATCACCTGAGGTAGGAGTTGCAGACCAGCCCGGCCAACATGGTGAAACCCCGTCTCTACTAAAAACACAAAAATTAGCTGGGCGTGGTGGAGCACACCTGTAGTACTCGGAAGGTTGAGGCAGGAGAATCGCTAGAACCCAGGAGGGTGGAGGTTGCAGTGAGCCAAGATGGCACCACTGCACTCCAGCCTGGGTGACAGGGCAAGACTGTCTCAAAAAAATAAAAAATAAATGAAAAGGCCGGGCACGGAGGCCCACATCTGTAATCCCAGCACTTTGGGAGGCCAAGGCGGGTGGATCACCTGAGGTCAGGAGTTCGAGATTAAACCTGGCCAACGTAGTGAAACCCCATCTCTGCTAAAAATACAAAAGTTAGCTGGGCGTGGTGGCACGCGCCTATTAATACTTGGGAGGCTGAGGCAGGAGAATTGCTTGAACCTGGGAAGCAGATTGCAGTGAGCTGAGATCATGCCATTGCATTCCAGCCTGTGTGACAGAGGGAGACGGGAGCAGCGAAGAAAGTAACTGAGTAGCCAGTGCAGTGATGTCTTAAGCTGAGAGAGACATCTTGAGCCAGCCCCAGCCCATGGCCTAGCAGGGTTTCTCCAGGGCTTCAGACCCCAGGCTCACCGCTGCCATCCCTCACCCCACCTGCCCTTCCTGTCCCCACAGCTGTGCCAGCAGGAGAAGCTGAGGGATGAGATTTACTGCCAGGTTATCAAGCAGGTCACGGGACACCCCCGGCCGTGAGTGGGGACCGGTGGCTTCTGGGGGTGGCTTCTGGGGGCAGCTGGGCACTGTGGCCTGGCCAGCCTGAAGCCCGAGCGCTCTGCCCTGCAGGGAACACTGCACTCGAGGCTGGAGCTTCCTCAGCCTTCTCACAGGCTTCTTCCCCCCGTCGACCAGGCTGATGCCCTACCTGACCAAGTTTCTGCAGGATTCAGGCCCCAGCCAAGGTGCCCGTGGGAAGGGGAGATGGAGGAGAGGCAGGGGTTTCTAGGACTGGGAACTTGGTGGGCTTGGGGAGACATGGCCATCTCATAACCCCAGGCTGGCTTCTCTGCAGAGCTGGCCCGGAGCAGCCAGGAGCACCTCCAGCGCACAGTCAAATATGGGGGGCGCCGGCGGATGCCCCCACCGGGTGAAATGAAGGCTTTCCTGGTACTGGGGGTGGCGGATGGGCATTGTGGGACACCCTGGGGTGGGGAGTGTCTCCTACAGGAGACCACTGGCCGACTGACCCTGCAACCTGCCTTGGCAGAAAGGACAAGCGATTCGCCTGCTTCTTATTCACCTGCCGGGGGGTGTGGATTATAGGACGAATATCCAGACTTTCACAGTGAGCTTGGGGGCCACCAAGGGAGGAGGCCTTGGGCATCAGTTCTGGGTCCCCCAGCCTCCCTCCCCCTCATCACAGTCTGTCCACATGCCCAGGTAGCAGCAGAAGTGCAGGAGGAGCTGTGCCGGCAAATGGGTATCACGGAGCCTCAGGAAGTGCAGGAATTCGCCCTCTTCCTCATCAAAGAGAAGAGTAAGCTTGGGGACGGAGCCTCACGGTGGGGCCACTCCCCTGCCCAGGGGTGAGGTGGTTTGGTTTCTGCTGGGGTGGCAGGGCCGGGTGTGTGTGGTCTGAGCAGCAGTGGACCTAGGCTCCCCATGCAGGCCAGCTGGTGCGGCCCCTGCAGCCCGCCGAATACCTCAACAGCGTGGTAGTGGACCAGGACGTGAGCCTGCACAGCCGGCGGCTCCACTGGGAGACCCCACTGCACTTCGATAACTCCACCTACATCAGCACCCACTACAGCCAGGTCAGCCTGCCTGCCTCCGAGCTGCTGCTGCAGTTTGAGGGCGCGGCTTCCTGCCTGGGCGACCTCCAAGCCCCTCTCCCCACAAGGGTGTGGGTCTGTGGTGGCTGGGGGGTGACAGTGGCAAAAGGAGGCTTGAGCCTCTAGAGCCACCAACTGATGGGGGGCTTTGGACCACCGCTGCCCTCCTCACCGTGCTCCCCGCACAGGTGCTGTGGGACTACCTTCAGGGGAAGCTGCCAGTCAGCGCCAAGGCAGACGCGCAGCTCGCCAGGCTGGCCGCCCTGCAGCACCTCAGCAAGGCCAACAGGAATACCCCCTCAGGGTGAGTGGAGGCACCTCCCGCCCCTAAGCCCCTCCCCTTCTCTAAGGTCAAGGCCATTTGACTGGTACCCTTCCTGGCCCTAAATGGACTGGCCAGGAGCAGCGGGGCCTGTGAACATCTGTCCTCTCCACCCCACCCCGAGCTCCTCTGGTGCAGGACCCTCACCTCATTCATGTGTATGGATGTCTAGTCTTGCCCACAATAGGCACTGGTTATTTGGCACGTGCTGTATGCCCAGCCCTGTACCAGGTGGTCAGGGGCCAAACTGACCCTGGTCACACATCCTAGGCAGGACCTGCTAGCTTACGTGCCAAAGCAGCTGCAACGGCAGGTGAACACGGCCTCCATCAAGAACCTGATGGGTCAGGAGCTGAGACGGCTGGAAGGACACAGCCCCCAGGAAGCACAGATCAGCTTCATTGGTGGGTCTGGGACTAGGGGACCGCTGGGTGGGGGCTGGAGGCCAAGAGGGAAGGAATGCAGGTAGAGGGGCGAGGAGGGGTCTGCGCCTGCCCTGTCCCTCTCAGCTGACCTGGGGGACCAAGCAGAGCAGGTTCCAGGGCCCCAGCAGTCAGATTTCCTGCCTGCACCCTCTCCACCCGCAGAGGCCATGAGCCAGCTGCCCCTCTTCGGCTACACCGTCTATGGGGTGCTGCGAGTGAGCATGCAGGCCCTGTCCGGACCCACTCTCCTGGGGCTCAACCGCCAGCATCTCATCCTCATGGACCCCAGCTCCCAGGTGGGCACAGCTCTTGCCTCAGCACTGGCCTAGGGACCCTTGGGCTGTTCCATCACCCACAATGACCCCTCCCCGGAGAGGAGACCAGCCCTGCTCTCTGCTGCCCCCAGAGCCTGTACTGCCGCATTGCCCTGAAGAGCCTGCAGCGGCTCCACCTGCTAAGCCCTCTGGAGGAGAAGGGGCCCCCTGGCCTGGAAGTCAACTATGGCTCAGCTGACAACCCCCAGACCATCTGGTTTGAGCTGCCACAGGTGAGTGGCCAGGCCTCTGGCCACCTTGCGAAGGTGGATGTGAGGGCCTTGCCCCAGCATGGCGTGCAGTGGGAGCCCAGGCCCAGGCCGATGCCCACTGCTCCGGAGTGCTGTGGGCCGGGGCAGAGGCGAGGGGCTGGCTGGGGAGCCCTCTTGTAACAGGCCTTTCTCTGGGCAGGCCCAGGAGCTGCTATACACCACTGTCTTCCTGATAGACAGCAGTGCCTCTTGCACTGAGTGGCCCAGCATCAACTGAGAGGAGTGCAGGCCGGGGAGAGAAGAGGATGAGGCCTCCCCCGGCCCAAGTCTCACCCACATGGTCTGCCTTGGATGCTATCAGATCACTGTTCTAGAACCTGCCTCAGCACAGCCCAGCCGGCCCACATGCAGGCCATGAGGCAGGGGCTGCTATCACGTCACCAGCAGGCAAAGAAAACAGCCAGACCCTCTCCAGGACGGCCTGGGGCCAAAGCGGGCTGCAGGAACTCGGCTGGGGCACCTGAGGTTGCCCAGTCTGAGGGAGATGCCCACCCGACCCCAGGCTCCGCCCAGGCCCCACATTAGCACAAGCCCAGGCATGGGAGAAACAGCTGCTGAGGAAATAAAACTCCCTGGAGAAAAGGGCTGTGTGCACGCCTGCATGCCCCACAACAACACAACTTTATTCCTCTCCCAAACATCTGTCAGGCCTGGCCTTCCTGAGCAGGAGCTGAGCAGGAACAGGGCCTGGCTGCCTCTCCTCTGCCACAGCTCTGACCTGGGCAAGGCTGGAAGCTGGCATCGTAATGGATGGGGGAGTGGGTGGAGGATCTGAGGGTCCCCTGGGTAGGTTCCGATACCTTGGACAGGTGGGCCTCATCCTGACTTAGAACTCGGGGAGGGGCCACTCTTCCTTCCCCTTCTTCCAGCAGCAGCTCCACCACCCTCCACCTTCTGTCCTCGACATGTGTCCCAGAAAACCCAGCCATGAGGACCGCTCTGAGAAGGGTCTATAGGCTTTGCAAGCAGAAAGAAAGGTGGGCTGACCTCTGACCTGGATTCAGGGGGTGTCTGGGGTCATCCCCAAAGCCAAGTATGGTTGGAAAGGAGAAGGACTGAGAAAAGACGATGGCCCTGGCATCAGCAGGTGAGGCCCAGGATGACCCATGCTAGAATCTGGGGGAGGACGCGGGCCCTGCCCAGCCAGCAGTTGGTCATCTCTGGGGGCCACACAGGCCATGCCAGTCAGCTTCGCTCTCGCACCGGGCCCGGCCATGGAAGAAGTGCCTGATGAGGTTCTGGGCCTCTTCTTTCACTACAGATTCAGGGTGGGGGCATGAGGAGGTGAGCGTTAGCCTCCTCCCTGTAGACCACCCTCCCAAGTGCCTCCTGGCCCTGGCAATGCCAGCGCTCACCGCTCCTTCCAGGAGAGGTCTTCTGAGTCAGCAAGTGTGAGAGGTGGCGGGCAAAGCCTTTAAACAACTCCTGGAAGGGAGAGGGAGAAGAGAAGCAGAGAGCAGGACCCTTGGTGGCCGGGCGCAGTGGCTCACGCCTGTAATCCCAGCACTTTGGGAGGCCGAGGCGGGCGGATCATGAGGTCAGGAGATCGAGACCATCCTGGCTAACACGGTGAAACCCTGACTCTACTAAAAATACCAAAAATTAGCCAGGCGTGGTGGCGGGTGCCTGTAGTCCCAGCTACTCGGGAGGCTGAGGCAGGAGAATGGCGTGAACCCGGGAGGCGGAGGTTGCAGTGAGCTGAAATCGCACCACTGCACTCCAGCCTGGGCGACAGAGATAAAAAAAAAAAAAAAAGAGAGCAGGACCCTGCCCTGACCCCCAGAGCAACCCACGGCCATGACCCAACGGCAAGGCAGGCCCCAGGGAGGACGGGCGTGGGGCTGGCCCTAGGCCCACTGTGTTCTGGGGCTCAAACTCCCTGCCTCCCACCCCCACTACACCCACATACCCCAGGCATGGGAGAAGGCAGAGCCCACTCACTCCCCCTACCTTGGAAGCAAACTTGCCCTCCTTGTAGAAAGGGGTGAGGCACTTGACCACAACATTTGCAGCCTCCTTCAAGGAGACGCCAGGAGCGGAGAGCTGGAAGGGGTCTTGAGCCGTGGGATTCAAGGTGCCCTGTTCGCTGGCCGAGACGCTGCCCTTGACCTCAGCTACGACGGAGGGCTTGGCTGAGGGGCGTGGCCTCTTCTGAGGCTGGCTCTCTGGGTTCTCCTGAGAAGGGCCACAGCAGAGGGTCACTCCTGAGCTCCCTTCCACTGGCCTGCTCCCCTCCTCCAGAAGACTGGGTCCCCGCACCAGCTGCCTCTCTCCAGCCCAGCCCATCTGCTGCCAGGTGTGGAAAGAAAGCTGATTTTCCCTGACCCCTTGAGCAGGGCACAACAGCTCCTGGCCTCGCCCACAGCCCTTCTCTCCTCCCCAACAGACTCATCCCTGCCGGCACCTGCTGGGATCGAGGCCGCTTGCCCTTCCATGTGTCCTTTGCAGGGGTGGGCTGGACTTCAGGGGTGCCCTGGTCTCTGGGCGGGCAGGTGCTGGTAGAGGGAAGAGCAGGCATCACAGCACTGGGTCCTGGTGGCTCCCTCATCCCAGGAGGCCTAGGAGAGCCCATCTCAGGGGTGAGCTCTGAGCTTCAGACGCCCAGTGAGCAAAGGGGATGCTGCCGTGTAGGTTCCAGAAGATTCTATGACTACCTGTACCCTTACCTTGGCCTCTCCCTGAGGCACTCCTCAGTCTGGGGAGGGGCAGGCGAATGTCCCCCGGCTCCATCTTCCTCCCCTGTGTACTTCTCTGGGGCCATCGGGGGTCCCTGAACCCCCTCACAGGAGGGGCAGGCACCTTCTGCCTCTGGGGCTGATGCCAGCAGAGCTGGGCTTTCCACCCTTCGGCAGAAGAAGCGGGCGATGCTCTGAGAATCCTTGTGGGCCGCTGTGGCTAGGAGCTGCTGTTTCTTGCTAGCCCGGCCCTTGGCAAGGGAGCTGCCCCCAGAGGAACTTTTTGCCTTCTTCTCAGGGGAGGGCCCCCCATAGTGAGCGCTGCCTCCAGGGACCTCCCCTCTGGGCCCAGGGAGGGGCTCACTCCCATCCTCATCCAGGAGGCCACAGGGCCGGCTCGGGGGCTCGTGCTCGCCTCCCCGCTCGGGCTGGGGGGCTTGCTCCCTGATCCGAGTTGTCTCCATCAGTTCCGTGGCCGTCTGGAACGGGCAGGAGCCTTTGGGGAAACCAGCTCCCACCCGCTTGGGTTTGAGCTGTAAATGTGAGCAGGAGGAGAGGAGGTTCAGCCCACTAGGCCCCCTTGAGGGCACCGCTGGCTGGAGCAGTAACTCACATTGGGACGGGGCTCTCAGGAGTGTGGGAGGGAAGAGGCAGGCAGGACCCTGGTGGGGAGCCAGGCCTTGGCAAGAGGTGCACCCCTGAGGGCAGAGGGGAAGTGAAGCCTTTCCTGGTCACAGGTCTGGAGGCCACTGGGCCACAGCTCACCGAGTACACATGGGAGGCTGGTGGAATGTCATACTCATTGGGCTCCGGGGGCTCAGCTTGGGCACTGCAGCTCTTGGCACTGCCTCCCATGTCATAGGGCTGCCCATCCTTGGAGGCTCTGTGGATATCGGCCACCTGGGCAGGGATAGGCAGGGAGGCTGTGGCACCCGCCAGCTCCTCCTGACATGCCCCACCTAGCCCTCCTTTTCTACTAGGCACTACAAGTGGGTTTCTGTGGCCAGTGGCCACAGGCAACTGACCACTGGGCAAGTTTTAGGCCTCCCATCCTCACAGGGTTGGCTAGAAACATGTCCAGCCAGTGGAGAATGGAGCTCTACCCCCATAAACTGTCTCTGGGGTGGGCTGGGGAGGGTGAGTTCTGGGCTGCCTGAGCCCAGAGAGCTGGCAGACAGCTTCTGCGTCAGAGTATGGAGGGGCCCCTGCAACGACCCTGGGTCCGCCTGCACCAGGCCCACCTTCTTCAGCACGCTGGCCTTGTAGAGGTTGGCCACCTTGGCGTTCCGGAATGTCTCATGTTCCAGCTCCACGGCCTTGGCCCGGAGGTCAGCTCTGTGGGTGCAAGGTAACAGGCACAAGGTATCAGGTGGGCCTGGGCTTCTCCCTGCTGAGCTCTTGCGGGACTCCAGGCCTGGTGGGGTAGGCCTTGGGCACAGGGATTCTGATTAGGGCTCTCTGAGCACCCTGTGGCTTACTGTCCCTCAGCAGCTGCTGGTAGCACCTAAGTTGTAGCCATGCCTGGCCCTGGTGGGGTTGTAGGGGCAGTCCCCTGGAGTAGGAGAGGTACAATCTGGGGAGAGGTGGCCCAAACAGGCCAGGGTTGACAGGGTCCTGCAGTCTCCAAGGGAACGAGAGCTTGGAGTGCTCCTCAGCCCAGTGATCGTGGAACTCACTCATCAGCGGTACGTGTTGACTGGCGGTTGCTGCTCAGCGCCTCCTCCAGAAGCCGCAGGCAGTGCTCCCGTGCCTGGCACAGGACAGTGAGACTGGTCGCATGGCCTCGCGGCTGGGGGAGGGCCCCGGCGGGTGGCTGAGGAGCTGCCCGTCTCTTACCTTCACAGTCAGCCTGGGGATCCTCCTGCTAGAAGCCTCTTTCAGGGGACAGTTCTCATCTGTGGGGGGGGGGGGTGGTCCTTGGTCCTTTCGCTCCACCTTCTGCGCTCTGAGGTCCCCCACAGCCCGGATGAGAATCCTCCCTCCATGCCCCGGGAAGAGCCCACAAGCCTCCAGGAACATTTCTGTACTGACCTGGGGGTACAAATTCTTCTATCTTGGGGTCTTTGCCCTGGAGGACAACATGAAGGACCCATGAGGCGTCCTGCCCTGCCGCAGGACAGTCCCATCCAGCACCAGAGAAGGGGCTGAGAGGTGCGAGCAGGGGGCCACCAGGGGCCCCACACAGGCCACTGAGTGCCTCCCCTCACCTTGCGCAGCTGCATCTGCTTCTGATAGAAGAGGTTCCACTCCCGCTTGTGGGCCTCATCTCTGCCTTCATCCCCGCTGCCTCCAGAACCTTCGTCATACCTAGGGACAGGCCAGGCGTGAGTGGCCCTGGCCTGGGCTCTGCCCTCCCCATGTGTGCTGCTGCTAGAACGGCAATGTCCCTGATGTCCTACCAGCTCAAGGGGGGATTGCGGCATCGTGCCACCTCTGGTCTGGCCCTGGCGCCAAGGGAATGCCAGGCAATTCCAGCGGGTTGGAGCCCTGGCTTCTCGGCCCCTTACCTGCTGAAGTCCCCGTAGCCCTTGCGGCCTCCCTCATACAGCTCGGGGTCAAAGCCGTTCCCCTGGGAGGGCCCGATGCAGGTCTTGCTCCAGCTGCTGCTGCGCTCCAAGGCCTCCAGCCGCCTCCGCACGGCCGTGGGGTTCTGGCAGTGGTCGCAGCCTTTGGCGCAGGCAGGCAGCGCATCCCCGAAGTACTTGGCAATGGCGGCATGGCGGCACCTGGAGCAGGCAGCACCGCAGAGGTGAGGGGCGGAGAGCCCAGTCGGCCAGCGTCTGTTCACCCGAGCCTGAATCGCTAGCTGAGCGAGCACTGCCGCGTCCGGCACCATGCCGGGAGCCCCACACCCCTCATCTCATCCAAGCTGCACCAGGCATCGTTTGGCTCTCCCCACTACACAGATGAGGACGATAAGGTGAACCAACTTTCCCAAGGTCACGTAACACATGGGGGTCTCCCGGGAAGCAGGATGTGAACCCCACTCTGTCCAGTTACTCCTCTGCTCCTCCCCTCTGTCCTCTGGCAATGGGATGTAGATGCTGGCTCTGCCATGAAGGGTGTCTTTTGGGTGACACACTTCACCTCCTAAAGCCCATGCATTCCCGTCAGTAAGATGGTGCAGAAAGGCACAGCCCTCACGGACTGAGCGAAGATGGCTGAGGTGATGTCTGAAGTGCATTACAGTACAGTCATGCCCCATGGAATGACTGCACAGCCAATGGTGGTCCCCTACGATTCTAACACTGTATTTCTACTGTACTTTTTCTATGCTTATGTGTGCTTAGATATGTGAATACCACTGTGTTACAACTGCATACGGTACTCAGGACAGTAACGTGATGTACAGGTTTGTGGTCTAGGAGCAACAAGCTGTAGCGCATGGCCTGGGTGTGTAGGAGGCTGTGCCGCTTGATATTTTTTTCCTTCTCTTCCCTGGAATTGCTGTTTGATTTCCCTAAGTATACTCTGTGACCGCACAATGACAAGTTAAATTTCTCAAAACGTATTTGCATTGCTAAGGCAGGCACGGCTGTGTAGTAATATGTCCCATCATCAACCCGTGAGGGTGTCACAGGTGGGGCCTTTAGCCAGGGAGACGCAGCCTCGCCTGGAGTCCTCCTCTCGTCTTCCTCTGTCTCAACCCTGCTGCAGCCCTCCTGGGGTGAGCGGCCTCTGCCCATGCTGGGAGCAGGGAGCAGCCTCTGGCTGGCCCACGAGGCTCTGTCGCATCTCTGTTCCCTCTGCATGGGGGTGGCTGTCGACCCTTGGGGCAGCTGCAGAGGCCGCAAGAGGGGCCATAGCTCTCTCAGGCTCCTTATAAACAGCCATTCCTGCCACCAGGAACGTGGCACAGGGTAGGGAAGCCCAAGAGGAGATGCTGGAACACAGGCAGGGCTGTCTGGGGTGCCACATCCCAGGGACAAGAATAGCTGGCATTAACTGCTCTAACTAGAACTCCTCCCAGTGTGAGCACTGCTGCGGCTGCAAGAAGCCCTTTGAGGGGCTGCGACCCCAAGGCGCAGGCTCAAGGATGCAAGGCTGATTGCAACACCCCGGTAAGGAAGCAGGGCCTGGCTGACTTTCTTTTAGCTGAGTGAATGCAGCTCTGAAGCCTGACCTGGGCTGGGACAGCCGAGGCGGCCACCAGAGGGCGCTCCTGCCCCCACTCTGCTCCAATGAGTAAATGCAACAAATGGTTCATCCCCAGGAGTCCGTGCGCCCGCACAGCGGCCGCCTGTCCAGCCTCTGGGAGGCTCTGGCATCCGAGTGGTGTGACCACATGGCTGGCTTCCTCCCCCTGCCCTCCTCAGGCCCTGACTCACTGGGGTTTTGTGCTCGGACTCAAAGAGCTCCATTGACAGCGGGGCTGGGGTCGGTTTCTCTCCACACAGCCTAGCCTGCTGGGAGGCACAACCAGGCAAATGTCACAGGGCCCGGCCCCTGGACTCTGGAGCCCTGCCCTGACAGCTGGGCCAGGAGTGCGGTCACAGCCCCAGCAGAAGGCCCTCACCTCACAAGGAACATGAGGCGCCTTGCCGGGCGCGCAGGCCACTCCCAGGTCACTCAGGATTCCAAGTTCTCCCCCAAGACGCCTTCAGATGCTGAGCGGCACAAGGGCCTCCCCAGGGACTGGTTGCAAAGCCTCCTGCTCAGCTTGAGAGGGCCACCAGCTCCCCACTGTTTACTGTTGTTCCTGAGAGAGGCCAGAGGGAGGGACCAGCCAGGGAGTGGCCAGAGGGACAGAAGGGGTGGCCTTCCTGAGGGCAGGGTGGGTGCCCCAGACCTGAGAGCGCTGCAGGACTCCCCTCCACAGGCTCAGGTGGAGCCTCCCCAGGGTCCTCCTGGCCAGGAAGGCAGAGAGCCGACTTCTTTCTTCAGCTCCCAACCCAGGCCCAGCCCACGGCGTGGGAGTCGGGGAGAGGGAGAGGAGGAGGAAGGAGGAGGAGAGAGGGAGCTTGTCTTGTCCCTGAGCAGCGCTCTCAGGGCAGAGGTGAGGCACCGGGACATGAAGTTGGAGGACAAGTTCCCAAGCAGGGCTTCCTCGGGCTCCCCCTCGCGACGGTAATTTGACACTTGGATCTCCAGGACGACCAACAACAAAAAAGCCAGGCAG
This sequence comes from Homo sapiens, assembly GCF_000001405.40. Lineage (NCBI taxonomy): Eukaryota > Metazoa > Chordata > Mammalia > Primates > Hominidae > Homo > Homo sapiens. The sequence goes on from NC_000017.11 coordinate 75,634,062, forward strand.
AGACAGCAGCTGGCTGTCAGCAGAGGAGCTGGGCTGAGGCGCCCAGGGGAGCAGCGGCGCCCACGAAGGAAGTACGAGGACAGCACGTGGAGGCTCCGCGCTGGGGCACTGCTGCTCAGCCCCCAACACCTGAGCTCCCAGGTGAGTGGCAATGGCCACAGAAGAAGGGGGGACAGGGAGGGAGCAGCAAGGGTCCCCTGCCCCCAGGGTGAAGGGCCACAGTCTACCATAAACACGGAGAGGTCTTCGGGGACATGCTGGGTCGCTTCCCTGCAGGGAAGTCAGCCAGCCTCCTGCACACACCTGCACTCTCCCTGCTGCTGGGACCCTGCACTAGGGGAGGGCTGGGGGCTCTGCTCAGAGCGCCTCCTGCTCCGCCTGCTGTGCAGCAGAGGGGCCCCGAGGGCCTGCTTATTCTGCAAGTTCATTTCAGCTCTTTTATTCAGGGGGCTTAAAAGAGGGATTTGGCTGTCCAGCTTGGGAGAGAATGGCTGCCGGCCTGCTGAGCCTCCCTTTTTCCCAGGATTAGGGCAGAGCCCTGTCGAGGTCAGCGCAGGGTCTGCCCAGCCAGCATGCGGCGCCCCCAGGATGCAGCAGGACTCTGCCCATCTGTGTCCTTTCAGGGGCTTGGCCCACTCACTGCTGGTGTTCTCAGCTCACGGCTCAGCCTGGGTCCTCCTCCCTGGGCCCATCTAGAACCCCATAAACTCCTAGATCTCCCTCTGGTGATGAGCCTTGAACACCAAACCAGGAACCTGGAGGACTGACTTTCAACTCAGGCTCAGGTGGGCAGAAGGTCACAGAAGTGAGGCTGGGAGGGACCACGCTGGCAACCGGGACCTCTGCTGTGCCACCGTGATGCACAGGCTGACATGACACCACCCCTAAGGAAGCAGGACCCGGCTGTTTGGTTCTTTGGGGAACACTGAGAGCAGCCCTCCTGGGCAGGGCCCGTGAGCCGAGGCTGCCTACTCCTCCTGCCGCCCTGTCCTCAAGCCAGCGTTAAAGCCACCACCCCCCATATGTTTTCCTCAAAGCAAACAAGCTGGCATCTAGTGAGAAACAAAAACAATGACCCAGGGAAATGTGGAAACCAAGGACTAGCCCAAGTGTTCTCAGCTCAGCAGAGGCTGGGGGCTTCGGCTGGGGCTGGTGTCTGGGGAGACAAGCTCCTGCGGTGTTGGGAGGCGCACAGTAGGGAAGAGTCAGGCCAGGTCGGGGTCGGGGCACAGCGGTGAGCCTGGAGACCCCAGTGGCTGTCACTCACAAGACGCCCCAGGCAGGCAGGTGGGGATCCCTGTCCTGCATCCACAGGACACGAGTGGACAGGGTCTCTCCAACACAGTCCCTGAACCAGGACGGAGGGTGAATGAACAGCCAGCTTCTGTAGCTGCAGAAAGAGCGCCTACTGTTTCTAACACCAGCAGCAGAAAGCGCTTCCTCCCGCCCTGGGTGGCTACAGGAGCAGGGCCTGCCAGGGGTTCAAGCACCACTTTCTACTTCCAGTTGGAGCCAGGGCAAAAAGGGGAGTCACCCAAAGGCTCAGTGCCACAAATAGGGGCATCCCCCCCGGCTGCTCAGGCACAGGACCCTGCAAATCTCCCACAAGTGTCAGTTATGCCTCCTTCTAGGTGGACCTCAAACGAGATAATGCCCAACAGGGCAAGGGTGACTAAAACCCACCATGACGAAACAACAGGGCAGAGCAAGCAGCCCTCTGGGGCCCCGCGCTGCCAACACACCTCGCTTATCAGTCTCAAACACGCCGCCTGCTGCCAGCCCTTCCTCGTGAGGCGCCTGGGGTTGGAGTATCAGCTCTGCGAGGAGGAAACAGGGAAGCTTCGGGACCAAGTGGCAGCTGTCTGGCCTGCGGGATGCCTGCCTGTTGCAAGGCTCCGTGTGCCAGGAGATGCCACATAAAGGAATGCTTCCCATCCCTCCGGCTCTGCCAGCCTTCTCTGCCCTGAGTGTTTCCCCTGTGCTGACCGCTACTGCAGCCAGGGCACACCCTCTGAAGGCTCCAAGCAGGGCTGGCTGGGCAGCCTGGGCAGCAGGAGGGCCTGGTGGCAGCTGGGCTACACTCCCTCTTAAGGCCAGAGGGAGCCACCACTTGCTCTGGCAGCCACTCAGGAACCCCTGAGGACCCTGAGAAGCCTCCAACCAAGGCACTACTGAGCGTGGGGTTGGGAGGGACTCTGGTTGCCCTGGTTCGCAGGTGGGCACTACCAAGCGTGGGGTTGGGAGGGACTGGTTGCCCTGGTTCGCAGGTGGGAAGTGTGGTTTTGGAAGGAGTTGGGTGAACCTGAGATAGAAAGACGGGAAAAATATGGGATCATCAGTAGCCCTCCTGGGCTTCCCTGCCTTCCTCCTGCCAAACCTAGGAAGGGAAAGGGGAGGAGAGGTGGCCAGCCTCAGAGCTCCCATGTTCCCCTCGCCACAGCTGGGAACACTAAGGTTCCCTTAGGAGCAGCGGCTGGGGCACATGCCACACAGTCACCTGACGGCTGCTGGTTATATTGGGCACCAAGTGTCAGGCACTCCTTGGCCTGGCTTTAAATAGCCCGCTGGGAAGACCACCTGGGGACCGGCTGGAATGCGCCTCCTCCTCTTTAGAGAACAGGACCCCTCAGCTCCCCCACCTGCGCCATGAAGGTTCAGTCGCGGGTTTACGCTCCAAATGACAAGATATCAACTGCAAAACAAAGGGGGTCCCGGGGTTCCTCTCCAGCTCTCTGGGGGCAGAACAGCCACGTCCAACGGTCCTACTTCTGCTCACTGTGTGACAGGATACCGTGAGTACCCCTGGGTCAGACCCTGGGGCTGGGTGAGGCTGGCCATGCCTGGCTGGCAAATTCAGCTTCCAGTCAGCCCCCTAGGGAAGCCCTGGGCGCAAAGCTATGACACTGTCCACAGCCGCAGCCTGCTGCTGCTGGGAACTGACACTTTTCCCCGCTGGAGGCCGGGGTCCACCCGGCATGAGTCTGCAGCTCTCCCACTTTGCAGCCCCTGGAGGAGGCTGGCCAGAGCTTCTCAGCAACAAACCCCACTTTTCCTGCACCAGTAAATTCAGCCTCAGTCCAACCTTCCTCCTCCCTGTTCTGGTGAGCACAGCCCCAGGTCTCTCGCTCACAAGGAAAAGTGCCCCCTGCAATCTCTCCCTGGGTCTCTGGGTGTGGCACAAGCGAAAAAGCTCTCCCTGCCCGCTCCCTCTTTGAAGGAGTGTCTCTGCTGGGCTACATTAGGCCGTGTGGGCACAGTGCCAGTCAGGCTGAAAACGCCAGACCAAGTGTAGACAGAGAGGGAGGGGAGAAAGGCAGCCCAGCTCCTGAACCACGCGCAAACTGTCCCGTAAGGGACACTGTCGGCATTGTCGTCCCTCTAAGAATGAGGGAACCTGGAAAGCTGGGGCGTGAGGATGGCACGGAGGTCCCGGAACCAAGAGGGGACCACTGTCCTTGTGCAAGCCTGCTCCACCTGGCCAGAGAGAATGTCCCATTCAGTCTGACCAGAGGGTTCAGTCCTACACTCAGGCTGGCTAGACTCACAAGACCTGTACCTGTGGTGACAAGGACTCCAGGTAGTCTCAAAGAGCCTGGTGTGGCCCCGGCCTGGTGGTGATATGCTGATAAAAGCAGCTTCAGATCCACAAATGTGGGCTGGGGCTGGCCGAGCACAGCCAGCTGGCTTCCAGGGGGCTCTCGGGCCCTGGCTCCTGTACTGAGCCCACTGCACGGGCAGTACCCTCAGCGGGGCTGCTCCTGGCTATCTTGCTGGTCTAAGCTGGAGACAGGCCTCCATGGAGAGACAGCGTGGGGCACCAGTGGGGGTGCTGGCTGGGGCCCTGTCCTGCTGTGTAACCTCAGAGAAGTTGCTTGCTCTCTCGGGTCTCAGCTTCCCCACGTATAGAAGGAAGGAGGCGGGAGCGGATGATCTATAGCATTCTAGGACCCTATGCCTCTCAGTACATTTGAAAACTGAGATCCTCACCTCCACAGAAACGCACTCACTCCAGGTGAGGTGTGAGAAGCTGGGTGGATCTAACTCAGGGAACCCACGGCTTTTGACAAGAACTCATCTAATTTTCCACGGAGCCATCTTCTGCCTGCTACCCTCATCATCACTTAAAAAAACAGCTCCCCAGGCCGGGCGCAGTGGCTCACACCTGTAATCCCAACACTTTGGGAGGCCGAGGGCGGATCACCTGATGTCAGGAGTTCGAGACCAGTCTGGCTAACATGGTGAAATCCTGTTTCTACTAAAAATACAAAAATTAGCCGGGCATGGTGGCGCACACTCGTGATCCCAGCTACTCGGGAGGCTGAGGCAGGAGAATCACTTGAATCTGGGAGGCAGAGGTTGCAGTGAGCTGAGATCATGCCATTGCACTCTAGCTTGGGCAACAAGAGAGAAACTCCATCTCAAAGAAAACCAAAACCAACAACAAAAACATAGCTCCCCACCTCCAGCTTGCCTACCTTCCTTCAGGGCACACACCGCAGACACCCTAGGACAGACACCCAAAAGGTGTTGGGGGTGCTAGTGACGGTGCACGGGGGTGACAGCCCCCAAAGCCAGTGAGACCCGTCCCGGGGGGGCATTCTCGTGTGCCGGGCACCCCCCTATGGCTGTCTACAATGTGCTGCTAGATGGTCAGTCCTCCCAATAGCCTCAAAACACGGGCATCTCATTCCATATCAGAGACATGAAGCAACCTGTTCATGTCACAAAAGGAAGAAGTGGAGGTGGCATTCAAGGAGGAGCAGCTGAAAACACTAGAGCAGGCCCCTGGCAGAGAAGGAAATCCAGAAGGTACATGCCGGCTGCCATCTTGCTCCTGAAGGGCTACGAGGCAGAAGAGGGGGCAAGGTCTAAGTGACCACAAGTGGGACTAACTGGGGGCCAGCAGGGAGTCCGACCTTCTGCAGTGGGTGGGCTGCCTCAGCAGGCGGAGGTTCCTCACCATCCTGGGTGCTCATGCAAAGACCACATGGCCTCAAGGATGGCCGCAGGCCAATTGCAGGGTGGAGGGCCCCGTTCGATGACCTTCACGGTGGTTCTAAACCAGCTCTGCCAAGGCAGCGGCACCGGGAGTGACTGGCCTCACTGACGTAGCCATCTCAGCGAGAACCGGCTGAGACCTGGGACAAGGCAACGATAATTACAGCCAAAGGTCTGGCACCAGCCCCTGGCCACCTGTCCCCACCACCACCCCTGGATTAGAGCAACTGCCTTGGTGAACTGGATCAGGCTGGGTTGGGACAAGGTTGTCTCTGGCTCCTCTCTAAAGAGGCACCAGCTCCCTCATGCCCACAGGAGAGGCAGAAGGGGAAAGCCTTCTGGAGTGGCACCTTGGGCCTCTTGGGCACCCTGAGACAGGAAGAGGCTCTCCTGGGGCAGGGGTGGGAGTGGAGAGGACTTTCCTGGTCAGGCTAGAGAAACAGATGACGCCAGCAGGGGAGGGGCTGGCTTGAGCAACCTGGGCCTCCTGACCCCCTCCCAACAGACAGGACAGAAACCCTGGCAAAACCTGGAGGGACACGGTGCGGCCTCCCCCTCTGGCAGAACAGGCATGAGTGTAGAAACTGGGCTGGTGGGAGAGGTTGGGGGGCCTGGGGGACAGGGGGGCAGTTTTCACCTCTGACTGACCCTGGCCAGAAGCCCCATGAACCTGCTCTCGGGAGAACCTGCTCCTTCTGTCCCCACATTGATGGAAGGCAAGAGTACCAGCTTGGCATCCTATCCCAGTCTCCCCACCCCGAGGGAGCTGTGCCAGTCCCAAGCACCCAGGCAAAACCCAGTAGTGGTACCTCAAGACAAGGGAATGGAACAGCGAAGCCAGAAACCACCACCAGCCGCCGCCTTGGCCGGCAGCCCCCGAAGCAAGCCCTTGGTCTCACTGTCCTCACCGGCTTCCTCCACCCTGAGCTGTGTCAGCTGGGTGGGGACTGAGGGCCACCACTAGGTGGAAGTCACCAGGGGTGCAATGTGTGAGACCTGACAAACTTGTTCTGCGGGCTGCGGATGGGTGCGAGGGTGGAATCTCGGTGCTGCGACGAGTGTGGGGCCAGCCGTGGAGGCTCCAGGTGTTCTCTCTGCCCCAGCAGAGCCCGGCAGGAGCCCCAACAGGAAGCCAGCGCGGCATGGCTGCCACCGACTTCGTGCAGGAGATGCGCGCCGTGGGCGAGAGGCTGCTGCTCAAGCTGCAGAGACTGCCCCAGGCTGAGCCCGTGGAGATCGTGGCCTTCTCAGTCATCATCCTTTTCACAGGTTAGTTGGGGCACTCAGCACCCCATGGCTCTCCCTGGCATCTGGGAGAGACCACACCATGGTGCCAGCCAGAGGGCTGGCAGAGGTGGCGGGTGTCTGCCGGATCAAGGAGGAAAACCAGTTGTCCCTTGGGGGAAGCCAAGGGACTTCCCTCATCCTCTGATATGCTGCTTGGGTGATGGGCGGTGCTGGGGACTGGGCCCAGCAGTACCCCGGGATCCCAAACGCGGGGATGACGGGAGCCAGGCTTGGGCAGTGAAAGAGAAGACACAACATGGAGGAGGTTGGCCCTGGCGGCTGGCATGGGGACCGTCCGCACCTCTCACCAGCCTCTCGGATCTTTCTGACCTCCACCAAACCTGTGGGGGAAAGACCCTGGCAGGCAGTGGGTTTCTCTGGGAGGAGGGTGGGCATCCTTTCTCTCCCCCAACCTGAGTCCCGTGCTCTCTCCCGGCCCTCCAGCTACTGTTCTGCTGTTGCTGCTGATAGCCTGCAGCTGCTGCTGCACTCACTGCTGCTGCCCTGAGCGGAGAGGCAGGAAGGTCCAGGTGCAGCCGACACCACCATGACGGACGGGCGATGGCTGAGGAGAAGCTGGAGAGGAGATGGCCAATGCCATGACACAGGCCATCAGCCTGGCCCTGCAGCCCTTACCCCTCAAGACCAGGCTCCCCTGGCCCCAGCTCTGGCCCAGCCCAGGTACCTGGACACTGACAACTTGAGCCCTACCAAGGAAACAAGGGCTGGTATAGGTGCAAACCTCTCATCTGCCAGTGGACACTGGGTGCTGGGGAGTCAGCTGTTTCAAAGACTGGGTCAACTGCCTGGGCTTCTTCGCCTACCTGCACTTTTTAACAAAACAAGGAAGTAGGGGTCCCCATACCTTGATGGAGAACAGTCCCCACCTGTGGGCAATTGGCCCTTGGGGCTCTGCTGATACATGCCAAAGAGGAGCAAGGCAATCAGAGGGGCTTTGTGCAATAGCTTCTGCATCCGAGCTCCCGCCAGAGCGTGAGCATGTCAGTATTCTAGTCCAGTATTTGCCAGTTTCCAAGTAAAAGCTTTTGTGTTACGTGTTTCTGCGGTGCCGGACTCCCTGAGGTTGGGCTGGGCTCTGTACATTGGGAGGGGGTATGGCTGGTGCCCGTCCTTCCCAGGCCTCTGCTCTCCCTGTGCCCACGAAAGCTGGAAAACCACGCAGAGAAGCATGCCACACAGGCGGTTAACACCACGGGACCAGTGGACGGTGCCATGAAATTCCTGTCATGCATTAGCTGCTAATGAGCTCTGCCAGGCTGAGGCACTACTCTGCAGAGTGGCAGAGACTGTGTTTGCCCAAAGGCAGGAGCTAAGCTCAGGAACAGCACTTTACTCTGTCAACTGCCTGCACCTTTGGCCTGCACATCCCACACTAGCAGACTCAGACCAGTGGGTCTTCACAAACTGCCAGAGGAAGGCCCTAATGTCACCTGTAACCTGCCTCCTGACCCTGTGGCCCTCCCCCATTTGTGTGCTGTCTGGGCTCACACCCTCACCCTGTCAGCTGCGTGACTCAACTTCCCTAAGCCGAACTCCCCCTTGGTGAAATGGAGCAAATCCTGGTACTGCTTCCTGGGGTTTGCTGTGAGGATAAACTAAGATGACCTATGTCTAGCACTCAGCTCGGTGCTGGGCATATCTTTAGAGCCCCATCACCATGACCCGTTATTATTTGCCCCTCTAAACATGGGACCAACCAGGGCAACAGGGACCCATTTTAAAGACTGGTCTTGCTGAGAAGCAGCACCTTTCCTTCCTTACCCCCTCCTTTCAGCTGAGTTTTTCTTCCAGAGAACTTTCCAGGTAGAGCTACGAACCCAGGAGTGAGGGGAGGGGAGGCACATGGCTCCAGAAATGCCAATGGGTCCAGACAGAGCATCCCGAGGTGCCTCCCCGGGGCTTCCCCAGAGCCTCAAGAAGTCTGTGTTTTTCACATGCTTCCATCATCTTGGCCTGCGTGACCCGTGCTCTGGCCACCTGGGAGCAGAGCCCTGTCTACCTGGGAAACATGTCATGGAGAGGGGATCCCAGCCCCTGCCACACCCCCGCCATTTCCAGCTGGCAGTCCAGGCCACACTGGCAATAGCAGGCAGGGAGGGGAAGCTCTCACCCTCTGGTTTCACTTTCTAGTGTCCACGGACTTGTCTGACAGGTTTAGGTTAAAGACCCAGAGAGTAAGTGTTTTCATACAAAAGAAAAGAAATTCAAAAATTTGTCCATTCTCAGCCCCCTCCAAAGAATAGGATTCAGAATGATGACGATGATCATGAGGAGGAGGATGAAGATGATGATGAAGATGGCTAAAATTTACTGAGGAGTTACACATACTCAGCATTGTCTTCAGCATTTTGGTGCAGATAAACTCAATTACTCATCACAGTACCTCCATGTTGAAGATACCACTATTACCCCCATTTTAGAGATGAGGAAGCTGGGCCTCAGCGATGTTAGGTAACTTGTCTACATTCAACCAGCTGAAAAGGAGCAGGGCCTGCTTGAGTCCAGCCTATCTGGCTCCAGAGCCTCTGCTTACCACACCCAGGGCTCTGAGACCCAGAACTTGGCCTCCTGGTTGCAGTACAGATAAGGCTCTAATCCATTATCCTCCATCGACCAACCCTACACCCAAAACACCCACACCCCAAACTCTGTCTCAAAATAACCTTCGCAGGACTGGGTGGGACCCAACAGGTAAGAGCTGGGGTGGTGCCCAATGAGGCACCCCTCCCGGAAGAAAAACACAGGGTAGTGGACGGACAGGAAACCCTGCATTTTTCATTCCCAGCACCAATGGCTGGAGGGTCCCTGGAAGCCTTCTGTTTGGGAGATGGCCAACAGGGAAGCAGCCCAATTCCTGGGTGACTTTTCCATAAGCCAGTTTTCATCAGCATAAGAATAGCCCTGCTCCAGGGCGGCTGAGGCTGAGGCCCTTTGTTAGAAAATATTCTGCTTCCCCAGCCCAGCTGCGGAGAGGTGGGAACCACAGACAGCCCTGGGCACAGACAGGCCGAATGGCCGCTCTAGGGCAGGCGGTGAACAACTGCTGAGTCCGCACAGGATTCGGTCCCTGCCCTCACAGGACTCACTCCTCCCTGCTCCTTGGCCAACTGGCACACACCAGGCCCGGCTGTCGGGCCAACTCCTTCACAGGCTTCAAACCCACTGAGATTAACAAACCAGACCTGCTCTCCGACAGCAGCCTGGCCCGCTCCTTTAAGAGGCAGCTTCTTGTGCCGGTCTTCCCTGGGGAAGATGGGCATGGAAAGGTGGCAGCAGTTGCCCCACTGTGGGAAAGAATAAACAGAAAGATGCTGCAGACCTGGGCGGCCTGAAGACAGGTGGGGGCCATGGAAGGGGCAGCCATCAGGCTGGTTTCAGGTTTAGAGGACGTCTGACTTGGTCACCACCTCTCTGTTCCCGCCACTGTGCCATCCTGGACCATGCCACCATCAATGCTTACCTGTGGTCACTGCAGCAGCATCCTAAGTGGTCCCCACAATCATGTCGCCAGCCTCTTCATGCCCACCCCAAGCTGTGCCCTCTGCTTCCGCCACAGGGCAGGCTGCTCTCGGCTCCTCAAAAGGGCTGCACTCTACTCTGAAGACCTGCGTGCCACACTGTCTGTACATCATGCCTGATTAAAAGCTACAATAGGGATGGGCGTGGTGACTCCTGCCTGTAATCCCAGCACTTTGGGAGGCTGAGGCAGGCAGATCATTTGAAGTCAGGAGTTCAAGACCAGCCTGACCAACATGGTGAAACCTGTCTCTACTAAAAATACAAAAAAATTAGCCGGGTGTGGTGGCGCACGCCTGTAGTCCCAGCTACTCGGGAGGCTGAAGCAGGAGAATTGCTTGAACCCAGGAGGCAGAGGTTGCAGTGAGCTGAGATCACGCCACCGCACTCCAGCCTGAGCGACAGAGTGAGATTCCGTCTCAAGCAAACAAACAAAAAACAACAACAGACCAGCATAGTATATCACATGCATGTAATCCCAGCACTTTGGAAGGCCAAGGATCCTTGAGCTCGGGAGTTTGAGACCAGCCTGGGCAACATGGGGAGACCCTGTCCCTACAAATATAAAAAAAAATTAGCCAGGTGTGGTAGCATACACCTGTGGTCCCAGCTACTCCTGTGGAGGTTGAGGCAGGAGGACTGCCTGGGGCATGACAGTGGCACTGCACTCCAGCCTGAGTGACAGAGCAAGACCCTGTCTCAAAAAAAATAAAATAAAAATAAAAAATGACAATAAAGCCACGGATACAAGAATCTCATTAGAAAAACTTGGCAGAGAGTATATAAAAGTTTCCTCCCAACCGGGCATGGTGGCACACGCCTGTGATCCCAGCTACTCAGGAGGCTGAGGCAGGAGAATCGCCTGAACCCGGGAGACAGAGGTTGCAGTGAGCCAAGATCACACCACTGCACTCCAGCCTGGGCTACAGAGTGAGACTCTGCCTCAAAAAAAAAAAAAAAAATTATCCAATTGGGGCCGGCAGTTAATTGAAAGAGCTGGTCAAAGCAACTTTTGTTAAAGAACACCTAAGTTCTCTACACATCTATTACTTTTTTACATATCTCACATTAAATGGAAACATACACCTTTTCCTTGGCCGGCCTTCCTGGCCTTTTCTCTGAGTGTGGGCTTGCCAACCAGAGCTCCTGGATTGCTATCTTCTAGTTTTGGTTGAGTGTGGGCTTGCCAACCACAGCTCCTGGATTGTTATTTTCTAGTTTTGGTTTCTTTAAAGCAGAACAAAAACTTAAAGTCATTGGAACTTAAAGGCAAAGGAAGCTGGGTGTGAAAACCTTCTGGGTTTTTACAAAATGTCCCTGATGTTTAGTTATCATGTCTGCATCTTTTTCAACAGGAACATTATCTGAGTGATTCCAAAGTCATCCCAAAGTAGTCAATAGGTATTTCTAGAAAGAATTTCTTTCTCCACTCGCTCTGAGGTGCAGCACAGGTGCTTCAGCGCTCAGACTGTGTGCTGCTGGATTCAAACTCCAACTCAGTTACTTACTAGCTGATGACCTCGGCTAAGTTATTTAACCTCTCTGTGCCCGTTCCCCACATGTAAAATTGGGGTTTCAGCTATTATTGTTGCTTCATTGGTTCCCGGGATGTTAAATTCAATTATGTAATTACAAGTACAACTGCCATGAACAGGTTTGGGAACCAACACTTGACTCTTGATAAGCATCTGACTTAACTGACGGAGCTGCACGCAAAGGGTGAGCTAGAGACTGGCCCACTGCTGTGAGCGTTCAGCATGCCAAGGGCCTTAGTCAGTAAGTTTCACACAAGGAAACAGAAAACATCAGGTAACCCGGGTCAGTGACGCCCATGATAGTTAAGAACGACTGTTCTAAATCTGCCTCCATCTGTCATCCAACCCTGGCCACACCTGGGGAGAATCACCTGGGGATGTGTAAACAATACGACATCCTGGCAACCCCAGAGACTGATATAAGTGGTACCAGGTGGGGCCTGGGCATTTCTCAAAGCTCCTAGATCTTTACCAGCTGGGATAAGCACCCGAGGGCTAGAAGGGAAGCCCTTGGAGGGCAGGGCCCGCCTCTCTGATCTCACAACTGGACACACAGTGCCTGGCATGGTTCCTGGCCATAGCGGGCCCTCACATCCTAGCTTTTAAAGGAGTATATGGTGGCCACTAGGTTTCAAGCACCAGGGCACAGGCTTGATCCCCTCTTCCCAGCTTCCCTATTGTGCCAGTGGGCAGAAACCAACCACACAATGTTGCTGAGGCCGTGCCCAGGGAGCAGACAAAGGCACCAATGGGAAGCCTCAGGGGGGGAGCAACACTTCCCCCAGAAACAGTTCCAGGAGGCACCAGGCGCCAGCCAGGGCTGCAGTTAATCATTCACCCCACAACACAGGAAGTGAGCCCTACGCCAGTCCCAGCCCCAGGGCTTCCTGAGCTCGGGGCAGGTCCGCAGTCCACACGTCACCCAGACAGAGGACAGCCCAGCCCAGCCACAGGTGAGGCGGCCTGATGGCCTGGGGCAAAGGCCCTCGGTCCAGTCTCTTCCCCGTCCACCCCAAGTCTGACTTCTCTCAGGAGGGACTCATGAACACGTGCCCTGAGCACCCCCAAAATGACATCACACAAGGGCAGAAAGGAGCTGAAGGGGGAACGTGAAAGGCAGAAAGGGAGCCGTGGTTGCCAGGCAACCAGCCCTAGCCCACCTTTGTTTGTTTGGTGACAGCAACTAAGGTCTGGTCAGGGCCGCTTGGCCACGCTCATGCCTTTTCCTCTCAACAGTTGCTTCTTTGAGTCAGGGTGCAGCTCTGGTCACCTGGCGGCCTCTTCAGCTCAGCCCTCCACAAAGTGTGAGCCTGAAGGACCACCCTGAATTGCCCTTGTAGGACCCAGAACAGCTACCAGCAGAATCAGGTAATGGCTCCCTCCTTCTCCACCTGGGCTGCCCTCACCTGGCTATGGGCTTGCAGTCTGCGATAAGGAGCTCCGCTTCTAGAGGACTCCTAAGTTCTATTCTCAGCTGCTCCAAGGAGGCTACCGAGGCCTCAGCTGGAGTTGGCCCCTCCTCGGCTCCTATACGCTCTCTCAAATGCCTCCCAAATGTTTGGCAGTTGGGGCAGGAAAAACAGGGAGACTCTATCATGATGCTTTTTAGATTCTAGCCAAGTAGGTCTCAGGGATGAGAGAGAGTCCTTGCTCACACTTGCTACTCAGGAAAGAAGGACTGGAGAATCCAGGGGCATCCCCTAGGAAGAATCCAGGGCCCCACTTCTTGCGCCAGTCCTGGCTCCTGTATCTAGAGCGGGGGAAATGCCATTTGCTGCTGGCTGCAGGCATCCAGCACAAAGACTCTAGCCCTTTCATGTCCCCTGGCTGCCAGGCGGGCCGGCTGCTCACAGAGGCTGCTACAGAGGCTGGAGTCGGCGGGCAGAGCATAGCACCTGGGACAGGGCCTGGGAGGGCTGCCTGCACTCAGGTCCTCTGTCCCTCTTTTCCAGATTCTCATGGACCAACTGGTATTCAAAGAGACAATCTGGAATGATGCGTTCTGGCAGAACCCCTGGGACCAGGGGGGCCTGGCAGTGATTATCTTATTCATCACCGCTGTCCTGCTTCTCATCTTATTTGCCATCGTGTTTGGTTTACTCACTTCCACAGAAAACACTCAGTGTGAAGCGGGTGAAGAGGAGTGACCTGACTTGCTGGGGACTGAGATGGCAGCAGGGGAGGCGAGCTGACCTGCCCCCATTCCAGTGGTGGGCCCCTTCGCGGTTCCCTCTGGCTCAGGGGCCAAGCCCTGGTGTCTTCCTTTCCCATCAGGAAAAAGTCTAGTAAAATACTGTATCTGGCTTAGGGTTGGTCAGACTAGTAAGATGGGGAGGCTGGTCTGAGACCAATTCTGGCTCCTTGACCCTATTGTTTTTAGGGTTCCCCGACCAGAACCCTAAAAGCACATGGAGAGGATGGCTCCACTGCCTCAGGTGGAAGGAGCTATGGCTAACAAGGTTCTCTAACAGGCTCACAGGCCCAGCCAGCAATTTCACAAATCCTTGACAGAGAAAGACACAACCAAATGAAATAAAAATTCCTTTTCAAATCTGCTAACTTGTGAGAGCTCATTTTTAATCCAGATAGAGCCACCAGAGCAAGCTTCCCGAACAAAGCCGCACCGGGGCCTGCACGCTCTAGCCTGCCTGTCTCCAGCCATCTTGCCCACCCCATCCTGCCCTGCCCCTGGGTTCTCAGCGTGTCTTTCAGTTCTTGAATATGCTGTGTTCTCTCCCACCACAGGGCCTTTGCACATGCTATTCTCATTGACCGGGATGCTCTCCCTCACACCACACTTTACTCTATGGCCTAGTTAGTCCTTCCTCATCCTTTGTATCTCCGTTTGAACCTGACTCCCTCAGGTAAATCTTCCCTAACCCTCAAGGATTAGGGTAAGGCCACTTGTTTTATACTCTCGAAACACCATTTACAGGACTTATATGTCTTTGTTGTTGTTGTTTCTTTGTTTTTGAGACAGAGTCTTGCTCTGTCACCCAGGCTAGAGTGCGGTGGCGCTATCTGGGCTCACTGCAAACTCCACCTCCCGGGTCACGCCATTCTCCTGCCTCAGCCTCCCGAGTAGCTGGGACTACAGGCTCCCACCACCGTGACCGGCTAATTTTTTTGTATTTTTAGTAGAGATGGGGTTTCACCGTGTTAGCCAGGATGGTCTCGATCTCCTCACCTTGTGATCCACCCGCCTCAGCCTCCAAAGTGCTAGGATTACACGCATGAGCCACGGCGCCCGGCCTTTTTTTTTTTTTTTTTTTGAGATGGGGTCTCACTCCCATCACCCAGGCTGCACTGTAGTGGCACCATCTCGGCTCACTGCAGATTCGACTTCTGAGTTTACATGATCCTCCCATCTCAGCCTCCTGAGCAGCTGGGACTACAGGCATGTGCCACCATGCCTGGCTAATTGTGTTTTTTGGTTTTTTTTTTTTGTATTTTTAGTAGAGACAGGGTCTTGCCATGTTGCCCAGGCTGGTCTTGAACTCCCAGGCTCAAGCGATCCTCCCACTTCAGCCTCCCAAAGTGCTGGTATAACAGGTATGAGCCACCATGGCCGGCTCTGGGACGGGGCTATTTCTGCCCACTAGTGTATCCCCCATGTCCAATGTGCCTGGCACAGAGCTGGCATCAGTCAATATTTATCAGCTGAATAAATGAATGAATGAGTAAACACACAGAGAAACAAGAAGATGCCAGGCTGTTGGGCACCCCCAGCCCCAAGATCCCAGGAAACAACAGGGCCCAATTCAATCCAGGTCTAAACACAAGGCTGCTCTTCCATCTCAAGATGCCGAGGCCTCAAGCTGGAGGTTGCTTCAAACCTAATAACTGTTCCCTGTGACACTAAAAGACACTCATTGTTATGAATAATCAAACACTGCTTTTTCAAGGCTGCAGCCCAGAGAAAGTAGCTACAGATAGAGAAGAGAGGAAAACCGCTGGCTGCCACAGCCCCGCCTCATTAGTTAACTGACCTGAGTATCTTTTCTGCTGGTCCCACTCCCATGTGCCTCAGACCCCACAACAAACTGACAAGAAACCTACAGCTTCCTTTGCAGAAATGCACCCACTTCTGCTGAGCCCACCCCACTAGCTCTGTCCCTCACTGCCAGGTGCCCGCCCCAAGGGATCGCTGGTGGGAGGCTGCTTCGACCTCAGCCTCCAATGAGAACTATTCTTAGGAAGCAAATATCTGGTGGAGAAGGGGCTTTTTCTTTGTGCTACACGCCAGTTATGCAATAAAGAAACATTCACTTATTCAAAGAACAGTAGCCAATACAGACATACCAGCAGCGTTTATTCCAGCCTGCTGCCTGGATTTCAGAATCATCACATGTAGCAAAGGAGACAGGCACGAGGCTGCTCAAGAGGCAGCGCAACACCGTCACCTGGACTCCTTGAGTCCACAGATGCCTGGACCCCAGCCCCTGGCAACCAGGCCACTGATGCACTAAGAAGTCCCAGCTCCCCGGAAGGTGACAGGAGAAATGAAGGCAGAGGCCCTTGGGAGGACCTGTTCCCTTGCCTGGCAGGCGGAGCAGACCCTGGGGACAGGCAGAGTTAACCCTCCAGAGAGCATTCCAGAGCCTCAGACAGCCCCAGAGCTTTTTTCAGCAAACAGGACTCACAATGAACAGGAACACTTGGCCCTTTCATTCCTCACCAGAAATAAGAGCTCTGCTCAAGAAGCCTAAGAAGGCCAAATTTAGCAACTCCCATATTAATTGTGCTTGAAAAGGGCTCTGGTCGCAAAGGCTGCAGGCAAGGGTGGTCCTGGCACTGCAGCCGACCACTTTTGCTGGGCGTGGTCTTGCCACAGAGGCCAAATTAGAGACAGCAGTTTGGAGAAGAAAATAGCTTCAGTCCAGAAGCCACCGACTCACTGGTCAACAGGAGGAGGTGGAAATAAAAACACACAGCCCAAAGAGTTTCTCTGATTTCCTCGCTTTTTTCTTGCAAAAACCAAGATGGCCCAGGTGTATGCAAATGAGGACGCCACTGAAAATCAGGAGACGGGTGTTTAGTGGCCTCAGTCTACCATGAGCTTCGTGACTGTGACCTCTCTGGACCTCAATTTATTCACCTCTAAGTCTGAAGCAATCACGTCAGCGTCATCCGACAGGATCATTCCATGAGATGAGATGAATCCAAGAGCTTTTTAGACCAAAATGTAAAAACTCCTCCTGGGTGTCTCTCCTGCAGGCACTCACAGCTCCGCATGCCTGGACACAACCTGACTACACCAAGCAGCCCTCAGACTCTTTCCGTGGCCCCTGCCCCATCGCCTGCAGATGCAGGTAAAACAGATGCGTGAGTTCAAAGCACATGACTCCCCGAGGTAAGTGGGGCCACAGGCTTCTGTGTGGGTCCTGGATAAGGGTGAGGACTACTCAAGTGATGCCAGAAGTCCCAGCTCGGTGGCACATGATGACCACAAAGCCGATGGCTCAGAGCTGGTCACATCCCTTGGAACTGAGTGGCTTGTGGGGCCAGCCATCCCAGAAGAGGGTGGAGTGGAGGGAAGGACACCACTCAGAATACTGAGCAAATCCCCACACTGCGAGAGATCCCGGGGCCTCCAATAGAGAAGAGCAAGGTCCTGACTTCCACACTGCCCGACACAACAGCCTTTGCAGGCAGGTGTCCCTTGGTAGCCTACGGGCTGTCTTATGTCAGCTGCTTAACTAGGGCGTGCCGGGGAAGTAAATGATCTCACTGACACTTTGCTCCACATATAAAATAAGTCACTTACCCCAGTTCTTCACAGAAGGTCACCAGGGCATCAAAGGCCATGATAGTGGCTTTATCAGATGCTTTGTTTCCTCTCTTTTCCTGGGGACAAAAAATGACCACTTAGCAAGTCTTATAGAATTGGACTACCTTAGAGCCACAAAAAGTAATGAGGAGGCCGAGTGCGGTGGCTCACGGCTGTAATCCCAGCACTTTGGGAGGCTGAGCCAGGAGGATCATTTGAGGTCAGGAGTTCGAGACCAGCCTGACCTACATGGTGAAACCCTGTCTCTACTAAAAATACAAAAAAATTAGCCAGGTGTGGCAGCGCATGCCTGTAGTCCCAGCTACTTGGGAGACTGAGGCAGAAGAATCACTTGAACCCAGGAGGTGGAGGTTTCAGCAAGCTGAGATCATGCCACTGCACTCCGTCTCAAAAACAAAAAAAAGTAACAAGGGAGAAAAATATTAAATGACAGTAATAAAGCCATTTACAAAAGTGTCCCCAAACCTGACTATGTATCATAACCCCCAGACTACTGAACTGAATTTTCTGGGATGAGCTTTTGAGAGTTTCCGAAAAGCTTCTCAGGAGGTTCTCATGCAAAGGGCCCACAGACTGGCATTTAGGAAGCGCTATATAATATCACCTATTTTAATAATAGTAAATACACGCACAAATGTTGTGAACTTAACAAATATGAACACATATACTTCTGTGTATATTGGAGGGAGATATATTAAAAGGTTAAGTGACTCTTCTTGATAAGCTTAAAACATGAATTTAAAATACAATTTAAAACCTGTAATCCCAGCACTTTGGGAGACTGAGGTGGGCGGATCACCTGGGGTCAAGAGTTCGAGACCGGCCTTGCCAACATGTTGAAACTCCATCTCTACTAAAAATACAAAAATTAGCCAGGCATGGTGGTGCATGTCTGTGATCCCAGGTACTCAGGAGGCTGAGGCAGGAGAATCACTTGAACCCGGGAGGCAGAGGCTGCAGTGAGCTGAGATCGTGGCACTGCACTCCAGCCTGGGCAACAGAGCAAGACTCCATCTCAAATAAAATAATAAAATAAAATAAAATAATGCTTGACCTGCCGACTCAGAAACCCATGTGGGGTGGGGGTGGGCAGCTGCCAGCTACACCAGGAGAGCAAGATTCCCAAGCCCTTCAGTTGGCACCCAAGGGGCCAGTGTGCACCACTTGGATCACACAACCAGAAAACAGGAGGACCCCAAAGGTTTCCTGAGTCTCTACTTACCAGGGAGGCTGTGTGCGGCCCTGCCAGCTCATGCCTGAGCACAGCATCCCAGATGGGGCAGAGCAGGGTACGGCTGGGCAGGGGAGGTGGGCTCTGGAAGGTGCTAATGGTAGCAGACAGGGTGTTGCCTCCTGCCTGCAGGTAGGGAGCACCCTGAATGAGCGGGCTGAGCTGGGCTGGTCACCAGGCCTGGACCCACAGCTCCTTTGGCTATGGACTAATATCAGAGGAGTGGCTTATGGGAAGTGGATAGCAGGAAGCGCTGAGGCCTGGCTCCTGAGCGCAGGGTAAAGCTGGGGGAAGGAGATGGTACTGTGAAGGCAGATAAAGGGGCAAGAGCCTCAGGTTTCTGTCCCCCACCCCACTTCCCTGGGGCTTTCCAAACCAAAGCCTGCAACTAACTTAAAAGGAAGAAAAAGCACTTAAGTTACCAACAACTACCAAACTCCCCCAAAGCCCCTCTCACAAAATCCAAACTGTTTTCTCATCTCCACTCCTGCCTCCCCCACACAATATAGTTTCCTGTTTTCTTTTTAAAATGTTGCCTGCCACCTCTCCACCTGGGAAACCCAAGGCATGACTGCCGGTTGCTGGTGACAGGCACACAGCAGGCAGAGCCCCATCTTTGGTGGTGGGGCGGAGGGAGGTGGGGGCACCAGTCCCTGCCACATCCTCAATCCGCAGACACTCATCAGCCAGCCTTCCCTTTGGCTCCCACTAGAGGGGAGTAGGGCAATAGCAGGTGGTCCCCACAGCTGAGCAACAACAGCTCCAGGCCTTCCCACCAGGAAGACCTCTGCACCCTTATCCAATTCAAAGTACAGGCTCACCTTGGGCCAGGAACCACTATTAGGTAAGGAATGGGCACTATACATTTCAAATGTGGACACCTGGTCAGGGCAGTGGAACTCTAAAGATGGCAGCCAACTTCCTTCCTTGCCCATTCCTGGAGGTAATTCCCCTCTTAGTGACCGAAGCTCTGGTGCAGCTCTGCTCAGAGACCGTTCCTGGCTTCACTCTGTTATAAGCCTGTCTATGGACTTGTGGCTGAATCAACTAGCAGAATACTGAGCATTTGTGAGTGATGTGATTATTCATCAGCGGCCTTTTTTGTGTACATGTCTATTTGCCAACATATCCTTTTAAAATACTGTGAATTATTTAATACAGAAAAGGAAAAAAAGAGCCCGGGCATGGTGGCTTATGCCTGTAATCCCAGAACTTTGGGAGGCTGAGGTAGGTGGATCACTTGAGGTCAGGAGTTCGAGACCAGCCTGGCCAATGTGGTGAAACCTGTCTCTACTAAAAATACAAAAATTAGCCAGGCGTGGTGGTGGGCGCCTGTAATCCCAGTTACTTGGGGGGCTGAGGCATGAAAATTGCTTGAACCTGGGAGATGGAGAATGCAGTGAGCTGAGATTGCACCACTGCACTCCAGCCTGCACGACAAAGACTGTCTGAAAAACAAAACAAAACAAAACAAAACAAAAAAAAAACCCCAAAAAAACAAAAACCAGACACTGATATCTGAGACATCATCTATTGAGTTTCTGCTTTGGGCAGGTAACTCATCCCCACCAATACACACAAATACACACAGATTCTGTACCCCCAACTTCCCAATATGTTTACAACACAATTTCTTATTAAATCCATATTTTCCTTATTATGACTATGTCAACAGAGTTCACAGCTAAACCGAAGTGATTGCATTTTTATATTTCCTGTGATCACATTTCCTTTCTTGTGTAACTGTGTTTCCCCTGAAATAGCTTTGTTTTTCTCCATTTACTTAGATTTCAGTATGTTATTAATTCACCCCTAACTGTCCTAACATAATGAACAATTCATTTCGATAGGAGCCAGAGATGCCAGCTTCCACTTTGATGTTTAGAACCTTCCTTCCTGGAGTCTTCTGCCCCCTAGTGCAATCTGGACCAGTTTTCCCTAGGCCTGGGACACAGCTGTCTTTCCGGACTACTCTCCAATATTGTCCTGTGCCAAGACTTACTCCTGGGTAAGTTTCCATCTTTGCTTTCTAGGTTTACTGCCTCTCTACAATGGAGAACATCCTTTAATAGCTTCTGAGACATGACATACCAGGGGAAAGTTTTTGAAACCTTTGTTATCTGAAGATGTCTTTTTTTTCCTTCAAGTTTCCACATACAGCATTGCATTTTTATTTGTTTATTTATTTATTTTTTTGGAGACAGAGTCTTGCTCTGTCACCCAGTCTGGAGTGCAGTGGCATGATCATAACTCACTGCAGCCTTGAATTCCTAGGCTCAAGCAATCCTCCCAGCTCAGCATCCTGAGTAGCTAGAACTACAGGCGCACATCACCATGCTCAGCTAATTTTTTTTATTATTATTAGTTTTTGAAACAGGGTCTCACTCTGTTACCCAGGTTGGAGTGCAATGGTATGATCTCAGCTCACTGCAGCCTTGACCTCCTGGACTCAAGTGATCCTCCCACCTCAGCCTCTTGCGTAGCTGGAACTACAGGTGCATACCACTACACCCAGCTAATTTTTAAATATTTTGTAGAGATAAAGTCTTGTTACATTGCCCAAACTACTCAAACTCCTGGCCTCAAGAGATCCTCCCATGTCATTCTCCCGAAGTGTTGGGATTACAAGCATGAGCCACCTCACCCAGCCTAACATTTTTAAACATGTCATTTGATAAATTTTTCTGGGAACTTTCTTTTCATATTATTTGCTTTTCATATCCTTTGTTCAAGCGATTTTCCTACTTCAGCCTCCCGAGTAACTGGGATTACAGGAGCCCGCCACCACGCGCGGCTAATTTTTGTATTTTTAGTAGAGACGGGGTTTCACCATGTTGGCCGGCTGGTCTCGAACTACTGGCCTCAAGTGATCCGCTCGCCTTGGCCTCCCAAAGTGCTGGGATTACAAGCATGAGCCCCTGCGCCTGGCCTTTTTTTTTTTGAGACAGAGTCTCGCTCTATCACCCAGGCTGGAGTGCAGTGGTGCAATCTGGGCTCACTGCAAGCTCCGCCTTCCGGGTTCATGCCATTCTCCTGCCTCAGCCTCCCGAGTAGCTGGGACTACAGGCGCCCGCCACGACGCCCAGCTAATATTTTTGTATTTTTAATAGAGATGGGGTTTCACCATGTTAGCCAGGATGGTCTTGATCTCCTGACCTCGTGATCTGCCCACCTCGTCCTCCCAAAGTGCTGGGATTACAGGCGTGAGCCACCGCACCTGGCCTTTTTAATTTTTATTTTTATTTTGAGACAGGGTCTCACTTTGTCGCCCAGGCTGGAGTGCGTCCTCCACTCCATGGTATGATCTCAGCTTACCGCAACCTCAACCTCCTAGGTTCAAGTGATTCTCCCACCTCAGCCTTCCCAGTAGCTGGGACTACAGGTGTGTGCCACCATGCTTGGCTAATTTTTGTATTTTTTTTGTTAGAGACGGGCTTCACTATGTTGGGCCGGATGGTCCTGAACTCCTAACCTCAGGTGATCTGCCTGCCTTGGCCTCCCAAAGTGCTGGGATTACAGGCAAGAGCCACTGCTCCTGGCCCCAGAGCTTGTTTTCTCTTGGTGAGATTTTAGTTTTCTTCATCTAAATCAGTGGTTGTCAACCCTGGCCATATATTCAAAGCAACTGGGGAGCTTTTTTTGGTTTATTTTGAGACCGACTTTCACTCTTGTTGCCCAGGCTGGAATGCAATGGCGCGATCTCGGCTCACCACAACCTCCACCTCGTGGGTTCAAGTCATTCTCCTGCTTCAGCCTCTTCCAAGTAGCTGGGATTACAGGCATGCGCCACCACACCTGGCTAATTTTGCATTTTTTTAGTAGAGACGGGGTTTCTCCATGTTGGTCAGGCTGGTCTCAAACTCCCGACCTCAGGTGATCTGCCCGCCTCAGCCTCCCAAAGTGCTGGGATTACAGGCGTGAGCCACCGCACCCAGCCTACTGGGGAGCTTTTTGAAAAAAACTCGTGTTAACAGCTTGTAACACTTATTCCTAAGTATTTTATAAGTTTTATTGTTGTAAATTAAGTTTTTTTTTTGTTTCTATTTCTAGGTATTTATGGTAATGTGGAGAAAAGCTACTGATTTTTTTTTTCCTTGGCTCTCATCTGACTAGAGAAAAGCTACTGATCTTTAAACTATTTCTCTTATATTCAACCAGTTTGCCAGATTTTCTTATGATTGAGTAGATTTCTAGTAGGGTTTTTGTGTTTCTAGGCACAATGTGTTGTCATTTCTACCTGCTGTTGTCTTCTCTCCTACTTTCATTATCCTTGCGAATTTATGTATATTTATCCTTCTATTGTCTTTTTTTTTTTTTTTTTTGAGACAGAGTCTCACTCTGTCCCCCAGGCTGGAGTGCAGAGGCGTGATCTCGGCTCACTGCAAGCTCTGCCTCCTGGGTTCACGCCCTTCTCCTGCCCCAACCTCCCAAGTAGCTGGGACTACAGGCGCCCGCCACCACGCCCGGCTAATTTTTTGTATTTTTAGTAGAGACGGGGTTTCACCGTGTTAGTCAGGATCGTCTTGATCTCCTGACCTCGTGATCCACCCGCCTCGGCCTCCCAAAGTGCTGGGATTACAGGCGTAAGCCATCGCGCCCGGCCCCTTTATTGTCATTTTGGCAGAGATTAGAAATAAGTACTTATAGGCTGGACACGGTGGCTCACGCCTGTAATCCCAGCACTCTGGGAGCCTAAGGTGGGAGGCTCACTTGAGCTCAGGAGTTTGAGACCAGCCTGGGTAACATAACAAGAGCTCGTCTCTACAAAACAAACAAACAAAAAACAAGGGAAGATTAAGCCAGGTGCAGTGGCACATGCCTCTGGTCCCAGCGACTTGAGAGGCAGAGGCAGGAGGATCACTCGAGCCCAGGAGTTCGAGGGTATACTGTGCTATGATTACGCCTGTGAATCACCACTGCACTTGAGCCTGAGCAACACAGAGAGACCCCATCTCTTTAACAAAAGAAACAAGGCAGTACTGATCTTGACCACATAAAATAACATGTACACAAAAGACAATATTAAGGCCGGGAGCAGTAGCTCACACCTGTAATCTCAGTAGTTTGGGAGTTTGAGGCAGGAGGATTACTTGAGCCCAGGAGTCATGAGACCAGTCTGGGCACCATAGTGAAACCCCATCTCTGCCAAAAACTGAAAAAAAAATTAGCTGGGCGTGGTGGCACACACCTGTGGTCCCAGCTACTCAAGGTGGGAAGATTATTTATGGCCAGGAGTTAGAGGCTGCTGTGAACCATGACTATGCTACTGCACTTTAGCCTGGGTGACAGTGAGAGACCTTGTCTCTTAAAAAAAAAAAAAAAAAAAAAGGTGGGCACAGTGGCTCATGCTTGTAACCCCAACACTTTGGGAGGCCGAGGCAGGCGGATCACGAGGTCATGAGATCGAGACCATCCTGGCCAACATGGTGAAACCCTGTTTCTACTAAAAATACAAGAATTAGCTGGGCATGGTGGCATGCACCTGTAATCCCAGTTACTCAGGAGGCTGAGGCAGAAGAATCGCTTGAACCCGGGAGGCGGAGGTTGCAGTGAGCCGAGTTCATGCCATTGCACTCCAGCCTGAGCGACGGAGTGAGACTCTGTCTCAAAAAAAAGAAAAAAGAAAAAAAGCTAGTATTAAGATAATTTAAATATTTAAATATTTAGAAAGAAAAAGTCTAACCTAGCTTGTTGTAAGCTGCCTACCTAACCAATACGCCATTTCCCTTTGCTATACTTACAGGTTGGGAGCAGCCTCCTCTAGCTTACACAAGCATCATCAGAGTTCAGAAATCAGCTTCACAAAACTGGAGAGTGGTGGGTCAGACTGAAAGACCTTCTACTGCCCAAGCCTTACCTGGAGTTTTGCTACTTCCTTCCTGATCAGGAAGCTGACTTGGTCCCGGTCATTCCTGGAGTAATAGAGACGGCACCAGGAAGGCTTCCCATCCCTGCCAGCCCGGCCAGACTCCTGGTAGTACCCAGCCATAGACTTGGCAATATTCCAATGGGCGACAAACCTGTAGGATCCAAAGGGACAAGCAGCATGAGATGGTGGAGAAGCTGAGTGTCCTTTGGAGGAGTAATCATGACTAGGAGAGCAGGGAGGCCAGCAGATAGGGAGGGAGAGGGATAGTCCCAGAGTTAGAATAGTTAAGACACCTGTAGCCCATCAGCACGTCTCCCTTCTAGAAGCAGCCCAGCTTAGAGGCCACAGCAGGAGTTAAGGGGGGGCAAATCCAGCACATATGAGGGGCCAAAAAACTCAGCCAGGGCCCAGTGGAAAAAATACTGGACCTAAAGAAACAAAATGAGGCTCTGCCACTTATGAGCTATGCAAATTTGAATAAGTTATTTATAACTTCTTTGGAGAGGGAAAGGAATAATATTTATTAAATACCTCCTATGTGCCAGTTTATATATGTCTCATTTAATTGTTAGTCACCATCATGTGAGGTAGCCCATTCTCCAGAATATGAGATTCAGAAAGGTAAATTTGTACAAGGTTACACAGTAAAGGGTCAGCAGAGCTAGAATTTGGGCCTAGGGGTGTCTGCCTTCAAAACTGGCTCTTAACAAGATACCACAGACCCAGGATTCATTTTATTTATTTTGCTTGTTTTTTATTTTATTTTATTTTTAGATGGAGTCTTGCTCTGTCACCAGGCTGGAGTGCAGTGGAGTGATCTCAGCTCACTGCAACCTCCACCTCCCGGGTTCAAGCGATTCTCCTGCCTCAGCCTCCTGAGTAGCTGGGACTACAGGTGGGCGCCACCATGCCCAGCTAATTTTTGTATTTTTAGTAGAGACGGGGTTTCACCATGTTAGCCAGGATGGTCTCAATCTGTTGACCTCATGATCCGCCTGCCTCGGCCTCCCAAAGTGCTAGGATTACAGGCATAAGCCACTGTGCCCGGCCTTGTTTTTTATTTTTCAAGACAGGGTCTTGCTCTGTTGCACACGCTAGAGTACAGTGGCACAATCACAGCTCATTGCAGCCTCAACCCCCGGCCTCAAGCAATCCTTCCACCTCGGCTTCCCAAGTATCCAGGACTACAGGCACATGCCACTATACCTGGCTAATTTTTAATTTTATAGAGATGGAGTCTTGCTATGTTGCCCAGGCTGGTCTCGAACTCCTGGGCTCAAGCAATCCTCCCATCTGGTCCTCCCAAAGTGCTGGAATTATAGGTGTGAACCACTACACCTGGCAGCATACCCAGGGTTCGAACTCTGATTCTGAAGTCGGTGTTCTTTCAAATGTAACGCACTATAAAATTTCGTCCCTAACTCAGGGTCACTGTGAGGTTCACGAAGACCATGTATGCAAACATGCTCCGTAAATCATACAAGGTATTATTATTTGTCGTTAATCAGACCAAAGGGCTTCAGGCTGTAGCCCAAAACGCCTCTTGAAGGTCATGGCCAGATATAAAAGACTTCCTATTAGTTGCCAGTGTGGGGCTAGGAGGCTGGGATGCACCCCGACTCTTCTAGACTATTAGTAAGCAATAAAAAGGAATGATGGTTCTAAGAGCCTTGCCTTTGACCTTCCACAGGGAGTAGCTTAAAATACAGTCACACATTACTTAATGATGGGAATACATATTGTGTTTTGGTTTTTGGTGTTTTTGTTTGTTTTTTAAGACAGGGTCCTGGTCTGTTGCCCAGCCTGAAGTGCAGTGGCATGATCTCAGCTCACTGCAACCTCCGCCTCCCGGGCTCAAGCAATCCTCCCACCTCAGCCCCCCAAGTAGCTGGGACTACAGGCACGCACCACCACACCTGGCTAATTTTTATGTATTTTTTGTAGAGATGGAGGTTTGGCCACGTTGCCCAAGCTGGTCTCAAACTCGTGAACTCAAGCGATCCACCTGCCTTGGCTTCCCAAAGTGCTGGGATTACAGGTGTGGACCACTGTGCCCGGCCAGGGATACGTTCTGAGAAATGACTTGTTAGGCAATTTCATCATTGTGCAAACATTACGGTGGATAGTCTTTACATAAATCTAGATGGTACTGCAGCCTGCACAGCTAGGCTGTAAACATGTATCGAGTGTTAACTGCACTGAATATTGTAGGCAACTGTAATGCAAATCACTAGGCCATAAGAATTTTTCAACTCCATTACAATCTTACAGGATCTCAGTCTATGCAGTCTGTCATTGACCGAAACATCAACATGAGGTGCATGACTATAGTTCCTTTATTCCCACCTCCTCATAGGATCCACCTACTGAGATGTGAGTGAACAGGACTATGTTAAAGGACAAGCCTGACAGACTGCATGCTGCCCCATCCTGGGGGGTGCCAGAACCATGCCGTGCAGTCACCTGGGAGCAGGCCGCACAGGAGCTGTCAGCATTCAGGCTGTATTCTAAGGACTCTCTCCTGGAGCTTCCTTCCCCTCTAGCCCTCGAAGGAGCACATGCACCTGGTCCTTTGGGCACAGCACTAGGCAATCCACCCTGAGCCAGGCCCAGACCAGGAGGGCAGGGCAAGAACCAAAGCTCACCTGACATTGGCTTTATCCACTCCCATCCCAAAACTAATGGTTGCAACAATTACAGGGACCTTCTCCTCCATCCAGTCGTTCTGCACCAGCGTTCTTTCAGAGGCCTTCAGCCCTGTAAAGGAGGGGAAGATGGAGAAGGGAACTCACATTTCCCTTGGGTTTACCGGGGGCCTATTTTGGGTTTGACACTGTGTGCTAGGCACTTCACAAACCCTGAATCTTTCACTTCCCAGCTGTCTGACCTTAACATCAGGCGCTTAACTTTACTGAGCCTCAGCTGACAGGCACAAAGACCCTAGCCCATGTGTGGCACAGAGCATTTGGCAAAGGTTAGGGCCATGATTCAAGCCCAAGTCCGTTGGCCTCCAAAGCCTGTGCTCTTCCTACAACACCATTACCTTGGCTTGTAAAAACGTATCACCTGCTGCTGGGTAGGCATACAGTGGGAAGAACTCAGGAGTCACAATTCTCATTTTAGACCTCATTCATGTCTAGACTCCTTTTAGGGGATTTAAGTGTATCACTTTAGCTCTGCCTGAGTATCTGCAATAAGATGGTGGGTCACCTGATAACCAGGATCTGTAAAGAACAAGAGACCAGCTAAGAAGCCTCTGAGGGTGAAGAGACTCAAGTGGCCTGGGTGCCCCTTACCTGCATGGTAAGCCTTGGCGTTCACACCCCTGCAGCTGAGCTCTATGGCCAGCTGTTCACAAGCCTCTCTAGTCCTGCAGTACACAATGCCGCAGCCAGATAACTGAATGGGGAGATGCAGGAAGAAAATAAGCATAGCAAGAACAGAACAATAGGCCCAGTGTAATGCACCCTGCTCTAAAAGAAGCTCTGTGTTCCTTCTCTCGTCGGCTTCAGTCTCTTCTGAGGCAGGACACCCAGTGAGGCTCTGTCACTTTATAAAAAGCAGGACCAGGCTGGATGCAATGGTTCATGCCTGCAATCCCAGCACTTTGGGAGGCCAAGGTGGGGGGAATCACTTGAGGCCAGGAGTTAGAGACCAGCCTGGGCAACACGGAGAAACCCCGTCTCTGCTAAAAATACAAAATTAACCGGGAGTGGTGGCGCATGCCTGTAATCCCAGCTACTTGGGAGGCTGAGGCAGGAGAATCGCTTGAACCCAGGAGGCGGAGGTTGCGGTGAGCCAAGATTGCGCCATTGCACTCCAGCCTGGGCAACAAGAGCAAAACTCCATCTCAAAAAAAAAACAGGCCAAAAGCTGCTCAAAACTCAACCTGTTTAACTTCTCTGCCTCCTCTTCATGAGCTTTGCATGGGTCTGCAGAGGCATCACACAGACTGGCTGGCTGCTTGCCTTCCACAGGATCCAGAACAAGGAAACCCTGGTAAGGAGGACAATGCCAGGAAACCAAAGAGACAACTCTTTTTGTGCACAAGTTTTAGGAAGCCTGGCTGAGAAAGCTAGAAAAACCAAAGGTCTTAGACTAATCTCCATCTCCATCACATCGCACCCCACTGCTCTAACAGCTGCTTGGCCTCCACCTCAATGCCTCACCCCTTTATCAGCCTCCTGTCCAAGAGCCTTAAGGCAGAAGTCCTTCAGGTTCCCATAGGGATCAGAAATCAGTTCCTTGAATTGCACATCATAGAAGAGGTTGGCCCGGAAGCAGGGAGTCTTGAAGATGGCAACTGGTTTCTTCAGGTGCAGGGCAGCAAACACGTCCTCTTGGACCTGTGGGGTGGCTGTGGCGGTCAGAGCCACACAAGGGGCATGTCCCAGGCGGGAGCGCAGGGCACCCAGACGCAAGTAGTCAGGACGAAAGTCATGCCCCCATTGGGAAACACAATGAGCTTCATCCACCACCAAGTAAGACAGCAGGTGGCGGGACACCAGGGAGTTCAGGGTGGGCTGGAAGGAGGATGAAGCTGCCATCTCTGGGGTGATGTACAGAATCTTGGTCTGGGGCTTTTCTCGCTCCAGGTCAGCAAGCAGCTCCTTCCTTTCCTGTGCAGAGAGCTTCGAGTTCAGGGAACTTACTCGTACCTTTAGGGTTAGCAAGTGGTCCACTTGGTCCTAAGAGAAGAGAAAGAGGCTGTAACTGGCCCTCAGGACTCAGGTAAACATCACTGCAAGTCCCTGGAGGATTTCCCAGTCATAAACTGTCCTCCTCCCACCCTCCAATATATATTCTCTTTGCATAGAAGTAGTAGAGGTTGAATATCCTTTATCAAATGCTTGGGACCAAAAGTGTTCTAGATTTCAGATATTCCTGGATTTAGGAATATTTGCAGATTGCATATACATAATGAGATCTCTTAAAGATGAGACCCAAGTCTGAACATGAAATTCATTTTTTCTTTCACGTATACCTTATACATATAGCCTAGATGTAATTTTATATATTTTTAATAATTTTGACATGACGTTGTGCACATGTACCTAGAACTTAAAGTATAATAAAAAATATATATTAAAAATAATAATAATAATTTTGTGCATGAAAAAACAGTTTTGGCTGAGTTTTGACCGCAACCCATCACATGAGGTCAGAAAGGTGTGGAACTTTCCACTTGTGGAATCACGTCAGCACTAAAATTTTTTGGATTTTGGAGCATTTCAGATTTCAGATTTTTGCTTTAGGGATGCTCAATCTCTATGGAAGGTGAAGTGGTTTAGAGCACAGGCTCTGAAGTCAGACAGACTTCAGATTTAGATTTCATCCTGGCTCACTTAATCGCCACATGCTCGCTGGCTGTTTCTTACCCTCTGAACGATTTATACAATTCTATCTAATAGCATTGTTGTATAACTTAAAATTTACATCTGAGAGGTGAAATTAACGTATGTAAGCCGGGCGCGGTGGCTCACACCTGTAATTCCAGCGCTTTGAGAGGCTGAGGCGGGCAGATCACCTGAGGTCAGGAGTTCGAGATCAGACTGACCAATATGGTGAAACCCTGTCTCTACTAAAAATACAAAATTAGCCAGGCATGGTGGCGCATGCCTGTAATCCCAGCTACTCGGGGGACTGAGGCAGGAGAACTGCTTGAACCCGGGAGGCGGAGGTTGCGGTGAGCCGAGAACACGCCATTGCACTCAAGCCCGGGCAACAAGAGCGAAACTCCATCTCAAAAAAAAAAAAAAAAAAAGAAAGAAAGAAATTAATGTATGTAAAGCACTTAGCACGAAGCCTGGGACCTGGTGAACATTCACCAAGTTATTACTGTAGTTCCCTCTCTACCTTCCTTCATGGTGGATGGCTCTTACCCACACAGCCACACTTCCTCAATTCTGATTCTATCAGCCCATCTGCAGGCCTTAAATAGTCAGAACACCTGTAGAGCAGATGTTAATAAGGTCCCAGACAGTTTCTCATCTTTTTTTCTGTTTCACATACTGTGCCCTTACCAAAATAAGCAGGACACCAGGGATTCCCCATATCAACTTAGCTATCTATCCATCTGCAACTTCTGTCTCAACATCACGAGTGCACGTGTGTGTATACATGAGACTGAGTGTATATGTGTGTACAAATACAGTTTCATACTCCTCTGAACAAAAAAATAACAAAGGAGGGTGAGGGACCTCAGAGGAGTCATTCATAACCTCCCAGAGTGATATGCACCAGTGGAGAACACTACATTGGGGAAATACAGAAACCCAATATAGCGAATGAGATAGGCAAATCATAGAAAATAAGAGGCAGGGGCGGGTGTGGTGGCTCACACCTGTAATCCCAGCACTTTGGGAGGCCGAGGTGGGCGGATCATTTGAGGTCAGGAGTTTGAGACCAGCCTGGCCAACATGGTGAAACCTCATCTCTACTAAAAATACAAAAATTAGCCGGGTATGGTGGCATACACCTGTAATCCCAGCTATATGGGGGGCTGAGGCACAAGAATTGCTGGA
Organism: Homo sapiens; assembly: GCF_000001405.40. NCBI lineage: Eukaryota > Metazoa > Chordata > Mammalia > Primates > Hominidae > Homo > Homo sapiens. The sequence goes on from NC_000017.11 coordinate 75,664,834, forward strand.
AGCCGGGAGGTGGAGGCTGCAGTGAGCCAAGATCGCACCACCGCACTTCAGCCTAGGCGACAGAGTAAGACTCTGTCTCAAAAAAAAAAAAAAAAAAGGAAAAAGAAAAAGAAAAGAAAATAAGAGGCAAAAGACCAATAGAGAAGTGAAATTTCCAGCCTCAAAAAACCTTCCCCGAATCTTTTTGGGCTACCATCTTCATTGCCCTAAGCCTCACCTGAATCAAAGCAATGAGAGGAGAGACTACAATGGTGATGCCTTTGGCCAACAGAGCAGGGAGCTGATAGCATAGGGATTTTCCTGCCCCTGTGGGCATGCACACAAAGACGTCCTTGTTACCTGAAAAAATACAAGACAACAATATCTCAGTGCTTCCTGCCTTTTCATTGAAGTTGTTGAAAATTAAATGAGAATGTAGGAAAAGCACCTAGCAGAGTGTCTGGCACATGGGAGGGTCTCGATGTAATCCTAATTCCCCTCCTGTCCTTTCTATGAAAAAGGCAAGGATCCTGGGAAACTTGGATACATGCCCAAACCATTTCTAGTAATGGTTAAAAACAAGATTTAAAAAGTCTGGGTCAAGCGCAGTGGCTCACGCCTGTAATCCCAGCACTTTGGGAGGCTAAGGCAGGCAGATCACGAGGGCAAGAGTTTGAGACCAGCCTGGCCAACATGGTGAAACTCTGTCTCTACTAAGAATACAAAAATTACCCAGGCATGGTGGCACGTGCCTGTAATCCCAGCTACTCAGGAGGCTGAAGCAGGAGAATTGCTTGAACCCAGGAGGCGGAGGTTGCAGTGAGCCGAGATCGCGCCACTGCACTCCAGTGTGGGCGACAGAGCAAGACTCTGTTTCAAAAAAAAAAAAAAAAAAAAAGAAGTCTGAGTCTGCTGTGATATGGATGATTGAACTAAACAGCCATGAAAGCAGAGTACTGCTAGATGAGTGGGTACATCTGTGTAGACATGAGAGGACATTACTTAGAGGGCTTTTGTTTAGACATGTATCATTAATATTACATTGCTGCTCGCCTCTTGGCAACTTCCATTTGTCACCGTATCTCAGGTTTATAACATTATTACTCTTTCCTTCTCTATCTGGGACCAAGGCCACTCAACCTGCAACAAGGGAATTACCTAGGAGGCCAGTGACCGAGTTAAGTTATTCCTACCACCCTCACTGTTGCTGTTCGTTTGTGTGTACAAACGAACAATAATGAGAATCTGAAGTGTTTTCAAAGACCATGTGTAAATCTAGCTATGAAATATAGACCAGCTGGGTGGTTCTGCCACTAAAACTACAAGCTTTGGGCCGGGCGTGGTGGCTCATGCTTGTAATCCCAGCACCTTGGGAGGCCGAGGTGGGAGGATTGCCTGAGCCCAGGATTTGGAGACCAGCCTGAGCAACATGCCAAGACCCCATCTCTAATTAAAACAAATAAACGAAACTACAAGCTTTGACAACTCTAAAGATTTCCAAATCCAGTTATGGACCAAAGGTGAGGCAGTACGAAGGGTGAGGAGGAGGGTGTTCTGCCGCAGCGTTATGGTATAGCCAGCATAAATTTAAAGGAAGGTAGCTTGGTAATGTTACCTTTTACTACAGCCATGGTCGCACTCTCCTGTAAAGGCGTCTTAAAAGAGTCAAACCCAAAGACCTTCTTCAGCGTACTCCGGACTCGCCGCTCAGGGTCAAAAGGAAAGGTGGTATGGTGGCTGCTCATCTTAGCCAAGAACAGTGGCCAAAGGTTAAGGCAAAGGTAGTAAAAGGTTGCCACGAGAACCCTCTGTTTTGCATTAAAAATACAGATTATTTTTCTGTAACAATTTGCTATATTACACTTAAATAATGTATTATTTTTAAGTAATAAAGCTGAAGGTGAACTGCCTCAAGCAATACATTCCTCAGTAATTAACATCTCCACTTTTACGCTCAATGAAAATGAAAACATTGAACTATTCCAGGCCACGGTATAGCACAGAGCTAGAAATCAGATCAAGAGAAGAAACATAAATGTCTTCAGAACAGCTTGGAGAACGGGGAACCGTTTTCCTAAGATCCACCACCTGCTCCTACTTCTATAAGCGCAACCACGACGACCGTTCTTCCACCCCGGGACCCCGAACCCCTTCTCCCGTCTTCCTGAGCCCAAGATCCGCAATTTTCTCTCTTGGCTGGCCGACACCTCCCTCTCTTCACCCTAAGATATCAGAACCGGCCGTGGTCCGCCCAAGAATTAAAGGCTGCTGGCTGGTTCCGGAACTGTTCGAAGACCCCTATACACAACCCCAACTCAGAGAAGCCAAAGCGCTGGGAATTCAGCTTTAGGCAGAACCCACGCAATCTTATATCCGTCGCGCAGTGATGACGTAGCGCGAGCGCTGGCATGAGGGCGGAGCCAGGCGCAGGAAACTGCCGTTTTGATTGGTTTCCAGTGTGGCGCGGGGGTCTCCTGGGATCCGAAAGAACCTGCCTTTCCGCCCGGAAGTCGGCGTCTTGAGTCATAGGAGTGAGCCACGCCCGGGCTGTGGGAATAAGATGGCGGGGAAGAAGAATGTTCTGTCGTCTCTCGCAGTTTACGCGGAAGATTCAGAGCCCGAGTCTGATGGCGAGGCTGGAATCGAGGCGGTGGGCAGCGCGGCTGGTAAGGCCCAAGTGCGAAGCTGGAAGGGGGAATCGGGTGTCTGCCCGGAATGCTGTACCCTCGCTGGGCGGGAGGGAACAAGATGGTCATTGTGCTCCAAGCACCGGACCCCGAAGAATGGTCCAGGGTCCGGGGTGAGATAGAGCATTAGAGACTGTGGACTAAGAATGAAGAATCTCCTTCCCGTTATTTCGATTAATTTGCCTAAACTTACTGAAAGACTCCGTGCCGGCTATAGTGATAGACAGAGGGATGGACGAAGAGGGAGCGGCTGCTCAGCCACTGCCTGTTTCCCCTGGGCTCGTTGTTTGATGAGGGAGAGCGATAAGTAAAACATACGTGGAAGATGGTAAAGATTGTGTTCGTTAACTTTATAACTTTTAGTTAGGAATGTGCCCTAAACACATCTTGGAGCTTTTAAAAACAAACGTATCTGATGCCCAAAGTGAGAGAACCTAATTCGGTAGAACTGGGGTAGGATGTGGGCATTTGTGAACTTTTTAAGGATCCCAGGTGATTTTTCTTATTTTGTGAGTTTTTAAAGCCTAACGGTGATGTTCTCCTCCTCAGGTTGAGAAGCACAATGTTAGATAATGGAAACAGATTCCTTTGGGAGAATAAAGAACAAGTTACCTAACAACATATCAGGACCTTAGCTTCCTCATCTGGAAAGTGAAGGGGATTGGATTAGGTTAGGTACTTCCATGTTTTGTGATTTTGTGTGGTCTCTTCCAGTCAGAAAGTTCTCTGATGGTTTCCTATAAACACTTTAGTGTTTATCTAGTGTTTATAGCATTAGAAACAGAATTTAGTACTCGGTTTTGTTCCCTGACCTTTTAATGATTTTATTCAGTAAATGCTGGCCTTCTCAGAGAGCCGAATCTGGGCCTATTGTAACTTAACATGAGATTTAGGTTCCCTTTGTATCTTCAGAGATAGTCTTGGCCACTCAAATCTCTGGACATTTTTTCTTACATTGTAACTCTTGTTTTTTTTTTCTTGCTTTTTGTTTGTTTGTTTGTTTTTTAACCTTTCAGAGGAGAAAGGCGGATTGGTATCTGATGCCTATGGGGAGGATGACTTTTCTCGTCTAGGGGGTGATGAAGATGGTTATGAAGAAGAAGAAGATGAGAACAGTAGACAGTCGGTAGGTAAATCTCCCAGATCCAGAGCTACTGAAAGCACAATTTCATTTGTCAGATTTTGGAACTGTGCCAACAGTGTTCCATTTCATGGTTAGCTCCATCCCTTGCTCTCCCGTTTTGTTTTAGTATTAGTGGAAGAAACTGGATTGGATATCAGATCTGTTTGAAAATGTATTTTCACATGGATCATTTTTTATTAATCTTTGAATTGAAATTTGGGGGAAAAGATAGTGGATTATTTTATTTAACCCAGATATCAATGGGTGTTTTATGTTGATTTTTCCCTGTTTAAATGATTTACTCCATTTATAGCAGGCATTCATCCTAACTGGTGTATCATTTATATCTACAGTCAACTCTGCATTATTTTTAATCTTGGTTGGGGCTCATTTAAGTCTTCTCAGTTTATTAACAAGATAAGAAAGGAAAATTCGTTTTCACCTGCTTTTTCTTTTCTTTTTTTTTTTTGAGATAGGGTCTCACTCTGCTGTCCAGATTGGAGTGCAGTGGTGTGATCATAGATAGTTCACTACAGTCTTGAACTCCTGGGCGCAAGTGATCCTCCCACCTCAGCCTACCCAGTAGCTGGGACTACAGGTGGGCGCCACCATGCCTAGCTAACCTATTATTATTTTTTTTTGTCGGAATCTTGCTCTGTCGCCCATGCTGGAGTGCAGTGGTGCGATCTCTGCTCACTGCAACCTCCACCTCCCAGGTTCAAGCAATTCTCCTGCCCTCAGCCTCCTGAGTAGCTGGGATTACAGACACCTGCCATCACGCCTGGCTAATTTTTGTATTTTTCACAGAGACGGTTTCACCATGTTGGCCATTCTGGTCTCTAACTCCTGACCTCAGGTGATCCACCCGCCTCATCCTTCCAAAGTGCTGGGATTACAGGCGTGAGCCACTGCTCCTGGCCGATTTTTAAAATTTAAAAAAAAATTTTTTGTAGAGACGTTGTTTCACTATGTTTCCCAGTCTGGTTTCAAACTTCTGGCCTCAAGCAATTCCCCTGCCTCACCCTCCCAAAGTGCTGGGATTACAGGTATGAGCCACCATCCCTGGCCTTCTTAACTTCTTTCTTGACATTTTATTTGGCACTTTTTATAATGGTGCCCTTAGTTCTTGATCACAAATCTTGCCTGAAGTTCAGTAGGTGCTGGAGAAAGGAGAACCTGTGCTATTATTAACAAGAAAGTCTTTAGACACATAATCACCTGAGCAACATGAGCCAGAATTTAAGTTTGCAGAAAACGCAAGGAAATTGAAGTTGGTGCTTAGCATAAGACAGGCAGAGTTGAGTCTAGATGTCAAATCTGACTGCTTAGCAAGTTTTAATTAAATCACTTAAAATATATTATTTGTTTGAAATTTTTGTTACATGTTGGTATGTAAATGTTAGCATTAAAATTCTTTCCAGCCAAGCACGGTGGCTCATGCCTGTAATCCCAGCACTTTGGGAGGCTGAGGTGGGCGGATCACAAGGTCAGGAGATCAAGACCATCTTGGCCAACATGGTGAAACCCCATCTCTACTAAAAATACAATAATTAGCAGGGCATGGTGGTACGCACCTGTAGTCCCACCTACTCGGGAGGCTGAGGCAGGAGAATCGCTTGAACCCGGGAGGCGGAGGTTGCAGTGAGCCGAGATCACGCCACTGCACTCCAGCCTGGGCAACAGAGCCAGACTCCATCTTAAAAAAAAAAAAAATTATTTCCACAACAAACAGAAATGCGTTTTGTACATGATGCATTTTGGGAGATACTTTCATGCCTTTAGCCCCATCCATTAATATTGATAATTCAGAGTTGACTGAAATTATTCAGAAAAGTTTTGCAAGTTGTTTTCTGACTTTTCTGAAGTACACACATTCTGGCTTAATATTCATAACTCTTTTCTTTAGTACGTTTGCATAATGTGTTTTTGAAGTGTTATTTCATATTTGCTTTGCTTAGAATTTTCATCATGTTTAAGCTTCATTTCATATTTTAGTAAAATCCTCTCATCAGATCTTGTTGTAGAGATTCTGAAATGTGATTGTATTTGTCTGAGCTCCATCTCTGTTTATTTGGCATGACTGATTTCATTTTAAGGAGATTATGGAGATTGCATTTAAAGCCTTGGACTCACTGGTACCTTACAGGACAGTTAAGTCTCCAAATCATGAGTCTAGTTTGTTCAAGTCTCTCGAGTGGTATTTATATTAATATATGGAGTGCTGTGTAATGTTTGGGCTGAAATGTAGCTTTGTTGAAAATAGTAGTTTCAAATGAAACCATTTTTTCCTGGGTATTTAGTTAAAGGCTTCTGTGCATTGGGAGTGTTCTGGGTAGTGGAGGTGACATGGATTTAGCCAGCTAATAAGGTAGCTGGTCCAGCATCTGCTCCTGATCTTTGACCTTCATAGCATCAGCGTTAGCGTTCAGTGGAATGGCGGGCTCGCTTTGGAGAATGCCTTACCGTGTGTGATCCTTTGTGTCAGGCTGACCTCATCTGGATAAGGAACAGGACTGGGTAGAATGGATCACTGGCAGTTCTGTGAGCACTTAGGTGGAGGCAGAGCCCACTCAACTGGGACTCCTGAAAGGTTGGGCATTGCCCTTTAGTCCTGCCTTTCCCAGGTCACTTGCTCAGGTAGTTTGATGCCTGCCTTCCTGTGTTGATGTTTGTGCAAATGCCGGTTGAGGTGCTGCGATACAGCTGTGTGTAAGCCTTGGCACTTGGTGTTGGACACTGTTAGAGTAGGTCCGAGTCTGATGTACATGTGTATATGAAAAGGAAAGAAGGCTCATAATCCTGATTTGAAATAACTGATACTTCAGTGGAAACACGATGCCTGTTTTATTGTGTGGCCTGATCTTACTCTTTCCTAAAACATATTGCAAGCTTTCTCCATTTTTATGTATGTGACTTTGAACTCGGGCATCTTCATTGATGTGGACTGTCTCACCACTAAAGTAACTTGACTTTGAGCTGCTGATGCTTTTTTGTTTTTTGTTTTTTTCCCCTCCAGAATATCTCTTTTTCCCCTTATTTTTCTCTGGTTCTGAGTTATATGGTAGGGGAGGGATTCTTGGTGGGATGACCCCAGCTGGGTAAATGGGCTGTTTGCTCCGGCCCCTAGTTATGCATGTGAGACTCCTCAGGCCCGCTCCTTTAAGCTTAATCCTCTAAATTCTTTGTCTTGTAGGAAGATGACGATTCAGAGACTGAAAAACCTGAGGCTGATGACCCAAAGGTATTTGGTGTTGGCTGTGGTGGGTGGCTGGATGCAAACAAGGTGTTTGAACACTGTGGCTCAGTTCGTATGTTTGGTCAAGATCTGTCCCACTGACAAACTGTGCAACTGTGTGGACATTTTCTGGGATAAAATAAGCTTTATAAAGAAAGAACCTGGAGACAACTCAGGAATGAACAAATCCTGAGACACATTGGATTTCCAGCCTTTCAGATTGTGCCATATCTCCTGACTAGAAAGGCGAGAGGCCTGGCTGAGGCCAACAACCCACTTGCATTCTGCATCCCAGATGGGGCTTTAAGTGTCACTGCCCTGCAGGTGGATTAGTCTGTTTCTAGACCCAGGAAGGTGTAAGGGCCGCCTCGCGTGCTTTGGGTTCTCTTTAGTCATCTAGAAGTGAACAAGAGGCTATAAGAAGGTCAGACCAAAATGAGGCCTCTCCCCAGCTCTCAGGGATGGTGGGTCTAATGCTCATTTTCCTGGGGGTGTGTCCATCCACTTTTGGGCAAGCTGTACAGAATGGTCTTTTTCGGAACAACATAACTATTCTCATAGTGTCATCCTAGTAGCAGCCAAGAGTAATTTGTAGCAATTCCTATCACATTCCATAATGATCTGTTGTGAAGGTTAAGACACCCTTGTGTTGGTTAAGCTGCTGTGCTGTGCATTGGCCATTAGAAATGTGTACTTGCTGAAGAGTCATTTTTTATGAGGAAAAACTTCCCCCCTGTACCCCCAAAGAAAAAGACTTAATTATATCACTCTAGACCCGGGGAATAAGGACCCATTTTGCAGTTAAAAACTGCTTTGAGGCCAGCCGCAGTAGCTCACGCCTGTAATCCCAGCACTTTGGGAGGCTGAGGCGGGAGGATCACTTGAGGTCAGGAGTTCAAGACCAGCCTGGCCAGTATGGTGAAACCCCGTCTCTACTAAAAATACAAAAATTAACTGGTGAGACTGGTGGGTGGTGCACACCTGTGATCCCAGCTACTGGGGAAGCTGAGGCAGGGGAATTACTTGAACCTGGGAGGCAGAGGTTGCAGTGAGCCATGATCTGCCAATGCACTCCAACCTGGGCAACAGAATGAGAATCTGTCTCAAAAAAAAAAACAAAAAAAAACTGCTTGGAAACCAGCTGTAACTTTCAAGATGACCTAGTAAAATTTAGGAAATTTATGCCCAATTAAAATCTAAAACAGTAATATTCTTGAAAATATAGTGTGAGCTGTTCCATATTTGAGCTGATTCTGTGATTGGATAGAACTGTATGTAGCCACTAAAATCTTGAGACGTTGTGAGTGAGAAAGATAAGAGTGTGTTTTACCAGGAAAGAAAGTTTTGGCGCCAGCATGCAGGAGGGAAAAAAAAGAACCCCTGAAAACTGTAAATGCAACCTGCTTTCTATGCTGAGTGAAAAACCTGGAACCCAGGCCTGAGAACTCGCCCTGCCTGAGAACTGGCAAGATGGTATGGGCAGACCCATGGCCCCATAGTTCAAAGTCAGTCACAGCTCTCCTCGGGCTTGCAGAACAAAACACTCAGTAGTGATAATCTTCTCTGCCTAGTATTTAGGGTATGTGGGACTTGGAGCCTGCACGTAAAACAAGCCCAGGGAGCCGTTAAGTGTTTGGGTTTCAGTTGTGGAGGGAAGGGAGGATCTGGGTCCTAGAGTCTTTCTGGGTACAGTTGCAGCCTTTTCTTAGGGCTGGAAGGCTTCCTGGGGAAGTTGGCTGGAGAGGAGGGTACATAACACTTAACGGTCACCCCTTCTAAAATACTGTAATCCAGGCAACAAATCCTTGGGAGATGACAGGGCTTTGTGAGTCAGGGTGGGGGTCACATGAAAAACAAAACAGACTTTACTGCTGTCCAGTAGCAGTCACTAAAGAGCGGGGTGGGAGGGACCCAAAAAAGGTGAAGCTGGGAAGATTGTGGAAATGCCTTTTGTGCTCAGGCTCCCCTTCTCAGCCCTACATCACGGCTGACAGCCTCGTCATTCCTGCCTGCTCCTTGACTGATGTGCTTCGCTGTTCCTCATTCACTCATGTGCATTTCAAGTTTTACTGTGGAATGAAAAGTTTTCATGGAATAATTTCTGTTCCTCTTGAGGAGCCCTCAGAAATCAGAACACAAAATCCAACCCTCAAAGTCACTTGATATAGTTCTTTTGGAGGGTGATGGAGAAGGGTTTAGATAAAGCTTGCCAGCTTCAATGTTCTGCAATCCCCAGTGGCTGCCAGGCCTTTAGGAGTCCTCGTGGCATCTCCAAGGACTACAAATGATCCCCAGCATGAGTCTTCTGTGATACTCTTATCTTAGTCCTGGCCCTGTCATCCTTCTGCTTGAGCTGGCCTCAGACTCTCTTCCACATAGCAACATGTACCTCAAATCCAGAACTTTCTGGCACATTTACATTTTATTTTTATTTATTTATTTTATTTATTTTTTTGAGACAGAGTCTTGCTCTGTCGCTCAGGCTGGAGTGCAGTGCTGTGATCTCGGCTCAGTGCAACCTCCGCCTCCTGGGTTCAAGCGATTCTCCTGTCTCAGTTTCCCGAGTAGCTGGGATTACAGGTGTGAGCCACCATGCCCAGCTAATTTTTTGTATTTTTAATAGAGACAGGGTTTCACCATGTTGGCCAGGCTGGTCTTGAACTCATGGCCTCAAGTGATAGGCCCGCCTCTGCCTCCCAAAGTGCTGGGATTACAGGCATAAGCCACTGTGCCCAGCCCACATTTTTTTAAATTGATGTGTAACAATATTTTTTATATTCAAAACCCTTAATTTTGGACATTCTGCTTTAAGCATATGAAGTTTTTTTGTTTGTTTTTTGTTTTTTTTTTTTTTTTTTTTTTTTTTTTGAGGTGGAGTCTCCTCTGTCGCCTGGAGTGCAGTGGTGCCATCATAACTTACTGCAGCCACAACCTCCCTGGCTCAATTAATCCTCCCACCTCAGCCTCCCAAACAGCTGGGACTACAGGTGTGTGCATCACACCTAGCAATTTTTTTTAATTTTTTTGTAGAGGAAAGGTTTTGCCATATTGCCCCGGCTGGTCTTGAACTCCTGGGCTCAAGTAATCTGCCCACATTGGCTTCCCAAAGGGCTGGGATTAGAGCTGTGAGCCACCAGGCCCAGTGCACATGAACATAGGAAGTTTCTAACAATAGAATATGTTACAAGTGTGGATCTTTGTTAGAAGTGTTGTTTAACAATTAGATTACTGTCATAATTGTCATCTCCACTAGGTGGCATTCTCCTTTCTACTTTGGTTTTTTGTTGTTTTTTTGTTTTGTTTTGTTTTTGAGTAGGAGTTTCGCTCTTGTTGCCCAAGCTGGAGTGCAATGGCGCAATCTCAGCTCACTGCAACCTCTGCCTCCCGCATTCAAGCCATTCTCCTGCCTCAGCCTCCCGAGTAGCTGGGATTACAGGCACATGCCATGTCGCCCAGCTAATTTTTGTATTTTTAGTAGAGACGGGGTTTCACCATGTTGGCCAGGATGGTCTTGATCTCCTGACCTCGTTATCTGCCCACCTCAGCCTCCCAAAGTGCTGGGATTACAGGTGTGAGCCACCTCGCCCGGCCTCTACTATGGTTTTTTAAGATCTTTTAATTTTTTTCAGTAGTTCTCAAAACATTTAGGTTTCTTTACACAATTAAAAATTGAGGATCTCAGAGTTTTCATTTTGGTTTTATCTATTGATGTTTACTATTTTATAAGTTAAAACTGAGAAAATTTTAAATTACTTATTTTAAAATAACAAACCTGATCCGGCCACAGTGACTTGTGCCTGTAATCCCAGCACTTTGGGAGGCCGAGGTGGGCAGATTGGTTGAGCCCAGGAGTTTGAGACCAACCTGGACAACGTGATAAAACCCCATTTCTATAAAAAAAATACAAAAATTAGCCGGGTGTGGCGGCGCATGCCTCTAGTCCCAGCTACTCGAGAGGCTGAGGTGGGAGAATCACTTGAGCCTGGGAGGTAGAGGTTGCAGTGAGCTGTGATCTTGTCACTGCACTCCAGCCTGGGTGACAGACTGAAACCTTGTCTCAAACAAACAAACCTATTACATATTAACATAAATAACATTTTTAGAAAAAATAAGTATTTCCAAAAAAATGTTAATGCAAAGAGTGGCACTGTGTCACCACTTTACAAATCTCTTTAATGTCTGGCTTAATAGAATATGGCTGGGTACATATAACTGCTTTTGCATTCAGGTAATTATAGGTATTCTTCTTTGATACTTCATCAAAACTCAACAGGTGATAGTTTCCTTGAAAGGTTAGTTACATCATGGAATGCAAAGCCTTACCAGTGAACTCTGCATTCTGCTTCCCTAAAATCCACTGGTCTGTCTTGCCCTTTGAATGGATCTTTTACCCATACATGATTTGATATCGTCAGGCTCTGGTGATTTGAAAATTGCTGATGTACTGAGTTACACAGATCTAAATGTTGACACATTTTGTTCTGTCGTATCAAAAAAGTAGTATTTATTAGTGACATCACTAATCTCATCAGAAAATCATTAAATGTTAGAAACCTTTTAGCAAGCCCACAATAAGGAGCAATACATTTTTTAAGATAATGTGTTTCTAATAATTTTTGTTTGAAAGCATGAATTTATCATTTTCAATATGTGCTATCAGAGCTTTCCTTGAAGTAACAGGCTTTGGTCTTGAGAAAATGTCTGCCAAATACCCAAGTCCAGATAACTAGTTTGTCATTATTTCAAATAAAAATGGTGTTTCCTGAAGAAAACTGTCAGTTCAACTGGTGACTCAAATAATCACAAACGGTAGTCCATCCTTTTCCGTGGCTTCAGTAACCTGAGGTCAGCTGCAGTCTGAATATATTACATGCAGTAAGCTATTTTGAGAGAGAGTTCACATTCGCATAGCTTTTATTACAGTATATAATTCTAATTGTTGTTAATCTCTTACTAGTTTATAAATTAAACTTTATCATAGGTATGTATGTATAGGAAAAAGACATAGTATGTATAGGTCTCAGTACTATCAGAGGTTCAAGGCATCTACTGGGAATCTTGGAACGTATACCCCACGGATAAGGGGGCATTGCTATGTGTGCTTTTCCCTGAGACATTTGTCTGACTTTGTTATGCAGCAGAAGTATTTATGCATGCCTCTCATGTCATTGCCCAAAATATTAAAGAGATGTATATTCAAATGTCAAGATGTCATAAAACTAATCATTTTTACTGTCCTGGCAGAAAACTTTTTTTTTTTTTTTTTTTTTGAGACACTCACTCTGTTGCCCAAGCTGGAGTGCAGTGGCACAATCTCGGCTCACTGCAACCTCTGCCTTCCAGGTTCAAGTAATTCTCCTGCCTCAGCTTCCTGAGTAGCTGGGATACAGGCACGCGCCACCATGGCCGGCTAATTTTTGTGTTTTTAGTAGAGACAGGGTTTCACCATATTGGCCAGGCTGGTCTCGAACTCCTGACCTTGTGATCTGCCCGCCTCAGCCTCCCAAAGTGCTGGGATTACAGATGTGAGCCACCACGCCCGGCCTATGGCTGACCATTCTTAAGTGAAACTGGCTTTTTTTTTTTTTTTTTGGAAACGAAGTCTCGCTCTGTCACCCAGGCTGGAGTGCAGTGGCGCAATCTCAGCTCACTGCAGCCTTCACCTCCCAGTTCAAGCGATTCTCCTGCCTCAGCCTCCCGAGTAGCTGGGATTACAGATGTGAACCACCGTGCCTGACTAATTTTTGTATTTTTTTTTTTTTTTTTTTGGTAGAGTTGGGGTTTCACCATGTTGGTGAGGCAGGTCTCAAATTCCTGACCTCAAGTGATCCACCCACCTCAGCCTTCCATAGTGCTGGGATTACAGGCATGGGAATCCCATGGGATTACACCCAGCCCTTTTTTTTTTTTTTTTTTTTTAAATCAAACGGCTACAGTTTGGTGCTGCCACCTCAATTTGTTCTAAAGGCTAGCAGTTTACCCACCATTGCTTGTGCAAAGGTCAACACGATGAAAAAGACAATGACTTAAAACGGTTTTGACTTTGCAGACCCCTTAGAAAAACTACTATTATTCTAAAACAGAAATCATGGGTCAGTGATTCAGTAGTTGTTTGAGAACTGTTTTTATTGCTCTGAAAATGTCCGTTAAGTTGTTAGCCTTATGGGGTCTTGAGCCATGTTGAGGGTGGGTTAGTATTCAGAGTAAGATGATTCAGCCCTGGCATGGTGGGGAGGAGTTCAAGCTCTGGAATGAGACTGGGGTTTTCTTGGGGAAGTCCTTTAACCTCAGTTTTTCTCATCGCGAAAATAATCATCATAATAAAATCTGTCTCATTTATTTTAAGGTTCAACTAAGTAAAAATAAAATGCAGTTGTCCCTCACTATCTGTGGGGATCCCAGGACCCCCTCCTCAGATGCTCAAGGTTCTGATATAAAATGGTGTAGCATTTGCATTTAGCCTTGGGAATCCTTCTGGATACTTTAAATCATCTTATGATACTTGATACAATGTAAATGGCTGTGTAACTAGTTGTTAGACTGTGTTGTTTAGGGAATAATGACAAGCAAAAAAGTCTGACACGTTCAACACAGACACAATTTAAAACACACACACACACACACACACACACACACAATTGGAGGTGAGTTCTGGCCATGGATTCAGAACCACAGATCCAGAGGGCCGGCTGTACTCGACTCAGTATGTCTGGTGTGTGTTTGTTCAGTAGCATTGGCTGAACTGACCATCACTTCCAGTTCCACCTGTGCACACTTCCCAGGCTGGTCATACCATGTTGTCGGCCGGTTTTGGAAGAGCAGATTCCATGTTTTAAACTGGAGTGCTCTCAGAAGAGCAGTCATAAAGGTGAGGGGACTCAAAAGCACATCACCTGAGGGAAAGGTAGAGCTGGAAGACAGAAGACTCGGGAAGAGCCGGGGTTGCGCTCTGGTGTTTGAAGGTCTGCTGAGGGAAAGGCTAAGGCAGCCTGAGGCAGACCTGAAGCCGCGCGCAGAATTCCACAGAAGTTTACCTTCATATAACGAAGGACCTTTTGTGATCTCCGGCCACAAGTGGGTTGAGCTGTTTCATAAGGTAGTGAGCTCCCTGTTTCTAGAGGTTTTTCAGGCAAGTTTTTTTTTTTTTTTTTTTTGAGACGGAGTCTCGTTCTGTCGCCCAGGCTGGAGTGCAGTGGCTCCATCTCAGCTCACTGCAAGCTCCGCCTCCCAGGTTCACGCCATTCTCCTGCCTCAGCCTCCCGAGTAGTACCTGGGACTACAGGCGCCCGCCACCACACCTGGCTAATTTTTTGTATTTTTAGTAGAGACAGGGTTTCACCATGTTAGCCAGGATGGTCTCGATCTCCTGACCTCGTGATCTGCCTGCCTCGGCCTCCCAAAGTGCTGGGATTACAGGTGTGAACCACCATGCCCGGCCTTCAGGCAAGTTGTAAGAAACGACTTGTCATCAACATCATAAAATCTGTTGGTAGAGGTTGGATTAAACTCCAGGGAGTTCCCTGGGAACCCCCTAGGAAAGGACTTGGGCATTATACATAAGCAAAGTTGAGTATTCTCTAACTTTGTTATCTGATGACTTTAAAATATGCACAGACTGGAATTGCCCTGGTTTTTATTGCTCTGATGTTTGGGGTTACCTGTGAGCACAGAGTCCCATGTTTGGGAGCGTGAGTAAGAACTAACTCTGGCCCACCTGGGCAGAGAGACTTGGTCCTGTCCTTTAGGTTGGGGCAGCAGGGATTGGGCTCTGCAGGTGCTGAGTTTGCCCCAAACTAGCGAACAGGAGATTGGAGAAGGAGGCTGGGCGTTGCATAGGAAACAAGCTTTGTTTCCTGTGTTCCATTATTTTTTCGTCTCTAACTTCAAGTTTCTGATCTTGTCTCTTCGGTAAGCAGCAAATTAACAGGAGGTGGCACTGCTGTTCTGGAAAAAGAGCAGACGTGACAGTCCTGGGGCCAGCACCTCACTCCGGGAAAGGAGTGCCTGGTGGCTGAAGTGCTTCCTCCCCCTGTTTACCTTTGGCACCCGAACATCCCTTTCGCCACTCTCCTTTGTCCATTTTTACCTCGTTTGCTCTGGACGGTTTCCCTTGTTTATTTTTTTCTCCACTCCTACAGTTCCTGTGGATGAAGCTGTTTCCATTCACTCACTGTCCCTGACACACCCTTCCTTTGAAAACAAACATGGGGGTTGAGAGCCTGGAGCAAGAAAGATGGAGCAGCCTATTGCCAGCTGACTGGGAGGGACTGGGATCGCCGGCCTCCCTGAGGTGCTGATCTAGGAAAAGATCTAGATCTCACGCTCTGATCTAGGAAAAGAATCCTCCCAGCCCAGGAGTGTACATCTGTGAAAACAAAATTCCGTCTTCTGGGTCAAGGAGGTGGCATCAGGTGGGGGTTGGGGGGAATTGTTCTGGCATTTTTTAAAAAGGCGTGTATAACCCCAGTTAAGAGAAGACATTTTTAAAATTCTAAGATCCCTAAAGTAGTACTAAAATGTGGAGCTCACAAACAATTTAGAGCCGGTCTGGTGGACTTGTGGTCCGAAGACCTGGGTTGTGCCCTGGCCTGGCTTCCCTCTGGCTGTGGAACCACAGGCCTGTAACTTAAGCTTCACTCGGCTCCATTTGGGCAGTCAGGGCCGTGAGACCCCCTTTGCAAGGTGGTTGTGACTGCGGCGTGAGAGAATGTACATGAAGGTGCTTTTCGCAGTATACAATGCACTTGTTAGCAGTGCTTGGCCTTTTCAGTGTAACTAAGTCTGATTATACGCCCTTATCCTGTAGGTTAGAAGGCGCCACGATTTCTCGGCTCACTGCCCTTCATGTCTCCATAGTTTTTCACAGACCTCTGGAACAAAAAGAAATGCCTAATGGCTGAGTGTGGTAGCTCAAGCCTGTAATCCCAGCACTTGGGGATGCCCGAGGCAGGAGAATTGCTTGAGCACAGGAGTTTGAGACCAGCCTGGGCAACATGGTGAAACCCGTCTCTACAGAAACTACAAAAGTTAGCCAGGCATGGTAGTGTGTGCCTGTAGTCCCAGGTACTTGGGAGGCTGAGATGGGAGGATCATTTGATCCTGGGAGGCAGAGGTTGCTGTGAGCCGAGATCTGTACCACTGCACTCCAGCCTGGGCAGCAAACCAAGACCCTGTCTGAAAAAAAGAAGAAAAAATGCCTAACGAATGGTTCTGTTTCTTATGTCATTAGCTTCAGACACTAAGTATTACTGTCCTCACAATTCAGTAGCTGCTTAAAAAAATAATATGTGTAAGTGTGTGTGGTATGTGACATGTGGAGTAAGGCTGTGTTTCCTGTAACAGTTTTGTTAAATATCCTGTGGCACCTTTGTGAGTTTGCTGGGTTACCCCAGGTAGTAGTCTGGGAACTGTGGCAGTAGATTGTCTTAAGAGTTCCAGAGTGGGGGCCTTGACAAGTCCTCACTTAGCCTCCTCTGGAGGCCCAGCCGGGTGAGTGGTTCTCTGCCTCAGTGGCTATTCATACCCATCCTGAAGAAGACCAGGTCTCCCAGTTGACGGGAGTTACTGACTCACAGTCTAGATGAGGATTTGTATTGGGCAGAGCTGACTCGGTAATTCCCTCACCCACTCTCCTCTCAACTCCTTCCCACTGTCCTTGCATTACTCCTGATCTTTTGAAGTACCAGAATCAAATATCTGAAAACTGCCTAAGGGGCTAATCTCCCAGGAATTTGTTGTTGACTGCTGATTATAGGAAGAACTTTGAGGAGCCTGCCAGCAATTGCATGCAGGCAGCACTGCAGGTTGAAATCTTATATTCTTTTTATTGAACACAGACCCAGAACACGGGCAGCTTCTGCAGGATTGCTGCAGAGCACAAGTGTTTCCCATCTGGGCTCCTGGTATATTCGCTGCCCTTCCAAGACTCTGGGATCTGAAAGGAAGATGCTGTGGCTTTTCATAAACAAGCAGCAAAGGGTTGCATTCCTCCTGATATTGAAGGATATTTAGGAGGGTATGTGATGTGGTATGAGATAGGAGCCCCGAGTCCTTTTGCAGCATTGCAAACAGGTTGTTTGTGTGCCTTTGTTGATGCGCTGCTGGCGAGCCCTGACAACTGAGAATTACTCTGCAGAACGAAAGAGCAAACTTGAGCTCTCAGAGCTTAAGCTTGGACTTTTTTTTTAATGGACAGAGTTATTTTTTTATAAAAATATAAAATGTTTTTATATTGTGTTTATTTTTATTTTTGTCAAATTATTGTAGCAAGATTGAGTATTTTGCAAAAGGAAAAAAAATCACCTAATCTCATGATGCTAACCATACGACCATTTTTTTTTTTTTGAGACGGAGTTTCACTCTTGTTGCCCAGGCTGGAGTGCAGTGGCGTGATCTCAGCTCACTGCAGTCTCCACCTCCTTGGTTCAAGCGATTCTCCTGCCTCAGCCTCTCGAGTAGCTGGGATTACAGGTGTGCACCACCACACCCGGCTAATTTTGTATTTTTCAGTAGAGATGGGGTTTCTCCATGTTGGTCAGGCTGGTCTTGAACTCCTGACCTCAGGTGATACACCTGCCTCGGCCTCCCAAAGTGCTGGGATTACAAGCGTGAGCTGGGATTACGGGTGCAAGCCACTGCACCCGGCCTCATACAGCCATTTTTATTCTTCTTTTATGTTTGCCTATAATAACATATGTTTTGCATCCAGCTTTGTCTCTATCTATATATAAACATTTTCAATGTTGCTGTACTGTATAATTATAATAGCAATATGACACAAATGAACAGTTAAAAACAAACACTGAAGAATTGTATGGCATATGAGGCTGGGCGCAGTGGCTCATGCCTGTAATCCCAGCACTTTGGGAGGCCAAGGCGGGCGAATCACGAGGTCAGGATATCAAGACCATCCTGGCCAACATAGTGAAACCCCCATCTCTACTAAAAATACAAAAATTAGCCAGACATGGTGGCACGTGCCTGTAATCCCAGCTACTCAGGAGGCTGAGGCAGGAGAATCACTTGAAGCAGGGAGTCGGAGGTTGCGGTGAGCTGAGATCACGCCACTGCACTCTAGCCTGGTGACACGGTGAGACTTCGTCTCAAAAAAAAAAAAAAAAAAGAATTGTATGGTATAGGAGTTATATCTCAATAAAGCTGCTGTAAGAAAAATTTATTTTATTTATTTATTTATTTATTTTTTTTGAGACAGAGTCTCACTCTGTCGCCCAGGCTGGAGTGCAGTGGTGCGATCTCAGCTCACTGCAACCTCCCTCCTGGGGTTCAAGCAATTCTTCTGCCTCAGCCTCCCCAATAGCTGGGACTACAGGTGCACACCACCACGCCTGGCCAATTTTTGTATTTTTTTTAGTAGAGCTGGGATTTCACCATGTTGGCCAAGCTGGTCTCGGACTCCTGACCTCAAATGATCTGCCTGCCTCAGCCTCCCAAAGTGCTGGGATTACAAGCATGAACCATGGTGCTTGGTAAAAAATAATAATAATAATAATAATTTTTTAAATATTCCAAATGGAGATTTTTTTAAAAACCCATTGAGATCTACCAACTTTTGTTCTAGTAGTGACACCAGTCCTTAGCCCCACAGATTTTCACATCATTTCCCTCATTCTCATATTTTCTTCAGCTATATAAGTTAAATCCAGAAATAAGCACGTTACACTAGCAAAATCTGAATAGGTTTTTATAATTGAATGCTATGTCTGCAGTTTCCCTCTAATGAAGTTCTCTGGTGAACAGGAAATGGGCCATGTGCTTTACTTGGGTCAGAAGGAATAACTCGTTCTTTAAGCTCGTGTTCTTATTGGAAGTCCACATGGTTGTTCCCCCAGGAAGGGAGAAGAGCTGGGTAGAGTTCAGGATTTGGTAGCATTTTTTCTGTGAGTCCCCAGGAAGTCTCTAGGCTAAGGACAGGGAGGTAGCACCCACGGTTTGTGTGATTAAGCCTGCAGGACCAACCCTTTCAAACAAGTTAACTCAGATGTGACTCACTGGGGCCCCATGGACTCTAGAGCTGTTTCCCCTGATCGTCATAGGTGAAAGATAATAATTCTGGCTGTCTTCCCTTAAGTCCAGGGTTTTAATACCTGCTTCACTCTGACCTGCTAGAGAATCATTCCTGGAGGGGTGCTTTTCCTTCTTGGTCTTCACTGTTGGCTTACCCAGTGGTTGAACCAACAGCTTCCTAGAAACCGCTACCCTTTGCAGCCTCTTAGTCTAGAGGGAGAAGGTGGGAAGTTGGGAATAACTGGATAACTGGGCTTTTGAGCCAAACAGATTTGGCCTTGAATTTCAACATTGCCATTTATTGGGTGAGCTGCTTCATTGTGTTTTACCTCAGTTTACTCGTGTGCAAAATGGAAATAATAATGTCTACCTCATAGGGTTATTGTGAGACTTGAATAGTGTAGGTTAGCTTGTAGTGGGTTCTACGTTTAGGGTGTCATGTGGGGTGCTATGTGAGTGGGAGAGTATATGCTTCATCCTTCCATCCTGTTTTATTAGTCCACCTGCCCCTGTGTTCTATCTCCCATACCCTGTAATCTTTTGAGTGCTGATTAGAAGGGAACAAAATTACAGTATGACTCACCCAGGACCAGAGAAGGAAATGGCCCTTGACCATTGCTGGTTTGTGAGCCATCCACCACCCTTCTCTTGGAAGTTGTAATGTGGGCCTTGAACTATTGAGAATGCCCAAGCCTACGTAGCATTCGGCACTTCCCTGCGCTCAACACGATGGATGGTCTTCTTTAGGCTTTTCCTCAACAACACTAGGGTTGCCTTGCACAGCTGGGAGACATGGAATTTCCAGAAGCTCGTGGAGTGGCTGTGCTGGGAAGAACCTACCCCAGCCTGAGGTCTAGGGTTCTGGGGGTTCTAGGGGCCTGCTGGGTGATAACCGGATCTGAGCAGGAGTCAGAAAGGCAGGCAGGCCATGAAAGTCACTCTTCAATTGTCGCAAGGGAAGGAAATCCAAGCCTGCTTTGGCTTTGTCCTGCCACCTTCCAAGGAAGGCCTCACTACATCATAAGCTGAACACTGCTGGTAGAAGCGCTGGTAGTTGTTGGAAGTTGTGATCTCATGCAAAGGGGAACAATGACCATTATTCTCCCTCTGACCCCTCCTTGGCTCCATTGCACTGCCAGAGGGGCCTTCTTGATGGCAGTTGATCCAAGTAACCTGAAGCTGAGACTCCCAGAAGCCCCACCTCACTCCTGTGGTTCCACAGCCCACAGGGAGCCACCGCGTGTCTGGTACACCCTCCCATCAGCCGTGCAAGCCCCAACATACCTCCTTCCCTTCGGGCCAGATGCCATGGATTGCTAACTGAGGTGTGGCTGGGCCCCTCCTTCCCCATCTGGGACTCATTTCTTTGAAATTATATGATACAGAGGACTGCCTGTCCTTAGGGATCCAGCACTTCCGACCTTCGTTCTGTATTTTCATCCATGTCTCCTGAAATGCTGCTGTGTGATTTCTGGGTTCAATAGGATTTTGCTCATTTCTATTCCTAACTTTGGAGTTAGGTAAATATTTTCTGGGCTGTGCTTCAAAGATGCTTGCCTTCTTTTTGGCCCTCTAAGTAACTCAGTCCCCTTCCTACCGGTGTCGATGATGACCAGTTTGCATTTCTGTCACCCTGACTTTCAGGGACTGCGAGTATATTTGCCTGAGATGTTGATGTAACTAACTCCTCAGCTTGTCGGCCAGCCTCTCAGATGGAATGCTTTTGTAATTTGGTAGCCATGTAGAGTTGTGTGCCTTCCAGACTTGCATTCTCAACCTCACAAAGCTGTCTCTTTTGTCCTTGTCTGTCTCCAGGCTCCCCCCAACCCCCCAAATATATCAACCTAAAGCACAGAGATACTGTTCTTGTGGGAAGCCTTGAAGGGAAAAAGCCTGTCCTGGCCTCACCACCAAGAGCTTGACTCAGATCCTTGGTGTGAGGCAAACTCTGGACCTAGATACACCCGTTCCTGACACTCTGGGGATAAGACAAAAAGGGAATGGCCCTCTCTGACCATCTTCTGTAACTTTCAAGAAACCAAAAATCTTGAAGTGTCTTGAATCAAATGTAGATTGTACTTGGAATAGTCGGATAACAAAAGTCCCCCTTGGAAATAGCTCCCTGCATTTACATTGAAGTCTAGTTGGTTGTAACATGTTCCATGTAACAACATCAGGAGCCGTGCTGAGTCACGTGGGCTTTGTAAATTTAGCCAGATTTTTCAAATAGAGAAACTGTTTCCCTTCCTCCTCCCTACCTTGTCTTCAGTCTACAAGGCCAATTCTATAGCCGGCTTAATAAGTCTTGGCAAACTCCTGTTTCACCCATTCCTATAGAAACCTTCTGTGGTTGGGGCCGGGCGCAGTGGCTCACGCCTGTAATCTCAGCACTTTGGGAGGCTGAGGCAGGCAGATCACGAGGTCAGGAGATCGAGACCATCCTGGCTAACGAGGTGAAACCCCGTCTCTACTAAAAATACAAAAATTAGCCAGGCGTGGTGGCGGGCGCCTATAGTCCCAGCTACTCTGGAGGTTGAGGAAGGAGAATGGCGTGAACCCTGGAGGCGGAGCTTGCAGTGAGCCGAGATTGCGCCACTGCACTCCAGCCTGGGCAACAGAGCGGGACTCCATCTCAGGAAAAAGAAAAAAAAAAAGAAAGAAAAAAAGAAACCTTCTGTGGTTGGGAGCAGAGCCTTCCCATCAGCAAGTGGTCTAAGCAAAGGCAACCCCAGCGTGTCCCAGAGGGCCCCACCAACTTCCGCCCATTTTTCTGATAAATTGAGTGTTTCCATTCCCAGGCAGGCAGTGTGCCCACGGCAGTGGCTCAGTCCTGGCCGACAGGATACAACTAAAGGAAATGTGCTAGCAATGGGCTTTCTCCAGGGCTCTCCAGTGGGGGTGGCTGGCATCTGGCCTCTGGGGTGGGATGTTCCCATGCAGCATTGGGTTTGGAGGCTTTGCTGAGCTGTTGACAGCTCTCACTCCTAGCCCCCAACCATGTCTCTGTCAAACCAACATCATTTTATTCTGGAACTTGGAGGTATTTTATAAAGGTAATCCAGCATTGTTGCTTTCTTGGCAACCTGAAGTGACTCACATTGATCTCAGAAAACCTTGTTTTGACTATTACTTTGATGCCTCCACAAGAGGGTTTCTGGAGGATGGCATAGCAGTTGTTCTGAAGCAGCTGTATTGCCTGATGGTTAAGAGCACAGTTTCATGGGACTGTTGTGAAAAATGAGATTCTTAATTGAAGAGCTTAGCATAATACCTAAACTTATTCCCCTAGATTGAGTTTTCATATTTTATCCTCAATGCTTGGCCCATTGCTTGGTGTATAAATCATGCTCAATAAATTATCTGTGGAAAAAATAAATGAATTAACTATACAGTAATTATTTTTGTCTTAGGATTTAGGAGCATTAGGCCCAGTGTTCGGAAAGAGGATGCAGGGCCAGATGTGGTGGCTCACACCTGTAATCCCAGCATTTTGGGAGGCTGTGGCAGGAGGATTGCTTGAGCCTACGAGTTCAAGAGCAGCCTGGGCAACATAGTGAGACCCCATCTCTACAAAAAATTTAAAAATTAGCCAGCCATGGTGGTGCATGCCTGTAATCCCAGCTACTTGGGAGGCTGAGGCAAGAGAATTGCTTGAGCCCAGGAGGTCAAGGCTGCAATGAGCTATGATTGCGCCAGTGTACTCCAGCCTGTGTGACAGAGTGAGACCCTGTCTCAGGAAAAAAAAAAAAAAAAAGATGATGCAGAAAGATGAACAAAGAATTGGGTTTGAAATTTTTTTGTAATTCAGCGTTGGTGTCCCCTCCCCACCTTCTCCTGCCCCTTGGCAGACTTTTATTGCAAGCCTAGCCCTTTTGTTAGCTGCTCTTCTGCTGCCTGTCCGTCTGACATTTCTAGTGAATCTACACATGAAACTCACTGTGGAGTTGACCAGGCTGGGAGTCTGAAGTTAAAACATAACAGCTGAAGGTAGGTGTGGAACCTAAACTTGACAGAAGACAAACTGACAGTGTTTGGGGTGTGTGTGTGTGTGTGTGTGTGTGTGTGTGTGTGTGTGAGAGAGACAGAGAGAGGTCAGTGCTTGAGCACCTTCTGTGGACCAGGCTGACTATTAGACTTGGTGATTTTTGTGAGTACACAGAGTAGAGTAGTTTGTCTTCATCGGCCAGGTGAGCATGAGGGTAGAGGAAGGCTTCCCTGGGCTGGGCTGAGGCCTACACGGGGCTTTCTAGGCAGGAGTGGGGAGAAGGTGATTTCAGGGAGCAGGCATTGCAAAGATCCTGGGTGCAGAAAGGGGAGGAAGAGGCTGAAATGGGCAGCAGGGAATCCTCAAGGCTCGTGGGCCACAGTGAGGATCTGTTTTTAAGGAGCTATTGTGCTCGTGAAGTGAGATCTCATCAGGCCATGGGCTGTCCCAGGTCTGAGAGAATAAAGGTTTGAAAGGAGTCATTTTACTAATCTGCCTCCCTAGCTGCCACGTACTTGTAAGATGCAAGATTACATTGCCCAACAGGAAACCCCCAGTCTGTAGCATTCTTGCCTGTGGCCTCGGGGCTGGCTGCCCTGTGCCCCTGTTCAGAGTGCTTTCTCTGTGCCCGCTACTCCCGAAGCTGGAAAGAAAACATGACGTTTAGATTTGGTGGGATCTAGATGCTGGCGGCTGCCTTTGTGGAACTCAAGTTTGACACTGGAGCTTTGTGGGGCCGGTTCCAGGAAGGATTGAGGAAGCATTGTTGGCTGTAAATAAACCTCCATTCTCTTACTCAGGACTTGGTACTTCTCTGCTGAGTAAATCCTCCCAGCTCAAATGGCAGCTTGTCCAGTTTCGTGGGTCTATATTGTTGTTACTTCCTTCCTGCGCTCCAGTCAGCTTCATCAATGGCTGGACTTTTGTATTCTCTGCAGGAGGAACCATATTCCAGGTTCTGTAATTCTTGAGAACCAGGCCCCTGCCACTGACCTACAGTTGCATCTTCCAAGTCTCAGTCACAGTTGGTTAAGAAACCAAATTGGCAGGTTGAGATCACTATTCTTCTCCAGGGACAGCGCCCAGTGTGCCGCAGCCGCCTCCTGCTCTGGTTGTTGGGCCTTTAGTCTCAGGTGGGGTCTGGGTGGATGAGGGGTGCAGGCAGAGGAGGAGACCTCGGCTCAGATTGGTGTCCTCCACCAGCTCAGCGTTTAAACCATACTTCCTCTTTCCTCCTTTCTGTTTTCTAACTTGGCTTTTGTTTTTGTCTTTTCGTTTTTCCTTGTATCTTTTTTTTTTTTTTTTGGAGACAATCTTGCTCTTTCAGGCTGGAGTGCAGTGGCGCAATCTCGGCTCACTGCAACCTCCACCTCTCAAGTAGCTGGGATTACAGGCATGCACCACCATGCCCGGCTAATTTTTGTATTTTTAGTGGAGAGGAGGTTTTACCATGTTGTCCAGGCTGGTCCCAAACTCCTGGCCTCAAGTGATCTGCGCACCTCAGCCTCCCAACTCCCCCAGCCTGTTTTTCCTTGTGTCTTGATTGGAATTGAATGAGGGGGCTGAAGAGGTGGGCCTAGTCTTTTCTCCCAGGAGCAGCCTTCCTTTCCTAGGTGAGGTGCTTTGTTTTCACCTTCCTTAGGAACTGGGTGAAAAGCCCTCAGCCTGTTCTGGCTGTGTGTTGTTGCTCATGTCTCTGGGCTGCGGGTTCCATGCCCTCTGGCTGATGTAGACAGATGCCTGGTGACTAGACATCCAGGATGAGCTCATTACTTTAACCAACTGAGAATTTCTACCTGAAGGCCAGTGGGTGGATTCATACGAGTCAAGACAGGTGTTTCCTGTGCATTTCAAAACGCTGCTGGCGGGGAAGAGATGAACAGTGCTTTCTTGTTGCTTTTTGCTTGTATCCTCACAGCCCTTCTTTCCGCTTCCTGCCTCTTTAAGGGCATAGTGAGAATCTCCCCCAGAGCAGGTGGTTTAACACCAGTGCCTTGAACGACTGGCAGTTTAATAATCGAGCCTTTCTTCCGTCTCCTTAATTCTGTCATTTAAAATATTTCAGTGGGCGAGAGGTGACTTCTATCAATTAAAAGATTTCAATGGGAGGGAGGTGAGGAATGAAAAATTACCTACCGGGTACAGTGTTCACTTTCTGGGTGATGGGTACACTGGGAGCCCAAACCTTACTTATCATTACACAATAATATATCCATGTAACAGACCTGCACATATACCACCAAATCTAAAATAAAATACTTTTTTTTAAATTATAAAATAAATCGTTCATCACATGTTTTTTCTGACACATGGCTGGCTTCCATGATAACTGTCATGGGTGCTTGGTCCATTTTTCATACTAAATACCTCCTATCTGAGACATGACTGGTAAGAGGGCATCTCTTTAGGCCTGTCCTCCCTGTGGTGGAGGTCGTTATAGAGGCATATCATTACTGTTTGAATAGAGGTCACTTTTATTGGATGAAACTTGATTCAGTGGATGGTTGTGTGTAAATGGTACTAAAAAGCAGCTCTGGGGTATTTCAGGGTCTCCCTGTGTCACCCAGGCTGGAGTGCAGTGGCATGATCATAGCTCACTGCAGCTTTGACCTCCCAGACTCAGGTGATCTCTCCTCAGCCTCCCAAGTAGCTAGGACTACAGGCTGGTCTCAAACTCCTGGACTCAAGCAGTCAGGCCCACCTCAGCCTCTCAAAGTGCTGGGATTACAGGCGTGAGCCACTGCGCCTGACCAAGCGAGCACTTTAGGATCCAGAGAACTTAGGTTGTTGTCTTTCTTCTTTAGGAGAAGCTCGGCACAGTGACAGAGGCACCCAGGGCTCAGCAAGCTCATGGCCCAGCTTGTTGGACTCAGAGGGCAGAAGAATCACATTCTAAACATGATAAGGTATAGCCAGCAGGAGGCAGATTCCCAGATTGATTCTCCAGAGCCTTGTAGGTCCCAAGGGTGCCTATGACACCAATGGGAATCTGAACCAACACAGACAGCACAGTCTTCTTAGGAGACCCTAGTGCAGCAGCGCTGGCCTCCTCCTGAGCGTGCACGCTTATATGGCTTCTGAGCTGGCCAGGCTACTTCATGCATTTGGTTTAATGGGTCCTCGTAAGGCAGGAGAATCTTCTTGAACTTGGAGTTGGGTCTGTGGTCCATTGGTCAGTACTTTGTTCAGAGGCACTGAGGGTGGGAAGGCTCATGGAGCTGGATTCTGCTGCTGGGAAGCTGGGTGGGCCTTGTTTGTGGGCCTCAGGTTCAGGACTGAATGAGAGTCCTCTTGTTGCGAGTTGAGGGTGTACTCTGGGCATGCCATGCCCTTTTTTTGTACTAAGAGGGTAGAAAAGCAAAGACCAGACTAGTTGGCAAATTGGAACCCAACTACCCAGTTTATTTATTTCTTAGGCGTAGAAGGAATAATTTAGGGGGAACTGAAGAGCCAACCTAAAGGAAAAAAATAAAATAAAGGGATAAAATACTTCCTGTGATTTTGCCCCATCATCTCTTTTCTTCCAGAGACGTGACTCAACAACCTCAGCTGAGCCTGGCAGCACACACACCCCACACTCCTTTCCATCTCCAGGTTCACAAAAGCCACAAGAAGCCACGGGGAGGCTCCTGGCCTCTTACTTTACCTAAGGAGGCCCTGAAGTGGCAAGTGTGTTTCCCCTTGAAGAGCCATTGCATGTTTGGTGACTAACTTCCTGTGGCTTTGGGGTAGACATGGTAGACTCCTTGTGTGGGGATTGGGCCTCTGCAGTTGAGTCCATGAGAAGGGGTGGGTGTGGTATGGTGCGGAGCCTTGGGGAAGGGTGAGTGGGGGCTGGAGGGAGAGTTAACGAATGGTCAGTCCCTGTATGATCAGCCAGCTGGCGGGTGAGGGAGGAGCTGATGTTTTCCTACAATCAGCACCCAGAAAGCTGTTCTCTAGAGGGAAAATGTGAGGGCATTTTACAGTCCCATGTATTGTTACTAACACTCTTGAACACTGGTTTCCTGAGAGTCACTGCTACAAAGGGATTGTTGGTCCCCTGAGAGACTGGCAGTCTCTATAGGGCTGCTGATTTATGACTGCGGCAGTCTCTATAGAGCCGCTGATTTATGACTGCAACCTGAAGTTGGTGTGGCAGTCCTCCAGGCGCGCCTCCCTGCCTGCTCCCAGCCTCCTCTTTGCCCACCTGATTGGCAGGGGGCAGTGGCTCGAAGAGATGGGTTGCTAAGCAGCCTGGCCTGGACGTGGTGCCCTGCCAGGTTGAATGAATAGCTGCAGTGTTCTGAGGAATGGGGAATTTGGCCTGTCCCAGCATCAGGAGGGACTTTCTGGAAAGGGGGCTAAGACTGAGTCTAGGTTCAGTGTGGGGAACTGGGTGGCCTTCCTGGCACCTTCCTTTTGGAGCCGTGGCGTGGTGTGCCATGTCTGTGTAAGTGGAGCCTGCGGAGCTCTGCACCTGTCCTCGAAAAGGTCTTGTTGCAGGGTCTTCCTGTCTCATCTCCTCCCTCACTCATCAGCAGGAAAAGACATGGCGTCCAGCAACTTTCTGTGAACTCTGCCTCTGCTGTTTTGATGATGAGCACGTGTGGCCCTTGAGATTGTTGATCTAACTGGCTTTGAGGGGCTGGGTGTCAGCAACCCAGAAATGGGGGAAACAGGTGTGTTCTTGCCATTTTACACTTGAGACAATGGAGGCAAGGGAAGACTTGTGACGGAGGGCTTGGACCGTGGCTTTCTCAGCATTGATTTTGGTTTAGATGAAACATTTACTACAGAACAGTGAAATCCAGAAAACGTCTAAGAAGCCTTTGCTCTCAGGTTTCTGCAGGACATGTGGATGTAGCTGTCATGGGACACTGTTTGCATTAGGGATTGGAGGAAGCTTTTCTTTGGAGGGAGTATAAAGCCAGTGTAAAGGGAGCTGAGAGCCAGAGAGAGGCTTCCTTGAGCCTGGGGCCTCTCTGGGATCCCCATTCTGCCACTTATTAAAGGTTTGCTGCATGCTTGCTCTGAGGTTCCATGAGCTGCCCCTTTATCCTCATGATGAAGCCTCCCTTCTTTGAACTAAAAATAAGAAGAGTATCTTGGGAGCAGCTAGTCTGCATTTTCATCTCGGGAGTCTGCTGTTACAAAGCAGTCACCTCTTGCTTCCTTGGTACCAGCGGTAGAGGTGGTGATGTCTGGGCTGGCCGGGCCCTTGAGCTCTGCACTCCATTCAGGCAAGCTTCCTCAGACCCAGGGGAGAGCAACAGGCAGGGTATACGTTGCCCAGTTGGCTGCAGCAGGCTTGCTGGCTTGTGTTCTCCTCAGCGATGGTGGGTTTGGTCACTGAAAAGGCATGGAGGAGAGACCGGCGTGGGGCTCGGGAGCATCCGGCTGCTGCGATGCGGGAAGAAGAGGGTTCGGAGGCTCGGGGGTGCCAGAGGCCCCTGAAGCATCAGCTTACCCTTAGTGTTCCTGGCAGTGCTTTTACTTTTTCTCCTTCCTTAAAAATCCTGAGTGGTCTCAGTAGAGAGTAGCTGGTTCAGGAGCCCCAGTCTTACCTCCTCGTATTTGTTTGTCTTTTGCAGGATAATACAGAAGCAGAAAAGCGAGACCCCCAGGAACTCGTGGGTGAGTATTGGGGGATCCTGGGGGCACGTTTCTCAGCCTTGCTCCTAGCAGCCTGGCTTCCAGCCATGCCAGGCCTGCCGCCCCACAGGGCTTCTGTCTGCTGTGAGCACTGTTGTCCCTTTGGCTCCCTCTCAGGGCTTTGGCATTTCCTAGGATGCCCGGGTGAGACGTCCAGGGAACAGTTCTTCTTTGGAAATCATATTTGTGGTGTGTTTTAATGGGCTTTGGTCGGTTGCCAGCGCTGTCAAGAGGGAATTCAGGGCACTCAGCTGGGAGCGTGTCTTGGTCTCTGCTTCCCCTAGTGCCCTGGGCTTGTCCTCTGTCTTTGCAACCCCTCCTCCCCCTCTCCGCTGGCATATGCATGCTGCTCAGGGAGTCAGCATGTGGCCTCTGCTGGCACTTTGCTCTGTCCCCAGGCAGGAACATGCCTCACAGCCCTGGAGTCTGGGGCTCTTTGTGATTTGGGAGGAGCAGGGACACTATGTTTCTGGAAAACAGCATACATCATCCAAGTCCTGTGCTAGCCCCAGCCTTTTAATCCTTTTAGAAAGCCCCCCAGCTCCTTTCACGTGGCTCCCAAAGCCCGACCGGGGGGCAGTTCCCGGCATCTGAGTCAGAGCTCTTGGTGGGGTTGGCCCTCCCTCTCTGTGGCAACCATTACCAGCTCTCCTGTCCGTCCTGCTGATCTTCACAAACAGGCTCCTGCCTCCTGCGGTCTTGCCTCGGTGGCTCACTGACTCCAGCCCTGGGGGTTCTGAGCCCAGGGACCACCTGGAAGCGCTGCCCCAGTAGTCAGTCCTTCCCACCCAGGCTTCCTCCCAGTAGGGCCTTTCTGCTGGGAGTTCTGCTACAAAGCCTGTTCTCCTTTTCCAGAACTAAAGGAGCTAGGAATCGTTCATTCTATTTGTCTTTTGAAGAAGGATTGGGTGGGAACACGGTAACGCTGAGCAGCCCAGACCCTCAGCAGGAGGGCCTTAATCCCTGGCCTCTCTGATGGAGTTTCAGTCTTTCAAATCCTATAAAAACCAAGATTTTCCTAAAACCTAGAGTTTCTTCTTTAGAAAGTGACGCCTTAGGGGTGCAACATTTGGCTTTGAGGGCAGAGGAAGCAGAGTGTGCATCTGCTGGGAAGCCGATGGCCGGCCCAAGGGGGCGATCCACGGGTCGGGCGTGGACGGGAGCCTTGGCCTCTTATCCCCGCCATCACCCGAGCCGACCCTGCTGTTTACTGTGAGAAACTACACGGCTGGGGATCAGAGAGCAGCCTGTCACGTGCCAACGCAGAGATGCCCTTGCTCTTGCTAGTAGTGCTGGGCAGGCAGTGGAATGTGTGTGGGCATCAGCCATCTCAGCCCCCAGTTGCTTCCAGAGCCAACTTGTCACTTTTTCTCCCTGTGCCACTTTTTGGAAATAGCTTTATTGAGGTATAATTTACATAGAGTAAGACTTGCCAATTTTACGTGTGCCATTTTATGAATTTTGACAAATGTGTATAGTTGTGTTAGCCCCACCACAATTGTGATACAGAACGCACCCATCACTCCGAAATGTTCCCTTGTGCCCCGACCGTGTTACAGGTGATTCCCTCCCTCAGCCTCAGGCAAGCTGTGATCTACACTCTCCTCACTATAGCTTTGCCTTTCTTTAGAATTTCCTATAAATCAGGATCTCCCCACCCTGGCCCTACTGACACTTAGGGCTGGATGAGTCTTTGTTGTGGGGCTGTCCTGTGCTTTGCAGGGTGTTTAGCAGTGTCCTTGGTCTCTACCCACTACGTGCCAGAGGCACTCTCCCTTCCCCAGATGTGACAGTGATCAATGTCTCCAGACATTGCCAAATGTCCCCTTGGGGCAGAATCACCCCTAGTTAAGAACCAGGGATAGAAAGGGAACTAGTGTTTTTGTCTGGCTTCTTTCACTCAGCACGGTGCTTGCAAGACTCATCCATGTAGTTGGGCATGTCCAGAGTTTCTTTTTGTAGCCAAGTAATATTTCACTGTAGGGATACACCACAGTTTGTTTACTGATTCACCCATGAGGACACAAATGGATCTTTAAGCGGCATCGTTTTGATTACTCACCATTCCTCATTGACGAGTAGCTAGTTTAGTTCCTCTTACTGAAGACGTAATTAGTTGAAGGACAGTGGCTTCCATTCATGATGCAGTGCCTGTCAGCCCCTCTACCTAAGCTTTTGTCCACTCTGGTGTCAGGACTCAGGTTGCTTACCAGGTATGGGAAGTGTGTCCATGCATGTAGACAGCCCCAGCTTTTAGAGAACAAGCAGGAGAGCAGAGAAGCCAAACCACAGGCATCTGCAGCACTGCAGCCCCTTGACAGAGCCGAGCATGCACACCCTGTCTGTGCCCTCCAGGGCCTCGCAGATGCCCACGGCTGAGCCTGGAGCAGTGGTGCTGGTGTGGCAGTGCACGTGGGTTCTCTCTGTCACTCAGGAGCTGGAGATACTCCACCGTCCCCTGGGGCCCCCCAGCTCGCTCACTCCCTGCCATCCCATAAGCCCGTCCAACTAGCTGTTCCTGCACAGATCCCTCCCTGGCAGCTGTGGGTACTCTGGGTGTTTTCTGACTTGGGCACGCACCAGGGCAAGTCACGCTGACAGCTGGCTTCTCAAGTCCTAAGTGCGGCTGCCTCTGAGAACACACCCATCAGACCCAGGCAGCAGCCACAGACCCAGCGCTGCTTCCAAGAGACTGTGGACACATCGCTTTACTGGCTTGAGGCTCTGTCTGCTTACAAGAAATGTGGGGCTCAGCTGGTCGCAGTGGCTCATGCCTGTCATCCCAGCACTTGGGGAGGCTGAGGCGGGCAGATCACGAGGTTGGGAGTTCAAAAGCAGCCTGGCCAGCGTGGTGAAACCCCATTTCTACTAAAAATCCAAAAAAAAAAAAAAAATTAGCCAGGCATGGTGGTACTTGCCTATAGTCCAAGCTACCCGGGAGGCTGAGGCAAGAGAACTGCTTGAACCTGGCAGGTGGAGGTTGCAGTGAGCCGAGATAACACCATTGCACTCCAGTCTGGGCGACATAGCGAGACTCCATCTCAATTAAAAAAAAAAAAAAGAAAAGAAACAGAAATGTGGGGTTCAAGTCTTCCACATTAGATTCATTCCAGGACTCAGAAGGGAGAGGACCACTGAAAGATTGCTTCCAAACTCTGTGTTGTACACTTCTATCTAGTTTTCCCGAATGTGTTCCTTTATTTGCCAGTTACTTCCTAGGAATTATCTTGTTTCAAGCCCTGGACTGAGGAGGGGCTCCCCTCCTCTTTTTTTTTTTTTTTTTTTGGAGACGGGGTCTGGCTTTGTCACCCAGGCTGGAGGGGCTGGAGTGCAGTGGTGCAATCTCGGCTCACTGTAAGCTCCGCCTCCTGGGTTCACACCATTCTCCTGCCTCAGCCTCCCGAGTAGCTGGGACTACAGGCGCCCACCACCACACTTGGCTAAATTTTTGTATTTTTAGTAGGGATGGGGTTTCACTGTTTTAGCCAGGATGATCTCGATCTCCTGACCTTGTGATCCGCCCGCCTCGGCCTCCCAAAGTGCTGGGATTACAGGTGTGAGCCACCGCGCCCGGCCCCTCCTCTTACACTGTACACCATGTGAGCCCCAGAGTGTGGCTGGGTTGCTGTGGCAACAGGGTCACACCCTGTTTTTCCAAAGGCTTTCCTGGCAAATGCCAAAGGGCACTCTTTGTCTCTCTGTCACAAGCACAGATAGGTTCTCTCCAGCCCAGGGAAGAAGTTAACCCTGCTTGTTTATGTGCCTAGCGCCTGCCAAGGCCCTCCTTGCTTTTGTTGTTGCTGCTTGTGAGATAGGACCAGCTCCCCCCAGCTGATTCCACTCTCCACCAGCTTCTGCAACCTCAGCCTTGGCACTTTCACCTATTCCAGGGCTGGGAAGAAGGAGGAAGTTAGAGGAGACTTGAATTCCAGCCATATCTGGGTTTCACCTTTGCTTGAGGAGTCAGGAGACCAAAGGAAGGTGCTGGGCAAAGAGAAGCACCTCGTCTCCTGCTCTTGGGCTGCACTGGCATCTGGGGCCCACAGCAGGACCTCTGATCAATGTATCACCCAGTCTCTGTCCTCTTGCCGTCACCTAAAATGGCAGATTAGTGCTCTGTTCTTGGGGCGCTTCCAGTGAGAATCCACTGACAACAGTGAAAATCAACACATGAAGTCATGTTTTTAGGATGGCCCCAGGCTCGACTCCTGTCTCAGTGTATTTGCAGTCGGCATAGGCTTATCCTGCAGCAGCTGGACTGGCAGAGTCTGGGAGCCTTGTCCCCAGCCCTCCTTGGCACTGTGTTCTTTACAGTAACTGAAACTCCAGGCAGAGATCAAAGCACCTTGTCTACTAAGCAAACATTAACCCAGCATGGGGAGAGGAGAAGGGGCTGGCTGTGCGAAGCCAGCCGGGCAGCTCAGCAGTGGGTTAGCTGGGGCCTGCACACAGTAGGTGCTCAGTAAGTGCTTGCTGAGTGTTACTGGTGTTTTGTTCATTCTTTCTCTTCATCCTGCCCCACCCTGCCCTGGCTGCTCTTTGCTCATTGTATGATCCTTTTCATGAGAGAGTGTTTTGAAGAGCGCAGACAGAATCTTAACAAATAGCGCATTGTCCCAGCGATCCAAAGCAGGACTGCAGTGCCGGGGTGGCCCAAGGCTGCGGGGAAGAGGCTGGAGAGAGCAAGGCCTGCCGGACAGTGGCAGATCTCTAAGGAAATTGTCCCCTGGGGGTTGTGGTTCTTCCCATCAGAATCAGGCCTTTTGTTCTCAGGAATGAGGTGGGCTAAGAGAGAGTTGATTGGTTTATTTTTAAAAGATCCTCAGCTGATAATGGTAAAAAGTATCATTTATACACAAGGCCATTTTGTTTACTTTGGGACCCAAAACTTAGGGAACCCTGAATTCTGTTTCTCCTGTAGCCTAGGCAGGTCAGCCTTAGACGAGACGGGTGGCCCCAAGCACCTCTGAGTTTCCAAAATCTTGCAAGTATTTTAGAGACATATGCAGTGGTGGCTGGAGCTGGTTTACAGACATATGCAGTGGTGGCTGGAGCTGGTTTACAGACATATGCAGTGGTGGCTGGAGCTGGTTTACAGACATATGCAGTGGTGGCTGGAGCTGGTTTACAGACATATGCAGTGGTGGCTGGAGCTGGTTTACAGACATATGCAGTGGTGGCTGGAGCTGGCTCATGTTGTGAGCCTATTGTGTACATCTCTTCCCAGCCTTGAGTTCAGTGACTTCACCTTGGTAGCTTGAAATTGGCCATGGCAGGAGAATTTACACCACAAGAAATGGCAAATGCCACAGATCATGGCGCCTCCCTGCTTCCCCATCCCCACGCCCAGCTGGTCATTAAACATTTACCAGCACACTGCTGACTCTTTCCTTAAAAGTTAACCATTGTGGGCCAGGCACAGTGGCTCATACCCATAATCCCAGCACTTTAGGAGGCTGAGGCTGGAGGATGGCTTGATCCAACAGTTCAAGACCAGCCTGGGCAACATAACGAGACCCCATCTTTACAAAAACTTTTAAGATTAGTCAGGCATGGTGGCATGCACCTGTAGTCCTAGCTACTCAGGAGGCTGAGACAGGAGTTCGAGGTTGCAGTGAGATATGATTGTACCACTACGCTCTAGCCTGGGTTACAGAGTAAAACCCCCATCTCTTTGTTTTATTTTTTTATTTCATTTTATGTATTTTATTTTCCTTTTTGAGACAAGAGTCTTACTTTGTCACCCAGGCTGGAGTATAGTGGCGTGATCTTGGCTCACTGCAGCCACCACCTTCGGGTTCAAGCAATTCTAGTTCCTCAATAGCTGGGTTTACAGGCATGCATCACCATGCCAGTTGCTTTTGTATTTTTAGTAGAGACGGGGTTTCGCCATGTTGGCCAAGCTGGTCTAGAACTCCTGACCTCAAATGATCTGCCTACCTTGGCTTCCCAAAATGTTGGGAGTATAGGCGTGAGCCACCGCACCCAGCTGACCCCGTCTCTTTAAAAAAAAAAAAAAAAACGGAAAAGTTAACTGCTGTATACATTTATTCCCTCTGCCTGAACTTTTCTTCTCCCAAGCTGGCACATGGCCCACCCCTTCCGGTCATTCAGTCTCAGCTCAGATGACACCTCAGAGAGGCCACATCCGAACACTCAGTTGTACTGTTTTCATAGTGTTTATCCCTACCTGATAACATTTTATGTGCTTATGTTTTTTTGTCCATGTCTGTCCCTTGTTCTAATCCCCACCTACAGAATTTTTCCTTCTTCTCTCAACAGCCTCCTTTTCTGAAAGAGTTCGGAACATGTCGCCTGATGAAATCAAGATCCCGCCAGAACCCCCTGGCAGATGTTCAAATCACTTGCAAGTAAGCATGAGACTCGGCTACTGAGGTCGGATAGATTAGATAGCCTGGGTTACGTGTTTGGTTTGGTCTTAATCTTAAGAGACCATGGCAGGGAAAGGGACTGAGGCTTCTATAAAAGAAACTGACAGGTGGGAAGGATCCCACAGTCCACTTTACCTCCTGTTAGCCTCATCTCAGGAGTTGGCTCCTACACCCACCGCCATGTCCCGTGGTGCTGCTCCAGCAGGGCGGCCCTGTCTTGCCTTCAGTGAAGTCCTAAGCAGAGACAGAGAAAAGAACGTAACCTTTTCTGTGCAGCCCTACTGGGCCAGTGGTAGCTTCTCAGAAAGAGCTTTGCTAAGAAACTGAGGAACCCTCAGAATGTAAAATAAATTACAGAAATGAAAAAGTCACAGGCATTATATGTATACATTTTCTATCCTAATCTATTTCTAAAATGCTGATTCAGTAGCTTCTTCCCTGACAGAATGTGCAGCCCTGACTGGAGGTTTTGAAATCCCAAGGAGTCGAGGCTTTTGTGCAGTTACACTCCCTGGGGGGACAGCTAGGGTTCAGCCCGTGGCTCTCCTTGTCCCTCTGTGGGTTCCCTTGTGATGAACAATAGAACAGGCACCCAAGGCTGCACAATCATGGCTCCTGGACCACCTGCTTCACCTTTGATCCTGGAGCTCCCACTGGGTGCCTCTGGCTACACAGCAAGCCCGTGACACCGCCCTAACGGATGGATGACTAATGGGACCTGAGGCTAAGGAATGCAGCAAGCTAGGGGAGGGCCAGAGCAGGACTGGGGGTGCAGCACAGATTCCCTTCCCTTCCCGGAAGTCTCCTCCCATTGCTGGGTCGTCTCCCCACCACCGCCCTCCAGAATCACGTCACCCTCCGTGCCAGACAACCAGACAACAAGCTCCAGCCTGTAAGGACGACTCCAGCAACCCGCCAGGCAGAGACAAACGGCGCACAGCATACAGTGCCAATTGTGCCTCCTCTTTAGACCCTCCTGATGGTGGAAACCATGACATTCGAGCAAACATTTTAGTTCATCTTGAGTAGTAGAACTGATCTTATGGCCCAGGAGACACAGCCAAGTCATCTGTATGACATGGGTTCTCCTCAAGTTGCCAAGCCTTCTGTATATGGCTCCCTCCATGACCCTGGAGGAGACAGCTTGGAGGACAGAGGTTCTTCAGTCTCGGCTGAAGTCACAGACCTCTCTCTGCAGTTCAGCTCTGCTCTGGCCAGTCTTGGTAGAAAGATTTGGCCTCTAACAAGGGGAGTGGATCACCCCTCCTGACGTGTCCTAAATGTTGTCATGTGGGCCCTCCAGGCCTGCCCACCTGCTTTTGCCGGCACAGTGCCTCAGATGTTTCCCTTCTGGAGAATCTATATTTAACCCCCACTGCAGGGGGAGGCTGCAGGTAGATCTTGCCCTGGGCCAGTGCCCGCCTTCCTTGCTAAGACTGCTCTTTCTAGAGGTGGCTCTGCCATGACACTCTGGTGTCTTGGCCCTCTTCATTGGCACTGGGTCATGCTGATGCCGTCTACTTTGGGCATCATGTCCATGGGCTGGGCAGGACCCCCTTCCTGAGGACGCCTGTGGCACTGGCCACAGTAGGTAAGCCTGGATCCCCCGAGGTGGTTCTCCACTCTCCCATCGAAAGCCAGGGCAGTGACCTGTGGGGGAGTTTGGGTGAGAGATAAGCAGTTAACCCTTGATGCCCTCGATAAACCAGCGCGGACCAGCCACCTGTGAGCCTCCCCATAAAAGACACATTCTAAAAAGTTTGCAAGACCGAATCCAAAAAACTCTATTCCCGCCTCCCGTTAAAAGGACATAGCCCTTCCGAAGTCTCCTGTGGCTCACAGTTCTGCTGAGGACTTGATCTCATGTTAAAATTGAAAACCAGGATTTAGTCCCTGCGTATCAACACCAACCCCTAAACCCTACTTCGGATGATTCTGGAACTGATTAACCAGTTGGGGCTTTGTTCATTATTTTCTCTATGGCTCCTCTGCTGTGTGATCTTTTCACTGCTCACTATACTGTCATCCAGAGAGCGTCAGGAAACCTCAGCAGTGAAAGCAGCCTGGTCTCGGTTTATCTTACTTGTGTGCAGTTCTGGGCAAAGGCAGGGTGGAGAAAGAGAATAGATTAATTTTTTGTTTTGTTTTGTCGAGACAGTCTCACTGCATCACCAGGCTGGAGTGCAGTGGCATGATCTCAGCTCACTGCAACCTCCACCTCCCAGGTTCAAGCTATTCTTCTGCCTTAGCTTCCCAAGTAGCTGGGACTACAGGCTTGCCCCACCACACCCAGCTAATTTTGTTTGTATTTTTAGTAGAGATGGGGTTTCAACATGTGGGCCAGGATGGTCTCAATCTCTGGACCTCGTGATCCACCCGCCTCAGCCTCCCAAAGTTCTGGGATTACAGGCGTGAGCCACCGTGCCTGGCTGAGGATAGGTTAAATTTTAACATGAGGTCAAGTTGGGCTTTGCCTGACTGGAGCCTCATGTTCATGCTGCACATGTAGCTGGTGACCAGGGGCTGGGACGGTGGAGGGGTGGGCTTCTGTCATACACCCCCCCACCCCCTCTGCTCCTCTTCACAGGACAAGATCCAGAAGCTTTATGAACGAAAGATAAAGGAGGGAATGGATATGAACTACATTATCCAAAGGAAGAAAGAATTTCGGAACCCTAGGTAAGTTTCCCTTGAGCCTGCAGAGTTTATTGAGTTATTAATGTTGGACTAAGGACTAAGACGTCCCCAAGGAGGTGGTGAGGAAAAGCCCAGAGCCCAAACCATCACCCAGACTTGTCATTACACTGAGTGCCTGCTGGACATGGCGGACTGTGCTAACCCAGCCAGAGGCTTGCCATTTAAGATCCAGAAAAAACACAAAGCAATTCATACCGAGACCTAGACGGGGATGAGGGAGACCTGGCTGAGTTCTCGTCCCTGCTCTGAGCCTAAAGCACATGACCTCTCAAGTCCCCTGTCCTCATGGAAGGAATTGGACTAGACAATTACTGTAGGTTCATCTTCCAACTCTAAAAAGCTGATTTTTGCATATAGGTGAGAGGTCTTAGGACCAGAGCGATGTCTGGTCTTCCTCCATTGAATGTTCAAGCTAGTGACATACAGGGAAAAGAGCATGGCCCTTGTGTGGGTCTGAGTGTGGTAAGCCCAATCCAGCTGTGCAGACTGAAGGTCAGTGAGACAAAACTCAGCCGTCACCTTGACCCTGTGCTCCTCCCGGCCCCTAGCTAACAGGTCCATCTCCCTGGGAGAGTGGAGGGCCATCAGGAAGCTTGCTTAGAGCAGCTGAGCTGGATTTAAAAGTTGTGAAGGTTTTGTGTCAGCCCCAGGAGCTGGATGGTTCAGGTCCCATGCAGGGACGTGGACTTGTGCCTGCTCAGCGCCGGCACTGTTCTTTCAGCATCTACGAGAAGCTGATCCAGTTCTGTGCCATTGACGAGCTTGGCACCAACTACCCAAAGGTGCGTCTGGCACACGGGGCTGGAGGGTGATGGGGACACCCAGGGTCCTTTGCTTGTTCCATGGGATTTGACCTGCAGCCACAGAAAGGTCCACGTGGTGGCACGGCTCGTTGAAAGCACAGTCCCTGTCTCTTTTGTTTGAGTCCCTATTGTTCTGAAATAGTCCAATAAAGAGATTCCGGTGGCCGGCCTGGTGCCTGGCCCCTGACTGGTGGGGACATGTGTGGACCTGCTGCTCCTGGGGTTCGCTGGATGGGGGCTTCGTGCTCCCATGTTCTTCAGCACTTGCCAGCCGCCCCTTGGCTAAAGACCAAAGATGACAGCCGAGCCCCGGGTAAGGGGACCCCAGACCAAGAAGCTCTATGGGAAGACTTGGGCCAGGAACTTGGGTTTCTGAGTCATTTGTCATCTGAGTCATTCGCCTTTTCCTTTGCAGGATATGTTTGATCCCCATGGCTGGTCTGAGGACTCCTACTATGAGGCATTAGGTAGCCTTTCGTCCCTCCTCCCATATACCTTGTCCGCCCACCCGACTGTCCCTTTATCCAGTCAGTTGGTTATCCAGGTGACACATATTTCAGGGTCTACTCTATGTCAGGCCATGTTCAAGGGGGCTGGGTACAGGCCTGAATGAGACAGACCCACCCCTGCCTTAAGAGGCTTATGCCACAGCAAAGAAGATGGAACGTCACGCCAGTAACGCCAGCATCGATGAGTGTTGGTGATGACGGAGTTGCTGGGTACAGGGGAGCTTTGGCAAGCAGGGTCATCTAATCTGGCCAAAGGGATGGGAAGGCCTCACTGACAAAACTGTGTTCAAGCTGAGGTTTGAAGAGGCAGAGGGGCCAGGCAGGTGTAGGCAGAATGTTCTGAGGCCAGTGAGAGGATGGCTTTTTCTTAAGATACCAGTTTGGGAGCACTGGGAGAAATGTCAAAGGGCCCAAACCCCTAGACCATAGGTCTTAAGCCTGCAGCCCATGGCCCAGATCTTGGCCTGTAGAGGTGCTTTGTTTGGCCTTCATGAATTTTGTCATCTTTTAATTTGAATTCATTGCCAACATTTTATATAATCTCTGATTCCAGCTTCTCTCCATCAGTAGGAGGGTAGTCCCCATTGGGCCTGTATTCCCGTGTGTGGCAGTCCACAGGAGCTCAGGAGTAGCTGACCCTTCCGGGCACACACAGGGCATGCAGCCCGCCAGTCTGGAGCTGAAGGCCCCTGCCCTATGCCGACCAAGGGCTGGCTTCATTTTGCCAAGCACAAAGAACACTGAGCCCATGAAGGCCTTTAGCCCGCTGAAAAGAACGCAGGGATCAGAGTAGGCTCCCTCAGCCCAGAGCTGCTCGGGGGCCACCTTTGTAACAGCTTCTCTTGTCTTCATAGCCAAGGCCCAGAAAATTGAGATGGACAAATTGGAAAAGGCCAAAAAGGAGCGAACAAAAGTAAGTGATGGCAGACCTCCTAGATGAAAAAGGCACATGTGGAGTGCATGGGTCCTGCTGGCTGAGCCCAGAAGGTGTCCAGGCTGCCCCCAACCCTGGCCCCGTGTCATCACCCGGCGATGCTCTGAGCCTCTCAGCAGGGCCTGTGTGCTGAGCAGACCTGCTGGGTTCACGGCGCTCGTCTGCTGCTTTTGCCCTCGGAGACTTGTTTGCTACATTGTGCCCCCCTTTCCTCCCCGCCAATTGCAGAGCCTTGGGGGGCTTTGTCCGTTTTGGGTCATGGGGGCCCTTTGTAGCCTGAAGGGAGGGAAATAGTTCCCTAAGAGAGTGCCAGGCCCAGCTTGCGCTGCTCGGTGAGTGTCTTGGCCTCCAGAGCTGCCCTCAGTGGCTCGCCTGGGTGCTACCTATTAGGTCCCACGTTAGGGCCCTGAGCACCACTTGTTCCCTGGCAGTGTGGTCTGGGTTCTTCAGGGAGCATCAGTTTGGCTGGGAGACCAAACTGTTATCTCTGGGCCTTGTTCCCTTTGTGACCAGTCTCAGAGCCGGGCATCAGGACACCAGCTCCTCCCACTTCTGGCTCGGCCTGACCATCCTCAAGCAGCTGCGGCCTCCAGACCGCTTCCCTCACCCCAAGCAGAGGGGCTGTGGGGCCTGGGCATGCTGGTGGCCCTCTGGAGGTGCTGGCTGCTGGGCCAGGAACGTGGGAGCTGGTGCAAGGGGATAGTTGGGGTTTCTCATTCTTAACCCTTGATTGAATCTCCCTTCTCTCTCTTTCCCTCTCCCTTCCAAACCCCAGGCTTGTTGCAGGGACGTGTCTGCAGCGCCTGGGGACCGGAGCTGTCCTTCCCCTGTGCGGGCGGGCACCGCCTCCTCCTGGGTGTGAGGAGGAGGGGCCTGGCCAAACGGTTCTGGGCATGTGAGGTGGGGCGGTGGGCGGGGGGTGCCGGGCATGTGCAGAGACCTGGTGATGCCGGGAGGGATACAGTACTGTTTGGAAAGTTCTTTTAAGAGTGAAAAGCCCCTTTGGGTTCTTCTTAGACATCTCGCCCTACCCCAGATGGGCAGAGCAGAGTTCATTTCCAATGCCTCTTTTGTGTAGTGCCAAGCTCCTGTCCCCCAGGAGCTGACGGATGGCAAAAAGCTGTGGACACCCAGCTTTGCCTGGTCTTATTCTCTTCCCTCTCCCTCTCCAGATTGAGTTTGTGACGGGCACCAAAAAAGGCACCACGACCAACGCCACGTCCACCACCACTACCACTGCCAGCACAGCTGTTGCAGGTAGATTGCAGAGCTGCCCTGCCTCCTGCCACACACATGGAGCCAGGGTCTCCCTGGCTTGTTTGGGCGACAGACAGCACGTGGATCTGGGCCTGGGCTCAGCCTTGCTACTTTGAGAAGCACCTTTGGAGTCTGGGGTGGGCCACTTCGGGGTCTGCTCCCTAGACTCCCGCTGGCCTGCAGGGGGAAGGGAAAGAGGGCACCGCTCATTGGTGGATCGTGATCCTGATTTCTGCTTTATCTCCAGATGCTCAGAAGAGAAAGAGCAAGTGGGATTCGGCTATCCCAGTGACAACGATAGCCCAGCCCACCATCCTCACCACCACAGCCACCCTGCCAGCTGTTGTCACGGTCACCACCAGCGCCAGCGGCTCCAAGACCACCGTCATCTCTGCTGTGGGCACCATTGTGAAGAAGGCCAAGCAGTGACCTGAGGGGCCACCCTAGGACTTGAAAGGACCGTGCAGCCCAGTGACCACTGCCCAGTGGGAGGCGCCACTTTGTATATTTCAGGACTGGGACCTACTCCCCAGATGCCACCTGAGAGGAGCTTCTGTTTGGCATTCCAGATGGAAGGACAGGCAGCACGGGAGCCAGGCGCTGTGGACAGGGTCTGTCCACGCACCACCTGGGGTCTGCCGCCTATTAAAAGTGCCGTATTCTTACCTCTTGGCATCTCAGATGCACTGGCCTCTCCTGCATTCTGTTTGCAGGCAAATGCTTCAGCTCACATGTCCCCCAAGACTCAATAGTCTTGGTTGGGACTATTGCCTCAGGGTTGACAACAGGGTGATGGAGGCCTGGGACGCTGTTCAGAGGGGTGACCCAAGAAGTCACCGTTGTTATCCGTGTATGCCTCTGGGCATGGACAGGCGGGAGTCCCCGAGCCCCACGTATGCCCCATCTGCCGCCTTGATCCCAAAACCCAGCCAGTTCTCGGGTGATGGTGGAGCTGTGCTCCCTTGAGTGCACTTGAGCACTCCCCAGACCAGATCACTTTTTGGACACACCCAGGAAGGCTTTTGAAGTCAAGCCAGTTTCCAGAAGGGCTGGGGTGAGATCCTGACCTGTGCAGAGAGTGGGGAGGCGTCAGCGCCTGGCCAGGGCTGCCCCAGTCCTTTGGTGCCCGGTGAGCGCAGCCAGCAGGAGCTGAGCAGCGGGGGAGATGAATCACCTCCTGCCTTGGCGAGGCGGCAGCTCATTGTTTACAGGCAAGCCCTGCTCCTGGGAGGGCTCCTGCCACCCCACCCTTCCTCTGTGTGTTATCTCTGCCCCACAGCAGCCCCTGGGCAGCACCAGTGGCCACTGGGCTCCCCCCGGGGTTGAAACGGGTTTCCCAGACCAGGGGTTCAGAGGAGACTATTTACCCTTCATGATCTTTGGCGATTCTCCACTGGAGCGGAAGGGCTGTGTGTCAAAAGAAGGAAGCCAGGCTGTGAAGGGCCGTGTTGCTTTCAGTGGGTGGGCAGAGGTTTAGAAAGGTGGTTCTGAAATGGCACCTGGTACTCTTGTGGGACCTGGGGAATATAAGGAACTCTGTGCATGAGGTTTCAAAAATAAAAATTGAGTCCACTCTCCCCGTACACACACACTCGGGCACTTCAGGAGGTCAGTTCTCACCCCTTCCTCGATGGGGCTTTAAAGCTCTGGGGAGAAGAGCTGCTCCCCACTCATGCCCCAGAGGGACTGTGAAAAGGCTTCCTGTGACCTCCGATGGCGGCCCCTCATTGGCCAAGGGCACTGTGGATGTTTTGTGGGAGGCAGCATGGCACCGTGGAAAGGGCAGTAGACGTGGAGCCGGCACCTCTGGTCTGGATTCCACTTAAAACCAGTTGAGTGGTCTCAAGCCCTTAACCTCTGTAAGCCTGTTTCTTCTCTGAAATCACAGTAATAAAGCGTCGTAAGATGGTTGGGAAGAACCAGAGGTGACTTATGCAAAAGCTTTATAAACTGTAAAGTTCCTGCCAGTGTTTTTTGTTGGCTAAATCCAATTTTTTTTTGTTGTAGACCAAGGAGAGAAGCAAACTCCTGGCCTGTCCCCCGTCTCGTGCTCTGTCGGCGGGGTAGGGTTTGGCAGGTCTTTCCCCTCCCCGCTTTCCTCTGGGCAGCCCTGGCGCTGCCATTCATCTGTCCAGTTAAAGCAGTAATGACTGTCTCCTGCGGGGCCGCAGAGGTAGGGGGCCTGGAGAATGAACATAGGCTTAGAAGTTGGGCAACCCCAGGCCAAAACTGCTGCCCCACTTACCAGCCTCGTGAGTTGGGTCAAGGTTTTTAATCCTTCTAGACTTTCATTTACTCTTCTATAAAATGGTGCTTGCCCACCTTAGTCACATCAAGGATGGCCCAGAGGTGTGTGAACAGTTCCTGTTGTGGGTGGATGGCCCAGGCACTAGGGGCCAAAGTTGTTTCTAACCAGTGTGTGTCTGCTCGCCAGAGAACAGTGTCCAAACTGAACTCTGTCCACGGCTCCTACTGTCCCCCACCCACACACCTGCTACCTCTCCCGAGGGCTCTGATCTTGGGTGGGCATCAGGATTCATTTAGCTTCCCACCTTGCACATGTAGTACCCCAAGATGTGTCTCAGGTTTGTATAATCCCCTCCTGACTCTGCTGGACAGGTAGGTGCTCCTTTCTCAACACTCACAGCACCCCCTTGCTTTTAGGATCACACTGAACTGCCGTGTAATCTCTGCCCACAAGCGGGATGAGACAGCTCATGTCTCCTAGTTCTTGTAAGCAGAAACAAAGCAGGCATAAATAACACTCTGCTC
The DNA here is from genome assembly GCF_000001405.40 of Homo sapiens. Taxonomy (NCBI): domain Eukaryota; kingdom Metazoa; phylum Chordata; class Mammalia; order Primates; family Hominidae; genus Homo; species Homo sapiens. The sequence goes on from NC_000017.11 coordinate 75,708,865, forward strand.
CAGTGCCTGGCATGAGATAAGTACACAGGTGGTTGGGGGAATGGAGGGATGAAAGGAGAGGTGAGTTTGCTCATCTTCCAAAGGGGTGGTCTCTGCTCCTAGGGTCACTGAAATGAAAGTTTCCAGCCCCCAAGCCCTGTGCTCACAGCATCACTCAAGCCTCCTAGGGCTCGATTTCCAAAGGGCTGCTGTCGATTGGTGATGCATTGACAATTATTGAGGTTCAGTGATAGGTACAGGAGTGTTCAATATTCTCTTTAATTTTGTATCTATTTGGAAATCTCTATAATAAGGGATTTTTTAAGGGCTATTGAGCCTGGTGCAGTGGCTCACGCCTGTAATCCCAGCACTTTGGGAGGCCAAGACGGGCAGATCACAAGGTCAGGAGATTGAGACCATCCTGGCTAACACGGCGAAACCCCGTCTCTACTAAAAATACAAAAAAAATTAGCTGGGTGTGGTGGTGGGTGCCTGTATTCCCAGCTACTCAGGAGGCTGAGGCAGGAGAATGGCGTGAACCCAGGAGGCGGAGCTTGCAGTGAACCGAGATCGCGCCACTGCACTCCAGCCTGGGCGATAGAGTAAGACTCCATCTCAAAAAAAAAAAAAAAAGCCGGGCGTGGTGGCAGGTGCCTGTAATCCTAGCTACTTGGGAGGCTGAGGCAGGAGAATCGCTTGAACCCAGGAGGCGAAGGTTGCAGTGAGCCTAGATTGCGCCATTGCACTCCAGCCTGAGCGACAAGAGCAAAACTCCCTCTCAGGGGCGGAGGGGGTTGGAAGGCTATTAAGCCACACAAAAAAGAACAAGGGGCCGGGCGCAGTGATTCACGTCTGTAATCCCAGCACTTTGGGAGGCCAAGGGACTGGATCCCATGAGGCCAGGAGTTCGAGACCAGCCTGACCAACATAGTGAACCCTCATCTCTACTAAAAAAAAAAAAAAAATAGCTGGTCGTGGTGGCGCATGCCTGTAGTCCCAGCTAGTTGGGAGACTGAGGCAGGAGAATAGCTTGAACCCGGGAGGCAGAGGTTGCAGTGAGCTGAGATTGTGCCAATGCTCTTCAGCCTGGGCAACAAGAGCAAAAACTCCGTCTCAAAAAAAAAAAAAAAGGGAGCCGGGCGCGGTGGCTCATGCCTTTTAATACCAGGACTTTGGGAGGCCAAGGCGGGCAGATCACAAGGACAGGAATTCAAGACCAGCCTGGCCAACATGGTGAAACCCCATGTCTACTAAAAATACAAAAACTAGCCTGGTGTGATGGCAGGTGCTTATAATCCCAGCTACTCAGGAGGCTGAGGCAGGAGAATTGCTTGAAGCCGGGCAGCAGAGATTGCAGTGAGCCGAGATTGCGCCACTGCACTCCAGCCTGGGCAATACAGTGAGACTCTGTCTCAAAAAAAAAAAAACTGAAAAAAAGATCTTCATGGATAGATTATTTGGAGTGATCTTTAGGAGAGATTAAATGAAAAAAGGTATCAAACAGTACATGTAATAAATTATCTTGTATAAGAAGGGAGAAAATACTATACAAATAAAAAATAATTGGCTGGGCGTGGTGGCTCATGTCTGTAATCCCAACACTTTGGGAGGAGGCAGGCAGATCACTTGAGGCCAGGAGTTCGAGACCAGCCTGGCCAACGTGGTGAAACCCCATCTCTACTAAAAATACAAAAATCAGCCGATAATGGTGGTGGGCACCTGTAGTCCCAGCTAGTTGGGAGGTTGAGGCAAGAGAATCACTTGAACCCGGGAGGCAGAGGTTGCAGTGAGCCAAGATCGTGCCACTGCACTGCACCCTGGGCAACAGGGCGAGACTCTTATCTTAAATAATAATAATAATTGCCAGGCGTGGGGGCATGCACCTGTAGTTCCAGCTGCTCAGGTGGCTGAGATGGGAGGATCCCTTGAGCCCAGGAGTTGGAGGCTGCTGTGAGCCAAGATTTCACCACTGCATTCCAGCCTGAACCACAGCAAGACTCCATCTCTAAAAAATAATAATAGAAGAAGGAGCTACAAAAATAAAACCAAATAAATTAAGAAAAATCTCTAATATTAAATTTGAATGATTTGAATGAAGATATCAATATGAACTCAGGATTTAAGAAAAAGATACATTTCCTATCTGTCCATTGCAAGGAGCTAGGACCTCCTGCTTTGTATATGGTGAGTTAAAAAAAAAACAAAACCTGGAAGCAATGACAGACACCCTGGTAGCATCCAGCACACAGTATTCACATCGTGGTCTCTAATACCATTCCCCACTGAAAGGAACCAAGCCGGGGCCCCTTGGAGAAACAGCAGATCCTGAAATCTAAGTAGGACTGGGGCAGTTCTAGAAAGCAGGGAAGACACGGAAGTCAGATCAAAATGTCAAAAAAGCTAGGGTGAAGGGATCTCCTACTGGCCAAATTTGGTTACATTTGAACATGAAGGAAGAATGATTACAATGAATTGTGTGTTTTTTGTTTTTTTTTTTTTTTGAGACAGCGTCTCACTCTGTTGCCCAGGCTGGAGTGCAGTGGCACGGTCTCGGTTCACTGCAACTTCTGCCTCCTGGGTTCAAGCGGTTCTCCTGCCTCAGCCTCCCGAGTAGCTGGGATTACAGATGCCCACCACCACGCCCAGCTAATTTTTGTATTTTTAGTAGAGACGGGGTGTCACCATGTTGGCCAGGCTGGCCTCAAAACTCCTGACCTCAGGTGATCCACCCTCCTTGGTTTTCCAAAGTGCTGGGATTACAGGCGTGAGCCACTGCACCTGGCCTACGATGAATTGTAAACTATTGAGCAAATAAAAATTCTTTCATTCACAGTGATAATTTGAAAAAAAAATGTATTTGCCACCATTAGACTTGAATATATCTACTCCTTACTCTGAAATTGATAATTAGGTGAGAAGAATTAACCATTGTGCACCATTGATGGGATTTTGAAGTGCAACTGCTGTGGAAACAGTATGGCAGTTCTTCAAAAGTTTCTTTTTTTTTTTTAAGACAGTCTCACTCTTGCCCAGGCTGGAGTGCAGGGGTGCCATCTTGGTTCACTGCAACCTACTCCTAGGCTCAAGCAATCCTCCTGCCTCAGCCCCCAAAGTATCCGGGACTATAGGCATGAGCCACCATGCTCGGCTAATTTTTGGTTGGTTGGTTTGTTTTTTGAGACAGTCTCACTCTGTCACCCAGGCTGGCATGCAGTGGTGCGATCTTGGCTCACTGCAACCTCTGTCTCCTGGGTTCAAGCAATTCTCCTGCTTCAGCCTCCCAAGTAGCTGGGACTACGGCACGTGGCGCCATACCCAACTAACTGTTGTCTTTTTGGTAGAGACAGGGTTTCACTATGTTGGCCAGAGTGGTCTCGAACTCCTGACCTCAGGTGATCCACCTCCCTCAGCCTCCCAAAGTGCTGGGATTATAGGTATGAGCCACCATGCCCAGCCAGTCCTTCAAAAGTTAAAAATAGAACTATCATATGACCCAGTGGTCCCACTTCTGGATATATATCCAAAATAATTGAAGGCAGGGTCTCAAAGAGATAGTTACACACCCATGTTCATAGCAGCATCATTCACAGTAGCCAAGAGGTGGAAGTGCCCAAATGTCCATTGACAGATGAGTGAATAAACAAATAATGATATATACATACAATATACATACACGCATACTTAAATATTCAGCCTTAAAAAGGAAGGAAATCCTGTCACATTCAACACATGAATGAACCTCAAGGACGTTATGCTAAGTGCAATAAGCCAGTCACAATAAGAAATACTGAATAATTCCATTTATATGAGACATCCAGTGTAGACAAATTCATAACAGACAGGAAGTAGAATGGTGGTTGCTAGGAACTGGGCATGCAGAAGGGTGAAATGGAGAGTTGCTTAATGGGTACAGGATTTTAGTTTTGCCACATGAAAAGTTCTGGTGATCTGTTACACAACAATAGATATATTGAACTGTACACTTAAAAAATGGTAAAGATGGTGAACTTTAACGTGTTTTCAGGATCTTTTTATATTTTATTTTATTTATTTATTTATTTTAAGACGGAGTCTCGCTCTGTCGCCTGGGCTGGAGTACAGTGGCGCGATCTCCGCTCACTGCAAGCTCAGCCTTCTGGGTTCACGCCATTCTCCTGCCTCAGCCTCCCGAGTAACTGGGACTTCAGGCACCTGCCACCACTCCTAGCTAATTTTTTTTTGTGTTTTTTGTAGAGACGGGGTTTCACCGTGTTAGCCAGGATGATCTCCATCTCCTGATCTCGTGATCCACCTGTCTCGGCCCCCCAAAGTGCTGGGATTATAGGCATGAGCCACCATACCCGGCCCATCTTTTTTAAAAAAAAATATTTTGGGTTGCTGTGTAATAGTAATTTTTTAAAGTTTCTATAACTCAAAACTTTATTTAAAAAAGCATTTACCCTGCATTTTTAGGGGAACATAGTTCATTCCCAGTTGATTAAAGGAAGCTCTATTTTTTTTTTAATCAGAAAGACACTTATTAAATGTAGAAAGGAGCTGGGCACAATGGCTCACACCTGTAATCCCAGCACTTTGGGAGGCTGAGATGGGAAGATCACCTGAGATCAGGAGCTCAAGACCAGCCTGGCCAAATGTCGAAACACCGACTCTACTAAAAAAAAAAAAAAAATTTAGCCAGGTGTGGTGGCATGCACCTGTACTCCCAGGTACTCGGGGGGCTGAGGCAGGAGAATCACTTGAACCCAAGAGGTGGAGTTTGCAATGAGCTGAGATCACGCCACTGCACTCCAGCCTGGGCAACAGAGCGAGACTCTGTCTCAAAAAAAAATAAAAATAAAAAATAAAAAATTTAAAATTTAAAAAATAGGGCTGGGCACAGTGGCTCACGCCTGTAATCCCAGCATTTTGGGAGGCCAAGGTGGGCAGATCACGAGATCAGGAGATCGAGACCGTCCTGGTTAGTACGATGAAACCCCGTCTCTACTAAAATACAAAAAATTAGCCGGGCGTGGCGGCACGTGCCTGTAGTCCCAGTTACTCGGGAGGCTGAAGCAGGAGAATGGCATGAACCCGGGAGGCGGAGCTTGCAATGAGCTGAGATTGTGCCACTGCACTCCAGCCTGGGCGACAGAACAAGACTCCATCTCAAATAAATAAATAAATAAATAAATAAATATTTAAAAAATTAAAATGTAGAAAGGAAGGTAGAAACAGAAAATTGCAATTTTTCAGCCCCAAAAATGATACAGGTGCCCTTAGACTTATAATAGGGTTATGTCCAGATAAACCCATTGTAGGTCAAAAATGTAAGTGGAAGATGCATTTAATACCCTGATAAATCCATAGTAAAGTAAAAAAAATCTTAAGTCAAATCATTGTAAGTCCAAATGCTCAACTTATGATAATGTTACATCCCAATAAACCCCATCTTAAAGTTAAAAAATTCTAAATCAAACCATCTAGGTTGGGGACAGTCTAATTGATTCAAGCCAGGGTCACCAATGAGTGCTAAAACGATTCAGTGAAAGCTTGTTGGGAAACGGACAGGGAGACAAAGCATCATCCTCCTCCCCTAGATAACCTCCTTTTTTTTCTTTTTATTGTTTAATTAATTTTTTTTTGAGACAGAGCCTTGCTCTGTCGCCCAGGATGGAGTGCAGTGGTGCGATCTTGGCTCACTGCAACCTCTGCCTCCTGGGTTCAAGCAATTCTCATGCCTCAGCTTCCCAAGTAACTGGGATTACAGGTACGCGCCACCACACCCAGATCTTTTTTTTTTTTTTTTTTTTTTTTTTTTCTGAGATGGAGCCTTTCTCTGTTGCCCGGGCTGTAGTGTAGTGGTGTGATCTTTGCTCACCACGACCTCCACCTGCCGGGTTCAAGCAGTTCTTCTGCCTCAGCCTCCCGAGTAGCTGGGACTACAGGCACATGCCGCCATGCCTGGCTAATTTTTGTATTTTTAGTAGAGACGGGGTTTCACTATGTTGGCCAGGCTGGTCTCAAACTCCTGACCTCATGATCCGCCCGTCTTGGCCTCCCAAAGTGCTGGGATTATAGTCATGAGCCACAACGCCGAGACTTTTTTTTTTTTTAGTAGAGACGAGATTTCCTCATGTTGACCAGGATTGTCTTGAACTCCTGGCTTCAAGTGATCCACCTGTCTTGGCCTCCCAAAGTGCTGGGATTACAGACGTGAGCCACCGTGCCCGGCTTATTGTTTAATTTAATTTTTTTTTCTTTTAGAGAGACAAGATATCACTCTGTCTGCCAGGCTAGAGTGCCGTGGCTTGATAGCTCACTGCAGCCTCGAACTCCTGGGCTCAAGGGATCCTTTTGCCTTACCTCACAGGTGCACGGCACCACACCCAGCCAATTTTATTTTTATTTTTTGCAGAGCCGGGGCCTCCCTGTGCTGCCCAGACTAGCTTTGCACTGCTGTCCTCAAGCGATCCTCTAGCCTCAGCTTCCCAAAGTGCTTGGATTACAGGTACATTACTTCTTTTTTTATTTTATTTTATTTTTGAGATGGAGTCTCGCTCTGTCGCCCAGGCTGGAGTGCAGTGTCGCGATCTCAGCTCACTGCAAGCCCCGCCTCCCAGGTTCACACCATTCTCCTGCCTCAGCCTCCGGAGTAGCTGGGACTACAGGTGCCCGCCACCACACCTGGCTTATTTTTTGTATTTTTAGTAGAGACGGGGTTTCACTGTGTTAGCCAGGATGGTCTTGATCTCCTGACCTCGTGATCTGCTCACCTCGGCCTCCCAAAGTGCTGGGATTACAGGTAGATTACTTTTTTTTGTTTTTTTTGAGACAGTGTCTCGCTCTGTCGCCCATGTTGGTGTGCAGTGGCGCGATCTCGGTTCACTGCAAGCTCCACCTCCCGGGTTCACGCCATTCTCCTGCCTCAGCCTCCTGAGTAGCTGGGACTACAGGCGCCCGCCACCACGCCCGGCTAATTTTTTGTATTTTTAGTAGAGACGGGGTTTCACCATGTTAGCCAGGATGGTCTCGATCTCCTGACCTCATGTTCCACCCACCTCAGCCTCCCAAAGTGCTAGGATTACAGGCATGAGCCACCGCACCCGGCTACAGGTAGATTACTTCTTAATCACAAAGTGAAAATTGGTATTTTTACGTTGGGAGAGATGGCAGTCACTTCCTTAACCAAGTGATTGGCTTAAGCATCACTACTAGGCACCTGGCATCAATTGCCACCTGCAAACCACACAGCACCACCTGTGACCATCCTTGCCAAAAATATTTAACTTAACTCTAATCTGACCTTTAGCCCTATACCTCAGTTTACAAGGGGCTGAAAGAAAGGCCCAGCGACACCATGAGGAAGCATTCCAGAAGGAAGCTTCCCATGAGGAAGACAAGTCAAGAAAGGGGAGCATTCTGCAGGACAGCTGGCCCAACTCCTTAAAAGGTCAACGTGGGGGCCGGGCACAGTGGCTCATGCTTTTAATCCCAGCACTTTGGGAGGCCGAGGTGGGTGGATCACTTGAGGCCAGGAGTTCAAGACCCACCTGGCCAATATGGCGAAACCCCTGTCTCTACCAAAAAGAAAATACTAAAAATTAGCTGGGTGCAGTGGCACACACCTGTGGTCCCAGCTACTCGGGGGACTGAGGCAGGAGAATCACTTGAGCCCAGGAGGCAGAGGTTGCAGTGAGCCAAGATCTCGCCACTGCGCTCCAGCCTGGGTAACAGAGTGAGACTGGCTAAAAAAAAAGTGAACGTGGGCTGGGCGCGGTGGCTCATGCCTGTAATCCCAGCACTTTGGGAGGACGAGGCAGGCGGATCACGAGGTCAGGAGATCGAGACCATCCTGGCTAACATGGTGAAACCCCATCTCTACTAAAAATACAAAAAAAAAAAAAATTTGCCAGGGGTGGTGGCGGGTGCCTGTAGTCCCAGCTACTCCGGAGGCTGAGGCAGGAGAATGGGGTGAACCTGGGAGGCGGAGCTTGCAGTGAGCTGAGATCGTGCCACTGCACTACAGCTTGGGCGACAGAGCGAGACTCTGTCTCAAAAAAAAAAAAAAAGTAATGTAGGGCAGGGGATGGGATGGTGAGGGTTCTATTTTAGAATGACAAAGAGACAAAACAATCAAATGCAATAGGTGGCATGGATTGGACTCAAATTCAAAAGGAAACCTTTATAATAGACATTTTGGAGTCAACTAAGAAAATTTGAATATGGACTGAATCACACATCATTTAATGGAGACATTATTTCCTTAGGTGTGAAAAGGGGCCGGGCTCAGTGGCTCACACCTGTAATCCCAGCATTTTGGGAGGCCAAGGCGGGCAGATCACCTGAGGTCAGGAGTTCAAGACCAGCCTGGCCAACACGGCGAAACCCCGTCTCTACAAAAAATACAAAAATTTAGCTGGGCGTGGTGGCATGCACCTGTAGTCCCAGCTACTCGGGAGGCTGAGGTAGAATTGCTTGAACCCAGAAGACAGAGGCTGCAGTGAGCCGAGATTGCACCATTGTACTCCAGCCTGGGCAACAAGAGCAAAATTCTGTCTCAAAAAAATAAAGGGGGGTATTGAGGTTACGTGGGGGACTGTTCTTGAGAGATACATGCTGGAGTGTTTAGGATGAAATGGCAGGATAAGTGCAACTTCAAATTTAAAAATATACAAATGTTTAACAAATATATAAATAAATACAGCAAAATATTATTCTTGAGTCTAGTTGGTAAAAATACGGGTGATTTTTGTATTCTTTCAACTTTTTGGGGCATGGTGGCTCACGCCTGCAATCCTTGCACTTTGGGAGGCTGAAACGGGAGGATTGCTTGAGCCCAGGAGTTCAAGACCAACCTGAGCAACATGGTGAAACTCTGTCTCTACAAAATAAAAATTAAAAACTTATCCAGGATTTGTGGCACACACCTGTAGTCTCAGCTACTCAGGAAGCTGAGGTGGGAGGATCACTGGAGCCCAGGAGGTTGAGGCTGCAGGGAGCCTCGATCGTGGCACTGCCCTCCAGCCTAGGCAGCAGAGTAAGACCCTGTCTCAAAAAAGAGGGGGCCTATTGAGCAACCCCTTGGCTCTGAGGAGAAAACAAACCCCAGGATTCTGCACCGGAGAGGCCTCTGCCCCCAGTCTGAACATGTGGTTGATGCGGGCTCTCCAGACAGGTCACTGGACTCTTTCCACCACACATCCCCTGTCTATTTATTCTTTAACTTGTTCTTTTATAAAACAGGTGCCAATCTACCAATAAGTAATGTACATTCTCAAGTATAAGAATAGGGGCTCAGGGCTGGGCGCAATGACTCACGCCTGTAATCCCAACACTTTGGGAGGACAAGGCAGACGGATCACCTGAAGTCAGGAGTTCAAGACCAGCCTGGTCAACATGGTGAAACCCCATGTCTACTAAAAATACAAAAATTAGCTGGGCATGGTGGTGCGTGCCTGTAATCCCAGCTACTCAGGAGGCTGAGGCAGGAGAATCGCTTGAACCCAGGAGGCAGAGTTGCAGTGAGCCGAGATTGCACCACTGCACTCCAGCCTGGACGACAGAGTGAGACTCCATCTCAAAAGAAAAAAAAAAAAAAAGAATAGGGTCTCAGCTAGCACCTACCTCGAGAATACTCAGCCTACTTTGGAGACCCCTGGTTTGAACTGGGAGTGAAGGAAGCAGGCCGTAGTTCTCGTTCATCTTGGTATCCCCAGCATTTGGCATAGGAGCTCATTAACTGCTCATAAAATGAATAAATAATTGAACTAATGAATGAACAAGTCTGACCTACTGGAGGCCACATGAGGAGTGCAGGGGAGTGGAGGAGCAACAATCCAAGGTCCTTGGGCTCGGTCCTGTTCCAGGGGCCTCACCTCTCTTGCAGAGCCTAGGAAGCCCCCTATGAGCCAACCTCACTCTGGCCCTAAGGCTGCAGAGATAGTGGGGTTTATTTTAGTTTTATAAAATTCACATGCAGGCTGGGAGCAGTGGCTCACGCCTGTAATCCCAGCACTTTGGGAGGCTGAGGTGGGTGGATCACTTGACATCAAGAATTTGAAACCAGCGTGGCCAACATGGTGAAACCCCAACTCTGCTAATAATACAAAATTAGCTAGGCGTGGTGGTGTGCACCTGTGATCCCAGCTACTCGGGAGGCTGAGGCAGGAGAATCGCTTGAACCCAGGAGGCAGGGGTTGCAGTGAGCCAGGATCGCACCACTGCACTCTAGCCTGGGCAATAGAGTAAGACTCCATCTCAATGACAACAACAAAAAAAATCACATGCAATATTTAAACTTCTGGGGCCAGTAACCTATTTGGGAATCCAGTGTAAGCTAAGGCTCCCCTCCCAGCAAACCCACATTCTGAAATCAGATACTCCTCAAAGTTTGCACAAGATCTGAGATGGTTCAGGGACTCCCCACTGCCAAGTCCACATGCGGGCTCCAGGTAATGAACCCCAGGACTCCGAGAAGCCAAGGAAGCTCATGGCTTATCTTACTTAGTGAGACCTCCCTGGGTTGACATCTCGCCTCTCAGCTGCTACAGGGCTCCAGGCCCCCTAGTCATTTTCAGAAGGGTTTGCAATGAAGAGAGGAAGGGGCTGCTGAGCCCAGTGGCCTGGGGCATCGCCAGCTCTGGACCTGGGTCTTCTCTAGGAAGAAGCCTCAGCCCCCACCCACAGTGGGGTGTATATGACCCCCTAGTTCTCTAATGGGTGCTGCTGGCAGACCCAGGCCCCTCAGGCAAGCTGTTTTTGGCCGTTCTCTGAGCTCCTGCTCCATGTTTCTGTTTTTTGGGGTGGATAGGTACCTGCTGGAGTGACTCAGGTCCACAGGGCACTTGTGCTGGCCTGACACACACAGATCTGAGTGCTTCAACCAAACTGGGACTCCTTCCACATTGTTCCCAAATCCAGGAGCAAGCCTCTCTGAACACTTTCTCTGTGCAGAACAGCTCTCAGATGACCAGGAAAGGTGGCGACTCACACATTTGCAACCAGCACCCCTGCAATCACTCTGAGAGGTAGCAGTGGAGGAATCTGTTTACAGATGACAGCATGGAGGCTCAGGGAGGCTGTGTGACCATCCCATTCACTCAACCACCCTTTTATTGAGCACCTGCTATGCACCAGGCATGGTGCTAGGTGCTAGAGAGTAGCTGCCCTTGGAGTCACAGTCCAACAGTGTGGCGAGATTCCTAAACATCATTTCAAACCAATGTGGCAAATGCCATGTAAAAGCCATGGCCCAAGGGTTATGGGGACACATAAACCAACTTGGGGTGTGGAGAGGTCAAGGAAGGCTCTCTAGCACGTGGTTGGTGCAACGTCTTCAAGGACAAGAAGGATAAACTGGGCTCAATGTCATGGGAAGGGACCAGCCTGTTGAAAAAGCACGGTGGCTTGAAACCGCATGGTTTGGACAGTGCTGTGCCAGCAGTCTGGTGTTGTTTGGCATTGCTGGCCAGTAAGCCTAGAGAAAAATGGAGCCCTGGCTGGGCATGGTGGTTCACGCCTATAATCCCAGCACTTTGGAAGGCCAAGACGGGTGGATCACCTGAGGTCAGGAGTTCGAGACCAGCCTGGCCAACATGATGTACTAAAAATACAAAAATTAGCCGGGCGTGGTGGCGGGCACCTGTAATCCCAGCTACTCGGGAAACAGGCAGGAGAAGCGCTTGAACCCGGGAGGCAGAGGTTGCAGTGAGCCAAGATTGCACCACTGCACTCCAGCCTCGGCGACAGAGTGAGACTCCATCTAAAAAAAAAAAGAGAGAGAAAACAAAAAGAAAAAGAAAAATGAAGCCCTTCTCTGACCTGAACACCCGTGGTAAGCAGTGGCAATGGAGAGACTGCTCTCAGAGGACTGACGGGAGGGAGGGGCCAGCTCTGTAACCAGCTTGTTAAGAACAACTGTAACAAGGCATCGAGTGCCAATCCATGCCAGGTCGGCACTGACCTCTCCAGGGTATCACTGTTCACACTGTAAGGAGATTTAAGTAGCTTGTTGAAGGGTGCACCGAGGACCCGACCCTTCCTCGGCTCTCCCTCTGGATACAACGTGAGGTTAGGGGTTGGAGGCTGAGAGGACCCCGTGAACTGCAGAGCAGAGCTGGGACGGGGAGTCAGGCCTCCCGACCGGGCCGGGGGCACTCCCTGGGCCCATGCCTCGCGCTGGCACGGAGAGCGGGGAGGGGGGTACGCGGCTGACGACCGTCGGGGCAGCAGCAGCAGCACAGCCCGGCGTTGGCTAGCGGCCCAGAGTCGGGGCAGGGAGGGTTCCCGTGCGGACGGGGGCTAAGAGGCCGCCTCCAGCCCGGGGCAGTCCGCGCACCCGAGCCTGGAGCCCGGAGCCTGGAGGGGTGGGGAGGCCCCGCGCCCAGGGCCGGACCGGAGGGAGAGGGAGAGCGGTGGCTCCTCCCCCGGCCCCCGCCGCTAGCCGATCGGGGCGCTGGGCGGGCGCCGCGGGAGCCGCAGCCCTTTCCGGGGGGCGGACCCGGCTCCGGCGGCGGCACCCAGCTCCTGCCCCGACAGGTGCGCGCCGCGCGAAGGAATGCAGCCGGTCTGACTCACCAGCGCCTCCTTCCTACCTGCGCGCCCGCCCCATAAAGCGCTGCCCGCCTCGTCCCCACCCCCCCAACCCCCGCGCCCGCCCTCGGACAGTCCCTGCTCGCCCGCGCGCTGCAGCCCCATCTCCTAGCGGCAGCCCAGGCGCGGAGGGAGCGAGTCCGCCCCGAGGTAGGTCCAGGACGGGCGCACAGCAGCAGCCGAGGCTGGCCGGGAGAGGGTGAGTGCCCGCCCCAGCTGGGCAGCCGCGCAGGGGAGCTGGTCGGGCAGGGCCGGTGGCTTTTGTCTCCCCTTCCCCTCCCTGAAGGCTGACAGGCCCCGGTCCCTCTGTCCACGCTGCGCAGGACAGGTGCCCAGCCTCCCCGGGGTGCGCCGGGGGCAGCTGGCAGCCAAGGGGCAGGGCAGCTAGAGAAGGGTGGTGCCCATCAGACCTCCAGGCCAGAGGAGCGCCTTGGGTGCGCCTGCGGGAGAAGTGGGCAGAGGCCAGTGGCTGGTAGCCCTCTGGGGCTGGGCCCCTCCAGGGTTTGCAAAGAAGGTGGAGTAGACACCAGCCTGAGTGCTGGGCCCAGCCCATCATGGCGCATCTAATGATAAACCAACATTCCTGACTTTTATGTGAAATTTCGTTCTTTCTAACATTGGCTCCTACTTTTAAAAGCCACCCTGAGAGGCAGACGCCATCCCGGCTCCAGGCAGGGCTTGCTCTATGCGGTGCCACAGTCCATCTGGGGCTGGGGAGTCCCTGATTTTCCTTTTCTCTTGGCCAAGCACAGGCCTGCCTTCCTCCCAAAGTCAGCCCCAGGCGCCTTCCTTCAGGAAGCTCTACAGGCCTCACCCACCAGCCCCAGGGCTGTGCCCAACACTGCCACCTCCTGCAGCATCCGCCCTCTTTCCCATGGCTCAGCCTCTGGGGTGGCCCTCTGGCTGGGACTGGGGCTCTGGGGCTCCTGGTGACTCCCAGGAGCAGGGACAGGGCTTCTCCTCTGCCCCCATGGCCTTGCCACACCCTGAGGACAAGGACCAGGCACAGGTGGCATGGTTGTTGCTGTCCGAAACAGAGCTGGCAGTGAAGGCTTGGAGTCTCCATCCTGGGGGCTGAGGGAAGGACAGCAGGAGGGACAGGAGGGGAGGTATGTCTGTCTACTCGACCCTGATTTCTCAGGGAGACAGAACAGCCAAGGGCCTGGGGTCCCCAGACTTCTGGCCAGCTGCCTCTCTGGGGCGAGGAAGGGCCTGGGTCCCTGAGGGGAGGAGATGTGACAGCGGGAGAGGATAGTGGACAGGAGCAGGTGTGCCCAGAGGGGTCCCCAGGGGTTGGGATGGGGGCCAGGGGAGCTCTGAGCCTGTGGGTGGGTGGGCATGGCCTGTGTGTGTGTGTGTGTGTGTGTGTGTGTGTGTGTCCCTGTGGGGGGGAAACTGCCTGTGCTGCAGTGTGATGGCATTCAGGGTGGCAGTCACACACTCCAGGGACCTGCTGGTACATAAAGTCGGGGCAGCCTGGTGGGGTCCGGGCCGCCTGGAGAGTAGGTGTCCTGAGCGCTGGGCCCAGCCCATCGTGATACATCTAATGATAAACACAAATTCCTAACTTTTATGGGAAATCTCGTTGTTTCTAACATTGGCTCCTACTTTTAAAACTTTCTAAACAAATGAAGCCAAACACTCTTGGGTGCCTCGCCAACCCTCTAACTGCCATTTTGTAGCTTCTGCGTGGAGGCTGCCATGGAGGTTAAAGGCAGGGCCTGCAGAGCAGGGCCCTGTCCTGGCCCTCCCAGTGCTGTCCGCGGGATGGGGAAGTTCCACAGCCTTCTGTGCCTGGTCTCTCATCTGGGAAACGGGCAGAATGAAATCATCTCCCGCCGGGCTCCTGTGCTGAGCAATCTCCTCCGTGAAGCCCTGGGCTCATATGGCAGTCACAGTGTGGGAATCAGCACTGCCTGAGGGGCTGTGGCCAGGGACAGTGGGAGGAAGAGCTGGGCTCAGCTCTCCAGGCCTGTACCTGCCTGTGTAATGATGCCTGGGAGGCCTGAGCCTGCAGCCTGTATTGTGTAGCATGTGGGTGTGGCGGCTACACCCCGAGGCTGCAAGGAAGTCATTTCCCTCTAGGAACCCTGCTGTCCCCACCCTTTCCCTGCTGGCTCAGGGCTGCCTCCCAGTCCCTGTGCCACAACAGGTCTGACCTGCATGTGTTGGCGCTGCTGTGGCCTCCTCCAGGCTGCACGCCTTAGAAGCAGGCTACGCCTTCCTGCCCTTGGCCTGAGAAGGGCTTCTCCAGCACCTCGGGGACCCCAGCCCCCAGACCCTGGGGTGGCCACTGCCCCAGAAGCCGGGCTGAGACAGGATTCAATGGGGAGGGCCCGTGGGCAGGGCAGAGGCTTGGGCCCCTGGGAGACCTGGCCCTAGAGAAAGAGGCGCGGTGCTCACCTTTGCCCCGGCCTTGCAGGCCTGGATGGCTCTGCCGCCAGCCTCTTTTCTTGTCCAGGCTTCAGGCTGAGCATCTCTTAGAGGGCCTCAGGGATGTCCAGTCCTGCCCTGAAGGCCGCTGAGGACTTAGGATGGTTTAATACTGAACCCACAGCCGCTGGGGACGCCTTGAGGGGAGCCACAGTGTGTGTGCATGTCTCACTCTGGGCTAACTTGTGAAAGGGTGAACAGCTCAGGGGCCCAGAAAACTTAACTCTGGGGCAGGCAGAGGTACAGGGGAGGGCAGATGATTCAGACCCCACCCTGATGGGCCGGGCAGTCACTGCAGAACCCAACCCGGTGCAGTAAGCCACTGCGGGCAGCTGTGGCCCAGCCCCAGGCCCCAGATATTGGGAGGGGCCCCTCTCCTCCCGGCTGTGCCACCCTCACCAAAGGGTAAGTGGGCCAGGACAGAAGGAGCAGGAGGCAGAGCTGCGGCCCCCTCTCAGGGAGGCACCCTCATTGGATGACCCTGTCATGGCCAAGCCTGACCCAGGCTCACTGGGAGCTAAAAGGCAAAGAAGAATAAACCCACATCTGCCCTCAGGGAGCCCAGTGCTGAGAGGCCTGGCACTGGGACAAACTCGCAAACCAGAGTCCTTGAGGGCTGGAGGGGGCCTCCCGGGGCAGGGCATAGGCCACTGCAGGGATGGCACGGAACAGGGCAGCGGAAAAGGCAGGAGTCCGAGGCCCAGGGCCCTGCCTCTGGCGGCTGGGCGCCCTTGGTCACATTGTTGGTGCTCAGAGCCTCAGTTCCCACAGCTGTGCAGCGAGAGGAAGCTGACGGCACCGACCATGGCTGTGGAGGCCTCATGTGTCAATTGTTGCTGTTCTGCAGGAGGAAGAGGATGGCAGGGCCACGCCCCAGCCCATGGGCCAGGCTGCTCCTGGCAGCCTTGATCAGCGTCAGCCTCTCTGGGACCTTGGGTGAGTCCACGTTGCCCTGCAGCCCCCTCCTGGCAGGATCATCCCTTGGGCAGGCATTGCCCTTGCACGGGGATCTCACGGTGTCTCACCTAAACACGCTTGGCCATTCAGCAACTGACCACTGCCCACCTTCAGGGCTGGAAAACTTGAGGCTCCAAGCTCTTCAGCCTAGAGAAGCTTGAGCCCTGACCACGGGGCCTGAGAATAGGAGCGAAGGAGGCTGTGTCTAGAGGAAAGAGGAGACACCCACCCAGGACTGAGGCACCCAGAGGATGCACTGAGGCCCCAGAGGTGTAGTCAAGAGGGTTATAGGAATTTGGAGAAGAGAGGCACTGCTGACGTGTCACTTGCTCTCTGAGTGTCACTAGTGGACAAATCACTGGAGCCAGCTCCTACCACTTGAATTTTGTCTGTTAGAGGGGGTCCTGCTGGTGGCTTGAAATAGACCACGACAGAAATGTTTACACCACAGAAATTGGCAAACGCTACACGTCAAGCACCAGAGACCAGAGCCGTTGTTATTTTTTTATTTAATTCAATGTATATGTAGAAACATGCTCTCACTCTGTCGTCCCGGTGAAATGCAGTGATGCCATCGTGGCTCACTGCAGCCTCAACTTCCCAGGCTCAAGCAATCCTCCCACCTTAGCCTCCCATGTAGCTAGGACCACAGGCATGCACCACCATGCCTGGCTAATTAAAAACAATTTTTTTGTAGAGACAGTCTCACTATGTTACCCAGGCTGGTCTCAAACTCCTGAGCTTAAGCAATCTTCCTACCTCGGCTTCCCAAAGTGCTGGGATTACAGGTGTGAGCCATCGCACTGGCCACCACAGCCATTGTTAAACACTGACCAGCACACCATTGCCTGAAGCCCAGGAGACCTCTTACTGTGTACACCAGGTGCACACAGTAGGTCCTCACTGTGATTTTTAACTGAGCAGAGCCAAAGGGAAATCTAGAGTTTTACTTCATTCGTTACTGAGGACCCACTGTGTGCCAGGTGTGCCGGGTGCTAGGGCTACCGTGATAAACAAGACACCATTCCCTTCACCCTAGAAGGGGCTCAGAGGACAGACAGGCCATGTGGCAGTGGTCTCGCCGTGAGGCACAAGCTGTGATGGAGGAGGTACCTGAAAAGGGTGCTAGGTGCAGCTCATCAAAGGTAATGGGGAAGGCTGAGGACCGTCTGGCTGGACCTGAGGAGGCAGCAGGCCAGGGGGTGGCCAGGGTGTGCCAGCACCGAGTGTGCCAGTGCCACTGTCTCAGTCCCCACCTTCTGTCCTTCTGGCTTGAGTGGGAAGTCCCAGGTTTGAAATCACAGCTTGTTTCTAGCTGTGCTACCTGGGGCAGATCACATACCCCTGGCCTCTGTAAAATAGGGAACGGCTGGGTGCAGTGGCTCACGCCTATAATTCCCAGCACTTTGGGAGGCCAAGGTGGGAGGATCTCCTGAACCCAGGAATATGAGACCATCCTGAGCAACATAGGGAGCCCCTGTCTCTACATAAAATAAAAAATTAGCTGGGCTACTTGGGAGGCTGAGGTGGGAGGATTGCCTGAGCCCAGGATGTCGAGACTGCAGTGAGCTGTGATCATGCCACTGCACTCCAGCCTGGGCGACACAGCAAGACCGTATCTCAAAACTAAATAAAATTGAAATGCAGGTTGGGCACAGTAGCTCACGCCTGTAATCCCAGCACTTTGGGAGGCTGAGGCGGGCAGATGATTTGAGGTCAGGAGTTCGAGACCAGCCTAGCCAACATGGTGGAACCCCATCTCTACTAAAAATACAAAAATTAGCCAGGCATGGTGGTGCCCACCCATTATCCCAGCTACTCGGGAGGCTGAGGCAGGAGAATCACTTGAACCTGGGAGGCGGAGGTTGAAGTGAGCTGAGATCGCACCACTGCACTCCAGCCTGGGCAACAGAGCAAGACTCGTCTGAAAAATAAAGTAAAACAAAATAAAAATACAACAACAACAACAAACCAAAATAAATACATAAGGCCGGGCCCGGTGGCTCCCACCTGTAATCCCAGCACTTTGGAAGGCCAAGGCGGGTGGATCACAAGGTCAGGAGATCGAGACCATCCTGGCTAACACGGTGAAACCCTGTCTCTACTAAAAATACAAAAAATTAGCCGGGCGTGGTGGCGGGCGCCTGTAGTCTCAGCTACTCCAGAGGCTGAGGTGGGAGAATGGCGTGAACACGGGTGGTGGAGCTTGCAGTGAGCCAGGATCACGCCACTGCACTCCAGCCTGGGCAACAGAGCGAGACTCTGTCTCAAAATAAATAAATAAATAACATAAGGAGGGAATCCCCATCTCTCCAGGTGAAGGTGCAGGTGGGAAAGTGCTTGCCTTTGCTGAGCGCCTCCCCATTCATGTGCCCACATCTGTCCCCCCAGCAAACCGCTGCAAGAAGGCCCCAGTGAAGAGCTGCACGGAGTGTGTCCGTGTGGATAAGGACTGCGCCTACTGCACAGACGAGGTGAGGACCTGGCCCGGGTTGGTGTGGAACAGGCAAGGGTCGGGAATAGCTGGTGGAAATGAATCTAGGGTTGGGGCAGCCAGGGAATGGGTGCTGCCCCCAGTGACCCCCTGTCCTTCTGGCCAGATGTTCAGGGACCGGCGCTGCAACACCCAGGCGGAGCTGCTGGCCGCGGGCTGCCAGCGGGAGAGCATCGTGGTCATGGAGAGCAGCTTCCAAATCACAGAGGTGCCTGGTGTGGGGACTGGGGTGGGGGCTCCCCATGCTCAGCCTGGCTATTTATGGGGGTGTATAGTGCCCCTTGGCCGGGCTGGGCCCCCATCGGGCCTCCGGAGTGACCCTCTAGCCAGCTGTCCCCTTCCACTGGCTGCAGGAGACCCAGATTGACACCACCCTGCGGCGCAGCCAGATGTCCCCCCAAGGCCTGCGGGTCCGTCTGCGGCCCGGTGAGGAGCGGCATTTTGAGCTGGAGGTGTTTGAGCCACTGGAGAGCCCCGTGGACCTGTACATCCTCATGGACTTCTCCAACTCCATGTCCGATGATCTGGACAACCTCAAGAAGATGGGGCAGAACCTGGGTACGGCAGGGCCAGAGTGGAGGACAGCAGGGCAGGAGGGGGACAGGTGGGCGTCTGCTTGGGAGGCCAGGACTCAGGACAGCTGCACCCACCCAGAAGGAAACACTGGACATTTGAGCCCCCAAAAACCTTCCCTTCCATTCTCAAGGGAAGAATCTCGGTCAGACCCTACTCACCACTGGGGACTTCTGAGAAGGCCCAGGGCAGGCGGGCAGTGGAGCCATCTGGCCCTGACAAGGAGGGCACCCCCTGCCACGAGGCTGTGGGGAAGCTTCTGCTCCTCAGAGCTGGGCTGCATTCCCAGCCACCCTGCCCTTGCTGTACGCATAACTCCAGACCCCCAGTCCCATTTCCCTCATCCATAAATAGGAACAGACAATGTTGTGAGCATGAACCTTTGTCCAGCATGCAAAGCGTTAACCTCCCTCTTCCTCCCTTCTGAGCCAGCCCTTGGTGGGGGGCCCGTGTTTATGCCAGGCATCAGGGCTCAGCTATCCCCTCTCTGTCCTTTTGACATCCAGCTCGGGTCCTGAGCCAGCTCACCAGCGACTACACTATTGGATTTGGCAAGTTTGTGGACAAAGTCAGCGTCCCGCAGACGGACATGAGGCCTGAGAAGTAAGTGACTGTGTGGGTCCCGCAGGTGGGCAAGGGTCCAGGCCATGTGACCCCCACTCCTCTTTCACCCACAACTTAAAATTATCCTTCTACGGCTGGGCACGGTGGCTCATGCCTGTAATCCCAGCACTTTGGGAGACCAGGGCGGGCAGATCACCTGAGGTCAGAAGTTCAAGACCAGCCTGGGCAACATGGCAAAACCCCATCTCTACTAAAAAATACAAAAATTGGCTGGGCGCGGTGGTTCACGCCTGTAATCCTAGCACTTTGGGAGGCCAAGGCGGGTGGATCACGAGGTCAGGAGATCGAGACCATCCTGGCTAACACGGTGAAACCCCGTCTCTACTAAAAATACAAAAGATTAGCCAGGCGTGATGGTGGGCACCGGTAGTCCCAGCTACTCGGGAGGCTGAGGCAGGAGAATGGCGTGAACCCGGGAGGCGGAGCTTGCAATGAGCCAGGATTGCGCCACTGCACTCCAGCCTGGGCGACAGAATGAGACTCTGTCTCAACAAAAAAAAAAAAAAAAAAAAAATTAGCCAGGTGTGGTGGTGGGCGCCTGTAATTCCAGCTACTTGGGAGGCTGAGGCAGGAGAATCACTTGAACCCAGGAGGCAGAGGTTGCAGTGAGCCAAGATCGTGCATACCGCACACCAGCCTGGGTGATAAAGCGAGACTTGGTCTCAAAAAAAAAAAAAAAAATTCTCCTTCTAGTTGAAACGAGCCAGGGGCACTGGGGTCTGCGGCGTCTTCCCCCTGTGACACTCTCTCTCCCTCCCACCTCTGCCCAGGCTGAAGGAGCCCTGGCCCAACAGTGACCCCCCCTTCTCCTTCAAGAACGTCATCAGCCTGACAGAAGATGTGGATGAGTTCCGGAATAAACTGCAGGGAGAGCGGATCTCAGGCAACCTGGATGCTCCTGAGGGCGGCTTCGATGCCATCCTGCAGACAGCTGTGTGCACGGTGGGCACTGGGAAGGGTGCTGCCAGCCTAGGCCAGGGGTGAGCACTTCTGGGCAAGGGCCTGAGCTGCCCCCTGGCCTGCTCTGGTGCCAGGCTCACAGGCCCTGAGGGAAAGCCTGGGAGCCTGCAACCCCTTCACCCTGAGACAAGCTCAGACTCTGTGAGTAGGTCTCAGTTACAATCTGAGTTCAGATGTGCCTGGAGCCACGGTCCCCTGGCCTGAGCAGTCACAGCCTGGTTTCGTATCAGCTACCAAGGCAGACCTGGGCTTTAGCGTTCTGGAATCTTTAGTACCCTGAACCCACCAGCTGCCCAGACTCCACCTGTTCTGGGCATCCAAATAAGCCATTTCCTTTGATATGTACATCCATTTGTTCATTCTGAAAATGACATACCCATATTACTAGGTTAGAAAACAAAGAGCTAGCCAAGGCGTGGTGGCTCACACCTGTAATCCCAGCACTTTGGGAGGCCGAGGCGGGGGGATTGCTTGAATTCAGGATTTGAGACCAGCCTGGGAAACATGGCAAGACCCTGTCTCTACAGAAAACACAAAAATTAGCTGGGTGTGATGCACGCCTGTGGCCCCAGCGCCTTGCGGGGGCCGCATCTCCAGCTCCTGTTTCTCAGCGTTGTCACTCAGTCATGTGCCGTCAGATGCATCTTTCATGAGGGCACTTGCTGTGAATCCAGTGGCTTAAGCCCAGCCCCATGTTGGGACCCGCGTTCCCCGTCCTACACGACGCCGTGATGCGTGTCAGCAGGCAGCCTGCTCAGTGGGCACGCCCCGCCTTGCCTTCCCCAGAGGGACATTGGCTGGCGCCCGGACAGCACCCACCTGCTGGTCTTCTCCACCGAGTCAGCCTTCCACTATGAGGCTGATGGCGCCAACGTGCTGGCTGGCATCATGAGCCGCAACGATGAACGGTGCCACCTGGACACCACGGGCACCTACACCCAGTACAGGACACAGGACTACCCGTCGGTGCCCACCCTGGTGCGCCTGCTCGCCAAGCACAACATCATCCCCATCTTTGCTGTCACCAACTACTCCTATAGCTACTACGAGGTGCGGGGCCCAGGTCCCACGGGTGGGAGGTGGTCAAGGTAGGGGGTCCATGGAGCTTCTCAGACACCTCTCCCTCCCTCCCTCCCTCCCTCCCTCCCTTCCTCCCTTCCTCCCTCCCTCTTTTCCTCCCTTTCCTTCCTCCCTTCCCAAAGCCTTTAGACCCCCCAAAATGTGGGCCCTAGTGGGAAGGGGAGGTCATGTGCCCATCTTCCACCCCAACTCCCAAGCAGGTGGGGGCTAAGAGGGCAGGCTCTGCGACACCACAGTAGGTTCCAGGCCTCAGTTTCCCCATCCTCAAAGTGGGAAGAATCCTAGAGCTGTTCAGATTCATGGAGATGCTTAGCCTGAGACCTGGCCTTCTCTCCCGCAGAAGCTTCACACCTATTTCCCTGTCTCCTCACTGGGGGTGCTGCAGGAGGACTCGTCCAACATCGTGGAGCTGCTGGAGGAGGCCTTCAATGTGAGGGCAGCTCAGGCTCCAGAGTCTGAGCCCTTCTGGGGCAGGGCAGGAAGTGGGCAGGGTGGGCAAGAGGTGTCTTGGATCACGGTGGAGAAATGGGTCTGGGACAGACCAGTGAGGAAGGGTCTCTAGCTATCCCTGAGGCCCCGAGGGGCCACCTGGGCCTGGCCCTGGCTCCTGCAGGCTCTGTGATACCCCGCATGATGCCAGCCACACTTGGAGGTTGGGGTGGAGCACAGAGGCCCCCCACAGAGCACTGATCAACCTCCTTCCTCCTTTAGCGGATCCGCTCCAACCTGGACATCCGGGCCCTAGACAGCCCCCGAGGCCTTCGGACAGAGGTCACCTCCAAGATGTTCCAGAAGACGAGGACTGGGTCCTTTCACATCCGGCGGGGGGAAGTGGTACGCCTCTGTGGGGGCAGCGGGGTGGGGGATAGGCACAGCGCCCCACACCGAGTGGAATCGTTTAAAACAGCGGTCAAGAGCGTGGCCCCTGGAGTCAGGCAGGCCTGGGTGCAGATCCCTGGGCCTAGCCGCTCGGATGAGCCTAGGTTGCTCCTCTGCTTGTTGGTTTCCTCGGCATGCAAGCGTCGAGCCCGGAGGCTTGCTGGGGCAGTAAATGGGTTAGTGTCACGAAGCCCAGAGGCCCTGGCCACTGTCATTGTCGCTATGATTGTGACTGCGCTGGGAAGGAGGGAGTTTCCAGCCCTGAGGGAGGTGAGCAGGAGCTCATTTCAGGGATCCAGACATCTCCTAGGAACTTGGGGGCCGAGGGCCTTCAGGCATCGATGGCCCCCTGGTCCTTGGGGCTGGGCCTGCCTTGGCTGACCACGGGGCCCCTGCAGGGTATATACCAGGTGCAGCTGCGGGCCCTTGAGCACGTGGATGGGACGCACGTGTGCCAGCTGCCGGAGGACCAGAAGGGCAACATCCATCTGAAACCTTCCTTCTCCGACGGCCTCAAGATGGACGCGGGCATCATCTGTGATGTGTGCACCTGCGAGCTGGTACAACGCAGCCCCGCAGGGCGGGAGGGGAGAGCTGAGCCAAGCACCCAGGGACCCTGAGGAATGAAGCAGGACTCCTGTGCCCCATATCCCTTGTGGGGTTTCCCGAGGCACACAGGAGAGCGGAAGTGTCCAGTGGCCCCGGTCCTGCTCCCCCGACGCACCCCACCATGGTCTCTCTCATTCCAGCAAAAAGAGGTGCGGTCAGCTCGCTGCAGCTTCAACGGAGACTTCGTGTGCGGACAGTGTGTGTGCAGCGAGGGCTGGTGAGTGGGGAAGGGAGTTGGGCACCCAGGACACCAGTGGCCCCTGATGGGAAAGCTGGGCTCCTGCAGGGGCCTGGCCCTGGGTGCACCTTGTACACCTGGCTGGGGGTGGGGCGGCAATCAAAGAAACGGCTAAGGGCGGGGCACACCCAGTTGTTGGTCAAACCCAGGTCAAAGCACTTTGAAATACAGAGATATATGGGCTGTCTCTAGAAAGAGGTGTGAGGATTGAGACGGGGTTGGCTGTTGGGGCTGGGGTCTGGATCTTGGGGGACAGGCACACGAGGCTTCCTTTTTGCTCCATGCCTTTGGTATTCTGAGTCCTGTGTCATATTGCCTGATCAGAAGAGAGCTCGTAAATGCACGGCAGTAAGGGCTTTAGCTTCAGGACACTGGGCGAGCTTGCCACAACTTGAGGCAGAGCAGTGGGGAAAGGACACTGGAAGGGGTGACATGACAGGGCACTGGGGTTTAGGTCTCAGCTCAGCCACTTCTGTCTGCATGACTGGGAGCTGCCTCGGCCCTCTCAGAGCCTCAGTTTCCTCATCTGTAAAATGGGACAGCAGGCCAGGCGAGGTGGCTCACACCTGTAATCCCAGCACTTTGGGAGGCCGAGGTGGGTGGATCACCTGAGGTCAGGAGTTCAAGACCAGCCTGGCCAACATGGTGAAATCCCATCTCTACTAAAAATACAAAAAAGTAGCTGGGCGTGGTGGTGCATGCCTGTAATCCCAGCTACTCGGGAGGCTGAGGCAGAATTGCTTGCACCTAGAAGGCGGAGGTTGCCGTGAGCTGAGATCGCGCCACTGCACTCCAGCCTGGGCAAGAAGAGCGAAACTCTGTCTTGAAAAAAAATAAAATAAAATAGGCCAGGCGCGGTGGCTTACGCCTGTAATTTCAGCACTTTGGGAGGCCGAGGTGGGCGGATCACAAGGTCAGGAGATCGAGACCATCCTGGCTAACATGGTGAAACCCCGTCTACTAAAAATACAAAAAATTAGCCGGGCGTAGTGGCGGGTGCCTGTAGTCCCAGCTACTCAGGAGGCTGAGGCAGGAGAATGGCGTGAACCCAAGAGGCAGAGCTTGCAGTGAGCCAAGATCGCGCCACTGCACTCCAGCCTGGGCGACAAGGCGAGACTCCGTCTCAAAAAAAAAAATAAAATAATTAAATTAAATTAAATTAAATGGGACAGCAAAAGCCCCAGCTTTCCTCCTGGGCTGTTTCGGGGAATGACCAGTTCCTCCTTCAGGAGTGGCCAGACCTGCAACTGCTCCACCGGCTCTCTGAGTGACATTCAGCCCTGCCTGCGGGAGGGCGAGGACAAGCCGTGCTCCGGCCGTGGGGAGTGCCAGTGCGGGCACTGTGTGTGCTACGGCGAAGGCCGCTACGAGGGTCAGTTCTGCGAGTATGACAACTTCCAGTGTCCCCGCACTTCCGGGTTCCTCTGCAATGGTGAGCACAACAACTGCGGCCAATGCTGATGGCGGGGTAGGGAGTGGACAGCAAGCATGACTTTCCCGTCAGGACCCAGGTTGGGAGAGCCAGACTTGGAATCAGAATCCCCAAGTTCAGGCCCAGCCCACTCTGGATGCCCTGAGGGCCGCCCCTGAGTCCTGCCCCAACCTGGGCCTGACTTCCCTCATCTGTAACGTCCATGCCCAAGGTCACTGTTGGCAGGACTTTCCCCTGGTTTTAAGATTCCAACTCCCCTGAGGTTCTCTCTGGAAGTTCAGTTCTATGCCCACCCCACTTCTCCACACCCCTATCTCATTAGAGTGGGTGCCACCCAGCTCAGCCCTCCAATGGCTGGCAGGTATATGGCATTATGATCTTTCCTCTCTCCAAAGATGCTAAATTTCTGTGGGTTTTTTGTTGTTGTTGCTGCTGTTTTTTTTTTTTTTTTTTTTTTTTTTGAGACAGAGTTTCACTCTTGTCGCCCAGGCTGGAGTGCAATAGCACAATCTTGGCTCACTGCAACCTCTGCCTCCTGGGTTCAGGCGATTCTCCTGCCTCAGCCTCCCTAGTAGGTGGGACTATAGGCATGCACCACCATGCCCAGCTAATTTTGTATTTTTAGTAGAGACAGGGTTTCACCATGTTGGCCAGGCTGGTCTCGAACTCCTGACCTCAGGTGATCTGCCCGCCTCAGCCTCCCAAAGTACACATCTGTAATCACACCTGGGATTACAGGTGTGAGCCACTGAGCCCGGCCCAAAGATGCTAAATTTCTACCTGGAAGGCCTGGAGCTTCCTCTGTATTCCCATGGGTCCAGGC
Organism: Homo sapiens; assembly: GCF_000001405.40. Lineage (NCBI taxonomy): Eukaryota > Metazoa > Chordata > Mammalia > Primates > Hominidae > Homo > Homo sapiens. The sequence goes on from NC_000017.11 coordinate 75,734,516, forward strand.
CATAGGCATACAGTCTGGCCAGGAACATCAGAGCTGGGCAGGATCACAGAACTCAGACAAGGGGACATAGGGAAGGATTGGTAGTTGAATGGAGGAGGATGAATGAAAATCTACTCATCAAATACTTATGAAGCCCTCACTGTATACTTTCCAAGCCCCTGCTTTTCTACTCTTTCTTCTGTTCTTGCTTTTGTTCACCATTTCTTCTCTTCGACTGTCTGTCCCTGAGTGTGCTCAGAGAAACAGAAGAGAGAACTGGGCACCACTGGAGAAAGGCAGACAAGTGGCACAGAGGGAGGTATGAGAGAGGAAGGGAGGAAGGTGCCTCTGGGGAAGGAGGCAGGGCCAGAGTACAAAGGGCTTCGGTTCTAGTCCAGAGCAGGACTTCATCCTTTGGACAAAAGGGGGTCACTGGAGGTTTTACTTTCATTTTCTAACTATTTGCATATTAACCTTGTATCTAGTCACCTTGCTAAACGCACTTATGAAATCTAATAATTTGTCTGTAGATTCTTCTGGATACTTTGTGACATGTTCCTCACACTTGCAAATAAAGACAATTTTATTGATTGATTGATTGATTGATTTTTGAGACGGAGTCTTGCTCTGTCACCCAGGCTAGAGTGCAGTGGCATGATCTCAGCTCACTACAACCTCTGCCTCCCAGGTTCAAGCAATTCTCCTGCCTCAGCCTCCCAAGAAGCTGGGATTACAGGGGCCCACCACCAAGCCCAGCTAATTTTTGTATTTTTAGTGGAAATAGAGTTTCACCATGTTGGCCAGGCTGGTCTTGAACTCCTGAGCTCAAGTGATCCTCCCGCCTCGGCCTCCCAAAGTGTGGGATTACAGGTGTGAGCCACCACGCCCGGCTGACAGTTTTATTTCTTTTTTCTTTTCTTTTTTTTTTTTTTTTTTTGAGACGGAGTCTTGCTCTGTCACCAGGCTGGAGTGCAGTGGCGTGATCTCGGCTCACTGCAACCTCTACCTCCCGGGTTCAAGTGATTCTCCTGCCTCAGCCTCCTGAGTAACTGGGACTACAGGCATGCGCCACCATGACCAGCTAATTTTTGTATTTTTAGTAGAGACGAGGTTTCTCCATGTTGGCCAGGATGGTCTCAGTCTCTTGACCTTGTGATCTGCCCGCCTCAGCCTCCCAAAGTGCTGGGATTACAGGCGTGAGCCACCTTGCCTGGACTTATTTCTTACCTTCTAATGCTTATACATCTTATTTCTTTTTCTGACCTTATTGCATTGGCAGGGACCCATTAGAGGTTCTTAGCCAGGGGAGCAGGAGCCACATGATTGGATTTGTTTTGAGATAATTACTCAGGCTGCAGAGTGGAAGGTAGGTAGGATGGAGGCAGAGATGGAGGGAAGGAGATTCCAGGAAAGTGAGGAAGAGATGACTTCTACCCCAGGCTAGCGGCACCCTGGCTCCCACAGCTCTGTTCCCACAGGCCCTCCCTGCCAGGTGGGCAGCCTGGACTACAGGCACAGATGTAGCTCTCATCTCCCTTCCTTGTCCCTCTCTGCAGACCGAGGACGCTGCTCCATGGGCCAGTGTGTGTGTGAGCCTGGTTGGACAGGCCCAAGCTGTGACTGTCCCCTCAGCAATGCCACCTGCATCGACAGCAATGGGGTAGGCCTGGGCATAAGACAGACAGTGTCTGTCAGCACCACCCACCCTCTCCAGAGAGAACCCTATGGAGAGAGGAGAGGGAGCAGGCAGGGATGGGGCACAGCTGGCTCACTGGTGCCCCCTCCTACCCCAGGGCATCTGTAATGGACGTGGCCACTGTGAGTGTGGCCGCTGCCACTGCCACCAGCAGTCGCTCTACACGGACACCATCTGCGAGATCAACTACTCGGCGGTGAGGCTAAGACCTACGAGGTGTGGGCGTGGGAACAGGGCAGGCACAGGGCAGTGTGGGCAGGAGGGGCTAAGCCTGATGCCACAGGAGCTGGCCAAGGGCAAGAGGTTTGGGGAGCGGGGGTCTGGCAGAGGCCCACCCAACACAGTGCCTGTCTGCCCCGCCTTTCCCCGCCAAGATCCACCCGGGCCTCTGCGAGGACCTACGCTCCTGCGTGCAGTGCCAGGCGTGGGGCACCGGCGAGAAGAAGGGGCGCACGTGTGAGGAATGCAACTTCAAGGTCAAGATGGTGGACGAGCTTAAGAGAGGTAGGGGCAGGGGCTGAGGGTTGGGGTTGCTGAGAGCCTAGGCAGCGGGCATCCAACGGGGCAAGGGTGTCATCACCTGGACGGGGGCTTGCAGTCTGGGCTAAGGTCACACAGTCCGGACAGGAACTCCAGAGCTGGGAGGGACCACAGAACCCAGATAGAGGACACCGAATCCCAGAAAAGGGTAAAAGCCTGAGCAGGAGGCACAGAACCCAGGCGGTGGGACACAGTCTGGCCCAGGAAGGGACCAAGAGTCTTGGTGGGAGGCACCTGACTTGGGCAGGGGCATGCACCCAGCAGGGGTACATGGTCACGCTGTGGAGACACGCAGCCTCCCCTCCTCGAGATCAGATACGTTTTCTGGACCCTGAGTTCCTGGGTGATGTCCAGGTCAGGGAAGTGGGGGAGGTAGGTTTCTAGGCTCTGATGCTCCTGAGCAGGGGAGCCCCCACCACACCCGTTCCTGTGCCTGGTGAGAGCACGGCTTTGCAAGGACTTCCACTCTTCCCCAGGAGGCCCTGCCGTGGGTGAGGCAGATCGCAGAGTAGGGGCCCCCTCACCAGACCCTGGGTCCTCTGGGGCGGAGGGGTGTGGCTGGGGTGCCCTGCTGACTGGCTGTGGGTACAGCCGAGGAGGTGGTGGTGCGCTGCTCCTTCCGGGACGAGGATGACGACTGCACCTACAGCTACACCATGGAAGGTGACGGCGCCCCTGGGCCCAACAGCACTGTCCTGGTGCACAAGAAGAAGGGTGAGCTGGTGGGGCCGGGCGCAGGGAGGGGGCGTGTGGCCAGAGCTCGGTGGGGAGGACAGGCACCACCTCCCCCTGCCTCCTCCTCTCCAGACTGCCCTCCGGGCTCCTTCTGGTGGCTCATCCCCCTGCTCCTCCTCCTCCTGCCGCTCCTGGCCCTGCTACTGCTGCTATGCTGGAAGTACTGTGCCTGCTGCAAGGTGAGCACCCAGGGTGCCTCCCAAGGCCCCACATCCCAGGGTCCCCACCCCAACAGGGCCCCCACCCTCCACCAGGGTCCCCAGTCCCCGCCTGAGTTCTCATCTCCCCAGGGTCCCCAACCCCTTCCTGGGTCCCCACCTCCCCAGGGTCCCCATCCCAACAGGGTCCCCATCCTCCACCACGGTCCCCACCTCCCCAGTGTCCTCAACCCCCTCCTGGGTCCCCACCTCACCAGGGTCCCCTCTCTGACAGGGTCTCCACCCTCCATCAGGGTCCTCCTCAGGGTCCCCAACCCCCACCAGGGTCCCCAGCCTCTCCACCCACCATCCCCACTCCTGCAGCTTTCTAGCCAGAGGCTTCAGCCCGTAGAGTCCAGCTGTCTGGATTCTGGTCCCAGCTCTGTGACCTTGGGCAAATTACTTAATCTCTCCATGCCTCAGTTCCCTCATCTGTAAAATGAAGATCATAGAATTGACCTCAGAAAGTGGAGCTGAAGCTTAAATTAGTGAAGTTCAGAAGGGACTGACCCATAGCATGCACCATCGCCCCCACCCCCACCTTGGCAAGACCCACACCAACCCCATCCAGCTTCCGGAGTGACAGTAATGATGATGACACCCATGAGCTCTTAGCCCGAGTCATCCTGGAGCCCCAGCCCCCAGCTCAGCCCTTGCCAGCATCCGTTCTCTGCTTAGCTCAGTGTTCCTCTTTGTGCTGTCGCCACAGCATGTCCACGTGACTCCATTTCCCCGCCCCCCATCACCCCATGAGGTCAGTGGGGCAAGGTCACCATGCCCTATGACAGATGGAGAAATTGGGGCTGAGAGGCAGGTGATAAATGCACAGTCCTCAGAAGGGGCTGAGGCAAGCTGAGCCCACATCTTCCCCAGCTCTAGTGCCCGCCCAGGACCCCCACTCCATCAGCCATCAGTGGCCAGATCCCTGAGAGCACCTGCTCTGGGGTCAGCCACGTGCAAAAGGCCTGGGAGCCACAACAGGGAAGAAAGGGCCCTGCCCGCCCGCAGCTGGCGGTCACTGGGGAGAACAGACAAGAGAAAGCGTGGAGGATGGCATAGCTCAGAGTAGGGATTGTAGGCGGCAGACCACACTCCGTAGTAACCCCCAGTGTTGTGGGATATTAATGTGCATTACATAGGCAAGGAGTTATGTGATCAAATAGGTTTGAGCTAGGCACGGCTGCGCGTGCCTGTAGTCCCAGCTACTCAGAAAGCTGAGGCAGGAGGATCACGAGTCTGGGAGTTTGAGGCTACAGTGAGCTATGATTATGCCACTGCACTCCAGCCTGGGTGACAGAGTGAGACTCAAAAAGAAAAAAAAAAAGAAGGTTTAAGAAACAAGTTTCTTAAATTTAAGTTACAGTGGCTCACACTTGTAACCCCAGCACTTTGGGAGGCCAAGGCGGGTGGATCACTTGAGGTCAGGAGTTGGAGACAAGCCCGGCCAATATGGTGACACCCCATCTCTACTAGAAATACAAAATTAGCTGGGCATGGAGGTGGATGCCTATAATCCCAGTTACTAGGGGGGCTGAGGCAGGAGAATTGCTTGAACCTGGGAGGTAGAGGTTGCAGTGAGCCGCGATCGTGCCACTGCATTCCAGCCTGGGCAACAGAGCGAGACCCTGTCTCAAAAAAAAAAAAAAGAAAAGAAACAAGTTTCTTCTCTGCAGGACTTCTCAGAGGCTTTGATAAAGTCCTGTGCCTAACCTGCAAGAGGGGCATGGGGAATGAATTCAGTGCTTCCCAAGTGAACCTGACCACAGAACCTTTACAGAGCACCCGGCAGGATGAGAGTTCCACGGCGCAAACTTTGGGAACCCTCTGCCCCCATCCCCCTCTATGCCCTTGTGTGCCATGCTTACACCCTGCTACCACCTGGATATTCTGGTGTCTGGGGAGGCACTGTCACCCCTCTTGACCATTGGCATGGGGCGGGGTGGCTGGAAGGGCTTACCTGGGCCAGGGCAGCTGTCTCAGGCCTCACCCTCACCCACCTTGTCTCCTAGGCCTGCCTGGCACTTCTCCCGTGCTGCAACCGAGGTATGGGCCTGGCATCGCAGGGGCAGCAGGGGCTCTGACTGCTCTTTCTCTGAGCTGGGGTGGAGGGAAGCTGAACCTGGAACGGCAGAGGCTGGAGGCTCTGGGGTCCCACCTGAAGAGGTTGGGCTGTGCGGGTCTAGGGAGGGGTGCCGTGCTGAGGACCCCATCCTGCAGGTCACATGGTGGGCTTTAAGGAAGACCACTACATGCTGCGGGAGAACCTGATGGCCTCTGACCACTTGGACACGCCCATGCTGCGCAGCGGGAACCTCAAGGGCCGTGACGTGGTCCGCTGGAAGGTCACCAACAACATGCAGCGGCCTGGCTTTGCCACTCATGCCGCCAGCATCAACCCCACAGAGCTGGGTGAGGGCGGGGCTGGGCGCCACAGCTCTGGGCAGTGCCCTTCGGGCCCTCTGTTCCAGATCTGGGATCACAGCATGCCTCTTCTCTGGGTGTGGGGTGCAGGCACAGGGCTCAGCCACCTTTTGCCCTGTGCTGATGGTGCTATGAACCTCATGCCTCGGTGTGCGTGGCCTGCTGGCCAGGCATCCCCTGATCCTAGCATGGTTGCTGGAGGGATGCTCTGTGGTGCCTGTCATGCAGGGGGCTGACCACCTCCATCTCACCCCCTCCCACCGCCTTTCCTTAGTGCCCTACGGGCTGTCCTTGCGCCTGGCCCGCCTTTGCACCGAGAACCTGCTGAAGCCTGACACTCGGGAGTGCGCCCAGCTGCGCCAGGAGGTGGAGGAGAACGTAAGGACCCAGGAACTAGGCCTGGCCGGAGATGTGGGTATGAGGGCGGGTGAGGTGGGCAGGGCAGAGCGAATGCGGTCGTGGTACCGAGATTCATTAACTAGGGGAGAGGGGTCTCTCTGGACCTGTGCCTGGCAGGGGGCATCCTGGGATCTGTTTCCAGAGGGCAGAAGGCCAGAGCCTGGGCCCAGGATGCTGCCCCACGGGGCATGCCCCAGCCAACCCTGAGGATCTCTGGGTACAGAGGCTGCCTGGCTCCCTGGGTCCCCAGCCTGAGGGCTTGCCACGGGGTGGCCTAGGCCCAGCCTCACGCCCCTCCCTTGCCTGGCAGCTGAACGAGGTCTACAGGCAGATCTCCGGTGTACACAAGCTCCAGCAGACCAAGTTCCGGTGAGTCCCGGGGTGCCCGGGTTGGGTGGGGGAGCCGCTCCTACCGGGACTCCAGGAGCCGAAGCCCCCAGGCCGATCAGGCCTCCACTTCAGGGCTATCTAGCTCACAGCGCCCTCTTTGTCCCCACAGGCAGCAGCCCAATGCCGGGAAAAAGTGAGTAGAAGACTCGTGGGTGAGAGGGCCCCCACTTCCTGCCCGCCTGTCCCCAGCCCAGCCACTGCCTCGTCCGTCCCTACTCCATCTCCATCCCATAGGAAGGGAGGGTCAGATGTGTCCGTCAGGTTCGGACCTTCATTCGTTCCTTTGACCATTTCTTCAACAAATGCTAATGTGAAGTGCTTGCTATGAAGTGGCCCCTGGACTAGAGCAGGCAAAAGCAAATCAACCCAGTCCCTGCCCTCATATAGGTGACTGTCCAGCCCCCCACCCGGTACCAGCGATAGCAGGTACCCATCTCCATCCGCTCCAGTGTCCAAGACCCTGATCTTGGGTGCACCTCTGGGGACCAGGCAGGTTACCGAGAGGATGGGCCAGCAGGTCACACACCTTTTTTCCCAGGTCCTACATCGAGTCCTGGCCCTTCATGGGGAGAGAGAGGGAGTGAGGAGGGGGTCTTGATGCAGGGACAGAAGAGCTAGAATCTCAGCACATGACCATCAGTAAGAACCGTTGGCTGTGCGTGGTGGCTCACACCTGTAATCCCAGCACTTTGGGAGGCTGAGGCGGGTGGATCACCTCAGGTCAGGAGTTTAAGACTAGCCAGGCCAACATGGTGAAACCCCACCTCTACTAAAAATACAAAAATTAGCCAGGTGTGTTGGTGGGCACCTGTAATCCCAGCTACTTGGGAGGCTGAGGCAGGAGAATCCCTTGAACCTGGGAGGCAGAGGTTGCAGTGAGCCGAGATTGCGCCACTGCACTCCAGCCTGGGCGACTGAGTGAGAATCCGTCTTGAAAAAAAAAAAAAAGAATGGCTGACCAGCATTTCTTATCCTGCTACGGGCCAAGCATTGTCCTAAGGGCTTTCCGTGTGTGGTCATCTTATCCAACCCTCTCGTCAAGCCTGTGAGGTAGAGATCACTGCTGTTCCCATTTTGCAGATGAGGAAGCTGAGGCTCAAAAGGGTTAAGTGACTTGCCCAAGGTTACCCAGCTATCGAGAACTAGAACCAGGGCTAGGGCCGCGGCAGCCTGGCCTGAGCACACACACCCTTAGCATCTTTGCTGTCCAGCCCTTGATGAGGTGGGCAGAGAAGCCCATTTCACAGAGGAGGACGCTGAGGACAGGGAGGCGCCATGGCTGGGCTGAGGCTGCAGGGTAAAGGGTATGGGGCTGGCATAGGCCTGGAGCACTGCCTGCCTCTGAAGACCCTGCACTTCTTGCTGTCTTACATCCTGGCCCCTGAAGGGGAGAAGACAGGCAGGAGGGACAGGGCAGCAGGTGCCAGCCTGACCCCTCCGCTGCCTGAACCTTCCACCCTCGACCCAGGCAAGACCACACCATTGTGGACACAGTGCTGATGGCGCCCCGCTCGGCCAAGCCGGCCCTGCTGAAGCTTACAGAGAAGCAGGTGGAACAGAGGGCCTTCCACGACCTCAAGGTGGCCCCCGGCTACTACACCCTCACTGCAGACCAGGGTAGGAGGGCGGGTCCGCTGTGCCACTGCCTCGCACCTCCCGCCTGTGTGGCCCTGTGACCCACCTCTGACCACCTCCGAACCCCCACCCAGACGCCCGGGGCATGGTGGAGTTCCAGGAGGGCGTGGAGCTGGTGGACGTACGGGTGCCCCTCTTTATCCGGCCTGAGGATGACGACGAGAAGCAGCTGCTGGTGGAGGCCATCGACGTGCCCGCAGGCACTGCCACCCTCGGCCGCCGCCTGGTAAACATCACCATCATCAAGGAGCAAGGTGGGTCTGGGTGGGGAGAGTGGGGAAGGCAGACGGGGGCTCGGGGGCACTGGTTCCTCCTGCTTAAGTGGAATTGCGACCTGGCCACGTGGCCTGGGCTAGTCACTTAACCTCTGCAAGCCTTGGTTTCTCCATCTGTAAAATGGGTAAGGGCTCTTTTACGGAATGCGTGGCTGTTCACCTCGCCACAGTGCCTGCCTGGTGGTGAGCGCTCAGTAAATGGAAGCTTCTGTTGCATCCTCATAAGGGCCAGCCCCTTGCTCCTCTCTATCTAGAAAAAGGGTTGGCCAAGGCATCACACCGTGGACATCTGACCCCTCCTCCCACCTGTGCCGGAAGCCACAGGCCTCAGGCCTGTTCCTGCTCTCCTCCAGCCCTGGGGCTGAAGGCTCCATCTCTGGTCCTGCCCGTGACTGGCCTCCCTCCTCTGCCTGGCCCTTCCAGGATGTCTGCTGGACACTTTGTTCCAGAACCACTTTTTTTTTTCTTGGGACAGAGTCTTGCTCTGCCACCCAGGCTGGAGTGCAATGGCACCATCTTGGCTCACTGCAACCGCTGCCTCCCAGGTTGAAGTGATTCTCCTGCCTCAGCCTCCCGAGTAGCTGGGATTACAGGCACTCGCCACCACGCCCAGCTAATTTTTCTATCTTTAGTAGAGATGGGGTTTCGCCATGTTGGCCAGGCTGGTCTCGAACTCCTGACCTCAGGTGATCCACCTGCCTCAGCCTCCCAAAGTGCTGGGATTACAGGCACAAGCCACTGCGCCCGGCCCCTCATCTTTTTCTGGAAGGATTTTCCGTTTCGCTCCTGTGCCCTTCCCAGAGGGCAATGCATAGAGGGAACCAAGCGGACTCCTGGATTCTGGGCTGGGCTGGGCAGGGTCACAGGAGAGCAGGAGGTGGGAAGGGACTGGGCCCAGCACACTCTGACAAATGCCCGGGCTCCTTGCAGCCAGAGACGTGGTGTCCTTTGAGCAGCCTGAGTTCTCGGTCAGCCGCGGGGACCAGGTGGCCCGCATCCCTGTCATCCGGCGTGTCCTGGACGGCGGGAAGTCCCAGGTCTCCTACCGCACACAGGATGGCACCGCGCAGGGCAACCGGGTGAGGCTGCGCCACAGGGTCGAGGGTGCAGCCCGGGGGGCTGCGTGGGCACCGCATTGGGTTCCCAAGACAAAGCAGCACATGGCAGCTGCTTGAGTCCCTGGATACTGGCCGTGCCCCTGGCTGGCCTCCCAAGGACACGTCCACCTGCTCCTGCCACCCTGTGGCAGGGGAGTCTCACCTGCCCAGGGTGCCAGTGACACGCTGGATGAGGCTCCATTGCTGCCAGGGACTCAGGCCAAGAGGGCTCGCTCTTTTTTTTTTTTTTTTTTTTTTGAGACAGAGTTTCGCTCTTGTTGCCCAGGCTGGAGTGCAATGGCACAATCTCAGCTCACCGCAACCTCCACCTCTCGGGTTCAAGCGATTCTGCTGCCTCAGCCTCCCTAGTAGCTGGGATTACAGGCATGTGCCACCACGCATGTCTAATTTTGTGTTTTTAGTAGAGACGGGGTTTCTCCATGTTGGTCAGGCTGGTCTGGAACTCCCGACCTCAGGTGATCCGCCCGCCTTGGCCTCCCAAAGTGCTGGGATTACAGGCGTGAGCCACCGCGCCCGGCCCAAGAGGGCTCTTTCTTCCTTCATGGGCCAGGGACCTGCCCAGACCATTCCTGTCCCCTCCTACAACTCAGGATCCACAGGGTAGCCAAACCTCTTGGAGATAAACTCCCCCTATATGCCCCAGTCCAGGGGGCTTTGGGTTTCTTGAGCTGGGATCGAAGACCCCATGTCCCCAGGCCAGACTCCCCAAGGGCTGTCACAATTTGCCAAGCAGCAGGAGCAACCCTTCAAGGCAGGGAGTGCCATGGCTGGACCAGCATCACCTTCACTGCTGAGCCCCAGTGCTGGGGTACAGCCAAATCAGGTGGCACACAGGCTGGACTGGGTTTACAGGCTTCATAGTTTTGTTTCTTTTGTTTTGTGTGGGGATTTTTTGCTTCTTAATTTTTGGGGGAGACAGGGTCTTGCTATGTTGCCCAAGCTGGTCTTGAACTCCTGACCTCAAGTGATCCACCCACCTCGGCCTCCCAAAGTGCTGGGATTACAGGAGTGAGCTACCACGCCCGGCCTAGTTTTTGTATTTTTAGAAGAGATGGGGTTTTGCCATGTTGGCCAGGCTGGTCTTAAACTCCTGATCTCAAGTGATCCGCCCACCTCGGCTTCCCAAAGTGCAGGGATTACAGGTGTAAGCCAGTGCACCTGGCCTTTCTAGTTTTTAAATGTTGGCAACAAATCCATAATTAAAAACAAAGGCGGGGCATGGTGGCTCACACCTGTAATCCCAGCACTTTGGGAGGCTAAGGTGGGAGAATCACTTAAACCCAGGAGTTCAAGACCAGCCTAGGCAACGTGGTGAGACCATGTCTATACATATAATTTAAACATTAGCTGGGCATGGTAGTGCATACTTGTGGACCCAGCTACTTGGAAGGCTGAGGCAGGAAGATCACTTGAGGCCAGGAGGTTGAGGCTACAGTGAGCCATGTTCATGCCACTGTACTTCAGCCTAGGCAACAGAGTAAGACCCTGTCTAAAAAAATAATAATAATTAATTTTTTAAAAATCAAACAAAAAAACAAAGAAACAAAACCTGGCTCAGTGCAGTAGCTCATGCATGTAATCCCAACACTGTGGGAGGGCACAGTGGGAGGATCACTTGAGCCCAGGAGTTGCAGGCCAGCTTGGGCAACATAGTAAGACCCTGTCTCTATTTTAAAAAAATAATAATAATAATAAAGGCCAGGCGAGGTGGCGTATGCCTGTAATCCTAGCACTGTGGGAGGCCAAGGCAGGTGGATCGCCTGAGGTCACGAGTTCGAGACCAGCCTGGCCAACATGGTGAAACCCTGTCTCTACTAAAAATACAAAAATTAGCTGGGCATGGTGACACGTGCCTCTAATCCCAGCTACCCGGGAGGCCGAGGCAGGAGAATTGCTGGAAACCAGGAGGTGGAGGCTGCAGTGAACCGAGATCATGCCACTGCACTACAGCTTGAGCGACAGAGTGAGACTCTGTCTCGAAAAAAGAAAAAAAAAATTATCTCAAAAGTAATAAAGTCTCGCCTCCCTGGGCCCACAGGCCCATTCAGCAAACATAGGGGAGCGCGTAGTCAGCAGGCCCGGGCTGCCTGGCCACATCCTAATTTTATTTACTTCTTTTTATTGACAGGAACTGTTCTCATTATTTTTCCAATGTCCCCCCATAAAAATTCCAAAGAATAATTTTTTTCTTTTAAGAGACAAGGTCTCCCTCTAGTCCAGGGTGGAGTACAGGGGCACAGTCCTAGCTCTCTGCAATCTTGAACTCCTGGGCTCAAGCAGTCCTTCAACCTCAACCTCCCAAGTAGCTGGGACTACAGATGTCCACCACCGCACGGCTAATTTTGTATTTTTTTTTCTTTGAGACGGAGTCTCACTCTGTTGCCCAGGCTGGCGCGATCTCAGCTTACTGCAACCTCCACCTCCAGGGTTCAAGCGATTCTCCTGCCTCAGCCTCCCAAGTAACAGGGACTACAGGTGCGCACCACCACACCCAGCTAAATTTTGTATTTTTAGTAGAGACGGGGTTTCACCATGTTGGTCAGGCTGGTCTCGAACTCCTGACCTCGTGATCCGCCCACCTCAGCCTCCCAAAGTGCTGGGATTACAGGCATCAGCCACCGCGCCCGGCCATTTTATATTTTTAGTAGAGATAGGGTTTCGCCATGTTGCCCAGGCTGGTCTCAAACTCCTAGGATAACATGATCCTTTTGCCTTGCCTTCTGGCTACCCTGTTACACTTGTATAAAGATGCTTTGAGGCTGGGTACAGTGGCTCATGCCTGTAATCCCAGCACTTTGGGAGGCCAGGGCGGGCAGATCGCTTGAGATCAGGAGTTCAAGACCAGCCTGGCCAACATGGCGAAACCCTGTCTGTACCAAAAATACAGAAAATTATCTGGGTGTTGTGGTGTGCACCTGTGGTCCCAGCTACTCGGGAGGCTGAGGTAGAGCCCAGTAGGTGGAGGTTGCAGTTAGCCGAGATAGTGCCACTGCACTCCAGCCTGGGTGACAGAGTGAAACCCCTGTCTCAAAAAAAAAAAAAAAAAAAAAGCTTTGATATTTGTTTTTTAAAACATTTTAATTTCTCACCTTTTTATTTTTAAAAACTTCAACTTACAGAAAAATGGAAGGAACAGTAAAACTAGCACCCATTTACCCTTTACATAGATTCACCGATTGCTAATATTTGCTTTCTCTCTCTTTCTATATAGATAGCAACATAGAAATATAAATAGAGATGTGGACATCTGTATCTTCACATTGATTATACTAGTACCTAAAATTAGTCCATATTCCAGCCAGGCGTGGTGGCTCACACCTGTAATCCCAGCACTTTGGGAGGCTGAGGCAGGTGGATCACCTGAAGTCAGGAGTTTGACACCAGCCTGACCAACATGGAGAAACCCCATCTCTACTAAAAATACAAAAATTAGCCGGGCATGGTGGCACACGCCTGTAATCTCAGCTACTAGGGAGGCTGAGGCAGGAGAATCATTTGAACCCAGTGGGTGGAGGTTGCAGTGAGCCAAGATTGCGCCACTTCACTCCAGTCTGGGCAAAAGAGCAAAACTCCATCCCAAAAAATATATAAAATAAAATAAAATAGGTCCATATTCCAATGTCCCCTTGTTCGGATGTCCCAATAATGTCCTTTATAGCGTTTTTCCCCCCAATGCAGGAACTAATCAAGGATTTGGCATTGACTTTTGTCACGTGTCTTGACTCCTTTAATCTAGAAAAGTTTCCTGGCTTTGTCTTCCGTGACACTGACTTTTGTTAAGACAAGGTCTCGCTCTGTCACCCAGGCTGGAGTACAGTGCCTCACTGCAACCTCTGCCTCCCGGGTTCAAGCAATTCTCCTGCCTTAGCCTCCCGAGTAGCTGGGATTACAGGCACCGGCCACCATGCCGGGCTAATGACACTGACGTTTTTGAAGTATCCATGTAGGTTGCTTGCAGGCAGCTCCCTGGTTTGTTTTTTGTTTGTTTGTTTTACAACTATGGGTCTCACTTTCTGAGTTGGGTGGCATGAGGTTGCCTCCCCAGCCATCGCCCTGGCTGCTGCGCCTGGAATTGAAATCTTGCCCTGAAGTGCCACCTAGTGGTCTTCTATGTGAAGGATTTTCTTTTTCCTCCCAGTTCTTATCCTGGAAAGCTCAGGCATGCTCCACGGCACTGAAAGGAAGATGGGTGGCTCACGCCTGTAATCCCAGCACTTTGGGAGGCCAAGGTGGGCGGATCGCTTGAGGCCGGGAGTTCAAGACCAGCCTAGGCAACATAGGGTAACCGTGCCTCTACAAAAAAAAAAAAAAAAAAAATAGCCAGGTGTGGTGCACGCCTGTAGTCCCAGCTACTCAGGCGGCTGAGGGGAAGGATGGCCTGAGCCCAGGAGGTCAAGGCTTCAGTGAGCTGTGATTGTGCCCCTACACTCCAGCCTGGGTGACAGAGTGAGACCCTGTCTCAAAAACAAACAAACAAACAGAAACGTGGCTGGGCATGGTGGCTCATGTCTGTAATCCCAGCACTTTGGGAGGCCAAGGTGGGAGGATCACTTGAAGTCAGGAGTTCGAGACCAGCCTGGCCAACATAGTGAAACCCCATCTCTACTAAAAATACAAAAATTAGCTAGGCGTGGTGGCAGGTGCCTGTAATCCCAGCTACTCAGGAAGATGAGGTGTGAGAATCATTTGAACCTGGAAGGTGGAGGTTGCAGTAAGCCGAGATCATGCCACTGCACTCCAGCCTAGGTGACAGAGTGAGATTACGCCTCAAAAAAAAAAACAAACAAAAAAAACACAAAAACCTGAACCTCGTGTAAGTACTCCACCCAGCAAGCAGGGATGGTCTCTGCAGTGTCCATGAGGTTGGGAGGGAGCGTGTGGCCATGACTCTTGCCTCAGCCCCCAGCCATGACCCTGACCCTGACCCCCTCCACTCCCAGGACTACATCCCCGTGGAGGGTGAGCTGCTGTTCCAGCCTGGGGAGGCCTGGAAAGAGCTGCAGGTGAAGCTCCTGGAGCTGCAAGAAGTTGACTCCCTCCTGCGGGGCCGCCAGGTCCGCCGTTTCCACGTCCAGCTCAGCAACCCTAAGTTTGGGGCCCACCTGGGCCAGCCCCACTCCACCACCATCATCATCAGGGACCCAGGTAGGCAGAGCCTGGGGGTCGGCTTAAGCAGGAGGAGAGGGAAGACTGGGGGGTCTCTCAACTAGGTCTGTCAGACTTAGCAAATCCAAACACAGGACGCCCAGGTAAATCTGAATTTCAGGTAAACAACATACACGTTGGTAGGATAAGTATGTCCCATGCAATATTTGGAACATACTTATCCTTTTTTTTGCAAAATGGGCTGGGTATACTGGCTCACACCTGTAATCCCAGCATTTTGGGAGGCCAAGGTGGGAGGATCACTTGAGCCCAGGAGTTCTAGACCAGCCTGGGCAACATAGTGAGACCTCGTCTCTACAAAAAATAAACAAATTAGCTTGGCATAGTGGTGTGCACCTGCAGTCCCAGCTATTCCGGAGACTGAGGTGGGAGGATCACTTGAGCCCAGGGGGTCTGGGCCGCAGCAAGCTGTGATCGCACCACTGCACAGCACCTGGGCCATGGAATGAGATCCTGTCCCCCAAGAAAAAATAATCTTGTTGTTTATCTGAAATTCAAATGTAACTAGGCATCCTGCATTTTATCTGGCAACCCTACAGCTAGAGAGGCTGTTGTCACCACACAATAGGAATTCTCCCATCAGACCCTGGCCCTTTGGCTTCAGCCTCAATTCCAACTAACATGCAGATGCTTGTGGAAGGAAGGAGTGGGCCAGTTAGTTCCTATCAGCCCTCAGCCTCCCAACTGGGAGAAAGCCTGCCAGGAAGATGGGAGAGGAGGGAGATACTCAGGGTACAGTGTGGAGATGGGGTGGGGAGCAAATGTTCTCATGTGGAATGTTCCCTGAGCTGCCAAGGGAGAAAGGGGCAGACCAACTCCCTCCCGCTTCTGTTCCTCCAGAGACCCTCCTGGGTCCTCCGCCAAGCTTGGCAGGATGCTCTATGTGGCAGCAATGGGGCACCACCAGGTCTCCAGAGACGCGGGTGGGCAGGTCTGAGTTGAATGCGCTGGGTAGAGCGCCCTGGGTGTTGAAGTGGGTCTCTGGCGCCCCCTGGTGGTGAAGGGGGATCTGAGTGGTTGCCCGGCCCCAACCTGACCCGTTAGATGAACTGGACCGGAGCTTCACGAGTCAGATGTTGTCATCACAGCCACCCCCTCACGGCGACCTGGGCGCCCCGCAGAACCCCAATGCTAAGGCCGCTGGGTCCAGGAAGATCCATTTCAACTGGCTGCCCCCTTCTGGCAAGCCAATGGGGTACAGGGTAAGGCGGGGGGCTGAGGGTCACGACAGGTGGATGGGCGGTCTGGCACCAGCACTCACAGAAGAGGTGGGCCGTCCAAGGCCAGGGCCCCCTGAGAGAGAGCAGACAGTGGAACCTAGCACAGGTGGTCAGAGGGAAACCCGGTCTGTGCTGGGAAAGAGGGAAGACCCATTCCTGAGTTTATCAGACATTTGCCCTCCTTCCTAGAATGGGGCCCCCTCCCACCCCCGCATGGGAGATACCCCCACCTGCTCTGCCCTAGTCCTGACGTGTGCACATGGCAGATCTCTCAGCCCCTCCCTCGGGCCTCATCTGTGCAAAGAGGACAGTAAGGGCAGAGGTCAGAGGAGGGACAGGCAGCTTGGGTGCCTGCTGCTCCCTGCTGACCAGGACCCCTGTCCCTGGGGGTAGGTAAAGTACTGGATTCAGGGTGACTCCGAATCCGAAGCCCACCTGCTCGACAGCAAGGTGCCCTCAGTGGAGCTCACCAACCTGTACCCGTATTGCGACTATGAGATGAAGGTGTGCGCCTACGGGGCTCAGGGCGAGGGACCCTACAGCTCCCTGGTGTCCTGCCGCACCCACCAGGAAGGTGAGGCCTCGCCATGTCTGTCCATTTGTCCCCTGGCTGCCCTGATGCCAGCATGCCCAGACCTCCCTCCCTCTGCCACTGACAGCACTCTTCCTGTATTCCCCGCTCCCTAGTGCCCAGCGAGCCAGGGCGTCTGGCCTTCAATGTCGTCTCCTCCACGGTGACCCAGCTGAGCTGGGCTGAGCCGGCTGAGACCAACGGTGAGATCACAGCCTACGAGGTCTGCTATGGCCTGGTCAACGATGACAACCGTAAGAACCAGATCCTTCTTTCCTGCCCACAGGGAGAACAGCCATGGAAGGGGAGGGGACAAAGCTGGAGGGAGCTCTTGGTCACTCCCTGGACCTGCTGTGCAGGGCACTCGAGGCCTTCATCCTGGTCAGCGGATAAGCCTGAGGCATCTTTAGGGTTTTGGCCAGATTTGGGCTGGGTTGCATTCTAAGACCAAACCCAGAAGGTTGCAGGGTGGGTGGTTACCTATGTGGAGTGAGGTCACAGGCCCAGGGGTACCCCTCCCCATGCAGGTAACCAGGGAGCTCACACGTGCATGGTTTTCTTAGGGTGAGAGGAAAGTTACCGGATTTAGCAAACAGAAATACAGGAGGTTCTGAATTTCAGATAGCACTTTAAAAGATTATTTTGTACATTGAGAGGCCGAGGCAGGTGGACTGCTTGAGGTCAGGAGTTCAAGACCAGCCTGGCTAACATGGTGAAACCGTTTCTACTAAAAATTAGACAGGCATGGTGGCTCATGCCTGTAGTCCCAGCTAGTCAGGAGGCTGAGGCAGGAGAATCACTTGAACCCAGAAGGCGCAGGTTGCAGTGAACCGAGATCGTGTTACCGCACTCCAGACAGGGTGACAGAGCCAGACTCCGTCTAAAAATAAATAAATAAAAAGGATTATTTTATACATTATTTTATCTAGCAGCCCGAGATCAGAGGTGCCTAGCAGAACAGTTATTTCTCCAGTCCTGGAAGGGAGGCAGGGTGGGCAACCCCTATGCGTGCCCTTGCCTTGTGTGGAGGCACCGTGGATATATGGGTAGAGGTGACATCGAGGCCAACTTGAGTCCAGCCCTGGCTCTGCCACTTACTCAGCAGAGTCCCTTGGAGGACTGGTGACATATGTCCACGCCAGTCATGCTGACGCTCAGGGCTCCGCAGGCGGCAATTCAGCAGTGGCTGGCTTTGCCTTGCTTCCCCAGCCCCTGGGTGCCATCCAGGGGATGCACGGCCGTCCTGCTGTGTCAGGGGTGGTGTTGGGACCAGGCTGGGACCTGGGTGACCCTCTGAAGCACTCTCTCTGCCCCAGGACCTATTGGGCCCATGAAGAAAGTGCTGGTTGACAACCCTAAGAACCGGATGCTGCTTATTGAGAACCTTCGGGAGTCCCAGCCCTACCGCTACACGGTGAAGGCGCGCAACGGGGCCGGCTGGGGGCCTGAGCGGGAGGCCATCATCAACCTGGCCACCCAGCCCAAGAGGCCCATGTCCAGTGAGTGGTGGGCAGGGAGGTGAGGGGCAGACCGGGCAGGGGGGCAGGGGGCAGCAGCCAGGGCCCTGGCTCACTCCCCTGCCCTGCAGTCCCCATCATCCCTGACATCCCTATCGTGGACGCCCAGAGCGGGGAGGACTACGACAGCTTCCTTATGTACAGCGATGACGTTCTACGCTCTCCATCGGGCAGCCAGAGGCCCAGCGTCTCCGATGACACTGGTGAGTGGAGACCTGGGACCCACAAGAGGACAGTGGGGGTCTTGGGTACAGAGTGAGTCCACTGGGTCCAGAGAGGGCAAAGGGGCCAGCAACTAGAGGACATGGAGGTTAAGGCAGCCTTGGACAAATGCAATGGAGTGCACATCTGTGCATGGGGCACAGGAACCAGTGCCTGGGGGACAGACACACACAGCCTTGTGCAAGCGCACATGAGTTCATGCCCACGGGACCACGAAGAAACACAGCTTCACAAGTTGAAGGTTCACCAGCTGTGCCATGCACACAGGACACTCAGGCCACCCCCCAGGGGCAGGCCTGGCCCAGGAGCCCTGGGCAGCCACCAGGCGGCCACCTGGCAGGGGTAGGGGAGCCAAGGAGACAAGAACACCCCCAACAGCTCTGTCCTTCCTCCTTGATTCCCAGCACAAAGTGCTGCGGAGCCCTTAGCTGGGCCTCCTGAGTGCTCAGTGTCAGCTGTGGCTCCACCTGTGGGACATCAGATGAATCACTCATCCTTTCCATGCCTCACTTTTCTGCTCTGTATAATGGGATACCAATCACACAGTACCATGAGTGGAAAAACCTCTGGGGCACGTATATCTTTTGTATTTTCTTCTGTCCCTGCCGATGCCTCAAGCTGCCCCCGGTGAACACATACTGGCCCCCACGGGGCTCAGCTTGGGCTTAAGGAGCCATTTTGAGGGGTTCAGGTGGAGCGCAGCTGGTGTGACTCTGGAACCCCAGCTCAGCTGCTTCTAACACTACCTGCGAAGCGCTCGGTGGCTTGCGGAACGGTCCCTGGGAGGCGGGCAGGGGCAAGATTCCTCTCTCCATTGTACAAACGGGAAACTGAGTCTCGGAGAGGTTAAGTAAAGCAAGGGAGACCTCACAGCTGGTGACAGAGCCCAGACTTCCCCCAGGTTTCTGGCGGGTCCGGGGGTCTCTCCTCCCCAGCTGTGCCGAGGCTGCACTCGCTCATCTGGAAAGGCTTCAGCCGCGCAAGGGTTTCACCTGCCGCGGCCTTCCCGCTCCGGCCGTGCGCATCTACCCCCGCCCCCAACACACACCCCGGGATCCCGGGAGCTGGAGACGGGCTCCCCTCGCAGAGCCTACGGCCTTCCCCCGCCTGGCCCTGCTCGGCCCGGCGCCCCCCGGCGGTGCCAACGCGGCCCTTCGTTGTTCCCAAGGCTGCGGCTGGAAGTTCGAGCCCCTGCTGGGGGAGGAGCTGGACCTGCGGCGCGTCACGTGGCGGCTGCCCCCGGAGCTCATCCCGCGCCTGTCGGCCAGCAGCGGGCGCTCCTCCGACGCCGAGGCGCCCCACGGGCCCCCGGACGACGGCGGCGCGGGCGGGAAGGGCGGCAGCCTGCCCCGCAGTGCGACACCCGGGCCCCCCGGAGGTGACAGGCTCACCCGCCGCCCCCCGATCCGCGCCCACCCAGCCTCACTCGCGCCTGAGGGCCTGGGGTGGGCGTCTGCGCTGCCTCGGGGGCCCCAGTTTCAGCCAGGCCCGGGCCTTGGCGGCTGGGAGCACAGCTGCTCAGAGGCAGGGCCCAGTGCCAGGGGACGCGTGAGGCAGGCGCTTGGGCCCTTATGGTGCCTGCCTGGCCAGGGGGTGCAAATTCAGAAGTCTGCCCGGGAAGCGGACCCTGGCACCCAAGTAGACCCCTCAGGGGCCTCAAAGGACAGGAGGGAAGGCTTGGGGATCTCCCCAGGGCAGAGCTGACTGCAGACGCAGCAAACCCCCGCCACTGCCAGGGTCAGCAGTGCTCACACCGATAGAGTGGCCGGCCAGAGGATATGGGCTGTGGAAGCCTGGGTGGCCCTTGGGCTCCTGCAGGGACAGAGGGCCTCTGTCCCTAGTGGTTTGAGGGAAACTGGTTGTATTTAAGCAAAAGCCACCCAGAGGGTGGGTGACCAGGAATGTGCAGGGCCCAGCCTGCCCCACGGGGCCCGGGTCTGGGGCAGGCCTGACCAAGGGACCCTGCTCTCCCCCTGCAGAGCACCTGGTGAATGGCCGGATGGACTTTGCCTTCCCGGGCAGCACCAACTCCCTGCACAGGATGACCACGACCAGTGCTGCTGCCTATGGCACCCACCTGAGCCCACACGTGCCCCACCGCGTGCTAAGCACATCCTCCACCCTCACACGGGACTACAACTCACTGACCCGCTCAGAACACTCACACTCGACCACACTGCCCAGGGACTACTCCACCCTCACCTCCGTCTCCTCCCACGGTGAGTGACCTCAGCCAACCCTGCCTCTCCCACTAACCCTTCCTCTCTTCCAGCTCCTGGAGCCTCGGGCTTCTGTCTGCTGTCCCCACCGCCCATTCTCCAACATACACACACGCATGCACACATGCACGCACACACGTGCACACGCATGCACACATGTACACAGACATGCATGCGCACACGTACACACATGCATGCACACTCCCTGCTCCTCTCACTCTTGTTTTGTCCTGCCCTAGGCCTCCCTCCCATCTGGGAACACGGGAGGAGCAGGCTTCCGCTGTCCTGGGCCCTGGGGTCCCGGAGTCGGGCTCAGATGAAAGGGTTCCCCCCTTCCAGGGGCCCACGAGACTCTATAATCCTGGCTGGGAGGCCAGCAGCGCCCTCCTGGGGCCCAGGTAGTACAGGGGTGGCCATCCTGTCTCCACAGCTGTCCTGCTCCATCTGTCATCCAGCCACCATAGCAGCCGCCAGCTGTGCCCACTGCTTCCCCTCCATTCCATCCACAGGACCCCCGCCTGCCCACAGGCGCTAACCACCTGCCCTACCATCAGTGCTGATGCCTAACTCTGCCTCTGCCCTCCCAGGGGGCGGGGCTGGGGCTGGGGCAGGAGAGGGGCCAGGCCAGCTGAGCAGTTGAGGGGGTGGGGCTGGCAGACTCACGGGGCTCACTCTCTTTTGGCACAAGCAGGGCCTGCACCCTGCTGGAGGATGTGCGGTAGGTGCTGGGCAGCCTGGACAGGGTGTTGCAGGGTGAGTGAGTTGTCCAGCCAGCGGTCAGTGTAGACATGCCAGCTGAGGGAGGGAGGTCAGGGGGCAGCACTGTGACTCCCACTGAGACCCTAGCCCCTGCATCTCTGGCTGACTGCGGCCTCCTGTCCCCAGACTCTCGCCTGACTGCTGGTGTGCCCGACACGCCCACCCGCCTGGTGTTCTCTGCCCTGGGGCCCACATCTCTCAGAGTGAGCTGGCAGGAGCCGCGGTGCGAGCGGCCGCTGCAGGGCTACAGTGTGGAGTACCAGCTGCTGAACGGCGGTGAGGCATGGTGGCTGCCAGGCTGCGGGGTGCAGCCCTGCAAGGCCTGGCCCCAGTGTGACACATAGGGTACCTCAGCTGTGTCAGGAACCCACCCAAGTCCCTTGAGCGCTAAAGCCCCCATCCAGCCTGAGAGGGTCTCCCACCCCATTCTCCACCCCACTTCTTTGCCTCCCCTCTTCTGAGGTCTCACCCACCTCCCTGGGCCTCTCTCCTGGTCATTCTCTGCTAGGTTTTGCCTAACAAGGCCCCTTTGGGCTGGGATCCTAGGGCCTCTGCTGGCCTGAGATGCCTTTGGGGGAACAAGGAAGTGGCACTTCCCTGGGCAGGCACATTCAAAGCAGCATGACCAGGATGCAGGATGTTGCCTAAACATGAGTGGGATTACAGGCTCCACTCTTGTATAGTACACAATCTGAACAACCAGCCATACCATACTGTACCCAACCTGTACCCAAACCACAGCTAGTCCTGGGTGGGTGATAACTAGGTCTCGATGGCAGCTTAGGGACGAGGAGGATCAGGCCAGGGGTGGGAGTAACACTGCACTACTGTGTGCCCCCACCTGATCCCCCCAGGTGAGCTGCATCGGCTCAACATCCCCAACCCTGCCCAGACCTCGGTGGTGGTGGAAGACCTCCTGCCCAACCACTCCTACGTGTTCCGCGTGCGGGCCCAGAGCCAGGAAGGCTGGGGCCGAGAGCGTGAGGGTGTCATCACCATTGAATCCCAGGTGCACCCGCAGAGCCCACTGTGTCCCCTGCCAGGTGAGTTGCCTCCCCCAGCCCCAGAGCTGCCCCCATCATGCCCACCACCCACCCACAGGCTGATGCTCTTCCTCTACTGCCCCCAGGCTCCGCCTTCACTTTGAGCACTCCCAGTGCCCCAGGCCCGCTGGTGTTCACTGCCCTGAGCCCAGACTCGCTGCAGCTGAGCTGGGAGCGGCCACGGAGGCCCAATGGGGATATCGTCGGCTACCTGGTGACCTGTGAGATGGCCCAAGGAGGAGGTGCTGCCCACCCCGGGGGCAGGAGTGGCCAGGGGAGGGGTAAAGAGGGGGCCGCAGACGCTGAAGGCATCTTCCCTGCTCAGGGCCAGCCACCGCATTCCGGGTGGATGGAGACAGCCCCGAGAGCCGGCTGACCGTGCCGGGCCTCAGCGAGAACGTGCCCTACAAGTTCAAGGTGCAGGCCAGGACCACTGAGGGCTTCGGGCCAGAGCGCGAGGGCATCATCACCATAGAGTCCCAGGATGGAGGTAGGCACCTGTCCTTTCCTTCACCCCCACCCCTCCTCGGGCCGTGCCTCCTTCTGGCACCACCCTCTGACTGGCCTATCTGCCCACCCCAGGACCCTTCCCGCAGCTGGGCAGCCGTGCCGGGCTCTTCCAGCACCCGCTGCAAAGCGAGTACAGCAGCATCACCACCACCCACACCAGCGCCACCGAGCCCTTCCTAGTGGGTGAGCACTGAGGGCTAGGGGATCCCGGCTCTCCTGGGACAGGGAGCTAGCAGAGGGAGAAGGGCAGACCCCAAGCCAGGTCATCTAATGCCTCCTCCTCCACAGATGGGCTGACCCTGGGGGCCCAGCACCTGGAGGCAGGCGGCTCCCTCACCCGGCATGTGACCCAGGAGTTTGTGAGCCGGACACTGACCACCAGCGGAACCCTTAGCACCCACATGGACCAACAGTTCTTCCAAACTTGACCGCACCCTGCCCCACCCCCGCCACGTCCCACTAGGCGTCCTCCCGACTCCTCTCCCGGAGCCTCCTCAGCTACTCCATCCTTGCACCCCTGGGGGCCCAGCCCACCCGCATGCACAGAGCAGGGGCTAGGTGTCTCCTGGGAGGCATGAAGGGGGCAAGGTCCGTCCTCTGTGGGCCCAAACCTATTTGTAACCAAAGAGCTGGGAGCAGCACAAGGACCCAGCCTTTGTTCTGCACTTAATAAATGGTTTTGCTACTGCTAGGCCCTGCCTTGCCCATTCTTCTGGGGCCTGAGAGGTGCTCCCCTAGGGTAGGGGAGCGGTTCTGACATCCCCCATTCTCTGACACCCAAGCATACACCCACCTCTAGAGGAGGCAGGTACCACATTGGAGGCACAAGTTTATTGAGCACCCGGATATGGAAGATGGCACCGGGCACAGAGCCGTGGGACTGGCCTGCAGGCCCCGCACCCTCACCGTGTGCTGTCCTGGGGGTGCCTCACAAGCACAGCACCTTGGCTCCATCGGCTGCTTGAGAGAGGTAGAAGGTGGCAGTCCCGCCGTAGTGCTCCTGTAAGAGGCGGGCTGGGGGTGAGTGGCAGGGCCCCGGGAAGCTGCCGCTCCTGCCCGCCCAGGCCCTGGTGCCCGCCCACCTGGATGTGCCGCATGGCGTGGGGAGCAGCGGAGGCCTCCAGCAGTGTCACCGTGCAGCCACCGAAGCCACCGCCCGTCATGCGGCTGCCATAAACCCCAGGCACAGCAAGCGCAGCCTCCACCAGCTGGTCCAGCTCTGGGCAGCTCACCTCATAGTCGTCTCTGCAGAGAGGATATTGAAGGGGTGGGCCTGGGCCGGCCTGTGCCCGGCAGGAGCGGGGCGCCCAGAGGGCCTCACCTGAGTGAGCGGTGGCTCTCCACCATGAGGCGGCCAAAGGCTCTGTAGTCGCCACGTCTCAGGGCGGCCGCTGCCTGGGCCGTGCGCCGAATCTCCCCCACCACGTGCCGGGCCCGCCGGAAGCCCTCTTTGCTCACCAGGTCCCTGGCAGCTGGGGAGGAAAGAGGAGTCAGCAGCCGCCTTCTCACTGCCTGGGGCCCCGACGCCTGTGAGGACCAGCAGGCGGTGATGGCAGTGGCCCTGGCTGGACGGTGAAGGGTGGAAGGCCGCGGGGGCAGGGCAGCCTGGCTCTCTCAGACGTGGGTCTGAAGAGCCCCTTTATCACAGTGCCTCCTCCCCCGACTGTAAAATGGGACACCTTGGTCCTTCAGGGAGCAGTGAGGGTTGAAACACTCCATGCTTTCCAAGGTGAGTGCTGCCCTCAAGAGGCCACCACAGAGCAGGAGGAGAAGAAGTTCTGCTGAGCCACATGGAGCCTCCAGGGCTGGGGCTCCAGAAGAGGGGGCAGAAGCAGCCAGGGACCAGCAGGCTGTCCCATCTGACTGGAGCTGAGGCTGGAGGGGTACCTGGGTCAGTACCAGTACTGACTCAGTGTACTGCGCCCGGCCAAACCCGCAGGTTTAAGGGGGAAGGTTGTTAGGGTAGGTGGCATGGCGGGATGGAGGGGCAAGTAGATTCAAAGGACTGAGAAATGAATGGGTGGGCGCGGTGGCTCACACCTGTAATCCCAGCACTTTGGGAAGCTGAGGCAGGCAGATTGCCTGAGGTCAGGAGCTCGAGACCAGCCTGGCCAACATGGCGAAACCCCGTCTCTACTAAAAATACAAAAGTTAGCCGGGCATCGTGGCAGGCGCCTGTAATCGCAGCTACTCAGGAGGCTGAGGCAGGAGAATTGCTTGAACCTGGGAGGCGGAGGTTGCAGTGAGTGGAGATCATGCCACTGCACTTCAGCCTGGGTGACAGAGTGAGGCTCCCTCTCAAAAAAAAAGAAAGAAAGAAAGAAAGAAATGAATGGAAATGAGACAGTGGGTGGTGTTTTAGGAGGGAAGAAAACTGAGCATGTCTTGGAGGCTGAGGGAAGGAGCCAGGCAGCCAGGCAGGGGATGGAAGGAGAGGGATTGCGCTTCTAGGGCAGGACTCTGGAGGAGGCAGGGTGAGCTGCTCCTATGCAGAAGGAGACCTGGAGGAGGGGCAAGGACAGGCTGGGGTGGGGAGGAGGGACCAACTTGTTCCAGTGTGAAAACCTTGGCCAAGGGCATCTGCACAGAGCAGGCAGGGCAGGTCTGAGCACTGCTCTGGAGAACGTGACACAGTTCACAAAGGAAAAGGACAGGGAGGTCCCTCGGAGCTGTCTAGTGTCCCTGAGATAGGCACACCTACACTGCCAGGAAGGAACAACTCAGTGTGGGCAGCACGGCCAGCCAGTCAAGAGCATGGGCCCTGGAGCTAATCTGTCCAGATGGGGTTCAGATCCCAGCACTGCCTCTCACTGTAGATTCCCCCATCAAAAATATGACAACTATGGTAGCAGAATGTGCTTTACAGAGTTTTGGAGGGAATTAAATGAGCTAATATTGATAATGACCTTAAAACTGTCCAATAGACTACCTTCCTGGCCATGTGTAGCAGGAGCCTTAAGGATACTTGTATCTTTTTTGTTTTGGAGACAGGATCTCACTTTGAGGCCCAGGCTGGAGTGCCATGGTGCAATCACAGCTCACTGCAGTCTCAACCTCCTGGGCTCAATTGATCCTCCCACCCCAGCCTCCTAAGTAGCTAGGACTACAGGCACACACCACCACACCTGGCTAATTTTTGTATTTCTTTAGAGATGGGGTTTTGCCATGTTGCCCAGGCTGGTCTCGAATTCCTGAGCTCAATGAATCTGCCCACCTTGGCCTCCTAAAGTGCTGGGATTACAGGCACAGACGTGAGCCACCGCACCCAGCCTACAATACTTGTGTCTCTTGACTCTGTAATCCTACTCCTAAGAATCCATTTCTAAGAAACTATTAAGAGAATGCAGATAGGCCAGGTGTAGTGGCTCACGCCTGTGCCTGTAATCCCAGCACTTTGGGAGGCCAAGGCAGGCGGATCACTTGAGGTCAGGAGTCCAAGACCAGCCTGGCCAATATAGTGAAACCCAGTGTCCACTAAAAATACAAAAAAAAAAAAAAATTAACTCGCTCTGGTGGCACACGCCTGTAGTCCCAGCCACTCCAGAGGCTGAGGCAGGAGAATTGCTTGAACCCTGAAGACGGAGGTTGCAGTGAGCCGAGATCACGCCACTGCGCTCCAGCCTGGGCTACAGAGCAAGACTCAGTCTCAAAGAAAAAAAAGAGAATGCAGATAAACCGGGTGCCTTTGGTTGCAGCTACCCAGGAGACTAGGTGAGAAGATTACTTGAGCCCAAGAGTTCAGGTCCAGCCTGGGCAACTTAGCAGAACCCATCTCTTTAAAAAATAAAAAAGATGGCCAGGCACAGTGGTTCATGCCTGTCATCCCAGTACTTTGGGAGGCTGAGGTGGGCAGATCACCAGGTCAGGAGTTCACGACCAGCCCGACCAACATGGTAAAACCTCATCTCTACTAAAAATACAAAAATTAGCCAGGTGTGGTGGCACATGCCTCTAATCCTAGCTACTCAGGAGGCTGAGGCAGGAGAATCACTTGAACCTGGGAGGCAGAGGTTGCAGTGAGCCGAGATCGTGCCACTGCACTGCAGCCTGGGTGACAGAGCAAGACTCTGTCTCAAATAAATAAATAAATAAATAATAAAAAAGATAAATAAAAAAAGTTAATCACAGTGTGAGGTGTATCAGAAAATAGTTAAGTAAATGACAGAGCACCTGAATGCTAAAATATTGTGGAGCTTTAAAGAGCCACACGGAGGCCAGGTGCAGTGGCTCACACATGTAATCCTAGCACATTGGGAGGCTGAGGCGGGCAGATCACGAGATCAGGAGTTCGAGACCAGCCTGGCCAACATGAAACCCCGTCTCTACTAAAAATATAAAAATTGGCTGGGCGTGGTGGTGGGTGCCAGTAATCCCAGCTACTCAGGAAGCTAAGGCAGGAGAATCATTTGAACCCAGGAGGTGGAGGATGCAGTGAGCCGAGATTGCGCCACTGCACTCCAGCCTGGGCAACAGGGCAAGCCTCCACCTCACCAAAAAAAAAAGAAAAAAAAAAAAAAAGAGCCACACCGAGATATGCCTTTCATGGCATAAGATAAGATAGGGTTCTGGGTTCTGAGATTATGTTTAGTTTAAAAAAAAAAAAAAAAGAGACCGGCACTATGGCTCACGCCTGTAATCCCAGCACTTTGGAAGGCTGAGGCGGGAGGATCACCTGAGGTCAGGCGTTTGAGACCAGCCTGGCCAACATGGTGAAACCCCAGTCTCTACTAGAACTATAAAAAATGTGCCAGGCGTAGTGGCGGGCGCCTGTAGTCCCAGCTACTCGGGAGGCTGAGGCAGGAGAATCACTTGAACCCGGGAGGCAGAGGTTACAGTGAGCTGAGATCGCACCATTGCACTCCAGCATGGGTGACAAGACCGAAACTCTGTGTCCAAAAAAAAAACACGGCAAATGGGCTGGGCGCAGTGGCTCATGCCTATAATCCCAACACTTTGGGAGGCCAAGGCAGGAGGACCACTTGAGGCCAGAGTTCAGGATCAGCCTGGGCAACACTGCAAGACCGTCTTTACAAAGATAAAAATTAGCCGGGCATGGTGGCACACCTGTAATCTCAGCTACTTGGAAGGCTGAGCTGGGAGGATCCCTTGAGCTCAAGAGTTCAAGTTTGCAGTAAGCTATGATCACACCACTACACTCCAGCTTGGGCAACAGAATGAGACCCTGCCTCTTAAAAAAAAGGGGGTGGGGGGGGAAAGTGATGATATATTACATATACTCAGCTTTGAAGACAGATGTGGAAAAATACTGAAAGGAAACGTGAAAATGTCAGCAGTGGCTATCTCTGGGTAGTGGCCTTATAGCTTATTATTTTCTACTTTGTACTTTTCTACATTTTCCACAATGGAAACATGATTTTTCTGATTAGATAAGACCATTTTAGGATTTCAAGCAGCCCTGCTGAGATTGGAACCCTGGGTGCGCAGTGTTTGAAGGGACTGGGGAGAGCATGGCAGAAGGCCCTGGAGATCGGGGTCCCAGGCAGGGTCAAGGCCACACTGAGGCGCCAGCAGGGAGCACAGCCGCCTCCAGGATAGAGCACCCTGGCAGTTCTCACCCTCTAGCTCTTCCAGTTGTACCTCCCGGAGGCTTTCCTTGCCCAGCGCCCGGGCCACTTCTTCACATTGGCGCCGCCGCACAGGGTACTCGCTGGAGGCCAGGGAGTGGCGGACATTAGAGTTGGTGATGAGCACGGCCAGCTTGGGGTCCGAGAGTGGCACCAGGCTGGTCTCCAAGGACCTGGGGTGGAGTTACAATGGGGGAGATGACGAGGCCAAGCGTGTGCTTGCTGCGCCAGGCAGTGGGCACACTCCCACCCAGGAGCTGCTGAGTGCAGGGCGGGAGGGGACGAGGGGAGCGAGCCCAACCTGCAGTCAATGAGCAGCGCGTGGCCTTTCTGTCCCATAAGTGAGATGAACTGGTCCATGATGCCACAGGGCATCCCTGCGAAGCTGTGCTCGGCCTGCTGACACACCTGGGCGCGGGCAGCTATTGTGCCCGAGTCTGCAGTACAGGGTGAGGTGGGGAGGCTAGGGCTGGTGGAAGCAGCAGTGGCTTCAATGACACTCCAGGGAGAGTCCCTGCCACCCCCTCCATAAGGCATAGTAGAAGCTGGGACCACCTGGAGACCTCAGGGAAGGAGGGCTGGGTCAGGGCTGGGGCCTAGCTGGTACCTGGACAGAGCTGCTGGAGGAAGGTGTACGTGGCCACTTCCAAGGATGCTGAGCTGGACAGGCCACCCCCCAGGGGCACTGAGCTGACCACCACTGCACTGAAGCCAGGGAGGGGGGCAGCTGCAGGGGAAAGAACAGGTGATGGTAAGAGGGGCTGCCTGGGAGGATGGCACAGGAAGGGCAGGTGTCCTGGCGGGAAGGGCAGCAACGGCCTAGCAGCTGTTTCTAGGGTGTGTGTCTCAATTGTCAGAAGCCACCAACCTGCTGGGCCAAGGGACCCACTGCCCTCCATTTTCCCACCCTCTGAGGTTGCTGGGACACTTCTAATTGTCCTCCTGGTTTAGGGCTCTGGAGGGAAAAAAGGCTGGGGTTCAAATCCTGGCTCCTCCAATCAGGTCACGGGAAACCCAGGGCAAGTTCCCGACCTTCTGGGGGCATCAGTTTCCTCATCTGTACAATGGGATGCTCCACTCTACAAGCCTTCCCCACAGTGTATCAGACAAATGAATGGGCTCTGTGGCTGTGAGGTGGCACTCCTAGTATCAGTGAGGACTTGGCTCAGGCCTGGGCCCCATACCTGGGTAGTACTGAATCACTCCCTTGACATAGTTGGCCCACCGAGGAGTCCCAGGCTCCAGCGAGCGCTGGGCTGTGGGCAGTGGAAACTGCAGCCGCTGGGGCTCATCGGCACCCTCAGAGGTGGTGAGGAGAGACACCAGCCCATCCTTGCGGGGGCTGCCCACCAGCACCGTCATGAGCTCCAGAGCCTGGCAGGAGAGACAAGCAGTACGTGAGGCTTCCGCCAGCTGGAGTAAGCCTCTCCAATGACACTGCCTCCAGCCGAGGTTCTGATGCCTCCACAGTCATCAGGTTCTGAACCTCCAGGTTCAGCGTCGCAGGGAAGATCCTGAGGGCCAGCTGACCTTGGGGGCTTGAGCCCTGCCCCCTTAGGTCTTCAGGGGCGGGGCGGCTGCAGCTGGAGCACAGACCTGGACTCTGCCCTGAGCTGTGGGGCAAGGGGGAGAGCTAGCCCAAAGGGAAAACAGATCACTGGAGCTCCAAAGCCTTTACATTTTGGGGTGGCTCTGGACATCCTGTACCTGTGCACTCCCCAAGCTGCAGATGGGGCGGAAAGCGCCCCCCGCTGAAAGCTGGGAGTCCTCACTCCCAAGTCGCAGCCCCGCCAAGAACCTGCTGTGTGACCTCCAGCAGTTCACTGGGCCTCTCTAGGCCTCAGTTTCCTCCTCTGTAAATTGAACGGGCTGGGCCAGAAGGCTACGTTCGCCCAGGTCTGCGGTTGGGGCCCCACGGTGGCCGGAGGCGCGGAGTGTCCCCTTCTGCGTGGCACACAGGGCCTCACAGTTTAAGGGGAACATGCTCCCAGGTTGAAGGCGAGGAGCCCCAGCCCCCAGAGGGCGGGCTTGAGCCAAGAGGCGGCCGCGCACCCTCTCCCGGCCACTTCCTCGCTTCCTCCCTTCCAACGTGGGGAACAGCCTGTCCCGGGGACTCTTCCGTGCACCGGTGCTCCAGGCGCAGCTGCCCGCCCCACATCTCCCGCGGGAAGAACTCGCCCCCAGCGTCCCCGAGGCCCGCCCTCCTCGGCGGCCGGGACAGGCGGCGGCGGGCTAGGGGCTCCCCGTGCAGCCCCTCACCATAGGCAGCACCAGGCCCTGGTTGTAGTCCGTGTGTTCCCCGATGAGGTTGACGCGGCCCGGCGCTGACACGGCCAGCTCGGGCTCGGCCCCGAACTCCTCCCGGAAGGCTCGCCGGGCCTCGGCCAGCAGCTCCGCGACCTGGGGCTGTCTCAAAGCAGCCATGACGCGCGCCTGCAGCTCTGCACAGCTGCTCCGGCACAGCCCCGTCGGCGCGGGATGCTCGGGCGGGGCCCCGCGCGGGGGTGCGCACATTCCCGCCAGCCCCGCCCCGCGCCCGGACGCCCCGCCCCCAGACCTCAGCCGGTTCCGCCCCCACCCGCAACTCCCGTGGGAATCCAGCTGCTGGGTGGTGGGTGGCAGGGGCTAATGGTGCCGGGTGGGATACAGCGCCCCCGATGGTGTCCTTCCCTCTGGACTTCGGGAAGAACCAATGAGCACTCACTAGAGTGAGAATAGCCCTGAGTGGCACTTGGCATGACCAGGATTTCTGAGCTGCCCTTCCCTGGCGCTGGTGACTTTCTATGTGCCTCACCACCCACCACCACCCACACAGCCAGAGCAATGGAGCTGGCACCCGGTTGACCTGGGATTCCCAAAGGGATCCCCTAGGTCCCCAGGGCCAGCAGCTGTGAGAGGTCATCAGCCTCTGATCACCGGTCTCCAAGAGGGTGACCTGACACTCACTGTAAGTAGAGATAAAGACAGACAAGTTTGGGCCGGGCGCAGTGGCTCACGCCTGTAATCCCAGCACTTTGGGAGGCCGAGGTGTGCAGATCACCTGAGGTCGGGAGTTGGAGACCAGCCTGACCAACATGGAGAAACCCCATCTCTACTAAAAAATACAAAATTAGCTGGGCATGGTGGCTCATGCCTGTAATCCCAGCTACTCGGGAGGCTGAGGCAGGAGAATCACTTGAACCTGGGAGGCGGAGGTTTCGGTGAGCTGAGATCACACCATTGCACTCCAGCCTGGGCAACAAGAGCAAAACTCTGTCTCAAAAAAAAAAAAGACAAGTTTGGTGGTGACCAGAGAGTCAATTTTACAAGCTCCTTTTCTAGGTAATACGCAACAGCTCCTAGCAATGGAGAATTGGACTAGGGTGGCGGTGGCCAGCAGTGGGCCCAGCCCCTCCCTTAAGGACCTGCCACAGCTGTCCAGGTAGGTTGTGCTGTTGGCCCCAGCAGGCACTACTTCAGCCCAGAAGCCCTTGTCTCAGAGGCGTGGCCTTGTTCCCAGTCAGGCACTCTTCTCTTGCTATCCTGCATCCTAAACCTGCTGGCCGGCCCCAACTGCTGCCTTGATACCTGTCCACAGCTGCCCACCCTACATGGAACCTTGAAACTGAAAGACTGAAATGTAAGCAGCTTGCTTGGGGTTAGGGTGGGAGTAGTGTGGGGAGTTATGGCCAGGGATTTAGCTTGGGGCCTGCTCAGGGGTGTGCCCAAAGAGTGGGGAACTGCATTCCAAGGGCAATTCTGAAAACTCTTAGAAGAAAACATAGGGGTACAGTTTTGTGACATTGGTTAGGAAATGTTTATTTGGTTTCTGTTTTTGAGACGGAGTTTCGCTCTCGTTGTCCAAGCTGGAGTGCAATGGCGTGATCTCAGCTTACTGCAACCTCTGCCTCCCGGGTTCAAGCGATTCTCCTGCCTCAGCCTCCGGAGTAGCTGGGATTACAGGCACGTGCCACCATGCCCGGCTAATTTTTTGTATTTTTAGTGGAGACTGGGGTTTCACCAGGTTAGCCAGGCTGGTCTCAAACTCCTGACCTCAGGTGATCCACCCACCTTGGCCTCCCAAAGTGCTGGGATTACAGGCGTTAGCCACCACACCTAGTCATGTTTTTTTATTTTTATTTATTTACGTATTTATTTATTTTAGACAGATCTTGCTCTGTTACCCAGGCTGGAGTGCAGTGGCGCGATCTTGGCTCACTGCAACCTCCGCCTCCCAGGTTCAAGCGATTCTCCTGCCTCAGCCTCCCCAGTAACTGGGATTACAGGCACCCTCCACCATGCCTGGATAATTTTTGTAAAAGCAGGGTTTCACCATGTTGGCCAGGCTGCTCTTGAACTCCTGACCTCAAGTGATTTGCCTGCCTCAGCCTCCCAAAGTGCTGGGATACAGGTGTGAGCCAATGCGGCCAGGCAATGGTTTTTTAGATATGACATCAAAAGCACAAGTGACAACAGAAAAATAAACTGTACTTCATCAAAGTGAAATATTTTTCTGCAACAAAGAACTGTCACGCGTGTCCGTGTGAACAGACCACCAAACAGGCTTTGTGTGAGCAACAAGGCTGTTTATTTCACCTGGGTGCAGGCGGGCTGAGTCTGAAAAGAGTAAGCAAAGGGTGGTGGGATTATCATTAGTTCTTATAGGTTTTGGGATAGGTGGTGGAGTTAGGAGCAATGTTTTGCGGGCAGGGATGGATCTCACAAAGTACATTCTCAAGGGTGGGGAGAATTACAAAGAACCTTCTTAAGGGTGGGGGAGATTACAAAGTACATTGATCAGTTAGGTTGGGGCAGGAACAAATCACAGTGGTGGAATGTCATCAGTTAAGGCTATTTTCACTTCTTTTGTGGATATTCAGTTGCTTCAGGCCATCTGGATGTATACGTGCAGGTCACGGGGGCTATGATGGCTTAGCTTGGGCTCAGAGGCCTGACAAGAACATTGTCAAGAAAGTGAAAAGACAACTCACAGAATGGAAGAAAGTACTTGCAAATCATGTATATCTCAGGGGCTTGGAGTTTGAGACCAACTTGGGCAACGTGGGAAGACCTCACTGCTACAAAAAAAAAAAAAAAAATTAGCCAGGTTGGGTGGCACACACCTGTGGTCCCAGCTACTCAGAAGGTGAGAGACCCTGTGTCAAAGAAGAAAAAAAAAAAGCAAAAGATTTCAAGAGACATTTTTCCAAATAATATAAATACAAATGGCCAATAAGCACATGAAAAGATGCTCAAATGTCAGATGTGGTGGTTCATGCCTGTGATCCCAGACTTTGGGAGACCGAGGTAGGCGGATCACTTGAGAGCAGGAGTTCAAGACCAGACCAGCCTGGCCAACATGGTGAAACCCCATCTCTACTGAAAACACAAAAATTAGCCAGGCATGGTGGCGCACATGTGTAATGCCAGCTTACTCGGGAGGCTGAGACACAAGAATCACTTGAACCCGGGGGGT
This sequence comes from Homo sapiens, assembly GCF_000001405.40. Classification (NCBI taxonomy): domain Eukaryota; kingdom Metazoa; phylum Chordata; class Mammalia; order Primates; family Hominidae; genus Homo; species Homo sapiens. The sequence continues at coordinate 75,768,168 of NC_000017.11, forward strand.
GGAGTTTGCAGTGAACCGAGATCTCGTCACTGCACTCCAGCCTAGGTGACATAGTGAGACTTGGTCTCGGGAAAAAAAAACAAGTGATGTATCTATACAATAGAAATATTAATCCATAAAAAGAAATGAAGTACTGATACGTGTAACAACATGGATGGAGCCTTCAAGAAAAAAATTAGCTGGGCGTGGTGGCGGGCACCTGTAGTCCCAGCTACTCGGGAGGCTGAGGCAGGAGAATGGCGTGAACCTGGGAGGCGGAGCTTGCAGTGAGCAGAGATCGTGCCACTGCACTCCAGCCCAGGTGACAGCGCAAAACTCCGTCTCAAAAAAAAAAAAAAAAGAATGAACTTTGAAAATATTATGGTGAGTGAAGGAAGCCAGTCACACAAGACCACCTGTTGTATATCCAGAATCGGCAAATCTCTACAGATGGAAAGTTAATTAGCGGTTGCTTAGGCCTGAGGGAATAGCAGGGTCAGAGCCAAAGGATGGCAGGTTTCTCTGTGGTAAGGAAAATGTTCTAAAATGGACTGTGGTGATGGTTGCACATGCCTGTGAATATCCTAAACTGTTGAATTTTATGTTTTAAATGGGTGAATTATATGGTATGTATTATATCTCAATAAAGCTGTTAAGAAAAGAATGGGGCCCAGGTGTGGTGGCTCACGCCTGTAATCCCAACACTGGGAGGCTGAGGTGGGCAAATCGCTTGAGACCAGGAGTTCAAGACCAGCCTGGGCAACAAAGGGAGACCTCATCTCTCCAAAAAAATCAAAAATTAGCCGGGCACGGTGGCTCATGCATGTAATCCCAGCACTTTGGGAGGCCGAGGCGGGTGGATCACTTGAGGTCAGGAGTTCAAGACCAGCCCGGCCAACATAGTGAAACCCCATCTTTACTAAAAAATAGAAAAATTAGCCCGGTGTGGTGGTACAAGCCTGTAATCCCAGCTACTCAGGAGACTGAGGCAGGAGAATCGCTTGAACCCAGGGGGCGGAGGTTGCGGTGAGCCGAGATCACACCACTGCATTCCAGCCTGGACAACAGACTGAGACTCCGTCTCAAAAAAAAAAAAAAAATCAAAAATTAGTCAGGCTTGGTGGTGTGTGCCTGTGGTCCCGACTACTTGGGAGGCTGAGGCAGGAGGATCACCTGAGCCCAGAGGTTGAAGGTGCAGTGAGCCGAGATCACGCCACTGCACTCCAGCCCAAGCAATTCCAGATGTCATCGGATGACCTGCTCCTTTTGAGCACACTTCAGTAAAGCATTTTTTGGCACAGCCAACACCAAACAAATCATACCATGAGTGGCCCTTGGGCTGGTTGAAATGGAATGAAACTCACAAACCATACCTCCCTACAAGGGCCCATTCTATCAGGGCAGAGGTGAGCGAAGCAGCCCCTTCTCTGCATGCCTTTTACTCACCTCACCTCTGACACCCAACAGTGCTGAGCCCTCATCTCCACTCTTCCTATTATATGATCTCAGGTAAATGAAGTGACCTTTCTGGGCCTCAGTTTCTTATGTGTAAAATGGGGCTAGAGATTGCTCCCAGACATGCTGTTGTAAAAGGAACTGAATGAGATCATCTTCATAAAGTGCCCAGCCCAGCAGCTGGCACTTGGTACGCACAGAATAAATGTTTGCTATTCTTATCAGTTGTCCATTAATTCAACAGGCATTATGGTACTCTCCTATATGCAATTGGCCAGAAAGATAAATGCCTCAGGCTCTCACGGTCTGATTGGGAGGCAGACAGTCACAAATCTGACCCCCTCTGTCTGCGATAAATGTTGAGTAGAGCTTTCTGAATAGGAGAAGAGAGAGCAGGGATTCTGACCAGTTAGAAGTCCACACCCTTATCTTTATTTCCATTGATTCATTTTAATTGACAACGTGACTTTTTTTTTTTTTTTTGAGATGGAGTCTCGCTCTGTCGCCAGGCTGGAGTGTAGTGGCACAATCTCAGCTCACTGCAACCTCTGCCTACCAGGTTCAAGCAATTCTCCTGCTTCAGCCTCCCAAGTAGCTGGGATTACAGGCACGTGCCACTATGCCCAGCTAATTTTTTGAATTTTTAGTAGGGACAGGGTTTCACCGTGTTGGCCAGGCTGGTCTCACACTCCTGACCTCAGGTGATCCGTCTGCCTTGGCCTCCCAAAGTGCTAGGATTATAGGCGTGAGCCACCTCAGCTGGCCAACATGACCATTTGACCCATCTTCATCCTTTGTGTTGTTTTAGTTTTTCTTTTTTTTTCTTTTTTTTTTTTTTTTTGCGAGACAGAGTCTCTCTCAGTCACCCAGGCTGGAGTGCAATGGCGTGATCTCAGCTCACTGCAACCTCCACCTTCTGGGCTTAAGCGAATCTCCTGCCTCAGCCTCCCAAGTAGCTAGGACTACAGGTATGAGCCACCACGCCTGGCTAATTTTTTTTGTATTTTTAGTAGAGATGGGTTTTGCTCTGTTGGCCAGGCAGGTCTCAAACTCCTGACATCAAGTGATCCGCCCACCTCGGCCTCCCAAAGTGCTGGGCTTACAGGCGTGAGTACCACACCCAGCCTGTTTTAGTTTTTCTTGGAGAACCTCGATTTAGGCTGGGCAAGGTGGCTCATGCCTGTAATCCCAGCACTTTCAGAGGCTGAGATGGGCGGATCACCTGAGGTCAGGAATTTGAGACCAGCCTGGTTAACATGGTGAAACCCCATCTCTACTAAAAGTACAAAATTAGCCTGGTGTGGTGGCGCATGCCTGTAATCCCAGCTACTCTGGAGGCTGAGGCAGGAGAATCGCTTGAACCCCAGAGGCAGAGGTTGCAGTGAGCTGAGATTGTGCCGCTGCACTCCAACCTGGGCAACAGGGAGACTCCACCTCAAAATAAATAAATAAATAAAAATACAAAATTAGTCTGGGCGCAGTGGCTCACACTTGTAATGCCAGCACTTTGGGAGGCCAAGGCAGGTGGATCACCTGAGGTCAGGAGTTCGAGACCAGCCTGACCAACATGGTGAAACTCCATCTCTACTAAAAATACAAAAAATAGGCCAGGCATGGTGGCGTGCGCCTGTAATCTCAGCTACTCAGGAGAACGAGGCAGAACAATCACTTGAATCTGGGAGGCAGAGGTTGCAGTGAGCCGAGATGGCACCACTGCACTCCAGCCTGGGCTGCAGAGTGAAACTTCGTCTCAAAAAAGAAAAAAAAGTTGGCATAAGGCGAAGCATGTCCGTTTGTTCAAGATGGACTCTGAAACATTGATTTTATTTGGGAAATGTGTTTACTGTCTTTTTTGAATCCCATCTAGTGTGTTACTGAAATTTGTTCAGAGTGAAGTCTCCTTTGACCTTTGACCCTCCCCCCATTTCCTGGCCAGATGTCTCAGGATTAGCGGGGAGGTGGCATGGTAATGGAAACACTTCACCCTGAGCTTTGTCCTCTGCTATGCTGGCTGAGAAACTTGCTTGTATCTTGCTGATTATCACGTAGGGCTGAGGCGTCTGGAGAGAATTCTGGGTTATATCCACCACTGGGACATACTAGCCAGTGGTGGGAATACCATGCGTGCCAGCCAGGTGTCTGGTGACCTAGACAGGCTTAGAGGTGGGTTTTTTTGTTTTTTGTTTTTTTTTCAGTCAGGGTCTTGCTGTGTCACCCAGGCTGGCGTGCAGTGTCACCATCACAGCCCACTGAAGCCTTCAACTCCTGAGCTGAAGCAATCCTCCCATCTCAGCCTCCCAAGTTGCTGAGATTACATGGGAAAGCCACTGCACCTGGCTCTAACAATGTTTGTCTAGGCCGCGGAAAGATGTGACCTACCACTGAGGACAGGCACTCCAAAATGCCTCTTCTCCACGGGAGTCCGTGTCTGTCTTCTACACAAAAACCAAATCCTTGGGCCCTCCTTGCTCAACTTGGCCTTTGTTTATGTTTCACGGGACGATACACTTGACGCAGCCCTGGCTTCTATGTTGCAGTCACAGCCTGATTCCCTGATGGACTTAGGTCCGTGGCTCCCGGTGTTTTCAGAGACTGACATCTTGCTCCCAGCAGATGGCTCACTACCTTACCCATTCTGGGAGATTCCTTTTATTGTTTCTTCTAGAGGGTTAACCTATTTCCTGATCTGGGCTCCCTTTGCCCTTCTATAATATTCATGATAACAGTGTCTGGAATATTGATAATAATATTGAGCCCATGGTCAGCCCAGACCTCAGGGCTGATATCTCACCAAGATGCACCTGCGGGGCAGCACAGCTTGTTTACTACCAGCGTCTTTTTTTTTTTTTTTTTTTTTGAAATGGAGTCTCACTCTGTTGCCCAGGCTGGAGTGCAGTGGCGTGATCTCGGCTCACTTCAACCTCCGCCTCCCGGGTTCAAGCGATTCTCCTCTCTCAGCCTCCCGAGTAGCTGGGATAACAGGCATGCACCACCACACCTGGCTAATTTTTGTGTTTTTAGTAGAGATGGGGTTTTGCCATGCTGGCCAGCCTGGTCTCAAACTCCTGGCCTCAAGTGATCCACCCGCCTCAGCCTCCCAAAATGTTGGGATTACAGGCATGCGCCACCTCTCCTGGCCCCTGAGCCCATTTTCTCAGCCACTACTGTTTCCTGGACTGCTGCAGCCTCTGCTCTACTGGCCTCTGCTTACGAAAGTGTCAAGAGTTAAAGCTCAGCCTCTTGGTGATGGACAGGAGGGGCAGCTGCTCTCTCAGACTCAGTTCCTATGTGAAACACTCTCGGTTTGGAAGCCAGGCCAGTAACCAAAGCTTTTGGGAACCAGACTGATTCTTTGCCACCCATGCTGGGAGCAGATCCAGCCAGCTGTGCTTGGGGGCTGCTGGGGCCATTTGGTTTGGTCAGCAGTCACTCCTGGAACTTCTGCTATGTGTCAGGTGTGATTCCAGGGGCAGACACACTCATTCCCTGCCTTCGGAGCGCCAGGAGCTTCTCGTCTCCCTGCGGTCTCAGATGCCCCTGCTCAGATAACCCAGCTGCAAGTCTTGTCTTTATTTGCTGCCCCTACTCTGTCCCTGAAGTTCCTGCCCTCTAGGTTGACAACCACCCTGCTGCTGGCCAAGGAGCATGTCCAGACCTACAAGATGCAGCTGACAGCTCAGGGCCGAGGCTGTCTCATCTTGCGCCTCACACTGGCTGGAAAGCTGCTGGCACTGCAGCTGCCCAGGCCTCAGACCGCTGGTGGTGGGCAGATGGATTGAGACTAGCTGCAGGTGCGGAGCTGGGGAGGGAGAGCCCTGTGAGGGCCGTGATGCCTGGGCTGTGGACCCAAGCCCCTCCTGACCCCTCTGCTTGGCCCCCTGGCTCAGTGCCTGGCAGAGAGGAGCTTATGGGGAAAAATGTGGCCAACGTAGGAGGTGGTACGTGAATAGGGATTTAACGGAGCCCAGGTTCCACCTCCATGAGGACAGGCACAATCCCTCACACACCCCTCAGCAAAGGCCACCTGCCCTAAGCCTGCAGCCCATCTCCCTCTCCTTCCCTGGAGCCCTCTTGTCCCTGGTACTGGTGACGTCTGAGATGAACTTCTCCCTTTCTGCCCACCCTCCATCCCACTGTGTGTATCCCCAGAACTGCAGCTTCCTGATGAGAGCTCGCAGCTGCCAGCGAGAAGGCCCCAGACCCTGGCTGCCTCACCACGTCCCTCTCTCTGCACCCTTTTCCAGATCACGCATGGCCTTACCGCCCCTCCAGGAGCTACAGCCCCACTGAAGCCCCCACTTCTTGCTTTTCCAGTGGGGGGTGACTGTAGGGCCTCTTAGCTTTCTCCATGGGGGACGGGTCATGAGGTAGGAGGTGGGCTGGGCTCGAGTGGAGAGACCTCTGCTCGGGAGACGGCTAAGAAGCGCTGCTCCCAGGTGTGCTTGACCTGCAAGATTGGCCCCTGCTGGCCACCGGGCATAGTGCTCAGGTGAAGACACCAGAACATGGTGGGGCGCATCCCAGAGAAATCCTGTGACTCTGCTTGGAGGGAGACAGTGTCTGGTGGGATCACTGATAGCCAGGGATTGCTGGGCCGTCAGCAGGACCACAGGGAGTAGGAGTCCCCAAGGGGAGGATAATATTCTCCAGCCCCTTCTCACACCACAGCCCCTCGCAATAGAGGCCTTGTGCAAACTCCTCTGTGCGTAAACACAGGGCTGTCTCAGCTGCACCCACCTCGGCCTGCAGCCTCCCTCATTCCCCAGACCTGCTGACAAAGGGATCAGGGAGGGAAAAGGCCAGCCACCCGGCCCAAGAAGAGGGCATCCTTAGTCTTCTGAGGGTACTGTAGAATTTGGGTTGGCAACCCAACAGGGGCCTACCCCTTCTCCCCTTCTTCTAGCCTTACCTTGGAGGAGGATGCTGGAAGGCCAGCTTTCATGCAGCAGTTGCTGGTCAGAAGCAGGCCCAGCTTGATAAGAGTGGTCCAGGCTGGTGACATCCTTGTGATCAGGGCATCTCCCTGAGAAATGCCCACAGGGGCAGGCAGGAGCACCATAGGGGTGAGGGAAGGAAGAGGCTGTGAGGGCCCGGGCAAGGTGCAGCCAGCTTAGCCTCAATGGGACTGATCAGTGCCTGGGGTGGGGCTGAGAGAGGTGGACTGCGATTCCTTTGGCAAGATGATTAAAATGCTCCTGCTCCAAGGGATGAGGAGAGAATGTCCAGGATAGGGGCTCAAAGAACTCGTGCCCAGTGGACCACAGCACCCCCTGTAAGACAACTGCAGAAGGGGTGAAAACTACCCACCTGGCACTTCTCTATGGCGGGCTAGACTGGCCATAGGCCTCAGTCTCTGAATCTGAACACAGGCTGGGGCCATCTTGCAGAAACCATAGGGCAAGCCCTTGTTTCCTGCTGATTGAATTGCAGACAGCTGACCGTGTTCCGCAGTGTTCCTCCCTCTACTGACCTACCTGAAGGTGATTCAGGAGAAAGGGATTGCTTTCCCAGGGCTGCAAGACCCCACCCTGACACCTGACACCAGACAGTGCTTGCAAGGAGCCAGGCAGGGGGAGCTGAGCAGCAGACACCACTGTTGGGGAATCATCCAGTGAATCGATGAGTTGGAAACTGTTAATTTCCAGTCCAGGCAGTCAGCTCAGGGCCTCTTCTCCTTCCCTTTGGCTGATGGTCCCTAGGCCAGGACCAGTGGACCAGGTGCTAAAAGTATCCAAGGTCCTGACAGGACTCTGGCTCCCAGAAATTCTGAAACCCAAGCCACTCCACTTGTCCTGAAGCCCTTAGCCTGTGTCCTCAAGAAGGTGGCTGGAAGACCACTTGTTCATGATGAAGTTGCAGGTCAGGAGCTGGGTCCACTCTTAGTGAGGGAACACCCGTTGCCCTTCATTTCTCCCGTCTTCCTCTTCACCCTTCCTTTTCCTTATTCTGCAGTTACACTGTGGACCCCTGGTTCTGGGTAAAACAACCCTGCTTCATCTCAAAACTGACTGCTATGTGGATCAGATGATTGAAGTTTAAGGGACAAATTATGTCCCGTTTTCAGATTGAAGGTGGTATAATTAGAATATTGGTGGGTAAGCAATTTGACCTTATTTTCCTGAGACATGTCCCTATACAAATAAGTCACTGGGTCCCCACCTCACATCACCATGGTATGGGTAGGTAGAACGACCGCATAATTTGCCAAATTGGGACAGAGAACAGTAAACACAGGCACTATTAAATACACTTCAAGCCTGTAATCCTAGCACTTTGGGAGCTCGAGTTTGAGACCAACCTGGGCAACATATGGAGACCCCGTCTCTAAAAAGTAAATACACCAGCTGGGCGCAGTGGCTCACACCTGTAATCCCAGCACTTTGGGAGGCCGAGGTGGGCAGATGACGAGGTCAAGAGATGGAGACCATCCTGGCCAACATGGTGAAACCCCGTCTCTACTAAAAATACAAAAATTAGCTGGGCATGGTGGTGTTTGCCTGTAGTCCCAGCAACTCAGGAGGCTGAGGCAGGAGAATCACTGGAACCTGAGAGGCGGGGGTTGCAGTGAGCCAAGATCGCGCCACTGTACTCCAGCCTGGTGACAGAGCAAGACTCCGTCTCAAAATAAATAAATACACCACTTCAGCAGGCACAGACTGGCACTGTCCTGGGCCAACTGTCACTGAGGTCACCTCAATAGGGAGCTTCCTTATTATTGAATGCGCACGTCCCAGCCCCAGATGAATCAGAAGTCAGTGCTTTTTGGACATTGCCCCAAACTTTTTGAAAGACATTATCATTTGAATGAAAACCATTGAGAAATGAGAAAATCTTAACTTCAAAAATTTTATTTTAGTCTCATCCATCAAGGGCATAGGATACCTGCATCAGCTGCAACTTCTGCTTTTCTCCTTTGCCTCTGCTCCTTTACCCTTACCGAGGGATATCCCATACAGGAAGCCGCCTACAACCAAAAGCTATCTTCGCCTTCTGGGTTGAGTGCTCAAGCCAAGTGTGGAAATGCAAGTCACTGCTTCGGCAGATTGCAAGCTGCCCAATATAATCTAAGAGCCTTCTATGCCAGCCTGCAGACTGGAGAAGGTTCACTAGTGTCACCCACTTGGGTTGTCACAGGTAGTAAGCAGAAGCTAACTCATCACCGTAGCCAGGTTTGTGTACTTTGTTTCCAGACACGCTACAGCATAGCACGTTCCAACATCTGATCTTAATCTCATTCTGAAGCACAGTGAGGAATCAAGTGTGCTTGTTCCAGAGCTGATTATGAACTTTCTAGAAAAGCGGGTCATTATATTGCATCCTTTCATAGGAGCTCATTATCACGACCTGAAAGATACCTACTTTACCTTCCCTCCAAAATATCACATTTGAAACTAACCCAAACTTTTGAGAAAGCAATTTTAATGGGGTATAACTTTAAGCAGTTGCTAACTTCAAACGTGGAACGCTTTGATGACTGCTGGCTCTCATGCTGTCTCACTGACATCCACGTACTATGCTTTAGTGGCCATCATCGCACAAGGAAACTGGTTTCATACTGAAGTTTAAGACTGAGTTCTACACCTGTGGGCTTCTACACTACGGAACGGGAGTGGGGGGGCTGAAAAGCTTATTAATATACTTTGTCTTAGCCCACACTGCAAATACAGCACTATTATGGCATCTTAATCAAGCAGAGAGCTGTTCACATGCTTTCTACAGTATCTTTATAAATAAAAGGTTCCTTTATCCACCAAACAACACCTGAAATGATCTAAGTTCAAAACATTAGTATACAAGGACCTAGATAATGGGACATGTGAAAACTTAGTACATTCAATTTAGGTTTTGGACACTTAGTTGGATAAACAAGTTTATTTGTAAATTTAGTCAACATACATAATTGACCTAAAAACTTCAGTAAATTTTAAAACCACTTGGAAGGCCATCTCTATAAAAATGATTTTCCCAGGACAGTAACCAGATGTAACCTAACCCAACACCATCTTAATTGGCAGAGGTTCAGTGGGCTGGAGTTTTGTGCTCCTCCCCCACACCAAGTTTTTATAATACAAATGCCACAAGAAAAAGAACTTCGGTACTGTTTCCTCAGCAGAGGAGAAAAACTCAACCTAGTTATGAGACCAACCACACAACACAATGAAAAGCTGCACTAACTAGTTCAGAATGTTAGTTAAGATGATGCTGGTGTGAATAACTCGTTTTTTCTAGAGCCCTTATAAATAAAATCCCCCAGTTAGTGTTTGCATTATCAGCTAGAGGGTTAACATGTGGTAGAATGAGGACTTATGCAAGGTATAAATGCGCATAGCATTTTACTACTATGAGAACAAGTGCAGTCAGAAGAAAACCAACTGGACTCTAAATTACACACACCTTAATGACAAGACTCCCCACCACTTGTGAATGTAAAACATTTAATTTAAAAATGTTGATACTACAATATATAAAATAGCTATTATAAATGCACATAGTGTATTCTATAGCTGCCAGGTTTACTTTTTTTTTTTTTAAAGGAAACTGTAAGTTACACTGTGGTTAAGACTTGTATCTTCACCCTTGAAAAAGCCCACATTCTATCACAGTGATGTATGGTCAGACTTAACAGCCCCAATTGTTAAACACTTGGATCAAGTCATAACCAGTTTTATTGCAAAAGGACCCTGTACACATTTATCAACTCTAGTACCTTAATAGCTACCCAACAAGTCATTAACATACAGAAACATGCATCATGAGAAGCAAGAAGTATCACCCATCCCTTCTGCATATTAGCAACTTGTCACTCCTGAGCAACAGTGCTCACATCACTGAGGTCTGTGAACAGTCACTTTTCGCATTCATCCTGAGTGAAAGATGGAATGACTTAAGTACAAATGCAACATATTATAAACAATTTCTTACAAAAAAAGTCACAAATTAAACCAAAGTATTTTACAGAATTTACTACAAAACGCCATAAAAACTGCCTTCACTTAAGCTCTCTCTCCCCGTATCCGGCGAGCCAACTGGATGTCTTTGGGCATGATGGTGACTCTCTTAGCGTGGATGGCACACAGGTTGGTATCTTCGAACAGACCCACCAGGTACGCTTCGCTAGCCTCCTGTTGAGGACGAGAGCCGCACTATTAATCCCACTCGGGGAGCGGAAACCGCCCAGCCCTCCCCCGGCTCCAGGCCTTTGTCTTACCTGCAGCGCACCGATGGCTGCGCTCTGAAACCTCAGGTCGGTTTTGAAATCCTGCGCGATCTCCCTCACCAACCTCTGGAAGGGCAGCTTCCGGATGAGCAGCTCGGTCGACTTCTGATAACGACGAATCTCTCGAAGCGCCACGGTCCCGGGCCTGCAGCGAGCAGGGGAGGAGTGAGCGGACGCTGCCGCACAAAGCCGGCCACCGCCGGGCCATTGTTCCCCCGCCCGACCTACCTGTAGCGATGAGGCTTCTTCACCCCGCCGGTAGAGGGAGCGCTTTTCCTGGCGGCTTTCGTGGCCAGCTGTTTGCGGGGGGCTTTCCCACCGGTGGACTTACGAGCAGTCTGCTTGGTTCGGGCCATTTTCTTTCACCTAAGAAAGACGCCCCGAAGATAAGGCCGCCGCGCTCACCCGGGCCGCCCCCCAGGGCTGCGGGGGGAGGAACAGATCCTGGCCCCACCGCCGGGCCTCCCGCCTCCCCGCGCCCCACCTCGCGGCAGCAGATGGCCGAGGGCCGCCAACCTCCTCCCCCTCCCCTAATGACTCAGGCTGCGAGGAGCGGCAGCCTCCCCCGGGAGGGGGAGCGCGGGGAGGAGTCACTTCCCTTCCTCGACGGGCGGAGGCCCGACTGCCCGGAACCCGGCGTCGGGACCTCTGAATCACCGCCGGGAAAAGGCGGGGACACAGTTCCGGAACAAAGCCCCAAGGGGAAACCTCCCGGCCCCATACCCGACCCGACGCCAGCGGCCCGAGCAGCCCCCGCCGCTCGGCTCCCAACGGCCGCGGCGCGCGGCGCCAACGGTTGGCAGAACCTGAAGCCGCGGGTAAACCTACGAACGCCTACCCAACGCCGAAGTTTTAGGCCACTTCTCCGACCGCCGCGCCGCTTCCGCTGCCCGAGGAAGAGCCGCAGTCGACGAGCGAAAAACCAGCACCGCCCAACGAACGACCAAACCGCTCTGCGCTCCAAGCCCCCGCGTCGCCTCCGTTTTTATAGGCACGCTTCACGCTGCGTCTCTGCGTCATAGAACCCTTATTTGCATACACCAACGACTTTTTCTATTGGTGGGCGCTTTCGCCGACGCGCTGACATCCCCCGACACAAAGGCCGTGCTTCGGCACTGTTCCATGATTGGTGCATATCTACGCCGCTGATTGGCTGTTAAAGTGGCCTAATGATTGGATGGATGCAAAGAGGAATGGACGAATCAGAGTTTAGCACTAAGCGGCCCTTCTGATTGGATAAAATGGAGCTATGTTTGGATCCTTCCCTTGGTTCCAAAGCTCTGCAATAGAAAGTCAATGCAAATGAATTGCATTGGTCTCTATCAGAATGAGCAGGAGTCTAAACTCACAGGCATCAAGCGAATGCTATGCACCCAGAGAGGCTACTTTAACAAAATTTTTGTAAATATTTTCCGATGTAAAATAAAATGTGTTCCCTGGATTATTTACCTTTCATAATATTTTGATAGTTAAGTGCGTAGTGTGAGAATTAGAATTCAGTAAATCATGTTATATTATCAAGTATTTCATATATCATGCACATACATTTTTAACAAAAAGCAGGTCTCTTGGTGGGGTGGGAAGGGGTAAATAATAAATACAAATAAACATGTTAATAAATTATTTTAGAGGAACTGTTTTGTATGTTTTTAAGGTGTCACAAAATATTTTTTGATTTCCATATGCTTAAACAAGAGGTAACTTACTAAGCAACATGTTACTTGAATTATGTACTTCAAGTGAATGAAATGACTACAGCTAGAAAGTAAATAGTCCTACTATAGTATTTGCATGTCCATAAAGAATAAACAAAAGATAACTAAACTAGATATGTGCCCTTTTGTTTAATAGCATATCCTGGCAGGTATTACTTCTGAAGAAACATGACAAATGTGTAAATATGCTAATCCCTACCTTTGCCTAAGTAAATGTCTTGGGTAGATTGTAATAGTCAGTTCTTCAGTTGCCTCAAGTATATAAAATACCATAGCAGGCTTAAGGTTAAGACTAGCCAAGCAAAGCCCAGAAAATTGAAATAGAGCCTTGGGCATTCTACTCTATAGTTCTGATGCTGGTCCAGCAAATATTCTAAACTATTAAAAGAAAAAGTAGCAGATACAGGTATGCATAGGTTTCAACTAAATTAATTTTTTTTTTTGAGACGGAGTCTGACTCTGTCGCCCAGGCTGGTGTGCAGTGGCACGATCTCAGCTCACTGCAAGCTCCGCCTCCTGGGTTCACACCATTCTCCTGACTCAGCCTCCGAGTAGCTGGGACTACAGGCGCCTGCCACCACGCCCGGCTAATTTTTTTGTATTTTTAGTAGAGACGGGGTTTCACCGTGTTAGCCAAGATGGTCTTGATCTCCTGACCTTGTGATCCACCCGCCTTGGCCTCCCAAAGTGCTGGGATTACAGGCATGGGCCACCGCCCCTGGCCGGTAATTTTTTTTTTTTTTGAAGTGGGGTCTTGCCCAGTCACCCATGCTAGAGTGCAGTGGTGCAGTGACCACGGCTCACTGCAGTTTTGACCTCCTGGACTCAAGCAATCCTTCTGCCCCAGCCTCCCAAAGTGCTAGGATTACAGGCATGAGCCACCATGCCTGACCTTCAGAGAATTACAGTACGTAAGTACAAATACCTCAATATTGACTTGTCACACCAGTGGTCAAGTATCAAACAATGAGAAAAAAATGCACACTTTGAAAAACTAGCTCAGCTTCATCTCAATCTCTGGTATCAAATTCCTGTTATTATTTCAGCCTTCTTAATTTTTTTTTTTTTTTTTTTGAGACGGACTCTTGCTCTGCTGCCAGGCTGGAGTGCAGTGGCGCGATCTCAGCTCCATGCAACCTCCACTTCCTGGGTTCAAGCGATTCCCCTGCCTCAGCCTCCCAAGTAGCTGGGATTGTAGGCATGCGCCACCATGCCCGGCTAATTTTTTGTATTTTAGTAGAGACAGGGTTTCCCATGTTGGCCAAGATGGTCTCGATCTCTGGACCTCGTGGTCCGCCTGCCTCTCGCCTCCCAAAGTGCTGGGATTACAGGCGTGAGCCACCGCGCTCAGCCAGCCTTCTTAATCTTAACGTGCACATTATGTATTTAATCATCATATACCTAAATTTACTGTGATAACCAACTTTGATTTCTGCCTTTGACTCAAAATTTGAGGTAGGGAAAAATTACATGATTTTATTAATGCCATGCTGAGAAGAGAAACCTAGGTGGATTCTCATGCTTTATTCTCAAACCTGTGTCAAGTTAAGAAACAGGGGACTGTTTAGACACACATATGAGGCTGTCAAATTCTCTGGGATGCAAACAGAAAAATAACTTGTCATCTTTTTTTTTTTTTTTTTTTTGACTTTGGCCTAGAAGAGGAATAGGCTTTCTAAATTGGTCCCCCACTTTGTGTTCCACGATTTTTTTTTTTTTTTTTTTTTTTGAGATGGAGTCTTGCTCTGTCGCCTAGACTGGAGTGCAGTGGCGCCATCTCGGCTCACTGCAAGCTCCGCCTCCCAGGTTCACACCATTCTCCTGCCTCAGCCTCCTGAGTAGCTGGGACTACAGGCGCCCGCCACCACGCCTGGCTAATTTTTTTGTATTTTTAGTAGAGACAAGGGTTTCACCATGTTAGCCAAGATGGTCTCGATCTCCTGACCTTGTGATCCGCCCACCTCGGCCTCCCAAAGTGCTGGGATTACAGGCTTCAGCCACCACTCCCTGCTGTGTTTCACGATTTTTCTAGGTTATACAGAATCCTGTCATTTCCATGCCTTTGTGTGGATGGACAGTCATTTTCTTTCCAGCTTTGCTGATTATTAGAAACTAAAGCCACCCGGAGAAAAAAGGTATGGATATACATTTATCCATTTAAGTATGATTCGTGGAAACAGGAGTCCGGGCGCAGTGGCTCACGCCTGTAATCCCAGCTCTTGGGAGGCTGAGGAGGGTGGATCGTGAGGTCAGGAGTTCGAGACCAGCCTGACCAACATGGTGAAACCACGTCTCTACTAAAACTACAAAAATCAGGTGGGCGTGGTGGCACACACCTGTAATCCCAGCTACTCAGGAGGCTGAGGCAGGAGAATTGCTTGAACCTGGGAGGCAGAGGTTGCAGTGAGCCGAAATCACACCACTGCACTCCAGCCTGGGCAACAGAGCAAGACTCTGCCTCAAAAAAAAAAAAAAAAAAAAAAAAAAAAGGCTGTCTCTCTTACTTCGTAGTCATGCAGGTATGTTTCACTTTTTCCAGATTGGTACAACGGAGGAAAAGCAACACAGGAAATGAGGAAGAATAAAAAATGTTTATACAATGAAAAAAAGCAGAAGAAAACAAAACAAACAAAACCCAACAGTGAATGTGATGTAGTCTTGTAGGCTACTGTCCTAGTTCCTCTTGTTACCAACTTGCTGAGTAACTTTGTGCAAGTTACTTAGCTTCTCTGGGTTTCGGTTTCCTCTTTTGTAAATTAAGCAGTTTGGATGATATCATCTCCCAACTCCACCAGTACACACTTATTCTGAAGCTCATGATATACATCTATTATTTAAAATCCAGTGCTGTGAACTCTATTTCTTCAGTCAGATCACACTTGAGTATTGTGAGGCTAACATAAACCAAGTAACTTGCGTTTAATCATAGGATTAAAGCAATATACTACAACTTTTATTTGTCCTTTTGTAATTTTTCATTTTCAAACGCCCCTAGTGGCTAAACGATTTAGCCTGTTTAGGAAAAACCAGTTTCTCAACTCTGTGATGTGGCTTCTGATGTGAGGGAACTTGGAGCTAAATAAAATAAGTATGTGTCACTCAAACATTAACGATTTTCCATTAGCCCCACCACCCTTCATCCCTAAGGTTATTTGGAATGTGTTTCTTTAATGAGATAATCATTTGTTAATATAATCCCATCTAAGAAAATATAAATCAAAACCAGTGGATTTGAAATAGATTCAATATGAAAAACCAAATTAAATGACAACGGTTAAAATATCTACGGAGAACATTCTAAAACTCACAGAAACAAATGCCTAGGTCTGGGGCATCTGGCTTATTTTATAAAGTGAAGAACTTTGCTTGACTGGTGGGAAGCAGAGAGGGGAAAGATAATGTCCCAAGTAAAAAGGCTGACGTCCAGACAAGAAAACTAGAGTGGATAAATACGGGCACGCCCTACTCAAACCCAGGCCTTTCCTCTGGACCCTGTGATGCTTCTCAACACTGGCAACTTGTCAGTGTACCTCAGAGACTATTCTAGGCGGAGATTAAATTCGTCCTTGGCCCTTAATGTACTGGAAACAAGTTGGTCAGGCCAGGTGTCAGGCTGAGAAAGCACACAAGTCGTGGAGTTCCAGGTGTCGAGTTTGGCAAAGGTAAATGAAGCGCCTCGGCAAAGGCGCGGGAACTGTAGCGTGCGGTGTACCTCCTCCTTAGCAAAGCTTTCTCAATGCCTCTTAGGTTAGACCCGCCGCAGGGATGAAGGGGTTGCTGGCGGATTGCAGGTGCCTGCAGCACAGGGCCCAGAACTAAGAACCGACAACACAGATTCTTAAGCCCTGCTTGGAGCACTGCTCTGAGCTGGCATTAGAACCGAACCTAGCTGTACTAAGTATAAAGGCAAAGTAGTTATGACACTGTTGGCAGTGAAATTATACTTGGAACTCTTTCGCAGAAATCGCTAGGGCCTCCCTAGCTCTGGGCCCCTTCTCCTCCAGGCGCTCCAGTTTCATGGAAAGGCTTCCCTATGAAACTGAAAACGCGCTGGTAAGAAGGAGAAATGCGACCGGACTGCAATTCCCAGAAGCCGTCGCAGGCCCTCAGCATCCGGGACACTAGCAGCAAGGATCCCTGGGTATTGTGGTCCTGTGCTTTGCCAGCAACCCTCTGCCGACGGTAAAATTCCAGCCGGACATAGAACCACAACTCCCAGCAACCCCTGCTGCCGTGTGGGGGGTCTTCACGTTCTCGTGGCGCGGCGCAGGCGCACTGGGTCCTCGGCGCGGACCGCGCAGACTGAATAATAAAAGGGGAGCGGCGAAGAGGCAGGAAGACAAGACCATGTCGAAGGGCCCCGGGCCCGGCGGCTCCGCAGCTTCCTCGGCGCCCCCGGCCGCTACCGCTCAGGTGCTGCAGGCACAGCCCGAGAAACCGCAGCACTACACGTACGTAGAGCCCCCCCCCCCCCGCCGCGCGCGCACGCCTGACGTCAGCGGCCAGCGTGAGTCACGCGCGCAGGGAGAGCGCGAGGCGGCCTCTTCCTCCCCCCCTTCCTCCTCCGGCCCGGCCCAGACCGGTTCCAACCTGCTGGGGCCGGTCCCAACTGCCTCCAACTGCCACCAACCTCTGGTCGGGCTGTGGGGCGGGAAACTCGGTCCCGGCCGCCGAGTGGGGAAGGCGGGAGCTCGGGATGCAGAGTGCACTCTCCCTAGGCCAGGCCTTCGAGGCCTAACTGTTCCTCAGACCATAAAACCACAGTAGTAGGCTCCTTTGGGGCAGTGAGAAGTCCAAGACACAACCAAGAGGAGTTCCGTGGGGTCCAGCCCCAGAACCCACCTATGAATGATGATTAACGTGAAGTCCTGTCAGGAGATTCCGTGCAGTTTGCGCAGGAAGCCTTTTGTGTCCCTAAGGCTCGTAGGTTGTCCACGAGGGCCACACTTGCTTGAATTCACAGTCGACGTAGATAAACATGCAAAGATGGAAACGTGTCCGTGCGTGCCCATGACCGTTTCCCTCGCGGGCTGTGCGGAGCCTGAGTCTGGGAGCCCGAAGGTGATGGGTTCCAAGTATGTCTGCAGGCTCAGCAGAAATGTAGCATTAGAGGGAGCCCCAAATACTGACACTACAGGAGTCCAGCAGGATGGGAAAACCTCTTCCTGGAAGTCTTGCATCTGTGTGCTTTTAGGTCGCTGTCTTCATTTCCTTCAAGCCACGTTAAGCATTCCCTAGAGTTAGGTGATGTGGGAGAAAGATGAATAAGGGGCGGTTTCTCCTGTTAAGCAAAATGTTGCTTTCCATTTTCCCTGATGCTCTGTGAATGCCTCTCATCCCCATGGGCTCCTGAGTGATGTGCATGTTTAAAAGGATCCCCAGCTGCGAGAGGTTTTGGAACCTGGGGGGTTGAACAGCTCTTAAGTTGTTCAGTGAACGAAGAACAGAATCATCTGTTGGAGTAGAAAGAACTCAAACCAGTCAGGAGGAACTCTTGTTATAGAAGACCTTGGGAAACTGTTCTGGGGTTGGGGAACATTGGTTATAGGAAGTGTATGGTTTCTTTGTGGGATTCTTTGTTGTTGGCTGAAATCATTTAAGCTTCTTGACTACAGTCTGACTCACGTTAACCATTCCTTTTCTGATATGGACATTGCTTTCCTGGTCCTTTCTTACTGGAGATCTTTCGCAGTCTTTCCATTGATTTTGGTGAGATGTTCTTAGCTCAAAGACTACTGATGAGTTGAATGGTGTAGTCTTGATTTTCGAATCTGGAAACTTCACGTAATTGGAACTTCTTTATAATCTCTGGTTGCTCAGATCACTGTTTTTAGCAAAATAAACACATTTTGAGTCACGAGAGTCTTGGCTTCAGCAACTTGTGTTTCTGTGTTGTGTTGTCATTGAGCATACTATGGAATCTGTAATAGAAAGGCTTTCTTATTTTGGAATTGACAGGTGAAACAAGTGAACAGCTGATTAAATGTCAGTATCTGAGTCTTTGTCCTCTTGATGCTCATTTGTTTAAAACCTGTCTTTCCTGCCGGGCGTGGTAGCTCTCACGCCTGTAATCACAGCATTTTGGGAGGCCGAGGCGGATCGCATGAGGTCAGGAGTGAAGAGACCAGCCTGCCCAATATGGCAAAACCCCGTCTCTACTAAAAATACAAAAAATTAGCTGGGTGTGCTGGCGGGCGCCTGTAATCCCAGCTACTCAGGAGGCTGAGGCAGGAGAATCGCTTGAACCCGGGAGGCGGAGGTGGCAGTGAGCCGAGATCGTGCCACTGCACTCCAGCCTGAGCGACAAGAGCAAAACTCCGTCTCAAAAAACAGAAACAAAAACAAAAAAAAAGCCTGCCTTTCCATTCCTTGTGGGTAAGTATAGAGTAATGGGACCTGGCTCTTGAGGTGTCTTAGGAAATCAACAGGAGTAGGTGAAATAGCCAAGCTTGATGGGAGGTTGTAGGTGTTCTTATCTCTTTGTCTGTTCATATGTATGTGTGTTTTTATATTTGTATTTCCAAAAATCAGAGATAGAAATCAGTGGTCTTTCTTGCTAGACTTACTAGCATTCAGAAGCTGTGATGACCTGGAAAACTTCATCCCCTAGTCCTCCTAGGGCTGAGGTGCAGGGAGCATGAGGACACATATGATGGAACCAGCACACTTGCTGGCTCTGATTTTTCTTTTTCTTTTTTTTAAGATAGGGTCTCTGTCATCCAGGCTATAGTGCAGTGTCACCATCTCAGCTCACTGTAGCCTCGACCTCCCTGGCTCAAGTGATCCTCCCACCTCAGTCTCCTGAGTAGCTGGGACTACAGGCACACCTGGATACATTTTTTTGGTATTTTTTGTAGAGACGTGATTTTGCCATGTTGCCCAGCCTAGTCTCGAACTCCTGTGATCGAGCAGGCGCAAGCAATCTACTGTTGGGCCTTGGCCTCCCAAAGTGCTGGGAGGCCACCACACCCAGCTTTTTTTTTTTTTTTCCTCTTCTTAAAAGAGACATGGGCAGGGTGCGGTTGCTCACACCTGTAATCCCAGCACTTTGGGAGCCTGAGGTGGGTGGATCACTTGAGGTCAGGAGTTCGAGACCAACCTGGCCAACATGGAAACCCCGTCTCTACTAAAAATACAAAAAATTAGTCAGGCCTGGTGGCACACACCTGCAGTCCCAGCTACTCAGGAGGCTGAGGCAGGAGAATCGCTTGAACCCAGGAGGCAGAGGTTGCAGTGAGCAGAGATTGTGCCACTGCACTCCAACCTGGGTGACAGAGTGAGACTCGGTCCAAAAAAAAAAAAAAAGAGAGACGTGATCTCTCTGTGTTAACCAGGTGGACTTGAATTCCTGGGCTCAAGCAGTCCTGCCTTAGCCTCCTGAGTAGCTGGGACTACAGGCACATACCACCATACCTGCTTCCCTCCACCCCCATAAGGTGAATTCATTTATTGCCCTTGGGAGTTAGGGGGCGGGAGCATTTTGATTTTGATTTTAAATGAAAATTTGAGCTGCTTGGGAGGTAAACAGTGGGTACACATGGACATACGGAGTGGAATAATAATTGATCATTGATAATAATTGATCCCATTTTGAATACAGAGATAGACCCCTTTTGAATATTTGTAAGTTTTTGCCTGTCAATTTTTTCTTTTTTTTTTTTTTGGAGACAAAGTCTCACTCTGTTGCCCAAGCTGGAGTGCAGTGGCGTGATCTCAGTTTACTGCAACCTCCACCTCCCGGGTTTAAGCAATTCTCCTGCTTCAGCTTCCTAAGTAGCTGGGACTGCAGGCACACGCCACCATGGCTGGCTAATTTTTGTATTTTTAGTAGAGACAGGGTTTCACTGTGTTGGCCAGGCTGATCTCGAACTCCTAACCTCGTGATCCGCCCACCTTGGCCTCCCAAACTGCTGGGATTACAGGCGTGAGCCACTGTTCCCGTCTGCCTGTCAAATTTTTTACCTTTTTAAACTTTTATTTATTTATTTAGTTGTATTTTTAGTAGAGATGGGGTTTCACCATGTTGGTCAGGCTGGTCTTGAACTCCTGACCTCGTGATCTGCCCGCCTCGGCCTCCCAAAGTGCTGGGATTACAGGTGTGAGCCACCGCGCCCAGCCACTTTTATTTTTATTTTTAATTTTTTTTTTAAATTTATTTTTGTCACCCAGGTTGGTTGGACAGAGCAAGAGACAGGATCTTGCTCTGTCACCCAGGCTGGTGTACAGTGGCATGGGAAGGCGTGAGCCTGAGAAGGTGTGAGCCACCTCACCTGGACTTTCTTATACATTAATTAATTTTGTATAGTTTTATACCTGATGTTATTTGAAATTAGGTAACATGCTGTAGTCTTTGCAATAATCCAGAGACACTTGTGTGATAATTGAGTCTCACTCACCATAACAGTAATCTTGGCAAACACAGTTGAATACACTAAAAGCAAAAAATTATGTTGCCATTGGTTTCCCTTTCTTGCCCTTCATTCTTGTGCTGAAATTAAAGTTCTTAGAGTTTGAGCCCTCCTTTTCCTAAACCAAGAGGATTATTCATAACATAGTTTAAAGGATAATTTTGTTGATTTTTTTTTTCTAAACTCTTGAATAATCTTGCTTTAAGGGAAACTTTGGAATAATCCTTTCAGCAAATTGGTGTAGCAGGCACTTGTGCTGGACTTAGGAATCCAGTCCTTTTAGAAAACAGTTATGTCAGAAGTTCCTTTATTGTACAGCTCCAAGTATTTGCTTAGCACTTAGTAAAACGATAATGTATATGTATTATTATTCTTCCAATACAAGAACCACATGACCTCTTTTTTTTTTTCTGAGACCGAGTCTCGCTCTGTTGCCCTTGGCTGGAGTGCAGTGGCGCGATCTCGGCTCACTGCAAGCTCCGCCTCCTGGGTTCACGGCATTCTTCTGCCTCAGCCTCCCCAGTAGCTGGGAGTACAGGCGCCCGCCACCATGCCCAGCTAATTCTTTGTATTTTTAGTAGAGATGGGGTTTCACTGTGTTAGCCAGGATGGTCTCGATCTCCTGAACTCGTGATCTGCCCGTCTCGGCCTCCCAAAGTGCTGGGATTACAGGCATGAACCACTGCGCCTGGCCTGTGACCTCCTTTTACTAGACAGTTTGTCTTTTAATTTGACAAATAATGAATTTAATTCAGCTTTGTTTATAACATACTGTCTTGTATATTGGAAGAGTTTTATAAAAACGTTTAAGAATGAGGAGAACTTTTGTAGCAATCACGTCTCAAAATGTATCTACAAGTTTAGCTACCTTTTGGCTTTTTGCTGTATTAACAGTTATACTATTGAAAGTGTATAGCTGAGCAGGGCGTAGTAGCTCACATCTGTAATCCCAGCACTTTGGGAGGCTGAGGTGGGCGGATCATGAGGTCAGGAGTTCGAGACCAGCCTGGCCAACGTGGTAAAACCCCCGTCTCTACTAAAAATACAAAAAAATAGCTGGGCATGGTGGCGGGCGCCTGTAATCCCAGCTACTGAGGAGGCTGAGGCAGGAGAATCATTTGAACCTGGGAGGCGGAGGTTGCAGTGAGCCGAGATCGCGCCATTGCACTCCAGCCTGGGTGACAGGACTAGACTCCGTCTCAAACAAAAACAAAAAAATAAAATACAAAAATTAGCTGGGTGTGGTGGCACACACTGAGGCAGGAGAATTGCTTGAACCCAGGAGGCGGGGGTTGCAGTGAGCCGAGATCTCGCCACTGCCCTCCAGCCTGGACAACAGAGCCAGACTCCATCTCAAGGGAAAAAAAAAGTTTATTCTTGAAAGGTCACAGAAAAACTACCATCTGAAATATCCAGCTGGGTATGCTAGCTATAGTCCCAACTCGTTGGGAAGCTGAGGCAGGAGGATCACTTGAGCCCAGGAGTTCCAGACCAGCATGGGCAACATAGCAAGACCTCCTCTCTACTAAAAATTAAAAAAACGAGCCTGGTGTGGTGGTGTGCATCTGTGGTCCTGGATACTCAGGAGGCCGAGGTGGGAGGATCCCTGAGCCCAGGAGATAGAGGCTACAGTGAGCCAAGATTGTGTTACTGCACTCCAGCCTGGGTGACAGAGCAAGACCCTATCTGAAAAATAAATAAATAATTGGCTGGGCGTGGTGGCTCACGCCTGTAATCTTGACACTTTGGGAGGCCGAGGCGAGTGGATCACTTGAGGTCAGGAGTTCGGGACCAGCCTGGCCATCACGGCAAGACTCCATCTCTACTAAAAATACAAAAATTAGCTGGGCGTGGTGGTGCATGCCTGTAATCCCAGCTACTCGGGAGGCTGAGACAGGAGAATCGCTTGAACCCAGGAGGCGGAGGTTGCGGAGGTTGCAGTGAGCCGAGATCACACTACTACACTCCAGCCTGGGCAACAGAGCGAGACTCTGGCTTGAAAAAAATAATAAAATAAAAATAAATAAATAAATATTAAACTCTCCAAGTTTCTGACCTCATTGTTTTGACCCCATGAGAGGAAGTATACCTCAAAGACTAATCATGTCTTCATGCCTTCAACTGCAGTGACTGCAGTCGGTTCTCAGACTTCTTAATTTTAATGCCCTCATGTTAAAGGAAAATGAAATTCTAGTTTAGTGAAGGTTTGCAGGAGTTTTCTGGCCACTTGGTGATTTCTTATAGGTCGACAGAGAATAAATACTTTATAGCTTCATCTATCTAGGCATCATTTAAATTTAGGACTGGTTTCCTGGGCATCGAATTAAACAAAGATAATGTAGCAATACTTCCATAGATAACTCTTTTCAGGCAGTTTTGTCAGTTTATGTATTACGTAAATGTCATTAACTTCACTTGATTGCATCTGATTGTATTTTGGAAAATCCTGGACATGAACATGTATTTAAGTCATTATTGCAAATTACAATAAAATCGTGCATGCATTAGTAGAGTACTACTTGTTGCACAACAGAAGTCATTGGAAGCGTTGCTGAGCAACCTCAGTGAGAACGAGCTACATTACCAATAAACATTTCTGGATCTTATTTACTTGTTTATCAAGTAGAACTAATTTCTTGCAGGACAGAAATTAGGAGCTCATTGTAGCCTTCATTTAATCCCACAAAATCCCCGTTAAGTGTTAAGTGCCCTTGCTAAGGGTAGATTCTTAAACTTAACACCTAGTTGATATTTGCTATTATCTAAATTATTAAAGTCAAGATTTGCTTAATGGTTAAGTTTTTTTGTTTTAATCCAGCTATGTTAGATACTAAAGAAGGCTTCCCCACAACCCATATGCATCTGCTTTGACTGGTGGTTTCTATCATCCTACAAAGACTGTGACTTATTGGTGAGGGCAGCTGGACAACTCTGAGAGCAACTTAGAGAAATCCATCTTGGGCACACTCTATAAAGGAGCTCCTTCTCTGCAAATAGCACCCCAGATAAGTGCACAAAAGCAAGATACCCTCGTGGACCTACACGTCCTCCCGCTTTTCAACACCCTGATGCCTGAAGGTGAGGTCTCTTTCCTGTGTGTCTTAGAAGCCATGAGCACGCTTAGGTAACTAGAGCCCTGCCACAGCCTGAGCAGCACAGCACACATCTGCAGGCTTTCCTGCCAGACCTTTACCTAAAGGTAATTTTTCTCATTAGGAGAGACTCCAGGTCAAGAGTGATGACAGTAAGGTTGCATTTAAAGCTGCATTACATTAAATAGTGGACTGGTCTAGTGATTATTTTCCCACACTGGGCAATATTTGCTTAATGATTAAGTTTTTTTGTTTTTGTTTTTGTTTTTTTTAATCCAGCTATGGTTGATACTAAAGGAGGTTTTCCCACTATCCGTATGCATCTTCTCTGTTTTGAGATTGCAACTATGGACAGTTATGGCTAATCCTAGTAGATTGTCTTCCCTTTTAACATCTTGGATGAATTTGGGTCACACTAATTGTTATGTGAAGATGGATGTTGAATGTAAGTTTCTCTGCCATTCTTAGCCAATATATAAAAATTACATTAGCCTAATTGCTAACAATGCCAAGAATTTAGGTTTACTATCCCTCTGGACAATGTAGCTTCTTGTTTTCTTACCATATAGATAACTCTATAGATTCACCCCAGCCAGTCATCTTAAAATACCTGCATAGGCAGCAGAGGTATCTGTGGAGAAAGTGCATGGGATAATAGGTACAGGGTGATTTTGGGAGTGATGGAAATATTCTGGAATTAGATATGGTGAAGGTTACATAATGTGGGTGAATACACTAAAAACCACTGAAATGTACAAGTGGTGAGTTTGAGTGCTCTCTGAATTATATCTCAAATTGTTAAAAAGTTAATTAAAAAATCAGTGTATATGAGTCCCTCTTACCATAGAGAGGGCTTCAAGCGCATGGCCTATTGCCAAGGCTCAGCAACAGTGGTTCAGTGTGGGAAAGCCTGTGGTTTGCGCAAAGCTCCTTGGTGCCCTTTTCCCAGCTTTCTCAGTGGCTTAGGCCCTGTGTATCTATTCTAGTTGAATGCCGCCATGTTATAAGTCTGTGGAGATGTTTTGAGATAAGAAATACGTATTCAGAAAACAAGTTTGAGACTCTTAGGTGCTGGTAATTATACTTTACCTTGTCTCCAACTTGATAGCCATTCCAGGGAACAAGCAGATTTTTAGCAATGCCTTCATAAGATGAATCATGTCTACTTCCTGGGGTGGGTGGGAGGTGGAAGAGAAGTTTGCTGTCCTGCTAAAATGTAATAGAGTCCATTCTTCAGGTATCGTGAGTGTTTTAAGGTTTACATGGGCATTTCTTTAAGGACAGGCCATGTGTTTTAGGCATTTAAAATGATATCAATGGCTATACTATATTAGTTCAAGTAATCACAACAAACTTTTTATTATTTCTCTATAAAATCCCTCAACTTTCACCCCTTTTTTCTTTGCCAGTGTGTAGAATTTGACAGCAGTATCAAGAGCTGAGGAGAAGGAGAAGATGGAAAGGAGTCTAGCAACTTAAAAATCTCACAGCATTCTCTGTGAGGTGACCTTTTTTCCTGTTGGTGGCTCAATTTCTTTAGGACATAAAGAAGATACTGAGGCCTGTGACAGCCTGTGACAGTATCATCAAGTCGTATCTGAACTTATTGAACTGTTTCCTCCCCTTCCTTATTCTTTATTCACAGTTTGCTTTTCATGTGCATAAGTTGACTCATTTGTTTCCTGTTAGCATTTGAAACACCATATAGCCACCATAAGTCCTGACAAAATGACTTTTAATAAGGAGGGGGAAGGTCCATGTCCCACCTTCCTATGAAATTTTGGCCTATTCACAAGTCTACCCCCACATAAGAGAAGTAGTTATGTTCTGTAAAGAAGAGGTTGATAAAAACCTTTAGCATGGTGTTTTGTGACTTAGAAGTTTTAAGTAGTCGTTCTTATATCTAAGCATTTATTAATTTTGGTAAGAACATTACTATACGTTTCTGATGTCACTTTTACTGTTAAGAGGTGCCAGGCATCTGGTGACCTGTCACTTCAGGATTTGTGTGAATCAGACCATCTAAATATAATATAAATTAGAGACTGGTACTTGTATTTCCTGATTAAAAACAAAGTAACGTCTGTTTTACTATTGAAGTAAGAGTACTTTATAATGAATACAAAAATGTATATTAAATATCCAGTAGAGCATGCTAAAGTGAACATTTCTGTTTTTATTTCAGCAACTTATTTTATGGTATTGTAGTTATGGCCTGTCCGAAACTCTCTGACATATTCTAAACAGCTTTCAGAGAGTCACTGAGGCTTATTTGCTACTACTGTTGTTTTTCCTTTAGCTCAGTTAAGAAATGTTTAGTTAGCCGGGCATGGTGGCTCACGCCTGTAATCCCAGCATTTTGGGAGGCTGAGGCGGGTGGATTGCCTGAGGTCAGGAGCTCGAGACCAGCCTGGCCAACATAGTGAAACCCCGTCTCTACTAAAAATACAAAAAACTAGCTGGGTGTGGTGGCGGGCACCTGTAATCCCAGCTACTAGGGAGGCTGAGGCAGGAGAATCACTAGGACCCAGGAGGCGCAGGTTGCGGTGAGCCGAGATCACGCCATTGCACTCCAACCTGGGCAACAAGAGTGAAACTCCGTCTCAAAAAAAAAAAAAAATGCTTAGTTAATAGTCAGCATGGTAGTTAAGAGTACTGACTCCAGGGTCACACCACCTGGGTTTGAGGCCCAGCTCTGTCAGTTACTAGCTGTGAGATCTTGGGCAAGTGACTTACCTCTTTGTGTATCAGTTTCCTGAGAATAGGAATATTACCTGTCTCATGGGGTTGTTATAAGGGTGAAATAAATGAGTTCATACATGTAAAGCGCTTAAAACAGTGCTTGGCACTTAGCACAGCGTAGGTACTGTTCTCCGCCATTATTTGAACAGGGCCCTAGTCACTGCTTTCAGTTGCATTGCTCCTTGCTTCAACAGCCCTGATTGAATGCCTTCTTTAGTTGCATCCACACTAAAATAGATCCTTCAGTTCCTAGGGCACGCACGGGGCAGCAGCATCTTCAGAGAACAGTTCTCTCTTCCACGTCCACTTGAATTCTTATTTCATTCTCCAGTCTTTGTAGCGCCTCCATCATACTGCTTGTATCTTACATGATGGATGTGTGTTCTAAACTGACCCATGCAGTTTAGGGCCAAATACGTTGTTGTACAGAAAACAATGTACAAAGAACATGTTAGTTTAAACATATTACTAAAGGGTCATAAAACTGGAGGTTTTCCAGGCTAGCTTTTTCAGGTTAGCTATGTACAGAAAAACTTTGTGGGCTTTTTGTTGTTGTTGTTGTTGTTGTTGTTTTTGGTTTTTGAGACAGGGTCTCGCTCTGTTGTCCAGGCTGGAGTGCAGTGGTGTGATCTCCGCTCACTGCAACCTCCGCCTCCCGGGTTCAAGTGATTGTAGTGCCTCAGCCTCCTGAGTAGCTGAGATTACAGGCACGCGCCACCACACCTGGCTAATTTTTGTATTTTTAGTAGAGACGGGGTTTCGCTATGTTGGCCAGGCTGGTCTCATACTCCTGACCTCGAGTGATCTGCCCGTCTTGACCTCTCAAAAGTGCTGAGATTACAGGTGTGAGCCACCATGCCTGGCCAGAAAAACTTTGGATAAAGTCAAGGTATTATATAATTTGGGGGAGGATGAACGGGGGTTTGTAGTACTCTCGAATATTCTCTAACATCAGTGACGTGAGTGACCCTTATATGAATCTTCCTCAGTTTCACCAGCTCTAGGCCCCACAGGGCAAGGGGACAGTTATAGAAAGAAGGGACCATGGACACACAGGACTAATTGCACACCCTTCCTGGCTCTTGTTAGTTCTTGGGGCCAGGACAGCTCACAGGTGTCAGAAAGTTCCAGTGAGCCCCAGTGAAAAGTGGGCTGAAATAATTGCCAGTGATTGGCTCCCCCACTGTAAAACACTGACTTGCTTGAGTGCCCGTAGCACTTGAACTGTGGGTTGCTGTGTGTGTGTGCACGGGCGTGTGTGCCCAGGTGCGGTAGGGAGTTTCATCGCATCTAGGAGCTTCATAGTAGCCATAAGATCATATTGTATTTACTCTGACTAAAGGCCAGTGTGGGATCAAAGACTCCCTTAAAGGTTCAGACACACTTACAAATTCACCAGACACTTATTTTATTTGCCTGAATAATACTCCCTGAGCTTGCTTTTTCTGCCAGAGAGAATATTCTAAATCAGGATCACTTTAGAAGATTTGGAAGCCACATCTCTATAGCTGTGTAGTGTGTCAGATCCATCCAAATATTTAAAGCTTTTTTTTTTTTTTTTGAGATATGGTCTTACTGTGTCACCCAGGCTAGAGTGCAGTGACGTAATCATAGCTCACTGCAGCCTTGAACTCCTGGGCTCAAATGATCCTCTCACTTCAGCCTCCTGAGTAGCTGGGACTGCAGGTGTTTACCACCATACCCGACTAATTTTTTATTTTTAAATTTGTTTTGTGAAGTCAGGTTCTTACTGTGTTGCCAGGCTGGTCTGGAACTTCTGGCCTCAAGCAGTCGTCCTGCCTCTGCTCCCCAAAGTGCTGGGCCTGAGACACCACACCCAGCCTAAACTAAAAGCCATTTTTAGTAACTCCCACCAATGTGGTTACTGTTACAAAGTTGTATGGTTTCTGGGTCATGTTTGGTATCAGAATGTGTATGTATATCCTTATAAATATGGAATGTAGAACTGATAATAGTTTACCTATCAGATTTGCAAAAATAAGGAAAGATTTTTAGCAGCTTGTAACAAACATATACATACTTGGATAAATAATTTAGAATTTTAACCCATGGCTCATATGCTCTTACAATATTCTCTTTGAGGGTAAAACATACTTTATTCTTAAACTTAAAGAACCTTTGATAAGCCGTGAATTATGATCTCAGTGACTACATTTCTTTTTAGGAGTTATATGTGGGGGAAGGAAAGAAGTAGCTAGCAGGGTTAACATGGAAAGCAGGAGATTATAGACAAGCATCATTTGAGCCTTTGGATACTACAAATAATCTTCAAAAATGACAGGTTTTTTGGCTTTTTGTTTTTCCTTTCCTTTAGTGCTAGTTGCAGAATCCTATCATATTGTGGTTAGATTTCAATAAAGAATGTTTAAGATTAGGACTATGTCTTGCTTTTTAAAAAGATCCTATATTCATGTTAAAGCTTGTATATATTTGTTTTTTGTTTTTGTTTTTGTTTTTGAGATGGAGTTTCACTCTGTCCCCCAGGCTGGAGTGCGGTGGCGCAATCTCGGCTCACTACAACCTCTGCCTCCCAGGCTCAAGCAGTTGTCTGCCTCAGCCTCCCAAGCAGCTGGGACTACAGGCATGTGCCACCATACCCAGGTAATTTTTGTATTTTTAGTAGAGATGGGGTTTCCCCATGTTGGCTAGGCTGGTCTCGAACTCCTGACCTCAGGCGATCCGCCCGCCTTGGCTGTCCGAAGTGCTGGGATTACAGGCATGAGCTACCACACCTGGCCTATACTTGTTGAAAAAGATGAAATTCAATTTTTATAAGACTGGCTGTAATAAAATGAACATTAGTAGCTTATTAGGGATATGGGCAGATCTGTCAGATTGCCCTGTCTTTGCCAGCTGCTGTGTGAGGGTCATGAGTAGTGACACTAAGTGGCCAGGAGAGCAGCAGGAGCTGCAGGAACAGGTGTTTCCTCACTGGCCGCTCCATCTTGAAAACTCATGGCCCATTACCCAAGGCTGAGGGGCATCCAGAGTGAGTTATTCCACCGGCTCAATCTCTTGTCCCTTTTGTTGGGCTTACATCTTGCTGTTCACTGCATGTTCCGGGATTCATGAAGTCCTGAGCAAATCTGGTGTTGCAGCGCCATCTCTTTCTGTTGGCTTGTCTTAGTTGTCTGGAGGCCATCATTGTCTTGCCTATATGTCTCTGTACTCAAATCTGTAGGTTTGTCCAAATCAGATTATAAACAAACAAAACATACAGGGTGGACATTCATGCAGACATGCACTCCACAAAAAGATTGACCACAGCTCTTTTTTTTTTTTTTTTTTTTTAAGACAGAGTCTTGCTCTTGTCACCCAGGCTGGAGTGCAATGGCACGATTTCGGCTCACTGCAATCTCCGCCTCCCGGGTTCAAGCGATTCTCCTGCCTCAGCCTCCCGAGTAGCTGGGATTACAGGTGTGTGCCACCACACCCAGCTAATTTTTGTATTTTTTAGTAGAGACGGGGTTTCGCCACGTTGGCCAGGCTGGTCTCGAACTGACCTCAGGTGATCCCCCCACCTCAGCCTCCCAAAGTGTTGGGATTACAGGCAAGAGCCACCACGCCTGGCCTAATTTTTGCATTTTTAATAGAGATAAGGTTTTGCCCTGTTGGCCAGGCTGGTCTTGAACTCCTGACCTCAGGTGATCTACCCACCTTGGCCTCCCAAAGTGCTGGGATTATAGGCATGTGCCACTACACCAAACCACGGTTAATTTTTGTATTTTTAGTAGAGATGGGGTTTTGCCATGTTGACCAGGCTGATCTCGAACTCCTGGCCTCAGGTGATCCACCTGCCTTGGCCTCTGAAAGTGCTGGGATTACAGGCATGAGCCACCATGCCTGGCCGATACCCAGCTTTTGTCAGTAGTCATCATGATACCCATTGGTTGTTGGAGGAAATAGAAACAGGAATTAATCTGTAGTGGCTGTGCATGGTGGCTCATACCTGTAATCCCAGCACTTTGAGAGACTAAAGAGGGTTGCTTGCTGGGCACGGTGGCTCACGCCTGTAATCCCAGCACTTTGGGAGGCTGAGGCAGGCAGATCATGAGGTCAGGAGATCGAGACCATCCTGGCTAACACAGTGAAACCCCGTCTCTACTAAAAATACAAAAAAATTAGCCAGGCGTGGTGGCGGGCGCCTGTAGTCCCAGCTACTCAGAGGCTGAGGCAGGAGAATGGTGCAAACCCAGGAGGCGGAGCTTGCAGTGAGCCGAGATCGGGCCACTGGACTCCAGTCTGGGCGATAGTGCGAGACTCCATCTCAAAAACAAAAAAAAAAAAGAGGGTTGCTGGAGGTCAGGAGTTTGAGAGCAGCCTGGGCAACATGGCGAAACCTCATCTCTACAAAAAAATACAAAAATTAGCTGGGTGGGGTGGCAGGTGCCTGTAGTCCCAACTACTCGGGAGGCTGAGGTGGGAGGATTGCTTGAGCCTGGGAGGCTGCAGTGACCTGTAATTGCACTACTGCACTTCAGCCTGGGTGACAGAATGAGACCCTTTTTCAAAAAAGTTAATCTGTAATGGTCTCTGCACATTCCCAGCACCAATGACAAAAGAGCCAGATGCCAGCAACCGACTCTGTGTGTGAGGCGGAAGATCTCAATTTTAGTGTTCAGGTGAGGAACAAAGCTGAGCAGACGTGATGTGGAAGAGAGAGCTTACTGAGTTAATTGCCAGGAGATGTATCTAAGTCAGAGGTTGGAGTTGCTCCTCTGTGTTTTGCTGGGTTCGTGCAGAGCTGCTTTTGTACCAGGTTTCTACCACTTGGGGTGCTTTTTGCTTTTCTTTTCACTTCCCACATCTCAAGCACCTGCTGTGGGTCAGCTCTGTGCAGGGGTACAAAGATGATCGATGTGGCAGTGTACAAAACAGTCAGAATCCACTGTGGTGGCTGTACCAGCAGTATTCACATAGTGCAGTAGGAACATGGAAGCGGGGGCAGGCAGGGCCAGGGAACCCTCAGGGTGATCTAGACCCAGGGGACAACATGATCAAAAGTATGGAAATGTAAGGCTGTGATGTGATGGGGCATACCAACTGTTTAGCGCAGAGGTCACCTGTAATCCCAGCACTTAGGGAGCAGAGGCCAGAGGATAGCTAGAGCCCAGGAGTTTGAGACCTGCTCAGGCAATACAGCGAGCCCCCTTTCTCCACAAAAAGGGGAAAAAAAAGACAAAAAAACCCAAGTGTAGAGCAGAGGTCAGCAAACCGGCTTGCATGCCAAATCCAGCCTGCTGCCTGCTTTTTTAAGGCCCACAAGGTAAGAATTGTTTTCACTTTCTTTTGAGACAGGTCTCAGTCTATCCTCCTGGCTGGAGTGCAGTGGCACAATCTTGGCTCACTGCAGTCTCGACCTCCCAGGCTCAAAGAATCCTCCTGCCTCAGCCTCCTGAGTAGCTGGGACTATAGGTGTGCACCACCACACCCGGCTAATTCTTGTATTTTTTTGGTAGAGACAGCGTTTTGCCACATTGCCCAGGCTGGTCTCCAATTCCTGAGCTCAAGCGATCCACCCGCCTTGGCCTCTCAGAGTGCTGGGATTACAGGCATGAGCCACTGTGCCCTCCCTTCACATTTTTTCAATGGTTGAAAAGATATTTCGTGATGTGACGATTGTATGAATTTCAAAGAGTCCCTAAATAAAGCTTCCTTTGGGCTGGGCGCGGTGGCTCATGCCTGTAATCCCAGCACTTTGGGAGGCCGAGGCGGGCGGATCATGAGGTCAGGAGATTGAGACCATCCTGGCTAATAAAGTGAAACCCCGCCTCTCCTAAAAATAAAAAAATTAGCTGGGCATGGTGGCGGGCGCCTGTAATCCCAGCTACTCGGGAGGCTGAGGCAGGAGAATGGCATGAACCCAGGAGGCAGAGCTTGCAGTGAGCTGAGATCGCGCCACTGCACTCCAGCCTGGGTGACAGAGCGAGACTCTGTCTCAAAAAATAAAAAATAAATAAAATAACGCTTCCTTTGAACCTGCACTCATTCGTTTCTCTGTTGTCTTGGCTGCTTGTGCACTTCAACTACAGACTCAAGTAGTTGCAACAGGAGACTGACTATATGTGATGCTCATTGCTTCTCATTGCTGCACGTGTCAGCATACCACATTTTTTGTTTTTTTTGAGACGGAGTGTCACTCTGTCGCCCAGGCTGGAGTGCAGTGGCGTGATCTGGGCTCACTGCAAGCTCTGTCTCCCGGGTTCATACCATTCTCCTGCCTCAGCCTCCTGAGTAGCTGGGACTACAGGCGCCAGCCACCACGCCCGGCTAATTTTTTGTATTTTTAGTAGAGACGGGGTTTCACCATGTTAGCCAGGATGGTCTCGATCTCCTGACCTCATGATCCGCCCGCCTCGACCTCCCAAAGTGCTGGGATTACCGGTGTGAGCCACTGCACCCAGCCAGCATACCATGTTTTATACGTTCTTCATCACCAGTGCATACCTCTTATGTCAAAAGAAGAGAGGAAGAGAAAAATGCACTTCAAGTATTTTACTTTTAAGGCTCGGTGGCATGTGGATTATTTGTTAACACATTTGGTGGCAAAGCACCCAATAATAAAGATAGCTGTGACTGGGCATGGTGGCTTATGCTTGTAATCCCAGCACTTTGGGAGACCGAGGCAGGAGGACACCTTGAGCCCAGGAGTCAAGATTGCAATGAGCTGTGATTACACTACTGCACTCCAGCCTGGTAACGGAGTGAGACCCTGTCTCTTTATTTAAATAAAGAAGGAAATATTCCTTTAAAATTTATTTTTCCTTTTTTTTTTGAGATCACTCTGTCGCCCAGGCTGGAGTGAAGTGGCATGATCTCTGCTCATTGCAGCCTCCACCTCCTGGGCTCAAGCGATTCTCCTGCCTCAGCCTCCTGAGTAGCTGGGACTACAGGCGCCCGCCACCACACCTGGCTAATTTGTATTTTTAGTAGAGACGGGGTTTCACCATATTGGCCAGGTTGGTCTTGAACTACTGACCTTGTGATCCACCCGTCTCAGCCTCGCAAAGTGTTGGGATTACAGGTGTGAGCCACTGCACCCGGCTCCCCCCAGCCTTTTTTTTTTTTTTGGAGACAGAGTCTTGCTCTGATGCCCAGGCTGGAGTACAGTGGTGCGCTCAGCTCATTGCAACCTCAACTTCCCTGGTTCAAGTGATTCTTGTGCCTCAGCCACCCAAGTAGTTGGGATTATAGGTGTGAGCCACCACGCCTGGGTAATTTTTTGTATTTTTAGTAGAGATGGGATTCTCCATGTTGGCCAGGCTGGCGTCAAACTCCTGACCCTAAGTGATTTGCCCGCCTTGGCCTCCCAAAGGGCTGGGATTACAGGAGTGAGCCACTGCGCCTGACCTAAAAATTTTTTTCTGACCATTGCTTGCTTTTCTGGGAATCTTGTGATAAGTGCTTTGTCTGATAATGCTGATGGATTTTTTCAGCACAGATGTCTTTTTTTTTTTTTTTTTTTTTTTTTTTTTTTTTTGAGACAGGGTCTCGCTCTGTCACCCAGGCTGGCATGCAGTGGTGCAACCGTAGCTCACTGCAACCTCAAACTCTTGGGTTTAGTGATCCTTTCACTTCAGCCTCCCAAGTAGCTGGGACTACAGGTGCATGCCTGGCTTAGTTTTTTAAAAAAATGTTTTAAAACTGTTTTAGTGATGGGGTCTTGCTATGTTGCCCTCAAACTCCTAGGCTCAGGTGATCCTCCCACCTCCGCCTCCTGTGTTGCTGGGATTACGGGGATGAGCCACTGCATGCAGCTAGGAATATTTCCTTACAGCAGAATTTCTTCACAAGAATTAAAACTACATTTTTGTAGTTTCAGTTGCAGGCTACAACTGAAGCAGGTTTCTGAGTGGCTCATTTGTTAGCTAGGCAAGGAAAGCCATTTACTGATGTTGAGTTAATTAAATTGTGTTTGACTGCAGCAGCTGGAGAAGTGTGTCCAGATAAAACACATTTTTGTTTGAGAGTGTTAGCTTTTCAGCAGGAACAGTGTCTCAAAATGTTGAGGACATTAGGAGCAATGTCAGTAGTCAATTAAAAAAGAAGGCCGGGCACCATGGCCCACACCTGTAATCCCAGCACTTTGAGAGGCCAAGGTGGGCGGATCACGAGGTCAGGAGATTGAGACCACCCTGGCCAACATGGTGAAACCTCGTCTCTACTAAAAATACAAAAATTACAGGCCGGACGCGGTGGCTCACACCTGTAATCCCAGCACTTTGAGAGGCCAAGGTGGGCGGATCACGAGGTCAGGAGATTGAGACCACCCTGGCCAACATGGTGAAACCTCGTCTCTACTAAAAATACAAAAATTACAGGCCGGACGCGGTGGCTCACACCTGTAATCCCAGCACTTTGGGAGGCCAAGGCGGGCACATCATGAGGTCAGGAGATCAAGACCATCGATCTCCCAACACGGTGAAACCCCGTCTCTACTAAAAAATACAAAAAAATTTAGCTGGGCATTGTGGCAGGCACCTGTAGTCCCAGCTACTTGGGAGCCTGAGGCAGAAGAATCACTTGAACCCGGGAGGCGGAGGTTGCAGTGAGCCTAGATCACGCCACTGCATTTCAGCCTGGTGACAGAGCCAGACATCATCAAAAAGAAGGCCGATTTCATGTGGTTTTTCCTGGCTGTCGGTGAGTCCACAGCTAAGAAAACACTAATTCAGTACAACCTAAAGTGTAATCTGCTAGTATCTTTTACAGCTGGTGGTGGTAAAAATATGTGTACAGCGGAAGAATAATTGGACAAATTTACAAAACTTGTGAAAATGTAAGGTGGTTTATTCATTGTGTTATTCATCAGCAGGTACTTTGCAGAAAATATCTTAATTTATCATGTGTTATTGAACTCTTAGCATCAGTAATTTTACTTGGTTTTGTGAATCATCATCAGTTCCATAAGTTTTTGTCAGAAATAGAAGCTGAATATTCTGATGTGCCCTGCCGCGCAGTAGTTTGATGGCTTAGCAGTGGTAGTTTTCTTTCAACTTTTTGAGCTCAGGGCTGAGATTGAAAATTTTCTGAATGAGGAGAATCGCTCCCAACCACTATTGAATGCTGAATGGCTTTGGAAATTAGCTTTTGCTGCAGACTAGGTAATGTTTGTTAATGAATTCAACCTAAAACTCCAAAGTAAAACAGTGCTTATGCAAACCCTATGCTTCAGGGAAGTCATGTTGATGACAGCAAATGTTTAAATCATATGTCATGTTAAACTGCCTTGTATACTTCCTGTGCTGGCAAAAGTGAAAACAAAGGCAAGCTCTCCATTCCTACACACATGTTCCAAATGCAGGCTATAGTTCTATCAGGGATTTTGCATCTCAATGTGAACACAAAGGAAATTTCTCTAATTTGAAATCCACTGGGTGGGCGTGGTGGCTTATGCCTATAATCCCAGCACTTTGGGAGGCAAAGGTGGGTAGATCACTTGAGGTCAGGAGTTCAAGACCAGCCTGGCCAAGATGGGGAAACCCCATCTCTACCAAAAAATACAAAAATTAGCCAGGTGTGGTAGCGCATGCCTGTAATCCCAGCTACTCAGGAGGCTGAGGCAGGGGAATCGCTTGAGTGTGGGAGACAGAGGTTGCAGTGAGCTGAGATCACGCTGCTGCACTCCTGCCTGGGCGACAGAGTGAGACTCCATCTAAAAAATAAAAATAAAAAATCCATTAATCTGCGCAACTGAGTTTATGCCAAATCTTCAACTGGAAGAGATTAAAAGAGAAGTATTAAGATTAATAGAATTCTGGCCAGGCATGGTGGCTCATGCCTGTAATCCCAGCACATTGGGAGGTTGAGGCGGGCGGATCACCTGAGGTCAGGAGTTCAAGACCAGCCTGGGCAAATATGGTGAAACACTGTCTCTACTAAAAAATACAAAAATTAGCCAGGTGTGGTCACGGGCACCTGTAATCCCAGCTACTCGGGAGGCTGAGGCAGGAAGAATCGCTTGAACCTGGGAAGCAGAGGTTGCAGTGAGCCGAGATTGCGCCACTGCACTCCAGCCTGGTCAACAGAGCGAGACTCTGTCTTAAAAAAAAAATTAGTAGAATTCTACAATTGTCATCTAAGAGATGGATATCCTGAATAAAAATTATATTCTTGGCCGGGTGCAGTGGCTCACGCCTGTAATCCCAGCACTTTGGGAGGCTAAGGCGGGTGGATCACGAGGTCAGGAGATCGAGACCACAGTGAAACCCCGTCTCTACTAACAATACAAAAAATTAGCCGGGCGTGGTGGCAGGCGCCTGTAATCCCAGCTACTTGGGAGGCTGAGGCAGGAGAATGGCGTGAACCCAGGAGGCAGAGCTTGCAGTGAGCTGAGATTGCGCC
The DNA here is from genome assembly GCF_000001405.40 of Homo sapiens. Taxonomy (NCBI): domain Eukaryota; kingdom Metazoa; phylum Chordata; class Mammalia; order Primates; family Hominidae; genus Homo; species Homo sapiens. Next base: position 75,805,141 of record NC_000017.11, read on the forward strand.
ACTGCACTCCAGCCTGGGCACAGAGCGAGACTCCATCTCAAAAAAAAAAAAAAAATATTATATGCTTGAGCCTTGGCAACACAGTGAAACCCCATCTCTACAAAAAATACAAAAATTAGCTGGGCATGGTGGCTGTGGTCCCAGCTACCTGGGAGGCTGAAGTGGGAGGATCGCCTGAGCCCAGGAGGTTGAGGCTGCAGTGAGCTATTGCGCCACTGCACTCCAGCCTGGGTGACAGAGTGAGACTGTCTCAAAAAGGAAAAAAAAAAAAAAAACAAGCCCACATGCTTGTGGAATGTTATCAGCATTTAGCAATACCTATGTATGTGAAAAGACATTTTCAAAGATGAAATACATAAAAATCTCATTACAGGCCAGGTGTGGTGGCTCACACCTGTAATCCCAGCACTTTGGGAGGTCAAAGCAGGGGAGGATTACTTGAGCTCAGGAGTTCATGACCAGCCCGGGTAACATAGCGAGATCTTATCTGTACTAAAAATAAAAAAAATTTAGCTGGGCATGGGGGCACGCGCCTATAGTCCAGCTACTCCAGAGGCTGAGGTGGGAGGATCACTTGAGCTCAGGAGGTTAAGGCTGCAGTGAGCCCTGCTTGAGCCGCTGCACTCCAGCCTGGGCAACAGAGCGAGCCCCTGCCTTATAAAAAGAAAAATGTGTGTGTGTGTGTGTGTGTGTGTGTGTGTGTGTATAATATATATGTATGTATTATAGAATCAGAATTAACAATGAACATTTGTAATCCATTTTGATGAAAGGGATCCCCCAACTTTGCAAATTGTTATCCCCTCAAAAAGAAATCTAAAGTCCGCTGGGCGTGGTGGCTCACGCCTGTAATCCTAGCACTTTGGGAGACTGAGGCGCTTGAACCCCAGGGGCAGAGATTGCAGTGAGCTGAGATCACACCACTTCACTCTATCCTGGGCAAAAAAGCGAGACTCCGTCTCAAAAAAAAAAAAAAAAAGAAATCTAAAGTCTAAAATATTTACCATCTGGTCCTTTACAAGAAGAGTTTGCTGGCCGGGCACAGGGGCTCATGCCTGTAATCCCGGCACTTTGGGAGGCCGAGGCGGGCGGATCGCAAGTTCAGGAGATCAAGACCATCTGGCTAACATGGTGAAACCCCGTCTCTACTAAAAATACAAAAAAAAAAATTAGCCAGGCGTGGTAGCATGCACCTGTAGTCTCAGCTACTTGGGAGGCTGAGGCAGGAGAATTGCTTGAACCTGGGAGGCAGAGGTTGCGGTGAGTGAGCCAAGATCGCACCACTGCACTCTAGCCTGGGCGACAGAGGGAGACTCCGTCTCAAAAAAAAAAAAGCAAGAGTTAAATTTTGGGCCGGGCGCGGTGGCTCACGCCTGTAATCCCAGCACTTTGGGAAGCCGAGGCGGGCGAATCACAAGGTCAGGAGTTCGAGACCAGCCTGGCCAACATGGTGAAACCCTGTCTTTACTAAAAATAGAAAACATTAGCTGGGCGTGGTGGCGGGTGCCTGTAATCCCAGCTACTAGGGAGGCTGAGGCAGGAGAATTGCTTGAACCTGGGAGGCAGAGATTGCAGTGAGCTGAGATTGCGCCACTGCACTCTAGCCCAGGCAACAGTGTGAGACTCCGTCTCAAAAAAATAATAATAATAGTAAGAGTTAAATTCGGGCTCTAGGAAGAGGGTTGAGCACCATGCAGTGTCATCTGGACAGAGAAAGGCCAGAAACAGGGAAGTCAGTTTAGGAAAAGGTCTTAAGTCCCTGACCCAGGGCAGTGGGAATGGAAGTGAAGAGGCTTAACATGGAATCTGTAGCTCACTGTCTGTCCTGATCTGTGAGAGCCCTGCCAGCCAGAGCCTCTGTGGAGTCTCATCTGCACGTGGCACTGTGGACATGTCTGCCCCAAGTCAGCAGGCTCACCAGGTCTAGCCCCTGTCCTCGGGGACCTTTCCTTCTCCAGGACAGACTGTGCCCAGAGGCAGGCTGAACATATCCTAGGTTTCTCCTCCTGCCTCCCTGTGCTTTCATGAGGCACTGACACCAGGCAGGCATGTGTCACTCTTAGAACTACCAGGTTTAGCAAATAAAAATAAAGGATGCCAGCTGGGAATAGTGGCGTATACCTGCAATCCCAGCTACTCTGGAGACTGGGGCAGGAGGATTGCCTGAGGCTGAGAGTTTGAGGCTGTGGTATGCCATGATTGAGCCTGTGAACAGCCACTGCACTCCAGCCTGGGCAACATAACAAGACCCTGTCTCTTAAAAACAAAACAGGATGCCAGTTACGTTGGAAACAGATAATTTATGTATTTATGTATTTATTTATTTATTTTTGAGATGGAGTTTTGCTCTTATTGCCCTGGCTGGAGTGCAATGGCACGATCTTGGCTCACTGCAACCTCCGCCTCCTGGGTTCAGGTACTTCTACCTCAGCCTCCTGAGTAGCTGGGACTACAGGCACACGCCACCACGCCCAGCTAATTTTTGTATTCTTTTAGTGGAGACATGGTTTCACCAGGTTGGCCAGGATGGTCTCGATCTGTTGACCTTGTGATCTGCCCGTCTTAGCCTCCCAAAGTGCTGGGATTACAGGCATGAGCCACCGTGCCCAGCCGTTTTTTTATATTTTTAGTAGAGACCGGGTTTCAGCAGTTTGGCCAGTCTGGTCTTGAACTCCAGACCTCAGGTGATCCGCCCGCCCCAGCTTCCCAAAGTGCTAGGATTACAGGCATGAGCCACCGTGCCTGACCAGAAGCAGATAATTTCTTTAGGATAAGTATGTCCCATGCAATATTTGAGACTTAATTAGGCTAAAATATTATTCATTGCTTATATGAGATTCCAGTTTAACTGGATGTTCCTTCCTTAATCTGCCCATTCTAACCATGCCTCACTCTTCTGTGTTCCTGGCTCGGGGCCCAGCTTCCCTCTTTCAGGAAAGTTCCTTCTCTCCCATTTTCTGTTACCTCCTGAGGTAGTTTCTTTGTGGGTCCAAAAAGTCAGGAAGAGGATGTACCTCCCAGGAGAGGGATGGTCCTACCAGTTTGAGGAATGGGTATCCCAGCTCAGTGCCAGGCGTGGTACCTTTGTGTAGCAGGAGGGCACAGCTTTTTGTCTAACCAGACAGTAAAGGAGAAGAACCTTTGCTTCAAATGCCAAAGGGACCAGAAGAGCATCAGGCCATAGGGAGGCTTCCAGATTTCTGCCTGGGGTCTTCAGGATGTACCTGGAGCCCAGAGATGAGGCCCTTGAAATTTGCAGTTTGCCTCCTGTACCTCACCTCATCCTCCTTTTCTCTTTTCCAGTTCCCTTCCTATTCCACGCACATCCACGAAGGTACTGGGAGCTCTTAGAACCAGACATACTCTGTTTCTAAGCTCATACTGTTTCTGTTCCAAAAACACCTTCAAATTCTTCATCCACTAGTACCTCTCCTCCCCTCTTCCCCCTTCCTCCTTCCTGCATCCCAGCCTGGGTCGAGGATCCCTTTTTTGGATTGACTTCTGTTCCCTTCATGCTTCTTTCTGCAGTCTCCAAGCCTCTGGCACCATCCTTCTCGATGACGTTAGATGTCCTATCCCAAGCCATTTGTTGCTTGCATTTTTAGGCTCGAGAGACTAAAGAGAACTATACTAACTGCCTGTCCTTCTGGGGCCAGGGGCAGGGGAGCCCAGTCTAGGAGACCCCCCAACCTAGACACATGTAGCAAACAAAAACCCAGATGTAAGGGGGTAAGTGGGTCTGGGGCCTTCCACTGGGTGGAATGTGGGAGAAGAGATTTGGGAGTGTCTTGGCTGTTACACATGCAGGGCAGAGGAGAGAGACCAGTGAAGGTTGGGAGGAGGCGGCCAAAAGGAGACAGCTTCATGCCCCCAGGACATAAATAGCCCGGCTGCTGCAGGTACTCACATGAGGTGACACGACTGGGGACAGAACAGGCTGGAGCGGCGGGGGCGGGGGCGGGGGCGGGGGGGCGGGTATCTTCAGAACTTCAGTATGAGATTTTCCCCAAGCACAGATCTAGGTAGTGCTAGGAAATGTCTCTGGGCGGAGGCGGGCAGACAGGACGGTAATTACTGAGTCAGTAGTCCCGAGGGATGCCTTGTGACCTGGGCTTTCAGCTTCAGAGCTGAAAAGCCTAAGTGCTTATCTGTAGATTTCTCCTCTCAGCCCACAGCCCCAGCTCATGGTACAGGCAAGGCCTGCAACAACAGGCAGGTGGACCTGGGTAGCAGAGGCCTGTAGAGTTTGGCAGAGGCGCCTCATGCTCTTATTTGCAGCCCTTTGCCTGTGATTAGTGGTTTGGCTTGGGAAACCTTGGAAAGGGCTCAGAGAACCAAGCTGCTGATTAACGCCACAGCTGGTCAACACAGCGGACAGCTGACCGCCGAGGTCCCTGTGGTCTGTGGTTCCTGCCTTTCAGGCTGGTGTGGGACTGGGGTGTTGGTTTGGATCCTAGAGCTGAGGTGTAGCCTTACAGCTCTGGGTCTCTCCTGGTGTTCCAGTGGAACTAGCACCCCAGAGCAGGGCCCTCAGGGGACTTGGCGGCTAACTTCTTGCTGGGAAGCAAGAGACTTCATTCTCTGCTCCCGGCCTGCCCCACGCGGGGCTCTCTCTGCAGGTACCTGAAAGAATTCCGCACAGAGCAGTGCCCACTCTTTGTGCAACACAAATGCACGCAGCATCGGCCCTACACCTGCTTCCACTGGCACTTCGTGAACCAGCGGCGCCGCCGGTCCATCCGCCGTCGGGACGGCACCTTCAATTACAGCCCTGACGTCTACTGCACCAAGTACGACGAGGCTACAGGCCTCTGCCCGGAGGGCGACGAGTGAGTGACCCAGCCTGTCCTCAGAGGAGCCCCGTGTCTCCTTCTGGGTCAGATGCCCTCAGGGTAGGCTGGGCAGATTCTGGGAAGCCATCCAGAGGACTGGTTGCAGCCCAGCCCATGGCCCGAGCCTGGACTCAGACCCCACCATCCCTGGCGGTAGGCTGCGGGGAGGTACCATTTCCCTTTCCCACTTTTAGGAAACCTAAGACAGGCCTTTCTTTCACTAAGCCTAAGGGCCCACATCTGAACCCAGGAGGCTCCCTGGCCTTTTTTCATCCTCCCCTGGGGATCACATCCCATGCAGTTCCCACCAAAGCTGGCTGTTTAGAGAGAGCGCCTCACTGGTGCCCAGGTTTGCTGACCCTAAATATCTTACTGCAAATCTCTGTAGAGAAATAGGGCACAGCACTGACAGACACAGGGAGGTGCCACACCTGGGAGTGTCGCACTAATGACAGACATAGGGAGGTGCCACACCTGGGAGTGTCACACTAATGACAGACATAGGGAGGTGCCACACCTGGGAGTGTCACCGACGGAACATTCACTGACCCTGCTTGTCTCATAGAGCCTTCCCTTCGTCAGCCCTCTTTCTTTTTTAAAATTTTTATAATTTTATTTATTTATTTAGACAGGGTCTCCCTCTTTCCCCCAGGCTGGAGTGCAGTGGCAGCATCCTCGCTGCACCCTCAAACTCTACTCTGTTGCCCAGGCTGGAGTGCAGGGGTGCGATCTTGGCTCACTGCAACCTCCACCTCCTGGGTGCAAGTGATTTTCCTGCCTCAGCCTCCCAAGTAGCTGGGACTGCAGGCGTGCACCACAATACCCAGCTAATTTTGCATTTTTAGTAGAGACAGGGTTTCACCATGCTGACCAGGCTAGTCTCGACCTCCTGACCTCAGGTGATCCGCCCTCCTTGGCCTCCCAAAGTGCTGGAATTACAGGCAGGAGCCACTATGCCCGGCTTCAGTTGATTTCTTTTTTTTTGAGATGGAGTCCGCTCTGTTGCCGAGGCTGGAATGGGCACCTGCTTCCACTGGCACTTCCATGTCGGCTCACTGCAACCTCCACCTCTCGGGTTCAAGCAGTTCTACCTCAGCCTCCCAAGTAGCTGGGATTACAGGCGCAGGCCACCACGCCCTGCTAATTTTTTGTATTTTTAGTAGAGACGGGGTTTTGCCATGTTGTCCAAGCTGGTCTCAAACTCCTGACCTCAGGTGATCCACCCGCCTCGGCCTCCCACAAGTGTTGGGATTTACAGGGGTGAGCCACCACGCCTGGCCATGATTTAAAACATTTTTAATTTGTAGAGATGGGTGAGGGGATGTCTTCATTGTGTTGCCCAGGCTGGTCTCAAATTCCTGGCCTCAAATGATCCTCTTGCCTTGCCTCCCAAAGTGCTGAGATTGCAGATGTGAGCTACTGGCCCAGCCTAGCACCTCTTTCTCACGGAGGCCCAAGGCTTGCTGACCCTACCCCTAGCCTAACGAAGCACTCAGGGGATGAAGGCTATACCTGAGTTTTGAGTAGATCATTTGCTTCTCTGACGGCCCCCAAGCCTGGGCAGCATTTGTTCTCCGATGTCTGTCCTGCCCTGGAATGCCAGGCCCTGTTGGGCCCCATTTAGGCTGCAGGCAGCAGCAGGGCAGTTCTGTTACCTCGCAGCAGGGCTCATCATTGCCTTCTTCCTAGTGCACCTTCCAGGCCATAGTGAAAGCTGTTCAATGGTTGGGGAAAGGCCAGGCGCAGTGGCTCATGCTTGTAATCCTAGCACTTTGGGAGGTTGAGGTGGGCAGATCATGAGGTCAGGAGATCGAGACCATCCTGGCCAACATGGTGAAACCCCGTCTCTACTAAAAATACAAAAATTAGCTGGGCATAGTGGTGTGTGCCTGTAGTCCCAGCTACTCGGGAGGCTGAGGCAGGAGAATCACTTGAACCAGGGAGTCAGAGTTGCAGTGAGCCAAGATCGCGCCGCTGCACTCCAGCCTGGCGACAGAGCAAGACTCCGTCTCAAAAACAAAACAAAACAAACAAACAACAACAACAACAACAAAAACAGTTGGGGTAAGGGCAGGGGGTAGGCAGGGAAGCCTAGGCTGCAGGCAGCAAAGTTGAGTGACCCCCACTACCGTGTTCCAGGTGCCCATTCCTGCACAGAACCACAGGGGACACTGAGCGCAGGTACCACCTTCGTTACTACAAAACTGGAATCTGCATCCACGAGACAGACTCGAAAGGCAACTGCACCAAAAACGGCCTGCACTGCGCTTTTGCCCACGGGCCCCATGACCTCCGCTCCCCTGTCTACGACATCAGGTGGGCTGGGTGCTGGGCTGGGCTGATGGCAGTAGGCTGGGGTCCAGGGCAGGGGCCTGGCGGCTAATGATGGTGAGTACCTCAGACTGCAGTGGAGGGCTGGCACTCTGGTTCTTGCCCCCTCATGCCCCCTCTCCACCCTCTCTGTTCTTTCCTCTCCTCCCAGGGAGCTTCAGGCCATGGAGGCCTTGCAGAATGGCCAGACCACGGTAGAGGGGAGCATAGAGGGCCAGTCGGCTGGGGCTGCGAGCCATGCCATGATAGAAAAGATCCTCAGCGAGGAGCCTCGGTGGCAAGGTACAGGCATCCACACCTCGGCCGCGCCCTCCCTATAATCCTGCTCATAGCTGCCCTGGGGATTTGGCTCACCACCACCTACTGCCTGCTCTAGCCGAGGCCCCGACCTGGCCCGCATCCCACCCTACACCCACCATTCAAAAGGCGCCTCTAGGGGCGTTTTCCCTGACACATCATGTTCCCAAGATCCCTCCAGGCTTTCACATGTGCACAGGCACGTACATAAGCGCACATGCAAATGTTTTCCGCCCTGCAAGAGTGCCCTTTCACCCTGTGAGCTGTGAGTGTCTCTCTGATGGACAGCATCTGTTGTCCTTGCTGCACCTGGGGCTGTCCCATGGCCTGGGAGGAGGGGCCCTACTCACATCTGGCAGGGGCCTCCTGTCTTGAACTCCTTCCCAGTGGCTTCTCCTTCCCTCCACTCCAGTCCTGCTAGTCTTGGGGTGCTCCAGCTCCTCTCACCTGACCCCTGCCCTCTGGCCCCCTGTGCAGAGACTGCTTATGTGCTGGGGAACTATAAGACGGAGCCTTGCAAGAAGCCCCCGCGGCTGTGCCGCCAAGGCTATGCCTGTCCCTACTACCACAACAGCAAGGACCGGCGGCGGAGCCCCCGGAAGCACAAATACAGGTCCTTAGGCCCCAGGAGGCCAGCCACGGGAGGGAGGAGTGGCAGGGAAGGGGTCAGGCAGAGGCTGCTCCCACTGGCTCTCCGGGAGGAGGGGAGGCTGGTCCTGGGGATGACAGGATCGCAAGCCCAGGGCCCAGGGGAGGGCATAGTGAGGATAGCTGGACAGTAGGAGCCCAGCTTCACCTCCTGCATGAATGAGGACCCTGGTCAGACCGTCTCTGAGGCTCCACCGCTCCTGATCCTGAGGGGAATGTGTTGAATGAGGACCAGGCCACAGCGTGGACAGTGTGGTTGTAGCTCCAGCCTGACCCTACTTGGGCTAGTGGGAGGGCCTGGCTGAGGGGAATCAAACAGTATCCTTTGTGGTGATTCGGCCAGGCTGGGTCAGAGAAAGAGCTTGGCTTGTGGCACCAGCAAGGCCCTGACTCTGCAGCTGGTCTTTTCCATTTCTGTGCTCATGCCTATGAGGCTGGGTCCAGGTGGCACCTGCTAGGCTCCGATCTCACCTTCTCCTTTCTCCATCTGACCCCACCCTCTTGTTGGCCAGGTCGTCTCCATGTCCAAACGTCAAGCACGGGGATGAGTGGGGAGACCCTGGCAAGTGTGAGAACGGAGACGCCTGCCAGTACTGCCACACCCGCACCGAGCAGCAGTTCCACCCCGAGGTGGGCCCCACAGCAGGGTGGGGGGGTGGCTTTGGGAAGTAAGGAGAGAGGCAGGCAGGATCAGTGGAGATGTTGGCAGAACCCATCCTGATGCCATCCTGGAAGAGGGACTTGTGGCCACCAGCTCTCCCCTGGCAGTGCCTAGAGGATCCCTGCATGCTGAATTTGGCATCTTCTCCTATTCTGAGCCCACGCTCACCAAGCAGCCCTCTGCTTCCAGTTCTGTGTCCCCCAGGCCTCCTGACAGGGCAGGTGTAGATGGAGTGTGGCGACCTGGCCACTCTGGGCTTTCCACCACTCATGGTGCTTGTAATCCAGTGACATCAGGATTGAAAAAATAGGGCCAGGCACGGTGGCTTATGCCTATAATTCCAGCACTCTGGGAGGCCGAGGTGGGTGCATCACTTGAGGTCAGGAGTTTGAGACTACCCTGCAACATGCTATCTCTACTAAATGTACAAAAATTAGCCAGATTTGGTGGTGAGCGCCTGTAACCCCAGCTACTCGGGAGGCTGAGGTGGGAGGATCGCTTGAACCCGGGAGGCGGAAGTTGCAGTGAGCCAAGATCGCACCACTGCACTCCAGCCTGGGTGACAGAGCGAGACTCCATCAAAAAAAAAAAAAAAAAAAAAAGGATTGAAAAAAAGTAAGCTCCTTCCTGTTGCCCTGTCTCCTATCAGGGCCTAGATTATCAGCAACCTCCCTAACACAGTTCCCTTGCCCTCTGGCCCCAAGAGGTAGCCTGGGCCATATCTGTGTGCCTAGGTCTTGTCTGGGGTTCAGAGAGGCACCTGCAGTCCCTGCCCTTGGTGTTCCATGGAAGCCAGGACACCCTGAGGTAGACACGCGGACAGAAACTACCTTATGTAGCTGCAGACAGCAGAGTGGAAGGTTACTTATATAGGTCACAACCCAGGGTATCCTGACAGGGTTCACATTGGCAGGGGTAGTTGCCTGAGATTGTGGCTCCCTTAATGCCCAGGAGGCACGCTTGGAGGCACAGACCTGGCCATGCCCGTGAGTGGAGAGTCACTGGGGGATCCCTTTGGGAGGGCTGGTGGGACCTGTGGCCCCAGAACGGAGGCTGTCAGTGACAATGGGGAGTGGTGGTGGGCTGCCTCAGGAGTTTGAGTAAGAAGCTGGTAGGGAGAGACATAGTGGAGGGGAGGGGAGGGGCCGGGAACACAGGGCAAGAGATGACTAAGCCAGCGCACTCATGCTGGAGGAAGGGGAGCCTGCCCGGCCTTCCCTCAGGGCCTGAGCCTGACTTGCCTGTGCTCTGCCCTCCAGATCTACAAGTCCACCAAGTGCAACGACATGCAGCAGTCGGGCAGCTGTCCCCGAGGACCCTTCTGCGCCTTTGCCCACGTAGAACGTATGCTGTTCCCATTGCCCCGGGGCAGTGCCCTCTCCCACCCCTCCCTCGCCTGGCTAGCTCAGGCTTAGGCCGGGGATGGCCCCTGGCAGTATGCCCTGCACAGGAGTTCTGGCCTGCCAGCAGCAGGCCTTGTCCCCACTGGAAGCTCCATTCCCCCACCTTTCTGGAAGTAGCCTTGAAGGCCTAGAGCTTCCAAAGTAGTGAGATAGAGACTGCAGGGATTGTCCGCCTGGTTGAGCACTCATGGTTCCAGGGAGGGTTGAGGCACTGTGCCTCCCATGGCTGACTTGGCAAATCCCACCAGCCACCCCATGTCATACCCATGACAGACATCACTAATGGAACATGGAGCTCTTCTCTGCTGAGTCCTGCTCAGGCCTCTAGAGCAGAGCTAGCCAGTCAGAATATAGTGCAATCCCCATATGTCATTTTAAAGTTAAAATATTTAAGCATGTTAACAAAAATAGCAAAATATGAAAATAAGCTGGGCATGGTGGCACACGCCTGTAATCCCAACTACTCGGGAGGCTGAGGCATGAGAATCACTTGAACCCAGGAAGCAGAGGTTGCAGTGAGCCGAGATCATGCCGCCGCACTCCAGCCTGGGCAACAGGGCGAGACTCTGTCTTAAAAAAAAAAAAAAAAAAAAATTAAAAAAGAATTAAACATTGGAAAATATGTTGTTAAATTAATTTTAATAACATATTTGTATTTAGCCCAACATAAAAGGTTATTTCAATAATCAATATACAAAAATATCAAGACATTTCACCTTTTTTTGTACTAAGTCTATGAGATCTGATAGCATTTTAATGCCTACGGGATATTTCCATTCAGACCAGCCTGTTTCAGGGGCTCAGTAGCCACATGTGGCTTTCGGCTGCCTTGTGGGACAGTGTGGGTCTGGATCCTCAGCATGATACTGTAGGCCGCCACCAGTCTCAGAGACAGAGCTCCAGTTTGTACCTGTTAACACCTCTTTCCACCCCAAGATACTGCCCTGGGTCTCCTTAACCTCTTTCCAGGCTCAGGCCCTATCTCTGAGATGAGAATGGAAAATAAATCGAGGGCCCTGGGCGGGAGAAGCATATTCTTGATGCAGAGGTGGTCCCCGGCCATGGGCATTGGGACCGCCTGGCTGAGACGGCATAAGGAAGTGATTCAGGCTTTGGAGTTGTACAGATCAGCGTTCAAGACCCAGCTCCTCTGTGTTTTAGCTCTGTCACTTTGGTGGGTTTACCTTACCTCTCTGAGCCTCAGTTTTCTTATTTATAAAATGGAGACCATATTACTGGTATCTTCTGGTCACCATGAAGATTCACAATTACTGCAAAGTGCTGGCACAGTGCCTGGCACACAGTAAATGCACAGACATGGTGTTACTAGAGATGTCGTAGGAACCTTCCCTTTATGTGCAGGGGGATTTGTGGTCTCCTTTGGAAGGGACCCAGGAGCATTTTTGGAGGGACAGAGCTGGCTGGGGCCTGCTGACCCCTGCCCCTGACTCTTGCAGAGCCACCCCTGAGTGACGACCTGCAGCCTTCCTCAGCTGTGTCCAGCCCCACCCAGCCAGGTCCTGTCCTGTACATGCCATCTGCCGCCGGAGACTCGGTGCCTGTGAGCCCCTCCAGCCCGCATGCCCCTGACCTCAGTGCCGTACGTGTCCATCCTGGGGAGTGGGTGGGCACCATGCCTGACAGAGCCAATACTTGCCTCCTAGGCCCTTTCAGCCTGGGCTTGGGAGACCATCCTGGTATTTGTCCTCAGGCCAGGGGGATCTGTCTTTTCCATCTCAGCATTCTTCGTCAAAAGTCCAGGCCCGGGGGTGGGGTAGGGCAGTCCCCAGAGCCTGTGCTGATGAGCCTGTAGGACTGGTGGCAGGGACAAAGCCTGAGGTCACTCCCCTTTCCTTCGTGAGCTTCGGGCTCCCCGAGTGGTCACTGCTGCTCGTTGGCAGATGAAAGTGGAACTGAGCCCCTTGAAGACTCCCTCTGGAGAGGGTGGAGGATGGGCCACGCACCAGCCTGCGCTGTGCCCACGGGCCCACTCCCTCCCCTCCTTCTCCGCAGCTCCTCTGTAGAAACAGCAGCCTAGGCAGCCCGTCTAACCTCTGCGGCTCCCCACCGGGCTCCATCAGGAAGCCCCCAAACCTGGAGGGCATCGTCTTCCCTGGGGAGTCTGGCCTGGCCCCTGGCAGCTATAAGAAGGCTCCCGGCTTCGAGAGGGAAGACCAGGTGGGAGCCGAGTACCTGAAAAATTTCAAATGCCAGGTAAGGGATGAGGGAGGCAGCAGTGAGGTTAGCCTTCTCCTGCGTGGGGCAAGAGAATCTTGGAGGAGTGTCTTGGTCCAGCTACGGGGAGGATGACTGGGAGCTAGGACTCCACTGTCCTCGGCCTCTTCAGGACTGAACAGAGGGAGCAGTGTCAGCCCATTTGCAGCTGAAGACAGGAAGGCTGGGGAGGCTGCATAGCCTCCCCTGGGCTGCAGAGCTGGTTAGGAGAGGAGCCAGATCCCGCCTGGGTGCGGTCCTTCGGCTGCCCTGAACTGCCTTCATGGAAAGACAGGGCCTGGGGAAGCAGGACACAGGGGTCCCTAACTGGGCCTGGAGAGATACCTTCTGGGCTTACATGAGGCCTAGTGTCACCGGGAGGAGAAGGGCAGCTCCCTGCTTAGGGTAGGGGAAGGGAGTAGGGGGTGGGGAGGAAGAAGGGGGTGTGTGCATGCATGTGAAGAGGGGTTGCATGTCTGCCACCACCTGCCCCCTGGTACCTGCAGCCTCAGGGTCAGATGGACTCAGGGACCCCCCAGCACCACATTCATCCACTCCCTGAATTTTCTCTCTCAGGCCAAATTAAAACCCCACTCATTAGAGCCCAGGAGTCAAGAGCAGCCTCTGCTTCAGCCCAAACAGGTATAGAGCTCTCAGCCCCCTTCCTCCCCTCTGCTGTGGACAGGAGTGGCCCAGAACCCCAGGAGGCTTCGGGGAGTGGGAGGCACCACTTTTCCCAAAAGCTGAGGGCAGGACTAAAGTGGGGTCCCAGCCACAAATCCAGAGAGGGTAGGGGGTCAGGCCCTGGAGCCCCTCACCTCCTAGACTCAGTGGAGAAGGTGTTCCTGGAGCCTCTGCACTCTGCCAGGCCCTGTACTCGCTTCTCTCTTCCCTGCTACAGGACTGTAGGGGCGAATGGGCCTGGCAGCCTCCGCACCTCCAACTCCATGCTCTCAACAAGGTGTCGGGTGTGCCGGGGCCCATGTGGGCATGGGGGCACCCGGACTAGAGCTAGCACGGGCCATTTCCCTTGCCCCCAGCCCCTCTCCAGCCTCTCGTCCTGGCCTCCGTATGCAGGCCTACCATTGCTTCTCCTCTTCCCTCTCTCGTTGCAGGACATGCTGGGCATCCTCCCCGCAGGCAGCCCCCTGACCTCAAGCATCTCTTCTAGTATCACCTCCAGCCTGGCAGCTACCCCCCCTAGCCCAGTGGGCACCAGCAGCGTCCCCGGCATGAATGCAAACGCTCTGCCCTTCTACCCCACCAGCGACACGGTAGAGTCAGTCATAGGTAACTAGGCCATTTCTGTTTGAAAGCCCAGGACTGGGTCTGGGGTCAGAGACCCCCCAGTCTCTGAAGCGAGTCTCAAATCAGCACACCAGACCCCTTAGACATCTGTCTTCGGAAAATCAGGGGATGGGCACTCTGAGTCCTTTGAGCTAAAGGGGAAATGACCCCAAGGTGTAGGGCCAGGACTGACCCTTAGAGCTCCTTTGTGCAAATTAGAAAGAGGTGCCTTTTCCCCTTGGTGAGTACAGTCTCACCCCAAGACGTGTTGTTCAGTCCCCACTCATCTCACTGGTGTCCTTGTGTAGTGAATGGCCAGCACGACGTTCTCAGAATCCCTGGTGCTAGAAGTTGGTGCTCCTTTCTTTCAGTACTCATTTCTAGGTGCCCGCTTTGTGCCAGGTCCTGTGGCAGGCACTGAGGAGACAGATGACAACATGCTGCTCCTGCCCTCTAGAGGGAAACTTCCCACCCAGTGGACATTTGTCAAGCACCTGCTATACACCAGCCACTGAGTGCCCAGAGACCCGCCCACCCCCACTGATCCCGGGGCTGAGACCCTTGAGTTGTAACATCAGGGGACAAGACCCTTGTCCGAGGCAGGGACCCTGGATGGGGATGTGATTTCTCCTGGAAGTATCAAAGAAGATTCAGAAAGGAGAGGCATTTGGGTTGGACATGACTGGCAGACGGTGTCAGAAGTCAGGAGTCAGGATTGGCATAGGAAGCAGCTGAAGGAAGGGCACAGGGGCTTGGGAGAATACGGACCCAGCGTAGCATGGGCGTGAAGATGCAGCGTGGGCAGTAGACGAGGTGGTCAGGGTCAGATAGTCCCTCGGGAGGTCACATCCCACTCTTCTCTGTCCCTAGAGTCTGCTTTGGATGACCTGGACCTGAATGAGTTTGGCGTGGCCGCCCTGGAGAAGACTTTCGATAACAGCACAGTGCCCCACCCAGGAAGCATCACCATCGGTACTGGGTGTGGGTGGGCAGGGCAGCCTGGAGGACTCCTCGGGTTCCTGCCTGGCTCAGGCCCCTTGCTCTGTGTGGCCCGCCTGGCTTCCGCTGCCCTCACCCAGCCCGTCCTCCCCGGGCCTCTCTTGCAGGCGGCAGCTTGCTGCAGAGCTCTGCACCCGTGAACATCCCCGGCTCCTTGGGCAGCTCTGCCTCCTTCCACTCAGCATCCCCGTCCCCTCCCGTCAGCCTCTCCTCGCATTTCCTGCAGCAGCCCCAGGGCCACCTGAGTCAGTCGGAAAACACATTTTTGGGAACCTCAGCATCACATGGATCTTTGGGTAAGAGAGGGAGTGGTTCACTCAGGAGAACTGGGGCAGGAACCTGCGCCTTTAGGAGGTGCCTCTGGCCACCCCATCTACGGCATATCAGCTAGGCTGGGGGTTAGGGCAGAGGCCTTGGGCGAGGAGGCAGAGTCAGATTCCTGTCTGTGTGACCCTGGACAAGTGATTGAGCCTCTCTGCCTTAGTTTCCTCTGCTGTGAAATGGGTATAACGGCAGCATCCACCTCCTAACGTTGTGAGCATTGAATGGAGTAATGGGGCTGAAGTGCTAGGCACGAGGCCAGTGCAGGTGAGAGCAGGGGTCTCAGTTGCCAGGGCTGGGCCTGGTCTCTTTCACAGCATGGTTCTGTTCTGCCCAGTCACCCCAGGCTCCGAGAGGCTGGCTCGCACCAGCCAGGTTCACAGGGGACCAAGGGAGAAGCCAGACAGGTTAACCCCTGGCTTCGGGTGCCCTTCCTGCCGGGCAGAGGCTCCAGGGAGGCCCAGGGCTGGCCCAGAAGGCTGTTTGCCCACAGAATTAGAATGGTATGGAATGGGGGTTTCTGAGGGCACTTCAAGGTTTAGTGGCTAGAAGAATGGCACAGAGGCCTGTGCCACTGCGGGCCGGCTGTGCATCTCCTCTTGTGTGTGTCAGGGGATGTTCCTGAGGGCGGGATGGGAAGCACATGGCACCACCGCTCTCACTCTCCCCCAGCAGCTGCAGACACCAGGAGCTCCCTCCCCGAGAGTGCCAGCATTTTGCTCGGGCCCAGGGAATGAGCCCTTCAGAGTTCTGATTGGGTTTGGTGGCTTCCCTTATCTCATTCCTGATCCCAGAACAGCACATGGATTTCTCAGCGCCTTCCAGTTTGAAGAGGCTGTTCTCTGTTACGTTGATTCTGTCAGCTTTAGGTGCTTGGTGTTGCATTTTTCGGACTTGCCCCATATTCGGATAGGATCTGTTTTTTTTTTTTCGAGTAGGGTCTCAGTCTGTCACCCAGGCTGGAGTGCAGTGCAGTGGCATGATCCTAGCTCACTGCAGCCTGGAACTCCTGAGCTCAGGTAATCCTTCCACATCAGCCTCCTGAGTAGCTGGGACCACAGGCGTGCACCACCATGCCCAGCTTCTGGTGGCGTCTAGACTTAGCTCCACTTACTGGCCACACACTCCTTCCTGCACCATGTGACTATTGAGCACAGGTGTATTGATACAGGTGTAAGTGCAACAGTCCCTGCTGTCCAGCAGCTGTGGCCAGTGTGGGAAGCAGAGGTGCCCAGCCATTGGGATCCTCCTGAGAATCATAGAGGGGCCTACCTGGACAGCAGAGTCAGGAGAGCTTCTCCAAGGGAGGAGGAGAGATGGGTGGGACAGGAGAGCTTGCTGCAGGGCTGGTCTCATGTGGGTGGGGTGACCCTGAGGTCTTCCTCTGGGATGGGGCAGATGGCTCAGACAGTGCATGCCACAGGGTCTCCGCACAGGACCATGTCCCTCCTCTGTGGGTGCACTTGTGTGTCTCAGAGAGCAAAGCGTCTTAAATCTGGTTCTGGAACATCCTGGTTGGATTAGTGGGAAAGGGAGCAAGGAAGAAGTCACCAGAAAGTACATATGGGCAGAGTGAGGCCAGAGGTGGATATGGGTCCTTCTCGGAAGCCCGGGGCTGCCCTGGGGGCCAGAGCAGGGGGACCTGATGTTAGTAAACATCTGTTGAGCGAGTGAGCAGAGGGCAGCTGGGTTGGCGGTGGGTGGGAGGCTGTGCACGCAGCATAGTTGACTGGAAAGCATAGGCCTTTGGAACCACACTCCCTGTCTGTGTCCTGGCCCTACCACTTACAATTTGTGTGATTCTTGGTAAAACATTTTATCCAGGGTCCTTGTCTGTAAAACAAGGGGGATGGCCCCAAGGCTCCCTGAGCTCTTCCTGCCCCAGCTCTGCCATCCGATGAGGCTCTGGCCTGTCTTTTCCCCTTTATCTCTTCCTGGGCCTCACATCAGGCTGCAAAAAGGCCCTAGCCTAAAAGTGAAGCCACAATCATAAATTGCCACTATCGGGGGCCTGGGACTGCTCTCACATGCAGTACTTCCTGAGTCCCCTGAGTTACCCGGTGAGGCCAGTGTGGGAGTCCCATTTCCCACATGAGGGTGCTGAGCCTCGGAAGTTGAGTGGCACCAACTAGCAGGTGTCACTCAAGGTTAGGTCTGACTCCGCCCACGCCACCTGCACCTTCACAGCCTTCCTGTCCCTGCAAAATTCTCTGGCCTGACACTAGCTGGAGCCTTGCACACCCATCCAGTGGACAGCCAGTCCCTGGAACCTCTGAGGCAGGGCTGGCCAGGGCCTGGGCCCAAAGCCCTCCGGAGCTGATGTTCTTCCCCTCCTTGGGGCAGGTCTGAACGGGATGAACAGCAGCATCTGGGAGCATTTTGCCTCTGGAAGCTTCTCCCCGGGCACTTCCCCCGCTTTCCTATCAGGGCCAGGGGCTGCCGAGCTGGCCCGACTTCGGCAAGAGCTGGATGAAGCCAACAGCACCATCAAGCAGTGGGAGGAGTCCTGGAAGCAGGCCAAGCAGGTACCAGGCCCCGTGCCTGCCGGCCTTCCCCAGTGCCAGGTGGCATCCAGCCCAAGACCTTCCTTCACAGAGTGGGCGTGGGGTGGGGGAAAGCGGGGGCTGGAAGAACAGAGCAGAAACTCAGTTTTGTTCGCTCGCTCTCCCCCTGGGAGGACTCGCTTTGCCAGTCAGGACCCTGGGTGGTTACTGTTGTTGCAGGCTTCAAATTCTCTCTGTGAGCTGCTTGTAGTCTGTCCCAGGATCACCTGCCTCCTCCCAGTAGCCTCGCCTCTCCAGGGTTTCAAGTCCAAGGTTCTGGGTTCTGAAATGGGCCCCCTGTCCAGCTGCAGCCGGCTACCCTATGGGTGCTGGCCAGAATCCCAGCTCTACCCTGTGTCCCTGCTGTGCTAGGCCCAGGTCCCTTTCCCTGGCCACAGAGGGGAGAGTCTCCTGCAGGTTCTGAAACCTCTGTGCAGACAGCATCAGCCTCCTCCTTGCCCTCCTCCCAGAGAGCCAACCCAGCTTCCCACCAGGCCTCGCAGCCAGAGTGGCCCCCAAAAGATGATGCTCTCTGGGGACAGGGGCAGGGCAGGGCCATTGTGATGAGACTGTATGCTGGCCCCACAGGCTTGTGATGCCTGGAAGAAAGAGGCGGAGGAGGCTGGTGAGCGGGCCAGTGCGGCGGGCGCCGAGTGCGAGCTGGCCCGGGAGCAGCGGGATGCACTGGAGGTGCAGGTGAAGAAGCTCCAGGAGGAGCTGGAGCGGCTACACGCGGGGCCTGAGCCCCAGGCCCTGCCCGCCTTCTCCGACCTGGAGGCGCTCTCACTCTCCACCCTCTACTCCCTCCAGAAACAACTGCGGGCCCACCTGGAACAAGTGGACAAGGTCAGCCCAGGTCGGGGAGCACTGGGTGGGATGCACGGTGGCCTCAGCCAGCTCTTGGACTCTGACCTGGTCCAGGCTGCTCCAGGGATGGCCACCCTCCTGAGAGCCTCTGCCCAGCACTGGGCCAGCACTCAAAAGGCCGGCCTGCTGGGAATGGGTGAGGAGAGTGCACTGGGGAAGGTGAAAAGGCTGGGGGTGAGGGGTGTCGGTGCCACCCCCAGCACCCCTGAGGGCGGCCCTGACCAAGCTTCTCACAAATGCCTGGGCCCCAAATGCGTCCTCCTGTACACCCTCCATGGAGCAGCGGGCCTTCCAGTGAGGCCCAGGACCCCAGGGCTACCCCTGCCTTCCCAGGTCTCCTGCTGGGTCCCCGGGGCCAACGTGGCATGGTGGGAAGAGCTGTCTTTCCTCTGTTCTCGGGCAGCCAAGCCCCCGGGTGTGGCCCTGGGCATGTCCCAGCCCTTTCTGGGCCTCATTTTCCCCATCTGGGGATTACAAGGTCAAATGAGACTGGGCGAAGCCTCTCTGAGGGGTGGGTCTTGTGGCAGCCTGGCCATGCCCCATGCAGAGGTGGACTCAGCCTGCTCTCTCACCTGCCAACAGGGGTCTGGGAGCACACTGTTGAGCTCGGTACCTCAGTTTTCCCATCCCAAGGGGCTGCAGTGAGGATCAAGGGAACTCCTCGCTCAACTTGGGGCCAGACCCATGGATGGTGACCACGATGCCCCTTTCCCTGCAGGCCGTGTTCCACATGCAGTCGGTGAAATGCCTTAAGTGTCAGGAACAGAAGCGGGCAGTGCTGCCGTGCCAACACGCTGCGCTGTGTGAGCTCTGCGCTGAGGGCAGCGAGTGCCCCATCTGCCAGCCTGGCCGGGCCCACACCCTCCAGTCGTGACCCTGCAGGCCTGGCCCAGCCTGGCCCAGATCTTCTCACCTAGGACTTTTTAAAGTATATATATATATATGAATATATATATATATGTGTATGTATGTATGTATATGTATATGATTATGTATATGTATACATTTCCGTATGTATGTATATGTATACATTTCCGTATGTGTGCAGGTATGCGTGGTGGTGTGGACAGTGTCTGTGTGTATATCTGTACATAGATATAGACACACACTTTAAAAGACTTACCAAGCACTTTTTAAAAGAAGAAACTATTTTGCAGTCCTCCCCTACCCACTCCCTGCCCTTCCCACTGCAGAGATGACATCCCCTCTTCTCCCACTGGCCTTTTGGCAGAGAATCTGGTTCTGTCTCTTTTTTAATGTAGGAACTAACTATTTTTAACTTCTTCCTGGGGCCTGAGCAGGGAAGGGTGGGACTGGAAGGCACTAAGGGGAAGGGAGAAGCCCTCAGGGCAGGCCCTGCTCCCCCTACCTCCTTGCCAGGGCAAGGGTGGAGTGTGGAAGACGTGGGTCCCCCAGAGCAGGCCTGGCCCCCAGCTGTGAGGGCCTCAGGGAGGCCCGAGGGGGAGTGCTGGGGGTCTCAGCTGGCTTAGCTCCTAAGTTTACCAAATGTTAATTTAGTCTTGGGGAGAACAGCAAGGGCTGGAGGCCAGTGCTGCAGGGCCAGCCCCACTCCTGACACCTGGGCCCTTGAAGCTCCTTGAGGGGCAAGGCCCAGGAGTTCCAGCCCTCAGGTTCCTGAGGGTCCACCCTCAGTCCTTCCCCCCGCCGCCCCTCCCCGGACTCCCCACAAGAGCCTCCCTGGCCCCAGGGCCGCCTACCAGGCTGGTACTCATTCTATGACCACCGCCCCCAACCAGCTGCCCCCAGCTCTCCCTGCCCCCTCCCCTCTCTGGCAGCTAGCAGGGCAATTGGCGGGGAGGAGTGCGGACTGAGGACTGAGGACCAAGGGGGCCCAGGCCCTGCCCTCCTACCCGGAGGGGCTCCGTTTGCATTCCTTGGTGCTCTCTGAGTGCAGCTGGTGTCCCGCCCTGTTCTGGGCGGACGCCTGTGTGCGTGTGTGTGTGCCTGTCCAGTGTATATTGTGTCTTAGCTTCCATTTTAAAAATTGTTCTGTACAGAGAGAGATGCAGCAGGGGCGGGAGGGCAGAGTGGGCGGAGGGGAGCAGCCGCACCCCCAGCACCGGGTGTCTGCGGTAGGAACAAGAGGGCTGAGAGGGTCTGGTCCTGGCCCAGGCTCCCCCTTGGGCTCAGCACGAAAGGGCTTTCAATGAATTAAGTGAAAACTTTTTCCTTTTTTACAAAAATGCAAAAATCAACAAAGCTCCAAACCTATTGGAAATAAAATATGAACTTGCAGTGGTAGCTTGTTTACATGGGGGTGAGGGGGAGTGGGTCCCAAAAGAGGGCCTCTGAACTATGAGGTGGGCCAGGAGCCTTGCCTCAGCCATGGAAACGGCTGCTGCCCACACCCCTGAGCTGTGGTAAGGCAGCTGGAGAGGGCTGGAAACTTCCTGGGCCCATCAGGCCCCAAGACAGTTCAAGTGCTCTCCGACCTAGGCCTAGCGGTTGATGACACAGGGACCCTTAGCCTTGGACACAGAGGCCCCCCAGGCCCTAGGACTCTTTAGGGCTGTGTGGTCAGCGGTGACTGGCAATAGGGCCCGTAACTGTTTCTCAGAGGAACAGTGTCTTCCCAACTGGGCATGGTGGCGCATGCCTGTGGTCCCAGCTACTAGGGAGGCTGAGGTGGGAGGATCACTTGAGCCCAGGAGGTCGAGGCGGCAGTGAGCCATGATTGCACAGCTGCCTCCAGCTTGGGTGACAGAGTGAGATCCCATCTCAAAAACAAAAACAGGCCGAGGCGGGCAGATCACTTGAGGTCAGGAGTTCGAGACCAGCCTGGCCAAAATGGTGAAACCCCGTCTCTACTAAAAAAAAAAAAAATACAAAAATTAGCCAGGTGTGGTGGCACATGCCTGTAGTTCCAGCTACTCAGGAGGCTGAGGCAGGAGGATCCTTTGAACCCGGGACGCAGAGGTTGCAGTGAGCTGAGATTGCCCCATTGCACTCCAGCTGGGCGACAGAGTGAGACTCCATCACAAAAACAAAAAACCCAGTGCCTTCCCATTGGGATGATTTGCTGGTAGGACCCAGAGGAAGTCCTGCCTTCTGCCTTCTTCACCCTACCCTGCCCCTGAGGGATGAGGGGCTGAGGCCTAAGAGGTACGTCCTCCCTCCCACCTCCTCAACTAGGCTGTGCGGTGGGGGGTGAGAAAACACCCTGGTGGGATCCTCTTTGCATGGTCTCGGGCCTTGGATGTCATCTCAGCTAACCTCGACTCCTGTCCTCATTTTGTGCAGACTCAGAGGTTCCGACATGGAACCAGGGTCACACAGCTAGGATGACGTGATGACCAGGCCTCAGGTTCTGACACCCCCCAGGCAGGGGAGGGACCCAGCTCCTCTACGCCCTACTGTCTCAAGAGCAGCCCCTCAGCCTCAACCTGCACCCCTGGGAGGCCCCTGCTCACTGTGCTCCCCCGAGGAACGGGTCCCTGTCCTGGGTGTCACCACAGGAACTGGTATGCCTGGTAAAGCAATTTATTCAAAGCCCACGGCCAAAAATCACCCTAGCCCTGCCTCTGCCTCAGTTATTTCCACACCTACCCCCCTGCTTTGTAGCTACCCCAAGGTGGCGGTAGCTCAAAGTCCCCTGAGGGCTGGGGAGGAAGCTACCCGGCCTGGCTCGCATTCCAGGCCCCACTGTAGGCCAAAGGCATATTTTAAGAGGACAATGGATTTGTTTTTATTAATTTTTTTGCTAAGAAAGTTTCTAGGTGGCAGGTGCTGTCCGGGGAGGGGGCGTGCGCAGCAGACACAGCAGCCAAACTGTCCTTTCTGCTTCCGTCTGTCTGTGCCAGCCCTGCCGCCTGCCAGCTCTTGCTCCCTCAGAGCCAGAAGGTTCTTGGCTCCAGGCTTCCTGGCCTGGATGCTGGCAGCCCCTGGGGAGAGGACCCAGGCCCCCTCTAGTAATGGCCACCACCCTCCCCCCAGGGCAGCTGGAGCCTCATCTTTGGCAGGGTCCCCTCTCCCTTTTCCAGGAGACTCTGTGCCTGTAGCCCTGGTCCCAGTGAACCTGGCCCCCACCCCAGTGGCTGGAACAGGAAGGCCAGGAGGCAGATGGGCCAGGGCCAGGAGACAGATGGCCCAATCCCCTGCCCACCACAGCAGCTTTTCTGAGAGGCGGGCAGGGGCAGGGTTTGCTCCCCCTGGTGCTGGGATGTGGTAGAGACATTGCAGCCAGGGCTGGAGGCAGGGAGGCGGGAGTAGAGATGTCGCTGCTGAGCCCCCATCACCATGGGAGGCAGGGGAGGTCTGCACTCTGGGCACTCCGCATGCTGGGGCTCCCCAAGTGTTAGGCCAGGCTGGAGGGCCGCGATGTGGCGGGGAAGCCCCAGACCCTACAGGAAAGCCCTTGCAAGTCCCCACCGGGGACCCAGCCCCACCGCAAACCTCTACGGCTACGGTGCCGGCCGCAAGGCATGCTGGGAGGCCTGCTTGGCCCGGTGCCGCCGCAGCCTCACAAAGACCTGGGCTTCTCGGTCACCCTTCCGGCCCTCCAGCAGCTGCAGGATTGGGTCCCCTGCGGAGAGAGGGGTTTGGGGGTCAGATGCCAGGGGAGAGGGCAGTGCCTGGTGGTGGCAGAGAAGAGTGTGTGGGGGGGTACACAACACTGCTCCATCTCCCCAACAACCTGGAAGGAAACAAGTGACAGACCCGCGCCAGCCCAGCCCAGGAGGTGGTCTGACAGACGCATCCGGTCGGGTCGCGTAACAGACAGAGTGCTGCTGGGACACTGTCCTGACTGCAGCGAGGGGCTGAGATGTGCCTGAGGTTTGACTATTACCTTTTTATACGAGAACCTAAAGCTAGCAAGTTAACCTTTTCATGCCTCGGTTTACTCATCTGTAAAAGAGTGCTAATATCTGCTTCGTTGGCTGGAATGCATAAAGTGCTTAGCACTTGCTCATAATAAGTGCACAAGCATCAGACCGTTGCTGGTATCAAAAATGCTCTGCAGGGAAGCGGCCCCGCCGAGTGAGATCCAGGCCCTTCTCCCCAGTTAAACTTCTTGGTGACTTCCCCATGCAAGGAGAGTCACGTTACACTTAGCTTAAAGTTCACTGGTCTCTTGATTAGACCGAGAGATGGGCCGTGGCTGTCCCACTGGCTCCCGTCTCCAGGGAAGCTGTTCTCCGACCCTGGCATCACCTCTCTGGGGCCCCTGCCTGAGCTTTACAGGCTCCCGTCCCCGCACCACCCTGCCCTGGGCTCAGGCCTACCGTTGGGTGCGGGGTACGTGAGGGGCAGGCGGGTCTGAGGCACCTCACCAGGCTCCTCAGAGCCACTCAGCCCGGGCACCTCACGCAGCGGCAGGAAGGCCTCGCCTTCCAGGTCGTCGGCCCCCAGCGTGTCGTAGTCCAGCACGGTGAGCAGGAGGCATGCCCCAGCCTTGCGGCACGGCTCAGCAGGCACCAGGCTGCGGGGAGAGTCAGGGCTCTGCTGCCAGCCCCAGCACAGCCACCCCAGCCTCGGCACATGGGTTCACCCACTTGGTGTTGGGAACCAGCCAGGGTTTGGACTGCAAAGCCAGCTCTCAGCCTGGCACCTCTCAGCCATGTGGTGCAATGCCTGCTCTGACCGTGGGCTGATGCTTTAAACCAGCGGTCCTGTGTTCCCTGTTCACCTGTGCTGAGGAACTAGGAGCAGGTTACTGAGAACCTCAGAGACAGGACCCTTCCCTGGAAGTCCCTAAGTTAAACACCTGGGAGTCCACCCCTTCCCCCAAGGGAAGCAAACTTTTTTTTCTGAGACGGAGTCTTGCTCTGTCACCTAGGCTGGAGTGCAGTGGCGCCATCTTGGCTCACTACAACCTCCGCCTCCCGGGTTCAAGTGGTTCTCCTGCCTCAGCCTCCCGAGTAGCTGGGACTGCAGGCGTGTCCCACCACACCCAGCTAATTTTTTGTTTTTAGTAGAGACGGGGTTTCACCATGTTAGCCAGGATGGTCTTGATCTCCTGACCTCGTGATCCGCCCGCCTTGGCCTCCCAAAGTGCTGAGATTACAGGCATGAGCCACCACGCCTGGCCCTCTTTTTTTTTTTTTTTTTTTTTGAGATGGAGTCTCACTCTGTCGCCCAGGCTGGAGTGCAGTGGCACCATCTCAGCAGCCTCTGCCTCCTGGGTTAAGCAATTCTCCTGCCTCAGCCTCCCGAGTAGCTGAGAGTACAGGTACCCACCATCATGCCCGGCTAATTTTGTATTTTTAGTAGAGACTGTTGGCCAGGCTGGTCTTGAACTCCTGACCTCAAGTGATCCGCCTGCCTCGGCCTCCCAAAGTGCTGTGATGACAGGTGTGAGCCACCACATCCAGCTGCAAACTCTTGTCCCAGATGCCCCATCCCTTGGGCCCAAATGTGGCCATCTCAGGGGAGCCCCTTGGCCCCAGCCAGGAGGAGCAGGCCTGAGGGAGCCCAGTGGGGAGAGATGAGGGGAGGGACTGGGAGAAGAACGGGACCCACTCACAATTCAAAGGTCTCATCAAACAATGGGTGAAGGTCCTTCTTGTGCTTCTGGGTCTCCCGGGCGGCCAGCTCAGGGAACTCATGCCTGGGCTCCAAGGTCAGCTGGACAAAGGGGTCGCTGGAGCCTGGTAAGTGGCCGGGGAGTGTGCGTCAGCTGAGGGTCTCCCAGGCACCCCACCCCAGCAGCTATGCTCTGCTCAGCGGCACTGACCCCTCCTGGTAACTGGAGGAAATGCACCCAGAGCTCCTGCAGGGTGAGCGAAGCCCCCAGGGTCGCTGAGACAGGAGGGCCAGGACGGGACCATGGAGAGTGGCCAAAGGCAGCCTCCACTCACCATTGGAGTCCAGGGGCAGCAGGCTGGAGGCGCTGAGCAGCTCCACACGCAGCTTCTGCTCAGAGGCGCGGTAGGAGGCCTTGACTGTCACAGCCCCCAGCTCCTCAGAGGTGGTTTCTGCCTGGGGTGGGGAGCAGGGGCAGGGTCAGCAGGGTCACAGCGGGAGCGGGGTGCTCCAGGGCCTGCAGAGGGCGCAGTGCGAGGGAGGGGCCTCACCTGCTGCTGGATTCGGCTGCAGAAGTACTTCCGGATGAGTTCCCGGCTGGAGGCCGCCTGCAGCTCCAGGTCCCTCTGCAGAGCCTGGGAACACATACAGCTGAGGATCCACCTGGACTGCACGCCCAACCACAGCCCAGGCCTGCCCTCCAGGAGCTCACTGTCAAGGGTAACATGTCCGTTTGAAATGGAAAGTATTGGGTCATGGGACAACGGGCTGGGGCCACCCTCAGGCCAGACAGACAGCAGGAGAGGCACAGACAGGGCTGGCTTCACAGGCGTGCTTCCCCGACCCCACCCCCCATGCGGGCACACAGGGCCCCTGTGCTTAGGAGGACCCAGGCTTGGTTTCAGGTTCTGTCGTCACCGTTCTAAAATTTGTAATAACTTTTGAATAAGGGGCCCAGTTTTTCATTTTGTACTGGGCCCCATAAATTATGTAGCCGACCCTGGACATAGGTGAGTGCCAAAAGGCAGGCTCCCCAGACTTCCTACGGGGAAGCTCACCCAAAGCCCCTACCTGGAAGGTGGCAGTGTGCAGGGCCTTGGGTGGCAGGCCACAGCCCTCAGCGTGGAAGCAGATCTCCAGGTTCTGGGGGAGATATCAGAGGTGACCCCAGGCACCCTCCCACCAGGGTTATCATTGCTGTGACCGGTTCTGTTACCTGCAGGGCAATCTTCAGCCTGTTGGAAGCCAGGGATGAGCTGCGCTGGGAGGCGGCCGCCTCCACCAGCACTGTGAGTGTGTGGGTCCAGAGCAGGGTCAGGAGGCTGGGGCGGGGCCGGAGGGATGCGGACACAGCACGGCAGGGCGGTGGCGGAGGAGGAAGCAAAGACGCTCTTGAGAAAGGGGCGGCCTCAGTGACCCAGCCCCACCCCAGCTCCTCCCACCCCCAACCTCCCCCTCCGCCTCCCACCCCAGGTGAGGCTGGGGAGAGGGTGGGTACAGGACCAGCAAGGGGCAGGTGGGATCAGTCCTATCCAACACACCTCTCAACCTCAGTGAGGAACCCTCCCCAGCACACTAACGGAATGCACAAACAAGGCTGGAGACAGGGAGGAGGCCAGGCCCCCAGTGACAACCATGATTTAAGACAGAACCAGGCCGGGCGTGGTGGCTCACGCCTGTAATCCCAGCACTTTGGGAGGTCGAGGTGGGTGGATCAGGAGGTCAAGAGATTGAGACCATCCTGGCCAACATGGTGAAACCCCGTCTCTACTAAAAATACAAAAATTAGCCAGGCATTGTGGCACGTGCCTGTAGTCCCAGCTACTTGGGAGGCTGAGGCAGGAGAATCGCTTGAACCCAGGAGGCGGAGGTTGCAGTGAGCCAAGATTGCACCACTGCACTCTGGCCTGGCAACAGAGCAAGACTCCATCTCAAAAAAACAATTAGCCAGGCATAATGGCATGCACCTGTAGTCCCAGTTACTCAGCAGGCTGAGGCAGGGAATCACTTGAACCCGGAGGCGGAGGTTGCAGTGAGCTGAGATCGCGCCACTGCACTCCAGCCTGGGCGACAGAGCGAGACTCCGTCTCAAAAAAATAAAAAATATATATACATGGTTTAAGAAATAAAAACGGCCGGGCTCCGAGGGGCCCTGGCTTATACCTCTGGGGGTGGAACAGAACTCTAGGAGGGCTGCGGCCTCTTCAGGGCCCAGATTCCACAGGGAGGTGGGGCGCTGTCATCATCATCGTCACTACCGCTAATAGTCACTGACCACTTCCTTTGTACTGACACCACGCTCAGCACCTCACATGACCCATTTAATCCTCAACAGAAGCCAGAACTACTCTCATCTGCACCGGGAACTTGCCCAAGGCTGCTAAGCAGTGATGAAGCCGGAGTCTGAACCCAGGTGGTCCAGAGCCCATGTGCTGGACTCCACCGCCTGTTGCCTGGCATGCTGGGTCCCTGCTATAAGACACCCTAGCTAGAAGTTCTCCCTGCACCGTGGGCAGGGACCACCTGTAACCTAATGGGGGCAGAGGAGCAGGCAGGGAGGCCCTGAAGACAGGCCTGGGACTAAAGGAGAAAGGACAGGTAGATTTTGGCTCAGCCTAAGGAAGAACTCAAAGCACTCAGAGCTAGGCAGCAGGAAATGGGGAGGCCTGAGAAGTGGCAAGCTCCCCGTCCCTGCAGCGAGCCTTAGCAGAGCCTGTTGCACCCATAAGGGAGGTCACCAAAGGGATTCACCTCCACCCCTCAGAACGGATGCTGAGGCCCAGGAAAGAGGGGCCGTGGGAGGAGAGGGGGAGGTGGCGAGCGCGCCCAGGGCAGGGGCTGCTACACCCCTCAGAACGGATGCTGGGGCCCAGGAAGGAGGGGCCGTGGGAGGAGAGGGGGAGGTGGCGAGCGCGCCCAGGGCAGGGGCTGCTACAGACCTGCTGAAGTTCTCCTGCACCAAGTTGGTGTTCATGTAGCAAAGCTCCACCTCCAGGAACTTCATCAGGGGCAGAATGGCCTGGGGAGGGAGATGGGGAGCAGGTGTGGCTCCGGCCCATGTTGGCCCCACCCCCATCCCCTTCCCCTGACCTGGAGGGAGGAAACAGGGCTGGGAACCGTTCTGTGAGAGCAGTTTGTAGTGTCTGTAAGAGGCCGGCCTGCCCACCTCTCTGCCTTCCCCTCTCCGTTGCTCAGCCTGTCCCAGCCACACTGGCCTCCTCTACAGCCCTGGAACCTTCCAGGCATGGTCCTGCCTCAGGGTCTCTGCCCTTGCCGTTCCCTCTGCCTGGAATGCTCCTCCCCTAGAACTTCTCATGCCTCCTCCCCTTGCTTCCCGTAGGTCTTCGCTCAGTTGTCACGGCCTTCCCTGGCCACCATCTAAAAATACAACCCTCTGACACTTCTCAGCCGCTTCTCTGTTTTAAATTTTCTCTGTAGACTTATCATTATCTAGCACACTGCATGTGTGTGCACGCGCATACACGCCTGTGCATAGAGTTAACAGCTATAACTATCACTATAGTTATGGATACTCACTATGTAGCTCTTTTTTCACCTCCACTACTAGAACGTGGGCTCCAGGAAAGCAGGTATTTTGTCATATTGTTCACTGACCTATCCCCAGTGCTTAAATCAATGCATAGGACAAAGTGGGGACCTAATAAATAGTTGGTGAATGAATGAATATCCTTCTACCCGCCAGTCGAAGGTGTGCATCATGATATGCCCCCACTTACAGGTCAGCTGGCTTGTGTGAACAGGACGGCAAAGCTAGGAGGCAGCTGAGAAGGATGTGCACCCTGGCCTGTTTGGCTGCAAAGTCTAAGCCGTCCCCAACTGCAGCCCCCTCATTGACTGTCAGTGCTGGGACAGCCAGTGGAGTGACCCAACCCGTTCCTGTGAGCATCCCAGGAGGAAACTGAGGCCCAGGGAGAGAACATGCTTTGCCTGGTCTGGGGGACTTATCTTTGACACCAAGGCCTTCAATGACCCCAGATCTACAGAGCTGGCAGGGTGGTGAAGGCCAGCAGGCAGAAGGGCCACTTACATCCTCAGGCAGGACAGACTCCCTGACGCCCACCAGTTTCTGGATGTGCTTGGCGATGCCCACCTCCAACTGGAGACACAAAACGGAAGAAGGAGGGAGGTCAGGGCATGAGTCGGGGATGGAAGAGTTCCTTAGGGCCTGAGTTTAGACGCACGAAGGGGTCAGGGTTGGACCTTGGCCCAGGTGCTGCTGGAGCCAGGTAGGCTGAAGACGGGATGGGATGGGGTGACTGTGCGGTCGGACAAGGTACCTGCTCGGCCAGGGTGCGGACGCCAGTGCGGATCTCATGGCCCAGCCCGGCCAGCGCGCTCTGCAGCTGGGCATGCAGCGTGTTCTGCAGCTGCCCCTGCTCCAGCACGGCCCCTACCCGCTGCTCCAGGGCCTCCCATGCCAGCTGGGCGGGCAACTTGCCGATCACCAGCCGCAGCTGCTCCATGTCATTCACCACCACACACAGCTGGGACAGAGATGCAGAGCTTCCTGAACTGTGCCCAGGCTGGTCCCCACACCCAGCTAGACTCCCAGCCCCAGCTCTGGCCTTACCATGTTGGCTGCCTGGCCTTGGTCCTTCTGGCCTGAAGAGAGCTCGCGGGCCCGGGCCTTTATAAGGCTGCAGTACACCAGGGCCAGGCGACAGGTGTCCTAGGGTGGGGTTGGACAGAGGGAACTGATCCATGGGTGGGGCATCCAGGAAGGGCAGGTGGGAGGGCATGGGAATTTCAGCGACTTGGGGGATTTAGAATACAGGCCTTGGGAGGCTGCCTGGGTGAGAGCACGGGAGAAACGGTGGGTGGTAGTGTGGCTGTTCTAGAAAGAGGGGGAAGGACACGTGGAAGATGCCGCACCTCCACAAACTTGACGGTAATCATGAAGGCCTCCTCTGGGTCTGGCCAGTCCAGCTGCCGGGCAGTGTGGCTGATCTGGGCAAAGCAGGTGGATAGATCCACCGCTGATGTGCTGTGCTTGGTCAGTTCACCCAGGGGCACCAGCTGGGGGAAGAAAGGAGGACTCAGGATACTGCCAAATCCACCCCCTTCCCTCCTTCCTTCATTCATAGAGCAGCTACCATCACCAGGCACAGAGCTGGGCAGGGAGCTTCACAAGAGACAAGCACGGCTCCGCCCAGACCCCCAGGCTGCAGGATCTCAGGCAAAGTGAAGCCACAGCCCCAAGGATATCCAGAGGCAGCGTTTTGCACAAAACTGGACTCAAGTGCACCCAAAAGGGATGTTCAGAGCGGGTTACTGGCTTTTACTACGCTTTGGAGGTCCAGGCAGAACCCAAGCCTCACCCCCAAACCGGGGCCCCGCCCCCTGCCCTGGCCACGCCCCCACCTCATCCATCTGCACAGCGCGCTGCACCCGCGCCAGGGCCTCGTTGTACGTCTTCTGCAGCCAGGAGGGGATGGCCGGCTGGAACCAGCGGTGGAAATTATCCAGGGCCAGGACTCCATCCCTGGGGATTGCCGGGGCTCAGCGTCGGGAAGGCTGGGGCCACCATGGACCCTGGGGCCTCGTCCACCCTCCCCTCCCCTGTGCCCCTGCAGCCGCCCACAATTGGCCTGCTGCCCACCTCTCTGAGGAGCTCATGCGCAGCTGGCAGAGCTCCTTGAGGCTGATGTAGAGCTGGAACAGACTCTCGCCCATCTCTGGGGACACTACATCACCCACAACCGTCGTGTGGTCCTGCACCCGCTTGGCCACCTGCAAAGGAAAGGTGTGGAGGGCGGGGCCCACAGCTCTGTTGGAGGGCATGCCCTAGAGACGGGGGAGGGACTCACCAGCCACTGCAGCTCCCGGAAAGCCATGGAGAAGAGGTGGATCTTGAGGGTACTGGAGGAAAGGCAGCAGGTGTCACCCAGTGGCATACACCAGGGTCCCCATGGTTCCGGCTCTGAGGCAATGCCCCACTACCTCCCGACCTGGCTATCTGCTCACTTGTGGAAGATCTTGTCCCATGTGCGCTGGCACTGGTGCAGGTCGCCAATGACATCCTGTACCAGGCCCAGCAAGGCCTTGCCTGCCTCCGGGATGCCCTGCAGAGACAGAGGTGGGCTGGGCAGGGCTGCCAGAGGCAGGCACCACCCCCCGTGACCCCCTGCCCTCCCCCTTGCCCAGCCCCTCACCTGCACCATGGGTTGATGGTGCTGCTGCTTCAGGTGGAACCATTCAGTGGTGCCAGTCTGTCGACAAAGAGGCAGTGAGCAGGGAGGGACTGCCAGGCCCAGGCGCTGGTCTCCCCCATCCCCAGCGCGAGTACCATACCTGCAGGGCCTCAGTCACCAGCTGGGGCAATGGGGCGGTGTTGGGGCACAGTTCTCCAAAGGCCTTCATCTTGCACATCTGTACCAGGACCCTGCAAGATGGAAAGAGCTGTGTCGAAAGTGCCTGCTGCCCCACACTGCACTCACTCCTCCAACAATTCTCCCACTCCTGCAGGCACCCCAGCTGCTCCCTCATCCCTGACCCCACCGAGGAAGAGGAAGGCAGCCACTGACCTGAGAAGAGACTGCAGCCGGGCTGGGGAGTCCGAGACAGAGAGGGGGAAGACAGAGCGGAACCTCCGGATGAGGGAGAGGCCGTAGGTCAGCAGGGAGCTGAATGAGGCGGCCAGCTCCTCCTGCTGAAGAGCCAGGAGATGCTTTAGGGGCCTAGACAGCTGCTGCTGCTCCCCTGCCCCTTCCCTGAGCCCTGCCTGCTCAGTGCCCCTTGCCACTGCATGCCTACCTGTTCTGCCTTGAGCCGACCCTGGATCCACTGGTACTCGATGCTGGTGATGGGGTGCAGGAGGCAGCTGCTGGGGAACTCCAGGCTCTGGTAGAGGCGGCTGTAGGCCAGCCACTGCCTGCAGGGGACAGGAAGCCCTCAGCTGGACAGGGAGGAGGAAATTGCCTTCCCCTGTTCACCCGGCCTCAGGTGGGGGGAATCGCCTCCCATCCACCAGTACAGGCTGAAAACTAGTGGCTCAACAGGACATGCAGGATTGTTTTTGTTTTGTGTTTTTTTTTTTGAGATGTAGTCTCACTCCGTCACCCAGGCTGGAGTGCAGTGGCGTGATCTCGGCTCACTGCAACCTGCGCCTCCTGGGTTCAAGCGATTCTCCAGCCTCAGCCTCCCAAGTAGCTGGGACTACAGGCATGTACCACCATGCCCAGCTAAATTTTTTATTTTTAGTAGAGATGGGGTTTCACCATGTTGGCCAGGCTGGTCTCGAACACCTGACCTCAAGTGATCCACCCGCCTCGGCCTCCCAAAGTTCTGGGATTACAGACATGAGTCACTGTGACCAGCCAGGATTTTTTTTCTTTGTTTCCATAGATGCTTTTCAAATTGCCCAGATTGAGATCTTTGTGATTTTAAAACTTCAGGATTTCTTGCTGTTTTTGAAAAATTGGATTAGCTGGGCACAGTGGCTCACACCTGTAATCCCAGGACTTTTGGAGGCCGAGGCGGGTGGATCACCTGAGGTCAGGAGTTTGAGACCAGCCTGGCCAACATAGTGAAACCCCATCTCTACCAAAAATACAAAATTTAGCCAGGTGTGATGGCAGGCACCTGTAGTCCCAGCTACTTGGGAGGCTGAGACAAGAGAATCACTTGAACCTGGGAGGCAGAAGTTGCAGTGAGCTGAGATTGTGCCATGGCACTCCAGCCTGGGCGACAAGAGGGAAACTCCAGCTCAAAAAAAAAAAAGAAAAGAAAAGAAAAATAGGATCTATGAACCTGAGCCTTCGTGCACATGTGGCAAGCATCAGTGAGAACTTCCTTTCAGATGGTTTGGGGGGATATCACACAAACGAGGTCCCGTGGGAGGGCAGAGGATGGGGGAGAGGAGCAGCCTGGGGACAGGCCGAAGTCCCTATTGGACACTGCAGCCACCTGCATTACTGTGCTTGGGCCCTGCAGGCAAACCAGGTCCCTCCCCATCTGGTGCCTGCTCCAGTCTCCAGCCGCACCACCATTCCACCCTTGTCTCCGAATCACCCACCTGCCTGAGGTCCTAGCAGTACACAAGCTGACCCCAGCCCAGAAATGCACTCCCCTGGGCTCCCTCCGCCTCCCACTCAGACTCCAAGTCACAGCCCAGGCCTGAGTCGGCATCCTGCTCCTGTTCCTCCCCTGGCCAGCACTTGGCTGTGTCCCATCTCTTTTTTTTTTTTTTTGAGACAGAGCCTCGCTGTGTCGCCCAGGCTGGAGTGCAGTGGTGTGATCTCAGGTCACTGCAACCTCCACCTCCCGGGTTCAAGTGATTCTCGTGCCTCACCCTCCCGAGTAGCTGGGATTACAGACATGCGCCCCCACACCTGACTAATTTTTCTATATTTTGTAGAGACAGGATTTCACCATGTTGGCCAGGCTGGTCTCAAACTCCTGACTTCAAGTGATCTGCCTGTCTCGGCCTCCCAAAGTGCTGGGATTCCAGGCGCGAGCCACCGTGCCCGGCCGGCTATGTCCCATCTCTGCCCTACTCACATGCACTGGAATGGCTGTGACCCCCTGTGCCCTCCCCGGCATTCCTAGGACTTGACGTGAGTTGCCCTCAACATAGATTTGTCCTTATCAGCGCGTAGTTTTGCTGAGTTGAAGGCTATGGCATTGGGAAGCGGGGCTGGGGTTAGGGACCGGGTCCAAATTCAAATGCCCAGGACTCAGGAGACGAAAGCAACTGAAGTGGGCCCAATGGCAGCCATGATGGGCAGAGGCACACACATCGCTCCGCTCTGTCCACTCAAAAAAGCAGCAAAGGCTGGGCGCGGTGGCACGCGCCTATAATCCCAGCACTTTGGGAGGCCAAGGCGGGCGGATCATGAGGTCAGGAGATCGAGACCATCCTGGCTAACACGGTGAAACCCCATCTCTACTAAAAATACAAAAAATTAGCCGGGCGCGGTGGCTGGCGCCTGTAGTCCCAGCTACTCGGGAGGCTGAGGCAGGAGAATGGCGTGAACCCAGGAGGCGGAGCCTGCAGTGAGCCAAGATCGTGCCACTGCACTCCGGCCTGGGCGAAAGAGCAAGACTCTGTCTCAAAAAAAAAAAGCAGCAAAATGGCTCGGTGCAGTGGCTCATGCCTATAATCTCAGCACTTTGAGAGGCCAAGGCAGGCAGATCACCTGAGGTCGGGAGTTGGAGACCAGCTTGACCAACATGGAGAAACCCCGTCTCTACTAAAAATACAAAGTTAGCTGGGCGTGGTGGCGCATGCCTGTAATCCCAGCTACTCGGGAGGCTGAGGCAGGAGAATCACTTGAACCTGGAAGGCAGAGGTTGCATGCAGTGAGTCAAGATTGCACCATTCCACTCCAGCCTGGGCAACAAGGGTGAAACTCCGTTTCAAAAAAAAAAAAAAAAAGCAGCAAAATGATGACCCTGCAGTTCCAGCACTTGTGTTTCATGAGAAGCTGGAGATCTGGATGGTATGTCAAATCTCCAGATAGCTTTTTCTAATATTTTTTGGAAATGAGGTCTCACTCTGTGATCCGGGCAGGAGTGTTGGTGTGATCATAGCTCACTGCAGCCTTGAAATCCTGGGCTCAAGTGATCCTCCTGCCTCAGCCTCCCAAAGTCCTGGGATTACAGGAGTGAGCCACCGCATCAGCCGAATCTCTAGACTTTTTAAAATTGGCAACTGATTCAAAACTTAAAACACACATTTTGGGCCAAAGGGAACTCTGCTGAGAATTACACTTTGGGCTACCGGCTTGGAGGAGGGCAGGGGGCGTGGGGGGCTGGTGGCTCAGGGGTTCTGCCCAGGGCTGTGTACTCACGCCATGGACTGGTGGAAGTCGGATAGGTCCTTCTGTGTGGCGTGCAGAAAGAGGACGGTGGCAGCCTGGGGACTCAGCGACCCGTCCCAGGAGGTGCTTCCCGCCTGAGGGGAGCAGGTGGAGGAGTGTCAGGACCTGAAGGGCAGCCCCGGCTGCGCCCAGCCCCAGGAGGGCAATACCTCGTGCTGGGTGACCTCGTGGGACACAAGCTGCTGCAGGAGGTGGAGGTGCACGGTGTAGCTCGGCTGCGAGCGGCTGGCCGAAGTGGCTCTCTGCAATGAGGCCTCTGTGAGCAGACAGGGCCTCACACTGGGTGCAGCCAGCCCCGCAACCCAGCAGACCGCCGCAAGAGCTGGGCATGGCCACTGGCCCAGTACCCGACCTACCCGCTTATGGATGAGTTGGAACTGGAGGTGGCACTGGCCTCGGTCTGGGTAGGTCTCAGTGCGGGGTTCCAGGGGGTACCACTGGTCCTCTCGGCAGCGCAGGTCCTGACAGGCGGGGATGCCCAGCCCGTGAGCGTCAGAACCTCATAGAGTCGGGGCAGCGGAGGCGACAGGAGGTGGACCCCAGGCTCAGCTTTGTGAGGACACAGAGCCTCTCCCCAGAACCCCTCCCAACCCCCTCCCTCTGCCTCGCTCCTGGGCCCCTTTCCTCATCCTCCTCACCTGCAGCCTCAGAACCACGTTCCCCAGAAAGTCGTCCTGGCCTTTGTCCTTCCGGGCCTCTTTAAAGATCCTGCGTCAGGCAGGGTCCCATAAGGGGGACGCAGCAAGGGTCGGAAGGGATTAGGCTGGAATCCACCCCCGGCCGCAGCCACCTGGACCCCAAAGGAGCCTGCACCCCAGCATCCAGTGTGCATGTTGGGGGATGGAGGGCAAAAGGAGCCCCAACCCCTTCCCTGTGAGCCCTGCAACACGAACCTGCGAAGCCCATGCAGATCCGTGAGCTCCCCAAGCTTCTGTCGGACAGACTCCACAGTGTCCAGGTCCCTGGCAGGACAGAGGTTTGAGAAGGAAGCAGAGAGAGTGCCTACGACCTCTTCCAGGAGGAGGTTCCGCCTCTCTCACCCCAGATCCCTTCCCTTCCCATCCCTAGGGGCAGGCCAGGTCACTCACCACATGTCCAGATGAAAGCTCGCATTGGTGATGTCCTCAAACTCCCTGTATGGAGAAAAGGGCGTGGTTGAGGGCCCTGGAGGGTGGATGCCCCCAGACGAAGCAGTAAGTGACCACAGCCCAGAGCCATGGAGTTGTAGCCTATCCCTGCCAAACTTCCCTCCTCCCAGCCGCATCCCTTTTTTTTTTTTTTTTTTTTTTTTTGAGATGGAGTCTAGTTCTGTCCCCCAGGCTGGAGGAGTGCAGTGGCAGGATCTAACTCACTGCAACCTCTGCCTCCTGGGTTCAAGCAATTTTCCTGCCTCAGCCTTCCAAGTAGCTGGGATTACAGGTGCCCGCCACCACACCTGGCTAATTTTTGTATTTTTAGTAGAGACGGGGTTTCACTGTGTTGGCCACACTGGTCTTGAGCTTCTGACCTCGTGATCCGCCCGCCTAGGCCTCCCAAAGTGCTGGGATTACAAGCGTGAGCCACCGCGCCCAGCCTTTTTTTTTTTTTTTTTGAGACAGAGTCTCACTCTGTCACCCAGGCTGGAGTGCAGTGGCGTGATCTCGGCTCACTGCAACCTCCGCCTCCCGGGTTCAAGTGATTCTCCTGCCTCAGCCTCTTAAGTAGCTGGGATTACAGGCATGCACCTCCACGCCCGGCTAATTTTTGTACTTTTAGGAGAGGTGGGCCTTCATTGTGTTGGCCAGGCTGGTCTCAAACTCCTGACCTCAGGTGATCCACCTGCCTCGGCCTCCCAAAAGTGCTGGGATTACAGGCATGAGTCCCTGCGCCTGGCCCCCACTAATTTTTTTTTTTTTTTTTGAGACAGAGTGTCGCTCTGTCACCAGGCTGGAGTGCAGTGGTGCTATCTCGGCTCACTGCAACCTCCGCCTCCCAGGTTCAAGCGATTCCCCTGCCTCAGCCTTCCGAGTAGCTGGGACTACAGGCGCCTGCCACCACGCCCGGCTAATTTTTTGTATTTTAGTAGAGACGGGGTTTCACCGTGTTAGCCAGGATGGTCTCAATCTCCTGACCTCATGATCTGCCCTCCTCAGCCTCCCAAAATGCTGGGATTATAGGCGTGAGCCACCACGCCCGGCCTTTTTTGTATTTTTAGTAGAGATGGGGTTTTGCCATGTTGGCCAGGCTGGTCTCAGTCTCCTGGCCTCCCAAAGTGCTGGGATTACAGGTGGGAACCACTGCACCCATCCCTGCCTCCTTTCAGGTACAGCTTCAGGCACCCCCAGACTCACCCACAAGGGCCTGACCCTCCTTGCCCCATCAGCACGTGTGGCATTGATCTTGTTCTGTCCCATCTGACCTACTGTCCACCTAACGTGCCTGGAGATGGGCTTCTCCTCTAGTCTTTGCCCAGGGCCAAACCCCCTCCCCTGAGCCAGGACGACCTACTCATCTCATTGTCTGGGGCAGACCCTGCTACCCAGGAAAGACCTGGATAGAGTGGGGGCTGGAGCACGGCCACGTACAGGATGAAGGTCTCGTCCCAGACGGGGTTGAGTGTCTGGGTGATGACCTGCGTGCGGTGGGTCTCCTCCTCGGGGATGGTGTGCCTCACCACAGCCTTCTGCCGATGCCGGGACCCGGGGCTGCCCCCTGGCACACCTACCCCCTGCTCAATGCCCAGCAGGCAGTAGGGGTCGCTGAACCCTGTGGAGGAGTGGGGAAGACGAGGCAGCCAGGGAGTCGGCTGGGTCCCTGGGAGAGGCCCTCATCACCCCCGCCCGGGGCTGAGCCTCCTCCGGGGGAGAGGGAAGGGGACCAGCAGCATGGGGGGCCAGCGCTACAGGGCTTCTTGGAAGTGGGTGCTCCCGCCAAGAGTCCTGGGCCAGGCTGTGATGGGAGAGGAAGGAGCCAGGAAGAAGCCCCTTGGGGACCCCACCCCATGCTCACCACTGACATCTTTGCCCAGAATGCCCTTGGCCTGTTTCACTGTTGCCTTCAGACAAAATATTGGCTTCTGGAGGGACAGGAGGGATGGCCTGAGTCCCTGAGGGGGCTGGGCTTCCCAGGCCCCTCCTTGCCCAGGGGGACCCTGGCCCCAGGTTACCTCAAGCTCCCTGACCCGCTGCAGTGTCTGCTGGTGCTCCTCGGGCTCCACGTGGAAGGCCTGGTGGGGAGGCAGGCGGGTGGGTGGCTGGGGGCACCAGACAGGGCAGCTGCAGGAAGGGGGGTGGGGTGGGAGCCGGGCTCACCTCCTGCAGGTATCGCAGCAGCTCAGAGGCCTCCGTCACATGGTTGGGCTCAGGATGACCCAGGCGGTGCAAGACAGTGTAGAGTGCGTCCTCGTAGAGCAGGGCCCGCTAAGACACACGGGGTCACCTTGGGGACCCCACCAGCCACCCCTGGCACCAACACCTCTCGCCATGGGCAGGACAAGGGCGGCTTGTGCAGCGGAGGGAGTTGAGACCCAGGAGTCCCCTCCCCACCGCAAGTTGCTTGCTGCCATCAGCGTCGGCCGGCAGGAGGACACACAGCCGCCCTCCCCACCTCTCTGCACCCCAGCACTCTGACTCTTACCTGCTCGGGGGAGAAGTGGTGGGATGGAGGCTGGATCTGCAGAGCAAGGTGGAAAGGCAGTGTCCCGGGAGGCCCAGAGCAGGCTCAGATGGACAGGAATGGCTCCTCTGAGGCCTGATCCAGGCCAAGGGTATGGGGGCCCCAGCACCCCGGCCTCCAGCCCCAGTGATGCCCCGCACCTGTTCCCCCAGCAGGCCTCCTGGAGGTCCGTCCCTGGGCCCGCCGTGGCTGAGGTCCATGGGTGCCCAGCAGCGCGAGCCCTCCGCACCCGCACCCCACCTCCCTCCCTTCCCCAGAGGAAACAGCTCTGCTTATCAGTGGCGGCTGCTCCTCACCCAGCAGCGGAAGTGAGGCTCGGCAGCGGAGGTGAGGGGGGTGCCACGTCGGCCTGGGGGTCTGCTGCTCCCCGAACAGCTCACCCCACAGCAGGGACACCCCCACCTAATGGAGTCGGCTCTTCTGAAGCTGGAGGAGTAGGGGATGGGGTCAGGCCAACCGGGAGGGAGGGGTTCTGAGAGCCTCAGACCACAGGGCCTGAGGCCCACAGTGGCCCAGAGTCCATCTGGCAGCCCCTGCTCTGCTGGCCCAGGGGGCTCTCCCCAGGGTGGAGTAGGCAGGGGAGGGTCGCTGGTCCCCAGTCCCAGCCTTCGAGAGGTGGGGCCAGACAGCAGGGCACCCGTACCCGAGACCACAGTGCTCCCCAAGGCCAGCTCTCTCCCCAGTGAGGTCACTCCTACCTCCGGGGCCATTTGGGGCGGGGGATCCTGTAGATCTCTGACTCTGCGGCGCCTTATCTTGATGGCCTGGCGCAAGAAGGGAGGGCGCTGCTGCGGATGGGAGAGGAGTGTCGCCATGGTGGCCTTCTCTGCCCTTCCCTGTCCGCTGGTGCTGGGTGAAGACAGCGAAGCCACAGGATTATGCAAAGAGCCTGGGGCTGCCACCCTCTGTCAGGGGAAGTTTTAGGGAGGGTGGCTGGGAGGGACGGAAGGGTGAGGGTTTCACCGCTTCGGAGAGGCAGTCTCCCAGGCCCCCTGCACCTTCCCCAGCTGGGATCCCTACAGGACCCTCCTCTGGCTGGAGCAGAAGGTGGACCCCGTGGGCAGGCCTGGCCCCGCCCCACCCTCCTACAGAGGCCCTGGGAAGGGGACAACGCTCTCAGCAGGGGGCGGGGGGGCCCAGAACAGGCGGGCAGCATCCTGCCCCATCCATGTGCTGTGCCCAGGCTGGGCTGAACCCTGAGAGAAGCTGACCTGGGCCCGGGGGGGTTCTCACCCCACTTCCTCGAGTGCGTCCAGACGTGGGGCGGGGCGGGGTGGGGTGGGGTGTGGTGGCGCCCAGGGTGGGGGCTCCCAAGAGGCGTCTCCCTGGAGGACAGCCAGTTGCTCAGCCTGCCTGGCCCCACAGGTGACATTCCTTGGAGATGACGGGGCCAAGCTGTGCTGGGCAGGGACAGCCCTGTGCCCCTGCCCCCACCTTGGCAGTCAGGACAGTGCTCCCTTCAGACACCCTTGAAGGGGGCTTAGCCAAGTCCCAGAGAGCTCTGGGCCAGGCTGGCCAGGAGGAGGAGGCAGAGGGGCTGCTGCCCGATCTCTCCTGAGGACAGACTTGGCTCCCGGGGGACAGGAAAATGCGCCTCAGCATGGGGCTTTCCTAGAGCTCTGTGGCCTGCCCACCCTGTGCCCAGTGCTGGGCTGGGGGACTTGCGGGCGTGTGGGCCTGGTCACGGCCTTTGGCCATTTCCCACCCTCCTGTCCCTTCAAGTTCACAGCAGGGCACGTGACGTGGGTGGTGGCAAGCCGGCTTGGCTACCTCAGTGTCCCTGTCACAGGTCCTGACGTGCTCCAGGGCTGACTCGGCCTCCTCCCTCCAGCAACCAGGACTTAGGCCAGGGCTGCCATTCCTCGAGGAGCCAGCAGGGGACAAGGTGGCAGCCCCAACTCCTCCCTTCAAGGCCAACTCTGGGCCACATCCACCTCTGTCCCAGCCAGGCCCTGGGGACTCAGTGGGGGAGGGACACAGCTGCTGAGCGACAACCGTTAAGAACCAGCTCCAGAGGCCAGAGCTGTCTTGGGGACCAGACAGGCTGGCTGGGCCGTGAGAATGGGGATCCTCCCATGGGAGGGAACCGTCCCAGAAGTCTCCAGGGCCCTCAGCGGCCAGACGGCTCTCCTTCCGGAAGAGACCCCCGGGTCACCACACGCAGAGCCAGAAAGGGTCCAGTTATTTCATTTTTACTATTTCACATTTTCAGCAAACAAATCGAGGTGCAAACAGGGTTTATTTCACATTAATATATTAACTGGATTTTTTGTCAAATAAATAGGGAATTCTCTTTAAATAACCATCTCCTCACTTCATGGCCAGTCCAGGGACAAACAAGAGTGAATGTTAGCGCATCCAGGGGCACAAAGCTTAAGGGGAAGAAGCAGGCTGGGGGGCTGGTGGCAGGTCCCGGCCAGCACACAGGGTCAGGGGCCCTTGTTCCCGGCCCCACCCAGCAGCCACCAAGTGGACAGACATGCATTCTCTGGTTCCAGTCAGGAAGCTCCTTCTAGAAGGAAGTGAGAGGTGAGGGAAAGCAAATTCCAGAAACACCAGCAAAAGGCAGAAGGGCTTCCTCCCAGCCTCGGCGGCCCTGCCCCGACGCCACCCAAGCCCTGGAAGCTCATTTTACAGCTTCAAAAGTCACACAGGGTGGCAACAACATGACCCAGGACAGGGAAGGGAAGGAAGGGTGGCGGGGGCTGCAGCTGGACCCTGGCTGAGTGGAATGCGGGCGCGGTGGCCTTCTGAGACCAGCACAGACCAGCAGAGGGAATGTGAGCAGGGTCTGGCAGGGCCCGGGAAGACACCTGGCTGGTCTGAAGTGGCTCATGAGGCTGAGTGTAGCAGTGGGTGCCAGACTGAGGGAGCTGGACTGCGGTGGAGGAGGTGGCCAGAGAGTCCCTTCGAGGGGAGAAGCTGAGAGTGAAACAGGAACAGGGGATGCTCCGTGCTCCCAGAAGAGCCCCAGACGGTGAGGGAGGTACGCTGGGCAGCACTGTGGGCTCCGGGCTGGCATGGGAAGCTGGGCGGCACCTCTCCCGAGGCCGGGGGCCCTAATGTCCCACAATGCTAGTTCCTGGTAATTGTTTATGATCAGACCTGGAGGGAGAACAAGGCGCCCCCTCCCCTCCCCAAGCCCCAGCACAGCCCCGATGGGAGGGGTAGGGTAGAGAGATGAGGGTGGGAGGCAGGGAGGCAGGAGGGCCTACTGGGTCTTCTTATCTTCCGGTGGGTAGTAGGGAGGTGGCGGCGGCTGGCTCTAAAGAAGGGAGAAAGGAGAGACTTGCATTAGAAGGTTTAAAACATGGTGCGGTCATCCCCCTGCGGCTCCCAGCATCTGCGGCTGTGGGGCTGCACCGGCACTGCCAAGCCCTCTCACCGTGGGCATGTAGACGTTGTGAGGATTGCCTGGGTTGTAATAGGCGCTGGCGGCTGCTTCTGCGGCCTTGGCTTCGGCTGTGAGAGCAAACACACCTGGTGTCGGTGACAAGTTCTCCTCCCCCTGAGCTCAGCTAAGAGACCCCGGGCCCCCATGGCTCGGGGCAGCTGGTGCTGGGGGTCCAGTTCCACCAATGAGAGCAGCAGGTGAGGTTTCCTGAGCACATGCCACGCGCTGGCACGGTCCTTTCCAGGCCCATCGCATGTCTCACCTCATCTAATCCTTGAGCCAATGCCCCAGGTGCCACTGTGACCGACCAGCTGAGTGTAGATGAGAGGATCGAGAGGCACACAGGGTGACCTTCCCCGCCCAGGGCACATGGATAGCTAAGGGATGGGGGTGGGGCCAGAATCTAGCTCCGCTCCACCAGGCCACAGCCCTGCTGGGCCCCTGGGGTAGTCCAGGGGTCATCCATCATCTGCGGCTCTCAGCAGTCTCTGGCCATTCTGAGGCTCTCTGTGCGACATCGGGGAGGAGAG
Organism: Homo sapiens; assembly: GCF_000001405.40. Classification (NCBI taxonomy): domain Eukaryota; kingdom Metazoa; phylum Chordata; class Mammalia; order Primates; family Hominidae; genus Homo; species Homo sapiens. The sequence continues at coordinate 75,847,447 of NC_000017.11, forward strand.
GGCTGGTCCCGAAGGGCTGCCAGCACCCAAGGGCCCTCACCTGCAGGAGTGGAGGGGACATCGGGGCCGCTGACCGGAGGTTCCATGGGCCCAGGGTAGGGCGGTGGTGGGGGCTGCACGTATCCCATGGCCCCGTCCATCATGGGGGGTCCTGGATAGAACTCTGCTCGGTGAGAGAGTAACAAGGACATGGTGAGCACCCGGCTGCGGCCCCCTCCCGGGTGAGGGGGGCCTCTCCAGCTCCTTCGTTGGTCCTGAAGCAGCTCAAGGAATAAAGTCTCCCTGGCCTGGGGGGAGCCTGGGTAGGTGGGCTCATGAGGGGAGTGGGGGCAGCAAAGGACACACTCACCAGGTGGGGGCGGTGGATAGGGGTAGCCAGGAGGGCAGGGGTACATTCCATTGGCGACTGGCGGGGGATAGACATAGGCCCCGCTGGGCATGTAAGAGTAGCCATAGGCTCCACTGGGGACTTCACCTCTGGAGGCTACGAGTACAAGGGGAAAGAGAAATGAGCGTGGCCTGCCTTGGGGCGGGGAGAGGGCAGCCCCGCTGCCTGCAGATGGGAGCTACTGGGTCTCAGGAATGTGCCCCGCAGACATCCTCTGTCCATCCCACTCCACCCTCCACCCATACTCGGGGGGCCACCTTGGTCAGGGATGAGAGAGGACGGGAGAGGTCAGAGCCAGGGGAAGGCAAGGGAGGTCAAGGGCAAGGCTGGAGGGTGGACAGAGGCCGGGAGGGAGGCTCAGGGCTGGGGTAGGAGTGAGCTGGCGGAGGATGTCTGCTGGCCCATCCCTCGGTCATTTTCAATGGCTGCGGAACCGCAGTCGAATGGTTGGTTTAGTGTTTGTTTTATGAGGCCATAGTAAAGTGTCCTTGAGTCCAAACAGCTTTGTCAAAACGTCATCCACCTGCCCCAGGCAGGGAAACGCAGTCTCTGAGGTACAGGACAGAGCTGATGCCAATGACAGCTTTCCTTCCCAACTCCTAGGCCTGGTCAGCCTGGTGCCCAAACACTTACCTCTTGAGTTCTTGAAAAAGCAAAACGAAAAGGAAGCAAACTCATACCAAACCCCTACATGTTTAGTGTGTCTTTAGCCCCTAATCTTCGGAGCCTGGATACCTTGAGATGCCACCTGGAGCATCCGCTGTCCGAACTCAATGGCGCCCCCTGCCGTGAAAGTCAACTTGTAGGAAGCAGAGCCTTCCCAGCCACCTGAAAGGGGAAGGACAGTGAATAAACAGCACAGGAAAAGAAAACTTATGCCCAAAGAGATGGCTGTTTTCCTCTCCAGGACTTCATCCAACGCCCGGGAGGCCTGCGGGGGCTGGGCCTGCACTGTGATGGGGACTTCCTGGTGCCATGGTTTCCAGCCTGCTGCCTGCATAGGAGCCAGCACTGCAGCCTGGCCTGGCCCTGCTGTACTCGCTTCCCCCTTTGGAACAATGGCCTCTCCTTCCTGGAACAAGCCTGTCCTCCCACCCTTGGCCCAATATGTACACGGGTGCCAAGGCCACATCAAGGTTTCTCTCCGCCCCCAGTCAAGCACTCGGCAGCTTCACAGGAACAAGCCCACTCAGCAACAGCCGACCTTAAAATTCAGAGCAGACCTCTCGTCCTAAGGGGGCCCAAGGACAGACTCCGGCCCCTCTAGCCTGGCTTCTGCCCAAAGGGGGACCAAGAGTGTCTCAATAGCAAGGGCGGGCCTGGCTGGGTGTCAAGGGGAAGGCAAGTTCAATGCAGAGGTCTCTGGGGCCTGCCAAAAAGCCAGCCCCAAAGCAGGGTGACTCTGGCTTCCCAGAGGCAGCTGCCTCTTCCTGGCTCTCATGAAAAGGCCCCTCTCAAGAACCTGATGCAGCTCCTTCCTGAGTCTAAAATTTGTATGCGCTCGCCAAGTTGCACTAAGCATCTTGACTCAGTCCGCAGGCTTCTGCAGACTTCACGCTCTGAAAAGCTGATCTGAGCTGCTGTCTTTCATGCCAGCATTTTCCCCACCTCTTGGCAATCAAACCCCACCAGCTGGCAGCCCAGAGCTGGGAAGAGGTCATGGCTAGGGCGATAAGGGTCTGAAGGGGACGCCCCCACGGCGGCAGTCAGAGGTTCCCAGGACACCTCCCTGCAGGCCCCATGCGTGTCCCTGAGTTCCCATCACCTACCTCCCGCTTCCGCCTTCACTGTTCCCTTGATGTAGTTTGCACCAAATACGGGCTGCTTGATCTCACAGTCTTTCATGAGATAAAATGGCATCATGAAGGACTGCATGGCATCCTTGCCCTTGGACAGAAAGATGACCTGCAGGGAGAGAGGGTGAGGCCATCAGTACTAGAAGCACAGCCCACGCTGCCATGCTTCCCGCCTGCTTCCTGGGAGTGACGAATCCTCTCCCAGTGCCAGGGTCCAGCAGCCCCATGGCTCTCTCTGTGCCAGACACTCCTGGAGAGAGCTTTGGAAAGGGAAAGGGCTCACCGCAGCCTGGAGAGGCCAAGCTCACGCACACGGGAGAAAAACGTGCTGGTCACAGATAGTATCTATGAGCAGGGCAGACTGCTTTGTCACTGACGTGGTGGGGTGGTGGCAGTGTTGCCTAAGTGAAGGGGCCTACGAAGCTAGGGAAGGACAGGCAGAGGCAAGGCAGGGATGGGTTCCTGAAAGAGGGGGGTCTCCAGCCTGAACTCTCCAGAACTGAGAATGATGGTGCAGTAGGTCGCTAGCTCCCATTGAGGGGGGCTATAAACAGCAACAAGAGCTCTCCTGGAGCCTGTGCCTGGAGAAACCCTTGGGTTTTATTTTTTCTTTTCTTTTCTTTTTTTTTTTTTGAGATGGAGTCTTACTCTGTTGCCTGGGCTGGAGTGCAGTGGCGCGATCTTGGCTCGCTGCAAGCTCCGCCTCCCGGGTTCACGCCATTCTCCTGCCTCAGCCTCCTGAGTAGCTGGGACTACAGGTGCCCGCCACCATGCCCGGCTAATTTTTTGTAGTTTTAGGAGAGATGGGGTTTCACCGTGTTAGCCAGGATGGTCTCGATCTCCTGACCTCATGATCCGCCCGCCTCGGCCTCCCAAAGTGCTGGGATTACAGGCATGAGCCACCGCACCCGGCCCCAGCCAGGGTTTTAAACCCACGACTTTTATCTGTGACTGAAGGTGCCAAGTTGAGCCTCCAGAGATGGGGTTTTGAGACTCTCCTGTCTTTGTGAAGTCATGGAGATTAAAACTTGAAAATGTGCTCCTCTTCTTCCAGCTGTCTTTGAGTCTAAGTCTTTTTTTTTTAGGCAGGGTCTCACTCTGTTGCCCAGGCTAGAATCCAGTGGCATGATCCCAGCTCACTGCAGCCTCAACCTCTCCAGGCTCCAGTTATTCTCCACCTTACCTCTCGGGTAGCTGAGACTAGAGGCATGTGCCACCACACCCAGCTAATTTTTGTATTTTTTGTAGAGATGGGGTTTTGCCATGTTGCCCAGGCTGGTCTCGAACTCCTGAGTTCAAGTGGCCTGCCTACCTTGGCCTCCCAGAGTGCTGGGATTACAGGCATGAGCCTCCGCACCAGCCTGTCTTTGAGTCTAAATCTTGAGTAGCCACAGGCAGCAATCCTTTTCCAAGAACATCCATTTGTATTTCTCAACCTCTCAGAGTCCACGTGGGTAACTCTCAGGCAGGGCCCATTCTGCAGCCTGGCATTTGTCATTCTGCGGGGTGGTACCGGGCTCTCTGCCCAGTCCGGAGGCCGTGCCATGCAACTGTACCCTGTTTACTGGATTTCTCACTCTGGATACACACAGGGCTTCATGGGCTACTCTCACAGAAAACAAAATATTAATAATAATAGTCTGGCCTCCAGGCCCAAGTCATGCCAGCGGCTGCATCCAACTCTATAGAGATTTTGCAGCAGCGGCTCTGGAATTGACATGGGTTCACTGCCCAGTGGTCAGGTCAGTTACACAAAGAGCCTGGTGATTCTGGAATCCAGGAGCATGTGACAGAGAAACAGGCAGAGTGAAGCACTAACACTCACCAGGATTCAGAGGCCACCTGACTCATGAGGCTGAGGCAGACCTGAGACTAAGACTCACGTCACCTCCAACAGCAACAAGCCTCTCAACCAACTGCCCTGCTGTGCAACTCACCCGGTAAGGGGTAAGGTAGACAGTGCCTTTCTTGGTCCCTTTGAAGGCTTCTGGCACGTTCTTCATGTCATTGAATGTGAGTTCCACGTGATCATAGGACATTAGGATGCTGTGATGAGAAAAGAGGAAAAGCCTCAATGAGACAGTATGGAGACGCGACGTCACCCAGACACTGGGCCTTTCTCCCAAGCAGCTGCCCGGCACGTCAGCTCTCATAACCTCTCAATAGTGCGGCATTAAAACTATTCATAGGGCTGGGCGCGGTGGCTCACGCCCGTAATCCCAGCACTTTGGGAGGCCGAGGCGAGCGGATGACCCCTGGTCAGGAGTTTGAGACCAGCCTGGCCAACATGGTGAAACCCCATCTCTACTAAAAATACAAAAAAATTAGCCAGGCACCGTGGCGGGCACCTGTAATCCCAGCTAGTCAGGAGGCTGAGGCGGGAGAATCGCTTGAACCCAGGAGGCAGAGGTTGCAGTGAGCTGAGATGGCGCCACTGAACTCCAGCCTGGGCAACAAGAGAGAAGCTCTGTCTCAAAAACAAATAAATAAATAAAGCCATTCATAGGGCCAGGCGCAGTGGCCCACACCTGTAATCCCAGCACTTTGGGAGGCTGAGGCGGGTGAATCGCTTGAGCCTAGGAGTTTGAGACCAGCCTGGGCAACATGGTGAGACCTCATCTCTACAAAAAAACTAAAAACCAACAAAAAAACCCATTAATATAGCCATGGAAGAAATGAGCAGGTTGGGGGTTCTGTAAAATTTCCCAAACCCCGCTTATAAAGCCCCCAAATGATCAACATGGTAGCAGAGCTACAGGGCTCTGAAGAGGCCATCATCCCTCAAGCAAGTTAGATAATCTGGCTTAACTCTTCTATTTTCTTTATTTTTTTTTTTTTTTTTTGAGACGGAGTCTCACTCTGTCACCCAGGCTGGCGTGCAGTGGCGTGATCTCGGCTCACTGCAAGCTCCGCCTCCTGGGTTCATGCCATTCTCCTGCCTCAGTCTCCCAAGTAGCTGGGACTACAGGCGCCCGCCACCACGACTGGCTAATTTTTTGTATTTTTAGTAGAGACGGGGTTTCACCGTGTTAGCCAGGATGGTCTCGATCTCCTGACTTCGTGATCCACCTGCCTCGGCCTCCCAAAGTGCAGGGATTACAGGCGTGAGCCACTGCGCCCGGCCAACTCTTCTATTTTCTTTTAAGTCCTTGTGATAGATGTTCTGTTTTTGCTGGTTTGTTTTTCAAGCCTAAAATATAAACATGTCTAAGAGATGACTGTACAGATCACAATAGGACGTCCTTCGGGGTTCTTTTAAACCTGGGTTCTTAAGCGGGGTTTGCAGGAAAGTCCATGAAGCCCTTGAGATGATCACGTATGTCATATGTGCATTTTTCTGGGAGGAGAGTCCACAGCTTTCATCATTGTCAAAGGAGTTCACGACTTGAAGAGTAACGTTCACTATTTTAATTATAATTTTTTATTTTTTTGAGACGGAGTTTCACTCTTGTTGCCCAGGCTGCAGTGCAACATAGCGTGATCTCAGCTCACTGCAACCTCCACCTCCTGCGTTCAAGCGATTCTCCTGTCTCAGCCTTCCAAGTAGCTGGGATTACAGGCATGCGCCACCACGCCTGGCTAATTTTTTGTGTTTAGTAGAGACGAGGTTTTACCATGTTGGTCAGGCGGGTTTCAAACTCCTGACCTCAAGTGATCCACCCACCTCAGCCTCCCAAAGTGCTGGGATTACAGGCGTGAGCCACCATGCCCAGCCTAATTATCAAATTTTGGACACTGGACTTAACACTTCAATTGTTATAGATACAACTTTTTCAGACAGCAGGCTGAAGCACTTTCTAAAACAGCAGGCTGAAGGCACACCTTACTTAGCAGGACTGAGCCCTAAGCCAGGTAGAAGGCCGAGCAGGATAGATACATTCTTGTCTCAGAAAGTTCCACAGAGACAGAAAGAAAAACAGTCCCCAGAGATGTTGCCAAATGGCACGAAAAGCTGGCCAGGCCTGGGAACTGACTCACACACAGAGATGCAACAAAACAGTGTGAGGTGTCTCTGATTACATGATAAAAAGGTTCACACGGTTCTGTTTGTCTTCTGCCTCCCCCCATATATCACAACTTTCTCTGACTGGGGAAGGGTAAGTGGGAAACAACTGGTATAAGCAAAGGAAAATGGCTGGGCGCGGTGGCTCACTCCTGTAATCCCAATACTTTGGGAGGCCGAGGAGGGTGGATCACGAGGTCAGGAGTTCGAGACCAGCCTGCCCAACATGGTGAAACCCTATGTCTACTAAAAATACAAAAAATTAGCTGGGTGTAGTGGCGGGTGCCTGTAATGCCAACTACTGGGGAGGCTGAGGCAGGATAATCGCTTGAACCCAGGAGGCGGAGGTTGCAGTGAGCTGAGATCGTGCCACTGCACTCCAGCCTGGGCGACAGAGCAAGCCTCCATCTAAAAAAAAAAAAAAAAAAAAAAAAAAAAGAGAAGAGAAGTACTGCTCAGAGAAAAGAAGGAATTACCAGCAACAGGCTGGGCCCATGAAACTCTGAGCGGGTAAGATAGAGGGAAAGTGAGCATGCTGGGTCACTCTAGGCATTTTCCTCTGACTCATCAAACATTCCCAAGTCACAGGGCAGCTGGATGCTGGCCTTAGCTGGGTACAGGGCTCTGACTCCACGATGTCTCCTTTGGGGACTCAGGTGCCTCCTAAGCTCCTTCTGCCTTCAAGAGGCAATTCAGGGTCGGCATAGTTCAACCCAGGGCTGGCTGGTCTGATTTTCAATACCCAAGGAACAAAAGGAGACAGAGGCCATTTAAGGCTTCTCTTGGCAGAGACTGGAGGAGAGACAGGATGCAATGAGCAAGGGGTGGGGAGGATGGAGTGGAAAGAACCTTGAATTAGGAGAGCTCTGCCTTCCGAGGTGACCCAAACCAACAGGCATTCAAGAGAGAGGCAAGGGAATGACTACGGACCCACACAGTGCCAGGAACTGTTAGACACCTGACAAACGTCATCTGTTTAATTTCACCTCTGGGACCTCAGTTTTTTACCGGGAACCTGAACAGTTCTGGAACATACTGGAAGCCTGTATGCTGGTGGTTAATCCTATTAACTTTGGAGTCAAGACTCCTTTCCTGGAATTACCACCTCTGTTACTTACACAGTTGCGATCTCGGGCAAGTTACTTAACCTTTCTGCCCTCCACTTTCCCTACCTGTGAAATGTGGACAGTAGTAGATTATACTGCACAGAATTTATTAAATAAGGTAGAAAAGGCGCAGAGCCTGACACGTAGTAACGTTGTAGACATCCAATAAGTGACAATTATTTTTGTTTGGGGCTCCTCCCAGCTACTGAAATCACAAGTCTGGGAAGGGGTTCAAGAATCACCCCTAGGCCCCACCGGGGGCCCCATACCAGGTCCCCATGCAGACGTCCCACCCCCGCCTCCCAGCTGATCACAACCTCCCGGGCTCTCCCCCACGGCCCACCCACCTTCCTCCAACCCCGCCCCCAGCCGTTCCCCACCAACCTCACTCCATCAGTGCTCCCTCTTCAGGGGCTTATTCCCCACCACCCACCACCCACCGCCCACTTCCTCGACACCCGAACTTTGGTCCTCCAGGATCCTTCCGCAGTGTTTTCACCTCTCGGTGTTATTGACGATCACTCCGCCGCCCTCCGAGTGATTCTTGTTGAGCGCCATAGTCTCTCCAACAGGGGTCCCGAGACTCAAAACGCAATGAGCTTGCGCCCCTCTTCGCCCCGCCCCTAGTGGCGTCTTCTTATTAGAGTCAGCCAATCAAAGCTCGAGTGCGGAGGCTGGCCCAAACACCTGACCCGAACGTCACGTGGTAATAGTTTACTCCCTCCTTCCAGTTCCTCCTGCGCAACAAACAAGATGAAGACTACAATTCCCAGCAGGCAACGCCCCCGCAGCCTCGGCCTGTCCCTATGCTGGAGGAAGGATGCATTCTGGAACTTGTAGTCTCCTGGATCATAGGCCTGAATTGGTTCCACATTTTGCGTAACCAATCGGCTTGTGCCATCCCCACCCCGCCTCTTCAGCCGGACGGAAATAAACAGTTCCGCTCCTGGCAGGGGCGCGATCTTGGGGACTCCGGCAGCGCGTTAAGGGAAGTCCTGCTGGTCGAATGCGACCTGGACATGGCGTGGGAGCGCCGAGCTGTCCCCTTGTGGATGGGGAGCTTTCGTTCACTCAGCAGACGTTTATGGGGCGCATGCGTGACTCTGGGGCGTTTAGCTGAGCCGGAGGCCCCGGCTCTTGGGGACGCGGTGGGCTGGCGGCGTCGGATCACCCCGCCATCCATCTCACCACTCCCAGCGCTGAGCCCGGGGGGCGGGGAGAGTCCCTCATGGGAAGGGGAGGCCGTGTGCCCCGCCTGGCTCCCACCACGTTCGCAGGCCGGCCGGGCGCCCCTCGCAGCCCCCTCTCCGGCCTCGCGGTGGCGCCGCTCCCCCCTTAGCGCCCAGCGGGGTCCCGGCCGGAAGACTGAAGGCTGAGTGGGACTGGGCACGGCGCGAAACCGGCATCCTGATAACTAGGATTTACAGAATAAGGCTGACTCCTGTCAGCTCGTGACCCAGCCCTGGGCGTCCTCCACGGGGCAGCTGTCATTCCCTAACCGCCCCCCACCAAACCCCTGCACCTCCGAGCTGAATCCGTGAGGCGGAGAGAGGGGGCTGCACTTCCCACGTGGTAGTTCCGGTACTCGTTAATGTTAAGGAATTAGAGTTTGCTTTTCAGTAGACAGCTGCTTTCCTGACTGTGGTGGCCAACCTCTAGATCCACCTGCTTGACTTCGCTTTCCAGGGAGGTCTCCTATGTGAAGAAACAAAGCTGCCTCACTAGAAAAGATCAGGAAACAGCAGCGTTCTGTGAGGTCCTGTGCAATACCAGGTTGGACCTTGCGGGACAAGTACAGTGGGTTAAGGATAGTCATAATGAAATCTGCCCCAATGGTTAGATGTATTTTGGCGCCTGCAATCTCTGCAGTCTTTAAAAAGAATTAAGTCAGACTATGTGCTGATATGGGAAGATCATCAAGGGTTATTAAGCACAGAATGCTGTATACATATAGTTGTATTTGTATAAAAAATAGGATCTAGATAGAAAATTTTTGCAAAGATCCATCAGAAAATGTCTGTGGCATTTTTGAGACATGGGTCTAGGAATTTGGGGTGGATTGGTGACTCGGTATGTCAGTATGCATTGTACTCTTTGGTACTGTTTAATTTTTTTTTCCTATGTGCGTTTAAAATATAAATTTAGGCCGGGCGCGTGGCTCACGCCTGTAATCCCAGCACTCTGGGAGGCCGAGGCGGGCGGATCACGAGGTCAGGAGATCGAGACCATCCTGGCTAACAGAGTGAAACCCCTTATTAAAAATACAAAAAAAAAAAAAAAATTAGCCGGACGTGGTGGCGGGCGGCTGTAGTCCCAGCTACTTGGGAGGCTGAGGCAGGAGAATGGCGTGAACCCGGGAGGCAGAGCTTGCAGTGATCTGAGATTGCGCCACTGCACTCCAGCCTGGGTGACAGAGTGAGACTCCATCTCAAAATAAAATAAAATAAAAATAAATAAATAATATGTAAATTTAAAAAAGAAAAGCAGGCCGGGGTTTGTGGCTCACGCCAAAGGCGTGAGCCAAATTCCAGCACTTTGGGAGGCCAAGGCAGGTGGATCACCTGAGGTCAGGAGTTCAAGACCAGCCTGGCCAACATGGTGAAACTCCATCTCTACTAAAAATACAAAAATTAGCCGGGCATGGTGGCGGGCACCTGTAATCCCAGCTACTCGGGAGGCTGAGGCAGGAGAATCGCTTGAACCTGGGAGGCAGATGTTACAGTGAGCCAAGATCATGCCACTGCATTCCAGCCTAGGCGACAGAGCAAGACTCCATCTCAGAAAAAAGAAAAAGAAAAGCAAAATCCAGGCCTGGTGCCGTGCCTGTAATCCCAGCACTTTGGGAGGCCAAGGTGGGTGGATCACTTGAGGCCAGGAGTTTGAGACCAGCCTGGACTACATGGCAAAATCCCATCTCTATAAAAATACAAAAATTAGGCCGGGCGCGGTGGCTCACACCTGTAATCCCAGCACTTTGGGAGGCCAAGGTCGGCGGATTACCTGAGGTCAGGAGTTCAAGACCAGCTGGCTAACATGGAGAAACCCCGTTTCTACTAAAAAATACCAAAAACTAGCCGGGTGTGGTGTTGTGCGCCTGTAAGCGCCTGTAATCCGCGCGCCTGTAATCCCAACTACTCGGGAGGCTGCGGCAGGAGAATCCCTTGAACCTGGGAGGTGGAGGTTGCAGTGAGCCGAGATCACGCCATTGCACTCCAGCTTGGGCAACAAGAGCAAAACTCCATCCCAAAAAAAAAAAAAAAAACGCAAAAATACAAAAATTAGTTGTGCATGGTGGCGTGGTTCCTGTAATCCCAGCTAATAGGGAGGCTGAGACATGAGAATTGTTTGAACCTGAGAGGCGAAGGTTTCAGTGAGCCAAGATCGTCCCAGTGCACTCCAGCCTGGGCAACAAAGGAAGATTCTGTCTCAAAGAAAAGAAAAAGAAAAAAAGGAAAATCCCCCCAGCAAAGAGCAGGCAGCATTGGCTGCTCTAAGGACCATAAATGGGAAGATGGGGACAACCTGCCCACCCCTCTCCCACCCCTTTGCCAAATACGTTGGAGACAGGAGCAAGTTCAGGTTTTGCCAGGCCTTGAAGCTTATACAATTTTGGAGGCTGTCTTGGTTGTTTATGTTTTTGTTTTTTGAGACAGGGTCTCATTCTGTCACCCAGGTGCGATCATAGCTCACTGCTTCCTTGGAACTCCTGGACTCAAGTGATCTGGAGGCTCTTTTTAAGAAATAAAATACACAGGCCGGGCGCAGTGGCTCATGCCTGTAATCCCAGCACTTTGGGAGGCTGAGGAAGGTGGATCACCTGAGGTCAGGAATTTGAGACCAGCCTGGCCAACGTGGTGAAACCCCGTCTTTACTAAAAATACAAAAAATTAGCTGGGTGTGGTAGCGGTCACCTGTAATCCCAGCTACTCGGGAGGCTGAGGCAGGAGAATCGCTTGAACCCTGGAGACGGAGGTTGCAGTGAGCTGAGATCAAGCCACTGCACTCCAGCCTGGGCAACGAGAGGAAAGCTCTAACTCAAAAAAAAAAAACAACCCCACAATTATTCATTCACAATACTGTGGCTACAGTGAGGCCTCCTGACAGGAGGGGAAATGACAAGAAGAGGAAGTTGCAGTGCAGAGATAACAAGCTTGACCAGCTCCGGCTACAATGTCCAGAATTTCTAAGTTTTACAAAAACATATGACCATGTGAACACACTTCCTGGGCGGCTCCCATGACTTTGGGGCTGGAACGTACCAGAACTCAAAACTCAAACCGAAGACTTCAACAATGGTTTATTGCTGAACCAGGTGAGCAGCAGGAGGCTCCCCTGGGCCCAGGTCTCAGTACTCAGACCTCTCCTCTGGCCTCATACTCCTGTCTGCCTGTCTCCAGATCTCTTTTTCACTGCAGTATGATGCTCATATTCTCCACACTGGAGCACATCTTAGCGGTGCGCTAAGGAGGAGTGCAGGTTGGCCTCAGATACCAGCAGGCAAGGTCTGGGGCAGCTGAGCCCCTGAACTGGTCACCTGTTTTTTCTGTTTATAATTTTATTTATTATTTATGTATTTATTTTTGATACAGGGTCTTGCCCGTCTCCTGGGGTGGAGTGCATTGACATGATCTCTGCTCACTGCAGCCTCCGCCTCCCGGGTTCAAGCAATTCTCATGCCTCAGCCTCCAGAGTAGCTGGGACTACAGAATCGTGCCACCACGCCCAGCTAATCTTTGTATTTTTAGTAGAGATGGGGTTTCACCATGTTGGCCAAGCTGGTCTCAAATTCCTGACCTCAAGTCATCCGCCCACCTAACACTCCCGAAAGTGTTAGGATTACAGGTATGAGCCACCGCCCCCGCCTGGTCGCCTCTTGACTCCCAATAAGATGAATCTGTTTGCCCCAGTGAGCCAAATAAATACCATTTTCACTGAACAAATCATTTTCTGTGTGTGCCATGACATAAAAGAGGTTGGCAGGCCCGTAGAGGTGGCTCATGCCTGTAATCCCAGCATTTTGGAAGACTGAGGCAGGAGGATTGCTTCAGCCCAGGAGTTTAAGACCATCCTGGGCAACATAGTGAGACCCTCCCTCTAAAAATTTAAAAAAAAAAAAAAAAAAAAAGGTTGGCAGCATTTACCAAACGGTGGCTGTTTTTCCTTACCTTGACCCACAGTAAAAATATATAGGGCTTGAGCCCAGGAGTTTGAGACCAGCCTGGGTGACAGAGCGAGACCCTGTCTTACATTGTCACTCAGGCTGGAGTGGTGCAGTCATGGCTTACTGCACCTTCAACCTCCCGGGCTCAAGCAATCTTTTTACGTCAGCCTCCTAAGTAGCTGGGACTACAAGTGCACATCACCATGCCTGGCTAGTTTAAAAAATTTTTTTGGTAGAGATGGGGTTCCATTATGTTGCCCAGGATGGTCTTGAACTCCTGGCATCAAGCAGTGGTCCTGCCTCAGCCTCCCAAGTAGCTGAGAGTACAGGCCCTGCCACCACCACATGCTGCTTAATTTGTATTTTGTAGTGGGATATATTCTGAAATTTTCTGTTTTATTTTGTCATCTTAAAAAATTGCTGCAAGCAGCCGGGCGCAGTTGCTGACGCCTGTAAATCCAGCACTTTGGGAGGCCGAGGCAGGCAGATCACGAGGTCAGGAGATCAAGACCATCCTGGCTAACACGGTGAAACCCTGTCTCTACTAAAAAAAAAAAATACAAAAAAATTAGCCGGGTGTGGTGGTGAGCACCTGTAGTCCCAGCTACTCAGGAGGCTGAGGCAGGAGAATGGCGTGAACCCAGGAGGCGGAGCTTGCAGTGAGCAGAGATCGAGCCACTGCACTCCAGTCTCGGCGACAGAGTGAGACTCCGTCTCAAAAAAAAAAAAAAAAATTGCTGAAAGGGCCGGGCTCGGTGGCTCGCACCTCTAATCCCAGCACTTTGGGAAGCCGAGGCGGGCAGATCACCTGAGTCAGGAGTTCAAGACCAGCCTGGCCAACATGGTGAAACCCCGTCTCTACTAAAACTACAAAATTAGCCGGGCATGGTGGCGCAAGCCTGTAATCCCAGCTACTCGGGAGGCTGAGGCAGGAGAATAGCTGGAATCTGGAAGACGGAGGTTGCAGTGAGCCGAGATGGCGCCATTGCACTCCAGCCTGGGCAAAAAGAGTGAAACTCAAAAAAAAAAAAAGTGCTGCCGGCGTGGTGGCTCACGGCGGACACTTGAGGTCAGGAGTTTGAGACCAGCCTGGCCAACATGGTGAAGCCCCCATCTCTACTAAAAATACAAAAAGTTAGCCGGGGGTGGTGGAGCGCACCTGTAGTCCCAGCTACTCAGGAGGCTGAGGTGGGAGGATTGCTTCGCTCAGGAGGCAGAGGCTGCAGTGAGCTGAGTTCGCACCATTGCACTCCAGCCTGGGTGACAGAGTGAGACCCCCATCTCAAAAAACAAAACAAAACACCAAAATCAACAATAATACAGAAGCTTGAAAGAGGAGCCCCAGGGTACTAAAACCCAGCCCTCTGAAGAGCGGGCCTGGGCCGGCTGGTGCTGGTGCCCGTGCCTCTGAAGGGAGCTCAGGGTAGCTGGTTCTGCAAGGGTTGGAAAAAGTAGAAACTGGATTCAGCTGCTGCTAAAGAACTGCAGCTGCCCCAATGAAGAAGCTTTCCTGGGTACAATACAGGCAAAAATAGTGAGCAGATGGGAGGCTGGGGCCTTCTCCAGCCCTTCAGGCCTCTCTAGCGCCCCCTCTTGGCAGAGCCTGGCAGGGAGCAGCAGGCAATGGAGAAACGTGGCTCTGGGTGCATTGGCTCATGCCTGTAATCATAGCAGTTTGGGAGGCCCAGGCAGGTGGATCACCTGAGGGCAGGCGTTCGAGGCCAGCCTGGGCAACACGGTGAAACCCCATCTCTACTAAAAATACGAAAATTATCTGGGCGTGGTGGCGTGTGCCTGTAGTCCCAGCTACTCAGGAGGCTGAGGCAAGAAAATCTCTGGAATCCAGGAGGCAGAGCTTGCAGTGAGCCAAGATCGCACCACTGCACTCCAGCCTGGGCGACAGGGCAAGACTTCATCTCAAAAAGTAGTAATAAAAAATAAAATTAAGAAAACAAAGACATGTGGCTCTGAGTCCCAGCCAGACCATGAAGCTGAGTTGGGTGGGTGGGTGTTATGAGTTGAGTTCGGTCCCCCCGACTTCAAATTCACATGTTGAAGTCCTGACCTGCAGTACCTCTGAAAGTGACCTTATTTGGAAATAGGGTTGTTGAAGACATCATTAGTTAAGATGAGATCATTAGGGTGGGCCCTAAATCCAGCGTGACTGGTGCCCTTGTAAGAAGGAGAAACTTGGACACAGACACACACGCAGGGAGAAGGCAGGCGGTGCAAAGAGGGAGGCAGAGAGCTACCAAGATTGCTACACGGATTGCTACATATTGTCAACAAACCACCAGAAGCAAGGAGAGCGTCAGGGGACAGATTCGCTCTCACAGCCTCAGAAGGAGTCAACCCTGCCCGTACCTTGATTCCAGACTTCGGTCTCCAGCACTGAGACAATACATTTTGATTGTTTTTGTTTGTTTGTTTGTTTTGAGACGGAGTCTCACTCTGTCGCCCAGGCTGGAGTGCACTGGCGCGATCTCAGCTCACTGCAAGCTCCGCCTCCGGGATTCACGCCATTCTCCTGCCTCAGCCTCCCGAGTAGCTGGGACTACAGGCGCCCGCCACCACGCCCAGCTAATTTTTTTGTATTTTTAGTAGAGACGGGGGGGGTTCCACCGTGTTAGCCAGGATGGTCTCGATCTCCTGACCTCGTGATGTGCCCGCCTCGGCCTCCCACAGTGCTGGGATTACAGGCGTGAGCCACCGCACCTGGCCCATTTTGATTGTTGAAGCCGCCTGGTTTGTGGTATCTTGTTACGACAGCCCAGCGCATTAATATAGTGGGTTTGGAGCTAAGAGTCAAGAGTTTGGCATCATCCCCAAAATGTGCTTGGCCCAGGGCAGTGGGGCCTCAGCTGCAGCTAGAAGCCCTTGGAGCCGGGCGCAGTGGCTCACACCTGTAATCCCAGCACTTTGGGAGGCCGAGGCGGGTGGATTACCTGAGGTTGGGAGTTCAAGACCAGCCTGACCAACATGGAGAAACCTTATCTTTACTAAAAAATATACAATTAGCCAGGCATGGTGGCGCACGCCTGTAATCACAGCTACTTGGGAGGCTGAGGCGAGAGAACTGCTTGAACCCTGGAGGCAGAGGTTGCGGTGAGCCGAGATCATGCCATTGCACTCCAGCCTGGGTGACAGAGTGAGACTCTGTCTCAAAAATAAAAATAAAAATAAAAAATAGAAGCACTTGGGCTCAGACGGTCGGCATCTGAGCAGCAGCAGACCCAGTGGAGAACAGAGTGGAGGCTCTCCCATCTGAGGCCCCGGTGGGGTGGCTCATGCCTGTAATTCCAGCACTTGGGAGGCCAAAGTGGGTGGATCACTTGAAGCAAGGAGTTCGAGACCAGCCTGGCCAACATGGTGAAACCCTGTCTCTACTAAAAATACAAAAATTAGCCGGGCGTGGTAGCGCACGCCTGTAATCCCAGCTACACAGGAGGCTGAGGCAGGAGAATCACTTGAACCCAGGAGGCAGAGGTTGTAGTGAGCTGAGATGGTGCCACTGCACTCCAGCCTGAGCAACAGAGTTGGTGCAGGGAAGAAAGCTCTCCCATCCCCTGGGCACCATGGAATCACCATATAATGCCAGGTGCAGTGGCTCTCGCCTGTAATCCCAGCACTTTGGGAGGCCGAAGTGGGCCAATCACCTTAGGTCAGGAGTTTGAGACCAGCCTGGCCAACATGGTGAAACCCTGTCCCTACTAAAAATACAAAAATTAGCCAGGCATGGTGGTGGGCGCCTGTAATCCCAGCTACTCAGGAGGCTGAGGCAGGAGAATCACTTGAACCTGGGAGGCAGAGGTTGCAGTAAGCCAAGATTGTACGCTCCAGCCTGGATGACTCCGTCTCAATAATAATAATAATAATAATAATAATAATAATAATAATAATAATAGTGATTCTACTGAGGGGGAAGATGCCCCTCCCCATATGCCTGAAGTTGAATTTCTTACTTTCTTGGCAAAGGGCAGCTTATAATCACATTTTTTTTTTTTGAGACGGAGTCTCGCTCTATATGGCCCAGGCTGGAGTGCAGTGGCGCCATCTCGACTCACTGCAAACTCCGCCTCCCGGGTTCACGCCATTCTCCTGCCTCAGCCTCCCGAGTAGATGGGACTATAGGTGCCCGCCACCACGCCCGGCTAATTTTTTGTATTTTTAGTAGAGACAGGGTTTCACCGTGTTAGCCAGGATGGTCTCGATCTCCTGACCTCGTGATCCGCCCGCCTCAGCCTCCCAAAGTGCTGGGATTACAGGCGTGAGCCACCGTGCCTGGCCTATAATCACATTTTACTTGATTTAGGGAAACTACTCAAATGGACATTTCTTTTACCTGAGTTTGGGGGAACAAATTTGTGCTTGATACACCAAGTCTTTTTCTTTCAGCCAGTTGTCCTCTTTCTAATACGCCAGTGAGAAAAATAAAACTCCTGGTAAGTCATTGGTAACTTTCTGCCACTCACCGTTGGTTGCTCTGCTGCGGAGTGGCAGATGCCCTGTGAGGCGTTGGTGATGTTTGGTGACGTGGAAGTGGGCTATTTTGGATGAGTCCTTTTTGGCCGTGGGTATTTCAAGAACACAAATTGCCCGCTCCCTCATCAGAAGCAGGGCCAGAGCGTGTCTGGGGCTGTTTCTGGTTGCTATAGAGATGGGCCCCACCCTGAAGTTCCCGCTGGGACCTCCTGGCTCTGTCAAGTTCAGTTTCCCCAGACACAGCTGCAAGGCCTGTTCTGAGCAATTCCTGCTGTTAGAGTGTTTATACACACCTCGAGTGCATTTCCGCTTCTGAGCCTCCAAAACCACAGAAAGCCAGAAAGGGGCGGTGTGACCTCTGAAGATGTCCGCATCCCAGTACTGAGGAGCCTTGGCTGGAGGGACCCCCCTCTACACCAGAGAGCTGGAGGAGAGGAGGGACCAGGGGAGGTGCTTAAGGGCCTGGCCCCTCCCTGCTATTATATTTCTGGTCCCCCTTCCCAGAGTTAGGGGGCTCTTCTCCACTTCCCTGGCAAGATGCAAGGTGGCAGTTTTAGTCATTTTCATCCTCTTTTTCCCCTCCTTAAGCTTATCTCTCACCTAAATAATAGAATGATTTTGAAACTTCAAACCCTTTTTTTTTTTTTGAAATGAGGTCTCACTCTGTCACCCAGGCTGGAGTGCAGTAGTGTGATCTCAGCTCACCGCAACCTATGCCTCCTGGGCTCAAGCAATCCTCATACCTCAGCCTTCAGAGTAGCTGAGATCCCAGGTGTGCGTCACCATGCCTGGCTAATTTTTTTTTTTTTTTTGTATTTTTGGTAGAGATGGGGTTTCACCATGTTGCCCAGGCTGGCCCTGAACTCCTGAGCTCGTGATCCTCCCGCCTCAGCCTCCCTAAGTGCTAGGATTACAGGCGTGAGCCATGGCGCCCAGCCGAAACTTCAAATCTGATTGTACTGTTTCCCCATGTGAGACCATGCCCTGGCTTCCCATTGTTCCTAGGAAAAGTCCAGAATCCTTACCAGGCTCTGCTCTGCAGGACCTGGCCTGCCACCTCGGGCCTCTCACCCTTCTGCCCTGCACTGCTGTCCCCTGCAGCGCCCTGGCTGGTCTCGAGCCCACACCCATCCTTTCTGTCTTGTTAACTCCTCCTTGTCTTTCAGGCCTCAGCAGTCCTTTCTTCAAGGAAATGAGCCCTAGAAATGGCCTTCTGCCAGCCCCATTAGGGTTCCTTCTTATGGCCACTGTCCTTTTCTTTCTTTTTTTTTTTTTTTGGCAGGGGAGGGGGGACGCGTGGTAAAATATACATAACATAAAATTCACCATTATAACCTTTTTTTTTTTTTTTTTTTTTTTGAGACGGAATCTTGCTTTGTCACCAGGCTGGAGTGCAGTGGCGCAGTCTCGGCTCACTGCAAGCTCCACCTCCCGGGTTCAAGTGATTCTCCTGCCTCAGCCCCCTGAGTAGCTGGGACTACAGGTGCCCGCCACCACACCCAGCTACTTTTTGTATTTTAGTAGAGACGGGGTTTCACCATGTTGGCCTTGATCTCCTGACCCCGTGATCCACCCACCTCGGCCTCCCAGAGTGCTGGATTTACAGGCGTGAGCCACCACGCCCAGCCAATTTTAACCATTTTTAAATGTACACTTCAGGGGCTTTAAGTGAATACGTTGTTGTGCAGCCATCAGCACCATCCATCTCCAGAACTTTATCATCATTCCACACTGAAACTGTCCCCATTAAACACCAACTCCCCATTCCCTGTTGCCCAGCCCCTGGCAACCTCCATCGTATTCTAGGGACCTCATATATAAATGGAATCATAAAGTATTTGTCTTTTTGTGATTGGCTTATTTTACTTGGCATAATGTCTTCAAAGTTTATCCAAAGTGTAGCATATGTCAGAACTTCTTGATTGTTTAGGGATGAATAACAGTCCACTTTGTGTGTGTATATACATTTTTTTTTTTGCTTATTTATTCATGTGTCTATGGACACTTGGATTGTCCCAGGCTGGAGTGGAATGGTGTGATCTTGGCTCACTGTAGCCTCCACCTCCTGGGTTCAAGGGATTCTCCTGCCTCAGCCTCCAGAGTAGCTGGGATTACAGGCTCCTGCCACCACACCCGGCTAATTTTGTATTTTTAGTAGAGATGGGGGTTTCACCCTGTTGGCCAGGCTGGTCTCGAACTCCTGGCCTCAAGTGATCAACCTGCCTCGACCTCCCAAAGTGCTGGGATTACAGGTGTGAGCCACTGCACACGGCCTGCTTTCAGTTATTTTGGATACGTATCCAGAAGTGGGGTTGCTGTGCTTTTCTTTGATAGTACTTAGTACAGTGACACCTATCCCACAGCCGTTTGTGTGGTGCCTGTGAGGACAGGGGCATCTCTGTGACGCCCACTGCTGTATCCCTGGCACTGAGCACTGTGCCCTACAGTGATTAAATATTGTCTTGTTGGCCATGTGCGGTGGCTCACGCCTGTAATCCCAGCACTTTGGGAAGCTGAGGTGGGCGGATCACCCGAGGTCAGGAGTTCAAGACCAGCCTGGACAACATGGAGAAACCCCATCTCTACTAAAAATGCAAAAATTAGCTCAGTGTGGTGGTGCACACCTGTAATCACAACTACTCGGGAGGTTGAGGTAGGAGAATCACTTGAACCCGGGAGGCAGAGGTGGCAGTGAGCTGAGATTGTGCCACTGCACTCCAGCTTGAGAGACAGAGTGAGACTCCAACTCAAATATATATATATATTATATATATAAAATACATAATATATGATAATTGTATATGTATAATATAATATATAATATATATTTGAGTTGGCGTCTCTGTATCTACATAGAGAGACACTCTACATAATATATATATTTTTTATATATATATACAATAGTTTTGTTTTGTTTTAGAGACAAGGACTCACTCTGTCACCCAGGCGGGAGTTCAGTGGTGCAATGGTAGCTCACTGTAGTCTTGAACTCCTGGGCTCAAGTGATCCTCCCACCTCAGCCTCCTGAACAGCTGGGCCTGCAGGCACGCACCACCACCCCGGCTAATTTGTTTTTATTTTTACAGAGACAAGGTCTTGCTATGTTGCCCAGGGTAGTCTTGAACTCCTGAGCTCAAGAGTCCCCTTGCCTTGGCTTCTCAAGGTGCTAGGATTACAGGTATGAGCCACCTCACCTAGCCTAATTTTTTATTTTTATTTTAGGCATGGGGTCTCACTGTGTTGCCCAGGCAGGTCTGGAACTTCTCACCTCAAGCGATCCTCTTGCCTCAGCCTCTCAGATGTTGGGATTACAGGCATAAGCCACTGTGCCCAGCCCTGATACATTATTGTTGAATGAGTGAGTGAAAGTTTCCTATCAAAACGGGTAGAACAAGATGTAGTGTCTGGAAAACTTAGGTGTGGGCTAATCTTAGCCCCTGAAAAACAGATGCTTGGGATCCCCCATGGATCTCTGTCACCCAGGCTGAAGTGTGGTAGTGTGATCACAGCTCACTGCAACCTTGAACTCTGGGGCTCAAACAACCAGTACTCCCACCTCAGGCTTCTGAGTGACTGGGACTACAGGCTCACGCCACCACTCCTGGCTAGTTTTTTATTTGTTTATTTATTTTTTTTTGGTAGAGACGGGATCTTGCTATGTTGCCCAGGCTGGTCTCCAACTCCTGGGCTCAAGCGATCCTCCCACCTCAGCCTCCCAAAGTTTTGGGATTATAGGTGTCAGCCCCCAAGCCCAGCTGTTTTTTATTTATTTTATTTTATTTCAGTCGGAGTCTCCTTCTTATAACCCAGGCTGGAGTGCAATGGTGCCGTCTCAGCTCACTGCAACCTCCGCCTCATGGATTCAAGCCATCATCCTGCTTCAGCCTCCCAAGTAGCTGGGATTAGCCACCATGCCTGGCTAATTTTTGTATTTTTAGTAGAGACGGGGTTTCACCATGTTAGCCATACTGGTCTCAAACTCCTGACCTCAGGTGATCCGCCCGCCTCGGCCTCCCAAAATGCTAGGATTACAGGCATGAGCCACCATGCCTGGCCTGTTTTTTATATTAAAGCAATATTGGGCTGGGCTTGTATATTAAAGCAGCATTGGGCTAAAAATACAAAAATTAGCTGGGCGTGGTGGTGCACGCCTGTAGTCCCAGCTATTGAGTAAAATTCAAAGTTTGAATGTCATTTAAAGATAAAGTACAGGCCGGGGGTGGGCATTGTGGCTCATGCCTATAATCCCAGCACTTTGGGAAGATGAAGTGGGAAGATTGCTTGGGCCCGGAAGTTGGAGACCAGCCGGGTCAACATAGCAAGACCCCATCTCTATTTGGTTCCATATACCCCTGAGGGTGTCAGGAGCACGTGGGGAGAACACGGAGGCTCTCCATCCCAAGTGAGGCCCACAAGGACCACCAGGGGCTTCCTTCATTTCTTATGCATCTCCCAGATCTGACTGTGTGGACGGGGAATGATCTCGCCTTCTAGATTTTGTTTGTTTGAGATGGAGTCTTGCTCTGTTGCCCAGGCTGGAGTACAGTGGTGCGATCTCAGCTCACTGCAACCTCCGCCTCCCGGGTTCAGGAGATTCTCCTGCCTCAGCCTTCTGAGTAGCTGGGATTACAGGTGTGCACCACCATGCCCAGCTAATTTTTGTATTTTAGTAGAGACGGGGTTTCACTATGTTGGTAAGGCTGGTCTTGAACTCCTGACCTCGTGATCTGCCCTCCTCGGCCTCCCAAAGTGCTGGCATTACAGGCATGAGCCAGCACACCTGGCCACCTTCCAGATTTTGAATGTCGGCATCAAATGTGTGTGGGGTGTTTGGGGTTGAACGGGACACAGACCCTGCTCAGTGCTCCAGTAGTCCCCTGTTATCCATGGTTTTGCTTACCCACAGTCTACTGCAGTCCAAAAATGTTAAATGGAAGATTCCAGAAGTAAACAACTCATAAGTTTTAGATCGCATGCCGTTCTGAGTAGCATGATGAAATCTCACACCATCCCACTTCATCTAGCCTGCCTGGGACAAGAATCATCCCTTTGTTCGGGGAATCCACACTGTAGGGACTGCCCGCCCATTGTTTACTTTTAGCCATCTTGGTTACTTACCAGATAGAAAAAACCATAGTGCATATAGGATTCTGTACCATTGCAGCATCAGGCACCCACGGGGGTTCTGGGAACTCATCCCCCGCGATAAAGAAGTACTAGAGTACTTTCCTCCTGGGAGAGATGCAGTAGCTGCCAGCCTCAGCCACACCCAGTTCGGCCCCATCCTCCTGGCCAGGCCTCGGGGAGTCACAGTCCAGCCGCACCCGCTGTGCCTGGGAGGAGAGGGGGTGAAGGGAGGCACTTCTGTGAGTGTTCCTCGGGCCTTGGGAAGGGGAGGACAAGGATGAGGAGAAGGGAGGAAAGAAGTCTGGGGGTCTGTTTCCTCCTGGGGTGTGGGGAGGCCATGGGAGCAGTCCAAGCTCTTCCTCAGGCTGTTGGTTGGAACCCCAGCTCATTTTCCCACAGAAACAAAGCGGGAGTGGAGGTTGGCGCCCTGCCTGGCCCAGAGCAGCCAGGCCCAGCAACCAGCGCCAAAGCCTCGGAAACCCCTCACCCTGCACCATTGTCTGGGCCTGGCGGGGGCTCTGGCGGGAGCTTCTGAGGCCACAGACCCTCGGGCAGCCTTGCCAAGGCTCCGGTGACCATGGGAACTGGGACCCAGCCGAGGGCAGCATATACACAGGCGGCAGCGCTGGGAAGCAGGGCTCTGTGTGTGTGAGTGTGAGGTGTGTGTATGTGTGCGTGTGTGTTTAGACATTTCTTGTTTTTTGGAGACAGAGTCTTGCTCTGTTACCCAGGCTGGAGTGCAGGGGTGTGATCTCGGCTCACTGCAACCTCCGCCCCCCAGATTCAAGTGATTCTTTTGCCTCACCCTCCCGAGTAGCTGGGACTACAGGCACGTGCCACCACTCCCGGCTAATTTTTGTATTTTTTAGTAGAGACGGGGCTGGTCTCGAACTCCTGATCTCAAGTGATCCACCCACCTCAGCCTCCCAAAGTGCTGGGATTACAGGCATGAGCTACCACGCCTGGCTTGTTTAGGCATTTCTAAGCACAAGACACACCTAGGCTGGGCGGTATGGAAAGAGTGTTCTGGACTGGGTAACAGTGGGCAGCCCCCCCAGTACCCCTGTGCCTCAGTTTCTTCCTCTGTAAATGGTAGTGGGAGGGGAACGTTGAGACTAGATCGGTGGTTTTCTCATTTTTTTCTTTTTCACAGTTTCTTTTTTTAAAGGAGCCTTGAATCAAATAGGCAAATGCTTCTCTGATTAAGGTGTTGGCAGGGGTGCTGAGGGACCTCCCCCAGCCTTTCCCCAGCCCACCCCGCTCAGTGCACCTCCTCCTAGGTCTTCTCAGAGCATTGTTGGAAAAGTCACTGGGCTGGAGCAACATGCATTCACACACAGGCGTTCACCCAGGCAGACACTCACACACAGCACACAGACACACACGAAGACATACACACATGTATACAGATATACGCACATATACGCATACACACAAAACACATAGGCATGCAGACCACACACACACACTCACACACACACTCTCACACTCCAGGGTGACAAAGGAAATGCGAGATTGTAGCTAACACTCCAGGCTTCGGAGTCTGAAACTTGGGATCTGAAGAGCCAGCCCCTTGCTAGCTGTGCACCCAGGGGCCAGCCAATCCCTGGCTCTGAGCTGCAAAGCTGCAATACAGGGATATGGGATTAAAATGCTTGTTGCAGGCAGGGTACAGAACCCCGTCTCTACATTTTAAAATGTATTTTATTTATTTATTTATATTTTTTATTTATTTATTTATTTATTTTTTGAGACAGAGTCTCGCTGTTTTGCCCAGGCCGGACTGCAGTGGCGCTATCTCGGCTCACTGCAAGCTCCGCCTCCCAGGTTCATGCCATTCTCCTGCCTCAGCCTCCCGAGTAGCTGGGACTACAGGCGCCCACCACCGTGCCCGGCTAATTTTTTGTATTTTCAGTAGAGACAGGGTTTCACCGTGTTAGCCAAGGTGGTCTCGATCTCCTGACCTCGTGATCCGCCCGCCTCGGCCTCCCAAGGTGCTGGGATTACAGGCGTGAGCCACCGCGCCCAGCCAATGTATTTTATTTTATGTATTTATTTTTGAGACAGGGTCTCGCCCTGTCACCCAGGCTGGAGTATAGTGGCATGAACATGGCTCACTGCAGCCCCAACCTCCTGGGCTCAAGGGACCCTCCCATCTCAGCCTCCCAAGTAGCTGAGACCACAGGCGTGCACCACCATGCTGGCTTTTTGTTTTTGTTTGTTTTTTGAGACGGAGTCTCACTCTGTCTCCCAGGCTGGAGTGCAGTGGCACGATCTCGACTCACTGCAACCTCTGCCTGCTGGGTTCAAGTGATTCTCTGCCTCAGCCTCGCAAGTAGCTGGGATTACAGGCGCCTGCCACCACGCCCAGCTAATTTTTTTTGTATTTTTAGTAGAGACACGGTTTCACCATGTTGGCCACGCTGGTCTTGAACTCCTGACCTCGTGATCCACCCGTCTTGGCCTCCCAAAGTGCTGAGATTACAGACATGAGCTATCACGCCTGGCCAATTTTTTTTTTTTTTGAGACGGAGTTTCACTCTATCGCCCAGGCTGGAGTGCAGTGGCGCTATCTCAGCTCACTGCAAGCTCCGCCTCCCGGGTTCACGCCATTCTCCTGCCTCAGCCTCCCGAGTAGCTGGGACTACAGGCGCCCCCCACAGTGCCCGGCTAATTTTTTGTATTTTTAGTAGAGACAGGGTTTCACCATGTTAGCCAGGATGGTCTCGATCTCCTGACCTCGTGATCCGCCTGCCTCGGCCTCCCAAAGTGCTGGGATTACAGGCGTAAGCCACCGCGCCTGGCCCCAATTTTTTTTTTATTTTTGTTTTTTGTAGCGATGAGGTCTCACCATGTTGGCCATACTGATCTCAAACTCCTGGGCTTGAGTGATCCTCCCACCTCAGCCTCCCAAAGTGCTGGGATTACAGGTGTGAGCCATCATGCCCAGCCTCAATATTTTTTTAAAGAGATGTTTGTTTCCCAAACTTCCACGCAAGACTCTGGAGCTACAGGCCACTCTGCAGATGGCATGCTTGCTGAGTGGCTGTGTCTGTGGCCACAGGTGTGACTAGTCATGCCTGAATTCCACCAAGAAAGCACCAGGCCTGTCTAGCTCACATTCCAGGACATGCCAACACTTCCTGCAGGGTCAGAGACCAGAAGGTTCCCTGGCGAGGGGCGCCTGTGGGGTAGGGAGTGCCAAGTTGGGGGACAAGATGAGACAGCAGGTGGCCTGAGGGGTGGGAGCGGTCCTCTGCAAGGTAGGAGGCTTGTAGTAGGTGGTCCAAGGAGCATCCAAGGGGACAGCGGGGCAGCCTTCTCCACCAGCCCCTTCACTGCCGGGTGAGCTGGGGACCCATGGCTGCCAAGGGAACGATGTTGAAAACACAAAGCACCAGGGGCAAGGAGGCCCCGCCCGGAAAAACAACATCCTGGCTGCTAGAGCCCAGGCAGGCTCTATGGGAGGGGCTATTTTTAGCTGCTGAGGCTGCTGGGGCTGGACTTGTATGGCCTTGCTGTCTGGCTGCATAACTCACCCATTATCCCGCCTGACCTTGAGCTGGGCGTCTGTCTGAGAGGCCTCTCTGTCTGCCCTTGCCCTCGGCCACAGCCCCTCTCTGGGGTGCACCTGGGCCACACAGAACCCAGGCAGGAGTGAGCTGGCCTGGGCCTGGAAACACACTGGACTGTAGCCTCAGGGCGCCCCAGGCCTGGCTCAGGTTCTAGGGCAGCAGAGGGCACTGGGCCCTCCCAGAAGAGAGGCAGAGGCTCTCCTGGGGCACAGGTCACAGGTGTCCCCAGCATGGAGGGCAAGAAGATTCCAGAGGGGGACATAAGTCCTTTTATTTTTTGAGATGGAGTCTTGCTCTGTCGCCCAGGCTGGAGTGCAGTGGTATAATTGATCTCGGCTCACTGCAACCTCTGCCTTCCGGGTTCAAGTGATTCTCCTGCCTCAGGCCCCTGAGTAGCTGGGAGTACAGGCACCCACAACCATGCCCGGCTAATTTTTGTATTTTTAGTAGAGACGAGGGTTTCACCATGTTGCCTAGGCTGGTCTCGAACTCCTGACCTCAAGTGATCTGCCTGCCTTGGCCTCCCAAAGTGCTGGGATAACAGGCATGAGCCACCGCGCCCGGCCAGGACATAAGTTCTCTTATTGTAGATGTTCTGGGCTCCAGCCACACCCTGGGCCGGCTCTGTGGGCTGAGGGCTATGTGTGAAGGAAGCTCCAGGTCTCAAAACTCTCTTGCCCACGCCCAGGGGTCCTGCCCTGTTCCTGGAGGGGTGATGCCTGCATTTAATGCTGGGCACAAACAGTACAAACAGCAAAGGCAGGTCCAGAACTAGGCTGCGGCATGAAAGATAAAAATAGCTGGTGGGAGTCAGGCCATCCCAAGTAAACACTCAAGCAGCCAGGACGGCAGTGGGGCTGGAGAAGCCACCTCTGGCTGCCCGTGCTGGGAAAAAGGGAGTGGGGGTGCCCCAAAGGGCAGGTACCCTGTTCCAGCCCCCTTCTCCCAGGCCAGGGCTCCCTCTCAACAGGAATCCTGGGACGAGGGGCTCCGGCCCCTCTCCTGCCTGCCCACTCAGCCAGCTTACAAATGAGAGCGGTTCTGGGAATCCTTGGGTAGAGAGGATGGAAAAGGAGTCATTCATTCAACAAGTGTTTATTGAGCATCTACTACATGCCAGACACTATTCTAGAAACCTGGGAAAGGAGGGGTTAGGGTAGCTTGGAGCTGTCCCAGCTGTAGCTCTGTCTCCCAGAAGTGAGGTCTGCAGGGGAACAGGGTCTGGGGGTCCTCCTGCCTGGGAGAGGGAAGGCTGAGTGTATAAAAAGGTGGAAGCCTCTAGAAATGAGAAGGCTGGGTGTGTGGGACTCATGCTGGTGCCTTCCCAGACGAAGGAGAGGGCCCAGAGGAGGCAGCTTCCTGGAGCAGAGACGGCAGCAGGAGCGCCCGTGCCCGGCATCACCTCCTCTTCAGCACGGATATGCAGGACTTCTTGAGGGGCCCGATCTGCAAGTGGGCGTCCACACTCTCCAGGAAGAAGGCAGGCTTGAGTCTGTGGGTGAAGAGCCCCGCAAAGTGACTGTCCAGGCGGCTCTGGAAGGGGTCAATGGGGGAGGCCGGGATGCCACCCCGGCGGGGCCGGGAGGCCTTCAGCCTCCGCAGGAGGCTCATCTTGCCGTCCCGTACAGCATAGAAGGCCAAGGCACGGTCAGCGTATTCCAGGCAGACCCCAACCGTGGGCGAGAAGGGGTGGGGCAGGGGAGCCTCCAGCCCATGAAACCAGACGGAGAAGCTGCGTCCATTCCACTGCAGGCAGCAGGAGTGGGCGTTGCGGCCCAGCCGGCCGCGGTCGTAGGGCTCTTGTGGGGAGAAGTCTTCGGCCATGACCCCCATGCTGACCCAGCCCTCGATAATCTCCACCTCCCAGTAGTAGGTGCCTCGGTCCAGGGCACCCTCGCCCAGCACCTGCTCACAATGGGTGAAGCGGGTGGGCGACAAGGGGTAGTTGATAGGACACAGCACCCTCTTGACACCTTTGGTTCCAAACAGCTGCAGGAACTTGTCTGCTGTGTCGCTGTCCAAATCCACAATATAGGCAACTGATCCCGTGGACAGAAGAGAGAGGCAGGGCTCAGGGCCAGGCTCAGAGGGCACGGCCCCTCCCCAAGTACCCACCCCCCCAAAACACAGCCTCTCCCCTGCTTTCCAACCGGCACAACCCAGCCCCGCCGGGGACCACCCCAGGAGCTGCCCTAGCTCTCCCCACAAACTGGGGAGAGGAATCCTAACCCTTGTGTGCCAGGGCCCTGCTGGGACCAGCCCAGCAGCCCTGGGAGGGCCCAGTGTGAGTGGAGGGGGCACGGGCGTCCACTTACACTTGAGGAAATAGTCCCTGGGAGCTTCACTCTCCAAGAGGTTCGTACTCTCGAGGTCTTGGGGCTCAGCATCAGCTGTAGAAGAGGAGACAGTGGTGAGAACGCCCCCAGACTGCCCCCCTCTGAACCTGTGACTACAATCCCTACCCCCTTCACTTCCTCCCAGAGTCCAGAGCCACCAGGGAGCAAGCACCACCCAGATGTGGCACGCTGTGCTCACACACATGCCCGTTGCCTGTGTTCTGCCTCTTGCCCCATGTGCTTCCCGGGCCACAGCCCTCTGGAGCTAGAGGGTGGGCTAGGAGAAGCCCCCTCTACCCCAGGTCCAAGGGGCTGATTGATCCCCACAGGGTGGCAGCTCTAGTCACTGGCAGGATTTGGGCTCCTCCCTGTGCCAGGCACAATTTTCCTCCTCCACTTCTGGATGGGCGCCAGGCCTGGGGGCCTGTGCGAGAGGCTGGCAGAGGGTGAGTCATCGGGGGGGCGTGGGGCGGTGCCCACCTTCCGAGTCCAGCTTCTGTGGCCCATCCTCGTTGCCACCCGGCCCCCTCAGCTGCTCCCACTGGTTGACGCAGGCCACGGCCAGCATGTCTCTCACTGCACGGACAGCTTGGGATGATTTGGTGAAGCTGAGCTCCCTCGGGGGTCCAGGCCCAGGGCCACACCCATCCTCCAGGGCCAGCCTTAGTGCCAGCAGCTCCTGTGCCAGACAAATGCCCATTAAAGTGCTGCTGGCCATGGCTCCTCCTTGCTGGGGGTGGAGGCAGCTCTGCCAGGAAGTCATGCACCCACTGCCTCCTCCTCCCTCCACCCCACCTGTCCCAGCTTCTGTTCCTTCCGTGGCCCCCAGAGCGGCCTTCACCTGCAGGAAGCTGACTGAGTCAGCTTCAGGGACCTGGCTGAGATTCTGGCGGGCTCGGCTCAGGCGGCTGCGCTGTTCCTCCTGTCGCCGCAGGTCACCCTGGGAGCGGCCTAGCATGGCAGCTTCCCCCTCCTCGATGAAGCCCAGCACCTGGGTCTGGAAGCCCTGCAGGGCGGCCGCAGCATCTGCAAACAGCCGGCTCACCCTCTCCCGCTCTGCTACGGCTGCACTCTGCACAGGACGACAGTAGAGGGGGCAATGAGGGCAAAGAACCGTCCCGGACTGTACCCCCCTCCTTCCCTGACCCCGGCTTCCCACCGGCCCTCTTGAGGGGACAGAGGGGCCAGACTGAGCCTGTCCTGGATCTGGGCCAGGTCAGGGGACACTTGTGCTCAGTAGGTATGGGCATGGTTTGTTTGGAGTGGATTGTTCCATGCTGAGGGAGGGGTGTTTGACCTTGATGAGGGCCACTGTGCGCCTGGACTGTGCAATGCCAGCACCCAGCTCGTCCATGCGGTCCTCCACGGCGCTCAGGACTTTGGACTGCTCAGCCTGTGGACAACACCCTCCATGAGTGTGAGGTCTGGCAGAGGCCACAGCCCTACACTCGGGTCCCAGGCCTTGCCAGGGGAGAGAAGGGGGTGACTGGGGAGTGGTATCTGTGCATCAGGTGGGACTGGAGTGGCCACGATGTCCCATAATATGCCAGAGGTGCCTGCAGCCCAGGCTGGTGCCTTTCCTGAACGCCTGGGGGGCGTGCAGGCTGACTGGGTGTCTGCCTCGGGTCTCTGACAGGAGGCCTAGTACAGGGCCGTCCGCTGGTCTCAGTGTTGCTCAGATGAATTTGAGAACTTCCTCCGGCGGGGAAGAGGCAGAGAGTAAGCCAGTTAGGTTGGGAGGTGGGCGGCGGAGGGGTGACTGCACAAGGAGGCATTAAGCTGTCCTGAGGATCACTGTTCCCAAAGAGCCTGCATCCACAGTCCAGGCCTGGAAAAAAGGGGATTCCGGGCAAATCCCCTAGGTCTTATGAGTCACTGCTCCAGGCAGGAGAAACGGAAAATCCCTTGGCCAGAGGCGCCAAGACCGGGCTGGAGGCCAAAGGAAACTGGGGGCGGGAGGTAGAGGCCGCGGCTCACATGCTCCCACCACTGGCCCCCGGAACAGCTGGACAGAGAATCTGTGTGCCCGGTCGCCCTCTGCCGCCCTCCTGCCGCCTGCCACACCCATCGAAAGCTGCTGCCTCAGCCCAGGGCAAATCTGAGCTGAGACCGGCGTGACCCTCCGGGCGGGAGCAGCAGCCACGCTACCGGAACCCCGCGGGCCTAACCCGGCTCCCTCCCGCCTACACCCCCATAGACCCCGGCCCGGCTTCAGGTCCCCTGCCCGCTCTTCGCGTCCTTGTCCTGTTCTCACGTCCCTCCTTCCTCCCTTCCCATCTCCATCACCGCCAGCAGATGACCTTGTCAAGGCTGGAAGGGACCGCAAAGATCCTCAGGTTAGAGGAGGAGATTAAGACCCAACCCGGGAAGACTGGGGGGTCCAAGGTCCTCGGCCCGCTCGCGCGCGGTCGGTCACCAGCCCCGGCTCACCCGAGTGTGCCCCCGGAGCCCACCTCCTGAAGCGCGCGCTCCTGCTCCAGCGGCACCAGCTCGTGGCCGCGGTGCTCCTGTGCGGCGCAGGCCTCGCACAGACACACGCGCTCCGCGCGGCAGTAGCGCTCGAGCGGCCGTAGGTGGCGCGGGCACAGGCTCTCCTCTAGCCGGCGCAGCGGCGGCACCAGGCGGTGTCCGCGGAGGGCGGGGCTGCGCTCGTGCGGGCCCAGGTGCGCGGGGCAAAAGGAGGCGAGGCAGGAGAGGCAGGACAGCGCGGCGGGCAGGGCCGCGCCCTCGGGGCACGCGTCGCAGCGCACTGGCTCTTCGCCCGCGGGCCACGGCTCGGGAGCGCAGGGGGCCGACGGCTCCGGGACACTGGGCAGCGCGCTGGGTGCCGAGGGCTCCGGGGCCAGGGCAGGGGCCGGGCCGGGGCCGGACCCGGGGCCCGAGCCCTGGCGGAGCTGCAGCAGCTCGGACAGCGTGTGGTTCTTGCGGAGCTGAAGGCCGTCGGGGAAGGGCTCCTGGCACAGCGGGCAGCGGGCCGCGCCTCCGGGTCCGCCGGCTCCACTCGCGCCACGATGCGGCCAGAGCGCGCCCAGGCAGGCGAGACAGAAGTTGTGGCCGCAGGGCAGCGTCACCGGCTCCCGGAGTGGCTCTAGGCAGATGGGGCAGCTGAAGGGTCCACTGCCGTCCATGACTCCGCGGCCGCCCAGGGCGCCGCCGATTGTGCTCCGGCCTGGGAGGGACCCGGGCCGTTCGCGCCGCGGCACCTCCCCCTGGGACCTAGGCCAGGGCTCCGGCCCCCGCCCGCCCCCAGCTCGGCCCGCCCCGCAGCACCGCCCGCCTGCGGGCCCGCGGACTCCCAGTCCCCGCCCAGACAACGCAGGGAGGCCTCCGAGCCCGCGCGACCCCCAGGGGAGTCCGCGTGGTCCTAAGGAAGGGCGCTGCTGAAAGGGTGTGAAACTGAGTGAGCGCGGGCGGAGAACGCGAGAGGTACAGTGGAAGGAATGGGAAGGACTCAGCCTCCATCCCTCTGGTCCTTCTGGGCCAGGCCAGCGCTCCGCAGGGGCTGGGCGCGTCTAGCTGTGTCATGCCTGCACCTTTGCGCTCGACCCCTCCCTGGCACCCTTAGCAAAGTTCCTGAGCTGCTGACTGCAGAGAAAAATAACTGCTGATGTACATATGTTTTTGCCCCTTAGCGACTCTTTTTTTTTTTTTTTTTGAGACAGAGTTCCTCTCTTGTCGCCCAGGCTGGAGTGCAGGGGCGCTATCTCGGCTCACTGCAACCTCCGCCTCCCGGATTCAAGTGATTCTCCTGCCTTAGCCTCCCAAGTAGCTGGAATTATAGGCGCTTGCCACCACACCAGGCAAATTTTTGTATTTTTTTGTAGAGACGGAGTTTCACCTTGTCCAGGCTGGTCTTGAACTCGTGACCTCAGGTGATCCACCTGCCTCGGCCTCCCAAAGTGCTGGGATTACAGGCGTGAGCCACAGCGCCCAGCTCCTTTAGCGACTCTTTACCCCAAGTAGGGAACTTGGACTTTTCTAGACCTGAAATGGGAAGTTGACGTCATTCCCTAAGTCCCTTGTCTGAGGAATGTAGTTCTGGCCCCTGGACACTGGGGACACCTGTGGTGGGGTTGGGGGTTCCCCAACTGGAAGTATTTAAAGCTCATCTAATTATGCACTTAAAGTGGTGCGTTTTATTGTATGAGTTATATCTCAATAATGTTAAGTTAAAACACTACACCAGAATGACAACAAAATAAGTAAAGTAGCACTGATTATAACCCAAAGTGTAAAATAAACATCTATGAGTCCATGCCGATATAAATAAATAATAAATTAACAAGCTGGGGAGAACAGACATATTTCGCATTGAAAATTCCAAATAATGTTTTTTTATTTTTATTTTTTTAGATGGAGTTTCGCTCTTGTCGCCCAGGCTGGAGTGCAGTGGCGCAATCTCAGCTCACTGCAACCTCTGTCTCCTGGGTTCAAGCGATTCTCCCTCCTCGGACTCTTGAGTAGCTGGGATTACAGGCGCCCGCCACCACATTTGGCTAATTTTTGTATTTTTAGTAGAGACGGGGTTTCACCATGTTGGCCAAGCTGGTCTCGAACTGCTGACTTCAGGTGATCCACCCGCCTCGGCCTCCCAAAGTGCTGGGATTACAGACATGAGCCACCGCACCCAGAGATATCTGTAATTTTGGTTAGTGACAAAGTCACAGGTAACTGCTCATACCACTCTGGTGTATTCTCTCCATTTGGAATAGAAAGAAATGCTGTGTTTCAGTAAGGTGCTGCAGCGTGGCTTCCTTCTGCAGGATCTGAGGGAGACTCTGTCCTGGGCGTCTGTCCCAGCTTCTGGTACTGGCTGGCAATTCTTGGCGTTCCTTGGCTTGTAGCTGTAAGATGCGCTCTAATATCAGTCTCTGTTGTCATTTGCCTTTTCTCTGTGTCTGTGTTCAAATGTCCTTTTTTTTTTTTTTTTTAGGGAGTCTTGCTCTGTTGCCCACTCAAACTGCTGGGCTCGAGTAATCTGCCTGCCTCAGCCTCCCAAAGTGCTAGGATTACAGGCGTGAGCCACTGTGCCCGGTGCCCATTTCCTCTTATCAGGACACCAGTTGTTGGATTAGGGCACGCTCTACTCCAGTATGCCCTCATCTTAACTCAGTCACATCTGAAAATACTCTATTTCCAAATAAGGTCACAGCCACAGGTCCTGGGGGTTAGGATCCGAATACGTCTTTTTCAGGGAACAGGATTCAACCTATAACAGTGCATAAGTAAGGAAATGTTGGAGAGAGGCCCAGGCCCAAATGTGCTAGAGGTCATGCATGTCCCCCGGTGTTCCTGGCCCTCTCTGTGTTCCAGGACCCTGGCCCTTCCCTAAACCTCAGCACACACTGCTGCTTGTCCCACACCCAAACCCTTGTCCACCTCTCCCACCGGGTCTGCATTCCTGCCTCTGTTTCCCCAGCTCTCTAGGCTTGGGGGGTGGGAAAATACCCTCAGGTCCCCTGAGACCAGACTAGAAATGTTCAGAAGGCACTTCATGAGTTCAGAGCTAAAGAGGAGAAAACACAAGCAAAAGAGCACAAATGTGCCGGGTGTGGTGGCTCACGCCTGGAATCCCAGGACTTTGGGAGGCTGAGGCGGGCGGATCACTTGAGGTCACGAGTTCCAGACCAGCCTGGTTAACATGGCGAAACCCCATCTCTACTAAAAATACAAAAAAATTAGCCGGGCGTGGTGGTGCACACACTTGTATTCCCAGCTACTCGGGAGTCTGAGGCAGGAGAATCGCTTGAACCAAGGAGGCAGAGGTTGTGCCACTGTACTCTCCAGCCTCGGTGACACAGCGAGACTCCATCTCAAAAAAAAAAAAAAAAAAAAAAGAAAAGAAAAGAAGAAAGAAAGAAGGAGGGACCCAGCCTCTTGGGGAGGGAGCTGGCTCTCCAGGCACTCAGGAACCCCTGTCTTAGTGTGTCTGGGCTGCTATCCCAGAACACCAGAGACTGGGTGGCTTATACACAACAGACACTCCTCACAGTTCTGGAGGCTGGAAGTCTGCGATCACGGTGACAGCACAGTCAGGGTTCCAGTGAGAGCTGCTTCCTGGGTTGTAGATGGCTGCCTTCCCACTGTGTCCTCACATGGCCAAGAGACAGCCAGAGAGCCTTTGGGGCCCCTTGGACAAGGGCACTCATGCCATGAATGAGGCTCCGCCCACCTGAAGACCCCACCTCCTAGGACCATCACCTTAGGGGTCAGGATCTCAACACATCAATTCTGAGGGTACACACACATTCAGACTGTTGCAACTCCAAGTGCCAAAAGAGCGGTGCAATCTGCTCCTGGGGGCTCCATGGGAAAGGCTGGGGAACTGTGGAAGTGGCATTTGAGCTGGGCTTTCACAGACTGCCAGGACTCAGGCGGGCAGAGACTGGGGTGGGAAAAGACCTTCCGGGCAGAGGGAGTAGCAGAGGGAGCCGGCCTGGGTGTGTCTGATTTGGCAGGAGGGTGGGTAATGAGTTCCATACATTGGTTTCCACCAAGAGCACTAGAGCACTTGATCAGGACTATCACTTGTTTGCCAAGCCCCAGGAGCGGTTGGGAGGCCCAGGCATCAGTGCCACCCTGCTCCGTGGCTTTGGTGCCCAGGCTGCCTGGGTTTGGTGAGGCCACAAACCTGCCTGGTTCTGGAAGGAGGGGGTGCCTTTCCGGTTGGGTCCCAGCCAACCCTCTGCTCCCCACCCACAGCCTGCTGTCCTCCCTGCTTGAAAAGATCTGCTCCCCAGGAGGAAAGCACAGAGATGCGGTTTGTCAGTGTGGTGGCATCTTGCTACTTCTTTTCTTTTTTTTTCAAATGGAGTCTCGCTCTGTCGCCCAGGCTGGAGTTCAGTGGCGCAATCTCATCTCACTGCAACCTCCACCTTCTGGGTTCAAGCGATTCTCCTGCTTCAGCCTCCCCAGTAGCTGGGATTACAGGCATGCATCACCACGCTCGGCTAAATTTTGTATTTTTTAGTGGCGATGGGGTTTCACCATGTTGGCCAGGCTGGTCTCAAACCCCTGACCTCAGGTGATCTGCCTGCCTCGGCCTCCCAAAGTGCTGGGATTACAGACGTGAGCCACCGCGCCCAGCCTGGCATCTTGCTATTTCATTTCCATTTCCAGAGTTTTGAAGTTGTTTGCCTAGTGTATTAGTTCACTTCAAAATGAATTGTCTAAGAGTCAAGGGCAAGGGTAACTGGCACCATGTGAGCTCAGCATGTTCACACCTGCCCTCATTCTGTCTGTCCAAGGACCCTATCCTAAAGGATGGCAACTGGAATTCCGATAGGTACCATGTCTTGCCAGAGGTCACATAACTTGTCCTGCAGAGGAAGCAGAATTTAAGCTCAAGAGGTTGCAGCTTGAATAATTATAAATCTCACATATGACTGTCTGGCTGTAGTAGTAGTGCTTGAGAAAAAAAGGAAAAAAATCAAACAAAAACAAGTGGCTGGGTGTGGTGGTTCACGCCTATAATCCTGGGACTTTGGGAGCCAAGGCACGAGGACTTGAGCTCAGGAGTTTGAGACCAGCCTGGGCAACACATTAAGACCCTGTCTCTGGAAAAAAAAAAAACAAAAACAAAAAGCAATCCGGTGATGACAGTAATTGAAAAGCTATTTCTAGCTTTTCTTCTGTCTCTGAAAATTATTGAAAGGGGATCCAAACACCATGTCCCTAACAGCACTTCCTTTTCTTTATGCTTTTTTTTTTTTTTTTAGACAGAGTCTCACTCTTTCCCCCAGCTGGAGTGCAGTGGCTTACTCTCGGCTCACTGCAACTGCCGCCTCCTGGGTTCAAGCCATCCTCGTGCCTCAGCCTCCAGAGCAGCTGGGACTATAGGCGTGCACTACCACGACCAGCTAATTTTTGTATTTTTAGTAGAGAGGGGGCTTCACCATGTTGACCAGGCTGGTCTTGAACTCCTGACCACAGGTGAGCCACCCACTCTGGCCTCCCAAATTGCTGGGACTACAGGCAAGAGCCACGGTGCCTAGCCTTCTTTATGCTTTTGATGTACTTTTTTGTTTTATTTTGTTTTTTGGTTAAAAAGCTTTTTTGTTTTTCTGTTTGTTTCATTGTCTTTTTTTCTCACTGTCTCTGAACAAGTTTTTTTTTTTTTTTTTTTGAGACGGAGTCTCGCTCTGTCGCCCAGGCTGGAGTGCAGTGGCGCCATCTTGGCTCACTGCAAGCTCCACCTCCCGGGTTCATCCCATTCTCCTGCCTCAGCCTCCCGAGTAGCTGGGACTACAGGTGCCTGCCACCACGCCTGGCTAATTTTTTGTATTTTTAGTGGAGAGGGGGTTTCACCGTGTTAGCCAGCATGGTCTTGATCTCCTGACCTTGTGATCCACCCGCCTCGGCCTCCCAAAGTGCTGGGATTACAGGCGTGAGCCACCGCGCCTGGCTTTTTATGTATTTTTAAACATTTGGTTTGTATGAATGTCAAATGAATATATTTATATTATTTAAAAAGTAAACAGGCCAGGTGCGGTGGCTCATCTGTGACGAGGAGTTTGAGACCAGCCTGGCCAACATGGCAAATCCCTCTGTCTACTAAAAATACAAAAATTAGCCAGGCATGGTAGTGCATGCCTGTAGTCCCAGCTACTCAGGAGGCTGAGGCAGGAGAATTGCTTGAACCCAGGAGGGAGAGGTTGCAATGAGCCGAGATTGGGCCACTGCACTCCAGCCTGAGTGACAGTGAGACTCCATCTCAAAAAATAAATAAATAAATAGATAGATAGTAAACAATTTAGGTCAGGCGCGGTGGCTCGCGCCTGTAATCCCAGCACTTTGGGAGGCCGAGGCGGGCGGGTCACCTGAGGTGGGGAGTTCAGGACCAGCCTAACCAACATGGAGAAACCCCATCTGTACTAAAAATACAAAAAATTAGCCGGGCGTGGTGGCACATGCCTGTAATCCCAGCTACTCCGGAGGCTGAAGCAGGAGAATCGCTTGAACCCAGGAGGCAGAAGTTGCAGTGAGCCGAGATCATGCCATTGCACTCCAGCCTGGGCAACAAGAGCGAAACTCCGTCTCAAAAAAAAAAGTAAACAATTTAACAAGGCTTATAACAAAAACTAGTAATGTTGTGTCCCACTGACTCCCCATGGACAACCAATCTCAAGTCTTGTAATGATTTCTTTTAGCGTCTGCCTCCACATCTCTAAGCCGTTTAAGGTTCCTTCTTGCTCTCCTTTTTTGTTTTTCTTTTTTGAGACAGGGTCTCACTCTGTTGCCCAGGCTGGAGTTCAGTGGCACAATCACAGCTTACTGCAGCCTCAACATCCCGGGCTCAGGTGATCCTCCTGCCTTAGCCTCCCAGGAAGCTGGGACCACAGGCGCACGCCACCATGCCAGGCTAATTTTTGTATTTTTTGTAGATATGGGTTTTCACCATATACGTGGTTTTCAGGACCACGCTGGTCCTGAACTCCTGGGCTCATGTAATCCGCCCATCACAGCCTCCCAAAGTGTTGGGATTACAGGTGTGAGCCACCTCGCCCCACTTGAGTTCCTTTTTTTTTTTTTTTTGAGACAGAGTCTTGCTCTGTGACCCAGGCGGGAGTGCAGTGGTGCAATCTTGGCTCACTGCAACCTCTGCCTCCCGGGTTAAAGCGATTCTTCTGCCTCAGCCTCAGCTGGGACTATAGGTGCCCACCACACCCAGCTAATTTTTGTATTTTTAGTAGAGACGGGGTTTCACCATATTGGCCAGGTTGGTCTCGAACTCCTGACCTCGTGATCCACCTGCCTCGGCCTCCCAAAGTGCTGGGATTACAGGCGTGAGCCACTGTGTCCAGCCCCAGGTTCCCTTTTTTAACTCAAGACATTGCTAAGCCTTGTGTAACTTTTTAATTTTTAAATATTTATTTATTTAGTTAAAGAAAGGGTCTTGTTCTGTCACCCAGGCTGGTGAGATCACAGCTCACTACAGCCTTAACATCCTGGGCTCCAGCAATCCTCCCAGTTCAGCCTCCCAAGTAGCTGGGACCACAGGTGTGCACCACCATGGCCAACTAATTTTTGTATTTTTGGTAGAGAGGTGTGTTACCACATTTCCTAGGGAGGTTTGCAGCCTCCCGAAGTGCTGCGATTGCAGGCGGGAGCCACCGCGCCCAGCCAGCTTGTTTGTGCTCATGTTTCTGGAGACTGCAGATGCTTGATTACTTCTCCTTTGTGTTGAATTCCCCGTTTCCTGGATCCCAGACCTCCCTTTTCCCTTCACTGATTTACTTCTTCATTTTTGAAAAGTCTGCCCTCTGGGTGCTTCCTGAGGATGGAGGCTGACGTGTCTGCAAGTGTCTCTGTTCGGGCTTCATCCCTGACTGACAGTTTGGCTGGGCATGGAATCCTAGGATGGAAATCCAGTCCCCCAGGATCTCAAGGGCTGGCTCCATTGTCTTCTACCTTCCAGCTTGATGCTACTCAAAGCCTCAGTTCCAGGCAGCGTCCTGCT
Organism: Homo sapiens; assembly: GCF_000001405.40. Taxonomy (NCBI): domain Eukaryota; kingdom Metazoa; phylum Chordata; class Mammalia; order Primates; family Hominidae; genus Homo; species Homo sapiens. The sequence continues at coordinate 75,885,880 of NC_000017.11, forward strand.
CCTATCCTGCCTGGAAAGGCACATCCCCTTGTTCTCTTTACCCTTCACCTCTGATATGGTTTGGCTGTGTCCCCACCCAAATCTTATCTTGAATCCCAGCTCCCATGATCCCCACGTGTCGTGGGAGGGACTTGGTGGGAGGTAATTGAATCATGGGGGCTGGTTTTTCCCATGCTGTTCTCATGGTAATGAATAAGTCTCACGAGATCTGATGGTTTCATAAAGGGCAGTTCGCCTGCACACGCTTTCCTTGCCTGCCTGCCACCATATGAGACATGCCTTTGCTCCTCCTTCGCTTTCTACCATGATTGTGAGGCCTCCCCAGGCATGTGAAACTGTGAGTCCATTAAACCTCTTTCCTGGCTAGGCGCGGTGGCTCACACCTGTAATCCCAGCACTTTGGGAGGCCGAGGCGGGCGGATCACGAGGTCAGGAGATCGAGACCATCCTGGCTAACGTGGTGAAACCCCGTCTCTACTAAAAATACAAAAAACTAGCCGGGCGTGGTGGCGGGCACCTGTAGTCCCAGCTACTCAGGAGGCTGAGGCAGGAGAATGGCGTGAACCCAGGAGGTGGAGCTTGCAGTGAGCCGAGATTGTGCCACTGAACTCTAGCCTGGGTGACAGAGCGAGACTCCGTTTCAAAAAAAAAAAAAAAAAAAAACCAAAAACGTCTTTCCTTTATAAATTGCCCAGTCTCAGGTATGTCTTTATTAGCGCACAAAAACAGACTAATACACCTCTCTGGCCTCCAATCCAACTCCCTCCAATCCAGCTGGCCTGTGAGGTCCCTGTCTTTCACAACCTCTCCTGCCCTTGTTCTGTCTCTGGGTGACCATCCACCTGATTGTGCACAACTGAAGCCCAGAATCTGTAAGGGGGTCTGGTGGGTAGGCCAGACATGCTGGAAACACCCACAAGCTAATCAAACACGTCCCCTTTCCAAATGTCACATCCCAACTCTGTGCTGCCTTTTCCCTCGATACCAGCGTGCGTTTTCCTGGAGAGACGGTGGAGAGTTCTATCAGAATCAGTTCGGCTGGCTGGGCATGGATCACTTGAAGCTAGGAGTTCAGGACCAGCCTGGGCAACACAGTGAGAACCCCATTCTTGACAAGAAATTTAAAAATTAGCTGGGCGAGGTGGTATGCGACTGTAGTTCCAGCTACTCAGGAGGCTGAGGCAGGAGGAGGAAGGATCACTTGAGCCCGGGAGGCAGAGGTTGCATCCTGCCCTTGCACTCCAGCCAGGGTGACAGAGTGAGGCCCCATCTCTTAAAAAAAAAAAAAAAAAAAAGAAGAGAAAAAGCAAAAAGAAAAAAAAAGCAATGGCTCACACCTGCAATCCCAGGTGTGGATCCCTTTGGGAGGCTGAGGCAGGCAGATGACATGGGTCAGGAGTTTGAGACCAGCCTGGCCAAACTGGTGAAACCATGACTCTACTAAAAATACAAAAATTAGCTGGGTGTGGTGGTGGGCGCCTATAATCCAAGCTACTCGGGAGGCTGAGGCAGGAGAATCACTTGAATGTGGAAGGCAGGGGTTGCACTGAGCTGAGATTGCTCCACTGCACTCCAGCCTGGGCAACAGAGTGCAACCCTGTCTCAAAAACAAAACAAATTAGCTGGGCATGGTGGCGGGTGCCTGTAGTCCTAGCTACTCTGGGGGCTGAGACAGGAGAATGGCATGAACCCAGGAGGCAGAGGTTGCAGTGAGCCAAGACTGTACCACCGCACTCTAGCCTGGGTGACAGAGTGAGACTCCGTCTCAAAAAAAAAAAAAAAAAAGAAAAAAAGATAAAGGGTGGGAGTCTCTGAGCCTATGTTGACTTGGGAGGCTGTCCATTAGGAAGAAAAGAGGGGGGCCGGACATGGCGACTCACGCCTGTAATCCCAGCACTTTGGGAGGCCCAGGCGGGTGGATCACGAGGTCAAGAGTTTGAGACCAATCTGACCAACATGGTGAAACCCCATCTCTACTAAAAATACAAAAATTACGCCGGGCGTGGTGGCTCACGCCTGTAATCCCAGCACTTTGAGAGGCCAAGGTGGGTGGATCACAAGGTCAGGAGATCGAGATCATCCTGGCTAACACGGTGAAACCCTGTCTCTACTAAAAAATACAAAAAGTTAGCTGGGCGTGGTGGCAGGTGCCTGTAGTCCCAGCTACTTGGGAGGCTGAGGCAGGAGAATGGTGTGAACCCAGGAGGCAGAGCTTGCAGTGAGCCGAGATTGAGCCACTGCACTCCAGCCTGGGCAACAGAGTGAGACTCTGTCTCAAAAAATATATAAATAAATAAATAAATAAATAAATAAATAAATAAATATTAGTCGGGTGTGGTGGTGTGCGCTTATAATCCCAGCTACTCGGGAGGCTGAGGCAGGAAGATCGCTTGAACCCGGGAGGCGGAGCTTGCAGTGAGCTGAGATCACGCTATTGTACTCCAGCCTGGGCGACAGAGCAAGACTCTGTCTCAAAAAAAAAAAAGAAAGAAAGAAAAAGGGGTTATTATTAATAATATAGAACACGCTCGCAGAATATAGAAAGAACCACCACCCAATAGGAAGATGAATTTCACATAATAAATGACCCCAAACACCTCCCACCTCAGAAGCAGAAAGGGGCCAACTCTTCCTCTCTCTGCCCCTTTCAGAGCGCGGCTCAGCCCGTTGGGTGCTTCTGCTGCAGCCTTGGATTAGGAGGGACTATGAGGTGGGGACAGCAATGACAGCCATCTGGCCAGGCCAATACATCCTGCCTGGCTGGGCTTTCAGCTCCCACCATTGCCCCTAGCTGGTCAGCAAGGTCCTGCCCGCCTCCTGGCTGTGGGGCTGCACATGTCAGATTCCCTTCCCATGTCTGGGGAGCTCCCACCTGAGGATCTTGCTGGAAAGTCCTTGCCTGGGCTGTGCCAATCCAAGGCCCTGCCCTGCTCTTGAACAAACAGCCACAGGCTAGGAGCAGGGCCACAAGATGGAGGCTGCAATGACGGCAGTGATCGGGGTGGGGTCGTCGTGGGAGGTTTTTTTTTTTTACAAATATAAAAACATTATATATATTGGGGGTATGTATATTACACGTATTATCCTTTTAAAAAGTTTTATTGTGAAATATTTATCCATGAGTACATATAACATAGATGTCCAGTTTTTCAAGTTACAAAAAGCAGACAGCCCTCCCTTTTTTTTTTTTTTTTTGAGACAGAGTCTCGCTCTGTCACCCAGGCTGTAGTCCAGTGGTGCAATCTCAGCTCACTGCAACCTCACCTCCTGGGTTCAAGCGATTCTTCTGCCTCAGCCTCCCCAGTAGCTGGGATTACAGGCGCACACCACCATGCCCGGCTAATTTTTGTATTTTTAGTAGAGACGGGGTTTTGCCTTGTTGGCCAGGCTGGTCTCGAACTCCTGACCTTGTGATCCGCCTGCCTCGGCCTCCCAAAGTGCTGGGATTACAAGCGTGAGCCACTGCGCCTGGCCAAAAGCAGACACCCTTGGAACCACCTCCCAGAACAAGAAGTGGAACATTTCAAGTAAAAAAAATTACACCTGCCCTATGACCCAGCAACCCCACTTCCGGAAATACAAGCAAAATCATGCCCAGGGGTCTTCGTGGCAGCTTGCTCTGCAATGGCAAACACCACACCAAACCAGGAGGAGCTAGCCTGTGCCGACACCTGCACACACGGCTGCCCCAAAGTCCCACACCCAGGGGTGGGATGCTGGAGATGAAGGTCCTGCCAGTGTCACGTGCTGCTTAGTGACAGGGTTGAGGGGCCTTAGTCGGCTTGACTCAAGGTGGCCTCACTGTGGCCTTTTGTATAAAAAAATCTTCAAGTGCTCATTGTTCCCTGAGTGACTCACTTGAGGTAACAGCCTACATACATGACCATAAATGTGGCCAAACATCCCACTCAGAAATATTCATCATAAGCCAGGCGTGGTGGCATACACCTGTAATCCCAGCTACTCAGGAGGCTGAGGTAGGAGAATCCCATGAGCCCATGACCGCACCCCTGCACACCAGCCTGGGTGACAGATGGAGATCCTGTCTCAAAAAAAACACATCAATGTTTGTATAGCTAAAAAGAAAGAAATTTAAATGTCCAATAATGGATAAATAAACTTGATAGTCATTAGAATGACTACAGCAATCAGTGAAAATTTTCAATCATGTGAAAAATGCTTATGTTAAGTCAGGAAACTTCAGAAAACACTGTAATCTGAGCTACTCTGGAGGCTGAGGTGGGAGGATCCTTTGAGCTCAGGAGCTCGAGGCTGCAGTGAGCCATGATTGTGCCACTGTACTCCAGCCTGAGTGACAGAGCAAGACCATCTCCTAAAAACACAAAAATGTTTAAATGCAGAAAACAAAATTGTTTGTAGAATACAATTATAAGGATGCACAAAATAAAAAGACTACAAGACAGGACGGACGTCTCTCCAAATGTTACAAAAAATTAAAGAGAGCTGCAGGCGGGGAGGAGGGAGGAATCTGTCTCCCCCTGGGACTACTCTGGCTCACCGCCCCTCCCTGACTGCTCCTTTGGCCCTTATCATCTCCAGAGGCAAGTTCAGGTAGATCTGAATTTTGTCACACACGCTGTCCTGTAAGCCCAGAAGTCCCCTGGGCACTGCTCTCGCCTCCCAGGCCCAGACAGTACCTAGAACTGGGTTCTCTCTGGGGCAAGGGCATCCCATTTATCCCCCTCCTAGACTGTGTCCCCTTCAAAAAGGCTGCAACAGTGAACTCTGCGTTTATGCTCACCTCCCCCAACCTCCCATCTCTTTCTGAGTTAACAGAGAGGCCAACAGCTGGTCCTCCAGTCCCCAAGCTGAAGCTGGGCAGCTCTTGGGCACATAGGCATGGTGGCAGCTATGCCAGGGCTCCATCCCATGCCTTCTTCAGCTGAGCACCTCTTCCTGGGGCCCCAGAGGGAACACAGCCCCTGGCTGATGGCACAGGGTCAGGGTCCTACCCTCGAGGAGCCAGAAGACGGGGGTGAGGGGCTGGTTGAAGAGGGCATGGAAGGTGTACAGGGGCTGGGTCTGGGGCTCCAGGCTGTAGAAGGTGAGGCAGCCTGAGGCCAGGTCCAAATCCATGCCCAGGAGCCGCCCTGACACCCCTGGGAGGCGCTGGGCTTCCCCGTTGTGCCAGGCCTGGAGGCTGTCCTCCTGGACGCAGAGCCCCCAGGAGCAGGGTCCCCGGCCAATGTTGTCTGTGTGGGGCCCCAGCCTGCACCGTGGCAGTTGCGGGTAGGAGACGCCCAGTGTCACCGAGTGGTCTGACGCGCGCACCTCCCAGTAGTGGTGCCCGGCCTGGAAGCTCTGGGCACATTGCACCTGCCAGAGCTCAAAGCTGCCGGGCCCGCCTGGGCCCCGGGACTGACGACAGTGCTTCACCTGCTGGTCCTGGCGCGACAGATAGAAGTGACGGTTGGCGCTGACTGGATCAAAGGTCAGATTGCGATAATCTGTTGGGGAAAGGAGGACAGCAGTGGGCTGGGGGAAGACAGCACAACCAGATCTCCATTTATCCGCTGCTAAACCTCCGCCAGGCACGCTGAGCACCGGCCGTCACCATAGCACTTAATCCTCGCCACGACCTCGCAGGCGGAATCCTCTATCAGCCCCGTTCACAGCTGAGAAAACTGGGGCTCTGAGAGCCATTAACTCAGTGTTAAGTGGAAGAATTACGGGTCTGTGCCCCAGACTCTGTCCTTCAACGCACACTGGCTGCGTCTGCTTCAGGGTGGATGTGCACGAGGTGTGCAGCGGGTGGGACCAGGCTCAGATGTCCCGGCAGGACAGTCAAAACAAGTGCCCCCCTCACTCACACGTGCATACGAACATGCACACACACACGTGCTCACAGCACACACAGGCACTTCCTTGCACACGCACACACAGGGGCACACATACACGAACGGCCTCCTTACTCTGCCAGAGTTTCCTCCTCAGTGGACAAACTGTGCTTGGGACCGGTGCCAGGGGACCTGGGGCCTCTAGGGGGCAAAGCAGTGTTAAGGGAATGGTTGGAGAGGTCACGATGTGTGGGCCCTGACCCGCCTCCACCCCCCCAGCGGGAGGGGCAGCTGGACCCAGGACAGCAGGGGGAGGCCTGGGGTCAGTCTTACCCACGGGGGCTAAGTCCACAGGCTTGGCTGGTGCCCCAGGGTGGCTCCCCTCTTCCAAGAGGAGGCCACACAGCCGGCTTAGCAACTGCTTCAGGTCACCCAGCTGTTGGTCTTCATCCCACTGCAGAGGGGTCAGTGGCCCAAGAGGCCCTGGGGGCTGGAGGAGCTGCGATTCCTGAGCCCCAGGGAGAACAAGTAAGCCTGGGCCTGAGGGGCAGGGAAGCAAGTCCGCCACCTATGCCCTGAGCCCTCGCACCTGCAGGAAGGTCTGCTCATCCACCTGCTCCAGGAGCTCCCGGATCCTGCAGCCATGGCGAGCCACAGCCTCCAAATGGACCCGCAGCCGCTGCTCCTCGTCTCGAGCCTGTGCCAGCGCCTGCGTCTTGGCCACCTCGATGCTCCTCAGTGCTGTCGTGTGCTGTATTTCCAGGGCCTGTAGCAGGCTGCTGAACTTGCCGGAGACCCAGGAGGCCAAGATGCAGGCCGAGTTCTGGGCGGGAACAGGAGGGGCTTCAGGGTGGCCAGGGCCCTGTGCCATACCAAGGGAGGCTAGGGCCAGGGCTGCCTGCTGGGCTGAGGGTCAGGGATGTGGGGAGGCAGGGTCCCGGGAACCTCCCCAGGACCCCTGTGCCCAGCTCCCTGCTCAGCCCCGCTCCCTGCTGCCTGGTGTTCCAGGGACCAGCTGGTGGCCGCCCCAGGATGCAGTGTGAGGCCATGGTGGGCGGGCAGGCACAGGCCTCGTACCTGGATCTGGCTGCTTTGCTTGCGCAGCTCTAGTAGCTGGCCTTCGGCCTGGGTGGCCTGCTGCTGGGTAACCTCCAGGCTGGCTCTCAGCTGGGCCTGTGGTGCGGGCCCACGGGACAAGCAACAAGAGAAGGCCAGGATTGGCTGTGATGTCCTTTCTCAGACAACCAACCATGCCTGCAGACACCAGGCAGCCCCTCCCCACGCCACCCCAGGCCAGCCTCCAGAGCACCGGCCTCGGTCTAACCCAGGGAGAGTTGGGGCCGTGCCCCGGGGGGGTCCAGACAAAGTCCTTCCTAATCTGCAGCAGGGTGGTGCCTGAGCAGAGCGGAAGCCTTGGGCTCAGGACCCAACTTCCATTCCCATTTCTACCTCTTGCATGCTGAGCAAGCTGAGGCCAAGCACCTGTCCTCTCTGGGCCTAACCCCCCACCCATCAATACAGGAAAGCGATAATGCTGGCTCAGGAGGCCTCGCAGGGAGGACCCCAAACACTAAAGCCGTTGGTCCCTGTCTCACTGCAGAGGGGTCAGTGGCCCAGGAGGCCCTGGGGCTTGAGAAGCTGACTGCAGGGACCTCCCAAAGCACCAAAGCTGTCTGACAAGTGGGCAGTTACTTGCTGGATAAACTAGATTCTTCTGGGGATCCGGCCAGTCCCTGGCCCTAGTTTTGAGACTGAGAGGGGAGGAAGGGACCCCTATTCGGTTGCGCTCCCTGAGTCCCTTGGGAATCAAAACACCGTGCTCTCATGAGAGCAGGACAAACCACGCAGGTCCCAGGGGCTCCATTCCCAGCACCTGGTCAAAAGCTTCACCACCTTGTTTCTGCTCCTCCCGCAATGCACTGAGATGGGGACCATTACTATCCCCACATCACAGAGGAGGAAACGGGCTCAGAGAAGTTGATAATTTGGTCAAAGTCCTCAGATCTTCCTAAGCCCAGAGCTCCTCCGGGCCCCCAGCCTCCAGCATTTCACACAGGAACACAGGAGGCCGGAGGGCAGGCTCTCCCAGGGCACCCAACCCTCCCCCAGGGACAGGCACCCCCATGTCCCTTTCCCTCTCTCTTGCAAAATCCTGGCTCCCCTGGTGCTACTGGCTGCCCCTGTCGCTCCCTTCCTCCACATGGCCCTCATCTACCGGCCTCCAACTCAAACTTCCGTGCCTAGCTCAGTCTTCTGCACCCGCCCATGAGCAGTACATCTCGTCTCATCCTCCTCGGCGGCTTCAGCAGCTACAAGGAATGTCCCGCAACACTCTGGAGCCCTTTTCCTTCACCTCATCTCAGCCGCTCCTGTGAACTCACCCTGGCCCTGTCACCAGCTCTAAAATCTCCATTCTAGGCATCGATTCTTCCTTCTCTGACCACTGCCTTCGTGCCCTCTCCTGTTCCAGCCACCTCTGTCTCAGTCCTCCCACCTCACCGACCCCCAGCCGTGCACTCTCCCATCCCTCCCTGCCCATCAGGCCTCCTGGCCACCCCTTCCCTTCCTGTCCCATCCAGCGTCCCTGCGCCATCCTCCATCCACGCCTTAGCCCCAGGCCTCCTCTGTCCCCGAATGATTCCACATCCTGTCTTCGCTGCTGAAATGGGTTTTGTCAAGGGCACGGACCACCTCCACAGTACCGATGCTGAAGGTCATTTCTGTCCTCGTACTGAGCCTCTGATCAGCATGGGCATCCTGCCCGTTCTCTTCCTGGCACCCCTGTCTCCAGGTGCCACACAGGGCTGCCATTCCCCCGACCTTCCCCATCTCCCTGGGAGCTCCAGCTTGGAACCTTCTCTTCCTCCTAGCGCTAATGATTCCCAGCTCTCGACTTCCAGCTCCCCGCTCCTGAGCTTTGGAGCTCACAGCAAGCTCCGCCTCCCGGGTTCACGCCATTCTCCAGCCTCAGCCACCAGAGGAGCTGGGACTACAGGCGCCCGCCACCAGGCCTGGCTAATTTTTTGTATTTTTAGTAGAGACAGGGTTTCACCATGTTAGCCAGGATGGTCTCAATCTCCTGACCTCGTGATCCACCGGCCTCCGCCTCCCAAAGTGCTGGGATTACAGGCGTGAGCCACTGCACCCGGTGGTGGCCAGGCTGCGGGGGGTCCGGCCCCCTCCTGCTCCTGGCGGCAGCACCCACTTGAGGAGGTGACCCTCACTCATGGTGCACAAGCTGCAAACACAACAGCCCTTGGTCTGGCAGAAGAGCTCCAGCAGCTGCCCGGGGCGGGGTCAGCGCGCGGCAGGGCTGGGGCCAGGGTCCCAGGTGCCACAGGCCCGTCCCCTGGTTTGTCCCACTGGCCACTGTGACCTCTATATGTCCAAGGCCAAACTCTGCCCTCCACCTACGCCTCTCAGGACATAGCACCCCAGCCACCTGCGTGCTCAAGACAGAAACCCAGGTGTCTCCCTTGCCGCCCTCTCTGCTGTCCCCCGTGTCCCCTCTGGCCTGCTTTCGCCTCCACAAGGTACCACTTCCCCTCAGCGTTTCTCATCTCCTCCTCCATCTTGGTCTCCCTTCCCTGATCCCCAGCTGGTTCTTTGCCTCCCTGCACTCCTACCCGATTCGGGTCTTACATCCTGCCCCCTTCAGCCCCCAGCCAGGTGATCAGTCTCCATGAAGCCCAAATCTGATCATGTGCCAACCTGCTTCCAAGCCTATAATGGCCCCCATGACCCTACAGTAAGAGCCAGACTCCCCCAGGACCCTGCCCGATCCTGCCCCTGCTGACCCCCAGGGCCTGGCCCACAGATCTCAGTGGCACAAATCTGCCACTAGGGACCCCGCGTGCCCAGTTCTTTCCCATCCCAGAGACGGGACCAGGCTGATTCCTCTGCCTAGAATGCTCTTCCCCAGGTCTTTCTCCTGGCTTGCGCTTCCTCAATCCTCACATGCCAGCCTGAAGGCGGCCTCCCCTTCCTCCTCCTGGCCCGTTTAGCAGGGTCACCCCAACCCCTCTATCACATGCCATGTGCTTTCCTCACTGCATTTTGTAATAATACATTCACGCCTTACTGGAACACTGACTTCTTAAGTGGATTCTAAGTCTCTTAAGGGCAGGGAGCTCGTCTGATCCATTTACCAACAGCCCCCATAGCCCCCTCGCCCTCCACAACCCCGCACAGCGAATGAAAGGAGGCTCTCGGAGCGCAGGAGACACACGACGGTTCTCTAGCGCTTGGGCACGGAGCAGGGAGCTGCTGCCTCACGCCCAGGCTTTGTTCATCCAGAGGGCACCGAGCAGCTTCTGAGACCCACCCTGTGTCACTGGCCGGGCTGCATATCCCAGTCTGATGCACAGACCCACGATTTTTTGTTTGTTTATTTTCTGAGACGGAGTCTCGCTCTGTCGCCCAGACTGGAGTGCAGTGGCACGATCTCGGCTTACTGCAAGCTCCACTTCCCGGGTTCACGCCATTCTCCTGCCTCAGCCTCCCGAGTAGATGGGACTACAGGCGCCCGCCACCACGCCCGGCTAACTTTTTGTATTTTTAGTAGAGACCGGGTTTCACCGTGTTAGCCAGGATGGTCTCGATCTCCTGACCTCGTGATCCGCCCGCCTCGGCCTCCCAAAGTGCTGGGATTACAGTCGTGAGCCACTGCGCCTGGCAGACCCACGACTTTTATAATCAGCTCCCAGGTTGGGAGAAGCCCCTTACAGATGAGGCTCCCCGCCCCCGCCGGGTGCCCGAGAGAGCAGGGCGCGGCCCGCAGGAGTCACCCGGCGGTGGCCAGGCTGCGGCGGGTCCGGACCCCTCCCGCTCCCGGCGGATGCGTCACCTCGCGCTTGAGGCGCTCGGCATCCAGCAGCGCCCGCTCGTGGAGGCGACACTCGCGCACGGTGCACACGCTGCACACACAGCGGCCCTCGGTCCGGCAGAAGAGCTCCAGCGGCCGCCCGTGGCGGGGGCAGCGCGCGGCAGGGTCGGGGCCGGGGCCGGGATCGGGGCCGGGATCCCGGGCGGGCCCGGCGCGCACCACCTCCAGCACGCCGCTGAGGGCCACGTTGCGGCGCAGCTCGGCGCCGTCGGGAAAGGGCTCCCGGCACTCGGGGCACGCCTTTCCGCAGCGGTCCCACCAGTCCCGGATGCAGGCCCCGCAGAAGTTGTGGCCGCAGGGCAGCGTCACTGGGTCCTGGTAGAGCCCCAGGCAGATGGCGCAGGTCAGCTTCTCCTCCAGCAGCTGCGCGGCCATGGCCCGGCGGCGGCGAGAGCCAGGCGGGCCCCGGGCGTCTTAAAGGGACCGCGGGCCTCGCGCGCTGAGGGCGCCTGGGCGTGGCTAACGCGGGGCGGGGCGAGATCCGGGCGGGGCGGGGCGAGATCCGCGCCCGGGAAGGCGGAGGGGGGCGGCAGGCCCTTCTCTGACACCCTCGACGAGCGACCGCCGCAGGGGCCTAGGCCACCCCTGCCCACCTCGGCCTGGCCCGCTCGAAGGTTCCGCGTTCCCGCCTTGCGCCCCTCCCTCCGTTAGGGTCCACGCCACCCCGGCTGAGAGCTGAGTTCGGCTCTCTAGGGTCCCAGCCTGGCGGGTCCATCCCACCCCCCTGGGCCTTCAGCCCAGGTCCTGGAGACCAGAGGCTCGAAAACCCCGCCAGGACTCCGGGCTTCTGACCACGGGCCGCGCGGAACCTCTTCTGGACTCATCTGCCAGTCGCCTAACAGCATAGACCCCCACCCCCAACAATCCCCCGGGGCTTGGCGATGAAACGGGCTGGCGGGCTCCCTGCAGACCCGAGCACTGCTGCACTTTTTCCTGGAGCTGGGTTTCGGACACTTGCCAGACTGGGGTGTCTCCCTTCTCTGGGCTACACGTAATTTTGGTTCTTTTAAAGTAAACAGCGAGATGGAAATGTCTGGTCACCAAGAGACAGGGACCAGTTAACTGGTATTTTTCAAATGGCCCTGAATGAATACACAAACCAGCTTTCATCTGCAATCAGCATCCCCTCTTCCTGCTGCCCTCCGCTGGGGAGAGTTCCTTGCCTGGGGTCCAAGCTGATCTGCAGCCTCAGTATTTACAGGCACTCCAGCATTTCCCCTGAAGCTGAGCAGGCAAGGCGGGTCTGGGGCCTAGCGCCCACCTACCTGACAGTGTGTATCAGGCCAGGGGGAACCCCAGGAGAGTACGGCCTTTCTAACCAAGCTGGGCTGATGTTGAGGCGGCACGAGCTCTCACTGCTGCAGCAAGCACTGCGTCCTCTGTGCGGCCATAGACGAAGTTTCTTTCTGGACAAAGTGCACGGATCTACCCTCCACCTACTAGTTAGCCAGACTTCTGCTTTTGGTAAGGGAGAAACAAAACACCTAACCATCCAGCCGCAAGACTCCATGGGTTTTCTGACCCTGAGCAGGTCTCTTGAGACACGCTGTTGCCTACCTAATGTGGCTTCTCCTCCCAAGCATGGGGTGGGGGCTGGAGCCTGTGCAGAGGGTCAGTGCTCGGGCAGGCACTCTCTCTCCAGGGGCCGGTGGGACCCCCCTGAGGCACAGAGCCAGTGCTCAATAAATGCTCCTTCCTGAGCCCAGCTGCTCTGCTCCACTTTTTCGGGGAGCTGGGTTTCAGGAACCTGCTGGATTGGGATGTCTCCCTTCCCTGGGCCACACCTGTTTTTGGCCCACTGCCTGCTTTTGCTTCGGATCCCAGGGCCCCTGACACCCTCAGAAGACGGAGGTGAGGACGCACTTAGTGGGGTGGGAGGCAGCCCGTTTCCCACCCATGAAGCTCCATCGGGGTCCTCTGGCCCTGGAGCACCGACCCAGGCCAGCTATGGCAGAAATCCCTTTTTTTAAAAAATACAGGCAGGGTCTCATTATATTGCCAGCTGGTCTTGAACTCCTGGGCTCAAGCGACCCTCCCTTCTCAGCCTCCCAGTGTTGGAATTACAGGTGTGAGCCACCAAGCCCGGCAAGAAATCATGTTTATTCACATTCCCCACCCCACCACCTGAGAGTCACTTTCACTCCAAGCCCTGGGCCTGACGGGAGGGGGCCAAAGAGGGGGGCTGCCTAAGGCAGGGCCCAGACCCCACAGTGTGGGCCTCTGGAGCTGTGTCTTTACTCTTGCTGCCGATCAATCCCATGCTCTGAAATGCGCACACTCTGGCTCCTTAGTAGATGCCATAGGTGGGCTCATGACTGTCCCTGTACCGGTCCAGGTAGCGCAGGGGCTGCCGGTGGGGGAAGCGCTTCTGCTTGGGGTGGTAAGGGGGCGGCCGCACGAACTCAAACACCGGCTCCCGCATGTCTGCAAGAAGAGTGAGGGGTACGGGGTGGTCTGCTGGCCTGCGCCCCCTCAGGCTGAGGCCTGCCCACCAGGGACCTGCCGCAGCCTTCCCCTAACAAAGCTTCTCCCTGGCAGGGCAGGCGAGGCCTGGGAGCTCAGGCCCACCCAGTGCCCCAGCCCCATGGCCCTTACCCAGAAGCTGGTGGAAGATGTAGGTGACGGAGTCATCCCAGCGGCACTGGAAGAAGGACAAGCCGGCTGGAGTCATGGTTTCTTGGTGTTTCTTGTAGAAATCAAAAGTGCGGAAGGTCCGCTGGGCCAGCTGATAGCTATGAGAAGATAGAGAGCGTATGAGAGTGTGGAGTGGGGCACCAGAGCCCCTCACCCCGCCACCCCAACAGGTAACCCTGAGAGGCCCCTGGGAGTCTGCTAGCACCCTATCCTGCTCTTCTGCCAGTCTCAAGGCTGAGGTCAAGAGAGAACTGAGCAAGAGTGACCGTTCCAGGGGAGCTGGCCTGAGGCCGGGTTATGTGTGGGTGGTGTAGATTACCAGGGTGAGGGGCGTGCGTCCTCAGAGAAGTCAATCGGCTGGTCCTGCTTGAAGAGCAGGAAGGCAAGACGGTGGATGCCGGAGCCTCGGGCAGGGAAGGGGGGGAGGTAGGGACACGTCACCTGTCCTTCAGCCACCCGGTTACCCGGGATGTTGGTTCTGGGAGGAGGAAAGTCCCGGTTAATTACCACTCCAGGGAGGCAGCAGGAGTGTCCCCTCAGCTCCATGCACACCCTAGAGGCTGACATGACTCCCTGGGAGGACAGCTCTAAGCATCTCTCTCCTGGGACAGAGGAGGCAGCCAAGCTCTGTGAACGCCGGGACATGCTGCAAATACGGGAAGCGGGCTGGAGGAGCTCCGAGTGGGGGACAGGGCTCCAGAGAGCATCAGCTTGACAGCAAGGCCATGCAGCCGCTTCCAGGCCCCGGGAGCCGGTGGGTCCGCCACAGTCACTGAGGCTAGAAAGCCAGGCCACTTTTGGCTGCTTTTCCCTCTGCGTCCTGAAGTCTCCAGGACCTCGTCAGGGAGTGTGTGCCCAGCCTGGCACAGGGGCGGCCAACGCCTCAGGCACAAATCCCCAGAGGGTCCTGCCGCATAGGCTGGTAACAGTTGAATAAAAATGACGGAAACCAGCCTCCCAGTCACTGTCCCCAGTTAACCAGAAGGCTCAAAGTTGGGGTCACTGGCCTGACCTCTGCCCCCTGGCCTGGTGTTCAGAGCCAAAAGCTACCAAGATGGAAGGCCGCCCAGTCTGGGCCCAGGGAAGGAGCGCCCAGTGGTTCAAGGAGCACCTGGGGGACGCCACAGCTGCTAGGCCTCTCCCGCTCCTTCTCCCACGTGACTGTCACAGTCCACCTCACGCTGAGTAAGGCATGTGGTGCCATTATCCCAGTTTTACAGGTGAAGAAATGAGTTTAGAGACGAAGGGCCCAGGCATGGTGGCTCACGCTTATAATCCTAGCACTTTGGGAGGCGGAGGCGGGCAGATCGCTTGAGCTCAGGAGACCAGCCTGGGCAACATGGTGAAACCCTGTCTCTATAAAAAAATACAAAAATTAGCTGGGTGTAGTGGTTTGCACCTGTAGTCCCAGCTACTCAGGAGACTGAGGTGGGAAGAGCACCTGAGCCCAGGAGTTAGCGGCTGCAATTAGCCATGATTGCACCACTGTACTCCAGCCTGGGGGACAGAGTGAGACCCTGTCTCAAAAAAAAAAAAAAAAAAGAAAAGAAAAGATGAGGAGGCTTGTGGGGACTGACCGAGGCCTACTGCAAACTTTGTCTCCTGTAGCTGTCTTCAAGTAGACACGTGGATCCCAGGGCCCCTAACACCCTCAGGAGGCAGAGGTGGCAGGTGAATTCAAGGTCCCATGGGTAGTCCATGAAACTCAGGAGCAGCTCAGTCCAGGCTCCCAGCTCCTCTTCCCGCCTGGGCAGCACCCCCTACCCCCAGTACTCCAGTACTCACAGCAGCCAGTGGAGGTACTCAGCATCTGGCTCCAGCAGGTGCCCATCTGCACAAAAACACACCTGCTGACCACGGCCCAGCCGACCACGGCCCTGCCACCCCCTCCCTTGTTAGGAGCCAGCGCTGGAGATCTCCACCTGGCCCCTCCCCCAGCCCCCCAGGGCCCTGGCTCATAGGAGGTGAGCGGGGCAGGAGGCCTGGTGAGCCCCAGACACCCACCCAAGCTAGTGAGTAGCAACGTCCACAAGGAGCCCTCTTCTGCCTCATAGGTCACCTCTGGCGCTTGGGCAGCCTGGCAGGGTGAGAAGGAAGCTGTCAGCCCCACCAGGGACAGGCCAGCTGTTGCAGGGAGCCTTGGAGAAAGGGGTGCCCACTCTGACCCAAAAGCCCTTGACAACCCCTGGCACAGGCAGGCAGGCAAAGGGATGCGTAGAGAAGCAGCCCTGCAGAGTTGCCTGTCCAGGCAACAACCACAAAAACGAACATGTGCCAAGGCCGGGCCAGGAGGGCACACCACAGACAGCAGGCTGGTCACAGGAATGTGCTAAGACAGAGCCTCTTTTTCCTTCATTTTGTTCTATTTTCTTTGAAATTGTCATGGTGTCGTCTTCCAGGAAATCAAAGAGACAGAGAACAACAAAATTCCAAACCCAGGAGTGTCTGTGACACTGAGATGGGATGTGTCTGTGTTTGCACAGGGCAGGGAGGAGGGGCACAAGTGAGTGGTTACCTCGGTTGGAGTCACCTCATTGCCACAGTACACAGGCATCAGGTCATCCTCACCCACAGCGTAGGCCACGTGCAGGGGGACTCGGGGCACAAAGGTGGCACCGTGGAACAGGTCTCGGTAGAGGCCGTAATACTCAGCCAGACGCTGCTTGTGGTAGGGGCCACAGGTCCTCTCCCACTCGGCCCGCACGGCATCCAGCGGGACACTGGCTAGACAGGAATAAGGCCAGTTGGGATACGGGGGTGGGGGGGGCAGGGACACACCCTGTACCCCAACTCTGGGATGGCCCCTCCCCTGAGAAGGCTTACCTGTGCGGAGGCGGGCAGCCCGCTCCTCTTCCACATTGGCCCGAAGCTCCTGGATGGCCTGTTTCCGTTCCAGTAGCTGTTGGGTCCGGGAGACTTTGGGTGGAGGCAGCCCAATATCAATCTTCTCTTTGGGATCTGGAGTGGGAAGATGTGTGGGAAAAACAGGGTCATGACTCACTGCAGCCTTAACCTCCCCAACTCAGTCTCCTGAGTAGCTGGGGCTACAAGTGTACACCATCTCATCTGGCTAATTTTTGTATTTTTTGTAGAGACAGGGTTTTGCCACATTGCCCAGGCTGGTATGAACTCTTGGGCTCAAGTGATCTGCCTGCCTCAGCCTCCCACAGTGTTGGGATTACAGTAGTGTGAGCCACTGCGCCCAGCCATGGTAGCTAATTTAAAAAATCTGAGAGATGGGATCTCATTATGTTGCTCAGGCTGGTCTCAAAACTCCTGGTCTCAAGTGATCCTCCTGCCTCAGCCTCCTAAGTAGCTGGGATTATAGGCGCAAGCCACTGCACCCAGTGAGGGGGCGGGCACATCTTCTTGGTTAAACTGCCTGTCCCTACCTAGTCCTCTCATTCTGTGCTTCAAGCTCTGCTGCTCAAGCTTTCCCTGTGATTCACAGAATTAAAACATACTGTGCAGTCTACTTCCCAGACCTGAATAGGATGTAACTGGGAAGCAAATCAGATACAACTTGAGGTTGTGTTTTTCTTTGAGACAGAATCTCACTCTCTCGCCCAGGCTGGAGTGCAGTGGCGCGATCTCGGCACACTGCAACCTCTGCCTCCCGGGTTCAAGCAATTCTCCTGTCTCAGCCTTCTGAGTAGCTGGGATTACAGGCGCCTGCCACCATGCCCGACTAATTTTTTTTGTATTTTTAGTAGAGACGGGGTTTCACCATGTTGGCTAGGCTGGAGGCTGTGTTTTTCTGATCCCCAAACCAGGTCACAGTTTTGTCTAGGTCATGGGAAACTGAAGTCAATGGTCCTTCCAATTATAGTTGAGATCACCTCCAAGCCTGTTCACAGGTGGCTATGAACACCCAGCTGTCCTAGGTAGAGTGAATGACTGATGCTAGAAGGACTTATAGAAGTGCTTCTCGGCCAGGTGCTATGGCTCACGCCTGTAATCCCAACACTTTGGGAGGCTGAGGCAGGGGGATCACTTGAGGTCAGGAGTTTCAGACCAGCTTGGGCAATATGGTGAAACCCCATCTCTACTAAAAATACAAAAATTAGCTGGGCGTGGTGGCGCATGCCTGTAGTGTCAGCTACTTTGGAGGCAGAAGCAGGAAAATCGCTTGAACCCAGGAGGCAGAGGTTGCAGTGAGTCATCGCACCACTGCACTCCAGCCTGGGCAACAGAGCGAGCCTCTGCCTTAAAACAAAACAAAACAAAATAATAATAACGAAAACATACTGAGCCCTCATCAGAGATGGCATTAGGCAAAAATGCCAATGAATTGCCTCTTTTAATCCTCACAGCAATTTTGTAGCAAAGACACAATTATTTTATTTTACAGTTGAAACAAGCTCAAGGACATTATCCGAGAGGCTGAGCTAGGATTTAAATCGGGCTATTTAGATTCCACGCTTGTGCCTTTAACCACCACAAAACTGCCTCTATAAATGCTAAAGAAAAGAAAAGAAAAGAAAAGCATATACTCCATAAATTGTAAGTTCCTTAAAGGTTGGGGTCTTTTTTTTTTTTTCTTTTTGAGACGGAGTTTCGCTCTTGTTGCCCAGGCTGGTGTGCAATGGCGCGATCTCGGCTCACCGCAACCTCTGCCTCCTGGGTTCAAGCGATTCTCCTGCCTCAGAGGCCTCCCGAGTAGCTGGGATTACAGGCATGCGACACCACGCCCAGTTAATTTTGTATTTTTAGCAGACACGGGGTTTCTCCATGTTGGTCAGGCTGGTCTCGAACTCCCGACCTCAGGTGATCCGCCCGCCTAGGCCTCCCAAAGTGCTGGGATTACAGGCGTGAGCCACCGCGCCCGGCCAGGTTGGGTTCTTTTTTGAGTCACCCTGCCCAGGCCTTTAATTTCATTCAGCAAAGTATTGCACATGTACATCCTTGCACTGTTCGGGTGCAAGGATCCAATGGAGGGCAAGACAAGCAGGATCCCTGTCAACAGGGCGCTTACAATCTGGGGAGAGGCAGCGCACAGTCAGAATGCAGTGTGGCCAGAGTTACCTACAGAGTATTTGAGGCGCACAGAACGGCATCCCAATCCGGAAAGTCAGGTGGTCAAGATTTTAGGAGCAAATATTTTAGGAGCTGGAACTCTAATAGTAGGGGGAGCGAATTTTCCAAGAATGAGGTGCAGAAGGTGTGAAAAATCCTGGGGTGATTAAGCTGCCGATAGCGCACACAGGTCTGCAGGCAGGCCCTCCCAGCGTCCCCAGCATCCACAAGGGCGCCGGCAAGGCTCGCCCAGCGCCCGGGGAAAACGCCGGCGGGTCCCGAGTTCCCCGGGCGGTGGCTGCAGCCCCTGCTCCAGTCGCCCCGCACCTGTCTTCTCCCCGAAATACTCTCGGTAGGTCCGCCACCAGTGCGGGGCCTGCGCCTCCTGCTCTGCTCGGCGCCGGTAGCGGTCGAAGCTCCGGTACTTCTCCAGCCGCTCCAGGTTGCTCAAGTCGATGTCACTGTTGGGCATCGGCCCCAGCGGGGGTGTCCGGCGGCCCAGGACGGCTGCGGGCAGAGAGAAGACGTAAGGCCGGCGCCCCACAGCTCGGGCGACAGCCCCCCCCCCCCCCCCCGCAGAGCTGCCCACCCCTCACCCGAGGTGCTGAAGCCCCGCCATCTCCGACACTCGCACAGCGCGGCTCGCCACCAGGGCGCCGCCATCTTCCCTCCGGCCTGCGACACTGCGGCCGCCACTAGGACCCGGGCACAGGTGGCCAGCGCGGTGCCTGAGCGCACCACAGCAGGCCCCGCCCCTAGGCCCGCCCCCGGGCCCGCGCTGCGGAGCAGGCCTCAGACGCCTGTCCCGGAGGCCCCTGCACCGTCTGCCTCGGGCGCAGGTGGAAGGTGGCCGCGGTCTGTAGACGCCCGGCTCCGGAAGTGCCCGTTGGACGGCGGGGCGGAGCCGAGAGCAGTCATATGCTCGCCCATGGCTGGCCACCAGGGGGCGGCACAGACCGGGGTCGGCCGCCGGGGCCCTCCTCCAACCCCTGGACGCTGCGTCCTGATTTCCCCAGGGACGCAGGCCTGGTTGGGAGAAGGGGTGCGAGCTCCGATTCCGGACTCTGCTTGGGTTTAAAACCCAGATTGAGGGCTGGGCGCGGTGGCTCACGCCGGGAATCCCAGCACTTTGGGAGGCCAAGGCGGGTGGATCACGAAGTCAGGAGATCGAGACCATCCTGGCCAACACGGTGAAAACCCGTCTCTACTCAAAATACAAAAATTAGCCGGGCGTGGCATACGCCTGTAATCCCAGCTACTCGGGAGGCTGAGGGAGGAGACTCGCTTGAACCTGGGAGGCAGAGGCGGAGGCTGCAGTGAGCCGAGATCGCGCCACTGCACTCCAGCATGGGCGACAAAAGTGAAAACTCTATTTCAATAATAATAATAATAATAAAATAATAGTAATAAAAACCCAGATTGTGGCTGGGCGCGGTGGCTCATACCTGTAATCCCAGCACTTTGGGAGGCCGAGGTGGGCGGATCATCTGAGGTAATTAGTTTGAGACCAGCCCTACGAACATGGCAAAACCCTAAAGATACAAAAATTTTTGTATCTCTACTAATGATACAAAAATTAGCCGGGCGTGGTGGCAGGCGCCTGTAATCCCAGCTACTCAGGAGGCTATGGCACAAGAATTAACTTGAACCCGGGAGGCAGAAGCTGCAGTGAGACGAGATTGCGCCACCACCTCGGTGCCAGAGTGAGACACCGTCTCAAAATGCCCCTCCCCCCCCCCAAAAAAAAACCAGATCGTGACCTTACTGTCTTCCTTGTGGTTTCCTCATTTGGGAAAAAGCAGGTTAACACTAGTGCTTACCTGACAGCTGTCAGGATGAAAAGATTACCCTCTGGAAAGCGCTCGCAGTGGTTTGTGTGTTAGCTCAACTATCTCCAACTTCTCATTATCCACACAAAGGCAGAAGTGACCTGGTTAAGTGCAGATGTGAATGTTTCTGGCAGGACTCAGGCTTGCCCTTGTGATCCAGTTCTACCATGGCAAAACTTGGTAGCCTGGGGAATCTGGGACCCTCCTTTGCCCCAGCCCTGGCCCTCCTGCCCTAAAAGGCAAGACTTTTCCATCGCACTTTGCCTCCAGGCCACGGGGCCTTTGTATACGCTGTGTCTTCTGCCTCTCACCTCCTCACTGCCCCACCTTGGCCTGGCCACCACCCAGCCCCAGGAGAGGGGTCTCTCCAGGAAGCCTGCTCTGACATCCCAGGCCAGGGCTGGTGGTGACCAGGCCAGTGGCTCTGGCACCAGCAGAAGCTTGACCCTCACAATCACTTTGAGATGGAATGAGAATGGAATGAGGGTCTCTCCATCCAGCAGGAAGTGGCCACACCTTCCACTGGTTTTCATAAACAGCAGCCAAACAGCTAAACCTTTCACAGTCATTTCTAATCCACCCAGCAGTGTGCACCTGCTACATGCTAAGTGTGGAGGGGAATACGTGGGGCAGTCACACCCAGTCCTGCTCGTAAGGAGTTGCTTATTGTGACATTCCATACTGCAGTTATGCAGTACAGGAGCATAACTGGATTGTGTGTTTACATCGTGGCTGTTTTACCTTGTCCTTTTTTTTTTTTTTTTTGAGATGGAGTTTCTGTCGCCCAGGCTGGAGTGTAGGGGCACGACCTCGACTCACTGCAACTTCCGCCTCCCAGGTTCAAGTGATTCTCCTGCCTCAGCCTCCCGAGTAGCTGGGATTACAGGCATGCACCACCACGCCTGGCTAATTTTTTGTATTTTTAGTAGAGACTTGGTTTCACCATATTGGCCAAGCTGGTCTCAAACTACTGACCTCAGGTGACCCACCCACCTCGGCCTCCCAAAGTGCTGGGATTACAGGTGTGAGCCACTGCACCCGGCCACCTTGTCCTTTTGTTTCTGAATCATTTTCTTCAGCCTCTAAACCCACCCGCTCTACCCCACGACCCTCCCAGCCCTCTCCAGATGAAGATGTATGGGGCCTTGGCAGTTGGCGTGGAAGCTGCTGGCCACCCAGGTGGCGGTGCATTCCTCCATTCTTGTCCTCTTGCTGTCCTAGAACCCTGATTGGCGCTTGCTTGGATATTAACAGTTTGAGAGAGGCTTCACGTGGATTCCCACGTGTACCAACTTGAAGCAAATAACGATGAATATCTTGAAACTAGAAGCAGTGGCTCTACCATTTTAAAAAAATATATGGGGGTCTCACTATGTTGCCCAGGCTGGTCTTGAACTCCTGGGCTCAAGCCATCCTCCCACCTTGGCCTCCTGATAGCAGCTACAGGTGTGTACCACTGCACCAGTTTTTTTTTTTTTTTTTTTTTTTTTTTTTGAGACAGAGTCTTGCTCTGTCGCCCAGGCTGGAGTGTAGTGGCCTGATCTCGGCTCACTGCAAGCTCCGCTTCCCAGGTTCATGCCATTTTCCTGCCTCAGCCTCCCAAGTAGCTGGGACTACAGGCGCCCGCCACCACGCCCGGCTAATTTTTTGTATTTTTAGTAGAGACGGGGTTTCACCGTGTTAGCCAGGATGGTCTCGATCTCCTGACCTCGTGATCCGCCCGCCTCGGCCTCCCAAAGTGCTGGGATTACAGGCGTGAGCCACTGCGCCCGGCACCTGCACCAGTATGTTTTACCCATTACATTCCACCAATATTTCTTTTTCTTTTTTTTCTTTTTTTTTTTTTTTAGACAAAATCTCACTCTGTCACCCAGGCTGAAGGGCAGTGACACAATCTCGGCTCACTGCAACCTCTCCCTCCTGGGTTCAAGCGATTCTCCTGCCTCAGCCTCCCAAGTAGCTGGGACTACAGGCCACACGCCACCACGCCCGGCTAATTTTTGTATTTTCAGTAGAGACGGGGTTTCACCACGTTGGTCAGGCTGGTCTCGAACTCCTGACCTCAGGTAATCCACCCACCTTGGCCTGCCAAAATGCTGGGATTACAGACGTGAGCCACCGCGCCCGGCCGCAATATTTCTCTCTCTAAAAGGAACTGAATGAAGCACTTGGGTTATGATCTTGTTTACAATTTTGAAGGAAAAAAAGAGCTGCAGCTACACAACACTCATTTCTGTACTCAGCCCTCTCCAGTGTCTGTGGCCTGGGAGAAGGCTGAAGGGGATAATTAGGATGCCTGCCACACCCTCATGGCGGTGACAGGAATGCTGAGTGCTTACACTGAGTAAAGTGCCATTATAACTGAGTGCCTGTGGAATGTCTCTGCTTGGCTGTCCCCCCGGCACTGTATACTCATCTGTGACACCACCCAGTCACCCAAGCCAGGAACCTGGGCGTCCTCAACACGTCTTCCTTTCTGATCCTCCATGACTGGCACTAGGCCCGAGGGCCACTTTTCTGTGGGCCCTCCCTGCCATGCCCGGTAGTCTTGCCCACAGTCCCTCCCCTGCACCATTGCCAGCTGCCTTCCCACACATCCTCTGTCCCACTCTTGCCCCCTCTGGTCCGGTCCCCACCCTGCAGACACAATGGGTTTTCTTTTGTTGTTGTTTTTTTTTTGAGACGGAGTCTTGCTCTCTCGCCTAGGCTGGAGTGCAGTGGTGCAATCTCGGCTCTCTGCAACCTGTGCCTCCCGGGTTCAAGCGATCCTCCTGCCTCAGCCTCCTAAGTAGCTGGGATTACAGGCACACACCACCATGCCCAGCTAGTTTTTTTGTATTTTTAGTAGAAACAGAGTTTCACCATGTTGGCCAGGCTGGTTTTGAACTCCTGATTTCAAGTGATCCACCCACCTTGGCCTCCCAAAGTGTTAGGACTACAGGCGTGAACCACCGTGCCTGGCCAATGGGTTTTCTAAAATACAAATATGGTTCAACCTTGTTTAAAATCTTCTAGTGAAGACCTGAAAATTTGCCCTCAGACAAATTTGCCCTGAAAAGTTGCACGTCTTTAACAAGATATGCAAAGCCCTCTCATTCTAACCTCTTCTCCCTACTCTGTCTTGAAGGCCATGCTCTCCCCCTGTGGGTCTCCCAGCACCGCCCTCCCCGATGTATGTGCTTGATCACCTGCAGGTCCTGCAGGTGGCTGCCTAGATACCAGCTGCCCCTGGGCCGACGTGCCCATCCTTAGACCCCCCCAGCTCTTTGCACAGGTCTGCCTCAGGACTGGTTGAGTCTCTTTTGTGGAGAATCAAATTTGAGACTTAACCAAGGCTTCCAATGGGGCATGTGATACTTCCCTCCTCAGTGTTGGTACCAGCCCCAGAAGCGCCTGAAAAGATCTTCCTCCCACACCAGCACCTACCAGGAGTGTAGCCTGCTCCTCTGGGAGGTAGGAGAGCGGGGTGGCTGACAGCGTGGAGCTTGGGGATTGGCCAGAGCAGAACTCAAATCCAGGCGCAGCTACTCACTGTCATTTCAGGCAGGTTATTTAATCTCCCCGGGCCTCAGTTTCTGCATGTTTGAAGCAGGGCTAATAGTACCCTTCTCCTGGCTGTGGTCCAGCTGCCAGGTGCCACCGCAGACCGCAGGTGCTGGAGGGGAGAGGCACGTGGCCAGAGGCGCCTGGTCCTGACCAATCTTATAGGCTGATCTTTTAATAAGAACATCTGCCTGTTCTTTGGGACTTGTCCAGCAAATAACAGGAAACATTTTCTAAGAAATAAGTATAAACTCCGATGAGCCATGGCAAAAGCAGTTTTTTTAAGCTTAGTCAAGTTGAAGCAGCGGGAGTGGAGGAGGATCAGAGAAACCTCTGTAGTTGTGATTGGTTCCTTGTCGCCTCCACTGCGTACCCGCTGAGCTGGGCTTTGGGCAGGTGAGCAGCACAGAGGCTTCCCTCCTCGTCCCTCCCCACACCCCACCATCGCCACAGCTCCCTCCGCCGCCGGTGGGGCACCCAGATGGGGAGGAAGCTGAGGAGGCCACTGTTCACCCAAACTGGTTGGTCCTTCGGGCAATGCTGGGAATAGGGTGGGGGCTCTGGGCAAGCCCAGGAGGAGGAGGGCCTGGCTGAGTTCCAGGAACATCTCACACCACAAGGGAGGATCTAGCTGGTGCCCTCCCTGTACTGTCAGGAGGCCAGAGGGCCCTTCTCCAGCTCATCAGGGAGGGAACTGCTCTGGCAGGGAGTAGGGAAGGCTGTTTGTGGCATCCCTCAAGAAAGCTCCTGCCTCAGAAGAGGCCCAGGCAAAAAGAGCCCACAACAGTCTACCTGTGGAGCAGGGGGAGCCCACAGAGCCCAGGGGGAGCCCACAGAGCCCAGTGAGAGCTGGGGGTCCTTGCTGCCAACTCAGACCCTCAGATCCAAGCCAATGGCTTTGGGGCAGGGCAGCCAAAGCCATGGTAAGATAGCCTACACCACAGAGCCCCAGAGGCAGGGGCTGCCCCGGGCTGGCACATTTGGAAAGGATGCACTTGCACCCTGTCCACGGAAGAGCTGTCATCAGGCCTCAAGCATCTCAGAATCCTCCCCAGGCACTGCCTCCATGGAGGCAGCCGGAGGAACAGGACAGTTCTGGGGTCCGAACCCTCTGTTGGGGAATCGGCTGGGGTCCCACTCAGGCTGAATGAGATGTCAAATTGTAGGACCCTTTCTTCAGGGTCTCCAGGAAGAACTGTTCATTCTCCAAGAAGTCACGGTCCTGCAAGGCAGGTTTGGATGGGCGGTCACCTTCCCTGAGCTGAGAGGGAGGTGGAGCCCTGGATGCTAGCTGAGCCAGCCGTCACTGAGGCCCCTCCCCACATCGTCCCTGACTCTGCCTGGCTCTGGGAGTCAGCAGGGGCCATGAAAGAGCCCAGGTATGGAGTGAGACAGACCACAGTCTCAATCCTGGCAAGGTTACTTGTTTGCTGTGGAACTTACGAGCACATGACTTCATGTCTCTAAGCCTCAGTTTCCTTGTCTGTAAACATTCCTTGTAGCCCTTCCTTGCAGGGCTGTGTGAGGGTAAAAGCTTAAAAAATACACAAAGCAGGCCAGGCACAGTGGCTCATGCCTGTAATCCTAGCTAATCCGCAGGCCAAGGGGGTAGGATCACTTGAGCCCAGGACTTTGAGACCAGCCGAGGCAACATCGTGAGACCCCATTTCTAAATATAAATAAATAAGTAAAATATAAACAAAGCCTTCGGCATTGAGGTTGGCACACAGGAAATGCTCCATAATGACAACTGTTATCATTATAGTTTTGTTTTGTTTAGTTTGAGACAAGTGCCTTGCTCTGTCACCCAAGCTGAAGTGCAGTGGTGTGAACACACCTGTAGCCTCGACCAGCTGGGCTCAAGCAATCCTCCCACCTCAGCCTCCCAAGTAGCTGGGACTATAGATATGCCCCACCATGCCCAGCTAATTTTTAAATTTTTAATATTTATTTTTTTGAGACAGAGTCTCGCTCTGTTGCCTGGAGTGCAGTGGCACCGTTGTGGCTCACTGCAGCCTCGACCTCCCGGGCTTAAGTGATCCTCTTACCTCAGCCTCCGGAGTAGCTGGGAGTACAGGTGTATGCCACCACGCTCAGCTATTTTTTTGTGGAGACGAGGTCTCACTATGTTGCCCAAGCTGGCCACGAACTCCTGGGCTCAAGTAATCCTCCCACCATAGCCTCCCAAAGTGCTGGGATTACAGGTGTGAGCCACGCACCTGGTCCTCTTTTTTTAGTTTTTCATTTTGTAGAGACGGTGTCTCAACATATTGCCCAGGCTGGTCTCAAACTCCTGGGCTCAAGTGATCCTCCTGCTTCAACCTCCCAAAGTGTTGGGATTACAGGTGTGAGCCACTGTGCCCAGCCTGTTATCATTATTGCTATAGGTTATCATGAGGTTTAACTGAGATGACATATGCAAATTGCTTTGCACAGAACCTGGCCTAGTGTGGAAGTCTGAGCATTGGCTCACTAAGCAAACTGCAGTTTTACTCCCCAGGAGCTGGGGTCACCCCTCCCCAGGGCTACCATGTGCTCCTCCCTGCCTCTGCCCTGAGCTGGAAGGACTCGTGAACACAAGGATCCCCAAGGCCAGGAGAGACTCACCTGCTCTGCCATGTGCCTCAGCAGTGCCAGCCTGGCATGGAGGTGCAAGGGGCTGGGGTCCAGGCCAGTTGGCGGCTGGCTGCACCAACGGGTGGTGGGAGCAGGAGGCATGAGGGCTGAAAAGGCCAAGGAGGAAGTCAGGGACCAAAGTGTTGGTGGAAATACCGGGCGGTCACAGCTTGTTCCTGCAGAGCTGCTCCCCCCGCCAGTGGGTGGACCCTGGCCATATACTCAGGGTGCAATGGCACTAACTCTCAGAAGCCTCTGGCAAATGCATACCTGCTCCTACCTGGAAAGACCATTTATAGGAATTTATTCCAGTGAAATAATCAGGCAAAGGTACAAACACATATGTAGGAAGATGTCCACTGGGTAGTCTTTCTCTTTAAGACAACAAATCACTCAGCACAGAGCAGCCTCACAGTGGAAAACTGTGCTGATTGGGAATTGACTAAATGTTTAATGACTGATCTGAAAACCTGTTCCACGTGTACATTACTGAGTAAAAAAAGTAAAGTTATTGAAAAACACATACAATCCTAATTTTGTTTTTAAAAACATGTACCAGGCTGGGCGCGTTGGCTCATGCCTGTAATCCCAGCACTTTGGGAGGCCAAGGCGGGTGGATCACCTGAGGTCAGGAGTTCAAGACCAGCCCGGCCAACATGGCAAAACCCTATCTCTGCTAAAAATACAGAATTAGCCAGGCATGGTAGCACATGCCTGTAATCGCAGCTACTTGGGAGGCTGAGGTAAGAGAATCGCGTGAACTCAGGAGGTGGAGGTTGCACTAAGCCGAGATCATGCCACTGCACTCCAGCCTGGGTGACAAGAGTGAAACTCCATCTCAAAAAAGAAAAGAAAAAAAAAGTACCAGAGTGGAACATTATGCACCAAAATGTTAAAAGTGAAAAGTGGTTCTCTCAAGACTCAGGAGTGGCGTTGAGGGTGACTTTTTTTTTTTTTTTTTTTTTTTAAACGGAGTCTTGCTCTGTCCCCTAGGCTGGAGTGCAGTGGCACAATCTCGGCTTACTGCAACCTCCACTTCTCGGGTTCGAGTGACTCTCCTGCCTCAGCCTCCTGAGTAGCTGGGATTACGGGCACCTGCCACCACACCCGGCTAATTTTGTATTTTTAGCAGAGACGGGGTTTCATTATGTTGGCCAGGCTGGTCTTGAACTCCTGACCTCAGATGATCCGCCTGCCTCGGCTGCCGAAAGTGCTGAGATTATAGGCGTGAGCCACCACGCCCAGCCTGACAATGACTTTTTTTATTTCCTTTTTTTTTCCTGAGTCCAGAGTTACAAAAAGGTGACATTTTTCATAATAGTGTTCCTCTATTTCTGATTTATCTAAAATTAACACACATTATTTGTGTAAAAAAGAAATAAGGCGACTATAAAACCCAGCTGGCCGCCTTAACTGGAGCGGCTGGAGGAGGGCCTGCCCACTCCTAGCACTGCCCCTGCCCAGTCCTGAGCCGCCGGCCCTTCCTTCTGGAGCCACTCACCACTCTGGCTGGAGGCTGCAGGGCCCTGGGCCCTGGGGAACAGACCCACGAGGCTAGAGGGCAGGTCCTGTCGTGCGCGGTCCAGTTGCAGCCTCTGCTGGGCCAGACTCAGATGCTCCTGTCCCCGTTCCCCCAGAAAGAAGGACTCAGCTGTGAGGTGGGAGGCTGGGGGTGCCGGGGGCAGGGGCGCCATACACTCAGGGAGCCTTGCCTGGTGCATGTGCTGCTCCTGCTTCCGCAGCCGCTCCTGCTGTTGCTGCACCGCCTGCAACCGGGCCTGCTGCTCTGCCTGCACCTGCTGGGCCTCGCGCAATGCCCGCTCCCCCTCCTCGTACTTCTCGGAGGCCACCTGCAGGGAGGCCGCCTGGGTCAGGGCTGCCTGGGCTCAGATGCGCCCACGCCCATGTGCCCGAGCAGCACCTTGCTCATGCTCTCCACCTCCTCGGCGCGGAGCTTGACACGCAGGGCGGTGGCGTTGATCCTCTCCTTCTCCAGCCGCAGCTCCTGCCGCTCCTGCTCCAGGGCTGCTCTCTCCGCTGCCAGCTGCTTCTCCTCGGCCCGGAGCTCGCTGGCCCTGATCTTCAGCTCAGCCTGCTCCTGGAGACAGCGGAGGCCCTGCTGCATTCTCCTCCCAGGAATTGCGCTGCACTCTGTGCAGGACTCTAGGGTCCCCTCTGCCCACCCTGCCCCTGGGAGGAGGTGGTGGAGCCAGGGGCTTCCAGGGAGAGCCAGAGAAGCCTGGGGCCAAGCCGGAGTGCTGCCCTCACAAGCCACGTGACTGTGGCAGGCTCAACTCTGAAGTTCGGTTTCCTCATTTCTAAATGACCAAAGTCATGGGAACATGAGGATCAAATAAAATGTGTATAATGCACCTGGGACAATACGAGGAAGATGTTAGCATGATGATGCGATTACTGTTTTAATCCCTATGCTCTTGTGACATTAGTGCTACACTCTCCTTTCCTAAGACTGGAAGCGGATGTGTCCAGATGGAGGGGCGCAGGCAACCCTGGGCCCTCCACTGTCCGGAGGCTCTGGGCCCTACCTTGGCCAGGCTGATGAGGGTGCCCTCCCGCTGGGTGTCCACCTGCAATGCCCGCTCGGCCTCGCGCTCGGCCCGCTCCTTACTCAGCTTTTGCTGCGCGGAGAACTCCGCCCACTCGGCAGCCAGGCGCCGCCGCTCCTCCCCGCACTTGAGCATGACAGACTTCTGCTCCTCCAGCAAGGCGCTCTGGGATGTGGGGGTGAAGGCACGGGGTGAGTGTCCCTGGGCATAATGGCAGGGGCAGGGGCTGAGTGCGGTGGCTTGACTCACCTTGGCCCGTTCCAGCTCCGCCCTTTCCATGGCCATCTGCTGGGCCGTGACCTTCCTTTGCTCCTCTAGGGCGCGCTGCATGGACTCCGCCTTGGACTGCTCGGCAGTCACCCGCCAGCGTTCCTGTAGGGCCCAGGGCAGGACTGAGAGCGTGGTTCCCGCCCTGAGGATCACGCCTGGCCACTCCCTGAGAAGCTGCATGAACCCACCAGTGTCTCCCACACTATGCCACTGACACGTCCTTCCCAAAGAGGCACAAAATGAGGGGTGCCTGGGAGGCACTGCCAGGGCCCAGCCCGCACGATTCTGCCCAAGAGAAGGACCCAGCAGGTGCCCTCCCAACCCTCAGGTCTCCAACAGCACCAAGGCTAGCAGCTTGGGAGGGCCAAAGAGCAGCAACATCCCTGCCGCTGAATCGCCAGCTACGCACTCTGCCTGTCCTCACCCATCAGCCAAGCAGGCTAAGCACAGGGTGGCTTAATGCTGTGCTGTGGGCCCAGCCACACACAGCACAAGGCGAGAGCTTCACTGTGCCTGACCCCAGGCAGATGCTTAACACAGTTACCAAATGAAGAGGCGAATCAAAATGCTTCACAACATAAAAGCATCTCTATCTACGTTGACATGGCTACAGGATAGATATCAGGTCAGCAGTGGACATCTCTGACTAGTGGGATATTTTTATTTTCTTCTTTAAAAACATTTTTTTGGGCCGGGCACAGTGGCTCAGCCCTATAATCCCAGCACTTTGGGAGGCTGAGACGGGTGGATCACCTGAGGTCAGGAGTTCAAGACCAGCCTGGCCAACGTGGTGAAACCCATCTCTACTAAAAATACAAAAATTAGCTGGGCGTGGTGGCAGTTGCCTGTAATCCCAGTAGCTCAGGAGGCTGAGGCAGGAGAATCCCTTGAACCCAGGAGGCGAAGTTTGCAGTGAGCTGAGATTGCGCCACTACACTACAGCCTGGGTGACAGAGCGAGACTCTGACTCAAAAAAAAAAAAAAAAAAAAAAAAGTTTTTGGCTGGGCATGGTGGCTCACGCCTGTAATCCCTGCACTTTGGGAGGCCAAAGTGGGCAGCTTGTCTGAGCTCAGGAGTTTGAGATCAGCCTGGGCAACATGGCAAACCCCCGTTTCTACAAAAAATACAAAAAATTAGCTGGGTATAGTGGCATGCACCTGTGATCCCAGCTACTTGGCAGCTGAGGTGGGAAGATTGCTTGAGCCCAGGAGGTTCAAGCTGCAGTGGGCTGAGATCTTGCCACTGCACTCCAGCCTGAGTGACAGTGAGACCCCATCTCTAAAAAAAATTTTTTTTTTTGGCCAGGCATGGTGGCTCCCACCTGTACTCTCAAAATGTTGGGAGGCCTAAGTGGGCAGATTGCTTGAGCCCAGGAGTTCAAGACCAGCCTGGGCAACATGGCAAGACCCACATCTCAGTAAAAAATACACAATTAGCTGGGTGTGGTGGTTTGCGCCTGTAGTCCCAGCTACTCAGGAAGCTGAGGCAGGAGGATGGCTTAAGCCAAGGAGGTCAGGCTGCAGTGAGCTATGATCACACCACTGCACTCCAGCCTGGGCAACAGAGCAAGACCCTGTCTCTAAAAAATAACAGTGCTTTGTAAAACCTTAGAAGATGATAACTACTAGCTGAGGACAAAAAGATAGGTGGGAGGACAAGGAAGGCTTTGTGGAGGTGGTAGCATCGAAAGATTCATTACCATTGAATTCAGCCTAGAAAGATTTCCACAGGTAAGGAAAAGGATGTGAGCAAAGGCAGGGACTGCAGGTGTGCACCACCACACCCAGTTAATTAAAACAAAATTTAAATGTTTTTATTATTTATTTTTTTGAGACAGAGTCTCGCTCTGTTAACCAGACTGGTGTGCCATGTTATGATCTCCACTCACTGCAGCCTCTGTGTCCTAGATTCAAGCGATTCTCCCACCTCAGCCTCTCTAGTAGCTGGGATTACAGGCGTGCGCCACCACGCCTGGCTAGTTTCTTATTTCTTTATTTTTAGTTTCACCATGTTGGCCAGGCTGGTCTCGAACTCCTGACCTCAAGTGATCCTCCAGCCTTGGACTCCTGAAGTGCTGGAATTACAGGCATGAGCCAACTTGCCTGGCATAAAAAAATTTATTTATGGTCTCGCTAGGCTGGTCTCAAATTCTGGGCCTTAAGTGATCCTGCTGCCTCAGCCCCCCAAGTAGCTGGGATTATAGGCACAGGCCACTGTGCCTGGCTAAGGTCATCATTATTTAAATAAAGCATGTGCTTATATATGAAAGGTATCTAGGGAATTCAAATGTCTCTGTGAGAGCTGAAGAGGCTAGGATGACATTTAATGGGCAAGAGCATCTGTCCCAATGTCAGGCCTCAGCTAATGTGACAGATTCGAGTGTCAGGAAGTGGGAAGTGCAGCTGATGGTTGCGGGGGCTAGACTGCGGAGGGCAGCCAAGGTGGCCGAGGGGCTTGCGGTGCTGAGGAGCGGACAGGGCGTGGTGGGGGGCCTGGCCAGGCGGCCCCTGCATGCTCAGGTGGGCAGTGCTGAGAGCCTGGCCAGGGCAGGGAGATGTAGAGGCAGGAAGCGGCAGGTGGGGCCTTGACCTCCTGAGGAAGTGAGGTCACGGGAGTGCCGCTACACTTGCGGGTGCCCTGGAGAAGAGGCCCCGTGGCAGGAGGGGCAGGAGGGCCAGGAGGACGGGCCTCACCTGCTCCAGCAGCCGGCTCTGCTCATTCAGCCGTGCCTCCATCTTCCCGATGACCTCCTGTTGCCGGCTCCGCTCCTCCTCCATGTCCCGCTGCTGCTGGCCCAGCCGCTCCTGCAGTGCTGGGGGCAACCCACAGGGTGCTCAGCAGCTGCTCCCCCTTCCCACCAGGAGCCGGGGTGGCTGAGAGGGGAGGGCGTACCCCGCAGCTGCTCGTCACGCTGCCGGATCCCCAGCTCCCGCTCCTGGGAGGTGGTGAGGTGCGAGGCCTCCACGCGGGAGGACAACTCGTGCAGGCTGCTGGAGAACTTCTCCATCTGGTGGATGATGCTATTCAGGGACCTGGAAGAAGACTGGGTCACCCCCTCCTGACGGTCTCGGGGACCTTCCGGCCCCCAACGTCAGGCGGGCATGGTTGGGGCAGCGCACATACCGCGTGTGGGAGGTGGCACTGGTGGCCGCATCGACCTCTCGGTCCTTCAGCAGCTTTAGCCGCTGCAGCTGCTCCTCGTGGTCTCTGCGCATGTCTAGGATGGACGCCCTGAGGGGAGGCGGGAGGGGAAGGCGGTCACTCTGAGCTGGATCACCCTGATGCGGTAACTCCTTGTGGAAGGGTGTGTTTCCGTGCAGCCCTTGCTCCCAGGCCTCTCCTCCGCCGGGCACTGCCTCAGTTTCCCCAGCTCCTCTGTCTTATCTGTCATGGTGCCTCAATGCTACACGCACTAAGATGGGCATTCCTCCCATTATTCAGCTTTTCTTTTTTTGGAGATGGAGTTTTGCTCTGTCACCCAGAGTCTCTCACTCTGTCGCCCAGGCTGGAGTTCAGTGGCATGATCTCGGCTCACTGCAACCTCTGCCTCCTGGGTTCAAGCAATTCTCCTGCCTCAGCCTCCCGAGTGGCTGGGACTATAGGCGCTCACCACGCCTAATTTTTTATATTTTAGTAGAGATGGGGTTTCCACCGTGTTGCCCAGGCTGGTCTCGAACTTCTGAGCTCAGGCAATCTACCCACCTTGGCCTCCCAAAGCACTGGGATTACAGGTGTGAGCCACCACGCCCGGCCCCAAGCAGTCTTTCTTTTTTTTTTTTTTTTTCCTAGAGATGAGGTCTCACTATGTTGCCCAGGCTGGTCTTGAACTCCTAGCCTCAAGCAATCCTCCTGCCTTGGCCTCCCAAGTGTTTTGTTTTTTAAATGTTTTTAGAGACAGGGTTTTGTTCTGTGGTCCAGGCTGGAGTGCAGTGGCATCATAGCTCATTGCAGCCCTGATCTCTTGGGCTGAAGGTATCCTCCTGCCTCAGTTTCCCAAGTAGCTGGAACTACAGGAGTAGCTGTCATGCCAGCTTATTTAAAAATTGTTTTTAGAGATGAGGTCTCACTGTGTTGCCCAGACTGGTCTCAAACTCCTGGCCTCAAGTGATCCTCCCACCTCGGCCTCCCAAAGTGCTGGGATTACAGGTGTGAGCCACTGCACCCGGCCCTGAGCAGTCTTAAAAGGCTGCCTCTGCCTTCATCGACCTCTGACTCCCTTAGGTAACTTTTCTTAGTTTCCTTCTCTTCTAGAAAGGCAACCCTATAAACATGGCAGGCACAACAGCGCAAGCCTTTCCCAGGTGGATCTTGTTTCTAGCCTCTACTGCATGAGCAGGCGAGTGGATGACCCTGTGCTTAGTTAGACCCTAGGCGGCTTGCTGCTGCCATGCCATGCCTGAACAGCCTGTGGGTACCCCCTCCTGCCTCTGTAAGAGCAGGTGGCACCCCCACCCATGGGTGTGATGGGTCAGTGTGCTCAGCCCTCAGTCCTCACTCACTGGACTGGGAGGGAAGGACCCAACCCCTGTCCAAAGGCTGCTGAGCCACAGCGAAGGGTCTCGTGGGGATGGCTCTCTTCCGGCTACTCCTTGCAAGCCTGCTCCCCAGCTGCCTGTCCCTGGGCCTCACCGCTGCAGCTCCCGGAGCCGCTCCATTTCCTGGTCCTTCTCCTGCGCTATGGCCGCCAAGCGCCGCTGGTGCTGGGCCGTAAGCTCAGCACGGGCCTGTTCGGCCTCCTGGCACTGCGACAGATACCGAGCTGACAGCTCTTCGTTCTCTCTCCGGAGCCGCTCCTCCCGTTGCTGGTACGATGTTTCTAGCACCTTGATGCGGCTTCTGCCAACAGAACACCCAGCCATGGCGCAAGGAAGGCAGAGGGCTGCCGCCTAAAGGCCTCTCCAGGCACACTGGGTGGCCTTTGGGGTCAGTGTGAGATCCAAGGCAGAGCTGGGGCCAGCGCCAGGGTACCTGTGTGCACTCTCGATGAGCTCCAGGTCTGCCTGGTGCTGCTGCTGCAGACTCCCCAGCAGCAGCTCATGCTGGGCCCGTTCTAGCTCCAGCTTCCGCACCTGGGAGACAGCAGGAGGGCCAGCAACCAGGGAGGGGAGGTGGCTGTACTCCACGCTGCCCTGTGCCAACAGCCCTTCCTCCCTCCTGGGGAAGCTTCCAGCCACTCTCAGTGTCCCCTCCTGTCGCAACCCTGCCACCAGCACCAACGGCCCCGCTGCCCCTCACCTGGGCCTCCAGCTCTGCCAGCCGGGCCTGGCTATGCAGCAGCTCGGCCTGGAGCTCAGCGGGGCTGCACTGAAGTTGCACCTGTGCTGCCAGGAGCTGCTTCTGGTATTCTGTGCTCGGCAGCAGGCTCCGGGCCAGGGACTCTGGGAGCAGGGGCTGGAGGAGAGGAAGAGAGGTGTTTCTAGTTAGGGAGGGGACAGGGGCCCAGCTGAGATCAGCTACCTCCTGGCCCACTGCTCACTGGACCTCCCTGCATCTGATCTGTGGCTGCAGATGGGGCCAAGGCCTTGGAAAGTAACAGTCACTGCGGCTAAGCAGTCCCCAGTGTACCTCCCCTTGCAGATCTGGTCAGGAGCATGTCTCCCTCCACCCTCCGGAACAGCTTCCTCCCCAGCATGGTCTCCGGCTTCCCAGACAAATGGCTGAACCCCAGCAGAGTCTTCGCTATGACAAAAGCTGATGCTGGCTTTTCCTGTCAGGCCTGAAGCCCACATGTTGACACTAATCTGGTTCCCACGAGCTGTCCCCTACCCACCATCTCCCAGGGACACACTCCTGGGGGGGGGGGGGGCACACCTCCCAGGCCCAGGTGTCACAGGTGACTGCCACACATGGGAAACAGAGGCAGAGGTGTGGTGGGAGGATGGCAAGGGTGGAGGAGGCTTTCTTGACAGAACAGGACCCTGCGGCCCTGCTTTCTGACTGCAGCATCCCAGCTCCCCGGCCTGGCTGCCTCCTTAAACTCCCCACTGATGTAGGCAAATTAACACCCAGCTCTGCCCAGGAGCAGCGAGGCTAGAAATTCAGGCAAGTTCTAGTGGGGGGTGCCCGGGGAGCTGGCTGACGTCACATTTGGTATGTTTGACACATTTTTCCTGGCAGGTCGTCAGGTCAAACTGTGGGTATTGCCCCTGGGCATGGAGAATTGCTCCCTAGGCCCTGAGCTAGACCTGTCTGCCCACACCCCTACCTGGACGGGCACGGAAGGCTCTGTGGGTTTCTGGGTGCTCGGGAAACACGTGGCAGGCTCTGAAACATCAACAACAGAGAAATGAACAGGAGGCCCAGGGCACTGGGCCTGCGAGTGTCCAGGAGGGGCTGGTGTAACTCATGTCCCAGGGACCCCAAAGGAAGCTCAAAGCACCTCTTCCTCACCCAGGGTTAAACTCCCAAATGAAGCAGCAAACAAAAAACAAACCAGTGGCTGAGAGGTCTCCAGGGGCTGTTCCCCTCTTTGGGGAACCTGTAGGGAGTGCTGAGGCGGCATGGTTCTGAGTCACAGGGGACCTGAGGACACAGGGATGGGGCATGGTGAGCAGCCTCTGTGTGGGACACGGGGACGGGGCAGGGTGGGCAGCCTCTAGGTGGGACATGGGGACGGGGCAGGGTGGGCAGCCTCTACGTGGGACACGGGGATGGGGCAGGGTGGGCAGCCTCTGCTGGGACACGGGGACGGGGCAGGGTGGGCAGCCTCTAGGTGGGACACGGGGATGGGGCAGGGTGGGCAGCCTCTGTGTAGGGCACAGGGACGGAGCAGGGTGGGCAGCCTCTGTGTGGGACACGGGGACGGGGCAGGGGCAGGGTGAACAGCCTCTGTGTCCCTCTCTCAGGACAGAGGCCTGTGCTGCCCACCATGCTCTCATTCCCACTCAGCCCGCAGCCCAGGCCTACCCCGAGACACCAGGCCTGACACACGGTCTTTCTCGTGCAGTTGTTCCAGAACTCCCTCCAGCAGCTGCGTGCTCAAGCCCTTGTGTGCTGGTGAGAGGTTGGCTGAGGAAAGGCAGCGTTCAAGGTGAAGGTGACAGAAGGCCCAGGTCAGGCTGGATGAAGACAGGGCCCAGGACGGGCTTCACACGTGAAGCTCGTGGCCCCCCTTCCTCCTGCTTCCACCATCCCGTCTTGGGGCATTCTCCTCCCACGTCTGAGCTCCTGGGATTTCTGGGCATCTCTTCCCTTCCAGTACCCCCTTCCTGCCTCAATGTCCACAGTGGTGCAGTGAATGGACACTGTCCAAGCAGTGACAACGGAAATGTTATAGACACTGGAGTCAAGTTCAAGTTCAGAGCCCTGTTCCAGTCCACTTAACTTGGCTCAGCTCTAGATTAGGATTCTGCTCAGTCTACCAAATCTGGCTGGCTCCCTTTCCCATTATTTCCACCTCTTTCTCGGCTCACGGGTCAGTGAAGAGACAGGCTCTTTTCTGTTTTGGCCTGAGCTTTCCCCTCGGCCTCAGGTCAAAGTCAAAACTGCCCTCCTGTCATCAACCCCAGGACAGGGTGATGTCCCTGGGCTGTCACAAATTGCCCAGTTCACTCCCCTGGGCTCTGGCCACAGCACATCTCACCACTTCCTCTGGACTCCCCCAGCCTGCTGGCCCCTTGTGCCTTCCTGCCTTCAGAGGTCACTCGCTATCCTGCCCCACGGATAAGGGCTTCTCCAAGAGGCGCCTCTCGGCCACTATGTCTCCTCTAACACTCTCAAAGAGCACAGGGACATCTCAGCTCACACACGCCATACTCGCTTCAGTGGAGTCGGCAGAAGCACCGGCTGTTTGGATGCCGGGGCTTCCAGCCTGAGGGCGCTGTGACAGGGCAGCGGTGTGTCTGCCACCTCAGGGACCCTCTGTCTTCTCCTCGATCAAGTTAGCACCTGTCCCCATGGCGGTCAGGGCATGAATGTCAACAGCCCTCCTTCTTGGGTATGTCCCTGGGGCAAGCCTGGGAGCCAGAGGCTCTCTCTGCAGTGCCTAAAAGGCAGAGTAGCAAAGCCAAGAAGCGGCCTCTGTGGCCACGGCGCCCTGCCTTGTTCCCCAACTGCTGACTGAGGCTGCAACAGGTGAAGGGGCAAAGGGGCTCCTCAAGTCCCCAGCCAGTCCTCCCCCTACTAGCCACAGCAGCCTAAGTCAGTACCTGCCAGAAGGGGGATGGCCCGCTGTCCCCGCCAAATGCAGGCCCTCAGAGGTCCCAGCATGCTGCTCTCTGGCCAGGCCTTGGGACTTCTTCCGAGACAGGGCATGGCTCAGCCAGTCCTCTTTCTCCTCCTTGGAGGCTCGCAGCTTGGAAGCCTGGCTGGCTTTGGCAGGGGACCCTGCACCTTCAGTTGGTGGCTTTGCCCTGGAGGGGGGCAGCCCAGCTGGCGTGGAGTGCTGGCTCGCAGGAGGAGGCACTGAGGGCGTGACAGGCACTGAACTTTCCCGATGGGCCTCTCTGGTGGGTGAGGCAGGGAACAGGTCCAAGTCCTCGTCCTTGAGGCCCAACCAGTCAGCTCCTCCCTTCCTGGGCTGGATGGGGCTGGAAGCCATTGGAGGGCTCTGTTTGGAGCCTGGTTCTCCCTTGGGGTCTGCGCCACTGTCTGCGAAGAACCTACTTCAAGACAGAAAGGAGGGTGTCAGGCAGGGGAAACAGCCAGTCCCAGTGGCCCCCTAGCAGCCTGCAGCTGGGCGTCACGATGCCCAGGGACCCTGCACAGTCAGCTGAGGCCCAGTGAGCAGTGGCTCCTGGACCGGCTCAGGTGGCAGGCCACGTGCTGTCTGTAGAACACCACGAAGTACAGAGACCTTGACTTCCATCACATGAACCAGGGACAGTTCTACCCACAGAGAACAGGAACAGGATCAAATGACAGCCATGGGCACACAGGTCTAAAGAAAAATCAGGCCGAGCACGGTGGCTCATGTCTGTAATCCCAGATCTTTGGGAGGCCAGGGTGGGCAGATCGCTTAAGGCCAGGAGTTCAAGACCAGCCTGGCCAACATGTGAAACCCCATCTCTACTAAAAACACAAAAAAATTAGTCAGGTGTGGTGGTGGGCGCCTGTAATCCCAGCTACTTGGGAGGCTGAGGCATGAGAATTGCTTGAACCCGGGAGGCAGAGGTTGTGGTAAGCCGAGATCATGCCACTGCACTCCAGCCTGGGCGACAGAGTGAGACTCTGTCTAAAAAAAATAATAATAAGTTGGATCAAGTGGTTTCCAGGTTTTCCAACAACAGTTACTTCATTTGTTCGGCCGTGGCCTTCATCTGTCACTGACCAGTGGCAGCAGGTTCCCAGGGTTAAGAACGTACTGGGTATGGGAAGTAATGCCGATGTGCTTAGAGCTATTCAGATAGAAAGAGGATGAAGAAGCCAACCTGGCAAATGGGAACAACTGCTGAACCTGGGAAAGGATGAGAGGGGCTCCTGGTGCTGTTCTTACAACTTCTGAAGTTTTTTTTTGAGACGGAGTCTCGCTCTATTGCCCAGGCTGGAGTGCAGTGAGTGGTGCAATCTCAGCTCACCACAACTTCCGCCTCTAGGATTCAAGCTATTCTCCTGCCTCAGCCTCCCGAGTAGCTGGAATCACAGGCGCCCACCACCACGCCCAGCTAATTTTTGTATTTTCAGCAGAGACGGGGTTTCACCATGTTGGCCAGGCTGGTCTTGAACTCCTGACCTCAGGTGATCCACCTGCCTTGGTCTCCCAAACTGCTGAGATTACAGGCATGAGCCACCATACCCAGCCGACTTTTGAAGTTTGAAATTACTTCAAAATACAAAGTTTAAAATATATACTGGCAAAAGAACTCCAAACTCAGAAAATCCTATCACTGATTTAATTTTTTTTTTTGTAAACTGAGAGGATCACGCTGTCAGAATTGTCACGGCAGGTTCGACAGCAGAGTTCCTGGGAAGCGGGGTCTAAGAAGCCACCGCAGATGCCAGTGGTCTTGCTACCCATCAGGAAGTATGTTCCTTGGGGAGACCGAGCGACATCACAGCCTTTTATGATTTCAGGGGCTTTAGGTGGAGGCAGGCCCACCTGCCCCTTTCCTTCTGAGGCTGGGTGGGGCACTGGCGAACCTGAGCAGCGTCTGGGATGGGGGTTCCCACTGGGGCCATCTCCTCCACTCTGTCTGGGCTGGCGGGACCAGGCCATCTCCCGCTTCCTTCAGCACCTGCAGAGCTGAGGGCCTTGTACCCTGTGGCCTCCCACATGAGACTCTCGGGTGGGACAGGGGACAGCTGCAGGGGCCTGTCTTCCCAGTGGCCGACCTGTCTCAAGAGGCCAAGCCTCCTGCAGGCCCCACTTACCTGACAGACTGCCGGCGGGACTGCCGGCCCTCAGAGGAGACCACAGTGGGCTGATAGGCTCCAAAGGTGAAGTCCTCGTCACCCCACATATCTTCACTGTCTGTGAATTAAGGAGCCTGTGACCGTGATCTGGAGTAGGGGAACCAAGCTCATTTGCGGCTGCAAAATTCTAACAAAAGCTGAATTTGGTAGCTTGTTGTGTAAGACAAGCAGAGGGAAGCTGCTGTGAAGGGAGCACCTCAGGCACTGGCCAGGAAGATGCAGTGGCCTTGCAGTAGCCAGACCCTGCCCCAGGATCCCTCGAGGTCAGGTCCAGCGAGCGGCATGTGTCACAAGAATGATTCTCAGCAGACAGCTTGTGGGCTGATGC
The DNA here is from genome assembly GCF_000001405.40 of Homo sapiens. Taxonomy (NCBI): domain Eukaryota; kingdom Metazoa; phylum Chordata; class Mammalia; order Primates; family Hominidae; genus Homo; species Homo sapiens. The sequence goes on from NC_000017.11 coordinate 75,925,717, forward strand.
TTTGAGAAACATGTCCAGAGCAGTGCTTTTCAAATGCGAGCTGCTACCCATGAGAGGGCTGAGAAACCAGCTTAATGTGTCACAGCCAGTGTGTTTCCAAATCAAACAGCATCTCAATCATAGACAACTGAGCACGAACAGTGGTCACGGTAAGTATTATTTCACGGTAAGTATTATTTTGTCTCAGCTATAGACGTGTATAATCACATGTGTGTATCAGGATGTGAGGCTGATTTCTCATTATAGGTTGTGATGAAAGCCTGATCTAGAGGCCTCCCTCCCGTCCTGTTGCGGCCCCCGCAAGCCTCCTTACCCTGTGGCCTCTGGTACTTCTTGTCTAGCTTGAACTCCCTGTGCTCCCCGGTGCCCGGGCGGGCCAGGAGTTTGGTGGCCATGCCTCGACCCAGCAGCTCATCCAGCGTGGAGCGAGCAGGGCGAGGCCCTTCCCTGCAGGACGGGACACACGGCAGGAACGTGTAGGTATGAGGGGCTCTCGGGAATCCCACAGTACCCGTCCACCAGCTTTTCCCTGAACCTGAGGCAGCAGCCTGGCCTACTCAGGGATCCTTACTGGTCTCCTATCTGCCTCTTCTCTGCTTTGGGGCTGTCTCCAAACCCCAAGGTGGCCATGATGTCATCCCCATCATCAAACAACAATTCTTCTTTTTTTCGGATGGGGGTGTCCCCAGGAGTTAGAGGAATAGAGGGACCTGAAAGACAAAACAAGGCCCAATGCCTGCAGCCTTCTTGCCCTCAACTGTGATATCTGAATGGGGTTGGGGGTGGTTTCTCTGCACCTTTGGGTAGGACGACAGGCTTTAGACCTGCCTGGTCTGTCCACGGGACCCAATTCCTCCAGCCTACTCCCAGACTCACACGTCCTACCTTCCTATTCCTAAAGGCTGATGATCTCTTTGTACTGGACCTTAGACCTCTGGTCCCCACCTGGGAGAGGCCTCTGGTTCTGCACCAGAAAGGCTGGTTAGCTTGTTGCCAATAAACTCTTCCTCCAGGATGGGAAATGAGCCCACTCCACCCTACCTTGATCTCTCACTGTGCTGGGGCTCTTGTCAGAAGCTGTTTTACTCTGTGTCACAGGCGGCTGCTTGGTGATTCCTCCTTCATCATAGGAGAGAAGTCCTCTCAATGGGTCTTCCAAGTCTCACAGCAGAAGGGAAAGCACAGGTCAGACTGCAGCACTTAGTTGAGGAAAAGCAAGCCTGAACTGGGGAGCAGCGCTCGAGTCAAGGCTTCTAGCTGCTCCAGTACATAAACAAGCCCCCTGGCATCTGGAGGGTGGGGCCTGGGGCAACGGGGACTCCACAAAAAGACAGGCCGGGCAAGGAGAGAGGGAGTTGGAGGGCGGCCCTGGACCTACGGGGCCTGCCTCAGGCTTGCCGGTGGGGCCTCTGACTCTGCAGGCTGCATGGCCTTCTGGAAATGTCCCTCAAGCATCAGAAGAGAAGTAAAATATCCACACATTCATGACGGGAAAGGGGCTCCTTCCTATACTTGGGAAGATCTTCAGTTTGATGCCTGGCTTTAAGGTCTTTGCAAATAAGTTCCCTAATATCTCAGCCAATACAATATAGCTGGTCCCGACATGAATTCACGAGGAAGTAAACCAGTGGCACCCATGTGACATAGGCAGCAGCTGGGCCTCGGGCCAGCAAGCATGCCTAGGCTGCTCCACTCCCAAACCAGAGTGTCCCAGAGGCATGACAGGAGCCTATGGTACCTTCAGAGGAAAACCTCCTGTTCTGATGCCCAGAGCTGCTGGGAGACGGAAGTGACTTCTTGGTGGGAATGGCACCCCCTGCAGGAAGCAGAAGACAAGGTCATGGGCCTGAGTCTCTCCTGGCCAAAGTCCTCCTCCCATATCATGGACTGGGGCCCCTGGGATGGGGTGCACTTCTTCCTGGGAAGCTGGGGGCTCATGGCCATGGGCACAGCCAAGGGAGGAGTCTCCAGTTCTGCCATGGGCTTCTGGCAGGGAAACGAGGTAGGAGCTACCTCTGCTTCCTCATCATGAGTCACTCCAGAGACATGGGTTCAGGAGAGGCACAGGCTGCCATAGAGTTCTCCATTTTAACTCACACAGCTTCTCCAGGAGCTGCCCATGTTGGACCCAGAGGGCCTGGAACAGCTCGAGGAAGGGAGGAAACTCAAGCTGTCCCCTTACCCCACCACACACACTCAAACACACACACGCACAAATGCTCCTTGGCCTCTCCATCCTGTGCAGAGAAAACCCAAGGACATGAACGCTTCCTACTAGCATCTTCCACGTCCTCAAAGTCTCCCTAGCAGATGCGAGGAGCCGTCTCCCATGCACCTTTCTCACTGGCTACTGACCCACCTGCAGGCTTGGGGTGGTTGGGCAGCTCTCCTTTCCCAGGGTCCTTTGCAGCTTTTTTGCTAGGGGCTGAATTAGATTTCTTCAGACCTAAGATATCAGCATCCATGCCGTCCAGGTCCTAGAAAACCAGGGAGGGAGGGCAGAGGACTATGTCTGATAAGGGGCTGAGGACTTCCACCTGAGAGAGATGGGCTGTTGGCACCCCAGGTGTAGAATTGTGAGAAAACAAAGGAAAATGAGAAAACTGTTGAGAAAAACAGTGAGTGAAGAAAGAAAATGGAACTAAAGGTAAGCAGGGGGAGGTGGAATGGAGTCCAGCTCATGGTTCTGGGATGAGAGACTCAAAGTCAGCACCAAAAATTGAGTCAGAGGACTTGTGGGTTATGCCCAGGGATCCTAGGTGGCTGGTCTCGGGAAAAAAGCTTTCTTTTTTTTCTTTTTTTAGACAGGATATTGGCCGGGCGCGGTGGCTCATGCCTAGAATCCCAGCACTTTGGGCCGAGGCAGGTGGATCACCAGGTCAAGAAATCGAGACCATCCTGGCCAACATGATGAAACCCTGTCTCTACAAAAAATACAAAAATTAGTTGGGTGTGGTGGTGCACGCCTGTAATCCCAGCTACTTGGGAGGCTGAGGTAGGAGAATCGCTTGAACCTGGGAGGTGGAGGTTGCAGTGAGCCGAGATCATGCCACTGCACTCCAGCCTAGGCAACAGAGCAAGACTCCGTCTCAAAAAAATAAAAATAAATTAAAAATAAAATAAAATAAAGACAGAGTCTCACTCTGTCACCCAGGCTGGAGTGAAGTGGTGCGATCATAGCTCATTGCAGCCTCCAACTTCTGAGCTCAAGTGATCCACCTGCCATGGCCTCCCAAAGTGCTGGCATTACAGGAGTAAGCCACCATGCCAGACTTTTTTTTTTTTTTTGAAGACAGAGTCTCACTCTGTCACCACCCAGGCTGTAGTGCAGTGGTGTGATCATAGCTCATTGCAGCCTCCAACTCCTAGGCTCAAGCGAGCCTACTGCCTCGGCCTCCCAAAGTTCTGGGATTACAGGTGCCTGGCCTTTGAGGAGAAAGATTTCAAGATGAGATTAAAGAAGCTGAATCTGGACCGGGTGTGGTGCCTCATGCCTGTAATTACAGTATTTTGGGAGGCCAAGGTAAGAGAATCGCTTAAGGCCAGGAGTTTAAGGTTGCAATGAGATCACACCACTGCACTCCAGCCTGGGTGATAGAATGCGATGGTGTCTCTAAAAAAAAACCCAAAAAACAAAAATACACAACAAAAACAAGAGCCCCACAGGGCTGTAACCAAAAACGCGGCTTTGTCCTAGGGACTGTGGCAAAATGGGTTAACTAAAAGGGACACAAAACCCCAAGGGTCAGACAGGAAGGTGCTGCTGGCTGGAAGGAGAGGGAGAACAAGGTGTCTTAGGCCAAGCTAGAGATTATGTCCTTACAAATTATTCAGAATCTGTGCCTTAAAAATCCATTGCAAAGATTGGCGCTGGGCTTGATCTGATGAGAAGACAGCAGTATTGAAGGGGGCTTGGCAGGGGATGTGGAGAGAAATATGGAGAAAGATTAAGAACAAGCATTAGAGGAAAGAGTCTCCCCCTCTGTCTTCTAGGTGGAGGTGAGGGGACCCAGCTAGGTGGGCCTCCGAGTAGAGCTGGCCCCGTTTCCCCAGAGGCCTGTGGCACTCTCCACTCTCTATATACCAGGAACACTGGTTGATACTCAGAAAGGCAAGGAGGCCAACGGCTCACAGACGAGTTCCATGCTTGCACGAGGAAGGGCTCAGAAACACAGGTTGTAAAGGGAGAAATTAGAAGGAGAATGAAGCTTTGGTACAAAATATCATGACCCCACCCCACCCACCCCCAGTTCTAAGAATCGTGCAAGCTGTTTCCTTACCTTCATGGCCTGGAGCAGAGCCTGTGGGTCTGCCTCTGAGATACCTGAAACCTAAGTCCACAATGAGGGTGAGGACACAGATGAGGAGGCACATTAGTCAAGGCCCAATAAAACTCAGGGTCCTGGCCCCTTGCTTCTGTTAGGGCAGACGGCGCGGCAGGAGCAGAGCTTGGCCAATGGAGCTTACACAGGAGGGTGGCTTTGTTCCCCTTGCTTGGGCTTGGCAGTTGTTTGAAGCCAAACCTGCCTGGTTTTAGAGACTCAGAGAGCACTGCCATTCCTACTCCTTCCAACCATAGAGAACTCTTCCATCCAGGACTGAAATTCTGCTACTTCCCACCCATGCCAATGGACAGCTATGGAGTTTATAAGGGGAAAGGAGCAACATCTAAGACTCTAGCAGTTTCAGGGAGCTCTCCTTTCCACTCATCTTACTACAGGAAAGAGGATTCTGCTTTGGGTCCACTCGGCAGCCCTTGGGCATTATTTACAGTGGCTCACGCCTGTAATCCCAGCACTTTGGGAGGCCGAGGCGGGTAGATCACTTGAGGTCAGGAGTTTGAGGCCAGCCTGGCCAATGTGGTGAAACCCCGTCTCTACTAAAAATACAAAATTACCTACTAAAAATACAAAAATTATTTTCTTTGGCTGGGCACGGTGGGTCAGCCTGTAATCACAGTACTTTGAGAGGCCGATGTGGGTGGATCAAGAGGTTAGGAGTTTGAGACCAGCCTGACCAACAGGGTGAAACCCCATCTCTACTAAAAATACAAAAATCAGCCAGGCGTGGTGGTGGGTGCCTGTAATCCCAGCTACTCAAGAGGCTGAGGCAGGAGAATCGCTTGAACCAGGAGGCGGAGATTGCAGTGAGCCAAGATCGCACTACTGCATTCCAGCCTGGGCGACAGAGGGAGACTCCATCTCAAAACAAAAACAACAACAACAAAAATTAGCCAGTCATGGTGGCAGGCACCTGTAAGCCCAGCTACTTGGGAGGCTGAGGCAGGAGAATTGCTTGACCCCGGGAGGCAGAGGTTGCAGTGAGCCGAGATCACACCACTGCACTCTAGCCTGAGCAACAGAGGGAGACTCCATCTCAAAAAACAAACAAAAAGAACAAAGTGACTTTGCAGGGACTTCTAAACCCTTCCGTGGGCAGCCCCTTGGCCACAACACCCATCTCAGTGTTTCTGGGGATAAGTAGGGAGGTGGAGGGAAACAGCCAGGCTCACCTCAGCATCAGCTTCTTCCAGGCCTGCCATGGTGCTGAAGACATCATCACCCAGGAGGGACCTGCAAAGGGGAGGCGTCAGCCCCTACCTGCATCCCAGGGCACTGGATGACTCTAAAAAGGGGAGGAGTAGCTTAGAAAGCCCAAGGAATCTCGGATAGGTCTCTCCGGAGAACAGAGGTGCTAAAAGGAATGTCACAGGCCACCTGATGCAGTGATTTTCAACTTTGTTAGCAGTAGAACTGCTTCAAAAACAAATTGTTAAAAACCATAGGGCTGGGTGTGGGGGCTCATGCCTGTAATCCCAGCACTTTGGGAGGCCGAGGCAGGTGGATCACTTGAGGTCAGGAGTTTGGGACCAACCTGGCCAACATGGTGAAACCCCATCTCTACTAAAAATACAAAAATTAGCCAGGCGTGGTGGCGGGCACCTGTAATCCCAGCTACTCAGGAGGCTGAGGCAGGAGAATCACTTGAACCGGGAGGTGGAGGCTGCAATGAGCTGACATTGCGCCACTGCACTCCAGCCTGGGCGACAGAGCAAGACTCTGTCTCAAAAAATAAAGTAAAAAAAAAAAAGTAAGAAAAACAACTGCTCCAGATCACAAGAGGGAGGAGGGCTCAGAAAATTCCTCCCTATCTCTCATCTGTGGGGTATTCATTCTTATCTTAGAAGAACAAACACAATTTGAAAATCACTGATCTAGGCCAATCCTTTAATTCTGAGGATAAGAAAATGAGGGCTCAGAGAAGTTCAGAAACTGCCCAAGGTCATATCATAAGTAACAGATAGAGGATAGAAGCCAGGACTGCTGACCTTTTGTGCAGTTCTCTTTAACTTCCCCAGGCTCCTTCAATAAAACCAGGAGCTGGCCAGGCGCGGTGGCGCACGCCTGTAATAACAGCACTTTGGGAGGCCAAGGTGGGCAGATCACCTGAGATCAGGAGTTCGAGACCAGCCTGGTCAACATGGTGAAACCCCATCTCCACTAATAACAAAGTAGCCAGACGTGGTGGTGTGTGCCTGTAATCCCAACTGCGTGGGAGGCTGAGGCAGGAGAACTGCTGGAACCTGGGAGGCAGAGGTTAGAGTGAGCCGATCGCACCACTGCACTCCAGCCTGGGTGACAGAGTGAGACTCCATCTCAAAAAAAGAGAGAAAATAAAAATAAATAAATAAATAAACAAAACCAGGAGCTGAGGGAAGTGGGTGGAAATTAACTGACATTAGAAGTGAGCACGGCCAGGTGCGAGTGACTCACACCTGTAATCCCAGCACTTTGGGAGACTGAGTGGATCGCTTCAGCCCAGGAGTTCAAGACCAGCCTGGGCAATGTGGTAAAATTGTCTTCACTAAAAATACCAAAATTAGCCGGGTGGGCCGGGCATGGTGCCTCACGCCTGTAATCCCAGCACTTTGGGAGGCCGAGGTGGGCGGATCACCTGAGGTCAGTTTGAGACCAGCCTGACCAATATGGTGAAACCTTGTCTCTACTAAAAATACAAAAATTAGCCAGGTGTGGTGGTGGGCACCTGTAGTCCCAGCTACTTGGGAGGCTGAGACAGGAGAATTGCTTGAACCGGGGTGGTGGAGGTTGCAGTGAGCCGAGATGGTGCCACTGCACTCCAGCCTCGGCAACAAATATTCTCTAAAAAAAAAAAAAAAAAAAATGGCGAGCAAATGTGAAGTAGAAAGTGGGGGGTGGAGGGGCAGAGAGCATTTAGACTGAAGTAGGTCATGGATACCCAGTCGGACCCTGCCCTTACTTTGTTCTCGCCTTTGAAGAAGGGAACATCTGAGATACACCTGTGGTGTCTCTGGTATGTGAAGCTAGTTTAACAGGCTTCTCAGGTAGTGTCACTGGAAAAAAAGAAAAGAGAAAACGTGTCATTTAACTAAAGGTACCTGGAGTCAAGATGCAAAGGCTGGCAAGCTCCCTTCCCAAGCTGTCTCTGTATTAGGAGGAAGAAATCTGGCCAAATAGGCAGGTCCCAATGTCACCCCTTGGAAAACCTGAATGGGAGAGAGGGTGGTACATTTCCAAGGAGGAAGTCAACCCTAAATGCCAAATACCAAATGAAGAGCCCAACCCAACCCAACCCAACTCAATGCACCCCAAGGAAATGCATGAGGAACAATTGCTTTTCCACAGCCCAAAACTGTAGGCTGGAATACATGGGCTGGAATACATTAGCCAGGCGTGGTGGTGGGTGCCTGTAATCCATCCCAGCTACTCAGTAGGCTGAGGCAGGAGAATCGCTTGAACCGGGAGACGGAGATTGCAGTGAGCTGAAATTGCGCCACTGCACTCCAGCCTGGGTGACAGGAGCTTTGTGGGTTCTCTGGGGCCATGTAGGGGAAACCTAAGTCTCTCTGTCCCTGGTGAGCTTTACATGACCATGAAGCCAGGTTCCTTAATAGACCAACACGAACACAAATAATATGGATTAGCATCCAGAATCTACAAGGAACTCTTTTAACTCAACGATAAAAAGACAAGTAACCCAATTAAAAAGGGGCAAAGGATCTGAACAGACATTTCTCCAAAGATATACACGTGGCCAATAAACACATGAAAAGATGCTGAACATCATTAGTCATTAGGGAAATGCACATCAAAACTACAATGAGATACCCACTTTACACCCTCTAGGATGGCAATCATCAAAAAGAAGGAAAACAAGTATTAGCAAGGATGTAGAGGAACTAGAGCCATCTTACACTGTTGGTGGGATGTAAAATGGCACAGCTGCTGTGGAAAAGCAGTCTCCTCAAAAAGTTAAACATACAGTTACCATATGGTCCAGGAATTCCAAATGAACTGAAAACACATGTCCGCCCAAAAACTAGTACACGAACGTTCATAACAGCATTATTCATAACAGCCGAAATGTGGAAATATCTCAGATATCCATCAACTGATGAAGGGATTAAACAAAATGTGATTTATCTACACAATGGAACATTATCTAGCCATAAAAAAGTTAAAGTACTGATTCATGCCACAGTGTGGATAAACTTGGAAAATATTATGCTACATCAGAGAAGCTACGTGTGCTAGGCATGGTAGCTCATGCCTGTAATCCCAACACTTTGGGAGGCTGAGGCAGGTGTTTGAGGCCAGGAGTTCAAGATCAGCCTGGCCAACATGGCGAAAACCCATCTCTACTAAAAATACAAAAAGTAGCTGGTTGTGGTGGTGCATGCCTGTAACCCCAGCTACTTGGGAAGCTGAGGCACGAGAATCGCTTGAACTCAGGAGGCAGAGGCAGAGCCGAGATGGTGCCACTGCACTCCAGCCTGGGTGACACAGTGAGACTCTGTCTCAAAAAAAAAAAAAAAAAGCTAGATGTAAAGGTAAGATGCTGGCCGGGCGCGGTGGCTCAATACCTGTAATCCCAGCACTTTGGGAGGCCAAGATGGGTGGATCACCTGAGGTTGGGAGTTCGAGACCAGACTGACCAACGTGGAGAAACCCCCATCTCTACTAAAAATACAAAATTAGCTGGGCGTGGTGGCGAGCGCCTGTAATCCCAGCTACTCAGGAGGCTGAGGCAGGAGAATTGCTTGAACCTGGGAGGTGGAGGTTGCGGTGAGCCGAGATTGCGCCATTGCACTCCAGCCTGGGCAACAAGAGTGAAACTCTGTCTCAAAAAAAAAAAAAAAAAAAGGTAAGATGCTGTGTGATTCCATTTTATGTAAAGTGTCCACAATAGGCAAATCCATAGAGACAGAGAGTAAATAATAAGTGCTTGCCTAAGGTTGGAGGGAGGAGAGAATGAAATTGACTACTAATGGGCATGGGGTTTCTTTAAGGGGTGATGGAAAATGTTCCGGAATTAGGTAATGTTGATGGTTGTACAACTTTTGAATATTCAAAAACCACTGAGTTGTACACTTTACAGGAGTGGACTTTATGCTATATAAATTACATCTCATTTTTTTTTTTTTTTTGAGACGGAGTCTCGCTCTGTCGCACAGGCTGGAGCGCAGTGGTGCAACGTTGGCTCACTGCAACCTCCGCCTCCTGGGTTCAAGTGATTCTCCTGCCTCAGCTTTCCAAGTAGGTGGGATTACAGGCGCCCGCCACTATGCCCAGCTAATTTTTTTTTGTATTTTTAGTAGAGATGGGGTTTCGCCATGTTGGTCAGGCTGGTCTTGAACTCCTGACCTTGTGATTGGCCCTCCTCCTCCTCCCAGAGTGCTGGGATTACAGGCGCATATATCTCAATTTTTAAAAAAGGCCGGGTGTAGTGGCTTATGCCTGTAATCCCAGCACTTTGGTTTAGGAGGCGGGAGGATCATTTCAGTCCAGAAGCTTGGGACCAGCCTGGGCAACATAGTAAGAAAAAAAAGCAACAGCAGCAGCCCAAATTAGGGGATTCTGGGCAAGGCACACTTACTATCATCCCCTAGAAGGTCACCAAGAAAATCATCAATGGAGCCTGGAACAGAAAAGGGACTGTCATGACTTCAGGAGGAAAGAAGAGTGGCCCTTATAAACATCAAGGCTTGAGACTCGCCAGAAGGCGTCAGACCTTTCAGATGTTGGGACTTAGGCTTAGCTCTCCTTTCATTGGCCACGAGATGTTTTACAAGTTTCTGGCAACAAGTCACAAAGCCTTGTTGAAATACCCCGAGGCAGAAATTTAAATAACTATCTCAGGCTGGGCGCAGTGGCTCACACCTGCAATCCCAGCACTTTGGGAGGCCGAGGCGGGTGGATCACCTGAAGTCAGGAGTTCGAGACCAGCCTGACCAACATGGCAAAACCCTGTCTTTACTAAAAATACAAAAAAAATGGCTGGGCGCGGTGGCTCACACCTGCAATCCCAGCACTTTGGGAGGCCAAGGCGGGTGGATCACCTGAAGTCAGGAGTTCGAGACCAGCCTGGCTAACACAGTGAAACCCTGTCTCTACTAAAAATACAAAAAATTAGCCAGGTGTGGTGGCATGTGCCTGTAGTCCCAGGTACTCGGGAGGCTGAGGCAGAAGAATCACTTGAACCCGGGTGGCAGAGTTTGTAGTGAGCCGAGATCGCACCACTGCACTCCAGCCTGGGCGACAGAGCGATACGCCGTCTCAAAAAACAACAAAAAGACCCCCCCCAAAATTAGCTGGGCCTGGTGGCGCATGCTTGTAATCCCAGCTACTGGAGAGGATGAGGCAGGAGAATTGCTTGAACCTGGGAGGCAGAGGTTGCAGTGAGCCGAGATCGCGCCACTGCATTCCAGCCTGGGTGACAGAGCAAGACGCCGTCTCAAAAACAAACAAACAAACAAAACCAAAACAAAAATTAGCCGGGCATGGTGACACATGCCTGTAATCCCAATTACTGGGGAGGCTGAGGCAGAAGAATTGCTTGAAACTGGGAGGCAGAGGTTGCAGTGACCTGAGATCACGCCATTGCACTCTACCCCGGGCAACAGAGCAAGACTCCGTCTTAAAAAAAAAAACAAAAAAACACAACTATCTGAAAGGATGATGGTGCAGATTTTCAGCAGAACCTATATTCTACCTGCCTACCATGACACACTGGCCAAAGATCAGTCTTCCAGACCCTGAACACAGCCCAGTGCAGCTCGCTGGGAAGAGTGCCCAAGATTTCTAGGCACATGGAGGCTACTTTCAGACAAGTAGGCTCCTTGTACCCTTCCATCTAAGACCCCCCAGAACTGGTCTGGATGTCCTCATCAATGGCCACTTTCTGATGGAGGCATGTGGGGGAACCTAAGTATGAATATCGAATTCGTTTCCCCACACCAGCTTTCCCACCCTGAATCCCAACCACATATTTCTGGATACAGAGCCCAAGGAGGAGGATTTTTTCCAAAACCTCATATCTTATTTACGTCTGAACTTCTCTGAGGACCAGTGAGGCAACATAAGGAAGACCAAGGCTGCCTACGGAATAATGGGAAGAACAGCAAGACTGATCAAAAACATTTTTTTTTTTTTTGAGACGGAGTCTCACTCTGTTGCCCAGGCTGGAGTGCAGTGGTGAGATCTCGGCTCACTGCAAGCTCCGCCTCCTGTGTTCACACCATTCTCCTGCCTCAGCCTCCCGAGTAGCTGGGACTACAGGCACCCGCCACCACGCCCGGCTAATTTTTTGTATTTTTAGCAGAGACGGGGTTTCATCGTGTTAGCCAGGATGGTCTCGATCTCCTGACCTCATGATCCACCCACCTCGGCCTCCCAAAGCGCTGGGATTACAGGTGTGAGCCACCGTGCCCGGCCCAAAAACATTTAAATAAACACATCTCATTGTTCCAGGACCAAAGGGGAAAAAGATATATATTTGGCTTAAGAGTAATGTTCCATCTCTCCACTCACCTTTACATCCTTTCTTGGTTTTTGGTGCCTAAAATGGGAAAAACAAATCACATCAAGAAAACCAAACAGTGAACACAGGTGGAAATTGGCAATGCAGAATGAATTGCGTTGCCTTTTGCCAAGTAACCAGAGGCAAGAGCACCAATGGCATTTAGAGATGTAAGTCCTTTATGTGTTCCTATAGTTTCTGAGAACGGACTCATTCAGAGCGTGGAAACAGCCCTGCTAACCAGCGATGGGTGCCAATGGGCGGGCAGGTCACTCCTTTCCCAGACACGACATGCAAACCCTCCCAGCCGAGATGTCATGTGACCGGAAATGTCTTCTATTCCGTGCCCCTGACTCCTCAATACCAGTGACAGACACTTAAAAACGCTTCCAGCTGGACACTCAGAGTCTCAGAAGAAACCTTGGTCGTCGAAAGTTTGGTATCAATGCCACCTCCTGTCACTCTTCTCCAGGGTCTCCATCCTGGTCCTTGCCGCCCAGCCCCCAGAGTGTTGCATGCAGTCAAGATCTTTGGGGATGCAGGATGGGAGGCATGTTCGCTTTCCATGCATCTTACTCTGAACTCTGCCTACCATCTCACGGCTCTCGGGGGTGCTCTCAGCTCCTTCACAGCACTGGCCAGCTCATCTGGATTCTGCCCACATCAGGCTCATACTCCCTAATGAAGAAAATTAAAGTGGTTGCTTAAAAATGATGTAGCTTTGGCTGGGCGCCATGGCTCACGCCTGTTAATCCCAGCACTTTCAGAGGCCAAGGCGGGGGGATCACCTGAGGTCAGGAATTCAAGACCAGCCTGGCCAACATGGTGAAACCCTGTCTCTACTAAAAACAAAAATTAGCTGGGTGTGGTGGTGTACATCTGTAATCCCGCAGCAGGAGGCTGAGGCAAGAGACTCGTTTGAACCGGGGAGGTGGAAGCTGCAGTGAGCCAAGACCGCGCCACTGCACTCCAACCTAGGCAACAGAGTGAGACTCCATCTCAAAAAAAAAAAAAAAAAAAAAAGAGACCGGGCGCGATGGCTCATGCCTGTAATCCCAAAACTCTTTGGGAGGCCGAGGCAGGTGGACTACCTGAGGTCAGGGGTTCGTGACCAGCTTGGCCAACATGGTAAAACCCCACCTCTACTAAAAAATACAAAAAATTAGCTGGGTGTGGTGGCAGGCACCTGTAATCCCAGCTACTTGGCAGGCTGAGGCAGGAGAATCGCTTGAACCCGCTAGACGGAGGTTGCAGTGAGCTGAGATCATGCTATGCATTCTAGCCTGGGCAACAGAGCAAGACTCCATCTCAAAAAAAAAAAAAGATGTAGGTTTAACAGCATGAATCCAAGGGTTATCAAAGTTCTCTCACTTTGCCCATTCAAGAGGTAAAGCCCATTTCCATAAATTAAAAATTCCTTATAGGGGATGCACTTCAGAAGAGGAGCAAAGTACTCTCAGGCTGGGCGCGGTGGCTCACACCTGTTATCCCAGCACTTTGGGAGGCTGAGGTGGGCAGATCATTTGAGGTCAGGAGTTCAAGACCAGCCTGACCAACATGGTGAAACCCCATTTCTACTAAAAATACAAAAATTAGCTGGGCATGGTGGCATATGCCTGTAATCTCAGCTACTCAGGAGGCTGAGGCAGGAGACTAGGTTGAACCTAGGAGGAGAAGGTTGCAGTGAGCCGAGATCGCCCCACTGCACTCCAGCCTGGGCAACATGCGAGACTCTGTCTCCAAAAAAAAAAAAAAAAAAAAAACGTGCTCTGGATAACTTAATGGGCTTTCTGAGGCTTTGAGATTACTTGAAAAAAGGGCAGTGGCCATCATCCCTTACCCTGAAAGCCGATGCAGCAAGTGGCAAGTACTCATTTCAGAAAGGAGGTGGGTGCCTGGCACCAAGGCTGAAACCCTTTCCCAGGCAACACCCATGACTACTTTCTAGGCAGCATTTAGCACAAAAGCAGGTATGAACTCTGGTTACTCTTTGATATTCTTTTTCTTTTTAAAATTTTTTTTTTCGAGACGGGGTCTCACTGTGTTACTCAGGTTGGTATTGAACTCTGGGGCTCAAGCAATCCTCCTGCGTTGGTCTTCCAAAGTGCTGGGATTACAGGTGTGAGCCACCACGTCCAGCAACACGATTTTCACTGACAGTGGAAATATTTCCCTTTACATAGGCAGTAAATCTGACCCATTGAGAACATTTTCCTCGGAATTAGCTGTCTCCCTCCCCCTCCTCCACTTTACCAAAACCCACCTACAGGATGTCCTGGAAGAAAGGAGTCAGAGGGGTCCTCTTTATGTCCCAAGTATTGGCCTGTCCTGTTATTGGAATGCAAGGGTTATCTGGGCTTACCTACAGAGCCCACCCTGAATACATGTGTTTTCTTTTTTTTCTTTTTTTAGACGGAGTCTTGCTCTGTTGCCCAGGATGGAGTGCAGTGGTGCGATCTTGGCTCACCACAACCTCAGCCTCCCGGGTTCAAGCGAATCTCCTGCCTCAGCCTCCCGAGTAGCTGGGAATACAGGCACATGCCACCATGCCCGGTTAATTTTTGTATTTTTAGTAGAGACGGGGTTTCACTGTTGGCCAGGAGGTCTCGAACTCCTGACCTCGTGATCTGCCCGTCTCGGCCTCCCAAAGTGCTAGGATTACAGGTGTGAGCCACCACGCCTGGCCTTCTTTCTTTTTTTTTTTTCCAGACAGGGTCTCGCTCTGTTGCCCAGGCTGGAGTGCAGTGGCACGATCACAGCTCTCATAGCTTACTGCAGCCTCGACCTCCTTGGGCTCAGGCGATCCTCCAATGTCAGCCTCCCTAGCAGCTGGGACCACAGGCACACGCCACCATGTGCGGCAAATTTTAAAATTTTTTTTGTAGAGACGGGGGTCTCCCTATGTTGCCCAGGGTCGTCCCAGACGCCTGGCCTCAAGTGATCCTCCCGCCTTGGCCTCCCAAAGTGTCGGGATTACAGGCGTGAGCCACCGTGCCCGGCCTTGTTTCTTTTTCTCTGCAATGGCGACTTCACGACCTACAAGTCCAAATGTGTCCCATAACACATCAAGGAACTTCTGGCATCTCCTATCGATCCTGTACGGGCTTCTCAGACTATGGGGATTTTCTAGGCTTGGTTTGCCAAGGCCAAAGGGCTACAGAGTAACCCCGTCCCCACATGTATTCAGCCGACTCCATGCCAGGCGTTTTACAGATCCCGAGACCACCCCTAAGCAAGACCCCTAGCCGGAGTCGCCCCTCCGTCCCGAGACTCCGCGCCCCTCAATGCGTCACCCTTCTGAGCGCCCGGCCTATCTGGCCCCGGAGCGCAGCCTGTAACGCTCTCAGCCCCGGAAGCCTCCTGTTACGCGCCGTGCCCCCGGAGGTGCGGCCGCTGGGACCAGCGCCGGCCCTGGCTCCATTCGGGTCGCCCAGCCCGGCCAGGACTGGCCTCCCGCTTCCAGCCGCTGCCGGCACCCTCAGCCGTCTGGCCTCCCGCGGAAAGGCGGGCGCGAGGCATCCTGGGAGTCGCAGTCGGCGGTCGACTCACCCGCCCTCACAGAGGAGGTGGGGACGCCATGAAGAACTACAGCTCCCAGGGAGCCGCGCGCGGCAGTTGGCGGGGCCGGGCTTCTGCCGGCGGCGGGCACGTTGCTAGGAGCTGCCCCAACGCCTCTCCGGGAAGAGGGCGCCAGGCTCAAAGGCCCTCTTGGGAACTGCCGGGAAGCTTAAAAGTTCCTCCTGCCCACTTCTGAGGGCTGACACGTGGCCGACGCGGAGGCGTGAGAAATGTGTTGATATTGGGAGGTTGACGGGTGAATCCACAAATTCACCGGTGTTTATTCCACACCCCAAAGCTTGAGGGAAGTGACTGACCTGTTTAATGATCCAATCAAAGCTGTATAGCCAGAATGAAACCCAATACTGTCGCCCCACAAAAAGATTAAGTCACATTTTTTCTAGTATGTGCTAATTATGAATTTTATTAAGGTTTATTCAATGTCACAGAGGAAAGAACGGTTTGTAGTTTTGCTTACCCGCAGTGCTGGCAGGTCACAGCTGTCCAACCATGATCCATTCACATGCTCTGGCCCCGTGCCCCTCGTCCTCCCACCCCTACCCCACAGGACACCATTAAGCCAGGGCTGGGTAACAACATATGCTCAATGCATCTTCTCAGGTGAGAACCAAACTCGAGCCACAACAGCAAAGGGGGAAAAAGGTAGCAAAGTAATTATGTGCTCCCAAGGCAGTCATTTAGTTGAATCCATAACTGGAAATAAAAAGGCATTTATGAAGTGTAGTCCGCAGTCTGAATGTGGAAGGTGGAAGATCACACATTTACTAAGAAACACTCAAAACATATTTTGGTTCAGAATTCTAAAAAATCCCGAATTTTCCATGATCTTCCCAAGACAACCAATGACCCACTTAAATTTAAGGCAAAAACACCCTTGAATCTAGGAATGTGCACATATGCAACAGCTAACATCTGGTAACTCTAATAATGTTCCTTATATGTTTCTGTGTTTACTATCATGAACCATAGGAAGAAGTACTGGAAAATTTAGTAAGTGTGGACAGTTAAAAACACTGGCCCGGCACGGTGGCTCACGCCTGTAATCCCAGCACTTTGGGAGGCCGAGGTGGGTGGATCACGAGGTCAGGAGTTCAAGACCAGCCTGGCCAACTTGGTGAAACCCCTGTCTCTACTAAAAATACAAAAAAACTAGACAGGCATGGTGGCAGGCGCTGTAATCCCAGCTTCTCAGGAGGCTGAGGCAGAGAATTGCTTGAACCCGGGAGGCAGAGGTTGCAGTGAGCCAAGATTTCGCCACTGCACTCTACCCTGGGTGAAAGAGCAAGACAACGTCTCAAAAAAAAAAAAAAAAAAAAAAGCAAAACCCCACCATCAATATTTTAAAATAAAAAGTCGTTTTAGTCAATTACAGTGTGACTTGTTCTAATCCTCCAAGAATGGAGTAGTAAAGAAACAGCAGAAATGACTTCCCTGCATTATTTCATGAAAATGATCAAAACCTTTATCTAAGTCAGAACATCAACAAGACTCTTGGTCTCAGGTCATCAGTTTCCTGGCACTCCTCCTCTCTCTAGCTGTAGTAGCAGCTACTGCTTGAAGACAACCTATATATCCCAGGCATACCCTCTACACGTATAAAAAGATGTGCAGGTGTTACAGACCACCTACACCTAATTCACTTCCTTTCTAATAAGATGGATGGAATAACTCGGAAAAGGGAAAGGAGGGATTTTGAGCCGCAGTTGTCTAAAGAATTATTGATTCACAGGGATCTCCAAGATCATGCATTTGAAGAGTTTTATTTCTCCACCCAAAGCCCTGCAGTGAAGAAAATCCAAGAATTAAGATGTAACATGTTGGCTGGGTGAGGTGGCTTGTGGCTTATGCCTGTAATCCCAGCACTTTGGGAAGTGTGGGGGGAGTGGGAGTGCAGATCACCTGGCCAACATGGTGAAACTCCATCTCTGCTCAAAATACAAAAATTAGCCGAGCGTGATGGCAGGTGCCTGTAATCCCAGCTACTCAGGAGGCTGAGGTGGGAGAATCGCTCGAACCCGGGAGGTGAAGATTGCAGTGAAGTCGAGATCGCACCATTGCATTCCCGCCTGGGAGACTCCATCTCAAAAAAAAAAAAAAAAAAATTAACATGTTGGCCCAGTGCAGTAGCTCACTCCTGTAATCCCAACCCTTTGGGAGGCCTGAGGTGGGAGGGTCACCTGAGGCTAGGAGTTCATGACGGGCCCAAGGCAACATAGCCATACCCTATTTCCAAAAATAAAAAAAAATAAAAAATTAGCCAGGTGTGGTGGTGTGCACCAGTAATCCCAGCTTCTCAGAGGAGGCCAAAGCAGGAGGATCACTTGAGCCCAGGAGTTGGTGGCCAAAGTGTGCTACAATCACACCACTGCATTCCAGCCTGGGTGAGAGTGAGACCCTCATGGGGTGGAAAAAAAAGATCTAACATGTTAACTTTAGGAACTATAAAATGCCTTCAGGTGTATGTGATCTGAAATTACAAGTGGTGACTTCTCAGAAAGCATATGAACACGGTGAATGTTGTAATGTTCTGAAGATAAGCTGATACTTAGTAGTGATATGTTCTAAAGACAAGAACATGAGGGCCCCAAAGCCTGTGTCATCAACTCTGCTTTGAGGTCACTAATTTTTAAATACAGAGCATAAAGTAGAACTCCAAACACTTGGGCAAGAAGAAAATCCATTGCAAATAGCCAACACATTTCTATTAAACCTCACATTTTCAATTTTGTATTTGGTTGAGAGTACTTTTTAAAAAAAGGCTTAAATCAATATTATCTAACACACACAAAAAATCTCATTAATTCTCCTCACTCTGGGCCAGATGCTGTGGCTCACACCTATAATCTCAGCACTTTGGGAGGCTGAGGCGAAATGATCGCTTGAGCCCAGGAGTCTGAGACCAGCCTGGGCAACATGGCAAAACCCCGTCTCTACAGAAAAAATAGAACAAATTAGCTGGGCATGGTGGCACGTGCCTGTCGTCCCAGCTACTCAGGAGACTGAGGAGGGAGGACCATTTGAACCCGGGAGGCAGAGGTCACAGTAAGCCAAGATCCCACCACTGCACTCCAGTCTGGGTGACAGTGATACCCTGTCTCAAAAAGATAAAAATAAAATTCCTACTCAGTAATTTTGGAGAAGACAAGGTTAAAATGTATCTTTGTACTTGTGAAAATGGCTTACAAAATTTTGAATCCAACAGACCCAAACTTGTCAGTGGCAGTCTAGTGTGGTAGAGAGAACAAACTGGACTTGCCACTTCCTTTAAGGTACAGCCAACAAATGTGTACCAAGTACTTCCAAGGACTCCTAAAGTGACTGGAGCCACTCACAACTATTGGTACAACTGCAGTAATTACAGCTGATTTACAGCTGTCCACTCAGGCAGGTATCACTCCTTCCTTTTTTGTTCTTAGTGTTCCCTAAATCTAATAAACCTCTATTCTAAATTTCTTCATAATTTAAACCTATGTTTAGTTGTGTGGCATATTTTTTCTCTCTTAATAGTACAAATCAGTGACGTTTACTCTATCTTTATTCTTGATTATATTGAATAAAGTTCAAGACAGAACATTCCAATATTAATAAAAATAGCATCAAATGTCAGATTTAGATTTTTTTTTTGAGACGGAGTCTCGCTCAGCCACCCAGGCTGCAGTGTAGTGGCACCATCTTGGCTCACTGCAACCTCTACCCGCCAAGTTCAAGCGATTATCCTGCCTCAGCCTCCCGAGTAGCTGGGACTACAGGCGCGTGCTACCACCATGCCCAGCTAATTTTTGTATTTTTTTCAGTAGAGACGGGGTTTCACCATGTTGGCCAGGATGGTCTCAAACTCCTGACCTCAGGTGATCCACCCGCTTCGGCCTCCCAAAGTGCTTGGATTACAGGCGTGAGCCACCACGCCTGGCCCCAGATTTAGATTTTAAATAAAACGTGAGGTACTGGGTCAAAGGGGGCTCTGCAGGTCGATGATCTCCTCAAACCTGCAAAGACATCCCATCTATGCAACTGGATTGGGGGGTGTCATTCCAAACACCCTCAGATCCTGCCCAGATATTCATCTGTGAACAAGGTATTTCAACACTAATTTTGAAACAATTCTACATCTAGCAGGTCAGTTTATCATTTTCCAGAATCTGAACTACTGTCAGGATAGACTCAAGTGAGATTAACACAGGGTTAATCTTCAATCTTAACACAATTATCAATTAGTTCTCCCAGTGGAACGATTAAGGCTTTTGTCAACATGTAGCATTTCTGCTGTAACCTATAAGTCTCATATTACCAGTTCCCCAGGATAGATAGATATTATGTCAGGTCCCAAGATAGGAGTTATGTTTCCATGGAATTAAGCCATATTCTCAGGACTGATTCTAGAACAGCTGGTTTCATGAGGCATATGGCGTAGATTAAAAAAAAACAAAACAAAGTGACTTACATTGACTTTAAGAAAAAATTAATTAAGATGTATTTAACCTTTAAGTATAGAATGATTGTATAAATTAGATTTCAACTGAAAGGACAATTAGCGATTCAGAGAAAGCTCCTAGAAATAGACTGAAAACAAAGCCATACATAGAGTAAGAAATAGAACCTATGGAACTTCCATTTTTCTAACTATAGTTTTTTGTTTTTGTTTTTTCCCAGTTGTTAAAAAAAAAACAACTCACAGTTTCAATATTTTCTGAACCAAAAATCAGAACACATGGTTTGTGTCAAAGGGTTTTTCTGTGCTACGTCTGGGAGTGCTGACCTAAGTGACATTTTTTTTTAATGCCAAATACAGTAATCTCCAAGCTTTTAATGGCTTATGCCAAGATGACAGAATATGTGAAATCTGATTGTCCCAGAGTTACACTCTGCACTCCAAAGCTACAACAGTGCCACAGCTGAGAGGTTTCCCTATACTTCCTACTACTGTGACAATTTAGCAATCCTTCAAATGGAAAATTCCTAATTACACGAGACAATGGTCCTACAGTAGGCCCGTGCGGAATAAGTTCCCTCGTTGGAAAAATGCTAGCATGAATAGTTTGATAAATGCAATCCATCAGCAAAGGAGAGCAAGCAGGCAGAGACTGTGCCAAGCAGAAACTCATTCGCATCAAGTTTTCCAATAAGTTTCCTTCCCCCAGTCCCTTTTCTTCAATCCTGCTTTTAAGCCAGGCCCCAGGGTAAGTCTGGTAGAACACTGAGCAGGAAAGCTTGGAAGGGTTCTACACCACTTCAAAAATACCTTTGCTTAAAAACACTTATATAGCCAGTGATTAGCAATTAAAATGTGAAAATAATCAACTACTCAGTAGTTAAATTCTGCTAATTATCAAAAGTCATAGTCTACTGGGATCAGCAGCATTACAAAAGGAAGTCATATCGCATTTCTTAAGCTTTTTCTGAATGGTTTAACAGGTCTCTTTCAGTGTTAATTGCACTTAAAACATCTGCTTTTTTTCATTTAATCTCTGAAATCTGTTCATTTTTTCCCTCCATTTATAAAAAGGGGTCAATTTATCATTTGCTCTATAGCTATTTGAATTCGAAAAAGATTCCACAAAATTTGAGTTGCACACAGGCGCTTTCTGAAGCAGATTAAACTTGTCCTTGTGACACTTCAGAGCTTGGACTGCAGTGACTTCAGGTGCTTGTAAGATTCGTGGACCTGTGGGGAAAGGAGAGAGAAGAACTACTAATAAAGAGTTTGCCATGTTAAATAGTATACTGTTTTTTGTTTTTGTTTTTGTTTTTTTTTTGAGACTGAGTCCTGCTCTGTTGCTCAGGCTGGAGTGCAGTGGCACAATCTTGGCTCACTACAGCCTCTGCCTCCCAGACTCCAGCGATCTTCCCACCTTAGCCTCCCGAGTTGCTAGAACTACAGGTGTGTGCCATGACACCTGGCTGCTATTTGTATTTTTTTGTAGAGATGGGGGTTTACCATGTTGGCCAGGCTGGTCTAGAACTCCTCAATTCAAGTGATCCACCCACCTCAGCCTCCCAAAGTGCTAGGATTACAGGCGTGAGCCACTGTGCCCAGCCTGTGGTTGTTTCTGAAGAGTCCTTATCTTTTAGAGCTATGCATTGAATTATTTATGGATAAAATTATCTGATGTCTTAGTTTTTTTTTTTTTTTTGAAACGGAGCCTCGCTCTTGTTGCCCAGGCTGGAGTGCAATGGCATGGTCTCGGCTCACCGCAACCTCCGCCTCCCAGGCTCAAGCAATTCTCCTGTCTCAGCCTCCCAAGTAGCTGGGATTACAGGCATGCGCCACCACGCCTGGCTAATTTTGTATTTTTAGTAGAAACAAGGTTTCTCCATGTTGGTCAGGCTGGTCTCAAACTCCCGACCTCAGGTGATCCACCTGCCTCGGCCTCCCAGGTGTGCATCACTGAGCCTGGCCCTGATGTCTTAGATTTATTTCAAAATAGTCCCCAGGAGGAGGGGGATGAAGGTTCAGATGAAACACAACTAGCCACGAGTTGATAGTCATTGCTGCTAGACAAAGGGTGTACCAAAGAGCACTACGGAATTCTCTTTTTGTATATTTTATTCTATTTGTGTGTGTGTGTGTGTGTGTATACTTTTTTTTTTTTTTTGAGACAGAGTTTTGCTCTTGTCACCCAGGCTGGAGTGCAATGGCACGAACGTGGCTCACTGCAACCTCCGCCTCCTGGGTTCTCCTGGGTTCAAGCTGAGGCAGGAGAATTCCCGAGTAGCTGGGACTACAGCCGTGCACCATTACTGCCTGGCTGCTTTTTTTGTATTTTTAGTAGAGATTGGGTTTCGCCATTTTAGCCAGGCTAGTCTCGAACTCCTGACCTCAGGTGATCTGCCCACTCGGCCTCCCACAGTGCTGGGATTACAGGTGTGAGCCAACGCACCCGGCCTGTATATATTTTTAAATGTTCAATTCGTTATCAAAAATTGAAATTGATTAAGACCCTGGTTACTGTGGGAACAACCCAGTTCCCTTCTGAACCTGTTGCTCAAATAAAGTGACTGTCAGAAGTGGCCATGGTACTTTCAGAGCTTTCACAGATAAATCCCCTTCGAGAGGCCTTTCCTGCTTCAATATTTAAGTGAAGACTTTTAAAAAGGTGCAGAGACACTGGATTTTTACCTCTGCTTTGTTCAGTGGGGAGTTCTTAGCCCACTCAAACAAGTTTTCATACACATTCCCATCATAGCGGCCAAGCACAGAGCCAAGTGTCACATCCTGAAAATCAAATGCATCAACCAAAGCAACAGCATCTGAGCGAATCAGAGTGAGTAACTCCTTTACACGCTGGTTTACTTGTGTAATCTGAGGCTCTGTCATGATGCTCCCCTAAAAGAGACCAAAATAAGTAAATAAAACATATATATGTATATAGATAGACATAATTATATGCATATACAGCTATAAAGCGGATGACAATTATTTTTTTCTTTTTTTTTTTTTGAGACTGAGTTTCACTCTTGTTGCCCAGGCTGGAGTACAATGGTGTGATCTTGGCTCACCGCAATCTCCGCCTCCCAGGTTCAAGCAATTCTCCTCCCTTGGCCTCCCAAATAGCTGGAATTACAGGCATGCGCCAGCACACCTGGCTAATTTTGTATTTTTAGTAGAGATGGGGTTTCTCCATGTTGGTCAGGCTGGTCTCGAACTCCCGACCTCAGGTGATCTGCCCGCCTTGGCCAAAGTGTTGGGATTACAGGCATGAGCCACTGTGCCTGGCTATTTTTCTTTTTCTTTTTTTTTTTTTTTGAGACAGAGTATTGCTCTGTCACCCAGGCTGGAATGCAGTGGTTTCATCTTGGCTCACTGCAACCTCTGCCTCCAGGGTTCAAATGATTCTCGTGCCTCAGCCTCCCTAGTAGCTGGGATTACAGGCATGTGCCACTGCACCTGGCTAATTTTTGTATTTTTAGTAGAGACAGGGTTTCACCAGGCCAGGCTGGTCTTGAACTCCTGACCTCAAGTGATCACCGTACCCGCCTTGGGCTCCCAAAGTGCTGGGATTACAGGCATGAGCCACCGTGCCCAGCCAACAATTATTTTTCTTAAAACAACAACAAAAAAGACTTATACTTAGAAAATACTGACCTGAAGGAAATCCCCCGCGTTCTGACTGATTCCATACAGAGAATACAGCAGACATAAACTCCTTAAGACAGCTTGAATGGCTTTATCTTGAATTTTGAGGAGTTTTTCTGAAAAGAGCTTAACTACCACATAGTGGCAATGTGCCTAAGATTAAAAAGAAAACACCAGAGTTTGAGAACCTTGGAAAAAGATTCAATATACAGTGACTAGGGTTTCTGTACCAGAAAATGCGGGATGCTGAGGGCAGGGAAGGGGAAAAAGAGAGAACTACCACTGACCTCACTTGCTCGAACAAGGTCAACAGAAGTTAGGTTCCAAGCTACCTCCTTGCTTTTTCTGTGAATCACTTCTTTTTGAAGGTTTTTTGCAGCAATTTCTACTAATCTGTTAAGACATAGATTGGAGGTCTGAGGAAATGATCAACAGTACTCATGCCTTCTTGCCATCTGTCAGGGCCCCAGCCCCACTGCTGCGTATTCTAGCTCTTGAGGGAGAGCTCACCTGGCTGCACGGAGTTTATATGCTTCGGTTAGGCTTTCGGGGCTGTTGATATCCACCATGGTTGGCCAGACTGCTACCTGCTGTGGCTGGATGCGCTGACTGGGCAGGTCGTTCAAATAGGACACCATGCCACACACCAACTTTCCTGAGTGCACCTGATCATAACTTTTCATCAGGAACCTAAAAGTCACCAGTAAACATGCTTTTAGTAACTCTACTTTCTTTTGTTTCTTTTGAGATGGAGTTTCATTCTTGTTGCCTAGGCTGGATGGAGTGCAATGGCCAGATCTCAGCTCACTGCAACCTCCTCCTCTTGGGTTCAAATGAATGATTCTCCTGCCTCAGCCTCCCAAGTAGCTGGGACTACAGGCACCTGCCACCATTCCTGGCTAATTTTTAATATTTTGTTTTTTTAGTAGAGACAGGGTTTTACCATGTTGGCCAGGCTGGTCTCTTAACTCCTGACCTCAAGTGATCTACCCGGCTTGGCGTCCCAAAGTGCTGGGATTACAGGAGTAAGCCACCACACCTGGCCTTTTTTTTTTTGATGGAGTTTTCGCTCTTGTTGCCCAGGATGGAGTGCAATAGCGCAATCTTGGCTCACTGCAACCTCCGCTTCCCAGGTTCAAGCGATTCTTCTGCCTCAGCCTCCCAAGTAGGCCGGGATTACAGGCAATGTGCCATCATGCCCGGCTAATTTTTTTGTATTTTTTTAGTAGAGACACGGTTTCACCATGTTGATCAAGCTGGTCTTGAACTCCTTACCTCATGATCTGCCCACCTCAGCTTCCCAAAGTGCTGGGATTACAGTCATGAGCCACTGTGCCCAGCCCAGTAACTCTATCCTTGATACAACTGCAAGCTATGTAACAGGTGCTTCATACTCTCTAGCCTCACCACGAAATAAAAACCGTGAGTCAGGATGGAAGGCAAAAGTATACCTTTCAGGAACAAATATATATATACGGTGAAGAAAAACCATGGGAACAAGAACCTAGGAAAAGGACTAGAACATTCTTATGAACAGATGGGAGGAATCGAGGATTTGACTCTCACCTAGCCGTCTGGAGCATCATGACAGTGTTTTCTCCCTCAAAGGTACAGCTTGGGGTGAAATTGACATAAATATTTGGAAGACCACTGCAATGAGAATAGCCATGCCCACCACAAGCCATCCGACATGCTTCAATGCCAGTGTTTGCAGTCCAGGAGGTGAAAGCCTTCAGTCCAGCGGTGAGGGCATGAAGCTGAGAGGACAAGCACAGATCTGTCAGGACATCTGTGGTGCTGAGAGCCCGAGAACCAATGAGAAAACACACCCCTCCTCTAACATCTTGGCCACTGTCAAAACACAGCTGCCACACATGCAAACTGAAGAAGCACAGCTGTCCGACTGGCCAGAAGAATACAGAACACTACCCATGCCCATCTAAGCTGTTCTACTTGGCTAAACATTCACCACTTACATTTCCTTGATTGACAAATAATCAACATGGTACAGTATTTCTGATAACACTAAAAATACTGAACAACAAACCCCACAGATCTTCATATCTGATCTACTTTCAACCAGAAGAAGTTCTCAGAATACATACTTCTTTTCAGGAAATACCAACATTTAGTTATCTCTGGACCTCATCCAACAGGCAACCACGAAACAGAAGGGTGCCCATGAGTGAATGAGACCAAACTCATACCTCAGGCAGTTCACTCAGGTCCCCTTGACCAATGCCTTCGTTAATCCGGTGATAGGTCTCCTTCATGTATGCGCCCACAAACTGGAAGGCATAGGCAGTGGCCAGGAGTGGAAAGAGTTTATACTGCTGGGTTTGAAAATCCAAAATCTGTGGTTCTGGTTCACTACGTGACATAGAAAAAGAAAAAAAGTAGTAAGTAAATGTTTATACAGAACTTTCTATATGCCAGGTTCTAATCTAAGCACTTGGTATTTTAACTTATTTAGTCCTCTTAAGGGCACTGTGAGGTAGTTACTATTACTATCTCCATTTTACAAATGGGAAACTGAGAGGTTAAGAATCTGCCTGAGGTCACACAGCTCGTATGTGGCAGGTCTTAGATTTAAATTGAGGCTTTTTTTTTTTTTTTTTTTTTTTTGTGATGGAGTCTCCCTCTGTCACCCAGGCTTTAGTGCAGTGGTGCGATCTTGGCTCACTGCAAGCTCCGCCTCCCAAGTTCAAGCGATTCTCTTGCCTCAGCCTCCCACAGTGGTGGGATTACAGGCATGAGCCACGGTGCCTAGGCTATTTGGCTCCCTAAGACCATGCTGTAATTACCTTGTACTGCGTAGGCTGACAGAATTTTCTGGCTGCAAAGTCCATATCTGTCCTAGTCTTTCCAGTATGACTAAGAAAACCGTAGCTCATAGCAACATACAAAACCAACGCTAGTCAACCTAATAAGAAGGCAATGCCAAAAAGCTCTACTCACCAGATGGCTGAATACATTGTATTTTGACCACAATCTTGGAGAAGACCCAATGGATGGTGTTAAATATTTTGAAGTGTAAGAATTAGCAAGGGTCTCATTGTATCAATTCCTTTATTCCTTTTTAAAAATGTAATTATTATTATTATTTTTTGAGATGAAGTCTCTAACACCCAGGATGGAGTGCAGTGTTGTGATTTCGGCTCACTACAACCTCCACTTCCTGGGTTCAAGTGATTCTCCTGCCTCAGTCTCCCGAGTAGCTGGAATTACAGGCACCCGCCACCACACCCAGCTAATTTTTGTATTTTAGTAGACGTGGGGTTTCTCCATGTTGGCCAGGCTGGTCTTGAACTCCTGACTTCAAGTGATCCACCCGCTTTGGCCTCCCAAAGTGCTGAGATTACAGGCGTGAGCCACTGCGCCTGGCCTTAAAATTTAATTAACTTTTAATTTTTTTGAAAATAGACCAGCCTGGCCAACATGGCGAAATTCCGTCTCTACTAAAAATACAAAAATTAGCTGGGCATGGTGGCGTGCACCTGTAATCCCAGCTACTCAGGAGGCTGAGACAGGAGAATCACTTGAACCCAGGGTGGCAGAGACTGCAGCAAGCTGAGATCGCGCCACTGCACTCCAGTCTGGGCAACAGAGTGAGAATCCATCTCAAAAAAAAAAAAAAAAGAAAAGAAAATAGAGACAGGGTCTCACTATGTTGCTCAAGTTGGCCTCAAACTCCTAGGCTCAAGTAATCTTCTTGCCTTAGCCTCCCAAAGTGCTGGGATTACAGGTGTCAGCTACCACACCTGGCCAGTTTCTTTATTCCTTAGGAGTAAAAAGAGTATCAGGGAGTATCAGTGAAAGGCAGTTGTAGGAATAAACTGTGGCTATGAATGCAAAAGGGAAACAAATTTAATGTCACTTTCACCATGCACAATTTACAGTTGCTAGTAGTAATCAGAACTTTCAAACTGCCTTTAGTGTGTTGAACATTTCACTTATAAAGTTCAAGTAATATTATTACTATTTTTCTTAAAAAGTTAAAAATAATAAGGTGGGTATTCTCTTTTTTTCTTTTTTGGCAGTCACTGATTATAGCAAGGGTGGTTATTTCTGTCTTTCCTCTTAAGAAAAGGAAGCCTAGATATGAAATTACAGGCCCAGTTATCACCCTAGCCAATTTTGCAGTGCTAATGCATCTTCTGTATTGACATTTGGGAATTCTGGGATCTGAATGGGGTAAAAACTAGGCCTTTGGTACTGAGCCCATCTAGGACCCTATCCTTACCCTGGCTTGATTTCAGACTGGTGCCTCACAGCGCTGTATCGGATGGCAATGGTGCACGCCTTAGACAGAGCCCGAGCAGCTTCTCCCACAAGGAAGGACCTGACAAACACCATGGTCCCGTAAGTCAGCTTGTTACTCAGCGGTTTCACGTATGTGCCATCAGGCTTCACCTGGAAGAAGAACGTGGAACTGATACTTCCTTCTTTTAAGCCCAAGAGGCAGTTCAGTGGTTCTCAAAGTGTGGTCCCTGGAATAGCAGCATCAGCATCACCTGGCAACTTGCATGAAATACTACATCTTAGTCCCCACCCTGACCAACTGAATCAGAAACTCCAGGGTAGGGCCTAGCAACCTGGGCTTTAACTGGCCTTCCAGGTGATTCTAACGCATGCAAAAGTTTGAGAATCATTGGTTTAGCAAATCAAAATATGTCCTTCAACCCTGACAACTGTTTCTGATTTCACTGTCGCAGTAAAAGAAGCATCAGAGTGGGCGTGATGGCTCACGCCTGTAATCCCAGCACTTTGGGAGGCCAAGGCAGACAGATCAAGAGGTCAGGAATTCGAGACCAGCCTGACCAACATGGTGAAACCCCATCTCTACTAAAAATACAAAAATTAGCTGCGTGTGGTGGCACGTGCCTGTAATCCCAGCTACTCAGGAGCTGAGACAGGAGAATCGCTTGAACCTGGGAGGCGGAGGTTTCAGTGAGCTGAGATTGCGCCACTGCACTCCAGCCTGGGTGACAGAGCAAGACTCTGTCTCAAAAAAAAAAAAAAACCAAAAAATGCTGGGTGCGGTGGCTCATGCCTGTAATCCTAGCACTTTGGGAGGCCGAGGCAAGAGGGTCCCCTGAGGTCAGGAGTTTGAGACCAGCCTGGCCAACAGGGTGAAACCCCACCTCTACTAAAAATACAAAACAATTAGCTGGGTGTGGTGGCGCATGCCTGTAATCCCAGCTACTTGGGAGGCTGAGGCAGGAGAATCGCTTGAACCCAGGAGGCGGAGGTTGCAGTGAGCCAAGATCACGCCACTGCACTCCAGCATGGGTGACAGAGACTCTCTCTCTCAAAAAAAAAAAAAAGGGGCATCAGAAGGAAAAATGCATTATTAGCTCCTTTTTTTTTTTTTTTTTTTTTGAGACAGAGTCTCGCTGTATTGCCTAGGCTGGAGTGCAGTGGTGTGATCTCGACTTACTGCAACCTCTGCCTCCTGGGTTCAAGCGATTCTCCTGCCTCAGCCTCCTGAGTAGCTGAGATTACAGGCGTGTGCCATCACACCCGGCTAATCTTTGTATTTTTAGTAGAGACAGGTTTTCACCATATTGGTCAGGCTGGTCTTGAATTCCTGACCTTATGATCCATCCTCCTTGGCCTCCCAAAGTGCTGGGACTACAGGCATGAGCCACCGCGCCCAGCCTTATTCCCTCCTTTTATGAGACGGAGTCTCACTCTGTTGCCAAGCTGGAGTGCAGTGTCATGATCTCTGCTCACTGCAACCTCCGCCTCCCGGGTTCAAGCTATTCTCCTGCCTCAGCCTCCTGAGTAGCTGGGACTACAGGTGCGCACCACCACGCCCAGCTAATTTTTTGGTATTTTTAGTAGAGATGGGGTTTCACCATGTTGGCCAGGATGGTCTCCATCTCTTGACCTCATGATCTTCCCGCCTCAGCCTCCCAAAAGTGCTGGAATTACAGGTGTGAGCCACTGCGCCCAGCCTCCTTTTTTTTTTTGAGACAAGGTCTCACTGTCATCTAGGCTGGAGTACGGTGGCATAATCACAGCTCACTGTAGCCTCGGCCTCCCAGGCTCAAGTGATCCTCCCACCCCAGTCTCCCAAGTAGCTGGGACTACACACGTGTGCCACCATACCCAGCTAGATTTTTTTACTTTTTGTAGAGATGGGTTCTCACTATGTTGCCCAGACTGATCTTGAGCTCCTGGGCTCAAGTCATCCACGCACTCAGCCTCCCAAAGTGCTGGGATAACAGGAATATGCCAGTGTGCCCTGCTGTTATTACCTTCTAAAAGAACAGACCATTCTAACCCTATTGTGAGTAACAGCCACTCAACTCCACTGTTTGATGCCTCTGCTTTATTTTCTATCAAAACATACCTGGGCATACTTCATCAGCATGTTTTCTCTGGGAATACGATGGTTGTCCATTTTGAGGTAGCCATTGTCTATCTCATCATAACCAAATTTGGGGCCGATGTCACCAACGGTAATTCCTACCACAGATGAAAGGACAGTCACGAGATGTTTATGCTCTGGAATTTCTGGCTTTTGCTCCGCCTCTTCAGTTGGGCATTCTACCTTTTGCAGAAGAAAGTGCTCAGTTTCATTTTCATCTCAACATCAGATGAACAGTTCTTACCTGGCAAAGGCTTATGGGTCCCGATTTCACGAATAGGTACGATAAAGGCATGTAATCCATAGCATTTCCCCTTAGTGATGAGCTGGGCAAGAACTATTGCATGATTTGAAGTCTTTCCAACTGTAATATCAAAGAGAACAAGGGAGGGGTGGGCAAACGTTCATACATTTTTAAAGGGTAGAAAAAAGAAGAAAGAATATGTTAAATCTAACACTAGACTAAACCAATAGTATGTGTCCAGAAAGCCTTTCTGCTGACAGCATCACACCTAGCTTTCAGAAAGAAATTCCCTTAAGCTAATAGTTATTACTTTCTTTTCTACTTATTTCTCATACATTTACGTAGAGAAAATTTTAGGATAAAAATAAGAATATTAATTTAAACTACTTCCTTGTTATCCCTTAAGGCAGTGCTGTCCAAAACAGTAATCACTAGCTACATGTGGCTTCTTACATATAAATTATAAATAAATAAAATATATAATGTGAATAACAAAATCCTTCAACCACTAACTGTATTGGAAATATATATTCCAAGATAATAACTCAGAATGGAATAAGAAGATATAAAAGTTTCGGGTCAGCCGGGCACGGTGGCTCGCGCCTGTAATTCCAGCACTTTGGGAGGCCGAGGCGGGCAGACCAGAGGTCAGGAGTTTGAGACCAGCCTGGCCAACATGATGAAATCCCATCTCTACTAAAAATACAAAAATTAGTTGGGTGTGGTGGCACGCTCCTGTAGTCCCAGCTACTCAGGAGGCTGAGGCAGGAGAATCGCTTGAACCCAGAAGGTGGAGGTTGCAGTGAGCGGAGATCACACCACTGTACTCCAACCTGGGTGACACAGTGAGACTCCATCTCAAAAAAAAAAAAAAGTTTGTGTTAAAACTATTTAAATTTTTTTCTTTTTTTTTTTTAAGAGACAGGGTTTCACTCTGTCACCCAGGCTGGAGTGCAGTGGCATGATCACAGATAGTAGCTCACTGCAGGCTTGAACTCTTGGGCTCAAGTGGTCCTCCCACCTCAGCCTCCTGAGTAGCCAGGACTATAGGTCTATAGGTATGTGCCGCTATGCCTGGCTTTCCTCTCTCTCTCTCTCTCTCTCTCTCTCTCTCTCTCTCTCTCTCTCTCTCTCTCTCTCTCTCTATATATATATATATATATATATATATATATATATATACACACACACACCTCTCTCTGTCTATATACACACACACACACCCCTCTATGTACACACACCACACACACATATATTTGTTTGTTGGGTTGTTTTTGAGACAAAGTCTTGCTGTGATGCCCAGGCTGGAGTGCAATGGTGCAATCTTGGCTCATTGCAACCTTCCCGGGTTCAAGTGATTCTCCTGCCTCAGCCTCCCAAGTAGCTGGGACTACAGGTGTGCGCCACCACACCCGGCTAATTTTTGTATTTTTAGTAGAGATGGGGTTTCAGCATATTAACCAGGCTGGTCTTGAATTCCTGACCTCAAGTGATCTGCCCACCTCAGCCTCCCAAAGTGTTAGGATTTCACCACCAAGTCTGGCCGACATTATCATAAAAGCTCTACATTCTAAGCAAAATCTCATGACAAACCTTCAAAACATCCAATAAATGCTGAAAAATTCACTTACGCCCACCAGGCCACCATTTAATGGAGGTCACAGTAGGACTGTTGAGAATGAACTCCTGGGTTTCAGGGTCATACGTGGCTGTGGTTTCCAAGCCTCGAAGGTGAGTTCCTAAGGAGATAAATTACATTGACTTCAGTTAAGAGATGGGGAAAAAAATAGGCACAAGGAAAAATTTCCTGCACAGTCCTTTAAACTCTCATATCTCAGAGAAAAACAAAATCTAACAAAAAACACCTGTAGATGAGCTACAACTGGTTGATAACCAAGACACTGAATTT
Organism: Homo sapiens; assembly: GCF_000001405.40. Lineage (NCBI taxonomy): Eukaryota > Metazoa > Chordata > Mammalia > Primates > Hominidae > Homo > Homo sapiens. Next base: position 75,957,737 of record NC_000017.11, read on the forward strand.
CCCACACTATCTGATGGTTTCCTATTAAGTTGAAAATCTAAGTGTCATGCATGTTCCATTTCTGTATTTGATTTGTTACATTTATTTACAGCAACTGAAAGAAAATATAAAGGCAACTTAGAATCACATTTTTAAGATCACAATATATGAATTTAACAGGGATGTTAACTGTCTTTTTAAACCCATCTCTGAGTTGCAAGTATGCCAATTTCAAGTCATATGTATTGTGTTAACCACACCAATTCAACATTCTTGAATTCTGTACTAATGAGAAGAATGAGATAACATGTGAGAGGAAGACATTTCAGCCAAAATTCGTATAAATTAAAAATGTATGGCTGTGCGTGGTGGCTCATGCCTGTAATCCCAGCACTTTAGGAGGCCGAGGCGGGTGGATCACGAGGTCAGGAGATCGAGTCCATCCTGGCTAACATGGTGAAACCCGTCTCTACTAAAAATACAAAAAATTAGCCAGGCATTGTGGCATGCGCCTGTAGTCCCAGCTACTAAGGAGGCTGAGGCAGGAGAATTGCTTGAACCCGGGAGGTGGAGGTTGCAGTGAGCCAAGATTGTGCCACCGCACTCCAGCCTGGGTGGCAGAGCAAGACTCCATCTCAAAAAAAAAAAAAAAAGAAAAAGAAAAAGAAAAAGGCCAGGCACAGTGGCTCAAGCCTGTAATCCCAGCACTTTGGGAGGCCGAGGTGGGGGGATCACGAGGTCAGGAGATTGAGACCATCCTGGCTAAAGTGGTGAAACCCCGTCTCTACTAAAAAAACAACAAAAAAATTAAAGCTGGGCACGGTGGCTCACGCCTGTAATCCCAGCACTTTGGGGGGCCAAGGCGGGCGGATCACAAAGTCAGGAGATCGAGACCATCCTGGTTAACACGGCGAAACCCCGTCTCTACTAAAAATACAAAAAATTAGCTGGGCATGGTGGTGGGTGCCTGTAGTCCCAGCTACTCGGGAGGCTGAGGCAGGAGAATGGCGTGAACCCGGAAGGTGGAGCTTGCAGTGAGCTGAGATCGCGCCACTGCACTCCAGCCTGGGCGACAGAGCACGACTCCGTCTCAAAAAAAAAAAAAAAAAAAGTATAAAAGTATAACTGTTATTGGGGAAATGACCTGAAATGTGACTTTTAAAAATTCCTAAAGGTCCAATAATAAGGTCTCAGTTGACCCTAGAGATTTCCAATGGCAGGCCTAACTTAGTCCTGCTGGTTCATTAATGTGGCAAGGAAGAGTTTCCAGTTTCTTATGTGTACTGGGATAGACAGGATCTTATGTTTTAAATCTTAACACAAATATATCAAAATTATTTGAAAAGAGTCATAGAAAAATGTTCTAGGTGGCAGTCTCTACAAAAATACTGTACTAAAGCAAACGTTGGGAACCTTTTACCAATCTGCTTTCATAACGCTTAGACCTCATTAAACACACTTTGAAACATTTAGAAGCTTCCAAGTTGAATAACCAACTTATGTGCAATCCACAACTTTCCCGAGTGGGAGTCAACAAATCAGACACAGACATCTTTCATCAAAGAAGCAGCTTTTACAGAAAAGCAGATAACATTAAACAGAACAGATAAGGACAAAATGTTTTCAAAAGCACAACTGAAACAAATAGTATTCCACTTGGAGTCTCATGAAAATCCTGTAAAATACTATTCAACACCAAATAAAAAGCAGCAGCTGTATAGAAATAAGGAGCAAGTGGCAAATACACACTAGACCAGTTTTTCTGAAACGTCAGAGCAGAAAAAGAGAAGCCATAAGCAAATGAATGGCAAACACGGACCCAATTCAGAGAAGATACAAAGAGGAACAGCGGCCACCTCCAGCCCACCCAGGTGCATGAAGAAAGCAGGTGGGGGGTGGAAAGATCAATGAAAGGTGGAGATACAGAGTCTGAAACCAAATGCCTGCAAGTTCGGCTTATCTTGGTTTTTTCACTCTCCAGCCAAGTCACTTGCAGAACTACTGATTGACTCAAAGTACAAATAACTCCAAAATGTCACACACGTCAGTTATAAGCTACTCATTTCCCTCAAGCAAATCCAAGAGTACACAAACTATTATTTGTATTTCTTCTGGAATTTGTACTCATTAAGGTATCAGTAGTAAAGGTAATCAGATAGTAATGAAGAAAAAAACAGCTTCGGGTTGTATATGCACACAGATTCTATACAACCTCAGTAACATTGAAAAACCACTTGGTAAATAAGGCCTGATTTGCAATTCTTGACCCTCTGAAGGGGAACTATGGTATAAAAAGGACAATCATTTTATCAGTATCATGGTCTTTAATTCCCACTCACCAAAGCAGTGTTTATACCAAAACCTGGACTCTGCAGAAAGAGCTCATTTAAACAGACCATAGAACATCGACACACCATCGATGGCACATGGTGGGCACTCCACACATGGTAAGCTCACAGGGGCCCGCCCAACCCAGAAGGTAGACTGAATACTCCATACCATGACCCATCTCTGTCTGGGCATAAGTGCCAATGATCTCCAAGTTCCAGGCGGGCATGAAGAAGCGCTCCTGCTGCTCCGCAGTTGCCTGGTGAAGCAAGGTGGGCAGGAACATGCCCAAGTGAAGATCCAGAGGCTCAGGCCGCCCTCGGTGCACAAAACTTCGAGGAAATATCAAGGATGGGCATTTGAGAGAAGAGTCATCAGGTGTGAGAGAATCAGCAATTTAAATAGAGCAAGGGAAGGAGACAAAAAAACCTTAAGTATGAATTAGTTGCGTGCACTTAATCATAGATGGGAGCACTGTCCCTTTCTGTATTACTTTATAGCTCTTGTTAATTTCCATTTTTCCTGAGTCGGCAAGGAGTACGAGGACAGGGATTGGTTACTGATTCCAAAGCCAATGCAGCACAAAACCACACGTGCAAGGCAGAGGATCCTCGCCCAGGAATTAAATCAAAGGAAATAAAGAAAATTTGAGAGGCCAGTGCAGTGGATCATGCCTACAATCTCAGCACTTTGGGAGGCCAAGGCGGTCAGATCACCTTAAGTCAGGAGTTCGAGACCAGCCTGGCCAACATGGCAAAGCCCTGACTCTACTAAAAATACAAAAATCAGCTGAACGTGGTGGCGCCAGCCAGTAGTCCCAGCTATTTGGGAGCCTGAGGCAGGAAAATCGCTTGAACCTAGGAGGCGGAGGTTGCAGTGAGCCGAGATCATGCCCACTGCATTCCAGCCTGGGTGACAGAGTGAGACTCTGTCTCAAAAAAAATAAATAAATAAATAAGAGAGAATTGGCCAGGTGCAGTGGCTCCCACCTATAATCTCAGCACTCTGAGAGGCCGAGGTGGGTGGATCACCTGAGGTCAGGAGTTCAAGACCAGCCTGGCCAACATGGCGAAACCCTGTCTCTACTAAAAATACAAAAATTAAGCAGGCATGGTGGTGCACACCTGTAATCCCAGCTACTCAGGAGGCTGAGGCAGGAGAATTGCTCCAACCCAGGAGGCAGAGGTTGCAGTGAGCTAAGATAACACCACTGCATTCTAGCCTGGGCGACACAGTGAGACTCCATCTCAAAAAAAAAAAAAAAAAGAGAGAGAGAATTTGAAAAGTTGTATAGGGCCAGGCATGGTGGCTCATGCCTGTAATCCTAGCACTTTGGGAGGCTGACGCAGGCGGATCACTTGAGGTCAGGAGTTTGAGACCAGCCTGGCCAACATAGTGAAATCCCGTTTCTACTAAAAATACAAAAAAAAAAAAAAAAAAAAAAGGCCGGGCACCGTGGCTCATGCCTGTAATCCCAGCACTTTGAGAGGCCAAGGTGGGCGGATCACCTGAGGTCAGGAGTTCAAGACCAGCCTGACCAACATGGTGAGACCCCATCTCTACTAAATATACAAAATCAGCCAGGTGTGGTGGCACATGCCTGTAATCCAAGCTACTTGGGAGACTGAGGCAGGAGAACCTGGGAGGCGGTGGTTGCAGTGAGCCGAGATCACACCACTGCACTCCAGCCTGGGCAACAGAGCGAGACTCTGTCTCAAAAAAAAAAAAAAAAAAAAAAAGTTGTATAGAATGGAGAATTTGCTGGGTGTGGTGGCATGTGCCTGTAATCCCAGCTACTTGGGATGCTGAGGCAGAATCGCTTGAAGCCAGGAGTCGGAGAACAGAGAATTTGAGTGGTACTGGTACAAGGATTTCCTCTGATGAGAAAGCGAGACAGAACATAGTAGTTCTCTCAGAGTGACAGTATGACCCCCAGATTATAGTTTTTCCTCGATGCAATTTCAATAATGCTTCTAGGCTGGGATTTTTTTTCTGTTTTGTCCACAAAACATCCAGCGTAGAACCATATTCCTCACATAGCTCTGATCATTTCATTCAGATTCATCATGTCAAATATTCGGCCACGCTCTACTGAAACACTTTAATACAAAAACTGACAGTGCTCTTCATCCCAATAATTTATTTCAGAAATTAAAAAAGACATGCAATTTCTAGTGAAGACCATAATAACGACAAGTTACAGATTCATGCATAAGCTCTCCGTGACAATTATACAGAAATTATCATTAATGATAATAAACAGCTTTATTAGTTTTAAATCAACTTTCTGGGGTCATTCTTTTCCACTTAAAACGTGCAGGGGACAGGATTCTGTGTGAATTTTTGCTAGGGATAGGAAGTCGTTCTATAGGCCTTTGCATTTTTCCACATTACTGGTATTCTGTGTAATTGCCAGCTCCAAATCCGTCAACTCCATATTGCTCTTATCATTCTATGTGTCTTTGAAATGAGCATAAATGACAGTTCAGTTTTTAAATTGCTGTTTGTTCCTTGCAAGGTAGGGAGGAAAAGAACCAGGGCACACTGCTCAGACAAGTGCTAATCAATGACTTCTTCCAATCTAGTGGCTAGGCTTTCAGCTAAGCAATCACACTTTAGAAAAAGAAAAATCAAAGTATGTGTGACTGAATCCCTCATTTTACAGAGGAGAAATTAAGGCTGAGATGAATTAAATGCCTTGCTCAGGGAAAAAAGAAAATGGCAAAACAAGGACAAGAATCTCGTCACCATGGGAGCTGAGCAAGGGGTAAAACATGGACATGCAGAATGGAGTAACAGACACAGGGGCCAGGCGCGGTGGCTCACGCCTGTAATCCCAGCACTTTGGGAGGCCGAGGCAGGGGGATCACCTGAGGTTGGAGTTCAAGACCAGCCTGGTCAACAGGGTGAAACCCCATCTCTACTAAAAATACAAAAACTAGCTGGGCGTGGTGGTGGGTACCTGTAATCCCAGCTACTTGGGAGGCTGAGGCAGGAGAATCACTTGAACCCAGGAGGCAAAGGTTGCAGTGAGCCACGATGGCACCACTGCACTCCAGCCTGGGCGACAGAGACTCTGTCTCGAAAAACAAAAAACAACAACGAACAAAACAGACACTGGAGGCTCCAGAATGTGGAAGGATGGGAGGGGTATGAGGCCTGAAAAGTTACCTACTGGGTACTATGTTCACTATTTGGGCAATGGGTACTGCAAAATCCCAGACTTCACCATTACATAATATATACATGTAAGGAAATGGCACTTGTACCCCCTAAACCTATTTTTTAAAAAAAGAACCACCTTGTCACCTCGTCCTGTCTCCTAGCTGGGGAAATTACTGCACAAGCATAGCATGGACTAAAGACTGTGACTGCAGGCCGGGCGCGGTGGCTCACACCTGTAATCCCAGCACTTTGGGAGGCCAAGGTGGGCGGATCATGAGATCAGGAGATCGAGACCATCCTGGCCAACAAGGTGAAACCCCTCTCTACTAAAAATACAAAAATTAGCCAGGTGTGGCAGCGCCAGCCTCTAATCCCAGCTACTCGGGAGGCTGGGGTAGAAGAATCCTTGAACCCGGGAGGCGGAGGCTGCAGTGAACGGAGATCGTGCCACTGAACTCCAGCCTGGCAACAGAGCAAGACTCTATCTAAAAAAAAAAAAAGACTGTGACTGTAATGAAGATGCTAAAAAGACATGCTGAAAAAGCCAGGGCTGTCCTTAGAAGCCTCAAAAATGGAAATCCCACAAGGTGTCACCACTGGTAGAGACTCCGTGACGGGTTCACAGGGTTTCCTGGTACTATTTTTGTAACTTCCTATGACTCTACAATCATTTCAAAATTAAAAAAAAAAAAAGGCCAGGCACGGTGGCTCATGCCTATAATCCCAGTACTTTGGGGGGCCAAGGTGGGCGGATCACTTGAGGTCAGGAGTTCGAGACCAGCCTGGGCAACATGGTGAAACCCCATCTCTACTAAAAATACAAAAATTAGCTGGGCATGGTGGCAGGCGCTGGTTATCCCAGCTACTCAGGAGGGTGAGGCACGAGAATTGCTTGAACCTGGGAGGCAGAGGTTGCAGTGAGCCAAGATCGCACCACTGCATTCTAGCCTGGGGGACAAGACTCCATCTCAAAAAAAAAAAAAAAAAAAAATTAATAGCGGAAATCCCAAGAAAAACACATTCATGGGATGAGAGTGCCTTTCACTCAAACAGAAATGTCAACTGTCCCCAGCCTTTTGAGTACTGTCTAGGAAGAAAATTCAATGTGCACTTAGAACCTGGAAGGTGAAAACTGAGTTAGGACTGAAACCTGGGACCAGACACTTTTCATGCTTTTATGGAAGGTTATTTTACTTCACTAGAAATCAGAGCAATTCCTGGTGAAGGAAAGGCCACTATCAAGCACCCATCAGCCTCTGGAAGATTTACATCTGAGTGTACCACAGAGTGAAGATGCACGCTAAGGGTTACAACAAATGCGCTCAGTAGGGCAGGGGTAAAACCACTATAATCACAAATGGTTCTGACACTAAAGAATGTTTTCAGGAAAAAAATATTTCTTCCAAATAAGACAAGGATTATTCAGATGTGGATGAAATTTAGAAATGTTACAAGGAGAAAGTGAACTGCATAGTTTTTTGACTTAAGCCAAGTATTTGTTTTAAAAGCTGCTTATGCATGATAAAGATATTATTTTTAAATAATTTATCGTAAAATTACGAAGCACCAACATTATACTTAGTGAAGGGCTAGAGTCAGCTCTTTTAAAACCAAAACATCAAAAGGCATCCCCAGCCTCTCTTTCCACATGATACAAGGCTGGAAAGGCTGACAATCAATACTGAGGAAAAACCAATTAGACTAATCATATATGAGAAAGGAAGAAATAAAAAGCAGCTCTGTAGAAAGCATGAGTATCATCCTAGGAAATCAATAATGTCAACAAAATACCACAATAAGTGAATTGAGAAAAGCTGCAGGCTATAAGGGAAAAAAAATTAACAGCACTCAGGCGTGGTGGCTCACACCTGTTAATACCAGCACTTTGAGAGGCCGAGGAGGGCGCATCACGAGGTCAGGAGATTGAGACCATCCTGGCTAACACGGCGAAACCCCATCTCTACTAAAAATACAAGAAAATTAGCCGGGTGTGGTGGCGGGCGCCTGTAGTCCCAGCTACTCGGGAGGCTGAGGCAGGAGAATGGCGTGAACCCAGGAGGCGGAGCTGGCAGTGAGCCGAGATCGCCCCACTGCACTCCAGCCTGGGCGACAGAGCGAGACTCTGTCTCAAAAAAAAAAAAAAAAAACCCAGAAAAAAGATAAATACCTAATAGGGTGGGAAAAAAAGATAAAAATAACAGGAAAGAAATAGCTTCCCAAGAAAAGACAAGGCTTCAATATAAAACTAACTTAAAATTCCAGATAGAGAAGGAGAAAAACACATTTAATTCCTGTAGAATTTTTTTTTAGAACCTGACAGATTCAGATCAGAATTCATCTAGAATAAGCAAGCTTAAATACCAAATACACGTATCTTGAAATGTAACAACAGTAGGCTTATCCTATCAGATTTTTAAATACCTTACAAGCCTGGGCAACACAGCAAGATCCTATCTCTACTAAAAATTTAAAAAATCAACTGGGCGCGGTGTCACGAGCCCATACTCTCAACTACTCGGGAGACTGAGGCAGGAGGATCCCTTCAGTCTAGGAGATCAAGGCTGCAGTGAGCTATGATCAAACCTCTGCACTCCAGCCTGGGCAGCAGAGCAAGAACCCGTCTTTCAAAAATAAAAATATGCCAGGCCCAGTGGCTCACTCCTGTAATCCCAGCACTTCGGGAGGCTGAGGCAGGCAGATCACCTGAGGTCAAGAGTTCGAGACCAGCCTGGCCAACATGGTGAAACCCCATCTCTACTAAAAATACAAAAATTAGATGGGCATGGTAGCACATGCCTGTAATCCCAGCTACTCGGGAGGCTAAGGCAGAAGAATTGCTTGAACCTGGGAGGCAGAGGTTGCAGGGAGCTGAGATCATGCCACTGCACTCCAGGCTGGGTGACAGAGCAAGACTCCATCTCGAAAAAGAAAAAAAATAATAAATAAAAATAATAAAATAAAAAATAAAGGCCAGGTGCGGTGGCTCGTGCCTGTAATCCCAGCACTTTGGGAGGCTGAGGTGGGTGGATCACGGGGTCAGGAGTTTGAGACCAGCCTGACCAACATGGTGAAACTCCGTTTCTACTAAAAATATAAACATTAGCTGAGCATGGTGGTGCACGCCTGTAATCCCAGCTACTCAGGGGGCTGAGGCAGGAGAATCGCTTGAACCCGGGAGGCGGAGGTTGCAGGCAGCTGAAATCACACCATTGCACTCCAGCCTGGGCAACAGAGCAAGACTCCGTCTTAAAAATAAATAAAAAATTAAAATAAAAAAATAAAAAATAAAAATAAAAATAGAGTAAAAAGTCTTGGCTGGGCACGGTGGCTCACGCCTGTAATCCCAGCATTCTGGGAGGCCGAGGTGGGTGAATCACGAGGTCAGGAGTTTGAGACCAGCCTGGCCAACATGGTGAAACCTCGTCTCTACTAAAAATACAAAAAATTAGCTGGGCGTGGTGGCAGGCACCTGTAATTCCAGCTACTGGGGAGGCTGAGGTAGAATCGCTTGAATCCAGGAGGCAGAGGTTGCAGTGAGCCATGACTGCGCCACTGCACTCCAGCCCAGGTGACAGTGCGAGATTCTGTCTCAAAAAAATTTTATAAAGCACCAGTGGTCAAAATTTATGTTAGAAGAAAAACAAAGAAAGAAATAAACCTATCAATGTAATATATTTAAGGTTCCAGAAATAAATTTAACCTATTATAAAACTCTAAGACAAACCAGAAAGGACATAATGGGAATAAGATAATAATGGGAAAAAGCCACTAGTTAACAATGAACATTAGAAATCTCGGAAGCTGCGCCACTGCACCCCAGCCTGGGTGACAGAGTGAGACTCTTGTCTCTCAAAAAAAAGAAAAAAGAAGTACAAAAAAAAAAAATCTAGAAAACCATGAGATTCATTCTCACTCTGTATCATATACAAGTCAAATCATTAAACAGAAACCAAACAAAAATATTAGAAGAAAACAGAAGAGGCCGGGCGTGGTGGCTCACGCCTGTAATCCTAGCACTTTGGGAGACCGAGGCGGGTGGATCACAAGGTCAGGAGATCGAGACCATCCTGACCAACATGGTGAAACCCCATCTCTACTAAAAATACAAAAATTAGCTGGGTGTGGTGGTGGGCACCTGTGATCCCAGCTACTCGGGAGGCTGAGCCAGGAGAATGGCTTTGAACCCAGGAGGCAGAGGTTACAGTGAGCCAAGATGATGCCACTGCACTCCAGCCTGGTGACAGAGGAAGACTATGTCTCAAAAAAAAAAACCCAGAAGAAAACTATCCAAGTTATGGAAAAGATAAAATTTATACCTATGCAGAGAAGGATGTGTTAAATATATAAAGCAAAAACGTTTAGCAAAGCAGAAAATAATTTAAAAAATCGAAATATATATATATATACATACATATATATATACATACATATATATACGTATATATATACATACATATATATACATATATATACGTATATATATACATACATATATATACATATATATATACACATATATATATATACACGTATATATATATATATTTTTTGAGACAGCATGTCACTCTGTCACCCAGGCTGGAGTGCAGTGGCACGATCTCGGCTCACTGCAACCTCCACCTCCCAGGTTCAAGCGATTCTCCTGCTTCAGCCTTCCGAGTAGCTAGAATTACAGGTGCCGCCACCACTCCCAGCTAATTTTTAGATTTTTAGTACAGACAGGTTTCACCATGTTGGCCAGACTGGTCTCAAACTCCTGATCTCAAGTGATCCACCCACTTCGGCCTCCCAAAGTGCTGGGATTACAGGCGAGAGCCATTGCACCCAGCCAAAAAACCGTATTTTATACATAGAAAACACAAACAGTAAATCAAAACACGTAATAACATCCAGGCTTACTAGTAATGGGAAATTAAAACATTAAGTGTTAGAAATATATTAAAGTAGGCCAAGTGCAGTGGCTCACGCCTGTAATCCCAGCACTTTGGGAGGCCGAGGCGGGCGGATCACGAGGTCAGGAGATCGAGACCATCCTGGCTAAAACGGTGAAACCCCGTCTCTACTAAAAATACAAAAAATTAGCCGGGCGTAGTGGCGGGCGCCTGTAGTCCCAGCTACTTGGGAGGCTGAGGCAGGAGAATGGCGTGAACCCGGGAGGTGGAGCTTGCAGTGAGCCGAGATCCCGCCACTGCACTCCAGCCTGGGCGACAGAGCGAGACTCCGTCTCAAAAAAAAAAAAAAAAAAAAGTTAGCCGGGCATGGTGGAGGGTGCCAGTAGTACCAGCTACTCAGGGGGCTGAGGCAGGAGAATAGCGTGAACCCAGGAGGCGGAGCTTGCAGCGAGCGGAGATCATGCCACTGCACTCCAGCCTGGGCGACAAAGCGAGACTCCGCCTGAAAAAAAAAAAAAAAAAAAGAAATATATTAAAGTAGGCCATGTGCAGTGGCTCATGCCTGTAATCCCAGCACTTTGGGAGGCTGAAGCGGGCGGATCACCTGAGGTCAGGAGTTCAAGACCAGCCTGACCAACATGGAGAAACCCCGTCTCTACTAAAAATACAAAAGTAGCCGGGCGTGGTGGCGCATGCCTGTAATCCCAGCTACTCAGGAGGCCGAGGGAGGAGAATCGCTTGAATGCGGGAGGCGGAAGTTGCGGTGAGCCGAGATCACGCCACTGCACTCCAGCCTGAGCAACAAGAGCAAAACTCCGTCTCAAAAAAAAAAAAAAAGAAATATGTTAAAGTAGCAAAATAAATTAAAGTGACCACGTTGATGGAGCTGTGGAAATACAGGTACAGAGCTTGCTCAATATATTGTCAACTGGTTCTGTGTTTCAGGAAAAGCCTCAAACTATGCAGCAAAAGCTCTAAAATGCTCATGTCCCTCAATATAGTAATTCATTTCTGAGAGGTATTCCAGAAGTATGACCCCAAAGAATACAGCGTCTTATTTATTTATTTATTTATTTATTTTTTGAGACGGAGTCTCACTGTTGTTACCCAGGCTAGAGCGCAATGGCGCAATCTCAGCTCACCACAACTTCCACCTCCCAGGTTCAAAAGCTTCTCCTGCCTCAGCCTCCCTAGTAGCTGGGATTACAGGCACGCACCATCACACCCAGGTAATTTTGTATTTTTAGTACGGACGGGGTTTCTCCATGTTGGTCAGGCTGGTCTCGAACTCCCGACCTCAGGTGATCCACCCACGCTGGCCTCCCAAAGTGCTGGGATTACAGGCGTGAGCCACCGTGCCTGGCCAGAACACAGCTTTCATAAAGTTTATATTATTATCACTAATATTGGTGAAATTTAGCCCAAATCCCCAGGGAAGCAAGTCTCATGAGAAGTCCAACAGGGAAGAGAATCACTTGGGCAGAGGGAAGAGGAGACTGTTAAGCCTAGGGAGAGAGGGCAACGGAGTGCGGTAAAGACTGATGACTTAAAAATCAAGTTTACTACCTCTTTCCAGTTTCAAAGAAAGGTGCATTATTTCATATTTAAGTGTTAATGATGGCAATTTGCCAGGATACTGCATCAGCTTCAAGGATAACTATGTATCATACAATCTCTATATTCCTAAATAGATGGTAATACGAAACAAGGCAATGTGACCCCAGTCCATGGGTGAGGAATAAAGAAAGAAAGGAACGAAAGGAATGGAGGAAGGGAAGAAGACAGAAAGAGAGCGAGAAAGAGGCCGGGTGCAGTGGCTTACACTTCTAATCCCAGCACTTTGGGAGGCCGAGGTGGGCAGATCGCCTGAGGTCAGGAGTTCAAGACCAGCCTGGCCAACATGGTGAAACCCTGTCTCTACTAAAAATATAAATATTAGCCAGGTATGGTGGTGCACACCTGTGATCCCAGCTACTCAGGAGGCTGAGGCAGGAGAATCACTTCAACCAGGGGGAGGTGGAGGTTGCAGTGAGCCGAGATTGTACCATTGCACCACTCCAGCTTGGGCAACATGAGACTCCTTCAAAAAAAAAAAAAAAAAGAGGAAGGAAGGAAGGAAGTGAGCAAGCAAGCAAACAAGGAAAACAAAGCAAGAAGAATCTCCAGAAATGGCCACATCTTGAAATGATTACATATCTGTGAAGAGCAAACAAACGACCTGTTTTGTGGCCTAAAGAAACATATGGTCAGGATGATAACATGGACCCAGTTCCCCAGGCTGTTCCTTTGATCCCAGAACTCCAGGGAGGTGAGCCTATCACCCAGGTTCAGGCCTCTGCCTTTGATTATGGCTCCCAGACCCACAGGGCAGGTGTATATCCGAGTTTCTTCGTGTCCTTAGAGGAAAGAAGACACACTCTAGAAAGAAGGATAATGCTGGTGACTGAGACTTTCTGTAGGTGACTGAATTTTAGGATTTGGAAGGAACATGGAGTGAACCTGAATACTTCTGAGCCCCTTCACTTCTCAGCAGCTACCCAGAAGTGAAAGAATCCCAAACCCAAAGTTACAGCTACTTCTGTGAGACCGCGTTAGATAATCACTGTTCACTGTTGATCCATTTTCCAAAGTCTCAGAATTTAAATAGTTAGATCTCATTCTATATAAGCTGCTCTATTGCCGATCTCCTGGACGTTGACTTTTTGTGTATTCCATATAAGATAAAACCGTCACGTGATGCAAATTAACCAACCTGACTTATTTCCAAGGAAAAGATCAGTCATCAACCAAGAACAGCAATATGAATTAGCAAAATTCCAGCAAGAAAAAAGACTAATCTTAGGACACTGTTCTCTAAACCACAGAGATTAAGACAACGTTGGTTTAAATACAAGAAAATACCCAAAACTAGCTGGGCATGATGGCTCACGCCTATAATCCCAGCACTTTGGGAGGCCGAGGCGGGCAGATCACCTAAGGTCGGGAGTTCGAGACCAGCCTGACCAACATGGAGAAACCCCGTCTCTACTGAAAATACAAAATTAGCCGGGCATGGTGGCACACGCCTCTAATCCCAGCTACTAGGGAGGGAGAGGCAGGAGAATCACTTGAACCTGGGAGGCGGAGGTTGCGGGGAGCCGAGATCGCGCCATTGCACTCCAGCCTGGGCAACAAGAGCAAAACTCTGTCTCAAAAAAAAAAAAAAAAATACCCAAAACTAAAAGCAATAAGGGAACGAAAACTCTAACAAATGCAAACTTGCCCACAGCCATATAGGATCTCTGTCCAACTTCTGTTTGCCTCAAACCAGTATAGTTCAAGTCTTCCTTTCTTCCTCTCTCCTTTCAAAAATTAGGGCAGGCCGGGCGTGGTGACTCACACCTGTAATCCCAGCACTTTGGGAGGCTGAGACAGGTGGATCACCTGAGGTAAGGAGTTTGAGACCAGCCTGGCCAAAATGGCCAAACCCCATCTCTACTAAAAATAACAAAATTAGCCGGGCATGGTGGCAGGTGCCTGTAATCCCAGCTACTCAGGAGGCTGAGGCAGGAGAATCCCTTGAACCCAGGAGGTGGAGGTTGCAGTGAGCTGAGATCACTCCACTGCACTTCAGCCTGGGGCACAGGATGAGACTCTGACTCAAAAAAAAAAAAAAAAATTAGGGCAAATATATATTTGTGATATTACTTTATAAATGAGGCAGAAGCATTAGACCAACAAGAGGTAAGAGGTATACTTAACAAATCCATTAGCCTCAGACTATTTCACATCTTATGCCTCCTATGAACAGCATGACTGTTAAGTCGAATAAATTCTATAATGATGAATACTGAAACAGAGTTCTGTACCACAAAGCTACTTCAAAATTACAACACACACACACACCACGCATGCATGTACACAAACACACAGATACTCCAAGCGAGGAGGACTACATAAAGAATCTTATCTCTCAGGCCGGGTGCAGTGGCTCATGCCTTGTAATCCCAGGACTTTGGGAGGGCAGATCACGAGGTCAGGAGATCAAGACCATCCTGGCTTACACGGTGAAACCCCGTCTCTACTAAAATACAAAAAATTAGCCGGGCGTGGTGGCGGGCACCTGTAGTCCCAGCTACTGAGGAGCTGAGGCAGGAGAATGGCGTGAACCCAGGAGGCGGAGCTTGCACCGAGCCGAGATGGCACAACTGCACTCCAGCCTGGGCGACAGAGTGAGACTCTGTCTCCAAAAAAAAAAAAAAAAAGGAAGGATCTGTCAGCCAGGCGCGGTGGCTCACGCCTGTAGCCTGTAATCCCAGCACTTTGGGAAGCCAAGGTGGACAGATCACCTGAGGTCAGGAGTTAAAGACCAGCCTGGCCAACATGGAGAAACCACGTCTCTACTAAAAATACAAAATCAGCCGGGCGTGGTGGTGAGCACCTGTAATTCCAGCTACTCGGGAGGCTCGGGCAGGAGAGTCACTTGAACCCAGAGGCGGAGGTTGCAGTGAGCTGAGATCATGCCATTGCACTCCAGCCTGGGCAAAAAAAGCAAAACTCTGTCTCAAAAAAAAAAAAAAAAAAAAGAATCTTATCTTCCTTTACAAACCTTTCTTTCAGGCTTATAATTTCAGTACTGACCATCTTGAAGTTGAAGTCTTGAGTGTTTAGTAAAGTGTCTGGAACATCAAACCATGACCAGAAAGCTGCAGTACCCATGGAGATGACAATAAATAACATTTTCCTTAAACCAATTCACACACTGAAATCAGCAATCAAACACAAAATGATGTTTCCCTGATATCTGCATCCCTTTTTCTTTCCCTTTCTTTACTCCTGCCATTTTGATAATTAGACATGAGGCTGGGCAGTTCAAATTCCAAACACTCAAACCTGCCAATGGCCTTGTCTATGAAAACAAACCTATTTCACATTAAGATCAAAAGCAAAACTTTTTGAAGGAAGCCAGATATTTAGGAACAATTTAACAAAGAATTACTGGCAACACAAGAGTTCCCAGACATGTAGGGGAAAAAATGTCTAAAAAGACTGAAGTCAGATGAAGAGAATCATGGACTTTTTTCCAAACTGCCTTATAACCCTGCTAGTGGGCAATGAGATGAGACAGGTAGCTGCCACTGCCTGCTGCCCCCATTAAAATCCACAGCTTTAACTGCATTAGAGCAGAGAGGCGCTTTCCAGATATTGCTGAGGCACTAACCCTCTGAAGAATTTCCAACAAAGTCTTTACTCATTAGACCCAGAGTAACATAATGGGGTTCCCCGCTGCACTGTAAACCCCATCTTTTCAAGCTGTTCAATAATAAAAGGCTTTAGGAAATAACAGTGAATGACGTTTATAGGCCAGAGCCCTGGACCAGTTTCCAGGGAAAATGTCTAGGAGAAAACAAGAAGTTGAATTTTGACTTAACAACTTAAAAATAGAATCCCAAACAGGTAGCAGCAGAAAAAAGTCAAATGCCAGCAATCACTGTTAACTGATGTCCTGAGGTGGGTTACCCACAGACCCTCAATGTGGACTAACCGTGGCCCATTTCCGTCTGGGCGTAGGTGCCAATTATCTGGAGTCCTTTGGATGAAAGCAGCCATTTCTCTTTCTGAGCAGTGGTGCCCTGATTCAGCAAGGTAGGAATAAACATGGAGTAATTGAGGCCCACAGGTTCCACAAAATTGACCAAATGTAGTCTACAGGAGAGAAGAGAAAAGGATCTCAGCCTTCCTTTAGAAACTGCATCCTACAACCCCTTCTTGCCAAACAGCTTTGGCCTTCAAGGAGAAGGTCAGGAAAATGTAAACCCCCTTCTTATGAAATTAAATATAAGATTTACCATTTTACTACCTAAAAAGCCAGCAGCAGAACCTGATGATCTCTCTTCTTCTAATTATTTCAAGGCCACAGTTCCCACAGTTCATTTCGTATTTACATTTAATCCACTAAGCAAATTCTACCTAAGTTTTAGCATAAAAACTTCTCTAATTTTTGGAAGGGGAGGTTGTTGGTGTTATTTGCTGGTTTGATTGGTTGAATTTTTTAGAATGTGTGTGGTTTTTTTTTTTTGCTTTATTTAGGTTTTACCTGTTTGTTTCAAAGAGCAAAAATAACTCCATAGAACACTTATTTATAGCGCTGTTAACAAGAGCTCCAAGGAAGAAATAATTTCAACTATGTTTCCCTAGATAATATAAGCAAATATCCAAAAGAGTAAATACATATTCCAGGGCAGAATCATACATCGCTAAAGGTCTTCAGGGTTTACAATAAGTAATGTGGGCATGTAAAAATTTATCCCCAATGGTCAATGAACATTACTACGGATTAACTCTACATCACATTGAAATTTAGTCCTCAACTCTCTTCTTACAAAACAGAATCCACAGTAGTTGGCCTTGGCTGTGCTGTGTCATAGATTTTATAGGGATCAATTTTGTACTTTGACAAAGCTCGTATCTAAAAAGTTTAAAGTACAAAATACATCTCATCTAACTGATCTTCACGACTTCTCAACACATGATTAGGAAGCAATGTTACTACCAGTTTATCCTAACCTGTGCAATGAGCAGAGCATGAACTAAAGGACAGAAGGGATAGGCTGCCATTGCAGTGCTGGGGGACCCTGAAACCAAACTACCACCTTAAAAGAAATAATAGTAGCCGGGCGCGGTGGCTCACGCCTGTAATCCCAGCACGTTGGGAGGCCAAGGCGGGTGGATCACGAGGTCAGGAGATCGAGACCATCAGATCGAGACCATCCTGGCTAACATGGTGAAACCCCGTCTCTACGAAAAATACAAAAAAAAAATTAGCCGGGTGTGGTGGTGGGCTCCTGTAGTCCCAGCTACTCAGGAGGCTGAGGCGGGAGAATGGCGTGAACCCGGGAGGCGGAGCTTGTAGTGAGCCGAGATCGCACCACTGCACTCCAGCCTGGGCGACAGAGCGAGACTCTGTCTCCAAAAAAAAAAAAAAAAAAAAAAAGAAAGAAAGAAAGAAATAATAGTAAACACAATATACCCTTATTTTTCTATTTCCTAAATAAGTACTACACGGTTATCCCCGCCATTTCTTTTTTTTTCTTTTTTGGAGACAGTCTCCCTCTGTTGCCCAGGCTGGAGTACAGTGGTGTGATCCCAGCTCACGGCAACCTCTGCCTCCTAGGTTCAAGTGATTCTCATGCCTCAGCCTCCCAAGTAGCTGGGATTATAGGCGTGTGCCACCAAGCCCGGTTAATTTTGTATTTTAGTAGAGAAGGCGTTTTGCCATGTTGGCCAGGCTGGTCATGAAGTGGCCTGGCCTCAAGTGATCTGCCCACCTCAGCCACCCAAAGTGCTGGGATTACAGGCGTGAGCCACCATGCCCCAGTCCCATTGTCTTTTCTATCTTACATAAATCATAATCCACTTAGAAACAAAAAACTCTCAACATGGATGCTCTTAGATACGAATATTTCTAATTAATCAAAATGAATTAATGTAATCATTATAGATTCCACCAGAGGGAACGACTTCTGCGTCCTAATCATGTGTTTAGAAGCTGCTCATTAACATCAGTTAAAAATGTTTTCTCAGCCAGGCGCAGTGGCTTATGCCTGTAATCCCAGCATTTTGGGAGGAAGGGGCGGGTGGATCACAAGGCCAGGAGTTCGAGACCAGCCTGGCCAACATGGTGAAACCCCATTTCTACTAAAAATACAAAAGTTAGCTGGGTGAGGTGGCAGATGCCTCTTCACCTGCTGATAATGGAAATAAATGGAAATGCAGAGAGAGAGAGAGAGAGAGAAAGAAAGAGAGAGAAAGAAAAAGAAAGAGGAAGAGAAAGAGAAAGAAAAAGAAAGGAAAAGAAAGAAAAGAAAAGAAAGAAAGAAAGAAAAGAAAAGAAAGAAAGGTGATGTATTTCACAATTAATAGCATGTCACGGTTAACTGGCAGCATTCTTTCTTTCTTAGTGGTACACAAAACACTGGTGTGAGTTATAATCGATGAGATTATATAACCGAGGCTTTAACTCGATAGCATGCGATAATTTCCAGGACTCATTTACAAACCCCTTCTCTTACTTAAAAACTGATCTCCTTGTCATATCCTAAGGACATTGGAAGTGTGTCAAAGGGTGTGTTAAAGTTTGTACTTTAATACTTCACATGAAAAATGATACACAAAACAACTTCCCGGTGTCCATGAATCTTTAACCCGCATAAAAGACTTTGTTCTATTTCATTGTGACCTCACTCGAGTCTGGTTCACATTATCAACAGGTCACAGGTTATGAAATCATCTCTATCAGCTTTGAAATGCACTGCACCACCCATTCAAACACACACACACACACTCAACCCACTTTTTTCCTGACGTTTCAAGAAGGAATAAAATCTTACTAATTTTTTCAAATTTACAAACACAACACAGGTATCAGTAACATAATCTTCTAGGAGGAGTTACTCTATCTCAATATCCCCACAGCCATGAGTTACAAACTTCAAAAACAAAACAGACCATTTGGAAGTATGCTGATTTGAACTACCAAAAATAAATAAACAAAATTTTTTCGTTTAAAACTGAGTGGAGCTCTGAGGAAAGTCCAAAGTGCCAGAGTAAACCATTTCATCTTCACAAAAATAACCCAAGTCAAGCTGAAAATCGATACCAAAGGCACTAGAGGCAGTGACCATTATTACCATAAAGGCAGAACGTGCAACATGTTCTATTTAGCTTGGTTCTAGTCTATACACCACTCATACGATTTAGTCTTTACCGATGAAAATACTGGAGTTCCTTTAAAATGGAGAAACCTAAAAGAGAAAATGCCCAGGAATAAATGAGAAAAAAATGCTATAGGCCAAAATAATCTTGTACTAGGATCATGTAATAGTGTTTGTTTAGGTTAAGGCAAAAAAGTCTTTTTTTTTTTTTTTTTTTTTTTTGAGACAGAGTCTCTCTTTGTTGCCCAGTCTGGAGTGCAGTGGCGTGATCTCGGCTCAGTGCAGCCTTTGCCTCCCAGGTTCAAGGGATTCTCCTGCCTCAGCCTCCTGAATAGCTGGGACCCCAGAAGCGCACCACCAGGCCCGGCTAATTTTTGTATTTTTAGTAGAGAGAGTTTCACCATTTTGGCCAGGCTGGTCTCGAGCTCCTGGCCTCAAGTGATCCACCTGCCTTGGCTTCCCAAAGTGCTGAGATTACAGGCATGAGCCACTGTGCCCGGCCCGAAGTCCTTATTTTTATTTATTTTTACCGTTCCTTGTGGAGCAGGGTGGATCACGAGGTGAGGAGTTTGAGACCAGCCTGGCAACATGGCGAAACCCCATCTCTACTAAAAATACAAAAATTAGCCGGGTGTGGTGGCGGGCGCCTGTAATCCCAGCTACTCAGGAGGCTGAAGCAGGAGAATCGCTTGAATCCGGGAGGTGGAGGCTGGAGTGAGCCGAGATCGTGCCACTGCACTGCAGCCTGGGCGACAGAGCGAGACTCCGTCTCAAAAAACAAAAACAAAAACAAAAAACACAACAAAACACATGGTCTGAAAAAAGGATATACTCTCTTCCACACTAGAACCAAGGCAGGTTTTTATGACGTCTCTCTCATATGCACAAGACAACCATTCAAGCACTGTCATGGATTCAGAACTACTGGGTTCTTAGACTTTCTATTCATTCAGAGGCGTCACAGATCATTCTTCATCCAGGTCCACACTACCATATAATATAATCTGCTATTGCTCCAAAATATTTAAATGGTCGTGCAACTAAAAAAAAAAATGCTCCCAGATTCAGAATTTTAGCAGTCCTCCTTACAAAGAGCAAAATGATTCTGCATTTAAATCAGTCAAATTTGAGTTGCTTGGGCAGAACAATGCTTTTACAACATCCTTGAAACTGTACTCTTGAGAACAAAAACTCCTGCATTTCCATTTATTATCAGCATTCTACAAACACGTCATCCCACGAAAAGGCTTGGATACAAAAGTGATCACATTATTTTTCACACATATAACTTTATTTATTTATTTATTTATTTATTTTTTGAGATGGAGTCTCGCACTCTTGCCCAGGCTGGAGTGCAGTGGCGCGATCTCGGCTCACTGCAAGCTCCGCCTCCCTAGTTCACGCTATTCTCCTGCCTCAGCCTCCCGAGTAGCTGGAACTACAGGCGCCCGCCACCACGCCCGGCTAATTTTTGTATTTTCAGTAGAGATGGGGTTTCACCGTGTTAGCCAGAATGGTCTCGATCTCCTGACTTGGTGATCCGCCCGCCTCGGCCTCCCAAAGTGCTGGGATTACAGGCGTGAGCCACCGCGCCCGGCCACACATATAACTTTATAAAGTTGCATGAAAATATGCCAGTTTGCATCTTCAAACACCAAGCACGGTGATGAAAGGCCACCATAGACCGCAGCTGTAAAGTTTAGGCTTAACAACACTTGCTCTGTTCTAAGGCATACCTACTTTTTAAACCACATAATTTCATCAGGGTCAGCGATGCCAAACTCCCTCATCTTCTTCACCATGATGGCACTTTTCCTGACAGCCACCTCATAACGCTGGCTGCGAGTGAGGAAGTTCAAGTCCTCATGCTGGAAGTCTGGGTCGTTCAGGATCATGTTCTCTGAAAGGGGGTTAAAGGGCATTAAAAGGCAGACAGACACTCGGGCCTCCGTTCCACCCTCCCTGAATCACAATAGGCTTCAGAGTCGCGGACACACCTGGGGAATGGCGATATCCCCCCACCAGGGACACAGGCTGTTCCTCGAAGTGGGGGTCCCGGCTCCCCTAACGCTGGGCCAGAGGGCCTAGGCCCCACAGCGCCCCTGACTCCGCATCGAGGGAGTCTCCAGCTTTTCTCGGGAAAGGAGGGAGGTCTCGCCCGCCGCCCTCACCGATCTCTCGGCGGCGCCGGGTTTTCTCGGGGCTGCCGTCCAGGATGTGTGTAAGCAGCTCCGGGTTGAAGCTGGCGGAATCCCGCTCCCTGCGCAGGTCCGGGTTCATGGCGACGACCAGCTGGCAGCGAAGTAAGCACCGACCGAGGTGGCAGTGACAATCTAAATCCGCAGCTCCAGCGCCGGCCGGACCCTAGGAGGCAGCCTCAGGACGGCGCAAGTCCCCGCCTCCGCTCGCCCGGCCCGCCCCGGCCCGCCCCTTCTTTCTCCGTGGCCCTTTGGCGCGTGAGTGACAGCGGCCCAGACAGAGGGGGCGATGTCCGCGTCGTGGCTGGGGCCGGTCGCGGGGCAGACTAATCCCCTGCTCCTGGCCAGGGGAGGCTCCCGAGCGGATCCTCGGGAAAGGGGCTCCGAAGGTCAAGAAACTGCCCTGCTGGGCGTCCGGGGAGTGGGAAAATAAAGCACTTTTTGTATCCCGCCCCTCCCCCGTCACGTGACCACGCGAGGCGGAAAGAAGAAATCCGAGGACCGGCGACGCCTAGAACAGGTTGGCTGGGGCCTTGGGAAGGGGGCGGGACAACGAGGCTGAGGAGGGATTGCGCCTGCACTTGCCCCCCTCTTACCCCGCGGCCTCTGTCACGCTTCCGGGTCCGTGCCCCTAGGCCTCTCCGAAATGAGAGTGGTCGGGAGACTCTGGAGTCTGGGGCGGGAGATGGGGCTTTGCGGAATTGCTAGGGAGGGTCACTTGGGCTTTTGCCAAATCCACCCGGATTGGAGAAGAATGGGACGGGAACCAGTCTCTTTGGGGAGAGGCTCCAGTTACCTTTTGTTAAGATAATGGCGTCTTTACTGGCAGAGGCGTGGGTTCCGGGGCCCTGGGTGTGGGATTGTGAGCGCTGTTCAAGGGGTGGACGGGGACTTAGAATGAGACCAAGCGGGCGGTGCTGCTCTAAGCCTTCTGTCTGGGAAACCAGACATTTTCCCCCGCAACCTGGCAGTTACTAGAGGTCTTGGAATCCAGACTTCTTTGCTTTCGCCATCACCGTCATCAAAGTGGGAAATGCACACTTACTGTTAAAACCTAGTGTAGGGCCGGGCGCGGTGGCTCACGCCTGGAATCCCAGCACTTTGGGAGGACGAGGCGGGCGTATCACTTGAGCCCAGGAGTTCAAGACCAGCCTGGGCAACATGGCAAAACCCCATCCCTACAAAAAATACCAAAAAATTAGCTGGGTGTAGTGGCATGCGCCTGT
The DNA here is from genome assembly GCF_000001405.40 of Homo sapiens. Taxonomy (NCBI): domain Eukaryota; kingdom Metazoa; phylum Chordata; class Mammalia; order Primates; family Hominidae; genus Homo; species Homo sapiens. The sequence goes on from NC_000017.11 coordinate 75,980,218, forward strand.
AGTCCCAGCTACTCTGAAGGCTGAGATGGGATGGTGGCTTGAGCCCCGGAGGTGGAGGTTGCGGTGAGCCAAGATTGTGACATTGCACTCCATCCTGGGCAACATAGTGAGACCCTGTCTCTACAGAAAAAAAACAAAAAACAAAAACAGTTCTGCCCAGTGGGATTGTAGACAAGGGAGATTCAGGGATTTGTTGAATCATCTCTAGTCATTTTTTTTTTTTTTCTTGAGACGGAGTCTCGCTCTGTCGCCCAGGCTGCAGTGTGGTGGTATGATCTCAGCTCATTGCAACCTCCACCCCCTGGGTTCAAGCGATTCTCCTATCTCAGCCTCCCGAGTAGCTGGGATTATAGGGGCTCGCCACCACACCCAGCTAATTGTATTTTTAGTAGAGACAGGATTTTGCCATGTTGGCCAGGCTGGTCTCGAATTCCTGACCTGTTGATCCACCTGCCTCGGCCTCCCAAAGCGCCGGGATTACAGGCGTGAGCCGCTGCGCCTAGCCTGTCTGTAGTCTGTGTAATACTATGACTTTGGTTTTCTCAGAAGTAAAACTACGAGAGATGCATAACATTCATAATTTGAATAATAGAACTATAATACACACTCTTAACCCCTAGGACCTCAGGATCCTCATTTGTCTTATTAAGCTGCTGATCTCAGGCCCCTTCAACAGCAGAGAGGGTGTCTAGTTTATTCTCTGTACCTGGCACAGTGCCTGCCCCGCTAAAGGTGCTCAGGAAATCTTTGTGGAGTGAACAAATGGCTGCTTGACAGCTGACCTTCTAGTTCTAATATTCTAGGAAACCAATTGCTCTTAATGTAACAATGATAAGGGGTGTACTTAGCATTGAATAGAAAAGACTTAGATGAAGAGCTAAATTTGCTGAGTTTTTATTTTGAAATAATTTCAAATTTACACGAGAATTACAAGAATAGAACAAAGAACTTTTCTTCTGTGACTTTAACGCTTTTTTTTTTTCTTTTGAGATGATGTCTTCCTCTGTCACCCAGGCTGGAGTGCAGTTGCATGATTTCAGCTCACTGCAACCTCCGCCTCCTGGGTTCAAATGATTCTCATGCCTCAGCCTCCAGAGTAGCTGGGACTACAGGAATGTACTACCACACTTGGCTAATTTTTGTGTCTTTATTAGAGGCAGGGTTTCACTATGTTGACCAGGCTGGTCTCCAACTCCTGGCCTCATGTGATCCGCTCGCCTCAGCCTTCCAAAGTGCTGAGATTACAGGCGTGAGCCACTGCGCCTGGCTGGCTGACATTAACACTTTTGAAGTGTATAAGCCCATTGTTTTGTAGTGTTGGGTCTCAGAAAACAATACCCCAAAATGAAGGCCTCAGAAGCAACCCACAAAGCAAGTTGTTTTTTTTTTTTTTTTTACCTTCTGTCCTCCTCTCCCTCAGGTGCATTCTCCCCCGAGCCTAGCCAGAGAAGTTAGAATCCTCTTCCCCAAGGCAGGTCATAGAAAACAGAGTCATTTACCCCCAAAGCCAGCCATAAAACCCTAAATATAAGCTGGGTGCGGTGGCTCACGCCTATAATCCTGGCACTTTGGGAGGCCAAGGCAGGTGGATAGCGAGGTCAGGAGATCGAGACCATCCTGGCTAACACGGTGAAACCCCGTCTCTACTAAAAATACAAAAAAAGCCGAGCGAGGTGCCATGTGCCTGTAGTCCCGGCTACTCGGGAGTCTGAGGCAGGAGAATCGCTTGAACCGGGGAGGCAGAGGTTGCAGTGAGCCGAGATTGCACCACTGCATTCCAGCCTGGGCGACAGAGTGAGACTCTGTCTCAAAAAACAAACAAAAAAAACCCTAAATATATTACTCTTAACTTTCCCTCCTTCTTTTGGTGTAAAAACTGGCCAAAAAGAAATTATCTGACCTAGCTTGTTTGACTGTAGGCCATAAGACTCCATTCCAGAGAGGGTCCTCCCCCACACCCAGAAGGAAGGAATGCCTGTTCCAAGAGGCCAAGAAGAATCTAGACAGACAGGCCTTGCTGGGCCTCCCCACTCAGTCTATCAGCATTAGATCATACCTTTTATGTTCAATCATTTGCATAAAAATGTACAATTTCCCCTGTATCTTTGGGTCTTCCTTCTGAAGGCTCCCATATGTACATGTTACATAAATTTGTACACATTTTTGACTATTACTCTGCCTTTTGTAAGTTGATTTTTTGCAGCGAAACTTCAGAGGGCCCCTTGGCACCTACAGTAGAATGTCCCTTAATTCAGATTTGTCTGATATTTCTTCATGATTAGATTCAGATGATGCATTTTTGGCAGGAATACCACACAAGTGATTAATAGGAGAAAAGGCATACACATGTATTTGATCATAGTTTTGCTTTGTTTTGTTTTGTTTGAGACAAGGCCTTGCTCTGTCACCCAGACTAGAATGCAGTGGCGCAACCATAGTTCACTGCAGCCTCAAACTCTTAGGCTCAAGCATTGATCATAGTTTTATTTATTTATTTATTTATTATTTTTTCAGGCAGAGTCTCACTCTGTCGCCCAGGCTGGAGTGCAGTGGCATGATCTCGGCTCACTGCAGCCTCCGCCTCCCGGGTTCAAGCAATTCTGCTGCCTTAGCCTTCCCTGTAGCTGGGATTACAGGCACCCGCCATCATGCCTGGCTAATTTTTGTATTTTTAGTAGAGACGGGGTGTCACCACATTGGCCAGGCTAGTCTCGAACTCCTGACCTCAAGTGATCTGCCCGCCTTGGCTCAAAAAAAAAAAAAAGAAAGAAAAAAGGAAGAGGCCCGGTGAGGTGTCTCACGCCTGTAGTCCCAACACTCTGGGAGGCCGAGGTGGGTGGATCACCTGAGGTCAGAAGTTCATGACCAGCCTGGCCAACATGGTGAAACCCCGTCTCTACTAAAAATACAAAAATTAGCCGGGCATGGTGGCACACGCCTGTATTCCCAGCTACTCAGGAGGCTGAGGCAGGAAAATCGCTTGAACCCGGGAGGCAGTGGTTACAGTGAGCCGAGATCCCGCCACTGCACTCCAGCCTGGCAGACAGAGCGAGACTCCATCTCAAAAAAGAAAGAAAGAAAGAAAGAAAAATGTATAATCATTATACCAGCAAATTCCTCCCTCGGTGAGAATTGCATAGCAACCCCAGCATCCTCCCCACCTCTTTTTCCCCAGATCCACCAGAAAAACAGGAACATCTAGTGGGGACACTCCTTTAGTCCCCTCATGTTAGTGAGCACACACTCGTGTACACTAGCCCTTCATAATTGTTATCTCCCCCTGTTTTAGACAACCAGTGTTTTCATAGCCTATGCCACCTCTATAACCACCTGATGGGTTCCCACAGCACAAACGAAATCATTTCATGGAGAGCATGGCATTACAGTCAAGAAAGACTAATTGACACAAGGCTGGCCACACCACGTGGGAGTTGGTATTATTAGTCAATCTTCTGGAAGGCTCAGAGATTAGACATTATTTAAATGTAGTTTCGGGGAAGGGGTGGTGGCAGCTAGGCAATGGGTGCTTGCTGCTGATTGGTTGGGGGTGCAACCTTAGGGGTGTGGCAAATGGTCCTCCTGCAGGCTGAGTCACCTCTGAGGGGGGCCGCAGGAGTGGTGGGTGGGGTCCATGTGGAGTTGTTGGTGTCAGACATGCAAAAAACCTGAAAAGATATCTCCAAAGGCCAATCTTAGGTTCTGCAATAGTGATGTTATCTGCAGGAGTAACTGGGGAAGTTGCCTAGCTTGTGACCCCTGGAATAATGGCTGGCAATCTTAGCAGAGTTCGGGCTTCTCTGTGCTCCTAGCCTGGTGGTTTCTCATTAGCTTTACAAAGGTGGCTGCGTTTTAGGGAAGGGCTATTTTCATTTAAACTGTAAACTAAATGTCTCCCAAAGTTAGCTTGGCCCAAATCCAGGAATAATTAAGGGCAGCTTAGAGGCCAAAGGCAAGAGGGGGACTGGCTAGATCAGCTCTCCCCCGCTGTCCTAATTCTCTCACTGATACAATTTTTGCAAAGGACATCTTACTTCTCTATCAAACTATGACTCTGAGGAGGAGATCTTTTTGCTCATTGTTGGCCATTATGGGCTGTACAATGTGTTCCTTGTTCTGAAGAAATAATGGTCGGCTTTCCAAATCTGTGCACTGTCTCTTGTTCTACTTTTTCATTTTTTTAAATTTAATTTTGTTTTTGTGAGACAGCATCTCACTCTGTCACCCAGGCTGGAGTGCAATGGTGCAATCATAGCTCACTGCAGCCTCGACCTCGCAGACTCAAGCGATCCTCCCATCTCATCCTCCCAAGTAGCTGGGATTACAGGCATGCACGACCACACCCGGATAATTTTTATATTTTTAGTAGAGACGAGGTTGCCCTCAAACTCCTGAGCTCAAGTGATCTGCCCGCCTCAGCCTCCTCAAGTGCTGGGATTATAGGCATGAGCCACTGCACCCAACCTTGTTCTGATTGTTTTGAAGCATTTGTAGCTTCTAGCAGGTAAGCAAAGCCCAGTCCAGAGTCACAGTCTGTTCCTGTCAAGGAACAGAGTTCAGTGGTACTGCCCCAGAGCTACCAGCATGAGTCTCACTTGCCAGCTATGATCAGGACCTTCCACCACGTTATCTGCACCATAGCCACAGGCAGTCTCTGTCTCTTTTGCTGACAAACAGAACAGTTCTTCCTGGCACTATGTGCCTGAGAGGGTGCAAGAGGAACGTGTTGATGAAGAGAGTCAAATTGGGCAAGGCGCGGTGGCTCATGCCTGTAATCCCAGCACTTTGGGAGGCCAAGGTGGGTAGATCATCTGAGGTCAAGAGTTCGAGACCAGGCTGACAAACATGGTGAAACCCCATCTCTACTAAAAAGCACTGGGATTACAGGTGTGAGCCACCATTCTGGGCCACACATAGCTTTTTAAATATTGTTTTGGTTTATTATTATTTTGAGACAGGGTCTTACTCTATTGCCGAGGCTACAGTATAGTGGTGTGATCATAGCTCACTGCAGCTTCAACCTCCTGTGGTGGTGATCCTCCTGCCTCAGCCTCCTAAGTTGCTGGGACTACAGGTGAGAGACACCACACCTGGCCCATTTTTGTATTTTTTTTGTGGAGATGGGCTGTTGCCATGTTGCCCAGACTGGTCCCGAATTCCTAGTCTCAAGGGATCCACCTGGCTTGGCCTCCGAAAGAGCTGGGATTACAGGCATGAGCCACTGTGCCTGGCCTAATGTTTTAATTTTTTCATAGAGATGAAGTCTCACTATGTTGTCAAGGCTGGTCTGTGTTTGTTTTTTGTTTGTTTGTCTTGCTTTGTTTTTTGAGACGGAGTCTCGCTCTTATTGCCCTGGCTGGAGTGCAATGGCACGATCTTGGCTCACTGAAACTTCCACCTCCTGGGTTCAAGCTATTCTCCTGCCTCAGCCTCCCAAGTAGCTGGGATTACAGGCATGCGCCACCATGCCCGGCTAATTTTGTATTTTTAGTAGAGACAGCGTTTCTCCATGTTGGTCAGGCTGGTCTTGAACTCCTGACCTCAGGTGATCCGCCCGCCTCAGCCTCCCAAAGTGCTGGGATTATAGGCATGAGCCACTGCACCCGGCCATGTTTTTTTTTCTTTTTTTTTTAATACATGAATGTATATTATATCAAAAAAATTTTTTCTTTTTTATATATATTTTTTATTATACTTTAAGTTCTAGGGTCCATGTGCACAACATGCAGGTTTGTTACATATGTATACATGTGCCATGTTGGTGTGCTGCACCCATTAACTCGTCATTTACATTAGGTATATCTCCTAATGCTATCCCTCCCCCCAAAAAATTTTTTTTTTAATTTTAAAACACTGCCTACTGGAATTAGTCTTCAAGATGCTGTTGGTCTCATATATCTGCTAATCTCTGTTTTGTAGTCTATCCGGTTTATCAGGAATCTTCAAAATCCCTCTCAACTATTTGGTTACAGGAGCCCATGATGCTGCCCAAACCTGGGACCTATTACCTCCCCTGGGAGGTTAGTGCAGGCCAAGTTCCTGATGGGAGCACGCTGAGAACATTTGGCAGGTGAGAACGGTTATTTTTTTCACTGGTGGGGGTGATGATATGTTAAATGTCTTTCTCTACCTCCAAAAAGACATAATTAGAAAAGATTTTTATAACTTCATCTAATTATGTTAAAATACTAAAAAAAAAATTAGTTGCCGGGCGCGGTGGCTCATGCCTGTAATCGCAGCACTTTGGGAGGCCGAGGTGGGTGGATCACCTGAGGTTGGGAGTTTGAGACCAGCCTGACCAACATGGAGAAACCCTGTCTCTACTAAAAATACAAAATTAGCTGGGCGTGGTGGCGCATGCCTATAATCCCAGCTAATCGAGAGGCTGAGGCAGGAGAATTGCTTGAACGTGGAAGGTGGAGGTTGTAGCGAGCCGAAATCGCGCCATTGCACTCCAGCCTGGGCGACAAGAGCAAAACTCTGTCTCAAAAAATAATAATAATAAATATATATACATATATATATTGAAAAAATTAATATTCATTGTAAAAAGTGTAGATAGTCCATAAAGGTGTAGAGAGGAAGGAAAAGTCACCCATAATCCCATTACCCAGACAACCACTGCTAACCTTTGGTGATTATCCTCGTGCTTTTCCATATGTATGTGTTTGTATATGTGGGTGGGTATGGAGACACCCAATATACGTATATACATATATACTCTGTCAGTTATTTATCAGTTATATATTGCTATGTAACATATTACCCATACACACAATTTTAGTTTTTCGTAGAGACAGGGTATCCCTATATTCTCAAGGCTGGTGTCTAACTCCTGGGCTCAAGCGATCCTCCTGACTCAGCCTCCCAAAGTGCTGGGATTACAGGCGTAAGCCACTGTGCCCAGCCTCCCCCAAATTTAAAATAATTATTGTCTCATAGTTACTGTGGGTCAGGAATTTGGGAGTGGTTTAACTGTTTGGATCTGGCTCAGGGTCGCTCATGGGAGTGGCATCCAGATGTTGGCCAGGGCTGCAGTTATCTGGAGGCTTGACTGGGGCCAGGACCTCTACTTCCAAGATGGCTTGTTCACGTTTGGCAAATTAGTGCTGGCTCTTGGCAAGATAACTCAGTTCCAGACAATGTGGATTTCTCTGTAGTTCTGTGTGAGGGTCCTCATAACACAGCAGTTTCTGCCAGAAGCAGTGACCAAGAGAAAGAGCAGGGTGAAAACCACAGTGTCTTTCATGACTTAGCTTCCAGAGTCAGTCTCAGTCATTTCTGCAGTATCCTACTGATTACACAGGTCAGCCTTACTCAGCATCGTAGGGGATGCACAAGGATGTAAATATCGGGGGTGAGAATCACAGGGGACCATCTTAGAGACACGTGTACATACATATAGAAGTATTTTAACCTAGGCCAGGTGCGGTGGCTCACGCCTGTAACCCCAGCACTTTGGGAGGCCGAGGCAGGCGGATCACCTGAGGTCAGGAGTTTGAGACTAGCCGGACCAAAATGGCGAAACCCTGTCTCTACTAAAAATACAAAAATTAGCCGGGCTTGGTGGTGGGTGCCTATAATCCCAGCTACTCAGGAGGCTGAGGCAGGAGAATCGCTTAAACCTAGGAGGTGGAGGTTGCAGTGAGCTGAGATTGCGCCACTGCACTCCAGCCTGGGGGACAGGGTGAGACTCCATCTCAAAAAAAAAAAAAAAAAAAAAAAGACTAGTATTTTAACCTAGCCTGGGTGCGGTGGTTCACGCCTGTAATGCCAACACTTTGGGAAGCCTAAGTGGGCAGATCACCTGAGGTCAGAAGTTCAAAACCAGCCTGGCCAACATGGTGAAACCCCGTCTCTATAAAAAATACAAAAATTAGCCAGGTGTGGTGGCAGGCGCCTGTAATCCCAGCTATTCGGGAGGCTGAGGCAGGAGAATTGCTTGAACCCGGGAGGCAGAGGTGGCAGTGAGCTGAGATCATGCCATTACACTCCAGCCTGGGTGACAAGAGTGAAATTCGGCCTCAAAAAAAAAAAAAAAAGAAGTATTTTAACCTAGTTAAGGGCTGGGTGTGGAGGCTTACACCTGTGATCCTAGCACTTTGGGAGGCTGAGGTGGGAGGATTGCTTGAGTCCAGGAGTTTGAGACAAGCCTGGGCAACATGGTGAAACCCTGTCTCTACAAAATATACAAAAAATTAGCCAGGCATGGCAGTGTGCGCCTGTAGCCCCAGCTACTGGGGAGGCTGAAGTGGGAGGATCACCTGAACCTGGGAGGTTTAGGCTGCAGTGAGCCGAGACTGCACCACTGTACTTTATCCTGGGTGACAGAGTGAGATCCTGCCTCAAAAAAAAAAAAAAAAAAAAAAAAAAGAAAAGAAGAAGAAAGCAATATTTTAACCTAGATGAGATCCTATTATATTACTGTATTGTAGCATTTATTTACTTAGCTGTGTATGGTAGACCTAGTGCCATCTCAGACATGTAGATCTATATCATCATTTTGAATGGTTCCATTTTGTTTCACTGTGGTGATATTGCATCATTTACTTAGCCAAGTCTTTTGTTTTTTTTTGAGACGGAGTCTAACTCTGTCACCAGGCTGGAGTGCAGTGGTGCAATCTCGGCTCACTGCAACCTCTGCCTGCCAGGTTCAAGCGATTCTCCTGCCTCAGCCTCCCGAGTAGCTGGTATTACAGGCAACTGCCATCACACCCGGCTAATTTTTTTTATTTTTTAGTAGAAACGGTGTTTCACCATCTTGGCCAGGCTGGTCTCGAACTCCTGACCTTGTAATCCACCCGCCTCGGCCCCCCAAAGTGCTGGGATTACAGGCGTGAGCCACCACGCCCGGCCTACTTAGCCAATTCTTTATTGATTTTCTTTTCTTTTTTTCTTTTTTTGAGACAGAGCCTTGCTCTGTTGCCCAGGCTGGAGTGCAGTGGCGCGATCTCAGCTCACTGCAAGTTCTGCCTCCCAGGTTCACGCCATTCTCCTGCCTCAGCCTCCCAAGTAGCTGGGACTACAGGCACCTGCCACCACGCCCGGCTAATTTTTTTTTTTGTTTTTTTTTTGTTTTTGTAGAGATGGGGTTTCACCGTGTTAGCCAGGATGGTCTCGATCTCCTGACCTCGTGATCTGCCTGCCTAGGCCTCCCAAAGTGCTGGGATTACAGATGTGAGCCACCGCACCTGGCCTTTTTTGTTTTTTTAAATTGAGATGGAGTCTTGCTCTGTCGCCAGGCTGGAGTGCAGTGGCGTGAGCTTGGCTCACTGCAACCTCCAACTCCCTGGTTCAAGCGATTCTCCTGTCTCAGCCTCCCAAGTAGGTGGGATTACAGGCGTGCCCCACCACACCCAGCTAATTTTTGTATTTTTTTAAGTAGAGATGGGATTTCACCATGTTGGCCAGGATGGTCTCCATCTCTTGACCTTGTGATCTGTCTGCCTCAGCCTACCAAAGTGCTGGGATTACAGGCGTGAGCCATCGTGCCTGGCTTTATTGATTTTCAATAAAGACATCAAGATAATTCAGTAGGGAAAGCATAGTCCTTTCAACAAGTGGAACTACTGGATATTGACACTGTGTCGCCCAGGCTGAAGTGCAAGTGACATGATCATGGCTCACAACAGCCTTGACCCCTCAGCCTCCCAAGTAGCTGAGACCACAGGCGTGCACCACTGTACCTGGCTAATTAAAAAAAAAAAAAAATTATAGAGACGGCATCTCGCTGTATTGCCCAGGCTGGTCTCTAACACCTGGGCTCAAGCAATCCTCTTGCCTCAGCCTCCCAAAGTGCTGGGATTACAGATGTGAGCCACCATGCCCAACCTAGATTTTTTTTTTTTTGAGACGGAGTCTTGCTCTGTTGCCCAGACTGGAGTGCAGTGGTACGATCTCGGCTCACTGCAGCCTCTGCCTCTTGGGCTCCAGTGATCCTCCCGTCTTGGCCTCCCAAGTATCTGGGACCACAGCTGCGTGCCACCATGCCTGGCTAATTTTTTTTATATTTTTAGTAGAGACAGGGTTTCAACATGTTGCCCAGGTTGGTCTCAAACTCTTGGACTCAAGTGATCCATCTGCCTTGGCCTCCCAAAGTGCTGGGATTACCAGCATGAGCCACCACGCCCAGCTAGATATTCTTATGGTAGGGGAAAACATCTTGATCTTTACTTCACAACATACAAAAAAAAATTTACACTGTGTCATAGATTACAAGCTAAGACTGAAATGTCTCAAGTAAACAGCAGAATATCTTTACAACTTTGAGTAGGCAAAGATTTCTTTTTTTTTTTTCTATTTATAGCATTTGTAGCCCATATTGAAAAAAAAAAGATGGCCAGGCACAGTGGCTCATGAGTGTAATCCCAGCACTTTGGGAGGCTGAGGCAGGTGGATCACGTGAGCCCAGGAGTTCGAGACCAGTGTGGACAACATAGCAAAACCCTGTCTGTACAAAAAATTAAAATATTAGCCACGTGTGATGGCAAGTACCTATAGTCCCAGCTACTCAGGAGGCTGAGATGGGAGGATTGCTTGAGCAGCCTGGAAGGTCAAGGCTGCAGCCTGGGATACAGAAAAAAAAAAAAAAGAAAGGAAGAAAAAGATTTCTTAGACAAGACATAGAAAGCAAAAGTCATAAAAGAAAAAAATGATCAGGTGTGGTGGCTCATGCCTGTAATCCCAGTACTTTGGGAGGCTGAGGTGGGTGGATCCCTTGAGGTCAGGAGTTGGAGACCAGCCTGGACAATATGGTAAAACCCCTTCTCTACTAAAAATACAAAAATTAGCCAGGCCTGGTGGCAGGCACCTGTAATCCCAGCTACTCGGGAGGCTGAGGCACAAGAATTGCTTGAACCCAGGAGGCGGAGGTTGCAGTGAGCCGAGATTGCTCCATTGCACTCCAGCCTGGGCAACAAAGCGAGACTCCATCTCAAAAAAAAAAAAAAAAAAAGAAAAAAGAAAAAGAAAAAAATGAATAAACTGATCATCAACAAAATTAAAAGCTTCTGCTTATCAAAATATGCCATTAAGAAAATTGAAGGCAAGGAGATGAAAATTAAAAGGAATTCCTTCATATTCTACAGTGTAGACTGAAACATTTTTTTCTGGTTTGTTGCTGCAATTTGCATTTCTGTGATGAGACTGAGGCTGAACACTTTTCTATAGATTTCTTGGCCATGCAAACCTTTTGAGCGTGGTGGTGATTCTACGTATGGATGGAAATTATTGCATTTCTTCTGCCTTCCAGGTTGTGCCTCTATGACATGATTCAGTCCAGAGTAACACTGATGGCTCAGCACGGATCCGATCAGCACCAGGTTCTTGTCTGTACCAAGTTGGTGGAGCCCTTCCACGCCCAGGTGGGCTCCCTGTACATCGTCCTCGGGGAGCTCCAGCATCAGCAGGGTGAGCTGCAGCCTCAGATCCCCTTTCTCATCCTGGGGCCTGAGCTGGGGCAGTCTTCGGGGCAGTCAGTGAGAAATGGGCTCGTGACCCAACAGCAATGTCTCATCAGGGTTAATGTTTCTTCCAAATTAGCCCACAAGTTCAACACTCTTGAGGATTCAACTCAGAGTGGACTGGCCTCATGGTGCCAACTCAAAGACAGGGTGGCTGGTCAGGAGTTCGAGACCAGCCTAGCCAACATGGCGAAACCCCATCCCTACTAAAAGTACAAAACTTAGCTGGGCGTGGTGGCATGTGCCTGTAGTCCCAGCTACTCAGGAGACTGAGGCAGGAGAATCACTTGCACCAGGGAGGTACAGGTTGCAGTGAGCCAAGATCGTTCCACTGCACTCCAGCCTAGATGACAGAGTGAGACTCCGTCTCAAAAAAAAAAAAAAAAAAAAAAGACAGGTACAGTGAAGAGACAATCCCCCATGGGGAAGTGAGAACGAGGAGAGAGAAACCACTAATTTCTCAAGGCCTACAACACACCAGGCCTGATGTGAGGCAGCTTGCTTAGATCTTTTTGAATTTGCCTGTCAGCCTTTAATCTGAGTCTTAAAAATTTTTTTTTTTTAGTTTTTTTGAGACAAGATCTCTCTCTGTTACCCAGGCTGGAGTGCAGTGGTATGATCACAGCTCACTGCAACCTCCATCTCCTGGGCTCATGAGGCTCCCACCTCAGCCTCCTGAGTAGCTGGGACCACAGGCGTGCACCACCACACCTGGCTAATTTTAAAATTTTCTGTGGAGACAAGGTGTCATTATTTTGGGATGAGGGATCTGCGTGCCTTGGCCTCCCAAAATGCTGGGATTACAGGTGTGCAGCACCAAACTCAGCCTTACTTCTGATTCCTTTTTATTTTTTGAGACGGAGTCTTGCTCTGTCGCCCAGGCTGGAGTGCAGTGGCGCGATCTCGGCTCACTGCAAGCTCCGCCTCCCGGGTTCACGCCATTCTCCTGCCTCAGCCTCCCAAGTAGCTGGGACTATGGGCGCCCGCCACCACGCCTGGCTAATTTTTTGTATTTTTAGTAGAGACGGGGTTTCACCGTATTAGCCAGGATGGTCTTGATCTCCTGACCTTGTGATCCACCCGCCTCGGCCTCCCAAAGTGCTGGGATTACAGGCGTGAGCCACCGTTTTTTTTTTTTTTTTTAGACAGTGCCTTGCTCTGTCACCAGGCTGGAGTGCAGTGGCGCGATCTCAGCCCACTGCAACCTCCAGCTCCCTGGATCAAGCGATTCTCCTGTCTCAGCCTCCCGAGTAGCCCTGCCTGCTTCTGATTCTTACTGCTGGTTTTTTTTTTTTTTTGTCTCGAGACAGAGTCTTGGTCTGCTGTCCAGGCTGAGTGCAGTGGCGCGATCTTGGCACCAGGCTCTATCCTGCCATTTCTGTATGGATTGCCTGTAGTGGAAACCAAATGGTTGATGAAGGAAAGTTATTTCTTTTTTTTTTTTTTTTGAGACGGAGTGTCGCTCTCGCCAGGCTGGAGTGTAGTGGCATGATCTCAGCTCACTGCAACCTCCGCCTCCCGGGTTCAAGCGATTCTCCTGCCTCAGCCTTCCGAGTAGCTGGGACTACAGGCATGCGCCACCACGCCTGGCTAATTTTTGTATTTTTAGTAGAGATGGGGGTTTCACCATGTTGGCCAGGATGGTCTCGATCTCTTGACCTTGTGATCTGCCCGCCTCGGCCTCCCAAAGTGTTGGGATTACAAGCGTGAGCTACCGCGCCTGGCCTGGAAAGTTCTTTAGAGAAGAGTCACAGCGAATGAACGCAGGAGAAATCCGTAAATTCAAAGTCATCACTTTAAAAGCCCTGACAAAATAAAAAATCCAGGCAACAGTCCTCGCTAGTGGCCAAAATCATTAGGAAACATCTTGATGAGATCATTGTGATGGAGGGACCCGCCAGCAGTGCCTAGGCTGGCCTGATCAATGTCGACGTGATAAAAATCAGAAGGGCAAACATCAGGTACCTCCGATGTGAGTCATGAGGAAGACACACATAGCAACACCTCTGTTGGGTTCTTGCCAAAAAAATTGAACCTGGGCTGGGCGCCGTGGCTCACGCCTGTAATCCCAGCACTTTGGGAGGCCGAGGCGGGCGGATCTCGAGGTCAGGAGATTGAGACCATCCTGGCTAACATGGCGAAACCCCGTCTCTACTAAAAATACAAAAAGTTAGCCGGGCGTGGTGGCACACGCCTGTAGTCCCAGCTACTCAGGAGGCTGAGGCAGGAGAATCGCTTGAACCCGGGAGGCGGAGGAGGTTGCAGTGAGCGGAGATCGTGCCACTGCACTCCAGCCTGGCAGAGCGAGACTCCATCTCAAAAAAACAACAACAGAAGAAAAAACAAAAAAAATTGAACCTGAAGCTAATCAGGCCTCAGAGGAAGTAGCCTGTTACCGGGCACTGGCTAGTTTAGTACTCTTATAATTTGCATCACAACCTGTTTTTTGTGGGGTTTTTTCTTAAAACATTTTTGTCGCTGGGCGCGGTGGCTCACACCTGTAATCCTAGCACTTTGGGAGGCTAAGGCAGGAGGATCACCGGAGGTCGGAAATTCAAGACCAGCCTGACCAACATGGAGAAACCCTGCCTCTACTAAAAATACAAAATTAGCTGGGCGTGGTGGTGCATGCCTGTAATCCCAGCTACTCGGGAGGCTGAGGCAGGAGAATCGCTTGAACCCGGGAGGCGGAGGTTGCTGTGAGCCGAGATCGCACCATTGCACTCCAGCCTGGGCAACAAGAGCAAAACTCCGTCTCAAAAAAAAAAAAGAAAAAGAAAAAGTTTGTCTTGATTTTCTCTTATTTTTTGTGAGACGGAGTCTCACTCTCTCACTCTGTCACCCAGCCTGGAGTGCAGTGGCGTGATCTCAGCTCACTGCAACCTCCGCCTCCCAGGTTCAAGCGATTCTCCTGCCTTGGCCTCCTGAGTAGCTGGGATTACAGGCGCCTGCCACTGTGCCTGGCTAAGTTTTGTATTTTTAGTAGAGACAGGGTTTCACCATCTTGGCCAGGCTGGTCTTGAGCTCCTGACCTCATGATCCACCTGCCTCAGCTTCCCAAAGTGCTGGGATTACAAGCGTGAGCCACCGCGCCCGGCCTGTCTTGATTATCTAAGTCATACACGCTCGTCATTCACGGAGGGAACTCGAATCAAAGATGAGGAGGTGGGAGGAGAGCATCCTGGCTGACTGTGCTCTGTCCACCCTGACCTCTGGCCTGGGCAGAGGGGGCACCCTGTGGCTGCTTTAAACCTCCCTGTGAAAACCAAGTGTGGTGGCTCATGCCTGTAATCTCAGCAATTTGGGATGCCAAGGAAGGAGGACTGCTTGAGATCAGGAGTTTAAGACCAACCTGGGCAACATAGTGAGACCCCATCTTTACAAAAATTAAAAAGTTATCCAGGTGTGGTGGCACAGGCTTGTAGTCCCAGTTACTTGAGACGCTGAGGTGGCAGGATTGCTTGAGTCCAGGAGTTCAAGGTTACAGTGAGCCAAGATTGCTCTACTGCACTCCAGCCTGGATGACAGAGTGAGACCCTGTTTCAAAAAAAAAAAAAAGGAAAAAAAAGTCCAGGTGTGGTTGCTCACACCTGTAATCCCAGCACTTTGAGAGGCTAGGGAGGGAGGATCGCTTGAGCCCAGGAGTTCAAGACCAGCCTGGGAAATGTAGCAAGAGCCTGTCTCTACAAAATAATAAATAAGTAGAAATAAAACCATAAACCTTCCTGTGCCAGGCCCAAAGCTCTATGGGGACACAAAGGTTGATCAGATGTGAATCCTGCCCTGTGGCCAGACTGACAGTACTGAGGACAGGTGAGAGGTCACCCTTCTCAAATGTTTGCCTAAGAGCTAGCTAAGAAGACCAACAGGTGAAGACATGCTGGTGTGTGATAAAACCCATGGACCTGACACCCGCTGGCGCCATCCAAAGGCCCGAGGGCCCCCTGTTCTGGAACTAAGGTGTGGGGCACAGCCTTTCCCAGGCCTACTCCAGAGGCCCTCGGAGCATGCCCAGGCTGAAGGGCACTGGACCACAGCAAACAGCAAGCAGCTGCCCACAAGCCCTTGCCATGCATCCTCTGCCTTCTGCTTTTCTCTCACTGCACCCCTGCACTTTGCCCTCAGAAACCTTCCTTGTGTGGCTGGGCTCAGGAGCTCACTAATCTAGCATGTTCGGAGGCTGAGGTGGGAGGATCACTTGAACCCAGGAGTTTGAGACCAACCTGGGCAACGCAGAGAGACGCCATCTCTACAAAAATGAAAATATTAGTGGGGTGTGGTGGCTTGTGCTTGTAGTCCCAGCTACTTGGGAGGCTGAGGCAGGAGGATGGCTTGAGGCAGGAGTTCGATGCTGCAGTGAGCTATGATCATGCCACTGCACTCCAACCTGGGTGACAAAATGAGACCCTGTTTCTAAAGAAAAAGAAAAGAGGCTGGGCACAGTGGCTCATGCCTGTAATCTCAGAACTTTTGGGAGGCTGAGGCTGGTGGATTACTTGAGTCCAGGAGTTCAAGACCAGCCTGGACGGCCGGGTGTGGTGGCTCACGCCTGTAATCCCAGCACTTTGGGAGGCCGAGGTGGGTGGATCACTTGAGGTCAGGAGTTCGAGACCGGCCTGACCAACATGGTGAAACCCTGTCTCTACAAAAAATACGAAATTAGCTGAGCGTGGTGGCACATGCCTGTAATCCCAGCTATTCAGGAGGCCAAGGCAGGAGAATCGCTTGAAACTGGGAGGCGGAGGTTGCAGTGAGCTGAGATCACACCATTGCACTCCAGCCTGGGTGACAAGAGCAAAACTCCATCTCAAAAAAAAATAATAATAATAACCAGCCTGGGTAACATGGTGAAACCCCGTCTCTACAAAAAATGCAAAAATTAGCAGGGTGCGTTGTTGCACACATGCCTGTAGTCCCAGCTACTGGGGAGGCTGAGGTGGGAGGATCACTTGAGCCAGGGAGGCAGAGATTGCAGTGAGCTGAGACTGTACCACTGTACTGCAGCCTGGGTGACAGAGTGAGACCCTGTCAAAAAAAAAAAAAAAAAGAGAGAGAGAAAGAAAGAAAAAGAAAGAAAAGAAAAGAAAGAGAAAAGAGAAGAGAAAGGGAGGGAGGGAAACCTTCCTGTGTGTCCCCTGTGCACCTCCCTCTTCGAGCATCCTTACAGCTCTGGGACTTGCCCAAACCTTTCTCCCCAAACCACACACCCACAGAGTCTGGAGCAGGGCCGGAGTTTCCCCGGCTCCTCGGGTGTGTCAGCATCACACATCCCTCCCTGTCTCCCTGCTGCCAACCAGTTCCACCACTGTGCACCTCTGCCCCAATTCCACCTCCCACGCCTGCTGCTGCACCTTGGACTTGTTTTCCTGAAATTGCATGCCATCCACTCTCCCTTCTACTTCTGCTGCGTCCCTCTTGCCCTATCAGGACCTGTGGACTCAGGACTCCCGGGCTTTCTCCCCCATCTCTCTTCCCCGTTGGGCCTCACTACCATTTCAGCCACTTTCCTGGCAGCTTCACTCCTGCCCCAAGACCCCAGCCTCCACCCTCCTGGTTCTGCCAACTGTTGAGTGCAGAAAGATCACAGAACTCCAAGGATTTGGAGCTCAATGATTTCAGGGGCTCACTGGCATTCCCCTGCTCTGCCTAGAAATCCTTCCTGTGTCCTGGCCACACCCCCCTCCCCGGCGCCACCACAGCTAGTCCAGAAATTCCCCTGCCTCACAAGAACCCACTTCCTCTCCTCCCCTGTCCCTCCCGGCTTATTGCTTTATGAGCCAGCTAGAATCGAGGCCACAGGCAGCCGTTCTTCCTCCTACCATCAGACACTGAAACGGCCACCGACCATCAGACACTGAAACGGCCACCGTTAGCTCCTTCCTCTAGTCTAAGAGGAAGCGGGGTCCCTCCTACCTAAGGGGTTACCACAGTTCTTCCCTGTCCACATATAAGGTGTTCAAGCCTCCTCTATATGGAAATAATAGTCTCAATGACAAGAAGTCATCTTCTACACTAGAGTCTGACCTACCTGCCCATGACCTTCCCTCCCTTTGCAGACAAACCTCCTAAAAGAACATCTGTGCTCCGTATAACCCCTTCCTCTTCCCAGGCCTCACCCCACTGCATTCTGACTGCTTTTTATAACCCAGGCCCTTCTTCTTTGCTCCAGGTTCTTAATCTTTTTTTTTTTTTCCTGAGATGGAGTCTCGCTCTGTCACCCAGGCTGGGAGTGCAGTGGCACGATCTCTGCTTACTGCAACCTCTGCTTCCTGGGTTCAAGCGATTCTGCCTCAGCCTCCCTAGTAGCTGGGATTACAGGTGCCCGCCACCACACCCAGCTAATTTTTGTCTTTTTAGTAGAGACAGGGTTTCACCATGTTGGCCAGGCTGGTCTTCAGCTCCTGACCTCAGGTGATCCGCCTGCGTCAGCCTCCCAGAGTGCTGGGATTACAGATGTGAGCCACTGCGCCTGGCCTTTTTCCTTTTTTTTTCCTTTTTTTTTTTTTTTTGAGACAGAGTCTCATTCTGTTTCCCAGGCTGGAGTGCAGTGGCGCAATCTTGGCTCACTGCGACATCCACCTCCCCGGTTCAAGTGATTCTCGTGCCTCAGCCTCCCAAGTAGTCGGGCCTGGGTAACTTTTGTATTTTTAGTAGAGACAGGGTTTTCGCTTGTTGGCCAGGCTGGTCTTGAGCTCCTGGCCTCAAGTGATCTGCTTGTCTTGCCCTCCCAAAGTGTTGGGATTACAGTGTTGGGAGCCACCGCGCCACGCCCCGATTCCTCTCTGACCTGTGTCAGCACTGGGGCTAACAGAAGCTGAGACACACAGGCAACCTCATGTTTCAAATGAGTTCATTGCCTAAGGGTAGCCTGTATAGACAGCTAGGCAGGATGACACCCTGAATTCTGCCCTCAGGCTGTGCTATAAATGACCTAGACTAGAGGAAAGGGCAGGCAGAGCCTTTATCTCAAACAGCGTCAAAAGAAAACAATGTAATAGCCTAGAACATTGAATCTATTTATTTACTTATTTTGAGACAGAGTCTCACTCTGTTGCCCAGGCTGGAGTGCAGTGGCTTGATCTCGGCTCACTGCAACGTCTGCCTCCCAGGTTCAAGCGATTCTCCTGCCTCAGCCTCCCGAGTAGCTGGGTTTACAGGTGCCAGCTACCACACCTGGCTAATTTTTGTATTTTTAGTAGAGACGGGGTTTTGCCGTGTTGGCCAAGCTGGTCATGAACTCCTGACCTCAGGTGATCCACCCATCTCGGAAATCTATTTATTAAAGTGCTCAGAGAGCAGAAAGAGCATGAGTGCAAAAAATTTTTTTAACTTTTTTTTTTCTCTTGCAAGCTATGACTGGGGAAAAAAGAAAGAAAAAAAAAATGTCAGCAATGCACAGTGGCTCACGCCTATAATCCATGCATGTTGGGAGGCCGAGGCGGGCAGATCACTTGACCCCAGGAGTTTGAAACCAGCCTGGGCAACATGGCGAGACCCCATCTCTACAAGAAATACAAAAATTAGCTGGGTGTGGTGGTGCGTCCCTGTAGTCCCAGCTCCTCAGGAAGCTGAGATGATCACCTGAGCCTGGGAGGTGGAGGCTACATTGAGCCATGATTGAGCCACTGCATTCCAGCCCAAGTGACAGAGCAACACCCTGTCTCAAAAAAAAAATTTTTTTTTTTAGGTGGAGTCTTGCTCTGTTGCCCAGGCTGGAGTGCAGTGGCGTGATCTTGGCTCACTGCAACCTCCACCTCCTGGGTTCAAGCAATTCTCCTGCCTCAGCCTTCCAAGTAGCTGGGATTACAGGCATGCACCACTACACGCGGCTAATTTTTGTATTTTTAGTAGAGATGGGGTTTCATCATGTTGGCCAGGCTGGTCTTGAACTCCTGACCTCAAGTGTTCCACATGCCTTGGCCTCCCAAAGTGCTGAGATTACAGGTGTGAGCCAGTTCACCTGTCAAAAGAAAGAAAATTTTTAAAAAGTCTCTCGGAGATGTCTTTCCTGTTTGGTGCCACCTGAATAGTGGCAAACCTTTCCATTATGTATCAGGTCACCACCGCATCTGCTAGAAGCCCCCCTCGTCCAGGGTGGGATGACCTGCTCCTATAAAGCCAAACTTACCGGGAGCTCAGTCTCTTGGATTTTTAAAATATGGGTGTCTCTTTTCCCCGGTTCCTGATGACATTGTGTCCCAAGGTGCCAAGGGGGCCTTTCCCTCAGTCCAGAGGGGTTTTCTGACCACCTGCTAAGTTCCAGACACGGGCCGACTGTGCATGACAGGCCCACGGTTCTAGGCCCAAATACTCAGTTGCCTTTGCCCCATATGCTGTTATTGTCCACATCACTTGCTGCCAAAACCCAGGACTGAGCTGTGGAGGGAACAGCTGGAATGCACCTTGGAGGACGTTGTTGACACGCCGCTCAGTCGCCGTTCGTGCCCTGGTGTTTGTCTTGCAGACAGAGGCTCCGTGGTGAAGGCGCGCGTGCTGACCTGTGTGGAGGGGATGAACCTGCCCTTGTTGGAACAAGCCATCCGGGAGCAGAGACTGTACAAGCAGGAGCGGGGCGGCAGCCAGTAGGAAACAGCAGCCTAGCAACACCCTCACCTGCTTCAGAGCCCGAACCCTCTGGAGCTGCAGGAGCCCGGGAGAGCACAGACGCCTCCCCAGCGACGGCCTTGTCTGGAGCTCGAAAGCCGAGGGGCGGGTGATGAATCCAGCCCCTTCCCCTACTTTGGGATTGGCTCAGCAATGAGAACCCAGAAAGCATGCCATAAATCCGACAGCCCCACCCCAGGAGACTGCAGGTGGCCGAGCTTGGGCGCCGGGGCCGTGCTTGGTGTGGGGCCATGGAGGGTTCCAGAAGGTCCTGGTGAATAAAGGCCCAGGGGGCGTGCTCTTGAAGTGTGCTCGTGGTGCAGCGCCGGCGGGGGCCAGGAGGGGGAGCTGCAACCCAGGCTGTGGGCTGCAGCCTCTCAGGGCTTCTGGTGAATTCTGGGCCTGGGGCCTCAGGGTAGGGCACCAGGGGCCCAGGGGCTGGGGTGGGGGGCCCAGGATGCAGGGGTCTGCCCCTGGCCAGGCTCTGCCTTCAGAGGAGGCTGAGCGTCGTCACACGGGCCGGGCTGAGGCCCTGGGCCCTGACCGTGCAGCCTAAGACAGGACTGTGGCTTTAAGACCCTCCTGACCCCTGACCTCTGCCCCCAGTGGCCCTGGCCCCTGGGCAGCCCTTCCTGGCCGCCATGTGTACCCAGAGCCTGGGACTGGCTGGGCTGGGCAGTGACCCAGGTGGGAAAGGGTGGTCTTGCCCTCTAAGGCCCGGCACAAGTGAGAGGCCTGGGGGTCCATGTTGGGCTGGGCTGGGCGAGGGGTGGTCTCTGACTTCCTGGGGGTTCTGGCTGGGATGGGCAGGGGGCTGGGTGGGAGAGTGTGGGCCCTGCCCTCCGAGGCCGGGCATGGGCGAGAAGCCTGGGGGTCCTGGCTGAACTGGGCTGGGTGAAGGGGGCCCCCTGACCCCCTTGGGGTCCGGGCTGGGCTGGGTGAGGGGCGGTTTCCGACCCCCAGCCAGGTTCCCAGGCAGGATGAGCTGGGGTTGGGGTGGCTAGGCCGTGGGCCTTGGGAGCTGGGCAGTCTGGGCTGGGCTGGGCTGGGCAGGGCGCCACATGGAAGCTGGAGGAGCAACGGGAGCGCTGGGCGTGGGGTGCAAATTGCCCGGTGCCTTCTGTTTCCCAGGCAGCTCTGTGGCCATGGATATGTTCCAGAAGGTAGAGAAGATCGGAGAGGGCACCTATGGGGTGGTGTACAAGGCCAAGAACAGGGAGACAGGGCAGCTGGTGGCCCTGAAGAAGATCAGACTGGATTTGTGAGTGCTGGGACGGCCCCTGAGTTACCCACCCTGGGCCATCACAACCTGGGCGCTCCCTGATCCGTTCCCTCTTTCCTGGAGTCCACGTTTAACTCCTCTGGGTGCTGCCCAGCAGCCCTTACCTGTCCTCTCCCCAGTTCACTGCCTTCTGACCAGCCTTTGCCGGGGCCCTGACTGTGGAGTTTGGTGGATGACGTGCCAAGGAGCACAGGTCTCCATTGCCGGGGCCCTGGTCATTCTGTGGGGTTAAGGAGAAGCCGATCCCCCTGGCTGGAAGTGCCCTTCTTGGCCCAAGTCTCTGCCCACGGCTGTGCCCTTGTTTCTTGCAGGGAGATGGAGGGGGTCCCAAGCACTGCCATCAGGGAGATCTCGCTGCTCAAGGAACTGAAGCACCCCAACATCGTCCGGTGAGTTGGGGATTGAGGTGGGGAAGCTGGGATGGCGAAGGTAGCATCCTGACTGCCATCTCCCTGTCAGACTGCTGGACGTGGTGCACAACGAGAGGAAGCTCTATCTGGTGTTTGAGTTCCTCAGCCAGGACCTGAAGAAGTACATGGACTCCACCCCAGGCTCAGAGCTCCCCCTGCACCTCATCAAGGTAGGGAAGGAAGGGCAGGGAAGGAGAGGTGACACCCCATCCCTGCCATCCCTGTCCACGCAGCACCTCCGCTCAGCTGGCTGCACCTCGCGCTCGTTTCTCCAGAGCTACCTCTTCCAGCTGCTGCAGGGGGTGAGTTTCTGCCACTCACATCGGGTCATCCACCGAGACCTGAAGCCCCAGAACCTGCTCATCAATGAGTTGGGTGCCATCAAGCTGGCTGACTTCGGCCTGGCTCGCGCCTTCGGGGTGCCCCTGCGCACCTACACCCATGAGGTATTGTGAGACAAAGAGGAGAGAGGGGCAGCAGGAGGAGTGTCACCCATGCACTCAGCCACCCTGAGTGATACTGTTTCTTTGCCCTGCAGGTGGTGACACTGTGGTATCGCGCCCCCGAGATTCTCTTGGGCAGCAAGTTCTATACCACAGCTGTGGATATCTGGAGCATTGGTTGCATCTTTGCAGAGATGGTAGAGAGAGGGGCACACATGGCCACAGGGTGCCACAGGCAGGGTCCTACTGGGGTTGGGTGGGGTCCACTGATGCTCCCATTCGAGGCGGATTAAAGAGTGTTTGGGGCTGGACATGGCTCACGCCCGTAATCCCAGCACTTTGGGAGGCTGAGATGGGAGGATGGCTTGAGCCCAGGAGTTTGAGACCAGCCTGGGCA
The DNA here is from genome assembly GCF_000001405.40 of Homo sapiens. NCBI lineage: Eukaryota > Metazoa > Chordata > Mammalia > Primates > Hominidae > Homo > Homo sapiens. The sequence continues at coordinate 76,002,813 of NC_000017.11, forward strand.
ACGTAACAAATCCCCAGCTCTTAAAAAACTACAAAAATTAGCTGGGTGTGGTGGTGCATGCTTGTAGTCCCAGCTACTTGGGAGGTTGAGGCAGGAGGATTGCTTGAGCCTGTGGTTGAGGCTGCAGTGAGCTGTGATCGCACGACTGCACTCTAGCCTGGGTGACAGAGCAAGACTCCGTCTCTATTTTTTAAAAAAAGGTGTTTGGTACTGGCTAAAGGACTGAGGAAGGTAGCTTTATTCCAAAAGAGGCCAGAATTCTTTGCACAGTCATGGAAAAGATATCTTGACAGGCCTCTCCCTGGGTCTGGCCACTTATCTGGTATTGGATTCTGTATAACAAAGTGGCGGACCCCACACCTTCTCTTCTTCCCCATTTCAGGTGACTCGAAAAGCCCTGTTTCCTGGTGACTCTGAGATTGACCAGCTCTTTCGTATCTTTCGTATGCTGGGGACACCCAGCGAAGACACATGGCCCGGGGTCACCCAGCTGCCTGACTATAAGGGCAGCTTCCCTAAGTGGACCAGGAAGGGACTGGAAGAGATTGTGCCCAATCTGGAGCCAGAGGGCAGGGACCTGCTCATGGTAGGTGCATGTGGGCTCCAGCTGCTGCTCCGACTACAGTTTCCCCTCATCAGCCAGCCTCTTACATAACCCTGGCACTTTCTGAGTCCAAGGCCAGGGTCTCTTTCCTGACCTTTGTACACAACTGGCTTGGGTATACTGATTGTTCAACCCGGAAGCCTCCCCCAGGATAAGTGCAGTATTTATCTTCCCTGTGAAAGTGGCGCTCATTGAGTTAGCTCTGTCTTTATGCTGTGCTACACGCCCTTTTTCCCTAGTTGTCTTGTGTGTTTGGTTATTCTACTTTGTGGACATTACTGCTCCATCTAAGCTGTATGCCTCCCCAGGCTGGGGCCATACCTTCTTTTCTTTTCTTTTTTTTGAGATGGAGTTTTGCTCTTGTTGCCCGGGCTGGAGTGCAATGGCGTGATCTCAGCTCACTGCAACTTCTGCCTCCTGGGTTCAAGTCATTCTCCTGCCTCAGCCTCCCGAGTAGCTGGGACTACAGGTGCCTGCCACCACGCCCAGCTAATTTTTGTATTTTTTTTTTTAGTAGAGACAGGGTTTCACCATGTTGGCCAGACTGGTCTTGAACTCCTCAGGTGATCTGCCCACCTCGGCTTCCCAAAGTGCTGGGATTACAGGCATGAGCCACTGTGCCCGGCTGGGGCCTCTCGTTCTACTGCCTGGCTGTTCCCCTGTGACTCCTACAGTGGTCAGTCTTCAGAACAGGCTGTTCCCTACTGCCTGGGCCCATGCCACAGTTCTCACTCACCCCTCCTGTTGGTGTCTTGAGCTGACCCAGGCCGGACTGCCCAGGAAGTCTCTGGCAGAACCGTCTGTTTTTTTTTTTTTTTTTGAGACAGGGTCTCAGTCTGTCACTCAGGCTGGCGTGCAGTGGTGTGACCATGACTTACTGCAGCCTTGACCTCCCAGGCACAAGCGATCCTCCCATCTCAGCCTCCTGAGTAGCTGGGACCACAGGTATACGCCACTATGCCTGGCTACCTTTTGTATTTTTTTTGTAGAGACAGCATTTCACCACGTTGCCCAGGCTGGTCTCGAACTCCTGGGCTCAATTGATCCTCCCACCTCAGCTTCCTGAGTAGCTGAGACTATAGGGGTGCACCACCATGCCCAGCTAATTTTATTTTTGTAGAAATGGGGTCTCACTATGTTGCTCAGACTGGTCTCGAACTCCTGGGCTCAAGCGATCCTCCTACCTTGGCCTCTCAAAGTGCTGGGGGGATCACAGGTGTGAGCCACTGCGCCCGTCCACTGTCCATTCTTGCCCACAAAGTCTTGGAGCCACATTTCTCTCCTTAATCTGGTGTTGAATGAGAGGAAGGTGGGTCAGTATTTTCATCTTCAGGCTGTGTGTCCAGCTCTCCAGAAGTCTCTGTGTGTTGTGTACCCGCCCAATGGCAGCAGGACGGCACAGACTCCAGCCAAGGCCCCGAGCCCTCCAGCTGGGCTACTCCACCACAGGGGGTCCTTCCACATCCTGTCTGGGTTTAGGGACTCTAGGGCAGAGGGCTGGACAGGTTTGGCCTCTTGGAGTGTCAGTCCCTGAGCCCCCACTCAGTGTTCCTCCCTGGACAGCTTCAGTCCCCTGCTTCCTGATACGTGGGGTTCTGTGCTCTTCCCAACTAGAAGCAGGCTGGGACCTGGGACCCTCCCCGAGAAGGGGGGTGACTCAGCTTCAGTGGCCTGAGGAGACCTGGGTGACTCGTTAGGACTGTCCAGATTCCAGGAGTGTCCGGAACTGGCTGGAGAGCTGGGAGGTCATGGCTTCATGCGGTTCTGGGTTTGAGGGCAGCCAATTTGGGGCCCAGGCCCTTGATCTGGGACCTGGGAGGGGAATTTCTCACCCCACCCTGGCTGCACCCAGACCACATCTTCTTCCTTCTTTCTTCCTAGCAACTCCTGCAGTATGACCCCAGCCAGCGGATCACAGCCAAGACTGCCCTGGCCCACCCGTACTTCTCATCCCCTGAGCCCTCCCCAGCTGCCCGCCAGTATGTGCTGCAGCGATTCCGCCATTGAGAATGTCAAGGCCACACTCAGATCCTTTCTCGAGCAGCTGCTGCCCCAGCTGCCTCCTACCCATTGCCAAGAGAGGATGCATCTGGGGAGAGCAAAGCACTAAGGAATTCAGCATCAGCCTGCAGAGGGCTGAGTCTGGGTTAGTCCTGCCCGCAGGTTAGCGAGATCCTGTGTTGTTTTTTGGGTTGGACGGTGCCGTTTCAAAATAGAGGCACAGATGCTCCATGCACGAGGGGTCCCCGGGCACTGGAACAAGTGCCAAGTTGAAGGCAGGGGGCCTGCCAGAGCTGGGTGTGGGTATTCAGGCCCTCACCTGCCCTGCCTGCAGGGCCAGACCCTGAGGAAAGGGCGCCCCCTGCTGGTCTTTTTGGATTTAAAATGTTTGGGGGAAGAGTTGAGTTCCAGTTCAGTCCCAAGTTAAACAGGAGGGAGTGAGGGAGAGGAGAGAGGGCGTTCCCCGGATCCCAGGAGAGCTGGGCTATGACTGCAATAAGGAGTTGTTCCTTCACCTGAGATGTGCTTCTTTTGGTTCATTTCTGGCTTGACAACAATAAATAAACGTGGTATGTTCCTGAGTTTTCTGATTGTTCTGCTCACAGGGGACACCTGGGCTTCCTGACAAGGGGAACATTGACACAGGGCTGGAGACAGCTCTGGCCCAAACTGAGACAGTGGGGAAATGGGCAAGGAGTAGGTGGGGAGACAGGGGCTAGTCCATGATTTTTTTTTTTTTTTTTTTTTTTTTTTGAGACAGAGTCTCACTCTGTCACCCAGGCTAGAGTGCAGTGACATAATCTCAGCTCACTGCAACCTCTGCCTCATGGGTTCAAGCAGTTCTCCTGCCTCAGTCTCCCGAGTAGCTGGGATTACAGGCATATGCCACCAAGCCCCCATTTTTTTTTTTTTTTTTGAGATGGAGTCTCGCTGTCTCAGGTCTACCCTGTTGCCCAGGGTAGAGTGCAGTGGCATGATCTCTGCTCACTGGAACGTCCGCCTCCCAGGTTCAAGTGATTCTCCTGCCTCAGCCTCCTGAGTAGCGGGAATTTTAGGTGTGCACCACCACACCCAGCTAATTTTTGTATTTTTAGTAGAGTCGGGGTTTCACCGTGTTCGTCAGGCTGGTCTCGAACTCCTGACCTCGGATCCACCCGCCTTGGCCCCCCTAAATGCTGGTATTACAGGTGTGAGCCACTGTGCCCGGCCTCCTTTAGTGATTTTAAACCATAATCTCTTTCCATGACCTGCCACTGCATCCCTGCCCCGCACTCAAGGAGGCACAGCCCTCCGAGGATGCCTGTTTCCCAGGCAGGCAAATTGAGCACGTCCGCCCAGGCAAGGACTTGAGCAACGCTGTCCTTGCACTCATCCCCCAGACACATGGGTCCTGCACTCTCAAATGTGAATGAATGGGACACCACATGGCACGGGGAGACAGAATTCGTTTATTGGGATCACTGGGTGGAGGTGGAGGAAGAACTGAGTGGCTGCTGTCCTGGTCTGGGGATGGATCAGGCACCAAGGTTAGGGGAGGGAGCCCATCACCATGTTAGTAAAATAATAAAACAGTGGTTGGACAGAGGGAAGACCCACTGCCTGGGATGAGGCTGCTCTGAGGCAAGAGGTGTACGTATCCTACCTGGCCCAACACACGCACTTCCCCACTGGCTCCTTGGCCCGTGTCAGCGAAGGGAGCGCGGGACGGTGGGGGAGGCGGAGCGGTAGCAGCGGTACCCCTCCAGTGCCGCTGGCAGGAGCAGCAGGCCGCTCAGGGGGTCTTTGCGGCAGCGGCCCATGGCCTCCTTGTAGCTCAGCCGTTCCTTGGAGATGGGGTCTGTCAAATCCTTCTCGTAGCTGGACTCGTCCTGCAGGAGCTGGGCCAGCTCTTCACTGATCATCCCGGAGAGGAGGGCCTGCTGGATGGGGATGCGGCCTGTCCTCTTGGGGTCGATGAGCCCCCCGGTCAGGTGCTGCACCTGCAGGTGTGGGAGCACGCTCTCCCGGGGCATCCAGCCCTTCTGGACGGCCTCGCCCACCGAGAGCCTCTTCTTGGTGACGGGGTCCTCGATGCCGGTGAAGGCCTTCTGGGCGTTAAGCAGCCTCTGTGTGGAGGTGTTCTCGATCAGGCCCCTCTCCATCGCCTTGTGCACAGAGTAGCGCTCACGGCTGAGCAGGTCCACGATGCCCCCTGTGGCCGCCTGGGCCTCCAGTAGCTTCTGCCCAGTGATGGGGTCCAGCATGTTCTTGGCCACGGCCGTCTTGATGCTGCACTTGTTGTCTGTGGTTGTGTCATAGATCCCGGCGATAGGGAAGCTGTCATCACCGAGCCCGAGAGAGAAGCTGGGAGAGAAGAAACTGGTGCTCTGGGGGGCCGGGGAGGCGAGCGGGGACTTGGAGATGATAGAGCCGATGGAGAGTGAGGAGCTTGGCTTGGTCTCCCCAGCTACAAGCAGCGCAAACTCGGAGATGGGCAGGTGGCCGTCCTTGTACAGATGGTACTCCTCCTTAGAGATGCGCCGGCAGCGGAGGGCGGCCTCGATGGAGTACTGCTTCCCGCTCTTGCGGTCCAGGAGCACAGACTCCTCCCCACAGGGCCCCGAGGTGGTGACCTCCTCCCAGTCACACTCGAGCTCCTGCAGCTGCAAGTACTGGCCCCTGTCGATGATGCCCCTCTTGTAGGCCTCGTATGGGGACATGTCCTTCCCCGTCTCGGGTTCCAGGATGGAGATCTTGGTGGAAAGGTTGGTCTCTCGCGTCTGGGTCTCCTGGCTGAGCTCCTCCCGGCTCACCTTGGCGTGGAGGTCCCGGAGCGTCCGCTCCTTCTCGTAGATCTGGTCCTTCTCGCGGAGGATGGCCGCCTCCAGCCGCGAGAGCTCCTGGCCCCGCTGGGCCGCCTTCTGTCGCTCGCTCTCCGTCTTCTGGCTGAGCAGCTTCGACTCCTCCTGCAGCTGCAGTGTCTGCTGCTGCTTCTGCCTCTCCAGAGCCCGCAGCTCCTGCTGCAGCCGCCCACACTCCTGGTCGGCCTGGTCCCGGGCCCTCTGCAGCTCGGACTCCTCCCGGGACCAGGTTCTCCCCAGCGTCTCGGCCCGGTCAATGCGCTCCCGCAGGCGCCGTGCCTCCTCCTCCCGGGCCTGCCGGGCCGTGCGCTCCCTGTTGAGCATCTCCCACACGCGGGCCCGCTCATCTTCCAGGACGCGGTCCTTCTGCACCCGGATCACTTCCTTGTAGATGGTCTTCTCCTGCGATTTGGCTTTCTGGAGGACGTCAATCTGGACCTGCAGGTTCTTGCACTCCCGATTCAGCTCGGTTACCTGGGTCTTCTCCTGGTCCAGGTCCCACCGCAGGGCTTCCGTGGACTTCTCCAGGTCCGGGTCCTTCTCCAGCTTGACCACTTCCTCCATGATGATCTTCTCCTGCACCGTGGGAGGCCGCTTCTCGAGCTCCTGGATCCTCAAGGTCAGCTGCCGCAGCTCCCTCTCCACGGCCAGCTTCTTGCTGCGGTCCTCCTGGAAGCTGAGCAGGCCCTCCTGCTCCTCCACGCCGGCCCGCAGCTGCTGCACCTCAAGCTCTAGCTGGCGCCGCCGGCCCACCTCCTCATCCAGGCTCCCGCTCAGCCGGCTGTGCTCCTCGCGCAGCTTCGGGTCCTTCTGGGTGACCACCACCTCCTGCACCACCACCTTCTCCTCGGGCTTCCTCCTCTCCAGCAGCAGGCGCTTGCTCTGCAGCTCGTACACCGCGTCCTCCGCGGCCCGCCTCTTCTGGGCCGCCTCCCGCACCTCCTGGCGGAGCCGCTCTGCTTCTTTCTCCAGCACCGGGTCCTTCTCGTGGCGCACCACCTCCTTGCTCACCGTCTTGGTCTCCACCTTGGCCCGCTCGCGCCTCCACTCGTCGCGCTCACCCTGCAGGCGGATGAGCTGCTCCTGGGAGCGCCCGTGGCTGTTGACGAGCTCGTTGAGCTGAGCCTTCAGGCGGTCGATCTCACGCAGCACCTCGGGGCTCCTCTCATGCCTCACCACCTCCTGGGTCACCTCCTTGTACTCCACCGTGGGCTTCTGGGCCCGCAGGACCTCCAGGTCGGGCAGCAGCTTCTCCACCTCCTTCTCCACACCGCTCCTCTTGCCCGCCATCTCCTGCAGCTTGGCCTTGAGCCGAGTGATCTCCTGCTCTGTCTCCGGATCCACCTGGAAGATCTCGTGGACGCGCTCCTGGAGCTGCACTTTGGGCCTCTGCTTCTCCACCACGCTGTACTTGCTGTGCAGGTCGCTCAGCTCCCTGGCCAGCGTCGCGTTCTTGGTCCTCTCCTCCTCGAGGAGGCTCCTCAGCCTGGAGGACTCCTGGAGGAGCCCTGGGTCCTGCTCCACCTTCTTCACCTCCTTCACGATGACCTTGGGCTCCACCGAGCTGATAGCCCGCTCCAGGTCTTCGATGCGAGCCTGTAGCTTGGCCACAGCCTCCTCCGCCTGCTTCCTCCGCGCAGCATCCTCCTCCATCTGCAGCCTCAGAGCCTGGGCTGCCTTGACCATTTCCAGATTCTTCTCCACCTTGACTACCTCTTTCACCACGACCTTCTCCTTCACGTCCACCTCCCTCTTCTCAAGGGCCAGTAGCTCCTTCTTCAGCCCTTCCAGCCGGGCCGAGATGACGGCATCCTCCCCGCGGAGCTGCTGGATCTGGATCCTGAGCTGGGCCGCCTGGCTGTCCAGGCCGGGGTCCCTCTCCACCTGGGTGACCTCCTTGGTCAGCAGATGAGGCTGCATGGTCTTCCTCTTGCTTTCCAGCTGCACGACCTTCTGGGCTGCCACTTCCAGGTCTGCCTGCAGGCCAGCCCGCCGCTTGCCCTCCTCCTCCACCTGGGCCTTCACCCTGGACAGGCTGCCCTCCAGCTGGGGGTCCCGGTAGAACTCTACCACTTCCTTCTCCTCCAGCCTCTCCAAGGGCCGCTGGGTCCTCAGCTGCAGCAGTTGGCTCCTCTGCGCCTCCAGCTCATGCTGCACCCGGGCCACCCGCTTCCTCTCCTCTTCCAGCTGGGCCTTCAGGGCCTCTGACTCTCTCCCTGCTTGGGCAGGGCTCTCGGAGCCCTGCTTTGCATCATGGGTCCTTCGGATGTCCTCACTGAGCTCCTTCTGCAGAGAGGAAGAAGGGTAGAGCACGGGGTGGGCGGTAGAGATAGGAGCTCCATGTTTTTCCTGAGATGAAAGACCCCTCCCTGTTTCCTGAGACTCCCCAGTGGGTCCTCAGAGGTGGAGCTGAAGACCTAAGATGCTTGGATATAGGATTTTGAGAAGACCCAGTCAATGCAATGATTTTAGGACCCAAGGCAGTGCGCAGGCCTGGTTTGCATTAGAAAGTGCAAGTAAGGGCCAGGTGCAATGGCTGATGCCTTTAATCCCAACACTTTGGGAGGCCAAGGTGGGCGGATCACCTGAGGTCAGGAGTTCGAGACCAGCCTGATCAACATAGTGAAACCCCATCTCTACTAAAAATCCAAAAAATTAGCTGGGCGTGGTGACGCATGCCTGTAATCCCAGTTACTCAGGAGGCCGAGGCAGGAGAATCGCTTGAACCAGGGAGGCGGAGGTTGCAGTGAGCTGAGATTGTGCCACTGCACTCCAGCCTTGGTGATAGAGCGAGACTCCGTCTCAAAAAAAACAAAAAACAAAAAAAAAGTGCAAACAGGACAGGTTCTCCCTGTCCCTCCAGAACCTCTCCCTTTTCCCCTTCCATCCAGGGACCCTGACTGTGGCCGAGGGTAACAGAAAAGCTGGCAAGTCACCAGGAGTCCTGGAGAAGTTCTGGCTTGAGGGTGTGTAGGCCGAAGGTGGAGAGCCAGGTGGCTGAGGGTGAAGCTCTAGGGGATTTTCTCTGCTCTCTGGGGTTAGAGGTCTTGTCCCATTGGAGGATGCCCAGTGGCCATGAATGCCATCTCCAGGGCCTAACCCTGGGATGGACACCAGCCTGTAAGAGCTGCTGGAGAGAAAACTGGGTGGCTGGAATCCGCTCCCCTCTCCAGCAGCCAGAGCTGCCCAGGGGCTGCAGGCAGGAGGGAGAGGAGGGAAGGAGACTACCAGGGTGACAGCCTGGCATTTTGGGAATGGAGTGGGCATTCCTGGTTATTCCTGGCTATTGTGGGAAAGCTGTAGGTGTTGTCTGTGTACCTTCTCCAGCATTTTTCTAGCAAACTCCAGCTGCTGGAGCAGCTGCTGCTGTGCTGCTGCAACCTCAGTATAGGCCTTTGCAAGGTTCTTCTCCTGGAGAAGGCAGAGGGAGAGGGGAAGGGCAGAGTCAGCTCCTGCCTTGGACCCTACAGAGCTGGTGTCAAGGTCCACTGAGCCCCGCAAGGTCCCATCTCACCTGGGCTTGGATGCTCTCTTGCAGGGGAGCCACTCGGGGTCTCTTGGGGGCTGACACTGCCAGGGTGGGCTCCAAAGAGCAGCGGTAGGTGTCTGCCTGGAGCTCATAGTCCTGAGCAGGGAGGAAAGGACAGCAGGCTGGCAACCAGTGGGGGAGGCTGGGTGTGGGGGATAGGGCTGGAAGAGGGACAAGGGTGATGCATGGAGAGGGGCAAGCTGAAGGCAAGCTGCTTACCTGGAGCGCTGCCTGCAGGGCCTGGGAGAGGTGGGATGCTGTGGCCCTGTCCCGCTCTCGGCTCTGGATCTCCTGCGTCAGCCTCTGCCAGGGAAGAACCCAGAGTCAGGAGGCCAGGAAATGCCAATCACCCTGACTCTCCTCTAGCCAGTGCCTCCAGGGCCACAGTCAGGCAGAGCTGCCTCCCAGGGACAAGAAAGGGCAGGGAGGGAGACCTGGGCCAAACTCCCTCCTTTCCCTGACATCATTCTCTCTGCTTTTCCTCCTTCCTCTCCGAGGCACCTTGGCAGAATCCCTTTCTTTCCTTTTTTTTTTTTTTGAGACCAAGTCTCACTCTGTCACCCAGGTTGGAGTGCGTGATCTCGGCTCACAGCAGCCTCCTGGGTTCAAGCGATTTTCATGCCTCAGCTTCCTGAGTAGCTGGAATGACAGGTGCCTGCCACCATGCCAGGCTAATTTTTATATTTTTAGTAGAGATGGGGTTTCGCCATGTTGGCAAGGCTGGTCTCGAACTCCTGACCTCAGGTGATCCGCCAGCCTCGGCCTCCCAAAGTGCTGGGATTACAGGCATGAGCCACCTTTCTTTGGCCTTGTGCCCCTCAGAGTTCCGTTCTAGCACAGTAGTATCTGCGAGCATCACCTGGGGCCTGTGGGAGGCAGGCAGGCATGCAGGGCCCACCTGCACATCAGATCCAGCAGGTCCGGGTGGCCCTGAGAATTCATATTTCTTTCTTTTCTTTTTTTTTTTTTTTTTTTTGAGACGGAGTCTTGCTCTGTCGCCCAGGCTGGAGTGCAGTGGCGCTATCCGGACTCACTGCAAGCTCCGCCTCCTGGATTCACACCATTCTCCTGCCTCAGCCTCTCGAGTAGCCGGGACTACAGGTGCCCAGCACCGTGCCCGGCTAATTTTTTGTATTTTTAGTAGAGATGGGGTTTCACCGTGTTAGCCAGGATGGTCTCGATCTCCTGACCTTGTGATCCGCCCGCCTTGGCCTCCCAAAGTGCTGGGATTACAGGCGTGAGCCACCGCGCCCGGCCTGAGAATTCATATTTCTGATAAGTCCCCAGGTGATGCTGCTACAGCTCATCCAGAACCATGGCTCCAATTGGAAAGTTCTCAATACGGGATGCCCACTTTTATTCACCTGGGAACTTAATATACTGATGCTCTGACCACAATAATCCAACTTATTTGGTCTGGGGAGGGGTCCTGGCCTGGGGATGTTTTAAAAGCTCTCTGGGAGATTCTAGTTTGCAGCCAGGGCTGAGAATCTCTGTCCCAGGCCCCCTTCCCAATGTCACCTCCCTACTCTCTCCCCAGATATTCTCATTTTCCGGCAGTCCCAGACCCATCTTTGCTCTCACGAGCTCCTAGGGGAACCCCCAGCCCCAGTTCCCTCCCATATGCCTACGTCCACCTCCCCGCTGCCCTCGGCTGTCCTGGCCACCTCATTTCAGCATGACCCAGCCGGCCCCATTCCTCTCCCCAAATATGCTCTGTTTCCTGTGTTCCCGCCTCAAGTGGAGGTGCCCCCTCTTCCCAGTTGTCCCCAACAGAACCCTGGGCATCACCGGGCCCCGTCCATCTCACTCACTGTCCCCTTCAAGCAGTCACCAAGTCCACCTAATTCTGCCATCTCCATCTCAGATCTGCCCACCTCGCCCTGTGCCATGGTCCCTTCCCCGGCCAGGCCACCACTCTCTCTCCGCTGGATTTCCACCCTGGCTCCTCGTGGGCCTCCGTGTCTTCATTCCCACCCTCTTAGTCATTCTCTACATGGCAGCCAGAGCCAGCTTCTAAACACTGGCCTGGAAGCATCCCCTCCCCAGCAGCTTCTGGGGGCTGCAGGAGAGAGTGCAGCCTGGGTCCTGTGCCGGAAGGGCCTGTGTGGTCTGCCCATCTGGTCGCCCTCGCCCCTGAGTCCCCCTCCTTTCCCCTGACTGCCATGCCTTCTGCATGGGACATTTCATCCCTCCCCCGGCTACACTTGCTTCCTCCCACACTACCGATCCTGACCCGCAAGTGTGTCCAGCCTGGGGGCACCCACAGCACTCCAGCTTCTCCCACCAATGCTTGTCGGCATCACAGACCTCCCCCACCAGGCTGGGAGCTGCCAGGGTGCAGGGTTGTACCCCAGTGAACACATTGCCTGGTACATGGCAGGGGCTTGATGAGCATGAGAAAGTGGCCGGAACCCTCAGGGCTCTGTGGCCTGAGCTTGTAAATCCCACTGCCCCAGTCGGGCCAGACAGAGATGGGCTGGCCCCGTCTGTGGGCAAAGAGGAGCATTTCAGCTGGAGGCCAGGGAAGGGGCCCAGGGCCTCCGTGGCCTGGGCTTTGAAGCCCCTTAGAGCGCTTCTGAGCTTTGGCCACTAGGGGGCCACATGGGCACAGGCAGCTGTCCCTGCCCCAGCCTCACCTTCTGCGCCTGCAGCTTGTAGGCGATCTGGCTGGGGCCGTCGCTGGGCCGCACCTGGCTGCGGGGCAGGTGCTCCAGCCAGGAGCTCAGGTTATCCTTGCAGTTCTTGAACTGCTGGTAGGTGAGGGCGGCATCCTGCACCACCTTCTCCCTGCAGGAGGACGAGGCCCAGAACAGAGATAAGACCTGCCCCGTGGGGACAGGGGCAGGTGCACAGGGAGGCTGATGGGAGCCTCCTCCTGGGGGCAGGTCAGGAGGCCCGAGTGGCCTGCTGTGCAGATCCCCACTCCCTGACCCTGGGAATTCAGAGATGGGACAGTCTCTACCAGGCACCACCCTGGGAGGTAAGTGCTGTTGTTATCCCATTTTAGAGATGAGGAAACAGCTTCAGAGACGTGAAGTCACTAGCCCAGGATCACACAGCTTGTAGACAGCAATGCCTGGCTCTGCACCAGCCCACACCCTGTGCCCCGAGGACCCAGTCGCTCACCGCAGGTCCAGCTGGTCCCCTACGGCGTGGTAGCGGTCGGTGAGGGCTCGCACCTGGCGCTGCTGGCGAGGCAGGTCTTGGCAGAACTCCTGGAAGTTGTTCTGCAGGGCAGCGCATGCGTGCTCCGAGGCCTTCAGCGCGCGGTGTAGCCGCAGCACGCAGGTCTGCTGTTCCAGCAGCTCCCTCCGCTGGCGCTGCAGGAGGAGGGGACGCAGCCGTGCACCCTCGTGGCTGGGGAGACGCCGTGTCCACCCACCCGCCCCTGAATGCTGGGTTCCCCTGACACCAGGAGGCCCCGGCTGGTCCCTTACCTGCAGCTCGCTGACCCTCTCCTGCAGAGCCCCCGGTTCAGCAGGGATGGGGGCCTCCTGCACCAGGGTGGCCTCGAAGCCTCGGATGACCCTGTCCGCATCCTGGATCTGCCGCTCCAGATCCAGGGCAGCCTTGGCTCTGCCGCAGAGGAGGCAAGGCTCAGACACTCCCTGGGCCACACGCTGCTGCCCTGCGTGGCTGCCCTGTCCCCAGAGCACTCACTTCTCCCCGTAGAGGCTGCACAGAACCTGCACGTCACTGAACTTGTTCTTCACGCTGTTGAGGGCTACGGGCAGCTGCAGGGCAGCGGGGCCCACGGGCCGCGTGGACAGAAACGCCTCGCACTCCTTCTGGGCTGTCTCCTTCTCCGTTCCCAGGCTCTGCAGGCGCTGGGCTGTGCCCTAAAGAGGGGCGGGGTCAGGGATCTCTGGGCAGGTGGGTTCCGCCCGACTCTTCTACCAGGATACCCTAACTCTGCGCCCATGGAGGCAGTAGAGTGTGGTGGGTACATGCTTGGGCTCAGGCCAGAGAACTGCGTTCAGTCCTGGCGCTACTCGTTCCTCTGTGGATGACCTGGGGCAGAGCAAACTGTCTGACCCTCAGTCTCCTCATCTACAAAATGACTGATAGGAGGGGCCGGGCGCAGTGGCTCACACCTGTAATCCTAGCACTTTGGGAGGCCAAGGCGGGTGGGTTGCTTGAGGTCAGGAGATCGAGACCAGCCTGGCCAACATGGCGAAACCCTGTCTCTACTAAAAATACAAAAATTAGCCGGCCGTAGCAGCGCGCACCTGCAATCCCAGCTACCCAGGAGGCTGAGGCAGGAGAATTGCTTGAACCCCAGGAGGTGGGGGTTGCAGCAAGCTGAGATCACACCGCTGCACTCCAGCCTGGCAGACAAGAGCAAGACTCCATCTCAAAAAAATAAAATAAATAAAAAAGAATGATTGATGGGAGGATGACACAAGAGCCTGTGTCCTGAGCTCAGCAGTGAGCGCCAGGCACAGTTACCTACAGTCATCTTCATGTCACTGTCCTGCTCACAAGACCATCAGGTCCCCTGGCCCTGTCGCTCCAGCCAAAGCCCTGGCTCTGCCCACTAGGGACTGTTGCCCTCATTCTTTCATCAGTTATTCACTCATCTGCCTGGTCCATCACCGAGCAGTGCTGACTCTGCACCAGGCACCACCCACCGCCCAGTCTAACTGGGCTTCTCCTGGACCCCAACACCGCTGATGTGGCAGATGCTATGACTTCAAAACCTAAGGACCCAGCTTCTTGGGAGGTGAAGACAGGGGGATTGTTTGAGACCAGGAGGTTGAGGCTACAGTGAGCCTTGATCATGCCACTGGCCCTCCAGCCTGGGCAACAAAGCAAGACCCCGTCTCAAAATAATAATAATATGGCCAAGTGCAGTAGCTCATGCCTGTAATCCTAGCACTTTGGGAGGCCAATGCGGGAGGATCGCTTGAGCTCAGGAGTTTGAGACCAGCCTGGGCAACATGGCAAAACCCCATCTCTACCAAAAAAATTAGCTGGGCTCAGTGTTGTACCTGTGGTCCCAACTACTCGGGAGGCTGAGGTGGGAGGATCACTCAAGCCTGGGAGGTGGAGGTTGCAGTGAGCTGAGATTATACCATTGCACACCACTGCACTCCAGCCTGGGTGACAAAGTGAGACCCCATCTCATAAAACAAAAAACAGACCAGGTGCGGTGGCTCACGCCTGTAATCCCAGCACTCTGGGAGGCCGAGATGGGTGGATCACTTAAGGTCAGGAGTTCGACATCAGCCTGGCCAACATGGTGAAACCCCATCTCTACTAAAAATACAAAAATTAGTTGGGCATGGTGGTGTGTGCCTGTAATCCCAGCTACTCCGGAGGTTGAGGCAGGAGAATTGCTTGAACCTGGGAGGCAGAAGTTGCAGTGAGCCAAGATCGTGCCACTGCACTCCAGCCTGGGTGATGCAGAGAGACTTTGTCTCAAGAAAAGAAAAGAAACTGGTTTGGAAGGATAACCCAGACTGCGGCCCGGTGTGGGTTTCACTCTGAGCACTTTTGGGAGTGTTGAGTCCACGTGCTGTTCTTGGGTAAGGAGTTTACACAATGCTGCAACCTCCCCAGGTAGGCTCCCCCTTGCAGCCAGGGGACATCTCTTCCTAAGATTCTCCAGGCTTCCTTGCTATTTCAGGAGCTTCACCAGAATACCTCCTGGGGTGTTGACATTGGGCCCTACTGGAACCTTCCTGAATGATCAGGCGAGCTGGGCATTATTACATCTGCTTCAGGGATGAGGAAACCAAGGCCCAGAGAGTTATGTAGTCCAAGATCCTGGAGCTGGTCAGTGGAGGAGCCAGGAGGGGAACCAGCTTGTCTGAGCCCGGGTCTGTCCACACCCTTCTCCATCTCCATCCCAGCCACCGCTCCTGCACTTGCCTCACCTCCCTCAAGTGTGAGCACCAGGGCCGGGCCGCTTCTCATCCCAGCCGCCCCTTCCCGCTGCTCACCCACCTCATGGCTGTGGATGCGGCCCTCCAAGTCCTCCAAGGGTGTGGGGCGGCTCAGCGGGGCCCGCGCCCAGGCCAGCACCTGCCTCTCTATCTGTCCCAGGTCTCCATCCAGCCGGGTCATCTGTGTCAGGAGCTTCTGGGCCTGTGGGTTGGCCAGGTCTGAGCCAGATGGAGCTGGGGGCAGAGGTGCTGGTGAGGGCCCAGGGCCTATCTCCAGACTGCCAGATAGGTGCCCCCACCAGGTGCCCACAGAGGGTCCTGTCGGGGTAGGGTGGAGGGGATGGGCAGGGCCACCCCAGAGATGAAATCCCCAGAGTGATGGTCCCTAACCCAAGGCGACCCCTGCCCATCACAGACCAGTCGGAAGTCGGAATCTACTCCTTCTAGCCCCACAGCCACCTCTCCCCGGGCCACCCTGGGTACCCTGCTGGCTGGGCCGAAGAGACTCCACAGCACTGGCCTTCAGGCGGCTCTGGACTGTGGCCAATTTCTGCTTCAGGGCCTGCAGCTCTGAGGCCAGCCTAGAATGAAGAGGAGATTGAAGAAAGAGGTCCCCACTCTGCCTCTCTCCCTCCCCAGCCCCAGTAGACGCAGCTTCAGGTGAAGGCCAGCCTTTGAGCAGGGGTCTGTTGGGCCATGGGCTTGGACACCGCAGGGCCGGCCTGCTCTGCCCACAGCCTGCCCCTGAGTATCCCTACACAGACCTACCGGGAGGCCCTGGCCACAGCATCAGGGTCTGGTGCTGGGATGCAGAAGCAGGCGGCGGGAGCACGCTTGGTCTCCCCGCCAGGGCCCTGCACGACCCAGGCGTGCGGGTCAGTGTTATCTACCAGCTTATACCGCTCACCCTGCAGCAGCTGCACCTGGGGGCACAGAAAGGGAGCAGCTCCTGAGGGCTCAGGGGCAGGGGGCCAAGGCCAGGGCAGAGTAGGGGCTGGGGACAGAGACAAATGGGGACAGCAGCTGGAACAGGGACAAGAGTAGGGTGGGAGGTGCTGGGGTAGAAAAGAGGCAGGACAGGACTTGGAGAGAGGAGGGTCTGAGTCAAGGGAAGGAGTAGGGCAAAAGTGGGCGCAGGAGACAGCTGGGGATGGAGCAGGGATGGGCTTGGGCAGGGGCAGGGGATGGGTTGGGCGGGGCTGGATGGTGGCAGGGGTGAGGTGGGGGAGTTCGCACTTCTCCTGAGTCCCAGTCGCAGATGCTGTCCACGTGCAGGGGCTGCTGAGGGGGGTTTCTTCGCTGTGGCAGAGGGGCCACATCCCGGCTTCGCCGCTGCAGGTCCCCAGTGGCCCTCTCGGTGACGGCCAGCCGTTTTTCCTCTGCCTGCCGGGGGCCCAGGCAGTGGGGGACTCAGGCCAGGCTGCATTGGAGGCTGGCCACACCATACCTGTCCTTCAAAAGGCCTAGAGGCTGGCCTTCATGAAGGCAGGGGTCTCTAAGTCAGCAAAGTAAAAGGAGCCCCTCTCTGGGGGACCTAGGATCCTGGGATCTGCTAGTTGCAGGGAGGGGGATGGCACAGCATCACCCAGGCCACCAAGCAGAAGCTAGACAGGCCTCAGAGCTCTCCCAGGCTGCCCTTGTCCCACTGCAAATGAGGAAACTGACGTCCAGAAGTGGGAGGAGCTTGCTGGTACCTGGCCAGCCTCCTGCTAGAGTAAACCCCCCTGCCAGCACCCAGGCCAGGGCTTGGGATAGGACTAGGTACCAAGGCAGAAGGGGTGAGGCCCAGAAAAATGGACAGGACCAATTCCCAGAAGTGGGGTGCAGACGGCCTGGTGGGGTTGTCTCACCTCCAGCTGTTGCAGCAGCTCTGTGGGGGCGCCAGGGGGGCCCCCAGGTGCAGGGCTGTACTTGGCATCCAAGTTGGAGTTGAGCTTCGCCAGGGTCTGGCTGACTGAGTCGGCCTCTTCCTGGAACTGAGTTCACTGGGTGGTCAAGGGCAGAGCCTCGTGCAACCTGCTGCCCACTGACCCTACAAACCAGCTGAACCTAAGCCAGCTAAACACAAAGCAGCTAAACCTAAACCAGCTAAACACAAACCAGCTAAACACAAACCAGATAAATGTGAAACAGCTAAACTAAACCAGTAACCGCTAAGCCAGCTAAACCTAAACCAACTAAACACAAATCAGCTAAACCTAAACCAGAAAAACCTAAGCCAGGTAAACCTAAACCAGCTAAACTTAAACCAGCTAAATCTAAACCAGCTAAACACAAACCACCTAAACCGAAACCAGCTAAACCTAAACCAGCCAAACACAAACCAGATAAACCTAAACCAGCTAAACCTAAACCAGCTAAACACAAACCAGATAAACTTAAACCAGATAAACCTAAACCAGCTAAACCTAAACCAGCTAAACACAAACCAGATAAACTTAAACCAGATAAACCTAAACCAGCTAAACACAAACCAGATAAACTTAAACCAGATAAACCTAAACCAGCTAAACTTAAACCAGCTAAACCTAAACTGTCACTCTCCCCTACTCTGGTCGGTCTTTCTTTTTCCTACCCAGGCGGCAGGACCTTTTATCACTGGTGTGCTCTTGCAAATGGGGTCTTATTTGTGCACTGAACTTAATTTTTTTAAGTGGGTCATAAAACACTTGGTCTTCGTCCTTCCTGCACAAATGAAGGGCACCGTCACCTGCCTCCCTCCAGCACCTGAAGTCTTTCTTGCTGGGACAGAGGGTATTGGAGCTGCACTTGTCCCAGCCCCGGAGAAGAAGCTGTGCTTTAAAGAAGCATTCCAGGTGCTTTGACGGAATTTTTGTCAACGTGTGTGATCACAGTCTTGTGGTTCTATAGGAAAATGTATGAAACATTATCTGCCCCCAAATCCCAGTTGCATATTATATCAGGGTTTCTCAACCGTTTTTTTTTTCATTATTATTCTCCTAAAGAGCCTTTTAAGAAATATTTTATTTAATTTCCCCCCACCTCATCCCCATAAAATTTTATTTATTTATTTATTTTGATAGAGATGTATCTATTTGTATAGAGACAGGGTCTTGCTATGTTGCCCAGGCTGGTCTGGAACTACTGGTGTCAAGCAATTCTCCTGGCTCGGCTTCCCAAAGTGCTGGAATTACAGATGTGAGCCACCACACCTGGCCCCCACGAAATTTTAATACCACAGATATGCTGTATACAGCTTAGGTGCTGTATGTGGATCTGGACTTCATGCATAAAAAGAGTTAAGATATTTTTCTGCCAGTAAGAACCAATTTTCACCCCCCTGGGAACCGCTTCACCCTGTTGAGAATGTGCCCATGCCTTTCTTTCCCTCTGGGACCGAGTGGCAACCACACAGCTCTATTTTATTTTATTTTTGAGGTGGAGTCTCTCTCTGTCACCCAGGCTGGAGTGCAGTGGACCAATCTCGGCCCACTGCAACCTCCGCCTCCTGGGTTCAAGCGATTCTCCTGCCTCAGCCTCCTGAGTAGCTCGGATTACAGGCGCGTGCCACCACATCTGGCTAATTTTGGTATTTTTAGTAGAGACAGGGTTTCACCATGTTGGCCAGGCTGATCTCGAACTCCTGACCTCAAGTGATCCACCAGCCTCGGCCTCCCAAAGTGCTGGGATTACAGGTGTGAGCCACCGCGCCCTGCCAGCTCTGTCTAGTTGGGAGGTGCAGTGCCTCTCCTGTGGGCAGGGGTGCTGTGCTCCCGCCCCTGCCGCCCCTGCCGCCCCTGCCGCCCCTGCCGCCTGCCCGAGGGCTCACCCGGCGGTAGTCCTCCACGTGCTGCAGCTGGGTCTCCTGGCAGATACACAGGTTCAGGAAGTTCTGCCACTCCATCTTCAGGGCCTCCTGGTGGGCCTGGGTACGGCAGCATGGAGCCCTCGGACCACGCCCCCCCCACGTCCGCCCCACCTCCCCCCTTCCCCGCCCACCACGTCCCTTCTCACTCTCGCCCTGCCCCAGCGCACCTGGATGGGCCCCACCGCGGGGTGCCGCAGCTCCACCATGCGCTCGCCGTCGTCCTCCAGCTGGTTCACGCTCTGCTCCTGGCTCAGCAGCTCGTGCTGCTTGAAGTGCTGGGGGCGAGTCGGGTGGGGAGCGGCGGTGAGGACCCGGATGGCCCTGGCCGCCCCCACCTGGCCCCGACCTCTGCCAGCCGACCTCGTACTCCCGCCGCACGCCCGCAGGGTCGGCCATGAGGTCGCTCCAGTCCTGCTGCAGGATGCGGCGCTGCTGCTCAGCCAGGGCGCTCAGCTGCCGCGTGCAGCCCTGGAGGTGCGTGTACAGGCTGCCCAGGCTCTGCCCGCGCCACGACGCCGCCTTCTGTGCTCAGGACCCGCCGCCAGCAGCAGGGTGGGGAGACAGAAAGTGGGGGGCAAAAGGCGCCATTGGGCCGCGCTCAGGAACACTGGCCCCGGGCAGGGTCCGGGCGGCCACCCAGGCCCACCCGCAGCCTCCCTGCCCGACCCTCCCTCCTGCTCACCAGTAGGTCTCGGTATTGGCTCCGGATGGTGGCTGCATCCTGCCTCGACCAAGGGGAGAAACAAGCCCGTGAGAGGTGGGGTGCAGGGAGACGGCCCCCTAAGATCTGGGCCAGCCATACCCCACCCACCCCTATCCCCAGGGCCCAGCCGATCTAGCTCCGGCTCTGACTGGAGAAACGGGCTGGGGCTGGCCCCGGATGTGACATCCTCCAGGCTCACCTACCGGCCCCACGAGGCTCCGCAGCTGCTGCCCATAGGCGTCGATCTCCTTCTGCAGGATGTTGTGCTCGGCGATCTGTTGCTCCAGCTCCGCCATGCCCGGCCCGTACTGGCCTGCGCAGACCTGCTTCTGCAGGAGAGCCGGCGGCTCAGTCCCCAAAGGACCGCGGTGGGGAGCCAGAGAACCCCACACGCCTCCCACCCGGAGAAGTGGACTTGGTCATTTGGGCAGAGCGTGGACGAGCCTGGGAGCAGCCCGGGTGCATGCCCTGCAGCTCCCCCAGGGGCGAGGCCATTCTGCAGTGGCCCCTGAGTCCCACTGGTTCCCAGACGCTGGGCTCAGCCTCTAAGAAGTCTCCAGCTCCATCCTGCCTTGTCTGTGACCCAGCCTCAGTGCTTCCTGCCTGGACACCACCAGCCAAGCTCTAGGGCCCTCAGAATGCCCTGCTCCAGCCGGGCCCTTCCCCACTGTCCCTCTATTGTCATGATGACACCCCTTCTGTGTGGCATCAAAGCACAACTCCTCAACCAGGGATCAGAATGTCCCATGACCTGGCTCTGCCCACCTGCCCAGAAATCCCCACTTCCCGTCGAAGCCCAGGCTTCCTCCTGGCAGGAACCTTTGCTCCTTCTTTCTGGAATTGTCCTCTCCTCACTACTTCACCCTGGCCCAACTGAGCCCTCTCACCCCTCTGAGGTCTCTTCATGTACCTCCTCCTGCAGGAAGTCTTCCCTGACTGCACTGTCTACTCTGCTGTCTCTCTGCCCAGACCCCTGAGCCACCCCTACACCCTGACTATTCAAGCCTGCAGTCAGGCCCTGGATTAAATGCAGTTCCGTATCGCCCTCTGATCACACTGGGGTGTGACTTTGAGTTCCTGACCTGTTTCTGCTCCAGCACGCGTGCCCAGTCGACCCTGGGTCCCACGTCGGGGGGCAGCACCATCTTCTCGTACAGGGCACGGTACTCCGCACACTCCTGGGTCACCCGCTCGTGCAGCTGCTTGATGCTGTCAAGAAGGTGGCCGGCAGGTCAGGGCTGGACCTGGGTCTTCCCCAGGGACCCCCAGCCCTGCCGCAGCTCCACTCACTCCTTCTCAATCTCCTCAGCCTGCGGGTGCTTGAGCCGCCGGGCCTTGTCCACGTCCAGGAAGAGGTCCTTGAGCAGCACCTCAGCCTCCTTCAGGCTGCGGCCCGTCTCCTGCTGGTGCTGCAGGGCCTGGCTCTGCTCACTGTTCAGCCGGTCCTGTGGGCAGGAGATGGGCAGACTGGCCAGGGCCCAGAGCCCCCACACCCCTGCTGCCCATCACTGTGGGCCTGAGCCCCAACTTTGGGACCCCAGCTATGCTAGCCAACCTTGAGGCCCACGCCAGGCACAGGGTCAGGACCAGGGCGTCCGTGGGGCAGGTGACAAGGACACAGGGGAGCCCAGAAAAGAAGGAAGCTGAGCCCTCTCTCCCACCGTGTGTTAGGGGATGGGCGGTGCAGGACAAAGGTCATCTGTCCCATCTTCACCATCACCAAGGGGCACTCAGGGAGTGCCAGGCCTGATGATGGGCCTCCCATGCCACCCAGCCTGTCCACGCCCTGCCAACTGCTGCCGGGGCCTCACCTGCTGCAGCCTCTTCTGCGTCTCCAGGATGTCCCGCTCCACCTGGTCGGCGTTGGCTTGCATGCGGGAGATGAGAAGGGCCAGCTCCTGGGTGGCAGCCCTAGTGTGTGGAGGGGACAGCGGGTAGCTCGGTGGAAGAGGCCCCTCTGTGCCCCATCCAGGTGGCATCCCCTGCCCTCCCTCCACCCCATCCTGCCCCCACAGCCTAGCTCACTGCCCTGACTTTGGGGTCTCTCTCTGCAGAAGGCTCTGTGAGCTAGTCCTGGTTGGGGGTGTTAGCACTGCCCCGCCACATGAGGGGTCAAAAGGTGAGGGTCTCAGGTTTGTGTGGTGCTGGGGAGGGGGCAGGCGGCCTCGGTGTCCCAGCCTTAGCCAGCTGTGCTGGCAGTGAGTTCCCGACCCCACCTAGCTACCTGCCACTTCCCTCCCCGAGCCAGTGAATCACCGGCTCAGCCACTAGCACCTGAGCCAGCCTGGCTGGGCCCTGGGAGGGGTAGTTGGGCTGGCTGGGGCAGGGAGGCAGCAGCATGTCCCCCATCCCCACCTCCTCGCACTCCAGCCCTGTGTTCCCCTATACCTCCTCCACCCCAGGGAGCCTTGCCAGCATGCTGGCTTCAGTAGCCATCTAGAGGAGCCTCACACTGTCGGAGCCGGGGAGGTGGGGCAGGCGCAAGAGACTACTGGGCACCCTAACATTCTCCAGAGTTGAGGGTTCAAAGCCCAGATTGGGCTCTGACTTGCTCTGAGTCACATGGTCAGGGGTGGAGGGGAAACCTTGCTTCCACCCCAGGGCTTTTTCTGTGCATTCGCCCTGCAGCCTCCATAGAGCACCTGCTGTGTGCATGCACTCACTGTGCGGAGGTCACAAGGTCAAGCAGACCTAAAAGAGGGCAGATTGGTCCAAGCCTTATGAGCACAGTGCCTTATGGGGGATCATTATGCTGGGGCAGGAGAAGCCTTGAACTGGGTCAAAGGATGGGCCCCCCCAGGCAAAGGGACAGTGCTGGTGAAGGCACAGCAGTCTGGAAGAACTCTGTGGCCAAGACACCCTGGTTTCATCTTTCTCCATCAGAAAGATGATGGACTTGACCTTGGTCAAGTTACTCAACCTCTCTGTGCCTGAGGTTCCTCACTTGTAAAGCGGGATTTTAATAAAAATATCTATGCCTTAGGGCTATTGTGAGCATTAATTGAATTTATCCATCTGAAACGTCCAGTGCAGGCCTGGTGCAGGGTCGGCACCCAGCACGTGTTAGTTTTTATCCCATTAGAGGGCTAGTGCCTTGAAGGCAGGGGCTTGTTGGTTCTGTCTACAGTGACATCTCCAGTGCCTAGAACAGTCCTGGCATACAGTAAGTGCTCAGTAAGTTCATGTCAAACGAGTGGATCGCACGTGAGGGGAGAGCCAACAGGGCCCTGAGGACGGAGCTGCCCCAGGCCAGGAGCGCACTGCTGGGGAGCCTGCCTGGACAGTGGGAGCTGCAGGTGCTGGGCCCTGGGCGCCCCTCCTCAGGTCCCGCCTCCTGGGATGGCTGCTCCCACCGGGAGCTGCACACTCCACCCTGGGTGGGGCTCAGGTGCCCCAGGGAGGACAGGTCACTCAGCGAGAGTGTTAGCTGAGAGTCTTAACCACTGTCTTTCCCGTCCGCCCAGACACCCAGCCTCGGTGTCTGTTGGTGCCTTGATCCCTATCGGGGTAATGGGCACCCCCACTCCCACACCAGCCTTTCATCCCTGAGGTCATCTCGACACCCTGGACCCAGGCGGGCTGCTGCCTCCTCTGCAGACGAGCTGAAGCCAGTGAGTGGGAAGAACACCGCCCAATCCATCCACAGATTGCTGAGGCTGGGCTCCAGAGAGCCGGGTGGTCCAAGGGAGGCCCAGTGCCCCCTGCACCACACCCACTGGAAAAGGAAGCCCCAGCTCTATTTTGTTTTAACAGACAGGGTCTTGCTCTGTCACCCAGGCTAGAGGGCAGTGGAGTGATCACGGCTCACTGCAGCCTCGACTTCCCGGGCTCAAGTGATCCTCTCACCTCAGCCTCCCAAGTAGCTCTGACTACAGGCATGCGCCACTACATCCAGATAATTTTTGTATATTTTTTGTAGAGACGGGATTTCATCATGTTGCCCAGGCTGGTCTCGAACTCCCGGGCTCAAGTGATCTACCCGCCTCGGCCTCCCAAAGTTGTAGGATTGCAGGCGTGAGGTATTGCGCCAGGATTTTTTTTTTTTTTTTTTTTAAGACAGAGTCTCAGTCTGTCACCCAGGCGGGAGCGCAGGGGTGTGATCATGGCTCACTGCAGCCTCAAACTCCTGGGCTCAAGCAATAGGCACGAGCCACCATGCCTGGCTATTTTTTATTTTTATTTTTTTACAGAAACAAGATCTCCCTATGTTGTCCAGGCTGGTCTCGAGCTCCTGGGCTCAAGGAATCCTCCCGCATTGGCCTCCTGAAGTTCGGGGATTATAGGCGTGAGCCACGGCGCCCGGCCATGAACCCCTAACTCTTCAATACAACAAGGCCCTGGGTGAGAACTCTGGGGAGGGCTGTGGCTTAGGCAGGAGGCAGCACAGCCCCTGCATCCCTACCCCAGGGATCCCACCCCGTCCCCTCAGTCCTCATGCCCTGTACCCAGGCTCCAGGGGTCATCCCAGCCAAGTAGAGCCTTGGGGCAGAGCTGCAGTCAGGCAGCCAGGCTCTCCTGTCTCCCAGGCTCTCCTGTCTCCCAGGCTCTCCTGTCTCCCAGCCTCTGGCAGAGGAGGGCCTCCGTGCAGGCTCCTGTCCAGCACTTCTCCCGCGAAGCGGCCTCAATCCGTGGCCCTCAGGCCCCCTTAGAGGATGTAGGGAGCCCCAGGTCATCCCCTGCCTCCTGCCAGGGCTGAAGTTCGGCCTGGGCCTGCGGCTCCCAAGGCAGGGAGAGAGTCCATCCCTGGGCCCTTTGGCCTCAGGACACCAAATGCCAGCACGGGGCTGGTCCTGGGCTCTGGGCCGCCGCCGCCGCCAGGTGGCTCAAGGACCTGGGCCTGGCACCACCCCCACCCCAGTTCCCCGGCTCCCCATCCCCCAGTCCCACTTACCGGCTGTGCCTGCTGGGGGAGCCTTTGGGGGACCCCTTGGCGGGGGAGCCCTTGGGGGACCCCTTCCCCTGGGAGCCTTTGCTCAGCCCCTTGAACATGGTCGTAAAGGCAAGTGCTGGCTCAGGCTGGGCTTGGCTGGCGAAAGACGGCAGGAGGGCAGGTGGGAGGCAGCGGGCGTCCTCACTGGCTGGTCAGCTAAGTCTGGCGAGGTGGGGCGGCTGGGCACTGGGGAAGGGAGTTTCTGGGAGGCCCCTCCTTGCAGGTGAGGCAGCGGGCGGGCGGCCGGGTCCCAGGCCTGACGCGCATGCACCCACAACGGCCACACTCATGCCTCCTCCTGCACAACCAGTCTGGGAGGAAAGGGCACAGCCCTGAGGGCGGGGCCGAGCCTGCCCGACTCCCACAGAAGGTTTGGACTTGTTACACCCACATGCCTAGGGGAGCGCAGCGGCGATCACACCCAGATAGGGAAGGAGTTGGGCCAGGACAGACAGGGCTGGAGACAGACGTGCACATGCAGGTGCAGGCTCAGCGGAGAGGCCCCAGCCCCGGAGCTCAGGATTAATAAACACCTCCAGCCAGCTCAGAGGACCTGCTGCCAGGCAGGCCCCCACCCACAGCTCTCAATCCCCCAGGAGAGGAGGGGGTGTCCTGCCAGCCCAGGGCCTGACTCTCTGTTCTCCACTGACATGATGGGGCAGTCAGGGGACGTTCACTCCAGACAACTGGCACAAGGTCCATTTTTTTTTTTTTTAAGAGACAAAGTCTCGCTCTGTCACCCAGGCTGGAGTGCAATGGCATGATCTCGGCTCACTGCAACCTCTACCTCCCGGGTTCAAGCGATTCTCCTGCCTCAGCCTCCTGAGTAGCTGGGATTACAGGTGCCCGTCACCACGCCCAGAAAATTTTTGTATTTTTAGCAGAGAAGGGGCTTCACCATGTTGGCCAGGCTGGTCTCGAACTCCTGACCTCAAGTGATCCACCCGCCTCGGCCTCCCAAAATGCTGGGATCACAGGCATGAGCCACCACGCCTGGCCCCATTTTATAAAGTGTGCACAGTGCAGCAGCACCAGGGCTGGCTTCAGGCGCCAGTAAGCCTGGGCTCTGGCTGAGGCCCGGGAGCCTGATGCACTTGGCTTTTCCTACCTGCCTCTTCCCCCACCCAGAAATGGCCCCTGGTGGCTTTTATGAAGTCAGATTGAGTGGCAGACAGTGATGCCAGCTTATTGGTCTTTTCCTCACACTGGGTACCAGGGCTGCTGCCTTTTCCTTCTGTGGTGGCCCTGAGCGTCTTCAAGAAAGAGGCGATGGCACCCCCCTTTCCAGGCGCTCATTTCACTGGCCCAGCGTAACAGGCCCCTTCTGCGGGGTGGCGTCGCTTTCCAGGTCATTCCTGAAACCCCCGTGGTTTTAGTGGAAGGAGGGCTTGAGGGGGAGCCAGGGGATGGAACAGACTGACTGGGTGACATCACCTGGACATCCTGGCAGGCCTCGCTGAGGACAAAGCACAGCCTGGCAGGAGAGAAAGATCCCAGCAGACGGGGGAGACCAGGGACCGACGCCTGATACTGGCCTCAGGCCCCCATGGGATAGAAAAGTCCTGCGCCCTTTTTGGCTGAATTTCATGGGAAGTCCCTGAACTCGGCCGTGGAGAGGGGATGCAGGACACCCCCATTCCTAGAGGTGGAGGAGCTGACAGGGGCAGTAGGGGTGGGGAGGGCAGTGGCAGCCCCTGACAGCAATGAGGAAACAAAGAGGTCTCCAGTGTCCTTGGCTCCCAGCCCGTGTCTTGAGTGAGATGGCACCAGGGATGACTGGCCACTCAGCCTCTGCCCCAGCCTGCTCCCACTTTATTCCTGGTGACACTTGTCTTCTAGCCACTCATTGCACACCTGCAATCAGCTGTCTTCAGAAAGGAGCCGTTTGTGTGAATGACTACGGGGGCCAACGCCAGCCTCACCCCTGGCCTCCCTGACTCGCCTTTTTCTTTTCTTTCTTTTTTTTTTGAGACTGAGTCTCGCTCTGTCTCCCAGGCTGGAGTGCAGTGGCGCCATCTCGGCTCACTGCAACCCCTGCCTCCCAGGTTCAAGTGATTCTCCTGTCTCAGCCTCCCGAGTAGCTGGGATTACAGGCGCCCGCCACCACGCGCGACTAATTTTTTGTATTTTTAGTAGAGACAGGGTTTCACCACGTTGGCCAGGCTGGTCTCGAACTCCTGACCTCAGGTGATTCGCCCACCTCAGCCTCCCAAAGTGCTGGGATTACAGGCATCAGCCACTGAGCCCGCCTGCTTCACCTTTGAGCTTGGCCCCTCCCTGGGAGGTGGCAGTCATTGGAAGTGGGGCCCTGGGGAGAGGTGTCCAGACTCCAGACAGAGAGCAGCCGGGTGAGGCCCCTGAGCTGTGCAGGGGGAGGTGCCCTGGGCGGAGGGCAGCGAGTCTGAGGTCTGGAACACTCGAGCTTCCTCCCCTCTTCAGAAGCCCTCCAGGAAGGAAATGAGCACTGCAGGGGGCCCTCACACGCCCCGGAGATTAAGGGCTAACTGATTTACTGCAAGAAAAACAAGAGCTGACTTCCTGGCGTGATCTTCTCATGCTGGATCAAATCAGGCCCCGCTCCTCTGATAAGGGCTGCCAGGCGGCAGGCAGGAACACCCTGAGTCCTGAGGCGTCCTCTCACGTGGGATGCTCCTGTCAGATGGCAGCAACCCTGGCCCCAGAAGAAAACAGGAGAAAGGACAGGGACACAGAGTGAGGCATGGCTGTCTTTGTGCTTCACCTCTG
The DNA here is from genome assembly GCF_000001405.40 of Homo sapiens. NCBI lineage: Eukaryota > Metazoa > Chordata > Mammalia > Primates > Hominidae > Homo > Homo sapiens. The sequence continues at coordinate 76,029,885 of NC_000017.11, forward strand.
GCCTCACCCTTTGGAGAGAAAGGAGCCCTTTATCTAAAAGGTCAAGATGGGGCTGACTGCCTGGGTCAAGACCCTCAGCGTCCGTTTCTGCAACCACAACTCCTGCTGTGTGTGGCTGTAGCGCATTTGAAGGTGCCCGGACCGAAGTGAGATGTGTTATATGTGCAAAATTCACACCAGATTTCAAAGACGTACTATGGAAAAAGAATGTAAAACGACCAGCTGCGGTGGCTCATGCCTGTAATCCCAGCACTTTGGGGGGCCAAGGTGGGCGGATCACGAGGTCAGGAGTTCAAGACCAGCCTGACCAACATGGTGAAACCTCGTCTCTACTAAAAATACAAAAATTAGCTGGGCGTAGTGGCGCGTGCCTGTAATCCCAGCTACTCGGGAGGCTGAGGCAGAAGAATCACTTGAATCTTGGAGGCGGAGATTGCAGTGAGCCGAGATCGCGCCACTGCACTCCAGCATAGGAGACAGAGCGAAACTCGATCTAAAAAAAAAAAAAAAAAAAGAAAAAAAGAATGTAAAGCATCTCATTAATTTTTCTATTGATTACATATTGAAATATTTTGGATATGTTGAATTAAATGAAATGTATTTTTAGTTTTAGTTTTTTTCTTTTTGAGACAGAGTCTTGCTCTGTCGCCCAGGCTGGAGTGCAGTGGCACAATCTCGGCCCACTGCAACCTCCACCTCCCAGGTTCAAGTGATTCTCCTACTTCAGCCTCCCGAGTAGCTGGGACTACAGGCGCGCGCCACCACACCCGGCTAATTTTTGTATTTTTAGTAGAGATGAGGTTTCACCATGTTGGTCAGGCTGATCTCGAACTCCTGACCTCATGATCCGGGGTTACAGGCATATTTTAAATTTTGACCTGTTGCTTTTTACTCTTTAAAATGTGGCTACTGATAAATTTAAAGTGACAAATGAAGCTTGCATTTGGGGCTCATCAGGATTCCTTCAGACAGCTCTGGCCTGGAAGTTAGATAGGATGCCCCAACCTTCAACCCTCCTAAGCCCTGGCTTCTGCCATGTCTCTTTGCTTGCAGTTAAAAAAAACTTTCTTTTGGCGAGGTGGGGTGGCTCATGCCTGTAATCCCAGCACTTTGGGAGGCCAAGGCGGGCAGATCACCTGAGGTCAGGAGTTTGAGACCAGCCTGACCAACATGGAGAAACCCCGTCTCTACTAAAAATACAAAATAACAAAACCAGGCATGGGCGTGGTGGCACATGCCTGTAATCCCAGCTACTTGTGAGGCTGAGGCAGGAGAATTGCTTGAACCCAGGAGGTGGAGGTTGCGGTGAGCCGAGATCGCGCCATTGCACAAGAGCGAAACTCCACCTCAAAAAAAAAAAAAAAAAAAAAAATATATATATATATATATATATATATATATATTTTTTTTTTTTTTTTTTTGGCCGGGCAGTGGCTCACGCTTGTAATCCCAGCACTTTGGGAGGCCGAGGAGGGCGGATCACTTGAAGTCAGGAGTTCGAGACCAGCCTGGCCAACATGGTGAAACCCCATTTCTACTAAAAATACAAAAATTAGCCAGGCGTTGTGGTGGGTGCCTGTAATCCCAGCTACCTGGGAGGCTGAGGCAGTAGAATTGCTTGAACCCAGTAGGTGGAGGTGAGTCAAAATTGCGCCACTACATTCCATCCTGGGTGACGTGGGTGACAGAGTGAGACTTCGTCTCAAAAAAAAACCAAAATCCCGTCTCTACTAAAACTACAAAAACAAAAAAATTAGCCAGGCATCGTGGCGGGTGCCTGTGGTCCCAGCTACTCGGGAGGCTGAGGCAGGAGAATGGCATGAACCCAGGAGGTGGAGGGAGGTTGCAGTGAGCCGAGATTGAGTCACTGCACTCCAGCCTGGATGACAGAAGTGAGACTCCATCTCCAAAAAAAAAAAAAAATGTTTTTTGGCCAGGCATGGTGGCTCATGCTTATAATCCCAGCACTTTGGGAGGCCAAGGTGGGTGGATCACGAGGTCAAGAGTTCGAGACCATCCTGACCAATATGGTGAAACCTCATCTCTACTAAAAACACAAAAATTAGCTGGGCGTGGTGGCGCACACCTGTAATCCCAGCTACTCAGGAGGCTGAGGCAGGAGAATCGCTTGAACCTGGGAGGTGGAAGTTGCAGTGAACCGAGATCGCATCACTGCACTCCAGCCTGGGTGACGGAGCGAGACTCCGGCTCAAAAAAAAAAAAAAACCAAAAAAAAATTTTTTTAAAGGCATGCATGCAAAGATAGCATCTCCCCACCTTGAAGGGCCTGGTGAGTCCTTCCTCTCACCTGGCCCTGGCTTGCTCCTTGGTGGATTGAGAGGTTAGAGATGAAACGATCCCTGGGGCTGCTCAACCCTCTGCCAGCCATGACTTTGCGCGGCAGCTTACTCACTCCTTGCGCCTGGAGCGCCACGCTGATGTGGGCAGCTGGCAGCTCACCTGGCCTGGGACCTGAGCAAGAGGCTTGATCAGACCAAGAACAGTGAGACTCTCGGCTCCAAGACTGCCAGACACAGCTGGGCATATGTGCAGCCCGGCCACAGGGTGGCCACTTGGCATGTGTGCCAGCAGTTAAGCCCTCTGGTGCCCACTCTCTCCTCCAGCTCCGGGCTCCTGTGGGGAGGCATTCTTCTCCCTGCTGAGGCAGATGGTGGTAATTGCCTCCTTTGTCCCGGGAGCCGTAAGCTACCAGGCGCCCATGTGTTCCTGATGAGGCGAGGCTTTGCCGTCTCAGGAAATTGCCCTGTTTGTACAAAAGCTCCGCTGCCAGACCCTTGGACCGAAGTTGAGTAATGACCTCTTCCCTTCACTCCCTTCGCCCACTGAGCAAAGCAGAGGCACCCTCCTCCAGCTGGGCCTAGAGGAGCACAGTCTGGCGGACTGGGGGTTCAAGGGACCAGCCTCCTTCCGTTGTCTACAGGTATAGGATTGGCGGGTAGAGGCTGTGGCCCAGGAATCTGCAGGGCCACCAGGAGGAGGCTCTTTTGGCTGTGAGTCTGCCTGGCAAGTCCGATAAAAAGAACTGAAATGCCAAGGTCAGCCTAGAGAGAAGCAAAAGGTGGTACAGCTTGCCTAACCAGACAAGAGTGGGGAGGAACAGGTGCTAGTGATTCCTTTTGGGACTTTTACGGGGAAGGTTTAGAGGAAGCAACTACCAAAACTCCAAAAAACAGAAAACAACCAAATCTTGTGTGTGTTAAGAGAGCAGGCAGGATTCCTCATACTAAATGGCAAGAAAGAGAACATAGAGGGAACCCCTGGAATCCTCAAAACCAAGGCTGCCTTAGGGTATCTGTCCCTCCCTCTGAACCATCCCCTTTCCCTGGGAGAAAGGGGACCCACAGCACCAGCCCCAGTTCAGCTGTAGGACTGATGCTGGTGCAGCCCACTCCCCAGCCCCTGCAGCCATCTCGTGCATGAGCCATCCCTGCATTCCAGAAGTCTGCAGCCCAGCCAGTCTTACTCAGGAACTGGTAGGCCCAAGGGCTCTGGGCCTCTCTGCCACCTTTAAGATAATAGCTGTCCTTACTAGCTAGGTCCGGGGACCTGCAGCCCTATTTTGGAGAAGTGCGGATGTGACGGAGGCAGCCAGCTAACTGTCCATGCCAAGATAATGACCTGCGTTGCCGCTTGAGAAAATGTCCCACCGGCTGCACCACAGCAGCAGGGGTCTGGTGGCATCTGGCACTGTTCACTGTTCAGAGGGAGAAAAAGGTTTATAAAACAGACAAACATGAAAACGAAGGAACAAGAAGTTCTCATAGCTGCCTGATTTGTCTCTATTGTCAGGAAGCTGGAAAGGGGAGGTTAAACCACCCAGCACAGACAGCAGCTAGTCAGACCCAAACTATTGTCTGAATGGCATTGCATAGACTTAGGAGGACTTCCTGGGAAGGGGAAGACAAGGACGCAGGCTGGCTGAGTGGAAGGCTCTCTCAGCTATGTGTACCCATCGACTCAGGGTACAGCAGCCCACACTGTCTTGGGGTCTGGGCTCAGAACATTTTGGGGGAACCTCCTCACTGTCTCCTCCCAGCAACTTTGAGACGCAGCCGCCCCTGTTGTACAGGAGCTGGAGTGTGCTCAGAGGCAATGGACTAGTCAGTGTGGGGCAGGGATCCAGGAGCTCGGAGGACCCTGGGCACCTGCTCTCTCTGCCTCACACCTCTTCTTAGGCAGCATGGGAGGCACTGCCTGGTGAGGCCTTTGCACAGCCACGTCTGTCTCCATTCCACAGATGAGCCGCAGCTAACGTTACTCAGCTTTCACTGGCCCAGGTACCTGCCCGTCATAGCTGGATTGCTAGGTCAGAAGATCCCTGGGGAAGCACTTTGGGGGGCCGAAGCTGCGGATCACCTGAGGTCAGGAGTTCGAGACCAGCCTATCCAACTTGGTGAAACCTCGTCTCTACTAAAAATACAAAAATTAGCTGAGCATGGTGGCACATGCCTGTAATCCCAGCTACTCAGGAGGCTGAGGCAGGAGAATCACTTGAACCCGGGAGGCAGAGGTTGCAGTAAGCTGAGATCGTGCCATTGCACTCCAGTGTGGGCAACAAGAGTGAAACCTCATCTTGGAATAATAATAATAATAATACTTCTACTGGATGCTTGTAGAGCCCCTCACTCTGTGCCAGATGGTGCTCAGAGCAGAGGGTGGACCCAGAGGCCAGGGCCTATCTACTGTGTGCAACCCGCACAGCCTGCCACCCCAGCTGGCCCTGGGCGGTGCCCCCAGCCACAGCCCCTCCCAGGTCCTCCTCCCAAGTGTCTCTAACATCTAACAGAATAACAGGTTGGATTCTTCCAGTTGGTGTTGTCAGGATGCAGGCAATTTCCAATTTATTCTCTTTGCTTTGGAACATCGATAAATTTTACAGCTAAATCTGCTTTCCATCTCCTCTGTAGCAACAACTGTCTTCAAACAAAAAATTAGAACCAACACATATTTTTGCTATCTTTGGATATTTTCCTAGACCTCTAAATGTCCCAGGCTTTTCAAGGCTGCAGACAGAATTGTGCTGTTTAGAATTCTGTGATCAGTTGGCTTTTTTGTGTGTGACTAACGACACCTCGTATGTGAAAAATTAGCGCTGCCACAGCGATGACAGTGAACAGAGCACAGTCCCACCCTCAAAGCCCCTGGCGTTGGCCTTCCTCTCCTAGAGGGGGTGAAGCCTCTGCCTCAGCTTTTGGGAGGAAAGTCCTGGCTCTGGCCCAGAGCCGCTATGGGTTGAGGATGGCCTGTCATCACAGGCTGTCACCTTGTGCTTGTGGTGACAGGCTCAGGTTGCCACCAGGGGAAGGGGTCGGAACCAAGCCCAGCACCGTTTCATTTCAAAGAGGGAATCCAAGAGTTCTCACTGATTTAATGTAAAACCAGAGAGGAGACAGCAAATCCAAACAACATTCGGGAAGAGAGGAACAGGCCAGGAGACCCAGCAGCAAAGGCCAGTGCCATCCTCAGCCACCTCGTGCTCCTGACCCTCACCCAGCAGGCCTGGTGGGGCTTGCCTGGAACAGAGAATAGAAACTATGATCACATAGGCCAGGCGTGGTGGCTGACGCCTGTAATCCCAGCACCTTGGGAGGCTGAGGCGGGTGGATCACGAGGTCAGGCATTTGAGACCAACCTGGCCAATAGAGTAAAACCCCATCTCTACTAAAAATACAAAAAATTAGCTAGGCGTGGTGGCGCATGTCTGTAATCCCAGCTACTCGGAAGGCTGAGGCAGGAGAATCGCTTGAATGGGAGGCGGAGGTTGCAGTCAGCCAAGATCACACCACTGCTCTCCAGCCCGGGCGACAGTGTCAGACTCCATCTCAAAAAAAGAAAAGCCCAGGTGCGGTGGCTCATGCCTGTAATCCCAGCACTTTGGGAGGCTGAGGCGGGTAGATCATGAGGTCAGGAGTTTGAGACCAACCTGGCCAAAATGGTGAAATCCCCATCTCTACTAAAAATACAAAAATTAGCTGGGCGTGGTGGTGGCCACCTGTAATCCCAGCTACTCGGGAGGCTGAGGCAGGAGAATTGCTTGAACCTGGGAGGTGGAGTGAGCCGAGATTACACCACTGCACTCCAGCCTAGGCGACAGAGCGAGACTCCATCTCAAAAAAAAAAAAAAAAAAAAAAAAAAAGGACAGAAACCACGACCACGACCACATCCACAGCAGACCTAGGGCAGGCTTTAAAAGTATGAGACCGGGCCAGGCGTGGTGACTCATGCCTGTAATCCCAGCACTTTGGGAGGTCGAGGCAGGTGGATCACTTGAGGCCAGGAGTTCGAGACCAGCCTGCCCAACACGGTGAAACTCCGCCTCTACTAAAAATACAAATATTAGCTGGGCATGATGGCACGCACCTGTAGTCCCAGCTACTTGGGAGATTGAGGCAGGAGAATCGCTTGAACCTGGGAGGCGGAGGCTGCAGTGAGCTGAGATCGTGCCACTGCACTCCAGCCTGGGTGACAAGAGTGAGACTGTCTCTAAATAAATAAATAAATAAAAGTATAAGGGGACTGAATGGAGCTCTCTTCGTCCTCTCTTGATGTTGGAGACAGAAGCCTCCTCCAGGGTCAGAGCTTGCTGACAGCACCAGAGTCCATCCTGGAGGAGGGACTGGAGCCAGCACAACACGGGAACACCCACTTGGAACAGACCCATTCGCGGCCCCCGGGGCCTCATCTGCATGTCCTGCCCCGTGGGAAGGCAGGACTGTGTGGCCTCCGAAGTGTCTTTTTGTGAAAACCCCCAGCGAACAGCCTGCAGGGCCCAGGGGCAGTGAGGGCCTGACTTGAAACCTGCTCCCATCAGAGGCAGAGCCACTTCCCAGGGCCTGAGGACAGGAGGGGGTCCTGCATCTGGCGCTCTGTCCCCCACGACACAGCCTGCTTAATGTCCAGGAATCCCATGTGAAGGGATGTGCAAGCTCGCCGGAGACCTTGGCCCTGCCAGATCTGTCTTCTTATGTAAACACCTGCTTTTAATACTAAACAGCATCACTGGCCGTTAACAGCCAATGCTGCTCAGAGCGCCTGGCAGGAGCACCGGGAGGAATGGAATTTGTAGTGTGGCCGCGAGACAAAGCATTAGGCAACCTGAGAAGGAAAAGGTGCAGTTGGGATTCGCCTCCATCTCTAGTTTATAGGTCCTGGGTCCCCACTGAGGCCAGCACTCTAGAGTGGGAGGGGCTGGGAGGGCTGTGGGAAGGACAAAGGGACATCTTCCAGGAGGATGAGCGGTTCCCCATGCCCGTCCCCCTCACGATGCTGCAGGCAACGGCCTGAGACTGCAGCACAGCAGGGCCTGCAATTGGGTTCTTGGAGCTGGAGGACAGCGTGGCTGTCAGCACAGAGACGAGACAAGGGAGGTGCAGAATCTTGGCCCATGGCCCTGGGAGGAGGATGAGGACATGGATGAAGACCCCCTAACCCCCAAATCGTGGTTCCTCAGCCCGCAGGGACGCTGACCTGATCAAAACCCAGGACCTCAACCTGAGACCAGTCATCTGTGCTATATATATTTTTCTTTTAAAAAAGTTTTTTTGGTAGAGACAAGGTCTCACCATGTTGCCCAGGCTGGTCTCGAACTTCTGGCCTCAAGTGATCTGCCTGCCTTGGCCTCTCAAAGTGCTGGGATTACAGGCGTAAGCCACTGTGTCCAGCCTATCTGTGCTATATTTTCAGAAGGGGTGAGGATAGTCCTAAATTTATATGGCATAGATGATGAAACTTTCAATTAAAAAAAAAAACCCCAGCTTCCTGAGGCTCTCCAACCCAAAACAAACCCCGGGGGATCAGGGCCTCTCTGCGAGCATCTCAAGGTTCTAAGCCACAACACAATTCTAACAAGAAGCCTGATTTGTGTCTCACCATCCTTTCTAGCTCTTATAGCCTTCCCTCCCTGCAACTTACTGGGAAAACAAAAGGCACAGCCAAGCCCACAGTGGCATTCTAAAACCACCTTTACAAAAATTCTAACGGTGAGATTATTAGAGTGAAAAAGGTCTAGCCTAACCCACTCCATCTTGCTTCTAACCTCCAAGCTGTCCTTGTTCATTCCTGGGAATAAGCCGAACTCACTTTGGGAGAAGCTTACAGTTTACTGTTTAACTTTGAAACAAAGATGGTAACAGCACTTTCCGGAAATAAACCCCCTTCTTGCCTGGGGCCCAGACTGCCTTTGTAGGACTAACGAATTAGCCACAAAAATTGAAATTATGGTTTAGGAGTCATGCAGCCAGAGGCCCAAGATTCTGAACCTTCCCAGTTGCTCCTAGGGATGACATCACTGTTGTAAAACCTAAGAATGGTGCTCGAGATATTTTTCAGACCCTGCACTTTATGGATCAGCTGGCACCATCCATCCAAACTGGCTCATCTGGTCTTGTAGCCCCCACCCAGGAAACCGACTCAGCACAAGAGGCCAGCTTCAACTCCCTATGACTTCATCTCCAACTCCCTGACTTCATCTCCAACTCCCTATGACTTCATCTCCAACCTGACCAATCAGCACTCCCCATTTCCTGACCCCCTACCCACCAAATTATCCTTAAAATTCCCAGTCTCTGAATTTTCAGGGAGACCAATGTGAGTAATAAACTCCAGTCTCCTGTTTAGACGGCTGTGTGTGAACTAAACTCTCTATTGCAATTCCTGTTTCCATGAATCAACTCCATCTGGGCAGCGGGCAAGAACCCTCGGGGGGTTACAATGCCATCCTGAAACAATGCTCTTGGATTTTTAACCAGTCAGCCTTTTCTTCAAGCCACTGGGTTTGCTCAAAAACGGAAAACATCTAAGCCAACATTTCTTGTGACGAATTTTCTTTCCTATGTGACAGATGAGTTTTGATTTCCAAAGGGAATCGTTAAGTGTCAGGTACATGTTTAAATCACTTTTATTCCTTGCTTTCTTACATTGTTTTTGTGACTTCTATTATTGATGTTATAATAGAAGTGAAAAGGGATGACTAAGGAAAAACGGGGGGTAACGAAGGGGATTAAAATATAATGGCATCTAAAAATTACACATTGGGAAGTCCTGAAAAATAGTGCCTCTAACATGTGTATCTGGCATCAGCCTCACCTAGTTGCCGGTAAGTCAGGTTACACTTGACCTCACCGGCTTCACGCAACTAGGCTCCCGAGGAGAGAACGGGGACTGGACATGAGGGAGGGCATATAAGAAATGGGCACAGTCTCCGTCATCTTTGCCTTTTAATATAAGATTTGGTTTCATCATTTCTGAGTGTAACATATTTCTTCTAAAAATAGAGCTCTCTGCTTGTCTGAAACTTCTTAGCGTTCACTGGGAGGTGAAGGGGAATAAGGCTGACCGTAATTCTGGGGTGACGTTGCCAGTTTCATAGTCATAGATAAACTTCTCAAGGGCTCCTGGATGCTCACAGCAAGGATGAGTTCATTTCAAATCCATGGTACTGAAGAAGCATGACAAAGCGTTTCAAGGCCCCATCTGTGCCTGGTGTGGACTCCTGAACGCATTACTGACCAAAGGCAATCAATCACAGCTCACAGGGCACCAGACAGCAGCGGCCCCTTTCCCAGGAGGTACAGGAGACAGGATGACCCTGCACACATTTACCAGAAGACAACAGGGTGCTCTCCTGACACGCTGCTTAAGAACGTGTACAGACACAAGATGTAGGAATGCAGGGCCGAAGATGTTAAACTCTTGCCCCGGGCCAATGCAGACCTGGATTTAATATCATGGAACTTGCTGGGATTTTCTCACAATACAGATTAAGAGTCAGAATCTCCCCCGCCCCCGAGGAAGAGCCTGGTTAGCTCCTGAATCCAAAGATGCCCTTGATGTATCCAGTGAGGCCACTCTTGGTCTTCTGTTCCAACTTGTCCTCAAGGGGTGGGAAAGCCACATGGTTGAGGGCCAGGTCAAAGAACAAAGGCTTGCAGGGAATGGGCTGGAAGCCTGGTGGGAAGTGCACAAGGTTGGCTTGCTTGGTGACAAGGGAAGGGTCCAGGCAGAATGTCTCAAACCGTTCAACCAGAGGCTGGAAGTCAAATCAAAGAGACGTATGTAGCATCGGTCACAGAACACCCTTGGTGAACATTCCTGAGTGCCGACTGCCTGGTTCAGAGCTTTACAGGGGCCATCTCACTCAATCACTCAATCCCGACAGCCTCCTACGAGGAGGGGCTACCACATCCCTGCCTTGTAGTCAAAGTCACTGAAACCCAGAGAGGCTAAGAGAGTGGCAGGCTAGGACTGGGGTGCAGGCCTGTTGGCCATGTTACGAGTTAGAGCTCTTACCCACGGGTGCTACTCTTTACAGCAACAGGTTCCTCAACCCTCTTCCCAGGGATGATCTGACATCTAGGAAGCTTTATGCAAGAAGCTTTGAGGTTGGGTAAGAGAAGGGAGGGAGGTGGGGGGTTTCCTTAGAAATTTAGGGTCCACTGCTCTATAATGAGCATGCATTCCTAGTTTGTTACTAATCCTGCTTCGTATTCCTCAAAAACCATGGCCCAGACTTACCTTATTGTCCTTGACTTGGGAGGAGGAGGTCTCTGTTTGATGAGCGTCGTTTGCATCTGAAAGTTTCACAGGGATTCAGTAAGAACAAGGATTTATAATAGCACACTAATCACAAATGAGGCCTATCACACAGGTGGCCCCTACATCCCAAAAGCAAAAGGAGCCAGCATGTGGGGAAGCCAGGCCTGTCTCCTGCTGAGAAGTGGTGGAGATAAACAGATCAATCCCAGATCCAATGCCGTCGGCCCAGTGAAGCCAGCACAGTTGCATGAGGACAGTAACAGGGAGAAGGGCCAGTGTAACAGTGCACTCGAAATGCTTCTACACAATCTGATGCCCAGCTGGCACAAGTAAAGGCCAGGAACATCTTACAGATGAACCAAGACAACCCTTTCAACCTTAAAACAGTAGTATGGGGTGTGACAGAGAAGGGGAGTGGCAGGAAGGGAAGTCTGGGGATACAAAGGCCAGGCAGGGGGCTCACCAAGGATGGCTGCGGCCTGCAGGGAGCACTTCTCTGACCGCACTTGAGTGATGAGCTCTTGCACATCAGGCAGGTCCTGTAAGATTCAGAAAACGTGTACTCCCGAGCCAGGGCCAGGTCAGAGAAGCACACCAAGCTAACCCGAGTTAACCGACCCCACTGGTATTTTCACAGGACTTTAGACTTTCTAAACGGTTCTCACTATTAGAACAAAACAAAACAAAGCAAAACACTAGCCTGTTTCAAATGGGAAAAGCTATGCCACGGCTTAAGTAATAATGCCTGGAAATAAAGATGATGTTAATATTAATAAATTTATCATACACTAAACAGTGTGCCAGGCATTGTTCTAAGCAGGTTACATAATCACTAGCTTAACCTTCTCAATAATCCTGAGGCAGTTTGCACTCCCATTTTACAGATGAGAAAATGGAAGCATGGAGAGGTTAAGCAATGTGCCAGCCATGCGCCCAAGTGGCAGCGGGCTGGGGTAAAGGGCTGGGCCATCTGGCTCAAGGGCATAAGCCCTTAGTCGTTACATCCCACTGCTTCAACGAGGGTGATGAATTTTCCTGGCCTCGGTCTCTTGCTTGGCATATTGGGAATGACCTGAGAAGGTCTGGATGCCACAGAATCCTTCATGCCTCCATTCTGACACTTCCCCCACAAAACAATTCAGCACATGAAATCAGGTCCACACTGGTTTGCCCCGCGTCCCAAGATGATATTCCATGGTGGTGACGCTGCCATGCCTGTCACTCCCACCTGCCCACATCCCTGTGCTGTTTTCTAGCTCTGCCTTTGCTTGGGGTCTCTTTTATTTCTTCTGCATCCATAGGTGGGCTCCTGCATGCCAGTCTGTGGCTACAACAAAACTACAAGCTCTCTGAAGGCAGAGAGCTTCTTCTCTACCCCTCTGAGCTTGCACGGGATCCAGCAGCTCCTACACTGGCTGGCGTGACTCCATCAACGACAGGAACCTTTGCTTGCTTTTTTTTTTCTTTTTTTGAGACGGAGTCTCACTCTGTTGCCGCCCAGGGGCGTGATCTTGGCTCACTGCAAGCTCCGCCTCCCGCGTTCACGCCATTCTCCTGCCTCAGCCTCCCGAGTAGCTGGGACCACAGGCGCCTGCCACCATGCCCGGCTAATTTTTTTGTATTTTTAGTAGAGGTGGGGTTTCACTATGTTGGCCAGGATGGTCTCGATCTCCTGACCTCGTGATCTGCCCGCCTCGGCCTCCCACAGTGCTGGGATTACAGGCGTGAGCCACGGTGCCCGGCCCCTGCTTGCTTTTCTAAATGGTCTCTACTTGTCAAATATACATGGATTCCTTAGACCAGCTGATGTTGCAACAAGTTCTATACCATCACAGCACGCCACAAGCTTAAGAAGCTAGTTATCGTTCAATAATCAGTAAAGCACCGGGAGTAGTGGCTCACGCCTGTAATCCTAGCACTTTGGGAGGCTGAGGTCAGCGGATCAAGAGGCTTGATCACTTGAAGTCAGGAGTTTGAAACCAGCCTGGCCAACATGGTGAAACCCTCTACTAAAAATACAAAAATTAGCTGGGCTTGGTGGCACAAGCCGAGATCGTGCCACTGCACTCTAGCCTAGGAGACAGAGACTCCATCTTAAAAAAAAAAAAAAAAAAAAGTAAAGCAAAGAAAGCCTTCCATGGCTGCACTTTATTTATTTATTTTGAGATGGAGTCTTGCTCTGTCACTCAGGCTGGAGTGCAGTGGCTTGATCTTGGCTCACTGCAACCTCTGCCTCCCAGATTCAAGTGATTCTCCTGCCTCAGCTTCTCAAGTAGCTGGGATTACAGGTGTGCACCACCACACCTGGCTATTTTTTTCTATTTTTGTAGAGACAGAGTTTCGCCATGTTGCCCAGGCTGGTCTCGAACTCCTTACCTCAAGTGATCTGCCCACCTCAGCTTCCCAAACTGCTGGGATTACAGGCATGAGCCACTGCATCCAGCCCTGTGGCTGTACTTTAGATCAAGCATTTCCTTAGCTTTAACAGACCCCCAAATGGCCTGGGGATCTTGTTAAAATGCAGATATTGGCCAGCATGGTGGCTCATGCCTCCAATCTCAAGGTTTTGGGAGGCAGAGGCAGGAGGACTGCTTGAGGCCAGGAGTTCGAGGCCATGAGTTCAAGGCCAGCCTGGGCAACATAGTGAGACCCCCATCTCTACAAAAAAATAAAAATTGGCCTGGTATGGTGGCTCATGCCTGTAGTCCCAGCTACTCAGGAGGCTGAGGTGGGAGGGTCACTTGAGCCCAGGAGTTCGAGGCTGCAGTGAACTATGATGGTGCTACTTGCATTCCAGCCTGGGTGACAGAGCGAGACCCTGTCTCAAGAAAGACAGAAAGAAAGAAAACAAGCAGAAGGTTCCGGGTGGGAGCTGAGAGGCTGCATTCCTAGTGAGGCCCCGCCGCTGCTGCTGGTCTTGCGCATGCCCTGCAGGACAGCTTCACCAGTGCTTCTCACTTGGTTGCATGTCAGAATCACTAAGGGGCCTTTCTAAGTCCCAATGCCCACTTCAGATCCCTCACACTGATTAGAACCACAATCTCTGGGGGTGCGACCCAGACATCTACCTTGAAAAAAATCTTCCTAAGAGATTTCAACGTGCAGTCAAGTCTGAGAGCAGTACTTCAGGTTTTCCTGTGGTGGTTTTTGTTTCTTTTAAATCAGAAAAATGCCTTCCCTTCTTCATACCTAAATCCTCCTCAGGCCTGGAGCACAGCCATGAGTGACACAGCCTGCAGCTCCTGGGCAGTCAGGGCTACACCAGGTCCCACGGGCAGCCAGGGAGGACCAGCCTGAGGTGGCGCCCAGCTGTTGTACCCTCACAGCTCCTCCACAGCTGACTCCATAACCTGCCAGGGCTTGCAAACAAGGAGAGGCCAACCTCTCACCTTTAGGCTGTTCTTGAAGGCGCCAGCATCAGAATTTACTTCATTTGCATATTTCAGGACTCTGTCATACAGGACAAGGGCTTCGCTCCACTTCTTCACCAGCACATAGGACTGAGCAATGAAAAAACACCTGATGGGGAGGGAAAAGAGCCACAATATTCTAAAGCAGCAATTACCCAAGACCAAGGCTTTCCTTGCAGTTTAGGCGAAATTTCACATTTGGAAACAGGTTTCTTAACGTGGGATCACCGCATGGGAGCCCCCTTCATGGGAAGTGTTCAGATTTGTAGGCTACCCTGCAGAGATGCTTCCCAGCAATCAGAGATGCCCAGGTAGGCCCAACACTGAGCCACGGTTTTTTACTGACTGGCTGACTCTGCAGAGGAGGAACAGTTCCCAAAAGGAGCATGGTGAGGCTGGGGACAGGAAGGAAGGAAGAACGCTGCCCGGCTCAAATAGAAATCCCAAACCCATCCACACACCCAAGTCGCAATCATTCATCTCTGCTCATCGCTTTCCAAAAACAAAACTCACAGAAGGTTCTTCCTGAGTCAAATTCCTCTCCTGGGCTCAGCAGAGCCTGAGCGCTGCTGGTCCCTGACAGGACAGAAGGGGCCATGGAGTGAAGACGGGGCATGCTGGAGCACCAGAGCACACTGGCATGTGAGGGCCACAAGAGGAAGGGCAAGAATGCATGGGGCTCTGCCTTCCATCCTGGCTGGGCCCCATCGTGCTACCCAGCCCACTTCCAAGTTACAAATGACACAAGTCATTTAAGAAACTGAGTTTAGCTTTATCCCAAGTCAGTTCAAGTTCCTTGAACTGGCCACACTGGTTCTGCTAATTAACACCCTTTCAAGGCGTGCCCCTTTTCCCCTGGAAGGGAGGAGGAAAGTACAGGAAGACAAGTGTTTTTGTTTTTTTTGAGATGGAGTTTCGCTCTTGTCTCCCAGGCTGGAGTGCAATGGTGCGATCTTGGCTCACCGCCAAGTTGCGGTGAGCCTCCCGGGTTCAAGCGATTCTCCTGCCTCAGGCTCCCAAGGAGCTGGGTTTACAGGCATGCACCACCATGCCTGGCTAATTTTGTATTTTTAATAGAGACGGAGTTTCTCCATGTTGGTCAGGCTGGTCTCGAACTCCCGACCTCAGGTGATCCACCTGCCTCAGCCTCCCAAAGTTCTGGGATGACAAGTGTGAGCCACCGCGCCCAGCGAGGAAGCCAAGTTTAACGTGTGTGCTCCACTCCTCCGACCTGGCCAAAAGGCAGACATCATCACTGGCCACTACTGACCACAGCCTTTAGAAACTCCCCTTGAACATGCTGGGCTGACCTTCCTCTGATCACAGGCAAGGTAACCATACACTCAAGGCCAACGGTCCCATCTGCTGTGGGCTGGGTCATGCTCCCAATGCTTATAGAACCTGGGAGGCGGAGGAAAACTGCCCATCCCATGGGACGTTACCTGTAAGCTTTGAACACCAGAGTCTTGAGGCCTATCTCTTTCTGGAAGGCTTTGTCTTCCTCTAAACCAGGAAGCTGGAGCAATTCCACCAGATTCTGTACAACAGATGCAACAAGAAAATTCATGAAGAGTAGATCTTAGGTTGAATTTTTGACAGAAGACCTTGTAAGAACGGACAAGAGTGAGGAAAAAAAAAAGCCCGAGGTCAATACGATGGGGAAAAGCCTGTGAAGAGATTGGGCAGCAGCCACACCTGCTGTCACCTCCACTCCCCTCTGATCTTGGAAACATATTTGCCCTTTACAACTCAACTCAGCTCACCCACCTTCAGAGACTTCTTGGCCCATCTTAGCTGGAAGGGATCTGTTCCAGCGCTGAGCTTTTATTTTGCTTAGCATCTACTCAGATGCCTTGACTGTGTGTGTCTCACAGTCCTACTGACTGACAAACTCCCTGGGGGCCGAGATGGCATGGACTCAGGTCTCAGATGCTCTATGGCACCTGGGAGCGTCTTACACAGGTCAAGTGCTCAGTGATGATCTGGGGTCACTATTCTCTGCAGATCAGCATGTCTGAGAGGTAGGGGCTCACAGACTGCAGAACTGGTGTAAGATCTTTGTCTCTTCCCAGCTACTAATAGGTCCTGCTTGTCACAGCCCTTCCGTGATACAAAGTTAAGTCACTTTGTGTCCGACACAGGCAAAGGAAAACCACAGGCCCTTGCCTTCCCGGTCCTCAAGGGTCACCTGTAAGATGATGTCATAGAGTCGGATCAGGTCCTGGGGCCGGGGTGAGCGCTTGCTGTCATCCTCTGGCTGCTGCTGCAGCAGAGCCCTCTGCAGACCTTTGGCCATGTTCTCATTACGCTTGATTGCCGTTGATAGCTTGATGTAAGTCAGGTAGCTGGAATGCACCACAAGTCAGCTCAAGTTATACTCAGAGAAGCGGAGGAACTGGGAGGACTGGACTACAAGTTGGGGCTGACCCAGAGGAAGCAGGGGGCGGGTGGGGGCGTGGCCACAGCAGGGCCATTTGGCTTGGGCTTCAAGGGACCCTCCATTTGGCTACTATCCAGTGGCAAGTTTGCAGGGGACCCGCATGAGATCTTATCACAAAATTTGATTTTTAGCTTGATTTATACCTTCTGCATCCTTTTTCAAGAACCACACAGTGGAAAAAAAAAAAAAAAAAAACAAAAAACAGAGAGTGGGATCCCAGCAACTCACGAGGCAGGAGATCACCTGAGCCTGGGTATTCAAGGCAGCAGTGAGCTACGATCACACCACTGCACTCCAGCCCGAGTAATAGAGCAAAACCTTGACTCTAAAAATTGAAAACAACAACAACAACAAAACAAAAAAAACGGGGGGCCAGGGGCAGTGGCTCCCATCTGTAATCCCAGCACTGTAGGAGGCCGAGGCGGGCGGATCATGAGGTCAGGAGATTGAGACCATCCTGGCTAACACAGTGAAACCCCGTCTCTATTAAAAATACAAAAAATTAGCTGGGCATGGTGGTGGGCACCTGTAGTCCCAGCTACTTGGGAGGCTGAGGTAGGAAAATGGTGTGAACCTGGGAGGCGGAGCTTGCAGTGAGCCAAGATTGCGCCACTGCACTCCAGCCTGGGCGACAGAGCGAGACTCCATCTCTCTAAATAAATAAATAAACAGGCCAGGCATGGTGGCTCATGCCTCTGGTCCCAGCTACTCAGGAGGCTGAGGTGGGAGGATCACCTGAGCCCGGGAGGCAAAGGTTGCAGTTAGCTCTAGGAGTGGAAGGAAATGAGGCAAGGGCCGCAGGGAGCTTCAAACACTGGTTGTGTTCTCGTTTTTGTTTTGAGAATCTTGAGTCAGGGCTGTCTCAGGCTGGAATGCAGTGACATGACCATGATCATGGCTGACCGCAGCCTTGACCTCCCTGGGCTCAGGGGATCCTCCCACCTGAGCCTCTGGAGTATCTGAGACCACAGGTGTGCACCATCACACCCAGCTAATTCAAACTCTTGGGCTCAAGCAATCCATTTGCCTCAGCCTCCCAAAGTATTGGGATTACAGGCGTGAGCCACCATGCCTGGCTGTGTTCTAGTTAAGCTATATAAAAATCTTAAATTAGGCATATTAAAATAAAATGTAAATGTAGCATATATACTTATTTGATAAAATGGACATACATGCATTAGCATTTGTATGCATTAAGAAATTATAAATGTAAGCCAGGTGCAGTGGTTCACGCCTATAATCCCCGCACTGTGGGAGGCTGAGATGGGCAGATTGCTTGAGTCCAGGAGTTTGAGACCAGCCCAGGTAACATGGCAAAATCCCATCTCTACAAAACAAATACAAAAATTAGCTGG
The DNA here is from genome assembly GCF_000001405.40 of Homo sapiens. Lineage (NCBI taxonomy): Eukaryota > Metazoa > Chordata > Mammalia > Primates > Hominidae > Homo > Homo sapiens. Next base: position 76,047,645 of record NC_000017.11, read on the forward strand.
ATGTAGTGGTGCATGCCTGTAGTCCCAGCTACTCAGTGGGAGGCTGAGGTTAGAGGATTGATTGAGCCCAGGCCATTGAGGCTGCAGTGAGCTGAGATCACATCACTGCACTCCAGCCTGAGTGACAGAGCTAGATCCTGTCTCAAAAAAAAAAACAAAGAAAAGAAATTATAAATGTAAATATACATAAATATTACATATACTCTTTTGTTCAAATATTTTAATAATATTAAAAAGTAAAAAAATTAAAATAACCCTTACCTATGCAAGTATTGAAGATTAGACACCTTCCCTGGCTCTCCTTCAAGGATATAATCTCTCTGTTTCTGCAGAAAGTGAAAAAGGTAAAAAGTAAAGCAACTGATGCTCTCCATCGCTCTGACCACCTCATGGAATGGTGGGGTCTCCAAAGTGCCCTGAACATAGACACAAACTCTAGTAAGACAGGAGTCCTCAAATATCAAAGATCTATACTTGACATAATCTAGAATGACAGTGGCACTCAAGTTGCCACTGGCATCTAAAAATTGACCTCAAATAAGAGAACTGAGAGTAACGGCCAGATGAGACTTCCTGTCCACTCCTCCCCGTGCCTAACCCCAAAGCATTAAAATCAGACATTCCACAGTCCACGGCTCTGTGTGAAGGTCTGTGCCACAGATCCCAGTTCCACCCCTTGTGCTGTCAGAGTGTGCCTTTTGTGGCTGGCCGAATAACATACGCCAGAGCTGTCTATATGCTAGCCTCCGTGCAATCTGGGAAGATGTTACCATATATGGTAAAAGAGACTCTACAGATGTGATTAAATTAGGGATCTCTGAATTATCTGGGTGGGTCCAATGTCATCCCAGGGTCCTGAGAAGAGGGAGGCAGATGGGTCAGAGATGCAGAAGATGAAGGAACGGAAGCAGAGGGGAGAGGAGCTGATCGCTTTGAAGCACAAACGGAGAGCCACAAGCCAAGGACTACAGGCAGCCGCTAGAAGCCAGGAGATGCATTCTTGGGAATACTGGAAAAGGATTCCCCTAGGGTTTCTAAAGGAACACAGCCCTGTGAACCCACTAGATTTCTGACCTCGAGAAGCGTAAGATAATACATTTGGATCATCTTAAACCATCAAGTTTGTGGTTAATATGATCGCAGCAACAGGAAATGAATGCGCCTTTGCGGCATCACATTCCTTACATTCTGTGAGGTGTCTCCCAACTGCTATGCATTCAAGGTGAATGACAGTGACAGGGGCTGGGACTCTGTAGGCACCTCTGTTAAGTCGATGAAGGGAAGCACAATACATAAAGGCAGCCTAACGGGGCAAGGAAGCAGGTGACTCCTTAGAGAAAGCAGTGATTCAAAACAAAGTTTATACTCAAGGCTTTGTGGCAGATGCTGAAAAAAAAATAGTTGCTAGGCAACGAAGTTATTGTTGTTTAATGGGTTCAGCGTTTCAGTTTTACAAAATGCAGAGAGTTCTGGAGATGGACTGTTGGTGATGGTTGTACGTTATGAATGCATTTAATTACCACTGAACCATACACTTAAAAATGGTTAAGGTTTTATGTTTAACGTTTTTTACCACAATAAAGTTTTTATGAAGAGGTAATACTTAATTAACTATCAAAGCTTATAGCTGCAAGTATCAGATATTTAGAAACTGCAGAGATCTCTGTGGGCTAGGATGGTGCAGGCATATGCTTTTCAGAAATGGTAAGCTATGAGCTGGACCTTGAAAAACAGATGGGGTTTGGACAGGTGAAGAGGGGCAGGAAAGATTACCCAAGTGTGCGGAGGGAGGGGAATGAGAACAGTGTAACACACGGGGTGGGAAAGGCATTACTGAGATGCCAGTAAGTGGAACAGCTTGAGGCAGAGGACTCAGAAGGATGCAGTGAAGTACAAGGCTGGGAACAGACTAAGGAAGGCTTGTACACCAGCTCAAGTCTGAACTGAGAGGCCAGTGGTCTCTAAGTAGGGCGCATAAAACCCAGGGAGTCTGGGTATGAAACGAAAATTAGAATTTCTATTTCTATTTATCTCATTCAAAAAAGCCCTTATTTTAATGCAGTTTATATATGACAAATTAGTCAAATAATAAGCTATATAATTCATAAATAAATGCATCAGTGGTGCAGGCTCAATGCTGCCTATGGGGTTTATCAGCATAAAAGTTTGGAGGCCATTGCTCAATCCCTAGAGGAAATCACTGGGCTTTTTAAAATTAGACAGGGAAACTAGATTTAGAAAGATTCCATTTGTACTTTGCGAAAGAAAGGCCTGGAGAAGGGAACCGAGACCAAGCCAGAAGAAGCAATTAGGAGACCTTTGCGGTTGCCTAGGCACACGAGAAAAGGCTAATAGAAACAGGTGAAGCAACAATAGGCAAGAGGCCCTGCAAAGGGAGAAGAAGGTGGGTTTGGTGACAGGGACAAAAGAGACAAATAGATCTGAGGTTTTCAGCCTAGATGCCTGAATCAACCACAGGGATAGTGTTTTCAGAAAAGGGAGGCACTGGAGAAGTCCACCTGGAGACAGAATTGGAGGCCACAGGCTTCACAGGCCATATAGGAAACCATTAGGAGGAACAGGGGAGGGAGAAATTAATTTCTCAATGTGATGGAGCCCAGAGGCCCTTGTTTGCTCCCTTACGACCTCACCTCAAAAAAACAAAAACGAAACAGTGGCCAAGCGAGCAGTGCACTCAGAGCACTGGGGTCCACCTGAGAAGGGGACACAGGCTGACCTGGACCCGCCCAGAGCAAGAACCAGGGCTCGGCTGAGGGTCCTACCTGATCTGGCTTGAGCTCCTCCCGAACCACCTGGATGGCGTCCCGACACTCGCTGAGCATTGATTCAAACAGGCGCTCCTTAGTTTCTTCGCTTTCAGCCTAAACAAGGGCAGATCAAAGTAAGAGACTTTCCTTTGAGCAAACCATAGTCACCTAATGGGAGAGGAGCAAAATCGCACATGGAGTCCCCCAACCACACACTCACTCACGCACGCCACACCAGATATCATTTTAATTGTTACTGTTCTCTACCATATAATGGTTTCTCATAGCCTTAGTCATTCATTATTCATATGGAAAGGGGAGTTCTATTTTTAAAAGCAAACATGCTGAAAAAGCTGTCTGCATAACTGATCTGAGACTTAGCAAAGGCTTTACGTCTCTTCCCAGCACAGCTTCCTGCTACTTCCCTGCAGCGCTTCACCCTCTGCTCAGGACCTGGCACCCCTTGAGGGGCCTTACAGACTGGACTTGGGACACTCTACACTGAAGCACAGCACACCAGAACTTTCCTTATCTTTTCCTTCCAGAACAAACTTGTCAAGCTCTACTGTATGCCAACACAATTACCTTTTACAAATGTGACCCAACTCAAAGATTGTTTCTTTTAGGTACAAGGAAATAATAAAAAAGACTAATCAATACCCACCAAAAAGACAGTTCTCCTAAATATCACACTAAGTTCTTTTCGCCACAGACGTGCTGCACTCAGATATTCCACATGACTACTCTGAGAACAATTTTTAGGACATACAAGGTTGACACGCATGAGACGACAGTCTTTGCACAAGTACTGGGTGTCACCTGTCTGCTACACAGCTAGGGTAAGTGAGAAAGTGATTCACTAACTGAATACCTGCCAAGCCACATTATCGTCCCAAAGAATCTGACCGAGCAGATAGAAATGGACAAAAGGCAGAAAGGGGATGAACCTGTGTGACTGGCAGACCCACTGTGAAATTAAAACATCAACATTCCATTATGGTATTTGACTTCCCATAGAAATTAACACTCAATCTGAAAAAATGTGTTAATATTCAACTGACCTCTAAGAAAGCTCAAACGAAAACCCAGTGCTGCCCACCCCTTTAAGAGATGGTTGGGGGAACAGGGGCTTAAAGAAAAACCCTTTTTCTTCTCTTAAGAAAGCTTTTCTTAAAAGTTCTCTTAAGAATCTATTTCTTCTCTTTTCTTAGTCTCCAGTGTGAAAAAAAAAATCTTCCTTGTAACTTACCCAATACAAATCAAACATACTTTTCCACTTATAAGTTACTTGACTTTCCTGTTGTTCACTAACTTGGGAACGAACTGGGGCTCATTCATGCTATAAATCTAGTAAAGCAAACACGGCCACCATTCACTCCTGGAACCACCAGAGCAGCACCATCCAATAGAACTCTCTGCCACGGGCAATGTCCTCTACGTGCACCGTCCAATGAACACCTGAGCACTCGGAAGTTTTATTAATTTATCTATCTTTTTATTATTTTATGTTTTTGAGACAGAGTCTTGCTCTGCTACCCAGGCTGGAGTATAGTGCCGTGATCTCGTCTCACTGTAACCACCGCCTCCTGGGTTCATGAGATTCTCCTGCCTCAGCCTCCGGAGTAGCTGGGACTACAGGTGCCCGCCACCACGCCTGGCTATTTCACCATGTTGGCCAGGCTGGTCTCGAACTCCTGACCTCAGGTGATCCACCTGTCTTGGCCTCCCAAAGTGCTGGGGTTACAGGCAGGAGCCACAGAGCCTGGCTGGAAGTTTTATTAATTTAAATTTCAATAACCACATGTGTTGAGCGGCTACTGCACTGGACAGTGCAGCACTGGAGCACATGCTTTATAGAATATTGTTGGCCGACCCCAGGTTGGCAAGATTCTTTAGAATCACTTCGTCAACCTTACTGGCCTAATTTTTCAAAGTACAAATCTGTGGAATGGTGCCGCCATATAATACTCAGCAACTGGAATAAGATACATAAGTCTAGAGTGCTTAAAAACTCGAGTAAGACATGTGAATGGCAGGGGGTGGGAGGCAAGGGGAGGGAAAGTATTAGGACAAATACCTAATGCACACAGGGCTTAAAACCTAGATGATGGGCTGGGCGCGGTGGCTCACGCCTGTAATCCCAGCACTTTGGGAGGCTGAGGCGGGCGGATCACGAGCTCAGGAGATCGAGACCATCCTGGCTAACACGATGAAACCCCGTCTCTACTAAAAATACAAAAAATTAGCTGGGCATGGTGGTGGGCACCTGTAGTCCCAGCTACTAGGGAGGCTGAGGCAGGAGAATGGCGTGAACCCGGGAGGCGGAGGTTTCAGTGAGCCGAGATCGCGCCACTGCACTCCAGCCTGGGCGACAGAGCCAGACTCCATCTCAAAAAAAAAAAAAAAAAATCCCTAGATGATGAGTTGATAGGTGCAGCAAACCACCATGGCACATATATACCTATATAACAAACCTGCATGTTCTGCACATGTATCCCAGAACTTAAAAAAAAAAAAAAAAAGACATGTGAATGGACTTGGCACCACTACTTAAGAAACACACATGGCGTCGGACGCGGTGGCTCACGCCTGTAATCCCAGCACTTTGGGAGGCAGATGTGGGCAGATCACTTGAGTCCAGGAGTTTGAGACCAGCCTGGGCAACATGACAAAACCCCATGTCTACAAAAAATGCAAAAAAAATTAGCCAGGTGTGGTGGTGCATGCCTGTGGTCCCAGCTATTCCAGGAGGCAAAGGTGGGAGGACCAACTGAGACCAGGAGGTGGAGGTTGCAGTGAGCTGAGATTGTGCCACTGCACTTTGGCCTGGGTGACAGGGTGAGACCCTGTCTCAAAAAAAAAAAAAAAAAAAAGAAACACACATATACCACAGCCACATTCTCAGCAGAAAGGAAGAGCTACGGCGCCCGTTTTAATTCCATGCAATCCAACAAACATGCCAACACCCTTCTCAGACAAGTGGGGTTAAGTGGTTGGAGCAACCGGCGTTCAAGAAAAGAGCGAACTTCGTCTTACCAGCTACACAGGATTTGCCTCTTTTCCTGTCGGTAGGGTACAGTTCAAGTTTAAAACCTCTTGACTGCCACGTATCACCTCTGCTCCCTTTAACTAAGCCTCTGCATCAAGGTGCTGAAACCAAAAAACCTCCCCACTGCTCCCACAAAGCTCTAAGTTCCCACTGGGAATTTTACAAACATCCTAAAAAGCAATGAAGGAAAAAGTCGATTTGAAGGGCGGGACTTAAGTCAGTTGTGTTTTTCTTACGACGCCCACACTGCAATGACTCAGACCACTAATCTCTGAAGGAGAAGCTCTCATGATTCTCCCTGGGCAGGGCAAAATGTCTCCAAACAGGAAGCCTTCAATATATTTTGCTATTTACACTTTTATTCTATAAATCTATATTCAAGGCTAAGATGATTCCTGAAAGGACAGTGGAATAAGAAACTCCTCTCAACACGCAGAGGCAGGATTCCTGGCCACCTGTACACCGACCTTCTCCGCCAGCCACTGGACCAACCAGAACGTGCTCTTAAACATAAGTGGCAAAACTCCCTGCACAAAAATTGGTGGTCTGACTAGACCTTTTCCCAGGTGTGCCTATGACAGTGAGAAATCTTAAGCCCAGAAGTAATATGTTACTGATTAGTCCAAATGAATCAATCAATCCTAGGTCAGCTTTTACAAAACTTGAAACCTTCAGGATGGGCTTTTCTGCAGTCTCAGGTTCTCTCGTCAGGCTCAGTTTCAAAACTGACTGGTGCGGAGGAAAGCGAGCTGCAGTGTGTCCTGAGGTACAGACCTCCCGCTTTAAAAAGCACATTCTCAGATTGTTTTCACTTGTCTATGGAAATTGCTGGAAGGTGGTAGTATGACTAAGAGACACACAAGGCAAGTCTGACCACATTCCCAACCACACCCCTACTATGGGGACAAGAATCAAACCTTACCCAGCCCAGTGAGGTTTAGGAAAAAAATACATGGAAATCTGGTAAAGAAGGAAACAAATCTCACTTGAGAATATACATGAATATATATAAATATACATTGTTTTTTAAGAAAAAGATAAATGGTCCCTCTTCCACTCAAATATTAAAATATTAACCATAACTTGAGGATAAGAATCACCAAGCCTGAGCTGGGCGCTGTGGCTCACGCCTGTAATCCCAGCACTTTGGGAGGCCGAGGCGGGTGGATTGCCTGAAGTCAGGAGTTCGAGACCTACTAAAAATACAAAAAATTAGTTGGGCATGGTGGTATGCGCCTGTAATCCCAGCTACTTGGGAGGCTGAGGCAGGAGAATCACTTGAACCCGGGACACGGAGGTTGCAGTGAGCTGAGATCACACCATTGCACAACGCGTTAATAAAAACAGGATACAGAACTGTATCTTAGTATAATTCCAGCAAGGGAAAAAAAAACATAAGAACTCTCATGAATATAAAAAACATTAAAAAGAAACAGTGCTTTCCTTTCAGTATGATGTCATATCAATGAAGGCATATAGGAAGTGAGACAATAGGCTGATCTTTTTTTTTTTGAGACAAAGTCTCGCTCTTATCCCCCAGGCTGGAGTGCAATGGCGCAATCTCGGCTCACTGCAACCTCCGCCTCCCGGGTTTAAGTGATTCTCCTGCCTCAGCCTCCCGAGTAGCTGGGATTACAGACGTCTACCACCACACCCGGCTAATTTTTTTTTTGTACTTTTAGTAGAGATGGGGTTTCACCATGTTGGCCAGGCTGGTCTCATTTCGAACTCCTGATCTCAGGTAATCCGCCAGCCTTGGCCTCCCAAAGTGCTGGAATTACAGGCGTGAGCCACCGCACCCGGCCTAGGCTGATCTTTTAAAAATTAAATTAAATTTCAATAGTTTTGGGGGAACAGGTGGTTTCTGGTTACATGGATAAGTTCTTCTATGGTGATTTCTGAGACTCTGGTGCACCTGTCACCCAAGCAGTGTACACGGTACCCAATGTGTAGTCTTTTATCTCTCACTCCCTCCCACCCTTTCCAGGCTGATCTTCTTAAAACATCATGTGGGCCCGGTGCAGTGGCTGATGCCTGTAATTCCAGCACTTTGGGAGGCTGAGGCGGGTGGATCACGAGGGCAGGAGTTTGAGACCATCCTGGCTAACATGGTGAAACCCCGTCTCTACTAAAAATAAAAAAATTAGCCGGGTGTGATGGTGGGTGCCTGTAGTCCCAGCTACTCTGGAGGCTGAGGCAGGAGAATGGCGTGAACCTGGGAGGTGGAGCTTGCAGTGAGCAGAGATTGCACCGCTGCACTCCAGCCTGGGTGACAGAGAGAGACTCTGTCTTTAAAAAAAAAAAAAATGTGTATTTAAACTTTAAGTTATTAACTTTTTTTTCTTCTTTTTTTTTTTTTTTTTTTGGAGACAGAGTTGCACAGTTACCCAGGCTGCAGCATAGTGGTGTGATTTCAGCTCACTGCAGCCTCAAGCTCCCGGGCTCAAGTGATCCTCTTGCCTCAGCCTCCAAGTAGCTGGGACTACAGGTGCACGCCACCACGCCCAGCTAAATTTTTTGGTACTTTTTTTTGTAGAGATGGGGTTTCACCATGATGCCCAGGCTGGTCTCCAACTCCTGAGCTCAAGTGATCTGCCTTCCTCCGCTTCTCAAAGCACTAGGATTATAGCCATGAGCCACCGTGCCAGCAGTAACTTTTCAAAATTACTTAATAAATGCTAGCTTTTCCTGTTCTTCATTTGGTACGTGTCTGTAGCCCCACTCTGAAAGAGCCCTCATTTAACTTGCCCCTATGGATCTCTCTCCCCCAACTCCTCTTCAAGTCAGAATTCCTGCCCCACTGTCTCTGCTGTCTGGCACTGAACTGAGGACAGAAGTAGTTTCTTTCTTCCAGCATTGATCACTTTTAAAACCAAAGCACTAACCCAATCACATAATCTGAATAGTTGCTACCAGAGCCGTTGTCCAGTGGAGGTAGCACCATACAACAGTGCCAATAGAATGCTCTCAAAAAAAGTTCCTTAGCCTTTCAGTTTAAGCAAAAATTAACTTTCTAGTACTGTTCTAGTCTTCTGTCCTTTAAGCAAATAAAAGGGATATGAGACAGGCAATACGAAACACAGACAAGGACACACATCAACTCTTCAGCTGTTGAAGGCTGCCTCCAACCCATAGTAGCCATTCTGGAGCAAGTTGCTGAAATTTTAGATGCTTAAGCCAATTCCTCAACACATTAACAAAACACCACCCCACCAACCCATACACAAATTATTCAGGGTGCAAAAGATAACTGTGAGGTCTTCGGAAATGCCACTGTTCCCTGATGAGGCAGTAGACTGTCAGCAGCCTGTTTTTTTAAAGATGTCCTTTAACTCATGTGGAAAAGAAGCTCTAAAAAGTGCCCCCATCACTGTCTATGTCATACAAAGGTCACCAGGATGTCTTATCTTTTAGGACGCATTTGGTTGTTTGTACCCACCAATAGGTAACTATGTCAGTAGGCAGTATCAAGTGATAACAGTTTTGCATGAATATTACATGTACACCGCACACAAAACAAGACATTCTGGTTTAACCAGGCTATCCTGCAAAGCCCCAGGACTAAGAGGTGAACCCTTTAGGGCTAGGAGGTTACGACAACATGTCAGAGAAACTTCAGAGACATAATAGTTAAGCTGCTGCACCACCTGCTGGGCCAAATGTGACCCCTTACTTTAAGCCAGCCTCTAATGCCTCCCATTTTTATGTTGATGACTGTTGCTGTCAATTTCTTTGCCCTCTAAACATTAAGAATTCCTCTATAAACTCAGTTTTCAAAATAATTTTATTCAATAAGGCACATCTCCGTACTTACCAAATCCAAAACAGCATTAAAAGTTTGTTTTATGAGAACTGAATACCAACGAGCCACTACATCTTAAACACACAGGACAACCTTCAGACACATACAGAAGACAGCACAGTAAGTTCTTCCTCCTCACCTGGACAATAGCTGCTTCGTTATCAGCCAGTCCTAATAAGAAAATGCGCACTTTGTCAATCTTCACTGGAACCGTTCTCCCTCTCCACTCCACTTCACTCATGGTAGCTGCCTGTTTGGCTCGAGTCTGAGTGATCAAAGCCTGAAAAATAGTTTAAAAAAGTTAAAGCTTTAACTGGGGATATGAGTGATGGAGGTGAAAATAAGTGGAATCTATCATTTGTCTCTTTGTATAACCAACATATTATACTCCATAGAAAGTAGAGTATACACCAATTTCTTTCATTTTTTTTGAGACAGTCTTGCTCTGTCACCCAGGCTGGAGTGCAGTGGCGCTATCTAGGCTCACTGCAACCTCTGCTTCCCAGGTTCAAGGAATTCTTGTGCCTTAGCCTCCTGAGAAGCTAGAACTACAGGCACATGCCACCATGCCCGACTAATTTTTGTATTTTTAGTAGAGACGAGGTTTCACCACGTTGGCCAGACTGGTCTCAAACTCCTGGCCTCAAGTGATCCACTTGCCTCAGCCTCCCAAAGTGCTGGGATTACAAGCATGAGCCACTGTGCCAGGCCTCTTTAATTTTTTTAGTAGACAGGGTCTTGCTCTGTTGCCCAGGCTGGAGTGCAGTGGCCTAATGACAGCTTACTGCAACCTCCAACTCCTGGGCTCAAGTGATCCTTTTGCCTCAGCCTCTCGAGCAGCTAGGACTACAGGTATGTGTCACCATGCCTGGCTAATTTAAGAAAAAAAAAAATTTTTTTTTTTTTTGAGACGGAGTTTTGCTCTTGTTGCCCAGGCTGGAATGCAATGGTATGAGCTCAGCTTACTGCAACCTCCACCTCCCAAGTAGCTGGGATTAGAGGCCTGCACCACCACATCCAGCTAATTTTGTATTTTTAGTACAGACGGGGTTTCTCCGTGTTGGTCAGACTGGTCTCGAACTCCTGACCTCAGGTGATCCATTCACCTTGGCCTCCCAAAGTGCTGGGATTACAGACATAAGCCACTGTGCCCAGCCTCTGAAAAAAATTTTTTTTGTAGAGGTGGGGTCTCACTGTGTTGCCCCGGCTGGTCTTGAACTCCTGGGCTCGAGTTATCCTTTCACCTCAGCCTCCCACAGTGCCAGGATTACAGGTGTGAACCACCCTGCTGGCCACCAATTTCTATTTGTTTTAAATTTCTCCCTGGTATCATATATTTTAGCTACAGAAATTCAAATATTAAAAGGACATAGCGGAAGGTTAAAAAGAGTAACACTAAGTTTTGGTAAGGATGTAAGGAGAAAAGCATATCTGTATACGCTACAAGCAGGAATGCTAATCAGTAGAAACTTAAAGACATTTGTCAGTATGTATCAAGTTTCCAAACCATTTAATTCCAGTTTTAGGAATTTATCCTAAGGAAATAATCAAGAATGTGTGCAAAATCTGAGGACATGGACATTCATGGTAATACTGTTTACCACTTAATGAACAATGAATGGTTAAATAAAACAGACTTCTATGCAACGGAGTACCATGCAGCCATCAAAGGATGATGGTGTATGGCTGGATAAGGTGGATCATGCCTGTGATCCCCTGTGATCCCAGCACTTTGGGAGGCTAAGGCGAACAGATTGCTTGAGCGCAGGAGTTCGAGAATGAGACCAGCCTGGGAAACACAGTGAGACTCTGTCTCTACCAAAAAACAAAAAAAAGTTAGCTAGGAGTGGTAACCTTCACCTGTAGTTCCAGCTACTCAGGAGGCTGAGGCAGGAGGATCACTTGAGAGCAGGAAATCAAGGCAGCAGTGAGTCAAAATCAAGCTACTGCACTCTGGCCTGGGCAAAAGAGACGCTGTTCAAAAAAATAATAATAAGTAAGCCGGGCGCGGTGGCTCACGCCTATACTCCCAGCACTCTGGGAGGCAGAGGCAGGTGGATCACGAGGTTAGGAGATTGAGACTATCCTGGCCAACATGGTGAAACCCCGTCTCTACTAAAATACAAAAATTAGCCGGGCGTGGTGGCGGGCGCCTGTAATCCCAGCTACTTGGGAGGTTGAGGCAGGGGAATCGCTTGAACCTGGGAGGTGGAGGTTGCAGTGAGCCAAGATTGCACCATTGCACTCCAGCCTGGCGATAGAGCAAGACTCCGACTCTAAATAAATAAATAAATATGGCAACCATGTGGTTTATATTTTTCCCTGATCTTTTGTATTTCTTGCTTTTTCTATATTACTTGCTTAGAAAATAAATGTAATGAGGTTAAACAATTGAATACTTGGCCGAGAACAGTGGCTCATGCCTGTAATCCCAGAACGCTGGGAGGCCGAGGCGGGCAGATCACTTGCAGTGAGCTGAGATCACGCCACTGCACTTTAGCCTGAGCGACAGAGTAAGACTGTCTCAAAAAAAAAAAAAAAAAAAGAATACTTCAAGTGTTAACTGCAAAAAGTTTTTTGGGCCGGGCGCGGTGGCTCATGCCTGTAATCCCAGCACTTTGGGAGGCTGAGGCGGGCGGATCTCGAGGTCAGGAGATCGAGACCATCCTGGCTAAGGCGGTGAAACCCCATCTCTACTACAAATATAAAAAAATTAGCCAGGCATGGTGGCAGGCGGCTGTAGTCCCAGCTACTTGGGAGGCTGAGGCAGGAGAATGTCGTGAACCTGGGAGGTGGAGCTTGCAGTAAGCCGAGATCGTGCCACCGCACTCCAGCCTGGGTGACAGAGCGAGACTCCATCTCAAAAAAAAAAAAAAAAAAAAAAAAAGAAAAAGTTTTTTGTTCAAACTTTTAGCAAATGTAGATATTTGCTAATACAGATATAAATATCCATATATTAATATCAAATATCCCTAGGGGATTATGAATTACTCCTTCTGGACTTTGTCCAAAGACTTTTCACAAAAATGTACATACTAGATTACCTCCAATTTTTCAGCCAAGAGACCCTCAGTGCCCCCAGACCTCAATCTCATCTGCATGAGTTCATTGATGGCTGACTGGTCCCCTAAGAGAGAAAGACAGGAAAATCTTCAAGGGTCTGGTCTGTTTTCTTGAGAATCACTAGATTCAACTCAGACTTAAAGAGCTCTTCCCCCTCCACATGCTACTTCAATGAATCTGCAGCACAATCTGTTCTCTGAAGACAAGTCTTTTATAAAGAATGAAATTGACTGGGGCAATGAAAATACTCCATATGGTATATAATGGTAAATACACATCATGAAACATTTGTCCAAACCCATAGAATGTACAACATCAAGCGTGAACCCTGATGTAAACTATGGACTTTGGGAGATGATGGTGTGTCTATAAAGGGCCATCAATTGTAACAAATGCACCCCTCTGGTGGGGGAAGATGCTAATGAGAGAGGCTATGGATGTGGGGAGGTGGGGTTACATGGATCTCTGTATCTTTCTCTCAGCCTTGCTGTGAACCTAAAACTGCTCTAAAACAGTAAAAAATGAACTCAGCCGGAGACTCAAGACTGCTCTTCGGGGGTACACAGCACAGCAGGACAGACACAGAAGCAGAACCGTCTTCTATAATTTTGGGCAGGGCTGGCTTCAACAGTTCTGCTTTTGCCATCAACCAAAACTCAGGTCAATGATGGAGGCAAGCGAAGAAGAAAGTTACATCAACTCTCTAGGCTCTCTGAAGTGAGCTCCCAATAGGCCATCTATCAATGTTCAAGTTGAGTATAATGCCTTGATCCCTGCTCTCACCAATATTATATGCACAATAGCGGATGTTGGGTGAAATCTCTTCCACACGTTGGTTATACAGCACAGCCTGCTCCTCTGTGAAAGCACTGGCTAGCTTCTCATAGATAGTTCTGCGAGAAAAGAAAAGCCAGGTTTTACATCAGCCTTATATAAGAAAAACTCATGGGGAACACAGTGACTAAAAACAAATTATGGCCTTTTGAAGCTCTCCTACCAACTACCATAACTGGCATGTTCTAAGGTTGAAAGAGAATCATCAACATTTCTATAGGAAAGAAAAGTCACCCTCACTTTCACAGAAACAATCCACTATCTGATCTGCAGCTTAAATTTGACAATCTGTAATTAAAACTGGCCACAGCCTTTGGACTATAGGACTTACTTGCATTTGTTAAAAGCCTCAATGGCAGCTTTCCATTCTTGATGTTCAAAACGTAGCATTCCTGAGAGGTAAGCTGTGTAAGCCTGTGAGGAGATGGAAGAGGAGGAACTGCTTCAACAGCAAACCAGTGCTCCCACTCAATCTTCCTTTATTGGCTTCTAACTTTGATATCAAGAATATGGATATGGGCCAGGTGCAGTGGCTCACACCTGTAATCCCAGCACTTTGGGAGGCCCAGGTGGGAGGATCACTTGAACCCACAGTTGAAGACAAGCCAGGGCAATATAGCAAGACCCTGCCTCTACAAAAAAATTTAAAAATAAGAATAAATTTTAAAAAAAGAAGAAAAAAAAGAACATGGATATGGGCTGGGCATGGGGCTCACACCTGTAATCCTAGCAATTTGGGAGGCCGAGGCAGGAGGGTTACTTGAGCTCAAGAGTTCAAGATCGGCCTGGGCAACACAGCAAGATCTCATCTCTACCAAAAATTAAAAAAAAATTACCCGGGTGTGGCCAGGCGCAGTGGCTCATGCCTGTAATCCCAACACTGGGAGGCCGAGGTGAACGGATCACCTGAGGTCAGGAGTTGGGGACCAGCCTGGCCAACATGGTGAAAACCTGTCTCTACTAAAAATACAAAAAAATTAGCTGGACATGGCGGCAGGCGCCTGTAATCCCAGCTACTCGGGAGGCTGAGGCAGGAGAATTGCTTGAAACTGGGAGGCAGAGGTTGCAATGGGCTGAGACTGCACCACTGCATTCCAATCTGGGCGACAGAGTGAGACTCTGTCTCAGAAAAAAAAAAAAAAAAATTTAGCCAGGTGTGGTGGTGTGCACCTCTAGTCCCAACTACTCAGGAGGCCATGGCAGGAGGACTGCATGAGCCCAGGAGTTCATGACTGCAGCGAGCCATGACTGTGCACTCCAGCTTGGGACACAGTGAGACTCTCTTTCTAAAAAACAAACAAAAAACCCAAACAAAGAATATGGAGATATATATATATAATATATATATAATATACATTATATATTATATAATATACATTATATATTATATAATATACATTATATATTATATAATATACATTATATAATATATAATATACATTATATATTATATAATATATAATATACATTATATATTATATAATATACATTATATATTATATAATATACATTATATAATATATAATATACATTATATATTGTATATTATACAATATATTATATTTATTTTATATATATATATATATATATATATATATATATATAAAATATATATATATATTTTTTTTGAGATGGAGTCTTGCTCTGTCCCCCAGGCTGGAGCGCAGTGGCACAATCTCAGCTCACTGCAAGCTCCGCCTCCCGGGTTCACACCATTCTCCTGCCTCTGCCTCCTGAGTAGCTGGGACTACAGGTGTCCGCCACTACGCCCAGCTAATTTTTTGTATTTTTAGTAGAGATGGGGTTTCACCGTGTTAGCCAGGATGGTCTCGATCTCCTGACTTTGTGATCTGCCCACCTTGGCCTCCCAAAGTGCTGGGATTACAGGCGTGAGCCACCACGCCCGGCCTAAGAATATAGATATATTAATCACAGGTTGATTTTTAAAGAGAAATACGTATTTAACCAATAAAATGTGATACATAGGCAATTTATTATGATTTATTCACTTCCCAGGAAAGAACTTCAAAAGAAGGAAATTTGTTTTCTGCATTTTACTTAACCATTTTCTGAGCTATAACATAAGCATCAGAAGTTGAATAAAACCTTGCAATATCTACCATCTCTTTTTTAAAAAACTCACTTCCAAAAAAAAGTTTACTTTGTGAACTTTCCAGGTACAAGATTGTAAGCTTTCATCTATATATCAAAACATGACCTTTCTTAAAAAGTTACAGCTAGATGGCCACGTGCAGTGGCTCACGCTTGCAATCCCAGCACTTTGGGAGGTCAAGGCAGGTGGGTGGATCACGAGGTCAGGAGCTCGGGACCAGCCTGGCCAACACAGTGAAACCCTGTCTCTACTAAAAATAAAAAAATTAGCCAGGCGTGGTGGCACGTGCCTATAATCCCACCTACTCGGGAGGCTGAGGCAGGAGAATTGCTTGAACCTGACAGGCAGACGTTGCAGTGAGCTGAGAACGCGCCACTGCACTCCAGCCTGGGCGACAAAGCAAGACTCTGTCTGAAAAAAAAAAAAAAAAAAGTTACAGCTAGTTATAAAAAACCAAGAGCTTGGGAATACTCATTCTATTTTATGGAATGAAGCGTTGCCCAATTTTAAAAAAAGGATAAAAAAAATCAAGAGCTGATAAACAAAACATGCTAACTTCTCCTCTTAAAAGCAAGTTCGGAAAGTTTTTTTCCTCTTCTGACTGTCACTTTCTAACACTAAGAAACTCTGTTCTGTTTAACTGCAGCTTTTTAAAATGTCTTTAATCTCCACAATAAACAAGCTGAATGTTGAGGTACTAACCTGAGCCTCTAATTTGGTCTTGGCATCCACGCGATTGCTCTCACACAAGCGTTCCAATTCCTCTGCATGCTTCACGGCTTTGCGTAGGCGAGATAACAAGTGAAACCGTTTTCGGGGTTCAGTGTTGGCTTCCTGTTTCAGCTGCATGGCGTAGCTCCAGGCTCTTTCAGCATCCATCAGAACCAGAAGCAAGTATCTAGACCAGAGACAGAAGTGGGGAGACAATAAAGGCCATCAACAGACCCAGATATTCTCTGAGGTGTAATCTTCGGCTTCTCGGCTTTTCTTTATACTCTCCCGCCTTTGCCACTCTCAAAACAACTCTTCTGATATTCTCAGCCATGACTCTAAACCAGTATCTCTATTCCTAACCTGGGCTCAATCTCAGGTTTCTCATCATCTACTAGACACATCTCATTGAAAAGCCTCTACCACCTCAAACACGGTAAATCCAGAATCATGACCTACCCCTCCTGAATGTTGTCAAACAGACACGGTCTAGGCACACGATCTGGCCTCATTTTTGAATCAACACTTCCTTCATCTCAATCCAGTTAGAAAAGTCCTTAAGAGGCAGTATATTGCCTAGGTGCGGTGGTTCACACCTATAATCCCAGCACTTTGGGAGGCTGAGCCAGGCATATCACCTGAGGTCAGGAGTTCGAGATCAGCCTGGCCAACATGGTGAAACCCCATCTCTACTAAAAATACAAAAATTAGCTGGGTGTGTTGGTATGCGCCTGTAATCCCAGCTACTTGGGAGGCTGAGGCAGGAGTATCTCTTGAACCGAGGAGGCGGAGGTTGCAGTGAGCTGAGATCACGCCACTATACTCTCGTTTGGGCAACAGGGCAAGACTCCATCTCAAAAAAAAAAAAAAAAAAAAGAGGCAGTATATTAAAGTGGTGATAAACAAGAGCTCCAGAGCCCGGGACAGAATCCCAGTGCCACCGCTTACTAGCTGTGTGACTGTGGGCAAAGTACTAACCTTTCTGCGCACCGCTCTCCCATGTAGTAATACAAATAACACATTTAGACCAGAACCTGGCACTTACTAAGTGCTCAGTAAGGTCGTTAACTACTTTATTATTATACTGGTGAATCTTTCTTTACTGCCTTGATCAATCTGTCTTAAACTTCAGCTTAACCTTGTCTCTTCAGAGTAAAGGATCTTGCTATCATAAGATAGTC
The DNA here is from genome assembly GCF_000001405.40 of Homo sapiens. NCBI lineage: Eukaryota > Metazoa > Chordata > Mammalia > Primates > Hominidae > Homo > Homo sapiens. The sequence goes on from NC_000017.11 coordinate 76,065,166, forward strand.
CAGGCTCGGTGTAGTGGCTCATGTCTGTAATCCCAGTACACTGGGAGGCTGAGGTGGGAGGATCACTTGAGGCCAGGAGTTTGAAACCAGCCTGGTCAGCACAGCGAGATCCCATCTTTACAAAAGAAAAAAAGAGAAAAGTTAGCTGGGCATGGTGGTACATGCCTATAGTCCCAGCTACTCAGGAGGGTGAGACAGGAGTTGTTCAAGGCTGCAGTAAGCTATGATCCCACTGCTACACTCCAGCCTGGGTGACAGTGAGACCCTGTCTCAAAAAAAAAAAAAAAAAAAAAAGGGAGAGTCCAGATTTCTCCCAACTGGTTCTCATGAGATTTAATCACTACATCCTGCTGCATCCTATTATGGTCTCCAGGCTCTAGCTTTCTGACTGTACACACCAAGCTCACAACCTTTTCACTGCCTGAGTAGCAGCTAACAAGTGTCCAGAGCTTTACAGTTCCTAGACTGCATGCACGGATACCAGGGCATGCTGCTTCCCCCGACACAGAATGTTCTTCACTCTCACAAATCCTTCAAGGTCAAGCCTCCTCTGTGTGGGCTTACTGACTTCCCTGTCAAAAGCCTTCAAGCTCAAGTCTCCTTTCCAAGGCTTTAGAATGCTGAACAGTAAATGATATACAACATTGCACTTTTACTGTAGCATTCCCTGGTTTGCACTGACCAACATTTTCCAATAAGATGAAAGTCAATGAGGTTCAAGGACCATGCCTCCTCTCCTTCTATATCTAGTGTGTCACAACTACTCTGCTGATGTAGCACAAAGCAGCTCTAAACAATACCTATGTGAATGGGCGTGGCTGGGTTCCAATAAAACTTCATTTACACAAAAGGTGGCAGCAGCGTAATTTGGCCCGTAACTGTGAGGAAGACCCGGGGGCCTTGACTACATGTTGCCTGACAGACTAAAAATTCTTCAGCAAATGCCAAGCACTGGTGTATTCAGCACTGAAATACAAGACTCTTCTATAATAATTTACACACCAGCCTGGCGCAGTAGCTCACGTCTGTAATCCCAGCACTTTGGAAGGCAAGAGGTGGGTGGATCACCTGAGGTCAGGAGTTCAAGACAAGCCTGGCCAACATGGTGAAACCCTGTCTCTACTAAAAATACAAAACTCAGCTGGGCGTGGTGTCACGTGCCTGTAATCCCAGCTACTCCGGAGGCTGAGGCAGGAGAAGCTTGAACCCGGGAGGTGGAAGTTGCAGTGAGGTGAGACGACACCACTGCACTCCAACCTGGGCAACAGAGTGAGACTCCGTCTCAAAAAAAAAAAAAAACACACCACTCAACCACTCAATTTCATTAAGATATATTGATATATGCATCTAGTTTCAGACATTGAAATTTATATTCTAGAAACCTTACCTAATAATCAATTAGATTCTAATCACTGACTTCAACATTTGCCATCCCAACAGGTTTTTTTTTTTTTTTTTTGGTTTTAAAAAGCAGAGTTTAATAGGCAAGAAGGGAGAAGAAGCTTCCCTGTACAGAGACAGAGGAAGGGGGGCTCCAAAGCTGAGACAGTGAATCTCACCCCCTCCTTTTTTTTTTTTTGAGATGGAGTGTCACTCTTGTTGCCCAGGCTGAAGTGCAATGGTGTGATCTTGGCTCACTGCAACCTCTGCCTCCCGGGTTCAAGTAATTCTTGTGCCTCAGCCTCCTGAGTAGCTGGGATTACAGGCGCCTGCCACCATGCCCGGGTAATTTTTATATTTTTAGTAAAGTAGGGGTTTTGCCATGTTGGCCAGGCTGGTCTTGAACTCCTGACCTCAGGTGATCCACCCACCTTGGCCTCCCAACGTGCTGGGATTATAGGCGTGAACCACTGCACCTGGCCCCAACACAGTTCTTGAACAACCTAATGTATCTCTTTGAGCCTCAGTTTCCTTGCCTTAGAACACAGGAATAGTAAACAATGCCCAGCCCACAGAGATAATTAAAAGGTTTGGCATGAAGTCTACCACGTCATTGTTCAATAAATGTATTAGCAAGAAGTAATTTGCAACTAGCATGGAGCAGTCAATACCTATTATCGGTCAGAAGCTCTTCAGTCACTTTCTTCCCTGTGAATTTGTGTCTGTTACCCATCTTGAAGTTGAGTGTTTTTCGAAGACGTCTTTGTCTACGGGAACAGTAGCCCCTGTAAGAAACCACAAACAAAACTCACTCAGCCAAGCTGAGAGTATTTTGAATAATAAATTCTGCAATAAGGCAAGGTCAAGGGTCAATGGTTTGGGATATTATACTTATGGTTACTAGAATTATCACATATCAGCTTCCAAACATTTTTTTCTTTTCTTTGAGACAGAGTCTGGCTCTGTCACCCAGGCTGGAGTGCAGTGGTGTGATCTTGGCTCACTGCAGCCAGGCTCAGTCAATCCTCCCACCTCAGCCTCCTGGGTAGATGTGACCAACAGAGGTGTACCACCACACATGGCTAATTTTTGTACTTTTTGTAGAGACAGGGTTTCACTATGTCACCCAGGCTGGTCTCGAAATCCTTGGACTCCAGCAATCCGCCCACCCCAGCCTTCCAAAGTGCTGGGATTACAGGCATGAGCCACCATACCCGGCCCTAAACATTTATTGAACAACTAAAACATGGAGGGCAATATGATTGGTATTATAGGAAACACAAAGAGATGGAGGACACAGTGCCCATGTTCAAGGAACCCACATTAAAATTGAGTAGAATCATGCAGAGAAAATGGCAACCAAGAAAACAAGGCAAATGTCAAGTTGAAAGGACATGGGTAATCATTCTCTTGTTAGCACCTTCAGCTGCAGTGGACTGATGGCGGGGCCTAGAAAGAATGAGGGGCTGGGTGCAGTGGCTCACACCTGTAATCCCAGCACTTTGGGAGGCCGAGGTGGGCGGATCACTTGATGTCAAGAGTTCGAGACCAGCCTGCCCAACATGCAGAAACCCCGTCTCTACTAAAAATACAAAATTAGCCAGTTGTGGTGGCACATGCCTGTAATCCCAGCCTACTCGGGAGGATGAGGCAGGACATTCGCTTAAACTCAGGAGGTGGGGGTTGCGTTGAGCCAAGATTGCGCCATTGCACTTCAGCCTGGGCAACAACAGTAAAACTCCGTCTCGAAAAAAAAAAAAATTAGCCAGGCATGGCGGGCGGGCGCCTATAATTCTAGCTACTCGGGAGGCTGAGGCAGAGAACTGCTTAAACCCGGGAGGTGGAGGTTGCAGTGAGCCGAGAACACGCCATTGCACTCCAGCCTAGGCAACAGAGCAAGACTGTGTCTGAAAAAAAAAAAAAAAAAGAAGAAGAAGAAGAATGAGGAGGATTCTAATAAATGTAAAGAAAGCAGGGAAAGGGGCATCCTGAGGAAGACTAAGATGACACCAAACATATGGAGAAAGAACTGCAGGCAGGTCTGAAGAAAAGTGAGGAAGCCAATTAGGTTATCGCCAAGAAGCACTACAAATGTCACCTCTATGCCAAGCCTCCTCCTCTATGCTCATGTAGCTCTTTATTCTTCCTTCTATTACAGTGTGTGACATTATAATTATGTTCTCACATAGTTGTCCACTAATATAAATCCCTTTAGTGCAGGGAGAATTATTTTTTTGAGACAGAGTCTCACTATGTTGCTGTTGCCCAGGCTGGGCTCGAACTCCGGGGCTTAAGCAATTCTCGGGCCTCATCCTCCCAAGTAACTGGCACTATGGCATGTGCCACCATTCCAGCTAGGATTTCATTTTTAAATTTTCCACAATGCCTTACCACAGTGTCTAATATGCAGATGTTCAATACATACATTTTGACTAAATTAGTTTAAAATATATATATAAATAAATAAATATATATATATATAAAATTGCACCAACCTTTAAGTCAAAGTAATACAGCACATAATTTACAATACAAAATGATATTTCAATACTACTTCAGGGGCCGGGCGTGGTGGTTCACGCCTGTAATCCTAGCACTTTGGGAGGCTGAGGCAGGCAGATCACTTGAGGTCAGGAGTTCGAGACCAGCCTGGGCAACATGGTGAAACCCCATCTCTACTAAAAATACAAAAATTAGCCAGGCATGGTGGTGCATGCCTGTAGTCCCAGGTACTCGGGAGGCTGAGGCAGGAGAACTGCTTGAACCCGGAAGGCGGAGGTTGCAGTACACCGAGATCGTGCCACTGCATTCCAGACTGGGTGACAGACAAAGACTCTGTCTCAAAAAAATAAGTAAATAAATAAAATGAAATAAAAATAAATAAATAGGCCAGGCACATTGGCTCACACCCGTAATCCCAGTACTTTGGGAGGCTGAGGCAGGTGGATCACCTGAGGTCAGGAGTTCAAGACCAGCCTGGCCAACATGGTGAAATCTTGTCTCTACTAAAAATTAGCCGGGCATGGTGGCATGTGCCTTCAGTCCCAGCCACTCAGGAGGCTGAGGCAGAAGAATCACTTGAACCCGGGAGGCGGAGGTTGCAGTGAGCCGAGATCGCGCCACTATACTCCAGCCTGGGCAACAGAGTGAGACTCCGTATCAAAAATAAATAAAATAAATACTACTTCAGCATCTCAATCAAAGCTACCAGGGTATAGATTATTTAAAAGAAAAAAAAAAAAAGAAATAGGCCAGACACGGTGGCTCACGCCTGTAATTCCAACACTTTGGGAAGCTGAGGTGGGTGGATCACCTGAGGTCAGGAGTTTGAGACCAGCCTGGCCAACATGGCGAAACCCCATCTCTACTAAAAATACAAAAATTAGCCAGGCATGGTGGCACATGCCTATAATCCCAGGTACTCTGGAGGCAGAAGCAGGAGAATCACCTGAACCCGGGAGGCATGGGCTGCAGTGAGCCAGGATTGCGCCACTACACTCCAGCCTGGGTGACAGAGTGAGACTCCATCTCAAAAAACAAACAAACAAACAAACAAAAAAAACAGCTACTCAGGAGGCTGAGGCAGGAGAATCGCTGGAACCCAGGAGGTGGAGGTTGCAGTGAGCCAACATTGCGCCACTGCACTCCAGCCTGGCGACAGAGCGAGACTCCATCTCAAAAAAAAAAAAAAAAACAAAGCAAACAAACAAACAAAAAAAACAATGCTCTAGACTTTCTAGCATATTTGCTGATATAGCAGAGTAAACAGGATATTAACAAAAGCAAAGCAAGTCCCACAATGATTTCCAAACATCTTGTATGTGATACTAACCTGTACCTCTGAAAATCTCCATGCCGTAAACCATGCTGCTGCTGGGATTCCTTAATAATCTGAAGAACTAGAGTCGAGATTAAGGAAAATCTTACCATAGCAAGAATCCAAACAAATCAAAACCTGTACCATCAGTCTATATCTGTGTCAAACCACAACACATTAAACATTTGTGAAATATAGCCAGGTACGGTGGCTCATGCCTGTAATCCCAGCACTGTGGGAGGCCGAGGCGGGTGTATCACCTGAGGTCAGGAGTTCAAGACCAGCCTGGCCAGCATGGTGAAACCCCGTCTCTACTAAAAACACAAAAAATTAGCCGGGCGCAATGGCTAGCACCTGTAATCCCAGCTACTCGGGAGGCTGAGGCAGGAGAATCGCTTGAACTTGGAAGGCAGAGGTTGCAATGAGCCAAGACAGCGCCACTGCACTCCAGCCTAGGTGAGAGTGAGATTCAGTCACACATGCACATGCACACACACACACACACACACACACACACAAATTTGTGAAATATTTAGTACACTGGTGAGATCTTTTGTAACCATTTTCAATATCTATCTTGTCACAGGACAGGGCTAACCTACAGGAAAACTGATTGCCTGAACTGTTACTACTTGCAAACTGAAAAAGGAGGGCACTACTGGCCACTGGAAACTGCCAAAACCCAGTTTAAATTAAGCTGATGGATTCTAAATGCTGACTATAATTGGGGTGCTTCACACCAATTAACACCTAGACCCCACATTTTATTCATTCAGATTCAGGTTATAAATGACATGTACTAAGCCTCCATTTGCATAATCTCCAACACCTGCCAAATCTAACTTTCCTTAACAGCTGTGATGCTTAGAGAGTCTATGATTAGCACATGTCAACCAAGCTAGGCTACAGTTTGCATAAAAGTATTAAGGTTTTTCTTTCAAAAGAAGAATGGCCAGATTCTCCTTTTAATAATCTTAAAATATTTAAGATTATGTACTAATCTTTAGAAAGTCCAATGACCTTCATCTATATAGGTATAGTTTTAATGTTTCCTCAACACTTCTCTAGAGACATATTTTAAAATAGTGAACGCTAAAAGGACTCTTTAAATTACTAAAACGGGACAAAGAGATATAAAGGTCTCAGTAAAATCAGGGCTCGCTAGCGTCTACTTGGAACTATTACCAGTAATTCAAAATATTTAACTCCAAGCGCCTGAGAACTTTAAGCACATTAAGATGTCAAGTTGAATGTGTTATTTCAGAAACTCGCCTACGTTTTCTCCATTTGTTATTCATTTCAAAAGGTCACAAACTAGTACCACAAGCACTTGGTTGAGATACACACTGATGGAAACTAGAAACCGATTCCTCCAGCTTATATGAATGACTGTCAGCAAGATAAAATGCCTACAGACCGATCAGAAAAAAATGACACAATCGATATTAACTACGGTAACTTACAATCAAAATGGGCAACAAGCTTTTCCTGAGTCAATCTTTACCTCCACTTTCAAAGTATCGAGCTGTAGGTTTTACTACTCAGTCTATGACGACTGTCAGACAAGAGTATTAAGCCAAATGTCAAGACTGCAGTTTCCTCTCCCCAGTTCAGTGGCTCAAGGTGCCAAAGCAAGGTGCTCAAGGTGTCACTTGGTCACAAGCCCTCCAACTGGACAACTGCGGGGCACCAGGGGAAACCTGCCTGATATCCCAGTGCCACTGGAAGAAACGGACCTAGCCAGGACGGCGAGGGGGACACGAGGAAAGACTAGTCGAGAGACAGACCCCCCCCGGAATTCTGAGCACCAAAAGGTAAGGGCGAGAGAAACTGCAACCCTCGGCCTCTCCTGCCAGGACTTGTCGGGACCCGCCGCCTCTCCCGCCCCCAGCCCTCCAGTTCGACACGTAATCATTGCGAGTTAGGCCCGATTACTCTAGGATACTCTCCAAACTCAGGCTATCCCCAAATTCTTTGTTTGCCTTCGATCCGGCCGAAGGGCGTTCGTTTTCTTTATTTTCTTCCCCTCCGGCACCACGTCCACCGCCGCTACCGCCGCCGCCACTGCCACCGCCGCCGCCACTGCCGCCGCCGCCGCCGCCGCCTGGGACCTGCTTCTCAGCAGCCATCTTGCCCCTGCGCCGCAGAGCAAGACGGGATAGGGGAGGCGGGACGACCTGGGCGGGTGAGAGCTGGACCTGCCTGGCCGGGCTGATGGGATAGCGGCGGACTCCGCCGCCGTCGGCCCTTGCTGCAGCAGGGCGCCATGTGCTGGAGCGCGCCTGCGCGAGGGATCCTGTCATCCCGGGTCCGGAATTGTGGCTGGCTAGGTGGGGACTTGAGGCCGCAGTGAGACCGTGGCTGCTGAGATCTCAGGGGGCAGTCCCACCTCCCACCCACTAAGGGCGGAGAACCGGAGGTGGACCCCAGGTCCTGCATCCTGGACTGGGGATCTGGTTCACGTCCTGCCCAGCAGAAAGCAGGAGACCAAAGATACTGGATTTCGGGGTGTCTGCATCCCCAGGGACTCAAGAGATGGGGTCCTCCCTACCGGAACGGGACACCCCGTCCGTAAGGGACCCGCCTCTGCCTGCCCTTTCCTCTGAGGCTGGCCGTAAGAACGCCAAGCCGGAGGAAGCGCTGCGCAGTCAGCAGACGGTGTCCTAACGGGGTGACTTTCTCAGACCGCTTGGGGCCGTGGACCACTGCACTTTGGGGCCGTCAGTCCAAAGAGGGAGAAGTGTTGAGACATGGGAAAATATGAATTTTTGCTTTGCACCTTCTAGAGTCTGAGACCTGGGATTCCAATCCCCGCTCCGTCATTAGCGGCAGGGACATGTTGGGCACGTAACTTAATCTCCCTGTAAATCTGTTCCTTCATCTATGAAATGGGGATAACCAATTTAAGTGGTTGTTAGGAAGATTAAATGACGGATTTTTTTTTTTTTTTTAGATAGAGTTTCGCTCTTGTTGCCCAGGCTGGAGTGCAATGGTGTGATCTCGGCTCACTGCAACCTCTGCCTCCTGGGTTCAAGCCATTCTCCTGCCTCAGCCTCCCGAGTAGCTGGGATTACAGGCGCCTGCCACCACGTCCCGCTAATTTTTGTATTTTTAGTGGAGACGGGGTTTCACCATGTTGGTCAGGATGGTCTCGATCTCCTGACCTCGTGATCCGCCCGCCTCGGCCTCCCAAAGTGCTGGGATTACAGGCGTGAACCACCGCGCCCGGCCCTGAACTCTATTTTGAATTTCCTCAAGGTATACGGAATAAGGTCAGGAGAAAAAGAATAAGGATCTGATGCATTCAGATTTAACTAACTCTCCCATACATCTCATTCCTTTCTCAGCAGATCCCTCTTAGAAGGAAGTGTTACCATTTCCTTGTTACAGCTGAGGAAACTGAGGCATGGAGCCAAAGACAGAGCCTGACACAATAGATGCTCAGTATATTGGATTGAATTGGAGGGAAAACGTTCAATGGGTAAGAGAAGGGAAAAAGGTGGCCGGGCTCGGTGGCTTACGCCTGTAATCCCAGCACTTTGGGAGGCCGAGGTGGGCGGATCACTTGAGGTCAGGAGTTTGAGACCAGCTTGGCCAACATGGTGAAACCCCATTTCTACTAAAAATACGAAAATAAGCCAGGCGTGGTGGCAGGCGCCCGTCATCCCAGCTACTCGGGAGGCTGAGGCAGGAGGATCGCTTGAACCCGGGAGGCGGAGGTTGCAGTGAGCCGATATCATGCCACTACACTCCAGCCTGGGCGACAGAGTGAGACTCTGTCTCAACAAATACAAATACAAAAAACTAGCCAGACGTTGTGGCGGACGCCTGTAGTCCCAGCCCCTCAGAAGGCCGAGGCAGGAGAACCGTTTGAACCCGGGAGACGGAGGTTGCAGTGAGCCGAGATCGCGCCACTGCACTCTAGCCTGGGCGAAAGAGCCAGACTCCGGGGCCCCTCATCCGCCTCCGCCCCGCGTTTCCTCCCCCCGATCTCCCAGGGGTCCTCTTTTGAGGGCACCCCAGCCCCTCGACGGTCCCGGGATATCCTGCACCCCTGCCAGGCTGCAGGGAAGCGCCGAGGCGCGCGGAGTGCGAGGTCCGTGCTCCCTGCGGCGCGGCGCACACGCAGGGTCCGGGGTCGACCCCTCCACCGCTCCGGCGTCTGCCGGGGAAGTCAGTCCGCCTGGTCAGCCCAGAACCCCCGACTGCGGGGGCTGGAGCTCGGAAGCAGGTACAAGCGCCACTCTCCGCCTGCGCCGTGGAATGCGCGCCGGGACCACTCCGCAGCCCTTCCCCCAGCGCCGCCGGCCGCTGCTGGGGACAACCTCGCCCTCCTGTCTCTTGCTCCTCCTCCTGACCCCAGCGCACCCCCATCCCCGCCCCAGATGAGGCAAGGCTCCCTCCGCCTTCAGCCCGGCAGAGTCGCACTAGGAGTTGCAGCGGCCGCAGCCCCGGGAGCTTCCCGCTCGCGGAGACCCAGACGGCTGCAGGAGCCCGGGCAGCCTCGGGGTCAGCGGCACCATGAACGTCTCGGGCTGCCCAGGGGCCGGGAACGCGAGCCAGGCGGGCGGCGGGGGAGGCTGGCACCCCGAGGCGGTCATCGTGCCCCTGCTCTTCGCGCTCATCTTCCTCGTGGGCACCGTGGGCAACACGCTGGTGCTGGCGGTGCTGCTGCGCGGCGGCCAGGCGGTCAGCACTACCAACCTGTTCATCCTTAACCTGGGCGTGGCCGACCTGTGTTTCATCCTGTGCTGCGTGCCCTTCCAGGCCACCATCTACACCCTGGACGGCTGGGTGTTCGGCTCGCTGCTGTGCAAGGCGGTGCACTTCCTCATCTTCCTCACCATGCACGCCAGCAGCTTCACGCTGGCCGCCGTCTCCCTGGACAGGTGAGCCAGCGCCTTGGCCTCCCTGGGAGATGGGCATCCACGCGGGGGATGGAGCGGGAGGCGGGACTGGGGACCAAGAAGGGACGCGCAGAGTGGGACAGGACACTAAGAAGGCAGTGGAAGACAAGCGGGCGCGGAGGAGGAAAAAGAGGAATAAGAATGGGGGACCGTGGTGTCCCTCGGTTAGATGCGTCCTGGGGCCTGGAAGCCTGGAGAATGTGGCTCTCCAGCGCCGCCCGTGCCTGACAACGCGCAGCGTTTCCCAGTACGACGCGTTTGTGCGCGTTCATCTCGCTTGAGCTTAATGCCCTCCGTGAGGGTGGGATAGGACAAAGTGCCCAATATACAGAAGAGTTGAGTTCCTAAGTAACTCGCTCAGAGTCGCCAGCCAGGGATCGGGTGCGTGAAGTGACCGTCTGTCTCCTGCAGCCAACTTCAGGCGCCTCCACTGCGCTCGCCTCCAAGCCACGGTTTGGTTGGTTGGTGCAGCTGGCTCAGGTCCAGGCTGTGGATCTTGGGTCCTTTGCAAGGATCCACTCCGGAGTCCCAGCGAGCGTGCCTAAAGGTCCCTAGCTCAGTCCCAGCCCACTCTGCCTCTCGCCTCCAAACAAAACAAAACAAAATAAAATCCAAAACAAGTCGGGGCCGGGAGAGGAGCGTGCCCTGGGGTTCTTCCTCCCCAGCCAGAGGAGAGCGAGAGACGCACATTCGGGAGAGCGCGGGACTCAGGTGGAGCTTGAAAGGACACTGGGATGGTTCCTGGGGAGGAAATCCGGGTATTTCCCCTCTCCATCCTCTGGAAAAACAGAGAGGCGAGGCCAGACTGCCCCCACACCTCCTGTAGCCACTGAGCGCGAAGTGCGTTGGTTCCGAGCGCGCTGGTGGGATCCACAAAGCTCGCATTCTCTCAGGAATCCCCTGAGAAATTAACTGTCCCTTGCCCAACATGTCTTCTCCAGGCTGTCTGCTAGAGCCTCAGGCGCCTCCGCCCTCCCTCCCGCGGCACCGTCACCAGTGGGTAGTCACAGCCTCCCGGAGCCCATAGCCGGTTCTCCAACCTTTAGTCTTCAGTGGCTTTGGGGTGCCCTCTCAGTGGAGACTGTGGTTGCAGTCCCCGGGGGCAGCGGGAGAATGGCTTGAAGGCACACCTTTCCTGCTGCCGGGCCCGCCCCATTTCCAGGCTCCGCTGAGTGTCTGGGACACGCTGGGAGGCCCCCACCTCCGCCCTCACGCCGAGCCTCACCCCCACCTCCTCTGTGTGCGGTGTAACCATGCGCTAAGGACCTTCCTCGAGAGCAGCCTTGGGACCGAGGTGCAGGGGTCGCGGCCCTCCAGCATGAATGTGCCCGCTCAGCCGACGTCTCCCTTCCCGGTCTGACCGCAGGTATCTGGCCATCCGCTACCCGCTGCACTCCCGCGAGCTGCGCACGCCTCGAAACGCGCTGGCAGCCATCGGGCTCATCTGGGGGCTGTCGCTGCTCTTCTCCGGGCCCTACCTGAGCTACTACCGCCAGTCGCAGCTGGCCAACCTGACCGTGTGCCATCCCGCGTGGAGCGCCCCTCGCCGCCGCGCCATGGACATCTGCACCTTCGTCTTCAGCTACCTGCTTCCTGTGCTGGTTCTCGGCCTGACCTACGCGCGCACCTTGCGCTACCTCTGGCGCGCCGTCGACCCGGTGGCCGCGGGCTCGGGTGCCCGGCGCGCCAAGCGCAAGGTGACACGCATGATCCTCATCGTGGCCGCGCTCTTCTGCCTCTGCTGGATGCCCCACCACGCGCTCATCCTCTGCGTGTGGTTCGGCCAGTTCCCGCTCACGCGCGCCACTTATGCGCTTCGCATCCTCTCGCACCTGGTCTCCTACGCCAACTCCTGCGTCAACCCCATCGTTTACGCGCTGGTCTCCAAGCACTTCCGCAAAGGCTTCCGCACGATCTGCGCGGGCCTGCTGGGCCGTGCCCCAGGCCGAGCCTCGGGCCGTGTGTGCGCTGCCGCGCGGGGCACCCACAGTGGCAGCGTGTTGGAGCGCGAGTCCAGCGACCTGTTGCACATGAGCGAGGCGGCGGGGGCCCTTCGTCCCTGCCCCGGCGCTTCCCAGCCATGCATCCTCGAGCCCTGTCCTGGCCCGTCCTGGCAGGGCCCAAAGGCAGGCGACAGCATCCTGACGGTTGATGTGGCCTGAAAGCACTTAGCGGGCGCGCTGGGATGTCACAGAGTTGGAGTCATTGTTGGGGGACCGTGGGGAGAGCTTTGCCTGTTAATAAAACGCACAAACCATTTCACACACAGTGACAGCGCTGTTTCGCGTTTCTCATTGTCTTGAGATTCTGGGAGGAAGCCTCTGGGGCTTCACAGAGGGGCTCCCTAGGGGTAAGTGCAGGACCCTTTGCAGAGCTACCAGGAAAGAGGGCTGATCACACCTCAGGCAGCCGGGTTACAATCCGCATAAAAATCTGAGTCTGGGGAGCGTGCGACAGAGGCAGGCAGATTGTTTAAGGCGTTCGATAAAGTCGGTTGATGACAGACACAGATGTGTGTTCCCAGCCGCATTTGTGCTCTGGTGTGTGACAGGTCTGTCCTTGCCTGCTTTCAGCTCCCAGGGCCCCTTTGAGTCTGGGCAGCCCAGTCAGTCCCCGTCCATTTTTGGCCTTAGCTTTTCCTTCCCTGGCTACATCTGGGCCAGGATCAAGTCTCCAGCAGCTGTTTCACTCCCCGGCGGGGGGGGGGGGGGCAGGAAAGTCTTTCCCTGGCAGGTTGGGCTCCAGGTGCACAGCACTGCTGGGCTGGCGCAAGCTGAGAATCCACTTCAGGACAAGAATGTCCCAGGGCTTTGCTCATGAGTTGGCCTTTACCTGTTGTCAGGTAAAACTCCCTTCCCAGAGGTTTTTTTTGCTTCTGTTTTTTTTTTTTTTTTTTTTTTGGTTGTTGTTGTTTGTTTTTCTTTTGAGACGGAGTTTTGTTCTTGTTGCCCAGGCTGGAATGCAATGGCACAATCTTGGCTCACCGCAACCTCTGCCTCCCAGGTTCAAGTGATTCTCCTGCCTCAGCCTCCTGAGTAGCTGAGCTTACAGGCGTCGACCACCATGGACGCTAATACGGCTAATTTCTGTATTTTTAGTAGATACGGGGTTTCACCATATTGGCCAGGCTGGTCTCAAACTCCTGACCTCAGCTTCCCAAAGTGCTGGGATTACCAGAGTTCTTTTGTTCTTTTTGTTGTTGTTGTTGGGGGGAAGTGGGGTGGAAGGCAGAATCTCGCTCTGTCGCTCAGACTGGAGTGCAGTGTTGCAATCTCGGCTCACTGCAACCTCCACTTCCTGGGCTCAAGTGATCCAGCTTCAGCCTCCTGAGTAGCTGGGACTACAGGTGCATGCCACCACGCCCAGCTAACTCTTGTGTTTTTGATAGAGACAGAGTCTCCCTATGTTACTCTGGTCTCAAACCCCTGGGCTCAAGCAGTCTGCCCTCCTTGGTCTCCCAAAGTGCTGAGATTACAGGCATGAGCCACCACATCCAGGGTTCTTGAGCCAAGGCTCTTTACACAAAATCACTTCAGTGTTTAAGGAGAGCAAGGAGACTCTCAAGGCTGTCCCCATCTCACATCGTTAAGCACAGAACACTCTGCCCAAAGGTTTGGGTCTTAGGTAGGCTGGTGTCAGCCACCGAAATGCAGGGGACACTCGTGGGCCCTGATTGGAAGTACAAAGTCAGGGAGAGGTAGAGGTCCTACACCTGCCAGGTCCCCCTGGGCAGGCATTGAGCGTCTCAACGGGTTCCAGGTGGTGGAAATGGAGCGGGACAGGGACACCAAGGCAGGTGCAGTGTGGGCGGGGCTGGGTCCTGGGCTTTATCTTTGAGCGTTTGCGGAACTGGGGCAGGGGCTGCCAAGTGCACGGCCCCAGAGTCCTTGCCCAGAGCAGCTGCCTCTGGCTAATTGCTCAGCTGCCAGAGAAGTGACTGGAATAGAGGTTGTAGCTTAGGCACCGCTGCTCCCTCCAGTCCCTCCGTGCAGCCGATGATGGCCCTATGGTCCCTGCTCCATCTCACCTTCCTGGGGTTCAGCATTACCTTGCTGTTGGTCCACGGGCAGGGCTTCCAAGGGACAGCAGCCAGTAGGTGGAGGGCAAGGTCATAAGCTTTGGGACTTGGGCCCTAGGGCACCTGAGTGACCTTGACTTTTCTCTCTCAGTCTGGCCATCCCTCTTCAACGTCAACTTGTCCAAGAAGGTTCAGGAAAGCATCCAGATCCCGAACAATGGGAGTGCGCCCCTGCTCGTGGATGTGCGGGTGTTTGTCTCCAACGTGTTTAATGTGGTAAGTGCCTCTAGGCCAAGGGCCCCAAGTGCTGAGCTGGGCAGGGAACAGGACTCAGCCCTGGATAGTGCTGGGGTCTCCTGCTGCGTTCTTTCAACACAGCGCTCACCCTGAGGTGATGCATTGCCCTTCCCCCAGGACATCCTGCGATACACAATGTCCTCCATGCTGCTGCTTAGGCTGGTGAGCTCCTATGCCTGGGGAGGTGGGATGGGAAAGCCCAGCTGAGTCCAGCTCAGAACTACCAGCCTTCATCAACATGCTGAGCTTAGGGGCATGGATATGTGGAGAGCAGGAGCCTCAGTGGTGCCCTTGTGTCCCCAGTCCTGGCTGGACACTCGCCTGGCCTGGAACACTAGTGCACACCCGCGGCACGCCATCACGCTGCCCTGGGAGTCTCTCTGGACACCAAGGCTCACCATCCTGGAGGCGTAAGTGAGACAGTTCCTGCCCCAGGAATCTGCCATGCATAGCCCTCCTTTTCCCCCATCTACAACCTAGAGGCTGTCTGAGTGAATATGACCCTCCTGGCGGTCCCCGCCGGACTAGCAGTGCACCTTCACTGCCTCGAATTCCCCTCCCACTGCCAGAACTCTGAAAGCAGCTGGGGTTGGGGTTGGGATGCCAGGGTCTCCCCCCGGCCCCGTCCAAGAAGGGGCTGGGGCTCTGGCTGTGGTGCCTTTCCCCACAGGCTCTGGGTGGACTGGAGGGACCAGAGCCCCCAGGCTCGAGTAGACCAGGACGGCCACGTGAAGCTCAACCTGGCCCTCGCCACGGAGACCAACTGCAACTTTGAGCTCCTCCACTTCCCCCGGGACCACAGCAACTGCAGCCTCAGCTTCTACGCTCTCAGCAACACGGGTGCTGACAGGGCAGGGGCTGCAGGGTTGAGGAGGGGAGGAGGAAGGTGGGGGAGGGGAACTCCCAGGTCTGTGGTGCAGGGGCAGGGTGCGGGGCAAGGGGAAGGGGCAAAGGCAGACAGAAGGCGAACTCCCAGGTCTGTGTTCAGAGCAGTCTACCCCAGGCTTAGGCGGGCAGCACCTGCTCTCCCACTGCGCCCCCCACTCGAGTGGCAGCCCATCTCTGTGCTCAGCGGTAGCCTCAGGGCCCCTCTCTAGGGTGACAGACTCAAACATTCGCAGCAGCTCTGCAATCCCAGAGGTCCGAGCACATCAGTCTTCTGTCCTCCCCAGAGCAACTGCCCTCCACAGCCATGGCGACTGCAGTGGCTCGGCCCCTTGCAGCAAGGCCAGAGGCTCAGGTTGCCATGGCCTCACTCCTGGAAACCACCTGAAGGTGCAGCCACCCTGTATAAACCCATCAGGTGACATCTAACTTGGCAGAGAAGTCCTACCCTTCCCTCCATGAGAGACCACAGCGGTAGCCCTGGGGATCCTGCTTCAGCTGTGAGATGATAGACTGACGAGCCTGTGACCACTTCTCCCTCCATCATGAAGTGGTGCAAAGTACATTTATTTTTACAATGAAAGCTCATCTATGAATCTGATAAAGGCCTTCCTTCAACTGGAGACAATTTGGGATGTTGCAAAACAAGGTTTGGGAAGCCCTTCTATGGATCGGTTTTGTGTCCAAGTCTGTCCCTGCCAAAAGCCATCAAAAGTCTCCATCACCCCTGGGCTCCAGTCTGCTACCCCCAGACTTGGCAGCTGGGATCTCTCCTTCCTGGTTCATAGTTCTCATTCCCACCCCTCAGCGATGGAGTTAGAGTTCCAGGCCCACGTGGTGAACGAGATTGTGAGTGTCAAGAGGGAATACGTAGTTTATGATCTGAAGACCCAAGTCCCACCCCAGCAGCTGGTGCCCTGCTTCCAGGTGACGGTGAGTCAAGTCGGGAGGAGGCCGACAGAGGGCTGCTGGAGGCGGGTGGGAGTGAGGATGCACGGCCAGAGGCCAGGCCCCATGCCCCCGATGCCCACCTCCTTCCCCCCCGCCGGGAAGGCCCTGACTTTTCCCCTTCCAGCTGAGGCTGAAGAACACGGCGCTCAAGTCCATCATCGCTCTCTTGGTGCCTGCAGAGGCACTGCTGTTGGCTGACGTGTGCGGGGGGTTGCTGCCCCTCCGGGCCATTGAGCGCATAGGCTACAAGGTGACATTGCTGCTGAGTTACCTCGTCCTCCACTCCTCCCTGGTGCAGGCCCTGCCCAGCTCCTCCTCCTGCAACCCACTGCTCAGTAAGCCCTGCTCCCTTACCCAGTCTGCCCTGTTTCTCCCCGGTCACCCACTGGTGCTCAGCTCGCTGGGCACCAGAGACACAGGGACTGGCCCCTGAGCATCTCCCTGTGCCCTGCCTCCCCCAGTTTACTACTTCACCATCCTGCTGCTGCTGCTCTTCCTCAGCACCATAGAGACTGTGCTGCTGGCTGGGCTGCTGGCCCGGGGCAACCTTGGGGCCAAGAGCGGCCCCAGCCCAGCCCCGAGAGGGGAACAGCGAGAGCACGGCAACCCAGGGCCTCATCCTGCTGAAGGTGGGCAGGGGCTGGGGGGTAAGGAATGAGGCCTAGGTGCACACCTAGGGCTGGGGTGAGGGCACGGAGGTCCAGGTGTGGGTAGAGGCCCCTTGCATCCACCCTGCTGGCTCTCCTGTCCCTGGTCTCCACCATGTCCTCCTCCCTTAGAAGAAACAGGTCTGGGGCAGGGAGCAAGCTGAGCCTCCCTGAAGTCCCAGGTGACCTCAATCCCCTGATAACCCATGCCTTGCACAGCCTAAGAGGGTGTTTCTTCAACTGAAGATGGCCTGAAATGGGCCAGACCCAAATTTTCATCAGCTGAGAATCTAAGAAAGGAAGCGATACAGGCTGATGACCCCTGGGGTTCGCTCTTCCGCTCATGTTGAGGGGACCTTGAAGAACAGCTCCTTTCCCTGTATCTCTCCCCACAGAGCCCTCCAGAGGAGTAAAGGGGTCACAGAGAAGCTGGCCTGAGACTGCTGACCGCATCTTCTTCCTCGTGTATGTGGTTGGGGTGCTGTGCACCCAATTCGTCTTTGCAGGAATCTGGATGTGGGCAGCGTGCAAGTCTGACGCAGCCCCTGGAGAGGCTGCACCCCATGGCAGGCGGCCTAGACTGTAAAGGGGCAGGGCCTGGGCTGCACACCTTAGGATGAAGTTTGCTTTCCCATGGCTGGGGGCGGGCCATGACAGGGCCTCTGGATTAAGCCACCCTGAGCTCTCCCTCCGCTAGCACACAAGCACAGAGCGTGAAATAAACCCATCTCCAGTGCAAGTGTGCCTCAAGGGTCAGTCTTCAATCTCGTCCTAAATAGGTGGGGCCCTATTTTTTGCTTCCAACCCCCATTTTGCTCCTTAACTTTTCCCCATTGTCCCTGTCTCCCAGCCCACAGGCAGGCAGCCTAATTGCTCCTTCTGCAACCACGACTGCCTGGCCCTGGGCCAAGAGGCACTGAGGCTGGGGGCCAGAGACAGGGGCCTGAGGAAGGCTGTAGAGGGTGGGGCGGAACTCCTCCTCCGAACGCCTCCTGCAGTGTGCTGGACTCTAGGGAAAATGGCCAGTGAGCCTGCCTCCCCCAGCCACCTAGGGGACTCCTGGGAGGGAAAGGTCCCAGACCTCAGGCCTGTGGGCGGGCGGGAATGTGTTTTAAGAGAGGGGGTCAGTCCCGACTGCCTTTCCTCCAGGAGCTCTGGCTGCTTCTCTGAGCCCTGCCACATCTCTGGGCTGTAGGGGAGTTCTCTGTCCCCACCTCTGACCTAGGCTGGAGGGAGGGCCCTTCTGCCCTGCTGCTCTTGGTACACATGGAGCAGCAGTGGGCACAGGCCTCTGTCTTCCTTCTCTCTTTTCCTGTTTCAGAAGCCATCAGGGTCATAAAAGCCAAGGTGTGGAGGGACCCCAGGCTTCCGGGAGAGTGCTGGTTCGGCTGGGAACACGGGCTGTGGGGAAAAAGCAGGAGCCAGGACTAGGGGGCTCAGGGACACAGCTCCCGGAGGCGTGGAGACAGGTCTCTGTCCCAGAGGACTTCAAGCTCACCCAGCCCAGAGGCAAGCTAACACTGGTTTATCTGTCCAATGACACGCCAGTCTGGTGGAACCAGGCAGGGCTAGCAGCAGGCTCAGGCAGAGGTGTCGAAAAGGCGATCGATCATGTCGCCCACCTGCTCCACCCCGTACTTGATGTACTTCTCCGGGTTCTTGGTGAAGGGCACGCTGCCAAACCTGAGGAGGCACTGTGGTCAGGGGACAGGGAGGGCCGACCCCTCCCCAGCTCCACCCTCAGCCTAAGGCACTCCTGATAGTCTTGGAAGGGGTGGCCCTGAGCGATTCCCTGTCTGGCCCCGCCCCAAAGCCCAGGTCGCTGGATCTGCTGCCTAAATCCACCACCCTTCTCCTTTTTCCCTTGAGGAAGAGGAGCTTGAAGAGGCCCACTGGGGCTGTGGGCAGCACAGGCTGGGAGGGGAATGGAGGCCTCACTTCTGTAGAAAGGCCCCGTAGGTCTCCTTGACAATGGTCTTCTGGGCCTGGCGAATCCTGTCCCTCTGCTCTGTGTCTGGAATAGCCCAGGCCTTCTGGATTTTGCACAGTTCTTCGAGGCCATCATTGAAGCCCTGGCCACCAAAAAGGTGAAAAAGGAAGGCACCCAGAGACAAACATTTTGGGTCTGTGTTGCCTCAACAGCAGCAGCAAGCAGTGGAGGGGAGAGGACCCCGACTCACCTTAAAACGCTCCTTGATAATCTGCCGCTCCTTGTCCCGGAGCTGGGAAGCCAGGAGAGATAGCAGAGAAAGCTCACTTCAGAGCAGAGCAGCCTTCCCCCACTCTTCCCCAAACACCCTTGGTCTGGGCCTGTCTCCTGTGTCCTGATGGCCACATGCATCCTTTGCTCTCTGATCCCAGAGGGATGCTTGTCCACTTTTTCCCAGAGACACGACAAAAAGTATCCCGTCTGCCAGACACCCCTTCCCAGCCCAGGTCTTGAGCCCACCTTGACTCCCGGCTGGAACACAGGTAGATTCTTCTCTGCGATGTAATCAGTCACCTTTAACCAGCTGCCAGACAGAAAGAGAAGCATGAGGGCAGAGGGTGGCCTGCCTCAGTGGCCTGGCTTGTTTCGTTTGCTAAATCTCTGGATCTACTTGGTGGGTGGTGGTAGGAAGGGATGTGGGTCACAACTAAGCAAACAACAGGTTTTCTTCCTGGGAAGAGAAAATCTTTAAACTGGTCACTTTTTGAGATAACATTAGGAAACACTTGAGTGTTCAATAAATTGGACAAATACTGTCAACTATACTTCACATCAATATCGTGGCAAACTAAGATGGAGAAACAGATGAGAAAGAAAGGAGTGGAGGGCAGATAAATGAGAAGGAAGAGGTAGACACATTCAAAGGGAAGAAACAAAGCCAGGAAGAAAGAGGACCAGAGAAGCAGCGGGATCCTCACAGAGCAAGGCTCAGCCACGTTCAAGTGCTCTCGCGACCTTGCTCTTCTCCTAGGTAAACATTACCCACGTCTCTGAGAGCCAGCTCTTCAATCATTCTTAGCCTTGACACTTGGCAGACTCCCCTCTAAAGTGGCCATAGTGGGCCCCTAGGAGCAGGTAGTGGTAGAGGAGGGGGCTTCTCTCTCCACCCCGTGAGTTTGATTAGAAACCAAGTGGAGGATTAGGGTCCAGAGGACAGGAGTTCCCCGTGACCGACTCTGTGTCCTGAGGTGCTGAGAAGGAAGAGTGCGTGGTGGCACAGGGGCCCATGCAGGAGCAGGGCGGGCCCAGCCTCTCACCTGCGCTGGTAGGTCTGGATCTGCTGCTCAATGTGCTCCCGGTAGGAGCGCTCAGCAGTCTTCTGTGTCACTGCCACCAGCTGGATCAGTTCAGACCTGGGTCGGGGTAGGGGACAGAGGAGAGGAGGACAGGATTGGCTCCTCAGGCCCAAAGGCTGCGGCAATGCCGGGAGGGCCTCCCATTGCACCCCAAACTCCACAAGCTCTATGGCATCCCACCTTCCGGGTCCTGGGGTGGAGGAGACTGAAGCACCCCCTCCCCTCTCGTCCACAAGAGAAGGAGCCCAGGGGGGCAGGGGCTGGCACAGCTGCACAGCCGAGGGGAAGGTGAGAGCCGCAGACTCACTCCCGCAGGCCACTTACTTCTCCAGGGACTTGAGGATGTAATTGTAGTTGTTGTGCAGGAAGATGGCGCTCAGAGCTGGGTCCTCGTACACCTTGGACTTGCTCAGCAAGTTCAACTGCAGGTTGCCCAGCACTTTACCTGCACAGGGAAAAATGGGGCCACACCCACCATGGCAGTCTGACCCAAACGACCCCACCCCAGGACCCGCGAACGCGCTCCTATCCATCGCTCCTCGTCCTGCCTCAGGAGGCCTTAGCCCAACTCCCCTCAGCCTCTGAACTAGAGGTCAGGTTGTGGTTCCAAAGATCAGATGGCACTTAGGAGAGGGCCCTGGGAATAGCCAGAGAGCACAGACAGAAGGAAGGGAAAGGCAGGGCATGCAGGCAGCAGGGCTGCTGGTCTGCCCGGGAGAACACTCACAGATATAGGTGCTTAGCAGCCGCTTGCTGAACTCAGAGCTGTAGCTGGTGGCCGAAGAGCTGGTCTCTGTGAGAGGAGAAGTCCTGTTATTGCAGTGGCAGCAGCCAAGACCCTCAACGGCCCTTCCCCCAGGCCATGCAGCAGTCTGAGGGGACACTGAGACAGGCCCTGGGCTTCCTTGGGCAGAGCTGGCTGCCTGCTAAGCCACAGGGTGGCCCCTGCCGCAGGAAGCACCAGCCCTGGAGTTTTTGGAACCCAGAGCTGCCCTCTATGATGGGATGGAGCTGGCCCATGTCAGCAGAAAAGCTGGCAGGAAAAGAGTGAGATGCCAGCGCCCTGTCCCCTCCTGCCCCCACCCACCCTGGGTGGTTTCTACAAGGCCCCCTTTTTCCTTTTGTCAACAGCAGAGTCTTAGAATGGGCTCCCCACAGCCTCTCCACCTTCTCCCCTACATTCGAACATCCCCTCTACCAGACCCTACTGAACAGACGAAGCTGCGGCCTGCACAGTGGGGAAGGCCGAGTGGGGACAGCAAGGCAGGGAGGCCGGGCGAGCCTAGGGGGTGTATCCAGGGCTCTAGCCTGGGCAGGTGCTGCGGATAAGCTCAGAGACAGAGTGGCCTTGAAGGGAGCAGAGAGAGTTGAGAGCACCCCGAGAAAACTCATGTCCCCTCTGACTCAGGCTCCCCAGTAGGTACTGAGAGTCAGTCCCCAGGGAACCTCACCCACCAAGCTTCAGAGGGACAGGAGGGGGCTGCAGAACCGCACTGCTTACCTCGGGGGTCTAAAGGAATATTGTATGTGTCCCCAAGAACTACGGAGTGAAAGGCAGTGCACACAGAGGGGACAGAGGGAGAGACAAAGGAGGGAGAAAGATGCAAAGTGCAAAAAACAGGTTAGAAACGGCATGTCAACCCGAATTAAGCAGACCTCTCCCCACGACAGCCAAAACACAGATAGCAAGACACAGCAGGCGGGACCCTCTGAGGACCAGGGAACACCCTGGAAAGTAGAGAGCTGAGAACTGCAGGCTGGAGGCTGCCCACAGGCTCCTTGCCCCCAAAATGGGACGGGAGGAGAGGGCCCAGGGACCTCAGTGCTTGGAATGACCCAGAAAGGTGCTCTTGCTTACAGGCCAACCCCCTGAGCTCCAGTCCCAGGGCAGGGCCAGCAGGAAGACGCCCAGCGGGCCCTGAGACACTTGCTACCCTCTGAAGGCCAGCTGAGCGAGCCTGATTAGGAGAGCAGGCAGACACGAGAGAAGGATTTGGGAGGGGGGCAGGGGCAGAAAGGACACCTTCCAACCAACCAGCACCGCTCCCAGAGTGAGGACACTGCTTCCAGGGCGAGGACGGTCAAAGGGGCTGAGGGAGGGGCCAGAGGTCCAGTGTCTGGTCTTGAAAGGTGCAGGCAAACCTTGCTCTCCTGATGCTCAGCCCCAGGGACCCTCTGCTGAGCACACCTCAACCCCTCCACAGACTGGAGATACCTCCTCACTGCTACCTGCCCTCTAACCCCATGTCTCCAGGCAAGGAGGCGAGTGGGGCAGGGGGCCCAACTGGGAGGTACCAGTACCTTGGGAGGCCAGCATGGCGCCTGCCGTCTCCTGGAAGTCCAAAAGCTGCTGCAGGAAGAGGATGGCCTGGGTGGGAAGAAAACGGTGCAGAAGGGCAAGTGGCAGGCCCGGCCGACGGCCTCCCACAGCGACCCCTCTGAGTGCCCAGGGCCAGCCCAGGGCTGGGATCCGCCCAGTGAAGAGCGCGGCTGGAAACTTCATTTTCACTCTAGCCTGCCAGGAAAGGCCCTGTCTGCTAGAGACACTAAACATGTCACTGTCCATCCTGCCACCCAGGACTGCTCACAAAGGTGCGAGCGGCTCTGGGCCAGGCTGAGTCCCTTCCACCAGTACTCTGCCTGGCCCTGGGCCTGGGCCTGGGCCCTCCTTCCTCCCCTCTCCCTGGTGTCCTCAGGCAGCACCCACATTGCTGGTGAGCTCGTGTACGGTGCCGTCCTTCGGCATGTTGTACTCCTTGTCCGGGTCATTCTGTGGAAAAACAGCCTCTGGTTCCCTGAAGCAGCCCCCAGCCCACCCCATGCCCCAGTGCACCTGCTCATGGTGCCGCCTCCTGGCAGACGGGTGCTAGGACACCTCTCAGGCACAAAGGCTGAGCCAGGCTGGACCAAGGGGGAGAGGCCCTTCCCACTTCAGAGGGCTTGGAGGCCCCAGGAAGGAAAGGAAGGCACATGGGTGCTGACAGGCCAGTGGCGCAGCTGGCTGCCCCGGGACAACGCACCCTCTTGGAGGCCTGCTCTGAGAGTCCCCCAGGGCCAGGTCACTGTGGTGCTGGGCCGGGAGGGAGGGAGAAAGGGGAGGACAGCAGGGACCTTGATGTTGTCTGCGAAGTCCTCCAGCGCTTTGGCACCGATGGTCTCCATGGATGTGATGAGGCCAGGCAGCTTGTTCTTTGTGCTGGCAGCCGTGCCCTGAGGAAGCACAGGGGAGCCCCCAGCTCACCTCCAGTCGCTCTGTGAGCATCTCACTCACCCAGGGCCCTTCCTAAGCTGCTTCCATGCACCTTCAGAGCAGAAGTGTGGGACAGAGAATGGGGTTCTCCCAGGGAGGGATGGGGCGGCCACACCCGGCAGCACGATGCCTCCTGGCTGTGTTTTTGAGGGCCCCTCGCCCACATACCTGGAGCACCTGGTCAAACTCAGGCTTGGTCTGCTTGAGGTGTCGCAGGATGGGGAAGACGGTGAGCACCGTGGAGAAGTCGTGTCGCACAATGGCCTTCCGGGCAGCAGACACGATGTTCTCCCCTTCAAGCATCAGCCCATCCAGGGCATCCTGAGGGGGCAGGGAGACAGTTCAGGGAAGGGTGGGGCGGTGGGAGCTAGTTCTGGGCTAGTGGGGGATCCTTGCAGTATGTAGGGGGGCCAGTGTGCAGGAAGAGGGGTGACGGGGAGGTGGTGAGCGTCCACCCAGGACCGGTCCCCAGGGCACGAGGTGGTGGTGGTGGGTGGAGTTGAGGGCTGCAAGAGTCTGTTGTGACAGCTCTTGCTGGGGCTGGCTGCAGAGCCCCCGGGGCGGGGCGGGACCTGTATCAGGGAGTCGAAGGTCTTCTTCTGGTGGTGCTCGGGGATGATGTCGGCCAGCAGCTGGTACTCGCTCTGCGCCAGCTTGACGAAGGCACTGACGCAGTGGATGTAGGCATCGGTCTCCACGTCCAGCATGTCATCTCTCCCTGGGGGATGGCACAACTCTTGAGCTGCTGGTCTGGGGCCAGCCACACTCCTGGCTGGGGGCGGCGTGGGTCCCCCAGCTCCTGGCCTGTACCCCACACTGGCAGAGGATGGGGAAGAGGCTGACTGTTCTGGCAGAAAGCTGCAAGGGAGCCAGCAGGCCCCGCCAGGTTCGAGGGGAATAAAAGGAGCTGAGCCCAGCCTTTGTTCTGGCTTCATTCTCGGCTCTGCGCAGACAGTGGGATCAGACACCAGAGGCAGGAGAGTGACGGATGGAAAGATAAGGAGGGAAGATTCCTGAATCAGCGTCCTGGATAAGGTGGTTTGACCCCAGGACTGAGCATTCTGAGTTGTACCTGAAAGAGGGCAGCCCAGGGTGGGCAGGTGGCTGTGCCACCTCAAGGAGGCTGGCACTGGGGTCATCCATGTGGGCAAATGCGGGGCCTGTGAAGGAAGTGACCAGCCCAGTCAGGGCTTCTGGAACATCTAAGAGGGTGGTTGGCTGCAGCTTCTGAGGCTGGCTGGCATGGGGTCAAAATCTAAGAGGCTGGTAAGTCCCAGAGAGGAGGGGTTGCCAGCTGCCCCAGGAGGAGGCCAGACCCTATTACTGGAGGCCACGGCGGGGGCGCCTGCAGGCAAAACCGGCGGCAGAACTGCCTGGTCCTATGTGCCAAGGGATGGGCTCCGAGGGGATCAGAGCTCTGAATTGTTGCAGGAGGCGGACGTCAGGGCTCCCTGCCCTCAAGGGAGCCACCTTCCCTCTCTGCCTGCTTTCCGAGGAGCAGCGGCTTCTCCCCTTGGCCCAGGCCTGACAGACAGGCACGCACTCCCATCTGGAGAGAGGCAAGGAGACCTAGGCCCAAAAGAGAGAGAGTGGAGAGAGAGGCGCATAGGCCTGGCCCATCCTCAGAGCAGAGTGGGCCCAGCTGGGCCAGGCAGGAGCAGGCCATCCGGGGACCGCTGCGAAGGCAGTGTCAGCGGCTGCCCTCGGGCTGGGCTGCGGTACTCACCGGCCAGCGGCCCGTGCTTGTCGTTCAAGGCCTCGGACAGGTGCTTAACTCGGAAATCATGCTCGTGACCTGGCGAGATGTCGGCCGCACAAACACAAGCAGCGTTTATCCAGGGGCCAGGCAGGCCGCCCCTTGGGGTACAGGGAAGAAGCCCTTCATCTCCAGGAGGGGGACGTCAGATGGGGATGGGGAAGGGGGCATCGGAGAGGGCCCTGAGCCCCTCCTCTACCTCAAGCCACCTTGGGAACAGCCGTTTCAAGCCTGACTTCAGTGAGCACCCAGGACCGTCCTTAGCTGCTCATTTCCCCGAGCCTGGAGGCCCAGGGAAAGCGGAGAAGGACCAAGGAGGGGCTGAAGAGCTGATGCTTGGCCCCAGGGGGGTTCCCCACCTCGCTGTATTTGGGGAAAGCCCCAGTTTGCCTGTCCTCTGCTGCACACACTCCCCTTTCTAAAGATGGGAAGGCCGGGAGGCCTCGGCCAGCTGGGGCCTGCCACTGCTGGTCTGAGCGTGAAAGGGCTGCCCCAAGACAAATAACTTTTTCTGAGTTCACACAGGAGACAAGGACAGAGACAGGGAAGGGAGGAGGGAAGCCTCAGGGAGGGCAGAGCTGCCATCAGCCAGAGAGGACCAGGCCGAGGGCTGCGAAACTGTCCCTGTGCCCGCTGAAGCCCGAGTGGCATCGGGGACCTGCCGTTCCCACCCTGCTCCCCTCAGGGTTTCTCCCGAGGCCCTCCTGGGGGAGGCTCTGCCCTGCCAAGTGCGTGGACACACAGTGGAGGAGGAAGGGACAGGAGGGGAACACAGGGTGATTACCTTCCAGAGGAATGAGGTTAGAGCCCCCCTTTTTCCCATCTAGACCATGCTGGGAATACTGTTTCAGAAGGTTCTGAGCCTTACGGATCGTCCCTGTCACCAGAGCCACACAGAGAGGAGATAAGAAGACCTAGGAAATGAGTGAGAGAAAACAGCAGCGGCCCTCCACCTGCCCCCCAGGCCCCGCACCCAGCTCCCCAACAGTGAGCAGGCCTTTCCCTGAGACCACCAGAGACGCTGGGGACAAGGATGAAGGAAAGGAGTCATTTCCTTCTCCAAATGGAGCCTTGATTCTACTACCGACCCTCCTTGTTCTGGATTTCAGCTCATTTCTGAAAGGACAGAGGGTAATGAAGATGGACCAAGATCCACCAGGAGAAGTCAAAAATATGGAGTGGCATCATAATCAGAACAGGCGAGGGCTCAGGTCGGAGGAGCCCGTGACAAAGCTCGCATACCCAGAGGGCACAACCAGGGTGGGAGAGCCTGGGGGGCACCCTGAAGCCAGCAGGCCCCCAGCCCAGCCCCAAACTCCAGGCAGAGTTCTCCGAGCATGCTCAGTGTTGGGACGTACGCCAAACAGCAGCCAGCAGGAAGCCACCCTGACTGAACTTCCGGGGGAGCGCTGTGCCCAAGGCGGACGGCTCAGAGACCCAGAGGCAGCCTAGCCCCACACCAGAGTTCCCCAAACCACCAAAGCGACAAGAAAAAATCCAAAAGTCAAGAAGGGGTTAACAGAAGCCACCACACAGAGCGCCTGGAGGGTGTGCACGGAAGGAGAGGGCACATGCTCTTGGCATGGGGGAGAAAAACAATAGTTAGTATCACAAGTGAAAACAATGAGAACAAAATGGCAGCACCCACAGCCGCCTGGGTCAGCCTCCTTTGTGGGAATGAGACATCTCGGGCCAGAAGACGTCGGGAAATCAACTCGCATCTCAAGCAGACAAGTGCAGCTGCCTTGTTAACAAAATGTATAGGGGCAGAAAGGCACCCGGGATGCCTCCCACCCCCACAGTCTATCTGAGCACAGTGAGGCTGCTGTGTCCTGGCAGCTCCCCAGAAAGCTGAGGGAGAAAGGGGCAGTGTCTGGAGGCTCACTGCTTACACCTGCACCGCACCGCACCGCACAACACCACAATTAGCTTGTTTTTTTTTTTTTTTTTTTTTTTGAGACAGTCTCACTCTGTCGCCCAGGCTGGAGTACGGTGGCACGACCTCGGCTCACTGCAACCTCTGCCTCCTGGGTTCAAGTGATTCTCCTGCCTCAGCCTCCCAGGTAGCTGGGATTATAGGCGTGCGTCACCACACCCAACTAATTTTTTTTCTATTTTTAGTAGAGACAGGGTTTCACCATGTTGGCCAGGCTGGTCTCGAACTCCTGACCTCAGGTGATCCGCCCGCCTCGGCCTCCCGAAGTGCTAGGATTACAGGCGTGAGCCACCATACTTGGCCCATAATTAGCTCCTAATAACCAAGGCCTGGCTCACGTCTCCCTTGCTCATGCTCTCCCCTTCAGCGAGTGCGGCTTACTAATGAGTGAATCTGATTCCTGCCCCACAACCCACCAGGAGCAGACACAGACGCAGGTGCACGCCGGCAGGATGTGGGTCGCCGATGTGGATCTAGCAGCCGCCAAACCCGTCAGGCTCCCAATTGCCTCCAGGGATGCTGAGGTCGGTGCTTCACCACCTGGGAGGCCTCCCTGTCCCTCTCCTCAGAAGTGGGAACCGACATCCCCAGAGCCTGACTCCCTAGAGCCTGACATCGGTCCTGAGCCCACCAGTTCCTGACAACTCTGAAACCCCACAGCTGGAGTTTTCCTCTAGTGTCTCTGGCCCAAGGATGGATGTGGTCCACTGTGAGCCACCTGAGATCAGATCCCTCCTGCCTGAAAGGCCAGGTAGCTGCATGGCCAGCGGGCACTCTTAAGGCAGTGCAAATAGGGCTCTGGGGCTTCTGGGGGACCTGTCAGGGAGCCAGGCAGAAGAGGAAGCAAGCACAGACTGGCTGGGGCCCAAGCATCCTAGCAGCCTCATAGAGACAGCCACTCCCCACCACACAGAAGGCACAGAGCTGCTCCATCCACTGTGCAGGCAGCTGCGCCCACAGGCTGGGCTGGCAGTCCCCATTTGCAGCAGGTTTTGGCTGGTGGGCAGGATTTCCACACTGGAGGGAGAAGGCCCCAGGCACCAGCTCCCTAATGCTCTACTCCCTGAGGGCAGCCCCTGCTCTGCCTGTTTCTCCAAACCCTAAACAAAGGCCTGCAGGGGAGCGGGTGCTCTTGTGGAACAGACACCTCACTCTCTGAGGGGCATGAGCAGGCAGGGACTGGAGAAACCAAGGGTGTAAGTAAGCTCTACCCAAAGCTTGTTGTCATAAGCAGGTGCCACAGGCCACAACTAGGGCATGTGCCCACAGCAGCAGCTGGACAGGGGGCCAGCCTGGGTGGGAGCAGCCCCGGCTTCTCCAGCTTTCTTTTTCAGTGCAATCTCAGCAGCCCCACCCCAGAACATCCCAGCACATCATCGAGCTGCGGGCAGCATCTCTCAGTGGCCAGACATAGCCGGGCTTGCCAAGCTGTGGCTGGCAGAGACACTGTTTACCTGGAGCACAGACTATAAGGGATATGATGCCGGGGAGAAAGAACAGACAGATGACGAGATGTTCACCCAGGACAGCAACACCCACCGGCCCCGGCCTCTCATCATGGTGCCCCTTTCCACAAGTCACTCGCTCGCACTGGAGCCCAAAGCCAGTTTAAGTTCTTCCGAGAGGATGCTCTGGGGTTTCTTTCCTTTCTGGATCAACTGGGAAAGTGAAATTCTCCCCATCCAGCTCTCAGCTACACGTCACTTCAGATCACCCTGCCTTTCTGGAAGGTGAAGGTTGGAGCACCTATCCCCTTGCTATCCCAGCATCCTGGCTGCAGTAGTGTGCCTGGCCTTCTGACAGGGCGACGTGTGTGTGAGGGAGGAGGCCTAGGCAGGGGCTCTGCCTCAGGCGGGATTCGCTGAGCACCTGTGTTACTCCCCTACTCCAAAGAAGCTGTGTAACCCCAGGCTCTGCTAGCTGGAAGGAAGAGTCTTGCTCTTGGGGGGCTTCACTGGGTGGGTAGACACTTGCTTTCTGTCCTGTGTACCTACAGTCGGGGTTACCACGACGACAAGCTCTGGAGGGGCCTGACGCTGCGAACGCTAGATTGGACTAAAGCAGTACAGTCCCAGTCAGCCTCTGGCTGTTGCAGAGATGGGCCAGGATGGGGGCTCACCTGGCCGCTTGACTGGCTTCTTGGTAGGTGTGTCTTTCCTCTTGTTGGGGATAGCAGGGGAGTAGGGAACCCCAGAGGAAGAACTGCTCTTATGGAAATGCTCCTTCAGTCCTTTGATGGAGCGGTCCAGCTGGCTGGAGCGTATCTGGTAGTAGACGTTCATGAAATCTGAGGAGACACAGAGGGATAGAGGTACGGCTGCCAGGCCCTGTCTCTGCCTTGCAGACCCACCATGTCTACCTGTCAAACCTGTCAACCCTTCTTAGCATCTGCTCCCTGCTCTGGTCACAAGCCACCCATATCTTGTCCCAAATCAGGCAAAGTCTTTCAAAGTCTTTTTTTTTTTTTTTGAGATAGGGTCTTGCTCTGTTGCCCAGGCTGCAGTGCAGTGGCACGATGTCAGCTCACTGCAGGCTCGACCTCCTGGGCTCAAGTAATCTGACCACTTCAGCCTCCCAGAGTGCTGGGATTACAGGCGTGAGTCACCATGCCTGGCCAGGCAGTCTTAAAAGAGAAAAACACCCTCTGATAGAACTGATAATTAGTTGTAAGTTGTTTTTTTTTTGAGACAAGGTCTTACTCTGTCGCCCAGGCTGGAGTGCAGTGGTGTGATCTTGGCTCACCGCAAACTCTGCCTCCCAGGCTCAACCAATTATCTTGCCTCAGACTCTTGAATAGCTGGGATTACAGGCATGAGCCACTACCACCCAGCTAATTTTTGTATTTTTAGTAGAGATGGGGTTTCACCATGTTGGCCAGGCTGGTTTTGAACTCCTGACCTCAAATGATTCACCAGCTTCAGCCTCCCAAAGTGCTGGGATTACAGGCATGAGCCACCGCCCAGCCCTAGTTGTAAGCTTTTTTTTTTTTTTGAGACAGAGTTTCATTCTTGTCATCCAGGCTGGAATACAATGGCACGATCTTGGCTCACTGCAACCTCTGCCTCCCGGGTTAAAGTGATTCTCCCGCCTCAGCCTCCCAAGTAGCTGGGATTACAGGCATGAGCCATGGCGCCCAGCCCTAGTTGTAAGTTTTAAATAGTACTTTTTTTTAAATAAAAAAACAAAGTTAATATCCAGATTCAACTTGGTAAGGGGTCAAAGAACATGAGCTCTATAGGAAGCAAAAAGACAACAAATGTCAGTGAATGAAAAACACACATCTTTAGCCATTAATAAAGTATAAATTAAAAAAATTAGAGGACTGTGATAGTCCTATCAGATAGCAAAAACAAAAATTAATGAAGAACAAATGGCCATGGAACTGTCGATGAGTCCATCGATTGGCCTGATCTATTTAGAGAGGAGCTAGTGATGGCAAGAAGGTTACAAGTATCTTCAGACACTTACACCTAATCCCTGCACCCTTGAGAATAAACCCTCAAGAACTTCCTCAAAGAAAAAAGCAATTCACAAAGGTATGTCCATTTTGGTACCATTCATCAATGCTGAAAAACAGGAAGAGCTCCTTGCACACATGACTGAGGAAAAGGACATGAAAACTATGGTGGATTTCAGAAGTTCCCAACAAATAGTTTACAAGGAACCCCGACAGAAGAAATGAACCAAAACACAGAGGCACAGGCTGAGAGGTCTGGAGGCTGTCCACTGCGCCTCCCTCTTGATCCTAAGGAGCTCCTGAAAATCTTCTGCCGAGCTGTCATCAGCTCACGAGCCACAACGTGTTCATGTGATCAGATACATCGCGGCCGTGAGACCTGCCGCCACACAGTTCTGGGGCAAGGCAAGCCCGCGCTGACAACTTGGTATGTGTACACACAAACAAAGAGAAGAGTTGGAGGGCTAAAAAGTGCAACATTGCCAGGCGAGGTGGCTCATGCCTGCAATCCCAGAACTTACAGAGGCCGAGGCAGGTGGATCACCTGAGGTCAGGAGTTCAAAACCAGCCTGGGCAACATGGTGAAACCCTGTCCCTACCAAAAAATACAAAAATTAGCTGGGCATGGTGGCGGGCACCTGTAACCCCAGCTACTTGGGAGGCTGAGGCAGAATTGCTTGAACCCAGGAGGCAGAGGTTGCGGTGAGCCAATATCATGCCACTGCACTCCAGCGTGGGTGACAGAGCGAGACTCTGTCTCAAAAAAAAAAAAAAAAAAAAAAGTGCAACACTGAATATCTATTGGAGTTTTTCTTTCTTCCTTTCTTTTTTTTGAGATGGAGTTTTGCTCTTGTTGCCCAGGCTGGAGCGCAATAGTGCACTCTCACTGTAACCTCTCGGGTTCAAGAGATTCTCTTGCCTCAGCCTCAGTAATAGCTGGGATTACAGGCATGCGCCACCACGCCCAGCTAATTTTGTATTTTTAGTAGAGATGGGGTTTCTCTATGTTGGTCAGGCTGGTCTTGAACTTCTGACCTCAGGTGATCCGCCCACCTTGGCCCCCCAAAGTGCTGGGATTACAGGCATGAGCCACTGCACCTGGCCTTCTTTCTTTTGAGACAAGAGTCTCACTTTGTCAACCAGGCTGGAGTACAGTGGCGTGATCTTAGCTCATTGCAACCTCCACCTCCCAGGCTCAAGTCATTCCCCGCCACCTCAGCCTCCCAAGTAGCTGGCTCTGCAGGCATGCGTCACCACACCCAGCTAATTTTTTTATTTTTTGTAGAGACAGGGTTTTGCCATGTTGGCCAGGTCTCGAACTCCTGAGCTGAAGCGATCCACTCACCTCAGCCTCCCAAACTGTTAGGATTACAGGCATAGCCACAGCACCTGGCATAAATAAACCTTAATAGTGCTCATCTTTGGCTTATGTAATGGAGGCATCAGGGAATGGGAGATGGACTTTTACTTTTCACCCATGGCTTTGAAAATTTTACAACTAATCAAAAAAGGCAAAGGAACATAAAAATCAAGACAAGAAAAGTTTGAATTTGCCTAGATTCACCACTTGATATACAAGTCATAGAATGGTTGCTTATATTCTTATATTGGTTCCAGTTAAACATCCTTTTATCAAAAAAACCATGACAGGTGGATTAAAGAATAAAGGGGGCCAGGCATGGTGGCTCACATCTGTAATCCCAGCACTTTGGGAGGCTGAGGTGGGCAGATCACCTGAGGTCAGAAGTTCAAGACCAGCCTGGCCAACATGGTGAAACCCCATCTCTACTAACAATACAAAACTTAGCCAGGCATGGTGGCATGCGCCAGTAATCCCAGCTACTCGGGAGGCTGAGGCAGGAGAATCGCTGGAACCCGGGTATGCAGAGGCTGCAGCAAGCCGAGTTGCACCATTGCACTCCAGCATGGGCAACAGAGCAAGACTCCATCTCAAAAAAAAAAAAAAAAAAAAAAAAAAAAGAACAAAGGGGAGAAAACTCCCTCTGCCTCTGGTGTGTCATGTGGCCAAGCCAGAATCCCTTACCTTGGTTGCGGCCATATTCCACCAGCCAGCGGGAGATGCGAATGACATCCTGGAGCACGCTCTCGGGCAGGTGCTCCAGGGTCACGTCCTCCTGGGCCTCCAGATCATCGTCACCACTGATCAGATCCAAGATGAGCACGGGCGAGACGACCTTACTGTGCCGCGTCATCAGGCTGCGAAATTCGGACTCCAGGGCCTCCTTCCCGCGCTCAAAGAGCAGTTTCTGCACAGACAACAGAAGGAAGCAGGTGCCTGCTGCTTCAGTGTTCTGCCAGTCCTGGCCTTCCCCTGCCTGTGCCAGCTCTGTCTTCTTAACTCAGGGCCTCTGCCCTTTTCTGCCCTGATATCTTTTTTTTTTTTGAGAGGGAGTCTCGCTCTGTCACCAGGCTGGAGTGCAGTGACACAATCTTGGCTCACTGCAACCTCCGACTTCCTGGTTCAAGCAATTCTCCTGCCTCAGCCTCCTGAGCAGCTGGGATTACAGGCACGTGCCACCATGCCCAGATAATTTTTGTATTTTTAGTAGAGACGGGGTTTCACCATGTTGGCAGGATGGTCTTGATCTCCTGACCTCAGGTGATCCACCCGCCTCAGCCTCCCAAAGTGCTGGGATTACAGGCATGAGCCACTGCACCTGGCCTGCCCTGATATCCTTTAACCCAAAGAAGAAACGCTGGGAAGCGGCCTTGGTGACTCCTTTACTTCATGTTCTCTCAAAATTTGTGTTTACAGGTAAAACCCAGGGTTTTACAAGAAGTAGGTGCTTAATAAATACTGGCTGATTGGCCGTGCACGGTGGCTCACGCCTGTAATCCCAGCACTTTGGGAGGCCGAGGCGGGCAGATCACAAGGTCAGGAGATCGAGACCATCCTGGCTAACAAGGTGAAACTCCATCTCTACTAAAAATACAAAAAAAAAAATTAGCCGGGCGTGGTGGTGGGCACCTGTAGTCCCAGCTACTCGGGAGGCTGAGGCAGGAGAAAGGTGTGAACCCAGGAGGCGGAGCTTGCAGTGAGCCAAGATTGCGTCACTGCACTCCAGCCTGGGTAACAGAGTGAGACTCCGTCTCAAAAAAAAAAAAAAAAAAATACTGGCCGATTATTTTCTCACTGAACCGTTAATTTGTCTTCTTGTTAGTGGGGGGTTTGCAAAAGAAAATAAATAAATAAATTGAACAATATCAAGTTGAAAACTTTTGTGCTGCAAATGATACCACCAACAAAGTGAGGATAACCCACAGAATGAGAGAAAATATTTGTAAACTATGTATCTGATAAAAGACAGGTATCCCAAACATAAAAGAGAATGAATCTGTCCACACGATGACATATATAAGAGGGTTTATAGCAGCATTATTCACAAGAGACAAAAATTGGAAACAACCCAAGTGTCCATCAAAGGATAAATGGCTAAAGAAAATGTGGTCTGGCTGGGCACGGTGGCTTACGCCTGTAATCCCAGCACTTTGGGAGGCCGAGGCAAGCAGATCACCTGAGGTCAGGAGTTCAAGACCAGCCTGGCCAACATGGTGAAACCCCGTTTCTACTAAAAATACAAAAAATTAGCTCGGTGTGGTGGCAGGCACCTATAATCCCAGCTACTCGGGAGGCTGGGACAGGAGAATCGCTTGAACCCAGGAGGTGGAGGTTGCAGTGAGCCAAGATTGCGCCATTGTACTCCAGCCCGGGCAACAAGAGCATAACTCCGTCTCAAAAAACAAAACAAAACAAAAAACCAAAAAAAGAAACTGTGGTCTATCCACAAAAAGGAATATCATATGGCATGAAAATGAAATGAAGTACTGATACATGCTATAGCATGGATTGATCTTGAAAGCATCACGCTAAGTGAAAGAGGCCAGTCACAA
Source organism: Homo sapiens (assembly GCF_000001405.40). Classification (NCBI taxonomy): domain Eukaryota; kingdom Metazoa; phylum Chordata; class Mammalia; order Primates; family Hominidae; genus Homo; species Homo sapiens. The sequence continues at coordinate 76,099,664 of NC_000017.11, forward strand.
AAGGCCATGTATTATAAGATACCATTTATATTAGAAATTCAGAATAGGCAAATCCATAAAGACAGAAAATAGATTTGTGATTTCCAGAGGCCAAGTCACCATCTTGCTCTGATGATCTAATGACCCCAAAACTTAAACACAAAAATATGATGAAGGCAGGTACAGTGGGTAATGCCCGTAATCCCTCCCAACACTTTGAGAGGCCAAGGTGGGAGGATCACCTGAGGACAGTAGTTTGAGACCAGCCTGAACAACACAGGAGACCTCATCTCTACAAAAAATTTAAAACTTAGCTGGGTATGGTTGCACATGCCTGTGGGCCCAGCTACTTGGAAGGCTGAGGTGGGAAGACTGCCTGAGCCCAGGAGTTCGAGGCTGCAGTAGCTATGGTTGTACCACTGCAGTCTGGCCTAGATGACAAAGCCAGATCCTGTCTCTTAAGATAATAATGCAAAAAAAAAAATCACATAGATTCAAGTTCCTAGAGTAGATTCACAGAAACAGAAAGTGGAATGGTGGTTACCAGAAGACAGAGGAAGGGAGAATGGGAAATTAGTGTTTGATGGGAGTGGAGTTTCACTTGGAGAAGATGAACATATTTGTGGAGATAATGGTGATGGCTACATAACATTGTGAATCTACTTAATGCCACTGTTAACTTAGAGTTAAAATAGCACATTTTGGCCAGGCACGGTGGCTCACACCTGTAATCCCAGCACCTTGGGAGCTGAGGCGGGCGGATCACCTGAGGTCAGAAGTTTGTGACCAAACTGGCTAACATGGTGAAATCCCGTTTCTACTAAAACTACAAAAAAAAAAAAAAATTAGCCGAGAGTGGTGGCGCACACCCTCCCAGCTACTCAGGAGGCTGAGGCAGGGGAATCACTTGAACCTCGGAGGCAGAGGTTGCAGTGAGCCGAGATCGTGCCATTGCACTCCAGCTTGGGAAACAAGAGCAAAACTCCATCTCAAAAAAAAAAAAAATTTATATTATGTATTTTTAACCAAAATAAAGGAACAACAAATGCATTTATAAAAATCAAACGTGGCTGGGTGCAATGGCTCACGCCTGTAATCCCAGGCCAAGGCGGGGGATCATCTGAGGTCAGGAGTTCGAGACCAGTCTGGCCAACATGGCGAAACCCCGTCTCTACTAAAAATACAAAAATTAGCCAGGTGCGGTGGCGAGTGCCTGTAATCCCAGCTACTTGGGAGGCTGAGGTGGGAGAATCACATGGACCTGGGAGGCAGAGGTTGCAGTGAGCTGAGCACTGTACTCCAGCTTGGGTGACAGAGCAAGACTCTGTCTCAGGAAAAAACAACAACAACAACAACAACAACAACAAATCAAATGTTAAGTTTATATTTTATATGTAATTTATAATTTAATTTTTATAATACATTAACAAGTTTTATAATAAAGAATTTTTAATAATAAAAAATGTGCAATTCTTGAAGCAGAGATCCTAATGCCTATAGGATGTACTGTGCTATATCCTTCTGTGTATTCTACTGCATACATCCTCAAGCTGGCTCCATGTCCCTCATGAGACCAGGGCAGAGACTGATATCCCCAAGCTTCTCACGTTATTCTGCGGACCCCTTACCACTTTGTTGAGTTCCGGGCTGTCTGGGCTGTTGTCCTGGAAATACTCCACTGCCTTCTGAATCTTGGCCATGCTTCCCAGGTACTCTTCCAGCCTACCTGTGGGGCTGGGAAAGAAAAGAGCCAGGTCAGGCTGGGGCATGGGGGATGAAGAAGGACTAAGGACACAGTATTTGGGAAAAAGAAAATTAATACAGGGGACTCCAGGCTCAAATATATTCTATCCCCCCACTGCCTTTTAAGGCCTAGGGCTTAAAAGGCGTCTCACTGTGTTGTCCAGACTGGTCTTGAACTCCTAGTCTCAAGCGATCCTCCCACCTCAGCCTCCCAAATTGTTGGGATTACAGACCAACCCTCCTGTTGGCCCAGGAGGCATTAGGAATTGACCCTCTGGGCCTCACTCACTCACCCCTCTCTGATGATCTTCTCAGTGTCACTGGCCACATGGTAGTAGCTGATGACATGGTCCAGGCAGGACAGCGTCTTCTCAACATTCTCCTGCAGCCGCTGCAGATTCTCCGTCTGCTTGTGCACAGGGATGATGGAGTTCTCCAGCTTCATAAGGCGGCTCTCAAAGGATGATAAGATAGACACCTGCGGGAGGGAAGCCTCTTGATCTTGGGACTCACAGTGGTCCCAGCACTGCTTCTACACACCCACCTTCGGCATTTCCTGCCTTTTCTCTGGTTTTCTAGACAATAAACTCCACAAGCGAAGGAACAGGGTGTACCTGTTCCCCACTGTATCTTCAGCACCTATCATGTGCCTGGCATATAGTAGGTGGTCTAAGACAAATTGGTTGAAATTTTATTTGAAGGCAAACCAAGCATCAAATTAATTCTTCTTAAAATAATCAGCCCAAGATGGCTTCCCTTCCACCCTTTGAAGCCAAATCTCAACTTCTGTTCTCTCTGAAGCATTCCTAAACCGGACTGGAAGTAGTTTCATACAGAGTAGCCTCAAATGCATTGCTGTATCTTCAAAACCCTCTCTAAGGATGAAACTCATTGAATAAGGACTAGAGGCTGGGCGTGATGGTTCATGCCTGTAATACCCAGAATTTGGGAGGCTGAGGCGGGAGGTTAGCTTGAGACTAGGAGTTCAAGACAAGCCTGGACAACACAGTGAGACCCTGTCTACACACACAGACACACACACACACACACACACACACACACACACACACAATTAGCAAGGCGTGGTGGTGTGTGCCTACAGTCCCAGCTGCTAGGAGGCCGAGGCAGGAGGACTGCCTGAGCCCAGGAGTTAGAGACTGCAGTGAGCTACAGTCATGCCACTGCACTCTAGCCTGCACAACACAGCCAGACTCTGCCTCTAAAAAAAAAAATTTAAAAATTAAAATTTTTAGAAAAGGACTAGGACTTTATTATTGTGTGACTAAATGCAAATACAAGTTTGTATTTACTCACTTTGTGCTTTTCCAGTCTCCCCTAGGAATAAAGAAGGAAACTCACTTATTGAGCACCTATTGTATACCAGGCACTGTGCAAGATGCAGTCGCATGCATTAGCGCATATGACCTTCACAGACACACTGGGAGGCTGGCACAGTCTCTGTTTTAGCAGATGAATTCGCTGACACCAGTTACCTATCAGGAGCCGCACATTTAAGCAGAAGGGCAAGGACTAGATCCCAGATCTGCCTGACTTTAGAGCTCTTTCTTTCCCTAAAGTCCTCTGGAGTGAAGGCTGAGTCTTCTCTGCCCTCAGGAATCTCAAAGTGCCAACCTCCTGGGCAGAGAGTCCACTGACAATGACATATGCCCAGTACCTAGCCCAACTGGTCAGACTCACTGAGTGTTTGCAGAAGGAGAGAAGGAAGAATGGCGAGCTTAGACAGAAAGCAGCAAGTCCAGGCCAGTGGGAAGTGCAGCCTCCTCAGTGAGGGTACGGAACATGGGGAGGGGGCTAGGCAGGAGAGATGCCAAACTGTTGCTAGATAAACCCACACACTGCCTCCGTCGCTGCCCATTCCAGAACTCCAGGCCGCAGGAACCGGAACCGCCAGGTCGCAAGGCTCTCCCCCAGGGTCCGGAGGCCTGCCCTCTCCCCCAGCTGCGGGGAGACTCACCATGTTCTTAGTGAGCTGGTCGCTCTTCTCCAGGCTGTCTCGGATGAAGGACAGAGTCTCCTCCTCCTGGGGGCAGGCAAGGGGAGGACATCACCAGAAACCAGAAGCTAAAGGAGACCACTGCGTCCCAACCCCACGGCCTAGCCCCCAACCCCATCTCCTCGCTGGGTGCGCTCCCTCCCACCCCTGCCTCCTCCATGAGTAGACAATCAGGCCCCGCTGTTGGCCCCTTTCCCTCACCTCCTCCCCAGCCTCCCCAGGCCCACGCCCACCTGCTTCAGCTTGTCCTCAATCTCCCGCCGTCGAGCGGATGCCTCCTGTGGGGGAATCATCGCTCTGAACCCCGCGGCTCCCACTCCCCAGTATCTTTCCTCCGCGGGCCCACCGGGCCCCCGTCCCCGTCACACCCACTTCCGCTCTTGGTCCCGCCCCGGGACGCCTGGGCGGAGCCATGTTGGGAATCGCAGGCTGAAGTGCGCCTGCGCGGAGCCCAAGAACGGACCGACGGCCATTTTGAGCGTGGCTGGGAAGAGAAGTGTATTCGGATGCTGCAAGGGACCTCGACGCGGGTTCCTTGCCTCAGCAGAGGTTTTCGATCGGCCTTATGTCCCGCGGCTGGCAGGACACTTAGAGCTCACTTGCTGTTTTCGTTGAAAGACCGACCCTTTTGATAAAGACTGCTGGGGAAGGCGACGAATTCCTTTCCCCAGGTCGCATTCTATGGGCAGGCACCAAGGCCAATTGCGTTTCCCACAAAGCCCCGCACGGAGCAGGTGACACAGTAGATGCCTAACGTGTGTCCATGTAATGAACCAGGGGCTTGTGTACTTGTTTCCGCCTTCCACCCTGCATTACGCAAAAACGTATCCTGTGGGCTGGCGGGGCTGCTCCGGAGCTCCAGGCCCAGACCCAGCGTCCAACTGCAGCTCCAGGGGACGGGGTGGGGGGCGCCCCTGGATCAACTTCCCTGCGGGGCTGGATGTTGTGGTTGCAGACCCAGCTCCTGCAAAACCTCGAGTTACTCCTTCCTCTAACCCGTCCCTGCCCACCCTGCCTCTGGCCCCCAGCCTTGAGAAAGGACAAGGCCGACCAGCTTGGTTCAGTCCTTCTGTGGCCTCAGTGTCCAGACACCCGGAAGATAGACAAGGAGGCATGTGCTGGTAGATGAGAAGGTTTGGGGCGGGCAGGGGGGACACCAAGCTTTTTTTTTCCTTTCTTTTCTTTTGAGAGAGAGTCTCACTCTGTCGCCCAGGCTGGAGTGCAAGTGGCACGATCTTGGCTCATTGCAGTCTCTGCCTCCCGGGTTCAAGTGATTCTCGTGCCTCAGCGTCCCGAGTAGCTGGGATTACAGGCGGCTGCCAACACGCCCGGCTAATTTTTTTGTATTATTAGTAGAGACAGGGTTTCGCCATGTTGCCCAGGCTAGTCTCGAACTCCTGACCTCAAGTGATCCACCCGCCTTGGCCTTCCAAAGTCCTGAGATTACAGGCGTGAGCCCCTGCTCCCGGCCTAAGGAGAGAAGGAGAGAAGGAAGAACCCAAGCTCTAGGGTTCCCAAGCGCTCACTCCACCCATAGTCACCCGAAGAGGAGGAGGAGGAGGAAGTGGGTGCACAGAGCCTGGAGAGGGATGGGCAGCCTTCCCTCAGGCAAGAGGACAATTTCAATCCTGTTGTAGGTGGGGGAGATAAAAGGCTGATTCCTGTGTCAGGAAATACCCAGGATGATTTCGCTGACATGGTCCTTGTGTAGTCCAAAGGGCTAAGTAGGAGAAAGTTTAAACTGTTAGATGTCACAGAATAGAGTAGCGGGGCTAGTTAGCCGCTGTAGAGAGGGTGTTTTGGGCTCAGGTGGACTACCTTTGAGGGCCTGGTCCAGCATTTAACCTGAGTCTCTCTCTCTCTCTCTTTTTTTTTTCTTGAGACGGAGTCTTGCTGTGTTGCCCAGGCTCGAGTGCAATGGCGTGATCTCGCCTCACTGCAACTTCTGCCTCCCGGGTTCAAGCGATTCTCCTGCCTCAGCCTCTCGAGTAGCTGGGATTACAGGCATGGGCCACCACCCTGGCTAATTTTGTATTTTTAGTAGAGATGGGGTTTCTCCATGTTGGTCAGGCTAGTCTTGAACTCCCAACCTCAGTTGATCCGCCCGCCTCGGCCTCCCAAAGTGCTGGGATTACAGGTGTGAGCCACCGTGCTTGGCCTGAGTCTCTAAACAGTTCCTGGCCCATAGTAGATGCTTAATAAAAATACTGATAATAAATATTTTGCTCCGGCCAGGTGTGGTGGCTCATGCCTGTAATCCCAGCACTTTGGGAGGCCGAGGCGGGTGGATCACGAGGTCAGGAGTTCGAGACCAGCCTGGCCAACATAGTGAAACCCCATCTCTACTAAAAATACAAAAATTAGCTGGGTGTGGTGGTGTGCACCTGTAGTCCCAGCTACTCGGGAGGCTGAGGCAGAATTGCTTGAACCCAGGAGGCAAAGGTTGCGGTGAGCCGAGATGGTGCCATTGCACTCCAGCCTGGGCAACAGAGCAAGACTCCATCTCAAGCAAAAAAAAAATTTTGTTTTTTTTTTGCTCCATAGGTCTTGGGAATCCTTTATGTGCGTGAGGAAGCTAATATTTTCAAATCTGTACAATGTCATTGCATTTTTGTCAATCAGCTGTGTGTGCTTTACTGCATTTCCTTCAGTGTCTGAGTCTAATGGGGTTAGATACCATTAGTACAATACCATGTACTGAGAGTCTTCTGTTTGCCTGTCTCTACTACAAACATTGCCCTTGCTAATGCTCCTCTAATCCTTATCATAAACCTGGGAGTCAGGCCCAGCTGTCGTCTCCCTTGTGCAGACGAGGAAGCTCCGGCTCAGAGAAGTCAGCTGTAGTAAGTCAACACAGCTGGCCAGCAAAGGGTGAGGCTCAGGCGGTCTCTTCTTTCTCCCCATGCTGGGCAGCTCAGGAGTGGTGTTTGTTATGCAAAGCTGCCAATCTGATTTTCAAAAAAATTCATTGTGAAAAGCATGTTGTATTCAAGACAACTATATTTACTAAGAGTAGACAGAATGAAAAAATGAATTTAAATTATTCTCAACCTATTATCAACCTTGGGTTGACAACAAATAGGTATTGATTCAGCTAAAACTATAATTTCCTAACTATACTCAACACGAGCTACTTTAGCGAAAGGAACAAGTGGTGCTTTAGCTGCAGTCTCAGAAATCTTAGGTCTCACATCCACAAACTTGTGCAGAACACCAAGGTGCCAGCCATAGTCGTGGCCCCCACTTCCCACTTGCAGAGATGATCTTTCCAGAGGGAGGAAAGGAGGTAAGAAGGAAGGAAGGTAGGAAAGGACAGAAGGAAGGAAGGGCCTCCCCACCCCACAAATGTGTTCTTCAGTTTCATAACTTCCTAATTTTAGACTTCATGCTCTGTCTGAGGAATCAGATGTATATAATTCCTCCAAATTAATGTTTCCTGGCCCTGTAACCATATTGCAAATGTATATGCTATGACATAACCAGAAAAGCAGGTCATAATAGTATATATCGAGATTACAACCATTTAACATATAACAGATGCATTGCAAAAAATGACTACAGGAAAACACCACAAAATACTAAAGGGTAAGTAGAACAGATGGAGGATTCTTTTTTTCTAGTTTCTAAAAATAGTTTAAATTACCTTTCTATTAAAATGCTTCTGAGTCAGGCGTGTTGGCTCACGCCTGTAATCCCAACACTTTGGGAGGCCAAGGCGGGTGGATCACGAGGTCAGAAGTTCAAGACCAGCCTGGCCAATATGGTGAAACCCTGTCTCTACTAAAAATACAAAAATTAGCCAGGCATGGTGGGTACCTGTAATCCCAGCTACTTGGGAGGCTGAGGCAGAGAATTGCTTGAACGAGGAAGGCAGAGGTTGCAGTGAGCTGAGATTATGCCACTGTACTCCAGCCTGGGTGACAGAGCAAGACTCTGTCTCAAAAAAAAAAAAAAAAAAAATCTGCTTCTGGCCGGGCACAGTGGCTCATGTTTGTAATCCCAGCACTTTGAGAAGCCTGGACAGGAGAATCGCTTGAACCCGGGAGGTGGAGGTTGCAGTGAGCCGAGATTGCGCCGCTGCACTCCAGCCTGGGTGACAGGGCGAGACTCCATCTAAATAAATTAATAATAAAATAAAATGCTGTCCAGGCATGGTGGCTCACACTTGTAATCCCAGCACTTTGGGAGGCCAAGGCGGGCAGCTCCATTCTTTGTATAGTATTTCACTGAATGGATATAATAGATTGGACCAGTTATCTATTAATGGACACTTAAGTTGTTTCCAGGTTTCTTGCTATTGCAAATTCTGCCCCCTTGGGGTAGAAAATATACATATATACGTGTCCTGTACGTGACCACCTTTGTATAGACATCTATATGCCGGACACATTCCAAGAGTTGAATTGCTAAATCAAAACGTATGTATCTTTATAATTTATTATTTTATTTTATTTATTTAAAAATTTTTTCTTTTTGAGACGGAGTCTCACTTTGTCACCCAGGCTGGAGTATAATGGCACGATCTCGGCTTACTGCAACCTCTGCCTCCCGGGTTCAAGTGATTCTCCTGCCTCAGCCTCCCGAGTAGCTGGGATTACAGGCACCCGTCACCACGCCCAGCTAACTTTTTGTATTTTTAGTAGAGGAGATGGGGCTTCACCAGGTTGGCTAGGCTGGTCACAAACTCCTGACCTCAGGTGGTCCACCCGCCTCGGCCTCCCAAAGTGCTGGGATTACAGGTGTGAGCCACTGTGCCTGGCCTTAAAATTTATTTTTAATTAATTATTATTAGTCTCTTAAGGATAAAATCTCTCTATGCTGCCCAGGCTGGTCTCATCTCCTGGGCTCAAGTGATCTTCCCACCTCAGCCTCCTGTAGCTGGGATTACAGGTGCTCACCCCCATGCCTGGCTAGATAATTTTTTTTTTTTTTAGATGGAGTTTCACTGTTGTTGCCCAGGCTGGAGTGCAATGACGAGATCTTGGCTCATCACAACCTCTGCCTCCCGGGTTCAAGCGATTCTCCTGCCTCAGCCTACTGAGTAGCTGGGATTACAGGCGTGAGCCACCACACCCGGCTAATTTTGTATTTTTAGTAGAGATGGGGTTTTTCCATGTTGATCAGGCTGGTCTCGAACTCCCGACCTCAGGTGATCCGCCTGCCTCGGCCTCCCAAAGTGTTGGGATTACAGGCATGAGCCACTGCACTCGGCCGATAATTTTTATAGATACATACAAATTGCCCTCCAAAATGGTTGAACTAGCCTATATTTCCAATACCAATGTACATATGCCCTATTTCCCTATACCTTAACCCACAGTATTATCGAACTGACATTTTTGCCAATCCGATAGGTGAAAAATTACATCTCATGTTTAATTTTGGACTAAAAGAAAATGAAAATATAGCTTATCAAAATTTGTGGGATACAGCCTGAGCAACACTAGGAGACGTCGTCTCTACAAATAATGAAAAAAAATAGCCCAGCATGGTAGCACACGCCTGTGGTCCCAGCTACTCAGGAGGCTGAGACAGGAGGATTGCCTGAGCTTGGAAGGTTGAGGCTGCAGTGTGCTGTGATTGGGCCATTGCACTGCAGCCTGGGCAACAGAGCAAGACCTTGTCTAAAAAAATAAAATAAGGCTGGGCGCGGTGGCTCACACCTATAATCCCAGCACTTTGGGAGGCTGAGGTGGGCGGATCCCTTGAGGCCAGGAGTTCCAGACCAGCCTGGCCAACATGGTGAAACCCTGTCTCTACTAAAAATACAAAATTAGTCGAGCGTGGTGGCACACACCTGTAATCCCAGCTACTCGGGAGGCTGAGGTGGGAGAATTATTTGAACCTGGAAGGCGAAGGCAGCAATGAACCGAGATTGCATCACTACACTCCAGCCTGGGTGACGGAGTGAGACTCTGTCTCAATTGAAGAAAAAAAAAAAAAAAAAAAAAGAGGTGAGGGCCGGGCACAGTGGCTCACACCTGTAATCCCAGCACTTTGGGAATCTGAGGTGGGGGGATTACCTGAGTTCAAGACCAGCCTGACCAACATGGAGAAACCCCATCTGTACTAAAACCCCATCTGTACTAAAAATACAAAAATTAGCCGGGCATGGTGGCACATGCCTGTAATCCCAGCTACTCGGGAGGCTGAGGCAGGAGAATTGCTTGAACCCAGAAGGCGGAGGTTGTGGTGAGCCGAGATTGTGCCATTGCACTCCAGCCTGAGCAACAAGGGTGAGACTCCGTCTCAAAAAAAAAAAAAAAAAAAAAAAGGAAAAGAAAAGAAAAAAGGAAAAAGAAATCTGTAGGATGCTGCAACACAAAATTAAACAAGAAGAACAAAGCTGAAGGATGGATGGACAATACTCGACTTTAAGAGTTACTATAAGCCGGGCATGGTGGCTCATGCCTATAATCCCAGCACTTTGGGAGGCCAAGGCAGGCAGATCGCTTGAGCTCAGGAGTTCGAGACCAGCCTGGGCAACAAAGTGAGATCCTGTCTCTACAAAAAATACAAAAATTAGCCCAGCGAGGTGATTCACACCTGTAGTCCCAGCACTTTATGAGGCTGAGGTAGGAGGACTGCTTAAGCTCAAGAGTTTGAGACCAGCCTGGGCAACAAAGTGAGACCCTCATCTCTACAAATTTTTTTTTTTTTTTTTTTTTGAGACAGAGTCTTGCTCTGTTACCCAGGCTGGAGTGCAGTGGTGCGATCTTGGCTCACTGCAAGCTCCACCCCCTGGGTTCATGCCATTCTCCTGCCTCAGCCTCCTGAGTAGCTGGGATGACAGGTGCCCGCTACCACACCCAGCTATTTTTTTTTTGTATTTTTAGTAGAGATGGGGTTTCACCGTGTTAGTCAGGATGGTCTCGATCTCCTGACGTCGTGATCTGCCCGCCTCGGCCTCCCAAAGTGCTGGGATTACAGGCATGAGCCACCGCGTCCGGCCTCTACAAAAAATTTTTAAAAAGAGAAAAAATTCAATGATAGGAAAATAAACACCTGATTAAAACAGAGACAAAAGATCTGAACAGACACCTCACCAGAGAAGATATGCAGATGACAAACAAACATATGAAAAGATGCTCAGCATCAGATGTCAGTAGGGAATTGCAGGTTTTTTTGTGGTTTTTTTTTTTTTTTTTTTTTTTTTTTGAGACAGGGTCTCACTCTGTCACCCAGGCTGGAGTGCAGTGGTACAATCATGGCTCACTGCAGCCTTGACCTCCCACCTCAGCCTCCCAAGTAATTGGGATTACAGGCGCCCTCCACCATGCCTGGCTAATTTTTGTGTTTTTTTAAGTAGAGATGGGGTTTCACCACATTGGTCAGGTTGGTCTCGAACTCCTGACCTCAGGTGATCCACCTGCCTCAGCCTCCCAAAGTGCTGGGATTACAGGTGTGAGCCACTGAGCCCGGCCTTTTTTTTTTTTTTTTTTTTTTTAAATTCAAGATCTTGCTCTGTGGCTCAGGCTGAAGTGCAGTTGCATGATTATGGGTGCCCCAGCCTCCCAAGTAGCTGAGACTACAGGAACTCACCACCGCCCCCGGTTAATTTAAAATTTTTTTATGGAGACAGGATCTTGCTTTGTTGCCTACGCTGATCACAAACTCCTGGTCTCAAGTCTACCTTGGCCTCGGGATTATGCTGGGATTACAAAAATGAGCCACCATGCCCAGCTGGGACCTGCAAATTTAAACAACAATGAGATGCCACTACACGGCTATCACCATGGCTAAAATCCAAAACACTGAGAACACCAAATGCTGGTGAGAGTGTGGAGCAACAGGAGTTCTCACTCATTACTGGTAGGAATGCAAAATGCTATAGCCACTTTGGAAGACAGTGTGGCAGTTTTTAGAAAGCTAAACGTACTCTTACCATATGATCCGGGAATCGTGTTGCTTGCTATTTATCCAAATGAGTTGAAAATTTACATCCACACAAAAACCTACACAAGAATGTTTATAGCAGCCTTATTCATCACTGCCGAAAATTGGAAGCAATTGACATCCTTTACTAGGTGAATAGATAAGCAAACTAAGGTACATTCATATAAGATATACTATTAGGCCAGGCGCGGTGGCTCACGCCTGTAATCCCAGCACTTTGGGAGGCCAAGGCGGGCAGATCACAAGGTCAGGAGTTCGAGACCAGCCTGGCCGACATGGTGAAACCCTGTCTGTACTAAAAACACAAAAATTAGCTGGATATGATGGTGGGTGCCTGTAATCCCAGCTACTCGGGAGGCTGAGGCAGGAGAATTGCTTGAACCTGGGAGGCAGAGGATGCAGTGAGCCAAGATTGCGCCACTGCACTCCAGCCTAGGTGACAAACAAGACTCCAGCTCAAAAAAAAAAAAAAAAAAGATATACTATTAAGCAGCCAGGTATGGTGGTGGCTCACGCCTGTAATCCCAGCAGTTTGGGAGGCTGAGGTGGGTTGATCACCTGAGGTCAGGAGTTTGAGACCAGCCTGGCCAACATGGTGAAACTCCATCTCTACTAAAAATGCAAATATTATCTGGGTGTGGTGGTGCGTGCCTGTAATCCCAGCTACTGGGGAGGCTGAGGCAGGAGAATCACTTGAACCTGGGAGACAGAGGTTGCAGTGAGTAGAGGTTGCACCACTGCACTCCAGCCTGAGTAACAGAACAAGACTCCATCTCAAAAAAAAGAAAAAAAAAAGACATATTATTCAGAGATAGGAAATGAGCTAGCAAGCCACAAAAAGCCATAAAGGAACCTCAAATGAATATTAATCAGTGAAGAAGCCAATCCGAAAAGGCAACATACTGTATGATTTCAACCATGTGACATTCTGGAAAAGGCAAAACCATGGAGACATTGAAGTGATCAATGATTGCCAAGGGTTTGCGGGGTTGGGGGAGGGAGACAGAGGGAGGAAGGGAGGGATGAGTTGGTGGAGCACAGATGATTTTTAGGGTGATGGACCACGCTGTATGATACTGTAATTGTGGATATTGACATTATGCAATTGGCAAAACACACAGAACTATATAACACAAAGCACAAACCCCATTTTAAACTATGGACTTTAAGGAAACAATTAACAAAGTGAAGAGACAACTCACAGAATGGGAGAAATATTTGCCAACTAGCTATCTGACGGGATTTAGTAATGGGAATATATAAGGAGCTCAAACAATTCTATGGGAAAAAAAATCTAATAATACAACCAAAAATGGGCAAAAGATCTGAATAGACATTTCTTAAAAGGCGATATACAAATGGCAAACAGATATATGAAAAGGTGCTCAACATCATTGATCATCAGAGATGCAAATCAAAATTATAATGAGGTATTTTCTCACCCCAGTTAAAATGGCTTTTATCCAAAGGACAGGCCATAACAAATGCTGGTGAGGATGTGGAGAAAAGGGTACCCTCGTACACTGTTGGTGGCAATGCGAATTAGTATAACTCCTATGGAACAGTATGGAGGTTCCTCAAAAAACTAAAAATAGAGCCACCAGGTGATCCAGCAATCCCACTGGTAGGTATATACCCAAAAGAAAGGAAATCAATATATTGAAAAGATATCTATACTCCCGTGTTTATTGCAGCACTATTCACAACAGCTAAGAATTGGAAGCAACCTGTGTCCCCACTCAAATCTCATCTTGAATTATAGTTCCCATAATCCCCATATGTCATGGGAGGGACCCAGTGGGAGGTAATTGAATGACAGGGGCGGATTTTTCTGTTTTTGTTTTGTTTTGTTTCTTTTGAGACGGAATCTCACTCTGTCACCCAGGCCGGAGTGCAGTGGCGTGATCTTGGCTCACTGCAACCTCCGCCTCTTGGGTTCATGTAATTCTCTGCCTCAGCCTCCTGAATAGCTGGGATTGCAGGTGCCCACCTCCATGCCTGGCTAATTATTTTAGGGGTAGGTTTTTCCTGTGCTCTTCTCGTGATAGTGAGTAAGTCTCATGAGATCTGATGGTTTCACAAAGGGCAGTTCCCCTGTACACACTTTCCTTGCCTGCCACCATGTAAGATGTGCCTTTTCTCCTCCTTCGCCTTCTTCCATGATTGTGAGGCCTCCCCAGCCACGTGAAACTGAGTCCATTAAACCTCTTTTTCTTTATAAATTACCCAGTCTTGGGTATTTCTTCACAGTGGTATGAAATGGACTAATACACTAAGTGTCCATCAACAAACAAATGGATAAAGAAAATGTGGTTCATATACACCTGGGAGTACTAGTCACCCATAAAAAAGAATGAGACCCTGTCATTTGCAATAACTTGGATGGAGCAGGAGGTCATTGTGTTACGTGAAATAAGCCAGGCACAGAAAGAAAAACTTCATGTGTTCTCACTTATTTGTGGGAGCTAAAACTTAAAAGAATGGAACTCATGGAGATAGAGAGCAGAGGCTGGGAAAAGTAATGGTGGGGAAAGAGGGAGAAGGGGGGCTGGTTAATGTGCACAAAAATATAATTAGCTAGAATGAATAAGACCTAGTATTTGATAGCACAATAGGGTGATTACAGTCAATAATAATTTATTGTACATTAAAAATAACTATGGGCGGCCGGGCGCAGTGGCTCACGCCTATAATCCCAGCACTTTGAGAGGCTGAGGCGGGCGGATCATGAGGTCAGGAGATCGAGACCAGCCTGGCTAACACGGTGAAACCCCATCTCCACTAAAAACACAAAAAATTAGCCAGGCATGGTGGCGGGGCGCCTGTAGTCCCAGCTACTCGGGAGGCTGAGGCAGGAGAATGGCATGAACCCGGGAGGTGGAGCTTGCAGTGAGCCAAGATCGCGCCACTGCACTCCAGCCTGGGCGAAGAGTGAGACTCCGTCTCAAAAAAAAAAAAAAAACTATGGGCCGGGCATGGTGGCTCACACCTGTAATCCCAACACTTTGGGAGGCCGAGGCGGGTAGATCACCTGAAGTCAGGAGTTCGAGACCAGCGTGGCCAACATGGTGAAACCCTGTCTCTACTAAAAATACAAAAATTAGCCAGGCGTGGTGGCGGGCACCTGTAATCCCAGCTACTCGGGAGGCTGAGGCAGGAGAATTGCTTGAACCCAGGAGGCGGAGGTTTCAGTGAGCCGAGATCATTCCACTGCACTCCAGCATGGGTGACACAGCGAGACTCCATATCAAAAAATAAAATAAATAAAAATAACTGAAAGAGTATAATTGGGCCGGGTGCAGTGGCTTACGCCTGTAATCCCAGCACTTTGAAAGGCTGAGGCAGGCGGATCACTTGAGGCTAGGAGTTCGAGACCAGCCTGGCCAACATGGCAAAACCATGTCTCTACTAAAAAATACAAAAATTAGCCAGACATGGTGGCAGGCGCCTGTAGTCCCAGCTACTCGGGAGGCTGAGGCAGGAGAATCGCTTGAACCTGGGAGGCGGAGGTCGCAGTGAGCATCTGAGATGGCACCACTGCACTCCAGCCTGGGCAACAGAGAGAGATGCTGTCTCAAAAAAAAAAAAAAAAAGAAAAGAAAAGAAAAAAAGAGTATAATTGGATTGTTTGTAACACAAAGAAAGGATAAGTGCTTGAGGTGATGGACACTCCATTTACCCTGATGTGATTATGCCTGTATCAAGATATCTCATGTAACCCATAAATATATATACCTACTACGTACCCACAAAAATTAAAAAAAGATTTTTAGAAATAAAAAGTAAACTATGGGCTTTAGTTAATAATAATGTATCAATCAATTTGTCCATCAGTTGTAGTAAATGTACCACACTCATTCAAGTTATTTATTTATTTAGAGACAGGGTCCAGCTCTGTCACCCAGGCTGGAGTTCAGTGGCCCAATCATAGCTCACTGCAACCTCGAGTGTGTGCCATCACACTCAGCTAATTATTTAATTGTTTTGTAGAGATGGGGTCTTGCTATATTGTCCAGGCTGGTCACAAACTCCTGGGCTCAATTAATCATCTCGCCTCAGCCTCCTAAAGCTCTGGGGTTACAGGCATAAGCCACCACTTCCGGCCTTGCTAGTTCTTAATAATAGTGGAAACTGAGGGACAGGGAGCAGGAGGAGATATATGACAACTCTATCCTTTCTGCATGATTTTTTTTTCTGTAAACCTGAAGCTGCTCTAAAACATGTCTGTTGGGCACAATAACTCACACCTGTAATCTCAGAGTTTTGGGAGGCCGAGGTGGGAGGATCATTTGAGGCCAGGAGTTCGAGACCAGCCTGGGCAACATAGCGAGACCCCATCTCTATAAAAAATAAAAAATTAGCCAGGCATGGTAGCATGTGCCTGTAGTCCCAGCTACTCAGGAGAATGAGGCAGGAGGATGGCTTGAGCCCAGGAGTTGGAGGCGGCAGTGAGCTATGACTGTGCCACTGCACTCCAGCTTGGGTGACAGAGCGAAGCCCTATCTCAAAAAAATAAAAAAAAGTCTAAGAAAAAAATTTTTAGGCCAGGTGCGGTGGCTCACGCCTGTAATCCAAGCACTTTGGGAAGCTGAGGCAAGTGGATCACGAGGTCAGGGGTTCGAGACCAGCCTAGCCAGCATGGTGAAACCCTGTCTCTACTAAAAATACAAAAATTAGCTGGGCATGGTGGCCTGCACCTGTAGTCCCAGCTACTCAGGAGGCTGAGGTGGAGAATCGCTTGAACCCGGGAGGTAGGAGGTTGCAGTGAGCTAAAATCATGCCACTGCACTCCAGCCTGGGCGACAGAGTGAGACTCTGTCTCAAAAAAAAAAAAATTTTTTTTTTAAATGACATCTCAGGTTAAAACTGCCTGTTTAATGCACTTTGTCCTTTTTCGTTTGCTTGTTTTTGAGATAGGGTCTAGCTCTGTTGCCCAGGCAGGAGTGCAGTGGGGGATCTTGGCTCACTGCAACCTCTGCCTCCCAGGCTTAAGCCATCCTCCCACCTCACCCTCCCAAGTATCTGGGACTACAGGCATGTGCCACCATGCCCGGCTAATTTTTGTATTTTTTTATAGAGACAGGGTTTCACCATGTTGCCCAGGCTGGTATAGAACTCCTGGGCTCAAAAGATCCTTTCACCTCAGCCTCCCAAATTGCTGGGATTATAGGCGTGAGCCACCATGCCCAGCCCTTTGTCCATTTTATATAATGATGTTCATATTTTCTTACTAAATTTTCAGAATTCTTTATATACTATTTTTTAATTTTTTTTTTTTTGAGACAGAGTCTCGCTCTGTCGCCCAGGCTGGAGTGCAGTGGTGCAATCTTGGCTCACTGCAAGCTCCACCTCCCAGGTTCACGCCATTCTCCTGCCTCAGCCTCCAACTAGTTGGGACTACAGGTGCCTGCCACCACACCTAGCTAATTTTTTCTATTTTTTAGTAGAGATGAGGTTTCACCGTGTTAGCCAGGATGGTCTCGATCTCCTGACCTCATGATCCGCCCGCCTTGGCCTCCCAAAGTGCGGGATTACAGGCGTGAGCCACCATGCCTGGCCTCCTATTTTTAAATTTTATTATTATTATTATTATTTGAGATGGAGTCGTGCTCTTGTCGCCCAGGCTGGAGTGCAGTGGCCTGATCTCAGCTCACTGCAACCTCCACCTCCTGCATTCAAGCTTCTCCTCCCTCAGCCTCCTGAGTAGCTGGGATTACAGGTGCCCACCACCACCCCGGCTAATTTTTGTACTTTTAGTAGAGACGGGGTTTTGCCATGTTGGCCAGGCTGGTCTTGAACTCCTGACCCCAGGTGATCCGCCCATCTCTGCCTCCCAAAGTGCTGGGATTACAGGCGTGAGCCACCGTGCCCGGCCTATTTTATTATTATTATTTCTTGAGGCAGTCTCGCTCTGTTGCCCAGGCTGGAGTGCAGTGGCGTGATCTCGGCTTACTGCAACCTCTGCCTCCAGAGTTTAAGCGATTCTCATGCCTCTGCCTCCTGAGTAGCTGGGATTACAGGCACCTGCCACCACGAATGGCTATTTTTTTTTTTTTTTTTTGTATTTTAGTAGAGATGGGGTTTCACCATGTTGGCCAGGTTGGTTTCAAAATCCTGACCCCAAGTGATCCACCCACTTCGGCCTCCCAAAGTGTTAGGATTACGGGCATTAGCCACTGCACCCAGCCAATTCTTTGGCCGTTAAAGAATATTATTTAATCATTTATATGAAAATCTTTTTCTTATTTTTTCCCATTTTCATTATCATGTGGGCCAGGCATGGTGGCTCACGCTTATAATCCCAGCACTTTGGGAGGCCATTTCGGGTGGATTCCCTGAGTTTAGGAGTTTGAGACCAGCATGGTCAACATGGCAAAACCCTGTCTCTGCAAAAAATACAAAAATTAGGTGGGTCCCAGCTACTTGGGAAGCTAAGGCGGGAGAATTGCTTGAACCTGAAAGGTTGAGAGTGCAGTGAACGTTGATTGTGCCACTGCATTGCAGCCTGGGTGACAGAGCAAGGCCCTGTCTTGAAAAAAATAAAAATATGCGGTTTAATTTCATTTATTGTTGCTATTTTGTGCTAGTGGAGTTTTAATTCTTTCATTTGTTCATGTTTTATTTATGATTTATGTTTATCAGACTTTCTTTCTTTTTTCTTTTTTTTTTTGAGATGGAGTCTCGCTCTGTTGCCCAGGCTGGAGTGCAGTGGTGCGATCTCGGCTCACTGCAACCTCTGTCTCCTGGGTTCAAGCGATTCTCCTGCCTCGGCCTCCTGAGTAGCTGGGACTACAGGTGCACGCCACCATGCCCAGTTAATTTTTGTATTTTTAATTTTTGTAATTTGTAAAAATTTTTGTTTTTGTATTTTTAGTAGAGACGGGGTTTCACCACGTTGCCAGGATGGTCTTGATCTCTTGACCTTGTGATTTGCCCACCTTGGTCTCCCGAAGTGTTGGGATTACAGGCGTGAGCCACCATGCCTGGCCATTCATACTTTCTGTTTTACAGCTTTTTGGTTTTGTGTCTTGCTTAGAAAAGCTTATCCCAGGCAGGGCGCGGTGGCTCATACCTGTAATCCCAGCACTTTGAGAGACCGAGGTAGGCAGATCACCTGATGTGAGCAGTGTGAGACCAGCCTGGCCAACATGGTGAAACCCCGTCTCTACTAAAAATACAAAAATTAGCTGGGCCTGGTGCCGCACGCCTGTAATCCCAGCTACTCAGGAAGCTGAGGCAGGAGAATCGTTTGAACCGAGATCATTCCACTGCACTCCAACTGGGAAGACAGAATGAGACTCTGTCTGAGGAAAAAAAAAAAAAAAGCTTAGCTTGGGATAAATAAAACACCTGTGTTCTTTTCTCGTACTTTTTTTTTTTTAAGTTTATATTACTGAGCCATCTGAGTTTTTTCGCAGTCTGGATACCGTTTCTTCCATGTAGATATCTGGATCTATTTCTTGGGTGTATTCTGTTCCATTGAATTGCTTTTGCATATTTCAGCAACAGTACCAAACCAGTTAAAGCAAAAAAGCTTTTTAACTTAATTATTCATTTAATATTTGGTGAGGGATATATCTTTCATGGTTTTTTATTTTCCCCCCTCCTAAAAAAAGTCCTGGATAGTCTACTTTTTTTTTTGAGACGGAGTCTCGCTCTGTCGCCCAGGAGGGAGTGCAGTGGCGTGATCTCGGCTCACTGCAAGCTCCGCCTCCCGGGTTCACGCCATTCTTCTGCCTCAGCCTCCCGAGTAGCTGGGACTACAGGTGTCCGCCACTACGCCAGCTAATTTTTTGTATTTTTAGTAAAGATGGGGTTTCACCGTGTTAGCCAGGATGGTCTCGATCTCCTGACCTCGTGATCCGCCCGCCTCGGCCTCCCAAAGTACTGGGATTACAGGCGTGAGCCACAGCGCCCGGCCTGGATAGTCTACTTTTGTTCTTTTTTTTTCAGGTGAACTTTAAATTCATTTTCACAGCTACAAATTGAATGTCCCCTAAGCAAACTGGTTTGAATTCAGGTCCTTATAGAGTCTGGGGCATCACTGAGGAATCATGCCTGCTTGAGGGGTGGAGGCAAAGTGTGAGCAAGGTGAGGGGGTGCTGGAAGCCAGAAGCTTCCTGCGGAGCCTGTGAGGTGCCCACAGAGCAGGGTCCACTGCCCGGAAGGATCACTGGACCTCACAGGCAGAGCTGGAGGGAGGAAAGGCTAAGCCAGCAGAAGCCCCGCTGGGGGAGATCAAAGACAAGCATGGGCAACAGGTCTTCACAGCTGAGTGACACAAACAAGAGGGGTGCCGGGCCAGGGCTGATGGAATTGCCATGCGTGACCAGAAGGCTCAGCGGGGCCTCTAAAGGGCACCTCCCCAGCACCTGGCCTTGGCCCGACCCAGAGGGTGTTCAGGGTACCCAGTAAATCTATGATGAGCAAATAAACAAGTGCATGAAGGCTAACTCCAGGAGGAGGAGGAGGGGCGAGGAAGGAGGATCAAAGGGATGGCGTACACGTCCCAGGGAAGGCAAAGTGAAGGAGGTCGGGGTGCAGTATTTTTTTTTTTTGAGACAGAGTCTCACTATGTCACCCAGGCTGGAGTGCAGTGGCACGATCTCGGTTCACTGCAACCTCTGCCTGCTGGGTTCAAGCAATTCTCCTGTCTCAGCCTTCCGAGAAGCTAGGACTACAGGCACCCACCACCATGCCCAACTAATTTTTTTGTATTTTTAGTGGAGACAGGGTTTCACCATATTGGTCAGGCTAGTCTCGAACTCCTGACCTCAAGTGATCTACCTGCCTTGGCCTCCCAAAGCGCCGGAATTACAAGCGTGAGCCACCAAGCCCAGCCGAGGGTGCAGCTTTTGAGGCAACTGAGAGCCTCTTTGACCTGAGAATCACAGCAACATACTTGTGGGCAGCAGAAACACCCAGGCCAGGAGATACATTGGGAGGAATCTTTATCCCTTCCTGCTTCTCTTGTGGCCAGAGACCTGCACACTCTGTCCCACCCCCACACCTCCCATACCAATTTCTCAGCTTACCCAAGGCAGGTTCCAGGAGAAGGCTGTGGGGCAGGAAGGATTTGGGCTCTGAGATAGGTACTGCGGACACATGTTCCCATGGGAGAATGTTGCACGTGGCAGCTGATTTCTGTCCAAATCACAGCTGAATGGCAGAGTGGAGGAAAAAGAACCCAGGTGTGAGGCCAGACAGGCCCGTCTGATCCCAGCCCTGCCCCTAATTAGCCCTGTGACTTCTGAATAACACACCACAAAGGCCCCTTGGATTTGAGGTAAATTAAGTGACATGGCGCATATAAAAGGCCTGGTACCTAGTAGGTGCTCAAGAAATGTTAGCCGGTGCCCACTCCAGTTCTTCCCTGGCCTTTCCAGCTGTAGTTGGAGTACGTTAGGAACAAAATCGGCTTCTGCAGCTAATGATCACTGCTTAGAAATGTGTTCTGAGTTCTGATCAATTTATCCAGAACCCGTGGAACCCCTCACCTCCTCTTATCTGCCCCCAAACAGTCCTGAGTCATTGACAGCATCTTGAACCTCCTGGCCCCTGGACTCACCCAGTGAGGCCATTCGTGAAGATCAAAGAAACGAAATCACCAGGCAGTGATACCAGGGCTGGATAGTCACCTTCTGGCACCTTTTAGACATCTCTCTGCATCTTGGTCTTTCCTTCTGCAAGGACAACAATATTACAGCCCCCCAACCCTCCCCAGGCACTCACTACAGGAGATTAGCGTTACAAAGGCTCAGAACGGTGCCGGGAACATGGTGGCCCCAGGAGGGATTCTGCTGGTTCTGCAAACCCCACCGCAGGAAGACTTCCTGGCTTGTAAAATGAAGGAAAAGCAACCCATCAGGCGCTTGCCACTCACTGCCTGGCTGTCCTAGGCCATGGCCCCTTATCTGCGCCACACACACACACACACACACACACTACACACACACACACCACACACATCACACACACACACACACACACACACACACACACACACACACACACACACACACACACACACACACACACTTCTCCCCCTCTCCCTCACCCCTCCTGGCTCGACAGGGGAGGAGCTGGGAGGGCCTGTCCCCTGTCCCCCTAGCCCAGCCTTAGCCCCTATTACCGGAGGCCTCCGCTTTCTAGAACCCCGGGAGGGGCTTCGTGGACGTGGCTGTGCCGCAGGGGGGCGCCCTCCTCCCGCCGTGCTCGGGGGTCGAACCCCGAGCGCTCCGGGAGGGCTTAAGCAGGCGGGGAGGTGAGGCGAGCCCGGGCCGGGCCGGGCCAGGCCGGGCCGCGAGGGGGCGCCCCACACCACCCTTGGCCTCCACCGCGCTCGCGCAGCTGGAACCTCCGAGAAGGCCCAGGGTGCAGAGGAAGGGAGAGGCCCAGGGGCCAGGGTCATGGGTGGGGACAGAACGGGGGCAGGAGGGGGCGCTGAAGAGGGAGGGAACGTGGAGATGGAGGGGAGGCAAACAACGAGGGGGCATCCAGAGGGTCCCGGGAACGCGACCTGGGGGTTGGACAGGAAACCAGGGGTCGGGGCAGCCTGCTGGGGGCGTCTCGTGCCCCCCACCCTCCATTCCTCTGAACCAGTCCGGAAGGGGGGTTCGGCTGGCAAGCCGCGGTGGCGTCAGCCTCTGGCACCCGCTGCTGCCCGGCCCGTGGCTCCAGGCAACCGGGGACGCTGCGGGGGCTGCGCTGGGCAGCGGGTGCGGGTGCGGGCGCCCCCCATCGCGGGCCCAGGCGTTCCCCCAGCAGGCCCAGGAGCCCCCACGGGTCCAGGTGCGCCCCTGAGGCCTGGCTCCCCTGGGGCCGCGTGCCCGGAACGTGACTCAGCGCTTTCTCCGTGCCGGGCTGCGGTGGGGAGCGGGACGGAGGCGAGTGGCGCTGTCCCCAGGAAGGGCCCCGCACAGGCCCCCGCCAGGCGGGATCTTTCCCGGGTCGGGCAGGTTCGTTCATTTGTTCACGAACTCAGCGTCAGCGAGGCAGGAAGCGGGAAGAGAGAGGAGACCCCGGATAAGAAGATGGTGCTGTTGGAAACATTTGGGAATTTGGGGTGCGCTGCAGGCCTGGGTCATCCAGGCCACAGGAGAGGCACAGGGCTGCGGCCTGGGTTGGGGGAACAGCCACAGCTGTGGGGCGTTTCAAGGAGGCCGAGGCACAGGCGTATGGACTGGATTTTGAAGGATGGGAGAAGGGGGCCTCAGGACAGGAACCGGCCTTATGGAAGGAAAGCTGGGAAGTAGGGAGGGGGCCGGGGGTGTCGGAGAGGACAGCTGAGTGTGGCGGGAGCGGAGGCAGAGCGGCCCTGGGGCCCCGGCGTCAGCTGAGGTTGCACTGTGTTTGGAGAGGAGCCTCGGAGGGGTGGGCTGCCTGGCAGCAGTGGCCTGGGGGCCGCAAATGAGGAGGGTGCAGTGCCTTGGGCAGTAAATTAGAAGACACAGGCTGCTGGCTGGGGGCGGGAGGGCACAGGGAAGCCCTGCCCGGGAGCAGGCCGAGAGCTAGGTTTCCACCGTTCCCCGCCAACCCCAAACTGAGGACCGATGGATCCTGCCCCTGCGGTGGGAAACCAGGAGGCCTCTTTCCCTGACTGGATAGCTGCCCTGAGGCAGGGGATTGAGTGAGATGACCCTGAAGGGAGTCCCCAGTGTGCTCTTGTTCTGTGGGCTTGCCTGTCGTTCACACTCACGGAAGGGTCCTCCTGTCTGCCTGAAATGAATGAATGAATGAGCAGAGATATCTCAGCGTGTATTCCCTGGGGGGACACCACACACACTTCCTTCTTCAATAAGGGCTTTTTAATGAGGCCAGGGAGGAGACTGGGCTGGAGGTGAGGCCTGGGCCCCTGAGGGCAGAGGGACAGGCGGGACAGGCCTGAGTTGCCTTGCTTTGCTTGCCTTCCTTCCTTCCTTTCTTTCTCTCTCTCTCTCCTTCCTTCCTTCCTTCTTTCCTTCCTTCCTTCTTTGCTTCCTTCCTTCTTTCCTTCCTTCCTTCTCTCTCTCTTCTTTCTCTCTCCCTTCTCTTTCTCGCTTTCTTTCGCTCTCTCCCTCCCTCCCTCCTTCCTTCCTTCTTTTTCTTTTTCAGAGTTTCACTCTTGTAGCCCAGCCTGGAGTGCAGTGAGCTGAGATTGCGCCACTGCACTCACTGCAACCTCCACCTCTCGGGTTCAAGCGATTCTCCTGCCTCAGCCTCCCAAGTAGCTGGGACTACAGGTGTGCACCACCACGCAAGGTTAATTTTTTTATTTTTAGTAGGGATGGGATTTCACCGCGTTGGTCAGGCTGATCTCGAACTCCTGACCTCAGGTGATTCTCCCCGCCTCAGCCTCCGAAAGTGCTGGGATTACAGGCGTGAGCCACCATGCCCAGCCTCCTGAGCTGCCTTTCTGATAGTTCCCCTCTATCTGCCCAGCTGGAAACTCTGGCTTTTGGATCTGGCTCTGCCAGTAAGTCATTGTGAGAATTAGGGTGCATCCTGCCACCCCCTATCCATGCCACCATGCTCTGCTGAGCACCAAGCATGTGCCATACCTGACTCCGGCCAGGTGCCACAGAGAACTGCACACTGCCCTCCCGGAGCTCCCAGTCCAGCAGGGGAGACACAGATGCTGCTGTGGTGAGTGGAGAGGTGGCAGACATCCACATAGGTCCCCCAGCAGGCAGTGCCCACGAGAAGCCAGCCTCACCTGTGCCACCGTCCTCAGAGCTGTGTCCTCTCTGTGCCTCATTTTCTTCAGCTATAGGTGACACTAGATGGCTCCTGAGGCCTCCTGCAGATGACAGGTGCTTGCTGCTGTCATTGAGGGGTACTCCAGCTGCTCCTGCCTCCCACAAAAGGGCAAACAGACAAACCCCACCTCCGGCTAGCACCCCTGAAGGAATCTGGGCCTGCAGCTCCTCAGGACCAGACTTGGAGCTGGGGTCTGCCAGAGGCCCAGCCAGCTGATGTGGTGTCTCCCAGAGCTCAGGGCCCAGCCAAGGTGCTTCCCCCAACAAACTTGAACCCCAGCCAGCAGCCAGGAGCCCCACAGTGGGCAGTCTGTGCTGGCAGCAGGCGAGGGGCACGGGTCCTGGGCAGGCAGGAACAGAGGCCCCCCGCACTTGTCCTCTGCCCTGGAGGCACTCACCAGGCTGCAGGGGTGAAGCAGGGAAAGGGATTGTGGTGGAGGTCATCCCCCAAACTGAGTTCTAGACCCACCAGCTCAAAGGGCTCAGGGTCAAGGGTGGACCATGGGATGTGGGCTTTCTGGAACTCTGGCCAGCTAGGGGCAGAGCGAGTGTCCGGGGACCCCCAGCCCCAACTCTGCTCCAGCCAGGCCCGCTCTTCTGTGAGAGAGGTGGCATTGCCAGAGCTGATGTTGGTTCAGGTACCAGCCTGGGGATCCCGATGTGTCTTACCAACCGCCTGCTCAAACAGAAGAGCCAAAAAGGCTGGCACAAGTTCTGCCAGGATGGCGATGCAGGGAGGACCCTCCCTCTGCAGGTGTCACCAGCCGCACTGAGAGAAAAGGCTCGCGCCTGAGTTTTAAGACCTGGGCTTGGATGGCACGGTGACACGCACCCCGCGGGCTGGTTTATTTTCCTCCTTCCCACCTCTTCACATCTCCTTCAGGTGCTAGACACGGAGAGGGCCAAGAGAACCACTTGGGAAGGGGACTGACAACCTCGCTGGCCATTGTATGGTCATCAATACCATGCGCCTGCTGTCCCGGGCTCTGGCAGGTGGGGTGTGTTGAGGATGCTGTGGGGGCCCAGAGCCCACACCTAACCCAGGTGGAGACCAGGACTGGGGACTCTGGAACTAAGTCCTGAAGGGCGTTACCCAGGTGAAGCGGGAGAGCGGGAGGGTGCTCATTCAAGGCAGAAGGCAGGGATTGGGACAGGAAGAGTGGAAATAGTGATTCTCAGTGGTGCATTAGTGTGACTGGTCACAGAGGGGAGGGGAGGGGAGAAGATGAGGGATGAGCAGGAGTCAGATCTTGATGGAGCTTAGGGGGCCCGAAGCTCCTCCTGTAGGCGAAGGAACTCATTGCAGTTAGCTGAGGAGTGGCCAGAGCGGCACTTGAAAAGGGTCACCCTGGCCCCTCATCTTCCCTAGCACTGAGAGGCTAGCAGCCCCTGGGCACACTGGTGGGGGTCCCACCTCCATGCCTTTGCTCACTCCCCGCCTTCTGCCTGAAACTCTTTTCCTCCCTGCACTCCTGCTGGATACCTGGGCCATCTGTTTGAAGAATCAAGTCAGGGGCTGGGTGCAGTGGCTCGTGCCTCTAATCCCAGCACTTCGGGAGGCTGAGGTGGGCAGACCACTTGAGATCAGGAGTTCGAGACCAGCCCAGGCAACATGGTGAAACCCTATCTCGTCTCTACTAAAAACACAAAAATTAGCCAGGCGTGATGGCAGGCACCTGTAGTCCCCAGCTACTGGGGAGGCTGAGGCAGGAGAATCGCTTGAACCTGGGAAGCGGAGGTTGCAGTGAGTTGAGATCGCACCACTGCACTCCAGCCTGGGCGACAGAACAAGACTCCATCTCAAAAATAAAAAATAAAAAAAAGAATCAACTCAGGGTAGTCCTGTTGGACATGGCAGATATATTATACACATGTATGTCTTCACTTCCGAAACCCCATGCAAGTGAAAAGTAAAGGGATTTTTTTTAAACAAAGCTGTATGACAAAAAGCCCTGTACAAGACTGTTCATAGCAGCTTTATTCACAATAGATCAAAATTGGAAACAACCCAGATATCCATCAAGAGGGGACTGGATAAACAAATAGCTACCATCAGCTGATGAAATACTACTCAGCCATGAAGAGGAACAAACTACTGATGCATGCAACAACATAGTTAAATTCCAAAACTAACATGCTGAGTGAAGGAAGCTGAACACAAAGTACAAACTGTCTGGTGCCATTCATAGGAAATTCTAGAACAGGCAAAACTGACCGATGGCAATAGAAATCAAATGAGTGGTTGCTTAGGGATGGGGTGATGGTAGGGATCCCCTGGAAAGGGGCATGAGGAAATTTTCTGTGTTTTGATATATATTTGTCAAAATGGTTTGAACAGTACACTTAAGATCAGCTCATTTAATTGTACATGAATTTTACCTCAATAAGAACAAAATAGGCCGGGCGCGGTGGCTCACGCCTTAATCCCAGCACTTTGGGAGGCCGAGGCGGGTGGATCACGAGGTCGGGAGTTCAAGACCAGCCTGACCAACATGACAAAACCCCATCTCTACCAAAAATACAAAAATTAGCCAGATGTGGTGGCACATGCCTGTAGTCCAGCTACATGGGAGGCTGAGGCAGGAGAATCACTTGAACCCAGGAGGCAGAGGCTGCAGTAAGCTGAGATTACACCACTTCACTCCAGCCTGGGTGAGACAGAGCCAGACTCCATCTCAAAAATAAAAAACAAAAAAACATGAATCCACAAGGAAAAAAAAATAAAAAACCAGAAGGGGAGATAACGTCTGATGAGAGATTTCAGCAAATCTAGGCTGAGAACACATGAAGATGAAGAGGAAGTGTCAGAGAGCAGAGGGGCCAGCTCCTGGGCAGGTATGCAGAAGGGGATACCAAAAGGAAGTTGAATGATTTTTCCCCCAGATTCTGCAAAAGGTCAGAACACAAAGCTGAAGTTTTTGCACTGAGCAGATCTCTAGCCCCCTGTCTTCCCCCTCCCTACAATGTTCCTCCCCAGCTCCAACCCCACTGAGATTGGGGTTTATTTTCTGGAGCAATTGAACTGGGTCCTGGACCAGGGGACACTAGGCACTTGTAGGTGGTAGGGATCAGACACTGGGGTGAAAACAAGGATATTAAGTGAAAGAAGTCTGCATCTTGAAAAACAAAACCCCAAACCCCTTCCTGGCTCAGCAGCCATCACGCCAGGCTCAAACCCTGTAGGGGTAAACTAGAAGATTTTTCTCTGAGCTAATAACATGACCTTGGAGGAAAGGTCTGCTGGTATTGATCATTAGAGCCCTCCTGCAAAAAGGCTAGGTTGTCCTACAATAAAGCCCAATAGTTGACCAACTGCCTCTACTTGCTGACCTTGTAGTTAGCTTTTTAGCACTTCAATTTAAAAAATGAATTTACAGCCAGTACGACT
The DNA here is from genome assembly GCF_000001405.40 of Homo sapiens. Classification (NCBI taxonomy): domain Eukaryota; kingdom Metazoa; phylum Chordata; class Mammalia; order Primates; family Hominidae; genus Homo; species Homo sapiens. Next base: position 76,127,421 of record NC_000017.11, read on the forward strand.
AGACATTTGAGAAAAACCTTCAACTTGAAAGTGAGAGCTTATGATAGGTAGCTCCAAAGTGAAAGAAAGAAAGCAAAACAAGAAAGAAAAAAGAGGCTGGGTGCAGTAGCTCATGCCTGTAATCCCAGCACTTTGGGAGGCCGAGGCGGGTGGATCACAAGGTCAGGAGATCGAGACCATCCTGGCTAACACGGTGAAACCCCATCTCTACTAAAAATACAAAAAATTAGCTGGGAGTGGTGGTGGGCGCCTGTAGTCGCAGCTACTCGGGATGCTGAGGCAGGAGAATCGCTTGAACCCAGGAGGCGGAGATTGCAGTAAGCCAAGATCACGCCATTGCACTCCAGCCTGGGTGACAGAGCGAGACTCCATCTCGAAAAAAAAAAAAAAAAAAGAGGAAGGAAGGAAGGAAGGAAGGAAGGAATCCTGACCTCAAGTGATCTACCCACCTTGGCCTCCCAAAGTGCTTGGATTACAGGCATAAGCCACCATGCCCAGCCTTTTTATTTTTCTTTTGAGACGGAGTCTTGCGCCTCTTGCCCAGGCTGGAGTACAGTGGCACAATCTCGGCTCACTGCAACCTCCGCCTCCTGGGTTCAAGCGATTCTCCTGTCTCAGCCTCCTGAGTAGCTGGGATTACAGGTGCGTGCCACCATGCCTGGCTAATTTTTGCATTTTTTAGTAGAGACGGGGTTTCGCCATGTTGGCCAGGCTGGTCTCGAACTCCTGACCTCAGGTGATCCACCTGCCTCTGCCTCCCAAAGTGCTGAGATTACAGGCATGAGCCACCATGCCTGGCCTATTTATGGATTTTTTAAAAGGTATTCATAGAGAATGGCATTGATAAGGATTTGTAAGACTTTTTGGGACATTTGTGAATAATCAGCTATAAGAGCACAAAAAATCTAAAAAATGACAAGAAATGAGGTAATTATTAACTCCTGCATCCTTTATGAAAGGACATATACTCAGAGTGCACTGCTGGGCTCTGCAGTGAGCAATATGCACCACGCCATGGCAATCACATGGTGTCTGGCTGTTTAACCAAAAATCTGACCAAATAGGAGGATAGAGGAGGGAATCGAGCCATATCCTTACCTTCTATGGCAGGAAGCCATTGGATAACATTCAAATAAATTGAAGATCCAGCGATGGTAGTATTAATTAGAAGCATAAGGCTGGGCATGGTGGCGCATGCCTGTAATCCCAGCACCTTGGGAGGCCAAGGTGGGCAGATCACTTGACGTCAGGAGTTCGAGACCAGCCTGTTCAACGTGGTGAAACCCCGTCTCTACCAAAAATACAAAATTTAGCTGGGCGTGGTGGTGCACACCTGTAATCCCAGCTACTTGGGATGCTGAGGCAGGAGAATTGCTTGAATCCAGGAGGCGAAGGTTGCAGTGAGCCAAGATAGTGTCACTGCACACCAGTTTGGGCGACACAGTGAGACTCCGTCCCAAAAAAAAAAAAAAAAAAAAGAACAGCAGGGATTATTTGAACCAGTGAAAGAACTGAAAGTGGTTGGTTATGGTTACCAGAGGAGCAGGACCTGAAGGAAGAGCTAGTGACCTTTTGTGTTTTTTTTTAAACTTTTTAACATACTAAGTCTTTTTAAGATTGATATTTATGGCCGGGTGCGGTGGCTTCCGCCTGTAATCCCAGCACTTTGGGAGGCCAAGGAGGGCGGATCACAAGGTCAGGAGATCGAGACCATCCTGGCTAACACGGTGAAACCCCGTCTCTACTAAAAATACAAAAAATTAGCTGGGCGTGGTGGTGGGCGCCTGTAGTCCCAGCTGCTCGGGAGGCTGAGGCAGGAGAATGGCGTGAACCCCGGAGGCGGAGCTTGCAGTGAGCCGAGATCGCGCCACTGCACTCCAGCCTGGGCGACAGAGCGAGACTCCATCTCAAAAAAGAAAAAAAAAAAGATTGATATTTATTCCAGGTGCATGTACTGTTATGATGTAAAAATTTTTCCTTAAAAAAAAAAAAAAAGCCAGGTGTGGTGGCTCACACCTGTAATCTGAGCACTTTCAGAGGCTGAGGCAGGAGGATCACTTGAGCCCAGGAGTTTGAGACCAGCCTGGGCAAACTGGTGAGACCCCATCTCCATAAAAAATTAAAAAAACAGCCAGGCGTGGTGGCATGTGCCTCTAGTCCCAGCTACTCGGGAGGCTGAGCTGGGAAGATTGCTTGAACCCAGGAAGTCGAGGCTGCAGTGATCTGTGATTGTGTCACTGCACTCCAGCCTGGGCAAGAGTGAGAGACTCAGTTTCAAAGAAAAAAAAAAAAAGAAAAAGAGAAAGAGACAGGGTGTGGTGGCTCACGCTTGTAATCCCAGCACTTTGGCAGGCCGAGGTGGGTGGATCACCTGAGGTCAGGAGTTCAAGACCAGCCTGGCCAACATGGTGAAACCCCATCTCTACTAAAAATACAAAACATTAGCCGGGCATGGTGGTGGACACCTGTAATCCCAGCTACTCGGGAGACTGAGGCAAGAGGATTGCTTGAACCCAGGAGGTGGAGGTTGCAGTGAGCCGAAATCACGCCACTGCACTCCAACCTGGGCGACAGAGTAAGATTCCATTAAAAAAAAAAAAAGAAAAGAAAAGAAAAGAAAAAGAATAGAAAAAGAAAAAAGAAAGGCCCAGTGGCTGTTAGGTAGAGAACATACTGGAGCGAGGGCAGTGGGCTGGGAGACAGCTGGCTGGGGGTGCCAGTCCCGAGTGGGGGTGCAGCGTGAGGAAGGCCCACGCAGGGAGAAGGGGAATCCAGCCAGGCATACGGAGAGTTTGAGGTGCCCATAGCATGTTTGAGGGGTGCCTGAGAGGCTTCTGGGTAATGAAGGAGGGTTCTAGGAGACTCAGCTTGGAAAAGGAACCATACCTCATGAGCAAAGCTCCGAGAACAGGATTCTTGCCTTGAAGCTGCAATGCCCAAACATTTTAGCCTCAGAGTCTGTGAGTCCTATGGGTAAGGCTGTGGGCTTCCCAGCTCGGTGGGTTAGAAAGGCTCCCCAAGACGAGGTCTCATTCCTTGTTGCCCCTCCCTGACTCAGCTCAAAGGTCTAAGGAACCAGGTCACCAGGTGAGTGACTGACCAGTATCCAGCAGCACCTGGGACCCTGGCCTTCCTCTCCTGCAGCTGAGAATCTCCGGCCTCCAGCTGCGTCCTGCGAGCTGGGTGCAGGTCAGCTACCCTGACCTCCCGGGGCCCCTGCCCCTCTCGGGGCTCCTGTCCCTCCTCTCTGCTCCTCTTGCTCCTGAGTGCCCTTCCAAGTTACTGCAGACCTGCTCCTCCACCGTTCCGCCCCTTACACCCCATAGTTCCGCACATTAGCCAGAGCTCCCCACACCCTCCGGTTCACCCTGGCGCGGCCCCACCACCTCCCCATCCTCTTCCTCTTCCCTCTCCAAGAAAGGGGCCGGCGCTTACCCTTCCTGCCTCCTCTGAGACCCTCTTCCTCCTGCTCTCACCAGGAGCTCTCTCAGCACTGCCAACCCCTCGGGGTCACCCGTACCCCTTCTTTCCTTCAAACACCCCCAGGCCTCCCATCTTAAAGCTCTCCTTGGGTCTGCCCTCACCCCTGTCCGCACCCCTCTCCTTTCTTTCTCCCCATTTGGAGCTGGAGTTTGCTGCCTGCTCTCACTCTCCCCGCACCCCACCAACTGCACTAAGGACACAGCCCCATGGGAGGCCGCCGGGACCTCCAGGGCCAATGCCGGCTTCCGCTGCCCCCACTCAGGCTGCCCTGCGGCGCTCAGCACTGTGGGCGCTCCCTTCAGGGGGTGGGGAACAGGTGTGTGAGCGCAGTGGCTCCCCCTGCCCGAGTTCCCAGGCGTCCTCCCGCTCCCTCTCGGCTTTGCCTCCTCCTCCCTGGTCCCCTGGTTTCCTAGTGGTGGTCCTCGTTCTCCGCTACCCTCCCTCTGTTCTCACTTCCACACGAGAGGCCCCCAAATCCACAGGGTCAACAGCCTGCCCCCCTCGCTCAATTCCAGAACGGGGCAGCAATGGGGCTTTCCTCCAAGTTCTCCCTGGGCTGCAATGCCTTCTACCTCTGCACACCCTTGGGTCAAACCACTGCCTCCAGAGGCCTCGGGAATGTTCCCAGCCCAGGGACTGGAGAACCCCTGGGTGTTGACTATCTGGCTTCTCGGCTGCTTTTCTATCTTGTGTTGATCTGCCAGCCAGCACATATATTCATTCATCTATTCAAAAAATACTTAACACGTTGGGGGCTGTGATGCTTCAAAGGTAGGAATCACCAAGACAGGCCATCTTCCCACAGGGGTCTGCAGACCTGTGGGCTTAGTAGGTAGGGTCTGTATCCCAGTCCACCCCTCCTTTTCCCCTGCCCAACTCATGGGCACAGTTCACTCGAAGGAAATTGAAGGCACTCTGTTGCTCAGTGGGGATGGGGACAGGGCTTGGTACCCAGGGTTAGGCAGGAAGAGAGGCAGGGCAGCTGGTAGGGGTGTGCGGGGCTGTAGACGGAGCCTGTGGGTGGCTGGGCAAGGGGAGAGCTGTGGGCAGCTGCCCCACCTCAACTTAATTCCCTGGGCAAACAGCAGCATTGGGAGGCCTGCCCACCGCAATCCCGCTGCGGTTCTGGCTTCAAAGGGCCCTGGGGGCTGTGGGCGGGGTGGGCTTCGTGGAGGTATGCACACCCTCTCCAATTCCTGGAACTCCTACTTTCCTGGGAGCGCGGGTCCTGGGGCTCAGACCTCTCTGTCCTCAGAACAGGGTGGTGCGGCCCAAGGGCAGGTGAGGGGCTGGTGGGAGTCAGTTCAGGGCTGTACTGGAAGGCTATCAGGGGCCAGTAGGGAGACCCTCATCCCCGACAGCCCCTTCCGTTACGGTCCCCCAACCTCTCCTTGCCCTGCCAGCTCAGGCTGGCTGGCTTCTGGGGGACAATGTCCTTCCAGTTGGCCCCTGCCAACTTCTGACGCAGGCAGGGAAGGTTCAAGCCCCAGCATGCCCAGAAGCTTTGACCTGCTCACCTGGGAGCCACAGAGTGGGGCAGACACAGGTGCCCCGGGAAGAATGCAGCCCCTGAGGGCCTTCTGCGCTTCACCTGCTCCTCAGCTCACACCAGTCAGCGAGGCTTTGGCATGCGGGGGCCCATAAAGCCCCCTCCCCTGCCCGAGGTGCCGCCCCCATCCTCCCCCCCCGCCCGCCCCGGTCACCTGTGTTTTCCTCCTCACCAAACAAGAATGTGTCAGCAGGGCCCGGGCTCCTCCCCCACCCCATTGTTAACAAGGCCGGCTCGGCGGCCCCTTCCCACATCCCCACCCCCGACAGGCCCAGGCCTGCCCCAAGGGACCAGCCCACTGCCCCCTGCCGGGAGCGCACCTACACCTATTTACCTTTGGGCCTCAGCCCAGGAGGGAGCTGCACCTGACCCTCCACCGCCCCGCCTTCTTTCCTGCCCTCCAGCTCACCCTCTTCCGGCAAGTCTGGGTCCTGGGGCGGGGGAGGAGGTGGAGAACCATTCCTGACTCCTGCCCCAGATGGAGCTCAGCTCTGCAGGGGGCCTGGTCAGTTTGTCCCAGCGGAGCATAAAGTGCAGGGTTGAGGGGGATCCCTGGGGACCTTCCAGACCTGAGAGTCACTGGGCCCTGGGTGGCCTGTCCTATTTAACAGGATGTGCCCTGGGCAGGGACGGGGAGCCATCCAAGGTCTGAGCTCCTGGCCTTTCCTCCCACATCCTGGCCCTCCCCGCTCTCTCCATCACATTCCTAGCTGGGGGATACAGCTGGAAGACAGAATGGGGAAGAGGCTGGACATTCTGGGACAGAAGGGTGGCTCCGTGCTTTGGGAACAGGCTTTCCCCAACACTTAAAATGAGGTGGGGCTGGGCGTGGTGGCTCACTCCTGTAATCCCAGCACTTTGGGAGCCCAAGGCGGGCGGATCACTTGAGGATCCAGCCTGGCTAACATGGTGAAACCCCGTCTCTACTAAAAATACAAAATTATTTGGGCATGGTGGTGCACGCCTGTTATCCCAGCTACTCAGGAGGCTGAGGCAGGAGAATCGCTTGAACCTGGGAGGCGGAGGTTGCAGTGAGCCGAGTTTGTGCCACTGCACTCCAGCCTGAGCGACAAAGCAAGACTCTGTCTCAAAACAAAACAAAAGAGGTGGTTCAGGCAGGGGCTGTCACGTGCAGCAGGGGCTGGTTACCCCAAAAGTGGAGATTGCAGGTTAGAATGAAAGGAGATGAGGAACCGGCCAGGGAACTTGAGTTATGAGCTCAAAGCCACACAGCTCCAAAGAGATAGGACAGTGAATGAACGGTGATCTCGGATTGGGATGCTGGCACAGGGAGGAGCGTGACGGGGCAATCTGCAAAGTTTGAATGGGGTCCGTGGATTAGATGGGATTACCAGGCCAATGTTAATTTCCTGTTTTGTGTTGTTTTGTCTTGAGACAGGATGTCACTCTGCCACCCCTGCAGGAATGTAGTGGTGCAATCAGAGCTCACTGAAGCCTTGACCTCCTGGGTTCAGCTCAGGCGATTCTCCTGCTTCAGCCTCCTGTGTAGAGAGTAGCTGGGACCACAGATGCACACCACCATGCCTGGCTAATTTTAAAAATTATCTGTAGAGGTCGGGTGCGGTGGCTCACGCCTGTAATCCCAGCACTTTGGGAGGCCGAGGCAGGCGAATCATGAGGTCAGGAGATCGAGGCCATCCTGGATAACACGGTGAAACCCCGTCTTTACTAAAAATACAAAAGCTTAGCCAGGCGTGGTGGTGGGCACCTGTAGTCCCAGCTACTCGGGAGGCTGAGGCAGGAGAATGGCGTGAACCTGGGAGGCGGAGCTTGCAGTGAGCCGAGATCGCGCCACTGCACTCCAGCCTGGGCACAGAACGAGACTCCGTCTCAAATCAAAACAACAACAACAACAAAACAAACAAACAAAATCCAGAAGTGCCCTTGTTTTAAGGAAATACTTACTGAAGTATTTAGTGGTATGGGGAGTCAGGTCTTCAACGTACTGTCAAATGGTGCAAAACATATTTTGGTTGGGATTACATTGAACCTGGAAATAAATAAGAGGTAAATGGGCTGGGTGAGGTGGCTCACGCCTGTAATCCCAGCACTTTGGGAGGCTGAGGTGGGTGGATCACTTGAGGTCAGAAGTTTGAGACCAGCCTGGCCAACGTGGTAAAACCCCATCTCTACTAAAACTACAAAAATTAGCCGGGCGTGGCGGCGGGCGCCTGTAGTCCCAGCTACTCGGGAGGCTGAGGCAAGAGAATTGCTTGAACCCGGTGGGGCGGGGCGCACAGGTTGCAGTGAGCTGAGATCGCGCCGCTGCACTCCAGTATGGGCGACAGAGCCAGACGACTCAAAAAAAGAAGAAAAAAAAAGAGGTAAATGAACATCTTTTTACGAAAAAGCCACCCCACTGAGGGGCAAGGCAGGGGTGAATAGGAGTGAGGAGCTCCTAGCCCACACTCTCGCCACTCCCCAGCTTGGCCTGCTGAAAGTCATGCCCTCTCCAGGGCCCCCTCTCGGTTTTGCCGCACATTGGAAACATCTGGGGACCTTACAAATGCTGATGCCTGGGTCCCACCCCGGAAATTCTGGTCTAATTGGTCCAGGGTGCAGCCCAGCAGTGGGATTTTTCAGGAGCCTCCAGGTGACTGTCAAGCTGGGGCAAACCTCGATCTGCTTCTCAGGCCTGGTGCTCCCCCAGTGGGGTGTCCTGCCTGCCCCAGACATTGCCCCCCTTCCCCCCAGCACAGGCCTGGGGCACACAGCTACACGCCCAGCCTGTCAGTCCAAAGCTGGAGGCTGATCCTGTGGGGAGAAGGCTGGAGCCCAGCTTGTTCCCCCATTGCTGGGGTCCATGGAGAGGAAGGGGGCGGACAGTGGGGAAAAGGAGAGGGGAGTTGCTTGCGGGGTGAAGGGAATTGGGGCAGCCCTCAGCCTGCCTTCCTGGACCCTGCAGGCTGCGTGCCCTCCTGCAGTATTTAGAATAATTAGCAAGTGAAAGCAGCCGGTTAGCAGGGGAATGCCAGGTTGGCCTAGAGCCAACCCCGAGGACGAAGAAAGAAAGGGGCTTTGGGAGAAAGGGGTCCGTGGAGGCTGGGCAGGAATGCTTGGGACGTTGCCTGTTTGTGCCCCTGTGTGTGTGCGCCCGTGTGCGAGGAAGTGGCTTTCTGGAGGCGTCGTGCACCCATGAGGGTGTATATGTGGCGGGGACTGAGTTGGAAGGTGGCTCCCGGGCAAAGCAAGGGGGGCGGGGGATTGAAAGGTGCTGGCTGAGTGTCACCCAGACACAAATTTCCCATGCCTCAGTTTCCCCATCAGAACTCCGGTAGTCTGGTTCCTGCCAGTGTAGGTGGGAGGGGTGGGTCTGAGCTCACTCCCTTCCCTGGTGGCCTTCCTCCTCTCCAAACCTGCATTGGGCCAGGTTGTGTGGCAAGTGGGGGCCCTGGAGCTGGGTCCCTCCAGGAGAGGACCAAGCGAGGGAGGTGCTGGAGACCAGCCCAGGCCGGGGATGGCTGACTGGGGCAGGCGGGCCCGGGCAGGCCCTCGCAGTAGGGGACAGCAGGGGCCGAGCCCAGGGCACACTTAGCCTTTGAGATTCCCTGGGTCTGGGGACTGAGGCCACTCCTCCTCCCTTTGTCTCCTGATCCCCCAGGGCTGTGGACCCCAGTCTCCCCATTGCACAGATGGAGGCACTGAGGCCTAGGCTGCAGGGGACAACCGAGAGCCACCCCTCAGCCCCTTCCTCCCCGGGGATGCTGAGGTCATGGGGAGTTGGTTAGTGCTCTTTGCAGGCCGTAAGTGCCCCCGCATCTTCCTCTCAGCCATCCCTCCCTCCAGCAAAGAGAAGCGCTGCCTCTCCAGAACACTGAGCCCTCACCTGTTCCCAAAGAAAGTTTTGAGCAGGTCCATATTTAGATTTTTAAAAATTTTATTTTTAAAAACTTTTCATTGTAAATAACTTTCATGAAAAAGGTTAAATTGCCCCACGGGGCAGGAGGGTGGATGTGGGACGCAGCCCAGGGAGTCCGGGTGGAGCAAGGCACGCCCCACGCCCCCGAGGAGTGCAGGCAGGGGCGTGGGGTACCCCGCTTCTTGGTCCCAGTAGTTCCAGCAAGCTCGGCATCCCTCCCAGTTAAGCCTCAGCTACAGCTACACTCACTACATTAGTCTGTCTGTCCTGCCCCATACAGCTTGGCTGCCCCGGCCCCCAAACCACCAAACCCAAACTTCCAGCTGCTCTCAGCCTCAAGTCGGGCTTAAAGATTAGGGATTTACGTCCCCTCCCCGCCCCCTAGGGATGGGGCCAGGCAAAGACCCCAGAGGCCTTAGAGAGGATCTCCTTGCCCCACCCTGTGCCACCACCTCATTTTGGTCTCCTCTCTCTGCCCCCTCCCCCAGTCCATCTTCTGCCCTGCTCCGCCCCATCCACAGCCTGCCCCGGCCCCAGGGAGGCTCTGCCAGGAGAAGCCTCCAGGGGGTTAATTTGCTGTCATCTAATTAGCATTTGTTGTACCTGGGGACTCTCTCTGGATAGAGACCTGGGGAAGCAGGGGGGAAGCGGAGGTGCTCTGGGAGGGCCCAGTTCTGTTCCTCCCCAGCCTGACCCGGGCTCCTCCAGGCCTCGGCTCTCATGGTGCAGGGTCCTTTAGCCGGTTTCTGGGGCTGGGAAGACGCGGAGCAATGAAACACTGTGTGTACAAGGTGGGGCTGGGGAGAGGAGGCAGCGATTCTGGTCCTGGGCCCTCGTTTTCAGCCTCCTGGGCTTGAATCTGATGGCAGCTGGGGCTGGTGGCCATGTGGCCTCTGGGGCAAGCCTTGGAGCCCTGGCCCAGCCCCTGCCTAGGTGGTGGGGTGTCTGTGGACCTGTGTTGGGGGGCAGTTCTGGACCCTGACTTGGGCACTGTCCAGAGGTGGGGCAGGGCCTGGCCTCTTACAAGAAGGCCCCCACGCTGGCCCAGTCCTGCAGGTCGGAGGCCAGGGTGGCATCCCCAGCCTCAAAGAGGGGCTCCGGGGGCAGGCAGCCACTGCCGCTCTCGTCCCAGGGGTGCTGCAGGAAGGATGTGGCCAGGAAGGTCTCATCGAAGTCCAGGCTGTCGGCAGCCTGCTCCACCGAAGGCCCCCAGGTGGCAGGGCAGTCGATGTGGCGGCCGTGGATGGTGAGGTCCACGTCCACGTGTGAGGCGGGGCTCAGAGGCGGGCTCAGCTCCAGGGCCTCCAGTGCACCCAGCTCCCCGCCCAGAGTGCCGGCGTCGAAGATGGCCTCCCAGTCAAAGTTGCCTTTGAGGGGTTCCAGCTCACCCTGCTCCTCCGGGGTGGGCAGCAGGGTGCTGGGGGGCCGCGGGACCTTGGCCACCCGCTTGGGCAGCGGCTGTTTGCGCTTATGCCCCAGCCTGCCCTCGCCTGCACCCCAGCCCGCCTCCCCGGTGGCCTCCTCGAACTCCCGCAGCAGCTGCTGGGCCTCGGTATTCACCGTCAGCGGCCCGGCCCGGGGGACAGCGCTGGGCTCCTGCGCGGCCTGGCGGGCAAAGGCTGGGTGGATGTGGACAGGGGGCAGTCGCCGCTTCTTGAAAGCGCCGCTCAGTAGCCGCTCCGCGTACTGGGGGTCAATGCGCCAGAAGCCCCCCTTGCCTGGTTCGTCCTTCTCCCGAGGCACTTTGATGAAGCACTTGTTCAGAGACAGGTTGTGGCGGATTGAATTCTGGGTGCAGGGAGAGAGCAAGAGAGAGAGGAACCGCTAGGTCAGTGGGGACGGGGAGATGAAATGGCACCTGGCGCTGCTGCGCACCCCCCATCTTTTCTCTGGCAGGGGAGAGGAGGGGGGGACAGACACACTGGTCTGCCCAGGCGGCTGCAGCTCTGGGACACCAGCCACAGGGCACTGGGAGCCCGGAGTGCTGTCGGAGGCTTTTGTTCCCTGTTGCCGGGATATCTGCCTGCTCAGTCATCCGAGCTCTGAGCCGCAGGGTGGCTCTCGGTGCCACCCCCGTCGCCTGCCCTCCCTCCCTCACCCTGCCGCTGACAGCCTCTGGCCAAAGCCCTCGGCTCCCCCAGGGCCTGGACCACCGTCTCCCTTTGCCTGGGCCTGGCTGGCCCTCTCTGTGAGTGAGTGGGTCCAGGGAGGGGGCTGGGCAGCCGAGAGTGGAGAGGAAGGGGGAGAGAGAGAGAGAGCGCGCAGGGATGAGAGGTGGGGGATCTGATGACTTTCCTTGTTTGTTGAGCCGGCTGCTGGCCTGGGCCTTCACCCCCCACGGCCCCCTCCCCCCACTCCAGGCTCAGTTGATTATTACCCAGCCAAGAGCTAAGAGCATAGCACTCATTCCTGGGGCCCGTTTCTCGAAGCGCAGCTGCACAGGCTTAGGGTAGGGTGGGGCTGAGGGTCTCTGCTTTTTCGGTGCAGCTGCAAATGACCCTGCTCTAGGGTCAGGGGCATTGGAAATGGCTTGGGACTGCGGTCCTGTGGCCTGCCCGCTTTGGGTGCTTCAGGGAAGAGTCTGGGCGTCCTTGGGGGGCCCCTGACTCCAACTAGCCCTTGATGGTGATGGCTGAAGACTCTTAGGGCACTGCCTACCCAGCCTCAAATCCACCATCCTCCTGCCTTGTCCATTCTTAGGTGCTTAATCTTGTCCAAAGCCTGCTGGGGGACAGGGGTCCTGGGCTGGGACGGCAGGGCAGGTGGGTGGATAATGCCCGGCAGCAAGGCTGGGATGTTTACATGGTGGCCTGGGCCCCTTGGCTGCTCAGTGCCTGGTTCCAGAGACGTGGAACACGAAGTGAGTGTGGTAGGCAGAGCCCCAGTGGAAGGCACCTGGCTCAGGTAATTGTCCCCCCAGGGAGGTTGGCTGACAGCGGGGGTTGGAGGCAGGAAACTGAGCAGAGGTTGAGGTGGGGGGCTGGGACAGCAGCTTTAGGAAGGCCCCTTACCCCCTCCACCCTCCATTGGGACACACCTGGCCCTCACATGCTAAGGCACCCCTTCCATTCCACCCTCCCCAAGCCAACTGCAAAAGGGCAGGACGTAGAGCCTGGCAGGGAGGCCACGTTCCAGTTTCCGTTTCTGACTCCCGGCCCCGACAAACCATCCCGGGGCAGGGCAGTGTCTAGGAATTCTAGGACTTGGGACAAGAATGCGCCTTCAGTTCATCGCTCTCCCCAAGGAGATTCTGTCCACGCAGAGTCTAGCCCTGGTCTTTGGCCTGGGCCTGCTGGATGAATGGCAGGTTATTTCCCCTTGAATCTCAGCCTCTGCACCCCTAAAGCCCTCCACCTCTGGACATTCTCCCTTCTCTCTCTCTCTCTCTCTGGAAGTCAAAGGAGGGGCAGTTGCAAGAACTGGGCTCCTTTGCAGGGCTCCCTTCTGGGGCGCTGGCCGCACCGCAGAGCCTACTTGGCCTGCAGATTTGGGATATGAATCCAGTGCAGCGTGGGGAGCGAGGAGGGAATGGGGAGGGAGCGGCCGCCGCCCGTGCCTCCTCTACCTGCCAGGTGGGATCTGCGTGGCGGAAGTAGCAGAAGTTGTCCGTGATCCACTTGTAGATGGCCGACAGGGTGATCTTGGTGGCCTTGCTGGCCTGCATGGCCATGCAGATGAGCGTGGCATACGAGTAGGGAGGCTTCACGTGCGGATTGGTGGCGTAGTCCACGTCGTCGGGGGGTGGGGCCTGCAGCCCCGGGGGCGCGCTCCGCGACGTGCACGACGACGTGGGCTTGCCCGGCGTGTGTGGCTGCCCCAGGCAGGCGGGGTCGGCCGCCAGGGGGGACCCGGGCGCCGCTGAACCTGGCACCTGGTGGTAGCCGTGGGGGTCGGTGCCCCCCGGGGGCAGGGCGGGGGCCTTGGCGTTGAGAATGGAGAATTCCTGCAGCCACTGCAGGCTGGTCAGGCTGTCATCCAGGGCGTCGGGCTCCTCCAGGCCGCCCTCCGGCCCGGCCTCCTCCGCCGGCCCGGCTCCCGAGAGGCGCAGCCAGCTCTCCGCCATGTCTGCGGGGACTCTCCGAGGGGGCGGTCAGCATCCACGGGCTGAGCCGGGGGTGGCCCGCCGCGCTCTCTGGCCCGCTGAGTCCCGCAGCTCCCGTTACACGGCCTCCCGGACGCGCGCTTCCATCTCGCGACCCCGGGGGCGCCTCCTCCGAATAAGTATGTGGTGCCTGCGAGGACCACGGTGGGAGCTGAGCACTACCCCACCCCCGAGGGGACAGTGTGTGTACGGGGACGCCCTCTCTAACATCATCCCCGCAGCTGGGGAGGATCTTTTAGTGCCGAGGTATGGGAAACAGAAGCAAGGCCCTGGGGTCCCACCCCCATCAGATCTGCCTCCCTCTTCCTTTCCTCTTCGAGGTTTTATTAGCCAAATGAAGAGGGTAGGGGCATCCGAGGCTATCCTTTTCTCCCGAAGAGCAGGAAATCAGGACCCCCTTCCTCCTCGCAACAAATGGAAGTGGGGCGAGAAGTTTGGGAGGGCGGTACGACGGGGCGGGGGCGGTGGAGGTCCTCTGATCCTTGAAAAGGAATATTATGATAGGGGATCATTGGGAAGGAAGGGGACGGAACAGTAACGGGGGGCAGGAGGCGAGTTTCCCCCAGACTTCTCCGATGTCAGTCCCTGGGCCCACCACTTCCGTTAAGGACGAATGAGAGAGCGGGTTGGTACCGTTGCCCACCCTTCCCCCTGGCCTGCAGCCCTCCCCATCCCTTACCTGGCTCAGAGCGCAGCCCGGGCCAGAGGAAGGTTCTGGAAGAAGTTGCTCCCACCCCCTGCGGCTCTCTGCCCCCAGCTCGGGGGCCCTGCCAGCGCCTCTTGCCGCCCCCCCGCCCGACGGCGCTTCTCTGAGCTACCGCGGCCCCGGGACCGGCATTAAGTAGCCGCTCCAAAGGCTTCTCCTGCTGCCATGGCGACGCTCCGCCCCCATAAACAGCTTCCGCCTCTGCCATTGGCCAGCACGTCTCCAAGGAGACCGCGGGCACTTGCCACTCTCCCTGGCGGCAACTCTCTTCGAACTCCCTCCTTCTGCCGCCCTCTCCCGCGCCACCCAACCCCCTACCCGCCGCTAAGTCCCGGCTCGGCTCATTCCCGCCCGAGGGCCCCGCGCTGGGGTCGGAGAAGCGCGCGGCCTGCGGCACCGGGAACCGCTATGGATCCGTTCGTTCTGGGGAACCAAGACTCTCGCCCCCACCCCCTTCCTGTCCCGTACGCTTTGAGGCGTCGACTGCTCCTGGGACGGAGCCTGGGGTTGGGGGGCTAAGGCTGGGAGCGGGCTCAGGCTCGGGAACCGTATCCTTGAGGTTTTCTTTCCTCTCCGCTACGAGTGGCACTTTCTCATGTTTCTGCAGCCTTTCCCTCTCCCCCGACTCTTAGGGTCTTTCTCTGGTGTCCCAGGCAGGTCTGACTTTCCGATGCCACCTGCCGCTTACATCCACAGAGGCGGCAGACACACCAAGGGGGTAGGGTAATCCAGTGTGTCCCAGTAAGCAGCTCCTTCCCCACCCGTATCCTCGAGGTTCCAGGAAGCTGACATTCCAGAGGCTTCTGCAGAAGCGCACTCACTCCTCTGGAGACAGCTGATGAAGCAGAGCCCGTGGGTAAAACTCTGAAGTCATGGACTTGTCAAATTCTCCTAGCGGGGTCATTTGCCCAATTAATTTCACCAACCTTTAAGTCACAGGGATTAAGAGTAGAGGGACTCTGGGGACTGTGTCCCTTCCTCCTCCCTTCCCCTGGCCTCCCTCCTGTCACCAGCTTTCCTGCTCTTTAATTATTGAGGAGCTGCAGGGTTGGACGTTCTCCGGTTTAAGGCGGCTGCAGAGGCAGTGGTGGGGGCTGGGTTGATTACCCCGCCTCTGCCCAGGAGCTGGAGAGCCGGGGTCGGGGAGGCTGGTGCCCAGACCATGAAGAAGGCCCGGCTATGGCGCATCACTCCCCCGCCAACATGCCTTTCCCTAGCCCTTGCCTCTCCCACTCCTCCAACTCCAGATCCTCTTGAGTAAAAGTATTAAAGAGTGCTGGCGAAAGTCAGACAGAAACTTTCACAGATAAGCTCACTTTGCAGTTAGCTCTCCTTCCCTTGTAAACAGTTTTATTCATTTTTAAGAATCATGCAGCAATCCATAAATATTGCATTCTTGATGTCCCCACTGTAGTGTGACCACAAGTGTACTCCAGGGAGAGGGGTACACAGATGGCACAAGCAGTATACACATGCACACACCAGGTGTGCAGACCAAAGCAAAGTGAGCGACCAGCGTGCTAAACTCCAGGTGGGCAGGACCCCAACTCCCAGGTGAGGTGGGCAGGACCCTAACTCCCAGGCCAGCCGGCTTAGAGTGTGGTGGTCTGTGCCCAGGAGATGCCTCAGCGGGGGTAGAAACTCTGGTGGGATGGAGCTGGGCAGAAGGAAAAAAGGGCTCTGTGAGGAAGCCGGGATCACACCACCTGAAGGCAATAGGGAGAGCACAGGCCTAGTGCAGCAGGAAGGAGCCCTGGGTCTCCATAGTTAGGCTGTGCCCTGTGGGAGAAGCCAGGCCCCACCTCTTCTCTTTGGGTGAACTGTTGACGTGACTATGTGACTGTCTCCAGATGAAGGACTGGGGCAAAAGGGTTGGCCACTGACCTGTCCTCATCAGGCTGACTGAGGACCAGCTCCTTGGATGGAGTATTTCTGTGGGCCAGAGAGCTAAATGACAGCCAAGAGAAGGCAGGGGGAGGGAGGAAGAGGAGAAATAGTAACTGAGAAACAAGTAAAGGACATTTCTAACCTAGGTATGCCTTGGACATGGGACTGAGGCCTTGAGGAATCTTTCCGTGCTTCTCCCTAGGAGAGGACTAAGCACCTGCTGCGAGGAAGGACAGGGATCCTCAGGAAGGGGGTCCTGGCCACTGTGGCTACTGTTTACCTGAATCTCCTTCATCTCAGCTCCTTCCTCCCTCCTCCCAGGTAACACCACACTGTGAATACTACCTGCAGGGGACAGGACAGGAGGTGGTCTGTGTGCCACCACCCCAGGGTAAGGGAAGCTCCCTGTCACCTGCTGCTTCTGGGCTCATATTTCAGGGAAATCAGGAAGTGGGGTTATTGCTCAGCTTATGCATCTTAACTATGAAAGGGGCGGGAAGAATGTAGGGGGAAGGAAGGAAAGAACATTAGGTGGGGCCTGAAATGGTAAAGTCTACTGCAGTTTTTCAGAGAGGGTTGGACGACAGGCCCCCCTCTCCATCAGGGCAGGATGTGAGCCACAACCACTAGGCAGTGAGACAGTCACTGCACTCCTGGCCTCTGCAGCCACACAGAAACGAAGGACCCCCTGGGCACCAGGCTCTTTTTGAGGCTGCCTTGGAAACAGCCTTGAATTTTTTTTTTTTTGTTTGAGACAGAGTTTCGATCTTTTCAATCTTGTAGCCCAGGCTGGAGTGCAGTGGCACGATCTTGGCTCACCGCAACCTCCACCTCCTGAGTTCAAGCGATTCTCCTGCCTCAGCCTCCCGAGTAGCTGGGGAGGGCCCTTGAAGTGAAGGCCCTGAGCCCTGATTCCAACCTCTGCTCCCAGCACACTGCTGCTGGCCACATGCTGCTGCCTGAACTTAGCTCAAGGCTCTCCATCACTTCCTTTGGGGACCTGGGCACCAAACTGAGAATCACTGGTCCACATTTCTCTCAACCATTAACAAAAGGGGGTAGAGATGGGGGCAACAGGGACAAGAATGCCACCTCCCAATTGAGTGAGGATGAATTATGGTAATATACGACCACTCCTCACCCAGTGCTTGGCACACAGAGGTGGTCAACACATGTGTTTCTTGAAATGTCACCTTAGGATGGAGTTGCAGGCCTCCCTGAATGCACCTGATCAGGAGAAATGCTCCTTAAGGGAAATCATCTTAACTGGGGGATTCTCAGATTCAAGGGCTCCTTCTTTTTTTTTTTTTTTCTCTGTCGCCCAGGCTGGAGTGCATTGGCGCGATCTCGGCTCACTGCAAGCTCCGCCTCCCGGGTTCAGGCCATTCTCCTGCCTCAGCCTCCCAAGTAGCTGGGACTACAGGCGCCTGCAACCATGCCCAGCTAATTTTTTGTATTTTTAGTAGAGACGGGGTTTCGCCGTGTTAGCCAGGATGGTCTCGATCTCCTGATCTCATGATCCACCCGCCTCGGCCTCCCAAAGTGCTGGGATTACAGGCGTGAGCCACCGCGCCCGGCCAAGAGCTCCTTCTTAACCGCACAGGCATGTGAGGCCCAGAAGACTGGCTCTGCCACCAGAAGGAAGGATTGTTTCCTTCAACCAACCTTTTGGTTGCTACCATTTCTTGTCCTTGAGAAAGGTGCTCCTAGTGCTTGTAGAGGGAAACGCTACGTCCGTGCAGTATGGCTCTCCCTTTCCACAGGAGCGATCCTCCAGCCCTACCCCAAACTGCAGGTTTCCAATTGGTTATGATGTGCCAGAGACCAGGAAATGCCAGAGGGATGTTTGTAACAAAGCTGCCAAACTCTAAGCCTTCTTGTTCTACCCCCTAAGGAGAAAAAAGATGTGTAAGAAATTAGCCCATGGACCCCAGCTCCACCTGAACATCAATATACCGTGAGGACATTCCAGAGTCCCTGCAAAAGGTCTCGTGAGCTGCAGTTCATTGAGTGGCTTTAGGTCACACGGAGAAAGGAGGGTTCCAGTTCCCTCTGAGAGGTGAGGGATTGTGGTTACAGGTTGTAACAGCTGTCACAGGAGGGTAAAAAGTCTCCAGCATCTTGCTGAGGATGCCCAGTAGGCAGCAGCTGAGTGAGGATGGATGGAATGCAGGGCAGGAGGGGAGCCCAAGTGCAGAGGCTGGGGCTCAGACAGCCAAAGGGCCCCACACACAGGGCCTCGTCTCAGAGTCCTCCAGGCTGCTGGATGACAAGCGCCGGCGCTGGGCATTCCGACTGACGGCATTGTCATCAGCCTGCCAGGCACCTGGGGAAGAGAAAATGAACATTACAGGAGCCAGACCTTTGGCCAAATCCAGATGGTGTCTCCAGCAGGGCAGCCCAGGAGCCGGCACGGAAGGAGCAGGATGCGTGTCACCTGAGACTCCGATGACGGTGCGAGCCACAGCACTCGTGTGTGAGAACGGAGAGAAGCAGGTGCTGACAGGTGCAGAGCCTGCTCCTGCCCCCTGGGCTAGGTACAGTCACTGCCACTGTGGCTCCCGGACAGGGAGGGACATGAAAGATGTTCCTTGTTTTGCGAACTTACCCTGGGATCCACTTTTGTATTTTAATTACTTGGTTTTAAAGTTTGCCTATATGTTACAATAGACAGGAAAAGGAAATTGGGCCTTGCTGAGCTATTTTCATTGGGGCAGGAAGAGGTGGGGGGAAGTGAGAAGACTGTTCGTTCTGGCCGAGTGTTAATGTTTTCTGTGGGGGCCCAGGCGGGGCAGGAAAGGACTGGCCACCCAGCAGGGTTCCTGGGATGGAAGGCTGCCTGGAGGGAGGACAGTGTGAGGCTCCAGTCCCCGTCACCTGCCGTTTTCCTCTCCTCCTGCACCTACGCAGCTGTTGAGGTTTGCTACTAGCTGGTGCCATCAGCCCAGCAGACACCAGCCCAAGAGCCTCGGGGTCCCACAGATACCATCACTAAACGCATCCGCTCCCCAAATCTGCTGCTGCCCCCACATGAGGAGTGCCAGCGCCTGTCTGGAAACCCATTCTTGGTGCTTCTCTTTCCCTTGTGCTGTGGATCCAATCCTCCACAGCCTCCTGTGGGCTCACTTCCTGGCCGTGTTGTGACTCCATCTGTAGTCACGCTAACCTGGGCTCCACTCCCAGTTTACAGCAGTGTGACCTTGGGCACATCAGTTTACTGTGGGCCTTGGTTTTCTCACCCATCAGATGGGACATGCGTACTGACCTCACGGGCTTGCTGTGAGGACTAGATGAGAGAATGCGAGCGTTGGTGAGTATCTGACTCCTAGAATAGCCTGTGCTCAGGCTCCTCCAGGCCATCTCGCCTCTCCCCTGGGAGTCCTCTTCATCTCCTGCCCACAGATGAGCTCCTCCCTCCAGTGCCCTCCCTCCAGTGAGGCTAGGGCGCTCCTGCCTTGGGCCTCGGCTGCCTCCACTCTCAGGGTCCCCTGGCTCCCTGGGGTAGGGAAGGCATGTCGTCCTCCGGACCCTGTGGGCCTCCCCAGCCGTGTCTCCCAGTGGCCTCCCCTCACGAGGCATCTCTGGCCGGGGGAGGCCCAGTGTGCTCCTAAGTGCTCCCTGCAGCCTGAACTACTGCTCCACGCACACGTCACATGGCAGAAACCGCTAGGTCCTGGAGCTCCTCCATGGGACAAAGCTCCTCCTGGGCAGGGGCCGTGACTTCTTCACTGTTGCAGTCCAGAGCCCAGCACAACACCTGACCCATAGGAGGACCTGTTCAGCGGACAAGGCCGACCAACTGTAGAGTGTGGCCGTGAGGTTGAGAGAGGCCACTCACAAGTGTCCAGGGTCAGCCTCAGGCCAGCCCAGGACATGAAACCCTTTAATGGCATGTAGAGTCAACAGGTATAAATGGCTTATTTCCATCAATGCCTTGGTGTGCTAATCCACCTCAGGCTCTAGTAACAGTCTCTGGTGCTTGACCCCAGGGGAACAGTGAGAACAGGAGAGTCTTGGATCTCTCTCTCATATCCAAACTGAATTTGGGATCTTTACTCCCTGGGGGTGGGTACTGGAGCCTGGGACATGAGTCAAGGTGTTTTTTTTCACCTCTAATGGTGGCACTATGTGTCTAAGTGTGGCAGGATAAATATAAGGCAATATTAATATTGCCTTTAAAGTGAAGAACCCAAAATAAAATGAGCTGTTTGTTCATTTATATAATTTGGTAGATCTCATACCTATTCCTCAATGTTTATGGGGCAGGACTCCGGAGCTGCGGCTGTTCAGTAGGAAAGACCAAAAGCAAATGGTAAACAAGAGAGAAGACACACATGCATGCACAAATAAAAACAGCAGCACCACCACCACCACCGCCGCCGCCACCACCAGCAAGCCATGGAATGCTGGGCCGGAGAGGCTGCCCAGAGAGCTGTCCTGACTCTGAATTCACAGAAGTCCTTGCTACAAACTCCAACCTTCTATTCTATAGAAGCCTTAGCCAGGGCAGAACATCGGTTACTTGTGGAAGACTCAAGAATCAGATCTGAAGTCTGCTCTCCTGGCCTCTTGGTATGCTCTGTGGTGAGGGAGATCCGGCAGCAAGCGGGGGGCACCTTCCCCTGGCAAGGACCCTGAGGGGCCCACGGCAAAGCCCTGCTGCTGCTCCCTCCTCAGCCTCATTCTCACAGTAAGCCTGTCTGCGGAAAGTCAGTGTGGGTGCTGAGGGGCCTTCCAGAGCAGGTGCCGCCATTTTGTCTGGCTGAATCCAGGCCCCTCCAGCCAAAAAATGGAGCACAGAGATTCAAAATCCTTAGAGGGAAATGGATAAAGGTGCTTTCCGTTCATGTCTCAGTTTTTGGGATATCAAAAATGGGAGTATGAAGAGACCTCTAGAGGTAGATTTTGGGAGTACATTCAGGAAAATTTCACAAGCCCCTTTCCTGCCTCTACAAAGCCACTTATTAAATATAAGGACTGTAATAGTTCAACTGTCTTTGTAGAGTTGCTCTCCAGGGGAAGGAGAAACTTAGTTTGAAATTTTCCTTAGTGCCCACAAAGTGCAAGTAGCATCTTAGTCTTGAGTTTTGAGGCCTCTCAAAAAGAGGAGAGAATTCAATTTCAGGTCTCCACAAACCTTTTTAGATTTCACTGGATATGCTCATTCCAGTGGAATGCAGTCATTTAAAAATTGTATTGGTATTTCCACTAAAAAGATCCAAATTATCTTTGCCTTTTTTTTTTTTTTTTTTTTTGAGACAGGGTCTCTTGCTCTGTCGCCCAGGCTGGAGTGCAGTGGCGTGACCTCGGCTCACTGCAAGCTCCGCCTCCCGGGTTCACGCCATTCTACTGTCGCAGCCTCCTGAGTAGCTGGGACTACAGGCACTCGCCACCACGCCTGGCTAATTTTTTTGTATTTTTGGTAGAGATGAGGTTTCACCGTGTTAGCCAGGATGGTCTCGATCTCCTGATCTTGTGATCCGCCCATCTCGGCCTCCCAAAGTGCTGGGATTACAGGCGGGAGCCACCGTGCCCCGCCTTTTTTTTTTTTTTTTAAGATGGAGTCTCACTCCATCTCAGCCTCCCAGGCTGGAGTGCAGTGGTGTGATCTTGACTCCCTGCAACCTCCGGTTCCCAGGCTCAATTGATCCTCCTGCCTCAGCCTCTCGAGTATCTGGGACCACAGGCGTACGCCACCAAGCCTGGCTAATTTTTGTATTTTCTGTAGAGATGGGGTTTCACTGCATTGCCCAGGCTGGTCTCCAGCTCCTGGGCTCAAGTGATCACTTGCCTCAGCCTCTCAAAATGCTGGGATTACAGGCGTGAGCCACTGTGCCCGGCCTATCTTTGCCTTTTTCCATCACTGACTACCCCAGGGCCTTCATAGAACTATCACTTGCCACGATGACTTTCCTGCCACCTATGTAACAGTCTGCCAAACTCCTCAGAGCCACATCTGCTTAGCGTGGTCTCGCAATTCTAGTCTTACTACAACCTGTCACACCCATCAACTGAGATCTCCTTCCTTTATTCCTTTCAGAAGGAATCTCAGAACACACTACTCCCCAGTGAAAAACCAAAAATCCACCCTTGGTCTTGGGGCCCTGGAAGACCCAGAAGCTTCTTAGGGGGAGAGGGCTAGAATGACAAAAGTGCCTCTAAGCCCCTCACCAGTGTTATCAGAGTGGTGAGGACGGGAACCAACAAGGTTCGCAGTCCTTGCCACCAGCCAGGTCTCCTGGCAGAGCCCGTGAGCAAGGTGCAGGGCACAGGGACAACATGGGATGCAGCCCGGGCTCCATTTCCCACTGGCCCTCCATGAAGGGAGTGGCACCCACTTGAAGAGGGAAATAGACTCAAGCAGAGACCAGGCGCATGTGCAGCTGTTCTGACGGGAGAGAGCTGGCCACAGGAGCAATGAGGCGCCAAGACGGCCAGTGGTATCTCAGCCCCAGGATAGAAAGCTGAACTTACAGCTGAGTGTGAAGACGCCTATTTATTCCACGGGACCTACCAAAGTGGATATTCCTGTCTGTAACCTAGCAGACACTTCCAGAGAGTTCTCCAGCAAATTTTCTGCCAGTGTGATGCTAACAGTGGAAGCAGAGACACATTCTGCCTAGAGAGACGTGCTTTTCCCTCTCAAGTAAAAAGGCAACCAGAGGTTTTGAGACATCACTTTCACCCAACTACTGACCAAGGATGCCAATTAAAAACAAATCATGGCTGGGCGCAGTGGCTCACACCTGTAATCTCAGCACTTTGGGGGGCCGAGGTGGGCAGATCACCTGAGGTCAGGAGTTCAAGACCACCCTGACCAACATGGTAAAACTCCGTCTCTGCTAAAAATACAAAAATTAGCCGGGCGTGGTGGCGGGCGCCTGTAATCCCAGCTACTCAGGAGGCTGAGGCAGAGAATCACTTGACCCCAGGAGGTGGAGGTTGCAGTGAGCCGAGATCGCGCCACTGCACTCCAGGCTGGGCGACAGAGCGAGACTCTGTCTCAAAAAAAACAAAAAACAAAAACAAAAAAACTCAAATCCTTTCCATTGTCCTTGCCACAGAAGCGTTCCCATTTTTACTGAACAGAAATCCATATAGTCTCACACATATTTTTTTTCTTGGAAAATCTTAGTATATTGAATACAGCCCCTCATCTTGAGGCCTCTGGTGAGGATATAATGGGACACTTAACATGCCTATACCTGAGGCCCTCTCCCGAGAGCCAACACAGGCATTTGATTTCGTGTCTGGCACAAACTGTGAGCCCACCATAATCTCTAAATAGCTGGCTCCACAAGTCACCCTAGGGAACCCCAGGGCTTCTCTCTTCCTCCCAGTCCTCACTCTCCTCCCATGATTCCATGGAGTAACTATCAACAAGCAGGTTAGCTGGAGGGAGTCAGGAAGAGGAGGAATAAGCTGTTTCCACTAGCACTGTTGGCTAAAACAACTCCCAGCAGCTCCCTCTGCCAAAAAAATAGGGGTGGGTAAGGGAGTCCCTTGAGGGAGGCAGGAACCTAAATTTCTCTCCTAAAGCCAAGTAAGGGGTTGACCAGGGTAGAGCTGCCTCAGACACAGGGCACAGCTAAGAAAGAGACATCATCTTCACCCAACTACTGACAGAGGATGCCAGTTAAAACCAAATCCTTTCCATAGCCCTTGCCACAGAAGCATTCCCATTTTTGTAAAGCAGAAATTAATACAGTCTCACAAATATTTTTTCTCATAAGCTCTTAGTACCCTGGATACAGGCCCTTGCCAATTAGGAATGGGAGCCTTGCTCACAGCCCCACGCGAGCGCCTCCCAGGTGTGTGCGTGCCCAGCAAGCTTGGACGGGGTGAAGCATTGGCAGGGAGGACAGTGCTGGCACGGAGTGAACACGAACTTTCATACCAAGTCTAGAGAACATACATGAGTTTAGAAAATAAACAAACCAGACAGACAGATTTACATTTGGCAAAATGATGTGAAACACAAATGGACAGATGGAAGCCAGGCCAGGAGCGGGAAGGCAGGGAGTGAAGCAGCCCCTGGGCCCCAGCAGCTCCAGTCCAGGCCTAACTGGCAGGAGGCTGGCCCCGTGGTCAACGCTCCCTCCTCCACGCTCAGGCAGGAAGGGGGTCTTCCCTGGGCCTGCGCAGGAGAAGCAGGGGAACTGATACTGCCTCTTT
The DNA here is from genome assembly GCF_000001405.40 of Homo sapiens. Taxonomy (NCBI): domain Eukaryota; kingdom Metazoa; phylum Chordata; class Mammalia; order Primates; family Hominidae; genus Homo; species Homo sapiens. Next base: position 76,151,203 of record NC_000017.11, read on the forward strand.
TGGTCTCACTGAAAATGAAGAGGCCTGGGCAGTGTCTTTAGAACAAACTAAATAGAAAATGACTCAAGAAAGCCCTTTGAAGGGCTGGAGAAAGTATCTCTAGAGAATTCCAGCTTCCCCTGCCACAAGCTTGTGTGGGGCCAGAGTGTGCTTGGACTGTGTCTTGCACAGGCTGATGGAGAGTGGCAACCACAGAGGTCGTGTGGCTCCAACGCCTCCAGCCACGTCGCTGAGCGAGTAAAGCACTGGACCCGTGATGTGGCTGTTCTGAAGCTGAAGTGAGTCTTCGTTCAGGGAATGTTTAAGAGGATTCAAACAACACGATGTGAAGGACAATTTCTGTCGTGAAACCCGGAGGGGACATTTGACTCAGTCCGCTTGGGCAAGATGTGGATTTTAGAAAAGCAGTTTTTGGAGCCCTTGAACGGGCACACTAACTAAAAAGGCACTCGGTGCTTAAAGTGTGATTAACATGATCCTGTGTAAGGCATTACCTAGATTTGGTTTAGCATCATGAGGAGGAATAAGGGGCACTCTGACAACCTGATCACCTGTGAAGTTACAGCTCCAGGGAGCATAGAGGAGCCCTAACTCGACCTCTCCGTTGGGATCCAAATCCAGTAGTATGTACAATGCAACTGGTAACCCAAAGCTCACTGGATCACAGAGCCATTCCCTAGCCTCTGAAACGCTGGCTTTCACATTCCTCTCTGATCCTAGCTGAAACACATTTCTTCTGAGGAGCTACAGCTTCACTTTTAAAGGGCGCAGGCAATCCTTCCAAGACCTTCGTAGAGAGGTGGTGTCTGTCTGCTCAAACTTCCTGTTGATGAAAACAAGACTGGGCCACCTGACATGGTACCTGCAAGGCCGTGATGTGGGGTGGAGAGTGGTTAGGCCAAATCGTTAAGTTTTGCTTCTTTCTTCCTATCCTAATACTCTCACTCAGAGCAAGGCTGGCTCATTGCAAAAAGCTCAAGGACTCTCCCAGGCCTTCTTACTTCCTTCAGCAACTGGTCTCCAGCACTAGCACACCCCAGGCCTTCTTGGCAGGAACTGCAGGGCAGGAGATGGGTGTACCAGGGTGAGAGCAGGGGTAAGAGCACAGGGATCGTCTCCCACCAAGTTCATGTTCAGCAGACTGACACTCACCAGGTAAGCAGACCTCAGAGCACAGCTTATTGTCCAGTGCTTTCACGCTTGCGATGTCAAAGTCATTGTTATTGTCACACTCCATACCTAGAAATGCGCACGTCCTCTGGCCTGTAACGGAGTTAATGCAGTTAGAGAGGGGCTGGCTGTGTTTTTCTCTGCGTTGCTGTCCTTAAAATAAAAATCTTAAGGATGGAGACAAAAAAAATCAAATCATATGTTAAAAAAAAGACAATAATTAAGCGGATAAAGAGTGGACAAGAAAGGAATCACGTTGTGTGGGCATGTCTGTGTTCTCGCGCTTTCCTGCTGTTTCCCTAGAGCCCTTTCTGTCTGCTGCTCCCTAACAAGTCAGATCACTGAGGAGGGCTGTGGGACACAGGCTCAACAGAGAATACTAGAGCGAGCAGAGCTGGGCAGAGGCCAGGCTGGTGAGGCTGCGACCAACCAGCAGAAGCTAGGGAGCGCCAGTGGGGAGGTCATCCTGCTCATGCCTGCATCTGCCTTGGGTGTGAGCTGGGTGTGTTTAGGACCACATGGCTCTGCAAAATAAGTACATGAAACAACAACTAAAGGTCTTAGGGTCCATAATTTTGCATATCAAATCAGAATGACTACATTCACAAAATTATGATTTCCTTCTTTATGAGACCTGAGTTGTTATTTTCAGTGTGTTTTAAGTGGCTAACCAGAAATCTACAGACATGTAAGAAGGGAAGGGAAAAGTTTTAAAAGTTGTTTTTTATCAAGCTCCCCTCTTTTTTTCTCAGTGAAACAGAGAGAAGAAAACAAATCCATTCCACGGGCTAGGGAATGTCGGTGAAACAACCTGGCCACACCGCACTTCTTAGAAGCAAATATTCTATGGGAGAAACAATCACAAGGGGTAACTCTAGAGCCTCAAGCACTGAAGTCATCAACTGAGTTGGTGACACTCCAAACCCCCTTGGGCTGGGGTGCAAGAGCTGACGGACGCAGCCTTGGCGGCCACCTTCTCCTTCAAGCTCCTTGGCCAGGTGGGAGCCGTCAGGTCCACATGCACACCTCCAACACTTCCCAAGCGATGGCCAGCGCTAAAGCAGAAGCAATAGGATGACATCTGCTGGTGCGTCTGTATCCAGGCCGGGCATACGTGTGCTCTGGAGGTGCCCCTGAGGGAGGGGCCTCAGAGCAGCAGGGGGAAGAGTCTGGCTCCTGGAACACATAGTGTTCCCTGCTTGGGGGAGACTTTCCTGCCCTCCTTCTTCCTCCTACGTCCTTGCTCTGTGGGCCATTCCTTCTCTTCTAGCCTTACTGGAAACAACATTCTTCCAACTGAAGATGTAACTGAGGCCTGAATTATGGTAAAGGAAGATTATTACAACAGCCTTTAAAATACTTGCCTAAGCTGAGCTCCTGAAGAAACTTGGACCTGTCTCCTTGACCACGCCTTTAGTACGTCTGCCGGCCCGAGAGTCCTCTTTTACAGTAATGTTGACCATATTCCTAACTAAAGCAAGACCTGACCAGCTGCCAAATAGTCCTCCCCCTCCCCCCAGTGGAAGAAATGGCTACTGCTATTCAACACTGAGAATGCCAGAACAGCTCTGTGGGGCTCCACTGAAAACCTGCAGCAGGGAGGCTGATGATGGGAGCTGCTTAGAGAGCTTCCGAATCTACTTCAGGTAAATATGGACCTGTATGTATCTCCTGCAGCACCCGCACCTGACATCCATGGCTCTGAGGCCCAGAAAGAGCTGAGGAGGTCATAGAGATCATCAATGCTCTGCTTGCTTTGATGTACCATTAAGAAGACGATCTTTCCTCTAACAGCCCCATACAACTGAGCAGCGCCACCACGTCATACCGGTACCCTTTTCTTTACCCCTTAAAGAATACCCAGGAAAGAAAGATAACTAAAGGAAGTAAAGGACCAGATCTTTTACCACCTTCCTGCGTGGGTGATCCATCCTCTTCCTCTATAACATCATTTCCCTAGGACAGAAGGAAGGCCCTGTGAGTCTATGAAGCGGCAAAATGAGTAAACTGATTGGCTGAAGACAGAACTAATCATCCTACTGGTATCTAACTCCAGGGCCTACGTTAATAGCATATATTTCCATCTGTGTTTAATATGCCTCAGAGGCTGAGTAGAGGCAGATCTTGCTTGGAGAGGCACCATCTGCCTACAGGGATTAGATCCGAGCCACATTACCCATATATGCTCAGAATGGTCTGTCAGGAACACCCTTGTTAATAGTTTAGCTGATACTGTTTCTCTAAGGTGGAAGTAAAAATTACTAAATGAAAGAGCAAATTGTGAGATCATAAGACTTTCAGAAATCCCTTAAGATCCCAAACCCCATCCAGATCCTCCATTGACAGGAGTTGGCTCAAGAAGAGTTCTAGGGCTCTCACTGTGAGCTGGCGTTCCACAGCACACCATGGTCAGGGCACGTCTCACACTGAACTGTGGTCCTGTCTGCCTGCTAGACTGGGCTCCTAGATGGGTGCAGTGGGCTGGGGGTAGGCAGAAACCTCACCACACAGGTCTGTATAGGTCTATATGTGCCCTAGCACCAGTAGAGCACCTGTGACACAGTCCTCCATGTAAATACTAGTGGAATGAAGGACAATATATTCTCAAGGCCAGGGGCTGGCCAGAAAAGTTCCCTCTTGAACTCACTCCACACCAGTGACCCTGGGAACCAGTGGCCCCACTCACTGGACAGTCCACAGGCCCGGGAGCAGCTGCTCTCATCTCTACCCACATTCCACTTCTCACTGATCTAGGCATGTCCCCTAGGAAGGCTTCGTCAGCGCAGCCTCCTGGCCCTGGTCCTTACTGGCATCCCCAGCCAAGGCCAGCACTCCTCTGGTTGTGGGAAGGGGGCACCACTCCGTGCTGTTGGGGTTACCTCTGCATCCTGCTCTCCAGCTGGGAGGCCAGCAAAGTTGCTGTCTGGAGACTCCGCTGGCAGCCCCTGCAGAAGAGCACAGTTTTTACAGGCTCTTCCATAAAGGTCTCGTGACAGCAAACCCAAACCTTCTTCAGAACAAAATTGGTGTCAAATAGGAGGGTCAGACCTAAGGGAATGCCTTGTTTTCTGCAGCACTCCTGGCATTTTGGGGGCTTTGCAGCCATGCATGGCAGACCTTTGGTTATGCTACTTTGGACATGTGCACAAAGAACAGAGAAGCCAGGGCGGTTCCCGTCCCTTCCCTTACCTCTCCTTCTTCTGAGGGGGCCCTGCTGGCAGGCTGGGGGGAAGAGAGAGCCTCTCCCTCCTCTTCAGTGCCAGGGGCGATGTAGGAGCCAGACATGGAGGAGACGGTGTCAGTGCTGATCTGGGAGGATGCCATGGACATGACAGACTGGGCCAAGCTGCTGCTGGCAGGGCCTTTGGAGACAGGGGATGGGGAAAGGAGCCTGGAGGTCAGGCAGGGCTTCTGCAAGCTTTCTGGGGAGCAGAGCCCTCTCCCTGCATTCAGGCATTGAGGAGTGAAGTGGCCGTATCTTGCCCTCCCCTAAAAGTGGTTTTAGGTTTATGGTTTTCCAAAATTCTGCTCCTTTATATTTTAGAGCTCAGAACTCAGCCTTGGGGACAAGACATTTGCTTTTCCCTGTCATAATGCTAAAGGAAACCTCATTACAGGAGGACTGGGGCTGAGAGAATTAACACCCCACTAGCTACAGGCAAGCCTGCTATCCCATGGTAGGAAAGCAAGTCCTCTTCCCTCTCAAGCCAGGGCCTACTTGTCATGCAGTACAGGTATTAGCTTGCCACTCCCATGTCCCTTCCCGGAAGAAGCACCAGGACACTGTGGGCTGGGTAAGGGGGAAGGACATGCAGCCACTCCCCGCTCCTTATGTACCTTCTGGGGAGGAAATAGTGGATGACAGAGGCGTCCCTGTGCAAGACGACTGGTCAATAGCTCCAGATGACGACAAGGTGAGATTCTCACTTTCTGGAGTCACACCACATTCCTGGGGGTTGTGGGGGGACACAACAGGACATGGAGCAAGCGCCAGTCACCTGTGCTGGAGGAAGGGGTCAGGGCGGAGGTCTGGGTAGAGATGAGGAGGAAAGGCGACACTGGGAGGGACTGAGTGGCATGCAGAGGCCGCAGCTTCTCTCTTCCGTCCTCACTTCAGCCCAAGCCTGGAATGACTGCCTCCCAGGGGAGGCGCACACTTCAGTCAACACCTCCTGCCCAGGGCACAGCATCTGCTGCGGCCATACAAAGACTGCAGCTCGGGTGACACAGGTCACCCTGCAGCTGTGACATGGGGACACCCCAGGTTTCCCCAGGATTATGATCAGCTTTCCTTCTGCGGCAAAAGCATACAAAGCCAGCAGAGGACTTCCTGCCTGCAGGGTATCTCCACGTGGACCCCAGTTAATTCCTGCCCAGCTGCTTTCTGATACAAACACCACCTTGCTCCCCAGCCTGCTGCTCCTCCCACACCCCCACCTCCGATCCCAGCCCCGACCTGTCAGGCATCTGGGTGCACAGCCTCACCCGTCCAAGATGGATGCAAAGTTCTACGAACTGTATCTCCATAATCCCTTCCCTTCCCTCCAGGCGCTCCTCTTTTGTCTTAGTTCACGCAGTCCTTCTTTTTTTTTTCACTTTTTTTTTTTGAGATGGAGTCTCGCTCTGTTGCCCAGCCCAGGCTGGAGTGCAGTGGTGCGGTCTTGGCTCACTGCAACCCCTGCCTCCTGGGTTCAAGCGATTCTCCTGCCTCAGCCTCCCGAGTAGCTGGGACTACAGGTGCATGCCACCACACCTGGCTAATTTTTTGTATTTTTAGTAGAGACGGGGTTTCACCATGTTAGCCAGGATGGTCTCGATCTCCTGACCTCGTGATCCGCCCGCCTCGGCCTCCCAAAGTGCCGGGATTCCAGGCGTGAGCCTCCGCGCCCGGCCAGTCACACAGTCCTTCTTGCCTGGGCTACTGAAACCCTCTCCTGGCTGGGTCTGTCTCCCGTCTAGTCCAGGCTGCACACTGCGGTCGGGTGGGCCTTTGGGGTGTGAAGCACTCACTGTGCCCCTGGCTTGCTCCGAGCCCCGACTTCCTGCTCTGTGCCTTTGCATGCATCGTCTTCTCCACATGGATGTTTCTCTCACCTCTTTCTCCATGTCTAAAAAACTTCCAGGTTTAGCTAAAATGCTATTCCTCCATAACACATTTTCTGATTTCCTCCACTTACAATGATCTTTTCCATCTCTGACACAGCAATTTATCGTCTCTGTTTTGGGCATACTTCTTTTTTATAAAATTTACTTAGTCATTGAACAAATACTTACTGAGCAACAACAACGTGCCAGGCACATGCTATTCCCATGTATATGTCCTGTCCCAGCCAGACCTGAGCACCTAAGGGCAGGGACCACTTTATTTACCTTCCTGTGCCCTGCTGTATCTAGCTCAGTGCCCTACAGAGAGAAGCTGCATAAACCTTTGTTAAGTGAGGTCTCTGTGGGACGCACAGAGTAGAAAATTCCAGCCTTCTCTTCCATTCTTCCACATGGGCCTCCCGACACCCCCCACTTACCCCCAGGACTTTCTCCTTGCTGTTCCCAGACCTAGGGCCCTCTCTCCTCGTATATCTGCATAGCTAGCTCTACCACTTCCCTTGGTCTTGGCTCCTGGACCGCTTTTTAAGAATGGCAGCCCCCACTTCCAGCCGTGACACTCCCTTCCCACATGTCACACATGCTGATCCACAGCACCATCAGGCACACATGTATTTTTTTACCTATTGTCTTTTGTGCCCCCCACCCCAGATAGCAAGAATATAAATGCTACAAGGGCAGGGACTTTTGTAGTGTCCCAGCTACTATCCTCAGCATATAGCACAGTGCCTGGCAAATAATACAGGCTGCATACACTGTTGAATGCATGAATCCAGTGAAACCTTTGCCACTGCCTCAGAGGGTGCTGACAAGGTGTTTGATGAGTGAATGAGAGCAGAGGGACCTGATGAGGCATGCAGGTAGGAGGGAAGTCCCTGGAGTACAACACCCAAGAAGAGGAGAGGAATGTCAATTACCTCTCCGAGATGCTGAACCGACGGTCTCTGAGAGAGCTGTGTCTCCGACTCGCTGCAGGAATGCTCATCTTCCTCTTCATGCAGCACGGAAGAGTTTTGGGAAGTGGATCTGTAGGAGTCCAGTGGAAAAGCAGCTATATCCAACGTCCATTTAAAGAACAGAACTTACTGCAAGGGGAGCTGAGGGGAAAACCCAAATATTTTTTGCTTGTTTATTTTTTGAGACAGCATCTCATTATGTTTCCCAGGCTGGGCTGGGACTCCTGGGCTTCAGCGATCCTCTTGTTGACGCTTTAACAGAGGAGGAGTACAGCCTCCTGAGTAGCCGAGTAGGTCTGGGCTAACTTGCCTGGCTCGAAACCCAAATCTTAAGTAGGACTAGGGAAATAGAACCAGAGAGGGATGGAGACCTCTTTTGGGTGTCAGAAGCGCTAAGTTTTACTTTTAGCTCCTCTGATGACTTGCTATCTAAACTTGGGAAAAACCACTGCCATTTACAGGGTCTCAATATTTTCATCTGTAAAATACCCTCCCCTTTACTCTGCCACAGAAACCTTGTCATGATTTGTGCCTAGCTGGATTTAGATGTTTAAGAGATACGGATCACAAGGTTCCTTCAGTCTTCGGACTAAGCAATGCTCCCAGGGGCCTAGAAGGCCCTATCCACAGTGTTCAACATCCTCTTCCCTATATCCCATCCCCTATCCTTGAAAGAAAAAAAGAATACATAAGAGATTTGTCTCATCAGAGTTTTCTTAAGTACCTACATACCATCTTATTTTCATCTCTTAATGGATGGGATAACCTTCACGCAAGCAGCTCTGGGAACAGCCCAGAGGGTTACTCTGCCCTAAGTCCCCAGGATGTGGGCCAGCACCAAGGAGGGATGAAGCATTTCATCAAGGATTCCGGGGGCAACAGTGTGGAGCACTGGCTACTCACTTGGAGAGACTCTTTTTGAGTTTGAGTCCCTGACTGCTGCTGTCAGACAGGCGGTCAAGAGGCGAGATCGTCCTGACGGGGGGCAGGTGGCCATCACTGCCATATGAAGGGAGCATTCCTGAGAGGTGGCCATCTCCAAGCACGTGAAGTGGAGGAACTGCTGGGGACGGGGTGAGGGGCCCGTTGAGGGCCTCCAGAAGAGATACTACTTCATAGCCTGGTGGAATATTCTCTGAGGACTAGGGGAATCAGAGACAGGTTGAAAAATTAATTAGGTCCTTTTTGTTTTATGACGTGATCATGCTACTTCTCTACACTGAAAAAAATGTTTTATATCTGTTCTTGGGGGGGTCTGGTAAGAACAACTGTACTAGAGGCAGAGATAAAATATCAAAGAATCACACACTGTAGATCCTGCTTATTGGTAAGCTTTTTCTTAATAATCTCTATTTTTTTTCTGATTATAATGGAAATTTGGAAAATACATAAAAGTAAAAGTAAGGAAAAAAAATCACCAGTAATCAAATCACCCAAAGTTACTTTTGTTAGCATTCTGGTGTCTCTTCTTCCCATTTTTTTTCTGTGTACTATTTACACAGTTTTGATCAATCTGTAAATAACAATTTTATATTCTGCTTATTTTATTATACTTTCCTCTTTAAAAAAATAGAGATGGGATCTCACTATGTTGCCCAGGCTGGTCTTGAGCTCCTGGTCTCAATTGATCCTCCCACCATGGCCTCCCAAAGTGCTAGGATTACAGATGTAAGCCACCATGCCTGGCCAGAACATAAATATTTTCCTTTGTTTCTGAAGCCTCTTTATATATGTCCCCTTCTCATAGATCCCCTAAGTTTTCTAACTATTCTCCTAGTGCTGGGAATCTAGTTGTGTCTAACACATCCTATTGTAAACAAGTTTTGATGAACATCCTTGAATGCCTTTTTTTCAAATTATGTTCTTGTTATTAAATTATTAGCTCTTAGATGATGAGGTATAAATGTTTTTAAGGCCTTGATATATACTGCTGTTTTCTGCTGTTTTTTTTTTCAGTGCCTTTTCTAGTTACACTCCTATAAGTAATACAGAAGACCTATTCTGACTGCTTCCCCGAAAGCAGGGAGAATCGCTAAAAAGAAAAGTTTTTAAAATTTGAAAGTTGGAAAATGGTATTCTCATATTTGCATATCATTGATTTTTAATGTGGTTGAACTTTTTAAAAAATTCTATGTTGAGTGTGTTTTGTTTATGCCCTTTGCCCTTTTATCTACTGTTTTATTCAATATGAACTATGGCAAAGACATTAGCTTTTCCTCTGATACACACATTGTAAATAGTTTTTAAAAAAACACTATTTGTTGTCTAACTTTTAATTTTGGTTACCTTTTAGACCTCTGAAGTGCTAAACTTTTTAGGTGGTAAAATGTATGGTTCTTGCTTTCAAGCTTAGAGAATCCTTTCCAATCCAAAGTCAACTAAATAATCATCTATAATTTATTCTAGATTTTGAATGTTTTGCTTGGTTTGCTGTAATGTTTGTTTGGTTTGATGCTCTTAATATAGTTAACTAGTTACTCCAGCTGGAATTTATTTGGTAAGGAGTAAAGTGCTAAACTAATTTTTCCTCCTGAAATAGCTAACTAATTATCCCAATACCATTCACTAAATAATAATCTCTCCCAGCAGTGCGTTAGTCTAAAGAAAGACAGTATCTGCTGCTCTCTAACTGCAAAGCTTTGAGGTTTCACCCTAATATCAGCACTTACACTAGGAAACTGAAGTCAGTTACTTTATCTCAGGCACTGAGGCCACAAAACAGGATAAAGAAAAACAGTTACTTTCTTCGAGGATTCAAATAAAGATAATAAATTGTATTTAAATCCAAAATAATCGTCCCATTGTTTCTGCCTGGGGGAGTTCAAGTTGAACCTCACTGGAGTGAAACTGCAAGCAGATGGCTCTAGGAATGGTAAACATTAACTGGACACCAAGTTCCCAAGGAGGAAAAGGGAGGTTTTCAGTATTCAATTTTCCACAGTAATAAGTTGGTTTTAACGCATGCTCTCAGCCGGCTTGCTAAATACTGCAGCATGCCCTGGTCTAATTCCTTGCTGCAATGCCACGTAGAGAAGCATGAAAAGTTTAAAAAAGCCAATGAGGCATTTGCTTCAGAGGGGCCGTGGTTCCGAGCCCAACTTACTGGATGCTCTTCAGAGTCAGATGTCTGGGATGAGATGATGGGGTTAAAGCTGGTTGGGGACAAGGGGCCCAATTTTTTCCTCATGGCTCGGATCTGAAGCAGTGCCCGGAAGGCTGTGAAGGAGAAAACAGGCAATCAGGACATCCTGATACAGGATTAAGAATGAACAAGAGCCCAGACAGAAACCATGATCCCTCCCAGCGCGCATCCGTTTGTCAGATCCAGCAGCAGCACATGCTTCAGTGTTTTGTAAATGTCCTCTTGTCCCCTCTCCCACCCACCAGTCCCCCTGCCGCTCTGGGGCTTACGCAGTCGGCAGATGGGGCAGTTGTTGGCCTGGTAGCGCAGCGTGTCTGCACAGGTGTTACAGAGGCAGAGGTGGCGACAGGGCAGAATCAAGGTGTCCCGGACATCCGAGAGACACACCACACACTCGGCACTGTTATCACTCACTTCGTCTTCAGCCACCTGGCCAAGGAGAAAGAAATGTAGCCAATGGCACAAAGCCCTTCCTGTCCCATACTTTACTGACAAGGCAGCGTGGCTGAAGAGCTAAGATAAGTAATAATTACGAACAAAATCTGCATTGACATTGGACTTTGTCATTTTCCCAGTGCGTCCACACACTTAGCTTCACTTCTTCTGGGAAGTGTTTATCTAAAATTGAGAGGACGAGACTAACCACTCGAGCTCCTCCTATAAGGCCCAGAGCTGGGCCTCTCAAATCTCAGCTGAAGGGACTTAGGGGATCACACAGATAAAGGAAAAGGAGCAAAGAAAGGGCCCTGGTGGAAACCGAGTTGGACAGAGCTCTGTGGCAGAACAAAGCCAAACCAGCCTACTTTTCTCATTTCCAAAGTGGTAAAAGCGTAATGATCTGAAATGAGGAACAAGAAAATACCCTTCTAAGACCTAACTGATTTCAGAGTTTGGCACGCTAAATTTCTGGACGCTGGCTTACGATTTCTCACTTGGCCTCCTGGAAAGAGTACATTCAGAATTTTGGGTAAAACTTACCTTAGAATCTTGTGTGTTGTACTTGTTTTCAATTCCATAGATCTCCTGAAGGAGGTAGCTGACCCCGTCTACCTGAACAGCAAACAGAAAGGTTCAAGGACAGGCTGTCTCTACTGAGAGACAAGAGTGGGAACTCCCTCCAATCTTACCTCTTTTGGTAACCAAGGACTACCGATTCATAATGAGAAAAAAAATCAAAGGCCTGGATAAGTAAAAGATGCTTTTATTTACTTATGTTTTCTCTTTGAGAGAAGAAAGAAAATCAAATATTTAATTCACCCATCATTATATACAACAGGGAACATAAAATTTCACAAATACAATAATAATACTTGCACTGCAGCATACTATTATGGACAATTAAGAAGGCACAGACTAGAAAAAGGATGGAAGGGCATGCATTAAAATCTAGGCATTTGCTATATAATCCAATTTGAGTTCAGACATTATACAAATAAAGGAATGGAAAAGAGAAAGAAAAAGAAGAAGAAGTTGGCAAGGAAAAAGATGGGAAGGGAAAATATGGATGCAAAGGGCGATAGCAAGACCTTGAGGGAGAGGCTAATGGTGTGTACCCCACACCATGAAGCCACCCCATCCCCAACATGCAGCAAAATTACACCTCTTGGCCCTGTTTCCTTTTTTTTTTTTTTTTTTTTGAGATAGGGTCTTGCTCTGTCATCCAGGCTGGAGTGCAGTGGCACCATCTTGGCTCGCTGCAACCTCCACCTCCTGGGTTCAAGCGATTCTCCTGTCTCAGCCTCCTGAGTAGCTGCGATTACAGGGTGTGCACCACCATGCCTGGCTAATTTTTGTATTTTGTGGTAGAGACGGGGTTTCACCATGTTGACCAGGCTGGTCTCAAACTCCTGACCTCAAGTGATCCACCTGCCTCAGGCTCCCGAACTGCTAGGATAACAGAGATGAGCCATCAAGCCCGGCCAGCCCTGTTTCTTAAAACCCCAACTACCAAGGCCCAATCCCACTCCCATTAACCTGGGCCATGTCAGTGTCTAAGTTGGCCCTGCCCCATTTACTTTTAGGAGCACACTCTTCTGCCTCACCTCTGTTTCTTAGCCATCCCTTCCCCTAAGACATAGCCTGTCGCTGATTTTATATCCCACTCTCCGTTTTAACAGTCTGTTGCTAATGCCAATCTAACAAGAGGAAAATGGACAAACCATCTTCCTCTAGCTACACGAGCCTTTCCATCCCATCCAGGCCTCCTGGAGAACCAGGCCTTCCCCCATGAGGCAACTCACCAAGGCCTGGCCTGCCCAGGTAGTGCCCTGGGCCTGAGCCCAGGATCTGTTTCCTCCTCTGCTGCTCTTAAAACTTGTTTTCATGCAGTGATTATATTGGAAAACTAATTTATCCTAAGATATTCTTATTATTGACCTCATTAAAAGAGAGGCGAGTAATTAACCTAAAAGAACGAACAGTGTAGAATTTCAGGTATCTATCACCCATCTACAGGAAGGCTTTTCTTTGCATCTCGAGGAAGCCCAACCCTGCCTCCTACCCAGCTGCTCTACACCCTCCGTGAGATGACCTGCCCCTCACCCACCCTCCCTTGCCAATGCCACTGGCACCACTCTCTCTCCTCCCAGTGATGTCTCCTCCTACCTCTACAAGAGTGGAAAGAAAAGTGCTGGCACATGGTAGGGGCTGGGACTTTCTAGCAGACATATGCACAAGGTGCTGATCATTCTGGAAGAGGGAGAATGGATGGCTAACTTTGAATTTTAGAAAAGGAATGGATAAATTAAGCCAATGACTCTAATTACACTAAATTGGACCCTAATGCTTTATCCTTTCGCTTGAAATGTTTCTCACTCTGGCATTTTAAATAAAAAGAGTTCTCCCTAAACCCAATGTTGGGAAATAAATCTTGTTCTTTCATTTCTCAAGTCCTTTGCTCAGATAAAGGCTCCCTCAACACCAACACTTCTGGAACAATGAAGACCTCAAAAATCAGCATTCCTTTCAGGCCACCCAAGTCGTTTGTAATAGCTTGTAACATTCAAAAGCACTCCCTTTTTTTCTTTTCTTCTTTGATTAAAAAAAAAAAAAGAGGAAAAGGAGAGAGCAAAAAGTAAAACAAAAATAAAAAAAGAGGGAGAGAGAAGAAGAAAGGAAAGAATAAAAGGAAGGAAGGACCCTAATACTAACAGTCTGTGGTCTTCAAATACTTACTACTTGTTTCTGTTTGAGGGGCTTGACACAGAAAGTTCCATCTGTGTGCTGGAATGAAAATATGAAAGTTATGACAAGGAAGGGAGGGTAATAAAGCACCAGGTATTCTTCTGTTACATCTCCCAGTTACAGTCGCCCTCCCTGATCTGCAGTTTCATTTTCCATGGTTTCAATTACCCGCCATCAACCACTGTCTGAAAATATTACATACAATATTTTGAGAGAGAAAGATCACATTCAGACTTCTATTACCTTATAGTTATAATTGTTTTAGTTTACTATTATTCTTAGTCTCTTACTGTGCCTAACTTATGAATTAAACTTTATCATAGGTGTGGATGTAGTATGGGAAAAACCACAGTGTATATGAGGGTTCTGTACGATCTGCAGTTTCAGGCATCCACTGGGGGTCTTGGAACTTATCTCCTGAGGATAAGGGGGGACTACTGTACACATGTTCCTGGACACTCTCAGAGCAGAATTATACAATCCTAATTCTTTAAAGGTCTTATAATTATCCAGTCTAGCCTTTCTTTCTTTTATTTATTTATTTTTTTTGAGACAGAGCCTCACTCTATCGCCCAGGCTGGAGTGCGGTGGTGCCATCTCAGCTCACTGCAACCTCTTTCACCATTATAGCCTCTAAAGCCAGACCCATTCTGCTGAGCTCAGGCACCCAGCAAACGGGTTACATGTGTCTCACACGAAAGAAAGGGCTAAAGGCAATAAAGCGAGGCCCTCTAAAGTCACTCACCTTCTCAAAAGTACCCAGCAGTACATGGCAATGGCCAAAATACTCTGAAAGAAACAAAGGCACGTGAGTGAAGAAGCCCAAACAGCACATCTTGATGCCCATGACTTTCTCCAGTTCCCTGCAATCTGGCAAACCAAATGTGCCAGTCTGTCTCTAGAAGGGGCACGTTATATAACCCATACTTTTTTTTTTTTGAGACAGAGTCTGGCTCTGTTGCCTGGGCTGGAGTGCGGTGGCATGATCTTGGCTCACTGTGGCCTCCGCCTCCCGGTTCCAGCAATTCTCCTGCCTCAGCCTCCCAAGTATCTGGGATTATACGCATGAGCCACCATGCCCGGTTACTTTTCTGTATTTTTAGTAGAGACGGGGTTTCACTATGTTGGTCAGGCTGGTCTCAAACTCTTGACTTCAGGTGATCTGCCCGCCTCAGCCTCCCAAAGTGCTAGGATTACAGGGATGAGCCACTACGCCCAGCTAAACCACATTTTTTTGAGACTGAGCCTCACTCTGTCACCCAGGCTGGAGTGCAGTGGCACAATCTCGGCTCACTGCAACCTCCGCCTCCCAGGTTCAAACGATTCTGCTGCCTCAGCCTCCCAAGTAGTTGAGATTAGAGGTGCACACTGCCATACCCAGCTGATTTTTGTATTTTTAGTAGAGACAGGGTTTCCCCATGTTGCCTAGGCTGGTCTCGAACTCCTGACCTCAGGTGATCCACCCACCTCGGCCTCCCAAACTGCTGGGATTATACGTGTGAGCCACTGTGCCCAGCCAAACCCACACTTTTCACATCAGCCCAGGAGCTTGGAGTCACAGATGTGAGAGGATGCAGAGACTGCCTGACTCACAGTCACAAACACCCACAAAGAAGGCATGTTGTTCTGGGGCCACAGCTGCTGCCAGGAATATGCCACAAAAGAGCAGTGTGCACAGCCAAAGAGGACAGAAATCGCCCCTACCGTCTCCTTCATCCACCACGGCATGTACCACTAGAGGGTAAACTTCTCGGTCTAAATCAAAGCCAAGCTGAAGGGAAAGAAAAGGAAAGGAAAAAAAAAGAGGACTTAACACATTTACATGGCACAGCTAATCTCAGAAAGGGCGATACTGTCAAGAAGCATTAATCTCATCTCTGCTCCTCATTCTTTAGCCTTGTTAATTACCCAAGTTTGTTAACTGAGGGCCATCAGCTGCTTTTTAAAAATGTCATAGATGTAAATAAGAACCTCTAACCTATAGATTTTTTTTTTCTTTGAGCATGGCTTTCTCAAAGTATCCTAGGCTAATGGGCTATTTCCATTCCTAGGGAATGGAAAAATTAACAAAGTTAGGTATATCCTTGATGCAAAATAAGCAGAGCTTTAAAAGGACATGATGAAGTCACAAGGCTGAAAGGTAAGCATGGCCTTCAAGCATCCGAGCAGCCCCTTTGCTGTCAGACCGAGTCCTAAGTAGCCCCTAGGCCCTTCTGAGTGGATGTGGGAAACCCTCCCCAGAGGCAGCTCACCTCCTCTTCGGCCCACTCGGAGGGATCCACGGTGTGGGAGGGCAGGCAGAACTGCTGACACACTCCTCGCTTGTACTGCACAGTCTCCGACTGGAGGCTGTTGTCTTTGGGAATGTAGCTATTGATACAAGTGGGAGGCAAAGCAAAAGTCAGTATCCGGCACAGATGGGTCTGACAACTTCCTCTGCTCATGCCTGTTCTCAATTATCAACAGGGTCTAGCGAAGAGAAGAAAGGGTCCTTTATAATCCATTTCCTTTGCTCTTGCTTGGCAACGTTAAACTTTTCTATTCAACCCACACATCCAAAGAAAGGTAGCTTACTAGATTTTTAACAGCATGTTAAGGACCTGAAGGACTATACCACCATTTGTCACTATACCAAGATGGCACAATTTGAAGGGAAAAGGTAAAGGGTAGGGCTTTGTAGAAGAAAGTCTAAATTCAGGAACCAGATCTCATCTGGCTGCAGAAAAAGAATGTTTTCCGCCCTTGCTGAGTGGATAAGACATGGACTCTCCCTATCTGGGAAGGAAGTGGCTCGCCTGGTCTCCTGATCTTACCTGGTAATACCATTCTGGAACTCTTCCGTGGCCTGGTAATAATCTGGGAAGGAAGTGGCTCTCCTGGTCTCCTGATCTTACCTGGCAATACCATTCTGGAACTCTTCCGTGGCCTGGTAATAGATGGTGATGGCTACCCGAGCATCTGTGTCAAAGGTGAACTCAACATTGTAGTGGACTTTAGCTTTACTGGCCTCTTCTCCAGGGCTCTTCACTTCCTCAGCACATCTAGAAAACCAGAGACTCAGCATTTGCAGAGTAGCATATCAATATTTTAAAATTTACCTTTAAAAAAATTAGCAATATATTGTGGGCTTCTCTGAATGATCATAAGCATAGGTCTACCTCTTCATTCTGAATGATCACAGAGTGCTTCATGACCCATGTTGCTGGGCATTCAGGTTACTTCTGGTATCTCATAGTGCTACCACTACACCATTGTGCATTTGGCACTTTTGTTTTTATTTTAATAAAAGTTATTAATCACATAGTTTAAATAGTTTCCTCAAGGCAAAAAACAGCAGGCCTTACTTCTTCCCTTTCCTCGTCTTCAGAGGACACCCCTTTTAGTGATCATTTTGGCATTTACCCACGTTTCTAAAAAATATACTTGGGTTACTACTTCTTGATTTTTCAGTTTCAGGCGCTATCTATGGGTTTCCTACTATGGAAACAAGGATTTCTTTCTCTTTCCTCACTGTGCTCCATGTAGGAACTCCGCCATCCCCCCAGTGTAGCTGCATCATGATTTTATTATAATAGTCCAGTACATTTGTGTCTGTATTACTGTGATTACACAAACTTATAATCTATGATTATTTTTCTTTTCCTGCATAACTTTTTCTTAGTGCTCATCCTATTTTTTTTTTTTTCTTCCAGTTGCGTAGTTTCCTATGTACTCATCACAAATTCCAACCCAAGCTCTCTGGGGCTGTCTAAATCTCTCAAGACGTTCAGATGCACCAAGCGGTCTATTCATTTCATCTTATTGAGGAGGTCCCTTGGACTTGCTCCCATCTGTACTTGGCCCTCTGCACCTGGCTCCCAGTCGCCACCCTGGAATCTCTCTCCCCCTCCAACATCCTGGTGGGTCCCTTTTGCCTCTGTCCTCCTGTAGAAGCTCATGTTTCCTGCACCTCAAGTCTTCCTCTGTCTTGGGTTATTCTTTCATATCGGTGGAGCACGTGTCCTGCCAGCTTCCTGAAAAAGGGTGTGTTGGGAAATAAACTTTTGAGAGCTATTATTCAACATTCACACTTCACTGAAAGTTTGGCTGAGCAAAGTATTCTAGATTATAAATAATTTCTAAAAGACACTGAAAGCCTTTTCACTGCCTTATTTTTCACCTCCCAGCGTTGCTCCCAAGAAGTCTGAAGTCGTTCCAACTGTTGATCCTTCTTCTTCTGAAAGCTTACAGACGGTCCTCTTTCTCAGCCACTGTGTGGGCACTTGGTGGTCCTTTCCATTTAGAAACTTGTACCCTCTGGTTCTGAGAAGTTTTCTTAAATTCTATGTCACTGATGATTTCCTTCCTTTTACATTCTCTGTTCTCTGTAGAACCCGTTAGTTGGATGTCAGACCTTCTAAATGGGTGCTCTATTACTTGCGTCTTTCTTCTTCTATTTTCCTTCTCTCTGGATTTTTGCTCTACTTTCTAGAATATTTCAAGTTTTCTTCCTATCATTCTATTGAAATTTTCATTTCTGCTCCCTGTTTTTAATTTCTAAAAGCTATTTTTTTGGTTTCATAAACACTTTGTGTCATTGTGTCCATGAAAGAAAAAGATAACTTCTCTCATGTCTTTGAGACTATTAATGAAGTTTTCTTCTTCCTGCATAGCTTTTGTTTCCAATTAGATTTTTTTTACTTTATTATTATTTTATATAGAGATGGGGTCTCACTATGTTGCCCAGGCTGGTCTCAAACTCCTGGGCTTAAGTGATCCTCCTGTTTTGGCCTCCCAAAGGTCTGGGATTAGAGGTGTGAGCCACCACACCCGGCCTAGTTAGGTTTTTTTTTTTTTTTTTTGAGATGAAGTCTTGATCTGTCACCCAGGCTGGAGTGCAATGGCACGATCTTGGCTCATTGCAACCTCTGCCTCCTGGATTCAAGTGATTCTCCCGTCTCAGCCTCCCAAGTAGCTGGGATTATAGGCGTGTGCCACCAGGCCCAGCTAATTTTTTTGTATTTTTGTAGAGATGGGGTTTCTCCATGTTGGCCAGGCTGGTCTCGAACTCCTGACCTCAAGTGATCCACCCGCCTCACCTTCCCAAAGTGCTGGGATTATAGGCGTGAGCCACCGCACCTGGCCTAGTTAGGTTGTTTTAAAATGTTGGTTTGTTTTGCTACTGTCTTTCCTATTATAGGCATTCCTTACACATCTAAGAATCTGTGGCTGTCTGCTTGTATTTAAGATATTTAAACTGCTGATTAGAGCTCTGAGTGCACAGCAGGACTTGGGGATCCTGGGCTTCACTGTGGGCTGACCTGGATCTGTTGAGGAACCTCTAACTCTAGTCTCTTAGGTTTTCCTATCCAGGCAGGTCCAATTTCCAGAAAACAGTTTTCCTCTCTCTTGACAAAGGCCTGGCTGCCAGCATTCTAGGGGCAGAATGGAGAGGCAGCTGGAGGGCTCAACATCCAGTATGCCAGGATCCACTCACCTGCTGTTTTGTTTTGAGACAGGGTCTCACTCTTGCCCAGGCTGGAGTGCAGTGCTGTGATCGTGACTCATTGCAGCCTTGACCTCCCTAGGCCCAGGTGATCCTCCCACTTCAGCCTCCCAAGTAGCTGGGACTACAGGTGTGCACTACCATGCTTGGCTAATTTTTGTATTTCTTGTAGAGACAGGGCTTTACCATATTGCCCAGGCTGGTTAGCCTGTTTTTAGTACTGGCCATTAGCTGTGCCTGGGTCTCTCTTGTCCAGAGATTCTCTGTTTTGACCTTTCCAGGGAGAGTCATCTGCCTGCCTTTGGCCAAGGTGTAGGAATGTAGTTCTGGCTGTGTGGTACAAGGGAGAGGATCTGCCTACCTTGAAGGCAGACTTTCTACCAATCCTCTTCATTTTAGCCTCCCACCTCAACTTCTAGAGGGACCTGGCACTGCTAATTTCTGAACCCTTTGGGGGATAATATCACAGTATAAATTGGGTGATTCTCAGCTTTTCTTTCTGCTAGTTCAGGATTCTGATTTCCTGGGTCTACTAAGTCATTTAACGTTCACTATGTGTTTCCAGCTTCTAAAATGTTGTTGCTGTTGCTCTCTTCCCATTCTCCAAATATTTACAGATTTATGCCTTTTTAAAGAAATTTTTAAAATTTTTTATTTATTTATTTTATTGAGATGGAGTCTCACTCTGTCGCCCAGGCTGAAGTGCAGTGGCACAATCTCGCCTCACTGCAACCTCTGTCTCCCGGGTTCACATCATTCTCCTGCCTCAGCCTCCCAAATAGCTGGGATTACAGGTGCCTGCCACCATGCCCGGCTAATTTTTTGTATTTTTAGTGGAGACGGGGTTTCACTGTGTTAGCCAGGATGGTCTCGATCTCCTGACCTCGTGATCCGCCCGCCTTGGCCTCCCAAAGTGCTGGGATTACAGGCATGAGCCACTGCACCGGGCCTTATTTTTTATTTTTTAGTTGGAGTCTCACTCTGTCACCCAGAGTGGAGTGCAGTGGTACAATCTCGGCTCACTGCAACCTCTGTCTCCTGGGTTCAAGCAATTCTCCTGCTTCAGCCTCCGGAGCAGCTAGGATTACAGATGCGTGCCACCATGTCTGGCTAATTTTTGTATTTTTAGTAGAGACGGGTTTTTACCATGTTGGCCAGGCTGGTCTTGAACTCCTGACCTCGGTGATCCGCCCGCCTTGGTCTCCCAAAGTGCTGGGATTACATGCATGAGCCATCATGCCCGGCCAGATTTATGCCTTTTAAATACATGTTTATAATTACTTAATGGGGTTTTCAGAGGAAGCAAAAGTAGGTGTTCAATCCTCCATCTTTACCTGGAAATCCGAGAATCAGAATTTATTCCCATAATCACAGAAAAACAAAACAAAGAACACCCTTCAAGTTAACATTTATTGAACACCAGGTGTTTTCCCTTCTGTTACCTTAATTTTGACAACCACCATGAAAGGTAAAGTTGATTATCACCATTTTACAGATAAAAGAACCTGAAGCTCAGACACTCATTCAAGCAAGCATCTGTGGACCTGGGAGGCAAACTGCTCTGCTGCTTCCAAGTCTGGTTCTTCTAGCGCATGACAGCTGCTTCATCCTATTCTAGAGCTGCAGCCAGGCTGCCACGGCAGAGGCTATGACCTCACAGCAGCTCAGGCCCTTGAATGGTCTCCATCAAATGTGTGAATGTGCCATATGTGATGAGAGAAACCAAGTGGACAGAGTAGCTGGCAATGGCAGGCCCCAGAGGCCTCGTTAGTCTGCTCTGCTGCTGGATGAACTCCCCTGGGTCAGGTCGGGGGACTGTTCTGCAGCAGACAGGTACCTCCTTGAATCTCTCCTCCCCAGAGTTGACCCTGGGGTGGAGAGAAGCATAGCTGGGGAACCAGCAGAAACTTCAGGGACAAATAAAATATAAAAAATTAAGAGAGAGAAACAGAAAATAGATTAGTGGTTACTTAGGGCTGGGAGGACTGCTTGAGCCCGGGAAGTTAAGGCTGCAGTGAGCTGAGATCGTGCCACTGTACTGCAGCCTGGGTGACAAAGTGAGACTCTGGGCCAGGTGCGGTGGCTCACGCCTGTAATCCCAGCACTTTGGGAGGCTGAGACGGGCAGATCACCTGAGGTTGGGAGTTCAAGACCAGCCTGACCAACATGGAGAAACTCTGTCTCTACTAAAAACACAAAATTAACCGGGCGTGGTGATGCATGCCTGTAATCACAGCTACTTAGGAGGATAAGGCAGAAGAATCCCTTGAACCTGGGAGGTGGAGGTTGCAGTGAGCCGAGATCGCAGTGAGCCGAGATCGTGCCATTGCACTCCAGCCTGGGCAACAAGAGCAAAACTCCATCTCAAAAAAAAAAAAAAAAAAAAAAAAAAGGCGAGACTCTGTCTCAAATATATATATATATATATCAGACAGAAACATTGTAATGCTAATAAGGCTGTTCTATACAAGCATGAGATGGTCTCTGAGTCATCTTCCTTGCCTATTCAGAAAAATCTGGGACCTTGATTTGCCCTAACCAAATTTTTTCACCAGAGAATCAGACAGCCTTGGTAGACATATCATCTAGGGGTGGCGGGCAGTGGGAATGTATCAGACTAAAAATTACACTGTCTCAAGGATGGCACCAAGAAGGCAAATGACGATAATTAACATTGATGATGAGGATTAAGCAACCAACCCAGTGCACTATGAGTTCCTTAGAGAACAGACACATGATATAGGGAATAAAAAAGAAAAAGAAGGCTGGGCGCGGTGGCTCACGCCTGTAATCCCAGCACTTTGGGAGGCCAAGGCAGGTGGATCACGAGGTCAGGAGATCGAGACCATCCTGGCTAACATGGTGAAACCCCGTCTCTATTAAAAATACAAAAAATTAGCCGGACGTGGTGGCGGGCGCCTGTAGTCCCAGCTACTCGGGAGGCTGAGGCAGGAGAATGGCGTGAACCCTGGAGATGGAGCGTGCAGTGAGCCGAGATTGCGCCACTGCACTCCAGCCTGGGTGACAGAGCGAGACTCCGTCTCAAAAAAAAAAAGAAAAGAAAAAGAAAATATAGCAATAAAATAAAGGATTTGATATTCTAAGTTCAAATTTCCCATTTTTACATTGGCTTGTTGGAGTAGCTGCAAAAATTCCCATTTTCCCTTAATAATTCTTCTTCCCTTTTAAAAAATATCCATAAAATAAGGATACTAAGCATTTCTAGGCAAGCGAAAGTTTTTCACAAACACAGACGATTGCATCCAGTGCTGAACAACATGGGTGTGGACGGCCTGATCTCAGCAGAAAGTAGCGCCCGCACTCCTGTCTGAGGCCCAGAGAAGCAAGCTCTGGGGCTGCCGGAAACTGCTGTATGAGTTCCTTGGGAAGTCTGTCCCCCAGCCCCCAGCCTCCCCAAAGGAAGGTGCCTGGGACCTGGCCCCAGCCTCTGGGAACTTACTTGACGAGCCTCAGTGTGTCCTTTCGGATATTGACCAGGCTTCTCAGAGTCTTCACGGGTTCTTGGGGAGGTGGGGCGGCGTAAGGAAACTGTGTCAGAAACAAAGCAGGAGAAGGTGGTGTGTTTAAAAAGACCCACAGCTGTCCCTCGCTTTACAGTTTGCCAAGAATAGCCCTAAGAGGTGAGGCAGGAAGGCACAACTCTCCTAATTAAGTGAGGAAACTGAAACTCCGACATACTGAGTCAACCTGCTCAAGGTCACAGCTAGCGGGAAAACTGGGATGCAATTTGGGGCCCAAAGAGCCAGATTTATCTTCTTTTTCCATTATATGAAGCTTATTTCGGTCAGTGTTCAAAACCTGGAGAATTAATAATAAAAAAAAAAACCGCTGAAGTTCCAAATACCAAAGGACACACTGTGGCCGAGTTAATCACAAAAGGCTTTTCCATCTGACCTCAGACGACAGGGAACCAGACCTGCAAGCCCTTTCCTTCGGTGAGGCCATGCGGTATCCCAGGAGTTTAGGGACCGCAAATAAAAGAGGGCCCCATCATGTGTACAGAGCTGAAGTTTGCAAACAGTAAAGAACAAACTTCCCCTGCAGCTGATCATATAAAGCAGAGCTCTTTAACATGTGAGCCAAGAGTTATTTTGGGGTCACCAAAGGTTTATGGTTGTCTTCATCATTTACCATCCGCTTCTTCCCCCTTTGCCCGTTTAGACCTTTGGATTTGAAGTTCTGAGTTGTTGATAATGATGAGATAAAGAAAGGGGAAATAGCCAAAAATTTCACTGGGAATTGCCTTCTGAGGATCAAGAATGATTTCAAATGTTCCCGGTATTTTTAAAATGTTATTTGGGCAATCAAAATGTTTTAACATATAATTCCCAAAAAACCTACTGGTCTCTGCAGCTTTGCAAAACTGTGGTTCTCTTGGCTCAAGAAGAGTCTACCTCCATAGTGTGGTATCACAAAACAGGACACCCAAGTTATAATCAAATTGTGCCCTCACAGGTTTTTATTGAATATGGTTATTTTACTTGGGAAACAATATAGTTAAACCATAGTTAAGGTGCATCTGACTTAATGTACGCAGTATAATTGCTTATAATTCACAGGTATGAATGTGACTCTTACATTCAATAGAAATTATCTTCATTCAGATTACTCACTTTGTGGGCATGATGCAGTAATTTACTTTTTCATTGATATATTAACCATACATTCTTTTAAAAATGATAGTTTTTTCTAATTACAAAGTAATATATGTTTAAGCAGAAAACTTGAAAAACACAAAAAAGTACAAAACTATCCCTAATTTTACTACTCGGCAATACCAAAATTAACATTATGGAATACGTATCTCCATCCGTCCGTCTATCCATCCATCCTGTCCACCTCTATATCTATGTGCTGTTTCACACTGAACATACTATTTTGCAGTTTCTTTTTCACCTAAAAAGATGTGGTAAACATTTTTAAAGTCCATAATTTTGATAACATTGCAGATAATAGCATACTTTAATCAATTCCATATTATTCAATATTTTATGTTGGTTTTACTTTTTTTCGCAGCTATAAATGTTGTGGTGAATATCCTTGTCCCTATATTTCTGCATGCTTGTTTGATTATTTCCTAAGGACAAATTCCTAGAAGTGGAATTACAGGATCAAAGAGTAAGCATATTTTTAAGACTTTAAAAATTATTTTGCCAAACAGTTTTCCACAAAGCTGACTCCAACTTTGCCCTCCTGCAAGCAGTGCATCAGGAGGCCTTGACATGGTAAAACTGAAATTCTAGTTCAGATCCCATCTGTGGCCTGTTTCTCCTCCCCCAACTTTCCTAGGCTGTCATACTAAAGGAATTTAAAACAATTTTTAAATAAGCTTAAGCAAAAAGTAATTAGGCAGGAAAATCCGACACAAACGCTAGTCTATTCTAAAGCCAAAATAAATGACTTTGGGATTAAAATTTTTTTCTGGAGTAGCAAAGTTAATCATTTTCATTTGTACAGGTACTTGGGCGTTATCCATAACTCCTACCTGCATTTCAAAAAAAAGATGCGTCTTTTCCCTTATTCTTTACTCTTTCTCCTCCATAGCCACTCCCTGCCGCAAAAGAGAGAAAAATAAAAAGAAAGAAAAAAAAATCCTGGCACTCTTTATCCTCCATTTTGAATATATTTGATGATAACTGTGGCAATGAAACATAAGCTATTTGGCTCTTAAGGAAAGGTATCAATGAGTTCAATTGTTTATAAATCCACCCCTATACTTTAGGCTCTCCCTGTACACACACATACACGCACAAGACAACAACGGCAAATCTGTTCAGGAGAAGCTTGTTCGTGGGCTGCTACCCACCAAAGTTTGTGCCTTGCTGGCCTTGCATTCATGCAATCAGAGTCTACATGCAACACTCCATGCCAGGAGTAAGGAGAGATTGAAAACCAAGAAGATAAGGCCCTGCTCTTTCAGGAAGCTGCATTATAAGGCAGCTGACATAGTAATTGTAATATCAAAGAGATTAAATATATGGATATTTTTTTGCCACAAAAGGCAAAAATAAAGGAAGTGATCATTTCTGGCTGAGGTAATCTGAAGGCTTCATGGAGGAGTTGGTAGTTGATCTGGGATCCTAAAGGATAAATGAAATTTGCAAATTCAGAGATAACAGAGAAGATGGAGGGGACAGTAGGATCAGAGGCAAATTAAAAAAAATTTTTTTTCTGCTCTTAGAGTTGTCTCCCATTCTTCTGTAAATCGATTTTGCCTACTATTACTCTCGAAATTTCTTAGTGAGTTATCTTCCTTTCAAAAATTACCATTTATTGAGTGCTTACTATTGATGACAGTGGTGGGCTGTCCAGAGCAGCCGCTGCCATCACAACGGCTGCTGCAGGGGGGTCGCAGGGAGCAGACAGACAGCCCCTCCACAGCTTGCCGCCCTGGAGGCCACCCCATGGGGCTGGCCGGGTTACCCACCAGCAGAGGAGCAGCGTGGCAGAAGAGCAGCGCGGTAGGGCAAAGAGGAGCCCCGAGGCGGAGCTGGGCCTTGGCCAGTGTCCCGCTTGCTCATGGAGCGCCAGGGCCAGGCCTGGGCGCGGAGCTGGGGCCATGCTTCAGGGGCCCCGGGCAGGAAGTGGGAGCAGCTTCCGCTTCGGGCACCTGGCCATTGGCGCAGCCACTGTGCCCACCCTGCCGAGGGTGCCAGGTTCCTGTGCCTCGGGAGGAGGTTCTGCGCAGCCCGTCTGGGGCTGCGCCCCCAGGTCTGCCCCACATTGGGGTGACCACTGAGCCTGACACTCCTGGGCAGATGGCCTGGCCCAGGCCCAGGCCCAGGATCCACTCTGTCCCAGACTGCCCGTGAAGCACCGGGGGAACAGGCAGAGCTCATGGCGATGTCACCCTGCCCTGGACACTGGCCCCGGCCCTGGCCCCGGCCCAGTGAGGACCTGGAGCCCCTGCCCCAGGCTGCAAGGGGGTGCTGCAGGGGCTGCATGCTCCACAGAGCCGGTGGAAGCCAGGAACAGGCAGCAGCCCCGCCTTGGGCTGTGGATCGGGGGCCTCCATAAGCTCTTGGAGACACGGAAAAGCCCTCCCACCCCCCCGCCCCAGCAGGCTCGGAAGTGCCTGCTCCTGCCGCCTAGCTTCTGCTTGCTCTTGGTGCTGGCTCTGATCTTAGAGCAGTGTGGGGCCAAGCCAAGGTGCTGTTGCAGCCAGGCTAGGAGTGCACATGCTCGGGGTAGCGCTGACAAGCCAGCCCCCTGCTGCCTCGGCCCCTTCCAGACTTTGGGCACTGATGAGCATGAGGGAAGGGGAAGGGGGAGAGGCGAGGGGGTGCTGAGGGCAGCTTGGTGCTGGCCTTCAGGGAGGACGTGAAGGCTGGGGGCCTGGCTGCCAGTCCCGCCCACTGGAGTGGGAACTTGTGTTGCCTTTTCTAGGCCTGCCCATGGATGCCCAGGGACCAGTCTACCTGCACTTCCTCCCCTCTGAGGCCCATAAAAGGCCCAGGCTCAGCCAGAACAGAGCAGAGGTTGGGACCACCAGCTGCAGAGAGGAGCAACCTACTCCAGTGCCTCCTCTCTGCTGATAGCTGCAGAGATGTCCATAAGACCAGCTGCAGAGAGGAGCTACGCACTCCAGGGCCTCCTCTCTGCTGAGAGCTGCAGAGAAGACAGGATGACCTTCCTGCGGAAAAGAGCTTCCCACTCCAGGGTCTCTATGCTAGGACACTTGTCAGGACACCCTGGCTGCGGAAAGAGCTACCCACTGCGGGTATCCTCTGAGCTGTTCCAAGGCTCAATAAGGCTCCTCTTCGTCTTGCTCACCCTATGTTTGTCTGTGTATCTCATTCTTCCTTGTTGCAGGACAAGAATTTTGGACCCATGGAATGGTGGGACTAAAAGAGCTGTAACACAAACAGGACTGAAACATGCTCCTTGCTTGTCATGTTGCAGGCAAAGAGGAGAGAAGAGCTGTGGCCCGTCGGGGAGCCCAGACCTGGGAGCTGCCCAAGCCAGGGCTATGACTTCCTCTTTGTGGCCCTGTAGTTCCTGGCATCTCCAAGCTTCCGGGTGCCACCACATTCCCTGGTGCCAACCGGGAGAGCTGCTTGCAGTGCACCTGGTCCAGCCACAGCCTCGCAGACAGCTGGCACCTATACTGGCACCTGGGGCTGCCAGCCCCACAGCGGCAGCTGGCGTGTCTGACTGCACAGTGGCCGGACCCCACTCTCGCTCACACACCCCTTGCTGCTCCATGCCTGACTTGCAGTCTCCCTTGGAGGCGTGGGATATAGGCTGGTAGTGTGAGCTGAGTGCAGCCTGTCAGGCCAAGTGGGTGGAAGAAGCCCAATGTGCCTGAGCCGAACCTGTGCAAGGCACCACTGGCCACAGGTTTCCAGCCAGAAAAGTGACACCCCAAAGATCACATAATACTATGTGCCAGGCACTATGCTGAGCTCTTTATTTATATTATCTTATTTAATCTTTGGAGGAATCCTGTGAAATAGTCATGGTTGTTCCCATTTTTGCAGGTAAGAAAACAGAGGTTGCAAAGAGGTTGAAAAACTTCTCTAAAGTCCCCCAAGTTTTAGGGAGCAGAGGTTATTTTTCTCTCTTTTTTTTTTCCAGTAACTAACATGTCTTAAAGGGAGCAGAGTTGAGGTTTGAACACGTTCTACCTTTATCTTTCCCCAAGACGCTCTGGATGCAGCTTTTTAATCTAGAGATGAGATTTCCAAGGATTAAAGTGCTGGTTATTAAAAGATCTGAAGACACAAATTTATTTATTTTCTCATTCCTTTCTAAAGTCAAGACATCAGATAAATGTTTGTGTTTGTCCACACTATCTCCTCAATACATGCACCATTACTAAGTTATATTTAAGACAAAAGGTGTATCCTGGCCGGGCACAGTAGCTCACGCTTGTAATTCCAGCATTTTGGGAGGCTGAGGCAGAAAGATCGCTTGAGCTTAGGAGTTTTGAGACCAGCCTGGGCAACATGGCGAGACTTTGTCCCCACAAAAAATGTAGAACTTAGTCAGCATGGTGGCACACACCTGTAGTCCCAGCTACTCAGAAGGCTGACGCAAGAGGATCACTTGAGCCCAGGAGATTGAGGCTGCAGTGAGCTATGATAGCATCACTGCACTCCAGCTTGGGGGAGAGAGTGAGACCATCCCAAAAAGGAAAAAAAAAGAGGCCAAGCGTGGTGGTTCATGTCTCTAATCCCAGCACTTTGGGAGGTCGAGGTGGGCAGATCACTTGAGGTCAGGAGCTTTGAGACCGGCCTGGCCAACATAGCGAAACCCCATCTGTACTAAAAATACAAAAATTAGCTGGGTGTGGTGGCACAGGCCTGTAGTCCCAGCTACTAGGGAGGCTGAGGCAGAAGAATTGTTTGAACCCAGGAGGTGGAGGTTGCAGTGAGCTGAGCTCATGCCACTGCACTCCAGCCTGGGCAACAAGCGAGACTCTGTCTCAAAAACAAAAAATAAGTATCTTATTTCAACCTAAAACCAGAGATCTCACTCATATGCTAACAGGTAAGTATGAAAGGAAAGAAAACTAATGCCTTCTTGGGACCAAGAAAGATGAAGCTCAGAACAGATTCAGGGCCAAGCATTTTTCTGAAGTACTCATGCACCAGTCCACTGTACTTAGCATTAGCAATCGTTTTCTCAGTTCATATCCACAGAGTTTCTGTTTTCTTTTTTAGAGTCTGCAAAGGGTAATTTTCTCAGCCCTAGGTCTACTGAGTAAGGGAGTGCATGGTGACAAGGAAGACCAGATAAAGTCTTTCTGATGTAAGCATCCTGGCATATCCGGAAACAGGAAGAGCTTCCTTTTCTGTCTTGCACACAACATGCCCCAGGTCCACAGACAGAGGGAGACTGAGAAGCTTTCTGATCTCTTACCTCAAGCTCAGTATGGATTTATAGAATGGCTTCCTGTTTCTCAGGTATCATTCTGGAGTAAATAAACCCTTAACAGCCTTATGAAGGACAACTAAATGCAGCTTCTAGAATCCTATTTCACTTTTTATAATGAAAACAGGCCTCAGATCAAGACTCATGAACAAAGAATGAAATTTGGTCTGCTCAGGGATTTGGGGACCAAACATTAAGTGTGAGTACCTTTACGACAGAAAAGCAAGGCACAGATCCCCCTAATCTATTCATCTAACCAGAAAACTCTGCCAAAAGAAAGCCCCTTTCATGGGGTAAAACTTGGGTAACCTGCAATTACAGCTTGGCAAATCATGAAAAAAGAGAATGTAAGGAAATATTTAACTGAGTATCTACTATGTGCCAGGCATTATGCTAGGTACTTTAGATAGATTCTTTTTGTCCCCCATTTTACTTTACATATTTTTTATCTTTATTTTTAAATTTTCGTAGAGATGGGGTTTTACTATGTTGCCCAGGCTGGTCTCAAACTCTTGAGTTCAAGTGATCTTCTCGCCTCAGCTTCCCAAAGTGCGGGGATTAGAGGTGTAAGCCACCACACCTGGTCTTTTTATTTTTATCTTGGTAAAATACACATAACATGAAATTTACTATCTCAATCATATTCAAGTATACAGTTCAGCGGCATTAAGTAACATTCACATTCGCATTATCGTGCGGCCATCACCGCCATCCAGCTCTAGTTTAGGTATGCTCTTATTTCACATTCTCGAAAGGAACAACATGCCTGCCCCTCTCACCAGCCTGTAAGTTCCGTGTGTATGCTGGAGGACAGTCCAACATGCCGGAGAAATACAGTAGCCGACTGAAAAATGAAGAATGTCAGTTAAACAAACTGACATTCTACAGATAAAGAAACCGAGACTCAAAAGATTCACGTAATCATCCAGGGTCCCAGAGCTAATGAGCAGCAGAACCACAATTTGAACCCAGGTACATCTGACTCCAAAAGCCATACTCTATTGCACTGCTTCTACTGTAGGGCAAGTCTACAGGCTCTTCTAATCCTAGGAGTGTTCCAGGGACCTGAGCAGAGTTCGGGGAGTCTGAAAGTTATACCATCATGGCAAACAGTACTGAATTCTGTGAAGGTTCTGGAAGCTAGCCAAAAATCTCCAATGGCGCCCTATGCTTAGATGGCAGTATGTACAAAATCATACCACGCACCACACTCCTTTCTATCTTTAACAGGAGTATCTAAGGTCTTCTTAGAGAAGAGCTTTCTTGGAGCACAGTATGACAAAATCTTTGTCTATAAGATCTAACAGTACCTGCAGAAGATACAAATGTACACTGAGGGCAGGGTGATGTCAGAGAACACTGCCAGCAGCCACAGCCACAATGGATACGTCAGTCAGCGTTTACCTTCCACCCAAGATGCTCAAAGATGTGTTACTGCCAGATAGTTCTAAAATATGGCGACTTCTTCACTAAATTGTTTTCAAAAAATGGTCGGGTGCGGTGGCTCACATCTAATCCCAGCACTTTGGGAAGCCGAGACAGGCAGATCACCTGAGGTCCAGAGTTTGAGACCAGGCTGGCCAACATGGTGAAACCTCATCTCTACTAAAAATACAAAAATCAGCTGGGTGTGGTGGCGTGTGCCTGTACTCCCAGTTACTCAGAAGGCTGAGGCAGGAGAATCACTTGAACCCAGGAGGCAGAGGTTGCAGTGAGCTGAGATCACACCACTGCACTCCAGCCTGGGTGACCGAGTGAGACTCTGTCTCAAAAAAAAAAAAAAAAAAGAATAAATAAATAAATAATTTTCAAAAAACAAAGACATTTACCCATTCATTCAGCACTCTCACTATATCCTGAGTACTGAACTAGGCCTGAGGGACACAGTGAAGAGTCAAGCAAACCTCTCTTAGTTCCATCTGTAAAGGGGCGTCAAGCTTGCATCTGGTGCCCTGCATGCTTGGATACAACATCCTCCTGGGACTGGGCTGCTGTGTCTGTCCTGAAGTAAGCCTGAATCTGAGAATAACTTAAATCCCAAACATCTCAAACCCAGAATGGAAGTAGAGTTGGGCTCAGCCAGAAGACCTCTTTTGGTGGACCTCAGGCGTTTGCTGACGAAGGCTCTGTGTGTTACGTGAGCAACTCCTCTTTGGCTTTTGACCCTGGTGCTCATCAGCTTCCTTTTACCAGCACATCACATCGGCAAAGCGCCACCTGGTGACGAAAGATGAAATTGCCAGACCATGCCCAAATGCAGGCCAGAAGGGTGCACGTGCATTCACATACACATGGGCACACACGCATTTAGTCTGTGTGTGTGTGTGTGTGTGTGTGTGTGTGTATCAATCACATGTCCTAGATTTTTTTTTTTACCATTCTGATTTCAAATATTACACTACTCCTACGGTTGTACTATTTTTGCTGTAAAAAAATATGGTCACAGTACATGTGAAAGGACATCTTACTCTGTGTGTAAATTATTAGGCAATTCCCAGTAGTCTACAAAAAAACACAATAATCCATTCATCCCATCCATAAAAATAAAGTTAACTTCAACATAAATCTTTTTTTAAAGTATATACTTTGTTTTCATTTGCTATTAGATTCAGGCCTCGTCTCATATATATATATATATATATATATATATGAGAGATATATATATGAGAGAGATATATATCCTATATATCCTATATATGATATATAGGATATATAGGATATATATATCCTATATATCATAATAATATGAAAACTATATTATTACCATCAATTCTCAGGTAAAGAAAGTATTGATATTGTATACTTCTGTTGGTTACTTTTCGCTCTTGTTGCCCTGGCTGGAGTGCAATGGCACGATCTTGGCTCACTGCAACCTCCGCCTCCCGGGTTCAAGCGATTCTCCTGCCTCAGCCTTGCTTCCCGAGTAGCTGGGATTACAGGCGTCTGCCACCATGCCTGGCTAATTTTTTTGTATTTTTAGTAGAGATAGGGTTTCTCCATGTTGGTCAGGCTGGTCTCGAACTCCTGACCTCAGGCGATCCGCCCGCCTCAGCCTCCCAAAGTGCTGGGATTCCAGGTGTGAGCCACCACGCCCGGCCTCACGTGGGAATATTTTTGAAAACTGCAGATCCCAGGGCCCTGTCACTAGAATTCTGATTCAGCTAGTTTGGGGTAGGAACTAGGAATCTGTATTTTAATAAACATTCCAACCAATTCTGATGCAGGTAGGTTAGAGACCCCACTGAAAGAAAAAATGCTGGTCTTCTGCAGCTAATAATATTTAATTATATACCAAAATAAATTCACATAAAGTTTTTTTTTGTTTTGTTTTTTAGAGGTAGGGTCTTGCTATGTTTCCATGCTGGAATGCAGTGGCTATTCACTGTGACCATAGTGCACTACAGCCTTGAACTACTGGGCTCAAGTGATCCTCCTGCCTCAGCTTCCCGAGTAGCTGGGACTACAAGCAAGTCATCACAGCTGGCTAATTTCTATCATTTCTTCCACATTAAAAAACATTTATGGATATAGAATAATTATAGCTTTCTACATTTATTAGCTGGGATTCTACTGTAAGGAAGAGCTGTCCTTTATCATTCAATTATTCAATTATTTCTTCATTTGTTTAATTATAAATTATGTATTTATGTAATTTATTTTATATTAATTTTTTTACTTAAGTAAAAACAAAAAACCCAAAATACCAAAAATATGCTTCCAAAGACAGGAAACCATTTTAGACAATTTATAATTAAAATAGCAAAGTACAGGCTGGGAGCGGTGGCTCACACCTGTAATCCCAGCACTTTGGGAAGCTGAGGTGGGCGGGTTGGTTGAGGCCAGGAGTTTGAGACCAGCCTGGCCAGCATGGTGAAACCCCGTCTCTACTAAAAACACAAAAAATTAGCCAGGCACAGCGGCACGCGCCTGTAATCCTAGCTACTTGGGAGGCTGAGGCAAGATAATCACTTGAACCTGGGAGGCAGAGGTTTCAGTGAGCCAAGATAGTGCCACTGTACTCCAGCCTGGGCGACAGAGCAAGACTCCATCTAAAAAAAAAAAAAAAAAAGCAAAGTACACATTTTGTATATTGGGCAGACATTTAATATTTATGCCAGAGAATCAAATAATAATTACTATAGAAACCAACACCTGGGGTCATATCAAAAACTCATTCATGGTACTACATAATCTCTTTTTTTATAGGGTTTTGTGTTTAAATTCTATTTCATTTTTATTTGATGCCTGGTTATTTTCCCAGCTTTCTCTGCTTCCCTTCTCCTGAGATACATAACGTGTCCAAGGCTTACCAGTGGATATTTTTAGACTGGTGATGGATCAGTGTTGGGGAGAGCAGCTTCGTATTTGCTTGAATGCTGTGAAGTGAATACAAATTTGCCTATTTACCCAGATTCATCCCTGAGACAGACTGATGTGCCTGCTGTAGATCAGAACAACAATGATCTATATTAACTGCAGTAAACCTCTTTTCACTAATTTTTCAACCAATCCTCATGGGGAGCCAATCACCAGCTTAGAATGAATGGTAATCACAAAGCTGACAAGATAAAAGATATTCTTTGTACCCAAATCAAAGATATGAGGGAGATAGCAAGAGAGTGTCACAGATGACCTTGCACACAAAAATGCTTTGTCTTCAGATTTGGCTATCAAAGAAATCAATCCAAGAAAGCACTCCATTTATAGTCTTCGAACTCCTCTGCTAGGTCTCTTGGCAGGAAGTACACAAGACCAACGTCATGGCTATATGACCTCCCACCTAATGTTGACCTTTTCCAAAATATTTAATTAAGCAATTGCACAGTTAAGCAATTCTCTCTGTTCACCTTAACAGGTGATAAGGGTACGAAAAACCTACCACAGAGTAAAGAACACATCATAAAATGGCATAGATCTTGGTAATGACCATCACAGATCCATTCTATATCTCTCCTTATGTTTTAGGTCTTGACTCATTGTTTGAGAATACTGAGACTGGGCAACATGCTCAGTCCCACTCTGTCATTAAACACACCTACATGGCTACGTGAACTGCTTAGATGACAAATGAACCTACTTGACTTCCAGGCCCCCCCAGATAGGAAGCCTCCCTTCCCAGCAGGCTAAAACCTTCTACCCAATCATGCTGTGCTTCTAGAATAAAACTACCTTCCAGAAGACGAATTGCTTTTAGTTGCAAAAGATTTTGCCTAACACCAGCTAATTTTAAGTTGAGTTAAAAGGAGAAAAGCGTGCTCTTAATAAAGCAGACACAGTCATCTTTTCCCCTCCAGCGAGTTGGTAAATAATGACTAGTGGTCAGAGATTAGTCCTTTCTTTTTTTTTTTTGAGACGGAGTCTCGCTCTGTCGCCCAGGCTGGAGTGCAGTGGCGCGATCTCGGCTCACTGCAAGCTCCGCCTCCCGGGTTCACGCCATTCTCCTGCCTCAGCCTCCCGAGTAGCTGGGACTACAGGCACCCGCTACCACGCCCGGCTAATTTTTTGTATTTTCAGTAGAGACGGGGTTTCACCGTGTTAGCCAGGATGGTCTCGATCTCCTGACCTCGTGATCCGCCCGCCTCGGCCTCCCAAAGTGCTGGGATTACAGGCGTGAGCCACCGCGCCCGGCCGAGATTACTCCTTTCACACGAGCAACCCATCCTCACTACCTCACTTCCTGATTTCATTTGGTCAGGAGATTCATAAACCAGCTCACAAATTAGAATACACTTTTAAGCAGCAGGTTTTGAGATGCCTTGATACTGTATGTATGTGAAGAATATGCTTACAGAAGCAAGCACCAGTATCAGACTAAATAGGCATTTAAAAATATAAAACATATATATATATATTTCTTCCTAAGCAAGTATTTGAACGTTCTAATGCCAAGTATTAAGTTTCCCAGATATTTTAAAACAGAGGCATTTTTGATAGGCCAATTACTAAGGGCAAGAGGACCAAAATCTTCCCTACTCTCTATTTCAAAAATAAAAAATAAGAAACTGTAAACTGGTCTTCAAGCTGAAAAACTCCAAGCTGTCCTTTCATGTCCCATTAAAAAACATCGACTCTAAAACTATTTATGGGCCAGGTGCGGTGACTCATGCCTGTAATCCCAGCACTTTGGGAGGCTGAGGTGGGTGGATCACCTGAGGTCAGGAGTTTGAGACCAGCCTGGCCAACATGGTGAAACCCCGTCTCTACTAAAAATACAAAAAATTAGCTGGGCGTGGTGGCGGGTGCCTGTAATCCCAGCTACTCAGGAGGCTGAGGCAGGAGAAACACTTGAACTGAGGAGGCAGAGGTTGCAGTGAGCCGAGATCACACCACTGCACTCCAGCCTGAGCAACAAGAGTGAGACTCTGTCTCAAAACAAAAAACAAAACGAAACAAAAAAACCCCAAAAAAACTACTTATGTAAGATTCAAGATTAATTACAAGAGTTGTCAAGATTTCTCTCATATTCCTGGAAGGAAAATATGCTCTGAGGTCTACTAGGCTAGAAATCTCAGGTCTGGGCCGGGGGGGCAGTGGCTCACGCCTGTAATCCCAGCACTTTGGGAGGCCGAGGCGGGCAGATAACCTGAGGTCAGGAGTTTGAGACCAGCCTGGCCAAACTGGTGAAACCCCATCTCTATTACAAATACAAAAATTAGCCAGGCATGGTAGTGCACATTTGTAATCACAGCTACTTGGGAGGCTGAGGCAGGAGAATTGCCTGAACCCAGGAGGCAGAGGTTGCAGTGAGCTGAGATCGCACCACTGTACTCCAGCCTGGGTGACAGAATGAGACTCCGACTCAAAATAAATAAATAAATAAATAAATAAATAAATAAATAAATAAAATCTCAACTCTGGTTTGAGAAAAATAATAATAGTATGAAATATATCAATGGAAATAGTTAAGTTTATAAGCCAAACAAACATGGAATTCAAAGCCCTGGCAAGGTCTGGTTACTCTGGCTAGGCTATGTATTTGCAGATACAGCCCTGGGAAGAAAGTCACTATTCAATCAATAACTCTAATAGGATTTTCTTTTTTTCTTCTTCTTTTTTTTTTCTTAAGATGGAGTCTCGCTCTGTCACCCAGGCTGGAGTGCAGTGGTGCGATCTCGGCTCACCACAACCTCCGCCTCCCAGGTTCAAGCCATTCTCCTGCCTCAGTCTCCCGAGTAGCTGGGATTACAGGTGCATGACACCATGCCCAGCTAATTTTTTGTATTTTGAGTAGAGATGGGGGTTTCATCATGTTGGCCAGGCTGGTCTTGAACTCCTGACCTTGTGATCCACCCACCTCAGCCACCCAAAGTGCTGGGATTACAGGCATGAGCCACGGCGTCTGGCCAGGATTTTATTTTCTTTAGTTAATCCTGTGGTATAGAAGCCCTAGATAATTAGAACAAAATAGCATAAAATAAAAATCCATAGCATATACCTGATAGTTTTATTTTATTTATTTATTTATTTTTTTCTGAGACAGGTTCTCACTCTGTCGCCCAGGCTGGAGTGCAGTGTGGCAATCTCAGCTCACTGCAACCTCCACATCCGGGGTTCAAGCGACTCTCCTGCCTCAGCTTCTCGAGTAGCTGGGATTACAGGTGCTTGCCACCACATCCAGCTAATTTGTTTTGTAATTTTTAGTAGAGATAGGGTTTTACCATGTTGGTCAGGCTGCTCTTGAACTCCTGACCTCAAATGATCTGCCTGCCTTAGCCTTCCAAAATGCTGAGATTACAAGTGTGAGCCACCACGCCCAGCCCTGATAGTTCTATTTTCTGAGTTATTAATGTAAAGATGTGCGGAAACCCTAATGGAAAAATCTATTCTGCAGCTAGTTTAATAAGGTGGCACTTGTTCCGTTTTGCATTGCTAAGCTTCTAAGAGTCTTGAGAGCTCTGATTATTCTTCAGTCACCCCCCAATAGCAGTGGGCAGCCAAGATTCTGTAAACCAAGTGAACTACTTTCTTTGGCTTTTATGAAAGTCTAAACTCATTTAAAGACCGGATATAGTGAAATGCAGTGGCTAGAACTTTAGGTTCTAGATGGTGAACACCCATACTCTATCATGCTCCAACTCCAAGGTGACTTACGTTCTCTTGTACTGCATCCCACGGCCTCCTACCTGGGATCACTCCACTGCCCCATGTGGTCACCCATCACTTCTCAGCCCATCCTTGTAAATCTCCACTCCTTGAGCCACATCCTTCATCACCTCCAATTTTCCTTATTCTCAGCAACCTCTTCTCTGTGGTTCTTCCTCTTTTTACTGATTTTCTGCATTTCATTAAGACCCTGGGCTTCTGATCATCTTTCAGGGCTTGTCAGAGGTGATTACACTCCCTGAAGAATAAATAGGTGTCTTAGCATTAACCACAAGCTTTCTGAGACTAAAAATAGCCAAGTTCCAACTTTAAACAAGGTGCAAGCAAAGATGGTGCAATAGATGCAACAGATAATTCCCCCCAAAGCAATGCATGCTAGTATCTCCCAACAGTGTTAGTTTGGCTTCTAAGTTTATAATTCTCAGTCTGGTCATTAATACAAACATTCTCTTATGCTAGTTAATAGTCTGTAAAGAAAGCATGGCTCCATAATTAAGTGGGAAGTCAAAAGTTCAGCAAGAGGATTTAGTGACTGGCTTCTAACGAATACATCATGGAAAGGGGAAGATTTACAGTGGATAAACCTGTACCACCCGGACCATGTAAACAGGGCTGATATCAACAGCAATAAGTCATGTGATATTATGTACCTCTGATATGATGCAACTACATCTGTGGTTTTCTTTCCCAAAGTCTATAATCCTGGTCTTTTGATATTTCAAAAGAAAACATTAGAAAAACCCAAATCAAGGGAAGTTCTACAAAATACCTAGCCAAGTACATCTAAAAATTTTCAAGGTCATGAAGAACAAGGAAAAATTGAGAAACTAGCACACATTGGAGGAGATGAAGGAAACATGAGAACCAAAAGTATCCTGGACTAGATCCTAGAACTAAGAAAGGACAATAGAGGAAAAGCTGGTAAAATCCTAATAAAGTCTAGTTTTAAAAATAGTAATGTAACTGTGTTAATTTTCAGTCTGGATAAATGTGTTGCAGTTATGTAAGATGTTAACCTTAGGTGGAGCTGGATAAAGGCTATATGGCAACTCTGTTATCTTTTGTGATTCTTCTGTAAGAATAAATTATTAAAAAAATTAATTCAGCAAGAGAAATGCAGAGATGAAATGGAAGGAGCTCAGGATCTATGAGCAGAAGGCGTGGGTCTCAGCTCCTGTGCTGCTGGTTACGGTGACTTTAGACAAGCTGCTTTGCCCTACTAAGCCTCCATTTCCTTATCAGTGAAATGAGCTCCATAACAGCGACCTCAAAAGTTGTGAGAGTAGAAGTTGTATTAATCATGGTTTAGTCAGGAAAACAGGTACTACACAAGGTATTTTAATAGGCAGAATTAAATACAAGGAACTGGTTAAATGGATATCAGAGAACTAAAACACGAAAAGGGGGCACGGAGCTGACAGAGAGAAACTGCAGGAAACGGTTTCCATCCCCATGGCTGAGGAAACAAAAGGGAGAGGTTGGGTTCTCAGATCCTGGAAGCCCGGAGAAGGGACCCTCCGAAGCTGGGACTCAGACTTCTGAGGTGAGGGTACTGCCCAGCTGGTTCTGGGTTTGTTGGGAGGAGAACACAAACAAAAACAACTGAAGGCTGAAACAAACTGCAGCTGGTGGGATGAAAAGGCATTGCTGGGATGGTGGTCATAGGAACAGCCAGGCGCAAGAAGCAGTGGGTCCTTCTCCTCCAGCCCTGTAGACCTTCCAGCACCTCCCACTGGCAGCACATGGCCAAGTGTAGCAAGCAATGGAGAGAGCCGCAGAGTCCCAGCCCCAGTGTTCACAGGGTGGTGTGGGGCCAGGAAATAACAGTGGAATTGTGGAGACAAATAACTTTGTAAAGGGTAGATGTGACCCACTGATACTTATTACCCTTACTTCTGTTAAGTGCTCAGGCTAACTGCTTGCTCTCTCTTTTTTTTTTTTTTTTGAAATAGATTCTCACTGTCAACCAGGCTGGAGTGCAGTGGCACAATTTCGCCTCACTGCGACTTCCACCTCCCGGGTTCAAGTAATTCCCTTGCCTCAGCCTCCTGAATAGCTAGGTCCACAGGCACGTGCCACCATACCCAGCTAATTTTTATATTTTTAGTAGAGACGGAGTTTCGCCATGTTGGCCAGGC
Organism: Homo sapiens; assembly: GCF_000001405.40. NCBI lineage: Eukaryota > Metazoa > Chordata > Mammalia > Primates > Hominidae > Homo > Homo sapiens. The sequence continues at coordinate 76,190,380 of NC_000017.11, forward strand.
TGGCCTCAAACCCCTGGCCCCAAGTGATCTGCCTGCCTCAGCTTCCCAAAGTGCTGGGATTACAGGTGTGAGCCACTGTGCTTGGCCATTCTCTCTTTTAAAAATAGTTTACACTGGGCACAGTGTCCAGGGAAATCGCTTGAGTCCAGGGAAGTCAAAGCTGCAGTGAGCCATGATCATGCCACTGCACTCCAGCCTGGGTGACAGAGTGAGACCCCATCTCAAAAAAAAAAAAAAAGAATTAAAAAAATAGTTTACGGCCGGGCGTGATGGCTCACGCCTGTAATCCCAGCACTTTGGGAGGCCGAGACGGGTGGATCACGAGGTCAGGAGATCGAGACCACGATGAAACCCCGTCTCTACTAAAAACACAAAAAATTAGCCGGGCATGGTGGCAGGCGCCCTGTAGTCCCAGCTACTCCAGAGGCTGAGACAGAAGAATGGCACGAACCCGGGAGGCGGAGCTTGCAGTGAGCCGAGATCGTGCCACTGCACTCCAGCCTGGGCGACAGGGCGAGACTCTGTCTCAAAAAAAAAAAAAAGTTTACACGGCTGAATGCAGTGGCTCACACCTGTAGTCCCGGCACTTTGGGAGGCCAGGAGTTCAAGACCAGCCTGGGCAACATAGTGGGACTGTTTCTACAAAAAGAAAAAAAAAAAAGTTACGATATGGATTAGCAGAGGACATAAACCTCTTGTGTTACCAGCATTTAAGTTTTTAATAAGTAGAAAATATGGCTAAGGACTACATTCTATTCTATAATTATACCAACATTTACCCTAAAGTTCAGTGCTGCCTTCTATAGATAAAGTGGGCTGGGTGTGGTGGCTTATGCCTATAATCCCAGTACTTTGGGAAGCTGAGGCAGGAGGATCGCTGGAGCCCAGGAGTTCAAGATCGGTTAGGGCAACATAGTGAGACACCGTCTCTACAAAAAAATAAAAAATTAGGGCTGGGCGCGGTGGCTCACACCTGTAATCCCAACACTTTGGGAGGCTGAGGCGGGAGGATCATGAGGTCAGGAGTTTAAGACCAGCCTGGCCAAAACCCTGTCTCTACTAAAAATACAAAAATTAGCTGGGCGTGGTGGCAGGCACCTGTAATCCCAGTTACTCAGGAGGCTGAGGCAGAGAATTGCTTGAACCCGGAGGTGGAGGTTGCAGTGAGCTGAGATCACGCCACTGCACTCCAGCCTGGGCGACAGAGCAAGACTCCGCCTCAAAAAAAAAAAAAAAAAAAAAACATTAGCCAGGTGTAGTGGTATGTGCCTGTAGTCCCAGCTCCTAGGAAGGCTGACGTGGGAGGACTGCTTGAGCCTGGGAGGTTGAAACTACAATGAGCTATAATTGCACCACTGCACTTCAGCCTGGGTGACAGAGGCAGACCCTGTCTAAAAAAATATTAAAATGTAAAGATAAAGTATATGTCTGATTAATTTCTGTAATAATCAGGGCTACTATTTTATTTGATTGGCCGGGAAAGACCATCTTAGAGAATGAAGTGTGCTGCTTAGGGACAAAATTTACGTGTAATCAACTGTTAAGCTATTTGACTCGTAAGTCTTTGACAATACAATACAGACTTTTATATAACAGTTTCAGTAACAGTTAAGGCCACTATGCATCTCTTTAAATGCTGAAAAAGTTAACCAGATTTTTCTTTGAAATGCAAAACCAGTAAGTATAGTTTCCCGTCAGATGGGGTGCACAATGACAACAGGAAACAGAGGTGAGAGTGTGCACACTTGGTTTCAATATGTTTCAAAGAAATTTCGAGGAAATTCCTACAACACAGATGCTTTAGTTCCACTACTGAATACCACAGCAGTTCTTTGTACTCTGGTTTGTTAAGAAACATGGCATCAAACAACGAAGCAAAAGTTCAAGCACTTAGTGGCACTTTTCGAGTCAGCAACATTTACATTATAAAGTTCCTTTCTCCAAGCTTTTACATGACTATTTTTATACTTCATTTTTCACTCCCTGCTCTGTATTATAGCTATGTATGTCCAAGTCTGATCTTCTCCATGAAATTATAAACTTGAGGGCAAAATCCATGTAGGAATCCTCTTCGTGTTACCCCTAGTGATTAGACCAGCACATACAGAAGGCAGAAATAGATGTCTGTAGAATGAATACACGAACAACAAGATCTTCGGAAGAGTACAGCATATGCCCATGGTGACTCTTTAGATTTTGAATATTTGCCCCGCAGACTAAATGGCAGACTGGTACAATTAATGCTCACAAAATAACTGAAAAACACAGACCACCATGTGTTTTTAAATTAAGGGTTTGTGGAGTAATACTGAGTAAGCTTGACTAGCAGCTGAAACCCTCTGGTTCTGCCAGTGAGTTGTATGAAAGACTGGAAAATGAAGATGAAATGATTTAATAAAACAAGTATGATATCAACAGCCAGAAGACACAGGTTCTTGTTTCAGCTCTCCCACTTTCTTTCCTTTTTTTTTTTTTTTTTTGAGACAGCATCCGCTCTCTTGCACAGGGTGACTGCGATGGCCATCACTGCAGTCTCAACCTCTCAGGCTCAAGTGATTCTCCCACTTCAGCCACGTGAGTAACAGCCGCGCGCCACCACACCTAGCTAATTTTTGACTTTTTGTAGAGACGGGACCTCGCTGTTTCCCAGGCTGGTCTCAAACTCCAGAGCTCAAGTGATCCTCCCGCCTCGGCCTCCCAACATGCTGGGATTACAGGCGTGGGCCAGAGCACTCAGCCTTCTCTCACTTCATACACAAGACTTTGGGCAAATAACTTAACATCTCTGAGCATCAATGTCCTTATCTGTAAAATGAGATTTATAGCTTCTGTCTATCTCATAGGGTCATTAAGATCAAATAAAAATGTTTTGAAAACCATACAGTGCTATAAAAATATATGTTATCATTAGTGATCCTTAGTGATTAGCATTAGTGATAACATCTTCATTAAAGAACTTGTAATGCTATTTTGAATGCTTGGAAAAAATAATGCACAAATGAAATACAAGCAATTAGGTAAGTATCTCTTATCTACAAATCCCAAAGCACTTGAAGTAAATACAGTTAGGATATATCTCACTTGGTCGTGACCCAGAAGAATTATTGTAGATCTGCCCTATATTCTACTGGAATTTAACATCTTGGAAACAGCTACCCCCACCACCCCCCACCCACGGACACATACAAGTTTCTACCATAGTGACTGAAAGGCTCTCTGAGATTCTCGGTTTAGGATCACTAGGGAAATGGAAGACACTGTCTAAGGTAACGTGAGAGTTAAGCACGTTCTCCTTTTGTCTGTTGTGACCCTGACTGTCTAACAAACAAACGTGACTTCTGAAGCCTGATCCGAAACAATCAGGAGCTGAGCGAGAAAACAAAACAGAGGTCTGAGGCACAGCTCCTGGGCAGGCTCTCCCGCATCCTGCAGTGAGGCTGCCGCACCCATAGTTTCAGATCTGAGATTAGCGCCTGGCCGAGGGCTGCTGATGCAGGAGCAATGCTGCCCTGCTACCCCTCCCACCTCCACATCCACAGACAGCCCTGGGGGACACGGCTACCACTTCTCTGGGGTACACGTCCACAAACGGGACTCCCTGGACTACATGGGAACCAGGCCACAGAGAAGGCAATCACATTTCTATTAATCACCTCTTTCCAAGGCACATTCTGTTTTTTTGTTGGTTTGTTTATCAAGGTATAATTTATATACAGTAAAATTCAGCCTTTTTGGTGTACAGTTCTGTGAATTTTGACAAACACACACAACAGTGTAACCACCATTACAAACAAAATAAAGAACATTTCCATTACCCCCACATTCCCTTGTGCCCTCTCTAGTCAACTCCTCCATGCACCCCAGTCCCTGGCAACCATTGATCTATTTCTTATCTCTATCGTTTTGCTCTTTCCAGAATGACACAACACTCTTTACAATGCTTAAGTAAAATAGCCAAAGGCCTCATTCAGTTCGCATAGAACACCACGCACTCAGCCACCATAGGAGACTTTCAAATACATCAGAAATAGTGAAGCCAGTCTGATGGTGGGAAGGGCGGTAAATTCACTAGAGCCTGAGATGACTCTGCAGGCTCTGCTGAAAGACCCCCGAAAGCAGGACGCTTCTTAGTGGGCTGTGAAGTGGATAGTTTAAACCCAAAGACAAATAACTCATTTAAAATAGTCTCTATAGAAATGGCCTATGTCCTCTTCCATGATTGTATAATATACAGTACCAGACACGATTAGGTTTCCTTCCAGTTTAGATAACTCTGCTTTCTTCTGAATTGCTACTAAAACAATAGTAAAGAGATTTAAAAAGAGAGAGAGAAAAATATAAAACCACAAGAGCAGGCCGGGCACGGTGGCTCACACCTGTAATCCCAGCACTTTGGGAGGCCAAGGTGGGCAGATCACGAGGTCAGGAGATCGAGACCATCCTGGCTAACATGGTGAAACCCCGTCTCTACTAAAAATACAAAAAATTAGCCAGGCGTGGTGGCGGGCGCCTGTAGTCCCAGCTACTCAGGAGGCTGAGGCAGCAGAATGGCGTGAACCCGGGAGGTGGAGTTTACAGTGAGCCGAGATAGCACCACTGCACTCCAGCCTGGGTGACAGAGCGAGACTCTGTCTCAAAAAAACAAAACAAAACACAAGAGCAGAGGGAATGGGAGAGGATATTATAATAAAAACTTGGAAGCTGAAACACACACTGACAAGTGGAAAGCGATTCAGGAGAACAGAAAGGGCCGAAATCCCAAATGGCAGAAACATATTCATGTCACAGAACTCCAGACAGGCTTAGGAAATGGAGGTGTAGGTCCTCCTACAAGCGGGGTAGAGCAAGGCTGGAAACAGGAGACTGGGGTTGGTGTGAAAAGCATTTAGACCCCTAGATCTTTTTCCAGACACCACGTAACCAGGAGATCACCTGTCTCTCCAACTTCATTGGTTATCGGGAAAATGAAAATAAATTCTACAAACCTACCACAATGGCTAAGATTAAAAAGATGGAAAATACTAGGTGCTGGACATTCTAAACACTGCTAGTGGGAAAAAAAAATTGGTAGAATCACTTTGAAAAGCGGTTAGCGGTATCTACTACAGCATATTCTATGACTCAGCAATTCTCCTAGCTATAGCCTTAACAGGTATGCATACATATACACAACAAAATACATGTAATAATAGAACGTTCATAGCAGCACTATGTGTAATAGCCAAAATGCCCCAAAAAAGCTCAATGCCTGCAAACAATAGAGTGGATAAATTATGGTGTATTCACACAATGAAATACTATGCAGCAATGGAAATGAACCGTACACAGCACAGGAATAGTTTGTTCCTTCTCGTTGCTGTACGCCATTGAGGTAGGATGTAGGACTTGACTCAAGAAGTGAGACTCAACTCCAGAGGTGGGGCTCGCACATCAGACTAAATTGAGCACAAGCTAAAACAGGGACTGGGCAGAAGCAGCTTTCCATAAGATAGCCCATACCTCCCATACCTGTCAGTGTGTGCCATGTCAGTTTACTATTGCCACGGCAACACCTGGAAGTTACCACCCTCTTTCATGGCAATGACCCAATGACCCGGAAGGTACTATCCTTCTTGAAATTTCTTTATAATTTGTCCCTTAATTTGCACATAATTAAAAGTGGGTATAAATATGATTACAAACCTGCTCTGAGCCGCTACTCTCAACACACTGCCTTTGGGTAGCCCTGCTCTGCAGGAGCAGTCACAGAGCTGTAACACTGCCGCCTCAATAAAGCTGTTTTCTTCCACCACTGGCTCTTAAATTCTTTCCTGAGCAAAGCCAAGGACCCTCCTGGGCTAAGCTACCATGAGATAAATAAATGTCACAAAGATGCTGAGTGAAAGGAGCCAGACATTAAAGAGCAAATTGAACACAGTTCCACTTATATAAAGTTCAAACCAGGACAGAAGTTAGGATTGCGGTTACCTTAGGCTAGAGGTAACAACAGGAAAGGAGCAGAAGGGGAGCTTCTGGGGGTGCTGGCCATGTGCTACTTCTTCATCTGAATGCTGGCCACAGCGGAGGGCTCACTTTGTGAAAATCAACTGTGCATGGATGACTTGTCATCTTTCTGTGTGTATGTTATACATCAATAAATATTTTTAAAGAGGACAAGTCAGCCCTAGGTAAATGGATCTAGAATGATCTCCAATATGATACACCATTAAATTAAAAAGCAAGGGCCGAAGTATGTACGGGAGTGTAGTCATGTGCTGGCGTCCCAACCTTCCCCAACTCCCTCCCCAGGTCTCTGTACCCCTGCTGTGGAGAGTTTTGGCTACAAACAGCCATAGCTACCCCTTCTCCAAGAACTGGGAACCAGAGCCACCTGATCCAAGAGTCTTCCTGATTCCCTATCTCACTCCAGGACAGCCACCAACAGCCAGTGACTGATTGACAGGGCTGTACAAAAAGCTGGCCCCTTTACCTTGAGATGAAGCAACTCTGTGGTACAAGCTGTACTCCAAAGCTTTCCCGTGGGACCAGGCCAAAATGGGTCTTGGCCAAGACCGCACTCATGTTTGGTTTTGCTCCACTGCCCCATCTGTCTTCCTCATCTCTAGAGAGCATTCCCTCAATAAACAGCTTTCACAAAGATCTCCATCTCAGGCTTTGCTCCCAGAGAACCCAACCTAAACCGGTTGATATCAGATGTTGTCTATGGATGGAATTTGGGGGTGGATCACCCACAGCCAGATGGCAATGAGGACCCATCACTGAGGTGGGTGGAAAGTGGATGGTCCCCAGCATGCTGCAGACATTCCCCTGTGGTGAAGGGGAATAGGAGACACGGGGCTGTATAATATCCAGGCGATTTTGATGTCTTGGTACAGGAGGTACAGGAGAAACAGTTACAGTAAGGACTGTGAAACTGGGTGACTGCTATTAAGAGGACTGTTTCATTGAAAAGAGAAAATGAGTTTCAGGTATAGCAATCAAAAATGTAAAGCCAACTATGAGCCTGGATGTGGTGGCTCATGCCTGTAATCCCAGAAATTTGGAAGGCTGAGGCGGGAAGATCACTTGAGGCCAGGTGTTTGAGACCACCCTGGGCAACACAGCAAGACCCCATCTTTATAAGAAAAACTAAAAATAAAGAAATAAAGCCAGCTATGATAGTCAGTAAGCTTCCTTTGGCAATTTTTACTTATTTATTAATTTATTTGAGATAGGGTCTCAATATGGTACCCAGGCTTGGAGTGCAGTGGTGTGAACATAGTTCACTGCAGCCTCAAACTTCTGTCTCAAGCCATCTTCCCACCTCAGCCTCCCGAGTGCTGGGATTACAGATGTGCCACCATGCCAGGCTGCTTTGGCAGCATTTAAAGACAATCATTTCCTGCAGGCACAAGACCTAATTTTAAGAGTGGCAGAATCAAAAAGGATGAACTCTCAGCCTATACTAGTCTACTGTGCCAGATTCAGGCCCTGGTAGGGAAGGAGTGAACTCTAAGACTTGAGATGGGAACGTCTGTGTATATTTATTTGAGGAACATGAACCCCAGATTCCCTAGGCTTGCAAATAGCCCTCTCCCTTGAAGATGGGAGGAACCTGCTCCTCCACCCTTCATGATTACACAGAGGTCTCAAATGAGGCGAGTAACTTAAAAGACAATGCTCACCCTACAGAGGACCTGCCCCCACCTTCCTTTCTGGCCACCCAACCATAATTAGGGCCATTATCTGAGTATTACTCAACCGGGGCCTGCTGGACCTGCAAAGAGAGGAGAGGGCTTATCATGCCAGAGGTGCTTGGGACCTGGCCAACAAAGGCACTAGCAGGACCTGGAGGATGTGTGGGAGGGGTTCCTGAGGGTGTTGGAATACAAAGTTGGATGAGGGAGAGCCTGTTGATACAGGGACATTCTCTTATGACACAGAATGAACACCTTGGCAAGAGCCTTGGATCTGATATGTGCTGGGGGAGGGGGGTTCTTGGGAGCTTGGAAAAATGATGGACCACAGTAATTGATTCCAAAACTGCCACAGAGATCTTTAGAGGAAAAGTTCAAAAGGCTTCGTGTCTACTCCACGAGAATAGGTCTGCACATAAAGTGGGAAAATCCACTAGCTGGCTGCGTCCTTTGGGGGGCCTGAACATACTCTAATTACCACACCCTAGATTCTGCCCCACACTGGTTACCAGCATAGGTTCTGCCGTATACGTCAGTGTCCTCTTCATTCCTTCTGCAGCCTGAGGTCAAACCTCCATCAAATCTCAGTTGGACAACTGGTTACCCTGTATCCGTTCTCATGACTCTCTAATCTACCTTCTACACTTCATCTGAGAGATCTTTTAAAATGTGTCTTCTGTGAGCCCCAGTTTAAAGCCCATTAGTGGTTCCCCACACCTACAGGACAAAAATTCGAAGCTCACAGGGAGGCATACCAGGCCCCTTGGTCCAGGCCTGGCATCTCAGTCTTATCTCTTGCAAAGTCTCCTCCCACCCTCTGGATGCCACACCTGCTTATGCTGAATCACCTGCAGTGCACACACCGTCTGTTGGTGAGATGTCTCTGTGCCTCTGCTCATGGGCCCTCCTCCGACGTGTTCATGTTTCCTAGCTGTACAACTCCTTCAGGCAGGGACTGCATTTCATCGGTATTTCTAGTGTCTAACATCAGCCTGGAGAACAATGGGTATTCCACAGAATGTAAATGATTGAGGGAATAATGAAGGAGTGAGCCAGTTAGTCAGTGATTTGTGTAACAGAGAGGGGAAAGAAGATCAAAGTTGGCAACATGTTATGATCATTTAAGAAAACTATCTTCTCAACTAGTACAGAGACCAGATTAAAACATGAACAAAGAAGAAACTATTCCTTCCTCTACTTTCTCTTCCTCCTTCTCCCAGTGTACTTATATTCCAAATTGGTTTTGGCTGGAGTGCAGTGGCTTGATCACAGCTCACTGTGGCCTCAACCTCACAGGCTCAAGTGATCCTTCCACCTCAGCCTCTTGAGTAGCTGGGACTATAGGCACGCTCCATCATACACAGCTAATTTCCTTTATTTTTTGTAGAGGGTCTCACTATGTTGCCCAGGCTGGTCTTGAACTCCTGGGCTCAAGTGATCCTCCCACTTTGGCCTCCCAAAGTGCTGGGTTTATAGATGTGAGCCACTGTGCCCTGCCAAAAGCAGCTGAAAGTTAAAAAAAAAAAAAAAAAAAAAAGAACAGCTGGCAGGAAGAGCCACATCAATACTAATAGGTATAAACACTGATTCAACTTCTCTGGGAGTGCCCCTTCTTATCACTGGTGATCTCAACGTGAAGTGTGACTGCACTTGGTGACGCAGCTCGCTGGTCTCCATCCTACTGCCACCTGCTCATGCTACTGGGACCCCGTCTCTCTGAAGATCCACCTACCATAGAAATCCAACTCCATAAAACAGAGGGATAATGTCCTCATCTTTATTAAGGATGAAAAGTAATATAAGTTGAATAAAGTGCTTTTTGTAAGAACATAAAAACAAGTTAAATTTCAAAACTGAACCTACAACAAGCCTACATAATTTCATAAAACTAGGCATTTCAGGTCGGGCGCGGTGGCTCACGCCTGTAATCCCAGCACTTTGGGAGGCCGAGGCGGGCGGATCACGAGGTCAGGAGATCGAGACCATCCTGGCTAACATAGTGAAACCCCGTCTCTATTAAAAATACAAAAAAAAAAATTAGCCGGGTGTGGTGGCGGGCGCCTGTAGTCCCAGCCACTCCGGAGGCTGAGGCAGGAGAATGCTGTGAACCTGGGAAGCGGAGCTTGCAGTGAGCCAAGATCGCGCCACTCCATGCCAGCCTGGGCGACAGAGCGGGACTCCGTCTTGTCAAAAAAAAAAACAAAAACAAAAACCAAAAAAAACCGAGGCATTTCTTCCCTAGCCCAATAGCCAAAAGGCAGGAGCAACCCAAGTGTCTGTCTATTGATGGATGAATGGATATACAGTGTATCGATATAATGGCATATTATTCAGCCTTAAAAAGGAAATTCTGACACATGCTACAACATGGATGAACCAAGCACATGCCAAGTGAAATAAGCCAGTCACAAAAGAACAAATATTCTATGATTCAACTCGTATGAGGTACCTAGAGTAGTCAAACTCATAGAGGCAGAAAACAGAATGGTGGAGGCCAGAGGCTGGTAGGAGAGGGAAATGGTGAGTCAGTGTCCAGTGGGGACAGAGTTTCAGTTTTGTGAGATGAAAGGAGTTCTGGAGACTGTACAACGATGTGTGATGAGCAGGGTGGTCACCCCTGGGGAAGGCGTGGAAGTAGGGAGACATGTATTATAAGAATGCCTTAAGTGAAACTCTTTAAAGCCCTAAACCATTTTAAAAGTATGAATATTCATCCTCTAGTTCTTTTACTGTCAGGTTGCTGAAAAGCAGGCCACTTCCATACTGAATCTCATACCATTTCGAATCAACTGTTTCTAAAGGTGAATTACTGCATGTTGGCACCAAGAGGACCGAGCTCCCTGACTCTCCTCCTCCCCATGCTTACTCTGGTTTTCTGTCTTTCTCCGCAAGCCCCCAGACACTTCCTGGCACACATCCCAACCCCAGCGAGCAGACCCTACCTTTCCTGTAGTTCACTAAAAAATTAAAACCATTATTTTGTGAACTCCCTTAATTTTCCTACTTCTAAATATTCTTCTAAACCTATTTCCTTCCTCTACTTAGAAGTATTTCCACCTCTATTTTTAAAGAAAATTAAAATACTTTTCATTTAAAAATGAAAACACGTTCACTGGAAAAAATTCAAACAACATAGAAGAATATGAAGAGCCGGGCACAGTGGCTCACACCTGTAATCCCAGCACTTTGGGAGGCTGAGGCAGGAGGATTGTTTGAGCCCAAGAGTTCAAGACCAGCCTTGGCAACATAGTGAGACCCTAGTCTCTACAAAAAAAAAAAAAAAAAGAGAAAAAGAAAAAATTTTAAATTAGCTGTGCATGGTGTCATGTATCTGTAGTCCCAGCTACCAGGAAGGCTGAGGCAGGAGGACTGCTTGAGCCCAGGAGTTCCAGGTTACAGTGAGCTATGATTGCACCACTGCACTCCAGCTTGGGTGACAGAACAAGCTTATTTCTAAAAAAAAAATAAAGAAAATTTTAGAAAATATGAATTAAGAAGTGAATACCCCCCTTCTTGATATATCCCAAGAGTTACCATTGTTAACAGTTCAAAATGCATTGTAATAGTATATTTGTGTAGCTATAAATATATGTACATAATGCACACACATACATATATTATTTTTATCCGAAATGAAATCAGACTCTACATTATACACTGCAACTTGCTTTATTCAGTAAGTCATGTGGTTGTGGACATATTGCCATCTCAGTGGACGCAGATCTATCTAATTTTTGCTGAATAACAGTTCATGGCATAGGCACATTATAATTTATTTAACCATTCCACTATAATGGCCATTAGATATTTTCTAATTTTGCACTACTACAAGTAATGCTACAATATACATTGTAAATAGGAATCATTTCACACTCTTCAAAATATTTCTGTAGGAGAGATTCGGAGAGGTGAAACAGTTGGGCCAAAGGGTACGCACAGCTCAAAATTTAATCAATATTTCCAGGCTAAAGGACAAAAAAAAATTGTAGTAAAATTATAAAGGAAGGAAGAAGGAAAGAAGATAGCATGCAAAAGGCAAATAACCCAATCTCAGTTTCTCTCTCTCTCTCTCTCACACACACACACACACACACACACACACACACACACACACACGTGCATGAGAAAGACACCCGTTCCCACCATGGGCTTTAGGCCTGTAGGGCAGTTAAGTGCCAGGTCCTTGTGATGTGACCTATTAGGCCAGTTACTCCAAGTCCAAGGCACAAATAAATCTCCAAACATAACACGTGCACAGCATCTGGGGTAAGTGGTGGCCTCTCACAGAGGCTGTTCCTTGGAGTGTCCTTTGCCTCAACTCACACTGCTGCAATTCTCTAATCTGCACTGCATTCATTTTATTTTCTGTTTTTTAGACACATTTTAGTCTGATCACACATGGTCCAAGAACACACAAGTCATAAATCAAATGTAATCAGATGTTAAAGATGGGTCTTCAAAGATTACAGCAATGATGCCACACTTGCCTGTGAGCTCTCTGACATAAAATCACGTCCACACCTCATGTGTGGACCACATCATTCAGCAAAGCTTCCTTAACTGTGAGCTATTAGAGCGCTACTATTTTTTTTTTCAGGCTCTGAATAGTTCTAGGGATCTCACCAGGGGTTGGAGGAAGCAGCTCAGCCTTGGCATAGTACCAAAAAGTGGCCAATCGAGGCTTCAAACAAGTCACAACAATGATCATCAGCCCTGGGGCCTTCTCTGCAAGGTTATAAATTGGTCCATGGTTCTAGGGTAGAAAGTCTGCACCATGTTTATTTGCAATGCTGTTAATCCTATTCAGTTATTTCATGTATTTTTTCTTAAAATAAATTACTTCCTAACTGGTCTTCTTATTTTCTGTCTCTCTGATTCATTACCTATACTGTGAATTAATTTATAGAATTAATTTTCTAAAATGCAAATTAGATTGTAATAGTTATCTTTTTTTTTGAGAGAGGGTCTCGTCCAGCCCAGGCTGGAGTGCAGTGGCATGATCTCCGCTCGCTGCAACCTCCGCCTTCTGGGTTCAAGCGATTCTTATGCCTCAGCCTCCCAAGCGGCTGGGATTACAGGCATGCACCACCATGCCTGGCTAATTTTTGTATTTTTAGTAGAGACAGGGTTTCGCCATGTTGGCCAGGCTGGTCTCAAACTCCTGGCCTCAAGCAATCCACCCACCTCAGTCTCCCAAAATGCTGCGACTACAGGCGTCAGCCATCAGGTCCCGCCATCATTTTTTGAGTCCTTAAAATATTCCTGCAAGGTAATTTTATAGATGGGGAAATTGAGACTCACTGATTGGCCATCGTCTTAACCAACATGACAAAGTCAGTCAGTGGCAAAGCCATTCATGACTATGACCTTTACTGCCATAGAAGGAAAAGTAAAAACTTTTTTTTTTTTTTTTTGAGATGGAGTCTTGCTCTTGTCACCCAGGCTGGAGTGCAATGGCGCAATCTCAGCTCGCTGCAACCTCTGCCTCCTGGGTTTAAGCAATTCTCCTGCCTCAGCTTCCTGAGTAGTTGGGATTACGGGAACCCGCCATCATGCCTGGCTAATTTTTGTATTTTTGTAGAGACGGGGTTTCACCACGCTGGCCAGGCTGGTCTTAAACTCCTGACCTAAGGTGACCTCCCCGCCTCAGCCTCCCAAAGTGCTGGGATTACAAGCATGACCCACCACGCCTGGCCTGTAAAAAGTTTTGTTGCTTTTTTTTTTTTTTTTGGGACGGAGTCTCGCTCTGTCGCCCAGGCTGGAGTGCAGTGGCACGATCTCGGCTCACTGCAAACTCCGCCACCCGGGTTCACGCCATTCTCCTGCCTCAGCCTCCTGAGTAGCTGGGACTACAGGCGCCCGCCACCATGCTCGGCTAATTTTTTGTATTTTTAGTAGAGACGGGGTTTCACTGTGTTAGCCAGGATGGTCTCGATCTCCTGACCTCGTGATCTGCCCTCCTCAGCCTCCCAAAGTGCTGGGATTACAGGCGTGAGCCACCGCGCCCAGCCCATAAAAACTTCTTAATACAATATTCATAGCTCTTCAGATATGAACCCAATTTGTCTTTCCAGCCTCAACTCCAACCAGCATCCCTCACAGTCCAATACTTATTGACTACTCACCACTCTGAGCGCCAAAAGCACACTTCTGCATCTTTATGCTTCCTTGTATTGCTTATTAATTAATTCTGCCTCAGATGCCTCTCCTCATCTCCCCTACCTAGGAAATCCTACTTATCCCTCCAGGTTAAAGGAGTCCCCTCCCAGAAGCCCCTTCCCTGGAGAGAGGGCATCCCCACTGGTCTGTGCTCCAGGGCACTCTGGTCCTCTCTCGTAGAACCTATCACAGTCCCTCGCAGTGGGGGCACATCAGCTGCCCCACTCTGCAGCAAGCATCTTCAGGTCAAGGGTCATGTCTTTTCATCTCTGCATTCCTAGTTCCCAGCACAGTATGTGACTCATAAATACTTGTTGAATGAATGAATAGCACCGGGACTAACAGAATCATGTTCTCTTTTTTTGCCACAAAGCTCTATAAGTGCAAAACTCTATGTTACAAATGGATATACTACCAAGTTCCTTTAAATAACTTGCTCTTCCTGACACATATGATAATAGGGTTCAATTTACAGAAACTGGATTTGAGTACAACTTTTGGTCTATCTGTACTAGAGAAAGAAGAAAAGTACACTGTATGCATCTTATTTCTTTTCTTTCTTTCTTTCTTTTTTTTTTTTTTGAGACTGAGTCTCACTCTCACTCTATCACCCAGGCTGGAGTACAGTGGTGCGATCTCGGCTCACTGAAACCTGTGCATCCTGGGTTCAAGCGATTCTCCTGCCTCAGCCTCCTGAGTAGCTGGGATTACAAGCACCTGCCACCACGCCCAGCTAATTTTTGTATTTTTAGTAGAGGCAGGGTTTCACCATGTTGGCCAGGCTGGTCTTGATCTCTCCCGACCTCAAGTGATCCACCTGCCTCGGTGTCCCAAAGTGCTGGGATTAGAGGCGTGAGCCACCATGCCCAGTCTCCTTCCTTCCTCCCTCCCTCGTTCCCTCCCTTCCTCTTTTCTTTTCTTTTTTTCTTTCTTTTTTTTTTTTTGACAGGGTCATGCTCTGTAGCCCAGGCTAGAGTGCAGTAGCATAATCATGGCTCACTGCAGCTTTGACCTCCTGGGCTCAAGTAATCCTCTAGCCTCAACCACCCAAGTAGCTAGGAATATAGGTGTGTACCACCACCCCTGGCTAATTTTTTTTTGTAGAGTCGGGGTTTTGCTATGTTGCCCAGGCTGGTCTCAAACTTCTGGCCTCAAGTGATCCTCCCGCCTCAGCCTCCCAAAGTGCTGGGAATAGGGATAAGCCGCCATGCCGGGCACATTTTAGTTCTTAAAATAATGCCAGCGGCTGAGCGCAGTGGCTCAGCCCTTTGGGAGGCTGAGATGGGTAGATCACGAGGTCAAGATATTGAGACCATCCTGGCCAAGATGGTGAAACCCCGTCTCTACTAAAAATACAAAAACTAGCTGAGCGTGGTGGTGTGTGCCTGTAGTCCCAGCTACTTGGGAGGCTGAAGCAGAAGAATTGCTTGAACCTGGGAAGCAGAGGTTGCAGTGAGCCAAGATCGTGCCACTGCACTCTAGCCTGGCGACGGAGCAAGACTCCATCTCTAAATAAATAAATAAATAAATAAATAAATAAATAAATAAAATAATAATGCCAGCTGTGCAGCTCTGATTGCAGGGAGCATGAGGAAGAAGAAACTGTGTCAATGCGGCCCAGCTACAGAACACACGAGAGGATACAGACTATTAGGAACTAGGTTAAAACTCAACTACTTTCCTTATAAAATGAGAGGAGCGGTTTGAACTCCTGCCTACAAAAGGCAGGCAGAGGTGGGGCACAGTGGCTCATAGCTATAATCCCAGCACTCTCAGAGGCCAAGACAGGAAGACTACTTGAGCAAAGGAGTTTGAGACCAGCCTGGGCTATGTAGTAAGACATTCTCTCTATAGAAATTTTTTTTAAAAAGCCAGGCATGGTGGGGCGTGCTTGTAGTCCCAGCTACTGGAGAATCTGAGGTGGGAGGATCACTTAAGCCTAGGAAGTCGAGGCTGCAGTGAGCTGTAGTTGTGCCACTGTACCTCAGCTTGGGCAACAGGGCAAGACCTTGTCTCAAAAGGAAAAAAAAGGCCAGGAAGGAGTCAAGGCATTACTTGACTAATTTCTAAGCCTCTAATAACTTAGAGTTGGGCAGTAATTATCCCAACAAAACAAGATCTAACTCAATAAAGGAGCAGAAAAGCAACACCAGCTCTTCTGCCACCTAGGAAGGGAAGGGATGGTCTTTATTTAACATTTTGTAACTGATTCACAGATACCTTAGTTCCTTTATATAAGGGACCAGAGCAGAAAGACCTTCAGAAGCCCAGTTTACTACTTAAGACAGTATTTAAAAACCAGTGAAGAGGCCGGCCAAGGTGGCTCATGCCACCTAGCACTTTGGGAGGCCGAGGTGGGTGGATTGCCTGAGGTCAGGAGTTCGAGACCAGCCTGGAACAACATAGTGAAACCCTGTCTCTACTAAAAATACAAAAAATTACCTGGGCATGGTGGTTCGCTCTTGTTGCCCAGGCTGGACTGCAATGGCGTGATCTTGGGATCTCGGCTCACTGCAATCGGCTCACTCCAGCCTGGGCAACAAGAGTGAACCTTTGTCTCAAAAAACAAACAAAGAAAACAGTGAAGAACCCTACCTAGAATGACAAGTAGCTGTAGAAATAACCAACTGGAAAGGTAGCAAGTATAGCTAACATTGCTGCATGCTGCTTTTTGTCCAGCAATTACAAGGAATCTTCCAAGCATTACATTATTCTAAAGTCAGAACTACCTCCATGCTACAAGCAGGTAATCTGAGCACCTGAGTGATACGTTTGCCAAGGTTACAAAGAGTTTAATGGTAAGATATAAATAAAACTTGAAATCTAGATTCCAACTTTCTTCCACCATCTTTCTGTATATACACACACTCTAGTTTCTTTAAATCTGACCCTTAAGACTTGATAATAAATTTGGCTTTGGGCCGGGCTTGGTGGCTCACACCTGCAATCCCAACACTTTGGAAGGCTGAGGCAGGAGGACTGCTTGAAGCTAGGAGATTGAGATCAGCCTGGGCAATAAAGCAAGAAAGACCCTGTCTCTACAAAAAAAATTTTAAAAATTAGCCCAGTGTAGTAGCATGCACCTTTATTCCCAGCTACTCAGGAGACTGAGGCAGGCAGATCATTTAAGCCCAAGAGTTTGAGGCTGCAGTGAGCAATGATCACGCCACTGCACTCCAGCCTGGGTGACAGGGCAAGTCCCTATCTCTAGGGGAAAAAAAAAAATTGGCTTTGATGGATTATCCTAAGTGGTAGATCTGTGGTGCGAAGTACAGCTCAGTCAAATGACAAACTTTTTAGTCTGCTCATTCAGAAATGACAGGGAATTGCACAAGCCAGGAAGTCTATGGCATTTATAGCTTAATATAACAATTCATTTTAACATATTTCACTGCCCATATTCACTCTCTCTGCAAAGAGGAGTCGTTCTTGCCGCATGCTGCTGGATGGCTTTAAAAGGTTGTTCTCTTTCTTGCTCCCCTGTAACCTAACACTCATGTGCTGACACCCAAGATCTTTTGCTAGAGAGTGGAAGTCAGCTGTTTAGAACTCAAGCTACATGTCAATCTTCAATCTCTGAGCCTTCCCCTAAACAAGCATGTTGTGCAGTAATGGCAAAACCCAGAGGTCAGCTCAGCAGATGGAATTACACATGGAATACGAACTCTGAAGAGGCGCTCCAAGAGAACATATCACTGCCACTCGTCTACTTTTATTTATTTATTTATTGAGACAGGTTCTTGCTCTGTTGCCCAGGCTGCAGTGATCATAGCTCACTGAAGCCTTGGCATCCTGGGCTCAAGTGATCCTCCCACCTCAGTCTCCTGAGTAGCTGGGACTAGAGGCATGCACCACCACGCCTGGCTAATTTTTATCATTTTATATTTTGTAGAGATGAGGGTCTCGCTATGTTGCCCAGGCTGGTTTTCAATTTCTAGGCTCAAGAGATCTATAGGCCTCGGCCTCCTGAGCAGCTGGGACTACAGGCATGAGCCACTGTGCTGGCCTCATTCCACTTTCAGATACCAATA
Organism: Homo sapiens; assembly: GCF_000001405.40. Taxonomy (NCBI): domain Eukaryota; kingdom Metazoa; phylum Chordata; class Mammalia; order Primates; family Hominidae; genus Homo; species Homo sapiens. The sequence continues at coordinate 76,208,246 of NC_000017.11, forward strand.
TTTCAGAAATTGCACTTGAAGATCTACACAATGGACTCACAAACAGGATGTGGGCAGAGTTTCTGAGTACACCTGGCCTAATTAGCAAAAATGGCAGCATGGTTCAGGCTCTGGAGCCAGACTGTTAGGTTCCAATCCTGATCCCTTACAGGCTGTGCAGTCTTTAAACTCTCTGTGCCACATGTTCTTCACCTGTTGAATGAGGACCTTTTTCATCATGATGTGAGGACAAAATGAGACAACACAGATGAAAAGCTTAGAACAATCAGCCCTGGCAAAAACTAGGTGTTCAAATGTTAGCCATCATTATTATTATCAAATAACCTGTGGGGAAAAGAAAAAGAGAAACATGTGGCATTTATTCTCTATACTACATTTTTATGCAGCTATATGAAGTTACTCTGATTTGCTTTCCTAATATAAAATTATGTCTTTTAAAAACATTTGCCAGCGCGGTGGCTCACACCTGTAATCCCAGCACTTTGGGAGGCCGAGATGGGCAGATCACCTGAGATCAGGAGTTCAAGACCAACCTGTCCAACATGGTGAAACCCCATCTCTACTAAAAAAACACAAAAATTAGCCAGGTGTGGTGGCAGGCACCTGTAATCCCAGCTAGTCAGGAGGCTGAGGCAGGAGAATCACTTGAGCCTAGGAGACTGTGGCTGCAGTAAGCCAAGATCGTGCCACTGCACTCCAGCTTGGGTGACAGAGTGAGACTCTGCCTCAAAAAAAAAAAAAAATTCATTTGCTATGTGTAACATTAAGCATACTTAATGATTACTACATAAAAGCAACAACAAAAACTCCAATGTTGATGTTCTTTTTTTTTTTAAGTGGCATTTATTGATTGATTGATTAAGATGGAGGTCTTGCTATATTGCTCAAACTGGACTCGAATTCTCCTGGGCTCAGGTGATCCTCCCATCTCAGCCTCAGCCTCCTGAGTAGCTGGGACCACAGGCACATGCCACTGTGCCCAGCTTGATCTTCTTTGGGAAAAAGCCTCAACTTTAAGGTTAAGGCTGCTACCTAGCATTTCAGAAAGAGCTCAGTCATTCATAGGTCGGCATAGGCAAACTTAGGAAAAGTCTGCCAGCCAGCATAAACTTCAAGTTGAACCTAAAGCAGCATTTACTTCAAGCTTGTCCAACCTGCGGCCCAGGGGTAGATGGCTTTTAATGTGGCCCAACAGAAACTCGTAAACTTTCTTAAAACATTGTAAGATTTTTTTGCGTTTTTTTTTTTCTTTTTTAGCTCATCAGCTATCGTTACTGCTAGTGTATTCCGTGTGTGGCCCAATGTGACAATTCTTCTTCTTCCAATGTGGCCCAGGGAACCCAAAAGATTGGACATCCCTGATTTACTTATTTTTATATCATCTTTATGGACTGAAAAGGCCAAAATTTTTTTAAAAATATATAAACTATCTTTACATCAGATGAAAGGAAAAAGACAGAAACAGATGCAAACATCAAGTCCATGTTATTAATAGAAGAAACGGCTACTTTCATTTTTGTTTTTGTTTTTTTGAGACGGAGTCTCACTCTGTCGCCCAGGCTGGAGTGCAGTGGAATGATCTTGGCTTACTGCAACCTCCGCCTCCTGGGTTCAAGCGATTCTCCTGCCTCAGCCTCCTGAGTAGCTGGGACTACAGGCTCACACCACCACGCCCAGCTAATTTTTGTATTTTTAGTAGAGATGGGGTTTCACCACATTGGTCAGGATGGTCTCGATCTCTTGACCTTGTGATCCGCCCGCCTCGGCCTCCCAGAGTGCTGGGATTACAGACATGAGTCACCGTGCCCAGCAGAAAGGGCTACTTTCAAAGCACAAGCTGACTCCCTGTGAGTGAGGCAACATTTTTATCTGGCTCTATCAGAAAAAAAGAAAGATCTGTCTACTCTAATTACCAAGGCAGTAGTAACAAAATCAAAGAGTAGACATCTGATAAGTATTACTTGACATAACTTAACTTGAAGCAGACAAGATTTGGTATTTTGAAAAGTGTACTACTGGACGAAAAATTAGCAGAGGGGTCACTCCAGATAGAAAGGAAGAGAACCCGCCGGGCGCAGTGGCTCATGCCTGTAATCCCAGCACTTTGGGAGGCCAAGGTGGGCGGATCACGAGGTCAGATCGAGACCATCCTGGCTAACACAGTGAAACCCCGTCTCTACTAAAAATACAAAAAATTAGCCGGGTGTAGTGGCGGGTGCCTGTAGTCCCAGCTACTCAGGAGGCTGAGGCAGGAGAATGGCGTGAACCCGGGAGGCAGAGCTTTCAGTGAGCCAAGATCGTGCCACTGTACTCCAGCCTGGGCGACAGAGCCAGACTCCGTCCAAAAAAAAAAAAAAAAGAAAGAAAGAAAGAAAGAGAACAATGAAAACCAAAAAAATAATTATTTTTATGTTAAAGGTCAAGATGGAAGACCATCATCAGATCAATCTTCCTAAAAAAGCAATTTCTCCAGGTCACTCACCTACCTACAAGTCTTAAATATTCCTCACGGTCTACAGGAGAGAGTAAAAAACCTATCAAGGTAACACAGCCGCCACCTACCTTTCTCTTTTTTTTGAAACAGAGTCTCATTCTATCCCCTAGGCTGGAGCGCACTGGGGCAACCTCAGCTCACTGCAACCTCCACTTCCCGGGTTCAAGCGATTCTCCTGCTTCAGTCTCTGGAGCAGCTGGGATTATAGGGGTGTGCCACCACCCCGGGCTAATTTTTGTGTTTTTAATAGAGATAGGGTTTCACCATGTTGGCCAGGCTGGTCTTGAGCTCCCAACCTCAGGTGATCTGTCCACCTCGGCCTCCCAAAGTGCTGGGATTACAGGTGTTGGCCACTGTGCCTGGCCCACCTTTCCAATCGGGCCAGACTGGTTTCCTTATTTGTTCCAGGGAAGAACAAACCATGCTCATTTCAGCTCTGTATCCACAGCGCCTATCACAGTACCTGACACGCAGTAGTTGCTCAGTAAATGTTTGCCAATTCAACAACTTGAATGCTCTTAGGCCTGTGCCGTGCTCTACTCCTGGAAAGGCCTCATCCAACCCACCATTCTTCAAAGGCCAGTTCAACTCCCTGCACCTCTTCCCAGTGTAACACTGAAGCAACCTGCCCTTGCCATTGTCTTCTCCCACTCTCAATTCCCACCACATTCAATCACTTCTGATCTTTATTGTTAATTAAACATTTCCTGTTTTCTGTGTTTTGTCTGCTCCACCAAACTTGCAGAATATTTCAAGGCAGTGAGGAGCACTGGAAAGATTACTGATCTGTGACCAGGCAAACCTAGTTACATGACTTTGAGAAAAATGTATATAAAACCCTTAGAACAGTGCTTAGAACATAGTGTGCACTTCCTAGCTTCTGTCATTATTCATCTCTCTGAACACCTCAGTTCTCTCGCTTATAAAATAGAGTGATAAGTCCTAAGTCAAGTGGTCTTCATATGGAACAGGGGTCTCTAGGACCTTCCTAGCACACGGTAGCCACTCAATAGCCACCTGGCGGCTATTATTACAAAGCCTCCTGCATGATGCAGAGAAGGTGCGCAATAGAAATTTATGAGAAGGAACAAGTGAGAGAAATGTATTCTCATATCAACTCATATATCAAGAGAAAAATTTTCAGTCATTCATTCAACAATCATTTATTAAGGGCTTAACATTACGTGCCAGGCTTTGTTCTAGGTTTGGGATACTACAGTAAAAACAGTCCTTGCCTTATGAAACTTACGTTCTAGAGGAGGAGGCAGACAATAAGCAGAGAAAGAGACAAATCAATAAAAGGTTGGTGTTAAGTGCCATGAAGAAAAAAAAAAAAGGTAAGCCCTTGGAAAAGGGTTGCCTAAAGAGGTGACAGGGAGAGATCTGTCCTAGCTTAATTTGTGAGACTCATCCTCTCCCTCACAAGACTCCAGGAGCTCTTCCAGTCCTCTAGCAACAAGAGATCCCATACAACCAAGGAGGCTGCAGTTTGTCTTCTAGTGCATCTCTCTCAACTCAGACCAAGCTACAAACTGCTGAACAAGCAACTGCAAACTTATTTTTGTTACATTTTTTGAATTGGCCACTTAAGCTCCAAGTAGGAGTAAACTGATTACAGCCATACCACAACTGGTCTGTTCCCCAGAAAGTTCAGATCGCTGTTCTCTCCAAACAGGTAACCTTCAGGATGAGTTGAGTCAAACTTCTCTCCTCCCATAATGAAGTGGCTGGCAAAATAGCTTCCTAGAGAGGAACAAACAAAAAAAATCAAACAAGCAGAAAACAGTCAACCTAAATCTAGTAAAAAAAAAAAGCTGATTTTTAAAATGTTAACCTTTTGGGCTGTGCGTGGTGGCTCACACCTGTAATCCCAGCACTTTGGGAGGCTGAGGCAGACAGATCGCCTGAGATAAGGAGTTCGAGACCAGCCTGGCCAACATGGCAAAACCCTGTCTCTACTAAAAATGTAAAAATTAGCCGGGTGTGGTGGCACATGCCTGTAGTCCCAGCTACTCAGGAAGCTGAGGCAGGAGGATGGCTTGAACCCAGGAAACAGAAGTGCAGTGAGCCGAGATCCTAGCACTACACTCCAGTCTGGGCGACAGAGTGAGACTCTGTTTCAAAAAAACAAAAACAAAAAAGTTAACCCTCTGAATGAATAATTAGAGCAATTTCTAATCCCAGAGTGTTTTCTTTTCCTGATTTGGGACAATGGCACAAAATAAGTAAAATCATAGCAGGGAAAACCCCAGATACCAAACGTAGACTAGATCACTGTTTTCCTTTTAACATTCTTAACTGAATTCTTCTAATGATCTGTTTAAAATACCTCCAGCCAAAAGACCAAAAGGTTCTACAATGCACATTAATGATCATATATATTTTTTGGTTCCTGACTTTTGCCTTTAAACTTGAAGTAGTTATTCCATGTATTGAAGAATCTCAGCTACAGGTATCGGCATATACATACACTGTGATATTGTAAAATATATGTTTGATCTTCAACCCTATTTCCTGGAATGCAACTCTTAAAATCCTTGGAATATCCAGGCCGGCATGGTGGCTCATGCCTGTAATCCCAGCACTTTGGGAGGCTGAGGAGGGCGGATCACTTGAGGTCAGGAGTTAGAGACCAGCCTGGCCAACACGGTGAAACCCCATCTCTACTAAAAATACAAAAATTAGCCAGGCATGGTGGCATGCGCCTGAAGTCCCAGGTACTTGGGAGGCTGAGGCAGGAGAATCTCTCGAACCCGGGAGGCAGAGGTTGCAGTAAGCCAAGATCACACCACTACACTCCAGCCTAGGTGACAGAGCAAAACTCCATCTCAAAAAAAAAAAAAAAAAATGCTTGGAATATCCAAAGTGATGTCTTTTTTTTTTGTCTTTACATATGCTAATGAATTAACCACTGCCTGGCAGCCCCTAGGTAGCCTCAGGATGGCGGCTGGTCACTGGAAAGAAAAGGCAGGATTAGAGGGTGGGGACTTTCAGCCCATCCCCCAACCACTGAGGAAGGGAGAGGGGATGAAAGTTAAGTTGATCATCAATGTCCAATGATGTAATCAACCATGCTATGTAATGAAGCTTCTATAAATACCCAAAGGACTGGTTCAGAAAGCTTCCAAACAGGGGAACACTTACAGGTTTCTGGAGGGTAACATGCCCAGAGACGGCATAGAAGCTCTGTGCCCCTTCTCACATAACCTCGCCCTATGTATCTCTCTCTGTATCCTTTGTAATATCCTTGATAATAAACTCGTAAATGTGTTTCTCTAGTTCTGTGAGTCCCTCTAGCAAGTTAATCACACCCAAGGAGGGGGTTATGGGAACCCTGCTTTCTGGTTGGTTAGTTGGAAGCACAGGTAAAACAACCTGGGGCTTGCGATGGGCATCAGAAGTGGGGGGCAGTCTTGTGAGATTGCACCCTCAACCTGTGGGATGGGACACTATCTTCAAGTAGTATCAGAAGTGAAATGAATTGGAGGACACCCAGCTGGTGTCCTCTGCAGAACTGAGTGGTTGCTGGTGGAGAGAATCCCCACACATTTTGCTGACCAGAGGTCACAGAAGTTTTCTGTGCTGCTTGTGTTGTGAGTGTATAGGAGAAACTGAGTTTTTTTCCTATATCCGCAGACGCACACATTTCTTTGCCTAGATTTTCATAAGCCAGCTTATACCTACACACAGAAGTCTCAGTACCCACCCACCACTACTGCTATACCTCCATAACCTTCTATGATGAAGGTTCTTCACACTTTAACTTGCTGCAAACATTATTGTTTCACAGGAAAATACGAATTTAGATAATACAGTTATCCCTGGCTTTCTCTACCAATTACTACACAGACTATGGTGTAAAATAAGGGGACAATTTAATGCTATGAAAGAAGGCTACACACATACCCTCTCCACCTCAAATTCATTAACAGTGCTAATGGCCAGAACTGCTGGGACATCAGTCATGGCAGGGCCCCTTTGCCCCTTCTTAATCAGCCAGGAGGCAGAAATATTTTCAGTGCAATATAATAACCAAATGAAATCAGCAGTCAGGGGCCAAAATTCCCATCAGCCTCATCCGGACAAACCAAGGAACTGTGACAGGATATGATGGAACTGAGAAGTCACCAAAGGAGGCTTAGGTTATGCTGAAAATTACATCTGGGAATACATTTTAAGTTTGATGATTAAACGAATGCCGCTTACCTCTAATTTCTATTATCTAATTCTCCCATGAAGGTAAGCTGTCCAAAGTAAAGGACACATCCCATAATATACCTTTATCAACACTCTCATATACCCCATTTCTGAAATTAACACAAGGAACTTATTAAGTGGCAAAAGGCTTGCTTGTGTATAATACATTGAGGATATACACAAACTCCCTAAATCAGTTGCAATTTTTGTTGAAGATTTGTAGCAGGCAGGGTGTGATGGATCTTGCCTGTAATCCTAAAACTCTGGATGGCTGAGGCAGGAGAATTGCTTTAGGCCAGGAGTTGGAGACCAGCTTGGGCAACTTAGCAAGCTTAGCAAGACCTTGTCTCTACTAAAAACAAAACAAAAAATAAATAAAAATACAAAAATTAGTTGGGCATGGTAGCATGCGTCTGGAGTTCTAGCTACTCAGAAGGCTGACGCAGAAGGGTCGCTTGAGTTCAGGAGTTCAAGGTTGCAGCGAGCTATGATTGCCACTGCACTCCAGCCTGGGTGACAGAGTGAGACCCTCTCTAAGAAAAAAAAAAGAAAGAAAGAAAAAAGAAAAGAAAAGAAAAAAGGAAAAAAAGATTTATAGCAAACTAAAAAAAAAAAAAAAATGAGATTCAGTACTTTGAGCCTGTGGAGAAGCCATAGGAAGGAAGACAGAGAAGAAAATTCTAGCAAAAACTGAACCAAACATTCATTTTTAAAACTTTCTACACAAGGAGCTTTAGTCTAGAAACATCTATTAAATAAAACAATGTGGATAAAATCACTCACCACAAAGTGAGGCAACTATTGAATTAAACAAGCAGGAAAACATTCTTTGAGAGTAATAATGCAACCCAGATCAAAGCAATCACTGAGGAACTACTGAAAGTCACCCATTAAAACTTAAAAAGACAAAGGGCAGCCATCTGATACAGTGATACAACAGCAGAATTCATCATTTAGGAAAGCTTAATTATCAATTATTTATGTCTGGCACTTGCTAGCCCTATTTTCCAAGTGCATAATTTATGGAGAGGGGAGGTACCTAGTTGCCTTAAGTAGAAGCAGCAATCTCAAATAATTTAAGTCATTTACTGATGAACTTCAGCAAGATATATTTTCTATGCATCAGGAATTATACATTTATCATATATTAGGTAAAATTGGAAAAGTTAAAGATGTTACACAGATGGATGGCTTGCCCAAATCATGAAAAAAGAAAGGGAGAGAAGAGAGTTTGATGTCTGGAATTGTCTAGGTTGACCTCAGTGTGGGACCACTGAGTTTCCAGTACCTGTGAGATCTCAGGGGAGGGATCTGGGGCAGTAAAAATCCATGGATGATTGGCTTAGAGGTGGCCATGATTGAACCTAGCGAGAGAGGACCCCTAATGATTTGGGGGCTAAAGAGTTAAAGCAGGCAACAGGGTTCGATTAGAAATGCCCTTTTATGCCATAATATTAAAAGAAAAGAAATGACCACAAAAGATGTGTAGAGCTAATTGTAGTTTTGCCTTGCATTAAAATCAAGAATAGTCTGGGTGTGGTGGCTCACACCTGTAATCCTAGCACTTTGGGAGGCCAAGGTGAGAGGATCACTTGAGCCCAGGAGCTCAAGACCAGCCTAGGCAACATGGTGAGGCTCTGTCTCTGTATATTTAAAAATAATAATAATAATAATACTATGGTATATTCAGTCAGTAGAGTATTATGAAGCCTTTCAAAGTGGTGTTGTAAATCTATATCTACTGACATTAAAAATGTTCACAATATATTATAATTAGACCCTTGTCTCGACAAAAAATTAAAAAATTAGCTGGGTATGATGGCCCAAGCCTGTGGTCCCAGCTACTCAATAGGCTGAGGTGGGAGGATCACTTGAGCCCAGGAGGTCAGGCCTGCAGTGAGCCATGACTGCGCCATTACATTCCAGTCTGGGTAAAAGAGCAAGACCCTGTGTCAAAAAAAAACAAAAACAAAAACAAAAAACAAACAAACAAACAAAAAACCCCATAAAAGCTATATAAGCTGTATACTTATAACTGGGAATGATTTTCTCAAAATTACAAAGTTGGCAAAATTGTTCTTACTTTTACTTAAAATTAGCTTGAACACCTGTTCAATCACTCAATAATTCTTTAGCAATATTAATTTCTAAACTTTTGGTTATTAAGGGGAAGACGCATAAAATGTGCAAGATTGTATGAATTAAAAAGAGCTCCCCAAACCTTCATCTATTTTTTGTTTGTTTTTGTTTTTCTGTAGAGATGGAGTTTCACCATGTTGGCCAGGCTGGTCTCAAACTCCTGGGTCAAGAGACCTGCCCGCCTCAGCCTCCCAAAGTGTTGGGATTACAGGTGTGAGCCACCGAGCCCAGCCATCCTCATCTGTTAAAAGGAAAAATAAATTTACTTATTGGTATTTCATTTTACAACCAAAAATTTGCTTTTTCCTTTCTTTGAAATGAACCCCTCTAGCAGCTTGCTTTCATTTAGACAAATGAGAAAAGCAAATCAGCCTTTTTCAGACTGAATAAAGCTTTCTACTTGCTCAGTCTTTCTAGAGGGACAAATTGGTGCACAGCTATGTATAGCTACTAGATCATCAGATACCAACACCAAACACATCAACAGTCCCCAAACAAGATGACTTTTAGACAGCTTATGCATATTTTTACTTCTTAACACAATGAACTGTGCTTCAAAATCAGTGGTGGGGGAAAAGAACTCTACTAAAGTACTTCTTTGCCTATTTGTTACCAGGAGAAACACGTCACTCACAGATAAACTGCAGAACTCAACTAAAATACACCCTTGCCTATTTGCTAACGGGAAAAAAACATATGTCACTAGTAGATAAACTTCGAGTGTTTCATTATTAGTGAGCTATAATTTATTAATCAAAACTCATATTCAGAATTCTTTGCAGGCTTTAAAAAGTCACATCATACACATATCTCCAAGATTATACGTAAACCGTAAGGTATGAGTGGGAAGGAGAAAGGGGAAATTAATGTTTAACAAGTACATAGTTTTAGTTTTATAAAATAAAAAAGTTCTAGACATCTGTTGCAAAACAGAGTGAATATATGTAACACTAATGAATGCTTAAAAATGGTTACTATGATTAAATTTAACGTTATGTGTTTTTTTGCCACAATAATAAACACATAAATATCAAGAAAAAAAACCAAAAGGTATGAGCCAGAATGATCAACACTAAGACAAGTTCAGTAAAATGACTGACCTTTAAAGAAAGAAAGGCACCCAGGCAAAAAGTCAAAATTCTAGAGGGGAAGAAAATCGGTGTCATCAGACTTTTCAACAGAAACACTTTATGTCAGAAGACAAGGGAGTAACATTCTAAGGTAGTCAAAGAAAGAAAAGCCCCTGAGCTCATCTGAGGAGTCTACTAAGGAATAAGCTTCCAGGCCAAGCCCAGTGGCTCACGCCTGCAATCCCAGTACTTTGGGAGGCCAAGGCAGGAGGATTGCTTGAGCCCAGAAGTTCAAGATCAGCCTGGGCAACATAGCAAGACCTCATCTCTACAATAAAAAAATTAAAAAGTTAGCCAGGCATGGTGGCATGTGCTTGTGGTCCTAGATACTCGGGAAGCTAAGGTGGGAGGATTGCTGGAGGTCAAGGCAGGAGTGAGCTATGATCACACCCCTGGACTCCAGCCTGGGCAACAGAGTGAGACTCTGTCTCAATAAAGGAAAAACAGGCCAGGCATGGTGGCTCACACCTGTAATCCCAGCACTTTGGGAGGCCAAGGTGGGCAGATCAACTGAGGTCAGGAGTTTGAGACCAGCCTGTCCACCATAGTGAAACTTCGTCTCTACTAAAAATACAAAAATTAGCCGGGAGTGATGGCATGTGTCTGTAGTCCCAGCTACTCGGGAGGCTGAGGCAGAAGAATCACTTGAACCCGGGAAGTGGAGGTTGCAGTGGGCCAAGATCACACCACGGCACTCCAGCCTGGGTGACAGAGCAAGACTCCATCTCAAAAAAATAAAAAAAAATAAAAAATAAAAACAAAGAAAATACAGTACAGCTCTCAAAAAATAAAGAAGGGGGATGGATAGCAGAGAAAAAGCAGAATATGTTTGCTGACAAACTTTAGGTGTAAGTGAGAGTCAAAGGAGATACTTCAAATGCTGGAGTAAAGAGGAGAGGTGAGTGAAGAGGTTACTAGTTATATCCATATTATTCACAGTAGGAAACTAACAGACAAAAATAATAATAATAACAATTTAACAGCAGTATATAAAGATTAAATAAGGGTAACCATTAGAGAAAAATACAAACCTTCCTAAATCCAAAAAATACATCTTAAAAAAAGAGCAAACAAAACAGACTACATAAAGACTATATAAATTTTTACATATATTTATATACATATAAATATAACATAAAATGGCCAGCCTTAAGCCAAACATATCAATCATATCAATAAATACAAATAGGCTTAATTTATATTATGCTACCATGTGTGTAAGGAAGAGTGGCTATGAAGATATATACATATTAATTAATATTTTTAAAACAAGCAATGTAAGGATAAATCATAATAATCTTAAAGTGATTATCTATAGGAGGAGGGAGGGAACGAAGTAGAAGGGACCAGACAGAAGGTAGATTTCTTTGAATACGCATTGCTTTATGTATCTACCACTGGAACCATGTAAACATTTTACATAATTATAAAATTAAAATTTCTGTAAAGCAATCCCTAAAAATCAAAAGTAAAGTGAAACAAATGAACCTAGGTGTGTGTGTAGTGGAATAACTACAGAAAGAGAAACTATTCCCAAGAACTTTAAGAGACTGTAATTTAACTGTACATCTCAATAGGAAAGAAAACTGCGAAAAATATATCTCAAACAGTTTACAGTAATCATATTATTGGTGACAGTATTTTCTTCCGAGAATGTGGCATTAAGCAGATGAGTAATTATGTGATTTTCAATTTTATCATACCTAGCGTATTGAGAATCAGAGAGAAAGTTAAAAAAAGCCAAGGTTAAACAAAAACCATATAGTCCTGAATTTGTATTAGAAATATCAATAAAAATGCATGATGTGTATTTTATCTTTACAAACAATGTTTCCTAGCTTGGGCCACTGAAAAGGCCTAGAAACATAGACCAACAAAGTAGGAGGGGGTGCCGCTAGCATCCAGCCTGTAAGTCTGCAAAAGTCATTCCCCACTAACAGGAACAAGGGCTCTTTGGAGGCCACATTCCAAGTCTGTGGCAGGAAATACACAAGATGGGACTAGAACATCTTGTCATACCAGATAACAAGGACGCTCTCTAAACCTACTAGGGTCATATCCAAGGGACTCAAGAGCTGACTTAAAGAGGTTCCCGCAGAGCAAAGATGGAATATATTAAGCTTCATCAGGATAATAAGGGCAAGGAATAAGTCTAAGTCAATGAGTTCGTAATGATATCTAAAAAAAAAAAAAAAAAAAGGTTACCTTTGAAGGATGCTAGTAAACCAATTCATTATTTTGGAAACTAGCAATTAAAGGGAAAGCCTCAAGCATTTATCTTGCCTTTCCTACATGAACTGTACCTCTGGGTGAGTGAATAATTAATAGATGAGGGGAGGCCGGGTACCATGGCTCACACCTGTAATCCCAGCACTTGGGAAGGCCTTGAGCCCAGAAGTTTGAGACCAGCCGAGGCAACATGGCAAGACACTGTCTCTACAAATTTATTATTTTTTTTTTTTTAGTTAGCTGGGCCAGGCGCAGTGGCTCACGCCTGTAATCCCAACACTTTGGGAGGCCGAGGTGGGTGGATCACGAGGTCAGGAGTTTGACACCAGCCTGGCCAACATGGTGAAACCCTGTCTCTACTAAAAATACAAAAATTAGCTGGGTGTGGTAGTGTGCACCTTTAATCCCAGCTACTCAGGAGGCTGAAACAGGAGAATCACTTGAACCGGGGAGGCAGAGGTTGTAGTGAGCCGAGATTGCGCCATTGTACTCTGACCTGGGCAATAAAGTGAGATGCTGTCTCAAAAAAAAAAAAAAAATTAGCCGGCTTGGTGGCAAGGGCCTTGGTCCTAGCTATTCAGGAGGCTGAGGCGGGAGAATTACTTGAACTCAGTAGGTCAAGGCTGCAGTGAACCGTGTTTGCACCACTGCACTCCAGCCTGGGCAACAGAGACCCTATTTCAAAACAAAAAGAAAAGGTAGATGAGGGAAAGTTTCTCTTTACAGAAATATTCTAGCTAATAAACAAAGAAGGAATGATAGGATTAGAATGTAAGTCTTAATAAATTAATAAATCATCCATTACCAAACCTCTCCCCCACAAAAAAGACAACCAGATACACGCTAGTGACAGCAAATACAACAAAGTAGTCTTACCAAAGTAAGTAGCTTCAAATTTTAAAGCTTTAAAAAAAATGAACTTGATCAAGCTGCTGAAACCAGTTAACCACCAGCTTATAGGGAATAAAACAGAACATGATTAATGAGAGTTCAAGGAGGCAACTGGCAAAACTCAGGCTGCAGAAAACCTTAACAAGAAAAATGACCAGGTTTCCTCAAAGAATATATTGTAAGGGGGGAAAGTATGGCAACAGAAAATCCAAAGTACAGACTTTATTTTATTAAACCCTTTAATTTCCAAATATTTTACTGTATACAATCAACAAAAACCAGGACTTTCTTGGTACCAGCTATTGTTCATGCTCCTTCATTGGTTCTTCTAAAATAACTATAAGAAATAAAATACAAGGAAATAATAGATGTTTAAATCATATGGGTTCACAGAAGTACTATTTATAATAATCAAAAGGTGGAAACAAATGTCAAACAACAAATGGGTAAACAAAATGTGAGGTATAATGTGTCCGACATATGTCCTTACAACGGAATATTATTCAGCCATAAAAAGAAGTGAAGTTCTGATACATGCTACAACATGAATGAACCTCCAAAACAGTATGCTGAGACAAAGAAGCCAAACACAAAAGGTCACATACTGTAGTATGATTCCATGTATATGAAATATCCAGATAGGTAAATCCACAGAGAGAGTAGACTGGTGATTGCCAGGGGATGGGGGCAGGGGAGAGTGGGGACAAACTGCTTAATTGGTTTTATTTTGAGGTGATAAAAATGTTCTAGAGGCCGGGCGCAGTGGCGCACACCTTTTGGGAGGCTGAGGCAGGTGGATCACTTAAGGTCAGGAGTTCGAGACCAGCCTGGCCAACATGAAGCAACCCCGTCTCTACTAAAAATACAAAAATGAGCTGGGTGTAGTGGCACACGCCTGTGATCCCAGCTACTTGGGAGGCTGAGGCACAAGAACAGCTTGAACCTGGGAGGCAGAAGTTGCAGTGAGCTGAGGATCGTGTCACTGCACTCCAGCCTGGGTGACAGAGCAAGACCCCGTCTCAAAAAAAAAAAAAAAAAGTTCTAGAATAGAGGTAGTGGATTGTGCAACACTGTGAATGTTCAAAATGCCACTGAGTCGTTCACTTTAAGATAATTTTATGTTACGTGAACTTCGCCTCAATTTTAAAAAATCACATGGGGAGGAAGAATTTGGCACAGTCAGGTTATAATGCTGTCATTTGAATTTTTATTTTAACTTCCAAGCATGTATCGTAAGCAAGATACAGAACTTTACCAAAATTATCCCTGATTTTCATCTGTAAGATATTCTCTTACGTCCATTTTTCAGTTGAGGAAACTAAGGATTAGAAGAGTTCAGTGACTCACACAACGTCCCACAGTTAAGAAACAGCAGAGACCGAGAGATGCAAGGTTTGAACCGAAGGTCTGGCTAACTCCACATCTCAACCCTGCACCTGTCTCTCCATCTGACAGTGGCAAAGAATAGCATGTGTGTGAGAGAAATGAAATCAAACAACTGTGTGTGTGTGTAAATGTAATGTCTATTATTTCATATATATGTGGAAGACGAGCCAAATGTTTAAGGTTCTTTTTTTTTTTTTGAGACAGAGTCTCGCTCTGTTGCCCAGGTTGGAGTGCAGAGGCCCGATCCTGGCTCACTGCAAGCTCCGCCTCCTGGGTTCACGCCGTTCTCCTGCCTCAGCCTTCCGAGTAGCTGGGACTACAGGCGCCCGCCACCATGCCTGGCTAATTTTTTGTATTTTTAGTAGAGACGGGGTTTCACCGTGTTAGCCAGGATGGTTTTGATCTCCTGACCTCGTGATCCGCCCACCTGGGCCTCCCAAAGTGCTGGGATTACAGGGGTGAGCCACCGCACCCGGCCTTTTTTTTTTTTTTTTGAGACGTAGTCTCACTCTGTCACCCAGGCTGGAGTGCAGTAGTCCAATCTCTGCTCGCTGCAACATCCGCCTCCCAGGTTCAAGTGATTCTTCTGCCTCAGCCTTGCAAGTAGCTGGGATTACAGGCATGTGCCACCAAACCTGGCTAATTTTTGTATTTTTAGTAGAGACGGGGTTTCACCATGTTGGCCAGACTGGTCTCGAACTCCTGACCTCAGGTGATCCATCCGCCTCGGCCTCCCAAAGTGCTGGGATTACAGGCATGGGCCACCATGCTCGGCCAAGGTTCTTTACACATAAACAATACCTGACTCTTCCTTTTCCTGTACTGTAATAGGAAAAAAGAAAGAGGGATAATGAATTGATGATAAAATGCTTAACCATATAAAACCCAAATTTTTTTCTTTCTGACAAACAGGAATTGTAAATCAAACCCCTTAGTCTCAAAAACATTTTGTTTTCCACATAAACGTTAAATATTGTGTTTTACATATCTAGTGGAAGAACCACTAAGTTCAACGTACAGCCTCCCTGTTCAGAATAAAATATGGAATATAATGAAACAAAAAACCAAACAGACTGCACTGCCCAACTTTATATTTTTGGAAACAAAAGCAAAATAACTCTGAACCTCAGTAAAAAATGTTAGAACATGCAGTGTTTTCAACACATACACAATTCATATACAACTTTGCAGAGCACCATCAGAAAGAAGTAAGTATAATAACACAGGGCAAGGCCCACACTGGCCAGAGCAGCTCCAGACACTACTCCTTAACATCTGACTTTATCTTAGTCACTATCAGCACTTTCTGGCTCTACAAGAACTCAGGGCAATGCAAAGGGAACTTGCATTACACTGAGGGAGCCCTACCCTATCAATGGCAATTTTTGAAGCGAAAGCCCAAAATCAATAAATTGACTTCAACAAAGGAAAATCAACTATTTGTTCCTTATAATGTGAACAAAAAAGAAAAATCTCATTTAAAATTCATTGTATTAAATAATTTGCCTAATCATTTTGAATTTAAGTTTTTGGGACATATTCCTAATACCACAGTGAAATTAAATATTGAGCAATGGGTTCCCTAAATTATGTCTGCCTCAATAAGATATTGTGACATTTGTTAGCAAACCACTATGAATTATAACAACATATAATAAAGGACAATTAAACCCATTTTCTATTCTTCTACAATTCTATGGGAATCTATAGGCTATGGGAATCCTAGTAAATTTTCATATATTTGAAAAAATCTTCATCTACATGACATTTCAATAACAATAAGCTTTAGATCACAAAAATAAGAAGAAAACTAGAAAACTGCAAACACCTCTAAATATTCAGCTCAATTCTATAATGCTACAGTGCTGCTTTTGTTCTTCATTTTTAAGTTTTCCCCCTAGAGCAAGGGTGCCTAATCTTTTGACTTCCCTTGGCCACACTGGAAAAAGAAGAATGGTCTTACGCCACACTTGAAATACACTAACACTACTGATAGCTGATAAGCTTTAAAAAAAAAAAAGAAAGAAACTGCAAAAAAACTCATAATGTTTTAAGAAAGTTTACTAATTTGTGTTGCGCTGCATTCAAAGCCATCCTGGGCCACATGTAGCCCAGCCCATGGGGCGTGGGTTGTACAAACTTGCCCTAGAGCATATTTTTAATTATTTAAAAAATTAGGGCTGGGAGCAGTGGCTCATGCCTGTAATCCCAGCACTTTGGGAGGCCAAGGTGGGCAGATCACTTGAGGTCAGGAGTTCGAGACCAACCTGGCCAACATGGTGAAACCCTGTCTCTACCAAAAACACAAAAATTAGCCGGGTATGGTGGCGGGCATCTGTAATCCCAGCTACTTGGGAGGCTGAGGCAGAAGAATCGCTTGAACCTGGGAGGCAGAGGCTGCAGTGAGCCAAGATTGCACTACTGCACTCCAGCCTAGGCAACAGAGTGAGCCTCCATCTCAAAAATATAAAAATAAAAACAAAAATATTACATGTTAGGTGCAATGGCTCACAACTGTAATCCCAGCACTTTGGGAGGCTGAGGTGGGAGGATCACTTGAGCCCAGGAGTTCAAACCAGCCTGGGCAACATAGCAAGACTCCATCTCCACAAAAAGAAAAAGAAATAGAAATACACAATACATGTCCTTTGCCAAAAAAATTAGTATATATAAGTTAATAATTTAAAATTTAACCCTACTCCATAAGAAGTAACTCCACTATTCACAATTGGGTGTGGCCTTCCAGATTTTTTTATACATATACAAATATGTCCAGGTCTTCCTGTTCTATTATTTTTTTTAATTGAATGGACTATTTGAATGCACATATTGTCTGCATAATTGAATGCACATATTGATCTGCAAGTTGCTTTCACCTAATATACTGTAGGCATCTATGTCTGTATTTATGGCATGACCTCATTGTTTTTAGTGGCCAAATAATATGTATTTTTTTCCCTACAAAATAATTTATTGGAACACACAGCTACAGCAGACACTCTATGTACAAGCACGTTGACACTCCTGACCTACCCTCAACTAGGGGACCCTTTTCTTCCCCCTTGCCTTGCGGACCTCTTCTATCAAATCTTTCAGGTACTGGATCTCCTTGGCCAGGGAATCTGCCCTCTCTTTTAGAGCCTCGTTCTTCTTTTCCAGCTCTTTGCACTCGCCAGTGAGAGCCTCCTGCTCCGCCCTCTTCTTCTGGCGGTACCTAGTGGCTGCTGTCTTGTTTTGCTCCATTTTTTTCAGCTTCTTATCCAGTTTCTCACCCTTTACTTTTGCTGCTACCATCTTCTCTCCAGGAGGATCGTAAGGTTTGGGGTGGGCAGACCCACAGAGAACACCTGGAGATGGGAGGCTCCTATTTGGAGAGCCCCTGGTAGAGGGGCTATGCTGAGGAGACCCCAGATAGGACTCTGGGCTCATACAGATGCCACTATCATTATCTGAAGGGGTGTCTTCCTCCTTTATGCACTGAGGGATCATGGCAACGTAAGCAGTGGAGTCCGGCTTCCTATCTTCTTCAGTGATATCCACTTCACTGCCCAGCTCTAAACTAAAGGAATGATCTGGAGTGGAGGACTGGACCCCTGGGGAAAGGGGAAGAAGTTGCAAGAAGGTGAAGGGGGCAACCTGGTCGGGTTTTGTTAAACTTTCTGGGAGATGGCCAATTGGGTTCACCATCTGGGGGGGCACCTTATTAGTCTCCTGGACTAGGGGGGCAAAGAGATTACAAGTGTCATCCAACGTGGTCAAAAGGTCATCTGGCATGGTTTCCAGGTCATCTATACCCAACAGGGCACCAAAGTCGAACTCCTTCAAATCCATTTTCTCCAACATCCAATGTGTCCCAGAGAAGGCATCCTCCTTGCTGTTGTTGGAGGGACTGACCAACCCATCCACAGTCAGCCATTCGGAGGAGCCCGCCTTAGCCTTGTCGCTGGAGAACCCATGAGGTTTGAAGTGCTTGGCCACCTCCACGTAGTCATCTAAGAGACCTATGCTTTCTTCAGCCCCCAAACCCGACTGGTCGAAGGGGGACATCAAGTCCCCCACCAACACCTCGTTGCTCAGGAAGCTCATTTCGGTCATGTTGCGGTGCTTTGCTGGAATCGAGTAATGTGCTTAATTCGAAGGTGTCTTTGTCGGTTACAGCAATGCTGCTGCTGAATGCCGTGGGAAGCGCCATGGCTTAAGCCGCTGGGGGGTGCCGCTGCAGAGCCTGGTGCTGCTGCCGCCGCTGCAAAGGCCAATGCTGCCGCAGGCACTGCTGCCCCTAATATGCCATGGTGGCCGTGGACCCTGAGGGCGGGGAGGAGGGAAGGCGTGCACGTGCGGAAAAAACTACATCTGTGGGCAGGCAAAGTAGAAATGCCAAATAATATTAATAACCTCTTTTTTTGTTTTTTTTTTTTTTTGAGACGGGAGTCTCACTCTTGTCGCCTAGGCTGGAGTGCAATGAATGACACGATCTTGGCTCACTGCAACCTCTGCTTCCTGGGTTCAAGAGATTCTCCTGCCTCAGCCTCCCAAGTATCTGGGACTACAGGCACCTGCCACCACACTCAGCTAATTTTTGTATTTTTAGTAGAGACAGGGTTTTACCATGTTGGCCAGGCTGGTCTTGAACTCCTGACCTCAGGTGATCCGCCCACCTCAGCTTCCCAAACTGCTGGGATTACAGGCGTGAGTCACTGCGCCTGGCCTATAATCTCTTCAGAGGACTGACTCTATAACAGCACTGTACTAGCAAGTACTACACGGGTTATTCTTCACAACCCTTTGAAGATGTTGCTATTTTCTTTTCATTTTATAGAAGAGGAAACTAATGCACAGAGGTTAAATAATCTGTCCAAGGTCACACAGATAGTAAGAGGTAGTGGCCCGGCATGGTGGCTCACGCCTGTAATCCCAGCAGTTTGGGAGGCCGAGGTGGGCGGATCACCTGAGGTCGAGAGTTGGAGACCAGCCTGACCAACATGGAGAAACCCTGTCTCTACCAAAAATACAAAATTAGCCGGGCGTGGTGATGCAGGCCTGTAGTCCCAGCTACTCAGGAGGCTCAGGCAGGAGAATCGCTTGAACCCGGGAGGCAGAGGTTGCGGTGAGCCAAGATCGCCCCATTGCACTCCAGCCTGGGCAACAAGAGCGAAACTCCATCTCAAAAAAAATTTAAAAAAAGAGGTAGTGTCAGGTCCCCAAATCTAGCTATATTTATTCCAGAACCTGTGCTCTTAACCATTATAATGTATTCCCATTGAATGTCCAGATTTAATTAACTGTTTCCCTACTGATAAACATTCTCTTTACAGTTTATGTTGCTTCCTGTTTTTTACAAATGGAATTCATAGATGTAGACTTTGTGGGGTTTTTTTCTAAAAAGAAATAAAAAAAACCATTTATGGAATATTCCATTTCCCCCCACTAATTTAAATTCTATTCTTATGCTAAATATACTTAGATCTGGACTCTTCTATTCTGGACCAGTACAACACAGACTGAACAACGGTAGCTTCACAGCATTTAGAGAAAGGCACACATCAATGCGTCTAAAACCCTTCCCACATTCTCAAGTCCCAACCCCAACCCTGTACCCTTCTTCCTTGTGGTGCTCTCAGAACCCTTATGCATTACAATAGTTTCAACACCTAACAACTTCCCCATATTTCTACCCATACTTTCTTCCAGTCTCAAGGAGGCATTCCTCCTTTCCAAGGTTAACTTCTTCACCTGAGTTCTCATTCCCAACTGCCTCTACCTCACCTGAGACCACATCTGTAACCATCCTTCTTGTTTAACACTTGCGTTCCTCTCTCTCCACTGGCTTCTTACTTACCTCATCCTACAAGCATATACTGGTCTCCCCAACTCAAATAACAAATACCAAAAAAGTTCCATCTGCCATGTCTTACTAACCAGTCACTTGGGCTGGGCACAGTGGCTCACACCTGTAATCCCAGCACTTTGGGAGGCTGAGGCAGATGAATCACCTGAGGTCAGGAGTTCGAGACCAGCCTGGCCAACATGGTGAAACCCCCTCTCTACTAAAATACAAACTTAGCCGGGCGTGGTGGTGGGCGCCTGTAATCCCAGCTACTCGGGAGGCTGAGGCAGGCGGAGAATCACCTGAACCTGGGAGGCAGAGGTTGCAGTGAGCTGAGACTGCGCCATTGGACTCCAGCCTGGGCGACAGAGTGAGACTCCATTTCAAAATAATAATAATAATACAAAAAAAAAAATTCACTCACCCACCCACTCACCCATCCATCGATTCATCCTGTCCTTTCACACCACACATCCAGTAATTCCTCAAATATTTACAATAGTTTCCACCCCTCTACTAAAACTGTTCTCTGGAACACCAACCAAACCAAGTCTTGTCTCACACTTCATTTACCTCTGCAGAATTCAACACTCATTTCTGAGGCTCTCTTTCCTCAAAACCCTGGATAGTTTGTGTCTCTTCTGCCTCTCACTTGTTTCACTTTTCACCATACAGATGGACATATCTTAAGGGTTCAGCCCTCTCCTCTTCCTTCACACTTTCTCTCTTCTTCACAGAATCGAAGCAAAGGTTTTGACTTACAAGAGAGCTGGATTTTATCCTGATGCTGCTGCCTATCAGCTTTGTGACCCAGGACAAATTATTTAAACTTTTTGAGCTTTGGTTTATTTGTAAAATAGAGACAATAATACTTCTTTCAACAGATTATTGTTGAGATCAAGTAAGATCACATGTGTATAGAAGCTGGCTAAGCCCAGTGGGCAACTGATAAATTTTGGCTTCTCCCTTCCCATACTCAACTCCCAAACCTTTGTCTCTGATCTTCAGCATTTCAGTCCAAATCTTCAATCACCTGCCATATCTTTTCATCCAGATAGCCCATCTTTGCCTCAAACTCAATAACCTTTTCTTCTGGAAGGAGGAGGAATCAAGGGCACTTTATCTGAAGAGCTGGCACCAGAACTCCTCTTAGGGAAGGCACTATCTTTTTGGAGGATGCACCTTAATGAGCTACTTAGAATGGAGAGTGGCACACTAAGGGTACGTATGGGTGCTTCTGTTGCTCCTTGATGGAACCTAAACTGCTTGTAATTTGTTTTTCTTCTAAGATATAAGAGTGAAGAGTCAAAAAAAGAAAAAAAGGAAAGATAAGAGGAAGGAGACATTAGGACAAAGAAAGGCTGGGGTTGGAGAACTTAAAGAGTCAGTAAAACTTTAAAGTACTGTTTAGGGTAACCATGCTTATGACTCCTCTGGAGTTGTGTGCATTTCTATAAGGTACACCCCAACTCATCATTCCCCACAAATCATTAGTAAAATCCATATTCTGAATATATCATGTGAATGGATTTTTTTGGAGAAACTGAAGAATGGACTGATGTCTCATCTGCAGTGGGGCAAAGACAGCAAACTGGATCATGGGAGTCAAAATGATCATAATGTGAGTCCTTTGGCAATCCACAGAAACCTTTGAGGGGGCATTAAAATCCTCTATTCTGTGGTTTTGGGAAATAAGTGGGTTTCTGTCTAATTTCCCCGGATCTTGAGGCAAAGTAAAGCAACCAGCCGACATTTAGGACTCACTTCAAAAGCAGTTTCTGCTCCAGAATTCCAATTTCTGTCAATGGTATCTCACTTCTCTGGTCACCCAGGCTAAAAATGTCAGTCATCAAAGAAACAAAAACACTGAACATGTGCTCTATGCAAAGCATCCTGAGTCAAGACCTTAGCCTTTTCCAAGTTCAATTACAATGGGTTATCTTCTAAGAGTTTCCTACCAAATCTCTCTGCTTCCAGTCTCTCCTCCCAATCACTCATATTTCTTAAAAGGAGATACTGAGCCGGGCATGGTGGCTCACACCTATAATCCCAGCATTTTGGGAGGCTGAGGTGGGTGGATCACGAGGTCAGGAGTTTGAGACCAGCCTGACCAACATGGTGAAACCACATCTCTACTAAAAATACAAAAATTAGCCAGGCATGGTGGCAGGCACCTGCAATCCCAGCTACTCGGGAGGCTGGGGCAGGAGAATCGCTTGAACCCAGGAGACGGAGGTTGCAATGAGCCAGGATCACGCTATTGTACTCCAGCCTGGGCGAAAGAACAAGACTCCATCTAAAAAAAAAAAAAAAAAAAAAAAGAGAGAGAGAGAGAGAGAGAAAGAGAAAGAGAGAAAGAGAGAGAGAGAGACTTTTCTTAGATTAAAAGATTTAATCTTTTTTTTTTTTTCTTTTTTAAAGTTAGGGTCTCACTCTATCACTCAGGCTAGAGTGCAGTGACCAGATCATAGTCCACTGCAGCCTTGACCTCCTGGGCTGAGGCGATCCTCTTGTTTGTGCCTTCTGAGTAGCTGGGACTACCTCTGCCTCCTGGGTTCAAGTGATTCTCCTGTCTCAGCCTCCCAAGCAGCTGTGACTACAGGCACCGGCCACAACGCCCAGCTAATTTTTTGTATTTTTAGCAGAGACAGGGTTTCACCGTGTTAGCCAGGATGGTCTCGATCTCCTGACCTCATGATCCGCCCGCCTCGGCCTCCCAAAGTGCTCAGATTACAGGCGTGAGCCACCGTGCCCGGCCTCTTGCACATTTTTTAATTGGGTGGTTTGTCTCTATAATATTGAGTTGTAAGAGTTCTTAATATTGATACACATCCTTTATGTGATTTGCAAATATTTTCTTTCAGAAAGTGGCTTGTCTTCTCAACTTTTTACTGTCTTTTGAGGCCCACCACCATGCCTGGCTAATTTTTAAAATTTTTTGTAGAGATGAGATCTCACCACGTTGACTGGGCTGGTCTCAAACTCCTAACCTCAGGTGATCTTCTGGCCTTGGCCTCCCAAAGTGGAAGGATTGCTTGAGCCCAGGAGTAGAAGATCAGCCTGGGTAATATAGTGAGACCCCATCTCCACTTATTTAAAAAAGAAAAAAAAAAGTCTACCTTCAATGCCTTTTGCTACCAAGAACCCCACCCTTTCAATCATCAAGCTCTTGTCTTTATTTTATCCAAAAGGCACAAACCCCTCTGTGCTGTTATTTTTAAGAGCTTTATTGAAGTATAATAAACATGGCATAAAATTCATCCATTGAACAATTCAATGATTTTGGCAACCATCATCACAATCCAGCTGAAAACATTTCCATTACCCCAAAATGTTCCATCATGCCCATTTACAGTTAATTCCTACTCTTATTACCAGCCTTAGGCAAACACTATTCTGCTTTCTATCTCTATAAATGTGCTTCTTCTAGCCATTTCATATAAACAAACTCATACGATATATAGTCTTGCATCTAGTTTCTTTCCCTTAGCATAATGTTTTTGAAGTTAAATCATGTTGTATAGCATGTATCAGTAGTTTATCCCTTTAAATTGTTGAACATGGCCAGGCGTGTTGTCTCATGCCTGTAATTCCTGCACTTTGAGAGGCCGAGGCTGAAGGATGGCTCAAGACTAGGAGTTCGAGACCAGCCAGGGCAACGTAGTGGGACCCCGTCTTTACAAAACATAAATTTAAAAAATTAGATGGGAGTGGTGGCATGTGCCTGTAGTCCCAGCTACTTGGGAGGCTGAGGCTGGAGGAGTGCCTGAGCCCAGTAGGTCGACGCTGCAGGGAGCTATGATCGCACCACTGCACTCCAGCCTGAGCACTTAGAGCAAGACTCTGTCTCTAAAAAAAAAAAGCAAAGAAACAAACAAAAAATTAAATTGCTGAGCAGTGTTTCATTATATGACTGTACCATGAAATAAACAATGGATTTTGTTTATCCATTCACCAGCTGATGTACACTTGGATTATTTCCAGTTTCTTGGCTATTATGAGCAATGCCGCTATGAACATCTGCATCCATGTCTTTGAGTGTACATATGTTTTCATTTTTTTGGACAGATTCATAGGAGTGGAACTGCTGAATCATAAGGCAAATTTATGTTCCACTGTTTAAGACACTGTCCAACTTTCCAAAGTGGCTGTACTATTTTACATTTCCCATAACACTTCATAAAGATTCCAATTCCTCTGCATTCTCAACATTTGACACTGTCTGCCTTTTCTATTTTAGTTATCCTAATTCTAATAGGTGTGAAATGGTATCTCATTGCAGTTTTAATTATATTTCCCTAATGGCTGCTGATGTTGAGTATCTTTCCATGTGTTCATCAGCCATTCCTACATCTTTTTCAGTGAAGTATCTATTGAAATCTCGCATATTTTTTTTTTTTGAGACACAGTCTTGCTCTGTCACCCAGGATGGAGTGCAGTGGCCCAGTCTCCGCTCACTGCAACCTCTGCCTCCTGGGTTCAAGTGATTCTCCTGTCTCAGCCTCCTGAGTAGCTGTG
Source organism: Homo sapiens (assembly GCF_000001405.40). Taxonomy (NCBI): domain Eukaryota; kingdom Metazoa; phylum Chordata; class Mammalia; order Primates; family Hominidae; genus Homo; species Homo sapiens. The sequence continues at coordinate 76,233,057 of NC_000017.11, forward strand.
ACTACAGGTACCGGCCACCACGCCCAGCTAATTTTTTGTATTTTTAGCAGAGACAGGGTTTCACCATGTTAGCCAGGATGGTCTCGATCTCCTGACCTCATGACCCACCTGCCTCAGCCTCCCAAAGTGCTGGGATTACAGGCGTGAGCCACCGTGCCTGGCCTCTTGCACATTTTTTAATTGGATGGTTTGTCTCCATAATATTGAGTTGTAAGAGTTCTTAATATTGATACACATCCTTTATGTGATTTGCAAATATTTTCTTTCAGAAAGTGGCTTGTCTTTTCAACTTTTTACTGTCTTTTGAGGTGGTAATGTTTTTAATTTCGAAGAAATCCAATTTATTATTATTTTTTACTTGTATGGATTTTGCTTTTGGTGTCACATCTAAGAACTCTTCGCCCAATCCAAATCAAATAACATTTTTCTCCTATGTCTTCTTTTAGGGGTTTCATTGTTTTTGCATTTATGTCTATGATCCATTTTTATTTTTTTATTAGTGACAGGGTCTCAATCTGTCACCCAGGCTGAAGCGCAGTGGCACAATCATAGCTCACTGCAGCCTTGAAATCCTAGGCAAAGCAATCCTTCTGCCTCAACCTGCCGAGTAGCTGATATCATGCCACCATGCCCAGGTAATTTTTAAAAACAATTTTTGTAGAGACAGGGTCTCACTCTGTTGCCCAGGCTGCTCTTGAACTCCTGGGCTTAAGCCATCCTTCAGCCTTGGCCTCCCAAAGTGCTGGGATTACAGGCATGAGTCACCATACCCAGCCCCATTTTGAAAATAGCTTTGTGGAGATACAATTTATATACCACAGAATTCACCTATTTAGTGTGTACAATCCAATGGTTTTTAGTATATTGACCGTGTTATACAACTATTCACCACTATCTAATTTTAGAACACTGCCATTATCCCAAAAAGAAATCCATTAGCAGTCACAGCTCATTTCTCCCTCTCCTCAGCCTCTGGCAGCCGCAGGCACAGCCACTGCGCCACTGCCACTAATCTACTTTCTGTCTCTGTGGATTTGCCTCTTCTGGGCATTTCTTATAAATGAGATTATTCAATAGATGGCCTTTTGCACCTGGCTTATTTCACTGAGTATAACATTTTCAAGGTTCATCCAGGTTGTAGCACATATCAAATCTTCATTCCTTTTTATTGCCAAATAATATTCTATTGTGCAGACTTACCATATTTTATTTATCAGTAGTTCTATTCATCGGTTGATGAACATTTGGGTTATTTCCACATTTTAGCTATTATGAGTAATTCATGTGCAAGTTTTTATGTGAATGTATTTTCTTCATTTTTCTTGAGCGTATACCTAGGAGTAGAACTGCTGAGTCATCTAGTAACTAGCCATCTGAGAAACTGTCAAACCGTTTTCCAAAGTGGCTGCCCCATTTTACATTCACACCGGCAGGGTATGAGGGTTTCGCTCTCTCCATATCCTTACCAGTACTCGTCATTATCATTTTTTAAAATTATAGCCATCCTAGTGGGTGTGAAGTGGTATCTAATTGTAGTTTTGATTTGTATTTCCTTGAAAGTTAATAATGATCATCTCTTCAAGTGCTTATTGTCCACTGTATATCTTTTTTGGAGAAATGTCTATTCAAGTGCTGTGACCATTTTTAATTGGGTTGTCTTTTTATTATTGAGCATATGAGTTCCTTATATATTCTAGATACAAATTCTTGTCATACCTATGATTTATAAAAATTTCTCCCATTCTCTGAGTTCTCTCTTTTAACTCTATAATCCATTTTGAGTTAATTTTGGTGATGTAAAGAATAGGTCTGAGTTCATTTTCTTTTTTGCTCATCCCAGCATCATTTGTTGAAACCACTATCCTTTCCCCATTCAATTGTCTCGGTACTTTTGTCAAAATCAACCGAAAATAAATGTAAGGATTTCTGGTTCATAACTCTGTTCCACTGATCTATATGCTCTTCATTGTGCCAATACCACACTATCTTGATTACTGTGGCATTATAGTAATTATATGCATAGTAACTTTTAAAATAGGGTAGCGATAGTCCTCCAACTTTGTTCCTTTTTCAAAATTGTTTTGGATATTTTAAAGTGTCAAACTGTGCCAACCAAATAATTCCTTATTTTGTAGTAGGTTACTTTTTTTTTTTTTTTTGAGACGGAGTCTCGCTCTGTCGCCCAGGCTGGAGTGCAGTGGCACGATCTCGGCTCACTGCAAGCTCCGCCTCCTGGGTTCACATCATTCTCCTGCCTCAGCCTCCCGAGTAGTTGGGACTACAGGCTTCTGTCACCATGCCTGGCTAATTTTTTTGTATTTTTAGTAGAGACGGGGTTTCACCATGTTAGCCAGGATGGTCTTGATCTCCTGACCTCGTGATCTGCCCGCCTCGGCCTCCCAAAGTGCTGGGATTACAGGCGTGAGCCACTGCGCCCAGCCGTAAATTGCATATTTTTAAGTGTATGGTTTCAAATCTAATATTAAATTGATACTCCTAAAGCTAGGAGAAACTTACATTAAAACTTTTATAGTTATTCGACAAAGACTTATTATCCATGCCTTTAAAAACTGTTCTTGCAATAGGAAAGACCCATTTGACAAGAATATGTGTACTCTAAAATAACAAAAATTTGGAGAATGATGATGTAGACAGATGTGATACATCTATGGCTGGGTACGGTAGATCACTTCTGTAATCCCACTGCTTTGGGACCCCGAGGTGGGAGGACTGCTTGAGACCAGGAGTTCAAGACCAGCCTGGGCAACACAGTGAGATACTGTCTCTACAAAAACTTTAAACATTAGCCAGGCATGGTGGTATGTGCCTGTAATCCCAGCTACTGAGGAGGCTGAGGCAGGAAGATCGCTTGAGCCCAGGACTTTGAGGTTACAGTGAGCTTTGATAACACCACTGCACTCCAGCCTGGATGCCAGAGTGAGACCCTGTCTCTAAAAATAAATTATTTAATTTTTTAAAATCTACAATCAGTTGACTTTAAGTAAAGGAGATTATCCTTGATTATGTGGGTGGGCCTCTAGTCAGTTGAAGGCCTTAAAAGCAAAAACCCGGGTTTAACCAAGCTAGCTGGTCAGGACTCTGATTACCATTCTGAATTTCTGTAGTAGGTTTACTTCTTAAAGACTTCAGCAAAACAAATTATTCCTATTTTCCAACTTGCCCAAGTATGTGGAGGGAAACAAACTAGATTTATGAGGTACTGCTTTATATAAATTAAACTGTCTTTATATTATGCCTATTTCTTCCTGGATAGAGAAAACAGGCTTTTATCAATGTGGACTTTTATCAACGTGGATACTTCTGTCAAAAGATGAGCTTCATAAAAGCAACCATCTCCGCAAAGCCATACCTTTCTTTGCTAAACAAATGATCTTGGGCTTTTAAAGATGCAAAGATCTTAGAGAAGCATGTATGACTTCTAACTCAAAAATTACAAAAGTACATCCAAATACAGTAGAACCGTGCTCTAAATTGCTTTCTATGCTAATGTAGAAATGCTATACAGAAACTCCCACCATACTTTCTATTACTTAAATGATTAATATTCACACAATTATTAATAAATCTAAAAATCACCTAATGCATAACATTATTCATTGTTGCACTGTTTGCAATAGTAAGATACTGAAAAAACAACTCACAGATGTTTATCAACAGGAGACTATGTAAAAAAAAAGATGGCATATGCATGCAGAGGAATACTATATAGTTGTTAAAAAGCACAAAGAAACTTATCAAATATGAGACAATATAAAAAGATCTCCAATATCTCTGAAAGCAAACAGAGCAAGGTGTAGAACAGTCTAATAGCATGCTATGCTTGCATTTACACAAGAAACTCTAAAAGAATTCCAAAGAAACCAAAAGTGGTTACATGGGATGGGAGGTTTAGAGGGAGGAAGGAGAACCAGGTGGATGGACAACAGCGGTGAGAACAAGGCTTTCACTGTACACGTTTTCATTCTTTTAAAGTTTGAACCGTGTGACTATATTACCTATTCAAAAATAAATAATTCTAAATAATTTAGGCTATTTATTTCTATCTACCTCTATTTAAGGATAGAAAAAAGCTACAAACCCAAGTCTCAACTTGAAATCTGCCATTCTTGATAGGATTTAAATGTTTGTTTCAATGTGCATACAAAACTAAGAAGTTCCATTAAATATACTAAGAAAAAAGCAATTTCAGCTGGACACTGTGACCGTCATTACAAGGACAGATGATGGTGCTTCTTTCCGAAACAACTGTTCCACCGGCAGTGCAGGTCTAGCCGCTTTCCAGCGAGCCAGATAGTGGTCTCAACTTAACACTCAAACTACAAGGTATGTCATCTGGAGAAAGCTGACTCTGCCACTTGCTTTGTTCCACTGTTAGTACTCAGGATAAGGAGACTTCTCAAAATCAACCCAGGTTGATTCCTCTATAGGGACTTCAATTATGACACGAAATAGCCTTCATTCCATAATCATGGAATGATTGTTTTAAGTCTTGTTTTTTGAGTACAAGTTCAAAACCCAATTCCTTGAGAGGTGGAGGCAGACAGTATAGTAGGAAGAACACTAACTGGCTGAGAGACCCTGGCCATACCAATTCATTTCTCTGGGTCTCCATTTTCTTATCAGTGAAATGAATGGGAGGCCAAGGCGGGAGGATTGCTTGAGACCACGAGTTCAAGACCAGCCTGGGCAACATAGTGAGAGAGTGTCTCTACAAAAAACTTGCCTGGGCGTGGTAGCTCACACCCGTAATCCCAGCACTTTGGGAGGCCGAGGCAGGCGGATCACCTGAGAGGTCAGGAGTTCAAGACTTGCCTGGCCAATATGGTGAAACCCCATCTCCACTAAAAATACAAACAATTAGCCGGGTGTGGTGGCAAACACCTGTAATCCCAGCTACTTGGGAGACTGAGGCGGGAGAATTGCTTGAACCCTAGAGGCAGAGGTTGCAGTAAGCCAATATTGCACCACTTCATTCCAGCCTGGGCGTGACAGAGAGAGACGATGACTCAAAAAAAAAAAAAAAAAATTAAACATTAGCTAGGCATGGTGGTCATGGCCAAACTCTGTCAACGGTTCCTTTCAGGACTAATACTGTAATCCCATAAAGAGCCAGGTCAATTCAAAGATCAGAAGAAAGGCGATGCCTCCGTCTAGAGCATATATGCAAGCTCACATAAGGTTTCAAATACACAAAGGTTTGCTGACAGAGACAGGATGTTCTGATTCTATTTTCTATGTTTTAGCTTCAACAGAAATAATGTGGTCCACTTGCTATAAAGACTTCTCTCATGTATAACTTCTGATTTAACATGAATTACAGTTTTACAGTTAAACTTTTAAAACTGGTAGAGAGGAGAGGATTATTTATTGAGTGTGCTAATTAACAAAAGTTTTGGTTTGGTCTATTGTCTTTTTATTATCATCACCCAAGATTCATACTTGTACAAATATGCTTTGGGGAACAGCCTTCCAGAGGTTTACCTATGTTAAGTCCCACATATGAAAGAGCGGTGAATACTTTCCTGAGGCAGCAAACACTATTGAAAATTCCAAGCTCAGCAAAGTATGCTCCATATTTTGATCAATAAAAGCCATGTGGTTTAAGAAAAACAGAGCCCACAAATACTGCTGCATATTTTTGTCTATTTTAAAAAGTTTTCCTCATGCCGCCCTAAGAATATTTTTGTCTATTAAAAAACAAAATCTATGCCTTGGTTAGCGTTGATTTTATGTAGTCATAATCAGTCAGAGCTTTATTAAAATACTAACGACCCACAGCTTTATCTTAGACCTTTCTAAAACAATTCTTCACCATATTCATCTTTGCAAGGATTCATTCTTTGGTACAAAAGCAGTGAGAAACACAGCTCTGGCAGACACTCTGCAGGGATGCGGGCAGGTTCATCGTCTGGCCCCTGCTTTCACCTGGCAGACACTGGACACACTGCTGAGAAACCAGCTCATCTCAGTATGTCTCTATTCTACCAAAAAGAGACGAGGCTCTGCTCCAATTCTGACACCTCATTCCGAAATCACCAAAATCTCCATCGGGTCCTAAGCAGACAGAATGTCGCAGCCATTCATCCTCAGAAGTCTTGAGAATAAAATTAAAAGTAATTAATTAAAATAAAACTACTTGCAATTAAAAGTAAACACCGGCTAGGTCATGCAATTCATACTGGCCGGTGCTCACATAACTGAACTACCTTGTGATTCTCTGCTTTGCTGTCAAAATCCTCCTCCACCTCCAATGCTGATACCACAATCCAGAGGCTAGAGACATTTAAGTGAAGGGATGATTCTAATAACAAACATACTTCTATACGTTTCCAATACCTCTGCCCTGTCCCAGAGCTGGTCCCACTCCAAAACCCAGGCTTGCCACTACGCTAGCAAAGGGGCAATCCGAGTAACTCTGATACTCAGATTCCCAAACATTTCTGTTACTTTCCACCACCACCACCCCCCCCACCCCCCGGCTTCTGACAGCCTCTGCAAAAGCACCAGCACTGCAAATGCCTGTTTGGCTTCCATCCTTCAGCAGGCAATGGAAGCTTTTCCAGGAGAAACCTAATTCTAACCTTTCCAGAGGCCAGGAGACGGCAGCGCAGGGATAGCACCTGGCGCAAGTGCCTGTTTGGATGCCGAGGTCGCCTCCCTCGCGGCCCTCGGACCCCGCGAGGCAGGTAGGCTTTGGGCCGGGCCGGCCGGGTCCGTGCGGGGCGCCGACCTCGCCTACGACGCCGCAGCCCCGCTCCCCAGGAGCCTCGGTCCCTGCGGGCACGCGTCCCCGTCACGGGGCCGATTACAATGGAGGCCGCTCCCGTCCTCCCGTGGAGGGGCTCGGTGCCCTCGGTGACCCTGCTAGACCCGGCAGGACGCCCCTTGGGCTAATTCGCCCGGGGCGGGGGAGACCTCGGCCTTCTCGAAGACCTCCCGCGCTCGAAGACCGTTTCGGAGCGTCCGCAACCACTGAGTCCCCGAAGACCCGCGGGGCCCCCTCAGGCCGTCCCGACCCAGACCCCTGCCCCTGCCCCTCTCCCTCCTCGCGGCTGCGGCGCCCGCCCGCCCTCACCGGACTTGGGCGGGTAGCGGTACACGGAATTAGACGGGATGTCCACCTCCTCCACGCCCGCGTGCTGCCGGCTCGTCAGGGCCCCCATGGCCGCTGCGGCTGCAGCCCCGGCCCGGCCCCGGTGCCCGCGCCGCCCTCCGCGCTTCACCGCGGCCGCCCGCCCCGCGCCCGGTGCGGGGGCCGACTGCCCGCCGCGGCCGGCTCCGCTGCGGCGCTGCGGCTCTGGCGGCGGGGAGCCCCCGGCGCGCCGCGCACCATCCTCCGCCGGGCACCGCGGCGGCGCCTCTGCCAAGGGGGCTGCGGGTCTGGGCCGGGGGCGCCGCCGCCGCCTCAGGCCGCGTGATGTCAGCGGCCGCTCCGCGCGGGGACCGCGGCGGCCCCAGCCAATGGCGAGGCGGGGCGGGAGCGCCCGCGCCGGAGCAGCCAATGAGCGCGGGACTGCAGCAGGAGCCGGCGGCGCGTGCCTCGCGCGGGGAGCCGCGGCTGGACTCGGCGCGCGTGGACGCGGCCCAGGGCCTCGCGGCGGGGGCGTGGGCGTGGGCGGGGACTCGCGACGGGGACGGGGGCGCGGCCGGGTGCCCGCGGCGGGGCGGGGCGGGACCGGCCGGAGCTGGGACCCCAGGAGACGAGCGCTGCACCCGGCCGGGACGCGTCGCCCCTCCGCGCCTGTTTATCCCGGCTCGGATTACCGCGCAGGGAGCCGCCCCCTCCCGCGGTCCGCGAGGACTGGCCGGGAGCTCGCTCGCCATTGTCCTGGGCGTCCCAAAGCGGGCGGTCCCCGCTCCGCTGCTCCCGCGCCTGGAGGAAGCCTTCCCAACCCCGCCCCTCAGCGTCGGCCGGCGGAGGTCTTCGGAAATCTCATGCAGGGGGGTAGGGAGAGGGGTCCCACGGTGCATTCGCATGTCTCCTGCCCCGTGTTAATGCTGGTGACCGGCTAGGAAGATGCCGCCTCCCTCTCACGTGCGTCTATTCAAAGCGCTCCCAACTCTATACATGCTGTTTAAGGCTCCTTGTAGCCCTAAAGTTAGGAGAACATCGACTGAGGATAAGATCAAGACATCCAGCCTCTGTCTGTATCGTGGAAACGGGACCCCGGAAACTTTGGAAAGGCCTGAGTGCCAAGAGAGTCAACGCAGGCGAAAGCGAACCGGGCCAGGCAGAACCGGGAGCTCCTGTTGATAAAAACACACACAACAGTGGGAAGCTTGGGCCGGCGGAAGACGTCATTCCATTGCTTAATTACAGACATTTGTGTTTTAAACCTTCTATTTTCTTTGTGGGTCTGGTGTTTTTTTTCCTGAGAGAGTGGACTGATCAGCAAACATTTCAACTGCTAGAACATGACTTTCACAACTTTTCAACAGTGTTCGAAGTACAGTTTGGGGTGTCTGGTTCCCTTGATTAGGTTTGTAAAGCTATTTTACGGAGTCTAGGTCTTTCCTGGTTATATTTTGTTTTTGTTTTTCTGTGTTTTGAGACGGAGTCTCCCTCTGTCGCCCAGGCTGGAGTGCAGTGGCGTGATCTCAGCTCACTGCAACCTCCGCCTCCTGGGTTCAAGGGATTCTCCTGCCTCAGCCTCCCGAGTAGCTGAGACTACGGGCATGTGCCACCACACCCGGCTAATTTTTCTACTTTTAGTAGAGATGGGGTTTCACCATGCTGGCCAGACTGGTCTCCAATTCCTGACCTCCGCCCCCCAAAGCGCTGGGATTACAGGCGTGAGCCACCGCGCCCGGCACATTTCGTATTTTTCATTGCCGTCTTTTCAGCAGCAGCCAACAGACCTGATGCTAAGTGCCTTGGTTTCCTCCAGGGTCCTCAGGATGGTGGGAACACATCCCTGTCATTTATATTGGCTGCTGCTAACGAAGGCTTGGGTTACAGGGCAAGTCCCTGCCCCGGCAGCTTCTCCCAAGCACCAGAGCTCTCTGGCAGAGTCCCTGGTCCTAACTACTCCAGGGCTTTCAGTCATCCCTGTGGGAGGGAACTGGTGTCCTCCTCCATACTCCTTTCAGCACACACAGGCCCTACCTTGTAACTGCTGGGTAAAGGTAAAATGCAAATAAGAATCTAGAACCACCTCAAAACACAAGGCCTTCGACACATCACAGAGTAAAATGTTGCCTTATGCTCCTCGGCTCTGTTCAGAAGCCTTGGTTCTTCCTGCCCTCGGCATTTTGTAAACGGGACATCCCTTCCCTTTGTGGGTTTATCCATGTCTGAGAGTTTCTTCTGCTTAGCCAGGGCCAGGCAGGGATGTGGCTTAGTCAAGCAGCCCAGTCCTGTTGCTTATGGGGTGTCTCTTCTGGTCCCACCTTGGCCTGACCCTGGGAAGCCAGCTTCTCCATCTTGAATAATACTCCCCAAGCCTAGAAGTTGGTTCCTCCTCCCACGAAGGAGTCATGAGTCCAATGCTTAGAATAGTAAAGAAAAACAAGGCATAGCACAATAAAATTAGTGGATATTTATGGAACACTCTATGTGCCAGGCTGTTTTAAACACTTCACACGTATTAAAGCATTCAACCCTCCCAACAACCCTATCAAATACATGCTATTTACACCCCGATTTTACAGTCGAAGAGAATGAGGCACAGAAAGAGCACTAGACTTTGAGTTGGACAAATCAAACCCCTAAGCAGCTATGTAACTTTGACTTAAGCCCTTAGAAACGGTCTCCGTTTCCTCCTCTGAAAATAGCCCAGTCTCCAATGGTTATTGCAAAGATGCAATAAGTGAATCAAGACTCTTTTGTTTTGTTTTGTTTTTGAGACAGAGCCTCACTCTGCTGCCTAGGTTGGAGTGCAATGGTGTGATCTCGGCTCACTGCAACCTCCACCTTCCGGGTTCAAGTGATTCTCCTGCCTCAGCGTCCTGAGTAACTGGGACTACAGGCGCCCGCCACCACGCCCGGCTAACTTTTGTATTTTTAGTAGAGATGGAGTTTCACCATGTTGTCCAGGCTGGTCTCCAACTCCTGACCACAGGTGATCCGCTCGCCTTGGTCTCCCAAAGTGGTGGGATTAAAGGCGTGAGCCACCACACCCAGCCAAGACTCATTTTTAAAAGAATGTTGACCAGAGACAGAAGAGAAACGGATAGAAGGCAGTTTAGAAACTTCTAGATCAAAGAGACTTTTTGTGAATTGAGCTACAGTCCCACAGTCTACAGTGTAATCACCTAGTGTGAACAATTTTGGAAATAGAATCTCAGCCAGTGCCCTGGGCAAAGGCGAGATAAGCAGCTAGACCCTCGGAGCAGCCGACTCTAGAGGGGCTGAGTCCTGCATTCCTCTATGGTTCTTCCCTGGCTCCACTTGGCTCCCTCGCCAAAGATCTGGGCCAGGGAGAGTGCCCGAGGGAGAAGGCAGCTCAGATAGGAGGAAAAATCCAGAAGTGACTGCACCAAGAGAGCCATAAAAATGTTTTTAACTTGAAAAATGGTCTGGGGAGGGGTTGCACAGTGTGCATAGGGAAATCACATGCAAATACCACACGTGCTTTGTGGAAATAGCCTTGTAGCACCCTATCCATTTCCACACTATGGATGCAGCCCTTGGGAGAATCCCAGCAGACAACACAACATCCAAGGGTCTCAGCGGTTTTCTCTAAACATCCCTGGAAGGCAAGGGGCAAAGCCAGGTATTTCTATCACATTGAAGCTCTTCTTCTGCAACTTGGGTCTAAGGGAGAAAGGAGAAGGGTGGGGGAAGTACGGGGACAAGTAATTTTTAGGTGAGCTTGTCCCTTTGGACTTTTCATTTTGTTCATGTTGCTGTCCTGGTTTCAGCCCAGATGTGCCATTTCCACCCTTGTAACACATGCAATGATTAGCTTAGTGCAGGAAGGAGTGAGGGAGCCTGCAGGTGGAAACTGACAGACACAGCCCTGCAGCACAGCATTCCTGAGGCAGCAGGGTTTGGGAGGCAAACCAGTATCTCAGGTGACCTGAAAGAGCTAAGAAAGGTCTCTGATTTTGGGACAGGAAGATGAGAATCTTGGCTGTTCTTAATGAGTACCAGCTCTCTCCAGAAGATAGGGCCCAATCAGCCACACATGGGCCCGATCCCTCTTTTAGTCCTCGACATGTGGCTTCGGTGGATTGAAGCCAAAACCACCAGCGGAGAATGTCACATCCTGCTCCAGATCAGTGGGCTAGGCTAACGTCGACAGAATAGTCTGATCCTAAATGCTTTGGGGCCCTGCAGATGGTTCCTCTGGCAACCTAAGGCTCTCTGTAGAGGAAAATAATCTTGTCCATTAGGAAATCCGCAATCAGGCTTTCATATTTTGCTTTTTGCTGAGTGTGAATTCCTCATTGTTAATTTCGTCCTCCACTCTGGGCTGCCAATAAAGAAGAGTTGTTCAAATGGATGCAGACTCCAGTCCAGTTTGTAGCCTATTAATCTATTTTTCAAGTTAAGACTAAAATGAAAGATGATGTTTACACGGCCCAATGTGTTGGGGATAAGGCGAAGTGAGTGGGGCACCCAGAATGTCAACTTTAAGTTCTCATTCTCAGCCACGCACAGTGGCTCACACCTGTAATCCCAGCACTTTGGGAGGCCAAGATGGGCGGATCACGAGGTCAAGAGATCGAGACCATCCTGGCCAACCCCATCTTTACTAAAAATACAAAAATTAGCTGGGCATGGTGGCACGCACCTGTAGTCCCAGCTACTCGGGAGGCTGAGCCAGGAGAATCGCTTGAACCCGGGAGGCGGAGTTTGCACTGAGCTGATATCAGGCCACTGCACTCCAGCCTGGCAACAGAGCAGGACACCATCTCAAAAAAAAGAACAGTTCTTACTCTCAGTGTCATGCAATTGCCTCACCTGCCTCACTCTGGTTCCAGCCCTGCTGCCCAGGCATCTGGCATTGGAGAAATGAGGGGCCCAAGACTCTATTTATGTTTACAGACTAGTTTGAAGAAATTGGGAGAGTCTGTTCTATTTTTTGTTGTTTCTATCAAATACCAGACCTTGTAAGCTTGGTTCTACCTGTTCACTTCTGCCTTCATTCTCTTCCTTGTTGGTCCTGCTCTTCTTTTGGCTTTGAGCTCACTCCACCTGGGACTACACATTCTGCATCCTAAAGTTGGTGTAAAAAGAATGTGCGGGCTGGGTGCAGTGGCCCACGCCTGTAATCCCAGCACTTTGGGAGGCCGAGGCAGATGTATCACCTGAGGTCAGGAGTTTGAGACCATCCTGGCCAACATGGTGAAACCCCGTTTCTACTAAAAATACAAAAATTAGCCAGGCGTGGTGGCACACGCCTGTAATCCCAGCTACTCGGGAGGCTGAGGCAGGAGAATCGCTTGAACCAGTGAAGCGGAGGTTGAAGCGAGTCCAGATTGCGCCACTGCACTCCAGCCTGGGGCCACAGAAGGAGACTGCGTCTCAAAAAAAAAAAAAAAAAAAGTGTGAGGCTAACATTTCAGCTTGGCAGGGCAGGCCTGGTAGCTCACACCTGTAATCCCAGTGCTTTGGGAGGCTGAGGTGGGAGGATTGCCTGAGCCCAGGAGTTCAGCACCAGCCTGGGCAACATAGTGAGATCCTATCTCTACAAAAAAAATATTTAAAAATTAGCTGTGCAGGCCAGGCGCGGTGGCTCATGCCTGCAATCCCAGCACTGGGAGGCTGACGCGGGTGGATCACGAGGTCAGTAGCTCAAGACCAGCCTGCCCAACATGGTGAAACCCTGTCTCTACTACAAATACAAAAATTAGCCAGGCGTGATGGCGCGCGCCTGTAATCCCAGCTACTCAGGAGGCTGAGGCAAAAGAATTGCTTGAACCCGGGAGGTGGAGGTTGCAGTGAGCAGAGATGGCGCCACTGCACTCCAGCCTGGGTGACAGAGCAAGACCCTGTCTCGAAAAAAGGAAAAAAAAGAACATTTCAGCCCAGCATCGACTCCAGCTGCCCTTCTTGGAGAAACAGACCAGACCAAATAGGCACAAAGCCCAGCGTCTGCCTCTTGCTACCTAGAAAAGGTAGAATGTGGAAGCGGCAGCGTGGTGACAGCCCCAAACCTTTCTTTAACAAAACAAATACTCACCTGCGGTTACTTAGATCAAAAGAAGAAAATAACAAACAGGGTTTCTTGAAAATGCCTGTCCTGGCTAGATGGTCAGATTTGGAAGGAATCTCAAAGGTACAGCCCCTCCCCTGACAGATGAGGCAGCTGCAACCTCTACAGGGTAAGGGGCTTGCCCAAGACCATACAAGTGGTAGCCATAGCTCAGAACCCAGGGATCCCTGGCTCCCTGTGCACTGGGTCTTGATATGGGAAGCTGGTGCTATGCTGGTTTTATCTCTCTCTGTCTCTCCTTGGTGAGCCATCTCCTACAGCTGTCATAAGAGGACAAGCCGACTTGAGGTTGAGCTCTGAAGCTCAACACAAGTGCACACACGTGTTCAGCTGTTGCAATATCAGTGTGAGCATGCAATCAACTGCACTCACAGGAAAGTTGTCTGTAACTGTGCTCAAGTCAGAATCAGAAAACCACTGAGCTCCTCTCAGCTGGAGACTCCCTGCACCCTCCCTCTGCTCTTCTGAAACTGGAGCTGAGGTCAGGGCTGCAGAACTGAACTGATCAACCAGTCACCTAACTCCTCCCAGGCACAGGAACCAAAGGGCTGCTGAGAAAAGAGAAATGAGAGGCCACTGAGGGTTAGGAGATCAGATTCTTAGCAAGTAGGTTAAAAGTGCCGTATGCATGCTAATAGTGTGTCCAGCTAAAGTCTGAGTGCCAGCCAAAGTCCACTACAGACAAGCAATTTGTTTACAATGACACATTTATTTCTGAGCAAATTGCTTGTTTATTTATGTGATAACTACTATCCTATTAGGGTATTTCAAAGACTGTGTGTTGATCCTGACAAAGTAATAAACAGAAATACCACTCACTGTTATGGTTCTCACAGTAAGCTATTGGAAGCCTTAGGTCTTTTTTACGCACCATGAGGTATATATTTATTACATTGTTAGCCGTATCCTGTTATCTTTTTTTTTTTTTTTAAGATGGAGTCTCTCTGTCACCCAGGCTAGAGTGCACTGGCCTGATCTCGGCTCACTGCAACCTCCACCTCCCAGGTTCAAGCGATTCTCCTGCCTCAGCCTCCTGAGTAGCTGGGACTACAGGCGCACGCCACCATGCCCAGCTAATTTCTGTATTTTTAGCAGAGACGAGGTTTCACCATGTTAGCGGGGCTGGTCTTGAACTCCTGACCTCAAGTGATCCACCTGCCTCGGCCTCCCAATGTGCTTGGATTACAGGCGTGAGCCACCACGCCTGGCCCTGTTATCTTTTATTTTATTATTATTTTTTATAATAATAATATATAATAAATATCTTTGTTTATAAAGATATAAATATAATAAATATAATAAACATATTTATTTTTTGTTGTTGTTGTTGTTGAGACAGAGTCTCATTCTGTCGCCCAGGCTGGAGTAAAGTGGCACGATCTTGGTTCACTGCAACCTCCGCCTCCCTGATTCAAGAGATACTCATGCCTCAGCCTCCCAAGTAGCTAGCTAGGATTGTAGGCATGCGCCACCACGCCCAGCTAACTTTTTGTATTTTTAGTAGAGACGGGGTTTCACCATGTTGGCCAGGCCAGGCTTAAACTCCTAGCCTCAGGTGATCCACCTGCCTCGGCCTCCCGAAGTGCTGGGATTACATGAGTGAGCCACTGTGCCTGGCCCCTGTTATCTTTTATATTCCAAGATGAAATCTGTGTATGAAAAGAGGTCTGGTAATTTCATTAGCTTCCTCTCTGGTTTTCCTATTTTCCTACCTCTTGGTCTTCCTTCCCCTTATCCATTCTCTAAATTATTCTCAGGTTAGCGTCACCAATATACAGCTGTCATCATGTTACTCCCTTATCTATATACTTTCAGTGGCTCCCTGTTACCTTACAGAAGACAGGTGCTTCATCCCTGAGCCCTTTCCTCTCTCTGCTTCCCAATAAACACCTGCTCATACCCCAAATGCAGCTTATCATTCCTGCTCATGTATGAGTTTTTTGTTTTTGTTTTGTTTTGAGACAAGGTCTTGCTCTGTCACCCAGGCTGGAGTGCAGTGATGCAATCACGGCTCACTGCAGCCTCCACCTCTCGGGATCAAGCGATCCTCCCACTTCAGCCTACCGAGTAGTTGGAACTACCAGCATACAGAACCACTCCCAGCTAATTTTTGTATTTTTGGTAGACACAAAACCCCTTTTATAGAAGGAGTTTCGCCATGTTGCCCAGGCTGGTCTCAAACTCCTGGGCTCAAGCGATCCACCTACCTTAGCCTCCCAAAGTGCTGGAATTACAGGCGTGAACCACTGCGTGTGGCTCCCGCTCATGTTTTTGCTCACAAAAAAACCCTTCCACTTGTGCCCTTTCCATTCCTGTCTGCCAAGGTGAATTCCACTCAGCTGAAATCCTGCCTCTTCCATGAAGCCGCCTCTGAGAACTGCTGCCAATAGGTGGCTCTTCTTTCTCAGAAGTTCTATTGCATGAATTATTTTCAGTATAACTTGATATTTATGTGCAAGATGCCCTCAGTCTACAAAGGCAAAAGACATATACAGTTGTCCCTCTGTATCTATGGGGGATTGGCGCTAGATACCAAAATCCTTGGATGCTCAAGTCCCTGATATGAAATGGCACAGTATTTGCATACAACCTACTATGCACAATGTCGGGTAGGCTTTAAATCATCTCTAGATTACTTATAATACCAAATACAATTCAAATAGTTGTATTACCTTTTATTGTATTATTTTTCATTGTTTCTTTTCTAATTTTTTTTTTTTTTTAAACAGAGTCTCGCTCTGTCAACCAGTCTGGAATGCAGTGTCACAATCTCGGCTCACTGCAACCTCTGCCTCCTGGGTTCAAGCGATTCTCCTGCCTCAGCCTCCCGACTAGCTGAGATTATAGACATGCGCCATCACGCCTGGCTAGTTTTTGTATTTTTGGTAGAGATGGGGTTTCACCATGTTGGCCAGACTGGTCTCAAACTCCTGACCTCAGGTGATCTGCCCACCTTGGCCTCCCAGAGTGCTGGGATTACAGATATGAGCCACTGCGCTCAGCCTCTTTTCTAATGTTTTTGATCCATGGTTGATTGGATCCATGGATATGGAACTCAGGGACTTGAAGGATCAACTTCATAAAGCTCTAGAGTCAAACAGAGCAAAGTTCAAAATCCAGGTCTTCCATTATTGGCTGTGTATCTGGGAAAGTTCTTTGACTTCTCTGAGTTCATTTATGCTTCATCCATGAGAACATCTAAGAGCTCTTTGAACATTAAGTTAGCCAAAGCATGTGCAGCCCTCACACAGTTCCTGACATACAGCGGGTGCTCAATGAATGCTAACTTTTTTAATTAAAAAAAAAAAAAAGCTGGCTGGGCATGATGGCTCATGCCTGTAATCCCAGCACTTTGGGAGGCAGAGGCAGGCGGATCACTTGAGGCCAGGAGTTCAAGACCAGCCTGGCCAACATGGTGAAACCGCTTCTCTACTAAAAATACAAAAATTAGCTGCATGTGGTGGTGGGTGCCTGTAATCCCAGCTACTTGAGAGGCTGAGGCAGGAGAATTGCATGAACCCGGGAGGCAGAGGTTGCAGTGACCCGAGATCGCACCACTGCACTCCAGCCTGGGTGACAGAGCGAGACTCCATCTCAAAAGCAAAAACAAAGCAAAAAAAATCCCTTCTTTAACAAAGAGATTAGCTTCCAAAAAAATAATTTTTAAGGCTAGGCGTGGTGGCTCACGCCTGTAATCCCAGCACTTTGGGAGGCCGAGGCAAGCAGATCACGAGGTCAGGAGATCGAGACCATCCTGGCCAACATGGTGAAACCCCATCTCTACTAAAAATACAAAAAAAAATTAGCCAGGTGTGGTGGCGGGCACCTGTAGTCCCAGCTACTTGGGAGGCTGAGGCAGGAGAATGGTGTGAACCCAGGAGGCAGAGCTTGCAGTGAGCCGAGATTGAGCCACTGCACTCCAGCCTGGGTGACAGTGAGAGACTCCGTCTCAAATAATAATAATAATAATAATTTTAAAGTCAGAGTTTCTGGATTTCCAAGTCAGGATATGTATTTGAGAGTCTGCCCAAGATGAAACCGAGGTCCACGCACTTCCCATACCAGGTGAAGGCAGAGCCCAGGGGTTTCGATTTCCTGAGACATCACTTTTCTGTGTTCATTGAAACTCAAAATGCCAGAAACATGTCTCCCTTATCACGTGTGGTGGCTGCTAAAGGGCCAGAGAAAAAGATAGCCCAGCCCTGCTCCTTCTTAACAAAGTACTGCCAACAAGTCACTGCACTAGAAGAAAGCAAGGCCCCTAATCGGCCCTCTTGCCCCTGCTGTCTGGATTAGCCATCTGTGGACGTGTGTGGTGTGTGTATTTGCGGATGTGTGTATTTGTGGGTCAGAGTTTGTCTGCCATTGTTTTGGGGGGTTTGCTTTTTGTTTTGAGATACGGTCACCAGGCTGGAATACAGTGGCATGAACGTGGCCCACAGCAGCCTCGACCTCCTGTGCTCAGGCGATCCTCCCACCTCAGCCTCCTGAGGAGCTGGGACTAAAGTGCGCCACCACACCCGGCTATTTTTTTTAAGAGATAGGGTCTCACTATGTTGCCCAGGTTGGTCTCGAACTCCTGGGCTCAGGTGATCCTCCCGCCTCAGCCTCCCAAAGTGCTGGAATTATAGGCGTGAGCCACCGTGCACGGCCTTCTGCCATTGTTAACTTCTCACTTAAGTGCCATTTGCTAACTAGAAAGAATGTTCAAGTTCACTGAGTTGGGGCCAGCTCTCCAGGGCTCATAGTTCAGGAATTTTGCCAGCCAGTTGTTAAATTGTTGGTAGCGTAATGGGAGTATTTACAACACAGAAACCATCAAATGCTGCAAATCACAGCTTCCTCCCATTCTCCAGAGCCAGTTTACCAGCATACCCCTGGTCTTAGGTTTCTTCTAATCCCCCAGAAGGGCTGGGTACATTGCTTCCCATATAGAAAGTGCTCACTAAATGAATGACTATTTAGTTGTTGTTGTTGTTGTTGTTTTGAGACGGAGTCTCCCTCTGTAGCCCAGGCTGATGTGCAATGGCGCAATCTTGACTCACTGCAACCTCTGCCTCCCAGGTTCAAGTGATTCTCCTGCCTCAGCCTCCCGAATAGCTGGGATTACAGGTGAATGCCACCATGCCCAGCTAATTTTTGTATTTTTAGTAGAGATAGGGTTTCACCATGCTGGTAAGGCTGGTCTTGAACTCCTGACCTCAGGTGATCCACCTGCCTTGGCCTCCCAAAGTGCTGGGATTATAGGCGTGAACCACCGAGCCCAGCCAAGAATAGTCATTTTTGAGCAATGACTCTGTCCAAGCACTTTGGAATGCGTTGTCACCCGAGCTGGAGTGCAGTGGTGTGATCACAGTTCACTGCAGTCTCAACCTCCTGGGCTCAAGCGATCCTCCCACCTGAGCCTCATTTAATCTTCAAAACAACCCTAAGAGATAAGTATTATTGTTCCCACTTCCCAGATGAGGAAACTGGAACTCAAGTAGGCACAGGGAGCAGGAACTGGCCCCAGGTTCTTCCAGGTTCAAAGTCCTACATTTTACCCATGGATCATCATCTCACCAGCCTCTGTGGGGAAAGCCTGCCTGGGTGCCAGCCCTACTGCCCACCAAGCTAGCGGAGTGATTCTCCCAGGGTGGTGCCAGTGACAAAGGGCAATGCATGGGGACGTCTCCATCATTGTCACACCACCACCTCCACCTTCACTGTGCCTCTCTCTAGGTTTAATCTTTCTTCCTTTTCCTCCTCACTTCCCTCTGTATTATCAATCTCCTTCCTGTATCGGGACTATTTCCTCAACAGGCCCGGGGAAGCTCTTGTCTATGGAAGTCCTCTTTGGCCTTAAGCTTCCCTCTAAGAGCTCCAGCAGATGAGTAACCTGTCCTCCTGCAAACACTGCCATGAAGTGCGTAGGCAGCTGCCTGCCTTCAGGGCTGGATGGACACCCTGTTTCCTTGCTCAATCCCTTCTGATGACTGGACTCTGTACACAGTGTGGTCAGTGGGTCAGCTCTGATCTGGAAGCTCCCAAAGGCAGGACACAAGATTTTCTCTGACTGTTCCCAGGCCCCAGGGCGTGTTGGGCACGGGAGCGTGTGGCACGGATGTTGTTCGTGATGAGGCATATTCTAGTGGTTTCCCAATTCGGTTGTGTACAACCCAGTGCTCTAGTGTTCAGTAAATACTTCCTTCCTCTTTAGGCAGAACACTGGCTCTGTGTTTTATTAACAGCACCTCATGCCTGGCCCAAAGAATGATTTGTGTGGCTTGGGCTGTTGGGGTCAGAAATGGCATTCATTCATCATTCACTCTGGAGGTGCTGTGTTTCTGAAGGAGAAGGGGACCTATCCTGGCAAACAAATCAGGGGCTTTATGGTAAACAAACTCCTCTCTTCCCAGCACTTGTTTCTTGCTCTCTGTTTTTGATTTTCTCTCTCTTTCACTTTTTTTTTTTTTTCACTATACCCGGGCTTCCTGAGTTCCTGACAATTTCTAAAGCCTCAAGCATGATCTCATCAGAAACTCTGGCTTCTTTTAACATTTCTTTCCCTTCTGCTGAGTCCTAGTCCATTTAAATTTCCTCTGTGACTCTGGGAATTTTTTTTCCTTGAGACACAGTCTCGCTCTTGTTGCCCAGGCTGGAAGTGCAATGGGCTGATCTCAGCTCACTGCAATCTCTGCCTCCCAAGTTAAAGCGATTCTCCTGCCTCAGTCTCCCAAGTAGCTGGGACTACAGGCATGCACCACCATGCCCGGCTGATTTTGTATTTTTAACAGAGACGGGGTTTCACCATATTGGTCAGACTGACCTCAAACTCCTGACCTCAAATGATCCGCCCACCTCGGCCTCCCAAAGTGCTGAGATTACAGGCGTGAGCCACCGCGCCCAGCCGGACTCTGGGATTTAAAGATAACCAAGTGAAAATAGGTTCATCCTCTTTGACTCACAGCCTGGCTGCCTGTGGAGGCAATGAGGAGCTGACATTCACCTGACCCCCGTCCTCTACTTTCGGGTATGCAGAGGCTCTCTTTTGCTGCCCGCGTCAAGTTAGAAGAGGCCACATGATTCTTCGGGACAGTGAACCATGAACAAAGGTGTACTGCAGTCATGTGTTGCTTAAAGACCCGTATACGCTCCGAGAAATGCGTCATTAGGCGATTCTGTCGTCGTGTGAACATTCTAGAGTGTACTCACACACACCTAAATGGGCTAGCCTACCACACACCTAGGCCATGTGGCATAGCCATTGCTCCCAGGCTACAAACCTATCCAGCATGTTACTATACTAAATACTGTAGGGAATTGTAGCACAGTGGTGAAGTATTTGTCCATCTAAACATAGAAAAGCACTTTGGGAGGCCAAGGCGGGCAGATGACTTGAGGTCAGGAATTTGAGACCAGCCTGGCTAACATGGTGAAACCCTATCTCTACTAAAAATACAAAAATTAGCCAGGCATGGTGGCAGGTGCCTGTAATCCCAGCTACTCAAGAGGCTGAGGCAGGAGAATCGCTTGAACCCGGGAGGCGGAGGTTGCAGTGAGCCGAGATCAGGCCATTGCACTCTAGCCTGAGGGACAGAATAAGACTCCGTCTCAAAAAAAATAAAAAATAAATAAATAAACATAGAAAAGATACAGTAGAAATACAGCATTCTAATTGAGTGGGCCCACCTTCACAGACGCAACCCATCATTGACAGAAAGGTCGTTATGCAGCGTGTGCTGTGCTCCCAGGCTAAGCGTTTCATTGCCGATGCTCAGCTCTTCAGTCCTCTCATTGTCTGCTGGCATGTTCCATATGGTGCAAAGTGCCAGAGAGGACATCGTTATGGCTTATGGCTTGTATATTGCAGCTACTCAAATAAAAAAAATTATTAATTTGGGAGATAAACTGGGAGATCAAGGTTCCAAAGGAGGAGAGGTTCGCCCCAGGGTCACATACAAGGGGAGCAGTGGAGAAACTGCATGGGCTGTGAAGGGGGCTGTATTGAGGATTTCACCAGTGGCTGGGAAACGGTGAGCTAGGAGACGTCGACGTCTTCAGAGGAGGATCAGGACTTGGGGGAATTTGTGGGTTCCCTGGCAGCCTCACAGTGGTTGTCAGACCCTTCCCTCTTTGGAATGTGCCATCACAAGGCATTACATGCAATAGGTGTAATGACGGTGCACTAGCAGGCACACAGTAGGGAGACTGACCTAATGCACAGTAGGTAGACATTAGTGCATTAACACACACACATAGTAGGACTGACTGTCAGCATACTAGCAGGCACACACAATAGCTGGCAGGCCTTGACCACGGACAGAGTATTTTTCTCTACACTGTGGAAGAATATCTGAGGTCCTCTTGAGAAGCGTGAACTACATTCAGCTAATTTTTTATATTTCGTAGAAATGGGTTCTTGCTTTTTTGCCCAGGCTGGTCTTGAACTCCTGGGCTCAAGCGATCCACCCGCCCACTCGCCTCAGCCTCCCACAGTGCTGGGACTATGGGTGTGAGCCACCGTGCCCAGCTCTGCATTTTATTTTTTGAGAAAAAACAATCATACACCCAAAGTGTGTTTATAATTTACATGCACAATTAAAAAAAAAAAGACAGAGGCCAGGTACGGTGGCTCACACCTGTAATCTCAGCACTTTGGCAGGCTGAGGCAGGTGGACCACCTGAGGTCTGGAGTTCGAGACCAGCCTGATCAACATGGTGAAACACTGTCCCTACTAAAAATACAAAAATTAGTTGGGCACAGTGGCTAATGCCTGTAATCCCAGCTACTTGGGAGGCAGAGGCAGGAGAATCACGTGAACCCGGGAGGTGGAGATTGTAGTGAGCCGAGATTGCACCATTGCACTCCAGCATGGGCAACAACAGCTAAACTCCGTCTCAGAAAAAAACAAAACAAAACAGGATCTCGCTCTGTCACCCAAGTTGGAGTGCTGTGGAGATCTCGGCTCACTGCAGCCTCGTGCCTCTCAGGTTCAAGCAATTCTCATGCCTCAGCCTCCCGAGTAGCTGGAATTACAGGCGCATGCCACCACACCTAATTTTTGTATTTTTAGTAGAGACGGGGTTTTGCCATGTTGGCTAAGCTGGAATATACACAATTTAAAGAATAATAAACAATCACCTGTGTCCCCGACACAGAATTTAAGAAGTCCAAGACCTTTGAAGACTCTTGAATGACCTCTCCCAGATGCATATCCTCCTTTCTTCACCAGAGACTCAGTATCCTCCAATTTGCATTAATCGGTCCCTTGCTTTTCATTGTCATTTAATCCTATACATGTGTATCCCTGAGCAATGCATTGTGGGTTGGCACATTGATTCCACTGCATATGTGACCCAGTCCCTCTCCCTAACTTCTGGTGGGTGAGCTCAGTGGAGTTCTCTTACCAAGGTAGATTCCTCCAAGCAAGGGCTGGCCCTTTTTCCGTTTTCTGTGACCTCAGACAGCGACTCTGACCCAAACGAGCAACCACAGGTCATAAGGAGATAATCCAAGAAGGCTCCTTAGAGCAGGGAAAATTGAACCTGGGAAGGATTTGGATAAACAGGAAGGGGAAGAAAGGGAATTTTTGGAAGAGAGAACAGTGCAAACCAAAGCAAGTTCATAGCCACACACATTCAGGGCATCTGTTGGGAGCCTGTGGGGGTGCTAAGTTTGGACAGGCAATGGCTGGAATGAACGTGCTCTGGGCAGTGAAGGAGACGGGGTGGGGGGCATACATCCTTCATCCATGAAAAGCGGCACATGCTGTCAGGTTGGCCCAGAGATGCCTCAGATTCATCAGGTAAGGCTCAGCCATACCGAGGTAACAGACAGTTTTCCTTCTCACCCATACAAAGGCGGCTGCAGTGACTCAAGAAAATCTCCCCTTGGGGCAGTAATATCATGACCCATATGGGGAATCTTCCCTCCTCTCTCCCAGCTGTGAGTTGACAAACTGTAGCCGTGAAGCTGCTGCCAGTTTTTGTAAATAAAGTTTTGCTGAAAATTAGCCAGGCATGCTGGTGCTCCCCTGTGGTCCCAGGTACTCAGGAAGCTGAGGCAGGAGGATGGCTTGAGCCTGGGAGGTCCAGGCTGCAGTGAGGTAAGAAGGAGCCACTGGACTCCAGCCTGGGTGATTGAGACCCTGTCTCAAAAAAAATTTTTTTTATTGGAACACAGCTATAGAAATTTTTTTTTTTTTTTTGAGACTGAGTCATGCTCTGTAGTCCAGGCTAGAGTGCAATGGCGCTATCTCGGCTCACTGCAATCTCCGTCTCGCAGGCTCAAGCAATTCTCGTGCCTCAGCCTCCCAAGTATCTGAGATTACAGGTGCCCGCCCCCACGCCTGGCTAATTTTAAGTAGATACAGGGTTTCACCATGTTAGCCACGCTGGTCTCAAACTCCTAACCATAGTGTGTCCGGAATTGGTGGGTTCTTGGTCTCACTGACTTAAAAGAATGAAGCCGCCAACGTTACAGCTCTTAACGTGGCGCGTCTGGAGTTTGTTCCTTCTGACGTTCAGATGTGTTCAGAGTTTCTCCCTTCTGGTGGGTTCGTGGTCTCGCTGGCTCAGGAGTGAAACTGCAGAACTTTGCTGTGAGTGTTACAGCCCTTAAGGTGGTGCATAGCACTAGCAAGATTTATTGCAAAGAACAAAGCTTCCACAGTGTAGAAGAGGATCAGACCAGGTTGCCACTGCTAGCTCCGGCAGCCTGCTTTTATTCTCTTATCTGGCCCCACCCACATCCTGTTGATTGGTAGAGCCCAGTGGTCTGTTTTGACAGGGCACTGATTGGTGCGTTTACAATCCCTGAGCTACACACAAAGGTTCTCCACGTCCCCACCAGATTAGCTAGATACAGAGCGTCTACACAAAGGTTCTCTAAGGCCCCACCAGAGTAGCTAGATACAGAGTGCCGATTGGTGCATTCACAAACCCTGAGCTAGACACAGGGTGCTGATTGGTGTGTTTACAAACCTTGAGCTAGATACAGAGTGCCGATTGGTGTATTTAGAATCCCTGAGCTAGACATAAAGGTTCTCCAAGGCCCCACCAGAGTAGCTAGATACAGAGTGTCGATTGGTGCATTCACAAACCCTGAGCTAGACACAGGGTGCTGATTGGTGTGTTTACAAACCTTGAGCTAGATACAGAGTGCCGATTGGTGTATTTAGAATCCCTGAGCTAGACATAAAGGTTCTCCAAGGCCCCACCAGAGTAGCTAGATACAGAGTGTCGATTGGTGCATTCACAAACCCTGAGCTAGACAGGATGCTGATTGGTGTATTTACAATCCCTGAGCTGGACATAAAGGTTCTCCACGTCCCCACCAGACTCAGGAGCCCAGCTAGCTTCACCCAGTGGATCCCGCACTGGGGCTGCAGGTGGAGCTGCCTGCCAGTCCCGCGCCGTGTGCCCGCACTCCTCAGCCCTTGGGTGGTCGATGGGACTGGGGGCTGTGGAGCAGGGGGCGGCGCTCATCGGGGAGGCTGGGGCTGCACAGGAGCCCACGGAGGGGGTGGGAGGCTCAGGCATGGCGGGCTGCAGGTCGCGAGCCCTGCCCCGCGGGAAGGCAGCTAAGGCCCGGCGAGAAATTGAGCGCAGAGCCGGTGGGCTGGCACTGCTGGGGGACCCAGTACACCCTCCGCAGCCGCTGGCCCGGGTGCTAAGCCCCTCATTGCCCCGGGCCGGCAGGGCAATGAGCCCTGCCATTGGTGCGGAGCCCGCCAAGCCCACGCCCACCCAGAACTCCAGCTGGCCTGCAAGCGCCGCGCGCAGCCCCGGTTCCCGCTCGCGCCTCTCCCTCCACGCCTCCCTGCAAGCTGAGGGAGCCGGCTCCGGCCTTGGCCAGCCCAGAAAGGGGCTCCCACAGTGCAGCGGTGGGCTGAAGGACTCCTCAAGTGCCGCCAAAGTGGGAGCCCAGGCAGAGGAGGCGCGGAGAGCGTGCGAGGGCTGTGAGGACTGCCAGCACGCTGTCACCTCTCAATAGGTGATCTGCCCACCTCAGCCTCCCAAAGTGCTGGGATTATAGGCATGAGCTACGGCACTCGGCCACAAATTAAAATTTTTTATTTTGTAGTACAGACAGGGTCCCACTATGTTGTCCAAGCTGGTATTGAACTCCTGGGCTCAAGTGATCTGTCCACCTCGGCCTGAATAAAATGATTATACTGCCATTTCTTGATTTATCAATTTTAGAAATTATTTATTTTCAATTACAGTAGATCAATATTTACATACTTAAAACTGCTACCTCTACATCTGCTTCCCACCCACCATCCTGCAGGGCGCACCCACGGAGATGGGGCTGAGACCTGGCCTGGGCAGCTGGGGGCCTCTTGGGGCACTGGTACATGTTCGTAGTCCCAGCTGCCCAGGAAGCTAGGGCAGAAGGATCACTTAACCCGGGAGGTCGAGGCTGCAGTGAGCTGCATTGCACCACTGCACTGCAGCTGGAATGACATTGAGACACTCTTAAAAAAAAAAAAAAGGGCGGGCCAGGTGGGAAAGCTGCCTTGTATCTGAAGTCAGTGCCTGCCACAACAATAGGCCTCTTGTGTTTTGGACATGAAGCTATAGTGGCCTAGCTCCAGGCCCATCCATTTCTGTCCTCCCCAGAGAAAGTGGCTGGGAGTCCTGAGTCTGAGCAGATAACTAAGGACCCCTGAGAAGGAGGACCCTCCTTAGAAAGCTTTTACTTCTTGTCTTTTCCTTAGCAGAGAGGCAACCTCCTGTGTCCAGCCAAGTGTCTCTTTGAAAAGATTGCCAGCGCTGGGCATGGTGGCTCATGCCTGTAATCCCAGCACGTTGGAAGGCCAAGGTGGGCAAATCACCTAAGGTCAGGAGTTAGAGACCAGCCTGGCCAACATGGTGAAACCCTGTCTCTACTAAAAATACAAAAATTAGCCAGGCGTGGTGGTGGGCGCCTGTAATCCCAGCTACTGAGGAGGCTGAGGCAGGAGAATCGCTTGAATCCAGGAGGCAGAGCTTGCAGTGAGCCGAGATCGCACCACTGCATTCCAGCCTGGGTGACAGAGCAAGTGTCTCAAAAAAAGAAAAAAAAAAAAAAAAAAGAAAGATTGCCAGGGACTCACCTACCATTAGACACACCTAGCAAGCAGAGGCAGGGCCACCTTATCACTGGGTTGGCAGGTACAGGACAGAAAGTACTCACCAGTCAGAGTGCTGCTTTTAGGAAATGCCATTAACTGTGCTGGGAGTGGTGCGGCCTTTGTCCCTTGTGGGACATGTGACAATTGGTGAAAAATGTAATCTGGCATAAGCCAGCAATGAATTCATCACTGGGGAATTGGCTTTCACCATCCTGCTGCTTCCAACAGCACAGATAAGCTTTTGTATCTTTTCAGTATCATTGAGGGAGAGCTAAGGGGGACTCCAGGGGGCGGACAGGGCTTACAAAGTCGAATGTGATCATTAAGAGAGCCAGCTCTGGAAGCAAACACCAAGTATCTGGGCTCAAATCTCAGCTCCCTGAGCTAGCGAGTGATGTTGGGCAAATCACTTAGCGACCCTGACCTCCTTCATTTTCCCTTTTATTAACTGGGGATATGCAGAGTCCCACCTAATTGGGTAGTTGTGAGTATTAAATGATGTAACCCAGGCCAGGCATAGTGGCTCACACCTGTAATCCTACCACTTGAGGAGGCCGAGGCAGGTGGACTACTTGAGCCCAGGAGTTTAAGACCAGTGTGGGCAACATAGCAAGACCTTGTCTCAAAAAAGAAAAAAAATTATTAAACGATGTAAAATCCAAATATAGCACAGAGCTGGGCTCTTAGTGTGTTCCCAATAGACAGAGCTCTTCTCATCACCCAGGAAGACTGGGATATGCCTGGAGTAGAAGCAGCCCTTCTGCTCAGTTTCCTTCCTCTTTGAGGCAAAAGAATAGACACACACACACAAAAAATGGCTAGGCGCAGTGGCTCATGCCTGTAAACCCAGCACTTTGTAAGGTCAAGGTGAGAGGATCGCTTGAGGCCAGGAGTTCAAGACCAGCCTGGGCAAAAAAAATAAAAATAAAAATCAGCCAGTTGTAGTGTTGTGTGCTTGTAGTCCTAGCTTCTTAGGGGGCTGGGCTGGAGGATTGCTTGAGCCCAGGGGAGTTGAGGGTTGCTGCAGTGAGCTACTACACTCTAGCCTGTGCAACAGAGCAAGACCGTGTCTCAAAAAAAACAAACAAACTGGCTGGGCATGGTGGCTCATACCTGTAATCCCAGCACTTTCAGAAGCCGAGGCGGTCAGATCGCTTGAGGCAGGTAGTTCGAGACCAGCCTGGAAAACATGGCAAAACCTTGTCTCTACTGAAAATACAAAAATTAGCCGGGTGTGGCAGCGCATGCCTGTAGTTCCAGCTACTAGGGAGGCTGAGGCACGAGAATCGCTTGAACCCAGGAGGCAGAGGTTGTAGTAGCCGAAGTCGTACCACTGCACTCCAGCCTGGGTGATAGAGCGAGAAGTTGTCTCCAAAAAAAGAAAAACAAAGCATAAATTTGCAAGGAAAAATAGCAGCAAAAAATAGGTTATGTTAAACAAACAAAGGCTAGCAATAGCGTTGGAAATCCTCAAAAGGAGAAGAAAACCATCGCACCACCAGTGCCTCCTGGACCCGAGCCTTCAGGGAGTGTGTGAGTCCAGCCTGGCCCAGCTGCCTTGGCGCTGCTTGTTTTCATTGTCTTCTTATTGGCCCTTTCCCATTCTCCTTCTCCTCTCAACACCTTTCTACTTCTCTTGGCCACCTTGTCCTTTTGTCCTGGCATCTTGAAGAAACAATAGGGAAGCAAGAAATAAAAATTAGAGGATGGAAAAAAGAAAGGAAGAAAGGAAAGGAAAGGAAGGGAGGGAGGAAGGAAATGAGCTTTTGGATCAACCAAACCTGAATCGAATCCCAGTGCTACCATCAGTCAGCAGGGAAAAGCGAGTGTTCATGACCTTGAGTGGATTTTGTTTCCTCTCTGAGCCTTGGGCCTATTGGGAGTTCTGAGAGCCCTCAGATTCCATCTTTCAGCTTTGTTGGATCTGTTTGGATTTAGGGAAATAAGAGGTGGAAAGGAGGAAGAAAGGAACAAAAATTTATTTTTATTTTTTATTGTCATTATTTTTGAGACAGAGTCTCACTCTGTCGCCCAGGCTGGAGCGCAGTGGCACGATATCGGCCCACTGCAACCTCCACCTACGGGGTTCAAGCAATTCTCGTGCCTCAGCCTCCCGAGTAGCTGGGATTACAGACTACAGGCACGCACCACCACGCCTGGCTAATTTTTGTATTTTTTTTTTTTTTTAGTAGAGACGGTGGTTTCACCATATAGGCCAGGCTGGTCTTGAACTCCCGACCTCAAGTGATCCGCCCGCCTCGACTTCCCAAAGTGCTAGGATTACGGGTGTCAGCCACTGCGCCCGGCCAGAACAAGAATTTAACGCACTGCAGAGATGGAGGTTGGGAATGCCAGTTCTCTACCCTTCCCCCAAACCCATTACCCAAGAGAGCTGGTGTCCTTTTCTCCCCATCCCCACAGAGGCGGGGAGGGTTCACTCATTTCAAGCATCTCCAGTGGAACTCTTAGTGCCCTCTATAGATCTTTTGGGGAAGGGGCCCTTTGAGAGTCCCACGGAAGTGACAGCTGCAGCGGGAAGGGAGGTAGCATGGGTGAGCTAACCACTGCCTCGCTCCACCGCTGGACACTCTTCCCCTCCACTGTCCCTCAGCAGCCCCATCTGTGAAATGAGATTCTGGATTTGGGGGAGGATTGAAATGAGTTAATAGACATTCAAGTCTTAGAGAGCTGCCTGGCTCACAGGAAGTGCTTGGTAACTGGCAGCTGCTTGTTATGGTCCGGCTATTGTGTGCCTGTTTCAGGACTCATTCAATGACTTGCATTCACAACAACCTTGTCATCCGGGAACGGAGGAAATACTGCTAAGATTGTTTCTCTTCTTGGTTGCTGCCTCACCGCTTGTCCTGGAGCCCAGACCATTGATGTAACAAGGATTTTCTTTCTGAGGATACCATGTTTTATTTGTGATTCAAGCCTTTTTTTTTTTTTGAGATGGAGTCTCGCTGTGTCACCCAGGCTGGAGTGCAGTGGCACAAAATCGGCTCACTGCAAGCTCTGCCTCCCAGGTTCATGCCATCCTCCTGCCTCAGCATCCCGAGTAGCTGGGACTGCAGGCGCCTGCCACCATGCCTGGCTAATTTTTTGTATTTTTAGCAGAGACAGGGTTTCACCATGTTAGCCAGGATGGTCTCGATCTCCTGACCTCGTGATCCACCCGCCTCGGCCTCCCAAAGTTGCTCTATTTTACCTACCATACATTGTCCTCTCAGATTAAAATAATAGTACCTTCAGTTAATAATACCTTGCATTTAGGAAGTTGCTTTCCTCCCATCAGCTCAAAGCCCTCTACAAACATGACCTCATTCATTCTCCCAGGAGTGGGACAGTCCTAAGTTTCCCAGCTACTCATCTCCAACCGGATTCTCAGAAGCCAAAATATGGATTAAGCACTTCCATGTCTCAGGACCACAAATCACGGGCTCTGTTGCTCTCCTTCCTTCTTCCTGAGTGACCTTAGGCCCACAGAAGATAACTAGTACCTGAGTCTCTCTGGCTTGGGGGCCTTGCCCTCCATGCCCCGCCCAGGTGCCCACAGCTGGGCCCTGCAATTGTTAAACATTACATAAACTGGATAAACTGCCTTGATTTCCAGGAAATAACAGGTTTGGCAACTTTGGACTCTTGCTTTCCTTGGGAACTTACTTCTGAATTAAGACCTACGGGCTCATAGGGGACATTCCACTACAGCCAGAAATGTCTCTCCCCAGGGTAGACCCTCCTACTCACGGCCCTGGCATGTTTGACACCCGCATGTACTTATGAAAACCTGGAGCCCCACAGTGACAGTACTTCCTTCTTCTGGGCTGCTTGCGGCCTGAGCTCCCTGGCAGTGTATGCTGCCAGCTGCTCACTTTTGTTTTCACCTTGCAATTACTGGACGGGAAGGCTGCAAGCTATACTGGAGTCTCCAGCCACACGCCAGGTCCCAGCCCACGTGTACTTCAGGGCCATTCCCAGGAAAAAGCTGACTCCTACTCCTTCAAAACAAACAAATAAACAAAAAACGAACCAAATGGAATGAGCTCATGATAGTACCTGAATTTGTTTTTCATCAGTACAGAAACATTAACATTAATTGTAATCTTCTTCTTGTTTGTAAACTTTAAAAATACATACTGTCAAGTTTTCTTAGATAGGGAGTTAAATCCAATTTAGGCAAAGTCAAGATAGAACCACGACGTGCTTTCTTATTATAAGCCTCCTTCTGTTCTGCAGACCTTTAGCTGGTTAAAATACACTCTGTAATTAGTAGTTCAGATAAAAAACTCACAAAGTTCTCCTGAAACAGAAACTCTTAACAGTGAATCCCTAACAATATTTATCTTCCCAATCTCTTCTGCCCCTTCCCCAATCTGCTTAAACTCCTAGTTCTTTTCCTACCCCCACAATTCTCAAACACAGCCCTGAAGATCAAACTCTAATCCAGAAGATGGAAGCTCAGCACATACAAACAAATTTGGGGCCAGGCATGGTGGCTCACACCTGTAATCCCTGTGCTTTGGGAGGCTGAGGCAGGAGGATCACTTTAGTCCAGGAGTTCAAGACCAGCCTGGGCAACAATAGTGAGATCTCATCTCTACCAAAAATTCAAAAATTAGTCAGGCATGGTGGTGTGTGCCTGTAGTCCCAGCTACTCGAGAGGCTGAGGCAAGAGGATCGCTCGAAGTTACAGTGAGCCATGATCATGTCACTCTAGCCCTATCTAACAACCACCACCACCAAATTTTGGACTTTAAAGGGCTACCACTGAGAAACAGTATCTCTGTAGAAACACTCACTGTTTGTTATTGTTTGTTTTTATTTGGTAGAGATGGAGTCTGTGCTATGTTGCCCAAGCTGGTGTTGAACTCCCGGCCTCAAGTTATCCTCCTGTCTCGGCCTCCCAAAGTGCTGGGATTATAGGTGTAAGCCATCCCAACCCCAGACTCCACCCCTACTGCCACCCGTTGTTTTTTTAAAAGATGGTAGAAATTAAAGCTTCATCTTAGCTTTCGTGACAAGCAAGAGAAAAAAAAAAAAAGAAAATTAAAGCTTCAGTTAGGTCAACCGATTTAACAAGAAAAAATTCTTGACTTGGCATTTTGGCCACTGAGAAAGTCTCACTTTTTTCCTTGCATATTTCCTTGCATATCGTATTTATTGTACATAAATCTTGGCTTCCATCTTCAGAGAGCAAAGTCTTTGGTCTAAAAACTGAGAAAATACTGCTCGATCCTTGCGGTGGGTAGTGATTAGAAGAGGGCAGGACGCGGGTTCCTAGGGTGCAAGTAACGTTCTGTTAATTGATCTGGGTGTTCACTTGGTGAAAAGTCTGGAAGCTGTACCTGCGACATCGCACTTTCCTAATGTACGTTATATTTCAATAAAAGATTTTTTTAAATTGGACTGCTTGAAAGTTATTTTTAAAAATTACATGCTTTTGAGACTTGAGCAGCTGCAAAGGCTCTGTTTTCTATTTTGATCATTCTGTTTCTCGAGATGACCACATCTTTCAGAGGAAATGAGTCAAAGCCACTCTGTCTTGCTTTTCCAGCTGAGCATGTTCTGTTTCAATGAAGTAATGAATGAACTTGGCCGCACCACCCCCAAGCCTACAACAGCAAACAGAGGGCCCTCGGCCAATCAGCAGGCACTCCGGGTTTTCAAGTTGAGTTCAAACAGGACCACCGGAGGCCAATCAGAGTGCGCGGCCCCGCCCCGAACGCCCGGCCGTGACCAACCACGAGGCCGGATGAGCCAAAACACAGCGGCCGGCCAATGCTGGGGAGCCCCACGGCGCCGAGCTCCGCCAATGGGCGCGGCCGGGCGAAAAGAGAAACAGTGAGGGCCCCACAGGCCGCAGGATTCGAATCGAACGTCCTTACGGGAGCCGGGCGCTGGCGGAGCGGCGCCCCGGCCAATCAGCGGCAGTCCCCGAACGTTGGGCCGGCCCAGCCCCGCCCCGCGCTGTTGTTTGTGGTGTCGGCCGGGCCGCGGGAGTCGAACCACAACATTCGCCGGGCGGGCGGCGGCGGAGCGGGCGGCGGAGCGGCGGCAGCAGCGGTGAGCGCGAGCCCCGGAGCCCCGGGCGGCCGGCCTCCCGCGCCCGCGCAGCCCCGCGTCTGCGTCCGGCCGGAGACGCCGGGCCCCGCGCCGCGCCGCGCCATGTCGGTGAACATGGACGAGCTGCGGCACCAGGTCATGATCAACCAGTTCGTGCTGGCCGCGGGCTGCGCGGCCGACCAGGCGAAGCAGTTGCTGCAGGCGGCCCACTGGCAGTTCGAGGTGCGAGCCTGGCCGCCGCGGGGCCGGGCCGCGGGGGTCGGGGACGCCGGGCGGCGGCGGGGGCGGGGAGCGCTCCTGTTGTCGGCCCGGAAGGCGATCGGCGCCCGCGAGCGGGTCTTACGCGGGACCGGGGCCGGGACCGGCTCCCCTCTGCACGTGGGGCAGCCGAGGGTCGGGGGCCGCGGGCCGGGCGCGGAGGCGGGGAGAGCCGGTGGGGGGCCCAGCCGCTGCGTTTCCTGACTCCGCCTGGCCCGCCGTGTCACTGCCCTGTTTGTCCGCAGACCGCGCTGAGCACGTTCTTCCAAGAAACCAACATTCCCAACAGCCACCACCACCACCAGATGGTAAGCGGCGGCGGGCAGGGGCGCGGGCCGGGGCCGCTGTCAGCGCGGCGGTGACAGCCATGTTGCCGGGGAGCGCCGCGCCGCGAATGTAAACAAAGAGCCAAAATGTCTTCCAGGAAAGAGCGGCTCCCGGGCCGGCGCTGGCGCCTCCAACTTTGAGGCCCGCCTCCCGGGCTGCTGCTGCTTGGCCTCGGGACTGGTGCCCGGCACTGGTCCCTGGGGGGAAGCGGCGCCAAAGTTGGGGGGAGGGGGAGAGGGCCGGGGGCCTGGCGAGGGGCTCAGGAGCTGGGGGACCCCAGAGCCAGGGGATGGGGAGGGGGAGAGGGTGATGCCCGGACGTCTGGGGCACTGGGAAGCCCGCGCGAAGGGCCCAGGGAGGGCGATGGGGGTGCTTGTGTTTATGGGGACCCCCTCGTGCTGTTGAGTGGTTTCCCCCCTCCCCCTCCACACACACACACACCCAGCGCTACAGGGAACAGGAAAGGCATGAATCCACCCTGGCTCAGGAAGCCGGGCTCTACCCACAAAGATCTGTTCAACCTTCCGAAGCCCAAGGGGACTGGGAAGTTGGAAGGACATACATCCCCCAAGCCAGGAGGACACACAGATTTTGACCCAAGATAAGGCCAGGAATGTGTCTTTAATCTCTGTGTTGAGCTCCACCAGCCCAGCACACAGAGAAGTGGTCCGGGGTCTGGATTTGCTTTCTTTTTCATTCTAGCCCAGGCCCAAGCTTTTGCCCTCCTGGCCATGGGGTACTCTGCTTTCTTGAGGCCCAGGACATCTCTCCTGTACCCTACCCCCCTAGTTACCTATTAGCCCTGCTGGGGGAGGAGGGGCAGGGCTCAGCGATAGGGATCTTAAAACATTGTTCCCCAGGAGAGCTGTTGTGGACTCTAGGTGCATTTTTGGGATTTTTAACACTTGGTGCCCTTGCCTTTGGCTCTCTGTTTTCATCTAGTCACAGAGGACAAGTAGAGGGGTCTGTCTTGACCTTGTTAGCTAGTTTTTCTCAGAATGGCTGATGCTGTATATAAATCAAGCCAAAATGGCATTTGAGTATGATGGGAGCATGGTGCTGGCCACAGGGCTCTTAGAAACCCAAGAGGGTTTCATCTCCAGGGGACACCGTCCCCTGCACTTGACCAGGAGAAATGGCCAGCACCCGCCTATGCTTGAGTCTCGAAGCTTCCTGCCATCTCCTGTCACCGGATCCTTGAGATTTCCTTCCACCAGCTGTGGCCATCCCAAAAAACTCAGAACTTCCAGATACTACAGCCATTCTGAGGGGCTGAGAACAGGGAGGCTCCCCAGGAAGAGCTGGTCTGGCATCCTGTTTAGTTCCTATTGCCCCTCCTCTGCAAATCCCAAGGAGATGCTAAGTCTCTTTTGAAGCTTCCCTCAAGGAAGGCAGCAGGTTTTGTAACACACATAACCAGTGTGTCCATCAGTGCCCAAGTCTGAGTGCCTTAGCAGCACAGTGGAGGACACCATCCCTGCTCTCAAAAAGTTCATGGTTTCTTTTTTTTTTTTTTTTTTTTTCTAATTTTATTTTTGAGAAAGGCCAGGGCAGGGGGAGTCTCTATGTGGCCCAAGCTGGTCTTGAACTCCTGGCCTCAAGCTATCCTTCCGCCTCAGCCTCCCGAAGTGCTGGGATTATAGGTGTGAGCCACTGCACCCAGCTGGCAATTTCTTTTCTTTTTTTTTTTTTTTGAGACAGAGTTTCACTCTTATTGCCTAGGCGGAGTGCAATGGTGTGATCTCGGCTCACCGCAACCTTCACCTCCTGGGTTCAAACGATTCTCCTGCCTCATGGGATTACAGGCACGTGCCACCTGTAATCCCACACCTGGCTAATTTTGTATTTTTAGTAGAGACGGGGTTTCTCCATGTTGATCAGGCTGGTCTCGAACTCCCAACCTCAGGTGGTCCGCCTGCCTCGGCCTCCCAAAGTTCAGGGATTACAGGCGTGAGCCACTGCACCCGGCCTGGCAATTTATTTTGGACAAAGTAAGTCAAAGGAAAAAGATCAAAAAACGAAACACTAGAGACCAGTAACAGCAAAATGGCAAAACCAGAAGTCATGAGTAACTGATAAATGGTTGTCCCGTACATTACTGTAGATTCCCATAGTTGGAAGCTTCCCAGTTGATAAGGAGGGCTTCCCAGTTGGAAGTGGAGAAAGGCACTACAGACTTGAAGTGGGAGGACAAAGGTACAGGGGACAATGGGTTTTCTTGAGAACTGGCCGAGAGGGCATATCTGGTTCAAAACCCTCATTTTACAAAAGCAGAGAGAAGCTCCAGAGAGGTTCAGGAACTTGCCCAAGCTTACACAGGCAGGCCACCACAGGCCTGCCAGCCATCATCCCTGCTGTTCTCTGGCGGCTGTTTGAGGAGACAGGCCTCGCTGGCTGGCGGGGAACTGGGGAAGTCGGTCACGATGCTGTGATGCAATTGGCCTCCACCCCCACCCTTCATTCATTGTTTCCTGCTGCCGAGAAGTCATCCCCAGAGGGTGGGGGGGGGGCAGGGAGTAGTGGAGGGAGGAGGGGAAAGGTCTGGGTGGGGCCAGGCCTCTGCATTGGGTCCTTTGGCCTCCCCCTGAGGACCCCTAGAAAGGCAAGGGTCAGAGCTCCCTTGGTGCCCTGGGTGCTGACATGGTGTGGGGCTCAATGGACAGGGTGTGCTAGTGTCCCCATTCCATGTATGTTACACACCCCCTACACAACCTCCGGTTTCTAGCTGTGAAAGCTCCCTCTGTTTTTTTTTTTTTTTTTTTTGAGACGGAGTTTTGCTCTGCCACCTAGGCTGGAGTGCAGTGACGTGATCTCAGCTCACTACAACCTCCACCTCCCGGGTTCAAGTGATTCTCCGGCCTCAACCTCCCAAGTAGCTGGGATTATAGACGCCCATCACCACACCCAGCTAATTTTTGTATTTTTTAATAGAGACAGGGTTTCACCATGTTGGTCAGGCTGGTCTCGAACTCCTAACCTCAGGTGATCCACCCGCCTCGGCCTCCCAAAGTGCTGGGATTACAGACGTGAGCCACTGCGCCCTGCCAAAGCTCCCTCTTTCAAGGTGAAGAGCCCTCAAGTCGTTCCCCCAACTCCTGCGCCTGGGGGAGGGGCCAGTGTTGCTAAAATTAGGAGAAATTCAAAGAAGGACTCCTGTGGCTTCCTGGGAAAGGGAGAAAGCAGCTTTGAGGTCCCAGCCAGTTTTGTGTGGTCTTGTTCTCTGTGTTGCCTCTTGCCCATGCTGCTGACGAGGTGCTCCTGGATGGCACTCCAGCCCCTGCCCCCAGGGTAGTGACAGAAGACAGCAGATGGGGGACTGTAGCTACCCCCAGGAAGAGGACTGAGGGGCTGGACAGACTGAGAAACTGCCAGCCTGCAGGCAAGGGCAGGCCAGCTGTGTTTGTGGCCTGAGGCTACAGACACAGGACATTGAAATCCCTGGTTTGTGTCCTCAAGGGGCCCAGATATAAAGGGGCTCTTGACTCTGTGCAGCGTGGCCCAGTAGATGTTAAGAGCTTGGGCCTGCAGACTTGGGAGCTGGGGAGGTCCGTCTTCTCAACTTGCCCTCTGCTGTGGGTGCATTTTCGGGCAAGTGACTTGACTTCTGGGCCTCAGTTTCCTCATTTGTCATAAAGAGAGGATAATTGAAGCCACTAAGTGTCATTGTTAAGGGAGGCAAAGCCTTCAAGGCCTGGTGGCTGTCACCCTTAGTGTGGTGTGAACCCATCCACCAAGGTGGCTTAACTTTTCCAGGGTTGGCACAGGAGGGAGAGCCTCCCCGCTGGCCGCTCTCCCTTGCCTAGCAGCCTGGGAGCATCTGAGGGTGGCTGGTGGGGCAGTCAGCTGGTCTCCCTGCCCAGGGAAGGTGCGGAACAGTGGTGTCCTGGGCTGCCCCCTTGCCCTTTCACTTTAATCTGACACCTTAGCTCCTGGGTGCAATTAACCATTTACTTTGAATGCTCCTCGGGGTGTCATTTCCAGGCCTCATGAAACCCCGTTGGTTTTGATAAGGTTCTTGGGTTTTGTCCTTGTTTTCTGTTTGTATTGCCTCGGGGAGAGGGCACTTTTGTCCTGTGGAAGCTGCTTGTGCGAAAATGAATGAAGCTGAAAAATGGGAGTAAAGGAGCGGCTGGCCTGGGTAAGCCCCATCCAGTGGCTCGGGGACCCCCGAGGCAGCCTCCCCACACCCGTGTTCTCTCCCGCAGATGTGCACTCCCAGCAACACCCCTGCCACGCCGCCCAACTTCCCCGATGCGCTGGCCATGTTCTCCAAGCTCCGCGCCTCCGAGGGCCTGCAGAGCAGCAACAGCCCCATGACAGCCGCAGCCTGCTCCCCACCTGCAAACTTCAGCCCCTTCTGGGCCTCGTCCCCGCCCAGCCACCAGGCGCCCTGGATCCCGCCCTCCTCCCCCACCACCTTCCACCACCTCCACCGCCCACAGCCCACGTGGCCCCCAGGAGCACAGCAGGGGGGCGCCCAGCAGAAAGCCATGGCGGCCATGGACGGCCAGAGATGAGACTGGACGCCGCCGGGCGCTGGGCTGGAGCTGGGGGCAGCCCAGGGTTGTGGGGACACAGGAGGGCCAGGGAGGGGGGAGCCGGGGAGGGCAGGGGGTTTCCCGAAGATCGCACTGGAAGATTTTATAAAAGAATTTTTGTGGGTCGGGGGGACAGTAAACTTCCTGGGCCACGTGGGTCCTTCAGGAGTTTTTCAGGCAAGTTTTTCCTCTGTTTTTAATATATAACTATAATATATATGAATAGATAAATATAACTAATGTGCGTGAGAATGGGCCTGGCACACCTGGGGTGCTCGGGGGTAGGGCTGCCATGCTGCAGAGCTGATGGAGTGATGTTGTGGGCACAAGGCATCTGTCAGCTGCCTCCTTTAACAGCCATGCCTTCTGGAATCTGGAAGAGGACACCACTCCTGCAGTCACTGGGCAGCCACATAGCAGCTGCAGGTCCCAGGAGGGCCTGAGGTCAAAGCTGTGGAAGGCCCTCTTGGTATCAGGGCTCTCTCCCCATGGCCTCTTCCCCACCTCTGATTGCTGGTTGTGGCCCCATAGCTCATCACCCCTGTCTCCTGCTGAATGTGCAGGGCTGATGTGGCACTGAGGAGCTGACTTTGGTCAAAGGCCAGGCTCTGCCCAGCAGGGGACTTGACTGCCCTGGGCGCCCTGCCCCTCCCGCTGCGTGTCCAGGTCCAAAGTGGAGAGCCTGCCTTTGGGTTTAGTTCCCGAATCAGAATCCCATCTCACCAGGGCGAAATTTTAATTTAAAAACTTAAAAAGAGACTTTTCTAACTTCCCTGGTTTGCGGTGCTTTTATTTCCGTTGGTGGGAAAAGCGGTCTCCTCAGAAGAGGGGTGGTGGGGGTCCCTTGCCACTGGGCTGGTCTGGATGTTTTTGCTGTGGGATGGTCACACCAGGGGCTCTGACAGCAAGGTCCAGGTTGGTGTGGGGAGGAGAGAGGGGCCGGGGTCCGTCCTGAGTTTCTGTGACCTTCCCTTCTTGGCCCCATCGGTGTAGCCCCCACCCACAGAGCCCTAGTGAGAAGAGCTGGAAGCCATTTTCATCTACAGTGGGGAGAGCTTCCTTCTAGCTGGGGGCCTCCTGATGGCCCCCCCAGGCCCTCCCAGGAAGCATCTTCCAGCTGGGCTCATCTCCGATACTCCTCTCCTCAGCTTCCCGGGGGCAGTATGTCCCTTTGGGTCATGGCCTGTGGAGTGGCCATGACCCAAAGTTCAATTAAGGCTGGCGGGTCCCCAGAGGGGCCTGCTTCCATTCCCCCTTCCCCGCAGCCCTGCAGGCGTCAGCATGGGGCGAGGTTACCAGTTCCTGACCCAGCAGCTCGTCCTCAGGTGGTCCTGCTGCTCGGGAGGTCAGCTGCGTGGGGAGCCTGTCCACCTGGCTGATGGGGGTGATGGCCGCGTGGCTGGGATTCCTCCTCCAGCCCTGCCCTTCACCGCCATACAGTCTGGGCAGCCCCTTCCTGTCCCGTCCTCCTGCCTCGCCCTCTGCTGGGGTCTACGGGGCCCAAGTCTTGCTGGAACACAGGCAGGACAAGGGTTCTGGAGGTTCAGGCCGGAAGTGAAATAAAAGTCGAGAGGGGCCGGGCCCGGCACCCACCGCATCCTGCCTCCGGGCCTCCTCGGGCCCCTCACACGGTGGGGCAGCCCCTCCTCCAGTGGAGCGGAACGGTGGGCCCCGCTGCCCCTCCACCCCTGCGTGTGACACGGACGTGCTTGGAAGCTGGGTTCGTCCTTTCAGTTTTGTTTCCTGGTTGGAAACCCCTGAGACTCCTCCCCCTCCCCCCGCCCCTGCCCACCTGTGCTTTCCCAGGCTGGAAGGGGCAGCCCCTCTCAGCACGTGGGTGGTTAGGCTGTGACGTCCCCAGGCCTCCTGGGCCTGCACCGGGGTCCACCCAGGTGTGGGCCATGCCCAGGTGCGGGAATGGTCGGGGGTTGCCCTGGCCGGCTTAGGGAATGTCGCTCTGGGACCTTCTGTGGGCGTGGGGAAGGCCTGGGTGAGGAGGGCTGGGCTGCACCTCCCTGCCAAGCTGGTGAATTTGGCTTCTAGACCCGGGAAACTGAGCCACCTTCTGACATTTCACAGCCAGGGTGGGGCCGAGAGCAACAGGAGCCCAGCTGGAGCCTGGGAGGGGTGGCCCTGCCTCTGCCTCCTGCCCGGGGAGAAAGGGGCTGGGGCCCAGGGGTGCCCGCCCGGGGCTCCGCTGTCTGAGCAGCTCCTCTCTTCTGTCCAGCTCTGAGCATGACATCATCACATGAAGACTCCCAGGGTCTCTGAAGAGCAGGCCAGGAGGGAGCGGCCACCCGACCCAGCCAAGCCTGCCCCGCTTTGCCCACGCGGGGGTCAGGGGCCAGAAACCTGTTTCTGGGCTGTTTCTCGCCACATTTTCCTTTCCTGTGTGATTTTGTCTCCTCACACCCCAAAGCGGGCCTCTTACTCTAGACATCCCTTTCCCATGCTGGGGAGATGGGAACTGGGGGTGGGGGGAGCCCCTTTGTCAACTCTGAGCACTTCCTTTTCTCTGAGGAGGGAGCCTCTGAGGCAGAAAGGCTTTGGTGACCTCAGGGCTTTATAAACCTCAGGGTGGGGGGGCCACTCTCATCTACTGGGGGACCCCTAGAATCTGGCTGGAGCCCAAGCTCAGGAGGTCAGGGGACTCCTTGGTCTCAGGAGCTTCAAGTGGGTTGCAGCAGTGATAGGGGCTCGTCTCTAGCAGTTGCTGCACTGGCCCAAGCTCAGTCTCACTTGCAGTCCTCTGTCCCCTCACCTGCCAAGACCTTTAGTGAGTCCCTTGCCTGCAGGTGTTGGGGCTAGGGCAGAGGGAAGCAAATCACAAGCGACAAGCGCCAGGCTCGCACCACCTCTCCACCCGCCGCCTGGATGTCTTTTTCTAGGAGGGGAATGGGGAAACTGGGTCACAGCCACAGCAGCCCCTGCTCTGTGCCTTCAGGCCCCGGCTGTCTCTGCAGCAGCCCACTCAAGGGAGAGAAGCGGAGGGCGGCAAACAGAAACCTGCCCAGCCGGCTGCAGGGGTTCGCCTCCAGCCATTGGCACTGCTTCCCCGGAATCCCACGCCAGGGGTCAGGAACCACCCTGAGCCAGCAGCAAGAGCGCAGCAGGCAGCTGCCACCCTCACCCCCAGAGTGCTGGACACTGACAGCACGGGCCCCAGCACCCCAGGCTAGAAGGCAGGTCTAGAGCCAGAAGGCAGGGCACCCCCAATCTAGCTGAGGCCAGGAGAGAGCTGGTGGGGTGAGCACCGGCCCAGCTGGTCCCGGGGCCAGGAGTCTCCCTGTCCCCAGTGCAGTGTCCAGCCCTCCGAAGCCCCGGCGCCCTTGAAGAATGGAAGCTGAGGACTCACTTTCAGGCTACAAACCAGACCCACTGTCCAAGAGAAGGTCTACCGAGTGGGCGGGCCTGGGGGTGGTCTGGAGGCACGTGGGGGGCTGCCTGGCCAACAGCGGGTATTTCCCTTTCCCTCCATCTTCCTGAGCCAGGACTGTCAGAGACGATTCGCCACACCTAAGCTTCCTCCTGAATGTTTATTTACACCTCCGCTCACTGAGCGGTGCTGGACCGCGGCCCCCGCGTGGGCTCCTCGAGCCCCTCCCCAGGAGGCATGTCCACGTGCCTCTCCAGCCCCCTGTTTGCCACCGCGGCGGAGCTGGGCGGGTGGGCTGTGTTCGGCTGGGAGAGACGGCCCTCGGAGGAAGGTCTATCTTTCTGTTGACGAGAAGAAACTGTAAGACAGGGGTGCTGAGGTTGCTCAACACATTCCCCAAGCCCACCAGGGGTCACCCCAGCCTGCCCAATGCCCAGGGAGGTTGAGAGCAGTTCTGTTCGCCATGCTGGGCTGACACAGGCTGGAGGGGAGCTGCCGGGGCCGGGGGGCACGGCGCAGGCCCATCTGAGCTCCTAAGCAGTCATGAAGCACCCTTCATGATCTTGTGAATGAAAAATAAGCAAACACGTCCTTCTGCAGGAGCCAAGAGCTGCCTCTTTGGTACTGTTTCCTGTTAATACAGACACGAG
This sequence comes from Homo sapiens, assembly GCF_000001405.40. Classification (NCBI taxonomy): domain Eukaryota; kingdom Metazoa; phylum Chordata; class Mammalia; order Primates; family Hominidae; genus Homo; species Homo sapiens. The sequence goes on from NC_000017.11 coordinate 76,274,553, forward strand.
GTGACATCCACACCAACAGGCACAGGAATTTTCCTGAGACTACCAGTCCCTCTCTCCTGCTTCCAGGGCATTTTCAGTGCCCTTAGAGTAGACACTGGGAGAAGGGAGCTAAGTATTCCCAAGAAAACAGAGTTCTGGGAGCCAGGGTGACAGTCATGTGCTCACTGTCCACCACTGAGACCTGCCGTTCCCAGCACAGCCTCTGGGCCAGAGGGCTTGGCTTTGAACTCCAGCTCTGCCGCTTCCTGGCTGTGTGACCTAGAGCAAGGACCTTCACCTCTCTGTGCCTCAGTTTTCTCAGCTGTAAGTGGTGCTAACGGCCCCTACCTCTAAGTGCTGGTACATAGATTGAAAGTGGTTCGTCCATGTAAAGCTCCTAAACTACCTGGTCTGTGGGGGGCCCTGGATGATGCTGAGGAGCCATGAGCACCGCAGCCACTTTTCTGTTGTGATTTCCTCCTCCCTCAGCGCCGGGTCCTCACTGAGGGCTGGAGTGATGCTGGAGAGCATCTAGCCGAGGGGCAGGGGAGGGTGGAGGCTCTGGTTGGGGAGGGTCCCTGAACCTCCCACAGACATTCACAAGGAATGTGGGTGCATAACTGTTTTACAGGAGGAAGGTCGGCAGCTTTTATTAGATTCTTGGGGGGGGCCTGACTCCAAGCAGCACTAACCCAGCACCCCCTTGATGACAGACGAGGAAACTGAGGTCTGGAGAGGGGAGAGCCCTTGTCAAGAGTGACCTTGCCCAGGGTCACTTGTCAGTGATCCAGCCTCCTGGCTGCAGGGCCTTGTTACCAAACCCTCCTGACCTTCAGGCCCAACTTAGCTCCTGCGGAGATCAAGGACCCAAGGGATCTTCCAGGCGGGAGGCAGAGAGAGGTTCCTCCATGACAGGGTCGTGGCCTCTTGGGGACCCGGGCATGGCCTGTGCCCAGCAGCCACCATGCAGAGCCCAGGCGCACGAGCTCCATGACAGTGAGTGCACGTGAGCAGGGCAAGGGCATGGACCTGGAGCCAGAGATGTGGGTGGTGACCCTGTCCCTATTTCATCTTCTGTGGAATGGGACAGTAACAGCACCTACCCACCTCCCAGAAGGGGCACAAATCACTCAGTCACTCGGGGTTCCTCTTTTCCACACCCATCCCCCCCTTCGGCTCCCAGGCCCTCCCCTCTCCGGGGAGATAAAGGCCCTACATGAGCAGGAAAGGGGGCCGGCAGGGCCAGCGGGGAGGCCTGGCAGGACGCCCCACCCAGAGGGAAGCTACCTGAGGTGTTGCCAGCCGAAATCTGGGCGCTCTGTGGCCGAGAGGGCAGCTGGCCATTGCTGCTGAGGGATGGCGGCCTGTGCACGTGGGGCCTGGGCTGCTGGGACTTGCGCTTTGAGGTCCCTGAGCCTGATGGGGGACAGGAGGGAAGGGTCAGTGCTGAGGCAGCGGTGAGAGCTCTGTGGGAACCCCTGGGGGTGGGGAGAGGGCCGCAGGGCTGCTGGTCATGGCCGGCCTCAGCTGAGTGGGGTCCTCGTCATTCTGAATTTGTGGCTATGCCCCAGAGAAGCGGTCTTCATTCATTCTCGTGGCCACCCACCCACTCACACAGAGTCCCTGAGGACCTGCACACGTCAGCCCTGTGCCAGGTGTGGGGTGAGTTCTGACCTGGGGTTTCCAGGGCAGGAAGGGAGGCATCTAGAAAGGCGCATACACAGCTAAATGCATGATGGGAAGTGACAAAGCGCAGGCTTCGGGCATTGCCACGGGAGGCGGGCATTCGGGGGCTGAAGCGGTGGGGCTCAGCAGAGGGCACTGTGCTGAGTTTTGAAGGAGGAGGAGGCCCTGATGATGCCATGGACAGAGGCCAAGACAGGAGAGCCCAGCAGTGCAGCCGGGATGGAGGCTGGCAAGAAAACACGGGGCCACCCCATCCCAGCTGATGGCTGAGGCTGGACAGCTGTCCTCCACCTGTGAACATTTACTTGGTGGCTTTTCGAGAGACCTGCACATTTGGAGTGAGGGGAATGGAGAAGGAAGACACCCAGGGTCTAGTGGCCCATAAAAGTGCCAGGCCCCACAATGGATGCACGCCCTGTGGGACCCACGTGAGGTGCCTGGGGGCCTCTGGACTCCACTCACTGTCTTTTCGGAGGATGCCTGGCAGCCTTGTGTCCATCCGTCCCTTGTAAATGTGGCCATCCAGGCCCAAGATGTCCACCTCATCATGCTGTAGAAGTGAACAGATACCGTCGCCACTGTAGCAGCCACAGCCCTCCCCTGGCCCCTTCACACGGGACTGAGGCACAGAGCACTGTGGTCTCAGAACCCTCCTGGGGGGCTCTGGGAGGCACTAGGGTGGAGCGAGAAGGTGGAGGGAGGTGAAACAGTATCTGGGCCACGGTGGGAGGCCTGGGAGGCCGGAATGCTGCTGGGCAGGCAGGTGGCCGGGGTGAATCTTTCTTCCCAGAAAAGGGTAAGAACCTGAGGCTTTGACTGGGTCTGATTAAGGAATTGCCTCAAGGCAGAGGGCTGGCTGATTTTCTGGTGGCTTTAGAGAATGACTCAGGAATCTGGAGCCATGTCAGGGCCTCCCTCCCTGGTGGCTCCAGGCAGGGCCCTGACCTTCATGGCAATCTGGATCTCTTCAGTAGGATACAGGCCCCGGGGAAGGTGCTGCGGGCGGCTGCGGTGGTAGGGGTAGGTGAGGGTGTGGCTGCCCCCGCAGCGCCGGGGCACAGTTGAGTAGGTGTAATCAGCCATATCTGTCACCCTGTGATGAAGACAGGATGGAGTCATTGGGAGCAGACCACCAGGGATGTCACCTGGGACTCACCCACCCATGGGGCTGACCAGAGGGAAGGGGCACAGCTTCTCTTCGGGGGCTGCCGGGAGGCTGAGCAGCAGGGGCCCAGAACAGGCGGGCGGGGGTAGAGCAGCCGTGAGGCCGGGCCACCCCAGTGACTGTGCACATGGGCAGGCGTGCACACACACACCCACACACTCACACATGTACTCATACACACAGTCACACACACACATACATGCACACACACATACTTATGCACATACACACGAAGATGCACATACACACGAACATATACATACATACTCATACACATGCACACACACACACGTACTCATACACACGTACTCATACATGCACACACATACTCAAACACCCACACTCACGCACTCACTCCCACACTCATACACACACGCACTCATACACACACACCCTTACACACACTCATACATTGACACACCCATAGACACATGGCTTACACACATCACACACACTAACACCCCTCGCCCACACTTTCTCTCACACACACACACTCCCTTTTCTCCCCCAGCAGTGGGGCAAGGCATTTGCACAGCCGTGCACGAGCAGAAGCCAAGCCTGGTCACTGGGTGCCTGCTCCCATGGCCTCGCCCGCCTCTCCTGTACCGTTTGTAGCAGGGGGAGCCCAGGCACTGGGCGTGCAGCAGCTCGCGGATTATCTGGCTGCTGGCCTTGGTGGAGCCCCCGAAGTGGATCTGCACCTTCTCAATGTTCATCAGCATCTTGGAGTGCATGGAGCGCAGGCGCCCCACGCTCTGCTCCATCTGCGCCAGGTCACCCCGAGGGAAGGCGCTGCCCAGCTTGAGGCTGCAGGGTGTGAGCAGAACAGAGGGAGGGTTGGCCCATGGCGGGGGCCTTGACCTTGTGTAAGCCGAATCCTTCAGTTCCGGGTCCCTTTTGTGCAGGACCCAGCTAGGCTGGGGGTCGCTGGGCAGCTTGACCCCTCAGCAGTAGTCCTTTCCACAGCATCTGAGGGCCAGACTTGCCGGGAAGGCTTTCCTCAGATGGGGAAGTGCAGGCCAGCCAAATGGAAGAAAGCCCTGCTGCCTGTCTGCAGCTGTGGGTGGAGGAGCTGAGGGCAGCCCCGGGCCTTCCCATCTCGGCGCACCTGGCCTAGCATACCTGGAACCCACAGGGCTCCAAGAGCAGCCTGAAGTCCTCTGAACTATGGACTCCCATCCTTAGGAGAAGGGGAGCAGCAGAGAGGTGGGCAGGAGCCGGAGGGAGCATGAGATGCCCACCGCCAGCCTCCTTCGTTGGCTGAGCCCACCCTCTGGCTGAGCTATACCGGACCCTCCCCCCACCGCTCTAATCCCGGGGTTGCTGAGACAGCCGAAGGCTGAGGAAGAGGTTGAGAAGTAGAGGAGCTCTCAGAGGCAGCTGGCGCCCTTGACGAAGTCCCACCGTAACTCCCAAAAGCAGGTGTGACTAGGTCTGCCTCCTACGCTCATGCCTTGGGAACTGCCAGGGAGCTAGTTCAGAAATCGGCCTGCGGCCCCCACTGTCCCATTCCAAGGAGGAGGCTCTCCACACTGTCCCACAGCACTGCCTTCTGTCACGTTCCGCTGGGCCCTCCGGAGTCATCCCTGTCCCCTGCCTTCCCCATCCAGAGCCCTGGCCCCGGACCCATATGTCCCATATGCTGTCCCATAGCATACTTGCGGCTATGCTGCCGGACCTGCTCCAGTTCAAACACCGTGTAGGGGCGGATGGAATGGTGCCCAGGTAGGCCTGGACCCGCGGGGGTCACGGGGATGGCACTGGGCAGGGACAGAGGGAGAAGGGGCGGGTCAGAGTGGGACAAGTCCGGTCCCCCAAATCCACCTGCCTAAAGAACCTTCCCACCCGCCCCCGGCCTGGAAGGGAGCGAGGGCTGGAAGCAGACACATGAAAGAAAGGGAGAGGACAGGTGGACACAGGTGAAGGGAGGAGACGCAGCCCTGCCATGCGAGGCCACGTGCCGGCGGTGTGGGCACTCACTGTCCAGTCACAGGTGTCTCCAAGGGCCGGTCACATGAGAGGCAGTGGAAATGTGCCAGGAGCTGCCTGTTAGGAATGGGACGCACACGCAGGGTGAGTGCTCTGCCCGGAAGACCCAGAAGGGCTTGGGGCTCTGCAGGCCCCTGGAAGCTCAGCCCACCAGGGTGCAGATCATGTCCCTGCTCCCCAGGAATCCATCTGCTCCCACCTCTGGGCTCACATCCCAGACCTCCCTGTCCTAACCCAAAGCCAGCAGGCTTCCCATGGGCCCCTGAGGGTGCCCTGTGCAAGTCTCGGGCGCCCCCTGGCGGCCACGAATGGGAATCCTGGAATTCAAGCCTACCACGGGCCAGGTCCTATGGGCCAGGCCCCCAGGAGCTGTCTCAGCTCTGGGTACTGAGGACCTCTCCCTGTCCCAAAGGCCCAGCTTAGCTCAGCCAAACCCTGAGAGCCTTAAGCCTCCCCTCCTCCCTTTCTCTGCTGTAATACGAAGGGGCCTGAGCTAGAAGAGCGTTTCAAGCTCTAAAATTCTGTCCCTCCAACCATGGGACAGTCCTGGGCAGGATCCGCTGTGTGCTGGCAGGAGCTGTTTGTCTGGAGACCCCCAGCCCCCTCTGCCCTCACCCCCTGAAGAGCGTGCCAGCCTCCTCCCCTGCCTCCCAGGCCTCACCTCCGCATGGCAGCCGCCTCGTCTGCCTGGTAGAGTGGGGGGCGCTCCCTGAGCTGCTGTCGCAGCGATTTCCACCGATCCTCCAGCAACTGCTTCACTGGGTCCAGCTCCAGGCGGTCCAGCTGTGGCGGGGAAAGAGGGGCCAGGGGACCTCTAAGGAAGCAGGTAGGGGGCTGACCCAGGAGAAGGTGGTGCTGTCCCGATCCTGGGGGCAAGGCTGTGGGATGGAGAGCCCCGCCATGCCCCTGCCTCACCTTGTTGTCCATCTCTGTGAGCAGCCTGTCCAGCATCTTCTGCCAGTCCTGCTCCTGCCCGCTCATCTTGGCCACCAGCTCCTGCATCATGTGGTTCAGCTGCTCCGTGGTGGCATCAAACTGGACACGGCTCACTTTGGTGGCCAGAGCACTCTTGTCGGCTTTCTGCCCAGAGACAGACAGAGGTCCCCGCATCTGGGAGATGGCCATGGAGGGGCCCCATTCCCTGGGGGTGTCGACCCCTATCACCAGGCAGGTTTCTGAGAGCCCACACTCGTCTCGCCAGCTCCCCTCCACTCAGTCTCTCAAAGAACAGTCAGCGAGACCGCCCTGGGACACAGCGTGGCTCCTGGGGCCTGGCACCCACCACATCGATCTCCATCTCCAGGTGCTCCCTGTTGGCCTTTTCCTTTTCGAGCTTCTCCAGACCCTGGTACAGCATCTGGGGAGGCCAAGTGAACAGAGAAAAAAAGAGCCAGCAGCTGCGGGGCTAGGGCACCACATTGAGCCCCGGCCCCATCCCAGCCACCCTGCGGCCGCTCACAGCAATGTCCTTCTGTTTCTGCCGATGGTCCTCGATGAGGTTGCTGGTGGTGATGTTGAGCTTCTCGCAGTCACCCTGCACCTGCAGGATGGCACTCTGCACACGGCCCAGCAGCTCCTCGTCCTGCGGCAGGAGGGATGGGAAGGCTCTCGGAGGCTGCTGGCGCGATCCCACCCCCTGCTGCCATAATATTGCTGCCCCAGGTAAGTTGGCCCTTAAAACATCTGCAAGGCTGGGAGCGGTGGCTCATGCCTGTAGTCCTGGCACTTTGGGAAGCTGAGGTGAGGCGAGAGGATCACTTGAGCCCAGGAGTTCAAGAACAGCCTGGGCAACATAGGGAGACCCTGTCTCAAAAACAATGGAAAACAATTTTCCACTAACAGTGCGGGAGGCCCTCTGTCTGCCCTTTCTGGGTGTCCACCCCCACAGGACACAAGCGTCAGTCACCTACATCCCCATGGACTAGCCTTGTGACCCTGGCCTGCCGGTCAGGGGTCATTAGAGGTGATGGAGGCTCAGGAGTGATGTGCTGTCCCGGGGCACTTGAGAGCTGGGCTGTGGGCTTTATTCTCCCCTCCTCTCCTGGCCCAAATCTGAGTTCCTCAGCCCAAGAGGCAGGACCCAGGATTTGTGGCTGTGCCCGCCCCCACCAGCAAGCCTGCCCTTTCTAGGGAAATTGAGAAGGGGTTGGAAGACTCGCGTGCCAGGGAGTCAACATCTCCTACAGTTGGGCCTGTGTCTCCAGGGCACGCGAAGGGCACTGATCTGTCCTCAGCCGGCCTGTGCTGTCCCACCCCATCAAGCCAGCTCTTCCCCATGGTCTCCTGTCCCCAAAGCTAGTTCTGCTGCTACCCTCGCTGTGGACCTGCAGAAAGACCAGGGACTCTTGTGGGATCTGGCTAAAGGGCTCCGCCACGGAGAGCTGACCTTGAGGCCCAAACACCCGCCCCACTTCTGTGGGTCTGCAGCAGGGTGGCCCTCCTCTGTGGGGCCATGTCCAGTTGCAGCAGGAGGGAGGCGAGCAGAGCCCCACCTGTCTCTGGAGCTTGGCCTTCTTGGAGGGTCGGGAGACGGCCAGGCTGTTGACCATGTCTTGGAGTTGCTCATAGCGCCGCACCAGCGTGCTGACCTGATGGCTCACATCCAGGCTGCAGGCTGGACAGGTGGCCTCAGGGTCGATCTGGCCAGGAGCCAAGGTGTGGGCCTTGTGCGGGGCCATGCTCATGGACAGGAGCGTGGAGGAGGAGGTCAGCATGCTCTCAATGATCATCCTGAGCTTGTCCAACTGCGTGCAGGAGAGACGGCAGCAGCAGGGCAGTGAGGCCAGTCACGGCCACGCTCTGCCCATGCTGGCACTGCCCCTAGCCTGTGTGCCTCTCCCCTGTCGTGCCCTGGGCAGTTGCTGCATCCTCAGTGCCTCCCAGAGCATGTGCCATCATGGGCATCTATCCAGTAAACGGTGAGTAGAGAGAGTTCTCCGAGAACACAGTGTCAACACTGAACCAAGCCCTTGCCAGAAGAAGGCCTCTGGAGCTTTCTCCAGCCAGCCCACCAGCTCAGCATGAGAACATCTCTTCTTTAGCTAAATCGTAAAGTGCTGCTGCCAGTTAGCCGGGCCATAAACACACAGAGGACCGTAATGACACACAGGCCCCGCCCCAGGCTCTGGGGCTGTGAGGGGTGGGCTTGCACACGCTCCTGCTCACATGCCATGGGGAACGGACATGCTCCATCCACCTAGCATGTAAATAACTCACGATACAGGAACTTGGCAGGTGCTGACACTGCTCCAGGGGCCTCTCCAAGGCTGGGCGGTGCAAACCCCTTCCAGGGCAAGTGCCTTGAAGGCTGCCCTGGTGTTCTCCTCTGCATCCCGCAGGCCCCATTCGTCACCCCAAATGAGAGTTCCCAGGTAGACAGCTGATCCAAGGGCAGCCGGTCCCTCAACTGGCCAAAGACCTGAGACATGTTGCTTGGCTCAAAAAGAGAGGCTGGGCCAACCTGGGCTCCTCTCTGGGGAGTGGGTGATGGAACAGAAAGGACTCTGCAGGGCTGGGGCAGCCACTGCAGAGCGCGAGGGAGAGCAAGGTGGATTGAGAGTGGAATGGGAGAGTGACGTGGGGGCTGAGAGGATGGGTAAGGAGAGGGACACAGGTACCCACAAAAGCAGATGCAGAGGGACAGGTGGGGTGGCCCACCCTGGCCTGCCCCCATGGCCTGGAAGTTCCCTTTTCCTCCACGGCCTACAGCTGCACATCCCCAGGGCAGCATCCTCTTGCCTGGGCTCACAGAGATGCTGCCACTTACAACCAGAAGAGCCTGCCCGGAGGCAGGTACCTCCGAGGGCCCCGGATGCAGAAGGACTGGCCAGTTCTCTCTCGAAAAGAGGAAGAGGCCTCCTAGAAAAATGGGCATTTCAGTGGAGTCTTAACACTAAGCCGCAGCTATCTGTGTAAAGAACAGCAGGAAAGAATAGGAGTGTGTTCAGAGAAAGGCAGGAGGCCAAGGTGGCTAAAGATGGGGCATGTGGAAGTGGGGCCTCCAAAAAAAGCCTGCAAAAGGAGGCTAGGCCAGCCCAACAGGAAGTGGATTGTCTCCTGAGTGTGGTCCTGGGACAGCCAGACATGAGCTTGGACTGACAGGTGACTCTTAAACGCTCCCAGCTGCTCCTCAGGCAGGACTCCTGGCCCGGGGTCATGACATGGGGCACACCACAGTTCCAGCAACTTGGGAGCCTGGAATGTGGCTCAAAGCACAAAGCGGGCCAGGCACGTGGCTCACGCCTGTAATCCCAGCACTTTGGGAGGCCAAGGTGGGTGGATCACCTGAGGTCAGGAGTTTGAGACCAGCCTGGCTAACATGGTGAAACCCCATCTCTACTAAAAATACAAAAATTATCCAGGTGTGCTGGTGGGTGCCTGTAGTCTCAGCTACTTGGGAGGCTGAGGCAGGAGAATTGCTTGAACCTGGGAGACGGAGGTTGCAGTGAGCTGAAATCATGCCATTGGACTCCAGCCTGGGCAACAAGAGCGAAACTCTGTCTCAAAAAAAAAAGCGGGGTGCAGTGGCTCATGCCTATAATCCTAGCACTTTGGGAGGCCAAGGCAGGTGAATGACCTGAGGTCAGGAGTTCAAGACCGGCCTGACCAATGTGGTGAAACCCTGTATCTACTAAAAATACAAAAAAATTACCCAGGCATGGCGGTGTGCACCTGTAGTCCCAGCTACCCAGGAGTCTGAGATAGGAGAATCACTTGAACCCGGGAGGTGGAGAATGCAGTGAGCTGAGATGGTGCCACTGCACTCCAGCCTGGGCAACAGAGCAAAACTCTGTCTCCAAAAAAAAAAAAAAAAAAAAAAAAAAAATGCACAAAGAGGTTCCTGACATGAACCCGCTTGGCCCAGTGGCTTTTCCTAGGTGGTTCTTCTGTGAGCACTCAGAGGGCTGCTCCTGATTCAGACAATCCTTAGTGAGAAAATGACCAAGAATTGCATTGCAAGGCTTAAAGACAGACACTGTCAAGAAAATGAAAAGATGACCCACAGAATGGGAGAAAATATTTGCAAGTCATCTATCAAATAAGAGTGTAGCATCCAGAACATGTAAAGAGCTCTTTCAACTCAACAATAAAATGACAAATAACTCACCTGAAAAAATGGATGAAGGATTTGGATATGTATATTTTATCTCTAAAGAAAGTATACAGGCCAGGCGTGGTGGCTCACGCCTGTAATCCCAGCACTTTGGGAGACCGAGGCGGGTGGATCACGAGGTCAGGAGTTCAAGACCAGCCTGGCCAAGAAGGTGAAACCCCGTCTCTACTGAAAATACAAAAAATTAGCCGGGTGCAGTGGCAGGCGCCTGTAATCCCAGCTGCTTGGGAGGCTGAGGCAGGAGAATCACTTGAACTCAGAGGGCGGAGGTTGCAGTGAGCTGAGATTGCGCCACTGCACTCCAGCCTGACAACAGAGTGAGACTCCGTCTCAAAGAAAAAAAAAAAAGATGAAAAAGAAAGTATACAAATGGCCAAAAAGCACATGAAAAGATGCTCAGCATCTTTAGTCACTAGGGAAACGCACATCAAAACTATAATGAGATCCCACCTCACACCCACTAAAGTGGCTATAATTTTTTTTTTTTTTTGAGACAGGGTCTCGCTGTCACCCAGGCTGGCGTCCAGTGGCGCGATCATGGCTCACTGCAACCTCCGCCTCCCAGGTTCAAGTGATTCTCCTACCTCAGCCTCCTGAGAAGGTGGGATTACAGGTGTGCACCACCACACCCAGCTATTTTCTGTTGTTGTTGTTGTTGTTGTTTTTGAGATGGAGTCTCGCTTTTTCACCCAACCTGGAGTGCATGGTGCGATCTCAGCTCACTGCAACCTCTGCCTCCCAGATTCAAGTGATTCTCCTGCCCCAGCCTCCTGAGTAGCTGGGATTACAGGCACGTGCCACCTCGCCCGGCTAATTTTTGTATTTTTTTAGTAGAGACGGGGTTTCACCATGTTGGTCAGGCTGGTCTCGAACTCCTGACCTCGTGATCCACCCGTCTGGGCCTCCCAAAGTGCTGGGATTACAGGCGTGAGCCACCACACCTGGCCTATTTTCTGTATTTTTAGTAGAGATGGGGTTTCATCATGTTGGCCAGGTTGGTCTCCAACTCCTGACCTCAAGTGATCTACCTGCGTCGTCCTCCCAAAGTGCTGGGACTACAGGCGTGAGTCACCGCAGCCGGCCCCACACAAAAACTTATACATGAGGCCAGGCCAGTACTTTGGGAGACCGAGGCGGGTGGATCACCTGAGGTCAGGAGTTTGAGACCAGCCTGGCCAACATGGTGAAACCCCATTCTCTCCTAAAAATACAAAATTACCTGGGCATGGTGGCAGGCACCTGTAATCCCAGCTACTTGGGAGGCTGAGGCAAGAGAATCACTTGAACCCAGGAGTTGGAGATTGCAGTGAGCCAAGATCGTGCCATTTCCCTCCAGCCTGGATAACAAGAGCGAAACTCCATCTCCAAAAACAAAACAAAATAACAACAAAAAAACAACTTATTATGGCCAGGTGCGGTGGCTCACGCCTATAATCCCAGCACTTTGGGAGGCCAAGGCGGGCAGATCACAAGGTCAGGAGATTGAGACCATCCTGGCTAACACAGTGAAACCCCGTCTCTGCTAAAAATATTTTGAAAAATTAGCCGGGCGTGGTGGCAGGTGCCTGTAGTCCCAGCTACTCGGGAGGCTGAGGCAGGAGAATGGCAGGAACCCGGGAGGCAGAGCTTGCAGTGAGCCGAGATCGTGCCACTGCACTCCAGCCTAGGCGAGAGAGCAAGACTCCGTCTCAAAAAAAAAAAATGTATACATGAATGTGCATAGCAGCATTATTCATAATAGCCAAAGGATGGAAACAACCCAGATGTCTTTCAACTGATGACTAGATAAAGAAATTGTGGCATAGACGCAGAATGGAATGCTATGAAGCCATAAAAAAGAATGGAGTATTGACACATGCTACAACATGGATGAGCCTTGAAAACATCATGCTAAGTGAAAGAAGCCAGATACAAAAGTGTATGTTGCATGATTCCATTTATATGAAATGTCCAGAATAGACAAATCCATAGTGGCAGAAAGCAGGTTCGTGGTTGTCAGGGGCTGAGGGACAGAAGGGAACAGGGAGAGACTGCTAAGAGTCACAGGGTTCTTTCTGGGGTGATTAAATGTTTTGGAATTAGATTGTGGTGATAGTTGCACAACTTTGTACTAAAAACTACCTTATTCAATTTAAAAGGGTGAATTCATTGATATATGATTATATCATAAAAAAGATAGGGAAAGATCGTGATCAGCCTGGCCAAAATGGTGAAACCCCGTCTCTACTAAAAATACAAAAATTAGCTGGGCGTGGTGGCATATGCCTGTAGTCCTGGCTACTCAGGAGGCTGAGGCAGGAGAATTGCTTGAACCTGGGAGGCGGAGGTTGCAGTGAGCCAAGATGGCGACACTGCACTACAGCCTGGATGACGAGAGCGAAATTCCATCTCAAAAAAAAAAAAAAAAAAAGATAGGGAAAGATCGAATGGGAGGTAAACAGGTGTTGTAGGGGTTCCTTTCCCTTGCCACTTGTGGACTCAGAGCTGGCTTTGGATAAGGAATCTGGATCCTGGACACATTCGCCACCGCCCCCCCACCCCCTGCCCACACACCACATAACACACACACACACACACACACACACACACACACACACACACACATGATGGGAGGGACCTAGTTTTTGATGAGAGGTGGGAGGGCAGGGCCAAGCCAGCTCTGAGAAGGGCCCTTGGTCCCTGGAGCTAAAGAGTGGGGAATCCTCACCTGGTCCTGCAGGTAAAGGGAGGCTTCAGAGACAGAATTTTCCATGGCAGCCTTGCCCCTGTCTTGGCTCTCCCTCAACTCGGCCAGCTCCTTTTCTATGTCAGCCACGGTGACTCTGTGGTGCACGATGAGAGACTGCCAGACTCCACACTCAGGCCAGACCCATGCAGAGCCTGGGCCATCAGGGACGCAGGGGGATGCAGACACAGCTGGAGGTCTCTCACCCTCCACCCCCCTCCAATGGATTTTGTCTAGGGAGTCCCGGGCTATGCCTCTGTCCTGGGAGGCTTCTGGGCGGTAGGACTGGGCACTGCAAAGAGAGAGCTCAGAGGGGCCGTCAGAAGTTGTCTCCTTCAGCCTCCGACTGGGGACACAGTCTAAGAAGCTTATTTTTGCATTTCCAAGACCTGGTCCTGAGTTGCTTTGGGAACCTGGGGAACTTCTACCAGTTCCTTGAACTAGACATGGACAATGTGAAGAGCAGACACAATCCAGGTCAAAGACAGTGGTCCATTCAGGGGCATAAGGGAGCCACTGGCCGCCATCACCTCCTTGGCTGAGAATTCGTGATGCCAGGGGACCAGCTGCTCTTAGCTGGGGCATTTTACCTGAGGACACCCAGCTGCAATCTCAGCTCTCCAGCTTTCAGTTCCTTCCCTGCTTCTTGATTCCCTTCCCCTTCCAGGATCCTCTGCAGCCTTTCCACCTACAAACCCAGTGAATGAGGAGGGTCAGGCAGGCCTGAGCTCCCGCTTCCCAAGTGTGCCCTTGCATGCAGCTCATGCCAGCCCTCCCCGTTCCCTCTACTAACCCAACCCCCTCCGACAAAAGCCAGGAGCCCTTGTGGACATCCATCCGCCCATTCATCCATCCCATGGATGTAGAAAGCTGGCATTAAGAGAATGACTGGGCCAGGCACGATGGCTCACGCCTGTAATCCCAGCACTTTTGAGAGGCCGAGGCGGGTGGATCACCTGAGGTCAGGAGTTCAAGACCAGCCTTGCCAACAAGGGGAAACCCATCTCTACTAAAAAATACAAAAATCAGCTGGGCGTGGTGGCTGGCGCCTGTAATCCCAGCTACTCAGGAGGCTGAGACACGAGAATCATTTGAACCTAGGAGGCAGAGGTTGCAGTGAGGCGAGATTGTGCCACTGCACTCCAGCCTGGGCAACAGAGCAAGAATCAGTCTTAAAAAAAAAAAAAAAAAAAAAAAAAAAAAGGAATGACTGGGCCGGGCGTGGTGGATCACACCTGTAATCCCAGCACTTTGGGAGGCTGAGGTGGGAGGATCACCTGAGGTCAGGAGTTCCAGACAAGCCTGACCAACATGGTGAAACCCTGTCTCTACTAAAAATACTAAAATTAGCTGGGCATGAACATGCATGCCTGTAATCCCAGCTACTTGGGAGGCTGAGGCATGAGAATAGCTTGAACCCAGGGGGCAGAGGTTGCAGTGAGCCGAGATCGCATCATTGCACTCTAGCCTGGGCAACAGAGCGAGACTCCGTCTCAATTTAAAAAAAAAAAGGAGAATGTCTGAAGGGATCTGGCCGTCCCTTGCAATGACCTCTGGCCCCAGAAAATCCACAAACTGGACTCCAAGGCTGCCACAGATAATGAAAAGAGCAAGGCCGGGTGTGGTGGCTCACGCCTGTAATCCCAGCACTTTGGGAGGCCGAGGCAGGCAGATCACAAGGTCAGGAAATCGAGACCATCCTGGCTAACACGGTGAAACCCCATCTCTACTAAAAATACAAAAAATTAGCCGGGCGTGGTGGCGAGCACCTGTAGTCCCAGCTACTTGGGAGGCTGAGGCAGGAAAATGGCGTGAACCTGGGAGGTGGAGCTTGCAGTGAGCCGAGATTGCGCCACTGTACTCCAGCCTTGGCGACAGAGTGAGACTGTGTCTCAAAAAAAAAAAAAAAGAAAAAAAGAAAAGAGCAAAGCCCTCATTATTTGGCTCAGCTGAATCATAATAGCTTTGAGCATCAGTTTTTAAAAAAAATTTTTTTAGAGACAGGGTCTTGCCCTGTCACTCAGGCTAGAGTGCCATGGCGTGATCATAGCTTACTGCAGCCTCAAACTCAGGCTCAAGTGATCCTCCTGCCTCAGCCTCCCAAGTAGCTGAGACTACAGGCATGCACCACCATGTCTGGCTAATTTTTAAATTTTTTGTAGAGATAAGTCCTTGCTATGTTGCCCAGGCTGGTCTCGAGCTCCCGGGCTCAAGTGATCCTCCTGCCTTGGCCTCCCAAAGTGCTGGGATTATAGGCATGAGCCAGCGTGCCCAGCCTGAGCATCAGGTTTTAGATCCAGGAAATGAACACGATGATACCCAAGGTGCAGTTCCTATCTGATAAGATTGCAAAGATCCAATTAGATAATAATGTAAAAGAAAGAGCTATTTAATCCGTAAAATACAAATGGAAAGTGCTATTATTAGCATTAAAAGACAAAGTGGGGGCTGGGCACGGTGGCTCACGCCTGTAATCCCAGCACTTTGGGAGGTCAAGGTAGGCAGATCATCTGAGGTTGGGAGTTCAAGACCAGGCTGACCAACATGGAGAAACCCCATCTCTACTAATAATAATACAAATAATAATACAAAATTAGCCGGGCATGGTGGCACATGCCTGTAATCCCAGCTACTCGGGAGGCTGAGGCATGAGAATCGCTTGAACCTGGGAGGTGGAGGTTGAGTGAGCTGAGATGGTGCCACTGCACTCCAGCCAGGGCGACAAGAGCAAAACTCCATCTCAAAAAAAAAAAAAAGACAAAGTGGGTTGACTCTTCCTTACTTTTGCTTTCTCCTGCCAAACTTCTTTGGCTAGCGTCTTTACGGTCTTCAGCTGCTCCTGCAGTTCAGGAGGTATGGTCCTTTTGACTATGGAAAGCAGAAGCCTTATGATCAGAGGGGTTAGATCTCTAGTGGGCTCCCAATCTCCATTTCCAGCCCCTGTAACACTGAAGCTACCCTAGAGGACAGCAGGACCTATTACTTTATCCTGTGTCTCCTGGTGACTGGGAAAGGGAGGTGGGAAGAAGGGAGAGAGAGCTGTCCTTAGCCCATGAAACATCCACCTAATGCCTGACATCCTAAAGGGCTTTGGGACAACTGACTCCCGAATTCCAACCACTGCAAAAAATCTTAATTACTCTCTGGGCTTGGAGTTGGGAACAGGCAAATGTTAAGTTTTGTTTTGTTTGAGACAGGGTCTTGCTCTGTCACCCAGGCTGGAGTGCAGTGATCCATCACAGCTCACTGCAACCTCTGCCTCCCTGGCTCCAACAATCTTCCCACCTCAGCTTCCCAAGTAGCTGGGACTACAGGTGTGTGCCACCACGCCTGGCTAATTTTTTTTTTGTTTTTTTTGGTAGAGATAGAGTTTTGCCACATTGCCTAGGCTGGTCTCGAACTCGGCCTCAAGCTATCCACCCAGCTCTGCTTCCCAAGGTGCTGGGATTACAGGTGTGAGCCATTGCTCCCAGTCAAAATGTTAAGTTTAATTCTTCAACATTCTCTCCCGCCCACCTCCCAATGCTACTGCTCTCTATAACCAGACACTTTCCCCCACTGCTGTGCAGAGAGCCTGACAAAGCCACAAGAACCCGCTCCACTCCTCTCCTGGGGCTTAGTTCTCTCCTTTGCCCACCCATTTTTTTGGACTCTGAAGGCTGTGGGACATGCTCTGAATGACATGCTGTTTTCAGGGACTCAGGGAGATGTGTAGCAGCCAGGAGTTGAGGCCAGGGGAAGAAAAGGATGAAACCAACTGAAAACAGAGACAATGGTTTCTCCTCTATCGGCAAGCGGCACCCACCCATCTGTGCCAGCAGGAACTGGATCTTCTCCAAGTCGGTTTGGCCGGCCTGCTCCTCATCCAGATCCTTCATACTCTCCTTTAGCCCCACATAGAGGCTACTGAGCTCTCCCATCAGATGAAATGTCTCCACTGCCGTGGGGAAACTAGAACTCATTCTACGCAGTGAATTGCGTCGCTCACTCAGGACTTCACTCGAGACTTCGCTCCCTTCTGATAAGACTCGGTCGACGGAGTCTGGACTCCTGAAAAGAGTGACATCTTGGCCTGGGGCCTTCTGGGCAGGAATTCCATGTCGGTCCGAGGCTCGTGTTCTATTTGGATCCAAACCTTCCTGGCCATGCTGATCAGCACTTAGATACCCTGGGCCACGATAACCAGGATACATTGAATCATGACTGTCAAAGAGAGAGAAAGCATGGCCATGCTGAGCTGCATCTGGGTATACCTGGTCATGCTCACCTGGGCCAGGTGATGCCACATGCTGTTGATCTGGGTGTGTAGATCCCAAACCTGTACTCAGTGGTATTGGGCTGTGCTGGTCTGTGCCAGGATGCATCAAACCTTGCTGATAAGTTTCTGGTGGTACCAAACTCCTTCGATCTATACCAGGTGATGCCAAACCTTGACTGGCTAGGAGTGGTGACACCTGGCCGTATTGTTCTCTGCCAGGAGGTACCATACCATGTTGATATGGACGTACTGATATAAAACCTGTAGAATCTGCCTGGAATGTTGAAGAGCCACGAAGCTTTGTGCCTGGTGCTATCAAGCCTGGCTGATATGCACCAGGTTGTCTCAAACCATACTGATCCATTCCTGGCTGCACCAGACCACGTGGATATGTCCCAGATTGAGATAAATCATGCAAATATGCACCAGGTTGTACCAAACCAAGAGGATAGGCACCAGGTTGTACCAGGCCATGTGGATCTGCCTGAGGTTGCACCATACCTTGCTGACCTATTCCAGGCTGCACCATACCCAGCTGACCTGCACCAGGCTGGACCAAACCAGGCTGATCTGCACCAGGTTGGATCAAACCACGCTGGTCCATTCCAGGTTGGACCAAACCACGCTGATCCACTCCAGGTTGCACCAAACCACGCTGATCCACTCCAGGTTGGACCAAACCACGCTGATCTGCACCAGGTTGGACCAAACCATGCTGAACTGCACCAGGTTGGACCAAACCACGCTGAACTGCACCAGGTTGAACCAAACCACGCTGATCCACTCCAGGTTGGACCAAACCACGCTGAACTGCACCAGGTTGCACCAAACCACGCTGAACTGCACCAGGTTGCACCAAACCACGCTGAACTATACCAGGTTGCACCAAACTACGCTGAACTTCACCAGGTTGTGCCAAACCATGCTGATCCACTCCAGGTTGGACCAAACCATGCTGATCTGCACCAGGTTGGACCAAACCACGCTGATCTGCACCAGGTGGGACCAAACCACGCTGATGATCTGCACGAGGTTGTGCCAAACCACGCTGATCTACTCCAGGTTGGACCAAACCATGCTGAACTGCACCAGGTTGAGCCAAATCACTCTGATCTGCACCAGATTGTACCAAACCATGCTGATCTGCACCAGGTTGCACCACATCAATCTGATCTGCACCAGGTTGGACCAAGCCAGGCTGATATGCACCAGGCTGCACCAAAGCACGCTGAAATCTGCCAGGTTGGACCATGCCAGGCTGATCTACACCAGGCTGTACCAAGACACCCTGACCTGTGCCAGATTGGACCAAATCATGCTGACCTGTGCCAGGCTGGATCAAACCATGCTGATCTCTACCAGGTTGGGCCAAACCAGACTGATCCATTCCAGGCCAGACCAAACCACGCTGATCTGCACCAGGTTGGGCCAAACCAGACTGATCCATTCCAGGCCGGACCAAACCACGCTGATCTGCACCAGGTTGGACCAAGCCAGGCTGATATGCACCACGCTGCACCAAAGCACGCTGAAATCTGCCAGACTGGATCAAATCATGCTGCTCTGTGCCAGGTTGTATGAAGCCAGTTGCTTCCAAACTGGGCTGCACAAAACCTTGCTGATCTGCACTAATTGGCATCAAACCAGGTGATACCAAACCATGCTGGTCTGTAAAAGGTAGAACCAGGCCATGTTGATCGACGACAGGCAATGTCAATCCTTGCTGGTCTATACCAGGGGGTACTAGTCCTTGCTGACCCATGCCTGATATTACACATCCACGCTGATCCATGCCAAGTGGTTCCATACTGCGTTGGTCTGTGCCAGGAAATGTCATACCATGCTGATATGCACTGACTGAAACCAGACCATGTTGGTCTGTGCTAGGTAGTTCCAATCCTTGCTGGTCTCTGCCAGGTACTGATGGTGGCAACATACGTTGCTCATCCACGACAAATGGTATCAATTCCCGATCATCCATTTCAGGTGGTGGCACACCAAGCTGACCCATGCTGAGGGGTACCACACCATGTGGGTAAGTGCTAGCAGGCACTAATCCAGGCTGATTCATGCCAGTTGGTTCTAACCCACGACGATCTGGCCTTAGATGGACCTGACTCTGGCTAGCGGGCACACTACTGGGCTGGTCTCTGGCCAAGGGTAAGTCCTGTTGAACTGGACCAGGACGTGCATTTCTTCTTGGTTGTGTCGAGGTAAGCTTCTCTCTACTCCTGTGACGATCTGAGTCTGATTTGAATTGGAATGTAGAAGACTGATGGAGTCGTGGCACGCCAGCTTCATCACGGGCCCTCGGCTGCTGCTGTCTCCCAGTACCAGAGGGGACCTTGCTTTGTTCCCTACTGGAAACCCCATCAGAGGGGTGTGCTGTGCCACCAGATCCTGATGCAGTCCGATCCGGGCCAAGACCACTGGCAGAATCCAGAGCCTGCTCAATACTTGGTTGCTTGGTAGAGTCTCCGCTTAGAGTCCCTTCAGGTGATGTTAAGGAAGTGAACCCTCCGTGCTTAGAAAATCCCATAAGTGTTTCTGAGCCCTGGTTGGAGAGGAAGAAGGAAATCAATAACAGTCAAAATATTCACTATCAGAGTGGGAAGAAAGGAAATCTGGAAGTTCTGACTAGGATGATTTAGGGCCCCTGGAGAAAAAAGCCCTCTGGTCCTAAAAGCTAAGCTTGACATAAAGAAACACACTGATGGGAGGCCGAGGCGGGTGGATTACTTGAGATCAGGAGTTCGAGACCAGCCTGACCAATATGGTGAAACCCTATCTCTACTAAAAATACAAAATTAGCCAGGCGTGGTGGCATGTGTCTGTAATCTCAGCTACTCAGGAAGCTGAGGCAGGAGAATTGCTTGAACCTGGGAGATGGAGGTTGCCGTGAGATTGTGCCATTGTGCTCCAGCCTGGGTGACAAGAGTGAAACTCCATCTCAAAAAAAAGAAAAGGAAAAGAAACACACTGACGTTCTGGGAGGCTAGGTCTCCATATTTTTGAGACTCTGCATATTTGAAAATGGCATGTACAAAAATATGTAATTTTTGTGGCCAGGTGCGGTGGCTTATGCTTATAGTCCCAGCACTTTGGGAGGCCAAGGCGGGTGGATCATTTGAGGTCAGGACTTTGAGACCTGCCTGGCCAACATGGCAAAACCCCATCTCTACTGAAAATACAAAAATTAGCTGGGTGTGATAGTGCATGCCTGTAATCCCAGCTACTCAGGAGACTGAGGCAGGAGAATCGCTTGAACCCGGGAGGTGGAGGTTGCAGTGAGCCGAGATTGCACCATTGCACTCCAGCCTGGGTGACAGAGTGAGACTCCTTCTCAAAAAAAAAAAAAAAAGTGTAATTTTTCTTCATAAAAGATGGGGAAAACTGCAAAATACAAGTGATCTCTCTGGACTTTTGCTTAGCCTTTAAATAAAGGACATAAGTAATTTATTAAGTTTAAAATATAAAGTCTGGGTCTGGCACGGTGGCTCATGCCTGTAATCCCAGCACTTTGGGAGGCCGAGGTGGGCAGATCACAAGGTCAAGAGATTGAGACCATCCTGGCCAACATGATGAAACCCCGTCTCTACTAAAAACAAATAAATAAATAAATAAATAAATAAATAAATAAAATTAGCTGGGTGTGGTGGCACGTGCCTGTCGTCCCAGCTACTTGGGAGGACAAGTCATGAGAATCGCCTGAACCCAGGAGGCAGAGGTTACAGTGAGCTGAGATCGCACCACTGCACTTCAGCCTGGGTGACAGAGCAAGACTCCATCTCAAAAAATAAATAAATAAAATAAAATAAAATATAAAGTTTGCTCCATTGTTGACCCATTGCTGCTGATAAAAGTGTATACTGGAATGCATGTAAACCATATATTTAAAATGTATAGGCTGGGCACAGTGGCTCACGCCTGTCATCCCAGCATTTTGGGAGACCAAGGCAGGTGGATCATTTGAGGTCAGGAGTTCAAGACCAGCTTGGCCAACATGGTGAAACCTGGTCTCTACTAAAAATATAAAATATTAGCCAGGTGTGGTACTGCACACCTGTAATCCCAGCTACTCAGGAGAATCACTTGAACCCAAAAGGCAGAGGATGCAGTGAGCCGAGATCACGCCACTGCACTCCAGCCTGTGCAACAGAGCGAGACACCATCTCAAAAAGAAATAAATAAATAAAATGTAAACATGCAAACCCATGGACCCAGAAACTCCATAGACAGGAATTTTCTCTATGAATCCTCACCAAAGGATGCCAAGCTATACATACAATGATGGGGTCTGCAGCATCTTGATAAAATAGATCATCAATAAGGGACTGAGATATTTCTGGTCACCAATACAGTAGATGCTATGAATCCATGAAAAAGAAGAATGAACCACTGCCATTTCCAGCCAAGATGAAGTTAACAGGGGCTGGATTTACCCTCCTGTCTGTGACAAGAAAAAACAAAACTGAGGCTGGGCGCAGTGGCTCACGCCTGTAATCCCAGCACTTTGGGAGTCCGATGTGGGTGGATCATGAGGTCAGGAGTTCAAGACCAGCCTGACCAACATGGTGAAACCCCGTCTCTACTAAAAATACAAAAACTAGCTGGGTGTGGTGGCACATGCCTGTAATCCCAGCTACTTAGGAGGCTGAGGCAGGAGAATTGCTTGAACCCAGAAGTCGGAGGTTGCAGTGAGCCGAGATAGCACCATTGCACTCCAGCCTGGGAGACAGAGTGAGACTCTATCTCAAAAAAACAAACAAACCCAACAACAGCTATGAAACGGTGGTTTCCTACATACTGGATATCAAGTTATGAAGGACAATAATCCCCAAGCGGTGGAGAAAGGAAAACTGGGAAGCCTGTATCACCCTGGCTTGCTGCCTTGCTGGAGTTTCCAGACTGCAGTGCAGGGAGGGGGAATTGAGGTGGAGTCTGGCAGACTCTCTGAGTTGAGGAGACAGAAGTGAGCATTCAGGGAGATTCAGGCAACTGAAGGTCACAGGATAGAGTATCAGAAAGAAGGGAGTTATCCAGGCGTGGTGGCTCATGCCTGTAATCCCAGAACTTTCAGTGGGTGGATTACCCGAGGTTAGCAGTTTGAGACCAGCCTGGCCAACAAGGCGAAACCCCATCTCTACTAAAAATACAAAAGTTAGCCAGGCACAGTGGCACATGCTTGTAGTCGCAGCTACTTGGGAGGCTGAGGCAGGAGAATCACTTGAACCCAGGAGGCGGAGGTTGCAGTGAGCTGAGATCACACCACTGCACTCCGGCCTGGGCAACAGAGCATGGCTCTGTCTCAAAAAAAAAAAAAAAAAAAAATAACCAGAAAGAAGGGAGATGACAGAAAGCCCACTCCCACTCCAGAGGTCTGTGGAGGATCCCCTCCGAGTGATGAGCACGCATTTGATGAGTACATGCATGTGGGGAGACGTCCCAAGATTGGGGAAAGAACCACCTGCAGGGCTTGAAGAAGCAGTGCCCTGCCTGCCATGGGGCTGGAAATGGTGCCTGTTCTTATCAACCAGTTTGGAAAAACTCATCATTCAAGTAGCACAGAGCAGAGTGTACTCAGAAAAGTGTTGCCTCAGAAATGGAGAATAATCAGCCCTAGACTGAACACACCTATGGACCCACCTAACAAATCATAAAATCATAAAAGCAAGGCCTGAAGCAATCAAACTGTTTTTAAGTAGCTGTGTCCTGGGGGAAACAGGCTCAATAAAATGTATAAGAATACAAAAATATGGCCGGGTGTGGTGTCCCACACCGGTAATCCCAACACTTTGGGAGGCCAACGCGGGAGGATCACCTGAGTGCAGGAGTTCGGAACCAGCCTGGCCAACATGGTGAAACCCCGTCTCTACTAAAAATACAAAAATTAGCCAGGCATGGTGGCACACACCTGTAATCCCAGCTACTCAGGAGGCTGAGGCAGGAGAATCGCTTGAACCCAGGAGGCGGAGATTGCAGTGAGCAGAGATTGTGCCACTGCACTCCGGCCTGGGCGACACAGCAAGACTCCATCTCAAAAGAAAAAAAAAATACAAAAATATGTACCATCCAATGCAGGAAAAGTCACAATGGCTGGCACCTGATCAAAGATTGCCAGGCATACAAAGAGGCAGGAAGACATGACCCATAATGAGGAGATAACTCAACCAACTGAGACCAACTCAACACTGGCATATGTGTTAGAATTAGCAGAGATGGATATTAAAACAGTTATTATGGCTACACACACACAAGCACACACTTTAGAGACAGGGTCTCACTCTGTCACTCAGTCTGGAGTGCAGTGGCATGATCACAGCTCACTGCAACCTTTAACTCCTGGGCTCAAGCAATCTTCCCCCTTCAGCCTCCCAAGTAGCTAGGACTACTTAGGAATCTGTTTTTTTTTTTTTTTTTTTTTTTTTTGAGACAGAGTCTTGCTGTGTCACCCAGGCTGGAGTGCAGTGGCACAATCTCAGCTCACTGAAACCTCCGCCTCCAAGTTTCCAGTGCCTCAGCCTCCTGAGTAGATGGGATCACAGGCACGCACCACCATGCCCGGCTAATTTTTTGAATTTTTCAGTAAAGATGGGGTTTCACCATGTAGGCCAGGCTGGTCTTGAACTCCTGACTTCAGGTGATCCATCCACCTCAGCCTCCCAAAGTGCTGGGATTACAGGCATGAGCCACGCTGCCTGGCTTTCTGGCTAATTTTTTTTTTTTTTTTTTTTGAGACGGAGTCTCACTCTGTCACCCAGGCTGGAGTGCAGTGGTGCAATGTCGGCTCACTGCAAGCTCCACCTCCCGGCGCCATTCTCCTGCCTCAGCCTCCCGAGTAGCTGGGACTACAGGCGCCCACCACCACGCCCGGATAATTTTTTTGTATTTTTAGTAGAGACGGGGTTTCACCGTGTTAGCCAGGATGGTCTTGATCTCCTGACCTGGTGATCCGCCCGCCTCAGCCTCCCAAAGTGCTGGGATTACAGGCATGAGCCACTGCCCCCGGCCACGTGACCTTTTAAAAACTTTTTGTAGAGACGGGGTCTTAATATGTTGCCTAGGCTGGTCTCAAACTCCTGGCCTCAAGCACTTCTCCCGCCTTGACTTTAAGTACTGGAATTAAAGGCGTGAGCAACCATGTCTGACCTCTTTGTCTTTTTTTTAAGACAGAGTCTCGCTCTGTCGCCCAGGCTGGAGTTCAGTGGCGCGATCTCGGCTCACTGCAACCTCTGCCTCCCGGGTTCAAGCGATTCTCCTGCCTCGGCCTCCCGAGTAGCTGGGATTACAGGCGCATGCCACCACGCCCGGCTAATTTTTATATTTTTAGTAGAGATGGGGCTTCACCATATTGGTCAGGCTGGTCTCAAATTCCCGACCTCAAGTGATCCGTCTGCCTCGGCTTCCCAAAGTGCTGGAATTATAGGTGTGAGCCACAGCGCCCGGCCCTGAGTGTAGTTTTTATTTGCTTTTGTAGCTTTTCAAACTTTCTTTACAGTCTGTCCTGAAATGCAGGGATCTTTCCTTATTAGTGGGCCATGGTGACAGACCCTGGAAATAAAACTTCTGTAGGGGGCCCTCTGCTGATGGCAACTTTTGCACACAGGCATGCATCTGTCTGTCTTGAGACAGTGTACAGATGACCAAATTGTTTTCCGATCGCCAACCTACCTTCACCTGAATAAAATCAAGCTGAATATGTTCAAATGGCCCTCAAAGATGAGGCTTAACTTCCCTTTTGGTCTTGACATCCCTCCCGCTGGCTTTGGGCTAGTGGGTTATCAAAACAAGCAAGCCAACTTTGAGGGCCATTTGAAAATGTAGACGGAAGCAGGGTGAAGAGTAAAGCTTTTGGCGCCACCAAGTGGCCATCTTGGGGAGCGCCAAATATCTGGGTACAAAAGACAACCTGGGATCTCCAGGACCATTTTCTGATTTCAGGGCTCATTCTCAGAGGAAAGCGGCATCAGAAAGATGTTGCAAGAGGGGCCGGGCGCGGTGGCTCCAGCCTGTAATCCTAGCACTTTGGGAAGCCGAGGCGGGCGGATCACCTGAGGTCAGAAGTTCGAGCCCAGCCTGGACAACATGGTGAAACCCTGTCCCTAGTAAAAATACAAAAATTAGCTGGGCGTGATGGTGGGCGCCTGTAATCTCAGCTACTCGGGAGACTGAGGCAGGAGAATCATTTGAACCCAGGAGGTGAACGTTGCAGTGAGCCAAGATTGCGCCACTGCACTCCAGCATGGGCGACAAAGCAAGACTGTCTCAAAAAACAAAACTAAACGATATTGCAAGAGGACCCTGAACACAAAAGGAATGGACTAGAAAAAAGTGGCCTCCACTTTCACTTTTTTAAAGCCAAACCTTTTTTTTTTTTGAGACGGAGTTTCGCTCTTGTTGCCCAGGCTGGAGTGCAGTGATGCGATCTCGGCTCACTGCAACCTCCGCCTTCCGGTGGTTTCAAGCGAGTCTCCTGCCTCAGCCTCCCGAATAGCTGGGACTACAGGCACACACCACCACGCCCAGCTAACTTTTTGTATTTTTAGTAGAGACGGGGTTTCACCATGTTGGTCAGGATGGTCTCGATCTCTTGACCTTGTGATCTGCCTGCCTCGGCCTCCCAAAGTGCTGGAATTACAGGCGTGAGCCACCGCACCTGGCCAAGCCAAATCTTTTTTGCACATGCCACTATCGTACTGTTTTTACCGAGCAGTACATCTTCTCAGGGTGATGGCGGCAGACACCATGAGACTTACACATAAGCATAGACACCTTTAAACATTTTTACTTCTCCAGAGGTAAGAAAGCATGTGCGTTTGATTACTGCTCATAATTATGAACAACTCCAAAAGCAAATAAAGATAAATATAAATATTAAAAGATTGTTGAGAAGCAAGAGAACAAGCTCTGGTAATGGCCACTTCAGCCCTCGCACAGACCAGGATGAAAGCAGTGGGGGAGTGCCACTAGCCCCAGGTAAGCACATACAACACACCTGAGACAAATATGACCTGAGACCAATTTGACCTGCCTGCATGGTTGGTAGAGTCCTTTAGCATAAACGTAAAATAAAGATTTTGAAACTGGGTGTTAACCTCCATTATGGGTTTTGGCAGACAGTGGTGACTTTATGGAAATTGTGCGGTGTGCCTGCATCATGAGTAGAGGGCCAGGATTGAGACTGGGTGCAGTGGCTCAATCCCAGCACTATGGGAGGCCAAGGCTGGCAGACTGCTCGAGGCCAGGAGTTTGAGACCAGCCTGGGCAACATGGCAAAAACCTTTCTACAAAATACAAAATATGACCAGGCATGGTGGCTCACGCCTGTAATCCCAGCACTTTGGGAGGCCAAGGCAGGCAGATCACCCGAGGTCAGGAGTTTAAGACCAGCCTGGCCAACACGGTGAAACCCCATCTTTACTAAAAATACAAAAAAATTAGCCGGGCGTGGTGGTGGGCACCTGTAATCCCAGCTACTCGGGAGGCTGAGGCAGGAGAATCACTTGAGCTCGGGAGGTGGAGGTTGCAGTGAGCCAAGATCATGCCACTGCACTCCAGCCTGGGCAACAGAGCAAGACTCTGTCTCAAAAATGCAAAATATTAGTCAGGTGTGGTGGCATGCACCTGTAGTCCCAGGTACTCAGGAGGCTGAGGTGAGAGGATCACTTGAGTCCAGGAGGTCGAGGTTGCAGTAAGCCCTTATGGTACCACTGCACTCCAGCCTGGGCAGCAGAGCAAGACTGTCTCAAAAATATTTTTTCTTTAACATGCCCTAACATTACAACAAATGAGCCAAAATCTTGAACAAAATATATGATAGGCCAGGGCGGTAGCTCATGCCTGTAATCCCAGCCCTTTGGGAGGCCGAGGCGGGTGGATCACTTGAGCTCTGGAGTTTGAGACCAGCCTGGGCAACATGACAACACCTTGTCTCTACTAAAAATACAAAAATTAGCTAGGTATGGTGGTACGCACCTGTGGTCCCAACTACCGGGGAGGCTGAGGCAGGAGGATTGCTTGAGCCCCAGAGGGGAAGGTTGCAGTGAGCCGAGATCACACCACTGCACTCCAGCCTGGGTGACGACAGAGACTCTGTCTCAAAAAAAATGAAGAAGTCCATTTGGGACTCAAAATACATTCACTGATTCTAAGATGGACATCCTGCCCCGACACCCACACATACATTTTAACATCTCTGAAATCAGGATGTATCTTAGAGTTGGTGGTGTTTTATAATTTTTTTTTTTTTTTTTGAGACAGGGTCTCACTCTGTCACCCAGGTTGGACTGCAGTGGTGCAATCTCGGCTCACTGCAACCTCTGCCTCCCAGGTTCTATAGATTCTCCTGCTTCAGCCTCCCAAGTAGCTGGGATTACAGGCTCCTGCCACCACACCTGGCTAATTTTGTGTGTGTGTGTGTGTGTGTGTGTGTGTGTGTGTGTGTGTGTGTGAGACAGAGTCTCACTCTGTCAGCTAGGCTGGAGTGCAGTGGCACGATCTTAGCTCACTGCAACTTCGTTTCCCGGGTTCAAATGATTTTCCTGCCTCAGCCTCCCAAGTGCTTGGGATTACAGGCATGTGCCACCACACCCGGCTAATTTTTGTATTTTTAGTAGAGATGGCGTTTCACCATGTTGGCCAGGCTGGTCTCCAACTCCTGACCTCAGGTGATCCCCCACCTCAGCCTCCCAAAGTGCTGGGATTCCAGCTGTGAGCCACCGCGCCGGCCGGCACTCATTATTTATAATTCCTGTCATCCTCAGAAATGACAGGAGTCTCATCTGATGCCCTTAATGAAAACTGTACCGACCTTTCTAGGACCCCGTTTCCCCCCCACCCCACCCCCACCTCTGTAGCTGTCATGTCCATTTGTCTAGGACTTCAAGGTGTTTGTTCTGAAAAACCATTATTTTGGTTTTAGTCACTATGGTGTGCTGAATATAAACTCCCAAAGATATCCATGTCCCCATCCCCTGAACCTGGGAGCATTACCTTACGTGGTAAAAGGGACTTTGCAGGTACAATTAAGGATCTTGAGACGGAGGGAGTATCCCGGATTATCCGGGTGGATGCAGTGATGAAGTCACAAAGGTCTTTACAAGAAGGAGGCTGAAGCTGATATGGCCAGAACCAGGGGCTGCCAGCCACACTTAGAGGCTGAAAATGACCAGGAAATGGATTCTCCCCCCAGAGCTGCCAGAGGAAACCAGCCCTGCCAACACCTTGACTTCTGCCCAGTGAAACTGGTACTGGCCTTGTGTCCTCCCGAACTGTAAGATAACAGATCTGTGTGGTTTTAAGCCACACAGATCGGTCTCTGGTCATTTGTTGGAACAGCCACAAGAAGCGCATACTGTCCCCTTTTTCCTCCCGAGGCACTGCATGACTGACTGGTTAGTCTTTCCAGTTTACCTACTTTTGTTTTTTTTTTTGAGATGGAGTTCTTGCTCTTGTGGCCCAGGCTAGAGTGCAGTGGTGAGATCTCAGCTCACTGCAACCTCCGCCTCCCGAGTTCAAGCGATTCTTCTGCCTCAGTCTCCTGAGTAACTGCGATTACAGGTGTGCACCACCACACCCACCTAATTTTTGTATTTTTGGTAGGGACAGGGTTTCATCATGTTGTCCAGGCTGGGCTCGAACTCCTGAACGCAAGTGATCCGCCCCCCTCGACTTCTCAAAGTGCTGGGATTACAGGCTGGAGCCACCGCGCCCGGCCCCTCTTGCAACATCTTTCTGATGCCGCTTTCCTCTGAGAATGAGCCCTGAAATCAGAAAATGGTCCTGGAGATCCCAGGTTGTTTTTTGTACCCAGATATTTGGCGCTCCCCAAGATGGCCACTTGGTGGCGCCAAAAGCTTTACTCTTCACCCTGCTTCCGTCTACATTTTCAAATGGCCCTCAAAGTTGGCTTGCTTGTTTTGATAACCCACTAGCCCAAAGCCAGCGGGAGGGATGTCAAGACCAAAAGGGAAGTTAAGCCTCATCTTTGAGGGCCATTTGAATATATCCAGCTTGATTTTAATCAGATGAAAGTAGGTCGGGGATCGGAAAACAATTTGGTCATCTGTACACTGTCTCAAGACAGACAGATGCATGCCTGTGTGCAAAAGTCGCCACCAGCGGCCGGGCGCGGTGGCTCACGCCTGTAATCCCAGCACTTTGGGAGGCCGAGGCGGGCGGATCACGAGGTGAGGAGATCGAGACTTTCCTGGGCAACACCGTGAAACCCCGTCTCTACTAAAAATACAAAAAGAAATTAGCCAGGCGTGGTGGTGGGCGCCTGTAGTCCCAGCTACTCTGGAGGCTGAGACAGGAGAATGGCGTGAACCCGGGAGGCGGAGCTTGCAGTGAGCCGAGATCGCGCCACTGCACTCCAGCCTGGGTAATAGAGCAAAACTCTGTCTCAAAAAAAAAAAAAAAAAAAAAGTCGCCACCAGCAAAGGGCCCCCTACAGAGGTTTTACTTCCAGGGTCTGTCACCATGGTCCACTAATAAGGAAAGATCCCTGCATTTCAGGACAGACTGTAAAGAAAGTTTGAGAAGGTATAAAAGCAAATAAAAACTACACTCAGGTACGATTTTTCTATTGATCCAGTGGGTTGGCAAAGCTAAAAAAATTGGGTACCAACCATACAGCGCTGGGGGGATGTCAGGGAACAAGCTCTCTCTCCCATTGATGGTGGGGGTCTACACTGGAACAGCAGCCATGGAAGGCAATTTATCAATGGCTAGCCAAATCACTAACACACATCCCTTTCTAGGGATGCATGTTATTCACACGTGAATGACACCTTGTTCTTAAGATTGGAAAAAGCATTTAAAACACCCATATCAATGAAACTTGCGAACTATGAATATCCATAGAACAGAATCCTGTGCAGCTGTACAAAGCGAGAAGTTCTGGGGAGCCCCACCCAAGACCACGGCCCAGGCCCCCACTGGTTCACCGCTTGTGAGGCTCTCCAGCCGTCCGTAATCGCCTGCTCCAGCTCTTCCCAGGTGACCATGGTGACTTCTTCTGCACCAGGAACCAAACTCAGCTTCCGGCTGACTAGTTCCTGACAGTGACAGAAAAGACACACACATACACCCCTTGATTAATCCCAAGCAGCTTTAGGAACAGACTTGGTCTAACAGGATCTGGGTGGGTCCTTCACAGCCCCAGCCCCAGGGAGAATTCATCACCCTTCAAGTGACCAGTGAAGGTTGGGCAGCCAGTTATCTGTCCCATGTGAGCACCCAGCAGAGCGCTGGGCAGGGCTGGGGCAGATTTCCCTCCAACCCTGGGGCAGAGACTTGAGAGGCAGAGGGCACACACTGCCTGCCCTGGATGGACAAGCCCTGGAGAGAGGGCCACACTGAGAGACGGCCAGCCCCCTGGAGAGCCCTTTCCCATGGAACTGGCTGGTATTACCAGGAATTGCTCCCGATCTTTGAATAGCTTCTCTAGTTCATCAACCCGCTGTAAAAGTACCTGGAAGAAGAGTTCAGGAAAGGAGAATGACAGTGGCCCCTACACACGCACACTCACATGCACACACACACAGATGCGCACACACACTCTCACACTCAGACACACACATGCATACACGCACATTCACACACTGACTCAGTGCCAGGAGACGAGGAAAGGGGGAATTTGTGTGGCTCTTATGGAAAGGGAGGGTTTCTTCTTCTACTTGGGTTTTTTTGGTTTCCTTTTTTTTTTTTTTTTGAGACAGGGTCTTGCTCTGTCACCCAAGCTGCAGTGCAGTGATGCCACCACAGCTCACTGCAGCCTCAACCTCTCAGGCTCAAGCGATCCTCCCACCTCAGCCTCCTGAGTAGCTGGGACTTCAGGCATGCACCACCACATCCAGCTAATTTTAAACATTTTTTTGTAGAGATAAGATCTTGCAATGTTGCCCAGGCTGGTCTTGAACTCCTGGGTCCGAGCAATCCTCCAGCCTCGGCCTCCCACAGTGCTGAGATTACAGGCAGGAGCCCCTGCTTTCTACCTGGTTTTTACCTGGCCAGTCAGCCCAGGCTCCTGGGTCTTTTCCCAGCCAAGTGCAGGAAGGGAAGTGAGATGCAGTGGGGGACCTGGCTGGTAGCATGGCAGGAGTAAGTGCTGCTGCAGGGATGGGACCCTTTGGTCCTGGGATTCAGTTTGCTCCAACCCACTTGTGAAAGCCTGTAGGATGAGGCCCACCTTGCCTTACAAGGAAGGAAGGGTGCCAGGTACCTCAACAGTAGCTGAACATCTGTGCTATCTAAAGAGAAAAGCACCTCAAAAGAACCAAAGCAAATCGCTACAACATAAGGTGCTATCATATTTGGGATTAAGAAAAAATATATTAATAAACAAAAATAAAACAAGTTACTTTTTATAACTTTTGCAAACTTCTAGAATCTAAGATTACGTAAAAATTAAAACAAAAGGCCAGGCGCAGTGGCTCTTGCCTGTAATCCCAACACTTTGGGAAGCCGAGGCAGGAGGATCACTTTAGGTCAGGAGTTCGAGACCAGCCTGGCCAACACGGCAAAACCCCATCTCTACTAAAAGTACAAAAGTTAGCTGGGCATGGTGGTGTGCACCTATAATCCTAGCTACTCGGGAAGCCGAGGCAGGAGAATTCCTTGAACCCAGGAGATGGAGTTGCAGTGAGCCGACAATGCACCACTGCACTCCAGCCTGGGTGACAGAGTGAGAATGTGTCTCAAAAAAAAAAAAAAAAAAAAAAAAACCCAAAAAAATTAAAACAAAAAAAACCCCCACCACACTTTAAAGTTTGAAAAGGAAAGCAGACATGCTTCCCAGAGCAAAAGTGAGTTGGTGCTGCGGTCTCGAGACCTGGGGTGATATGGCAGGAGGGCATGAGCGGCCAGGGCTCCCCTGCTGGGGCTTGGCCTCTTCTTCCTGCCTCTTCCCGGCCTCTTTTTCCCCTCCTGTCTCTCCTCTTGGCCTCCCCACCCA
Source organism: Homo sapiens (assembly GCF_000001405.40). NCBI lineage: Eukaryota > Metazoa > Chordata > Mammalia > Primates > Hominidae > Homo > Homo sapiens. The sequence goes on from NC_000017.11 coordinate 76,306,424, forward strand.
GCTGCCTTCCTAGTTGCTTCTGCTTTTTCTTTCAGAACCAACCTAAGGTGGCTCTGAGACATGCACGTGTCTATTACCTCCTGGCGCTGACCTGCGTTGCTTCCTGCTGTTCACTGGACAATACTTATACTCAATGATTACATGCATTTGTCCCTCCAAGAAAACAAAAGTCCAGTTGAAGGCAGGGCTCAGTGGCTCACGCCTGTAATGCCCAGCACTTTGGGAGGCCGAGGCGGGCAGATCACTTGAGGTCAGGAGTTTGAGACCAGCCCCGCCAACATGGTGAAACTCCTTCTCTACTAAAAACACAAATATTAGCCAGGCGGGGTGGCGCGCGCCTATAATCCCAGCTACTCGGGAGGCTGAGGCAGGAGAATCGCTTGAGTCTGGGAGGCGGAAGTTGCAGTGAGCCGAGACTGCACCACTGCATTTCAGCCTGGGTGATAGAGTGAGACTCCTTCTCAAAAAAAAAAAAAGTCCAAGTGAAACGGTCCCCTGCCTGCTGTGGCTTGTGTCATGGCCATAGGAAGCTGAGGTCCAACTCTCCATCCTGACTCCCCTTCTCTGGGAGCCTTTGTCCTCAACACGTATCTCTTCATGTCCTTATTCATTTTAAAAAGGGAATTCACTCTAAGAATCTTCTGAGAAGTTGCCGGCCCCACTCTGAGCCAGCTCTGGGTCCTTGGATGTCTGATAAGTGGTGGGCGAACCTCTCCCGTAAACAGGGGCTAGGAAGGAGGGGGTGGGATGGGGCCACTACACTTAGGAGGTGGGGTCCCCAGGCCCCTCCAGCTCGGGGAGGCCCTAGGCCTTTTGGTGGCGTTCTTTTAGGATTTTCACGTCTTGCAGCCCCGTGGACTGCAAGGTAGAGCATGGGCCACTCTATTTAGCCAGTCGCACTGAGGTCTGGCACCTCCTCGGTCCCCATCCCCTCCGTCCCCACCACCGCTCACCCCTCCAGGGTGGTGGGGACTCGGCTAGGCCTGGAGGGCGGCCTGGAGGAGGCAGACGGCCTGCGCGTGCCTCCGTGTGCGTGCTCACCCTGGCAAAGCTGAGCTCCTCGGCGGCGTCCTTCATGATACTCCCAGTCCGCACCCTATCGAACGCCCGCACGCCCACCTCCTGCTCCTCCGGCCACTCTAGCGCGGCCAGGTCAAGCCCGCTGGCCTGGGAGAAGTGCTGCACGTGCGTGGCGATGCCCTGCACCTGGCCGTCCACACGCTTGAGCTGCTTGCTCAGGTCCTCCACCTGGCCGCCCAGGTCCTTCACTTGGCTCTCCAGCGCTGACGAAGGCGCCTGGCCCACGCCCCTGCGCTTCTCCCGGGGCGCCCCCTTGGGCACCTCCTTGGGCGCGGGCAGGTGCGGGATGCTGAACGAGCTCCGGACGGACTGCAGCGAGCGGCTGGGCTCGGGCGACGAGGGCTGGAAGTCGATCCGGGTATTTTGGAGGTCGAGGTTCTTGAGCATGGCCACGATGAGCGTGTGCAGGGCCGTGAAGTTGACGGCGCCCACCTCTGGCGTGCCGATGGAGAGGTCCGCCAGCTCCCGGAGGGAGACCGTGGTCGCGGGCGGCATCGTGGCTGTCAGGAGCTGTGCGCCGCCGCGGGGCGCCGGCCAACCACTTCCCGCTCACTGCACGCCGCGCCTTGGGGCCTTTCGGGGGCCCTGCGAGGTCCTCGGGGCGCCCCTGCCCCGGGTCCGGCCGAGTCACTGGACAGAGCTCCTGCCTCCAGGGAATCTGCGCCTCCGCTCCCCGGCGGGGTCCGCGATGGCCACCCCTCCGCTGTCTGTCGCTGGCCTCGGGTCCCCGAGCTGGAGCCCTGGACTCCCAGTCCCCGCGCCGGCGGACGTTTGAAACGTGGGGGCCCCCGCGTGCCCTGAAGATTCCACGTAACAACACGCCTCCCTGCGAGCCACGGGGGCGGGGGGAAGTAAAGGCCACCACAAGGATCACAAGGGGAGCCTTGGCAACGGGCTGAGGAGGCCTCCTAAGATCCAGCTAGACTCCATCCATCCCCTTAACCTAGAAAGGCCAGGATTCACTCACTCTTGGCGGGGCCACATAAGGAAAGACTTGAGGGTTTCCTGGCAACCATGCTTTGTGTCATCAGCTGCGTCCATTCCAGAGTGGTGGCCCCATGTCTATGGCCCCATGTCTAAGGGATGCAGTCCTGGGGCCCTGGTCCCCTCAGACAGTCCACATATTTTGTTCAATCAAAGGTGAAGCAACTTGGAAAAGACAACCCACTCACTATTCAGGCAGTTCCAATTAGCCACTAGATGACTAACTGGTGGCTAATTGTCCCTTTTCTGTGCTGCCATAATTTTTTTTTTACTTTTGAGAGGGAGTCTTGCTCTGTCGCCCAGGCTGTAGTGCAATGGCACGATCTCGGCTCACTGCAACCTCTGCCTCCCGGGTTGACATGATTCTCCTGCCTCAGCCTCCCGAGTAGCTGGGATTACAGATGCGTGGTACCATGCCCGGCTAATTTTTTGTATTTTTAGCAGAGACGGGGTTTCACTATGTTGGCCAGGCTGGTCTTGAACTCCCGACCTCAAGTGATCGACCCACCTCGGCCTCCCAAAGTGCTGGGATTACAGGTGTAAGCCACCGCGCCCAGCCTGCCATAAATTAATTGATCTCAAAAAAACGGCCAGGCTTGGTGGCTCACACCTGTAATCCCAGCACTTTGGGAGGCCGAGGCGGGTGGATCACCTGAGGTAAGGGGTTCAAGGCCAGCCTAGCCAACATAGTGAAACCCCTCTGCTAAAAATACAAAAAATTAGCCGGGCATGGTACCGCGCATCTGTAATCCCAGCTACTCGGGAGGCTGAGGCAGGAGAATCGCGTCAACCCGGGAGGCAGAGGTTGCAGTGAGCCAAGATCGCACCACTGCACCCCAGCCTGGGCGACAGTGCAAGACTCTGTCTCAAAAAAAAAAAAAAAGAAAAGAAAAGAAACCACTCACCTGGTCAAGCGCCTGTGCTTGAGCTCATTACAAAGCAGGATTAAACAGCACGAGACAAATCTGGTGTTAACAATTGAGACATGACTTCCCCATACAAGATTCTTCCCAAAAACGTATAAATAAAACTTCCTAACAGAAGCACAGCAAGGCTACTTAAAGAGAACCTATGAATGTGTGCCATGCATGGCCAGCCTCCTCCGTGAGCTCTGCATCTGCAGATTTAACCAACCACGACTGAACACGTACAGATTCCTGTCATGATTCTCTAAATAATACAGCATGACCACCATCTACACAGGATATTGCAGTAGGTATTACAAGTCATCCAGGATGTGCATAGCTTATATGCAGATACTACACCATTTTCTATCAGGGACTTGCACATCCATGGGCAGGAGGTTGAGTCCTGGAACCAATCACCCATGGATTGTAAGGAATAACTGTACTATTTTAACTACTGTTCAAGTTCAGATTTTTCACTTCAGCCTGAGAGGTACTGTTTATTTAATTGAAGGATTTTCGATCATCATTATATTCCAATAACTTGGGACACAGTAGGCCTTTAAGGGGTTATCAAAATAACTAGTTCTTTGCAGTCTTTTTTTTTTTTTGAGATGGAATCTTGCTCTGTCACTTGGGCTGGAGTGCAGTGGCACAATCTCAGCTCACTGCAATCTCTGCCTCTTGGGTTCAACCAATTAATTCTCCTGCCTCAGCCTCCCGAGTAGCTGGGATTACAGGCGTGCACCCCCTCCCCCAACACCCGGCTAATTTTTGTATTTTTAGTAGGGACAGGGTTTCACCATATTGGCCAGGCTGGTCTCAAACTCCTGACCTCAAGTGATCTGCCCACCTCGGCCTCCCAAAGTGCTGGGATTACAGGCGTGAGCCATGATGCCTGGCCTCTTTGTAGTCTTTTTATGCTTTTAACTTAGCTAGGCTAATTTTTGTATTTTTAGTAGAGACGGGGTTTTGCCATGTTGGCCAGGCTGGTCTCAAACTCCTGACCTCAGGTGATCTACCTGCCTCGGCCTCCCAAAGTGCAGGGATTACAGGCATAAGACACGATCCCTGGCCTGTTTTTTTTTTTTGAGACAGGGTGTTGCTCTGTCACCCAGGATGGATGGCAGTGGTACAATCATAGTTCACTGCAGCTTCAACCTCCTTGGCTCAGGCAATCCTCCCACCTCAGCCTCCCAAGGTAGCTGGAACTACAGGCACATGCTACCAATGCCTGGCTAATTTTTGTATTTTTTGTAGACATGGGGGTTTCGCCATGTTTCCCAGGCTGGTCTGAAACTCCTGGGCTCAAGCAATCCTCCTTGCCTCAGCCTCCCAAAGTACTCAGATTATAGGTGTGAGCCACCACACCTAGACTTTTTTTTTTTTTTTTTAAAGATTTAAAATACAGTATTCAACAAGGATTTAGCTTCAACACTTAGGAAGAGGGTGGAACCTGGGAAAGTGTTTGTGTCCAGCCACAGACCTGACTGCTGTTCTGTATCCATGGTCTTCTGCTGTCTAATGAAAAGACTAGCAAGACAACAAATTATTTTATTTGCAACTTCAGAGCCACTCAGATACCCAGAGGTGGGATGCTATTTTCTAATCTGACATCCTTGGAAGATGTAACAACATGAATGCTTCATTTTTCAATGGCTGTAGGCATAACAATTTCTGAAAGAAAAATACGATTCTCTATAAAAGACTTGAAGTTGATTTGGGAGAGGCCAACTGGATAGTAATAGGGCCACAGGCGCTCAGCTTCCCTAACCAGGTTCAACATCAATACCTCCATTTCCCTGGAGCTGAAACAACTAAATGAACATTATAGAGTTAAGACTTTATGTGCCTTTAACTCCTCTTTAGTATCAATAAGATTTTCAGATTATTTTTAAGAAAGCAGCTAGAACTTTTAAGGAACAGGGCTGATGACAGCAGACATGTAAGGCCATGTTATGATATTTATCCATTAGCTCTGTCTTCTTCCTGACTCTTTTAATCCCTCCTCCCCATCAATCCGGGCAAAAGAAGATATCTAACTCCAGGCTGTTTCGAGTCCTCCCTTGCAAGGAAACACTGTATCACTCATGGCACTGCTTTTTCCATGTTTCCCTCAGGAGGTCCAGGGTCGAGACCCTCGTGAAAGCTAGTCATCCACAGTGATGTTTCGGAAAAGGTAGGCCATGGACTCTCCATTGTGGATTCTCCGAATGGCTTCAGAAAGAATCAAACTGATATCCACAGTCTTTATCTTGGGACATTGCAGCTTCTGAACCTCATGAGGGACAGTATTCGTCACCACCACCTAGTCACACAGTGATGGAAAACAAACGCTGTTACTGAAGTCTGTTCTCCAAGCTGGTTACACAGAAAAGCTTATCTAACATTGAGTTCCCACAGCCTAAGTTCCAAACTACAAAACCTTGTTCCACCGAGTATAGTTTTTATAAACCAAAATTAACTAATTTTATGCAAAGGAAAAGTTACATGGCCTCAGAACACAAGACAAAAATCTTAGGAATGGCATGGTCTCCATGCAGAAACACAGTGAGCCCCAGTGCTATGCAAAACTCTCAGATCATAAGGGAAGAATTCCAGCCTCAAGAGAAATGCTCCTAGGGTGTCAAATTAAAGTACCCAAGCAAACCGTTATGCAAATAGACATATACAGACCCTCAACATAACTCTCAACTTATGACAGGGTTATGTCTGGATAAACGCATCATTATAAGTTGAAAATATTTTAAGTAGAAAATGCATTTAGGCCGGGCACAGTGGCTCATGCTTGTAATCCTAGCACTTTGGGAGGCCGAGGCAGGTGGATCACCTGAGGTCAGGAGTTTGAGACCAGCCTGGCCAACATGGTGAAACCCCGTTTCTAAGAAAAACACAAAAATTAGGCCTGGTGGCCGGCGCGTGTAATCCCAGTTACTTGGGAGACTGAGACAGGAGAATCGTTTGAACCCGGGAGGCAGAGGTTGCAGTGAGCCGAGATTGCCACACTGCACTCCCAGCCTAGGCAACAGAGCAAGATTCCATCTCAAAAAAAAAAAAAAGCATTTAATACGCCTAACCTACTAAACATCATTAACTTGGCCTAGCCCTACCTTAAACATGCCCAGAACAGTTACATTAGACTGCAGGTGGCAAAATCATCTAGGGCAAAGGCTTTCATTTTATAATAAAAGCGATTATTTTAAAATAAAGTGTCTCAAGTAATTTATCGAATACTATACATTACATCGTAATTGCAATGGTTTTGCATCATCATAAAGTCAAAAACTTCTAAGTTGAACCATGGTAAGTCGTGGACTATCTGTATTCCTAAACATGTATCTGTCCCAACGAACTGCTAGCCAGCAAAAGCTAGAAAAGCTATAGACAGATTAAGCAATTTAGTATTGACTGAATCATTTTATTATTCCCAGAAAACACAGCAGTAAATCTTGGCTCAAGATTTAGAAGCAGCCTGACCTCGTCTACGGAGGACTCCTCAATCAGGCGAGGGGCCTCTGCAGACAGGATGCCGTGGGTGGCCATAACATAGATCTTATAGGCGCCTCTCTCTTTCAGGATCTCCGCGGCAGCAACAAAACTCTCCACATCGTCAATAATGTCATCCTGGGAGGAGAACAGAGTGAGTTGGTAGGAAAGAAACACCCTCTAGCCCATACTGTCAATGCACACACCACTCTACTCTCTTCTGCACTCAGTTTCAGAGGATTTCTGATGGAAAATCAGAGCTGTGTGCCTGGGTCAAAGAACGAGCATCCAGAAATGGCAACAGAAGCACCTGACAGTACCTTGTGTGTCTGTCAGAGGCGGGCGCAGTCAAGCACCTGTGACATTACGGCTGGAGCTGAGGATTGCCAACACTCATTTTCCTGTCTCACGTTTCTGGTGAATCCCACATAGCCAGCGTTCCATTTATTTTTTTTTCAAATAGACTGTGACATGAGAAGAAAACTGAAATAAAGTGTGCTACTGCAAAGGACTCATGACCCACTAGCCAGCAGATATTTAGAGCTGGGAAAAAAAGTATGTCAACATGCAGAACGAGTCTGCACGGGGACACCCATTCTTACTTGTGAAAACGGAACAGCTCATCTTCAGTTCATCTTTCGGCCCTAACGCTCAAGCATGATTAGGTGAGCTGGTTTAAAGAACCTAGAATCCACATGATGAAGGTGAAGGTGCTGAATTTTCTCACGGGAGTACTGTGCTCATTTCCTATCTGTAGGTTATACTTTAATGTATGTTCACCTGGATACAGGTTTCTGCCACTTGGCACAAGGGAGTTTGGGTGAGAAAGGATACATGGATCCATTCGGATCATCGTTCCTAGAAATACAGTCCCAGAGTGGACAACCTACTGACCAAGAGCCAGGAGTGCCACCTCTGCACATGGATGACATATAACCATACCACGATGATTGCGATGCGGCCTCCAACATCTCCAACTACAGTTATCGGTGGCTTCTCTTTGGCCATCATCACTAGCAAAACAAAACAAATTACAAGATCTCAGTCATTCATGTATCACTAGAGAAATGTAATCACAACCTAATTCCCTGGAAATGGTGGCAAAACCACTATACAGACAAAAAACAAACAAACCATGCAAATTCCCCCTCAATGAACCTGCAATCTCTCAGAAACAGCAGCATTGGCCAAAAGAAATAGAAGGCATGCCATACATGTTACTTTGAATTTTCTAGTAGCCACATTAAAAACAGATGAAATTAATACATTTTATTTTATGCAATTCCCAAAATATTATAATTTCAACATGTAACTGATATAAAAATGTATGTATGTATGTATGTATGTATGTATTTTTTGAGACGGAGTTTTGCTCTTGTTGCCCAGGCTGGAGTGCAATGACGCGATCTTGGCTCACTGCAACCTCCGCCTCCCAGGTTCAAGCAATTCTGCCTCAGCCTCCCGAGTAGCTGGGATTATAGGCATGCGCCACCACACCCAGCTGAGTTTTGTATTTTTAGTAGAGATGGGGTTTCTCCACGTTGGTCAGGCTGGTCTCGAACTCCTGACCTCAGGTGATCCACCCGCCTCAGCCTCCCAAAGTGCTGGGATTACAAGCTTGAGCCACCACGCCCAACCTGATATAAAAATTAATGAGATGTTTTACACTTTTTTTTCTCAGAGGGGATCTTGCTATGTTGCCCCGGCTCATTTCAAACTGGAAGCAAACAATCCTCCTACCTCAGCCTCCCAAAGTGCTAGGATTATAGGCATGAGCCACCGCACCCAGCCTTACACTTTTTTCCTATCAAGTCTTCTCTACTTGGTGTGTGTTTTATACGCACAGCACTTCTCAGTTGAGACGGGCCGTGTCTCATGAGCTCAGCAGCCAGCACATTGCACTGCACAGCACAGCTGGAAAGACAACGAACCAGCAGAGCATGGAAGATTCTGCCAACACGGAGAAGCTGCACCGCAGTGCTGTGTGGATAGAAACCCCACTCTCACAGAGACTGACAGAGACATGCAGAAGGAATGCCGCTCTGCAGAAAGCGAAACAGCGAAAGGCTGCCAGATCATGAGATGGCTTTATGTTATTTTCTTCCAAAGTCACCTTATTTGGACAGTGTAACCTTACTATCAGATAACTGCACTACTGACATAATCAGAGTTTCCTCAAAATCAGGAACTTGAAGACAATAACTCCAGGCCCATCATCTTTTCCTGATTTAATTGGTGCTTAAAGTAGAGACTTTTATCTGACTGCAAAATCTGCATCTGAAGAAAGGCTATGAGTGTACAAAGGAAACTACAGGATAAAGAAAGGAAATAAGATTTTATCCTCAAAAGGAGGTTAGTAAACAGAGAAGAAAAACAAAGACTACTTCAGAAGAACAGGCTAAGTATTCTTTCTTTAAACTTTGTTATTATTCTGAAATATTTATTAGGCTAGTAGTGGGGGAAGCGAAAGAGAATAAAATTCAGGGTAACAAGAGTTTAGTGACTACCAACAAACAATTTTTGCAGATTCCCAACAGGCACTGTGTATCTCAAAGAACAGGTGTTTTTCTCTGTATACTGGCAAATCAGTTGAGCTGAAATTCACCACTACTTTATACATTTCAACAAACATATATTTCCTGATTTCACATCCTAGAAACAAAGACAACTTCTTGAATTTGGGCAAGACAAGAAGGCTTTGCATATAAAATCACTTAAAATGGGGGGAGGGGGGTTTCAAACCACCAACATTAGGAGCAGCTTCCTGAGATTCTGTTTTTAAATTAAACCATGTAAACACGCAGTTATGTTGACCTATCCGCTTTTTTTTTTTTTTTTTTTTTTTTTTTTTCTTGAGACAGAGTCTCACTCTGTCTCCCAGGCTGGAGTGCAGTGGCACGATCTCGGCTCACTGCAACCTCTGCCTCCTGGGCTCAAGCGATTCTCCTGCTTCAGCCTCCTAAGTAGCTGGGATTACAGGCACGTGCCACCACATCTGGCTAATTTTTTGTATTTTTAGCAGAGGTGGGGTTTCACCACGTTGGCCAGGCCACCTTTGAGAGGCCAAGGCAGGCGGATCACCTGAGGTCAGGAGTTCAAGACCAGCCTGGCCAACATGGTGAAACTCTGTCTCTACTAAAAATATAAAAATTAGCCAGGCATGGTGGCACACGCCTGTAATCCTAGCTACTCAGGAGACTGAAACAAGACTTGCTTGAACCCAGGAGGCAAAGGTTGCAGTGAATTGAGATCGCACCACTGCACACCAGCCTGGGCAACAGAGTGAGACTCCGTCTAAAAAAAAAAAAAAAAAGAAAAAAAAAAAGAAAGATTGCAAGCCAATACCTCTCATCAAATATCAATGGAAATTCAGCTCTAGTTTGATGCGGAAAACATCACAGTATATTTGTTTACTTTTTTGCAACCCTACCTCCCACAAAGAACTACTGTTAGTTTCGCATGAAAAACCTAGGCTCTGCTAGGAGGGAGGCTAAAAAAGGCTAAAATGAAAGCCTTTCTGCCCAATATACTCATTCCCTGCTGATACTGCCTTTAGGTTCTGAATAAAAGTGAACACATAATCTGGTGGCTGCCACAAAACAGAGACAGACTTTATTATTACAGGGTAGAAAAAAATGACTAGTACCTCACAGGCCAACAGTTTTTGAATAGCTTACCCAAAAAATAAAACACTAAAAATTCCAGTTTTCATACAAGGTCAAGAATAGAGTGCTAAAACTACCCTAAGTTTAGATTCTGCTCTCTCTTTCCATTTTATCAAACAAAATCTAATCCATGAATAAAATGAATTGTGCAACATTACTTGCGGCCAGAAATCACTGTGAAAACTACATCAGCTGCAGTGAAAATGTTTCCAATTCATCAAACGATTTCCAATGCTCTTATGAAGGATGTAGGAAGTTGTCTTTTGCTTTTAAAGGTAGCCTTTTCCAAGTAAAATAAAGCTGCACTGACAACCCTCCTTACCTTACGCACGCTTCCATCACAAGTACAAGCACCTGCACACATGTGCACACATTTACTCTTTCCTGGGAGCCAATTAACCAAACCTTCCTCTGCTAAAGTAAACAGCAAAAAAGAACTATGAGAAAATTCATTCCTTACCCATTTTGACCTTTGTCTATTTCTAGTTCAATGAAATGTCAAACCATATCAACAAACTGACATTAAAAAGAGATGAGTGGCTGGGCATGATGGCTCACGCCTGTGATCCCAGCACTTTGGCAGATCACCTGAGGTCAGGAGTTGAAGACCAGCCTGGCCAACATGGCAAAACCCCTTCTCTACTAAAAATATAAAAATTAGCCAGGCGTGGTGGTACATGCCTGTAATCTCAGCTACTTGGGAGGCTGAGGCAGGAGAATTGCTTGGGCCCGGGAGGTGGAGGTTGCAGTGAACCGACATCATGCCACTGCACTCCAGCCTGGCCGACAGAGCAAGACTGTCTCAAAGAAAAGAAAGAAAAAAAAAAATCAACAGTCAGGCATGGTGGCTCATGCCCATAATCCCAGCTACTTGGGAGGCTGAGGCAGGAGAATTGCTTGAACCCGGGAGGTGGAGGATGCAGTGGGCTGAGATCGCCCACTGCACTCTAGCCTGGGTGACAGAACGAGACTCCATCTCAGAAAAATAAATAAATAAATTAGATGAGTAAATAAAATGAGGTCTTCTGTAGAACAGAAATGAACTGATTTCAAGCTCATAACCCCTATCTGCATGCAAACAAATCAAAATTTACATTTAACATGCTCAAGAGGTGCCAATGTCTGTTTTCACTTCAGTGGTGAAAACCACATCTTCACTCGTGAAATTAAGAAGCCAGGAAAAGCGAGCCAGAAAAAGTGACCTCCTCTCACTTTTGTGATCCAAACTCTTACTTTTCACCCCTGTGGCAAATGTAGTCTTCTTCAGCAGAACCCCCAACATATAATCTTTTCAAGTTTGTTAGATGCCCTTGCCCATCATCTGTATCAAGTCTACCTATAAGATGGAAAAGATTTAAGGTTTCACTCCTTCATTCATACAACTTCTCTTTTAACAAATTACTCTAAAATGAGCTTCTCAGCCTTAGCACTACTGACATTTTGGACTGGGTGATTATCACACTGCAGGATGCTAAGCAGCATCCTGGCCTTTACCTACAAGATGCCAGCAGCACCCCAGCTCCCATGGTTGTGACAACCACAAACATCTCCAGACATTGCCAAATATTCACTGTGAGGCAAAACTCACCCATGGGCAAGAAGTAGTGCTCTAAAGAATGGGTTTGGCCAGGTGCGGTGGCTCATGCCTGTAATTCCAGCACTTTTAGAGGCCAAGGTGGGTGGATCACGAGGTCAGGAGTTAGAGACCAGCCTGGCCAAGATGGTGAAACCCCATCTCTACTAAAAATACAAAAAAATTAGCTGGGGGTGGTGTCAAGCACCTGTAATCCCAGCTACTCGGGAGGCTGAGGCAGGAGAATCGCTTGAACCTGGGAGGCGGAGGTGGCAGTGAGCTGGGATCGCACCACTGCACTCTAGTCTGGGTGACAGCAAGACTCTATCTGAAAAAACAAGAATAGATTTGAGGAAAATAAAATAGTTCATCTTCCTAAAAAATGCAAAGAGTCCAAGGTTGAATATTTATTCTGTCATAACCATTCTAAGATCTTAATCTTCTTTACCAACCAACGAACCACTGGCACACATTGGATAACTGACACACAGATGTGAGGCATATTTAATTTGGGAGGTGCAATTTATTACATATACAAGAAATAATTTTTTCAGAATTTTCTTGGCTAAGCCTATTAAAGAGAGTCACAGAAAGCAATGTGATGATAACTGTGAAAGTTGCAATGTAAACATACCACTATGTCTAGAAGTAATGCACTCTTTTCCTATGACACACAAAGATGACTGCCGGGGAAACCATGGTTATGACCGTTAAGCAACAAAGCAACATCCTCAGAATAAATAATCTCACCACATAAAATACTCTGATAATACAACATCTATCAAAATAACCTCTGACCCAGTAATTTTATTTCTCGGTCTTTTTTTATTTTTATTTTTTTGAGATGGAGTCTCACTCTGTTGCTCAGGCTGGAGTGCAGTGGCGTGATCTCAGCTCACTGCAACCTCCGCCTCCCAGGTTCAAGCGATTCTCCTGCCTCAGCCTCCCAAGTAGCTGGGATTACAGATGTGTGCCACCAGGCCTGGCTAATTTTTGTATTTTTAGTAGAGACGGGGTTTCACCATGTTTGTCAGGCTGGTCTCGAACTCCTGACCTCGTGATCTGCCTGCCTCGGCCTCCCAAAGTGCTGGAATTATAGGCATGAGCCACCACGCCTGGCCTATTTCTCGGTCTTTATCCCACAACATACTCAGCTGCTTACAAAAGGACATTAAATCAAGGTAACTCACAGGTAGTGACGTGTGGTAACTGAGCATGTCCACCCTGAGCCCAAATCTTGGTTTCTAAATACCATTCTCAGCTGGTCTGATGCTAATGGGTTATCAATACTTATTAATATTAGTGTCACTAAAAAGTTGGCATACAATCCAGCACTGCTAAATCTGACCGATTTATTTTATTTTTTTTTCTAGACGGAGTCTTGCTCTGTCACCCACGCTGGAATGCAGTGGCACCATCTTGGCTCACTGCAACCTCCGCCTCCCGGGTTCAAGCCATTCTCCTGCCTCAGCCTCCTGAGTAGTTGGGATTACAGGTGCCCGCCACCATGCTCGGCTAATTTTTGTAATTTTAGTAGAGACGGGGTTTCACCGTGTTGGCCAGGCTGACCTCGTGATTCGCCCTCCTTGGCCTCCCAAAGTGCTGGGATTACAGGCGTGAGCCACCGTGCCTGGCCTGACTGATTTTTAAAAATAAATAAATACCATTCTCCACTAAAGGTATAAGGGCTCCTTGGAGAAATGGCCAAGTACAGTGCTAAGAAAGCACAAGATGAACACGGGGCGTGGTTATAGCACAAAAGTAAGGGAGTCTCCAAAAGTGTTGGGGACATGCCAAAAGAACACAGGAGGCAGCTGCAAGGAGCTCTCTCTGGCCAAATATGAGACAAACTGAGCATTAAAATAAATGTAGGCTGGGCATGGTGGCTCACATCTGTAATCCCAGCACTTTGGGAGGCCAAGGCAGGCGGATCACTTGAGGTCAGGAGATGGAGACCAGTCTGGCCAACATGGCGAAACCCTGTCTCTACTAAAAAAGCAAAAATTAGCCGGGTGTGGTGGTGCATGCCTGTAATCCCAGAAACTTGAGAGAACGAGCCACGAGAATCACTTGAAACTGGAAAGCAAAGGTTGCAGTGAGCTGAGATAGTGCCAGTGCACTCCAGCCTGGGTGAGACAAGAAAGAAAGAAAAGAAAGAAAGAAAGAAAAGAAAGAAAGAAAGAAAAGAAAGGAAGGGAGGAAGGGAAGAAGGGAGGGAGGGAGGGAGGAAGGAAGGAAGAAAAAGGAAGAAAGGCAGGCATACTTCATTTTATTGCACTTTGCTTTATGTTGCTTTGCAGATAATGCTTTTTTTTTTTTTTTTTTTGAGATGGAGTCTCCCTTTGTTGCCCAGGTTGGAGTGCAGTGGCACGATCTCAGTTCACTCCAACCTCTGCCTCCCAGGTTCAAGTGATTTTCCTGACTCAGCCTACCAAGTAGCTGGGACTACAGGCACACACCACCACGTCCAGCTAATTTTTTTTTTTTTTTGTATTTCTAGTAGAGACAGGGTTTCACCATGTTGGCCAGGCTGGTCTCGAACTCCTGACCTCAGCTGATGCACCCACCTCGGCCTCCCAAAGTGCTAGATTACCAGATAATAAAATTTTTACAGATTGAAGTTTGTGGCAACCCTGTGTCAAGCAAGTCTATGGGAGCCATTTTTCTCTCTTTTTTTTTTTTAAAGACAGGGTCTTGCTCTATAACCCAGGCTGGAGTGCAGTGGTGCGATCTCGGCTCACTGCAACCTCTGCCTCCTGGACTCAAGGGAACCTCCCATCTCAGCCTCCTGAACAGCTGGGACCACAGGTGCATGCCACACCTGGCTAATTTTTTGTATTTTTTTTTGTAGAGACAAGGTTTCACCATGTTGCCCAGGCTAGTCTCGAACTCCTGGGCTCAACTGATCCTGGCACTTTGGCCTCCCAAAGTGTTGGGACTACAGGCATGAGCCACCGTGCCCAGCCAGGGTGCCATTTTTCTAACAGCATGTGCTCGTTTCATGTTTCTGTGTCACATTTTGGTAATTCTTGCAATATTTCCACTTTTCTCATTATTGTTACGTCTTTTCTGGTATCTGTAATCAGTGATCTTGGATGTTACTATTCCAATTGTTTTGGGGCAGCATGAACCATGCTCATATAAGATAGCAAACTGGCTGGATGCAGTGGTGGCTCACACATGTAATCCCAGCACTTTGGGAGGCCGAGGCAGGTGGATCATGAGGTCAGGAGTTCAAGACCAGCCTGACCAACATGGTGAAACCCCGTCGTTACTAAAAATACAAAAATTAGCTGGGTGTGGTGAAGCATGCTACTCAGGGGCTGAGGCAGGAGAATTACTTGGACCCGGGAGGCGGAGGTTGCAGTGAGCCGAGAGCCAGAGTGAAACTCTGTCACACACACACACACGCACAAAAAAAAAGACAGCAAACTTAGTAAATGTGTATTCTGACTGCTCCACTGACCTGCTGTTCCCGTCTCTTCCTCTTGTTGGACCTCCCTATTCCCTGAGACACAATATATTGAAATTAGGCCAATAACCCTACAATGGCCTCTAAGTGTTTAAGTGAAAGGAAGAGCCCCATGTCTCTTACTTTAAATCAAAAGCTAGAAATAATTAAGCTTAGTGTGTCAAAAGCCAAAAGCTACACCTCTTTAGTCAAACAGCCAGGCTGTGAATGCAAAGGAAAAGTTCATGAAGGACATTAAAAATGTGACTCCAGGGAACACACAAATGATGAGAAAATAAAACAGCCTTATTACTGATACAGAGAAGTTTGAGTGATCTGGATAGATCAAACCAGACACAAAATAAAATTCCCTTAAGCCAAAGCCTAATCCAGAGCAAGGCTTTTTCATGAAGTTTAAGGAAAGAAGCCGTTTCCGTGACCTAAGAGTGCAAGGTGAAGCAGTAAGTGCTCATGTAGAAGCTGCAATAAGTTACTCCGAAGATCTAACTAAGATAATTGATAAAAGTTCAAACAATATCAAACAACAGGCCGGGCGCAGTAGTTCACACCTGTAATCCCAGCACTTTGGGAGGCTGAGGCAGTTAGATCATTTGAGGTCAGGAGTTCGTGACCAGCCCGACCAACATGGTGAAACCTCATCTCTACTAAAAATACTAAATTAGCCAGGCGTGGTGGTGTACGCCTGTAATCCCAGCTACTCGGGAAGCTGAGGCAGGAGAATCGCTTGAACCCAGGAGGTGAAGATTGCACTAAGCCGAGATCGTGCCATTGCACTCCAGCCTGGGCGACAGAGCAAGACTCCATCTCAAAAAAATATATTTATCAAACAACAGTCTTTCGACAGCTCTGATGGAGATACACAAGGAGATTAGTGATGTTTTCATGCCCGCTAATACAACATCCATTCTGCAGCCCATTGAACAAGGAGTAATTTCAACTTCCAAGTCTTATTATTAAGAGTAATAACAATAAGGTGATCCTCCCACCTCACCCTCCCAAACTGTCAAGAATACAGGCTGAGGCGGGAGGATTACTTGAGCCAATGAATTTGATACCAGCCTGGACAACAAGACAAGACCCTGTCTCTACTAAAAATTTCTAAAAATTAGCTGGGTGCTTGGGCACAGTGGCTCATACCTCTAATCCTAGCACTTCGGGAGGCCAAGATGGGTTGACTGCTTGAGCCCAGGAGTTCATGACCAGCCTGGGCAACATGGCAAAACTCCGTCTCCACAAAAAATACAAAAATTAGTCAGGTGTGGTGGCACGTACCTGTGGTCCCAGCTTCCAAGCTACTCAGGAGGCTGAGGTGGGAGGATCACCTGAGCCCAGGTGGTAGAGGCTGCAGTGAGCAGTGATCGCACCACTGCACTGCAGGTCTGGGTGAGAGAGGGAGATCCTGTCACTGTACTCCAGCCTGGACAGCAGACAGAGACCCCGCCTCTAAAATAAAATAAAAAGAAATACATTTGGCTGGGCGTGGTGGCTCACACCTATAATCCCAGCACTTTGGGAGGCTGAAGCACGCAGATCACCTGAGGTCAGGAGTTTGAGATCAGCCTGGCCAACATGGTGAAACCCTGTCTCTATTAAAAATACAAAAATTAGCTGGGCGTGGTGGTGCACACCTGCAATCCCAGAAACTCGAGAGAATGAGGCACGAGAATCACCTGAACCTGGAAAGCAGAGGTTGCACTGAGCCGAGATTGCGCCACTGCACTCCAGCCTGGGTGACAGAGCAAGACTCTGTATCAAAAAAAAAAAAGAAATACATTTTATAAGACTATAGATGCCATAGATAGTGATTCCTCTGAAGGACCCAAAGTAAACTGAAAATCTCTGGAAAGGATGCACCATTCTAGATGCCATGAAGAACACGCGTGATTCATGGGAGGAGGCCAAAATATCAACATTAACAGGAGTTTGGAAGAAGTTGATTCTAACCCTCATGGATGACTCTGAGGAGTTCAGGGCCTCCATGGTAGAAGTAACTGCAGATGTGGTGGAAAGAGCAAAAGAACTAGAATTAGAACTGGAACCTGAAGCTGTGACTGGGCTGCTTCAATCTTATGATAAAACTGTAATGGATAAGGAGTTGCTTTGATAGATAAGCAAAGAAGGTTTTTTGTTTTTTTTTTTGAGATGAATCTACTGCTGAAGATGCTGTGAACTCTGCTGAAATGAAAACAAGGATTTAGAAGTATTACAAAAATTATTTGATAACACAGTGGCAGGGTTTGAGAACAGTGACTACAATTTTGAAAGTAGTTCTTTCGGCTGGGCGCAGTGGCTCACGCCTGTAATCCCAGCACTTTTGGAGGCCGAGGCGGGCAGATCACCTGAGGTCAGGAGTTCGAGACCAGCGTGGCTGACATGGTAAAACCCTGTCTCTACTAATAATACAAAAATTAGGCGGGTGTGGTGGCACACATCTGTAATCCCAGCTACTCGGGAAGCTGAGGCAGAATTGCTTGGACCCAGGAGGCAGAAGTTGCAGGGAGCCGAGATGGTGCCACTGCACTCCAGCCTGGGCAACAGAGTGAGACTGTCTCAAAAAAAAAAAAAAAGAAAGTAGTTCTTTCTTCTAGGTAAAATGCTATCAAACAGATCATTTTGTAGTTCATAAGTGTGATCATTGGGTGTTCACGCTTACATGTGAGATGTGCCATCCTTGAACCTTGTTAGAACATCAGTACATCACCTGGCTGACATTTTAAAAAATGCTGTCAGCCGGGCGCAGTGGCTCACGCCTGTAATCCCAGCACTTTGGGAGGCTAAGGCGGGTGGATCATCTGAGGTCAGGAGTTCCAGACCAGCCTGACCAACATGGTGAAACCCTGTCTCTACTAAATACAAAAAAAATTAGCCAGGTGTGGTGATGCATACCTATAATCCCAGCTACTTAGGGAGGCCGAGGCAGGAGAATCACTTAAATCCAGGAGGTGGAAGTTGCAGTGAGCCAAGACTGCACCACTGCACTCCAGCCTGGGCAACAAGAGCGAAAACTCCATCTCAAAAAAAAAAAAGCTATAAAACAGCATTACATGCTACAGAAAGATCTTTTGTGAAAGGAAGAGTCAATCAACGAGGCAAACTTCGTTGTTTTAAGAAATTGCCACAGCTGAGCACAATCACTCTTGCCTGTAATCCCAGCTACTCAGGAGGCTGAGGTATAAAAATTGCCTGAGGCTGGCAGGGTGCAGTGGCTCACTCCTGTAATCCCAGCACTTTGGGAGGCCAAGGCGGGCGGATCATGAGGTCAGGAGATCGAGACCATCCTGGCTAACATGGTGAAACCCCATCTCTACTAAAAATACAAAAAAAAAAAAATTAGCCAGGTGTGGTGGCAGGCACCTGTAGTCCCAGCTACTTGGGAGGCTGCGGCAGGAGAATGGTGTGAACCTGGGGGGTGGAGCTTGCAGTGAACTGGGTGAACCACTGCACTCCAGCCTGGACGACAGAGAGAGACTCGTCTCAAAACAAAAAAAAAAAAAAGAAAAGAAAAATTGCCTGAGGCCAGGAATTCAAGACCAACCTGGGTCCGGGCACAGTGGTTTACGCCTGTAATCCCAGCACTTTGGGAAGCCGAGGCGGGCGGATCATGAGGTCAGGAGATGGAGACCATCCTGGCTAACTCGGTGAAATGCCGTCTCTACTAAAAATACAAAAAATTACCCGGGCGTGGTAGCGGGTGCCTGTAGTCCCAGCTATTCGGGAGGCTGAGGCAGGAGAATGGCGTGAACCCGGGAGGCGGAGCTTGCAGTGAGCTGAGATCGCGCCACTGCACTCCAGCCTGGGCGACAGAGCGAGGAGACTCAGTCTCAAAAAAAAAAAAAAAAAAAAAAAAAAGACCAACCTGGGAAACAGACCCCATCTCTTAAAAAAAAGAAAGAAAAGAAATTTCCACAGCCCATCCCAACTTTCAACAACCACCACCCTGATCAGTCAGCAGCCATCAACATCGAGGCAAGACCCTCCACCAACAAGATGGAGGCTCAGATGACTGCTAATTTTTTTTTTTTTTTTTTGAGACAGAGTCTCGCTCTGTCACCCAGGCTGGAGTGCAGTGGCGCGATTTCAGCTCACTGTAAGCTCCACCTCCATTCTCCTGCCTCCATGCCATTCTCCTGCCTCAGCCACCCGGTAGCTGGGACTACAGGCGCCCGCCACTACGCCCGGCTAATTTTTTGCATTTTTTTAGTAGAGACGCGATTTCACAGTGTTAGTCAGGACGGTCTCGATCTCCTGACCTCGTGATCTGCCCGCCTCAGCCTCCCAAAGTGCTGGGATTACAGGCCTGAGCCATTGCGCCTGGCCAACTGCTAGTATTTTTTAGCAGTAAAGTATTTTTAAATTAAGGTACGTACATTGGTTTTTAGACACAATGATATTGAGCATTTAACAGACTACAGTATAAACATAACTTTTACATGTGCTGGGACATCAAAAAATTCATGAGACTCACTTTATTATAATATTCACCTACTGCAATGGTGCAGAACTGAACCTGCAATATTTAAGGTATTCCTGTGACGACAATGAATTATAACCCACTGAATGAAATAGGCCTATGAATCCATACTGATATAAATGAAGAAATGAATAGGGAAGAAGAGAAAGCTTTCTTGCATTAGAAGGTCAACTAATAAATGTAGAAGGAATGATAGAGT
Organism: Homo sapiens; assembly: GCF_000001405.40. Lineage (NCBI taxonomy): Eukaryota > Metazoa > Chordata > Mammalia > Primates > Hominidae > Homo > Homo sapiens. The sequence continues at coordinate 76,326,259 of NC_000017.11, forward strand.
TAGAAAAATGAACACTGACAACAATCACAGTCAATAATTGATTCAGGCAAGAATCATCAGTAGATGTTCATTTTGATGAGAAGCAGAATATTTACAGTTAAAACATAGTCTTAACATGAGGTAGTATTAATTACAAAGAGGAAAAAAAAAAGAGTAACTTTACAGTGGAGAAACCTGCCAGAGAAACCTTAACCAACTTATCAGAATGCACATCACCAGTAATGGGACACATCATGTGTTTCCTGTGATTTTCTGCCAAAAATGCATAACCTGAATCTAATCCTGAGGACACAAACAAGCCCCAATTAAGGGAGAGTCTACAAAATCACTTGATCGCACTGTTCAAAAGTATCAAGGTCATAAGAAACAAAGAATAAAGCAGCCACTCCAGATTAAATGAGACTAAAAAGAAATGACAACTAAATGCAATGTGTGACCCTGGGTTAGGTCTTGAACAAGAAAACAAGTTTATTCTTTTGCTCTAAAGGACACTGCTGGGACCACTGGTGAAACCTGAGTAAGGTCTGTAGATTACAGTGTTACAGCAATGTTAGCTTCCTGAGTCTGATAATGATACTCTGGTTATATAAGAGTCTTTTGTCTTTACAAATATACACGAAGGTATTTAGGAATGAAGGGACATTACGTCTGCAACTCACCCTCAAATGGTGGAAAAAAAAAAACCCCATGTATATAAATGTTAAATTTGGGGACTCCGAGTGAAGAGCATATGCTGGAAATCTGTACTATTCTTTCAACTTTAAGTCTAAAGTCAGTTGAAAATAAAAAGCTAAAAATGCAGATTACGGCTTGGCACGGTGGCTCACACCTGTAATCCCAGCACACTGGGAGGTCGAGGCAGGCGGATGACCTAAGGTTAGCAGCTCGAGACCAGCCTGACCAACATGGTAAAACCCTGTCTCTACTAAAAATACAAAAATTAGCTGGGTGTGGTGGTGTGTGCCTGAAGTCACAGCTACTTGGGAGGCTGAGACAGGAGAACTGCTTGAACCCAAGAGGCGGAGGCTGCAGTGAGCCAAGATCATGCCACTGCACTCCAGCCTGGGCGACAGAACGAGTTCAGTCTCAAACAAAATAAAAATAAATAAAAATAGGCCGGGCACGGTGGCTCACACCTGTAATCCCAGCACTTTGGGAGGCTGAGGCAGGCGGATCACAATGTCAAGAGATCGAGACCATCCTGGCCAACATGGTGAAAGCTCATCTCTACTAAAAATACAAAAATTAGCTCGGCGTGTTGGCGCGCACCTATAGCCCCAGCCACTGGAGAGGCTGAGGCAGGAGAATTGCTTGAACCCGGGAGGAAGAGGTTGCAGTGAGCCAAGATTGCACCACTGCACTCCAGCCTGGCGACAGAGTGAGACTCCATCTCAAAATAAATAAATAAGTAAAAATAAAAGTTACCTGATCCCCAAAGCCTGGTATTTGATCAACAGCTGTCACCCAGCTTATGATAATGTAAAAGCTTAAGATTTCACACCATCACACATACAACTTTTTTACTGAAGCTAAAATTATCAAACACCGTCTGAATGCTGAGTGCTACGCAGAACCGTCCATACACAGTCTACAAATGTGTATAACACAACTTCCTTTTACAAAAGAGGAAATCGGGCCTGGCATGGGGCTCATGTCTGTAATCTTATGTAATCTCGGCATTTTGGGAGACCATGACAGGAGGATTGTTTGAGCAAAGAAGTTCAAAACCAGCCTGGGCAATGCAGGGAGCCCCGTCTCCATACAAAAAGAAAAAAAAAGGAACAGAAAACTATCCAGGCATGGTAGTGTACCCCTACAGTCCCAGCTACCCAGGAGGCGGAGGTGGGAGAATCACTTGCGCCCCGGTCAAGGCTGCAGTGAGCCATGACTGTGCCACTGTACAGAGCAACAGGGGGAGATCCTTTCTCAAAAAAAAAAAAAAAAAGGCGGAGGATAGCAAATACCATTCCATTATTAAAAAACAACAAGACAGCATATATCTACATAGTCGATAACTCCTAGCCATTCATACTACTTAAAACTTTCTTCAGGGCCAGGTGCAGTGGCTCATGCCTGTAATCCCAGCACTCTGGGAGGCTGAGGCGAGCAGATCACCAGGTCTGGAGCAGATCACGAGGTCTGGAGTTTGAGACCAGCCTGGCCAACATGGTGAAACCCTGTCTCTACTAAAAATACAAAAATTAGCTGGGCGTGGTGGCACACACCTGTAATCTTTGCCACTCACGAGGCTGAGGCAGGAGAATTGCTTGAACCCAGGAGGCAGAGGTTGCAGTCAGCCAAGATCACGCCACTGCACTCTAGCCTGGGTGACAGAGTGAGACTCCATCTCAAAAACAAAACAAAACAAAACAAAACAACAACAACAAAACCAACAAAACCAACAAAAAAAAACTTTCTTCAATTTACAAATAAAATAAAAACACAGAGCTCATCTTACATGGCAACTCCAGGCCTGGGTGCACAGTAGCATTTTTGACCATAGGCGGGGAGTGACGACCATCGTCCATGTCCAGTTCCGTGCACTGAGCTTCCCCGTGAATGACGGCCAAACCCAGACGCAGTCTCTCCGCATAGGACTGGGCCCTAGAAGGACAAAGGGAAATGGTGAAACTGACAGGAAGAAATCCCACGCATCACTACGGCATCATTTTTTAACCATAAAATGAAAATATTTAACGTTTCAGGGACATACAAAGGCATTATTTATATAAATGAGAATGTGAGGCCCAGGCCAGCATGTAAATGACTCAAAGGGCACGTGAGTTAGGGTTTGGGATTGTATCTGATTCTAGACATTTTTTTTTTTTTTTGAGACAAGGTCTCACTGTCACCCAGGCTGGAGTGCAGTGGCGTCAACATGGCTCACTGCAGCCTCAACCTCCTGAGGCTCAGGTGATCCTCCCACCTCAACCTCCCGAGTAGCGGGGACCACAGGCATGTGTTGCCACAACTGGCTATTTTTTGTATTTTGTAGAGACGGGGTCTATGTTGCCCAGGCTGGTCTTGAACCCCTGGGCTCAAGCGATCTCCCGCTTTGGCCTCCCAAAGTGCTGGAATTACAGGCGTGAGCCACCCCGCCTGGCCCTGATTCTAGATAATTTTGATTCTATCCTTTGTCCAATATTCTGATAGTCATCTTCAGAAGAAAGAACAACGTTAAAAACCATTGCCTGGGCCGGGCACAGTGGCTTACGCCTGTAAACCCAGCACTTTGGGAGACCAAGGCAGACAGATCACTTGAGGTCAGGAGTTCAAGACTAGTCTGATGAACATGGTGAAACCCCATCTCTACTAAAAATACAAAAAACTAGCCAGGAGTGGTGACAGGCGCCTGTAATCCCAGCTACTGGGGAGGCTGAGGCAGGAGAGCTGCTTGAACCCAGGAGGCGGAGGTTGCAGTGAGCCGAGATCGCGCCATTGCACTCCAGCCTAGGTGACAGAATGAAACTCCATTTCAAAAAAAAAACAAAAAAAAAAACCATTGCTTGAAAAATGCTCATAGCCTCATTGCTTTCCTTTCTCTGAGAACTTGAAGGAACTTTGTTTTCCCAGAGGAAAGCTGAGCAACTCAGCGATCATGTGTGCTGTCTGGAGGCTGGAGATAAAGCTGTGTGTGGCATGGGACATGACAACGATGGAGGGGTTAACATGAGAGCCAGTGGGCTTTCAAAGGCCACGAGTGACAGCCTCTGGATTCCAAAGCAGCTCATTCTGACTTCGGGAGCACTCAGGAGGGATCAGGACCCATGTCTAGCTTACTTACCTCTTTGCAGCATCAGGAGACTTAGCTACAATGACTGCATTTCTGTAATTTGGAATCTAGATTTGAAGGAAAAATAGAAAATACTGAAAAGTTATCAGAAAATAACACCTGGATGCTGGTATTCAAGTTTTCCCTCTTATAATGATCCAAACTAGTCATCAAATATGCTAGAATTTTAGTCACAAGTTTTAGATTTTTCAATATTTATCAATTAACATCACTGGAAAAAGCACTCCTACGTCAAGAATTTTTTAAAAATAATTCTTAAAACATTCATTTTAGAAAACATAAGCAAATTGCTAAAGATACGTAGAAAAAAAATCTGTTTTTAGTGTCTTTTAAAGCTATGATCGTCCACGACTAAAGCTGACCCTGTCTGCTGCCTCAGGCATTGTGACTTAAGGGAGAGCTCATTTGATGTGCCTTCCAGTAACGAAATCTGATACCAGAGAAAAACTAAATAAGATCTCTTTTGAGGACAATGGGGTGTTTGCTGGTGGTTCCTCACTTCTTCCTGGATATACTGAAGCAGGAAAGGTGAGGCTCTAAGGTTGTCCACAGGAAAGCTGAAAAAGCCTTGTATTTCCTTTTGATGAAGATCCATAGTGATAATGTGAGTTAAACCTGAAATTTTAAAACAAAAAATTACAAAGTTCACCCCTACAGGTAAATGGCTACAGTGGACCTAAACTAGATGCTCAACTCCTGCTTCCTACCAGCAGACTGAAGACGGGGTACTGTGATTAAGCACTGCAGTCACAGGCTTGATTGTTAACCTTAATAAAGCCTTAATGTAGAGAAGGCTACAACCTTCCACATGGACAAAGAACTAAAGCTAAGAAAGTGGGAATTATTGACTTTTGGCTTGGTCCAGAAAATTGAGAAAAGAATAATGTGGCAGAAGCAAAAATATGAATATGGAATTAATACCGAAGAGATGGAAAAAACAGTAAGGCCTTGATTACAGAATCTTAAAAGAAAGGATAAAGAACTGTAGCGAAGGCAAAAAGTAGCAAGAACACAAACGCAAAGTAATATACATATTAGAAGAAAAGAAACTCATATAACACAAAGATATTGAAGCTTAGAATAATTTCTGTATGTAACAAAGAATGTTTCAAGTATTCTTATAGAAAAACAATGAAGAGATACTCTTATAATCAAGAGTACTGAAGAGGAAAAGGTACATATATATAAACACATTGCAAATGGTCAAAGGTCACAGCAAAACTTCCAGGGTGTAGAACCAGTATTACTTGTTCTTTCCAGAAACACTATAGTTTTTTGGAGAGGATGAAATTCACATACAGTTGACCATCTGGATCTATGGGTTCCACGTGTGGATTCAACGAAACACAGACTGAAAAGGTAGTTAGGCCTACAATGGTTGTGTCTGTACTGAGCAGGTATGAAACTTTTTTCTCATCATTATTCCCTAAACAAGACAGCATAACAACAATTTATATAGTGTTTATATGGTATTAGGTATTTATAAATAATCTACAGATGACTGTGTTGGTTATATGCAAATACTATGGCATTTTATATGGAAGACTTGAGTATCTTTGGGTTTTTGTATCTGCTGAGGAGCCGGGGAAGCGGGAGATGGGTTCCTGGAACCAATCCTATAAGGACATTGAGGGAGGACCATACATTTCTTTCCGAGGACCCAAATATACGTTAAAGTTTTAGAACAGACATCAGATGAATAGAAACCCAATTGTAAAATATTACATTGATTTACAGGCCAGAAAGCGTGCCCCCGCCACACAAGGAGAATAAAGCAATGAAAATGAGCCACTATGTAGAAAGGCAAGGGTGGGGGAGAGGGAGTAAAAGAAAATCCAGCTTGAATACTATGAACAAAAATGGAATTTAGCTAACAAAGCAGATATAGAAATCTAGACCTGAAGATCAAAAGATCACATAAGAATGCCAAGACTGCCAGCTAAGAATTTAGCGATGACAAGATGAAATAGAAAATATGTGACAGATGACAGAGAAGAGAAGACACTAAAGCAATGGTATTCTAAAGTAGGACAAAGCGAATAAGGGAAAAAAAAGAATTTCTAACCGAGCTCACATATCCTTAGCCAAAACTGTTCAAAAGGAAACAAACACTCAGATCCCAGATTGGATATCTGAGGTATGAGCTAAGTCCAACTAGGAAAGAGCCCTAAAGGATCATGCTGGAACCCCAGGGCCCCCGCGCACACTCACCTGCTTTCGCCAGCATGGATGCTAGCAGCTTGCACACAATGGAACCCCTCTTCCTCATCTTGCTCTGCTTGCTGTAGGGGAAGTAGGGGATGACCCCAATAATGTTCCTGGCACAGGCAGTCTTCAGTGCGTAAGCCATGATGAGCAACTCCATCACAGCTGTATTCACATCTCTGAAACAGTCAAAGTTTGTATTTGGGGATTAATTCCATGTATCAACCCTAGAAAAGATCTTGACTTTATCAACTTAACATGGGCTGCCCAGATGGGTGTTGTGGGAATTTTACCATCACACTAGCTTACAATGGCACCTCATGAAGGCAGGGGAAGCTTTCTGACTTTTTGTAGCTGAGTAAGCCCTAGCTTTCATCTGAGGTTACTCCTATTCACAGCACAGTTAACCCACCCTCACATTTGCCTGGGTCTCCTGTGTCATACCCCGTTACTGCAGTGACATCTGAAGCAACTGCTGGTGACCAGAGTTACCCAACACCTGCTGGCAGCCTCCCAGGGATTTGGGCTTAGGCCAGCTTGAATGCCAAGGGAAACCCAACTGCCCTTCCATTTAGCTGCCATTAACAGAAAGATTTGGTCTCTTTCCATTGAGTGTGGGGAGGTCTTGGAATATAATTTTTTTTTTTTTTTTTTGAGACGGAGTCTCGCTGTCGCCCAGGTTGGAGTGCAGTGGCGCGATCTCAGCTCACTGCAGGCTCCGCCCCCCGAGGTTCACGCCATTCTCCTGCCTCAGCCTCCCGAGTAGCTGGGACTACAGGCGCCCGCCACCTCGCCCGGCTAATTTTTTGTATTTTTAGTAGAGACGGGGTTTCACCATGTTAGCCAGGATGGTCTTCATCTCCTGACCTTTTGAGATGAAGTCTCACTCTGTCGCCCAGGCTGGACTGCAGTGGTGTGATCTCAGTTCACTGCAACCTCCGCCTCCCAGGTTCAGGCAATTCTCCTGGCTCATCCTCCCGAGTAACTGGGATTATAGGCGTGCACCACCACACGTGGCTAATTTTGTATTTTTAGTAGAAACGGGGTTTCTCCATGTTGGTCAGGCTGGTCTCGAACTCCCGACCTTAGGTGATCCGCCCACCTCGGCCTCCCAAAGTGCTGGGATTACAGGCATGACCCACTATACCCAGCTGGAACTTAATTTTCGAAAACCTCCCTGGAGGCTGGACGCAGCCCAGCCAATATGGTGAAACCTTGTCTCTACTAAAAATACAAAAATTAGCCAGGTGTGGTGGCACGTGCCTGTAGTCCCAGCTACTGGGGAGGCTGAGGCAGGAGAATCTCTTGAACCTGGGAGGCAGAGGTTGCAGTGAGCCGAGATCATGCCACTGCACTCCAGCCTGGGCAACAGAGTGAGGCTCTGTCTCAAAAAACAAAACAAAACAAAACAAACAAAAAAAAACCTCCCTGGACCTTTCTTTCCCTGACATATAAATTCCTGACAAAGATTACCCAGAGAGACAAAAAATGAAATATGAATCTGGAAGATATTAGAAGGAAAGGCAATTTCCAATGATTATAAATTTGGATTGCTAGCTTTTGCCAAGGATAATCAAACCTAATGTAGACTCTGCATTCATTCATTCATTCATTCATTCTTTCTTTCACTTACTCACTCACTCACTTATTAAGAAATGGTCTCACCCTGTCACCCAGGCTAGAGTGCAGTGGTACAATCTTAGCTCACTGCAGCCTCGAACTCCCGGGCTCAAGTGATGCTCCCGCCTCAGCCTATCAAAGCACTGGGATTACAGGCATGCGCCACCATTCCCAGACAGGCTCTTCCTTTAAAAAGGGGTGAGAGCCTTGAAATCCTTCCAGGACCTCTCTCAGTATTCACTTCTCACATTAGCTTCCTCCTGCTCTTCCTGGACTATCCACGCATCCTCAAACATCCCCGTCTTGGGGTGGGGGTGGGGGTCAGGACTGTATCTCCCTTCCCTTCCCCACGTCATCAGTTCCTACCCATGGCAGCAGGTTCTTCAGGTACCAGTTCTTGAACAATTATCAGCTCTACACTGACACGTAGGTGATGCTGCCCTCATTACAGCAAAGCAGAAAGCCTGCCATACACACAGCAGAGTTAGCGTTTGCTGAATAGGTGGCTGAATGAAATACTCAGCAAGAGATGCTTTCTAGCTTGAAGGGTAATCGAGCCATTTCCTTCCAGTCTCTTCCAATTTATGTTTACACTTCTCTCTAAGGCAGAGTGCATTTGGGAGTGAGCGATTTCAAAGACATCCTTTTATTCTGACAATGTTTTCCACTTCCAGGTTCAATTCCTGGAACTTCCAATTTCACCCTTGTAATTTGGATTTTTCTTAACTATTGCAAGCATTCTATGATTAAAAAAAACAAAAACAAAAACAAAAAATGTCTCCCTGAGGAGACTGATGCAGGGCTCAACTTCAAGACAACTAAGACATTCCTTTTAGACTGCTAATCCATTCCATTGTTTTCCAGTTACCTTTTATTTTTTCTCTCAATAAATTGGAGCATTTTTCTCCTTCAGACTTCCAAATTAATAATGCCAAGTCTGGCATCAAAAGGTCAGATAATCTTTGGTAGAATCAAAGCAATTATCAAACACTTTCAAGAAAGTTGGGAATTCATAATAGTCAATTTTAGTTCATCATCCATGCAACACATATTTAGGGGGCAACTTGAGGCAAGCACTGTGGTAGGTAAACAAGGCAAACCACCTCTAGAGAAAGCCAAAGGCCATCTGGGACCACTCTCGAGGTACTCATTCTTCCCAAGAAGGAGCACATCTGACTCATGGAAGAATGTGTGGTCCCCTTCCCAGAGACTCTTTTGTTTAAAAGATTTTTTTTCTTTTCTTTTCTGTTTTGTAAGAGGCAGGGTCTCACTATGTTGCCATGGCTGGTCTTGAACTCCTGGGTTCATGCAATCTTCCCATCTCAGCCTCCCAAAGTGCTGGGATTACAGGCATGAGCCACCACACCCAGGCTGGCTGTGGCTTCATAAACCAGAACCCAATATCCACAATATGTTTGGAGTCAGTTAATTTAGTAGCTTCTGTAAGCGTTATCTGTTCAAGTAGTGAGGTTTTTTTTGTTTTTTGTTTTGTTTTGGAGATGGAAATTCGTTTTTGTCACCCAGGCTGGAGTGTAATGGTGCGATCTCAGCTCACTGCAACCTCTGCCTCCTGGGTTCAAGCAATTCTCCTGCCTCAGCCTCTCAAGTAGCGGGGATTACAGGCACCCACCACCATGCCCAGCTAATTTTTGTATTTTTAGTAGAGATGGGGTTTCACCATGTTGGCCAGGCTGGTCTTAACTCCTGACCTCAGGTGATCCAACCGCCTCGGCCTCCCAAAGTGTGTTGGGATTACAGGTGTGAGCCACCACACCCAGGCTCAAGTAGTGGGTTTTTAGCTGGCTTTGTCATAGACAATACACAAGTGGACCAAGTGCAGTAGTTTATGCTTGTAATCCCAGCACTTTGAGAGGCCAAGGCAGGAGTATTGCTTGAAGCCAGGAGTTTGATACCAGCCTGGGCAACATAGCAAGACCTGGTCTCTAAAAATAAAATAAAATTTAAAAATCAGCCAGGCACGGTGGTGCTCACCTGTAGTCCTAGCTATTCGGGAGGCTGAGGTGGGAGGATCCCTCAAACCCATATAATGAGCTGTGACTGCACCACTGCACTCCAACCTGGGCAACAGAGTGAGACCCCATCTCTCAAAAAACACACAAAAAAATAAAAACAAAATCAAGTAAAATACACAAGTGTATGACACCATGAGTTTTGGAGAACACAGCACAAGGGAGGCCCAGATAATAAAACATTAATGAACAAGATAAACAATTTTTGAGAAGTCTTGATTTCAGGGTAACATTCCTTTCATTAATAAGCAATTTCTGGGCCGGACGCGGTGGCTCACGCCAGTAATCCGAGAGGCCAAGACAGGTGGATCACCTGAGGTCAGGAGTTAGAGACCAGCCTAACCAACATGGTGAAAGCCCGTCTCTACTAAAAATTCAAAACTTAGCCGGGCATGGTTGCAGGTGCCTGTAATCCCAGCTACTTGGGAGGCTGAGGCAGAAGAATTGCTTGAACCTGGGAGGCAGAGGTTGTAGTGAGCCGACATCATACCACTGCACTCCAGCTTGGGCTACAGAGCGAGAATCTTTCTCAAAAAAAAAAAAAGGCCAGGCACGGTGGCTCACACCTGTAATCCCAGCACTTTGGGAGGCCGAGGCAGGTGGATTACCTGGGTCGGGAGTTCGAGACCAGCCTGACCAACATGGAGAAACCCCCGTCTCAACTAAAAATACAAAATTAGCCAGGCATGGTGGTGCATGCCTGTAATCCCAGTTACTCAGGAGGCTGAGGCAGGAGAATAGCTTGAACCTGGGAGGTGGAGGTTGTGGTGAGCCGAGATCATGCCATTGCACTCCAGCCTGGGCAACAAGAGTGAAACTCCATCTCAAAAAAAAAAAAAAAAAAAAAAAAAGAGCAATTTCCCATGAGGTTTTTATTTTCCATTTTTCCAAGGGATTCAACATCCTCCAGCCCAACGCTAAAGAAAGCTCCATACCTCACCCCTTATTGGTCAGAAAGGTGACAAAAGGGGCTTTGTCACATTGGCTTTACCCATTCACTGAGAGATACCGGACAAATTGGACACCAGGCAGTTACTTTGTGAACTAGCAGGGCGAAGGGAAATCGGCTGGCAGTCTCTGCTTTATCTGTTCCCTAAGAATGTTGCAAGTACACCCTGGCTAGCTCTTGTAGTCTTTATCTCTAAGTAGGACATTCTTAATTGTTTTACCAACTACTTTTCTTTCTTTTTTTTAAATAGAGAAAGGTCTCACCATGTTGCCCAGCTGGTCTTGTACTCCTGGGCTCAGGCAATCCTCCCGCCTTGGCCTCCCAAAGTGCTGGGAGTACAGCTTGAGCCATCATGCCCAGACAACCAACTACTTTTCTTTCCCCTAAGAAAACCACATCCTATATTAAGTCCAGCCCTTACTGCTCTAGCATTTTGGACAGGCAAAAACTAACCTGAGGTGTGCTCTCTTCAGCAGCACATATACTAAAATTGGAATGATACAGAGAAGATTAGCATGGCCCCTGTGCAAGGATGACACGCAAATTCGTGAAGTGTTCCATATTGGAAAACAACAACAACAACAACAACAACAAACTAACCTGAGATGAGGAAACAGGCATGGTATACGCATTCATTAAACTAGCCAGGCTCGCAAAAAGAGAAACCACACCACAGCTGGAAGTAATGGGGGAGAATTTACCCTGCTCCCAACTGTAACAATTAATCATCTGCAGCAGCTGGGAATTTTTTGTTGTTGTTTTGAGACTGAGTCACTCTGTCACCCAGGCTGGAAGGCGAGAGTGCAGTAGCACCATCTTGGCTCACTGCAACCTCTGCCTTCCGGGTTCAATCGATTCTCCCACCTCAGCCTTCCGAATATCTGGGATTACAGGCACCTGCCACCATGCCTGGTTAATTTTTTGTATTTTTAGTAGAGACGGGGTTTCACCATGTTGGCTAGTCTGGTCTCAAACTCCTGACCAACTGATCCACCTGCCTCGGCCTCCCAAAGTGCTGGGATTACAGGTGTGAGCCACCGTGCCCAGCTGTAAATGTTATTTTAATGAGTCTGCTTACTTTACATCAACACACTAGAACTTGTACATAAACATAAAAATTAACCTTTAAAATATACTTCATAAGCTTCATATTTTACTTAGTTCCATTGCTTGGTATATCTGGAAAATCTCTGAGTATCGCACAGTTCAATTACCCAAAATAATCATTTTGTTCTGAATGGCTTTTTGCCATTTCCAAAAATTAAACCTATCCTCAACGACCAAAAGGTTGCTATTATTAGAACAGTCAAAAGAAATATGCTGCAAGTTTGGAAGCAGTAGTTCCAAAGCTATTCCAAGCAAAAACAGCACCAAAAAAAGGTATCTATGTGATTTTAGAACAACAGCTCTGAAGGCAACTAAGCTTATTTTAATGTCTAAGCTTTGGTCTGTTTGCCTAAAATTAGCCTTATTACTTTAGGCAATGCCCCCTTCCTCCCAACAACAGAAAAACCTGTAAAAGATATTCCTTCATCTATGTAACCGCAGATAATATTAAAAAACCAGGTCGGGCACAGTGGCTCATGCCTGTAATCCTAACATTCTGGGAGGCTGAGGCAGGTGAATCACCTAAGGTCAGGAGTTCGAGACCAGCCTAGGCAACATGGAGAAACCCCATCTCTACTAAAAATACAAAAATTAGCTGGGTGTGGTGGTGTGCACCTGTAATCCCAGCTACTCAGGAAGCTGAGACAGGAGAATTGCTTGAACCCAGGAGGCAGAAGTTGCAGTAAGCCGAGATTGTGCCACTGCACTCCAACCTGGGCAACACAGCAAGACTCCGTCTCAAAAAATAAATAAAATAAAATATAAAATATAAAATAAAATAAAAAATTAGGCCAGGCATGGTGGCTCATGCCTGTAATCCCAGGACTTTGGGAGGCCGAGGTGGATGGATCACCTGAGGTCAGGGGTTCAAAACCAGCCTGGCCAACATGGTAAAACCCCATCTCTACTAAAAATACAAAATTAGCCAGGCATGGTGGTACATGCCAGTAATCCCAGCTACTCGGGAGGCTCAGGCAGGAGAATCACTTGAACCTGGAAAGTGGAGGTTGCAGTGAGCCAAGGTCACACCACTGCACTCCAGCCTGGGCAACAAGAAAGAAACTCGTCTCAAAAAAAAAATTAAATTAAATTAAATTATCTGTGTTCTTTAGTTGGTACTAAAGTATCCAGTACTCAAGCACTACAAAAACTAGTTTATTGACTGGGCACGGTGGCTCACGTCTATAATCTCAGCACTTTGGGAGGCCAAGGCGGGTGGATCACCTGAGGTCAGGAGTTTGAGACCATTCTGGTCAACACTGTGAAACCCCGTCTCTACTAAAAATACAAAAATCAGCTGGCTGTGGTGGCACACGCCTATAATCCCAGCTACTCAGGAGGCTGAGGCAGGAGAATTGCTTGAACCTGGGAGGCAGAGGTTGCAGTGAGCCGAGATCACGCCACTGCACTCCAGCCTGGGCAACACAGCAAGCCTCCGTCTCAAAAAAACAACAAAAAGAACCAGTTTATTGTGACAAACCTAATAACCTTCTTTATGGGCTGCACACCCACACAAAACAACACATCCAACCTGTCTTTTTTCCAAATTTTTCCTTTCTTCTTCCATCCCTATCAGCTTAAGAGACAGAGAAAATGCCAGGTGATGATATTTTTGCTTTGATGCTCTTAAACTGAACCACTGGGAAGAGACTTGCGGCTTTTATCTCAACACCAAATACACATAAAGAAACTTCACCATCTTCAGGAGAGGGTTCTGGTTTTCAGAAGTACCCATTTATACCTATGTGCCTTTTTCAACAGGGAAGGTGCCTTTCCATGTTGACTTATGTAAAATTGTCATTGTTATTGTACAAGACTCTGCTACAACTCTATGAAGTGCTTCCTACTTCTTCCTTTGGCCAAAATTTCTTTTTTCTTTTAAATAAAAGCTGGGCACAGTGCCTCATGCATGTAATCCAAGCACCTCGGGAGGCCGGGGCAAGCAGATCAGCTGAGCTCAGGAGTTCAAGACCAGCCTGGGCAACATGGCAAAACCCTGTCTCTACTAAAAATACAAAATTAGCCATGCATGGTGGCATGTGCCTGTAGCCCCAGCTACTTGGGAGGGTAAGACGGTGGGTGCTGAGACAGGAGAATCACTTGAGCCTGGGAGGTGGAGGCTGCAGTGAGCCGAGATCGTGCCACTGCACTCCAGCCTGTGTGACAGAGCAAGGCCTTGTCTCAAAAAAAAAAAAAAAAAAAGAATAGAGACAGGGTCTTAGTATATTGCCCAGGCTGGTCTTGAACTCCTGGCCTCAAGTGATCCTCTCACCTTGGTCTCCCAAAGTACTAGGATTAAAGGCATGAGCCACCACACCTGACCATGGTCCAATTTCCTAATACTCAAGATACAAGTGAGAAAAACGGTAAGTGTTTCCCAATTGGCTATTAACTAAGTCATTTCTTCATGCTTCTTTTGTCCCTTCCCTGGAAGACACTTGCACACTGATGATCCTTTGTTTGTCAAGTTCAGTCTTTACTACCCCCAGCATCACTCTAGATTGCACGTGTTAAATACTTATATTGAGCACTCTTGGTTACCATGTGATATCAAAGCCAAGAATTTTATAAAATTCAACTTCGTATCACAAAGGACACTAACAATATGCTGTTTCTATGCTCGACTAGTTTGAAATAACCATGAACGGCCTCGCACGGTGGCTCGCGCCTGTAATGCCAGCACTTTGGGAGGCCGAGGCGGGCAGATCACTTGAGGTTGGGAGTTCGAGACCAGCCTGACCAACATGGAGAAACCCCGTCACTACTAAAAATACAAAATTAGCCGGGCGTAGTGGCACATGCCTGTAGTCCCAGCTACTCGGGAGGCTGAGGCAGGAGAATTGCTTGAACCTGGGAGGCGGGGGTTGTGGTGGGGTTTGCAGTGAACCGAGATCGCGCCATTGCACTCCAGCCTGGGCAACAAGAACGAAACTCCATCTCAAAAAAAAAAAAAAGCGGGGGGTAGGGGGGGACTGTCTTTCACAAAACTGGTCCCTGGTGCCAAAAAGGTTGGAGACTGCTGGACTATCTAACAAAATGGGGTCTCTGCCGTGAGAAGGTTATAACGTCTTAGCTCCTCCCCTGACTCATAGATGATCCCTAAATACATGTAACAAAACAAAGATGCCAAGAGCACAGCTGCTCATGTGCCAGAGGAGAACTGCTCTGATCATGCACCAACTCAGTTCAGTCTTTTCCTGGAGAAGTCCAACTCAAATTCCAGATTACAATGCAGACCAACGAATTAGTGTTAACAATTTGACTTTTTTTTGTTTTTTTTTTTTTTTTTTTTTGAGATAAGATCTGGCTCTGTTGCCCAGGTTAGAGTAGAGTGGTGTAATCACAGCTCACTGTAGCCTCGACCACCCAGGCTCAAGCAATCCTCCCAACTCAACCACCCGAGTAGCTCAGACTACAGGTGCACACCACCACGCCTGGCTAATTTTCAAATTTTATTTGTAGAGATGGAGTCTCACTATGTTGCCCAGGCTGTTCCCAAGCCATCTTGGACTCAAGTGATCCTCCTGCCTTGGTGTCTCAAAGTCCTGGGATTACAGGTGTGAGTCACTGTACCTGGCCAACAAGATTTCTTAAAGATAACTCTTTACATGACAAATTCTTTCGTTATCACAAATTCAATTAGGGTAGTAAAGAGACTTCACCAATCAATCATGCTTTTAGAATTAGACCCCAATGGCTGGGCACCGTGGCTCACGCCTATAATCCCAGCACTTTGGGAGGCCGAGGCAGGCGGATCACGAGGTTAGGAGATCGAGACCATCCTGGCTAACATGGTGAAACCCCGTCTCTACTAAAAATACAAAAAATTAGCCGGGCGTGGTGGTGGGCGCCTGTAGTCCCAGCTACTCGGGAGGCTGAGGCAGGAGAATGGCGTGAACTCGGGAGGCGGAGCTTGCAGTGAGCCAAGATTGCGCCACTGCACCCCAGCCTGGGCGACAGAGTGAGACTCCGTCTAAAAATAAAAGATGGAGAGTCAAACAAAACCACCAGGCAAAAAAGACTCCAGTCACCAGGAGGCAAACAATACAAAACCAAAACTGTTGGAGAAAATGTGAATTAGTATATCCTCAATGAGGGCAACGCAGCCCCTTCCCTCAATACCACAGGGCATGGACCCTCACAACCAGAAATTTCTTAGGATCTTCCTACAGATACACCTGAAACACCGACAATATGATGTATATACGATGAGGCTCACAGCAGCCTCTATTGTATCAGCATAAGACTAGAAACAAACTGACACACAAGAGACTGAATAAACCGATGCATCCACACAAGATGTCATGAAGCAGCAGGAAGACAAGACAACAGGAACACAGCTTCCTTCCGAGGTACCTGAATCTCATCATAGTGAAAGAGCCATCACGGTGAAACCCAAATTGAGGGACATTCGACAAAGTAATCGGCAAAATGTCAGTCTTCAAATGTGTCAAAGTTTTCAAAGTCAAGGCCGGGTGTGGTGGTTCATGTCTGTAATCCCAGCACTTTGGGAGGCTGAGGCGGGTGGATCACTTCTTAGTCCAGGAGTTCAAGACCAGCCTGGGCAACATGGCAAAACCTCATCTCTACTAAAAATACAAAAAATTAGCCCAGGATGGTGGCACACACCTATGGTCCCAGCTACTAAGGAGGCTGAGGTGGGAGGATCGCTTTGAGTTCAGGAGCTTAAGGCTGCAGTGAGCCATGATCGTGTCACTGCATTCCTGCATGAGTGACACAGCAAGACCCTGTCTCAAATTAAAAAAAAAAAAAAAGAAAGTCAAATAAAGGCCATGAGGAACTGCTCCAAACTAAAGAAGACTGAATAGGGCCGGGCGCAGTGGCTCACGCCTATAATCCCAGCCAGCACTTTAGGAGGCTGAGGCAGGCGGATCACTTGAGGCCAGGAGTTCAAGACCAGCCTGGCCAACATGGTAAAACCCCATCACTACTAAAAATACAAAAAAATTACCCGGGCATGGTGGCAGGCACCTGTAATCCCAGATACTCGGGAGGCTGAGGTAGAATCACTTGAACCCGGGAGGTGGAGGCTGCAGTGAGCCAAGATCACACCACTGCACTCCAGCCTGGGCAACAGAGTGAGACTCCGTCTCAAAAAACCAAAACAAACAAAAACGAAACATATAAAGCATCCAGCACACTGGTAGCACTCAGTGCCATTCTTATTACTAATATGGTCTGGGGAATGTACACTGATCAGGACATGAAGGTCTGGATTTTTCAGAGACACAGATGGTGTAATGGCCCACTCCCTGTCAGGCGATGAGAAAGGAGATAGTCCCATAGAAGCATGAACGTTCTCACTCAAGCAGGCCAGGATTCCCCAGGTGTCAGCCCCCTGCCCTGAGGGAAGCAAGGGCGACGATCTCTGAAACAGAGATAGGCTAGAAACAGGCCACGGTGCAAGATAAAATGCAGTGCAAAAACCTCTCTTGATGGGTATGAACCAGGAGCAGTTTATGCACCACACGTAACAACTAGAAGCTTTTCAGCAGAGCTGAGCTGACGGACACTGGCCTGGGGTCAGTGCAAACCATGGGAAAACCCTTTGTCCTTGAGGAGTTTAAAGCTTGGGGAGTGGTGGCTCACGCCTGAAATCCCAAAACTTTGGGAGGCTGAGGTGCATGGATCACTTGAGGTCAGGAGTTCAAGACCAGCCTGGCCAACATAGTGAAACCCTGTCTCTACTAAAAATACAAAAATTAACTGGGCATGGTGGTGGGCACCTGTAATCCCACCTACTAGGGAGGCTGAGGCAGGAGAATCACTTGAACCCAGGAGGTAGAGGCTGCAGTGAGCCAAGACTGTGCCACTGCACTCCAGCCGGGGTGACAGAGTGAGACTGTCCCCAAAAAAAGCCTGGAGAGAAGTAAACAGGTAACAGTACAGTGTGACAAATGGTAGGAATTCCAGAAGACAGTAATTGTATTTGGGGAAGCATTTAGTTTAACATGCAAACGAATGTATAACTTTTTTTTTTCTTTGGTGAGACAGTCTCACTCTGTCGCCCAGGCTAGAGTGCAGTGGCGCGATCTCAGCTCACCTCTGCCTCCTGGGTTCAAGCACTTCTCCTGCCTTAGCCTCTCAAACAGCTGGACTACAGGCGCATGCCACCATGCCCAGCTAACTTTTGTTTTTTATTCATTTATTTTGTTTTTTTTTGAGATGGAGTCTTGCTCTGTAGCCCAGGCTGGAGTGCAGTGGCGCGATCTCGGCTCACTGCAAGCTCTGCCTCCTGGGTTCACGCCTTTCTCCTATCTCAGCCTCCTAAGTAGCTGGGACTATAGGTGCCCGCCACCACGCCCGGCTAATTTTTTTGTATTTTTTAGTGGAGACGGGGTTTCACCATGTTAGCCAGGATGGTCTCGATCTCCTGACCTCGTGATCCGCCCGCCTCGGCCTCCCAAAGTGCTGGGATTACAGGCGTGAGCCATCGTGCCCAGCCAGCAATTTCTGTATTTTTAACAGAGACAGGGTTTCAACATATTGGTCAGGCTGGTCTCGAACTCCTGACCTCGTGATCCGCCCACCTCGGCCTCCCAAAGTGTTGGCATAACAGGCGTGAGCCACACGCCCGGCCTGAATATATAACTTTTAAAAACACTAAGTTGTTGTTCATATGAAAAGATAATCAATTATATTGTTAAGGTTTTTACAGAAAAGAGATAAAGTAGTCAGTCCTCTTACCTGGGTATTGTCTGTATAATGAAAATATCTTGGCCACGAACAGATTCTTTTATTTCAACTCTTGTTTCTGAAAAATAAAAATGTTCTGAAGTTTTAAGAAAAGCTCCTATGTTAAAAAGGAGAAAAAAGAAAAACAAAAGTACTTCATGCCGGGCGCGGTGGCACATGCCTGTAATCCTAGCACTTTAGGAGGGCTGAGGAAAGCAGATCACTTGAGCACCAGAGTTCAAGAACAGCCTAGGCAACATGACAAAATCCTGTCTCTACAAAAAATACAAGAATTAGCTGGGCGCGGTGGCTCACGCCTGTAATCCCAGCACTTTGGGAGGCCGAGGTGGGCAGATCACGAGGTCAGGAGATCGAGACCATCCTGGCTAACACAGTGAAACCCCGTCTCTACTAAAAACACAAAAAATTAGCCGGGCGTGGTGGCGGGTGCCTGTAGTCCCAGCTACTCGGGAGGCTGAGGCAGGAGAATGGCGTGAACCTGGGAGGCAGAGCTTGCAGTGAGCCGAGATCGCGCCACTGCACTCCAGCCTGGGTGACAGAGCAAGATTCCGTCTCATTAAAAAAAAAAAAAAAAAAGAGTTCTTCGAGACCAGCCCGGCCAATATGGTGAAACCCTGTCTCTACTAAAAATACAAAAATTAGCCAGGCATGGTGGCGCACAACTATAATCCCAGCTACTCAGGAGGCTGAGGCAGAAGAATCACTTGAACCTGGGAGGCAGAGCTTGCAGTGAGCCGTGATCGCGCCACTGCACTCCAGTCTGGGTGACACAGCGAGATTCTATCTCAAAAAAATAATTAGCTGGACATGGTGACAAGTGCCTGTAGTCCCAGTGGGAGGATCACCTGAGCCAGGGAAGGTCATGGCTGCAGTGTGAGCTGAAACTGTGCCACTGCACTTCAGCCTGGACAACAGAGACCTTGTCTGGAGAAAAAAAAAAAAAAAAAGCAGAAAAGCAAAGCACTCATGATGCAACAGCTAGAAACATTTGGAGGGAGTAAAGATTAATCTAAACCAACATTTTATCTGGGGCAAAAGAATAAGTCTTGGAGCAGTATGAAGAAGAGGAAGCGAGAATGACCCCCGACTGAGCGCAGTCCGTGCACCGCCACTGCATCCCGCTCCCAGTGCCTACGTCCGGCTGCTTTCGTTGCCACCATGCCCAAGAGAAAGGCTGAAGGGGATGCTAAGGGAGATGAGGCCAAGGTGAAAGACGAACCACAGAGAAGATCTGTGAGGCTGTCTGCTAAACCTGCTCCTCCCTCCAAAGCCAGAGCCCAGGCCTAAAAAGGCCACTGCAAAGAAGGGAGAGAAGGTACCCAAGGGAAAAAGGAAAAAGCTGACACTGGCGAGGAGGGGAATGACTCTATGGGAAGTGGAGATGCCTGAACACACCAGGCACCTGCTGGAGATGCTGAGGGAAGCGTGTGCATTTTGGATAACTGTGTACTTCTGGTGACTGTACAGTTTGAAATACTATTTTTTATCAAGTTTTATAAAAACGCAGAATTTTTGTTTTCTAAGCTATGTTGTTAGCACACAGAACGCTTCATTGTTGTTCTGGGGAAAGGAGCATATGTCATGAATAGAATGTCTCCGAAGCTGGATTGATGTGGGGAAAGCACCTTTCCCTTCTAGTTTTGAGAGACTTCCTCTCGGCTCCCAGGAAGAGGGGCTCCCTGACTTTGACACACATGGCCACCTCAGCACACAAAAGCCTTGTGCTCTGAAAAGACAAATTTGTTTCTATGTCCTCTTCTCCCTTTCCACCTTTCAGCATGGACTTAAATCCCTTAAAGCCAGACATCTGTTGGCACCTGACCCCCCCATAATTGATTACCAGTGTGGCAGGCAATCTGGACCTTCCAGTGATGCCACTGAGATGGCGCCCCTCAAAAGAGCAGTAGTTCCGTTTCTAGACTGTGGATCTTCAGATAAACTCTGCCATATTCATTTCACTTCCGGAAAGTCAGGGTCAGCTTGTGAAAAGTTGTTAAACAACATGCTAAATGTTCACTGGGTTTTACAGTGGCTTTCTGATTTTTGGTTGTGCACTGAAAAAGGGAGTTTGGCCGGGCGCGGTGGCTCCGCCTGTAATCCCAGCACTTTGGGAGGCTGAGGCAGGAGAATTGCTCGAACCTGGGAGGCAGAGGCTGCAGTAAGCTGAGATTGCACCACTGCACTCCAGCCCGGGCGACATCCTTATTATTTTTTCAACAAATGCTGAAGCCTCCTCCATGTCAGGAACTGTACTGGGAACCCCAAAATGCAGGACTTGGAAGAAGGGACAAAGACTGACCCAGGAGAGATGATACAACAACAAGGCCAGCAAACCCTCCGGGCCCAATATGCCAGAGACGCTAGCCATGACGAAGGAGAAAGAACAATGGGGCTGGAAAAAAGGGCCTCACTGCAATCCAGAACGAGCAGCGCAGAAGGGGGTTTGGGAACATGGGAAGATGTGGGATCCGAGTGTGCCAAGCAGAGGGGCAGGCAGTTAGTCCACTTAGAAAGCAGACAGAGTGGGCCGGGCGCGGTGGCTCATGCCTGTAATCCCAACACTTTGGGAGGCCAAGACGGGTGGATCACCTGAGGTCAGGAGTTCAAGACCAGCCTGACCAACATGGCAAAACCCCCGTCTCTGCTAAAAATACAAAATTAGCCGGGTTTGGTGGCGTATGCCTGTAATCCCAGCTACTTGGGAGGCTGAGGCAAGAGGATTGCTTGAACCTGGGAGGTGGAGGTTGCAGTGAGCCAAGATCATGCCACTGCACTCCAGCCTGGGTGACAGAGCAAGACTCCGTCAAAAAAAAAAAAAAAAAAAAAAAAAAAAGAAAGCAGACAGAGTGAGGGGAAAGAGAGAGACAGGAGGTCAGGGAGCCAAGGGGCCAGGACTTGCAGGACTCTGGATTTCATTTCTTACTCGCTGAAGAGTCTGGAATTTATTCTAGCAGTGACAGGAAAGCCACTGGAAGATTTAAGGTTGGGAAGGGTTTCATCTACTTGTTTTAAAAAGACTGCTGGCTACTGTGTGAAGAAAACCGTGGCAGGGCAGGAGTGGCCACGGGGAGGCCATGGCGTCTGTTTTGGAAGGTGTCTAGCAAGCAGCAAACGGCAGGCTGGACTTAAGTGGGAGCAGCAGAGGTTGTGAGAAAGGGTCAGATATAAGATGTATTCCAAAGTCAGAGCACACAAGATGTGGTAATGGGTGGATCAAAGATGAGGCAGGTAAAGGGGTAGAATCTGGATTCCCAAAGGGCCCCATGTGATTGCTAAAAAGACTGGACCCCAGCCTACAGGGTAGGAGTAAGGAAGCAGTAGTAAGAAAAAATATTTGCATTTTAGAAATAACGTGGTGGAAGCCGAGTGCGGTGGCTCACGCCTGTAATCCCAGCACTTTGGGAAGCTGCGGTGGGAAGACTGCTTGAGCTCAGAAGTTCAAGACCAGCCTGGCCAACATAGTGAGACCCCATCTTAATAAAAATAAATAAATAAATAAATAAATAAATAAAGGCTGGGCACAGTGGTCATGCCTGTAATCCTAGCACTTTGGGAGGCCGAGGCAATAGGGTCCCCTGAGGTCAGGAGTTTGAGACCAGCCTGGCCAACAGGGTGAAACCCCATCTCTACTAAAAATACAAAAATTAGCCGGGTGTGGTGGCGGGCGTCTGTAATCCCAGCTACTCAGCAGGCTGAGGCAGGAGAATTGCTTGAACCTGGGAGGCAGAGGTTGCAGTGAGCCAAGATCATGCCACTGCACTCCAGCCTGGGCGACAGAGTGAGGCTCTGTCTCAAAAAAACTAAATAAATAAAAAATAATTTTAAAAAAAAGAAATAATTTTAACTTACCTCCATTGGTCTCTTGATATACAACAGACTTCCCCAATTCAGCACCAAGGCGCCTATAGATCAAAAAGAACAAAAAAGGGAAATTAAGATTACTCTTTTTAAAAAAATTCCAGTTCATATGCATATGTCTAATAAAAAGACTCAAATAATTAAGCTGCCATTCTTTCCAAAAAATAATTCAGAAAATCTAATTCATTAAACTAAAATTCTGCTGTCACTCCATAAGCAGCTCACCACGTTGTAACATACTGCTTTACCAGACAGAGCTCACAACCCATGGTTAATGTCTGGTGCGCGTTGTTCTTTGAATAGTAATTTTCTTGGAAAATCACTTCCAAATACTTGGTTACAAGCAATGATTTCAATAACACACACCAGAGATAAATGCCTCAATTATCAAAAGCATAGAGAAGGAAAGAGGCTTCAGCACTCTGACCAAATGTGGTGTGGATCTTGTTTGGATCCTAATTAGAATAAACCAAGTGTAAAAAGCCATTTTTGGCCAGGCGTGGTGGCTGATGCCTGTAATCCCAGCACTTTGGGAGGCCAAGGCGGGCGGATCACCTGAGGTCGGGAGTTTGAGACCAGCCTGACCAACATGGAGAAACCCCGTCTAAAATACAAAATCAGCTGGGCATGGTGGAGCATGCCTGTAATCTCAGCTACTAGGGAGGCTGAGGCAGGAGAATTGCTTGAACCCGGGAGGCGGAGGTTGTGGTGAGCCGAGATCGCGCCATTGCACTCCCGCCTGGGTAACAAGAGCAAAACTCCGTCTCAAAAAAAAAAAAAGCCATTTTAAAAAATAATCAGAGAAATATGGACAAAGACTAGATACTACATAATATTAAGGAATTAATAGTAGTGTGAGGTTTTAAGTCCTGATTAGTAAGCATTACTCTTTTTACAAGTGAAATGATATGATGTAAGATAATCTATTTAAAAATATTCCAGGCCGGGTGCGGTGGCTCACGTCTGCAATCCCAGCACTTTGGGAAGCTGAGGTGGGCGGATCACCTGAGGTCAGGAGTTCGAGACCAGCCTAACTAATATAATAAAACCCCATCTCTACTAAAAATACAAAAATTAGCTGGGTGTGGTGGCGAGCGTCTATAATCCCAGCTACTCAGGAGGCTGAGACAGGAGAATTGCCAGAATCCAGGAGGCAGAGGTTGCCGTGAGCCGAGATCACACCATCGCACTCCAGCCTCGGCAACAGGAGCGAAACTCCATCTCAAAAAATAATAATAAAAAAAATAAAATTAACATCTCCAGCCAGGCCAGGCGCAGTGGTTCATGCTTGTAATCTCAGCATTTTGGGAGGCCAAGGTGGGCAGAACACTTGAGGCCAGGAGTTCGAGACCCGCCTGGGCAACATGGAAAAACCCCATCTCTACTAAAAACACAAAAATTAGCTGGGTGTGGTGGTGGGCACCTGTAATCCCAGTTACTTGGGAGCTGAGGCACGAGAATCACTTGAACCTGGGAGGCGGGGGCTGCAGTGAGCCAAGATTGTGCCACTGCACTCCAGCCTGGGTGACTTTATCTCAAAAAAAAAAAACAACAAAACTCCAGCCAGGTATACACATACAATGGAATATTATTTGGCCTTAAAAAAAGAATAAATTCTGCAGCCAGGCGCAGTGGCTCATGCCTGTAATCCCAGCACTTTGGGAGGCCGAGGCGGGCGGATCACGAGGTCAGGAGATCGAGACCACCCTGGCTAACACGGTGAAACCCCATCTCTACTAAAAATACAAAAAATTAGCCGGGCGTGGTGGAGGGCGCCTGTAGTCCCAGCTACTCGGGAGGCTGAGGCAGGGGAATGGCGTGAACCCAGGGGGCGGAGCTTACAGTGAGCAGAGATCGTGCCACTGCACTCCAGCCTGTGCGACAGAGTGAGATTCCGTCTCAAAAAAAAAAAAAGAATAAATTCTGGTACGTGCTATGACATGAGGGAGCCTTGGACAAGGTATGCTGAGGAAAATAAGCCAGACACAGACAAACGCTATGATTCTATTTGTATGAAGTCCCAAGAATAGGCAATTCATAGAGACAAAGTAGAATGGAGGCTACCAGGGAATGGGGACTTAGTATTTAATGGGTACAGAGTTTCTGTTTGGGATGATGAAAAGTTCTGGAAATGAATAGTGGTGATGGTTGTGCAACACTGTGAATGTAGTTAAAGCCACTGAAGTGTACACTTAAAAATGGTTAAAAAGGTAGGCCAGGCACAGTGGCTCATGCCTGTAAAGGCGGCACTTCGGGAGGCCAAGGTAGGTGGATCACCTGAAGTTGGGAGTTTGAGACCAGCCTGACCAACATGGAGAAACCCCGTCTCTACTAAAAACACAAAATTAGCGGGGTGTGGTGGTGCAGCCTGTAATCCCAGCTACTTGGGAGGCTGAGGCAGGAGAATCACTTGAACTCGGGAGGCGGAGGTTGTGGGTGAGCCAAGATGGCTCTATTGCACTCCAGCCTGGGCAACAAGAGCAAAACTTCGTCTCAAAAACAAACAAACAAACAAAAAACGGTTAAAAAGGTAAACTTTATGTTATGTATATAACAATTTTTAAAAATACTCCAGGTGGGCCGGGCGCAGTAGCTCACGCCTATAATCCCAGATCGTCTGAGGTCAGGAGTTTGAGACCAGCCTGGCCAACGTGGTGAAACCCATCTCTACTAAAAATACAAAAACTAGCCAGGTGTGGCCGGGCGCGGTGGCTCACGCCTGTAATCCCAGCACTTTGGGAGGCCGAGGCGAGTGGATCACGAGGTCAGGAGATTGAGACCAACCTGGCTAACACAGTGAAACCCGTCTCTACTAAAAATACAAAAAATTAGCTGTGCGAGGTGGCGGGGGCCTGTAGTCCCAGCTACTCGGAAGGCTGAGGCAGGAGAATGGCGTGAACCCTGGGGGCGTAGCCTGCAGTGAGCCGAGATCGCGCCACTGCACTCCAGCCTGGGCGACAGCGAGACTCCGTCTCAAAACAAAAAACAAAAAACAAAAAACTAGCCAGGTGTGGTGTCGGGCATCTGTGATCCCAGCTACTTTCGAGGCTGAGGCAGGAGAATCGCTTGAACTTGGGACGTGGAGGTTGCAGTAAGCCGAGATGGCACCACTGCACTCCAGCCTGGGTGACACAAGACTGTCTCAAAATAAATAAAACAGATAAGATAAAACAAAATCTTACTGAGCGACAAGTAAAACAGGTAAGGGAAGTATTTATGAATATGTATCATTTATAGTAATTCAAAATCTTTCGGGAATTTGCCAGGAAAGAATCTAAAACAAACAAACAAAAAAAACCCTCACTGACTTTTAAAATGTGCCCTGCTCCCCTCTGCTCTCCCTCAAGGTCAGGTAGGGTAAATCTGAACCACTAGATACACACAGAAGCTTCGTTTAAAGTCAGTGTTTTCGTTGGCCTCAGAAAGAAAGACAAACAATCAGGGGTTAGAAATAGAAACTAGGTAGTAGACTGCAAAAGGATTGATTTGTTTTTTTAACATTCTTCCACTCTCCAAAACTCCAACTATTAAAAAAAAAAACAAGCAGAGCTGAAAAAAAAATGACTAAAGTTTTCCCTTTCTTCTACATTTCCCCCCAGAAGTTTAAGATATATCCCTGCAATCATTTGTCAACCCTAAAAAAGTAACGAAGTAACTCTATGAAAACTGTTTAAAATGTGAAAATGGCTTTAAATATTAAAAGACGAGCTATTCATTTTATGTCTTAGATTTCTAACAAGTGTATGTAGAAAGGGCATATAAGGCTCCTCCTTTATATCAGAGCTCTGGGATTCTCCAAAAGAGCCAACTAGAAAAGAGGCCATTTCACCGGGCGCGGTGGCTGAAGCCTGTAATCCCAGCACTTTGGGAGGCCGAGGCGGGCGGATCACGAGGTCAGAAGATCGAAACCATCCTGGCTAACACGGTGAAACCCAGTCTCTACTAAAAATACAAAAAATGAGCCGGGTGTGGTGGCGGGTGCCTGTAGTCCCAGCTACTTGGGAGGCTGGGGCAGGACAATGGCGTGAACCCGGGAGGCGGAGCTTGCAGTGAGCCGAGATCTCGCCACTGCACTCCAGCCTGGGTGACAGAGCGAGACTCCGTCTCAAAAAAAAAAAAAAAAAAAAAAAGAAAAGAAAAAGAAAAAGAAAAGAGGCCACTTAGTAAACAACTATTCAGAGGGCCACTATGAGCCCCTACTCTGCTAGAACCAGATACTACTTCTACATTATCCCGATCATACAATATTCTCAACCATGCCCATTTCACAGATGAGGTTCAGGGAAATCAAGTCTCTTGCCCACTGACACAGAGCTAGTAAGTGGCAAGGCTGGGAGGGCATCTCAGAGCTGTCAGACCCCAAAGGCGACTTAAGACCAGGGGCTTGGTTGGGTTAAAGACACAAATGACTGATCTTATCCCAAGCTGATTTACAAAGCAGGGTCAGGCCTGTCATTTCTACCACCAGCTCCGGCCCATCTGCCTCCCTGGAATTGCCTTCTTCGCACTGCCAGTCCCCACACCTTTGCTCTGCGACCGCACCTGCCGCGTCGGATCCCCCAACTCACAACCACGCCCGCGGGTCTCACTGCAGTGAGACTTGAGAGTGGCGGCGGTCAGATTCCCAGGTCAACTCCAGCCGTGGGAAAGGAAGCCAAGCCCTGAGCCCCTTTCCCCAAGACACGCACTCCGGGGCTCCAGAAAGCTCGGCCCGCCCCGGGGTGTGGGACTGCGGAGACGAAAGGCAGGCAGGCCGCGGACCCAGTCACGGGGCGGGGGGCTGAGGTCACCGAGAGTCCGCCCCAAGCCTCCCAGCTGCAAAACCGGGGAGCGGGGGGCGGTATCCGTCACCTCCAAGCTTTGTCCGGCTGGGAAGGCCCGCGCCTCCCGCCCCAGGTGCAGGAGGTGGGGCGGGTGGAGGGGAGCGGGTCCCTCCGGGCGCGAAGGAGAGCTAGGCGCCGCCGCCCCCGGCCCGGCCCTCCCACCGCCCCCTTACTCTGTGATGCGCTTGGCCAGCTCCGTGCAGGCGGCCGTGGAGTTGGCCGAGAAGACTCGGTAGCCGGTGCGAGCGGCGTTCATGGCCGGCGGGGGAACGGGGCGGGCGCGCGGGACGCGGAAAGCCGAGGACGCGGAGGGCGGGGGCAACAGCAGCAGCTTCTTGGGCATCGTCCGGCCCGCGGCGCGGTTACGACCGGCCCCGCGCGGGGCTGCACTCTGAGTGCTTCCGACTGCGAGACCCCGGTTTGGGTGGGGAAGGCGCTGAGAAACTCGGCGCAAGCGGGGAGAGCTCCGAGGTCCGTGCCCTTGCGCACCCCACACCACTGACTACAGCGGCCGAGCCTTCGCAGCGCCCGGCGCCGCCGCCTCAGAGCCAGAGGCAAGGCCACCGCCCCCTCCGGGCATCCGAAGAGCGTCGGCTAGAGCGCCCTCAGGCCGCCATCTCGGATGAGGGCAGGGAGCCTGGCGACTCTCTAAAAGCCTGTTCTTCCGAGGGGCATGTCACAGGTTCGCCCCGCCCCTGCTTTGACCGCTTCCACGGGAGCTCTTTCGGTCTCACTTTCTTGGGAGGAGCAGCCTACCTCGGTAGTGGCCCCAGGTGTTTCCAACTTTTTGGCCAGGACCCAACATGTCCGCCTCCGAGGAGGTATACGATCTAGCTCTGCATGTCTATGGTAGCACAGCGCCCGCCCCACGAGGCGCGTGCGCCGGCCGGAGATTAATTTGAAAAGTAGAGGGCGGGGGTTCTTTCCAGCTGGTTGACCGCAGTACTGAAGCGGCCAAAAAGTGGTCTTCTCCTGAGCCTGATCTTTCAGGCGTTTCCGAACAGATCCCCAACCCTGTGTCTGCGTGTAAGGCAAGGTTCCCTGAACGTGCCAAAGGCCCTCTTGCCGGTATTCGCTTTCAATCAAAAAAGCCCTCCTTCTCCTCTTTCCATATGCGCCACCCCTCCGAGACCCACTCGCGATGCGTCTGTTCCACAGTCTTTCTGGTGACCTCAACCACAGTAAGCCGCCCGGCCCGCGGGACTGTGCCACACGTAGATGCTTGCATTTTTTAAATTTTTGTTGTTGTTGTTATTGTTTTGATGCTTGCATATTTATGTACCTTTGCAAACATCTATTTTCCTAACTAGGATGTAACCCATTTTACGGCCACATCGTGAGTTCCTTTTTTTTTTTTTTAATTTTATTATTATTTATTTATTTTTTGAAATAGGGTCTCCCTCTGCCGCCCAGGCTGGAGTGCAGTGGCGCGATCACGGCTCACTGCAGCCTCTACCTCCCGGGCTCAAGCCATCCTCCTACCTCAGTCATTCAAAATGCCGACATTACAGGCCTCAGCCATCACGCCCCGCCAAGATCGTGTATTCCTGAGTGCTCCGTGTTACCCAGTGTATAGGGCAGTGTGTGGGCTCCAGAGGCCCGCAATCAGTACTTGTTGAAGTAGAAAGTAAAGCCCAGGGAAGCATTTGAGATCTCTAGTTATCAGCTGCACCAGAACTCGAGGGGAGGAGAGGTGCCTCTCACATTGACAGTACCATCTTCTGAGAATGTCCTTTAGAGACTCTGCTTGTGGTGACATTGGGCTTGAGGGAGCAGTAGATTGTGACTCAGCATGTCGTGAAGGACCACAAGTCTGAAGCTACAGGATTTGGAAGTTGAGCTGCCCTGAGCCTGCAGCAGCCTGGCCCCTATTCCAATAGCTCTCTAGAAAAAAAAAAAAAAAAAAAAAGGACAGTGGGTGCACAGCCTAGGCCAAATTATTTAACCACTGCACACATGTCCAGCTCACAGACCCTGACAAAAACCTTGTTACCTTCTTAAAAAAAAGGGGGAATGGGATAGGTGCAGTAGCTCATGCCTGTAATCCCAGCACTTTGGGAGGCCGAGGCGGATGATAGTTTGAGGTCAGGAGTTCAAGACCAGCCTGGGCAACATGGCGAAACCCAATCTGTACTAAAAATACAAAAATTAGCCAGGTGTTGGCTGAGCGTGGTGGCTCACTCCTTTAATCCCAGCACTTTGGGAGGCTGAGGTGGGTGGATCACCTGAGGTCAGGAGTTTGAGACAAGCCTGGCCAAGGTGGCAAAACACTGTCTCTACTAAAAATGCAAAAATTAGGCTGGGCACGGTGGCTCATGCCTGTAATCCCAGCACTTTGGGAGGCTATGGTGGGTGGATCACGAGGTCAGGAATTCGATACCAGCCTGGCCAACATGGTGAAACCCTGTCTCTACTAATAATACAAAAAATTAGCCAGATGTGGCCGGGCGCGGTGGCTCACGCCTGTAATCCCAGCACTTTGAGAGGCTGAGGCGGGCGGATCACAAGGTCAGGAGATCGAGACCATCCTGGCTAACACGGTGAAACCCCATCTCTACTAAAAATACAAAAAATTAGCCGGGCGCAGTGGCGGGCGCCTGTAGTCCCAGCTACTCGGGAGGCTGAGGCAGGAGAATGGCGTGAACCCGGGAGGCGGAGCTTGCAGTGAGCTGACATTGTGCCACTGAACTCCAGCCTGGACGACCGGGCGAGGGCGCGACTCTGTCTCAAAAAAAAAAAAAAAAAATCAGCCAGATGTGGTGGCGCGGTGGCACACACCTGTAATCCCACCTACTCAAGAGGCTGAGGCAGGAGAACCGCTTGAGCTCGGGAGGCGGAGGTTGCAGTGAGCTGAGATCAGGCCACTGCACTCCATCCTGGGCAACACAGCAAGACTCCATCTCTCTCTCATACACACACACACACACACACACACACACACACACACAATTAGCCAGGTGTGGTGGCAGGCAACTGTAATCCCAGTTACTTGGGAGGCTAAGGCAGGAGAATCGCTTGAACCTGGGAGGCGGAGGTTGTAGTGAGCCGAGATTGTGCCAGCCTGGGCAACAGAGTGAGACCTCCTCTCAAAAAAAAAAAAAAAAAAAAAAAACAGGTTGGGCACGGTGGCTCACGCCTGCAATCCCAGCACTTTGGGTGGCCGAGGTGGGCAGATCACGAGGTCAGGAGATTGAGACCATCCTGGTCAACATGCTTAAACCCCATCTCTACTAAAAATACAAAAATTAGCCGGGGGTGGTGGCGCGCCTGTGGTCCCAGCTACTCGGGAGGCTGGGGCAGGAGAATCACTTGAACCCAGGAGGTGGAGATTTCAGTGAGCCAAGATCAAGCCACTGCACTCCAGCCTGGCAACAGAGCGAGACTCCATCTCAAAAAAAAAAAATTAGCCAGATGTGGTGGCACATGCCTGTAGTCCCTTCTACTCCGGAGGCTGAGGCAGAAGAATCACTTGAATCCAGGAGGCAGAGGTTGCAGTGAGCCGAGATCGTGCCACTGCACTCTAGCCTGGGCAACAGAGTGAGTCTCTGTCTCAATAACAACAATAAAAAGTTAATCAGCCTATAGCCCCAGCTACTTGGGAGGATGAGGCAGGAGGATCCCTTGAGCCCGGAAGTCCAAGGCTGCAGTGAGCTACGATTGAGCCACTCCACTCCAGCATGGGCAACAGAGAAAGACTCTGACTCAAAAAAATTAAAAATAAATGCTTGCTGAAAAGGGGAGCACGAAACACTTCTGAGGCAGGAGAATAGGGTCTGGAGGCAGGGTACGTAAGGCCAATTCACGCTGACTTCTTAGAACGAAATAAAATGGAAATACTTCAGCTATGACAAGAAATATCCTCTCCATTTACATAGGGCATACAGGAAATAATCCTATTTACATAGGGCATACACTGAGTGAATGACTTTGTAACTTGACTTCATTCCCTTCATTTACATAGGGCGTGCACCAGGTAACCAATGGAAACCTCTAGAGGGTACTGAAACCCCAGAAAATTCTGTAACGGGGCTCTTGAGCCCCTATGCTCGGCATACTCCCACCCTGTGGGGTGTACTTTCATTTTCAATAAATCTCTGCTTTTGTTGCCTCATTCTTTCCTTGCTTTGTTTGTGCGTTTTGTCTAATTCTTTGTTCAAGATGCCAAGAACGTGGACACCCTCCACCGGTAACACTTCCGGGATCCCACTCCTCAGCACAAGCATGGGCTTTGCAACAATGTGGGGATGCCCAGGGTGGCCAATGGTCATTGTTATGGACTGAAAGTTTGTGTCCTCCCAAAATTAATATGTTGAAGTTCTAACCCCCAGTGTGATGGGACTAGGAGGTGGAATGTTTGGAGGTGAGCTGGAGTTAGATGAGGGTGGGGACCCCATGATGGGATTAGTGCCCCTAAAGGAGGAAGAGACATCAGGGCTTCTCCTCTCTCTGCCATGTAAGAACATAGGGAGAAGGTGGCCGTCTGCAGCCTAGAAGAGAGCCCTCACCAGAACCCGACCATGTGGCTCCCTGAGCTGGGACTTCCAGCCTCTAGGACTGTGAGAAGTAAGTGTCTGTTTTTTAAGCCACCCAGTCTATTTTGTAGCAGCCCAGACAGACTAAAGCAGGCATGCTGAGCCTGCCTAGGGTGTCACGCATCCCGTCTGACACGTAGGCCTGCCATGGTCTGGCTTGCTTTCTCCCATGTCCTCCTCAGAAGAGGTTGATGCTCAAAGCCCTCTGCAATGCTTGTGACCCACGTTTCCCCTGCAGTCCCCCCTCCCACAGAAGCATTGCAGGGGTCTGTGTACCTGAGGAGGGAAGTGAAGGGACAGAAACAGCTCATTGCTCAATGCCCAAAGATAGCACGTTGGGCCTCAGGAGCACCTACTCAATTTAGCCACTAAAAAATTAGAAACAACCGAAATGCCCCCAAATAACAGAATAGCTATACAAATGATGATGCCTCCGAATGATGGAATATTTGGCAACCATCAGAAAGTTTGCTTTTTAGGAGCTGGGTGTGGTGGCCCACACCTGTGGTCCCAGCTACTCAGAAGGCTAAGGCAGGAGGATCCCTTGAGCCCAGGAGTTCAAGGCTCACAAATGTGAACAGCCACTGCACTCCAGCCTGGACAGCATCATAAAACTCTATCACTTTAAAAAAAAAAAAAAAAAAAAAAAAGGCTGGAGCTGGGCACGGTGGCTCACGCCTCTAATCCCAGCACCTTGAGAGGCCAGGGTGGGCAGATCACACGGTCAGGAGTTCGAGACCAGCCTGGCCAACATAGTGAAACCCTGTCTCTACTAAAAATACAAAAAAGTAGCTGGGCGTGGTGGTGGGCGCCTGTAATCCCAGCTACTCGGGAGGCTGAGGCAGGAGAATGGCTTGAACCCAGAGGTGGAGGTTGCAGCGAGCCAAGATCACGCCATTGCACTCCAGCCTGCGCGACAGAGCGAGACTCCATCTCAAAATCAATCAAGCAATCAATCAATTAATCAAACAAGGCTGGGCATGGTGGCTCATGCCTGTAATCTCAGCATTTTGGGCGGCCGAGGCTAGTGGATTACCTGAGGTCAGGAGTTTGAGACCAGCCTGGCCAACATGGCAAAACCCATCTCTACTAAAAATAACAAAAATTAGCCAGGTGTGGTAGCAGGCACCTGTAATCTCAGTTACTCAGGAGGCTGAGGTAGGAGAATCGCTTTAACCTGGGAGGTGGAGGTTGCAGTGAGCCGAGATTGCGCCACTGCACTCTAGCTTGGGCCACAGAGCGAGACCCTGTCTCTAAATAAATAAATAATAAATTAAAATTAAAAAAAAAACGTTTGCTTTGTCTGGCACAATGGCTCACGCCTACAATCCCAGCACTTCGGGAGGCCAAGGCAGGTGGATCACCTGAGATCAGGAGTTCAAGGCCAGCCTGGCCAACATGGCGAAACCACATCTCTACTAAAAATACAAAAATTAACCAGATGTGGTGAGGAGCACCTCGGATCCCAGCTACTCGGGAGGCTGAGGCATGAGAATCACTTAAACCCGGGAGGTGGAGGTTGCAGTGAGCCAAGACCACACCATTGCACTCCAGCCTGGGTGACAGAGCAAGACTGTCTCAAACGAAAAAAAAAAGGTTTGCTTTTAAAAGAATCATTGATGATGGGGAAATGCTCATAAACAAAGTGGCAAAATAACCTGACTTAGACATTATCTGAGTCATATTTTCCTGCATGTCTTAAGAGAAAGAAGGCGCACAGGGACGTGTTTGAGGACCTGAGACTCCCTTAAGAGGCTTTTATTATTTTTATTTATTTATTTTTTAAGAGACAGGGTCTCACTATGTTACCCAGGCTGGACTCAAACTCCTGGGTTCAAATGACGCTCCCGAGCAGCTGGAATTGAGGCTTTTATTATTGAAAGCCTAAATTCCCAAAGGCAAGAACTGAAGTGTCCCTGAGTGCCCCAGCCTTGGAGAGGGGGAGTCCTCACAAATTGAAGGGACAGTTGGACGAGGAGGTGGGGACTCCAACAAGTACCCTGGGGACTCTCATAAAGATGAGGAAAGAATGAAGACCGGAGGCTCTCCTTGAAGCTCAGGAACTGCGGAAGGCCCTGGGGCTCTTTTATGTACCAGTCCTGGCAGAGGACTTGGAGTCAGATTTAATCTTGTTAAACAGAATTTGTGGCCCAGCATGGTGGCTCACGCCTGTAATTCCAGCACTTTGGGAGGCCGAGGTGGGAGGATCACCTGAGGTCAGGAGTTCGAGACCAGCCTGACCAACATGGTGAAAGCCTGTCTCTACTAAAAATACAAAAATTAGCTGGGTGTTGTGGCATCCGCCTATATTCGCAGCTGCTAGTGAGGCTAGGGCAGGAGAATCGCTTGAATCCGGGAGGCTGAGGTTGCAGTGAGCCGAGATCGCCCCATTGCACTCCAGCCTGGGCAACAGAGTGAGACTCTGTCTCAAAACAAAAAAGAGAGAGAGACTCTCTGAAATAAAGCAACGTTTATTTGGGATCGGGCATGACAATGGGAATATGTGTGCCATAGTAAACTATGTGTGTATCCAACTAGGTAAAGGAGGACGAACGTTTTTAGAGGAAGATTGAGGGGGATTACACAATTGTTTTGGGATAATTTTCCTTGGCTACAAGGATCAACAACAAGTGTGACCCAGTGCCAGGTTGTACAGGCAGTTGCTGGGCAGATGCCCTCGCAGAAGTATTTTTTGTGTAAGGTTTCAGTGGCCTTTGTGCAAGGTTGTGATTTTTGCTGAGTCTTCCGTGATAGTTTTTGTTATCTGGCATTTATGCATAAGAACCTTCTCTTTATAGCCTTTCCCAGCTCTATTTGTCAGAGCTTTTTGTTTTGTTTTAACACAAGTGACTCAATTTTGCTTCTGACAACTTCCACAGAGTCTTCATTTTTACTGATGGGTCAGGGATTTTTTTCTTTCTTTCTTTCTTTTTTTTTTGAGACTGAGTCTTGCTCTGTCACCCAGGCTGGAGTGCAGTGGCACAATCTCGGCTCACTGCAAGTTCCGCCTCCCGGGTTCACGCCATTCTCCTGCCTCAGCCTCCTGAGTAGCTGGGACGACAGGCGCCCGCCACCACGCCTGGCTAATTTTTTGTATTTTTAGTAGAGACGGGGTTTCACCGTGTTAGCCAGGATGGTCTCGATCTCCTGACCTTGTGATCCGCCCTCCTCGGCCTCCCAAAGTGCTGGGATTACAGGCATGAGCCACCGCGCCCGGCTGATTTTTTCTTTTTTTGAAATGAAGTTTTGCTCTTGTCACCCAGGCTGGAGTGCAACGGCACAATCTCGGCTCACCACAACCTCCGCCTCCTGGGTTCAAGCAATTATCCTGCCTCAGCCTCCCAAGTAGCTGGGATTACAGGCATGCGCCACCACGCCTGGGTAATTTTTGTATTTTTAGTAGAGATGGGGTTTCAACCATATTGGCCAGGGTGGTCTTGAACTCCTGACCTTGTGATCCGCCCGCCTCGGCCTCCCAAAGTGCTGGGATTACAGGCGTGAGCCACCGCGCCCGGCCTTAACATGTCTTTTTTGACGTTTGAAGTGAGACTTCACTTGACCAGTTTTGTTTTTTTTACCGTTTCTCTTTATAAGACCAGACTGACTCTTGAGGTTCCAGACCAGCTGGATACCTCCTGCCAGAACGAAGACAGCTGTGCCTCCACAAAATGACATTTTGCATCTACAACCCTATTTCAGTTTTCAAGTTTTAAAAAATGAGCTGCTTGTTAACCGGGCCAGTTTCGGCATGAATTATAGAAAGATCTCCTCTGTACTAGAAACTAGAAGACAAAGGGTGGCATAAGTAGAGATTTGGCATGAAATATTGTCCAGGAACAAACAGGACAAGACAAAGAGGGGTGTGTTTAGGATTGCTCAGCCCTGTCCCCAAGGGAGGAACTAATTGGAAGACAAGGTCAGTCTTTGCAAGGATAAAGAACATTTCAGGCAATAATTCAGAAGTTTTGCATCCACGTTGCGCCACTCCAACTTGAACTTTGGAAAAATATGAGGCCTTTCCCTGTTTTCATTCTCCAAACAAGCCTCAGCAAGCTGGGACTGAGTGATCTTTATTTCTAAAAATAATACCAACTTGGATCTCTAAGCTGATTCTCTCTATAGGGTACCAGAAACCATGCTGGGGGCAGGAGCAAAATACAGGCAGACAGAGCCAAGCCTGCTAGGAGTGACCCTTCCCAGCTTCAGCAAGGACAGTGGTAGGCAGCAGCTGCTGGGCTGGTCTCTGGAAAATCTGAAATGGAATCACAAGGCACTGAGTCCTCGACCTCACCTATGCCTCGGTTTCAGTAGCTCTTGGTGGGAGTCTTTGGAGGCATTTGAGGGGGTCTGAAATGCCCGAACATCATTGAAGACTTTGGTTCAAGTGGAAACCCTCAAGGGGCTTCTAGTGCCTTCTCTCTGTGCACCGCAGAAGCTCCTGCCAAATGACATGCTTCCTTGCCCCTATGGCCGGATTCATAGCTGCACTGGCAAGATGGGGTGGAAGAGACAGAAACGGAGCAAGGAAAAAGGCCAGGGCTGTAGGGGCTGAGAAGGCAGGAGGCAAACACTAAGGAGACATTATAACAACTCAGGAGGCAAATGATTCAGGAAGTCACAAGGTTCTTGGCTCAACTGTGCCAAATTTGTCAGTTCAAGAGGGTCCAGGTCTATGAGAGCTAAAAACCCCCAAACAATGCAAATGTCCAAAGGCAGCTATGGGCCGGCCATGGAGGCTCACATTTATAATCCCAGCCTCCCTTGGGAGGCCAAGGCGGGAGGATCACCTGAGGTCAGGAGTTTGAGACCAGCCTGGCCAACATGGTGAAACCCATCTCTACTAAAAATACAAAAAACTAGCTGGGCATGGTGGCAGATGCCTGCAATTCCAGCTACTCAGGAGGCTGAGGCAGGAGAATTGCTTGAAGCTGGGAGGCAGAGGTTGCAGCGAGCTGAGATGGCGCCACTGTACTCCAGCCTGGGCAACAAGAGCAAAACCCTGTCTCAAAAAATAAAATAGTAAAAAAAATAAGGCTGGGCGTGGTGGCTCACGCCTGTAATCCCAGCACTTTGGGAGGCCAAGGCGGGCGGATGGCTTGAGCCTAGAATTCAAGACCAGCCTGGGCAACATGGTGAAACCCTATCTCTACAAAAAACACAAAAGTTAGCTGGGCATGGTGGTTCATGTCTGTATTCCCAGCTAATTGGGAAGCTGAGGTGGGAGGATCCCTTGAGCCCAGGAGGTTGAGGATGCAGTGAGCTGTGAGACCCTGTCTCTTAAAAAAAAAAAAAAAAAAAAGGCAATCAAAGTGAGACAGGAGAATAGGATCTGGAAGCAGGGACTCTAAGGACTTCCTAGAACTGAATCAAATGGAAACACTTCAACTATGACAGGAAATATCCTCTCCATTTACATAGGGCGTACACCGAGTGAATGACTTTGTAACTTTACTTCATCCCTTCATTTACATAGGGCGTACACCAAGTAACCAATGGAAACTTCTAGAGGGTATTTAAACCCCCAAAAATTAGCCCCTATGCTCAGGCTGCTCTCACCCTGTGGAGTGTACTTTTGTTTTGTTTTTTCTTTTTTTTTTGAGACAGAGTCTTGCCCTGTCACCCAAGTTGGAATGCAGTGACACGATCTCAGGTTCAAGAAATTCTCATGTCTCAGCCTCCTGAGTAGCTGGGATTATAGGCATCGCCACCACGCCCAGATAATTTTTGTTTTGTTTTGTTTCTGAGACAGAGTCTTCCTCTGTTGCCCAGGGTGGAGTGCAGCTGCACGATCTCAGCTCACTGCAAACCCCGCCTCTTGGGTTCAAGCGATTCTTCTGCCTCAGCCTCCTGAGTAGCTGGAATTACAGGCACGCACCACCACGCCCAGCTAATTTTTGTATTTTTAGTAAAGATGGGGGTTTCACCATATTGGCCAGGCTGGTTTTGAACTCCTGATCTCGTGATCCGCCTGCCTTGGCCTCCCAAAGTGCTGGGATTACAGGCATGAGCTACCGCGCCTGGCCTAATTTTTGTATTTTTAGTAGAGTCGGGGTTTCACCATGTTGGCCAGGCTGGTCTCGAACTCCTGGCCCCAAGTAATCCGCCTGCCTTGGCCTCCCAAAATGCTGCAGGGATTACAGGCGTGAGCCACCGCGCCCGGCCTGTACTTTTGTTTTCAATAAGTCTCTGCTTTTGTTGCTTCATTCTTTCCTTTGTTTGTTTGTGAATTTTGTACAATTATTTAAGACACCAAAAACCTGGACACCCTCCACCAGTAACAAAAGGATTTTCCCCAAAGTATATTTCTTTTTTTAAATTTTGAGATGGAGTTTCGCTCTTGTCTAGACTGGAGTGCAATGGTGCCATCTTGGCTCACTGCAACCTTGGCCTCCTGCCTCAGCCTCCCGAGTAGTGGGATTACAGGTGCCTGCCACCATGCCCAGCTAATTTTTGTATTTTTAGTAGATGGGGTTTCACCATGGTGGCCAGGCTGGTCTTGAACTCTTGACCTCAGGTGATCCACCAGCCACCTTGGCCTCCCAAAGTGTTGGGATTACAGGCATGAGCCACCGCGCCTGGTCTCCCAAAATACATTTTTTTGACATATTTTGAAATGGCCCTCCAAAGCTTTCTTTTATGGGGGAAATCTGCATTCTGTAGAGAATCCCCTTCCCTTCTCAGGTCTCTCTGGAGAGACTGGCACCTGTGACATTCACATCTCTTCTCTCAGAAGCCTGCTACCTGAAGGCGTCATCTACAAGACAAGAACTTTGGCTTCCACAACCACCCACCACTTACCATAACTCAAGCTGATTTCAGCTCTTCAGGCAGAGCTTACCATTTTCAACAAATTGCCAATCAGCAAATGTTGAAATCTACCTATGACCTGGAAACCACCCCCACTTCAAGATGTCCCACCTTTCTGGGCTGAGCCAATGTATACCTTACCTCTGTCCATTTATGTCTTTTCCTGTAACTTCTGTCTTCCTAAAATGTATAAATCAAGCCTTAGGCCGGGCACAGTGGCTCATGCCTGTAATCCCAGCACTTTGGCTGGCCGAGGCGGGCGGATCACTCGAGGTCAGAAGTTTGAGACCAGCCTGGGCAACATGGCGAAACTCCATCTCTACTAAAAATACAAAAAATTAGCTGGGTGTGGTGGCGCGAGCCTGTAATTCCAGCTACTTGGGAGGCTGAGGCAGGAGAATTGCTTGAACCCAGGATGTGGAGGTTGCAGAGATCGCACCACTTTACTCCAGCCGGGGAAACAGAGAGAGACTCTGTCTCAAAAAAAAAAAAAAAAAAAGGCTGGGTACAGTGGCTCATGCCTGACCCTGCCTGGAGGTTGCTGTGAGAGCTAAATGAGATGGAGAGTGGATGACAAGGAGGAGTGAGGTGCCCTGTGTGATCCTCCACGTTTTCCTGGAATTAGGAGAGCCCACCGCTGAGAATAAAATGCACCCCCAATTCTTGGTTCAGGGAACCACCCACTGAGGGGGCTGGCTGGGAGATGCCTCTCGACACTGACGCTGTCAACCCTGTGTGGAATTGAGAATTCCACTGGCTTTTGTTCCTGGTTCCTGGGAGGTAACCTGTAAATCCTCAGAATTTCCTGAGTGATAGTAGTGTCTGTGTTACTCACGATCGGGCCTCGGAGGACACCCGATCATTTATGCAAATGACTCTAGGTCCAGGAAGACCAACCGTGAGATTAGAAGGCTGTGGCTCTGGAGCCTGGGTGATGGAAGGTGATTGAGGCTACAGTGAGCTATGATCCTTCCACTGCACTCCAGCCTGGGCGACAGAGGGAGCCCTTGTCTCAAAACAAACAAACAAACAAAAAAATTTAAAAATTAGCTGGGTGTGTTGGTGCATGCTTACGGTCCCATAAGAGGGACCATAAGGGAGGATCATTTGAGCCCAGGAGTTTGAGGCTGCAGTGAGCCGTGATCACACCACTGCACTCCAGCCTGAACAACACAGCAAGAACCTGTCTCAAAAAAAAAAAAAAAAAAAAAAGCAGAAAGAAAAAGAAAACAAAATTAGAAGGTTGGGTCTTTGAGCCACTTGTTATCAGCCTGACTTCCGGGGACGGAGGGGCTGGAGCTTGAGTTTAGTGTGTGGTGTATGATTCCTCCATCATGCCTGCATATAAAACCCCAAGGACAACTCTACACAGAGGCTCGGGTGAGCTTCCCTGGTTAGTGATGCTCTGTCTATTGTCACAGATGGAGGTACCAGGAGGGTTAAGGTGTCCCTGAGGATAACAGCGCTTTGCACCGGGGACCCACCCAGCCCGGACGCAGTGCTTCTGGCTGTGGCTGGTTCTGATTCGTGTTCTTTTGCTGTAATAAAACTGTAAATGAAACTTCAGCATTTACCTGAGTGCTGTGAGTCATTCTAGTGAATTAGGAATCTGAGGGGGTGGTGGGAACCCCTGAATTTGAGGCCATCTGGTCAAAAGTGAGGACCCTGAACTTGCAGCTGGTGTCTGAAGTGAGGGCTGTCCTGTGGAGGAAGGCATCACCTGAGGCCCAACCCCAGGTAGTTGGTGTCAAATGTCATTGCACCTGCCCTGAAAGAAAGAGGGAGAGAAGTGAGGGAAGGGGCCACCTTTTGGGGAGAGCTGGTGTCTGTGAGAAAAGGCCTCAATCTTTTTTTTTTTTGAGATGGAGTTTCGCTCTTTCGCCCAGGCTGGAAAGAAGTGGCGTGATCTCAGCTCACTGCAACCTCCAACCCCCAGGTTCAAGTGATTCTCCTGCTCATCCTCCCGGGTAGCTGGGATTATAGGCGCCTGCCACCACACCTGGCTAATATTTGTATTTTTAGTAGAGACGGGGTTTCACCATGTTGGTCAGGCTGGTCTCGAACTTCTGACCTCAGGTGATCCACCCACCTTGACCTCCCAAAGTGCTGGGATTACAGACGTGAGCCACCCCGCCCAGCCCCTCATTTTTCTCTTTCTCTCTCTCACCTGACCTCAGGTGATCTGCCTGCCTCGGCTTCCCAAAGTACTAGGATTACAAGTGTGAGCCATGCCTGAGCAAGCCTCACTCTTTTTTTTTTTTCTTTTGAGACAGAGTCTCGGTCTGTCACCCAGGCTGGGGTGCAATGGCGCGATCTCGACTCACTGCAACCTCCGCCTCCCGGGTTCAAGTGATTCTCCTGCCTTAGCCTCCTGAACAGCTGGGATTACAGGTGCCTGCCACGACACCCAACTAATTTTTGTATTTTTCGTAGAGACGGGGTTTCACCATGTTGGTCAGGCTGGTCTCCAACTCCTGATCTCAAGTGATCTGTCTGCCTCGGCCTCCCAAAGTGCTGGGATTACAGGCGTTAGCCACCGTGCCCGGCCAAGCCTCACTCTTTTGAGAGGACTTGACTGGTTTCTCTTGAAACCAGATGGAGGTTGTAGGGGTTGGGGACACAGTGGAATCACTGTCTGTCAAGTGTGTGGGAGGGCAGGGAAGCACACCTGTGTTCCTGCTGGCTGTCTTGGCTGTGCATTGGCTGCTCTGCCCTGGGGCTCCTGAGGTTTGGAAAGCACTGAGGGCTGGGACCACCCATCCCTTCAGGAGACGTTTTTGTTTGTTTGTTTGTTTTTTGAGACCAGTCTCGCTCTGTAGCTCAGGCTGGAGTGCAGTGGCACAATCTCGGCTCACTGCAACCTCCACTGGAGGGGTTCAGTCAGGATGGTGGGAGAAATTGTAAAATAAACACAAACTTTCTTGGAAGGCCTGAAGGTTTTTGCAAAAGCCTCAAAATAGAGTTATGGCTGAAGGCAGCCTAATCCTCTTTGAGTTATAGCAAGGGTAATTAACACAGGAATGTAGAGGAGTCTATCTAAATAGCTTGTTTACCCACGTGGTCCTAAGACTAACCTTTGACCATCCATGGGTGCAAGATTGCTGTCTACCTGGGGGGTGAGCAATGGTAATTACCTTCTAGTGGTGTTTACTTGAGACGTTTGTCATTTAATGTGTGCTGAACAAATGCCAGCAGGGCCAGCCAGTCGAGGCCATGGCTGCTATTCTTTACAGCACCTTCCTTGGTGTCTGTGAGGGGCCCAGACCCTTAGCTGGACTGACAAGCAGAATATCTGTGTCAGTGTAAGTTATTCATCCGTCGTTGGGTCAGGATCTGCGGGACGGACTCCCCCCACCCCCGCACTGTACCTCCCAGGTTCAAATGATTCTCCTGCCTCAGCCTCCTAAGTAGCTGGGATTACAGGTGTGGGCCACGACACGTGGCTAATTTTTGTATTTTTAGTAGAGACAGGTTTTCACCATGTTGGTCAGGCTGGTCTTGAACTCCTGACCTCAAATGATCTGCCCATCTCGGCCTCCCAAAGTGCTGGGATTACAGGCGTGAGCCACCGCACCTGGTCCCCTTCAGAAGATGGATGCTGAACCTAAGGGCCCAGAGTCAAGTCTAGAGTATGGTCGAGTCCAGAGTATGGGAATCCCAGTCCTGCGGATTACGGGACTGGGAGTGGGGGTACCCTCTCAGAGCAATATGGCATGAGGCCACCTCCTGGAGTCAGCAGAACGTGTCACCCAGGGGAGCCGCTTAGGAGACCGCCTCTCATCAGCAGGCCTGAGCAGCTGTCCCTTGGCCACACCAAATCAGTAGAGCCCTGGTTCTCAGTCAGTGGCAAGTGTGTCCCGCAGGGGCATTTGGCAAGGTCCGGAGACATTTTTGGTTGTCACAACTTGGGGGCTGCTACTGGCATCTGGTGAGCAGAAGCCAGGGACGCTGAGGAACAGTGCACTGACAGGCCCCTGCCGCAGAGAATGAGCCAGCCCCAAACATCAACAGTGCTGAGCTTGAGAAAGCCTGGTCTCTGCAACAAAGCCCCCAGCAAGGGGAAAGCAGCGCCACCACCCATCAGGCCCTGCGGGAATCACATCTGCTTTCAATTTCTCTCCTTCCTGCCGCAGCCTCACAGAATCAGCACAGGGATGGGGCGGTGGGGGAAGAGACGTGCCGTGTCTTCACCCCAGTGTTGGCGCCTGTGCTGGGAAGGGATGAGGGTCTTTTGAGGCAGGATTGACTTTTTTTTTCATTTTTTTTTTTTTTTTTGAGACAGTCTCACTCTGTCGCTCAGGCTAGAGTGCAGTGGTGCGATCTTGGCTCACTGCAACCTCCATCTCTCTGGTTCAAGCGATTCTCATGCTTCAGCCTCCTGAGTAGCTGGGATTACAGGTATGCACCTCCACACCCTGTGCTAATTTTTGTATTTTGAGTAGTGATGGGGTTTCACCATGTTGGCCAGGCTGGTCTCGAACTCCTGACCTCAAGTGATCTGCCCACCTTGGCTTCCCAAAGTGCTGGAATTACAGGCGTGAGCCACTGCGCCCGGCACTAGGCTGTCTTAATAGCAAAACATGGCTAGAAAAATGTGGAATCATACTGAGTGCCCTCGTGGGGAATCTTATGCTCAGTGGAAATGGAGATTTCGAACAAACAGAGCTGGTGGTGTTTATCAGAGAAAATTAAACCTTTTGTTAATGTTCACTTTAACAGGACATGTGTCCTTCATGAAACTGGCTACATATGTGCATCGCTTAGCCCGGGGCCGGCACAAAACAAGAGCTGGATAAACGTTAGCCGCTTGTATTGAGAGGGAAGTGAGCCGGTGGTGGTGCTGCATGCCTGTAGTCCCAACTGCTTGGGAAGTGAGGCAGGAAGATTGCTTTAGCCCCAGGAGTTAGAGGTTACGGTGAACTAAGACTGCGCCACTGCACTCTAGCCTGGGCGACACAGCATGAACTGCTCTTCAAAAGGCGGTGGGGATTCTAACTCCTGTCCCTGGAATCTGGGTTGGTCTCAGTGACTTGCTTGACCAAAAAGTGGTAGAAGGGACATTCTGGGATGTCTGAGGCTCAGGCATGAAAAGCCTTGCAGCTTCGGCCTGGGTCTCCTGGACTGACTACTCCTGGGACATTCCCTCCTGGAGCCCTGCCGCCATGTCACACAAGGGGCCACACTCTGGCCAGCAGCCCCAGCTGAGCTGACAGCTGACAGCCAGCGCCTGTTATCATCGCCATGGTAAGGAGCTGTCTCAGATGTTTAGCCCCGCTGACGCTGCAACCACCGGAGACTCCAAGTGAGGACCACCCAGCTGAGACCCATCAGCCGGCAGCCCACAGTGGGGGTTAGTAAATTACTGCTTCAGGCCACTGCACTTTAGGATGGTTCACTACTCAGAAGCAGATAATGTGAACACTTCCCCAGGGAGTCAAGTGCTTTCAGAAACATATGCTGTTTTCTTGGATGAAAAATTGTCTTTCTAGTGATTATCCAGGAAGGGTTCACACAAATGGGATATCAGGGCTGGTGGAAAGACACGAGTCGGACACCGTTATGAGCCCAAGTTCCAGACTGTGCATAGAGCCAACTCCTAAGCCAGGTAGCCTTGACCTGAGAGCTTCCCAGCACCTCCTTCCCCTTCCCCACTGACCCATGGCTTCCTCCTTCATTCTCCTCTTCTCATCATTCCTTTCCCATTCCTTCACACATTTCAAGCTGCTATTCCAAAACTACCACCATGGAAACACGGTCAGGTTCTTAGAAACCTAACCCATATTGGGAAATAACAGTGCGGCGAGAGGTGGAGGCAGCAGGAAAATTCTAGGCTAACATCCTAGCTGGCCACCAGGGTGCGGTCTCAAAGTCCTCATGGTAGGAAGGTAAGTTTATCTTCATTTTACACACTAGGGAAAATAGACTCCCTCAGTAATTAAATACCAATTAGCTCTTAAGAAAAATGCATTTTCAAAATTGTATTACTGTTCAACAGGGAAATAGGATTTAATTTAGCTTTTTTTTTTTTTTAATTCACAAGAGCGCCTGCTTTGACACCACCTAGCGGGAGCCACTGTAGGAACGGCAAAGCCAGGCCTGACCCCGCTTCTCGTAGAGCCTGGGTGGCAGCCAGTGCTGTCACTGTTCCCACATTCCCACGCCGGTGTCTGGGAGGATGTGGGGAGAGATTATAATAGTATGTGTCATTTCTGCAGTATGCCTGATTCATTTCCAGATGTGAAATAGTCACTGGGATCACTATAGTTCCTAATGCCTTTCTTTTTTTTTTCTTTTTTTGAGACAGAGTTTTGCTCTTGTCACCCAGGCTGGAGTGCAGCGGTGCGACCTCAGCTGACTGCAGCCTCCGCCTCCTGGATTC
Source organism: Homo sapiens (assembly GCF_000001405.40). Lineage (NCBI taxonomy): Eukaryota > Metazoa > Chordata > Mammalia > Primates > Hominidae > Homo > Homo sapiens. Next base: position 76,371,079 of record NC_000017.11, read on the forward strand.
AGGCAATTCTCCTGCATCAGCCTCCCAAATAGCAGGGATTACAGGCGCCCACCACCATGCTCGTCTAAGTTTTGTATTTTCAGTAGAGATGAGGTTTCGCCATGTTGGCCAGGCTGGTCTCGAACTCCCGATCGCAAGTGATCCGCCCGCCTCAGCCTCCCAAAGTGTTGGGATTACAGGTGTGAGCCACCGTGCACGGCCTAATGCCTTTCAAGAAGTTTTCTGTGGCAATTACACAAATCTCCCTGAATCCTTATTTAGTTTGTTCATCTACTTGGAAAACAGCCTTCCTTTATACTAAGTCAGTAGTTCCCAAACTTGTCTGTACCTTAGAATCACTGGGGAACTCTGGAAAATTCCAGACCAGGCTGGGTACAGTGGCTCATGCCTATAATCCCAGTACTTTGGGAAGCTGTAGTGGGAGGATCACTTGAGCTCAAGAGTGGCCAGCCTGGGCCACATAGTGAGACTCTGTCTCTACCAAAAAAAAAAAAAAAAAAAAAAAATTGGGCACAGTGGCATGCCCCTGTGGTCCTAGCTACTCGGGAAGCTGAGGTGGGAGGATTGCTTGAGCCCAGGAGGTTGAGGCTGTAGTGAGCTGTGTTTGTGCCTCTGCACTCCCACCTGGGTGACAGAGACCCTGTCTCAAAAAAAAAAAAAAAAAAAAAAAAGAAAGAAAGAAAATGAAAAATTCCAGAGCAGTGAGTGAAGTCATAGTCATTGGCAGTGGGGCACAGGCTCTGCAGGTGATTCCTACGTGCTCCCTAGTTGGAAACCTCAGTGCTAAATGACCCCAGAAGTAGATGCGGCCCTCAGCCATTCCCTAGGCAGGCACCCTTGTGTGCATCTGTTGCCTTCTCTCCAGAAAGCAGCTTTTCTTAAGGGATAGCCCGAGGCCAAACTCAGGAGTCCTCTTAGTACTTACCACATCCGAGCGTGGTGGCACGCGCCTGTAGTCCCAGCTACTGGGGAGGCTGAGGCAGGAAAATCACTTGAACCAGAGAGACGGAGGTTGCAGCGAGCCAAGATTCCTTTTTAAATAGCGGACATTTTAAATAATAATAATAAAAAGAAAAATAAATAATCTGTGGTGAAATTCACATAACATCTTAAAGTGCATAATCAGTGGCATTAAGTACACTCACAACGTTGTGAAACCACTACGTCTATGTAGTTCCAAAACATCTTCATCACCCCAAAAGGAAATCCCATGCCCAGTAAGCAGTTCTACCTCATTCTCCCTCTCCCCAGAGTCTCTGGCAACCACCAACCTGCCTTCTGTCTACAAATTTGCTTATTCTGGACATTTCGTAGAAATTGACTCATACAATAGGTGACCTTTTGCATCTGGACTCTCACTCTGCGTCATGTTTTCGAAGTTCATTCACGCTGTAGCATGTGTCAGGACCTCATTCCCTTCTATGGACAAATAATATTCCATTGTGTGACTAGGCCACATTTTCTTTATCCAGTCATCCATCAACATTTGGGTTGTTTCCACCTCTTGACTATTGTGAATAATGCTTCTATGAACATTCCTGGATGAGTTTTTGTGTGGACATGTTTTTATCTCTCTTAGGTACAGACCAGAACTAGAAGTGGAATTACTAGGTCATATAGTAACCCTATGCTTAATTTTTTAAGGAATCTGAGTCTCTCATTCTAAAAGACATTTTTCTCAAGCACCGGTTGGTAAATCTGGCTTAGTTTTCCACATCTGTGAAGACCATTTTCATGGGTGACATGCCAGCCTTCCTTGAGCATACGTGACACGCAGGCTGTTGGTTTAGAACTAGAATTAGGTTCCTGCTGTTCTGCTCAGGGTCCTTGCAGATGAGAAACCCCTGCCACACTGCCCTCCTGCAGCAGCCGTCACCCAGACAGCCACCCAACCATGCTTCTTTTTTTTTTTTTTCTGAGACGGAGTCTCGCTCTGCTGCCCAGGCTGGAGTGCAGTGGCACGATCTCGGCTCACCACAAACTCCACCTTCCAGGTTCAAGCAATTCTCCTGCCTCAGCCTCCCAAGAGGCTGGGACTACAGGCGCGCACCACTATGCCCAGCTAATTTTTGTATTTTTAGTACAGATGGGGTTTCACCATGTTGGCCAGGCTGGTCTCGAACTCCTGAGCTCGTCATCTGCCCGCCTTGGCCTCCCAAAGTGCTGGGATTACAGTCGCGAGCCACCGCGCCCGGCTCCAAGCATGCTTTTAAAAACTAAATTGATCAGGTGTGACTCATGCCTGTAATCCCAGCACTTTGGGAGGCCGAGGTGTGCAGATTGCTTGAGTCCAGGAGTTTGAGACTAGTCTGGGTAACAGAGTGAGACCCAGTCTCTAGAAAAAATACAAAATAAAAAAAAAAGTAGCTGGGGGTTGTGGTGCGTGACTGTAGTCCCAGCTACTCAGGAAGCTGAGGTGGAAGGATTGCTTGGGCCCAGGAGGTGGAAGTTGCAGTGAGCTGGGATAGCGCTACTGCACTCCAGCCTGGGTGACAGAGTGAGACCCCATCCGGAAGAAAAAAAAAAAAAGATTTGAGGCGGAGGTTGCAGTGAGCTGAGATGGCGCCACTGCACTCCAGCCTGGGGTGACAGAGCAAGACCCTGTCTCAAAAAAAAAAAAAAAAAAAGACTCAGGCCTCCGAGACAAGCACGCTCTTCAGCGTCCTGGGCTTTGCTGTGGCTCCTGGCTCCCGCTCAGCCTTTCCCAGGCGGCATGCTCCTATACCACTAAAGGCTGCAAATTGAGGTGACAGATCTGCTAGTGGGACTGCACATGCCTCTTCCCTCAGGAATGACACGCCTGCCAAGAGCTGAAAGGAGGCAGAGCCAACCCTGAGTTTATCATCTTTTGCAGTTATTGAGTGTTTTCTTTCTTTAGAAGCTCAAAATTCTCAATCTGAGAGTCAAGTAATGGCAGATACTTGTCACACGGCAATTGGAATCGGAACTCGGTCTTTTTTTTTTTAGGCGGAGTTTCGCTCTTGTTGCCCAGGCTGGAGTGCAGTGGCGCAACCTCAGCTCACTGCAACCTCCGCTTCCCGGGTTCAAGCAATTCTCCTGCCTCAGCCTCCTGAGTAGCTGGGATTACAGGCATGTGACACCACGCCCAGCTAATTTTGTATTTTTAGTAGAGACGGGGTTTCACCATGTTGGTCAGGCTGGTCTCAAACTCCTGATCTCAGGTGATCCGCCCGCCTCAGCCTCCCAAGATGCTGGGATTATAGGCGTGTGCCACTGAACCCAGTCTTAAATGGTTTGTGCTTGTTTGCAAATGCCGCACGTCCTGATGCTATAGATTTTTCTAGGCCATGCAGAGTCACGAAGACTGATGTGTCTTTTTAACTCTGCATTGGGACCATCTGTACCTCAAGGGACCCATCAGCCTGCTGTGCCCAGCCAGGAGGAGGTGGAGTGTTGGACGGTGCCTTTCCTGGCCCTCCATTGCTGCAATGCACCCGGCTCCCTCCCTGGGGTGCCGTGCTGCATCTGCCAGCGATTCCAATGGGAGAGGTCTGCCTGCGGGCATTTCTTGAGGATTTTTGTGTGCAGAACCTTGCTGATTATAGTTCTAGGGAAGATGCGAAAAGAGAAAAGAAAAGGTATGTCCTCCAGCCACTTGTATGCTCCTCACTGATCTGAAAGGAGCACTCTCTGGGCCCTCTCAATTTTTTTTTTTTTTTTTTTTTTTTTTTTTTTGAGATGGAGTTTTGCTCTTGTTGCCCAGGCTGGAGTGCAATGGCGCCATCTCGGCTCACCACAACTTCCGCCTCCCGGGTTCAAGCACTTTTCCTGCCTCAGCCTCCGGAGTAGCTGGGATTACAGGCATGCGCCACCACGCCCGGTTAATTTTTTTTTATATTTAGTAGAGACGGGGTTTCTCCATGTTGGTCAGCCTGGTCTCGAACTCCCAAACTCAGGTGATCTGCCCGCCACGGCCTCCCAAAGTGTTAGGATTACAGGCGTGAGCCACTGCGCCCAGCCCCTCAATTTTGTTTTTTAAAATAATTTCAGTATTAGCCTGCATGCGTTGAGGTATCAGAGACATTAAAATATCAAACTTGCAGGTCCCCTGAGGTCAGGAGTTCAAGACTAGCCTGACCAACATGGAGAAACCCTGTATCTACTAAAAATACAAAAATTAGCTGGGAGTGGTGGCAGCCGCCTGTAATCTCAGCTACTTGGGAGGCTGAGGCAGGAGAATCTCTTGAATCCAGGAGGTGGAGGTTGCAGTGAGCCAAAATCGCACCACTGCACTCCAGCCTGGGTGACAGAGTGAGGCTCTGTCTCAAAAAAATATGTTAACAAAATAAAATTAAAAAATCAAACTCTCCAGCCCTTATAAAGGTAATCACTTGGTTACCCATTCAGTTTCAAAATGGTGAGTTTCAGGCACTGCTAGGATCATCAAATGGTGCCTTGAAGGAAAAATGACATCTTAACTCATTCTCAAGATGCCAGTCACGTTGCCGTGATCAGGACTTTAGGGCAATGAGCAAAGAGAACAAGGAACTCTGCTGTCTGAAACAGCTCTCCTGTCGGATCAGCCTAGCGTCACTCCTGTAGCTGCACAAAAGCTCATGGGCACCAGCCTGGAATTAGGCGTCCCTTGTCCTAAGCACCCCTCCCCAGCCCCAGCTGTCCAGCCCATCCTGTCTAATCATTACTTAAATTACCAGGGTTGTGTCTGGAAAGAATTGAAGGGTTTGACCTTCAGAAGACAAGCCTCCAGGGGAGGGGAATTTCTATTTTTTGGCATGTGGATAATGAACACAGGGGAGGGCAATCCCTGCTCCGGGCTCCATGTCTTTTTCCAGCTTGTCAAAATAGGACGTCCACACCCTCCTTTGCCCCCAAGTCCCCCCACTAATTGGCATCAATCGAGGAAGTCTGAGCGACTGCATGTTTAGGTAAAAGAGGAAAGGGGTGGGGTGGGGCGCAGTGGCTCACGCCTGTAATCCCAGCACTTTGGGAGGCCGAGGCGGGCAGATCACAAGGTCAGGAGTTCGAGACTGGCCTGAACAACATGGAGAAACACCGTCTCTACTAAAAATATAAAAATTAGCCGGGCATGGTGGTGCATGCCTGTAATCCCAGCTACTCAGGAGGCTGAGGCAGGAGAATCGCTTGAACCCAGGAGACGGAGGTTGCAGTGAGCCAAGATTGCGCCACTGCACTCCAGCCTGGGTGACAGAGCAAGACTCCATCTCAAAAAAAAAAAAAAAAAAAAAATAGAGGAAAGGAGTGAACCCCTGAGTGGCCAGCTGGGTGCCTCAACGGGGTGTCTCCAAAGGCAGCTTGTGCTTGTTTGTGACCAGGGTGACAAAGGACTTCACTGTCCTGTAGCACAGATGAGGTTCCACCCTCAGGTGGGTGGAAACAGCCCAGGCCATTAGTGCAAATCCCCTGCCTGGCCCAGGGCCACGTTCAGCCCACTGTCTGTTTGCTTTGGGACCCACCCAAGGTCACATTTTAGCTTTTGAGAAATGTGAAAGTGGAAAACATTGCAAAACAAAAAGCCCCTGGAAAACTGTGCACACACCCATCCCCTCAGCCTGATGCTCCAGCTTGGCTGCTAGGAGATCAATGCAGCTCTGCCTTCCTGCTCCCTGTGCAGAGGTGCCGGCTCCTGCTTCCTGGTTCCCAGCTTTCCTTTTGGGAACTGCCTGAGGTGGTTTGACACACAGCTGTTGGGCTTCTCTTCCCTTGAGGTCTCTGAACCAGGGCACCCATGCAGGTAAACACAAAAGCGGAGTGGGGTGGAATGGGGGTGCTGGCTGTAGCCTCGGCAGAAGGGGACCCGCCTCTCTCCTCACGAGTATCCAGGATGTGGGACTGGATATTGACCAGACCAGAACCCACTTTGGGCCCACATGGGAGCTAATGTCAGCAGGGGCCTGTGGACTGTTCCCATTGAACGGCTCTTCCTGCTAGCTGTGGTTCTCAGTGTGGCTGGCCTGGTCCAGCCTGGCACAGGACAGGACCTGGGAGGGCCACACATTTCCCACCTCCATTTTGTGCCCAGGGGACCTGTGCCAGCAGCAAGCCCTTCCTGCAAAGCAGTGTGGGGAATTCTGCCAGGCTGCAGATGGATGGGCCGGTCTGCTTCCACCCCTTCCTCAGGTGCAAAGTTGGGGTTTTGCGATCCTGTAATTACTATGTTTAGCAAAGTTGCCAATTTCTCCCTTTAGGGTAATTTTCAAAAATGGAAACCAATTTTCTTTGTAGGGGCTTCTGCTGGATAAACCAACCACCACAAAGTCTACAGAAACATGTCTCCACCCCAGCCTCACTCCACAAATGCTTCTTTGGTGGAAGGCTGGTTCCTGGTTTGTGTTCATTTGGGTAGAGCTGGGGAGGGAGTAGGAGTCAGAAATGAAGGTTCTGGAGCCCAAAAGCCACTGTTCCCAGACTAAGTTTGCCTAATCATCTGTGGTTGGCAAAACCCCTCAAAGATGTCCACGTCATAATCACTGGAACTTGTGAGTGCGTGTTACCCTATATGGCAAGAGGGATTTTGCAGATATGATTACGGATTTTGAGAAGGGGAGATTGTCCTGGGTTCTCTGGGTGGGGTGAATGTCATCACAGGGTCCTTATATGAGGGAGGCAGGAAGGTCAGAGTCAGAAGAGTTGTGTCAATGGGAGCAGAGGTCACACAGAGATAGACTGGAAGATGCTATGCTGCCGGCTCTCGAGGTAAAGGAAGGGGCCCTGAGCCAAGGGATGCAGGTGGCTTCTAGAAGCCAGAAAAGGCAAGGGAACACAGCCCTGCAATTCATCTTATATTAGGTTGGTGCACGAGGAACTGTTTTTTTTTTTTTTTTTTTGAGACGGAGTCTCACTGTCGCCCAGGCTGGAGTGCGGTGGCGCGATCTCAGCTCACTGCAACCTCCCAGGCTGGAGTGCAGTGGCGCAATCTTGGCTCACTGCAACCTCTGCCTCCTGGGTTCAAGAGATTCTCCTGCCTCAGCTTCCCGAGTAGCTGGGACTACAGGCACACGCCACCACGCCTAGCTAATTTTTTATTTTTAGTAGAGACGGGGTTTCACTATGTTGGCCAGGCTGGTCTCAAGCTCCTGACGTCGGGTGATCCACCCGCCTCAGCCTCCCAAAGTGCTGGGATTACAGGAGTGAGCCACCGCACCCGGCCTGTTTGTTTTTTGAGACAGAGTCTCACTCTGCTGCCCAGGCTGGAGTGCAGTGGCACGATCTCAGGCTCACTGCAACCTCCGCCTCCCAGGTTCAAGCGATTTTCCTGCCTCACCCTCCCGAATAGCTGGGACTGCAGGTGTGCACCACCACACCCAGCGAATTTTTGTAGTTTTTAGTAGAGAGGAGGTTTCACTACGTTGGCCAGGCTGATCTCGAACTCCTGACCTCAGGTGATCCACCCGCCTGGACCTCTCAAAGTGCTGGGATTACAGGCATGAGCCACCGCTTCTGGCCTGGGGAAATTGCGTTTTTTGGCATTAAAAGTAATGGTATTAGCAACCATTCTAATACTTCTGATCTTCTGCAAGATAAAAAATTTGTGTTGTTTTAATTGTGTGTAGCAATAGGAACCTAATACCCCATCCAACACGACACTCAGCTTTGCTCTTCCAAAGACTGGGGAAGAAACCCATCTGCTCAGGAAGCTGAGGATGCCATACGCCAAGGTGTAAGATAACATCTGAAAGTCAAGGGAGCAGGAGCACAGGAAGTCTGGCTGCCAGCATAGGCATAAACAACTCCTCCCAGTAGATCACACCTTGGCAAGGCTGGGAGGATGGAGGCCTGGCAGCCAAAAACCCCTTTCCTCCTGTACCCTTAGGAGACTACACTATCTTCTATCAAGACCCCTGGTATTGTTACATCTTTTCATTCAAAACTTGAAACACTGGCCAGGTGCAGTGGCTCATGCCTGTAATCCCAGGGCTTTGGGCAGCTGAGACGGGATGATTACTTGAGCCCAGGTGTTTGAGACCAGCCTGGGCAACATAGGGAGACCACATCTCTACAAAAAATAAAAAAACAAAATTGGCTGGGCTTGGTGGCATGCACCTGTAGTCTCAGCTACTAAAGGGGATGGAGGTGGGAGGATCACTTGAGCCCAGGAGGTCGAGGCTGCAGTGAGCTGTGACTGTGCCACTGCACTCCAGCTTGGGTGACGATGTAAGACCCTGTTTCAAAAAAAAAAATAAATAAAACATGAAACACTGATTCACACTAGGGCCCTAATAACTCACTGGTTTTCCCTCCGAGTCATCTGTAGCAGAAAAAGAACAGGCCCACGGGCCCTACGGAAAAAGTTCCAACTCTTTCCCAGGGAGAGGGCCCTCTGAAGGTGAAGGCAGAGACGGGGACGACGCAGCAGCAAGACACGGATGACCAAAGGCTGTCGGCAAACCACCAGGACACAGGCCTGGGACAGAGTCACAGCCTCAGAAGGAACCAACCCTGCCAACACCGTGATCGTAGACTTCCCAACCTCCAAAACTGTGAGACAGTCAATTTCTGTTGTCTACGCCACCAGGACACTAATACAAATGCCTATAGATGCTGGGCAGGCAGCTGAGACAAATGGAGTGGGTAGGGCTGCAGCTCGCCACCTTGAGAGGGCTCTGAAGAGAATCACCCTGAATTGCAGCCACAGTCAGCAGCCTGGAGGTGAGGGCATGTGACAGGCAGAGCCCAGAGGCCCAGAAGAGACCTGGGTCCCCAGCCTCAGCAAGGACGACAAGGACAAGGAGACCACCCAAGGGATAGAGCTAGGGTCACCCCACCATACACTCATCATAGTCAAACCACTGGGGAGAATCAGAAACTCGGGCAAAGCACACACTCCCTGCAAGCAGCCAAGAATCTCGCATGACCAGTCTGGTCCTCTGGATCTCCACATGTGGCCACGTGTGGCGCGTGGCATCCCCTCCACCCCAATGCCTGGTATGGTCGACCTGGAAATGACATCTAGGAAACTGAGAATGGAAAGCCATGTGGGGGCAGCGCTAAGCTTTTTTTTTTCTTTTTCTTTTTTTGAGACGGAGTCTTGCTCTGTTGCCCAGGCTGGAGTACAGTGGTGCAATCTCGGCTCGCTCTTGGGTTCAAGCAGTTCTCCTGTCTCAGCCTCCTGAGCAGCTGGGACTACAGGCACCTGCCACCGCGTCCGACGAATTTTTGTATTTTTAGTAGAGATGGGGTTTCATCATCTTGGCCAGGCTGGTCTCAAATTCCTGACCTCGTGATCCACCCGCCTCAGCCTCCCAAAGTGCTGGGATTACGGGCGTGAGCCACTGCGCCCAACCAGCCCTAAGCTTTTTTTTTTTTTTTTGAGACATAGTCTTGCTCTGTCCCCAGGCAGGAGTGCAGTGGCACCATCTCAGCTCACTGCAACCTTCGCCTCCCGGGTCCAAGCGATTCTCCTGCCTCAGCCTCCCAAGTAGCTAGGATTACAGGCATGCACCACAACACCCAGCTAATTTTTGTATTTTCAGTAGAGACGGGGGTTTCACCATGTTGGCCAGGATGGTCTCAAATCTCCTGACCTCATGATCACCCGCCTTGGCCTCCCAAAGTGCTGGGATTACAGATGTGAGCCACCGTGCCCGGCCCCTAAGCTCAAAGAGCTTGTGAGATAGAACCTCCCCCTTCCCCGGTCCTTGCAACCCCCTAGGCAGTAAAGTACCATAAAAAGGGAAAAACCGGAGTGGTGGCTCATGCCTATAACCCCAGCACTTTGGGAGGCCGAGGCAGGCGGATCACTTGAGGTCAGGAGTTTGAGACCAGCTTGGCCAACATGTGAAACACAAACTCTACTAAAAATACAAAAATTAGCTAGGTGCAGTGGCTCACACTTGTAATCACAGCTATTCGGGAGGCTGAGGCAAGAGTATTGCTTGAAACCGGGAGGCAGAGGTTGCAGTGAGCCAAGATCGCGCCACTGCACTCCAGCCTCAGCCTGGGCAACAGAGCGAGACTCTGTCTCAAAAAAAAAAAAAGGGAAAGAAGTTGAGGTCAAGGAAGACCTTGAGGCTATGCAATTAGGGAGCTGAAATCTCCTAGGGAAGGTAGCTTCAGGGAAGGGTGAGATGGCAGGAATCCTCTCCTCATAAAAGCAAGTAATTTGCCATCTGGCAGCCTTGACTCCAAGTTTCTGGAGAGCTGGGACCAGGCCAGGTGAATGCCTGCTTTCTTTCTCGGGAAAAGAAAAAAGGGGGTTCTCAGGTGTGTCTCCCTGGGGAGGCTGCCCACAAGGAAGGGGAGGCTGGGGAAGTTAGAAAAAGTCTCCCACCTGTGAAGCAGATTACCTGCAAGCCAAGCTCTGGGTTGGTGATCAAATCAGACCTCTCTGCCGGCCCAGGCCTGTTCCCAGGCCCACGGTGGGCCTTGCTGAGCACAGCGGCTGCTCAGCTGTTTCCAGACTCAGGATGAAGCCTGGGGAGGGCTTGGAGCTGCTTCCTCTTTCTTTTTTTTTTTGAGATGGAGTTTCGCCCTGTCACCCAGGCTGGAGTGCAATGGGACGATCTCAGCTCACCACAACCTCTGCCTCCTGGGTGCAAGCAATTCTCCTGCCTCAGCCTCCCAAGTAGCTGGGACTACAGGTATGCGCCACCACACCCGGTGTAGAGACGGGGTTTGAGACGGGTTTCTCCACGTTGGTCAGGCTGGTCTCCAACCCCCGATCTCAGGTGATCCACCCACGTCGGCCTCCCAAAGTGCTAGGATTACAGGAGTGAGCCACTGCGCCCGGCCTGCTGCTTCCTCCTCCTCAGGGAGACGCCACAGCTCTGCGGCAAGCAATCCACCAGGCACCAGATCCCCAGATACCTGCCCTTCAGGGAGAAATAGCCTGGGATACAGAGAGGCCCAGAGGGGAGCTCTGGCTGGACTTGGCTTCTCAGCGTGGGGTCTGGGTTCACAGGTTTGCTTCTCTGCTTTGTGGGGAACTGGTTGGAGGCTTGTGCAAGCCTCTTCACCTCTCAGGGTTTCAGGCCCCCCCAACTCCTTCCCGCCTTGTCCTTTTTTCTTTTTTAAAAAAGGAAGTAAAGTACAGTGGGAAACGGGCCAAGCTGGCAGCTTGAGAGATCCAAGTGCCCGCCCCCCGACCCGCAACCGTGGGAAGGGGAACCATCTTGCTCTTGGCCAATCCTGCCTCTCTGAGCAGGGATGCAGCTGGGGGAGTTTCTGGAGATAGGATCAAATTCTTTAGAAAGGGAGAAGGGGAAAGGGGTCTGGAGAAAGGCAGCCTGGGTTGGGGGAAGTGAATGACAAGAATGAGGGGGGCAAAGGCCTTGGAGGTGAGGGGGGCAGGGGGTTAGGCGCCAGGGAGGACAGAGGACCCATTGTGCGGCCTGGAACCGGGGCCAGAGGGCTTTGCCCTTCGCCTCCCTCCCGCGGGGCCTTCCAGAGCCAGGAGGGGAGCTGGGGCCCGGAGGCGTTGGATAAAGAGCCCGTGCCCCGCCTCCCCTTGCCAACTCAGTTTGCAGTCAACCCCGCCCCCGCCCGCTCCGCGGACTCAAGGCTGGTGGTAGTGGGCCTGGAGGCGCAGGATCCGACCTTTCTGGGGCCCCAGGAGGAAAAAAAAAGGGGGGACCCTGAACCAGGTGGGCTTTATCACCACGAACTCACAGTGCTTCCCTGTGCCTCAGTTTCCCCTCTTCAGACTCTATGGCTAATGACAGAGCTTTTCAGATTTGGTGGAAATGCTCTCCGGGGCGGGGAGCAGACGGGGAAGGCTGCCCCAGCTAATCTCCGCAGCCAGTACCCTCGAAGGCTGAGATCTCGGGGAGCACAGCCTCCGATTCGCGTTTTCTAGGCACCAAAGTCCCTCGCTGGAGGAAGAGGAGGGGAAGAAGGCAGAGGAGAGGGGAGGGGCGGACGGATCTGGTCCTGGGCTCCCGCGCGGAGCCCCCTCCTCCCACAGCCGCCGCTCGCGTCCCCGCAGCGCATGACCGCGGCACTGCGGCTGCAGGGCTCTCTCCCCCGCCCGCGCCGGATTCCTGGAGCAAGGGGGTGGGGGGCTCGGAGGTGCAGGACCCATCATTCCGACACGCGCCGCGACGCCAGGAGTCGGGGATGACGCCCCTGCTCCCTCCCCTCGTTCCTGTTTCTCGGAGTTTTTCGACCCCTGAGCGCGTCGCTGAGTCACCTTCCCGGAACGCGCTCGGGACGCTCTGGACCCAGCGGGGACTGCCCGGGGGCCGCGCAAGGCGAAGGCGCACCCGCCGATACGCGCGCGGAGCTGCGGCCCCAGGGACCCCGCGTCCCAGCCAGTGCCCCCCGACCCGCCCGGGGACTCTCGGGTCCCGCCCGTCTGACCCCCCAAGTGTTGGGAAACGGGGCCGAGCTGCCTGGGTCCTCCGGAAGAGAAGACACCGCGGAGGCGTGCCGGAGTTCAGGGCGCCGCCCGGCTAATTGGCTGCGTGCTCCTCCTGGACCTGCCTCTTCTCGACTTTAAGAAGCGATGAGAGAGGTGTGTGGGGGCGGGTGGGGCCGGCGGGGGCGCGCGAGCCCCGCAGCCTCCCGCAGGGGCTTGGTTTCTCCTAACTCTGGCCCTACCTGGGCAGGTCACCAATGGGCCTTGGCAACTTCTTCCTCCGTCTCCGCCGTAACCCCCCAGGGATCTAACTCGAGGTGCTCGCGGACACGTTCTGTGGCTTGCCGCGATAAGTGTATCACAAACACACTGACAAACGCGTCCCTACTGGCCTCCAAAGAAGTGACAACTTCTGAGCGCGTTTCCGGCGCCCCTTCTTCACGCTGAGCCAGAGGGGGCGGGGGGCACGTACCACATGCTTGGCTTTCCAATCCCGACGGGGGCCCCCAGGCCCATCTACACTGTCAAGCCTCCTCTCCGGCTCGGAGCCCCCGGCCTGTCGCCTGCTCTACCCGGGACAGCGCGCTAGGCGGCCTCAGGCTCGGTAGCCCAGCTGCAGCGTCGGGAAGTTAAAAATAACCTCCGTGGGAGCGCGGGGGAGGAAGAAAGAGGGAAGCTGGTGGGCGGCGGGCGAGACGCCCCGGCCTGGAGAGGCGCCCCGGGTGGCGTGCGGGCCTCGAATTTCGGGTGGGCTAGGGCAGAGCGCGCAAAAGGGGCGCTGCATCCCGGCGCCGACAGCACCCGCGGGGGCGAGGTCGTGGCGTCGAGGTGAAACCAAGGGTCCCCCGGGAGAGCGGAGCCGCGCGCGCCCGGCGCTCGCTCCGACACGAGTTCGCGCGGAGCCCGCGCCTCCGTCTGCGCTGCGCGGTCGCTTTCGCGCGCCCCAGACACTGCGCTCGCGGCCGGGCCCGGGACTCCGCGCCTCGCGGCCTGCCGCCTCAGCTCACCCGGCCAGGTCGCGGCGCCGCCTTCTAGCCAGACGCCTAGGACGAGCGGCGGGGGCGCGCTTGCCGCTTCCTAGGACCCGGGCGGGAACCAGCTCGTGGCCCGGCCGTGGGCGCGGGCCGTGCCGGAGGCGGCGCGCTGAGGCCGGAGGCGGGCAGAGGCCGAGGCCGCGCCGGGCTCAGGTTCCACCCCCGGGAGCGCGGGGCGGAGCCAGGCCGGCGCCGAGGCTCAGTGCCCTCCCCGCTCCGCGGCGCCGGCTGCGAAGTTGAGCGAAAAGTTTGAGGCCGGAGGGAGCGAGGCCGGGGAGTCCGCTCCAGCGGGGCGCTCCAGTCCCTCAGACGTGGGCTGAGCTTGGGACGAGCTGCGTTCCGCCCCAGGCCACTGTAGGGAACGGCGGTGGCGCCTCCCCAGCAAACCGGACCGACTGGGTAGGGCCGCCCACCCTGCCTTCGCGCCGCTCGTGGCTCCTGTGCGGCCCGCCCTCGCGGGGCCCCGGGAACTGGGCCACTTGTCGCTTGGGCGAGAGCAGGCGGCAGCTGGTGGCCCGGTTCGGGCTTGGCTTTGGCGCGACCCGGGAGCGGCTCCCACGAGCGCCGCGCGCGTCGCAACGGAGCGGGGCCCTGAGAAGCGCGCGCCGCGGCTCCCACCGCTCTGGAGCTCCGGGCAGGGGACACGGCAACCTGGATGGCTGGGGCAGGGATCCTCTCCCAGAACTTCGTGCCCAGCAATGTCCGCTCAAGTTCTGGGATTTTTACGCAGCTGGACTCCCCTCCCCCTGGCAGCCCCGAGGGGTGAGGAGCTAGTCCGTCGGAGGGAGCCACGGGGCTCTGACTCATCCGTCGGGCCGGAACCGAACCCCAAGCCCCAGGGAGAAAGCCCCGGAGCAGGCGCCCTTCTCAGGGATTGTAGGCTTAGTCACACGGCGGGGGCGCCCTCGGAGGCACCGGACCTCAGCTCTCTGGACTTCCCGGGAACCTGGCTCCCCGCGCGTGGTCCCGGGATTTAGTCGGGCGCTCCCCACCTCTGGCAGCTGCGGCCCCGGACTCCGCCAGCGCTGTCTTCTCTCCCTCAGGTCCAGCCGCCGCAGGGAATGACGCCGGTGCTCCTGCAGCCACGGCTCCGGGCGGGGAAGGCGAGCCCCACAGCCGGCCCTGCGACGCCCGCCTGGGCAGCACCGATAAGGAGCTGAAGGCAGGAGCCGCCGCCACGGGCAGCGCCCCCACAGCGCCAGGGACCCCCTGGCAGCGGGAGCCGCGGGTCGAGGTTATGGATCCAGGTTTGTGGGGTTCCTGCTGGGAAGGGCTGTAGGGGGATTCCTGTTCCTCGCCAGGAATGATGGAACGCCCAGCTGGACGAAAGGGGCTGTGGACGATCGGGAGAAACATTATCCCTCACGAGGCCAGAAGCCGGCCGAATCTGAGCCAAGGAAGGGGGTGGCAGGGGCGCCGCGTCCCCACCCCAGGTCTCCCAGCAAAGGCCGCTCCTCTGGCCAGGGTCAATTACCGGGGTGTTTCGGGCACCAAGTTCCCACACTAGTGCCCCATTGTTACCCGTGGCCCCCTAGTGGTCGGTTGCGGACGTGGCCTCTTTGGTTTTGTTTTCTCAGCGGGCGGCCCCCGGGGCGTGCTCCCGCGGCCCTGCCGCGTGCTGGTGCTGCTGAACCCGCGCGGCGGCAAGGGCAAGGCCTTGCAGCTCTTCCGGAGTCACGTGCAGCCCCTTTTGGCTGAGGCTGAAATCTCCTTCACGCTGATGCTCACTGGTGAGTACCTCTCGGAGGGGGTTTCGGGAGCATCCCCTGGCAGGGGACCCCCCCAGTCCTGATAGCTGCCGGTCTCCCTGCAGAGCGGCGGAACCACGCGCGGGAGCTGGTGCGGTCGGAGGAGCTGGGCCGCTGGGACGCTCTGGTGGTCATGTCTGGAGACGGGCTGATGCACGAGGTGAGGACCGCACTGCGCGGCTAGGCCTGGGGCTTGGCGCGGTGCGTCCCAGGCTGAGGCCACGTGTGCTTCAACAGGTGGTGAACGGGCTCATGGAGCGGCCTGACTGGGAGACCGCCATCCAGAAGCCCCTGTGTAGCCTCCCAGCAGGCTCTGGCAACGCGCTGGCAGCTTCCTTGAACCATTATGCTGGGTGAGAGCCCAGGGCCAGAGTAGGCCTGTTTCCCGTCAGTGCTCCTCTACCGCGGGGGTTTTCTTGTCTAAGCTCCCATAGGCTGAGATCATTTCCATTTCCCCTTCTCCCTTAGTCCTGGGGCCCTCTCCTGGTGACCCCAGCTGACTGCTTCCATTTGCTCCATCTGTCACCTACCAGTCCTGCCAACTCCCCAGGGACCACATGGCGCTTTGCCAGCTCCCACTCCCCGGGAGGAGGAAGCGGGGGATACATGGGGGCTCCTGTCCTGCCTTATCTGACTTTTTCCCCCTGCAGCTATGAGCAGGTCACCAATGAAGACCTCCTGACCAACTGCACGCTATTGCTGTGCCGCCGGCTGCTGTCACCCATGAACCTGCTGTCTCTGCACACGGCTTCGGGGCTGCGCCTCTTCTCTGTGCTCAGCCTGGCCTGGGGCTTCATTGCTGATGTGGACCTAGAGAGTGAGAAGTATCGGCGTCTGGGGGAGATGCGCTTCACTCTGGGCACCTTCCTGCGTCTGGCAGCCCTGCGCACCTACCGCGGCCGACTGGCCTACCTCCCTGTAGGAAGAGTGGGTTCCAAGACACCTGCCTCCCCCGTTGTGGTCCAGCAGGGCCCGGTAGATGCACACCTTGTGCCACTGGAGGAGCCAGTGCCCTCTCACTGGACAGTGGTGCCCGACGAGGACTTTGTGCTAGTCCTGGCACTGCTGCACTCGCACCTGGGCAGTGAGATGTTTGCTGCACCCATGGGCCGCTGTGCAGCTGGCGTCATGCATCTGTTCTACGTGCGGGCGGGAGTGTCTCGTGCCATGCTGCTGCGCCTCTTCCTGGCCATGGAGAAGGGCAGGCATATGGAGTATGAATGCCCCTACTTGGTATATGTGCCCGTGGTCGCCTTCCGCTTGGAGCCCAAGGATGGGAAAGGTGTGTTTGCAGTGGATGGGGAATTGATGGTTAGCGAGGCCGTGCAGGGCCAGGTGCACCCAAACTACTTCTGGATGGTCAGCGGTTGCGTGGAGCCCCCGCCCAGCTGGAAGCCCCAGCAGATGCCACCGCCAGAAGAGCC
This sequence comes from Homo sapiens, assembly GCF_000001405.40. Classification (NCBI taxonomy): domain Eukaryota; kingdom Metazoa; phylum Chordata; class Mammalia; order Primates; family Hominidae; genus Homo; species Homo sapiens. The sequence continues at coordinate 76,387,580 of NC_000017.11, forward strand.
CTTATGACCCCTGGGCCGCGCTGTGCCTTAGTGTCTACTTGCAGGACCCTTCCTCCTTCCCTAGGGCTGCAGGGCCTGTCCACAGCTCCTGTGGGGGTGGAGGAGACTCCTCTGGAGAAGGGTGAGAAGGTGGAGGCTATGCTTTGGGGGGACAGGCCAGAATGAAGTCCTGGGTCAGGAGCCCAGCTGGCTGGGCCCAGCTGCCTATGTAAGGCCTTCTAGTTTGTTCTGAGACCCCCACCCCACGAACCAAATCCAAATAAAGTGACATTCCCAGCCTGCTCGTCCTGTCCTGGTGACTGGGGAGAGAATGGGTTCTCGTTCTGGCCGGGACTATAGAATTTAATGGTAATGATGGCCAATGGTGCCCCCTGGGATGGGCAATGGATTTTACTGGCCCCAGGCATAGTCATTCTGGTGGGGGACTCAGGACCAGAGCTGGTTCAGCCTAATGGTGGGGGGGCCTCTACCACCCTGATAATTATAGCACCTCCAACCTGAAGCAGCCTCAGAGCTCAGCCAGCTGCCTGACCACACACAGGATGCAGCTCGGAGCTGGCATGTCTCAGCCAGGGCCACACAAGCAGCTAGTCCCAGCAAATCTCATCAGAGCCCCATGTGGATTTAGCAGGAAAGGGGAAATATCTGAGTTAAGGGCATTAGAAAACTGATGGGCCAGGCGTGGTGGCTCACACCTGTAATCCCAGCACTTTGGGAGGCTGAGGTGGGTGGATCACTTGAGCCCAGAAGTTTGAGACCAGCCTGGGCAACATGGTAAAATCTCATCTCTACAAAATGTGCAAACATTAGCAGGGTGTGGTGGCGGACACCTGTAGTCCCAGCTACTTGGGAGGCTGAGGCAGGAGAATCGCTTGAGCCCGGGAGGTTGAGGCTGCAGTGAGCCGAGATCGCGCCATTGCACCCCAGCCTGGCTGGGTGAGACAGAGTGAGAATGTCTCAAAAACAAAAACAATAAAACCACTGGCCACCGCCCCCGCCCCCCCCCAAAAAAATTGGCAAGGAGCAGGAGACCTCAGAAGTAAAAAATGGCAATATCTTGCTTTTTTTTTTTTTTTTTTTTTTTGGCTCACTGCAACCTCTACCTCCCGGGTTCAAGTGATTCTTGTGCTCAGCCTCCTGAGTAGCTGGGATTACAGGTGCATGCCACCATGCCCAGCTAATTTTTGTAGTTTTAGTAGAGATGGGGTTTCACCATGTTGGCCAGGCTGATCCCAAACCCCTGACCTCAAGTCATCTGCCCGCCTCTGCCTCCCAAAGTGCTGGGATTACAGTCATGAGCCACCACACCTGGTATCTTACCTTTTTAAAAGGAGTCTGTCATCCACCACAATGGTCTAGGGTTCTAGGGTTCTCCCAGCCTCCCTCAGCTGTCTCCTTTCCCTACCTGTCCCTGTGGAGGAGTGCCAGGCAGGAGTGGAAAGAATGTGGCAGGGAAGGATCCATCCAAGTCTAAACTGGGCAACCATTTTGGCTTAGCGTCCAGGAGTTGTGGCACCTGTCCACCGCCAGGTGCTATGACGTCGGCTCTCCCAGAACCTGGAAGGAGCTGAACTGGTCAGTTGTAGGTCTCTGGAGACTACAGCTGCTGGGAGGCTGCTCTAAGCTGGCTCCTGAGGGGCACACCACCGGCCAGGAGGAGGCCAGAGGACTGCTCCAGGACAAGAAGTACAAAAGGCATGCAAGCAGGTCTGGCAGGCAGAGGGCAGTGTGGGCGGGTGGGGGTGCTGTTCACAGTGGCCCCCACCTGGCCAGGAAAGCCAGGACCCACTGCCACATGCCTTCCCTGGCAACAAACAAGGTCTTTCCTTCCCCAGGAAGGGTGTGTGTGAGGGACACAAAGGCAACGGAGCCCAGATGAATGGCAGAGGGAGGTTTAATGGTGTCACCTTGTCTTGCTAATGAGCCAACACAAAAAAAAAAAAAAAAAAAAATGCAAGTAAAAAAAAGTTTAATCACACAGCACTTTATACAGATATCGTAAGCAGTAGGCATTCACATCTCCACATGTACAATGCACTGGGAAGCACAGCCCCACCAGTCACTCCGGGTGTTTCTCAAACAAGATACCGACTCGGTTCCAAATGCCACGGTGTGTGGTCCGGCTCCATCCTCCCGCAGCTCTGCTGGCTGGGCGGTCACAGCACAGCACAGGTGTGGAGCCCACTTAAGGCTGACAAGACGCATCATGCTTTGGCTTTTTTTTTGTCTTTTTTTCTAATAAGAGTTAATATCTTTGCTTTTGAGTTTTTTTTCCAACCTTAAATATTACATACATACACCAAAAATTACATAGCTGCAATGTGCTCAACAGCATCCTCTCGGCCTGGAGCTTCACATTATCAAAAGCTTAGAAAACTTGTAAACCTCTGGGCCTGTCTCTGGGCACTAGGAGAGCCCCCGCCGGCCGTCCCCTTCGGATTGAGCCTGCAGTTTGTAAGCGAAGGGCTGACAGTAGGCCTTCTAGTCCAAGAGAGGGCTGGCTCGCTTGGAGTTCAGTGAGCTGCACGCCTGTCCCAGTGTGACCATGTGATGGGGGAGGGGCCCTAGCACTTGCCCTGGCCTTGTGCAGCTGCTCTTGCCCCCAGCAGCCTCCGACAGAAGAGCAAGGCACCTATAGCTGTTGCTTTCCCTGCAGCTCCCTGGTCCTCAACTCCATGTGCATGTGTGAAGGCCACCACCTCTCCTGGGCGTCACCCGGAACCTAGCCTGGTCCCAACCTCTCTTAGAGAGCAAGTTCAACAGGCCTGAGGGCTATAACGTGGTCGACAGGCCATGTATAGCCGGGAGTCAGTGACAGCAGCTACAACTCCCAAGGGATAGTGTTGACGCTGGAGGACTAGGGAGGACCTGGGTGGTGGTGGCAGCAGGAGGGTCTGGGACACAGGGAGGCTTGAGTTGAACTAAACAGGTTGAAAGGGACCAGGGGAATTGTTGGCGCAACCCACACTTCATGCAAGGCACATGTGCTCTCCTGCGGGTCTGCAGGGAACCGGCCCAGAGAGCCCCGCGGCAGGCCCTGGAACACCCGCCTCTGACCTGAGAAGGGGCAGCAAGGGAGCAAGTGCCGGACATTCTGCTGGGGTGACAAATGGAAAATCGGCAACAGGGTTCCGATTTTCTTTGCCACAGGGGACCCGCCTGTTGAAAGCTCGCTTCAAAATAGAAACGGCAGCATCTCAACACACTTCTTGCACTTCAGCATCAAACTCACCTTGGGGAGAAGAGGGCAGTGGGTTTGCAGTGGGGACAGAGGGGCATGGGAAGAGGGGTGATTCCGGGGGGGAGTGAGCAGGCGGCGGCTGGCCTCTCCCACGGTGATGCTCTTTCCTCTGTGCCTGGCAGCTACTTGTCCTCTGTGCACTCCGGCATGCCTGCCTCTAGCAGGGCAGCCCGGAACTGCGTCAGGACACCCCGGATGCTCTTGATGAAACCCTTGGAAAGTGGGAAGAGGGGGAAGCCGATGTCAGGGTAGCCACTCTTCTCAGGTAAGAAGCTCCGGTAGCTCTTTCTCCGCTTCTTTGGTTTCACACTGGGTGGCACCGATGCGTCTGGTGCGGTCTCCGAAGTCTGGTCTGTGTGGTCCCTGCTAGCTGAGGCCAGGCCCTGGGCACCGCCCTCTGAGTCTGAGCCCTGGGAGGCCTCTCCTGGGGCTGGCCCTCCATCCTCAGGTTCTTGTTGGCCGGAGTCTGACAGCTCGGCTACAGCTGGGGGCTCTGGCGAGCTGCTGGCCTTGGGCACCCCGTTGGGCAGTGCCTGGGCCTTCTCCAGCAGGGCATGGGTTTCCAGCCAGGACTCGATACGGTTCACCAGCCGCCAGCCACCAGTGCTAAAGTGTTGCCTGATCTCCTGCTCAAAGACCTCGGGGGGCCGCCGCACCAGCTGGGTCATGGACTGCACCACGCGGATCAGCGCCATCTCATTGTAACAGCGACTGTTTTCATAGCCTTCCTGCAGGCCTCGGTCACTGTCGAAGCCGGCTTCGTTGTAGTATGGTTCATTTACCAGGATCAGACCTGTGTGGGCGGGACACCTTCCCTCAGTGGGTGAGAGAGGCCCACAATGCAGGCCTACCCTCCACCTGCCAGGGGGACTATCAGAGTCACTTTCCTCCACCGGCCCTCCCTTGTCCGCACCCCCGCTTCAGCCCAACTGTACCTTGGATGGAGATGAGCACCTGGAGAAGGCTGGACTTGCTTGTCCACCTCTCTGTCCCCTGAAACACACAGGGCACCATCAATTCTGTTCCCCAGGCCCCTATCCACCAGTGGCTCTTCCTCCTTCTTGGCTGGGGGCCTGGCCCTATACTCACCTTTCCAATCCAGGTGCCCAGGAGGCTGACACACACCTTCCCATTGTCATACAGGTTGGGGTTCAGGCGGCCACTGCATTGGGAGAGGTAGCAGAAGTGGGGGGGCACGGCTGGGTAGATGTTGGGGAGCTGGATGTCAAACAAGTAGAGGCCATCCTCGTAGGGGGTTCGAGTGGGGCCCTTGATGAGAGCTGAGAAGAGGTCCTAGGTAGGGAGGGAGGGAGGGAGGCCAAGGTTGGCAGGGGTGGAAGGGGGTGTCCTACATGTGGCATCTGCATCTGCACCTGCTCTTTCCCAGGACACTGTGCAGATCACGCAGGAAGAGCAGCACCTGGGACTCCAGATGCCACCAGCAGTGGAGAAGCTAAGGACAAATCTCTCTCTGCAGAACAGCCTGGAATCTTTTTTTTTTGAGACAGGGTCTTGCTGTGTCCCCCAGGCTGGAGTACACTAGTGCAATAATGGCTCACTGCAGCCTCCCAAGTAGCCGGGACTACAGTGTGGGCCACCGTGCCCAGATGATTTTTTTATTTTGTGTACAGACAGGGTTTCACTATGTTGCCTAGGTTGGTCTCGAACTCCTGGGCTCAAGTGATCCGCCTGCCTCGGCCTCCCAAAGTGCTGGGTTTACAGCCCTGAGCCGTCACTGTGCCTGGCCCTTGCCTGGAATCATTGAACCCTGGCTAAGAGAAATACTCGAAGTGAGTTTTTATCTTATCAGGTGTTTTTCCTCATAAATCATTACTTTAAGACTGTATTCCAGCTGGGCGCGGTGGTTCGTGCCTGTAATCCCAGCACTTTGGGAGGCCGAGACGGGTGGATCACTTAAGGTCAGGAGTTCAAGAGCAGTCTGGCCAACGTGGTGAAACCCCGTCTCTACTAAAAATACAAAAATTAGCCAGGCGTGGTGATGCATGCCTGCAGTCCCAGCTACTCGGGAGGCTGAGGTGGGAGAATTGCTTCAACCCGGAGGCGGAGGTTGCAGTGAGCCGAGATTGTGCCATTGAACTCTAGCCTGGGTGACAGTGCGACGCTATCTCAAAAAAAAAAAAAGATTGTATTCCTCAGCCAGACGTGATGGCTCACACCTGTAATCCCAGCACTTTTGGGAGGCCAAGGTGGGAGGACTGCTTGAGGCCAGGAGGTCAAAACCAACCTGGGCAACATAGTGGGACCCTATCTCTACAAAAAATAAAAAATTAGCTGGGCATGGTGGTGCATACCTACAGTCCCAGCTACTCAAAAAGCTTAGATGGGAGGATCACTTGACTCCAGGAGGCTGAGGCTGCAGTGAGCTATGATCACACCACTGCACTCCAGCCTGGGCGACAGAGTGAGACCCTGTCTTTTATTTTTTGGCTTATGTGTTTTTTTGAGATGGAGTATAGCTCTGTCCCCAGGCTGGAGTGCAGTGGTGTGATCTTGGCTCACTGCAACCTCTGCCTCCCAGGTTCAAGCGATTCTCTGCTTCAGTCTCCTCACGCCCGGCTAATTTTTTGTATTTTAATAGAGACGGGGTTTCACCATGTTGGTCAGGCTGGTCTCGAACTCCTGACCTTGTGATCCGCCCACCTTGGCCTCCCAAAGTGCTGGGATTACAGGCGTGAGCCACCACGCCCGGCCAACCCTGTCTTTTAAAAACAAAACAAAACAATTCCTCTAAACACCTGCTCCAACCCTTATCCCCAACAAGGCAAGTAGTACAAGCAGTTTCAAGCTGAAAGGCAGTTCCAGGCTGGTGAGGCCTGGGGAAGGGGGGATGGTCTCACAACCAGAAGCTGACAGTGAGGGTTTGAACTCCATGGGGGAGGTTGGGAGACCACCGCTCCACAGACATCTGGAATCTGTGCATCTATTTGCGTGCATCTGTGCACACACGCGTGTGTGTGGGATCTCAACTGACAGGGCAATGGGCGAGGTCAGTGATGAGCTGAGAAGCAGGGAAGGCAGAGCGCTAGCTGGGGCGAGGGAACCTCTGCACATGCTCTTATCGGTGCCACCCTGGGAGCCTCCAGGGAATGCACTACTTTTCTTCTCCTGAGTGAGATGTGGGGAAAACAGAACAAAACAAAAAATACTGTTTCCATCTTCCCTCAGCAGAGCTGAGACAGGCTAGAATTTTCAAAAGGAATTTTCCTACAACCCAAGAAAAAACCAAAAGCGTTATTAAGAATCTCAAGCAGCACTGGGCCTTAGGACTCTGCCTAGCCCTGTTCCAGGGTTGTGGCTACTCCGGGCCCATCTCAACAGCATCCCGCTTGGCTGCTCTCAGGATCGCTTGGCTGCTCTCAGGATCCCTGCTCTTTCTTTTCTTACTCCCTTCCTTCCAGGACAGGGCCAGAACTGGGGCCTCAGACTCAGATTCAGAGTCTAGCATAGTGCTTGGCTCGATGCACAGGCCCAGTAAGGGACTGCGGAGTCAACAAGGTGGCAGGCAAACGGGCTTGCCTGTTCCGGAAGGATGCACTCAGCGCTGCCTCAGTAAACATGACTCAGAGACACTAGGCCCCGTCCACGAACAGAGGAGTGGGAAAATGGAATGTGGTGTGGCCACATGCTGTCATCCTATTTTGCAGGTAAAAAGGAAGAAACTAGATCATTATGAATCAACACAGGTTGGTCTTAAGCAAATTAGAGATGATGTGTACGACGACATATTCTGTGTGTAAACAAATCATACAAAATATTATGTACTTATGGTGATACATGAAAATGTAAAAATATTTTTTTAGTGTATAAATAATGTAAAAGTATAAAAAAAAGGTCATCCGTTTGGAAGGAGACCCACTAAACTTCCAACAATCCTCTGGGTGTGGGAAGAGGCCTATGATTCGGGGAGAAAGGGAAGTGAGGTCTGGTCAAAGGCAACTTTAGCTCTTCCATTTCCACTCAAAGGATCTGTAATGTTCTAATTTTTCAAAAAGAAAAGTAGGCTTGAGGAGTAATCATAATATAATTAATTTCAAAGTAATTTTTTTTTTTTTGAGATGAAGTCTCGCTCTGTTGCCCAGGCTGGAGTGCAATGGTGCGATCTTGGCTCACTACAACCTCTGCCTCCCAGGTTCAAGTGATTCTCCTGCCTCAGTCTCCCGAGTAGCTGGGATTACTGGCACCCGCCACCACATCCGGCTAATTTTTGTATTTTTAGTAGAGACAGGGTTTCACCGGGTTGGTCAGGCTGGTCTCAAACTTCTGACCTCAGGTGATCCACCTGCCTCGGCTTCCCGAAGTGCTGGGATTACAGTCGTGAGCCACCGCACCCGGCCTATTTCAAAGTAATTTTTTTTTTTGAGACAGAATCTCGCTCTGTCACCCAGGCTGGAGTGCAGTGGCGTGATCTCGGCTCACTGCAAGCTCCACCTCCCAGGTTCACGCCATTCTCCTGCCTCAGCCTCCAGAGTAGCTGGGACTACAGGCGCCCGCATGGTGGCGGGAGAGTTTTTTGTAATTTTTTTTTTTTTTTTAGTGGAGACGGGGTTTCACTGTGTTAGCCAGGATGGTCTCGATCTCCTGACCTCGTGATCCACCCACCTCGGCCTCCCAAAGTGCTGGGATTACGGGTGTGAGCCACTGCGCCCGGCCGAGAAAGTAATTTTTTAAAGGAGGGAGGAAAGAAAGAACCATCTGGCCTGGACACACGGCTGAGTCAGCCCTCACCTGACTGAGCCTGTGACCGCCCCTGTAAAAGGTGGGTGGGTGAGTGTCCTCGCAGGTGCCAGTCAGCCCCGGAGGTTTGGGGACCCAAGGTTGGTGGCCTCTTGGGCACTGGGTGCCCACACAGCACATCTGCACCTGCCCATGCCAAGCCTACTTGCCATTCTATCTTCAAAAGTCTTGACCATGATGCCCTCAGGCAGTGAGGTAGCCAGCAGCGCCATCTCCTTCCGCACTGTGCTGAAGAACTTCTTGGCTTCTGGAGGCTGGAACTCAATTTTCTTAAAAGAATGATTTGCTAGAGGGGGGAAGAGAATAGTCAGTCCCTCATGGAGAGGCCCTGGAGCTCCATCTGCCAACCTGGCTGGACAGGTGAGCACACCCACAGACTTCCCACTCGCCGCTGCTGGCCTCAGCACTGTGACCACACAGGGAAATGGTTTGCCCTGGGGCAGTAGCTGGGGTCTGGCGAGGGGACTAACCACCCTGCACCCAGATCTGGTGACACAAACAGGAGCCCCGAGAAGGCGGGGGAAGGCGAAGACCAGGCAAGGGCTGACTCACAGGGTGCAAACTCCAGTACGGAGAAGACCTCGCCCTTGGCGCTGGTGAAGGTGACGCCAGGCTTGCCGCCACACTGCTGGCACAGCACCGGGGTTTCGCTGGGCCACTCAGCCTTCACAGGTGACTGCCCCTCGGGCTTGTCCTCCTTGCGCTCTACGTCGGGCACTGCTTCCATCTTCTCCTCCTCTACAATGGCCACATTGTCCAGGGTCTTCTTGAGGTTTTCCTGTAGCTTCTTGATGTCATCCAGAAACTTCTTCTCCCGAGTTGGCTTCTCAGGCTCCACAGTCGGAGAGGTGGGCGAGCCCGTCAGCAGCTGCTCCACAGTCATGTTCTTGAGGCTCTCCAGGATCTTGATGGCCTCTTTCAACTCCCGGAAGCTCTTGGGTGGCCCGTCCTTGCCAGCCTTCTCCATCAGCCCGGCCATGGGGGCAGCCATGGCCACAGCCCCCTGGACGGCAGCTGTGGCTGCCTCTTCACTGATCACCACTCCCTTGTCCTCAGGGGCCACCGGCTGCTCCAGGGGTGGGATGGGGGGCTCCTCTATCTTGGGGTGCTCGTCCTCCACCAGCCCATTGTCCGTCTCCCAGCTGTCACTATCATCTTCCCATTCATCCGAGGATGCCCCGCTGGTGCTGCCTTCTACCGAATCGTAGTCTGACTCCTCAATCTCAGACTCTATGTTGTACAAGTGCTGGGGGCAGAAGGGAAGTGCCAGGGTAAGCAGACAGGAAGTCACCTCCCCACCACTAAGGAGGAGCTCTGGGGATCCCTGATCCGCACAGCTGATGGCGACTGGGCTCATGAGGCCTTGGCAACCTCATTCCACCCTTTCCCTGACCTCTGCTCTGGCTTTTGCAGTCCCTAGGTCTCTGGGAGAGGCCCTTCACCTGTCCCACCCTCCAGCTGGACCCAAAGCCCCAGCCAGTGGTCTGTTCCAGCCTCTCCTCCTGCTCTGTGCACTTCGTCAGCATCTGTCCAAGGCGTTAGGGGACCTTGGCAGGCCCAGTCCCACACCTGAAAAGCGCAGGGTCAGCTAATGATGCAGCCAAGGAGGCCTGTGTGGGGAGCTGGGAACATATGACAAGAGGGGACATGTAGAAGGGCCGACATATCCTGCTGCGTTCCCTGGAATGGCCGTTAAGGTGATGGGGCAAGCCATTCCCGCCCCCACTCCTGCCCCCTGTGTGGACCAGGAGAGGAGAGCTGGGCTGTGTGGCTCCAACCAGGAGGCGAGGGAAGGAGAGCCCGTGTAGCCCTTCTGCTCAGGACCCAGCAGGTGGGGCTAGAACTGGGTCGGCTCTCTCCTTTCTCTCCTTCTCTGTTAGAGCTTTCTAAAAAGGGTGGTAGGAAAGTCTCCATCTCCTTTTAGGAGGGAACTTGCATTCTTCGTAGCATAGTGAGCTGACAATCCAGGAAAATCCTGGAGGTTTGTGAAAGTCTACATGCACCCAGAGATGGACGTGAAGAGATTGCTGGGAGAAGCGAGGCTGGTGGGCCAACTGCAGGCCTGCACCAAGGGCTGTGTGGAATGCCTGCCTTTCCCCTCACGCTTTCGCTGAGATCTCACCAGGAAGACCTGAGAGCCCATCTTCTGGCTACACGCCTGTGGCCCCCGGCCCAAGTTGCCATAGTCACAAGCTCAGCAGGGGGGTCTTGCCAGAGCCTCACCTGGGGCAGGATGATGGTCTTTGAGTTGTCAGCCCACACCACCTCCACCTTGCTGCTGACGTCCACACGGGCCACCTGGCCCACCGATGGCTGCTGGGCAAAGGGGACAAAGTCAGGGGGCCCAGCTCAAGCTCCAGCTCCCCAGCCCCTCCTGTGCTCTGCAGTGACTGACATCATGCCCACCTGGCTTGTGACAAGGAACTTAGCTCCTCTGGTAAATGTAACCAGCGGCAGCTCAAGAAGCCTGACCCCAGAAGGGAGGCAGGGAAACAAGTCCTTCTGCAGCTGCTAGTGCTGAGCGGCAGCTTGACTCTGGGGCAGCTGCCCTTCTGAGGACACTGAGCCCAGAGGACTTTCAGGTCTTGTCTCCTAGAGCCACCTGGTGGCAGCATCAGGGACTGCAGCTGGTGCACAGGGCAGTGAGCAGCCATCCAGAACTTGAATTTGAAGGCGTACCTCATCCTCCTTGTGAGGAGCCCCATCCTCAGTATTGCCGATGCGGATGACGATGTCAGTTGTACGGAACCTAAAGTCAGGGTGGTCAGCAATGTCGTAAACACTCACATCTTCCTCTTCTCCAATCAGCTGTGGCACAGGACAGGTTGTCATGAGCTAGGGGTCCTACACCCAACCCCAGAGCCCACCTGAAGCAAGCAGTAGGGGCTGCACACACCTCCACGTCGTCCCCACTCGGCCTCAGCTTGAACCACTTCACCATGCAGGTACGGCCGATGTGGTCCCCAGACTGTACCACACCGTAGACAGCAGGGTCTGGACAGCTCTGGACTAGGGAACCAGAGAAAGGGAAGTGACTAGCTAAGGGATCCCGGCTAAGGAGCCCACATCTCAAGCCAGTGCAGAGTGCAGAACCCTGACCTTCCCCCGTCTTGGAAGTGGTGAGACCCCTTCATGAGGGCAGTCCCCTTCTGGACCTCATTTTAGCTCTGACCCCAGATCCACTGCCCATTCTCCACAAGCCCCAACCCGGGCCCTCATTGGCGACCACCCTGCTGGCTGCCCTTCCAGAGCTGGCACTACCTCGCTTATCTACCACGAAGTCTCCAGGGCAGAACTCGTTGTTGTCCAGGTGGTGCACAGGGAAGAGGTCGTTGGAGCGGATGTTGCATTCCACGGAGCCATCCTGCCACATCACGTCGGCTGAGGTCATCGTGGTCACCACCTCCACTGCCACCCTGCGGGTGCAGGCCAGTCAGCAGGCCATGCAAACCCCACCCCCTCCGCGGAAAGGGCAGAGAGTCTTTCTGTCCCTTCCTGTCCCTGTGGGCTTGGTAACCTGAAACTCTGAATCCCAGGTTGGCAGGATGAGTCTCTGGTGCACAGGAAGCTCACCCAGGGTTCCAAGGCCACGCATTCTCTGAGAACAGGATCCACTTGGGAGAGCTCAGGCAAATGTGGTTCCAGAAGGCCAAGCTTAAGGCCACCACCATCCCACCCTCTGCACCACTCCTCAGTCTCTGCTTTCCACCAGGGCCTACCCCAGGCACCTACGTTGTCTCGGGTGGGAGCCCCGGAGCCACTACAAGGCATGCAGAGGTGTGTGTGCGAGCGCAGGCACGCACACCGAGGGGACGCGCACTCTGCCTGGCTTCACGCTGACGCCATTGGGGAGGGGCACAACTCTGAGTTTACCTGTCCCCTGGCTTGAAGTCTCGAGTGATTTTATTCTTCTTCCTCTTGTGTTTGCGCTTTAAGTTCTTGATGGACAAGGGGATGCTCTTTTTGCGACTCGTGCCGCTGCCGCTCTGGGAGGAAGTGGTGGAGCTGGCAGAGGAGGTCACCGAACTGGTGTCGTCCGTGTCATCAGCAGCCTCATCATCTGCGTCCTGCTCTGCCGAGTGCAGCCTGTCATCTCTGCCTTCTTTTAGCAGGAATGGGGGCAGCTGCTCTCCTGCCTCGTGGGGCTCCTCTGCACCCTCGTCCTGCATCTCCACTGGACTGGCAGAGCCATCGGGCGTCTCCTCAGGGCTGGCAGACTCCGCTTCGCTCTTGGTTTTGGATTCCCCCTTCTTGTCTGGGTCTTCCATGGAATGGTCCCGGGAACACTGGGTGTCTGGGGAGCATGACATGATCCGCACAACCTGCTTCTTCAACAGGCGCTTCACCTGCAAGGGCGGAGCAGAGAGGACAGGGCTGTGAGGTGCACCTGGGCAGGCCTGGCCCTAGGCATCTCAGGCTGGGGGGATGACAGCTGTATACACCTGAGTAGCCGGCAAGGGTCATCAGGGCTGCCCCCCAAGGCCTAAAGCACAGACTGTCCTTCTTGGCCATGGAAATGGCTCAAGGCCAGTTCCTCAAATGCCCACCAATCCCCAACCCCAAGGACATACCTTCTTGGCCATAGAGCCCTCCCCCTGGGCGCAGTTTTTTTCTGGACATTCCCAGGCAATCTTGGCTGGCTCTACCTTGGCTGGGAAGACATACAGACAGCGCTCCCCAAGCTGCCGCTGAGCATGGTCAAAGCATCCGAGACGCTTCACCCTGGTTGGGGAAGAAGTGGGGGTGAGCTGGGCTGGACTCCTGGGAGGCCAGCAGTGTTCTTAAGCCTCCCCAGGCATGTGACCAGGGCCCAGAGCCCTGTCCCACGCGTGCCCCTGGGTTGCTGGCAGTAAGGGCATGCTTACCTGCCTAGGTTTTCCTGGGTGATGACAGAGGGTGGGGGGCTGACGCTGTCCGTGCCCCCTGGACAGAAACTCTTGGTAATCCATGTAACTTTCAACTCTACAACCTGCACCTGGGGATGGCAGGTGGGACACGCCAGTCAGGGCAGGCTCTGACAGCACTCTCTTTAGCCAGCTGCCCAAAGCCCACTTGACCTCCAGAGCAGGAAACTGATCTTCCTAGTGCAGCACCAAGTACAGACACATCAGAGCAGGCCCCAACTGTAACCACGGCCCCCACCCAATGCCCAGGACCAGTGTCACTGCTCATACCAGCCAGGGGCCACTGGAACTGCCACTTGCCACCCTCCCACCTTGCTCAGCCTGTACAGGCTGGGCTGGGGCACATCTGTCTTTTGGTCACTATGACCAGAGCCTGGGTTCCCTTTATCCCCAAAGCCCTTTGAGATCAACAGGGTCCAGATGCTGAGGAGCGGGGCTCAACCCTCAAGAGCAGGAAGGAAAGGGGCAGCAGCTCAGCTCCAGGGTGTGGAGGTCAAGGACTCCATCTCCTACCCTTGGGCCCGGACCCACCTCTTCCACCACCACTCGGAACTTGCTCTTGGTGCTGAGCACGGGCTTGACACCTGACAGCCACTGGACGCTGGAGAAGATCTTGGCAGGGCCAATGAGCACCTGGCCTGGGTAGAAGCCATAGGAATCATCGAAGAAGAGACCCTGCGGGATGTGGGGCCAAAGGAAAGTCCCCGTGAGCGGTGTCTCCATGGGTGACCATGCTCTCCACGCCTGTGCCCGCTGGCTGCCCACCTGCAGAAGCCCACTCACACACACGCCCCACACGCCCTAAAACAAGTCCTGTGGCTCCACATCAGCACTTCCCAAACCCTGGGTCCGCAGAGGTCATCTGGCGCCCTTGTTCAAACATAGGTGATGCATTCCATGCTCCTTGGTCAAGGGCTCATACTCTGAGGAATAAGACTCCAGAGAGCAGTGGTCCTGAAACCTGTTTGCTCACGCACCCCCTGTATATCTACTTGTTTGCTGTGTGTGTCCATGTACTATTGTAACTAACACATCATCCTGTACTGAGAGAGACAAAGTGGAACCTTAAAGGATGAGAAAAAAAAGCTACCAAAAATGCAAATAAAAGTTCTAATACTGCCGGGCGCGGTGGCTCACGCCTGTAATCCCAGCACTTTGGGAGGCTGTGGGCAGATCACCCGAGGTCAAGAGTTCGAGACCAGCCTGGCCAACATGGTGAAACCTCATCTCCACTAAAAATACAAAAATTAGACGGGTGTGGTGGCACACGCCTGTAATCCCAGCTACTCGGGAGGCTGAGGCCAAAGAATCACTTGAACCCGGGAGGTGGAGGTTGCAGTGAGCCGAGATCGCACCGTTGCACTCCAGCCTGGGCGACAGTGAGACTCTGTCTCAAAAAAAAAAAAAAAAAAAAAAGTTCTAATACTTTCTGCCTATACCCAAACTTTTAGACCCTCTGGCGCGCACCCGCCCCTTTTCTAGGAAACCGCTCTGTTTAGCTGGGTCCAGGTCTTTGCTACGAAGTCCTCCTTCCAGAGGACTGAGCAATCAGAGAAGGGTGCTGGCCTGGATGGAGCACACTACCGAGTCGCTGACGTGCGGGCAGACGTCGTAGAGCTTGGCGCCATCTTCCGTGTTCATGGAGCACCTAAAACAGAGAACAGAGGTTTGGTCTCCACCAGGGGACACAGTGAGTACCAAAAAGTTGCGATTCTGAGATGCCAATGCGCCCACATGCCCTAAATAGCACAATTCGTCTTCTACCATCAACTCAGCCCGAGGTAGTACAAGAAACTCTCCCACAACGAACAAGACCCCAAGTGCCACTGGAGTGCTTGCTCAGCACCATCACAGTGCCTCAAGTAAAGCATCAGCCTCTAGCAGATATCCTCAGTGAAAACGTTTCTCCCCATGCCAGGACAGATCAGAAACTGAGCAACAGAAATAGGCCACGGCAGATAAGGAGAACGGTACAGGGTTAGGCCCTGGATGCCTGCAACATCTGTCACTGCCCTTGATCAAACCTGTCATCACTGTCCCCAGGAGGAAACACCCTCCTCCTCCCCTCTTTCCAAGAGGCTATCCTTCCCAAGCCGATGGCTCTCTGGTGGTGAGACTCTACCTGGCGCCGTTGGATAGCTTCAGGATGATCTGGTTCTTCAAGTCGTAGACCTTCCCCAGCCAGCAGTCATAGGCAATGTAGTCCCCATACATGAAGGGCTGCAGACCAAGGAGGCAGGGGCAGTGAGACACAGCAGACAACGTTCATGTCCAGGGCACAGATTCCTCTATGCCCCACCGAAGACAGGATGGGGGAGGATCTAGACAGCTCACTGACTGGACCGGTTGGCTACTAGCCCTAAACAGCTGCTGCAGCAGGCCCTCCCTACAAGTTCTAGGCTGCATCCCAGCTGCTCTTCCCAGTGAGGAGGAAGTGGTGGTGGTGGTGGGGCTGCCTGGAGGGAACGGGGTGGGTGATGCAGGGGCAGAGAGGCCTGATGGCATCCATGGACATGGGACATCCATGGACACAGGACACCTGGCAAAGTAGGCTGTGGAGGTGGCAGGCAGAGGAGGCAGCCACACCACTGGGGGGTGGCTACATGGACAGTGCTCTGAGTAAATACGTTAACACATCAAGGATATCGAGAGCCAAGTCCCTCATTGTTGGAGAAGGTGCCCAGGTGTTTACTAACAGAAAGGGAGCAGGAAGGAGAAGAAGGAAGAGGAGTCTGAGGTGTTTAGGTGGAAGTGGATCTATCAGGATGAACTCATATATTTTATTTTACTTTATTATTATTTTTTTTAGAGACAGGGTCTTGCTCTATTGCCCAGGCTGGAGTGCAATGGTGTGATCTTGGCTTAATGCAACCTCCATCTTTGGGCTCAAGCGACTCTCCCACCTCAGTCTTCTGAGTAGCTGGGACTACAGGCATGCATCACCGTGCCTGGCCAATTTTTTCATATATTTTGGTTGAGATGGGGTTTCGCCATGTTGCCCAAGCTGGTCTTAAACTCTTGAGCTCAAGTGATCCATCTGCCTCAGCCTCTCAAAGTGTTGGGATTACAGGGGTGAGCCACTGCGCCCGTGAACTCTGCCTGAACTCATATATTTTAATATACACATAGAGCAGGTAGTGACATATTTAGATGTGTGTATACATATAATACATATGTATTTCCTAGTGTGTCCCAAAAGAGCCAAGTAGCAATTAGCACACCTAGCATCCAGATCTTGGGTTTTAAAAATACCATTCTCTGAAAACAATGAGGCTTCTTGGAGAAATGGTTGATTCTGGGGCTGGATCACAAAAAGTACAAGATGAGCCTGGCACATCTCATGCCAGAAAGAAAGAAAGTTCTTAAAAAACCAACAAAAAGGGCCATGTGAGAAGGACATGAAAGCCAGCTTGAAGGGGTTCCCACTGGCTAAATCTGGGACCATCCAAGCAACAGAACAGATAATAGTAGTAATTAATTATAACCAATGAATAAAACAGAAATCTCTAAGTCCATACTGATAAAAAAAAAGAATACATAAATAGGGCAGAAGATAAAGCTCTTCTACAGAGCAGAATGCCAGCTAAAAGAAATGAGGGGAACAAGGGAGTCATAGAACCACCATTTAGCAACATCAGAGCAATGGCTGGCGCAGGGGGAACTGTGAATGGAGGCCAAAGCTGGTGGATTTCAGTTTGACAAATGACAGGTTATAGACATAATCTGGGACTACGTTCCCACAAAATACAATCACTTAAAGGGGGTAAATGGTGAGTTTATGGTGGAGAGACCTGGTGGACACCAACATGACCAGGGGTAAAAGTGAACAACCCCAGCACTTTGGCTATGGGGTACCATGAACCAGGGCAGAGCTCTGCGGCGGGCCTGCCAAGAACACGTGGGCATGAGGCAACACCAGGAAGACCCAGGCTGAGGGTCAAATTACTGAATGTATCACTGTTCAGGGCATGGAAGACAAAGAAAGGCTGGGAAGCGATTCCAGATTGGAGAGAAAATGAAGAGATGACAACTCAATGCAAGATGTGTTCCTGAATTGGGTCCTGGATCCGCAAAGAAGAAAAGAGTAGTGTTGGGACAACTGCATGTGGTCTGTGGACTGGACAGTAATTATCAACGTTGATTTCCCAATCTGGGGGTTATATGGTGGTTGCACAGGAGGCTGTCCTCATTTTTGGAAAACACACAAGAGGTGTGTGTATTCCGGGGTGGGTGACAGGGCATCACATCTATAGCTTGCTGTCAAATGTTTTGGGAAGAAAAAAGACCGGAGGGGGATCTCGGGGAAAAGGAGGGAGGGAAGGTGATGGAGCAAACGAAGTGAAATCTTAACAGCTGAGGAACCTGGATGGAGGGACACAGGAATTTACAACTTTTGGTAAGTTTGAAATCATTAAAAAAATAAACTATTTCCAATAATTTATTTTTTTAAAGAAATGTTAGAGGAGAAAGGAAAAACACTTAAAGATAACCACACTGGCAGCCTATGCTGGGGTTGGGGAAGGGCACGTCCTGACCTCATGTCTAAATGGCTTACTTGAAAGCAGCGAAAACAAGGCTACAGGAGCCAGCTGGCTGCTGTGCTCCGCCTTCTGACCCAGGAAGGCTGTGCTTGGCAAGAGCACGGAGGAGGCTGTAGCCCAGAGGTCGTGCCGCCGAGAGAACCAGAGGGCCCAGAAAGGATGATGAGAAGACAGGGCCGGCTCACCCAGATGTGCTGCAGGTCCTTGCTGTTGACGGGATAGATGATGCAGTTGGTGCCGATGAGCTTGACGGCACAGTCGATGTTGACGTCGATCACCGTGCCACACTGACTGTCCTGGGGGAGGGAGGAGACATGCAAGTCCCGTGGTGCAGCAGCCCTGGTCACCAGGGGAGACCCAGCCCAGGCAACCCCAGCGCACCCCCTGCAGAGCTGGCCAGTTCTCCCACATGCAGAGTGCGAGGTGGGCAGGCTCAAGTCCCTAAGGTGGCTGCCCCCAGGCCCGGGGCTGGGGTGGGGACGCAGGACTCACGGTGGATCGCATGTGCCGGACCACATCTCGGGGCACCACAGAACGGTCCTCTAGTTTCAGCTGTAAAAGAAAATACAGGTGTGAGAGAATGGACTCTGAAGCCACCACAGAATACAGTTTTCTTCCAGCTTCTGAAGGAAAGCGTCACATCCACACTGCTAAGTGCACAAATCCTAAGCGTTTGGCTAGCAGTATCTTCACAGACCGCACACACCTCCGACCAGCACCCAGACCCACAGGCAGAGCGCGTCACGCCCACAGGCCTCCTGGGGCCCCTGTGGTCACTGTCTCACCCACCAGAGGCACTTGGCTTGCCGGAGGTAGCCTTCCTCACACTGAACAGTGCAGCTCAATGACAGATCACATAAGGCTGCACTTTAATGAAGGATTTAACAGCCCATTCTACAGAGAGCAAAACATTTGCTTTGCGTTCAATCTTTTTTCTGCCCTCTGCAAGTGCCTGCCCTAGCTGATCAGTGCTGAGGGAGAGTGGGCTGGGGGAGAAGCAGGACACTGGGCTGCGGTGGGTCACCCTGAAGCCTGGCTATCACCGGACACCATGTTCTAATCTGGGTTATCCTCCTGACCAGCTGCGGCCTGCACCTTATCTGCTGCGCTTGGAGCCCTGCAGGCTGCTAAGTAACCCTCAGGATGGTTGGCTCTTGGAGCCCGGCCAACTGCACGAGCACCTGATTGTCTCTTTACGCACAGCTGGCAGCGGCCACTGCCTCCTGCTGCTCCATCGCCCAAAAGCCCAGGCACGTGATGCTCCCACCAGGCCAGCCTGCGTCTTTTTTAGCTGGTTCCTCAAACCTGGGGCAGCTCCTCTATGGTTCTTCACTGGGTCATAATCATGGATGGGTCTCTGTGTGTGTCCACCTCCGAGACCCCAAACCACATGGCTGGAGAGCTGTTTCCTCAAATAGCCAACCAGACACTCCTCCGTGGTGGCCTCTCTTGACCTGGGGGCACTGAGAGGTCACCACCAAGAAAGGAGAACTGAGTCGCCGAAAAAGGAAGATACTGGCTCAAGGTCACTTAAATGCTGGCAATGACAACTAAAACAAACTCTGCTAGTAGAAGAACGTGACTCACAAAAAAAAAAAGGAAAGAAAAGCAATGAACCCCACCACCAACCAGCAGTGCAGAGAGTCCCATGGGAACTCATGAGCCCAAGTTGTTTTTTTTTTTTTTTTTTTTTTTTTGAGATGGAGTCTCGCTGTGTTGCCCAAACTGGAGTGCAATGGCGCAGTCTCGGCTCGCTGCAACCTTCGCCTCCCAGGTTCAAGCAATTCTCCCGTCTCAGCCTCCCGAGTAGGTGGGACTGCAGGCACGTGCCACCACGCCCGGCTAATTTTTGTATTTTTAGTAGAGATGGGGCTTCACCATGTTGGCCAGGCTGGTCTCGAACTCCTGACCTCGTGATCTGCCCACCTCAGCCTCCCAAAGTGCTGGGATTACAGGCGTGAGCCACTGCATCCAGGTATGAGCCTGTTTCAAATGACAACTTGCCCAGTCCTTAAACGCAGGGTTCTTGAGTCAGACACAGGAACGTCAGGCAAACCACTCCTGCCGACATGTGGAAGGAGAGATGATGGCAGCTGTCTCAGCATGGCTGAGGTGGAGTCACCAAGGCAGCGGACCGCAGGTGGCACATGGTGCACGGTACAGAGTAGGTGCTCAGCAAGGTCGGCAGCTGTGATCACTGGCCCTGTGAGCTGCAGGGTGAAGACCCCTGAAAGGTCAGGCTCTCCTTATCTCTGCTCCAAGACCCCAGGAGGCTGGAGAGGCATGCTGGCGTGACGGTGCCACTTTTCTAAATCAAAGAATATTCTGTGCCTGTAACCCTCTGTGCCCAAATCTCCACTCTGAGATACGGCATTTTTTTGTGCTGCCCCACCCTATCTTAATCCCCTGCTCCCATTTTAGACTTCAAAAAGCCACAATTGCTCCCAGAGAAGCCAGAAGCGGCAGGACAGGAGAATCCAATGCAAGGGGGGCTGCACCATGTGTGGCAGGAGGGCTGCCTCCACCACTTGGGGGTCCCTGAGAGAGCAGCCAGGAAAGGAGGAGAGAAGAACGCAGACACAGACCTAAATCAGTGCCGTCACTGATGAAACACCCTGTTCAGCCTAACAGCACCCTTGGGAGTGCAGGGGAAACCGAGGTGTCAACTCTGAGGCTGAAGCAGAAAAAAACAGCTGGTGAAAGCTGGCATCATGGCAAGGCCAGAGGCTGGCAGGGCAGGCAGTGCCCAGTGCTCCCAGGAGAGGGAGGCTGGCAGCAAATGCCATTCTTCCCGTGGGGTCTCCAGACAACAGCAGCTCCACCTCACCAGGATGCTGCCTCCAGGGGCTCTTCTGACCTTTCTATGACAAGGAGTTACATTTCTCCAAAGACCTGATGGTGCTGGGAGCAGAGTGGGAGCGACAAGGGGCTGGGGGATGGTAACATGGTGGCTACACTCCCTTCCACTGGGAATTAGAACCCAAGACAACGGCATGTGGAAGGACTTAGGATGACTTGGGAGGCTCTTGTGACTTTCCTTCCTAACTTCCTATACCCCACCCATACTGGGCACTGGCTTTCTCCAAATAAGCCCATACCCTCCCATCTGTGAGCCACTCCACTGAACAGTTACTTCCAAATGTCCTCCTCTCCCTGCCCCCGTATGCACAACCTGCTTCACAAAGCCTTTCAGTGCCCCCGTCAGGAAGGAACCGACGTGCTCCTGGCGAATGCAAGAGCTCTGGAGTTTTTCGCCTCATGCTAACCAGGTGCTTCCTACCTGGCAGACAGTTCTCCAAGCGTTTCACTGTCTTCGCCCATGAGGTGCTCCACAACCCATGAAGCACATCACTGCCATGCTCATTTTGCAGATACGCAAACTGAGACCAAGAGAAAATAAGCAACTCATTCAATGTCACAAGTAGTGGAGCTGGGACCTGAACGCAGGCAGTTTGGCTCCAGAGTCCATTCTCTTAACCAAATAAAAAGCTCATCTCTCCCCAGAGCTACAGAGACAGGGAAAGACTTCTGGCAGGTCTACACATTTAAAGACAGTGATTCTTCTGCTTATGAAAGAAAGAAAAACTCTCTTCATTTCTGAGGCAAGTGGAAGGCAGCAATGGTGGCCACTGACTGCGGATGCCTGCTAGGCACAGTTTGCCCTCCACTTCCCCTTCTACCTCCAAAGAGCAAATGACAGGTGCCAGCCGGCCTGGCAGGTGAACACTAGAGGGCACTGTGCCCACTCTGGGAAAGCACCAGATTTGTGAACAAAACTAAACCTTGGAATAAACCCAATCCCTACTGTTAAGGGGTGCCCTGCTTGTAGTTTAAAAAAAAATTGTTACTAGGAGGGGATCTGGGGTCGGGGGTGAAGAGATTTCAACTGTCCTCATGGGCTCTGAAATTCTAAACAACCTCAGAGTTGGTGAGCTATTTATTGTCTAACATTTCTTTTTTTTTTTTGAGATGGAGTCTCACTCTCTGGCCCAGGCTGGAGTGCAGTGGCGCGATCTCGGCTCACTGCAAGCTCCGCCTCCCGGGTTCACGCCATCCTCCTGCCTCAGCCTCCTGAGTAGCTGGGACTACAGGCGCCCGCCACCACGCCCGGCTAATTTTTTGTATTTTCAGTAGAGACGGGGTTTCACCATATTAGCCACGATGCTCTCGATCTCCTAACCTCGTGATCTGCCAGCCTCGGCCTCCCAAAGTGCTGGGATTACAGGCGTGAGCCACCGCGCCCAGCCTATTGTCTATTTCTTAGAGAGTCGTAACTATCAGAGGTTTCTGAACAGAAAAAGGACAAGACAAGATGCCAAAATGCTAACAGTGTCTCTAAGCCAGAAGGGGTGGTGGCTGGTTTAAAATGAACACACACTACTTTTTTTTTTTTTGAGACAGAGTCTCGCTTTGTCGCCCAGGTTGGAGTGCAGTGGCACGACCTCAGCTCACTGCAACCTCCGCCTCTGGGGTTCAAGTGATTCTCCTGCCTCAGCCTCCTGAGTAGTGGGATTACAGGCATGCACAACCATGCCCGGCTAATTTTTGTATTTCTAGTAGAGATGGAGTTTCACCATGTTGGTCAGGCTGGTCTCCAACTCCTGACCCCATGACCTGCCCTCCTCAGCCTCCCAAAGTGCTGGGATTACAGGCGTGAGCCACCGCCCCTGGCAAACACACACCACTTTGCACACATGTGACTCAACAGTGGGGCTGCCCAGTGGAACCCAGGACCGACATCCTCTGTGCCTCCTCTGGAAACAGGAGCAGCAAACAACACAGTTGCCCTCCGAGGAGAGGGATTCTGGCACATGCTAAGCGCCCATTCTCCTGCAGGGGGGATGCAGACAGACAGACGCAGAGAAGGTGGTACCAAGTGCCATGAAGAAAAACTAGGCCACATGGGGGCCAGCAGAGGGAGAGCACAGTGAAGAATTTTAAATGTGTGGTCAGGAAAGGCCCCTCCGAGGTGATGCTGAACCAGAGATCGGGATGAGATGGGGAATGAGCTTACCAAGCAGGGAGGAGTAGCTGTCAAGGTGCTGGGTGGGGTGACTGGCACAGGCCGGCAAGGCTTCAAGAAGGCAGAAGGCATGGTGCTGTTATTCAGGCCTTAGAGAGCCACAGGGAGGGCTTGAGATTCTATCCTGAGCAAGATGGAAGCCCCTGAAGGCCTCCACTCAGAGCCCTGCCTGATGGTGATATCCAAAACATTACCTGATTTTTGGGCAGGGAACGTGCTGAGAGAGGGAGCACGGAGGCTGGTTAGCCCAGTGGTTCTCACCTAGGGGTAATTTTGCTCCTCAAAGGACATTTGGCAATGTCTGGAGACACTTTCGGTGGTCATAAAGGGTGGTGGGGGTTCTGGTATCTAGTGGGCAGAGGCCAGAATGCTGAGCATCTAACAACGCACAGGACATCCCTCAACGAAGAATGGCGTGGCCAACGCACCCGCAGTGCCACAGCTGAGAAGCCCTGAAGGTGCTCTGGAGACGCAGGTGCTGAGACCCGAACAATGGCAGAGAAGGTGGGTCTGCGGACCAGCCTCTGGATACATCAAGTAGGAAAGCAATCAAATGGTAAGTGAGGGGTCAGGGACAATGCCAGGGCAGAGGGCAACGTGGCAGGAGGCTGGGCACTTCTGTTGTGCCCCATTTGAGCTCCCCGAAGCTATGCTGGGGGCCACTCAGAGCAGGCATTCAGGAGCCGGGGAAGCTCACCGGGGGCCTCTCCTGCCAGGAGCACTCTCCCTCCACGGCTGCCTGACTCCCAAGGCACATGCTGCTTCTCTGAGCTGCAGTCTTGAGGCTGACCCCCAATAACACAGCAAAAGCAACTAGCTCGTCCTGCAGCTCCTGGTCCAGACTCTCATTCATAACACTGACCTTGACTGACCAGGTGGAATCCAAATTCACTGTATAAAGTGATCCAGGAATAGAAAACACAAACTGAGGCTGATCAACATGTTGAAAATACAAAGACGCTAAATAAAGAAGCTACTTTTTTTTGGTGTGGTGGGGGAGGGGGTGGGTGGGAAGAACAGAGTTTCACTCTGTCGCCCAGGCTGGAGTGCAATCATGGCTCCATCTTCCAGGTAATACTCCCACCTGTCTCCTGAATAGCTGGGACTACAGGCGTACGCCACCATGCTTGGCTAATTTTTGTAATTTTTTGTAGAGAAAGGGTTTTGCCATGTTACCCAGGCTGGTCTCAAATTCCTGGGCTGAAGCAATCCTCCTGCCACCAAAGTGTTGGGATTACAGGTGTGAGCCGCTCCACCTGGCCAAGAAGCTACTTTCAAGTGATTTTGATTGTCATGTCCCTGTAGGAGCGGATGGCTCCTAAAGGCTGGGCTGCTCCTGGAGGCCATGCCCTTGCCCCAAGGGAAAAGGCGGCTTTGTGCCTGGCCACTAGCACCAGCATTTGAACACTAAATGGGCTCCCAGTTCAAAAAGGGGAGCTGGAAGAAGTCCAAAAGCAGGGGCCTGCATGGAGCCTAAGCACTTACAGCTCAAGGCTGGAAGCCACCAGCCATGCCACAGTCATCTCCAGGTGTCAGACACCAGGGAAGGCCAAACAGGACGAGACATGGGTGCTCTCTTTTAATCCCGGGGTAAAAGGCAACCCCACCGCTTCTGGAGGTTAGTGATGTAATCAATACCAGATTTTTTCTTTTTTTTCTTGAGACAGGGTCTCACTCTGCCACCCAGGTTGGAGGGCAGTGGCGCAAGCAGGGTTCACTGCAGCCTCAACCACCTGGGCTCAAGTAATCCTTCTGCCTCAGCCTCCTGAGTAGCTGGGACTACAGGCACATGCCACCACCCGGCTAATTTTATTTTTTTTGTAGAGACTGGGTTTTACCATGTTGCCCAGGCTGTTCTTGAACTCCTGAGCTCAAGTGATCCTCTTGCCTCAGCCTCCCAAAGTGCTGGGATTACAGGCGTGAGCCACTGTGCCTGGCCCCAATACTAGGTTTTCAGCTCACAGCTTGCAGTAGTCTCAAACAGAAAAGGTCCAGCATCATGCCAAGTGCCCGCTGAGGCTTCACAGACAGCCTGGGACCTCAAGGACAAGCGGACGACCAGCCCCACACTAGGTCCCTGGTGAGTGTGTAGACAACAGGTCAGCTTGCAATGGCTCCTGGATTTGTGTTCAAAGAGTGAGGCTTTCCCTTTGTAGGACTAAGCCAGACCCTAGACCTCTGAAGGTCCAGCAGCCACACACAGGACTGAAGCTGTTGACCTAGGCCAGGACTCAAAGACCAGATTCCTAAAAGGAAGATGAGGTTAGACCAGCACTGGAAACTTCTAAATTCCAACTTGATACTTCCCAAAGAGTAAAAACAATCTGAGAAACGCCACTCCTCCACCCCCTCCCTGACCCCCCATCTCTTATTGTCTGAGCTGGGTCTGAGTCCTAGGTGTATAGAAAAAGAGTGAACTTGACAGTGGCCAACTGGGGGTGTGGGAGAGACAGAGCTTCCAATTGTGCTGGGGACCTCAGGGGCTCCTAACCAGCCTCTCTCCCTCCCCTCCTGTCTCAGCTGAGGCCTCTCTGGCTCTTTGGTTGTCCCTGAGCTTGAAGGGTCTAGCTCCACGCTGCCATGTGCCCACTCCACTGCCAGCACAGGTGTGGCGCCACTATAGTTCAAGACAGGGGTCACGTGTGTTAGTGCATATATATTTTTCAAACTAAGAAAACCAACTCGGCCGGGCGCAGTGGCTCAAGCCTGTAATCCCAGTGCTTTGGAAGGCTGAGGCAGACAGATCACAAGGTCAGGAGTTCGAGACCAGCCTGGCCAACACGGTGAAACCCCGTCTCTATTAAAAATACAAAAATTACCTGGGCGTGGTGGTGGGCACCTGTAATCCCAGCTACTTGGGAGGCTGAGGCAGGAGAATCGTTTGAACCCGGGAGGCGGAGGTTGCAGTGAGCCGAGATTGCGCCATTGCACTCCAGCCTAGGTGACTGGAAGACAGGGCAAGACTCTGTCTCAAAAACAAAACAAAACAAAATGAAACAAAAAAACCCAACTCAGTTTTGCGGGGGTGGAAGCAGGAAACCTTGCTGAGGCCTAGGATCCCACTTTTTTAGTGATTCCTATATATTCAAGGCTAGACAAGAATACAAACATAAAATAAGGTACACATATGGTCTTTAAAGATTTTGCAAGAATCTGACGTAGGGATGGGGTGGAGGAAGTAAGGACCAGTGACATTCACCCCCATCCCACAATGTTAATGCAGCTTGATGGCCTGAGAAGCTACTTACACCAGATTGGAAAGTTTATCCCAGTGTGGATTTCTGAAAAAGCTGCGGAAATCGTAGAATGGCATATTCCCCAAAGCAGCACTTTTTTTCAAACCATGTGTTGTGACCCATTAGTGGGTTATAGAACCAATTTAGTGGGTCATGGTCAACACTGGACAAAAAAAAACCTGAGTGCATTAATATACATGTGGTAAGAATAAGTACTATTAGGTTGGCAAAAAGTAACTGCAGTTAAAATATTTTGAAAAAACCCGTTCAGTTGCATATATAACACGTATGTGTCCCGGGTCATGATATAAAATGTGTATTTTACCGTGAGTGACTGCTGAGAAGCTGGAGAATCTCCACTCTACTGAATTCTCTGCCCAGCACCTGCGCCGACTCTCGGTCCTTTCTGGCCAGGCTTCAGGGCAGTTACATCAGAGGGAGGACATCCCTCTCATGAGAAGCTGGTCTTGGAACCAAAAAACATGCAAACCAACACAAAACCCAAGACCCACACAGTCACACTCAGGCACTTTTAGGGTGAGGAACTTTAACTTTCTGACCTGACTTAAAATGTTACTAAATTGGCTCAAACAGTAAAACCAGGAGAGGCAGAAAATGGGGCCTCCTGTTGGAGCTGGACTCCTCTTCCAGCTTCTTCCTAAGCCCGAGTTTCCAGTTTGGACTGGATTTGAGGATGTGAATGGTCAGTAATTCCGGCTGGTGCCAGTGTAAGGACTTTCTCAGAGCAGTTGACCATCATGTGGCTGAGCCCTGATAACCCGGCAATCAGCTCACTGCCCACCTGAGGACAGAAGGTTTTACCAGCAAAGCACAAATGGCCAGGGGGCCTCACATGCTTGGGGGAGGGGAGGGAGAACCTCCGGAAATGGCTGGAAGTAAAAGAAATGTTGGTGCCCCTAGCTGGAAAATTCTGTCAATCATGAGCTACGGAAGCCATTCAACAGAGAAGCTGTGCTAAGACTGAGGTCAACTGATTGAATAGTTTTTGAGTGTTTTCTATAGACTTAAGACAAGACAAGAATACAAATATATAATTAAGAATGGGAATTAGCTTTCTAGAACTTACACTGAGATGAGGGAGGTAAGATGAAATTACACCTGAAAACAGTTATACACAAGTAAATAGAGCACTAAGCTGGGTGGGGAGACCAGAAACTGAGTCCTGTCTGGATGGCGGTGGGGGAAGGCAGGAGGACCGGGGTTGCAGGGGAACTGCACACCAGGGACAGCCCCCACGCCCTCACCCCTGACACCCTCTCTGATCTCACAACGCAGACTCTCAGGCTGGGCAATACAGTGCTGCTGCATCACCGCCTGGAAACTCGGCTGCAGCTCGCCAGCTTGCTGGAATGGCCTGGAGGCACAGCCTGCCCGAGGGACAGAGAAAGGGGACTGAGTCCAACTGCCTGCTAAGTGAGGGGGAAGGACTGCAGAGCTTGGCCTGGCAGGGGGCCAGCGGGCTGGTCTCTGCAGATGCTGCGGTGTTTGATAAGCAATATGTGCACTTGGCGGCAGGAGCTGGGAGCCGAGGAGCCCAGCCCTGCACCCCTCTGTCTTGGCTCTGGGCTTGTCAACCTGGCTTAAAAAAAGACAAGAACAGCCCAGGCCTGGCTCCTGCATTTGAAGGGAGGGGACAGATGGGCATCTTTAGGAGAAGGCCGCCTCCTTCCTCAAAAGTATAAGTAGAAGGCAGAAAAGTGATCAGCATGATTCCATGTTCTGTTCTTGTCAGGCCTGACTGGGTATCACTACCTAACCAGTGGCCCCGGACTGCTCCATTTCAGATGCGACAGGCTGCGGTCCTGTGGCTGCCGGGCATCCCTGAGAACAAGAAGGGAGTCGGCCAGCTGGCCAGGCACAGAGCAAGTTCACAGCCTCAACACCCCTCAGTGTCTGATGCCATGTTAGTTCACGGAATGAGGACCCAGGCTGCTAATCACACAAACTGATCCTGACGGAGCCTGCCAGGAAAGAACCCCACGTGCACTGCCTCTCCCAACCCTATGACCCCCACGAAGGAGGCACCACTCTTGTTCTCATTCCACAGGAGACTGGGTGGCTTGGAGAAGTAAGTGAGCTGCCTAAGGTCACCCAAGTGCCAGGACTCCAGAGCCTTTGTTTTGCTCACCTGCCCTTCCTCATTTGACCTGTCTGGTCTCCAAGCATGGCCCTTGCTACACCTGGACCAATTGGAACCATGCTGCCATTCAAGTGTGGCCCTGGGCCTGGCGAGGTGGCTCACACCTGTAATCCCAGCACTTTGAGAGGGCAAGGCGGTTGGATCACTTGAGGTCAGGAGTTGCAGACCAGCCTGGCCAACATGGTGAAACCTGGTCTCTACTAAAAATACAAAAATCAGCTGGGTGTGGTGGTGCGCACCTGTAATCCCAGCTACTTAGGAGGCCGAGGTAGGAGAATTGCTTGGACCCAGGAGGTGGAGTTTGAGTGAGCTGAGATCACGCCACTGCACTCCAGCTTGGGCAACAGAGCAAGACTGTGTGTGTGTGTGTGTGTGTGTGTGTGTGTGTGCATACACATATATGTATATACAAATATATATACATACATGTATATACAAATATATGTACATACACGTATATACAAATATATACACATGCACATACACGTATATACGTATGCGTATACATATGCACATACACGTATATACGTATGCGTATACATATGCACATACACGTATATACGTATGTGTATACATATGTACACACACGTATATATGTGTGTGTACATATGTACATACACGTATATACGTATGTGTATACATATGTACATACATGTATATGCGTATGTGTATACATATATACATATATGTGCGTGTATAGATATATAAAGTGTGGCTTTATATACACATACGTGTGTGTGTGTATATGTATATGTGTATATGTGTGTGTATATGTATGTATATGTATATGTGTATATATGTGTGTATATGTATGTATATGTATATATATAAAGCATGGCCCTGGACTGGCAGCCCAGCATCTTCCCTGAGCTTGCTGGAAACGCAGACTCTCAGGCCCCATCCCAGACCTGCTGCCTGGGAATCATCTGAAAAAGTTCCCCAAATGATTCTGATGCACACCCCCCAGAGAAACAGCTAAAAGGGACTGCATCCCTCTGAGCTGCTTCTGGGAAAATTTGGGGGAAACAGCGGTGTTCCCCTGTAGCTATGCTCCCCAGGAGAAGAGGAGCCCTGGAGGGGCTGTGTCCAAGAAGTGGGGCAGGGCCTGCTCTCAGCCATGACAGACCGCACGTGGAAGAGACACAACCTCCCTGAGCCCACACCAACCTCCCCGCGCTTCTCAAACACCTGCAGTTACTATTTCAAGGCAGATGAAATGAATACCATCCCGGGATGCTGGCATCACTGGGACACCAGCTGGCCTGGAGAGTGGGAGTTGACCAAAATGTCACTTCTTGGCTGGGTCATTAGGTCCTAAGACCCTCAACTGCCCACCTTTGCACCTCCATCTCTCCCAAGGCACAACAGCAACAAGCAGCTCATCTCAGGACAGTGAAACAGGACTCAAATACTAACTAGAACAGCACCATCATGGAGACTGGGAGGAGTTTCTGCCCAATTCTGCAGGTGCAGTGAGACAAAGCTGCGGCTGGTCACATGGAGGCTACACACTGCAGGGGACAGAGATGTGGAGTATAAGCTTCAGGGCACAGGGACCAGGTCCTGCAGGGGCCACAGAGTTGCCACTCCCCAGCTGTGTGTGCTGGAGTCATGTCACATCTCTGGGCACCAGATGCCTCATCAGGGGGTTGGGCAACACTGAGCTGAATGAGCTCCAGGCCCTTCCGGCTACAGCTCCAGAGCTTGTCCCCTAAACACCTCCTGGGGTCCTGATTTCCACCTGCCTGGCACCTCTCCCTGACTCAGGGGCAGGCTTCTGCTCTTCACATGTGGGCACCCCCATTGACCATCAGAGCAGGCCAGCCGAAAGTCAACGACATCCCTGGGCAGCATGGCCCAAGGAGGCCCCCATGGCTGGGGCACCAGGGCAGGTCCCTAGACGAGGACCTCTTCCCTGGAGAAGACGATAACATTTACAAAGAACAGAACACAATGCAAAATTTCATGTATGGGCACATCAGGATTTAAATGTATTATTACAGTGAGGGGATTTTAGATACACCAGGAGAGCTATCTGAAGAGAACCAACAGGAAATCTTAGAGTATTAACCACCTCCTTGTTAATATGGTCAAAATTCTCTACCCCCTCCTTTTTATGAGTGTGGACACACCCACCACCAGTGATAAGAGGACATGGATGGAGGCCAAATGAGAGTGCACTGGGTGGCTGAACTGAGCTGGGTCTTTAGAGGCCATCACTAAAACCACCTGGCAGAGAGCACCACGAAGGGCCTTCGACTACAGGAGGAAAGAATGCTAAGCATGTCCAGGGGCAGGAAACAGCTATTGCAGGCCCAGGCGAGACAGGAGGAAGGGAAGAGGAGCAGGTGTTTGATGCTGCATGGATGCATCAGCGTCCGCGAAGAGACGTCTGGGTGAAGAGATGAATGTCTCACTGCACCTGCAGAATTGGGCAGAAACTCCTCCCAGTCTCCATGATGGTGCTGTTTCCGCTGGTATTTGAGTCCTGGCTCACTGCATTTAGAGGAGCTGCTTGCTGCTGTTGTGCCTTGGGAGAAGTGGAGGTGGAGAAGTGGGCAGATGAGGTTCAATGCTCTTCACCACCTCAGGAGGAAGGCGCAGGGGGAGGTCACAGAGCTGGGACACGTGGAGTGGGCCTACACCCAGTCCCACCCTGGGGTCTGGGATAGCTGCCCCACACTGCCCTGGGACGCCCTGAAGAAGGGATAATAGAGAACAGACACCAACATGTGAGACCTGGAACCTCAGCCTTCTGACAATGTTTTCTATACTATTAGGCAAAAAACTTCCCTCTTCTAGGAGCCCACAGCCTCCCGGAGGGCTCTCCAGGCCTCACACAAAAACTCATTTTATCACAGTCCTGAAGGAGGTACACAATTCCTGAAAGTAACAGACTAAACTGTACTTGGACTATAGGACACCCTCTTCCAGGAGCCATGCCTTACAACCAGCAACTGCGAGGCGCCATTTGGCTGTCTGCACCCTGTGCTGGCCTCTGAAGGGCAATGGTGGAAGCCAACAGTTGGAGGAAGTTTAGATATTCAATTCAGCAGTGCTGAAAGCAAAAGACCATGAAGCTGTGGAAAATGGAGCAGCCTCCACAGGTCCCTTGGAAGGAGGAACAGGTTTTTTTTTTTTTTTTTTGAGACGGAGTCTCGCTCTGTCACCCAGGCTGGAGTGCAGTGGCGCGATCTCGGCTCACTGCAAGCTCCACCTCCTGGGTTCACGCCATTCTCCTGCCTCAGCCTCCTGAGTAGCTGGGACTACAGGCACCCGCCACCACGCCCGGCTAACTTTTTGTATTTTTAGTAGAGACAGGGTTTCACCGTGTTGGCCAGGATGGTCTTGATCTCCTGACCTCGTGATCCACCCGCGTCGGCCTCCCAAAGTGCTGGGATTACAGGCGTGAGCCACCGCGCCTGTCCGGAACAGATTTTAAGGCAGTTGTTTATCAGCTTGAAAAACACGGATTTTTCAACCCAAACCCATTGAATAAATTTCTGGGTGGAGAGATTAATGTTCCCTAGGTGAATCTGATAGTTAAAACAGTTCAACTTCTGACTGCCACGGTGACTCGCGCTGTAATACCAGTACTTTGAGAGGCTGAGCTTTGAGAATCACTTAAGCCCAGGAGTTCGAGAACCAGCCTGGGCAACCTAGTGAGACCCTATCTCTACAGATTTTTTTTTTTTAAATTAGGCCTGGTGGCTCATGCTCATGGTCTCAGCTACTTGGGGGGCTCTGGTGAGAGGATCACTTGAGCCCAGGGGGTCAAGGCTGCAGTGAGCCACGATCGCACCACTGCACTCTGGCCTGGGTGACAGAGTAAGACCCTATCTCAAAAAAAAAAAAAAAAAAAAAAAAATCCCTTTCTCCTGAAACAAAATATACTCTGACTACTTAGGAATATTTGTCTTTAATTAAAAAAAGTTTTTAAGTTTACTGCTGATATGGGGGTGTAATGAAGAAAAAAATAGAAAAAACATTTTAAGTTAAATCCAGGGATCAAGGCGTAAAAGCAAGGTGACTGAAAATAACTAAGAAAGCGAGAGTTGACTGATGCCCACCCTTCGGCACTCCCTGACACACCCTTCCTGTGGTCCAGCCCTTGGGAAAGACACAGAGGCACCAGGTCCTCAAACTGATATGGCCCCAACCTTGACCCACCTCTGCTCAGGTGGTCCAGATCCCAGCCTGGGCCAGTTTCCATGCTGACAAGAACAAGGCCCCGGGCCAGTTGCTGTCACAGTGGCAAAGAGCAGATCCCGCCAGCACGCATCCTTGGGAACCTGGTGGACATGGTTTCGCCACCTTGAAGACTTCCAGGCAGGAAGGCCATGCTGTGGCCCTGAGAACCCGATGCTCAGAGCTGTGACTAGAAGGGAGCGAGCTGGTGTGAAAGCGTGGCTCTACCCACGCGGAAACCTCAGAGTCTGAGAAAGAAGCATGCCGGCAGAAGGAGGCATGCCTGCTTGGCCCCATTCCTCGGCCATGGCCCTCGGGACCCTGGTGCTCCCTGCCCCTCCTTCATCACCTCCCTGCAACTGCGAATGCACAGAAGCATGACATAACCTTGGGGCAGCAGAAAGCTGCTGCCTCACTCCTGCCACAGCTCATGATCCGGAGCCTCACCCCTACCCAGCGCAGCAGTGGCCCCCTTCGCACCACACTCCCCCAAATGCCAAGCCTTGGCTGCTAATCAACAGCCACACTCTGAAAATGCACCGTACCTTCCTAGGCAGACTCATGCTGAAAAGGAGCCACTCAGCAGTGCTATTTTTAAAAATGCAAATATGGTAGGAAAAGGCAGTAAAAATAACACACAAGAGCCCTGATCCAAGGCCAGTTGTTTCCCCGGGGGCCAAGTTCCCACTGAAGTGGGAGCAGGGGGCTATGGAGGAGCAGGGGGCTATGGAAGTGCAGGGGGGCCTATCTTCCCACAGTGGTCCTGGCTTCCTGCATCGTTTTGTTTTCCTAATACCTGTGATTTTAGATCAATCCCAGTGGCCAGAAATGTTACAGACTCGCCCACATCTTTACCCAAACACACCACCGAGCAACCCTACATGCAGGCCAGGAGAACCTACACTAGAGGCACTGGCAGGTTTCATGACCCACCCTGGAATGACTATGTCAAAACAATGATGATTCTCCACTCCTTACAACTCTGTAACTACATCTTTGCGAGACAAACTGGGCTGGGGCGCTGCAGACATTTCTTTTTCACAGAGAAGCAGGAGCTTGATAAAGGCATGGGAAGCCAAGGAGGAAGAGACACAAGACGTCCTGGGATCGAGTGCAAGCTGGGGTCTTGCACCACCAGGTGTTGGTCCTGCCAGCATTCAAAATCGGCCTGCCACACACTGTTTATGTCTGTGGCCACAGAAAGCCCGAGACAGGCTGACCCCAGTGAGTTGGCAGGGACGGCCTTGTCACTCACCCCCCTAGACTTCCAAATGCTAACCTTGACAGTAGGAGTCCTCCCTTTCTTCAGCCCCCCACATCCCTGCAATTAGGTCAGGACAGGATCAGGTAGTCTGCTTTCTAAGCCAAGATTTCCAACAAAAATAAATACAAACACATAGCAGCATGTATTTGGGCTGAGTTCCTGGTAAAAGGCATGGATGGGAAAGTGAACAGGACTCAGCACCACCCATTTGCTAAGTGGGTGCAGTCCATCAGTACTGCAGACTTCGCTCCAAAAGGCCGTTGCTCCTCTGACAGGAAATGGGAAACTCACAGCTACAGTGAGCTCCCTAGAGCTGAGCCCAACCGTAGGGAAACACTGCAGAAAGAAGTGACGGCCTGCTGTCAGCGCTCATGGCTGACACCACATGGTCACCATTCTTCCAGATACTGAAACACTGGAGTCACCCACATTAAAGACACTAGAGCATGGAACATAATTTGAGTGACTATTTTCTTTTGTCTTTTTTTTTTTGAGACGGAGTTTCGCTCTTGTTGCCCAGGCTGGAGTGCAATGGCGTGATCTCGGCACACCATAGCCTGCTTCCCCGGTTCAAGCGATTGTCCTGCCTCAGCCTCACAAGTAGCTGGGATTACAGGCATGTGCCACCACGCCCAACTAATTTTGTATTTTTAGTAGAGATGGGGTTTCTCCATGTTGGTCAGGCTGGTCTTGAACTTCCGACCTCAGGTGATCCGCCCACCTTGGCCTCCCAAGGTGCTAGGATTACAGGCGTGAGCCACCACGCCCGGCCCTGAGTGACTATTTTCTATTTTCCCAGGGATGGAGTAATTAGCACCATTTGAGATCCATTACAACTGGTAACTGATGCCTTGGGACTGCTGGCTGAGAAGGGCTTGTGGCCTTTCTTTCATGGAGTAAATGCCACGTGCTTCCCATTTCTCCCATCCTGGCTGGCTCTATTTCCCTCAGTCACTGGGTCCCAGGAGGAAGTCAACAAGTCGCTGGCCAGGAGTCTGGAAAAGACAAGATGACGCCACCAGACTGCATCTGAGGACCCATCCCCTCTCCAATGGATCTGCATCCAGAGTGCTCAAGGACCACAAATCCCAGGTGGAGGAAAATGGGAAGATGGAGATGTCTCAAAGGATCTGCTGTGTCCTTCCTTTAAGGGACAACCAAGCCACAGGAGGGTCAGGCAGGCCTGTGGTGATGTTTTTGAGACCTCTATGTGTGATAAGTAATGGGACGTGTGCTAAGTAACCCCAAAATGCTAGTTCTCGTGGCCTCTCTCTCCGGCTTTTCCTCAATGGCTCCCAACTATTTCAGTCACTCCACTCATTCACAGCCTGAGTGGTCCTGAAAGGGAAGATGATGTGTGGAAGCAC
This sequence comes from Homo sapiens, assembly GCF_000001405.40. Taxonomy (NCBI): domain Eukaryota; kingdom Metazoa; phylum Chordata; class Mammalia; order Primates; family Hominidae; genus Homo; species Homo sapiens. The sequence continues at coordinate 76,422,260 of NC_000017.11, forward strand.
GACCTAAATGAACAACACGGGGAGAGGGCATGGGCAAAGGGCGGCTCACTTTAACCTGGCTTTTCCCAGGCTGAGCTCAAGTCCCATCTCTCCTCCAGCAAGGGCTTGACACAGACACAACCTGCTCTGTCATAAGGTCTGGGCACCCAGTGGCCTCTTCCTCCCGTTCATCATATGCTGTAGACCATCCATTCAGTTGTTCCCTCGCCCATTCAGCAAACTGAATAACCACTGGGTGGGCAGACGCTGTGCCAGATGCCAATGAAACATCTGGAACACGAGACAGTCCTGCAGGTGTCCGAGCAGGACGGAGGTTCCATCTGCAATGAAGCCGAGGCACGCCAGGCTTGGGGAGGTGTGGCCACCACAGGGAACAGCCATGGCTCAAATGTTCCCCCAGATAGCTGCACCCAAGTTTCTGCTCAGATGTCACCTCCTCAGAAGGGCTTCTCTGGCCACCCTGTCTGGAATTGCTCCTCCTCATTCTCTATCCACCTGCTTTATTTTTCTTCACAGCACTTACTGTTCCCACACCTGCAGTCTGTGTGCCCCATGGGGGTTAGAATGTGAACCACACAAGGGCAGGCACTGGGCACCAGTGCACCCCAGCAAGTGCCTGGAACACAGAAGGGTGCCTCTGAGGAGTCACTAGAGACAGCTGAAGGAAAAGCCATGGGAATTGGGAACAAGTGTCAAGAAAGGAGTGGCTAGCAATGCCTGATGCTGCTGAGAGATCCAGTGCCACGGGGAAGTGTCCCTGCTGACCTGGGCTCAGCAGTCCCAATGGGTGGCGTGGGCAGAATCCCCAATGGCGGGGCCTGGAGAACATCTGGCAATGCAGGAAACAGGAATCACAGCATGGAGCTCATTCAGGAACTACGGCTGAAGAGCAGGAAAAGGAGGAAGAGGTAGGTGAGGGGGTGGATGTGGGCTGAGGAAGGGTCTCTTTTCAAGACATTAAAAATGGGGTCAAGCTGGGCACGGTGGTACGCACCTGGAGCCCCAGCTACTCAAGAGGCTGAGGTGGGAGGATTGCTTAAGCCCAGGAATTCGACGCTGCAGTGAGCCCTGATTGTGCCAATGCACTCCAGCCTGGGTGACAAGAGTAAGACCCTATCTCTAAAAAATAAATACAGTAAAAATAAAAATGAGGGCCCGGCGTGGTGGCTCATGCCTGTAATCCCAGCACTTCGGGAGGCCGAGGTGGGAGGATCATGAGGTCAGAAGATCAAGACCATCCTGGCTAACATGGTGAAACCCAGTCTCTACTAAAAATACAAAAAATTAGCCAGGCATGGTGGCACGTACCTATAGTCCCAGCTACTTGGGGGGCTGAGGCAGGAAAATCGCTTGAACCTGGGAGGCGGAGCTTGCAGTGAGCCGAGATCACAACACTGCACTCCAGCCTGGGTGACAGAGGGACACTCCATCTCAAAATAAATAAATAAATAAATAAATAAATAAATAAAAAATAAGGTCAGGCAGGAAGCTGCCAAGGGAGAGCCTGAAGATTCAGGCCCAGGACATAATTGATAGAGGTGGCCTACGGCACAGTGTCCGCAAAGGAACCAGAACACAGGAGAGGAGACTTCCTCTCTTCACACCAGGTGGCTCTCAGCTACTTCCAGGTTGGGTTCTTTTTTTTTTTTTTTTTTTTTTTGAGACGGAGTCTCGCTCTGTCACCCAGGCTGTAGTGCTAGTGCAGCGGCGCGATCTTGGCTCACTGCAAGCTCCACCTCCCAAGTTCACGCCGTTCTCCTGCCTCAGCCTCCTGAGTAGCTGGGACTACAGGCCCCCGCCACCATGCCCAGCTAATTTTTTTGTATTTTTAGTAGAGACGGGGTTTCACCATGTTAGCCAGGATGGTCTCGATCTCCTGACCTTGTGATCCGTCCGTCTCGGCCTCCCAAAGTGCTGGGATTACAGGCGTGAGCCACCGCGCCCGGCCTTTTTTTTTTTTTTTTTTGAGACAGAATTTAACTTTTGTTGCCCAGCCTGGAGTGCAATGGCACAACCTAGGCTCACTGCAACCTCTGTCTCCCAGGTTCAAGCGATTCTCCTGTCTCAGCCTCCCCAGTAGCTGGGATTACAAGTGTGAGCCACCACACTCTGCTAATTTTTTGTATTTTTGTAGAGACAGGGTTTCACCATATTGGCCAGGCTGGTCTCGAACTCCTGACCTCACGTGATTCGCCCACCTCAGCCTCCCAAAGTGCTGGGATTACAGGCGTGAACCACCGTGCCCAGCCCACTAGTATTTTTTATATTCGTTACATTCTGAAATGGTATCTTGGATATATACTGAGTTAAATAAAACATTAAAATTAATTTCTGGCTGAGTGAGGTGGCTCATGTCTGTAATTCCAGCACTTTGGGAAGCCAAGGTGGGAGGATTGCTTGAGGCCAGGAGTTCAAGACCAGCCTGGGCAACAGAGTAAGACCCTATCTCTACATAAAAAAATGGCAGCAGGATCCCTTAAGCCAGGTGTTTGAGGTTACAATGAGCTATGATCGAGCCACTGCACTCCAGCCCGGGCAACAGAGCAAGACTCCATCCACCTCTACCTCCAAAATTAATTTCACCTGTTTCTTTTTTTTTTTTTATTTTTTATTTTTTTTTTTTGAGACAGAGTCTCGCCCTCACCCTGTCACCCAGGCTGGAGTGCAGTGGCGCGATCTCAGCTCACTGCAAGCTCCGCCTCCCAGGTTCATGCCATTCTCCTGCCTCAGCCTCCCGAGTAGCTGGGACTACAGGCACCCGCCACCACGCCCAGCTAACTTTTTTGTATTTTTAGTAGAGACGGGATTTGACCATGTTAGCCAGGATGGTCTCGATCTCCTGACCTCGTGATCCACCCGTCTGGGCCTCCTGAAGTGCTGGGATTACAGGCGTGAGCCACCGCACCCGGTTCACCTGTTTCTTTTAATGTTTTTAAAATGTGGTCACTTCTCAAGGTCCTTTCGACAAAAAAAAAAAAAAAAAAAAAAAAAGTAAAAGAAAAAAATGTGGTCACTAAAAAATTTTAAAGGACCTACTTGGCTCATATTGTATTTTTTTAAATAATAGTTTAGCTTAATTGTATCAAAACAATGCATGCCTAAGTTAAAAAAAAAACATAGTACTAAAAGGCTTAACAAAAACAGGCAGTCCCCCATCTTACCCTCTCAACTGTGCTCTTTTGAAGCAAATACTTTTTAATTTTTTAGCTGTTTGAATATTTACCTCCATACATATAAACAACATGCTTGCACCCTAATTCCTAACTTATTATAGACATTATCTATTGACGTCCTGTTTTGGTACCTGATGACCTAACTCTTACCCTCCCCTCTGAAGCCCTTTGCCTGTACTCCATCCTTTCAACAGTTCCACTGCATTAATTGAAAAATCTAAATGTGTTATGATGGAGGACAGAGCTCACAGCTGAACCAAGTGGTGTTCCGTGTCCTCACACAACTATGTACATATTGATACTTTTGTCAAATACCTATCCATAACTTTTCTAAATATCTTCAAATTACCTACAAATTATCGATCAGGTATCTTTGGGCTTTGTGTCTTTTTCTTGTCGATCTCTCTCCCTCCTGCAGAATTCCATCCTGTCTCTCTAACTCAGACTTTCCTCTGCCGCTCACCTGTGTCAGATCCCGTTTCCTGGATCCTGGGAAAAGTCCCTGGTTTTGGTGAAGAACAACTCCTTCTATCTCCTCCCCACAAGAGGTTCACAGGAGGCACTTTTTTTCCAGCCCTTACATGCCTAAAAGGAGGGTCTCACTCTGTCACCTAGGCTGGAGTGTAGTGGTGTGATCATGGTTCACTGCAGCCTCAACCTCCTGGGCTCAAATGATCCTCTTACTTCAGCCTCCTGAGTAGCTGGGACTACAGATGCACAACACCACACTTGGCTAATTTTTGTATTTTTTTGTAGAGACAGGGTTTTGCCATGTTTCCCAGGCTGGTCTCGAACGGGGCTCAAGCGATCCTCCTGTCTTGGCTTCCCAAAGTGCTGGGATTACAGGCGTGAACCACCATGCCCAGCCAAAAGAACTTTTTTCTACTCTACTTGACGTAGTTGGGCTGGATACGGAATTCTCTCAGAATGTTGCAGGATTTGCTCTGCTGTCTTCCAGTCTGAGTACCTGTCTTAACTGGCACATATAATTGTTTACTTTCATTGTGATCCATGTGGATTTATTTCTACTACCTTTAGGGCTTTCTGGCTACCATATTTTTTCTTTGCTCTCTTTCTTTTAGACAAATGACCTAGTTTTAAAATTCCATATTTTTACCCTCTGTGAGTTTGAAAGCTTTAAACACTATTTCTATTCTTTTGGTGGTTACCCTTAAAATTGGAACATGTCTACTTGACTCAGAAAGTTTGAAGTCAATCAATATCCCTCCTACACTTCCCAAACAGTTCAAAGAACTTAAGAGTGTGTTCATTCAAATCACCCCCTCACTGATTTCCATTTTTTGTTGGGACTTTGGTTTTTAATCCTCTCCAAATTAGTGACGATCACTTTCAGAAGCGAATGCTTATTCAGATTTACCTGCACTTCCCAACGCCTCTGGATACCATTACTGTCCGCATTTCTCCTTTCTCCTTACTTCCTTCTTCCCGAAGTACAGCGAAGGTCTCTTAGTAAATACAACTTTTTTTTTTTTCTGTGAAAATGTCCTTATTTGTTCCCATTATTGAACGATAATTTAAGCTGGTTGCTGAAAACTAAGCCAACAACTGATTTTCCTTAGCACACTGAAGATTTTACTTCCTTATGGCCTCTACTGTTGCTACTTGGCATTTCCTGAGTTTCACTGTTGAACCTGGGGAGTAATCTGCCTTTCTTCTCAAGCTGCCTTTAGGATGCTATTTTTCCCACTGGGCCCTCATACCACCATCCATGTTTGTAATGTCTCTTCCTCACAAGCATCTCTTTTATCTCTGCAGAATTCTAACTAACTTCTGCAGATCTGTTTTCCAGTTCCCATAGTTCTCTCTTGAGAATTTATGCTATTTGCTGTTTAACATTTCCACTGGGGTTTTAACTCAATGTTTTCACTCTAGAGGCTTTATTTGATTCTTTAAAAAATAATCCCTTTTAAGATGTATTCTGTCTTATTCTTTCCTTTGACATCTATTTCTTCTTTTAGCCCTTCAATCACTTTAGACATTTCTATTATAATCTCTTCTATTATTTGAATTCTCATGTTGAGAATCTTGTGTTTGTTGTGATCGCTGACTCATGTTCTAATTTCTACATGCTTGGTAATTTCCTAGAACAAGCTCATCATCTGTGGGCATCCTAGGATTCCAAAAGGCCTGTACTGTGCAAGGGTCACTCTAGAAAAGTTCTGCCTTTGTTCTGCAAGCAAGAAGCTTCAGGGGTATCGCCAGTCTGCTGGCTGGTCTGGTGCCAGCTCGGGCATTCCTGCAACATGTAGATGTTATAAACACAGACTTAGAACTTGGATGTTTTCCACTGTTCACAGAAGACTTCCTCCAACACAATCCAGAGTGTGGGGCAATGATCAGCTCCCTTGACATTTCTCTGATCCCATGGGGGAAATTTTCTTGCATCCCTTTTACCTGGGAATGGCTCTTTTGAGGGGATTTCTGTTTCAACTCCATGCTTCACGTGTTCATGCAAATCCAAACCTCTATTATTGTTAGGGTCGATTTCAGGGTCCAATGAACCCACCTTGCCCCTCCCCAGAGCTGCCTACTCTGCTCTGGCTTTATATTCCTGCTTTGCTTTCGGTTCTCTGTTTTTCTTTCTTATTCTGTTGTTATAGCTTATATAGCATTTTAAGTGATTGTAATGGGAGCGGTTCTAACTTTAGCTCAAGCTACCATGTCACTGAAACAGGAAATCCACCCCATTGTCTTCTGGCTTCCAATGAGGTTGAAAAATCCAATCCATCTTCATTCCCAGTCTTTTGTATGTGACCCGTTTTTGCTCTTCGGAAGCTTTATGCCCAGTGCTCTGGAATCACACAATGTGCCACAGGACATTTTCCATTTACCATTTTTGAAACTTATGACTGTCCATTCTGAAATAATTCTTGTTTCTCTGATACATTATGGTCCTTAATTTTCCCTTTCTCTCTTTATAGACTTCCTAGATGTCAGACGTTTTTAATCTGTTTCCTGGGAGCCTTCGTCAACTTCAAAGAAAAAGTAATGGTTTTAATTTCCGAGAACTCTTTCTTGTTCTGATTTTTATAGTAACTTTTTATTTCATGGATAAAATATTGGCTCTTCTTTCTGAGTATATTTGCCATGTGCTTTAAGGCTTTCTCCTACCTGAATCAGCTCTGATTCCTCGGAGATACATTTTTCTCTTTGCTTTCTCTGGCCTCTACCTTCCATACTGGAAGCTTTCTGAACATATCCAGTTATTCTTGGCATCCATTCCTATTTAAAAGTGAGGCAATAAGAGATCTTTGTGGTGATGGAAGAGTTGTGTATCTTGACTGCTGTTACATGTGGTTACATGAATCCACAGATGTGATAAAGGGTGTGAAACTGTATGCACATATTGTGTACCCATGTCAATTCCCTGATTTTCATATTGTCTGTGATTATATAAGACATGACCATCAAGGGAAACTGCATGAAGGGTAGAGGGGACCCCTCTACTATTTTTTTTTTTTTTTTTGAGATGGAGTCTTGCTCTGTCGCCCAGGCTGGAGTGCAGTGGCATGATCTTGGTTCACTGCAACCTCTGCCTCCTGGGTTCAAGCAATTCTCCTGCCTCAGCCTCCCGAGTAGCTGGGATTACGGGCGCATGCCACCATGCCCGGCTAATTTTTGTATTTTTAGTAGAGACGGGGTTTAACCATGTTGGCCAGGCTGGTCTCGAACTCCTGACCTCGTGATCTGCCCGCCTCGGCCTCCCAAAGTGCTGGGATTACAGGCATGAGCCACCGCGTCCAGCCAGCCCTCTACTATGTTTGCAACTTCCTATGCATCTATAATTATTTCAAAATAAAAAGTTGGGCTGGGGATGGTGGCTCATGCCTGTGATCCCAGCACTTTGTGAGGCTGAGGTGGGCAGATCACTTGAGCTCAGGAGTTTGAAACCTGCCTAGGCAACATGGCAAAACCCCATCTTGACAAAAAACACACAAATTAGCCAGGAGTGGTGGCGCATGGCTGTAATCCCAGCTACTTGGGAGGCTGAGGTGGGAGAAGTGCTTCAGCCTGGGAGGCAGAGGTTGCAGTGAGCCAAGATTACACCACTGTACTCCAGCCTGGGTGACAGAGTGAGACTCTGTCTCAAAAAAAAAAAAAAAAAAAAAAAGTTAAAAAAGTTGAGGTGATAAAAAGATGATAGAAACCCTGTGAACATAAGCAAGGCTCTGGACAGGTGAGGACCACATTAGATGGAGTAGAAAGCTGGCCACTGCTGTGAGGAGCCACTACATACTGGCAATGGCAGGTCTTGTTGCTGACATGCTCATTTTTTCCAGACTGGAATCCAATGCCATGCCTCATGCCTGGCCTCAGCACTCCAGGAGCAGGCAGGGGCATGGCTGGGATTTGCTCTTTTAGTGTGCAGACGTTCATGAATCCCTCTTTCAGTCCAGCGTTACCCTGCCCCTTGCTCTGCCCAAGGTACCTCAATCTGGTGCATAAGCCTCTGCTCTCTCACTCGCCAGCAAAGGGGATTGAGTATTTTCTGGTTTGCAGAATTCAAAGAGATGACTTGGGAAGTTTCATCCCTCCCTATACAGACTGTCAACTAATCATAATCCCTCTGCTTTTAGGCCCAAACCTTATTCCCACCTTGAGTGCCACCAATTGCCTCCAATTCCTGATGCTTTCTAAAGTGCTTTTCCTTGGTGTTTTTCCGCAGGTACCAACATTTCAGCCTCTGCTCTGCTCAGTCTTCTGTTTGCCTTCCACCTTCTAGAAATTGGAGATCTTTTGTTATTGTTTTCTCTCCCATTCTGTGTCCTTGTGGGTTTATACATCTAAAAACAATTATTTTGCTGTTATTTTAGCAGAGTTTCTAGGGGAAGTAGATTTAAATGAATATGTTCAATCTACCATGTTTACCTAAAGTATGCTAACCGAAGATTTTTTTTTTCAATTTGAGAGCAGGTACTATTTATTAACTGACCAGATTAGAAAAATAATCACGGTAGACACCGCAGTTCATTCTTCTAAGAAGCCTGTGGATCTGGCCCTCCCTGTTGGCAGCAGCTCCATTTTCTACAAAATGGGTGGTCTTTTTCTTCATTCCACTTTGTGGAGAGGATAACTTGAAGGGCCACAGTATAGAGCTCATGAATCAGATCCTCGATGCAGATGATGCCATATTGACCATGAGACTGATCAATCAAAGTGTTATCTGTCAAAGCAATTCGCTTCTTATTGATTTTGCCACGGCCATGCTTGTAGATGAGTTTATTTACTGATTTCAGATTTGGGTTCCCCTTGTAATACATGGTTTCACAATCCTCAGCATGTTAACTGAAGGTCTGCTGAACTTCACAAAGGTTCCATTAAAGATCTGACAAAGGCAAAGAAGCTGCAACATCTTTTGGCCCTTTGGGCTCACACCACTGATACCTCTGACCCTGATGACAAATGCCAATTCGGGTTCTGCAGGCACAAAAAAGTTGCCAGCTTTTCTTGCCATCCTAGCCTTTCAAATTTCAGTTCTGTACATCTGCCTAGATTCCTTGTGGTAGTGCTTCACTTCTTCGTGCATAAGTTTCCTCCCTGCCTTTTGAAGCATCTTTTGGGCAAACTTCTTATTCAGGTGCTTGATCTTTAGTTCTGTGAAATTCCTTTGCTTTTTCCCAAGGGTTTCTGGCACAACAGGAAGCTGCTGCTTCTCTTCGACACCCTCCATGGTTCCAGCCAAAAAAGAGGCAACCGGAGGTTTTTAATCTTTGTTTTGCAAAGTACTTATATACAACTAGATCTGAAGATGAAGGAGAAGTAATAAGTCAACAAAAGCCGGCCACGGTGGCTCATGCCTGTAATCCCAGCACTTTGGGAGGCTGAGGTGGGTAGATCACTTGCAGTCAGGAGCTCAAGAGCAGCCTGGCCAACATGGTGAAATCCCGCCTCTACTAAAGATACAAAAAAAAATTAGCTGGGCGTGCTGGTGCACGCCTGTAATCCCAGCTACTTGGGAGGCTGAGGCAGGAGAATTGCTTGAATCCGGGAGGCACAGGTTGCAGTGAGCCGAGATCGCACTCCAGCCTGGGCGACAGGGTGCTCTGTCTCAAAAAAAAAGTCAACAAAACCCAGGAAATCACAAATTCAAAAATTAGCCATCCTTAGTTCAGACATTCACCTACTCACCAATTCATTTTGATGGACTCTCCTCATGTTGCTATTCTGAGATGTGAAATAGTGGGTAGGGAAAAGAAAGACTATTAGGGCCAGACACTGTGGCTCACACCTGTAATCCCAGGAGCTGGGAAGCCCAGCGGGGGGGACTGCTTGAAACCAGGAGTTTGGGACCAGCCTGGGCCAAGACTCCATCTCTATGAAAAAGTAAAATTAAGAATAAAAAATTTTAAAAAGAACAGCTCCATTAGAAACTCCCCCAGACACCTGAAAGGGCCACACATCCGCTCCTACAAATGGCTTTTTGTTTCAAATGTTAAAGAAAGTTTAAGTCCCATGGATTGCTGTGATCTAACCATGACAGTCAGAACTGATCCAGGCTTAGGGTGGAAGACACTCCCTGTCAGTGTCACGCAGCAGGCATGGATAAATCCACACTTTACACACTCACAAAATTAGATTAGATTCTTAAAAGGCTAAACTAAAAACAATCACTGAGAAAGTCACCAAACATAAATAGCAGCACATGTGCCCCTCAGCAGACAGCCACACAGCATGGAGAATCTGTGAGGCAGCAGCAGCCAAGAGCCTTTGGAAACTCAAGGCCCCCTATCGCCAGGCACACACACCCGACACTCTCATGCACATTTCGGCACAACCATGTCTTAGACCCGTCAAACTGCTACGGAAAGGACTCAGTTATCAAAGTATGTTCCTGTCAATCCACAAATATTTCATCATCCCACTGTGTAAGAAGTACTATAATTGTACTATGAGAGAGACTCAAAAGAAATAGATTGTATGGTCTCCGCCTTAGAAAGACTTATACCCAGCATGCCACGGTACATGTGACTGGTAAATATTTGAAAGCTTGCCCACTGTCCAAGAAAACCTATTTAGCAACCCCTTTCTCATCCTAGGATGCTTGTGGAGCCCCAGATTTAAAACAATTACATCTGTGTTCCTGGAAAGACTTAGGACTTAAAGCCCTTTCAGTTTCTAAGGGTCTTAAGCATACTGAAATAGGAAAGGGGGTTAAATCCCAACATAATGCAAAATGGCTAGCACAGATCCCAATGACACTGACAGGCACCTGCCACAAGAGGTAGCCCACCTGCGAGACTCCATGGGAGAGAGGGAAGATCCAAATGCAGGGTGTAATAAGCAGACCAACAGAAAACTCAGTTCAAAAATAAGCACAGGACTTATTTGAATAAACATTTATCTAAAGAAGATATACACATGGCCAATAAGCACATGAAAAGATGCTCAGCATCACTCATCACTAGGAATGCATGCCAAATCACAATGCAATACCCATGCATGCCCACTAGGATGGCTATAAACAAAGTGACAGTCACAAGCATTGGTGAGCATGTGGAGAAACTGGAACCCACCAACATTGCTGGTGGGTATGTAAAATGGTGCAGTTGCTTCAGAAAGCAGTTTGGCAGTTGCTCAAAATGCTAAACATAGATTTACCTACCATACGACCCAACAACTCCTCTCCTGGGTATAATATCCAAGAGAATTGAAAATATACATTCACACAAAAACGTGGACTTGAATGCTTATAGCAGCATTATTCAGAATAGCCAAAAGGTGAAAATGACACAACAACAAATGTCCATCAACTAATGAATGGATACACAAAATGTGATCTATCCATATGATAGAATATTATTCAACAATAAAAACAAATGAAGTACTGATACATGCTACAACATGGATGAACCTTGAAAACATCACGTTAAATAAATCAGTCACGAAGGCCACATCTAGTATGCTTCCATTTATATGAAATGTCCAAAATAGGCAAACCCACAGAGACAGAACATGGCTTCCAGGAGTTGGGAGGGGTGCAGGGAAATATGGTATGACTCCTAATGGGTATGAGGTTTCTTTTTAGGGTGATGAAAATGTTCTAAAATTAGATAGCGGTGATGACCGTACAACCGTTTGAGTATACTAAAAACCACTTGAACTGCACACTTTAAAAGGGTGAATTTTATGGTATGTGAATTGTCTCAATAAACCTTTTTTTTTTTAAGAGATGGGGTCTCGATCGCTTGAACCCAGGAGGTGGAGTGAGTATTGCGCCACTGCATTCCAGCCTGGGTGACAGAGCGAGACTCCATCTCAGAAAAAAAAAAAAGAGAGAGAGAGATGGGGTTTCGGCCAGTGCGGTGGCCTGTAATGCCAGCACTTTGGGAGGCCAAGGTAGGAGGATCGCTTGAGGAAAGGAGTTTGAGACCAGCCTGGGCAACATAGTGAGATGGTGACTCTACAAAAAACTTAAAAAGAAATGAAAATTAGCCAGGCGTGGCGGTGCGCGCCTACAGGCCCAGCTACAGTGTTTCCTGTAAATCCTGTGCTATCAATTCTATTTTTCAAGTCAAATACCAGAACTTGTCTCAAACTATACTCACCAGAAGACAAAAACGAGCCCTCCTAACATCTTCTACTCTTAGAAATTAGATGAGTGTCCTCCTATAGACTTTTATTTCCTAAGAAAGAAGTCTGTTTTCTTTGTCTGTGGCTTCCATCCATCTTACTTAACCACGTAAGCCTCTCTGGGCCTGACTATAAAATAAGGGGCTCCAGCGAAATGACCCCGAGGATCCCTTCCAGTCTTACCACTATAGACCTAGACATACATGGAAACCCAGCACACAGTCCTATCTCAGAGGTTCAGATGAAGACCCCACCTGCAATAAGCACACGGTGGCTGAAAACTCCTTCTTATTCTGATGTTCCCAGCACAGAAAAGGAAAGTGAGAGGGGCAAGGGTCTATGGGAGAAACGGAGAGGAAGGAAACCCCAACGCGTAGGAAACACAGTCCTACCCTGGAAATCACAGGGCACATTTGTCTTCCTGGAAACTGTAAAGGACACGCCAATAGTCCTGCCATGAACTGTGTTACCTGAGATATGTCTCACAGGAATCACATGAAGAAAAAAGGATTCCAAGCATGAATTAGGGTGACTCCTCGTCCTGGGGAAAGGCAACAGAACCCACCTTATATGGCCGTGGTTTGCTTTTGGGTTGTGGAGAGTCCTTTTAAGAGTCTTGCCTTGGCTTCTGCAAGGAGCTCAGAGTGGTCCCACACTGCTAACACAAACTAAGCAATTCCGACATGGCAAAGGTCAGGAGTGAAGTCGAAAGGCACCTGCGATGTTCTGGAAATGCTTTTTCACTTAAGCTTTTTTTTTTTTTTTTTTTTAAAAAAACAAACAAAAAAACAACTTTGTCTCTGCCCTCACAAAGGTCTTCTGGGTCAAATACCTCTGTTATAGTCCTTCCACCTCCATCGGTGGTACCTCTGGCTACTGAGAAAACCCTGCCCCAATAGAGGGGCTCGGGCGCGCCCATCCAGGGATCATGGATTCCTACACTATCCCCAAAATGGCAGAGCTGGGCTCTCCCTGCAGTGGCACACTAGGCTGGATTTAGCCCAACAGCCTGGCACAAAGGACAACAATGAGGAGAGGAAAGGGGAGGTGACGCACCTGGCAAGGCACTAAGGGATGAGATGCACCAAGCCAGCTGTGAGTCACCACGAAGCAAACGGGAAGGTCAGGATCCAGATCCAGGTTTGTCTGAATCCAAAGCTCTGACCTGCCAAATACAGAGCAGTTGTACAGAAAGCTACTATTTATGTAAAAAGCTAAAATATAAAAAAGGTATACTCACACACATAGAGTTTGGTCACAGTGGCTATCCCTGGAGAGTGAAAATGGTAGGAGGGAGACAAACATTTCACTACATATTTGTTTAAACCTTTTGAATGTTGTGATATTTGCATATATTATCTGTTTAAATATACAGATACACACACACACACATACACACACACACACACACACACACACACACACACACACAAAGATTAAGATTTAGTTTTCAGGTTGGCCTTACGAGGCAGACAAGCTAATTCGCAATATTCCCCCCGTTTACTGCATGGGCTTGGAAACACAGGGAAACAGACGCAGAGCTAAATTATCCCCCAGCAGCAGTGACCACTGGTCAGGTGCTGTGCTGAGCCCTCTCGAAGGTGATCTCGTGCAATCCCCAGTAACTACAAGATTCTGTCTTTTCTAGTCATGGACACTAAGCAATCACAGGTCTACATGCCCTCTCTAAGCCCTGTGTCTGAGGCCTTCTCTGGCTCACCTAACGCCTCTCAGTCCAGCCCTATGCTCGGGAGCCACATTCCCTGAGCTGAAGGCACGACAGACCAGCCTGTCCCGCAAAGCTCAGTGACACCCCGGCACAGAGGGGACAGAAAACAGTTAGCAAAAGGCCCAGTCAGCTGGCCAGAGTTCTAGCCCTCTAGATGCTGCTGACTAGCTGGGGATCCTGCAGATGTCACATCAAATTCTCATCATCGTTAGGCCCCGTGCGGTGGCTCACGCCTGTAATCCTAGCACTTTGGGAGGCTGAGACGGGCGGATCACCTGAGCTCAGGAGTATGAGACTAGCCTGGGCAACATGGCGAAAGCCTGTCTCTACTAAAATACAAAACATTAGCCAGGCATGGTGGTGTGCACCTGTAATCCCAGCTACTCAGGAGGCTGAGGCAGGAGAATTGCTTGAACCCGGGAGGCGGAGGTTACAGTGAGCCGAGATAGCACCATTGCACTCCAGCCTGGGCAACAAGAGCAAACTCCATCTCAAAAATTAATTAATTTATTAATTAATTAACAAATAAAAGACTAGAACAGCCATCCACTGAAATAATAAAGAGAAGTTATCCCCGAGTGGTAGAATTATGGGTGACTTTTTTTTTACCCACCTTTCCTATGTCCTTGCACTTTTGTATTAAGTATATAAATAACTTAATAGACCAATCAGGAATAAAGCTATAAATCTAAGGCAAATAAGAGGATGACTCCAGCAATTTTTCTTCGGTGCTGGATTGTCAGAGACTGAAGAACAGACTATTACACCTGGGACTTTCCCTCCTTGCTGGACCCTGAATCCCCGAGAGCCTAGACGATGCCTCCAGGCCCCTGCCCTGCACGCTGTCCCTCGCCTGCTGCTGCTCTGGTGTCCAGCCACCACCTCTCTACTCAAAAGTGCTATCCAAGGTTCCTCACAACTCCCAAACTGCCTCTCTTTACAAAGCATCCTACTTGACCCCTTGCCCTGACATCAAAAGCCACTGGCTAGCACCCTCCTTCTGAACAAAATTCAAAAAAGGTAACGCCTCTTAGGACAGAGTATAAAATGGGGATTAGTGAAAGATCAACGAGGAGCATTTATTTCAACATTTAAAAGGCAATTATGCTAGGCTGGGTGCAGTGGCTCATGCCTTTGAGAGGTCAAGGTGGGCAGATCACTTGAGGTCAGCAGTTCCAGACCAGCCTGGCCAACATGTTGAAACCATTTCTACTAAAAATGCAAAACAAACAACAACAACAAAACAATTAGCTGGCATGGTGGTGGGCACCCATAATCCTAGCTGCTCAGGAGGCTGAGGCAGGAGAATCGCCTGAACCTAGGAGGTAGAGGTTGCAGTGAGCTGAGATCCCACCACTGTACTCCAGCCTGGGCAACAAAGTGAGACTCCATCTTTAAAAAAAAAAAAAAAAGGTGGCAGGGCACAGTGGCTCACTCCGGTAATCCCAGCACTTTGGGAGGCCAAGGCAGGCGGATCACGAGGTCAGGAGATCGAGACCATCCTGGCTAACACGGTGAAACCCCGTCTCTACTAAAAATACACAAAATTAGCCGGGCGTGGTGGCGGGCACCTGTAGTCCCAGCTACTCAGGAGCCTGAGGCAGGAGAATGGCATGAACCTGGGAGGCGGAGCTTGCAGTGAGCCAAGATCATGCCACTGCACTCCAGCCTGGGCGACAGAGCGAGATTCCATCTCAAAAAAAAAAAAAAAGAAAAAGAAAAAAAAAGGCAATTATGTTAAATGCAATGTAGTATCCTGGATTGGATCCTGGAAAAGAAAACTAATCCAAATAAAAGTGTATGGTTTAGATAACAGTATGTGGCTGATGTTAATATCTTTTTTGCGAGATGCAGTCTCACCACAATGCCCAGGCTGGCCTTGAACTCCTGGACCCAAGCGATCCTCCCTCTGGCCTCAACCTCCTGAGTAGCTTGGATTACAGGCACGTGCCACTGTGCCTGGCTCAATGTCAATTTTTTTACTTTCGACAAATATATATCATGATATGTAAGATGTGAACATTAGGGAAAACTGGGTGAAGGGGATACGAGGACTTTCTGTATGATCTTTGAAACTGTTCTATAAATCTAAAAAATGTTTGTTTAGAAACTGCAATTATGAGGTTATGAAATAGGACAGCAATAAGAATTAAAGGAAGATGGGGGACAGGCTAAATACACGCTTCGAAGGGAGGTGTCTCTCGTTGCCTGGATGCCTCCAGGCATCTAATTTGCAATGTGTTCAAAACGGAATCTCCCTCCCCACTCCTCTGTCCACACTGCTATTACCGGCAGGACCAGCCACCTGGCCATGCTCATGAGAAGCTTGAGTCTCTGCCACGCTTCCCTCTTCTTACTGCCTTTTGGTAGGTGACCACATGTCTACATCCACTGCTTTTAGAAAAGGTTTTTCTAAAAGCTATAAAACTTAATGGTTTGAGGAGTTATTATTTAATTGAGACAGAGTTTCAGTGGGGAATGATGAAAAGTTCTGGGGGTGGATGGTGGGGATGGTTGCACAACAATGGGAATGTACTTAATGGCACTGAACTGTTTATTTAAAAATGGTTAAAATGGTAAATTTTGTTATGCATATTTTACTACAATTAAAAAAGAAAAACTTAAAGGCTCCTCGTCGCTCTTCTGATCACCTCAAAGCCCTGGCACACTAATGTCCCTACTCCTGCTCTGTCTCCCACCTCCCCCACTACACCCCGGCTCAGCTGTACGTGCAAGGCTGTGAAACACATGCTTTACCTGTTATTCCTCAAACGTCCTTCACACCTTTGCGCCCCATCTGAGAAACCTTCTCCAACCACCTCACCTTTCTCTCTACCTCACTACTCTAATAATTGAAAGCTTTATTACTGTTCTCTTAGGTTCGATAGATTTCAGATTTTACTGGGGGGTTAGGTACTAAGTCAAATTGAACATCATTAAAATTATCCTTGAAAAATCCCTTAAATCCATCAGTAAGACCAACATAACCAGTGTTTCCTCTTGCACTGGAACAGATCACTGCTTCTTCCACTGAATACGGAATGAAGATGTTTGTTCACACTTCCGGGTCATTTTGTGTGAGAAGTCAGCACCTCTAGCACTCCACGCCATGCATGCATAGGTGACGCCATGCACACCGAGGGCACAGAGGACACAACTCATCTGCCCCATAAAATCCTCCTAACTGGCCTCCAGGCTTCCTAGCTCCCCACATTCCACCTTGTAAACTGCCGCCAAATCACCCATTGTAAACTCTGATGTAAGTCCTCTTTATGTAAAAAACAAATCCCAACTCCTGAGTCAGTCATCCAAAGACCTGCACACACACAGCAAGCATGACACCAGTGGCCTTTCCAGGGGCAGCTGACGGCGTGGTTTGGAGGCGCTTGCCTGGCTTTAGCCCAAGCCTTTCTGCTCACTGCCTTAACCTCTCCTCCTCTGTGAAGTAAGAACACCTACTTCACGGGGTTCTCCAGTGACTGTGCCTAGAACGCGGCAGGTGCCAACAAACCTTTGTTGTTATCGTTATTTACAGTCCTGTGCAGCCTCGCCTGCCAGCACTCTCTCACCTGACTTCTTCCACCCCACCTCTAGCTCAGTGGTCCTCAAAATATGGCCCAGGGATCCCTGAAACCCTTTCAGGAGGTCCAAAGTCAAAAATTTTCTATAACAAGACCAAGACGTTATTTGCCTTTTTTCCTCTCATCCTCTCCAAAGTCTGCAGTGGAATTTTCCAGAGGCTACATGATGTGTGATGACGTCACTGCTCTGATGGCCAATAGAATGTATGCCCAGGCATTCTTGGTTTTTAAGTTTGTTTTCTTAAATGGTAGATGTTAATAGAAACAACCCATACAAATAAAAGCTCACAAAGCTAAAAAATTATTGTGGTCCTCAATAATTTTTAAGTTAAAGGAGTTCTGAGGCCTAAGTCTGAAACCACTGAAATGAACTTCCTGCCTCTCTTGCCTTTATGCGCACTGGACTTCCCGCCCAGGACGCCCTGCCCTCCACTGCTGCTATTCCAAGCTCTTATCTTTCAAGAGTGAACTCAAAAGGCACCTCCATGACAGCATCTCCTAATGCTCCCCACCACATCCTTCAGCATCTCAACTGTGTCCTGCAGGTGGAACTAGGCTCTCGCTCCCTTATGTGCATCAGTCATTCACCCACTAATTCCACTCATTCGCATGTGTGCAATCTGCCATTTCCCAAGTGCTCACTAAACAAATCTCTCCTAGCACCTACTTTGGGCCAGTCACTGAGGATATAGCAGTGACAGAGATGCTTCTGTGCTTCTCTTACCTTCCGGCTGGGGACAGTAAACAGGACATGAAGTAGTATAATCTCAGGTAATGCCAGGTGCTATGAGGGAAAAAAGCTGAGTAGGAGATCACAGCGATGGTTCTCTCTCCTATCTAAGTCTCTGAAGCAGTGCTACCCAATCCAGTAGCCACTATGGTAAAAAGAACGCACAGTCTCTCATTAGTACTTATCATATGAGTTATATGTTGATATAATATTTTGAATACATTGGGTTAAGTAAAATATATTAAAATTAATTTCATCTCTTTGTTTTTTTTACTTTGAGACAGGGTCTTGCTCTGTTGCCTAGGCTTAAGGGCAATGGGTCGCACGATCACGGCCCATTGCCACCTCGACCGCCAGGACTCAAGCGATCCTCTCACCTCAGCCTACTGAGTAGTTGGGACTACAGGCGTAAGCTGCCACGCTAAGATGATTTCTGTACTTTTTGAAGAGATGGGGTTTCATCATGTTGCCCAGGCTGGTCTCGAACTCCTGGCCTCAAGTGATCCGCCTGGCTTGGCCTCCCAAAGTGTTGGGATTATAGCCATGAGCCACCATGCCTGGCCTCTATTTACTTTTTTCAGCTGTGGCTCACATTGTATCTCTATTTTTCAGGATCCTTCCAGAGCAGAGGTGGGAAAACTACAGCCTGCAGGTCATGTCCAGCCTACTGCCTGTTTCTTAAAATTTTATTGGAACATGACCATGCCCATTCATTTGCTTACTGCCTCTGAATGCTTTTGTGCTATAATGGCAAAGCTGAGTTGTTGTGAAGGAGACAGTATAGCCTGCAACACTAGGACATTTATCATCTGGCCCTTTACAGAAAGTTTGGCTGGCCCCTTATCTAGAGGGCAGGGCCTGTGTGGGGGTATCTCTCTCCCCACAGCACCCAGCACAGTGCAGGGGGCACCCGTGTAGTCAGTGAAGAGAACCTGCATTCGGGCAGCACAAACTGGCCTAAGTTTGAATTTGGGTTGGCCTCCCACTTGCTATGTGGCCTTGGTGAGTTATAAGCTTTCTCTGGGTTTCAGTCTTTCCTTTTCTAAAATGGGGCACTGGCCACTTTAAGGGAAGTGAGATGACACAGGTAAAGTGTGAGTTAACATGCCTGGCTCACAGCAGGAATCCATTGACACTGGCTGGATAAAAGACAGCAATTTCATTAAAATGCTGAATAATCATTCTCCTCTTGGATTGGGTGTGTTATACTCAAAACAACTACCATATTTACATCCTAAAATGAAATGAAATCAAATGAAACTTCTTAGCAACAGCAGTGCATTAATAATAACCACCAGCAAGCAATGGGGAGGAAGAAAGAGGCAAGCCTTTCTAACACTAAAGCACTGGCGGATGATGAGTCCGCCTCATCCCTTTCCTGCCCCTCCTGCAGCCCACCTTTGGACAATTCCCGGTTCATTAACACTGGCACTAGAAGAATAAGCAGAGGGGAGAGAAAAAGCCTCGAACCAAAGACGTACTAAAACTGAACCCATTGACATCAACGAGGTTTGGAAGGGCCCATATAAGTGCAATTCAAAAGACAGTCCCAGCCAGCAGCATCAATGTCACTGGGAGTTTGTTAGACACGCAGATTCTTCAGCCCAATGGAATTAGGACAATTTGCATTAGGAGACCCTAGGTGATGGCATGTGGCATTCACCTTGGAAAAGTGCTGGATTAGAATCCATTTATTCATGCTCTCTTCACTTCCCCCTCCCCCTCCACTGATAAACAGGGGTGGTTATATCTACTTTCAATAGATGGTTCCTGACTCCTTCAAAGTAATAGGCCTGGCATAGCCACTGCAACTCCAGGCCCCGCCCCCAAGGGTCTTGGTGCAGGCAGAGTGCATAGCCTAAGCTGCGTTCCTGATTCATTTGCAGTCGGGTGGGGCATTCTTTTTCCAATAGAGAGCCTCGTTCGTACTTAGCCATCCTCCTAAGGTGAGGACTGGGTGCTGATAACCATTCAGGAAACCCACGTGTGTGGAATCTGCCATTTGTCAAGTGCTTTAGGCGGGGTTCTTACAGGGGAAATGCAGCCAGAAGCAGCTTCATTTCGACCACAGGTGACACCAGCTCTAGCTAGCTCTAGCCTAGTCCACAATGCACGTAGTCTGCCTGGGGAGCCCGCGACGGAAGTTGCCAAAGTAGTAACTACAATATGGTGTATTCTGATTAATCTGCTCTTCCTAGTATTAGGATGCCCATACGTCCCAGTCCTGGAGTAATTATTCATAGTACTCTCAAAAGAACCCAACTTGGGCAATAAATTACTGTACATGGTCAACACACCTAGTACGGGGGGTGGGAGACAGAGTGGTCTAGTAAGGGGCCCATACAGCTCCAGCACAGACCACAGGGCATCTGGAAGAAGACTAAGAATACTATTTGTAGTAAGTGGGAGGGAGCAAACTGGTCATTCATGAAGATGTTTCCCAAGAGTCTGCATGTGCGTGATAGCACACAAGCTTTAGGATTTGCTGTCTCTGTTTCTCAAGGAGCTTCCCATCCAGGAGAGAATGTGGGTGTGCCATGGGGCATGAGAGGAAGGGAACGGCACAATTGAGTTGGGGAAAAGCAGTCAGATTGGCTGGAATCAACTGAAGAGGCAGGAGATAGAGCAGGATGTGTAGGTGAGGGGCCCTGAATGACAACCAAGGCATGATCAGAGGCTGGGTCCTGACACAATCCAGGCGATCACTTGGGAGGTCAGCCCTTTGGAGGTCAGTTGGCGGCAGCGCTGTTCACTGGTTGAAGGAGGACTAGAGGCAGGGAGACCAGGGAGAAGGCTACACAGTGCAGGCATGAGGCAAGCAGAGAGCAAACCAGGGTTGTGAAAGGGAAATGCAGGCACAGGATGCAAGAGGCCTCTCAAAGAACTGATGACAAGTTAGAATGAGGGCCAAAGAAGGTAAATTAAAAATGACCCCAAATGCTCTAATTTTGAGAAGATTCAAGCTTAGGTATTTAGGGGTGAAGTGCTATCATGTCTGCCACTAACTTAGCAGGAGTTAGTACCAGACATAATTCAGGAGGAAATATATTTACATAAGCATACAGATAAGGCAAATATGGCAGGATGTTAACAACTGCTGACTCATAATGGTTGGGGGTTAGCAATTACTGGCTTTCAACATTTTGGTATGGTCAATATTTTTTCCTATTAAAAAGTTGGGTCTTGGGTTCAGAACCAAAAACAAAAAAAGTTGGGGAATATATATATATATTTTTTTCCTCGAGAAAGAGTCTCACTCTGTCGCCCAGGCTGGAGTGCCGGGGCACGATCTCGGCTCACTGCAACCTCTGCCTCCTGGGTTCAAGCAATTCTCCTGCCCTAGCCTCCCGAGTAGCTGGGATCACAGGCACCCACCACCACGCATGGCTAATTTTTGCATTTTTAGTAGAGATGGGGTTTCACCATGTTGGCCAGGCTGGTCTCGAACTCCTGACCTCAAGTGATCCACCCACCTCGGCCTCCCAAAATGCTGGGATTACAGGCGTGAGCCACTGTGCCCAGTCAGAACATTTTTTTTTTTTTTAAGTCCACAGACTTGGGGATGGGAAGGGCAGTCACAATCACAAGATTTTATACCCACAAAGTCTACATGGCACAATGGAGCTATCAAGTAAGCAGCTGGGCATGTGATGTCACTGTGGAAGTCACCTAAATACAGGTACCAGATGCAGCTACAAGCAGGGAGGTCACTCCAAAAAACTGGGGAGGAAGAGATAAAGAAAAGAGAGGTCTTTGGAAAAGCTGCACATCTATGGGTAAGAGGAAGAAGACAAAAGGCAAAAAAGAGAAACATTTGGTATAGTCTGGTATAATAGAACCCCAAGGAAGGAAATACCGTTAAGAGGGCATGGTCGGCCAGGCGCGGTAGCTCATGCCTGTAATCCCAGCACTTTGGGAAGCTGAGGCGGATGGATCACCTGAGGTCAAGAGTTCGAGACCAGCCTGACCAATATGGTGAAACCCCGTCTCTGCTAAAAAGACAAATATTACTCGGACGTGGTGGCGGGAGCCTGTAATCCCAGCTACTTGGGAGGCTGAGGCAGGAGAATCGCTAGAACCCAGAAGGCAGAGGTTGCAGTGAGCCAAGGTTGCACCACTGCACTCCAGCCTGGGCGACAGACTGAGACTCCATCTCACAAACAAAGCAAAACAAAACAAAACAAAACAAAGAGGGTGTGGTCAGCTAGGCACCGTGGCTCACGTCTGTAATCCCAACACTTTGGGAAGCTGAAGTGGGAGGATCACTTGGGGTCAGGAGTTCGAGACCAGCCTGGCCAATACCATGGTGAGACCCTGTTTCTACAAAAATATTTTAAAAAGCCGAGTGTGTAGTTCCAGCTGCACAGGAGGCTGAGGTGGGAGCACTGCTTGAGCCCAGGAGGCGGAGGCTGCAGTAAGGTGTGATCACGCCACTGCATTCCAGCCTGGGTGACAGAGCATAAGGCTGATGGATCAAAATGAGGACAAGGACTGAGAAAATGTCAGCAAATGCAGTGATCAGAAATTCACTAGTCATTTGTGACCTTCAGGGGAGCCGTCACACTCAGTGGTGTGAGAGGTTAGACAGAAAATGACTGAAGGCGAGAGCAGGTCATGAGGAAATGGAGGCAGACATCCATTTCCCCCAGTACAGTGCTGGGATGACCCAAAAGCACACTGGGGGACCAGAGAAATGCTTTCTTCCTTGGCTTGAAGATGATGTCATCAACCTTCAGGGCCCTCAGAATCCCTTAAATAATAAAACAGTCAGAGCACATGAATACCGGGATGCTTTCAGCACTGCATATGTCAAGCCCTGAGGCTCCCAGAATCCCTGGAGACGTATTTGTGTGTCTACACTTCCCACCTGCACTAGCGGTGACCACACACACAGTCCGGTGACCACACACACAGTCCGCTGAATCTGCCGGTCAAGGTATCTATCTTCAACTGCCCTCTTCCAGAGGGAGCTCCCACAAAAAGGACCAGAATTAAAAGGAGGAGGAAGAACATCATCGGAGCTGCTGAGTGTGAAAAGACCAGCTCTCTTGCAGGATGCAAATGAAGGCCTCTCTTTTTAAGGGTGCCTGCAGGAAATCTCTCTGTCAGTGCTAGCTGGGAATATTCATGTCATTGTTGGGTAGGACTGACTGCCTTTTTTTTTTTCTTTTTCCAAGCATGACTCAGTGTTTTAATTTTTTTTTTTACTTTCAATTATCATAGTCAGACTGTTTCCCAGGTATAGTTATGCTATCAATTTAAACCAAAAGTGACCTGAAAAATGTCTTACTCCTTTGACTTAGCTGCAGAATATTAAATATTGCTGTGGCCTCTCTAAAAATGCAAACCAACTCAAAATCCCCCAACCAAAGAACCAGATTAAACCCAAAAAGGACATTCATTCCAATCCTTATTGCCCACTGAATACTTCTGAGTGGTATGTCAACTGACTGCAATGTTTAAACCATAAAAATGTGCTTTTCACAATACTGCTTCAGGAGAACACAGCCTACCTGTGTCTAGGGGTGACCTGGACAAAGCTGACCCAAGGATCCATCCAATACAGTCAGCCTGGATTGAAGGACATTAAATCCTCAATCACAGAGTATAGCTAACGAATGAAACAAAGGCAAATAACTTGGAGTAGATAAATCCAGAGAGTTATCCAGTAACACAATTCAATTTTATTCTCAACTACAGCAAATTCCAATAAGCATTTTGCTCTTCCCTGGCTATAACTGCACACATCAAGTGGCTCCTGACAGAGTCCCCCCGTGGCTGGCTGGAATGTCAGAAGATGAAGCAATTCCGAACGGGCACTCTTGCTCAGTAAGAGCTGCAAATGTGGATGGGCAGCATTTAGACCATGACCTTCTCCAGGACTGGCACCCATTCATGGGCAAGTGGAGCCTCAGGAAGGAGCTACAGTTAAAAATACCGAGATCCTATTAAGTGAGAAAAGTGATAGCCTCTTGTAAACTGGAAAGCACATTATAGACGTTCCTGATTGTAACTTGCCCCTTTTGATTGTCATTTTAAATCAGCAACTCCCCATCGCCATCCAGAAGCAGGCTAAGCCTTGGGCAAGGAAATTCCAAAAGCTTCCATCAGAATAGGAGCACAGATCATATCCTCCTGGGTGAAAACCCACATGTCACAGAAAACCACCCTGACTCCAACTCTGAGGGGACCGACCACCAGCGGCAGCTGACACTGATCACGTGCCCAGGACTGTTGTGCTGGCAATTCATGTTATACACGACAATTGCACCCTTTTAAAAAGTGCTGGCCCCCAACAGGTTCCACTGGATTCCATGAGCCCCCATGGTGGGTTAAGTAGTAAAAAATAGAAAAAGTTCCTCTTAGTATAACAGGAAAATGAAAAAACAAAAACAAACAAAAAAAAAAACCAAACAAACAAAACAGAGAGAAACAGGGATAAAAGTGAAGTAGAGATGGGGAAGGTGCAAAGAGGCCTCTAATGTCCTAAAGCAAAAACACACGGAAACTGAAGGGAACAGAAACTGAAATTGAGGTGGAACTCAGCCTCTCCAAGGAATCCTTCCTGAACCTGTCTCATGACTCAGCATTCCCAGCCGAAGGATGACAGCAGCAGAGCGGACAGGAGGTCAAGTTGGAGCTCCTAATGGAGCTGACCACTTCTGAGGCAACACAGAAATGCCAGTTACGTGGAGTGTCTGCACACTTGTTTTGCTCTAGGAGGTGGAGTTGGGGAATAAAACTGAACTGCAGTTCAGTGTTGGAATGAATCAGACTACAGAGGTTGCTTCATTCAACATTGAGGGGCAGTCAAAGGTTCTCTAGAAATGCAATGTGTTTTTGACAGTTATTTTGAGAATGACTGAGGGGTCAGGGAATGAAAAGAGTGGAATCTGCAGAAGCACACCGCCAGTGCGAATGCAGTGTTCCTCCCGTCCTGCTCCCTACCCATCATCTCCCTCCCTCCTGCCTGCCCACTGGCACAACTTCCACCTATCCCAACATCCTGTGCCTCTCTCCTTCCTCACTTGTAGTACCTCCTATTACACTAAGACTTTCAACTGTTTAAAGAAGGGATGATTAATGCCAACCACAAGGCTTGTGATTCATGTTGGATCAGGGCACTCGGTCACGTATAGTAATGATCTCTGAATCCTGAACTTAAGTATTCTCAGGTGAGAACAAAGTACATTTAGTTCAATTTGTATTCAGATTCCTCCACTTAGAAGTGTGACACTGGGCAATTTACTTAACCTCTCTGTTCCTCAGCTTCCTTCTCTGGAATATGGGGCTAATAATAGCACCACAGGGTTGTTGTGAGCGTGAAGTAAAACATCTAAAGCACTAAGAGTGCCTGGCACACAGTAACAGTATCCTGGATCATGACTGCTCTTATTACCTTAAAATATAAAGCAATACTCTATCATCTTTGTAATTTATAATCTCATTACCAGTCTTGAGAATTTCAAGAGACCTTTCAGACTCTGGAAACATACATACATACATACAGATTCATTCCATCCCCCTCCTGGAGGACGGCCGGGGTTACTTTAAATGTGCATTACTGAATTTCTCACAAAGTAACAGAGGTAGGAAGTTCATGAGTATTTCTAGAAGAGGTTTAATAAAGTCAAACCTATAATCCATCTGGTCACTAGCAACACGAGCCATTAGGAATTCCTATGCCCCTGAAACAACCACCTTCCCCACAACCCGCCTCGTGCACCTTTTGCTTCCCAAGGTGCCTCTTTGGTGCAGCATCACCCTCTTTCTCATGGAAGTGATCTTCTGAAGGCACAGGGCTGGCTCTCTCTGACAGACATCAGAATGCTGTCTGCTAATAACCAAGTGGCCATCCTAGGCTTGACCCAGCTACACTTCTGGTTATTCCATCCGAGCAGGATCATATCGGGGTTAGGAAGATAGACCTCTTATTTCATTGCAGAGGGAGAAAATGAGGCAGTGACTTGGTCAAGGTCATTCAGAGTAGGTGACAGCCAGGAAGAGCACCCAAGGGTTTTGGCTTCCAATCACAGTACAAAACACACACCCTTCATCTGGGGAAAGTACCCTTGAGTCAGGCAGCAGCCAGACAGAAGCACCATCAGGGCACTGAGGCCCGAGGGCTAGAAGGGGAAAAATCAAGGGACAAAGAATAAAATCACAGAACAGCTGTTAAGAGTCTACAAGTGCTGTGATCCTATCTGAATAAAACGCAATTTAGATTCACTTAGTCCTGCATCTTGGTTAACCTTATATAACTTCTTCACATTACATCACTAAGAACAATTGCTTTTAATGGGCCCAGCACCCAGACAAGTGAGACAAACTTCACGTGCCATGATGCTACACCTAAATAGCTTTCCCCATGGAAATGCTGGCCAGCGTAGGAGCCAAAAATAAACTGCAAAGCCAATTCCCGAGGGACCTGTCATCAGGGATGTTTCACACACACAGCTTCATAAAAGCAGGGTGATCACAGACAGCCCTAATTTAGAGGCACTATATCTCAAACCTGGTGAAACCCTGAATGTCATGGCAACTTAAAACAAAAGACAATGCAAAAGAGATGAAAAAGCACAAGAAAGCTAAAGCATAAACGCTTTGCCTCCGAAACGAAGGCTGAACTTGAACTGACAGACAGCAGTCCTGCTCCCTTACCTCGCAGGGGGCTGTTCTGCCCAACCATGACAGGTGGAGACCAGAAGGACCCACCACGTCTAGCCAGTGCTCATGAAGGTTTAAGTGGCTGCTGGCATTTGGCTTTGTTACAAAATTTTATTCAAAGGATGACTGGTGATGGGGAAGGGGCAAGCCTCCTCTAAGGAGATCCATGGCCAGATGGACAGTTTCAAGTGGCTACCTCGCTGAACAGGTCAGAAGACTGGAGAAAGGAAGAAGCATATAAGAGACACTGGCCACTAGCTCCTTTTGAGTCCTTAAGAGGCTTAATTTTGGTGGCTGGAAGCCTCAGGAACACGACAAATTCCATAGCTTCATGGAAGAACTTACTTTGTTTCTGTTGCTATTTTCATGAAGGCAGCAGGGAAAGGACATGACTTGCTGCCCAGTCTCTTCATCTCTCTTTGTAAATTTGTTCACTAAAAACTTGAGACTAAGATTAAGCCTTTACTCATTGCCCTCCAATTTACAGAGAAAACTACAAAAATACGCCACACCCTATGAAACACTCCACATTAAATAGATACTACTAAAAAATTTCAATGGGGCAAGGCACTGTGGCTTATGCCTGTAATTCCAGCACTTGGGGAGGCCAAGGCCGGTGAATCACTTGAGGCCAGAAGTTCAAGACCAGCCTGGCCAAAATGGCAAACTGCCGTCTCTACTAAAAATACAAAAATTAGCTGGGTGTGATGGCGCATGCCCATAATCCCAGCTATGCGGGAGGCTGAGGCACAAGAATCACTTGAACCCGGGAAGTTGAGGTTGTAATGAGCTGAGATCGTGCCACTGCACTCCAGCCTGGGTGACAGAGAGAGACTCTGTTTAAAAAAGAAACTCACACACAAAAATTTTCAATAGGTAGCAGCTTATTAAAAAAAATAAGTTTCGGGCGGGTGCGGTGGCTCCTGCCTGTAATCCCAGCACTTTGGGAGGCCGAGGCGGGCGGATCACCTGAGGTCAGGAGTTCAAGAACAGCCTGGCCACCACGGAGAAACCCCGTCTCCACTAAAAATACAAAAAATTAGCCGGGCGTGATGGCGTATGCCTGTAATCCCAGCTACTCGGGAGGCTGAGGTAGGAGAATCGCTTGAACCCGGGAGGCAGAGGTTGCGGTGAGCCGAGCTGGCGCCATTGCACTCCAGCCTGGGCAACAAGAGCAAAACTCCGTCTCAAAAACATAAATAAATAAAAAATAAGTTTCTCAAAACCATCACTACTGTAGTCCCAGCTACCTGGGAGGCTGAGGCAGGAGGATTGTGTGAGACCAGGAATTCAAGGACACCTGAGTAACAGTGAGACCCCATCCCAAAAATAATAAACAAACCAGTAACTCAAAAAAAAAAAAAAATCTGCCACTACATTATTTTGTCAATAATTGGGTTCTCAAATCTCATAACTAGATTAGTCAATCTTGGTCTAATGGTCTTTCCTTTACGGCATACTATCACCTTGATGGAATTCATAAGGAGCAGGAGGTGAGAAGAAAAATCATCCTAAGCCACAGTTCTGCAAGGTCCCAGGACCCACCCTACCACCCTGCTTGGTGGTCAGTAACAGACCAGGAGACATTCAGCTAATCAGTCACCTGTATCTATAGCTCATGGTAACAGAGCTACCTATCAGGTATAAACTCCACCCTCCAAAACAAACCTATTCTAAATCCTAAAAGAACTATATCTTGCCACCCATAAATGGGCATCCCATTCCACCACTTCCTTGGAATTTCTGCGTCCCTTGGCTTTTGCTAAACCCAGATGCTACAATGACAAAATACCACCACCGAGCCACAAAACGGATTTCAACAAATTCAAAGCAAGTCACAGGAGGCCAGCTGCAAAATCTATCCAAAGTGGTGCCTCAAAGTTGTTGTTTTTTTTTTCTTTTCTTTTGAGACAGAGTTTAACTCTTGCTGCCCAGGTTGGAGTGCAATGGTGCCATCTCAGCTCACCGCAACCTCCGCCTCCCTGGTTCAAGCAATTCTCCCGCCTCAGCCTCCCGAGTAGCTCAGGTTACAGGCATGCGCCACCAAGCCCAGCTAATTTTGTATTTTTAGTAGAGACAGGGTTTCTCCATGTTGGTCAGGCTGGTCTCGAACTCCTGACCTCAGGTGATCCGCCCGCCTCGGCCTCCCAAGTGCTGGGATTACAGGCATGAGCTACCACACCCGGCCGTTGTTTTCGATTTAACTCCAAAATAGGTATTTCAAGTCAAACTCTGTATAATTACACATAGTGCAGGAGGCAAACGGAGCATAACTGCAAACAAAGTTAACCACCAAAGTCAAGACGGACGGGAACAACAACTGATAAACATAGCGGCTCCCAGTAGTGAGCTGGGCCTACCTCCCTGAGTCCTAGGGCAGGAGGCCACAACACAGAGGATGCTGCAGTCAAATGAGTTGCGTTCCAAAAATCACGAATCTCTCAAATAGATGGGTGGTGAAAAACATTCTTAAAAACTCACAGAAAGACACCAGCAATCATCTGGTGTCACACAGTATACAGCAATAACCCTCTTTTACTGACACAATACTGGGTAATTTTTAACAAGCATTCTGTTGCACAAAAGTAATATTTTCCAAATACTCTTGTAAATGGACTGATAATTTTCCTTCCAAGTCTCAGAGCTGTTGCCTGATTCACATTTCTCTGAGGGGAAGCAGGGTCCTGTGTGTGGATTTGTGTCTGTGGATGTATGTGCATCCCCAACAAAAAGACCCCGCTGGTATCAGCAGTCACTTCTGCCTCTAGGAAATGGATCATGTGCTCTTCTCTGGAGTGGGGCCTTTTTCCTTCTCAAGCCGTTGTCACAGACCCCGCTTTGTAGTTTGACATGAAACCCCGTTCCTCTGTAGTCTTTGTCTCCCACTGTGTGAGAAACCCAGATCAACTTCCAAAGTGCCCTCCCCTGAAATCAGACCTCTCAACCTCCCAAGGACCTAAAACAGCGTAGGCCTGATTCCTGCTTAGAAATGTTTTCTTGAAGGGGAGGGGAAGTAGGAGAGAAAGAAGGGGTGTGAGATACAGGGGGGTGTGTGTGTGTGTGTGTGTGTGTCAATTACTGATAGGAATTCACATTCTGGAAAACAAGCCACCAAACCAACCCGGGTTCAAGGTTTCGGGTTTATGATGACAAGCCTCTTTGTTTTGTAAAACTGCTATACTCACTAGCATCACCCCAAAAACCATACGGGAGTCAGATGTCTGCTTAACAGCTTCAGGTCAAGAAAAAACCTTCGGGTTTCCAAATTGGTGACTCCCCTCTACCCAGGGTTCTGGATTATTTTTTTCAAGGAGTCCATATGCACTTAGGAGTCATCAATCCCGGTCGCAGCTGTCAGAATCCTCCCCCCCAAGTACTATTCATACCGGGGCTCTGATTGCTAATGATTTTACTCACAAAGTTCCCTGCAGCAATTAAAAGGAGGCAGCAGGGTAAAACAAAAAGAGGCTGGGTGGCTTCACCATAATGCAGCCTGTAAGCTAGTGAACTTCTTGGGTTCGGCTGGGATTTTCACCTCTATCTTTGTTTTGGAATGCCCACAACCCCTCCCTGCACGGACCCGGCACGGCCTTCATTTCTGGATGCACAATGCAGTACCGAGCTCCTTGGGGGTCAGCAAAACGCCGCACTGGTGTAACGCCGAACGCGCCCCAGAACCTGAGTCCCCACGGGAGTCGGTCCACGTCTCTAAATCTCGAGGCCGACACCACAGCATAACATGTCTTAGAAGTCCCCTCAAGTCGGGAAGCCCAGGGCCCGCCCGGTCCCGGGCCAGCAGTGCCTGGCTGGCGTGTGCGCCCAGAGCTGCTGCAATGACTTTGCATGGAGTGTACCCTCCACTGGGGCTGTCCTCCCGCGTCGGCCACTGCAGTGGCACCGCTCCGGGCAGGGCCCTGCACGCCGTCCTTCCCTGGCCTCGGCCCGGCCGCCGACCCCCTGCCGCCCGCGCCGCCCAGCCCCCGCCCGCCGCACCTTGGTCTCCTTCACATGCTGCTTGACGCCCTCCGGGTACCACTGGACGCGCACGTAGCCGCGGCGCAGGGGGCTGGCCCGGCCCTCCTCGTGGCCCGCGCCCCCGGCCTCGGAGCACCCCGAGCTCCCGCGGCCCTCCTCCTCGCCCTCCGAGTCCGAGTCCTCGCCGTGGATGAGGCGCACCAGCCCGAAGTGCACGGAGCCACGGTAACGGCCCGACACCAGGTCGTGAGAAAACAGCAGGCGCTGCGAGCCGGCTTCTGGGCCGGAGTCCGAGGACGGCCCGGAGGCCGAGTCCGAGGCGGGCGCCGGCGCCGGGACGGGGGCTGCGGCTGGGGCCGGGACTGCCTCCGGGGCTGGAGCCGGGGCCTGGGCTGGAGCGGGAGCTGCGGGCGTGGGGGCTGCGGGATCCGCCATAACTGCTCTGCGCGAGTCTCGGGCGGCGGCGGCGACAGCGGCGGCGAACGAGGCGCGGGGAGGCGGGACCAGCGGGCGCCGGGGGCGGGGCCATAGCGCGCTGACGTGTCCCTGCGTGGCGCCGTCGTCAGGGAGCCGGGATGCAGTTGCTAGGAGCCACCGCCTCGTCGCTAGGGGACGCTGAAGATGCCGCGGGGGGCGGGGGCAGGATGGAATCCACTAAGAAGGGGCGAGACCAGTGAGGATTCAACTAAAGGGAGCGAGAAGGGGCGGGGACCCGGGAGGAGGAAGTGGAGTGGCCACCGAGGAAGAGGGGAGTGGTCGGGGTGGGGCACAGGATGGTGGAGAGACTGTCAACAACTTTTAATGAGCTCCCTTGGCGTCCTAGCCTAGCCCCCAGGCACTGGGAGCATTGCAGAAAGAGAAAGATACTGTCCCTGTCCTCTAGGTGTTTCCAGTCTAGTTGGGGAGACAAAACAAATACACATTAAATAGATAACAAACAACTCCAACTTGTAAGGCTATAATAGATACGTGTAGAGCATATGTATAATGCACTGTATTCAGGAATTCCAAGCAGTTCGAACGTCATGACCCCTCAGAAGTTGACCCAGAAGCTGGTGAAGGAGGCCCAGAGAAAGGTAACAAAAGGATCAGTGGTCCCAGTGGTTTGGCTACAAATCCATGCAGATAAATTCAAAGCTCCCTGAAGCCAAGAATGAATGGCAAGAGGTAGTATAGTAAGGTAGCTAAGAGTGGGGACCACGGATTCCAATTTTTGGCACTGCCACTTACTAATCTATAAAAATAGGCACACTGATTAACTTATTTTCATCTTAATTTGCTCATCTGTGAAATAGGGATGATAATAGCAATACTCATCTCATTGGGCAATTGGAGGATTAAGTGAAGTAGAACAGTGCCTGGCATTTAGCTCCTTCGATAAGCTTAACCATTGTTGTACTATTTCCAAACTCCCTGCCTAGACTAAATTCCAGACTGGCAGAACTGTTATGGTCTGCTCCATATTGTCATTTTAAAATATAAAAAGTAGGCCGGGCGCGGCAGCTCACACCTGTCATCCCAGTACTTTGGGAGGCTGAGGTGGGCGGATCACGAGGTCAAGAGATTGAGACCATCCTGGCCAACATGGCGAAACCCCATCTCTACTAAAAATACGGAAAAAAAAAAAAAATAGCTGGGCGTGGTGGCACATGGCTGTAGTCCCAGCTACTCAGGAGGCTGAGGCAGGCAAATCGCTTGAACCTGGGAGGCTGAGGTTGCAGTGAGCCCAGATCGCGCCACTGCACTCCACCCTGGGCAACAGAGCAAGACTCTGTCTCAAAAAAATAAATAAATAAAAATAAATAAAATATAAAAAGTAACTCTAGGGCCAGGCGTGGTGGCTCATGCCTGTAATCCCAGCACTTTGGGAGGCAGAAGCAGATGGATCACCTGATCACCTGAGGTCAGGAGTTCAAGACCGCCCTGGCCAACATGGCGAAATCCCTTCTCTACTAAAAGTACAAAAATTAGCTGGGCGTGGTGGTGTGCACCTGTAGTCCCAGCTACTTGGGAGGCTGAGGCAGGAGAATTGCTTGAATCTGGGAGGCAGAAGTTGCAGTGAGCCGAGATCATGCCACTACACTCCAGCCTTGGCAACAGAGCAGGACTCTGTCTCAAAAAACAAAAAACAAAAAAAAGGCTGGATGTGGTGGCTCTTGCCTGTAATCCCAGCACTTTGGGAGACCGAGGCGGGTGGGAGACCCGAGGTCAGGAGTTCAAGACCAGCCTGGCCAAGATGGTGAAACCCTGTCTCTACTAAAAATACAAAAATTAGCCGGGCGCGGTGGCAGCCGCCTGTAATCCCAGCTACTCGGAAGGCTGAGGCAGGAGAATCACTTGAACCTGGGGAGTGGAGGTTGTAGTGAGCCTAGATCGCGCCGCTGCACTCCAGCCTGGGCGACAGAGTGAGATTCCGTCTCAAAAAAAAGTAACTCTAGGCCGGGCACAGTGGCTCACGCCTGAAATCCCAACACTTTGACTGCGCCTGAAATCCCAACACTTTGGGATGCCAAGGTGGGTGGATCAGTTGAGGTCAGGAGTTCAAAACTAGCCTGGCCAACATGGCAAAACCCCATGTCTACTAAAAATCCAAAATTAGCTGGGCAAGGTGGCAGGCGCCTGTAATTCCAGCTACTTGGGAGGCTGAGACACGAGAACCACTTGAACCTGGGGGTTGGAGGTTGCAGTGAGCCTAGATCACACCACTGCACTCCAGCTTGGGTGACAGAGTGAGACTCTATCTCAAAAGAAAAAAACTAACTCTAATTTAATGTGTCACCTAAGTTTCAAAGGGTTTAGATACATTCTCAGAGGACAGATTTAAATGGATTGTTAAGGAAAACAAGATCTGGCCCTAACCTTTCTCAGTCAACATCATTTTTTCCACATTTTTCTACACGATCATCAACGAAAGACTAGTAAGTTGGATATTACAGTATTTAGGTTCTTCAAAGAAGGCAGAATCCCAGCTCTTTGTGTTGTTTACAGGATCCTGAAGATACAGAACTATGTTCATAGAAAAGTTGGTTGGGTGTGGTGGCTCACATCTGTAATCCCAGCACTTTGGGAGGCCAAGGCAGATGGATCATTTGAAGTCAGGAGTTCAAGAGCACCCTGGCCAACATGGTGAAACCCCGTCTCTGCTAAAAACACAAAATTAGCCAGGTGTAGTGGCGCATGCTTGTAGTCCCAGCTACTCGGGAGGCTGATGCAGGAGAATCGCTTGAACCCGGGAGCAGGAGGTTACAGTGAGCCAAGAACACATCACTGCACTCCAGCCTGGGCGACAGAGCGAGACTGCGTCTCAAAAAAAGAGAGAGAAAAGTTAAAAGAACATGCACAAGGTCGGGCACGGTGGCTCACGCCTGTAATCCCAGCACTTTGGGAGGCTGAGGCAGGCGGATCACTTGAGGTGAGGAGTTCAAGACCAGCCTAACCAACATGGAGAAACCCCATCTCTACTAAAAATACAAAATTAGCCAGGCATGGTAGCCCATGCCTGTAATCCCAGCTACTCAGGAGGCTGAGGCAGGAGAATCACTTGAACCCGGGAGGTGGAGGTTGTGGTGAGCCAAGATCGAGCCATTGAACTCCAGCATGGGCAACAAGAGCAAAACTCCATCTCAGGAAAAAAAAAAAAAAAAAGAACATGCACAAAACAGATGGCAGCCTAAGTACTTAAGATGTCTTAGGCCAAGTACTAATAGAGTATTGATGTAATATTGGGATCAGGGTGGTTGTCAATGGACCCAAATCTTAGAAAATTTATCTACTAAGATATAGAACAAATGGGCTGAATCAGCTGAAGGGGGAGTTAGGATATGATTTTGGGGCAAGGCTGGGTTCTCAAACCATGGCCTTCCCATCCCAGAACACAATGCCAAATGACCATCTGGAATCACTGCTGTAAGGACGCAGGTCCCTACTCCCTCTCCTGTAGAGACCTGGGAGATTAAACAGCAGTAACATAGTAGCTTCTGTTCTGCCTCCCATGACCCTTTCAGCCCTGTTTTCTTGCCCCCTGATAACATAGCATTTATTAAGCACATATTATTGACCAGGCATTGTACCAGGTACTTCCAAGCACATTATCTTGTCTGTTATCACAATCTTGGATATAGAGAGTTTTTAACCTCATTTTACCAATGAAGAAATAGGGCCCAAGGAATTTGGCGCCTAAGGTAACAGGTAGTAACCTGAGGAGTTTCCCCACTCTAAGGGCAGGGGCTTTTGTAGTTATGCTATTTCTTTAGGCTTCCCTCAGAAGAACTCCTGATTGCACAGGGGAGTCCATGTGTCTATGTGTCCCACGGCGGGATAAGGCAGTGCAGACCTCAAATCTGCTTTTTGTTTCATGGCAGGGTCTCACTCTGTCGCCCATGCTGGAGTGCAGTAGCGTGATCTTGACTCACTGCAACCTCCGTCTCCCAGGTTCCAGCGATTCTCCTGCCTCAGCCTCCTGAGTAGCTGGGATTACAGGCGCCCACCACCACGGCTGGCTAATTTTTGTATTTTTAGTAGAGACGGGGTTTACCATGTTGGCCAGGCTGGTCTCGAACTCCTGACCTCAAATGATCCACCCGCCTTGCCCTCCCAAAGTGTTGGGATTACAGGCATAAGCCACCGCACCCGGCCTCAAATCTGCTTTTGTTGTCAAAAAATCAAGTGAGTTTTGCATTGTACTCCAGAGTATGCCTATGTTTGTTGTTTTAATGTAAAAACTAATGCCCTTTCCTCCCTAATCATTGAGTAATATCGGCACTCCTGGAAGACGTGTTGTGTTTATTCTGCGGCTTCTTGTAATAATGGCTAATAATAGCTATCACTTATTGAGCTGTAACTTCATGCCAGATACTCTACTAAGTGCTTTACATAGATTATCAGGATACTGCCAGGTTGGAGGTAAGACTCCTTGATTTTACATGCTGATCTCTCCCTCACTAGACTAAACCCTTAAGCATGTGGACCATGTTGTATTTGTGTGTGTAACCCTGGTGCCTAGGACAGTACCTGGCATAGGGATGGAGCTCAATAATGTGTCGTATTAGGCTAGGCCCATACAGTGGCTCACGCCTGTAATCCCAGCATTTTGGGAGGCCAAGGTGGGTGGATCACCTGAGGTCAGGAGCTTGAGACCTGGCCAACATGGCAAAACCATATCTCTACTAAATATACAAAAATTAGCCAGGCTTGGTGGCGGGCGCCTGAAATCCCAGCTACTCAGGAGGCTGAGGCTGGAGAATCACTTGAACCCGGGAGGCGGAGGCTGCAGTGAGCTGAGATTGTGCCACTGCACTTCAGCCTGGGAGATAGAGCAAGACTCCGTCTTGAAAAAGAAAAAAAGAAAATTATCATGTTAGCGGATATCAAAGGCCTGAGAACCTGTACCTCCATTCTGTCAGTTTCCTATCCTTTTTCCAACAACCAAAAGTTGAAGAAGCTGGGACAGAGCTGCCCTCTTTGGCTGCTCCAAATCCTTTCAAGTGCCCCCAGTTTCAACTGCATCTGAGCTGCTTTAGAGAATGAGACTCAGTAAATTCCTACCCATCCGATGGTGTCTTTTATGGACCTCACTCAGACCCAAGATGCTCTGGATAAGGTTTGAGGCTTGACTCCTTCCCAGACCCTGAGCCCCCAGCCACGGTCTCCATACACTCAGGCTGGCTAGCAGGGTAAGTGTGGATGGAAGCCGCTGCTTAGTTTTTATTTTTGTCATTGTTGAGGTGTAGGAAGGAGGAAAAAAACTTGATTCCCTAATGAAGAAACCCTCTCTTATCATGGCCCCATCTCCCAGCCTTTCGTGGGGAATAGAGCTATTTCTTGGGAGGATTTCACTTATTTATAAATGTGCTTCCAGAAACTGAGCTGGTCTGGCCTCTCCCCTTGCTAAGTGGGGTGGGTGGTGTGCAGGAGGCGGCAGAGCCAGCAGCAGAGTGAACTGGTCTCAGGGAAGCAGGCCCTGTCTCGTCCCTATCTTAACCAGCCACTGGAGCACCTCTCTGGACCCACAAAGTATGCTCAGGCCCAACACTGCCCTCTGCGGGAGCCTGCTTGGCCTCTCCATTGCTGTGCAAGCGATTTCAGCCTGGCCCAAAGAGCTCCTTCCACCCTGGAGCAGGTGTTTGGGAAGGCTAGGGTGCCTTAGGCACTGGGGACTTCAGCTGGGGGGTGGGGTGGGAGGTGAGCTGCCTTGGGAAACCCCCCACACCCTCATGTGGCTGGCTGAAGAAATGCCTCCGAGGCTCCAGCTGAATGCCGCTCAAGGCTTTTGGAGTTAAAACGGCCCTTCTCATTCCTGGAGCCTCACCTGCTCCTTGCACAGGTGCCCTGGGAAAACTGTGGGACTTGCCCAAGGTCACTCTGCAGTACAGTCAGGATCAGGACCCAGCCCAGCTGGCCCTTGGCCATTCTGACTCCTGCTGTGAGGGTGGGTTGCAATCCACTGGGCAAAACACTTTATGCTGGGGCAACAGTGAAAAGTTTGAGCAATAGTGACAGCATAGGATCACCAGGTTCGTCCTGTTTCCCTCCTTCCTGAAGATACAGGGTGAGGCACAGTGAATCTGCTGGACCAGCTTCAAGAACAATATGTCAGCCTATCCACTGCCACCTCCCACAGCTCCAGACTCGTGGGTGCTTCCTGGATGTGACCAGCCATAGGTACAAAGTAGACTCATCATCTTTTCCTCAAATAGTTTCTTCTCCCAGAGTTCTCATCCTGATGGATGGCAGTATCACTTACCTGGGTACTGAGCTGGCCACCTGAGGGTCAGCCCTCACTCTTAAGCTCTACATGCAATCAAAGCCTGGGTCTTGGCCCCTCACTGCCTTTTCACACCCTTCCTGTCCAGAGCTGCCCCACCAGGGGGGCAGATCCATGGAGATGTGGGGAGGTGGGAGGTACAGTGGCTGAGAGTGAGCTTCCGGAGTCACAGGGACCTGGGTTTGAAGCTTGTGCTGCTGCTGGTCACTATGTGACCTTGGGCAAGTTATTTTACTCTCTAAGCCTCAGTTTCCTTTCTGTAAGGTGGGAATAATAATAATACCTACTTCATAGGACTGTGGAGACTGTAACTGACCAACTGAATATAACGTGCTTTGCCCAGTGAGTGCATGATGGCAGGCCTGATAACATTAGCTTTTCTTAGGAATTCATTTCCATCTCTTGCCTAGACCTCGGCTGTAGGCCCCTCACCAGGCCCCAGGCCGTCTAATCTGTCTGCTGCCTTGTTCCCAGGGTGACTGAAAATGCAAGCACGGTCATTGGACTCTTGGCTTTATATCTTTCTGTGGCTCCCCAGGGTCCACCCAAGAAGGTGCATGTGGCCTTTCATAAACTGATCTGATCCTTCCAACCCCCCTTCCCCCTCTGCATCCAGCATGGAGTGCTCTGTGCTCCAGCCTCAGTCACCTACTTCAGGAAATTTTTTTTTTTTTTTTTTTTTTTTTTTTTTTTTTTTGAGACAGAGTCTCTCTCTGTTGCTCAGGCTGGAGTGTCCTGGCAGGACCTCGACTCACTGCAACCTCCGCATCCCGGGTTCAAGACATTCTTGTGCCTCAGCCTTCTGAGTAGCTGGGATTACAAATGCCCCACCACCACACCTGGGTAATTTTTTTGTATTTTTAGTAGAGATGGGGTTTTGCCATGTTGGCCAGGCTGGTCTCAAACTCCTGACCTCAGGTGATCCACCTGCCTCGGCCTCCCAAAGTGCTGGGATTACAGGCATGAGCCACCAAGCTTGGCCTGTTTTTTATTTTTTTATTAAAAAAAATAATAGAGAGAAGGTCTCACTATATTGGCCGGACTGGTCTTGAACTCCTTGGGCTCAAGCGATCCTCCTGCCTTGGCCTCCCAAAGTGCCAGGATTATAGGCATGAGCCACCGTGCCCAGCCTCTTTTGGCTTTTTAAAATGTGGCTACTAGAACATTTAAAATCACATGTGGGGCTCACACAATCTTACTATTGGGCAGTTTGGCTCCATTACTTGGGGAGCCGTAGGTCCCTTCTTTGTCCAGGAGGTGGCAATCCCTCCCTGCCTTGGATGCTTCCATTCCAGAATGGTCTGGAAGGTTCCTGAGGTAAGTGCCTATCTAATACGGCGATATTGAGCCCCAAATAAGGCAGGGTCCCACTCAGCCCTGCCTTTGAGTCACCCACCTCAACGGAAGACTCTGGGCCGGGCGTGGTGGCTCATGCCTATAATCCCAGCAATTTGGGAGGCTGAGGGGGGCAGATTGTTTGAGGTCAGGAGTTTGAGACTGGCCTGGCCAACATGGTGAAACCCCGTCTCTACTAAAAATACAAAAAATAGCCAGGCGTGGTGGCATGTGCCTGTAATCCCAGCTACTCAGGAGGCTGAGGCAGGAGAATTGCTTGAACCCGGGAGGCGGGGGTTTCAGTGAGCCGAAATCGCGCCACTGCACTCCAGCCTGGGCGACAGAGTGAGATTCCATCTTAAAAAAAAAACAAAAACAAAAACAAAAAAACAGAAGACTGTGCCTCTAGCTGATAGGCACCTGCTCTGTGGGTGGCACGATGCCACATTCTCAACCCAGCCTCTGTTTTCCAGGAGTGCATAAGCCTCTTGGGGGGACAGGTGTGTAGTGGATGCTGTGGTGCACCTCCCCATCACATCCCTCTCCAAACACTGCCCTTGGCTAAAAGAAGATGCCTCCCCCAACCACTGACTGTCTGTAAGGGGCACAAAGCCTGGCCAACATGGTGAAACCCCGTCTCTATTAAAAATGCAAAATTTGCTGGGTATGGTGGTGGGCACCTGTAATCCCAGCTACTTGGGAGGCTGAGGCAGGAGAATTACTTGAACCTGGGAAGTGGAGGTTGGTGAACTGAGATTGTGCCACTGCACTCCAGCCTGGGTGACAGAGTGAGCCTCCACCAAAAAAAAAAAAAAAAAAAAAAAAAGGAAGGAAGGAAGGAAGAAATCAATCAATCAATCAATCAGTCAGTGGTGGGTGCAACATCTCAGGTGTCTGAGAGGTACAGGGATGGAGTAAGTGTAAGGACTGGGGGGCTGGATGGCTGTTGGGGCAGTCAGTGCAGAGGAGAAAGGCAGTCAGAGGCTGGGGGTGAAGAATCACTGCTTGAAGGCAAAGTGGAAAAGCCAGAGGGCCTCCTTGGCAGCATGTAAAGAAACTCGCCTCCTGAAGTTAAGGAACAGAGAGAAGTCAGCATGGCAGAGCCTGAGAGCAGGTTGAATTCCCAACCTTAATGAGTCAGCGATACAGAGGAGGCCCCTGGGGAGAAGCGGGAGCCATCCAGGGACAGAGGTTAGTGCCCCTCCTTCCTTGGGGACAATGCCTCTTCCTTAGGAGACATGTACTACCCCCTTCCCAACCCTGAGTATATACTGCACCTCCTCTTCTTGCACTGGGCCAGTAACTAGGGCTAAATCGCAACCTCACCTACTGGTGAAGTGCTGGGTCGGCTAAGGGAGGAAGGAGGCTCTGTCCTGAAGGAGCTGCAGGTCCCAGCCAGAGCCAGGAGAGTGGGGACTGGAATCAGAGGATGCTGGCTGGGCCAAGGGGATCAGAGCATAAAGTTGGATAAGGAACGTGTGTTGGTATGGGAGCTCTTTTCCCTGTTACAGAATTTATCACCCTGGCAAGGACCCTGGTACTTGGAAGCTTGGAGAAAGTGATTCAGGGCTCTTACCCGCAGTGGGCAGGACTGCTGACGGCTCCCAGCTGGATTTTCCTGCAACTGCCCTCAATGAAGCAAGCTGTTCCACCCAAGGTTGATGCAGGACAAAGAGGTGGGTCCAGAAGGGCTTCCCAAGTCTGAAGCTCCT
Organism: Homo sapiens; assembly: GCF_000001405.40. Taxonomy (NCBI): domain Eukaryota; kingdom Metazoa; phylum Chordata; class Mammalia; order Primates; family Hominidae; genus Homo; species Homo sapiens. The sequence continues at coordinate 76,462,517 of NC_000017.11, forward strand.
CGGGGGATGCGCCAAGGCCTCGGTTACAGCTGCACCATCACGGCTCAGCTTCCACTGTCCAGCCCTCTGCCCTGCTCCATGGTAGGGGTCGCTCATGAGACCTCTCCCCAATAAACTTGCCGCACACAGTTCTCCATCTCTCATCCCCCGGGGAGCCTGCCACGTGGTAGTACTCAGGCTGGAAAGGTAAAGACGATAACGCGAGATGTGCTCAGTGCCAGGTCTGTGGGGCAGACCTTTAGTGCAGGGGAGGAGTTGAGAGAGAAAGTGACCATCGAAACCACCAAAAAAATGCAGCCATTGCACAAGAGCCTGAAGAGAGGGCTATGCTTCCTGCACGCCGGGCCTCTCAACTGCTCTGCATGGAAAACCGGTATCTCAGAGGCATCGTCAAGGTGTCCCTGGGACATGGCCATGGGGCCCACTCCTTGGTCTGCCCCAAATGGGCTCCCTTCAGTCTGGGTGTGAAACTGGGCAGCTGACACACGGAGGGGAGGGGGTGTGTCTCCATGCGGGAAGCTCCCAGATTCCAGGTCCAGGGCTTCTGCACTGGGCCCGGTGGGGATGCTCACTGCCCCTGCACCAGGCTCTCCGGGGGTATCAGCAGCTGCAGCAGGCTCGGTGCCCGGGATGGGGTGGGGGCCGTGGGGAGGTTTTCTCCAACCCCCGGCCGTGGCAGCGAGTCAGTGTGCCTTTAATCAACGGCCTCTGCACTCCACCTCTCACTGTCACCATTAAGGCCATTCCTCTGCATCTGGCCTCTCCACCCATTTCTCCCTTCTGGAAGGATTCCTTTTTTTTTTTTTTTTGAGATACAGTCTTGCTCTGTGGCCCAAGTTGGAGTGCAGTGGTGCAATCTTGGCTCACTGCAACCTCTGCCTCCTGGGTTCCAGCAATTCTCCTGCCTCAGCCTCCCGAGTAGCTGGGATTACAGGCACCCACCACCACGCCCAGATCATTTTTGTATTTTTAGTAGAGACGGGGTTTCACCATGTTAGCCAGACTGCTATTGAACTCCTGACCTCGAGCTATCCACCCACCTCAGCCTCCTAAAGTGCTGGGATTACAGGTGTGAGCCACCGTGCCCGGCCTTTTCTGGAAGGATTCTTAAAGGTCATCGGAGCCTCCCTGTTGGCAGAATCTGAGATCTGTTCTCCATTCTTTGTGGCATTTCAGGCTCTATCTGCCCCATTTCTTGGACATTCTCCCCTGGGTTCTTCCCTTCTTGTGGCTTCACCTGTGTTCCTGTTAATAACTCCTTTCCCTGCTAACAGTGGACATCCCAAAAGCTTGGTTCTCAGCTTTCGTGTGGTGATACACATCCTCTCAGAACCTTTTTTACTGTCATGATATCAGTTATCCGCTCAATAACTGTCGTCATCATCCTCACCACATCTGATTAGGAGTGGGATGGGGGCTCTGATGGGTCAGAGGTGAGGCTCTACCAGGGCAGGTGGGGAGTTAGGTAGCATGGTCCCTGGCAGTTCTCTGTGTGCCCTGGACAACCCCTCTCCAAACTGCTATAGAATATTCTGGAGTCCTGCCTGGGTGCGGTGGCTCACGCCTGTAATCCCAACACTTTAGGAGGCTGAGGCAGGTGGATCACCTGAGTTCAGGAGTTTGAGACCAGCCTGACCAATATGGCGAAAGCCCATCTCTAGGAAAAATAAAAAAAATTAGCCAGGCATGGTGGTGTGCGCCCGTAATCCCAGCTACTTGGGAGGCTAAGGCAGGAGAATTGCTTGAACCTGGGAGGCGGAGGTTGCAGTGAGCCGAGATTGTGCCATTGCACTCCAGCCTGGGCCACAGAGCAAGACTCTGTCTTAAAAAAAAAAAAAAAAAGAATATTCTGGAGTCTTGAAGTGGAAGCCCAGTCACAGACCATGATTTTCATGGGACCGAAGAGCCTTTTGGGAGAAAACTGAACCCCATCTGGCATTTGAAATGTGTAAATCTGTCTGGGAGATCGAAAGAGGCCAGGCTGGGTGGAGAGACAGGGGGACCCCTGAGGGGAGCCATCATGGGTGAGGCAGGGTGGCATGGTACACACTGGGCAGGGAGTCGCGGTGGGTGAGTTGTGGATACAGGACTTTCAAGGGAGCTGCTGCTGGAGGGAGAGGCTGGGAACAAAGAGCCTCGGCCTCCCAAAGTGCTGGGATTACAGGCATGAGCCACGACGTCAAGCCATTTCTGTGGTTTACAGTCATCCAGTTTGTGTATCATCTGTTACAGCACCCCTGGGAAACATACAGATGCCAGCTTCTCCCTGTCTGTATCTATATATTTTTTTTTTTTGAGATAGCAGTTTCACTCTTTTTGCCCAGGCTGGAGTACAATGGCACGATCTTGGCTCACTGCAACCTCTGCTTCCTGGGTTCAAGCAATTCTCCTGCCTCAGCCTCCCAAGTGGCTGGGATTACAAGCGCCCACCACCACACCTGGCTGATTTTTTGTATTTTTAGTAGAGACGGAGTTTCACCATATTGGCCAGGCTGGTCTCGAACTCTTGACCTCAGGTGATCCACCCGCCTCAGCCTCCCAAAGTGCTGGGATTACAGGCATGAGCCACCGTGCCCGGCCTTGCCCATCAGGTTAGGTGTTTATCAGCTGTCTAGAGTGACTGAACAGGTACGACTTGGGGGGCAAAGGACACATTCTCCCCCCCATCCCCAAGATCCACCTGAGAGGCAGTCACCAGAGGCGTTGCCAGCACTCTTAACTGCAATAGCAGGACAAGACTGGGCATCTGATAAACAGTGCAATCGGTGTCCCTGGCGTGAGGATGATCTCGGAGGTGCTTCTTTTTTAGAGCCCACCTGAGGTCAGGATTTTTTTTTTTTTTTTTGAGACAACATCTTGCTCAGTTACCCAGGCTGGAGTGCAGTGGCTCATCACTGCAGCCTGAACCACCTAGGCTCAAGTGATCTTCCCACCTCAGCCTCCCAAGTAGCTGGGGCTACAGGTGTGTGCCACCATGCTTGGCTGATTTTTAAATTTTTTGTAGAGACAGGGGTCTTGCTATGTTGCCCAGGCTGGTCTCAAACTCCTGGGCTCAAGTGATCCTCCTGCCTTGGCCTCCCAAAGTGCTGGGATTACAGGTGTGAGCCACTATGCCCAGCCCCAGGGATCTCCTTCTCTCTGTACCCATCACCCTGTTGGGCCCCTCACCCTCCTTATTTTCCTTCTCATTGGTGGTGGTATGTGGTTTTCTTCCTGTTGACCAGGACAAAGGTCCCAGCGATCACCCTGCCCTCCCCTGTCTCCTCTCCTGTCCCACAAGGGTTTGAACTTCCCAGTTTCACCATGTTTAACATACCGCCTCATCTTTAAAAAAAATTTATTTTTATTTGTATTTTTTTGAGACAGGGTCTCGCTCTGTCGCCCAGGCTGGAGTGCAGTGGCGAGTCACTACAGCCTCGACCTCTCCGGCTCAAGCCATCCTCCCGTCTCTGTCTCCCAAAGTGCTGGGATTACAGCGGTGAGCCACTGTGCCTGGCTTACTGCCTCATCTTGTTCCCTGAGGTTCTAGACCTCTAGGGTGTTGTCCGGAAAGAACAGGGCCATGTGGAAGTCAGCAAAGAGAGAGGCCGATTGAACAGCAGGCTCTTCTCAGGCATCGCCAAGTGACTGATTAGGATTGGCCACCAGGGGGTGCCATGGAGCCACAGTCTATGAAGGGACAGAAGAGGCCTTTTGGGGGACCCTGGAGGTTGAAGGTGGGGATGCCCAGCTGAGGTCTTGGACATGACCACCCCACCAACCAAGCCCAAGGAGGTCTCTGGTCGGTCCTGAGAGGTCTGTTGAGGGTCCCTTCTAGCAGGCAGGTGGGCCTCAGAGTGCAGAGGGGCCCTGGGAGAAGGGGACCCAGAGACAGGAGGAATGCATGTGGTGGGTGGGCGGGGGCATCGGGACGGGGTCACTCCACGGTCAGGGGCTGTGTCCCAAACCGTATGGGTAGGAACAGGAGCTTCCTCTGCGGGGGGGTCGAAAGAGTGCACCTGTGAGGACACTGAAAACCAGCAGGAGAATCATGAAGACAGGAAACAGGAGTCTCATTGTGAGATGAGTGGGTCCCACCAGTGCAGCCGTGGCAGTGCATGTCAGGAGGCTGACCCGGCTTTGCCCCTCCCCCTTCACTTGTTGGATGGCTCTGAGCAGGTTACTGAACCTGTCTGTGCCTCGGTTTCCTTCTCTATAACGTGGTTAATACTCATTTGGCCGGGCTTCCGTGTGGATTAAAGGAGACGCGTATCCAGGGCCCGGCACATAGCAAGTGCTGTAAGCAGTGGCACTCACAGGCTGCCAGGACAGGAAGGACCCTCAGAGGTCCGTCCCAAGCTGTGTGGGTAGGAGCAGAAGCTTCCTCTGCAGGGGGTCAAAAGAGTGCACCTGTGAAATCCAACCTCCAGGACCCCCAGGAGCCCGAGATGGACACAGGATCTGCACTGCTGGGTGGGGCGGAGAGGCAGGTGCTGGCGAGAGAAGAGCTAAGGGGTGCAGGATGGGGTGTGAGCTGGAGGGCAGGGGGTAGTCAGAGCCAACAGGGAGAGGGGCCTGCATCCCGAGGGAATGCCAGCACCAAGTGCCAAGGCCTGGGCAGCCCTGGGAATGGGTGGAGCCAAGGTCAATAGCAGAGAGCTTTGTAGTTGAGATGTTTGGTAGGGCAACCTCCTGAATATTTAAATATTTAATTAAATTAAATATTTAAATAAACTTGAAGTAGAACGTACTTAAAGTGCACAAATTGGTAGCTTGAATTCCCACCCCCTCCCCCCACATAAGAGGTGGGCTTGTCCAAGACTCCGAGGGACAGAGGGAGAATCGCTGGTGCCCAGCCAGTCGGTGACAGAGCAGGGATTAGAGATGGACCCCTGAGGCTTAGCCCCACGCTCTCTTCCCCAAACCCTGGGGCCTCAGTCAGCCTCTGGTAATCCCTTCTGTGCCCAGGGCACCAGAGCTGACGTTTCCCTTCAGCAAGGCAGGGGCCGAGGCTGCCAGAGCCCTGCTGGCGTCATCCTGCCTGGGATAGCTCGAGAGGTGGGGTGGGGGGATTACAAACCTCTAACAGCACCACAGGCTGCCCGGGGAACATCTGCTACTACAGCCTTGCAGCCCGGAGTCCCGGATTTTACTGGTTCCCGTGCCTGCGGACAGGCCCCCAGGGCTAGCGGCTTTGTGGAGGGAACACTGGGTATCCTCTCCACAGTCCAGGTAGGTGGGACCCCCACTCCTGGCTCTCAGCCTTTAGGAACAGGAGCTTCTCTACTTGGAGCTTCTAGACATGGAGGGAAACATGGAAGCCATGGAGTTTATTAAGTGTCTTGGAAGGTGGAGGGAGGGATGGCCTCCTCTAAGAACTGCAAATCTGCAGGGTGTCTTGGGAGACAAGAGTGCCCAGAGGGGAATGTCTGATGAGCTGGATGTGTGGGGCAGGGGGTGTCCTATGCACTCTCCTTGCCTGCTCCTCCCCATTCCCCAGGCCCTCTGCAGCCCCCGGCTCCCTCTAACCTCCCCACCCCCCACCACAAATCCTGCATGTGTGTGGCCCAGTCTGAGGCCATCTGGATAGAAGTAGAGGCTCCCTAAGGGCCCACTTTGATTAAGGGGCTCTCTAGGACCAAGGGCTGAGGCTACCTAAAAAGCTCTCTGCCACAGGATCTTGCACCCAAAGGACCAGAAGCCTCCCTCTGGGGAGGTAAGATAAACCACATGAATGGTGGTGTGGGGGAACCGGGCGCCCACCCACTGCACAGTTGCATTAGACGTGGTCAGTGGAGGGTCACGAGTCCTGCCTCCCCTCCCACCGTGGGCAGCAGGGTTGGGGTGCCCCAGGCTCCACTGAGCCCTGCTCATCCCTGCCACCATCTCTGGGGCTCAGAAGCACCCAGACGGCACCCTGAGACCAATGTCTGCAGGTCTGCAAGGTGGCAAACCTCCAGGGATCCTTCTGGCTGAGAGGGAAAGGTGGGGAGACAGTGCCAATGTTTGCAATGCCTGGTAACAGCCTCGGGGACCAGGTACCTGGGGAATGTGCCCATTGATTTAGGGGCTGTCTCCACCCCAGTTCCTGCTACAAAAGAGGCCAGATACATACTCTGGGGCCTGCCTCCCTGGAGATGAGGATGAGACCCCTGTCCCTTGCTGTTCTCCAACAGGTGCTGGGAGGCCCTCCTTGGCTTAGGAGGACACTTCCAAAGCTGGGGCGCCCCAAGGAGGCACCAGTGGCCAGAATGTCCACGCAGAGCACCCACCCCCTGAAACCTGAGGCCCCACGTCTGCCACCTGGGATCCCCGAGTCCCCGAGCTGTCAGCGGCGCCACACACTCCCTGCCAGTGAGTTTCGCTGCCTCACCCCGGAGGACGCTGTCAGCGCCTTTGAGATCGAGCGTGAAGGTGAGTGGCCCCGCACAGGGTCAGAGGGATGCTCCACTCTGGTCCAGTTATCCTGTGGGGAGGAGACCCTTAGTCTCCTGTCCTTGGAGGCTGGGTCCCAGAGTATCAGACCATGTGTGCGCTCAAGAAAGTGGGGGAAACAGCAGCCCTAACCCCCATTTTCCTGTGGGGAACGGGGCATCTGAGTGGACACTCGGGGTGCAGCAGACAGTGGACGCGAGGCACAGCGACTACCAGTCACCCACCTGAGCCTCCTGCCACAGCCTTCATCTCCGTCTTGGGCGTCTGCCCCCTGTACCTGGATGAGATCCGGCACTTCCTGACCCTATGTCCAGAGCTGTCCCTGGGCTGGTTCGAGGAGGGCTGCCTTGTGGCCTTCATCATCGGCTCGCTCTGGGACAAGGAGAGACTCATGCAGGTGAGGACAGGGCTGCGACGCCCAGCTCCAGGGAGGCCTCTGAAGACAGAGGTCAGCCAGATGGCGGGGAGGGGAGCCCAGGGGCTGGGATTTCTTCCTCCAGAACTGGAGAGATGAGTACAGGCCACAGGCCCCTCCCAGAGCAAGACCTTCTGGGTCTTCAAGTTTTCTCCATGGGGTTGGGGGTATGGCTCCCAATTTGGGGCCCTCCTTTGCTGGGGTGGGTGCCCTGACCACAGGCACCCAGGGGACACCTGCTCCCTGCCTGGGTTGGTGGTTGGGGGGGAGCACGTGTCAGCAGAAGTGACCTGGGATCTCATCCCTTGCTCGCTCCCAGGAGTCACTGACGCTGCACAGGTCTGGGGGCCACATAGCCCACCTGCATGTGCTGGCCGTGCACCGCGCCTTCCGGCAGCAGGGCAGGGGCCCCATCCTGCTGTGGCGCTACCTGCACCACCTGGGCAGCCAGCCGGCCGTGCGCCGGGCCGCGCTCATGTGCGAGGACGCGCTGGTACCCTTCTATGAGAGGTTCAGCTTCCACGCCGTGGGCCCCTGCGCCATCACCGTGGGCTCCCTCACCTTCATGGAGCTCCACTGCTCCCTGCGGGGCCACCCCTTCCTGCGCAGGAACAGCGGCTGCTGAACTGGGCTGCCCACCTGGCTGCCAACATGATCCCCGTCTCTGCCCTGGGCTCCTCTTAGCTCAGCTGAGCATGGAGACAGCAGTTTCCAGAGAGTGGAGAGAGCAGGGCTAAATAAAGAGGAGATAAGGTGGCTTCTCACGGCCTGAGCTGGAGTGGTGTGTCTTGTCTGTCCCCACGAGGCCTCTGGACCTCCTGTGTTCTGAACTCTGTACCTGAGACCGGGCTGGGTTGGTAAGCGGGGACAATGGGAGGTGCTGTGGGGTTCCTGGCTCCTTTCCTCCTGGCAGGTGGGCAAAGGCACCAAGGCGGCATCCTCACAGTAGCCCATTGCTCGGTGGGGGGGGGGGGTGTCCTTATTCTCCCCAGCCTCATGGATGCCGCTTCCCACCCTTAGCCCCTAGGGTGGGGGAGAGTGGGGAGCAGCAGGATGGGGCAGAGGCGGGAGGCCTGTGCTGTAGAGGCAGCTTGGGGCAGGGAAGCTGGTGCAGGGCCCTCTGCCCATGGTAATCAAGTGGTCATACCCGGTGCCTCACTGGCCATCCTCAGTGTGGTGGGTGAGGCACTGGCACAGGGAGTGGACTCGTCCCCGGGTGGGGTGACAGGTCCCCTCAGTGCCATCCCCATCAGGGCAGGCCACCCTGGGCCCAGGCAGCCCCTTCCCTGCTCTGGAGCCAAGGCAGAACAGGTAGGGGTGGGAACCCCAGGGCCCTAAGGATTCAACCCAGCCCTCCCAAGTGGACCCCTGGGGTCTCCCACGTGACCCCAATCTGCTTTCTGGCCCAACTAATTCCCCAAGATGCTCCACAAGTTTTCTGCTGTCCACCGGGCCAAACTGCTGTCTCTGAGCAGCTGATGGCTGACCCCTCACCTCACCCCCAAATCCCAGTTTCATGCTACCTGAGGTCTCCGTTAAAGACAATGTACTGCCATAAAGAATATTATTTAATCCATGAGACATCGTCCGTACAAAGTTAGCGTTACTTTTAAAAATGAAGACCGTGATATAAACTGGTAAAAAACGGGCCTGATGCGCCTCGAGCACTCCCTGGGAGCAGGCCCTGGGGTGGCTCCGCCCAGTGTCGTTCTACCTGAGGTCTACTTGTGTCTCCCCCCTTGTTCTCTGCCCCCAGACCATGGCCAAAGCCTTTCCCACAATGTCCCATCTGAGAGCCTTATGGATGGGCTCACAGGGCAGAGGTAGGAGGAGAAAGAGGAAGGGGCATGGTGGGCACCCAGCCCTGGGGGCAACTGAGGGCACAGCCACGTCCCCAGCAAGGGCACGCTCCAGTAGTAGTGGGGGAGAAGGCACCAGCAGAGGCAGCGCTGAGGACCTGGGAAGAAAAGGACCCTGCCCCAGGAGATGGTCTCAGCAAGGAGCGGGATATTAGGAACTGAGACCCAAGACTCAGAGAGGCAGGTGCCTTGGGTGTGCCTGAGCTTGGGTCAGGATCTCACAGGCCTCACGCCCCAGAAAAACCCCGCCTTAACCAACCATCTCACGCGGAGTCAGCCTCGCCTGGCAGGGGGGCACCCAGGTCCAGAGCCCGGGCCCTGTCTTGGGTCTCTGGCTCTCTGGCACACAGAGAGCGCTCTGCAGAGGGCAGCCCTCGCAGGCAGACCCTGTTCCAGCAGGGCTGAGGGGCAGCCGTGTGGCCCAGCGGTCAGTGCAGCACCTGGTCCAGCTCATACTTCTCGCAGAAGCGGCTGGTGAAGGGGAAGCAGGTGAGGTGCTCGATCCAGGGCCAGTTAATGGGGTAGATGTACAGCCACAGCACGAGGGCGGCGAAGAGGCCGGCAAAGGCCAGCAGTGACACCAGGATGAGTGCCCGCTTGCGGTACTTGTCGCTGGTGCCGAAGGTGATGTAGGGCAGGAAGGCGAAGGCCAGCAGCAGGCCACTGAGGAAGCCGAAGATGTGGGCGATGTTGTCGATCCAGGGCAGGAGGCCACAGATGAACAGGAAGAGCACGATGGCCGAGAGGTTGAGGAAGGCCTTCCAGGGCCTCTCCAGCAGCGGCCAGCTCTGGAAGAGCTCCACGAAGAGGCAGGCGAGGAGGCCGAACTGTGAGCCGGCCGGGCCCACCTGGGGCGGGGCAGGGGAGACGTGGCTTCAGGCATCAGGTGGGTGGCCTGGGCCGGGCCTGCACCCTGGGTCATCCCATCGATCAGCTCCTCCCTGGCAGGCATGGGGACCCCTGAGGCTGAGGGGCAGGGGGTCGGCTGGAGCTGCTGGACCAAAGCTGGGCCTGCTCCGCCCATTCTTTCAGCAAACACTGAGCGCCTACTGTGTACGTGCCTGGTGTGGGTCCGTAGCAATAAGCAAGACAGACAAGCCTGTTCCAGGCCGCACACGGTGGGGAGAGGACGGACACTGAACAAACTAGATCAGTCAGGTGGAACTGATCAGACTGCCGACGGCGCACGGAGGCCATTTCCTACCGCTCGACCTGCAGATACCTAGCATACTGTCAGGCAGTGGGCACGGTTAGGAAGATAAATGAGGCGGTGGAGGGACAGGGTGACTCAAGAGCATCACTGTTCCCTCTCACTGGGATTAAGAGACCAGCCAGTAAGCCCCCAGATTAGCTGTCCCTCCGCTGTGGAGCCCAGTACAGGAGGGGCACCGTGTCCCTCTGGCAGATCCCAGGTGGGTGGAATAGGAGCAGCAGGGCTGGCCCCCTATGTGCGGAAGGGGTCCCATCCTCCACATCCTTACCTCTGCCCGGTATGGGAGAAAGATGGCACTGGCGAGGTTGCCTGTGATGCCACTGAGGATGAAGATGATGGCGATACGGTGCCAGCCGGCCAGCTTCTCCAGGTCCCTCAGGATGGTCATTTGAAAGACCACAGACACGAGGCAGTGCACCACGCTGGGGGAGGGACACACCAGGCAGCGGCCTTCAGCCAGGCACTTCAGGAGCAGTAGGCTTCGGCAGGTTGGGCCGGCCATGCCCTGGCCCAGGAACCTTTCCCCAGGGGTCCGGCTGGGTGGCCATCACAGGGGTCGGGTTCGGGGGCAGTGAGGAGCCTCTTACCCAGCATGTAGGAAGAGAGACAGCCAGAGCCTGTAGAACTGATCTGGGACCTCAGGGTTGAGGAAGGGCAGCAGCCCACACACCTTGTCCAAGCAGTGCACCTGGGAGTGGGCATATGGTGCTCAGCGCCCCAGAAGCAGGCTGAGTCTGAGGCTCCGACATGGGAGGGAGTGCGTGAGCCCCGGCCCCAGCAGGCTGCCATGCCCAGCGTCCTCTCCTCCACTACTCCAGGCCTGCCTCGCCTCACCTGGGAGCAGAGTGTTGCTTCCTCATGGAAATAGCCGTGCATGAACTCACAGTATTCCCGGGTGGTGATCTCACAGCTAAGGGGGTGGTGAGGCAAGAGGGGACATCAGGGCGCCGAATAACCACTGCCCACCTTTGCCCAGAGCCCAGCACCTGGCTACAGGAGGCATCGCTGGCAGGAAGGGGGATGCCGCATCCAGAACCTTCGACTCTGGAGCAAGCTTCCTTCCTCCAGCTCGCACCATGGGTAGCCCCAGAGCAGGGGAGCAAAGGACAGTTATTGGAGGGCATCGGCCCAGCGGCTGTGGGTGGTGACGGTGGAGGAGCAGAGGGCCCACAGGAAGCCGCAGCTCGGGGGGGCAGTGGGATGGCTGAGGCCAGGGCCCAGGTCGCTCACCTGCCCTTGGTGCCGATGCAGCAGGGGCGGCCCTTGATCTCGCAGTCCATGTGCAGGAAGCCTGTGTGGTTGCTCCTGGCCTGCTCTGTGCAGATCTGCCAGGAGGGGGCACCGGCAGGGAAGTGGGCTGTGCAGCAGGCAGGTCCCCCATCCCTGACCTTCCCAGACCACTCCCCGCCAGGGACACTCACCGGCCACTTAGTGATGTCATCGGGCCAGATGTGGGCACCGCTGGAGGCTGGCTCCTCGCAGGTCCTGGAGACAGGGTTCAGATTGGGCTGTGGCACACCCAGCGTGCCACGTCCACCTACCCACGTCCCTGTGGGTGGCTCAGATGGCATGGCTATGCCTGACCCTGAGGCCCAGCAGAGGCTCCAGGCCCTACCTGGGGTCCTGGTGGCAGACAGCCCCCGAAGTCCGCTTCTGGCCCAGATCAGACTTGTCCATGGGGGGCCCAGTGTCATCCTGCCACTTGACAAAAGTGGCCAAAGTCTCCTGGAGGGCAGAAGAAGGCTGGTGGGTCATGTCGGGGCCAGGTCACCCCCACTGGAGTGGGCAAGGACAGAGGCTTTTCCCATCTCCCCAGGGCTCAGTCTCATCTATGGGGGTCTGGGAAAGGTGGGGCGGGGAGGAGGGAACGTGGTCACTGCCCTTGAAGGACAGGGCAAGTGGAGCTAGTCCGGGACCAGGGTCTGGCAGGGGTAGGAGGGAGGGCCTGCCCCCACCGAGCAGTCCTTCCGCTGGGTCTGGATGCATCCGGAGTGGTCATTCTGGACACAGCAGCCTGAGTCCCGCTCCAGGTCTCGCTCGCGCAGCACCAGCTGCTCGATCTGCCCGTCCTTCCGGATGCAGGGTGAGAACTTGGCCCCCAGGTGGATCAGGTCAATCTGGGGAAGGGAAAGGGAGGGGAGAGAGTGAGTTTGAGCCCCAGACCTGGGAGGGGTCCATCACTCCACCTCTGCCCCGCAGAGTCTCCCCTGATGAGGGGCCTGCGGGTGGGTGAGGAGCCCACCTGCCCAGCTGGGAGTGACAGGGCACAGGGACTCCTGGCTCAGATGATGTCCCCCAGCCTGGGCCCTCACCGAGCTGGGGCCAACCCAGAAGTTCTCCTGCTGGATGTACTTCACGCTCTCGTACACACCTTTGTTCCGCAGCACCTATCGTGGAGGTAGCACAGAGGAGGGCGTCAGAACAGTGTGGGCCCTGGGCATGGGGAGCTGGGGCAGCTGTCCCCAGGATAGAGCCTCCAGGAAGGGGCCAGGCTATGGTGAGCACCACCCTGCTGGGGCCAGATTGTTGCGGTGGGAGGGATTAGGTACCCACGACACTGAGGCCTCCTAGGAGAGGCTGGGACCCCCAGCATGGAGCCTGACCCGACTCACCAGCTGGGTGGTGACGTGCTGGGCAAAGCCCACGGGTGCGATGCCATACGTGCAAATCACCAGCAGCGTGATGATGACATGGACGAAGGTCAGCCAGTAGGTGAAGTAGGGCCTGTGCAGAGACACCTCGGGTCAGCTGAGCCGAGCTCCTATCCCAACCCCCAGTCCCGGCCACAGGGCCACCCTGGCCTGGTCACATGGCTCGCCTGGGCTCCCTGTTCTGCCCCGTCAACTCATCTCAAACCAGAGGAACTTTTAAGACGAGCCTCCAAGCATCTCTCTCCTAGCTTAAAACCTTTTGATAGCTTTCCACTGGCCTTGGGACAAATTCCAGAATCACCCCCTCTTGCTGGCTGCAAAGCTTTGCCTGACCGACCACCTCTCTGGCCTCTTTGCCTGCATTTCCTGGGATGTACTTTGCCCTTCCAGCCCCAGGGCCTTTGCACATGACATCACAGTTTGTCCTGACTGCACCCCTCCCCACCAGCTGTTCACTCTCCCTCTCTATCCTCCTCCGGGACACCCACCACACCTATCATTGCTTGTTCTTTTCTTTTCTTTTTTTTTTTTTGAGACAGAGTCTCGCTCTGTCACCTAGGCTGGAATGCAGTTGTGCGATCTCAGCTCACTGCAACCTTCGCCCCCAGGTTCAAGCGATTCTCCTGCCTCAGCCTCCCTCGTAGCTGGGATTACAAGCACCCACCATACCTGCCTAATTTTGTTTGTCTTTTTAGTAGAGACCAGTTTTCACTGTGTTGGCCAGGCTGGTCTCGAACTCCTGACCTCAGGTGATCTGCCCACCTAGGCCTCCCGAAGTGCTGGGATTACAGGTGTGAGCCACCGGGCCTGGCCATTGCTTGTTATTTTCTTTTTCTTTTCTTTCTTTTTTTTTTGAGATGGAATTTCGCTCTTGTTGCCCAGGCTGGAGTACAATGGTGCGATCCTGGCTCACTGCAACCTCTGCCTCCCAGGTTCAAGTGATTCTCCTGCCTCAAGCCTCCCGAGTAGCTGGGATTACAGGCATGCACCACCACGCCCGGCTAATTTTTTGTATTTTTAGTAGAGATGGGGTTTCACCATGTTGGCCAGGCTGGTCTTGAACTCCTGACCTCAGGTGATCCGCCTGCCTCGGCCTCAGAAAGTGCTGGAATTACAGGCGTGAGCCACCGCGCCCTGCCTGCTTGTTATTTTCTAATTTGGGCCCAGTGTTTATTGGGCTGCTGCAAATCAGATGCCCTGTTCTTCCCCAAGGGCTCTGCATAGCCTCTCCCAGAGTCCCCTCCCTCCCAGCCCCAGCTTCTTCTTTTAAAGTAGAGGTAGGGTCTCACTATGTTGCCCAGGCTGGTCTCAAACTCCTAGGCTCAAGCAATCCTTCTGACTCAGCCTCCCAAAGTGCTATAATTACAAGTGTGAGCCACGGCGCCCAGCCCTGGCCCCAGCTTCTAACTGTCCTCTGACCGACCCTGCCCTCCCTGCTCCACCCTCTGGGGGTTCCATTTTAGGGCCTGCAGGCAGTGACACTCAATGAACATTTGTTGACTGACTGCTGTCTGGGAGCAAGGCTGGGGACCAGGCTCAGAAAGCATGGGGTGGAAGAGAGGCAGCAAGCACCCCTGGCCCTTCCCAGGTCATGTGCACAACCCTTGGGACAGGGTGCGCCTTCGAGCTTGTCACTACACTCCTGATCCGCAGAAGATGCTCATGAAACACTTGCTGAATGAGTAAGGGGGCGCTTCAGGAGGGCCCAGAGGAATTTGGAACCTTCCAGGCTCTCCTGGGGGCTCCAGGGCGACACCTCACCGGTGGCTGTCGAAGCTCTCCAGCTGCCGCTGCACAGTGCTGCTGATGCTGCGGCGGTAGCTGCGGTTCAGCCAGTTGCCCACCACGCCGAGGCCGTAGTGCCGCTTCTTCCGATCAAAGGCAAAGTGCTTCACCTTGGAGGCGATGCGCTTGCCGCGCCGGGGCCCGGGGACTGGGGCTCGGCCATACTCCTTCCTGGTGGGGATGGTGGCTTTCAGCCTGAATCCCCCACCAAAATACTCCCAGACCCCACCAGGGTGCTCAGAAGGGGCTTGGGGGCCAGGGTGAGGTCTGGGGATGCCCCCAGGCTGGTGGCTGGCCTGGAGGAGGGACTCTGCCCCAGCACTCACAGAGGGATTTGCACCCCATCGGGGGAGACAGGGGAGGCTGAGTGTGGGATCCCTCGGAAGTAGCTGGCAGAGAGTGGGGGGGACTCAAAGACATCATCAGGCATGGAGCTCATTTCTTCCTGGGGTGGGGGACAAGAAAATACAGTGTAAGGAGTCTGTCCCAAACACTGCCCCCCGGAACCTCAATTCAAGGGCAGGACACAGCTGAACAGACGGGCTCTTCACAATGAATTGGGAAGCCACATGCCCGTCAGCCCCAATGGTGACTTTCCCGGGTGGCACTGTGCCCCACCGCAGGTCTTCACCCTACCCAACAGAAAGATGGGGGCCCAGCAGCTCCACATAGGACCATGCCACATCCCAGCAGTGGGCCTCTGGGTCCCTCAGGGGTTCCTGAATATGATCAATGCCAAGGTCACCTCACCCAGCTCCCAGGCCACCCCACCCAACTCCTGCTGTCCCACACCCCATGCTTGCCTTACTAAAAAAGGAGGAGTCAAACGTGTCTGCCCCATCGACCACATCCTCCTCCAGGAAGCTCGGGAAGGCAAAGCTGCGCTTGACCACCCGGCACCGCTGTCCGGTGGCATCCAGCACCGAGCGCCCCTGTGCACGGGCAGAGGCACAGCCATCAGGACCACAGCCTGGCCACCTAGGCCCCCAGCCCCAACACCGAAGGAATCATCAAGCCCATCCGCCTGCAGGCAGCGCCTTGGGAGGAGGGATCCTGCCCAAAGCGTGGAGATTCTGCAAGCTGAACGGGCAAGAGGAGCTCCTGAGACTGGAAGGCCAGGAAATGAGACACCAGCTTCCGTTGGCACACCACTCTTGGCACAGTTTGGAGTCACCTTTCCCTTGGTCCCTGCTGCCCCTCTGCCTTGGGCTGCTGGTACCCTAACACTCAAAGCAACCCACATTCTATACCCTCACTCCCGAGGCTTGGGCCATGTCTCCCTGTCCCTGTTTCTTGGCACGGAATACCAGGTCCCTGCCCACCTTTCTGACCCCATCTCCTGCCACAGCTCCTATAACCACCCTTCACTAAAACCACATCAAACCGCCTGCTGCCCCCTCAAAGCACTGTACTTCCTCTGGGCTCCTGGCCCTTGCATAGGCCATTCCCTCTGCTGAGAATGCTGTTCCCTTCCTTCCCTAGTGAACGTCTCCTTGTGTCTTCTGGGCTTAACTCAATGTCTTCCCTGATAACAGCCGCTCTCCTAAACTGACCACCCTGAATGGTGACCCTCACCCTGGGCTGCGAGCTCAGCCAGGATGGCGATGGCTCTGCACGCGGTGCCCAGCACGTAACAGGGACTTGGAAAACCCGGGTGGATGAGGAGCAAGTATGCATCTCACTTCCCACTTCCCCAGCTTAAGAGTCAGTGCAGAGACCAGGTTCCAAAACTTGGCAGGGGGTCACACGAGATTTAAGACAGAAGGATGGACGCCTGGGTGCTGGGCTTCGGGGTCCCTCTTTGCCCAGGGATCCCAGCACATCCACTGTCCTTGGCACCGTAGGCAGATGCCCAGGTGAGCTTTAGGGGATGCTACTATGAGGAGTGGAAGGGAGGGGCAAGGAAGGGAGGCCGGGCAGAGGTGGGGGCCCTGCAGGAGGGAGCCCCGCACCTTGAGGAGGGCAGCGGCAGCTTGCAAGCTCATGTGGGCCACAGACATTCTCTTGCGGCGTGGCAGGTGGGAGTAGCCAGAACGGACACTGGTGAAGGAGGTGAGGGACAGGACTCCGGGGGTCAGCGGTGGGTGCGGGGCGTGGGGCCTGTCCATCTCCTCCGGGTGGCGGAAGGCCCGGCCCCGGGCCAGCGGATCCACAATCTGGAAGGGAGGGGGGCGGTAAGCAGAGCCATTAGGGTCCCCACCCCTGCCTCCTTTCCCCATGGATCCCACCTTGGGCATCTTGCAGGGCTTTGGGGACTCAGTGCCCTGGAAGGACGGTGCCTCCTGGCTGGGGAGCTCCAGGTCACGCTGGCACGAGGCCTTCAGGCGGCCGTAGCGCATGCTGCAGTGGTGCAGGCTGCGGCGCTGCCACTGCTGCCGCTGCCCCTCCCAGTCGCCGCTGACTCCAAACCACTGGGCTGCGCCCCTGCGGAAGCAGACAAGGGACAGGTGGGCATACGCTTGTCTACGCCTGTGCACCTGAGTGTGTGGAAGGGGTGATGGCACGTGTGTGCCCGCGTGCCTACAGGGAGGTGGGGGGCGGATCTGCCTGTGAGGCCCCTGGCTGGAGCCCAGTGACCAGATGAGCAGAAGCAGGGGATGACGGGAGCGTGAGGAGCCAGGCTAGGGCCCCAGGCACCCCCACACTGATCCACCCAGCTCCTCGAAGCCCCCCAGCCTCCACACCGTGATATTCCGCAAAGCACATACCCATTTCCCCATCTATACCATGATAATAGGCCACAGGGAGACATTGCTCATTAATGCCGGCCTCCTCCTTCCAGAGAGGGGACGCAGGGACCAGGCCCAATCATGTCCAGGCCCCGAGAATCCACAGGTTGCTGGGTGGGGGGTGCTGGGCTTGGGTGTAGGGGGGCTCACTTGCGGATGCTCTGGGACAGTGAGGCCTGGCGGCGGAAGCCAGGGCGCTTCTCTGAACTCTCCTGCCATCGGCTGCGTGGCTCCTGGAGGCTGACGCTCTTCAAGTAGGCTGGGTTCTTCCTCTTGGGGAGGAAGGAGGGAGGGCAGGCGGTGGTGTGTGCAGCCCAGGTCCTGGGCTGGCTTTTCTTTAGCCTCCTATTCTGAAAACCCTGAGAACAAACTTCAACCCTGATTTATGCCCCAATTTGCTTTCATTTGGAAATATATATATATAATGTGTGTGTGTGTGTGTGTGTGTGTGTGTGTGTGTTTGTATATGTATATATATATATATATATATTTTTTTTTTTTTTTTTTTTTTTTTTTTGGAGATGGAATCTCACTGTATTGTCCAGGCTGGAGTGCAGTGGTGTGGTCTCGACTCACTGACACCTCCGCCTCCCAGGTTCAAGCGATTCTTCTGCCTCAGCCTCCTGAGTAGCTGGGACTATAGGCATGTGCCACCACACCCGGCTAATTTTTGTATTTTTAGTAGAGACGGGGTTTCACCATGTTGGCCAGGCTGGTCTCGAACTCCTGCCTGACCTCAAGTGATCTGGCCGCCTCGGCCTCCCAAAGTGCTGGGATTACAGGCATGAGCTACCATGCCCGGCCTATATATATATTTTTTGGGACAGAGTCTTGCTCTGTTGCCCAGGTTGGAGGGCAGTGGCACCATCATAGCTCACTGGAGCCTCGACCTCCCAGGCTCAAGCAAGCCTTCTACCTCAGTGTCCTAAGTAGCTGGGATTACAGGCATGTGCCACCACACCCAGCTCTTTTTTAATTTTTTTTGCAGAGACAGAGTCTTGCTATGTTGTCTAGTCTGGTCTCGAACTCCTGGGCTCAAGTGATCTGGCTGCCTCAGCCTCCCAAAGTGATGAGATTACAGGCATGAGGCGACCTCGCCCAGCCTCATTCTGAATTTAAAATCGCCATTGTCTAACTTTTCTCCGTCAAGGCCAGCGTGTGTTTTCCTAACTCCTCATCCAGTCCCTCCCCTCTGCACCATGACGCTCCTGCCTGCTGCTGTGTCTTCTGCAGAGCTCTCGGGTGAACGGGGGGCGTTAACATCGCTTCCCTTTATACTCCAGACTGTGCAGGAAGCCCACGCTGCCACAAGCCGGTTTTCAATGAGCTCTTTATGGGGCACTAGACCAGACTGTCAGAAACACTGATCTGTTCTCGTCCTCCCAAAGGAAGCGGACACTGCCTAGGCGGGCTGCTGATGCCAGGGAGACACTGTCCCCTGCTCACCCATGTCAAAGAAAGCCCCCAGCCCTCAGAAGAGAGACTGAGAGTCCAGGCCTAGGGGGTGAAATGAGAACAGCCAGGGCCCCAGGGTTACCAGCAAGCACTTTCTTGGGGCTGGCCCTTCCTGTGTGCCCCTGACCACGATGAGAGTGAGCCCGGTTCCTGGCTTTACTCCCTGTGATATTTCGGGCCCAGGAAGGAGGGGGTAGGGCCCGAGTCAAGGGCTGCACAGACAGCAGCTGTGGCTCAGGAAGGAGCCCCTCTGGGAAGTGAAACTGACCAGAAAGTGTCACGTGGGTACATCTGTTACCTACGGCAGAACAGTGAGCCCCCAGGCCAGCCCCCTTACCTCAGGCAGCATGCTGTCCTGCTCGCCAGGGGCCTGGGTCTCTTTCTCGGGTGGCGGGATGGTGATGGAGAGGTTGGGTGGCTTCCGGCTCTGCAGGCGGCTGCTGGACACAGAGGACACGCTCCCGCCATTCTTGTCAGCAGAGGCCATTGTGGGCAGGAGGCGGGAGGGCTGGAATGGAGACCGGGAGAGCAGCGGTGGGCGGTGCGGGGTGGCGCAGTGTCAGGACCCTGACGCCAGGGCACGCAGCCCAGACCAAGAACCAACTTGCCTAAAGTTGGTTCAAACATCTCTGGGCGGCTGGGCGCGGTGGCTCACGCCTGTAATCCCAGCACTTTGGGAGGCCGAGGTGGGGGGATCACGAGGTCAGGAGATCGAGACCATCCTGGCCAACATGGTGAAACCCCGTCTCTACTAAAAATACAAAAAATTAGCTAGGCGTGGTGGCACGTGCCTGTAATCCCAGCTACTCGGGAGGCTGAGGCAGGATGGCTTGAACCCAGGAGGCAGCGGTTATAGTAAGCCGAGATCGCGCCACTGCACTCCAGCCTGGCGACAGAGCAAGACTCTGTCTGAAAACACACACACACACACACACACACACACACACACACACACACACACACACAAAACCAAAAACAAACCATCCCTGGGGACTAAACCCAGCCTGAACCAGGCTGAACCTCAGGCCCAGTGGTTGGAGTGAGGTCTATTTCTGACCATCATTTGCATCCCGGACCATATGGGTCTGGGAGGTCCTCAACTTACTACCTCATTCAATTTCTGATCTCTCCGCTTGAGGCAAGAACCAAACCCTGAAAAGAGCATGAAGATGCAGGCCAGGGACGGTGGCTCACACCTGTAATACCAGCACTTGGGGAGGCCGAGGTGGGCCGAGAGATGAGAAACCTACTGTGCTGGTCCCTGTCCCCCAAGGCCACCCAGTTTATTTTTCTTGTCTTTTTTCTGTAGAGGTGGGGGTCTCTCCATGTTAGCCAGGCTGGTCTGGAACTCCTGGGCTTAAGCCATCTGCCTGCCTTGGCCTCCCAAGTGCTGGGATTACAGGTGCAAGCTCACTGTGCCCAGCCCCAGTTCATTTTTCAAAGATAACTAAAACTGGCTGGGTGCGTGGCTCATGCCTGTAATCCCAGCACTTTGGGAGGCCGAGGTAGGTGGATCACCTGAGGTCAGGAGTTTGAGACCAGCCTGGCCAACATGGTAAAACCCTGTCTCTACTAAAAATACAAAATTAGCCAGGTGTGGTGGCGCATGCCTATAATCCCAGCTACTTGGGAGGCTGAGGCACGAGAATTGCTTGAACCCAGGAGGCAGAGGTTGCAGTGAGCCAAGATCATGCCACTGCACTCCAGCCTGGGCGACAGAGTGAGAAAATGTCTCAAAAAAAAAAGATAACTGAAACTGCCACCTGTCTGGCACTTTTCTCCCCCATAGTGAGAACACTGTTTAACAATAAAAGTGGCATATGCTCATTGAAAAAAAAAAAAAATCACACAGCTGTGTGTGGTGGCTTACACGTACAATCCCAACACTTTGGGAGACCAAGGTGGATGGATCACTTAAGGTCAGGAGTTCGAGACTAGCCTGGCCAACACAGTGAAACACCATCTCTACTAAAATACAAAAATTAGCCAGGCATAGTGCCTCATTCCTGTAGTTCCAGCTACTCGGGAGGCTGAGGCAGGAGAATCACTTGAACCCGAGAGGAAGAGATTGCTGTGAGCCAATCTCATTGCACCCTCCACCTCCCAGGTTCAAGCAATTCTCTTGCCTCAGCCTCCCAAGTAGCCGGGGTTATGGGCGTGAGCCACCAAGCCCAGCCCACACTCTATCATTTTACCTGCATTGTAGACATCTTTCCCTGTCAACACATACGGACAGACCTACTTTTTTTCTTTTTTCTTTTTTTTTGTGATGGGGTCTCATTCTGTCACCCAGATTGGAGTGCAGTGGCGCGATCTCGGCTCACCGCAACCTCCACCTCCCAGGTTCAAGTGATTCTCCTGCCTCAGCCTCCCAAGAAGCTCGGATTACGGGCATGCGCCACCACGCCCAGCTAATTTTGTATTTTTAGTAGAGATGGGGTTTCTCCATGTTGGTCAGGCTGGTCTCGAACTCCTGACCTCAGGTGATCCACCTGCCTCGGCCTCCCAAAGTGCTGGGATTACAGGTTTCAGCCACCACACCCGGCCCTAGGCCTCTTGTCTTTTTTGATGAATGCAAAGATTTCATAAGTGGAATGCACCAAGATTTACTTAAGTCCAGACTGCTGGTTATTTAGGATGTTTCCGGAATTTGAGACATGGGTCTGATGTTGCAACTAACACCCTTGCATACACCGCGTGTGCTTGTTTAACTATTACAAGACCAAGTTCTGGAAGCAGAATGGCTGGGTTGAAGAGTAAGTACATCCCAAATTTCAGTGGCTGTTGCCCAGTACCCCATCTGGGGCTTTCCTGTGCGTGTGCCACCAGTCCCCAGTTCCCCTCTGACTCCACCAGAATTAACACCCTCTGCCTGTTTCATTCTCTTCGTTTCGTCTCTTGCTCTGCCCCATGACCGTCTTCTTGTTAAAACCCCCAGCTGTGGCCGGGCGCGGTGGCTCATGCCTGTACTCCCAGCACTTTGGGAGGCCAAGGTGGGCAGATCACCTGAGGTCGGGAGTTCGAGACCAGCATGACCAACATGGAGAAACCCCGTCTCTACTAAAAATACAAAAAATTAGCTGGGTGTGGTGGCGCATGCCTGTAATCTCAGCTACTCGGGAGGCTGAGGTAGGAGAATTGCTTGAACCCGGGAGGCAGAGGTTGCAGTGAGCCGAGATTGCACCATTGCACTCCAGCCTGGGCAACAAGAGCGAAACTTCGTCTCAAAAATAAAAATAAAAATAAAAATAAACCCCCCCAGCTGTTTCCTCTCCTTCACATCCCAAGGTTCCTGGGCAAGTTTTGTTTTTCCTCTCCTTGTACGAAGCCAGGGACTCCATACCCATCTCCCTGGGAGCCCTTCAGCCAAGGGCGTGTGTGGGCTGAGGCGTGGCATGCACGGGTCGGCGAGACAGCAGCCATCTGAACCTGTCCTCCTCCTCCATCTCTACCTCACCTCCACCATCTCCACCTCACCTCCACCATCTCCTCACCTGGAGGCTCACTCCACTCTCTCAATTCCTCTACCTGCTGCCTCAAGCCCCCTGAGACTGATCATTCTCCGCACCGCAGCTGGGGTCACCTCCCAAAAGCATAGATCACACCTGTTGCTTCCCTGCTCAACTCTCTCCCAGGATTTCCTGTTCTCACCCAAAGTCCAAACGTCTCACTGGGACTTCCAGGACCTCTCTTCGTCTCTTCCTGTGCCCTTGCTTACCCCTGACCCAGCTTTCCTGGGCCCCTCATTGTCTCAAACTGGCCAAGCTCTGCTGGGGGTGGGGTTCATGATCAAAAGCAATGGAGCCGGCAGCGCATACTGGGCCAATGGTCTTGCATTTGCTGTCGGGTTAGTCACCTGACAACTCATCACCCAAGTCCTGACCTGCACAAGGGGGAGAGTAACGGTTCCTCCCCAGAGAAGCGTCTGGAGGAGCAAATGAGTGGATGATGTCACCGGGCACAGTGGCTCACGCCTGTAATCTCAGCATTTTGGGAGGCTGAGGTGGGCGGATCACCTAAGGCCAGGAGTTCAAGACCAGCCTGGCCAACATGGTGAAACCCCATCTCTACTAAAAATACAAAAATTAGGCTGGGCGCGGTGGCTCATGCCTGTAATCCCAGCATTTTGGGAGGCCGAGGCGGGCGGATCACCTGAGGTCGGGAGTTCGAGACCAGCCTGACCAACATGGAGAAAGCCTATCTCTACTAAAAATACAAAAAACATTAGCCAGGCATGGTGGTGCATCCCTGTAATCCCAGCTACTCGGGAGGCTGAGGCAGGAGAATCGCTTGAACCTGGAAGGTGGAGTTAGCGGTGAGCCGAAATCTCGCCATTGCACTCCAGCCTGGGCAACAACAGCAAAACTCTGTCTCAAAAAAAAAAAAAAAAAAAAAAGAGCTGGGTGTGGTGGTGGGCAACTGTAGTCCCAGCTATTCGGGAGACTGAGGCAGGAGAATCACTTGAACCCAGGACGGGGGGTGTGGTTACAGTGAGCCGAGATCTCGCCACTGCACTCCAGGCCTCCAGCCTGGGCGACAGAGTGAGACTCCGTCTCAAACAACAACAAAAAATGAGCAGATGGCTTCACACACTGAAGCACTGTGTCCACACAGAAACCTGGACAGGAAGTGCCCGGCAGCACGGCTCTGCAGAGCCGGAGCAGGAAAACAGCACAAGCGCCCGTCAGCAGATGAAGGCACAAATATAAAATGTGGTTGAGCCACACAATGGAGCATCCTTCAGCCACAAAAGGAAGGAAGTCCTAACAAAGCTACAACGTGGACGAGCTTTGAGAACATTGTGTCCAGGGACAGGAGCCAGTCACGATGGCCACCTCTGCATGAGTCCATTCATATGAAAGCTCGGAATAGAAGAGGGAAATCTATAGACAGAAGCAGGGTAGTGGTTCTTAGGACTGGGAAGGTGGGGACTGGGCAGGGGGTGACAGCTAAAGGGTGCAGGCTTTCTTTAGGGGGTGATGAAAGCAATCTGAAACTGTGGTGATGGTGGCACAATTCTGTGAATATGTATATATATGTACACACACACACACACACACACACACACACACACACACATATAGTTTTTGAGACAGAGTCTTGCTCTGTCACCCAGGCTAGAGCGCAGTGGTGCGATTTTGGCTCACTGCCAACCTCCACTTCCCAGGTTCAAGCGATTCTCCTGCCTCAGTCTCCCGAGTAGCTGGGACTACAGGCGCAAGCCACCATGCCTGGGTAATGTTTGTATCTTTAGTAGAGATGGGGTTTCACCATGTTGGCCAGGCTAGTCTCGAACTCCTTACCTCAAGTTTGCTTCGGCCTCTCAGAAAGTGCTGAGATTACAGGTGTGAGCCACTGTGCCCAGCCTCTGTGAATATATCAAAATCACTGAAGGTTGGGAGCGGTGGTTCATGCCTGTAATCCCAGCAATTTGAGAGACTGAGGCAGGAAGATCACTTGAGCCCAGGAGTTCAAGACCAGCCTGAGCAACATAGTGAGATCCCATCTGTATAAAAAAATTAAAAAATTAGCCAGATATGGTGGTGCGTGCATATAGTCCCAGCTACTCAGGAGGCTGAGGCAGAAGGATGGCTTGAGCTAGGAAGGTCGAGGCTGCAGTGAACCGTGATCGCGCCACTGTACTCCAGCCTGGGTAACAGAGTGAGACCCTGTCTCAAAATATAAATAAATAAATAAAAACACTGATGGTACACTTTAAATGGGTGAATCGACTGGTGTGTGAATTCTCTCTCAATGAAGCAGGTGCTCCATAATGTTGGGCCTCTGTCCGAGCCAGTCACTCTGTCCCAGACCATCACACAGAGGAGGGGCTGGCTCTTCTCAGCCTCCTGGTTGCAGTTCAAGTGCCCTCCTGCCCCACCTTGAGCAGTGCCGGTCCCACCTCGCTTCCTGCCTTTTTTTTTTTTTTTTTTTTTTTGAGACTGAGTTTCATTCTTGTTGCCCAGGCTGGAGTGCAGTGGCACGATCTGAGCTCACTGCAGCCTCCGCCTCCTGGGTTCAAGCAATTCTCCTGCCTCAGCCTCCCGAGTAGTTGGGATTACAGGCATGCACCGCCATGCCCAGCTAATTTTGTATTTTTTAGTAGAGACTGGGTTTCTCCATGTTGGTCAGGCTGGTCTCAAACTCCTGGCCTCCACCCGCCTTGGCCTCCCAAAGTGCTTGGATTACAGGCGTGAGCCAGCATGCCTGGCAAATTTTTTTTTTTTTTGAGATGTAGTCTCACTCTGCAGCCCAGGCTGGAGTGCAGTGGCATGATCTTGGCTCACTGCAACCTCTGCCTCCCAGGTTCGAGCGATTCTCCTGCCTCAGCCTCCCAAGTAGCTGGGACTACAGGCGCGCACCACCACGCCCAGCTAAATTTTTTGTATTTTTAGTAGAGATGGGGTTTTGCCATGTTGGCCAGGCCAGTCTCGAACTCCTGACCTCAGGTGATCCACTCACCTCGGCCTCCCAAAATGCTGGGATTACAGGCGTGAGCCACCGCGCCCGTCCCTTCCCTGCCCTTATTCCTCCCTCTCGCTCCCTGAATTGACTTTCTTCATTCACTGTCCACCGCTGTTCAGACAGAGAGCGTGGGCCCCGCAGGAGGTATCTGGACGTGGGCACAGCAGCCAGCGCCCTGGGTCCAGCCACCCGGCCGCCCAGCTTCCTACCTTCGAGTCTGAGTTTGCCCGCGGCTTCCTGGGTCTTGCTGTGAAGGGCTTTAGAGCATGTTCTTGTCTTCTCCTTGCTCTGTACAGATGCTCCGGTGTCAAGCCTCAGTCTGTGGAAGGGTGGCTGGACAGACAGGTGGCTGGAAGGACAGATAGACAGCTCCAGGCCACACGGTGCAGCTTCCTGGGTACTCACAGCTGGAAGAAAGGAGGGCCGGCTCCAGGGGGCATGCCCACCACTGAGTGCTTTAACCTTCCTCACCTCAGTCTCCCCATCTGTAAAATGGGGCCAATTCCACCTGCCTCACTGGTAAGGGATTAAAGGTGCTAATCAGGCATCTCCGAGTGCCAAGCAGCGAGGGGCACTGGCCTCAGGGTGTTCACAGCCAATCACCTAACAACAGTCCTCTGGTCTGGGAACCTGATTGGAGCAGAACATTAGAGTCAAGATGGCCCCTGTTATTTTTCTCAATATTACTTGAACAGAACAGAAACATTTAACTTTCGGCCAGGGGCAGTAGCTCACACCTGTAATCCCAGCATTTTGGGAGGCTGAGGCAGGTGGATCACCTGAGGTCAGGAGTTCGAGATCGGCCTGGCCAACATGGTAAAAACCCATCTCTACTAAAAATACAAAAGTTAGCTGGGTATGGTGGTGCACACCTTTAGTCCCAGCTACTCGGGAGGTTGAGGCAGGAGAATTGCTTGAACCTGGGAGGCGGAGGTTGCAGTGAGCCGAGATTGTGCCATTACACTCCAGCCTGGGCGACAGAGGGAGACTCTGCCTCAAAAAACAAACAAAACCACATATTTTTGGGCAGGGTGCAGGCGCTCACACCTGTAATCCCAGCACTTTGGGAGGCCAAGGTGGGGGAATCATGAGGTCAAGAGTTCGAGACCAGCCTGGCCAACATGGTGAAACCCTGTCTCTACTAAGAATACAAAAATTAGCCGGGGCTGGGTGCAGTGGCTCACGCCTGTAATCCCAGCACTTTGGGAGGCTGAGGAGGGTGGATCACGAGGTCAGGAGTTCGAGACCAGTCTGGCCAACATAGTGAAACCCCATCTCTACTAAAAATACAAAAAAGTAGCCGGGTGTGGTGGCGGGCGCCTGTAATCCCAGCTACTCAGGAGGCTGAGGCAGGAGAATCACTTAAACATGGGAGGCGGAGGTTGCAGTGAGCCAAGATCGCGCCATTGTACTCCAGCCCAGATGACAGTGTGAGACTCTGTCTCACAACCAAAACCAAAACCAAAAACAACAAAATAATTAGCTGGGTGTGGTGGGCCTGTAATCCCAGCTACTCGGGAGGCTGAGGCAGGAGAGTTACTTGAACCCGGGAGATGGAGGTTGCAGTGAGCCGAGATCGCGCCACTGCACTCCAGCCTGGGTGACAGAGCAAGACTCCGTCTCGAAACAAAACAAAACAAAACAAAAGAACCCCACATATTTAACATTCAAAGTCCAGGAATTACTAACTGCCTTCTGATACTTAAGGCAAAGTTCAAATGATCTGGAAGTGTTTTGTTGCTTTGATTGGTAATTTATTGAACTTAAAAGTCACACAACATAAAATCAACCATTTTAAAGCACGAAACCCAGGGGCATTCCTGTTTTTTTTTTTTTTTTGAGATGGAGTCTCGCTCTGTAGCCCAGGCTGGAGTGCAGTGGCATGATCTCAGCTCCCTTCAAGCACCGCCTCCCGGGTTCACGCCATTCTCCTGCCTCAGCCTCCGGAGGAGCTGGGACTACAGACGCCCGCCACCACACCCGGCTAATTTTTTATACTTTTAGTAGAGACGGGGTTTCACCATGTTAGCCAGGATGGTCTCGATCCCCTGACCTCGTGATCCGCCTGCCTCGGCCTCCCAAAGTGCTGGGATTACAGGCGTGAGCCACCGCGCCCAGCCGCCTGTTTGTTTTTAAGAAGTCCTGCCCAGGCCATCCTTTGAGGGGAACCCCAAGATGCCGGAAGCCCTCCCGGGGCCGGGCAGGATTTAAGTCCTTAACTGTGCGGGGCCTTGTTTGGCCCTTTACACACATTACCCTTCAAAACACCTTCCAGGGTGACATTAGCGTCTCTTCCATTCTGTAGATGGTGAATGGAGGCTCAGAGGGGTTTGGTAACTTGCCCAAGCTCACATAGCCAGGAAAGGGTGTAGCTAGGACGCCCGATGTCTGGCTCCAGGGCCTGGAGGCTCCTAGGGGACGGGCTCCTCTTGCCCTAAGACTGGGGCTAGAAGACCCCCTCTCAGGGAGCCAGAGAGGGAACTTGGTCCAGCATTCCAGCGCTTTCCAAACCAAGCTCCTCAGAGGCCTGGGGGTCCCCAGCGGTGCCCAAGGGGCTGCTATGGGGCAAACCAGAGGCTGGGGAGTAGCCCACGCTCCCCATTGATTCCACTGAGCAATGTTCCTTGACCCCCTGCATATTTGGGACATTTGGGGAGCAGAATGCTGGGTGCAGAGGAGAAATCTTGAGGCGGAGCTAGGATGTCTCCCGCTTCTTTAAGGCTAGTCCAGCAGCGCTGGCTTCGCCTCCTTCCATCCCGAAGTGCTGGGGAGTCCTGACCCCACCCCCCAGGGCAGACTGCCCGGCTGAGTATGACGAGGTCCTCAGAGATCAACCCACTGGGCTGGGTTGGTGCCAAGGAGCCCTGGCAGCCACACCGGGACCCCACTCGGTTGAAGCTGTGGCTAGGTCCCCTCATCCTAAGCCTGCTCTGGGGACAGCTCCAGGACAACAGCCTCACCTGGGACCTCTGCAAGAAAAGTTCATAGCTTGGCCTCCTTTGGGACCAGGGTACACCAAGAGGGCATGGGGAGGGCACTGCCCTGGGGAACTGGCACTGGGGGATGGGAGGCAAGCAGTGGAAGCAGCTGGGTGCAAGGGTGGGGCCTCCAGACTCCAGCTCAGTTAAGGTCGCCAAGCAGGTAGGATCTTTCTGGAACCCAGATCTGATCACACCTCCCTGGAGGTCCCTTCAGGCCTGCCCTCCCTGCCACACCCTCACCAGACAAAACACTTCCCTGTGCCATCCCCAAGCTCTCACCTCCTCTCATCTGAAGCGCTGCGCCTGGCACACCAGGCTCCACCTTGCCTGCCTGGCCAAGCCCTACTAGGAAAGTAAAATGTCACCTCCAGAGAGAATCAACCACTTTATTGCCTGCTCTCTCCAGCATCTCGCGGATTTACCTACATGTAGGAGTCCCCTACCCAACCCCGGGCAGCCCAGGATCCTGCACCCAGTGAGCCCTCATCAATGGCTAACTGAATGGGAAGCTAGTGAGAGGGTGGGGCTGGCGGTGGTCAGCCTATGTCAGCCCTGGACAGAAGGGGTCTCCCTCATCCTGCAGCTGGTCCAGGAAGCAGCCCTCTTTGGAGGGCTCCACTGAGAGCTCCTGCCCTGCTGGCTCCGTACCCACAGCAGGGCCAGGATGGAGGACGCTGCATGCTGTGCCAGAACGAGTGTCTAGTGGACCTCCCCACTAGACTCCCCACTAGACTCCCCACCTAGCTCCCTAGCCCACCACAGGCACCGCTTTTGGTTCTAGGGTTCTGCCCAGCCAGCCTCCCTGTCCCAAGGCCAGGCCATCCCAGCTGAGACCCCTGCCCAGGATCCGCTGCATGGCTGGCATCTGTGCCAACCTCCTGATGAGAGAGGCTCCCAAAACCCAACACTGAGGGAGAGGAGAGCCTGGTCAGCCCCAGGGCAATCAGTTGGGGGGGGGTCCCGAAGAGAGGTGGCCTGACACCAGACAGCAGAGACAGGGCCAGGGCGGGTGGGCATGTCTTCCTGGGCAGGAGCCTGGCATCGGGAGTGCCATCTGAACCGCAGAGCACAAGAGGCCTGGGCAGCGGCCTGAGAGCAGCTCCACCCTCTGGCCTCAGTTCCCTTCTCTGAGGGAATGGGACAAGGTCACGGCCCAGCTTTGACACCCATGAAGCCTAAACATGGAGTATGGAAGCATGACTTTGCACCAGCCACTTTCCACCATTGAGATCAACTGCCTCCAACTCGTGCAGAAGTTGGGGTGGGGGTGCAAAGGCCCAGCCCCTTCCTTGGGGCTCAGCGGGGAAAGGAGTGGGGACTGTCAGACCCACTCTGGCCTTCCTCATGGCTCAAGTCCAGATGGCAGGAACCAGACAGAAAAAAGCGCTGGAGAGCTGGAGCTACCCCACCCAGCACTTATCTCCGAGCCCTAGAGATGCTTGCTCACTGCAGGGGAAATGGTGACATCCTGGGACCAGGCTTCCTCCTGGCCCGCAGTCACATCCGCCGCTCTCTCTCTAAGACCCCCAGGCCCGCCTCCGCACCCAGCCCACAGGCGGAACACTGCCACCTGCCCAGCCAGATCCTGGCCTCACTGTGGCCAACCCCAGAGAAGGGCCTTCAGCCCCAGCCCAGCTGGGAGATGCCAAAGAGACCTGGGGAGAGGGACTGGGGCTTAGGGTGGGACAGACTCTATTTCCTCCTCCTTTAGGGTGGGGCGGGGGAAATCCTGAAAAAAAGTGAAGTGCAGAGTTCAGATCACCCCCAGGTCCCATGGGTTGAGGCCTCTGTACCCTCCCCTGCCCAGGCTCAGGGCCTCCCCCACTGCAGATAGCTTTGGAGACAGCATAACCCAGCTGGCAGCAGCGGACCTCAGACACATCCAACGAAACACAGACTCAGACACCATTTACCACTGCTGCCCAGAGAATCTGGTTTCCCCACAAAGGGTGAGGCCAGGCACTCCCAACCAAGCCTGTTCCGCACAGCTGGGTAAGCAAGGCCACCCCCAGGGAGGTCCCCAACAGCTCTACCAGCCAGTCCAGGCAGGGTACAAGGGTCCCCCCGCCATGCGGACTGTACAAGCCACACTCCTCCACGCGGGCCCAGCCCACTGCCCCTCCCAACTCCCCCAGGTGCAGTTCCCTCTCTCCACCTGGTGCCACCAATCTCCCTGCACTCCCCACCCCCACACAAGTGGGTTTCTAGAAGCTCTGAGTCTTGCTAATGAAGGGTGCAGTCCCCACAAGCCCTGGGCTCTATGGGCTTTATGGGGCAGGGCAGGGAGAGCGTGACAGGTGCAGCCCAGAGGGAAACAGGCAGAGGCTTGATGCAAGGGCTGAGCCTGCGTGTGGCCAGAAATGGGGACACAGGGGTGGGACGGGACAGGCCCTTGGATAAGAAGTAAGCAGCCCCCTCCCCTCCAGACAGGAAAGAGGGAGACCATTATTATCCACTGGATATGACCAGGAAGTTTAGGGGGCTCAAGCCATCTGAAGACAGGATGTGGGGAAACCACCCCCTGGGCGGGAAGCTGCTTCCAGCCTGGCTCCGGAGCCGCGGGTGGGCGAGGCGTCACCTGGTGTCCCTGGGAGTGGGCAGTCAGGACAGAAGGAGGGCGGTGGGAGGCTTGGGGCCACGTCTTCGCGGCTGAATCACAGGATGCTAGGGTGAGGGCTGGGGACAAGGAAACTGCTTCTCTCCCCAGCTCCCTTGCCACAGAAACTGAAACTCATTTTCCCTGCCTGTGGCCCTGCTGGGAACCAGGGCATTTTTAGAAAGCTGCAAAGAGGAAGCTGAGCCTCACCCACTGTGCAATCCCCAGCAAAACCCGTGGTACTGCTGACCCCGGGGTTTCTCCAGCCCCAGAGGCCCGGAAGGACAGCTCATGGCACAGCTGTTCTTACACCTCCCCATGCATCCCCAAGCTGGGCCTCACGTAGCCAGTGACGCTGCCCTGGCAAGAGGTAGAAGGGGCAAGAGTAAAGGGCAGGAAAGTGGCAAGAAGGCTGGCTGGGGGCCTGGGGGCAGAATTTGGGGAGAGTCATGAGAGGCAAAACAGAAGGGCAGGGTTGGCATGAGCTGCGGCGTGAGCTCCACCGGCAGAGTTAGCAGAGGGGAGAGGGGGCTGGGGACTCTGAGGGTGGGACACCCAGCTGTCTGTCTCCAGGAGCCAAACAGGAGCCACTCTCCCTCCCTCTCAGCACCACCTCCCCAGAGGCCGGAGCTGGTGGCAAGTGGGCGCAGACACGATCTCAACCCACTCCGCCGGTACACGCTTCAGCCCACAGCTGCTGATGGAGAGAAACAAAACGGCCTGTGGGTTCACACAGCTCCCCAGACATCCCACGAACAGCGGGTCCTGGCCCAGAGAGCTGTTTCTTTCTCCTCCTCGCCCCTCCAGGGCTTGCCTCGAACTCAGTTCAGAAGATCAAGAACCCCCAGGGGCAGCTTCAGGGGACTGACCATCCCCTGACTTCTCTGGGCTTTTTCCTATCCGGCCCCAGGCTCTGGGCTCCCCTTAACCCGGTTAGAGTGGCTGGGGCGTCATAAGCCAACCACAGACACGGGAAGCGGGTGCTGTGCTCCAGGGAGCCGCCAAGATCAGGGGTGTGAGGTGTGAACCTGTGTGTGTGTGTTGCGGGGGGCTGGGGGGTGACATGTCATGTTCTTAGGGTGGTGCAGCCCCTGACGCCCCCTCTGCACCAACCATCTGGGCTTTCTCAGGACCAGTTGCCAGCAGGGATGGCAGAGATACAAATGCCCCCTCCTCGGCTGGGGTTCCTGGTCCAGGAAGCAGGCTGAGCTGGGGGTGCTGGAGTCCTGCATCCCCGAAGCCCAATGTGCAGCAGCTGCTGGCAAGACACAGGGGTGGGCACCAAAGGAGGTGGCAGTGCAGCCAGGCCTCGAGCTGGACACAGCGCTGGGCCCCACCCACCACAGTGCCCTCCCCTGGAAATTTCTGGATTTCAAAAGCTGCTGGTGGAGGCTGGGCACAGTGGCTCACACCTGTAATCCCAGCACTTTGGGAGGCTGAGGTGGGCAGATCACCTGAGGTCAGGAGTTCTAGACTAGCCTGGCCAACATGGTGAAACCCCATCTCTACTAAAAATACAAAAATTAGCCAGGCATGGTGGCGGGTGCCTGTAATCCCAGCTACTGAGGAGGCTGAGGCAGAAGAATCGCTTGAACCTGGGAGGCGGAGGTTGAAGTGAGCCGAGATCACGCCACTGCACTCCAGCCTGGGCGACAGAGCAAGACTCCATCTCAAAAAACACACAGACAAAATAAAACAAAGCTGCTGATGGAGGCAGGCAAGTGGCAGCAGCTGGGCGGGGATGCAGGTGCCTTCCACATCCCAGGGAAGAGGCAGCAGCTCCCGAGCCTGGGGCTGGACTGCAGGCTTTGGGGCAATGAAGGGAAGGGGGCACGCACAGCAGCCGGGCCCCAGTTCTCCTGCTCCCTCAGCATCGTTGTGAAGGGGAGGAGTCAGAAGTGGCCCCTGGGGGCCAAAAGGCCCTGTCCATTTGGGGTCAGACACCAGGACACTGGAGGGTTTCCGGGGTGGGGTGTGCACCACACAGTGCCACAGCAACACAGGCTCGGTGGGAACTGCCCTTTGCTGCAAACGTTCATGAAAGTCTGCCTCTCTGCATCCCGGCAGCCGGGTTTTCACGGGTCCTTGGAAGCAGTGGTGGTCCAGCACAAGCCCAGCGGTTGGGGCAGGATGAGATGCAGCCTGGGGTCTGTGTGAGAGGTCCGTTTCACTCCTGCTGGAGGCTCCTTGACACTAAGGTGTGACCAGGCCATTTCCGTTTGTGACTGTCCCATGTACACAGACAGGGCACTGTCCTGTGCTTACAAAGTAGGAGCCCACCCGGTTTCCACCTGCCTCCAGACAGTGAAAATCTGTCCCGATGGCAGAAGACAGGGTCACAGGCCCATCTCTAACCACTGTGCGATCTTGGGCAAGCCACTTAACATCTCTGAGCCTCAGTTTGTGTATGCATAAGATGCTAGTATCCTCCCAGGGTCTAAGATCTATGTGACTTTGTCACCATGAACGAGGGCTCACCCCAGGAACAGCTCAGCTGAGGTACAAGGTCTCACCTATTGTACAGAGAGGTAAGCACCTTGCCCAGTGCCACCCAGCCAGAAATAGGCCTGGACTGGCTGGGTGTGAGCATGCAGAGCCCAGGGAGCCGACGGCATCCCTGGGCCCTCACCTCGACACACTCAGAGCGCTTCTGGAGGCCCAGTTCTGCCTCCGGCTGCATGGAGCCCCTCAGCAGGGAGGGAAAATGCCAGGCAGACACTTCTGAGCTTGTAAACGGTCATTAAGGAACTAATAAACCTGATTTCCCAGAACGTTGCCCTGGGGCTCCCTGCTTCCCAGGGAAGAGGCTGGCCCTAGCCCCAGTGACTGCCAGGGTTTCAGGACACGGGGACACCAGGTTGCTTGTCCCAAGCAGGCCTGCAAAGCCACGTGCTTATGGCCCACACCTTGCTTCGGGGCAGCGTGGAGCTCTCTTGCTGAGGAATGAGGAGGAATAAGGGGCCAGAGATGGGACTCAAACCTGCCTGGGCCACCTACCTGCTGGGAGACTTTGGGCAAGTGGGTGCTGCAGAGCCTGCCTCCTCTGCTGTGAGATGGGTTGATGCCCCACCACGGAGGGAGCCAGGGAAGATGACAGCAGATATGAATGTACAGTGCCTGGCACACACCCAACGCCCAGTTGGAAGTTTCTTTTATTCCTGGCTGAGCTCTGCCACCATCGCTCACTTAGTCTCTATCTGAGCCACGAGCCCCACAGGGGACAGATCTCTATTCGACAGGTGGGGAAACTGAGGCTCAGAGAGATGAAGTCACCTGTCCAAGGTCCCACAGTTAGGGAGGTGGTGGGGCTACAACCCCAGCCAGGGTCCCGCGCTCTTAACCTCCACACTCTGCAGCCTCTTGCCACCCTGGAACTGGTGAGGGGCAGGAGAAAAAGAACGGGTGAGGACTCTGAGTGTTTGGGGTGCTGGAGTGAGTCCTGCATGCAAAGGCCTTTGATTCATGAAGAAGGGACAGCACCTAACTGCCTGGGCAGCACTGCTCAGCTTGCAAAGGACTTTTACAGACATGATCTCATTTAGTTGAGGCTAAGGGTGAGAGGCGGCTGTCATCATCCTCACGGGCTGGCAAGGTCAAAAGGGGCTTAGGCCAGGGTTCAAAGTCCTGTTCCCACTCCAAACCCCACAGCAGATCCTCAACCCTCCTCTTCCAGATCTCTTTTTTTTTTCTTTTATTTTTTGAGACGGAGTCTCGCTCTGCTGCCCAGGCTGGAGTGCAGTAGGGTGATCTCGGCTCACTGTAAGCTCTGCCTTCTGGGTTCAAGCGATTCTCCTGCCTCAGCCTCCTGAGTAGCTGGGACTACAGGTGCATGCCACCACACCTGGCTAATTTTTTTGTATTTTTAGTAGAGACGGGGTTTCACCGTATTAGCCAGGATGGTCCCGATCTCCTGACCTTGTGACTGCCTGCTTCAGCCTCCCAAAGTGCTGGGATTACAGGCGTGAGCCACCGCGCCTGGCCCCAGATCTTCTTATGACTAAATGGAGCTGACAACCTGGGGAGACCCACTGGGAGAGGGAAAAGGGTTTCTTGCCAGAGACCGGGGCAGGAAGCCATCCCTGCACCACCTGCTGGCACAGGGTTGGCGGCCACACGGGGGAGGCAGAGGAGAAAACCAAGACTTGAGGCAGCTTTACCCTGCTCCCAGCCCCAGGAACCTACGCCAGGGAAAGCACAGCTGAGGGGCACCAACTCCATGAGCTGCCCCCCACCCCACTGTCAGTGACACACACACACTGGCAGGCCAGGAAAACCCCTGGGCAGAGGTCAGCAGTTCATGCCCAGATGGAAACCCACCCTCACTTCCCTTGGCCAGCAAGGCACTGAGGTCCCCCTACCCCAGACACAGCCACTCCTACAGAATAACAATAACAACAGTGCCACTGCTCCATATGCGTGTTCCCATCTAGTCCTTGACAGCCCACGAGGCAGGGCCTCGGCCATCTCCCAAGTCTGTGCCATGGACCGGCAGCCACGCCCCTACCTGAAGCCACCCTAACACCATTATCACGATGGCTCCCCGCACTGCTCCTGCCATGGCCGGGCACTGCACTGCAGGCTGCACACCTTTACCACGGGAGTCCTCACCTCACACAACCCTCCAGGTAGATTACTGTTAGTGAGCCCACTGTGCAGCTGGGGAAACTGAGGCACAGACTAATTAAGTGAACTCATCCTACTGAGCACACACATGGACGACTGTGCCCAGCAGCCCCTGGACCTTGGCCCAGCTCCTGAAGTTTGGAATCCTCCTCCATCCTTTTCTGCTGGTCACAAGGTTCCCCTCACACTCCAAACAGTGTCTCTGGCCCACCTCCTGCACTGCCCACTTGGCTGAAACCACTTTCCTGCAGGAGCCGGGCACTGGGGCTGGAACTGCCTTCCAGTAGCTTTTGGACCACAAACAACTCCCAGCTGGGCGCCCGGATACATTTGCTGAAGGAGGGGCCGTGGACACGGTGGCGCTTTGTACTTCCCGGAAGATGTGTTTTTCCTTACACCCATCCTAGGTCTCCTGGGAGGCAAAACGACGTTCCGGGCAGGCTTGGTTTCCCTGTGAAGCCGCCCGTGCCCTGAGAGCTGTCCCTGCCTAGCCACCACCACCGCCGAGGTCAGCCTGTACTTGGGCAGGCGCAGACGTCCCCGCCACTCCTCCCCCAGCCTGGCTCAGCTGGATAGGAAACTGGGAGCCGCTTCCGACAGCCAGCGCTTCCACAGCCGGTGCAGATGCCTGAGCTCACTCTGGAAATCCCCTGGGGCAGATGGGGCAGCGCCGAGGCCTGCTCCAGAGTGCGAGGCACAGAGATCTGAGGAGAGTGTGGAGGGGGAGAGGCAGCCAGGAGGGCACACGTCTTCCCTGTGCTGTGCCAGCGGCAGGCGGGGGCCAGGCCCAAAGGGAAGCACCAGCCAGCTGAGCCATGCCACTCGCACACTCACGGGCAGGCGTGCACAGCTCCTTGACTTCTGCTGTCATCTGTCACCTTGTCTGGGGCAGAGTTTACACAGCAAGGACAGAAACCTTGGTGGAGAGGCCACCACAGTATCCAGAGCTGAGGCCACAGGAAAAACAGCACCACTGACCCCAGAGCAGGACTCGGGCCCCAAGTGCGTCACCCAAAGCATTTGTAGTGTGATTTATTCCTCCTCTTATAGGAACAAAAGTCCCCCTCCTGGGCTGGAGAGAAAGAGAGTGTGTGTGTGTGTGTGTGTGTGTGTGTGTGTGTGAGTCTGTGTGTGTCTGTGTGTTTGTGTGTGTCTCTGTGTGTCTGTTTGTGTGTGTCTGTGTGTGTGTGTGGTTACACCAGGTACAGACAGGTAGGAGTCACTGAGGGTTTGTTCGTGGGGCTCTTGGGTGGGGCCTGAGGGTGGGCAACTGGGTTCACACCCGAGCTCCACTGCCGACTTCCTGAACAACTTTGTACAAGCCTGGGTGCTCAGCCCTGTCCCTTGAGAGGCTCACAGCAATGGAGGCCACTTTTGTTTTTTGTGCAAATGAAAAGGTGGGAGTTTCACTTCAGCCTTTTACAGTCAAGAGACCAAAAAAACAAAAACAAAAACAAAACAAAACAAAAAAAACAAAAGCCACCAACACCAACAAAAAGAACCCAAGCTCGAAACCTCCACCAGGGTTCCCAGGCAAGAAGGCTGGGTCCAGAAGTGAACAGGATGGGTATAATGGCTACTGCAAGAAAACAGGGAGGGAGGGCAGCGAGGTGGCCCCAGCTCCTGGGCATGGACGTGGCTGCTTCATCCGATCCTCTCCCACCGTGCCAGCCACCCCTCCTTGTTGCCAGAAAACTGGAAGTACATTCCTCCAGCCCAATACAAACAACTCTGAGTCATCCCTACTGGGGGGCCACCTGGCCTGTGCTTTGATGTCTCCCATCTCTCACCTCTGCTCAGCTAACACCATGGGCAGGGGTGCCTCCACCCCATCAGCAGCTGGGCCCACTCCAGGGCTCGTCAGCTAACCCAGGGTGCCCTCTTTATTGCAGGACAAAAGCAGCCTGGGGACCCCCCAGGAATTAGGAGCCCTGATACTCCTTGGATGTCACTTTCAAAAGGTGTACATAATTGGAGGAGTTAGGTGTGAGTTCAGAAGGGAAAATTCCAGCAGGTCACATGGTATCAGGCAACCATGCCAGCTTCAGCAATCCAGCTTTGGGAAAATCTATGGGAAGAGAGCTCGCCCTCTGCCCACCCTCCCAGCCCAGGGATATTTGAGCTCAAGGGCTGCCTCAGCCCAGCCTTCCTGGGAGATTGCCCTGGGGTTAAGCACCCCAGGCCTGGGCTGCAAGGGGGTCCTCTGTTCCCAACCTCTCCCCCACAGCACCTAGACCAGCTTCCTGCAGGGCCAGTGGAGATTGGGAAAGGCGGTGTCTCATGGCACCAAAGGAAGACTCTTGTGAGGGGAATAAGTGCCCTCACACTGCCTTACCCCTCATCTCATTCAGGTTTATTCCAAGTTCCTCCCCTAACCACTCTGGAAAACTGAGGTAGTTTCCCCAGTGAGGGAGCATCATTGAGAAGGAACCTGATGGACCAGCTGCTGCGCAGGGTTTCTCAGCCTCAGCACAGCCCAACACCTTGGGCTGGATAATTCCTCGTTATGTGGGCTGTTCCGTGCCCTGAAGATGTCTGGTAGCGTCCCTGGCCTCTACCCACTACCTGCCAGTAACAACAACACTCACTTCCCCTCCCAAGTGTGTGACACCCAAAATGACTCCAACATTGCCAAATATCCCATGGCAGGCAAAGTCGCCCCTGGTTGAGAACCACAGCTCTAAAACACGCCTCCCTTTCCACTGCCTGCCCTACGGACAGTGAGGGTCGAATAAGGCAGATGCTGGTCTCATTATATTACCAGCAAATGGCACACACTGGGGGCCTGATGCCAGCCGCCCAGGCAACAGCAGCCTCTCCCCAAGTGGGGTCAGCTCCCCACCGCCTTCTGCTCCTCAGACACACCCGCTGCCACCCTCTCAGTAGCTCCAACCCTAGAGCCCCCTCCGTTAATCTTTCATGGAATGGGGCAGGGCCAAAACCTAGGCTTCCTTTGCGCCCTGGCGTGGGAGTGGGGCGGGGTCTGTACCCTAGGGAACTTATCCGTCTCTATCCCAATGCCCTGGGGGAACATCCGAGGGGCCAAACAGGTAAAAGGCAAGCCCAGGGCCAACCTTCCCCAGCCCCTCCATCCAGAAGTCAGGACTCCTGGGTCCAATTTCTGAGCTCCGGTCCAGCCCTGCTGTGTGAGTCCCTCATCCCCACCCCCGCACCTGTTTCCACCTTGGCTGGCTCAACCAACAAACTTCGGCCCCGGTCCGCCCGGTGCTCACCCGGGAGAAAGTGGAGGGGAGAGAAGGGTCTGAACTGCAGGCACTTCTGGGACGCAGGCGGGACTGCCCTGCGCAGTCTCCTCTCTTCCTCCGGAGGTTTAAATCTCTGCCCAATCGTCTTGCCCCTACATCTGGCGCCCCGTCGCCCAGGGACCCCTTAGGCGTCCTGTCCGAGCCGAGCCCTAGGGGCCAGCAGACCGGGTCCAGCGGCCCCGCCGGCGCCGTCTGAGCCAGCCCGGGCCTCCAGCCGAGCCCACGTGGGACCCAGGCGCTCCGCAGGGCGGGCACCGGGCACTGGGCACCCTTCCTGGCCGCGCACCACCGCTCCAGGGCAGGCTCGGGCACAACCTCGGGACCCTTCCGGCGCCTGCGGCTGGGCGGCCGTGAGTCCTGCCCCGCTCGTCGCCCCGCGCTCACCTCCCTGCGGCCCCAAGTCCCCGGGACGCAACTCCGTGCGGCGCCTGCGAGCGGCTGGGCGGTGGCTCCTCGGGGGCGGGGCGGCGGCGCTCCGCCTCTTCCCTACCTGCGCGCGGGCGGCCGGGAGGCGGGGCTGGGCTCCAGGGGGCGTGGCCGGGCTCATGGGGGCGGGGCCTGGACGCAGTCTTTGCTCAGTCGGCTTCCTGGGTTCCTGCCTCCGCCCTCCACCCAGCTGGGTCCCCGCCTGGGCAGAGCCCTGTTTTCGCCTGAGCTGGTCTCTTCAGGGCGCCGTCCTTTCCCTCTTGGCGTCCTCACTCCACCCCAGACCAAACACGTCATCTAGGTCTTGATTGCCGTCTTCAAGTCGCCCCTCCCCATCAAGAAAAAGCACCCAATCTCCCATCCCCTTCTTCCAGCGCCCTCATCCTCAGGCCAAGTGGGCCTGTTCCCTTGACCCTTTTAGTCTGTAGTCACACTCTCTCCGGGAAGCTGGGCCTGAACACCTCCTCTCCCTCCTGGACCCTGAGGCCTCTCTCCTAGCTCTGCTGTGCCCTTGGGTTGGGAACAGGCACTCCGTGGAGGTCCTATCTGCATTTGCCCTGCAGCTAAGGCCAACATTTGTGACTCCTGCCAACCCCCTACACACCCCGTAGAAGCATTGACAGAACCCACCCAGCTCTGGCCCTTCCAGCTGCCATGCGGGCCAGAGCCAGACTGGAGATTGGGGACGCTGGCGACACCTGGCCCCTTGGCTTGGGTCTGTCTGCCCAGGTGGTTCCTTCTCTCTTCCCTGGACTCCAAGGGCCTGCCTCTTGGGACTAGACAAACAAAACCTTGGCCAGGGCAGCTAGGACCGAACTCCAAGGTCTGGATGCCCCGTTCTCAGCCCCAGCGCTTA
This sequence comes from Homo sapiens, assembly GCF_000001405.40. Taxonomy (NCBI): domain Eukaryota; kingdom Metazoa; phylum Chordata; class Mammalia; order Primates; family Hominidae; genus Homo; species Homo sapiens. The sequence goes on from NC_000017.11 coordinate 76,502,251, forward strand.
TCATCTCGCCGTCCCTCTCCAGGAGGCCTGGCTAGGCCAGGAGGAGCAGAGTTTGAAGAGACTCAGGCTTGGAGGGGTGGGGGTGGGGTTGTCAGGGCCAAGGCAAAACCTCTGGCCCTTAGAGAGCTCCTGAGCCACCCTGCCCCCCAACCCAAGGACTCTGGTGTTTATTGCTGACCTGGGTGGAGGTGGGGAGCACCTGGCTGCTGGAGATTATCCTGAGAGATGCATCTCTCCTCCCCAGCTCTGGGGCCATGAGGAGGGCACAGGCTGGAAGGAGGGGGAGTGGGCCAAAGCTGGGGTGGGGGTTGCTCCTAGTAACAAATGTAAGGGACCATTTATTGTGCAACCAGCACATCCTGGGGTTATGTGCAGAGAGGAACAAAACCAGGGCCTGCCCACGAAGTGCCAGCATTCTACAGGGAGACGTTGGAACTCAATACTGTAACAGGAAGGGTGAGAGCAGCTAGCCATTCCAAAGTGCTTTAGTCTGTATAATCCGCAGTACAGGTCTATGAAGTGGGTACCATTATGATCATCCCCATTTTAGGGATGAGAAAACTGAGGCAGAGGGAGATGTGAGGGGAGCAGCTGGGGTTTAAACTCGGTCATGATCTGACTTTAGACTCTAACAAACACTGCTGCAAATGCCTGAGCTGGGTTCTCTCTCCTGGAGCTCTACTGGAAGCTCTGCAGGAGTCCCCAGGAGGGGAGGGATTCATGGTGGTGCTTAAGCTGGTGTCAGGGATTTGTCCCATGCAAACATGGCGTGCTGCCCGGCCACATAGGTGCAGGGAGGCTGATTACAGCCTTGGCTGCAGCAACACGCACCTGTGAGGCCAGAGAGGGAAGAATGTTAAATAGGCCAGGGGTATAACTTGTGATAATGTCACACAGCTGTTAAAAGCAACGAGGCAGCTATCCATGTACTGAGAAAGGAATTATCTCCAACTTATAGTAAGTTAAAAAAAAAAAAGCAAGCTGCATGTTTAGTATAATCCTATTTACCTAAATTTAAATAGAACAGACATATATATGTTGGTAGATCCATACAAACTTTCTGGAAGGATATCTGTGGAGTAACCCTGCAGGGGTTTAGGGGGAGAGAGTCACTTGCTTTTCATTTTGTATCATGTGCATATATTACTTACATAACTTAAAGAGAAACACTGTCTAAACTCTTTGTTTTTGTTTTGAGACAAGGTTTTGGTGTCACCCAGGCTGGAGTACAGTATACTCATGGCTTATTGCAGCCTCGACCTCTGGGGCTCAAGTGATCCTCCCACTTCAGCCTCCTGAGTAGCTGGGACTATAGGTGCACGCCATCCTTTCTGGCTAACTAAATTTTTTTTTTGTAGAGATGGTGGTGGGCGGTGGGGGGGGGCCTCACTACGTCGCTCAGGCTGGCCTCAAACTCCTGGATTCAAGTGATCCTGCTTTGGCCTCCAAAATCGGTGGGATTACACTTTACATATTTTACTTTTATAACTTAAAGAAAAACACTGTTGGCCGGGCGCAGTGGCTCACTCCTGTAATACCAGCATTTTGGGAGGCCGAGGCGGGCAGATCACCTGAGGTCGGGAGTTCGAGACCAGCCTGGCCAACATGGAGAAACCCCATCTCTACTAAAAATACAAAATTAGCCAGGCGTGGTGGCACATGCCTGTAATCCCAGCTACTCGGGAGGCTGAGGCAGGAGAATCGCTTGAACCCGGGAGGCAGAGGTTGCAGTGAGCTGAGATTGCACCATTGCACTCCAGCCTAAGCAATAAGAGGGAAACTCTGTCTCAAAAAAAAAAAAAAAAAAAAAAGGAAAAGAAAAAGAAAGAATAAGTGAAAAACACCGTCTAAGCTTTTTTATTTTTATGGACCTACAGGTGTAGGGAAGATCTTCACAGATTGGGATAAGGAAAGGGATTTCTAGTGGGAAGAACAAGAACGAAGACACAGCCGGGAAACTGGCTGTGGTGGGGAAGCTTCTGGTGCTATGGCTTGGCTACATCGCAGGCTGTGTGAGGAGGAGGACAGGAGAAGCCTGGGGAGGCAGCGGGGGCTCAGGGTGGAGGCTGCTGTGTGTCTGGATAAGGGTTTTTACTTTCTTCTGTAAGCAAGGGGGAGCCCATGAGGCATTCTTCAACTAGGAAATTGCACCCTCATATTTTCTGCTTGTGTCCCCTCCTTTAAAACATGCTTTCACAGACACTATTTCATTTATTATTATTATTTATTTATTTTTGAACCGCAGTCTCGCTCTGTCGCCAGGCTGGAGTGCAGTGGCGCAATCTCCACTCACTGCAACCTCGGCCTTCTGGGTTCAAGTGATTCTCGTGTCTCAGTTTCCCGAGCAGCTGGGATTACAGGCATGCGCCACCACATCCAACTAATTTTTTTTTTTTGAGACAGAGTTTCTCTCTTGTTGCCCAGGCTGGAGTGCAATGGCGCAATCTCGGCTCACCACAACCTCCACCTCTCGGGTTCAAGCGATTCTCCTGCCTCAGCCTCCCAAGTAGCTGGGATTACAGGCATGCACCACCACACCTGGCTAATTTTGTATATTTTTAGTAGAGATGGGGTTTCTCCATGTTGGTCAGGCTGGTCTCGAACTCCCAACCTCAGGTGATCCTCCTGCCTCTGTCTCCCAAAGTGCTGGGATTACAAGTATGAGCCACTGTGCCTGGCCTTTTTTTTTGTATTTTTAGTAGAGATGGGGTTTCACCATATTGGCCAGGATGGTCTCGATCTCCTGACCTCGTGATCTGCCCACTTCAGCCTCCCAAAGCACTGGGATTACAGGTGTGAGCCACTGTGCCCGGCCTATTATTATTTTTTGAGGCCGTTATCTTGCTCTGTCATCCAGGCTGGAGTGCAGTGGTACAATGGGAATCACTGTAGCCTCAACCTCCTGGGCTCAAGTGATCCTCCCACCTCAACCTCCTGAGTAGCTGGGACTACAGGCCACCACACTCAGCTAATTTTGCTTTATTGTTTGTAGAGATGGAGGTCTCACTATGTTGCCCAGGCTGGTCTTGAACTCCTGGACTCAAGCGATCTTCCCGCCTCGGCCTCCCACAGTGCTGGGTTTACAGGCATGAGCCACTGCGCCCAGCCTATTTTATTTTTTAAATCTTGACAACAATTCTGCAGATAGGCAGGTCAGGCTTTACAGATGAGGACACTGAGGCTGCTGTGGAATTAAGACCAGCGACAGAGTTTGACATTGAGAAGCGTTGGTCCTCAGTGAGTACTGCCTTAGAGGAAGGCAGGAGAACATGCCCCAGAGAGGGACCCACCCTGGGAACTGCACACCCTGAGACCCCCTCAAGACTCACTTTGTGATCCTCGGAAGAAAAGGGCAGAGGGTCTTGAAGCCATTAGTTAGCAAACTCAGAAAAGCTCCGACAACACACCTTTGAAGGACGCCCTGGTATTTGTCCACGGGAGTAAAATATTAGGGGTCTATGTTTAGCTTTTTTCATTTTTAGAACGTGAGCGGCCGGGTGTGGTGGCTCACACCTGTAATCCCAGCACTTTCGGAGGCCAAGCCGGTGGTGGATCACTTGAGGTCAGGAATTCGAGACCCACCTGGACAACATGATGGAACCCCCATCTCTACTAAAAATACAAAAATTAGCCAGGCATGATCGCACATGCCTGTAATCCCAGCTACTTGGGAGGCTGAGGCAGGAGAATCGCTTGAACCTGGGAGGTGGAGGCTGCAGTGAGCTGAGATCGCGCCTCTGCACTCCACCCTGGGCGACAGAGTGAGACTCCATCTCAAAAAAAAAAAAAAAAAAAAAAAAAGGAACAGTGAATCTTTTGAATGAGAGGATGCTGGATGCTGACTTCCTTGTCAAGGTTCAGAGAAGTGTAGGACTGTGCCCAAGAACGCACAGGTGGTGAGAGAGAGCAGGGCTGGGTGCTGGGCCCCACACCCATACTCTTTCCAGCCATTCCGGTGGACCATTCCCATCTTTTGGAAGGGCCATTCTGGCTGTGCTCAGGACAGATGGGTTTGGGCAAAGGTGGGGAGGCCAGGTGAGAGGGAGCAGGGGAGTGGCTGGGGGAGCAGAGTAGAGGGAGGGATGAGAAGGGCATCCCCTCTCTTCGGAATTTAGCTGACACAAGCCCCCAGACTTCCTCTCCATATATGCTCTGGATTTACCTCCCCTTACCCCCAGGCCTCCAGCAGGGAGAGTCGGCAGCGGGAGTGGGCCCAGGTGGGAGCCCCAGAGAAAGGAACCACAGGATCTTGCCCGCCTGGCCGCAGAGATTGATGATGCGGGATCGCCATCTGGTGGCGAGAAGAGGTACCGCGCCAAGGAATCCACGTGGTCAGGGGAACCCGGGGAAGCCGCAGTCTTAGTGCTCCCCGCCACCTGCTTTCTCACCAGATACCCTGGCAGTCCAGCCTGAAGGTTAAGGGCACAGAGGCACAGGCTCGCTCTCAACAGGACTCGTCAGTGGTTAGCAAGATGCCAAAGCCTCTGTAACGCCTCTCCTTGCCACCCTGCCTGCCTTTACGACATGCCGGGGAGGGCACCAGTGAGTGACCTCTCTCCAAGGGTTCATGGGCCACCAGACCCTTAGGCACCTTGGGAGCTGCCTGCCACCAGGGGAGAAGCCAGGGTGCCTGGCATTCCTGGGTGCTGGGGAGGAGGCGGATGTGGTCAGACTCCTTAGGCCCAGAGATACTTTTCAGCTATCTCCTCCTGGTGCTATTCCTTCCCCCATGGTGCCCTTGAAATCCATCTCCACCTCCCTCCCAGCAGGCTGCTCCTCACCAGTGTTCTCACCCCACTGTCAGCCCTCCACTGGGTCATCCTAGTCTCAGCCAGGGCTCGGTCATTCCCATTAGCCCTTGGGAATGGACTTTGAAAGCTATTCCAGAGCCCCTGTCACCTGCTCAGCCCAGCTGTGCTCATTTTTCAGGCGCCCATCACTGCTGTATCTTCCCTCCCCAACCTTGGAGGCCTCAGTCACCCTGGGAGGAGAGTGAGGCCCGGGGGAAGGGCGCTGGCCTCGGGGGCATGCAAATGTTCAGGTACACCCAGCTCATCACTAATTAGCTTGTGAGATTAAGCAAGTTACTTAACTTTGGAATACTGAGGCCACCCTAGAAAGACATGCCATCCAGAAGCCATAAACCAGAAGATTGACAGATTGACATAAATGCCACCAATTTCCGTGCCACAAAAGGCACTGTAGACAAAGTTAAAAGCCAAACAGCTGGGCAAGGTGGCCCACATCTATAATCCCAGCATTTTGGGAGGCTGAGGCGGGAGGATCACTTGAGTCCAGGAGTTTGAGCTCAGCCTGGGCAACGTGGCCAGATGCCATCTCTACAAAAAAATAAAACCCGTCTAATTTTTATATTTTTGTAGAGATGGGGTTTTGCTATGTTGCCCAGGCTGGTCTTGAACTATTAGGCTCAAGTGATCCATCTGCCTTGGCCTCCCAAAGTGCTGGGATTACAGGTGTGAGCCACTGCGTCTGACAGTTTTAACTTCTTGATCATAGGTCCTCTCTGCCCCTGCTCCACAGCAACCAGCTACAGTCCTACCAGCCCATCCACACATCTCCTTCCGTTTCTTCCGCTGCCCTGGTTGCTTCAGGCGTAAGCCCGGGGTGGCCTCCATGCCTTCCCTAGTCCACCCTGCACAGGCTGCCAGCTCTGTGGCCACCACTGCTCCTGTTCCAGGATCTCCAGTGGCTCTAGGTCACCTCCCAAAGACAGTCTGAGCTCCTCAGCCATCGAGAGCCCCACAACCTGGTGCCAACATACTTCCCTGGTCTTACCTGGTATGTTCTCCATCACAGATTTGGCTTTCTGTAGCTCCCAGTCTCTGCTCACTTGCCTCCAGGGTCTCCACCGCTGACATGGTCTCCCTTCCTCACGGAGCCTTGAGCTGCTCTGCACCTCTTTTCCAGAACTTTCCTTGACGCCCCTTCTGGACAAGCTCCCTCCTCTGTGGTGTCCACGCTCATGTACACAACCTCCTTCTTCTCTCATGGAGAGATTTGAGAGGAGAAACAGGACCTCATTTAGTCTTTTTTTTTTTTTTTTTTTTTTTGAGACAGAGTCTTGCTCTGTCGCCCAGGCTGGAGTGCAATGGCACGATCTCGGTTCACTGCAAGCTCTGCCTCCCCAGTTCACACCATTCTCCTGCCTCAGCTTCCTGAGTATCTGGGGCTACAGGTACCCACCACCACGCCCGGCTAATTTTTTGTATTTTTAGTAGAGACGGGATTTCATTGTGTTAGCCAGGATGGTCTCTATCTCCTGACCTCGTGATCCGCCTTCCTCAGCCTCCTAAAGTGCTGGGATTACAGGCGTGAGCCACCGTGCCCAGCCCTAGTCTCTTTTAAAAAAAGTAATAGTGATGGGGTCTCACTATGTTGCCCAGGCTGGCCTCAAACTCCTGGGCTTAAACAATCCTCCTGCCTCCACCTCTCTAGTAGCTGGGAATACAAGCTCGAGCCATCGCGCCCTGTTTAACGTGATTTACTGATGGATGGGATGTGAGGGGTGAAAGAGAGGACAGTTGAGGAGGACTCCAGGGCTTCTTGCCTATTTAAATTGGCAAACAGAGCCTCCACTTTCGAGGGGAAATAGCCAGGGAAGAGGAGGCTTTGGCAGGGGTTCCGCTTCGTCCACACGAAGCGTGAGGGGTCCAGGAAGCAGCTGGAGGCTCCAGCCTGAATCAGGATAGAGATGTCAGGGCTGGGATTTAAATTTGGGATTGGATGAGCTCACTGAGAAAAGAGTGTGGGAAGAAAAGAGGGGCAAGGACAGAGCCCTGGAGCCATCAGCCCTGAGTCCAGAATAAAGGGACCAGGGAGAGGGAGGATTGGGAGAGGGAGGATTAGGAAGGGGGAGGTGGCATTGAGCTGAGATCGAGCCACTGCATTCCAGCCTGGGCTACTAAGCAAGACCGTGTCTCAAAAAATAAAATAAAATTAAAAAAATTACAAAATAAGGCCGGGTGTGGTGGCTCACGCCTATAATCCCAGCACTTTGGGAGGCCGAGACAGGTGGATCACCTGAGGTCAGGAGTTCAAGACCAGCCTAGCCAACATGGTGAAATCCTGTTCTACTAAAAATACAAAAAAAAAATAGCCGAGTGTGGTGGTGGGTGCCTGTAATCCCAGCTACTCAGGAGGCTGAGGCAGGAGAATTGCTTGAACCCAGGAGGCAGAGGTTGCAGTGAGCCGAGATCATGCCATTGCATTTAGCCTGGGCAATAAGAGCGAAACTCCGTCTCAAAAAAAAAAAAAATTACAAAAAAATCTAATAGAAATTTGGTAGAAAGGATAAGAACAATTCACAGAAGAATAAGTAAAAATGGTCAATGAATATAGAAGATATCCAACCTCACTAGTAATTTGGGAGATGTAAATCAAATCTGTGATGATCCCTAGCAACCAGATCTCCATGTCTGAATGGCAGGTGCCACTCAAGGAACCCTGGGGAAGTGGCTGGCTCCAGGGCCAGGGCCAGGGCCAGGGCCGGGCAAGAGCATGAGGAGCCTGGCACATGTTGTTCGCAGCAGAAAGCAAGGAAGCTTTAAAAGATTAATGGGGCCATGTCAAAAGGACACAGGAGCCAGCTGGAAGGGACTCCTACTGGCCAAGTTGTAACAATTTGAACATCAGAAAGAAAAACGATTGGCCGGGTGCTGTGACTCACGCCTGTAATCCCAGCACTTTGGGATTCCGAGGCGGGTGGATCACGAGGTCAGGAGATCAAGACCCTCCTGGCTAACATGGTGAAACCCCGCCTCTACTAAAAATACAAAAAAATTAGCTGGGCGTGGTGGCGGGTGCCTGTAGTCCCAGCTACTCAGGAGCCTGAGGCAGGAGAATGGCGTGAACCCAGGAGGCGGAGCTTGCAGTGAGCCAAGATTGCGCCACTGCACTCCAGCCTGGGTGACAGAGGGAGACTCCGTCTAAAAAAAAAAAAAAAAAAAAAGTCATTTGTTCATTAGACACTCAAACTGGGGAAATCCAGAGAAACTCTTGGGACCCCACCAAAGCATTTATTCAACCAAACTCTTGGCCAGGCCCAGTGGCAGGTAATCTCAGCACTTAGGGAGGCTGAGGTGGGAGGATCACTTGTGCTCAGGAGTTTGAGACCAGCCTGGGCAACATAGCAAGACTCAGTTTCTAAAAAAGAAAGAAAGAAAGAAAGAAAAATAAATTAGCCGAAGGTGGCGGCATGCACCCGTTGTCCTAAGCTACTCAGGAGGCTGAGGCAGGAGGATCGCTTGAGCCCAGGAGTTTGAGGCTGCAGCGAGCCATGATTGTGCCACTGCATTCTAGCCCAAGCCAGAGAGCAAGATCCTACCTCTTTAAAAATATATATATATATATGTGTATATATATGTGTGTATATATATGTGTGTATATATATATGTGTATATATATATATGTGTATATATGTGTGTGTGTATATATATATATGTGTGTGTGTGTGTGTGTGTGTGTGTGTGTGTGTGTGTGTATCAGGCCCAGAGAGGCAAAAAAATCAAGCATCTATCCTGCCTTTCCAGTAGAAACTGTATTTCAAAGCAGCCAAATAGTTGTCCGGTTTGAGGAAGGAATGCTTTGCTTTACAGAAGAATGCCAGCTGTATTAGGTATTTCTGGCTGCAAAACAATTTATCCCAAAACTTAGCTGCTTGAAACAGCACACGTTTATTATCACTCAGTTCCTGTGGGTCCAGGAATCTGGGCGTGGCTTAGCTGGTTCCTTTGGCTCAGGGTCTCTCATAGGGTGTCAACGAGAAGCTACAGTCATCTCGAGACTTGACTGGGGGACAATCCACTTTGAAGCTCACTCCCTCGGTGACAGGATTCAATGTCCGTCTGGCTGTTGGATTGAGGCTTTCTTTCCCCACTGGCAGTTGTCCAGAGACAGGGACGCTACACAGGAGTGTCAGCTGGGCAGTAGCACAGGACTCTGGGCTCAGAAGCCTCTGTGCTTGGTTTAACGCTCTGCTGTCCCCACATTGGAAGGCGTAATCATTTTTTCTTTGAACTTGTGTCTTATAGTGAAGTCCAGCTGGACAGTGGAGCATGCACCCTATCCACAGCTGACATCCACTGGACTCGCATACAACGTTCTCCATGTCCATGGCACAGTGGTCTGGCGGATCCATGTTGGGTGGGAGTCTAGCAAGATTCAATGTGAATACAAAGTAAGTGAGTTAAGGAAGCCACTGGCTTCCCCGGAGTGTTGGGAGAATCAAGAAGTGAAATAAAGGTGGGGTGCGGTGGCTCATGCCTGTAATCCCAGCACTTTGGGAGGCCAAGGTGGGCAGATCATCTGAGGTCAGGAGTTGGAGACCAGCCTGGCCAACATGGCCATACCCTGTCTCCACTAAAAATACAAAAACTAGCCAGGTGTGGTGGTGGGCACCTGTGGCCCCAGCTACTCGGGAGGCTCAGGCAGGAGAATCGCTTGAACTCGGGAGGTGGAGGTTACGGTGAGCCGAGATTGTGTCACTGCACTCCAGCCTAGGCGATAGAGTGAGACTCCGTCTCAAAAACAAAAACAAAAACAAAAGTGAAATAAAAACAGGTGAGTTAGTTTTGTGCAGTGTTTCCACTGCTGTGGTAAGAACAACACACACCACAGACGCATGTAGGAACTATGAAATACCAATTGTGTAATTCTGCTGATTCTGCATTATGAATTCAATGCTCTTCTATTTGTGTGCAAAAACTGGCATTGCACAATATAAAGATGGATAGTAAAATTCATGCTGACAATTTAAATTTGTATTTTAAAATAAATGACACTGTCATCCCAGCTACTCGGAAAGCTGAGGCAGGAGGATTACTTGAACCCCGGAGTTCAAGACCAGCCTAGGCAACAGCCTGGGTGGGGGCTGCTGGCCCCCCTGGGCTTTCTGTTCCCTGGGACCCTCATCCTAACTCCTAGGGAGTCGTGCATGGGGCCACTGGGTTCAGCAGAAAGAACAGCAGGTAACCCAAAGCCAGCAGGTAACCAAGCTTTCACAGAGAGGGTGAGAGGCTGGCTCGTGGTTGCACAGCAAGTCCAGGGAGATTGGAGCCCGTCTGGGTCTCTTGGGACCAATCTAAAACCAAGCAGCCTCAGACACTGCTTTGCTGGCTCCACGGTCACCAAGGAGAAATGGAAGAGGCTCTTCCAAGGAGCTCTTCTCTCCCAAGGCCCCCAGAGGGTAGGAGAGGCAGAGGCTGGGTCCCATCTCACCTCCCGAGCTGCCACCGACGCCTGGGCCCTCCCTTTCTCCCTTGGCCCAGATGTCACTCCAGGGTAAGAAGCTGGGAGCAAAAGTCTCTGGTCACTGGTCCCCCTAGATCACACCCCTGTGCTCTTCCCGCCTCAGATCCCAGCTGCCCTCGCCACCCTCATCATCCTTCCCCGTTAGCTGCTGCTGGTGTGGGGCCATCGGAAGGTTTGAGCAGGGGCCGACGAGGTCAATTTTCCTGAAGAGAGCTTTGCTGGATGGAGCCTGGACTGTAGGAGGTGACCTTGGAGACCACCGGGGAGGCCGTGGGGAGCCCGGGCCAGGGCGATGTCTTCCTGTCCTGCTGTGTCCTCTCTGCTTCTCTCTAATGGTGGGGACTGTGGGAGAGGCTGGGACTTTGGGGTCAGCCTGTGGCTCCTGCCTTGCCCCGTGGCCGTGGGCGGCTTGTTGATGAGCCCAGCTCTTTGGCTGTAAGATGGGGTCATGAGGTGCATCTCTGAGGGTGATGGAGGGGAACAGATGAGGCCCGTCTAGAAGAGACCCTCCCTACCTCAGGAACCCCGTCCTTGCTCATCTGAACTCACCCCGCTGTTCACATGTTTGCTTACTATGCTCTTCGTCCTTGGGGATGGATGCTTCCTCTGGCAGGCCCTGCCTGTCTGCTCTGGCACCCAGATCAGAAGGGCCCAGCTCCCAAAGGGCTCAAGAGGAGGAGGAGGAAGGGACTCTGGGCGGCAGATCCCTGCCTCTTCCCTGGCTCCTTCCTCCTGGTCCACTAGGGTAGTGGGCTAAATGGTGGCCCCCAGAGATATGAGGCCCAGGAACCTGTGCATGTGAAGTTTTTGGAAAAGAGTTGTTGCAGATGTCACTAAGCTGAGGATCTCAAGATGAGATCATCCCAGATTTAGGGTGAGCCCTAAATCCAGTGACACGTGTCCTTAGAAGAGAAACACAGAGAGAGACTTGAGACAAGAGCAACACAGAGAGAAGGCCACGTGACCGCAGAGGCAGAGGCTGGAGTGACGCTGGCCTGGCCCAAGAACTCCTGGGGCCACCAAAGGCTGACAGAGGTGAGGAAGGATCCTTCCCAGAGGCTTCAGAGGGAGTGTGGCCCCGGCCCCCACCTTGACTTGAGACCTGTGGCCTCCAGCACCCTAAGAGAATCGATCTCTGCTGTTTTTTGTTTTTTGCTTTTTTTTTTTTTTTTGAGATGGAGTCTTGCTCTGTCGCCCAGGCTGCAGTGCAGTGGGATAATCTCAGCTCACTGCAACCTCTGCCTCTCGGGTTCAAGCAATTCTCCTGCCTCAGCCTCCCAAGTAGCTGAGATTACAGGCACCCATCACCACACACAGCTAATTTTTGTATTTTTAGTAGAGATGGGGTTTTGCCATGTTGGGCAGGCTGGTCTCAAACGCCTGACATCAGGTGATCCACCTGCCTCAGCCACCCAAAGTCTGGGATTACAGTCGTGAGCCACTGCGCCCGGCCGATTTCTGCTGTTTTAAGCCACCGAGTTCGTGGTCATTTGTTACAGCAGCCAGGGAAACCAACATCATGGGTGATTCCCTTTCCCTAACGGGCTTTTCTGGCCTGCACTCCTGGCTCTCCTGGAGGCAGAACCCCCAGGTCCCTGCCCTGTCATGGGGCTCCCAGCTGGTCTCTTCCTTCACTGCTTCCAGGACCTGCTAGCCAGGCAGGGGAAGGGGGCTCCTCAGCACCCCAGCCTGGCCCCCAGGTAGGAGGTCTCATCGAGCTGTCTCTGTGAGCCACCCCACTTGCTTCTTGCTCTTTGCCTCTGCCCGACTAATGTTCAGTTTCTTCCCCTGCTCTTCTAATTCATTCAGCCATATTTCCCAAGTGTGGGTTGTGGGCAGGAGGGCCGGACAGTGAGGATAGAGGGACCGGGAAAAGGGATCCTCATTGTATTTAAAATTTTGGCATTTTCTTCATCATGGATTTGGGGAGGGGGGAGGTATTTTTTGTTGTTGTTTGTTTTGTTTTTTGAGAGAGAGTCTTGCTATGTTGCCCAGGCTGGTCTCAAATTCCTGAGTTCAAGTGATCCTCCCACCTCGGCCTCCCAAGTAGCTGGGGCTATGCGTGTGAGCCACTGTACCCGGCTAATTTTGATTTTAAGAGCTACTGTTGCTGGGAGTGGTGGCTCACATCTGTAATCCCAGCACTTTGGGAGCCCAAGGTGGGTGGATCACTTGAGGTCAGGAGTTCAAGACCAGCCTGGCCAACACAGTGAAACCCCGTCTCTACTGAAAATACAAAAATTAGCTGGGCATGGTGGCGGGTGCCTGTAATCCCAGCTACTTGGGCAGCTGAGGCAGGAGAATTGCTTGAGCCTGGGAGGTGGAGGTTGCAATGAGCCAAGATCGTACCACTGCACACCAGCCTGGGTGGCAGAGCAAGACTCTGTCTCAAAAAAAAAAAAAAAAAAAAAAGAGAGAGAGATGGCCGGGCGCGGTGGCTCACACCTGTAATCCCAGCATTTTGGGAGGCTGAGGTGGGTGGATCACTGGAGGTCAGGAGTTCAAGACCAGCCTGACCAACATGGTGAAACCCCGTTTCTACTATAAATACAAAAATTAGCTGGGTGTGGTGGCTCGCCCTGTAGTCCCAGCTACTCAGGAGGCTGAGGCAGGAGAATCACTTGAACCTGGGAGGCAGAGTGCAGTGAGCTGAGATCATGCCACTGCACACCAGCCTGGGCTATAGAGTGAGACTCTGTCTCACACACACACACACAAAAAGAAGGCGAGAAGGGGAGCCGGGGGAGAAATGAGCCTGGAAAGATGGCCCGGGCCAAATCAGGCGGGCTGGGGAGCCAGGCCAGGACTCTGCTTTCTGTTTGGCTGTGACTTCAGTAAGCTAGGGCAGGGTTTTGATGGGCCAGGGAGGAGTCCACGCGATCTGATTCACACGATAAAAGCATTTCCTGGGCCCTGAGTGGAGACCACAACGTGGGAGGGCAGAGCGGAGGCCGACGACTGGGAGGAGGCTTTGCAGTCGCCGGGCGAGACGATGGCTTTCTTTCCTGGCTCATTTCACACTAAACTGGGGACCAGCCAGAAAGCCTTGGGAACTTGTCAGACCCACATACGCTGCCACTGAGTCAACTGCTACTATCATCCCTGTGTGACCTGAACCGAAACCCACTCACTTGCGAAACTGCTGGAGGCTTCTTCACTAAAACCCATATGCATGCTAAGATCCTGGCGTAACATAAAATGTCATGTGCGTGTGCCGCGTAAAATGTGCGTGTGCACAGGAAAACCACTGCCAGTATTTACAGCAAAACACTCACAGTGACTCTCGGGTGGAGGGACCACAGGGGACTTTTATTGTCACAGCCCTGACTTCTGTCCTGCTTCAGACCAGACTCTCCAACCACTTCCTGGACACCTCCCTTTGTGCTTTTCTTTCCCCCTCAAATTTCCTGCAATGTTTTTTTTTTTTTTTTCGAGACAGAGTCTTGCTCTGTGACCCAGGCTGGAGTGCAGTGGTGTGATCTCGGCTCACTGCAACCTTCGCCCCTGGGTTTTTAAGTAATTCTCCTACCTCAGTCTCCTGAGTAGCTGGGATTACTGGCGCCTGCCACCACGCCCAGCTAATTTTTGTATTTTTAGTAGAGATGGGGTTTCACCATGTTGTCCAGGCTGGTCTCGAACTCCTGACCTTGTGATCCGCCCGCCTTGCCCTCCTGAAGTGCTGGGATTACAGGCCTGAGCCACCGCACCCGGCTGCCTTTGTTTTTGTTTTTGTTTTTGTTGTTGTTGTTTGAGACGGAGTCTCGCTCTGTTACCCAGGCCGGAGTGCATGGTGCGATCTCGGCTCACTGCAACCTCCGCCTCCTGGGTTCAAGCGATTCTCCTGCCTCAGCCTCCCGAGTAGCTGGGACTATAGCCACTTGCCACCATACCCAGCTAATTTTTGTATTTTTAGTAGAGACAGGGTTTCACCATATTGGCCAGGCTGGTCTCGAACCCCCGACCTCAGGTGATCCGCCCGCCTCGGCCTCCCAAAGTGCTGGGATTACAGGCGTGAGCCACTGCACCTGGTCTGTTGTTTTTTTTTTAAATTTTCTTTTTTTCACTCTCGCTGTCATCTTATACATATTGCCTTTGTAATCATATAGAATCCCCAGGAATGCTACTTCAAAAACTATGTATAAGGCCAGGTACCGTGGTGTATGTACACCTGTAGTCTCAGCTACTCAGGAGGCTGAGGTGGGAGGATGGCTGAGCCCTGGAGGTCAAGGCTGCAGTGAGCTCTGATTGCACCACTGCACTCCAGCCTGGGCGACAGAGTGAGAACCTGTCTCTAAAACAAAAACAAAAACAAAAAAAAAAAACTTTGTTAAAGAATTTTTTGGCCAGGCGCGCTGGCTTATGCCTGTAATCCCAGCACTTCGGGAAGTTAAGTCGGGCAGATCACAAGGTCAGGAGTTCGAGAACAGCCTGGCCAACATGGTGAAACCCCATCTCTACTAAAAATACAAAAATTAGCCGGGCGTGGTGGCTGGTGCCTGTAATCCCAGCTACTCGGGAGGCTGAGGCAGGAGAATCGCTTGAACCTGGGAGGCGGAGGTTGCAGTGAGCCTAAATTGTGCCACTGTACTCCAGCCTAGGCTACAGAGCCAGACTCTGTCTCAGGAAAAAAAAAGGTTTTTGTTTGTTTGTTTGTTTGTTTTTTGTTTTTTTAAGATGGGGTCTCTCTGTGTCGCCCAAGCTGGACAGCAGTGTTTAATTTTTTTTTTTTTTTTAAGATGGGGTCTTGCTCTGTCACCCAGGCTGGAGTAGAGTGGCACGATCATGACTCACTGTAGCCTCGACCTCTTGGGCTCAGGAGATCCTCCCACCTCAGCCTCCTGAGTAGCTGAGACTACCGGTGCACACTACCATGCCCAGCTAATTTTTGTAAAAGAAAAATTTTTTAAACAGAAAATTACTGTTATTGTTTTGGACAATGAACAGTATTTACTTTCTGTTTTTGGACTTAGACAAAGTCAAAGACTCACTTATCTCCCCCCCACCCCCACCCCTCCTACCCCTACTACAGAAAAGGCTCAGGGGAGGCAGGGATGGGCGTGGGTCCTTCAGGTCCCTGTTTGGGATTGGGCCTGTTTTCCCCCAGAGGAATGGCCACTGAAGTCGGGCAAGGAGACTGGTGCACTCATAGTAGCTGGATGGCGCTGTGGGCGGTGAGCGTATCATCCCACCCACGTGACCTATGCACTCACCCACCTTGTGAGGCCCAGTAATTCAGGACACCCCGGTCTTGCAGGAACTTTCTGTGCTCTGAAGGAGAAAGTCACCCGGCAGGGGCTGCTCTTGCTTCCAGTTCATGGTGCACGGCTCAGTAATCACATGCCATTCCCTGGCCAGTCCAACACTGTCCACAGCAAACCCAGTGCTGCCTGCTCTTGGACTGCTGGTGTGCCCTTCTCTCCTCAGACCTCCCCAGGTACCCCACAGCCCCGGCCTCTCAGGTCAGGAGCTGTCTCACAGCATTGAGAAGCACCAGCTGGGGTGGCCACCATCGTCCCTCGTCCCTTGTTGCATGTCTTCCAGCTGTGGCAGAGCCCACCTCCCCCTTCCCAGGCAGGCCCTTTAAGGTCATCCCCCTGCTAGAGTCTGAAGTCTGTGTCCCCCAGAAATTCACATGTTGCAATTAACCCCCAGGTGATGGTGTTAGGAGGTGGGATCTTTGGAAGGGAGTTAGGTCATTAGGGTGTCCTCATGAATGGGATTAGTGCCCTTACAAAAGAGGCCCTCTCAGAGAGACCCTTGCCCTTCCACCAGGTGAGGAGAGTAAGAAGGTGCCCTCTGTGGACAAGCAAGTGGGTCCTCACCAGACACCGACTAGAAGCCTCCTTGGTCTTGGACCTTCCAGCCTCCAGAACCATATGAAATACACTTCTATTGTTTATAAGCAGTCCAGGCACCTGGTTTATGGAACATTGTTAGGGAAGCTCAGATGGATGAAGACATCCCCTCTTTTTTTTTTTTTTTTTTTTGAGATGGAGTCTTGCTGTGTCACAGAGGCTGGAGAACAATGGTGCCATCTCAGCTCACTGCAACCTCCACCTCCCCGGTTCAAGTGATTCTCCTGCCTCAGCCTCCTGAGTAGCTGGGATTACAGGCACCCACCACTACGCCCGGCTAATTTTTTGTATTTTTAGTAGAGAGTAGGTTTCACCATATTGGCCAGGCTGGTCTCGAACTCCTGACCTCTCGACCTTCCCACCTTGGCCTCCCAAAGTGCTGGGATTACAGGTGTGAGCCATCACACCCGGTCAATATCCCCTCCTTTTCTTTTTTGAGGACTTCCCTCCAGCAGTCTTGCCCCCGCCTCCTGGCCCCCTGCATTGCCATCTCTCTCTCTCTCTCTGTCAGGGATCAGGCCACACAGAGGGGCTGTCATCTCCCTCTCCTGACCCCATGTCCTCCTGCACCTCAGCCTCCTATCTCTCCCTGACCACCATCGTTTACCCATACTTCCCACCCAGACCTCTCCCCTCCAGTCTCTGAATCAGCCAGGTCACGGTCCTGGGAACCACCCTGCCATCTGTCCTCACTGCTCTGGACCTAAGCAGAGTGCCCACACAGCTGCCCACTGGCCCAAAATGCTGTCCTTGCAGCCTCCTGGTTTTCCTCCCCCTCCCTGGCCCCTATTCTCCATGATGCCCCCTCCTCCATCCTCCCTCCCACTGACCTTCTCCTTCTGATCCCCTATCCCCCTGGCTTCCCCCCCACATCCTTCCTCCACCTGGCGTCCCCTCCCCCTGCTTCCCTCTCTCCCTGGTCCTCCCTCTCCTTGCCCTCTCCCTAGTCCCCCTTCTCCCTCAGCTGCCCCTCCCTGGTGCCCCCTCTGCCTGATCCTTCCTATCCCCCCATCTCCCTGATCCTCCTCCTTCCTAATCCTCCCTCTCCCGATCCTCCCTCTCCCTGGTCCCTTTATTCCGGACTCAGGGCTGATGGCTCCAGGGCTCTGTCCTCGCCCCTCTTTTCTTCCCACACTCTTTTCTCAGTGAGCTCATCCAATCCCAAATTTAAATCCCAGCCCTGACGTCTCTGTCCTGATTCAGGCTGGAGCCTCCAGTTGCTTCCTGGACCCTCATGCTTCGTGTGGACAAAGCGGAACCTCTGCCAAAGCCTCCTCTCCCCTGGCTATTCCCCCTCGAAAGTGGAGACTCTGTTTGCCAAGTTAAACAGGCCAGAAGCCCTGGAGTCCCCCTCAACTGTCCTCTCTTTCACCCCTCACATCCCATCCATCAGTAAATCACATTAAACGGGGCGTGGTGGCTCCTGTCTGTATTCCCAGCTACTTGAGTGGCAGAGGTGGGAGGATCGCTTAAGCCCAGGAGTTCCAGGCCGGCTTGGGCAACATAGTGAGACCCCATGACTATTATTTAAAAAGAGACTGGCCGGGCGAGGTGGCTCATGCCTGTAGTCCCAGCACTTTGGGAGGGCGAAGCGGGAGGATCCTGACCTATGAGGTCAGGAGTTTGAGACCAGCCTGGCCAACATGGTAAAACCCCGTTTCTACTAAAACTACAAAAACTAGCTAGGTACAGTGGCATGTGCCTGTAATTCCAGCTACGTGAGAGGCTGAGGTGGAAGAATTGCTTGAACCCAGTGGGCGGAGGTTGCAGTGAGCCGAGATCGCACCACTGCACTCAAGGCTGGACAACAGAGTGAGACTCTGTCTCCAAAAAAAAAAAAAAAAAAAAAAAGACTAAATGAGGTCCTGTTTCTCCTCTCAAACCCCTCCATGAGAGAAGAGGGAGGTTGCGTACATGGACGTGGACACCACAGAGGAGGGGGCTTGTCCAGAAGGGGAGTCAAAGAAGGTTCTGGGAAAGAGGCGCAGAGCGGCTCAAGGCTCCGTGAGGAAGGGAGACCATGTCAGCAGTGGAGACCCTGGGGGCGAGTGAGCAGAGACTGGGAGCTAGAGAAAGCCAAATCTGTGACGAAGAACATGCCAGGTAAGACCAGGCAAGTGTGTTGGCGCCAGGTCGTGGGGCCCTCGATGGCTAAGGAGCTGGGACTGTCTTTGGGAGGTGACCTGGAGCCACTGGAGATCCTGGAACAGGAGCAGTGGTGGCCACAGAGCTGGCGGCCTGTGCAGGATGGACTGGGGAAGGCAGGGAGGCCACCCCGTGCTTAGGCCTGAAGCAACCAGGGCAGTGGAAGGAACAAATAAAGACGGGCGGACAGGCTGGTAGGACTGCAACTGGTTGCTGTGGGGTGGGGGCAGAGAGGACCTATGATCAAGAAGTTAAAACTGCCGGGCACAGTGGCTCACACCTGTAATCCCAGCACTTTGGGAGGCCGAGGAGAGTGGATTGCTTGAGCCCAGTAGTTCAAGACCAGCCTGGGCAACACAGCAAAAACCCATCTCTACAAAAAAACACAAAAATGAGCCGGGCATGGTGCCACGTGCCTATAGTCCCAGCTACTTGGGAGACTGAGGTGGGAGGATTGCTTGAGCCCAGGAAGTGGAGGTTACAGTGAGCCGAGATTTCGCCACTTTGCTCCAGCCTGGGAGACAGAGTGAGACCCGGGGGATGATGTCTCCGTTCTTCCCCCAGGAAATAGTGAAATGGGACCTTGGTACTGGTGCGGTAGTAGGGGGCAGTTTCTGGACCACATGGCCAGG
Source organism: Homo sapiens (assembly GCF_000001405.40). Classification (NCBI taxonomy): domain Eukaryota; kingdom Metazoa; phylum Chordata; class Mammalia; order Primates; family Hominidae; genus Homo; species Homo sapiens. Next base: position 76,521,152 of record NC_000017.11, read on the forward strand.
GCTGATCAGACCCCAGGTGGGCCCCAGGCAGGCTTACAGGGTGGCCTCCAATGAGAGCTTTGTCCACCCCAGCCGCTGAGAAAGGCTGGATCCAACAGTGTTTCTACAGCGTTTTTTTCACAGAGGAGATTGAGAGCTGGTCACTCCGTGATGGAAGGAAGGGAAAGTGGAGAAGCCCGCCCAACATGAGTGGTGTCCCAGGGACTTAAGGCTGCAGTGGGGGTGCGCAAAAGACAATGGGGGCCCTGATAATTATCAGAGGGTCAGGAGATGGTTGGGCCGGGAGCTGCCTTCCCCTAGTCTGCTGTTCAGTTCCCAGGCTCCTGGGCAGCTGCGCCGGTCTCTCCTTCTAGCAAGGCTGGGTCATGTGGCTTTCCCTGATCCCCAGAGACTGGACTCCCTTATTTCCAAGTATGTCTTTACTGTGCACTCCCCACACTCACTTTGTTTTTTGTTTTTTTGTTTGTTTGTTTTTTGAGACAGTCTCACTCTGTCGCCCAAGTTGGAGTGCCCTGGTGCCATCTCGGCTCACTGCAACCTCTGTCTCCTGGGTTCAAGTGATTCTCGTGCCTCAGCCTCCTGAGTAGCTGGAATTACAGGCGCTCACCACCACGCCTGGCTAATTTTTTTGTATTTTTAGTAGAGACGGGTTTCACCATATTGGCCAGGCTGGTCTCGAACTCCTGACCTCGGGTTTCACAATGTTGGTCAGGCTGGTATCAAACTGCTGACCTCAGGTGATCCTCCCGCCTCGGCCTCCCAAAGTGTTGGAATTACAGGCGTGAGCTGCCGTGCCCAGCCTCCCCACCCTCACTCTGGGAGCCCAAATAGGCCTTTGCTCCTTGCCACCAAAAGCTCCTGCCCCAGTGTCTTCAGCCCTAAGGGCCAAGTCCAAACTCATACTCTGCTGCAATCAATTCTTTTACCAAAGGCATCCAATGAGCAACTATGAAACCTGCTGCCCTGTGGGTGGGTGGGGGCGACTCTCTGGAGGTCAAGAGGAGTGTGTGCTGGGCACGGTGGCTCATGTCTATAATATCAGCACTTTGGGAGGCTGAGGAGGGAGGATCGGTTGAACCCAGGAGTTTGAGGTTGCAGTGAGCTGTGATCGCGACACTGCACTCCAGCCTGGGCAACAGAGCCAGACAGTGTCTCAAATAAATAAATAAATAAGATTTAAAAATGAGTGTTCTTTGGCTGAGGTCCCATGAACGTGCTACAGTAAGACACTACAATAAGACAGAACCTGGAATAGGGTGCAGCGAGTGAGGTGCTGGCCTGGGGCCCAAAATTTAAGGGGCCTAGTAATCAAGAGAAATAATATTGAAATACAATACTTAAAAAAATCAATGTTAAAACAAAAATATCAATGATGAAGAGAAATTGATTTTACTTTTTTGTTTTTGAGATGGAGTCTCGCTCCGTCGCCCAGGCTGGAGTGCAGTGTCATGATCTCAGCTCACTGCAACCTCCCCCTCCCGGGTTCAAGCGATTCTCCTGCCTCAGCCTCCCCAGTAGCTGGGACTACAGGCTTGTGCCACCACGCCTGGCAAATTTTTGTATTTTTAGTCGAGACAGGGTTTCGCCGTGTTAGCCAGGATGGTCTTGATCTCCTGACCTCATGATTTTCCTGCCTAGGCCTCCCAAAGTGCTGGGATTACAGGGGCGAGCCACTGCGCCCGGCCCAGATAAAATCATTTTACTTTATTTTATGTTTTGAGATGGGGTCTTGTTCTATTGCCCAGGCTAGAGTGCAGTAGCACGATCACAGCTCACTGTAGCCTGGACCTCCTGTGCTCAGGCAATTCTCCCACCTCGGCCTCCCAAAGTGCTGGGATTACAGGCGTTCTTTAAAAAAAAATTGACCATTTATTAACTTTTTCCACTTGGTTCCAACTATGGGGGTGACATTTTCCTGAGTGTGTACAAGGCTGCACAGAGAATCCCCCACTTCCTTCTCCTGCAAATAAACTGGGAAGGGATTCCTCCAGCTTCCTCGGTCTCAGGCTGCAGCGCGGCTGCAGCTCCCGAAAGTGAGGGAGCAAGTGGTCACCCCAGGAGGGTAATGGGATCCGCGGCGCAGGAGGCGGCTCCCGGGTGAGGATCCCTCCGCGGCCAGCAGGGGACGCTGTGGGGCTGCGCCGCCAGGACCGTTTTGCCAGGGAAGAAGCCATCGCGCACCTGGGTTCGTGACACCCGCGTCGCTCACAGCCCCAGCTCGCCCGGGGAGCTGACCCACTTGCTCAGCTCCTGGGCGAGATAGCTAACTCTGGGTGTAGAGAACAAAACCAAAGCCGAGACGTTGCTCCTTACCCACTAGTCCCCTGCACCCAGGCATAGCCCACCCAGAATACCACACCTTCCCCCAGCAAGGCCTCTGGGGTATCCTGTTTGTCCCAGGTCCAAGTAGCATCCCCAGCCCGGGTCTGGCTGATTCGCTAATTGCCAGTGTCCTCTCTATTGGGAATGGAGAGCAGGAAGAACCTTCCAGAAGGGCCACATTCTCGAAGGATTCCAGTTTTGATGAGTTCAGAAGCCCCTTCACCATTCTCAAGCCAAGTGGTATGAAATGAGGAGGGGGGCCTTTCTTCCCTGATCGTCTCCCTCACCCCCGACCTCAGATGCCCCTTTTCCTCTGATAGTCCCTACGGCCCATGGCTCTGTGATCCCCATTGGCTCCGGTTCCAGCTCTGGCTTGCCTGGGCCCACCAGGGGCCCTGGGCCCAGGACTTAGAAGCTCTCCTGGGTTCCTTCTATTTCTTTTCTTTTCTTTCTTTCTTTCTTTTTTTTGTTTTTGAGACAGAGTCTTGCTCTTGTTGCCCAGGCTGGAGTGCAATGGCACAATCTCGGCTCACTGCAACCTCCGCCTCCTGAGTTCAAGTGATTCTCCTGCCTCAGCCTCCCAAGTAGCTGGGATTACAGGCGCCTGCCACCACGCCCGGCTAATTTTTGTATTTTTAGTAGAGACGGGGTTTCGCCATGTTGGCCAGGCTGGTCTCGAACTCGTGACTTCGTGATCCTCCTGCCTCAGCCTCCCAAAGTGCTGAGATTACAGGCGTGAGCCACTATGCCCAGCCTCTTTTCTTTTCCTTTTTCTTTTCTTTCTTTTCTTTTTTTTTTTTTTTTTTTTTGAGACGGAGTCTCATTCTGTCGCCCAGGCTGGAGTGCAATGGCGTGATCTCGGCTCGCTGCAACCTCCGCCTCCTGAGTTCAAGTGATTCTCCTCCCTCAGCCTCCTGAGTAGCTGGGATTACAGGCGCCCGCCATCACACCTGGCTAATTTTTGTATTTTTAGTAGAGACAGGGTTTCAGTAGAGACACGGTTTCACCATGTTGGCAAGGCTGGTCTGGAACTCCTGACCTCAAGTGATCCACCTGCCTCGGCTTCCCAAAGTGCTGGTATTACAGGCATGAGCCACCGCGCCCAGCTGGTTCCTTCTATTTCTTTTGCTTTGCCTTCCGACGTGGCCCTGATGGCCTGACAGTCACTGTCCCCTGCACTGTGGCGTCCATCCTCCTCCTCCTCGTACCTGCCTTGCAAGGCAGGCTTCATGTTCACTCCTGCAGTGAACATGAGGCAGGAAGAGACCGCATAAGTTAGAGGTGACTGTGGCTCAGAAAGGCTGCGTGACTTGCCCAAGGTCACATAGCAGTGAGAGATGGAGTGTGGGCCCAGAGCCAGCACGCTGTCTTTTGGCATTGCCTCCCTGGAAAGGCGGGGCCCGCACTGTCCTCTCTGCCCTGCACTGTTTTAGTTCACACAGCTCACTCTTGGCCCGTGCCGGGTATTTGTCTTGCTTTCTAAGAGTGTTTATTTATTGATTCTTTGGATTTCTACTTAGTTCCTCCCCTGTGCCAGGCCCAGGAGACAAAGGCGGAGGCTGCACTCAAGGAGTTCATGGTCTGGGAGACAAGACTCTTCCTGCGTGTCAGCTGAGTCTTCCCAGGCAGCCCGCAGGACTCCCAAGGGGCAGAGGCTGTTTCCTGCTTCTCCTGCAGCCCACCCGGGGCTGGTGACCTCCTGGTCCCTTCTCAGGGAGCTGCTGCTGCTGCCGCCTCCATCGTCGGGTGGGGGCTGGGCAGGCCTGACCCAGCAGACTATGGGGTGAAGGATAGAGGGCTGAGGAAGGGGTCTGGGAGCTGAGAGCTCAGGGAAGGTGTTGGGGGTTTAAAGCTGATGAAAGCAGTCTTCCTTTCTCAAACACCCAAGGGCTGATCCACCGCATGTAACTTGAGCAGCAGGGCCGGGCCCTCAGCTTTGCCTGTGCGCAGCCTCCGGTGTTCAGGTGTAGAAGGTCAAGGTTCAGGCCAGGCACGGTGGCTCACGCCTATAATCCCAGCACTTTGGGAGGCCGAGGTGGGCGGATCACCTGAAGTCAGGAGATCAAGACCATCGTGGCCAACATGCTGAAACCCCGTCTCTGCTAAAAAATACAAAAATTAGCCGGGCGTGGTGGCACATGCTTGTAATCCCAGCTACTTGGGAGGCTGAGGCAAGAGAATCGCTTGAACCCAGGAGGCAGAGGTTGCGGTGAGCTGAGATTGTGCCATTGCACTCCAGCCTGAGCAACAACAGCAAAACTCCGTCTCAAAAATAAATAAATAAATAAATAAAAGAAGGTCAAGGTTCAAGGTTCAATCCTTGGATCTATCACTAAAGCACTGGGACAAACAGGGCCCTTCTGCCTTCTGTCTGGATATCTCGCCTCTGATTCCTTCATCTCTATTGTACCCTTGCTGGGAGGCGATTTCCAGAACCAAATCTTAAAAACCTCCTGACTTTTTTTTTTTTTTTAAGACGGAGTCTCGCTCTGTCCCCCAGGCTGGAGTGCAGTGGCCAGATCTCGGCTCACTGCAAGCTCCGCCTCCCGGGTTCACGCCATTCTCCTGCCTCAGCCTCCCGAGTAGCTGGGACTACAGGTGCCCGCCACCACGCCCGGCTAATTTTTTGTATTTTTAGTAGAGACGGGGTTTCACCGTGTTAGCCAGGATGGTCTCGATCTCCTGACTTCGTGATCTGCCCGCCTCAGCCTCCCAAAGTGCTGGGATTACAGGTGTCAGCCACCACACCCGGCCTTGTTTTTTTTTTTTTTTTTTGAGACTGAGTGTTGCTCTGTTGCCCAGGCTGGAGTGCAGTGGCCCGATCTCAGCTCACTGCAACCTCCTCCTCCTGGGTTCAAGCGATTCTCCTGCCTCAGCCTCTTGAGTAGCGGGACTACAGGCACGCGCCACCACGCCTGGCTAATTTTTGTATTTTTAGTAGCGATGCGGTTTCACCATGTTGGCCAGGATGGTCTTGATCTCCTGACCTCAAGTGATCTGCCCACCTCGGCCTCCCAAAGTGCTGGGATTACAGGTGTGAGGCACCGTGCCCGGCCTTGCCTCCTGACCTTTTAACAAGGCTGACCTCCCCCAACCCCCACAAAACCCCAGTTCCAGTTTCCAGCCCTGCGTTCCTGATGAACCAGGTGAGGAACCCACAGCAATCTTAATCCCCAATTTAGAGAGAAGCCCAGGGGGAGCCAAAGGTGAGACACAGGGGATGGGGCGCCCTTGGTGTGGGACAGGGGATGGGGCACCCTTGGTGTGGGACAGGGGATGGGGCGCCCTTGGTGTGGGAGAGGGGATGGGGCGCCCTTGGTGTGGGACAGGGGATGGGGCGCCCTTGGTGTGGGAGAGGGGATGGGCCGCCCTTGGTGTGGGACAGGGGATGGGGCGCCCTTGGTGTGGGACAGGGGATGGGGCGCCCTTGGTGTGGGAGAGGGGATGGGGCGCCCTTGGTGTGGGAGAGGGGATGGGGTGCCCTTGGTAGTGGGACAGGGGATGGGGCGCCCTTGTTGTGGGACAGGGGATGGGGCGCCCTTGGTGTGGGAGAGGGGATGGGGTGCCCTTGGTAGTGGGACAGGGGATGGGGTGCCCTTGGTAGTGGGACAGGGGATGGGGCGCCCTTGGTGTGGGAGAGGGGATGGGGTGCCCTTGGTAGTGGGACAGGGGATGGGGCGCCCTTGGTAGTGGGACAGGGGATGGGGCGCCCTTGGTGTGGGAGAGGGGATGGGGCGCCCTTGGTGTGGGACAGTGGATGGGGCGCCCTTGGTGTGGGAGGTCAGGGGAGGACTTTCAGGAAAAAGGCCTGCGTCCAGAACCGGGGATGGGGGACAGAGGTGAGGGAAGGTGGCAGGAAGAGACTGCACGAGTGTGCACAGGTACAGCAAGAACGGGTCTGTTTAATGACACAGCTGGGTCTGGTTACAAACATCAGAAACTAGAAAAGGAGGACGGGCGGTTGCACAGATGAGGATGAGGATGAAGATGAGGATGAGGATGGGCCAGGAGGGGACACAGCAGGAGCCACAGCAGCAAAACATCCTTGAAGACGACACACGTGACCAAGGGGCACACACGGGGGGCCCCCCTGGCAAGCCTGACGCAGATGAATAGACAGGGCCGACTGCCGGCCAGGAGGAGGGTGGGGTGGGGAAAGCCCTCGGCCCTCGGAGCTGAGGGTGAGACCCAGGCATGTGGTCCCGCCGACCTGCTGCCCAGCAGCCCGGATCCCCCGGGGCTGCCCTGGTGGCCAAGGCAGGTGGAGCTAGCGGTCGAGGTTTCTGGACTGAGGCCCCTCCCCCAGTGCGGTCATCCCACCCAGAACTTCGCTCTGCCCCTGCCCATTCTAGGACAGCCGGTGAGTCAGTTCCTCTGAGGGAGTAGGGGGAGCCCACTCCTTTCTGCCTGGAAGTGGAATTCAGGAATGTGGGGAGCTGGTCTGAGAAGGGGCTGGGCTTTGCCGCCAAGCCGGGTTGCCCCAGCCCTGCCCCTCCAGGCCCAGGTCCTCTGCGCTGCTGTGGGATTTCCTCTTTGCCAGAACACTCTGTTCTCTGCACAACCGGAACCCCTCCCTGCCCCACTCACAGGTGGGCCAAACCGAGGCTTCTGGGCGCCGCGGATACACATTCTAGATATGTATGTGTGTATATATATATGTATATATATATTTATATATAGCTCGTATATAGAATATATCTGTATATATGGTAGATGTGTGCGTGATACTCTAGATGGTGATGTGGAGACCTGCATGCTGGCCGGGCTGATAGAAACGGGGCTGGTTTATTCCCTAAGGGACTCCTAGACCTGTCCCGCTTCCTGCCAGCCGCTCAGCTAGGTCTCTCTCTAACAGTGAGTAGAAAAGCTAAGAAGAGTGGGCCCCGCTCTGCCCGCCGCGCTGGGGTCAGCATCCAGGCAGCCAGCGCCGCCTCCCAGCAGCTCCAGGGGGGGACCCTGGCCGCCACAGAGGCCTCCTTCGGGGAAGTTGAGTCAGGGATTCCTCCAGCTTCCTTGGCACCCAGAAATGGAGCGTCAAGGAGGGTCTTCAGAACTCGGCCTTCTGCTCGAGGTGCTGCCAGGGAGGGGGGTGGAGTTAGGGGTCCTACGGCCCCGAAGAGGGCAGTGTGGCCGGTGGGCTGTGGACGAGATAGGAAGGGAAGGACAAACGTTACCAGAGGCAGGGAAGGACCCTCGGGGGAAAGGGGGAGGACCTGGGGCTGGCGAGGCTCACTTCCTGCCAAGAGATCCGGCACAGTGCAGTTGAAAGCAACCGTGAGACCCAAGTTCTAGTCTCCGTCCTGCTACGAACGTGCTGTGTGATCTCAGGCAAGTCTACTGGCCCATGGGAGCTCCGGATCTTTTTCTCTAAAATGTGAATAATGTCTGTCTTGTGACATAAACTGGGTAAAAAAGTGTTTCACAAACTGCAAAGCACGATACCAATGTGAGCTCTTTTTCCATTAATTCTGAAACGTGGCGCATTCTGTCCGGCCTGTCTCGTCCCTCCTCGGGCCACCCATCTGTATTCTCGTATTCTCGGTACACACAGCGCCCCCTGCAGTCATTGCGCCCCCCCCCCACCCCCCACCCACGCAAAGGCGCACACCCTGGAGCAGAGACGGCTCAATAAACAGTGGCGCCTGGCCCACCCCTGCTTCCCTGATAAGAGAAGTTGGGCGAGGGCCTTCTAGGACTCTACTCTGTAACTCCATCCTACCCTCGAGCCCATGGGGACCCTGGCAGCAGGGAGGCTCTGCAGGCTCAGGCCAGGGACACTAGGGGTGGGCTAGAGGGTGTAAAGGGATGAGGGGACCACCCCACCACTTGACAGCTGGGAGTAACCCCCATGGGGTGCCAGTTTCCACGGTAGCCCATCTCCATTCAGTCCACAAGGAGCAGAAGTGGGCGGAGGAGGAGACTTCGGCCGTTTCAAAATGTTTGGGGTTTGGAGAGATCTTAGTCCCTAGGGCAGGGTGGGGAGGGCAGGACGGGCAGCGTGCTGGGGAACTTGGGCCATGTGTTTCTGATTCACTGGGGCTCGCGCCCAGCCAGCTCTCTTTCCAGTCTCTCTTGGCCCTTGTAAAAAAGCCCTTTTCTCTGGAAGCAGGAAGTCTTGTGTCCTGGCTGTAAACAAACTCATCTTTGGCAGCAGAGCCTGCGTGGGGAGAGGGGTGGGAGGGCAGGCAAGCCCCCTCCCCTCCTCTTCCCCTGTCTTTTCCCTGGACCCTCTGGGTGACAGCTGGTGGGGGGTGAGGGGGCAACCACTGCTCTCCACGCCCTGCCAGTGCCCTCCTCTGGTGGGCCAACATCTGCTTGTTTCCCATTGACTCCCAGGTCTCAGGCAGGCCAGGGCCCAGCTGTGCACATCTGGAGTTGGCTTGGCTCCAGCCAGCAGTTCCCGAGGACTCCACTCTCTTGGGGTGGTGCTGACGGGAGAGGGGGGAGGGGAGCAGGAGCCAGCCCGGGGCCAGTGTGGTCAGCAGCAGGAAGGGCAGGAGGCCTGGCGTCCCCAGCTGCCCTCAGGGGACCTCCTCCAGGAGCTGTGCCTGTGAACAGAAGGGCCGGCAGTCTTGGGGGCCCGTGCAGAGCCCGGCGGGAGACGCCGCCTTTTCCATGGGAAACTGCTGGGAATGTTTCTCTACCACGGGAATGTTTCTCTACCACGCGTGTCCCGGGCTGCTGGCTGACCTCTGCTTCCCATTCCCGCCTCCGCTCCTCTCCTCCTTCCTACTCCAGCCCTGCCTCCGCCTCTCCATTCAGCTCCCAGAGTCAGCCTCCCCTTGGGGGCCCAGGGAGGCCGAGTGTTCCCAACCGCCACATCTGGGGGCTAGCCCTCCCCTCACGCTCCGAGTCAGCAGGAGTCACAGAGGGCGGCCACCCTCCTTGAGCCACCTCCTGGGCCCAGAACTGGAAGCCCAGCCTCCAGGTCAGCCTGGAAGTAAACATGCCCCTGCTCGTGTGCGTGTGAGCGACACCCATGTAGCTTCCTCGTGGGCTGGGGTGTGTGTGTGTGTGTATGTGTCCTCGTGATCCTCCGGGCTCTAGCCCTATTGAGGCAGAGGGCATTTAGCAGCACTGGTCGGCATGAGATGAAAAAACAGCCCCTTGTGATTGGCACCCAGGGAGGAAGTGGCTGGGCTGACCTGGGCTGCCTCCGAGCCTGATGATCGGACCTTACCGCCAGGAGCCTCTGGCGCCTCTCTGCCTGGGCAGCTGTGGCTTTGGGTGCTCTGAGCTCTCCCTGGCTCTAGGGAAGGGGAAGGCTCTTTGGGAGGATTTTTGCTCAGGGCTCATGGCTCTGAGCAGCCTGAAGTCACAGGGGAGCCATCTTGAAGGCCTTTCCTATTATGCCTGTTCTTACATGTCAGACCCCAGGGTTGGCCTGCCTCAAGTGTGCCTGCCCAGGTGATCAGCCCCAGGGCCTCAGGAGATATGGGAGACCTCGGGGACAGCAGAGGACATGGCGGGGAGGCTGCCCAGCCCACCCTCGCCCGCCTCCTCACGTGGTGGCGTTGGGGACCTGCTGCACCCAGCCCACTTCCTTGTAGGCAGCGGTCACGTGGCTGTAGATGAGGCCACGCAGCTTGGCCCAGGCTCTCTGCGTCTCAGGTGGGAAGTCACTGGCAAATTCCTCGGCGACCACCTCCAGAATGACCCCAGAGAGGATCTGGGGGCAAAGGGAGGAAGGGGGAGTGAACGCCCGGGCGCCCTGCGTCCTGCAACCCCCAGGCCCCTCCGCCCCACGTGTGGCCGAGAGGATCATTCCTAACGCAACAGTCTGGCAGCTTTGGGAACCCCGTGCTCTCAGGACAAGGGTTGCCCTGGACCCAGCCCCTCCATCCTGCTGCCGGGCACTGCCCCTCCCTCTCGCAGCCACTCCGGGGATCACCTCTGTTGCTCCAGAGAGCCGTCGCAGAGCCTGCGAGCTGCAGATGGCCATGACGCGTGGGCGGTGGGGGCTCTGCAGCAGATGGGGGCGCATACCTTGAAGTACACCGGTTCCACCTTGTGCTTGAGGGCGTGGGCTTTCCCCACAAGGGCGAGCACAGAGGACACCTTGTCGGGGTCATGCAGGTTCTCCACGACAGTGTTGAGGGCCCCCATGACTCGGCAGGCGTGCTTCCGCAGCTGGGGGCTCCGCTCCATCTCCAGGGGATCCTCCATGTGCTTGAACTGGCTGAAGTACTGCTTGGCCGAGGGGAAGTTCACAAAGAACCTGGCAAGAGGAACAGGGGTGGTCGCTGAAGCTGGAGGCTGCCTCGGGCCCACCCTGAAGCTTCCAGGATAGTGGGGGCTGAAGAAGTGGACCGCAGTGCTCCCCACCCCCGCACCGTCACTGTTTTCACTACCATCAGTAGACCTCAGCATAGACCCTCCTCCCTCTGGCCAAGCCGGCTCACCCCTACCAAGTCTGGCCATGTCTATCTGCCAGGCTTGCTCAGGCTGGCGGCTTCATCTCCTAGGCCTCTGTCTTCCTCGCTTCTTGCTTCCTTCCCAAACTCTACACCCCCTTCAAGCCCTGCTCTAGTCATAGCCGAGAGGGTAAGAACTCAGGTTCTGGAATCATGAGTTGATCTGAAATTAAATCCTCTCTAGTTGGACTGAAATTGTTCTGACTCTCCCAAAATACTGCTTTCATGAAGTCATGCTTATGCTCAAAAACATTCAATGGCTCCCTATTGTCTGCCAAAGTGAAACTCCTTAACCGGGCATTCCAGACTTCTGAACTGTCCCCCACCCGCTTCTTCAAACTCATGTCCACATTCCCCACTATACTCGCATCATCCCTGTCCTGGCTCAGCGGCTTTACTTACAGTTGGGAAAATGTTCCTCGGGTGAGCCACATTCCTTTCTACTACCCTTTTCCTGTGTCAGACATGCCTTACCTGGAGCAGGCTGGCCCAGGGGAAATGCTTTGCCCCTGAGGCCATTGGCACTACTCAGGTGACCTTCCCTGCCCTCCTTCCAGCGTGTCAGACTGGATCCCAAGGCTCTCACGCACCCTCTGACCCCCTGCCCTAGCTGGGGCCCTGCAGTGTGAAAAATGACAATGGCTTTTTTTTTTTTTTTTTTTGAGATGGAGTCTCACTCTGTCATCCAGGCTGGAGTGTGGTGGTGCAATCTTGGCTCGCTGCAACCTCTGCCTCCTGGGTTCAAGTGATTCTCTTGCCTCAGCTTCCTGAGTAGCTGGGACTACAGGCATCCATCACCACGCCCGGCTAGCTAATTTTTTGTATTTTTAGTAGAGACAGGGTTTCACCATGTTGGCCAGGCTGGTCTCAAATTCCTGACCTCAGGCGATCCGCCTGCCTCAGCCTCCCAAAGTGCTGGGATTACAGGTGTGAGCCACCACGCCCGGCCGACAATGACTTTTTCACCTCCCCTCCCTGTCGGGGCTGGATGTCATGTGAGACATGGGCACCGACTCAATCAGAACTTAAATAACTTAAGTGAATCCCCAGAAAATGTATGGAGTGGCCTGGACCTGTTCTTCCAGGTTGTTCTGCCCCTTCGTGTGTCCCCTTTGCGATCAGAGAGAGCTGATAATTTGCGGAAGTAGCCCTTTGGCCAGGAGTCGAGTCTCAGATGTGAGGGCTGGAACAGATGCGGAGAGGGCATCTGGCCGGGTCATCCCTGCTGCTGGTGGAACTGCTATTGGCGGGGAAGTTTGCACAGTGACCAGGGCACAGTCTGTGTGGAGACTCAGGAGGGCCCCTCTCAGAGGCCAACTGTGACCTTGGGCAAACCGCTTCACAAGCTCCCTGTTTGCAGAAGGGCAAGAGGAGGGCCCCCGCTCACTGCTTCATGGATACACGGGTGAGGACACGTGAGGCGACGGGTCTGAAAATACATTGAATTTTCTGGAGAAGCACTGTAATGAGGGACAAATGTGAAAAACCCAATTTGGACTTAAACAAGCATCTCAGACTTTGGAGGTTTTACAATTGCAATAAAAAATAATGATATGGCCGGGCACGGTGGCTCACGCCTATAATCCTAGCACTTTACGAGGCCGAGGCGGGTGGATTGCTTGAGCTCAGGCATTTGAGACCAGCCTGGGCAATGTGGCAAACCCTGTCTCTACAAAATACAAAAAATTAGCCAGGTGTGGTGGCACACACCTTTGATTCCAGCTACTCAGGGGCCTAAAGTGGGAGGATCACTTGAACCCGGGAGGCCAAGGCTGCAGGGAGCCAAGATTGTGCCATTGCACTCCAGCCTGGGTGACAGAGTGAGACCCTGAATCCAAAGAAATAATGATAATAATAATAATAAAAGGTCAGGTGTGGTGGCTCATGCCTGTAGAACTTTGGGAGGCCAAGGCAGGAAGATCACTTGAGGCCAGGAGTTTGAGACCAGCCTGGGCAACATAGTGAGATCCTGTCTCCAGAAAAAAAGAAAAAAATTGGCTGGGTGTGGTGGTGCCCGTCTGTAGTCCTAGCTACTTGGGAGGCTGCAGCAGGAAGATCCGATCGCATCACGAGCCCAGGATTGGAGGCTGCCATGAGCCATGATGGCGCCACCGTACTCCAGCTTGGGTGACAGAGCAAGACCCTGACAAAATAATAACAATGATATATATATTTGCCTGCTGTGTTACAATGTTATTGTACCTTTTTTCTTTTTCTTTCTTTCTTCTTTCTTTCTTTCTTTCTCTCTCTCTTTCTCTTTCTCTCTCTCTCTCTCTCTCTCTCTCTCTCTTTCTTTCTTTCTTTCTTGAGACAGAATCTTACTCTGTTGCCCAGGCTGCAGTGCACTGGTGCAATCTTGGCTCACTGCAACCTCTGCCTCCTGGGTTCAAGGGATTCTCCTGTCTCAGCCTCACAAAGTTAGCTGGGATTACAGGTGCCCGCCACCACACCCGGCTAATTTTTGTGTTTTTAGTAGAGACGGGGTTTCGCCATGCTGGCCAGGCTGGTGTCGAACTCCTGACCTCCGGTGATCTGCCTGCCTCGGCCTCACAAAGTGCTGGGATTACAGGTGTGAGCCACGGTGCCCGGCCTGTTATTGTATTTAATTGCCACAGCTAAGCGGGTATTACCTCTATTTTACTGATGAGGAAACAACAGGGAACATTTATTGAGCACTTACTGTACGATCTCACGAATCCTTGCAATTCTCTCCTGAGGTAGGCACTGTTTTAATCCCCATCCTATGAATTAGGAATTGATGTCCAAGATTGCCCAACAAAGTAGATGGCAGTGCCAGGAAGGGGCCCAGGCAGGCCCGCTTTGACAGTTTCCCTACACTGCCTGGAGAGACAGCTGTGCCAGGGGATCGTGGCCTGGTAACCAGGTGTCTCCTGCCTCAACACCCACCACCGGGTTGTGGCCCTGAGGAATGACAGTCTCAGGGAGTCCCCACCCAGACCCTCCACGGTTCTGTGGCCCCTGGGGCCCATGTGCCTGGCTCCTTCCTCCTGGCTCTGCGGTGTTTCCACCTGAGACCCTCCCGGTCTCAGCCTGTGCTGCCAGGGAGGAGCCTCCACAGCCAGCCCTGGGGAGTTTCTCAGCTCCCAGAGGCATCTGGGCTTCCAAGAGAGCCTGAAATAGGCCTGTCTGAGTGTGAGGAGGAAGGTGTCAGAGTTACAACCAGCAGGGAGGGTGGGTGTTCCCTCTTGGTCTCCTCCCTGGCAGGGAATGGAAGTGTGGGGTCTGCCTCAGGCTCTAAAGCAACGCCTCCTCCACCCCCACCAATGTGGCAACTTCTCCAGGTTGGGGGTGTGGAAGTGCAGCTGCCTCCTTCCTGCCCTGCAGGCTCATAAGGGCTGAGGGTGCTGGCCTGGCGCAGTGGGGAGGGCAGAGGTGAGAGTGCTGGCCAGAGGGCTGCAGCTGGGGTCTTGACCTTGAGGATGTGTATGTTGTGTGTGGGAAGACAGGGTGCTGTGTCAAGACTGACGGGCCCAGGATCTGAGAAGGGACCTTCAGGAGCCCTTATCCCCCTTTCTTCCCCTTCCCCCACTGACCAGGCCCTGGACAGAGACAGGAGGAGAGAAAAAGGAAAGCAAGGCCCTGTGGGGCTTGGGCTGGCAGGGAGTGGCTGAGACAAAGCTGGGCCAGGCTGTCCTGGGGCTGGGCTCTAGTCCACAAAGAAGTGGAGTCAGAGTGGTGAGGGGTTACTCTGGGCACTGAGTGCATTGGTAATGACCTCCCCCAGCCCAGGCCCAGGCCCCTCTAAGAGACAGGAGTGGGGAACTGGAAGAGGGGTGTAGAGAGAGAAAGAAATCCTTGCTGAAAACTCGGACTGCCCAGACATGGCCCTGGCCTCGGTGTTTCGTTTCTCCCTTGGCATCTGCCCTACCCTGGTCCCCTTCCTGGGGAGGTTCAATGGTGTTCCATGATGTGGACGGTGAGCACTTCCTCCACGTATCCGCACAGGTACCTGGCAGGGGTTGGGACACAAAACCTCCAAGGTCCTGAGGACCCTGCCTCGCTTCTTCATGGTGACCCATGAGTGTGCCAGACGCATGCAAGGCCGGTGGGCTGCAGGTGCTGACACACGGCTGACGGCACCCTCCGAGGACGCAGTCTGGCACATCTGCGGCTCTGCTACCCACAATGTGCTTGTGTGGGTGCCAGCACCTGTGGGGATTGGTGGTTCCGAGCGTCTGAGGCCCTAGTATCCCAATGTCCCTCTTAGCTTCCTGCCACTCCCGACTGTGTTTCTGGGCTTGGGGGCTGCTGAGATAGCTGCCCCATCCTCAGGAGCGCTCCTCTAACTCCTTAGAAGTGCTTCCTGCTCTTTTTCCTCCAAAATCTGCTTCTGAGTTGGAATCAGGGCATATCATGGTGGAGCTGGGTCGGTCCCAGGCTTGGGAGAGGCCACAGGGAGAAGAAGCTGGAGATGGAGCAGGCCTGGTAGTCAAGGATGCACTAAAGCTGCCCTTCCAGAGCGAGGCTTCACCCCATCTGCACATGACAAGGCTGCCCTGCTCTGTCCTAGATTTGACCGCTTTCCTCTGCCAAGAAGAGGGGCTTGAGGGTGAGCATGGTCTGGGGCTCCTCTGCCTGCACCCCCAGGGACCAGCACGTGTGGAAAGAGAGCATGGATTTGTAGCTAGAGTCAGTGACTAGCTTTCGAGACTTGGACACATCACCTCTATAAGGATGGTGTGTGTGCTCTAAGCCTAGGTGTGTGAAGAACGGGGCGCTCTGTGTTTGTGGGTCTCTTGGGGGCATGTAGTGCCTGAATGACCCCTAAGCCCAAGCCACTGCATTTCCTCCCTAGGTGGGAGGTTTTAGGGTTAGGCCCTGTCTCCTGAAGCTTCTCTCTTCTTCCCCTCACCCTCCAAACTCAGCAGGGATTGTATCCTAGGGGACTGTTTGCTTCTCCACTCACCTGTGCCTGCCCTGGGCGCTCCTGCTGGCCCGTGCCCTCCAGCGGGAAGGGGGCAGCTGGGAACACTGGACCCCCCGGGCTCTCCTCTTTCTCAACCTCTGCTCTTTGCTCTCTGTTCTTCCAAGAGGCTTTGAATCCCGCAAGCCGCTGAGCTGGAGACAGGGTTCTGCTCCTCTTTGTCCCGCTTCTTGGCTGAGCCTCGGTTTTCCCATCTCTAAAATGGGGAGCCCCTGCTATACTACCTTTGAAAGGCCAGAAAAATGTGTGTGTCTGACAGTTTGGCTGGGTGTCTGGGGTGGCTGGCCGAGCAAGGAGTTCTGAGGCCGGGGAGAGGAGGGGGACCGAGGTGCTCTCCTGCATCTGGTTCCTAGATCCTGGTGAACACCGCGCCGGAGCCAGGGAAGGCTCAACCCAGGCTTCGTTCACCCCAAGGCGCCCCACGCCGCCTGCTCCGCCGACCTCGGACCGGCCCCATTCGCGGCTGGGGAGGTGGCGCTGGAGCTCGGACCCGGGCCCAGCCCTCCTCTGCCCGGAGCCGCTGCCGCCCTCCCTGCCCAGGGCCCGGCCGGGCCGGGCGACACCTACCTCACCAGGATGGCCACCCCCACGTCCTCGCAGTTGGCATAGAGCCGGGCCCACATAGCCTGCACCGCCTTCCTCTCCGCCTCGGACAGCTCCTCGCTCCGCTCCCTGCGCTCGATCTCCATCTCGCCTGGCACTTTCTCCATGAGCAGCTCCAAGCCCAGCCCGGCTTTGCTCGGCGGCGGCGGTGGCGGGGCGCGGGGCGCGGGGCGCGGGGCGCCGGGAGCCGGGGCCGGCTGCGTGCGCGGCGGGCGGGCGAGGGGTAGAGCGCGGAGGGAGGGAGCGTGTGTCTGTGCGCGCCGGGTGTGTGTGTGTGTGTGCGTGCGTGTGTGCAGGGTATATGTGCGGGGGGCGGGGGACAGCCAGCGGTGGGGCGGGGATGTGGTCTGCTGGAAAATGTTTAAAAAAACAAATCCGCTCCAAACCCCCAGCCCCGTGTGGGTAAGAGCCAATGCCGGCAAGGTGAAGGCTGCGCGGGGTGGGGGCGACGCGACTGCCGCCCGCCCACCCGCAGGCCACGGCGGAGTTGCACCGCGGGGCGGGGCTCGGGTAGGTGTGGCCGGGGCGCTGGGGGTCCCGGGAGGAATGGGCGGTCACGCGGCGCTGGGCGGCGCGGGCCGCACAGGAGTGCGCTGGGGCGGGCGCGGGCCGGGAGCGCTGGGTTCCGGGTCCCAGTGCTTGCGGCGTCGCGAGTGTGCGCGTGCGGACCCTTCCCGCGGCGGGGAACTGACTCAAAGTCCAACACTCCCGAGCTTTCGCGGCGAGGCCGACCGCCAGCCCGCCCGTGGGGGCGAACAGGAGCCCCTCCGGCGGCCGCCGTGGACCTAGCTGGGCTCCCCTCGCCCGGGCCTCTCCCCGCGCCCCCGAGCCAGCCGCTGGGGGCCGCGGCGCCACTCCCACGGCTCTGGACGCCCAGGCTCTGGGGGGTTAGCACGGGGGTCGTCCCCCTGCCCGCCCACCGCCCCGGCTGTCGGAACTTGAGCGCACCTCCGACCTCGGGCGCCAGAGGCCTGCGCCCCCTCTCCTTCCGCCCAGCACCTCCATGCCCTCGGTGCACGAACGCGGCGGCGGCGGCCAGAAGTCCCCCGTGGCTTATGAATGACACGGACAGGCAAGAACCAGCCGCTGCCCTGAATTCTAGCCCAGCTGGTGGCGGAGGAAGTCCAGAGAGGCACCGGATAGGGCAGACAGGACCTGGCAGACAAAAAGTCTTGAGGAAGGCGCAGGCTGCTGGGGACATCTCAGCCGCCACCAAGGGCCCGATTCCGGGCCTGGGGGAGGCAAATCCTTCCTCCTGGTGGGCCCTATCCAGGGCAGTGTGAGATTGGGCCAGAGGTGGGGGGAGAATCCCATGGTGCCTGCCCTGCAGCGGCTGCTCAGTCCTGGGGACAGCCTGAGGCCAGACAGGGCCTGGCAGTGTTGGGAAGAGATGTCACTCAGGCTCCCGGCGACCCCTGTCCTCGCTCAAGACTTGATGTCCCATTGCCCAAGCATTGCTAAGGGTTGGCTCTGCGCTTTCACTATGGTTCATGTATTTATTCTTAAAATCCGACTTTAAGGTCCGGGGGAGGCGAGGAGAACTCACCCTGGCCAGCCTCAGCTGCAGCCTGGGCCCCTCCTGGGAGCTCAGGGTTCAGGTGCCTGGGGGACCCTGAGGCAGTGCCTCTGACACTGTCTCCCCCTTGTTGAGGGAATGAAAATCTAATGCCTCCTGGGGGTCTTGGAGGGGCTGGAGGGGAGCGGGTGGGTTCAGGTTCTCACACCACTCCCAGACCCATGTCTCAGCGTGGCCATGGCTGGCTCCATGCTCCACACACACACTGAACAGCTTCTCAAAGTTGGTGTGACCAAGTGGCTGCCCAACAGGTCCCCTTGGGATGTGGAAAGAAAATAGGAGAAATCGTGTAACTATTTCTTTTCATCTCATCCTTTGCAAATGTAATATAGTCGTATGGTGTAGGAATGAATCTGTACAGTAGTCTAGCATATAATTTGTAAGTGGCTGCACCTGTCTATTTTGTGAGTGCACACTTGAATTCTGCCTTTTACTGAAGAGGGCGTGTAATCAGAAAAGTTTGGAGAGGATTGTCCAGAGGGTAAAACTGCCAGCCCTTCACTGTTGAGTCTCCCGTCTCTCTGGCTTCATTATCCAATATTCCTCCCCTTTCTTCCTCCTCTCCTGATGCTTCCACGGTGACATCATTGCTTCACCTCCATTCACCTTGCAGTTACTGGCAGATGCTCCATGCTTTCATGTCAGTAGCTTCGGCAGCGTCTTCTGTCTGAGGGCTCATCCTGCCTTGTGCACTGCAAATTCAGAGGCCCTTGCTCCTCTTTAAACGTTGCCCTGATGCCTGCAACTCTGAAAGTGCCCTGTAGGCGCCTTGAATAACTCCTGGGTCACTCTACTGCAGTCATTGTACTTGACAGCACATTTGTTTAGAGTGGCAGCTCCTTGCAAGCAAGGCCCAGTCTCATCAGATCGAGACTCCGAATACGTGCTCAATGCCACAGTGCATGCCTTGACCCTACCGCTGGAGGGGAGAACCTGGGCCCAGTGAGCTTAATCAGTCCTCACAAGGTCGGGGCCGCTGACCCACTAATCAGCTTGAGCCTCCTAATCCATCCCCAGCAGGAACCGCAGGACAGACGGCAGTGGCTCCTGAGAGCTGGCTGGGGCCATTTTGGCCCCTCGCCTGTGGCCTTCTGCAGACTTGGCCTGGGAGGGGATGGGGCAGCTGCGCCATGTGCACCACCCTTTTCCTGCTCAGCACCCTGGCCATGCTCTGGCGCCGCCGATTTGCCAACCGAGTCCAACCGTGAGAAACTGACCGGGCTATGGCTGGCGGTTGGTCGGGGGGGGGGGGCATGGGGCTGGGCTGCCACCAAGCTGAAGGTGGGCAGGGGCTGCGTGAACCTTCAGCGGGGCTGGGAGGGCATTTTGAGGAACCCTTGAGAGAGCACAGTCTCAGAGCAGGGGGACTTAGAGCTTCAAAGGCTCTAGTTGCAGCCTCTACTCCCATAGCCCAATGCGGCCTGGACCTGTGGAGGGACAGTGAGGGGCTGGGCACAGCCATAGCTCTTCCTCCCTACTCTTGCCTCCCACAGAGAGCCCAGCGACGTGGATGGGGCAGCTAGGGGCAGCAGCTTGGATGCGGACCCTCAGTCCTCAGGCAGGTAAGGCAGGAGTCTGGGCTGGGGGAGGGAGGGTGCTGCCAAGGAAGCTGTGGCTGTGCATGCCTGGGGGTGCACGTGTGTGCCTGTGCGCGCCTGTGCGTGCACCGTATCCTGGCCCTTGCCCTAAGCACCCTGCTCCCTGTCCGCCTGCTGGGCAGGCTGGATGTCTGTTTTCTGCGGTTGGGAATGGGAACCCTCAGCTCGCTCCTCTGGACCAAAGCCGCTGTGCCTCTCATCTCCAGCACGGGGCGGTCCCCCGGGGCACCTTCTGTCAGAAGGCACAGGGGAGTGGAAGGAGGGATGAGGCAGGAGTAGCTCTGTGTGGCTTTGCTCGCCTTTCCTTGCCCTTCCCCCTCCTCCTCCTCTGCCCCCGCCCTGCCTCAGCTAGGCTGCCTGAGCCTCCAGCAGGATTCGCTGTCCAGTCCCCAATAGAAGGCGCGGGAGGAGCATGACATCATCAGCATAGAGTGCCATTGGCTGGGCAGACCCTGCGGGCAGGACGCTGTCTCCAGTGGCCAGAAAGTTAACTCTTCCCTAGGCTGGAGCCATGTGGTCTTTAGGGGGTGAAGTTGGGGGAACTTCCAGACTTTTCCTTCCCTGGGTGACCAGTGTCGTTCGATGATAGGGGCGCCTATCCCAACCAAACACTGGAAAAAATCAGCAAATCTTTATGAAGTTCCCATGCATGAGGGGTTCCTTCTGTGCCTATGGACTCACCTAGCGTGGGAGACCTGTCTGAAGAGTGACTTTTTTGCTCCCAGTGAAACAAAGAGTAAAAAAGATCCGATGACATCTTTGGGTCAGGGCGCACTGGCAGGAGGGTGTCTCCACACAGGGAAGACTCAGGTGGCGGGTACTGTGACCATCCATGTCTCTTTCTGAGTGGGGACCTGCCAGCAATGTGTCCCTTAGATATGCGGAAACTGGCAACCGAGAGAACTTCCGTCTTTCTGTCTCCTGTCGTCTGAGTCCTGGGATTCTGAGTCCTGAGATTCTGATGATCAGAAGGCCCAATGGGAAGCCCTGGGCCTGTACAGGAAGCGGAGGCATTTCTGCGACACCTCAACTCGATAGGCCAGCTGGCATCATCATAATAGTGCCTAATTGATATCACTAGTTAAATCAGCTACAATGACCACCCCTGGGCCTCCCCCGATAGGAGGCCCTCAAATGCTGGGTGGTCCACGCTATTGAGCCCGGGTCTAGAGTTGGGCAGGGAGAATTTAAATTCTGGCTTCCCTCTTACTAATGGAAAGACTATGGGGGAAATTTATGCAATCAGTTTATTTATATGTAAACTAGGATTAATAACAGTGGTTGTGAGGTTTTGGTGAGGGTGCAGAGTGATTGCTCCATAAATGCTAGCAGCTGTCTTGTTTCATGCTCGGGACCTGTGCTTTAGTTTTCTCCAGAGGTTTCCTACCTATTAAGTCACTCGGGAGGCTCAGTAACCCCAGAGGATTGGCAGGACATGTGTTTTTAATCTTTGGTTAATGGTTGTGGAAACTGAGGGACAGGGAGATTTAGGTGGCTTGCTCCAGATCATCTATCTCATTTGTGGCTAATGCGGGATGCTCAGGCCCGATTCCAGGCAGGGTCTCTTCTACATGAAATGGGCCTGGACCTCCTGGCAGGAGAGAAAAGGCCAAATCTGAGGACCATCTGGCCAGGCCTGGCCTGGCGTGACTTAGCCAGAAGGAAGCAGTTGCCTATTAACTCCTTGGGACCCAGTTAACTGGAAAAATTGGTCTGACATCGAGGAACCACCTGCCGATGGTGGCTGCCGTGGAAGGCTGGCAGTGGGGGTGACATTTCTACTCTCCAGTCACACTGTCCTAAATGCCAACTGATTCCTTAGGTGGTCCTGCCCCTCAATATTGGGGTGAATTGATAGGGATGGGAGGAGGAGGAAGAGGAGAGTCAGAAACATGGGAAGGTCGTGCCCTTCAATCCTGACCCCAGTGCTTTCCTCTGTTTAGGGAGAAAGAACCTCTGAAGTAAGCCCTCACCTCTGCAGGTGGGGCTCAGGCCCAGAGACTGGGATCAGCTGGCTCAGGCAGGTAGGGCAGGGCTGGGAGCCGGGGAGGGCAGAGGGCAAGGCTTGGGACAGGCAGGAAGCAACAGGCAAGTCCCGGCCATGTGGGAGGATAGCAGGCAGTGTTCAGCTCTTGCCACTGATGGAGGTTCAAAGTAGGCGGATGGACTCATGCCTTTGGCTGCTACCTTGAGCCTGTTGTGGTCCGGGCCATGGGGCAAGGATGAGTTTGAAGAGAACCAGGTGTAGTTTGACCACATTTTCTAGGCTTGGGGATGGCGAGGTGGTCGTGCTGGGGCATGAGGGCAGTGTCGGAGGACGCCCAAGGGAGAGGCGGTGCTCGGAAACATCCACTCTGAAATGCGAGTCCCATCCCCAGGTGTGGGAGAAGTGCTGATCTGCTCTGGTTTTCTGTTTCAGCTCAGGTCCTGGTTCGTCCCCTAGCCCAGGAGGATGCTGTGGGAGCTGCAGCAGCGGCAAGAGGGAGAATGGGGGGAAGCAGCACTAGAGAAGGTAGACGCCTCCCTCTCAGCCCGGGACCTGCCAGTCTCCCCTTCCCCCAGGCCCTGGGTGTGGGCTCCTGAGCAGGACCTGGCTGGGCCTGGCAGAAAGAGCAGACGTGCTCGCTGCTCTCGGACGGGCTTCCTTCCCTCTGAGTTCCTGAGGCTCCTCTGAGGGACTGCTGAGCCTGAGAAAGCCTAGGATGAGGGACTTGCTGGGTCCACCAGGCTAATTCTGGGGCAGCCAGCAGCCCAGGCAAGAGGCAGGAATAAGTAAGGAGTGAGGAGACCCCAGAAGCAAGGGACGGCTGATAGCTCACATTTACTAAGCAAGGGCTTCCATTCATTCTGTAATTTAATCTTCAGTCACCCACAGAGCCTGGTAATGTTATTATCCACAATTTCTAAATGGGGAAACACAGAGACAGGTTAAATAATTTGCCCAACATCACCTAGCTAGGAAGTGGAGGCTCCCAGGCTCACACTGGAGCTGCAGAGCCCACGCTCCTACCCACCATGGCAGGCGGCCTCCCCCTGGAACCTAACAGTTTGCAGGGGTTGGGGGTGGTTTGCTGGCCTGGCCAACTGCCTGTCAGCCCAGGAGCTATTCTGTTAAGCCGCCACTTGTGGTCCGAGGTGCTGGTGTCGGTTTGCCACAGTGGCACTCGCTTTTGTGTCATTTGCCTTTCCCCAGTTCCCAGAGCTCATCCTGTCACTGGCTGCTCTGCTGAAATTATCAATAAGAAATGCCAGTTGGATCTGTGACATGTCTGCCTGCAGCTGGATGGGAGCAACGGACAGCTTGTCCTCCGAATGTGTTTTCTGTATGTGTGCAAGCGCGTGTGTTCCAAACGGGCAGTAGCGTGTGGGAAGGAAAAAGCCTGACACTTGTTTTTATCAATTTGCTGATGCTCAGTCCCGGCGGCTGCCTCCTTTGCCCCCAGCTGCTCTGCCATTTCTCTCTTTTCAATCCTGCATGATCCTGAGCAGAGATAAAAGCAGATTTCCGCTTCTGCTCCCAGATCCAGGAGCAGACCCTGCAGGCAGCTGCTCCTGATGTCTCACAGCTATTAGTCTTCAAAAACCCCCCGTGCCTCTGTGCACACGCGTCTCTCCTCCCCAGCCAGCCCCCCTCCCAGCCCAGCGGCGATGTCTCTGCCTGGCTGGCCCGTGCCCTTGACTTCCAGGCAGTAGAAGATGGAGTTCTCTAGACAGCAGCACTTCAGCCGCCACTCTGCCTCTGAAGGGAAGGAAGGGAAAGGGTGAGGGATGCCGCAGAGCAGAGGGAACCGCTGGGGAGGCGCTCAGGGTGGGGGAGGAGGTGCACCCCGCTGGGGAGGGCCTGCTGGTACCTCGGGGAGCCTGGCTGGGGTGTGTGCGAAGGCAGTTCTGTGGGAGCCTCTCAAAGTAGGGCAGGCAGGAGGCAGGGGGAAAGTCACACTAGGGAAGGAGCCTGCAGAGGCAAAGCCAGAGCGCCAGCCTGACCCAGGCCGTGAGCCCGTGATCGCCTGTCTCAGCTCCTGTCAGCCTGTCTCTCTCTTTGGAGGCATCGGCCTTCCTGGTGACAGGCCTGTCAGGCTGAGGGCCAGAGGGCACTGTTCCCGGGACCCAGTCTGTGTTCCCCGATCCTATCTGCATTTATTCTCTATTTGCCATGTTCCTGTCACCTCATCCTTGCTGCCATTTCCGAGTTGCTCATCTCCTTCCACTGGTCTGAGGAATTGTCAGGCCAAGGTCATGGAGCTGGCTCACGGCCCAGACGCACTTCCCCAGGGCAGCGCCCCTCCACGCCACTGTTCCGAGAACCTGCGCAGGAGGTGGTGGCTGCTCCAGGGATCCATCCAGAGGAAGGGCGGGAAAAAGAGAGGAAGGGGCTGCTGGCGGCCAGCGGGGCTGTGGCTGCCTGGGCTTGGAGGTTGCCTGGGCAGCTGGGGTGCCATGTGGGCCGGGTGGGGGGGCTGTCTCCCCCAGGGAGCAGGCTGGCTTTGGTGGGAGCAGATTGTGTTTACACCTTCCCCGCACACCCAGCCCACGCTCGCCTCTTATTCCCGGGGCCTCTCCCACCCCTGGGCTCTCTGCGCAGTCTGCACATTTGCAGCTCCTGCTGCAGAAAGTTACCTCTCTCAGCCTAGAGCTCCCCACAGAAGGCTCCTGGGACCCGGGTGCCCCTTCCTTGGCCCACTGGCTCCCATCACAGGGCTTAGTGTGAAGCTCAGGGCAAGGGTGGACCTTTAAATGGGGGAATTAAATCCTGACTATGACACTGTCCCCACTGAGGCTGAGTCCTTTTTCATCCCTTTCCTTGCAAAGAGCCGCTGCTTGGGAATGGGAGCAGGAGTGCTCAGGGGCTTGGGAGAGGGCAGATAAAGGGCAGCTAGAGAGGGAGAGCTGAGCCAAAGGGTGGGGTCCCTTCTGGTCTAGGGTGCTGGCTACTGTGAAATAACAAGAGTCCAAGAGCAAGGTGTCCAGAGTCAGAGCTCCTGGGTTTGAACCTTGTTCCACCAGCACATCCTACCTCTGTGGCCTGGGTAAGTTTCTGAACACCTCTGTGCCTCAGTTTCTTTAGCTGTAGGATGGAGATCCTACTGGTATCTGTCTCTTAGAGTTGTAAGGGTTGATTAGATAACGTGTGGAAGATGCTTAGCATGTTGGGTAAGTGTCCCATATATGTGAGCTGGCACAATCCGGTTTGAACTGTAAATTACTGAACAGTGGTAGATTCAGGACGGCTAGAGTTCCTCACATCCTCACTCTCTGGTCCTTCCTGCCGTCTCTCCACATACACAGAGCTGGGCGACCGGTAGTTCTGCAACAGATCAGAGGATGGCAGAGGGTGGCATTGCTGGGGTGGGGAAGCCCCCTGTAAGCCTGTACTGGAGAAGACCACCACTGCCTCTCTGTGCCCAGAACCATGTCCCAACCTCCAGTGGTGACCTCGACCTGGACAGCGCCACTCCCAGCTGGCTCTGCTTCCGGAATGAACCTCAGCTCCTTGACAAGACGGGAGGCGCTGCCCTGCTGTGGTACCTTCCTCCGTGTGAATGCTAATATCTCTGCTGGGGGAGCCTGAGTGACGGGGAAAGGCTGCTTGGAGCTGCAGGGCGGCTGAGGGCAGCAACCAGGAGCAGGGAGGTGCTGCTCCTGCAACTGAGGCTCAGAGCGGCTGCCAGTCTCTCCTGGAGACTGGAGCATGACCAGGGAACTAATGAGGCGGTGGGGGTGTGGTGGGAGCCAGGGAAGTAGCCACTGCAGCTGTGGCTGTCCACTGTCACCCTGGGGTGTAGATGTCACCTTGGGGAGTACCCACCCATTCCAAGTGTGCGGTTGTGTGTGTGTGTGGTTTGTGTGTGTGTGTGTGTGTGTGCGCGCAGTCCTGGGCAAGGGCAAACAGTACAGGTGGTGGGCCAAGACTAGATGGGTAGGGCACAGTGCCCACTATGAGACAGGCACAATGGCGAGAGAGCAAACCCTGCTGGTTCCTCAGGCTCCCGTAGCCTCTCTGTGGGGGGCCTCACTGTTAGGAAGAAGCCCAAGACCTAGAGCTAGAGGAAGATAATGCTTCTTTGTGAACCTCAGAAGAACAGTTTGGTTCGCACGGAAGCTTATGTTAACATAATGATGATACTAATCGTATGATTAATAACCACTAACATGCATTGGGCGCTTACTATGTGCTAGGCACTGTGCCAGCTGCTGTATTTTACGCACTGTTTCATTTATGCGGCAGGAACTGTTATCATTTATCCAATAAGGAAAGTGAGGTTCACAGAACTTGCTCAAGGTCACTCATAGCTGGCAGTGAAGCCAGGACCTGAGCCTGGGAAATCTGACACCAAAGCTTGGGATAGAGGGGGCCCAAGTCTCGAGTTGGGGGCCGTGAGGAAATTTTGATTGTGACCTGTCTACAAGGCACAAGGAATGGAGCTGTGGTCCCGCCCAGCCTGCCTTTGCAAGTGGGCTGGTGTTGGCCAGGGTCATTGCCACCAATCTGTCTTCAGGAACTCACATTCAAGGGCAGACCAGACTCTAGGCCCTGAGAGGCTGGTTCTTGCCTGCCAGGTGAGGGGGAGAGGAGAGCTGCCCCTTTAGGACCCCTCAGTCTTCCTCAGGAAGGATGTGGTGGCCTCTGGCAGGGATGACAGACAGCGAGGTCATCACCCACAGTCACTGCAACTGCCACTCTGTTGCCTCCTTCAGCCAGGGGCAGGGCCCTGGGGAGAGGACAGGATGGCAGCCAGCAGCCCAGCTGGAGATGCGGAGCCTGGTGAGGAAGGTTGTTTTGATTTGTTTTTGCAGGGGGAGGGTGCAGGCCATGGAGACCAAGGAGGTGGCTTTCAGGGGGATCCGCTGACAGTGGGAAGCCAGTCCTTGTGCCTAAGGAGCACAGACCCTCTCTGTGTGACACATGTGCCCCCTAGTGGGGATGATGACTGTAGTGGGGGACTGAGAAAATTTTTAAAAATTTACTAACAGACTCAGCCTGTGCACCTGGGGAGGAGAGGCCAATCCTGTCCCTATGTGAACACACACACATTCACACACACACACACACACATATTCACACACAGAGACACCCACATTCACACACACAGACACACACACACAGAGACACATACATTCACACACACACATACACAAACACAGTCATATACCTATACAAACATATAATACACACACAGACATACACACATTCACAGAGACACACATTCACACACACACACACAACACACATTCACACACACACAGACATACACATATACATATTCACACACATACACATACACACAGACACACATAACACATTCACACACACATACACATATACAAACATATTCACACACATATACACACACATACACATAAACATACACATACATACACATTCACACACACATTCACACATACACATGCATACACAGACATACACATATACGAACATTCACACACATACACACAGACATACATGTACACACACAAATAAAACAGACACACAGAAACACACACACATAATCACAGATACACATGCATACACAGACATACACATTCACACATACACACACACATATACACCGACACATACACATTTACACACATACAGACATATACACTTATAGACACACATAGCATACACATACACACAGTCACACACACAGATACACATAAACATACATACACACAGAGAGACATACACATACACAAATACACACAGTATCATATGCAGAGGCAGAAGCCATTTGAACTAAGCATTAAAATAAATTAATGTGTTCATTTGGTCATTTATTTAACAAGCGTGTCCTGGGAACCTGCAATGTACAAACCCTGTATCAGGTGTCAGGAGTGACACTCGAGGAGAGACAGACCCTGCCCTGCTGGTTGGTCCTATAGGAAGGCCCCAGCCTCGGTGGCCTAGTTCTGCCAGCCCAACCCTGCCTGTCCCTGTGACCTTTAGTTCTCTGGACCTCGGTTTCCTCATTTGATAAACATTTGTCAAGCCCAGGTGGGCTGGAGTGAGGACGCAGAGGACTAATGATCTCCTCAGGAAAAGAACAGTTTAGTAAAATGAAGGGGATGGACCAGAAGCTCTCTGGGGGCCCCACCGACTTTCCCAATCGAAAGCAACTGTAATGAACTGTGTCTGGAGTGCTGTGTGCCAGGCACTGTGGATCCAGAAACGGATTAAGACCTTCTGCCACAAACAACCAGAAAACTGGGCAAGATATAAGCAGCAGACACTTGACAACAGGCAGCACACAGGACAGTGACCCCATGACTGCCTCAGCTTCTGCCTGGAGACAGTTCCCTGACTGTGCCTTGGGGAGGGGAAACCCAAGCGGACCACAGTGGCTTTGCTAAGGTGAGGAGGAGACAGAATCAGAGGTCAAGACAGTGTGAGATTCATAAGGATATACACACAGATCAATGGAATCCAAAAACAGATGCAGAAAGGCAATCCAATGGAGAAAGAAAGGTCCTTTCAACAGGATACAAAAAGCACTAACCAGAAAAGAAAAATCAATACACTGGACTTTATCAAAATTAAACCTCTGCTCTTGGAAAGACTAGGAGTAAATATTTGCCAAACAAAAATCTGAGAAAGGACTTGTATCCGGAATACATAAAGAACTTTTACAATTCGATAATAAGATGGCCCAATAAAAAAGTGGGGAAAGATTTTAATAGACACTACAACAAAAAATAAACATACAGCTAAAATACATAGAAAGTTGTTCGACATGCGGCTGGGCGCGGTGGCTCACGCCTGTAATACCAGCACTTTGGGAAAGAAGAAAGATACTCCACATGCAAATCAAAAGCCCAATGACATACCACTACATGCCTACCAGAGTGGTTACAGCTGAAGGCCGACCATAGTAAGTACTGTCCAAGATGTCACCCTGTCATACACGGCTGGGGACTGGTGAAGTGTTACAACCACTTGGGAAACCAGCATGGTGGTTCCTTATAAAGTTATCCCAGAGGAATGAAAACTTACATCCACAAAAAAGACTGCAAAGATGTTCATGGCAGCTTTATTACTAACAGCTCCAAACTGGAAACAACCCAAATATTCCTCGACGTGGGAACAGATAAACACACTGAGATATATAAAGATAGAATAATACTCAGCAATGAAAAGGAAATGAACTGCTGATGCCGACGACATGGGTAAATTGAGAGAAGCCAGACACAAAAGAGCCCCTACTGTGTGATGATGACATGTACACGGAATTCTAGAACAGGCAGAACCGACTGATAGTGACAGAAGGCATCAGTGGTTGACTGGGGCCGGGGTTAGATATTGTGGGGGTTGACTGCAAGGGTAAGAAGGTTTTTGTTTTTTTGTTTGTTTTTTTTTCTTTTTTTTGAGATGGAGTCTCACTTTGTCACCCAGGCTGGAGTGCAGTGGCATGATCTTGGCTCACTGCAACCTCCACCTCCTGAGTTCAAGCAATTCTCCTGCCTCAGCCTCCTGAGTAGTAGGGACTACCAGCTTACACTACCACGCCCAGCTGATGTTTGTATTTTTAGTAGAGACGGGGTTTCATCATATTGGCCAGGCTGGTCTTGAACTCCTGACCTCAAGTGATCCACCCGCCTCGGCCTCCCAAAGTGGTGGGATTACAGGTGTGAGCCACCGTGCCCAGCCTAGAAGGTTCTTTTTTTTTTTTTGAGATGGAGTTTTGCTCTCATCACCTAGGCTGGAGTGCAATGGTGCGATCTCGGCTCATTGCAACCTCGCCTCCCAGGTTCAAGTGATTCTCCTGCCTCAGCCTCCTGAGTAGCTGGGATTACAGATGCCCACCACCACGCCCAGCTAATTTTTTGTATTTTTAGTAGAGACGGGGTTTCGCCACGTTGGCCAGGCTGGTCTCAAACTCCTGACCTCAGGTGATCCACCGGCCTCAGCCTCCCAAAGTGCTGGGATTACAGGCATGAGCCACCGCACCCGCCTAAGAAGGTGCTTTTGAGGTGACAACAGTGTTCTAAATCTTAACTGGGATTGTGGTTACATGGGTCTATACACTTATTGGACTACTGAACCATACATTGTAAATGGTTATACTGTATTGTATGTAAGTTACACGAGAATAAAGATGATTTAGAGAGTTAGAAACAAAACAAGAATGAAGAATGATGCTTGTTTTGCTCACCATCTAGCAGAAAAGCCAGACATACAAATAATCATCAAACAGTGGGATGAGTGTTCAAAGTATGTTGAAATAACACGAACTCCCATTTATCAAGTGCTTACCTTGCGCCAGGCGCTGTGCTAAGTGCCCCGAAGCACTGATTTAACGAAGTCCCGTGATGTTTGGATGATCCTCCTCCTCCTCCTCATTTTACAGATGAGAAAATAAGACTCAGAGAGAAGTGAGGTGACCTTTGCCAAGGTTACTCAGCTAGAATCAGCAGAGCTGGGACTTTCCTCCAAGTCCTCCTGGGTTGCAGACAATGTGCTAATCCACCTGCCACCAGGAAGGTGCCACGATGAAACAGCTCGGGAATTGTTGCAGCGTCTCAGTCAAAACTTCGCAGGAAGTATTTAAGTACAAGCTGGAATTTGCAGAGCAGAGAAGAGAATGCAGTGAAGGGACTTTCAAGGCAACAGGAACAAACACCACCACAAGCAAAGGTTATGCAACAGCTGTGAGAAGGCAAGGGTTTCTGGGCATGGAGAGACATGCCCAGGAAATAACAGAAGAGATCCATGGAGCATTATATCGTCTTCAAATTCATTTATTTTTATTTTTAAAAAATCAATTTTTGAGTAATACTCTAGAGGCAGTGGCTCTGCCAAGCAGGGAAGTCAAATGCATCGCTTTTTTTCCTGTACACTGTTGGCAAGCACAGATAATCCACAACTCCAACGCCATCTATTCTCAATGCGTAGGGTCTGTGTTATATTTCTCCTCTTCCAGAAAGTTAAAGCTCGGTGAAACTTAAAGCAGTGATCCCAGGTTTTTAAATTTTTATATTTTTACTTTTCTTCCATCTGCCTGGTCATCTGCATGATCCCAGCTTTCTGAACAGGATTTGTGACACTGTTTCACGGTCCTAAGAACTCTCAGGAAAAAATCCTCTATATTTTCATGACAGGTTTTCTAGGTGGGTGAATTAAAGTCTCTGGAGTTAAGCAAAAACGGTCCACTGTCATAGCGTAATTTTTTTAGGAAACATGGCATGGTGGCTGAGACCATGGGTTTTTAGGCTGGATTGTTTGAGTTCAGATCGCAGTGCCTTCACTTATGAGTTCCTTTAACCTTTCTGCACCTTGACTTCCTCAGCTGTGAAATGGGAAGGTGGGGGGGTGGGGGATAATGACAGGGCTGTCATGAGAATCAGATGAGACAGTGAATAAAAGGTGCTTCCAGAGTACCTGCCACAGAGTAAACACTTCATATACACATAGCTGTTATGATTTCCGGAAGGAGGCTTGCACACATGAGCTCATTTTCTGTATTCTGCCATGATCCATTCTTCTGGGAAGAATTATTTTTAAAAGATATCATTTAGGATGATTTGACTGAAACAGAACACCCAACTTAAAATGACTTAATAAGATTTCTTTTTAAAATCTCACTTTTTATTTATTTATTTTTTTTGAGATGGAGTCTCGCTCTGTCGCCCAGGCTGGAGTGCAGTGGTACGATCTCCACTCACTGCAAGCTCTGCCTCCCGGGTTCAAGCCATTCTCCTGCCTCAGCCTCCTGAGTAGCTGGGACTACAGGCACCCGCCACCACGCCTGGCTAATTTTTTTTTTTGTATTTTTAGTAGAGATGGGGTTTCACTGTGTTAGCCAGGATGGTCTCAATCTCCTGACCTCGTGATCCACCCTCCTCGGCCTCCCAAAGTGCTGGGATTACAGGCGTGAGCCACTGCACCCAGCCTAAAATCTCACATTTTGTAATTCACTCAAACTGAGATGCCATTGCTTGTAAGACACATCCTGCATTTTAGAATATGAAAATGCGACCAGCTGTGATGGCTCATGCTTGTGATTCCAGCACTTTGGGAGGCTGAAGTGGGTGGGTTACCTGAGGTCAGGAGTTCGAGACCAGCCTGGCCAGAATGGTGAAACTCTGTCTCTACCAAAAATACAAAAATTAGCTGGGTGTGATGGTGCACACCTGTAATCCCAGCTACTTGGGAGGCTGAGGCAGGAGAATCACATGAATCCAGGAGGTAGAGGTTGCAGTGAGCTGAGATCATGCCACTGCATTCCAGCCTGGGCGACAAGAGCAAAGCTCTGTCTCAAAAAAAAAAAAAAAAAATATATATATATATATAAAAATATATATATATAAAACATGTATATGTGTATATATATGTATACATGTATACATATATATGTGTGTGTATATATATATGAAATGTATAAATGTGTCTCTGAATCAAAACGAGGTCTGAAGTTCAGGGGTGTTGGGACTGGCGGTTTCTGCGGGTCAGCAGCATCACTGAGGACTCATGTTCTTTCTTCTCTCTACTCTGCCATCGCAGTCCTTCAGCTCCTACTTAATGGAAGCCTCGCAGATGCAAGATGGCTCCAGCAGGCCCAGCATCACTTCTTCTCAGTGTCCCAAAGCCAGAAGAGAGGCTGTTGTTTTTAAAAGCAGGAAAACTTTCCTAAACTTGGCCAGAATTGCATCACAGACCCTTTCCTAAAACAATTTCCAGCAAAGGGAATAGACTTACCATGTCTGGTACAGATGAATCAAGGTTTGCCCCTGGGGGCTGGGGAGGGGCTTGTCCCGCTGAAGCAGACTCTTGCCCAGCAGCTGAACGAAGCCTAGGTTCACCAGACGGAGGAAGAGACTGGCCACTAACAGTGCCTGACACACAGATGTGCTTCCTGTGATATCGCTGCTGCCACCGTTCCAAATGTAAGCAGTTGGCTGTCTGGGATACTACCTACCTTCTTTTGTGTTCTTATTAATAAAATTAAAGATTGCTTTCTGGGTAGAGAAATTAACCTCAATATTCTAAAGACTGTTTTATTTTTATGTATTTATTTTTTTGAGACAAGGTCTTGCTCTGTCATCCAGGCTGGAGGGCAGTGATGAAGTCATGGCTCACTGCACAGCCTCAATCTCACGGGCCCCAGCAATCCTCCCACCTCAGCCTCCCATCCAGCTGGGACCACAGGCATGTGCCACCACACCTGGCTGTTTCTCATTTTTTATTGGTAGAGACGGGGGTCTCCCTATGTTGCTCAGGCTGGTCTTGAACTCCTGGGCTCAAGTGATCCTCCTGCCTTGGCCAACCAAAGTGTTGGGATTATAGGCATGAGCCACTGCGACCAGCCCAAAGACTGTTTTCTATTACTGTGGGTTTCAGATACCATGTCTTAAACGCTGTCAGTGACCACCCCAATACAGCAGGCCAGCTGACTGGATTTTCCCTTTGTACTCAGAGCCTGGGTCCCTGAAAAGCGCTGGGGACTTTTGCTTTCCTGTTTGTAAAGAGTCACTAGACTGTGACTCTTTCCATGTCAATAAATAGAGGTCTGCACTAGCCTGGTATAAAGGCTGTATAATAATTCCACGGTAGGTAAAACTCAAATGTCCTAGCTCTCACCAGCAATGAGTGCAAATGAGATCACAGTAACATCCACATTTCAGTCTCAACAGCTCTGAGCCCTTGCCGGCTCATTCAGGAATTCTGATGCATTCTCTGAAGTCCCCCTAGTTATTTCTGGGTTGGCTGCACAGTGTACTTTACATGTGCTCGGCACAAGGCCTCTCATTGTATTTCGCTCCAGCCTCTTGGCCACTGCCCAGCTGCCCTGGCATCCCCATCTGCCATGAACCTGCTGTTGGGGAAGCGATGTCCAGTCAGGTGTGAAAGCAACTTGGTGGCCTGCGGCAGAGTGAAGAGCTGTAAAGAATGGCCCTCACTATACACTGGGTGGCATCCAGGCCCAATACAGCCCTGCTAGAGCCCAGAGCCTCCATCTTCCACACATCAGCTCTGCAGCCTCCCATCCTCACTCTTCCTGCCACGAAGTGGCTCAAATGGCAGAGCAGGTGCCCATTGTTCCCCCTTTCAACCTCATTTCTGATTTTGTCCCCAACCACCCCTACAAACACATGAAAATCTTCTTCCTTCTCCCTTCCTCCCCGAAAACAAAAGTCCTTATACATAAGGTCACCTTATTCATTAGCGGTAAAAGCATGGATTCTACAGGCTGGGAGCAAACCCTGACCCTGCCAGTTACTGGTTATGTGAATTTGGGCAAGTTACCGAATTTCCCAGTGCTTCTGTTTCCTTATCCGTAAAATGGGGACAGTGATAGTGTTACCGGAGAGGAGTCCTGATCCAGACCCCAAAAGAGGGTTCTTGGATCTTGAGCAAGAAGGAATTTGGGATGTCTATAGACTAAAGTGAAAGCAAGTTTATTAGAAAAGTAAAGGAATAAAAGAATGGCTACTTGGCCAGGCATGGTGGCTCAAGCCTATAATCCTAGCACTTTGGGAGGCTGAGGCAGGCAGATCACTTGAGGTCAGGAGTTCGAGACCAGCCTGGCCAACATGGTGAAACCCTGTTGCTACTAAAAATACAAAAATTAGCCGGGCGTGGTGGCGTGCGCCTGTAATCCAGCTACTCGGGAGGCTGAAGCAGGAGAATTGCTTGAACCCAGGAGGTGGAGGCTGCAGTGAGCCGAGACAGCAGCACCACTGCAGCCTGGGTGACAGAGCGAGACTCTGTCTCAAAAAAAAAAAAAAAAAAAAGGCTACTCCACAGAGCAGCCCTGAGGGCTGCTGGTTGCCCATTTTTATGGTTATTTCTTGATTATATCCTAAACAAGGGGTGGATTATTTACGCCTCCCATTTTTAGACCACATAGGGTAACTTCCTGATGTTGCCATGGCATTTGTAAACTGTCATGGCGCTGGTGGGAGTGTAGCAGTGAGGACGACCAGAGGTCACTCTCATCGCCATCTTGGTTTTGGTTTTGGTGGGCTTATTTACTGCAAACTGTTTTATCAGCAAGGTCTTTATGGCCTGTATCTTGTGCCGACCTCCTGTCTCATCCTGTGACTTAGAATGCCTTAACCGTCCGGGAATGCAGCCCAGTAGGTTTCAGCCTCGTTTCACCCAGCTCCTATTCAAGATGGAGTTTTCTGGTTCCAATGCCTCTGACAGTAGTACTTCATCGCATTGTGAGGATTAAACGAGTTCATACATGTACAGAAACCAGTATAGGGAATGGCACCTGGTAAGTGCTATGAAGTATTAGCTATCATTACTATCTTGTCTACAGTAGGTCACCAGCCCGCTAGCAGCTTTTGGGAAATTCCACACTTAGAATTCCCACTGTAAGTCTCAAATGAAAGGAACTATGTTTGCAGGGATAGAACACATTCTTCCTTTCAGTATTACACAAAATAACGTGTCTTCAAGGGTAAGGTAGAGAAACCTAATGGCCAGAATTACTGCTGAATGAATTAATGATTATTTGCTGAAGACTTACTGTGAGCATAGCAGGTAAATACCAAACCCTGCACTGTTAAGAAATTAAAAAGAAAAAAATAAAAATAAAAAGAGGCTGGGCGTGGTGGCTCACGCCTGTAATCCCAGCACTTTGGGAGGCTGAGACGGGTGGATCACCTGAGGTCAGGAGTTTGAGAACAGCCTAACATGGAGAAACCCCATCTCTACTAAAAATACAAAATTAGCTGGGCGTGGTGGCGCATGCCTGTAATCCCAGCTACTCAGGAGGCTGAGGCAGGAGAATCACTTGAGCTTGGGAGGCGGAGGTTGCCGTGAGCCGAGATCGTGCCATTGCATTCCAGCCTGGGCAACAAGAGCAAAAGTCCATCTCAAAAAAAAAAAAAAAAAAAAATAATAATAATAATAAAAAGAGACTTCTGCTCTTGAAGAGCTTACAATCAAATGAAAGGAGGTAAACATAAGCAAATGTGGTAATTTGAAGATAAGTATCTGCAACATATTACCATCTGCAGGACAATATAACCCACACCGAAGGCCACAGAGATCACTGTTAATGGGTGGATGAGAACAGGGAGACTGGAATGGAGAAAAGGCTCTCGGTCTTGCAAACTTAAACTAGCTTTCAAATAGGTGCAAATTCTGGCCCTGATTGTTGATGTCGTTTTTGCCTTATTTTTATTTCAAAAACGAAGCCAGACCGGGCGCAGTGGCTCACCTTTGTAATCCCAGCACTTTGGGAGGCCAAAACAGGAGGACTGCTTGAGGCCAGGAGTTTGAGACCAACCCGGGCAACATAGTGAGACCTCATCTCTGCAAAATAAAAATAATCAGCTGGGCGTGGTGGCGCTCGCCTGTCGTCCCGGCCACTCAGGAGGCTGAGGCGGGAGGATCACTTGAGCCCGGGAGGTCCAGGCTACAATAAGTTATGATTGCACCACTGCACTCCAGCCTGCGTGCCAGGGTGAAACCTTATCTCAAAAACAAACCAAAAAAACCCAGAAACAAAAAAAAATGAAGCCAAGGTGTTTGCCTGAAAAATAACACTCAGAAGAGCAGTGGGTGTTACATCATTCTCCGTTCTTTTCGTAATTCAGCTCGTGACACTTGCCTTTTTTTCTCTTCTCGGAATGCCCCGGGCCCCTGGGCAGCCGCGGAGGCCGAGCCCCGTCGCTCTCCAGCGCTCCTTGCCGCCCGCGCCTCGGCTTCACCGGCCTCGCCCCAAACTTAAAAACACCTGAGCAGGAGGTTGAACGATTCCCTCGGAATCTCTCCTCTTCACTAACCCAGCGAACCACCCCAAATGCCCCTATCCTCCCCCAAATAAAATCCGCAGAGCAATTAACAAAGATACTCGGCCAAGCCCCGGTTTCCTCATCTGTCCCTGCCCCCTCGAACTTTCTGTGCTTCCCCAGTCTCGACCAGGGACAAACTGTGTTGAAGCTCAATGACTTTCTGGCAGAAGTGAACCTCCAGCTTCGTTTTCTGACAGCCGTGGTTCTTCACAGGCCTGGTTTCCCACTCCGGACCCTCCACTGCCCCTGGTGGCGGCCACCATCTTACCCCCAGCTCCAGGGTCGCGCTGAGGACGCGGCCAGCCCCCAGCCGCCGTAGTTTTGAACTACATTTCCCACCAGCCCTTTCTCAACATCGCGAGAGTTCCGGAGAGATTGCCGAGAAGACTTGCGCGCAGGGGCGGTCTCGCGTTCTTTTCGAGGTCGGCCGCGTGGCTGGAAGACATGGCCACTCCAGTCGGTGTTGAGCACGGCGAGCAGTCTCAGGCCTTTAGTGATGATGGTAAGGCTGCCTGGGTGGGAAAACGGGGTCTTCCTTGACACGACACTAACATACTTGGCTTCCCTTCCTCAGAGACGAAGTGGTGACGATAATCTCGGTTTCTCCCTCATAGGGTGGTTAGGAGGGTTAAAAGTACTGGATGAGAAAATGCTTTCCAAACGTTGAGAAAATGTTACTATGTGAAGGGAGAGAGCTCAAGCCCGTCCTCGGCGTCATAGGGCCGGCTTCTGCGGGGGAGAGCGCCTAACAACCTGGGCAGCCCCGTGCGCCTCCGCCGCGCGTGTGCTGAGCGTCATGCCCAGGGGTCTTCGGTGCCCGCGCACGGGCAGACTCTGACGATGGTGGTTCTTAATTCAGCATCAGGAGTGTTAACGTGTGAAGACGTGATTCCGCTTGGAGTGTCTTGAGGACGGCCCCAATCGGTAGTTCATATTTAGCTTTACAGATAGGAGTCAATAGGATTGTAAACTTCTGGAAAGCCGTAGTTTTAACAACGAGCCTTTTTTCCTCCCCCAGAGGCCTTTCTTTGTTTGGCATCTGCAGAGACGGTGAAAAGCAGAGCTCCAGGTTGAAGGATCAGAGTAATAGATGGAGCCCTTAACATGAGTAAGAGTGGGTGCAGGCAGGGCCTGAGTGGTCACTAGAAATGAGAAAGCACAGTTGGTGCCATCACATACATTCACCTCCTGCTTTATTCTGAAGTTCAAGTATGAGAATACGTGTTGACATACAAGCCAGCTATGGTAAGAAATTACTCAAAATTCAGAATGCTAATTATTTTAATGATAAAAATGAGTAGCGTCTTTGCCCGTGTGATTTGGGGCCACTAGGTGTCATTGTAACCAGCGTGGATCCTCGTTAGGGCATGCAGGGATGAAAGAGACATGGCAAATGAATTTTGGATCGCTAGGATTTAGGAATCTTTGTTATTGGCTGAGCTGAGGATGATTTAAAGTTATCCCTGTCTGAAATGGTATCTTTTGTGAGGAGGTCTGACTTGCTGAGGCTCAGCTGTTTAATACAAATCTGGAGAATAAACCTTAAGGTGGTTTCTGTTAGAATGAAGCCTGTTATCCTTCTCTTTTAGATTAAAGGTGGTGGCTGTGGCCTTGAAAACAGTCATGTGAAAACTCATCACCTTAAGGTGTTAAGTGTAAGGATCTTCATGATGAAATTTCTGTAAATGGTGAGATTTTTAGTACTTTCATAGACTTGAATATGCTTATGGTCCTCTTTAAGTATTGGTTTGTTAGTTTTGGGGATGTGTTGGTCTTCCAGGGTTACGATTGCCCAGATAATGGAAGTAGTATGGAATTCCTTTTGATAGGGTCCTTGCCAAGCACTCTCATAAAGAGCATTTTTTGTTTGTTTGTTTTGAGACAGAGTTTTGCTCTTGTTGCCCAGGCTGGAGTGCGATGGTGCGATCTTGGCTCAGCGCAACCTCTGCCTCCTGGGTTCAAGCTAGTCTCCTGCCTCAGCCTCCCAAGTAGCTGGGATTACAGGCATGCACCACCACGCCTAGCTAATTTTGTGTTTTTAGTAGAGACGGGGTTTCTCCATGTTGGTCAGGCTGGTCTTGAACTCCCGACTTAAGGTGATCTGTGCTGGGATTACAGGCGTGAGCCACCTTGCCTGGCCATAAATAGTATTTCTAATATCAACCCCATATGAGGTAAATTTTTTTCCCCACTCTGCTGCTGAGTAAGTAAAAGTGAGGCGTAAAGAGTTCTTTTGCCCAAAGTTATACAAGCAGTTACTGAGTTAGACTGGCAGTTCTGAACTGGGGAGCGATGGTGTTCCTGGCATCTGGTGAATGCTACTATTAATAAATACCCTGGCTGGGCCTGGATATTTATCTCATGCCTGTAATCCCAGCACTTTGGGAGGCCGAAGCAGATGGATCACCTGAGGTCAGGAGTTCGAGTTCGAGACCAGCCTGGCCAACATGGTGAAACCTTGTCTCTACTAAAAATACAAAAATTAGCTGGGTGTGGTGGCGGGCACCTGTAATCCTAGCTACTTGGGAGACTAAGGCAGGAGAATCTCTTGAACCCAGGAGGCAGAGGTTTGCAGTGAGCTGAGATGGCACCATTGTACTCCAGTCTAGGCGACAAGAGCGAAACTCTGTAAATAAATAAATAAATAAATATCCTACAATGCATACAACAGCCTGCATGAGGAATAATTGATCCACCCAGTATGTCAGTAGAGCTGAGGTTGAGAAACTCCTGTATACCACACGTTAGGCTAACTAGAGATCTGAGCTCTAGTCTCAGCCTATTTTCTCACCAGAGTCTTGTTTCTTCATTTGTGAAACAGGGTTAGTGATTTCCAAACTTGATTATTACATCAGAGCCACCTACAAAGTGTTAAAATATACACATTCCTGGGCCTCACCTCCAGGCATGGGTGAGAATGGCTCTGGAGTGGAGTCCAGGAATCATGTGGCCAGTCCAAGAGCAAGTGGGTAGTAACTAGATCAGGGGTGTCAATCTTTTGGCTTCCCTGTGCCACATTGGAAGAATTGTCTTGGGTCACACATAAAATAAACTAACACTAATGATAGCTGATGAGCTAAAAAAAAAAAATCTCATAATATTTTGAGAAAGTTTACAAATTTGTTGGGCTGCATTCAAAGCCGTCCTAAAGTTTACAAATTTGTGTTGGGCTGCATTCAAAGCCGTCCTGAGCCACATGCAGGCTGTGGGTTAGACAAGCTTGAAGTAGATGATCTGATCTGTTTTTAGTGCAAGGATTTTATTATAGTGAGATTATAGTGCTGGCTATTTTTAAGTAGCTCTTGGGCAAATCTCTAATCCTCTGTCTTAAAAAACTGAAAGCCTGGAGGGCACGGTGGCTGACACCTGTAATCCCAGCACTTGGGGAGGCCGAGGCAGGTGGATCATCTGAGGTCGGGAGTTCGAGACCAGCCTGACCAACATGGAGAAACTCCGTCTCTACTAAAAATACAAAATTAGCCTGGCGTGGTGGCGCATGCTTGTAATCCCAACTTACTTGGGAGTCTGAGGCAGGAGAATCACTTGAACCCGGGAGGTGGAGGTTGCAGTGAGCCGAGATCGCGTCATTGCACTCCAGCCTGGGCAACAAGAGTGAAACTACTTTTCAAAAAAAGAAAGTCACATGCTTGCTCCACAAAGAATTTGCGTGAGGGAAGTGAACAATTTGATGAGAAAAAAATAGTTTGCGTGTGCTGTGGCTGTTAGTGCTATGGTCCAGCAGGTTGGTGGGAGCTGAGTCCATGATGATTTCAAGTTATCCCTGTCTGAAGGCAAAGAAAGGCCTTTCTGTGTGGAATTTGAATATCTGAAACTCAGTTTCCCAAGTTTGCCTTACAGAAATTTTAAGTTACTTGAGAGTTACTCTGTGTGTATCTTCTTAAGTAGTTTTTTTTCTTAATTTCTCTTCCCAGGTGCAGTCAGCCTCAGTTTCCAAAGCCGGAAAAGGATCCTCTAGTAGCCACGGTGTGGCAGCTGCTCTGAACCAGGACCTGGACCCGGACCCAAAGTGCCATGTCTTTAATGTGAGTAAGTAGACGAACTGGTAAACAGGCTTGGTTTGGTTTGGGGGAGTGGTAATCTTTTTTGCTTCCCCTGCTCTGGACTTAAAGCAATGGGGGCAGGGAGACTTTAGTAGCATTTTGTTGCTAGGTGTCTGCAATAAGAGACGAAACTGAACTGCTTTGCCGGAAACAAGTGAAATGATTGCTTTCCTGTTTGTAAGATTTGTTTACATCTTTCGTATCCGTAAGAAGTCCCACAAGCCTATGATGGTTAGTTATCCCTGTCTGAAAATCTGGACTGAGGGAAATAATCTATTCTGAGGCTTAAGGGTTTGGCTCCATGGTTTTTTTTTTGTTTTTGTTTTTTTTCCCCTTTTTTTTTCCCTCAGCATATCCTGCTGAGAGCCCAGTCTAGAGCATCATTCCTCTAAAACGTGAAAAGCAAATGAGTGATTGTCCTGCTTTCTCTAGTCCTTTGATTATGGCTCTGAGGATACAGGCTGTATGAGGTGGCAGGAATGCACAAGTACCCAGGATTTGATTTATGCCCTTATTGTGGAATGAAAGTGCTTGTTACATATTTCAAGAAAATGAATGCGCTCTTAGAAACAGATTGGAATGTAGGATGTATGCCAGCTTGTGGCAATGAGAATGCTTAATGACTCTGACCTTGCCTCTGCTCCAGGGTCCTGACATTTAGGGGAAACCACGGCTGTTTGGTTTCTATGTGCTTTGTTAAGGACGCCAGGGAGG
Source organism: Homo sapiens (assembly GCF_000001405.40). Taxonomy (NCBI): domain Eukaryota; kingdom Metazoa; phylum Chordata; class Mammalia; order Primates; family Hominidae; genus Homo; species Homo sapiens. Next base: position 76,562,131 of record NC_000017.11, read on the forward strand.
TCTCCTAAGTTTGTAGCTTAGATCCTGTCTGAATGTCACGACTGGCATGTGAGCAAGAAAGAAACCAAGTGGTGCTGGAGAGTGGGGTGCCCAGCTTTGTTCCCACTGGAATGCCAGGCTTGAAGTGCACACAGATTGCCTTTCTTTTCTGTTGAAAGGGGAGGTGTGGGCCGGGCGCGGTGGCTCACGCCTGTAATCCCAGCACTTTGGGAGGCCGAGGCGGGTGGATCATGAGGTCAGGAGATCGAGACCATCCTGGCTAACAAGGTGAAACCCCGTCTCTACTAAAAATACAAAAAAATTAGCCGGGCGCGGTGGCGGGCGCCTGTAGTCCCAGCTACTCGGGAGGCTGAGGCAGGAGAATGGCGTGAACCCGGGAAGCGGAGCTTGCAGTGAGCCGAGATTGCGCCACTGCAGTCCGCAGTCCTGCCTGGGTGACAGAGCGAGACTCCGTCTCAAAAAAAAAAAAAAAAAAAAGAAAGGGGAGGTGTGTGCAAACTCTTTGTATTTAAGGTTGTGTTTTTGCTGGACACCAAAGAAGCTGTATTCTGGGTGAGATTTAATGAGCCTAAAAACTGGCCCCAGTAGTTTACAGCCTGCAAGTAAAACAGTGAAAAGGGTAGCTTATCAAGTGGTTATTGTCTGCTGAGTGGACTTGACTACAGAACTCAAGTAAACCATAAGATTTGACTTGAAATGTTTCTATCCAGAGGGAGTGCTTTCTGATAGTTGTTTACTGGCCTCTTACCAGAAACTGCTCCCTCAGAGATACTGTCTCCTTAAAATGAGTCATCCTGGATCTCCACCAGCCTGCACCAAAATGGTGTGATAGTGCCCCGTTACGCTCCCCCAACGCGCACATGCCTGCCGGTGGTGAGAGTGAGTGCTCTTGGACTGACTGCCTGTTCTCCCAAATTAGTTGTTATATAGCATTCAGTTTTGAGTCACTTCCTTGGCTGTTACTTCAAATTATTCTTCTGTTTTATAGGTTAGCTCCCAGCGATGCCAGATGGGATCAGCACAGCCCTGCCTCTGCTGCTAATTGTTCCTCTAAAGTAATCGCCATGCGTTCTTTGGGCTTCATCTTTAAAGGAATGAAGCAACTGAGATTATTCTGGAAAACCTTTTGGCAGTTAGTGAAATTAGAGTACAACTAAGAACATTTTCAGACCTCCACTGTGGATGACCTGGGTATAATCTCACAAATCGATGGGACTGCAAGGATTGTAAACTGAAATGAACATGATTATACTCTGTTGGAAGAGCCTAAGAGGAAACTGATGCCATGAGTTTCAGAGAGTAATGCTTAACCCCAGTTACACAGGATGCCGTCTTGTGTTTCCTCTTGTTTAGTTACCCACTACAGTGATTTTGTGATCTGCTAATGGGTTGCCACCCACAACCATTGCTTTAGCACTTTTACTTCAAATCAATGAAGGATTGATAAAAGTTCTCCTGGTGTCTCCGCAGAGTGCCTTCCAGGAACAGATCTTTGCATAGAATATCAGTGGTTTCCTTTTTTGTTTCAAATAGTGGTCAGAAAATACCCAGTGTTGACTCACCAAGGCAATCAGCTTCCTTTTTCCCTTTTTTTGTTTTTTTTTTAACATTTTATATTTTTGCTTTATTTTATTTTATTTTATTTTATTTTATTTTATTTTATTTTATTTTTTGAGACGGAGTTCCACTCTGTCGCCAGGCTGGAGTGAAGTGGTACAATCTTGGCTCACTGCAACCTCCACCTCCCGGGTTCAAGCAATTCTCCTGGCTCAGCCTCCTGAGTGCTGGGACTACAGGCGCGTACCTTCTTTAGTAGAGACTGGGTTTCACCATGTTGGCCAGGATGGTCTCTATCTCCTGACCTTGTGATCTGCCTGCCTCAGCTTCCCAAAGTGCTGAGATGACAGGTGTGAGCCATCAGACCCAGCATTTTTTTTTTTAATTTAAATTTAAATTTTTTTTCATTTTTTTGAGAGGTTTTTTTTGTTTTGTTTTGTTGTTGTTGTTGTTGTTGTTTTTGAGACAGTCTTGCTCTGTCACCCAGGCTGGGAGTGCAGTGGCATGATCTCTGCAACCTCTACCTCCCAGGTTCAAGCAATTCTTGTGCCTCAGCCTCCCAAGTAACTGGGACTACAGGTGCACGCTACCACACCTGGCTGATTTTTTTTGTTTTAGTAGAGACAGGGTTTCAACCATGTTGCCCAGGTTGGTCTCAAACTCCTGAGCTCAGGCAATCCACCCGCCTTGGCCTCCCAAAGTGCTAGGATTACAGGTGTGAGCCACCACACCCAGCTATTTTTTCTTTCGTTTTTTAATTTTAAAGTTGGGGGGGGGTCTCAATTTGTTACCCTGGCTGGTCTCGAACTCCCGGACTTAAGCGATCCTCTGGCTCCAAGCCCACTACCAGTCTCAGGTTTCTTTACTAAAAGATCACTACCTTTTTTTCTCTTATCTGCTGCCATGTGAGATGTGGCTTTCACCTTCCGCCATGATTGTGAGGCCTTCCCAGCCATGTAGAACTGTAAGTCCAATAAACCTCTTTTGTAAATTAAAAAAAAAAAATCACTATTTAAGATACTAGGATGGATTGTGACTGTTGAGGAGTACTTACATATCCTACATTTGACTACATTATTTCCAAACCAAGTATTCCATCCAAAGGAACATACTGCTATCATAGAGACCAAGGAGGGACTGTTTAAGGTTGCCAAGGTGAAGCGAGCTGAGAGGCTTTGTCCTCGTGCCAGTAACTCTGAAATCTCTCTTAATTCCTGCTGTCCAGGCAGCAGAATGCCATGGTTTCCCCAAGTAGGTAGCTGCTTTAGCAGTTAAAGCCCAAATGTCTGTTCTGTTGATCAGAGGTCTCTGAATTTCTGAAGTGGTGTTTCGTTTCTGGTGACTGAGTTAATCCTTTACAATCCCTCTTGTAAAGTGTGCTAATAGAAAGAATCCACCTTTCAAAGCTGCAGAACCAGACCGTGCCCTAAATTGACCAACGTAACTGATGTGCCTCAGGAAGTCTCTTGCCAGCTGTCCCTGTGAAGACCCCCCTCCTCCCCCCCAGCTGCTGCCTTGCACACTGAAGCATCTCAGACTGTGCAAAGCCGTGTAGTCATCAAGACAGTAAATCCCAGGGCTTGGTTAAGTGCTGTGTGATAACTTGTTTGGATGAGACTTAACTTAAAACCACTTACAATAAACTTGGGAAACTACCGTCAGCTGAGTTCAAATTTACTGACGCCATGATATGAGGATGAAGGTTTATTACCTGGTGACATCATCCTGTTGGTGACAAGGTGGTGATACATCTCTAATGGGACTTCCCTCAGTGGCAGGCAGGCTGCCAAGCAACTAACCCCCATCAAGTGCCAGACCCTCCCAGTGTTCTGAGAGTCATCTCCATGCTAAACAGCCTGCGTTTTATATGATTTCTCTACCCAGCCAAAAAAAAAAAAATGGTCCATCATGTACGCAGTTATCTAGTCTTAAGTTATATTCTGGCTTTTTTCTCCCACTTTATTATGGAGCAGAAGTAAGCCTATCATGTTCTTAGAAAGGCTCTTAAGAGGTGTCCTGGAGTCCTTGAATCACTTTAGCATCTGGGGTAGGATGTGCCACCAGGAGGATTTGGGCTGGAGCGTGTGTGTTTGCCTTTGACCTGGACTGCTGTCTGATCTTGCTGAACACTCCACCGACATTTCCTAAAGTTGCTCAGTGCCAATCCAGCAAAGCAGTCCATTTTCCCTTGGCCAAGATTGAGATGTATTGTTTTAGATACAGAAGAGTTCTTGGATGAGCCAAGGACAAGCTGGGGTGTCCTATATTGAACAGACCTCGATGAAAATCTTGAATTCACCCCAGTGCCCTCTGTTGGCAAGGGAAGGTGAAGATTGAAAAGTTAAAAAAGCTTTTGGCCACTTGAGAGGATCAGGGCCGCAACTCTTGAAGAAGCAAAGGGCTCAGTGCATTGGGGTCAGCGCTGGTACAGCTGAAGGATGCCGGCCTTGTGCAGGTCCCTCCACAGGGCAGCTTCCAGGGACAGATCGTGGTTTGCATAAAATATCAATGGCTTCATTTTTCGTTCGAAATAGTGGTCGGAAAATTTCCAGTAGTTGCTTGTGATGAATCCATAGGCACTGACCTGGGCAAGGATAGTCGCTGGATTAGTATTTGTTGAGCGTCTAGTGTGTACAGACACTTGGGTGAAGTGACATGAGTTTAGAAAGGTGTCCGTCTGCTGAGGTGAGGATAATGGTCTAGGGCTTATTCCCACTTAGCAAGTGGGGAGATGGATTCAGGGGTGACTCACTGTGTCCCCACTTGGCATAGCTGGTGATTGCCAGAGCTGGATTTGGAACTCAAGGGTGGAGGCAAAAGCCCATTACTACTCTCTCCATCCTAACTGGGGACTGCAGTCAAGACACTCCTGCATCAGAATAGGAAAAGGCCCTGTGTGGTGGCTCACGCCTGTAATCCCAACACTGGGAAGCTGAGGTGGGAGGATCACTTGAGCTTGGAAGTTTGAGACCAGCCTGGGCAACATGGTAAGACCCTGTCTCTACAAAAAGTAAAAAAAAAAAAAAAGAGCTGGGCGTGGCAGTACATGCCTGTGATCCCAGCTACCCAGCTACTTGGGAAGCTGAGGCAGGAGGATCATCACACCACTGCACTTAAGCCTGGGTGACAGAGTTGAGACCCTGTCTCAAAAAAGAGGGAAAAGATTTAGGTGTGAGTCGTGGAGAGGCATTTGGCCCCCAGCTCTCCATACCAGCTTTAGCATGGGTCACGGCCTCTCCTTGAAAGCTGCTGCTTGGCCCCTGCCTCCATGAGCTTCACGTGGGTCATATCCCATCAGGAATGACTCTTAACGGTGATTTCAAAGTAGTTGCATGTGGGAGGCTAAACCTGCTGCCCTACCCCAGCTCTAGGATGTCCCCATAAAAGAATGTCCCTATTTGGCCCAGTATGTTGAGGACTTTGGCTTTCACAAGGGCAGTTTGATGATTTGAGCCTTAAATACCATACTGAGTGGCTGCCTTGGAGAAGAGTGAAAGAAGGAAGCCTGGGGCAGGTGTCAGGAGCCAAGGCAAGCCTGAGGCAGGTGTCCGGAGCCAAGGCAAGGCTGGCCCAGGACCTGTCCTTCAAAGGCCCCAGGGTTGTGGGCAAGGAAGTGAGCAGTACCAGCAGCACTCTTGGAACTGGGGATTCCACGAACAGAGGCCAAGAGTCCCAGCTCCGAGGTAAGGGATATCAGGGGATCCTGTTGGGTTCTGTTATCCTGTGTTCTGCCGGCATGGGCTTCTGGAAGAGAAGGCCTCTTACCTGGTCACAGGTATGCAAAGCTGTCAGCAGCATGAGAGCCCCGGTACTAGGCATATATAGGTCTCCAAAATGTGTGTTAATCAACTTTGATTTCAAGAACCTGGAAGCAAAAAGAGACATTTCAGCTCACTAGCTTGATGGCTATCATCACACTTCACAACTACACATTCAAATAGGTGGGAAAACTTCAAAAACTGAGGGCCTTCTACTCCAGTCAGTTCTTTATTCGGTCCAAGTGGACTAAATACAAAGATCTTTGAGACCTTAGGTAAGGTTGGGGGAGGGGGTGGTGAGAAAGGAACCACAGGTTCCCCCTTTTGGCAACAGCTTGTTTTCACCCCAAGCTACTAAGTAACCACACTGCCAAGGGCATAGGTGGCCTGTTTATTTAGCCTGAGACTGCAGTTTCTCTCTACTCCACATCTTGATTAAGTAGGAATCACGTGTGAGGGACAGGGAGCTCAGACCCTGTGACCGGACCCACACAGTCCAAGAGTGAGGCCAGGGTGTGACCACGGGCTCTGCCCTCAGGCCTGAGTTCACATCGAGCTGTGCCAGGCCGATCACCTGACCTCTCAGAGCCTGTCTTCCTCTGTAGCACGGGACTAATTAGAGGGGCTTCATTTGCCTCCCCACATCCACACACCCCTCTCCAACTGCTCCCTGCCCTGGGATTCGAGCCTCTGGTCCACAGCAGGGTTTCTCAGTCTCAGTGCTGTTGACACTTGGGGCCAGGTGCTTCTTGTGATGTTCAGCAGCATCCCTGGCCTCTACCCACTGATGGCACTTGCCGCCACCACCCTTGTGACAACCCCAGACGAGGACCATATGCACATCCACATTGAGAACCCCTGGCAGGAGGGAGGGAAGGGGGTTGAGGCTGGTCCCCGGGTTCCTTCCGGCACCTTGTGTTGGCTGTGTTTGGGCCTGAAGGTTCTGATGCCCTGCTGCTGACGGCGCCACTGCTGCTGTGCACCTTATGGTCCCAGCTCCCAGTCTGTGCCTTTGTATAAACCTCCTTGAGTTATCCTGAGTTTCCTGTCCATTTCCTGGTGACTGACATATATCACCCTCCCTCTATCAAGGTGCTAAATAAAACAGTAAATGAAGTGACAGTGCTTTGCACACAGCACTCGGGACAGTGGAGCTCTGGTTATCGGTCAGTGCGTGGGGCTCGTGCGAGGGCGCTGACTGGATGTGGGTGGGTGTGTAAAAGGGGGAAGGAAGGGGACGCTGTTCTTCAGGCACCCCACTCCGTACCTTTCTGTCAGGTAGCTGATGAAGTCCGGATGTAGCAGCTTGAATTTACTGGCAGAGGCTTCTGGTCCAAAATAGGCGTGCGGCCTAGGACCCATGATAGAAGTGGACAGAGCGCCCAGAGCCGTCGTATTGCAAGGGGGAGATGGAGGGGAGGGTCAGGGCGCCGGAGTAGCCGCGGTACCCTGAGCGGTAGGAGCGGGGCTGGGAGTAGTAGCGGGAGAAGGGGGTGTAGAAGGTGGCAGGCAGTACGTTGGGGACCACGTGCGGCTTCCCGCTCACCAGGACCTCCACGGGCGGGGTGTAGGAGAGAGAGGAGGGGGGCATGAACAGACCGGGGGGAGTTGGGAAGGGGCAGTTAAACTGGGGGTGGTGGGGGGGCGGGGGAAGGAGAGGTAAGTAGAGTGAGTCAGGAGGGGGTGGGGGCTTCCGGGCAGGGCAGGGAGAGGGACAGGCAAAGCATGGGTTTTGGGGAAGTGGTGCTGTGGGGGGCTGGAAAAAGGGGGGCTCCTTCAGAAAGCGGGGCACATAGGGGGTGATATAGGACGGGATGTTCTGAATTGGCCCGATATAGGAAGATGAGGTGGCAGGGCTGTAGAAGGAGGACTTGGGGGGCACAGCGGGGGTTAGGGAAGGGTTTCGAGAGAGGGATTTGAAACCAGACTGGGAGGGAGATTTGGAGGTGGGTGGGGTGGGGGTTTGGGCAGCCCCGCGGGGCACGTGTTGGACCTGAGGACTGGGGTTCAGGGACGAAGTCCGGGAAGAGGGCTGTGAGGCATTTGGGGTGGGAGGGTGGGAGGGGGGCCGGGAGGAAGAGCCCCGAGTGGGGGAGGGGGAAGGGGCAGGCTGCTGGCCTGGAGGGGTGACAATGTTGTTGGAACGGGACTGGGAGGGAGACTGGGTAGGGGATGGATTAGGGGTGTGGGAAGGGGAGCTCATTGGTGTTGGGGAGGCTTAGGTCCACCCGATGTCTCTGAGGCAGCCCCTAAGGGCCCAAGCCCAGCGTGTCACAAAGCCCAGCTCAGACCAGCAGTGGAAGCAATTGTTGGGTAATCACCAAGCGGGGGTGGGGTGGGCCTGGCTTTAGAACCCTTAACCCATAAGGACCACCTGTAAAGCTGCTCTGTGGGGGGTGGGGAAGATGTCCTCAGCGAGACGCCGAGATAGGAGGGCTGGTTGTCTGGGCCACAGCAGTGGCGTCGATTTTTAGGGACCTGATCTCAGGGACAAGAAATTGTCTCAGAACCCCCGGGAGGAGGTTCAGATGAGGGTCAGGTCGTGGCTCAAGAGAGCTGGACCCAGGCCTGCTGTGCAGGAAGGTGGGAAAGAAGACAAAGGGCCCATTGTTTCCGCCTCTCAGGACACTGGGCCTCGAGTCTGCTCTCCCGTTTCATGGGCATGACCCTGGGAAGGATGCCCAGCAGGAGGAGTGGCCCAGACTGGCCCCAACTCTTGTTTCCAGCACAGTGTGCTCAGTGGGACAGCGGACCCAGCCCAGTCTGTGACCCGGAGCCGCTGGCGGCTGGGCTGGGCAGGGAGAGTGCAGCCCAAAGCCGAGAAGCCAGACCTGCTCACCCCATTCAGAAGAGCTGCCTCTCCCACCCCCAGCCCACTGCCCCCAGAGGGCTACTGGGAACCCGGAGGGTCACCTGGGCTTTCCAGGGGTAGACAAAAAGTAGAATTTCCCAGTGCTGTTATGTGAATAATTGGGGATGATTGAATTCTTAGGGCTGTTCTTACTGCCCTTCACCCACCTCCTCTTACCCCATGATGGGCCCTGGGAGCAAAAAGGAGATAACCACAGTGTCCCTTGCCCCTCTGCCACGCCCCACACCACCACGGCCTGGCTGCTCACCTGTCCCCTTTATCTAGGCCCTCAGGGACAGGCACGCCCAGAATGGCCGATCTCAGCATCACATAGTCGCGGATGTCTGAGGGGATGAAGATATACTGCAGGTCCTGTCAGAATAGAGACAATGAGCCCAGAGGGGAACCAGGACATGTTTAGCTCCTCAGTGTGGACAGCCCTCCACCCAACCTTGCCCCCTGAGCCGACTGGAGAATTTCCCTTAAATACCTTTCATTCCCACCCAGAGGTGCTGTACTGGTTTCAGTGTAGGTCCACAAATCCTCTAATGCTCCTTCAGGAGGTGGCACCCAATTGCCATCCCCTGGAGTATGGGCTGGACTTAGCGACTCATGCACAGGATTTTTCTGATAAAGAGGAAAGTGATGGTGTGTGGCTTAGAGACTAGGTCATAAAAGGCACTGTGGCTTCCTTTACGTTCTCAGATCACTCACTCTGGATGAAGTTAGCTGCCATGTCGTGAGGACACTCAAATAGCCTACAGAGGGCCCAAGTGGCAAGGGCCCGTGAGACGCCATCTTGATGTCAGCTCCAGTCAAGCTTTTGGGTCTCTCAGATGATGCAGCCCATCATCTGCACCTGGGCCAAAACCTCCCACTAAGCTCCCCACAAATTCCTGACCCATTGAAACCACAAGATAGTCAATATTTGTTGTTTAAAGCCACCAAGTTTTGAGGTCATTTGTTACACAGTAATAGATAACTCGTACATGTACTGTGGCTACACTGAAACTAAGGCCAGGCGCGGTGGCTTACGCCTATAATCCCAACACTTTGGGTGGCCGAGGCAGACGGATCATTTGAGGTCAGGAGTTCAAGACCAGCCTGGCCAACATGGTGAAACCCCATCTCCACTAAAAATACAAAAATTAGCCAGGCGTGGTGGTGCGTGCCTGTAATCCCAGCTTCTTGAGAGGCTGAGGCAGGAGAATCGCTTGAACCCAGGAGGCAGACATTGCAGTGAGCTGAGATTGCACCATTGCACTCCAGCCTGGGTGACAGAGTGAGACTCCGTCTCAAAACAAAACAAAAGTCTAAAGCTGCTCTATTTTGTTCCACTTCACAGAAGAGAGGTTCTAGTGTGAGGACTCAGTGTGGCATAGACACTATGGTAGGACACTCCTTAAGCCCCTGGTCAGGGGAGGAAGCTTCTAGAAACCCAACTCAGCTTCCTCCGGCACTGCAGATCCCCTTTTCCTGAGATCCCCTAACCCTGTGGCTGTGGCACCCACAGCCCCTGAGGAGGGAAGCTTTGAGTTAACGGCCTTTGGGTGTGGGTGGAGGAACCTGGAGGCCAGCAGGTAGGGCCAGATGCTAGCTCGCATGCAGTGGCTGCCACCTGGGACACGTCCCTCAGTGTCTCTGACCCTCAATTTCCCACACAGGGCTATTGTGAGATTTCAAGAGGCCACACATCATTCTTCCAGGGGCCAGTGTGGGGAAATGGAAACAACCCCAGCGCTGGGGTCAGAGGGTCCTAGATCTAGATGGTTCCAGCTGGGTGACCCTGGACATGTTCCTGAACCTCTCAGCGTCCCTGCTTTGTCATCTGGAAATGGGTACACGGGTCCCACTCAGGGCTGCTGTGGTGACCGTGTGTGTGCCCTGTAACATGCTGGGAGGAGGAACTCCATAAATCCCCTTCTCCTGGGAGTCTGAGCTCCCCAAAGAATGCCAGCTCTCGAGGTGGGGGGTACTCTGGGTGCAAATCCTGACCCTACCGCTGACTCACTGAATGAAAGGCACCAGGCTTTTATCCCCACACCAGTAAAACCATGGGTTGCACGGTCTCTGTAAAGTGCCTGGCAAGTCACAAGCGTTGGGTAAATGCTGGCCATTCACATCCCATACTGCAGAGGAGTCCCGTGACGCCTGAATCAGCAGGGAGTCCGGGACCAGATCCCCCCTCACCTTCAGTGGCTGTATCTTGCATCCAGAATCCTGGCACCCCCTCAGCATCCACTGGACCAGGGTGTGTGAGCCCTGTGGCCCCCACTGAGGGGACTCCAGGAACAATGGTGCCATTGTCAACCACAATGGCATGCCCGCCAGAGGCCTCACCTGTCCTTGTGGCACGGAGGTGAAGCCCAGATTCCAGTAGGAGACGAGGGAGTTCTTCATCGTGTTCACAGTGAAACCATAGAAGGAAGTCTTGGTGCCCACATCGCGCTCGAAGCCTTTGATCACAGCTCCATTGAGTCTGGTTGGCACAGAGGCCCATCAGTGTCTGCGGTTACACCAGGCCGTCTGTTCTGCTTCCATCTCCACGGCTCTGCCTGGCCTATCCCCCTGCCTCTGTATGACCACTCCTTCTGCCCATGGCAGTACCAGTGCCCAGTTGTCAACCAGACCCCCACTCCTCCAGACCTCAAGGGGTGACGCCCTGTGAGTGGGTAGAGCTGGCCCTGGCGGCTGCTTCCTCCTGGGTCCCCTGCATGGGCACCCATGCTCCGTCCTCAGGGCCTACTGTTTGTTTTTGCCTTGTCCATGCCCGTGTGCTGGTCACAACTGCTGAGCCGCCCAGGCCACTGCTGCCATAGCCCACTGCCCCTGGGGGAGACACCCCCACCCTCCAGGCAACTCTCCCTCCCGCCCCTCCCCAGCTCCTACCCCTCATACCTGAATACATAGTCATGGGCATCGATGTTGGGACCCTGGCGGGACCCATTCAGAATGCCTCCGTTGCCCACCACGGCACACCGGATACACTTTGGAGGGGTGTCCCTGGGCGGGGCAAACAGCTTGGCACTCTCTGAGCCGTTCAGAAGGCTCAGGGTGGAGGCGATGACTGTGGGTGCAGATGGGGAGCAGCCATGAGGAGGGCTGGCATCGGGGGCACCTGGGGCCTTCCCTAGGCTGGTTCTGGTGCCCCATCTCCCCTGAGGCCTGACCCTAGCCCCTCCCAAGAAGCACAGAGGGTGGGAGGGGAAGGAGATGTCTGTGGGGGGAGAATTGAAAAGCTGACAGTGGAAGAGGGGGCTTGGCGGCCTTCACTTGTCTTAAGAACTTGAATACCTTATCTTCTTAAGACTGGTGCTAGAGAAGTGAGCTCAGGGCTTAAAAAAGACTGGGCTGGGCACGGTGGCTCACACCTGTAATACCAGAACTTTGGAAGGGTGAGGTGGGTGAATCACTTGAGGCCAGGAGTTCGAGACCAGCCTGGGCAACATGGTGAAACCATGTCTCTATTAAAAATACAAAAATTAGCCAGGCGTGGTGGTGCGTGCCTAATCCCAGCTACTTGGGAGGCTGAGGCACAAGAATCACTTGAACCCGGGAGGCGGAGGTTGTAGTGAGCTGAGATTGTGCCATTGCACTCCAGCCTGAGTGACAGAGCGAGACTCCATCTCAAAAATAAAAAAGACTGTATATTGCAAAAGAAAAGAATCGGAGGCCTGTGGGGGTTTGGGTGCAGGTATAATGTAGAGGGGGCTCTGGGCCTGCAGTGTGGGGGTTCCTGCAGCAGCAACCGTGAGTGAGGTGGTTTGAGGCCCCACAGCCTCTGTCCTTGGCCACCATTGGACGCTGCAGCCTTTCTTGCCAGGGAGGCCCCAGGATGGTGAGGCCCACTGGCGGGGGCAGCCCCATGACTCTCACTGACCCCTGGGTGCTTGGACGGAGGAGGGAGGTGAGGCAGGAGTTGCATAGCTGGGGCTTCTGGGAGGAGAGAGGGGGACAGGGAGACCTGGCATCACCAGTGCTATGAGGGCAGAGAGGCCTGGCCTACTTCAGGGCAAAGAGCAGGAAGCTAAGGCAGAAGGCAGGTGAGAGACAGCGGGCGCGGGTTACCTTGGTGAGAGAGCCCCCGCCAGCCATACGGGGCTTTGTGTTGGCTCAGGCGGTCCCAGAGCGCTGGGGTGAAGAGGTCCCCCCACAGCAGCACTGGAATGGAGAGATTGAACAGGCCACGGAAGTGGGGGTGCCGCTGAATGGCCAGGTGAAGCAGGTGTCGGCAGGCCTGGCCCTGTGGGTGAGAAGGTGAGGGCTGAGCCCCGTTAGGTAGGGGCTGGGGTGGGTGGGGCCCTGCAGACCCTGCAGGGGAGTTGCGAGTTGTGAGGGAAGGCCTGCCCTGTCCCCTCCAGATTGGGGCCATCCTTGCATTTTTTTTTTTCTTTTTTTGAGACAGAGTCTCGCTCTGTCGCCCAGGCTGGAGTGCAGTGGCCCCATCTCGGCTCACTGCAAGCTCCGTCTCCCGGGTTCACGCCATTCTCCTGCCTCAGCCTGCCGAGTAGCTGGGTCTACAGGCGCCCGCCACCACGCCCGGCTAATTTTTTGTATTTTTAGTAGAGACGGGGTTTCACCATGTTAGCCAGGGTGGTCTTGATCTCCTGACCTCGTGATCCACCCGCCTCGGCCTCCCAAAGTGCTGGGATTACAGGCGTGAGCCACCGCGCCTGGCCCATCCTTGCATTTTTGAACTGAGCTGGCAGCTAGGGGGTCTGGGAACTTTCTGGATTTAGCCTGCCTAGCTCTTCCTCTCCCAGAGGCCATGTCCCCTTGGCCTGGTGGTTCTGGCCTCACACTCCTTCATCTCACGCTTGAGCAAACTCTGGGGCATTTTCTGATGTATGGGTCTGACCTGCCTGCCCTTTGGTGGAGTAGTTTCAGCCTGGGCTGAGCTGAGGCTGTCACCCTGGATGCAAAACCCTAACCCTACTGGTACTCGCTGTATAATTTGTGTGTGAACAGGCTGCCAGGAAGATCCGTGATAGTCTTTCTTTCCAGTGGTGCCTTTAGGGAGTGGAAGTGTCCCCCCAAAATTCATTACCCAGAGCCTTGGAATGTGACCTTAGTTGGAACTAGGGTCTTTGGAGATGGAATTAGTTAGGAGGAGGTCATATAGGGTGAGGTCAGGCCCTAACTAGCATCCGTGGAAAGAGGCCGGGTGATGATGAAGCAGGGATCTGTGCGATGCACCATAAGCCAAAGAGCAGTGGAGCCGCCAGAGCTGGGAAAAGGCAGGGGAGGCTTTCTTCGAGCCTTCGGAGGGAGCGTGGCCCTGCCAGCACCTTGATTCTGGGCTTCTGGGCTCCAGAACTGTGACGATTCAATTTCTGTGGATCGAAGCCCCCCAGGCTGTGATCATTTGTTCCAGCAGCCACGGGGAAGGAACACAGCACCTCTGTACTTGTGGGCCTTGAGGGAGGGTGAGGTCAGGAAACAGGCCCCAGCCTTGTCTGCCCGTGACCCCACAAGTTCAGAATCACACACAGTCATGGCCTGGGTGGGCCTTCTATTACTCCTGAATGGGGCTCTTTGTTAAGCCATTCGTTTGATCAAAAGACAAAGCAGGAAATAGCTGTACAGTAATTTCTGCTATAATGCAACTTATGAGTGGCTAAATATCACCATGCTATGCAAAGCTATGCAATCATGATCATGGGGTAGCTGGGCATGGGGGCTCACCCCTCTAATGCCAGCGCTTTGGGAGGTCAAGGCGGGAGGATAACTTGAGGCCAGGAGTTTCCAGATTAGCTTGGTCAACATAACAAGACCCCATGTCTGCAAAAAAATGTTTTTTCATTAGCCAGGCATGGTGGCCCAGACCTATGGTCCCAGCTACTTGGGAAGCTGAGGTGGGAGGATTGCTTGAACCTGGGAGATTGAGGCTGCAGTGAGCTACTGAGACTGCACTGCAGCCTGGGCAACAGAGTGAGACCCCATCTCAAAAACAAAACAAAACAACAATAGCAAAACGAAAAACCACGGGCCTATGAGAACATGGGATGAGTGACATAACACTGAAACGCTGTCAGGAATGCGTAAAACCAAAGATACAAATCGAAGAAAGACAGAAGCACAGTTTTACTGATGTCCCGTGGTTAAAGAATACTTGAGATTGATGTGGAAGTGGGTGTGGAAGTGGGTGTCGGAAGGGGGCAGTTTGTGTGATATTGTGAAATGGTGGAAAGAAGTTGTCTGAAATCGGAGGGAATTGTGCCACCAGACTCACTAGGGCAGGTGAACCCATAACACACTCGGTGAAGCTGATGGAGATTTCAGGTGTGCATGTGTGTACTTTTTGTGTATTCCTACATGGCTCTGCTGAGTTGGGTGTGGTTTCTATGTTAACCTAGAGTTTTCACTGACAAAACCACTCAAAAAAAAATCCAGGCCGGGCACGGTGGCTCATGCCTATAATCCCAGCACTTTGGGAAGCAGAGGTGGGTGGATCACCTAAGTTCAGGGGTTTGAGACCAGCCTGAGCAACGTGGTGAAACCCTGTCTGTACTAAAAATACAAAATTAGCCTGGTGTGGTGGCACATCCCTGTAATTCCAGCTACTTGGGGGGCTGAGGCACAAGAATTGCTTGAACGTGGGAGGCGGAGGTTGCAGTGAGCCAAGATGGCGCCATTGCACTCCAGCCTGGGCAACAAGAGCGAAACTCCATCTCAAAAAAAAAAAAAAATGCAAAATGTATGTGATGCTCAGATTGTTTCCTAATATGTCAATCTTGTTGGAACAAATTAACAAATTCTTTTTTTTCTTTTTTTTTTTTTTTTTTTTGAGACGGAGTTTCGCTCTTGTTGCCCAGGCTGGAGTACAATGGCATGATCTCAGCTAACTGCAACCTCCACCTCCCAGGTTCAAGTGATTCTCCTGCCTTAGCCTCCCAAGTAGCTGGGATTACAGGCGCCTGCCACCATGCCTGGCTAATTTTTTGTATTTTTTGTAGAGACAGGGTTTCACCATGTTGACCAGGCTGGTCTTGAACTCCTGATCTCAGGTGATCCACCCACCTCGGCCTCCCAAAAGTGCTGGGATTACAGGCATGAGCCACTGCGCCTGGCCGTTTTTGTCTTCTTATATGTGTCCAAAAGCCACCTCAGACCCTTTGGTTTAGACCAGGTGGGGACATACGTCAGTTAGCAATGAACAGCTCAAGGCTCAAGGTGGAAAAGAGTTTAGGAAGCTTGAAGATGACCTGGTCCAAGCACTCCTAAGGTGCTCAAGGCCTCTCTTCAGCCTGCCGGCCAAGTGCCCATTGGCCTCTGTATTTTTTTTTTTTTTTTTTTTGAGACGGAGTTTCGCTCTGTCACTCACGGTGGAGTGCAGTGGCACGATCTCAGCTCACTGCAACCTCCGTCTCCTGGGTTCAAGCAATTCTGCCTCAGTCTCCCAAGTAGCTGGGATTACAGGAGCCCGCCACCATGCCTGCCTAATTTTTTGTATTTTAGTAGAGATGGGGTTTCACTGTGTTGCCCAGGCTGGTCTCGAACTCCTGAACTCAGGCAATCTGCCCACCTCGGCCCCCCAAAGTGCTGGGATTACAGGTGTGAGCCACCACGTCCAGCGGCCTCTGTTCCTAAGACAGGGCCCCCATCACCTGCCCGGGCTACTTGCTGTGTCTCTGAACAGCTTGGCTGTCGCTAAGCTCTAGCATGCAGTGAAATCTTTCTCCTAGAGGCCCCAGTCAGCATGTCCCATTTTAGTCTCTTGGGCATGGAAAACACCTCTTAAGCCTGTATTAATCCAGAACAACACAGTCATCATCCTGCTTATCGGCAGCACATGGAGCCAGGGTGGGGTGGAGTGGGATGAGGTTGGGGAGGTTGTATCGCGCAATGGTTCTGAGCCAGGTTCCAGACAAGAGGCTCAAACTCCAGGACTACCTCTTACTACCTAAGCGGGGTACTTAACTTCTTGGTGCCTCATTTTGCTCATTTGTAAGGGCCACATTCTAGGGTTGCTGCGAGGCTTCCGTGAGAGAACGCAGGTAAAGTCCCAAAATTAATGCTGTCTGTTACTTACGGTTATAAGGCAGGGCCCTGAAGCTTCTCAAACCTTCTGGGCAAGCAAGGGCATCTTTTCAGAGCTTGGAGTTTGCTCCAGGGTGAGCAGTTTAAATGTGACTTTTATAGGAAGTAGATATTTTGAGGAGTAGAATATAAAATTCACAGGACTATTTAAGATACAATCTTAAGACTCCAAAGAACTGTTCAGCTGGCTACACCCCATGAGTACATATTTATTCATCCTTCTCTGCTGTTGGGCCACAAGAAACCCTATTGGTCAGGTCTGAGAGGCCCTGAAGGGACGGATGCTCAGCTGTAACTTAGGGCGTTCCAAAGAGCTCCTGCCCAGCAATCTCATGAGAGTGTTCTCGTTTGCTCTTCTTCCCTCCTCCCCACTAATTTGAGGGTGCTCAAAACTGCCACAGGGTAGTCGACCACTCTACCTTTCCTGTCCAAGAATTCGATGCCTTGGATTGAAAGAATGCTTCAAATGATGTGGTGTCCCTGGGGGAAAAAGCAGAAAAAAGCAGGGGTCAGCAGCTCTGACCTACCCCTTGGAAGCTTTTGGACTGACCGACCCCCTTAGCTCTAGGGGCGGACAAAGTCTGTCTGTGCCCATCGTGGTGGCTCACATCTGTAATCCCAGTGCTTTGCTGGAGTACAGTGGTGCAATCTCGGCTCACTGCAACCTCTGCCTCCTGGGTTCAAGTGATTCTCCTGCCTCAGCCTCCTGAGTAGCTGGGATTACAGGCATGCGCCACCACACCCAGCTAATTTTGTATTTTTAGTAGAGACGGGGTTTTTCCATGTTGGTCAGGCTGGTCTCGAACTCCCGACTTCAGGTGATCTGCCCACCTTGGCCTTCCAAAGTGCTGGGATTACAGGCGTAAGCCACTGCGCCCAGCTCTGTGCTCTTATTCTTGCCATGTCTTTCTCTTTAGGCACACAGGATACTGTCACTTTCTTATGTTTTGCCTCACTGTGTAAACTCAAAGATCAAGGCGTCCCTCAGCAAGTGGCAGAAATGTGGAGTTTATAGGAACAGTGAGATGGTGGCTTAAAATATATGAAAATAGAAAAGATTGCCAGCCACCTGGAACTGTGACCATCTGAAGGATCTCCCTGACAGGGCCCCAGAGGCAGGCATTAGGTCTGAGATGACTGGGCCTTCCTTCCCCTTTGTGTGGGTCACGCCCACCACTCCTGAAGTACAATCCTGGTTAAGGTTATGGCTCTTGCTATGGTTTGAATGAGTCCCCCAAAGTTTATGTGTTGGAAACTGAATCCCCAATGCAACAGTGTTGAGAGATGAGACCTTTAAGAGGTGATTAGGTCACTTGGGCTCTGCCTTCATGAATGGATTAATTTGGTTATTGCAAGAGTGGGTTAGTTATTGTGGAGTGGGTTCCTGATACAAGGATGAATCCAGCCTCTCTTCTCTGGAGCATACGTGCTCTCTTGTCTTTCTGCCTTCCATCTATGAGGATGCAGCAAGAAGGCCCTCTCCAGACACAGACCCTATGACCTGGGACTTCCCAGCCTCCAGAACCATAAGAGGTAACTCTCTGTTTTTTGTAAATGATCCAACTCAGGTGTTCTGTGATAGCAGCACAAAACAGACTAAGACAGCTCTGAAACCTCACTTCCTGGGTTTGCAACCTGTCTCCACCACTTGGCTGCTGTGTGATCTTGGGCAGTTGCTGAACTTCTCAGAACCTCAGTCTCTGCATTTATACAATAGGGATAATCATATTGAGCTCCTTTGATTGTTAGGAGGGTTCAAACAGAGACTGTATGTTAGCACATATAAAAAGTGTCCTCTAGGTGGCCAGGCACGGTGGCTCATGCCTGTAATCCCAGTACTTTGGGAGACCGAGGTGGGTGGATCACGAGGTCAGGAGTTCGAGACCAACCTGGCCAACATGGTGAAACCCCATCTCTACTAAAAATACAAAAATTAGCTGGCATGTTGGCACATGCCTGTAATCCCAGCTACTTGGGAAGCTGAGGCAGGAGAATCGCTTGAAACCGGAAGGTGGAGGTTGTGGTGAGCTGAGATCACACCACTGCATTCCAGCCTGGGTGAAAGAGTGAAACTCCTGGCCGGGTGCGGTGGCTCACGTCTGTAATCCCAGCACTTTGGGAGGCCTAGGCGGGTGGATCACAAGTTCAGGAGATCGAGACCATCCTGGCTAACACGGTAAAACCCCATCTCTACTAAAAATACAAAAAAATTAGCCAGGTGTGGCGGCGGGTGCCTGTAGTCTCAGCTACTTAGGAGGCTGAGGCCCAGGCTACTCGGGAGGCTGAGGCAGGAGAATGGCGTGAACCTGGGAGGTGGAGCTCGTAGTAAGGGGAGATCGCACCACTGCACTCCAGCCTGGGTGACAGAGTGAGACTCCATCTCAAAAAAAAAAAGAGTGAAAGTTTGTCTCAAAAAGAAAATAAAAGAAAAATGTGTTCTCTAAATATTATTTTTACCTCCTAAAGGAGGAAGAGAAAGGATCTTGCTGTGTCAGCCTCTATTATTAGTGTCCCTTCTAGAGGGCAGTAAGGGGATAGTGTTACTATCCCCTCCCAATGCCCAATTCCCAGGCGCTAGGTGGCCCCTGAATCAGGGCAGAAGGAAAACATGAAGGAAGGAATAGGGGTCCTTACCCTTTCAAAAGGTGGCCAGGCTTCTCTCAGACCCCTCCCTTCACCCCAGCAGCCACAGGTGGAGGGGACTCTGGGTTGGCAGCTTGCAAGAGAAACAAAGGTCTCTTGTTACCTGCTTCTAGGTGCTGAGATGCCTGAGCCACAAGGGAACCCAGGATCTGCCTCCCTTTGGTTTCCAGGTTTCCTATAAGACCCTGGAGGGACGGCCCAGAAAGAGCAGAGTTGATCCCTTCCCCCATCCCTCCCTTGCCCCTTGGACTGTCCACTTGTCTGCCCACATAATCCCGTAGTTCCTGCTCATGAGCACAATATGACCCCCTCTGGGAAGGAACTAGGACGGTGGTGCTCAGCCTAGGTTGCCTATGAGAACCCCCAGGGAGGCTTGAAAAACCCCATTGCTCAGCCCCGAAATCCTGAGATTCTGATCTGACTGTTCTGGGGTCGGGGGAGGGCATTGGTGAGTCCAGTCCCTACCCTCCCACCCCAACCAGGTGATTCTGCTGTGCAGCCAGGCTGGAGAGCCTGACGGAGGAGCTGCGGGACAGGGCAGAGTTGAGACGGGTGGGGGACAGGGGTAGAGCTGTAAAGGAGATGATGGGGAACCCCCAAGTTCAGTTTTGCTGCCCTGAACTACCCACCCTCAGGGAGGCCTGGTGTGACTTTAGAGTATCCCTGGTGCTCAGCCACTTCTCCCAGCCCCGCTCCTACTGATCCTTCCAGCCCCTCCCTCTCAGGAATCCAAGTGCCTGGGACACCTGGGAGGGCGTAGGAAGGGGACCAGCCTGCACATGCCCTTCTGGGAGGTTTTACCAGCCTGAGGAGGTATACAGACCATGTGCTGCGTTTTTCAGAAAGCTAATTTTACTCACAACTTAGATCATATTCTCTTTTTTATTTTTATTTTTATTTTTTTTAAGATGGAGTCTCGCTCTGTCACCAGGCTGGAGTAGTACAGTGGTGCATCTTGGCTCACTGCAACCTCCACCTCCTGGGTTCAAGCGATTCTCCTGCCTCAGCTTCCCAAGTAGCTGGGACTACAGGCGCATGCCACCATGCCCAGCTAAGTTTTGTATTTTTAGTAGAGACGAGTTTCACCATGTTGGCCACGATGGTCTTGATCTCTTGACCTTGTGATCCACCCGCCTCGGCCTCCCAAAGTACTGGGGTTACAAGCGTGAGCCACCGTGCCCAGCCTTTTTTTTTTTTTTTTTTTTTTTTTGAGACAGGGTCTCACTTTGTCACTCAGGCTGGAGTGCAGTGGCAGGATCTTGGCTCACTACAGCCTTGACCTCCTGGGCTCAAGCGATCCTCCCATCTCAGTCCCCCAAGTAGCTGTGGCTTACAGGCATGTGTCACCATGCCTGGCTATTTTTTTTTTTTTTGGTATTTTTAGTAGAAACGGGGTTTTGCCATGTTTCAAACTCCTGGGCTCAAGCAATCTGCCTGCCTCAGCCTCCCAAAGTGCTAGGATTATAGGCACGAGCCACCATGCCCGGCCTTCATATTCTTAATACTTAGCCCTAAAATGTTCTCTTTTTAAAAACATAACGTTGACAATGGATAGTAACTGGCAGCCCTATGTTGATTCTCACTCTCCTATTAAACAACAACAACAACTTTTAATAGAAATGCCCATGTGGGGACCCACTGATCCAGATTCTGCCATGAGGAAATGCCCAGACTGGGCTCCACTCTAATCTGCACTAAAGAGCCCTCTCCTTGGGCTCTGTAGACCCTGTCCCAGATGCCCATCTTCCTGGACTGTCCCCTGTAGCCAGGCATGTCCATTTGCAGTCCCAAGCTGGGGAAGCTCATGTGGCCTGCCGGCTCTGCCCAGAATGCCGTCCACCTCCCACTCTCTCCCAGACTAAATATCCACCTCCCACAGCAAGGCTGAGTCCTGACCTGCCCCGCATTGGGGTTTAAGCTACAGTGCAAATACAGAGAAACAGCAGGAAAGGGCCAGGTGCTTGAGTCATACTACATTTTGAAAAGAGGAAAGATCTTTTTTTTAAAAAAGCATTGTTGCATTATAATAGAAGTATAGTAAACTTCATACTTAAAGTCTATTAGATACCCTGAAACAATTTTAATTTGTGTTTTTTAAAAAATGTATTACTCGGGGCTGGGCGCGGTGGCTCACGCCTATAATCCCAGCACTTTGGGAGGCCCAGGTGGACGGATCACGAGGTCAGGAGATCGAGACCATCCTGGCTAACACGGTGAAAACCTGTCTGTACTAAAACATACAAAAAATCAGCTGGGCATGGTGGCGGGCACCTGTAGACCCAGCTACTCGGGAGGCTGAGGTAGGAGAATGGCATGAACCCGGGAGACAGAGCTTGCAGTGAGCCGAGATGGGGCCACTGCACTCCAGCCTGGGCGACAGAGGGAGACTCTGTCCCAAAAAAAAAAAGAAGATAATGTATTACTTGGGAGGCTGAGGTGGGAGAATCATTTTAGCTCAGGAGGTGGAGGTTACAGTGAGCCAAGATAGACCCACTGTACTGCAAGCCTGGGTGACAGAGTGAGACTGTCCCCAAAAGATTATTTTTATAAGAAAAGGAATTCATTTCTTACAGTTATGGAGGCTGGGAAGTCCAAGGTCGAGGAACCACATTTGGTGAAGGCCTTTTTTTTTTTTTTTTCTTTTCTGCTCCTTGTGGAGCAGGGCTACCCCATAGGCAGTGGTCCAGGGCAGCCAGAGGGCCTTGGTGTTGGTGGGGCAGGACGTCACATGCAGAGTGGGGCTGAGTTGCTAGATCAGGTCTCTTCCTTTTTGTAAAATTATTTTTAATTGGCACATACTTGCACATATGTATAGGGTACAGTGTGATATTTCTTTTTTTTTTTTTTGAGATGGAGTCTCGCTCTGTCACCAGGCTGGAGTGCAGTGGCGCGATCTTGGCTCACTGCAAGCTCCACCTCCCAGGTTCACGCCATTCTCCTGCCTCAGCCTCCCGAGTAGCTGGGACTACAGGTGCCCGCCACCACGCCCAGCTAATTTTTTGTATTTTTTAGTAGAGACGGGGTTTCACCGTGTTAGCCAGGTGAAAGCCAGGTCAGGAGGATCTCCTGACCTCGTGATCCGCCTGCCTCGGCCTCCCAAAATGCTGAGACTACAGGCGTGAGCCACCGCGCCCGGCCACAGTGTGATATTTCAATACGTGTATGTAATGTGTAATAATCAAACCAGCTAATTAGCATATCCATCACCTCGAACTTTTTTTTTTTTTTCTGGAGACAGGACCTTGCTGTATTGCCCAGGCTGGAGTGCAGTGGCGCGATCACAGCTCACTGCAGCCTCGACCTCCCAGACTCAAGGGATCTTCTTGGTCAGCTCCCGGAATAGATAGATGGAAGCACAGGCATGCACCACCATCCCCGGATAAGTTTTGTATTTTTGGTAGAGACGAGGTTTCGCCATGTTGCCCAGGCTTATATCAAACATGTATTATTTCTTTGCATTGAGATACTTTGTGTTTTAAACATCTTTACATAAAAGTGACAAGGATTCCTTTTCTTTTGAGACAGGGTCTCTCTCTGTCAACCAGGCTGGAATGCAGTAGTGCAATCACAGCTCACAGCCTCGAATTCCTGGCCTCAAGCTATCCTCCCACCTCCGCCTCCCAGAGTGCTGGGACTACAGGCGTTAAGTCACCGTGGCGGGGCAAGCACCCTTTGTTCTAAGAGTGCTGGACTCCTGATCACTGGCAAGCTGTTTCACATTGTTCTGCAACTTTTGGTGTATCCTTTGACAGCATCTGTGGAGACCAGATACTTATTTTGTTTTCATCCCGTTAGCCCCCCAGCAAGGTTGGTAGGGGGTGCGCAGATGGAAAAGCTCCAGGAAGGGAAAGGCTGGGGCTGGAGGCCTCTCCCTGAGGCTGCCGGGCCCTTCCCTCCTCCCAAACCCAGACTTCGCACGGCTTGGTCCGCCTTTCTTAAGCTAAGCGAAATCGTTTTGCGGCTTCTTCAGTCACCGGAACCACCACCTGCTAGAGGCCGGCTCCCAGGTTCTCCTCGTGGGACACCCAGGAAAGTGCCTAGGGAGGAGGAGGGAGTGGAGCGCAGGACGCGGCGCGGGGAGGAGAACGCGGATGGAGCCAGGAGTCACCCCTCTTTCCCTCGGGCGCCCGCCTCTTCGCGGATCGCGCCCGCACTGGGCTTATCCAGACACGGCGAGCGGAAGCCGGGGAGAAGGGAGCGGGCGCGGGGCGGACAGAGACCGCAGCGGGCGGGAAAGGCGACTGGCCGCGGCCCGACGGAGGGTCCCCGCGAAGTTGGAAACCGGAGACTTGGGCCCCTGCCCAAAAAGCAGAATCTGACGTTACCGAGGGAGAGTTCCCGACAAAAAAGGAAGTTTTTATCTGCTTCGGGGACCCAGCCAGATTTCGACAATAGAAAGTGTACTTATCAGGCCGGGGAGGACTTCACCAACAAGGGGCACCGGGGCGGGTCGCCAGTGCACAGGGGCGAGGTCTTCCTTGGACCCAGGCAAAGGCCGCGGGGTCCGGGCAGCGCGAGGTCAAGGCTGGGAGAGGGTTCTGGCGACAAAGGGCCGCGGCCGAGTCCTCGCTGAGAGCTGCCCCAGAGGGGTCCACGCGGAGGTTGGGCTGAGGGCTGCGGGCCGCCGGGGAGCCCTGGGCTGGGGACCCTCCCCGCGCCCTGGTCGCCCCTGCGCCCTCCCGCTCTGCGCTCGGCAGCCCCTACCTGGCTCCGGCCGCTGGCCCCGGGTACCGCTGCACCGCCGAGAAGTACAGGGCAAAGAGGAGCCCCGAGCAGGCAGCCGTGAGCAGGAGCAGCAGCCAGAAGAACGACCCGCGCGGGAGCCCCATACAGCCCCGGCCCGCGAGCGCCCCGTCCGCTGACGTCCCAGGCAGAAGGGAGAGAACCGGGTGGGCCGGGTGGCACTTGCGGAGGCGGCCGTCTTGCCCTGCCCCGCCCTGCCCGCCGGGTGCCTGCGGCGCCTGCCCGCCCGGCAGCTCCCTCTCGGCCCCGGCTGAGTGGCCAGAGGCTGCCGCACCCTCGGGAGCTGGGCGGCGGGTCCCCCGGGGCTGGAGTGTCGTCCCGGCGCCCAGAGCGCGCGCTCCTTTGGCCCTGCCCCCTGCCCGGGGGACTTCGGCAGCGGCCACTCCTGCCACTGCGCTCTCTCCAGAGCCCAGCCCCGGGAGGCCGCCAGTCTCGGGTTGGGCAGGGCGCTTTCCTCGCGCCGTCCGGGGCTAGCTAGGCGCGGGTAGACGCCGCCACCTGCTGCGCTGGCTGCGCTCTGCCCTCTGCGGGCCCGGCACTCGGCCTCTAGACTCTGTGGCGGGTGGGCGGCGGCCGGGAGGAGATGTGCCCGGCTCCCTCCAAAGGACCCTCAGATCTGTCAGTCTGCGGACGCCAGGACAGCTGGGAGGGGGCGGGCAGGGTGGAGGAGCAAAACCCGACAGCTCAGTCTCTGGGCTGGCGGTAGAGGGGGGAAAAGGGGGTGAGGTGGGGAGCTTGCCGTGATGGGTTTCGTGGGGGAGCTAAGGCTGTCAGCGCTTATTTGGTAACCATCCAGGGTGGCCAGTCCCCTCAATCGCATTGAGTTCCTTTCACAGAACGAGGCCAGTCAGAGAGACCACCTGAAATGTTCAGCACAACGGGTTCCCAAACTTATTGGCACCAGGGACTGGTTTCCTGGAAGACAATTTTTCCACGGAGGGGGGTGGGGGTGGGGGGGTTGGGGATGAAACTGTTCCACCTCAGATCATCAGGCATGAGTTAAGATGCTCTCATAAGGAGCCCGCAACCTAGATCCCTGGCATGCGCATTTCACAAAAGGGTTCGCACTCCTTTGAGACTCTAATGCCGAGGCTGATCTGAAGGAGGCGGAGCTCAGGCGGTAATGCTCCTTCCCCCTCCACTCACCTCCTGCTGCGATGCCCTGTTCCTAACAGGTCTCGGACCAGGCTTGGGATTGGGGACCCCTGGTCTAGCAGGCTCCAGCATCAGAAAGGGCTGGGAAGCTCAGCACCCGTGCTCTCTAAGTGGAACACTCCCTGGCAGTGAGTGATGGATGAGATGGGTGTGCTTCAGTGGCCACTGTTCGGCAAGCTGTGACATGCGGCAGGCTGTGACATGCCCCAGACTCCCAACTGTCAGCAGGCTGCAAGGATGAGAGGGACCTAGGCTACCGTGTCACGGGCCTTTGGCTCTAATCTGTTCTTCATGTATCCGAGGAAGTCTGGGTGCAGCAACAGGTACCTGTCTGATTGCAAGGCTTCCCGAAAACCTCCCAGGGCCTGGGCCTGTGGTCAGGAATGGCCATTCAGTCCATCCAGTCTCAGTACTCCTACCAAGTCAGGGTCACTGGAGGTCACTCACATTGGGCCAGTTCTTTCCTTCACCCCAAGACTGCTCAGCAGAGCCAGACTCATCTTGCTACCCCGCAGATGGGCACTACTTGGAATTTATGGTGTCACGACTTTCATTTCAATCTTTATGGGTTTACTTGTCAAAATTCCTGTAGATGTTACTTATCCCCTGATCACTGGCTTCTCACATTTCCTCAGACCTTCTCTCTGTGCCCATAAATATCCCTCCTAGCCCTTGCTCTCAGTAAGTGCCTTACCCTCTACTTCATGGAGAAAAGGAGAATCATTCATTAGTAATTTATTCAACTTCCACTTACAAACCTACAAACTTGGCCCCCACACACAGCCCAGCCTCTCCCTGCCGGGACTCTAGTCTTTTTTTTTTTTTTTTTTTTTGAAACAGCCTGTTACCCAGGCTGGAGTGCAGAGGCGTGATCTCGGCTCACTGCAACTTCCACCTCCCAGGTTCAAGCGATTCTCCTGCCTCAGCCTCCCCAGTAGCTGGGATTACAGGAGTGCACCCCCATGCCCAGCTTTTTTTTTTTGTATTTTTAGTAGGGATGGGGGCTTTACCACGTTGGCCAGGCTGGTCTCAAACTCCTGACCTCAGGTGATCTGCCCACCTTGGCCTCCCAAACTGCTGGGATTACATGTGCGAGCCACTGCGCCAGGCCTCAGGACTCCAGTCTTAAGAGCTGGGGAGAGGGTGCTCTCCTCCTGTGTGGGAGTTAACCCCCTATCTGTGTTAATAATCCAGGTCCACCTCCAATGCCTTAAATGGCAGTACTCCCCTCACACCAAGATCTCCTATCCACCCACCTGGAGTTCTCCTTCCTCCCATCTTCAGCCTCACAGGACCTCCAGGGTCTCCATCCTTCCCTTTTCTCCCAGTGGGCCAACCCTCTCTCAGCAGCTTTCTTTCCTATCTAGGCAGGACTCCCTGGGTTATAATCTGAGCTACTCCTGCATCAGTAACCCAGATTCTCTTGTGTTCCTGGCTTTCTTCCCAGCAAAACTCTGACCTGGATTCACTCTTGCCTCTGCCTCTCCTGTGCTGCCTGTCCCTGGCCTGGCTGAGTGCTGCAGGGGTCAGGGGTCAGGTGTAGCTCATTCCAGAGTGTGAATTGGGAACACAAGTTTGGCCTCAGCTGGCTCTCAACATCAGCCATTTCCTTATCCTTGCTCAGCTCCAGCTTCTATCCTGCTCAACAATGATTCTAGAACTTACTTCTTTCCTCAAGCCTCCTCTTTTCCCAGCCATACCTGTGAGAAAATGCAGCCCATCAGGAGTGACCTTCAACTTCCCATGCCCCCAAGTTCAAAGTCATCTTTTGTTAAGAACTGTGCAGATTTTGCTCTCCTTACAAGCTAACCAATGAAACTGCCATAGTTCTGTGGATGCTGGTAGAAGACACAAGACTACTGGATCAGAGACAAAGGACTTTATTACTCATGGTGCAGCAAGCAACATAGGCATCATGTTTGTGTCACTTCTCTTTACTCCTCAAGCCCCATGAGAGTGATACAGAGAGGCCCAGGTGAGTGTTGCACACACAATGGGTTTGCAGCACAGCTGAGAATCCCTGAGATAAGGAAACCAGAATCTTTTATAATGGGCTGCAAGCAAACCTGCTCTTGTCCAAGAGGGAGACATTATCTTTATTACGTTGGATAGTGAGGAAATCTGCCCTCTGCTCCAGAGGGAGGCACTATCTTTATCTTCCAAGGCAGTCTGCTGTACCAACAATCTTTTTTTTTTTTTTTCTTTTTTAGACAGAGTCTCGCTCTGTCGCCAGGCTGGGGTGCAGTGGCACGATCTCGGCTCACTGCAAGCTCCACCTCCCGGGTTCACGCCATTCTCCTGCCTCAGCCTCCCAAGTAGCTGGGACTACAGGCGCCCGCCACCACATCTGGCTAATTTTTTGTATTTTTAGTAGAGATGGGGTTTCACCATGTTACCCAGGATGAACTCGATCTCCTGACCTCGTGATCCGCCCGCCTCGGCCTCCCAAAGTGCTGGGATTACAGGCGTGAGCCACTGCACCTGGCCTATACCAACGTTCTTGAAAAGAGCCTGGAACAAAAGGTCAGTTGGTCCCTCTGCTCACAGCATGATCCTGCCCATGCACCCTCACCTTATTGCTCCAGACTCTCCTCCTTCCAGGGAGAGCCAGCCTCTTCACTGTGACCTCCCATTCTTCAGCTCTTGCTTCAGCAGCCCTCCCTGCCCCCTCTGCAAGGTCCTTATCACAGCCTATGAACATGCCCCAAATAGCTCATCCTAAAAAGCAAAGCAAAGCAAAACAAACAAAAAACGCCATGGAGCTGGCCCCCTTCATAGCTACTCTCTTTTTCTTTCATCCAAGTTCTTGGTAGAGAGTCTATTCTGTCTCTGCTTCTTTTTGCATCTGACTTCCTTACCTACGATGCCATTGAAATTGTACCCACTGAAGTCACTAGCAACCATCATCCTTCCAAAGGGAGTCCACATTTTCCAGTTCTAATTCTGCTGCATCTGTCTCTCTGAATTTGACACTTAGCTCCCAGTAATTCCAGCCTGCAACTCTTTGTTCTCATGGTTTCAACAACCAGCTTTCTGTTTGTGACTCCTGAATTAGTCTCCATCTGAGGCCCAGATCTCTATCAGCTGCAAACCTGTTCAGCTGTGTATAAAGGCATCCCTGGAGACCTGCGTTACTTTTTTCTTTCTTTCTTACTGTTTTTTTTTCTTTCTTACTGTTTTTTTTTTTTTTTTTTTTTTGAGTCAGAGTCTCACTCTTGTTGTTCAGACTGTAGTACAGTGGTGAAATCATGGCTCCTGCAGTCTTTTTCTTTTTTTTTGAGACGGAGTCTCACTCTGTTGTCCAAGCTGGAGTGCAGTGGCATGATCTTGGCTCACTGCAACCTCCACCTCCTGAGTTCAAGCTGCCTTGATTCTCCTGCCTCAGCCTCCCAAGTAGCTAGGACCACAGGCGTGTGCTACCATGCCCAGCTAAGTTTTTGTATTTTTAGTAGAGATGGGATTTCACCATGTTAGCCAGGATGGTCTTGATCTCCTGACCTCATGATTTGCCCGCCTCAGCCTCCCAAAGTGCTGGGATTACAGGCGTGAGCCACCGTGCCCAGCTGGCTCCTGCAGTCTTAAACTCCTGGGCTCAAGCGATCCTCCTGCCTTAGCCTCCCAAGTAGCCAGGTCTATAGGCATGTGCCACTATACCCATCTAATTTATTTTTGTTTTAATTTTTGCAGAGACAGGGTCTTGCAGACACAGAGGGCCTACTTCTCATGGGTTTTTCAGGGCTAACTATGGGACTTGAGTATGTGTGGATTTGGTTTGGTTATACGGGCAGTCCTGGAACCAATCCCCCATGGATAATAAGGGATGACTGTATGTAAATACAATTATATAATATATAATTATAAAATTATACTTTTTATAATTACAGAATTTCCTTTACCAGAGTTGTTTTTTTTTTTTTTTGTCTCATGTGTATTTGAATCTTGTTTCAGCCTGAAGATTCCTTTAGTATTTCTTGTAATGTGTGTCTGCTAGCAATAAATCCTCTTACTTTCTGTTTACTTAGAAGTGTCTAGGCACCTGCCACCACACCTGGCTAATTTTTGTATTTTTAGTAGAGACAGGGTTTCACCACGTTGACCAGGCTGGAGTCCACTTTCACTAGAAAGTGGGGCTATAGAGTTCCTCATGCTGGCAGTTCATCTTTTGCAATTTTTTTTTTAAACAGTCTCACTGTATTGCCCAGGCTGGAGTGCAGTGGCGCAATCTCAGCTCACTGCAACCTCCACCTCCCGGGCTCAAACGATTCTCCTGCCTCAGCCTCCAGAGTAGCTGGGATTACAGGCACCTGCCACCACACCCGGCTAATTTTTGTATTTTTAGTAGAGATAGGGTTTCACCGTGTTGGCCAGGCTGGTCTCGAACTCCTGACTTCAAGTGATCCACTTGCCTCGGCCTCCCAAAGTGTTGGGATTACAGGCGTGAACCACCGCGCCCGGCCGCAATGGTTTTTAATTTAATGTTGACTTCCTCATTGATTTGTCATCTTAAAATTCTATTTTTTGAATCAGGAAAATTGATCTGGATGTTTGATAAATCTAAGGAATTGTTAAATTTTAAAATGTGTGGCTAGGTGCGGTGGCTCACACTGTAATCCAGCACTTTGGGAGGCTGAGGCAAGATGATATCTTGAGCCCAGGAGTTTGAGACCAGCCAGGGCAACCTAGTGAGACTCCATCTCTATTTTTAAAAAGAAAGAGGTCAGGTGCAGTGGTTCACACCTGTCATCCCAGCACTTTGGGAGGCCAAGGCGGGCAGATCACCTGAAGTCAGGAGTTTGAGACCAGCCTGGCCAATATGGCAAAACCCTGTCTCTACTAAAAATACAAAATTTAGTCTGGGGTGGGTGGCGGGCACCTGTAATCCCAGCTACTCAGGAGGCTGAGACGGGAGAATCGCTTGAACCCAGGAGGCAGAAGTTGCAGTGAGCCAAGATCACGCCACTGCACTCCAGCCTGTGAGACAGAATGAGACTCCGTCTCAAAAGAAAAGAAAGAAAGAAAATGTGTGATAGTAGCATTGTGGTTATTTTTTAAAAGTGTCCTTATTGTTAATAATACATACTGAATATTTACAAACGAATATGATACATGGAATTCTTTAAAAATAACCAAGTCTGGGCCGGAAGTGGAGAGTGGATGGGGACACAGATGAAACAAATTGGCTATGAGTGTGGCTCATTGTTGGGGCTGTATAATGGGGATATGAGGGTGCATTACAGTATTCTCTCTACTTTTGTATATATTCGAAATTTTCCCTAACAAAAACCTAAATTTTTCTTTTTAGCTGAAATATGCTTCATTAGATATTTCAAAACTATAAGGTTATCCTTAACTTCAATCAAAGTCTTTAAAAGTATATATACATGCTTTTCACATAAGATGAACTATGGATTACGGATTTGCAAAACCAAGAGATCAAAACTTCGAGTACTCTATGTTCTAAAACAACCACATGTAAGCATTTTGTAAAAACATATTTTTACTAAAATCAATTTATTTCTCAGTATCTGAAACTGGCATGAATGTCGAGCAAGTTCCTAATCAAAATGTATTAGATGTTCTAATTATGTGTCAGAGGCTGTTTTTGTCATTTCAATCAAAACCATTTTTAGATGATTGATTATTTTATGAAAAAAAGCAATGATGAAAATTGTTGCAGTTGTATTTCAAGAGTTTATAAAAAGACAAATTTATGCATTGAATTGAAGCTGAGTAGAAACCGAGTTTGGAAAAAGAAAATACAGTTGATGGCTTAAATTTGAATATGAACCGGATATTCTAGATCAGTCAGAAAATGGATTATTAGCACTTGAGATTCACGAAATTAGAGCCTACTGCTTTTCAGGGTTTAAGAAGTTTCTTTTTTATTTTTTTTTATAAACTCATTAATGGGAAGACTTTTTTTTTAACTTCTTGAAAATGTCAACATTTTGAAAAAAATGTTATTTTATCATAAATGAGAAACTAATTTTTTTTTTGAGACCGAGTTTCCCTTTTGTTGCCCAGGCTGGAGTGCAGTGGCGCGATCTTGGCTGACTGCAACCTCCACTTCCTGGGTTCAAGCGACTCTACTGCCCCAGCCTCCCAAGTAGCTGGGATTACAGGTGCACGCCACCACCCTCAGCTATTTTTGTATTTTTAGTAGAGATGGGGTTTCACCATGTTGGCCAGTCTGGTCTCAAACTCACAACCTCAGTTGATCCACCTGCCTTGGCCTCCCAAAGTGCTGGGATTACAGGTGTGAGCCACTGTGCCCGGCCAAACCATTTTTGTTTAATTTCATTTCTACATGGTCGTCAAACGTGCCTATCCAATGAAGCCTTCATAGAAGGCCCAAGAAGACAGAGTTTGGGGAGCTTCTGGATAGCGGAGCATGTGGAGGTTCCAGGAGGGCAGGGTGCCCAGGAAGGGCATGGAAGCTCCGTGTCCCTTCCCCATACCTTGCCCTATGCATTTCTTCATCTGTATCTATTGTGATATCCTTTACAATTAAACTGGTAAACATAAGTGTTTCCTGCCTCTGTGAGCCACTCTAGCAATTTAATTGAACTTGAGGAGTGAGTCATGGGAACCCAAATTTATAGCTGGTTAGTCAGTAGCACAGGTAATACAACCCCTGGGGGTTGTGATGGGAATTGGAAGTGGGAGGGAGCAGTCTTGTGGGACTGAGCCCTCAACCCGTGATCTGATGCTGTCTCCAGGCAGATGGTCTCAGAAGTGAACTGAATTAGAGGACACCCAGCTGGTGTCCGCTGCAGAATTGATTGCTTGCTTGTTGGTGGGGAGAGATCTGCACACATCTGGTCACAGAAGTCTTCTGTGTTGATTGTTGTTGAGTGAGAGCAGAGGAAAAATGCGTGTAGGAAATGCGCACGAAGGAAATGTGCACGTGTGGGAGGGTGGGGCAGGGCCGGGAGCCGGATCCTCATCTTCCCTGGGAGACATCAGTAGATAATCTAAAACATAATTGTCAACGCACACATGTAATTTCGAAGTATGGAGGTAAATGCCAAAGGCTCAGCTGGAAGATTTGAAAGTGGCTGACTCTGCATAGATGAAATAGCAGGAGAGTAGCTGGGGACTACCAATTTTGAAAAACAATATTCTCTCAGGGAATTCACAAGTTGAATTTTATCCTCAGGCCCAGCATCTAGAAAATAAGCCCAAGCTCTGATGCCTCTCATTCAGGGCTCCCAATGAGCTGGACCTCGCCTGCTGCTCTAGTAAGATTCCTGCGTTATATTTTCTGCAACAGCATCACCTACTGTCTTGTAGGCCCCACACGTGCATGTTGCTGTCTCGCCCCATTCTTGTTCCTGCATTCCTCTTTGCCTGGCTTGCTGTTTCTTCCCTCCACCCTCCACCTGCCCCACCATCACCTTTTTCTCCTGCCTTCCTGTGGATTATTTTGCTTTTAGCATTCTGTTTTTGTTTCTTGTTTGTTTGTTTTTTGAGACAGAGTCTCACTCTGTCACCCAGGCTGGTGTGCAGTGGCATGATCTCAGCTCACTGCAACCTCTGCCTCCTGGGTTCAAGCGATTCTCCCACCTCAACCTTCCGAGTAGCTGGGATTACAGGTGCGCATCACCACACCCGGATAATTTTTGTATTTTTAGTAGAGATGGGGTTTCACCACGTTGGCCAGGCTGGTCTCAAACTCTTGGCCTCAAGTGATCCACCGCCTTGGCCTCCTAAAGTTCTGGGATTACAGGCGTGAGCCACCGTGCCCGGCTCCATTGTTTTCTTTATTCCCCATGTTCCATGTTTTCTTCTTTTATCATTTCCTTCTTGTTTGAAGAGCTTCCTTTAGTTATTCTTTCAGGGCAGTTCTTCTGGGGACAATTCTCTTAGTTTTCTTCATCTTGTCTGGACGCTACTGCTTTCCTTGGGTCAGTCTATCTTCGTGGCAATACCACATTGCCTTAATTACTTTAGCTACGTAAACATCTAGATATGTGTGATGTAAGCCCTCTAGCTTTGTGGGATTTCTTCAGTATTGCCTTGGCTATTCTTGGCCTTTTGCATTTCCAAATGTTTTAGAATCAGCTTGTTATTTCTACAAGAATCCTCTTGGGATTTGGTTGGGATCACATTATAGGTTAATGTGAGTAAATGGGATATCCAGAAACATTATATATAGTTCCATGTATTTGGGTTAATTTCTCAATAATATTTCATAGTTTTCAGTATGCAATTGTGCTCATTTTTCCGTAAATGTATACCTAGGCGTTTGGTCCTTTTTTTTTTCAACTTAAACATACTTTATTTACTGATTAAGAACTTATTGTACAGAAAATGTCTTATGTGGTTGATCTTAGCTTTGTTCATGCTGACTTCAGGGGGTCTGGTTCTCTATGCTCAAGATTGTTCGATTGGCCGGGTGCGGTGGCTCATGCCTGTAATCCCAGCACTCTGGGAGGCCGAGGTGGGCGGATCACGAGGTCAGGAGATCGAGACCATCCTGGCTAACACAGTGAAACCCAGTCTCTACTAAAATATACAAAAAATTAGCCGGGCGTGTTGGCGGGTGCCTGTAGTCCCAGCTACTCGGGAGGCTGAGGCAGGAGAATGGTGTGAACCCAGGAGGCGGAGCTTGCAGTGAGCGGAGATCGAGCCACTGCACTCCAGCCTGGGCGACTGAGGGAGACTCTGTCTCAAAAAAAAAAAAAAAAAGATTGTTCGATTGCCGCTGTTGCTGTTGGTTTCTTTTCTTTCAGGCTCAAGGTGAGTACTTTCATAGATCTTAGTTTTCATTCCTTCTCTGGCAATTCTTTCCTGGATTCTTTGCTTTGCATAATTATACCTCCAGTGAAACCAGCATCCCAAAGTCACCAAGATAAATCCCCCTACTCCAACGTCACATGATCTTCTAATTCTACCTTCCTCTGCGCGCGGCTCGCCGGGCTCCAACCGGGGAGGCCATGGGAACGATTCCGAGCCTGCACCCGCCCTCTGTTTGGTGCTTTTTGATGTTATTGTAAACAACCTTGTTTTTAAAATTTCATTTCTTTATTTTTTCATTGCTGACATATAGAAATGCAATGGTTTGTTTAATTACCTGTGTATTGAGATTTTGCTAAATTCACTTTTAAATTTATGTATTTTTGGCCGGGAGCAGTGGCTCACGCCTGTAATCCCAGCACTTTGGGAGGCTGAGGCGGGCGGATCACGAGGTCAGGAGTTCGAGACCAGCCTGAGCAACATGGTGAAACCCCGTCTCTACTAAAAATACAAAAATTAGCTGGGTGTGGTGGCGCGTGCCTGTAATCCCAGCTACTCAGGGGGTTGAGGCAGGAGAATTGCTTGAACCAGGGAGGTGGAGGTTGCAGTGAGCCAAGATTGCGCCACTGCACTCCAGCCTGAGTAACAGAGCGAGACTCCACCTCAAAACAAAAAAATTATTTATTTATTTATTTTTTAGTGATGGAGTCTTGCTCTGTTGTTCTGTAGGCTGGAATGCAAGGGTACAACCACAGCTCACTGTAGCCTCAACCTCCCAGGCTCAAGTGATCCTCCCACCTCAGCCTCCCAAGGAGTAGCTGGGACCACAGGCACACACCACCATGCCTGGCTAATTTTTATGGATTTTTAGTAGAGACAGGGTTTCGCCATGTTGGCCGGGCTGGTCTCGAACTCCTGGGCTCAAGCGATCCACCTGCCTCGGCTTCCCAAAGTACTGGGATTATAGGCATGAGCTACAGTGCCTAGCCTAGTGTTTAATGAGTACAAAGTTTCTGTTATCCATGATGAAAGAGTTCTGGAGATGGACAGTGGTGACCGTTGCACAACATTATGATGTTTGCAATTGTTGAATACATAGAGGGAAGGGTCCCTCTCCTGCCAGGGAAGCTGAAGGACAGATGGCCCTCTCCCTGCTCATGGCAGCCAGAACACAAGCACAGGGCAGAGTCCGCCACCTGGGTGCTCCTGGGACTTTGAATATTGAGAGATTGATACAGAGATGCAGAGATAAAACAGAGTTTCTTTTTGTCGTTGTTGTTGAGACGGAGTCTCGCTCTGTCACCCAGGCTGGAGTGCACTGGCACGATCTCGGCTCACTGCAAGCTCCGCCTCCCGGGTTCACGCCATTCTCCTGCCTCAGCCTCCCAAGTAGCTGGGACTACAGGCGCCCACCACCACATCTGGCTAATTTTTTGTATTTTTAGTAGAGATGGGGTTTCACTGTGTTAGCCAGGATGGTCTCGATCTCCTGACCTCGTGATCCGCCCGCCTTGGCCTCCCAAAGTGCTGGGATTACAGGCGTGAGCCACCGCGCCTGGCCAAGATAAACAGAGTTTCTTACAACTGTGCATGGATAGATCAAGAGTCCACTGGGCTGGTGGCAGATCCCTGGTGGCAGCAATACAATGGCGTTGT
Source organism: Homo sapiens (assembly GCF_000001405.40). Classification (NCBI taxonomy): domain Eukaryota; kingdom Metazoa; phylum Chordata; class Mammalia; order Primates; family Hominidae; genus Homo; species Homo sapiens. The sequence goes on from NC_000017.11 coordinate 76,597,273, forward strand.
CCCAAATGGACAGTTCCAGCAGCAAGATCTTGGATGTAGTCTCACTGCCTGGTCACATGACCACTTATTTGAAGTCAACTTTATACCTTATGAAAGCACTCAGAACTGGATTAAGAAACAGAGGACGTAACTGAGACTTTATGTGTGTGTAGGCGTGGGTGTGTGGTGAGGGCAGTGCCACCCAGTGACCTCCAGCTGGTACTCTGAAACTGTGCATGCCTCCCCAGCCTCCAATCTACTCTGGCTGAGTCCTCTTGGGAAACTCCCAGAGGCTGCACTTTCCCCCAGAATGCAAGACCAGGCAAGCTCTCCTTTTTGCTGCTGGTCCCTAGTGACAATCTCTCACCTCAGCACCAAAACAAAGCAAGTCCTCACCTGCTCCTTTCCCCAGGGAGCCCTGGATCTCAGATGTACTTGCCAAGTCCTGTGTGATTGCCTCCCTGGCTGCTGTCTTACTTCAGAGAGGCAGTTGTGGGGACAGACAGAGTCAGGGACATCTGCTCCAGCCACTGTTCCCCGAGAATCCCGTAGCTGGGTTCCCTTGGAATAAAAAAAGGAAGTGGGGAGGAATGCCAAGGAAGAGGACACTTCGAACATCTCTGAGCTTCACACACTCCAAACGGCAGTAGAGCACTTAAGAGAGGGGACTCCAAAGCCCAACAATCTCAGCTCTATTTGTTAACCGTGTGAACCCAGGGGAAATTACTTAGACTCTCTATGCGTCAGTTTCCTCATCTATAGCACAGAAATGATGATAGTACCAACTTCAAGAGGATTGCTGTGCTCATTAAATGTGCTTGCAACAGTTCTGGAAACAGGAAGCACTATACAAACGTTGGCTGATACAGTCCTGAACAGACTGAAAAGTGATGTGTTGGGGACAGACCTAGGCCTTGAGAAAGACTGGGCTCTTTGTGGAGGAAGAACTACACTGCCAGGCATTGGACAGGGGAAGAGCTGGACTCTGCCTGCAAATCTGGTGTCACCAGATGTGTTGGATTGCTGACAAAGATGGCATTGAATGCACAGCCCTTTGCAATGTGACTTTGTCACTCCTCCTAACAAGAGGCTGAGTCTGTTTACCCACCTGCAGAATGTCGGCAGCTGCATGGGTAACCCCAAGCCAGAGCAGAAGGAAGCTGATCCCAGCACAAATTGCTGATCTGTAAAATCATAAGCAAATACATGGTCATTCTTTTAAACCTTCAGATTTTGGAAGACTTGGAGGGCAGCTTCACAGGTAGTGAAGTTGTTCTTGGGCCCTGTCTTTAGGGTAGAGCTGCTGCTTACACCTGGGGAGCCCCAGGAGTGGTGACATTTTCTTCCTGGGCTCCAACAGGTGCCTCATGATGTGCTGTTTGTTCATCCCTTACCCACAAAGATGGAAGCTGTTATTTCTTATATCACTTCTCTGTTTTGTTTTTTTTTTTTGTTTTTTGTTTTTTCTGAAGCAAGCTCTTACTCTGTCGCCCAGGCTGGAGTGCAGCGGTGCCATCCCAGCTCACTGACCTCCCAGGCTCAATCATCCACCTGCCTCAGCCTCCTGAGTAGCTGGGACTAAGGTATGCACCACTACACTCAGCTAGTTTTTTGTATTTTTTTGTGCAGATAGGGTTTCGCCATGTTGCCCAGGCTGGTCTCAAACTCCTGGGCTCAAGCGATCTGTCTGCCTCAGACACCCAAAGAGATTACAGGCATGAGCTCCCGTGCCTGGCCATCACATACTTCTTGAAAAACTCTAGATGCTGGACCTGGTTGCTGGGCAAATACAAAGCTGTAAGCAGGTTAAAAGAGAATGGCTAATTTGGGAGGACTGCACAACCAGAGGAAGGGAGACCAAAGGAAAGGAGACACCCAGAACTGTCTCCTACTGAAGGAGAATGAGGAAAGGACCAGGTGGGAACTTTAATCAAACAATTATAAGTGTCCTTGCCGGGCGCAATGGCTCACGCCTGTAATCCCAGCACTTTGGGAGGCCAAGGCAGGCCGATCACCTGAGGTCAGGAGTTTGAGACCAGCCTGGCCAACATGGTGAAAACTCGTCTGTACTAAAAATACAAAAATTAGTTGGGTGTGGTGGTGCGCACCGTAATCCTAGCTACTCAGGAGTGTGAGGCAGGAGAATCACTTGAACCCGGGAGGCAGAGGTTGCAGTGAGCTGAGATCGCACCATTGCACTCCAGCCTGGGTGACAGAGCAAGATTCTATCTCAATAATAATAATAATAATAATAATAATAAGCATCCTTGGGCCGGGTGCGGTGGCTCATGCCTGTAATCCCAGCACTTTGGGAGGCCAAGGTGGGCGGATCACCTGAGGTCAGGAGTTCAAGACCAGCCTGACCAACATGGCGAAACCCCTTCTCTACTAAAAATATAAAAATTAGCTGGGCATGGTGGCAGACACCTATAATCCCAGCTACTTGGGAGACTGAGGCAGGAGAATCGCTTGAACCCGGGAGGTGGAGGTTGCAGTGAGCTGAGATTGGCCCAATGTACTCTAGCCTGGGTGACAAGAGGGAAATTTCATTTCAAAAAAAAAAAAAAAAAGGAAGTGTTGCAAGCTTCCAAGGGCAAACGCATTTCCGTAGAAGGGAAAGAGAATTAACCTAACATTGGACTCTCTCTTGTTTCTAACATGAGAAGCTGGAGAACAATTTGGCAAGAGGACAAGTTTCTTGTGAGACGCGTGGGTATATTTATACATTCACAAATGCCCCCAGCCAGAAGTGATGTGTGTCTCCACGCCCAGCTAAGCACTGTGATGAATGATTCTGCTCTGGTTGTCTAAATGGTGTCTGCCTAAGTGAGAAACCTACCTATTCCCTTGGCCCAAACCCCTTTCTTGCCAAGCCTCTCTTCTGTACCCAAATTGTATCGCCTGACATGGTCCTGATTTCACTAGCCCCTGACTCTGAGACAATGATACTCATTGCTGTTTTCTAATACCCCCGAAGCAACGAGCAAGGTTAGACGAGTCCGATGAATCTGTAAGAGAGGAATTCTCCACCCATGCCTGGGGTTGGCTGTGTCAAGAGTTTGTCTTTCATCTCCTCCTACGCTCAGGAGTGCTGTGTCTGTGCAAAATGGCAGGGCGTGCAGACCCTGTTTCTTCCTGCCCTCGCGCTCAGCTAAGGGTAGACACCATATCGTGCATCACCTTGGGTGTGCTATTTGCCTTGAGTTTTTTTTTAGGTGGGGCTGGGGGGACAGGGTCTTACTCTGTCACCCAGCTTGGAGTACAGTGGCGCCGTGATCATGGCTCACTGCAGTCTTGAACTCCTGGGCTCAAGCTATCCTTCCACCTCAGCCTCCTGAGTAGCTAGGACTATAGATGCGCACCACCACACCTGGCTAATTTTTGTACTTTTAGTAGAGATGGGGTTTTGCCATGTTGCCCAGACTGGTCTTGAACTCCTGAGCTCAAGGAATCCGTTTGCCTTGGCCTCCCAAAATACTAGGATACAGGCATAAGCCACCACACCCAACCTGCCTTGAGATTCTGAGGAAGCTGGTGTGTGCGTGAGTGTGTGTGTGTGAGTGTGTGTGTGTGTTTGTGTATGTGAAGGGGGTCGGGGTCAGGCCTCTAGTTCCCTGTTCCCCAGTGCCAACACAGAACTATTCTTTGTGCCCACCCAGTATGTGATAATCCAGAAAATGCCACATTTTTGTATAAACCGATTTGCAAACAATTTTGTAGATAAGTATAAATCCTCAAGCTTGGTACAGTGTACTTTTCTCCTTCTGTGAACACAATGTTTGACTTTAAGCTTTCCTTTAAATACCAGTCAAAGCAGGGAATAGTGACTTATGCCTGTAATCCCAGTACTTTGGGAGGCCGAGGTGGGCCGATCGCTTGAGCCCAAGAGTTCGAGACAAGCCTAGGCGACATCGTGAGACCCTGTCTCTACCAAAAAGAGAGAAAAAAAGTTAACTGGGTGTGGTGGCACATATGCAGGAAGCTAAGGTGGGAGGATCGTTTGAGCCTGGGAGTTCAAGGCTGCAGAGAGCTGCAATAGCGCCACTGCACTCCAGCCTGGGTGATGGGGTGAGACCCTCTCTCAAAAATAAATACATACAGTCAACAGGACATGTGAGGACTGCCATGGAGACCAGCATGAATGCAACACTATCCTCTGAGTACACTTTAGACTTTCCATTACTATCACCAGAAAGGGGTCCCAATCCAGACCCCAAGAGAGGGTTCTGGGATCTCATGCAATAAAGAATTTAGGGTGAGTCCAGAGTAAAGTGAAAGCAAGTTTGTTAGAGAAGTAAAGAAACAAAAGAATAGCTATTCCATAGGCAGAGCAGCCCCAAGAGCTGCTGGGTGGCTATTTTTTTTATTTATTTTTATTTTTAGTAGAGATGGGGTTTCATGGTGTTAGCCTGGATGGTCTCAATCTCCTGACCTTGTGATCCACCCGCCTCCGCCTCCCAGTGGGTGGCTATTTTTATGGTTATCTCTTGATCATATGCTAAACGAGGAGTGGATTATTATGTTTTCCAGGAAACGGGTGGGGATTTTTTGGAAATGAGGTTTCCTCCCCCTTTTAGACCATATAAGGTAACTTCTGAACGTTGCCATGGCATTTCTAAGCTTTCATGGTGCCGGTGGGAGTGACTTTAGCATGCTAATGCATTATAATTAGCATATAATGGGCAGTGAGGACTATTAGAGGTTACATTTGTTGCCATCTTGGTTTTGGCTGGCTTCTTTACTGCATCCTGTTTTATCAGCAGGGTCTTTGTGACCTGTATCTTGCGAGCTCCTATCTCACCCTATGACTAAGAATGTCTAACCCCCTAGGAATGCAGTACAGCAGGTCTCAACCTCATTTTACCCAGTCCCTATTCAAGATGGAGTCACTCTGGTTGAAGTGCCTGTAACATTACTAACACAAATATCTGTCCTGCTTCTGAATCTCTCTTGATCTCTCCAATGCACCCTCGACCCAGGAGCAACTTTTGGACCCTTTGCCTACTCCTCACTGCAAAAAAGAACAAGATCAAAAACTGCTGATCCTAGGCTGGGCATGGTGGCTCACACCTGTAATCCCAGCATTTTGGGAGGCCAAGGCAGGCGGACCGCCTGAGGTCGAGAGTTTGAGACCAGCCTGGCCAACATGGCGAAATCCCGTCTCTACTAAAAATACAAAAATTAGCCAGGTGTGGTGGCAGGCACCTGTAATCCCAGCTACTCGGGAGGCTGAGGCAGGAGAATCACTTGTACCTGGGAGGCAGAGGTTGCAGTGAGCCCAGATCGTGCCATTACATTCCAGCCTTGGCGAGAGAACAAGACTTTGTCTCAAAAAAAAAACAAAAAACCCAAAAAAACTGCTGACCCAGAAGCAGAGAATTGCGAGACGTGTTAGATCTGTACTTTAACCTTTTAAATCCTCTAAAACAGCTGAATTAGTTGTCTAAGTCCCAGGCATGTGAGAAAAGAGGAAAAATAATGTTAAATCCGTGAGTAACTGTGTGAGCCCTTGCACCAGTGACTCTGAAAGGCGGAAGAGAAAGAGAGACTGGGGTTGTTGAAAGATAAATTATGCTGCAACGTTTAATGGATAAGCCATGGTTTACCCACCGGTAAAACACTCAATTCCTGGCCCAGGCTTTGAATCATTGCAAGGGCACTCCTTGGGAAGAGGACATAGTTGGAGGCTGTTAGTCTGTTTTTACATTGCTATAAATACCTGACAGTGGATAATTTATAAAGAAAAGAGGTTTAATTGGCTCATTGTTCTGCAGGCTGTACAGGAAGCATGGTGCCCACATCTGCTTGGCTTCTGGTGAGGCCTCAGGGAGCTCTTATTCATGGCGGAAGGTGAAGTGGGAGCAGGCATGTCACTTGGAGAGAGAGCAATAGAGAGAAGGGAGAGGTCCCAGACTCTTAAACAACCAGACCTTGCATGAACTAACTGAGCAAAACTCACTTATCACCAAGGGGATGTTGCTGAGCCATTCATGAAGGATCTACCCCATGATCGAATCACCCCCCATCAGGCCCCACATCTAACATTAGGAATCATGTTTCAACATGAGGTTTGGAGGGGACACACATCCAAACCATATCAGAGGCCGTAGAGTTTGGAAGCCTGAACTTGCACTTGGGGTTTTTGGTCTAAGCTGGAAGGAGTCAAGAAAAAGGATGGGGCTGGGCGCGGTGACTCACACCTGTAATCCCAGCACTTTGGGAGGCTGAGGTGGGCAGATCACTTGAGGTCAGGAGTTCAAGACCAGCCTGGTTAAGATGGTGGAACTCCGTCTCTACTAAAAATACAAAAATTAGCCAGGCGTGGTGGTGCACACCTGTGATCCCAGCTACTCAGGAGGCTGAGGCAGGAGAATTGCTTGAACACAGGAGGCAGAGGTTGCAGCGAGCCAAGATCACACTATTGCACTCCAGCCTGGGTGGCAAGAGCAAGACTCCATCTCAAAAAAAAAAAAAAAAAAAAAGAGAGACAGAGATGGGAACTATGATTTTTTAAATAATTTTTTTTTTACTTTTTTTTTTTTTTTGAGACGGAGTCTCTGCTCACTACAACCTTTGCTTCCCAGGCTCAAGAAATTCTCCCGCCTCAGCCTCCTGAGTAGCTTGGATTACATGTGCCCGCCACCATGCCCAGCTAATTTTTGTATTTTTAGTAGAGACGGGGTTTCACCATGTTGGCCAGGCTGGTCTCGAACTCCTGACCTCAAATGATCCTTCTGCCTTGGCATCCCAAAGTGCTGGGATTACATGTGTGAGCCACTGTGCCCCACCTAATTTTTTTTTTTTTTAAATAATAGAGAAGGGGTTTTGCCATATTGCCCAGGCTGGTCTCAAGCAATCCTCCCACCTCAGCCTCCCAAAATGTTGGGATTACAGGTGTGAGCCTCCATACCTGGCCAGAGTGGGAGCTATGTTTTTTTTTTTTTTTTTTTTTTTTTGAAATGGAGTCTCACTATATCACCCAGGCTGGAGTATGTAGTGGCACTATCTCGGTTCACTGCAATCTCTGCCTCCCAGGTTCAAGTGATTCTCTTGCCTCAGCCTCCCAAGTAGCTGGGATTATAGGTGCCTGCCACCAAGCTCGGCTAATTCTTTGTATTTTTAGAAGAGACAGGTTTCGTTATGTTGGCCAGGCTGGTCTCAAACTCCTAACCTCAGGTGATCTGCCCCCTTCTGTCTCCCAAAGTGCTGGGATTCCAGGCGTGAGCCACCGCATCTGGCCAGAGTGGGAGCTATACTTTATGGCAGCCTCTTTTATTGAACAGATTATATGTTCCTGTCCACATTTTATTTCAAATTTATAAGAGAACTAGGCTTCTAAGAAAGTCAGTTCTAAATGTATTTCTGGTAGAGTTTTCATAGCAAGAAAGAGAGACTAGATGGCCAGGCGTGGTGGCTCACACCTGTAGTCCCAGCACTTTGGGAGGCTGAGGCAGGCAGATCATGAGGTCAGGAGACCAAGACCATCCTGGCTAACACGGTGAAACCCCGTCTCTACTAAAAACACAAAAAATTAGTTGGGCGTGGTGGGGGGGCGCCTGTAGTCCCAGCTACTTGGGAGGCTGAGGCAGGAGAATGGCATGAACCCGGGAGGCAGAGCTTGCAGTGAGCCAAGATTGTGCCACTGCACTCCAGCCTAGGGACAGAGCGAGACTCTGTCTCAAAAAAAAAAAAAAAAAAAAAAGAGAGACTAGATAATACCATGTGACCATATATAAGAAAGGGATGTCTGTTTCGGCTGTTTCAGGGTTGGGCTTATTCCCAGAATTAGAGGCAACTGTGTGAGTTAAAACCACCTAGAAAGGCCTTCGTATTAGGTGTCCTCTCCCAGAAGTAGAGCCTGAGCCAGGAATTTGGGGCATGTGGTTTACTGAGGGAGGGCTCATCAGGAAGCATCTATAAGGGAGAGAAGAAAAGGATAATCGAGTGAAGTCTCAGGTAAAGGCTTGGCTTGACCTGCCAAGATCTCAAGCATAGATCCCAACACAGAATTGTCCTGTCCCCTTTTGTACCCCTTAAGTGAGACATCAACTCCCCAGGAGTGGGGATGGGGTGGAATGTCCCAAGCACGTCAGGGTGACAGGCTCTCCAGGAGCCTCCAGAGAAGGTCACAGGTGTCAGCCATTAGCCTGGGTAGTGTTTTGCTGGCTGATAAAGGGCATTTGGGTGGGTCCCTGGCAATAGTCTGTTATTCACATAAGCCAGAGTTCTGCTTTTGAGAGTGTATCAGGAAATTATGGAACTATGGTATTAGAAATGCTAACTACAGAGATGTCATCTTTTTTTGAGGCTGAAGACAATGATCCGTCTCAGAAGCAGGTGACTTATTCCCCCTTCCCCCAATCTTGTGTGTTTCTTTGGACAGTGTCCTAGATGGTAGCATTAATTGCACCTCTGTTATGCCACCAGCTCTATCTTGGTAAGCTTCTGAAGCACAAGTTAATTAAATGAGTGTAGCTGATGAATGCTAAATGATAATGTGTTGGTTTTTTTTCTTCCTGCCTGACATGTAAGATAACCTGTTAGACGTGTGTAGTGATGTGTGATGGGGTGGGAGGATTCCATTTTTTGCATCTTTATTACAGTGGGTCTTAGGTACTAAAGCATTTTAAAAGATTCTCCTTATTTCCCAAGAAGACAGATAAGATGTTGGCTGCATTTTTAGGTTGTGTAATTCAGGTGATTGTTTGGTATATTCACGTTGTGAAACTATAACTTTCATGCACGTCCGTGTGAAGAGACCACCAAACAGGCTTTGGGTGAGCAACATGGCTGTTTATTTCACCTGGGTGCAGGTGGGCTGAGTCCGAAAAGAGAGTCAGCGAAGGGAGATAAGGGTGGGGCCATTTTATAGGATTTGGGTGGATAAAGGAAAATTACAGTCAAAGGGGGTTTGTTCTCTGGTGGGCAGAGTGGGGGTCACAAGGTGCTCAGCAGGGGAGCTTTTGAGCCAGAATGAGCCAGGAGAAGGAATTTCACAAGACAATGTCATCAGTTAAGGCGGGAGCAGGCCATTTTCACTTCTTTTGTGGTGGAATGTCATCAGTTGAGGCAGGAACCGGCCATCTGGATGTGTACGTGCAGGTCACAGGGGATATGATGGCTTAGCTTCGGCTCAGAGGCCTGACATTCCTGTCTTCTTATATTAATAAGAAAAATAAAATGAAATAGTGGTAAAGTGTTGGGACGGTGAAAATTTTTGGGGGTGGTGTGGAGAGATAATGGGTGATGTTTCTCAGGGCTGCTTCGAGCGGGATTAGGGGCGGCGTGGGAACCTAGAGTGGGAGAGATTAAGCTGAAGGAAGATTTTGTGGTAAGGGGTGATACTGTGGGACTATTAGAAGAAACATTTGTCATTTAGAATTATTGGTGATGGCCTGGATACGGTTTTGTATGAATTGAAAAACTAAACGGAATAAGAGAAGGAGAAAAACAGGTATTAAAGGTCTAAGAATTGGGAGGACCTAGGACATCTAATTAGAGTACCTAAGGAGATTCAGCATAGCCTTGCCAGCAAAGATTATTTATTTACTTCAAGAGTTAAGAGTGGCAGTTTGGGGATAGCACCAGGAGATATCAGCTGTGATGGCTTGGAGAAATAGTGTAAACCAGCAGTGTAAACAAGAGCAGGGAATGCATGAGTAGTTGAGAATGGTGAATAGGAGTATGACTAGACAGAAGATAGTAGGGATGACAAGTTTTTTGGGGCACAGTCTAAGTTGGTCTGGTGTCTGGAATGAGACTGGGACCAAATAAAAAGGAACGTCTATACAGGAGCTCAAATGGGCTGTACCTTGTAGCATTCTGAGGACAGGTCTGACTTCTGAGAAGGGAAAGTGGTAAAAGTATTGTCCAGTCCTTTTTAAGTTGGTGGCTGAGCTTGGTGAAGTGTTTTTAAAAGACCTTTAGTCCGTTCTACTTTTCCTGAAGACGGAGGACCGTAAGGGATATAAAGGTTTCACTGAATACTAAGAGCCTGAGAAACTGCTTGGCTGATTTGACTAATAAGGGCTGGTCTGTTATCAGACTGTATAGAGGTGGGAAGGCTAAACTGAGGAATTATGTCTGACAGAAGGGAAGAAATGACTGTGTGGCCTTCTCAGACCCTGTAGGAAAGGCCTCTACCTATCCAGTGAAAGTGTCTACCTAGACTAAGAGGTATTTTAGTTTTTGTGACTCGGTGCATGTTGAGTAAAGCTAACTTGCCAGTCCTGGGCGGGGGCAAATCCTTGAGCTTGATGTGTAGGGAAGGGAGGGGGCCTGAAGAATCCTTGAGGAGTAGCAGAATAGCAGATGGAACACTGAGAAGTTATTTCCTTGAGGATAGATTTCCACAATGGAAAGGAAATGAGGTTCTAAGAGGCGGGCTAGTGGCTTGTACTATAGCATAGCCTGCTTTTGCTGCTGTGTGGTGATTAGGCCTGCTGGAACTGCCATCAATAAATCAAGCGTGATCAGGGTGAGAAACAGGAAAGAAGGAAATGTGGGGAAATGGGAAGAACATCAGGTGGATCAGAGAGATACAGTCATGGGGGTCAGGTGTGGTATCAGGAATAATGTGGGAGGCCAGATTGAGGTCCGGGCCAGGAACAATGGTAATTGTGGGACTTAACAAAGAGTGAGTACAGCTGAAGGAGCCAGGGAGCAGAAAGTATATGCATCAGGTATGAGGAAGAAAATAATTTTGGAAGTTATGAGAAATGTAGAGAGTGAGTTGAGCATAGTTTGTTATTTTTAGGGCCTCTAAAAGTATTAAAGCAGCGGCAGCCGCTGCACGCAGACTTGAGGGCTAGGCTAAAACAGTAAGGTCAAGTTGTTTGGACAGAAAGGCTACAAGGTGCGGTCCTGGCTCTTGTGTAAGAATTCTGACCTCACTAACCATGCCTAGGAAGGAAAGGAGTTGTTGTTTTGTAAGGGATTGAGGTTTGGGAGATTAATCAGACATGATCAGCAGGGAGAGCACGTGTGTTTTTATGAGAATTATGCTGAGACAGGTAACAGATGAGGATGAAATTTGGGCTTGACTGAAGTAATGGGGGCTGTCTGTGAAGCCTTGCAGCAGTACAGCCCGGGTAATTTGCTGAGCCTAATGGATGTCAGGGTCAGTCCAAGTGAAAGCAAAGAGAGGCTGGGATGACGGGTGCAAAGGAATTGTAAAGAAAGCATGTTTGAGATCCAGAACAGAATAATGGATTGTGGAGGGAGGTATTGAGGATAGGAGAGTATATGGTTTGGTACCATGGGGTGGATAGGCAAAACAATTTGGTTGATAAGGCATAGATCCTGAACTAACTTGTAAGGCTTGTCTGGTTTTAGGATAGGTAAAATGGGGGAATTGTAAGGAGAGTTTATAGGCTTTAAAAGGCCATGCTGTAGCAGGCATGTGATAACAGGCTTTACTCCTTTCAAAGCATGCTGTGGGATGGGATATTGGCATTGAGTGGGGTAAGGGTGATTATGTTTTAATGAGATGGTAAGGGGTGCATGATTGGTCGCCAAGGAGGGAGTAGAGGTATCTTATACTTGTGGGTTAAGGTGGGGGGGAATACAAAAGAGGAGGACGCAAAGGAGGCTTTGGATTGGGAAGAAGGGCAGCAATGAGATGCGGCTGTGGTCCAGGAATAGTCAGGGAAGCAGATAATTTGGTTAAAATATCTCGGCCTAATAAGGGAACTGGGCAGGTGGGGATAACTAAAAAGGAGTGCTTAAAAGAGTATTGTCTAAGTTGGCACCAGAGTTGGGGAGTTTTAAGGGGTTTAGAAGCCTGGCTGTCAATACCCACAACAGTTATGGAGGCAAGGGAAACAGGCCCTTGAAAAGAAGGTAATGTGGAGTGGGTAGCCTCCGTATTGATTAAGAAGGGGACGGACTTACCTTCCACTGTGAGGGTTACCTAAAGCTCGGCATCCGTGATGGTCTACGGGGCTTCCGAGGCTATCGGGCAATGTCAGTCTTTAGCTGCTAAGCAGAGAAGGAGTCAGTCAGAGAGCCTTGGGCCAGAGTTCCAGGGGCTCTGGGAGTGGCTGCCAGGTGAGTTGAACAGTCCGATTTCCAGTGGGGTCCCGCACAGATGGGACACGGCTTGGGAGGAATCCTGGGCTGCAGGCATTCCTCGGCCTGGTGGTCAGATTTCGGGCACTTGTAGCAAGCTCCTGGGGGAGGAGGTTCCGGAGGAATGCCTGGCCGCTGAGGTTCAGGCGTTTGGAAGTTCTTGTGTGCTGGAGATGTGGCTGGGGTTTGTCTCACAGTGGAGGCAAGGAATTGCAACTTTTTTCTATTATTGTACACCTTGAAGGCGAGGTTAATTAAATCCTGTTGTGGAGTTTGAGGGCCGGAATTTAATTTTTGGAGTTTTATTTAATATCGGGAGCAGATTGGGTAATAAAATGTATATTGAGCATAAGACGGCCTTTTGACCTTTTAGGGTCTAGGGCTGTAAAGCGTCTCAGGGTTGCTGCCAAACGAGCCATGAACTGGGCTGGGTTTTTATATTTGATGAAAAAGAGCCTAAACGCTATCTGATTTGGGATAAAGAAAAAGGAGCATTAACCTTGACTATGCCTTTAGCTCCAGCCACCTTTTTAAGAGTAAATTGCTGGGCAGGTGGGGGAGGGCCAGTCACGGAACGAAACTGTAAGCTGGACCGGGTGTGAGGAGGGGAGGTGATAAAAGGATTATAGGGTGGAGGAGCGGAGGCTGAGGAAGAATTGGGACCTAGCTCGGCCTGGCGAGGAGGGGAGAGGTCAGATGGGTCTGTAGAAAAGGAAGATTAGAAAGACTCAGCGATGCTTGGGGTTGGGACTGAGGGGACAGGCGGGAGGGAAAGAAGGAAGATTTGGGATGAGTTGCACTGGGCACAGAGACTAGGAAGGGACCGATGTGTAAAAGAATGCCTGGACGTCAGGCACCTCAGACCGTTTGCCTATTTTACGACAAGAATTATTTAGATCTTGCAGGATGGAAAAATTCAAAGTGCCATTTTCTGGCTATTTGGAATTACTGTCGAGTTTGTATTGGGGTCAAGCGGCATTGCAGAAGAAAATAAGGCATTTAGGTTTTAGGTCAGGTGTGAGTTGAAGAGGTTTTAAGTTCTTGAGGACACAGGCTTAGGGAGAAGAAGGAGAAATGGAAGGTGGAAGCTTGCCCATAGTGAAGGAGGCAAGCCCAGAGAAAAGAGAGAGTAGAGACACGGAGGGAAGAGGTTCGGGGGTTCTTACCCTCCAGAAAAGCGGGAAAGGGGTCGGGGTGTGGAAATAAGGGATTGGGGGTTCTTGCCCCATAGAAAAGCGGGACTTACCGCTAAGGGTGAAGGAGAAGGGGTTGAGGGGTACTTGCCCCTCCCTCAGAAAAGCGGGACTTGCCGCTAAGGGTGAAGGACCAAGGCAGGCGTCCCTGCGTGGTCTGACACCTTTGAAACATGGGTGAATAATCAGAGAGGCGTCCCTGCAATGATTAAACACCAAGGGAAGGCTACCTTCCCAGTCTGTGACCAGCGCTGGAGTTTTGGGTCCATGGATAAAACGTGTCTCCTTTGTCTCCACCAGAATATGAAAGGAATTGAAATTGAGAGAAGGGAGAGATTGAAGTGTGGCACCAAGATTGAAAGGAGCAAGAGGTTGAGAGATAGTGAGGGAAGTTGGAGAAGAGAGTAAAAAGAGGCCGCTTACCGGATTTGAAATTGGTGAGATGTTTCTTGGGCTGGTCGGTCTGAGGACCTGAGGTCATAGGTGGATCTTTCTCACACAGCAAAGAGCAGGAGGATGGGGGATTGATCTCCCAAGGGAGGTCCCCCGATCCGAGTCACGGCACCAAATTTCATGCGCGGCCGTGTGAAGAAACCACCAAACAGGCTGTGTGTGAGCAACATGGCTGTTTATTTCACCTGGGTGCAGGCGGGCTGAGTCCGAAAAGAGAGTCAGCAAAGGGAGATAAGGGTGGGGCCGTTTTATAGGATTTGGGTGGATAAAGGAAAATTACAGTCAAAGGGGTTTGTTCTCTGGCGGGCAGAGCGGGGTGGGGGGAGGCGGGAAGGTCACAAGGTGCTCAGCAGGGGAGCTTTTGAGCCAGGATGAGCCAGGAGAAGGAATTTCACAAGACAATGTCATCAGTTAAGGCGGGAACAGGCCATTTTCACTTCTTTTGTGGTGGAACGTCATCAGTTAAGGCAGGAACCGGCCATCTGGATGTGTACGTGCAGGTCACAGGGGATATGATGGCTTAGCTTCAGCTCAGAGGCCTGACAATAACCACTATCTTCTTGCTGTTTATTCTCACAGCTCCCTGCCCCTCCCTAATTGCATCACACTGCATGCTTAGCTTAATTGTCTGTCTTCCCTTAGACTGTGAGTGAGTCTATGAGGACAGGAACTGTCTGCCTTCCTAATCAATTTTCAGCACCTTGCCCAGCCTGGCACATGACAGGCACTGAACAGAAATTTGTTGAATAAAGGCCCTGAGCAGTGGCTCATGCCAGTAATCCCAGAACTTTGGGAGGCTGTGGAAGGAGGATTGCTTGAGCCAGGAGTTTGAGACCAGCCTGGCAAACATACTGACAGCCTCCTTATGCTTTATTTTAAAACATTATCCAGGCATGGTGGCGTGCACCTGTGATCCCAGCTACTCAGGAGGCTGAGGTGGGAGGGTGGCTCGAGCCCAGGAGATTGAGGCTGCAGTGAGCTGTGATCACACCACTTCACTCTGTTATGGGCGGGTCTTTGTTCTTAGAGCTCCCAAGATGGGGTGGGGCTGCTCCCAAGATGGCAGCAAGCCTTTTGTTCTCTGACCTGGGGTCCTTGGCCTCACAGATTCCAAGGACTTGGGCCATACAGTGAGTGTTGTAGCTCTATTAGAAGCCGTGGGTCATGGAAGAGAACTGTGGCACCCAGTGACTAGTGTTCAGCTCAATTAGGACGAACCCGGGACTTAGCCATGCAGGAACAATGGCGAGCCTTTAGCCCGATTGGGAGCAGCAACGGGCACCTCACTTGATCAGAAACACAGCGGACACCCTGCCAGAAGTCAATGGTGGGTCTGGGATGGTGGCGAACAGCAGTGGTGGTGAACAGCAGTTGTGGACTGTGAGCAAAAGCTCAGCTTGAGCAGTAACAAACATGGGCCAGGAGAGTGTGCAGTTGCAAGATTTAACAGTGAAAACAGAGCTCCCATACAATGTGAGGGGTCCCAAAGGGGGTTGCCACTCCCTGCTCGAATGCCTGGATTTATATCCTGATCATTGTCCCTCCCCCTGTGCTCTCAGGTGATATATGATTTAACTATTTCTTTACCTCCTGCTTTGGCCTAATTTGTATTTTAGTGAGGCCTCTTTACTACCTGATTGGTTGGGAGTGACCTCAGTTACAAGCCGCATGTTTAAAGGTAGGTACAGTCACCTTTCCCAGCTAGGCTTAGGAATTCTTAGTCGGCCTAGGAAATCCAGCTAGTCCTGTCTCTCAACTCCAGCCTGGGCAACAGAGCAAGACCCTGTTTCAAAACAAAACAAAAAAGAAAAAAATTTGCTGGGTGAATAAGTAACTGAAAAGAATGGAAAGCAGATCTTCCAGGCTGTGCTGGGTTGAATAGCGTCCCCACAAATTCACGTCTGCTCAGAAGCTGTGAATATGACCTTACAGGGTCTTTGCAGAGGTAATCAAGCTGAAATGAGGGCACAGTGGATTCGTTTGGGCCCTAATCCAATGACTGGAGGCCTTACAGAAAGAGGGAAATTGGGGCAGGAACATACACCTGGGAGCAGGGGGAGGCAGAGGTTGGAGTGACAACCTGGGCACCAGGAGCTAGGAGAGAGGCATGGCCCTGAGTCTCCAGAAGGGCCTCCGAGGGCCAGGGGCTGAGGAAAGGCAGGTGCACTGAACAACTCAACAACCCTGCCGCTTACAAGTCAGTCCCTTTGCGGGGCCTTGCAGACCCGGGGAGGGAACAGCCGTGCTGGCTGCACTCGCCAGGGATAACTATGGCTTGCTTCTCATTGGACGAAGTGCCCGTCAATCACACAAAGGCTCAGGATGGGCCTCACTGTGACTTCTGGGCCTTTTTTCTTTGGTCAAGTAAAGGGGCGGGACCTGATTGGCTACAGGTTTGAGGACAGTTGTCTCCCTCTCTAGACTGGAAGGAGACTGGCAGTGGCTAAAGCGCCTGAGCTGATGACTTCTGACGCCCCAGAGTGGCGCTGAGGAGCATTTGCAGGTTTTTGGAATTTCCGATCAAAGGTGGAGGCAGGGTTTACACCCAAACCTAGAACAAATCACCCGTTCTCTTTCCTGATTTCCCTTTCTGAGTAACTGAGATTATAACCTCCAGGGCGGCTTTCCTAAGACTTCTGGACCTGACAAGATTCTTCTAGAATTCCTCAGCTGCCAGGTGCTCTCACCTTCCCTCAATCTCAATGAGAAGCAGAATAACCAGATGTACAAAGAATTTGAATTCCAGTTGTACAAGTATAGAGAGACAGCTGCCAAAGAGCTGTGTAGGAACATGGACTTTGAGCATCTCAGAGAGCGGCCCTCTGGCATGTGGCTTTCCTGCCGGGGAGGCTGGTGGCAGCTGCCACATCAGGTCTCAGTGGGCAGAGATGAAGTCTTTGCAAACATAAAAAAATAAAATAAAACTGTCTCTTTTGTATTTCCCCACCCAGAAAAACAGCCTTGACATATGCTGTTGTGTCCAAAATTGGTGGATTCCTGACTTCACTGACCTCAAGAAGGAAGCCACAGACCCTCACGGTGAGTGTTACAGTTCTTAAAGACGGTGTGTCCGGGGTTTGTGCCTTCTGATAGGCAGTGAGTGTTACAATTCTTAAAGATGGTGTGTCCAGCGTTTGTGCCTTCTGATATTCAGACGTGTTCAAAGTTTATCCTTTCTGGTGGGTTTGTGGTTTTGGTGGCTTCAGGAATGAAGCTGCAGACCTTCCAACTGAGTATTAACAGCTCTTAAGGTGGCGTGTCTGGAGTTGTTCATTCCTCCCAGTGGGTTTATGGTCTCGCTGGCTTCAGGAGTAAAGCTGTAGACTTTCGTGGTGAGTGTTACAGCTCATTAAGGCGGTGCAGACTGAAAGACTCAGCAGCAGCAAGATTTATTGCAAAGAGCAAAACAAACAAAGCACCCACAATTCACAAGGGAACCCCAGTAGGTTGCCACTGCTGACTCGGGCAGCCTGCTTTTATTCCCTTATCTGACCCCACCCACATCCTGCTGATTGGCCCATTTTACAGAGAGCTGATTGGTCCACTTTACAGAGCGCTGATTGGTCCGTTTTACAGAGAGCTGATTGGTCCGTTTTGACAGGGTGCTGATTGGTACGTTTACAATCCCTGAGCTAGACACAGAGTGCTGATTGGTGTATTTACAATCCTCTAGCTAGATGTAAAAGTTCTCCAAGTGCCCACTAGATTAGCTAGACACGGAGCACTGGTTAGTGCGTTTGCAAACCTTGAGCTAGACACAGAGTGTTGATTGGTGCATTTACAAACCCTGAGCTAGACACAGAGTGCTGATTGGTGCATATAGAATCCTCTGGCTAAACATAAAAGTTCTCCAGGTCTCCACCTGACTCCAGAGCCCATCTGGCTTCCCCTAGTGGATCCTGCACCAGAACTGCAGGCGGAGCTGCCCGCCAGTCCCACGCTGCGTGCCTGCACTCCTCAGCCCTTGGGCGGTCGATTGGACCGGGCACCACAGAGCATGGGGTGACGCCTGTTGGGGAGGCTCGGGCCCTGTGGGAGCCCACCGTGGGGGGGCTTGGGCATGGTGGGCTGCAGGTCCTGAGCCCTGCCCCATGGGGAGGTGGCTGAGGCCTGGCAAGAATTCAAGCGTGGTGCGGGCAGGCCGGCAGTGCTGGGGGACCTGGTGCTGCCTCCTCCCCTGCTGGCCTGGGTGCTAAGATGCTCACTCCCTGGGGCCAGCGCCGGCCAGCCGCTCTGAGTGTGGGGCCTGCTGAGCCGGCGCCCATCCAGCACTCCCGCTGGCCCACGAGGGCCATGCGCGGCCCTGGTTCCTGCCCGTGCCTCTCCCTCCACACCTCCCTGCAAGCAGAGGGAGCCGGCTCCGGCCTCGGCCAGCCCAGAGAGGGGCTCCCACAGTGCAGTGGCGGGCTGAAGGGCTTCTCAAGTGTGGCCAGAGTGGGCACTGAGGCCAAGGAGGCACTGAGAGCAAGTGAGGGCTGCCAGCACGCTGTCACCTCTCACTGTGGAGACAAGATCGGTGAACAGGTGGTAACGGAATATGAATGGAAAACCCTGGAGGCGTTTGGGCTTCAGCTCTAGGGCCAGGAGCTGCCTGGCTGTGGTTTTAATACCTGACTTCCAAATGTGACGTTTTCCTGGAGGAACACAGCTCTGTTTACTATGATGGAATTCAGCATAGCTGTTGTAGGGGAAGAAAAAGCATTTTTTTTCTTCACCTCTCATAAGTTGTTAGCTGATCTGGCCTCCTGGAATAAAAAGACAGATTAACAAGAGAAAGACAAGGCCTGGCGTGGTGGCTCACACCTGTAATTCCAGCATTTTGGGAGGCCAAGGCGGGCGGATCACTTGAGGTCAGGAGTTCGAGACTGGCCTGGCCAACATGGTGAAACCCCATCTCTACTAAAAATACAAAAATTAGCCAGATGTGGTGGCACGCGCCTGTAATTCCAGCTACACGGGAGGCTGAGGCAGGTGGATCGCTTGAACCCAGGAGGTGGAGGTTGCAGTGAGCCAAGATTATACCATTGCACTCCAGCCTGGGCAACAGAGCAAGACTCTGTCTCAAAAGACAAAATTAGCTATATGAAAAAAAAAGACTCTGTCTCAAAAAAAACACAAACGAAAAAAACAAGAGAAAGAGCGAGACCCTGTCTCAAACAGCAATGACAACAACATCCCAAAAAATAAGAGAGAGGTTTGTCAACATGCACATTTCCTGTGCACGTGGGAGACGCCCAGGGAGTGCCTGGTTCTCGAAGTGGCTTTGAATCGCAGCTCGTGTTGCATCTTCCACAGAGAACAGTACCTCTTTTTTTTTTTTTTTTTTTTTTTGAGACCGAGTCTCTCTCTGTTGGCCAGGCTGGAGTGCAATGGCACGATCTCGGCTCACTGCAACCTCCACCTCCCTGGTTCACGCGATTCTCCTGCCTCAGCCTCCTGAGTAGCTGGGATTACAAGCGCCCACCACAATGCCCGGCTAATTTTTGTGCTTTTAGTAGAGATGGGGTTTCGCCATGTTGGTCAGGCTGCTCTCGAACTCCTGACCTCGTGATCTGCCCGCCTCAGCCTCCCAAAGTGCTGGGATTACAGGTGTGAGCCACTGCGCCCGGCTAGAGAACAGTACATCTTTAGAGAAGTCACCAGGGGAGAGGACTTTGGGTGTTGAGGGGCAGTCCCTTGGGGAAGGCACGGAGCTGGCAGGTGCAGGCTGGTTGGGGAAGCCTGTTCCTGTGGGTGCCTCTGGAGCCGGCTCCAGGCCCACAAGGGCGCAAAGATGTCTTCAGTGGTTCAGCTTTGCTCTCTGTGGTAGAAAGGGGAGTAGGATGGCTTCTGTCTCTGTAAATTGATGTCCTGCTTTTATTATTATTATTATTGAGACAGAGTCTTGCTTTGTCACCCAGGCTGGAGTGCAGTGGCACGATCTCGGCTCACTGCAACCTCTGCCCCCCGGGTTCAAGCAATTCTGCTTCAGCCTCCTGAATAGCTGGGATTACAGGCAACCACCACCACGCCCGGCTAATTTTTGTATTTTTAGTAGAGATGGGGTTTCACCATGTTGGCCAGGCTGGTCTCGGACTCCTGACCTCGGGTGATCTGCCCACCTCGGCCTCCCTAAGTGCTGGGATTACAGGTGTGAGCCACCACGCTGGGCCTTGTCTTGCTTTTAGGCAAACAGGGTGGGCAGAGCTTTCTGGACCTGCCGCTTCAGAACTGCCCTGAGCTCAACAAGCCTGTGTATTTTGGAGTGGCATCCTCTGGCCTCCCACACTGTATTTCTTGGGGAACCTCAGCCTCTAGGTGCCTTTGCCACAGTCATAGGCCATGGTCTGCACAGTGTTTGGGAGGAGAATGGGAGAGACCTGGATGGAGTCTTGGCTTGTGGCAGTTCTCTCCAGTGATGCGGTCAAACCCATCTGATAAAGACCATGGGGGACACGTCCATATGTCCACAAATTAGGTTTATTAGCTTATTCTAGCAGGGGAGTTACTGGCTCCCATTCAAGGCACTGTGGGCCACCTCCCCATGCAAAAGAAGGGACATGTGGTTATAGGATTTGGGGAAGGATGGAATGGGGGTAAAATGTAAATGAAGCAGTTCTTTGATAGGTTTAAAACAAATATAGTGAGAGCCTGTCTCTACAAAAAGTTTTTAAAAATTATCAGGTGTGGTGACATGCACCTGTGATCACAGTTGCTCGGGAGGCTGAGGTGAGAGGGTCACCTGAGCCCAAGAGGTCAAGGCTGCAGTGAGCTGCGATCACGCCACTGCACTCCAGCCTGGGCAACAGAGCAAGACTCTGTCTCAAAAAAAAAAAAAAGAAAGAAAAAAAATTTGCTGGATGAATAACTTCAGACTGGAGTTGAAGGCCTGGCCCTCAAAATTGACTCAAGGTCCTGTCTGTTTGACATAGTTAAGAAAAATGTAGAATGTTGTGCTCATTCTGGTTATCTGAAGCTCTGCACCTGGGTTGGGATTGGGGCTGTTTCTCTGGGTCAAGGGACCCGCATGCTGCTGAGGCAAGACTGGGATGTTCCATCTTCCAGGCAAGAGTGGCTTGTTCCATTCTCACTGATGTGACTTCAAACAGCAAACTTGTCATGGCCTTTGATTTTAGCAGCCAAGGTTTCCCCGTTCTATGTCCTTAATGTTAATGAACAGAGCCACATTTTTATGTGTTCACAGATGAAAAGCAGGTCAGACAATAAGCAGGTGGTTTCATCAGGCTATCAGTATGGGGTATCAGGCTATTATTATTCCCTCTAGACTTCTATTTCTTCTTATGTTTGTAGAGAAGAAGCAGATACAGCTAGGAGGGCTGAGGAGAATGCGGGTGTGGGGGCAGGCTGGCATGACATGAATTTGCCAACTTGTCTGTCATGTTTCAGAGAGATTCTTTAATCTTCCCCTTTATTGTACAAACCATCTGGAGGACAGAAAAAACAATTTATCAATAGGAAAGATAATTCGTGGTAAATGTGTATGTAATTTTAGGTTGATCTTGAACTGTATTGAAAGCTATAAATTTTTTGGCTGGGCACAATGGCTCATGTTTGTAATCCCAGCACTTTGGGAGGTTGAGATGGGTGGATCACTTGAGCCCAGGAGTTCAAGACCAGCCTGGGCAACATAGTGAAACTCCATCTCTACTAAAAAATACAAAAAAATTAGCCGGGCGTGGTGGCAGGCGCATGTAGTCCCAGCTACTCGGGAGGCTGAGGCAGGAGAATCGCTTGAGCCCAGGAGGTGGAGGTTGCAGTGAGCTGAGATCGCGCCACTGCACTCCAGCCTGGGCAACAGAGCGAGACTCCATATCAAAAAAAAAAAAAATTAGCTGGGCCTGGTGGTGTGCGCCTGTAGTCCCAGCTACTCAGGAGGCTGAGATGGGAGGATCGCTTGAACCTAGGAGGTGGAGGTTGCAGTGCGCTGAGATCACGCCACTGCACTCCAGACTGGATGACAGAGTGAGACCCTGCCTCAAAAGAAAAAGATTTTCTTTCTTATGTATGTGTGTATGTATTTATTTATATCAGTGTGGACTCCTAGATTACCATTTGTTGAATGTGTTGAAATTCATTACCATCATTACCAATTTTCATTCTCAAATCATCTTGTATTGAGCCAGTGGGAGCGTCTTCAGGCTGGCTTCTGTGTTCTTTTGATGTGTTCCATTCTTTAAGCACGTCCTTACTTTCTAGAACAATAAAATGTTCCAGGTTCATTTTGTACCTTCCCTACCCCAGCCCTGGAATCAGCCATTTCTCTCTAAGAAGTCCTGGTTGCTTATAGTGAAGAATGCTATCTAGGAACCCAAGATTACGTGTACTCACTGTTAGCGGAGTTTCGTTGCTTCTAGACTCTATTCACTGACGGATCTAGGGAATGTATGTATACGTGTGTGCATGTTTATAGGCAGATTCCCACCCATAGAATTCTTTCTTTAGATCTAAAACCACAAGTTCATACTGATACCTTGAATTCTAGTCCAACACCAGAGGGTTCATTGTTCATTATAGACTTGCCTCTTTCCATAATTGTAACTTTTTTTGACAATGAGAAACAGGAGTCCCATTTTCCTTAACATATTTTCTTAATTGTTGAAACCTGTAATTCATTGAAAGTGGCTTCAGAATGATAAAGCAGTGTGAAAAACAAACCTACCCACCAACTAGAGTTCAATGTTTGTTATCCTTTTTGTCTTTATTCTGAGGATATATAATTGAAATATTGTTTTGCCCATTCTGTGGGGTTATAAATTAGATTTTAATAATGTTAGTTTTTTTTTTTTTTTTTTTTTTTTAGGCAGAGTCTCACTCTGTCGCCAGGCTGGAGTGCAATGGCGCAATCTTGCTCATGGCAACCTCTGCCTCTCAAGTTCAAGCGATTCTCCTGCCTCAGCTTCCCAAGTAGCTGGGATTACAGGCATGCACCGCCACACCCGGCTAATTTTTGTATTTTTAGTAGTGACAGGGTTTCACCATGTTGGCCAGGCTGGTCTCGAACTCCTGACCTCAGGTGATCCGCCTGCCTCGGCCTCCCAAAGTGCTGGGATTACAGGCATGAGTCACTGTGCCCGGCCTTTTTAAAAATTTTTTATACAGAGTCTTGCTCTGTCACCCAGGCTGGAGTGCAATGGTGCGATCTTGGCTCATTGCAACCTCTGCCCCTCGGGTTCAAGCAATTCTTCTGCCTCAGCCTCATGAGTAGCTGGGATTACAGGCACGTGCCACCATGCCCAGCTAATTTTGTATTTTTAGTGGAGACGGGGTTTCTTTGTGTTGGTCAGGCTGGTCTTGAACTCTCGACCTCAGGTGATCTGCCTGCCTCGGTCTCCCAAAGTGCTGGGATTACAGGTGTGAGCCACCGCACCCAGCCTTATTGTTAGGTTTATTTGTTTCTCTTTGTATTCAATTTTAGTATTTTTCCCCATCCTGTTGATTTCATTATTTTTTGGGTATGTAAAGTGCAAAGGCAAAACTGCAAAAAGGTATACTGGGAGTAGTGCCACTGCCTCTGCTGACCCTTATTCAATCTCTTATCCCTTCCGCCCTATTCCTATTTAGCCCCCTTAGGTAACCAATCTCATTAGGTTTTGGTAAATCTTTTCTTTGTGTTCCTTTTTTTTTTTTGAGATGAAGTCTTGCTCTGTCACCCAGGCTGAAATGCAGTGGCACGATCTTGGCTCACTGCAACCTCCGTCTCCCAGGTTCAAGTGATTCTCCTCCCTCAGCCTCCTGAATAGCTGGGACTACAGGCGTGTGCCACCATGCCCAGCTATTTTTTTTAATTTTTATTTTGTATTTTTTGTAGAGATCCTCATCTTCTTTGCCATGTTGGTCAAGCTGGTCTTGAACTCCTAACCCCAAGTGATCCACCCGCCTCGGCCTCCCAAAGTACTGGGATTACAGGCATGAGCCACCATGCCTGGTCGCATATTTCTTATTCTATCTTGTACAAGGCATAAGTACTGTTGAATTAAATTTGTCCTAAGGCTGCCTCTGTAGATAGAGAACTGTAACCTAACTTGGTTTGTAAACAAACTACAACCTAAAGCTGAGAGAATATTCTTGTAACAAATAGCCAAGTCTTGGTCAATCTTAGCAGCTGGGCTTTCAACCAGTCACAGACTGTAAACTGTTCAGATTTGTCCAAAGAAGACAAAAGTGGAGCCGTAACCAATCCAGCTGTTTCTTTTCTTCTCTTTTCTTTCTTTCTTTCTTTCTTTTTTTTTTTTTTTGAGATGGAGTCTCACTCTGTCACCAGGCTGGAGTGCAGTGGCACGATCTGGGCTCACTGCAACCTCCGCCTTTTGGGTTCAAGCAATTCTCCTGCCTCAGCCTCCCGAGTAGCTGGGACTACAGGTGCACGCCACCACGCCCAGCTAATTTTTGTACTTTTAGTAGGGATGGGGTTTCACCATGCTGGCCAGAATGGTCTCGATCTCTTGACCTGGTAATCTGCCTGCCTTGGCCTCCCAAAGTGCTGGGATTACAGGCATAAGCCACCGCACCCGGGCTTCTTTTTATTTTTGAGATGGAGTTTCGCTCTGTCACCAGGCTAGAGTGCAGTGGCATGATCTCGGCTCAGTGCAACCTGTGCCTCCCAGGTTCAAGCAATGCTCCTGCCTCAGCCTCCCAAGTAGCTGGAATTACAGGCGCCCACCACCACACCCGGCTAATTTTTGTATTTTTAGTAGAGGTGGGGTTTCATCATTTGGCCAGGCTAGTCTCGAACTCCTGACCTCAGGTGATCCGCCCGCCTCGGCTTCCCAAAGTGTTGGCATTACAGGCGTGAGCCATCACACCTGGCCCAATCCAGCTGTTTCTGTACATCACTTCCCTTTTCTGTCTATAAGTACTGCCTACCCAGGTTGCTGGGTAGAGCTCTCTGAACCTTTACTGGTTCAGGGTGCTGCCTGATTCATTGTTTCTTTGCTCAAAAAACCTTCTAAATTTAATTTGTTTAAAGTCTTTCTTTTCTTTTTTTTTTTTTTTGTTGTTTTTGTTTTTGTTTAATAGAGACCAGGGTCTTGTTATGTTGCCCAGGCTGGTCTTGAAATCCTGGCCTCTAGTGATCCTCCTGCCTCAGCCTCCCAAAGTCCTGGGATTACAGGTGTGAGCCACTGCGCCTGGCCTGCATTTCTCACTATGAGTCAAACTGAACATTTTTTTCACATGTCTAAGAATCATTTTTACATCTTTTTTGGGGAGTTGCTGTTCATATATATATATATATTTTTGCCTATTTTTCTATTAGGTTTTTGGTCTATTTTCCTCAAAGTCCTTTACTATATATATATATATTAACCATTTATCTGTGATATATGTGGCAAATATTTTCTCCCACTTTTTAATTTGTCTTTTGACCTCCTGGTGATTTTTTTCACCATGCAACATTTTATTATTATTATTATTATTTTGAGACAGAGTCTCACCCTGTTACCAGGCTGGAGTGCAGTGGCGTGATCTTGGCTCACTGCAACCTCGGCTTCCCGGGTTCAAGTAATTCTTCTGCCTCAGCTTCCTGAGTAGCTGGGACTACAGGTGCACGCCACCATGCCCAGCTAATTTTTGTATTTTTAGTAGAGATGGGGTTTCGCCATGTTGGCCAGAATGGTCTCAATCTCTTGACCTCATGATCGGCCCACCTTGGCCTCCCAAAGTGCTGGGATTATAGGCGTGAGCCACCGCGCCTGGCCCATTTTATTAATTTTATGTAGTAAAATTTACCAGTCTGGTATTGCCTTTGGATTGTGAGTCCTAGTTAGAAATCTTTTTCTTACGTTCTAGTCAAAGAGCTACTCACCCATGAATTCTTAGAACTCTTGTCATTTCTTTTTTTTTTTTTTTGAGACAGTCTTGCTCTATCGCCCAGGCTGGAGTGCAATGTCGCGATCTCTGCTCACTGCAACCTCTGCCTCCTGGGTTCAAGCGATTCTCCTGCCTCAGCCTCCAGAGTAGCTGGGATTACAGGCATGCGCCACCAGGCCTGGCTAATTTTTTGTATTTTTATTAAAGATAGCATTTCACCATATTGGCCAGGCTGGTCTTGAACTCCCGACCTTGTGATCCGCCTGCCTCGGCCTCTGTCATTTCATTTTTTTACATTTAGATCTCTGAACCATCTGGAATTTAATTGTTGATGGGAGTTACAGACCTAGTTTGATTTCTTTCTAAATGACCACCTGGCTGTCTGAGCACCATTAATCACAATGCTTGGGTCTATTTCTGGACCTTCTGTTCCATTTCACTGGTCTGTCTATTCCTGCTTCAGTACCACACTGTTTTAATTATAGAGACTTTATAGTATGTCTGAATATTTGGTAGAGGTAGACCTCTCTCATAGCTTTTCTTTCGCAGGTATTCCTAGCTCTTCTTACATTTTTATCCTTCCGTATGAATGTGTGTATCAGTTTAGGCTCTAGAAAAAATGTTTTGGCATTTTACTAGAATCGCACTAAGTTTATTAATTAACTTGAGGAGAACTGACATATTTATGATATTGAGTCATCTTTTCCAAGAACAAAAGATGACTTGGCTTATTTGGGTCTACTTCTGTGTCTTTCAGGAGTGTTAATGTTTTCCTCATACAGACTTTGTTGCTCTTGTAAATGGGTTTTCTCTACATTACATCCTCTACTTGATTATCATTTATGTTTATGACAGTTACTGATTTCCGTATGCCAATCTTATATCCTGCTAACTTACTATAATATGTAGCCTATTTATCACAGTTTTCCTCTTCTTTTCCAATCCTTATGCCTCTAATTGACCTATCTTTTCTAATTCTATTGGCTTATACTAGCAGAGTGATCTAACCCATCAGTATATTCTACTTTGGACTCGAGTAACACTCGGTGAGGCTCAGTCGTTAAGTTTAGGTAGCCTGAGTTTAAATTTGAGGAGGCCAATATGGGAGTAAGGGGGCTCTCTGCCCATGGCTACTCATTTTCTCTCCTGCTCTGACCTGATGTGATGTCCACCCTGTCAAAGTCGTTGTGACTAGAGCTTTGTGGGGGAAAAGCATTTATTGCTTTTTATTGCTGAAGTAAGGAGCCTGGGGTGCCGCGGAGGACAGGGCGCCGCGAGCAGGGCGCCGAGCTGCCGCCACCTGCCGCCCGGAGCTGGCACTGCACCCTTTTAGTGCAAAGCAAATCCCTGTCCCATTGGTCCCCTCCTTCCCTAACCATGAAATCTAAAGCGAAGCTCCCCTCTCTCCCTTCCACTCTCCTACCGAGGGTCCTTTATTCTATTTATTTATTTATTTGTTTATTTATTTATTATTTTTATTTTTGTTATTTTTTTGAGACGGAGTCTTGCTCTGTCGCCCAGGCTGGAGTGCAGTGGTGTAATCTTGGCTCACTGCAACTCTGCCCCCCAGGTTCAAGTGATTCTCCTGTCTCAGCCTCCCAAGTAGCTGGGATTACAGGCGCCCGCCACCACGCCCGGCTTACTTTTGTATTTTTAGTAGAGACGGGGTTTCACCATGTTGGCCAGGCTGGTCTAGATCTCCTGTCCTCAAGTGATCTGCCTGCCTTGGCCTCCCAAAGTGCTGGGATTACAGGCCACCGTGCCTGGCCACTTTATTCTGTTTAGAGTTGTTAGGGTTGTTCCAGGCTCCAGAGTCCAAATCCTGCAGATAGAGCTCAAAGGGTAAGGTGAACTGAAATGTCTTTGGCTTAGCTCAATTCTCGTCATGGGGGTTTGAAAAAGAAAGCAGGTTAATGGGGAGAATAGAAGAATGAAAGGGACCATGTGCAAAACTGGTCCCTATCCATGGAGTAACAACTAGTTGCATCTTCACTGTAGAAAATTTATTTGCCTTTCCATGGACAACAATCATTTGTATTATTATCAGTTTTCTACAACACGTAGAGTTGTCAAATAGCTTAAAGACAAGGACAAGTATAGACCCTTCTAGAATCAGATAACTCCTAGAAAGGTCTTCTAGACAATCTGTAGTGAAGTTAAGTAATACCTTCAAGATTTCACAACTGTAAACTCGATCTGGAATTCAAACCAGATCTATATGTTTCTGTAAATCCAGGCTCTTTTTTCTGTATCAAGAAGCTTTTGGACTGGAAGAGTGTTTTTCAGCAGGAATTGTGGTATTGGCCACCCATCACCCCATTTAATTAAAAATCCCTGGCCTCAGGACCTACAGCAATGTACTGAAGAACTTCAGAACCTCAATTAGCCATTTGCCATCTTGAGAGAGTCTTGTCCATGGTTCAAGTGTTCCCTTGGAACTCCTGAAGGGCTTGGAGCTTAGTCTGAGCCATGGGAAATGGCCAAAGAGTCTCAAGATTCCCACTGTATCCTGTGCCTTGGAGCAGGCAAGGAGACCATGGCAGCCCTGGCCCCGGTCAGTTCTTGGCTTTGGCAGTTCCGGGACCAGGACGCTGGTACAGCCGGATTATCCCTTCATCGTGTAGCCGCTTCCAGACTTCTCTCTCCAGCTTGAAGTCATGGTTTATGTAAAAGATCAGCCGCTTCCATGATGTATCATAGTAGTGATCAGAAAAGCGCTCATGGCCCTCAGTGATGAAGCCATAAGCACTCACCTACATCACGGTTGGAGGAGAAACACGGCCTGTAGTTGCTGTTGCCCAGGCTTCTTCTCATGGCTAATTCTGTGTTGAGGGGTGGGGGTTCTTTTCCCTGGCTCCGTCCCTAGGGGTCTGGGTGCAGGTCCCTGGATACGCACGCATAACTGCATGCACCCATACTCATGCCCACCCTCTTTCCCAGCAGATGTGGGCACCCAGCCCATGCACTGTCCTATGCTGAACAGGCCCAGGAATAGCCCAGGAGCTGTTTCTCCAGGTATTTCTGCAGCTGCAGTGGAGCCTTACCTGGTCACAGAGCTGAAGGGCAGTGAGCAGCAGGAGGGCCCCAGTGGTGGGGCGGTATATCCTCCAGTGGGCACCATCCAGGGTCTTAGACCTCAGAAACCTGTGAAATGCCCCAAACCCCCAACTGTCAGGAGGCTGCAAGGATAACAGGGACCTGGGCTACGTGTCACGTGCTTTCTGCTCTAACCTGTTCTTCATGTATCGGAGAAAGTCTGGGTGCAGCAACAGGTACCTGTCCATGTGCAGGGCTTCCCGAAAAGCTTCCTGGGGTCTGTGCCTGTGGTTAGGAAGGGGTCATTCAGACTCAGCTCCCTTACCTGGTCTGGGGTGGGCCAAGTCAGGGTCATGAGCATGACTGGTATCCCATCTCCAGGTGATAGCTAAGGCTGTCCCCACCTGTCCAACCCTTTAGAGCCACTCATGACATGGCTCAGCCTGGGATAAGGGGATGGCAGGAGGACAGTGGGTACCTGAACCAGAAAAGGTTTTTTGACATCACCGTCTGATTCATAAGCAGTGCTTCCAGCCACTCATAGTCCCGGGTGCCTTCCAGGAAGTGCAAGTAGCGGACGTCCTGAGGACCAAGGACAGGGAGTGGTCCAAAAGTACTGCCTTCAGGACCACCACCGAGGGTGGCCCAGCTCTGACTCCGACTGCCCACTTGCTCTGCTCTGGACTGGTCTGACTGTCCTCCCCACTCCTGCCCTTATAGGAGGGGAGCCTGTACCAACCACAGACTCCATCCGGATGAAAGCCTCTCCTCTCCCTTCTCACCTCCTGTGCTCCCTCATCCAGAGTCTGGGTGTGGCCAGGCTCCTTCCTCTTTGCTCACCTTCCCAAGAGGCACGTTCTTGAAACCCCGATTGCCCAATATAAGGAGTGACTGGGTCAGGGAGAAGGCGGTAAAGCCGTAGAAGGATGTCCGAGTCCCCACATCCTGTTCGTAGCCTTTAATGAGAGCTCCGCTCAATCTGTGCAGAAAGACACAATCAGACGGGACAGGTGAGCAGAGGAGGGAGATTTGTGTAGGTGGATGGGGAAAGGAAGGAGAAATGGGGGAGGCAGCAGTTATGTGCGGAAATTCTCTCGAGAGCCCAGGAATTCCACCTTCCAGATGCAGGCGTGGAACATCCTATGGGTCTCTCAGAAGAGTCCATGTCTGCAGAAGAGGGGCAAGAGAGGGGCTGGAGGGGGGCTGGAGGGGGCAGGAGAGGGGCTGGAGAGGGAGCTTGGGTGGGGACAGCTTACCGGAACACGTAGTCGTGACTGTCTATCTCCTGGCCCATGTGGGAGTTGTTCAGGATGCCCCCGTTGCCCACCACGGCACAGGTGATGCACCGGAGGCTCCCAGCGGGGAGGCTGGCCAGGAGCAGCTGCTGCTGGGGCACTGGAGGGAAGCGTGTCACGACCTTCTGCACCACTGGAACAAGAGTGGGGGTGCTCCATTCAGAGCCCTGGGAGGGACAGGAGTCCGACCCATCATTCCTCCCAGGTCTGGCAAACCCCAGGGAAGAGGCAGACCAGAAAGCCAGCTGCCCTCTGCCCTCTGCCCCGGCCTACTGCGCACCCACACCTTCCCCTGGGTTAAGGACTCACAGGAGTAGTTGAGCTCCATGAAGCCAAAGGGTGGTGCAAAGTGTTCCAGGCGGTCCCACTCACTCTGGTTGAAGTGTCTGGAGTCCAGGAAGAGAGTGAGGTTGGGCAGAAAGAGTTTCTGGAGCCACAGCGACTTGGAGGCTTTGATCTTCACAGAGTCAGGGCAAGTCTATATACAGGAGGACGAAGTCAGGAAGGGAGAGACCCAGAAAGGCCATCGGCCAGGGGCTGCACCACTGCAGCAAGGGCTGGGGCTCGCAGTTTGGAAGGCGCGGCCTCTGCTACCTCTTCCATTCTGTTCTCAGGGTCTGCTTACCCTCCCCTTCCCATTGTCTGGGCTCATTGTGGTCCTGAGGGTTCTGGGAAATGGGTGTTCTCGGCCATCGAGGCAAATGCACCTAGGCCGGGTGTGGTGGCTCACGCCTGTAATCCTAGCACTTTGGGAGGCCGAGGCGGGTGGATCACAAGGTCAGGAGATCGAGACCATCCTGGCTAACACGGTGAAACCCCGTCTCTACTAAAAATACAAAAAATTAGCCGGGCGTGGTGGCGGGCGCCTGTAGTTCCAGCTACTCGGGAGGCTGAGGCAGGAGAATGGCGTGAACCCGGGAAGCGGAGCTTGCAGTGAGCCGAGATTGCGCCACTGCACTCCAGCCTGGGCGACAGAGCGAGAGTCCATCTCAAAAAAAAAAAAAAAAAAAAATGCAAATGCACCTTTGTAAGTGTGAGAGGGGCCGCATCCTGGGAATGTGGCATGTGTCCAGTGTGCTGTCAGGGCCATGCTTCCAGTCATATGTGTGTAAATGTGTGCATTTTATGGGCCTTCTCCCTCCCTCCCTCCCTCCCTCCCTCCCTCCTTCCTTCCTTCCTTCCTTCCGTCTTTCCTTCCTTCCTTCCGACAGGGTCTCACTCTGTTGCCCAGGCGGGAGTGCAGTGGTGCCATCATAGCTCACTTTAACCTCAAGTGATCCTCCCGCCTCAGCCTCCTGAGTAGCTGGGACTACAGGCATATGCCACTATACCCAGCAACATACACATTTTGGACACTGCCCCTCTGCAAGGACAGGTGAGAAGGACCATGTGGGTGGGTGTGGTTCAGTCAGACTGTTTCCTTAGGGTTGGGAGAGAGCGAAGGCTGTGGAATTGACTTTGCAGGGAAGACAAGGCATTCCTGGAGGACAGAGCTGGGCATGAGGTTGGGGTGTCCTTGTCTGTGAGTCCCTCCCCTGCAGCCCCCGCGAGAGGATGGGGATTCAGGGGCCAAGCCCCAGAGTAGATCACACTCTGTCACCCCAGATGGATGACCTCCAGGCCTCAGGAGCTCCAGGGCAGGCCCCATCTCACTCACCCCTCTTACGCTGTCCACACCAGGGGTCCGGGGCCTGCCTGCTCCTCCTCCCCCATTGTGGCCATCATTGGAAAGACAAGTGGGGCAGAGTCTTGTAGGGCTGAGCTCTGCCTCATAATGAGCTTGGGGCAGGACAAGACAAAGTCTAGAAGCAGAGCCCAGGAGGTGAGGAGAGGGTGGGCTGGGCTTCCTCTCAGGAGGGGCTTCAGAGCTGGGAGCCAGAGGGAAGGCGTGGTGGCAAAAACTCACCGTCTGAAGGCCTCCTATTTCGAAGCTGTATTTTTCCTCAAAATCCCACCGAGGCTCAGATTTGAAGTTGGCGGCCTTCAGTCTTTGGTTTCTCTGCGTCGTGGGGCTCTGGAAAGGGGCAGGGGGTGGGGTGGCCTGAGGTTTCTTCTCCTTAGGTGGGATGACTGCTGTGGTCACTCCTTTCTGTCTCGTCCTTGTTGACACTGCTCCTGTGGGAGCCAGCATTCTGTGCTGACTTTTGGGAATGAGCGTCTTGGCTGTGGTTGCCGCTTTGCCCTGGTGCTTCTCTGACACCGTCCTGGAGGCCGTCAGCTTCCTGGTCTGGCCCCCATTTCCTTGGGTCGTCTTTGTGTCCTGGCTCTTCCATGATTGTGCCTCTGTCCTGCCAGAGGCCATCCCTGCATCTTGCCCTCTGGGTGACAGTGTGTTCACCATGGTTTTCTCTTTTTCTGGGCTCTTCCATGCTGCCCTCTGTGCTGTGTGGGGCACCTTGTCCTGCTCCTCCGGCGGTGCCTGGTTGGCCTCCTTTCCTCTGTCTCCGGTGGTGTGGGCCTTGGGCTGGGTTTGTGTGTTGAGGGCATTGTTCTCTGGCACTGGCTCTGCATAGATGGTTGTCCTCCTTGCCCTTGTGGGTGCCTGGGACTTAGGCTTTGCCAGGGACTGTAGAGACCTTTCTTTAATGTTCTCTGTGCGTTGATGCCTAGGGACAGAGATAACCTTTGATGAAGGCTGAAGATTGTGGAAACAGGTCAGAAGCATAAGTAGTTTTTTGTTTTTTTTTTTTTTTTTGAGACACAGTCTTGCTCTGTCACCCAGGCTGGAGTGCAGTGGTACGATTTCAGCTCACTGCAACCTCCATCTCCTGGGTTCAAGTCATTCTCCTGCCCCACCCCCCTGAGTAGCTGAGATTACAGGCACCCGCCACCATGCCTGGCTAATTTTTGTATTTTTAGTAGAGATGGGGGTTTCACCATGCTGGCCAGGCTGGTCTTGAACTCCTGACCTGCCCAGTGATCCACCTGCCTCGGCCTCCCAAAGTGTTGGGATGACACGTGTGAGCCACCGTGCCTGGCCAGAAAATAGATTCAAACAAAAGCGGAATAGAATTTGAGATATGTACATAGGACATACAGGAGAGCATCTCATCCGACAAACGTTTACTAAATGTCTATTCTGTGCAGTGTGCTGTGCAGGCACTGGGAATACAAATTGGAATAAGACACAGACCTTGGACCTATGTGATACACGATTATTGTTATTCGAGGCAGGAAACAAAGGTCTTTGATCACTGGAGAAAGGCAGGGCCGGCCAAGGCAATATGGGAAGCAGGCTGATTACCTATGCAAGCCCTTCCTCCATTAAGGCCTCCTAGCCTGAGCTGCAGCTGACCCTGGGTGGTATTTCCAGCCTTTCTCAGCCTCAAAGCAACACATTTATTCAGGGTCTCCAGCGGGGGCACTCTCTATTCTGACCTTGAAACTGAAGCCTAAACTTCCCAAGGGTGTTAGGAAAGGGCTGACAGCTGACAGTTCTTCCTCCTTACCTCCCAGGGATCCTTCCTCCTTGAAACCCTTCTTTTTTTTTTTTTTTTTGAGACGGAGTCTGGCTCTGTCACCCAAGCTGGAGTGCAGTGGCGCGATCTTGGCTCACTGCACCCTCCATCTCCCTGGTTCAAGCAATTCCCCTGCCTCAGCCTTCCGAGTAGCTGGGATTACAGCGCATGCCACCACGCCTGGCTCTTTTTTTTTTTTGTATTTTTAGTAGAGATGGGGTTTCACCATGTTGGCCAGAATGGTCTTGATCTCTTGATCTCGTGATCTGCCCACCTTGGCCTCCCAAGGTGCTGGGATTTTACAGGCGTGAGCCACCGCGCCCAATTTTTTTTTTTTTTTTTTCTTTAAGAGACAGAGTCTTGCTCTGTCGCCCAGGTTGGAGTGCAGTGGCACAATCACAGCTCACTACAGCCTCAAACTCCTGGGCTCAAGCGATCCTGTGGCCTCAGCCTCTCGAGTAGCTGGGACTACAGGCATGCACCACCATGCCCAGCTAATCTCTGTGTGTGTGTGTGTGTGTGTGTGTGTGTGTGCACGCGTGCGCGAGCACTTGTGTGTGTTTAGAGACTGGATCTCACTCTGTTACCCAGGCTGGTCTCAAATTCCTCACCTCAAGTGATCCTCCACCCTTGGCCTCCCAGAATGTTGGTATTAAAGGCGTGAGCCACCGCGTCTGGCCTAAACACACACATTTTTAACTGGACTTGCATAGAAAATGCCTCTGCCTTTGTTATATGACTCAAAGAAGTAGCTTGGATGAGAGATATTTCTAACCAGAAAGGAGAGATGGGCCTCAGGACAGGGTTGGACTGAGATATGGAGCATCCCGAAAAGGCTAATGGGCTTCAAACCCTAATTCTTTCTGTATTTTTCATTTTCAACTAAGAAAAAGAAAAGGAAAAATTTATTATAAGAATAGAAAGTGTTTCAAGGAACCCAAGAGCAGGAAGTAGTTGAGCCTCTGGGGGGGCTTGGAACCAGGAATCGCTCTCTAAGGCTTTGTCTCTATCTCACCTCTCCCTCTGAATCAGCTTTCTTCTACTCTTTCTGTCTCTGCAGACAGGCCTCCTCTGCTCTCCAACCCACAGGCTGGTGGAAGATGGCCACCCCATAACACCTGTACTGGGGACTGTGGACTCCCTTTTCTCCCAATTTTTCACTCTAGCAGAAGACTGTGGCCCCCTTGGGTCCTATCTCCATCCCTTTCCAGGGGTCTCGGTCACATACTACATG
Organism: Homo sapiens; assembly: GCF_000001405.40. Taxonomy (NCBI): domain Eukaryota; kingdom Metazoa; phylum Chordata; class Mammalia; order Primates; family Hominidae; genus Homo; species Homo sapiens. Next base: position 76,631,798 of record NC_000017.11, read on the forward strand.
ACATTCTGGGGCCCACTCTGTGCATGGGAGGAGGACACTTTCAAGAGAAAGAGGGGGTTATTGGTTCATGAACTGGGAAGACACCCCCAAAATATCCATTCTGAAAGAATGCCACTCAACACAGAGTGAGAAACCTGAGTGAGTGAAGAACACATTCTTGATCAATTCATTCCACATTTGCCTAGTAGAAGGTCTGAGTGCTGTGTGGGTGTGTGTGAGGCTCACCACTCCCCTTGGTCTGACTACTCAGTGTAACCTCTAAGCTCACGTGGGCCATTCAGCAAAAACCAAGCTGTTCACCCGGTTTAACAAACAGCTCTTGTTACCCAGCAAAGCCTCTTGGTGGATTCACCCTGACCTCCACTTCCCAACCCCCAGCCTCAAGAAGCCTATGGAAACTTCCCTTCCAAACTCCGGCAGCCCTCGGCAGAGAGGAATTCTGCTGAATGACATTTTCCCTATCTCGAACATTTTCATGGATGTAGCTGCCTGGCTGGCAGGCACCTTAACTTGGCCGTGGCGGGGAGAGATGATGAGGCAGGGGTGGTTTTTGACATCACACATCTCAGGCCACACATAGCATGGACAGCTGGCCGTCTGCTTAGTGGCCACACTGACCCTGAAGAGGTAATGCACTCCTCTCTGGAACCCTGTCTAGCAGCAGGAATGGCGCAGTGACTCCTGGAAGGCCTATTCAACCGCAAATCTACAATTGATTGATGACTCCTTTAGGTTTTGCAGGAAGTCACAGCAATAATCCAGGTAGTGACAAAATTATGTAATTAAGTTTCATTTAATTCCCTATAATTAAATACACCTGTGATTGCTAGGGCTGTGGGTGTTGAGATAGACATTTCCTTATTCTCATGCACAGTATTTACTAAATGCTCAAATTGTATCCATATGCTGAGTGCCCCATATTCAACGCGTTCGGCCCTGTGTGGTCCTGACCCTGTGAGCTGGGCTGGGGTGTGGGAAGGCTTTCTTCTATTAATGACTTCTAGTCCAGAGGCACAGGCAAATTAATCATGGGTCATACCAAAACAAAAAGCGACTTAACTGCATAATTCTGATCTACTAGGGAAGTAAAAATATAAAATGTTGCACTTTAATAAATGAATTTATTGGCTGGGTGAGGTGGCTCATGCCTATAGAGCCAGCATTTTGGGAGGCCGAGGCGGGCAGATCACCTGAGGTCAGGAGTTCAAGACCAGCCTGGCCAACATGGCAAAACCCCGTCTCTACTAAAAATGCAAAAAAAATTAGTTTGGTGTGTTGGCACGCACCTGTAATCCCAGCTATTCCGGAGGCTGAGGCACGAGAGTTGCTCGAACCTGGGCGGCAGAGGTTGCAGTGAGCTGAGATAGCACTACTGCACTCCAGCCTGGGTGACAGAGCAAGACTCCATCTCAATTAAAAAATAATAATAATGGCCAGGCGTGGTGGCTCACGCCTGTAATCCCAGCACTTTGGGAGGCCGAGGTGGGTGGATCACCTGAGGTCGGGAGTTCGAGACCAGCCTGACCAGCATGGAGAAACCCCATCTCTACTAAAAATACAAAATTAGCCGGGCATGGTGGCACATGCCTGTAATCCCAGCTACTCGGGAGGCTGAGGCAGAAGAATCGCTTGAACCTGGAAGGCGGAGGTTGCGGTGAACCGAGATCGTGCCATTGCACTTCAGCCTGGGCAACAAGAGCGAAACTCCATCTCAAATAATAATAATAATTAAAAATCAATCAATCAATTTATCATGAACAAGAATCGCACAATAAAAGAAACAGGAAAATAGTTATCTGGCAACATCCTCCCTCTCTGTATATATATATTTTCTTTTTTTTTGAGACTGAGTCTCTGTTGTCTAGGCTGGTGGCACGTTCACAGCTCATTGCAGCCTCGACCTCCCGGGCTCAAACGAGTCTCCTGCCTTGGCCTCCTGAGTAGCTGGGACTACAGGTGCATGTGCCCCCAGGCCCAGCTGCCTTCTATATTCTTCAGTGTACATCACCAAGGGGAACCTGGAAGTGAAGAAATGGCAAAAGGTTCAAAGTTCGTTTATGCCTGCAGCCATGAAACACCTATTGGCCAGAGAGCGGTATTTTCCAAGAATACAGTACGAGAGATAACACAGGAATGTTGAAGTTGACTAGGATATTGAAGAGGCTGAAACTGAATTTTGAAAAAATACCCCAAGGAAAGGTCACTCACTAACAAAGCCAGTATGAGTAGAAGATTATTTTATGGAGGAGGATAAGAAAAGAGCTGAAAAGACTCCTTTGATTCGCTAAATAATTTTGCACCTGGGCTCCCGCCTTCTATGGCATGGAGAGCGAGCGGAAGTGGCTGCAGGTGAGTTGCGCCTGGTATGTGGGAATGGCTGGTCACACAGAATCGCCTCTACTTACGTCCTTAAGTCCTGGGCTCTTTCTCAGTCCCCACCATCAACTTTGCCCTCATTTTATCTCAGGCCCCCTGGCTGGGTGAGCTTTCCTCTTCCAGGTTACATGTTTGGTTCCCACAGCTTTGATGCTGCTTCTCCTTGAAAGGAGGACAAACTAACACTTCGCTCTGCCCTGTGTCCCTCTCCACTCCCTGCTGTGGAGCTCTCTACCTTGAACTGCTCCTGCCTCCTGTGCCCCACATTGTTAGCTGGGCCTGGAGTTCCCAAGACCCCCTTGGTGTCCACGAGGGCTATTCCAGCCTCCTTTTGGTATTTGATCAGTTCTTCGGGGTCTCCTGTCTTATGTGAGATAGAAACCAGCCATTCTGCTTTTTCTTTTCCAACTCTAAAGTTGGCCAGGCGTGGTGCCTCACGCCTGTAATCCCAGCACTTTGGGAGGCCGGGGGTGGGGGTGGGGGGTGGATCACCTGAGGTCAGGAGTTCGAGACCAGCCTGGCCAACATGGTGAAACCCCATCTCTATTAAAAATACAAAAATTAGCTGGGCATGGTGGTGCATGCCTGTAATCCCAGCTACTTGGGAGGCTGAGGCAGGAGAATCGCTTGAACTCGGGAGGCAGAGGTTGCAGTGAGCTGAGATCGTACCACTGCACTCCAGCCTGAGTGATACAGCAAGACTCTGTCTCAAAAAAAACAAAAACAAAAAACAAACTCCAAAGTTTATCTTCCTTGGAAAATCCTGAAAGTTTTCTAAAAGTGAATGAATGCTTTATTTTTACGACTTTACTTTGACTTTAGATGTGTCTATACGCTGCTTCCATGACTAAAAGCTGTATGATTGCCTTAATTATCTTTGTATGCTGGAAAAAAATGGCAGAAATCCATTTTCTCTTGTTATTCTGAGTGTTCTTTTCTCAAATCAAAGCCTGTGTGGTGGTTTTCAGCCACCTCAATCTTAGTGGGGAGATTCTAGTGGGGATGTTATTATGTTCTGGGACTCGAGAGAAAACAGAAGGAAAATGAGTCAGTTGCTGCTCATCATACTTCAGTGGCTGGATACAGCTTCCAGAGCTCCCCCTGAACAGACAGGTCCCCAGCATTCTCAGAGATGCCCTTCGCCTAGCTGAATTCACTGTGGGCCAGAATGCCAGTCAGCTGGTTTGAAAGTTAGATGTCCTACGCCTGTAATCCCAGCACTTTGGGAGGCTGAAGCAGGCGGATCACTTGAGGTCAGGAATTCGAGACCAGCCTGGCCAACATGGCGAAACCCTGTCTCTACTAAAAATACAAACGGCTGGGTGTGGTGGTGCACGCCTGTAATCCCAGCTACTCTGGAGGCTGAGGCAGGAGAATTGTTTGAGCCTGCGAGGTGGAGGTTGCAGTGAGCAGGGATCGCATCACTGCACTCCAGTCTGGGCAGCAAAGAGAGACTCTGTCTCAAAACAACAACAACAATAACAACAACAAACCAACTAAATGAGACATCTTATGGAAAGTTCTACGAGAACTTGACAACACAATGCAATGTTTATTCTGCAATATTCATTGAGTAGCCATGACATGACAGGCATTCAGAGGTATCTGCTAGAGATTAAAGATAAAAAAAGCAATGGTCACTGGTTTTAAGAGGCTCACAGTCTATAAGAGAAACAGACATGAGTATAAGCAGCTGCCTTAAAGTGTCATCGGTATGATATTAGTCATACGTGTGCGAGGCAGTGGTGACAGCCTAGGGAGGCAGTTCTGCTCGGGGGGATACTTTGGTATGTAGGGGTTACCTAAGCTGAGTCTTTTTCTCCTGAGTCTTCAGAAGTGAACTTTTATGAATTATTTTTATTTTTATAAAAGCAATGTGTGCTTATTACGGAAAAAGCAGAAACTGCCTTAAAACATGAAAGGATAGCAACCTCCTATTATCCCAGTCCCTTCAAAGAATCTACTGTTAGTACCTCAGGGCATGAACAGCCGCATCCCTTTTCTACGCCTGTCATGCTTTTGAATACAATTATATACTATTTTGAAATGTTATTTGTTTCCCTCTCCACCCCACCCCCATACCTCCAGCAGTTAAGATTTGGTTTCATGTTCAAGATGTAGTGAAACAGATCAATCTTGGAGAAGTTATGAGGGGGAAGGACTTTACTACTTCTTACCATCATTGTCCTTCCCCTGGAAAGATCCTTTACTCTGGTGGGTGGCGGAAATGAGAGAAGGAGGGATCTGTGAGTTCCAAGGTCAGAGGACCCTGCTTCCTGGCAGTGTTCCAAAGGTCTAACAAGACCCCTGGAAAAAAAAAGAATCCTGAGCCTAGGAAGACAGGACCACAGACAGTGTCAGAAAAGTCTCACACGGAGCTGAGATCACGCCACTGCACTCCAGCCTGGATGGCAAAACGAGACTCCGTTTCAAAAAAAGAAAAGTCCTCCCGCCCGGCCAGCCTCCCCGTCCGGGAGGTGGGGGTAGCCCCCACCCAGCCGCCGCCCCGTCTGGGAGGTCGGGGGCGCCTCTGACCGCCGCCCCGTCTGGGAAGTGAGGAGCCCCTCTGCCCGGCCGCCACCCCATCTGGGAGGTGTACCCAACAGCTCATTGAGAACGGGCCATGATGACGATGGCGGTTTTGTCGAATAGAAAAGGGGGAAATGTGGGGAAAAGAAAGAGAGATCAGATTGTTACTGTGTCTGTGTAGAAAGAAGTAGACATAGGAGACTCCATTTTGTTCTGTACTAAGAAAAATTCTTCTGCCTTGGGATCCTGTTGATCTATGACCTTACCCCCAACCCCGTGCTCTCTGAAACATGTGCTGTGTCCACTCAGGGTTGAATGGATTAAGGGCGGTGCAAGATGTGCTTTGTTAAACAGATGCTTGAAGGCAGCATGCTCGTTAAGAGTCATCACCACTCCCTAATCTCAAGTTCCCAGGGACACAAACACTGCGGAAGGCCGCAGGGCCCTCTGCCTAGGAAAACCAGAGACCTTTGTTCACATGTTTATCTGCTGACCTTCCCTCCACTATTGTCCTATGACCCTGCCAAATCCCCCTCTCCGAGAAACACCCAAGAATGATCAATAAATACTAAAAAAAAAAAAAAAAAAAAAAAAAGATTCCCATCACACCCTAAACCTAAAAGGTTTAGGATAAATAAAGATGTGAATTAAAAAAAAAAAAAAAAGACATAGAACAGTCACCACAAGGGTCCCTCATGTTGTCCTTTTATAGCCACAGCCACTTTCTTCCTACACCACCCCCTCCTCAACCCCTAGAAACACCACTCATCTGTTCTGTATTTTTATAATTTTATCATTTCAAGAATGTTATTTGAATGCAATCATACAATTATGTAAGCTTTTGGTACTGGCTTTTCAAAAAAACAGAACAAAAAAAACCCAAAAAAAGTCTCTCACACATAAGCCAGGTGGACCTGAAAGAGCCAAGGGGCAGGAACAATGGCTGTTTCAGCAGCTACTCAATAGCGAAGGGTCAGCGTCCCACTCCCATGCCTTGGCACCGCATCAGATGTCCTGGAGCCCTTGATACCATCCTGCAGAGGGGCAAGAAGAGCTGAGATTAAGTTTTCCTGAAGCTTGGTGGATGGGAGTTCAGAATCAGAAATCAGGAGGTGATAGAAAATAAAGTTCTGTTCTTTTCTTTTTGGACACAGAGTCTCACTCTGTCGTCCAGGCTAGAGTGCAGTGGCATGATCTCGGCTCACTGGAAGCCAGTGCCCAGGTTCAAGCGATTCTTGTGCCTCAACCCCCTGAGTAGCTGGGATTACATGCATGTGCCACCGTGCCCGGCTAATTTTCATATTTTTAGTAGAGATGGAATTTTGCCATGCTGGCCAGGCTGGAGAACATAAAGTGACAACAAGAAAATGACAAACAGAACCCATAGGTCTGTTTTTACAGCTCACTCTTTTTTTTTTTTTTTTTTAATGGAACGCTTTACGAATTTGCACGTCATCCTTGTGCAGGGGCCATGCTACACAGCTCACTCTTAATTACCATCTCTAAAGCTAAAACAAGCATAGATCTTCCAAAACATATTTATACCAGACTATGGAAGCCAAGCAGAGACATAGTCTTAGATGACATCTACACATCACTGAACAAATGATGCACGTGGGTGCGTCTTAAGATGATATGAGAGATGGCCCGATGGGTTTGAAATCATAGAATTGTATTTTTTATTTTTTTTTTGAGACAGAGTCTTGCTGTGTCACCCAGGCTGGAGTGCAGTAGAGCAATCTTAGCTCACTGCAACCTCTGCCTCCCGAGTTCAAGCGATTCTCCTGTGATAAAAGCGATAATACTCAGCCTCCTGAGTAGCTGGGATTACAGGCAACCGCCACCACGCCTGGCTAACTTTTGTATTTTTATTTATTGATTATTATTATTTTTCTGAGACGGAGTTTCACTCTTGCTGCCCAGGCTGGAGTACTGTGGCATGCTCTCGGCTCACAGCAAGCTCTGCCTCCCGGATTCAGGCAATTCTCCCTGCCTCAGCCTCCCAAGTAGCTGGAATTACAGGCACCGGACCATGCCCGGCTAATTTTTGTATTTTTTAGGAGAGACAGGGTTTCACCATGTTAGTCAGGCTGGTCTCGAACTCCTGACCTCAGGTGATCTGCCCACCTCGGTCTCCCAAAGTGCTGGGATTTAGGCGTGAGCCACTGTGCCTGGCCTCAGAATTGTCTTGAAGTTCTTCTGCTACACTCCTCCCACCATCCTATTTGTTGCCAAGTCCAGCTGATCTGACTTCTTCTCAGTCCTTTCTTCCTGTTCAAACTGTCCTCGCTCACGGTCTCATTAATGCTATCCTAAACCGTTGCAATGGTCTCTAAACTATCCCCTCTAAAACCACGTTCCCCCGATCATCCATCCTGTAATCTATTGACAGAGTACTCTGCATAAAGCATGAATTTACTCAAGTTAACTCCCTTACTCTAAAGTTTTTGAGAGCCATAAAGTTTAAACGTTTTGGCCTGTTTTTTAAGGTGACAAATTCATTCTTTCATCAACAAGCATTTATAAAGCACCTCCACTGGGTCCAGGCCCTGTTCATAGCACTGAGGAAACACAGACAAATAAGACAATGCCGGCCGGGTGCGGTGGCCCATGCTGTAATCCCAGCACTTTGGGAGGCTGAGGCAGGTAGATCACTTGAGGCCAGGAGTTCAAGACCAGCCTGGCCAACATGGCAAAACCCTGTCTCCACTAAAAGTACAATAATTAGCCGAGCGTGGTGGCGTGCGTCTGTAGTCCCAGCTACTCTGGAGGCTGAGGCAGGCTAATCACTTGAACCTGGGAGGTGAGGTTGCAATGAGCCAAGATCGCGCCACTGCACTCCAGCCTGGGTGACAGACCCAGACTCCATCTCGAAAAATAAATGAAGAAATTACATAATTCATGTAATCTCACAAATTCATATAATTACATGATAAACACACACACACACACACACACACACACACACACACACACACACACACACACACACACTAGGTGTTCTACCTGGCTCTAAGCTCTTTTATTCCACCAAGCCAGCCAGGCCAGAGCTCAGACCTTGGCTGCTGGAGGTAGGGAGTGGGGGTGGGAGACGTGGGGGATGAGATGAGGGGGAGATTGGGGAAGCTGGAGAGAGGCGGGCAGTAAAAATCATAGGCACTGAGAAAACTCCTCTTTTTTCAAGTCGTTAACTCCTCTGGTATGGTTACTTAAGTGAGCGCCTGTCTTGGAGGGTGGGGCTAGGGGGTCCCTGCCTGCCCTGAGGTTCTTTCGGCTTCTGTCTGATGTTGGGGGCCCCTGCTGACTTGGTGGTCTCTGCACATTAGTAAATGTGGTTTCTCTGGGGAAGGGTTCTCCTTTACACTGAGAATCCCCGCAGGAGGGTCCTTTCTAGGATCACGTCTCCCACTGCCCCCTGCGGCATTTAGTGTCCCCAAACACTGTTCTGGAGTGAGTGTCCCATTATTGCTCCGGCAGGTAACTGGGCAGTTGAGGGTTCTGGTCTCTGCCCTCCCACCGGGAAGTGCTGAACTTTCCTTCCACTGCCTTCTGGGCTGTGAAGACCTGGGAGGGAGGGGCAGGGTGGTTCTGCCTCTTCCCAGGTACATTACATCGTGGACAGTTCCAACAACTTCCTGCCTTCAGAAATCTCTAGACCAGAACCAGGCATCGCTCTACTTAACATTTGCCCCTTAACTCCAGGGCATGTGGCATCTGCTGGGAAGGCCAGGCCCGGTCACTATGAGTGACTCTCAGGCAGCCCATTCCCACCCCAAAACATCGCCCCAGGAGGACTCTAACCCTCTGAGTTTCTCTCCTCCCCTGTCTTCTTATCTAAGCTAGCTTGTCTTGGGTTTTTGTCAGTTGCGATCAAGTGTTCCAACAAATACAAACCTATATTCACATCATACACAAAAGAAAATTTCTGATGGATTCTTATTAAGCTTAAAGAACAAAAGTACAGAAATATTAATAGAAAGTGTAAAAGAAAATGTATATAATATTAGGGTTGGGAATGACCTTCCTAAAAATTGCACAAAGTCCGGTGACCACAAAGGAAAAGATGGACACATGTTATTGATGTAACAATTACTTCTGTATGACAAAAGATATCACAAACAGTGAAATAAAACCAAACAAATATCAGGCTGAAGAAGATATTTTGAAACAGGAATTAAAAGAAATTAAAGAATGTGTAAGCAAAAACTCAGATGTATGTAAAAAAAACCCAATTCCCTCTAAGAAACAAAAAGAGGTGGAATCCTTTAAAAATTAATTGCCTGTTTTTCTGTCTGTGGCCAGTGAGCCTTATCTCTCCCTTTCCCAGGCATTGTGAAGACCTTGTCTCTGCAGCTGTGTAGCTGCAAGGTCACTAGGCAGATAAACTCAAGTCGTAAAACATATTTTTCCTTGAAAAGTAAGAAATGATGTAATGCATGTCTCAATTGAGTAACTGTCTTTGTTTCTTGCTTCTGTAATATGCTTCCCCCTGCACAGATCTCCCCCTGCCCCACGAAATGCTTAAAAGGTAACCTGACGCTTTGTTCGGGGCTCAGTTTTTTTGGATGTTAATGTGACTGGGCCAGTGCACCTTAATAATGATAATAAATCCTCCTCAACCCTTCAGTCTCTCTGATTCCTAAATTATCCCACTGCATTTAGAAGTATTGTAACATATATGATAAAAAGGTTAATATCCCTAATATACAAAAAGCTCCTACAAATATGAAAAAAATAATAAAAAGGAAGAAAAGATATGAACAGGTCATTCATAGAAAAGTACAAATGACTAAGAAAGTTAAGATTCTCAATACATCAGTGATCTGAGAAATGCAAATTAAAAAGAGAAACACTTTCACCTATCTGATGATTAAGACTTCAAAACCCTAATGAAAGCCAGTGTGGTCCTGGGAGGTAAAGTAAACTTGCACCTGTCAGTGTAGCATTCTGAGACAACAATTCAATGGTGTCCACTGACATTTCATGTAAACATATGCATTGTCTTGGCAATTCCACTTCAAGAAATCTACCCGGAAATCACTTACGCAAGTGCTCAAAGGTATGTGAGAAACTTGATAGGGGTTGGTTAAGTAAACAGTACCTACCCTGTGGAATGCTAAGCAACTGTTGAAAGAAGGGAGTGGACCTGTATGTCCCGACATGGAAAGATGTCCATGATATAGTGTGACTTACAAGGTCAACCTGTGGAACAATATGTAGCATGAGATACATATATATGTATATATACGTATATATGAGATATATATATAAGCTCTCTTGTGCATATATATGTAAATCTATATGATATATATGTGTATATATCTATATCTATATATACAATATATCTATATATACATATCTCTCATGCTACATATTGACATATAGTATATCAATATATAGCGTATATATTGTATATATATCTCCATACTATATATAGATATCTATATCTCCATCTATCTATCCATCTATCTGTCCATCTATCTGCCTATCTCTCTATCTCTCTCTCTCTCTATCTGCCTATCTATCTATCTATCTATCTATCATCTATCTATCGGGCTTGTATAGCATAAAGGTAATGAGCACAGGGTATGGCACCAAAATGCCTGGGTTTGAATCTTGGCCCTGCCGCATACTAGCAGGGTGACCTTGGGAGAATCACTTCAGTTCTGTGTATCTCAGTGTCCTAATAATGAGAATTAGTGAGTTAACGTATATCAAGCACTTAGAATAGGGGCTAGCTCATAGTAAATACTATAGCAGTGTTAGCTACATAATAATAGAATTCCGTGTACCCTCAAGTGTCAAGAGTGGTCACCTTGAAGAGTGGATAGAGGTGGAGGTATAATAGGGAGACCCTCACTTCCTGCTTCACCTTTCTGTATTTTTTTTAACTCTATGAGAACCTGCATTACTTTCAACGTTTAGGAACAGTGAAATGAAATTATTGGCTGGGCGCAGTGGCTCACGCCTGTCATCCCAGCGCTTTGGGAGGCCGAGGTGGGTAGATCACTTGAGGTCGGGAGTTCAAGACCAGCCTGGCCAACATGGTGAAAACCTGTCTCTACTAAAAATACAAAAACTTAGCCAGGCCTGGTGGCATGCGCCTGTAGTCCCAGCTACTCAGGAAGCTGAGGCTTGAACCTGGGAGGTGGAGGTTGCAGTGAGCTGAGATCATGCCACTGCACTCCAGCACTCCGGCAGCAGAGTGAGACTCCGTCTCAAAAAAAAAAAAAAAAAAAAGAGGGCCTCTCACTGCTGGAGATGTGTGTATTTTCTAAGAAAAATGGTCTAGAAGGTATTTTTGAAGGATTAACTTGGCGTCCACAATTGAAACTGCATCCCTAAGAGGGAGGCTCTCCATTTTAACTGACAAACTTAGGGTGAGTCCGGGTCTGAAACAAGTGGAACACACAGCATGGCTCTTTCGCTTCAGGACGTAGAGAATGGCATGTAAGAACTAACCCAGTGCTGCTGCCATTACTCACAGTCCCAGAGGGGAAAGCAGTCATGTCTTCTGTCTGCACTCTGCAGACCTAACCCATCAGTTCTCAAACTCCTGTACGTGTCCCACAGTATCTGGACATGTCCATCCCATGCGTCTTGGTTGCCCACTGCCACCCTTTCTGTTCCCTGCAAGTCTTCCCATTAGTCTTTCTTCCCAGTGCTTCTTGAGAACACTCCTGACCCCTGACACTCCCATGTGGACACACAGGTGGCTCAGACTTCCCCAGTCCTCCCTGGGCTATCATTTTTCTGTTTCCTCAAATGAATGAAATATGAGGAGTGGAAAGGACAAGAATCTTACCTGGAAGGCTTTGTTTGAGGCTCCTTAATAAAAGAGGGCAAGGCGAAGAGAAAGAAGACCAGGACAGCCAGAAGCAAGGACCACTGGACGCCTTGGCTCAGGTGCCTGCATCTCCACAGGCAGGACCTCATGGTGGTGGGTCGGGTTCTAGAGGAAGGTTCTGCATGTCCTGGGGCCTTGATGTAGGCAGCTGGGAGTCTCACCGCTCAGGTTTCCTGGCCAGGAAGTGCACACCCTTTGTCTTAACAATGAGCCACTCCGGCAAGTGCTGAGTTTATCAGTCTCTGCCTGGGAAGGGAGGAACCGCCTTCACTGCTGTATGAAGGCTTATAAGCTGGCGTGGCTTAAAGGAAGGGAAACTCCTTGTGTTCAAACATGTTTACCTTCCTTTTTTGTCTTTGAAGCCAATATCTGAAAGTCAAGCTTTATGAGAAATATAACCACATTATATGCAGTCTCATCTTGGTCAGGTTACTTAACCCATCTGCCGCCATATAAATGGAAAAAAGCAGTTATCTTCCTTTTGGGATTATCATGAAGACACCTTGAGGCCACCATGCACAGGGCTTTGTTTGTGGTAGGCACCCAACACACATGTTCAACACTTTAGCTCAACCTTCTCTGTTTCTCTTCTGAAATCATGACCATTACAACAATGACCAGCACGTATGAGGGCTCACTCTGAGCTGGGCAGTGGGGAGTCTTCACAGGCACTCATGGAACCCTCACAGCCACTCTAGGGGCTGGGTACTGTCATCACCTCCATTTGACAGAGGAGGAAATGGCCTCCAAGAACAAGCTGCCAGCCCAAGAGCACATGGTGAGCCACTGGCTTGGGGTCCAGATCCAACTGACCTAGAGATTGCATTCTTTTTTTAAGAAATAGAGATGGGTCTCAGTATGTTGCCCAGGCTGGTCTCAAACTCCTGGACTTAAGTGATCCTCCCACCTCAGCCTCCCAAAGTGCTGGGATTACAGGCATCGGCCACCATGCCCAGCCATGATTGCATTTTTCTTTCTTTTTTTTTTTTGAGACATTCTCACTCGTTGCCAGCCTGGAGTGCAGTGGCGCAATCTTGGCTCACTGCAACCTCCGCCTCCCGGGCTCAAGTGATTCTCCTGCCTCAGCCTCCTGAGTAGCTGGGACTACAGGCACCCAACACCACACCCGGCTAATTTTTGTATTTTTAGTGGAGACGGGGTTTCACCATGCTGGCCAGGATGGTCTCGATCTTCTGACCTCATGATCCACCTGCCTCGGCCTCCCAAAGTGCTAGGATTACAGGTGTGAGCCACCGTGCCTGGCCGATTGCATTCGTATCCACTGCTTAGTAGCACCTACGAGAAATCATTAACTCTACCTTGATCAAAGCAATGCAAAACAAAACCCACATAATTCTTGGGAAAAAAAAGTACACCTCAGAGGAAAAACATCAAGACCATTTGTAGAAAACTTTAAAAATTCAGAGAAGCAGCCCTCCATAAAGTACTGTGAGTTAGTAATTTTATAAAAATATTGTCCAGGGTGTTGAACTGTGGGAGAGGTTTTGGAGCCTGGGCTCACTGTTCACACCTGGCGGTGGGCATTTCTCCTAACGTACAGTTTTCAGTTCTGTACACAAGGCTCTTGGCCTTCACCCATGGCACGCACCGATAAATGATTAAACCACCTTCCTCAAGGAGGACGAAAAAGGCAGGAACATACGTCTGAGCAGCTGAGGGTAATACAGACGACTGATGGTTTCCTTTATCCCCTACTGTACACTGCAACTCACAGCACTGTTTCAAGTCATGGTGGCAAGGAGAAACATCTCTGTTAGTACTGACTCAACCTCTCTCTTTCTCTCTCACCGTGCCTAACCTACAGATGCTCATATGTTAACTCTATAAACATTTTCTGAATTGATCTGTATCAAGTCATAACTCTTTGTCCTAACTGGCCCCTTATCCTGAGTTCCTTTATGCACTTGACATGTACAATTATATTCCTGTATCCTGGTGCCTGCTTGCAACGCTATGCAAATAAGTGCACAGTGAAAAGGCATGTTCTTACCCACAGTACTAGTGTGACTAAATAGAGTATCTCTTTCATCGTGCCCTGTGTTCTGAAGAAGGCACTGGCTGTCAGTGCTCGCTGCCTTCCGCAGGGCATGGAGATCCAGCTGAGCTCCTGGGTGCAAGCTGAGCTACTGTGGACAATCTGTCCCTCTCGCCACATTAGAGGCAGGTTGAACTTGAAGACCTTGTGGCCAACTGGTGTGGCAGGATAATCCAGAGTCCTAGTTTCCTGGTTCTCAGGTTCCAGCCCACTGCTGCTGTAGCATGTGCCTGGGCAGAATGTGGGATCCAGAGAAGTGTGTGTTTTAGGAGAAATTGACTTTCCAATTATTTTGTTTTTGCTTTTTGAGACAAGGCCTCTTTCTGTCATCCAGGCTGGAGTGCAGTGGTGCAATCATAGTTCACTGAAGCCTTGAATTCCTGAGCTCACAAGATCCTCCTGCGGCAGCCTCCCTCCAAAGTAGCTGGGATTACAGGTGGGTGCCACCACACCTGGCAAATTTTTTTTGTAGAGATGGGGGGGTCTTGCTATGTCGTGCAGTCTGGTCTTGATCTCCTGGTCTCAAGCGACCCCACTTCAGCCTCCCAAAGTGCTGGGAGCACTTCATGTGAGCCGCCACGCCCAGCTGCCAATTATTTTTTAAACATCGTCACAATTTTGTGTTTGGTAAGATCTACCTTTCTCTCCTTTTTATTGTTTTATTTTATTTTATTCTCTTAAGCTCAATGGCAAAAACTTTTTCTCCTTTTTAAACTAAAGCTTTGAGCTTGAGTCTTTGAACTTTAGTATACATCAGCTGATGGGACATGTGAGAACTTACATGCAGATAAGAGTTGTTAAAAGATAATTTTCAGTAAAAGGTAAAATCATTACTCAAATAGATAGAAGACATAAAAATGTGCTAAAGATTTGATTCTACTCATGAGAGGACCAGGCAGATATAATAACCAGTTCAAAAGAGAAGTGCATGAGCACAAAGTAATTTAGATTGTTTTTCATTTGCTTCTTTCAAGATTTTTCTCTATCTTTGGCTTTCAGTATTTTGACTATGATGTGTCTGTGTGGGTCTTCCTGCATTTATTCACTTGGAGTTTCTGGGATCTATGTATTAGTGTTTTTCAACAAATTTCAGAAGTTTTCAGGTATTATTTGTTTGAATATTTTTTTCTCTCTATCTCTGCCTCTTGAGCATTCTTTCCTAGGATGAGTATGTTGGTGTGCTTAACAGTATTCTACATTTCTCTGAGGCTCTGTTCATTTTTACTTATTATTTTTCGTAGTGTTCTTCATCTGTATTAATCTGTCTTCATGTTGGCTGATTCTTCCTTCTGCCAACTCAAATCTACTATTGAGCCCCTCTAGTGAATTTTTCATTTTGATTATTTATTTTTCAACTTCAGAATTTTCATTTACTTAATAATTTTGTTCTATCTTTTTAGTGAACATTCTCTATTTCATGAGTCATTATTATCATGCCTTTCTTTAATCTTCAATTCTTTAAACATGGTTTACATTAAAAACTTTTTTTTTTGGAGACAAGGTCTTGCTCTGTCACTCAGGCTGAAGTGCAGTGGCGTGATGATAGGTCACTGTAACCTTGAACTCCTGGCCTCACGTGATCCTTTCTCCCCAACCTCCCTAGTAGTTAAGACTACAGGCTAATTTATTTAAATATATATATATTTTGTAGAAACAGGTTTTCACTGTGTTGCCCAGGCTGGTCTTGAACTCCTGGCCTTAAGCAATCCTCCTGCCTAGAACTCCTGAAGCATTGAGATTATAGGCGTGAACCACTATGCCTGGTCTACTTCGATTTTTAAAACATATTCATAATAGCTGCTTTGGAGTCTTTTTCCAATGTGTCCAATATTTAGGTCCCTTCAAAAGCACTTTTTATTGCCTGACTTCTTTTCCTGTGTATTTGTCACAGTTTTTTTGCGTGTCATAATTTTTTGTTGAAAACCAGACATTTTAGATAATATATTGTAGCACCTCTAGATGCTGAATTCCCCACTACACTGGGGCTTGTTGGTGGAACTGTTGTTTCCTTGGGCATTTGTTTATTTAATTCTGAACTAATTCTATGAAGCCTATTTCCTGGTTTGTGTGCAGAGTGTATAATTTCTGATGTTTCTGCTGAGTTTCTTTCTTTTCTCCTTTTTTTTTTTTTTTTTTTTTTTGAGACAGAGTCGTGCTCTTTCACCAGGCTGCAGTGCACTGGCGCGATCTCGGCTCACTGTAACCTCTGCCTCCCAGGTTCAAGCGATTCTCCTGCCTCAGCCTCCCGAGTGGCTGGAACTACAGGCGCGTGCCACCATGCCCAGCTAATTTTTGTATTTTCAGTAGAGACAGGGTTTCACCATGTTGGCCAGGATGATCTCAATCTCCTGACCTCGTGATCCACCCACCTCGGCCTCCCAAAGTGCTGGGATTACAGGTGTGAGCCACCGCGCCCAGTCTTCTGCTGAGTTTCTTAACCACTGTGTCTGGTACACAGTTTCCACCCTACAAGTGGGGTCTGGGTTGGGGAAGGGAGCCCCAGCCCTCTTGGCCACACCTGCATGGAATACAGTTTTTGCAACGCAGAGCTGGAAGAGATGAGAGACACCAGTGACACACCCTTCTTAGAGTGAAACTGCAGCCTGGAGTGGAGGCAGAGGGAGCCCCCCATCTTCTTGGGAAGCGACACCTGCTTGGGAAGAAGATAGGAGTGGGATGTGACTCAGGTGCCACAGACTGTTTATTCTTACTGGTATTCAGGAGATTTTCTTGAATAAATATTTCTTCATTTGCTGTATGTCCTTAGGACAACATAATTTTATTTCAATTATTTAAATAATTTTCACCAATTAGGTCAGGTGCAGCGGCTTACACCTGTAATCCCAGCACTTTGGGAGGCTGAGGTGGGAGGATCACTTGAGCCCAGAAGTTTGAGACCAGCCTGGGCAACATGCTGAAACCCTGCCTCTACAAGAAGTACAAAAATTAGCTGGGCGTGGTGGTGCATACCTGTAGTCCCAGCTACTTGAGGGGCTGAGGTGGAAGGATCGCTTGAGCCTGGGAGATCAAATCTGCAGTGAGCTGAGATGGCACCACTGCACTCCAGCCTGGGTGACAGAGCCAGACCCTGTCTCAAACAAACAAACAAACAAACAAATAATTTTCACCAATTAAATGGCTGTTTTGTAGGGAGAGGTCTGCTGAGTTCCTCACATAGCCATCTCAGACAGGCCACGCATAACTCTTGTGGTGAACTGATATGAGCACAAAAGAAGGCCACGTGGCCTGTTGCTCCATGAAAGAGCCGTATCCACAAAGCAACCTCCAAATGCTGAAGGAGCCAACCAACCAGAGGAGGAGGCAGACAAATCCAGTTGGTCAGCATGGGATGATTTACTGGGTAAATTTACAGATAGAAAAGCATGGTCTTGGGGGGCTGCAGACATGTAGATCTCTGCAATGCAACACCTCAAATCTAGGGCTTCTATCTTGGGGAAAAGTATATGTGCTCTGGAAGGAATGTGTAGGTGGCTATGAGTATCACTACGCCTATGATGTCTGCAACAGCATCTCGGATTGTCTTGGAGGAAAAGTGAAAGTTAAAATGAATAGGTGTTCTACCTAAAGAGTAATACATCAGCTACACATTTGGAAGGTATTCTCGGACTCAGGGTCGGTCAGGCAGATTAGCGTTTAAAATAAAGTCGCTCTTGTCCCCGCGCATATGTTTCAGTATATAAAAGTTATATAGCGAATTTTAAGTCAAAGTTACTTAAATAAAACTGAAATTGTACATTTGATTTTGAAAATGTAATTAAATATTTTAAAAGCATACCTTGGAGATATTGTGGGTTTGATTCCAGACCACTGCAATTGCAGCAAAGTGAGTAACAGAAATTTTTTTATATATGTTTACACCGTAATGTTTTCTTCCTTCCTTCCTTCCCTCTCTCTCTCTTTCCTTCCTTCCCTTCCTTCCTTCTCTTCCATCCTTCCTCCCTCCCTCCCTCCCTCTCCTTCCTTCCTTCCTTCTTTCCTTCTTTCCTTCCTTCCTTCCTTCGACTGAGTTTAACTTCTGTTGCCCAGGCTGCAGTGCAGTGGCACAATCTCGGCTCACTACAACCTCTACCTCCTGGGTTCAAGCGATTCTCCTGCCAAAGCCTCCCAAGTAGCTGGGATTACAGGCGTCCATCACCACGCCCGGCTAATTTTTGTATTTTTAGTAGACACAGGGTTTCGCCATATTGGCCAGGCTTGTCTCGAACTCCTGACCTCAGGTGATCCACCCGCGTCGGCCTCCCAAAGTGCTGGGATTACAGGTGTGAGCCACCGCACCCGGCCTATAAAGTGTTTTAAAATTAACATATGTACATTGGTATTTTAGACATAATGCTATTGCACACAAAAGAAACATACACGTGTGAAACAATGTTGTCCAACAATAAACAGGAATTTTATTTTGCTGAGTCCTAAAATAAATGAAAACAAAGAATAAATAATATTACATAAACTTAGTTCATAAAGTGGCAGCAGGGTTTGAGAGGATTTACTTCAATGTTGAAAGAATTTCTAATGTGGATGGGCAAAATGGCATCAAACGTCACATTACAGAGGAAACTTTCAATCTATGCAGCAAGCTTTACTGTTGTCTTATTTTATTTTATTTTATTTTATTTTATTTTTTTGAGATGGAGTCTCATTCTGTCACCCAGGCTAGAGTGCAGTGGTGCGATCTCAGCTCACTGCCATCTCTGCCTCCTGGGTTCGAGCAATTCCCCTGCCTCAGCCTCCCGAGTAGCTGGGATTACAGGTGCACGCCAGCTCGCCTGGCTAATTTTTGTAAAATTAGAAAAAAAAAACACCACAAAAAAACAAAAACACAGCAACTTCATAGACAAAAAAGGAAAAAAAAAGAAACCTTTTCTCTTTAGCCTTTTTAACCATCTCATACAAACTAAGTACATACACAGAAAAGTTACTGGAATGCTCAGAATAAGATTGTTTTCCTGTTGTCTTTTTTTTTTTTTTTTAACAAGGTTTTTTTTTCTCCTTTGAGATTACAGTGAACATGGTCACACTACAAGTAAAGTCAGAAGTAGGACAGAGAATGCTCCAAAGGTTGGTTTGGTTATCTGAGATCATTAAAAATGGGTGGCCCTAGGCTGGGCATGATGGCTTACGACTGTAAACCCAGCTGCTTGGGAGGCTGAGGCAGGAGGATCGCTTGAACCTGGGAGGCAGAGGTTGCAGTGAGCTGAGACAGCGCCACTGCACTCCAGCCTGGGTGACACGAGAGAAACTTCGTCTCACAAAAAAAGAAAAAAAACAAAAAAAGGCTGACCCTAACAATATGTGCAAAAATATAAAATGTAAGTAAAAAACACAAATTTCCTTTTCAAGTATTTTTATGGAGGTGAATTCATACTAATAATCATAGTAATATTCCTACAATAAGATTAGTCTTTTTAAAAAAATTTTACTTTAAGTTCTGGGATACATGTGCAGAACATGCAGGTTTGTTACATAGGTATACATGTGCCATGGTGGTTTGCTGCACCTATCAACCTGTCATCTAGGTTTTAAGCCCTGCATGCATTAGGTATTTGTCCTAATGCTCTCCCTCCCCTTCCCCAACCCTCTGCCCCTGCCCCAAGAGGCCCAGGTGTGTGATGTTCCCCTCCTTGTGTCCATGTGTTCTCATTGTTCAACTCCCACTTATGAGTGAGAACATGCGGTGTTTGATTTTCTATTCCTGTGTTAATTTGCTGAGAATGATGACTTCCAGCTTCCTCCATGTCCCTGCAAAGGACATGAACTCATTCTTTTTTATGGTTGCATTTTCAGTACTTTGAAGAAAAAGAGCAGGGCCTTGGAAGTTTTGGTTCTTTTTTCCTCCCCTGTTGCAAATTCTCATGGTTTGAGTTGGGTGGTGGAGAGTGCGTGTCATCTGCGGGTGGTCTCTCTACCTGAAGGTGACTACGTTTGGATTCTGAGACAGGAAGTAGAGGGTGACTAGGTCACAGTCATTTTTTTTTTTTTTAGTTTAATTTTTCCTTTTTTGCTGTCTAGTTGTCCTCATCAATCTTCTGCTTCTTGGTATGGACATCATCATCCTTATCATCTTCAGCTACTCACTTGCCCATAGCAAACTCAGCTTCCTCGTCTTCATCTCCATCCTCTTCCTCACCATCACCTTCTTCCTCTTCTTCATCTACCTCATTGTCAACCTCCTGCTCCCAATTTTCCTCATTAGTGTTCCCATTAGCAGAGGCATCTCTTCCATTTCCGCCTCCTCCACAACTTCCTTCTTCTCCTTTAAGTCCTTGGTGGTGATCTCGGAGCTGGTGTCTATGGCTGCATCTGACATGATGGGGCATGCCGGTGATCTGATACAGGGGATTAAAAAGGAATCGAGAATTCGAGGACTCTGGTGATAAAGCTGCTGGAGTCCACGGAGGAGGAACCAAGGAGCCAGACGAGGAACAATGCAAAGATGGCTTTTCAGAGCAGCCAGTGGGGGCTGTTTTCATTTCAACAGTGTTCAGAGGAGTAGATTCCATCTCAAGAAACCCTCTTGGTGCATGCATAAGAAGCAACTTCTAATCTGTAGAAGTTTGATCATGAGATTGCAGCAACTCAGCCACATCTTCAGGCTCCACCTCTAATTCTGCTTCTCTTGCTGTTTACACCACATCTGTGGTGACTTCTTCTACTGAAGTCTTAAGTCCCTCAAAGTCATCCACCAAGGTTGGAACCAACTTCTTCCAAACTCCTGTTATGTTGATATTTTGACCTCTGCCCATGAATCATGAATGTTCTTCAGGGACTCTAAAATGATGAATCCTTTCCAGAAGGTTTTCAACTTACTTTGCCTAGATCCATCAGAGAAATCACTATCTATGGCAGCTATATCCTTATAAAATATATTGCTTGAATAATAAGACTTGAAAGTTAATATTACTCCTTATTCCATGGGCTGCAGAATAAACGTTGCGTTGACAGGCATGAAAACATTAATCTCCTTGTATATCTTCATCAGAACTCTTGGGTGACCAGGTGCATTGTCAATGAGCAGTAATATTTTCAAAAGAGTCTTTTCTTCTTAGCAGTAGATCTCAACAGTGGGCTTAAAATATTCAGTAAATATGGCTGGTTGTGGTGACTCATGCCTGTAATCCCAGCACTTTGGGAGGCTGAGGTGGGCGGATCACGAGGTCAGGTGATCACGACAATCCTGGCTAACACCGTGAAACCCATCTCTACTAAAAATACAAAAAATTAGCTGGGCATGGTGGCATGCACCTGTAATCCCAGCTACCCAGGAGACTGAGGCAGGAGAGTCACTTGAATCTGGGAGGCGGAGGTTGCAGTGAGCCAAGATCGCGCCACTGCACTCCAGCCTGGGCAACAGAGTGAGACTCCATCTCAAAAAAAAAAAAAAAAGGAAATGTTTGGTGGCCAGGTGCAGTGGCTCATGCCTGTAATCCTAACACTTTGGGAGACCAAGGCAGATCACTTGAGGTCAGGAGTTCGAGACCAGCCTGGCCAACATGGTGAAACCCCCGTCTTTACTAAAAATATAAAAATTAGTCGGGCATGGTGGCATGCACCTGTAGTTCCATTTACTGGGGAGGCTGAGGCCGAAGAATCCCTTGAACCCAGGAGGTGGAGGTTGCAGCGAGCTGAGATCACGTCACTGCACTCCAGCCTGGGCGATAGAGCGAGACTCTGTCAAAAAAAAAAAAAAAAAGAAAGGAAGAAAGAAAGAAAAAAAGGAAAAAGAAAGAAAAAGTTTGAAATATCGCAAGAATTACCAAAATGTGACACAGACATGAAGTGAGCACTTGCTGTTGGAAACATGAGGCTGATAGACTTACTTGATGGAGGGTTGCTATAGACCTTCAGTTTGTAAAATTGCACTATCTATCTGCAAAATACAGTAAAGTGAAATGCAATAAAACAAGGTATGCCTGTAAAAGCATTTTTATAAAAAACGAACTGTCCACAATTTTAGTGTTCAATGTCCATCTAGTTGCCAACATAAAGAAATGGCATCACATTTCACGTGTTATGTCTAGATCCAATTTATCCAAACCTAGGAGCAATATGAGGTTTTTACTATTGCAAAATTTAGTTTAATTTAATTTTTTAAATTTTTGTAGAGACAGAGTCTCAGTATGTTTCCCGAGCTTGTCTGGAGCTCCTGGGCTCAAACAGTCCTCATGCCTTGGCGTCCCAAAGTGCTGGGATTACGAGTGTGAGCTACCACGCATAGCCGCAAAATATTCTTTAGAACTGTGACAAATATTGCACTGATTTGGGAGTACCTCCAGAATCAGGAACTGGACAATCAATACAAGTGGGAAAATGTGGCCGGTCATGGTAGCTCACGCCTGTAATTCCAGCACTTTGGGAGGCCGAGGTGGGCAGATCACCTGAGGTCAGGAGTTCAAGACCAGCCTGGCCAACATGGTGAAACCCCATCTCTACTAAAAATACAAAATTAGCTGGACGTGGTGGCGCAGGCCTGTAATCCCATCTACTTGGGAGGCTGAGGCAGGAGAATTGCTTAAACCCAGGAGGCGGAGGTTGCGGTGAGCCGAGATTGCGCCATTGCACTCCAGCCTGGGCAACAAGAGCAAAACTCTGTCTCAAAAAAAAAAAAAAAAAGTAGCCGGGCATGGTAGCAGGCACCTGTAATCTCAGCAACTTGGGAGGCTGAGGCAGGAGAATTGCTTGAAACCGGGTGGCAGAGGTTGCAGTGAGCTGAGATCGTGCCATCGCACTCCAGCCTGGGCAACAGAGCGAGACTCTGTCTCAAAAAAAAAAAAAAAAGAGTAGGGAAATGTGTTTTGTTATGCAAAAATCAATTGTATTTCTGCTCTCTGAAAGTAGGAATTGACAAGCTAATTAATTAGTCCTTTTTGTTACCAAGCACCTCTGCTGCTCAAATTCTTCCTGTATCTTGAGTCACTGCTTGCCTCTGAAGAACCCACAAATCTAGATAGCATCCAGACACTGTCATCTTTGATTTTGAAGACACAGGGCAAGTGATGTGGAGAAGCCTTTCTCTGGGGCCTGAACAGTGTGAGTCAGAAATGCCAGTGTTGAAGGCTCTAGATTGTGCTGCATTATCACTGTTCACCAGATCCAAGCAACATAAATGCCTGTTGTTCTTTTTTTATTTTTTATTTTTTTGAGACGGAGTCTTGCTCTTTCATCCAGGCTGGAGTGCAGTGGCGCGATCTCGGCTCACTGTAAGCTCCGCCTCTCGGGTTCACGCCATCCTCCTGCCTCAGCCTCCCGAGTAGCTGGGACTACAGGCATCCGCCACCACACCCAGCTAATTTTTTGTATTTTTAGTAGAGACGGGGTTTCACCGTGTTAGCCAGGATGGTCTCGATCTCCTGACCTCGTGACCTGCCCGCCTCGGCCTCCCAAAGTGCTGGGATTACAGGCGTGAGCCGCCGCGCCCGGCCCAACAGCTGTTCTTTCAGGCAGCTGAAAAAATCAGATAGGCCCTAATAGACTTGTTTGACAACATTTCTTTGGTCTCTGAATACAACTGCCATATTTCTTGTTCTCCTAAGGCTCTAATAATGACCAAAGAACCCTAGTTCATTTTCTTTTTTTTTTTTTTGAGACGGAGTCTTGCTCTGTCACCCAGGCTGGAGTGCAGTGGCATGATCTCAGCTCACTGCAACCTCCACCTCCTGGGTTCAAGCGATTCTTCTGCCTCAGCCTCCCAAGGAGCTGGGACTACAGGCACATGCCACTATGCCTGACTAATTTTTGTATTTTTGGTAGAGACGGGGTTTCACTATATTAGCAAGGCTGGTCTTGAACTCCTGACCTCAGGTGATCCGCCCACCTCAGCTTCCCAAAGTGCTGGGATTACAGGCATGAGCCACGACGCCTGGCCTCATTTTCTTTTTTTTGAGACAGAAGTCTCGCTCTGTTGCCCAGGCTGGAGTGCAGTGGTGCCATCTTGGCTCACTGCAACCTCTGCCTCTTGAGTTCAAGCAATTCTCATGTCTTAGCCTCCCAAATACCTGGGATTACAGGCATGCACCACCACGCCCAGCCAATTTTTGTATTTTTAGTAGAGAAGAGGTTTCACCATATTGGCCAGGCTGGTCTCGAACTCCTGACCTCAGGTGATCCACCCAGCTTGGCCTCCCAAAGAGCTGGGATTACAGGCATGAGCCACCATGCCCGGGCCCTAGTTCATTCTCTAAGATTATAGCCAACCATTTCCTGGGACATGGGAAGTCCTTCCACCTTCCCATGTACTCTCCTTTTGGAGGAATGAGTTTGATAGCAAGGGAGGCCTACACCACAGCCCAGTATTGTGGTAACAGGTGCAATCTAAAAGAAATGTGACACAAACTCAAAGGTTTTGCCTGTGAATTAATTCAGTTCACATTTCCTAAGAGTTTACTATATACTGACTCCTGGGGTAAGTACTGTAAACTGTCGTGTCAATGAGTGACAGAAAACACACGGGGCCAATAGAGAGACACAGAGGAGGGGCACTTGGCCAGCTCAAGTACTGGAAGGTTCCCTATCCAGTGTTCCCTACCTGACCAGTGAGGCTCACGGAGTAACACAGGGCATCAGCACACAAAAGGCAGAGGATGAGATTCTAGCAGGAAAACGCTACCCTGGCCACCAGTCCCCAGAAAGGAAGGGTTGAAAATTAATGGCCACATTGCACTTAGTCAGGCTGCAATATTAATAACCTGTGCTGTGCCTGCTTCAGCAGCAGATATACTAAAATTGGAACGATACAGAGAAAATTAGCATGACCCCTGTGCAAGGATGACACGCAAATTTGTGAAGTGCTCCATATATAAAGGTAGTAACAATACTAGCTGTTGTGCTGAAGGCGCCTTTGTGGAGAAGTTTTCTGGAGTAGCAGGAGACTTATTTTTAATGATTATTTCTCCAGCACCAGGCTCTATTGGTGCCGTGGACATAGTGATGAGCAAAATATAGCAGTCCTGCCTTCATTGAGGTAAGCTCCTAGAACAGAGACAGTGGAGAATCAATTAAACAGATAATAATCCATGCTATGAAGAAAAATGTGGCAGGGCGCCAAGGCTCACGCCTGTAATCCCAGGACTTTGGGAGGCCGAGGCAGGAAGATCGCTTGAGTCCAGGAGTTTGAGACTAGCCTGGCCAACACAGTAAGACCCTATCTGTACATAAAATTTTAAAAATTGGTTGGGTGTGGTGGCTCGTGCCTGTGGTCCCAGTTGCTGGGGAGGCTGAGGCAGGAGGATTGCTTGAGCTGAGGAGTTGGAGGCTGCAGTGAGCTATAATTGAACCATTGCACTCCAGCCTGGGCGAGAGAGTGGGACTCTGTCTAAATAAATAAATAAACAAATAAAAATGAAGCATAGAGTAAGAGCTGTGGTCAGGGAAGGCCTCTCTGAGGAAGTGACCAGGTAAAAGGAGGAAGTAAGCCATGAGAAATTTATAAAGGCTGGGAAATGTATAAAGAAAAGAGGTTTAATTTGCTCATGGTTCTGCAGACCGTACAGGACCACCATGACTCAGGTGGCTTACAGTCATGGCGTAAGGCAAAGGGGAACAGGCGCATCACATGCAGAAAGCAGGAGTGAGAGAAGGGGGAGGTCCCAGACTCTTAAACAACCAGATTTCTTTTCTCTTTTTTTTTTGAAACGGAGTCTCACTCTATCGCCCAGGCTGGAGTGCAGTGGCGCGATCTCGGCTCACAGCAACCTCCACCTCCTGGGTTCAAGTGATTCTTCTGCCTCAGCCTCCCGAGCAGCTGTGACTATAGGTGCCTGCCACCATGCCTGGCTAATTTTTGTATTTTTAGTAGAGACAGGGTTTCGCCATGTTGCCCAGGCTGGCCTCGAACTCCTGACCTCAGGTGATCTGCCCACCTCGGCCTCCCAAAGTGCTGTGATTACAGGCGTGAGCCACTGTGCCTGGCCAAAACATGTGTTTTGAGGCCCCTAGTTTGCTATTGTCCTGGACATACTAGCGTTCTTACTGATTTTAAAAGGGGTATAAATGATTTGGTGTGTCTTGATAGGTCTCATTCTATTTTGCTTCAAAGGCCACAAGCTATAATTATCATTGATTTTTGTTCTGTTGAAAATGTCTTTGTCAATATTCCCGGAGATATACAGCTTGTGAAAATCGTCCAAGATGAAAAGAATGTCTGCCCCCTTGATATTTGCTTAGGGAGTGAGGATAATGATCTCTTTGCAACTGATATTCTGCTTCAGAATATCATTTCTACCCAAATCAGACCAAAAAATCATTTGTTTTTTTCTTCAGGCTTTCCATCTGGGCTCTTTGTACCCACCTCTTTTTCTATGAGACGATTTGCCAGTAGAATACTCCATTTCAACAAACAGGTCTATGGAAAGAAGCAAACTAATTACATGCAGCTTCTTTTATGCTTGTGGCCCAGATTTAAGAGTTCCAGACCAGCCTGGGAAACAGATTTAGAAATGGAATCAAGTATTGACAGTGCTGTGATTGCTGAAGGCGGTCTACCTCTCCACCAGCACTGCCCATATGCTGGCAGGGTTCGAAAACCTTGTCTGAGTTGAGGAACAAGAAGAGGGCACCCCCAGGCCATCTCCCATGACCTTTGGAAGGTGCAGAAAAGCCTCGATGTCTCCATAGGAGGAAGCACAAAGTTGAGAGGAAGGGCAGGGCTCACACGCTGTCCAGGTGGCCTCTGAAGCAAATAATAGGGCCCTCCCTCTGGAGATTGGAAAGTGGATTTCCTGGTGGGGCCAGGGAAGACTAGGCTGGGTTTTCTGAGCAGGGCTTCGTTAAAGAGGGGACACCATCTATGCAGAGTCTACCCTATCCTCAGAGGTCAGCAGCAATAGATGGAACCAAGTCCAGCTGGATCTGGGGCCTCCTCACCTTGGACCTATAGTCAGCTACATTAAGACACCTCTGCTGTCTTCTTCCGTGTCCTGACCACTTCCATTTCCTGCTCTCCACACGAGGGCAGCTAGGAAGCGAGGCCTTGTAAAGAGAGGAGGCAGCAGGTATCACAGAACTAGACCAGGCCCACTCCCCAATCTCCTCATTCTCCCAGCAAGCAGTGTGAGTGCCCAGCTTGTGCTGGGAAGAGGAGGTGAAGCACTGTGAACCAGATATGCGAGTGGGGCTTGAAACAGGGCTGGCCTGAGCTTTACCAGGCTAAAGTGATGAATCTGCCCAAGATATTGCTAAGGGACTGAAGGGAGTTGGCATAGAGTGGAAGCAGTGATTAGAAAATAGAAAATGGGCTGGGCACCATGGCTCATGCCTGGAATCCCAGCACTTTGAGAGGCCAAGGAAGGCAGATCGCTTGAGCACAGGAGTTCAAGACAAGCCTGGGAAACATGGCAAAACTCCATCTCTTGTTTTTTTTTTTTTTTCTTTTTTGAGACAGCGTCTCACTCCAATGCCCAGGCTGGAGTGCAATGGTGTGATCTTGGCTCACTGCAACCTCTACCTCCTGAGTTCCAGCGATTCTCCTGCCTCAGCCTCTGGAGTAGCTGAGATTACAGGTGCCTGCCATCATGCCCGGCTAATTTTTATGTGTTTAGTAGAGATGGGATTTCACCACATTGGACAGGCTGGCCTTGAACTCCTGACCTGAAGTGATCTGCCCACCTCAGCCTCCCAAAGTGCTGGGATTACAGGGGTGAGCCCCCATGTCCGGCCAAAACCCCATCTCTACAAATACAAAAATTAGCCAGGCATGGTGGTGTGTGCCTTACTACAGGTACTCGGGAGGCTGAGGTGGGAGGATGGCTTAAGCCCAGGAGGCGGAGGTTGCAGTGAACCAAGATCACCCCACTGCACTCCAGCCTGGGCAACACAGCCAGACCTCATCTCAAAAAAAAAAAAAAAGAAAAAAGAAAAAGAAAATGGTTTCATGTTGATACCTCAATGAGGTGAGGCTTCTCAAGAAAACAACTGCACTTACACTCCTGTCTGGATACATTTCCCCCTCTCCTTTGATGTCCCCAGTCTGCCTCTTCTCTGACACTGGCAGTTCTGCCCTGAGGCCCTCTTCTCAGACAGCCCTGCAGCACTTTCTGCTACCCTTCTGTTTGGAACACTCAGAAGCCAAAGGTGCAACAACCTGTTGTTGACCTTTTCCTGCAGACTCCCCATTTCCTTGGGAGCTGTAGCCCAGGAATCCCGTAGTGGTAGGAGTCTAGCCCCAAGACTGTAGATCACTTAGGAGT
Source organism: Homo sapiens (assembly GCF_000001405.40). Classification (NCBI taxonomy): domain Eukaryota; kingdom Metazoa; phylum Chordata; class Mammalia; order Primates; family Hominidae; genus Homo; species Homo sapiens. Next base: position 76,659,807 of record NC_000017.11, read on the forward strand.
TTCTTCTGTGAGAACATTCACAAAAATCAGAGGGAGGATTTTGCCAGTGAGTGCAGCCATTCCCTGCGAGTCAGTAACCCTCTGCCCTGCATCCATCCCTGCAGGAAGGACCGGCCAAGAACAATCGCCTCCATGGATGAGCAGCCACCCGCACCGCCCGGGACAGGGCAAGTCCTCTGCGGCACGGTGCATTCACCATGTAATTAGAGTCTGAGTTGTTTTGCTGAGTCACCCTATGTTTATCACATATTTTGACACTTCCTTGACAGCAAGCAGATGCCCCAAATTTTGTGTTTGCCCTGCTGGCGGTTACAGTAAATCAATAATAGTAGATAAGAAAAACAAGTAAACATCTCAAGCCCTAAAATGCAATAAAATCTGTCATTAAAAAAAACGGCTAGGAGGAAATTTGAGGGTTATCCTGCATGAGCCACACCCAGAGCCATGCAGGGAACGAAGTCTGCAGGTCCCCCGCTCTACCTTGGTGTCACCCAGGCATCTGAGAAACTCATCCACAGAGTCCAGCCCGAAGTTGCCATTCCCCAGAATGAGGAGTCTCCAGGGCTGGAGGAGAGGCAGTCCCAGGATGCTCAGCTGGTTGCAACCCCTGTCCCCACTTGCATCTCACCCCAATCAATAGCACTATCATCAGGATTCACGTCCCTTTTTTTTTTTTTTTTATTGAGACAGTGTCTTGCTCTGTCACCCAGGCTGGAGTGCAGTGGTGTGATCTCAGCTCATTGCAACCTCACCTCCCAGGTTCAAGCTATTCTCCAGCCTCAGCCTCCTGAGTGGCTGGGATTACAGGTGCCTGCCACCACGCCCAGCTAGTTTTTGTATTTTTAGTAGAGACAGGGTTTCATCATGTTGGCCAAGCTGGTCTCAAACTCCTGACTTCAGGTGATCCGCCCACCTCAGCCTCCTGAAATGCTGGGATTACAGGTGTGAATCACCTTGCCTGGCCTCAGGTCCCATTTCTTTCCCATGCAAGAAATGGTGTCGAGAATCAGGACCAGGAAATGTATATGGGTGTGGGCATCCTGTTTTGTCAGAAAGCAACGAAATTATCAAAGACAAATTTGTTCCAAGTTCACAGATCCTATTAAATAACTGGCCTGTACTCTTAGGAAATGTCAAGGTCACAAAAGACAAAGAGACTGAGGAGCTATTCCACATTAAGTGACACTATAGAGACAGAGGTAAATGCAGTGTTTAATCATGGATTAGATCCTGGAACAGACTTTTTTTTTTTTTTACATTAAAAACATTGTCGGTCAACTGGCAAAGTATGAATACACTCATAGATTAAATAATAGAATTGTATGAATATAAGTTTCCTAATATTGATCATTGCTCGCGATTATTTAACAGTATGTTCTGTTCTTTACTACAATATTTACAGGAAAAGGACACTGTGATTCATTCTCAAGTGGCTAAAACGATATATATATGTATGCCTATATATGAGAGAGAAAAATAATTAAACAAATGTGGTAAAATGCTAACTACTGGGGAATCCGGGTGAAGGGCAGATGGGAGTCTGTTGTACTAGCCTTGCAACTTTTCTGTAAGTCTTATTTCAAACTAAAGAAAAATTACCAAAGGAGGCTGAGCGTGGTGGCTTACGCCTGTAATCCCAGCACTTGGGAGGCTGAGGCAGGCGGATCACCTGAGGTCAGGAGTTCGAGACCAGCCTAGCCAACATGGTGAAACCCCATCTCTACTAAAAATACAAAAATTAGCTGGGTGTGGTGGTACATGCCTGTAATCTCAGCTACTCAGGAGGCCAAGGCAGGAGAATTGCTTGAACCTGGGAGGTGAACTTTGCAGTAAGCTGAGATCGTGCCATTGCACTCCAGCCTGGGTGACAGAGTGAGACTCCAATTCAAAAAAAAAAAAAAAAATCCAAAGGAAAAAGAAGTTCCCAGGAGCCAACACAAAAGCTCCCCTTTCCATACAAACTATATTTTAGTGAAACCACATAACCAATGAGGGAAAGTTCTTTATAGAATTTATACAGTTCATTGCAAGAGGAATAATAGAATCAGAAAACCATCATTTTACGAACTCCTACGACAATGATCATAAATGAACACTAAGACCTTGAGGCAGAAGCTCAGGTTGATGGAGGGAACAGGCTGACTTCATTGGCCAATCCCAGTGTCATCAAACTTGGGGTGACAGATATAGCCCTGGGAAGAATTCTGGTCACAAATTTGAATGCATTTGCATACAGTCCAGCCTTTAGAGCTCAGCGCAGGAAGTGCATCGCATACCCCCTCAGCCAAATCCAGGTGAATATTCTGTAAGACCTGGCTTCTCTAGCAAATCAATGTCAGTTTTTAAAAAAGATGAGAAGACTTAGCTGGGCGCGGTGGCTCACGTCTGTAATCCCAGCACTTTGGGAGGCTGAGGTGGGCGGATCACCTCTGGTCAGGAGTTCGAGACCAGCCTGACCAACATGAAGAAATCCCATCTCTACTAAAAATACAAAATTAGCCGGGCATGGTGGTGCGTGCCTGTAATCCCAGCTACTCGGGAAGGCTGAGGCAGGAGAATCGCTTGAACCCGGTAGGCGGAGGTTGCGGTGAGCTGAGATCGCACCATTGCACTCCAGCCTGGGCGACAAGAGCAAAACTCCGTCTCAAAAAAAAAAAAAAAAAAAAAAAAGATGAGGAGACTGTTGTGGAATAAAAGAGACTTGGGGGCACAACTAATTGCAGTGGGTGGCTCTTGTTTGGATTCTGATTTGAACAAACCAACTAATTTCTTATTTTTTAAATTAAAAATTTTTTTTTTCAGACTGTCTCACTCTGTCACCCAGGCTGGAGTGCAGTGGTGCAGTCTCAGCTCACTGCAACCTCTGCCTCCCACGTTCAGGCGATACTTATGCCCCAGACTCCCAAGTAGCTGGGACTACAGGCACGCGCCACCATACCTGGCTAATTTTTGTATTTTTAATAGAGGCAGGGTTTTGCCATGCTGCCCAGGCTGGTCTCGAACTCCTGAGCTCAAGTGCTGGGATTACAGGTGTAAACCACTGCGCCCTAAACCAAGCAATTTCAATAATCGGATATTAAATAACATTAAGGAATTATTACATGTATTAAAGGTGACAGTGATATGGTGATTATGTTTTTTTAAAATGTTCTTATTTTAGAAACAGGGTCTCACTCTGTCACCCAGGTTGGAGTGCAATGGCTTAATCATAGCTCACTGCAGCCTCAAACTCTTGGGCTGAAACAATCCTTCCCCCTCAGCCTCCTGAATAGCTGGAACTACAGCAACGCCACAACGTCCAGCTAAATTGTTTATTTTTTGTAGAGATGAAGTCTCACTTCATTACCCAGGCTGGTCTCAAACTCCTCTGCTCAAGTGATCCTTCTGCCATAGGCGTGAGCCACCGCAATTTAGATTATCTTATTTCCTTTTTTTTTTTTTTTTTTTTGAGACAGAGTCTTACTCTGTTGCCCAGGCTGGAGTGCAATGGCGTGATCTCAGCTCACTGCAACCTCCACCTCCCGGGTTCAAGCGATTCTCCTGCCTCAGCCTCCCGAGTAGCTGAGATTACAGGCCTGTGCCACCACGCCTGGCTAATTTTTGCAGTTTTTAGTAGAGATGGGGTTGCATCATGTTGGCCAGATCTTGAACTCCTAACCTCAAGTGATTTGCGTGCCTTGGCCCCCCAAAGTGCTGGGATTACAGGCATGAGCCACTGCGCCCAGTCTAAATTCTCTTATTTCCAAACACGAATTCGTTCCCTTTTTTCCCACCAGTCAAGGCTTTAGAAAATACGGCTGTCATGTCCTTCTTGTCCTTGCCTGGTGGTCTGGTGTCTGCTTTGACCCCCACCACCCCGCCAAACCTCATCACCTGCCCTTCAACAAAAAGTAACTCAATATGTGGCCAAGACCTCCAGCTTATATAGCATGGTCAAAAAAGACCAATAAAGTTGTAGGTAAGAGATAGGACAAAAGTAAGTGGCTGTAGGCTTTTAAGGGTGGGAAACTGGGAGAACACTAAAGGAGGAAGGAAGGTTTGTAGATTCCTCTGGTGCCCTCTCTGGGCTGGTAAGTCTCGAGTGGTCTCCAGTAAAGCAGAATTTCTATGCCTGCCTTTAGGCAAAAAAGGGGAAGGGTAGAGAAAGCTTTTCCTGTGTTTGCTGCTTTTGTTTTTGTTTTTGTTTGGAGATGGAGTCTCACTCTGTCGCCCAGGCTGGAATGCAGTGGCGCCATCTCGGCTCACCGCAAACTCCACCTCCTGGGTTCAAGTGATTCTCCTGCCTCAGCCTCCCGAGTACCTAGGATTACAGGTGCCCACCACCACGACCAGCTAAATTTTTTGTATTTTTAGTAGGGATGGGGTTTCACCATGTTGACCAGGCTGGTCTCGAACTCCTGACCTCGGGTGATCCACCTGCCTCAGCCTCCCAAAATGCTGGGATTACAGGCGTGAGCCACCACACCCAGCCTGTTTGCTATTTTTAAATTGCCTTTAGCTCAAAATAATTTTTATGCCACAGTGGCATATTTTGGGGCATAATATTCTGGTTTCTTACACTTGCAAGTGTCGTTCCCAAGTGCATGCCCCACTAAACTGCTTGTGCACAAATCTCCATAGGACCTGTTTCCAGGTGACTCAAGCTCAGGCAATCAGTCCCAGGAGTGGTCCTAACAAACAGACTCTAACATGGGATTTGAAGCTGGATCACCCTCTGACAGTGAGGACCCCATCACTAACCTATGTAGGGTACTGATAGCCCAAAGTTGTCAAAACTTTCCCTGAAGGTAGCCTGGATGGAATCATGGTGGAACAGAACCGACTATCTCCAAGGCCTCCAACAGGAGAGGGTCATTTTATACCTCCTTATGCGCCAGTGTGGAGTGGAAGAGTCAGGACACATTCCAGGGTAGGGGGAGAGGACACGGTACCCTTGAAATTTGTTTATTTTGATGACTGAAGGAAGACAGGATTTATATTCTCAGGGCAAAAAGTTCAAACATTAGAGATAAAGCTAAAGCCTTTTCCTTCTCTCCCTCCTTCCCTCCTTTCTTTTCTTTTCTTTCTTCTTTCTTTTTCTTCTTTTTGAGACAGGGTCTTATTCTGTTTCCCAAGCTGGAGTGCAGTAGTGCAAACAGGGCTCACTGCAGCCTCAACCTCCTGGGCTCAAGGGATTCTCGCACCTCAGCCCCCTGAGTAGCTGAGACTATAGGTGTGCACCACCACACCTGGCTAATTTTTAAATTTTTCTTTAATTTTTACTTTATTTATTTATTTATTTATTTATTCGTATAGAGATAAGGTCTTGCTATGTTACCCAGGCTGTTTTTGAGCTCCTGAGCTCAAGTGATACTCCCATCTCAGCCTCCCAAAGTGCTGGGATTACAGGCATGAGCTACTGAATCTGGCCTTCTGATTTTTCTGTAGAGACGAGTCTCACCATGTTGCTGAGGCTGGTCTCAAACTCATGGATTCAATCAATCCTCCCACTTTTGTTGCGGTAAACTGAGGAACGGAGAGACCAATATGGCCTCCCAAAGTTTAAAGTCTTTCTTTACTATCACACTTGTCTTTAAGGGCGGAGGGGAGAGCCTTTCTTGGCAACCATTTCAACCCCACTGTTAGTAGTATGTTATATACCCCTCTCTATAGAACTCTCTAGGTAATATTTATGAGGGTGTAACATAAATGAGATCATATTACACCACTGCTGTGCAATTGCTTGTTTTACTTAACCATGTGTCTTTTTTCTTTTTCTTTTCTTTTCTTTTTTTTTTTTTGAGACAGAGTCTTGCTCTGTCGCCCAGGCTGGGGTGCAGTGGCACGATCTCAGCTCACTGCAACCTCCGTCTCCTGGGTTCAAGAGATTCTCCTGCCTCAGCCTCCTGAGTAGCTGGACTTACAGGCACCCGCCACCACACCCAGCTAATTTTTGTATTTTTAGTAGAGATGGGGTTTCACCATGTTAGCTAGGCTGCTCTCAAACTCCTGACCTTTGGATCTGCCCACCTCGGCCTCCCATAGTGCTGGGATTACAAGCATGAGCCATTGCGCCCGGCCGACCATGTGTCTTAAGGATCTTTCCTTGTAGGTAGGTAGCATGGCTTCATCCCTTTTAACTGCTGCTAACTGCTGCATAATAGCCTGTAAGTTAGGCTGTTCCCAATTTTTCTTATCACACAGATGTTGTTGTAAACATCCCTGGACATATTTCCGTGGACTCCAAAATGTTTCTCTAGGGCAGATATATGTAGGATTATTCCATCATAGCGTATCTTGTTTACATTTTAATAAATTATATAAAATTGCTTGACCATTTATTAAAGTTAATACAATTTTAATAATTATATCATATTACTATTAGCAGAGTGTAATATGACTTTCCCTATACCCTTGACAAAATATGACATTATCAACCTTTCAATATTTTGGTGCTCTGGTAGTTTAAGAATTTTTTTAAAAGATTATTGCTTTCATTTGCATTTGTCTGATTACTGAGGTTGAGCATCTTTTTTCATATTTATTGACCACTTGCTTCAATGAATTTTCATACCCTTTGCTATGTTCTTTTCTTTCTCTGCAATTTAAAATAGAAAATAAAACACCCAGGTAAACAAAACCTAGACATTCTTGTGTGTGTATAATTTTTTTTTCCCGTTGTGATAAACTGCAACTGCAGTTTCTCAAATGCCTTCAACCTGAAATAATCAATTTACTAAATCTGCATTTTTCTTTTTTGAGACAGGGTCTCGCTCTGTCACTCAAGCTGGAGTGCAACTGATCATGGCTCACTGCAGCTGTGTCCTCCTGGGCTCAAGCAATCCTTCCACTTCAGCCTTCCCAGGTAGCTGACACTACAAGCACGCGCCACCACGCTCAGCTAATTTAAAAAAAAATTTTTTTTTGTAGATTTGGGGTCCCTCTATTGCTCAGGCTGGTTTTGAACTCCTGGGCTCAAGTAATCCTACCACTTCAGCCTCCCAAAGTCTTGGGATTACAGGCATGAGCCCTGCACCTGGCCCCAATCTGCATATTTTCAGGTTGATCATCCTTAATTCCTTCAGTGGCTAACATACATTCACATTGTTGTGCAACCATTGCCACCATCCATCTCCAGAACTTTTTCATCTTCCCCAACTGAAACTCTGTAGCCATTAGACAATAACTCTCCAGGCCAGGTGCGGTGGCTCATGCCTGTAATCCCAGCACTTTGGGAGGCCGAGGTGGATGGATCACTTGAAGTCAGGAATTTGAGACCAGCCTGGCCAACATGTTGAAACCCCATCTCTACTAAAAATACAAAAATTAGCCAGGCGTGTTGGCACGTGCCTGGAATCCCAGCTACTCTGGAGCTTGAGGCACGAGAATGGCTTGAACGCGGGAGGCGGGGATTGCAGTGAACCGAGATCACACCACTGCACTCCAGCCTGGGCAACAGAGCAAGACTGTGTCTCAAAAAAAAAAAAAAAAAAAGGATAATAACTCTCCAGTTTCCCCTCCTCTCAACCCCTGACAATCACCCTTTAACTTTCTGTCTGTATGAATTTGTCCAGTCTAGATACCTTGTATGAGTGGAATCACAGAATATCTGTCCTCTTGTGTCTGGTTTATGTCGCTGAGCGTAAGATGAGGGCTGCTTGCTTTTTGGCATGTCCAAAGCCTTGTGGGTTGTGGAGGATCCACTGGCCTGATACCTCTAGGAAGTGGGCAGTTGTCCCAACCGGGCCATGCTCCAGGGACCCCTCACTCCCAGCTGTGCAGCCCCCGTGGAGGGGGCAGTCCTCTTCAGTATGCCTGGACAGGGGTTCCCTTCTTCATGCCTCTCAAGGACTCCTCAGGGTGGAAGCAGTACAGCCTCAAAGCTAAGAGCCCCCAGTTCTGCACCAGGCAGAGTGGATTTGAATGCCTCCTGCTTCTTATTCACTAAGTTGGGCTAGTTACTTAGCTTCTCTGTGCTTGGATTTTCTCACCTGTAAAATGCAGAGGTCGGGTGTGGTGGTTCATAACTGTAATCGCAGCACTTTGGGAGGCCGAGGTGGGAGAATGACTTGAGCCAAGGAGACTGAGGCTGCCGTGAGCTGTGATGACGCCACTGAACTGTAGCCTGGGCGGTAGAACAAGGTCCTGCCTACAAAAAAAAAAAAAAAGGCAGATGCCAGCACTAATAATCATAGTGGATACTTTGCTGTGCTACCCTTATCTCTCATTAGGAATGAAGGATCTTTAAGGATCTTTCCCCCAGTTCTTGGAGTGCTGCTGCCGTCAAAAAGCCTCCACTGTCATCATGTATGGGGGTGGGGGTGCTACTTCACTGGGGAGAGTAGCTTCACAACTACTCCCCACAGTGTCTGCTCAGCCTCTACTGAGACTGCATCACAGCTCTCCCTCCTCCCTGCGCTGAGTCCTCTCCCTTTCCTCCTCCTCCTGCAGGTCTTGACCTGGGAGCACCCCTAACAAACCTCTTACGTGCCGACCTCCACCTCCATTGGCTTCCTGGAGACTCAACCTGCCACGTATCATGTTTCTCACAAGGACTAAATTGCATAGAACATAAAGTTCTAAGCTGGGCGCTGTGGCTCACGCCTGTAATCCCAACACTTTGGGAGGCAGAGGTGGACAGATCACTTGAGGGCAGGAGTTCGAGACCAGCCTGGCCAACATGGTGAAACCCTGTTTCTACTAAAAATACAAAAATTAGCCAGGCATGCCTGTAATCCCAGCTATTTGGGAAGAGGATGCATGAAAATTGTTTGAATCCTGGAAGGCAGAGGTTGCAGTGAGCCAAGATTGCACCACTGCACTCCAGCCTGGGCGACAGAGAGAGACTTCATCTCAAAAAAAAAAAAAGAACATAAAAGTTTTTATCCCAGAGCTAGACACAGCGAACAATAAACATTAGTTGGTATCATTATACTTTCTTTTCTCTAATGGTTACAAATGAAAAAATAAATAAAATTCCTCTCAAAAGGCCAAAGGGGGCTGGGTATGATGACTCATGCCTGTAATCCTAGCACTTTGGGAGGTGAAGGCAGAAGGATCACTTGAGGTCAGGAGTTTGAGACCAGCCTGGCCAACACAGTGAAACCCTGTCTCTACAAAAAATACAAAAATTAGCCGGGTGTGGTGGCACGTGCCTGTAATCCCAGCTACCAAGGAGGCTGAGGCTGGAGAATCGCTTGAACCCGGGAGGCGGAGGTTGCAGTGAGGGGAGATCACACCACTGCACTCCAGCCTGGGTGACAGAGCGAGACTCTATTTCAAAACAAAAACAAAAAGTCCCAAGGAGAGACCACAATATGTGCTCATGGTGCCATTCTGACTGGGATCTTTTATCTTCAATGCTATATATATATACATAGGTATATACATGCTTTATTGAGATATAATTAACATACCATACAATTCATCTATTTAAAGCATACAATTCAATGGCTTTTTGTACATTCAGAGTTGTGCAACCATCACTAATCATTTTAGAACATTTTCATTACGTGTCCTCCCCCACCAAAAACCCCTGTACCCATCAGCAGTCACTTCTCTTCCCTCCTCCCCACCCCCAGCCTCTGGCAACCATAAATCTACTTTCTGTCTCTATAGATTTGGCTATCCTGGACATTTCATGTAAATGGAATCATACACTATGTGGTCTTTGTGTCTGACTTCTGTCACTTAGCGTGATGTTTTCAGAGTTCATCCAAGTTGCAGAATGTATCAGTACTTCATTCCTTGTTACTGTTGAATATTCCGTGATGTGGATAGATCACATTTTGTTTATCCATGCATCCAGTTGATGGATGTTCTTTCCACCTTTTAGCTTTTTTTTTTTTGAGACAGAGCCTCCATCTGTCACCCAGGCTGGAGTGCGGCGGCGCAATTTTGGCTCACTGCAACCTCTGCCTCCTGGGTTCAAGTGATTCTCCTGCTTCAGTCTCTGCAGTGGCTGGGATTACGGGCATACCATCACGCCCAGCTAGTTTTATTTTTATTTTTGTATTTTTGTATTTTTTTAGTAGAGAAGGAGTTTCATCACGTTGGCCAGGCTGGTCTTGAACTCCTTACCTCAGGTGATCTGCCCACCTTGGCCTCCCAAAGTGCTGGGATGACAGGCGTGAACCACTGCACCTGACCACCTTTTAGCTATTATTTCCGCTTTTTGGCTATCATGAATAATGCTGCTCCAAGCATCCATGTACAAGTTTTTACGTGGACATATGTTTTCATAGGCATATGCCTAAGAGTACGTACATATTCTTTCGGTTATACACCTAAGAACGGAATCGCTGCGTCATTTGGTATCACTTTAATATTGGGAGAAACTGCCAGTTTTCCAAAGCAGCTGCACCATTTTGCATTTCCATGAAGAGTGTGTGAGGGTTCCAATTCCTCCACTTCCCCACCACTTGTTATTATCTGTCTTTTTTATTATAGCCATCCTCGTGATGTAAAGCGGTGTCTTGTTGTTGCAGTTTTTGATTTGCATTTGATTGACATGTTGAGCATCTTTTCATGTGCTTATAGGTTATTTGTGTATCTTTTCTGGGAAAATGTCTATTTAGATCTTTTGCTTATTTATTGAGTCTTATTCAATGTTTTGAGTTTTGTTTTCTTCATCTGTAAAAGAATGTTACAGCCTTCATAGAGCAGTGATTAATGAGAACATTTATTTGCAAGGCACACAGCACAGTGCTCTGCAGGGCACTTGGCATGCACTCCAAAAAGTTATCAAAACTTCCTGTCACCTTGCCTTGCAAGTAGAAACCAAGTGGAGTTCGTTCTGCATTACGTCACCTACCATAGTGTTTTGCATGAAGACAGGCTCAATAAATGTCTGAGAGTAAATGGACCAATTCACAACATTCAATATTCAAATCTGAATCCTCTGTGCTTTGCCCCCTTTCTCCCATTTCTCTCATTGAACCTTTTCTTCCTGGAACAATTTTCTTAATTTTATTCCCCTTGCCAGCTGCCTCCTCTTCTGAAATTTAACTTGCAGTATCATTGAAGCTGAGTACAAAGAGAACCAAAGACACCACCTGTGGCAGTCCCGAGGTGAATGTGATAAACCATTGAAGGAGCTGAGCGTCTGACAGCCTGTGAGCATAGCCTGTCCCATCTTAGTAAGAGCCACAAAAAGTAATTAAAGTACTGAAAAGAATGAGAAAAGGGAGATTTTCAAAAACGCTGATTGCAGACTGAGTTATTTAACACGGTTCAGCAACCGTGGTCTGAGGAATTTTCACTTGTAGAGGACTCAGGCCGCCATCAGGCCCGAAGAGTCCAGGTTGGTGGGGCCACTCCCCGCGGTGTGGAGCCTGCAGGGGGCCACGACTGGGTGCAGAAAAGGAATGTGATCATTCAGCCGAGTGGTAAGTCCAACCCATTTCACGCGCACTCAGCCTGCACTCTACGTGCTCTGGTAAAGCCCAGCTGAGGTGCCTGGGGCAGGACTTGAAAGGGCAAGCACAGGTGAGGGAAGGTGTGACTGTCAGCCCAGTACCAGACACCACGGTGAGATGTGAAGCTGGGTGTGTACGGAACTGCTGGTTTTACCTTAGGCCTGGGACAATAGGGAATGTGAAAAGCAAGGGTGTGTGTGTGTGTGTGTGTGTGTGTCTTGGCGCCAGCTGCAGTACCGCCGTCTGAAACCCCCTGAAACCCTGGGCCACCCTCTGAATCTGCTGCTCGAGGGCAAGCCTGGGAGCGTCAGGGGGAGGAAGGTGGAGACACAGGTGTCCCAGAGGGCAGGGACTGGTTTCAGCTCATCTTGGTATTCCCGGGCCCAGCTTGGTGCCCAAGGACCGTTCGTGGAGCTCATGAAATGCTCCCCCAGGCCCGGCACGGTGGCTCACGCCTGTAATCCCAGGCCGGGCTGGGCCGCATTCTCATTGGACGATGGCCTTTGTCAATCACTGAGGGAAATAGATCTTGAGTGTGGCCGGACATCCGGGGCTTTCCACCCTCGGCGTGGGGCGGGCTTGAGGTGGGGAAGATGGAAGGATGCGATACCCAATGGGGATCAAGGCCTTTGGCTTCGCGGCAGATTGGCAGGTGCTTGAACCACTGAAATGCCGCAGAGGGATACCGGCGCTATGGCAGTGATTGGTTCACTTCGCGGGTGGGTGGTTTTCTCCGTGCGTTGGTCCCTACAGTAGATAAAACGGGCACAGTAGCTAAAATTAACGCCTAAGTAAAACCGCTGCCGGTGAGTTTTGGGAGTATTTTCGCTTTTTTGAAAGTTAGTATTTTGGCTCTCACAAAGCCTCCTGATTTTAGTAGGCTTTCCCTGGAATGACCCAGATTCCTTTTCGTTACCTTAGTTAAGGCACCCCCTCCCCGTGCAGGGTCAGGGTTGGAAAACTACCGCGCTGAGCCCAAATTACCGCGAAGATCGTCGGAAATGTGCGCAACTCAGCTAAAGCGGAGATTTAATGGATGGTATTCAGTAGAAAATGGGACAAGACATGAATGGACAGTTTACAGGAAAAAAAAATGCAAGGGGCCCCTAAACATTTAAGTGGGTGCTCAGCCTTTTTCATAATCAGAAGAATGCAAACGAAAACCTCACTGAGCTAAGGCTTCTGATCCATCAGATTGTCAAAAATCCAAAAGTTTAACAAGCGAGGTACGCTGTTAAGGACAATACAGGAACCTGATCTGTCCTGCATTGTTGGGAGGGAGTGCAAATTTACCTTTGACCCGCAATCCACCTCTAGAATCTACTCTGAAAGTAAACTTGCACAAATATGAAAACAGCATACGCGCAAGGTTTTATTTGTAGTGGCACTGTATGAATTTGCAAGACTGGAAACCATGCAGATGTCCATGAGAGGGGGAGTGGCTGAGTAAACTGGTACATCCGGGCTGGTACTACAGCCCAGCTGACTCTGTGGCGTTAAGAAAAATGAGGAAAACTACAATATTTTCTATGGCGTGATTTGTCTCCAGAGATGATGTATATTGGCTGCTACCGTTAGCAAAAAGAAGCACTGAAACGATAAAACCAAAACTGATAAAATTGATAGCGTAAATGGTGGAGAATCCGGTGGAAGCCCTAGAGGGGTTCCACCAAAAGAAAAATAAGGTGACAATAATAATAGTAAAAAGAATCTGTGGCAGTAGGAATCTGCCAGGCTTCCTGTTCTGGAACCCAGCACTAGACCCGGAAAGGCATGTTTGGCTGGGTGGGCCTCAAGTTACTTATAATTGGTGGCCATGCTATAGCCTGAGTGAAGGATTTCTGGTACCCTGCCGCTCTCCAAAAAGACGTCTCTTTGGGAACTCTAGAACTGGAATGGTCCATCAGCACCTGCCTTTTGGCAGAGAGGGCAGGCCTTTGTACCCCACTAGTGACTTGGTTTGGAGGTGGGCTGCCCCCAGAACAGGATGTAATCTTGGGCAAGGCAGCTGCTGTCAGGCTGGGCACAACCTCCCCCTCAAGGCTGTGAGGAGGGAAGAAAGGAAACAACTTCTACTTTCTTTAAAGTAGGAAACCTCCTCATCTGCCACCTCTCCTGCAGTGAGAAGTAGAGACTAGACGTGGATACTCCCACATAGGATACTGGGGCCTAATGGATGACTGTGGGCCTCCACCAGGCGCAGGTGACCCTGCAGATATGATTCAGAGGCAGCCTCTCGCTGCTGTTCATCAGCAGCCTGATTCCATGTGGACTATACTGTTGCTTTCAGAAATCATGGTCTGCCTGGACCTAGCCAGGCTCACTGTTGAAGTCTTGTTGTGTGCTCTTCCTTCCAGGCCCAGAGAGCTGCCCAGTAGATCAACTTGGGCTTTCTATCAGGCTCTAAGTACAGGCAGGTCCTTAGGACAAATTAGAATAAAACAATCTCAGAGTGATCTGGTCTTAGTATAATTACTTACATTTTCAAATTAAAAAAAAAAAAGGAAAACCAGTAACAAATCAGCCACGGCAGAGAGGGGTACTGGGAGTTGATAGAAAATTTGTCCTCAGTTGTAGGTTACTCTTAAAGCAGCTTAGATTGCATGTTTTCTTCAGGGTCATTGGAAAAGGTGGTTACCGTCAGTCCAGGAAGTGGGGAGCCAGCTAATTGTATCCAGATGGAGGTACAGTGGACGCTTTGAGGGAAGGAGGCCCTGAAACGTCTCTAGCAAGCAGGCTTTGGTAAACAGAACTGCAGATACTGATGAGTGACAGTCCACTGCTATTTGTGTCATGTAGGCAGGCCAGCCTGGGGCAGGGTTCTCAGCAGTGATGGAGGGCAGGGGAGAGATGTAAAGGCTTTGAGACTGGTTCCCATCGCTGGAAAGAGGCTCTGTGCAGCTGAATGCTTTAGGTTCTCTCAACCCCCACACCCAGAGAGAGTTCCATTGGGATTGGCTTCTGTAGGCCTCTGTGGCTCTTAGGTTCTTGGTGGCAGTGACATACATACTGGTGATTCTCTGACATGGCTGCCAGGTAGACATCTTTCTCTCGGTGTTTGCGCTCTTTCTCCCACACTGCTGTTTCTTTCTGCCCTCCTTTATGCTTTTTAGCTTAGATTTGGTTCATTCACTGAAATGAATCTCTGTGAGCTGATGAGAACAATCTCAGATGAGGTAGCAGAAATGGTGTCAACAGAGGCCAGCACTTACGGGGAATAGATAGGAGCCACCCAACACCACAGCAAATCAGCAGTGTTTCCATGAAGTGTCCAAGGCCAGGGGTGGGGCCTGGGCGGTGGACACCCACCACCGAGGAAGAGGAGGATGCTGAGCACTTCAGACACTGGCTTCCGAGTGCCCACCAAGCCCTGTCCTGGACCTCATAGGAAACCCAACTGGAACAGGTGTCTCCCCAACACCCATGCTCCCTTTTATCACAGATCCCCAGTGAAATTCAGTTACCTTCTCCTCCAGATGGCCATGTATTCAGGGGATGCTGGGCCCAGCCCCAGGCTCCAGGGGTCTAGGCCAATCATGCTGGTCCCATGTCCTTGCCCATGATTGGTTGAAACATGGGCACGTGCCATATTCTGGCCAATTGGGATCTGAAGGGATGTGGGGCGGGGACATCTGGACCAGTTCCCTTACGCCTAGAGACGCAAGCAAGACATGCCCTTTTCTTGCTTCTGGATGAGATACCTGAACTCCTGCAGCCATCTTGCCACCATGAGGAGAGCTAGTCTCCAATAAAAGCCCACAGTACGAGGAAGACTGAGCTAAGAGAACTGCAGCTTGAGCTCCGACCATTCTGGGCCTGGAGTTGTTCTAACTCTTGGCTTCTCACGTGAGAGAGCCCTGTTCTTGTTTAAGCCAGTTGAGCTGGAGTTTTCTGTCGTTGCAGTCAGAACATCTTAGCTGGTACAAGTGTACAAAAATTCCTTCAGTTTACTTTTCCCAATGCCATCAGGATTTTGACTCAAGTACACGAGTCATTCCTGTTTGGTATAATCAGAAAAGAAAGGAGAGGGAGAAGAAAGTGGGCAATGGAAACACAGGAGCTTTGCAGTGCAGCCTTGGGAGGGATAAGGGCACCTACGGGTTTGCCCTGCCCACCGATGTGCATTTAGGGGACAGAGACATTAGCTGAGGTAAGGGGTCCCTAAGACCTGAGACAGAACAAATAATTTTTTTTTTTTTTTTTTTTTTTTTTTGAGACAGAGTCTTGCTCTGTCACCCAGGCTAGAGTGCAGTGGCGCGATGGCTCACTGGAACCTCCGCCTTCTGAGTTCAAGCGATTCTCCTGCCTCAGTCTCCTGAGTAGCTGGGATTACAGGCGTGCGCTACCACGCCTGGCTAATTTTTGTATTTGTAGTAGAGACAGGGTTTTGCCATATTGGCCAGGCTGGTCTTGAACTCCTGACCTCAAGTGAACAGAGAATTCTTAAATCATAACATGGTTAAATGCTTTTGACAAAACACATTAAAACAATTTCAAGAAGGAAAAAAGCACTGACCACAAAAAGAAAGAAAAACACTCGTATTTGGATCCAACAACAGACACAGAGAGTGAATGGTCAGCAAGAAACAAAAGGAATCAGAGTGGAACAGAGAGGGGCTCCCGAAAAACCCCTGGCAGGCAAGAGGCGACGGCGGGAAGTTAACCTCATGATGGTGAGCATGAGGCATGGAAATGCCACTGCTCCACTTTTTTTTTAAGGTAGTGTGTTGATTGAGCTTTATTTCAGCAAACAAAAAATATTTCTAAGAACTTGCATAGGTTCTGTCGTTAGCATACCCTCCCTAACTCAGTTTGCTCAAGAACTGTGAATTGTCCTGCCAGTGGGGTGATCAGAAATGGGACCTGCATGGTATGAGGACCAGTTATCCCCATCATTGTATGTTCACTCACAAAGACAGAACAATCCCCTCCGGTGTCACAGGCACTGTTCTGTAAGATCACTTTGGCATTTTATTGAATACTTTCTGGTGAGGTTCTCTTTCCCTGCACACAGGCTTTTCTTCCCTAAAGGCCTCTAACCTGCTGGAAGATAGGGACCAAGTTGAGTATTTTATTTCTTCTGTCTACAGCATCCAGCATAGTTCTAATTAAATACAATTAGGCAAGTACTCAAATAAGTCTTGCCTAATTATATTTAAAGTAAGTATCCTGCTTAAGTGAGAGAAATTCTTGGCAGATCTTACCTCTAGTACTATTGTTTAGTGCCAGGATGGAAGGTGAGTCTCTGAATTAGACTTTTTGCTGAAAGAACGCTCCCAGCTGGGCATGGTGGCTCACGCCTGTAATCCTAGCACTTTGGGAGGCCGAGGCAGGTGGATCACCTGAGGTCAGGAGTTCGAGACCAGCCTGGCCAACATGGTGAAACTCCATCTCTACTAAAAATACAGAAATTAGCTGGGTATGGTGGTGCATGCCTGTAATCCCAGCTACTAGGGAGGCTGAGGCAGGAGAATCACTTGAACCCAGAAGGTGAAGGGCACAGTGACCAGGCGCCAGAGTGAGACTCTGTCTCAAAAAGAAAAAGAAAAAAACGCTCTCCTTTAGCTGGATGTAGTGGTACACACCTGTAGTCCCAGTTACTCAGGCTGAGAGGAGGATTTTGTGCGCCTGGGAGGTCAAGGCTGCAGTGAGTCATGATGGCACCACTGCACTCCAGCCTGGGTGACAGTGAGACCTCGTCTCAAAAACAAAAACAAAACAAAAAAACCATGCTCCCCTACAGCTTTCTTCCCTACAGTTACAGAAGCTTCCAGAAATCCTCGTAAGGCAGAATAAGAGTGTAGTATTGGCCGGGCATGGTGGCTCACGCGTGTAATCCCAGCACTTTGGGAGGCCAAGGTGGGCGGATCACCTGAGGTCAGGAGTTCGAGACGAGCCTGGCCAGCATGGCAAAACGCTGTCTCTACTGAAAATACAAAATTAGCCAGGTGTGATGGTGCATGCCTGCAATCCCAGCTACTCGGGAGGCTGAGGCAGGAGAGTCGCTTGAATCAGGGAGGTGGAGGTTGCAGTGAGCCAAGATCACGCCACTGCACTCCAGCCTGGGAGACAGAGTGAGACTCCATCTCAAACAAACAAAAAAAGATTTGGATCAGGAGAGGGCCTCAGAGCCCAATAACAGCTGGAACCTCACCAGCAAGCAGAAACCAGAGGGGTCAGGGACTTTGTCTTCTGAATAAAACAATTTTGATTCCTGCAAAGTAATATACACACTGCAAGAACTCGGCAAGTACCTATAGAATGTACGCCTGCATCTATGTTTATAAGGGAAAATTAGGCCTACAGAAGTCTGGAAAGAACAAGGGCATGGGGCAAGGGTGGGGACAGCATCAGGCATGGCCGCTGTGCATCCCGTGGGCGCAGTCTACATGTCGTAGAGCCGGAGCTGCTCCTGCACGTCGCCGTCGGACATCTCGCCAAACGTCTCCTTGTTGTCTTTCATGAGCTTGAAGATGGCAGCCAGCTGTTCCTTCTGAACTCTGTCGAGAAGAAAGGACAAAGAGGAAGAAGGTGCTCCTAGCCCACTGGGGAGAGAGGGAGCCTGTGTGCAGCCGGCGGAGTTGGGACTCTCCTCTCTCTTGTGTGACTGCGGTTGCTTTTCAGAACAAGAAGAAAATGAAAATAAAACCCACTTAGAACATCGGAGCTGGTTGGGTCTGACACACGCAACTTTTGAGGGCTCTAAAAACTGGGATGCGAAATCTCAGGTTTGCCGGGGAGGTTTGGGGACCCCAGGTATCACTTAGGTGCTCTGTGCCTCAGTTTCCCTTTGGGCCTCATTTGATTGTTGACTGCATGTCCCACAGTGATGTAATGAGGAAGAAGATAGGCTCCATGAAGCAGCTTGAGGTAGTGCTATGAAGAAGTAGGTTAGAAACAGCCTTCGTTGAGAGGAATGAGCCGAAAGTGGAGAAAGAAAAAACATTATCAGCTGGGAAATCAGGGAGCATACAAGTGTGTGCAAGACGGTGCTTGGCAAAGGAGCGGGGAGGGAAGCCTGTGGGGTTTCACTGGCCAGAGAAAGGGGGGTGCCTTTTCCTAATTTGCACAAGATACCCTATGGCAGGTGGCGGCCCTGCCCCTTTTATCAAGGGATGGGTGTGGAGGAAGACTGGCCTAAATGTTTGCTCCACGCGGGTTCTGTGCTGGGAGCAATGTCTTGTTATCTTTATGAGGCTCAGCTACACCATCTGACCAGCACAGGACAACTTCTGCAGCACAAACACCTCAGGTGGGGCGAGGCGGCTGCCGAACCCAGGGAGCCATATGTTTGTTGTTTGCTCCACTCTGGTGCCCTGTGCTCCTCAGCCCAGCCGGGCACTGCATCCTGGCTGCATCTCACTCTTCTGGTTTCTGCAGTTCCTGCCCCCCACACACCACGGGCTCAGTGCCTTCAGAGAACGTAAACCACATCACAGTGTCGGACCTCTCAGCCCTGCTCTGCAGCTGGGTCGGCTGTAAGCACGTTACAGGCTCTGCAACCGCAGGACCTCAGCATAGCCCTGGGCCACTGGCATCCCCCACACTGCCTGGAGGGGTGGTCTCCACGTTCGCTCCCATACTTTTGCTACCATATTCCTTTGCTTCACCCTTCCCTCCTCTCCTCAGCCCCGCATCTTCCATCCTGCAAAATTTTCTGTCTAGAGCAGCATCTAGTAGTTGAAATACTGAAGTCCCACTTCCCAGCCTCCCTTGTCCCCTGGGAAAGCTGTGTCTACAGTCGGTTCCCCTGTCTGGTGAAGCAGCAGCCTATGATGTGTGCTTTGTGCCCTCCTGTAAGAAGAAAGAGGGTCAGGTGCAGTGGCTCATGCCTGTAATCCTAGAACTTTAGGAGGCCAAGATGGGAAGATCACTTGAGCCCAGGAGTTCAAGACCAGCCTGAGCAACATAGTCAGACTCTGTCTCTATAAAACAATTAGCCAGGTGTGGTGGTGAGCACCTGTAGTCCCAGCTACCTGGGAGGCTGAGACGGGAGGATCACTTAAGCCCACGAGGTCCAGGCCACAGTGAGCTGTGATTGCACCACTGCACTCCAGCTTGGGCAACAGAGGGAGGCCCTGTCTCAAAAAAAAAAAAAAAAAGAAGAAGAAGAGGAATTCCCGTGAACAGAAAGGATGTGCTGAGCTCTGTGGATGGAAGCACAATCCATATGTCCCTGAGTGAACACAGATCATGTCATGTGGTTTTGACAGCCATGGTGACTGCATATTTTTTAACAGGGTGGATGTATGGCTTTGTACTCTGCTGCAGAGTAAGAGGCATCAAAATGAAAGAAAGGTCAAACTTCAATGGGTTCAAAAGGGATTTTGTTTTAAAACAAAGCAAACTGAAAAAACACACAGTAATTGAGATCATCTACTCAAAGTTTATTGGACTGAACAAAGGCTGAATACAGAGATCCAAGCCATGAGGAGTACATGAGGTGTGGTGCCTATAAGCCAGGGTCGGAAACTTTCCAGACAAACCTAGATAGCTCTACTAGGAGGGAGTCAACGACCTATTGTGTCAATTAGATCCCAGCCTGGACAAGGGCATGACTATTGCTGTTTGGGGACACGTGGCTCTGTGTTGAAGGCAATGACTGTGTGGCTGTTGCCATGTGGCCTGTTCTCCCCTAAGCCCTGAACCAAAGGTTCCAGGCCCAGATGAGAAGGCCCCTGGGAATGCATGCCATAGGGGTTGATGCTGGACATTCCCCAGCCTTCCATTAAATGAAAACATTTTCTATAAACTTACTGCTTTAAAAAAATGTTTTAACCAACAAACCTAAGAACTGCAAATGAGTTTGGTATAGTATAAATATTGTCAAATATAAAATTCCAAGAAACCCATTTGAGACTGATCTGATGATCTGAAGTTCTAACTAATCTATCAAACTTTCTAAGAAAAGGCATAGGTCAAGAAATCTTTTTAAAGCAAACATTATTGCTTCTGCTATAGCAGAGTGGAGATTTGGCTGAGCTGGTAAGAACCTCAGTGAAAAGGTGTCTTAGCAATGAAAGGGCTGAATCCGAGATTCCTCTAGATGAAAAATAAGGGGAATGGTCAAGTAAATTCCTGGTACTGGTTCTTTGCTGCCCTGTAATCAATATGGCATCTCACCCCCGACAACCAAGCCAGCCACAGAGAGAAGTGGGGTTCCCAGGGAAAGGGGTCGGCTGACCACCCTGACGGAGCTGGTGAGCACAGGTGAGCTCTACCTCATTTGTCTCTCATTCCTCAAAGTCTTCTGTGGTTTGGCTTCAGTGAGGGCAAAAGAGGGGAGACTGGAGTGAAAGTGAACTCTGCTTTTAAAATGTTCTTTTTATCTAAGGTGTGCAGGGTGTGTGGATAGCAAGTTTGAGTGGTAAGAAAAATCCCAGTCCAGGGTCTGAGCTCTACCTCTTAAAACTCTTCAGCTTAACAAAGTGACCCACAGGAACAGACATGAACATCTCTACACAGGGCAGGGCCAAAGGTGTTCCCAGGATCCTGCTAGCCAAGGGACAAGTCCTGATTGAGGGTCTAGAGCTCAGCAGATTTATGGAGGCAGCATGCACCCTGGGAGCCTGCCCAGACTCCTCTCTGGGGTTTCCGTTTTATCTCTCAAGCTTTTAAGATGCCAAAAGGAAAAGCCTTTAGGAGGACGCTAAGGATAACTTCGTTATTCTTCAGTTCTGTAAAGAGAAATGGGGAGAAAAAGATAATTTATTTTACTCATTCCATCCTGCACCATGGGCAAGGAAAGGGGGAAATGGGGACGAGGAAGGAGAATGTTTGGAATTGCAGAAGCTGCGCTAGACTCTGGTTTCTCAAACCACTGCTGATTTGCTTCTCATCGCTTGCAGCAAGACAGTCTGTGCCGCCAAGCCGGCCAGAGCTTGCAGAGCTCCCCTTGATCCCGCACAGAACCTGGCAGCCCACAGACCCTGTTCAGCCTCTGCAGGGTACTTAAGGAAGGAACTTGGGCATTTGAGTTGCCAAGGGCCTTTCTGATCTTGGGTTGTGTGGTTGTGCTGACAATATTCCTATCACCCTAGATAATTTCCCATTCCCGCTGGCTGAGTTTTGTCCCCTCGGGGGATACTGGCACCCTAGGATGCACGCTTCCAGATGGAGCCAACTGCATGCCCGTCTTTTATGAACCAAGACACACTGCCAGCCCTGGGACCACTGAGAACCCAGCAGGTCTGATCTTGTCCCTCTGACGCCCTCTCCTGGTGGTCACAGTCAGCACGCATTTCCAGCCTGAGCTGGAAATTCACACTGGCAGGTCTATTGTCTGTAGTTTCTTGCATACATCAGATGGAAGAACCAGAACTACCCCACAGCTGGGGTTCCTTGGCCTCCTCCTCCCCTTCCCTGTTTTACCACACTAGCACCTTCCTCTAGAGTCATGTCCATTTCCAGAGGAGTCAAGACAGCCCTGCAGACCTCAAATGGAGGGGTGGGTCCTGATCTATCAGAGCCAGCCCAGTCTATAGCCTGGGTTCATTTTCCCTCTGAGACCACAAGGTGGGAAGAAGTGATGGAGAGGAGCTGACAGCCGCGCCTGTTCTTTCTCCTGCCAAGCTGTGAAGCCAGCCAAGCCCTGCCAGCTTCCCTAGCTCTGGGGGAGGAGGAGGAGGCCTCTTGCTCAGGGGAGCTGTCACCAGCCTGCAAGCCCACTGTCCTAGCCACACTGTGAAACTGGAGGTGGCACTTCCCACAGCAGCTTCAGCGGAACCCAGGGACGCCACCAGAGGCATGAAGTGTGTGAAACTCCGGCCCGAGGGGAGAGCTGAGGAGGCGGGCAGACAGTGGCAAGCAGGATCTTAAGCAGCAGCTGCCTCTGGATTTACAGACCTGACCGCTTTCTGGCCCCAGGCGGAAGGAATTTGATCTGTGAGTAGTTCAAGGATGAGACTGACCACTTCAGCATGTCGGGGAACTAATTGGGGGCCTTCTGCTTCCAGTCCCACTTCCTAATTGTCATGAGAGCCTGTGAACTGAAGCTCCTGGGGAGTGCTGGAACTGGCAACCACTAAAGCTTCAGGTTCTAGATGCAGATCTGTTGGCTGAGCTAGTAAATTTAAAGTTAGGGGACGTGCAGCTTGTAGCTGCAACTCGACTGGACCCTGAGAGCTGGGAAAGGCATCAGAGGCATGGAGGCCGGGAGGGTGGAACCTGACAGGCGGAGAGAGAGCACCCTGCTAGCTGGCCTGTGGTTTTAGTGGTTTGATAACAACAGGCATGTTATTTTTCATACTGATGATTCTAGGGCGGTTCCCTGGACTTGGCTGGGACCAGAACTGTCTCACAGCTGCCAGCGCTCCCCACCCCCATGAGAACCATCGTGCTGAAGATGAAGAGCCAAAGCCAAACTGACCAGCCTCTGCAACCCCAAGCATCACCGTGTGAGGACAGCGTGATGTGGAGCCGCGGAGACCCCACGCAGTGCTGCGAGGGGCAACCACATGCAGGGGGGCAGAGGTGTGGGGGAGCAAGCAGATGCCACCGGCATGCCTAGGAGCCACAGGGAGCATGCGGGCTGGGCAGTGATGGGAATGAACGTGAACTCCAGTCCTGCCCCAAGAAGTCCTCCGGCCCCTCCTTCTCAATTCAGGGCACAAAGTGGTAACTGCAGCATGCAGAGGAGTCGAGGAGTCTTCCCTCGTCCCAGGAGCAGCACCTCGGGCACAGTCTCGGTCCCACAGAACAGCCAAGTGTGGGTTGGTGGTCTAGAGACCTCCAAAGATCCAGTGGGGGAAGGATGGGCAGCAGAGGGTCTACTCTCTGAAAATAAGGGGAAGGGATTTTCCCTCCCCACTGCCAAGGTCCCAGCTCTGGACGTGGGTGGCAGTGGCAGTTTCACCCCCAGCCGGAGGCCTGGTCTTTCTTGTTCTAAGAGGCCCTCCAGATCCATCTGCCTGAGCAGCCTCTGTCCCCAGGGACCTTCAAGGGCTGGCAGTTGTGTCCAGCCCCCTCTAGCCTCTGTCCAGGGACTGCAACCTTTTTCTGCAAACAGCCAGATACTACTTAGATTTGGGGGGCTGTGTGGTCTCTGCTGCAGTGACTCACCTCGGCCACTGCGGCACAAAGAGGCACAGACCACAGGAAAATGGGTGAGTGTTGCTACTACTGCCACGCTGGATTGGCACAGGCAGGTGGGGGATCAGATGTGGCCCGGCCGTTGTCTGCTAACCCTTGCCCTGATCCTAAGAACCTGCCTGTCTCACAGCTTGGGAGCACGGACCGTTCTCAGAGTATCTGCTGTGCACTGTGCAGAAGCTGCCTCATCTTCTCAGGGTGAGACCCAAGGCTGCAGGGTGACGACATCCACATTTCCGAAGCCTGAGGTCCCAGGGTGACAGTTCCCCCAGCCTTGCGAGGGGGCGCTAGCACCCCAACCTGCCGGCCCATTAGGCCCCCTCCAGGAACTCAGGGACTTAACTCCCCTCCAGGAACCTCTGCCCCCAGACGGGGCCTCTTCTGCCAGAGATTCCTCGTGCTTGAGAAGAATGAGAAGGGCTCAGGTGGGAAATGTATTAATCGGTTATGAAGGCGATGGAGGAGGGGAGGTTGAGGCCGCGTCAGTTGTTTGGGGGCACGTTAGCACGCAGTAGAAGGGGAGCACCACTAGTCTAAGAAATCAGTGTCCTTACCAAAAGGATTTGCAAGAATATTTGTGGCTCAGGACCTAAGGAACTTGCTACAGGGAAGTGAGGTCAGAGGTCAGCTCAATCCTGAAATATAAATGCAGCAAACCTGGTCATGCCAAGCGGCAGCATCCTCAGCACCTGAGGACTCG
Source organism: Homo sapiens (assembly GCF_000001405.40). Taxonomy (NCBI): domain Eukaryota; kingdom Metazoa; phylum Chordata; class Mammalia; order Primates; family Hominidae; genus Homo; species Homo sapiens. Next base: position 76,683,993 of record NC_000017.11, read on the forward strand.
GGGCTCCTGCCAGGGCTCTTCCTCCTGGCTGTGCTTACACTGCCCGCCCCCCACCCACCCAGGGTGAAGAGCTTTCCTGCTGAGGGTCGAGAGCGCTGATGCCAGCAGCGGGAGGGGAGACAGGGCCTGTCACCGGCAGAGCAGCTGTGAGGTTAGAGGGCTGCCCGGCGGGTGGCTTGGCATGCAGCCATGAGAGGGCAGTTGAGTTCTGATTCCAAAATCATAAACCACCCCTCCTGCTCGGACCCTAGACCGCTGGTTTCTGCTGACAAGTAGGGGGTGATTCCCACAAGCTGCTCTGGGTCGCCAGGCTTGGAAAATGGCACAGCTACCACCTAGACTTCTGCTTTAACCAAAGGACTCCAGGCCACGCTGCAGAAGGGCAGCAGTGTGGGTGAGCACCAGGAGCCTGCTGCGCCTGGTGCAAAGGACTGTCCCTCTGCTGAGACCTCCCCAGCTGTCCCACTGTGCCCAGCGCACCCCTTCCCCGCCCAGCAGGATGGTGTGGAGGGAAAAGGTGGCGGGGTGCCCAGTGGCTGTGCAGGGGGTGTCCAAATGGGAAGGGGGAGCCAATTCCAACAACGAGAAGCCATAGCTGCACTGCCCGGAGCTACAAGGCGCTGCTGCAGGCGCCGGCCTGGGAGGCCGCTGAAGGATGAGCACCAAGAATCCGCTGTGTCCCGAAGGAGAAATGGAGAAATCAGCTCTGTTGGGGACTGTGTGTGTGAGTGACAGCCAGGTCTGCTCCAGGCTCTTTCCTGGCATCTCATTTCTTTAGATGGGGGCAGTGGGGTGTGGAGGGGGTGGGGGGGTGCAGTAAATGGGCTCTGTATCCCCCATCACCAGTGGCCTCCTTCTGGTCAGTGCCAGGGAGGGGTGCCAGGGGTGTGCGAGCCTGGCTGACCAGGGCAGGAAAGAACTCCTAAACTGGGAAGGTGGGGCGGTGGTTGGGCAGAGCGTGTAGGAGCCCCACCTCCTTTCTGGGCCCTTCTGCCAAGGGGCAGGAACATGAAGGGCTCAGAGGGGCACCCCCCTCCCCCAAGAGCCCGCCAGGCGCCAGCGAAGGGGCTGCAGCCTACCTCTGCTCCTCCTCCAGCTCCTCTTTGGTCATCATCTTCTTGTACTGGTTTCCCCTCAGCTTCCCGGGGCTGTATTTGAAGGAGAAGCCTTCTCCTGTGGAGGGGGGACCCAGTAAGTGCCAGGAGTGCTGTAGAGGCTGGCCCCACAAACCCCGGCCCCCTTTCCCTAGGTTTAAAAAGAAACACCTCAAGCAGAGGCCACATCTGGCTATCAGAGACATCTCACCCCAGCGCCTATACCCCCTCTCGTTCCATAGCTTTCCCTTAAATCCTACAACGAGACAGCCAGAGAGAAAGCAGTCCTACTCCTAGTCCACAGCTGTCTCCAGATGCCACATCCCTCCCAACATCTGCAGTGCTCTGCCTTGCCCTGGCCCTGCCCAGCAGGTCCTCTCGGCTACTGAGCTCAGAGGCGACAACTCCGGCAAGCAGAGCACAGCTCATCTTGGGACACACACCACGCCTGCCTGGGCTTGGGGAGGCTTGTGTCATCCCCCCACCCCCTGTGGCTATTGGAAATCTGAAAACACGCATCCAGGCAGCCCACAGTGGCCAGGCCAGGGATGCGGGATTTGCTGCAGCAGGTTTGACGTGTGTACCGCTGAAGAGGCAGAGCCCGATTTGCCAGTCCCCGAGGGGAGACCCCCCATTGCTGCCTGCAAAAAACGGACAGATCTCGAGGCCTGAAGAGGGCACATGGATGGGTAGGTGGTGGGCACAGAGGAAGCCAGGACCTGTGGCCTGGAGTGGACACAGGCTCCGGGCACATGAGCCACGGTGAGGAGAGAAAAGCTGAGCTTCCAGAGGGAAAAGCCCCATGGGGGAGCAACCTCTTGGTTCCTGAATCCAGCAGGTGTCGGGCAGAGCTGGCTGGCCTCTTATCGACCTCCACTAACTAAAGGACCCAGTGAGGGAGGCATAGAGAGATCCTCAGCTGCTATTCTGGAAGTGCTGCCCTCTCTGTCCCTCCATATCCTGTCCAGCAGCCCGAAAAGCCAGGCCCCTCCCCTCTAGCTTGCAGCCTTCATGCTACCGGATAGGCTGATGTGGACCGATGGGGAGGCGGGGGGGCTCTCAGGGTGAAAGGAAGAAGGTTCTAGATGCGAATTCAGAACCCAAACATCTGGTTGGGTGTGGTGGCTCATGCCTGTAATCCCAGCACCTTGGGAGGCCAAGGCAGGTGGATCACTTGAGGCCAGGAGTTCGAGACCAACCTGGCCAATGTGGCAAAACCCCGTCTCTACTAAAAATACAAAAAATTAGCCGGGCGTGGTGGCAGGCGCCTGTAATCCCAGCTACTCAGGAGGCTGAGGCAGGAGAATCGCTTGAACCCGGGAGGCAGAGGTTGCAGTGAGCCGAGATCGCGCCACTGTACTCCAGCCTGGGCAATAGAGTAAGATTCCAGTATCCCCCTACCCCCCAAAAAAAGAAAACATACAAAATCCTGCCTTGGTCCCAGTCTTAGGTTTCAATTTATGGGGCAAGTCTGATTAGTTTTGTTTTCTGAGCCAGACAGAACAAACGACTTGAAAAGGATTTCGCTCAGTCACATGCAGTGCACCAGGCAGCGCATCCAGTTTTGCTAGACCAGAATTCAACGTGACAGCCTCCGAGGGACGGGGGAGGTTTCTTCCTCCAGTCTCCTGTGAATTCACCTAGTCGCTCAGGGAAGTCATTTTAGCGACACTAATAATTAACCTCTGAGGCTGCCTCGTACTGCAGAGGGGCTGGAGGTGCTCACACATTCTTCCAACAGCTGGAGCCATAAACCTTTCCTTTCCCTGCCTTGCTAGAGATGGCAGGAGGCTAAGATGGCAGGAGGCGCTGGGGGTGGGGGATGTTCAGGAGCAGCGGTGCAGATAAGGGGGGAGGCTGGTGACAGTGCTGGGGGACTGTGCCCTCTGGCAGCTATGCCAGGGAGAGGGGTCTGCGAGCCTCTCTCCTTGTCCTTGCCAAAGGGCCTCCCTCCCGTGTCCCCAAGTCACTAACAGGATCCCTGCATCCCTTCAGCTGTCTCAGGCCACATGGCAGGGACAGATGCCAGGGCCATGGCTGCGGTGAGTCCCCAGTCCCCAAAAGCAGGGAGCAAGGGTCCTTCCTGGTAAGGGACTAATGTCCCCACCTGCAGCCCACCGCCTGCACCCAAGCTTCATTCTCCCCTCCTGCTTCAGGCTGTGCTGATGGAAACCAAGGCACTGCCTCAGGGGAAGCTCTGCACCCCAGCCCAGCCTGCCCGCAGGAGCTGGTTCCTACATTCCTGAAACCTTCTCTTTCCACTGCTCCTGCCAGCAGCCGACTTAACATCACAAAAGCAGACTTGCTTTTTTAAAATTATGAAATATTTCAAACATACAAAAATGCAGAAAGCACTAATCCTCCCTGTGCTTGCCACACAGAGCCAACAAACGCTGACATCTTGCATGTCTGCCTCCGCTTTCTTTTTTAGAGAAATAAGTGGATGGACCCAGCAGAAGCCACTCCATGTTTGGTTCCGCCTCTGTCTGTCCTGGCCGGGTCCGATCTGGCAGTGTCTCCCCTGTTCTCGGTCACTCCCTTTCTCCTCTCAGTCTCATGGCTGGGGCCTGTGGCCAGTCAGCCAGAGCTGCTTAGAAAGCAGGCGTGTGCCCTCCTGGGGCCTTCGTTCTGAAGAAGGCACGGGGGAGGCCGTGTGAGTGGTTTTCGTCTCAGTAAAATAGGTCAGAGATGTTTGGAGAGAATCGTGAAATGTACAGCGCGGTCACAAAAGGGGAGTTAGGAGGCAGCGCAGGACAGAGCCAGGCAGGGCGTGTAGTGTGTTCCCAAGAGGGGCCCCGGGATGGGAAAGCCAAGCCCCAAAGTGCAATGGGGGTGAGGGAGGGCTACAGGCAGGCCAGGGCAGGACATCCATGGCGCCAGACTCTACCTCTCATGCCCCACTCAGGCCACTGTCCCACCCCATCCCTCCCCTCGGCACTCGAACCCCAGCTCCTGTGATCCCCAGCAGGACACAGACCACCCCCGACACTGTCAGGCCCCCTCATGAGCGCAGAGGTCCCACTCACCGTCCTCCTCCTCAGGCCCTTCCGATGATGGCCCCTTCTCACCATCCAAGTCCTGCTCCTCTTCCTGCAAGACAAGGACAGGGTCAGTGCCCTTGGCACAGACTGGGTGATGGGAAGTGGTGGGGGGGCAGAAGGTAGGGGAGACAGAGGAGGCCCTCGAAGGTCCAGCCTGCCCACGCCCTGTGGCAGCGCCTGCCCTGTGGTCATGGTCAACCAGCAGGTGGGGGCTGTGTACAAACGATGGGCCAAAGTGACTCGGCTCACAAATGCTGAGCTGAGGCGTGTTCTTGACTGTGCACCCCAAGCCCTCGGCCTTGGCCTTTCCCAGGTGGGTGCCTGTTGAGGCTTCTGTGTGCCATTTGGAGAAGTGGGCCCAGGACTCCCACTGCGACGCTGCGGCCAGCAGACAAAGGGTGCAAGAGGAAAGCTGGCTGGGGTGTCTGTCTGGGACCAGGGCCAGGCAGCATGGCCATCGCAGCCTCTGGCTTTGCTTCCTTCTATGTTGTTTTCCATCCCCAACTCTCTCAGTGTCCATGTTCCCAAAACTGGAGCCCCACCTCTTCAGCCAGTTCTCTCCCACACAGAGACACAATAAACAGATGATCAGAGGAATGGCCCGGGATGGCCTTGGTGGAAGGAAGAAGTGACTTCAGCTTGCAGGAATGTCAGAGGATGAGAGCGACGTGCCGTGCCCATGGGCTCTGTGGGATTGAAGGTCATGGGGAGGGGACATGGGAGCCCCAGGAACTTCAACTTGGAAGCCCAGTGGGTAGATGTGGAAATGAATGAATGAGCAGCCCCAGCTGATCCCATGGAGCCCAGCCAGCGTCGGCCGCTCACGGGAGGCTCCCTAACAAAACACTGAGCTGTGCCGGGAGGCAAAGTTTTTACAAGCCCCACAGCGGGTCGGAAGTGGCAAACCCAGAGGGGCCTTGAGCTCCTCTGAGTGACTTTTTGTTTGTTTGGTTTCTGTTTTTTTCTGAGTGTGTTTCTGAGACAGAGTTTTGGCTCTTGTTGCCCAGGCTGGCGTGCAGTGGCGCGATCTCGGCTCACTGCAACGTCTGCCTCCTGGGTTTAAGCGATTCTCCTGCCTCAGCCTCCCGAGTAGCTGGGATTACGGGCGCCCGCCACCCAAGCCCAGCTAATTTTTTTGTGTTTTCAGTAGAGATGGCATGTCACCATGTTGGCCGGGCTGGTCTCGAACCCCTGACCTCAGGTGATCCGCCTGCCTCGGCCTCCCAGAGTGTTGGGATTACAGGAGTGAGCCACTGTGCCTGGCCTGAGGGACTTCCTTGACTACACAAAATGCTGCCTGGGGGGAGCTGCGCAGGCAACACAGCGTCTTCCCTGTTGGGCACTTTGTACACACAGACTTAGTGCTATCTATGGCGAAGTGGTGCCTGTGTGTCCTGACGTTTCCCAAATTTTGCACAGCAAAGTATCTCTATGGCTGAGGTCGGAGTGGGCAGGCCTCTTCCGGGGGCAGGAAGAGGAGCCGCTCCATTTGACACAGCAAACCCACTTCTAGGGATCTGCTCCAGACTGGAGAAATGTCCATCAGGATTTTTATATAATGACTCTGACCGCGTGCAGTTGAAAAGACAGAACTGGGGACCGGGTGCGGTCGCTCACGCCTGTAATCCCAGAATTTTGGGAGGCCTAGGTGGGTGGATCAGCTGAGGTTGGGAATTCGAGACCAGCCTGGCCAACATGGCAAAACCCCGTCTCTACTAAAAATACAAAAAAAAATTAGCCGAGTGTTGTGGCAGGTGCCTTTAATCCCAGCTACTCAGGAGGTTGAGGCAGGAGAATCGCTTGAACCCGGGAGGTGGAGGTTGCAGTAAGCCAAGATTGCGCCATTGCACTCCAGCCTAGTGACACAGCAAGACTGCATCTTAAAAAAAGAAAAAAAAAAAAAAAGGAGGCGTTGATAGGTGCTGACATGAAAAGTACATCAAGATAAATCGAGGGAAAAATGCAAGCAGCAGCCCCACGTGAGCAGCGCAGTCATCTTGCTGTAAATGGCAAAGTGGAAATGCACGCATGTGCTCGAAAATGCAGAGAAAAGGTTTGTTTTTTGGAAGGGCCCACGAGAAACTGTCAGCAGTGGCTACCTCTTGGGAAAGGAGCTTGGGGGGCAGCTTTTCCTTTCCGTCTTATAGAGTTCAGTATAATTTGGACTTTCCATTAATATGCATGAATGACTAAATATATTTTTTAAATGCTAATGGTGTCTTTGGACAGTCAGATCCAAAGACCCCATTTTTTCTTTATTTATTTTCTTATATATTCTAAAAAAGAAAAAAAAAGTAAGAGGCCAGGTGTGGTGGCTCATGCCTGCAATCTCAGCACTTTGGGAGGCTGAGGTGGGAGGGCTGCTTGAGCCCAGAAGTTCAAGACCAGCCTGGCAACATAGTGCACACCTCGCCTCTACTGAAAATTTAAAAATTAGCTGTGCATGGTGGCACGCACCTGTGATCCCACCTACTTAGAAGGCTGAGGCAGAAGGATCACTTGGAAAAAAAAAAGTAGAAAGAATGTAACATCCTAAATATATATATATTTGGTTTCGGCCCCCAGTTCTTGACACAGTTTTTATTTTGTTTGTTTTTTGAGACAGGATCTTGCTCTGTTGCCCAGACTGGAGTGCAGTGGTGCAATCACGGCTCACTGCAGTCTTGACCTCCAGGGCTCAAGCGATCCTCCTGCCTCAGCCTCTGGAATAGCTGGGATCACAGGTGCATGCCACCATGCCCAGCCCTGACACTGAGCTCCTAAGTCCCTTGAATTTCCTAAGTTACAGGGGTGCTAGCAGCATGTTTTGTTCTAACATTTGGTTTTGATCCCAGTCCCTGGCACAGAGCTCCTAAGTCCGTTGGAATTTCCCGGGTGACAGGAGTGTCTTTTGTTCTAATGAGGTAACTCCTGGGTGGGCTGATCACCAGAGAGATCAAGCTGCAATGAGGAGCTTGGAACTTTCAGCCCCACCACCCCCCAGCTTCCTCCAGAGACTGGAGAGGAGCTGGAGATTGAGTTAAGAATCGATGACGCCTATGTGATGAGGCCTCCGTCAACATCCCGATAGGGTTTGGAGAGCTTCCAGGCTGCTGAATGCATTCCCGTGCGCAGGGGGTAGCGTACCCCAACTCCATGGGGACGGAAGCTCCTGCATTCAGGACCCTACTGGACCTTACTCTACTTAGGTACCTCCATCTGGCTGTTCATCTGTAGCCTTTATCACTTCCTTTCTAATAAACCAGTTAACATAAGTGCTTCCCTGAGCTCCGTAAGACGCTGTAGCAAATTACTCAACTTGAGGAGGGGTTCATGGAACCCTTGATTTGTAGGCAAGTAGGACCAAAGTGTGGGGAACGAGGGGACCTGATACTTGTGATTGGCCCCTGAAGTAGGGGGCAGTCTGTGGGACTGGGCCCTAACCTGTGGGGTCTGCACTGATTCCAGGCAGTTAATGTCAGAGTTGAACGGGAGGACACCCACTTGGTGTCTGGGTGGCTGGAGAAGGTGTTGGTTGCAGGGGTGGGGCTGGCTGCATATTTGGTATCAGAAGTGAAGGGTTCTGTGGAGTGTTGTGTGCATGGACAGAAAAACAGTTGGTTTTTCTCATGGTTGATGTCTCTCTTTAATGACAGGCAAACAGTCACTGACCTATTCAGGGCACGGCCCCGGAACTAAGCCCAATATCAAGAATAGACAGGAGGCCAGTTCTCCTATTATGTGCAAAGGACACAAAGATTAAATGAAAAACAACAGCAACAATGAGCACAGTCCCTGCCTTACGGAGCTCGTGGTCCAGTAGGAAAGACAAACAAATAATTGCACTCCAGGGCGAGGAGTCCATGAGCCAGGGCAGATCCGTATCCCCAAAGGACCCAGTATCAGCTGACGTGCCCAAGCCCTCCTGAGCACAGAGAGGCTGGTACACATTTAGATTCTGGGCCAGGCACAGTGGCTCACACCTGTAATCACAGCACATTGGGAGGCCGAGGCAGGTGCGTCGCTTGAGCCCAAGAGGTTGAGGCTGTAGTAAGCCATGGGGGTGCCACTGCATTCCAGCCTGGGCAAGAGTAAGACCCTGTCACCAAAAGAAAAAAAAAATTGTACTTGACTTTGGAAGTCTGATTTTTTCTTTTTTTTTTTTTGAGACAGTTTCACTCTTGTTGCCCAGGTTGGAGTGCAATGGTACGATCTTGCCTCACTGCAGCCTCCACCTCCCAGGTTCAAGCGACTCTCCTGCCTCAGCCTCCCGAGTAGCTGGGACTATGGGCATGTGCCACCACACCTGGCTAATTTTGTATTTTTAGTAGAGATGGGGTTTCTCCATGTTGGTCAGGCTGGTCTCGAACTCCCGACCTCAGGTGATCCGCCCGTCTCGGCCTCCCAAACTGCTGGGATTACAGGTGTGGGCCACCGCGCCCGGCCTGGAAGTCTGATTTTTAAAAAGCTGTGGTCATGACCCATTGATGGGTCAGGAAAGCAAATGAGAAGGCCTTACTAGTATTGTTAAAAAAAAAAAAAAATGGGCGACCAAAGTCTTGGTGAAGTTTGAGGCTTTAATAACTTCAGAAGTATAGATACTACAAATGTACCAAAAAATGACATTTGAAAGGTTATTTACATTTAAAATACCTTGATATCTCTCACTCAGATTCTTACAGTACCCCCTCTAGTGCTATACATGGCTCTAGTTGTTCAAACTTCGAAAAACCTTTTATCGACTGTTGGTCAGTGACGGGAAAAGATTGCACTGGTGATTCCAGCTTCACCAGGTTCCAAAGAACTGGATTTTGTGCACACGTGACCTCAAGGGAGGTCAATTCAGCCCAGGAAAGGGGTCCTTTGCCTGCCTGTCCCTCCAGACACTAGCACATGCGGAGAATTAAAATGAAAAAATCTAGCACTTGACTGTCAGGAAACTAAGTGGAAAAGAAATTTAAATAAGTAAATATTCAACTGATGTTTTGTAGGTTTGTACATTTAAACATCTGAAGTTATTTATTAAAACTGCACTAAGACTCTGGGGACACCCCTGTATCCCAGAATGAAATAAAAGACAAGGCTGGGCGCGGTGGCTCATGCCTGTAATCCCAGCACTTTGGGAGGCCGAGGCGGATGGATCACGAGGTCATTAGTTCGAGACCAGTCTGGCCAACATGGGGAAATCCCGTCTCTACTAAAAATACAAAAATTAGTTGGGTGTGGTGGTGCACGACTGCTTCAGCTACTTGGGAGGCTGAGGCAGGAGAATCGTTGGACCCTGGGAGGCGGAAGTTGCAATGAGCTGAGATCACGCCACTGCAATCCAGCCTGGGCAACAGACTGGATTTTTTTTTGAGATCTGTCTCAAAAAAAAAAAAAAAAAAGAAAAAGAAATTAAAGACAAACAGTGTTTTGTGTGTGGTAGAGTTAGATACTGGTTTATAAAACTTCTGGGGCCAGGTGAGGTGGCTCACGCCTGTAATCCCAGCACTTTGGGAGGCTGAGGCAAGTGGACTGCTTGAGCCCAGGAGTTTGAGACCGCCCTGGGCAACATGTCAAACCTCATTTCTACAAAAAAATTACAAAAATTAGCTGGGCATGGTGGGATGTGCCTGTAGTCCCAGCTGAGGCTGAGGTGGGAGGATCACTTGAGCCCAGGAGGTCAAGGCTGCAGTGAGCCGAGATCACACCACTACACTCCAGCCTAGGTGAAAGAGTGAAAGCCTGTCTCAAACAAAAGAAAACAAAACAACAACACAACAAAAAACTTCTGGTGTAGCTGTGTGACTTTATATACAGGATGTAATTTAAAATTTCTTTCTTATTGTGACACCTAATTAAAAAAAGCTTGAAAACACTGCTCAATTGGCCATTTATTTTGTTGTCTGTGCAGAAATCCCCTGTTCTTTTGGAAGTTGTCCCTTGAATCCCGTGGCCCCAGTTGGGGCGGTCAAACCCTCCCCCTTCCATCTACTTATCTGGATGGGCGGGGGCATAGGCCCAGGAGCCCAATTTCTGCTTGGGGGACAAGGACCCTCTGGGACCAGAGCAGTGAGCTGCCTAGAGTGGGCCCGGGTGGAGAGACTCGTTGGAGAGCCCCCTCCCCTACCATGTGCTTGTCCTGAGGCCATTCCACCCTGCCTTTCCCTGCCTGAGAACCGCTCCATTCCAACTCCCACAGCCCCTGGACCACGGTGTCCGCCATCCACTGACACCTCTCCTGTCCACCACTCACCACACTCAGACTTTGCAGGCCAAGAACATCTCAAATTTGCCTGCATCAAATCTCAGCTCTGCTGAAGTCAAGGGTTGGATAGCCATGGAATGTTTTTTTGAGTGGTTATCAAACTGCACCTCATAGAGGCATCCCAGGGCCTCACACCTGGGCTTCTACTGGAAATAACATCCTCACTTTTATCTGGGTAACTTGTTAGGCTTTTAAAGAATATACTAATAATAATTGAATGAATTCCAATTATTATTATTGTTATTATTGAGACAGGGTCTTACTGTCACCCAGGCTGTTGGTAGAGTGATGCGATCTCGGCTCACTGCATCCTTGCCCTTCCAGGCTCCGTCAATCCTCCTACCACAGCTTCCCTAGTACCTGGGACTACAGACATGGGCCACGAGGCTTGGCTAATTTGTGTATTTTTGGTATAGATGAGGTTTTGCCATGTTGCCCAGGCTGGGCTTGAACTCCTGGGCCCAAGGGATCTGCCTGCCTCAGCCTCCCTGCTTCTGGCTGTGGTGTTTTACTTTTTTAAAAAATAACGGGGGCCGGGGGCCTGTAATCCCAGCACTTTGGGAGGCTGAGGTGGGTGGATCACCTGAGGTCAGCAGTTCGAGACCAGCCTGGACAACATAGTGAAACCCTGGGTCTACTAAAAAATAAAAAAAATTAGCTGGGCATGGTGGCAGGCACCTGTAATCCCAGCTACTTGGGAGGCTGAGTCAGGAGAATCGCTTGAACCCGGGAGGTGGGGGTTGCAGTGAGCCAAGATCAAGCCATTGCACTCCAGCCTGGGCAACAAGAGCGAAACTCCGTCTCAAAAACAAAACAAAACAAAATAAAACAATAAAACCACCAGTGTTGACTGCATTTTGCCCTGATTTTATAAAAGTGTGGACACAACAGAAAAGTGAAAGTGCTGACTCCAGTAGTAAGAAGTGCCGGTTTCAGACACAGTGCAATGGAGACAAAGACACAAACCCTTCTGCAAGGGGTGGCTCTTTAGCTTCAGGTGTGTGTGTGTGTGTGTGTGTGTGCAACGGGATGGGAAGGGATAAAGCAAAACCTTGTGCGAAATACCAGAGCTCCATCGTCTAAGGCTGTGCTCAACAGAGAGCTGGCACTAAGGATTTTACCTTCGTGCCTCCCTCATAGCACGCCCATCTTTCCTTCCGCTTTGGCACAATCAAATTTGCAGCTATGTTTTCAGGAGTGTGCACGGTGGGGGCCTGGAGGAAAGGGAGCTCAGCTGTGTCTGCAGGGAGCAAAGAAGGCCTCAGAGTGGATGAGAAAGCCACGCTGGGTCCGAGATGGGCTTGCCAGGCAGATGTAGAGAGAAGGGCATCTGGGCAGAGTGCACAGCCCATGTAAAGGCATGGAGGCACGGAACACCTCGGCTCTTCCAGTGGCTCTACAGACTTGGGTATGATTGCAGGGTGGGTGTGACACAGTCAGAAATAGTGTGCAGAGGCTGGGTGTTGTGGCTTATGCCTGTAATCCCAGCACTTTGGGAGGTTAAGGCAGGTGGATCATTTGAGGCCAGGAGTTCAAGACCAGCTTGGCCAACACGGTGAGACCCCCTCTCTACTAAAAAAATACAAAAATTAGCTAGGTGTGGTGGCGGGTGCCTGTAATCCCAGCTACTTGGGAGGCTGAGGGAGGAGAATCTCTTGAACCCAGGAGGCGGAGGTTGCAGTAAGCCGAGATCGCACCACTGCACTCCAGCCTGGGTGACAGAGCGTGACTCTATCTCAAAAAGAAAAAAAGAAAGAAAGAAACAGTGTGCAGAAATGCAGGGTCTGCAACCACAGAGATCATATACAGGACACTAAAGCGTTTGGTTTCATTCCTCAGGAAGTGAGAAGCCACCTGAAACTTTCAAACAGGGATAAACAAGGCTGGGCGCGGTGGCTCACACCTGTAATGCCAGTACTTTGGGAGGCCATGGTGGGAGGGCTGCTTGATGCCAGGGGTTTGAGACCAACCTGGGCAATGAAGTGAGACCCCCATCTCTATAAAAAATTAACAAATTAGCCGGGGGTGGTGGCATGTGCTTGTAGCCCCAGATACTTCGGAGGCTGAGGTGGGAGGATCGCTTGAGTCCAGGAGTTTGAGGCTGCAGTGAGCTATGATGATGTTACTGTACTCCAACTGAGTGACAGTGGGAGACCCTGCCTCTAAAAAAATAAATAAAAATAAAAAATAAACAGGTGTCAATACAAATTTTTTAAACGAAAAAAATAAACACGGACAAACAGAGTGAGAGCTGCACTTGGGAGGCTGAGGTGGGAGGATTGCAATGGGGCAAGAGAAGAGGCAGGAGGAACTATGAGAAGAGGGTACAGAGCTCAGGGGAGAGATGATAAAGGCCCAAACTGCGATGCTAAAGGCACCTGGCCTTCAGCTCAGCGTTGAATGAATCCGTGAAGGTGCGGCCAGCCAAAGGCAATCTCTCCAGGGTCTCATGGTCTGAGTCCTCCCCACCATCAGGCAGCTGTGCCATGGTGGGTGCGACCAGGATCATTTCCTGGAGGCGGCACGAACCCAACAGAGTACGCAGCTGATTCTTCCTGAGGTCTCAAAGGAAACGGAACAGAGCAGCTGCTCGAGCGCTGACTCAAACCTCACCCAAGGCCATCATCACCGCGGAGTTCCTGTCCATGCCCTTGGTCCCAGGAGTGTTCAGGCTACTCGGCTCATGGGCTGAACTGTGTTCCACGCCCCAATTCATATGCTGAAGCCTTGGCCCCAACTACCTCTCAGCCTGACTCTATTTGGAAACAGGGCCTTTAAAGAGGTGATTAAGTTAAAATGAAGCCATTAGGGTGGGCCCTAACCCAAGGACTGCTGTCCTTATAAGAGGAAACTCGGACACACACAGAGACATGAGAGTTGTGAGTGCACAGAGGAAAGACCATGTGAGGAGGCGGAGAAGGCGGCCAACTGCAAGCCAGCGAGACAGGGCTTAGGAGGACCCGAACCTGCGGACACCCTGAACTTGGCCCTCCAGTCTGCAGAACTCTGGGAAAAGAAACGTCTGTTGCTGAAGGTGCCCGGTCTGTGGTGTTTTGTTATAGCAGCCCTGGCAAATGAATACATCATGTTTCTGATGAAAGTCAATCAATTTCATGGAAACAGTGAATTGAGACAGGCAGCTGGCGTCACCCTGGCTGGTCCCCAGGGCAGGCTGGGCTGAGCCCAAGCTCCATCACTTCACTGATCAGAGTCTCAGCATTTTATGACTGAATAGAGACCACATTTTAATGTCATGTTCTGGGATAATTTTCTAATTCAGCTTTTCCCTCCAATGGAGGAGGTGGAGGCGGGAGGGGGAAGGCAAACGGGACGTGCCTCCTGACAGCCTCCCCAGTGCTAGGAGCCTAGGACCAGGGTGCCCCGGAGGCCAAGCTGAGGGGCCCGGCCAGGCTGCAGTAGCTGGGAGACACAGTGAACCAAGCTCACGCCCTGCAGGCTGCACGCTGCCATTTATGGCTGCCCTGGCTGATTCAAGCTAATTCAAGCGTGATGCAAAGTGCTGAAGTCGGGAGAGGGAGAGAGGGGAGGGGAGAGAAGAGAGGGATAGATAAGGCGGGGGGAGGGGAGAGAGAGAGAACACTAACAGAGGGAGAGAGAGTGATAGAGACAGATTTCTGCCTGCGTGTCTGCTGCCCAAGGAGATGGTTCTGCTGTGGGGCAGTGCAAAGAAGGTCTCTTGTGGCCCTGTGGCCACCAGAGCTGCCGCATGCTGTGACTGCACCAATCCCACTGGCTAATCCAGAATGACTTTAGAGGACAGCGGCTCCAGGAGGCAGGCCGTTCCTAACTCCCAAGGGGACACCTGTCCCTCCCCTGCCTGCAGCAGGCAAGGATGGAGATAACAGGAAGGCGACAAGGGGCCTGCCCAGGCCCCCCAACCCCAGAATGGGCCGGGCCCAGGGCTGCCTCCACAGTGCCTGACAATGCTCTCACTCCTTCCAGAAGGACTCCATTAGCCAATCAGCTGCTCATCTTTTGCAATGGGCGGGGGGGGAGCAGCAAAGCCCAGCTGGCGCCAGCTCCGGGGGCTTGGTGGTGGGCAGGGAGGGCAGGCTGGGGCAGGGGTCACCTCTGTTCCTCCATACCCGGCAAAACAACTCAGCCATCTCCCCCTCCAAACTACAGCTCCAGGCTGGGGACACGCAGGCTCCACTCTCTAAATCCGTATTTGCAACTGGATGAGGCATGTCCCAGGAACTTCTGTCCAGAACCTAGTAACCCAAGTCTCAAACTGTCCCCCTCTCACTTGTCCAGTTTTTCTTGGCAGCCACAGCATCTCTGACACCTTAACATGGCCTGGGAATGTTGATTCCAACCTGACTTCCTTCCTTTCTGTTTTTTTTTTTTTTTTTTTTTTTTTTTGAGATAAGAGTCTTGCTCTGTTGCCCAGGCTGGGATGCAATGGTGGGATCTCTGCTCACTGCAACCTCCGCCTCCCGGGTTCAAGAGATTCTTCTGCCTCAGCCTCCCGAGTAGCTGGAATTACATGTGCATGCCAGCATCCCCGGCTAATTTTTGTATTTTTAGTAGACAGGGTTTCACCATGTTGGCCAGGCTGGTCTTGAACTCCTGACTTCAAGTGATCCGCCCACCTCAGCCTCCCAAAGTGCTGGGATTACAGGCGTGAGTCACCGCGCCCAGCCCTGACTTCCTTTCTATTCTGAATTCTAGAGTCTCCCCTTCACTCCAACAGGCTTCTGGCTTCACCCCTTTGTTCTCCTGCTACAACCATTCAATGCCTTCAGGTGGCACCTACATCTGCTCTCCTCCAATTCATCCTTTTTGGGGAGACGGACTCATTCTGTAGCCCAGGCTGGAGTGCAGTGGTGCAATCATGGCTCACTGCAGCCTCAACCTCCCTGGGCTTAAGCAACCCTCCCCCCTCAGCCTCCTAAGTAGCTGGGATCACAGGAGTGTGCCACAACACCCAGCTAGTTTTCTTATTTTTTGTAGAGATTGGGTCTCACTATGTTGCTCAGAGTGGTCTCAAACTCCTGGGGTCAAGCCATTCTCCTGCCTCAACTTCCCAAAGTGCTGGGATTACAGGCAGAAGCCACCACACCCAGCCCTCATCCAGCTTTAAGAACATCTTCAAATGCCAACTTCATAATGTGTTTCCTGCTCAAAACCCATGCCACCTGCCTACATTGCCTGACCTTGTTCAATTTCAATAATCTCTGTTTCTCCAAGTTCTACTTCCAGATTCTCCTGCCATCAGATTGGGTGAGGTCTCTCTCCTCGATGGCTAAGAACCGAGGGTGCCACTGGGTAGGGGTGGTGGGCTGGGACTTGGGGTGCTCTTTGCACCATGGCCTCAGGAATGTGATCTGTCCTTCCACATTCACCTCTGCACACACCCCTCTCCTTCCTCTGTCTGGGCAGGGGTCCCCCAGGGTCATAGGACCTGATTTGGAGGCCCTTTAATTCTACCCTAGGTTTGCAGAGACTGCTGCAAGGAGGAGGGGACAGAGTAAAAGGGGCCTAGACTGCCACCCAGAGCAGCTCTGTTTTTGCTTTATGTCCTGGGCTTCCATAAGACACTGAAGAGGCAAGAAGGGATCCAGTGTTTTATTATTATCATTTTTTATTTATTTACTTTTGAGACTGGGTCTCACTCTGTCACCCAGGTTGGAGTGCAGTGGCACAATCTCGGCTCACTGCAACCTCCACCTCCTGGGTTCAAGCGATTCTCCTGCCTCAGCCTCCCAAGTAGCTGATTAGTCCCAAGTAGGGATTACAGGCATGCGCCACCACACCTGGCTTTTTGTATTTTTAGTACAGACTGGGTTTTGCCACGTTGGCCAGGCTGGTCTCGAACTCCTGACCTCAGGTGATCTGCTCGCCTCAGCCTCCCAAAGTGCTGGGATTACAGGCGTGAGCCACCGGACACAGCCAGGATCCAGTGTTTTAGAAAATGTTAGAAAACCACTGATCTAGTGTGGCTTCCGCCTAAGGAAAAACAGTCGCTGATGGAAACTTGGATGAACTGCTGGTATCCCGTCTCTGTCTGAACGCTTCTGGCACAGGAAACTCACTACCTTACAGAGCAGTCTTCCTCTCTGGGGCATAACATAACAGCACGAGGGCAAGAACTGCAGGCGGCTGTGCAGGGCGCTGGGCTACAGGCCTGGGCAGGGACAGAAACAAGATACCTTCCTGCTGCCCCAGGTGGGAGACAAAGAGACAGGACCTGCCTCTAGGCAGGAGCCCACAGCGATTTCTGTTCTTTCTTTTTGTGGCATTGTGGCGTATTTATTCAACAGGTGCCTACTGCGTGCGGGCCTGTTGCAGGAGCTGGGATGTGGCGGGCAAGGGCCCTGCTCTCCGGAACAGGCGTTCCACTGCGGCAGACAAGCCACACTGAAATAAAAGATGACCTCAGACCGGATGAAGTGCTATGAAGAAAGCCAAACGTGATGATACACTGGAGAGAGAGAGAGAGTGGGCGGGCGGCAGGCGGGGGACTTTACATCTGCTCACGGGGGCAAGGACATAGAGAGGAGAGAGGTGAGGACCGACTGCGCGGAGGCTCAGGCAGGGAGGGGTGTGCTGGGCAGGGTCCTGATGTGGGCGCAGGGCTGGCAGGTCTAAGCACCAGAAAGGAGTCTGTGGCTGTGGGGGGCTGGGAGCAGATGCCGAGTAGGCAGGGTGCTCCTGGACCTGGGGCTGTGGGAAGTTTGGAATTGCACGCGGAGGGCTGTGAGCAGGGGCCGGGGGGTGTGCTCTCTGCGCTAGGAAGGTCATGCTGGTTGCTGGAAGAGCCTGGCAGGGGTGGGGAGGACGGGAAACAGGGAGACCAGTGAGGAGGTCACTGAACAGCCACCGAAGCAGGAGCCAGAAAGATGAGAGGAGGGAGGGCTGCTCTCGGAACACACTCTGGAGAGAGGTGACCAGAATTGCAGACAGCAGGTCTTCAGGGCGTGAGGGAGGCGGGGACAACAAGGACATGTCTGGGCTTTTGGTCTGAGCAGCTGAGCGTCGGGGGGGTGGATCCGGGATGAGATGAGGAATGCCGGGTGGAGGGGCAGCAGAAATGAGGCACTTGTCAGCGTGTTGGGCTGAGGTGCACGTAGACAACCCACAGGCCAGGGAGCTCAGGGGAGGCGAGAGCTGGGCGTATAGATGTGGGCACCATCAGCTATTGATCAGGGGGATGGGGGCGGCAGGTGTGTTCTGGAAGGCAGCAAGGCAGGCCTGGTCCAGGAGTCCTGCAGTTGATATTATGGGCATGAGCTCTTCCAGCAGGGCAAAGAGCAGAGGGAGTGTGCTGGGTAAGCCGCAGACAAGGAGGGAGTATGTTGTGGGTGGGGGGTGTCTGGGGAGAGACAGGATCACTGTTCCTGCGAGGAGCCGACCCCATCCGGGCCCCAACCCCTGCCCAGGGCCGACTGCTGCGTTCCAATGTCCAGACCAAAAGCATCGTCCTGCATTCCAACCTCACATCCCGATCAAGGGCACATTCACAAGCCCTAAACAAACTCTTGCTCAGATGACTGGAGCATGCCAGATTCAATCCTATCAGATTTAACAGTTTCTGGCAAGTTCCTACAAAGAGGATTTAGAGGACACCAAAAGCTTCATTTAAAAAACAAAAAAGGAAAACAACAATAACAACAAAACACTCTTGGGCAGCAATCTGTACTCTCCGCAACCCCTATCAGGGAATATCAGGTCGAATTCTAGGTGCTACATTTTGAGATAGAGAAAATATAGGACAGAGAAGAAAACTAAGAGATGAATAAAATCTGATGGAAGAGGGTTGAAGAAAGTGACTTAATTTTATGGGGGAAAACCAGGTTGAACAATTTTGACCATGACCAGCTTGAAATATAGTAATAGAAGATAAGGGCTGGGCACAGCAATTCACATCTGTAATCACACAGCCTCAGGAGGCAGAGGCAGGAGGTTGGATTGAGGCCAGGAGTTCGAGACCAGGCCTAGGCAACATAGCAAGACACCATCTCTACAAAAAGTTTAACAATTAGCTGGCTGTGGTGGTGTGCACCTGTAGTCCCAGCTACTTAGGAGGCCGAGGCATGAGGATCCCTTGAGCCCAAGAGGTCAAGGCTGCAGTGAGCTATGATTGTGCCAATGCACCCCAGCCTGGTTCTCTAAATAAATAAGTAAATAAATAAATAAAAGAAGAAGAAGAAGAAGAAGACAAGTGGTCAGTTTTTAAAATCTCTTGAGGGCCGGGCGCAGTGGCTTATGCCTGTAATCCCAGTACTTTGGGAGGCCAAGGCGAATGCATTGCTTGAGGGCAGGAGTTTGAGGCCAGCCTGGCCTGTAACACGCGAAACTTCATCTCTACTAAAAATACAAAAATTAGCTGGGTGTGGTGGTAGGTGCCTGTAATCCCAACTATTTGGGAGCCTGAGGCAAGAGAATCGCTGGAACCTGGGAGGGGTAGGTTGCAGTGAGCCAAGATCGCGCCACTGCACTCCAGCCAGGGTGACAGAGCGAGACTACCTCTTAAAATAAATATATATATATACGTATATATATATATATATCTTGAGGAGGCCTCACCATAGGAAGAACTTCCTGAAAGGCTAACGGCTGACTTGACTATGGAGTAGGGTTTCCTGCTGATCTCCAGCAGAACACCACTGGGCTGGGGGCATTTTCTTCTCTTGAAGTGGGAGGATGGCTTGAGCCCAGGAGGTGGAGGTTGCAGTGAGCTGAGATTGCACCACTGCACTGCAGCTTGGGTGACAGAACCAGACCTTGTCTCAAAACAGCAAGATTTATCTCAGACTCTGAGTCCTCAGCAAATAAGAATCAGGCCAGGAGAAAAACGATGAATACCAAGGACATCACACAAGAAGGCCCTTGCTGAGAATCTGCCAGGGTTGTCTCACCCAGAGGTCAGGTTGGTCAGCGGGTTATAAATGTGCGCAAGGAGTTCTCACTTGAAAACATTAAATACACACATACACAGGCCACAAAACTGGAGCTGAAGGGTTGGGCACAGTGGCTCGCACCTGTAATCCCAGCATTTTGGGAGGCAGCGGCTGGCAGACTGCTTGAGCTCAGCAGTTTGAGACCAACCTGCAACATGGCGAAACTCCATCTCTACAAAAAATACAAAACTTATCCAGGCATAGTGGTGCGTGCCTGTGGTCCCAGCTACTCGGGCGGCTGAGGTAGGAGGATGGCTTGAGCCTAGCAGGCAGAGGTTGCAGTGAACTGAGATTGTGCCACTGCACTCCAGCCTGGGCGACAAAGTGAGACTCTGTTTTGTTTTTTGTTTTTTAAAGCCAGTTAACTTTAGCAGTAGGGGGTTGTATATCAAGTTTAGTGACACTAATGTTAACAAGTTCTGATAACCCAACACCATTGGACCAGCTGAGGTCCTAGCTCAAAAAAAAAAGAATACATTGAAAAAAACAAAAAACTGGAGCTGATGCCTGGAAAGTGGACAATCACTTCTGTAAGTTCTATGGCAATTCAGAGGCAACATTTGAAGATAAACAACTTCCGTGAGTCCTGCAATGGGTTTTCTCTGGGCCATCAAATCTCATGCAGACATTGTTTTAGCCAATGTAACCCTGTGTCCAGAAAACAGCATCATAGCCGGGCGTGGTGGTGGCCACCTGTAATCCCAGCTACTCAGGAGGCTGAGGCAAGCAGAAGAATCACTTGAACCCGGGAGGCGGAGGTTGCGGTGAGCTAAGATTGTGCCACTGCGCTCCAGCCTGGGCGACAGAGGGAGACTGTCTCCAAAAAAAGAGAAAAAGAAGATAGCATTGCTTCTACCACCCCGCAGCAGGGAATAGAATGACTAGAATGACTGCTGCAGCACCCTCCAGCTTCCTTCAGATTTTTTTTTTTTTTTTTTTTTTTGAGACGGAGTCTCACTCTGTCGCCCAGGCTGGAGTGCAGTGGTGCGATCTCAGCTCACTGCAAGCTCCACCTCCCGGGTTCACGCCATCCTCCTGCCTCAGCCTCTCGAGTAGCTGGGACTACAGGTGCCCGCCACCACGCCCGGCTAATTTTTTGTATTTTTAGTAGAGATGGGGTTTCACTGTGTTAGCCAGGATGGTCTCGATCTCCTGACCTCGTGATCCGCCCGCCTCGGCCTCCCAAAGTGCTAGGTTTACAGTCGTGAGCCACCGCGCCCGGCCAGCTTTTTTTTTTTTCATGCCTGTAATCCCAGCACTTTGGGAGGCCGAGGCAGGCTGATCATTTGAGGCCAGGAGTTCAAGACCACCCTGGCCAACATGGCGAAACCCCGCCTCTACTAAAAATACAAAAATTAGCCAAGCATAGTGGTGCATGACTGTAATCCCAGCTATTTGGGAGGCTGAGGCAGGAATACTGCTTGAACCCAGGAGGTGGAGGTTGCAGTGAGCTGAGATTGCGCCACTGCACTCCTGGGCGACAAGAGCAAAACTCCGTCTCAAAAAAAAAAAAAAAAAAAAGAATGCTGGAAACAGTTCTGCATGAGGTCCCCTTAGAGAAGGGGCTTCTGAACCTGACCTCCTCATCCTGTTCCATACATCTGTCCTTAACAGTGGCAAGCCCAGTGTGGCCAAACGCAGGTTGTTCCAGAAATACTCCTAACCATCAGGGATCTGGCATTTCTCTGGAAGACGGTTTACCAGAGGCCCAAGCTGGTCTCCCTCCTCCCACAGTGTGGTTTGAGCCGAGTGGGAAAGAGCGGGGCTACAAAAAGGAAACTGTCTGCATGCTCACCATTTCATTTCTAGCTCTCCAAAGCTAGGTGGCTTTTTTTCTCAAGACATATTCTTTAAAAACATACTCCTTCTTGCTAAGCAGAAAATTCTAGCTGACATTAGTCTGTAACCAAGGCTCTTTCTCTCTGAAAGAACAAAGTTTATCTATTAGGAAAGCCCCTGGACTTCTTTCATATATGGAAAAAAATTAAGTTAGGCACTCAAACAACTTTACAAAAAAATACCCACTGGAACTACTGAACAGGGAACTCTACTTACAGCCCTCCAAGGCATCTTCTATTCAGTTGCTCTATATCGTTATAGTTATTGTGAATACAATATTTTATGTTCTACCTTTTTACTTATTTCATACTAATTTGCTAATGAATCCAATGTGCTAATTAATGAACATTTGGATTATTTCTAGTTTTTTCCCCAGTAAGTCACTGGGCCTGTTCTGGACTAAATATTTGTGTCCCCTGCAAATCTATCTGTTGAAGTCTTAACCCCCAGTGTGATGGTATCTGGAGGTGGGGGTCTTTGGGAGGTGAGATTTAGACGAGGTCACGATGGTGGAGTCCCTACAATGCTATGAGGGCCCTGATAAGAAGAGGAAGAGACATCCCTCTCTCTCTGGCATGTGAAAGTACAGCAAGAAGGTGGCTGTCTGCAGGCCAAAAAGAGAGCCCTCACCAAAACCAGAATCTGCCAACACCTCCATCTTGGACTTCCCAGCCTCCAAAAGTGTAGGAAATAATGCCTGTTGTTTAAGCAACCCAGTCTGTGGTATTTTGATATATCAGCCTAAGCTGCTTAAAGACAAGGACCTAAAGTGATATAAACAACTGGCAAATATCTACTTGGCCCTCCACTACTTGGCTTCTGAGATTTTGCTAAGAGAACAGAAAGTAGGACCACACTGCCATCACAAAGGCCCACACTGCCATCACAGAGGACCACACTGCCATCACGAAGGCCCACTCTGCTATCACAAAGGACCACACTGCCATCACAGAGGACCACACTGCCATCACAAAGGCCCACGCTGCCATCACAAAGGCCCACGCTGCCATCACAAAGGACCACACTGCCGTCACAGAGGCCCACGCTGCCGTCACAGAGGCCCACGCTGCCATCACAGAGGCCCACGCTGCCATCACAAAGGCCCACTCTGCCGTCACAGAGGCCCACTCTGCCATCACAGAGGCCCACGCTGCCGTCACAGAGGCCCACGCTGCCGTCACAGAGGCCCACGCTGCCATCACAAAGGACCACGCTGCCATCACAGAGGCCCACTCTGCCATCACAGAGGCCCACGCTGCCGTCACAGAGGCCCACGCTGCCGTCACAGAGGCCCACACTGCCATCACAAAGGACCACACTGCCATCAAAAAGGACCACACTGCCATCAAAAAGGACCACACTGCCATCAAAAAGGACCACACTGCCATCACAAAGGCAGGAGAGATGATGGGGAAGTTCACCTGCTCCTGGGTCATTCTGGGAAGGCTGGGGTCTCTGTAGCTTCCAGAGCCCACACCTATGGTGAACAGGTTGGTGAGGGCAGAGGACACAGGTGGACCTGACAGCAGGGTGACTTCAGGGGAACCAGGGCCAAGTCACATGGTTAAGACAGACAGATGAAGGCTGTGCTACCCACTCAGACCACCACCTCCAGAGTGTCTGAAAAACCAACCCCTTTCCCAAGAAATTTCCCAAAGAAGAATGTTGGCTTCTTTGTTCCAACATTCTCTTTTGAAAAATTCCAAACCTACAGAAAAGTTGAAATAATAATACAATGAATACCATACACCCTTCACCTAGATTCACCAATGGTTAACATTTTGCCATCTTTGCATTCTCTCTCTATACACACACACACTGTGTGTGTGTGTGCATGTAACTATTTGAATCATGACATGTCATCCCAAAATGTTTCAGCCTGCATCTTCCTAAGGATAAGGACATTGTTTACACAGCCATCTGCCGGTATCGTACACAAAAAATTCAGCGTTGATTCAATAAGCTTACCTAACACAGCCATTCATTTAAAAAATGTCTCAATTATCTCCAGTATGTCCTTTATAGCTCCCTTCTCTGATGGAGAATCCAATCAAGGATCAAGATTGTATTTATTTGTCATATTGCTTTAATCTCCTAAATCCCAATTAAATCTAGAAGAGTCTCTGTGTGCTTCATGACACCGGCCCACTGCCTTGCAGGAAGTCCCTACTCTTTTTTTTTTTTTTTTTTTTTTTTTTTTTTTGAGATGGAGTCTCGTTCTGTTGCCCAGGCTGAAGTGCAGTGGCACGATCTTGGCTCAACTGCAACCTCAGCCTCCTGGGTTCAAGTGATTCTCCTGCCTCAGTTTCCTGAGTAGATGGGATGACGTGCACGCCACCATGCCTGGCTAATTTCTGTATTTTTAGTAGAGACGGGGTTTCGCCATGTTGGCCAGGTTGGTCTCGAACTCCTGACCTCAGGTGATCCTCCTGCCTCGGCCTCCCAAAGTGCTGGGATTACAGGTGTGAGCCATCGCGCCCGGGCTCTAGTCTGTCTATGAGCAGAGCTAGGCCCCAAGTACCGAGATACTTGAGTCCTGGCACAGACAAGAAATTTAACTCTAGTGCTATTCAAATGACCCTTGACGCTTTGCCAATTACCAATGTTTGGGAATCCGACCATCCAGCCTTGCTCCAATCCACAAGTCCATTAGGTAAGAGGCCTGGCAATCCTAAAACCCCAACCTACACAGGAGCACCAAGAAAGCCCTGAGTCCTGGCCTGAAAAGAGGCCGGCTCCTGTTCTTGACTTCGTTGGCTCATGATTCTTTGCGTGAACAGGCCTTGCCTATAATGCTTCCTCACAGCCCACCCTGTGCTAATCCTTAGGAGAGAAAAGAGGTTCTAGCAGTATCATTCCGCTTCTCCTCAGCCTCCCTGCCCTGGCCTGTGCTGCCCTGGGGAAGCAAGAGCTGCACTGATCTCATCCCCATTTCTTTGGTCCATTTCCAGGGTCTCGGCCTATAGTAGCCCCTCCCCACTACTTTGTCCTTGGCCAAAGAGGGCACCGTGCACTAGGGGACGCTCCTGAGCGATCCCCAATAGCAGCTGAAGGCTGCTTCCCGGGGCGAGAGATCCTTCTCAATAATCAGCTTTGTAGTCAGAGGCAGCAGCTGCCCCAGCCCGCCCAGGCCTCCCTGGGAAGGGAGAGGACTGGATTAGAAAGGAGGCAGTTAATGGAAAATGAAGAGGGAGGGGAGAGGTGAGTTACACGCTGCTCCCCAGGGCAGTGACTTCCGAGCTAACAGCAGGTGGAGTTGCCCTCCTCCCTCGCTGTTGGTGGGGTTCGCTTAGGGACGGAGGGAGAAGGAGGCTGGCAGAGGGCATAGCCCCACTTCCCAACCCTGATTTGAGTTATCTTCCCCAGGGGGCCTTTCTCCCTATCTGTCCTCCAAGCCCCAGCAGTGTGATCATCAGAAGAAAGCACTGGAAGCTCTTGGAAACGCTGGAGTCCACTTCAGGACAATTTGTTTTCCTTTCTTTTTTTTCTTGTCACTGACTCGAAGCTCATCAAGACAATTTCTAAGCAGCTTCTTAGGTTAATGCCACCACTGGGAGTGGGTGGGATGACACAATATCTGTGTCCCCACAGCACCTGGCTTAATGTTTGCAGGCAGGAGTTTTGGGGGAGCTTTGGCCAGCTCAGGAAGGCCTGGGGACTTGAACCCAAAGGGGAAGGGCACTGACTTCAATTGAATTCTCCTGTGGGGTGGGTTCTCTCTGGAGGGTGCCTTAGCGGGAGGACAGACACAAGCCTCAAGTCATCCTCACTGGCACCTATGTCATGGGGGCTGCCTGGCACGCGAACCCCCATACTGCCTTGTCCTTCAGAGCACCCATTCAGCTTCAGAGGACGTGCATTCACCCAGACAGTGGCAAATTATGCGAGTGGCCCTATTTAAACACCACTGAACCTATTCCTGTAGGTACCATGTGCTGAGAGCCGAAAGCCTTGTAGAAAGTTCTTTAAGCGCTGTGCCCCACAGGATTGAGCTAAGACAGGGCGCCGCTAAAGGACATTTTGCACTTCAGTCCAGAGCCTGGTGTGGGTGATAAAGGGCCAGCCCTGTAAGGCCAGGACTGACTGAGTGTGCATGACGGCTCCAGAACTGTCTAAAGGCCTCTCCTGCTCCCGCGAGACCTCGATGGAGGCAGGAATCCCAAATATGGGAGCAAACACAACAGATCAGCACATGTCCAAACCGCGCCCCCTCCACCATCACCGCGTGAGGTCTGGAAGCCCACCCCAAGCAAGAACGGCAGGGCCTGCCCCTGCTCCACCCCATTAAATGTGGCTGGTTAGAATCCTCTCTAATGACACAATTAGTCACCCACTTGTCAAGCAAAGCGCCTGCTCAGAGGGGGTCTGGCGCACTTACTCAGCAAAGAGAAATGCCTCTGAGCACAGCCTGGCTGCCTCCTCCTCCCCCGAAGGGCTTCTCTCCAGGGTAAACCATTGTGTCCAGCACAGGACAGAGTGGGCACGCAGACACGCAGGCACGCTGACAATGCGCATCCCGGCTCTCCTCCCTTCCAAGAAAAGGAGCTCAGGGGTAAGAACAAGGGATTACAATCCGACTCGGAGACCCTGGCGGTGGCCTGGACCGGCCAAGCGTGGTGAACTCCAGGGAACATGGGCACACAGTGTAGGGGCTGGGATGAGTGGATGAGGGAAATCCGACTCCTCTCAGATATCCACAGGCAGGACAAGGTGGCCAAGGCCGAGCTGATGGACAGCATGGCGGGAGGCCTGGGGCAGAGGCAGGGAGGGCCGCTTTGGGGTGCTCACTGGTGCTCCAGGAGGGCTTTATCCTGCATCTTCACTCCATCCAGGCCCAGCTTACCTACAACCCGGGGGAGTGGGGGTAGGAGGGTGTTAGATGTGTAGCTTGAAAACGACAATAAAAAGGACTGCTGGGATCGGGTGCCTTTTCTTTCAGTCCCAGCCCACGGGCTTCACAAAACGCCACAGCACTGACTCTGAAATCTGGACTTCAAATTGGCTGAAAAAGAAAAGCCAGCTTTCCTCCCTCGCCCCCCGAAAGTCCTACTTTTTAAACATCAAGATAACTCTCATGGCAGGCCTGGAAATAAGCCACAGGCACGTGGATTTGGGAACCGGTGGGCGGGAGGGGTCAGAAGTGGGTGAGGAGCAAAATTCCAAGCCCTGGTCCCGAGGCCTGGGAGCCAGCAGCTGCGGAGCACGCCCTGGGCTGGGAGAGGCCGAGGGGAGGGGAGAGCAAAACACCTCCAAACAAACTCCTTCGGGCTCGCCCCTCGCCACACTTTCTGGGGGAGGGCGGCGAGTTTGCGGGGCTGCGGCTTAGCATGGCGGGACCTGCATTTCCTGCGGGCCGCGGGTTCTGCGCTTCCTGGGGGCAGCCTGGGCTGGAGGCCGCGGCCCCGCTCCCTGGCTCGGCGGGGAACGGCAGCGGCAGCCGGAGCCCCGGGGGTGGGGAGGGGGCCGCGAGGGCCCCGGTGCGTACCTGCCTCGCCTCCACCGCCTGCTCCTCCGCCTCCGCTGGCGCCGCCGCGGGATCCCCTGGCCCTTCGGGCTCCCCCGGTCCCGCAGGCTCCCCGAGCTCCCCCAGCCCCGCGGGCTCTCCAGGCTCCTCCGGCCCCGCGGGCGAGGCCGCCGGCTCGGGGGCGCAGGGGCGGGACGGCGCCGGGGCCCCGGTGGCCTCGGCCGGGGGCGCGGGTTCCGGGGGCGCGCGGGCAGGCTCCGGGCTCGCGGCCGCCCCACGCCGCACCAGTAGCCAGGCGAGCAGAAGGGCCAGCGCGGTGGCCAGCGCAGGCAGCGCGGCCAGTAGCTCGGCCGGCGCCTCCATCGCGCCGCGGCCGCCGAGTGCGGGCCAGCTGGGACCCCGAGGGAGCCCGCCGCGCCCCGTCGCCGCGCCCGGTCGCCGCGCCCCGCCTCGGGGCGGAGCCCCCATCGCCGCGCCCCGCCCCCGCCCCCTCCGGCCCCGGGAGGGTGACGCACAGGCTGCGGGCGGGGGTGTTGAGGGGGCAGAGCCCTGACCACCTGGGAGGCACAGGAGGGCCAACCCCTGCCCGGCCTGGGCAGCCTTGACGCTTTGGGGCACAATTTAGCTCAGGTTCAATTTGAAATACTGTATGAGGTGCCCTTAGGTTGTCATCTTTGGCCTTAGTACGGCGGTTCGTCTTAGAGCATTTTGGAAATGTGGGAATGCAGAGAGACAAGCAAACCCGGGAAGCTTCATGGAAACGGCAGCCTGGATTGGCTTGTAAAGCAATCATAATGCCGGATTACGTTCAGCCACTGCCGTTTTTATAGGCATGTCAGGAGTTGCTTTTAATCCTCAGGGTTGCCTTAATGCACTTTCACAGAGGACATCTCCAGATCCCGGCCAGTGAATGCTCCCTTCGGAGCTGAGGCCAGCAGCCTTCAACACAGGCCTCCCTGTTAACAGTAACATGGCTCCCCCGCCCCTAGACCTGAAATTCAGCTGCAGGTCCTTGGTCAACGCTATTCCTCTTACCAGACTTTCTTCTTTGCACAATTCCAGAATGCATGCAGGGTGGGAGGGTACAATGAAGGAAATGAAGGCTATTGTTTTTGTTTCTCCAGATCCTCCCAGGCCTCTGTTGCTGAACAGTGGATTTTGAGATAAACACGTTGTAACCAAAAACATACTTTCCTACCACTCCCCACCCACTCTTTAGTTATTTTAAATAAACACAGGACGGGCATGTCAGGTATCACGCCAAACATAAGGCCTAATGTTAAAAAAAACACGGTTCCAGTTTTTGCTGAGGATGCCTTTAATACTTTTTTGGGAATATTACAGTGCCTGAGCTGATCTGTGATATAAACCAGATATTAGATGGAGTGCTTCTTTTTAAATGAAGATACACAAACGAGACCCCTCAGCAACAGGGAGAGCTGAATTCTGCTGCACTGCACGATATTAAGCGGGCCATGCACTTCCTTTTAGTGGTGGTTGATGAAAAGAGCCTATAAACTATAAAATGTGAAATAGGCTTTATCTACGGGCGACTAGCTTTTAACCACTGTGGAAGTTTCAGCCAGTGTATGGGCCTATTTTTTTTCTTTTGAGATGGAGTCTTATTCTGTTGCCCAGGCTGGAGTGCAGTGGCGCAATCGCGGCTCACTGCAACCTCCACCTCCCGGGTTCAAGCGAAACTCCCACCTCAGCCTCCTGAGTAGCTGGGATTACAGGCGCCCACCACCATGCCCGGCTAATTTTTTTCTGTTTTTAGTAGACAGGGTTTCACCGTGTTGGCCAGACTGGTCTTGAACTCCTGACCTCAGGCAATCTGCCTGCCTCAGCCTCCCAAAGTGTTGGGATTACAGGCGTGAGCCTCCGCGCCCAGCCAATTTTTTTTTTTTTTTTTTAAAGAGACAGGGTCTTTCTTTCTTTTTTTTTTTTTAAAGAGACAGGGTCTCACTATGTTGCCCAGGCTGGAGTGCAGTGGCTATTCACAGGCATGATCATAGCTTTCTGCAGCCTCGACATCCTGGGCTCAAGTGATCCTCCTGCCTTAGCCTCTTGGGCAGCTGGGATTACAGGTGTGCATCAATGCTCCTGGCCCAGGGCCTTAATTTTGTGCTCCATCCCATTGTTTTAAAGTGTAAATACATTTTTTTAAAGTCCTGTTCTGCTGACAAAGTACATTGTTGACTTTCAAATGAGTAAGAAAGAAAATAAGGACAAAACAATGCCAAAAACACAACTCCAAATCATGTTGCTTTATTTAAAATGATGAACAAGTTTCACCCAAGTGAAAGTTTAAAATACCAACCCAATAGCAGATCCACAGGCTTTCATGGCAGACCCCATGGCTAGACGGACGCAGAACTAGGAGACTGCTCAGTGTTCTGACAACTCCAGGAGGCACGAGTGTGCAGAAGACAGTCCCAGTTCTTCTGTAGCATCCAGTCACTTTGGAGACAGCTGGCCAGGGCTAGCTCTCCTCCCAGGAGGTTCACTGGGGCTTAGATGACATTTCTTTTTTTTTAAAGACAGAGTCTCGGTCTGTCACCCAGGCTGGAGTGGCTTGATCTCAGCTCACTGCAACCTCTGCCTCCTGGGTTCAAGTGATTCTCCTGCCTGAGTTGACCAAGTAGCTGGGACTACAGGCATGTGCCACCACACCTGGCTAATTTTTGTATTTTTAGTAGAGACGGGGTTTCACCGTGTTGGCCAGGCTGGTCTTGAACTCCTGACCTCAAGTGATCCACCTGCCATGGCCTCCCAAAGTGCTGGGATTACAGGGGTGAGCTACGGCGCCTGGCCGAAATTTCTGAACAATGAGACAAAGTTGAGAGCCACCGCCTGGGGGTGCAAGCTCACCTAGTTTTGCTGCATAGGATGTCACATCTTGACACAAGCTAGTGGGAGGGGAGTGTGGAAGAAGCCGCCAGACTCCACTTCAAATCTACCAGCAATACCAGTACACACATCAAAAACAACTTACTCGTGGAAATACTACAGACAATCTAAAGAACCTACAGCTGGGGCATCCTTATACGCCTTCCTCCTACACAGCATTTTTTACATTTACTGCAAAAATTTTGTTCCATCCTATACTCGTCTAAAGTCCTAAATCCAAGGCTCAGTCTCTAGTAAGCTTATAAAGCATTTGCACCAGCAACCTTCCCACAGATCCTTAGTTTTGCTACTTTATGAAGAAGCTGTTACTACCTTAAGTATACATTGGTGTTAATTATGCTCTTTCATGTAGATCCGTTACACCTGCATTTAAGAAGGTCTGCACTTTCTTCTACCTGCCCTCACCAGCGGCCCTGTGAACAGCCGCAACAGCCGCACATTCACTGTCCATTAAGCTTGTGGAGCTTGTCAGGGACCTGGGCTTGTCACCGTTATCTCCAGCACCTCAAGAGCAGTGCCTGGCCCTCAAACACCTATTGAACGCTTGAATTATTAAGACACGGACAGCTGCAAGAATACAGCAAAATGTGAATGTCCCTCTTTTCAGTGGCTCTCCCCTCAAGGATGTCACCCTAAACATCCCAGTACCACTAATGGCAGAGGCATGTGTGTGAAGCATGGATTCTTCCAGCTGATGGTGAAGCCTCATCCCCAAAGACCCAGGGTCCTCCTGATGTTCTAGGTCCCCAACTCTTCTCTCTCCCACTCTGGTCCTTCCATCAGAAGTTAATAATCCAAGATCCCTTCTTCCAGGACCCAGCTCTTTGGTTTTAAGATCTGCTGTCATCTTGGAGAATCATCCCTGAAAATAATCTAACATTATCTCCTTCACTTTACTGTTGTTGGCACCATTCAATGGAGTAGCTCACGCCAGATGGGAAGAGGAGTTAACTTCTGAACAAGTGGTCTCTGGGTACCCACTCTTCCTAGTCTACCTTGGCCACCCGCCACCACTCCACTCCTTTTCCACACACGGTTTCCCCACCTTGCCCCTGTTGTGCTTACATAACGGACAGCCTGGCTAGCCCACAGAGACAGTAACGGGGGTTGGGGAATAGGGCTGCTGAATCCCTGGCCTGGCAGGAATAAACAAAGCATGTCCCAGGAGCACAGAATCTGTACTATCCAGACACTGTACTATCCAGAGCTGACTTGGGCCTATCAGATATGTTATTCCCCTCATTTCTGGAATACTGTTATCAAACAGGAATCAACTTTAGCATCTGGAGAAAGAAAACTGGGTGGCTAATCTTTATTTTCTAGATTATTATTTTTTTGAGAGATGGGATCTCACTATGTTGCCCAGACTGGTCTTGAACTCCTGGACTCAAGCAATCCCCCTGCCTCAGCTTCCCAAAGTGCTGGGATTACAGGTGTGAGCCACTGCACCTGGCCTTGGTGGCTAATTTTTAAAATTCAAAATTTCTGCTCCCCTATCCAGACCACTGGCAACGTGTCCTACCACGCCCCCTGGTGGCAAAGAGCCTTTTTGGGCTGTTTTTTATTTTAAACTGAAGTTTAGAGGAGTTGTTGATAGAAAACTGAAAGGAAGGTAAGGAAAAAGGGCAAGCGTGGCAGCACAGGAGCAATGCTGGGAAAAAGAAAAAAGCTTTTTATAGATGGCAAGAAAAGTCTTTTTAAAAAGCAGGAGTAGCAACACCACTCAGATATTACTACCAAGAGATTATACATTCAGAGTTTGACTTTACTCACACCCAAACACATCCTGTGCCCACCACAGAACCAAGGGGGCTGTGGGCGTGGGGGTAAGGAGGGAGAGCAGCCCCCATGGCAGGCAGGCAGCACAGTTCTACCTACCCAGCCACATACTGGGGTTGGCATTTGAGGATGCAGAAAATTGAACTAAGACAAAAATAGAGAACCAGCCTCCTAGAGTAAAGCCACATGACCCAATGTCAGGAAATGACAGTCTGTTAATAACAGTGAGCAGAGACCTGTATTTTCCTGGTTACACCTGTTTCTAGTGGATATTTTGAGAGGCAACAGCACACAATTCTAACACATCCACACACAGCCTCCCTGCCTGTGAACACTGCAGTGAGAGCTCCTTCCCACCTGCCTGCCAATGCCTCCAACGCTCCAGCCCAGGCAGTGCTTCCAAGTGCGCCCCATGGCCTTGACAACCCCTCTTATTGAAGTTTAGTTGAATTTAGGGACAAATTAAGGCAAGCAGGTGAATCAAGAGGGCAAGAGATGGCATCTGCTGGTCAATCCCCAAAAAGTCATCCAGTTAGTTATTTAGAAGTATCAACAGACTGCAAAGACTACAGGTGCCATCTCTGAATTTACTCCCCGTGTGTAACACAAGTCACCCACTTAACGTCTGTAGGTCAAACAAATGGGGAACGCTAATCTCAGAGTACCTCGCAAAGTGAGCACTTCTTATGGATCCCATGGTGCGGAAGAATGGAGCCTATTCATACTTTAAGTTCTGTGGTAAGAGCACATTGCACACCGTTCCCACTCTATGCAAACAAAAAACCCCAATGTATCACCCCCCCACAAAAAAATACACTGTACAAAAACACCCCTGAAATTTCAGTCTCTATGATGATGGAGAAAAAGATAAGGAATCCTAAGACAGACTGAGCAGTGGGTGATGGTGATGGTGCTGGGTCACTGCCACTGAATGCATTTGTGGGCTGATGATGACATACAGGAAGAAGGGCAGACTCCAAGTCCTTCCGACACATAATTGGCTCACAAAGTCCACTCACCACTCTCAGTCTCTGTGGTACACAGCTGGCTCTGTGGAAACTCCTTACCGACATCCGTGAGGTAACAGACACAAGACGTTACAAGGATCACACCCTGCCAGCCTTGTGGTTGACTGGCTCGGTTTTCAATGAGACAGCACAGAACCTTCTTACCCAACATCCCATTAGCTTCAGTGTTTCACTGAGCTGGCCGAGCTGTTAAATTTCTTGATAATCTATCCTTAGGAAGCAGTAAAAACAGCATTTGACCGAAGATAGGAGCTTGGACCAGGGAAGGAATATCCAAATTCAAAGAAGACAGAGGAGAAGGTAGGAGCAGAAGATGCGAGAACTGAGTTGGGTGGCTGCCAAAAGCTTACGCTGAAAGCACCTCAGGGAGAGTCTCTTTATCTGCTCAGGGGTGAGCCCGGCCTCCACAAGTGTCCCTAATCCTGCCAAGGAAAGCACAACTGCCTGTAATCAGCACGTAGACAGCATGCTGGGTACAAAGCTGGAAGGCAATGTTAAAAGCAGGACCCCCGGGACCCCACGTGGAAGTCATGGCAGGGCTTTCTCCAGAGTTTTCTTACAAATTACAAAGTCACAGATCAAGTGCAGATATAAATCTATAAATATGTAATAATAGAAACAATTTAAAAAGGCAGGAAGAGTCTAAGTATGGCTGTGAAAGGACATCGAGGGTTGAGAAATGCACATTCCAGTTTGATAAATTCACTTGAGTAAGTCACTTGAATTTCCCCATGGAATTTCAGCTAAACCACAGAGAATGGAGGCCACGCGATAGGAGGGCTGCGGGTCCTGCACTTCCCCCATGCATTTAAGAAAGACTGAGCTGCTGGGAGAGAAAACGTTAACAGGAATGTCACCTTCAGCAGTCAAGGGCTTCAGACATTCAAAACCCTATGAACGTCAGTATTAAAACATGTATATATATATTTTAAAGACAGGGTATCACTATATTCTCCAAGCTGGTCTTGAACTGCTGAGCTCAAGTGATCCTCCTGCCTTGGCCTCCCAAAGTGCTGGGATTACAGGCTTGAGCTACGATGCCTAGCTTCAACTTCAGTATTTTACTATCTTCCAACAACCTCTCTTAACACTTCAACCAGCACATCAAAGACCTGTGGCATTTAAAGACCCTAGACAAATGCAGAGTGAACAAATTCCATTATGAGCCTGTTACATGCCCAGGTGCTTGCAAACACGTTTAAATTTTAACTTATTTAGGTCCAATCTTGTACTTGGAGACGTGATTAAGTTTTTATAAAAGCTGGGTGAGGTGGCTCATGCTTGTTGTAATAATCCTGCTGCTTTGGGAGGCTGAGGTGGGGGGATCACTTGAGGTGAGGAGTTCAAGACCAGCCTGGGCAACACAGAGAGACTTTGTCACTACTAAAAATAATAAAAAAAATTAGCTGGCCGGGCATGGTGGCTCACATCTGTAATACCAGCACTTTGGGAGGCCAAGGTGGGCGGATCACAAGGTCAGAAGTTTGAGACAAGCCTGGCCAATATGGTGAAACCCTGTCTCTACTAAAAATAAAAAAAAATTAGCTGGGCGTGGTGGCGCATGCCTGTAATCCCAGCTACTCGGGAGGCTGAGGCAGGAAAATTGCTTGAACCTGGGAGGTAGAGGTTACAATAAGCCGAGATCGCATCACTGCACTCCAGCCTGGACAACAGAGCGAGACTCTGTCTCAAAAAAAAATAATAAAAAAAAAATAAGCTGGGCATGGTGGGGTGAATCTGTAGTCCCAGCTACTTGGGAGGCTGAGGCAGGAGGATTGCTTGAGTTTGGAAGGTTGAGGCTGCTGTGAGCCATGATCACGCCACTGCACTCCAGCATGGGCAAGAGCGAGACCCTGTCTCAAAAAAAAAAAAAAAAAAAAAGATTTGACAAATCAGAGTTTTCTGCTGCTGTCTGATTTGGCTGAGCACTCAAGCAGCAACGGCAAACTGGGAGAAAAAGCAAGAGGCCACGCCTCAGGTTCTGCAGAAGATGCCGGGTGACTTTTCCAATGGCTCTCCCTACGCTGCTGGGACGACGACTCTGTGGTCAAGGATGCACAGCAGGAGTCACTGCTTTCCCCCAAGACCACCATGAGGAGAAGAGCAATAAGGGAATGTTCTGGTATTCTCAAAGGAAAACATTTCCAAGATAGAAAATGGATTCAATTTTTATTAAATAATGTAAAGGATTTTCTTGGCACTATTCACATTCTCTTGCCTGAGTAAAACAAGCCGCGTTTATCTGCATTGGTAGCAGAGGGAAAGCTACTGGAGCAAACGCTAAGTGAATGGGTTCCCGTGCCGAGGGTGTCCTCATTCTTGGGCTCTGTCAGGCCTCCCCTTGTCT
This sequence comes from Homo sapiens, assembly GCF_000001405.40. NCBI lineage: Eukaryota > Metazoa > Chordata > Mammalia > Primates > Hominidae > Homo > Homo sapiens. The sequence continues at coordinate 76,718,648 of NC_000017.11, forward strand.
GCAGGACTGGACAGGCCACCCTCCCCAGGCCCTGCCCTTGCCGCGAGCGTGTCCTTCCATACAGACAACAGCCTTGCTGGGTCACCTGGAGGAGCTGCGCTCTTTGCTGACACAGTCGTCCTGGGAGGTGGTGTCCCCGTTTCCCACCATGCTGCACGTCCTCCTCTTCTTCCTGCGGTGCACTGTCCCATCGCCCTCGGATCCAGACTCGCACTGGACACAGGAGGACAGAAAACAAGGAGTCAACCTGGATGCAACCCACTTCTTCATTAAACAAACCTCTGACCTCGGGAGACAGCACAGATATTGGTCACTTTCTCCCAAATGCAAAGCAGTCATTATGACAGCTCCACAATGTAGCCTTCATAGCCACCTCCTTGGATGTTCCTGGCTCCCTAAGAATTTCAAACTTCCCTCAGAGGCCAAGTATCCCTCCACTGTTCTCTTAACCGTGTGGTTATCTGTCTGAATAGGATACCCATTGTAAAAATCTTTTAGTCAGAATTCTGAAAGTACATTATAAGATTTCACTCTACCAACAGAGCTTGATATATGAAAGAAGTAGGTATAGCACTGAACATTCCCAGAGCCTGTTCCCCGCCTGACGAGAAAAGACTCAATCAGTAGACTGTGTGAAAAGACAGAATTTTTTTTTTTTTGAGACAAAGTCTTACTCTGTCGCCCAGGCTGGAGTGCAGTGGTATGATCTTGGCTCACCGTAGCCTTCGCCTCCTGGGTTCAAGTGATTCTCCCACCTCAGCCTCCTGAGTAGCTGGGATTACAGGTGTGCACCACCACACCCAACTAATTTTTGTGTTTTTAGTAGACATGGGATTTCATCATGTTGGCCAGGCTGGTCTTGAACTCCTGACCTCAAGTAATCTACCCACTTTAGCCTCCCAAAGTGTTGGGTTAACAGGCGTGAGCCACTGCGCCAGGCTGAGATAGAAATTTCATCTGTTAAAGGTGCAGGGCCCTCTCACCCAGTATTACTGTCAGCTTCAAGTTTAAGGTTACTGGATTTGCTGAATTTCCAGGCTTACAATTCACCATCCATGGGGGAAATTCTTCATATGAGCTTTGAGGTCAGAAGGATGAGTTTGAAATCTGACACTGCTGCTTCATCTTGAGCCATTTACTTCACTAAATCCCCAAATACCCCTGATACCTCGAGGCTATTTTAACAATTCTTAGCCGGGCGCTGTGGCTCATGCCTGTAATCCCAGCACTTTGGGAGGCTGAGGCGGGTGGATCACCTGAAGTCAGGAGTTCGAGACCAGCCTGGTCAACACAGTGAAGCCCTACTGAAGTATACAGAGTTTATAGTCTCTACTAAAAATACAAAAAATTAGCTGGGTGTGGTGGCATGCGCCTGTAATCCCAGCTACCAGGGAGGCTGAGGCAGGAGAATCGCTTGAACTTGGGAGGCAGAGGTTACAGTGAGCCGAGATCGCGCCATTGCACTCCAGCCTGGGCAACAAGAGCGAAACTCAGTCTCCAAACAAACAAAAATTCATGCACATGTGCAAAGCTGTAAAATGGGCAAGATACACCACTCAGCAGGAATGGTGACAACTGTGTAACCCTTAGAACAACGTGGAAAAACTTTCATATCCTTCTCCTGGATAGGAGGAGGAAGAGTCACACCTGGTTATGACTGAGTTACATGAGCCTTGGAGGCTCCAGGAGTCAGCCAGAGAGCAAGGCCTCACCTCTGAGTCGGAGTCTGACGAACTGGAGCTGGAGGAGCTGGAAGAGTCGCTGGAGCTGTCGGAAGCTATCCCTGTGGACTCCTGAAGGTCAACCGAGTCTGCGAGGACTGCCAACTCGGGGTGCTCTTGCTTCAAAATCCTGAGAGGCAAGAAGTGTTGTTCTCAGTGCACTGACAGCCATACCCACTCACAAAGACTCACTCAGAGTCGAGGCCTGTGTCTCTCAGAAACACCTGGGAATGCCAGGTGTGTCCGTTCAGAATGGATACTGTACAATGGTGAGGACAAAACCCCAGGCTGGGAACAAGAGAAACCCAATACGGTGCCCATGTTTTTCTGCAAGGAAAATTATACTAACTACACACAATTTACTACCACCTGCATAAATGAGCCAGCCGTGCCACCAATACACGAGGCACAATTTTCCTTAAGTTAGTCTTAGTTTTATTCCCTTAGGACAAAAAGTTTCTCTTCCTAGTTTTACTTCCTGAACCCTTCCCAGTTGATTTTTAAAAAAATCTTTCCTTTCCACAGCACAGCACATAATGATCAGAGTTGCATTGGTTAGATTCTATTTCTAAGAGTAGAAACAATTAGATTTGTAAGAAATACGAGGTGTCAAATAACAGAGATGGTCCCCCCTCACTGGGAGCGTAAAACTGAACTGAAGAGCAGCAGCCCTCCCCTTCAGAAACCTTATCTGGCATCCACTGTATCCAGTGACAAAAGACCTGTTGTATCATAAGGCCTGCGGTGTGACCAAATCACAGCACGCAGTGGCCTACGGGGCGGGGTAAGTGGGCCTCAGATGCCCAAGAGTCCAGGGAGAACAGAAGCCACCACCCTTACTGGCCCTCTCAGCAGGGAGGCTGAGCATGGAACAAGCCAGAATCCCTCTCTTACCCCGAGAGCTGGTCCCTCCAGGTCAGGGTTGGGACACAGTGGCACGGGGTGGCTGTGGGTGGCTTGCACTGCCGCTGCCCGTGCTGTATCTGTTCTGTGGATAAACAGAGGAGCTAAGTCTCCAGGGCAGTCACCTCACTCACAAGAACTGAAGGTATTAAGTTCAAATGGGAATAATGCTTCTAGGTAAGAAAAAGAAACAACCCAAATAAAACCCAAATAAAATGATTTTAGCTAGCGCTAGCTTTGAAAAACAAAACACAAAACAAAACGAGAAACAATCCCAATTATGACGTCTTGACTGAGTGGCTTGGATTCAACATGCAGAGTCTCACCCTGCCACCTCGAGGCTGGCGAACACCCTGAGGACTTGCCCTGACCTTGGCCCCTCTCTCCTCTACCCAGAGGGTCGGCAGCCCCAGCTTTGCCCAGGCCTGTGTACGATCAGCACACATCATCGCAGCAGTGGACTAGCCATTTTATCTCTGGGGTCGAAATTGAAACCAAGCAGAAATAAGAAAAAAATGACTCTCACCTATACCATTTCCTTGATAACTTTGGTCTCCCTCTTACCGTCTTGTGCCATACCACAGGGAAGTTGGTGCTGCTGGCAAAATTTTGGGTGATGGCGATAGTAGTGTCGAGATTGAGGACAACATGCCACCAGCCTCCTGAAATCCAACAAATAAACAGTTAAACAAGGTTTGATCCTATACCTAATTACTGTATAACACACACACCAGAAATTGGGAACTCCTACCCATAAGGGAGAGCCTACAGAGACATGATACAGGGTAGTTCCTTCTGATCCAGGGATTGCAAACAACTTGTTTGTGTAAATCAAGTTTTATCGGAGCACAGCCATGCCCACCTGGTGACGGATTGTCTAGGGCTGCTTTCCAGCTACAAGGCCAGAGTTGAGCAGTTGTGACAGTCTGGCTTACCTAAAATATTGACTCCCCGGCCCTTTATAGAAAAAGTTTGTTTACTCCTGTTAATCCAAAGCTATGACCAAAAGTGCAAAAGCATAAAGTTCTTCAGCCTCTACGAAGAGGACACCTACTTTAAATACACTTACCTTACTTTCCTTCACTTATCAAAGCGCAGTTGTCTGGTGTGGGATTTCCTGACTCAACACGGACAGTGCTATACTGCATCAAAAACCCAATTTAGGCTGCGCTTGGTGGTTCACACCTGCAATCCCAGCACTTTGGGAGGCTGAGGCAGGAGGCTTGTTTGAACCAAGGAGGCCAGCCTGGGTAACAGTGAGACCTCCAATTCAATTTACAGAATTAAACCCTGGCCGGGGGTGGTGGCTCACGCCTGTAATCCTAGCACTTTGGGAGGCTGAGACGGGTGGGTTGCCTGAGCTCAAGAGTTCAAGACCAGCCTGGGCAACATGATGAAACCCCGTCTCTACTAAAATACAAAAAATTAGCTGGGTGTGGCGGCATGTGCCTGTATTCCCAGCTACTTGGGAGGCTGAGACAAGAGAATCGCTTGAACCTGGGAGGAGGAGGTTGTAGTGGGCTGAGATTGTGCCATTGTGCTCCAGCCTGGGTGACAGAGCGAGACTTGGTCTCAAAAAAAAAAAAAAAAAAAAAAAAGAATTAAACCCCAATTTACAGAAACACAAACAAGCCGCTACACATACACAAACAAAGAAAAGTTGTATCTTTACATACAATTTTTTTTTTTTTTTGAAATGGAGTTTTGCTCTGTCACCCAGGCTGGAGTGCAGTGACACAATCTCAGCTCACTGCAGCCTCCTCTTCCGGATTCAAGTGATTCTCCTGCCTCAGCCTCCTGAGTAGCTGGGATTACAGGCGCCCGCCACCACGCCTGATTAATTTTTGTATTATTAGTAGAGACAGGGTTTCACCATGTTGGCCAGGCTGATCTTGAACTCCCGACCTCAAGTGATCCACCCACTTCGGCCTCCCAAAGTGCTGATATTACAGGTGTGAGCCACCGCACCGGGCCTGCATACAGTTTATCAGGTTTTATAGCCATATAAAATGTGAACAAGAGCTCCCAAAGTATGTGACACTATAGCTACATGTTACTGTCAGAGGTGAGTACCAGTTCATTTACCAGGCAGCATCCAAAGGATTTTTTGGACTCACTCTCTAACAGTTCTGCTCCAAAATGACAAAATATTGAAATCAAAGAATGTACTTTCTTTTTTTTTTTTTTGAGATGGAGTCTTACTCTGTCACCCTGGCTGGAGTGCAGTGGCACGATCTAGACTCACTGCAACCTTCGCCACCTGGGTTCACGTGATTCTCCTGCCTCAGCCTCCCGAGTGGCTGGGACTATAGGCGCCCACCACCACGCCCGGCTAATTTTTTTGTATTTTTAGTAGAGACGGGGTTTCACCGTGTTAGCAAGGATGGTCTCGATCTCCTGACCTCGTGATCTGCCCGCCTCAGCCTCCCAAAGTGCTGGGATTACAGGCATGAACCACCGCGCCCGGCAAAGAATGTACTTTCTTCCAGTTCATCTATACCTGGTACAAAGACAGTCTCTCCTGGTTTTTGTAAGATTTCCAGGGGTTTGAATTCAGGTGGCCAGGTTGGAAGCTGTGTCCGGGGATAAATAACATTAAACCAGGTAATAGCTTCGTCTTGCTGGTTCCCTCCTTCGTCTCGGGTCACTTTGATGAGTTCCCTGGGAGTGCTGGTAGGAAACAGGCACCAGCGCTTGTGGCCCTGAACTAAGGCATTCCAGGCACTGGTTCCCAGAGGGTCGATGTGAATCCCAGTTCCGGAGCGTGGTGGCCCCATCACAAACCACCTACAGAATGGAGATATCCAAGATGTGAAGTGTAATTTACTTACACACATACCACACAAAACAATAAGTTTTTAGTTTTTCTTTGAGAGTCTTGCTCTATCACCCAGGCTGGAATGCAGTGGCGTGATCTTGGCTGACAGTAACCTCTGCTTCCCCAGGTTCATGTGATTCTCCTGCCTTAGCCTCCTGAGTAGCTGGGATTACCGACGCACACCACCACGCCTGGCTAATTTTTGTATTTTTAGTAGAGACAGGGTTTCACCATGTTGCCTAGGCTGGTCTCGAACTCCTGGCCTCAAGTGATCACCTGCCTCGGCCTCCCAAAGTGCTGGAATAACAGGCTTGAGCCACCGCACCTGGCCAGGTTTTAATTTTATGTGATATGTCATCTTTATTTCAGAGATTATATAAATTCTGGTACACAGAAACACTGGGTGCATTGTTCATGGACTGATTCCTAACAAAATAAGAAAAATCAGCTGGGGCGGTAGCTCACGCCTGTAATCCCAGCACTTTGGGAGGCAGAGGTGGGTGCATCACCTGAGGTCAGGAGTTCAAGACCAGCCTGACCAATACGGTGAAACCCCATCTCTACTGAAAATACAAAAATTAGCCGGGTGTGGTGGTGGGCACCTGTAATCCCAGCTACTCAGGAGGCTGAGACAGGAGGATTGCTTGAACCCGGGAGGCGGAGGCTGCAGTGAGCTGAGATTGCGCCACTGCACTCCAGCTTGGACGACAGAGGGAGACTCCATCTCAATGAAGAAAAAAAAAAGAAAAAAAAAGAAAAATCACTAATGTGGTTTATTGCTGGACTTTATTAAAACCTCCCTTAGAGATCAGTGCTTCAACCATAGCTGCACATTCAAGTCACCTGAAGAGCTTTCAGAAATTCTGATGCGCAGGCATCACCCGAATTAAATCAGTCTCCCCAGTAGGGCCCAGGCAGGCCTCAGGAGCCCCCTAAATGAGTTCAATGTACAGCCGAGGGAGTACTCACTGTTTCCAAAAAAGATTAGCAACTGAACTCAGCGAGCAAATGCTGTTGTAGATAAGATTTTAACCACAGGCCGGGCGCGGTGGCTCACACCTGCAATCGCAGCACTTTGGGAGGCCGAGGCGGGCAGATCACCTGAAGTCGGGAGTTCGAGACCAGCCTGACCAACATGGTGAAACCCCGTCTCTACTAAAAATACAAAATTAGCTGGGTGTGGTGGCGCATGCCTGTAATCCCAGTTACAGGAGGCTGAGGCAGGAGAAGCGCTTGAACTCGGGAGATGGAGGTTGCTGTGAGCCGAGATCGCACCACGGCACTGCAGCCTGGGCTACAAGAGTGACGCTCTGTCTCAAAAAAAAAAAAAAAAAAAAAAGAAAAGGATTTTAACCACTTAGCTGCAGAATACTTTACCTGTAAGGGGGCCTGCGCTTCTCCCCAGCATACTGGAAAAGGTCATCAGTGAAAAACTTTGGCACCTTGTAGTCTTCCAAAAGTTTCCTTCTTTTAGGGTGTTCACCATAGCTGCTGTCAAAGATGTAAAGGGGACTATCATCTCGAGTGCTCTCCATGTACTCGATGTAGTATTTCATCTTCATCTTCACTGAGTAGCCATCGTTATCCTCACCACACTTGAACTTCTGGTTCCGATATTTCCTTTTTAGGCGCTCCAGAGTCCATTTCTCCTGCGCAGACCAGCCCTCTTGCGCATTCAACAAAACCACGGGCTTGTAAGGTCTTTCATACCGCTCCACAAATTCTTCCACAGACAGCTGTAAAGCATCTGCCCTTTCCACGTTATCCTGAGGGAATTAAAAAAGACCTGTCCAGTTAAAAAAAAAAAAAAAGTCCAGTGGCAGATAAGGGTGTCCCCAAGGCCAACTGGTAATGACAAACCGAAGGAAGTTGACTCTCGTCTGGCTCCTCCGGGGTGGGGGCAGGGCGCGTGCGTGAGGCCACGTCGTTCCTAGAGCCACCCCCCATGAGCCTTGACAGCCAGGTCCCCTAGGGGACCCGCCGCCCAAAGGAGTCAGGGACGACGGGCCTTCTAGTTGAGAGCGCCACAGGCGTGGGACTCCCGTCGTCCGCCAGAGCAGACGGGCGGCCACAGCACGGGAGGAAGCAGACCCGCCCCGGAATCCGCGCCTCGGGGACCCCAAACTCCGCGGGGTGCGGGTGAGCCTCTACGAGGTCCCGGGCGCTCGGGGCGAGGGCAGCCTCGGGCCCAGAGAAAGGTGCGTAGCGGCTGGAGGTGCCGATGCCCGGCCTGGCCACCCCCGCCCGACCCGCTCACCGCCACGGCCGCCGGGCTCAGCGAGAAGCTCTCGTAGTAGTTGTGCCGGGTCCAATCCAGCGAGTCCTTGAGCTCCGGCCGCGCACTCCGCTTGGCCTCGCGGATGCGCTTCTTGCTCTTGTGGTTCATTCTGCGGGGTCGCCAGCTGGTTCCGCTACGACCTCGGCGCAGCCCGCTTCCTGACACTAACGCACCCCTCCCCGGCCTGGGCGGCGGCGACGGCAGTACCCAAACGCCCTTCGCTCAGTCCCGGCGCCTTTAAAGTCGCCTTCCAGAAAATTCACTCCCCAGCCACCTCCCGAGCCTCGGGTTGGGCAAGCGGCCGCCGTCTTCCCCGCCCCGACGCCTCTCGCGGTTTTCCATTGGCTTTGGCTCCCCTGGGGTACTCCTTCACATACGGCGGGCCTCCGCCATGTTGGGAAGGTCACGTCGGCTGCGTCACCGCCCCGCCCCGCCCCGCCCCTCCCCTCCCGCGCTGCCGCTGTGCCCATCACTTCCGGTCGCGCCAGCCGCCCGTTGCCAGTTCTGCGCGTGTGAGTCTCTTTCGCCTTGCTCCGGGCTTTCTTCGCTCGCAGCGCGGCAGGGTTATCACCAGATCTGGGCTTTCCCCTTCTTGCCGTCAGGTGCTACGGCCACGTGGCCCGCGGCTTCCCGCTCGCGCAGTCTGGCAGCCCGGAGCCTTCCGCGGTCCCCCGCCCGCCCGGGGCCCAACGACGCCCTACTGGGCGAGCACGATTTCCGAGGACAGGGGGTCCGGGCCCAGCGCTTTCGATTCTCGGAGGAGCCGGGTCCGGGGGCCGACGGGGCTGTCCTGGAGGTCCACGTCCCGCAGGTGCGTGCAGCAGCACCCGCCAGGAGGCGCCTGAGGTCAGGAGCGGATGTCGGCTGACTTGGCTGGGTTCCTGAGGGACCGGGGGTGCGGACGCTCAGCTGCGCAGCTTCCTGCTTTAGGTTGACCCCCGGAGCAAAAACGTCGGATATGAAGCCCTTCGGTGCATTAAATGTCTCTCAGTAAGAATTTTGGAGACCCTGCCAAGAAGTGACCCTGGTCACTATGTTGGTCAGGCTGGTCTCGAACTGTAAGCTTAAGTGATCCTCCTGCCTCGGCCTCCCAAAGTGCTAGGATTACAGGCATGAGCCACTGCGCCGGGCCGGCTTTCTCCACATCGAATCTTTCCTGCCAGGAAAGTGACATTCTTGACTGACCTCTAATGCTTCTTTTGATCTTGTCCAAGGGTTTCTTGATTCATCCTTATCTCTCACTTTTGTGTGAGTTTTGGGATCAGGGTTTCCAGTTTTATTTGGTGCCCAAAGTGTTTCTTGGGTTGGACCTCGCTTCTTCCTCTAAGCTCACAGCTACAACAAAACTCTCAATAATAATTCTTTTTCTTTTCTTTTTTTTGAGACACTGTCTCGCTCTGGCGCCCAGGCTGGAGCGCAGTGGCGCGATCACAGCTCACTGCAACCTCCAACTCCCGGATTCAAGTGATCCTCCCGCCTGCCTAAGTGCTGGGATTGCAGGAGTGAGCCACCATGCCCTGCCTGTCTTCGGTTTTTCAAAGCACTTTCACTTTGCAGTATTTCATTTGGTTTTAACACCAGCCTGTGAGGCATGTCCCATGCTAAAGAAACAGCTTTAGAGAAGTTAAATGGGAGGCGGAGGCGGGAGGATCGCTTGGGACCAGGAGTTCCAGACCAGCCTGGGCAATATAGTGATACTACGTCTCTACAAAAAGTAGAAAAATTAGGCATCGTGGCTTGTGCCTGTAGCCCCAGCTACTCCGGAGGGTGAGGTGGGAGGATTGCTTGAGCCCGAGAGGTCGAGGCTGCTGTGAGCTATGATCAGGCCACTGCACTCAGGCATGAGCAACAGAGCAAGACATTGTCAAGAAGAAAAAAAAAAAAAAAGACTGGAGTGGAGGCTATTTCTGATTGTTTCCAAACAGCTTCACTTTTTTTTGCTAACTGCAACCTCAACCTCTGGGCTCAAGTGATCCTCCCACCTCAGCCTTTCAAGTAACTGAGACTACAGGCATTGGCCACCACACCCAATCTGGCTTCACGGATTTTTTTTTTTTTTTTTGGAGATGGAGTCTCGCTCTGTCACCCAGACGAGTGCAGTGGCACAATCTCAGCTCACTGCAACCTCCGCCTCGTGGGTTCAAGTGATTCTCCTGCCTCAGCCTCCCAAGTAGCTGGGATTATAGGCGCCCACCACCATGCCTGGCTAATTTTTGTATTTTTAGTAGAGACGGGGTTTTGCCATGTTGGCCAAGCTGATCTTGAACTCCTGACCTCAGGTGATGCACCTGCCTCGGCCTACCAAAGTGCTGGGATTACAGGTGTAAGCCACCGCTCCCGGCTGGCTTCACGTTTAAATACACTTGCATTTCTTCCTAAATGTAGGGGGTGATGATATTGCCTGTGAGAATAGAAGCCTCTTTCCTTTTTTTTTTTTTTTTTTGGAGTTGGAGTCTTGCTCTGTCGCCCAGGCTGGAGTGCAGTCGCGAGATCTCTGCTCACTGCAAGCTCTGCCTCCCGGGTTCACGCCATTTTCCTGTCTCAGCCTCCGGAGTAGCTGGGACTACAGGTGCCCACCACCATGTCCGGCTAATTTTTTTGTATTTTTAGTGGAGTAGAGACGGGGTTTCACCGCGTTAGCCAGGATGGTCTCGATCTCCTGACCTGATGATCCACCCACCTCGGCCTCCCAAAGTGCTGGGATTACAGGCGTGACCCACCACGCCCGGCCATTTTTTTTTGAAACGTAGTCTCACTATGTTGCCCAGGCTGGAGTGCAGTGGCGCAGTCTCGGCTCACTGCAACCTCCGCCTCCCGTGTTCAAGCGATTTTCCCGCCTCAGCTGGGATTACAGGCACGTGCCACCATGCCCGGCTAATTTTTTGTATTTTTAGTAGAGACAGGGGTTTCACCATGTTAGCCAGGCTGGTCTCAAACTCCTGACCTCAGGTGATCCGCCCGCCTCATCCTCCCAAAGTGCTGGGATGACAGGCCTGAGTCACCGTGCCCGGCCCCTGACTAGAAATATCTTATTTGCTTGCTCGTTGCCTCTCTACAGTAGGATATGTGCTCAGGGAGAGCTATATCCCCAGTCTGAGAATGATCCCTGATACTGTGACACTAGAAGCACTTGTTGAATAAACAGTGCTATCAAGAGTTTCTATCACATTGCATTGCAGTTTTATATCCCCAAAGGTCGTGGATTGGTGAACAGGGCTGCCATTTTTGTAATGGATGCCAATGCCTGACAGAAATTGCTGTATGAATGATTCCAACTTCCAGCAGCTAAATTATTTATGGCACACAAAAACATTCTTTTCAGGTCCTGCATCTCCAGTATGGAATGTATGTTTGGCCCTGTGCTGTGGTCCTGGCCCAGTACCTTTGGTTTCACAGAAGATCTCTGCCAGGCAAGGCCATCTTAGAGGTACAAATGCCCCTGAAGTTTCCAGAGTTCTAGGTTATGTTCAGATGTGTTAAGTTGACATGTGTATATTGCTTGTTTTTAGCTTTTGTTAAATATTTTTAAATCGGGTAATTTAGCTAGTTTGTAAGGTCTGTGAGCTAAGAATGTTGTTTTGTTTTTGTCTTAAGGTACAGAGATTATCCTGGAACTTTTTTTCATTTAAAAAGTGGTTTTTCGGCTGGGCATGGTGGCTCACGCCTGTAATCCCAGCATTTTGGGAGGCTGAGGCGGGTGCATCATTTGAGGTCAGGAGTTCGAGACCAGCCTGGCCAATGTGGTGAAACCCCATCTCTACTAAAAATACAAAAAGTAGCCGGGCCTGGTGGTGCACGCCTGTAATCCCAGCTACTCGGGAGGCTGAAACAGAATTGCTTGAACCCTGGAGGCGGAGGTTACAGTGAGCAAAGATCGCACCATTGCCCTCCAGCCTGGGCAACAGAGCGAGACTCCATCTCAAAAAAAAAAAAAAGTGGTTTTTTAAAGAAGATACTGGGTGTGATGGCTCACACCTGTAATCCCAGTACTTTGGAAGGTCGAGGTGGGAAGATGACTTGAGCCCAGGAGTTTGATACCAGCCTGGTCAACATAGTGAGACGCTGTCTCTAAGAAAAAAGAAAAGTGTGACAGAGATGATAGGTGGACCACAAAGCCTAAAATATTGACTCTCTAGCCCTTTAGTTTGCTGACCGCTATTCTAGATGAAGCCCCTGAACTGCCTTCCACGGCCGTGGCAGTCTTTAAGGCCATTGTTTTAGGTGTCCCAGCAGTGTCATGCAGCCTTTTTATATTCAGGTTGCTGTAACAAAATACCATAAACTGGGTGGCTTACAAATAACAGAAATTTATGTCTCTTGCCGGGCGCTGTGGCCCATGCCTGTAATCCCAGCACTTTGGGAGGCCAAGGCGGGCGGATTGCCTGAGGTCAGGAGTTCAAGACCAGCCTGGCCAACATGGTGAAACCCCGTCTCTACTATAAATAGAAAAAATTGGCTGGGCGTGGTGGCTCATGCCTGTAATCCCAGCACTTTGGGAGGCTGAGGCGGGCGGATCACGAGGTCAGGAGATCGAGACCATCCTGGCTAACACGGTGAAACCCCGTCTCTACTAAAAATACAAAAAAAATTAGCCGGGCCTGGTGGCGGGCGCCTGTAGTCCCAGCTACTCGGGAGGCTGAGGCAGGAGAATGGTGGGTGAACCCGGGAGGCGGAGCTTGCAGTGAGCCGAGATCGCACCACTGCACTCCAGCCTGGGCGACAGAGCGAGACTCCATCTCAAAAAAAAAAAAGATAAAATTAGCCAGGCCTGGTGGCACATGCCTGTAGTCCCAGCTACTCAGGAGGCTGAGGTAGGAGAATCGCCTGAACCCAGGAGGTGGAGGCTGCAGTCAGCTGAGATTGTGCCACTGCACTCCAGCCTGGGCAACAGAGCGAGACTGCATCTCAAAAGAATAAAGAAATTTGGGTATCAGTTCTGGAGGCAGTGAAGTCCCAGGATGAAAGTCCTTACAGGTTCAGTGTCTGGTGAGGGCCAGAATTCTGGTTCAGACAGTGTCCTCTGTGTTCTTAAGTGTCTTGTACCTTAAGAAGCAAAGCAACTCTCCAGGGCATTTTATAAGGGCACTAATCATGAGAACTCTGCCTTTATGTAATTGCCTCCCAAGGCCCACATCAGATGGGTAATTAGGATTTGAACATATGAATTTTGGGTGAACACATTCAGACCGTAGTGTAGCCCTTTCTGTTTTTGGAAATGTTGAGATTAGTGTAAAAATGTATCCCATTCTCTTTCTAACCTCACTACCTGGCCTCAGACTGGTGAAGGCTTGGAAAAACCAATTTTATCACATTTGCAGAAATAGACTTTCACACCATACTTAAGACCAAAGGCTAAATAGACAAACCAGAAGCTTAATATTAACATCCCACTCTTAACTTTTACTACACCAAGTAAATGAAATTAGGGGTAGGATTTGGCACACACCTCTGGTCCTAGTTGTAATTGCTGGGCACTCACAATAATTCTATCTCTGTGTCCTTCCTTGAACTGGAAAATGGGAAGCTTGTGTTTATGCTAATACTTATGAAGGCATTCCCTGGTATTATTTCTTAGTGTCTGCAAAGCATCTTGCCGCTTTGAAGGCCCAACTGGAAAATCTTTACTAGAAAGCCATGTTGCAGACCTGTTAGGTTTTAGCTACAGAAAAGCAATCAACTATAGAACATGCTAACAGAAGTGAAAATTAGGCTGAGTGCTGTGGCTCATGCCTGTAATCCCAGCACTTTGGGAGACTGAGGCTGGTGGATCACTTGAGGTCAGGAGTTCAAGACCAGCCTGGCCAACATGGTGAAACCCAGTCCCTACTAAAAAATACAAAATACTAGCCGAGTGGCTGGGCACGGTGGCTCATGCCTGTAATCCTAGCACTTTGGGAGGCCGAGACAGGTGGATCACCTGTCGGGAGTTCAAGACCAGCCTGACCAACAGGGAGAAACCCTGTCTCTACTAAAGAAATACAAAATTAGCTGGGCTTGGTGGTGCACGCCTGTAATCCCAGCTACTTGGGAGGCTGAGGCAGAATTGCTTGAACCCGGGAGGCGGGGGTTGCAGTGAGCCAAGATTGCACCATTGTACTCCAGCCTGAGCAACAAGAGCCAAACGCTCTCAAAAAAAAAAAATTAGCTGGGCTTGGTGGCCAGTTACTCAGGAGGCTGAGGCAGGAGAATCACTGGAACCCGGGAAGCAGAGGTTGCAGTGAGCCGATATTGCACCACTGCACTCCAGCCTGGAGAACAGAGCAAGACTCCGTCTCAAAAAAATAAAACAAAACTGAAAATCATGGCAGAGGAATCAAGTGCCCCAAAACTACTTCTGTGTGCATAGCAATTAACTGCCAGTTACGATACATGGCCCTTTAATATTGAAATTGAAGGTTAAGCTTTTACCTTTTAGCAGAGTAGATTCATAAGGAATGTACTTTTGTCATGTTTATAGTAATGTTCAGTTACGGTACATTTTATACAAACCCAGAAAGACTGACTCTATGCTTATTTAAAAATGCAAGAATATAATGAAAAAGTACTAAGATTCCCAATTATTTGCAGTTCCAAGTATAATTGTGAAATGCCATCTTTCATAACTTATTAGATTGGAGCTGGAGTGAGCCTTCCAGGAATTTTGGCTGCCAAATGTGGTGCAGAAGTAATACTGTCAGACAGCTCAGAACTGCCTCACTGTCTGGAAGTCTGTCGGCAAAGCTGCCAAATGAATAACCTGCCACATCTGCAGGTGGTAGGACTAACATGGGGTCATATATCTTGGGATCTTCTGGCTCTACCACCACAAGATATTATCCTTGCATCTGATGTGTTCTTTGAACCAGAAGGTAAGCTTTTTTGGCTCAATAGTACATTTGGCCAGTGATGCTATATGAAAATCTATTCATAAATCCTTTCTCCTCAGATTTTGAAGACATTTTGGCTACAATATATTTTTTGATGCACAAGAATCCCAAGGTCCAATTGTGGTCTACTTATCAAGTTAGGAGGCAAGTATGGATGACCCTTACTTTTTATATGTAACTTAAGCCTTACTCTACCCTACCCATGCGATACATAATTTAAGAATAGAATACATCTGAAGCAAAACAGAAAAGGCATGACTTTAAAAGAACAACTTTTTTTTTTTAAGTGCTGACTGGTCACTTGAAGCTTTACTCTACAAATGGGATATGAAATGTGTCCACATTCCTCTTGAGTCTTTTGATGCAGACAAAGAAGATATAGCAGAATCTACCCTTCCAGGAAGACATACAGTTGAAATGCTGGTCATTTCCTTTGCAAAGGACAGTCTCTGAATTATACCTACAACCTGTTCTGGGACAGTATCAATACTGATGAGCAACCTGGCACACAAACTATGAGCAGACCACTTCAGCTTGAGAATGCAGTGGGTCTGAAGATGGTCAAGTCTGTTTGCCTTAGATTTTGATGTCACCTAGACAACACTTAAACTCATATGAAACAAAAATTAAAATACGTATTACAAGTACTTGGATTGTTCCTTAGTCATTAAATAGGATATAAATTAGGTTGAGAAGGGGGTATCACAACCTCAAGAAAAGTGCCACTTAAAGCATTGCTTTTAGGTGTTCAACTGGCATTTCCACTTTAACTTAGGAAATGATAGGCACTAAACATTCCACTTCCATACTATGCAGTCAGCCACAATCACAAAATTGAATAGGTCCTTCAAATAAATGGGGGAAAAAAAGACCGAGACATATTCTGAGAAAAGCTAACACCAAGAAAATGTTTTAATTAAACTACAGAAACAATGGTTATAATACAGAATATTCATAAGCAAAAAGATACACCATGTTATAAGTACTTACAAAGTTACAACCATTTGCTTCCTTAACATTTTCCATGTTAAGTTCATACATGTAGATATGATCAGATTTACCATTTTTAGGGGGAAGAGGGAAAAAAAGGTGTATTTATCATCAGCTAGATGTGCTCACTGTATGCTCCGTTATTTATATGCAAGGCCCGGGTGACTGGAAGTGCAGTTGTCAGGCATTTTAATAAACTGGACAGCCATTTGTTTCTGCACGACAAGGCATCTTTACACAGGAGCAATCGGGAGAAAACAGGAAACAGCCAAGCACTCTGCACTGCAACACGCCACCTTAACAGCTAACCAGCATTACTCAACTGCTACACAACTGCGCCTAGTGCACAAAAATACATAAGAGAAGAGATTAGAATTGTGTTTGATAAACAATCCTTTCAAAAAATCAAGTCTTTTCACCTGAAAAGTCTTTATACAAATTTGGGTTCAGATTACCATTTAGATCTGAAGGTAAATAACATATACAAATTTACACCAACTTTTGTAGGTTTTTAATTTTAAGGAATGAAGGCAATGCTGAGTCAATCTCTTGACAGCTTTAGGCTGTGTGTAATGGCTGCACACGTTTTCCTTAAAAGTCAGGAGGCCACAAATTAGGTTACCAATCTGTTTAATTTCAAACAAAAAAAGTCAGCACTATATAACAAAATGAAATTTTACCTCAAATATCCAAATCCAATAATGAAATCTGAAGTCGTTCACCTCACTAAATTACAAGAAATTTGAATAACAGCAACAAAATGGCACATAAAATGAAGTTTGCCAACTGAGGCAAAGCTTAAACAAGTAAAAAGTTAGACAAATGTTACAAAATAACCTTTTCAATAGCCAGTTGCTTGTTCCAAGGACTCTTCTTCGATGGACTATGTGGTCCTTTTTCCCCAAGTCCTCCGTTTACACTGCTTGCCGATACATCTAGGTTTGAAAAGAAAGAAGTTCAGCTTACCTTCCATTAAAGTGCACATGGTTTCAGTTTCAGGCACGTACTTACTAAGGCTCTGGTCAAACCAGTAGGGTACAGAAATGTTCCACCCAGCCATGTTTTTAAAAGGCCCAATTAGGAAAATTTCACAAAGGCTACCATCAGCATGTACAAGTTTGAATTTACGTATTCCTGGCCAAATAACCAAGGTGAAGAAAGGTAAGGGGAAGAAAAAAAAAGAAAAAAAAAAGGGCTGTATCCAAACAAAAACAACTCGAGATCAGAGAATTGGTCTATATTTCATTAAGATAAATTGTTTCAAATGAAACATTTGGTAATTGAGAATACTACTTTAATATCTGAGCTACTTAGGGCCCTTTCCTTTTTAAAAAATAGGACCAAACAATTTAAGAGTTAAAGACACACTATCCTTTCCCCACCCAGTGCAATACCTGTAACTTTCTTTTGGGGTTCCAAATGTTCACTGCTTCTTATTGCAATTCTTTTGCCACATCCATTAGAATATGAAGTCCCAGTCAGTACAACAATAGTTGAACTGATTGTTTCTCTAAGAGGATAGTGCATCTTTAACATTTAAAGACAAACCTGCTCCAATACACGCCCACAGAAACTGGTCCCTGGAGGATCAGCCAAATCAGTTAAAATCTGCAATACTGGCCAATATTCTTTTATCAAACAGGAGACCGCAGCTTTAAAGGGGGAAAATGCAGACGTTGGATAAAAACAGCAAGAAATAGTCATTTTCATTAATAGGTCTCAAACAGTTTACGAAACAGCCATTATTATCTAAGCTTCATACACATCCTTTCTGCAGACCCCTCTCTTCAGTATTACTCCCAAAGGTGAGTAACCTCCGAGCAGCACTCCTAATGATAGGAGTCATTCTTACATTAACACGACTCAAAAAGACCTACCCCAAATCCCATTTATGAATTAGGGTTATGTGTCTCGGATTCCCAGACATTACCATTTTCTTAAGAGGACACCGCTCCTTCCTCTTCAGGAGACTTGGGGGGACTCTTCGATCGCGACCTGGATTTGGATTCCCTCTTGGACACTGGGGGAGGACTCCTGGACCGAGACCGGGACCTGGACCGCGAACGAGATCTGGAGACCGACGAGGACTTGGACTTGGACCTTCGTGCGGATCTGGACTTGGAGGTCGACCGAGATCGAGAACGAGTGCGGGACCGAGACTTCGAGCGGCTGTAGCGAGATCGGCTGCGAGACCTGGAACGACTCCGACTCCGGGATCGGCTGCGGCGACGCCGCCTAGGGCTGCGGGCGGGACGAGCAAGCACAGCGGGGTTAATTCCAGGCAGCGGGGCCGGCCCCGCCCGCGCGCTCCCGCCCAGGCCGCCATTATCTCGCCGCCAGACGCCATTTCCCCAGTCGCGAGGCGGGGTCCTCCGCCCCGCGCCGCCCACACCCCGGCCACTCCCGGGTCGCAGACGGCGGAAGCTCGCGGGGTGGCCGGAGGGTCGCGAGACGCGGCGTGCACCCCCGCCCCGTCCGGGCCCGCACCACGTGCTTCGCCGCGGACCTTTGTGAGGTCGCCCGGGCCTCCCGCGCGCCCCGCCCCGCCTCCCGCGGTCCCCTCAGCCCCGTTTACCTGCGGCTCCGGCGTCCGTAGCCACCGCCCCCGTACCTGCGGGGTGGCGGTCCCCGGCGGCTGTGGTGTGAGTCCGGGGGGCGGCCGTAGCGCGCCATTTGCACCCGCAGCTCGCGGCCGTCCAGCACGGCCCCGTCCATGGCATCCATAGCGTCCTCAGCGTCGCGCTTGTCGTGAAAGCGAACGAAGGCGAAGCCGCGGGACTCCTTGGTGTAGCGGTCCCGCGGGATGTACACGTCGCCGACGCGCCCGTACTTCTCGAAGACGCGCCTCAGCGTGTCGGGCGAGGTGCGGTAGGTCAGGTTGTCCACCTTGAGGGAGGTCATACCCTCCACATCGGGAGGGGGGCGGCCGTAGCTCATAGCTCTGAGTGGCGGCCCGGAGCCCCGCGAACTGGCGCCGGCTTCCTCAGCTCTGGGCGGTGCGACGCCGCGCCTCTCAGGCAGTTGCCTTCCGCGTGGGGACACTGGGAAAGGCCTTGCCGCAGAACAGCACGGACGGGCTCCGCAGGCTAGCGCACCTGAGTAACAACTGGGCGGGCAGCCGGCCTCTGCGCCCGTTTATATCGCTCCTCACAAAATGGCGCCCGCGCCACCCGGAAATGAAACCTTCTGATTGGCCCACCGCGCCCCGCTTCGTAACGACCCTGCCGCGCGCCCCGCCCCTACCCGAAGCGCCTGCGCACAGCCCGGCGGGCGGGCCAAAAAGCGCGGAGTCACGGCTGGAGGGAGGGGGAGCGGAATTAGCGGGCAGTTGGAAAGCCCGCGAAACGCTTTTTCCGCCTGGGAGGCCGGACGATCGCGATTGGGCAGGAGGAAGAGGAGGTGCTCCCCATCTGGGCCCCCACCTTTTTTTCATGCCAATACTCCAAGTTCACGCCCCTTTTTTGCTCAGCCGTCAGCCCCGTCTCCGTCTGAAGAGTGCTTCTGCCCTCATTTGCCTCTCCCTGTGACCCCGGCCCCCTCAGACTCCGCTGCGTCGTCTCTCGGCCCCGTCCAGCCGTTCCTGACTGCTCTTCGCCGGAGTCCGCTTCCCAACCCCCTTTCGCCAGAGCCCGAGAGCTCCGTCGGCTCTGCGTCCTGGCGGTGGGGACTCCCCGCGGAGCGCTTGCGCGTGCCAGGCCACCCGGGACTACGTTTCCCAGCGGGCCGAGCGGCCGGCGCCGCGGCTGCGGTCAGGTGACCCGGTCGCCTGGCCGCAGTGAGTCAGGCTGGGAGGGCGGGGCCGCGCCGGCTGCTGCGGCTGGCACTTGGCCCTTTAATCCCCTTCGTGGGCCCCTCAACCTGGAGCGGATAAATTCTTGGCGCTTCTCCGGGGGTTGTGCTCTTCCGTACTCGGATCGCTTCTTAGGAGTATCCTAACTGCCGGTGGGGAGAACTTCGCCCTAAACCTGGGGTTCCGATCCAGGAACTGGAAGTTGACAGCTTGGCTGCCTGGCTCCTGCATCTGCCTTCTCCACTCACCATCTCATTTCTTTCTCCAGGATTGTCAGTGGCTTCGCCCCGAGGAGAGCTGACTGCCCTGGGCTGCTGCCTCCGGCAGAGCTGAGCCAAAATGTCCCCGGAATCTAAAAAGCTTTTCAACATCATTATTTTAGGAGTTGCCTTTATGTTTATGTTCACTGCCTTTCAAACTTGTGGAAATGTGGCGGTGAGTTGGAATCTGTCCTCCCTCCTTTGAAGTGCCCATCATAATGCAGTCCAGAAATGAAAATAAACGTTCATTATATCTAATAGCGCGCTTTAATTGCATCTTTCATTTTTCCCACCCAGACTTCCTCATTTTTTATGATTAGGTTTGATTTCTTGTGTCAGACATTTCTCATGGGGGCGTTAAGCATTATCGTTTAATCTGATTTGATTAGGGGTTTGGATGTTAACCTGGTTATTTTGTTTCTCGTCTGTATTAAGCGCTTCCTTAGTACTTGGATGGTTACAGCTGCTTTTCCTCCCCCCTCCCTGTCATTGGTTTGCCTTCTGCAGTTCTGTTGTCCTTTTTCTTTTCTCATAATGGACTTCAGTATTAAGTACATTATGAACTTTTACTTTATTCTCTTGCTGAGTACTTGGAGTCACACTTCCCAAGGGTGGGAGGGAGACTGCAAAACATTTTCGTTGATTAGTTTTATCTTCCACACAGCAAACTGTCATCAGGAGCTTAAATAGGACAGATTTTCACGGCAGTGGATATACCAGGTATTGTACCGTATGATTGATTTTGCTTTATATTTGACAGTAGTTGCTTAAATCTCATCAGAATCACCAGCAATAGAATATTGTGATTGAATAAGTGGTGATGGCATTTTCTCTTCTCAGTGCCTAGACTGAGAGAACATAATAGAATAAAGCTGATGAGTTTAGGTTTCCTGTGGAATTAGGCACTAGGTTTGAAATCCTGACTCTACAAGGTATTTATTGCATTGTTATCTTAGGTAAGTGTTTCCGTGAGCCTAATTTCCTAGTTCAGACAATGCATGTAAAGCACTTGGCACAGTGCATGGCATTGAATAAGCACTCTAGTATTGTCATGATTAGAATTCCCAGTCCTATAGAAGATGTTGTGATTCTTGAAACATTTGGTCCTTCTGTTTTTGTAATTCATGACGATTAATATACGTATGTCAGGAGCTTTTAGATTTTTGTTAAGGTGATTAGTCCCAATTTTACAGATGGGTAAAATGAAAAGACCTTCACAAGTCACTAGAACCTTGTGATTGGACCTGAGAATGTAATATGTACAGGTATATATACACAAACAGGTTTTTCTTTTTTAAAATTAGATTTGTTAATTGACAAATGAAAATTGCCTGTTATTTATTGTGTACAACATGTTTTGAAATATGTGCCATGGAATGGCTACATTGAGCTGTAGAAACAGTTTCTTAATTTCTCTAGAGTTAGAGATTGGATCGTGGCACTCCCCCGCCCCCCACAAACCCATAACTCATACTTGGTTCTTTTTCCCTATCCTAAGCCTTGTATGTAATATTTGAGAATGAAGGGATGTTACTGTTCATTTTTGTAAGTGATTAGTAGCACAGCTTTTTCTACTTTTTTGTCTTCATGTGTATTCTAAAGAACAAATGCGGCCGGGTGCGGGGGCTCACGCCTGTAATCCCAGCGCTTTGGGAGGCGGAGGTGGGCGGATCACGAGGTCAGGAGATCTAGACCATCGTGGCTAACACGGTGAAACCCCGTCTGTACTAAAAATACAAAAAAAAAAAAAATTAGCCAGGCATGGTGGTGGGCGCCTGTAATCCCAGCTACTCGGGAGGCTGAGGCAAGAGAATGGCGTGAACCCGGGAAGGGGAGCTTGCAGTGAGCAGAGATTGTGCCACTGGACTCCAGCCTGGGCGACAGAGCGAGGCTCCGTCTCAAAAAAAAAAAAAAAAAAAAGAACAAATGCAAAAACACATTTGATATTTGAGAGATTCATAAAAGCCAAAGAATAATTTACTTTGGATTTATGAATAGTATCTAGTAAATGAATTCAGGGCCTTTGAAATGGTTTTAACCACACTTCGTACAAGACATATGTACTAGGGCTGGGTCAATAGTAACTGAGTAATAATGTTCAAGTGAGACCATTAGGTTGAGTTAAATAAATTCTGGCTTAAGCAAGTTGTAGCTCTGCGCTTGTTATTTATAGCAGAGAAATGTCATGACGCTGCCAGAGTTGTAGGCTAAGTTTGTAGGGCAGATTGGTGGACTGGGGCCTCTGGAGTCATGCAGTCCTGGCTCGACATTCACCAGCCACCCAGCTGGACTTTTGGCAAATTACTTAATCCCACTGTATTTCCTTTTTCTTTTCTTTCACATGAGGATAATAACAATATCTTTCTCCTAGTGCTGTTAGGATTAGAAGAGAAAATCTGTATAAGGTACTTGGCACAGTTCCTGTTACTATGACTTACCAGTATGTAAAAAATGTATTGTAGGCAGACTGATCCCAAGGCACAGTTGGTGGGCTTCAATATTTTGTACAAATGAAAACTTTTATATGGTATTGAATTGAATGATATAACTATCATAAATTCTGACTAAATAATATGAGTGTTTATTGTAAAATCTATAAACAAATGGATTTTAAACAGTGACACAGCATATAAGGGCTTTGTTCTTTTTTTTTTTTTTTTCCGTTTGTGTATTATGTGTGCAGCATGGCTATTATCTATGGAGTGTTCTCTGCTTCAAATTTGATTACACCGTCAGTGGTTGCCATTGTAGGACCTCAACTCTCTATGTTTGCCAGTGGTTTATTTTACAGGTAAGTAGTGTAATCTTGCACTTATTTAATCAGAACACTTGTCAGGATCTTTCAAGTAGATAGTAAACTTCACAATAATTTATAGACTTGGACTGAATAGAATATAGGTGGTATTTTACGAATTTTGGCTCAGTACTTGTTGCTCAGGGATATCATATTCTAATGTGATAGGATGTATCTATATCTGCTTTTGTTTTATTGTTAATAAAAATAGTATCCAAAAGTCTCTATGAGGGTTGAAAAGAACATTCTATGAAATAATCTTATTTTCTGTCAATTGACTGAAAATATGTGGGGATTCAAATGAAATAACTAAATCTTTCTCTGAACTCTAGAACTATAGTTCCATGATGTGCTAAGCTTTTGGCAAAGAACACTGCAAACCTGTAAAATGTCTGATTTTGCAAATCTGAAATAATAAATTATGGGCCAGGCACAGTGGCTCACACCTGTAAATCCCAACACTTTGGGAGGCCGAGGTATTGCTTGAGCCAAGGATCACTTGGGTCCAGGAGTTCGAGACCAGCCTGGGCAACATGGTGAAACCCTTGTCTCTACCAAAAATAAAAAAAAATTAGCCGGGCTTGGTGGCACATGCCTGTAGTCCCAGCTACTTAGGAGGCTGAGGTGGGAGGATGGCTTGAGCCCAGGAGGTGGAGGTTGCAGTGAGCTGTGATGGTACCACTGCACTCCAGCCTAGGCAATGGAGTGAGACCCTGTCTCAAAAAAATTAATTAATTAAGAAATGAGAAAGTTGATTGTGTCCCTTTTTTCAAAACTGGAGCGATCCTTTACAGGTTGAGTTTTAAAAGAAGAGAATGTCAGAACTGATTCCTAGAAGGCATAATTGGCATTCTATTTCAGGTATCGTTTGACTGTAATACCTTGACCTGTTATATTTTAGCATGTACATTGCCGTTTTCATCCAGCCTTTCCCGTGGTCCTTCTACACAGCCTCTGTTTTCATTGGAATTGCTGCTGCTGGTAAGCATTTTGATTTTTAACTTCTCTGCTTTCTTTTCTGGGGCCTATCTAAGGGTATTATTTATGTGTTTAGTATGTGACTCTAAGTGAATTTCTTTCCCTTGATAAACTTTTGGGTTGAATTTTAGTGCTTTGGACAGCACAAGGAAACTGCCTGACAATCAATTCGGATGAGCACAGCATTGGGAGAAACAGTGGGATTTTCTGGGCACTTCTGCAGTCTAGGTAATTATCCTTTTGAGGTTCAGTCTTTCCTTTTCTTTCTTTTTTTTCTGTCATACCATTTTTTAGGTCTTTGGTTGACAATTTGGATCTTCCATGTTACGTGACTTAAGTTCTAGCTAAATGTGACGTGATTCCAATTTTATAGAATCACTTGTAATAATGGCTGAGTATGGTGGCTCACTAGCTACTCAGGACTATTTATACCAATACTGAATATAGCATACTAACTTTTTTTTTTTTTTTAAATGAGACGGTGTCTCACACTGTCACCTGGGCTGGAGTGCAATGGCACGATCTCGGCTTACTGCAAGCTCTGCCTCCTGGATTCAAGCAATTCTCCTGCCTTAGCCTCCTGAGTAGCTGGGATTACAGGCGCCCACCACCACGCCCGGCTAATTTTTTTTGTATTTTTAGTAGAGACGGAGTTTCACTATGTTGGCCAGGCTGGTCTCGAACTCCTGACCTTGTGATCCGCCCGCCTTGGGCTCCCAGAGTGTTGGGATTACAGGCGTGAACCACCGTGCCTGGCCTTAACATTTTTCTTAAGAAGAAAGCAAAACAGCTATTCTGCTCTTGACTGTTGGATTTCTGGAATCTCTTCTGAGGAATCACCCTCATGAATCGCGCCTAAAATTTTGGCCTTGACAAGGCTTAACAAATGCAAATGTTACATTTTAAAGAGTTGTATATTAAGAAACTAGTGTGTAAGTGAATGATTTTTCAGGAAAGTATGCTAAAGAAAGTATTTGATTAGATGCAGATAACTAAATCATGGATTTTTAGAAACAGATTCTTTAAAATTTAGCTTAAGCTTATTTCCAGGGAGTCATTTCCAGAGTTGCAATAAATCACATGTTTCAAAGTGAGTCAATTCTTCTTTGAAGGGTGCCTCTGAATCAGGTTACTGTCACATGGAAGGAGACTGAATTCCATCTGGGGCAGTTAAGTTTATCAGAGTCCAGATGAAGCTGATACTTTTAAATGACCCAGGACAGGTAGATACTTTAAAAATGATGTCCTTCTCTCTCCCTCTCTTACAACAAATAATGGGAATAATTATTTTTAAAAAACTATAAATATTAAAATAATTACCCAACATCCTATCCTCCCTTTTCTTCCCCCAGCTTGTTCTTTGGAAATCTCTACATATATTTTGCCTGGCAAGGGAAAACTCAGATATCAGGTTTGTTTTATTCGCGTTGCTTTATTCAGATATGTTCAAAGCATAATAGGAGTTATATAGAAATACCCATTATTGCTTTATTCAAGCATCGTTCTCATGAACCCCGACACCTCAAGTTCTCGCAGATTTTAGCTTTTAGTAAGACTTTTCCTTGGTTTATATTATTATTATTATTTTGAGATGGAGTTTCACTCTTGTTACCCAGGCTGGAATGCAATGGTGCCATCTTGGCTCACCGCAACCTCCGCCTCCCGGGTTCAAACAGTTCTCCTGCTTCAGCCTCCCAAGTAGCTGGGATTACAGGCCTGCACCACCACGCCCAGCTAATTTTGTATTTTTAGTAGAGATGGGTTTCTCCATGTTGTTCAGGCTGGTCTCAAACTCCTGACCTCAGGTGATCCGCCCTCCTCAGCCTCCCAAATTGGTGGTATTACAGGCCTGAGCCATCCCTCCCAGCCTGGTTTCTATTACTAAACTAGGATTATAGTTTATGACTATGCTTTAAGGGGCTTCTCAGGGTCTAAGGGAAGGTTATGCTGTGCACGAGCTTACGAGAATACTGCGCACGAGTATGTGGTTCTCAGAAGACTTCTGAATGCTCAGTTGTTTTCTCTGGACCCTTCTTTGATTAAAAGAAGGCGATTAAGCCCTTGTGCTGTTTTTCTTTGGCTTATTCATATTTCTCTAACTGAAAGACAAAGGTGAAGGTATCCTATTTGTCTCCTTTTCCTAGGTTTTTACTGATGCATTAAAGTAAAAATGTAACGAGGAAGTGTGTTGACAGTTGTAAGCAGCCCTTGTACCGTGATACTAATTCTGGAATTGTTTGGTCGATACTATCTTGTTTCTTCTTTTTTCTCCGTAGAGAGTGACCGAAGAACAGTGTTTATTGCCCTAACGGTGATTAGCCTTGTGGGGACAGTTCTATTCTTTCTCATTCGGAAACCAGATTCTGAAAATGTCCTAGGAGAAGATGAGTCTTCTGATGACCAGGACATGGAAGTCAACGAGTAAGATGTTGGAAACATTCTATTTTATTTTAAAATAGATTTTGAGTAGATCTAGTCTAGAGATTACCAACCCGTTTAGCCCTAACTGATGTCCAGTACTCTCTGTAGGTTACCACAGGCAAGAAAAGGAAGAAAATAAAGGAGGAGCTGCGAGGGAGGAAGAAAAAAAAGGTCACCAGAGGAAGGGAGGTGGTGAAAAGGTGCACAGGGAAGTTGAGTCTGTTCCTGGCCTTGCCACTGATGTGTGTGACCCTGGACAGTGGCAGCAATTCCTTTCATGTCTCCAGGCCTCAGCTTTCTCACTCAATCCATATGTTTCCATGGGCAAGGAAATAGAAGGCAGTGTTGACCTTGGTTACTGTTTCTGTGATCCAGCTCTAAAGCTTTCCTGTTCTTGTGGTGTGAGTGAGTGGCAGGGCCAGTGATGGTTGTCACAGATGAACCTTGGTTATCACTAGGCTCTTGCTTATGGTGTCCGGCTCTTGCACTAACTTACATAGGCGGTTTTCCCCAGAGTGGTCCAAATAGGGGAATGAGTATACAACCCTGTGTTTTGTAAAAATTGTAAATTACCTAAGCACATTTCAGTTTCAGGTGACACTATTTAAGCATGACAGGCTAGTGATCTGCAGTATCATTTAGATTTGAGGAAGGAGAGATGAGAAATTAATCTCTGCCACCCTTGTTTTGCTTTGTTTGTGATACATTGTGAAGATTGCCTTATAGCATTTTATATATTGTTAAAACTTTCGCATTGAGCATCCCATGCTGACTTTGTAATCCAGAAAGGGCCTAAAATTGTCCAGTCATAGGAGCATTAGATGCTCCAGATTTGCAGTAAGTTTGTGTAAAGCAGAAGCAAGGCAGCGCTTTGGTCTGGATATGCTGCCATGCCCTGCTTTCTTGCTCTTTATTGTGCTTCACAGACACTGGGTTTTTTACAAATTGAAGGCTTGTGGCAACCCTGCATCGAGTAAGTCTTTCTCTCCATACCACTTTTCCAACAGCGTGTGGTCACTTTGTGTCTCTCTGTCACATTTTGGTAATTCTCACAATACTTCAAACATTTCATTCTTATGACATCTGTTATAAGATGTGATCGGTAATCTTTGATGTTACTATTGCAATTGTTTTGGGGCACCACAAACCAGATCCATATAAGGTGGTGAACTTAATTGATAAATGTTGTGTGTGTTCTGACTGTTCCACTGCAGGCCATCCCCCATCTCCCTCCCTCTTCTCCTGAGACACAGCAATATTGAAATTAGGCCAGTTAATGACCCTACAATAGCCTCTATGTGTTAAAGTGAAAGGAAGACATGCATGTCTCTCACTTTATTATTTACTTATTTATTTATTTATTTATTTATTTATTTTTTGAGACGGAGTCTCGCTCTGTCACCCAAGCTGGAGTGCAGTGGCATGATCTCGGCTCACTGCAGCCTCTGCCTCAGCCTCCCAAGTAGCTGGGATTACAGGCATGCACCACCACACCCGGCTAATGACTAATCAAGAAATGACTAAGCTTAGCAAGGAAGACATGTAGAAAGCTGAGACAGGCTGAAAGCTATGCCTCTTGTGCCAAACAGCCAAGTTGTGAATGCAAAGGAAAAGTTTTTGAAGGGACTCAAAAGAGCTACTCCAGGGAACACACGAATGATAAGAAAGTGAAACAGCCTTATTGCTGATACGGAGAAAGTTTTAGTGGTCTGGATAGAAGATCAACCCAGCCACAACATTCTCTGAAGCCTAATCCAGAGCAAGTCCCTCTCTTCAATTCTGTGAAGGCTGAGAGACGTGAGGAATCTTTAGAAGAAAAATTTGAAGCTAGCAGAGGTTGGTTCGTGAGGATCAAGGAAAGAAACCATCTCCATGACATAAAAGTGCAAGGTGAAACAGCAAGTGCTGCTGGAGAAGCTGCAGCAAGTTATCCAGAAGATCTGGCCATTATAATTGACAAACGTAGCTGCACTAAACAACAGGTTTTCAATGTAGACCAAACAGTCTTACATTAAAAGATGCCATCTAGGAATTTTATAGCTAGAGAGAAGTTAATGCCGGGCTTTAAACCTTCAAAGAACAGGCCGACTCTTGTTAGGGGATAATGCAGCTAATGACTTGAAGTTGAAGCCAGTGCTCATTTACCATTCCAGAAACCCTATGACCCTTAAGAATCATGCTTAATCTACTCTGCCTGGGCTCTAGAAATGCAGTGACAAAGCCTGGATGGTAGCACATTTGTTTACGGCATGGCTTATTGACTATTTTAAGCCCACTGTTGAGACCTACTGCTCAGAAGAAAAGGTTCCTCTCAAAATATTACTGCTTATTGACAATGTACCTGATCAGCCAAGTGCTTTGTTGGAGGTGTACAAGGAGATGAATGTTGTTTTCATGCCTTCTAACAACATGTGTTCTGCAGCCCCTGGATCAAGGAGTAATTTCCATTTTTTTTTTTTTGAGACAAAGTCTTGCTCTGTCACCCAGGCTGGAGTGCAGTGGCGGGATCTCGGCTCACTGCAACCTCTGCCTCCCGGGTTCAAGAGATTCCTCCTGCCTCAGCCTCCTCAGTAACTGGCATTACAGGCGTGCACCACCATGCCTGGCTAATTTCAACTTTCAAGTCTTATTATTTAAGAAATACATTTCATGAGGATATAGCTGCCATAGATAATGATTCTTCAGATCTAAGCAAAGTAAATTGTAAACCTTTTGAGAAGGAGTCATCATTCTAGGTAGGTCACATTAAGAACATCTGTGCCTGGGGCTGGGTACAGTGGCTCACGCCTGTAATCCCAGCACTTTGGGAGGCTGAGGCAGGTGGATTGTTTGGGCTTAGGAGTTTGAGACCAGACGGGGCAACATGGTGAAACTTTTTTTTTTTTTGAGATGGAGTCTCACTTTTTCACCCAGGCTGGAGTGCAATGGCGTAGTCTTGGCTCACTGCAACCTCTGCTTCCCAGGTTCAAGTGATTCTTCCGCCTCAGCCTCCCGAGTAGCTGGGACTACAGGCACATGCCACCATACCCAGCTAATTTTTGTATTTTTAGTAGAGACGGGGCTTCACTATGTTGGGCAGGCTGGTCTCGAACTCCTGACCTCGTGATCCACCCGCCTTGGCCTCCCAAAGTGCTGGGATTACAGGCGTGAGCCACCGCGCCTGGCAAAACATTTTGTTTTAAAGCACAAACCAGTAGTTACTGGAGAAGGAGTCTGTGAAAGTGAATACCACAAATTCAATGAAAACTGACCCCCCCATTCAGCCAGCACATGTTTGGTGTTGGTCCTAGAGGACAAATGCCGCCCATCCCTGTTTTTAAGGAACTGCCAAGTTGGGGAGGTGGATGAGGGGTTCTGTAACTGTGAGCTGGCGTTCTTCTAGAAATACTGCTCAGCCTTTGTAGCATTCTCTCTTCCTGAATCGTCTCCTAAATTTGGAGCTTCTGTGTCTTTGTTCTACAAATAGCACAGACTTGTGGCAGCCCTCTTCTATGCCTGAGGGATATAGGCGTGAACAAGACAGATAAGTCCTTGTTCTTACGGGACTTAATTTTAGAGGGGGTGGTAGACAATGCACGTGTAAGAAAATAGCAAAGTGAGTGTTAGGAAGACTGTGAAAGAGGGGGAGAGTGGGGGGGAGGGGGGAGAGTGGGGTGGCTCCCTGAGACGTGGCTGGTGAGACATGAAGGTCAGCGGGTGGCCTTTGCCAAAGCCAGGCAGTGGGAAGGGCGTGGTGGGCTCTGGTCTCCAAGAAGGAAGAAGTGGAAGCAGTAGACAGGGTCAGATTATGTAAGCCAAGATAGGAGGTTTGTGTTTTCTTCTTAGTGTGATTAGAAGCTGTTGAGGGTATAAGTAGAATTCTGTTTTAAAGGTTCCCACCTAAAGGCCTCACAGAAAAAGATTTGAAGAGGTCCAAAGAGACAGCTCTGTCTGTCTTCTGGCTGGGCACAGTGGCTCCTGCCTGTAATCCCAGCACCTTGGGAGGCTGAGGCAAGAAGATCGCTTGAGCCCTGTTTGAAATCAGCCTGGGCAACATAGCAAGACCTAGTCTCTACTTAAAAAAAAAAAAAATGAGCCAGGTGTGGTGGTGCACGCCTGTAGTCCCAGCTACTTGAGAGGCCGAGGTAGGGGGAAGCTTCAGCAAAGGGATTCAAGGTTGCAGTGAGCTGTGGTCACGCCGCTGCACTCCAGCATGGGCAACAGAGCAAGACCCTGTCTTAAAAAAAAAAAATCTGTCCTCTATCTCAAGTGCGTAATTTGCATCTCTGAGGACTTATTAGCTGGGTGATCTCTGGGTGTTTCTTCATTGGCAGTTACTTCTATCCTCCTTCTCCCCTCCTCCCTGTATTCTTTCCTTCCTCTCTTCTTTCCTCCCTCTATCCTTTCACTTCTTACCTTCCTGCATTCATCCTTTCTTTCCCTTCCCTCTCTCCCACCCTCCCTTCCTCTCTCCCTTCTTTTCTTCCTTCCCCTATATTTGAGGTTCTCTGATATTCCAAGCATTGTGCTAAATAAAACAGAAGTTTGTGCATTCATGGAGCTTACTTTCTAGTTGGTGACAGAGAGAAAAGAAACAGGCAGGTTTTAAAAATAGCTTTATTGAGATATAACTCATATACTATATAATTCACCCATCTAAAGTATACACTTCAGTGCTTTTGAGTATATTCACAGAGTTGTGCGTCCATCATTGAAACCAATTTTAGAATATTTTATGAATACTTTTATTACCCCAAAAAGGAGCCACAGGATGAATGTGATGGCCCATGCTTGGCCTGTGGTTCCTTTTCCAGGTAATAAAAATCATAGCACTTTGGGAGGCCGAGACAGGCGGATTGCTTGAACCCAGGAATTTGAGATTAGCCTGAGCAACATGGCGAAACACCATCTCTACCAAAAAAAAAATACAAAAATTAATCAGGCATGGTGGCGCATGTCTGTGCTCCCAGCTACTTGAGAGACTGAGGTGGGAGAATCGCTTACGCCCAGGACGCGGAGGTTGCAGTGAGCCAAGATAATCACACCACCACACTCCAGCCTGGGTGACAGGGAGAGAGCCTGTCTCAAAAAAAAAAAGAAGAAGAAGGAACAATGTATGCTGTAGCCTATCTCCATATGGTTCTTGAAATAAAAAAATAAAGCAGGCTGGGCACGGTGACTTAAACCTGTAATTCCAGCACTTTGGGAGGCCGAGGTGGGCGGATCACGAGGTCAGGAGATCGAGACCATCCTGGCCAACATGGTGAAACTCCGTCTCTACTAAAAATACAAAAATTAGCCTGGTGTGGTGGTGTGTGCCTGTAATCCCAGCTACTCAGGAGGCTGAGGTAGGAGAATCGCTTGAACCAGGGAGTTGGAGGTGGCAGTGAGCCAAGATTGCACCGCAGCACTCCAGCCTGGGCGATAGAGTGAGACTCCTTCTCAAAAAAAAAAAAAAAAAGCAGAGAAGCAATAGAGAAATATGAGGGTGGGAGGTGGAAGGGGAGCTGTTGCAGTTACAGAGTTGGGAAGGCTGAGAAAGTAACATTTAAGTCAGGGCCTGAAAGAGGTGAGCCAGGTGTGGCTTTTACCTGGAGTGGGATGGTAAGCCATTGGAGGGTTCGAGAGAGGACTGACAGTGGTCTAACTTAAATGGTAAATAACTCACTGAATTAAATTGGAAGTGATTTGCAGCTGAATTATTGTATTTTAGTCGTCTGTAGAGTATAAATCAGTTAATTGGGGCCTGAAGGGTAAAATATTGGAATCCTACATGGGATCCTATCCAAGTATAAAATGAGGGTACTACCAAATGATGGCATCTAAATAGTATTTGCTTCCGGGCAAGGCATGAGTTTTATGATGAGGAAAAAAGTTTTCTTGCTGGTTAGAGCACACTATTTTTTTGTGTGTTAGTAATTTTTTTTTTTTTTTTTTTTTTGAGACAGAGTCTCACTCTGTCGCCCAGGCTGGAGTGCAGTGGCGCAAACTCGGCTCCGCCTCCCGGGTGCACGCCATTCTCCTGTCTCAGCCTCCTGAGTAGCTGGGACTACAGGCTCCTGCCACACGCCCGGCTAATTTTTTGTATTTTTAGTAGAGACTGAGTTTCACTGTGTTAGCCAGGATGGTCTCGATCTCCTGACCTCGTGATCCGCCCACCTCAGCCTCCCAAAGTGCTGGGATTACAGGCGTGAGCCACCGCGCCTGGCCGAGCTTTAGAAATTTTTTAACTTAATTGGATCACCATTAGATTCCTTTTATTTCTTAAGTTAACAAGATCTTCTTTACATTACTTTTTTTTGGTAAAAATGCCATTTAGAGATATAGGAGTAGACTTGGCTATTAGGATAGGAAATGTAATCTTTTTTTTTTTTTTGATACGGAGTCTCGCTCTCTCACCCAGGCTGGAGTGCAGTGACACGGTCTAGGCTCACTGAAACCTCCGCCTTCCATGTTCAAGTGATTCTGCTGCCTCGGCCTCCCAAGTAGCTGGGATTACAGGCACCTGCCACACCTGGCTAATTTTTGTATTTTTAGTAGAGGTGGGGTTTCACCATGTTGGCCAGGCTGGTCTCAAACTCCTTACCTCAAGTGATCCACCCGCCTTGGCCTCCCAGAGTGCTGGGATTACAGGATAGAAATGTAATCTTTTAAAAATCTTTTGGCTGGGTGCAGTGGCTCACACCTGTAATCCCAGCACTTTGGGAGGCCGAGGCGGGCGGGTCACGAGGTCAGGAGATCGAGACTATCCTGGCTAACACGGTGAAACCCATCTCTACTAAAAATACAAAAAAATTAGCCAGGCGTAGTGGCAGGCGCCTGTAGTCCCAGCTACTTGGGAGGCTGAGGCAGGAGAATGGCGTGAACCTGGGAGGTGGAGATTGCAGTGAGCTGAGATCGTGCCACTGCACTCCAGTCTGGGTGACAGAGCGAGACATTGTCTTAAGAAAAAAAAAAATCTTTCTAGGATGGGTGTGGTGGTTCACACCTGTAATCCCAACACTTTGGGAGGCTGAAGTCAGAGGATCACTGAGCCCAGAGTTCCAGACCAGCCTGGCAACCTTGTGGAATACTGTCTCTGCAAAAATTTAAAAATCATGCCTGTCTCTACAGGCATGGTGGTGCATGCCTGTAGTCCCAGTTACTCAGGAGGCTGAGGCAGGAGGATCACTTGAGCCCAGGAGGTCAAGGCTACACTGAGCCATGATTGTGCCAGTGCATTCCAGCCTGATGACAGAGCAAGACTCGGTCTCAAAAAAAAAAAAAAGGAAAAAGAAAAATCTTTAAAAATTAAGGAAAAAATATTTTTTAAAAACTTTCTTATAATCTTATTAACAATTATGCTTAACTTGCATTATCTTATTTAATTCCCATGGGTAAGTCGTAGCATCCCTATTTGATGAATGAGGAAATAATACTTGGAGAAATGAAGTCACTTGTCTAAAATCACACAACTAATTAGCAGCAAAGCCAGGCCTCTGACTCCAAAGCCCTTGTTTCAATCAGTAGATCATTGTGCGTCCCAGCCATGTCACAAGGAGGGCATTCATGATTCTGAAGAGTGTTATTGAATATGATTCTAGTATAATTAAAAACTTATTTCTCCAAAGGAATCATAGAAGGAAATGTCTGCTTTGTGAAAATTGCAGATTAATGAAAGCAAATGGTATCAATAAGAACTCTGCCATCCTCAGTATTATAGCTCAGGCGTGTTGTTGCTCAGTCCTCAGACAGCTGCAGTTGCTCTGTGTATCACCTTATATAACCCACTTCCGTTTCCCATTGAAGAGAAAATGAGGCATAGGATGTACAATGATCTAATGTTAGGCACTTCCTTGACTTCATCAATCTTGGTGGATGAATAAGAAAAATACGTTTTAAGCTTTGGAGCATGATTTCAAGCACTCAGTAGTGTTTCGGCAGTAGTCTTGGTAAACTGGAAAAGTCAGGGATTTTTTTTTTTTTTTTTGAGATGGAGTCTTGCTCTGTTGCCCAGGCTGGAGTGAAGTGGCGTGATCTCAGTTTCTGGGTTCAAGCGATTCTCATGTCAGCCTCCTGAGTAGCTGGGATTACAGGGGTGCACCACCACACCCTGCTAAATTTTTTTGTATTTTTAGTAGAGATAGGGTTTCGCCATGTTGGCCAGGCTGATCTGAAACTCCTGACCTCAAGTAATCCACCCTCAAGTGATCAGCCTGCCTTGGCCTCCCAAAGTGCTGGGGTTCCAGGCGTGAGCCACCACACCCTGCCCAAGTCTGTGATTTGACCTGCCTTGTATGGATAAATAAAATTGCAGGTTGCGACGAAGACCCACCTCTCTCAGCAGGGCAGGAGATAGGCATGAATCCTTGCCTTGGTAATCTTCCTGAGGTAAATATTAGTACAGATTTTAAAATAACCTTCCCTTTTAAAACCTGAGATTTGATGACACTGTTGGTATAGAAACATATAACATATAAAAATCTTGTGCTCACTTCGGCAGCACAAATACTAAAATTGGAACAATACAGAGATTAGCATGGCCCCTGCGCAAGGATGACATGCAAATTTGTGAAGTGTTCCATATTTAAAAAAAAAAATCTTGTTCCATAAAAAAAAAAAATCTTGTCACATGTTGGTTACAGTTCCCAAAAACACTTCATCAGAAAGCACATAGCAGTCGTCACCTGTCAGTGCTTGAATTTTGATGTGAAGCCAATCGAGAGTACAGTACCTGTCAAAGTCTCTTGGTTCTCGATACCCAAACAGTCATAGCAGCAAGGAGATGAATGAAAGCTAACTTCAAGAAAGCCTTCATGATACCACATCCAAAGTAACCACCTCAGGATGCAGAAAATAACAAAAGTCTCTGACGGGTTTTAATGCCAAAGAACTTATTTTTCATAGTAAGGGCGGTAGAAAATTGAGTACTCACAGATTATTTTCAGTTTGAAGGTAACAGGATAGGCCGGGTGTGGTGGCTCATGCCTGGAATCCCAGCACTTCAGGATGCTGAGGCAGGTGGATCACTTGAGCTCAGAAGTTCAAGACCAGTCTGGCAACATGGTGAGACCCCGTCTCTA
The DNA here is from genome assembly GCF_000001405.40 of Homo sapiens. Classification (NCBI taxonomy): domain Eukaryota; kingdom Metazoa; phylum Chordata; class Mammalia; order Primates; family Hominidae; genus Homo; species Homo sapiens. The sequence continues at coordinate 76,753,508 of NC_000017.11, forward strand.
CCAAAACTACAAAAAATTATCTGGGTGTGGTGGGACCCACCTGTAATCCCAGCTACTCAAGAGGCTGAGGTGGGAGGATGGCTGGTGGGAGGATCACCTGAGCCTGCGAGGTGGGGGTTGCAGTGAGCTGAGATTGCATCACAGCACTCCAGCCTGGGAGGTGGAGTGCGACCCTGTCTCAAAAAAAAAAAAAAAAGAAAGAAAGAAAGAAAGTGAAAGTAACAGGATAGAAGGTATTTCTGTACTGCCTGAAGTATCATTTCTGAGAAAGACGTGCATAAACATGTACAATAAGTGTAATCTGAAAGAATAGTCTTCCAATAGTTGATAGAGAGGTGCCCAGGTGGGACTTTAAAAACCTGAAGCGAGGGTGTGGCCATGAGGGACACCCTGAGGCAAGGAGCATTCGAGTCACTGGGAATGCATCTCAGACCTGGTATAGGACAGGGTTTTTACGAACGTAAATGAAAATGTGATCGTATGTTTGTTCTTTTATTTTCAAAAAGAAAAAACTTATTTTTTACATTTTATTTTCTCAGGTCTGCCCAGAACAATCTGACAAAGGCAGTAGATGCTTTTAGTAAGTATTTTCTGTATCTGAAATGCAAGAACTGTTCAGGAACAACTCGGCATTTGCCTTTCCCCTATTCCCTGGTAACTTTGGATTGATGACACCCCAGGGTTTGCATTTTTCCAGGTATGCTGCTCTGAAATATATTGATCTTCCTTATCAACATCTCTCTAACATGGGGGTTGTGAGGGATGGATGATGGTATGACTGCCCACCTGCCCAGGTGTGTGAGGGAAGTGGAAAGAGGCTGCATAGCACTCAGGTTCTCCCTGAAGTTGAGAGTCTTCCTGGGATTTTTGCAGGGTAATTAAGAGCAGATTGTGGCTGCGCGCAGTGACTCGCGCCTGTAATCTCAGCACTTTGGGAGTCCAAGGCAGGCGGATCACCTGAGGTCGGGAGTTCAAGACCAGCCTGGCCAACATGGCGAAACCTCTTCTCTACTAAAAATATAAAAAATTTGCCGGGCGTGGTGGCATGCACCTGTAGTCCCAGCTACTCAGGAGGCTGAGGCAGGAGAATTGCTTGAACCTGGGAGGTGGAGGTTGTAGTGAGCCGAGATTGCCCCACTGCACTTCAGCCTGGGTGGCAGAGGGAGACTCCATCTCAAAAAAAAAAAAAAAAGAGCAGATTGCTTGCTACTTCTTGGAGCAAAGCAGTAGCTCCAGTGACCCAGAAGGTAGTAAGAATAATCATGTTCATGCATTGAGAAGTCTTCCTGGCCAAAGACTCTGCTGAATTCTTTGTTTTTTACTCTATGTAATTCTCACAATTCTACGAGTATTATATAATACACACCTATCATTGTCTCAGTTTAACAGAACAGAAAACTGAGGCTTAGAGAAATTAAATAATTTAAGGGCCAGGCATGGTGGCTCACACCTGTAATGCCAGCACTTTGGGAGGTCATGGTGAGTGGATCACTTGAGGTCAGGAGTTTGAGACCAGCCAGGCCAACATGGCGAAACCCCATCTCTACTAAAAATACAAAATTAGTCGGGTGTGGTGGCGGGCGCCTGTGGTCCCAGCTATTTGGGAGACTGAGGCAAGAGAATTGCTTGAACCCAGGAGGTGGAGGTTGCACTGAGCTGATATCACGCCACTGCACTCCAGCCTGGGCAGCTGTGAGACTGTCTCAAAAAAAAAAAAAAATTAAATAATTTACCCAAGATCAACCAGTTAGTAGGTGGCTGAATTGGGATTTGAGCCAGATTCTCTTAATTTCCTTCAGAAACTTCCAGTGAGTCCCTTTTGCTTCTGCCTATGGCTCTCTCAGCTTCTTTGTCTTCTCAGGAGAGGGAATCTGACTGGGGCAGTTATTCTCAAGAAGAGAGCAGCCTTTTGAGACCATGTATATTCATTAAGCCTATTGTAGGCCACAGGGCGTTAATGACATGTGGCCCTTATGGCCCTTGAGTACTTATGATTAGTTTCTAGGTTGCCTTGGGCTGGAGTGCAGATTCTTGATCTAATCAGCCATGGCCTGGCTCAGATGACACAAAGCTTGTTAACTCTTGGCCAGAAATGCCTGTAGCTTGTTTTTTTAGAAAAGGTCTATGAGCATGGGAGTCTGAGCCTTCTATACGTAGTATATTGTTTCAGGAATATATTCATAGTTTTTTACATATATATATGTGTATATATATGTGTATATGTATATATATGTATATATATGTGTATATGTATATATGTACGTGTGTGTGTGTGTGTGTATACATATATATATATATATATATATTTTTTTTTTTTTTTTTTTTTTTTTTTTGAGATGGAGTTTTGCTCTTGTGGCCCAGGCTGGAATGCAATGGTGCGATCTCAGCTCACCACAACCTCCACCTCCTGGGTTCAAGCGATTCTCCTGCCTCAGCCTCCCAAGTAGCTGGGATTACTGGCATGTGCCACCACACCTGGCTAATTTTTGTATTTTTAGTAGAGATGGGATTTCTCCACGTTGGTTAGGCTGGTCTCAAACTCCCGACCTCAGGTGATCCACCCGCCTTGGCCTCCCAAACTGCTGGGATTACAGGCATGAGCCACTGCACCCAGATTTTTTTTTTTTTTTTTTGAAACAGAGTCATGCTCTGTTGCCCAGGCTGGAGTGCACTGGCACCATCTTGGCTCACTGCAACCTCTGCCTCCCGGATTCAAGTGATTCTCCTGCCTCAGCCTACTGAGTAACTGGGACTACAGGCACGTGCCACCACGCCCAGCTAATTTTTGCATTTTTTAGTAGAGACAGGGTTTCTCCATTTTGGCCAGGCTGTTCTCAAACTCCTGACCTCAAGTGATCCACCCGCCTCGGCCTCCCAGAGTGCTGGGATTATAGGCGTGAGCCACCACACCTGGCTCGGGAATGCATTTATAATTATAAATTGAGCCACACGTGATAATTAAAAGGATTATACTCTGACTCCCTTAGCAAGGTAGGAGGTCAATCACTGTCAAAAGTTTGGCTTTCATCTTTGCAGGCCTAGAAACTTGTCTGTCAGAATACCCATTATTAGGCCGGGTGCAGTGGCTCATGCCTATAATGCCATCACTTTGGGAGGCTGAGGTGGGAGGATCACTTGAGGTCCGGCATTCAAGACCAGCCTGGCCAACATGGTGAAACCCATCTCTACTGAAAATACAAAAATTAGCCAGGCATGGTGGCGGATGCCTGTAATCCCAGCTACTCAGGAGGCTGAGGCTGGAGAATTGCTTGAGCCTAGGAGGCGGAGGTTGCAGTGAGCCGAGATTGCGCCACTGCACTCCAGCCTGGGCGACAGAGTGAGACTCCATCTCAGAAAAAAAAAAAAAAAAGAATACCCATTATTGATCACAGAGGCCAGAGGGGAAAAGGACTCAAGCTAAACTCATAGAAATGGCAATTTAACCATTTTTGATGGCACTTGACATTTCTTAGTGAGCCCTTTCATGGATATTTCCTTCTTGTTGTCAGCAGGCTAGAAAGCCACATTGGCTTACTTGGTGAGATCGGAGTCGTTAAAGGGAGGTAGATGACCTGGCTTATGGGATGGTGTCCCCAGCCATGGTGAAGCTGCTCCATCATAGATCCCCCTCTGGCTGTCTGTTAATGTTAACCAGATTCAGGACATCTCACCTAGACAGTTGGACAGACTTTGCCTCAACTCTGTCTGTAAAAGGAGGCACTGACACATTTTGGGCCACATGCTTTGCATTACGGAGCTTGTCAGTTACTTGATAGGATTGATTTATCATAGGATATTGGGCTGTCAGGTTTGAAGAGGGAGAAGGTATGGCACGTAGGGTGCTGCAGGGAAAGTAGACTCAGGGGCCAGTTCCTGGGCAATTGGGGCACAACAGGAAGTCGTGAGGTGGCAAGGGAGCCAGAGGCATAGGGAGAGAGGGAGAATGAATGGCAAGGCTTCATGTGGCCTGTGTGTGGCCAGTGCTTCATTTATTAATTAATCATGACATTCCTGTGGTTGGGGCTGTGATGAATGTTGTACAGAGAAGGTTCCTACATACTATCTAAAATCACTTACTTCCCAGACTGAATTTATACGTTTAGTGTGCTTCTAAAATATGTTCGTAAAGTTTTTAAACATTGATTTTTTGATCTTGAGGAAACAATGCTAAAGTTCTTCTACTAGGATGAATGTCTGAAAACAGCCAAGAAAATGTTCTCAGGCCGGGCACGGTGGCTCATGCCTGTAATCCCAGTACTTTGGGAGGTCAAGGCAGGTGGATCACGAGGTCAGGAGTTCAAGACCAACCTGGCCAGGATGGTGAAACCCTGTCTCTACTAAAAATACAAAAAAATTAGCCAGGCATGGTGGTGGGTGCCTGTAATCTCAGCTATTTGGGAGGCTGAGGCAGAGAATTGCTTGAACCCAAGAGGCGGAGGTTGCAGTGAGCCAAGATTGCACCACTGTACTCCAGCCTGGGTGACAGAGCGAGACTGTGTCTCAAAAAAAAAACAAAAAATGTTCTCAAAGAAGGCAAGAGACTTATCCTAGTAAACACTAAAACCTATTGCAGATTCATTTGCAAACATCAGAATAGCAAGACCAATAAAACAAAGTCTAGAATCAAGCCCATGCTCATAGAGGAATATAGGATACAATAAAAGTGGGTCTTAAGCAAGGTTAGATAGCTGACTGCATAGAAAAATAATATAGATCCATACTTCACTTTATATTAAAACTTTTAGTAGATTAAAGGTTAAATATAAAAATGAAACTATAAAAGTAATTGAGGCTGGGCACAGTGGTTCATGCCTGTAATACCAGCACTTTGGGAAGCCAAGGTGATGGGGGGATTGCTTGAGCCCAGGAGTTTGAGAGTAGTCTGGGCAACATGATGCACCTCTCTCTCTACAAAAGGTACAAAAATTAGCTGGGTTTTGGGGCATGCACTTGCAGCCCCAGCTACTTGGGAGGCTGAGGTGGAAGGATTGCTTGGGCCCTGGAGGTCAAGGCTGCAGTAAACAGTGATGGCGCCACTGCACTCCAGCATGGGCACAGAGCGAGACCAGGTCTCAAAAAAAAAAAAAAAAAAAAAGTGATTGAAGAAAATAAATGTAAAACTTCAGTCAACACAACCTAACAAACTTGAAACGGCAAGGAAAATCTGGGGAAAATATTTGCAATATGTGATAAAGAGCTGTTATGAACCAATAAGAAAAGTATAAACACTCCAGTAGAAAAGAGGCATTTTACAAATATGGAAAAAATTGTTACAACTTAAGTATAATTGACCCTTGAACAGCGTGGGGCATGGACACTCCATTCCACACACCCCTACCCCCCACACACAGTTGAAAATACACATATAACTTTTGACTCCCTCAATACTTAACTAAGGTCACTGTTCACCGGAAGCCTTACTGATAACATAAACAGTTGATTAACACAAATTTTGAGTCAGGCACAGTGGCTCACACCTGTAATACCAGCACTTTGGGAGGCCAAAGTTGGGAGGATAACTTGAGCTCAGGAGTTCGAGACCAGCCTAAGCAACATAGTGAGACCTTATCTCTACTAAAAATAAAAAAATAAAATAAAAATTAGCTGGGAATGGTGGCACGTCCCAGCTATTAATACTTGGAGGGCTGAGGCAGGAGCATCAGTTGAGCCTGGGAGATTGAGGCTGCAGAGAATTATGATCACACCACTGCATTCCAGCCTGGGTGACAGAGCAAGAACTTGTCCCAAAAAAATAAAATACAATAAAATATATTTCTTTTTCTTTTTTTTTTTGAGATGGACTGGCACTCTGTCACCCAGGCTGGAGTGCAGTGGTTCTATCTCAGCTCACTACAATCTCCGCCTCCTGGGTTCAAGTGATTCTCCTGCCTCAATCCCCTGAGTAGCTGGGATTACAGGTGCCTGACACCACACCTAGCTAAATTTTTTGTATTTTTCTTTTTTTGAGATGGAGTCTGGCTCTGTCACCCAGGCTGGAGTGCAGTGGCGCGATCTCAGCTCACTGCAACCTCCGCCCCGCAGGTTTAAGCGATTCTCCTGCCTCAGCCTCCTGAGTAGCAGGGACTGCAGGTATGTAACACCATGCCTGGCTAATGTTTTTTTGTATTTTTGCTAGAGATGGGGTTTCACTGTGTTAACCAGGATGGTCTCGATCTCCTGATCTCGTGATCTGCCTACCTTGGCCTCCCAAAGTGCTGGGATTACAGGTGTGAGCCACCGTGACCGGCCTTTTTTTTTTTTTTTTTTTTTTTTTTTTTTGTATTTTTAGTAGAGATGGAGTTTCACCATGTTGGCCAGACTGGTTTTGAACTCCTGACCTCAAGTGATCCACCCACCCGGCCTCCCAAAGTGCTGGGATTACAGGCATAAGCCACACATATTTTCTATACGTATTATATACTGTAGACTTATAATAAAGTCAGCTAGAGAAAAGAAAATATTAAGAAAATCGTAAGGAGACTGGGCCTGGTGGCTCATTCCTGTAATTTCAGCACTTTGGGAGGCTGAGGCTGGCAGATCACCTAAGGTCAGGAGTTCGAGACCAGCCTGGCCAGCATGGCGAAACTCCGTCTCTACTAAAAATACAAAAATTAGCCAGGCGTGGTGGCTGGCGCCTATAATCCCAGCTCCTCGGGAGGCTGAGGCAGGAGAATTGCTTGAACCCTGGGGTGGGGGTGGTGGCGGGGCAGAGGTTGCAGTGAGCCATGCCACTTCACTCCAGCCTGGGCAAAAGAGCTAAACTCTGTCTCAAAAAAAAAAAAAAAGAAAATTGTAAGGAAGAGAAACTATATTTACTGTTTGTTGAGTGGAAGTGGATCATCTGGATCTTCATCCTCATCATCACATTGAGAAGGAGGAGGAGGGAGGGGGTTGGTCTTGCTGTCTTGGTTGGCAGAGGCAGAAGAAAGTCCGCACAGAAGTGGACCCCTGAAGTTCAAACCCATGTTGTTCAAGGGTCAACTGTGTAAGTAAAGTGCAAATTAGAAGCAGTTTTCTTTCTTTTTTTTTTTTAAACGGAGTGTCGGGAGTTTCGCTCTTGTCACCCAGGCTGGAGTGCAGTGGCGCGATCTCGGCTCACTGCAACCTCCACCTCTTGGGTTCAAGGGATTCTCCTGCCTCAGGCTCCTGAGTAGCTGGGATTACAGGTGAATGCCACCACACCTGGCTAATTTTTGTATTTTTAGTAGAAGTGGGGTTTTGTTATGTTGGCCAGGCTAGTCTTGAACTCCTGACCTCAGGTGATCTGTTCACCTTCGCCTCCCAAAGTTCTGGGTTATAGGCGTGAGCCACTGTGCCTGGCCAGGAGCAGTTTCTATCGGATTTCAAAAGATAAAACATAATTCTCAATATTATGGGCGGGGGGACAGGTAATTATATGCATAAGACTACATTGCTGGCCGGGCGCAGTGGCTCATGCCTGTAATCCCAGCACTTTGAGAGGCCGAGGTGGGCGGATCATGAGGTCAGGAGTTCGAGACCAGCCTAGCCAACATGGCAAAACCCCATCTCTACTAAAAATAACAAAAATTAGCCGCACACGGTGGTGAGTGCCTGTAATCCCAACTACTCAGGAGGCTGAGGCGGGAGAATTGCTTGAACCTGGGAGACAGAGATTGCAGTGAGCCGAGATCGTGCTGTTGTGCTGCAGCCTGGGTGACAAGAGCAAGACTCCATCTTGGGGAAGACTACATTGCTGATATATACTTGTAGTACTTTATAAAAAGTGATTTGTCATTAGGTATCAAAAGGGATAAAAATGTTTATAACCTTTGCCCCAGTGGAATAACCAATTTCACTAGTAAGATTATCCTCAGGAAATAATTAAATATTGTGGCAAGATCTAGCTACTAAGATGTTTATAGTAGTGAGATACTGGAAATAAGTATTCAACTGTTAGACATTAGTACATCTATATAATAGATTACCCTAGCCATAAAAATTATCTCTGTGAATGTTCAAAAAATTCTCCTGTATATTACGTGAAAACAAATGATAAAATGGAGAATATATAGTAGAATTTGTTTTTGTAAAAAATACATAGAAAAAGACTGGAAGAAGATTCATTAAGGTGTTAGATTCTGCCTTTTTAAATTGAGATATAATTCATATACTGGCCGGGCGCAGTGGCTCACGCCTGTAATCCCAGCACTTTGGGAGGCCGAGGCGGGCGGATCATGAGGTCAGGAGATCAACACCATCCTGGCTTACATGGTGAAACCCCATCTCTACTAAAAATACAAAAATTAGCCAGGCGTGGTGGCGGGTGCCTGTAATCCCAGCTACTTGGGAGGCTGAGGCAGGAGAATGGCGTGAACCCAGGAGGCGGAGCTTGCAGTGAGCCGAGATCACGCCACTGCACTCCAGCCTGGGCGACAGAGCTAGACTCCGTCTCAAAAAAAAAAAAAAAATTCATATACCATATGATTCACCCATTTAATCAATCTAAAGAATCCATTGCAAAGTCAGTACAATTTATTATATTCAGAGTCGTGTAACCATCACTTTACTCAATTTTAGAGCATTTTCCCTGTGCACATTAGAGTCACTTCTCATTCCAGCCTCCTAATGCAACCTCCCTAAGGCACTCCCAACTTTCTCCCCTTTCACTACTATTGCACCCATTCCTCTACTTTGTCTATAGATATGCTTATTCTGGACATTTTATGTAAATAGAATCATACAACATGTGGTCTTTAGTGCCTGGTTTCTTTTAACATAATGGTTTCAAGGCTCATTCATGTCACAATATATTATAAAATTTGAGTCATTCCTATATTTTATGTATTATGAGTTTCAGGGGTCTGTCCTGCAGACCCTGACCCAACAATGGATGAATAAAGTACACTGACACACAGATATTCTGCTTTGCCAGTTTGGCTGAGCATCCGGGCAGCTTATAGACTCCACGCAGAGTGCTGTAAACAGTTGGAGATGGAGACCATCCTGGCTAACACGGTGAAACCCCGTCTCTACTAAAAATACAAAAAAATTAGCCAGGCGTAGTGGCGGGCACCTGTAGTCCCAGGCTGAGGCAGGAGAATGGTGTGAACCGAGGAGGTGGAGCTTGCAGTGAGCCGAGATCGCGCCACTGCACTCCAGCCTGGGCGACTGAGCGAGACTCCGTCTCCAAAAAAAAAAAAAAAAAAAAGCGGCCTTGACCAGCTAGTGAGACTCACATTTATTCAGTAAATATTAATTGACAAAGGCTTGAGTCAACACCACTAGAGGGTAATTGACATCGTGGACTTCCCGAGTAGAAAGCAATTAAGCACCGGCGGGAAATCAAAGGTTAGCCTTAGGACCACAAGAGTAAACAAGCTATTTAGATAAACTCCCCACATTCCTTTTTTTTTTTTTTAAACTCCCCACATTCCTTTGTTTCTACTGTAATTTATTTAACTAAGGGGACAAGGCTGCCTTCAGCTAAGTTTATCACTGGAGCTTATGCAAACGCCCCAGGCCTTCCAAGAAGGTTTGCGTCTTATAATTTTCCCCACCATCCTGACTGAACTCCCCCAATGGTAATACATAAAGTTCGTGTACAAGTTTTTGTGTGGATGTGTTTTCAGATCTCTTTGATGCACACCTAGGAATGGTGGAATTGCTGGGTCATGTGGTATCTGACTGCTTAGCCTGTGGGGGAACTGCCAGATTGTTATACCACTTTACATTTCTACTAGCAGAGGATGAGTTTGTCAGTGTTTCCACGTGCTTGCAGTTATTTTCTGTTTTTTTGTTTTTTGTTTTTTTTTTTGAGGTGGAGTATTGCTCTGCCACCCAGGCTGGAGTGCAGTAGCACAATCTCGACTCACTGCAACCTCCACCTCCCAGGTTCAAGTGATTCTCCTGTCTCAGCCTCCCTAGTAGCGGGATTACAGGTGCATGCTACCCCTCCCGGCTAACTGTTATATTTTTTGTAGAGATGGGATTTCACCATGTTGGCCTGGCTGATCTTGAATTCCTGATCTCAAGTGATCCACCCGCCTCAGCCTCCCAAAGTGCTGGGATTACAGGCGTGAGCCACCGTGCCCGGCCCTAGTTAGATCCTTTGCCCATTTTTAAATTGGATTCTGTTTTTATTAATGAGTTGTAAGAGTTCTTTATATATTCTAGATAAAAGTTCTATATATATGATTTACAAATATTTTCTCCCATTTTGTTTCAGCAAACGCTCTAGGAAAACAAACAAATGTTTTCTCCCGTTCTATAGATTGACTTTTCATTTTCTTGATAGTATCTTTTGAAGCACAAAACTTAAAAAAAAAAAATTCCCCCAACTTTATCGAGGTATAACTTACAAAAATTGTATATATTTATGAGGTACAACATGTTTTTGTTTTTGTTTTTTTTTTGAGGCAGAATCTTGCTCTGTCACCCAGGCTGGAGTACAGTGGCATGATCTCAGCTCACTGCAGCCTCCTCCTCCTGGGTTCAGGCAATTCTGGTGCCTCAGCCTCCCGAGTAGCTGGGATTACAGGGGTATACCACCATGCCCAGCTAATTTTTTTGTATTTTTAATAGAGATGGGGTTTTACCATGTTGGCCCAGCTAATCTTGAACTCTGGGCCTCAAGCAATTCGCCTGCCTCCCGAAGTGCTGGGATTACAGGCGTGGGCCCTAGCACTCGGCCACGTGTTTTGATATATGTATACATTGTGAAATGATGGTCACACTCAAGCTAGTTAACATATCCATCACCTCACATAGTTATCTTTTTTTTGCATGTGTAATGAGAACATTTAAGATCTACTTTCCAACCAAATTTCAAGTATACAATAGAGTGTTATTAACTGTCAACACCAAGTTGTACATTAGATCCTCAGCACTCACTCATCCTGCCTAACGAAAACTTTGTACTCTTTAACCAACGTCTCCCTATTTCCCCCACCCTCCAGCCCCGGCAACCACTATGCTACTCTCTGCTTCTATGAGTTTGACTTTTTAATATTCCCCATATAAGTAAGATCATGCAGTATTTGTCTTTCTGTGTCTGGCTTATTTCACTTAGCGTAATGCTCTTCAGGTTCATCCACGTTGCCCTAAATGGCAGGATTTCCTTTTGTAAGGCTGAATAATATACCATTGTATATACCACATTTTCTTTATTCATCCGTTTAAGGACACTTAGTTGTTTCCATGTCTTTGCTATATAATTAATACACACACACACACACACATATACATATAATAGTGCTGTAATGAACATGGGAGTGCAGCTATCACTTTGAGATACTGCTTTCATTTCCTTTGGATATATGCCCAGAGGTAGAATTGCTGGATCATAACATGTTTTTAGTATTTTGAGGACCTTCCATATTGTTTTCCATGTTCGCTGTACCAATTTACATCCTCACCAATAGCGTACAAGGGTTGTCTTTCCTCCACATCCTCACCAACACTTGTTACCTTTTGTCTTTTTGATAATAGCCATCCCAACAGGTGTGAGGGGATGTCTTACTGTGGCTTTGATAAAGTTTTTAATTTTGATGTAGTCAATTTGTTTAGTTTTTCTTCTGTTGTGTGTGCTTTTGATGTCCTAAGATTTTGCTTCACCCCAGGTCCTGAAAATTTACTCCTATATTTTCTTTTAAAAGTTTTTTTAGTTTTAGCTCTTACATTTAGGTCTGTGATTCATTTTCAGTTAATTTTTACATATGGTTTGAGATGGAAATCCAGCTTTATTCTTTTGCATGTCAATATCCTGTTGTAGTCACGCCATTTGCTGAAAAGTCTGTTTTTTTGTCACTCTTGTCAAAAATCAATTGACTGTAGATATAAACATTTATCTCTAGATAGATAGATATATTCTTATGCCAGTACCATGCTGTGTTGAATCTTGTATATTTTGAAATTGGAAAGTGTGAATCCTCCAACTTTGTTACTTTTCAATATTATTTTGGCTATTGTGGGTCCCTTGAATTTCCTTTTTTTTTTTTTTTTTTTTTTTTTTTTGAGACAGGGTGTTGCTCTGCCGCCTAGGGCGGAGTACAGTGGCTTGATCAGAGCTCACTGCAGCCTCAACCTCCCAGGCTCAAGCGATCCTCCCATCTTAGCCTTCCAAGTAGCTGGGACTATAGGTGTGCACCACCATGCCTGGCTAATTTTTGTAGTGTTTTGTAGAGACAGGATTTCGCCATGTTGCCCAAGCTGGTCTTGGCTCAAGCGATTCTCCCAAGTCAGCCTCCCAAATTGTTGGGATTATAGGCATGAGCCACCAGGTCTGGCCATGAATTTTAGGATCAATCTATTTCTGCAAATAGATTGATGGGTTTTTTAATAGACTTTATTTTTTAGATCATTTTATGCTCATAACAAAACTGGGCAGAAAGTAGAGTTCCCATGTGGCCCCTATACCACATGTATGGAACTTCCCTCTGTTATTAATGTTCCCCACCAGAGCACATTTGTTATAATGAGCCTACACTGACATGTCGTTATCACCTAAAGACCATGGTTTACGTTAGGATTCACTCTTGGTGTGGTACCTTTTATGGGTTTGTACAAATATATAATGACATGCATTCATCATGATAGGATCATACTAGATAATCTTTTAGAATTTCTTTTTGTTAGCTAAGTCTTCTGATTTTTCTAAAATGAACATGTGGCCAGGAGTGATGGCTCACGTCTGTGATCCTAGCACTTTGGGAGGCCGAGGTGGGTGGATCACCTGAGGTCAGGAGTTCGAGACCAGCCTGGCCAACATGGCAGAACCCCTTCTCTACTAAAAGTACAAAATAATTAGCCGGGCATGGTGGTATGGGCCTATAATCCCAGCTACTCAGGAGGCTGAGGCAGGAGAATCGCTTGAACCCTAGAGGGGGAGGCTGCAGTGAGCCAAGATCGCGCCACTCTACTCCAGCCTGGGTGACAAAGTGAGACTCTGTCTCAAAAAAAAAAAAAAAAAAGAAAGAAACCTAAATAAATAAATAAAATAAAATGAACATGCTTTGCTAGTAGTTTTTTAAGTTAAAAGTATTGTTTTAAACTTTGCACTGGTTGTGTATTTTTTTGCTGGAAATACTTGAAAATGATTGGTACAAAATGTCTTCTTATATTTATTCTTAGTATAGTTCAGTGAAATTAGAGAAAAAAGTATCCTTTCTTACATATGGAGAGATTTAGGCCAGTGTTTGTGACTTAGGTAAGTTTCGTGGCCAGCAGATATATCACAATTAAAATCTGGATCCACTGTTAGTTTTGTGTACTAGAGTAGTGGTCCTTAAATTATGAAATGTGAATAGGTTCCAAAAAAGTCAGTTAAATGTGGAGTTTTTAGAAATGCATTATCCATTGCAGATTTCAACTAAATAAACAGTGTAAAAGCAAACATTAAAGTGACTAGAAACAAATATGCACAATGCAAGTTTCAGTCCTCAGAGCTACAGAGTCAGAATCTTGGGAAGTGGTGCCCAGCTTCTGTATGGCCAAAAAGCTGCCCTGTGATTCTGATCTTGAGTCCACTCTTAAAGCTGCTCCATGATAATTCTTTAGGGAAGTCAGTGCTTTGCTGATTGTTGACTCTCTCAAGAGCCTAACGGTTAATCATGCCTTTTGAAGTACTTTGTTGTTTTGTTTGATTCTATTTTTTTTCTTCCTTTTCATGTTTTTGTTATAAGAGCTGGAAAATGTGCTGAGGAAATGCATCTGTAGAATGTATTTAAGCACTTGAAATAAACGTTTTATTTATAGGGCAAATGTAGTTCATGCCTTAAGCATTTTAATCTGAAAGTTATATCCCAAAGTGTTCGTTTACTGGCATTATTGACAAGGGGTGTTTTGGTTGAAGGAAGTTTTAGAATGTTTGTTTTATTAACTAAAATCTAATTAAGTACTCTTAAATTTTTGTGTTTACAGAAAAGTCTTTTAAGTTATGTGTCACCAAGGAGATGCTCCTTCTTAGTATTACAACTGCTTATACAGGTAATGGAATTACTGTTCTTATTTTCTCTTGCTGCATAATGACAATAAGGAGTTGAAAACGAGCCACGTTATTATTTCTCACAATTCTGTGCAGTGACTGGACTCAGTGAATGGTTCTTCTCATGGTGTCACTTGGGGTCTCTTGTGGCTGGTTTCCTTCACGTGTCGCCTTCACTGTGGTCAGATGATAGGCTGAATATCTCTCTTTTTGTGTAGTCTCAGAGCTGCTCTCCATCTCCACGACCCCCTCCATAAGATCACCTTGTGATCTGGCAGGATAGCCAGACACCTTAGTTAATGGACTGATGGCTCCAAAAAAGGCAACAGGAAAGAATACCAGACCTTCTTAAAGCTCAGGCTTCAGTCTAGCCCAGCATCACTTCTACTGGATTCTGTTGGTGACAGCAAATCACAGGGTTGGCCCAAATTCAGTGTGGAAGGATTCCACACAAGGTTCAGAAAAACCAGGACACGTGGCTCTTTGGGACCAGTGGTTTTAGGCAATGCAGAGCGCTACAGAAAATAACCATGAAGAAATCTGTAACTTTATATGGATTAAAATCATTTCTGGACAGGTGCAGTGGCTCACGCCTGTAATCCCAGCACTTTGGGAGGCTGAGGCGGGTGGATTGCTTGAGCCCAGGAGTTCAAGACCAGCCTGGGCAACATGGCAAAACCCCATCTCTACTAAAAATACAAAAAATTAGCCGAGTATGGTGGTGCATGCCTGTAGCCCCAGCCACTCAGGAGGCCGAGGTGGGAGAATCACCTGAGCTCAGTAAGTCAAGGTTGCATGATCCAAGATGGCACCACTATACTCCAGCCTGGGCCACGGGAGTAAAGACCTCCGTCTCAAAAAAAAAAAAAAAAAAAGTCATTTCTAATGAAATAGAAGCATGTCATAATGTGGTATGATAGCAGGCGGGGTACCCTTAAGTCAAGAATGATAAAGAAATTTGTTTTCTTTTAAAAAATGCTGTAATTTGCTAGTTAATCTTTTCCCTTATGTGCCTCATAGATACAACATATTTTTAGGTGAAATAGAATAAACATTAAACATCTTTAAAATTCACAGTTAAGGTTTTGTAGCATTAGGGAATCAAGGTCCCCTACTGATTTACTCTAATTTTTTAATCTTTGGAATTTTCTTTTCCTAGAAAAAGGGGTTTAATTAAAACATTATGGTGCTTTTAAGACACATTGTATAGTATGTATTGGCTTTCCATTACAGTAAGAATATAATTGAATAGGGGCTGGGCACAGTGGCTCATGTCTGTAATCCCAGCACTTTGGGAGGCCGAGGTGGGTGGATCACCTGGGGTCAGGAGTTCGAGACCAGCCTGGCCAAAATGGTGAAACCCCGTCTCTACTAAAAATACATAAATTACCCGGGTGTGGTGGTGCATGCCTGTAATCCCAGCTACTTGGGAGGCTGAGGCAAGGAGAATTGCTTGAACCTGGGAGGCAGAGGTTGCAGTGAGTTGAGATAGCGCCACTGCACTCCAGCCTGGGCAACAGAGCAAGACTCTCTCTCAAAAAAAAAAAAAAAAAAGAATGTTCCTGTTTCTTTGGAAAGCTACTAACAAGGTTAATGAGCATGTTAGTCTTCACTGTTACAAAGTTATGTTAATTATCACCTCTGCCCATCTCCGCCTGCATGGAGAGTGATAGGTTTTAACATAAGGATATCTGTTCATTTGAGTTGTATACTTTTACCTGAAATATATGGCAGATGCCGTCTTGTGGTATCTTAATTTTAGCTGCTATAACAAATTTCCATAGACTGTGTGGCTTAAACAACAGACACTTATTTCTCACAGTTCTGGAGGCTGGGAAGTCTGAGAGCAGGATGCCACCATGCGCAGCTTGTGGTGTGGGCTGTTCCTGGTTGTAGACAGCTGCCTTCTTGCTGTGTCCTCCCATGGCAGAGAGCAGACAGGAAGCAAGCTTTTTGTTGTCTCTATTTATAAGGGCACTAATCACATCGAGAGGGCTCCACCCTCATGGCCTAATTGCCTCCAAAAGGCCCCATCTCCAAATACCATCATGTTTTGGGGAATTTGAGTTTCAATATGTGAATCTGGGGAGGACACAAACATTTAGTCCATAGCATGAAGCTAATTCCATTTCATCAGTTACATCACATTATGCTCTGCTTGGGGATTAATATTTCAGTCTCTGTGAGTTTTATGTGTTTTACTACGCAAGTATTCTTTCGTCAGATACTACTAGATGGGAAGATAAACAAAAATGTGAATATATAAATGACATCTGTTTTTTTTCTTTAACTAAAGGTCTGGAATTAACTTTCTTCTCTGGTGTATATGGAACCTGTATTGGTGCTACAAATAAATTTGGAGCAGAAGAGAAAAGCCTTATTGGACTTTCTGGCATTTTCATCGGCATTGGAGAAATTTTAGGTTGGTTTTAAAAAAAAGCGTTTGCATTAAAAATATCAGTTTATTATAGGTAAAATAGAAATTTTAAGTGTGCTTCACCTTTGTCCTTGAATTTCTGTTTTTTCTACTTATTTTTACCCAAACGTGTGTTTTTATTTTTCTATTATTGCTATTCTTTTTCTTTTTTTTTTTTTTTTTCCAGACAGAGTCTCGCTCTGTCGCCGAGGCTAGAGTTGGAGTGCAGTGGTGCGATCTCAGCTCACTGCAAGCTCCGCCTCCCGGGTTCACGCCATTCTTCTGCCTCAGCCTCCCGAGTAGCTGGGACTACAGGCGCCCGCCACTATGCCCGGCTAATTTTTTTGTATTTTTAGTAGAGACGGGGTTTCACCGCATTAGCCAGGATGGTCTCGATCTCCTGACCTCATGATCCGCCCACCTCGGCCTCCCAAAGTGCTGGGATTACAGGTGTGAGCCACCATGCCCGGCCTATTATTGCTATTCTAATATAACTAAATTATAAAACATTTGCAAAATAATTCACAGATGGAAACCCTGTGTAAGAAAACATACAATGTCTCCCGACTTTTCCTCCTAAAATATTTAGAAAGTCTTGGAATTCCTGACTCTGGTTCTCTGATTCCCTGTCACCAACTGGGTGTCCAACAGCTCAATCCTGTTCTAACACTTAACTCTCCAAAGTTAGTGTCAGATTCCACAGGTTTAAGGGTTCAGTCCTACAGACAGACAGTCTGGGTCCATAGGCCTCTCAGGCACACCTCTCTGACTTGGGTACAAATTTGGAGGTTCCCATAGCCCTCTTCCCCCTTCATGTTTGATAATTTGCTAGAGCAACTCACAGAACTCAGGAAAATGCTCTCCTGACTATTAGAGTTTATTATAAAGGATACAGATGAGCAGCCTGATGAGGAGGTGCAAAGGGTGGGGTCTGAAAGGGTCCCTAAGTGCAGGAGCCTCTGTCTCCATGGATTTTGGGCTCACCACTCCAGAAGCTCCTCCAACCCTGTTTAGGGGGATTTATGGAGATCCTGTTACATAGGCATGCTTGATTAAATCATTGGCCACATGGCCGGGTGCAGTGGCTCATTCACTTTGGGAGGCCGAGGTGGGAGGATCACTTGAGCCCAGGAGTTCGAGATCAGCCTGGACAACATAAGGAGACCCTGTCTCTAACAACAACAAAAAAACAATCATTGGCCATTGGTGATTGATTTAATCTCCAGCCTTCCCTCCCTGAAGTGGGAGTGAAAGGGGCCTGGAAGTTCTAGCCCTCAGGGCTTGGTCTTTCTGGGAACCAGCCTCATCCTGAAGCTCTATCCTAGGCCAACCCCTCTCTCCCCAAGGGTTGCCCCCTTAGCGTAAACTTCAGTATGGTTGAAAGTGGCTCTTTCTGAATAACTAATGTCCCTCGTATCACTGAGGAAATTCCAGGCCTTTTAGGATTTCTGTGCCAAGAACTAGCAGCAAAGACCAAATATGTATTTTTATTATGCTCCACGAGTTATTCTTTGTTCAACAAAGATTTGTTCAGCACTTGCAGTATATTGAATATTGTGTTAGATATGAGGAACTTCAACAAAGGTTTATTGTAATCTGTCATGTCAACAAAATAGACAAAAATACCTGCCCATATAGAGCTTATATTCTTGAGGAAGAATACAGACAATAAAAACAGAAATCTTTGTATGTCAGGCAGTGGTAAGCACCATGGGTAAAGCGGACTTTGGAGGGTTTGTTTGTTTTTGCTTTTTGGCCCCTGCCTTATTGCCAACACCTGGAGCAGGACAAGGTCTATATTGGGCATCCAATAAATGAGTTAAATGTGTTGAATGAATAATGAGAACATGGTTTCAGCAGAACTTAGTAACCAGTTGCGTGGTGGTGTGAGGAGAGATGTCTAGAATGATGACCAGGTTGATCAGAGTAACCTGGGCAGAGAGAATGCTGTAGGAGATGGGGTTTGAGGAAATCTGCTGAATGGGATTTTGAACACCTCTAAGTACCAGAGAGGCACCCAAGTAGAGAAGTGTCCAGTGGGAAATGCAGGCTGATGCTCAGGAGGGACTCGTGGGCTGGAGGTTGATGTTGGGAGTTATGGGTATGTAAATGGCGGGCGAAGCTTAGCCATGGTGAGTCAGTGCAGGGTTGTCTTCTCTGGTAAGTGCTTGTTTAGTGTCTGCCTGTAGACTACCTGGGAAGAAACTCACTTTCTGTAGGCAACCTGCTTTTTTGAAAAAAATAATTTCAAATTGATAAGAAATTGCGAAAATAGGCCAGGCACAGTGCTCACGCCTATAATTCTAGCACTTTGGGGAGCTGAGGTGGGCAGATCGCTTGAGTTCAGGAGTTTGAGACCAGCCTGGGCAACATGGCAAAACCCCATCTCTACAAAAAAAGTACAAAAAAATTAGCCAGGTGTAGTGGCGTATGCCTGTCGTCCCAGCTACTTGGGAGGCTGAAGTGGGAGGTTGCAGTGAATCCAGATCACACCACTGCACTCCAGCCTGGGCCACAGAGCAAGATTCTGTCTCAAAAAAACCAAAAAACCAAAACAAAAAAAGAAATTGCAAAAATAAAAATAGTACAATGAACATCTGAATATCCTTTAACAGGATTCATCTATTGTTAACGCTCTACCTTAGTAACTTTTTTTTTTTTTTTTTTTTAAGGACAGAGTCTTGCTCTGTTGCCCAGGCTGGGGTGCAGTGGCTCGATCTTGGCTCACTGCAACCTTCGCTGCTGGGATTCAAGCAATTCTTCTGCCTCAGCCTCCCAAGTAGCTGGGACTACAGGCAACCGCTACCACGCCTGGCTAATTTTTGTATTTTTAGTAGAGATGGGGTTTCACCATGTTGGCCAGGCTGGTCTCAATCTCCTGACCTCTTGATCCACCCACCTCGGCCTCCCAAAGTGCTGGAATTACAGGCATGAGCCACTGCACCTGGCCCTCCTGTCAGTATTTTTGAGCTTTGTTCTTAGATGTAGTTCATTTAATTGAAAACAGCATACCTTTTAAGATTTGTTGGGCAGGACTGGAGCATTACTCAGTCTAGGGCTAATTATTTCCTGCTTCTAAGGGAAGACCCTTCTGTGTGCTCCACCCAGTTCCTGTGAATCATAAGCTTTTAAGTGGCTGGTGGGACCAGACACTATACCCAGCTGAGGGCGGGGCCCTAATACCACTAATCCTCTTGGCTGGTTCTTTCCCAGACTTCTGCTAATTTGCTCACTTTATGTACTGATCAGTCCTCAGCTGAAGACTCAGGGGGACTGTCTGCAGCTCTCTGGAATTGTTTTTCTGTGTAGCTTTCCTTTCTGATACCGTTGTCTGTGAACTCTGGTCACCCTGATATCCCTAGAGTCACATCCCCGTCTCTTCAATCCATGGGGGCTGCTGGCCTCCGCCTGGGTTCTTTCTCCCTCTGCTGCCTACTCTTGAGAGGAACTGCCAGATATTTTCCAGAGTGGCTGTACCAGCAATGTGTGAGTGATTCCGTTTTTCTGAATCCTTGCCAGCACTTGGTGTTATCACTGTTTTTGATGTTAGCGATTGTGATAGATGTGTAGTCATGTTTCATTGTGGTTTTACTTTGTCTTTAATGGGTAATGATGTTGAGCATCTTTTCATGTGTGTATTTACCCTCTTTATATCTTCTTTGGTGACGTGTATGTGCATATCTTTTGCCCATTTTCTAGGCAGGGTTTTTTTGTTTTGTTTTGTTTTTACTGTTAACCTTCACTTTTTAAATTTTTTTTTTCCAGACGGAGTCTCGCTCAGTTGCCAGGCGGAGTGCAGTGGCGCAATCTTGGCTCATTGCAACCTCCACCTCCTGGGTTCAAGCGATTCTCCTGCTTCAGCCTCCTGAGTAGCTGGGACTACAGGCGCACGCCACCACGCCCAGCTAATTTTTGTATTTTTAGTAGAGACAGGGTTTCACCATGTTGGTCAGGATGGTCTTGATCTCTTGACCTCGTGATCTGCCCACCTTGACCTCCCAAAGTGCTGGGATTACAGGCGTGAGCCACCATGCCCAGCAACTTTCTAAATTTTTTTAAATTATTTTTTTATTTTTTTGAGACAGAGTCTTGCTCTGTCACCCGTGCTGGAGTGCAATGACATGATCTTGGTTCACTGCAACATCTGCCCCCTGGGTTCAAGTGATTCTCCTGCCTCTGCCTCTTAAGTAGCTGGGACTACAGGCATGTGCCACCACACCTGGCTAATTTTTGTATTTTTACTAGAGACAGGGTTTCACCATGTTGGCCAGGCTGGTCTCGAACTCCTGACCTCGGGTGATCTGCCCGCCTTGGCCTCCCAAAGGGCTGGGATTACAGGTGTAAGCCACTGTACCTGGCCCACTTTTTAAAAAATATATATACAATTTTTTCTTTCTTTTTTTAAAAAAGACAGCGTCTTGCTATGTTGCTGAGGCTGGTTTGGAACTCCTGGCCTCAAGCAATTCTCCCACCTTGGCCTCCCAAAGTGCTGGGATTACAGGCATGAGACCCTGCACCCAGCCATCCTTCACTTTTGATATATAGGTTTGCTGGTATCGATTTCTGGGGTAGAAATCACTTAAAAATTATAAAGGTCTTCTTCCTTTCAGTTACAGAGTTCTCCTCTTCTCACTCTTGAGGATTCTCCTCTCAGCTTTTGAGATATCCTAGCTGTTCTGGCTGCTGACTCTTCCTAGGCCTCTCTGACTCCCCTTCGGAGCTCACACATAATTCTCAGAATCCATAGTGACTGCCTTTCAGTGTGATACCTTGGCTTGTTTGGCTATGATTGCAACAAAAACGTGGTCATAATGACAAGTTGTGTCCTTATTTTATTTCTGTTATAAGCTACAGGTCAAAGGGGATAGCTTGTGGGGTACAATAATTCACAGAGAAGAAATACAAGAATGTTCCTGGATAGAAATGCAAGTCATTTTGATACCTTACTTTTTTGTTCTAATAGTTGATGCTTGGTCATCATTATCATTGTCTGCAAGTGCTGAGGTGTTGGGTTTTTTGAAGAAATTTAACAAGTGAGAATGTTTATTCCTTGGCTCCTTGGTGGTAACTCAGGCCTGGGTATGTGATGTTTCGGCAACATTAGTGACGTTTCTGCCATCTTGACTTATAGGTGGAAGCCTCTTCGGCCTGCTGAGCAAGAACAATCGTTTTGGTAGAAATCCAGTTGTGCTGTTGGGCATCCTGGTGCACTTCATAGCTTTTTATCTAATATTTCTCAACATGCCTGGAGATGCCCCGATTGCTCCTGTTAAAGGAACTGACAGCAGTGCTTACATCAAATCCAGGTATAGTGGCTGTCATTTCTCTAGTCGCTTGAGTACGGGTGGGAGGTAACGGATGGCTAGATACTGAAAGTGGAGCAGTTAATCCTCTTCAGAGAGCCTGGTGTCTCTCTAAGGTCATCTGTCAAGTGTTCATGGAGTCAGACTGAGTTTAAATAGGAATCCTTAGAGAATCCTAAGTTATTTTTGTAATAGTTGGTTTTAACCTTTTCCCCCACTAAATCTTTTTCTTGATCCTTGAAGGAGCACGTAAGTATCTGATTTGAATTTTTTATCTCTGCTTCTTAAGCAGTGAAATATCCAGACATTAGGGCCTGGAGGAAGAACAAAGAGGAGCGAGGGAGAACCTGGCAACCGGGGAGGCCATTCAGTCCTTCCAGAGCAGTTTATATAACGTTTGAGGATATCGGTTTAGTGCACTCAACTCTCAAGTTCATTATAAACGCAGACATTTATGTCCAGCTCCACAAATCCAAGGGGAGCCCAGCCCAAAAAACTATACAAACTGAGTATATCGCATCTGAAAATCTGAAACTTTTCAAGGGCCAACATGATGCTCAAAGGGAAGTGTTATTAGAACATTTCAGGTTACAGATTTTCAGATTAAAAATACCTAACTGGTCAGTGTAATGCAGATGTTCCAAAATCTGAAAAGAAAATTTGAAACACTTCTGGTCTTGATAAGGGATACTCAACCTGCATTTTCTTCACAAATGGTTGAGACCAGAGTTTGTTAGAATGTAAAGGTGTGTGCATTTGAGCAAAAATTCTTACTTTGTAAATTCTAGTCTTTATGTTTTATTTTTATTTATTTATTTATTTATTTTGAGACAGAGTCTCACTCTGTCTGCCAGCCTAGAATGCAAGTGGCGTGATCTCCGCTCACTGCAACCTCCACCTCCGGGGTTCAAGTGATTCTCGTGTCTCAGCCTCCCGAGTAGCTGGGATTACAGGCACGCGCCACTATGCCCAGCTAATTTTTATATTTTTAGTAGAGATGGGGTTTTGCCATGTTGGCCAGGCTGGTCTCAAACTCCTGTCTTCAAGTGATCTGCCCACCTCAGCCTCCCAAAGTGCTGGGATTCCAGGTGTGAGCCACCGCACCAGCTTTGTCTTTATTTTTGTTTCATAGTGTTTACAACTTGCAGGTAGAATTCTTTTGTGGGTGGGTTGCTTGTATATTTTAAATGGCTCTAGCAGATATTGCTCATACTAAATTGATTTTTATTTTCTTCAGCAAAGAAGTTGCCATTCTCTGCAGTTTTCTGTTGGGCCTTGGAGACAGCTGCTTTAATACCCAGCTGCTTAGTATCTTGGGCTTTCTGTATTCTGAAGACAGCGCCCCAGCATTTGCCATCTTCAAGTTTGTTCAGGTAACCTCTTCAGATTGTGATTGTGTTTGACATAGGGCTCTTCCCTTTGTGTATTGCCTTGTTTTCCTTGGTTACTTGTATTGTGGTTTTAATTTTTATTTATTTATTTTTATTTTTTTGATAGAGTCTCTCTCTGTCACTCAGGCTGGAGTGCAGTAGCGCAATCTTGACTCGCTGCAACCTCCGCCTCCCGGGTTCAAGCAATTCTCCTGCCTTAGCCTCCTGAGTAGCTGAGATTACAGGTGCACACCACCATGCCTGGCTAATTTTTGTATTTTTTTTTTCTTTTTAGCAGAGGCAGGGTTTCACCACGTTGGTTAGGCTGGTCTCAAACTTCTGACCTCAGGTGATCCACCTGCCTTGGCCTCCCAAAGTGCTGGGGATTATATGCGTGAGCCACCGCACCTGGTCTATTTTTTTATTTTATTTTTTTTTAAAGACAAAGTCGGCCCGCCGCGGCTCACACTTGTAATCCCAGCACTTTGGGAGGCCAAGGTGGGCGGATCACGAGGTCACAAGATGGAGACCATCCTGGCTAACACGGTGAAACCCTGTCTCTACTAAAAATACAAAAAAATTAGCCGGGCGTGGTGGCACGTGCCTGTAGTCCCAGCTACTTGGGTGGCTGAGGCAGGAGAATGGTGTGAACCCGGGAGGCGGAGCTTGCGGTGAGCCCAGACCGCGCCACTGCACTTCAGCCTGGGCCACAGAGCGAGACTCCGTCTCAAAAAAAAAAAAAAAAAAAAGACAGTCTCACTCTGTAGTCCAGACTGGAGTGCAGTGGCACGATCTTGGCTCAGTGCAATCTCTGCCTCCCAAGTAGGTGGGATTACAGGAGTGCACTACCATGTTCAGCTAAGTTTTTATATTTTTAGTAGAGATGAGGTTTTGCCATTTTGGCCAGGCTGGTCACAAACTACTGGCCTCAAGTGATCCGCCCGCTTGGGCCCCACAAAGTGCTGGGATTATAAACATGAGCCACCGCCCCGGCTATATTGTGTTTCTTATTTTATTTTATTTTTTTGTTTCCTCTTTTTTTTTCCTTTTTTTGCTTTTGTCTTGTATTGTGTTTTTTAAATGAAAGTTGGGGACATCCTTTAAGAGGATTTATGACTAGAATTAGGAAGCAATGAGCAGTAAGATTTTTTGTGTAACAGATTTTATGTTCTGGTCTCTATGGCTCTGATTAGAGATTTCCTTCCTTAGATACCAGAATTCTATTCATTTGTAATACAGACAAGTGTATTTCTTACTCTGTACATTCTTGTTACTCCAGTTTTCCACAAAATGCTATTTTTGTTTCATTTTATTTTATTTTGTAGAGATGGGGTCTTGCTATGTTGTGCAGGCTGGTCTTGAACTCCTGGGCTCAAGCATTTCTCCCACCTTGGCCTCCCAAAGTGTTGGGTGGCATGAACCCCCACACCTGGCCAAAATGCTATTTTAAATACCAGGAACTGTGGCAGGAGTTTATGGTGCATGTTTGTGAGTCAGTGACTGAGGAAGTCATACCTTGATGCAGAAAGAATAGAAAGCACTGTGAGTTCCAGGTGTCCTTGGGGCAGGATAGGAGTGGGGCTAGGGGCTAACTGTGGCTCAGTGTGGCCCCCGGTGCGCCCGTTGTGATTTGTTTTGTTTGTTCTTAGTCTATTTGCGCAGCCGTGGCATTTTTCTACAGCAACTACCTTCTCCTTCACTGGCAACTCCTGGTCATGGTGATATTTGGGTTTTTTGGAACAATTTCTTTCTTCACTGTGGAATGGGAAGCTGCCGCCTTTGTAGCCCGCGGCTCTGACTACCGAAGTATCTGATCTGGTGTCCGTGAGGGGACACGTATGACCTCAGAAACACAGCTGGACACAGAGCTTGGTGGAAGAAGTCGCCTTTGATCTTCACTATATATTGGGTGATGTTCAGTATGGAAAATCAAGGGATTAAGACTGTTAAATCAGCCAGAGTTGGTGTTCAAGTTTACAGATATGAGTTATTTAAAGCAAGTAGAATAAGGGAAAGCTGTTCTGTCAACTGTAATTGTTCAAAGATGTTGTTTTTCATTTCATCTATCTCAATTCTTATAATCATGTTATAGAATGTAAATGTTTTCTTCTCTCTCCTGCTCTTGTTGGAAGATCCTGCCTTGATTTAGAATACTAGGCCATATGTCATATAAATATTTTTTCTGGATATGGAGTATGTTTTGCCATGTAATAATGGGAAGCATATGTCATTCCCCATATGTGTTGGAGAATGACATTTAAATAAATAGCAAAGCTGGGTGTGGTGTTGCACCGCTATACTCCCAGCTGTTGGGGAGGCTGAGACAGAAGGATCACTTCAGCCCAGGAGATTGAGGCTGCGGTGAGCTATGATCACACCACTGCACTCCAGGCTGGGCAACAGAGTGAGACCCTGTCTTGAAAATAATAATAGGCTGGTCACAGTGGCTCATGCCTGTAATCCCAACACTTTGGGAGGCTGAGGTGGGTGGATCACCTGAGGTCAGGAGTTTGAGACCAGCCTGGCCAACATGGTGAAACCTCATCTCTACTAAAAATACAAAAATGTGTTGGGTTTGGTGGTGCATGCCTGTAATCCTAGCTACTAGGGAGGCTGAGGTAAGAGAATTCGCTTGAACCTGGGAGGCGGAGGTTGCAGTGAGCCGAGATCGTGCCATTGCACTCCAGCCTGGATGACAAGAGTGAAACTCCATCTCAAAAAAAAAAAAAAAAAAAAGAAAAGAAAATAATAATGATAATTTTTTAAAATAATGAAAAATAAATAACAAGATGCTGAAATGAAATATTGATTTTGAAAAGATGTCTTCCTCTGTAAATGTTTCATTTGATAAGTTTTCTTACCTTGTAGCTCATAGCAAGGAGTGGCCAGTTAAGTATTATGAAATAAGGTAAAAATTGTCATAAGTCTTTTTTAAAATTTATTTATTATTTATTTATTTATTTAGAGACGGAGTCTCACTCTGTCGCCTAGGCTAGAGTGCAGTGGCGTGATCTCAGCTCACTGCAACCTCTGCCTCCCGGGTTCAAGCAATTCTCATTCTTTAGCCTCCCAACTAGCTAGGATTACAGGCATGTGCCACCACACCTGGCTAATTTTTGTATTTTTAGTAGAGATGGGGTTTCACCATGTTGGCCAGGCTGGTCTGGAACTCCTGACCTCAGGTGATTCACCTGCCTCGGCCTCCCAAAGTGCTGGGATTGCAGGGGTGAGCCACCATGCCCGGTCCTTTAAGTCTTAAGAACAGGGATCTAACATCTGTAACAACAAAAACATTGAAAAAGACAAACATATTTACTGAGGGAGGACTTTTGCTAGCAATTTTCCTGGAAGATGCAATGCAGAAACCCCCAAACAAACCTGGAATGAGATCTGAGCTGCGTCATCAGGCCAGTGTCACACCGTCATTTATGTGTCCTCCTCGAGCAGTGCAAGTCTATCATCCTGGGTGCGGGAATGGAACATAACTATTTGGGGAGATGTTAAATGGAAGTGTTAGCTTCCCTCCATAAGAGCTCACTTAAATTTTTTTTTTAAATTGAAATCAAATCCAGAAACCATAAAAATGTCCCATTTTAAAGTGTACATTCACAAGGTTGCATAACCACCACAATGATCTAATTCCAGGACATTTTATCACCCCAAAAAGTAGTCGCTGCCTGTCAGCAGTCATTCTTTCTCATCTGGCATGGCAACCACGAATCTACTTTCTGTCTCTATAGATTTGCTTATTTTGAACATTTCATGTAAATGAGACAGCTCAGTTTTGTTTTTTTTTTCTTTTCAAATTTTTAGTAGAGACAGAGTCTCCCTATGTTGCTCAGGCTGGTCTTGAACTCCTGGGCTTAAGTGATCTTCTTGCCATGGCCTCGCAAAGTGCTGGGGGGATTACAAACAAGAGCCACCGTGCCTAGGAAGAGCTCACTTTTGTTGTTGTTGTCTTTTGGTTGTTGTGTATGTGTTTTTTTTTTTTTTTCAAGACAGCGTCTCACTCTGTTGCCCAGGCTAGAGTGCAGTGGCGCAATCTTGGCTCACTGCAACCTCCGCCTCCCAGGTTAAAGCGATTCTCCTGCCTCAGCCTCCTGAGTAGCTGGGATTACAGGCATGCACCACCCCGCCTGGCTAATTTTTGTATTTTCAGTAGAGACGGGGTTTCACCATGTTGGTCAGGCTGGTCTCGAACTCTTGACCTCATGATCCGCCTGCCTCAGCCTCCCAAAGTGCTGGGATTACAGGCGTGAGCCACTGCGCCCAGCGGCTCCAGATTTTGAAGTTCTGGTTTTCCTTTTTGAAGCTGATATAACCTCCATTGGCTTAGTTGATCCTATATAAATAATTTACAAATGCCCTTTTAGACTTAACAGTAGTGATTTATTATCTCTTTAAGCACATTATTTATCAAGGTGTATTAGTTTTCTAATGTGCCATAACAAATTACCTCAAAACGTAGCCACTTAAAATAACACACATCTATTTCATCACAGTTTCTGTGGGTCGGGAATCTGCGCATGGCTGAGCTGAGTCCTGAGCGTCTCTCCAGGCTGCAGTCCATGTCTCTGCAGGCTGCAGTGAAGGTGTGTTCCAGGCTTCACTGGGGGAGGGCCTGCTTCCCTGCTCACTCGTATAGTTGTTGCAGGAGTCAGTTCCTCACAGACTGTCAGGCTAAGTAAGGATCTTGGTTTCTTATGGCTATTGGCTAAAGATCGCCCTCTGCCCTTCATCATGCTACGGAGTAGTCCTCAGGGCAGCCTACGACATGGCAGCTGTCTCCATCAAAGGTCACAAGCAAGGACAGCTGGAGAGAACGAGAGCAAGACAAAAGCCGCAGTCTCTCATAACTTCATCACTGTTGCACTCTGTCTGTTAGGTGCCAGTCACTAGTTCCAGCCTATTCTCAGGGAGGGAATTGGTGGGGAGCATCTTACAAGGCTGCCCACCTTGTCACCTGTCACACTGAGACTTACATGGAAGGTGACAACTGGGTCCTGTATTCCCAAGCCTCGCATTCTCCAGGCCCTTGCTCTGTTTGCTCATAATGGATCTGTACAACCCTGCTGGCAGAAGGAGGTGAAGCCACCTCTGTTAATGACACTGAGAATTTTAATCTGAGGAAGCCATGGCATCTTGTCACCCCTAGGATTCCTGGTGATTATTGTCAAAAGGGAAAGGAAATGAAGTGAAGTGCTGTGTGCAGTATGGCAGGAACCCAGCTTTTCCTAGGCTGCCTCCTACTGGCTTTGTGCTATGGTATTCATTTTCAGTTTCGTACTCACTTTTTTGTTAGAGACAGGGTCTTGCTTTGTTGCCCAGGCTGGATCACAGTGGCACAGTCATGGCTCACTGCAGCTTTGACGTCTTGGGCTCAAGCAATATTCCGGCCTCAGTCTCCCAAGTAGCTAGGACCACAGGCATGTACCACCATGCCTGGATAATTTTTTTTTTTTTTTTGTAAAGGCAGTGTCTTATCTTGCCCAGGCTAGCCTTGAACTCCTGGACTCCAGTGATCCTCCTGCCTCGGCCTTCCAAAATGCTGGGATTACAGGAATGAGCTACTATGCTTTTTTTTCTCCCCCGCCCCCGGCCCCTGTGGGGAGTTTGTTGCGCTTTTATTCAGTTCTTTTTTATTTTTATTTTTTGAGATGGAATTTCACTCTTGTTGCCCAGGCTGGAGTGCAATGGCGCGATCTCGGCTCACTGCAACCTCTGCCTCCTGGGTTCAAGCGATTCTCCTGCCTCAGCTTCCCAAGTAGCTGGGATTACAGGCATGTGCCACCATGCCCAGCTAATTTTGTATTTATAATAGAGACAGGGTTTCCTCATGTTGGTCAGGCTGGTCTTGAACTCCCAACCTCAAGTGATCCACCCGTCTCAGCCTCCCAAAGTGCTGGGATTACAGGCGTGAGCCACCGCGCCCAGGCTTTTTTTTTTTTTTTTTTTTTTGAGACAGAGTCTTGCTCTGTCACCCAGGCTATAATGCAGTGGCGCAATCTCGGCTCACTGCAACCTCCACATCCCGGGTTCAAGCAGTTCTCCTGCCTCAGCCTCCCGAGTAGCTGGGACTACAGGTGCACACCACCATGCCCGGCTAATTTTTGTATTTTTTAGTAGAGATGGGGCTTCACCATGTTGGCCAGGCTGGTCTCGAACTCTTGACCTCATGATCCACCCACCTCAGCTTCCCAAAGTGCCGGGATTACAGGCTTGAGCCCACCACGCGGGGCTGCTTTTATTCAGTTCTTGTGTCTATAGTTTTGATCTTGGTTGACTCTTTAGATGACTGGATAACATTAAGGTCATCTTTTAAATTCTTTGCATTACTTGAGTTAAAGATGAAATGTGGGGCCAGGCACGGTGGCTCACGCCTATAATCATAGCACTTTGGGAGGCCAAGGCAGGCAGATCACAAGGTCAAGAGTTCGAGACCAGCCTGGCCAATATGGTGAAACCCCATCTCTACTAAGAATACAAAAATTAGCCAAGTGTGGTGGCAGGAGCCTGTAATCCCAGCTACTCAGGAAGTTGAGGCAGGAGAATTGCTTGAACCCGGGAGGCAGAGGTTGCAGTGAGCCAAGATCACGCCACTGCACTCCAGCTCCAAAAAAAAAAAAAAAGAAATGTGACAATGAAATAAATAGTTTAATTTTTATGCTTGTCTTATATATGCTGTTCAAAACTTTTGTCTTCATACTTGTAGCTAAGTAAATGCTGTAGCTGGGTCTCCCATGGGTGTTTGTTTGTGTGTGTGGATGTCCCGCTCTTTTATTGCAAGTTTCATATTGTCTATATTTAGATTTGGCTTAGACCTTGAGCAACGTTTATTGAACCACAGGTGTTTTTCTCTGTGAGTATGAAAACATTCTCCCCTCCCCTCCCGAGTTTTCCCATACCCCAACTTGAACGCCTTTAAACCAGGGCTTCGGCTGCCCACACAGGATTTCTTTCCTCTAGGAGTTTTTGTTGGTTGGTTGGTTTGTTGTTTGTTGACTTATAGTAAGTCCCTTGGGGGTCTTTTGTTTTTTGAGACGGAGTTTTGCTCTTGATGCCCAGGCTGGAGTGCAATGGCACAGTCTTGGCTCACTGCAACCTCTGCCTCCCAGGTACAAGCGGTTCTCCTGCCTCAGCCTCCCGAGTAGCTGGGATTACAGATGCCTGCCACCACGCCCAGCCTATTTATTTTTTGTATTTTTAGTAGAGACGGGATTTCACCATGTTGGCCAGACTGGTCTCGAACTCCTGAGCTCAGGTGATCTGCCTGCCTTGGCCTCCCAAAATGCTGGGATTACAGGCATGAGCCCCCACTCCTGACCCCCTTGGGAGTTTTTAAGTTCTCCAAGTACAAATAAGTCCCCATTAATAGTCATTTTTTTTGGATCTTCACACCCATTGGGATGGCTGCTACCCAGAAAAAAAAAAAAAGAAAAAAGGAAGGTGTTGGCAAGGATGTGGAGAAATTGAAACCCTTGTGCACTGTGTGTGGAAATGTACAATGGTGAAGCTGCTGGGAAAACAGTATGGCAGTTCCTCAAAAACTAGAAATACCATGTGATCCAATAATTTCACTTGTGGGTATATACATAAAAGAGTTAAAAGCAGACTTGAAGCAATATTTGTACACCCATATTCATAGCTGCATTATTCACAATAGCCAAAAAGTCAAAACAACTCAAGTTATTCATCCATAGAAGAATGGATAAACAGGCCAGGCACAGTGGCTCAAGCCTGTAATCCCAGCACTTTGGGAGGCTGAGGCAGGCAGATCATGAGGTCAAGAGATCGAGACCATCCTGGCCAACACAGTGAAACCCCATCTCTACTAAAAGTACAAAAATTAGCTGGGCATGGTGGCGCTGCCTGTAGTCCCAGCTACTTGGGAGGCTGAGGCAGGAGAATCGCTTGAACCTGGGAGGCAGAGGTTGCAGTGAGCTGAGATCGTGCCACTGCACTCCAGCCTGGCGACAGAGTGAGACTCCATCTCAAAAAAAAAAGAATGGATAAACAAAATGTGGTTTCTCCATACGATGGAATGGCATTCAGCATTAAAAGACAGTTATCCTCAGGCCGGGTATGGTGGCTCACACCTGTAATTCCAGCACTTTGGGAGGCTGAGGTGGGTGGATCACTTGAGGTCAGGAGTTCGAGACCAGCCTGGCTGGCCAACATGGTATAACCCTGTCTCTACTAAAAATACAAAAATTAGTTGGGTATGGTGGCATGTGCCTGTAATCCTAGCTAATCAGGAGGCTAACGCAGGATAATCGCTGGAACCCAGGAGACAGAGGTTACATCAAGCAGAGATCATACTACTGCACTCCAGCCTGGGCAACAGAGTGAGACTCCGTCTCAAAAACAAAACAAAACAAAAAAACTTATTCTCAACAAACTAAAAATAGAATTACATATGATCCAGTAATTTCACTCTGGGCATATACACAAAATAGTTGAAAAGGTCTCAGAGATATTTGTTCACCCACATTCACTGCAGCATTATTCACAATTACCTAACAGTGGGAAAATAAATCTTCATCAGTGAATGGAACAAAATGTACGTCTATACAATGAAGTATGATTCAGCCTTTAAAGGAAGGAAATTTGGGCACATGCTACAACATAGATGGACCTGGAGGACATTATCGTGCTGAGTGAGATAAGCCAGTCACACAAAGACAAATACTGCTTGATTTCATTTATTATATGAAGTACCTAGAGTAGACAAATTCATGGAGTCAGATGTAGAATGGTGGGCTGGTGGGGACGGAAGAGTGGGAAGGTAGTGTTTATTGTCTTCATTTTTTATTTTTGAGGCAGGGTCTTGCTCTGTCACCCAGGCTGGAGTGCAGTGGCACAAACATAGCTCACTGCAACCTCCAACTCCTGGCCTCAAGCGGTCCTCCCACCTCAGCCTTCCGAGTAGCTTGGGACCACAAGCGCATCCCACCACACTCAGGTAATTTTTTTGTATTTTTTGTAAAGACAGGGTTTCACCATGCTGCCAGGCTGGTCCTGAACACCTAGACTCAAGCGGTCCACCCACCTCAGCCTCCCAAAGTGCTGGGATTACAGACATGAGCCACTGTGCCTGGCCTAGTATTTAATGAGTACAAAGTTTCTGTTGTGCAAGATGAGTTCTGGAGATGGGCAGTGGTGATGGTTGCACAGCATTATAATGTATTTAATACCACTGAACTGCACACTTCAAAATGGTTAAGATGGTAAATTTTATGAGTATTTTTATCACAATTAATGGCTAGGCATGGTGGCTCATGCCTAAAATCCCAGCGCTTTGGGAGGCCAAGGCAGGTGGATCACCTGAGGTCAGGAGTTTGAGACCAGCCTGGCCAACGTGCTGAAATCTTGTTTCTTAAAAATACAAAAATTAGCTGGGCATGGTGGTGGGCACCTGTAATCCTACTTGGGAGGCTGAGGCACGAGCATCACTTGAACCAGGAAGGCAGAGGTTGCAGTGAGCCGAGATCGAGCCACCGCACTCCAGCATAGGCAACAGAGCAAGACTCCATCTCAAAAAAAAAAAAAAAAAACAGAGGTGTTCCTTGAGTACCTGAGACACAAGCACTCCTGGAGCTCTTCTAATTTTTTTTTTTTTTTTTTGAGACGGAGTGTTGCTCTGTCACCCAGGCTGGAGTGTAGTGGTGTGATCTCGGCTCACTGCAACCTCTGCCTCCTGGGTTCAAACGATTCTCCTGCCTCAGCCTCCCAAGTAGCTGGGATTACAGACATGCACCACCATGCCCTGCTAATTTTTGTATTTTTAGTAGAGACAGGGTTTCGCCATGTTGGCCAGGCTGGTCTCGAACTGACCTCAAGTGATCTGCCCGCCTCGGCCTCCCAAAGTGCTGGGATTACAGGCATAAGCCACCACACCTGGCTGAGGACCACCTCTTAACTTGGGGATTCACTAGGACTCACAGGACTCAGCACGTGTTGAACTCAACAGTGACGCAGTCAGAATGCGCAGCTGGGTCTTAAGGAAAAGGACTCAGCAGAGCATACAGGAATCCAGACACAGGCTTCCTATGCTCTCTCCAGCCCGAGGAGTCACACAGAACACACTCTTACCCCAGCAACAAAGATGCAGAAACACAGGCATGTGCCATATTTCTGTCCAGGAAAGCCCACTAGAGACACAGCACCAAAGGTTTTTACTGAAGTCTGGTCACATAGGCAGCCTCTGCCCAGCTGGTACCAAAATTCCGTACTCCAGAAGGAAAGCAGGTGTTTATTTAGCATTAGCCACAATGTTTCTTGTTTTTTTGTTTTTTGACACGGAGTCTCGCTCTGTCACCCAGGCTGGAGTGCAGTGGCGCGATATTGGCTCACTGCAGCCTCTGCCTCCCAGGTTCAAGCAATTCTCCCACCTCAGCCTCCGGAGTAGCTGGGATTTACAGGCCCACCACCATGCCCGGCTAATTTTTGCATTTTTAATAGAGATGGGGTTTCATGCAGGCTTTGTATCAATACAACAAAAATGTTCTCAAGGGTTCTCATGTCTCTCGAACCTCTATTTCTAGGCATGACTCTCAGAAACAGATATCAAAGGATAACAGGATGTGAGTGATTTCTTTTTTTTTTTTTTTTTTTGAGACAGAGTTTCGCTCTTGTCGCCCAGGCTGGAGTGCGGTGGTGTGATCTCGACTCACCGCAACCTCCGCCTCCTGGGTTCAAGCGATTTTCCTGCCTCAGGCTCCCGAGTAGCTGGGATTACAGGCGCCCGCCACCACGCCCAGCTAATTTTTTGTATTTTTAGTAGAGACGGGGTTTCGCCATGTTGGCCAGGCTGGTCTTGAACTCCTGACCTCAGGTGATCCACCCACCTTGGCCTCCCAAAGTGCTGGGATTACAGGCATGAGCCACCGCACCCGACCAGATGTGAGTGATTTCAGTAGAACACGGACATCCTTCCTTATTTTCTCAAACTGAGAGATTCATTATGTAATTGAAAGAAAATATTCTTTGCAATATGGCCTAAGTGTCTAGTTCTGTTACTTTTGGTCCTCCAAGAAAATGAAAGGCTTGATCAAGCTGGATCAAATTCCAGCCATATGGTTGGGTAAATATAATACTATGAGCTTTTGTTATATAATCAGCAGTGAAATGATTGAAAACCAAAAATAAAACCCTAACCCCCCAACCCCAAACTGACTGAACAGACCCCTTAATGGGCCAAGAGGATGCTAGAGAAACCTCAAAACAATTCCCAGCCATGACCGGGGAAAAAAGGTCAGCTGCCTTATTATACCCACCTTTTTCGGAGTTTAGGCACAACTGACCAGCATGAACATTAAAATAGCAATCATAAAACTGACAGAACAGACTCTGTAGCAATAAGATACCAAATTCCAACCTAACTCTGGCATAGCATCACATGACAGATAGGAGACCTGAGGGAAATACAAATATTTTACCCCCAAATACATGGTTTTGCTTTTTTTGTTGTTTGTTTGTTTGTGGTTTTTTTTT
Organism: Homo sapiens; assembly: GCF_000001405.40. NCBI lineage: Eukaryota > Metazoa > Chordata > Mammalia > Primates > Hominidae > Homo > Homo sapiens. The sequence goes on from NC_000017.11 coordinate 76,788,032, forward strand.
TGAGACAGAGTCTCACTCTGTCACCCTGGGTGGAGTGAAGTGGCCTGTCACCAGGCTGGAATGCAGTGGCATGATCTCAGCTCACTGCAAGCTCCGCCTCCTGGGTTCAAGAGATTCTCATGCCTCAGCCTCCTGTGTAGCTGGATTTACAGTTGCACGCTGCCACACCTGGCTAATTTTTTGTATTTTTAGTAGAGACAGGGTGTTGCCATGTTGTCCAGGCTGGTTTCAAACTCCTGAGCTCAGGCAATCCAACCACCTCAGCCTCCCAACATGCTAGGATTACAGGTGTGAGACACCATGCCCAGCCCAAAATATATATGTATATATTTTGTTGTTTTGTTGTTGTTTTGAGACAGAGTCTCGCTGTGTTATCCAAGCTGGAGTGCAATGGCATGATCTTGGCTCACTGCAACCACCGCCTACCAAGTTCAAGCAATTCTCCTGCCTCAACCTCCCAAGTAGCTGGGATTACAGGTGCCTGCCACCACGCCCGGCTAATTTTTGTATTTTTAGTAGAGACGGGGTTTCACAGCCTCGGTAGAGGCTGAGATTCATGCCTGTAATCTCAGCACTTTGGGAGGCCGAGGCAGGTGGATCATGAGGTCAGGAGTTCGAGACCAGCCTGGCCAACATGGCAAAACCCCATCTCTACTAAAAACAAGAAAAAAATTAGCCAGGCTTGGTGGCACGCGCCTGTAGTCCCAGTTACTTGGGAGGCTGAGGCAGGAGAATCACTTGAACCTGGGAGAAGGATTGCACCACTGCTCTCCAGCCTGGGCGACAGGACGAGACTCCGTCTCAATCAATAAATCAATCAATAAATAAGATCGGACGTGGTGGCTCATGCCTGTAAGCCCAGCACTTTGGGAGGCTGAGGCGGGCGCATCACCTGAGGTCAGAAGTTCGAGACCAGCCTGGCCAACATGGTGAAACCCCATCTCTACTAAAAATATAAAAATTAGCTGGGCATAGTAATGCACACCTGTAATCCCAGCTACTGGGGAGGCTGAGGCAGGAGAATCGCTTGAACCCAGGGGGCGGAGGTTGCAGTGAGCTGAGATCACACCATTGCACTCCAGCCTGGGTGACAGAGTGAGACTTCATCTCAAAAAAATAAAAAATAAAAAAGTTTTAGAGCAGGAATGAAAGGAAGCAAAGTACACTTGGAAGAGGGTCAAGTGGGCAACATAAGAGATCCAAGTGCCCTGTTCAGCCTTGGGCTTGGGGTTTTATACATTGGCATGGTTCCGGGGTTTGTGTTTTTCTTCCCTTAATTTTCCCCTTGGGGCAGGCTGTCTGCATGCACAGTGACCTGCCAGCACTTGGGAGGGGCCGCATGTGCAGTGCGTTTACTGAAGTTGTGTGTATGCTCGTTTGAGGCATTTTTCTCTTACCAGTCAAGCATTCCCAGAGGAAGGTCATATACCAGTTAAACTCCCATTTTGCCTCTTAGTGCACATGTTTGAACCGACTCGCCTAGCTCCTGAGATCTTATCAGGAAGCTGCTGATCACTAGCTCCAGGTATTTTCTATCTACTGGGAGACTGCAGGTCCCTGGAACCAGCTGCAACCAATTATCATTTTAGCGACACAGTTTAACAACTGCCTGACCATCACCTGATGGTTGCCTGACGACCTGATAGGGGCCCTCTCCTGCCCTGCTCAGTTCTGCCTAACTGCCTACTCTAACATACTGATTTATGTCTTGGCCTGCAACTTCTGTCTCCCTAAATGTGTAAAACCAAGCTGTAACTGACCACACTTTCTCAGGACCTCTTGGGATTGTTCTCCCAGCCATGGTCACTCATATTGGCTCAGAATAAACCTCTTTAAATATCTTGCAGAGTTTGGTTTTGTTCATCAACATGGTTGTGAATATGGATTGTGTTTATTGGTTAAGAGATAATTAACTTTGAAAAGTTAATGTCTCATTAAAATAAAACATAATTACTTTGGCTTGTTTGTTTGGGTTATTTTGGTTGGGTTTCCAGCATGTAAAATAATTAGACAACTCTTTTCTCTACAACTCACATTTCTTTTCTTTTTTTTTTTTTTCTTTTTTTTTGAGACAGAGTCTCACTCTGTTGCCCAGGCTAGAGTGCAGTGGCGTGATCTTGGCTCACTGCAACCTCTGCCTCCTGGGTTCAAGTGATCCTCCTGGCTCAGCCTCTTGACGCATGAGCCACCACGCCCAGCTAATTTTTGTATTTTTAGTAGAGACAGGGTTTCACCATGTTGGCCAGTCTGGTCTCAAATTCCTGACCTCAGGCATGAGCCACCATGCTCGGCCTCGGCCTCATATTTCTTTCTTTCTTTTTTTTTTTTGAGACACCATCTCACTCTGTTGCCCAGGCTGGAGGGCAGTGGCGTGATCACAACTTACTGCAACCTCTGCCTCCTGGGTTCAAGCAATTCTCGTGCCTCAGCCTCCCGAGTAGCTGGAATTACAGGTGCGCGCCACCATACCCACCACAGGTTTTGCCGTGTTGGCCAGGCTGGTCTTGAACTCCTGGGCTCAAGCAATCCACCTGCTTCAGCTTCCCAAAGTGCTGGGATTACAGGCGTGAGCCACCGTGCCCGGCCTAAAACTCATATTTCTTGATAAATATTGGAAACATATTCCCTAGAAATAGTCTAACTCGGCCGGGCGTGGTGGCTCACGCCTATAATCCTAGCACTTTGGGATCACGAGGTCAAGAGGTCGAAACCATCCTGGCCAAAATGGTGAAACCCCATCTCTACTAAAAATACAAAAATTAGCCGGGCGTGGTGGCACACACCTTGTAGTCCCAGCTCCTCGGGAGGCTGAGGCAGTAGAATTCCTTGAACCTAGGAGGTGGAGGTTGCAGTGAGCCAAGATCACACCACTGCACTCCAGCCTGGGCGACAGAGCCAGACTCCATCTCAAAAAAAAAAAAAAGAAATATTCTAACTTGACATTTTGTGTGTTTTGTGTGTTTTTTGGTCCTTGATCAACAATATACTAAATCTTAATACTAGGATGTATATTTGTGTGAAGGTAGAAGGTCAAACTTGACCTTCTTTTTAACTTTGTGTGCAAATAGTGTGAATGTGCCCTGGACACCTCCCTGCAGCATTGGGCTATGATTTACTGGTTTTCTGAGCTGCTATTAAATCTGGAAGTTTTGATGTTCTTATCAAGAGTAGTTCTGCCCTATTTCTGTGTGATAATTTAGAGAACAAGCAGATTGCAGCTTTAGAGAAGTCTAGTCCAGAGGAGGCTCCTTTGAGCATTTATTTTTGACTTCGTTTCAATTCACAGGTCCTCTTTCTTTTACTTCCTGAAAATGTTGTCAGATATTTCCAATTCTTCAGTCTTTTTTGTTTACATTCTAAGCCTGTTTAACTTTTTTTTTTAAATTGGTTTAGTTTTCTCAGTTTTATATCTTAGAAAGGGATCTTTTGGGATAATTGTCACTGAACCGAAAGCAATTTGATGACTCATATTGTAGACACTGTGAGAACATGTTGAGGAAAAAACAGATGTTTTCTTCTCTACTTCTTTGTGGTTGGCGCGCTGGGGAGGTAGCCTGCTGAATCCATGTGCCGTGGGGGAGCCGCACGGGGTGTCTGGGCTGGCTCTCCTCCCACAGGTGGCTGCCCCCCAAGCTGTACCCTATTCTGCAGGAAATGATTTGTTTGGCAGCCAGAGCTTGCTTTCCACTAAAGAACATTGCCTTGGCTCTGGCAAACCCTTTGACTTAGGAACCATTTTGGCCTGTCCCATTATTTTGCAGAATGAAGCGCTTTGGGTTTGCTATACAGCTGGTTTTGGTTTTTTGCTTGTTTTTTTTTTTTCTTTTTTCTTTGTGTTCCCCCCCGCCCCGAGAGATCAACTCTTTCATTTTATCCCTTTCTGGATCAGAAACCATTGAAACCAGTGAAAGAAGAATAGCCCAGTGCAGGGCACTCACGTCTATTCAACACTGAATCCTTAATATGCTAGATGAGCCCAGCACATTTCATACAGTGCCATGGTGCCCTCCACGGCCTGACCTTCCAAAGCGAATTTTCTCTGCTAGAGACATCACTAATATATATTGAGTGCTTACCTACATACCAGGCACCCTTTTTTTTTTTTGAGACAGAGTCTCACTATATTGCCCAGGCAGGAGTGCAGTGGCACTATCTTGGCTCACTGCAACCTCTGCCTCTAGGGTTCAAGCAATTCTCCTGCCTCAGCCTCTTGAGTAGCTGGGATTACAGGTCTGCATCACCACATCCAGCTAATTTTTGTATTTTTAGTAGAGAGGGGGTTTCACTATGTTGTCCAGGCTGGTCTCGAGCTCCTGACTTCAAGTGATCCACCCATCTCAGCCTCCCAAAGTGTTAGGATTACAGGCATGAGCCACTGCACCCGGTGTAGGCGTTCTTTTATTTTTCTTTTCTTTCTTTTTTTTTTTTCCGGGCTCTCTTTAAAGCATGTTACAAGTAATTATCAACTAGAAACCATTATCCCCATTTTATAGATGAGAAAACCAAGGCACAGAGAGATCAAGTAACATATCCAAGATGGCAGAGCAGGTAAGTGCAGATAAGGACCCGCCTAAATTTGTCCATGTCCTGATTGCTGGAACCTGTGAATATGTTAGTTCCATGGTAACGGGGAATTGAGGTTGCAGGTGCAATTAAGGCTGCTAATCAGCTCACCTTGAGATGGGGAGATTATCTGGAATTAGCTGAATGGGCCCAATATAATGTCAGGTCCTTAAAGTGGAAGATTATCAGGGAACCTGCCCCCAATAGTCATGTAGGTTCTTTTCTATTTTCCCTAAGCATCCGCCGGGTTGAGAAATAAAGGGACAGAGTACAAAAGAGAGAAATTTTAAAGCTGGGCATCTGGGGGAGACATCACATGTCGGTAGGTTCCTTGATGTCCCACAAGCTGCAAAACCAGCAAGTTTTTATTAGTGATTTTCAAAGGGGAGGGAGTGTATGAATAGGGTGTGGGTCAAAGAGATCACATGCTTCACAAGGTAATAGAATATCACAAGGCAAATGGAGGCAGGGCGAGATCACAGGATGGGCGAAATTAAAATTGCTAATGAAGTTTCGGGCACGCATTGTCATTGATAACATCTTATCAGGAGACAGGGTTTGAGAGCAGACAACCAGTCTGATCAAAAATTTATTAGGCGGGAATTTCCTCGTCCTAATAAGCCTGGGAGCACTATGGGAGACTGGGGCTTATTTCATCCCTACAGTTTCGACCATAGAAGATGGCCACACCCAAGGGGGCCATTTTAGAGGCCTACCCTCAGGGCCGCATTCTCTTTCAGGGCTGTTCCTTGCTGAGAAAAATAATTCAGCAATATTTCTCCCATTTGCTTTTGAAAAAAGAGAAATATGGCTCTGTTCCGCCCGGCTCACCAGCGGTCAGAGTTTAAGGTTATCTGTCTTGTTCCCTGAACATTGCTGTTATCCTGTTCTTTTTTCAAGGTGCCCAGATTTCATATTGTTCAAACACACATGCTCTACAATTTGTGCAGTTAACGCAATCATCACGGGGTCCTGAGGCGACATACATCCTCCTCAGTTTACGAGATGACAGGATTGAGATTAAAGTAAAGACAGGCATAGGAAATCACAAGGGTATTGATTGGGGAAGTGATAAGTGTCCATGAAATCTTCACAATTTATGTTCAGAGATTGCAGTAAAGACAGGCATAAGAAATTATAAAAGTGTTAATTTGGGGATCTAATAAATGTCCATGAAATCTTCACAATCCGTGTTCTTCTGCCATGGCTTCAGCCGGTCCCTCCATTCGGGGTCCCTGACTTCCCACAACAGAAGATGGAGGCAGGAGGGTCAGGGTCAGAGTCAAAGTGATGCATTGGGACAAAGATTCAGTCTGCTGTTGCTGGCATTGAAGACAGTGGAAGGGACCACAAGCCATAGAATCTAGGTGGCCACTAGGAGGTGGAAGAGGCAAAGGAACAGTTTCTCCCCTAGAGCCTCCAGGAACAATGCAGCAGCCTTGCTGACACCTTACTTTTAGCCCCAGGAGACCCGTCTTGCACTTCTGACCTCCAGAAGTGTAAGATAATAAAATTGTGTTGCCTTTAAGCCACTCAATGTGATAATTTGCTATAGCAGCAGTAGCAAGCTAATACAAGGAGAGATGGATTTTTAAAAATCTCATCTGGGCTGGGTGTGGTGGCTCACACCTGTAATCCCAGCACTTTGGGAGGCTGAGGTGGGTGGATTACCTGAGGTCAGGAGTTCGAGACCAGCCTGGCCAACATGGTGAAACCCCGTCTCTACTAAAAAATTAGCCGGGCGTGGTGGAGCGCACCTGTAATCCCAGCCACTCAGAAGACTGAGGCAGGAGAATTGCTTGAACCCAGGAGGTGGAGGTTGCAGTGAGCCTAGATCACGCCACTGCACTCCAGCCTGGGTGAAAGAGCGAGACTCCGTCTCAAAGAAAAAAAAAAAATTAGCCAGGCGTGGTGGCAGGCACCTGTAATCCCAGCTATTTAGGAGGCTGAGGCAGGAGAATCACTTGAACCTGGTAAGCAGAGGTTGCAGTGAGCCAAGATCATGCCATTGCACTTCAACCTTGGCGACAGAGCAAAACTCTGTCTCAAAAAAAAAAAAAAAAAAAATCTGAAGAAGATGTACTCTTTTTTTTTTTTTTTTTTTTTTTTTTGTTTTGAGATGGAGTGTCACTCTGTCACTCAGGCTGGAGTGCAGTGGTGTGATCTGGGCTCACTGCAACTTCCACCTCCCAGGTTCAAGCGATTCTCCTGCCTCAGTCTCCCAAGTAGCTGGGATTACAGGTGCCCGTCACCATGCCCAGCTAATTTTTTTTGTATTTTTAGTAGAGACGGGGTTTCACCATCCTGGCCAGGCTGGTCTCGAGCTCCTGACCTCGTGATCCACCTGCCTCGGCCTTCAAAAGTGATGGGATTACAGGCATGAGCCACCACACCCAGCCGAAAATGTACTCTTAACCACAGTCAGTCCTCCATAACCATTTTGTATTGTAGGTTCAAACAACCATGGATCGAAAATATGGGGAAAAAAATTGTATCTGTACTGAACATGTGCAGACTTTTTTTCTTATGAGTCCCTAAACAATGGTGTATAACAACTATTTACATAGCATTTACATTGTATTAGGTATTGTAAGTAATCTAGAATTGTAGTAATTACGGGCTCATGCCTGTAATCCCAGCACTTTGGGAGGCTGAGGCGGGCGGATCACCCAAGGTCAGGAGTTCGAGACCAGCCTGGCCAACATGGCGAAAACCTGTTTCTACCAAAAAAAAAAAAAAAAAAAATTAGCCAGACGTGGTGGCGTGAGCCTGTAATCCCAACTACTTGGGAGGCTGAGTCAGGAGAATTGCTTGAACCTGGGAGATGGAGGTTGCAGTGAGCTGAGATTGCACCACTGTACTCCAGCCTGGGTGACAGAACGAGACTCCATCTCCCAAAAAAAAAAAATTATAAAGTATGCAGGAAGATGTGTGTAGGTTATATGCAAATACTATGCTATTTTATATCAAGGACTTGAGCATCTGCAGGTTTTGGTATCTGAGGGATGACTGGGATGACTACACATCTTTCATGATGTTGACAATCAGTGGAAGATGAGGGATGTTGTAATTTTGATTAAATTTCTCCATTCAGAAAATGGTGGTGCTTTCTAATTTCCTACCAGATCAGCTCACTGCAAGCTCCACCTCCCGGGTTTACACCATTCTCCTGCTTCAGCCTCCTGAGTAGCTGGGACTACAGGTGCCCGCCACCACGCCCGGCTAATTTTTTTTTTTTTTTTGTATTTTTTTAGTAGAGACGGGGTTTCACCATGTTGGCCAGGATGGTCTCGATCTCCTGACCTCGTGATCCACCTGTCTCAGACTCCCAGAGTGCTGGGATTACAGGTGTGAGCCACCACGCCTGGCCGATCAGGCCCATACTTCTTTGCCTGACACTGAACAATTCCTAAAACCTCATCCTGCAAAACCATACCTGCTCCATGCAAAACCAAAACTTCAAGACTCTAAAACCATGCCAGTCTCCAAAACATACCCTTTTCTGTAGACACATTTATTTTATTCTTGTTTCATGAATACATTTTACTTCAACATCTCTGCCTTTGTTCATATTGTATTTCTTTGTGGAATGACCTCTCTTTCTCCTTCCTTCTATCCAAATCCTATTCATCTTCAGGACCTGGCATAAGTCCCACCTCCCTGTGAAGCCTTTTCGGACCACAGCAGCCTTTTCCTGACTTTAGTGAAGTTCCCACAGACTGAATCACACCTCATCTTGCATTGCTTCCTTTTCCCCCATGTGTTTTTCTTGTTCTCACAACTATATTAACTCTTGGGGGGAAGGACTGTCATTTACAGTCTACATCGTACAGTCTACAGTCTAATATCCTCGACATTGACTAGTCTGATGACTTCCAACACCAAATCTCTGGGGGTTTCTCTTCCACACCAGCCGACTCTGCAGCACCAGCTGGGTGTTCAACAATTCAGTTCAATCCTGACACTACCAGGAGTTAGCACCGACCCTCACAGGTTAAGTAAGGTCTCAGTCCCACAAGACTACCATTACCAGAAAGGGATCCTGATGCAGACTCCAAGAGAGGGTTCTTGGATTTCACACAAGAAAGAATTCCGAGGCTGGGCACGGTGGCTCATGCCTGTAATCCCAGCACTTTGGAGGCCGAAGTGGATCTGAGGTCAAGAGTTTGAGACCAGCCTGGCCAACATGGTGAAACCCCATCTCTACTAAAAATACCAAAAAAAAAAAAAAAAAAATTAGCTGGATATGGTGGCACGAGCCTGTAGCCCCAGCTACTTGGAAAGCTGAGGCTCGGTTGGGCACGGTGGCTCATGCCTGTAATTGCAGCACTTTGGGAGGCCGAGGCAGGCAGATCACGAGGTCAGGAGTTCGAGACCAGCCTGACCAACATGGTGGAAACTCATCTCTACTAAAAATACAAAAAATTAGCCAGCTGTGGTGGCAGGCGCCTGTAGTCCCAACTACTTGGGAGGCTGAGGCAGGAGAATTGCTGGAACCCAGGAGGTGGAAGTTGCAGTGAGCTGAGATCGCACCACTGTACTCCAGCATGGGCGACAGAGCGAGACTCTTCCTCAATTAAAAAAGAAAAAAGAAAAAAGAAAAGAAAGTAAAGAAACAAAAGAATGGCTACTCCATAGACAGAGTAGCCCTGAGGACTGTTGGTTTATTTTAAGGTTGTTTTTTGATCAGTTGCTAAGCAAGGGATGGATTTTTTAAGAGTTTTCTGGAAAAGGAGCGAGCAAGCCCCAGAACTGAGGGTTCCTCCCTTTTTAAGCAATATAGGGATATAGGGTAACTTCTGGGCATTGCCACGGCATTTGTAAACTGTCACGGCTCTAGTGGGAGTGTCTATTAGTATGCTAATATGTTATACTTAGCATATAATGAGGTTGAGGATGACTAAAGTTCCCTTTAGTCGCTGTGTTGGTTTTGGTGGGTTTGGGCTGGCTCTTTTTCTTTTACAGCATCCTGTTGTATTTATTATCAGGGTCTTTATGACCTGTATCTTGTGATACCAGTCCTGAGGACCTCCTGTCTCATCCTGTGACTAAGAATGCCTGACATCCTGGGAATGCGGGGCAGCAGGTCTCAGCCCCATTTTACCCAGCCCCTATTTAAGTTGGAGTTGCCCCAGTTCAAATGCCTCTGACACTACCCCCACTTACTTCAGATGCCAGTCCTAAATCCAGGCCGTCCATACTTCTTACTGACCAGCTGTAAAGGGAGGGGAGTTCCTATAATCCCCAGCTCATATTTGATAATTTGCTAGAATGGCTTGCAGAACTCAGGAAAACATTTTTTTTTTTGAAACAGGGTCTCACTTTGTTGCCCAGGCTGGAGTGCAGTGGTGCTATCATAGTTCACTGCAGCCTCAAACTCCTGGGCTCACGTGATCCTCCCACCTCAGCCTCCCGAGTAGCTGGAACCACAGGTGCGCACCACCACGCCCGGTTAATGTTTTAAATAAATTTATGTAGAGATGGGGTCTCACTATGTTGCTCAAGCTGGTCTTGAACTCCCACGCTCAAGCAATCCTCCCACCTCAGCCTCCCAAAGTGCTGGGATTACACGTCGGAGCCACCATGCCTGGCCCAGGAAAACAATTTACTTAAAATTGCCAGTTTATTGTAGAGGATACAACTCAAGAAGAGCCAAATGGAAGAGATGTGTAAGGTGAGCTTGGGGTGGGGATGCAAAGCCTCTATGCCCCGTCCAGGGATGCCACCCTCCCAGCACCCCATGTATTCACCAACCTCGAAGCTCATCACGTCTCCAGATTTGAGAGATTTTATGCAGCTTAATGGCAGCCTCCTCCCTGCCCTTTCAGGAGATCAGTGGGTGGGATGAAACGCCCAACCTTCTAATCACTTGGTCTTTCTGGTGACCAGTCATTTGTGAGACTATATGGGGACCCCACCCTTTGTCACCTCAGTACATGTGTTATCAGAGAGGCTCATAACAACCAAAGACACTCCTGTCTTTCAGGAAATTCCAAGGCTTGTAGGAGTTCTGTGCCACTGAGGACAAAGACCAAATATATTTCTTATTATATCACATCTAGTAAAGGTCTGAGCCTCAAGGTGACTCTCGGGAAGTGGTTAGCAACCAGTGAGCTGTTGCTCTATTATGATTTAGAAAATAAGGAAATGAGGCAGGGCATGGTGGCTCATGCCTGTAATCCCAACACTTTGGGAGGCTGAGGCAGGAGGATCACCTGAGGTCAGGAGTTCGAGACCAGCCTGACCAACGTGGCAAAGCCCCGTCTCTACGAAAAATACAAAATTAGCCAGGCATGGTGGCACATGCCTGTAATCCCAGCTACTCGGGAGGCTGAGGCGGGAGAATTGCTTGAACCCAGGAGGCGGAGGTTGCAGTGAGCCAAGATCGCACCAGTGTACTCCAGCCTAGGCAACAAGAGTGAAACTCCATCTCAAAAAAAAAAAAAAAAAAAGAAAATATGGAAATGCAATAGATTCAGAATCATAAGATGTAGACACAGAAGGAATCTTGGAGAACATTTAAAACTTAGGGAACTCTTGAGACAAAATCTCACTCTGTCACCCAGGCTGGAGTGCATTGTCACGATCTTGGCTCACTGTAACCCCTGCCTCCCAGTTCAAGCAACTCTCGTGCCTCAGCCTCCCAAGTAGCTGGGATTATAGGTGCCCACCACAATGCCTGGCTAATTTTTGTAGTTTTAGTAGAGATGGGCTTTCACCATGTTGGCCAGGCTGGTCTCGAACTCCTGACCTCAAGTGATCCACACACCTCAGCCTCCCAAAGTGCTGGGATTACAGGTGTGAGCCACCACGTCCTGCCTTATTATTATTTTTGAGACACAGTCTTGCTCTGTCACGCAGGCTGGAGCCATGTCAGCTCAATGCAACCTCTGCCCCCCTGGATTCAAGCAGTTCTCCTGCCTTGGCCTCCTGAGTAGCTGGGATTACAGGTATGTGTCACCACGCCCGGCTAATTTTTTGTATTTTTAGTAGAGACTGGGTTTCCTGACCTCAAGTGATCCACCCACCTCGGCCTCCCAAAGTGCTGCGATTACAGGCGTGAGCCACTGCGCTGGGCTCATGGTTCCTAATTATATCGCAGAACCACACCTCTGTGTCCCAAACATTATTGCAAAGCATTTCTCTTCTCCCACCTTGTTCCCACCCCCAACCTTGCCCAAAGCTTAAAGCTTACAAGTCACCTAAATATTCTATTAGGGGAAAAAAACTCCAGCATGTTTTATTATCTGATCAGATGCATCATCTCATACCCCCTTTCCCCATGATTTCTCCTGCATTTCTTCTTGCTATTCCAGCCACTCCTATAGCCTTTTCTTCTCTTTTTTTCTTTTTCTTTTTCCTTTTTTTTTTTTTTTTTTGAGACCGAGTCTCCCTCCGTTGCCCAGGCTGAAGAACTGTGGTGTGATCTTGGCTCACTACAACCTCTGCCTCCTGGGTTCAAGTGATTTTCCTGCCTCAGCCTCCAAAGTGGCTGGGATTACGGGCACCCGCCACCACTCCCAGCTAATTTTTGTATTTTTAGTAGAGACGGGTTTCACCATGTTGGCCAGGCTGGTCTCGAACTCCTGGTGTCAAGTGATCCACCTGCCTCGGCCTCCCAAAGTGATGGGATTACAAGTGTGAGCCACTGTGCCTGGCTTAGCCTTCGGTTTTGCTATTTTCTCTTTTTACTAAGTATCTGGCTAAAAGGGTTTTCTTGGAGCTAGTACTGAAGTGGTATCCTTAAGGGAGGTAAAAAGTCCAAAAGCTGGCTTAAGTGTCCAGTAAGGAATCACTTAATTTGGCACAGAGGGAAGCATTGCCTCTGTAATGGTCACCTATGAAATCCTTTCCAATTAAACAGCCTTCTCCTTTGTGCTGTAGTCTCTTTGTATTGGTGTGGCCATTTGTCTGTGGGTAATAGCCAACTCGCAATGGATTGTTGCTGCTATTAATCTTTTTTTCAAGAAAGAAAATGACACACATAATAACCTGTTTGAAAAAGCCCTTTAATGGTACATTATTATTTGTTGTCTGGCTACAGAACAGTGAGGGCAGTGCATAGCTGTCTATACACTTTTCTTGCTGCTACAGAACTGATTGACTGCAGTAAAATAACCTTAAGATGTGTTTCTATGTTTCAGTGTAGAGGGTATACTTAGAATTTCCTGTATTTATCCTTCTATTAATACCATACTCAGACTGGGTGCAGTGGCTCACACCTGTATTCCTAGCACTTTGGGAGGCCAAGGCAGGCAGATCACCTGAGGTCAGGAGTTCAAGACCAGCCTGGGCAACATGATGAAACCCCATTTGTACCAAAAATATAAAAATCAGCTGGGCGCAGCAGCACGTGCCTGTGATCCCAGCTACTTGGGAGGTGGAGGCAGGAGAATCGCTTGAACCTGAGAGGCAGAGGTTGCAGTGAGCCGAGATGGCACACTGCACTTCAGCCTGGGCAACAGAGGGAGACTCGGTCTGAAAAAAAAAAAAGGAATAAAAGAATGGCTACTCCAGCCGGGTGTGGTGCCTCACGTCTGTAATCCCAGCACTTCGGGCGGCTGAGGAGAGTGGATCACTTGAGGCCCGGAGTTCGTGACCAGCCTGGCCAACATGGCAAAACTCCGTCTCTACAAAAAACTTAAAAAATTAGCCAAGCTTGGTAGCATGCACCTGTAGTTCCAGCTTTGAGCCCAGGAGGCAGAGGTTGCAGCGATCTGAGATCATGGCCTGCACTCCTAGCCAGGGGCACAGAGCAAGGCTCTGTCTCAAAAAAAAAAAAAAAAAAAAAAGGAAAAGAAAAGAAAAAGGAAGAAAAAGAAATAATAGCTACTGCATAGGCAGAGCAGCATTTTTTTTTTTTTTTTTTTGAGACCAAGTCTCACTCTGTCACCCAGGCTGGAGTGCAATGGCATGATCTCAGCTCACTGCAACTTCCGCCTCCCAGGTTCAAGCAATTCTCCTACCTCAGGCTCCCGAGTAGCTGGGATTACAGTCATGCACCACCACGCCTGGCTAATTTTGCATTTTTCGTAGAGACAGGATTTCACCATGTTGACCAGGCTGGTCTCAAACTCCTGACCTCAGGGATCCACCTGCCTTGGCCTCCCAAAGTGCTGGGATTACAGGTCTGAACCACCGTGCCTGGCCCAGAGGTCACTTTAGTTACCATCTTGCTTTTGGTGGGTTTGGCTGGCTTCTTTACTGCATTCTGTTTTATCAGCAGGGTCTTTAAGACTTGTATCTTGTGATACCAGTCCTGCTGACCTCCTGTCTCATCCTGTGTCTAAGAATGCCTGACCTCCTGGGAATGCAGCCCATTAGGTCTTGGCCTCATTTTACCCACCCCCTATTCAAGATAGAGTCGCTCTGGTTTCAGATGCCTCTGAGGCAATTACTGGGCTGGGCACGGTGGCTCACACTTAGCACTTTGGGAGGCCAAGGTGAGCGGATCACTTTAGGTCAGGAGTTCAAGACCAGCCTCGCCAACTTGGTGAAAGCCCATCTCTACTAAAATACAAAAAAAATTAGCCAGGTGTGGTAGTGGGCACCTGTAATCCCAGCTTCTCGGAAGGCTAAAGCAGGAGAATCGCTTGAAGCCAGGAGGCAGAAGTTGCAGTGAGTCCCGATTGTGCCACTGCACTCCAGCCTGAGTGACAGAGCAGAACTCTGTCTCAAAAACAACAACAACAAAAACAATTACTGTCATAAAAATGATAATAACAAGTATTGATGAAGATTTGGAGAAACTGGAACCCTCACATATGGCTAACAAGAATGTAAAATGGTACATCTATTTTGGAAAACAATTTGGCAGTTTCTCAAAATATTACACATAAACCGACCATACAACTCAGCAACTCTAACTCTTAGAAATTTACTTTCACAAAGTCATGCACTTGAGTGTTCCGAGCAGCGTTATTTATAATAGTCAAAAACTAGAAACAGTTGACATGCCATCCACGTGTAAATGTATAAAATGTGGTTTATCCGTACAGTGGAGGGCTGGGCACATGGCTCACACTTGTAATCCCAGCACTTCGGGAGGCCGAGGCAGGCAAATCACTTAAGGTCAGGAGTTCAAGACCAGCCTAGCCAACATGGTGAAACCCTCTGTCTACTAAAAATACAAAAATTAGCTGGGCATGGTGGCATGCACCTGTAATCCCAGCTACCGCATGAGTACACTCAGACAATTGCAAAGGAGTTCCACTCCTCTCACCTTGGGGTCAGCACCTACCCCCATTACACCCATGATCAGCAGGAAGAAGTTAGAGCAGTCTTCACCCTTTTTCCATATTCATTAGCCAACACCTTAAGATTAAGGTGTTATAAAACCCAAAGCGAGGCCAGGAGATCGAGTCCATCCTGGCTAACACGGTGAAACCCCATCTCTACTAAAAATACAAAAAATTAGCCGGGCGTGGTGGCAGGCACCTGTAGTCCCAGCTACTCGAGAGGCTGAGGAAGGGGATGGTGTGAACCCGGGAGGCAGAGGTTGCAAGGAGGTGAGATCGTGCCACTGCACTCCAGCCTGGGTGACAGAGTGAGACTCCGTCTCAAAAAAACAAAAACAAAAACAAAACAAACAAAAAAAAACCCAAAGCAAGAGATTGAAAGTGCCATGGCAAAATTATAACTGAGACAGTGAAAGAGATCTGACCTAACCAACTCCATCTTGCTTTGCATCTCCAAGCTGTTCTTATTCATTCCTGGGCACAGACCGAACTAACTTTGGAAGGAACTTGG
This sequence comes from Homo sapiens, assembly GCF_000001405.40. Taxonomy (NCBI): domain Eukaryota; kingdom Metazoa; phylum Chordata; class Mammalia; order Primates; family Hominidae; genus Homo; species Homo sapiens. The sequence goes on from NC_000017.11 coordinate 76,803,344, forward strand.
TTTATAGTTTAAAACAATGACGATAACAGCCCTTTACCAAAACAAAGTTCCTTCTTGCCTGGAGACTAGACTGCCTTTGTCGGACTAACAAATTAGCCACAAGATTAGAATTTATGGTTTAGGAGTCATGCAGCTGGAGGATACAAGATTCTGACCCTCCTTAAACTGCTCCTAAGATCAGTGTTTGAGATGTTTTGCAGACCCTGCACTCGATGGATCATCTGGCACCACCCAGATCGATAAAATGGCCCATCTGATCTTATGGCCCCTGACCTGGGAATTGACTCCAGCACAAAAGGACAGCTTCAGTTCTGCATGATTTCATCTCTGACCCAACAGTCAGCACTCTTGACTCAATGGCCTTCCCTCCCACCCCCACCAAATTATCCTGAATTAAAAACTGTGATCCCAGAATGCTCAGGGAGACTGATTTGAGTAATAATAAAACTTTGGTTTCCCACACAGCCGGCTCTGCCTGAATTACACTGTCTGTATTGCAAATTCCCCTGTCTTGATAAATTGGCTCTGTCTAGGCCGTGGGCAAGGTGAGCCCGTTGGTCAGTTACAACCATGCTCAGCTAATTTTTTGTATTTTTTGTAGAGATGGGGTTTTGCTGTGTAGCCCAGGCTGGTCTTGAACTCTGGGCTTAAGGGATCCCCCCATCTCAGCCTCCCAAAGTCCTGGGATTACAGATGTGAGCTACCATGCCCCGCCTAACTGAGTAGCTTTACTTATTTATTTAAAAAAATTAGTTTTATTTTTTATATCGTAAGCCTTACTTGCAAAATGAGTAGCTTTCAATAGATGATCTTTCTCTCTTTTTTTTTTTTTGAGATGCAGTCTTGCTCTGTCAACCAGGTTGGAGTGCAGCGGCGCAATCTTGGCTCACTGCAACCTCTGCCTCCCGGGTTCAAGTGATTCTCCTGCCTCAGCCTCCCAAGCAGCTGGTATTACAGGTGCCCGCCACCACGCCCAGCTAATTTTTGTATTTTTAGGAGAGACAGAGTTTCACCATCTCGGACAGACTGGTCTTGAACTCCTGACCTCGTGATCCACCTGCCTTGGCCTCCCAAAGTGCTGGGAAATGACAGGTATGAGCCACTGCGCCTGGCCAGTGATCTCTTCTTACTGCACTCTGTGACTTGCCTTGAATTCCTTCCTGCACAAGATCCAGGAACCCTCCCTTAGGGTCTGGGTAGGGACCCCTTTTTCTGGCAACAGAGACTTTAAATACTTTTATGACTGCCTCTGATAGATTGTTCTACACATCTGTCCTTTTTGTTAACATGATTATAGGAAATGTAATTTAGGGCACCAAGAGAAGATCTATTCACGGAACACAGGAGTGAATACACACTGCCTCTGTATTGATGGAACTCATGCTGGGCCATTAAGTATTTATCCATGTATGCAAATGAGCATTGTTTTCAAGATATTGAGCCTCTCCTACCTTTCCTTCTAACTGATCCAAATCAGAATAACCTGATTGGTGAGCTGAGCTTCACCTCTAACTTGACTTGTTGTTGTGCTGCTATTGGTAATGAGGTGATACTAAGGGACTTTTTATGTTGATAGTGTGAGCGTCTCACATGCATGGGATAGGTAGGGTATGTGGGCCCTGGGTTTTGACTAGGTGAGATGCGAGGAAATACTTTTTTCTCTTTTTTTTTTTTTTTTTTTGAGATAGAGTTTCGTTCTTGTTGCCCAGGCTGGAGTGCAATGGTGCGATCTCAGCTCACTGCAGCTTCCACTTCCTGGGTTTAAGCGATTCTCCTGCCTCAGCCTCCTGAGTAGCTGAGATTACAGGCACCTGCCACCACTCCCGGCTAATTTTTTGTATTTTTAGTAGAAACAGGGTTTCACCATTTTGGACAGGCTGGTCTCAAACTCCTGGCCTCTGGTGATCTGCCTGCCTTGGCCTCGCAAAGTGCTGGGATTACAGGCATGAGCCACTGTGCCTGGCCTTTTTTTTTTTTTTCACCATTTTTTGAGACGGGGTTTCACTCTGGCCCAGGGTGGAGTGCAGTGGGACTACAGGCATATGCCACCATGCCCGGCTAAATTTTGTATTTTTTAGTAGAGATGGGGTTTCACCATGTTAGCTAGGCTGATCTCGAACTTCTGACCTCATGCGACTCACCAGCCTCGGCCTCTCAAAGTGCTGGGATTACAGGCATGAGCCACCACGCCTTGCCAGATATGAGGAAATACTACCCACTTTGGCAGAGTGCTTTATCCTTGCTAAAATACCTTACCCCAAATGCAAGAAACAAATCTTATTCCTGTTTGTTTTTTGAGACGGAGTTTGCTCTTGTTGCCCAGACTGGAGTGCAACTGCGTGATCTCAGCTCACCGCAACCTCTGCCTCCTGGTTTCAAACCATTCTCCCACCTCAGCCTCCCGAGTAGCTGGGATTACAGGCATGCTCCAGCATGCCTGGCTAATTTTATATTTTTAGTAGAGACGGGGTTTCTCCATGTTGGTCAGGCTGGTCTCGAACTCCCGACATCAGGTGATCCGCCTGCCTTGGCCTCCCAAAGTGCTGAGATTACAGGTGTGAGCCACCACGCCCGGCCCTTATTCCTGTTATTATGTGCAGATATTGAGAGGTGACAGCGTGCTGGGAGCCCTCTCAGCCCTCGCTCGCTCTTGGAGCCTCCTTGGCCTCGCTGCCCACTCTGGCCACGCTTGAGGAGCCCTTCAGCCCACCGCTGCACTGTGGGAGCCCCTTTCTGGGCTGGCCAAGGCTGAAGCCAGCTCCCTCAGCTTGCGGGAGGTGTGGCGGGGGAGGTATGGAGGGGGATGCGCAGGCGGAACCGGGGCTGCGCGTGGTGCTTGCGGGCCAGGGCAAGTTCCGGGTGGGTGTGGGCACGGGCGGCCCCGCACTCGGAGCTGCCCGCCAGCCCCCCGGCCCCGCCGCCCCGCCGGCACGGGCAGTGAGAGGCTTAGCACCTGGGCCAGCAGCTGCTGTGCTCAATTTCTCGCCCGGCCTTAGCTGCCTCCCTGCGGGGCAGGGCTCCGGACCTGCAGCCTGCTATGTCTGAGCCTCCCCGCCCCCGCCGTGGGCTCCTGCCCTGCCCGAGCCTCCCCAATGAGCGCCGCCACCTGCTCCAGGGCACCCAGTCCCATCGACCACCCAAGGGCTGAGGAGTGCAGGCGCATGGCGCGGGACTGGCAGGCAGCTCCACTTGCGGCCCAGTGTGGGATCCACTGGGTGAAGCCAGCTGGGCTCCTGAGTCTGGTGGGGACTTGGAGAATCTTTATGTCTAGCTAATGGATTGTAAACACACCAATCAGCACTCTGTATCTAGCTCAAGGTTTGTAAACTCACCAATCAGCACCTTGTGTCTAGTTTAGGGTTGGTGAATGCACCAGTTGGCGCTCTGTATCTAGTTAATCTGGTGGGGACTTGGAGAATCTTTATGTCTAGCTAAGGGTTTGTGAATGCACCAATTGGCACTCTGTATCTAGCTCAAGGTTTGTAAATGCACCAATCAGCACTCTGTGTCTAGCTCAGGGTTTGTAAATACACCAATCGACACTCTGTATCTAGCTAATCTAGTGGGGACCTGGAGAACTTTTGTGTCTAGCTCAGGGATTGTAAACGCACCAATCAGCACTCTGTCAAAATGGACCAATCAGCTGTCTGTAAAACAGACCAATCGGCTCTCTGTAAAATGGACCAATCAGTAGGATGTGGGTGGGGCCAAATAAGAGAATAAAAGCAGGCTGCCCGATGCTGCAGTGGCAACCACCTCAAGTCTTTTGGAAGCTGTGTTCTTTTGCTGTTTGTGGTATTGCTGCTGTCTGCTCTTTGGGTCCATACTGCTTTTATGAGTTATAGTACCACAAAGGTTTGCAGCTTCACTCCTGAAGTCAGGGAGAGCTGGAACCCACAGGGGGGAACGAACAACTCTAGAAGTGCTGCCTTAAGAGCTGTAACTCTCACCGCAAAGGCCTGCAGCTTCACTACTGAGCTAGTGAGACCACGAACCCACCAGAATGAAAAAACTCTGAACACGTCTGAATATCAGAAGGAACAAACTCTGGACACGCTGCCTTTAAGAACTGTAACGCTCATCGCGGGGGTCTGTGGCTTCATTCTCGTAGTCAGTGAGATGAAGAACCCACTAATTCCGGACACAATATGATACGGAGGTGGTTAAATTACGTGGCCCAATCAAGGGTGGGTCAGCCGAACTGCAGTGAGGACTTGGGTCAGCTTGGTGAAGTTCACGTTTGGGCTTTATCCTCTCCCTGGAATTTTGTGTCTCCCAGGCAATTTCTGTTGCCTGTGCTTTTGAGTGAAAGGTAAGTCTCCTCCCACAGCCTTGCTCTGTAGAATAAGATGGCATTTGTAGAATCTGACTTTTCAGAGTCCTTTCAAGTATATCCTTACTTTGAGCCTCCCAGTTAGGAGATGGATTCGTATCCTCATGTGATGGCTCAGGAACGGAGCTCAGAGAGGTGGGGAACCTGCCTGAGAGAACAGGTGCGTGGCACAGTCAGCTCCAGAATGGGCTTCCTTGCCCTGCACTTGTGTTCAGTTGCCTCTCCACAGAGCCTTTTCCCAGGTGTTTACTAAATACAGTCGGACGAACTAGAATTTCAGAAGTTGAATTAAGCATACGACACTGTAAACTAAAAACCCTAAGCCCCTCACCAAACGAGAACACCCCCAGTTGACCAAGAGGACCCTAGATAAACATTTAAAATTGAGTTCCTGGCCACGCGTGATGGCTCACAACTGTAATCCCAGCACTTTGGGAGGTCGAGGCGGGCAGATCACTTGAGGTCATCAGTTTGAGACCAGCCTGGTCAACATGGTGAAACCCCATCTTTACTAAAAATACAACAATTAGCTGGGCATGGTGGCAGGTACCTATAATCCCAGCCACTCAGAAGGCTGAGGCAGGAGAATCGCTTGAACCTGGGAGGTGGAGGCTGTAGTGAGCCGAGATGCCACCACTGCATTCCAGCCTGGGCGACAGACCGAGAGTGTCTCAAATAAATAAAATGGAGTTCCTGGCTATGACGGGAAGGGAGGTTGGACACACTTTGTTATATCTCCTCTCTTTTGGAGCCACAACTTACCAACATTAACAATAAAATAGAGATCGGGAGGCTGACAAAACAGCCTCTTTGTGGCAATAAGACACCAAATTATAAACAAGATATAAAGCCATGGCAGGCAAGGGGATGCCTGAAGGCCATCCAGCACATTGTAATCTCATCATATTGTGCAGGTCATATTGTGGTTGACTGCTTAAAGTGGACATTCCTTTCTGCTAACTCCCAAGTTTTATTTATTTATTTATTATTTATTTTTATTGAGATGGAGTCTTGCCCTGTCACCCAGGCTGGAGTGCAGTAGTGTGATTTTAGTTCACTGCAACCTCCATCTCCCAGGTTCAAGTGATCCTTTCACCTTAGCCTCCTAAGTAGCTGGGACTACAGGTGTTTGCCACCACGCCCCAGTTAATTTTTGTATTTTGAGTAGAGACAAGCTTCCACCGTTTTGACCAGGCTGGTCTCGAACTCCTGACCTCAAGTGATCCGCTCTCCTCGGCCTCCCTTAAAGTGCTGGGATTACAGGTGTGAGCCACCGTGCCTGGCCTTTGCTAACTCCAAGTTTTTAGACAAAGTTATGTTCCTTTAACCAATTGCAGATTAAAGAATCTCTGAGTAGGCCAGGTGTGGTGGCTCATGCCTGTAATCCCAGCACTTTGGGAGGCAGAGGTAGGCAGATCACTTGAGGTCAGGAGTTTGAGACCAGCCTGGTCAACAGGGTGAAACCCCATCTCTACTAAAAATACAAAAATTAGCCAGGCGTGGTGGTGTGTGCCTATGGTCCCAGTTACTAGGGAGTCTGAGGCAGAAGAATCACTTGAACCCAGGAGATGGAGGTTGCAGTGAGTTGAGATCGTGTCACTGCACTCCAGCCTGGGCGACAGAGTGAGACTCTGTCTTAAAAAAAAAAAAAAAGAATCTTTGAAGCTGGACAAGGTGGCTCACACCTATAATCCCAGTACTTTAGGAGGCCAAGGTAGGAAAATCGCTTGAGCTGAAGAGTCGGAGACCAGCCAGGACAACATGGCAAGACCCCATTTCTGCAAAAAATTTAAAAATTAGCTGGGTGTGGTGACGTGCTCCTATAGTCTCAGCTACTTGGGAGGCTGAGACAGGAGGATTGCTTGAGCGTGGGAAATCAAGGCTGTAGTGAGCTATGATTGTGACACTGCACTCCAGGCTGGGTGACAGACTCTGCCTCAAAAAAAAAAAAAAAAACCAAAAAAAAAAACTCTGAATCTGCTTATGATTTGTAAGCCCCTACTTCAAGGTATCCCACCTTTTTGGACTAAACCAATGTGTATCTTCCATGTATAAAATCAAACTGTAGGCCGGGGACAGTGGCTCACGCCTGTAATCCCAGAATTTTGGGAGGCCGAGGCAGGTGGATCACTTGAGGTCAGTAGTTCTAGACCAACCTGGCTAACATGGTGAAACCCCATCTCTTCCAAAAATATAAAATATCAGCTGGGTGTGGTGGCACGTGCCTATAATCCCAGCTACTCGGGAGGCTGAGGCAGGAGAATCACTTGAACCCAGGAGGTAAAAGTTTCAGTGAGCCGGGATCGTGTCACTGCACTCTAGCCTGGGTGACAGAACGAGACTCTGTCTCAGAAAACAAACAAACAAAAAAACCAACTGTATGTAGCCCAACCACTTCTGGTGCGCTTTCTTAAGCCTTTTTGAGACTGTTACCCCAGGCCACAGGCACTCCTATTGGCTCAGAATAAACCTCTTTAAAACATTTTACAGAGTTTGGTTTTTCGTTAACTATCTTTTTTTTCTCCCCTCTTTGGGTACAGGGTCCTGCTCTGTTGCCCAGGCTGGAGTACAGTGGCATGATCTCACTGCAGCCTTGATTTCCGGGCGCTCAAGTGATCCTTCTACCTCAGCCTCCTGAGTAGCTGGGATCACAGGTGTGGACCACCATGCCTGGTTAATTTTGTTTGTTTTTTGTACGGACAAGGTCTCTCACGATGTTGCCCAGGCTGGTCTTGAACTCATAGGTTCAAGCCATTCTCCTGCCTCGGCCTCCCAAAGTGCTGGGATTACAGGTGTGAGCCACCACACCCCGCTGTCCTGTGCAGATTTTTTTTTTTTACCACTTGTCTCTCTGTGTTGGAAACTGCAAGGTATTCACAGTAAAGCCAATTTTTTTTTTTTTTTTTTTTGAGACAGATTCTCGCTCTGTTGCCCAGGCTGGAGTGCAGTGGCGCGATCTCAGCTCACTGCAACCTCTGCCTCCCGGGTTCAAGGGATTCTCCTGCCTCAGCCTCCCGAGTAGCTGGGATTACAGGCATCCGCCACCACACCTGGCTAATTTTTATATTTTTAATAGATACAGGGTTTCACCATGTTGACCAGGCTGATCTCAAACTCCTGACCTTGTGATCCGCCCGCCTCGGCCTCCCAAAGTGTTGGGATTACAGGCAGGAGCCAAGGCGCCTGGCCGGTAAAGCCAATTTAAACTCAGTGGAGCCTGCAAGCATTAATTAACACTTCTGTTTGAAAATGGTAAAGTGACAGAGCCTGCCAAAGAAAGGCCTCAGAGCTCTCTTTACCAGAGTTGCCGGGAGTGAAGAGATGAAAAATGACCTTGGGGGAGCTTCAGAATTAATTTCATTTCATGCAAAGAAAAACAAGGTTAAAAACATTTCAAGGCAATAAAGTATCTTCAAGTGCCAGCACTGGGCAAATAAACCAGCAGTCCCAGGTGGTGGGGGAGAAGTGATCAATGGAGCAGGGTGTGTGCCAAGCAGGGGACTTCAGTGTCAGTGCCGCTCTATGCTGTCTAAGAAGGGGGAGGTGGGAGTTACACAGTCAGTGTGTCTTCAGGGTCAGAGAGATGCACTCTCGGAGTCCCTGTCACTGGTTTTTAGGCTGCTGGTTGATCTGAAGGCACATGTTTTCAATTCTGCAGCAGCTGCGGGCCTTCCTAGTTCCTGGAGCCTTGCTCTTTTTCTTTCTTTCTTTGTTTCTTTTTTTCTTTTTTATTTTTTTTGACATGGAGTCTAGCTTTGTCGCCAGGCTGGAGTGCAGTGGTGCGATCTCAGCTCATTGCAACCTCCACCTCCCAGGTTCAAGCCATTCTCCTGCCTCAGCCTCCCACATAGCTGGGACTATAGACGCACACTACCACGCCTGGCTAATTTTTGTCTTTTTAGTAGAGATGGGGTTTCATCATATTGGTTAGGCTGCTCTCAAACTCCTGACCTCAGGTGATCCACCTGCTTTGGCCTCCCAAAGTGCTAGGATTCTTTTTTTTTTTTTTTTTTTTTTTTTTGAGACAGAGTATCACTCTTGTCCAGGCTGGAGTGCAATGATGCCATCTCGGTTCACCACAACCTTCGCCTCCCAGGTTCAAGCGATTCTCCTGCCTCAGCCTCCTGAGTAGCTGGGGGTACAGGCATTTGCCACCATGACCAGCTAATTTTGTATTTTTAGTACAGATGGAGTTTTTCCATGTTGGTCAGGCTGGTCTTGAACTCCCGACCTCAGGTGATCCCTCCACTGCAGACTCCCAAAGTGCTGGGATTACAGGAGTGAGCCACCACGTCCAGCCGGGATTCTTTTTAGGAGATGGGGTCTTGCACTGCTGCCCAGGCTGAAGTGCAGTGGTGCAATTATAACTCACTGCAGCCACCAACTCCTAGGCTCAAACGATCTTCCTGCCTCAGCCTCTCAAGTAGCTGGGACTAGTAGTATGTGCCACCATGTCTGGCTAATTTTTTTTTCTTTTTTGTAGAGGTGGGATCTTGCTTTGTTGCCCAGGCTGGTCTTGAACTCCTCAAGCCATCCTCATGCCTCGGTCTCCCACAATGCTGGGATTGCAGGTGTGAGCTACAGCGCTCCCTGGACAATCCTCTCTCTATTCTCAGAAGGGTTTCTCAGCCCAGCCCCTTTGACATTCAGAGTTCATCATTTTTTGTGGTTGTGTATGGCGTCGTGGGGGGCTGTCCTGTGTATTGCAGGATGTTGAGCAGTGCTCCCAGCCTCTGTCCAGTAGATATCAGGAGCTCTCCCTCCTGAAGTTATGACAACCGGAACCACCCCAGGTGTTGTGAAGTATCTCCTGGGAGCAAAACTGTCTCCCTGGCTCCCTGAGAAGCACTGTTGTGGGGAGTGGCAAGAGTTAGCTGAGTCTGAAGACTTCTGAGGCACTCAGAATTGAAAAGGGACTGCTGCGGTTTGGAATGGGTCAAGTTTATCTCTTTGAGTAAAACTGTCTCCATGGGCTGGGTGTCTGACGCCTGTAATTCCAGCACTTTGGGAGGCCAGGGCAGGTGGATCGCTTGAGCTCAGGAATTCAAGACCAGCCTGGACAACATGGTGAAACCCCATCTCTACGAAAAAAAAATTAGCGTGCGTGGTGGTGGGCGCCTGTAATCCCAGCTACTCGGGGGGCTGAGGTACAAGAATTGCTTGAACCCAGGAGGGCGGAGGTTGCAGTGAGCCGAGAGTGTGCCCCTGCACTCCAGCCTGGGCAACAGAGTGACCCTATCTCCAAAAAATAAAAAAAAAGTTTTCACATAATTTAGCACTTAATTGTTTGGTGGGTGTGGTGGAAAGAATCATGAGTGCCCAAAGATGCCCATGTCCTAATACACAGAGCCTGTTACCTTATATGGCTGTGATGAAGTTAATGATTTTGAGAAGGGGATTGTCCTCGATTATCTGGGTGGGCCCAGTGTCATCATGGGGCTCTTGTAAGAGGGAAGCAGGAGGGTCAGAGTCACAGAAGGAGACGTGATGATGTCATGTCAGAAGCAGAAACAAGAAACCCGGCACGGTGGCTCACACCTGTAATCTCACACTTTGGGAGGCTGAGGTGGGCAGATCATTTGAGCCCAGGAGTTCCAGACCAGCCTGGGCAACATAGTGGGACCCCATCTCTATAAAACAATACAAAAATTAGCCAGGCACACACTGCCTGTTGTTCCAGCTACTTGGGAGGCTGAGGTGGAAGGTTTGCTTGAGCTCAGGAGGTCAAGACTGCAGTGAGCTGAGTTTATGCCACTGCACTCCAGCCTGGGCAACAGAGAGAGAACCTGTCTCAAAAAAAAATTTTTTTTTAAAGAGACATTATTTTTTAGAGCATGTGTAGGTTCACAGCAAAATTGAGCAGAAAGCATAGAGTGCCCACATATCCCCTATTCCTCCTCCCCCACCCATAACCCCCCGACTATCAACGTCCTCCATAGAGTGGGTTTGTTACAACTGATGAACCCACATTAACACATCACCATCTCCCCAAGTCCCTAGTTCACACGAGGGTTCACTCTTGATTCTATGGATTTTGACGAATCTATATGGCATGTGTCCACCATTATAGTGGCACATAGAATAGTTTCACCAAAATTTTACCTTTTTTTTTTTTTTTGAGAAAGGGTCTCACTCTGTTGTCCTAGGCTGGTGCACAGTGGTGTGACCCTTGGCTCACTGCAACTTCACTGCAGCCTGAGACCTCCCAGGCTCAAGTGATCCTCCCACCTCAGCCTGTGGCTACAGGCACACACCATCACACCCGGCTAATTTTTGAATTTTTTGTAGAAACAGGGTTTTGCCAGGCCTGGCGCAGTGGCTCATGCCTGTAATCCAAGCACTTTGGGAGGCCGAGGTGGGCAGATCAGGAGGTCAGGAGTTCGAGACCAGCCTGGCCAACATGGTGAAACTTCGTTTCTACTAAAAATACAAAGAATTGGCTGGGGGTGGTGGTGCACGCCTGTAATCCCAGCTACTTCAGAGGCTGAGACAGGAGCATCACTTAAACCCGGGAGGCGGAAGTTGCAGTGAGCTGAGATCACGCCATTGCACTCCAGCCTGAGCGACAGAGCAAGACTCCATCTCGGAAAAAAAAGAGTTTTGCCATGTTGCCCGGGTTGGTAACCCCTGAGCTCAAGCAATTTGCCCACATGGTCCTCCCGAAGTCCTGAAATGACAGGTGTGAGCCGCTGTGCTGGGCAAAATTTTATTTTTTATTTTTTTTATTTTTTGTGAGACAAAGTCTTGCTTTGTTGCCCAAGCTGGAGTGCAGTGGTGTGATCTTGGCTCACTGCAACCTCTGCCTCCCAGGCTCAAGCGATCTTCCCACATCAGCCTCCCAAGAAGCTGGGACTACAGGTGTGCACCATCATGCCAGTTAATTTTTGTATTTTTTGTGGAGACAAGGTTTCATCATGTTGCCCAGGCTGGTCTTGAACTCCCGGCCTTAAGGAATCCACCTGCCTCAGTCTCCTGAAGTGCTGGGATTACAAGCGTGAGCCACTACACCCCAGCAAAATTTTACTTTTAATGAAGACTGCGGACCACAAGAAATGCTAGCATTGTCAGTATTGGCTCACTCAGTAGGTACCCAGTGTCATTCCCAGACAGCTTCACCTAGCACCTATAACTTTGGCCAGTTGTCTACTAAATTATTTGTTATAAGGAGGAGCAGGCAAGAAAGATCAGTGTAAAAATCACCCCAACTGTATGAAAAATGTTTAAAGCATGCCTCCTTATTGGGATAAATTCTGCAAATCCCCAGCTCCTACTGTAGGGTAGAGGAAAGGAATACACCAGAGAGCAAAAGCCACAGAGCTGTGCCCTCCCAGAACCTCCAATCCAACACAGCATCACACAGAGCTTCAGCAACACTGGCTGTGCACAGTCTGCACACCCGGAACAAGCCAGGATTTGCCCGGATAAAACAACACAACTTTCTTATGAGACATTCGAGCTGGGCTTTCAGCTCCTAGCAAAGTCCTATGTCAAACAAGGCCAGGCCAAGCTCCAGGATGCCCGACCCCTGGGCAGGTTTTCTCTCCCAAGGTTTCCTCTTTCCTCCAGTTTGTTGCTTGCCCTGTCAGGGTCTGAGGAAGGATGACAACAGAGAAACCTAGATTCTGGTCCCATGTGGGCATCTGCAGGCAAGTCATAGACACTCTGGACCAAATATCCTCATCTGAAAATAAAGGTTTGGCCATGATGGCTTCCAGGGTGTCTGTTAGTCAAGAAATATTCTGGGCCTGGTGTGGTGGCTCACATCTGTAATCCCAGAACTTTGGGAGGCAAAAGCGGGAGGATTGCTTGAGGCCAGGAGTTCAAGACCAGCCTGAGCAACATAGCAAGACCCCCATCTCTACAAAAAATAAAATAAAAATTAGCTGGGCATGGTGGCATGCACCTGTAGTCCCAGCTACCCAGGAGGTTGAGATGGGAGGATTGCTTGAGCCTAGGAGTTCAAGGTTACAGTGAGTTATGATTGTGCCACTGCACTCCAGCCTGGGCAGCAGAACAAGATCCATCCCAGCACTTTGGAAGGCCGAGGTGGGTGGATCGTGAGGTCAGGAGTTCGAGACCAGCCTGGCCAACATGGTGAAACCCTGTCTCTACTAAAAAAAATACAAAAATTAGTTGGGCATGGTGGTGCGCGCCTGTAATCCCAGCTACTCGGGAGGCTGAGGCAGGAGAATGGCTTGAACCTGGGAGGCGGAGGTTGCAGTGAGCCGAGATTGTGCCAGTGCACTCCAGCCTGGGCGACAGAGCAAAACTCCATCTCAAAAAAAAAGAAGGGAGGAAGGGAAGGGAGGGAGGGAAGGAGAGAAGGAAGGAAAAGAAAGAAAAGGAAGACAGGAAGGAAGGAAGGGAGGGAGAGAGGGAGAGAAGGAAGAAGGAAGGAAGACAGAAAAAGAAAGGAAGGAAGGAAAATGCTCTCATTCGGCTGGGTGCAGTGGCTCACGCCTGTACTCCCAGCACTTTGGGAGGCCAAGGTGGGCGGATCACCTGAGGTTGGGAGTTCGAGACCAGCCTGACCAACATGGAGAAACCCAGTCTGTACAAAAAATACAAAATCAGCTGGGCATGGTGGCACATGCCTGTAATCCCAGCTACTAGGGAGGCTGAGGCAGGAGAATCACTTGAACCTGGGAGGCAGAGGTTGCAGTGAGCTGAGATCGCGCCATTGCACTCCAGCCCGGGCAACAGAGCAAAACGCTGTCTGAAAAAAAAAAAAGAAAAGAAAATGCTCTGATTCTCACCCAGGTGGAGTCCCTGCAGGACCCATGCTCACCACTGTTTCTATGTCCCTAGTCAACCAAACACCACCAACCCTTAGCTAGTAGCTTCAGATGAATTCCAAATGCCTAGGCAAAAGTTTTAGCCATGGCCCTCTGGCCTTCTAATCCTTCATGGCTTACCAAATTAACAAATTCCAGGCGGAAATGGTCTCTTGAAGTGTGTAGGAATCACTGTGCTGTTTTTGAAGTCTTGCATGAAAGAAACCTCAGGGCTCGGAGACCAGGCTCACATCCTTTCGTGCCCTGCAGAGGGCGACCCGCTCTTGCAATCGGATTTTCTGTATTGTGAGGGAGTTACTGTGAAGTGTGCCTCCTTTTTGTGTGGCTAACCCCCAGGGCTGGGACGGAAGAGGAATTGAACTGGCATAGTAAATTAAAATGCAATTTGAACTTCAATGCAGCCTTTCAAATGAGGCTCTGCTGCGCTCTCCTGACACCCCTCCTCAATTCTTCTCTGGGGTGGCATGGAGGTATCTGATGTTCCTATTTAAATCCCTGAGTTCATACACTGTCCTTATCTGTCATTTCCTCTTTGAAAGGCACTGAGAACTCAATTCAGGGAAAATTGAAAACCTTTCCAGATATTACTGTTTTGAAAGTGGTTTTGCCAAAAAATATAACAGCAAATAAACTCTAGTAAGAATGAGATTCATTTAGCTCTTGTTGCCTTTGACCTCAGAAGAAAACATCTAACAGGAAGCCTAGAAAGTCACAGTTAAATATATAAATTCATTTTGAACTAAGAGTCCTTTTTTTTTTCTTCAGCACTAGAATTCCTGCAGTAGAACAGGTATATATATATGTATATACATTTTTTTACATCAAAACCACTTAGACCAGGTGCGGTGGCTCATGCCTATAATCCCAGCAATTTGGGAGGCCAAGGCAGGTGGATCACCAGAGGTCAGGAGTTTGAGACCAGCCTGGCCAACATGGTGAAACCCCGTCTCTACTAAAAATACAAAAATTAGCCGGGTGTGGTGGCGCATGCCTGTAATCCCAGCTACTCGAGAGGCTGAGGCAGGAGAATCGCTTGAACCTGGGAGGTGGAGGTTGCAGTGAGCTGAAAATACGCCACTGCACTCCAGCCTGGATGACAGAGCAAGACTCCGTCTCAACAACAACAACACTTAATGCTGCCTCAGGTTGCTAAGAGGAGCCTGGAGAGTGGAAAGTTGTGTGCACAGGAGAGACTTTAGTCCACTGTCATTTGTGCCTTTACCATTGTCGTCTTTTCAGTGGCCCTTATTATTGGGGAGTTTTGCTGCTTGTAGTCATTCAATGACATTTTCCTCTAGCCCTCAGTGACTGCTGCAATCCCCTTTTCTTTTCTCTTTCTTTTTTTTTTTTTTTGAGATAGGGTCTTGCTTATTGTCCAGGCTGGAGTGCACTGGTGCAATCACAGCTCGCTGTAGCCTCGATCTCTGTATTAGTCCATTCTCACACTGCTATAAAGAAATACCTGCAACTGTGTAATTTATAAAGAAAACAGGTTTAATTGGCTCACGGTTCTGCAGGCTGTACAGAAGGCATGGCTGGGAAGGCCTCAGGAAACTTACAATCATGGTGGAAGTTGAAGTTCCATATCTGGAGCAGGAGGAAGAGAGGGGGGAGGGGCTACATACTTTTAAACAACCAGATCTCATGAAAACTCACTGGCACAACAACAGCCAGGAGGAAGTCCACCCCCATGACCCAGTCACCTCACACCAGGCCCCTCCCTCAACACTGGGGATTATAGTTCTACAGGAGATTTGGGTGGGGACAGAAATCCAAACCATATCAACCTCCCAGGCTCAAGCAATTATCCCACCTCAGTATCCCAAGTTGCTGAGACTGCAGGTGTGCCAGGTGTGCACCACCATGCACAGCTAATTATATATATATATATATATATATATATATATATATATATATATATTTTTTTTTTTTTTTTTTTTTTTTTTTTTTTAAGAAATGGGTTCTCACTATGTTGCCCAGGCTGATCTCGAACTCCTGAGCTCAAGTCATCCTTCTGCCTCGGCTTCTCAAATTGCAAGAATCACATGCAAGAGCCATTGAGTCCAGCCCCTTTGCTTTTCTACGTGAACTTAGTATGGGAGTTATCAGGTTGATTCTGGAGGTCATTTGTCCCTCACCTGCATTCAAGGAATAGATTCTCCCATCCTCAGTGTTTGCCATCAGAAAGACGTAGCTGCCATCCAACTTAAGCTGCCCTTGCTGGAATTTAGATGAATTTTCCTGTTATCTTTATAGGGTGAGTCGGTTACCCTTCTGTAGTGGGTGAAGTCGTGTCCCCCAGAAAAATATGTCCAAGTCCTAACCATCGGTACTTGTGAACTTAACCTTATTTGGAAATAGGGTCTTTGCAGATGTCATTAAGTTGAGGATCCCCAGAGGAGATCATTCTAGATTCAGAGTACCTACTACATCTAATGACTGGCATCCTTATAAGAGAAAGGAGAGGGAGATTTGAGACACAGAGACGCATAGGGAAAGGTGACATGAAGATGAAGGCAGAGGCCAGACATGGCAACTCACACCTATAACCCCAGCACTTTGGGAGGCCAAGGTGGGTGGATCCCTTGAAGCCAGGAGTTTGAAACCAGCCTGGCCAACATGGCAAAACCCCATCTCTACTAAAAATACAAAAATTAGCTGGGTGTGGTGGTGTGCACCTGTAATCCCAACTACTTGGGAGGCTGAGGCAGGAGAATCACTTGAACCTGGGAGGTGGAGGTTGTGGCGAGCCGAGATCATGCCACTTCACTCCAACCTGGGTGACAGAGTAAGACTCGGTCTCAAAAAAAAAAAAAAAAAAAAAAAGATGAAGGCAGAGATGGGAGCGACGCGTCGACAAGCCAAGGAACTCCAGCTATTGCTGGGAGAGGGCGTGGAATGGATTCTTCCTTGGAGGCTCCAGAAGGAACCAGTCCTGCCAACACTTCGATTTCAGATTTCTGGCTTCCAAACTGTGAGAAAATACCTGTCTGGTGTTTTAAGCCACCCAGCTTGTGATAGTTTGTTATGGTGACCCGAGGAAAGTAATACGCCTTCTCTCCAGGGCATTAACATTTGGGCAAGGGTGTGTAATGATTCTCTCATTTTTAACTTCCAGTTAAATAATCCTGTTTTTGAATAATTTATGTTCTAAGACTTCCATTTTTAGATGCTTTCCTTCTGTGCCCCCTTCCCTTGGGCCACTGCAGACTTCCCTTGGCACTTCTTCTTCTCCCAGAGGTCACCTCCCAGCAGGCTCTGCTCCGGGGATGCCTGGTGGGTGGAGGGCTGCCTCTTCCCCCACTTCACTGGGGTGGGCTGCTTACATCTTGAGGCTCAATCACATGCATCAGAAGCTGCAAAGTCCCAGAAGGCAGATATTGTTTTCTCCTACCTTGTCCTCAGTTTGCTGTTGATTTCCTAAAAATAGACTTTACCTTTTAATAACTTCCTAGCTTGCCATAATTGCCAGGTCCCATGCTGTTGGATAGATGGGACAGGCAAGAGCTCGGCAGCCACTGTGAGTCCCTCCTGTAGGGGAGGGCAAATGGCAAGGGTTGTCCCAGAGGGCCCCAGAGTGCTTGGCCCAGGTGAGCCCTGCTCTGAAAGGAGAGACTTGGATCCCCTTTGCCCTAACCTGGGGCCAAGCTCTGAAAGGACAGAGGTTCCCTTCTGCTCTGAGCTGCCTCCTCTGGGCTTGCAGGAGAGGGGATAGCAAAGGCTCTACCCAACCTCAGCAGCTGGGGGAGTCCAGAGGCCTCTGGAGTGCTCTGCAGGTGGGCAGCCTGGGGCTCTCCACAGTGTCTCAAGGGACAGCTTCCCCTGGGGCACCACAGTGGGAAAGATGCCAGGCAGAGAAGTTCCCTTTTTCCTCCGGGCTGTGTTGAAAGGTGGTTACTGGAACCACTTACTCTGTTAACAAAAATCAACTGTCTGTCCTTAGGTTATGAAGGGTGGGGGATGGAGGGCGCAGTGTGGGGAGGGAAAGTTGGAGTCGGGGGTGCATAAAGGGAATTGACTTTGCAGTCCCAACTCTTCTTTTCTAGAATCCAAGATTCAGTCTCCCCTTGGATGACAGCGTCTCTCTCTATGTCTAGTTTTGTAGGATGGGGATCCAATTTTATTAAGGTAGAGAGGGCAGGTCCTTGCCATGCAGGAGGCAATCAGGAGGAAATCACTCCAGAGCAGTTGGCATGCTCTCAGGTCCATCTGGCACCTGCCCCAGGGCTGCCTTGCTAGCAGAAACCATTCTGCCCTTAACCTCCGGTACCCTGCCAAGGAGGTCGCCATTCCTGGGGCATCTGCTGCTATTGGGAGCAGGCTTCCTGGCCAGGGGCCAGCTGTGAGGGCCCCTTTTCTAGGAGCAGAGTAGGAAGCCATGCGGTGTGGGCACAGGCTGCCAACATGATGATCCTCTCCCTATGCTGCCGAGAGGGGCCTTGGGGACAGAGAAGCTTGGGTTCACATTACATCCCCCCACTTCTTAGATGTCACCCTGAGCAAAGGTGTAACTTTTCCAGGCCTCGATTTCACTGCAGCACTCAAGAAATGGCTACTTCATGGGGTTAAGGTGAGCATCATTTAGGGGGTGCTCAAATGGTCCTTTGATTAGGTATAAATAAGGAGTGAGACCACTTTGCACAGAGGAGACCCTCAATAAATTCAGTGAATCAGAAACATCACAATTATCCCCTTCTCCTGAGAGAAGGAGCATGTGGACCAATGCCAGCCTAGATCAAAATGCTGGTCGTCCTTTTTTTTTTTTCTTTTTTTTTTCCTTGAGACAGACTCTTGCTTTGTTGCCCAGGCTGGAGTGCAGTGGCATGATCCCCACTCATTGCAACCTCCGCCTCTTGGGTTCAAGCAATTCTCTGGCCTCAGCCTCCAGAGGAGCTAGGACTACAGGTGCATGCCACCACACCCAGCTAATTTTTGTATTTTTAGTAGAGATGGGATTTCACCATATTGACCAGGCTGATCTTGAACTCCTGACGTCAAGTGATCCACCTGCCTGGGCCTCCCAAACCGCTTGGATTACAGGCGTGAGCCACCGTGCCTGGCCATCTTTTATTTATTTATTTATTTATTTTGAGATGGAGTCTCACTCTGTCACCCAGGCTAAAGTGCAGTGGCGTGATCTCAGCTCACTGCAACCTTCGCCTCCCAAGTTCAAGCAGTTCTCTGCCTCAGCCTCCCAAGTAGCTGGGATTACAGGCTCCCGCCACCATGCCCAGCTAATTTTTGTATTTTTAGTAGAGACGGGGTTTCACTATCTTAGCCAGGCTGGTCTTGAACTCCTGAGCTCTTGAACTCAGCTCAAGTGATCCACCCGCCTCGGCCTCCCAAAGTGCTGGGATTACAAGCGTGAGCCACCGCACCTGGCCCATGTTTTCTTTTTTTTTTTCTTTTTCTTTTTCTTTTTTTTTTTGAGATGGAGTCTTGCTCTGTTTCCCAGGCTGGAGTGCAATGGCGCAATCTTGGCTTACTGCAACCTCCACCTCCCGGGTTCAAGCGATTCTCCTGCCTCAGCCTCCTGAGTAGCTGGAATTACAGGCGCCTGCCACCTCGTCCAGCTAATTTTTGTATTTTTTAGTAGAGATGGGGTTTCGCCATGTTGGCCAGGCTGGTCTCGAACTCCTGACCTCAGGTGATCCACCTGCCTCAGCCTCCCATAGTGTTGGGATTACAGGCATGAGCCACCATGCCCGGCCCACCTTTTCCTTTTAAACAATGGATTTTGCCACTTGATCTGGAGCTGGGGTCCTGGAGGCCTGGGTCAGGATGGGAAAGGGGGTGGGGTCAGCCCTGGCTGTGGCAGAGAGGCTCCGAAGCTCTGGACCCGGCAGAGTGGAGTGCAGGAGGCTCTGTTCCTCTTCTGGCACGGGGCCAGTGGATGCTGGCCTCCACTCAGCATCACTTCATGGTGACATCAAGCCCGTGATCTTCAAGGCACTTTGTCAGTGTACAGCCAGCAGCATTATGTTGGAGCTGTCCCTCATCTTTGCAATCATCTAGTTCAAGCTCCTCTCTTCTGCAGCTAAAAACGTGGGTGCTCATGCTGAGATCACCCACAAGCACTGCCCAGCTGTCACTTGGGCCTCTGAAGGAGGCCAGTGAGGAGGAGGAGTGTGTGGGGCCACTGGGCCTAGCACCCTCTGGGTATGAGCCTGGGCTTTAGAATGAGGTGGAAGGTGGAGGAGGTGGGTATTGGGAAGCGGCAGGAGGGCTTTTGGGAAACTTGGAATTCCCACTCTCAGTGACGTGTCTTAGGAGCCCCCTGGAACATTTCTATTTCAACTGAGTTGATCTGAGGAACTCTGACCACCATTTTCACCCAGTGGCATTCAAGGTAAGGAAAAGCGAATATTTTTTCTTGTTGTTGTTTGAGACAGGGTCTCGTCTGTCACCCAGGCTGGAGTCCAGTGGCACGATCACAGCTCACTGCAGCCTCAACCAACCAGGCTCAAGCAATCCTCCTACCTCAGCCTCCCGAGTAGCTGGGACTAACAGGTAGGCACCATCATGCTCGGCTACTTTTTGTATTTTCTTTTTTATAGAGGTGGGGTTTTGCCATGTTGCCCAGGCTGGTCGCAAACTCCTGGACTCAAGTGATCTTTCTGCCTCAGCCTCTCAAAGTGTTGGGATTACAGGCGTGAGCCACCGCACCCGGCCATAATTATTTTAAATAGAGTTGAAGTCTCACTGTGTTGCCCAGGCTGGTCTCAAACTCCTGAGCTCAAGTGATCCTCTGGCTTTGGCTTCCCAAAGTACTAGGATTACGGGCATGAGCCAGGGTGCTTTGCCTAATTTTTAATTTTTTTGTGGAGACAGGGTCTTGCTATGTTACTCAGGCAGATCTTGAACTTCTAGCCTCAAGCAATCCTCCTGCCTCAGCCTCCCAAAGCGCTGGGTTTACAGGCGTAAGTCACTGCTTTTGGCCTCCTCTAACCTTGATTCTGTATTCCCCTCTCCTGGGTGCCTGTGCACACATACACACACACATTCACCCGCTTATACATTTGCACATGCACCTGTACACTTGCACACTCTCCCTCATAAACTTTTTTTTTTTTTTTTTGAGACAGAGTCTCGCTCTTGTCACCCAAGCTGGAGTGCAATGGCATGATCTTGGCTCACTGCAACCTCTGCCTCCTGGGTTCAAGCGATTCTCTTGCCTCAGCCTCCCGTGTAGCTGGGATTACAGGCATGTGCCACCACGCCCGGCTAATTTTTGTATTTTTAGTAGAGACAGGGTTTCACCATGTTGACCAAGCTGGTCTCAAACTCCTGACCTCAAGTGATCCACGCACCTCGGCCTCCCAAAGTGCTGGGATTACAGGCATGAGCCACCGCGCCGGGCCCCTCATAAAGTCTTGCACACACTCAAACGCTCACCCACCACACCTACACACACCACACACACTCCCTGTCCTGCACACCTCTGCACACACGCACCTGCCCAGAGCACCTTGCTGGTTCCCCCGCTCCTGCTCTTGGATGGTTGAGCTTTGCCGAGACACGTCTGGAAGTGGAGTTGATCTGCTCACCCTCCGTTTTGCTCCCCCGACCCCAGCCCTTCCTGGGCTGTGTCTCCTCTTGACTGTCCTTCAGCTGCCCGCAGCCTTGCCTTCAGCATCCTTCCACCCACCTTGAGTGTTCCACCGTAAACCTACCCCCTGCTCTGGGATTCGCCTCATGCTTTCCTGAGCTCAGTGCCATCCTGCATTTCCCTCTTCAGCTCCTCTCCTCACGGTCAGCCGGGCTGAATAGGGTCCCTCCCTCCCTGCCATTTGATGGCCCATCGGTTGACTGATTCCTGTCCTCTCATGCGGCTGAGCATAGCCGGGGTGTTAGTTTCTTGTGGCTGCTGTGATGAATGACCACAAACCGGATGTCTGGACAGCAGGTATTTTTTCTCTCTTTATTTCTGAGACAGAGTCTTACTCTGTCGCCCAGGCTGGAGTGCAGCGGCACGATCTCAGCTCACTGCAAGCTCTGCCTCCCGAGTTCATGCCATTCTCCTGCCTCAGCCTCCAGAGTAGCTGGGACTACAGACGCCCGCCCCTACACCCGGCTAATTTTTTGTATTTTCGGTAGAGACAGGGTTTCACTGTGTTAGCCAGGATGGTCTCGATCTCCTGACCTCGTGATCCTCCCGCCTTGGCCTCCCAAAGTACTGGGATTACAGGCGTGAGCCACCGCGCCCGGCTGACAGCAGGTATTTATTTCAGTTCTAGAAGGCAGACATCCAAAATCAAGGTGTGGGAGAGCCGTGTTCCCTCCGAAGGCTCGAGGGTAGGGTCCGTTTCTTGCCTCCTCCAGCATCTGGGGGCTCCAGGCACTCCTTGGCTTGTGGCTGCATCACTGCAGTCTCTGCCTCGGTCTTCACGTGGCCTCCTCCTCCTTTCTCCTGCATTTTCCAGGAGGAGCTTAACTCCAATGACAAGTGTCCTTATAAGAGAAAATGGGCCGGGCGCGGTAGCTCACGTCTGTAATCCCAGCACTTTGGGAGGCTGAGGCGGGCAGATCACCTGAGGTCAGGAGTTCTAGACCAGCCTGACCAACATGGAGAAACCCTGTCTCTGCTAAAAATAAAAAAAATTAGCCGGGCGTGATGGCGCACGCCTGTAGTCCCAGCTACTCGGGAGGCTGAGGCAGGAGAATCACTTGAACCCGGGAGGCAGAGGTTATGGTGAGCTGAGATCGTGCCATTGGGCAACAAGAGTGAAACTCCGTTTCAAAAAAAAAAGAGAAAATGTTCATTTTCCAATGAAAATCCAGGCGGATTTTCTTAAATCTCTAGGCCCCTAATTTAATTACTTCGGCAAATAATGTTTTTCCAAGTAAGGCCTCATTCACAGATTCTGGAATGTGGATGTAGCTTTTTGGGGGTCACTATTCAACCCACTGCAGAGGAGGTGCGTGTGCATTGGGTGCAGTGGCAGCTGTGTTTCTGAGCTGTCCTTCCCTCCAGGGGCTCTCTACAAGTGGGGCTGCAACGTCCTAGGGCAGCCTCTCTCTCCTGTCTCCCTCTCTCCAGCACCTTTGCCTCACTTTATAAACGCTTTCCCTCTTGAACATATTAACAAACTAAAGACCATTTTTATTTTTTTAAAATTTGAGGTGGAGTCTCGCTCTGTTGCCCAGGCTGGAGTGCTGTGGCTCGATCTCCACTCACTACCTCCTCCGCCTCCTGGGTTCAAGTGATTCTCCTGCCTCAGCCTCCCGAGTAGCTGGGATTACAGGTGCCCACCACCACGCCCAGCTAATTTTTGTATTTTTAGTAGAGATGGGGTTTTGCCATGTTGGCCAGGCTGGTCTCGAACTCCTGAACTCAAGTGATCCGCCCACCTCGGCTTCCCAAAGTGCTGGGATTATAGGCATGAGCCACCACACCCAGCCAAAAGACCATTTTTCTTAAGACCATGACCCCTTGAACTCCATTCATCCAATTTTCCTTAGCTCCCAGACTGCCTATCAAAGCCATTCACATTCCTTGTGTCACCACCGTGGGCCCTGTCCTCTTTACTCTGTGCCATCTGCCAGGCAGCCTGCTTTCCCAGGGGCACCCACAGCCCCCTGGTAGGTACATGGAGTCTCTCTTCCTGGACTCGGCATCCTCTGTCTCTTTCCTGTGTTTTGTGTAGTGGGAGTTGGCGGAGGGATTCCCTCCCTCAGCCTCATGACCCTCCCCAGTTTAGCATCCATGGACCCACTGGGGGTCGAGCACCAGCAGTGAACAGACCTGGGGTCTCAGTTTGACCCCTTCGTAGCTATGTGACAGTGTTGAGGGAGGCACCTCTTCGCTGGGTCCTGGTGTACTCGGCTGTACCACACAGGCCCTCAAGGCACCGTGGAGGGCAGGACTGGACAGAGCAGTGGCAGGTGCCCGTGAGCGGAAGGGGAGCATTGAGGTGGAGGTAGCCAATTCTGTTTCTCCCTGCGCTGGTCCCTGTGAGTGAGTGTGTGTAACTTCCACATGCAAGGGCGGCTGCTGTCCAACATGAGGCAAGCAGGACTTCTCTCCCCCACTCTGCGCTGAGGATGGGCTGGGGAGGAAACGAGGCCTGAAGGCGTCCAGGCTCCGGGATGTCTCCCTCTGCACCGGTCTCATCATTTCGGTGCAGATTGAGGTTTCTTCTTGTGAAGGCTGTTAACAACCAAGTGAGAGCCGGGCTATCAAATGCCGAGTAATAAGATGCCTGTACCTGCTGCTTCCTGGCCGGAGTGATGGTGCATTTCTGCTGCTGAAATTGCATGTGGATTAATTAAAACGGGAGTAAGTATTTCTCCTGAATTATTCACCAGCTTCCAGGAGATGGAACCATCACTGTGGCGTCTTGTTACAGGAGTGCTGTGGCCTCTCCTCTGGTGGAGCACCGGAAGTGGAAGGCACGCTCCCGGGGCTGGGGCGTGCATGTAGGGGGTGCGGTGAAGCTGATCAGTTCTGTGGCTTTGAATCCTTGCATATCCGGAAGTCACAGAGAATTGGAAATGCCCTGCACGGGAGAGGCCAGCGGAATAACCCTCTAGAAAGTTCTCCTGCAGAGAAGTAGGAGCCTCCTCTTCCTTCCTTTTTTCCACTGACGAGGGCCTGCACTCCGCAGGGAGGCCTCAGGAGACTCGGTTTCCATCCTGCCTCTGGTCGGGGCAGTGGCCTCTCCATGCCTGATGGCAGGTCTGGGCTGAGCAAGGGGCCCCTAGGTGTCCCAGTGGTGCTTGTGGGCTGTTCTTGTATCTGACTGTGGAGTGTCAGAGTGTGTGTTCCATGCCCGCCTGGCCCTTGTGTGGGTATTTGTGGGTGCCTCTGTGTGCTGTGTATGAGGGTGCCACTGGAACGGGGCTGACCAAGCTCTTGGCCAATGATCCCATCCACCTTTGGTCCCTTGTGCTAGTGGGAAGGGCTGAGGGTGCTGGTCTGAGCCTTCTGGATGACCCCTCAGTCCTGACACTGGTTCTTCAGATGAGGTTGGCTGTCCCTTCCCCACGTGGTGGCTCTTTTTATTTTTATTTTTTTGAGATAGGATCTCACTCTGTTGCCCAGGCTGGAGTACAGTGGCATGATCTTGGCTCACTGCAACCTTGACCTCCCCGGGCTCAGGTGATCCTCTCACCTCAGCCTCCCCAGTAGCTGAGACCACAGGTGCGTGCCACCATGCCCAGCTAATTTTAACAACTTTTAGTACAGATGAGGTTTCACCATGTTGCCCAGGCTGGTCTTGAACTCCTGAGCTCAAGCAATCTGCCCACCTCAGCCTCCCAACGTGGGTGGTTCTTGATCAGTCCCCACAGATAATTTTTCTCTTGGGCCACCTTGACTGGAGACGCCTCATCTGCATGGGCCCTTTGCCGTGCCGTGCCGTGCCGTGCCATGCCGTGCTCATCCCGTTTCTCTTTCCAGGCCACAGGTCCACCCTGCTCCGGCCCCAGTGTCTTCTTACTCACTCTCCCTTCCCCTTGGGCCAATTTCCAAGCTGCCTCTGCGACTGGAGTTTAGCCAAGGCGAGCTCAGTTACACATACCTGAGCATGCACCCCAGCAGGCCTTTCCTGGGGCACTAGAGCTCTTTCTTTTCTTTCTTTTTTTTTTTTCTGAGACGGAGTCTTGCTCTGTCGCCCAGGCTAGAGTGCAGTGGTGCGATCTCGGCTCATTGCAACCTCTGCCTCCTGGGTTCAAGCGATTCTCCTGCCTCAGCCTCCCGAATAGCTGGGATTACAGGCACCTGCCACTGCACCTGGCTAATTTTTGTATTTTTAGTAGAGATGGGGTTTCACCATCTTGACCAGGCTGATCTCGAACTCCTGACCTCGTGATCCACCCACGTTGGCCTCTCAAAGTGCTGGGATTACAGGCGTGAGCCACCGTGCCCAGCCTAGAGCTCTTTCTAAGATAGACTCTCTTTTAATAAATGACTTTCAGGAAGATGGATGCTTATGTGTATCCTGCAGCAAGAGGATGAGTCAGTAGGACATGTCAGGGGTGTGGAGGGAATCTTTGAAGCTAGCGGGGCCTGGCACAGGGTATTGGCATTGGATCTGGGCAGAGCCAAGGAGTCCAGGCTGCCTCTCTCCATGGGGACACCTGCACCCTCCTGGCCGAGGGAAGGCAGGCAGCCAGCAGGGTACTTCGGCTGGGATCTGAGTGTAATGAAATATCGAGCAGTCTATTTTATGGATGGATTCTTCTCATACGTTCAAGATATTAAAATAAAAATTATTCTTAAAAGCTTGAATTGGAATAGAAGTAATGTCCCACAGTAAGCAAGGTAGATACCCCTTTGGCTGGCACTAAATTTTCTCCGAAATAGGCTGTTTTTTATGTAGAAGAGGGAGAGAGAGTCATCGTAGGTAAGTCAGACAAACTGAGCTTCTTAGCTTCAGAAACCTGAAAACAGGCTGGGCATGGTTGCTCACACCTGTATTCCCAGCAGTTTGGGAGCCTGAGAAGGGAGGATCACTTGAGGCCATGAGTTCAAGACCAGCCTGAGCAACATAGTGAGACTCTGTCTCTCCCAAAAAAAAAAAAAAAAAAAAAAATAGCCAGGCATGGTGGCACATGCCTGTAGTCCCAGCTACTTGGGAGGCTGAGGTGGGAGGATCGTTTGAGCTCAGGAGGTTGAGGCTGCAGTGAGCTGTGATTGTGCCACTGCACTCCAGCCTGAGTGATAGAGCAAGACCTTGACTCAAAAAAGAAGAAAGAAATCTGAAAACAAAAGCTGTCTGCCTCTCCTGCCCCACTTCCTCCTGCCTCAGGGTTAGTGGATTGCTTTGACTTTGGAAGAATTTGGAAAGTTTATATATGAAAATGACAATAATAGCTGGGGTGTGGTGGTGTGCACCTGTGGCCCCAGCTACACAGGAGACTGAGGCAGGAGGATCACTTGAGCCCAGGACGTCATGGCTATAGTGAGCTGTGTTTGACCTGCTGCACTCCAGCCTGGTAAATAGAGCAAGACCCTGTCTGAAAACAAAAAAGGCCAGGCGTGGTGGCTCACGCCTGTAATCTCAGCACTTTGGGAGGCCGAGGCAGGTGGATCACCTGAGGTCAGGAGTTCCAGACCAGCCTGGCCAACATGGTGAAACCCCATCTGTACTAAAATATAAAAATTAGCCGGGCATGATGGTGGGTGCCTGTAGTTCCAGCTACTCAGGAGGCTGAGGCAGAACTGCTTGAACCCAGGAGGCGGAGGTTGCAGTGAGCTGAGATCGTGCCACTGCACTCCAGCCTGGGCAACAGAGCAAGACTCCGTCTCAAAAACAAAACAAAACACAAAAAAACCCCAACCAACCAACCAAAAAAACTACAATAATACAACATGCAACCTTGAAGGTTTGATATAGAAATCTGTGCTCACGTTTTTCTGGCTGTACCTCTTATTTGTGACTATGTGTGTAAGAACTGATGTGAGACTTGGTAATTGTCCGTATAGCATGTGTGTATGTCTGTGTATCCGGGAGCTATTGCTGTGTAACTCAGCGCCTCAACACACAGAGGCCTATAACAGCAAACATGTATTGTCTCATTTATTACTATGGGTCAGAATTTGGGCACAGCTTAGCTGGGTGCCTCTGCCTCCAGGTCTCTCAAGAAGCCTGTGGTTAGGGAGTTGGCTGGGGTCTATTGTGATCAGATGGCTCCACTGGGGAACGATCAAATTCTAAGCTTGCTCCCTGGTTGCTGGCAGAACTTTCTTTGCTGGCTGTTGATCAAGGACTGCCCTCAGTTTCCTGCTGCAGAAGCCTCTTTGTAAAGCAGCTATGGCAGGAAGAGTCACCCTCAGAGCCGGCGAGAGAGAGAGGGGTGAGTGGACAGAAGCCACCATTTATTTCTCTTTTCCTTTTTGTTTTGAGACAGGGTCTGATTCCATTGCCCAGGCTGGAGTGCAGTGGTGTGATCACAGCCCACTGCAACCTCCACCTCCCAGGCTCAAGTGATCCTCCTGACTCAGCCTCCTGAGTAGCTGGGACTATGGGCATTTGCCACCACGCCTGGCTAATTCTTGTATTTTTTGTAGAGTTGGGGTTTTGCCATGTTGCCCAGGCTGGTCACTAACTCCTGGGCTCAAGTGATCCTCCCCCCTTGGCTTCCCAAAGTGCTGGGATTACAGGTGTGAGCCACCACACTGGCCCATGGTTTCTTTTTGTAACCTGGAAGTGACATCTTATCATTTCTGTGTTATATTTGTTGGAAGCAGGTCCAGCCCACACCCAAGGGAAGGAGATTCCGCAAGGGCATGGATACCAGGAGGTAAGGACCATTGGGGCCATGCGGGAGGCTGCTGCCTCGTCTCTACTGGTTAGGGGAGTGTACACATGCTGGCAAGAGAGACATGGGATTTTGGTTTTGCAGGTGCTTTTTTTTTTTTGTGATGGAGTCTCTGCTGTATGCAATGGCTTGATCTCAGCTCACTGCAACCTCTGCTTCCCGGGTTCAAGCAATTCTCCTGCCGCTGCCTCCCAAGTAGCTGGGATTACAGGCGCCCGCCACCATGCCCGGCTAATCTTTGTATTTTTAGTAGAGATGGGGTTTCACCATGTTGTCCAGGCTGGTCTGAAACTCCTGACCTCAGGTGATCCACCTGCCTTGGCCTCCCAGAGTGCTGGGATTACAGGCGTGAGCCACTGTGCCTGGCCTGCAGATGCTATTAATATCTGCAGATTTATAGATCAGGAGCATTCTCTAGGCTATCAAGGAGAGCCTCGTTTAATGGTCCATTAATTTATTTGACTTGTATGTTTTGCAAACAACTTGCTCCTGCCTATGATAGAACATCCGGTTGAAATCCACAAATTACAGATACGTGTGACAGCAGGCAGCTGCACATACATGAAAACATCAGTTATAAAATGTCCGCATGAAAAGATGTTTTGCCAAAGATCGTAGGCTTCTAGATGGGGGCTCTGCCTGAAAGGTGGGCGAGAGTTTATCCTTCAGGGCAGCTGGGTAGATCTGCATTAATGAATCCACAGGCTGGTGCTTGTCCTGAACACCAAGGTCCTCAGGCGGTGAGTTCCCTCTCATTCTGCTGCTGGTGAGAATGACTTGGCAAGCCTCATCTGACCCCACTGAGCAGGCTGGGCCAGCTCCTTAGTAACTGGGCCGAGTACTTGGGGAGGGCAAGCAGTGCCAGGCTACTCTCTTGCTTTCCAGAACAAAAACATATTTTATTTTTTATTTTTATTTATTTATTTTTTTTGAGTCAGAGTCTTGCTCTGTCACCCAGGCTGGAGTGCAGTGGCGTGAACTCGGCTCACTGCAAGCTCCGCCTTCCGGGTTCACGCCATTCTCCTGCCTCAGCCTCCCTAGTAGCTGGGACTACAGGTGCCTGCCACCACGCCTGGCTAATTTTTTTGTATTTTTTTAGTAGAGACGGGGTTTCACCATGTTAGCCAGGATGGTCTTGAACTCCCGACCTCAGGTGATCCACCAGCCTTGGCCTCCCAAAGTGCTGGGATTACAAGCGTGAACCACTGTGTCCTGACAAAAGCATATTTTAAAGCAACTCAGAGTCCTGGGAATGTTCAGGGTAGGTCTTGGGCGTGTTGTCCCATTCCATTTAACTAAAGGGGATGTATTGGTCAGGGATCTCTAGAGGGACAGAACTAATAGGATAGATGTATATATGAAGGGGAGTTTATTAGGAGAATTGATTCACACAGTCACAAGGTGAAGTCCCACAATAGGCCTTCTGCAAACTGAGGAGCAGCGAAGACAGCCTGAGTCCCAAAACTTCAAAAGTAGGGAAGCTGACAGTGTAGTCTTTACTCTGTGTCTGAAGGCCTGAGAGCCCCTGGCAAATCACTGGTGTAGGTCCAAGAGTCCAAAAGCTGAAGAATTTTGAGTCTGATGTTTGAGGGCAGGAAGCATCCAGCACGGGAGAAAGAAGAAGGCCGGAAGATCCAGAGAGTGTCCTTATTCTACGTTCCTCTGCCTGCTTTATTCTAGCCACGTTGGCAGCTGATTAGATGGTGCCCACCCAGATTGCAGGTGGTTCTGCCTCTCCCAGTCCACTGATTCAAATGTTAATCTCTTTTGGCAACACCTTCATAGACACACACAGGAACAATACTTTGTATCCTTCAATCCAATCAAGTTGACACTCAATATTAACCATCACGGGACATCCCAAGAGTGACCACCTTACGTCAGCACCGTCGGGCAGACATGACTTCTGCTTCTGTACCCCATCCCTTCCTCCATCATCTTCTGCACTTTGTGGGAGGCCCCGCTTAGCCTGGGGGGAGCTTCCAGTTATTCTGAAAGTGTGGTGTGGTGGAAAGTGAATGACTTGGCCGGGCGCGGTGGCTCTCACCTGTAATCCCAGCACTTTGGGAGGCCAAGGCGGGTGGATCACCTGAGGTCAGGAGTTTGAGACCAGCCTGACCAACATGGTGAAACCCTATCTCTACTAAAAATACAAAAATTAGCTGGGCATAGTGGCAGGCACCTGTAATCCCAGCTACTTGGGAGGCTGAGGCAGGAGAATCGCTTGAAGTCGGGAGGCAGAGGTTGCAGTGAGCCGAGATCTCACCATTGCATTCCAGCCTGGGTGACAGAGCAAGACTCCATCTCAAAAAGAAAGTGAGTAACTTTGGGACTGGATAGACCCTTGAGGATCCTGGCCTCCGGACTCCCCAGCTGTGAGAACTTAGATTTCCCCTCTGTAAAATGGGGATAATGCCACCTATTTCGTCAGACGTGTGAGGATGAGATGATGCATATATACAAAGTCCCTGCCAGAACCACAGATATATTAGGGTCACATGACTCTTCAATTCTCTCCTCGTCCCTCCCCAAAACAAAGCCTCTCTTCTGATATTGAATGCTGACTTTCCATGTGGAGCTTGTTGCAGAAGGACATTCCTTTTTGTGTGGGAAGTAAGGAAGGTGGAAAGAGTGTATGCATTTGCAGGGGCTGGGAGGGTGGCCCAATGGAGACAGGGAGCACAGAGCATTGTGTCTCCCTGCAAATGATCACGCTGTCCTGGGCGGGGCCTCCTGTTGCATGACAGATGATGGTACTCATCCAGCCCCTCCCCAGGACAGCCCAGTCAATTCCTCTGCAGTGAGTTCTATGGCTGAGTCTTTGGTGAGGAGTTGGGGGGATGGTAGAGGGTCCATTGTGAGGGGTTCGGGGTATAATGGAGGGTCCCTTGTGAGGGGTTGGGGGGATGGTGGAGGGTCCCTTGTGAGGGGTTGGGATGGTGGAGGGTCTGTTGTGAGGGGTTCAGGATATAATGGAGGATCCCTTGTGAGGGGTTGGGGGGATAGTGGAGGGTCCCTTGTGAAGAGTTGCGGTGGGGGATGGTGGAGTAGCCATAGAGAATGCTCTAGACTGAATATTGTATCTCCCTGACAATCACTATGTTGAAACCATAGCTGTCAGTATGGTGGTATTAGGAGACGGGCCTTAGGAGGTGATTAGGTTAGATAAGGCATGAGGGTGGGGCCCTCTCCATGGGATTAGTGCTCTTGTATGAAGAGACCCAGAGAGCTTGCGCGTGAATTCTCTCTGCCATGTGAGGACACAGCAAGGAGGTGGCCATCTGCAAGCCAGGAAGAGAGGCTTCCCTGAGAACAAAATCTGCCAACACCTTGATCTTGGACTTCCCAGCCTCCAGCACCATGAGACACAAATGCCTGTGATGAGGCCTCCCAGTCTGTGGTTTGCAATGGTAGCCGGAGCCCACTAGGACAGAGAGGCTTCCCAGCAGCCCCTCCTGAGCCTTGCTGCTGGCAGCTCCCATACGGCATAGTTATGGGATGTCTCTTTCTGCTGGAGGCTGGGACCCAGAAGCATAGGAGGGGAGTGAAGCCACTCTTCTTGGGAAAAGGTTGCTTATTGTTCAGCAGAGGAGGGAATGGCAGGGGGGGACAGTAAGGCATGGCTGGGAACCCCTGATATTGAGTGGCCTCTCATAATTGAGAGAAAGGTATATGGGTAGTAAGCTGGGGCAAAGTTAAGTAGGTATCTTAGAGCAGTGATTAGATTATGTTCGTCCAGTGGCCGGCTGCAAATTCCATTACTACAGAGTCTGTGAGAGGCTCTTTGGGGTCCTCTCCAGCCTGATACCTGCAGCTTTGGTAAGGACGTCCACAGAGTGGTCTCTCTGATTTCAGCTGGTGCCTTCAGGTCCCCTTGTGCACCCCACATCAGGGCAGATGCTCCACGACCCAAGCCTCTGTCATCCAGGGACTTCGTGGACTCAGGGGCCAGGCAGACCCCAGCAGGCTGTGCCTCGGGGGAAGTTGCTCCCCACCCCGACGGGGCTGCATCAGCTCGAAAGCTTCCCTAAAAGATGTTCCTTTTGTTGTTAAACTTATTTTCGTCTTGTCTGCACAGAATCATGCTTATTTCTCTCCATCATTTGTCTATGAACAGGGACGAAGAAGAGGGACAAAAAGGGAAAACGATTTGCTGTCATTGTATCCACAAAGTGCACATTTTCTTTGTACGGCTGAAATGTCTGTGCGTCTGAGAGCTTGCAAGCTTGTCTGAAATGGTCTAATTGCCTGATCTCAATCCTGGCTGGGTGCCTTGCATCTGGCTTTTCATGGATTTGAATTGGGAGGGGCCGTTGGGGGAGACTCTCCTAACTCAGGGATATTTTTAGGAAATCAAAGTTTGCTTTTCTGGGTCGATTCTATCCTCTGTCATCGCCACCTCCCAAGCTGCCTCCGCGGCTCTTGTCACTTGCCATTGTCCCTGGGCTCTGGTGGGAGGCCAGTCCTGTGCTGCTGAATTGGAATCAGGACCAGAACAGTCCTGACTGTCCCTATGGGACCCAGGCCGGGGGTACCCCACCCAGCCCTGTGCCAGGGGCTTTGTGTAAGTCAGCAGTTCTCAAAGTGGGGCCCTCTGAGACCCAAGGAGTTATTTTATTTTATTTTTTGAGACAGAGTCTCACTCTGTCTCCTAGGCTGGAGTGCAATGGCATGATCTCAGCTCACTGCAACCTCCACCTCCCGAGTTCAAGCAGTTCTCCTGCCTCAGCCTTCCAAGTAGCTGGGATTACAGGCGTCCACCAAACACCCAGCTAATTTTTTGTATTTTTAGTAGAGACGGCATTTTGCCATGTTGGCCAGGCTGTTCTTGAACTCCTGACCTCAGGTGATCCACCTGCCTTGTGCTCCCAAAATGCTGGGATTCCAGGCATGAGCCTCCGCGCCTGGCCTCGAGGAGGTTTTCGTTCTTCTCAATCAAAACAACATATCACAATGGCCAGAATGTAGAAGCAGACAGAAGAGTCCACTTGCTTCTTTCCACTAAGCCAGACATTAAAGAGATCTGCACTACTTTATTTATTGAGACAGAATTTCATTCTCTTGCCCAGACTGGAGTGCAGTGGTGTGATCTCGGCTCACTGCAACCTCCTTCTCCTGGGTTTGAGCAATTCTCCCGCTTCAGCCTCCCGAGTAGCTGGGAATACAGGTGTGCACCATGGCGCCTGGGTAATTTTTGTATTTTTAGGAGAGACGGGGTTTCGCCATGTTGGCCAGGCTGGTCTTGAACTCCTGACCTCAAGTGATCTGCCCACCTCGGCCTCCCAAAGTGTTGGGATTACAGGTGTGAGCCGCCGTGCCTGGACTTGCACTACTTTAAAACAGCACCTTCTGACTAACATTGTGTTGTTTTAAAAGAGGTTTTTTTTTTCATAAAAAGATGTGATTTATGTTAACATGTAGTGGTTTATTGTTGCTATTTTAAGGGAGTTAAATAAAATTTAAAATTTCTGTTTTAATTTCTAATACAATAAATATTGATGAGTAACATGCATAGAAACAAAACACTTTGAGGCTTCAATAATTTTTAGGAGAGTAAAGGGATTCTATAGCCAATAAGTTAGAAAATCACTGATATAAGTTGTGTCATTTAATCCTTCAACTTCCTTTATGGGAGGCAGCATAAGCCCAATTTCAGATGAAATCTGAAAGAGATGGAGAAGGGAAACCTTTCAGAAGGAATTTGTCCTGGATTTTACATTAAGCAGCTGAGTTGGGATTTAAAAAGCATGTCTTGGCCGGGTGCAGTGGCTCACGCCTGTAATCCCAGCACTTTGGGAGGCTGAGGTGGGCGGATTACTTGAGGCCAGACCAGCCCGGCCAACGTGGTGAAGCCCCCGTCTCTACTAAAAATACAAAAATTAGCCGGGCATGGTGACGCATGCCTGTAATCCCAGCTACTTGGGAGGCTGAGGCAGGAGAATGGCTTGAGCCCCAGAGGTGGAGGTTGCAGGGAGCCAAGATTGTGCCACTGCACTCCAGCCTGGGGTACAGAGTGAGAATCTGTCTCAAAAAAAAAAAATAATTTGTCCATGATTTTACAGTAAGCAGCTGAATTGGGATTTTTAAAAACATTTCTTTGTTAAAAACAACAGTTAGGGCTGGGCACGGTGGCTCATGCCTGTAATCCCAGCACTTTGGGAGGCCGAGGTGGGCAGATCACGAGGTCAGGAGATGGAGGCCATCCTGGCTAACGCTGTGAAACCCCGTCTCTACTAAAAATACAAAAAATTAGCCGGGCGTGGTGGCGGGCGCCTGTAGTCCCAGCTACTCAGGAGGCTGAGGCAGGAGAATGGTGTGAACCCAGGAGGCGGAGCTTGCAGTGAGCCAAGATCGTGCCACTGCACTCCAGCCTGGTGACAGAGCGAGACTCCGTCTCAAAAAACAAAAAAACAGTTAATACATACTATACAAAAAAATGGAAAATGAAAAAATTTAATCTGCCCATATAAGCCTGCCATTTAATCTTTTAGAATATTTGCTTTGTCTTCATATTTAATTTCCATAACCTGAGTCGTATTGTCTGTGCAGTTTTATATTCTAAAGCAGGATTTGAACCCAGAGCTCAGACAGAGCCAGGCCAAGTGGGGAAGGGGGCTTGTGCCTTTTTATCTCTTCACATTCTGACAGTGTCCTGGAATAGGACCTGAGGTTGTGTGTGAGGGGCTGATTTGCCTCTCTCAAAAAAAAATTCATGATGAAAGTTGGGCCTGGTGGTATGCACCTGTAGTCCCAGCTACTCAGGAGGCTGAGTGGGAGGATCGCCTGAGCACAAGAGTTTGAGGCCAGCCTGGCCAACATAGTAAAATCTCATCTCTTAAAAAAAAAACTAACTCATAGTGAATCCCTAACCCCTGTACTTCAGAATGTGAGTGTATTTAAAGATGCGGCCTTTAAAGAGGTGATTAAGTTAAAATGAGGCTCAGCGGGCAATAATCCAGTCTCACTGGTGTCCTTATAAAAAGAGGAAATTCAGGCCAGGCATGGTGGCTCACGCCTGTAATCCCAGCACTTTGGGAGGCCGAGGTGGGTGGATCACCTGAGGTCAGGAGTTCCAGACCAGCGTGGCCAACATGGTGAAACCCCGTCTCTACTAAAAATACAAAAATTAGCCGGGCGTGGTGGCACGTGCCTGTAATCCCAGATACTCGAGAGGCTGAGACAGAATTGCTTGAACCTGGGAGGCGGAGTTTCCAGTGAGCTGAGATCACGCCACTACTCTCCAGCCTGGGCAACAGAGTGAGATTCTGTTTCAAAAAAAAAAAAAGGAAAGAAAAGAAGAGGAAATTCAGACACACAAAGAGACAGCAGGGAAGGGGCACAGAGGAAAGACGTAGGAGGCCACCCAAAGAATGCCCGGGCCCTGTCTGGGGCTGTCCACCTTCGCCCTGAGCACACGGTGGAAGGAAGTGGCTCAGAGCCTTGTCACAGGGCCCTGGAGTGGGAGCCCTTTGCTTCTGGGGTCTGCTCTGGGCTGAGAAGGCTTGACCCTGTTGAAATGGCTCTGCTGGCCTGGACCCCCTGAGACAGGTTCCATTTCAGCTGGTGAGCTCAGGGCCTGGCCTTGGACATGGCCAGCGCCAGTGAAACTGGATCTAGAATAAGCAGAAAGACAGCTCAGTGCCATCTTTAACTCACAGTGCAGGGAGTGAGCCCAGGCTTCAGGGCAGAGTGCTCCCTCCGCTTGCTGACTCTCAGCCTGGGCTCTGTCCTCTGGGCTCCGGCTGTTGTAGGACATCCTGAGAAAGGGGTCAGCCAGGCCGTGAACAGTCAATGGCATAGAGGCCTGAAGACTCCAGTCCTTCCTCCTGTGATGATGACACGTCCTAGGTGACCACCCTTGAGCTGATGCTTCTTTTTTTTTTTTTTTCCCTTCGAGACAGAGTCTTGCTCTGTTGCCCAGACTGGACTGCAGTGGCACCATCTCGGCTTACTGCAACCTCCACCTCCTGGGTTCAAGTGATTTTCCTGCGCCGAGGGGCTGGGACTACAGGTACGCGCCACTGCACCTGGATAATTTTTGTATTTTTACTAGAGACGGGGTTTCGCATGTTGGCCAGGCTGGTCTCGAACTCCTGACCTCTTGATCTGCCTGCCTTAGCCTCCCAAAGTGCTGGGATTACAGGCATGAGCCACAGCGCCCGGCCTGATGCTTATTTCTTTCCTCTCATGGTCTACACTTCCTCCCCTCCGCTCACTTCAGTCCTCTCCGCTCTTCACTGAACTGGCCTTTGACAAGGTCTCTGATGAGCGACGTCACCTCTCAGCTCCAGGCCCCCCAGACAGCACATTTTTCAGGTGTCGTTTCTGAGCACTCAATGCTGGCCTGTGCCTGGCTCAGCTCTTGGCTGTCTTTTCTATCTTAGCATGGTCCAACAGAGGTGCTTTTTTTTTTGTTTTTGAGACAGGGTCTTGCTCTGTCATCCAGGCTGGAGTGCGGTGGCACAGTTACTGCTCACTGATGCCTCAACCTCCTGAGCAGCTGGGACTGCAAGCATGCACCACTGTGTTGGGCTAATTTTTTATTTTTTGTAGAGATGGGGGTCTCAGTATGTTGCCCAGGCTGGTCTCAAACTCTTGGGCTGAAGTGATCTGCCTGCCTCCGCCTCCCAACGTGTTGGGATTATAGGCGTGAGCCACCATGCCCGGCCCCAACAGATTTTTCTGCCATGTTGGAGATGTTCTCTCTGTGCTGTGCAACACAGTAGCCATGAGCCACGTGCAAGGTGGTCAGTGTGACTGAGAAACCGGTTTCCTTTTTTTTCCTTTCTTTTTTTTTTTTTTGAGATGGAGTGTCTCCCTCTGTCACCCAGGCTGTAGTGTAGTGGTATGATCTCGGCTCACTGCTACCTCTGCCTCCTGGGTTCAAGCAATTCTCCCCTGCCCCAGCCTCCTGAGTAGCTGGGATTACAGGTGCATGCCACCATGTCCAGCTAATTTTTGTATTTTTAGTAGAGACAGTTTCACCATGTTGGCCAGGCTGGTCTCTAACTCCTGACCTCAGATGATCCACCCACCTCGGCCTCTCAAAGTGCTGGGATTACAGGCTTGAGCCACTGCATCCGGCCTGAGGTTTCCTTTTAGTTTCATTTTAATGAATTTAAATGTAAATAGCCACAGTGGCTGCTGGCTGCTGGCTGCGGTGTTGGACAGCGCCTCCTAGGAGGCTGTTAATACCTGTGCCGTGCCTTTGTAGAGCATCTGCCGCTGTCTTCTGCATTTCTGTTCCCTGCGCTGACACCTCCCCTGAGCCCCCATGAGATCCATCTCTTCTTGACACCTCTCCTGGGTGCCTCATAGGCACATGGATTGAGCACGTGAAAATTCTCTGATCCCACCTTCCCCATCGCAGAGAACGGCACCTGCCACTGCTCAGCCTCCAGATTCAGGAGTTGCATTTGTTTCCTTCTTTCTCCTGCCCTGAGCCAGTCACCTGGGCTCGTCCCTCCAGACATATCCCAACCTACACTTCCCTCCACCCCCACTGCCTCAGCCCACTCCGGATCAGGCTGGCCCTCCCAGCTCTCTGCCTCCCCACTCCTGTCCCGTGTCCCCCAGCCCAGCAGCCAGAGTGACCCGGCTACAGCACAAATCCCAGCACCTCGCTCCCTGCACCCCTAACTGCAACCAGAATCCATCCCAGCTGCTCTGTGGTCTGGCCTGCCCAGCCCTCCCACCCCATCTCCTCCTTCCCCTTCTAGTTGCCCAGTGCTGACCCCTCCCAGGGCTCCTGCATTTGCTGCTTGGAACTACCTCCCTGGCACCTTTGTGTCTCCTCCTCACTCCAGTCTGAATTCAGTGTTACCTCCTCAAAGAGGTCTTGTCCCAACACTCACTAGCACAGCACGTCGTCTTCCTTGTAGAGAGCACGCAGCCCCTCCAGACCAGAGCTGGACTTCCACAGGGAGCATCAGCCCCTCCAGACCAGAGCTCTGTTCTCATCACTGTGTTCCTGGTAAAACAGTCTTGTTGGCCTCCCTGAGCCAAGCTCTCTGTCCCTTCCTCCCTCTCTTCTTTTCTACCTCCCTCTCTCCCCACCTGTCTCTTCCTCTCTCTCCTTTTCTCCCTCTTTCTCTCCCTGACTCCCTCTGTTCCCTCAGTCAGTCTCTTTCTCTCCTCTCCCCGCCCTCTTGTTCCCTCTCTGTCTCTCTCTATTTCTGTCTCTTTTCTCCTCTCTCCCTCTGTTTCTCCCCCGACTCTCTCTCTGCCTCTCTGTCTCTCCCACTCTCTGCTTCTCTCTCTCTCTCTCTGCCTCTCTTTCTCTGCCTCTCTGTCCCTCCCTCTCTCTCTCTGTCCCTCCCTCTCTCTCTCTGTCCCTCTCCCTGTCTCTCTCTCCCTCTCTGTCTCTATCTCTCTCTGCCTCTCTTTCCTCTCTCTCTCTCTCCGCCTCTCTGTCTCTCCCTCTTTCTCCCTCTCTCTTTTCCTCTCTCTCTCTGCCTCTCTCTCCCTCCCCCCACCTCTCTCTGCCTCTCTGTCTCTCCCTCTTTGCCTCTCCCTCCCTCTCTCTCTGCATCTCTGTCTCTCCCTCTCTCTCCCTCTCTCTCTCTGCCTCTCTATCCCTCTCTATCTCTCCCTCTCTTTCTCCCTCTCTGTCTCTCTCTCCCTCTTTCTCTGCCTCTCTGTCTCTCCCTCCCCCCACCCCACCTCTCTGTCTCTCCCTCTCTCTTTGCCTCTCCCTCCCTTTCTCTCTCTCTCTCTGCCTCTCAGTCTCTCCCCCTCTCTCTCTCCTTTTGTTCCCCCCACCCACCCATGTCTGTGGAGGGCTGTGTCTCCCTTTGCCCCAGGACACTCCCTTTTTTTCTCCCCCGGTTCCGGTCTTTTGGGTGAAGGGTAGAAGGAAGACAAAAGCTGGAATTCCTGAGCAAGGGAAGTCATCACTACCCCCACGCTGGAGTTGTGACTGCCCATGCTGTGGCCCCTGGGTGGCCTCTGATGCAGCCACGCAAGGGGGTTCCACTCTGCTCCTTACTGGACCTGACCCCACCCCCTCCAGCAGCGTCCTCCGGAAGGGACTAGTTTCCCCTTGTACCCAGTGGGTCCAGGGCACCTGGATCAGTCCTTCAGTACCTTCATGTTTCAAACAAACACCTCTTGTAGCTCAGGCAGCAAATTGCGCTGTTCGTGGGGAGAGGGGCCGAGTGCCCTGACCAGTCGGAGCTGGACCGGCCAGTGCTCCTCTGGTAGAGGGTGGGGGGATCACTTGGGGTGGGCTTTGGCTGGGGGAACCTGGAGGCTTGCAGGCTGGGCTCCCAGAGACCTTAGGATGGTCTCATGCATACCCAGGTCTATTCTGAGCCATGCACCAAGCACCTTGGCTGGAGTCAGCTCACTTCCTCCCCTTATTACAGGTCCCAGCAGCCGCAAACCCAAACTTCCCCGGAGCACCAGCACACTCCCCATTAATGATAAGGCAGGAGAGCTCCTGCTCTTTCCAGCCGGGACTTTAATTTCTCTAATTATAGCTGAGGCTTGGAGCAGTCCCTCCCACTTAATCTACTTAATGCAGACACACACTCCCCCCAGCTCTCCACCCCTACCCGGCTTCTGCCTTTAACCCTTTTGCTGCTGGGTGGCAGTTCTCTGAGTGGGCACCTTTTAAGAGCTGAATTGCATTCATCTCACCAAATTCGTATGTTAGAACCCCAAACCCTGTAGCTCAGAATGTGACCATTGGAGACAGGGTCTTTAAAGAGGTAATTAGGGCCAGGCACTGTGGCTCACACCTGTAATCTCAGCACTTTGGGAGGCTGAGGTGGGGGTATCAGTTCAAGACAAGCCTGGCCAACATGGTGAAACTCTGTCTCTACTAAAAATACAGAAATTAGCCAGGCATGGTGGCATGTGCCTGTAATCCCAGCTACTCGGGAGGCAGGAGAATCGCTTGAACCCAGGAGGTGGAGGTTGCAGTGAGCTGAGATCACACACCACTGCACTGCAGCCTGGGCAACAGAGGGCTACTCCATCTCAAAAAAAAAGAAAAAAGAGGTAATTAGGTTAGGTGCAGTGGCTCATGCCTGTAATCCCAGCACTTTGGGAGGCCAAGGCAGGTGGATCACCTGAGGTCAGGAGTTTGAGACCAGCCTGGCCAACAGTTGAAACTCCGTCTCTAGTAAAAATACAAAATTAGCCGGGCATGGTGGTGGCACCTGTAATCCCAGCTACTTGGGAGGCTGAGGCAAGATAATCGCTTGAACCTGGGAGGCGGAGGTTGCAGTGAGCCGAGATTGCACCACTGCACTCCAGCCTGGGCGACAAGAGTGAAACTCCGTCTCAAAATAAAATAAAAATTAAGTGAAAATGGGCCCTATCCAACATGATGGGTGTCCTTACAAGAAGAGGGACACAGACACAGGGAAGACCAGGTGAAGGTCATGCAAGCCAACGTAGGAGGCGTGAACAAAAACCCAACCCTGCTAACACCTTGAACTTGGACTTCTAGGTTTCAGAATTGTGGAAAAATTGCTGGGCTAGGTGGTTCTTGCCTGTAATCCCAGCACTTTTGGAGGCCAAGGTAGAAGGATCATTTGAGGCCAGGAGTTTGAGACCAACCTGGGCAACATAGTGAGACCCCATCTTTTTTTTTTTTTTTTTTGAGACAGAGTCTCGCCGTCGCTCAGGCAGAGTGCAGTGGCATGATCTTGGCTCACTGCAACCTCCACCTCCTGGGTTCAAACGATTCTCCTGCCTCAGACTCCCAGGTAGCTGAGACTACAGGTGTGCGCCACCACACCCGGCTAATTTTTGTATTTTTAGTAGAGACAGGGTTTCAGCCTGTTGGTCAGGCTGTTCTCGAACTCCTGACCTCAGATGATCCACCAGCCTGAGCCTCCCAAAGTGTGGGATTACAGGCATGAGCCACCACACCCAGCTGAGACCCCATCTTTTAAAAAAAAACAAATTAGTTGGGCATGGTGGCATGCACCTGTGGTCCCAGCTACTCCGGATGCTGAGGAGGGAGGATAGCTTGAGATCAGGAGATTGAGGCTGCAGTGAGCCGTGATTGCACCACTGCACTCCAGCCTGAGCAACAGAGCGAGACTCTGTTTCTAAAAGAAGAAAAGAAAAATTGTGAAATAATAGATTTCTGCTGGTTGAGGCACATGGTCTGTGGCTCTTTAGCATCCTCGGCTGTGAGGGAGCCATGTGGCTGCTGTCTGGGAGGCAGGAAGCACTTCTGCCTCTGAGGAAGCCCCTCCAGGAACCCAGCTCCAGGACCAGCAGTCGGGGTGGTCAAATGAAGGTGGGCCCCTTTGCTGGCCTGACCCTGGAGGTGGGGACATCTGGTGGCCTCCTGGGGAAGGGGACTCAGTTGCATCACAGCCAGTCGACCCATGCAGGTGCCAGGTGTGCACATGGGAACGTGTCTGTGTGCTTGTGTGTGTTCAAACAGGAGAGACTGGTCAGGCTTAGCGATTAAGCTTACACCCCTTCCCCAGCCCACAGAGCACACAGTGCACCATTTCTACAAGGATCTCAGAAAATCAATAGGTGTCCCATCAGGGCAGGAGCAGCTGAGTTCAGCTTGTGTTTCCTGGAGTGTGCCTGTCCCCAGATCATCTGTTCTGTGATGCCAGAGGCAGGAGTGGAGCTTGTGCAGAGCTTCTGATGACTCCCGGCCCCTCTGGAACTCTGAGTCATACTCTTGCCATAACCTCCATGGTCACAGTCGTGCCTGCTAGGCACTCTTATTGTAGAGACCTTCTGAAGGTCACTGCAAAATCGTGATGCCCTAAATGCATTGTGGACCAAGACCAGAGGCAGGTGGGGCTCCTCTTTGACAGGCCCCAGGCCCGGGAGATTTGCTGTTAGGAGGAATCACTGATGACTGAACGTATTCTGGGGAAGAGAGAAGGGGGACGGATATGGAGACAAGTCACCAGGAAGACCCCCTGCGGGACAGATTGGAATCACAGCCCTGGAAAAGGGCCATGACATGAGCAGGGATGGCCTGGAGTGGGGGATGTGGTCAGGCTGCTGTGGGGTGCTCCTGTCTTAACAGTGAAGAATGGCTGGTGGTCCCCAAACAGCAGACAGTACAGCCCTGCTGGACCTGTGACCTGGGATGCTGGGCAGTTCTGTGAGGGCTCGACTCCCTGCAATGCCTCTCCTAGGTCCTCTTCTGCATTCTCTCACCACGAACCTCACCCAGGCCAGTCTTTCATGACTGCTCTGCTAAGCCCACAGGGGTTCTAAATTTTTTGACTATTCGTAACCAAGGCAACCCATAAATATAGCACAAACCGATTCTTGATTCCTGAGACAGTTTTTGTAGATTGCTACTCAGTTTCCATCTTTCCTTTTGGTCCTGGTTGTGGCGGTCCCTGGGACGGCCCACACACTTGGTGATTTGCCAGAAGGGCTCATGGGACCCAGTGGAGTCTGCAGCATTCTGTTACAGCCATCAGGGGCTTCCTCCTTCCCTCGAGGGCGCTCACAGAGCATGCTCCTTCCCCAGCCGAGAGAAACACATGTGCAATATGTCTGCCCAGGGATACCCCTTAGAGACTCAGAACCCAAGGTTTTTACTGAGGGCTGGTCACATAGGCAATCCCTACTGAGCAACTTTAAAAAAAAACTCTCCCATAAGAAAAGCAGGTGTTGGGCCAGGTTCAATGGCTCATGCCTGTAATCCTAGCACTTTGGGAGGTTGAGGCAGGAGGCTTGCTTAAGCTCAGGAGTTCTAGACCAGCCTGGGTAACATAACAAGACCCAATCTGTACAAAAATAAAATAAAAAAATTAGCCCAGGATGGGGGCATGCACCTGTGGTCCCAGCTACTCAGGAGGTGGAGGATCACTTGAGCCTGGGAGGTGGAGGTTGCAGTGAGCCAAGATTACACCACTGCACTCCAGCCTGGGCAACAGAGCAAGACCCTGTCTCAAAAATAAATAAATAAATGAAGAAAAGAAAAAAAGCAGTTATTTATCCTAACCCATATTGTTTGCATACACAGGCTAGGCACAGTGAGTCACCCTTATCAGCCAGGGAATGGAGGAGTGGTTCAAGTGCCAAGTTCCCAGAAGCCAGCTCAGAGCTGACCTCACGGGTGGACTGTTTTAAAGATAGCAGCACTGGGCCTCAAGTCCATGAGGTCTTTTCTCAGTCAGGACCTGGCCCGGCTCTCCCAAATAAATGATCAGCTATGGGGTTGCTTTCCTCTTAGCTCACTTTTCTTCCAGCTGCGACCCTTGGCTTCCTCCCTCCCTCCCGTGGGGACCTCCCATCGTACTTAAGGCACAGCTGTTGAGTGGGGCTCTCCGTGCCTGTTTTGAAGAGCCTCTCCCTCTGCTAATTAGTCTTTGCATCTTTACAACTGACTTAATTTATTTTATTTTTATTTTTTTGAGATGGAGTTTCGCTCTTTGTTGCCCAGGCTGGAGTGCAGTGGCACAATCTCGGCTCACTGCAACCTCTGCCTCCTGGGTTTAAGTGATTCTCCTGTCTCAGCCTCCCAAATAGCTGGGATTATAGGCACCCACCACAATGCCTGGCTAATTTTTGTATTTTTAGTAGAGACAGGGTTTCACCATGTTGGCCAGGCTGGTCTTGAACTCCGACCTCAGATGATCCACCTACCTCCGCCTCCCAAAGTGCTGGGATTACAGGCATGAGCCACTGAGCCTGGCCACAACTGACTCTTAATTTATTGCTGTGTTCATACCATTTCTACCACTCTGGATAAATTTTCCTAACACCTCCATAATGGGTCTTAACTTGAGGCTTGGATTGTTTCTTGAGGGGGGGTTCTAGCCAGGGAGAGAATGAACTCTTTCTAACTGAACAGCTCTTCCAGATGCTTTCCACAACCATTCAACCCACAGAGCAGGAAGTGCCTGTGTTAGTGTCTGTTGCCGCACATTACAAACAGTACTAAGGATACAGGAAGGTACAAGAAACTGGTGCCAAGGTTGACTCCATGGAGGGGAACTGGATGGCTGTGAGGGGCAGGTGTGGAAAAGAGACAATTCACCATATGCTCTGTGAGAGCCCTTTAAATTTTGTACTGTGTACAAGTATTACTTTTTCAAACAAAATTATTTTTCTATTATTTTTTAAGACAGGGTCTCACTCTGTCGCTCAGGCTGGAGTGCAATGGTGTGATCGAAGCTCACTGCAGCCTCAACCTCCCAGGCTCAAGTGATCCTCCCACCTCAGCCTCCTCAGTAGCTGTGACTACAGTCACATGCTACTATGCCTGGCTAAGTTTTAGAGTTTTTGTAGAGATGGGAGTCTCACTACATTGCCCAGGCTGGTCTTGAGCTCCTGGGC
Organism: Homo sapiens; assembly: GCF_000001405.40. Lineage (NCBI taxonomy): Eukaryota > Metazoa > Chordata > Mammalia > Primates > Hominidae > Homo > Homo sapiens. Next base: position 76,847,024 of record NC_000017.11, read on the forward strand.
TCAAGCAATCTTCCCACCTCTGCCTCCTGAAGTGCTGGGATTACAAATGAGCTATTTAACCCAGCCAAAATTTTTAACTAAAAGAAGAAGAGGAGGAAGAGGAAGGAGATGAGGAGGAAGAGGAAGGAGATGAGGACGAGGGAGAGAAATAAGAATAATCATAAGAAGGAGAAGGAGAAAAATGAAGAGGAGGAGGAGGAGAACAAGGGGAGGAGGGGGAGGAGAAGGAGTAGGTGGTGGTGGAGAATCAGGGCATCATTATTCACAGTAGTCAAAAGGTGGAAACAACCCAAATGTCCATCATCTGATGAATGGATAAACAAAATGTGGTGTAGCCATACCATGAAATATTTAGTCATAAAAAGGAATGAAGTTCTAATATCTGTTACGATGTAGATGAACCTTTACAACATTACACAAAAGGCCGGGCATGGGTGGCTCATGTCTGTAATCCCATCATATTGGAAGGCCAAGGAAGGATTGCTGGAGCTCAAGAGTTTGAGACCAGCCTGGGCAACATAGGAAAACCTCGTCTTTCCAAAAAAAAAAAAAAAAAAAATTAGCCAGGCTGGATGGTGGATGCCTGTGGTCCCAACTACTTGGGAGGCTGGGGTAGGAGGATCATTTGCACCCAGGAGGTGAAGGCTGCAGTGAGCCGTGATCATGCCATTGTACTCCAGCATGGATGACAGAGCAAGACCCTGTCTCAAAGAAAAAAAGAAGAAAACTGCATAAAAGAGCGCATATTTTATAATCTCATGTATGTGAGATATCCCAAATTGGTAAATCATAGAGACAGAAAGCAGGTTAGTGGTCCCCAGGGGCTTGGGGGAGGGGAGAATGAGGGGTGGCTGCTTAGTGGGAATGGAGTCTTCCTCTGGGGTGATGAAATGTTTTGGAGATAGAAGTGGTGGTTGCACAAAAAAAAGTGAATGTACTAAATGCTACTGAATTGTATATTTTATTTAATTTATTTTTTTCAAGACGGACTTTCGCTCTTTCTCCCAGGCTGGAGTGAAGTAGGCGTGATCTCGATTTGCTGTAACCTCCACCCCGGGGTTCAAGTGATTCTCCCGCCTCAGCCTCCTGAATAGCTGGGATACAGGTGCATGTCACCACGCCTGGCTAATTTTTGTATTTTTAGTAGAGACAGGGTTTCACCATGTTGGCCAGGCTGGTCTCGAACTCCTGACCTGAGGTGATCCACCCGCCTCGGCCTCCCAAAGTGCTGGGATTACAGGTGTGAGCCACTGCCCCTGGCCGAATTGTATATTTTTAAATGGTTAATTTTATGTTATGTGAATTTCTCCTTGATTTTTTTTTTTAAACAAGAAATAGAGTATGCTCTGGTAAGGTTCAGCTCGGGGAAGTTCCCTGTCCATAATTACCGTGAGCTCTAGAGGGACTGGAGTTCTAGGTGCCCTGGCCAAGCGCACACTGGGGCTCCATGTCTCCACTCATTGACCTGGTTGGTCCCTGGCTTTCCCAGGTTCCAGACATCAAAGGGGGTACGTCAACAGTGCGCACCATCATGCCAATTAAATGCCGTGATGCACCATATATACGCCTAACCAGCAATCAACCAAAATAGCACTTAGGGGCAAACTCCCACCCGTGTCTTACAAATAACTGCAGTTGTAGAATGTACAAGGAAATGACAGAGTCTGCCATTAACCTCAGGCCTGCAGCATCTCCAGACTGCGCTGCTCACAGATGGCTTGCACTGAGGGAAGCATCAGTGTCACCCGGGGAGCCAACTGCAAGCCCATCTACTTCGGGTCCCTCCAGGCAGTGTCTGCTTTCTCTAAGAAACAGGAATGAAGAATATTCTTATCTCTACCCATTAGGCCTGAGGACGACTCTGGACTTGGTTGATAAAACAACCAAATTAGAAGGAGAAGCGGGGCCTCAGCACCCGGAGGACAGATCTTGGTGGCTGTCAAGCCTTTGGTTTTAGCTGAGGAGGAAGAGAGAAGGCGCCAGAGCCTTGGGGCTCCCCTGTGAGATATTAATCCTGAAAGCTATATGTGCAGGCCCCGCTGAGTGCCCCACAGTCCTCACCGTGGCCCGAGGGGGGAGATACTTTTTTTTTTTTGAGATGGAGTTTTGCTCTGTCACCCAAACTGGAGTGCAATGGCGCGATCTCGGCTCACTGCAACCTCCGCCTCCCAGGTTCAAGAAATTCTCCTGCCTCAGCCAGGCTTACAGGCATCCGCCACCACGCCCAGCTAATTTTTGTATTTTTAGTAGAGATTGAGTTTCTCCATGTTGGTCAGCCTGGTCTTGAACTCCTGACCTCAGGTGATCTGCCCACCTCGGCCTCTTAAAGTGCTGGGATTATAGGTGTGAGCCACCGCGCCCGGCTGGAGGATGTGATCTTATGACATCATTCATTTACTTATTTAGAGACAGAGTCTTGCTCCATCACCCAGGCTGGAGTGCAGTGGCACAATCATGGCTCACTGCAGTCTCGAAGTCCTGCAGTGAGTCTCAAGTGATCCTCCCACCTCAGCCTCCCTAGGAACTGGGACCACAGGTGCACGCCACCACACCTGGCTAATTTTTGTATTTTTTATTTTGCCATGTTGCCCAGGGTGGTCTCGAATGCCTGGATTCCAGCGATCTTCCCACCTTGGCCTTCCAAAGTGCTGAGATTCCAAGTGTGAGCAGCTGAGCCCAGCCTTATGATGTATGTCATCTATATGGTTGAGGAGGCCAAGCCCAGCCAGGCAGGAGAGGTGCTCCAGCCCAGGCAATCTGTAAGCGGCAGTGCTGAGATGTGCACCCAGGGCTGTCTGATCCAAAGTCTGTGCTTTTACATAAGATAATACGCTGGGGAATCATTTTTTTTTTTTTTTTTTTTTGAGACAGAGTCTTGCTCTGTTGCCCAGGCTGGAGTGCAGTGGCGTGATCTCAGCTCACTGCAACCTCCCCGCTATGCTGGGGAGTCTTAGGGTTAGCTCAGGGCTATGGCTGAAATGTTTGCCTTCTGCCCCTGCCAAGTTCATATGTTGAAACCTCAACTGGTGTGACGGTATTTGAATATGGGGCCTTGGGGAGGTAATTAGGTCAAAAGGGTGGAGCCCGTGTAGATGGATGAAAGCCCCTATAAAAAGACAAGAGAGAGCTTGCTTCCGCTCCGCTCTCCACCAGTAAGGATACAACAAGGAGAGGCCGCCTACAAGCCAGGAAGACAATCGTTCAGTAGCCTTCAGATCCGCCAACACCTTGATCCTGGGCTTGCGGCTGCCAGACCTGTGAGAAAGCGATGCCCATTGTTTAAGCCCCTGGTCTTTGATCTGTTACCGCAGCGCGAGCTGACCACGCACTCAGTGTGAGGCGATGACCTTTTTCTCAACCATGCGCAAGTGGTATTTCTGCGTGCTTCAAATATCACAGGCCGGATTGTCAGGAAACCAAGGAGGGGCCTTTTGGAAGAGAATGATGCTGAGCATCCGGGTCCCTGGACAGCCAGCAGCCCTGAGGCAGACAGAAGTTTGGACAACTCAGGACAGGGAGCTTGGAGGGCAGCCCCTACATGTCGGAGTGGTCCCTACCTGTGTTGCCTCAACTCTTCCTTCAAGGCAAGAGCCGCTAAGGACAGTCAGGACATCCTACCGCCCAAGGCTGTTGAGCTCGGCCGGCCAAGGGTAAGTCTAGGGCTGGACGAGCTATGCCTGGGGCTCAGGTGCCCCCGGTGGGGCTGAGCACAGCCCAGGAGCTGGGCCTGGCTTCTCTGAGACTTGCAAGTCACACAAAATGCCTTCTACTCCATGGAGTGAGAGAGTGGAACTAAGAGGGGGGCAGTTTTAGAAGCTGAGTGAGGAGGTGGGAGAGGCACCTGATAAGAACTTGGGCTTGGCAGTTAGAGGAACAGGCAGAGGGGTTGGGGCCAGGTGCGGAGGCGGGGGATGGGCCACAAGGTGGGGTAGGTGGGGGGAAGGTGCAGAGAGGAGGGGCGGGGTGGGCATTATGGGGTTCTGTAAGAGTTTGGGGGCAGGGGCCAGGCGCAGTGGCTCATACCTGTAATCCCAGCACTTTGGGAGGCTGAGGCGGGCAGATCACCTGAGGTCTGGAGTTCAAGACCAACCTGGCCAACATGGTGAAATCCCATCTCTATTAAAAATACAAAAATTAGGCTGGGTGCGGTGGCTCATGCCTGTAATCCCAGCACTTTGGGAGGCTGAGGTGGGTGGGTCACCTGAGGTCAGGAGTTCGAGACCAGCCTGACCAATATGGTGAAACCCCGTCTCTACTAAAAATACAAAAATTAGCTAGGCGTGGTGGCGGGCGCCTGTAGTCCCAGCTACTCGGGAGGCTGAGACAGGAGAATTACTTGAACCTGGGAGGCAGAGGTTGCAGTGAGCCGAGATCACGCCACTGCACTCCAGCCTGGGCGACAGCGTGAGACTCTGTCTCAAAAACAACAACAAAAAACAAACAAACAAAAACAAAAATTAGTCGGGTGTGGTGGCGGGTGCCTGTAATCCCAGCTACTCAGGAGGCTGAGGCAGGAGAATCAATTGAACCCAGGAGGTGGAGGTTGCAGTGAGCTGAGATCGCACCATTGCACTTCAGCCTGGGCGACAGAGCGAAACTCTGTCTCAAGAAAAAAATTTAAAAAGAGAGAGAGAGAGTTCGGGAGAACGGGAGCAGAGGTCCCTGGAGATGTTCCCATTTCCTGGGTCTCCAGCAGCCCCCACTGACATCTCACTGAGTCCCTGTGTTCTCTGATATTCCTGAACAAGACCCAATTCATTATCATCCTAAAAATTGACTTAGGGAAAAAAAAAGTAGAGCCTTCAGCTCAAAGAACTGCTGAGATCTGGGATGATGGATGGCTTTATTAGCATGCTTCAATTTTATATTTATCAAATTAAACCAGCAGCCAAGGGACACTTAATTAAGATTCTTTGTCATCAGTCAGAGGAGAGAAGATGGGGGAGAGAAAGGGCTTATGACCCATATTCTAGAAGGAAAGGTTTAAGTGCCCAAAATAATATGTCAGAGGCCCTTGGGAGGGTTTGGTGGCTTGCAGTAATGAGGGCTGTCTTCACCGTGGGAATCCGAGGATGGGTTCGAGTCTTTCTTCCTTAAGTGTTTTCTCTTTATTAAGCTCTCATCAGAGATGCGACATTTATTCAGTGCTGGTCCTCCATGTTAACAAACACACCATGTCTGTAAGATATCAGAGCACAGGGCAGCCAGGGAGTCTGGGTTCAAATCCCGACTCTCCTTACTAATTGCATAATCATGGGCAAGTTACTTCATTAAAAAAAAAAAAAAACTGGGATATAATTCACATAAAATTCACCCCTTTAGAGTGTACAATTCAGTAGTTTTTAGTATATTTATAAATTCTTAGTATATTCACCATTGTGCAAACGTCACTTTCCAGTTAAAACATTTCCATCACCCCTGCATTAGTCCGTTTTCACCCTGCTGATAAAGACATACCTGAGACTGGGCAATTTACAAAAGAAAGAGGTTTATTGGACTTACAGTTCCACATGGCTGGGGAGGCCTCACAGCCATGGTGGAAGACTAGGAGGAGCAAGCCACATCTTACGTGGATGGCAGCAGGCAAAGAGAGAGCTTGTGCAAGGAAACTCCTCTTTTTAAAACCAACAGATTGGCCTGGCGTGGTGGCGTATGCCTATAATCCCAGCACTTTGGGAGGCTGAGGTGAGCGGATCACCTGAGGTCAGGAGTTTGAGACCAGTCTGGCCAACATGGTGAAACCCAGTCTCTACTAAAAATACAAAAAAATTAGCCCATTGTGATGGTGTATGTTTGTAATCCCAGCTACTCAGGAGGCTGAAGCAGGAGAATCACTTGAACCTGGGAGGAAGAGGTTACAGTGAGCTGAGATCATGCCACTGCATTCCAGCCTGGGCAAAAAGAGCAAAATTCCATCTCAAAATAATTAAAAATAAAAAATAAAACCATCAGATCTTGTGAGACTCATTCACTATCACGAGAACAGCACGGGAAAGACCCGCCCCCGTGATTCAATCACCTCCTACTGGATTCGTCCCACGACACGTGGGAATTGTGGGAGTTACAATTCAAGATGAAATCTGGGTGGGACACAGCCAAACCATATGAATCCCCAAGAGAAACCCCGTACCCTTTAGTGGTTATCCTCCATTCCCCCTGCCCCTAGGCCCTGGAACCATGAATCTGCTTTCAGGTTCTATGGCTTTGCCTATCTGGACATTTCATGTAGATGGAATCTGCAATATTTGCCCTTTTGTGTTTGACTTCTTTCACCCCGCGTAATGTTTTCAAGATTCATTCACATTGTAGCACATATTAGTATTTCATTCCTTTAAAAATTTAAATGTGGCAAAATACACGTAAGATAAAATTACCATCTTAATTTTTTTTTTTTTTTTTTTTTTTAAGATGTGGTCTTGCTCTGTCACCCAGGCTGGAGTGCAGTGGTGCCATCATGGCTCACTGCAGCCTCAAACTCCTGGGCTCAAGCCATCCTCCCACCTCCACCTCCCGAGTAGCTGGGACAACAGCCACCATGCCTGGCTAATTTTTAAAAATTTTTTGTAGAGATGGGGTCTCCCTCTGCTGTCCAGGCTGATCTCCTGCCTGAGCCTCCCAAAGTGCTGGGATTATAGGCATGAGCCACCGTGCCCAGCCATCTTAATCTTTTTTTTTTTTTTTTAAGTTGCAGTTTTGCTCTTGTCTCCCAGGCTGGGGTGCAATGAAGTGGTCTTGGCTCACTGCAACCCCCGCCTCCCTGGTGCAAGCGATTCTCCTGCCTCAGCCTCCTGGGTAGCTGGGATTATAGGCTTGTGCCACCATGCCCGGCTAATTTTTGCATTTTTAGTAGAGATGGGGTTTTACCATGTTGGTCAGGCTGGTCTCAAACTTCTGACCTTAGGGTATCCACCCACCTCAGCCTCCCAAAGTGCTGGGATTACAGGTGTGAGCCACTGTGGCTGGCCTCATCTTAATCATTTTTGTGTGTACAGTTTAGTAGTGTTAAGTACTAAATATTACTATGTGATCATCACCACCATCCATCTTCATAACTCTTTCATCTCGTAAAACCGGGCTGGGCACCGTGACTCATGCTTGTAATGCCAGCATTTTGGGAAGCTGAAGTGGGAGGATCACTTGAGTCCAGGAGTTGGAGAGCAGCCTGGGCAATATAAAGAGACCCCTCTAAAAATTTTTTTAAAAACATTAGCTGAGCATGATGGTGCATGCCTGTAGCCCCAGCTACTTGAGAGGCTAAGGAAGGAGGATAGCTTGAGCCCAGAAGTTCAAGGCTACAGTGAGCTGTGATCATGCCATTTGCACTCCAACCTGGGCAACAGAGAGAGAGAGAGAGAGACCCTGTCTCAAAACAAAACAAAATGAAAAAACCCCACAAAACTCTATACCCAACAAACCACTCTGCATTCTCTCCTCCCTCTAGCCCTTGGGAACCCTCGTTCTACTTTCTTTCTCCCTGAGTTTGACTATTTTGGAACCTCATATAAGTGGAATCCCATAGTATTTGTCTTTTTGTGCATGACTTATTTCACTCAGCATAATGTCTTCAAGGTTTGAAGGTTTGTCTATGTTGCAGCATGTGTCAGAAATTCCCTTTTTTTTTTTTGAGGCAGAGACATGGTCTCGCTCTGTCGCCCAGGCTTGAGTGCAGTGGCACAATATGGACTCAACTGCAACCTCCGCCTCCCTGGTTCAAGCAATTCTCCTGTCTCAGCCTCCTGTGTAGCTGGGACTACAGGTGCACTCCAGCACACCTGGCTAATTTTTGTATTTTTAGTACAGACAGGGTTTCACCATATTGGTCAGGCTGGTCTCGAACTACTGACCTCAGGTGATCTGCCTGCCTTGGCCTCCTAAAGTGCTAAAGTGCTGGAATTACAGGCATGAGCCACCGCACCCAGACATAAATTCCTTCCTTTTTTTTTTTTTTTTGAGATGGAGTCTCACTCTGTTGCCCAGGCTGGAATGCAGTGGTGTGATCTTGGCTTATTGCAACCTCTACCTTCTGGGTTCAAGCAATTCTCCTGCCTCAGCCTCCCGAGTAGCTGGGATTACAGGCGTGTGCCACCATGCCCAGCTAATTTTTTGTATTTTTAGTAGAGACAGGGTTTCACCATGTTAGCCAGGATGTTCTTGATCTCCTGACCTTGGGATCCACCTGCCTTGGTCTCCCAAAGTGTTGGGATTACAGGCGTGAGCCACCATGCCCGGCCAAATTCCTTCCTTTTTAAGGCTGAATAATATTCCACTGTAGGGACATACCACAGTTTGTTTATTTCTTCATTTGCTGATGGACACTTGGGTTGTTTCCCCCTTTGGCTGTTGTGAGTAACGCTGTATGAACATGGGTGAAGAGATACCTCTTTGAGACTCTAGTTGCAACTCTTTTGGGTTTATACCTAGAAGTAGAATTGCTGAATCATATGGTAATTCTATTTTAGTTTTTTTGAGAATAATTCCTTTTTAAGGCTGAATAATATTTCATCACATGGATAAATCACGTTTTGTTTATTCATGCATCCATTGATGAAAAACTTGAATTACTTCCACTTTTTGGTTAAGAGTTGTGATGCTGGCCCGGCGCGGTGGCTCATGCCTGTAATCCCAGCACTTTGGGAGGCTGAGGCGGGCGGATCACCTGAGGTCAGGACTTCAAGACCACCTGACCAACATGGAGAAACCCCGTTTCTACTAGAAATACAAAATTAGCCGGGCATGGTGGCACATGCCTGTAATCCCAGCTACTTGGGAGGCTGAGGCAGGAGAATCACTTGAACCCGGGAGGCAGAGGTTGCAGTGAGCAGAGATCATGCCATTGCACTCCAGCCTGGGCAAAAGAGCAAAACTCCATCTAAAAAAAAAGAAAAAAAGAGAGAGTCATGCTGCTATGAACATGCATGTACAAGCTCCTATGTGGATATGTGTTTTCATTTCTCTTGGAGATGCACTTAGCCGTGAAGTTACTTCATTTTTTGGGCCTCAGTGTTTGCCTATAAGACAGGATCAGGCTCTCACATGGTTATTTGTATGAACTGATGAGATGTTTGCCTGGTACAAGGTGGGTGTTAAAGAAATGGAAGCTAATGATAAAATGATTTTGTTTCTCTGTGCCTGAATCTCGTCCTCAGGAGCTTATAATTTAGTAGACACATAAGCCACAAACAGAAGCCAGCTCTGTGTCAGGCCCCATGAGAAGTCCGCAGGTGCGATCTTCAATTTGGAGGTGAGGAAACTGAGGCTTGGAGGGTGATTTGCCAAGGTCTGGATCGGGAAGGGGAGGCAGGACTCAAGGCCCATTGGGCTCCGGGGTCTCACAGTGAGCGAGGAAGCTGAGAAGAGCCTGGCCCATCTTGCAGGCACCGCTGTGCTTCCAGGGTTGCCCAGGCGAGACCCTCACCCCATGTGCTACCTGTCCCTGACAGGCAGGGAAAGGGGCTGGGCCGGCCCTGGGGGTGGCTGTGTGGATGAACACCTAGTGGATGATGAAATGCAGGCTGAGAAGAGTCTGAGATGAATCGGGAAGTTTCGGGAAGCTGCCCCTACGGTGATGTTCAGTGTCAGGGAGCTGCACAGAGGAGCCGGTGGAGGAACATGGAGAGTAGGAGGCGGTGTGAGGCAGACACTCTTTGCCTGGCATGGGCTGGAGGTGTGGGGTGAATGGTTCACGAGAAGAGGGGGCATGCACAGTGCAGTGGGCACAGAGGGCAAGGTGGAAGGAAACAGCCTTGGCTGACCACCATGTCGGGCTGGGCTTAGGGACTGGGGTCCTTTGAATCCCCACCGTCCCCTGCCTCGTCCCCACACTCATTCATCCATTCAGTGAAAACCCCTCTGTCAAATGCGGCTCATGTCACATGCGGCTCATGTTAGATGCTGTTTGGGACACTTGGGAGGCCTCAGTGGGCAATAGATTAAATTCCTCCTCCTAGCTTGAGGGGGTGCATGTGTCCATCCCCACCTTCTCCTCAAATCTCTCAGAGGACAAAGCAGGGGCCACGGCTCTCCCACGGCATCCTCTATACAGCCATGGAGGCTGGAGCAGAGATGGACCAACAAAGGGGTCCATCTGCCACACCCCCCATCTACTTCCCTTCTGTTGAAGATGGGAAGGTCATGGCTGTCTCAGTGTGGCAAGCTCCCACCTGGAACTGGACACCATAAAATCTTGCTAGACAGGGACGGATTTCAAGGTGGTCTTGGGAGGCACCTCCGCCACGGCCTGAGATCCTGCAGCACCCTCGCCCGGATCACAACCAGAGCAGGAGGTGTCTTTGGGCCACCGCTCTTTTGAGACGATCCGGGGGCGTTCAGGGAGCAGGAGGAGGAAACCGAGGCAGCTGGGTGGAGAAGCACCTCTGTGCCTGGTGGCCTGCTGTGTCAGCCCCTCCTCATGTGGCACCTGCATCTCTGGGAGGGAGCCCTTTTCCTGGGGCCTGAACTTCCCAGGGCCATGCCTGCTCATGCCTGCCCCTGGGACTCCTGGCCCAGGGTTTTGAGTCCAGCAAGGGACAGAAGGTAAGTTCGTGGGCTCTGAGGTCTACTGGGCCTGAGTTTGCATTTGGATCAGTGGTGAGCCCTTGGACAAGATGTTTCACCGCTCCGAGCCTCAGTTTCCCTCATCTGTTAATGGGGATATGAGCTCACACATGGGGAGCACTGGGCGTCACAGTGCCTGGACACAGCAGCTCTAACAGGATTGCATGTGTCAGTTTCCTATGCCTGCTGTCACCACACACTTCACAGCTTAAAACAACACGGATTTATCATCTTACAGTTCTGGAGGTTGGAGGTCCAAAATGGTCCCTTGAAGGTGTAAATCAAAAATAAAATTCTGGCTGGGCGCGGTGGCTCACACCTGTAATCTCAGCACTTTGGGAGGCCGAGGTGGGCGGATCACGAGGTCAGGAGATCGAGACCATTGTGGCAAACACGGTGAAACCCTGTCTCTACTAAAAATAGAAAAAATTAGCCAGGCGTGGTAGCGGCGCTACTTGGGAGCTGAGGCAGGCGAATGGCATGAACCCAGGAGGCGGAGCTTGCAGTGAGCTGAGATCGCACCACTGCACTCCAGCCTGGGCGACACAGCGAGACTCCATCTCAAAAAAACAAAAACAAAAACAAAAATTAATAAAATAAAATTCGAAGATCCCCCCAACCATCTGAATGGACTCCCTCCTCTTGGCCAGGGCACTCCTCATTATGACCTCCTCCCTTTTGGAATTCAGGAAAAGCTGACTAACATTGAACATCAACACAGACTTCATCTGATAAGAAACATTCATGATCTACTCTCTATGAAGCCTGCTACCTGGAGGTATCATCTGCATGATAAAACTCTGGTCTCTACAACTTCTTACCATAACCCAGACACTCCTTTCTACGGATAATAACTCTTTCAACCAATTGCCAATCAGAAACATTTTATTTCTTAATTTATTATTTTACTATTATTATTTTTTTCTGAGAGGGAGTCTCGCTCTGTTGTCTAGGCTGGAGTGCAATGGCGTGATCTCGGCTCATTGCACCCTCCACCTCCTGGGTTCAAGCGATTCTCCTCCCTTGGCCTCCTGAGTAACCGGGATTACAGGCATGCACCACCACACCTAGCTAATTTTTTGTATTTTTAGTAGGGATGGGGTTTCACCATATTGGCCAGGTTGGTCTCGAACTCCTGACTTCAGGTGATCCTCCCACCTCGGCCTCCCAAAGTGCTGGGATTACAGGCATGAGCCACCATGCTGGGCCGAGAAACAATTTAAATCTACCTATATCCTGGAAGCCCTCCCCTCCCACTGCTTCAAGTCATCCCGCCTTGTGAACTGATCCAATGTATATTTTAAGTGTATCTGATTGATGTCTCATGTCTCCCTAAAATGTATAAAACCACGCTGTGCCCTGACCTCCTTGGGCACATGTCGTCAGGACTTCCTGAGGCTGTGTGATGAGCACATTCTTAACCTTGGCAAAATGAACTTTCTAAATGGATTGAGACCTGTCTTGGATCCTTCTGGGCTCGCAGAGGCTAAAGTCAATGTGTTGGCCGGGCTGCGTTCCTTCCAGAGGCTCTAGGGGAGAACCTACCTCCTTTCCTTTTCCAGCTTTTGGAGGCTGCCTGGATCCCCCGGCTTGTGGCCTCTTCCTCCGCCTTCAAAGCCAGCGAAATGGCTGGTGGAGTCTTTCTGGTGCTGTCTCACTCTGACACTCTTGTTTTGTCTCCCTCTTCTATATATAAGGATCCTTGTGTAGGAGTGACAGAACCTTCTCTCTCTCTCCTGGAGGTTCAGTATTCGAGCCTGAAAAATGCACTCAGCAGGAGACAGATGAGCAGGAGGAAAGACACACATTTATGAGGTGCATGTGCACAGGGGTCACACAGGGTAGGCGCCTCCAAGAAGGACCGGATGGTTGAAGCTTAAATAGCATTTTGAGCTACAGAAAGAATTAGGGGCTTACAGGCTCCTGGAGGGTGGTGGCGACCAGCAATGGAGGGTGAGGGCAGGAGCTGCACTGGGAACAAAGGCATTAGTCTCTCCTCTGGTTAGTGTGGGTTCCGGGGCCAAGACAATTGCATTCCTTCTGGAGGAACTTCCCTTAGATAAGGGAAGCTTCAGGAAAGCCCCTCCCTGTGCTTTGGGAAAGAAAGGATGGAGACACAGGATGGAGACTGGAGAAGGGCAGAGAGACCTTCGTTCTGAGGCTGCTGCTTCAGTTCAAAATACAGCCCTCTGCATCGGTGCATTCCACATCTGCAGATTCAACCAATTGCTAATGGAAAACATTAAAAAACAATCATAACAATACAACATTTACAAATAATACTGGCTAGGCATGGCAGCTCATGCCTGTAATCCCAGCACTTTGGGAGGCTGAGGCGAGTGGATCAGTCGAGGTCAGGAGTTTGAGATCAGCCTGGCCAACATGGTGAAACCTCGTCTCTACTAAAAATACAAAAATTAGCCAGGCCTGGTGGTGCCTGGCTGTAATCCCAGCTACTTGGGAAGCTGAGGCAGGAGAATCTCTTGAACTCGGGAGGCAGAGGTTGCAGTGAGCTGGGCGACAGAGCGAGACTCGGTCTCCAAAAAAAAAACACACATTTAAAAATTAACTATTTACATAGCATTTATGTTGTGTTAGGTATTATAAGTAATCTAGCGATGCTGTAAGGTATATGGGAGGATATGTACAGATAACATGCAAATATGATATAAGGAAATTAAGCATCCTTAGATTTTGGTACCTGCAGGGGTGCTGGAACCAATCCTGCATGGATACTGAGGGATGACTGTACTTAGCATGTCAAAGCGCCATATTTTGAGGTGTCATTTTCTGACTTCCAGCACTTGAGGTTACATTAGGCCTGTAACAGTGAAGAAGCAAAGAACAAACATCACTCCCTCCATTTGTGTTTAAGAGGCCTTTACTCATTCCTGCACGTCTGCTAGGATAATTTTAGAGCACTGAGACAAAATGCAAAACAGCAATCATGTAGTTTTTGAAACTCTGGGATTAAAGGCGAAGTCTGTAAACAACTAGCTATGTTTTATTGACAGTTTACAGGCACACTGTGACCGGACCAAGGACAAATAAGTTCTCAACCTCTTCTGACCCTCACTGATGTTCAGATGTCTGTGGTCCTTCATCACCTCTAGATCCCAATGCCCTCCTCTTCCCCATATCCCCTTGCCACAAAAACCCTCTGGCTAGCCTAAAAAATTGGAGTTGTTACTTTTGAACACTAGTTCACCATCTTCCTGGTTTTGCTGGCTTCCTGAATAAACCTGCTTTTCCTCTGTCCAACCTTACTGCTCATGTCTGGCTTTTGGGTGGCAAGCAGCTGAACCTGGGTTCGGTTGAAGGCCCACCCAGATAATCTAGGATAACCTCTGCATTTTTTTTTTTTTTTTTGAGACAGAGTTTTGCTCTTGCCCAGGCTGGAGTGCAATGGCATGATCTCGGCTCACTGCCACCTCCGCCTCCTGGGTTCAACTGATTCTCCTGCCTCAGTCTCCTGAGTAGCTGGGATTACAGGTATGCGCCACCATGCCTGGCTAATTTTTGTATTTTTAGTAGAGATGGGGTTTCTCCATGTTGGTCAGGCTGGTCTCGAACTCCTGACCTCAGGTGATCCGCCCACCTAAGCCTCCCAAAGTGTTGGGATGACAGGCGTGAGCCACCACTCCTGACCTAATCTCTGCATTTTAAACTCAGTTGGTTAGCAACCTAATTCTCACAGGTTCTGAGGATTAAGAGGTGGACATCTTTGGGGACTGATTCTGCTGATCCCATATTTCTGCAGTGATCTGTGATCTAACCAGAGAAACTGTTCAGAAAGAAAGGGGGTCTGTATTCGTCCTTTCTCACGTTGCTATAAAGAAACACTGGAGACTGAGTAATTTATAAAGAAAAGAGGTTTAATTGGCTCACTATTCCACAGACTACAGGAAGGATGGCTGGGGAGGCCTCAGGAAACTTACAGTCACAGCGGAAGGCAAAGAGGAAGCAGGCAGCGGCTTCGTGGCAGGAGCAGGAGGAAGGCGGTGGGGAGGTGCTACATACTTTTAAACAACTGGATCTTGTGAGAACTCACTATCACGAGAACAGCAAGGGGGAATTCTGCGCCCTGATCCAGTCACCTCCCACCAGGCTCCTCCTCCAACAGTGGGGATTACAATTCGACATGAGATTTGAGTGGGGACACAGATCCAAACCATATCAGTGTCATTAAAAAAATAGTTGCCCTGCTAACTTTTTTAATCCCCTGTAACTCTAAATAAAATAATGATGTGAACATAACACATTTAGAGTCCCTGGTTCATTTCCTGGCTGTATTAGTCTGTTTTCACACTGGTATAAAGATACTACCTGAGACTGGGTAATTCAGGAAGGAAAGAAGTTTAATTGATTCACAGTTCCATGTGGCTGGGGAGGCCTCAGGAAACTTACAATTAGGGCGGAAGGGGAAGCAGCCATCTTCTTCACAAGGTGGCAGGAGAGAGAAGAATGAGGAATGAGGGGGAAGAGCCTCTTATAAAACCATCACATCTCATGAGAACGCACTCGCTATCTCGAAAACAGCATGAGGGAAATCACCTCCATGATCCAATCACCTCCCACGGGGTTCCTCCCTCAACACGGTGAGGATTATGGGGATTACAATTCCAGATGAGATTTGGGTAGGGACAGAGAGTCAAACCGTATCACTGGCATATAGTAGATGCTCAATAAGTGGAATCTCCTGATCATGATAAAGTGTTCGCCTGTGTTTCCAGCACTGGGATGGGGCCTATGTGGAGGAGGAGGGCTGCCTGTCTGGTTGGTGCCTGCTTGGCTGGCCACACACACCCCAGACACAGTGGTTACCTTTCCTGCAGAACAGGGCAAGTACAATAGCTCTGCTCGCAGCTCCCACAAGCTGTGCGGTAGAATGGCCTTCTGTCATAAATAAAAATAAATCCTAGACGCTGCCTTTCAATCAGAGGATTAGTCTAAATGTTGTGAAACAGAAAGCATAAAATATGCATTGGAGAAGCAGCTCTCCCCACCTCGTGGCCTCTGCACTCGAGGTGGCTAGTGTGTGAGGGCCAGTTGTCCCCGCGCAGTGCCACTGTTGCTGATTTGTACGCGGTGTCAGTAAATGCTGTTATGACATTATTAATGCTGCACACTACGGCAAAGGACAATGGCCTATTGCCTCGTAATGTGCTGTGTGCTGCTGCAGTCGGAGCACATTAAATGGGGATTTCAAACATGGTAAATGGCTTGTTTCTCTTCTCCCTCTACACACCCCAGGCCCCGTCTATGAGCTCTAAAAACAACCTTGAAGCCTTCAGAAGGTAGGAGTGGCAGTCGAGCCTCTGATGCCCAGTGAGGCTCCAGCGGGACCAGTGAGGGGGTCCAGGGGTCCCTAGGAAGCAGCCCAGCCTTCCCACCCCCAGAGTGCACCTAGGACTGTTGACTTTCCTCGCTGGGGCAGGCAGGTGTCTGGGCAGCTTGGCCTGAGGCTTGAGGGTGGTGGGGTAGTTCAGGGAAGCTGGACTTGCCAGGTGGGTGGGCTGGTGGGCTCACTGCTCTGCCCTCCAGTGACACGCGCAGGGGGCCCAGATGGTAGGCCTTCCGGTGGATTTTATTGGTCTTGCACAATGTTCTAAAAATACTGAGCCTACATTTTAAAATTATGCGACTTCACAGGAGAAGCCCAGATTTCTGGCTTCTCTTGAAATAACTGGGCCCACAGTCACACAATGCAATGGTGACGTGTCCCCTTCGGGGGCTGCAGCCCTTGACGGTCTTTAGCCACACTGGTCATTTGAACTAGGTCCCCGTAGTGGGTTAAACAGTTTCTTCCCCAATCCATGTCTTCCCAGAACCTCAGACTCTGACCTTATTGGGAAATAGAGTCTTTGCAGATTTAACTAGTTAAGATGAGGTCCTGTAGGATTAGGGTGGGCCCTAAATCAATGAGTAGTGTCCTTACCAGAGGAGGGATTTTCAGGCACACAGAGATACGCCCAGAGAAGGCCAGATGGAGATAAGGCAGAGACTAGAGTGAGGTAGCTACAAGCCAAGGGCTGCCTGGGGCTACCAGGAGCTGGGAGAAAAGCCTGGGGTGGTTTATCTCTCAGAGCCTGGAAGAAATGGACCGTATCAACACCTTGATTTCAGACTTCTGGACTTCAGGAAGCTGAGGCAGGAGGATCGCTTGAGCCCAGGAGATCGAGGCCGCAGTGAGCTATGAGTGCACCACCGCACTCCAGCCTGTGTGACAGTGCGATGCCCTTTCTTATAAAATAACAAATAGATAAACAAGGACTGGCATCAGGTGTCCCTGTTTCCAAACCCCATCCCTTTTCACTGTTTCTTGAGGCTATCAACAGACCCACAACCAGCCAAATGCAGAGCAGGAGGCACATTCGCCCAGGTGCCCTAAATATAGCACTTCCAGCCCCTCCCCTTGAGCAGGGTGAATGTGAAGAAATAAATTCCAGTTGCCTTAAACCACGCAGGTTGTTGTGGTTTGTTGCGATTGCCTGGGAAACACCCCACTCCCCTTCCCTTGTTTTCTGGCCCACCCTGTCAGTATTTTGAGTTTGGACCTCTGAATGGCAGGACTTACCTCACTGCACCCTTCCCGAGTCCTCTGCCTGTTTGGACACAGGCCTCCACTGCCTGGCCAGGGAATTCTGCTGACTGTGGGCTTCTTCTGACCCCTCCAGCCAGGCCAGCAGGACCCAGGGGCAGGGGGAGGGGCTGGAAATGCTTTTTTTTATTATTGTTGTTGTTTTTTGAGACGGAGTCTTGCACCGTTGCCTGGGCTGGAGTGCAGTGGCACAATCTCGGCTCACTGCAACCTCTGCCTCCCAGGTTCAAGCGATTCTCCTGCCTCAGCCTCCTGAGTAGCTGGGATTATTGTATTAGTAGAGACGGGGTTTCACCATGTTGGTCAGGCTAGTCTCGAACTCCTGACCTCATGATCTGCCCACCTCGGCCTCCTAAAGTGCTGGGATTATAGGCGTGAGCCACCGCACCTGGCTTTTTTTTTTTTTTTTTTTTTTTTTGAGACGGAGTCTTGCACTGTGGTCCAGGCTAGAGTGCAGTGGTGTGATCTCAGCTCACTGCAGCCTCCATCTCCCAGGTTCAAGCGATTCTCCTGCCTCAGTCTCCTGAGTAGCTGGGATTACAGTCACCCGCCACCAGACCCAACTAATTTTTTGTATTTTTAGTAGAGACGGGGTTTCACTATGTTAGCCAGGCTGGTCTCGAATGCCTGACCTTGTGATCCACTCGCCTTGGCCTCCCAAAGTGGTGAGATTACAGGCATGAGCCACCGCGCCCTGCCAGGAACTGCTATATTTAGGGCACCCGGGTGAATGTGCATCCTGCTCTGCATTTGGCTGGTTGTGGGTCTGTTGATAGCTTCAGGAGAGAAACAGTGAAGAGGGATGGGGTTTGGAAATGGGTACACCTGATGTCAGTCCTTATTTATTTATTATTTTATAAGAGACAGGGCGTCGCACTGTCACACAGGCTGGAGTGCGGTGGTGCGCTCATAGCTTACTGCGGCCTCGATCTCCTGGGCTCAAGTGATCCTCCTGCCTCAGCTTCCTGCGTAGCTGGGACTACAGGTGCATGACACCACACCTGGATAAGTTTTAAAGTTTTTGGTAGAGATGGGGTCTCACTATGTTGCTCAGGCTGGTTGTCTCAAGCTCTTGGCTTAGGCATTCCTTCTGCCTTAGACTCCCAAAGTGCTGGGATTACGGGCGTGAGTCACGGCGCCTGGCCCACCGTCAGTCCTTGGCCGGGCCCTGCAGCAGGTGCCGCCGTTCCTACTCCCCTGTTCTCTGGCTTGCTTCCAGAGACTTTCCTTTCTCCTCAGGAGGCCACAAGTATTTGTCTAGAACAGTGCTTCCCCACCTTGCCTGTGTCGGCATAACCTGTGGCATCAATGCACCAGCGTGCCCAGGCTGCACCTCAGGTACTGGATCAGAATAAGGACAATTTTGCTAAATTCTGCAGGTGATTCTGCTGGAATCTGGGCTGAGAACCACCAGTCGATGAGGCAGGATCTTGGGATCTTGGTGTGGGTCCCCCAGAAACAGATGCTCAGAATAGGATTCTGCAAGTGGTTTATTTGGATGGTGACCCCAGGAACATTGACCGGGGAGTGGAATGAGACAGGAGGGAAGGGAGTGAACACAGGGGCATCACAGGGCTGGCTACACCACGGGTGACTGGAGCTCAAACTTGCTGGGAACCTGGGGAGCCACGGGGTAACACGCCGCGGAGTATCCCCCTTAGGAAGAGGGAGTGGGGGTGTCTATCCACTGCTTGAGGGCTGCTGCCAGGGTGTTGATCCTTTGTCCAGGGTCCTTTCTTCTTGCCCTTTTGTGTTCTAGCATATTCCCACAGCCATTAAAAAAAAGTCCTCAGGCAGAGAGTTGAAGGTGTTCTCAGTCATCTGCCTCTTAGCTTGCAGAGGTGACTGCAGTGGGAACCAGGACTGGGCACAAACAGCATCTGTTCCTGACGGACAGTAACAACCATCAGAACCACCATGCTTGAAAGGCTCAGGAGGTCCTGGCAACGGGCTACTTACCTGCATTAAGCGGCTCAATCCTCAGAACAGCTCTATGAAGCAGGTTATAAGGAGCCCCACTTATAGTTGAGGAAACTGAGGCATGAAGAGGTTATACCCAAGACTGCATGATGTGGGATTCACAGTTTTTCTCCTAATGCCTACAGCACAGTGGAGAGCAAGCAGGACTGTTTACACTGAACTTTACTGCAGACAAGAGGCCAAAAAAAGGGGACAGACTTCAAAAGGGACAGGCAGCTGGACAATCTGGCTTGCAAAATGCCACTGGCTGGCCCAGCATAGTGGCTCATGCCTGTAATACCAGCACTTTGGGAGGCCGAGGCAAGCGGATCACTTGAGGTCAGGAGTTTGAGAGCAGCCTGGCCAACATGGCGAAACCTGTCTCTACTAAAAATACAAAAATTTTGCATTTTTATAGGCATTTATTACAGGTATCGTGGCACGTGCCTGTAATCCCAGCTACTCAAGAGGCTGAGGCAGAAGAATCTCTTGAACCCAAAAGGCGGAGTTTGCAGTGAGCCGAGATTGCGCCACTGTACTCCAGCCTGGGAAACAGAGCGAGACTCCATCTCAAAAAAAAAAAAAAAAAAAAAAAAAAGTCACTGGCTGTCCTCTGCTTGCTTCCCTCCCTGGCCCAAGCCAGCCGTCAAATGGCAGAGAGGCTTTCCCGCTCCAACTTCAAAGTCCAGATCTAAGGGTGTGTGGCCCAGGGGAAGAGGGGAGTACCTTCCCCTACCTTCTAAATTCTGGCTTCTGTGGAGGGTAGGCCACCTCCCCAGATGACCCACACCAGAGGTGGCCATGCCTTCTAGGGAACCCCATCTCCACCACTGAGGAAGAGGCTTCCCCTTTGGCCTAAAATGGCAACCAGATATAAATGCCACCCCCTAAGCCTACTCAATCAGAAGAACCCCCAATCAGAAGAGAGACACCTAATCAGAAGGACCATTTCATTCCTTAGTGTAGATATGGCTTATTGCCAGGATTTGTGGCAGATGTAGGCACCCAGGCATGAGATGTGATTTACAGGCCTGGCAGAGACCTCTGCCCTCCAACATCTCCTTAGCCAGCCTGCCACGATGCCCAAATTTCCGGCCACCATTCATCACTCTTCTGCACAAAGGCACGGTCAGCATGTCCTTGTTCAATGCAAATTTGTTACCTAGCCTGTGTAACACATTATATCTGCTAACACCAATTTATCACCCATTTTCACATTAGCAGAGAGCAAGGCAGTGAGATAATGGAACTCAGCACCGGTAAATTTTGATGAAGAAGGAGCAGCAAAGCAGAGAGCGTGAGTCATGGCCAGTGAGTAATGGCCCAGGAAGGGGGCCGGGAGGTGGGCAGGGCAGGCAGCAAGGGGCCTGGGTATGGGGGATTGGAGGGGACCAGGCCCAGCTGGAGGAAAATAAAGTCTCCTCCTCGCATAAGCCAGGCTGCAGCATCGTGGCCTGAGCTGGGAAGACCCTCAGAGTCATTTGACACATGACTGAGGCTTTGGGCACTTCCCAGGGTGGGGTGGTCAGATATGACCTCGGGAAGTGCTTTTGAAGCCGGAGAGCTTTCTTCAGGCTGGCTCTGCGAGCTCCCAGGAGTCTCTGTCTCTGCAACTGCAAACACATCTCCAGAGCCAGGAAGTACGAGGAGGGGGAGGGGAGGACGCCTAGATGCTAAGAGACGACATGAGATCCTACATGCTTTAGGGTTGCAAGGGACCTTGGTGAGCTTCTGGTCACTATCATTTCATAATGGAGACTCTGAGACGTGCACACTTGATCGCCCACTGGCTAGTGGAGGATCTGGGGCTACAACTCAGTACGCCCCTGCGCCTGGCTCTGTGAGCGGGCCCCAGCACCACAGGCCGAGTTTATACTCAGATCAGTAAGCAAAGAGGAGCCACGGGAGTTTCTGACCAGGGAGGGGCAGAAGATAGGCATGTGTTGCCAAGCGAAATCGTGGGAAGCGGCTGATGAGGAAGCCCACGGAGGCACCTGGCAGAAGAGAAGGGTCTCCGCTGGGTGCGCATCTCTTCTGTGCTCTGCGGGAGCCAAAGCAGCTTTCGGCCCTCGGGGCTGGTGGCGCCCTGGGAAGCTGCTTGGCTCAGGGGAAGGAGCAGGGACCCCCGCCCGCCCGTCCTCGAAGCTGGTCCTCGGCGTCCCAGCCCCGCACGGCCCCGGGCAGGGCGCACAGCGGGGCTGCGGCCACGAGGTGGCGCCGGCGCGCCTTGGAAGCGCAGCTGCAGCTCCCGGGCCGCCCCAGCGCCGCTCGGCCGCCTCCTCCGAGGAACAATGCGGCGCCTCCGGGCGTAGCGTCGCGCGGGGCCGGACGCCGGACACCAGAGCGCGGGCGGCGGAGCCAGCGGGCGAGAGAGCGCGCGGCGGGCGCGGGTTGCCCTCGTCGAGAGCCATGGGCGCGGCGCGGCGCGGGGCTGAGGATCGGCGCGGCCCGGAGGCGCTGGGGACCGGGGCGCGGGCCCGGGGCCGCCTTTAGCCGGCACCGAGGGCGCGGGGCCGGGGATGAGGGCGCCCGCCGCGGGGAGCCCGTCTGCGCGCCGCGGCACCTTCCCGCCCAGCGAGCGAGCCCGAGCAGGCAGACGCGCGGCCGGCGGTCTGGGGGCGCGCCGCCTCCCGGTCCCCAAAATGTGAAGCGGGGAGGGCGGAGACGCAGAGACGGCCCGGCCGGGCGCCCTCGCCGCCCTCCGGCAGCCGCGCCGCTCCCTCCGCTGCACGCCCAGGCCTGAGCAGCGAGGCCACCGGGCCGCGCGCTCCCAGCTTCGCTCGGACGCGGCTTCGGCCCGCAGAGGGTTCGTGGCCCGGACGCGGCGAGAGCTGGGCCCAGGACGGTGCGTCCGGCCTCGCCCGCGGCTGCTCGCACCAACAAGTTTGAACAATGATCACCGTCAACCCCGATGGGAAGATAATGGTCAGAAGATGCCTGGTCACCCTGAGACCCTTTCGGTAAAGTTCCCTCCTGGTTGGTTTTTTCCCCAGGGGGGCGCCGGGTGGAGGTGGGCGAGGTCGGTTCCTGCGAACGTTCAAGTCCTGGTGGCAGAGGGGGCGGTTCACACTTCAACCCCTGGTGATGACCAGTGGGGCTGGGCTGGGGGAACGGATGGCGTTGGGGTTCGGGGTGCGGATGGGGAGGGTTGTGTTATTCGGGGACCTGTCCCGAGTTGGGCAGGGTTGGAGAGGACTCGGGGTGCAGAGGTAAGAATGGGGGCAGAAAACCCCCAGGTCGTGGTCCTGGGCCCAGAAAGTTGCCCCAGCCTGCGCGCCCCTTCCCAGCCCCTCAGGGTCCTTCCTCACCCCGCGGACGGTCCCATCCGGGTGGCAAAGTTAGTGTGCGGCGCCTTGGAGCTCCCCCTCCGGTCCCTCCCGTCCCGCCCGTCTGCCCCTAGGTCGGCTACCCCCCAACCCCTCCGCCTGTGCCACCCTCTCCCCAGCCTTTGGTGGCACTGCTCTCCTCCCCGCGGGGCTCGGGCCTGGCTCCGACGAGAGGGTCCCGAGATTAGAGCGAGGACTCGCTCATCCCAGGATTCGCCCCCGATCGCAGGCGTCGGAGAGGCGGGGGCAGGGGCGGCGCTGCAGGGCTACGGGGCGGCTGGAGCCGAGGCTGCGGCGGAGCGTGGTGGGCGGGCGGTGGCGAAGGCGACACGCTTCGGGCGGCCAACACCTGGGGGCCCAGGCCAGGCAGGGCTGGGGCCGCGCGGGACTCACTGGACCCAGCCAGGGGCCCCCAGGGCCCAGCGGTGCCGGGGCAGCCCCCTCTCCTCCCAGGCATCCGCGGAACCGGCCCGCAGCGGGGTGGGGAGGGGGCGCTGCCCAGTGGACGCCCGGCGGGGCCCGAGTGTCACCCCGTGGGTAGCTGGGCAGCGAGGAAGCTGGGGGAGTGACCGCCCCGGCGCGGGGGCCGGACTCGGGACGTGGCCACAGGTGGGCTCCGGGCGCGGGAAGGAGCCCGAGAAGGCGGAGCTTGCAGGGGCCCTGAACTCTTGCCCTCCAGGTCTCGGCCCAGCCCCACTGTGGTCCCCCTGCCGGCTCCAGACGGGGATGGGGGCGGGGAGACGGTGGCTCACCTGGAGCCCGCCTCCCAGCACACCGGGCCTGTCTGCTGGGCCGAGGAGGCAACCCCAGGGGACGGCAGGGGTCAGGCTGGACCTCTGCGGTCCGGGGGTCCGGGAGGCCCGGAGAGCTGGTGCAGGCCGTGGGTGGTGATGGGGGCGTCGGGAGCCCATGGGAAGCAGGGCGGGAAGCAGGCGTCTCTGGAAAGGGCCTTGCTCCTCCAGGGAAGGCCTTGAATCCCTGGCCTGACTGGGAACGCTGGAGGGTCCTCGCCCCTTCCGACCCCATCCCTGTCCCGCCCTCCGGGCCGCTGGGTGTTTCCTGGCGCGATTGGAAGCAGCCGCGAGACCCCAGCACCACGGACAGTGCTCGCGACCCAGGGCTGCTTCCCTGTCTGGTCCTGCCCTGGTTTTCTTTCAGGCCCTTATCTGAAGGCAGGATTGGGGGTGGAGGTGCATGGGTCCCCAAAGTTGTGTAACTTCACCCCAGGGTCTCCCTGGGCTGCCCGGAGACCCGCAGCCATCAGTGAGTCCCTTCAGTTGAGGTGGGGGGCAGGCTGCAATCATAGCACCCCAGCTTATTCATCCTCAAAGGCAGGCTGGGGTCCTGTTCCCTGTGGTTTTCCCAGGGCTGCTGGCAGGGTCTTTATTCCATAGGTGCCCCTGGAATGTTGCTTGAGTGGATACATGGATGGCTGAAGCCATTTTAACTTGAATCCACTCCAAATGGCCCCCAGCTGCCTTGGGGGACATTGAACCCCAGGATGGGGTTCTGGCAGAGGGAGATGCAGATGAGGTGTGTTAGGGGGCTTCAGGTTCTGGGCTGAAGGGGGTAGACACCTTTCTCATAGCAGGGTTGTTGGATCCTGGCAGGCAGCCCAGGTCCCCAGCTCTAAATACAACTCCTTCACTCCCCTGGCCTCTTCTCCAGGGACTAGAGACATGAGTGGGGGAAGTCCGTCCTTGTCCTCAGACTGGGAGGACAAATAGCTGATTTCCCCTGGGATCTCCCTGAGCATGGGACAGCACCTCTCCTGTGCCATGGCCGTGGCTGTTGTCTCCAGAGCCACCTGACTTCCTCTGAGGGACCCCAAGATCTGAGCCCCACCCCCAGGCTTGGTGGAATTCCGTGAGGCGTCCCTCTGCGCTAAGGAAAGTGTCCCTTGCGCGGTCTTGCCTACTGAATCATGTCTCCTGTCCTTCCTGCTGGGGGTGTGGTCTTCGAGTCTCTCCTTGGAGCTCCCAAGCCCCTCTCTGCTTTGGGGTTCTCCTCTTCTCTGCCCAAATCTCTAACAGCTTCCTTTAAATATGGGCTGGGAATTTTGTTGTGCTTTTTATTTCCTTCTGCAATTATATGTTTTCTTTAATGGACCAAATTTTAATTAAATACTGCTCTGCCAGTTTCAAATAATGAAGATTAAAATGCATAAAGCAAGTCTTGCATAAAGACACAAACAAGCATGGAACTTGAGGGCGGGGAGTGGAGGGGCAAGGCCCGGAGGTCTCTGGCATGACGTGGGGCTCTCTCCAGGGAGCCTGACTCCACACAAGATGGGGTTCCTCACCCTGATCTGGGGTTGGTGGGAGGGCGCCCCTCTCAGCTCTACCAGTTCATCAAGTCCTCTGATAGGTTCAAGTTCCCAGAAGAGCCCCAAGGCTGTGCTGGTGAGCTCAGCTTGCCTGTTTGGGGCCTAGGATTGATGAGGGAAGCAGCAGGACCCTGGGTCTGGACTTGAGGAAGGAAGGGTTCTGTGCCTTGTTCCCTGCTGTCCCCCTGGGGTTACCCCAGAGCCTGGCTCCTGCTGGATAATCAATAACTACATGTTGAAGGCAGGAACAGGAGTCCTGTTCTGACCAGCCCTCCCTCCCACCCAGTGTGACAGCACACACACCTATATGACACCCCTTGCACAGGTATGAGGACACCCTGGCCAGTCCGTGGTGCAGGCTGATGACCCTGGGCGTGCCTGCCTAGGGGAGATGTGTGTTGGGGGGAGCCTGGGCATGGGCCGTGTGGCTCTGCCCTGGACATCTTACCATCTAGTGGTGGAAGTGGAGGGGGGTGTTCAAACAAGCTCATGACTGCTGCAGCAAGGCCTCTGCACACTGCACCAAGGCTGGCCTGAGTGATTGATGGGGTCTGGCTGGCCTCAGGCCCTGCTGTGTCCATCACTGGTTCTCAAACTTTAGCATGCAGTGGAATCTTCAGGAGACTTTGCTAAAACAGCTTGCTTGCTCCACCCCAGAGTATCTGATTCAGTAATTTGGGGTCTGGGCCCGGCATTGGCATTTCTAAGGAGTCTCAGGTGATGCTGACTGCTCGTCTGGGGACTGCACTTTCAGGACTGCAGCTGTTAATGAACCAGCTCTGCCTGGAGGCTAGAGCCCGCCTGCCTCATGCCTAAGTGTGCGTCATTCTGCCTTGTGGTTTCTCGTGTGGCTCGAGGCCAGCATCTTGTAGTTGAGCTCTCTTTATCCTATAGTGGGGGGGCCCTCCTGGGTCTGGAGCTCAGCCCCCATCCTTTCATTCTCCCTTGCTTCCTTCACTCATGCACTCATTCGTAAAACATTTGTGCAGCCGGTACGTGGTGGAGCGTCAGGGCACGATGGCCCTTCCTGCCCTCCTGACCCGCCTCCTTCCTCTCCGCAGGCTTTTTGTCCTGGGCATCGGCTTCTTCACTCTCTGCTTCCTGATGACGTCTCTGGGAGGCCAGTTCTCGGCCCGGCGCCTGGGGGACTCGCCATTCACCATCCGCACAGAAGGTACCTTGGTGGGGCAAGGGGAGTGTGAGATGAGTGAGGGCGTTTGTGGGTCAAAGAGGAAGTGCCTCTGAGCCTAGCCCTGTACCTGGCTTTCTGGCCGCCCTGTAGGTGGATGTGAGTGGAGGGGGCCTGGGCTTGGGCCGTATGACCCTCCATGCACTTTGGCTCTGGTCTGGCTGTGGTCATCAGGTTTCCTCTGGCCTGGATTCTCAGGCCAGGCTAGGGCCTTTAAGCCAGGGTCTTCCAGGCCTCAGAAGAGGCTGCCAGTGTTGCTTCTTTAGTTGGGTGTCAGGGGTGAGAGGTCTCTGGATATGACACTTGTCTCCTTGAGGCACACATTTCCTTGCCTTTGGCCCAGGCTGTGGCCATGTGGGAACGGGCCTGGCCATGGGCTTAAATGTCTTATCTCTGAGCTCTTGGGACACAGCTCCCTCCCAGGCCCCATCACTCCTTGCCCACACGATATTTGCAAGGCAGTGGAATGGAGATCAGAGCATGGGCTTTGGGCGTCTGGTGGGTCTGGGCTTGCATCCTTGTCATCACCTACCAGCTGTGTGCCTTTGGCTGAGTCACCTGGCTTCCCTACAGAGAAGGACAGCAGTGACCTTCTGCAGAGGTTGGATTGAAGGGGCTCACACGTGGACATTACCCAGCATGGTTGGTGC
Source organism: Homo sapiens (assembly GCF_000001405.40). Taxonomy (NCBI): domain Eukaryota; kingdom Metazoa; phylum Chordata; class Mammalia; order Primates; family Hominidae; genus Homo; species Homo sapiens. The sequence continues at coordinate 76,873,629 of NC_000017.11, forward strand.
CACATGGCACAAGAGTGACCAGCTGGGAGCCCTCCTCCTGAAGCTGGGCCCAGCCCCACCTCATCTCACCTAAGGAGGGGTGGGGGTCAGAACTGAGCCCTGCTCACTGTATCATGGGGGTTCTTTTGGTCACTGGTCAAAAGGAGGGACATGGGGTAGTGGGGAAACTGAGGCAAGTAGGTTTCTGGAACTGTTCGAGGGTTGGCTCTGTGAGATTCCCCTGCCCCTCTGGGGAAGTCTCTCCTTGAAGTCCACCTTCTTGAACTTGCAGGGCTTGGCTTTCTGGCTCCCCTGTTCTGAGTGATGAATATTGTAGACATCCCAAGTTAAATAGGTTGTCATCTGGGTGGGTGCTGAGGGGCTCTTATTATGCCATCTGTCATCTCATCATTAGATTCATTCCTCTGGTTTCACATGCACTTCTTTAAACTTGCAAAAGCCCTCAGAAGGAATCTCACGCTTATTAGTCATTCAAGCCTGAGTGTAAGTTAATTTATCCCGTCTCTGACTTGCAGAGATTCCTCAATCTCTGAGCCTCCAAATTTTCCTCTGGTAAATGGGGATGGTAATACCCACTTCCCAGGCTCGTTGCGAGGCTGTGCAAAGATAAAGCAAGGGAAGGGGCCTCAGCAGCATCTGTCAAACGGCGAGCACTCCATCAATACTTAATGGATGTGTCGAGTCTGAAATGGGGGCACTGCAGCAAAGCGTGTTTATGAAAGAGGACCAAGGAGGTGCTGGAGTGTCTGTGTGGGAGAGGCTGAGGATTGAGGTGGGTGGGGATGGGAGGGAGCAGTCGTGAAGGTGAACCGGAAGGGTGGCTTGGGGAAGGGCTGGTGGGAAAAGTGGTGCATGGGAAGATGGGGTGTAGACAGAGATTCATAAACTACCTGGCTGCCACCCCTGGAAAGGAGGTGTGCCTATCTGGGTGGGCTGCTACAGAGGCCTTGAGGAAGTTGAACCTCCAGAAAGGTCAGGGGTCTAAGAGGTGGGAATTAGGGATGGGGGAGAGGAGGGGTTTTTGGCCGGGCTCTGGTTTTTATGCCTATCTCCCTAAGGGGGTTAGAGAGTCAAGGTAACTCACCTACCCCATGGCTCTTGCCCCATCTGGGCAGGATCAGACTCAGTGCCCCAGAGTGCAAGGGGTGTAGGAGCCCTGCTGTGCTCGGTGCTATGCAGTTTTGCCTGGGTATGGGGGTGGGGGTCCAACCCCAGCTGCAGGTCTGGGTCTAAAGATGGATGGAACCACATAGGAGAGCACTTGCCCAAGGTCATACAATTGGACTAGAGGTGTGTGTGCATTCGTGTGTACATGTGCATGTGTGTGCATGTGTGTGTGCGTGTACGTGGTCTTAAACTTTTTAATGGGGTATCATATACACAAATGAACAATCCATGCAACTAACAACCCAGAGCAAGGACCAGAACGTGATCAGTCCCCAAGTGTCCCCATGCCACTTCACAGTCATTACTCACCCAAGGATAGTCACGACTTGACTTCTGATCACATAGAAGAGTTCTGCCTGTTTTTTGGACTTTGTGAGCATGGAATCGTTTCAGGAGTTGATATGGTTTGGCTGTATCCCCACCCAAATCTCATCTTGAATCGTAGTTCCCATAATCTCCACCTCTTGTGGGATAGACCCTGTGGGAGGTAATTGATTCATGGGGGTGGTTTACCTTGGTGCTGTTCTTGTGATGGTCAGTGAGTTCCCACAAGATCTGATGGTTTTATAAGGGGCTTTTTCCCTTTTGCTCGGTACTTCCCCTTCCTGCTGCCATGTGAAGAAGGACATGTTTGCTTCCCCTTCCACCATGATTGTAAGTTTCCTGAGGCCTCCCCAGCCATGCTGGACTCTGAGTCAATTCAACCTTTTTCATCTATAAATTACCCAGTCTCAGGTATGTCTTTAGTAGCAACGTTGAGAATGAACTAATAGAGGAGTAGTCTTTTGTGTGTGTCTTTTCTCTCAGTAGTACATGTGTGAGACTCACTATCTTGTATGCGGTTGTAGTCACTTGCACTTTTTTTTTTTTTTTTTTTTTTTTTGCTGTGTAGCCTTCCATTGTGTGAGTACACCACCATATTTTTATCCATCCGACCATTGGTGGGCATTTGGTCGTTTCCAGTTTTGGGCTTTTGCGAACAGTGCTGCTATGAATATTTCAGTGCACGTCTTTTGGTAAACATACGTAGGCATTTCTGTTGGGTATACCTAGGAGTGGAGATTCTACGTGTTGTAACATTAGTTCTCAGACCAAGTTTATCCAAGCCAGTCTTTTCACATTTCCCAGGCCTCAGAAGCTGAGTGCCTGGAATACAGAACTGAAGTCCGGGAGAAGGAGGAGACAGACAAGAAAAGGGCCGCTGAGAACCCAGGAGAGCTGACCCTGATTCACTTTAGATCCCGACTCGCATTGTCCTCCATGATTTCTTTCATACCCTTGGATCAAGCTAATCTGCTTGGGCAGACCCAAGGCAGGGACTCAGGCCGGGAAAGCAGTGTGCAATGTGGGTTTAACATCCTGATCCTGCAAGAGAAGCCCCTCAAACTACATCCCCACGCAGTGCCTGGGGCAGCCCTGCAGAAAACCTAGGAGGTACCAGCATTTCCACTTAGGAGATGCCTGAGGGAAGGATTAGGGCTTCACGGGGAGGTGCTTGGCAAATTGCTTGGCTGAATCAGGCCTGGGGAGGGATCTTGGAAGTCCTGGGCCAAGGTTGGATTGTTGGATAATGCACGTTTTGTTACCCAAAAGAAATCTGCGGAGTCTAGACAACCCCAGAGCAGAATCAGGAGAAGGAAACCCTCTAAGGCCCTGCTATTTAGAAAAAAAAAAAAAAAATTGCATTGGTCAACAAAACAATCTGTGTACAAATGGGAAAAACAATCTCTCCTCCCCTGTCAAACCGGTGACAGAAGTGGGGTCCCACATGGACTGTGGCTGCGAAGGGAGAGGGAGGAGAAGGCTTTTCTCGAAAAGAAGAGGAGGGCGTCATTCAGCCTCTTGTGGACTGTGGTCTATGTGTGGGGCCTCCAAATTCTCCTCTGTGCCTGTTTATACTTCATGATAAACTGCGTACTTTGGGGATGAAATGTGACTGACATCTCATTCTGTATTCTGCACACTCATCTTAAAGATTCAAGAGAGGAGGCTGCATGGGGAATCATGACCCGGAGGAGATCTGACTTCTTTCCCTCTTGCTGCATTTGGGCTGGGCCTGGGCTCTGGGGAGGGCTTTCCGGCATTGCCCCCTCCCAGGCAGCTCTGCCCCACTTCCCACCCCAGGTCCTCCTCCTGTTTCCTGCCCTTCCAGCCCTTCTCGCCTAGGCCTCCTTCCCCATGTGGCTGCAGATAGTGCTGTGAGGCTGTTTCCTGCCCTCTGACTTGTCTTGAAGAAGCAGTGGTAGGAGGCTGGGTGTGGTGGCTCACGCCTGTAATCCCAACACTTTGGGAGGCTGAGGCAGGTGGATCACCTGAGGTCAGGAGTTCGAGACCAGCCTGGCCAGCGTGGTGAAACCCCATCTCTACTAAAAATACAAAAATTAGCAGGGTGTGGTGGCACGTGCTGTCATCTCAGCTCCTCGGGAGGCTGAGGCAGGAGAATTGCTTGAACCAGGGAGGAGGAGGTTGCAGTGAACTGAGATTGCGCCACTGCACTCCAGCCTGGGTGACAGAGCAAGACTCTGTCTCGGCTTAAAAAAAAAAAAAAAAAAAAAAGTAGTGGTAGGAGGCTATCTTTTGGGAGGGGTCTGTAGGCTGAAGGTCCATGGCACAGCTGCATGTGTCTACTGGGCCCTGCCAGACCTCCCAGGCCTCCACCAGGGATTGAACCTGGGGAAGGCTACCTGGCTCTGTGGATGGCTCTGGCTCTGGCTCTGGCCCTTGGTACTAAGGGGCCCTGGGGCTCTTCTCTCAGGCTTGATGGATGGGGGACCGGGGCCCGGAGGTCTGAGGAAGAGCCTGGTGTGGCCTCCCACGGCCTGTCCTTGTCTTCTCTGCTGCCCGGAGCCCAGAGCTCCCGTGGCCTCAGCTGGTTTCTGCGGTGAGCGAGTACAGAGAGATAAATGTGCGCATTTCTCCAGCTGCACGAACACCCAGTCACAGTTCCCTTCTCAGTGCCAGGGAGGTCTCTGCTTTCTGGAGAGATGGGGGCTCATTCAATTTCCAATGGTAAAGGGTGGGGATGGGGACAAGAAAAGGGGGACGAAGGAGGATGAGAGAGACAGAGAGAGACGAAGAGCGTCTGGGGAGGAGACGGGGCCTCGGTGGGTAATAAACACATCCCGTCTGTAAATGAGAGGATCTATTTGTATCTCCCAGCGTCCCAGCTTTCCTTATTTATATGGAAATATGGAGGGAACGTGTGCCTGTTCTGAGTTGTATCACTGGGGCCTCACATTAGATATATTTCAATTTAGCTGATGCCAAGAGTGGTGAAGTGACTCTGGGGAAGCGATGTCAGCTTGCTCTGCTGACAGTCCCGGGGCCAGTGGTGGCTTTTAGGGGAGTGGGTCACTGGGGGAGAGTCGGCCTGACCTGCTTCCCTCCTGGGTACCCACCCCCTGCCTAGTCTTTGGGCATTTCCAGAGCACAAAATGTGCCTGGTACCCCGAGGGCTCATTGGGAAGGGGTAGGGGCTGTCTCCCCAGGTCTCAGGGGTTTCTGGAGTTCCATGCCATCTGCAGAAGATGGGAGCAGCTCCTGAGCCCCTGGCACGGGGGGACTTGGTCCAGTCTGATGGGGTGGGGCTTGAAGAACTACAGAAGGGGCATCTGGTTCCGCAGGCATGGTCATCGTGAAACCCAGGCTGCAATGACCCATGCCTCTGTATGTCCTCAGGGTTTTTGTTTGTTTGTTTGAGAGAGGGTCTCGCTCTGTTGCCCAGGCTGGAGTGCAGTGGTGCAATCGTGGCTCACTGCAGCCTCAATCTCATGGGCTCCAGCAATCCTCCCACCTCAGCCCTGAAAGTAGCTGGGATTACAGGCACATGCCACCATGCCCAGCTAATTTTTGTATTTTTTATTGAAAAGGGGTTTTGCCATGTTGCCCAGGCTGGTCTTGAACTCCCGAGCTCAACCAATCCATCCACCTTGGCCTCCCCAAGTGCTGAGATTATGGGCATGAGCCACTGCACCTGGCCTGCTGCCAGTTTTTATAGGAGCGTTTCTTTCTTTTCCCATTTCTCTAATCTCCGGAGGCAATTAGGGGAAGACACAGAAACAGAAGTCAGGGCGATAGAGACTCAGAGCTCAATGAGCCCAGCCCCCTCATTTTACATGAGGGTAAATTGAGGCCAAGAGAAGGACGGTGACCTGCTCACCTGTCTGGTCCGCAGCAGAGCGGGCCTGGAGTCCAGGCTTCTGCCCCATCCCCCTTGACTGGGCCCATGCCACCATGCTGCTGCTGCAGCCTCCACTTTGTTGACTTTCAGGGGCCTCTGCAGCTCTAGGCCAGCCCTCATAGTTTTTGGCCCATCATCTGTTTTTCAGCCTGCTCAATGGGACTGGGAGCGTGGGGTGTGGGTAGGGAGCTGTGACCGTGAGGTTTCTGGGAGGGGGCTCAGGCGATAGGCAGGGGCAGAGGAAGCTTGGGGTGGGCTTGGAGAGTGGGACCAGTAGTGCAGCAGGCAGGGTGCCAGGCCTAAGGCGCTCCAGGGAACACAGCGTCACCCCAAAAGCCACGCTGTGGGCTCAGCACCACTGGGGTGCTGCGTCTGCAGGAACGAGCTGCTGACCAGGCTCTGTGGTCAGTCAGGCCTGAGTGCTCTGGCCACGGCACCGCTATGGTGTCCCAGCTGTGAGACACCTTATGGGATGAAACATTCCTTTTTTCATCTCAGTCCTTTGGGGAAGGGACTACTCCAGCCCGAGCTATGAGCGACAGCCCACCAGGGCTGCCCAGTGAGGCCACGCAGGCTGTGCGCTGCACGACTCCACGACAGACACCCTTTAGGCGGCCACAATACCAGTGGTGTCCTGTGGAGTTGTAGAAAGCAGTGGCCAGGCAGGTCATCTGATGTCCTCCAGTTTTTTTAGCTGAAATGATGGAAATCTCTTCATCTACTCTGTGCTACAAGCACTGGTTGCAAGCTCGGTATTGAATTTGGATGATGGGCTTGGGCAGACATCTCTGAAACGAGAGTGATCTGAAAAAGTAAACCGTTGCCCCCGCCTCTGGGAAGCTGAAAGAGAGAGGGAGCTATCTATATCCTGTTTTCTCCCACTCCTTTGGAGAAGGACTACTCCAGCCCAAGTTATGAGCGATGGCTCACCAGGGCTGCCCAGATTAACCGATTGAGTGTGTGAGTGCGTGGGGAGGGCCTGAGAGGCTGGAGAGACCTGAGTTAGTGTCATCTAACGCTAGTATGAAATTTCCCGGTCCCAGCTGAGTTTTTGAAAATCCACTCTGTTTTCCGTAGAGGGACTTGTGGGGAGGTCCTTTGCTGCTTCAGCTCTTGGGGTGGGGAGGAAATATGCCCATTTTCTCCAATACCCGACCCCCTCCGTGAGCCTTCCTGGGCATCTCTGCCTCTCTCTCCTCCTTTTCTTCTGCCCGCCACATCCCCCCTGCTCCCATTCATGCCTGTTCTTCAGAGCCAGGAGCCCTGTGTCTTTAAGGAAATCGCAGCTTCTCCTGTTTTGCAGCCCTAGCCTGGCCGGCATTTCCAAGGTGTGTGAGTGGTCCCGCCCCAGCTCCTGTGGCCTCCCTTCTGACCTCAGGCGGGTTCACCTGGCAGGGGAGCCCAGCCAGGGGGTGACTTATATCAGGGTGGGAACGTGGCAGCAGTGGCTGGGCCAGCCAGAGCCAGGGAAGAAGGGCAGAACCAAAGCAGAGGTGTGAGAGCAGCCCCGGTGATGCAGAAGCCGCTGGCTGCCCCTGCTCCGCCCACTGCCTCTAGCTCCCTCTCTCCTTTCCCTGTTCTGCCTCTTCTCAGTGGCCTCTCTCGTCACCTTCCTGGTCCTGTGGTCTGCAGACGGGGCCTGTTATTCTTGCCTTGAGACGGGGATGCTGAAGCTCAGAGCCATTCAATGACTGCCCTGGTCACACAGGGGTCAGCGGGCAGAGGCCCCAGTCCCCTTGCCCCTCCCCAGGTGGGGAGACTGCAGTGTGTTCTACATGGTCTCAGGGCTCCCCAGCAGGGCTAAGGTTGGGCGCCCGGGTGGTAATATTCTCGGCAGTGCAGCTTTCCACAGCTTCCCCGTCTCTCTTCCTCACTCTCCTGCTGGGGTTTCCATTAGCTCCCGGTTAAACTACTCACCCTCAAACCCTTGTCCCAGGCTCTGCTTCTGGGGAGCCCAACCCACGGCATCCTCCATTGGGCCCCTGGACTGGCAGCCTGGGAGCATCGAAGGTTCATGTTCCCAGGTGACTTGGCTCGTTTTGGGGGAGTGATTTCAAGCCTGATCCATAGGGGTTTGGGAGGAGCTGAGTTGCGGATTTTAGTGCCTGGAGCCCAGCACCCTATGGACTGTGTGGAGGGGCAATGTGAAGCCTTCAGATTTAATTAAAAAGGAAGGCGAGAACTCGCTCCCGCACACTGGCACGTGCAGCGCTAATGATCGGGAATGATTAGAAAGGAAGCCGTGGAGGACTGCAGGCTGGCTGATGGGATCTTGGTCGAAGTGCCTCATTTTCATGTAATTTTCTTCTTCATAAGGTCTCCCCTCCCCAGGCTGGGAGCAGAGGGAAGAGCAGCCGCCTCAGCCCCAGGGAACCTGCCCTTGTCAGTTGATCTTTGGAAATCCAAAGACCAGCTTGAGATTCAGAACACATGCATTATGGTTTCCAACAGGAGGGTCCAGGGAAGAGGGATGGGGAAGAGATGGAGTTAGGGCCCAGAGGCCGGGCAGGAGAAGGAGGGCTGGGGAAGCAACAGGGCCCTGGGGCCCTGAACACAGGCTCCCAACTTCCCTGCATGTCCGGATCCATGGGGAGCAAGGAAAGTGCAGATTCCCGGGCCCCGGGTCCTAGAGAGTTGAATGGGCAAATCTAGACCAAGGCCCAGAAATCTGAATTTTAACAGCCTGGCCAGAAGATTCAGATGCTGCTGGGTGATTGGCCACACTTCTAGGAACCCTGATCTAGAAGTCCTGCCTGGAGCTTACCGTTTGGGGGCTCTGGGGCTTCTTTCCCAGTGCTGGGCCTTTTCTGCCATCTCACGGACATGAGGGTTGTTGGGCCCCAGAGCACCTCAAAGGTTACATCTAAAGTTCCTTTTTATGGTTGACAAAATTGAGGCCCAGAGGGCTTAGGAAATGATCCCAATGTCACATGGCTAGTGGGCAACGGGGCTGCCCAGGGCTCTGCACTCCGCCACGATGCTGTTCTCTGCACCGCAAAGCAATGCAGCAAAAGGGTCAGCAGTGCCTGGGAAGATGGAGCTGAGGCTGGGGTCTGGTGTTGGTTGGTGCTGGGGGACTTTGGGGCCAGCTTTGTCTGAGCTGCCCCAGCTCGGACACCAGGTGGCCTCCAGGCTGCTCGGGCCTCCCCTAACCATACCCACACTCTGCCCACAGTGATGGGGGGCCCCGAGTCCCGCGGCGTCCTGCGCAAGATGAGCGACCTGCTGGAGCTGATGGTGAAGCGCATGGACGCACTGGCCAGGCTGGAGAACAGCAGTGAGCTGCACCGGGCCGGCGGCGACCTGCACTTTCCCGCAGACAGGTGAGGGGACGTGGGGAGGAGGCACACGGAGCAGGGGAGCGGTGGCACCTGCCACTCCATCCGGGGTGCTGTCCGTCATCTCCTTTTGTGAATCTGGAGAAGATTTGGACCACACTGTGGTACAGCCCAGAGTGCATTTCTACCACCCAAATTTAACAACCGTTAACATTTGGTCACATTTGTGGCCTGTTTTCCTCTTTAAATAAAACGTCACAGATGAAAACTAAAAGGCCTTTTAATGACTTCTCCCTAGAGACAAGTGCCTCCCTGAATTTGCTGTAAGTTTTTCCAGTCCATTCCGAGCACATTTGCACATATGTTTAACACACACACATTATAAATTCATAGTGTGTGATTTTAACAAATTCCATGTAAGTGGCATCTCACAGCACATATTCCACTGCCCCTTTTTTTTTTTTTTTTTTTTTTTGACACAGAGCCTGGTTGACTCTGTCACCCAGGCTGGAGTGCAGTGGCACAGTCTCAGCTCACTGCAACCTCTGTCTCCTGGGTTCAAGCGATCCTCCCACCCCAGCCTCCTGAGTAGCTGGGACTACAGGCGCCCACCACCACACCTCGGTAATTTTTGTGTTTTTAGAAGAGACAGGGTTTTACTATGTTGGCCAGGCTAGTCTCAAACTGCTGACCTCATGATCCACCCGTTTGGCCTTCCAAAGTGCTGGGATTACATCTTTGCCTTTTAAATTAAAAAAAAAATTTTTTTTTGAGACACTCTTACTCTGGGCTGGAGTGAAGTGGCACGATCTTGGCTCACTGCAACCTCTGCCTCCCAGGTTCAAGTGATTCTCGTGCCTCAGCCTCCTGAGTAGCTGGGATTATAGGAGAGCACCACCACGCCAGTTAATTTTTCTGTTCTTTTTAGTAGAGATGGGGTTTCACCATGTTGGCCAGGCTGGTCTCGAACTCCTGACCTCAGGTGATCCAACCGTCTCAGCCACCCAAAGTGCTGGGATTACAGGCATGAGCCACCCCGCCTTTTTTAAAAAAATCTTTTCATGATGATTTTGAACTCTGTGTTGAGGGGCATGTGTGGATACTATGTACCCCTGGCCATTTTTGCCAAGTAGAACTTTCTGGTTTATTTCTTCTAAATATTCTCCTGCTTCGGCCAGGATGTCTGAGAGCCCAGAGTCTGTGCTGCTATCCTACAAGCCCCAGGGACACATGAGGTGTGACATCCAAATCATGTGTCCTAGGTATATAAGGCATCTCCTGGACCTCAGAGAACAGGAGTGCGGGAGGTCAGGCTGTCCCAACTGGCCCCTAGAGGTGGATGTGGAAGGAGGGGCTTTGACCCCACCCTATTCCAGGGAGACGAGCTCCACTTTCCCTCTTTTATATATTGGGGTTCTTTGTGAAATTGATTTGCTAAATGTATTCTAGCTGCTAAAAATTAAGCTTGAAACGCACTTTTAGACAATTTGCAGAAAAGCTATTTCTCAGCCAGCGTGTGTGATGGAAAAGCCAAAGCTCTAGGCATTTCTAAAGTACGGAGTTGGGTGAAACAGAAGAAAATGATGACCCACAGGAGGTCACTGTGCCCGTGGGAGGGTTGGAGGGATGCCTGCCTGAGTCAGGCCTGAAACACAGTGCGCCCATGTGGACTGGTGTGGGATCCGTTGCCATGTAGCCTGCTGGTGCTGGGCTGCTGGCCATGGGGCCAACCTCTAACTGGCCTTGCCGATTGAGTGAACGTCCTGGATGCCTGGTAGGCCAGCCTGGTGTGAGCATCATTACCCTCATATTAGCTGACATTTACTCAAAACACACTAAGCACCTGGCATGGTTCTTACTGCATAAGCTTAAGATAGGTAAGATAAGATAGATCTTACCTACCTCACAACCATCTTATGGTTTAATCTTTAAAGATTTAATTAAATCTTTACTCTCCCAGAGGAGGAAGCTTTAATCTCCCAGAGGAAGAAACTGAGGCACAGAGAAGTTCAGAAACTCACCCAAAGTTGCACAGCTGTAAGAGGCTGGACTTGGCTTTGGGTTCAGGCTAACTGGCTCCACAGCCCACATTTCTAAGCACTGTGCTCTTGATGATTGATTCAATATGTGGTTATATGTGGTTTGGTTTTTGTCCCTTTCTAAGAGGTTTTATTTATTTATTTATTTATTTTTTTGAGATGGAGGCTTGCTCTGTTGCCCAGGCTGGAGACCAGCAGTGGCACGGTCTCGGGTCACTGCAACCTCCGCCTCCTGGGTTCGAGCAATTCTTCTGCCTCAGCCTCCTGAGTAGCTGGGATTACAGGTGTGTGTGCCACCATGCCCAGCTAATTTTTTTTTTTTTTTTTTTGAGACAAAGTCTCGCACTGTTGCCCAGGCTGGAGTGCAGTGGCATGATCTCGGCTCACTGCAAGCTCTGCCTCCCGGGTTCAAGCGATTCTCCTGCCTCAGTCTCCTGAGTAGCTGGGATTACAGGCACATGCCACCACACCCAGCTAATTTTTGTATCTTTAGTAGAGACGGGGTTTCACCATGTTGGCCAGGATGGTCTTGATCTCTTGACCTCGTGATCCACCTGCCTCGGCTTCCCAAAGTGCTGGGATTATAGGTGTGAGCCACTGCGCCCGGCCTAAGTTTTGTATTTTTAGTAGAGACTGGGTTTTGCCCTGTTGCCTAGGTTGGTCTCGAACTCCTGACCTCAGGTGATCCGCCCATCTCGGCCTCCCAAAGTGCTGGGATTATAGGTGTGAGCCACTGTGCCTGGGCTACTGGATTTATTTTTTAAAAAGATCATTCTGACTGCTGTGTGAAAACTGGATAAACAGGGTGGCAGGAGGGGAAGCAGTGAGGCCGTGGTGGAGATGGGGAGTGCCTGCAAAGGGATCTGAGCTTCCTTGGAAATCCCCCTGAGGCATGAGGCCGTTTTCCTCTCTGTGTGCATGGATCCTTCTTCTCTGACACTGTCTGTGTGCCCTCGGATCCAGCCCCTGCCCCCCAGCTCCATCTTTCTCCCTCAGATCCAGTCCTTTGCCCCTCTTTCATTCTTTTCTGCTTTCCTGTCTGCCTCCAGCGGTGCCTCTGATGCAGCCTCTGTCCGCAGGCCTGTTCCCCAGGTCAGGAGCAGGCCTTTTTGGTCTCTGTTGAGGATATTGCTGCAGGCAGCAGAGCTGAAGGTCCAGTGGACCCCTGGACTCCAGGTCTGCCTTCTTGGGCTGGGGGTGGTACTGCTGGCGCATCCAGTGTTTCTCTGATTTTTTTCCGGTCCTGGCCTGTGCCTCCCTCCCCTGCCCTGCCCTTTGTCTCCTCCTGGGGAAGGAGGGAACTTGTAGGGGGAGGGGGAATATGCGCCACCTCCCAGCTCCCTCCTGGGAAATAGCAACCATCCATCACGACCGGCAGAGCCCATCACACCCACAGGCAGAGCCATCAATTTCAGGGACACTGTGGTTGCTGGTTTCAGGGAGAGAAATGGTGGGTGTGTCCCGGGCCTGTGAAAGCCGCCTGCTCACACGCTCCCGTGCACAAACACTGCTGCCCCCTCCGCACCCTGAACCTGACTCCAGGTTAACCAACCTGCAGCTAGACCGGCAAGAATCCTGCAGGAGTGCCTGCTGCTGCATTTCCAGAAAACTCTCAGGTGCCTGCACTTGGATTCCCCACTTAGAAATTTCCTGTGGCTTAAAAAAAACACGTCCCCTGTTCTTCCTCAGCCCTTTTGGAAGCTTCTGGGCTGCCGCCTTCCACTCATGGCTGGTGTTTCCTCAGGGAAAGTAAATTTGCAATTTTAGCCTAGGAAAACATAATTAGAGAGGCAGATTTGCTTCAAATGGCATCGTATTATGTATCCTCAAGCCAAATAGTAATGATCTTTGAATTTTCCATAAGGCCATAAAACCACCGAAATTTGAGGCTGTCTGGATTGAAGAGGTCAGTCCGTATTTGTTGAATGCCTAGTGTGTGCAGAGTCTGGGCTGGAGGTTTGAGAGCAGGTGGAGGGGACACAAAAAAGATGGAATTCCACTGCATGCCCGGTGCCCAGCCTGGCCAGTGGCCCCTCAGAGTGGGGCAGACCTGGGCGGCCTTGGGCTCTGCGAGCCTCAGGTTCTTCACGTGTGTGTTAGAGATGATGCTGATGGGAGGCCTGGGCCCTGTGCTTGGCGCTCAGAAGAATAGTTTGTCTCCTTTCCTTTCCTTGTACCGTGAGGGTCCAGAGAAGGGGGTGACCCAACCACTCTTTGGGAGGCTTAGAATCACCAAGTCCCCATGGCACAGGGGAGTTTGGGATAGCCTTGAAGGAGAGACATTTTGACTGGGGAGACAGCCAGCACTCTGGACAGCGGGAAGGAGCAGATGGCTGAGGTGGCTGAGCCCGAGGGAGGTGGACCAGGGAGGAGGGGCCACCTGGGAGCACTGTGGCCGGAGGACCTGGTGAGTGAGGGGCAGTGGTGGGCTTGAACCCTGAACTTTGATGGCTCTAAAGACCACCTTCAGGCTGGGTGTGGTGGCTCACAGCTGTAATCCCAGCACTTTGAGAGGCCGAGGTGGTCGGATCACTTGAGGTCAGGAGTTCGAGACCAGCCTGGCCAACATGATGAAACCCCGTCTCTACTAAAAGTACAAAAATTAGCCAGGCGTGGTGGCACATGCCTGTAGTCTCAGCTACTTGGGAGGCTAAGGCAGGAGAATCGCTTGAAGCTGAGAGGCGGAGGCTGCACTGAGCTGAGATCGCACCATTGCACTCCAGCCTGGGTGACAGAGTGAGAGTCTGTCTCACAAAACAAAAACAAAAAAACACCGTTGTCCTCTAGACTCCCCAGTTTATGTCTTAAGCTGGCGCTGTAGCCCTGGATGCTGCTGCTCTCAGAATAGGCACCTGCTGACCCACCTGGGTGTCCTGGGAACACTCAGACGTGGGGTCTCCTGGTTGCACTCAGGATCCCCTTCTCTCCCAGCCCCCATCTCAGGCTGTATCAGTGCCATTATTGCCATGGCTCGGACCCCAACCTTGCAGTCACCCCTGGCTCTTCTCTCTCATACACTTGCCCCATCCCTCAGCAAATTCTCCCACCTTCAGAATACGCCTTAGAAGCCCACCTCTTCTCACCCCACTGACTGACCCCAACCAGCTATTCCAACTCAGCAGCCGCTAGGGTCTTTCTTTCCCTCCCTCCCTCCCTTCCTTCCTCCCTCCCTCCCTCCCTTCCTCCCTCCCTCCCTCCCTCCCTTCCTCTCTCCCTCCCTCCCTCCCTCCCTCCCTCCCTTCCTTCCTTCCTTTCTTTTTTCTTTTCTTTTTTTTTTTTTTAACAGAATCTTGCTCTGTCACCCAGGCTGGAGTGCAGTGGTATGATCTAGACTCACTGCACCCTCCGCCTCCAGGGTTCAAGCAATTCTCCCGCCTCAGCCTCCCAAGTACCTGGGATTACAGGCGTGCACCACCATGCCCGGCTAATTTTTTTTGTATTTTTAGTAGAGATGGGGTTTCGCCATATTGCCCAGGCTGGTCTCGAACTCCTGACCTCATGTGATCTGCCCGCCTTGGCCTCCCAAAGTGCTGGGATTGCAGGTGTTAGCCACCGTGTCTGGCCCAGTGGGGTCTTTCTAAGTCATCAATAAGTGTCCAGGTCCCTCCTCTACTCCCCGCTCCCTCATGGCCCCCCAGCTCACTCGAGTAAGAGCCCAGGTCCTTCCATTGGCCCCACCATGCCTGGCCCCATGTCCCTCTGGCTCCTCCTGCTGGTTCTGCCACTGTCCCTGGAGCACAGTGATCTCAGAATTTGCTTCCCCGGGCAGGTGGTAATGACACCACACACAGCCCAACCCCAGCTCTGCTCCTTTTAACAGGGGGAGTGCATGTGTGCACGGGTGTATTTATGTATTTATTTTTTTGTTTGGAAGAGAGGAGTCCTCTCTGCTCTCACTTGGGGAGGGGGCCTCCCCAGCATCAGGGTGGGGAGCTCTGGATGGGCCAAGGAGGAGCTGAAGCAGAAGAGAGCAGTGCGAATGCAAGCCAGGCTGGATGCTGGGGTGGGGGCTCCATGTCCCGTGTGGTGTGTGTGAAAGAGACAGAGGCGGACGCAGAGACATGGCGACAGAGAGGATCCGTCTCCCCTGCTCCGGCGCTCATGTTTCCAGCCGTGTGCACTCAGGTCTCCCGGTATGCGTGTCTGTAGGCACCTGTGTACGTGAGTCTCTGTGTTTTAAAAGAAAAGTGATCAGTTTCATAACAAAATAACAGCCCCAGCAAGCACCCTAGCCAGCGGCGGGGAGATCAATATCCCCGTTAATTGAATGCAACTCTCGTAAATCAGGAGAGGGAGTCAGAATTAAATCTCTTTCCTGAGGTGGCCTGGAGAGCTCGTTCTCAGGGGAAGCAGACTGGACCAGAATCAGTGATTACCTCGTGGGGCAGGGAGGAAGGGGCTGAGCCTCAGGGGCCTCTTTGAGGGACCAGCCTGAAGGGAGTTGAGGATTGGGGCCTGCGAGGAAGTAGTGACCTGCCACTGGCCACCTGCGGAACCAGAGTTCCCCACTGGAGGGCCGCGTTGGTGGTATAGTGGTGAGCATAGCTGCCTTCCAGAGTTCCCCGCTGGCCCCGGCCCATCACCCTAGGCCTCAGGTGGTGGAGGGAACAGAGCATCTGGGTCCGGCCTGTGGCCTGCAGTGTTGGCTACTCTTTGGTCCCTTGGGACAGTGCCCGGAGGCTGGCTGCACGAGGGTCGGCCTTGGGAAGAGGGGTGGGCGGTGATCAGAGGCCTCGCTTGGCATTCTTTTACTTTCCGAGTGAGAAACGATGGTTTTGGTAGAATGCCTGGGGCTTAGTATATGTGCAGAAAATATACTCAGGCCCAGGTCTCCCATGCCAGGTACACCGAGCTGTTTTGCAGATGCAGTGAGAAGATGCAGGGCTGGCGCAGGGGCAGTGTCAGCCCTGGGAGCTCGCCGTGTGACCTTGGGAAAGCCACTATATCTGCCAGACATCCTGGGACCTTGGGACCCAGGCAGGCTCTTGAGGTCACAGTGCCCATGGGAGGTGACTGAGCCCACGGGAGGTCACTGTGATGGGTTTGGGCCCACCAAGGGGTGGCTCCAGCAGGCAGGGAGGGAAGAGCTCTCAGGGAACACACCTGATAACCTGGGAAGTCACTGTCCCCTCTCCCCATCCCTGCCCAGAGCTGTCTGCAAAGCCCTCTGGTCTCAGAAGCTGTCTCGGGCCACCGTGGGTACCTTCACTGGGAGAGAGGCGTGTGGTTGGCAGGTCAGGGGCCTCTTTCAGCCAGTGCCACCCCAGGGCAGCCGTCGGCCCCCAGGGGCATGTTCTGGATTCCAACAGACTTTGCTGCAGAGCTGGCTGAAGTAATAATTATTAATCATCATAATAATTAATGATGATAATAATCAATGACAATAGCAAATAATAATAACAGCCACCCTCTATTGGGCACCAAGCTCACTAGAGCTTGGTGAGGAGGATCCCATCCAGGTCTGATCCAGGCCTGCACTGTTGTCACAGCCCCACGGTGCCGAGAGCCGGACCAACCACATGACAGCCACGTTTATTGGGGATGGGGTGTGAAAAAGTCCCAAGTTCCCAGTGCAGTCCCTGCCGGGCTGGGAGGGAGGTGGGACCCTTCAGGCTGCAAGTATGTCCTGTTGGCCCTGAGGGCTTCCTGATCATGACGAATGTCCCCAGCTTTTCTGTTGAAGGCAGGGCGGGACCAGAGACCTTCACTCCCCTACTGTTGGCCATGCCGTGGGTGGTCTCCTGGCCTGGCTTGGGAATAACCTGTCACTACAGGATCATGTGCCATGGCCTGGGCCAGACTCACTGCCACCAAGAACCCAGGCCCCACAGAGTCCTGGGTCTGAAGAGGGACAGTGAGTGGTGGATCTCAGGGTCACCCCCTCAGAAGGGGCTGCAGTCCTGTCCTCGGTCCCTCTGAGCCATTGAAACCTCGGGTGGAGCAATTTCGGGGTCGGGAGACTCACTGCTTTCTGATGTGGTCCATTCTGCTGTTGGGCAGGTCTAACTGGGACTTCATCCAGAAGGGGGTGAGACCTCACTTTGACTGAATGTCCATTACGAGTAGTGATAATAATAAAATCATTAAAACTAGGTATGTGTGCTAGGTACATCTAAGTATAGGTATACCTGTAACTACCTATAGGTCTCTTAGGAGTTCAGGCTGCAATAGCAAAGTTCCATAGCCTCGGGGGCTCATAGACAACAGACATTTCTTTCTTTCTTTTTTTGAGACAGGGTCTCCCTCTGTTGCCCAGACTGGAGTGCAGTGGCACAATCACAGCTCCCTGCAGCCTCTGCCTCTCAGGCTCAAACAGTCCTCCTGCCCTAGCCTCCTGAGTAGCTCAGCCTGCAGGTGCATGCCACCATCCCTGGCTAATTTTTATATTTTTGTAGAGATAGGGTTTCACTATGTTGCCCAGGCTGGTCTTGAACTCCTGAGCTCAAGCAATTGGGCCACCTCAGCCTCCCAGAGTACTTGGATTACAGGTGTGAGTCACCGTGCCCGGCCTCAAGCATTCATTTCTCACAGTTTTGGAGGCTGGAGGTCTGAGACCAGGGTGCCAGCATGGTCAGCTTTGGGGGAGGATCCTCTTTTGGGTTATAGATGATCAGCTTCTTGCTGTGTCTTCACACAGTGGGAAGAGGCTGAGAGAGCTCTCTGGGGGCCTTTTTTTTTTTTTTTTTTTTGGAGACTGATTCTCCCACCGTCACCCAGGCTGGAGTGCAGTGGCACAATCTCGGCTCACTGCAACCTCTGCCTCTCAGGTTCAAGCAATTCTCCTGCCTCAGCCTCCTGAGTAGCTGGGATTACAGGTGCACACCACCACACCCAGCTAATTTTTGTATTTTTGGTAGAGATGGGGTTTCACCATGTTGGACAGGCTGGTCTCAAACTCCTGACCTCAGATGATCCACCTGCCTTGGCCTCTCAAACTGCTGGGATTACAGGTGTGCACCACTGTGCCCAGTCAGGGGCCTCTTATAAGGGCACTAATGCCATTCATGAGGGCTCCACCCTCATGACCTAATCCCCCTTCAAAGGCCTCACCTCCTAATACCATCACATTGAGGGTTAGGATTTCTTTCTTTCTTTTTTGTTTCTGGAGACGGGGTCTCCCTCTGTCAACCAGTCTGGAGTGTAGTGGTACAATCTCGGCTCACTACAACCTCCGCCTTCTGGGTTCAAGCGATTCTCCTGCCTGAGCCTCCTGAGTAGCTGGGACTACAGGCATCTGCCACCACACCCAGCTAATATTTTGTATTTTAGTAGAGTCAGGGTTTCACCATGTTGCCCAGGGTGGTCTCAAACTCCTGAGCTCAGGCGATCTGCCCGCCTCGGCCTCCCAGAGTGGTGGGATTACAGGCGTGAGCCACTGCGCCCGGCCCTGGGGGTTAGGATCGCAATATACAAATTTTGTGGGGACACAGACATGGTTCATAGCAGCAGGCAAGACAAGTGCCTTCTATTGCTTACTCCTTCACGCAGCCCTCCAAGGGTTGCCTCCTTTGACAGACAAGGGAGCTGAGGCTCAGAGAGGCTTGTGGGTCTAGGACATGCAGCACGGGGCCAGCCTGGTGGCTTGGTGGCTCCAAAGTTCTCGGTGCTTCGAACACAGGGTTGTTCCTCTTCCAAGCCCTCCGTGACCCTAACAGGCCTTGAGGAGGGCAGGGGGCTTCCTGGAGTGTGTCCCCTGACCCCACTGAATAAGAAAAAGCCAGCACAGTGAGGCTGGTATGGTATCAGGGCCAGGAGGTAGGAAGTCTCTTTTTGAGACAGGGTCTCACTCTGTTGCCCAACCTGGAGTGCAGTGGCTCGATCACGGCTCACTGAAGATCTCAACCTTCTGGGCTCAAGCAATCCTCCCACCTCAGCCTCCAGAGTAGCTGGGACCACAGGCATGTGCCACCACACCTGGCTAATTTCTGTATTTTTAGGGGAGATGGGGTTTCACCATGTTGGCCAGGCTGGTCTCGAACACCTGACCTCAGGTGATCCGCCCGCCCCGGCCTCCCAAAGTGTTGGGATTACGGGCGTGAGCCACCACGCTCGGCCAGGTAGGAAGTCTTTAGAAGGAAGCTCCAGGACTGTGCTGGGCCAGTGACCTCTGCCCCGCAATGAAGCCCCAAGTGCCAGGCAAGAAGGAAACTGGCAGAGCCTGTGTGGAGAGGAGAAGGCGACCTCAGGCTGGTCCTGGGGCTCCAGATGCAGGGCACTGGCACAGAACATTTGGGATCCCCAAGGCCACCCTGAGGTCCAGTGATTTGCTAGGAGGACTCAGAACTCAGCACAGCCATGATCCTCACAGTGACAGCTTATTCCTGTGAAAGGATATGGATGAAAATCAGCCAAGGGGAGCGGCGCACGGGCGGGGCAGAGCCCTGGAGACCCGCATGGAGCACTGGTGTTCCTCTCCCAGTGAAGCTGTGACAGCGCCTGCTCTCCCAGCAACGATATGGGACAACACACATGCGTGTTGCCAGCCTTGGTGCCCAGTGATGTTATGGGGGCTCAGTCTCAGAGACATGACTGACCACTCAGGGGCTGACCTCAGTCTCTGGCCCTTCCAGAGATCAAGCTGAGGTGGCATGTCCCACCGTCAATCACAGGGAAGCACAGACTCCTGGGGGTGGCCCAAGGCCCCAGGTAGAAAAGGACACTCTTATCAGGGGACACTCCAAGGGCTGAGGGGTGAGCTCCCGGGAGCAGGTCCAGGGCAGGCCTTTCTTTCTAATGTGTGGGTGTGGACATCCCGGAGCTGCCCAGCTCACCTGTTACTGCACGCACAGTACGGGCTCTTGGTACCTGTGTGTTCTTCCCTGTGGCCCTTGAGTGGCTCAGTGATACCCTTTGATGTACCCCAGGGTCAGCCCACACAGACACACCCCAGGTTGCTCTCTCCTCTGCCCCCTCTCCCTGATAACCCCCCTCAGGGTGTCCTTGAGGCTGGGCCTGCGTTTGGTTCATCTGCGTTTGGTTCCTCTGTGCCCAGAGCCCAGCACCGAGCAGGCACATGGTAAATACGTGTGTATGCACGTGGATGATGGGGCCTCCTCTGGGGACAACCCTCCTGAGCCCTCCAGCCTCCCCTCTCCCTGACTCTCATGGGCCAGATCTTCACTGTTCATGTTCACGCTGCTCTGCCAGAAGCAGCCGGTTCAAGCTCACCTGGGTTCACAGCCTTCCTCTCTTAAAATGCATGTAACAAAGACATAAAAGAAAAGAAAGGAAAATGTACTATAAGCAGGACCAAAGGGCTCAGGGGCATCTGCACCAGCTGGAGAAAGACTGGGTGCACTTGGTGGTGGGAGTGAGGCCCAGGGGATTGTCCCCTGTCCCCCGTGCCGGGGTAGATTGAATTCAAGGTTTGTACCCTGGTAATGGATTCTTCAGGGTTAGGGTGGTTGTTGCCTGGGAAACTCCTTCTGCCAGAGCAGTTTCGGCCTTGCCTCCTGCGGGGAGTGTTGGCTGTTATCCCAGTGGAAATAGCCCTGAAAGTCCCATCCCCCAGGATGTCACTTTCTAGACTGGGGGCGGGGGGTGCCAGCCTTTTGCTCGGTCTTGGCCTTGGTCCTGATGTCCTGCCCCCACCCTGTGCATGGACCCCTTCCAGGTGAAATGGTGCATTCCTGCCTGTCTCAGAGCCCACCTGTTGGCACCACCTTCCCGGGGTGTAAGAGGTGGAAAATGGATTTTCTTCCAGCAACCCAGCGTGTCTCAGGGCAGCTTTTTCTGATTGATTGAAGCCAGTGTTCCACTTGTGGCTCCAGCCTGCTTCCTTTGCTGAGGACCAAGGCCTGGAGGCCCCTCGTAAGCTTGTGGGCACTGCACTTGTGTCCAGGCATTCATTAGGGCCACCCGGCTCCCTGTTCCCCCGCCAGGAACATCCTCTCCAGCTGTCCGTCTCCAGCCATGTTGCCTGTTCAGCAGCCTTCTGGGCTGGGCGGGGTGAACTTTGGGGCTAGGCTGCCTGGTTGGACTGATCTCTCATTTAATAACTGTGTGATCCTGAGCAAGTCACTCAGCCTTGCTGTGCCTTTGTTTCCTTCCTGATCTGTCCAATGGGAGCATTAAGAGGGACCAGGATGTTGCCATGGACATTAAATGAGATCAGAGTATAGAAAGAGCTTGGCAAGCGAGTGCTCAATGCCTGTTGGCTGTGTAACTGTCATTATCGTTAGTGGCATGGTTTTCTCGTGTCCTCCTAAAAGTCTAGGAAAAGTCCTGCCTCCCTGGGTGGCTTTATGATGTCAGGTACCTTCCTCCATAGAAAAGATTTTAGGCTGTGCGCAGTGGCTCATGCCTGTAATCCCAGCACTTTGGGAGGCCGAGGCAGGTGGATCACAAGATCAGGAGTTCAAGACCAGGCTGGCCAAGATGGTGAAACTTCCATCTCTACTAAAAATACAAAAATTAGCTGGGCGTTGTGGTGCACCTGTAAATCCCAGCTACTCAGGAGGCTGAGGCAAAGAATTCATTGAACCCAGGAGGTGGAGATTACAGTGAGCTGAGATTGCACCAGTGCACTCCAGCCTGGGTGACGGAGTGAGACTCTGTCTCAAAAAAAAAAAAGAAAAAAAGAAAAAAAAAGGCAAAAAAAAAGAACAGATTTTAAATGGCATTGATTTCCTAGGGCAGCACAAACTGATTGTGTTAAACCAGCTGTCCCCAACCCCCTGGCATGGACCGGTACCGCTCCATGGTCTGTTAGGAACCTGGCTGCACAGCAGGAAGTGGGCGGCAGGCAAGCAAGTGAGGCTTCGTCCGTATTTACGGCTGCTCCTCATCGCTCGCGTTACCACTTGAGCTCCGCCTCCTGTCAGATCAGCAGCAGCATTAGATTCTTATAGGCGTGAAAACCCTATTGTGAACTGCACATGTGAGGGATCAAGGTTGCCTTCTTCTGATGAAAATCTAATGCCTGATGATCTGTCACTGTCTCCCATCACCCCCAAATGGGACCATCTAGTTGCAGGAAAATGAGTTGCAGGGCTCCCACTGATTCTACGTGGTGGTGAGTTGTATAATTATTTCATAATAATGAAATAAAATGTACAGTCAATGTAATATACTTGAATCATCCTGAAACCATCCCCACTGCCCCTCTCCCTGGGTCCATGGAAAAATTGTCTTCCACGAAACCAGTCCTGGGTGCTAAAAAGGTTGGGAACCACTGGATTAAACAACAGAAATTGATCGTTTCACAGTTCTGGAGGCCAGAAGTCTGAGATCAAGACGTCAGCAGGCAGTGCTAGGGAAGGATCTGTTCCAGGCCCTGCTCCTGGCCTTGACTGATGGGAGCACAATTTGAGTCTTCACATGGTGTCCTCTCTGTTTGTGAGTTTCAGACCAAATTTCCCCTTTTGATAAAAACACCAGTCATATTGGATGAGAGACCCACTTCACTCCAGTATGACCTCATATAATCACTCATGACATCTGCAGTGACCCTGTTTTCAAGTAAAGTCACATGCTTAGCTATTGGGGGATAGGGCTGCAACATACGAATTTGAAGGGGGGGCATCATTTAACCCATGGCAAAAATTATATTTTATAATATATGAAAATCACATTAAAACATTTTCTTTGATCTACAAGGGGTTTTTTTGTCCCCCGATTTTTAAAGAAATTCAAACATTTTCGAGGGCCCCTAAAAGCAGCGTGGGCCCTGGCCTGCACCTCCTGGCCCTGGTGGAGAAGTCAGCGCTGGTGCTGCCTACCCCACGGTGACAACACCAAGGCCCTGGGTTCCCCACACGGTGACAACACCAAGGCCCTGTGTTCCCCAGACCACATAGGCTGAAGGCCATTGGCCACCATCCCCCCAGTCCAGCCCCTCTTTTTCTTTTCCAACCAAGCATTTCCCAGGTCATAGATCTGTTGAGGTTTGAGGCTTTACGACATCTACTTTTGTTGTCACTTTTAGAAAAACCTCTCAGGGAGAGAAGCCTAATTGTATATGATTTGAAAATAGAAAGGGCTGTGCAAATGGTAAGTCCAGTATAATAATAGTGATGCCAAATAATTGTGTTTTGAACAAGTTGAACTTGTTAAATCAGACAGATGCCATCTGCACTATTTAAAGCCTGTGCTGGCGATGGGTTTTACACAGACATGCTTGTCGCAGGAAAATTGCTGAATCCCCCAAAAAGTAAAGTGCTTTGCTTTGTAGTCGGGCGTATGATGCTTCCTCTCAGGAATGGGATGACTGCTGTCCCTGGGGAGCAAAAGCATATCAAGCATGTATTGAGCACCTCCTGTATGCTGAGTACTTTGCATTTGGCCTCACAGCTTATCCTCACCAATAACTCCATTACTCAGATTTCACAGGAGTTAAAGCCTGTGTTCAGAGAGGTTAGGTAACTTGCCTAAGGTCACACAAATGTGAAGTGCAGCCAGGATTTGAACCCAGGACCTCTGACTTCCAGGGTTTCACTCTTTCCAATACATCTCTGGCTAATGTGGAGAGTCACTGACCCAGCGCTTGAAACTCAAGGACATCCCTTGATTTCTTTCTTTCCTGTGAGAGCGGCAGGAGAATTAAAGCTTGGCCTTCAGCAAGAGCAACGTGGTTGCTGAAAAGAACTTCTTGACAGCAGGAGCATCCAGGAGAACCTAGATTTTCTCTCTCTCTCTTTTTTTTTTAAACAAAGTCTTGTTCTGTCACCCAGGCTGGAGTGCAGCAGTGTGATCATGGCTCACTGCAGCCTGGACCTCACGGGCGCAAACGATCCTCCTGCCTCAATCTGAGTAGCTGGGACCACAGGCGCACACCACCATGCCCAGCTAATTTTTAAAATTATGTATAGAGATAGGGTATCACTCTGTTGCTCAGGCTGGTCTCGAACTCCTGGGTTCAAGTGATCCTCCTGCCTTGCCCTCCCGAAGTACTGGGACTACAGGCGTGAACCTCTGGGCCTGGTCCTGGACTCTCTTTTGCGGTGGATTAAAAACCATTTCCCCTCAGTTCTGCGGATGGTGATTATCTTAGTTTCGTAGAGTTGCCGTAAAAAATGACCACAAACCAGATGTCTTAAACCAACAGAAATTTACTCTTTCCCAGTTCTGGAGACAGAAGTCTGAAATTAGGGTGTCAGCAGGGCCGTGTTCCTTCCAAAGCTCGAGGGGAGACTCCTCCCTGCCCCTTCCTGGCTGCTCCTGGTGGATGCTGGCAGTGCCTGGCCTTCTTCGTCCCACAGATGCATCACTCCGCTCTCTGCCTGCTTCGTCACATGGTCTTTTCCCCTGGGTGTCTGCATGTGGCCTTCTTAGAAGGACCCCAGTCATTGGACTTAGGGTCAGCCTGATCCAATATGACCTCACCTGAACTAATTACATCTGCAAAGACCCTATTCCCAAGTAAGGCCACTTTCTTTCTTTCTTTCTTTCTTTCTTTCTTTCTTTCTTTCTTTCTTTCTTTCTTTCTTTCTTTCTTTTTCTTTTTTTTTTTTTTTTTTGGTTTATTAAAAAATAAGTTTATTGGCCGGGCATGGTGGCTCACGCCTGTTATCCCAGCACTTTGGGAGGCCGAGGTGGGTGGATCACGTGAGGTCAGGAGTTTGAGACCAGCCTGGCCAACATGGTGAAACCCTGTCTCTACTAAAAATACAAAAATTAGCCAGGCATGGTGGCACATGCCTGTAATCCCAGCTACTCGGGAGGCTGAGGTAGGAGAATCACTTGAACCCAGGAGGCAGAGGCTGCAGTGAGCCGGGATTGTGTCATTGCACTCCAGCCTGGGCAACGAGAGTGAAACTCTGTCTCAAAAAAAAAAAGTTTATTGAGGTATATTTTTCATAAAGTACACTAATATTAAAGTTAGAACTTGATGGAGTTTTGATGGAGTTTT
Source organism: Homo sapiens (assembly GCF_000001405.40). Lineage (NCBI taxonomy): Eukaryota > Metazoa > Chordata > Mammalia > Primates > Hominidae > Homo > Homo sapiens. Next base: position 76,898,142 of record NC_000017.11, read on the forward strand.
ACATATGGACAGATTCGCCTACCAAGATTAGGTTACATAGGATATTTCTAGCACACAAGATTTCCTGTGTTCCGTCAGCGGAAGTCATTCTTAGCCCCTAAACCTAACTTCCACCCTGACTTCTATCAGCATTACTTTTGCCTGTTCTTGAACATCATATAAATGGAGTCACAGAGTACATAATCTTTTTATTTTTTTTTTTTTTTGAGACAGAGTCTTGCTCTGTCACCAGGCTGGAGTGCAGTGACGCGATCTCGGCTCACTGCAACCTCTGCCTCCCGGGTTCAAGCGATTCTCCTGCCTCAGCCTCCTGAGTAGCTGGGATTACAGGCGCGCACCACCACACCCGGCTAATTTTTTTTTTTTGGCCAGGCTGGTCTCAAACTCCTGACCTCAGGTGATCCACCCTCCTTGGCCTCCCAAAGTGCTGGGATTACAGGCGTGAGCCACTGTGCCCGGCCCATAATCTTTTTTATTTGGCTTATCATGCTCAACATTCTGACTCTGAGATTCGTCTATGTCATTGCACATAGCAGTAGCTTAGTATTTTTTTTATGTCCATAGGTTATTGGGGTACAGGTGGTATTTGGTTACATGAGTAAGTTCTTTAGTGGTGATCTGTGAGATTTTGGTGCACACATCACCCGAGCAGTATACACTGCACCCTATGTGTAGTCTTTTATCCCTCACATAAGGCCACATTCTGAAGTTCCAGCTGGATATGAATTTTGGAGACACTCTTCAGCCTAAGTGATGGAGCCCCGAGCACAGGGCCCACGCTGGCCAGCATCTGGTTCCACACAGGAAAGCCAAGTCCCTGTCCTGGAGGACTCAGGACTCCATTCGGGGTTTCAGGCTGGCCACTCACAACCACACCCACCGTGGGTCAGGGGGTTCAGAAAGTGACCTGGCTCTTGCAAGACGGATGGAGAGGAGCCTCGCTCCAGGGAGAGGTGCCTCCAGGAAGGGCTGAAACGGGTTGAGGTCCGTTCCAAAGTCTCTAGTTGACCTGGCAGGACCCCTGGCTTGGCTTGTCTTGACATAGGTTGTTTGTGCCCTGGGGTCTCTGGTTAGAAGGTAGGACAGGCGCCCAGTTTTTCTCCATTTTGCGTGCCTCCTGTCATGATGGGAGCCTTAGAGCCCGGCTCGTCTCCAGCTCTGAGCCTGCAGCAGTGGAGGTTTCCCTGCCTCTGCACTCTGTCCTTGAAATATTCATTCCAGGCTGGGTATGGTGGCTCACACCTGTAATCCCAGCACTTTCAGAGACTGAGGCGGGAGGATCACTTGAGCCCAGGAGTTGGAGACCAGCCTGGGCAATATATTTTCTACAGAAAATTAAAAAAAAATTAGCCGGACGTGGTGGCTCATGCCTATTGTCCCAGCTACTTGGGAAACTGAAGTGGGATGATGGCTTGAGCCCGGGAGGTTGAGACTGCAGTGAGCCATGATTGCGCCACTGCACTCCAGCCTCTGTCCAGGGTGGCAGAGTGAGAGCCCTTCTCTCTCTCCCTCTCTCTCTCTGTGTATATAAAAAAATATTCATTCCTGTCAAAGGAGTGTCCATCTTGCCCCTGTAGGTCAGCATGGAAAGCAGCTCCACGGGCTTCATCTGGACTGATGTCAGAGCCTGGCAGACATCAAATCGGCATGTTTCTTCTTGGAGGGAACCCAGGCATTCTCGGTGGGAGCACATCACTGCCAAAAGGGAGAACACTGGTTCTTGAAACAATCTTAGCTGTAAGAAACCTCCTAGACGGGCAATAATGAGAAAAGGTTGATGTGCCCTGGTCTAACCCAAGTCCCTGTGGCTGCTGCTTCAACCACATCAATATCAGTGCTGATCACGAATGCAAACAGTGCTGATGTCACACAGGTGCCGCTGGCCACGCACTTTACAGCTCTCTTCATTCAGTCCTCACCATGGTAGCTGCCCTTATGTCTTAAAAGATGAGACTGGTGAGCACAGAGAGGCTCGGTGACCTGCCCAGGGTCACATAGCTCATAGGGGTCTGAGCTTCCTCTCATCTCCTTGTATCATACTGGTAATGAACCTTGATGAGTTTTGGATAGATGAAAAATACTCCTACTTCCTTCTTCCTGAGGACTTTTTGAGCAAATGAAGCAGGTAGCTTTTACGTCTCTTCTCTTTCTTTGTAATCTCACAGAAGGCTGTCGTGCATTCAACTTTGTGCTCCAAAAAGCCATGTCCAAGTCCTAGCCCCAGGACCTGTGACTATGACCTCATTTGGATATAAGCTCTTTGCAGATGTAATCAAATTAAGAGGAGGTGCTACTGGATTTGGATGGGCCCTGGTTCCATGGCTGGTGTTCTTATAAAGAGAGGAAAGTGGACACAGACACACACAGGGGAGAAGGCCGTGTGAAGGCGGAGGCAGAGGTCGGGGTGGAGCAGCCACGGGCTGAGGAACACTGAGGGCTGCTGCTACCTCTGGAAGCTGGGAGGGAGGCCTGGGGGAGGCTCCCCTAGAGTCTAAAGGCGCCGGCCCTGCTGCCACCTCGCTGTCTGATTTCCAGCCTCCAGAGCTGCCAGAGGAGAAATGGGTGTGGTTTTAAGCCACCTGGTTTGTGGAAATTATTGCAGTCACCCCAGGAAACTAACACAAAAATGGTGGCATTTTTTATTTTAAGAGTTTTATGTTTGTTTGTTTTTGTCAAAGTTTGCCTTGGGCACTGAACTAGAGTGAGAGGACAGACTGGATTGTGTGTGCATGTGTGCGTGTGTGTGCATGTGTGTGCATGTGTGTGTGTGCGTGTGTACATGTGTGCGTGCGTGTTTGTGTGTGAGTGTGTGCGTGTGCACGCCTGTGTGCATGTGTGTGTGCATGTGTGTACATGGGGGGCTTGTTCCCCATTCCTGTCATCTGCCTTTTGTCCCCTCCACTTCGGTGTCTGCTTTGCTCCCACCTGTCACCCTGACTAGTCCCCCGATGTGTATGGGGCCACTGCCCTTTCTTTCCTTAGGAAAGGTGGAGGTGGGAGAGTGTGATGGCTGTAGAGGGCGGGTGGCCATTGAGGGTTCCTGCTATGCCTTCTCTAGTGGACAGCTCACTAGGCTCAGAAGAGGAGGAGAGGTGGGGTTTGCAGACCCGAACGGAGCCCAGGTTGGAAAAATCCTTCATCGAATTCCCATTATGTGCAGCCATAAAGACCAGTACCTTGTATAGGGATAAACGGAGCTTAAACTGGGCCTGCAAAGCCACGGGGTGAGGTGAGAATCAAAGGAAACCGAATTAATGTGTTAAAAAAAAAAAAAGGCAAGCAGCTTCCTGGAGAAAGACCCCCAGGGCTATCTTTGTGTGAGAAGATCTGCCAGCTGAGGGGAATCCATCTCAATAGAAGTTTGCAATGAGATAAATACTGCATATGACGGCTAATAAATGTCCCTGAGAGCTGAGTAGTAATCAACACAGGAAATAAATCCTCCAAAAATAAAAGCAACACTGGTATCGATGGTGAGGTGGAGGGCTGTGGTGGTGGCAGTCACCTCCTTTAAGATCCTGGGAAGGATTTGTTCTCAGGAAGCCAGTGATAATTTACCGGAGTTTTAATACCTGGCAAGTTCCCAGGCTTCTGCGGGTAGAATTTATTTTGGCACAATATGGCCTCTTGGGAGGAAATAGAGACAGACTCGGAGAGGCCCGGCTGTGCCTAGGAAAAGGCCTCTGTCACCTGTGTGACCCCTGGACAGAACCTAGCCAGGCTCTTGAATGGAATTCCTCTGCCTGTTTCAGCCCCATGCACTGCCCTTCAGCACACATGCAGTAATGCACGGACATGCCTGACACGTGCAGATAGGGTCACATGTGCAGATATGGGCACACGTGCCATTGTGGGCACACATGCAGATGTGGGCACATGTACAGTTGTGGCCACACATGCAAATATGATTACATGTGCAGTTATGGGTATGTGTGCAGTTGTGGGCGCACATGCAGTTGTGGGCACGTGTGCATATGTGGGGACATGTGCAGATGTGGGCACCTGTACAGTTGTGGGCACACGTGCAGTTGTGGCCACATGAAGACATGTTCTCTGACTGCTCAGGGAAGGTGGACATGAGGCCTGGGGCCGAGGGGTGGGGGATGTCCACTAAAGGGCTCTCTGCAGATATGATCACACATGCAGTTGTGGGCACAACATGCAGTTGTGACCAACATGTGCAGATATGGGCTTTCCCGTATGTCTGTAATGTGTGTACTGGATGGGGTGGGCTGCCAGCTCCATCTTCTCACCCGATTCACTCCCCACCATTTGGTCTGCTTGGGGTCAGGGTTTGGGAGCCTGGGGCATTGCAGAGCCTGCCGCCTTTGCCTGTGGGCCTTACTGGCAGGACCCTCATGGGAAGGTCACCCCGGCCGGTTCTGTGGCTCACCTCTGGCTTTTCCCACTTAGGATGCCCCCTGGGGCCGGCCTCATGGAGCGGATCCAGGCTATTGCCCAGAACGTCTCCGACATCGCTGTGAAGGTGGACCAGATCCTGCGCCACAGTCTGCTCCTGCACAGCAAGGGTGGGTGCCAGGGGGCGGGGGTACCCTCTACCCCTAGGGGGCCAATGAACTGGGTGCTGGGTGGGCCCTGGGAGGGTGGGACACTTGGGGTGTGGCCGACTTCTCCTGACAGCAGCTCTGCTGGCTCTTCGGGGCCCCAGTTTAGGCTTTCAGCAGGACAACTGGGGGTTCACTCCCTCGACCCGGCAGGAGGGCGCTGAGGACAGAGGAGGTCCCTGGAGTCTCAGCTTCTGGGGTCCACAGTTCCAGGAGTGAGGCCACCTGGGGAAGGGTCCCTCGGCGGCCCCTCCAGTCCCTGTGATGTGGGGAGCAGCGAGCTGGGGGCTGCAAACCTCATTTCTGCCTCCTCAGAAAACGCTGGGGATGCTTTCGGGTGGGTGCATGAGGTCTGCCCATCCAGGCAGCTGCTGAGTGGCTGTTCGCACCAGCTCCTCACTGCATCTGAACCCCCTGAGGAGGCCGGGGGCAACCTAGGCCCGGGTTGACCTTGTGGGTGGGTTGTGCGGCTGATGAGCTTTAAGGTGGGAAAGCCTGGCAGCGGATTGTGTGGGAAGCTGCCTCCCGCACGCAGGCCTCCCTCCCTGGGCTCCTCCTTGGACCAGGGACTTCAGCAAGGTGACCTCTCCCTACAGTGTCAGAAGGCCGGCGGGACCAGTGTGAGGCACCCAGTGACCCCAAGTTCCCTGACTGCTCAGGGAAGGTGGAGGTGAGGCCTGGGGCTGAGGGGTGGGGATGTCTACAGCTAGGGCCTCTCTGTCTGGCCCTGGCCCCTCACCCAGGCACAAGCTGGCAGAGGCCAACCTCAGGGAAACAGCTTCTCTGCTCAGTGCATCCACCCCACCCATCAATCCAAATCCCCCAGAAAGAGTCTCCCTCAGGTGTCGGTGCTTTCTCACAGCAAATGATTAAATCTCCAAGTGTCACCGCCAGCAGCCGGATTCCCCCAGAGACTCAGAGGAGTGGCCCTGGCTGCCCTGTCCCTGCTCCTCCTGGCCCAGCCAACAGCTGGACGGAGAGTCTTCCTGCCCCATTTCTGGGGCCACCACTGGCTGCATGAAGTCTGCCCTTGTAGGAGTCGTCCACAGCCGTGAAGTCAGCTCCCCACTGGTTCTGAACGCCCTAAGGGGTGGGCGGTGGTGCCGCAGACCCCTTCCTTGGTGACCATCTGGGATCACTGCAGGTGGATCCCGCCCTGGCTCCAGCCCTGGCCGCCTTGGAGGCTGCTCCCTGACCTTGGCCTCTAGCCCAATCCTGCTCTGGTAGCAGGGAGACGGGGACCAGAGGGAGAGGGAGACAGCCAGGCCTCCTGGCTCTTTGCCCCAGACCTTTGAGCCAGTGTTCTCTCCCAGTCTCTCCTCTTTCCAGACATGAGGGCTGGTGGTCCTGCCCCTGCCATCTCTGGGGTCCTTCAGGCGGGTCCTGGTTCAATCTCTTCTCTGCCCTGTCCCCTGTTGCATCAGTAGGGTGGGCCACATGGGCCCCATCCTTGACCTCAGGACCCCTGGGGGTGCACGTGCGGGGGAGTCCCCGAGGGTCAGTGGGGCTGGCGCAGCCCCCTGCCCAGCCTGGCCCTCTCTGCAGTGGATGCGTGCCCGCTGGACCTCTGACCCCTGCTACGCCTTCTTTGGGGTGGACGGCACCGAGTGCTCCTTCCTCATCTACCTCAGTGAGGTCGAGTGGTTCTGCCCCCCGCTGCCCTGGAGGAACCAGACGGCTGCCCAGAGGGCACCCAAGCCCCTCCCCAAAGTCCAGGTGGGCCTGGGAGGTGGGTGGGCCGGTGAGGGGCTGGTGTGGCTGGACATTCTTAAGGACAGTGGACAGAAACCTCTGTCCTGAGGGAATGAGACTGAGCTGCTTGCCAGGTGTGTGGGCAGGTCCGAGCCCACCCTACCGGGCAGACGGGAGGCCAGCCTGCCAAGGCCTGTCTGCCTTCTTTGAGATGCCACCAAGCTGGGCCTGTTTGCAGGGCAGGTGGGGGGCCTGGAGATGCCCCCTTAGTGGACTAGAATAGTAGTAATAGCAGCTGTCACTTATTGAGGGTTTTCTGTGTCCAGATGCTTTATTTGCACTTAAAGTTCCCAGCCATCCTTGTATGATCGTATTTGACAGACGATGCATCTGAGGTTTACAATTGAATTAATGGGTTCGAGGCGCATAGTTGCTGTGGTGGCCACGTCTGTCCCCTGCCATCGGAGTCCTGGCTATGACCACCACCCTCACTGCCTCCCTGTCATGGCTGGGAACCTGGAAACTGCTATGGTTGGCCACCTCCGTGGAAGGGCTAGGGGCCCATGGTTAGAGCTGGGCTGGGGAGGGTGTGTTGACAGGGCGGGCAGGGCTCCCTGGTTTTGGGGGCTAATGAGCCCCTTAGAAAGTGCAGGAGAAGCTGGAGCAGGCCCCAGCCTCATGGGAGGGTGCCAGCCCCTGTCCCCAGGCCAGCGGGGAATGATGGTGGCCGCAGGTTGAGGGGCAGAGAGCTGAGGTCTGGACCCCTCCAGGCAGTTTTCCGAAGCAACCTGTCCCACCTTCTGGACCTGATGGGCAGCGGGAAGGAGTCCCTGATCTTCATGAAGAAGCGGACCAAGAGGCTCACAGCCCAGTGGGCGCTGGCTGCCCAGCGCCTGGCACAGAAGCTGGGGGCCACCCAGAGGGACCAGAAGCAGGTGCGTGGCCCCTGCCCCCTCATGTGCAGGAGCTGAGAAAGCTCAGGGCCCCCACTTCTGAGTGGGCATGGAATAGGTCTTCAAACAAGCTGTAGTGGGCTTCTGAATTTGATCAGAGGGAGAGAGGGGTAGGGATGGCAGAGTCGGGATAGATGTCTGTGGTGGTGGCCCCTGGCCCTTTTCAAGGTTGGGACCAAATGACAAGCCCCCAAGAGGTCCTGCATTCTGTGTACATCTGGTTCATGTCAGGCAGAAAAGTCATGGTATTGGCCTGGAAAGTTGGGAATGTTCTGGGGAGCTTCGTTAGCTCATGCCTCCATTCTTCCTTCCCTCCTTCCTTCCCTCCCTCCCTCCCTCCACCCAGTAGATATTTACGTGGCTCTCACATTGCCCTTTTATTTCTTTCAGAGCCCTTATCATTTCATGAAATTATCTCTTGTCTGTGTTCACTGTTGTCTACCTCTTCCATCTGGAACATTAGCTCCATGAGGGCAAGCACGTGACTATCTTGTTCGCCCGTGTCCCCAGTGCCCGATCTGGTCACTCTGGTGCCGGAAAGCACCTGCTGGGGCCCAGCCTGGAGACAGGGTCTGCTGCCGGCTGGTCTCCTGGCCGGTGCCCCGGGGGGGCGGGGCTCAGAGCTGCTGCTCCTCTCTGCTGACCCTCTGTGTTCCGCCCACCCAGATCCTGGTCCACATCGGCTTCCTGACGGAGGAGTCCGGGGACGTGTTCAGCCCTCGGGTCCTGAAGGGCGGGCCCCTAGGGGAGATGGTGCAGTGGGCGGACATTCTGACTGCACTCTATGTCCTGGGCCATGGCCTGCGGGTCACAGTCTCCCTGAAGGAGCTGCAGAGGTGAGTGCTGGGGAAAGCCACTGGCATTAAGTGGGGCAGGGAGGGGATGAAGGGGAACCCCACCCCTCCCTCCCAGGGGCTGTGGGAGCACCTGCTCTGCCTGCAGGTCCCACGGCCCTGAGACCCTGGGAGACATCCTGGTGTTCCGCAGGACATCACCACTCCTAATCCCCCTCCTCCTGCCCGGTCTTGGGGGATGTGGCAGGGAAGTGTATTTGCATAGCGCTGTCTGGCCAGGGCCTGGCTCCTTCTCTGGTGTTTCTGCTCAGGGGCTGACACGTGTTGGCTTGTGGAATTGAGCCACGTCTGCACGTGGGGTCCCCTCTGCCTGCCGTCCTGGAAGGCTTGGTTTCTCTTCTGAACCTGGGCTCCTTCTTGGGTCTACTTTAGGGTCTGGAGACCAGTAAGACATGGAGGATGAAGGGGCGTGGTTGGGTGGGTGGTGCCTGTCCCTTACCCAGTGCTGGGCTTTTCACGGTCCCTTGGATGCTGTGGGAGGTGGAAGGGCAGTGATTAGAGGCTCCCCTGAGTGTTTGAGGGTAGGATGGGGGTGAGGCTGAGAGTGTGGGGATGTCAAGGGGGTAAGAGTGTGTGATTGGGTTTATTTTTAATCACTGTTTCTGTGGGATGTAGGAATACAGGAGATTCTTCTCTTTATTAATATTTATTGTAAGATATATGATGCATACAAAGTCTATGTAAAGTATGTTGTGAAACACAACAGTCAAATCACCTCCCATGTGTGACCATCCATTTAAGATCATGCTGTCACCAAGGACTCTGGGTTTGCCTGAGAGTGTCTGCCAATCTCTCTGCCTCCTCCCCAGATGAAACCTTAACTTGAACTTTGTGTATATTATTCCTTTGCTTTTTTTTTTTTTTTAATGGAGTTTCTCTCTTGTTCCCCAGGCTGGAGTGCAGTGGCGTGACCTTGGCTCACTGCAGCCTCCGCCTCCCGGGTTCAAGCGATTCTCCTGCCTCAGCTCCTGAGTAGCTGGGATTACAGGCCCACGCCGCCACGCCAGGCTAATTTTTGTGTTTTTAGTAGAGATGGGGTTTCAGCATGTTGCCCAGGCTGGTCTTGAGCTCCCAACCTCTGGTGATCCACCCGCCTCGGCCTCCCAAAGTGTTGGGATTACAGGCATGAGCCACCGCACCCAGCCTGCTTTTGTAAAAAAAGTTTTTTGTTTTTTCTTAATAGTGTATCCATAAACAGTTTATGGTTTGCTTTTGTTTTGTTCTGGTTTCAAGCTTTGAGAAAATGGCATCTACTCTATGTGGTCTCCTAACTTGCTTTCTTCAAACTCACTCTGTTTCAAAGACTCATCCATCCATGTTCTTGCATGTAGCTTTATTTCATTCATTTTCACTGCTATATAATATTCCATTGTGTGAATGTGCCATAATTATGTATCAGTTTTTCCTGTCTGCGGATATTTTTTCCTGTTTTTGAAATGGTTTTGAACGTTGCCGTGGTGGACATTCTTGGACATGTCACCTGATGTACTTGTGTAAGTTTTTCTGGGTATAGACTTAGATGCAGAATTGTTAGATCTTGGCATGGTGAAAATTCAGCTTTACAAGATAATGCCGAATTGTCTTCCAAAGTGATTGCTCCAATTCAGAGACTCACCAGTGCATGAGTTTCCGCTGGTTCACATTCTCACCTACACTTAGGGTTGTCAGACATTCTGATTGAGGCATGATGATGTCTTATTATGGCTGCAACTTGCATTTCCTGAAAGATAATGGGCTGAGCATCCTGTCCTGTGGTTCTTTCGTCTTGATGAGATGCCCATTGATATGGGCATCATATGATAAGGGTTATCATTTTCATATTGAGTTGTAAGAGCTCTTTATATATTAAGGATATAAATTCTGTGGAAGTTACATGTGTTAAAAAAGTCTTCTAATTTGTGGCTTGCCTTTTTAATTTCTTTATGGTTTTTTGGGGAGTAACAGAAATTCTTAATTTTAATGTAATAAAAGTTATCCATCTTTTTCTTTATAGTTAGCAATTTTGTGTTTTGTGGAGTTCTCTGTTCTCTCTTTTCTTTCTTTTTTTCCTTTCTTTCTCTTTCTTTCTTCTTTTTTTTTTTTTTTTTCAGATAGGGCCTCGCTCTGTTGCCCAGGCTGGAGTGCAGTGGCACAATCATGGCTCACAGCAGCCTTCCCCTCAAGCAACCCTCCCACCTCAGCCTCCTGAGTAGCTGGGATTACAGGTGTACGCTACTACGCCTGGCTAATTTCTGTATTTTTAGTGGAGACAGGGTTTCACTATGTTGCCTAGGCTGGTCTTGAACTCCTAGGCTCAAGAAATTCGCCTACCTCAGCCTCCCAAAGTGCTGGGATTACAGGCATGAGCCACCGTGCTTGGCTTTATTCCTCCTTTTCATTGACTTAAAAATGTTTCTATTGATACATAATATGTGTACATATTTATGGGGATGGGTGATATTTTGCTACATGCATCCAATGTGTAATGATCAAGTCAGGGTACTGGGGATCTATCATCTTGAGTATTTATTATTTTTATGTGTTGGGAACATTTTAAGTCCACTCTTCAAGCTATTTTGAAATCTACAATACATTGTTGTTAAGTATAGTCTCCCTACTCTGCTATCTTTTTTTTTTTTTGAGATGGAGTCTCACTCTGTCACCCAGGCTGGAGTGCAGTGGTGCGATCTCGGCTCACTGCAACCTCTGCCTCCCGGGTTCAAGCAATTCTCCTGCCTCAGCCTCCCGAGTAGCTGGGATTACAGGCGGGTGCCACCGTGCCCAGCTAATTTTTGTATTTTTAGTAGAGACAGGATTTCACCATATTGGTCATGCTGGTCTCGAACTCCTGACCTCAGGTGATCCACCTGCTTTGGCCTCCCAAAGTGCTGGAATTATAGGCATGAGCCACTGCGCCCAGCCTCTGCTATATATATATTTTAAATCTTATTTATTTTAAAATAGAGATGGGTTTCCGCCATGTTGCCCAGGCTGGTCTCAAACTCGTGGGCTCAAGTCATCTGCCTGCCTCAGCCTCCCAAAGTGCTGGGATTACAGGCATGAGCCATGTGCCCGGCCTACTCTGCTATCTAACGTAGAACTTATTCCTTCTATCTATCTATATGTTTGTACCCATTAACCAAACCAACCTCTCTTTATCCCTCCTCCCCACCACATTTGATGAGATTATTCCTCAGGGCCTTCCTTCAGGGCCCCAGAACTGTTTGCATGTGAATCAGCTTTTCTTCATTAACTTCTACACAGGTGGTTTCCTTGTGAGTCCCCACCAGAGCCTGCCTACTCTCTTGCTGGTCTGATTGGCCTTCTCTCCACTAATGCTAATGCTCTGTAGCACAGGAGTGTTGGAGAGCAGAGGATGCTGATGAGGACAGAGCCATGGCAATCTTAGGTCACTAGGGCCCAGCAAGCACCAGTCTTGGGCAGCTACTCAGTTTCTGCCTTTCTTCGCTGCAACTCAGAGTCTGCCAGTAACTCAGGTAGAACGTCTGTGACTCCGATCAGAGGGAGGAGTCTGGGCCAGCTGTATTGAGTAGTGGGAGAAGGAGGCTGGGTCTGGATTGTGTTGCTTAGGAGGCCACTAAATGACCCAGGGCTTTGAAGGTTTTCATCCCCGTGGCCTGAAATTCACAGCACTGGAGTCATCCTTTTAAGTGAATGCATTCGATGATTAGGCTTAGTAAAGAAAAAGTGTCTCCAGAGAGGAACAGCACGTGTAAGTGAGGCTATGGGGCAGAGGCAGGTTGGTGCCAGAGACTAAAGAGGCAGCTACACGCCTGTGGCTGTGTTGAGAAGCACTGTCCAAGTCGGGGGCGGGCTCTGGGGGAGGAAATTCTCACCTTGAAATAGCAGGTCCAGGAGCTGCAAGGAACCCGGCTGGGAGCTGTCCCCGAGTGCTAGTGCTGAACCCACAGATACTCCCAATGCTGGGAGAGGGAAACAGCACGTCCCTCACTCTGGCTCTCACCCTGGTGACATCTTGTTGTCAGATCCAGCTGTTCGCACTGTGCAGGCCACTTAAGAGACAAGGTGTGGGGCCCACTCGCCCGCCTGCACCCACTGCTGCACACTAAACTGTCTGCCACCGGCTCCCTCTGAACAGAGAGCCTGGAATATGCATCGATGCTGTCTGTGGAGCAGAACGCTGCAGAGGCAGTTAACATTTGCAGATTATGAAAAGAGGTGTATACACTCATGCAGCCTCCACATGCACCCATGCATACACGTGCATATCCACCACATGTGTGCACATACATGCATACTCACCCACTCACATGCACACTCATGGACACATACTCATAGCCTCTGCACCCACACATGCACACCCACTCACACACTTGAATATGCACACACTCCACATACACATGTGCAAATGCATGCTCCTGCATGTGCAGACATGATGCATCTATACAGACACACATGCACACTCTCTTGCACACACATGCATGTCCACACCCCACAGAGAATCAGTGTTTTCTACCAAGCAAGGCTCCACTTCCTCTCAAGCTCTTGCAGATCTAAAGGTGCTCCAGGGAGAGGTTGCCCCATCTCTGGTTTGCAGTTTGTTAAATGGGCAGGCCCAGGGCTGTGCTCCGATGCCCTGGCCCTTGGTCCCCTGTGGGGTGTATGTGTGAATGAACGATCTGGCTCAGACAGGGCAGAATGGTGTAAACAGCTCAGCTACCTCAGGGGATCTTAGGAAGGTGATTTCTAAATCTGCTACCAAATACAATTTAAAAACAACTAAAAGAATAAAAATAAAAGCAAAACCACCCTCCCCAGGAGAATTCCCCAGTTATGCCTACAAAAGTAACAGCATCAGCTATGGTTGGAATACATTCAGGGTGGGGGTTCTTAACCCTGGCTGCAGCAAAACCACCTGAAGCACTTTAGAAACTTACCAGTGTTTGGGCCCCTGTCTAGGCATCTCTGACTTCTTCCATCTGGGGTGGGGGCCCAGGTAACAAATTGAAGCTCCCAGTGATTCTAATGGGCACCAAAGGTTGGGAATTGGAAAAGCTTGAGGCTGTGGCTTTTCTAAGCCCCTCAGCCCAGTACACAGTCTGGCGGTGGGGTTGGGACATTGTAGAATGCATGGCTTCTTCAGAAGGCCTTGTCTGTGTCCCCAGTGCAGTCCTGGGGGATGGGATTGAGGCCCCAGGCTCAGGGCCCTAGAAAAGATGTAGAAAGAATGGGAGGATTCATCCTGAGAGCACCCAGGATACCCTTGGTTGCTAGAGTGTGGCTTAGTGGGGGGTTGGGCCACAGAGGCACCCTGTGGAGGTGGCCCAGATGGTGGGGCGTCTGGCATCATGCCCAGGGCATCACGTGGGAACCTGCTGGCCTGGAATGCACTTTGTGCCACACACTTTCTTGGATGTACTTTCTTCCTTCTTCCTTTCTAAAGTGGGGGCATTGCATTGGTCCCCATAGTTGGCGGGGTCAGTGACAGATGTGAGGCCAGGGTGGAGGCAGAACTGTGAGCTCCCAGGCACATTCCCTGCTGGGGCCTCTCTGATACATAAATGCAGGCCTTTCCTCACAGTGGAGATGTCAATACAGTTTGAGATGTGGATGAGCCTCCTAGAGCTGCCATAACAATGGAGTGCACACTGCAGGGCTTACACAGCAGGAATGAATGAACAGCAGGAATGCATGAACTGAATCCTGGCGCTGGAGCGTGCTGCAAGTCCAAGAGCCAGGTTTTGGCAGGGCAGGGCTGGGGCCTCCTGAGGCTGCAAGGGAGTCTCTGCCTCAGGCCTCTCTCTGGGTTCCTGGTGGTTTCCTAGTGAGGAACTTGGTGACCCTTGTCCTGCAGCTACATCTCTACAATCATCTCTGCCTTTGCCTGGTGGCCTCCCTGTGAGCGTGTCTGTGTCCAGATTTCCCCTCCCTATAAGGACCTATTGGATTAGGGCCCACCCTAATGCCCTCACGTTAACTCCATTACCTCTGTAAGGACCCCAACTCCAAATAAGGTCATAGCCTGAAGAACTGGGGGTTAGGACTTCAATATGTCAATGTTGGGGGTGGAGGACACAATGTAAACCCATAATAAGATGGCAACCACTGGGGGGCCCTGGGCAGAGTTCCCAGCGAGCAACCGCGAGCCCTTCAGGGAGAGGCAGAAGCACCCAGGGCCTCACCTCTCAGCCCTGGGAGCCGTTCTGTGGGAGCAGCACCAGGTTAATTTGAAAACAGGTCAATGGGATGTGAAGGTAATCTGAATTCTGAGTGTCTCAGCTTGGTTTCTGCGACAGAAATGTCTCCCTTGGCTGGCGAAATGACCTGCGTGGGAGGCGGTGGGACAAAGACGCGGCTTGTACATTTGTTGTAGTTTATTCGCAGATGTTCACGGCAGATGTCCTGGCCACTGATGGAGCAACAAGGCTGGACGGATGAGCCGGTCCCGCTCTGCTCCTCGGGTCTCGGTGTTTCAATTAACTGGCTCACTGGAGTGACGTTTGGGGCAATGTGCAGGATCTACATCTGGCTTTGCTGCTGCAAGATGCTTCCGGGGTGAGGGAGGTGGCACGAGGGAGCCGTGCGCTCTGTGATGAGACTGCAGCAAGGTGATGTCAGCCAGTCCCCGCCCGCGCCCCGCCGTGTGCGGAGGGAAGAAGCCAAACCCTAGTGCCTGCCCAGCCGCTGCATCCTGAGACGGCCTCGTGCATGTGCAGGTCCAGGGTGGGCGTTTTAAAGTTAAGCCTTTCCCTTCCTGCTTTCCTAGCATCAGCTGTGCTCATCAATTTTATTTGCACAATTTCAAGCATCATTAATAGTACATGGCATGAGAAAACATTACTGAGCTCTTTCTCCATCCATGAGTGAAATTGGGTTTAGTAGAAAATTAGTTGACTTAACTGGCAAATGATGAAAGCTTGAGAGGAGAATGTTTAAGTAAGGAGGACTAGGAGGGACAACTCCTGGCTGTCAAGCATGCAGCCAGGCTGGAAATCTGCCTCCTGCCTGGGGCCAGGTGCCCAAAGGAAAGGCTGGGGAGGATCCCCAGAGAATGACGAAGGTGGGGACTCCATCTGCTTCCTCCCGCACAATCCACTGTGACCAGCTGAGGCAGGTCTTAGGTTTGGAACCCAGAGATCAGTTCTGGATATGACTGGCACAGACTGATCTGAACCAATGCAAACTGGGCCCAGCTGCTGGAAACCAGCTTGAGCTGACCAGAACCAGGCTGACCTGGGCAGCTCAAACCAGCTCCAGGGCGGAGGATGCTGCTCTTCTCTGAGGGGAGAGGAGAAAAGCACTGGGTCTAGGGCACACATGTTGAAACAGAGGTGCCCCATGGAGGCCACTGGGTGACGGGCCCAGGGGAGGTGTGGCATGGAGACAGGGTCTTGGCCGTTGACAGTGGTTGAACACAGTGTGGTTGAAATTGTCAAAGGATGGGAAAACAGGCTTGAGGGGCACAGACTTGGGAAATATCAACACAGAAAGGCCTCTTACAGGCAAAGGAGACTGAGGAGTAGCCAAGAGCAAGCCAGATGTGGAGTCATGGGTGCCTGTGAGAAGATGCTTCTAGAAGGAGATGTGGCCAGCAACACATTGCTCATTGAAAAGCCAAGTAAGAAGGAGACTGAAAAATGTCCAAAGAATTTGGTCACATGAGGCTGGGTGGGGCGGCTCACTCCTGTAATCCCAGCACTTTGGGAGGTCACGGCGGGAGGATTGCTTGATTCCAGGAGTTGGAGACCAGCCTGGGCAAGATAGTGAGACCTGGTCTTTACCAAAAACAAAAAAATTAGCCAAGTGCGCCTGTGGTCCCAGCTACTCAGGCGACTGAGGAAGGAGGATCACTTGAGCCTGGGAAGTCGAGGCTACAGTCAGCCGTGATCATGCTACTGCACTCTAGCTTGGGTGACAAAGCAAGACTGTCTCAAAAAAAAAAGAGAAGAAGAAGAAGAAAGAAAGAAGGAAAGAAGGAAGGAAGGAGAGAGAGAAAGAAAGAGAATTTGGCCACAAAGATGTCATTGCTGACTTTGGAAAGAGCATTGTGGTGCAGTCGTGGGGACAAAGGTCCTAAACCCAGTGGGCTGTGGGAGTGTGGAAGGCGGGATGGGGAGGACACAGCAGTCGTGAGTGTCTGCACTCCTCCAAGGAGCTTGGCCAGGAGCCGGGAGGAGAAAGAGCGCAGGAGCAGGGGTTACAGAATCGCAGGCAGGTGTGTTTGCCTCCTGGGGGTGACCAGTCAAAAGACCACATGCTGGGGGGTGTAAACCACACAAATGTGTCCTCTTACAGTCCTGAAGGCTGGAAGTCTGAAATCAAGACTCCCTCTGAAGGCACTAGGGAAGCGTCAGTCCCAGCCTCTCCCCTGTCTTCTGGTAGCCGCAGGTGTTCTTAGAGGGGTAGATGGTGTTCTCCCTACGTCCACATCTCTTCCTCCCTCCATGCATGACTCTGTGTCCACATTTCTTCTTCCTCTTTTTTTTTTTTTGAGACAGAGTCTTGCCCTGTCCCCCAGCTGGAGCGCAGTGGCGCAGTCTCGGCTCACTGCATCCTCCACCTCCGGGTTCAAGTGATTCTCCTGCCTCAGCCTCCCGAGTAGCTGGGACTACAGGAATGTGCCACCATGCCCAGCTAATTTTTGTATTTTTAGTAGAGACAGGGTTTCACCATGTGGGCCAGGCTGGTCTCAAACTCCTGACCTCAGGTGTTCCACCCACCTCGGCCTCCCAAAGTGCTGGGATTACAGGCGTGAGCCACTGCCCCCGGCCACGTTTCTTCTTTTTATAAGGACACCAGTCAACTTGGATTAGGGTCTACCCTAATGCCTTCATCTTAACTTGATTACCTCTGCAAAGACCCTTTTTCCAAACAAAGTCACATTCACAGGTACGGGGATTAGGACTTCACCCTCCTTCAGCGGCCACAGTTCAGCCCACGATCAAAGGTGTGCTTGTTTATTTTTCGAGATAAGAGAGTGCACTCATGTTTAAATGTGGCTGCAAAGGAGCCAGAACAGTAGGGAGGTTGTGGACATAGGAGGGAGAGAGTATTGCTGGCAGTGGCTTCAGGGGAGGGTCCCAGGAGGAGGGACAGGGACAGCTCTTCTGCCCTGAGAGGAGAGAAGGAGAAGAGACCAGGGTATACTGTAAATGCAGCGGGGTGGGGGGCCTGGGCTGGGGGCCGGGGATCGGGCACTCCTCTCTGACGGTTTCTATTTTATCTTCGATGCCGGAGGGGAGAGCATTTCCCACAAGCCAGGTGGAGGCAGCGGGAGACGCGAGGAAGTGGACAAGACCGAAAAACAACCCTCGGGCTCTACCAGGGTTTGTAATATGCTATCCCTCGAAACAAACAGGATTCGAACCAAATATGGCAAAATGTTAAGGCTTGATGAGGCTGGGAAGTGGGCGCATTGGAGCATTATATGATTTTCTATAATTTTCTGGATGCTTGGAATATTTTGTAACTTATAAGCACACAGATTAGGAAAAGGTGGGGAAGAACCGCATCTTGGCACCTAGACTTGTGAATGGCAGCTCTCCTGCATCACCCTCCCCGTTCCAAGAGGAGGCACGAGAGGCCGACGATTACAATTCACTAAAAATCCCCGGCCCCTCTCCTGTCTCCTTTTTCCTTCCCCTTCCTTCAGTTTCAAGGAGGCATTTTAACCTCCTGGCTGAGCGGGGAGCGAGCGCAGGAGCACACATCCCAGCGGAGAGGCCTGGCAGCCAGACACCTGACCCAAGTTGGCTGGCGGTCAGAACCCTTCCCCAGGAAATTCAGACTTGGGTAGGCAGAAGACCTACCTAGACTGCGGGTAAGGGGACAGAGAGGGAGCAGGCGCCGGCATGCCGAGTGTGGCGGGGTCACGTTGAGTGCCGCCAAATGTCGTGGGCCTCTGCTGCTGGGGCCTGGGGCTGCCCTGGCCCCTGCCCTTCATCCTTCCTCGGGATCCAGGAGAGACCCTTCCTTGCAAGGCCTCGTCTCCCCTTATGCTCCACATAGCTGCACTGCCCTGGCCCCTGCCCTTCATTCTTCCTCGGGATCCAGGAGAGACCCTTCCTTGCAAGGGCCTCGCCTCCCCTCATGCTCCACGCGCTGCGCTGGCGTCACAGGGAGTCTGTTTCTTGCAAGTCAAGGCCCCCCGGCCAAGTCTGAACATTGACCAATAAGCAAGACCGATGGAGGCCGTGCCGTGTCGCCTTTCCCAGCTCTGGCCTGGCCTGTGTTGGGGAGGGCTGCAAGGGAAGACTCATGGAAATGACGTCGCTGGCCCTCATGAGAGATCCATGCACCCCAGGTGGAGTGGGGAGAACTTGGGGAGATCAGATAAGAAATGAGGACAGACCAGGCCCTCGGCTCATACCCGTAACCCCAGCACTTTGGGAGGCTGGGATTACAGGCAGATCCCTTGAGTCTAGGAGTTCAAGACCAACCTGAGCAAGGAAACCTCATCTCTACAAGAAAAAACTCAGAAAGAAATGAGGAGAAGGGCTGGCTTCTGGATGCTCCTGACGGAGGCAGGATTCATCCCTGGGGAGGAGGCATCAGGGCCTCTGTGAATCTCAGGGGTCGTGGGTTCTCGAGAAGGGATGAGGGGACCAGTGTTCTTCCTCTGCCAAGGACAGACCAAGAGAGCGTCTTGTCAGATGGTGGCTGGAGAGGAGGAAGGTGGCAGTGGACGAGCTTCAGGAACCATCTGTCAGGGAGACTGGAAGGAGCCACCCACGGGAAGGGTCAAACTCAGGGGTTCCCGCCTCTTAGAAACTGGGGCCAGGGCTGGTCTGGGGCTTTTTATTCTGGGTGAAGCCGGCAGAAGCACAGGGTGGTACGAATAACCCCCTAGCACTCTTCCCGACTACGCTGTCAGGTTTGAGTCAGCCTAGTTGTGCTAAGTCCAACGCCAGGTGGGAGGTTTCACTGTGACTCAGTGGCCAATTAAATGCTCTCAAGTCCGGGTTTAGTGTGAGGATTTTGCACACCAACCATCACTGCAAATATATTCAGCACACACAGGCCAGTGGCTCGGGATACGAGTGCGCTGACTGATGAGCCAGGCAGGTCCGAATGTTCCTCGAAGTCAGTTTCTTTGCTGTGTCTCCGGCCTCTGCAGGGCCGTCCATAGTCATTTCTCAGCTGCCCCTGGCTTCACTTTCTTGTTGGGTCTCGGGGGTGCCTTCCCACAGCAGGTATCTCGTCACCCCAGTCCAGCATACATTTATCACTTTGAAGGATCAGCAGTTTGACCGTGGGCTGAGTCACTTGTCATAAGTGACTCCATTTTGAGATTATTTAGGATCACAAAACACTATCCTATATCACCACCTGCCCCTCAAGTCAGAGTAGCTTTGGTAAAAGGAATGCATTTTCCTGCAAGCCAGACTGCTTTTTCCTCGGCATCTCTAGCGTGGAGCCAGCGGCCCTCAATATCCGAATCCAGGATGCAGGGGCTGCGTCTTAGCTTTTGGCCCTCATCTCCCACTGAGACTGCTCGAGTGGGATTGACAGCGGAGTCTTACCCCAAGGTCCCTGCACAGGTTGGTTCTCAGCAAAGGTTGGTGGAACCGGATAGAATAGCAAGAGCCCCTGGCACACAGGAGTCACCCGAGGAGCTGAAAATAATCCCCGACGCCCAGGCCCCAGCCCGGAGCAAATAGAGGGACCCTCGGGGTGGCCTGAGCACCAGGAGCTAAAGCCTGGATGAGAAAACCTGGGTTCGGGCTCAGCATTTACAGGCATTTATTCTAGAAATTGAGGCCTGTCTGTAAGGAAGAGGACTGGGAACGACCGGAGGGCCGAGTTCCCGTTCCTCTTCCTGCAGCCGTGCTGGCAGCCAGCGGGGTGAGTGTGTGGTCTCCTCCAGCTCTCCTGGGAGCATGGCCCTATTCTTAGCACTGAGTTTGCTTGCTAGGAAAGAACGCTGGGGAAGAAAGTGCCAGCTTTGGACGCCAGCCCCACTTTGGGTCTGCAGTGTTGAGGATACGCTGCTCCCTCAGTTTCCCTTTCGGAGGCTCCCCCCCAACAACTGCACGCCTTGTACCGCACCCCCACCCCCGCACCCATGCTTTGTGGTAGCTTCGGCTAAAGAGCACCCAGACTGTGCCTCCATCTGCCTTTGGACTCCCTTTTCCTCTGAGCCAGGGACCCTGAGGGGGCCTGGCAGTTCTCAGCTGTAGCCCTGAACCCTCGAGGGCACAGGGTACATGCTGGGGATGCTCAAGGGCATCGCCTTTTCAGGAGATGGGAGCTGAGGGCAGGGCCATCCCAGTGACTGCGTAAAGCAACTCTGGGCTGCTTCTGTTGGGTACAGGGAGGTCAGTCCATCCTGGGCAGGAAGAAAATGCTGCAGGACGGTGTAATTCTTTCCTCATTAGTGATCCTAACCCCTGCTTCCTAAAGCAGCTCATTAGATGTCCAGTTCAACCTCTGAGTTTCTTCTTTCTGCCCCCATCTGGTCTGTCAGGGACCAGACAGTGGCCTGTTGTGGTAATGGGCCATGGCAGGGTTGGGGGCTGCCCATGATACTTGGGAAACGGGCACTGGTCAGGTTTGGAGGATTTCAGGGCCCTGGGGAGACAGAACGTCCCAGGCTGCCCCAGCTGTGTGTTCCCCTTGAGAGGCACCCAGTGAAGTTGTGGATCCTGCCTGCACTTCAGCCCCTGGAGTCAAAGATCTCTGACTACTTTGCAAGGATTCTTTTTAATTAGGTCCCTCCCACACAAGAGAAAGAGAGAGAGAATAGTGTGTTCCACAATTTGAGCACTACCTGGAGAGATTATTTCTAGCCACAGACCAAAGGCACAGAGAGAAATAAAACCAGGGAATTTTTAGCTTAGAAGAGACCGTGGAGATTTGCCTGAGCACGTGTCCCACATGTGGAGGCGGACACCAGAGCGATGTGGTGGCTCGTGGAAGGCTACCCAGCAAATGCCTGCTGGAGCTCCTGCCCAGGGATATTTTTCATTGCCAGAATTCAGCATTTGAATTCCTAGCCGAGGGTTTCTTCTATTAAGTGAAGGTTTATTTTTCTCCTCCCTCATCCCATCTCCCCATCCTCCTCTTTGATATTTTAGCAAAGAGTGCCTGAGCCAGTCCTTCCCTGGATATTTACAGAGCCCCTATATTGTTTATGGCCAGCTGGGAGTCCCAGGCAGGTGGGGAACGTGACAGCTGGAGAAGATGGGACCTCAGCCCCTCTGGGAGGCAGAGTGCTTGGCACGGGAGCCAGGAATGTGAATGGGTTGACTTAAAAATTATTTTTAAATTATTCGTATTTTTAAGACCGGGTCTCACTCTGTTGCCCAGGCTAGAGTGCAACGGTGTGATCACAGCTCATTGCAGCCTTAACATCCCAGGTTCAAACGATTCTCCCACCTCAGCCTCCTGAGTAGCTGGAATGACAGGTGCATGCCACCATGCCCGGCTAATTTTTTGTATTTTTGGTAGAGATGGGGTTTCGCCATGTCATCCAGGCTGGTCTCAAACTGCTGGACTCAAGCGATCCTCCCACCTAGGCCACCTAAAGTGCTGGGATTATAGGCGTGAGCCGCTGTGCCGGGCTGGCTTTTTACAAACTTGTAGTAAGATGCACATAACATAAAATGTGCTGCTGTAACCACTTTGAAGTGCACAGTTCAGTGGCAAAGCACACTCGCATTGTGGTGCAACCATCGCCACCATCCATCTCCAGATTTCTTCTTGCAAAACTGAAACTCCATACCCATTAAACAATAATTTCCTATTCCTTCCTGCCCCGAGAGGGTAGCTTTTCCGGGTGGATTAATTTGGGCACAGTGCAGGGGCCAACTCTAACCAGGTGACCTGCGGAAATGCTCCATTCCCCTGGACCACCCTACCCCTACCCCTTTCCTCTTGGGATTTAGACTCCTATTCATCTGGCCTGGGGACACTCAGAAATATATTCTAACCAGCCAGTTTGGCAATTCCACACAAACTTCCCCGTCCTTCCCAAGCACTGGCTGTTGGCAGTGGGCAGATGGAGGGGTATGCAGCAGATGCATTTCAAGTTCCTTCTGCCCCTGAGGTCCTCCCCCCACCACCCTCCTATCTGTGGGGGCTGCTGAACCGTCCTCTTGACCCAGCCCTTGACTGAGAGTACAAGAGAAATGAGGACTTGGCCTTGGAGGTGCAGAAAGGTCTGGACGGGAGTGTTTTGAGTTTTCAGCAGGATTGGTGGAAATGCACAGCCGAGCCTCCCGGGCACCTTTGGTTGAAGGTTGTCGGGGGACGGCATTTTCAATTCATGTCACTGCTCCAGCCAATCACTTAGCGTAAAATTGCCCATGAAAGTAAACTTAAATTACAAGTGATAAAACTACAGCCTCCTCTCCCAGCAGCTGACCTCTCTGCTCTCCAGGGGGTGAGGCTCAGATTTCTTCTGATAAGAGCAATGAGGCCGCTGCAGACACCTCCAGGGACGTCCTGCCCTTCCATTGAAAATCCTTGTTTTCCAGGGCTGGGGACATGTGGGCTTCTCCTTAACTCCTCCTGGGAAGGGGATGCTGCTGTCTCCGGGCCGATTTGTCTCCCTCCTCTCCCGTGATGTCCTTTGAGCACGTGGAAGGCCACTGGGCTCAGGTCCAGACCCAAAGGCCAGTGAGTGACCAAGGCACCTTCACCCCTGGGCCCCTCACTCACCCATACTCTCTCTCCAGAGAGGCTTTTCTTGGCCAACTATTAAACATTGAAACCAGTTCTTCTCATCTACCACTTTGTGTATAGCTTCATAAATACAGCAGATGTTTAGTGGGTCAGGTCCTGTCCCTGGTCCTGAATGTTAAAGATGACCTGACCCTGCCCTCCTCAAAGGGGCCTCCAGGTGGGAAGAGGTGACTTGGGACATTGACCAGGTGTGTCCCAGGTATGGAGGGAGCATAGCGGGAGGGGTGTCTCAGGTAAGGCTTCCTGGAGGAGGAGGCAATATTTGAGTTAAGCACGTGGAGGTGAGAAGAGTCTTCTAGACCCAGGGAACAGTTTCTGTGAAAACAGGGCACCGTCGCAGGAGAACCTTGGTAGGATCAGAGGGGAGGGTTTGGCCGGGACCACCTTGAAATTTCTGCGGCACCTGGCCTCACGTGTGACAGGTACAGGAAGTGTCCGGTCTCACTTATCTTAGTCGCACACTGGTGACAGCTGCTGTCTTATTGTAGATTCCTTCTCCCCCATCCGTTAATATTCCTCCCTTTCTTCTGGTTTAGTCAAGACTTTGACTTCACACTGAGCAGGGTGTGCATGGGGGAAGCGATTGCTCAGCAGGGGGCCCCTTTTCCTGCCCGGCTCTGGATCTGGGTGCCAAGGTTTAGGGCTGATACTTCATGGGGTGAGGCCTGACTGCCCAAGCGGGTCCTGCATCAGGTGGGGCTCAGCGGGGGTCCACCTTCCACCCACTTCCCTGCTCCCTCCATGCACACCCAGTGGGCCTGTGCTGGAGAGGCTGCTGCAGATCCTGGGGGGCGCAGGGTGTGGTGCAGGGGCTGCAGCTGTTGCTTCCACAGGGGTTAGGTGGGGAAGCATCCTCGAAGTCCTGGCTCAGAGGCAGTGGGAAGCCTCGGAAAGGGTCAGAACCCCTGGGAGATGTGATCAAGTTTCCATTGTATAAAGACTCTGATCCCAGCTCTGCTCCTTCCTGGCTGTGTAACCTTGGGTAAGTTACTCAGCCTCTCTGTTTCCTAATCTGTAAAGATGGGAACAGGATGAGAATGGGTCTGATCTGGTAGGGTAGTTGCTAAGATGAAAGGAGCTGATGAATCAGTAAGTTGAAAGCACATGGAATGATGCTTGTGTCCAAAACGTTAGCCTTGAAGATGGCGAGGATGATGGACTCACCTTAGAACCGCAGCGTGGTGGTCTCCCAGGAGAGGGCTGTGACGTGCTACAACCCCTCTGTCCTCTCAGTGGCCCTGGTGTCTGGGACTAGGGTCAGAGGTGTGCTCAGTGATGGGGCAGCAAAAGGAAGCTCCCAGGACAGAGAGATAACATGTTGCCTGGAAACCAACCAGAGATCTGTAGGGAAGCCAGTCATGTTCCTGGTGCAGGTAGCAGCTCCTAGACCCACCTACGGTTTGTATTTTCAGGATTGTCTTAATTTTACTAGACCCAGATTCCATGTGGGAGGAGCAGCCACCCCCTTCCTGGTTTCTGCAAGGAAGGATACAGAGGGAGTGTCTTTGTGTCCTTTTGTGTGTGGTTCTCAGTTGGGTTGGGGAGGTGAGGAAGAGGGGACTTCTGGAGCCCCAGGGCAAACAAATGAAGCTTCTTTCTGGGCCATCAGTTTTACTGGAGGAGTTTTGGGAGTGAGAAAGTCCATGCTTCACAGGAAACAACAGGGATGTCTTGCAGAGTGAATGCAGAATTTGTTCAACACTTAAACCTACCACCAAATATTTCATGAAGTCTCCAGGTTGTGGGAGTTGTTCCCTGTGATGGCTCCAGACCCCTGGGGTCTGTGCTTCTTCTCCTTTGTTTTCTGGGTATTTCAGCCAAAAAGCTGAAGAGGCAGGCACTGCCTTAGAAGCCCTGGATCAGAGAATCCCGTGTGGCAGGTGGTCTGTGTTGGAAGGAGGGGAAGACAGGAAGGTTGGAGGGATGGAGGAGCCCTTGGCCATTTTTAAGTTTATAGACAAGAAATGAGGAGGAAATGGTGATTAGGTTTTCACATTCCCCTCTCACACTTAGCAGCAAAGGTTCTGACATGGCGGGGAAGCCAGTGTGGGGACAGCTCAGGAGGCTGGTGGGGGTACTAGCTGGAGGTGGGGGGCAAGGCCCAGAGAAAGCGCCTCCCCTCTTGCTGCCCTTCTCTGCAGGGCGAGGCTGACCTCTGATGGCTTAGTCCCTGTGCTGGCAGCTTCTCTCCACCTCTTTCCATCACAGCGCTGTCGGCAGGTGACCAGAAACATCATCGACACGGCACCACTTTGGACGGTGTGCTAACGGGATGGTGCGCACAGTCCCCTCCCCGAGCTTCTGAGCATGCGCAAAGCGAGCATGCACCTTTCAGGCCGGTACTTTTCCACCTGGCCTGAATGGTTTCAAGGAGCCCAGACACAGCCCAGGAAACTGACCAATCCTGGCCACTTGCCGTTAATGAGGAGGTGACCTTGTCAAAGCTCATCACCTCCCCAGCCTGACTCTGCTTATGATGTGGGTCCCTGAAGGGCCTCCCTAGTAGGAGGTGTCCTGGGCCTCCTGCAGAGCTGGCTGGCACCTGAACCCTGAATCCTGGGGAGGTGGGCATCCCCGGGAGATGGGACCCGATGGCCTGGCTGCTTCCCAGTCTGGGTTGGGAGCAAAGGATGGTCACATCCAGCCCCATGAGGTGATGCACCCACCAAGAGCTGTTGAGAGAGGAAGATGAAGACAGGGCACGTGGCCTTCTCTGCTTGGGCATCCCCCCTGCCCATCCCTCCACCAATGGGCCTCTCCTCAGGACGCCTCCACCGTGCCTCAGCACACGCTGATCAGATCTCTGCTCCAGCACCCCCAGGTGTACACACCTCACACGGCTTGTGCTCCTGGGGCTGGGGACACATCCCACGTGTCTCTGAGTTCGTGATGTGGGCAAAAGGCCTGGAACCCGACGTGCACTCAAGAAACATTTGTTAAAGAGAATTATCCTGAGGACCCAGTGGGGAGGGGGTGTTTGGGGAAGCGGGTGCCTGACCGGGTTCTGCATGCATTCTGAGCTCCCGGGCGTCCTCCTCTGGTGGAGTGGGGATGGGAACGTGGAAGGGCCGTCTCTGCGGAGGACGGTACATCCCACCTGACTCAGGGGCTCGGCATAGACTTAACTGAATGAATAAGTGACCGGATGCCTCGTCATCCCCTGCAGGGGAGAAACCGAGGCTGTGGAGTTGGAATAAGCAGGGGCTTCTGGCGGGAGGAGCTGGTTTGTACGGATGCTGGCAGGGGGGGTTGTGGGCAGAGGAATTTAAATTGGCAGCTGTGGCTGCTGGGACAGGGGGCTTTGAACCCTTCTCCAGGGAGGTGGACTGAGCAGATGTGGGGATTCTAGAGGAAGCCATGGGGTGTGGTCATGTCCTTCCATGTCCTCCTGTCCATACCCCTGGAGCTGGGGGCCTGGGGGGTCCAGCAGGAGGAGATGACCCAGCAGCTCCAGCCGGATGGGATGCCAGATGGCAGAGGGGCACCACCCCTCCTCTGGCCAAGCTGCGTCTTCCAGGTCACCAGAGGCAACCTTGTCCCAGATGAAAACCTGTGTGTAAATAACCCGGCAGGTGAAGGCAGGCAGGTCCTGTGCGGTGCCCGGGGTGGGAAGCAGGTAACCAGTGGCCTGCAGCAGCTCGCGGCCTCAGCCAGCCCTGGGCGCCAGGAGCTCAGTCAGCACTGCAAGACTGCACTTTTCTGAGGCAGGAGGTTTGGGGCCCTCATCCAGACAAACACGTAGCTGCGCTGAGGACTGCCGCCAGCATCCATGGGATTTGTGAAAGTTAGAGAAAGGCTCCCTCTCTGGGTAGCCACAGCCCTGCGGGAGCACATTTGTGTCGATGACAAAAGGTGCCCCTTCTTCCTGGCAGGTAACCCAGGCTGGGTGCACGGGAGCCCACGCTGACCTCAGTCCCACCTGCCCCTTGCTGGATTGCCTTGTGCAGTGAAAAACCTACGTTACCGTACAGGGCCATCCTGCTCACTTCCTTTCTGAGAGTCTGTGCTAAGCTCTCTGCACTTGTACAGTTCATTCTGGGCTCTAAGGAACTGGGGTGGCCGGTTGGGCAGGTGGGTTTCTTGGGGCCCAGAATCTGAAGGGCTCTTCTCTCAGTAACTTAGGGGTACCGCCAGGCCGGGGAAGCTGCCCGCTCACCATGCCCCTGCCCTTCGACCTCATCTACACCGACTACCACGGCCTGCAGCAGATGAAGCGGCACATGGGACTCTCCTTCAAGAAGTACCGGTGAGAGGGCGGCCAGAGGGTGGGCACGTGGCCCACATGCCAGGGGAGAAAGCTCCTCCTTCACGCCCTGCCCCCACGTCCCCACTCAGCCAGCTGGGCCCAGGTGGGAGAACATACTGTCCTGCATCCTGCCCTCCGCCCTCCCCTCCCCTCCCCTGCCACTTCCGTGTCTGCCTCCCGGCTAACTCAATGATATTTAATAAACCACCCAGGGAGTTGCTCCATCACCCCTCTGCTGCTTTGAGGCTGGGGGCAGGAGGCCGGGGTCATCTACATGGAGCGGAGCTGAGGAATTGAAGAGAAGAGTATAACGGAACAGGACATTAACCTGGGCTGTGACCCTGCTGTGGGGACCTTGGGGTGGGGAGAGCAGCTCAGCACACCCCTCTCTTCCTCCACCCCACCCTCTCTCCGTCTGGAGGAAGGCCAAGGCCATCGCTCCCTGTCTCACTGCAGCCAGTGGGATGTGGGGCTTAATTTAGCACAGAGAGCCCTGCTATTTATTACGTGTGCTCCAGTCCCATTGACGATCCCACATGATTTTATTAGGGAAAAAAGTGACAGGCAGTGTTATTGCTTTTATTATTAATGCGAGTTCTCTATGCACTCGGCTCTCTCCTCCCACCCCGGGCCTCTTCCCTGGGGGAAAAGTGCCAACCTCAGCACTCTGCAGACAATTCTGGGTCACCAGGAAGGACGCTGGGGTGAGGAGCTCCTTGCAGGGCCTCTGAGTCTTGGCACTTTTTTTCAGGTGCCCCTTCCAGGGAGTAGGGAGGGCAGAGGGGGTGGCTCTGGGGCTGTGGCCCATTGAGAATGGCCTCGGAGTTCGTCTGGCCCTGTGGTTGGCTTATCTATAGGGACAAGACCCCTCTGGGTTTTGAACTTGGGCCTCCACCCCTGGAGACAGCAGAGGGAGAAGGGCCCTGTGGAGCAGAGCCTCTGCCCAGCTGCAGGGTCCAGCCCTACTGGGACCAGCCTTGCAGAGGAGGCTCAGAAGCGCTGCCCTCCCAAAGACAGCCCATGGGCAGTGCCTGGGACCCTGCCTTTTGCATCCTGGCCCTATAGACTGGGCACATCCAGGGGTGTCAGGCTCCTGAGAAGAGGGGCTATGACTCCCTACCCAGGCAGATGCAAATTGTATAGAGGACCCAGGGGACACCAGAGAGGGACCCCCTCTCCAAGCAGTGCCTCCCTTCTGGGTGGCAGTAATGGCTACAATTCCTGAGTGCTAACCAAGGACCATGGGTCAGGAGCTTCCCTACAACCCTGAGACAATTGGGCTGTTGTTTTTCCCACTGGACAGATGAGGCAGCACAGAGAGGTGAAGACACTCACCTGTGGTCACACAGCAGGGCAGTGTCCTAGTCCAAGTGCTAACACACACTGTGCTACTCTGACTCCACCACTGGCTGGTGACAGTGCTCGTGGCTGGGGCAACTTCAGCCCAGGGACACACGGGGAGGTTGCTGACCCTGGTTCCTGGTCCCCTGGGGGGGCAGGTGCCGAATCAGGGTCATCGACACCTTCGGGACGGAACCTGCGTACAACCACGAGGAGTACGCCACGCTGCACGGCTACCGGACCAACTGGGGCTACTGGAACCTCAACCCCAAGCAGTTCATGACCATGTTTCGTGAGTGCCCCACAGGGCAGGGGTGGGGTCGGAGGTCCTCCTCATGGTTCTCAGAGGTGACACGAGAGGCGGCCAGGGTCTCGCTCCTCCCTCTCTTTCCTTCTCCAGCCAGTGGGGTTGGTGGGACCCAGCAAGCATCGCCTTCTCCTGCTCCATAAGTGTGTGAACCAGGAAGGAAGCCTCTGGTGCTATTTGGGGAGCAGGAAGCATGGAGGGGGTGTCCAGGGCGGGGTGACCTCCCCGACTCCAGCAGATGTAGCCTTCACCCTCCAGGAGGGAGGTTGGGCACACAGTTCCAGAACACGGGGGACTCCGCGGCCTTCCAGAAAGAGAGGCTTTCCAGAGTAAGCTGGAGAACTTCCCTGGGTAGAAAGGAGCAGGCAGGCAGTGGGAACAGATGCAGTAAAGAGGGATGTGGGAAGAACTGGAAGGTTCTGGAAATGCAGGATTGGGCTTGGCTTCCAGGGCTCCAGGCAAGGAACGTGAGTGGAGCTGGGCTTCAGCTATTTGTTTGTTTGTTTTTTGAGACAGGATCTCGCTCTATTGGTCAGGTTGCAGTGCAGTGGTGTGATCTCCTCGGCTCACTGCAGCCTCGACCTCCTGGGCTCAAGTGATCCTCCTGCCTCAGCCTCCCGAGTAGCTGGCTTTACAGGCATCTGCCCCCATGCCCGGCTAATTTTTATATTTTTTGTAGAGAAAGGGTTTCACCAGGTTGCCCAGGCTGGTCTTGAATTCCTGGGCTCAAGCGATCCACCCACGTAGGCCTCCCAAAGTGCTGGGATTACAGGTGCAAGCCACCGTGCCCGGGTTTCAGCTGTTTTTAATGATACTCTAAAATGTATACACACACTGACCTATCCTGTTAAACGCAGCTCACTGAAAACAATTTCACCTTTTCTTGACAGCTCAGGGTCAGTTCTCTGCCTCCCGGGCGCATGGGCCTGCCCTTCTGGACGGCAGAGGTGTGCGGAGCTGCGTCCCCTCCTCGTGTCTGGTTCACGCTGCGCTCTTCCACCTTGTTGGGAGGCTCTCAGCTGTCACTTTTAATTGTTGTCAGTACATCTGCCTCCAGCAGCATCTTGCGTGTGGCTCTTTCAAGGCTCCAGGCCAGAAAGCTAGATAAGTAGCCTTGTTAGGATTGCATCTGTTAAAGTAAGAGCAACGTAGACTCTGAGCAGAGTCCTGACGGACTTGCTTGTGAGTAAAGTATGTGATTTGTATTTGGCCTGTCAAATTCATGGCATCTCTTGTGGGTGCTTGGACTATTCTTTTTTTTCTGATTCTCTAGACTCTAGGCTATATTAGGGGCAGATGTGATTTTTGAATAAATAAGTAATGGCATCATTGAATCCCAGAAGGTTGGGAAAGTGGGAAGGTTCCTGGGGCTCATGCAGTCCAGATGAGAAAACTGAGGCCCAGAGAGGTAGAGCATGCAGCCTGAGGTCACACAGCTCAGTCGGGACCAGACTCCTTCTGCAGGGCCCGTTTCAAGGTTGCATGAGACTTCTTACTGTGCTCCCAGCAGAAGAGTGCTTGGGGTAGAGCAAGCACAGGGAGCAGATTTCTGGAGGGAAAGGAAATGGGGAGTGGAAATAGAGGCAGGGAGGAAATGATGGTGCTCCGGGCTGTGGAAGAGGAAAAGCTACGAAGTTGAGAAGCTTGGGTATTTAGATCACTTAGAAGGGAAGCAGTCAAGCCAGGCGCGGTGGCTCACACCTGTAATCCCAGCACTTTGGGAGGCTGAGGCAGGCGGATCATGAGGTCAGAAGCTCGAGACCAGCCTGGCCAACATGGTGAAACCCCGTCTCTACTAAAAATACAAAAATTAGCCGGGTGTGGTCGTGGGTGCCTGTAATCCCAGCTACTCAGGAGGCTGAGGCAGGAGAATCACTTGAACCCGGGAGGTGGATGTTGCAGTGAGCTGAGATCGTGGCACTGCACTCCAGCCTGGGCAACAGAGCAAGATTCTGTCTTGGGGGAAAAACAAAATAGAGAAAAAAGAAAAAAAGGAAGGGAAGCAGTCAGATTGGAGGCTGGTAAGAGGAGCATGGAGGATCAGGGCACCGAGGAGTGGGGTGTTTTAGCCAAGGTTCCTGAATTCACGTCGGAGGACCACTGAAGGTTCTTCAGCTAGAGAATGTCATGAATAATTTTTTTTTTTTTGAGACTCTGTCACTCAGGCTGGAGTGCAGTGGCGCGACCTCGGCTCCCTGCAACCTCCACCTCCCGGGTTCAAGCGATTCTTGTGCATTAGCTTTTGGAGTAGCTGGGACCACAGGCACACGTCACTTAGCCTGGCTAATTTTTGTATTTTTAGTAGAGAGAGGGTTTTACCTTGTTGCCCAGGCTGGTCTTGAACTCCTGAGCTCAGGTGATCCACCTGCCTCGGTCTCCCAAAGTGCTGGGATTCCAGGCGTGAGCCACTGTGCCCAGCCAGGGCAACATTTTTATTGAGGTGTATTATCCTGTCGGACTGCAGGTGGCCAAAGATGATGAAGCAGGGAGGAGGGGGAAGCAGAGATGGGTTAAGAGGCTTCTGCAATATCCTGCACTGAGAAAATGAGGACTTGTCCCAGGGTGGAGCCCGCTGGATGTGGATTTCCAGACCTGGCAAACTCCTACTCATCCTTCAAAACCTCAAGTGAAATGTCTCCTCTTTTTACCATCACTTTCACTGATCCCCTCATCTCCTACTCCTGGCAGAATGTATTGCCTCTTTACCTCTATTTTTATAATTCTTAAACTTAACTCCGTTAAAGCATATGTTGAAGTATGCTAGTTATTTGCTTATACATTTCTTTTCCCTGATAGATCATGAGCCACTCAAAAAGGGGCCACTAATTGGTTTATCTCAATCTCTCTGGAGCCAACCTAGGTCCTCAGAGAACATTAATTGATTGGATAAATCGAAGAAAGTGGGGACAAAAGGGAAGAGGGAGGCTGGCCAGTTTTAATGGCACAGAGTCCAGGAAGGAAGTCATGAGCAGGCCTGTTCCCATCTAGCTGGCTGATTTCTCCAGGGAGCTAACTGGGGGGCTGCTGCCTCTCCTGGCCTTACCCTCGCTCTGCCCCCAGGAGCTCTTGGCTTAATGGTCCCTGTTATTTTAATTGGTTGCAATACTTCCCTGTCCCTCTCTGACTGGCTTAGCTAATTGTGTTCTAAATCTGCCTCTTCTGGTGGAGTTGGTGGAATGAAGGCAGTTTAGTGAAAGATTCTTCAGCTTCAGAGAGTGGTGGGAACAGGGGAGAGGGCTGGGTGGCAGTCTTGGAGAAGCCAGAGGGGAGGGGAAGATGGTGCCGGACAGGTAAACAGGGTCGGGCAGGGGCTGCTTTGCCTGGCATGGACAGAGCCTCCTGAGATGGGAGAGCTGTCCTGACCCTGACCACCCACAGAAAGAACTCCAGGCTTCCAGGGCTCCTCCTGACCCTCCCAAAGCTCTAGAGGAGAGATCGTTTGGTTCTGTAGTTGAATTTTCAGGCCCAAGAATCTGTGAGCTTTGGGGGCACTTACACAGGAAAGCATCATCTCTTCTAAGCTGTACCAGATGTTGATTATTACGTCTTGTGGGCCTTGAGGGGTGGGTGGGAATACTACAGTAGATTTACACATTTGATGAAAGCATGCATCCCAATTGGAGAAACGTTAAAATGTGGGGGATGTGCATTCGAAATGAAGAAATAGGGTATTTAGAATCAAGGCTGTTGTGGGAAATCAAGGCTGGGCAGCTGCTCCCAGCCTCCTCACTCACCATAGCCCCTTCCGTGCGGGAAGGTAGATTAAATATCCTTGGACTCAATAAACGGTTTATTCGGGATCCCAGTGCGCAGAAGGCAGGGCTCGTGTGCCTGCAGATTCGTAGGTCTCATGTTCCTCTTAACCCCTCCGTGGCGGACAGAGCTTTAGCAGTCACTGCACTCCACACACGGCCATGGAATTGGAGCGTGAGATCAAACATGTTCCCTGGCCTTGGTGTGTAGGAGGGTGTGTGTCCTTATGGACAAATAAGTCAAATGGCGAGGAAATCCCGGGGCAATCCCTGCTGTAACAGAGACCTAACTGCCGCAGATGGGGCCACAAAGGGAGGCACAGTCCACCCAAGAGAAGGCTTCCAGGAGGAGGTGTCGTGTGAGAGGGGCCCCGAAGGCTGAGTAGAATTTCCTCATCCGAGACAAGGGAGGAGGGCAGTGCAGGCCGAGGGGACAGCAGCAGGGGCAACGCTTGGAGGTGGGAATGGGAGGCTTTTCCCCTGTCTCATCCATCTTTGTCCAGCATTCATAAAGCCAGCCCAGGCTCTGTTTCAGGTGCTGGTGGCACAGAAGTGAACAAAACAGAACCATTGTCCACAAGGTGCTTTTATTTTAACAATTATTATTATTGTTTTTGGAGATGGAGTCTTGCTCTGTTGCCCAGGCTGGAGTGTAGTGGCGTGATCTCAGCTCACTGAAACCTCCGCCTCCCAAGTTCAAGTGATTCTCATGCCTCAGTCTCCTGAGTAGCTGGGATAACAGGTGTGCGCCACCACACCCGGTTAATGTTTGTATTTTTAGTAGAGATGGGGTTTTGCCACGTTGGCCAGGCTGGTCTTGAACTCCTGACTTCAGGTGATCCACCTGCCTTGGCCTACCAAAGTGCTGGGATGACAGGCATGAGCCACCACACCTGGCCTATCCTGACAATGATACATGAACAAATAAATGTATAGTCTAATGTCTGGTCGGTAAGTGCTGTGATGAAAAATAAAGCTGTTAGGGGACAATGAGTGACTGGGGTCAGGAGAGACCTCTCACAGGCCCATGAGCACAGTTCTGTATGGAGAGGGGTTGTGTCCAGCAGGGCTCTGGGTGGGCTGGATGGTCAAAGGTGCGGTGGGAGAGAAATGGAGGCAGAGCCTGGTGATTGTCGGGCGGACTTTGGCATATGGGGTTTTGTGCG
Organism: Homo sapiens; assembly: GCF_000001405.40. NCBI lineage: Eukaryota > Metazoa > Chordata > Mammalia > Primates > Hominidae > Homo > Homo sapiens. The sequence goes on from NC_000017.11 coordinate 76,931,664, forward strand.
GAGGAGGAACCTGATATGGCCTAGATTCAAAACTGTCATTTCAGAGAAAAGACTCTACCAAGAGAGCCACAGGAATGAGGAGGCGGCTGTCAGGGTGGTCCCATTGAGAGCTGATATGGCCTAGGCCGGGGTGCAGTCACGGAGAAGGTGGAGAAAGTTCTACCTGGGATGACAGATGCTGCCTATGGGCGCAGGTGGAGGGCGAAAAGATGGGTCAGAAGCTTGGGGCTCCAGGGACTGTGAGGAGGGCAGAGTCCCTACTGGTCACCCGGGGGCCTCAGCCTCAAACAGGGGGACTTGATGACCTCTTAGGCTGCTGCTGCTACTGCTGGTGGTGCTTCTTCCTTCTTTCTTCTTCCTCCTCCTCCTGTTCCTCCTCCTCCTCTTTCTCCTCCTCCTTTTTTCCTCCTCCTCCTCCTCCTCCCCCCCCCCTTCTTCGTCTTTGTCTTCGTCTTCTTTGTCTTCTCCTTCTTTCTTCTTCTTACACAGGGTCTTGCTCTGTTGCCTGGGCTGGAGTGCAGCAGTGCGATCATAGCTCAGCTCACTGCAGCCTTGAACTAGTGGGCTCAAGCGATTCTCCCACCTCAGCCTCTCGAGTGTCTGGGACTATAGGCGCGTGCCACCATGCCTGGCTGATTTTTAAATTTTTAAATAGAGACAGGGTCTCACTATGTTGCCCAGGGTGGTCTCAAACTCCTGGGCTCAAGGGATCCTCCTGCCTCTGCCTCCCAGAGTGTTGGGATTATAGGCGTGAGTCACCATGCCAGGCCTAGGTTTCCTTCAGCTCTGATCTTTGTAGCAGTCTCCGGGAAGGGGGTCACAGGCCGGGGCACTGATTACACCCTCCCCACCGCACCCTGTGCCCCGCCCCCTTTCCCACCCCTGCCAAAAGAGGACCTCTTGGGCGGGGCAGTCCAGGGAGGCCTGGGGCTGCCCTTGGTTGTTTGGTGACCCCATTCCTTCTGCGTGCTCGGGCTGCAGCTCATACCCCCGACAACTCCTTCATGGGCTTCGTGTCCGAGGAGCTCAACGAGACGGAGAAGCGGCTCATCAAAGGCGGCAAGGCCAGCAACATGGCCGTGGTGTACGGCAAGGAGGCGAGCATCTGGAAGGTGAGCGCGGCCCCTGCGCGCGGGAAGCACCAGCCTGCTCGGCACAGGCCCCCGCCTGGGTCCCGCATCTCCTCCTTCCAGGATGCGGTGCCCTCCTCCCGCCCCAGCCCTGCATGCTGGAAATGTCTCCCATGAACCAGTTCAGGACAAAAAGTTCCTAACTGCTATTTAAAGACACCCAGCCTAGGAGCTGACAGCTTGTCTCCCGGACTCTCGTAATAAATGATTCCTTAATTGAGGACTGTGACTAAATCTTCCACCCTTCCAAGAAACAGATCAATAGACAATGTAAGCCCAGCAAGGGCGTCTTCGGTGGATGGGGGGGTGGTCAGGCTAGACTTGGGAGTTCTGTGAGATTAGAGGCAGAGAGAAGCAGGAGAGGCTTAGAGATTAGAACCCCATCTTCAGGGTTGGGGGCCCCAGAGAGGAGCTGCCTGCATGGGGTGTTGTCTGCGAATCATCACTAACCTGCTGTCTCTCTCTCTGTTCCTTGTGCTCCCCCTGGCCACGAGGCAGCTCCAGGTATGGAAACCGCTTGCCGCCTGCCCCCTCTACCCTCTGCTCCCTTCCCCTCTCCAGCAGCCACTCCAGGGGTCTCTCCTTGTGATGTTCTCCTGACTCAGGCTCTCTGGGGCTTGTGGCTCCTGTGGATGGACCAAGGTGGGGAAGAGGGTGATGGGGACAGCAGGGTCCTAGGAGCCGTCTTTCCTGGTTCCTCTGTCACAGGGAGGCAAGTCCTGGGAGGTCAAGGTCCTGCTTGGCATGGCCACAGGGCAGCCCTTGGGCATGAGAGGGACCAGCGTTGGATGGGTTATTACATCAAGCAGGTGGCATGAGGTCAAGGTTAATAACGAAGCTACTGATCAGGGGAAGCCCCTGTATCCTACATCAGGCCTGTTACATGATTATTGGATTTAATCACTCTCCCAGCTGTACTGGTTAGGATTAGATCTGGCTGTCGCAGGGAAACCCCAAAATAATCGTGATTTAAACAAGATGGAAGTATATTTTCTTTCCTGCTTGCAAATTTCAGAGGTCGGGAGGGCTGGTGTGGCGTTCCCCGGGGTCTTCTTACCTTGACCCATCGTGTTTAGTTTCCACCTTGGCCTTGCCTCATGGTTCAAGATGGCTACAGGTATTAGAGTCATTATATCTGCATCCCAGCCAACAAGGAGAAGGAAGGAGCAGAGCGGGACACCACGTTTCCCACACTGCTCATCAGCTCCATCTTGGCCACAGGGCCATGCCCACTTCCAGGGGATGCTGGGTGGCATTATTTCCAGGCAGCTCAGCTCAATGTGCCCAGCCCTGTTCTGGGTTCTATGACTGAGGAAGGAGGAGAGAAGGAGGACTCAGGGGGATCTCACCATCTGGGTTGTGTCCACCCAAGACGCTACTGTTCACTGAGAGCTTGCTATGTGCCAGGCATTGTGCTAAGGGCTCACGTGCATCTCTTATTTAACCTTCACACAATGAGGTAGGTGCTGCATGTGATCCTGCCCACTCTATAAATGAGGACACCAGGGCACAGTGGGTTAGAAGGTGACCCATAGCTAGTAAGCGCCGAGCTGATGTTCCAGCCTACATCAATCTAAGTCCAGAGCCAGGGGTGCTTGGCCCTGACCCCACAGCCTGTTCAGCATTATGAAGCCTTGGAGAATGGCAGAGAGAAGGCTTGAAAGCAGGAATCAAGGTCCAAGACCTCTGCTGAGATGTCAGAGGTCACTGTGGGGTGTGGAGCGGGGAGCTGGGAGATGAGGCTCCCCATGCCGATTGCCACAGCTGCAGGGAAGCCCGGGAAGCTGTGGGCACTGGGTGCTGGAGAAGAGGGCAGAGTCGGAGGGTCGTGGAACACACAGGGTCTACTTTTATCAGAAAATGCTGTTAAGAAACTGGCCCAAGAGAATGAGAGGTTATGAAGTCTGGAAAGAGAAACGTTTTATCTCTAGCGCTGGAACTTCTGTGATAGCCCGAGGCAATCCTGTTCAGCTAGAGACCTCAAAGAAACTGCTTCCAAAAAAAGACATCTTTGCCCTGGTGTTTGTAACCAAAGGAAGTCAGAGGTGGCTGGATGGAGAGAAAAATGAAAGCAGCATCTTGGGAGAGATGCCTTCCAGAGTACAGGGGATCAGGTGGCCGAGAAGCAGAGGAGGAAGGAGGGGAGATGGAAGGTCAGGTCATTTATCATCCTTCCAGGGAGCAGGAGCTGGGGACCCAGGGCAAGGCGTTGGGTGAACTTTGTGCTAAGCGGGTCTGTCTTATTCTGCATTCCCCAGAAAGTGGAGCCTGAGGCTAAGGCTTAGGTGCTATTTTAGTAGAGTGTAGTCCCAGGAAGCGAGGGGTGAAGGATCAAGGGAATGAAGCAGGAAGGAGGCAAAGGCAGCTGGTTCAGGCCCGGGGCAAACCCACCCTCATCCCTGGAGGAAACATTCCAGGCCCTCAGACAGTCATCTGGGTGAGCTTGGGTGGAACTTTTCAATCCGTAGGTGGCAACCCATGGATAAATTGTGAAGCCAACTCAGGGAGTCTTGACTAGCCTTTTTGGTTCGTGTACAATTTTTTGTAGAAACATATGCTTTCATTTCTCCTGGGTAAATGCCCAAGAATATAATGGCTGGTTAATACTGTAGAAGTGTGTTTAACTTTTTTTAAAAGTTATTACGAGGCTTTCAATTCTTGAACAAATTCATCAATGCTTGGGATGGTCAGTCTTGTAAATTTCAGCCGTTCTAACAGGCATGGAATGGTGTCTTCTTGTGGTTTAAACTAGCATTTTCCTAATGACTAATGATGAAGATATTTTTGTGTGTTTATTTGTCTTCCATATATCTTTTTTTTTTTTTTTTTGGTGATGTGTCTTTTTAAAAACTTTTGCCCATTGAAAATATTAGGTTGTTTATTTTCTTACTATGGAGTTGTTAGAGTTCTTTATATATCCTGGATCCAAGTCTCGTATCAAATATATGCTTTATAAATATTTTCTTCTAGTCTGTGGCTTGTCTCTCTCTTTTTAAACATATATATATTATATATATTATATAATTATATATACTATATATTATATACATTATATATACTATATATATTATATACATTATATATATTATATATTATATAATTATATATACATTATATATATTATATATTATATAATTATATATACTATATATTATATACATTATATATATATATATGTAGATAGAGA